>NC_000002.12:32917625-42917625 GCF_000001405.40 Homo sapiens | reverse complement strand
CGTGACGTGTAAGTCTTGGAGAACAGCCACAATTCTGCGGATGATTAGGAAGTGCCTTCCTGTCACACTCACTGCTCCACACTGGAGAAGCTCATCACTGCACACCCCGCCTCACAGGGCAGTCTGGAGATTGCTGCTGTTGCGATTCATGGCCCTTGGGTTCCCCAGAAGCTCACTAGAGCCTGGACATCCCAGAGGAAGGCCTCAAGCTCCAGACAGGGTCTGAATTCCAGGAGACGAGGCAGAGAGAGCCCCTCATTTCTCTCCTTTAGCCCCCAGTGACTCCGTCCCATACTCACAGGGGAGCCCAGTTCTGCCCAAAAAGTCCCATTTCAATTCGAATGAATTCAACTCAATCTCAACGATACTAGCATTGTGCAAGCCAGAGCTGGGGAGCTGGGCACACAGACACATGAAATAGGCTGTTATCAAGGTACAGGGTAAGAAGTGTTCTTAGGGAATTACAGTGACCCCTACCCCAGCAAACACCAATTTCTCGTGCTTTCATCTCCTATGCCACTTTCTGTCCATAGGGTTCATTATGGAAGAGACTATGTACTGTTCACTATCACAAGTTCATTGTTCATGGGGGTGAGTGTGCATGTGTGTTTCTGTGTGTGTTTTCATGTATGCATACGTGTGTGTGTGTGTGTGTATGTGTGTGTGTGTTTAGGATTTAAGTTCCTGGAGGGCAAAGATCATATGGTGAGTTTCCCTGACTCTTCCACAGATCTTACACAAGGCTAGGCATAAAGCTGCTCTTCAATAAACACATCAATTAATGAACGAATGAACACTGAACCCTAAACTCCCCCGTTCAGGCTGAGATCTGGGAAGAGGGTGAGCCTGGGCGTCAGGGGTGGTGCATTTGAAATGTGGTGGGTCCTAGGGGACATGAGAAGGTCTTGCTCTCTCTCTCTCTGGTCCTCAGTGTCAATCACTGTGCAGCAAAGGAGTCGAATTAGATGATCTCTAGGGTTCGCTCAGGCTCTGGAAACACTCTGTCTCCCTCCCGAAACTTGGTCTGTTCCCAATTGCCCTCCCTACTCAGCCCCTCCAGATGCAGTGCTCATGAGACTCACAAAGGCCCCCAATCTAGCTGGGGGAGGACCTTTTGTTCCCCTGCCTCATGGGGCTCAGGGCTATTTTGTCAAAATTCTCCAGGAAAAGAGAAAAAGAGCCGAGGCTTTCGTTAAAGCCCAGTGGGCAGGTCTCTCTGAGGACAGGGATTAAGTTTGTCTCTGTTGATCTCCCCTCCAGTCAACGCTGCTGTCTGGGAACCAGCTTCGGATTTTCTAGGGTTTATCCTCCCTCATATGTTTCCATTACCTTTGCATTACCCTTGCACCATTTTTAGCATTCCCTTTGGAGTACCTTTGCAAAGTAGAATAGATCTCAAAAGAACAAAGCAAATTTTGGTCCAGGCTCGTTCTAAATGAATTCCTTCTTCCTTCAACAATCCCATCTTAGGAAAGAATAGAGACCCTCCTGACTCCCAGGCCTGGGCATTTCTGCCAGACCCTCCCACCAGACCTAAAAGACCATCGCTACTGGAGAGGAAGGGGGGACAGTCTTGAAGGGCCCCAGCTTCCCTTCATCACAGCCCAGGACAATTTCAGGCTCTGATGGAGCTGATGGTGATGGGTTTGTGGATTGACCTTTTAGAGGATTATCTGGATTTGGAAGGGTCACTTAAGGGTCAGTAAGTCTGGGAGGACCAAGCCTAATTCCAAAGACAAGAGGTGGGCAGAAGGGTCTCTGTCTCCCAGTGACCCTTTCTTTCTTGGAACTGTTTGTCTACCCAGGGAAAGAGGTCTATGCCTCAGAAGGTTCTTACTCCGCACCTCAAGCAATCTGCTTTGGGCTATGAGTTTTCATTTCTACTGGGAATATGAGGTTTTTGTAGACAGTAGATGATGCTTTTGAGTAATCTGTGTGGTTTTTAAAATGCAGGTTAAAATCCTAATGTTCTGAAATGGGAGAAACACTGATAAGTTAAAAATAACTCTTTGGAGGCCGGGCGCAGTGGCTCACACCTGTAATCCCAGCACTTCGGGACGCCAGGGCGGGCAGATCACGAGGTCAGGAGATCGAGAACATCCTGGCTAACACAGTGAAACCCCATCTCTACTAAAAATACAAAAACTTAGCTGGGCATGGTGGCGGGCACCTGTAGTCCCAGCTACTTGGGAGGCTGAGGCAGGAGAATGGCGTAAACCCGGGAGGTGGAGGTTGCGATGAGCTGAGATTGCTCCACTGTGCCCCAGCCTGGGCGACAGCGAGACTCCATCTCAAAAATAAATAAATAAAAATAAAAATAACTCTTTGGGGTTCATAACCAGTTAGAGATTTTAGGTTGTTGATTGATTAGGGGAATGTTGATAACAAGATTGGCCTATTGTATGAATCTCTTACAGTATTTGGCTGTATCTGCTTCTAACAGGGCAGAGTGTAGGATCAGAGATGATATTCCTAGATATTTGCATAAGTCTGTTACAACTCATAAGGAGAGAGCTGATGAATTCCCAAAGGTGTTGATTTTACTGTCACCAAGATTGAGGGCAGGACTTTGGACCCAGGAAATTCAAGTGCTTTAGAAAGTTGGCTAACTTTAACTTGAGAATTCTATTTATCCTTTCTGTTTTGTCTGAAGATGGGGAGGCGGTATAGACAGAGGAAATTTTGAGTAAACATGAATATCTTGCAGAGCTCTTTAATGACCATCTCAGTAAAATAAAGATACTTATCCCTGGATCAGTAGATTGGGACTTCCCTAGTAGGAAATACAAAGTTTAATGGCTTTGTTTTTTATGCTCTTCAACAAAGAAAGGCTTCAACACATTTGAAAATAAACAGGCAAACAAAAACAGAAACTAGAGAACATGTTCATATTTCATCACAGAGGATAATTGTATAAAATTCATTTGGAGGTTCCCAAATGGGCCTTGAGGTCTTGATTCTCATCCATGCCCCACCTTTACTGTTTTGCCAAAATTTTGTTGCTTGTAGGTGAGGTGCCCTAGACAGGGCTCAGAAAACTATAGGCCACAGGCCAATTCTGAGCCGTAGTGTTTTTCTGTAAATAAAGTTTTGTTGGAACGCAGCCATGCCCATCTGTTTATGTACCGTCTATTGCTGCTTTTACACCATAACGGCAGAGTTCAATAGTTTGCTACAGAGATCATATGCCGCCAAACGCCTAAAGTGTTGACTAAACTCGCCCTTTACAGAAAAGGTTTATCAACCTCGGGTATAAGATATCTCTAAGATGGACAATTTTGGTCATATTACAAGTTCCTTAATGTGGCCACTGTGATTCCCGACTGTTCTCAGGGGAGTTGTGCTGTTTTGTAGGATATGCTCGAGAATTTGTGTTACAATGAGACTCGTTCAATGTGGGCATCCAGACTGTGGAGGGGTGGACTTGGACTGAGATGACCCCATGCAAGTTGGTAACAGCCAAGTGTGTTTCTTCTGTACCTCCTGTCTTGGGCTCCCAACAAGAGAGGTTGGCTACCTTCACCTGCTGTTCTCAGCAAAATGAGTTTTTGGAGATTCTGTCTCCCAAATTAACTCTCAGGAAAACAAAGTCAGGATGAAGGGAAAATAGAGTTTGTAACATTTTCAGATGGTGACCCAAGGTAAAGCTCATCTTCTGAAGGCCACCAGCCTAGCAAGACCTGAAACTTGTCATCCTTGGGGCTGGTTTGGGCCATGGACTTATTGATACTCATCTGTTGACAATTCTGTGATAATTTCCCCCTGTAGACAAATGAAGTTCATGATAAAACAGAAGATATAAGTGAGGTTAGATGAATAACATGTAAATTGTGGAAAGCCCTTGCTCAAAGAAAGTTGTTAGGATAAAAGTGAAACTGACTTTTACTTATCTACTATAGCAAGGGAGAACACTAAACCGACGATTCTTCAATAGTATCTTCTTAGGAGAAATGAGTGCATTTCATTTTATTTCTATGTGTTGGGTTCAGAAGTTTTTAGGACAGGATATCAGAAGCAGGAAAAGAACTTAGACTGCTTAATTTCTCAAGGCAAGGGTCAATGTATGAGGGGCAAGTTTCTAAGCAAAAAAAGGAAGTTTTATGTGAGTCACTACATGCTGCTGTAATGCAAAACTGATAAGGCACTTGTTCTGGTTCTCACTCCCCAATCCTTCTACAGTAATAATACCTGTCATTTATTGGGCCATGCACTGTAGATGATTTATCTCTGTGTACCTCTGTCCCAGACAGTGTTCCCACCCCATATTTAAATCCCACAATGACCCTGTAAGTTGGCATTATTTTTTTTTTCCATTTGACAGAGGTGGAAATTGAGGCATTTTCCCAAAATGTGGCAGCTAATAAGTGCCAGAGCCAAAGACAGGTCTTCCCTCTCATCAGTATCTCATTGGCTCTCCTGCAGTGGGACCCATAACACTGCCACCCTCATTCCCAGGCATTGTCTGCTTCTGTGTGGTTTTCAAGTAGCAGAGGTGTGCCCTCCAAACGTACCTAGTGGTCACACATTTTCATTTTCAGAAGGCCTCTTCTCATTTCTCTCCTTCTGCATGGGTCAATATTAAGAGAGAAAGCCATGTAAATGACCAATGATCATTAAATAATCAGTAAATGGTGCTCAGTTTCGTTAGTAACACAAATGAAAACCAAACCATAATGAAATACCATTACATACCCACTGGATAGAATAGACAAAATTAAAAACACTGATAATATCAAGTGTTGGCAAGAATTTGGAACAACTGGGACTCTTACATATTGGTGGGAGTGTAAACTAATAGAACCACTTTGGAAACTGCTTGCCAGTTTCTACTAAAACTAAATATACACCTTCCCTGTTACCCAGTATTTCACTCCCAAATATATATCCAACAAAATGATGTCCATGTTTATAACGCTTATGGTAGCACTATTTATAATAGCTAAAAACTGAAAATTTTCCAAAATGCCCATCAACAGTAAAATGGATAAATAAATTACTGTATATTCACAAAATGGAATACTATTGATGAGAATGAATGAACCACAACTCACACAACAACATGGATGAATATCACAAACATAATTTTGTTTTTTGTGTGTTTGTTTGTTTTTGAGACTGGGTCTCACACTGTCACCCAGGCTGGAGTGCAGTGGTGGGATCTCGGCTCACTGCAACCTCTGCATCCCAGATTCAAGCGATTCTCCTGCCTCAGCCTCCTGAGTAACTGGGACTACAGGCAAGTGCCACCATGCCCAGCTAATTTTCATATTTTTAATAGAGACAGGATTTCACCATGTTGGCCAGGCTGGTCTCGAACTCCTGACCTCAAGTGATCTGCATACCTTGGCCTCTCAAAGTGCTGGGATTATAGGCGTAAGCCACCACGCCCAGCCCATAATTCTGAACAAAGAATTCACACACAAGAATATATGCTGTATGGTTCCGTTTATATAAAGTACCAAAACAGCCAAAATTGTTTTAATCAGGACAAGGGTTACCCCCAGCTAGGGGGATAGAAGGACTAGAAGGAGTCAAGAAAGGGGCTTCTAGGGTACTGGTAATGCTCTGTTTTTCAAGCTAGGTGCTGAACACAAGTGTGTTCCTATTATGAAAGTTAATTGAGCTGTACTCTTACAATTTGTGTACTATTTCTAAATGCATATTATACTTTATTAATACAAGTTTTACAAAGATAAAGGCAGATAGTCTCTCCTTTCCATCCTATTTCATCCCTACCCAATAGAGTCCATTTTCAAGACAAAGGAGTTACAAATCCAGAGGGCCTGTGTCTGAAACGCCAAGCTCAGCGGTCCCTACGATGGAGGTTCCTAGCGTCTGAACTGCCCTATCCAGCCCCGTATATGCTCTGCAGTGCACCCCTTTGTCCTGCACTGATTATTTGGGCTCTGGCTGGGTTGAATTTTAGCCTCTTGTTTTTGGGGTTTGTCAAGGGTTATTATTATTCTAGGTTAATAATAAGGTCAGAGGTGGTGGAGGAGAGGGGTTGTGGATTTTTACCATAGGAAGCTTCTGAAGGGAAATGATTGTGTTTGTCTATTGATTAGTTACTATGTCCTTCAAGCATGGATTAATTAACACCTTAGGGTAGTTATGTTAGGCTGGAATGTTAAATGTAGACCCGTATATGCTCTGCAGTGCACCCCTTTGTCCTGCACCATGAAGGTAATAGAAAGGAAGTAGCAGGGTTTTAGAGTCAGACAGAGCTCAGCTCTGCCACTGACCTACTGTAGGACATTGAGCAGACCACTCAGTCTCTCCAAGCTCCTATTCCCTGTCCTCAAACAAAATGATGGCATATGCTGTTTGTTGCCTACCCAAATACCCTTCCTTCCCTGCTCTTCACTTCCCACCAGGGCTGAGCACACCAGCTGTGTGACTTCCCAGCCTCCCCTGTCGCTACAGCATGTGCATGTGACCCTTCAAAACAATGGAGATGGGAGCGCAAAAGCATGGGAGGGCACTTGAGGTCTTGGTGACATTTTTTTGCTAGGCCTGGACCCCGACCTCTGGACAAGTACAGTTGGGGAGAGGCCTTGGGTGGCTTCTCTTAGGGGTCTTAGGGGTTTGGCTTCTCAATTCCTCCCACCAGGATAGAGAAGAGCTCTTTCCAAGCTGCAAGCCAAGTCCTGGGGCAAGATAAGGAATCAGGCATACTGGATCCAACTATTAGTGGTTCAGAAGTACCTTCTTATGTCAGTTTCAACAAGTATTTGTTCAGTGCCTATGAGTGCCAGCTACCATGCTATGTGTTGGGAACACAGTGTTAGACAAGGCAAATAGGATCCTTGCCTATCTGTTAATAACAGTCACAGCAGTTAAAGCAAACTTGAACATTGCCAGCTTTTCAAATCACTGCAAGCATATTCTCAAGTATGTATTTTGAAACCCATCAAATTCCAAGGACACTTCCAGAGCTCTTGGCTTGAGGTTGCCAGAGAAGAATTATTTTGAGTGAAAAGGTATTTATTGAGCCTCTACATGTAAGATGTGAGTATAGAAACAGAGGGGGTGGGTTTTCACCCTTCAAAAAACTTAAATCCTGAAGTGGTTGCTATATGACAAATAGTTGATCGGAGTAGCATAAGGTATGTTCCAGAAACCACAGGGAGGTCTAGGGCAGTAGAGTCATCTTTGGGGAGGAGGTGACCCTAAACGTGGTAGGATTCTGTCAGACAGGAAGGACAGGAGATGGCCCCTGAAACCAAGTGAAGGCACTGCCTAAGTGGGGCAGAACACAAGCTGAGGATGGGGCTACGAGGTGAATCAGGCCAGAGAGGTGGTTTGCAGCCTGATCCGGAAGAACCTTAAATACCAGGCCAAGGAAGCAGGACCACATCCTACGAGCAAAGGGAGATTTCAGGTAAAGAAGCAATATGACAGAGTGGGTGCTGTGGGAAGATTAGTCTGACATCTGTGAAAGAGATGATTTAGAGAAGAAGACGCTGGAGGCAGCAGCTAGAAGCCTGAGCAGCTTCGGAGCTTTCAGAGAGGGGATATTACCCTCTACTTTTCCTCCTGGCTCGGTTGCCCTGCTGAGTGTCTGTAGAAGTGCTGTGTGGAAGAACACTGACTGTCCCCCAATACGCATTTAACCCTCTCTTCTTTCTCACAAAATCCTGAATTTGTTTGGGGCAGCAAGCTTCTCTGTTAAAAATATTCACCTTTCAAGTTGAATTATGCAATTTAAAAAAATATTCACAGCCCCCAAATCTAGCTAGGATGCCATGTAACACATTTCTGGCCAATGAGGTGTATAAAGAATTTTACAGTGGGGCTTCTGGAAAGGTCTTGTTTTCTGTATAAAAAGACAGAACGGGCCGGCCCAGACTTCTTTCCTCACCTTCTTCCTCCAGCCTGGAACTCAGATATGATGCCTGAAAGTGATGCAGCCATTTGTAACCATGAGAACAAAAGCTATAAGTCAAGAATGGCAGAACAGGGAGATAGCAAGAGTCTTGATTTTTTTTTTTTTTAATTGAGATGGAGTTTCACTCTTGTTGCCCAGGCTGGAGTACAATGCTGCAATCTCGGCCCACAGCAACCTCCGCCTCCTAGGTTCCAGCGGCCCTCATGCCTCAGCCTCCCGAGTAGCTGGGATTGCAGGCACACGCCACCACACCCAGCTAATTTTGTACTTTTAGTAGAGACAGGGTTTCACCATGTTGGTCAGGCTGGTCTCGAACTCCCGACCTCAGGTGATCCACCTGCCTCGGCCTCCCAAAGTACTGGGATTACAGGCATGAGCCACTGCGCCTGGCTGAGTCTTGATTCTTAATGAGCATCTGCACCCAATTGGACTGCCTATACCCAGGCTTCCAACTATGGGACAAAAATAACCCCTTACTTGTTTAAGGTTTCTCTTAAGTAGCCAAATGTAACTCCTAACTGATTTACATGGAAACCTTGAACCCCTCAGTTTTCTTCTTCTTTCCATGAGCCCACAGCTGGTGCAGGAACAGGTTATGCACCTGCTATGTGCTTTTCAGAAGTTGCCCACAAGAACAGTGGAAGAGGCCCTCGGTTTGTTGTTCCCACCTTGGTCCCAACTCCCTCAGCCTTGCAGGGCCTCCCTGGCTTGTCTGGATCCTCCTGGGACCAGGGGACAATGCTAGCTGAGATAACCTAGCATATAAGATCCCAGGCTGTGAATCTAAGAGAAGGGTGCTGGGCCAGCAGTCAGGAATCCTGGGATCCCAACCCATCTCTGCCGTGAATCAGGGCATGACCTCAATCCAGTCATTCTCCATCCCCCTAGGTTTCAGTCACCCCGTCTTTGAAAAGAGGAGATTTAGCTAGGTCTGCAATTTTCAAACTATATAAATTAGTTTGCATTCGGCTAAAAATAGCAAAATCAAGCGGGCAGACAAAAATAAACAGCCAAAACCATAAAAGGACACACAGAGAGAAACAAAAACCAAAAATAGCATAATAGTTTAAACAACAAAGAAATGTGTCATTGGGGGTAACAAGAAGTCCAGAGACACTTCGGAAATGGTTTGGTAGCTGCTTCCCAAGGTCATCAGGCACTCTGCAGTTCTCCATGGATTCTAGCTTCCTTCATGGGCACAGGCTGGCTTCCACAGTGCCAGGCACAATAGCAGTCAAGGAAGAAGAGAATCCATCTTTCTTGTGTTCCTTTTTTCAGAAACAGGGTCTCACACCATTGCCCAAGCCAGAGTGGTATGAACACAGCTCACTGCAGCCTCAACCTCCTGGGCTCAAGTGATTCTCTCACCTCAGCTGCCTGAGTAGGTGGGACCACAGCTCCTCAGGGCTGAACCACCACACCTGGCTAATTTTTAAGATTTCTGTAGAGACAAGGTCTCACCATGTTGCCTAGGCTGGTCTTGAACTCCTGGGCTCAAGCCATCCTCCCACCTTGGCCTCCCAAAGTGCTGGGATTACAAGTGTAAGCCACCAAGCCTGGCCTGTGTGCCATTTTTAAGAGCAAGAAACCTTTCCCATGAGCCCCCAGCAGACTTCTCCTTACCTATACTGGCCAGAAGTGCCTATTCCTAAACCAATCACTGACCAGGAAAGTGAGATCACTGCCTGGTGTGAACATATGTTGGAGAGCCAACCAGGACCAGGACAGCAAAGGAGGCTTCCTTTCTAAAGAAATACCACACGCCCCCATGACAGAGAGCAGAGAAAAGCAGAGCCCTTTGGACTGAAGATGGGGAGGAGACTGGAGCCCACCCCTGGATTCCTCAAGGTCCCAGTCACAGAAGTTCCAAAACTGCTGGGCTTGATCTCTGAGACACCTCCCTGCTCTACTACCCTATGCTTCTAAGATTAGTGGCTCTGGCAGAATAGGGTCAATATGAAAAGGAAAACTAACCACATCTACTGAGGTTGCCCTGAAGATGGGGCCAATCAATAGGCCTGCTATAGGTAAGGGAACTGCATGGATTGTCTGTACTCTGCTCTTAATAATAACAACACGCACACGCACATATGTTTTCTGCTTTCCAGGATCTTGGACACATACAATCTCATCCAGTCTAAGAAGAAGTCCTATAAATAGTGTGAGGCCCATATGTCTTTATTTTAGAGATGGGGAAACCAAGGCACAAGACAAGGAGGTATTTGCTCCAGAAAACTAGGGCCTGGTAGAGCCTAGCCTGGACTATCAGCTGCCAATTTGGCCTAAGGACAAGTGACACTCCTGGGAAACTGGGGGTACCTTTATCCTAGGCATGATGGGGAAGCCCCTGGTCAGGGTTTATTGAGCCACGGGTTGCTGGCTGGGTGACTTGAGCTTCTCAATTTCTCTGAGCCTCACTCCCCTCCTCTGTAGTGAGGTTACTCAGAGGACATCCCTCTTGGGGCCAATGGGAGGACCGGGGAACACTTTGAAGGCCCCTGGGTTGTTTAAAAGACTTTGAGGTCATCTTGGCTGAGGTTCCAGACAGCTTAGGGAAGGCAAACTCTGTTCCTTTACCTCCAGACTGTACCCGAAGGAAGACTGAAACCAAAACACGGGCTGCTACCCCATGCCTGGCCACCGCCTCCTCCCTGGGGCAGCCGAGACTGTAGCCTGGCCAGGCACCTCCCCCACTCCCTCGAGGCAGGCGGCTGCTAATGGCTCTCCCCGCAAGCTGGTTCATTAAAGATTTGTTCTGTGGAGTTGCAATCAAAATAAACAGACAGGCCTGAAAGCCAGGGAACTAAAAACCAATTAAGAGGGAATGGAGATGGAAGGAGGGAGTGGTGGGGGCAGGAGGAGAAAAGAGGCCAGGGCTTTCCAAAGACTCAGTTCCCATGGCAGCCAGCTTCCAAAATAGTCTGGGAATGAAAAATAATGAAAACCACCTCGGAGAGAAAAGCGATCCTGGCAGGAGAGTCCCGACATTGGGATTGCCTAAATCCCCTTGCTCACAGCAACCAGAGGGCACCTGGGTGGGTCAGGGCACTGGTGACCTGCCCTCCACCCCCCAATCATTTCCTGGCCACATTCAAGGTAGTGAACGGGTAGCCCTTCTGCAGAACCTCTGCTCGGGCTTTGAGCCACATTCCAGCCCCGCCCCACAGGCACAGGAAGACCAGGGAAATGTAATGGGGGTGAGGGCAAGGGACTAAGGGATGCGGTGGGGACAAGGCTGAAAGGGAATGTTCAGGACACCCAGAGGTTTACATGGGGCCCAAGGTAGGATCCCTAGTCCAGTTGCAGAGGTCTTCCTGGAGGAAGTGACATTCAAACTGAGATCTGAAGAATGAGTAGGAGCTGGTCAGGAAATGAACAGAAGCAATGGGGCTTCAGGACGAGAGCACAGGCATTGCAAAGGCCCAGGGAGAAGGAGAGCAGGAGAGAGAGAAGCCAGAAGTTCAGCAGGGCTGGCAGTTATTGAGCTGGACATACTCTGTGCCAAGCTCAGTGCTCTCGTAGGTACTGAATCCTGAGAGGCAGAAACCCCTGGCAGGCTAAGGATCAAAGATCTCAAGGTCGGGGAGCCAGGATCCCAGCATGAATCTGTGGACCCTGCACCCACCTTCTTTCCCCTCTGCCTAGAGCTGGACTTTCCAGGGCACCCCAGTTCCCTGCCCCTTCCCTTGTCCTGGTGACCCAGAAGCCCAGCACGGCCGAGTTTCTAGCAGTCATTTCTGGTGCTATCTCGGAGGAGACCCTGCTGCCCACCAGGAGGCATCGCCGGTTAAACATCTCCAGACCCCCTTGTGGTCTGGTTTCTGTTTCATCGGTGAGGCAACAGGAAAACTGAGAGCCTATTAAGTTGACTTGCAGATGCCAAAATGGAATCACAGCCAAAATTACATTAACCCTTTCACACCCCGTCCTCCACCCGCCGTCCGGGGCCACAGAAATCAGAGCGTTGAACCACATGACCGCTTGGGAGAAGCGACCACCTTGGCCCCAGGGGATGGCCTCCTAGATCCAGAGCGGCACCTGGCCTACCCAGGCAGGGCTGATGGGTCAGGCGTCCATCCTGCGCAGGTGCAAGCCATGGTGCTGGTGACGGAGGAGCACCCACCCAGCAGCCCTGCTGAACGCAAGGACTCGTAGCTGGGAAAAAGGACTGTGCAAACCGGAGCCAGCTCTTCCAAACAGGGAAGAGGTCATGTGAAAGCCGTGGGGCTGAGCTGCACAGTGGGGGGTTCTCAGGGCACTGATCTTTCACTCTCATTCCAGGAAGTCAAGCCATAGCCAAGTGGGAGCGCACTGGAAATGGGGTGGCCCCGAGAAGGCAAAAGCACAGCCATCGTCTCTTAACTTAGTGTCCCCTGAAGGCTCCGCACAGAAAAGGGTAATATGGGTCAAGAAAAGAGCACTGGACTGGGAGTCCATCCAGAATGGAGCAGGGCATTTGTCCTGTCCTCGTGGTGGGGCAGAATGAGCACAGGCTTTGTAGTTAGATTCCATTGAGTATCAACCTTATTTCCCCATCTGGGAGCTGTGTGACCCTGGGTCAATTACTCCTCCCTGAGCCTCAGTTGCCTCAGCAATAAATGGATATAATATAGACTACCTCATAGGGTCTTATCAGGATGAAATAAGGTGCCACAGTGCCCAAAGCAAGCTGGGCATGTAAAGGGAACTCCCTTGCCTCCAGGCCGCAGCTTCAACTGTAAAATGGGCTGACAACCATCCTGGGTTAAGTGTGTCCAGCACTTGAGACACTACAGAGGGCTGCAGATACATTCAAGGGGTCTCTGGCTGGGGAAGACGCTGAGATGTTATTCCCTTTCCAGCCTCCTTTGCCCTTGGCCTTCTTCTCACCTACCATCAGACAGAGGCCTCCCTCACGCTGCACAGCCTCCTCCTGGGTGATTGTGAGGGCTCCGTGGCCACAGAGATGAAAGAACATTTCTTGTGCACCTACTCAAGGCAATTATCAGAAACTGGAATTATTATACCCCCTGCCCAACCAGCTTATAGTTGAAGGAAATGCGGTTCAGGCACAGAAGGTGACTCACCTGGAGTCACATGGTTTCTAAGCCCTTGCTTGGGTTTGGAATCCTAGGCCTGACTGACTCCAAGGCCCATGTTCCTGCCCCTGCCCCACTCCAAGCCCCCAGTTCACCAGCAGCATAATAGCCCGGGGAACCTGAGACCTGAACTGCCCAAATGCTGGGACTATCCTGGGGTGGCCTCCCCTCCTGTGGGTGCTGAGACAGTGGTCACCACTCCACCATCGGGAGAGACGGACACTCCAAACTACCACCAACTCCCTCGCTGGCCAAGGACCACCAGGAATGAGTGGATGGGATGGGAAACAGGCAGGAAGAGGTGATGCTCAGGCCTAAGTGTGAGTCTGGGCTCAGCCGTGTTGACTTGCCCAAGTTTCCTCACCCCCCTGGCTCTCCGTGACCTCATCTGTAGATCCTGGACAGGAAGAACACTGTCCTATCTCGCAGGCTGTCGGGAGATTTAAATGAGATGACTGATGGGTGTTGAAATGATCAAGGCTTGTTGTCACTGGTAATTAGCACACTCGTTATTTGTTTGTGTTTCTAAGCAGCAGATTCGCTAAGTGGGTTAAACCGCTTCTCAGTCCCAGCTGCTCAAGTGTCCTGTTGACACTGGTCCTGCTTTGTTCACAGACAGCAAAGGTGAATCCATGCCCTGCACAGTTGGAACAGCCCATACCCCAGGGGAGCCCCCATGGGGCGCAGACTGTTCAGCTTTTGTGCTGGTTTTCTTGGCCCTCAGGCCAACCAAGCGACGGGAGGCAAGCGTAGCAGGCATTCTTCCTCCCCTGGGTTCTCAGAAATGGATAAACCAACACATGAGACCCACAGCCACCCTGGCGTATTTGCAGGGAGTGCTTACTATGTGCCAGACAGTTTGCTCCTCTACAGATAAAACCCTGGGAGCTTCTCCCTGCAGCCCTGCGACAGGGGTGGCTTTCTAACTCCCACCCCTCCACTCCCTTCCTTCCTTCCCTTTCTGCTTCCTTCCTTCCTTCTCCCAGCTTTCCACCTTTGATTCCAAAAGTCAGTCCCAGGGCAGTGGCAGGGGGCAGCAGGATTGCTGGCCCTCAGGGTACCTGTCTAGGGCAGGAGGGAAGGGCCCTGGGAAGTTAGGATCATGGCCCGGCTGTCTAGGAGGACCCAGGGGACCTGACTCAGGCAGAGCAGCAAAGGGAACAAGGCAAGTGCAGAGATACTGGACCCAGGGAAGGGCATTGACTCATGTGGGGCACTGGCCTGAGCAGGGAAGCCCTTCTGGCTGGGATTCCAAGAAGGAATATTTCTCAGCCAGTCCCCAGTTTGACACCTCCAAAAATTAATGCCAGAGGCCCCCTCAGCAAAGCCTGGGGCACGATAGGCGCACCATCAAGGAGCATCAAATCAAACTGACCAGGAACTCGAGGAACGTCGCTTCCTCCAACACCTGAGAAAACAGGAGGCAAAGCCGGGCCAGGTCTTATGGAAAGACTGGGAGAACCAGGGAGCCCAGAACATCTGAAAGAAGGACTTCAGGACCTAGCCCTGAAGGAGCTAGGTTCAGGTGCTGAAAAGAAGCCGCCAGTGCTGGGAGGTGGGGCTCTACTGGAGTAATATCTCCTGAGCTGCAAGTAGCTGCACTCCCATGTTCCTGTGTGTCCACAGAGCCACTAGGCTCAGGCGGATACTCTGCTTCTCACAGGTCAGCCATTCAACCCTCCTGGCCACCATGAGGCAGGAATCAGCACCCCCAGGTAAATCTAAAGAACCTTAAGGGTTTGTTGTTGTTGTTGTTGTTGTTTTTAATAGAGACAGGGTCTCCCTCTGTCACCCAGGCTGGAGTGCAGTGATACAATCAGAGCTTATTGCAGCCTCAAACTCCTGGACTCAAGTGATCCTCCTGCCTCAGCCTCCTGAGTAGCTGGGACTACAGGCAGTTCCCATCACACCCAGCTAATTCTTTTTTTTTTTTTTTTCCTTAGTATTTATTTATTTTTGAGATGGAGTTTTGGGCCAGGCTGGAGTGCAGTGGCACGATCTCGGCTCACCGCAAACTCCGCCTCCCACGTTCAAGCATTTCTCCTGCTTCAGTGTCCCAAGTAGCAGGGATTACAGGCATGAGCCACCACACCCAGCTAATTTTGTATTTTTAGTAGAGACAGGGTTTCTCCATGTTGGTCAGGCTGGTCTCAAACTCCCGACTGCAGGTGATCCACCTGCCTCAGCTTCCCAAAGTGCTGGGATTACAGGCGTGAGCCAACGCGCCCAGCCCACACCCAGCTGATGTTGTTGTTGTTGTTGTTGTTGTTGTTGTTGTTTTTGAGATGGAATCTCGCACTTTCACCCAGGCTGGAGTGCAGTGGCGTGATCTCGGCTCACTGCAAGCTCCGCCTCCCAGGTTCACGCCATTCTCCTGCCTCAGCCTCCCAAGTAGCTGAGGCTACAGGCGCCCGCCACCACACCTGGCTAATTTTTTGTATTTTTAGTAGAGACGGGGTTTCACCGTGTTAACCAGGATGGTCTTGCTCTCCTGACCTCGTGATCTGTCCACCTCGGCCTCCCAAAGTGCTGGGATTACAGGCATGAGCCACCGTGCCCAGCCCGCACCCAGCTGATTTTTTTAAACAATTTTGGTAGAGATGGGTTCTCACTATGTTGTCCAGGCTTAGGAACCTGAAGTTTAGAGATGAGTACCAAACCCATCTCATGGTACTCAACTCCAGACTTGCTCAAAAATACTTGAGGAATAACCAGCTCTGGGTCACATAGTGTCCTTGACAGGGCCATAAGGCTACAAAGAACTTAAGTGCTTATTGTTTAACAGGACAAAAATTGTTAACCAGAGATTGCCCCAAGCCTTTCTCTCCTTTCCTGCTAAGGGAGCTCTGACTGGCCCACATCTTCCCTTCACTCCTCACCCTTGAAGAGGGCCTGTCTTGCAAAGTGGTTCTTTGGAACAGAAACACAAACTTGGAAGCAAAAGGGAAAGGGGAGGAAGATCAGAGAGGTGCTGGGCTAGTGCTGGGGGTAGCTCTGAGGTTGGAGGAGAAAGAATTGTGCCCAGGGAGGCACAGAGGCTGATAGAGAAATGGGGGGTGGGCTAAGAGGTCTCCATGTGGTCCGCTATCCCCCTTTGGGACTGCAAAATACAAGGAAAGAACTGAAGTTATAATGACCTAAGATTTGGTTTCTCAGCTCTGTTCTTTTGAAGCAACACCACTGAGAGAAGGGACCCTGTGAGTCACAGCTTTCTAGGCATTCCGTTTGTAAGGATGTGTGTGGCGAGGAATGGAAACTGGAACTGAGGCAAAGCAGAGACCAGCCTCTTCCTCACAGCATCTTTGCCTTGCTTTGTGTGCTTGATCTTGGATTTCCAGCCTCCAGAACTGTGAGAAGTACATGTCTGTTGTTTCTAAGCCACTGCGTCTATGGTATTCTGTTCCAGCAGTCCAAACTAAGACAGGAGCCCCAGTCTTGCCCAGAGTGAGAGAGGTACTCTCCCCTTCCTTCTGCCAACTCTCAGATCACACAGGGGTGAACTGAAATTCCTGCTCAGGTCATGCAAGGGTGGACTGGAAATTCCATCCTCCTATTTTGTAAGTACCTTCAAACTATAAAAAGCATTTTGCAAGCACCTTCAAAAGGTTTTTAAAACTTTCCAAAAAGAAATGTAAATGTGGGCGAATGTTTTTTTGATCCAGGAAACATGCATAATGGGACTTTTAAGAAAGGGTCACTTGGTGTCCCCTCCTTTGATTTTAAGGAAGAGAAAGGGCTCTTTCCCCCCTGCCCATTGGATGGGAAGACAAGGCTTTCCTCTGTATGAGAGCTGCACACTCCCCCAAACACCACCAACTCTTAGCTCTCTCCAGTCTTCTTATATTGACCAGGAAGGTGGGACTTCCATCCACAGGCCCCAGCAACAGTGAGCAGTGCCACGTGTACCCAAGGTGAACATGTTGCATGCAGGGGATGGTGCCTGAGTCAGGGCTGCCAACTGAGTGTGCAGGGCAGATGTATCTGTCCAAGGAGGTATGCACTGAACTCTGCTGTCATTTTAAGCTGGTAGGCCAATGGTTTCTTCCCGTCTGGACAGAATGTGCCTTCATGAGGGGCTGTGGATAACTGTGATCACATGAAACTGTTGGACGAGCTGATCTGGACAACCTAGGGGCAGATGAGAGTGAATTATTGTGCTTTACAGTACTTTTGAAGAAAGGCAGTTTTACGACTTTCAAATAGATATGGTAAATGGGAACCATGTGTGACCAGCAGAGGCCCTTGGGGAACTGCTTCAAGGACCAGCTAAGAATCAGCTATAACCAGCAAAGCACTTGTTTATATGTGAATGAGCGAGCTTCACATGTGTTTTAAAATGTCTTGTTTGAATGTCTCTCCTGACACCATTTTCTTACTACCTTTTTTGTACTTCCACGAAGAAAGGGTTGGTTCAACAAAGGCTAACATCCCCCCAGCCATATCCAAATTATTACAAACCTCAAATGCCCACTTCCCCACAATCAAAGATGTTTGCCTGAGTTGGCAGCTCATGAGGAAGCTTGCATTTCACAGCAGGAAGAAGGGTTTAGCCAAAATTTCCACATGGAGACAACCTTGATCCCAACCCAAACCCATCTCATGATACTCATCTCCAGACTTGCTCAAAAATATTTGAGGAACTTAGCTGAGTTTAAATACTCAAGGGAGAAAGATGGAAAGTTGAAGCCTCCCTGGTGAACTTCGACCTGGTACAGGTTTTTAAACAGTGATACTTATCCAGTGACTACTGTGTATGTGCCCCCATGGGGGATGCTCTAATGAACATGTCCTCCAGGAAAATTGAATCTTGTGGATTTCAGTTGGTGAGAGGGGACATGCATACAAACCATGGCACAAGGCAAAGTGAAGGTAATGCAACGGAATAGAAATAAACAGCACTCCACAGTGGGGCAAGAGAATATTACTTCCAGCCAGAGAACCACAAGAGACTCTATGAGGGAGATCACCTGTGGTTGTAGATGTGCATTCTACCATCCAGCAGTTACACTTCTATATGGTAGAAACTTTTGCAGGTGAACTCAAGGAAATATGCACAAAGACAGTGCAGCTTTCTAGGTAGTGTCAAAAAATTAGAAATAATCCAAATATCCACTAATAGATGAAAGGATGAATAAATTGAGATATTTTCATACAATGAAACATTATACCTAGGTTGAAGTGAACGTACTAGAGCTCGATGTATCTACATGGAAAAACCTAGATAACCATTTTGGTCAACAATTAAAAAAATGCAGAAGAATATTTACAAAGATGGCATTATGTAAATTTTAAACTCATGAATTGACATACTCCTTATGTGGAAAATGCATCCGTACATAGGGGAAAAAGATACCCACTCATTTCAGAATATTGATCACCTTTGGAGACAGAAGGAGGGGTATGAGATAAGGAAGGGGCATAAAGGGGACCTCAGATATACCATTACTTCCTTTCAATTTTTTAAATTAAATGTGATTAAATGTAAACATTCTTAAAGCTAAGAAGTAGGCAGATGGGCTTTTGTTACATGATTCTTTATTTCTCTGTATGTTTGAAATAAATTCATTCATTAAGAAAATGAGGTCTTTCATTCTTCTAGAAATACTGAGTAAAATATTACATCTTTTTAAATGCGAAGCTGAGCTTTCAAGAAAGTAAACAGAATTAATCTGGAGGAAAAAACAAAGAAGTAACTAAAAATCAAAATTTTAACTGTGGTGAGTGATGTTGTAGAGACTGGTGGGGGCAGGGAGTTACTGGCCCTGATAACCAGAGAGCAAATGGCTAAAGTTAAGATATTCACATAAAGGCAGGACTATACTCCAGGTGGACGGCAGAGTCGGGGCCTGGGGGGACCTACCTCTGGTACACGGACAACCTGTAAGCTTACTGGTCTTATAGTCCAGGTACCGAGGAAAAAAATCCTATCCTCAGGGTATTTGTAGAAAACAATAAGCAGCAACTATTTAGCATCACAGATGCCTGAGATAGTGACAACAGATGGGGCAAACAAGAGACTGGTGAAAAACTTATAAGGATGATGGTGCAGGAAGTAAGATATCCCCAGGGAAACCCTTGGCAAAGAGTGGAAGACTTGGCTGGGTGCGGTGGCTCACACCCGTAATCCTAGCACTTTGGGAGGCTGAGGTGGGCAGATCACTTGAGCCCAGAAGCTCGAGACCAGCCAGGGCAACATGGCGAAACCCCATCTCTATGAAAAATAGAAAAACTAGCCAGGCATGGTGACATGCACCTATAGTCCCAGCTACTCAGGAAGCTGAGGTGGGAGGATCACTTAAGCCTGGGAGGTGGATGTTGCAGCGAGCTGATGTTTTGCCATTGCACTACCGTTTGGGCAACAGAATAAGACCCTGTATCAAAGAGAGAGAGAGAGAGGAAGACTTACTGGTTCAAAACATTTAAGAAATGAGAAAATATTTAGAACTGAGCAATAATGAAAATAGCAACATTTCTAAATTTCTTGATGCAGTTCCAGAGATGTTAGAGGGAAAATTGCAGTCTTCATTTATGACACATGTAAGAAAACGAGTAGAGGGTTAAGTGTCCAGCTCAAGAATTTAGGGAGGAGGGAGCAACAAAGCAAACCTAAATAAAGTTGGATAAAAGAAATAATAAAGACAAGGACAGAGATCAATGAAATAGAAAATGGGCTTAGCGAGTACCAACAAAACCAAAACATGGCTCTTGAAAAGACTGATAAAATAGACAAATTGCTGGCAGTGCTGATTGATCTAGAAAGAGTAAAGGTACAAATGAGCATTCTGTGGAGCTGAGTTACTGCACCAGCCCGAATCCTACTACCTCTAGAACTGTCATGTGGGAAAGGAATAGCCTTCTCTCTTGTTTAAGTCACTGTCAAACTTCTTGCAGTCAAACCTAATCCTAACCCACATAGAGGGCTAAGCCAGGCCTGGGCTGGATCCAGGCACCCTAACTAGGCCAAGCAGGATGGAGGAGGGTGTCTGTACCATGGGTGATCAGGCAAAGTGTGGCTTGAGAAGCAGAGGTGACAGATCAGGCCACAATCAGGCTGGCAGAGCAGGCAGTTGTCCACAGACATGCCCTGATCAGCAGCAGCCATCAGGACAAGTGGTGACTGTTGCACCTGCTTTCAACAGTCTCCCGACTTCCCAGGTGAGTGCACTCCAGGGCTACCTCTTGTGGGCCAGACCTACTGGGCAGGTGTGGTTCCTCCAGGACAGGGGCTACAGTCTCTGATTCGTGTGTGGGTCTTTGACTTGCAAGTTTCAAAAGCCCAACTCAACCCAGCTCAAACAATCAAAGCAATGTATTCACTCATCTAGTTTAACTCAGTCCACCTGCCAAAACTATGTTTCCAAAGATTCATGATGTTGGCTTCACGTGGTCCCATGCTACCCCTCCCTGCAACAGCCCAGATGCTTCACCAGTGAAAGAAAAATGGCTTCAGCAGCTCCAAACCTACCATCCTCACATCACACCATCCAGGAAGATGTAGTTCCTTTTCCAACGTCTCCCTTACAGGACTTGTGATTTGTTCTCCCTCACTGGCCAAAATTAGGCCATCTGCCTGTCTCTAAGCCAATCAACATGCTGATTGACTTCAGCCAGTCAGGACCTAGCCCAGAAACTGCTGCTAAATTGAGTGACTCATGAATGACTAAGCTTCACTCTCCTGGTGTATTAGAGCAGGTTTTCATAATACCTAACTGGTAATGTTTTCAGGCAGTATAAATAAAATCAGCACTTAGTCACTTAGCAGAATGCCTGATACACTCTGCATTTGATCAATGGTAACCAGTAATAGCTATTAGCATGAACACTAAAAACTGGGGCCCTGCGCAGGCGTGGTGGCTCACGCCTATAATCCCAGTACTTTGGGAGGCCGAGGTAGGTGGATCACTTGAGGCCAGGAGTTCAAAACCAGCCTGGCCAACATGGTGAAACCCCGTCTCTACTAAAAATAAAAAAATTAGCCAGGCGTGGTGTTGCACGCCTGTAGTCCCAGCTACTCAGGAGGCGGAGGCTGGAGAATCTCTTGAACCCGGGAGGTGGAGGCTGCAGTGAGCCAGGATCGCAGTGAGTTGAGATTGTGCCACCGCACTCCAGCCTGGGTGACGGAGTGAGACTCTGTCTCCAAAAATAATTTAAAATAAATAAATAAATAAATAAATAAAACTGGGGCTCTATTCTTACCCTTGGGTTGAGAAAGTCAGGCTAGTGCACCAATGGTTTGAAATGAGTGTCAGTCTGGGGCTAGCTCCTGAGAAAGTGGTATCAACATTAAACTTGATCCCCAGCCCTAGGGGGTAAACTGAGGCAAGTGTCCATGATACAACGGAAAGCAGAGGGTCCCAGGGAAGTCTGCAGTTCCCTCTAATCACCCAGCAACCCCAAGAATAAAGAGGCAGAGGTGACTGCCGAAACACGACTTCCCTAGGGGATCCCCTCCACGCTTTGTGGTCTCTCCAGGGATCATGCCCAGGCTGCTGGCACAGGGCTGTCCCATTAAAAGGACACATTCAAAGTAAGAGGAACAGAAAGGCTGCAGAGCCCCCTCGGCTCAGCTCATGGCGGGTGATAGGGTCATATGCCCTGACAGGCCTTTACACAGGGAGAAAAATCTTTCTAATAGCCCAGAAGAATGCCCTAATCTGACATCTCGTTTAGCAGATGATTGGATCTGGCTTTGATCTCTATTGGGCATAATGAGTGCACCTCTTGGGCCAATCAGCAGTCATTAATTAGTAGCACGGCCAGCAGGTGGGCCTGCCCAGGAATGGGGCCCTTTGCTTGCGAATTGGGAGTTGAGAGTGGAGATGTTTATGAGCAAGTCAGACCCAGAGTGAAACTATGGGATACATCAGGGTCACCAGGACCAGCCCTGGGGTCTGTCTGGGAAAGTGCTCTAAGCTAGGCCTTCACATGACACATGTGACACACAATGCCACCCAGGGACTGGGCCGTGAAAGAAGGTTCCCCACTCCCTGCAACACATAACCCAAAGTGAGAATACAGCACCAACTCAGTACACAGCAAACAGTGTGGGACACCATGAATCACAGCACCGCGATGTGACGACACAGTTCTGTAACTGGCAATTGGCTCTTGGCTTCCATTTACCCTTCTTCTTGGGGTCCTGCATCCCTCCCTCCCCCATGTGGCCCTCTGGGTTCCTGGGAGCTGATGAGTGAGAGAGGGGTTATTGGGATCTATGGTTTCATCATCCCTAAGAGCAATGGAACACAGCCTCGTGGTCCTGCATTAGGTTTCAACAGGGATGCAGTCAGGGAGACAGATGAGCATAAACCACACTGGTGTCCCTGAGTCAGAAGGGCCAGGGGCAGTGTGGGAGGGGACACATCCTGTAGACTTAGCATAGGAAGAGCTGAATTCATACACCATCCTCTGCCACTCACTAAATAGCCATGTGGCTAGGCGTGTGGGCTCAACACCTGTAATCCTAGCACTTTGGGAAGCTGAGATGCAAGAATCACTTGAGCCCAGGAGTTTTAGACCAGCCTAGGCAACATAATGAGACCCCATCTCTAAAAATAAATAAATAAATAATAAAAATAGCCATGTGATCTTGGGGTAAATCCCCTTAACTTCTCTAAGCATAGCTTTGTCCTCTGTGTAAGGAGGGGGTTATGTTTTACATAGCCCTTGCAACATGGGCTGTACTTAGTTTTTGTATAACATCCAAACAGAATTAATACAGGTATTCTCTTTTTTTAATTTTGTAACCAGCAGCTTCTAAACCAGAATAGGCTCTGAGAGGCTCCTTGTATTTTAAGTGTTCAGAATTATTAATACATCTTTAAATCAGTGAAACTAAATATTTTAACTTCAAAAATTAATGAACCCATTATAAAACATTATGTAAAATATACATTCATAGAACTATAAATATTAAACATAATATCATATCAGAACAAATCATTAAAGGACAAAATTTTAAAAAATAAATCATCATTCAAAAGATAAGAATGTGTAATTAACTGTGAAATTAAAAAATTAAATGTCACTTCATCTTTTTTAGTACAATCCTAAAAAAAAGAAAAACAATTAAAGGTGTCATCATTAAATGAAGCACATTTTGTATGCAAATTTGCCCCACTGCCATAACAGCGGTCTCAGAACAGCAAGGAGAAAGTTACAAACTAACAACAGATACTAACACCATGATTGTGGAGGGGGGGACCTATCTTGTTTAATAACTTTGAGAAAATATTTTTTATTTTTTTTCTGGCAGGAGTGGGTAGAGACAGATATTTTTCCGATAGTAAGTGTGTATTTGGGGTTTTGTTTTTGTTTTAAGCCTTCTTTACTCTCATCGGGTATAGAGGTATAGAGGGAGATGTCCACACCATCAGTCTTATGTTCTTTGAACTAGAACTAGAGCTTCAGGAACTGTTTTGCTATTTTGCTATTCTGATTAGCATTTTTTTCTCCTCTTGAGAATTACGGAAATGTAAAAAATAAAAATTATTTTTAAAGCTATCTAAATGGTATATCTTTGGCGTTTTAATGTAGCATATAGCAACACTCTTGGTGGTTTTAAGACAAATTACTCTGATTTTAGGTTTATAAAAATACAAACTAATAGTATTGCAACTGGTATGTGATAATTTAAAATACACATAGAGAGACTAATGAAAACTGGTTTTATAATGTCTTATTCTAGATCAGTAGTTTCCAAATCTTTTCTTTCATAGGGAACTTCTTTTGTTTTTGTTTCTGTTTTTAGACAGGGTTTCGCTCTGTCACCCATGCTGGAGTGCAGTGGTGCAATCATGGCTCACTGCAGCCTCAACCTCCTGAGTTCAAGTGATCCTCCCACCTCAGCCTCCCTAGTAGCTGGTACCGCAGGCACATGTCACCACACCCAATTTTTTTTTTTTTTTTTTTTTTTTTACATTTTGTAGAGACAGGGTCTCATTATGTTGCCCAGGCTGGTCTCAAACTCCAGGGCTCAAGCAATCCTTGGCCTCCCAAAGTGCTAGGACTACAGGCGAGAGCCACCGAGACTGGCCTCTATTGTCTGCATCTTCTATTGAGGGAACCAAAATGTCAAAACACAGCAAAAGCAGGGGGACTTTGAACCAAGTAAGTGACAGGGCTCAGAGCCCTGTTTCCCTCCTTCCTTAACCCCCTCCCTGCAAATACTTACACACAGTTTGCACACATGAATGTGTGGGAACGTAGTGATGCCTGTGTTTATTTATTCAATTCATTTTGGGGGAGTGAAGGTTAACTAAGCACTACTCTGTGCCAGCCCCTGAGCTAGATTCTGGGGAGACGATGGAGTTCACAGTCTAGCAGGGGTGAAGGACATTCAGGAAATAATCACTGATAGAGATACTTGATGACAGTGGTGGTAAGAGCACCTCTCCTCTCTCTGTGGCCCTCCTGCCCTCACCAGAGACACACACATAAAGAGATCTAAGGGCCTGCAGGAGACCAGCTCACCCAGCCCCTACCTTCAGGAAGTTCTGACAGTCCACGGGAGCCTTGCAAAGGAGCCCAGTGGTTCCAGCAGGTCCTCCTGGGTCACTCAGAGGCCCCAGGGAACACAAGGACAGCAGGCAAGTCCCCTGGGCCACTCCCTAGCTCTGCCTCCCTGATGCAGGGCACCCTTGGGTGAGTCTCAAGGCACATTCATCTCCCTCACCCATCCCCACAGACAAATGTCAGCAGCACCAAGGTGGATCCAAGTTTTATAAAGCCTGGAACTTATACAACTTAGGGGATTCTCTTTAGGAAACAGAACACAAAATTATTAATACAAAACTAGGTTAAAAGTGAATATTCGGCCAGGCGCGTTGGCTCACGCCTGTAATCCCAGCACTTTGGGAGGCCGAGGTAGGCAGATCACCTGAGATCAGGAATTCGAGACCAGCCTGGCCAACACGGTGAAACCCTATCTCTACTAAAAACTACAAAAATTAGCCAGGCATGGTGGCGGGTGCCTGTAATCCCAGCTACTTGGGAGGCTGAGGCAGGAAAATCGTTTGAACCTGGGAGGCAGAGGTTGCAGTGAGCCAAGATCACGCCACCTTTAAAATGCCTCTCATTCTTTCCTAGAAGTCACATCAACCAATACATTTTTCAAAGCTGAGATATACACAAAAACCAGAAATATAATATTTTAATAAATCAACTTGCCAACACACCTTTATAATACTCTTTTCTCTATATTTTTGGCTTTGTGTTCTCTTTGATTGCCTCACCATATGTCAATGATTTCATAGTATATTTTTCTATAGAGAGATAGAATGGTGCTTCCTCTAACATCCTTATTCAAAATATATACTTTGTTACTGAGAGTTTAGAAAAGTTTATTTCAGCTTCACAACGAATGTGTGAATTTTCAGGATAGGTGTTGAATTAGTCAATACTCTCCAGAGAAACAAAACCAATACAATATATAGATCAGTCTGAGCCTGAAGGCCTGAGAATGAGGGTGGAGGAATGATGTTTAAGGGCAGAGGATACATGCCTCAGTTCAAACAGAGATATCAGAGGCATTTGAACCAGAGCAACTCCATCTTGAATAAGGGCTGGGTAAAATGAGGCTGAGACCTACTGGGCTGCATTCCCAGACGGTTAGGCATTCTAAGTCACAGGATAAGATAGGAGGTCGGCACAAGATACAGGTCACAAAGACTTTGCTGATAAAACAGGCTGCAGTAAAGAAGCTGACCAAATCCCACCAAAACCAAGATGGCAACGAGAGTGACCTCTGGTCGTCCTCACTGCTACACTCCCCCCAGCACCATGACATTTTATAAATGCCAGGCAACTTCAGGAAGTTACCCTATATAGTCTTAAAAGGGGAGGCATGAATAGTCCACCCCTCGTTTAGCATATAACCAAGAAATAACCATAAATATGGGCAACCAGCAGCCCTCGGGGCTGCTCTGTCTCTGGAGTAGCCATTCTTTATTCCTTTACTTTCCTAATAAACTTGCTTTCACTTGACGGGCTTGTCCTGAATTCTTTCTTGTGAGAGATCGAAGAACCCTCTCTTGGGGTCTGTATCTGGACCTCTTTCCAGTAACAGAGAGAGTGAATTCACACTTCCTTCACCTTTTCCTTTTTTTTTTGAGATGGAGTCTCGCTCTGTCGCCCAGACCGGAGTGCAGTGGCACGATCTCGGCTCACTGCAAGCTCCGCCTCCCGGGCTCATGCCATTCTCCTGCCTCAGCCTCCCGAGTAGCTGAAACTACAGGCACCCGTCACCACACCCAGCTAATTTTTTTGTATTTTTAGTAGAGATGGGGTTTCACCGTGTTCACCAGGATGGTCTCGATCTCCTGACCTCGTGATCCGCCTGCCTCGGCCTCCCAAAGTGCTGGAATTACAGGCGTGAGCCACCGCACCCAGCCTCACCTTTTCCTTCTATTCCACCCTCAACCAACTGGATGGTCCCTACCCCAGTGAAGGGGGATCTTCTTTACTCAGCCTACCCATTCAAATGCTAATCTCTTTTGGAAACATGCCTGGAAATAATCTTTTACCAGCCATCTGGGCATCCTTTAGCTCTGTCATATTGACACATAAAATTAACTATCCCAAGTCCACTCCTTGGCAACTTGGCACCCATACACATCTTCTTATACCACAGTTTATCACCAAATAAAGACAATAATGTAACCGCCGAAGGGGTTCACCTTGCCCACTTGCCTAGGCGGAGTCAATTCATCAAGGCAGGGAAATTGCAATAGAGAAAGAGTAATTCACACAGAGCTGGTTATGCAGCAGACCAGAGTTTCATTATTCCTCAAATCAGTCTCCCCAAGCATTCAAGCATTCAGGGAGCAGAGTTTTTAAGGACAACTGGGTGGGTGGGGGGAAGCCAGTGAGCCAGGAGGCTGATTGGTCAAAGATGAAATCGTAAGGAGTCGAAGCTGTCTTCTTGTGCTGAGTCAGTTCCTGGGTGGGGACCACAATATCAAATGAGCCAGTTTATTGATCTGGGTGATGCCAGCTGATTTATCAAGTGCAGGGTCTGCAAAATACCTCAAGCACTGATCTTAGGAGCAGCTTAGGGAGGGTCAGAATCTTGTAGAATCCAGCTGCACGACACCTAAACCATAATTTCTAATCTTGTGGCTAAGAGTAGCCCTACAAAGGCAATCTAGTCCCCAGGCAAGAAGGAGGTCTGCTTTGGGAAAGAGCTGTTATGGTCTTTTGTTTTAGACTATACACTATAAACTGAGTTTCTCCTACAGTTAGTTCAGCCTACGCCCAGGAATGAACAACGACAACTTGGAGGTTAGAAGCAAGATGGAGTCGGTTAAGTTCAACCTCTTTCACCATCTCAGTCATAATTTTGCAAAGGCAGTTTCAATAACAAGGTTATAATAAAGCTGCCTTTGCAAAAAATTATAACTATAAGAAAATTATGACAGTGGCAGAGAGCTGATCTAACCACCCCCCATTTTGCCTTTAACCTCCACACTGCCCTCAGGCATTCCTGGGTTTGGGCCAAGATAACTTTGGGAGAAATTCAGTTTATAGTTTAAATGATAGCAGCTCTTTAATCTGTGTTTGTAAAGCTAATGAAAGACCACCAGGTTAGGAGGATGAGGAGCCTGAATACGTGCTAAAGTGTAGACATAAATGATTACCAGCCATTACTCTGGAGGTTACAAGATTTGCAACTTCCCCAATTACTCCTGCAGATAACATCAGTATTTTAAAGCCTATGATTGGCCTTTTGAGACATCTTTTCTGATTTTTGCATTTCTGACAAATGATGGCTCCACCCAGCCCCATACCCCTACCCAGAAGCGGACTCAGCACATTTTCTCAGGACCATTTCTCACACCCCTGTGTTGGCATCTGCAACCAATCAGCAGCACTCATTCCCTGGCCTGACAAGCTATCCTTGAAAAACCCCAGCCTCCGAATTTTCAGAGAGATTGAATTGAGTAATAACTCTGTCTTTCATGTGGTATGGCTAGCTTCACATCAATTAAACTCTTTATTGCAATGCCATGGTCTCAGTGAATTGGTTTTGTCTTGAAGTGGGCAGGAAGAACCTATCGGGTGATTATAATAATTCTGCCTAATATGATACAACTATCCCCCATACAACTGAAAATGCAAGAATTCCTTTCCTAGAAGAGGAGGTAAAGTCCTTAAGTGATATCTACTCTTCTGATATCCCACAACTTAAATACTATGATATAAAATTAACAGCACTCAAATACTAATAAGGTATTAATAAGGCCAATACCTTATTAATGGCATGTCAATGACATAAGGGCAATACCCCATGTTACATGATAAGAGAGAAAAGAAAACAAAGATATTTGCTTAATATATGTATACGTACACACAAACATATTCATAACAAAATAAGCGTAAAATACTCATGACAATTTTACTTTTCATTTCTGTAACTGATCACATTGTCAGAGGCACTGGAACCAGAGCAACTCCATTGTGAATTAGGGGTTGGGTAAAATAAGGCTGAGACCTACTAAAATAATGCTGCATTCCCAGGAGGTTAGGCATTCTTAGTCACAGGATGAGATAGGAGGTCAACACAAGATACAGGTCACAAAGATTCCACTGATAAAACAGGATGCCCTAAAGAAGCCAGCCAAAATCTGCTGAATTCAAAATGGTGATGCAAGTGACCTCTGGTCCTTCTCATTGCTCATTTTACACTAATTATAATGCAATTAACATGCTAAAAGACACTTCTACCAGTGCCATGACAGTTTACAAATACCATGGCAACATCTGGAAGTTAACCTATTTGGTCTAAAAAAAAAGAGGAATCCTCAGTTCCAGGAATTCTTCGCCTCTTTCCCAGAAAACTCATGAATAATCCACCCCTTGTTTAGCATATGATCAAGAAATAACCATAAAAATAGCCAACCAGCAGCTCTCAGGGCTGCTCTGTCTACAGAGTAGCCATTCTTTTGTTTCTGTACCTCGTTAATAAACTTGTTTTCACTTTACTCTGTGGCCTTGCCCCAGATTCTTTCTTGTGGGAAAAGACTCTCTTGGGGTCTGGATCGGGACCCCTTCCCGGTAACAATGTGGTCATAACTGTTATTTGTAACTACCTCCTCTACTACCCATTATTCCATTATTCCAAGGCTGAGCAGGCACCTCAACTTCAGATGGCTGTGGTTCTTTACTTGGCTGGGTAACCCAAACCTTCATTCCTGAAGTGTCTGGGCCGTTAGTATTCATGCCCAGATTGGGTGTTATTGTTTTCCACTAATCTTTCTTTTTTTTTTTTTTTAGGGAGTCTAGCTCACTGCAACCTCCACCTCCTGGGTTCAAAGCAATTTTTCTGCCTCAGCCTCCCAAGCAGCTGGGATAACAGGCACCCACCACCTTGCCCAGCTAATTTTTATATTTTTAGTAGAGACGGTGTTTCACCATATTAGCCAGGCTGTTCTTGAACTCCTGGACTCAGGTGATCCTCCCACCTCAGCCTCCCAAAGATTACAGGCATGATTACACTGCGCCTGGCCATTTTCCATTGATCTTAGTCACTGGGCATGGTAATACTAAGAGACACCCTAAAGGATCTCCTGTATCCTAGATATACTCTTCTTACCTCTATTGCAGAGTAGTAGTCCAATTTCCCCAATGGCAGTCAGGTAAATCACCCGAGCCTATAGAGTAACTCCCTTTTTGCCTGTTGACTCAGCGTCATGAGGCACCCAAAGTGGCTGAGTGGTAGTTTTAACCTCCGGTTCAATGGAATCGTTGTTGTGTCTCCTCGTGGAAGCATTTCTTTCTCTGGAACTAAGACCTCTAGACCAGTAGAGCATAAAACTGTGGGAAAAGGAAGCAAAAGTTTTGCTAGTAGATGAGTAGGGGTAATGATGAGTGGTTCTGCTCCCATTTTCACCCCTTGATTCCTGAACCCGTGAATCCCGGCTCTGGAAGAAACAGCACCATATACAAGATGCTAATTCAGAACATATACAGCCTTCTGGAGAACCCTGTCTCAGCCTTGCAAAGTATTTCCACCACACTGGTGTTGTGAGTCTTTGAAAGGCCATTTTACTGTTCTATCAAGCCAACTTCTTCAGGATGGTGGAGTACATGGTAAGACCAGTGAATTCCACGAATATGGGCCACTTCTTTTGTTATGAAGTGACTGTGTGGAATATCATTATGTTGAATAAGGCATTCTGTAAATCACCATGTGGTAGTTTTGGCAGAAGTATCATGTGCAAAGAAGGTAACCATATCCAGGGTATCTATTCCAGTAAGGGCAAAACACTGCCCCTTCCACAGTGGAAGTGGTCCAGTCTAATCAACCTGCCACTAAGCAGCTGGCTGATCACCTTGGGGAATGGTGTCATATCAGGGGCTCAGCGTTGGTCTCCACTTTTTGCAGATTGGGCGCTCCATGGAGGCTGTAGCCAGGTCAGCCTTGGTGAAGGGAAATCCATGTTCCTGAGCCCCAGCATAACCTCCATCTCTGCCACCATGGCCACTTTGTTCATGAGCCCATTGATCAATGACAGGAGTGGCTAGGGAAAGAGCTTGACTGGCTGGTATCCAAAGAATGAGTCACCCTCAGCACTTGACGATTATTATTATTATTTTTTTAAGACAGAGTTTCACTCTTGTCGCCCAGGCTGGGGTGCAATTGCATGATCTCGGCTCACTGCAACCTCCACCTCCCGGGTTCAAATGAGTCTCCTGCCTTAGTCTCCTGAGTAGCTGGGATTACAGGCACCTGCCACCACGCCCAGCTAAATTTTTATTTTTAGTAGAGACAGGGTTTCACCACATTGGCCAGGCTGGTCTTGAACTCCTGACCTCAGGTGATCCGCCCACCTCGGCCTCCCAAAGTGCTGGGATTACAGGCATGAGCCACCGCGCCGGGCCACCACTTGACTATTACAATTGTCTTCTGCTGAGGTCATTCTTTGATGAACAATCACATGGGGCACAAATATCTTCACATTTTTTTACCCATTCGAAAAGGTCTATCAACATATTTCTTCCCCACATTTCTCTGTCATCAATTTTCCAATTGTGTTCCTTCCAAGTCCCTGACCATCCAGCCAAACCATAGGCTACAGCCCATGAGTCAGGATATAATTTTGTATCTGAGCATTTCTCCTTCTAAGCAAAGTACACAGGTGCACTACCCAAAGTTCTGCCCACTGGGAAGATTTCCCTTCACCACTGTCCTTCAGGGATGTCTCAGGGAGAGGCTGTAGTGCCCCAGCTGTCCAATTTCAGGTGATGCCTGGATATCATGCAGAACCATCTATAAACCAGGCTCAAGTCTTCTCTTCCTCTGTCAACTGATAGTAGGGGGCTCCCCATTAAGCCATAGGTGCAGCCTGAGGGAGAGAAAGTACTGTAGCAAGAGTCAAGACCATGGGTATTTGGGCCACTTCTTCATGTAACTTACTTGTGCCTTCAGGGCTCACTCAGGCCTGATCACATATATACCACTTCCATTGATAATGCAGTGTTACTGAACACTTTCAACTTTATGGCTAGATGGGTCAGATAACACCCAGTTCATGATGGGCAGCTCAGGTCTCGTGGTAAGTTGGTGGTCCATGGTCAAGTGTTTAGTTTCTACTGAGGCCCAGTAACAGTCCAAGAGTTGTCTCTCAAAAGGAGAGTAATTATCTGAAGATTATGTCAGGGCCTTCTTCCAAAATCCTAAAGCCTTGCCCTGCGATTCACCAATAGGGGCCTGCCACTGGCTCCAAGCAGCATCCTATCTGCCACTGCCACTTTAAGCACCATTGGATCTGCTGTATCACATGGCCCCAGTGGCAGGGCAGCTTGCACAGCAACCTGGACCTATTGCAGAGCCTTCTCCTGTTCGGAACCCCACTCAAAACTAGCAGCTTTTCAGGTCTCTCAGTAAATGAGCCAGAGTAGCATACCCAAAGGAGGAATGTGTTACTTCCAAAATCTAAAGAGATGTACTAGGCATGAGCCTCTTTCTGGGTTGTAGGACAGGCCAGATGCAACAATTCATCCTTCACCTTATAACAGATATCTCAACATGCCCCATACAACTGGACCTCTAGAAATTTCACTGAGGTCCCTGAATTTTTGTCAGATTTATTTCCCACCCTCTGACACACAAACGTCTTATCAATAAGTCTAGAGTAGTTGCTATTTCTTGCTCAGTAGGTCCAATCAGCATAATGTCATCAATGAAATGAATGAATGAGGTATCTTGTGAAAGCAAAGGTGATCAAGAGCTCTGCAAACTAAATTATGACATAGGCTGTAGAGTTGGGTTTTTTTCTTTTCTTTCTTTCTTTTTTTCTTTTTTAGACAGGGTCTCACTCTATCACCCAGGCTGGAGTGCAGTCGTGCAATCATGGCTCACTGCAGCCTTGGCCTCCTGGGCTCAGGTGATCCTCCCACCTCAGCCTCCCAAGTAGCTGGGACTACAGGTGCATACCACCATGGCCAGCTAATTTTTTGTATTTTTCGTAGAGACAGCGTTTCACCACGTTGCCCAGGCTTATCTTGAACTCCCGGGCTCGAGGAATTCTTGCCTTGGCCTCCCAAAATGCCGGGATTACAGGCATGAGCCATGGTGCCCAGCCAGGCTAAAGAGTTAATATGCCCTTACAGTAGGACAGTGAAGATACACTGCTGGTCTTGACAGCTGAAGGCAAGCTGCTTCTGGTGGGCCTTATGGACAGAGGTAGAGAAAAAGGCATTTGCCAGATCGATAGCTGCATACCAGGTACCAGGGCACATGTTAATTTGTGCAAGCAATGAAACCACATCTGGAGTCACCACCTGGTTAAGCTTACAATAATTCACTGTCATTTTCCAAGATTCACCTGTCTTCTGCCCAGGTCATATAGGACAACTGAATGGGGATGTAGTGGGAATCACCACCCCTGCATCTTCCAAGTCCTTAATGGTGGCACTAATCTCTGTAATCTCTCCAGGAATGCAGTATTGCTTTTGATTTGCTATTTTCCTGGGTAGAGGCAGCTCCACTGGCTCCCACTTGGCCTTTCCCACCATTAATAGCCCTCATTCCATAGGTGGCGATTCTTCCAGCTGCTAAGTATGTCAATTCCAAGAACACATTCCGGAATGGGAGGAATAACCCTGAGTGGGTTTGGGAACCCACAAGACCCATAGTGAGATGGACCTGAGCTAAAACTCCATTGATCACCTGACCTTTATAAGCTCCTGCTCTGACTAGAGGGCCACAGTGACATTCTGGTTCTCCTGGAATTAGTGTCAGTTCAGCCCCAGTGTCCAGTAGTCCCTGAAAATTTGATTATTTCCTCCTCCCTAATCCATAGTTACCCTGGTGAAGGCTGAAGGTCCCTTTGAAGAAGGCTGGGAGAAAGACTAATAGCATACATTTTGGATGTTGTAGGGGAGTCCTTCCTTGAAGAGACTCGGCCTCCCCTCCATTCAAGGGATTCTGGGTTTATAAATTGGTCAAGTCTGAAAACTGATCGAGGAGCTGTGACTCTGTTTTGGTGATTTGGGTTACACTTTTGTTCTCTTGACTTAAAACTTTTCTGCTTAGAAAAATCAACAAAGAACTTAGTAAGCTTCTTCTCTATTTCACTCCTAGGAACACCATGATTAACTAGCCAATGCCATACTAGTCTGCATGAGCCGGATTATTCTGATTGGTGCTTTGCCTCTGCTGTGCATTAAGGTAACTACACCCACCTTGCATTTGATGGCTGGGTGCCGCCACTTGGCCCTGTCACCTTGGAATCCAATTACCCCCTGTTGCATGTAGATTTCCAGTTGAGTGGCTATGGTTTCCAATGTGAAGTCTGGCCTATAGAAAAGAGTGACCACAGAGCTCTCCAGGGATGCTGGGGCTCCCCTCACAAATTTATTCCTCAAAATACTGGTAAAGGGTATGTCTTCTGGACCTTCTCAGTGTGGGTGAAGGGGTCTTAAATGACAGATTCACTTGGACATTCCAATCTCCTAAGTCTTTGAACCCCCTCCTCTGCGTTAAACCAAGGGAGCTCGGGCATTTCCAATTCACTCTTGGTGGCCTACCTTTTGATCCATATTTCAGCCAAACAAACTGTTAGAATCCTTTGTAACTCCCCCACCTGCAAAATTGAATGCAGAATTTCTGCTTAGTGGGTCTATAGCAATAAATTCAGCCTGATTCACCTTTATGTTCCTTCCACCATTACCCCACACTCTCAATATCCACTCCCATGCATGTTCCCCAGATTTCTGCTTGTATAAAGGAATTATTTTGGGGGCAGTACACCTCCTCATGGGTCACACTATGTACCTTACCTTTAGGGGGCTTCTGGGACTCGAGTCTAGATATAGGTCTACAAGCAAAGAATGCTGATGAGGTGGGTCCAGGGGTGAATCTGCCCTGTCTTATATAGCAACTGCTTCAGGGGTGGCCATTACTGTTTCATCAGGCAATGAAGATTTATCCCCACTACTGTGGGTGAGGAAGCCACTTTTGCTAAGGGTGGGTAGGCAACTTCACTGGGGGTAGGGATGCCACTTCCACTGGGCGTAGGCCAGTCTCTTCCATGGTAAAGAAGACTTATGAGAACTTAGAGGCTCAAGGTCTCCAGCTTCATCAAGGTCTTCCCATAGGTCACCCACCCAACTCACAGGATATCATTCTTTCCCAGTCAATGCCCTCACTGTAACAGTAGAGACCATGTGAGGCTGGGAAGTTGTCATTCAGTCAGTCACAGGATTTGTTTTGCATGTGATTTTCAGCAATTTCAGTCCTGAAATAAGGTTGCCCTTCAGGGCACAACTAGAAGATCTTTTATGCACTGTTTGAGCTAGGAATTTGAATCCATGATCTCATCCTTTTCTTTTACAAATCTGTCCAATGACATTAGAAACAAGTAACCAAGTAACCAATGTCATTATATTCCTCAATTTTCCAAAAATGTTTGAAATATCTTAAATGAAGTCACGTAGCTCCTTGCTTCTTATAAGTGGTTGATTAGAAGTATCCAATGCAGATATTTTGCATATCTCTATAAACAGCCAACACCATGAACAATCAGATTAGAGGGCCAGTCTCATAAACCTCAGAACCAATTCAGGAAACTCAACCTTAAAATTCTGTTCTCCTAGAACCACTATTGATACTAAAATCTGCATTAGTCAGAGTTCTCCTGAAAAAGAGAACCAATGGGATACACACACACACACACACACACACACACACACACACACACACACACATTGATTATAGGAGTTGGCTTATGTGATTACAGAGGCTCAGAGCTCCCTCAATCTGCCATCTGCAAGCTAGAGAACCAGGAAAGCTGGTGGTGTAATTCAGTCCAAGTCCAAAGCCCAACAACCAGGAGCACTACTGTCTAAGGGCAGGAGAAGATGGGTGTCTCAGCTCAAACAGAGACAGAGAACAAGTTTGTCTTCCTCTGCCTTTTTGTTTTATTTGGGCCCTCAACAGATTGGATAATCCCCACCCACATTGGTGAGGGCAGTCTTCTTAATCTACTAATTCAAATATAAATCTCTTCTGGAAACACTCTCACAGACACATCCCAAAATAATGGTTTATCAACTATCTGGGCATCGCTTAACCTAGTCCAGTTGACACACAGAATTAATCACCACAGTTGTCAATTAGGAGTAAACCTCTAACATGAGCTGTAAGACTACAGGGACTTTTCCACAGACCAGCTTCTGGCTGTGTGCATTTCAATCTTGTTTCATTTCCACTTCCTACATGCTTCCTGTACTAAGAGCCATAGGACACATTCATGCTGCATCACCCCAGGTGAGTCAACACCATGGGTGGTAGGAGTATTCCTGGAAACCAATCCTCCCCAATAATTGTCATGATACATGGAAGTGACTGAGAGTCACACTCATGAAATATTATATACATATATTGCATCCCACATAAATACATCCCATTTGTCCACATTAAATGCATCCCTCAATTCAAGCTTCCCTAAGCTGGATCCCCAAAATGCCACAGTTATTCCGATATCCCTTGACAGAAGGGAAATGTGACAGAGGGGAAGTCAGGGTGAAAAGAAACAGCAGCCTTGAATGATTGTGGTTGATACAATATACTTTTGCAAATTTTACAAAAATGTGAAAGCATTGCCAGGGCCCCTCCCGGGGCCTTGGAAGGAGCAAGTGGGGGCCCAGCAAAGCTCTGCATGAAGGCACAGCCCTTAGAGATGAAACAGATCAAGAGAAGGGTAATTACTGAGGCAGGGCCTCAGGGCTGCATCCTCTGGCACAATTATGTTAACAAGGTAAATTAGCCCCAGATAAACCTGTACCTAATAAACTTGGGCAGCTTGTGCCTGGAGCCCTCACTAGGAAGGACTTCAAAGTCCATAGCCCAGTCTTCAGAGTTAGTTGTCTCCTGCTGTGGACTCCAGGCCTGTCCATGGGCTGCAGGCCAAGGAAGGGCCTGAATATCGCCTCCCAGGACAACGTGGGTCACATATGAGCAGCCACACTGTCTCACATACACAGACACACCTTCCACCACTCCAAAGCTCATCCATAGCCAGTGCCTCGTCTTACAGAAAACACCACACACACATACATACACACACACACACACACACACACACACACCAACAGCAATTCCTAAACACAGAACCAGGCTCTCCAACAGGCCTGAACATGGGAGGATTCCTCTTTGTAGGGAGAGATGGGGCTGCTAAGGAATTGGAGAAAATTGTTTCCTCTTATTCCCCACCAACAGGATGGGAGTCACAAGGAGCAGGCACCGCTAGCCTCTTTCTAGCTCACACTGGTGCTGGGCTCCGTGGCTCTGCAGACCTGGGCTGCTCACTCACTCTCCCTCCACTTTCACGCAATATCTCTCTTCCATCCAAGTTGCAGGGAAAACCCTGGACCAGACAGTGGGGAAAGATGTTGCATTCACATCGAAAGACTCTGTGCTTCAGAGCAGCTATGGATGGAGCTCAGACTGTGCCAAGCCCACAGAATATCGGCTGGAAAGCTGGGATGATGTCGGCCACTGACCGTCCGTACCCTGCCTCCATCCCAGGACAATAGGAAACAATGTGGGGACAGGGATGGGGAGGTATAAGGACTCTCAATCTCCAGCAGCTGTAGGGTTGGCCAAAGTCCTTGTCCCACAGCCCTGACTTTTCAGTTCCAAACCGGCACAAACTCCAGGTTTGGCCGAGGATCAGCAAAGCGTATTCCAAGAATACCAAGCTGGGAGTCAAGGTCCTGGGTTCAAGACAGTCTGGGGAGAGCAAGGGGAGATAATGGCCACGAGTGTCCTTGGAAGGCCGGGTGGGTGGGTGAGGGGCCCATTGCCCTGAGGAACAAGAGCCCTGAGCGGGCTGACCGGTAGAGCTCTCTGGGCCCGGGCCAGGTCTTTGAGGCTCTTCCGCTCAGGAAAACCCGTTCTCTTTCCTGAGCCAGAGGGAGCAGGAAAACAGGAAACACATGTTCTTCGGGGGAGGCTGAGCACCCAGCCTTGAGAAGCCCCCAGGAGGACCTGCTCCCTGCATGAGAGTGTCCTGCCCCACCTGGGGACCTGCCCGGACCAGCCTTGAGGGAGAAACATGCTTATCAAGCTCATACAAAGAGCCCAGAACTGGTAGGCCAGATGTCTGCATTCCTACTTGCAACATTCCTGTGCAACCTTGGGCAGGGAGCTCCGCCTTTCTGGCCTCTGTCTCTTCCCCCGTCCAGTGGAGGTGACTGGCCCTGCCTTCCTGTCTGCCCTGCCTGCCTCACCAGCTTTGCAACCATAATGTCCCACGCACAGGGAAACACTGCTGGGAATCCTGAGGAGATTCTTTCCCTTCCCATCCTTTAAAACTCAGCCTCCAGGAAGCCTTCTCCGATTGTCCCAAAATGAAGATGGACTCACTTATGAGTGCCCCTCTGGCATTCACCACTTCCCCTCTTTGAGAGGCATGACACATTCTCTGCATCAGACAGAAGTCCTTGATGTCTGGCCATCTTGTCCACAAAATCATGAGCAACCTGAGGTTCAGTGGGTCTGGTTTTTCTTTGCGCCCCTCCCCAGCTGCCAGCAGGTGTGGAAGAAGCACTGGTTAAAAGCACCGCGCCTGTGTTGGATAATAAGTGAGACCTGCCCTCGACCCCACACACACCTCTCCCCTTTGATCCAGTCCTGGCCAGTAAGGACTTGGGATTTTGCCAGTGCAATAACCAGGGCACACCGGGAAAGTGGCTCAGCAGACCAAGAGGTCCCCCTGAGATCTCTCTAAGCTGTCTGTGGCCAGGACAGGGGAGCTCTAGGAAGACTTTGCTGGTCCCGCCTCCACCTGCCTGCATCCTCCTCAGAACAGCACTGCAGGCCTGGCTTGGCTCACTGAGCTCAATATCTCTCAAGGCCAGTGCCTGGGTATGGTTTGAGGGCTCTGAGAAGGAGGCCTTTGGAACCACTCAAGGATGCCTGAAGTGCTGAGACTATGGTGTGTGTGCTGTCTCTTTGAGTGTGCTTGTTGTGTCATTATTCCCTTAGAAGTGTTCATGATTTTTTCCCTCTATTTCCTTTCAGAAGCCTGGCCTGGGCATGGTGACTGGCAAATGCCTTAGGGAAGTTAGGGGGACTGGTGGGGAGGGAGGCCAGGCTGCTAGGTTGGCTCTCCCTACAGAGTGGGAGCTGGCAGAGATGCCCGCCAGAAACGAGTCTCTCTATTCTATCGTGTAGAGCCGGCAATTCCCAGCCACTCTTGGATCTAGGTGGGCCCATGAGACTAGTTGTCACAGATTGAACATAAAGTTAATGATACATGTTACATTCAGGCCAAGGTGGTTAGAAGAGGTTGTGTCTTCTCCACCCACTCTTTCCTGTCTGCTCTCTAGATGCAGAGGACTCAGGCCTAAGGGAGGGTAGAGTCATTTGGTACAAAGAGCTTGGATCCCTGACTCACCACGTGGAAGCCCTCCTACCGACCAGGAGCACCCATAGTGGACTGTTATGTGAGTGACAAGTAGCCTCTATTATGTTCAGCCACTGAAATTTTGGGATTCATTTGTTTCATCAACCCGCATTACCCTAATGCAGTTGCCTTACAGGGACAAGACTGCAAAGAGGAAATGGGTCCAACACTCCAGATCTGCCTACTTAGGCCCAATGTAGGACTTGGAATGTGATTGGGCCCACTTCCTCAGCCTTGGCCATTGGTTTGGCCCCAGTGAGGGGATGCTCTGAGTTCAGGTGACTAAGAGCAGAACTGTCTATTTCTCACTCATTTTCTGGCTTCCCAGAATCAATCCTAGCCCCACTCCAGACCCTCCTACCCTGGGCCTTCCAGCTTGACATTGTGACTGGGAACCTTTCCGAATCCTAACTTTTGACATTACATTTTACCTAGGATGGTCTTTCCAATCTGTCTTGGAGCCTCTCTGGGATCATGGTTCCCTCCCTTCCTCAGAGTCTGCTGAGCCCTGTGAAAGTCCAGGGGCCAGATCAGGCCCATGGCTGCCTACAGCAGAATGACTCCAGGCCAAGGGTGTTCTGTGCCTCATCTCATTCAATCCTCACAATAAGCCCATGAAGTAGAAACCTGGGTCACCATCCTGATTCTGTCCTTTGGATGTCATAATTCCCACGTTGCAGATGAGAAGACCAAGGCATGAAGAAGGCAAACTTGTTCAAGGACATATAGCTCATTTGGTAGGGCCAGGTCTAGAATCCAAGTCATGTGGTCTCTGGAGCCTGCACTCTGAAATCACTAAGTCATACTCCCTTGCAAATATAGGTGTTCAATAAACAGGTGTTAAATTAATTTTTTTTTAATTTTAAAAGGCAAGGCAGACAGATTACCATTGGCCAAATAAAAGCCTCTAGGTTGGTAGTATTAGGTGGCCACGGGATCTTCTGAGGAATGTTCCTAGAGAGTGTGACACTTGGGGTTAAGTCACATGATCTCACTGTGCCTGGTTTTCTTTCCAAGATCCTGTCAGTAGCTCAGGAGCATATGTTTGTATGGTGTGTGTGTGTGTGTGTGTATGTAAATACAACAAAGAGAGGCTTTAAGCAGAGCTATCCAACAGAAATAAGATGCCAGCCATAGGCCGGGTGCCGTGACTTACACCTGTAATCCCAGCTCTTTGGGAGGCCAAGGTGGGCAGATCACTTGAGGTCAGGAGTTCAAGACCAGCCTGGGCAACATGGCGAAACCCCATCTCTACAAAAAATACAAAAATTAGCCGAGTGTTGTGGTGCATGCCTGTAGTCCCAGCTACTCAGGAAGCTGAGGTGGGAGGATCCCTTGAGCCCAGGAGGTGGAGGTTGCAGTGAGCCGTGATCATGCCACTGCACTCCGGCCTAGGTGACAGAGCCAGATCCTGTCTCAAAAAAAGAAAAAAAAAATGCAAGTCATATATATAATTTTACATTTTCTAGTAGCTGCATTTAAAAAAGGAAAAAGAAACATGTAACACTAACTTTAGTAATGGATTTTACTTCATTATGTAAGAAATATTATTTCAACATGCAATGAATGTGAAAAATTAATGAAAGCTGGGTGCAGTGGCTCTCGCCTGTAATCCCAACACTCTGGGAGGCCAAGGTGGGTGGATCACCTGAGGTCAGGAGTTCAAGACCAGCCTGGCCAACATGGTCAAACCCTGTCTCTACTAAAAAAAAATACAAAAATATTAGCCAGGCATGGTGGTGCACACATGTAGTCTCAGCTACTCGGGAGGCTGAGGCAGGAGAATCACTTAAACCCAAGGAGGCAGAGGTTGCAGGGAGCCGAGATCACACCACTGCACTCCAGCCTGGACGACAGAGTGAGACTCTATCCCTGCCCCCCTCCCCTCCAAAAATTAATGAGATCCTTTACATTTCTTTTTTTGTACTAAGCCTTCAAAGTTCAGTATGTACTCTACATGAACAACATGTCTCAACTCGGACTAGCCACATTTCAAGTGCTCAAGAGACATAAGTGGCAAGTGGCCACACTGCATTGCACAGCACAGCTCTGGAGAGGCTCTGGCCTTGTGCGGTCAGGCTGACCCTGGAAATGAGGCTTTACAACTCTCCATATGGTGTGCCTCCCAGACGCTGGAGAGCCCAAATACTAAGGCCTCGCCTAGCAGAGAACTATGAAAGTCCCTAAGTAGCATGCAAGCTAATAAATGCTGCATAAACACAAACTGTTATGTGTTACGATCCAGGGAGCGCAGGAGATGGTTTTAATCTGCGGCAAAATCGGCATGTGTTTGTACTTTCCTATTTACAGTAGGCCTACGAGGAGGCTTGTAAAGAGCTTGAAGAGCGCCAAGTAGACCAGCACTCAATGCAGCTGTTCTGTGTTCCCAATTACTCCAGACCCCCGGGTTACAAGCAAGCGCAGATGAAACCCAGAATGTTTTCACAACCGGGAAGCACTGTCTCTAAACCATGAGGAGAAATCAAGTGAAGAACCAGGTTGGGAAATTGTTGCCAGTTGTGGTATATGGGAGCCAAGGATGGGGCTGGGACCCCAGAAGGAAGTCCTGAGTCCTGCCCTGAATCCTCTGGGGTCTGTGTCTAGGCCTGGAGGTGCCCCATGAGAGAGAAGCTGCAGAAACTCAGGCCTGGCCAGCAGAATAAGAGTGGTCCACTGGAGGCTGGGCCAGCTTCCTGGCATGCGACCTGGGCAGTCACACAAGGCCACTCACTTAAAAGGGGCTATGCTCAGAAGGATCCTGCACTTGAGTTGATGCCCTGGTGTCGCCGTCTTGAAACTCTTAATACTTTTTGAACCATGGGCTCACATTTTCATTTTGACTGGGCCCCACAAATTATGGAGCAGGACCTGAGTGGAGGTCACTGTAAGCAACAACAAGCCCTTTCTGTCTCAGGCCTTCTCCTGAGCTTTCTCCCGTGAGAGAAGCTGAGCAGCCCAAGGTTGGCCTTCCAGGGACCAGTACAGTCCTCTGTCCCCTTCAGTGGTGCAAGGAGAGACCATCCGGAGGAAAGACCGGAGCTGGCCCAACACGGAACTCAGGAGCTGGCCCTGGAGAACGGCACCAGGATGTTGTGTGTTTTCCGAAGTTTCAATCACAATGGTCTCTTTTCATTTAAAGGAAAATACTGCAACCATTTCCTAGCAAAGGTTAAGTCCTTACACTTATTTAAAAAAAAAAAAAAAGTTTTTTATCCTGCCAAGGAATGTGCTTTTTCGAGCTGGCTTCCAGTCCTTCCTGCGGCCAAAGTTCCCTCCCTCCGCTCACAGGGAGAGCCCTGAGGTCCTAGGAGAGTAGCGAGCGGCCCAGCAGCCACTGCTCACAAAGCGGCGCCGGGAGGAGGAGGGAGCTGGCACCTGGTGGCTGTCCCCTGATCTACCCCTAACCAGGCAACCAGGACAGGGGCTCCCTGATGGCAGAAATCCACAGAACCCCCCCGCCCCCCGGCAAAGCCCATTTCAGGCAAGGACCTCCACCTCCTCCCCAGCCATGCGTGCTTTGCCCAAAGGCCACAGACCTGGCCATGAGCTCCCACCTGACGGTTCCCGTCTACCTTTCAGGAAGCAGAGAATCCATTTAATCCCTGGCCTAGACTGGGAATGAGAGTATGCACACAGCACCCGGTGCTCATGGGAGAAGGCCTGAGCAACTAGAAAAGGAGGTGCCTATGCAAGCCCCCACTCCACGCCTCCCCTCCTGTCTGCTCTGCCCAGCACCTGGGGGCCCTGTCTCTAAGACCTGCCCTCCACTCTTGCACTACAGCCTAGGCCTTCATTCCTCATGAATATCACTCCAGCAGTTCTTGCCTCTCCCTTTGGCATCAGTTCTCCCCTCTTTATTGGATTATTCTCGTCGGCAACAAGCATATCCTCCCATCCTTAAAAAAAGTAATAATTGAAAAAAAATGCTCCTGATCATTCCCCCCTCCCTTCCCCCTGAGAGCACACTTTCCAGAAAGAGTTGTCTATATTTGCTGTTTTCAGTCATCCTTCTGTTAGTTCTCTCTTTTTTTTCAATGTACTCTTAATGAATTTCACAAAGTGGCTGCGCCATGTGACCAACACTCAGCTGAAGAAATGAAGCATGAGCAGTATCAGAACCCCTTGGATGCCCCTTTGCTGTCACCACCCCTTCCTCCTTCCCAGATGTAACCTCCACCCTGATCTTTAACACTATATTAGTTTTGTCTGTTTTTGAACATTATATAAATGGAATCATATAGTATGTACTTTTTGGGTTTAGTTTCTTCTCTCAATATTGTTTGTGAGTTTCATCCATGTTATTTGGTGTGTCATATTTATTAATTATCATTGCTGAATAGTAGACTATAGTATTGTCAGAGGCATTTGAACCAGAGCAACTCCATCTTGAATAGCTGGGTAAAATGAGGCTGAGACCTACTGGGCTGCAATCCCAAATGGTTAGGTGTTCTAAGTCATGGGATGAAACAGGAGGTCTGCACAAGATACAGGTCATAAAGACCTTGTTGATAAAATAGGTTGCAGTAAAGAAGCTGGAACCCACCAAAATGAAGATAGACACAAGAGTGACCGCTGGTCATCCATCCTCACTGCTACACGCCCACCAGTGCCATGACAGGTTACAAATGCCATGGCAACTTCAGGAAGTTACCCTATATGGCCTAAAAAGGGGAGGCATGAATAATCCACCCCTTGTTTAGCATATAATCAAGAAAGAATTATAAAATTGGGCAATCAGCAGCCTTCGGGGCTGCTCTGTCTATGGAGTAGCCATTGTTTTATTCCTTTACTTTCCTAATAAACTTGCTCTCACTTTACTCTGTGGACTCGCCCTGAATTCTTTCTTGCATGAGATCGAAGAACCCTCTCTTGGGGTCTGGATTGAGACCCCTTTCGGGTAACAGTAGGAGTAAACCAATATTTGTTTATCCAGCCTAGCAGTGATGGACATTGGGTTGTTTCTGGTTTGAGTAACTATATAATACTCCTAAGAACATTCTCATACATGACTTTTGGCATCAAATAAATGCATTTTAGGGGGTATATACCTGGAAGTAGAATTTCTGGGTCATAGGATGTGCATGTGTTCAAATAGTTTTCAACTTACACCATCAATATATAAGAGTCCTAACAGTTACATCACATCCTTACCAATTCTTAGCATTATCAATCACACACATCAGCTTTTCCCGGGGACCCCAGTCTGCCACCCTACCCTGCAGATCTGGGACTTGCCATCCTCCACAATCACATGAGCCAACATACATACAAACATACATAAATATTATTCATACACACATATATACATACTGGCCATCCATTCTGGTTCTATTTATCTGGAGAACCCTAACATAATTCTCTTTATCAGATTAAGAAAATCCTTTTCTATTCCCATTTTATTAAAAGTTTTTTCAAACTGTATGTTAAATTCAAAAACATACATTTTTCTAAATAAATTTTATCAAATAATGGTTTCTATACCAATTAGGATGGTCTTATGCTTTTTTCCTTTATTCCATAAAAGTGATGAACTAAACTGAGAGGGATTTTTTGTTTTTTTTTTTTATAGGACAACATGAACATTGTTGAGTCACTGAAGCTAAACCAAACTTGCTTTTCTGTAATAAACCCAATTTGGTCATGATTTAATATTTTTTGGATCGCTCTGGATTTGGTTTGCTAATATTTTATTCATCCAAGAAATATTCATTAGAGAAATTGGCATGGGATTTTTTTTCATTGTAATGTCCTTGTCAGGTATCAAGGCTTTTTCAGCCTGATAAAGCATATTAAGAAATGCTTCCTCTTTTCCTATTCTCTGGAAAAGATTGTGTAATATTGCTGTTACTACTTCCTGTAATGTTTGGTGAAATTCACAATTGAAGACATCTGGGCCTAGCGTGTTCTTTGTAGGAAGAATATTAAGAAAGGATTCCATTTCTTTAAAAGTTACGAGCACAGTTGGCCTTCCAGATCTATGGATCCCACATGAGTTCCAGATTCAACCAATTGTGTATTAAAAATATTTGGGAAAAAAAGCCACAAGAAATAATACAACTATACAAAATAATATAATTTTTAAAATACAATATAACAACGATTTACACAGAATGTACATTATGTTAGGTATTATAAGTAACTGAGAGGTTATTTAAAGTATGTGAGAGGGTATGGATAGGTTATATGCAAATACTTTGCCATTTTATATCAGGAACTTGAGCAATTATAAATTTTGGTATTGGGGGAGTGGTTCTGGAACCGATTCCCCCACAGATACTGAAGGACAACTGCATTCAGATTTTCTACCTGTGTCAAATTTAAGTTGTGGTTCTTCAAGGAATTTTTCCGTTTCATTTAAGTTTTCAAACATATCAGCATCTAAGTTTTCAAACATATTGCCATACAACTGTTCATAATATCCTTTCATTATCTTTTTAATGTTTGCAGAATCTGTATTAAAGTCTCCCTTTTTATTGCTGATATTGATTATGTCTGCCTTCCCTTTCTCTCTCTCTCTCTGTCTCTCTCTCTCTCTCTCTCTCTCTCTGCTTTTTCCTGGTTACTTTCACCAAGTCTTGTTAATTTTACTCTTTTCATAGGACCAGATTTGTGGACCTTTTCTATTGTTTTCTGTTTCATTAATTTATGCTCACAGCTTCATTGTATCTATCATCATCTATCATTCTACTTTCATTTGCTATTATTTTTCTAACTCTTTGAGTTGTGTGTGTGTGTGTGTGTATATATATATATATATATATATATATATTTTTTTTTTTTTTTTTTTTTTTTTTTTTTTTTCAGAGTCTCACTCTCACCCAGGCTGGAGTGCAGTGGCGTGATCTTGGCTCACTGCAACCTTTGCCTCTTAGGTGCAAGTGATTTTCTTGCCTCAGCCTCCTGAGTAGCTGGGATTACAGGCAAGTGACACCACACCCAACTAATTTTTGTGTTTTTAGTAGAGACAGGTTTTGCCATGTTGGCCAGGCTGGTCTTGAACTCCTGACCTCAAGTGATCTGCCCACCTCGGCCTCCAAAAGTGCTGGGATTATAGGCGTGAGCCACTGTGCCTGGCCTAAATTATTGATTGTTAAGCCTTTTCTCATTTCTAATATAAGCATTTAAGTCCATGAATTTCCTTTTGAGTCTGGTTTTAACTGCATCCTACATATTTCGCAATGTAGTATTTTTATTATCGGTTTAAAATATTTTCTAATTTCCATTGTGATTTCTTCTTTGACCATAAGTTATTTAGAAAAATATTGCTTAATTTCCAAACATTTGGGGATCTTTGATTGTCTTTTTATTGCTGATTTGAAGTTTAGTTTCAATGTAGTTAGTGATTATGTTATATTGGATTTCAGTCCTTTGAAACGTGTTGAGATTTTATTTATGTCCTCACATAGGACCAGTTTTTATGTTTCATTTGCACTTGCAAAGAATGTATGTTGGAAGTTGTTGAAAGCTGCGTTCGGTATATATCCATTAATTCAAAACTATTAGCCATGTTGTTCAAATCTCTTGTATTAGGCCAGATGCAGTGGCTCACGCCTATAATCCCAGCACTTTGGGAGGCCAAGGCGTAAGGATGACTGGAGCTCAGGAGTTCGAGACCAGCCGGGCAACTTAGTGAGACCCTATCTCTACTAAAAATTTAAAACGTTGGCCAGGCATGGTGGTGCACACCTATAGTCCCAGCTACGCAGGAGGCTGAGGTGGGAGGAGTGCTTGAGCCCAGGAGGATGAGGCTACACTGAGCCATGATCGCACCACTGCACTCCAGCCTGAGCAACAGAGCAAGACCCTGTGTCTATAAAAAAAATTAGAAACCTATATCCTTACTGGATCTATCAGTACTAATAAAAAAACCTCTATCCTTACTTGATCTATCAGTAATTGAGAGATGTATATAAAAATCCTTACTGGGTCTATCAGCAATAATAAAAAACCTACATCCTGACTTGAGCTATCAGTAATTGAGAGAGGTATATAAAAAAATCTCCCTTATATAGGATTATGGATTTTCCATTTCTCCTTTTAGTTCTGTCATTTTTGCTTCGTTTGTTTGTTTATTTATTTGTTTGTTTTTGAGACAGGGTCGCATTCTGTCACCCAGGCTGGCATAAAGTGGCATGATCTCGGCTCACTGCAACCTCCACCTCCTGGGTCCAAGCGATCCCCCCATCCCAGCCTCTCAAGTAGCTGGGACTACAGGCATGTGCCACCACACCCAGCAAATTTTTGTATTTTTTGTAGAGACAGGGTTTCGCCATGTTGCCCAGGCTTGCCTTATTTATTTTAAGGCAATATTATTAGGTTCTTACAACTTTAGAATTGTTTTATCTTCCTGATAAATTGAACTTGGTATCATTATGAAGGATCACCTACTCTAGTAATGGGTTTTTGCCCTAAAATCTATTTCATTTTTTAGAAATATAGCTATGCCAACTTTCTTCTCACAATATCTTTTATCATTTTTCTTCCAATCTTTCTGTTTACTTATATTTAAGTCATATGTCTTGTAAGCAGGATATAGTTGGGTTTGGTTTTGTTATTTGATCTGAAAATTATATATTTTAAGTAGAATGATAACCTGTCCTTCCCTTCCTTTCCCTCCCTCCCTTCCTTCCTTCCTTCCCTCCCTCCCTCCCTCCCTCCCTTCTTTCTTCCTTCCTTCCTTCCTTCCTTCCTTCTACAGGGTCTCACACTGTCACCCAGACTAGAGTGCAGTGGCATGACCATGGCTTGTTGCAGCTTCAACCTCCTGGGCTCAAGCAATCCTCTCACCTCAGCCTCCTGAATAGCTGGTACTACAGGTGCACACCGCCAGGCCTGGCTAATTTTTTCTATTTTTTGTAGAGACAGGATGTCACTATGTTGTCCAGGCTGGTCTCAAACTCCTGGGCTCAAGCAATCCTCCTGCTTTGGCCTCCCAAATTGCTGGGATTACAGGCATAAGCTACCACACTCAGCCAGCCCTTCGATATTTATTATAATTACTGTTATGTTGGGTTGTAATCCACCATCTTATTTGCTTTATTCTTGTTCTGCCTGTACTATTATCCTTTCTTGCCCCCTTTTGGATTGATTCAATGTTTTTACAGTGCCATTTTGACCCACTCTTTTTAAAGTAATACTCTGGTGTTTTTACTATTTTTTTAGTGGTTGCAACATATATCAACATATATCTTTGACTTATCAAGTCTGATACAAATAAGTGGTACTTCTACCACTTCCTGGATAATGCAAGAACCTTAGGCTGCTTTAATTCTATTTACCACCATCCTCTCCCATATGCTATTATTGTCAGATATTTTAATTCTCTACACATATTAAACCATACAAGATATTATCTTTGTTGTATATGCAATGAATTTAAATTTAAATTTACACACAAATTTATCCTTTCTATTGCTCTTCATTTCTTTCTGTGTCTTTCAGATTACATTTGAGTTCATTTTCCTTCTGCCTGAAGCATACCCTTTAGTATTTCCTTTGCTACAGGTCAGTTGGTGTGAGATTTATCACATTTTTTTTCTAGAAGTGTCTGTATTTTCCTTTTATTTTTCTTTCCACAGAATTCTAGTTGGCAGTTATTCTTTCAGAACTTTGAAGATATCATTTAACTGTCTTCTGGAGTCCATAGTTTCACTTGAGAAGTCAGTTGTCAGTCTGTTGTGTCTTTCTCTCTGCCTGCTTTTAAGATTCAACCTTCGTGTTTGCTTTTCAGCATGTAGTCAGTCTCCCTGGAAGCAGTGAGAAAAAATATGGGAGATGGGTAGGTAGGTATCGTCTATGACCTCAGATCCAAAGGTCTCTCCTTTATCAAGGCCAAGGAAGCCCTGAGAGATGGTCACTATATACCTGGGAGCCCTAGAGTGATGGCCACCAGAACTTGGGATCTTTCTTAAGAAGAGTCTTGGATCTGACCACTGAGAAACATGATAATAACTCCAGGGTTGTGTAAAGGAAAACAGAAAGAAGGAGGGAGTGAAGGGAAGATCCTACCTGAGCCATTTGCAACCAAGCACAATGATGAGGCTAGGATCTTGAAACCTAAATGAGGTTTCATAGTCAAACAAATGGAGCCACAACATAGCGCTGGGAATTCAGCCCCATGAGGACAGTAACTTTTGTCTGTTTTCTTCACCGTGGTATCCCCAGCCCCTAGAAGAGTGCTCGGCATGTAGCAAGTACTCAAAAAATATGTATCTAATTAATTGAATGAATGAATGAATCCAATATGTATCTAATTAATTGAATGAATGAATCCTGGGTTCTGCCTCAGTGGGTTTCTCCCTGTACCCAACCAGGTAATTGATGTGTTTGCCAGCCAGCCACTCTTCTCCCTCTCCTAATGATATGGTTTGGATATTCATTCCCTCCAAATCTGATGTTGAAATGTAATCCCCAGTGTTGGAGGCAGGCCCTGTGGATTGGACCATGGCCGTGGTCCCTCGGGAATGGTTTAGCACCATCCTCTTGGTGATAAGTGAGCTCTCACTAAGTGAGTTCACATGAGATCTGGTTTAAAAGTCTAGGATGTACCCTCACTAGCTGTCTTGCTCCCTCTCTGGCCATGTGATACATCAGCTTCCCCCTTCACCTTCTGCCATGATCGAAAGTTCCCTGAGACCTCACCAGAAGCTGAGCAGATGCTGGTGCCATGCTTGTACGGCCTGCAGAACCATGAGCCAAGGAAACCTCTTTTCTTTATAAATTACTCAGCCTTGGACAGCAACACAAAAACAGCCCAATACACCTAATGAATTCCCAGCCCTCCATGAAGATTCTCTAACTACAAGATCAGCTTTCCTGGATCCTCCCTGGTGGCCCTCTACCCAGCCCTTATAACACAGACTAAGAGAGGCGTCTGCAGCCTCCAGTTTTATCTCACACCTGGTCTTTGCATGAGCATGTTTCAGTAACACATGTGGGCACACACACAGGTAGTGAGTAGCCACGCAGTAGTTAGTTCAGAAAACGGTCTTATTGTAGAGGGAAATAGAGGGAAAATTCTTTGATATAATAATATTCATCTCAGAAGTTATGGCTCTCCTATCAAAATCCAAAGCTGCCAGCACAACTGAACCTACCACAGCGGTGGCAGAAAGAAGGCTCTTGGCACTGTAGACCTATTTGGCAGAATGTACACTGGCTGAAAGCCCCACCCTCTGTGTTTCAGTCTTCAGACAAGCCTGCGGTGTAGCAAAAGGCAAAGAAATAGAGCTGTGAAAACATGCCTGTGAACCCTGTATTCAAGTTTCACCTTGGGAAATTGCAACATAATAACCAAGAGTTCCTGGGCCAAGTGCCCTAAGAAGAAAGGGCGCAGATGGCAGGGAACCACACGGGACCCAAACGGTTTGGAACAAGAGGAGGCTCGGAAGAAAGGCAGAACCTGGCCACTGCCAGAGACCTAGGCTAGCACATGGACTGGAGCATCGCTTCCTCAGTCCCCTGGGGAGGAGGGATTATGACCACCAGACTCATATCAGACACTGACTGAGATTGCTGTGGATATGTTTGTGCCTGTTTAGGAAACTGTATACAGTCTGTTCTGTGATATAGGTTAGGTTCCTCTCAAGGAATCCTTTTTGCCACTGTTGTTAAATTCTGAGTATAAAGACGCCCCTCTCAGATACTGTTGAGGAGGCACGGATAAACAGTGAGCCCCCTGACCATCTCAAGTGAAGATCCTGAGTCCAGAGTGGAACCAGAACCCTCCTACTCCCATCCAGGGTCTCTCTGGTGTGCCACACAACAGACGCACTGTGGGTTTTGTTTCTTCTCTGAAACTGGTCTGTCTCTGTTCCTAGACAAAGATAAAAACGCCCTGAAAATTTATCTGCAGATCATTAGAAGGGAAAAAACAGACTCACAGGATTCTGAACTCCATTTTACAAATGGCCAGAAAAGTGTCAGTGGAAATGAATAATTATTTCTGGCGAAGAGGACAGGATGGATTTCTCTGGGCATGTCCAGAGCGATTCCCTGGTGTTCTTGAGCGATGATGGCCTGGCCTGACAGAGCAGGGCTCCTCTCCTCCCTGCCCCATCTCTGGAGGAAGATCGGGGTCCCACACCTCAGAGGATTACCACCGTGGCCTCTGCTCTTTGTGGCCAGCTGAACGGATGACAAACATCATCCAGGCCTCCCCTGGCAGCCCTTGCAGGGCAGCGAGGACTCTGGACGGCCCCACCTGAACCCAGGCCTCCAGCAACATCCTCCCCTCCTGGCCCCGGAGAGCAGAGAGGGCGCCAAGGGGAAGCAGAAGCAGGCTTTGGTTTTTCTGCAATAGCTTTGCCTTTTTGTTTCTCAAGAAGAAAATATTCAGCCCTGCTCCCATGGGGGAAAACAGGGAGGACAGGACTGAAGGCTATTTTTGAGATGCTGCCTCCCCCAAAGGAAGGGTGGGAATGGTGTGAAGAGAGTCCTGCCCTCATTTCCTGGAATAGAGCATGTGGGTCAATAGTTTGCAGTTTGCAACTATTTTTCAATCACATTATCTCACTTTTGGTCCCCACAATAACCCGGTTAGATAAGGGTAGAAAGGGGTTTGTCTTAGTCAGTTCTGGCTGCTATAACAAAAATACCATAGCCTGGGTGGCTTCAACAACAAACATTAATTTCTCCTGGTGCTGGAGGCCAGAAGTCCAGGATCAGGGTGCCAGCATGATGGTTCTGGTAAGAGCTCTCTTCCGGGTTGCAGGCCGCTGCCTTCTCCTTGTATCCTCCTGTGGCGGGAACTCTCTTGTGTCTGTGTCTTTTTATATGGCACTAATGTCATTCACGAGGGCTCCACCCTCAGCATGTGATTACCTCCTAAGGACCACACTTCCTAATATCATCACATTGGGTGTTAGAATTTCAACCTAGGAATTTGGGGCAGACACAAACTTTCAGCCCATAGGAGGATTATTATCCCGATTTTACTAATGAGGAAACTGAGGTTCAGTGGCAATAACCAATAAGGAGAAGGTGCTAAGGAGAGTGTCCTAAGGCAGGCCCTCTAATTCCATGTCTCCTGCCCTGTCCGCCACCTCCTAGGCCTTCTCTAGGCTTTGCCCTCTCTGCATGCCCCTGCCTAGGCTGAGTGTCCAATGTCTGTTCCAGCTCTGCCAACAGCTGGCTGCATGGCCTTAGCTACATCCCACGTTCTCTCTGGGCCTCAGTTTCTTCATTTGCAAATGGTGATATTAGGTTGATGCAAAAGTAATTGTGGTTTTTGCCCATTAAAGTAGGGGCAAAAACCGCAATTACTTTTGCATCAACCTATATATCTATATAGGTGCCTCTATCAACTGATGGAAGAATCAAATGGCTTTGCAGATTCTGACATGCTCTACCAATTCTGGGGCTGCCCAGTATTACCTTCACAATTGGAGAGAGCAGAAAGACTTCTTGCTTCAATTTATCTCCCTCTCCTCCCTGCCATTGTCAATTCAGCTTCTCGTGAGTCTTTATCTTCACTAAAGGGCAGACCCTGTTGGGCGATGTGGCTCATGCTTGTAATCCCAGCACTTTGCAAGTGGAGGCAGAAGGATTGCTTGAGGCCAGGAATTTGAGACCGGCCTGGACAACATGGGGAGATCCCCATCTCTACAGATAATTTTTAAATTAGCTGAGCATGGTGGTGTGCACCTGTGATTCCAGCTACTTGGGAGGCTGAGGCGGGAGGATGGCCTGAGCCTGAGAGGTCGAGGCTGCAGTGAACCAAGATTGTGCCACTGCTCTCCAGCTTGGGCAACAGAGCAAGACCTATCTCAAAAAAATAACAATAAATAAATAAATAAATAAATAGAGGGCAGAGCCCCCTGGGCTAGGACACATGTCTAAACATTATCAGTTATGAGCGCCTCTTAGTAAATGAGTTTATCAGCCCCCCAGGGCTCAGGAACGGGTGGGGGAAAGTTACAGCAGAAGGTGTCCAAGAGCCCGCCCCAATGTATCACACAAGACATGATCAAAATTGGTGTCTCCAGGCTCTGCGAGCTTTCCTTTCAGTTCTGCACTCTGAGGGTTCTGAGAATGGGGCAGACAGAAATGAAAAGAGCTGGGACTCATTAACCCCTAGGTCTTCATGGCTTTAATATGGGACCTTCCTGGGAGGAGCCTGGACACATCTTCAAGACTCAAAAGTCATAGAGTCCTCATGGTGGAATTTTAGACACCTTGAAAGGAGGGTGGCGTGACATTGTGGGGCTGAAGTGATAAGAAAAAAGGTCTTCCCAGTCCCCTTTGATGGCCACCTGTACCCGCTGTAAAATTGGCCCAGTCCCATAGCCCCAGGACCAGGGAACTCTGAAAGCAGGATAGCCTGTAAAGTAACAAAACGTAGAGGGGTGAGAATGTGCTTGCAGGGCTGGGGGAAGGTGCGCCCAGTTCCTTTAGATGTGGGAGCAAGGGCCAGGCACCTGGGCAGATGGCCCCCCCTTGATGAACCCACTGAGGCCCTAACCAAGCCCGACCCACCTGAATGGGGAAGAAATAAACGGTGACAAGTGTGAAAAAACCATTTTATGGTTCTTTAATAACTGTTTTTGCTAGGTTCTGTTTATTCCTTTCAAAGTATGTTATTTAAAATGTTCTGCAATTAAAAAAAAAAGAAACAGGATGGTCTTTTTAAAAACAGGTTTGAGATAAGGAAAAAATTGATTCTATCAGCTTGGCAAAAACACCTCCTGCAGCACAAAAACTCCACGAACGTCTGTGTGTGCCTTCACTGGGAACGAGGAGAGGGAGTCAGAGGGCAGCGAGGCCGGGCAGCGAGGGAGGCAGAGCCCCTCTGTTGGTGTGGGGTGGAGGCAGCCTTTTATCCTGCGCCTCCGGTGCTGTGGCTGGGAAGGCAAGGTACTCATGCCACCCTCCAAGGTGAAGAGAAGACCCACCTGCTTTTCTCTGCCATCACCAGATCCTCCCAGGCACTCTCCCCACAGTCGGTCCAGCCAGGCACACTCGGCCTGATCTAGTGATTCAAGCTGTCTTTCCAGGACTTGGCCTCTGCAGGTAAGTCCTTAGTCTTCTGGCCCCTACCCCACTTCTCGAGGTGTCTGGGGACTCAAGGAGAGCAAAGGGGGCTGATATGAGCCCACATTGGAGGAGGGCAGCCTAGCCCTGCGGTAGGTTCCATTCTTATTCTCACCGACTCTCTCGCCCTTCCTGAAAGTGGGTCATGCATCCCCACTCTAGCCATGCGACCTCCAATGACATCCGTGGAAGGCGCATCCTTCCCCACACGACTGAACTGGCCACATGCCCAGCCTCGGCCAATGGCAGGTGAGAGCATAGGACATAGGCCGTGTCCCAGCAGATGCACTAAAACACAAGGCTGGCCTCTGCCCACTCTCCTACTCTTTTCCCCTGCCCTGGGAAGGGCAGGACCCAGATGGGAACTGCTCCTTCAGTCATGGGGAGCAGAGCCCCCTCCCACTACAGCCACCAACATGTAAGATGAGTGAGAAATAAACTGCTATGTTTTAGGACATAGCAATACAGGGCCATTTGTGACTGCAGCCTCACCTAGCAAAAGCTGCATGACATGGGACCTTGTTCTCCTCCTAATCCTCCATCTCCAAAGCAGTGTCTCTTGTCTACTTGCCTGTGGTCCACAGCCAGAGAACCCCATCCTGCTTTCTCTGTCTTGGGCAGAGGCCTCACGTCACCTACAGGGGCCCTCAGGTCTGGCTGTGCCTCGCTTGTGATGCTCAGTGTAGGTAGGTGGTCAGTCCCGGGATGCTTAGGTATGGGTCCTGTGACCCTGCTGCTCCAGCCCCGAGAGGAAAGCTTCTCAGCCCAACTCGCAGCCAATTCCCAGCCTCCCGGGGGCTCACATGGACATTCCAGAGCCCATCCACATGCAGACACCCAGGGCAGCTGGAGAACGCGAACCTCAGGGCCCGCCTCGGCCCAACCCCACTGAGCTGCTGCCTACAATCTGAGTTGGCCACCGACAGTGGGTGCTGGAGGGCTGACCTCAGGGTGGCTTTCTCCAGGCCCCCCGTGAGATAGAACAAGTCCCCCCTGCCCTCAGTGGCCCCTCAACCAGACCAACACACCTCCTTCCTACCTGGGTTGTGGTGAACTCTGTTCTCTAAATGACCAGGCCTGGCCCTCAAGATGTTACAGGAAGATTTCTGTTAGCAAATCCCCTGCTCTTTCCACAAAGCCTGAGTTTCCCCACCAGTATCTCAATAGTGAGGTCAAGGAAGTCAGCTCTGAGCCTAAAGATGGCTACCTTCCTTTCCTTTCCTGTGGCAGTCAGTCTCATGGCTCAGCCTCTGAGGTGGAAGGCTGCAAGGAAACAGGATTTAGGAAACAGTAAAAAGAAATCCATTCAAATGGTTTAGATAAGCCAGGCGCAGTGGCTCATGACTGTAATCCCAGCACTTTGGGAGGCTGAGGAGGGAGGATTACTTGAGCCCGAGTTCAAGACCAGCCTAGGCAACATAGCGAGACCTCATCTGTACAAAAAAAAAAAAAAAGAACACAAAAATTAGCTGAGTGTGGTGACGCATGCCTGTAGTACCAGCTACTCGGGAGGCTGAGGTGGGAGGATCACCTGAACCTGGGAGGTGGAGGCTGCAGTGAGCCATGATCACACCATTGCACTCCAGCCTGGGTGACAGAACAAGACTCTGTCTCAAAAAAAAAAAAAAAAAAAGGTTAAAATGATACATGTTACTGATGCTAAGTGTTACTGTGTGTTTTTTCACCACAAGGGGTTTTGGGGGGTTTTTTTGGGCAGCGGGGGGTGGGGGAGATGGGGTATGAGAAAGAGCTTGTTCAAGTAATTAAATATAAGGATGAGGCTAGGCAGGGTGGGGGGTGGGGACACGACCCACAGAAAGCACAAGTCCCTTGGGACCCTCCTCCTCTGCCCGCATTTCAGAGGCTACAGCCAAATCTGGAACCAGGTCCCAGCGACCACTAGCTCCTGTGGGGAGGAGTGGGTACAGGTTTCTCCAGGGCCCTGGACCCAGGGACATAGAGGAGTTCTCGAACCCACAGCCCTACCTGCCCTGTCTGCAGACAGGCACCAACCAGGGCTGGGGCCAATCAAGAGAAATCTAGAGGAAAACACAAAGGAAAACTAAAAAAGACACAGCAGAATAGAACAAGGCATCTCACTAACACTGCCAGAGAGAGGAGAGTTCGAGGGCACAGATGAAGAAGACAGGGGCAGCCCTGCAGGGACATCCCAGGAGGCCAAGGGTAGGAGGCTGGACAGGGTAGACCCTCCAAGCCCAGGTCCAGAAGGGTATTCCCTGCCTCCCCAACCGAGGACTCCAGGCACCCATCCCTGGATCCTGCAAGGCCAAGGCAGGGTCCAGGTGCATGCTGCCAACCATAAGTTTTTAAAAATATTTTAATTTAAATTTTTTAGATTTTAAATTTTAATTTTTTAGTCAAATTTGTTGAAAAAAATAGAAAATTCAAATCCACATGTGTTGCCAATTAATTTTCCCCTTACTTCACCTTCTACAGAAGGGCTATGAAGTAGGGTGGGCTGGCACCACTCAGTGCCTACAACCCACTTCTCCTAATTTTGCTCCTTGTGATATTTCTGTTTTCTCCTTCTTCGGGATTCTTAGATCAGTTGCCGTCCTCGTCCTCCTAAGGAAGGAAGGATGTTTCACCACCACCCAACCTGCTGGAATGGGGCTTAAGAGTAGCCCCATCCTTCTCATGTGACCTTCTCGCCCCAGACCCCAATACAATCCTCTCACTTTCTTCCTGCCATAGGTACACAGAACTCAAGAGCCTTGATATATGCACGATATGTTCAATGGCATTCAGGAATTGGAATGACTGCATAGAACAGGAAACCCAGATCACAGAGGCATAAACAAAAGAGGAACTCATTTTTCTGTCACATGATGAAAAGGTCAAAGGCTGGAAATTCAGGGCAGCCCAGCATCTCCACGATGTTGTCCAGATCCTGGGCTCATCCTGGCCTTCTCTTCTGCTACTATAGGGTATGACTTTTGAACTCATGCTCACAAAATGGTTGCTGAAGTTACCACCATCACATCCATAGTCCAGGCAAGAGGAAAGGTTAATGGTGCTGGTGTGTGCACTAGCTGAATGTCCACCTTTTAAGGAACTTTGCTAGAAGCTCAACCCAACCACTCATGCTTCACCTCATTATCCAGAACTGAATTATGTGGCTATCCTTAGCTTCAAGATGAGACTAGAAAATGAAGTATTTTAGCTGGGCCAATTGCCAACCCTAACGAGTTGAGATTCTATATAGCAGAGGAGAGTTGAGAGTTGGTCAGGAATTGGCAGCCCTGTCACATATGCCTAATTCCAGTGCTGTTATTGGAAGTACCAAGGCTGGCAGCTTCCACACTGGGTCTTCAGTCGCTCATGTCTTCTGTGTCTGCCTTCATTCCTCTACTCAGATGGCAAACCTCTTTGTAAACAGAGAAAACATGTTCATCATTTTCATTACTCCCTCTTCCCAACCCCAACCTTCCAATCCTACTGTACCAGCTCAATAAATGCTTACTTTAGAAAGAAAAAGCAGTAACACTCACTATTAACCATATATGCCTTGGGACAAACTTTCCATTTCTTATTTGAATCACTGTTTTTATCGTGTATTGCATTGTCATTTTCCATTTCGTGAGCTTAAGTAGCAACTCCTCAAGTCAGCTATAAATTCCTAACAGTCTAGAAGTGCCCAATCCAGTGACTTTCACACGGTGAATGCTTTCATGACTTGTAGAGTTTATTTGGCCTGAGTTCTAGTCATTATCAGTAACCACAACAATAGTAATTTCATACCTTTATGATGCTTCGAAGTTTACACAACTTCCTTTATACACATTCTCTCACTTGGTCTTTTAAGTAACTCTTTTAAGTAAGGCTGCTGTAATTATCCCTTTTTCACAGACAATGAAATGGAGGCTAAGAGAAGGTATATTGCTTGCCCAGAGGCATGAAGTCAGTGTTTGAACTGGAACTTAAATACAGGTCTTTGACTTCAAATCCAGCAGTTTTCCATCAAACTTGAGGCCTCGATTCTCTCACTTTCAAAAATGAAGAAATTAATTTAGATTATTTCAATGCAGCACTGTCCATTAGAAATAGAATATGAGACACATATAATTTAAACTTTTCTAGTAGTCACATTTAAAAAGGAAAAAGAGACAGGCGAAATGAATTTTAATAAACTTTTATTTAACTCAACTCAAAATATTTCAACATGCAATCTTCATATTAATAAGACTTTTTTTGCTTTTGAAAGCTAATTTTTTTATTTATGTCTTTAAGTCATAGGAACTTCTAAAGAATGAAAGCCAATGTGTTTATGACACTTTCAGCACATCACAATTTAACCACTTTTCAGGTGCTCAAAAGCCACACATGGCTAGTGGTCACCATATTGGAAAGCTCAGCTGTAATGTTTGAAGGGTAAATTTAACTTTAAAACAAGCTCCTATATCTAAGATTTCGTGATCAAATTATTTTAGAAATTATCTAAAAGAGTTATTTTCTGTACATTCTTGCAATAAAGGAGAACTGCCTGTTCAACAACTATCCCCCTGTAGAAAACTGGCTTTGCCTAGATCCATCACAAAGCACCACTGCCATCTGGTGGTAGACTCTTGAATTGCCAGCAAATTCCCCAAGAGGAAATAATCAGGCTCTCGGAATGAGTTTATCAAAGCAGTAGAAACTGACTCCACATAATCCAGGAGAATTTGTTGAAGAATGCACAATGCTGGGCCCTGCTGAATCAAAATCTCCAGGACAAATCCCAAACACCCAGATTTTCAGTAAATGTCCCCAGTGGTCATTCACACTGAAACTTGAGAATGGTTGATCTAAAGGACATGCCTATATAATACAACCATAGAAAATTCAGTGACAGTAAATGTCAGAAGAGGACTCATTCTTTCCTGATACTGTTCTGATATTTGTCAGACTGCTAATTTCTTAGTTTCTACATAGAAAAAAAAACCCCACCCCCAATATATACACACACACACACACAGTTGGAAAGAATCCATAATCCCATCACTTTTTTCAAAACTTAAAGGAAGAAAGAAGTCTATGTGGCCACTCCATCTCCGACCCCCCCACCCCCAACACACACACACACCCCTAAGACACAACTCTGTAACAGTTACATATAGCTCAGGCCCTCACAGCCGTGTCCCCACTCCCAGCCTCTGCTCTCACCCTGCTCCCTCCACACCCAAGTTCCAGCCAGGCCAGTGCCTTCACAGCTCTCCCCCTTCACCTCACTCCCCTTCTGAGACTTTGCAGAGCTGTCCCCTCCATCTGGAACAGCAGTCACCATCCTACCCTCCAGCCCCCATGACTTGTCCCTCATAATGCAGCTCAGGCATCAGCTACTCAGGAAGCCCCTTGGGGAGCCCTCTAGACTGTGCTGGGTCCCCCTCCTTCCCCCCGAAGTGCCCCATATGGTAGCTGTATTGTCTGACTTCTCCACACAACTGTAAGCTCCTTATGGGGCAGGGCTGCGTCTCTTGTCTCTGTATCTCTGCCACCTAGAAAAAACTCTGCCACAAAGCAGGCATTGTTAAGAATTTGCTGAGTGAATAAATGTTTTCTTTTCCTTTCTTTTCTTTTCTTCTTTTTTGAGACAGGGTCTTGCTCGGTCTCTCAGGCTGGAGTGCAGTGGCACGATCATGGCTCACTGCAGCCCTGAACTCCTGGGCTCAAGCGATCCTCCCACCTCAGCCTCCTGATTAGCTGGGATTAGCATGCATCACCACACTCGGCTATTTCTTTTTTATTTTTCTTTATTACTTTTGTTTTATTTTATAGAGATGGGGCTCTCTGTGTTGTCCAGGCTGGTCTCGAACGTGTGGGCTCAAGCCATCTTCCTGCCTCCGCCTCCCAAACTGCTGGGATTGCAGGTGTGAGCCACCACGCCCAGCCATAAATAAATGTTTTCAAAAGCATCAAGTAGTCCCTCTGATTTTTAAATGATAATGCTAGTTCTGATGAGTTGACGACACTAAGCAGTGTGGACCTTTACTGGAGTCTCAGTAATGTCAGCTTCCAGCTCTGAGGACGGAGCTGCAGACGTTATGACGGCTGACCAGAAGCGTTTGTGTCGGGGACTAGGGAGGGCAGTGATTTGGGCACCATGAACACAGTGAGACACGGACGGGTGCAGGAAGAGGGCAGTAACAGAGTAACCCGGGAATGCCGTCCCCACCTCCCAGGAAGGGATCCATTTCCCCAGAGGACAGAGGCCTGCTGCATCTCGCCCAGCTAATCTGACAGAAGCCAGCTGCAGCACTAGGCCTGCCCCCGGGAAGGCATGCTGAGGCCGGGAACCACATGCCACTGTTTGCCCCTGGGGGACAGGGGCACAGGGAGAGGGTAATTGACTTGTCTCCCAAGTTTATTTATTAATTCCTAGCTGCACCATTTGATGTGGTTTCCAGGAGGCACGCCGTTGAAATGTGCCGCCCTTCCCCATCCTGGCTGCAGTGGCCCCAGGGAGATGGGTGAAGCTCAGAGCCAGCCCACAAGTCAGACCAGGTGCAGGCAGGGGACTAGGAAGGGTGCCCACCATGCAGGGAGGCTTGCCGGCCCCAGCGCAGGCAGCAGGCCATGGCATGGGGTAGGGTGCAAGGCAACAGTGGACGGTGTGCTGGGGAGCCTGAGACGATGCGCCTCGGGACAAGTGGCCGCAGCTCTCTGCTTCAGCTTCCCCAGCTGTGAAAAGGAAAAATGAGTGGCGGCAGCTGCCACTTCGTAGAGCTGAGTGAGAATACCAACGTGCTGAGGGTAGGAAGTGCTGTTACAAGTCAGGGGCACCCCGCAACTGTCGAATGTTCCAGACGGGCAAGTGTGTATCTCTAAGTGCCGGGTCTAGGCCTAACTTTGCTCCTCATTTTATGTTTTCCGAATTTCCCGTGCTTCCTACAATTAGCATGAATAAGCTGTATAACCAGGGAAACATTAGACTAAAGAGAATGGGAAGCGTGTGGCCCAGAGATGGAGCCACGTCTCAACAAGCAGGGTGGTTACAGGGTGGAGGGAGAAAGGGGGTGATCCCTCCAACCCAGGCTTGAGCGAGGAAGGACACCTCAGATGCAGGGAGAGGGTGGAGCCTGAAGGGTAAAGGGAGGGGGCGATGACTTGAATGAAGGTAGCCATAGACCCCAAACAGAGGAAATGGGAGCCAGGCCCCAAGATTCTCTATCCAAGGCAGTGGCTCTCCTGGCTTTCAGCCTTTGAAGGGTCAGCACAAGTCACCTTCATTTAGCTGGTGTGCTCCCCACTGTGTGGCTCCAATCCCCTGGACTCTCTCCAGAGACTCTATCCGCTTCCTAGGACGGATGATTGAGCAGGGCGTGACCGCCCAGGAGGTGGGAGGTGAGTGCAGAGGTCAGGGGTTCTCCATGCTCCGCCATACCCACCGTCCACGGGCCCCACAACTCTGTATGTGTGTGCAGACCCTGGTCCCAAGGAAGTGGCCATGGCTTCTTCCAAGAGGCACATGCCCGTCCAGGCCCCAGGCCAGCGTCCCCCTCCCCTCACCCCTCACCCTGTGGCTCCCCTGCTCACTCCCATCGACACTCTAGAGAAGAAGCTACTGACAAAAAAATGTTTAAAGATGTCACAAAGTTAGCAGCAAATCAAAGTCCTCGGAGCCCTGAAACTGACATGGTAGAGATGTAGGCCACCTGCCCTTTGAGATTCTGGGAGAATTGGCCGCACTCCGATCGCTTACACACTTTTCCGATATGTCTTTGCCTCGGAGCACCAGTTCCTACTGCATTTGTTCAGTGGGCAGAGAGTGTCCCGGCCCCACATTCACGGGCTAGAATAATCCACCCCTTTCCTTCACTCCTTTGCCACGAGACCACTCACACAAGGCCTGTGTGTGGCCAGGCCAGAGGGCTTTGCCACAGGCCTAACCAGTGTCTACCCACTGAGGAAGGCCAGGCAGCCCTCCCCAGTGGATGCGGGCCTTTGTGAGGACAGTTTCCGTGGGCCGGGCCACCAATCTGGAGGGCCCCGAGCTGTGTCCACATTCACATTTCTTCACTCAGGCCAGGCTGTGTGCGCACACACACCACACTGTCACACACCCAGGCTGGACAGGGTCCCCCACTCTCTTGCAAGAACTGGACAGAACTCACACTTGTGTTCACACCCAGCTGGGCCACACAGGCATTCACACGCTCACCTGGACTGGCTAAGTTCCTATTCAAGGGGTTTCTGCCTCTGCCCACCAGGATAATCCCCACACCAGGGAGAGATGCCACTTTTTGTGTCAGGGAATAAGATACCCCGAAGCCCACTGGAGAGGCCAGGGCCACTCTGGGTAGGGTGTGAATGGGGGCTGGGACCCAGGCTAGCATAGGGCCTGGCTTCTGTCCCCCAGGTCCATCTGGGCCAGTTGGCCTGTGGGCAGGGAGCTGTCTTAGGCTGACACGGTGCTCTTAGGTCAGGGGAACCCAAACACAGAAAGGAGGCCTCAAGAATGTCCCAAATGTGAAATGGATTCAGTTCTGCCTGCTTTACTCCCCAGGCCTCAGCCATTTCCCCACTCAAACCTTCTCCCCCGCGCCAAACACCCCTCCTCCAGCCTCTTCCACTCTCATGACCTCCGTCCCAGCTGCCATGATCCCACCAGATTATGTGGCCAGCCTCTCATCCTAAAACGCCTACTTCATCAGGTAACTCCCCTTTCAAGAACCTTCAAGAGCTCCCCTGCCCCCCACCCCACCACCCCCATTGTGTAAGGAGGACCTCTGGCTGGCACTCAAACCCCTCAGGATGAACCGGAGCTGACTTTCCTGCCTTAGCCGCCTCTTTTCCCCTCCTCTGGACCCGGGTCCACACTGTCATTCCATAGAGGCGTTGCTCTTTTCCAGCTCTGCATCTTTAGCAGAACCTCCTGTCCTCTTCCTTCTCCCGGAATGTCCTCTTTTCCTTCAGATCCTCCCCACCCTGTAGGGCCCAGCTAAACCTCCACCTCTTCCAAGAAGCCTTCCCTGATGACACAGCCCCCAGGGAACGCTCCTCGCTGCCTCCTCTCTGTACTCTGTGCTTTGCCTCCCATGGCACCTCATCTCCTGCCGGGGACTTTGCTCTCCACTGCCAGGACCGTCTCCTCTTCCCTGCTTGTCCTCCCCTGAGCACAGAGCTGGACACACAGGCCCCGGCTCCTGGAGGAAGGTGTTATGGGCCTCCCTCGCCCCTAGCCTACTCCAGCCACCCAGTTTGTGTGATTGTCTCTCCCTGGATGCTGTAGGTCCCCAGCTGGCCCAGCTCCCACCCCCACGCCGACCCGGTGCAGACGCAGCTGCTGCCCCAGGAGTGCTGAGGCTCCCAGTCAGGCTGGGGCCTGCTCCGCTGGGCGGGAACCTCGCACATTCCTTCAGAATTAAACAAGGGCCCGCTGGCTCCAGGCTCCCCAGGATGAGGATCATCCGGTTTGCTTTCTCCCTCTCCAGGCAGCAAGGCCCACTTGGTTCCAAAGGAAAGTTCTCTGGGCAATGACCTCAACAGCCGCAGGGAAGGGTGAAGGGTCACATCTGTGGCCATTTGGAAACCCGGGTCAAGGCCTGAGACTCTGCCCTGGGCCCCCTCATGCCTGGTGTTCATTCTACCATCCATCTCCCATACTCACACACATGTGCACAGGCACAACACACACACACGCAGACACATGTAAACACACATGCACAAATGTAAGCGTGTACCCCCACACATAAATGTGTGTATACACACAACATACACATGTAAACACACAAAGACATGCACACAAGTGTAAATACAGACACACGCAGACACACATGCAAAGCACACACATACATACACAAGCACACACTTGCAAACACACGCATGCACACACATACCCCACTGCTGCCCTTGACTGACCCTGAGGTGGGCTGGGTGGCCTGGCCACAATGACAGGGCTGAGTCTCTGGCAAAAAGCCCACCCCTCCTTTCCCCAGAGCAGTTCGGGAAGAGGGCAGAGCTGTGATTTGAAGCACGGCAGGTCATTTTTCACAGTTCACCTTCAAACAACCTCGGCCCAAGAGACAGAGTACTTTTTAGCAAAGACAAAAAAAAAAAGATTTCCCATCACACTGCCCCCAGCCCACGGCTGCACGTAGTGAGAGAAACGGCCAAGTGGAGTGGGAGGGAGGGTGCAAGGTCAGGCTGAGCTGCCACACACCCCTCGGCTTCTGGAATAGGCCATAGTTGCCATGTCTGCTGGGTGGAAGGCAATGTGGAAGGGCTTCAAAATGTATCCCCCAAAAATGTGCTCAGTGCTTGGCTCCAGTGGTACGCCCTAAACCTCTCCTTGCTCTGTGGATCCCTCTCACTCTGCCTCCACTTATCCTAACCTCCCTCGCACTAGCTGGCCCATGAGTTTGAGGATATCAGGGACCCAGGTGGTCCCGCGCACAGAGCAATGAGGAAAGCAACGAGATAGCGCTCTCCAGCAGACATAGATGGGGCCTCATGGGACAGTCTCAGGCAGTCACGCCATCTCTAGAGGTCCACAGAGTCCCCAGTTCCTGGGTGGTGGGAACAGAGATGGTTTAAGACCACTCCCATATTTCCTCCAGAGACTGGGCAGCCTTTGAGAGTAGATTCTAGCAATGTTTGAAGAAACAACAGAAGCCATAGTCCCATGCTCCAGCCCAGTCTACGAGGTTGTTGCAGTCACCTTCCTAAGACTTGGTCCATGAAACTAAGTCACATGATCCTGCTCAGATTCAGTGAGCGTGGCCAAATGTATCACATGGCCTACTCCACGCCAGCCTAAGCCCTGGACAGTCATGTGGCCTGGCCACTGCCAGTCCAATAACATGGCGCAGAAAAAGAGGTTGCCTTTCCAAGGTACTTGATTTCCATTGGTCGGAAAGTTAGAATATACTGACAGTGTTAGAATAAGTACTTCACTGCCACCTGCAGAAAATATGACATAAGAGATACAGAAACTGCCCACCTTTGGAGGCAATGAAATTATATAAAAAAATGAAGATTTCCAAATAATAAAGCGTCCATGATCCAAGCAGCGCCCCCTCGCCGTGCCCTTGTGCTCTCTGCGGCAGCCTTTCATGAGGCCTCCGTCGCCCCTGCTCTGGGCTGAACCGTGTCCCCTAAGAGCCATATTATTGAAGTCCTAATCCCAGCACATCAGAATGAAACTGTATTTGGAAATAGGGCCATTAAAAAGGTATTAAGTTAAAATGGGGCTGTTAGGGGCTGGGCGCGGTGACTCACACCTGTAATCCCAGCACTCTGGGAGGCCAAAGTAGGAGGATCACTTGAGCCCAGGAGTTCAAGACCAGCCTGGGCAACCTAGCAAGACCCCTGTCTCTACAAAAATAAATAAGTAGCCGGCTGTGGTGACACACACCTGTGGTCCCAGCTACTCGGGAAACTAACATGAATGGATCGCTCTAACCCAGGAGTTCAAAGCTGCAGTGAGCCATGCTTGTGCCACTGCACTCCAGCCTGGGCAACAGAATGAGACCCTGTCTCAAAAAAAAAAAGTGAGGGGGGGCTTGTTAGGGTGGACACTAATCCAGTCTGCTTGGTGTCCTTGTAAGGAGAGCAGCTCAGGACACACAGAGAGACAACAGGGACATGCCTGCACAAGCTGTGAAGAGGCAGTGAGAGGGTGGCTATCCGCAAGCCAAGGAGAGATGCCTCTGAGAAGACAGACCCCGCTGGCACCTTGATCTTGGAAGTCCAGACTCCAGGACTGTGAGAAAATAAATGTGTGTTGCACAAGCCTTTCAGTCTGCAGTACTCGCTCTGGCAGACCAAGCTGGCTAACACAGCCCTTCCCCAGCCAGCTACTGTCCTGGTCTAATGCCCCCATAGCCAGGACAGGCCTTGCCTCCCTCAAAATAAAACTCAGTGTCAGCTGGGCAGGGTGGCTCATTCCTGTAATCCCAGCACTTGGGGAGGGTGAGGCAGGTGGACAACCTGAGGTCAGGAGTTTGAGACCAGCCTGGCCAACATGGTGAAACTCTGTCTCTACTAAAAATACAAAAAAAATTAGCCGGGTGTGGTGGCATGTGCCTATAGTCCTAGCTACTCAGGAGGCTGAGGAAGGAGAATCGCTTGAACTTGGGAGGTGGAAGTTGCAGTGAGCCGAGATCACACCAGTGCACTCCAGCCTGGGTGACAGAGTGAGACTCCATCTAAAAAAAAACCCCAAAAACAGAAACAAAACAAAACTCCGTGCAATGGGGACTGTCAGATGGCCTTGAAAATGCAGACCAATGGTTCCTGCCCTGTACACACAAATGTCACCTCTTCAATTCCGGTGAGCACTAGGGCAGGGTTCAGCACCCCCAGGCCACAGTCCCCCAACACCCCTGACCCAGATCCCTCCTGGGCAATGCTGCACCCCCCACCCAACACCAGACAAAGCCCCATGAAGGAGCTATTCAGCTTGCAGATGGGCCGTGTGGAGAAATGCCAGCTGCCCTCTGCCTCCGCCAGGCAGGCCATGCACACCAAGCCCTCTGCATGAACCATCCAAGCCCCCCCAACAGGTAAGAGAGCCCTGGAGAGGCTGGGGCTAAGGGAAGCCATGTCCTCCCTCCCCTCCATTCAAACAGGGAAGACATCTCAGAGCAGAGAGGGGTCAGAGTTTCCATAAAGGGAGGGTGTTAGGGGCTCGGCAGGCACTGTCAGGGCTGACTTCTCCACTGGCCTAGCAGGTACAGCACCCAAGTCCATGAGTCTTTCAGGGGCCCATGACAATATTTTCATTTCTTTTAAAATCAGAAGAAAAAAAGAATATTACAATAATAAGGAATATATAATAAAGAATCCAGCCTGGCTTATACTCACCTTTATGCCAACACAGTCATGAAGTATAATTTTTCATGTTTTTCATGGATAGGGGGACAGGGGCAGAAGCGCTTGGGGCCAGGAAAGTCACAGTGTGCCCTGGGAGCTATGGGTGTTATGGGTATCAAGGGCTGGGCTGCCCTGGTATGGGAGCTCACTGCCTCTCTCCTTCTCAGGCTTCTAAAACCGAAGCCCCTCAAGATTGCCCCCAGCAACTCCCAGAACCTCACTCTTCCCTTCTCAAAGCTGCTACAACAACCACCTTACATCCATGTGGCAAACTCATCCTGGAGGCCACTGGATGAGCAACGGGCTCAGAGCAGAGAGTAAGGGGGACCCCTTGAGCCCGGATCAGTGCAGGGGCTGGGCCAGGGGCTGGAGCTGGGCAGAGTGTCCCCGCTTTGTGCTAGAGATGGGCTGAGCAGTGCCTCTTCCTCAGAGACCTGTGTCCATTCCCAGCTCACAAAGCCTTCCACCCAGGCCAGGTTCAAATTAGCCTGCCTGTCCTCACTCAGCTGGGTGCAATTGCAGTCCCTTGTGCTAAGGATTCACTTTCAATTTTGATTTATGGGAAACACAAGGTTGCCTGAAATCCACCTGAATTCCTCCTCAGTGAAGCAACGGTCCTGGGAGGGTGGGAAGGGCCCTGGCATCCCAAAGGGGATGAGGGAGGAGGACCGGGGCTCATCCACACAACTGGAGCTGTCTCCGCAGAAGGGAATGCGCCCAGTGACCTGAGCCACTCTCTGGTGGGCCACGAGGAGCTCTCCTTGGAGAAAGGTTATGTTCATGCGGTGGAATTCTACGCAACGTTGAAAATAAGTGAGCCAGACTTACACACGTCAACACACATGGATCTCACCAACATGTCGAAAGAAAAAAAAAGCTAATTGCAGAAGAATACATACTAGAACGCCACTATTTATACAGTTTCAAAGCATAGAAAACAGCCCTGTAAATACTTCAAGAAAACTTGCATATGTGGTTAAAAAAATTAAAGAAATTCATAAGAAATCCCAAATATAGGATAGTGGTTCCTTCTTTGGAGTGCAGGGTGCACAGTGGAAGGGAGGTGTATTAGGGAGCTGCACCCAGGGGTTCCACCTGGATTTGTTGGTTTTGTTTCTGAAACTAATTTGTGGTTTCATGGGTGTTCATTAGATCACTACATGTTTTGCTGTGCCTGCTTTTTATTTATTTTGTTTTTAATTATTTTGGCTTTGTCTTGTTTGGTTGGTTGTTTTTTGATTTTTGTTTTGTCGCATGTTAATCAGGGGCAGAGCTGGAACTGTCCTTCCATGCCACTGGGAGCCCCAGTGACCCTGGGACCTACGTGACCTGGGCCTGGTGATCACTGCCAGGCTGGCCTTGCAGAGCCAGACTGAGCCTTAGAACACCTTCTGGGGCACAGCTAGGGGAGCAGGCCCTGCACCCCCCTCCACCTGGAAGCTAGACATTGGAGAGAAGCTGAAGCCACAGTCGCAATGCCGAGTCTCAGGCCAAAGGCTGCGCTTCCCCCTCCACCCAACCTGGGAAAATGATGCAAAACTGGGGACTTCAAGATCATCCCCCACCAAACCCAATGACTTTCCAGTATTCCCTCTCACTGGGAGAGGCACCCCAGCCCTCCACTGGTTCATACCAGAACCCCTGAAGCCACCCTTGACACTCCCTCTCCTTCATCCACACATTCAATCCCATCACCCGCCTGAGAGAAGGCATCCAGGCTGGGCTGCCCACTGCCTCCCTTCCCTGCCCCTACATCCCAGAGGCCAAGCTCACAAGGGCCTTGATAGGACACGCCCAGTGAAAACACTGGGGTCTGTGTCCCTCCCTGGAGAAAAAGCAGGACAGTTGAGGCTAGACATCTGGTTCCTTAGGAAATGAAAACATTTTTCAACCTTTCACCATAGGGTGTGAGTCCTCACAGCACCTGACACGTGGATTCCAAAGTCAGTTCAGGGCTGAGGGCGCCGGAGGTCATAATACACATCTCCAAATATCAAGTATAACAGCTCGACCAGCAGTGGTGGCTCACGCCTATAATCCCAACGCTTTGGGAGGCCAAGGCAGGAGGATCGCTTGAGCCCAGGAGTTAGAGACCAGCCTGTGCAACATGGTGAAACCCTATCTCTACAAAAAATAAAATAATTAGCCAGATGTGGTGGTATGCGCCTGAAGTCCCAGCTACTCAAGGAGGCTGAGTGGGGAGGATCACATGAGCCCAGGAGGTTAAGCCTATAATCGCATCACTGCACTCTAGGCTGGGTGACAGAGCAGGACCCTCTCTCAAAAAAAAAAAAGAAAAAAAAGGGGAAAGAATGACAGCTATATCACCACTCCCAGCAGCAGAGGGACAAGCTAGCCACAGCTAGCCAACAGACATGTTTTGCTTGGCCCATGCCATGCTTGAAATTGGAATTTGCTGCCAACATGTAACATTAGGAGGGTTCACATAATTTGAAAACAGACAAACTGACTTCACCAGCTGGCATTCTCCCACTGCACCTCCCTTCCAGCGATGAAGGGAGACCCTCCCCAGGACTCCCTGCCCTGGGACTCAGTGCCATTTGGTGTCTTTCCTCAGTCCTGCCTCTCTTACTAAACTGCCACCCTGGTCCCTGTAGGCACTGAAGTTTGTGAGTCTTCATTTTATTTATTTATTTATTTATTTAGGGACAGGGTCTCAGTCTGTCCGCCAGGCTGGAGTACAGTGGTGCAATCACAGCTCACTGCAGCTTTGAACTCCCAGGCTCAAATGATCCTCCTGCCTCAGTCTCCCAAATAGTTGAGACTATAAGCTCATACCACCATGCCCAGCTAAATTTTTTACTTTTGTAGAGACAGGCTCTCGCCACATTGCCCAGGCTAGTCTCAAACTCCTGGACTCAAGCTATCTTCCTGCTTCGGCCTCCCAAAGTGATGGGATTATAGGTGTGAGCCACTATGCCTGGCCTGAATCCTCATTTTGGAACCTGAGGAACAGTTTTGCTAGTGGAAAATACGGTTCCATGCTCTGTATGTTCAGCAGCACCACCCTTTCCCAGCCTACAGTAGACGAGGTGGGAGGTGAGGGCCCAAGAATTAGGAAAGAGGGCTTGAGTGTGGCAGCAAACCAAGGCTGTGGCAGGAGCAGATGGCCACGTGCTGGGACTTACTGTCAGGTAGGCAGGAGAGGCCGGGTCAGCAGAATCACCCGAAAGCTGCGCTGATGAAGATGTGGAGGTGATAGCTGAGCCCGGTGAGGGTTGTGTGGGATTCAGTCCTTGCAGTGTGAGGGCTCAACTTGTTTCTCTTTAGATTCTAAAGTAAGCTGTTTCTCAGAGCACATGGTCACCCCCCATCAGTCCTTCTTCCCCCACCCACAGACACTGAGCTTTCTAAATGTCTGGGCCTCCCAACCCGCACCAGGGCCTGAGCCTGTCCCAAAGATTTCCAAGACAGAAGCGGCTGCGAGGCTCACTCACTGCAGGGAAGGCCACCGGCCTGAGGACAACTTCAATTGCAAGGAAGAGTTTAAAATCCCAGGGTGCCAGGAAAGAAGGAAGAAACTGGAAGCAGAAGGAAGGGAGGGTTCTGGAGGTGGGGGCCAAGGAAACACACACCCCTGGGGCCCTGAAGGCAGGGGCAGTGAGGCCTGTCTTACGGACCAGGCATTGATGGTTAGATCAAGAGGACAAATCCTGACTTTTCAGAGGCCTCCCGCCACTGCCCAGCTTGAATGTCCGTATCTGGAAACCAGAGCACAGAACTGATTGACATCCTTCAGCTCCCCCGGCCCCAAATACACACACCCAAGCCAGCAAATCAACAGTCCCCTAAGTCCAATTCACTCGGTCACAGGGAGACAGGAAGTTAACCATGAATGTCACCTGGTCAGAGAAACCAAGAGCCAGATGGATGGCCCTCCTCAGCCTCTCAGCCTCATAGCCAGGCTATGGATGTCTGACAAAATCACTGTTGCAACAGCCCAGGTCCATGAAAAAAACCTTTCGGATAAAACACAATTGTCTGTTTCTATATGTGTACACAAATATCGACATACTTATCATTTGGCAGCCACCAAAGATTTAATGAAATCTTACTGGAGAAAAACTCAAGATTGAGTAAGCTTAATATTTTCCTGCAAACTGGGACAAGGCAGCCATGATTTGGTCTGGGCTGTGAGATGACGCCACGTCTCAGTGAATAAGTGCCAAGTTCCCTCAGGCATGTGGCTGGGAACCACTGTCCTAAGATGCCATTACTCCTGCTGGGCCATTTAGGTGTGACAAGAAAGACATCTGCCTTGGGAGGCTGAGGTGGGTGGATCATGAGGTCAGGAGATCGAGACCATCCTGGCTAACATGGTGAAATCCCGTCTCTACTAAAAATACAAAAAAATTAGCTGGGCGTGGAGGTGGGCGCCTGTAGTCCCAGCTACTCGGGAGGCTGAGGCAGGAGAATGGTGTGAACCTGGGAGGCGGAGCTTGCAGTGAGCCGAGATCATGCCACTGCACTCCATCCTGGGCGAAAGAGCGAGACTCCCTGTCTCAAAAAAAAGAAAGAAAGAAAGAAAGACATCTGCCATCGGGGCTGGCGCCTCCACATCAGTTGGACTCGGGCATGCAGGAGCTGCTGTTCCCACAGTGGGAGGGGTCTGCATGGAGCCCGTGACCCTCCTGCCCAGCCCAGGTTGGGTCAGTGACTGGCCAGGGTCACAGTGACAATCTATGGGATGAGGTGGAGGCCCTTCCCCAGCTTAAGTGGGTGCCTTCTTTTCCTTCTGGCTGACCCCAAGCACCCAGCCTGACTCCTGATCCCCCCGACATTGCTGCCATCTCCCCACCTCACCCCACTTCTTGGTTCCTTTTCCCTGAAACCCGGGTCTGCAGGGGAAGATGACTTCTCAGGCTGCCTCCTTTCTCACTGCCCAAACAAGCCACAGTCCATCCTGTGCACAACAAAGATCCACTGCCAATGCTGGAAAAGGAAAACGAGTGAGAAGGAGAAAATTCACCAATGTGGGGAGGGCCTGGGATGTAGACAATCTGCCTCCAGTTTTATAGTTCTCATCCTTGGCCACCAGAGCTGATGCTCCTTTGGCCCTGAAGTCAAGCATCCTTCCTTTTCACCTTTACGCTCGCCCTCCTCCTCCCTGGATCCCTCTTCCAGACCCTTTCCTGCTGACAACCCCCTCTCCCAACTTTGATTTATCTCAACCAGAGGGACTGCAAAGTTAGATCTAGCCCCGCTTTCAACAACCTCTTAAAATATGAGCCACACACACCCCGGTGGATTCTTACATTCAGAGGCAAACACTCAAAGCCACACGGGCTAGGAAAGACTGATGGACACCCAAAGACACACATCCACACACTCAGAGACAACAGCAGACACGCTGCCAGACACCCCCTCAACACACGCTCTCACACTCCGAACAAAGGGACCCATGCCAGAAGCACAGGCAGGCACACATCCCAAAAGCCTGCCCTGTTCCGTGAGCTGTTTGGAGCTTCTTTTGAGGAAAAACACCCTGCCCCAAAGAGAAGGCCCCTGACAGGGCTGGTTTTTTTTTTTGTTTGTTTTGTTTTGTTTTTCAGCGCACTGGATAAATTGCTTTTGTGCAAAAATAAACACAAGTGAACTGCATTAGCTGAGCGAGTGACACATTAGTTACAGATGCAGGGCCTGTCAGAACATTGAGGAAACAGCTTTTATTGGGGAAGGGCTGAGAGACTCATAAATAACCGGTTGGCAATCTCACATAAACATTTGTGCATTCACATAAACACCGCCTACCACAAATGCTGGCCTGGCCGCCAGCATGGACTAGAAGAGCCCTTCCCGCCTGTCCTCAGAGAATAACAAGGCAGGCCAGGGTCACAAGCCCCTTTTCTCCCAGAGCTCCCAACTCCTTGGACTCACGCTCTGTGCTCGGTGGGGTGAAGGGAGAGATCCAAGTTCTAAATCCTAAACATCTGCCAGAGAAAGAGAGTCGATGCTAAGCCCCGATGGGACAACTGGTCCGTTTCTCCCCCACTACAGAGAACTCACATTCACCCGGCCCAGAGAGAAAGAAGAGGAAATGTCACTGCACTGGGGGCTGGGCTGTCAAATAAAGTCAAGAAAAGTTTTGCAAAGAACTTGGAAATGCCTCTTTGATGCAGCCCAGGGGTTCCCATCAGAATCATAGGAAAGTGGGGTGAGCACAGCATCACCCTCAGCACCCAGGACAAAAGCCATGAAAGGTGGTTCCAGCCCTGTCCACCCATTCAGGCACGAGGGGGCCTGGGCTTCCCATCAGCTCCTGAAGATGCCTTTGCCCTGAGTCCTGGAGTTCTCTCCTCTGAGTTGAACACTTCAGAGCCACATCCAGCTGATCTCTCAAAGAAGGGCAAAGCAGGCCGGGTGCGGTGGCTCACTCCTATAATCCCAGCACTTTCAGAGGCCGAGGTGGGAGGATCGCTTGAGCCCAGGAGGTGGAGGCTGCAGTGAGCCATGCACTGCACTCCAGCCTGGGTGACACTGCACAGCCTGGGTGACACTGAGAGCACTGCACTCCAGCCTGGGTGACAGCGAGACCCTATCTCAAAAAAAAAGTGGGGCATGCCCACAATTGTGTCCTTGCTACATTTTTTTCCTGGGGTGCCCGCCAACCCAACAAGTGCCCTGGCACCCTCACACTCCACCTCTCCCAAGCAAAGCCCACCCTTCAGAAAAGTTCCGATGTACTTGTTTGCCCTGAGGTCTGAGTAATAGAGAAACGGCCACACGTGTTTCATTCTCCCATGCCCTCCTCTATCACAAATGCATAATCCTAAAGGACAAGGTATGACATGGTAGGATTTAAAGCAAATGGCTAACACTCAAGAGTTCTGTGGGATTTTTGAACCAATCTTTTTAGGGAAGAGAGTGTAGAAAGGGGAATGTTCCCTGGCCCCAAGATCCCACTACAATGATTAGCTCCTGAACCAGCTCTGTCCACTTTCAGCTCAGTAACTGTCAGCTGATCCTCCCCTTTCCCCCATGAAAGACCCAAATCCCTAGACTGAATGGCTCTTTCTTTTACCCATTACATTCCCCAGCCCATCCCACCCATCCTCCAGCCTGATTTCCCTCACTGCTCCTCATGTACCTGAGGGTGCAGGAATTCCATGAATTCCATCCTCACCCATGTGTTACAATTTCATGCTTTCCCTTAATCAATCCCTTTTCTGAGAAGGCCTTTTCTTCCTCCAGGTCCAGATCCAAGCCACCCTTCCAAGTTCCATTCAAAAGCCACTTTCTCCAGCAAGACTCATCCTCCCTCTTTTGAACTTGGGGAGAACTTTTCAGTACCTAACTGATGACTTTCCTTCTTGTTCTAAGTTATCTGTATTTATTTGTTTATCTGGCCTATACCCCCCTTGAGATTCTAAACCCTCAGGTCTGTGGTCCTGTGACTCTTTCAGGTTTCCCTTCCTCCCAAACGCTTCTTCACGGCCTGGGCAATGGTAGGTACGTGGAATCAGCAGAGGATGTTGGTGGTGGTGTCTGGATCCATGCCTGTGGTCGTGGTGGGATGTGGCGGTGGGGTTGAACTGCAAGAAGGAAGATGGTGGTAGTAATGGAAACTGGCCAACAAATCTTCCCCTAGACAATCTCCCCCTGGCTACACTTTGCAGTTGAACAACTCTGCTTTGGAAAAGACATTAAGATGCCAGGCATGGACAGCCAGCCAAGCACCACAGCTCTACTGGATCAACCTCAGCCGTCTAGGCCCTTTCTTCCCATCCACAAATGGAATGCTTTCTGAGGAAACACACAACACAGTGCTAGATAGAAATATTGAAGGCTTGGGTGGGGGGAGCGGGGAGGGATAGCATTAGGAGATATACCTAATGTAAACGATGAGTTAATGGGTGCAGCACACCAACATGGCACATGTATACATATGTAACAAACCTACACGTTGTACACATGTACCCTAAAACTTAAAGTATAATTTAAAAAAAAAAGAGGAAAAAAAAAGAAAAAAGAAATATTGAAGGCTCTTTTGCCAGGGCGTCCCTCCGGAGAGAACACAGTGTAGCCATAATTTATTGCGTTCACTATGTTCACTTCCAATCTTACTTTTATGGACATTATTTCATGGGCTGCAGCTTAAACACAGATGGAAAAGATTCTGGCTTTGTAACAAGAGATGGTTTCTGGTGGGCCAGCCCACGGCTGTTTGTGTGAGCAAACACACATGATCATGTCCTTAGGTGGGGCTGGGAGATGCCTTTATTATGTGCTGGGACTTTGATCCAACAATTCTGGCTTCATCTTTTCCCAAGGCTGGGGCCCCAGATACTCCCAGGGGAGGAAGTGACAAACGCCATAGTGGGCGAGGAGGAGGAACAGGCCAGCCTTTGAAATGTATTTCTGCTTTGGGCTGGATCTGCCATCCTTGAGTCTTCAGAGGGCTTTGACCCAGGGACTTGGGCCTAGACCCCAAAGGGCAAAATTGAAAGGAAGAGGACACTATTATACATGTGAGATATATATATATATATATATATATATATATATATATTTTATGAATCTGTGTTGTATGATTTACATTGTCTTTTTTTGGGGAGCAGGGGCAAGAGCTAGTTAGAAAACTGAGCTCGCCCTGTCTCTAATGTCTGGTGAGCTGCTCTCCTCTCTCTACAATATATCACGGGTAGTTTCATGTCAACAAACATTCTTAAAAACATGATTGAGGCCAGGTGCGGTGGCTCACATCTATAATCCTAGCACTTTGGGAGGCCGAGGTATGAGGATCACTTGAGGCCAGGAGTTCAAGACCCCCATTGCTACAAAAAAATAAGAAATTAGCCAGGCATGGTGGTGTGTGCCTGTAGTCCCAGCTACTTAGGAGGTCAAGGCTGGAGGATTGCTTGAGCCAGCAAGTTCAAGGCTGCAGTGAGCTATGATCACACCACTGCACTCCAGCCTGGGTGACAGAGCAAGAACCTATCTTGAAAAAAAAAAAAAAAGGGAACATGATCAGACTTATGGTGTTCAGAGTCTGGTGTGTCAAGGTTTGTCTAACGGACCTCATTTAGGCTGGGGAGAAAGAGAGCACAGGAGGGAGAGAAGGGGAAAGACACATGGAGGGAAAGGGAGAGAGGGAGAGACAGAGGAGGTTGAGCCTCATAGGAAAGGCCCCAGCCCACCAGGTATATCATGGCCCCAGGTGTGACCCATACACATCTCTAGGCTCCAAGGACACTGGGTCAAGGCCAGCCTCATGCTGACAGACAGCAAGGCCTCCAGGACCTGCAGCCAGCAGCCTTCCCAGCCCCTCCTCTCTTTTCTCCCAGGGTTGGTTTCCAGCTGACTCTAAGAAGCCTTGGGAGGGTAGATTGGGAAACACGGGAGGACTCTGGGCTGCAAGGGGCAGCGGCCATCTTCAGCTAGGAGGGTCCGTGGAAAGTGAGTGGGGGGAGGGGAGCACCCAGGAGGGGACTCTGGGGGGCCTTGCGGAGGGTAATCTGTCCTGCATGCCCAGCTTCCAGGGATTCCACATGGAGGAGCTGCTGTGTGAAGTGAAATGTCTATGAGAGGCTGGACTCGGGGGTCTCCACCACTGTGAGCCTGGCAGCAGAGCTCCATGGGAGAAAGATGACACTCCCAGTTGCTTGGCAGAGATGGTTTCTTTGGTTTTTATTGTACAGGCATTTTTACTTTGCACTATTGCAGTGGTAATATTCCAGGGGAGCCATCCCTAGGGGGGTCCTTGAGGGTTTAAATAGACCCAAGGAAATGGTCTTCTATGCCCAGAAAGCCTTCTGTCCTCACCAGGCTTTACTGGTGAGATGTCACACTCAACGCTGGGGGCGCAGAGAGGGTTTGAGAGCTTTGAAACATGAGTGGGGGCCGGGGGGAATGGCTCCAGGCTGCAGATGCTTCAGGAAGATCGTGCCCAGCACCTGAGCTGCTTGAGAAATCTGGCACAGGCACCCGGCACAATAGACTCAAGAACTACATTTCAGAAAAGGTGATAACCAGGTCTGGAGGACACATTCTTGTCTGGCTGTCCCCGGTCCATGAGGGAACCACACACATCCCCACTGCCCCCCACTGCAGGAGTCCTGGTGGGGCCATCTGTTAATCCCAGGGCTCCCCAGCTCCCACCCCTGAAAACAAGTTTGAGCCCTGGATCTCCGCCCTAGGACTTCTCAGCAGTGGAAGCCAATATAGTCCTTTCTGCTCAAGCCTGTTTGATTTGGTCTTCTGTCACTTGCAACTGAAAATGTCCCATCTAACATACCAGACTAATAACTAACTATGAAATAGGCTCCAAACCAAAGAACAGAGTCAGAGTGAAAATGTGTTTTCCAAGGGTCAGAATCCCATAGTTCTCTGGAAGAGAAACATAAAAGACCTCTGCCAGATCTGGACAGGCCAGCTAGAAGCAGTACTGCCCTTAGACATAGGCAAGAGAGGCCCCTGCACACACACACACACACACACACACACACATTAAAGAATACATGGATATCTCTGCCCTTGTCCCTCGAGATCCAGCACTCAGCACTAGTACAGTGTGATCTCTAACCCCAAAACATCCACTCTCATGAGCAACACCATTCAGGCCCCAGGGAAACGCCTCACATCCTTTGTGTTATGTCCTTGAATCAAAAAAGACTGTGTCTACATACTGTGAAAATTTCTGGGCTATGCTGCTGTTCACACCAGAGACAGACACTGCCCTGGCTCTGGAGTGTAGCGAGGAGTGGATGGTGTGCACACTAAGGTAAGAGAAAAGGCATTGATCAAATCCTTCCTCTCACATAGCAAGAATGCAAGAGAAGTGGCAGATCCCAGCGGTGGCAAGATGCACTTTCTTGCTTTTCTTTGTGGTTGCAGAGGTACTCACACATTAGCACAATATTTGCTATAGTTGCACATGGCAGCTGAGGAGCATTTTCCAATATGAATAATTCATAATTTGCCTACATTTGCACACATGTAGGTCAAGATATAACATGCATGAAGCATGACACTGATGCTTTACATTGGCAACTAGACAGACATGGAACAATGCTACAATTGTAAATGAGTTTATTTTTGTAAAAATGTTTAGTAAGACTTCATTACATTTTCAAGACTTATATTTAAAATTTAGCTTCACTTAAACATCTTATTTAAATGTTGAATGTATTAGATAAAGTTGATCGGTTATACTATTAGTTATGTTTGCCTTTTAATTTTAATAGATAATTTTGAAGATTTTAAGAAAAAATAATTTTTAAAACTTACAAGAGAAGTAACTTTAAGCTTTGATCTTTTACAATTTACTTTAATTTACATTTTTATTAAAATAGGTGCAATTTTGTGCTGTTTTGGTTATCTCTGCTGCATAACAAACCCCAAAACTTAGTGCTTTAAAATCAATTGGCCAGGCATGGTGGCTCACTCCTATAATCCCAGCACTTTGGGAGGCCGAGGCAGGAGGATCACTTGAGGCCAAGAGTTCAAGACCAGCCTGGGCAACATAGAGAGACCCCCATCTCCACACAAAAGAAGCTTTTAATTAAAAACAATTATTTTTAATAAAAACAAAATATTTTTAGCTCTCAGGGTTACCTGGACTTAGTGGTCGCTTATGGGGACAGGTCTCTCATGTAGTCGCAGTCAAATGGCAGCAGGACCTAGAGCAAGCTTGTCCAACCTGCAGCCTATGGGCTGCATGAGACCCTGGATGGCTTTGAATGCAGGCCAACACAAATTCGTAAACTTTCTTTTTTTTTTTTTTTTTTTTTTTTTTGAGATGGAGCTTCGCTCTTGTTGCCCAGGCTGGAATGCAATGGCGTGATCTCGGCTTGCTGCAACCTCTGCCTCCCAGGTTCAAGTGATTCTCCTGTCTAAGCCTCCCAAGTAGCTGGGATTACAGGCACCCACCACCATGCCCAGCTAATTTTTGTATTTGTAGTAGAGACTGGGTTTCACCATGTTGGCCAGGTTGGTCTTGAACTCCTGACCTCAGGTGATCCACCCGCCTCAGCCTCCCACAGTGCTGGAGTTACAGGCATGAGCCACCATGCCCAGCCCATAAACTTTCTAAAAAATTATGAGTATTTTTTGTGTGCGTGATTTTTGTTTTTAGCTCATCAGCTATTGTTAGTGTATTTTATGTGTGGCCCAAGACAGTCCTTCTTCTTCCAATGTGGCCACAGAAGCCAAAAGATTGGACACCCTTGGTCTAGAGTCAAACGTTGGCTCAACTGGACTGCACATCCAAGATGGCAGCATCTTCTTTCACCTATCTTCTTTCATCCTCAGCTGGGATGGCTGGAACAAGTGGAATCTGGCTGAATCTATTGCTTTCTCCATGTGGCCTTTCCATGTGGCTATCTTGGCTTCCTTATAGTATGATGGCCTCAGAGGAATCAAATTTCTAAGATGATAGCTGACTTACCCCAGAGCAAGCTTTCTAACAGACCCAGCTGAAAGGCAAAAGGCTTCCCATGGCCTATCCTCAGAAGTCATGCAGCCTCACCATCACTGCTTTCTGTTGGTCAAAAGCGAGTCACGGAGACAACCCAGAGTTAAGAGAGGGGAATACACAAGGTTGGGCATACTAGGGGTGTGAACACGGGGGTGCTATCTTGGAAGACTAGCTGCCACAATGTCTGCCCTCTGCCTCCCATGAATCACATACCTCCCACGTGCAAAATACAGTCGCCTTCCAAGACCATTAAGGTATCAGCCATGAAGCCTTTAGGTTCAGGCTCCAAATCCAGGACCTCAACCTCTAACTCAGGTCCAGGTGCAAATAAGGCCCCTCAGGTGTGGTTCTTTAGAGAGGGTTTGTTTTGCCCTGAAGATCTGTGAGCTAAAGAGACAAGTTGTCTTCCCCCATGGCCAACGTACAGCAACAAAGTGGACACAGGATAATGGCAACAGACACTCTCATTCAAAAAGGAGAAGAAACTAGCACAGTGCAATTCCGAAAGCAAGCCAGGCACATGTCACCAGTGTCTTCATTAGACCTGGTCCTGCTCTCAGGGAGGGGCTGTCCCTAGCTGTTGGCTTCACACTCAATTATCCATCCTTCTCCATAAGAAATGACCAGGGCAGCTGGGCACAGTGGCTCACGCCTGTAATCCCAGCACTTTGGGAGGCCGAGGTGGGTGGATCACATGAGGTTGGGAGTTCGAGACCAGCCTGGCCAACATGGTGAAACCCCATCTCTACTAAAAATACAAAAATTAGCCAGGTGTGGTTGCATACATATGTAATCCCAGCTACTCAGGAGGCTGAGGCAAGAGAATCACTTGAATCCGGGGGATGGAGGTTGCAGTGAGCCAAAATTGTGCCACTGCACTCCAGCCTGGGCAACAGAGTGAGACTCCATCTCAAAAAAAAAAAGAAAGAAAGAAACTAATGACCAGGGTCTGCTGCATTTTGAACTGTCTCCGTCCCTTCCCACCCAACTTGATACAATTCTTTCAAAAACTTGTGGGTTTCTTAAATATCAAATGATAATTTACTACTTAAGACAATAGCCATACCCCCATTTCTCCCCTAGTAGGCCTTCTTCTACTTTAAGCCACTTGTGAGGTTGCTGTGGGATTCTTAGAAGTCCTATTGTCTAGCAGAGAGGATCTAAGATGTATACTCTGAAGATTCTTTACTGGGCGTGGCAGTGTGTGCTTGTGGTCCCAGCTGCTCAAGAGGGCTCTTTGTACCTAAGAGTTGGAGGCCAGCCTGGACAACATAGCAAGACCCTGTCTCAAGGGGGAAAAAAATATTCTCGGAAGCCCTTTTGTCTATCCAAAAGGTCTACAAAAATAATGCCCTTAAATTTTTCTGAGGTTTTAATAAAGGGTTTTACAGCCACATTCTTGATTTCACATTTACCCAAGGCCACAATTTACGGGCAGTGCCCTAAATTTTATCTTTGCTCTAAGACCATTTCTTATTTTGAAAGCCTTTTACTGGCTGGAACAACAGTCCTGGGCTCCTTGTATTTCCAAAATTCTGCTCAAAACCTAAATAGTTCCTTCTTTAGTTCATCTCTATCTCTTCCTATTTTATTTATTTTTTATTTATTTTTGAGATGGAGCCTCCTTCTGTCACCCAGGCTGGAGTGCAGTGGTGTGATCTCAGCTCACTGCAACCTCCGCCTCCTGGGTTCATGTGATTTTCCTGCCTCAGCCTCCTGAGTAGCTGGGATTACAGGCGTGTACCACCACACCCAGCTAATTTTTTATATTTTTGCTAGGGACGGGGTTTCACCATGTTGGCCAGGCTGGTCTCCAACTCCTGACCTCGAGTGATCCGCCCACCTCGGCCTCCCAGAGTGCTGGGATTACAGGCGTGAGCCACCACGCCCAGACTCTTCCTGTTTTATCAGAGTCGGGTGGAAGAAGCTAATTATTAAATATCACTTTCAAAAGATCCGCCTTGAAATCGCCCTAGCCAGATCCCCAAGTTCACTGGGTGCCCTTTTCTATGTCCACATCATTGCAGGTGAGGAACTCACTTAACTCTTCTGCCAGTGCCTCTCCCAGGCCTTTTGTTCTCCAGCCTCCAATACGTTTCCTCACTCTGTCTCAAGATTTCAGTACACCACAGGTTTTAGGTTTTTCTTACAACACACCACTTCTAGCACTGTGGTCCCAGCCTTCCAAAGAAAGCCCCAGTGAACAAGACCTCCTGGTATTTATACCTTGTGTGGTCCTCCCACGAAGAATCTGGGCTGGCCTGTGACTCATCTAACAAATACAATGCAGTGGAAGCAGTTGCATAACTTTTGGATGGACCCTTCAGGAGGACTGGCAGCTTCCTCTTCCTCCCTTTTAAATTACTCATTTCTGTGAGTCCTGAGCACCAGCCATGTAAGAAGTCCAGCTACCCCCTTGGAGTGACCAGCAACTCTATTGGAGAGAGAAGGCCAGAGATGACACACAGAGGGAGAAAGGAGCAGATGTCCCTGCCTCCCAGCTGAGCCTCCTAATGATCCCGGCCTCATCCACCACTCAACCACAGCCACATGAGAATTCCCAAGCACCAGCAGCAGCAAAGCTGCTCAGCTAAACCCAGCCAAGCCACAGAAACACGCAATAATCAAATGGTGGTGGTTCTCAGCCCCTAAGTTTTGGGACAGTTTGTTACGTAGCACAGATGACTGAAACAACTCTGACACAAGCTCCTTTTCTCTTTCATCCTGTAGATCAGCACTGTCATCGGAACACAAATGATGAGTTTGCTATTATAAAAACATGATTACTAATTTTGCTGAAGTTAAGGCAAAGAAGTGAATTCTAGAAAGTAAATATACACTAACTTATGAAATGTAATAAATGTCTTTATTCCTTGCCCAAACATCACTGGCTTATCCACAGAATTTAAGAGAGGGGACCACACATGGTTGGGCATACTAGAGGTGTGAACACGGGAGGCCTATCTTGAAAGACTAGCTGCCACAATGTCTGCCCTCTGCCTCCCATGAATCACATACCTCCCACGTGCAAAATACACTCACCTTCCAAGACCCTTAAGGTATCAGCCATGAAGCCTTCGGGCTCAGGCTCCAAATCCAGGACCTCAACCTCTAACTCAGGTCCAGGTGCAAATAAGGCCCCTCAGGTGTGGTTCTTTAGAGAGGGTTCGTTTTGCCCTGAAGATCTGTGAGCTAAAGAGACAAGTTATCTTCCCCCATAGCCAACGTACAGCAACAAAGTGGACACAGGATAATGGCAACAGACACTCTCATTCTATTGGGAATCCCCTGAGGGGCTTCATCATAACTAAATTCAGTTGTCTTCAATATTGTGCAGACTTGCAGTCATATAAAAATTATAATTCGGCCAGGCGCATTGGCTCACACCCATAATCCCAACACTTTGGGAGGCTGAGGTGGGCAGATCACGAGGTCAAGAGGTCAAGACCATCCTGGTCAACATGGTGAAACCCCATCTCTACTAAAAATACAAAAATTAGCTGGGCGTGGTGGTGCACGCCTGTAATCCCCAGCTACTCAGCAGGCTGAGGCAGGAGAATTGCTTGAACCTGGGAGGTGGAGGTTGCAGTGAGCCGAGATTGCACCACTGCACTCCAGCCTGAGCAACAGAGCGAGACCGCATCTCAAAAAAACAAACAAACCAACAAACAAAAAAATTGTAACTCATGTTCATGTGCATTTTCAATATTCTCATTTTGAAGGTGAATTTGTCGAGGTTGAAGGATACAACATATTTTATTTAAGTTTGTCAGCTTGATTTATAACTTTAACTCTCCATATATACAGCCTGTGGGCCTCCACTTAGACTCCTCTTTAGGGGTGGATGTCAGTAGAACTAATAAATGAGTGTCTGACCAAGACAAGGGCTGGAAGAACTGCAGCAGCCAGAAGAGAAGATGGGGACTTATCAGGGCCAGAAGGAACACCTGGGCAAGCACATGGGCGAAGCGCAGAGGAGCAGGGCTGGGGCAGGGTGCTGAGAGGCCCACCCATCATCTGCGGAGCAGCTACTCTAGCTTCTCCCTGTGCTCCCCTAAGCCTGGCCTCAGGTCAAAGCCCACATGCAGCCCAGTGTCCACTCACCCAGAGGCCATCGTAAGCCATCAAGGTGACCGCCCCCCCGGGCTGCAAGCTTTGGCTGCACCTCCTTGCCCTCCCCTTTGTGCACAGACCTGTCCCCCAGGCCCCAGGAAGCCCGGAGGACTTCCCAGGTGGGCCCAGCTCAAAGCCTCCAGCTAGGGACACCTGGCCCTGGGATTAAGGTGAGGAACAACAACTAGAATTGGAAACGCGCAAAGAAGTTAAGATGAACCATCCACAGGCACTGGGCACAGTGGCTCACACCAGTAACCCCAATACTTTAGGGAGCCGAGATAAGGGGATTACTTGAGCCTGAGAGTTCAAGACCAGCCTGGGCAACATAGTGAGACCCCCCGTCTCTATTTAAAAAAAAACAATTTTTTTTTTGAGAGAGTCTCACTCTGTCACCCAGGCTGGAGTGCAGTGGCACAATCTCCGCTCCCTGCAACCTCCGCCTCCACGTTCAAGCGATTCTCCTGCCTCAGCCTCCTAAATAGCTGGTATTACAGGCATGCACAATCACACCTGGCTAATTTTTGTATTTTTAGTAGAGTGGGGGTTTCACCATGTTGGTCAGGCTAGTCTCGAACTCCTGACTTTGTGATCCGCCCACCTCAGCCTCCCAAAGTGCTGGGATTACAGGCGTGAGCCACCATGCCCCACCAAAAAAAATTTTTTAAGCCTGTTGAGGTGGTGCGCATCTGTGGTTCCAGCTACTCGAGAGGTTGAGGCAGGAAGATGGCTTGAGCCCAGAAGATCCAGGCTGCAGTGACCAGTGATTATGCCACTGTAGTCCAGCCTGGGCGACAGAGCAAGACCTTTTCTCAAAATAATAATAATAAAAATAATAATAATAATTAAAATTTTAAAAATCCACCCACAGGCAATATCCAGCACTCACAGAAGACAAGCAGGTGGGGAAACGACCAGGGATCCTGAAACCCTCAGACAAGGCCAAAACTTGATTTAGCCACTAGAGGTAAAGACAGAACTGGCCTCCTCCCCAAGTCCCTCAAAAAAGTGGGGGCTATAAACCTAACACCTGGACAGGTGCAGAATCAGAGCTGTTTGGAAGCCCACTCACCAAGAAAATACACTATCACATTTGACCAGTTAATCTGAATGCTAGGAGTTTCTGCAAGGCTCAGACAGAGCCTCTGGCTCCGCACGTGTGTGCAAGGATCCCACGTCAGTTTTGTGACCATGGAAGTGCATCTACTTGTAGGTGGGAGATTTCTTTTTGCCTGGGTGAAGGTCTATGACTGAGACTGTGTGGAAGACAGTGGGTGTCTGTGAGCAGAATTGCCACTGGTTACATGTGCAGGCTCTGAGGCCGGACTACCTGGCCTTGAATCCCAAGTCTACCAATTACTGGCTTTGTGAGCTTGAGTTGACCTCTATGTGACTCAATTGACCTCTATGTGGGAGTAAATAACTATACCTGTCTCATGCAGTTGTTGCAAGGATGAAATTACATAATCCTTTCTATAGTGTTAGAACAATGCCTATGATATAGTAAATTACCAATAGGTGTTAGTTATAATTATGATGTGTGACTGTGTATATCCGCATCTGCAAATGTAAATTCAAGTGTATCTAGTAAAGGTATAGGGGTGTCTTTATGTCTTTGTTTATGAAGATATACTCATCTAAGTGTCTGTGTCTATGTTTCTGTGTGTCCAATGATAAGAACAACTGGCATCTATTGAGTGCCTTCTGTGTCAGGCATTAAGTTCTACAGGTATTCACATGGAAACATACACATACGTGGATGTAAATGGCAAGTACACATCCAGCCTGATTTACGATATCATAGGCATTGTTCTAACACTATAAATAGGATTAAGTTTGGGAGGCCGAGGTGGACATGTTTCTGGGGGGTCCTTGCTCCCAGAGCTCCCAAGATGGTGGCAGGTGGCTTCCAAAATGGCAGCCGGCTGCTTCCAAGATGGTGGCAAGCCTAATGTTCTCTGACCTGGGGTTCTTGGCCTCACGGATCCCAAGGAATGGAATCTTGGGCCATGAGGTGAGTGTTAAAGCTCTATTAGAAGCCATGGGTTATGGAAGAGAACCGTGGAAACCAGTGACTAGTGTTCAGCTCGATCAGGATGAACCCGGGCACTTAGCCATGAAGGAACAATGGCAAGCCTTTAGCCCCATCGGGAGTGGCAATGGGTGCCTCGCTGGATCAGGAGCACAGCGGACACCCTGTGTCTGGAGGGATGGAAGTCAGCGGCGGGTCTGCCATGGCGGCAAACAGCAGTGGTGGACGGCGAGCGAAAGCTCAGCTCCAGCCGTAACAAACACAGACCAGAAGAGAGTGCTGTTGCAAGATTTAATAGAGTGAAAACAGAGCTCCCATACAAAGGGAGGGGACCCAAAGAGGGTAGATGTTGACGGCTCGCATGCCTGGGTTTACATCCCGATCACTGTCCCTCCTGCTGTGCTCTCAGGAGACAGATGATTGGCTATTTCTTTACCTCTTGTTTTTGCCTAATTAGCTTTTTAGTGAGTTATCTTTACTACCTGATTGGTCAGTGTGAGCTAAGTTGCAAGCCCCGCGTTTAAAAGTGGACGCGGTCACCTTCCCAGCTAGGCTTAGGGAGTCTTAGTCGGCCTAGGAAATCCAGCTAGTCCTGTCTCTCAGACGGATCACTTGAGGTCAGGAGTTCGAGACCAGCCTGGCCAACACGGCGAAACCCTGTCTCTACTAAAAATACAAAAATTAGCCGGGCATGGTGGCAGGCATCTATAATCCTCGCTACTTGGGAAGCTAAGGCAGGAGAATTGCTTGAACCAGGGAGGCGGAGGTTGCAGTGAGCTGAGATCGTGCCACTGCACTCCAGCCTGGGTGACAGAGCCTGACTTCGTCTCAAAAAGAAAGGATTAAGTAATTTCATCCTTGCAACAACTACATGAGGTAGCTATGGTTATTTACCCCACCCCACCCCCACATCCAGCCACATGTGCCAGTGAGTACCTGTAAGTGTGGCCATCTGCCTCAGCCCTGCCCAGTAAGACCCCCTTCCTGAGGGAGTCACGTGAGGGAAAGCAGTGAATGAAACCCACCACCAGCCCCTTCCCCAGGTTCCCTATTGGCTTGAATTGCCCATGTCACATTTCCTCCAGTAGGAAAGGACAAATGAGGAGCCTGGACAAGAGCCCACCAATCACAGCCTTCCTTTCATCCTATGAATTGGTCTTGCCTTGGCCCCAGGCTAAGAGCCTCCTTTTGAGAGTCCTTGAGCTCTGCAGGGGTTCCAACTGGGCCACGCCATCTTTACATAGGGGTGTGATTTTTTTTTTCTTTTTTCTTTTTTTTTTGCTGAGTGGCATCTACTTCTGACTCATGGCGTATCCTCCCTGGAAGGACAGATCCTAACACCAGCAAGATAGTGAATTCTCCTTGTGGATAAACCCCCCATGTTTTATGTGTTATGTCTCCTCTGGTTGCATTCGCCAATGTTGGTAACATTTGAAGCTTAAAAGGATGATATTTGAAAAATTTTGGGCCAGGCACAATGGCTCACGCCTGTAATCCCCATACTTTGGGAAGCTGAGGCAAGGGGATTGCTTGAGCTCAGGAGTTCAAGACCAGCCTGGGCAGCACAGCAAGACCCCATCTATTGAAAAAAAAATAGAAAAATTAGCCAGGTGTGGTGGCACACACCCCTAGTCCCAGCTACCTAGAGGCTGAGGTAGGAGGAGCACTTGAGTCCACGTGTTCAAGATTACAGTGAGCTATGATCGCACGACTGTACTCCAGCCTGAGCAATAGAATGATATCCTATCTCTTAAAAAATAATAATAATAATTCTGTTGCCCGGGTTGGAGTGCAGTGCTTTTCTCTTTTGCCTTGATGGGTACATGATCTTCATCTTCATTGGCCTGAGGCATGCATCTCTGCTTAAAGAGAGACCAGGATTAATGTTTGATATAGACAGAATGCACAGAAGAAAAAATGTGGTAATGTTTGGTATTTGACATGCAAAATAGGATTATGCTGCAGATCAAAAGTCTTCTAAAGCAGGCTATTCTTTTGAGAGCATGTTTCCTGGATTCCCTCATCCCTCTCCTTGGGTGTGGCCCTGGAATTTTATGTAATGGATGACTGAGCAAGAAGAGGAAGAGTGTTGGTCCCCTCCTTCCTGCCCAGGGGATGGTACGAAGGGGATTAGAAGGATAACAAGCAGAGCCAAGCACTGGCCCACTCACCCCTCCCTGAGAGAAAGAAGCCCTTGTCCCCAACTCACATTGGAACTCTGGGAAGAAGTGGCATCCCAGGCAGCTGCAAACCAACTCGGCCTCTGCCTCCAGCACCAGGGCTCCCCGGTAAGGGAGAGGCACCACTAAAGTTCAGCTTTCAAAGCCAACTTCCATTCCTGTGAGCCAGCAGCCCTACTGGGGCCATGGTGGCACAGCTAGGAGACTTGGTGGGGAGGAGGGGCCCAGGTGCAGGAGGGCTGGCCAGCCAGGGGCGCCACATGGGCTCTAGTCAGATCAGGAGGGACTGGACCATGAGTTTCATAAACTCAGCTTCTAGTATGATCAGTGGCCAGGAGGGACAGGGGACCTTGCTGGGTCTAGAGGACACCACACCCCAGGATCCCAACTCATGCCTCCTACCAGATGCCACACAAGCTGCCCTTGACTGTCTACAAAACCCCAACAGCACCACAGTGGGAGAAGCTGGGCAAAGCAGTCTGAGAACTAAGCATTTTATCCAAGAGAAATTAATAAGATCACTTAACAAGACCGGCTAAACTCTCTGGCCCCAGGATGTTCAAATCAAGTTGAAAATTTCATTGTTTTTCTCGCTTATCATCAGGCAGGGGTTGGAAGAAAGGCCAGATTCATTATAGACTCATAAATAAGGAAATTACCTTTTTTTTGCACAAATAAATTATAGAGTGAATTAAGTTTTCAACTCTGTTGCACACACAAAAATAGAGGAATTCCTGCTGCCCCACTGCAATGCTGGCTGACTTTTCCAACCAAAGACAAGGACCCAAGCCTTCTGGATCCCCAGTTCCCTCCTCCAGGTGGTGGGGGACACCGTTGTGGCAGAGAGAGGTAAGGTCCCCCTTCAGCCTAAGTGGTCACATTAGCCCTCTTGGGCTCATGCACCAGATCCTGCTCTCCTGGCTTATCTGTGTTTCTTTGAGGGGAGGAATGAGATTTTCATTTTCTTTCCAGGCCCTTCCCATTCAGGGCATTTCAGATCCCTCCTTCCCATGACCCCTGAAATGAATTGGGTGAAGAATGGTCCCCTGCCCTACACGCTGCATGTCTGGGAGAGGCCAGAGGTGGAGCCGGCACATGCAAAGGCAATGCTGCCACCTGCTGGCGCCACGAAGAGACACAGCAAAGGTGGGCAACCAAACCCCATTAGCCCTGGGGGAACTGCACAAGGATGTCTTGCAGCTGAATGGTACCTTTTTCCAATGCAGCTTCTTACCTGTTCCCTCATTTAGTCATCCAGTATGCCGGCTGGAACAAGAACATCATCCCATTTTATGGACGAGACAACTGACACCCATGAAAGGGCAGAATGCTGACTGAGGTCACATGTGTGGGGATGGCTTGAAGGCAATGCTCAGTCTCCTGCTTCCCAGCCAAGAGTTGTGTCCCCTCGTCAGTGCTCAGATGAGGTGTCTCAGAAAACGAGGGACCCCTATGAACAAGGTTTACGGGGCCATCCTCAACATCCAGGGAGGAAGAGTGAGGGCGGAGGGCACCAAGCAGTAATGCCCACCCTGCAGCTGGCTCAGGGCCTGATACACGTGTACAGCAACTCTGTTTCCCAAGGGTTCACACACCTTCCACACAGATTTTGTGGGTTTTTTTGTAGAGAAGGGGGTTTGTCCTGTTGCCCAGGCTGGTCTCGAACCCCTGGGCACAAGTGTGATGTTACTTTTCGATAAAGATCTGGAAGAGCTGACTCCTGCCCTAGGCCCGTGAGTCCTAATCTAAAAAACAGACGGTGAAAGAGGCAAGAGTCATCTTCCCAAATGGCAGCTGCAGGCGAAGTAGGTGGGGGGAACTCGCAGACGATGTTGTGTGGTCAGCAGGTGTGAGATGACCGGGCTGCATCCTCTCCCGCTGGGTGCTCAGCACTCGACTCTCCTCTTTGTTCCTGGCTCTTCCAGCCCAGGTCTTCATTTGGCGGAAACAGCCTGGAGGACAGAAAAAGTGCCTCTTCTCTGCCCGAGACCCTTCCCACGCGCACACGCCATGGGGAAGCAGCTCTTCCCTTTTCCCGACGTGGGAGATGACTGGGCCGGTGGGAAATCCCATGATTCCCCGGCAGCGGTCCATGTCCCTCCTGACAGCGGTCAGCGGTCAGCCTCACTTCCAGGACTCTGCATTGTCCCAAGCCTCCTCCTCTCCAGACCTTCTTCGCACCTCTCCCCGCGATTCTTGTCCTGGTAGGGTCCAGGAAACGCTGAAAGCTACGGATAGGCCCCCACGTTGCCCCGCAGGGTGCGGATGAAATCGCTGTCGGAGGCTGGTCCTGTGGCCGGCCCTGCCTGTCTCCTGGACCGAGAGGAGCCTTCTATGGCAGAGCCGCAGCGCCACCGTGTGGTAGAAGTCCGTCTGCACGGCCAGAAACGGCGGCTCAGAGCGGGCCCACAGAAATCCTTGTAATAGTCCACTGTCAAGGCCGGTGCTAGCGACACGGGAGTGGCAAATGCACCCTCTTGCCGTTCCCGGTGTTTGGGCCTTGCCTGTGACGGTGGGAAAAGAAAATGGCCTTGCTGTGCTACAACCGGGGCTGCGGTCAGCGCTTCGATCCTGAGATCAATTCCGATGATGCTTGCATATGCCACCCAGGTGTTCCAGTCTTTCACGATGCATTAAGGATTGGTCTTGATATAAGAGAAGAACAATTGATTTTTCTGATTTCTTAAGCATTGTAGGCTGTACAAAAGGTAGACATAATAGTGAGAAGCCACATGAGCCAGTCAAACCTGAAGTAAAGACTACTGAGAAGAAAGAACTATCTGAATTGAAACCCAAATTTCAGGAACACATCATTCAAGCCCCGAAGCCAGTAGAAGCAATCAAAAGGCCAAGCCCAGATGCACCAATGACAAATTTGGAATTAAAAATATCTGCCTCACCTGATAAACTTAAACTGTCATCAGGGAATGAAGAAGATAAGAAAGAAGAAGAGGCCAAGCGTGGTGGCTCACGCCTGTAATCCCATCACTTTGGGAGGCCGAGGCGGGCGGATCACAAGGTCAGAAGATCAAGACCATCCTGGCCAACATGGTGAAACCCCGTCTCTATTAAAAATACAAAATATTAGCCGGGCGTGGTGGTGCACACCTGTAGTCCCAGCTACTTGGGAGGCTGAGGCATGGGAATTGCTTGAACCTGGGAGGCAGAGGTTGCAGTGAGCCAAGATTGCACCACTGCACTCCAGCCTGGCAACAGAGCAAGACTCCACCAGAAAAAAAAAAAAAAAACAAAAAGAGAGCAACAAGACTGATGAAATTAAGATTGGGACCTCATGTAAGAATGGAGGGTGTTCAAAGACATATCGGGGTCTAGAGAGTCTAGAAGAAGTCTGTGTGTATCATTCTGGAGTACCTATTTTCCATGAGGGGATGAAATACTGGAGCTGTTGTAGAAGAAAAACTTCTGATTTTAATACATTCTTAGCCCAAGAGGGCTGTTCAACAGGGAAACACATATGGGCTAAAAAGGATGCTGGGGAAAATGTTCCACGTAGAGAGGACTGGCATCAGACTGAAGGTGAAGTTACCATTTCAGTATATGCTAAAAATTCACTTCCAGAACTTAGCCGAGTAGAAGTAAATAGCACGTTGTTAAATGTGCACATTGGATTTGAAGGAGAGAAGGGATTTCATCAAAATGTGAAATTATGGGGTGTGACTGATGTAAAGTGAAGTTATGTAACTATGACTGCAACAAAGATTGAGATCACTATGAGAAAAGCTGAACCGATGCAGTGGGCAAGCCTTGAACTGCCTGCAGCCAAAAAGCAGGAAAAACAAAAAGACAACACAACAGATTGAGCGGGACATGGGAGGAAGGCTATTACGTATTTCAGAATTCTTAATACTGTGTGAAGTGGTGACTTGCTGCTGTCATCTTTTGTTTTGTTGTTGTGTTACTCAATCGGGCATTTCAGGGTTAACATTAGGTTCTTAAAAGCCAAAGTCAGTTTGTCTTTTTGTGCCTCTCACCTTTCTTTTGTGTTATGTAAGATTGATTATTCGTTTCTCCTTACTGGTAGGAACCATAGTTGTGTCCTGTACTTGAAGAAGCTAGAAAATCTCCCATAACCATAATTGCAGTATTTCTTCGTATTTCTCTGTTAAGCAGAGAAATATTAAGAACATGATATTTACTTCTTTCTATTATTCCATAATTAGTAAAGGAAGATGAAGTGTCCATTTTTAATCAGTTTTTACATGGATTTATGTTCTTACATTATTTGAAAATATTTAAGAAAGAGATGAAGCTCTGCAGTTTTTTCTATGTGGGATGATTACTTTTTTAAGGAAGATTAATTCTGAGGTAGTGTAGTAAGTAAAGAGGAATATATAAATTGTTTAACAAATTAGAATTTGTTTACAACTAATTGAATTTTTAAATTACGTCAAAACTTACATTACTTGCCAAGCAGTATGATGTAAGAGTATAGGAAACATAAAATAAGAATACAGAGGTATCAATTTGGTTAAAATTCACCATTTTAGGCTGGGCACGGTGGCTCACGCCTGTAATCCCAGCACTTTGGGAGGTCGAGGTGGGAGGATCACAAGGTCAGGAGTTCGAGACCAGCCTGGCCAATATGGTGAACCCTCGTCTCTACTAAAAATACAAAAAAATTAGCTGGGCATGGTGGCACATGCCTGTAATCCCAGCTACTTGGAAGGCTGAGGCAGGAGAATTGCTTGAATCTGGGAGGCAGAGGTTGCAGTGAGCCGAGATCACGCCACTGAACTCCAGCCTGGGTGACAGAGCAAGATTCTGTCTAAAAAAAAAAAAAAAAAATTCACCATTTTATAAGACTAAGCAATAATCTTAAAAATCTCTTTCCTGAATATTTAAATGTGTTTCTATGGTGTTATGACTAAACTGTTAATTATTTAGAGATTAAACCCTCTTAAAAACCTTTAATTAGTTACATATAGAAAGAAATTATAGGCCGGGCGCAGTGGCTCATGCCTGTAATCCCAGCACTTTGGGAGGCCAAGGAGGGCAGATCATGAGGTCAGGAGTTTGAGACCATCCTGACCAACATGGTGAAACGCCGTCTCTACTAAAAATATAAAAATTAGCCAGGCGTGGTGGCATGTGCCTGTAATTCCAGCTACTCGAGAGGCTGAGGCAGGAGAATTGCTTGAATCTGGGAGGAAGAGGTTGCAGTGAGCCGAGATCACGCCACTGCACTCCAGCCAGGGTGACAGATCGAGAATCCATCTCAAAAAAAAAAAAAAAAAAAGAAAGAAAGAAATTACATATATCTTGCCTCCCTGATGGAAAACTATATAAAATTGTAGACTTAAAAGGTTTGTGGAAATACATTAGGATATCAGAAAACTAAATATATGGACTTGTTTTATGACTATGACATGTTAAATAAAATAGTTTAATTCTTTTTTTAAAAAAATTAGTTCACTGTCTAGTCACTGGGGTGTTCCCTAGATCCCAGGAGAGAGCCCCATCCCCCTGGACTGAGGGACATCTGTCAAGATAAGGTCCCAGCCACATCTCTGCCCCCCGCCCCCAGCCTTAGCAAAACACCTAGAAAGGGCCAGGTTTCTGAGTCAGGTGGATTTTGTTGCTCCCATCTCCTCCGTTTTGCAGATGTCTGAGCTTGGGCAATTACAGAACCATTATCAAGCCTCAGTGTCTTGTCTCTAAAATGGGAGTCATGAAAGGCTTCTGAGGAATAAATTAGATAATAAAAAATGTAGAGTAGCAGACAGCTCATTGCAGGTGTCTAAGAAACAACGGTTTCCTTCCCCTTCTGTCTGGGCTTAGAGCCTGAGAAACCCAGACTGGCTCAAAGGCAAGGCCAGGAAGACAGCCAAAAACAAATGCCTAGGATGAGAAACGTTCCCCCTCAGCTCCTGCAGGAAACTATTCTTCACTACTTCATCAGCTACTCCTTGCCTCTCTGAACACCTTCCATTAGGGCAACAAACCAACCTGGTTTGCCAGGCATTGAGGAATGTTCTGAAAGTTGAGGCCTTCAGGACTAAAACTGGACAAAATGGTCACCCAGTCCTTGTGTTGCCTCAGTCTAGCTGCAGGACTTCATCAGTAGAGTTGATAGAATCTCTGGGGCCGTAGCCCAGGAACGTGCTTTGTAACAAGCTCCCCAGATGATTCTTATAAACATCAATGTCTGCGAGCCACGGCTCCAACACTCTCAGGCTGTGGTTTCTCATTGGCATGTAGTACGAGCGTTACTATTCAGCCAGTCAGGAGGCCACCTGAGGCAGGGCACGCACGTGCTTAGGGATGAGACCTTGGAAAGACTGAAAAGAACTCTCTAAACACCAGGCTTCAGCCCTGAATCTGCAAAGCACACCCGAAGCACCTGGACATATGCCCTCTTCTCTGCTTTAGAGTTTGTGCCCATGTGCTGCTTCTCCACCTTCTGCCATTCACTCATTAAATATTTGTTGAGTACCTACTAGCTTGGCACAGTAGGAACTGATATCCTAGTGATGCAAGATAAGCAATTAATGCTTGTATAAAAGTGTAATAAATTTAGATCATAGTAAATATAATAAGAAAGAGACAAACAGAATAATTTGATGGGGAGAGACTATGTTCAAAGGCATCTCTGAGAAGGTGATATTTGACTGAGTCCTGATGGTTGAGCAGCTAGCCATCCTAAGATGTGGGGGAAGCTGTTCCTGGGGAAGGAATGGCCATTGCAGAAGCCCCAAGGCAGAAACAAGAATTAGGAAGACAAGAGCAGGTGGAGCATAGCAAGCTGGGACAGAGCGACGGGAGCTGAGGCTGACAAGGTGGGCAGCAGCCAATGTGGACACGTGGGGGCCTTCTGGACCACTGTAGGCCTTTGCATTTTATTCTGCATGAAGTGGAAAACCATAGATGGTATTAAGCAAGGAAATGGCAGAGTCTGACTTGTGTCATTAAAGGTTAATTTGGGCTTCTGTATGGAGAAAGGATTGAAGAGGGACAAGAAGTGGAAGTTAGAAGCCAGTTAAGAGGCTCCTGCAATCGTCTAAGTGGGACATAACAGAAACTGCAGATGGGGAGAAGGGCAAGGATTCAGGAAACAGATTGGAGGAAGACACAGAGCTTGCTAATGGATTAGATGTAGGAGGAGTTAGAAGCGTACAACCAAAGCTGTCTGCCAAGTTTTTCAGGTAGAATCAGGTGAATGGATGAAAGGATCATTTTGTGGAATGGGAAGGACTAGGGGAAGAGCAGGTTTGGGAGAAGAAAAAAGCAAAAGTTGTGTTTTTGAATATGTTAACTTTGAGCTGCCTATGAGTCCTCCAAGTGGATATGGCAGGTGTGCTCATGGAGGGGCCAGGCTTTCTACAAAACCACAGGGAAGGACACCCTGACTTTATCCCTAGGCCAGTTTAACAGATTGAAAGATTACAATAATTTTTGGTTTAGCTTCTTCCTTCTAAAGAAAATTCTTATTAAGACATTTGAAAATTACCACAAAAAAATAAGAAGCAAGAAGCTAAATCATATCACCAGAGAAAATCACTTCACTAGAGGAAGATATGAATGAAAGAAAGAAGGAAGAGAAGACCACAAAACAACCAGAAAACAAATAACAAAATGGCAGAAAAAATTACCACAAAAAATAAAAAGCAAGAAACTAAACCACATCACCAGAGAAAATCACTTCACTAGAGGAGTATATGAATGAAAGAAAGAAGAAAGAGAAGACCACAAAACAACAAGAAAACAAATAACAAAATGGCAGAGGCAGGTCCTTATTTATCAAGAATAACATTGAATGTAAATAAACAAACTCTCCAGTCAAAAGACACAGACTGGCTGAATGGGTTAAAAAAAAAAAAAAACAAGACCCATTGATCTGTTGCCTACAAGAAACACGCTTCACCTGTAAAGACACATGTAGAATGAAAATAAAGGGATGGAAAAAGGTATTTACGCCAATGGAAACAAAAAAAGAGCAAGAGTCACTATAGTTATATCAGACAAAATAGATGTCAAGGCAAAAACTATAAGAAGAGGCAAAGAAGGTCATTATATAATGACAAAGGAGTCAATTCAGCAAAAAGATATAACAATTTTAAATATATAATGTATCCAACACTGGGGCACCCAGATATATACAGGAAATATTATTAGAGCTAAAAAGAGAGATAGGCCCCAATACAATAATAGCTGGAGACTTCAATACACAACTTTCAGCATTAAACAGATCTTCCATACAAAAACTCAACAAAGAAACATCAACTTTATCTGCACTATAGACCTAATGGCTCTAATAGATATTTACAGCACATTTCATCCAAGAGCCGCGGAATACACATTATCTTCCTTGGCACATGGATCATTATCAAGGATAGACTATATGCTAAGTCACAAAACAAGTCTTAAAACATTAAAAATATTGAAATAACATCAAGCATCTTCTCTGACCACAATGGAATAAAACTAGAAATTAATAACAAGAGGAATTTTGGAAACTATACAAATACATGGAAATTAAACAATATGCTCCTGAATGACCAGTGGGTCAATGAAGAAATTAAGAAGAAAATTGAAAAACTTCTTGAAACAAATGATAATGGAAACAGTATATCAAAGCCTATGGGATACAGCAAAAGTAGTACTAGCAGGGAAGTTTATAGCTGTAAGTGCCCACATCAAAAAAAAGGAAAAAATTCAAATAAACAATCTAACAATGCATCTTAAAGAACCAGGAAAGCAAGAGTAAACAAACCAAAAATTAATACATAGAAAGAAATAAGATCAGAGCAGAAATAAAATTGAAATTTTAAAAATACAAAAGATCAATGAAACAGAAAGTTTGTTTTTTGAAAAGTTAAACAAAATTGACAAACCTTTAGCCAGACTAAGTAAGAAAAAAAAGAGAGCAAGTTCAAATAAATAAAATCAGAAATTAAAAAGAGACATTACAATTGATATCACAAAAATTCAAAGGGTCATTAGCGGCTACTACGAGCAACTATATGCCAATAAATTGGAAAATCTAGAAGAAATAGACAAATTCCTAGATACATACAACCTACAAAGAGTGAACCAGGAAGAAATCTGAGACCTGAACAGACCAATAACAACCAACAAGATTGAAGCCATAATAAAAAGTCTCCCAGAAAAGAAAAACACAGGACTTGATGGCTTCACTGCTGAATTCTAACAAATATTTAAAAGACTAATACCAATCCTACCCAAAATATTCCAAAAAACAGAGGAGGAGGGAATACTTCCAAACTCATTCTATGAGGCAAGTATTACCCTGATACCAAACCCAGACAAAGACACATCAAAAAGAGAAAACTACAGGCCAGTATCTCTGATGAATATTGATGCAAAAATCCTCAACAAAATACTAGCAGACCGAATTCAACAATACATTAGAAAGATAATTCATGGCGACCAGTGGGATTTATCCCTGGGAAGCAAGGATGGTTCAACATACAAAAATCAATCAATGTGATACATCATATCAACAGAAGGAAAGATAAAAACCATATGATTATTTCAACTGATGCTGAGAAAGCATTTGATAAAATTCAACATCCTTTCATAATAAAAACCCTCAAAAAACTGGGGATAGAATGAACACACCTCAACATAATAAAAGCCATGTATGACAGACACATGGCTAGTATCACACTGAATGGGGGAAACCTGAAAGTCTTTTCTCTAAGATCTGGAACACAGCAAGGATGCCCACTATCACCACCGTTATTCAACTTATTACTGGAAGTCCTAGCTAGAGCAATCAGGCAAAAGAAAGAAATAAAGGGCATCCAAAATGGAAAGGAAGAAGTCAAATTATCCTTGTTTGCAGATGATATGATCTTACATTTAGGAAAACCTAAAGACTCCACAAGAAAACTATTAGAACTGATTAAAAAAATTCAGTAAAGTTGCAGAATACAAAATCAACATACAAAATTCAGTAGCATTTCTGTATGCCAACAGTGAACAATGTGAAAAAGAAATTTTTAAAGTAATCCCATTTACAATAGCCACACATAAAATTAAATACCTAGGAATTAACCAAAGGAGTGAAAGCTCTCTATAATGAAAACTATAAAAAACTAATGAAAGAAATTGAAGAGGACACTAAAAAATGGAAAAATATTCCACGTTCCTGGATTGGAAGGATTAATATTGTTAAATGTCCATACTACCCAAAGCAACCTCCCAGCCAATGCAAGACTCTCTTCTCCAATATCCCAGCTTCTGCTCCATCACTTTTTTCTTGATAGAGACGGGGTCTCACTATGTTGCCCAGGCTGGTCTTGAGCTCCTGGGCTGAAGTGATCCTTCAACTTCAGCCTCCCAAAGTGCTGGTACCACAGGCATCAGCCTCAGTCACTCAGCCTCAATCACTTTTAAATCTGGGAAATGCATTCCATCAGTCAACCCATCCCATTTCTCAACAGTGCTAATCACTTTAAAAATAAGTTTGCCTCCTTGTGGTCATCACCCACAGGCTCTAGTTCTAAGCTCATGTTCTTTTCTCTAGGGCAACACTGTCTACGACCATTTCTTCTTTCACAAATATTTGAAAGCAGCTCAGAAATCCATCCTCAGTCCTTTCTTCTCCAGGATCCATGTTCCTTGGAGTTTCAACCACAGTCACCATGGATGACCTATTGTTAGAAGAAATGGAGAGGCATCTAGTCCCCTAGATCACTAAGGTCAGAAGCTGTCGTGCCAAAGACTTTGTGGGGAAAGACTGAGAACCAAAATAAGGAAGCAAAGCTCCTTACCCCACCAGGCTTTCCCAGAGCTTAGCCTCTACACCAACTGCCGGCCTGTACCCCCAGGGTGGGGCACTCAACCAGCAGGGAGAATACAGGCAATTAAAGGTAATTCAGTTTTACAGTTCAAGTTAAAAGGAAGAAGAAAATAGATAAGATAAGATAAGATAAAAATAAATGTAGAGAAAAAATGAAGATTAAAAGGAAATGAGTGAAAAGACCTTAGTCTTAGACAGAGGGAAGGGCAGAATGAAACTTTCAAAGGGAAAGAATATACGCATTAACAAAAGAGTTTTTATCAGCACCATAGGAAAGGTAAAACTAAAATCTCAAAAAAATAAAAATAAATTGTAAAAAGAGGTTTTTGTTATTGTTTTGTTTTGAGAGTCTCACTCTGTCACCCACACTGGAGTGCAGTGGTGCACCTCCCAAGTGGCTGGGATTACAGGCGCCCACCACCATGCTCAGCTAATTTTTTTGTATTTTTAGTAGAGATGGGGTTTCACCATGTTGGCCAGGCTGGTCTCAAACTTCTGACCTCAAATGATCCACCCCCATCAGCCTCCCAAAGGGGCATAAGCCACCACACCCAGCCAAAAGCTAATTCTTTGAGAAGATAAATGAAAGTAAAAAACCCCTAACCAAACTGATTTTTTTAAAAAGAGAGAGTGAGAGAGAAAAGACACAAATTACCCATATCAGGAATTAGAGAAGGAACATCACTACAGATCTTACAGATAATTTAGAAAGATAAGGAGGGACTATTGTGAAAATTTTATGCCAATAAATTTAACAAATCAAATGAAATAGATTTTTGGAAAGACACAAAGTACTGAAGTATACTCAAGAATAAATAGATAACCTCAATAACTTTACACATTTTAAACACTTGAACTTATAGGATTTTAAAAACATAAAACCTTCTCACAAGGAAAACTGCAGGCCCACAGAGCTTCACTGTGAATTCACAAAATATTTAATAAAGAAATAGGGCCAGGCACAGTGGCTCACACCTGTAATCCCAGCACTTTGGGAGGCCAAGGAGGGAGGATCATTTGAGCCCAGGAGTTCAAGAACAGCCTGGGCAACATGGCAAAACCCTACCTCTGCAAAAATTACAAAAAAATAACCAGGCGTGGTGGCACGTGCCTGTAGTCCCAGCTACTTGGAAGGCTGACACGGGAGGATCACTTGAGCTCAGGAGGTTGAGGCTGCAGTGAACCATAATTGCACCACTGCACTACAGCCTGGACAACAGAGTGAGACCCTGTCTCAAAAAAAAAAAAAAAACTACAAAACATTGCTTAAAGAAATTGAAGGCCTAAATAAATTGAGAGGTATGCTGTGTTTATGGAATCAGAAGACACACTTTTAAGAAGGTAATTCTCAAATTGTTGAATGTATTGACCAATACATTGAACACATACATTTACATTTTTTGAGACCCTGTCTCAAAAAAAAAAAAAAACTATGAAACATTGCTTAAAGAAATGGAAGGCCTAAATAAATGGAGAGATATACTATGTTTATGGAATCAGAAGACTTTTTTTTTTTTTTTTTTTGGAGACACAGTCTCACTCTATCTCCCAGGCTGGAGTGCAGTGGTGTGATTTCAGCTCACTGCAACCTCTGCTGCCTCCCTGGTTCAAGCGATTCTCATGCTTCAGCCTTCCAAGTAGCTGGGATTATAAGCATCCACCACCACACTCAGCTAATGTTTGTATTTTTAGTAGAGATGGGGTTTCACCATGTTGCCAGGCTGGTCTCGAACTCCTGACCTCAGGTGATCTGCAGAAGACATATTTTGAAGAAGATAATTCTCCTCAAATTGTTGAACGTCTTGATCAATACATTTAACAGAATTTCTATCAAAATCCAAGCAGAACTTTTCATAGAAATTGGTAAACTGAACCTAAAATTTATATGAAAATGTAAAGGACCTGCAATGGCCAAAAGCATTTTGAAAGAGAAGAACAAAATTGGAGAACTTATAATACCTGGTTTCCAAACTTACTCTAAATCTACAGTAATCACCACAGTGTAGTGTTGGCATAACACCATACTGACAGGTCAATAGAATAGAACGATAGTACAGCAATAGAGCAACACATTTATGGACAGCTTGTTTTTGATAAGATGCCAAGGCAATTTGATCAGGAAAGAATAAGCTTTTCAACAAATGGTGCCATAATTTAGATACTCACATACCCCAACCCCCCTCAAAATGAGACCTTTACCTCACACCATACACAAAAATTAAGTCAACTCAAAATGGAGCATAAACCTAAATATAAGAACTAAATCATGGACTAAAATCTTGGTGACCTTGAGTTAAACAAAGGTTATTTAGATATAGCACCAAAAGTACAATCAATAATGGGTAAAGAAATCAATGAATTGAACTTCATCAAAATGTTAAGATTTTGCTCGTTAACAGATATTAGAAAATGAAAACCCAAGCCACAAACTGGAAGTAATTACAAATTATATATCCACAGGCCAAACACAGTGGTGCATGCCTGAAATCCCAGCACTTTGGGTGGCCGAGGTGGATGGATCACCTGAGGTCAGGAGTTCAAGACCAGTCTGGCCAACATGGTGAACCTTGTCTCTACTAAAAATACAAAAATTAGCTGGCCATGATGGTGTGCACCTGTAGTCCCAGCTACTTGGGGGGCTGAGGCAGGAGAATCGGTTTAACCTGGGAGGCGGAGATTGCAGTGAGCTGAGATTGCACCACTGCACTCCAGCCTGGGTGACAGAGCAAGACTCTGTCTCAAAAAATATACGTATTATATATCCAACAAGGGAACTACATCTAGATTATACAGAAAATCTCTACAACCCAATAATGAAAAGAGAAACAACTCAATAAAAAGCAGACAGAAGACCGGAGTGGTGGCTTGCACCTGTGGTCCCAGCTACTGGGGAGGCTGAGGCAGGAGGATTGCTTGAATCCAGGAGTTTGAGGCTGTGATATCATGCCACTGCACTCTAGGCTGGGGGGCAAAACAAGACCCCATCTCAAAAACAAAAAACAAAAAAATACTTCACCAAAGAGGATATATTAATGTCTAATAAGCATATGAAAAGCTACTCAACATTATTAATGCAATTCATTGTACATAAACTATAACTCAGAAAAGCTTTAAAATTTAAAACTTATTGGTTATCTTTAGAAATTATTAGGGAATCAAAGATTGGTGGAAAAAGAGAAAGAATCAAGAAATTATCCAGTCTTTCTTATGTGAATTGTGCTTCCATAGTCATAAATACAGAAGGAATAATAGAATTAGAAAAGCACCATTGGGGAATCCTCAATAAAAATAATAGATTTAGACCAAGATAATCAACGGCTGCTAAAACATTAGGTTAGAGGCTGGTGAAGGACTTTATAATGGATGGATTCAGCCAACCACGCTGATGAAGGATTAGAGGCTGATGAAGGATTTTATAATGGATGGATTCTGCTGACCATGCTGAAATCATCAATCAAAAGCCATATTTCTAAATGTGGGACAGCCAGACATTATGTACTTTCTTTTGTGGTGCAATAGCACACAGTACCATCTAGAATATATTTTGGGGGAAAAATAATCTGAATATTATAAAGCTTCTAGATATAATTGCCATGAGGGATTGAAGAACATGGGGCTGAAGAAAACCTTGAGCATGCAATTAGCCAAAATCTGTGGGAAATTCTAAAGGTCAACAAAGAAATGTCATAAAAGGGGGTGAAAAGAGAGGAAATTCGAATAGATTAAAAGAGATTTATCCTTTAAATATCTTAAAGGATACACCAATCAAATGCCAAGGACAGCCCATATTTGGATCTTGATTCAAACAAACCAATCTTCTGTAAAAATATTTTTCAGAGATATGGGTAGCAATTTGAAAGCAGATGAGGTATGAGATGAAGCTAAGTAATTATTATTACTCTTGTTGGGTGTAATAATGATACCATGGTTATGCTTTTTTAAAAAAGTGATTACCTGTTGGGTATATATGCTGAAGTTTTGACAGGTTAAATTAAACCATATCTAGGATTTCCTCTAAAATATTCCAGAGGTAAGGGGTGAATGTTGTGGGAAGGATATAGATAAAACAATGTTGACAATTCTTTAAAAGTGGAAACATGGGGGTTAACTATACTGTTCTCTCTACTTTTGTGTATGTTTGAAATTTTCCATAATAAAGAATTGGGCTTTGGTTTCGTTTTGTTGAATTTTAAATGAGCTTGTTTCTACAGATCACAGCCCTCTGGCTGTGTTCTGACCTACTGAGAGTTCAACAGGATTCCCTCCCTTTACCCATATGGAGGCCACACACTCAATATCTGTAGGGTACAAATGACTGAAATGAGCCTGGGATAAAGAAAACAGCAAAGCAAGCCAGTGAATCAAGGCAGCTGGCACCTACCTCTGTGTTGGAGAATAATGGAGAGTGACAGGGACCGTGGCAAACCGAAAGCCACATACACATCCAAGATGGGCAGTCAGTCTTGCCATATAGGAATAAGGGCCCCAGATGGCCCGGCTTTTTTTTTTTTAGACAAGGTCTCACTCTGTCTCCCAGGCTGGAATACAGTGGTGTGATCTTGGCTCACTGCAACCTCCGCCTCTCAGGTTCAAGAGATTCTCCTGCCTCAGCCCCCCGAGTAGCTGGGACTACAGGCATGGCGAATTTTTGTATTTTTAGTAGAGGTGGGATTTCGCCATGTTGGCCAGGCTGGTCTTGAACTCCTGACCTCAGGTGATCCACCCGCCTCAGCCTCCCAAAGTGCTGGGATTACAGGCGTGAGGCACCACACCCAGTCCTGACTTTTCATTAGAAACTGAAAATCTCGGCATTTCTGTGAAATCTCCCAATATGGAGGCAAATGATTTTTTTTTTTTAATGTCAGCACTTTGCAAGTTAGTGCTGGAAGGCCAAACAAAATCTGTCTGCAGGCTAGATTTGTTCCATAGATGGCTGGTTTGTGATCCCTGACACCACAGCATCTAATGCATTATATAGTAATGCATTAATAATCAGTTGACATTCTTAGCAGTTGGGTCACACTGCTGGCACAACCGAGGTTGCACACATCTGAAATCCCCAGATCTTTTACATGCAAACAGCTGTCAAGCCAGGCATCCTCACACATGGAACTTTGAACTGAACATAGACTTACAATTATCTCTATGAAAATTGCATCTTATCATTTGTCAGAAACATTTGCCTCCAGATTGGCTCCACTCTTCTTCTAAATTCTACTGAATCTGCACTCCTTTCAGGCTGTGTCACCCCTAGCTCTGATGAGCCCTTCTTCATCCAAGCATTCTACAAAGCCAAGGTCAGCCTGGGTTACATCAGGTTTCTCTCCTGCTGGGGCCTGGGGTTGTTCAGTTGTCACTTCAAGCTTCCTTCGCAGTTTGGTCACTTCATACTTACCCACTTCCTTCTTGAAGCCACTACACAGTATAGTCAGGCCTAAGCCAGTGGTCTGATGCTAATAAAAATGTCATAATACTTTGTGGTTTTTAAAGCATTTTCCCATATTCTGACTTGATTTTTTTTTTTTTAATTGAGACAGAGTCACTCAGGCTGGAGTGCAGTGGTGCAATCTCAGCTCACTGCTGCCTCGACCTCTTGGGCTCAGGTGAGCCTCCCACCTCAGCCTCCCAAGTAGCTGAGACTACAGGCGTGCCTCATCACACTGGGTTAATTTTTGTATTTTTTGTAGAGACAGGGTTTCACCATGTTGCCCAGGCTGGTCTGGAACTCCTGGGCTCAAACAATCCTTCTGCCTCAGCCTCCCAAAGTGTTGGAATTACGGTGTGAGCCACCATGCCCTGCCTCACTTGATTTTTATCACCCACCACAACCTTAAAAAATTCTATCAACATCACTTTAAGACACTGGGCCACAAATAGGCTCAGAGTATGTTTGTTGTTTATGGCCTAATCAATAATTTCGTAGCTGAAGATTTCTAAATTAAGGAAAGAAGAACTAGTTTAGCTTCCTTCCAACCCTACCATCTTATCAGGAAAACAGTTCCTAAAGCCACTGCCATTCCAGCAGTAACCAGTAGGGACAGAAACAATATTGAAGAATGTTCTAACCATAAGAGTTGTTGGAAAATGGAATAAGTTGCCTTGAGAGGAACTGAAATTCTGATGCTAGCAGTTTTCAAATAGGAGCTAGGGTTTTGTGGAAAGGATTTCTCTGTGGATAGGAGGTTGACAGAATGATCTCTCATTCATTTATTGTTGTCTGTTTGGGATCTTGCTTTGAGCTCAGCTCTCAGAAGTACCTAAGAGACTCCTGGTGGTCAGTGAGTTACCTGTGAAGATTAGAAACCTGCACTTTCTGAGTCTGATCACTTTTCTGTTTGTGCATTTTAAAATTAATCACCTCTTACAAAGCAGTTTTTGGCAAATTTCCTTTTGAAAATGCCAACCCTTTCTCCATTATTCAAAAATGGAAAGAATCCATACAATGGACTGTCATACAGTCATAAAAAGAAATGAAGCACTGATATATGGTACAATATGGATGAATATTGAAAACATTATAAAGTGAAAAAGCCAATTACAAAAGACCACATGCTGTATAATTCCATTCGTAGGAAAGTCCAGACTAGGGAAATCTACAGAGACAAAAAGTGGATTTGTGGTTGCTTAGGGCTGGTGGGGGAACAGGATGGGAAGATGAGAGGGTGAGAACTAGTCTTGAGGTGATGAAAATGTTTGAAAATTTACTGTGGTGATGATTGTACTTATCTGTGAATATACTAAAATCCATTGTACACTGTAAAATGGGCGAGTTGTATGGTATAGGAATTATATCCCATTAAAGCTGTTGGGTTTTTTGTTTTTTTTTTTATAGAAAGTAAGCATACTTTTTTTTTTTTTTTTTTTTTTTTTTTGAGACGGAGTCTCGCTGTGTCGCCCAGGCTGGAGTGCAGTGGCGCGATCTCGGCTCACTGCAATTTCCGCCTCCCAGGTTCAAGCAATTCTCCTGCCTCAGCCTCCCGAGTAGCTGGGATTACAGGCGCACGCCACCACAGCCGGCTAATTTTTTGTATTTTTAGTAGAGGCGGGGTTTCACAGTGCTAGCCAGGATGGTCTCCTGACCTCGTGATCCGCCCGCCTTGGCCTCCCAAAGTGCTGGGATTACAGGCGTGAGCCACCACGCTCAGCCGCAAGTTTTTTTTGTTTTGTTTTGTTTTGTTTTGTTTTTTTAGACAGGTCTGGCCCAGGCTGGAGCAGTGGTGCCATCTCAGCTCACTACAACCTCGGCCTCTCGAATCCAAGAGATCCTCTCACCTCAGCCTCCCGAGTAGCTGGGATTACAGGTATGCGCCACCACACCCGGCTAATTTTTGTATTTTTAGTAGATACGGGGTTTCGCCCTGATGGCCAGGCTGGTCTTAAACTCCTGGGTGATTAAAAAAAAAAAAAAATCCGCCGACCTTAGCCTCCCAAGCCGGGATTACAGGCGTGAGCCACCGCGCCTATTTTTTTATTATTATTATTATTCTTTTTTAATGGATAGAGATTTTATTTGTTTCTAAGCCTGGGCTGCATTTCTACAGGGGACCTATCCCATGCCTCTGAGGATGTCTGTGAGCCAGAGGCGACCTCCCCGGGGCTGGCGAGGAACCCGGCACCAGGACGAGGGGAAGTGGGCGGCCCTTCCCACATTCCAGTTGGCATAGGGTTCCTGTTCTGCATCGAGGGGCTGGATGGGTGAGAGCAACCGAAGCCTGGGCTAGCGCAGGAGATAGACAAGAGCTCCGCCCTCCATCCATTTCTCTGAACGTTCTAGGTCTTGATTTTCACCACTCGCGGGGTAATATTTCCACCCAAAATCTAGCAACGATCCCGTCCATGAAAACAGCTGAAAATCTCCCCTTTGAAAGAACACGTCCAGGAGGCTTTCCATCCCTTAACTAAGCTTGTGCCCGCTTTGCCTACCCCCCCTGGCGATGTGGGGCAGGGCGCATCCGCCGGCGACCACTTGGCCTGATTTCCCGGCCCCCGGGAGGACTTCTGAACCAGGATTTGTGACGTGCCGCTAGGAGAAGGGGCACATGATGGGGAGGGGAACTCTCCGAGCACATTCCCCAAACTGCAAATCTGCCCAGGGACGGCTGGGCGCCTGGGTTGAGGAGAAGGGCCCGCAGTCTTATTGGTCTCTGCAGACAGAAGCGAGGGGGAAGAACTCATCACGAGTTACAAGGGCGGAAAACAGCCGCCCCAGGTCTCCCCACAGCTCCCCGGACGCCCCGCGCTAGGCCTCGGGCCCCAACGCCTGGGAATGGTCGGCGGTGCTTGGGCCCCGCCCGGGGGCGAGGGGCAGCGGCCCGGCCCCAGGCCTCATCTCCGCACCGGGAGCTCGGGCTCACACTGTAGAATGAAGTGCCCTGTAGAATATTCGATCCCCACGGCCAGCTAGGGACCCCGCCACAGTGGAGCGCCTCGCCACCTCCATCCGCCCTCCTGTGGTCCGGGACTAGGTGCAGTTACAGGACCCGCCTAAGAAGAGCACTAGAAGGACGCAGTGGGTGGATGTCCGAGTTCGAGCGGCTGGATGTCGCGCGGTGGCAACAAGTAGCTCGGAAAAGGGGTATTGAGAGTCCACTGCGAGCTGCTTCCTGCTTGCGGCCAATGGGGACGTGCGGCAGAGCAGTTAGAAACAAGAAGGGAGAAGACTAAAGAGAGACTCCTTACTTCTGGCAACGAGATACACAAAAGGGGTTGCGAACATCCAAAAGGGTCTTGCTCCAGGTGAGGCTCGAACTCACAACCTCGGCATTGCTCTGCATGTACTGCTGTATAAGTACCGCGCGCTAACCGATTGCGCCACTGGAGCTCTGCTGAATGGGCCTCGTGATGGCTCTATCAGGGTGCGCTGGCGCCCGCGGCGGGCCTCGGCAGAGCATGCGCGTTCGCGGCGCGAGCCCAGGCCCGAGCCTTCTGCGACTTCGCGCCGAGCTCCCGGCTGTTCCGCAGCCGATCGAGCCGGGGAAGCCTGCGAGTGTCGCCCTCGGGGATGGAGGGGCCGCCTAGCCTGGCCGTGACGGGAGGGCCACGGGGGCCCTGCAAAGAGCGCAGCGCGCAGCCCCGGGCCTCGCCGTAGGAGGAGCGGCCCCAGCGCCTGCGGCCGGAAAACCCCCTCTATGGGCTTCGCGTCCCGGAGCCGGCCCGCGAGGGGCAGGGCCCAGGCCGGGGAAGCGGCAGGCGGGCCTCGCCGCGGTGGTGACGCGGTCCGGGGGTGGGGCTGGGGCTGGGGCTGGGGCTGAGCCGGGCGGCCTTGCTCCCGCGCCCCGGGGAGGCCCGATCCGACTGCCCGCGGGGCCCCCCGGAAGGAGAGCGTCCGGAGCCCCCCAGTGGCGGCTGGCGGGGGCGCCCCGGCCGGGCGAGGCCAGGGGCCGGTGGCGGCGCGCGGCTGTGGCTTGGCGCCTGGTCCGGCTCGCGAGGTTCCGGCAGCTCTTGGGCCCTCCAGGCAGGAGGCGGGGCCCCGAAACCCGGCCAGGCCACCCCAAGCGGAGGACGCGGAGATAGCCCCGGCTTTGGAGGAGTTGCAGCCCAAACCCTGCGTGTTTTGTTGGGCCACAAAATGTTTGATGTTAAAACTAATTTCCATTACTTAAAATCAGGCGATCTCATACAAATATCTAGATATCCATTTAAAAACAAAACAAAATCTAAACACTGCACCCAGGGCTGAATTATGACTGTTCTTGGCCGTAGGCACTTTTGTCTTCGTGAGCTCCTGTCCTCCATTTAAAAAAAAAAAGAAAAAGTTTTGGAAAATTATATTTTACCACTGTGATGATATAAAAATGAATGTATTTCAAGCTGAATTTATTGCTATATTCATATTACTATTTTTCATTTAATACTATATTCGTTTTCTTCTCATTTCAAAAGAAATTAACATTTAAATTTTTTCTGGTCTATGCACTGTGCCTGTTGTACCTAATTGATAAGCCTGCCAGGAAGCTGGTCCTCCAGGGAAGGTAGCAGCCACCTCCAGAGTGCCAGCCACCTCCCGAGTGCCCACCACCCCCGTCTCTTCCTTCAGGCTTGTCTCACACATCTTGATGGTCTCTGAGCACCTGTTGGCATGTTGGTCACCTGTTTGATGACGTCTGCTCTCCTGGGAGAGCCAGCCGAGCAAACAACAGAATGATTATGGCAATAATGGGGGAAACTGCATGAGCAAGCGATGGACAGAATGAAGGTCATTTGTGTAGTCACCTTGAGGGTGACTTGGCCACAGTAACAGATTGTGTTAGGGTGACAAATGTCAAGCAGTGGGATGGTCCTGGACTGTAGAAGGCCTTGAAACTCGAGCAGAAGAGTTAAAGTGATCAGGTAGACCATGAGGAGGTAGCAAAAGATTCTATGTAACGCAGGGGGCCTCCCGAAGGAGTTTTTAGGAAAGTCTCCTTAGAAAGAAGCCCGGGGAGGCTGTTTCCAGATGGTTTTGTAAGCTGAGAGACACATCTGGAGACTCAGGAACTCACAACAGGGATGGTCAACACCTCGCAAGATCCCACCCCGCACCAGGCAGGTGGTGGGATACAGGGCTCTTTACAGCATGCCAGGATTAGGGCTCCTTGGAGCACTTGTGGATGAGGCCAGGGTAAATCAAGGGCAACAGAGAGTGATCCGTTAAATAAGTTCTTCCCGGAAGCTGGAACAGGATGTAAAGGTAAATGCATGGTTTGTGCAGGGTGGGGATGATTTTTCCCCCCTAAATTGAAAGGGGTTAATTCCTGGTAACAAATAAATTGTGGACTCATGCACAGCGTCTTCTCAAATCCCGTAGCATTTGCAGAATCTGCCCTTCCTCTGGAGTCTCTCAGGCAGAGCCCACCTGGTGAACCACAAGCAGCAGAGTTGGCCCTCGGTGGTCCAGCGTCCCCTCCCACTAGCCCCATTCATGGATCTACTCCTTTATTGGTTCCACAGATACTGACTGATCCCCGACTGCATGTAAGGGGAAGTCAGCCCCTCATAAAGTGAACCTAAATTGCTTAGCCCCCAAGAATATTTGTTCTCTAATGAGCCTAGTGTGGGTAAGGCTGCACCTGGTGAAGGGGGCAGGGTCAGAAACTCCGCTGCTGGAGATCTTTTCCAGCAAGGAAAAGTCTCCTGGGACCTGAAAGGCACTTAACCTCACCCAGACTGCCGCTAAAGAACAATGAACTTAGGAGTCTTCGCTGTGGTCCTCTTAAGTTTGTAAGAGACTGTAATAAGTCTCTTACTCTCTCCGGGCCTCAGTTTCCTCATCTATAAATTGAAGAATCTAGACCAGATAAGAGGTCTCCAGCCTGGCTTGACTAGTGGAGGACCCCTTTTACCATGTATACTCTTGCCAACACCTTGGAAGTATTTTATCATGCAATAATTTGTGTATGATGTGTAATAGAGAAGGGATTGTTAAATAAAACTTATTTTAGATCCATGTATAACTTTAAAACAGTAATACCGGCTGGGCACTTTGGCTCACACCTGTAATCCCAGCACTTTGGGAGGCCAAGGCAGGTGAATCACTTGAGGCCAGGAGTTTGAGACCAGCCTGACCAACATGGCGAAACCTCCTGTGGGTTGCAGTGAGCTGAGATCACACTACTGCACTTCAGCCTGGGCGACAGAGAGAGACCCTGTCTCAGTAAATACATAAATACAGCAGTAATATCTATATTATTAAAAGACTAGTTTCAACCTTTTCACATTTTCCAAGTAATGCAAAATGTTTAATTATGTAAGGGGAAAGCATGCTTTGTTAACAAATATCTTTTAAAATAACATATATCTGGTATTGGGACAAATGTATATTAAAATGTATGAAACTTAATGACTCATTGTAGCATCAAAAATAGACAAAAACTGCTTTCCTAAATGAATGTTTGGAATTCATGCCTTTTGCATTTTTTTTAAAAAACTGGTTTATTTTTATTACTTTCATTTTTTGTGTCTAAATGATGAGATAAAACAGAAGGGTTCAGACTGCTGTATGCAAGTGACATTCTGCAAATAGCATGATGTGGGTATGGCTGGTCTTCATTTCTAATAATGAGAGGCCAAATCAGATCTAATGGTCACTATATTTTCTCTATGACTTTGGTTTCAGATATACAAGAGACACCGTGATGAGCCATATAAACAGTTTGATGGGCTGAATGCAATTTGTAGGTCTAGTGAATGAAAATCGTCTTGGTTCAAAATTGTAGAATTCTCATTTTATGGTCCTCATTTACTTTATTCCAGCAAATGTTTTATATTTTCTATTTTTAGCCAGCATTTCATTATGGGTATATATTAAGCAGCATATGACTTTTAAAAATATTGCTGTAGAGTAGGCAAAGCCCACATGAGAAGCCACCCAAGCAGCTGTCACATGAACGCATATCTGGTGTTCAAGGAATGAATGCTTCATGTACCGGTGAGCACGCATTCAGAGGCTTCCAAAGTGATTCCATTTTAATGGGTAGCGGGGGATCTTAAAGGATTATTTTAATTGTTATTTTTCCAAATGGAAATGTAAAAGATGCCACTGCCACGTGCAACACTGTGGACCTTCCTGAATGCCTTTCAGAACCCCCTCCATTTGTCAGTGTCTGAGGTCCCCTCCTGTCCTGATAGTCCATGATGCTCACCAGCATCCCCGGGGAAAATGACCCCTTATTTTCCCTTAGGAGGAGAAAGAGGTGTAGGTCTCAAGGCCCATGCTCTAGGGAGGTGTGCTGCAGATTTGAACCAATTACACAGAGAGTGGAACATATGATAATTTGAGGGATCCCATCAAATTGCCTGGATTGACACCGAAATGAAGAAGTGGTGAGAGCCTGTCAGATGAGAAAAATTTTAAAGATTGGTAATGTCCAGTGTTGATGAGAGTGTGGGGAAATGGATAGTCTTTAGTTGGTTTTGTTTTTAAGATAGTTTATCAGAATCTGTCAGTGTTTTAAATGCATGTATCTTTTGATCCAGCAGTTTCTATAAGATTCTCTCTTACAGATATACCCATACTTGTGGACAAATATACCATATTTCATCAAATCTAAAACACTCTAAATTGTAAAATGTGCTATTATTTTATGTACCATTAAGAAAACAAAACCTACCGTTTTAACTATGACACAGTCCTTTCATATCACTTAGAATTGCGTCTTATACTCATTAAGATCACTCCTAGCTGGGCGTGGTGAGTCACACCTGTAATTCCAGCACTTTGGGAGGCCGAGGTGGGCAGATCACGAGGTCAGGAGATCGAGACCATCCTGCCTAACATGGTGAAACCCCGTCTCTACTAAAAATACAAAAAATTAGCCAGGCGTGGTGGTGGGTGCCTATAATCCCAGCTACTTGGGAGGCTGAGGCAGGAGAATGGTGTGAACCCGGGAGGCGGAGGTTGCAGTGAGCCGAGATCACGCCACTGCACTCCAGCCTGGGCGACAGAGCGAGACTCCATCTCAAAAAAAAAAAAAAAAAAAAAAAAAAAAAAAAAAAAAAAAAAAAAACGATCCTATGGATGACTCGATGTATTTTTAATCATATGTTCCTCTGGAGAGCCATTGCTTTCTGCTCACCTTTTCAGCCTCATAGTTTCTGTCACTGACAAACACTTCAAGGAGGACAGCAGCTCAGGGTGCTGAGCCCCCCTGAATGCACTTCTCTTCTCCATGAAATTTTGGCCCCTTAGCCCTTAGGCTGCCTTGGTGGCTCATTGTTGCATTCAGACAGATTGGGGGTAGGGTGGGGTATTTACAGAATTTCTAGCTACTAGCAGTGGGAAGGTTAGTTTCATGGAAGCTGATGCATCTGTAGATAATGTGACCACATAATTTATCCTCCAAACAGGGACATTTCTGAGAGTCAAAAGGAGCACTGTTAATAATACTGGACCAACAAGCATGAATTGTGCCGTCCCGGACAATTTGGAACATATGGTCACCCTAATCCTAGCTCCCTTTTGTGTTACCATAAATATATAAACCATAATTAGGGAAAACTCCTTGTTAAACGTCTCTATAAGAACATGGATGGGGTGTGTACCAGTCCATTTCGTACTGCTCTACTCCAAATTCGCCCTTCTTGGCCCTGCTTTGTGATCTTGGAGCTGGACCCTGAAAGTATTTGTCTTGTCAGCTGGTGCCACTGTTAGGTCTTGTCAGTAGAAAGTGCTAGAAGAACACTAGAAGGGACTTCTCTTCCTAGCTCAGTGCTTTTCTTCTGGCTCCTACAGCACAGCTGCCAGTGGGCGGCTTCCCGGTGAGATTTTGCCAGCACCCGACAGAGTTTCCTGCTTGCCATCCTCAGCCTGCAGCACCTCAGCAAACTCCTCCACCATCCGCAGGCCCCGGAGCCACCCTCACCAGTGAACTCTGAATCTCAGCCTTGGAGGGGAGGGAGAGTTTGTTGCTTCCTTGGGTTCCCTATGTCAGCCCTAGAGGTAGTGGCTGCTCCCTTTGTTATTCCTGAATTATCTAGAGTTCCATTTACCCTTCTTCGTAATGAATCCTCCTTTACTAGTTAATAATTTTTTACATTAAATTTTCCCTATTCAAACTACTGGTGTGTCTGAATCCTGACTGATAGGATGCATTAATTATTTCTTTTCACTTGTTGGAGAACAACAGCCTTCAAAGAACATGGAGAACATGGTGGTTGGTGGGTAAAAATAATACACTTACATAGTACTTATCATGTGCTACGCACCAACTCCAAGAACTTGACACCCTATGAAGCAATTTCATCCTCACAGCAACCCCATGAAGCAAGTAGCATTCTCATTTCCTTTCACCAATGAGGAACGTGCAGCACAGTGAGGTCGTGCAGTTTACCAAAACAAGTGGTAAAGCTAAGATTCAAATACAGATTGTGCAACTGAAGATCCATGCCCTCAAACTGTATGGAGTAGATGGCTCATTTTGCAACTTGGAGAACAGTGAGCATGCCTGGCCTTGACAACTCTGTGCCTCTCAGGGTCACCCCCAAGAGAGGCTCTTGTCAGGCTCACAGAAGCCTGTGTATTGGTGGCCAAAGCATTCCAACTTGAAACATGGGAAAGAAAGACCAGTTAGAATTCTGACCCCTAGAGAGGTGAAAACCATGACCCAGGCATGCTGGGCGCCTCTGTGCCTAGATTCCCCTCTGCTGAGGAATGGGGAGGGTTCCTCTGTCAATCCTGGCAAGGGATGGACCCAAACCTATGGGACCAGATAGAGGTCTCGGAGGCCACAGCACAGATGATGACTTTCCTGTGAGAGGACAAAGGAAGAGTTTCAACAGAGCCCGCCAGGGAGCTCTAGGGTTTCAGTAACACTCAAGGTGTTCCTTAGGTCAAAATTTTTGGGTGAGTGGGAAAGCCCACCTTGTGGGGAAGAAGAAAGACAAGAAACTGGAGTAAAACAATCTACATCCATGTTTCTGCTCAACCAACTGGTTGAGTGACTTCAATAGTTGTCCATTGATCATATATACCACAGTTGGCTGAGCCATTCTCCTATTGATGGACATCCTAGGCTCTTTCCTATGTGGGGCTTTTACAAGCTTCTAGGAGCATATGTGTACAAGTATTTTTATTTTTATTTCTCTTGGATAAATACAGAAATGGAATTGCTGGGTTGTAAGGTATGTTTCTGTATAGTTTCTTTGTTTTTAGCATTTTTATTGTGGCAAATTACACATAACATAAAATTTACCATTTTAACTGTTTTTAAATTGTACAATCCAGTGGCATTTAGTACATTATGACGCCCGGCTAATTTTTTTATATCTCCTGACCTCAAGTGATTTGCCCGCTTCAGCCTCCTAAAGTGCTGGGATTACAGGCGTGAGCCACCACACCTGGCTATTTTTTTCTTTTTATAGTGGTAAAATATACAGAACATAAAATTTACCATTTTAACCCTTTTTAAGTGTGTGATTCAGTGGCATTAAATACATTTACGTTGTTGTACAACCATCTCCACTATTCATCTCCGCAACTTTTTTCTCATCTCAACTGAAACCCCATACCCATTAAACAATAACTCTCCATTACCTCCTCCCCCGAGCCCAGTAACCACTATTTTACCTTCTATCTCTACAAATTTGACTATTCTGAGTATTCATAAAAGTGGAATCATACAATATTTGTCCTTTGTGCATGGTTTGTTTCACTTAGCGTAATATTTTTAAGGCTTATTTATGTTGTAACATCTATCAAAACTTCATTTCTTCTTAAGGCTGAATAATATTTCATTATATGTGATACTACGTTTGGTTTATACATTCATCTGTCAATAGACGCTGGGTTGTTTTCATCTTTTAGTTATTGTGACTAATGTTACTACTAACATCGGTGTACAAATATCTGTTTGAGTCCCTGCTTTCAGTTCTCTTGGGTGTATCTCTAAAAGTGGAATTCCTGGAAGATACAGTTAATTCTATGTTCAATTTTTTTGATAAGCCACCATACAGTTTTCCACAGCAGCTGTGCCATTTTTACATTCTCACTAAAAATACACAAGAGTTCCACATCTTCACCAACACTTGCCATTTTATGTTTTGGTTTGTTGTGGTTGCTGTTGTTTTTATAATAGCCATCCTAATGAAATGAAGCACTATCTCACTGTAGTTTTGATTTGCGCATCCCTAATCATTAGTGATGTGAGCATCTTTTTATGGGTTTATCAGCCATTTATATATCTCCTTTGGAGGAATGTCTGTCAAGTCCTTTGCCTATTTTTTAAATTCTGTTGCTTGTTTTTTTTGTTGTTGAGTTTGGGGAGTTGTTTTATATTCTGGCTATTAACCCGTTATCAGATACATGGTTTGCAAATATTTTCTCCCATTTTGTAGCTTGCCTTTTCACTCTCTTGATAGTGTCCTTTGATGCACAAAAGTTTTTAATTTTGATAAAGGTCCTATGTTTGGTGGTTGTTTGGGGCTTTGTTTTTGAGACAGGGTCTATCTCTGTTGCCCAGATTGGAGTGCAATGATGCCATCATAGCCCACTGCAACCTCAGACTCCCGGGCTCATGCAATCCTCCTGCCTGAGCCTCCCCAGTAGATGGGACTATAGGCACACGCCACCACTGTCTGCGAACTTTTTTTTTTAAATTAGAAATGAGGTCTTGCCATGTTTCCCAGGCTTGTCGTGAACTACTGGCCTCAAGGGATTTTCCCACCTCAGCCTCCCAAAACACTGGGATTACGGACATGAGCCCCAGAACCCGACCCCTATGTTTAGTTTTATAAGAAACTATGGAACTCTTTTTTTTCAAATTAGTTGTGCCACCTTATACTCCCACCAGTAATGTTGAGAGTTCCAGTTGCTTGACATCCTCACCAATGCTTCATATTGTCAGTCTTTAATTTTAGCCATTCTACCGGGTGTGTAATAGTATCTCATTGTATATTTAATTTGCATGTTAATTTGCATTTATACAATGCAAATTAATTTGCATATATTTAATTTGAGCATGTCATTAATTGCTCAACTAATGATGTTAAGCAATATTTTGTGTGTGCTTATTGGTCATCTGTGTATCTTTATAAAATGGTTGCTCAAACCTTTTGCCCATTGTTTTGTTGTTTTTTGTTTGTCTTCTTTTTTGTTTTTGGGTTTTGGTCTTTTTTTTTAATTAAGTTGTAGGAGTGGCTAAATGCCTCGGGTAAGTCATTGATTTTCTGTTTCTTTATCTGTAGGTAGCAAGTATGAATTCCTCCATGACATCTGGGCTACAAGAAATGCCAAGCTTGGCCACTGCTCACAGTACCCGGGACTCATAAGAATCCATGCATGCCTTCTCCCATCTAAGACATGCGGGATCCATGCCAGGAAGAATGAGGCACATGCCAGAGGATATGGGGGCTGGGAGGAGGGCACTAACCCAGAGTGATTTGAAATGAGGTAGCATTCAATGGCCCCTGGCAAAAAAGAGAAAGAAGACGAGGGAGCTGAAAAATGTCTTCATGGAGAAAGGAGGGAGGGAAGACAGGGAGGGAGGGGTGGTCCAACTGGCCCTGGAGCAGGGGAAAATGGAAATGTAGCAGATATATAAGCTAAACTGAAATCTCAGCACAGAGCTGGCCTATGAATTTCTCCCAGAGGGACCTTCTGCCTGTGGGGTAAAAGGGAGCATAAACTTCCAGTTCTGTTTGCAGAGAGCCCTGAGGAACTGACACTGACCACAGCCAGATGAGAGGCCTTCTCCTCAGCTGCCAAATTCTGCTCTGCACTGCCCAACAGTGTCTTAGCTAGGGTAGCTGGCTCCATCCCAGGGCCAACAGCCAATTTCGATTACATTAAGGAGGCAGTGTATTGGGGGACCAACAAGTTTTATTGTTTGATACCCTGATCTTAGAACCTAACCCTCCCAGAGGTGCAAATCACAACCATAAACAAATGTATCGTAATAGAGAATTAAGCTTATAAAGATACATCAGTCAGGGGACAGAAACTATACCAATTATTTAACAGAGACAATGTAATACAGAGAACTGTTAACTAGGTTTATGGTTATTAACTAGATAACTGAAAAGTCAAAAAAACAAATCTGCAGTATCACTTAAGTTAGTAACTGCAAGAAGCAGCTACCCACTCGGGCTGAGAGAACAAAGGAAGAAGTTGAACCACTAAAGCTTAGAAGTTGGAGGAAGAGCCCTCTGCATAATTGAAACTCAGACTTCTGAGGAAAGGCTCCAGCATCTGCACTGGCATCTCTGCTGTGGTCACTTTAAAGCTGGTTCTGCAGGTATTGGGAAAACCACAGGGTGGGTTTGGAAACTGCTAAGGGAGCCAGGGCTTAGTGGCTCACGCCTGTAATCCCAACACTTTGAGAAGCCAAGGTGGGAAGATCGCTTGAGCCAAGGACTTTGAGAGCAGCTTGGGCAGCATATCGAGGACCTATCTCTACAAAAAATTTAAAAATGAATCCAGTGTGGTGATGCGCACCTGTAGTCCCAGCTGCTTGGGAGGCTGAGGCAGGAGGATCACTTGAGCTCAGGAGTTCAGGGTTGCAGTGAGCTGTCATCACACCACTGCACTCCAGCCTGGAGCAACAGAGTGAGACAGCTCCAGAGTGAGACCCCCGTCCCTACCACTACTACTGCTAATAATAATAATAGTGCCAAGCTTGTGAAACCGGGTCCAAATGGAAAGTGATAAGTACTCAACTATCTCCCTCAGTGGGTGTGAATAAGGACACTTCCAGCCTCATCCCTTGGCCACTCAAGGAACCAGCCTCGGGATGAAGCTAATGCTATGGGTAGCAGATGGGAGGGATGGAAAGAACCAGGGTCCATGATGGCGATGCTGAGTCACGGGCTCACTCTCCTCTGGGTATCCAGTTGTGTAAGCCTTCTGTCTTTCTGTTGATTACAGCATTGTTTAACTAAGGCCTCTGCTACTTTGCAGCCACAAGCATCTTGATAGATTAGGAAAGCAAAAAAGAGGATAAAAAAGAAACCAGGAAAAGGGATGTGTGGTAGATGAAATAATCCTTCTTGGTTCTTTTCAAAAATCTCCTGTCCTGATCCCCGGAATCTGAGTATGTCACCTTACAAAACAAAAGGGGATGTTGCAGATGTGATTAAGTAGTTCGATGAAGAGATTATCCTGGATTATCTGGGTAGGCCCAATGTAATCACAAGGATTAGTTACAGAGGAAATGTGACAACAAAAAAAGAGAATGAAATGATGTGTTTTAATGAAGAAGGAAGGCACCCTGTGAGCCAAGGAATGCAGGTGGCTTCTAGAAGGTGGAAAAGGCAAGAGAACAGATTTTCTTCTAGAGTTCTCAGAAATAATGCAGCTCTGACAATACCTTGATTTAGCCTATAAGACCCATTCAGACTTCTGACCTTCAAAACTATAAGACAATACATTTGTGTTGTTTTAAGGCACTAAGTTTGTGATTTTTTTCAATTTATTTTATTTTATTTTTTCGTAAAGACAGCATCTGGCTATATAGCCCAGGCTGGTCTCAAATTCCAGGCCTCAAGCCATCCTTCCTCCCTGGCCTCCCGAAGTGCTGGGATTATAGGTTTGAGCCACCATGCTGGGCCTGTGGTAATTTATTATAGCAGCTATAGGAAACTCACACAACATGGTAGTTACAAAACCAAAAGAAGATGCTACGAATAAGTACAAATGTAGCAATAATTAAATAGATATGAAAGAGTTGAATCCAATGACTACTAAACACGTAACTAACAGATTGGATTTTTTTTAAACTCCAGGTAGGTGCCCTTCATGAAAGATATATCTAAAACAAAATGATGCAGGGAAACCATATACCTGTTGTCTCAGTTATCTACTGCAGTATAACAAACCACCCTCAAAACTTAATGACTTAGTGCCGGGCACGTGGCTCATGCCTATAATCCCAGCACTTTGGGAGGCCGAGGCGGGTGGATCTCTTGAGGTCAGGCGTTCGAGACCAGCCTGGCCAACATGGTGACATCCTGTCTCTACTAAAAATACAAAGTTAGCCGGGCATGGTGTCACGCGCCTGTAATCCCAGTTACTTGGGAGGCTGAGGCAGTAGAATCATTTGAACCCGGGAGGTGGTGGTTGCAGTGAGCCAAGATTGTGCCACTGCACTTCAGCCTGGGCGACAGAGTGAGACTGTCTCAAAAAACAAAACCAAACCAAACCTTAATGACTTAGGAAGGTGGCTTTAGTGGCCGCATGAAGCACACCCTGATTGCCGAGGAACAAGAGTGCAAAGCTAAGAAACTGAGGCATTTTGAAGAGTTTGAAGACACTTGGCTTCCTTATCTGACCCCCAAAGATGAATTCTATCAGCCGTGGCAGCTGAAATATCCTAAATTAATTCTCCAAGAAGCCAGCAGTGTATCTGGGGAGCTCCATAAAGAGGCTCAAGAGGCCGGGCGCAGTGGCTCACGCCTGTAATCCCAGCACTTTGGGAGGCCGAGGCAGGAGGATCACGAGGTCAGGAGATCGAGACCATCCTGGCTAACACGGTGAAACCACATCTCTACTAAAAATATTTTTAAAAATTAGCCGGGCGTAGTGGTGGATGCCTGTAGTCCCAGCTACTCGGGAGGCTGAGGCAGGAGAATGGCGTGAACCTGGGAGGCAGAGCTTGCAGTGAGCTAAGATCGAGCCACTGCACTCTAGCCTGGGAGACAAAGTGAGACTCCGTCTCAAAAAAAAAAAAAAAAAAAAAAAGAGGCTCAAGAAGCTTTTCTCACACTGCACAAGCATGGCTGCTTATTTTGAGCCCTGGTTAGGATCCAAGGCAAAGATTTGCTCACTTCAGTATCTCCCATCCTCATTGGTAATCCAGGTTGCACCTACAAGTCCCTGAACACTAGGTTCTTTATGGTACCATGGCCAGTGAAAGGGTCTAATATAAAATACACCGAGGGTCAGGTGCAGTGACTCACGCCCTGTAATCCAGCAATTTGGGAGGCCGAGGTGGGCAGATCACTTGAGGCCAGGAGTTCCAGACCAGCCTGGCCAAAATGGTGAAACCCTGTCTCCACTAAAAAAAATACAAAAATTAGCATGATGGCATGGACGGACCTGCAATCCCAGCTACTCGGGAGGCTGAGGCAGGAGGATCGCTCAAACCCAGGAGGCAGAGGCTGCAGTGAGCCAAGATCGTGCCACTGCACTCCAGCCTGGGAAACAGAGTGAGACTCTGTCTCAAAAAATAAAATAAAATACACCAAGGCTGAAATAGCTGCTGCTTGTCAGACCTTCCTCAAGGTCAATGACTACCTGCAGATAGAAATAATCTAGGCTTTGGAAGAACTTGCTGCCAAAGAGAAAGCTAATGAGGATGCTGTGCCAGTGTGTTTGGCTGCAGATTTCCCCAGTGCTGGCATGGGGTCATCCGGTGATGGACAAGAAGATGAACTGGACATAAAGAGTAGAGCAGCATACAACGTAACTTTGCTGAATTCATGGATCCTCCGAAAATCCCACACCTGAAAGAGAAACCTTATTTTGGCATGCGGAAAATGGCAGTGCGCTGGCATCATGCTGAAAATCTGGTGGACAGGCCCCAAAGAGGAAAGTGAGGACGACTCTCATCTTGAAGGCAGAGATCTTGATACTTGGCATGTTGGTGTTAAGATCTCATGGGATGTAAAGACACCTGGTTTGGCAACACCCCAAGGAGACTGCTATTTCATGCTTGGTAATCTTTGGAGAACCAAAATTATATTGCTACTCTAGCATCTAAATTTAGATTATTGGGTATATATTTTGAATATGTCTTATAAAGTAAACTTCTGGAGCATTTGATATTAATAGTGAAACTTCTTTACAAGAACATGTAACTAGGTTTTTCTTTTTTGAGATACTACTAAATTTTAAAAAGTTGCTTTTCTTTTTATTCTAAGTAGTTGTGGAGTTCCTCAAATATGCTAAACAATTTTCAGAATTATTCATGAAAGCTATTAAAGCATCCAAGTCAACTTATTAGTATAACTTGAAAAAATGCTTCCCTGTCTATATGCGTTTTTAGTAGTGAGAGAGTTTTGTCTAGTTTTGAATTTAGTTCTTCTCAGGAACAGCTGACCTGACAATGGGGCCTTTCTCTCAACTTGTCATTTAGTTCTTTCGGAAGAAATATCTCAGCTGTGGTTAGGCTAACTTAAGCTGTAGAGTTTGTGGGGCTTTTTTTTTTTTTCTTCCTGCTGTAAGTTTTTATTTTGTTTTTGGACTTTCTACTTGTTTTCCAATACGCAATGTGCAAACAGTATCCTTTTTTACTCAAAGCTTCTCGGGGCTTATTCTTTACTTGGCTCTAGTTCCTGATTCTTGGGGGTTTACCTCACTCTTGTCTACCTGGAGAAATCTACTCATATGTTAGTTTTGGAGCCCGGAAGAACCAGGGCTGACACTCAGTGTTTATAATAAGAGTTAATTCCCAATTTGGTATTTGTAGAGAGTCCACTGTGTTCCAAGTACTGTGTAAGGTTCCGGAGGAGATATCGGAGGTGGATAAATATTGGTCCTTGCCTTTGGGGAATTCAGAGTACCGAATAGCTCTTTAGGCCATTCTCTCATTAAGTATTTTCCAAATTTCAGCTCTTTGCACATCAGCTTCAAGGTTTTCGTCATATCCATGTACTACTTGTATAATTATTTACATACTATTTCTGCCTAGATAAACTAACCTTTTTTATCTTAGAAAAAACTGAATGGCTTAAAGTAACAAGTAAGACAGCTGGGCAAGTCTCTGCATGTCTCCCCTGGGTTCACTCATGCAGCTACAGTCATCTCAGATGGTCTTACACAGCTGGTGCAGGCTGTTGGCCAGCCTCACCCTCCACATTGTCTCTCATCCTCCAGGACACTAACCCAGGCTTCTACACATGGTGGGAGCAGCGTTCCAGGTGATGAGATCAGCAGCTGGGAGACCTGGTGAGGACTAGACTCAGATGTCCCATAGCATTAGTTCTGCTGCCTTCTGTATTCACAAGTCACAATGCCAAACATGATTCAACGAATAAGGAAATGGACTTCACCTCTTATTAGAACAGAGGCAAAGTCACAAGGCGTATGGATTCAGGAAGGGAAGGAGTTATTGTGTCATCTTTTTGATCAACTTACCATATCTGGAAAACACTAGCACAAAGTGGGTGTAGGAATATTAATATCAAAGTTGAAGTCAAGGTGAAAAGAAACTAAGAGGAAATATTTCTTAGAGATAAAAGAAACACTACAAGAAGAAGATAAAATAGTCATGAGCATGTTTTCGTCTAATGACATACATTCAGAATATGTAAAGCAAAAGCTGTTAAAGAATAAGGAGAGGCTGGGCACACTGGCTCGCAGCTGTAATCCCAGCACTTTGTGATTACAGCACTTTGTGAGCCCAGGAGTTCAAGACCAGCCTGGACAACATGGGGAAACCCCATCTCTACAAAAAAAATACAAAAAGCCAGGCGTGGTGGTGTGAGCCTGTAGTCCCAGCTACAGTGAGGACAGGCAGGAGGATCACATGAGCCCGGAGAGATTGAGGCTAAGATCGCACCACTGCACTCCAGCCTAGGCACAGAGTGAGAACCGGTCTCAAAAAAAAAAAAAAAAAAAAAAAGGAAAAATTGACCCCAAAAATCACAGTGTTAGATTTTAACATATCTCTCTTGGAAAATAAAATATTAAGCACTTTAAAAAATAAAGATCAAGACTATTTGACTAACACAATAGCATGACCTAATAGAAATATTCTGAACTACGTTCTAAGCAGAGTATACACATTCACAAAAATTGACCATAAGCTAAACTGCAAAGGAAATCTTAACACATCTCCCCACCCAAAAATAATACAACACGGACCATCTTCTCTCACCACAATGCAATACAATTAGAAATGAAAAACAAAACGATAGCCAAACAAAAAACAAACCAGTGTATGTCTAGAAACTTTTAAACAGACTTGTAAATAACTCAAGTTAAAGGGGTAGCAGGACCAGAACCTAGACTTCCAAATAACCAGTGTAGTTCATGATCTAGTCCTTTTGTTCATATAAAGCTATTTGTTTTAAAATAGTTGCTGAATTACATGAAAGGGTGAGAAAGTGGGAGAGACAGAAAGGCAGAGACAAAACAAGGTGGGCTGGGAAAGGGATTCACTGGAGCAACGAGTTCAGTGTATGGAAGAATTGAAGGGTCAGATAGTTATTACCAGCCAGGTTCAGCAAAGCCTAGAAGGATCTGCTGGTCTCAGTGACCTGGGCAGGCAAACACCACCCAGCGGAGGCCAGGGGAAGACACCAGCAAGCAGGCCAGATCCTTTGAGCTTGGATCGTGGGGTAGATTCTATTTGCTTCTAATCCTTTAGTGCAGATGAGCTCCTGTGTGCAGAGGAGAGAGGTGGCTCCTAGAAGCGGGTAAATTCCAGAAACTACAAGGGGCCCAACAGTCAGTATCCAGAAGGATTCCAGATGGTTCCAACTCAACAATGCCAGAATACTCACAACATAGCAACTGTCCGTTTTCTGAACATTGGAGTCCAGTGGTGCCTGAGCCAGGAGGCTTGCCAATTCAGTAGACCAGACGTGGTATTTGCTCTACACAGCACAAATCAGAGGGCATATTTGATAGTGATAACATAGCAGTCATTTAGCTTGTGTAGAGGGTTACTCGGGATATTTCAGACCCCCAAAATTCTACTTGTGGCCTTAATTATTCACATTATTTGATCACATCAGTTAAAATACAGAGTACCTATCATTCTTTCCTTTGCACTATGGTAACGGAACATCTGTTGGGCTGAAATCAATTTTTTCTCCTTTTTGTGTGAATTCATTGATGCCTTCATCCACCCACTCACCCATCCCTCCATTTAACTAACACTCAAAGCAAACTTAACACATCTCAGATCCTCAGTGCTTCATGTGTCATTGTTTACGTCTCCTCTGATTACTTGTAGATGAGAAAAATAAAGAAGGTGGTGTGAGTTACTTGGGTGCAAAACGATATTCTAGTTTTGCACTAGAAGTGCTCAGCTAAAACTGTGCTAGATAAATAACTAAAAAAAAGGAGAGAGAAAAATGAAAAAAAAAAAAAGAGCGTCAGAGAGGAAACGGGAGGGTCTCAGTGGGGAATTCGGCTTCCTGTCGTCTGGGTTTTGATTTTGAGTTGTACTAGAGGAGTCTTTATGTCTGGAATGCTGAGAAAACCAGCCCAGGCCAGGCGGGCTGTGAGGGCAGGATTTAGAGGCGTTTAGTTTCTTAAACTCTATAGTCTGGATTCCGGTGTCAGGGGCCTGAGCCATTTTCCTCCTCCCCTACCCGTCAGCTCCCACTCCCTCCAAACTTCCTAAGAAAGTTCTGAGTCCTGCAGAAAGACAGGCTTCTCCATCTTCCACACCCGCGCAGATTTCTCTTTCCTCACACATGCACGCCCAGGCCCAGCGCCCCAGCCCCTCACCCCCAGGATAACTGTTAGAGTCTCTCACACGGGGCTGTCATCATTAACACCCCGAGATTCCCGAGGGCTAGGACACTGAGGCCGGTGTCCACATCTGCCAAATTCCTCCCATAGCTGCGTGCGAACTGAGTATGTTCCTAAGACGCCTAAGGAGTTCAGCACGGGGCTCGGGGTCCACTGCGACACTGCGCGGACAGCGGCCGCTCGGCTGGGCCTCAGGTGGGGAGGGCTCGCGGTCCTGCCCTGAGCCCGGGCTCCGCAGCTCGGCGCCTGCACCGCTCCCCTCGCCGAGCCCGCGGCGGAGTCTGCCGGCCGCACGCAGCAGGTCTGGGGCTCACCTTGAATCGGGACCTGCGGGGACCGCCGTGCGGCTTCCCGCTGGGTGAGCGCCGCAGCCCTGAGTGGCGGGGCAGTCATTCCCCTTTTCCAGATGGGAAAGCCAAATCTTGAGCCCAGCGCCAGCACCGTGTTCTCAGGTGCTGGGACTTCCAACCCGCGATCTCCTCACTGTAGTATTTCTGGGAACCTTCCCTGGGATTCCCCTCGGGGCGTAGAGGGAAGGAACGTCTGGGGACAAGCGTCCAGGAAGGGTCTGGATTCTTTGTCCTCCGCCGGGAGCAGGCCCCACCGCAGGCGCCAGTGTGTGGGGCGCCCCGGAGACGGTGGCGGGGACCGAGCCCCTGCCCCGCGGAGAAGCAGAGGGCGCGGGACGCCGTTCCCCAGCGCTGCCGCCGCCGCGCTCGCCAGGGCCTGGAGTGGCGCGGAGGGCGGCGGGCTCAGACCAAAGTCCACCAGGGGGCAAAGTCCGCGGGCCCCAAGCCCCCACCACGGGGTCGCGGGGGTTTGCTCCGCCTCGTGAGCTTGGGATTCTGGTTAAAAAGGCGGCTGGGCGGAGCTGCGGGCCTCCGACGGCGGGAGGACAGCGCTGCGAGGAGGCGCCCGGGACAGTCATGGAGCGCCGCCTGGGAGTGAGGGCCTGGGTGAAGGAGAACCGGGGCTCCTTCCAGCCCCCGGTCTGCAACAAGCTCATGTGAGTCCAGCACCCCCATGGCCGCCCCCTGCCCTCGCCTCCTCCCCCTCCTCCATCTGCGCCCTCACCTTCCAGCTCCGAGTTCCTGGACCCAGAAGCTTGCAGAAGGACCGCTTTAATCTCTTGGTTCTTGGGGGAAGATGGAGACAGGCTGTTCCGGTTCCACCACATCGGTCTGTTCCTCTTTCTTGTGACTGTGGCCTTGACTTCTGAAGAAGGCTGAGCTGGTTCTCAGGCTGTAGGAGATGACATGACAGGGTGCACCTCTCCTTCCAGGGCTGAGAAACAATTCTCCAACCCCAAGTGACACTGTGCATTTTGGGAAAACTCAAAAGTGTGGGGAGGGTGGTTTTCAAGGCAGAAATGCACTAGAATGTAGGCCTGGGGGCAGCCAAATCATACACCCCAACCCTGTCCCAGAAGCCACAGGCAAAGGGGGAGGCAGAGAATCCGCTCCTTTGGGAAGATCTTGATGTCTTGCTTTTTTCAGGGCCCCTCTATGCAGGTGTGCACGAACACACACACACACACACCACACCAGACCCTCCCTAGGCCACCTCTGCCAGTAGCCTCTGCCTGCAGCACCCAACAGGGTTGGCCATCCAGCTGCCATCTTTCTCAGGCAGACCTCTCAGGCCCTCCCCTGTGGTATGGTCACCTCCCTCATCCCCCCAGTTCCATGGCGGGGCCCCACATGCCAGCTAGATCAAGGTTTACATTCCCCATTTTTGCTGTGTCCACAGGACATGGTCAGTAGGGTGGCACCTCAAGGCAAACAGCAGGCCCAGGACTATGCCAAGTGTTTTTACATCATCTCATCTCATTCTCACAGTAGCACCGTGAGGGGGGATTTTCATAAGTAACTTTTCTAGTGTCACGGAGCGCCTGTGCGATAGGCTCCAGACTCAACCCACGGAGCAGTTCGACTCCAGAGTCCACGCACACTCTTGGTTACCATGCAATACCACATGGCCAACAGTCAATATCTCCCCAAAGATCTCTTCTATCACTGTTGTTGCCCACCCCCAATTAAAGATGTAGCATCATCTTTGCCTCCTTCCAACACTTCATCCCCATCTGCAGTCGCTCCTTCTCAGTCCTCCCTTCGCTCCCCCTGAGGTCTCGCGTCCATCTGCCCGGGCCTCTCCCTAGCATTTGGTGGTTTGCTGGCATCATTGGTATTCTTGCTTCTGCTGTACCACGCCCACCTCCACCTTCGTCTTCACAAGGCAGTCTCCTTGTGTGTGTGTCTGTGTCCAAATTTCCCTCTTTTAAAAGAACACCAGACATATTGGATCAGGGGCTCACCCTACTCCAGGATGACCTCATCCTAACCTAACTACATCTCAAGGACCCTATTCCAAATAAGGTCACATTCTGCAGTACTGGGCGTTAGGACTTCAACATATAAATTTTACAGGAGGGGTTACTATTCAGCAAGGTGAGAAGCTGCTGAAGCAAGCAAGGTGAGAAGCTGCTGAAGAGTTCTGGGCAGAGGAGGGGCAGGTCTGGTTTATGCATTCTGACTGATGGGTTGAAAGAATTCTTGAGTGGAGTTGTTTAAGAATTGTCTGTATGTACCTAAATTACATCTCAGTGAAGTTGATTTTAAAAAACAACTTTCAAGCCGGGCGCAGTGGCTCATGCCTGTAATCCCAGCACTTTGGGAGGCTGAGGTGGGTGGATCATTTGGGGTCAGGAGTTCAAGACCAGACTGGCCAACATGGTGAAACCCCGTCTCTGCTAAAAATACAAAAATTACCTGGGCGTGGTGGCACGCGCCTGTAGTCCCAGCTACTCAGGAGGCCGAGGCAGGAGAATTGCTTGAACCCGGGAGGTGGAGGCTGCACTGAGCCGAAGTTGTGCCACTGCATTCCAGCCTGGGTGGCAAGCAAGACTCTATCTGAAAAAAAAAAAAAAAAAACAAACTTTCCAGGTTCCCCAGCACCCCTTAGGCCAAGACCAGACTCCATGGCTGGTCCACCCTCCTGGACCAGCCTTCTCAATCGTTCCCCAAGCTCACCCCCAGTGCTTCTAATCTCAGAGCCTCTGCACCCAGCTCTCCTGTGCACACTCTTCCCCAGTCAAGTTCCTTGCGGCTTCCCTCCCCTCCTTGAAGCTCTATGCAGCTTTAAGTTCTTTAAGCATGGACTGTTCATGACAGCCTTCTCCTGCCCTGCAACCTCATCCACCTTTCCAAACATCAGGTCCACACGTGTGTTTCCGGTTTATTGGGCCCAGCCTCCCAAAAGGGAAGGAAAAGGAAAGAGACTGGCTCTTCCGTCTTGCCTCCATGCCTCCCAGCTGGGCTGGAAAGCAGCCCACAGGACAGGACACTCAGAAAGGACCTGCCAGTCTAGTTTGGGGGCTCAGACCTCCCCCATAGCCCCTCCCCTGCCATCCACACCATCGTCATCCATGCAGGCAGCCTCTAGGCTGCTGTGCCCTGTGTGTACAAATGGTCCCAGACCCAGCGCCTCCCCTTCCCAGAGGAAAGCCCTTGCCCCTGCCCTCTGTGGCAGGGCCACCTGAGAACACCCTGAAGCCCTACACAGACACATTCTGCTGCTTATTCACCCCAGTGTCTGCACCCTGAAAGGGGACCCTGCTGTGGGGATGGGGCAGGCTGTTCTCAGGAGGTGCTGAGGTATTTTTTGCATAAAAAGGTAACACCACACCAACAGCAGAAAGACTGAGGAGTTTGGGAACCCTTTTGTTCCAAACAGCTGACTAGATGCCCCACAGACCCAACGCCAGCGTGGGAGTCAAGGAGCCTGAGACCTGGCTCAGGTTCAGTCATTCCCTGGCTTTGTGACCCTCTCTTGGCTGGCTAAATCGGCTGTAAAATGAGAGGGTTGTATTGAGTTTATTTATTTATTTATTTATTTAAGACAGAGTCTCCCCCTGTTACCCAGGCTGGAGTGCAGTAGCGCAATCTCAGCTCACTGCAACCTCACCTCTCAGGTTCAAGCGATTCTCGTGCTTCAGCCTCCCAGGTAGCTGGGATTACAGGTGCCCACCACCAGGCCTGGCTAATTTTTGTATTTTTAGTAGAGACAGGGTTTCACCATGTTGGCCAGGCTAGTGGCCTCAAGCAATACATCCGCCTCTGCCTCTCAAAGTGCTGGGATTACAGGCATGAGCCACCACGCCCGGCCGGGTTTATTTATTTTATCAAATACTTAAATAGTGCTTACTATATGCTAGGCACCATTCTGAGAGCTTCCAAATATTAATTCATGTATTCTGTTTAAACTCTGTGAGGTAAGAACTGTTCCTCTATTTTACAGATAAGGTTAGTAACATGCCCCAGGGCCTGTGCTTATAAACACATGCCACACTGACTTGACACCGCCTGAGGCCCCTGCTAGATGTCACGGTCTCCTGCATCCACTGAGCCATGCCTCCAGCCAGGGGAGAGTGCAGGGTCCTATAGTCAGACAGCATGGGTGAGTGGCAGGTCAAGGTCGTTTTGCCCCTACACTGCCCCATCCTGGGAAGGGGTCTTCAATTTGCTACTCTCCTGTAATTCGAGATCTTGATCCTGTGATCCTGGTTGATGAAGCCATAGATTCACCACCACATCATTTCCCTTGTTGGGTCAGACGATGTGGGGGGACACACAAACAATGACAGACAGACACACAGACACGATCCCAGACACATAGACACTTAGATGCACGCAGGCATGAACCGGGGATGAGAGTTGGGGAACAGGGACAGTGAGGCCAAAACAGCCCTGCTCCTCTCCCAGGGGCCCTCAGGCTCCCTCCTGGCCCCCACGGGACCCGTGCTCTCTTCACTCCTAGGAGATGGTTTAGAACGTCTCCCCCACTTTGCGCATTGCAGGCACCAGGAGCAGCTCAAAGTCATGTTCATCGGAGGCCCCAACACCAGGAAGGACTATCACATCGAAGAGGGTGAAGAGGTAGGTTTGACTGGTCTCCCTGGATCTAGGCCTGCGGGCAAGGAGCCTGGCCCTAGCGGGAGGGGGCGCTTCCCACTCGAGGCCCAGAGATGATGGACTGGAGAGGGGTGGACATGTGGCTGATGAGTGGAGGGGGCACAGCTGAAATCACAGGGCACGACTGCTGCCTCCAAGCTGGTGGTCAGGCAGTGACGCCTCCACAGCTAGCACCTCTGCTGGGGGAGCCCCAGGAAACAACCCATGCCCTGCGGGTGAGAGGTTTTAGCCATGGGGCATCCTCCCCCTGGATATAGGGGCTGGCCATGTGAAGGGGGACGTCCTGGTCCCCTCCCCACAAACTTGACAGATTCAATTGGTCTCCAAAATGAGATCCTCCCCCGCAGACGGGGGCAAAGTGCAAAAACACCGTGGGTGAGGGCTGGGCTGAGTGGGTGGCAGAGGGAGTTCGAGGGGCTGAGGGAGGAGGAGCTAGTGGCTGAGGGGTAGGCATGGTAGGGAGGTGCCTGGAGCTGAAGGAGGAGTTGGGGCAGGGTGGCCCTTCCTTAACTAGAGGCTGCAAAACCCATTCGTGGCTTGTGGCTGGGGCAGGTGGGAGGGGGAATTTGCCTTGAATCACCTTTTGCACCTTGAAGTTTGGACTGTGCTTCTCTACTACCTACCCCAAAATAAATAAACAAAAGCAAAATTTAAAGAGAAAGGTGTGTCCCCTTAAGGAGAGACACAGAATCTCCTCTGGTGGAAAAGGATCAGTAGAGGGGCTCCCCATCCTCTCAGGGAGCCTCATTCTGGGGGTTCAGGATCCAGAGTCCAGCTTGATCAACAGCCTCTGTCCCCACTGAGGGCATCCAGGCCACAGCCAGGGACTGTGGTGAGCATGGGAGAATCACTTGTTCAATAAATATTTGCTGAGCACCTCATGTGTGCACTGGGACACCCAAGGCTGTGTGGAGGAACGATGGGCCCTGGGCCAGCAGAACCAGCCAACTCCTCACCTCTCACGCTCCAGGGGCCCTGCACCTCCCCTGGCCACCCCCTTCTCACAAACACACCTCACTGGAGACCGTTTCCTTGGTGGAAAAAGTCAATAGGAAAATCTAAAACTATACTGAGGAGGTGGGTAGACCTGGCATGGCTATGGCATGGGAGGCACAGCTGGCTGCGGAGTCTTCCAGAGGCTTCTGCCTTCTCTGTTGGCCCTGGTCTCAGCACCCGCCTCTCCTGTCTCCCTCTGTCTTTGCTTCCCTTCTCGCCCCCTGCTGCCTCTGCTCCATGCCCCATCCCATGGTTTCTCCAAGCTCAGGTGCCTGAGTGTCCCCTGAGGGGCCTGGCCAGCAGCTCACGTCCTGACTCAGATGGCAGCTGAGGGATTGAGTGATAAGGAGAGCTGGCCAGCACAGGTGTCCTCACTCTGGAGGGACGCCCAGGTGTCTGGGAGGAATCTGGCTGGAGGTGGGCTTGTGACAGGGCTTGGTCCCACCCTGCTGAGGTTTTGGTGGCGGGGTGGTGCAGCACTTGGGCAGCCTCAGGGCTGAGGGTCGGCCTCCTCTCTGTCCCTGCCTATCCTCACCCAGCTGGAGCCTGGGGAGACTCCAGGATGCGCTGTGGAAGTGGCGTAACTCAGGGTCCGGGCTCCTCCTGAATAGTGAGAAAAGGGGAGTTGCTCAGACCTGGGTTCAAATCACACCTCTTACCAAACCACACTTTCCTCCTCACTGAGCTCTGCCTCTGCAATAGCGGTCAGGGTACCTCCAGCTCCCTGGCCCGGCTCCCCACTCCCCAGCGCCACCTACCACCTATACTCCACCTACCTCACTCCTTTCTTGGAGCGTGCAGGTGCAGGGGGGCCAGAGGCAGATGAACTTGCATTGGGGGAATTCTCTGCCGCTTACTAACCCCGGGATCTTGGACAGGGCACATCATGTCACCTCTCCAAGCCTGTTTCCATAAGCACATGGGGACAACAGCCCCTGTCTGGTGGAAGAATTCAATGTGCATAGAGTATGTGCACACAGCCTGGTGCAGAGTTGGTGCTTGATATGCATTGTTCCTCTACACCTCTCGCCCTTTCTGCCTGGACTGCCTGAAAGGCCTTTCCAGGTCAGAAAGCCAGATTCTATTCATTATCTGCCTGAGCCAGTACAGTTAATCTTCTAGCCAGCCCCAGGCTCCCAAACATCATTTACTTCCAAACTGAGCATAATTCCTTTAGGATTGCCCACAGCTGTTCAGGATTTTCTGCTGTTCAGTGATCTGTACCTCTGCCCCAGGCCAGGCCTGCCCCTCATCACAGGGAAGACCTCTGAGCAGGGGACAAGAGCGAGAAAATAGAGACAATATCGTATAGCCTGCCCAGTAAGGCAGTAAGGGTTTAAATCTGGCCCAGAGGGTCACTCCGGACTCCCCTCTCCCAACTTTTCCTTTGTCCCTCCTCCCTTCCCTCACTGTGAAAGGTCCCTAGACACACACACACACACACACACACACACACACACACACACACACACACACACACACACACAGAGGCTTCCTCCCAGCTTGGAGAGTGGGGGAGGAGAGCATACTGAAATGCTCCCTATAAGAGAACCTGGTAGGTTTCTTATTATTTGTATTAAATAATGCTTATGGGGTTTTTGTTTGTTCATGTTTGTGTTTGTTTTTGTTTTTTAGAGATGGGGGTCTCACTCTGTCACCCAGGCTGGAGTACAGTGGTGCAATCATAGCTCAGTGCAGCCTCAACTTCTGGGGCTCAAGTGATCCTCCCACCTCAGGCTCCCAGATAGTTAGGACTACAGGCACACATCACCATACTCAGCTAATTTCTTCTAGTTTTTGTAGAGATGGGGTCTCACCATGTTGCCCAGAATGGTCTCCACTCCTGGCCTCAAGTGATCCTCCCATCTCCCAAAGTGCTAGGATTACAGGCATAAGCCTCCACATCCGGCCTATGGGTTTTTTTTTAATAAGGAAAGTAAACATTGTTCCTTGTAGAAAATATGAGAAATATAGAAAGAAAAATCCTTACCTCATTCATAATCCCACCACGCAGAGGGCCGCTGTGAACAGGCTGCCTCTGTTATATTTGTATTGCTACAAACTAAAGCCCTGCTGGGTATAGTTTTGAATCTTTAACGTAACTTTAGCATTTTCCATTTTCCCATTTTATTAACAGCTATTCAAAAACGTAGTTTTTAATGGCTGCATAATGTTCCATATTTTGAATCTACCATCAAATATTTACATTTCTCCTATAATTATATTAGCATTACTTTTGTCATTCTTACCATCATCAATACTAATAGCTAGAGGCTTACTGAGGGCTTACTATGCGCTGAGCACATATGTGTAAAGCATCCCTGGCATCTTCACAGCTACATTTTGAGTAGATAACTGTCATTATGTAGATGAGGAAACTGAGGTACAGAAAGGCTAACTGAATTGACCAAGGGCACACAGCACCCTGGCAGAGCTGAGGGCTTTTAACTATGCACTGCATTGAAAACAGCCTTGAATGTACACCACTAGGCAGGTATGTCTCTGATGAACTGAGGTCTCATTCCTGAGGTAGAATTACTGAGGTCAAGGTTGTGTGGTGACCAGCTATCTGGATTCACCTAGAACTTTCCCAGTTTTAGCACTAAGGGTCCTGCATCCCAATAAACCCCACAGTCCCTCCAGGGGTGTGAACTGCCAAGGCACTTCACGCCCATGGCCAAGTTGCCCTTCAGAAGGGTGGTGACTATTTGTGCCTAGTGGCAGACTGCAGAGCCACATCTCTCTAGGTCCCTCGAGGTCAGCTTGGTTTCTCTTAGTAGATGCTGTTGATAACATTCCTTCAAGTATTTGGCTGGGGCTTTTAACACCCAGGCAATGTGTGACTGGTGGAGAGAAAACCGGTCTGCCTCCTCCTCTTCCTCCCAGTTCCATGGGGTGATCTCAGTAAATTAGGGACTTAGGATGGAATCGGAAAAATGCAGTAGGAACCCCCCCCCCCGCCCCCCCCACCTCCCCCCACCCCCAGGAGAGCACAAGAGGCATATGCTCCCATCCCCCACAGCCCCTAACCCATCCCAGGCTGCCAGCAACCTCCACAGCCCCACCCCTTGCCAAGGTGTCACTCTGGCCAGTGGCTCCAGAGCCACATACGGCCTTGGATCCAAGCTGCGGCTCCAGCTGGAGACTAACCAGCTATGTGACCTTAGGCCAGCTGTTTTACCCTCTGAGCCTTGTTTTTCTTTCTTTGTTTTCTGCTGATTGGGGTTAATGATACCTTTGGAGGTTGCTGTGAAGGTTTCTGGTGGAAAAGTGCCTGGCACAGCCCCTGGCACCCAGTAAATGGGTGGGTTCCCTACCTGACTGCTGGGTCATTCAGTTCCCCAGTGAGCATTTCATCCAGTTCCTGCCCGCCAGCCAGGCAACCACTGTTGCATCCTGGGTACTCTGGTCATCACTTGCATGTCCAAGACATGATCCCATGTGTCCCCGGCACTCCATGGCATGCACCGGGGAGACAGGCCTCAGGACAGAAGTGACGGAGCTGCCCATCAACTCCAAGGCCTTCAGAAAGTTTCTCAGGTTTCCCGGTCAGAATTCAGGGCCTGGGCAGTGGCCAAGGACCTGGAAGAGAAAGTGCGGAGGGTCCAAGCCTCTCTCCTGTCCCACAGGTATTTTACCAGCTGGAGGGAGACATGGTTCTCCGAGTCCTGGAGCAAGGGAAACACCGGGATGTGGTCATTCGGCAGGGAGAGGTGAGGCCGGATCCCAGCAGGGTGGGGAAGAGAAAGGCGGCCACAGCTGGAATCCGCCCTGTCCACTCATCCTGGCCCTGGCTGAGGTCTTGTCCTCCCTACCTTTTCCTGCTCTCCCACACCTTCCCCTGCCAACCTGCCCCTTCCCCATCCTTCCTCTTCCAGGCTGCCCCATCCTCAGCACGGTCCAACATTCCCTCTGGTTCCCTGGTGTAGAGGCTGGGCAGAGAAGAGGGCCCAGGGTAGACAAGCAGTACCCCTTTGCTGCCCGGGGGTCAGCTGGGGATGCCCAGGATGTTGGGGGCGCTAAGGTCTCCATGAGGGATTGCAGCCTCACTGTGCACCTTATCTCTACCACTGCAGATATTCCTCCTGCCTGCCAGGGTGCCCCACTCACCACAGAGGTTTGCCAACACCGTGGGGCTGGTGGTTGAGCGAAGGCGGCTGGAGACCGAGCTAGATGGGCTCAGGTAAATTCTGTCTGGAGGGCTGGGGCAGAGAAAGGGCAAACAGCAGAGGAGCACAGCTCCAAACTGCAGCTGAAGGGATCCTAGATAGACTCAAGAAAGCACGTCCTGGCCACTGAGTGGGCAGGAGGGCCTCACAGCAGAGGCAGTGGAGATCCTGTCTTTGTTGGCTGATGGTGGAGGGGTAGAGTGGGGTGGATTCTGTTCTCTGTGACCCCCTGGAAGCTCACTCAGCCTGATGAACTTTGGCTGGAATCAGAATCTGTGCTTTCTGCGTGAGGTTGTGAACCTTGAAAATTCGAGACAGGTCTCAGTTAATTTAAAAGTTTGTTTTGCCAAGGTTGAGGACGTGTGCCCGTGACACAGCCTCAGGAGGTCCTGATGACATGTGCCCAAAGTCGTAAGAGCACAGCTCGGCTTTATACATTTTAGGGAGACATGAGACACCGATCAATATATGTAAGATAAACATTGGTTCTGTCTGGAAAGGTGAGACAACTCCAAGCAAAGGTGGGAAGACTCAAAGTGGGAAGGGGGCTTCCAGGTCACAGGTAGATAAGAGACAAATGGTTACATTCTTTTGAGTTTCTGATTAGCCTCTCCAAAGGAGGCAATCAGATATGCATTTATGCCAGTGAGCAGAGGGGTAACTTTGCATCGAATGGGGGGCAGGCTTGCCCTAAGCAGTTCCTACCTTGATTTTTCCCTTTAGCCTAGTGATTTTGGGGGCCCAAGATATTTTCCTTTCACATTTCCCCCTTTTCTTTTTTAAAATCTTTTGGAGAAAGCATTTTAGAAGAAATTGAGTCTCTGGTCCCAGGTTTTGTCTGATGTCTCATGGCTAGGATGGTTTATTCCTAGACGGGTAGATCCCAAGTTATTAGGGAAGTTCAGTTTTAGAAAGCTGTGAAGTCTCATGTCTCACAAAGAGAAAATAGGGGGAGGAAGGGAGAAAAACAACAACCAACAGAAGAGCAATCCTGGAAAATCGATATAGACCACATTACTCTGAAGTTCACACATCAGTAGGCAAGTATGAAAGTGGCTTAGGTACGTAAATTGGTTGCTGACATTTTCTTCTGAAGTTTAAGTTGTCAGGCTTCAGTTTTCAGGGCTTTAAGAAAGCACAGCTCAGCTTTCAGTGACTCCAAGTTAGGAAAAACAAACAAAAAAAGAAGTAAAAAAATTGAAAACATTATTTTGAAGACTTGTAGTCAAGAAAAATTAGAATTCAGTCCAAATCACAGAAAAATAATAAAAATTGAAAAACATTAGGCAAGACTAGAATCTAACATCAGGTATACTATAGTTTTCAAAACATAATTTTTCTCTCTCCAGTTTCCCCTTTTTACTAAAGACAAATCATGGTAAGACTGATTTGCTTTATTATACTTGGCCTAATTATTTGTATACAGTGCAGCAAGAATAATTTTTTTTTTTTTGAGACAAAGTTTCACTCTTGTTGCCCAGGCTGGAGTGCAATGGCACGATCTCGGCTCACTGCAACCTCCGCCCCCTGGGTTCAAGTGATTCTCCTGCCTTAACTTCTTGAGTAGTTGGGATTACAGGCACCCGCCACCACACCCGGCTAATTTTTTGAATTTTTAGTAGAAATTGGGTTTCACCATGTTGGCCAGGCTAGTCTCGAACTCCTGACCTCAGGTGACCCATCTGCCTCGGCCTTCCAAAGTGCTAGGATTACAGGCATGAGCCACCACACCTGGCCAAGAATAATTATTTTTTACATAGGCTTTTAAATTGGCTTTGATGGAACTTTGTTCCATAGAAGGAATCTCAGATAAGACCTTTTTTTAAAGCCAAGCCTAGCCATGGATATGTGCTATTGAATACCTATGAGTTGGGTGATCTTCTTGAGGTTCCAAGGTAAACTTGAGGCCTTTGGGCGTGTCAGAGACAGGGTCTTTACTTACCAAAGGTCAGAAACCCTATACAGGGAAGATATGAGGCCAGTTTCCCTAAAGGGTTTTTATTGGCTCCATAAACCAATAAAGGAAAGCACACCATTCCAGTCAAATCCTTGATAAAATAACCAGTTTCTCCAATTGTGTCCTGTTGCAAAATGAAAACAGATTCTTATTGCACTTATGCATATAACTGTATTGCCATAAGTTAAGAATACTCACAAATAGCTTCCAAATTCTGGAGAAATCAGGTAGAGAGAAAAAAATATGCTCCAAATTTTGTTCATGGGAGTATACTAAATTGTTGTGTTTTTTTTTGAGACAGAGTCTTGCTCTGTCGCCCAGGCTGGAGTGCAGTGGCATGATCTCGGCTCACTGCAAGCTCCGCCTCCCAGGTTCACACCATTCTCCTGCCTCAGCCTCCTGAGTAGCTGGGACTACAGGCGCCTGCCACCACGCCCAGCAAATTTTTTTTTTTTTTTTGTATTTTTAGTAGAGACAGGGTTTCACCATGTTAGCCAGGATGGTCTCGCTCTCCTGACCTCGTAATCCACCCGCCTTGGCCTCCCAAAGTGCTGGGATTATAGGCATGAGCCACCACGCCCGGCCGGGAGTATTAAATTGTTAAAAGCTGTCAATAGCACACACAAAAAAGTTTCCTTGACTCTGAAAAAAAACAAAATAAAACAAAGGATCAGCAACATTTAAAGCAAAAGTAAAAAAGATTACTTTAGTCTTCTATGAGTTCAGTTTACTTAGTTTACTCCTGTTCTGCTTGATACTCATGAACATTTCAGCTCTCCATGAGAGTCCTGAAAGTTTTTCTTCTCTATTCTAATGTCACAATCTCCAAAGTTATCAGAAACCTGCACTTAAGAACACCTGTGTTCGCCGGGCGCGGTGGCTCACGCCTGTAATCCCAGCACTTTGGGAAGCCGAGGCGGGTGGATCACGAGGTCAAGAGATCGAGACCATTCTGGCCAACATGTTGAAACCCCATCTCTACTAAAAGTACAAAAATTAGCTGGGCATGGTGGCATGTGCCTGTACTCTGAGCTACTCAGGAGGCTGAGGCAGGAGAATCACTTGAACCTGGGAGGCGGAGGTTGCAGTGAGCCGAGATTGCACCGCTGCACTCCAGCCTGGCAACAGAGCGAGACTCCATCTTAAAAAAAAAAAAAAATTAAAAAAAAAGAACACCTGTGTTCTAGAGCTGATTATAAAGCCACCTCCTAAAGAGAACCAAAACAGGACAATTTTCTGTGAATGACAAAAAGTTTTAAGGCAGCCATAGTCAAAGACGCAGTTGGCAAGGAAATTTGTTACCTCTGTGGCACACAATAATTTAATATAATTATGATTATTACTGATGATGTACACTAAGTTTTATCAGGATTATAGGAGTTTCCCATAATTTTGGAATACATACCAATAATATATTTATACAAATACAGCCTAAAGAAAACCAAACACCATTTCATATTTGGCAATGCTTCCTGTATAATTTTTATACCAAGTAAGCCAAACTATGTCATTTTGGGACTTTAGGGAACCCAATATCTTAACAGATTAATTAGGTCAGAAAAAGACATAATTTATCATTTGATTTTGGAAAGTTTGTCAAATATCAAAGGTTTAAAACTCTTGATATCACAATATAGGATCATTCATTTAACCAAAGTAATAACTCAAGGATTTCAAAAAAGGTGAAAACCTTCATTCTTTGAGAAGAGACTTAATGTTCCAAACAATAAGCTCTAATAAAAATAGCATGAAGCTGGGCGCGGTGGCTCACGCCTGAAATCCCAGCACTTTGGAAGGCCGAGGTGGGGGGATCACGAGGTCAAGAGTTCAAGACCAGCCTGACCAACATGGTGAAACCCCGCCTCTACCAAAAATACAAAAATTAGCTGGGTGTGGTGGTGTGCACCTGTAATCCCAGCTACTCAGGAGGCTGAGGCAGGAGAACTGCTTGAACCCGGGAGGCGGAGGTTGCAATGAGCCAAGATCGCACCACTGCACTCCAGACTCGGCAACAGTGAGACTCTGTCTCAAAAAAAAAAATAGCATGAACCCAATTAACTATAGTTTTCAAAATTATATCTTGACCATAAGATATAATTTCCATAAACCTTTCATAACCTATATTTAGGAGTCAGTTAATGCTTCAATAAAACCTTTTTAATCTGACACAGGGGCCCATATGCTGGTCTTGCATCAGTGTACCTTTGACATTAATGACTAATTTATAGAGAAACTGAACTTATTTATTTATTTATTTGAGATGGAATTTTGCTCTTGTTGCGCAGGCTGGAGTGCAATGGTGTGATCTCAGCTCACTGCAATCTCCACCTCCCGGGTCCAGGTGATTCTCCTGCCTCAGCCTCCCAAGTAGCTGGGATTACAGACATGTGCCACCATGCCTGGCTAATTTTGTATTTCTAGTAGAGACAAGGTTTCACCATGTTAGTCAAGCTGGTCTCGAACTCCTGACCTTACATGATCCACCCACCCCAGCCTCCCAAAGTGCTGGAATTAGAGGCGTGAGCCACCACCACACCCAGCGAGAAACTGAACTTATTTTATCTCTCAAAATTGGTCCTTACAGTCTCCCATGCCCATCTCTTACATGATAGTCCCTGGGCCTTGAGGAGCTTTAATTTCTGTCCCTGTGTTTCAGGAATGCAGTTTATTTTGATTGGCATCTTCTACTGGGCCTGAAGATGGGGCTTTAATTGCTGTCAGTGTTTAAAGTTTAGCAGGACTTGGTCAGGCACAGTGACTCACGCCTGTAATTCCAGCACTTTGGGAGGCCGAGACAGGCAAATCATGAGGTCAGAGTTTCAGACCAGCCTGGCCAACATGGTGAAACCTCATCTCTACTAAAAATACAAAAAATTAGCTGGGCATGGTGACAGGCACCTGTAATCCCAGCTACTCAGGAGGCTGAGGCAGAAGAATTGTTTGAACCTGGGAGGTGGAGGGTTGCAGTGAGCCAAGATCATGCCACTGTGCTCCAGCCCAGGCAACAGTGCAAGACTCCATGTCAAAAAAAAAAATTAGCAGGACCTGGTGTCCTTTTTAGACCCAGGAGTCAAAGCCCTGTAACTTAATGTCACAAGGACATTAAAAGCACATACAGAGAGATACACAGATGTAATAACCTTAACTTTTGAAAAAATTTAATCTCAGTTTTTTTCCTAAGCAACCGAAAACTTAATAATAATGTGATAACTTGATCATATAAAAGTTTTTGGGTTTTTTTTTTAAATAAATCCTCTTATTGTGACTTACACAGACCATTCATGCTATGCTTAGACTTTCTGGTTTGTCCTGAACATCCCTCCTTCTTCAACAACCAGTCATTTTACTCTACAACTAAATTTACCATACAAGAGTCTTTCTCATATGAAATTATGTCTCTTTAAGCTTTCTTACCACAAAAAACCTCTTTGTTTTTATGACTTTCTTTACATGTCTTTTATTTCCTGCTTCCTTTTACCTTGTTTTATACATGACCTTTAAATAAGCCTTAAATTAGATAAAATGGTTCACTTTTTTTAAAAGGACACACCTTTTTTTTTAGAAAGAATGTTTTCCTACAAATATATTTTTATTGGAAAGTACCCAAATAATGAAATATCTATTATTTAATTTAACTTTAGATTCTAAATTATGACAAGTTTGTCTACAAGTATTTATCCTATTGCATTTACATAATTATTTTAATCATTTACTTAGATTATTTCTAAAAATTGTGATTGTCATTATTTAAAGTTATGGAACCACCATTGCAAAATTATAACTGAGACAGTGAAAATGATTTGACCTAACTGATTCCATCTTGCTTCTAACCTCCAAGCTCTCCTTGTTCATAGGCTGAACTAACTTTGAGAGGCACTTAGTTTAGTTAATTAGAGCCCCTTTTTATATTTTCAGCAGTGAAACATTGTGTACACAACACATAGATAGACGTCTTAGGCATGCTAATAGAAGTGCATCTTATAGATTCATAGCAACTTTTTTTTCCTATCTTAGACTTTCACATTCTTTTTCTTCTTTTCTTTCTTCTTTTTTTTTTTTTTTTTTTTGCGATAAGAGTCTTGCTCTGTCACCTGAGCTGGAGTGCAGTGGCACAATCTTGGCTCACTGCGACTTCTGCCTCTCAGGTTCAAGCGATCCTCCTGCCTCAGCCTCCCAAGTAGCTGGGATTGCAGGCGCCCACAACCACACCCAGCTAATTTTTTGTATTTTTAGTAGAGACAGGATTTCACCATGTTGGCCAGGCTGGTCTCAAACCCCTGATCTCAGGTGATCAACCCACCTCGGCCTCCCAAAGTGCTGGGATTACAGGTGTGAGCCACCATGCCCGGTCAGACTTTCAGATTCTTGATAACCTGTTTTACAACCACAGGCAGTTGTCAGCTAAATAGCCTTAAAGTTGCATATTAAAGGAAACAACTCGCCGGACACGGTGGCTCAGGCCTGTAATCCCAGCACTTTGGGAGGCTGAGGTAGGCGGATCATGAGGTCAGGAGTTCAATAGCCACCTGGCCAAGATAGTGAAACCCCGTCTCTACTAAAAATACAAAAAAATTAGCTGGGCGTGGTGGCAGGCGCCTGCAATCCCAGCTATTCAGGAGGCTGAGGCAGAGAATTGCTTGAACCCAAGAGGCGGAAGTTGCAGTGAGCCAAGATCACGCCACTGCACTCCAGCCTGAGTGACAGAGTGAGACTCCATCTCAAAAAAAAAAAAAAAAAGGAAACAACTCAGGTGAAAAATCAAATAACAAAATTTCCATCATAAGGTACAGAGAGAAGTCGGATGGTGCTAGAGGGAGATTAAAGATGGATGCTGGCTGGGCATGGTGGCTCATGCCTATAATCCCAGCACTTTGGGAGGCAGAGGCAGGCGGATCATCTGAGGTCAGGAGTTTGAGACCAGCGTGACCAACGTGGAGAAACCCCATCTCTACTAAAAATGCAAAATTAGCCAGGTGTGGTGGCACATACCTGTAATCTCAGCTACTAGGGAAGCTGAGCAGGAGAATCTCTTGAACCCAGGAGGCAGAGGTTGCAGTGAGTCGAGATCATACCATTGCATTCCAGCCTGGGCAACAAGAGTGAAACTCTGTCTCAAAAAAAAAAAAAAAAAAAAAAAAAGATGGATGCCAAGTCAAACATAAAATTACAGAAATCTATCACAGGATTGTATAAGGATACCAATTTTATTTAGATAGGGACCACCTATCTTTTAACTAGATCTCTGAGCTCTGGGCAAAGTCCACACCGAATCCTGGGTCTCCAAAAAGGGAGAATTATTATGAGCTTAGACCACGTGATGCTTTTACAGTGCACTTTAAAAAAAGTTTTTTTTAAACAAAGACATTTCTAAGTATCTAAACCACACTCTTCCACATTTGATCTTAGCCAAAGGCCCAGAAGCGATAAAACCACACTCTTCCTTAAAAACTCAAGAGTAAGAGTAACCTCAGTTACAATAACTATTTTAGTAAAAAAAAAAAAAAAAAAAGGATAACACAATATAAAAGTAAGCAGTTTAACAGCTGAGACCATTTATCTTTTTACATTCTTGGGGTTCCACAAGGAAAAACAGATTTCTCCCCCAAAAGGAGTCTAGTGCCTTCTTCATTTTCTTTAAGAAACCCCAGGCTACTATAAACTATTTTAGGTCCCTCATGCAGCAGAGGGTGCAGGAGAAAGGAGAGACAGCAGAAGTAAATGAAGAAAACAGAATTCAGTCAACTGAGAAGAAAAAAACTTTTGCTCAAAAAAAAAAGACAAGGTCCTAGGAGAAAAACAAAAACAAAAACATGAAAGTTAAATACACACACACACACACACCCCTTGGATGTTAGCTTTTAATTAAGCTGACTTTTAACCATTGAGCTCCTTTAAAAAAATCTTTTTAAATCTCATTACCGTATTTCAGCTGGAAAAAAATGCTGCTGTTTCAGAAGTACAGCCATTGCTCTTTCAGTTTTGCCTGGCTAGCAAAAGTGGCCTTGTTTATGTAAATCAAGCCCCTTAGCAGTCAAAATACAAAATCTTTCATCTTTCTTTTCTCCTTTTACTGGCCTTTTTTCTCCCCCCACCAGACAACCTTTTTTTTTTTTTTTTTTTTTTTCCATGACAGTCTTACTCTGTCACCCAGGCTGAAGTGTAGTGGTGCAATCTCGGCTCACTGCAACCTCTGCCTCCTGGGTTCAAGCAATTCTCCTGCCTCAGCCTCCTGAATAGCTGGAATTACAGGTGCGCGCCACTGCGCCCAGCTAATTTTTGTATTTTTAGTAGAGACGGGGTTTCACCACGTTGGTCAGGCTAGTCTGGAACTCCTGACTTCATGATCTGCCCACCTCGGCCTCCCAAAGTGCTGGGATTACAGGTGTGAGCCACTGTGCCCGGCCCTTTTCGTGTGTGTGTGTGTTGGTGGGGAGGGACGGGAAATTTAGCCACTCTAGAGGCCTTGTTTCCCATAATTTGGAACTTCTTTAGGATTTTATCAAGTCAGGTAGAGCTGATCAAACCCAATGGGAAAAAGAATGAAACAACAACAAAACAGAAACAAACAGCAACAACAACAACAAACAGTGAAGCAAAACAAACAATCGCGCAGCTTCTATGATCACTGAGCGCTCTAATGGGAAGGAGAAATTAAGAGCACCTGATTGTTAACTTTAGCCAAAACAAACCCCCAGTTCAGCTACTTACCTAGGGATGGGTCTCAGGCTCAAGACAACTCTCTACCATCCTAGAAGCAGGAAAAAAACCTCCTTTTCCCTATTGGATGCAAGCTCAAATTCCATAAAGGAGTTACCTGCCTTCCATTGTCATGGAAGCAGGAAAACTTGCCTTCCTTGTTGGAAACAAGTAAAACTCCAAAAAAAAGGGAGTTGTACAGCAAAATAAACTTTAGATCTCAACCAAATTTGGGGAGATCAGGGATTCTCTAGAGGGGGTGCTCCCACACCTCAGCAAATTGTCCTATTGGTTTGAGCCATAAAGTTAGCTCACGCGGGTACCAAGCACCCTTAGGAGATTTGTCTAAGGTCAGGGGCACCTCCACTCAGAATGCCTCTGTGGTTATCAAAATGTCAACTCCAAAAATTTGAGACAGGTCTCAGTTAATTTAGCAAGTTTATTTTGCCAAGGTTGAGGATGCACGCTCGTGACACAGCCTCAGGAGGTCCTGTTGACGTGTGCCCAAGAGAGTCAGAGCACAGCTTGGTTTTATACATTTTAGGGGGACAAGAGACATCAATTAACATATGTAAGATGAACATTGGTTCAGTCTGGAAAGGCAGGACAACTCAAAGCAAAAGCAGGATGACTCAAAGCAGGGAGGGGGCTTCTAGGTCATAGGTAGAAAAGAGACAAATGGTTGCATTCTTTTGAGTTTCCGATTAGTCTCTCCAGAGGAGGCAATCAGATATGCATTTATCTCAGTGAGCAGAGGGGCACTTTGAATACAATGGGGGGCAGGTAGCCGGGCGCAGTGGCACACGCTTGTAATCCCAGCACTTCGGGAGGCCGAGGCGGGTGGATCACGAGGTCAGGAGATCGAGAGAGACCATCCTGGCTAACATGGTGAAACCCCATTTCTACTAAAAATACAAAAAATTAGTCGGGCGTGGTGGCGGGCGCCTGTATTCCCAGCTACTTGGGAGGCTGGGGCAGGAGAATGGCATGAACCCAGGAGACAGAGCTTGCAGTGAGCCAAGATCGCGCCAGTGCGCTCCAGCCTGGGTGACAGAGTGAGACTCCGTCTCAAAAAAAAAAAAAAAAAAAAATAGGGGGTAGGTTTGCCCTAAGCAGTTCTCAGCTTGACATTTCCCTTAATTTAGTGATTTCGGGGCCCAAGATATTTTCCTTTCACAAGGTCTTCTGGGAGGGGTGAGATGTGGAAAGCGGGCCAGAGGGGTTCCAAAGTCACACCCACCTCCCCCAGTGCAGCCAGAACTGCTGCTTCCCCCCAGAATTTAGAATCACGGCCAGTGCCTCCCTCGGCTTGTTTCTCTACCCCAGCTCATTCCACAACACACACTGACATCTGGATGGCACTTGCTATGTGCCAGATGCCTGGCTAAGGTCTTTGCATGTATTTATTCATTGAATCTTCCCAGCGATCCTATGGGGGAGGTGCTGTTATCATTACAAAGAAGTTAAAGTTGCTAAAGTGTTACTTGCTAGATCTGGCATTATAGAGAAATATGGAGTTAGGGCCAGGACAGTATAGAGAGGAGTGGGAGTCAACACCAAAGAGGGGAAGAAAATAGGCCCCGCTGTCAGCATTCTGATTCCATGGCCGGGGTTCTCATTTGGTTCTGATCAGTCACCCAATTCTTTTCCTCTGAAAGGAGGAAGCAACCTATTGCTCAGGGAAATAGATTTTCCAAAAGCTCAACAGTGTTTGGTTGGGTTTTTTTTTTTTTTTTTTTTTGATATGGGGGCTCACTCTATCTATCACCCACGCTGGAATGCAGTGGCGTGATCATTATTTGTTGTATTTTTTAACTAAAAAAAATTCAAGTTTCCCATCAGGTCACCAGGAACAGGATACTTTGGCCTACATCTTTTGTTATAATAGGCATTTTTAAAATACGTGTTGTTTTTCTGATTATCAAAGTCATACACATTCATTCTCAAAATCTGGAAAAGTACAGGAATGCAAAGTGAACAAAATTAAAATTACTTGTTACTAAAAGGATAAATTTGATGGTATGTGAATTATATCTCAAGAAAACAAAATAATAAAAAAGGGAAAACAAAAAAAATTGTCCTGTCACCAATGAAACCTAATGAAACCTAAACTTCCATCTTGTCTTATTTCTATGCTTACCTATATCTTTTTTTACTTAAAAGAAACTCATGAGTATTCTTTTTTTTTTTTTTTGAGATGGAGTCTTGCTCTGTCACCCAGGCTGGAGTGCAGTGGTACAATCTCGGCTCACTGCAACCTCTGCCTCCCGGGTTCAAGCAATCCTCCTGCCTCAGCCTCCTGAGTAGCTGGGATTACAGACATGCACCACCATGTCTGGCTAATTTTTGTATTTTTAGTAGAGACGAGGTTTCACCATGTTGGCCAGGCTGGTCTCGAACTGCCAACCTCAGGTGATCCACCCACCTCGGCCTCCCAAAGTGCTGGGATTACAGTTGTGAGCCACCACATTCGGCCGAGTATTTCTTACACTATTAAATCTTTTCAAAAAACACAATGGCTGCATAATCATTTACTGTGTAACAGTCTGTTGTAGAGACAGACACGTGGTCTTATCTTCTAGAAAAAATTTGTCACAAGGGACTTTAATATAGTGAGTCTGATGGAGAGGATGGTGTCCTCAATATCATTTTACAGCAAATTCAATAACACATTTCATCTGGCTGCTTTTGACCTTTAATAAAAGCCAGGGACTCAACATTAAAATGCCACTCCAAAGGCAGTTCCCGGAGGGCACTGCCATCCAGTTATGAAGCTTTCTGGTGGCCAGCTCCATCCCAGGATAGGATTTAGGCTGCCAAGTGGGTGGATGCACTGTGTGTCTGTAAAGCATCTCCCACCAGCGGGACCACATCTCTTTTAAGAGCAGACAGAGCTGGCCTGGGCCCAGGAGCTGGGCTTGGGCATTAGGCATTCAGTTAACAGGCGTTCCTGGCACCCACCATGTGCAGCACCCACAGGGGCCTGGGGCCCATCCCAGCCTGCCAGGTGCTCCTCAGGCCGGGGGAGGAGCTCACTGAGCCAGGCTGGGGGCTGGGGTGGGCTTTAGGGGTCTACTGAAGGCTATATGTACATGTACATGGGCCTTACCCCAGAAAAGAGGTCCAAAACTTTGCTCCAACTCTCAAAGGCAATCATGACCCTGAAAGAAGAAGAACCCCTAAACTGGGGGACATCTTCTGCGTGTTGGCTTCTTTTTTTTTTTTTTTTTACTTATTTATTTACTTTTGAGACAGAGTCTTGTTCTGTCACCCAGGCTGGAATGCGGCGGTGCAATCTTGGCTCACTGCAACCTCCGCTTCCCGGTTCAAGCAATTCTCCTGCCTCGGCCTCCCAAGTAGCTGGGATTACAGTCCCCTGCCAGCATGCCTGGCTATTTTTTTTCTATCTTTTGTTATGCCTGGCTATTTTTTGTATTTATTTATTATTATTATTATTTTTAGTAGAGACAGGGTTTCACCATGTTGGCCAGGCTGGTCTTGAACTCCTGACCTCAAGTAATCTACCCGTCTCAGCCTCCCAAAGTGCTGGGATTACAGGCGTGAGCCACTGCGCCCGGCCATGTTGGTTTCTTAAGTGTCCGTGCACTCAGGCCTAGAGCACTGCAGGCCAGCAGAGCGTCCAGCCACTGGCCCTGGTTTCAGGCTCAGCCTCAGCTTCCTCTTTGCGAAAAACAAAAGAACTGCGATTAGATGCTCTCTAAGTTTTTAAGATTGTCTTGAGACTGGCCTGCTTCCGCCACTTACAGGCTGTGTAATCCTTGGCAAATTGCTCAGCTTCTGTGAGTCTCAGAGTTCTATCTGCTTTGTCTAGTTTTGGGAACCAGTTTGGGTCTAGTTTTGGGAACCGGAGAGAGCCGTGTGAATTCTCGGGATAGTAGCCCTCTCAGGGGGCGCACGTGTGCTTCTGAAGAGCAAGGTGTTAAGTGACCAGTGACCACTAGGGTGTGTAACAGGGGTGAGCAGACAGCAGGGCTCTGCAGGGACTTCTACAAGCAGAGCCAGGCCTGAGTGGGGCTGCCCTGAAGCCACCCAGATGGGGACAGCAGGGTTGCCTGTCCTCTGCTCTGGCAGGTACTATGTGGGCGACACCATGGACGTTCTGTTTGAGAAGTGGTTCTACTGCAAGGACCTCGGCACGCAGTTGGCCCCCATCATCCAGGAGTGAGCCCCCAGCCCAGCCCCTGCCTCTTGCTTTCCTGGGGCTCTGCATCAGCACCTGATGCCCTGGGAGAAAGTCTCCCCTCCCAGGGTGGAGATCCTGGCCCAGAGAGCCCACTGCCAGGCCGGGGGGAGGGGGGAGCAGCAGCCCCGCTGGGAGGGAAAGGATGGCAGACACACAGCTGTGTGAGAGCCCCATGAGTGTGTGTGGGCACCTGCACCTGACCGTGAGTGTGGTGTATGTGTGTGTCGCTGGCCACTCCGATGGGAGTGCTCGCCACTCCTGCTCCTCCCTGTTCGTCCTTGCAGGTTCTTCAGCTCTGAGCAGTACAGAACAGGAAAGCCCATCCCTGGTGAGGCCGCTGGGAACTGCCCTTCTCCTTCCCTCCCTCCCCTTCCAAAATAGGATGGGTTTTGGTCCAGGGGACCGGGGAGTCTCTTTTTGAATACTCTGCCCAGTCCTCAAGGTACTAAGAAGATGGCAGCCAATGGTACCTCCCACATGGCTGCTTGATCATTGAGCTGGATACAGAGCCTGTTCTGGCAATTGAGACCTGGGGCCCCTGGGAACTGGGCCCACTGGGGCTGGGTGGGCTGGGTCCTGAGGACACCGACTATAGTCATGCTGTGGGTGCAGACCAGCTGCTCAAGGAGCCACCATTCCCTCTGAGCACACGATCCATCATGGAGCCCATGTCCCTGGATGCCTGGCTGGACAGCCACCACAGGGAGCTGCAGGCAGGCACACCACTCAGCCTGTTTGGGGACACCTATGAGACCCAGGTAATGTAGTCCTGGGGCATCCGGGGCATCCTCCCACAGCAGCCCTGGAAAATGGGAACCAGTCTCTCTCTCACTGCCTCTCTCTCTCTCTCTTTCACACACACACTCACACACACACACACACACACACACACACACACACATTTCAGAGGTTGTAGACATGAGCATAGGCCTTTGTGCTCCCTCCCTGACGCAGAAGGCGATGGCTCTGCTCCGAGTGAAGTCTGTGGAGGCTACATGGTCCCAAGCAATTTTATGATCTGAATTCACTTTCAGAGTTGGAGGTTCCCCCACTCACTGGCAGCTTCCTGAGGGTCTGCAGTTTTCCCCTCGCTAGGAATTCCTGAACCTTCAGCCAGTCACACCCTTGGAAGCCAAAAGGGAGAGAGTTGTTTGGGAGTGAGGGTTGGGTGGAGAGAGGGATTCAAACAAGGCTGACTTTCTTTCATTCCACATTTATTAAATGCCTGTTATGTTTCAGGCTTTAGTGGGAGAGTAGGATAGAGTTGCTACCTTAAAGAATGTATAGTTTGTTAAAGAGATGGACAAGTTAATCAACAATTGCCACAATCATGTGATAAAGTATCAGATAGAAAAGCTATAGGAAGCTATAGAAGGATAAAGGAGGAACCCACTCTGAAAGGGAAGTCAAGGAAGGCTTCCTGGAGGAGGTGACATGCACATTGCATTTTAAAGCTAGTGTAGGAGTTTGTAAAAGAAAGAAAGGGAGGTGGAGAGAGCATTCTAGGTGAGGGAGAAGCATGAGCATGAGCTGTTTCAGGCTTGAAACAGCCTGGCACTGGGAGCAGCCGAAGTTGGCCAGAGGCGGGGCTTGGGGGTGGGGGTACAAGTGTGACTGGTGGACTGTGGAGCAGCAGGCAGGGCCCAGGTCCTGGTAGGTCTGCTGGGCTAGGCAAGGTGGGAGGACTTGTCCTAAAGACAACAGCCCTCCACCAAAGTATTGAAGCAGGGGAGTGACAGGCCAGAGTGGTGTTTCTGTACCACGTGTGGGAACAAGGCTGGGAGGGCAAGAGTGGTGCAGGGAGACCTGTGTTCACTTGTGCTTTACGGCTTGCCACTGGCACATCCCATGGGCTTTGAATGAGTCAATCTGTGCAGGGATGCTCATGGCCACAGGCTTCCCGTAGAGGCCTGGCCTGCTGCTCTTGGGTACCAGGGACGTCCTGAGCTTACACAGGGCTGCGAGAACATGCGCACATGTCACAGCAGTACCACTCAGCCCTGCACCCCACCTCTGCAATACCCTGCTCTTACCTGCTTCAGTTTACATTAATGAATATGCACCCTCTCCAGGGCATCAGCAGCACGGCCCTGCACAGTAGCTGTGTGCTTCCAGGCTGGTGCATGTCAGAGAGCCCTCAGCCTCACCTTCCTTGTCCCCTCCTCCTCCTGAGGCCAGACTCATAACCTCTCTCAGAGAAAGGGAGGTGGCACCCTCTGGGAAGCTGATGGAAATGCGTCCCTCATGTGCCCTGGTGAGCATGCCTTCGCATGAGCACACATCAGAGGGACCACGGGTGCACTGCACGTGAAAGGCAGGCATGTGTGATCCCAAATACCTGTTGCAGCGGCGGGCACAGGGAGGCCTGCAGCCCAGGCAGCCCTCCTCTCCAAGTCCTGGTCTCTGCTCAGCACATGGTGATGGGGCTGTTTCATGGGCCCCAACCCTGCTCCAAGCAGGCCTGGTGTCTGGGGGCCAGGTTCAAGACCATCTCCCATGTGGGGCAAGAAGCACCAGAAGTTTCTGTTTCACCTCCCACCAGGTGATCGCCTATGGGCAAGGCAGCAGCGAAGGCCTGAGACAGAATGTGGACGTGTGGCTGTGGCAGCTGGCAAGTGGGGCCCAGGGACAGGGTTGCAGAACCCCCTGCCAGAGGGCATCAGCCCGCTCCTCGGCCCTGGGCTCCCACACGGGGCCCACTCTTGGGGCCTTGGGGCCCAGGCAGACTCAGACATTCACCCAGGTGATGAGGCCCAACAGTCTCCATTTGATTCTCCTGCTCCTCTTCTCCAGGAGGGCTCCTCGGTGGTGACAATGGGGGGACGGCGCCTGAGCCTGGCCCCTGATGACAGCCTCCTGGTGCTAGCTGGGACCTCGTGAGTACGCAGGGAGGGCTTTCCCTGGGATCCTCAGGGTCCAACTCTGTGTGATCCCTGCTCATCTGTGTGTCCACAGGTATGCCTGGGAGCGAACACAAGGCTCTGTGGCCCTGTCTGTGACCCAGGACCCTGCCTGCAAGAAGCCCCTGGGGTGACCCTCTTGCCATGGCCTGAAGCAGCCACAGGTGTGCCAAGCACCCTCGAGTGCCATCCCTGCCAAACAACTCTCCCAGCCCCCACTACCTCTCTGTGTACTGCCGCTGTGTCCCCCACAGACCTGCACATTGTTGTCACCCACCCTCCTGCCCTTCTCAGCCCAGATGCCATGCCCCTGGGCGGGCAGCAGCTCCCCATCTTCTCTGGCAGACTCAGCCCACTGCCTTGCCAGTCTTGCCAGGTGGTCTACCCCCGGCCCCGCTCCTGCCCATTCCTCTGTCCCTGCAGACTCAGTGCAGCACTTCCACACCAAGAAGGCCCTCAATAAAGGCTTCCTGAGGAACGCACACCTGGGGGTCTGCCGCAGGCAGTCATCACTGGCCTTCCCATGTGCCCCCCAGGACCATGTGGTGTGTCTGGGGCATCAGGGCACCAGGTGACCATGGACGTGTTGGAGGGTCTGTTATTGGGCATCCCTGTTTGTGGATGGGCATTCTTCACTGTGTGTGTGACTTGATCCACGCATGCTCCATGCCTGGTCCTGGGAGCACGGCTAATGTCATCTCTCCACTTCCTTCTCTGTTCTCATTTATTCTTTTTACTTTTTTTTTTTTTTTGAAACAGGATCTCACTGTCACCAAGGCTGGAGTGCAGTGGTGTGATCAGAGCTCACTGCAGCCTTGACCCTCCTGGCTCAAGTGATTCTCCCACCTCAGCCTTCTGAGTAGCTGGGACTACAGGCATGCACCACCACACCCTGTTAATTTTTTTTTTCTTTTTTGTAGAGATGGGGATTTCACCATGTTGCCCAGTCTGTCTTTTTACATAACTTTAAAACACTAGCATCTGTTGAGTTTTTTTCCAATAACAGAAGTCATCTGTGCTAACTATAGAAAACCCAGAAATACACAAAATCCCCCACCCAGAGCTAACCACTGTTAATACCTAAAGACTATGATCAGCCTGGAGAGGGGCATGAAGTTGTACCAGGAGCTCAGCAGTGTTGGTGGGGGTGTCTGGCCTTGTGTCCCCTTCCCTCCCCTGTCATGCACAGGTGCCCTGTTCAAAGACTCCAGAGGGACCCCTGAGCCTGCTATGGGTGTCTAGGGATGCTGGAGGCCTCAGAGGCACCAGTGGGAAGAGACAAGAATGTGGAACCTGCAGCGGGCGCAGCTCAGTTTCCTGGGACTTCCGTGAGAAGTCAATGAGGGCATGCACATGAGAGTGACAGATCTGGACAGAACAGGTCCCTGCGTGGACTCAAAGCTTCCTCTAGAAAAGAACACTTGACCCCTGTCTCCCTCATCCCCAGCCCAGTGGCTCACTGCCTTCCTACACTCCACTGGGAGCAGAGAAAGACCTGCCTTTGCTGAAAAGGCTACTGGCCCTAAGAGACATCGGGACCTTCAACCTCCTCGTCACCCCTAAGGGCTTTCCTCTCCTGCAAGCAAAGAAAAAACACCATCAGGCTCCTTCAAACACAAATGGTCCAGGATAGGCACAGGCAGAGGCTCCACGCGGCTCGTTCCTGGCCTGTAGCAATGCACTGCTCCGTGCAGGACCTGAGAAGAAGACATAGAATGTTCCAGGGAGGACCCAGGTCAGAATACCGATGGCCGTGAAGAGAAGAGTTTACTCTCATATGCAGGGCAAGCTTAATCCAGAGAGAAAGTCATGAAAATTAGATCTGTTTTTGTGAACACTCGCTCTGTCCCAAGGAATCCCCTAGAAGTTTGTTTTTTTTTTTTTTTTTTTTTTTGAGACGGAGTCTCACTCTGTTGCCCAGGCTGGAGTGCAGTGGCGCGATCTCAGCTCACTGCAAGCTCCGCCTCCCAGGTTCACGCCATTCTCCTGCCTCAGCCTCCCGAGTAGCTGGGACTACAGGCACCTGCCACCACGCCCGGCTACTTTTTTTGTATTTTTAGTAGAGACGGGGTTTCACCGTGTTAGCCAGGATGGTCTCGATCTCCTGACCTCGTGATCTGCCCGCCTCGGCCTCCCAAAGTGCTGGGATTACAGGCTTAAGCCACTGTGCCTGGCCTATAAGTTTTTACATAAATTATCTCATTTTATCCTCACAACTCTCCAAGAAGGTGGTAGTGCCTGATTTTACAGATCAGGCTCAGAGAGGTTTGGAAATAGGGCAGCTCTGTTTCCAACCCAGGCCTGTCTGCATATGGAGCTTAGGCTGGGCCTCACCACCCTGCTTCTCCCAGGGATGTTTGCCCTCAGCCTTGACCAAATGGGAGCCCAGGGCAGCCAAGAGAGGCCAGGGGCCACTGTGCCTGGGACACAGAGGCCAGGCCACACATGGCAGACTGCTGACCCCAGCCAGTTGGCAGTGATGGGGTCAGGCCCTGGAGCCTGGAACCAGCACCTCCCTTGGCCCTGCTGTCCCGGGTTATCAGGAGCCTGAAGCCCTCATCTCCACCCACAGGACCAGCCCATGGGCTCATGAGAATACCTCACCATGGGACAGCTGGACTTGTACCTTGTCTGGAGCTAGCCCCAGCCTCCCACTCCCTATTCCGCAGTGAATGCTAATGGGGGCAAGGAGTGGAGTGGACAAGGAGCCATGGGGAGACACAGACAGGGAAAAATCAGGATTGTTCTATTTGCGGGAGAAGCCCCCAGCTCCCCGTGCCATGGCAGTAGAAATTTGGCAGGGGCGTCCCCGTCCATGGGGCCTACTTCACCGTGTACCCGGACTTGGGACCATCACAGACTTCGGAACCATCAGGAACCTGGGAGCAACTGAAAGCTGAACTACAGTGGGCTTTCAGACACACAGCAGGCTGGCGGAGCACAAATAGGACTGGTTCCCTCCAGGCCACCAGCAGGGCGGTGGAGGTCTTCACTGACTCCCTGCCTACCTCTCAGGACAATGTCCTTTTGGCTCCACAGTCCCTGAAGCCAGAGCTGGTGGGGGCAGGGAGGCAGCCACCAGCCTCTATATGTAGTGGAGGAGGGGGTGTCCAGGGAGGGCTGCATGATCCTGAGAGCCCCCACCTCACCCGGCTGGACTATCCTCCCACTTCAGGGTTTCTCTGGGCTTCCATCTTGCCCCTGCTGAGCCCTGCTTCCTCCTCTACCAGCAGCACAACCCCCAGGCTGGGCTCAGAGACCTCATGTGGTGGGATCACTCAGTACCCCGAGGCGGAGGGAAGGAGGGAGGGCTGCAGGGTTCCCCTTGGCCTGCAAACAGGAACACAGGGTGTTTCTCAGTGGCTGCGAGAATGCTGATGAAAACCCCAGGATGTTGTGTCACCGTGGTGGCCAGCTGATAGTGCCAATCATCCCACTTTGCCCTGAGCACTCCTGCAGGGGTAGAAGACTCCAGAACCTTCTCTCAGGCCCATGGCCCAAGCAGCCCATGGAACTTCATAACCTGAGCTCTCCATCTCCCTCTCTCTCCTCCTCTGTTCTCCCTCCCTCCTTCTCTCCCTCACCCTCCTCTGCTCCCTCTGCCTTTACCACTGTGGGGGGGTCCTCTGGAGGGCCCTGCCACCCCACCTCTTCCTCGCTGGTGTCTGCCTTCCTGGCACCAATCCTGGCCCTGGAGTTTGTCCTGGGCCTGGTGGGGAACAGTTTGGCCCTCTTCATCTTCTGCATCCACACGCGGCCCTGGACCTCCAACACGGTGTTCCTGGTCAGCCTGGTGGCCGCTGACTTCCTCCTGATCAGCAACCTGCCCCTCCGCGTGGACTACTACCTCCTCCATGAGACCTGGCGCTTTGGGGCTGCTGCCTGCAAAGTCAACCTCTTCATGCTGTCCACCAACCGCACGGCCAGCGTTGTCTTCCTCACAGCCATCGCACTCAACCGCTACCTGAAGGTGGTGCAGCCCCACCACGTGCTGAGCCGTGCTTCCGTGGGGGCAGCTGCCCGGGTGGCCGGGGGACTCTGGGTGGGCATCCTGCTCCTCAACGGGCACCTGCTCCTGAGCACCTTCTCCGGCCCCTCCTGCCTCAGCTACAGGGTGGGCACGAAGCCCTCGGCCTCGCTCCGCTGGCACCAGGCACTGTACCTGCTGGAGTTCTTCCTGCCACTGGCGCTCATCCTCTTTGCTATTGTGAGCATTGGGCTCACCATCCGGAACCGTGGTCTGGGCGGGCAGGCAGGCCCGCAGAGGGCCATGCGTGTGCTGGCCATGGTGGTGGCCGTCTACACCATCTGCTTCTTGCCCAGCATCATCTTTGGCATGGCTTCCATGGTGGCTTTCTGGCTGTCCGCCTGCCGATCCCTGGACCTCTGCACACAGCTCTTCCATGGCTCCCTGGCCTTCACCTACCTCAACAGTGTCCTGGACCCCGTGCTCTACTGCTTCTCTAGCCCCAACTTCCTCCACCAGAGCCGGGCCTTGCTGGGCCTCACGCGGGGCCGGCAGGGCCCAGTGAGCGACGAGAGCTCCTACCAACCCTCCAGGCAGTGGCGCTACCGGGAGGCCTCTAGGAAGGCGGAGGCCATAGGGAAGCTGAAAGTGCAGGGCGAGGTCTCTCTGGAAAAGGAAGGCTCCTCCCAGGGCTGAGGGCCAGCTGCAGGGCTGCAGCGCTGTGGGGGTAAGGGCTGCCGCGCTCTGGCCTGGAGGGACAAGGCCAGCACACGGTGCCTCAACCAACTGGACAAGGGATGGCGGCAGACCAGGGGCCAGGCCAAAGCACTGGCAGGACTCAGGTGGGTGGCAGGGAGAGAAACCCACCTAGGCCTCTCAGTGTGTCCAGGATGGCATTCCCAGAATGCAGGGGAGAGCAGGATGCCGGGTGGAGGAGACAGGCAAGGTGCCGTTGGCACACCAGCTCAGACAGGGGCCTGCGCAGCTGCAGGGGACAGACGCCAATCACTGTCACAGCAGAGTCACCTTAGAAATTGGACAGCTGCATGTTCTGTGCTCTCCAGTTTGTCCCTTCCAATATTAATAAACTTCCCTTTTAAATATATTTATTTGCAAGACCAAATATCTGTCTTTAATTCTAACCTGGGACTGTCAGTAGGCGTCAAAGTGAGCGCCCCAAGGTGAAGGGAAACTTGGGAGAGAGTGGGGAAGCCATCCCACAGCCCCATCCCAGGGGGCACTGTCCTTCCCAGAACTTCTGGGAAGCCCCGGCATGTCCTGAAAGGCAGAACTGCTTTCTTGGGTGAGGCCTCAGGCAGGCCACCAGGGCTCCAGGCCCTCGGGTACAGAGTTTGATGCTGGGGACCTAACATCCCTCCCCAGTTCCCTCAATCCACTTAGCCCAGCCCTCTCATATCATGGACAGGACGCACCCCAGCTACTAAAGTCGTCAGGAATAGAAGTGAAAGCCCAGAAGTGTCACACACAGACCAGGAGGGTGGCATCAAGGGTCCATGTGGATGCTGGGGAGGGAGCGAGAGAAAAAGTATCAGGCAGAGGGAGGTGGGCCCGGGAAGGATGAGCGGGTGAGTACCAGACCCCGCCTCCACCGTGTATCTCCAGCCCACTTCCCTGTTCTGAAAATCTACCTGCTGCACTCAGAAACCTACCAAGGTACTGGGGTGCCACCTGGGCCCCCCCCAGGGTTGCTCTTCTGTCTCTCGGCTCCCCATGGGCCCCTCTTGCCCCCTCAACTCCTACTGCTCCCTTTTACTCCCTGGAGCCACGCCTAGGGGGTCCCTGCTTCTCCACGCCCTCTGTCACCACAGGGAAGGGAGTCCAACCCTGGGCGGGGCCACCTCAGCCTGAGTCAGGTCTTTTAGGAAAGGCCTGCACACTCCTGGAGGATGGGGACTGAGCAGCTCCTTCGGGTGGATCCCCACCTGGGGCGCCAACACTTACCGCCAGCTCAACACCAGGCACCTTTCCTCTGGTACCATCTCTGCCCCTGAATGCGCCCACCTGGGCTCAGGGCAGCTCCACGGGCCATTTCCTCAATCTCCTCTTCCCTGGACCCTTCTCCTACCAACTCCTCCCTCAAGTCCTCGCACCTCTCCCAGCACCTGCCCTCACTCCTTCATGACCTGATGGAAGGGAAATGGACAGATACTCCCATGGTTTGCAGGCATGTCTGCAGTCCTGTCTTTTCCCATCAAGGGAGAGAGCAGAGGCTGCCCTTGAGGAGTTCCTGGGTAGATGCTGGTCACAGGGTTCAGGCCCGCACTCCTAACCTGCCCTGGATTCTCCTTGCTCCCCATCTTGACCCTGAGGACTGCTTCCTCACTGACAGTCTGGGTCACACCACCCTTCCCCGCCTTTCCATCATTTGCAAGGCCTTCTCTAAACGGGGTTGGGTGCTCCCTCGCGAAGCAGGCTTCAGGCTGCCGCCACATGGAGGTAGGACTGACTCCCTGGTCCGAACTATGGCCCCAGCCCACTGTACCCTTCTCTGGACTTAGTTCTCCATCTGTGAATAGGAATAGTAATCCTGGCCCTTGCCCAGCTCCAGGGGCTGGGGATGGGAGTAACTATATGCCCAGAGCACTTGGTGAGGAAGGCAGTTATTATGTGGAGCAGGGAAGGGAGAAGGAAGAGGAGTGGGAAGAGAAAGAAAACTGTGTTTAAGTGTAGGGTTTCCTAGAGATGGAGTAGTACCCCGTGGTGGTATAATGGGAGCTGGGGGCAGGCGGAGACCCCATTTCCTACATTTGGGTTCTAAATGGCATTTTGGTCCCGGGGACAGGCTGCACTATCCAGTGTGAATTTTGGGCAGCATCTTCCACCCTTTTTTCTCTTCTTTCTCCTAACATAATCTGCTGCCCCCCTGAGAGAGGATCAGATGGCATGCATTACCTTCCTCCAGGGACTCCTGAGCAGGGGGCAAGCAGGCAGGGCTGGGTGACAGGCCAGCAGTCATTAACTTGCCAGTGCTTACTGGGCACCTGCCGTGGGCCAGACACTGAGCTACAAAGGCAGACAACTGTACTCTCACTTTGAGCTCCCCCCGGCCAAGCCGGGGAGAGACGGACCTGCAAATGGAACCAGCGCAATGCAACCCAGTGCAGGCCAGGGTCTTTTAGGTGGTGATGCACCCTGAGAGCAGAGGCTTGAAGAGCTGACTCTGCCTGGGCTGTCAGGTAAGTCATGCACATAAGCTGGATCTCAGAGGATGAGGAAGGAGAGAAAAGAATGGCATCCCTGGCACTGGAAGGGCATGGCCAGCGCATGCAGCTGTGAGAAGACTCAGTGTGCAGGGGTGTGGGGAGGAGACCACTGAGGCAAGAGAGGAGGAGGCCTACCACAGAGCTAGGGGACAGGCAGGAAAGGCAGGAAGGACCAGATCCAGAAGGGCCCTGGTGCCAAGCCCAGGAGTCTGGGTTGATCCTGCAGACAGTATGGCAGGAGACGGGTGTGTGCACGAGGTTGTTAAGTGGAAGATGATGATTGGTTTGCATTTTCATCAGTTACTCTGGCAAGAGCATGAGGGTAGGGGACGTGGGAGATGACCTATGTCTGTATTCCAAGCAAAGGCCTGAAGAAAGGCAGCAGCAGAGACCACGGAGGGTCCAAATGGGGAGGCTGTGTGGGGGACACACTGAGGATGCAGGTGGTGGAGCAGGTTTGGAGGTAAAACAAGTTGTAGGGGCTTGGAAGACACCCAGGCAAACATGTACAGTAGCACACTTCGGACTGGAGATAGAAGCAAGGGTCTTCCACTCACCAGGGCTATGGGAAAGAATGTGGTCATCTGGTGAGAATGAAGAGAATCAAGAAACATCCTTTAAAAAAATCCCTGCAAGTAAGGGACACATGTAGGAAAACCCAGTGAAATGCTCAGAAAAAAAAAAAAAATCTTTAGGAAAAAAGCAGGACTGCAGAAGAAAAGAAGTCAAGGCAATCTTCACCCAAGTAAGAGATTGCCCATTAAAAAGGACAGAATCAAGCCATCTTTTATGAAGGTAAAAGCCAAACATAAAATACCCAGACAGTCTGCAAAGTGCCTCCTGCAAGAACAGAGCATTTTCAAAAGTGTTTCCTAATTACATATTGAAGAGAGTTGATCTGAAAACCAGTGTCCATGTCTGACACTGTCTGGTCAATGAACACCCTGGATGGACAACCTGGATTAACAATGCACTGTCTGGGTCTATTTTTTAAAAGCTTTTCAAAAAGTGATAGGTTGTCATTGTATGAAATTTAATAATATGCAAAACATGCTATCATTTATGGATTCATACATACGCATTAATTGTATAAAATCATGTATGGGATGATAAACACTAAATTAAAGAGAGTACTTACTGCTGAGATGGAGGAAAAATGGGAAGTGGCACACAGGTGATTTACTACTAGATCTGAAATTATCTTTGTAAAAAAAATCTGAAAAAACGACTATGAATGACATCTGCATGTTACTTAGCATTGCTTTGGGTAGAGAATAAAGGGATTAGTGTAACGAATGAAGAAAATTCATATGGCTACAACATCTTCAAATGCTCAAGAAAGCTCAAAGAGGATGACTTAAGAATAGCATTGGATTTAACAATTAGAAGGTCATTAAATGTGACTTTATTGACAGCAATTTCAGTGAGTGGATGGGGGTGGGGGCAGAATGGAAGCCATAAAGTGCTATAATGGGTTGAGGAATTAATGAGATTTGAAGTAATGGAGACAACTCTTCCCCTTTCAACAAATGTGCCAGTAAAAGGAGAGAAGATAATAGCTTTAGATGAAACTAAGCAGAGGACAGATGTTTTGGTGGTTTGACTGTTCTGTTATTTGGTGGATTAGATGAAGAGATTTTTAAATACAGGAGGAGAAGGGAGAAAAGAAAAATACTGGGGAGGAGGGGAATGATGATGGGGACTGGAATGTACCAGACCTTATTCTAAGCATTTTACACATATTAATTTTTTTAGTCCTGATGAGGGAGATTCCATTATTATCCCATTTTACAGATGGAAACACTGAGGCACACAGAGGTTGAATAATTTGCCCAAGGTCATCCAGCTAGTAAGTGGCAGTCTGGCCTGAGTCAAGACACTATTGCAAGGCCCTAAGGGAGTGGAAGGATGAATGCAGCTCATGGGTGGCAGGAGGGTCTGTCCCCAGAAGATAGAAGGATGCCTCTTTGAGCTGGAGCAATGGCACTATTTCAGTAGGTCTTGGGACAAGGGGAATAAAGCTGAAGGGATTCTTAGAAGCCGCAGCTCTCAGGGGATAAGGACTTAAAAAGTGGCAAAGGATTGGAACAGCTGGTTCTGGAAATAAGAAAATCAAGCTCCCAAAGAAGAACATAGAAAAGGGTCACTAAGCAAGTGGCTCAAAGGGGCCTGGTGAGTTAAGCACCCTGATGAGTTAAGCTGTGGGGTCGTGAGTAGGTGGTGTGGTTCCTCCAGCAATCTCTGCACCCAGGAGCAGAATCAGAATAAACAGAGGGTAAAACCTACCCAGGGAGGGGCAGAAGAAACCTCCTAGGAAGTCCGATGATAAAAACCCAGTCCTGGTATGGAGCTTAAGGTCGGCCCCCTTGAGAGGTATGGCATGCAACACTCTAAGCTACAGAGGAGCTTCCAGAAAGAGGGAGGTGATATTTGAGTTCGCATTAAAAGCCTTAATTTAAAACAAAAAACAAAAAAACAAACAATAAAAACACTAAGAAGGCTGGGTGCAGTGGCTCATGCCTGTAATCCCAGCACTTTGGGAGGCCAAGGAGGGCAAATCACCTGAGGTCAGGAGTTCGAGACCAGCCTGGCCAACATGGTGAAACCCCGTCTCCACTAAAAATACAAAAATTAGCCGGGCATGGTGGCGTGCGCCTATAGCCCCAGCTACTTGGGAGGCTGAGACACGAGAATCGCTTAAACCCAGAAGGTGGAGGTTGCAGTGAGTCGAGATCGCGCCATTGCACTCCAGTCTGGGTGACAGAGCAAGACCATGTCTGAGAAAAAGGAAAAGAAAAAAATAAGCTTAGTGACTCCTTTTAAGAAAATCTTTCAGAAAGCCCAGCAAACAAGAGTCACAAACATGTGTACTTCACAAACACAGGCTGGAGGGGTCCCAAGGGAGCCAAGCTTCACTTTCCCCTATAATGACCTTGGCACAGCAGCTGAGACAGAGTCCACACAAACAGCCAGCCAAACAGCAAACCCCATGTTGGGGCACAGCAGCCTTCCTCAGTGCACCACCTGAATACCCCAGCACCCATCCCCACAACCCAGCACTGGCCACAGCAGGGCACAAGTCACACTGCAGGGTAGTTCACGGGAAAAAGGCTGCCTATTACACCTCATACCTCCAGGCCTGGGGGCACAGGGTCAAAGGCCTCCTACTGGGGTGACCTCGCCTCGTGAAACTTCCATGTCCCCAGGATGTGGCTTATGAGACAGCAGAAGAAGATGCAGACCCTGGGGAAAGGCCTCTGAGAGTCTCAGTGCAGCTGGGGCACAGCAGACCAACTGGCCTGGCCTATTACCTCCCCGGGGCCCTCGGAGCTCAAGGTTCTGAAACAAGGACCACCTGAGGCTGGGCCTAGGGGTGCGTGCACAGTCTTACACCTGAGCCATCATCCTAGTAAAGAACAGCATAAAACCAGGCAAAATTTCCAGGAATTTATTGGAAACACAATACAAATTGGTTAGTAGATGGCATCTCCTTACAGACAGACAATCCACACTGTGGTATCATGCTCAGAACGAATTATCCTGCGGAAACACTCATGAGCACAGGTGCGTGCTCTGGGTTAGCTTCCCTGGCAGGGAAAATCAGAGACATAGTGCAGAGGAACAGGAGGGGTGGACAGAAAACTGGGACATGGCCTTCCTGGGGGGAATGGTGAGGAGGGGCTGCTAACTGAGTAAATTCCCCCAAAGGAAAACAGGGACAACAGTAAAGAATAAAGGCTTCCCCCTCCCTCCCCAAAGCCGTTTCCTCTCTAGGCAGAGTAAAACAGAATCTCCAAACACCCACGGGGCAGCTCCTCCACCTCCCCTCGCCAGGGACTTAGGACAGCAGTGGGGCATAAACACCAGGCTCAGACATGACACCGAGTGCACTGAGGCCACGCACAGCCCCACCTGCTTGCCCTCAGCCCCCTGCTCTGCTCTGAGTGGCAGGGGACTGACCCGGTGGGTCGCCTGTCCCAGGCTCCCAGGGCAGCTGCTTCCAACTGGGTTTCACTACTGTGAGGCACCTGCAGGACTCTGGAGGCCAAGAGGAGGGGAGAGGCTGGGGCCCCCTCTCTCTGCCTGGGGAAATGTTTCTGACAAGAATCATGGCTTCTCGAGGCTCCAGCCCCCACCAGACAGGTCCACAGTGTGGCAGGTCCCCCAGTGGCCTTGGCCCCAGGCTCTGGTGACGCGTCCTCCCCTGGTGCCCAGCCAGTCTCAGGATGGGGGCGGCTTGCTGTTGTTGTTCCCCACCTCTGGGTTGCCCCTCACTCCCCTGTTTTGCCTCTCAGCTTTTCTTGTTTTGTGTTAAACAAATCTCTGGATGAAAACCCCCACTTGAAATCCATTTTCCTGGGTGGGCCCTGAGAGATGGAAACTGGGCTGTGCACAAGGGGAATTGTGAAGGGCAGGCTGAAACCTTCCGGCGACACCCTCCAGTCGGCCCTCCTCTCTTGCGCACCTTTAAGAAGTGAAGGGTGGGCAGGCGATGACTGAGCCAGAGGGGGAGATAGCCTGCAGAGCCTGTGTCCTCACCCCAGGGGCATGTCTGCTGGGGGCTGCGCAGACAGTCTCTGCACGTCCACCCATGTGCTCACTGAACCACAGTGACATGCCACTGACACACAGCAGGGACACCATGGCCCCAGAAAGGGAGCGGGTGGCTGGGAAACCCTCTCAGCACCAAATGCTTCCAACGGCAAAGGCACAGACTAGAGGCGCCTCGGCACCCTTCCTCCATTGCCTGGGGGATTCTGTCAGAACGAGGGGGCAGTTTCCAGAGACAAAGGGAGAGCGTGAAGTCTCAGTCAACATCACCCTCCTAGGATGACTGGACTACAGAACCACGAGCTTTACTTACAAGAGGAAGGAAAAGCCTGCTTGGCACACGTGGCTCGAACAAGCTGCGCTTTTCCCAAAGCCAAATGTCAACTGGGTAGATAGGAGGGGCCTCCCTTCTCCTGCTTCAGACCTGGCCTGACTCCTGTCTCCAAATCTCTTGGGCCTGGGTGAGAGGGCCTCTCCCAAAAGGCAGAGAAAATGAAGCTGGCAGCTGAGTCACGGGCAGCTAATTGTTTCCAGAATCTGCAGTCACCACTTAGTAGGGGTTCAGAGAGAAAGTGAAAGGGTGAGGGAATCATTTCCCCTTCTGGGTCCAAGTACGACAATAAATCCAGAGCAGGGTACAGACAGACAGCTTTCCTGTGTCTTTTTCTTTAGGGAAGAAACATCCACGTGATGCGGCACCTCCTCCCAGGTCTTTGCTGAAGGGACCCCTCAGTGGGAACCCTGAGGAGAACCCCTGCCTGCCACCTCCACCCCTCTCACCAAATGCTTCTGACACAGGCCCCACCCTCAGCGCCCCAAGCCAAGACCCAGCACAGCTCCAAGAGTGGGTGGTGGTGGAGACATCCCATGCTCGCCCTTGCAGAAGCCTAAGATGAGAACCAACTCCTCCTCAGAAAAGAAGCTGAGATGTCTGCAAAACCGCCCTCCACCTCACACAGCACGCTCTCTCTGCCAAGCGGAGCTCAGCCTCCGAGGACACAGACATCTACAGCATCATTATCCTTACCAAGTTACCTCGTGCTTCCCAGGGTGTCAATTCAATTGTAGCCACTCTGTCTTGCAACAGCTTGGCTATTTGGGCCTCTCGTATCTGCCATCCAGCTGCCTCCTAGTAACCCCAGAGATGGCTGGGAGATCAGACTCCAGTTGTCTTTCTTGGGACTGTGACCCTGTGCCTGCAAACAGAGGGCAGGGGAGTTGCCAGCCTCACATCTGCTCAGGGAGCTCATCGGGCGCTGAGCTATTCCTATCCTTGCAGCTGCCAGCACAAGTAGCACAGCTACTCAGCACAGCTGAGTGGCCAACTGTGATGCCACCAAGGGCTCGTGCCGAGGGCAGGTGGGAAACACGAAGAGCCCAAGCCAAAGGAGCAGGCAGGTCCCCCGGGGCCTAGGTCACATGTGCTCACAAGATGTTGGGCTGGAGGGGTGGGGGTCATGGGGTTGGCCACACAGACTCATACCCACAAACACAGTTCTCTCACTCCACACCTCTAGGCCAAACAGAGTCTGTCTGCTTAAAATGAAACTAGGTCATTTGTGACCTGCTGTAGGACCCACCTGGCAGCAGTTCTTCATCAGCTGGTTTGGCTGCAAGGGAACAGGGCAGTAAGCAAACGGCTTGTCACAGTGATACACACGCTTGGCACTTTTAACAACTGCTCTTGCTGGAGCTGTCTGTGACCAAGCAGAGCCGGGCAGAACACCAGTTTCTCTCCAACCACAAAACACAGATGATGAGTTTACAGGCTTATCTTTTGTCAGAACCTCGGTAATTCTGTTCCTTGGAGGAGTAGGAGGGAGGGTCACATATAGGAATGCAGAGGGTAAACAGCAAATTCCCCCATTTCAAAAAAACAAGGATGAAGCCTATCGAGAAAAAGCTGAGTGACGGTAACAGCAAGGACAGGGAAATACCTTGAACCTCATAAACACTGGCGCATTTCTTAAGAAAAATCCATTCAGAAAGATGCCATGGCCCTCCTGTACATATTTAGTAACTATACAGCATAAGACCGAGCTGAGCGGACACATGCAGGGTGGCAGCGGCTCTGAGCTTGCAGCAGCCCCACTGCCAAGTGGCCGCTGTTGCTGGGTGGGGCGCAGGGCGCTGCAGAAGGGAGGAGGTGGAGGGGTTCCCTCAGCCCCTCAATTCTCAGCAGGTCTCGCTCCGTAACAGCGAGGTCTCTGACAAGAAAGCGAGGTGCTGCTGATCCACACGTGGAGACACAGGATTTGGAACGTGCACTCCCACAGTTCCTTCCCCGCCCCATTGCGTCTCCATGGATGCACGCAGAGGTCTCCCACTGAAATGTACTGGGAGTGGGGCTGCCTTCTTCCCAGGCACGGCTGTGAACATCAGCAGGACAGTGCAGCAAGTCTTGGATTGTAGAATGAATCAGGGAAAGCTCAGTCTGACACACAGCACGTGAGTTCTAGAAAAGGGAAGTAACAGTGTGAAGGTTAAACAAGTCCCGATGGTGGAGGCAAGATGAAAGGGAGGATGGACTCACCCCTCCCAACATCACAACCTTCAGGGAAAGGAGGCTCAGCAGTAGGTCAAAGAAAATCTCATGACTAGGCCAGGTGTGGTGGCTCATGCCCATAATCCCAGCACTTTGAGAGGCCAAGGCCGGTGGATGGCTTGAGGCCAGAAGTTCAAGACAGTCTGGACGACATAGCATCACTCTGTCTCTACCAAAATAAAAATAAAAAGTTAGCCAGGTGTGGTGGTGCATGCCTGTAGTCCCAGCTACTTCAGGAGGCTGAGGGGGGAGGACTGCTTGAGCTCACAAAGCCAAGGCTGCAGTGAGCTGTGGTCGCACCACGGCACTCCAGCCCAGGCGACAGAGCAAGACCCTGTCTGAAAAAAAAAAAAAGGGCTCACAATGTAGTTTAACACTGGATCAAAGGGAAAGTTTAATTAGGGCCAATAAAATATATAATTGATACTGAAGGACGGAAAGATCTTAAAAGCTGGGTTTTGAATAGGCGGGTTTAGTGGTCACTGGAGAGGTGCTACAGTACACCAGGCAAGAGAAGAGACTCATGGAACTTTTCTGACGGATACTAAGGAATAGGGAACACAGTTGGCTGGGAGGAGGCACGATCTCATCTGAGCTCATCATAATTAATCATAATGATGTGGGCACCCAGAGGCTATGAACACATTTCTTGTAGGAGGGGAGTGAACTTCACTCTCCCACAGTGTCAGGAACTATTCCTATGCCCCTCACTCCCACCCCCTCCACTTCCCCAAAAACCTTCAACTCTGACCATCTGGAGACTACAGCAGAGACAAGTAAATGAAAAAGCAGAAGTGGCCTGCAAACCACATCACCACCGTGTTGTATTAGAAAGTTGTGAAAGCTTTTTACTTAGTTATTAGGAAAGTGGCTAGGAGGGAAGTGGGGTTGTTTGCTGAGAAGGGATAAGATGCTCAGATATTCTCTGCCCCAGGCACATCACCCTGCTGCCAGGAAAGGACCCAGCAATGCTCACCTTCACAGCCTCAGAGCATGCCAAGGAAGGGCTGCAGGATGGAGCAGAGCTGTGTCTTCACTTCATGAGCTTTTCTAGGATAGGGAAGATACCTGTACCCAGCTTGGTATTTGATATGAGCTCAGCAAGTATGTGTTAAATAAAGGCCCAGATAAATTCAGTTTAGGAATCATGCTAACCTTGCTTTATTGAACATACTGTAGGTTATGTAACTACCTTATTTAACCTTCAGCAGAATCTTGGGAGTGTCAGAAAGGTTAAGAACTTGCTCAAGGTCACAGTAAGTAAGCTGAGGAGTCAAGATTTGAATGTAGACCTTAATTTGTGTCAAGTTTTTCCTACTACACCAAGCTGCTCATTCTCCATCCAGCCCAGTGTTCTGCTAACAGCCCAGTAAGAGCATCCTGACCTCCTCAGTGTCTAAATGGAAGGTTATGTAAGTGTCAGCGTCTCCTAGGAGCCACTCTCTCTTTTTGTATTTAGTGGAGCAGGAGCTCTGTCATTCATCTGTCTAAACCCTTATGGAATTAAACCACCTATCAAAAGAGCTGCTTTTAATAGTTTCCCAAGTTTCTAGCCTGCCATGGTAAATTGTGCTTTTATTTGTGCCAAACTTGCCTGCTGCGGTTTCAGAAACAACCCTCTCCTCCTAGCATCTCAGGTTCTGGTGCCCAGGCTCCACTCTGCCTTCTCCACCCTGGCCACGGTTTTCAATTGAGACAGGCCACCTCTCTGTATTCTGGGCTGAAGAATCCCAGTACTTACCACCTGCCCTTACAAGGTTATCACTTCACTCTCCTCTGCTCAGAGCTTCCCCAGATCCTCTGCATTTCCTTGGAGCAGGAACAAGAGCCAGATACAGAGACTCAGCACAGTAGCACAGGCAGAGAGCCCCAGGAAAATGTCTACATCAATTCTCAGTCTCCTTCCTAGACCATGATGTAGCCCAAATCATTTCTCTTTTTGTTTATTTATTCTCAAATGTATTAACCTATATTTGCCACTTTGGTACGTACTCGCCCTGACTGACAGGCACTTATTTTTTTGTTTGTTTGTTTTTTGCAAAATTTTCCCTAATGGTTTGACTACTCAGAAGTACTTGAAGTCCATGGACTTGGAGATTCTGCACTTAAATCAACCAATCCAATGAAAGCAATCCAGCCAGCTAGCTGGTGGCTTCTGAGTTAGTTTCCTTTCCTTCTGAAAATCAGAGAAGAAACCACAGAATTTTAGAAGCTGGAAAGCAGATAAATGAGTGATAACAGACTATGCACTCAAGACAGACAGACTTGAAGGTTCAGTGTGGAAAGCTGAGTACCCAATTTGTCTAGAGAACCCCAAAGGCTCATGAAATGACACCAGGTACCTCTGGAAGTAGGGGAGGGGACTGAAGCAAGGAAGAGGAGTTAAAGGCTCTTTGAGAAGCAGCTGGATCCCAAGAAGCTCTCCCAACTCCATACCACCAGGCAACTGTCTACGTCCCACCAGTCGAGATATTTATTCTCTGACGAGGACAAAACCGTTTCAGGCCTAGGGGACACGAGGCACCATGCACAGCTAAGGACAAGGCTACAATTATAACAGAGAGAGATCAAGTGAACCTATGTCTACTGAATGGTGAGCCCCCAGCCTTCTTCCCATGAAGCTCTCAGAATGCAGGTAACAAACATTTATCCTCTGGGGAACAGATAGGAAGAAACTTCTCTGGGGAATCTGACAAGCCCATGAGAAAATATCGAAAGAAACTGGCATTTATCGTCCAAACACCAGGCCAACCTGATCACCCTACAGTGAACTGCACTACAGGTTCTGCCAAGAACAAGCACAGAGCTTTCACTCTGATTTTTAGTCTCCTACTTTTAAACATTGTTTGACAACAAAGGTCACCAGGGAAAAAAAAAACAAAGACCCTCTAACAGCAGGTGTTAGAGACCAAATAACACATAATCAACAGAAGAGTACAAATTGGAAGAAACAGAGAGAAGAAACAGAGAAGAATACTTAAACAACAAAAAACATGGCCAGGCGTGGTGGCTCACACCTGTAATTCCAGCACTTTGGGAGGCAAAGGCAGGTGGATCACAAGTTCAAGAGATCAAGACCAGCCTGGCCAACAGAGTGAAACCCCGTCTCTACTAAAAATACAAAAATTAGCCAGGTGTTATGGGGCGCACCTGTATCCCAGCTACTCAGGAGGCTGAGGCAGGAGAATCGCTTGAACCCAGGAGGCGGAGGTTGCAGTGAGCCGAGATTGTGCCACTGCACTCCAGCCTGGCGACAGAGTGAGACTCCGTCTCAAAAAAATAAATAAATAAAATAAAAATAAAAAGCCACTATCATTAATATCCTCAGGGAAGAAAAAATACAGTATCTATGAAACATACATAGTATGTTGTTTTTTCTTAACTGAGAGAAACAGGAGGGGAAGCACATAGAAGGACTGAGGAGCTCTGCTTCCTATCGTGGTAGGCTAATTTGACTAACCCTCCAGCCAGTAACAGTGATAAACTCTGGACGAAATATAAAGAACAACTGTTTGAGGCCAGGTGTGGTGACTCACGCCTGTAATCCCAGCACTTTGGGAGGCTGAGGTGGGAGGATCACTTGAGGTCAGGAGTTCAAGACCAGCCTGGCCAACACGACAAAACCCTGTCTCTCCTAAAACTACAAAAATTAGCCAGGCATGGTGGTGGCCACCCGAAATTCCAGCTACTTGGGAGGCTGAGGCAGGAGAACTGCTTGAACCCAGGAGGCGGAGGTTGCAGTGAGCCGAGATCATGCCACTGCACTCCAGCACGGGTGACAGAGCAAGACTCTGTCTCAAAAATACAATAAAATAATTTTTTTAAAAAAGAACAACTGTTTGAAAGTACTAGAGAGCAACCAAAATCAGGTAAAAATTGGAGGGGTTATGAACCTAGAAAAAAGAGAGACAAAGTAAGAAAAAGTGAGACAAAGTGAGAGCCACTCTTAAGTGTCTTTCCCCATGAGCACATTCATGCAGTATGAGATGAATATAGCTCAGGCAGAAAGCTACAGTCTACTAGGCTGAGGAACCAGAGGTCAGAGCTTGAGGCAGCCAATGCAGCTGGAAACTGAGGGAGGAGATCCTGCAGAGGAAGGAGACACAGAAGGGGGAGCCCTCAAATCTACATACAAACTCCCCTCACATTACTTGCTTATTTCTGAACTATGCAAGTACAGGGTGAGATTCCCAGGAGCCCGATGGAAAACATCAGCTAGAAGGCTCAAGGAGCCGAGCAGTGACTTCAAGAGCTGTCCAGTGCTGAGAAGACAGAATTTGGAGTTCAAGTTCTGTGAAGTTAAAGGGGCCTGGTAAACAACTTGGTCTTTCCATTGAAATCCCATCGGACTAAGGGCAAAATTGAAATATGTGAGGCTTAATAAAGCTTCAAACCAAGCCTCCACAGAATCGAAGTGATCCACCAATGTAACTCCTTGCTAGAACAAAACTTACCACTCTGCAAAGGAAAATAACAGAATCCTGAGTCTTTATAACTCATCATTCACACTGACCCAGTATGCATTTAAATATGATTGGACTGGCTGGGCGCAGTGAGAAACAAGAAAATGCAACCCGTAATCAAAAGAAAAAACAGTCCCTAGATTAATGGATAATTCAGATGTTAGAATTAGCAGGTATGGACTTAAAATATTTACTATAAATACGCTAAAGAATCTATAGAAAAAGACGAATATAATGGGTGACAAGGTGGGCAATTTTAGAAGTATAACTAATTGGAAATCTGAAAACTGAAAAATACAAAATCTAAAATGAAAAATGTGTTGGATGGGACTAATAGTAGATTTGATACTGTAGAAGAAATAATCAGCGAACTTGATGATAGAACTCTAAAAATCATCCAAAATGACAAATAGAGTACACACTGTATGACTCCATTTATATATAATTCTAGAAAATAGGCCGGGCACAGTGGCTCACGCCTGTAATCCCAACACTTTGGGAGGCTGAGGCAGGCGGATCATGAGGTCAGGAGATGGAAACCATCCTGGCCAACACGGTGAAACCCCGTCTCTACTAAAACACACACACACACACACACACACACACACACACACACACAAACACATTAGCTGGATGTGATGGCACATGCCTGTAGTCCCAGCTACTCAGGAGGCTGAGGCAGGGGAATCGCTTGAACCCAGGAGGCAGAGGTTGCAGAGAGCTGAGATCGCGCCACTGCACTCCCACCTGGCGACAGAGGGAGACTCCCTTTCAAAAAAAACAAAAAACTAATTCTAGAAAATATAAATGAATCTATAGTGGCAAAAAACAAATCAGTGGTCACCTGGGGGTGAGGTGGGGGAGATGGGGAGGGCAGGTGGGAGGATTATAATGGGGTGCAAGAAAACTGTTGGGGGTGATGATTAAGTTTATTATTTTGATTGTGGTGATGGTTTCCTGGTGTACATATTTCAAAACTTATTAAATTGTATATTTTAATAATATATAGTTTACCAAATGACAATGATATCTTAATAAAGCTATTAAAAATAGTAATGAAAAATGTCTTTATAGGTGTGATATAAACAAGCTCTGTGGGAGTTACATAATAACTGGTTATATTGGTCAAAGAGAGAGATTCTGTTTTCTGAGGCCTGCTCTTGAGGCTTTAAGTGCCCCAACAGTGTAACAAGCACTATGGGCGTTATCAGCCAGGAACTTCCATTGCGCTTGTTATACTGTTGGGGCACCTTAAAGCTTCAAGAGCAGGCCTCAGAAAACAGAGTCTCTCTCCTTGACCTTCTCCTGCCCCCCTTTCACCTGCTCCTCTTTCTCCCCAAGGCAGACCTTAGAAACCAAAAACATATGCTAGTATTCTGCACCCCCACCCCGGTGCCTTTCTGTCTTGGAGCTCTGACCTACCTTGTCTTATGTTGGCCAAAAGACCCTCATTTCAGAAAGGATCCTGCCCCCAGGAGGAATGAATGCTGCACAGAGAGGTCAAGAAGAATCTGAACAGGGGGCCAGGCGCAGTGGCTCACACCTGTAATCCCAGCACTTTCGGGGGCTGAGGTGGGCGGATAACCTGAGGTCAGGAGTTCAAGACCAGCCTGGCCAACATGGCGAGACCCCGTCTCTACTAAAAATACAAAAATTAGCTGGGAATGGTGGCATGTGACTGTGGTCCCAGCTACTCGGGAGGCTGACAGGAGAATCGCTCGAACCCGGGAGACAGAGGTTGCAGTCAGCTGAGATCACACCACCGCACTCCAGCCTGGGTGACAGAGTGAGACTCCATCTCAAAAAAAAAAAAACAAAATTAGAACCTGAACAGACAAGACTTGCTGGGTTTCCCCCCTCAGTCTATTCATATTAGATCATACCCTTTTTGTCCAATCACATTTCTACATGGTTGTTAATCACGCCTACCCAATTAAGTCTCCATAAAAGGCCCAAGCGGGCAGAGTTTGGAGAGCTTCTGGAGAGCTGAACGTGTAAGGTTCCTGGAGGGTGGTGTGCCCAGGGAGGGCATGGAAGGTGCATACCCCTTCTCACATGCCTCGCCCTATGCATCTCTGCATCTGTATTTGGCATAATATCCTTCATAATAGACAGGTAAACATGTTTCTCCTATTCTAGGATCTACTCTAGCATATTAATTGAACCCAAGGAGGGGGTTGTGGAATTCCTGATTTATAGCCAGCAGGTCAGAATCACAGGAAAAACAGCCTGGGGCTTGTGAATGCCACTGGAAGTCGGGTGGCAGTCTTGTGGGACTGGGAGAGCCCTCAATCTATAGGTTCTGACACTCTCCAGGTAGACATGGTCAGAATTGAATTGGAGGATACTCAGCTTATGTCTGCTGCAAAACTGATTGCTTGCTTGGTGTGTGGGGAAAAGTCCCCACACATTTGGTCACAGAAGTCTTCTGTGTCGATTGTTGTTCAGTGAGAGAACAGAAAAATAAGCAACTGCTCTGAGTGTGTTTTTTCCCCTTAATAGGGCTTTTAAAATCTGTGCTCGAACAACATCTGCTGGCTTTACAGATGCTGTAAGAATCATTCTATTTCAAGTTTAATAAAACCAGAAAAAAAGTTTGTTAAAAATCCTAAAAACCAGGGAAAAATAAAGAAAACTGGTGTCACCGTATTAAAATCAGACAAAGATTTCAAGACAAGGAGTATTAACAGAGATAAAGAGGACCATTTTGGCAGGGCGCAGTGGCTCACGCCTGTAATCCCAGCACTTTAGGAGGCCAAGGCGGGTGGATCACAATGTCAGGAGATCGAGACCATCCTGGCTAACATGGTGAAACCCCGTCTCTACTAAAAATACAAAAATTAGCTGGGCGTGGTGGCGCATGGCTGTAATCCCAGCTACTCAGGAAGCTAAGGCAGGAGAATCGCTTGAACCAGGGAGTCAGAGGTTGCAGCGAGCTAAGATTGAGCCACTGCATTCCCATCTGGTGACAGAGCGAGACTCTGTCTCAAAAAAAAGAGGACTATTTCAAAAGGACATAAAAATCCTAAATACAAATATACCCAATAACAGAATTTTTTAATATATGAAGCAAAGTTGACAAACTAAAGGGAGAAACAGATACATCTGGTTGGCATATAAAGTTGAGAAAGTCTCAGCTGGGTGCAGTGGCTCATATCTGTAATCCCAGTACTTTGGGAGGCCAAGGCAGGAGAATGGCTTAAGGCTGGGAAATCGAGACCAGCTTGAGCAACATAGCAAGACCCCCTGCCCCCATCTCTGTAAAAATAAATTTTAAAAACTATTTTTTAAAAAGGTTGAGAAAGTCTCCCAGAAAGTAGAATAAAAAGACAGAGATGATAAGCTATAGAGAAACAATAAGAAAATCAGAGGGCCAGTCCAGGAGGTCCAAACAATATCCTACTCATTTTTTCCTGCTGAATGTTCAGTCCCAGATACTTAAATGTGGTCAGCCCTATTTTCCCAAACACTTACTCTTGGTCTTGCTCACTGGCTGTCCTAGAGGGGCTCAATCAGTTAAGCTGGAATCAGAACATTACGGAAAGGGTCTTCTTAGGTCTCTTCTTTGGGAATCTCCATCTAACAAAGTTAACTTCAAGTCTGCACCTTGGTTTCACATTAATCACTTTTCATATTCATTTATATGTCATCACTTTTCATGTTCATTTATATGTAAATAGTTGCTGATAAAAATAAATATCTGGCTGATAGAGGAAAATGCATAGATTATAACTCAGATGTTTTCTGAGCTTAAAGAGTGCTCAGTCATTTGGAAGGGAAAACAGAAAACAGTGAAATAAACAGTGAGCAGGGCTGAGAAGCTTCAAATGAACCCAGTGGAGGTTTCCAAATCAACTAGACTGTGACAAATTCTTCCATTTCCATTGCCCTGGGGGCCCTGCAGATTCAGAAGGCTTCTCCTCACTTCTTCATGAGGACGTGAACAGATTGCTCAGGGGGATGCCTAAATCAATTGGTTTCTGGGGTTGTTCTTTACTTCCCTGGGCTGTCAAGATATATTACCGTACTGATATCCCAATGGCTTTTTCAGACAGTTATGACTGCTCTTTTGATGGATGAGTCAAACCTCTTCTAAGTCAAATCCTCTTCTTAGATACCTAATCCGCTCCCTCTGCTGTCTCCTTCCCTTTCCTTTTGCAAACCTCTACTCCTCCTCCCAAAACATGTGAGAGACCTAGCTCTCAGACCTAGCTCTCAAGTCAGAGCTACACTTTCCTTCTCAGAGGTCACCTTCTATGGGTCACTGAGAATGGGGGAAAGGGGAACAGAGGGTCAGGTTAATTTAAAAAGATCGTTTACCTGCAGGTAAACAGAGACACTTATTAAGGAGGCAGTGAACCATGGACTGCTGTCACTCTTCTAGGACCTCCATACTGCTGAGAGGGTCTCAAGTCTAGGCCTCTGAGGGGCTCACACACTAGTGCTTCCCTCAGAGACATGATAGAAGTACTCTCTGGGAGAAGCTGTGATATTAGTAAACCCAGGAATGGTCCCAGGGGTGGCTAATTTGGCATCCTTCTAGAATATTCTAAAACACTAAGTTGTTGACTACTTATGCCGAATGCAATTGGATCTGTCTTCTTCATGGCTTCAGAGGTGGAGACCATCTGCTGCCCTCAGACAATGCTTCAATAGGCCTGAAACCCTCTCAATACATAAGGTACTCCGCTATATTGCTTCCCATTCAGTAACCCTGGGGGCATAATAGTCCTTTAGAAAATATTTTTTTGAATCTCAAAGGTTTTAAAAATATATTTAACCAGGTTATGACACTACCCTTTGAGACAAGGAGAGCAGAGGTGAGTCTAGGGACACTCAAGTTCTTCCAGAGACAATGTTTTAAAAGTTTTTTTTAAAACTGCAGTCTTTTGAAATGGCATGAGTTTTTGACAGAAGGCAGCCTGGGCCTAAGCATGCCTAGGAGTGCCATCAGCTGTCCCTGGCAGTCTATTTTTTTTGGAATTCGTGAAGAGAGCAGATGCATTCCCAGAGCTCACTCACTGGTACAATGGCTTTCACCACCACCCATTTCCCAGGGTTGGGATGCCAACAGTTAGAACTGTTGAATCACTGATTTCAGACTCAAGCCATCAGAAGGACAATCTTCACACTCCAGATCATAATATTGTACTTACAGAGTCATCTACATTAGATACCCTCTTCATAGGAGTCTCAAAAATTGTATTACTCAATGCAGAAAATAAATAAGAAAAATAAACAGATCCACAGTGTACTCACATGCCCTAGGGGAAATAAGCCAGAGGAGAGCAGATTCAAAAGGGCTTTATTGTACAATTCATCACTTTCCCTGGCTCAGATGCCCTGACTCTGTCCCACTGAAAACTCATCTCTCTTCTGAGCCTGTTGCTGACATGCTGAGTCCTGCTTCAGTACCCCTGAGACAAAAAGCCATGTCATTTTGGAAAAAGGTTAAGAGCACCTCCAAACGATGGTCTGTATCACTTCACAAGAAGTCTTTCTCAAGGCCCCCTTCTGATAAAGACTGAGATAGCAGGCAATCGCCTTGTCCCTGCTCATTGGAATGGAAGATCTGCAGACTGAACAAAGCTCAAGTAGTTGTCACTGTGGAAAGAACCAAGGGCATCTTCTTAAGGGTCAGGACAGGATGAGAGGCCTGTACAGCCCATCTGCCTTTCTTCTCTCCAGGATTCTTTCTGATTCAGACTTCACTCTGAATAAGATTCTACTGTCTCAAGGTCAGGATGTTCTATCTCCTCTACTGTAGGGTCTCTGATAGAGGAGCCCACAGGGAGCTAAGTGAGTCCTTCCTATAAACCTAAATTCCTGCCTTCAATGCTCCTCAAAATAACTTAATCCAAGGGTAGTTCCTCTTTATAGATACAGGGGCCCTGTAATGTACAAACATCCATTGGAATATAACCATCTACCTTCAAGCAAATCCATAAGTCATATTTTAAAAATCATATTTTTAGGTAAGAAATAAATATAGTTATAAGGAAGGTACTGAAATATTATTTATGTACAGTTCTCAGGACTATAAAAATGGTTGATATCTTAGAAATTTTCCAAATAAAACTTTAATAGAAGCTATTCTTTAAGTCAGAGGTAGAATCTTAACACTTGATAAATACCTACTATGAGTCAGAGACTATGCTGGGAAGAGGATATAATTCAATTTAAATACATTTCATCTTTAGGTGATTCTGTGAATTTTCTCTTCTTCCTTTTTTTCCCTTCTCTCTCCAACACTAATAATATAGCTCCTATGCCCCAACTTCCAGAAAAATATAGTTCCTATACCCCAACTTTTATATTTGGTATATCGGCAGATGAGCTTTACACAGGCAAAAAATGATGGTGAAGGGGTTTTATTAAAAAGTGATGGCTTCAGTGACTCACGCCTGTAAACCTAGCACTTTGGGAGGCTGAGGCAGGCGGATCACCTAAGGTCAGGCACTTGAGACACACCTGGCCAACATGGTGAAAGGCTGTCTCTACTAAAAATACAAAAATTAGCTGGGTGTGGTGACGGATGCCTGTAATCCCAGCTACTCTGGAAGCTAAGGCAGGAGAATTACTTGAACACAGGAGGCAGAGGTTGCAGTGAGCTGAGATCATGCCACTGCACTTCAGCCTGGGCAACAGGGCGAGTCTGCTTCTCAAAAAAAAAAAAAAGAAAGAAAGAAAGAAAGTGATGGCTTTATGGTCTGAGCAAAGAAAAATACCCCACTATATTGCTCTATGCATTCGCAAACATATACCCATTTCCTATACAAAGAAAATATGAACATCTCCCATGTGCAGGAATATGTAGTTTTATTAAGCTTTGCTCTGTTGAGCTTTACAGATACTGTGCTTTTTTAAAAATTGAAGCTTTGTTGGCAACTCTGCATTAAACAAGTCTATTGACACCATTTTTCCAGCAGCACGTGCTCACCTAATGTCTCTGCGTCACATTTTGGTAATTCTTACAATACTTCAAGCTTTTTCTTTATTATATCTGTTATGTTGATCTGTAATTGGTGATCTTTGATGTTACTATTGTAATTGTTTTGGGCCACAAGCCATGCCCATATAAGATGGGAAACTTAATAGATAAATGTGTGTGTTCTTTCTTGAGTGGAGCTCTGAAAAAAAAAATTAATAAAAAAAATGCTATGTGTCCTCTGACTGCTCCAGTGACTGTCCTTTCCCTGTCTTTTCCCCTCTCCTTGAGCATCTCTATTCTCAGAGACACAACAATATCAAAATTAGGCCAATTAATAACCTTACAATGGCTTTTAAGTGTTGAAGCGAAAAGAAGGGTATCTCTCACTTTAAATCAAAAGCCAGAAATGATGAGCCTTCATGAGGAAGGCGTATTGAAAGCCAAGAGAGGTTGCAAGTCAGGCCTCTTGCACCAAACAGTTAACCAAGTGGTGAATGCAACTTGGAAAAGTTCTTGAAGGAAATTAAGAGTGCCACTCCAGTGAACATATGAATGATACGAAAGTGAAACAATCTTACTGCTGATAAGGAGAAAGTGGCCTGAATACAAGATCAAACCAGCAACAACATTCCCTTAACCCAAAGCCTAATCCAGAGCAGGGCCCTAACTCTCTTCAATTCTATGAAGACTGAGAGAGGTGAGGAAGCTGGAGAAGAAAAGTTTGAAGCTAGTAGAGGTTGATTCATGGGGTTTAAGGAAAAAAGCCATCACCATAAACATAAAAGTGCAAGTAAAGCAGCAAGCGCTGATGTAGAAGCTGTAGCAAGTTATCTAGATCTAGCTAAGATCACTGATGAAGGCAGCTACGCTAAACAACAGATTTTCAATGTAGACAAAACAGCCTTATACTGGAAGAAGATGCCATCTAGGACTTTCATAGCTAGAGAGAAGCCAATGCCTTCAAAGCTTCAAAGGACAGGCTGACTCTCTTGTTAGAGGCTAATGCAGCTGGTGACTTTTTAAGTTGAAGCCAGTGTTCATTTACTATTCCAAAAAGCCACACAGCCCTTAAGAATTATGCTTAATCTATTCTGCCTATGCTTTATAAATAGAACAACAAAGCCTAAATGATAGCACCTCTGTTTACAGCATGGTTTACGGAATATCTTAAGCTTGCTGTTGAGACCTACTGCTTAGGAAAAAAAATCAAAATATGACTGCTCATTAACAATGCACTTGGTCACCCAAGAGCTCTGACGGAGATGTACAAGGAGATGAATGCTGTTTTCATGTGCGCTAGCACAACTTCTATTATCCATTCTAGGATGGATGAACGGATGGATGAATGAATGGATTCATTCACTGATTCATTCATTCATTCATTGGAGACAGGGTCCTGCTTTGTCACCCAGGCTGGAGTGCAGTGACATGGCTCACTGGGCCTCGACCTCCTGGGCTCAAGTGATCTTCCCACCTCAGCCTCCTGAGTAGCTGGGACTACAGGCCATGTGCTACTATGACTGGCAAGTTTTTGTATTTTTTATAGAGACAGGGTTTCGCTATGTTGTCCCGGCTGGTCTTGAACTTCTGGACTCAAGCAATCCACCTGTCTTGGCCTCCCAAAGTGCTGGGACTACAGGTGTAAACCACCACGCCCAGCCAAGGAATAAGTTTAACTTTCAAGTCTTATTCAGGAAATACATTTTGTAAGGCTATGCCTGCCATAGATAATGATTCCTCTGATGGATCTGGGCAAAGTCAACTGAAAACCTGCTAGAGAGGACTCACCTTTATAGATGCCATTAGAACATCAGAAATTCATGGGAGGAGGCCAAAATATCAATACTAACAGGAGTTCAGAAGAAATTGATTCCAACCCTCATGGATAACTTTGAAAGGTTCAGGACTTCAGTGGAGGATGTAACTGCAGATATGGTGGACATAGCAGGAGAATTAGAATGAGAAGTGGAACCTGAAGATGTGGCTAAATTGCTACAATCTCATGATAAAACTTGAACAGATGAGTAGTTGCTTCTTACGGATGAACAATGAAAGTTGTTTCTTAAGATGGAAACTACTCCTGAACACGCTGTGAACATGTTGAGATGAAAATAAAGGACTTAGAATATTACATAAACTTAGTTGGTAAAGCAGCAGCAGAGTTTGAGAGGATTGACTCTAATTTTGAAAGAAGTTCTAATGTGGGTAAAATACTATCAAAGAGCATCACACGCCACAAAGAAATCTTTCGTGAAAGGAAGAGTCCACTGATGTAGCAAATGTCAATGTGGTCTTACTTTAAGAAACTGTCACAGCTACCCTAAGCTTCAGCAACCACCATCCTGATCAACAGTGGCCATCAACATTGAGGCAAGACCTTCCAGCAGCAAAAAGATTATGACTCATAGAAGGCTCAGATGATCATTAGCTTTTTTTTTTTTTTTAGCAATAAAGTATTTTTAAAATTAAGGTATATACATTGTTATTTTATACATAATGCTATTGCACACTTAATAGACTACAGTATAGTGTAAACATAATTATTGTCTGTTTGTTTTTGAGACAAGGTCTCACTCTTACTGGGGGACCTGCCCCGATAATCACGTAGGTTCTTTTCTATTTTCCTAAGTGTCGGCTGGCTTGAGAAATAAAGGGACAGTGTACAAAAGAGAGAAATTTTAAAGCTGGGCATCTGGGGGAGACATCACACGTTGGTAGGATCTGTGATGCCCCACAAGCCACAAAAACCAGCAAGTTTTTATTAGGGATTTTCAAAAGGGGAGGGAGTGTGCAAATAGGTGTGGGTGACAGACATCAAGTACTTAACAGGGTAATAGAATATCACAAGGCAAGTGGAGGCAGGGCGAGATCACAGGACCACAGGACCCAGGCGAAATTAAAATTGCTAATGAAGTTTCGGGCACCATTGTCATTGATAACATCTTATCAGGAGACAGGGTTTTGAGATCAACCGGTCTGACCAAAATTTATTAAGCAGGAATTTCCTCTTCCTAATAAGCCTTGGAGCGCTATGGGAGACTGGAGTTTATTTCACCCCTGCAGTCTCAACCATAAGAAACAGGTACGCCCTGGGGGGCCAGTTCAGAGAGCTACCCCTACGTGCGCATTCTCTTTCTCAGGGACGTTCCATGCTGAGAAAAAGAATTCAGCAATATTTCTCCCATTTGCTTTTGAAACAAGAGAAATATGGCTCTGTTCTGCCTGGCTCACCAGCAGTCAGAGTTTAAGGTTATCTCTCTTACTCCCTGAACAATTGCTGTTATCCTGTTTTTCAAGGTGCTCAGATTTCATATTGCACAAACACACATGCTGTACAATTTGTGCAGTTAATGCAATTATCACATAGTCCTGAGGCAACATACATCCTCCTCGGCTGACAGGATTAAGAGATTGAAGTAAAGACGGGCATAGGAAATCACAAGGGTATTGACTGGGGAAGTGGTAAGTGTCCATGAAATCTTTACAATTTATGTTTAGAGACTGCAGTAAAGACAGGCATAAGAAATTACAAAAGTATTCATTTGGGGAACTAATAAATGCCCATAAAATCTTCACAATCCACGTTCTTCTGCCATGGTTTCAGCCGGTCTCTCTGTTTGGGGTCCCTGACTTCCTGCAACACACTCTGTTGCCCAGCCTTGTCCAGTGGTGCAATCTTGGCTCACTGCAGCTCCGACCTCCCAGTCTCAATCCACCCTCCCACCTCAGCCTCCCGAGTAGCTGGGACTACAGGCACATGCCACCATGATCAGCTAATTTTTGTATTTTTTGTAGGGACAAGGTTTCAGCATGTTGCCAATGCTGATCTCAAACTCCTAGGCTCAAGCAATCTGCCTGCCTTGGCCTCCCAAAGTGTTGGGATTACAGATATGTGCCATCACTCCCAGCCAACATAACTTTATATGCACTGGGAAACCAGAAAACTCATGTGACTTGCTTTATTGTGATATTAGCTTTATTGCAGTGGTGTTGAACTGAACTCAATAGTATCTCTGAGGTATGCCTGTAAATGCTGTATTCAATATACAAATCTGGGCCTGTATTCATTCGGTGGAAAAAACACTAGATTTGGAGTTTAGATCCCATCTCTGCTACTTTCTAGCAATGCGACTTTGGGCAAATTCTTCAACCTTCTTGAGCTTCTATTTTTTCCATTCCTAAAATGTAGGTTATAACATTTACCTCATAAAGTATTTGGAAAACCAAGTGATATAAAGTACATGAAAAGAGGGAGGCAGAGCAAGATGATCAAATAGAAGCCTTCAGCAATTGTCCCTGCTGAAGGAACACCAAATTGAAGAACTAGCTACACAAAAAAGCACCTTCATAAGAACCAAAAATCAGGTAAGCGATCACAGTACCTGATTTTAACATCATATTAAGAAAACAGGCACTGAAGAGGGAAGGGAAGAGGGAGGGAGAACACAGTGATTGTGAAACTTTGCATTGGAACCCAGTGCTGCCCTGACACAGTGGAAAGCAATACGAGGCAGAACTCAGCCGGTGCCCACAGAAGGAGCATTTAGGCCAGCCTTAGCCAGAGGGGAATAGCTCATCCCAGCAGTTGGAACCTGAGTTCTGGCAAGCCCTTCCACTGTGGGTTAAAGTGCTCTGGGTTCCTAAATAAACTTGAAAGGCAGTCTAGGCCACAAGGACTGCAATTCCTAGGCAAATCCTGGTGCTGTGCTGGTCTTGGAGCCAATGGACTTGGGGAGCATATCACCTAGTGAGATACCAGCCAGGGCTGCTAAGGGAATGCTTACACCACACTTCCCCCAGTCTCAGGCAGCACAGCTCACAGCCCTTGCAGAGACTCCTTCCTCCTGCTTAGGAGAGAAAAGGATAGAGTAAAGAGGACTTTCTCTTGCAACTTTGATACTGGCTCAGCCACAGTAGGATGGGGCACCAGACACAGCTGTGAGGCCCCCATTCCAGGCCCTAACTCCCAGATGACATTTGAAAACACACTTCAAGCAGGAAGAAAGCCCACTGCCTTGAAGGGAAGGATCCAGTCCTGGCAGGATTCACCAGCTGCTGACTAAAAAGCCCTTGGGCCCTGAATAATCAGCAGTGGTATCCAGGCAGTACTTGTTGTGTGCCTTGGATGAGACTCAGAGACATGCTGGCTTCAGATGTGACCCAGCACATTCCCAGGTGGGTGGCTATGAGGAGAGACTCTTTCTGCTTGAGGAAAGGAGAGAGAAGAGTAAGAAGACTTTGTCTTACAACTTGGGTACCAGATTGGCCACTCTAGGGTAGAACACCAGGTAGATTCCTAAGGTTCCTGACTCCAGGCCCTGGCTCCCAGTTGGCATCTCTGGACCTACTTGGGGTCACAGTGAACTCACTGCCCTGAAGGGAAGATGCCTGGCTGGATATGCCACCTGCTGATTGGAGAGTCCTTGGACCTTGAGTGAACACAGGTGGTAGCCAGGCAGTGATCATCATAGGCCTTGGGTGAGCCCCAGTGCTGTGTTGGCTTCAGGTCTGACACAGAGCTGTCCCAGTGGTAGTCGCCACAGGGGTGCTTGTGTCATCATCCCTTCTCCAGCTCCAGGCAGCTCAGCACAGAGACATAGTGTCCATTTGTTTGAGTGAAAGTAAAAGAAGAGAACAAGAGTCTCCACCTAGTAATCCAGGGAATTCTCCCAGATCTTACCCAAGACAACCAAGGCAAGAGACACAGCATTACTGGGCTGGAGGTGCCCCCTAATGCAGGTATGGCTGCAGTGAACAAAGACTTAGATCACAACACCCAAATCCCTTCTAATAGTTGGAAAGCCTTCCCAAGAAGGATGCGGACAAACAAGCCCAAACTGTGAAGACTACAACAAATACCTAACTCTTCAATGCCCAGACACTGAAGAATATCCACAAACTTCAAGACCATCCATGAAAACATGACCTCACCAAACAAGCTAAATAAGACACCAGTGACCAATCCCAGAGAGATGGAGATATGTGTCCTTTCAGACAGAGAATTCAAAATAAGTGTTTTGAGGAAGCACAACAGAATTCAATAATAGAATAAAATTAAGAAAGATGCTGAAATAATTTAAAAGACCCAAGCAGAAATTCTGGAGCGAAAAATGCAATTGACATACTGAAAAATACATCAGAGTCTCTTAATGAATTGATCAAGCACAAGAAAGAATTAGTCAGCTTGAAGACAGGCTATTTGAAATACACAGTCAGAGGAGACAAGAGAATAAAGAATAAAAAGCAATGAAGCACACTTAAAAGATCTAGAAAATAGCTTCAAAGGGGCAAATCTAAAAGTTATTGTTCTTAAAGAGGAAGTAGAGGGACAGATTGTAGAAAGATTATTCAAAGGGATAACAGAAAACTTCTCAAACCTAGAGAAAGATATCAATATTTAAGTACAAGAAGGTTATAGGATATCAAGCACATTTAACCCAAAGAAGATTACCTCAAGACATTTAATAATCAAACTCCCAAAAGTCAAGGATTTTAAAAAGATCCTAAAAGTAGCAAGAGAAAAGGAACAAATATCATACAAAGGAGATCCAATATGTCTGGCAGCAGACTTCTTAGTGGAAACCTTACAGGCCAGAATAGAGTGTCACGATATATTTAAAGTGCTAAAGGAAAAAAACTTTTATCTTAGAATAGTATATCCAGCAAAAATATCCTTCAAGCATGAAGGAGTAATAAAGATTTTCCCAGACAAACAAAAGCTAAAAAATGTCATCAACACTATACCTGTCCTACAAGAAATGCTAAAGGGAGTTCTTCAATCTGAAAGAAAAAGACATTAATGAGCAATAAGAAATGATCTGAAGGTACAAAACTTACTGGTAATAGTAAGCACACAGAAAAACACAGAATATTATAACAGTGTAATTGTCTGTAAACTACTCATATCTTGACTAGAAAGACTAAAATATGAAGCTATCAAAAATAATAACTACAACAACTTTGCAAGAGATAAGCAGTATAAGATATAAATATAAACAACAAAAAGTTAAAAAGCGGGGGATGAAGTTAAAGTGTAGAGAGTTTCCACTAGTTTTCTCTTTGCCTATTTGTTTGTCTGTTTATGCAATCAGTGTCAACTTGGCATCAGTTTAAAATAACAGGTTATAAGATATTTTTTGCAAGCCTTATGGTAACCAGAAATCAAAAAACATACAACAGATACACAAAAAATAAAAGGCAGGAAATTAAAACATAACACCAGAGAAAATCAATTTCACTAAAAGGAAGACAGGAAGGAAGAAGGAAGAGAAGACCACAAAATAACGAGAAAACAAATTTTAAAAATGGCAGGATTAAGTCATTACTTATCAACAATAACACTGAATGTAAATGGACCAAACTCTCCAACCAAAAGACATAAAGTGGTTGAATGGATTAAAAAAAAAAAAAAAAAAAAAAGGCCCCGTGATCTGTTGCCTACAAGAAACACGCTTTACCTATAAAGACACACAGAGAAACAAAGTAAAGGGATGGAAAAAAAAAAAAATTCCATGCAAATGGAAACCAAAAAAGAGCAGGAGTAGCTATACTTATATCAGACAAAAAAGATTTAAAGACAAAAACTATAAAAAGAGACAAAGAAGGTCATTTTTATAATGATAAAGGGGTCAATTCAGTAAGAGGCAGTAACAATTACAAATATATATGCACCAAGCACTGGAGCACCCAGATACATAAAGCAAATATTATTTGCACTACAGAGAGAGAGAGAGACCACAAAACAATAATAGCTAGAGACTTCAACACCTCACTTTCAGCAATGAACACATCGTCCAGACAGAAAGTCAGTAAAGAAACCTAGGACTTAATCTGCACTGTAGACCAAACAAACCCAATAAATATTTACAGAACATTTTATCTGAAGGCTAAAGAATACATATTCTTCTCCTTAGCATGTGGATCATAGGACAGACCATATGTTAGGCCACAAAAACAGTCTTTAAAAATTTATATAAAATAAATTTATATCAAGTATCTTTTCTGATCACAGTAAAATAAAAGTAGAAATCAATAACAACAGGAATATTGGAAACTACACAAACACATGGAAATTAAACAATATGCTCCTGGGCCAGGTGCAGTGGCTCATACCTGTAATCCCAGCACTTTGGGAAACCTGAGTCAGGAGGATTGCTTCAGTCCAGGAGTTCAAGAGCAGCCTGGGCAACACAGTGAGACCCTGTCTCTACAAAACAACAACAATAACAAAAACAAACAAGCAAAAACACAATATGCTCCTGAATGACCAGTGGGTCGATGAAAACATTAAGAAGGAAATTTAAAAATGTATTGAAACAAATGATAAGGGAAATACAACATACCAAAACCTATGGGATATAGCAAAAGCAAACTAAGAGGAAAGTTTATAGCAAAAAGAGCCTTGATATGGTTTGGCTGTGTCGCCACCCAAATCTCAACTTGAATTGTACCTCCCGGAATTCCCACATGTTGTGGTAGGGACCCAGAGGGAGGTAATTGAGTCATGGCGGCCAGTCTTTCCTGTGCTATTCTCATGATAGTGAAAAAGTCTCACAAGATCTGATGAGTTTATCAGGGGTTTCTGCATTTGTTTCTTCATTTTCTCTTGCTGTCACCATGTAAGATGTGCCTTTCACCTCCTGCCATGATTCTGAGGCCTCCCCAGCCATATGGAACTGTAAGTCCAATTAAACCTCTTTTTCTTCCCATTCTCGGGTATGTCTTTATCAGCAGTGTGAAAACAGACTAATACAGTACATTGGTACCAGCAGAGTGGGGTGTTGCTGAAAAGATACCCGAAAATGTGGAAGCGACTTTGTAACTGGATGACAGGCACAGGTTGGAACAGTTTGGAGAGCTCAGAAGAAGTCAGGAAAATGTGGGAAAGTTTGGAACTTCCTACAGACTTGCTGAATGGCTTTGCCCAAAATGCTGATAGTGATATGGACAAAAAGGTCCAGGCTGAGGTGGTCTCAGGTGGGGATGAGGAACTCGGGAACTGGAGCAAAGGTGACTCTTGTTATGTTTCAGCAAAGAGACTAGTGGCATTTTGCCCCTGCCCTAGAGATTTGTGGAACTTTGAACTTGAGAAAGATGATTTAGCATATCTGGCAGAAAAAATTTCTAAGCAGCAAAGCATTCAAGAGGTCACTTGGGTACTGCATTCAGTTTTAAAAGGGAAACAGCATAAAAGTTCAGAATATTTGCAGCCTGACTATGCGATAGAAAAGAAAAACCCATTTTCTGGGGAGAAATTAATGCTGGCTGTAGAAATTTGCATAAGTAGCAAGAAGCCTAATGTTAATCCCCAAGACCATGGGGAAAATGTCTCTAGGCCATGTCAGAGGTCTTCACAGCAGTCCCTTCCATAACAGGCCTGGAGGCTCAGGAAGAAAAAGTGGTTTCATAGGCCAGGCCCAGGGTCCCTGTGCTGTGTGCAGCCTAGGGACTTGGTACCCTGTGTCTCAGCTGCTCCAGCTGTGGCTGAAAGGGGCAAATGTAGAGCTTAGGCCGTGGCTTCAGAGTGTGGAAACCCCAAGCCTTGGCAGCTTCCACATGGTGTTGAGCCTGTGGGTGCACAGAAGTCAAGAATTGAGGTTTGGGGGCCTCCATCTAGATTTCAGAAGATGTATGGAAATGCCTGGATGCCCAGGCAAAAGTTTGCTGCAGGGGCAGGGCCCTCATGGAGAACCTCTGCTAGGGAAGTGTGGAAGTGAAATGTGGGGCCAGAGTCCCCACACAGAGTCCCTACTGGGGCACTGCCTAGTGCAGCCGTGAGAAGAGGGCCACCGTCCTCCACACCCCAGAATGGCAGATCCACCAACAGTTTACACTGTGTACCAGGTCATTTTGTCAGCATGACCTGGATATGAGACCCGGAGTCAAAGGAGATCATTTTGGAGCTTTAAAATTTGACTGCCCAACTGGATTTCAGACTTGAATGGGCTCTATAACCCCTTTGTTTTGGCCAATTTCTCCCATTTGGAACGGCTGTATTTACCCAATACCTGTACCCCCACTGTATCTAGGAAGTAATTAGCTTGCTTTTGATTTTACAGACTCATAGGGAGAAGGGACTTGCCTTGACTCAAATGAGACTGGACTGTGGACTTTTGGGTTAATGCTAAAATGAGTTAAGACTTTGGGGGACTGTTGGGAAGGCATGATTGGTTTTGAAATGTGAGGATATGAGATTTGGAGGGGCCAGGGGTGGAATGATATGGTTTGGCTGTGTCGCCACCCAAATCTCAACTTGAATTGTATCTCCCAGAATTCCCATGTGTTGTGGGAGGGGGAAGTAATTCAATCATGGGGGTCGGTCTTTCCCACGCTATTCTTGTCATAGTGAGTAAGTCTCACGAGATCTGATGGGTTTATTAGAAGTTTCTGCTTTTGCTTCTTCCTCATTTTCTCTTGCTGCCACCATGTAAAAAGTGCCTTTGGCCTCCCACCAGATTCTGAGACTTCCCCAGGCATATGGAACTGTAAGTCCAATTAAACCTCTTTTTCTTCCCAGTCTCAGATATGTCTTTATCAGCAGTGTGAAAACAGACTAATACAAGCCTACATCAAAAAATTAGAAATACTTCATATAACCTAATCAGTGCATATTAAAGAACTAGGAAAGCAAAAGCAAACTAAATCCAAAATAGTAAAAGAAAAGAAATAATAAAGATCGGAGCAGAAATAAGTTGAATCAAAATGAAGGAAGCAATACAAAAGGTCAATGGAACAAAAAGGTGATTTTTTGAAATTATAAACAAAATCAATAAACCTTTAGCCAGACTAAAGAGAAAAAGAGAGAAGACACAAATAAAATCAGAGATGAAAAAGGAGACGTTACAACTGATATCACAGAAATTCAGAGGATCATTAGAGACTATCATAAGCAATTAAATGCCAACAAACTGGAAAAGCTAGAAGAAATGGATACATTCCTAGACACATACAACCTACCAAGATTGAATCATCAAGAAATCCAAAACCTAAACAGACCAATAACAAGTAATGAGATCAAGGCCATAATAAAAAGTCTCCTAGCAAAGAAAAAAAGCCCAGGACCCTATGGCTTCACTGCTGAATTTTATAAAACATTTAAAGAAGAACTAAAACCTATCCTACTGAAACTACTCCAAAAAATAAAGGAGAAAGAAATATTTCCAAATTCATTCTGCAAGGCCAGTATTACTCTGATAGCAAAACCAGAAAAAGACATATCAGAAAAAGCTACAAGTCAATGTCCTGATGAACACTGACGAAAAAACCTCAACAAAATACTAGCAAATTGAATTCAACAATTCATTTAACAAGATTATCTCATGACCAAGTGGGATTTATCCCAGGAATGCAAGCATGCAAGTCAATCACAAATCAATCAGTGTAATATATCACATCAACTGAAAGACAAAAACCATCTGATTATTTTAATTGAGGCTGAAAAGCATTTGATAAAATTCAACATCCCCTCATGATAAAAATCCTTAAAAAACCAGGAATACAAGGAACACACTTCAACACAATAAAAGCCATATATAACAGATCCATAGCTAGTATCATACTGAACAGGGAAAAGCTGAAAGCCTTTCCTCTAAGATTTAAAACAAGACAAGGATGCCCAGTTTCACCACTGTTATTTAACAGAGTACTGGAAGTTCTAGCTACAGCAATAAAACAAGAAAAAAAAAGTCATCAAATTGGAAAATAAGGAGTCAAATTATCCTTGTTTGCAGATGATATGATCTTATATTTGGAAAAACCTAAAGACTCCACAAGAAAGCTATTAGAACTGACAAACAAATTGAGTAAAGTTGCAGGATACAAAATCAACATACAAAAATCAGTAGTATTTCTATATGACAACACTAAACAATCTGAAAAAGAAGTGAAAGATCTCTACAATGAAAACTATAAACCACTGATGCAAGAAATTGAAGAGGACACCAAAAAATGCAAAGATATCCCATATTCATGGATTGGAAGAATCGATACTGTTAAAATGTCCATACTAACTCAAAGCAATCTATGGATTCAATGCAATGCCTATCAAAATACCAATGATGTTCTTCGCAGAGATAGAAATAATAGTCCTAAAATTTATATGGAATCACAAAAGACCCAGTATAGCCAAAGCTATTCTGAACAAAAGGAACAAAACTGGAAAAATCACTTCATCTGACTTCAAATTATACTACAGAGCTATGGTAAGCAAAACAGCATGGTACTGGCATAAAAACAGACATACAGACCAATGGAACAGAATGGAGAACCCAGAAACAAATCTATACATCTACAGTATAAACTCATTTTAAACTCATTTAAAACAATGGTGCCAAGAACATACATTGGAGAAAATATAGTCTCTTCAATAAATGGCACTGGGAAAACTGGATAGCCATATGCAGAATAATAAAACTAGACCCCTCTTTCTTGCCATATACAAAAATCAAATCAAAATAAATTAAATACTTCAATCTAAGACCTCAAACTCTGGGCTGGGCGCAGTGGCTCACGCCTGTAATCCCAGCACTTTGGGAGACCGAGGCAGGTGGATCACAAGGTCAGGGGATCGAGATCATCCTGGCTAACACGGTGAAACCCCGTCTCTACTAAAAAAAAAATACAAAAAATTAGCCGGGCGTGGTGGTGGGCGCCTGTAGTCCCAGCTACTGGGTAGGCTGAGGCAGGAGAATTGCATGAACCCCCCGGAAGGTAGAGCTTGCAGTGAGCCGAGATTGTGCCACTGCACTCCAGCCTGAGCAACAGAGCATGACTCTGTGAAAAAAAAAAAAAAAAAAAAAAAAAAACTCAAACTGTGAAACTAATAAAAGAAAACACTGGAGAAACTTTCTAGGACATTGTTCTGGGCAAATATTTCTTGAGTAATATCCACAGGCACAGGCAACCAAAGCAAAAATAGACAAATTAGATCATATCAAGTTAAAAAGCTTTTGCACAGCAAAAGAAACAGTCAACAAAGTGAAGAGACAATGCACAGAATGGGAGAAAATATCTGCTATCCATCTGACAAGGGATTAATAGCTAGAATATATACGGAGCTCAAACAACTCAATAGGAAAACAATCTAATAATCTGATTAAAAATGGGCAAAAGGTGTGAAAAGACATTTCTCAAAAGAAGACATACAAATGGCAAACAGGCATATGGAAAGGTGTTCAACACCAATGATCATCAGAGAAATGCAAATCAAAACTACAATGAGGTATCATTTAGCCCCAGTTAAAATAGCTCTTATCCAAAAGGCAGGCAATAAGGAATGCTGGCAAAGATATGGAGAAAAGGGAACCCTCATACACTGTTGGTGGGAACCCTATACACTGTTGGTGGGAATGTAAATTAGTACAACCACTATGAGAACAGTTTGGAGGATCCTCAAAAAACTAAAAATAGAACTACCATATGATCCAGCAATCCTGCTGTTATATACCCAAAAGAAAAGAAATCAGCGTATTGAAGAGATATCTGCACTCCCATGTTTACTGCAGTACTATTCACAGTAGCCAAGATTTGGAAGCAACCTAAGTGTCCATCAACAGACAAGTTGATAAAGAAAATGTGGTACATATACACAATGGAGTACTATTCAGACAAAAAAGAATGAAATCCTGTCATTTGCAACAACATGGATAAAGCTGGAGGACATTATGTTAAGTGAAATAAGCCATGAACAGAAAGACAAACTGCACATTCTCACTTACTTGTACTAAAAATTTAAAAAAATTGAACTCATGGAGATAGAGAGTAGAATGGTGGTTATCAGAAGGTAGGAAGGATAGTGGTAGGAGGTATGATTAATGGGTACAAAAATATAGTTAGATAGAATGAATAAGATCTAGTATTTGATAGCTAACAGGGTGACTACAGCAACAATAATTTATCGTACATGTTAAAATAACTAAAAGAGTAAAATTGCACTGTCTGTGACCAAAGAAAGAATAAATGCTTTAGGTAATGGATAACCCATTTACCCTCATGTGATTATTAAGCATTATATGCCTGTATCAAAACATCTCATGTATCCCATAAATACATACATCTACTATGTATCCACAAAAAATTAAAAATTAAAAAATAAAGCACATGAAAATTTTCAATCGTAAGATCAATTCTGTAAGGCAAATGTCATCTGTATTCTACAGATTTATAGAGGAGAAAACTCATCCAAAAAAAAAACCATGTGATTCACCCAAGGTCACACAAGAAGCAATCAGAGGAGTAAGCAATTAATCCTAACTGATTCCAAACACTCAGATACCCCTTTTTCCCCCCATGGCACAGACAAGTTCCATCTCCCCCTGCTGCCTTCTCTTCAGGGCTTTCTGACATGGAAATGTTTTCCAGTAATGGCTCTTCTATCCCTGCTGGCCTAAGCCCTCACCTACTCACAGCCACTTGGAGTTAACCAAGTAGGGCAAACATAGTAGGTGATACCTGGTTTGCTAGCAGTAAAAATGTCCACAGTGGAGGAGATGGGACTGGAAACCACAATGACAGCATACGGCACACTGCTGGACCGACATCCTAGGGAGAAAGACTGAAGTATAGGGAGACTGGCAAGGCACTGTGCAGATCTCTAATTTTGAACCTTTATTCTTTTTATCATTACTGACTCCTTGCACTGAGTACTGAGGCTTCTTGCGTATGCAGATTTCTTTCTTTCTTTCTTTCTTTTTAAGAGACAGGATCTCACTCTGTAACCCAGGCTAGAGTACAGTGATACAATCATAGCTCACTGCAGTCTCAACCTCCTGGGCTCAAGCAATGCTTCTGCCTCAGCCCCCGCCAAGTAGCTAGAACTGTGGGTGCATGCCACTACATCCAGCTAATTTAAAACAAAAACTTTTTTAGAGTTGGGGTCTCACTGTGTTGCCTAGGCTGGTCTCAAATTCTGGGCTCAAGTGAGCCTCCCGCTTTGGCCTCCAGAGTTGCTGGGATTACCAGTGCAAGCCACCACTCCCCCTATGTATACATCTTTCATCTTCACCTTTGGAGTTTAGATTCTATTAGATTGGTCACAGGGCCTGTGTGTGGCCCTGGAGTTTCCTTAATAGAGCATACAGAGTTCTGACTATCTGCACCCAGTCCATACCAAGGCCTTTCTTTAAAAGGCCTTCATCAGGGCCAGGAAAGACCGTGATTTTCAGGGAGGAAATAAGAAGCTGTCCATCTTTTTTTTCTAATGCCAAGCAAAATCCTTTCTGCTAGCCCAAATTCACAGACTCCTTTCCCATCATCAAGAACCTGCAATGCAAGGACAAAAAAACAAACACCGCATGTTCTCACTCATAGGTGGGAATTGAACAATGAGAACACATGGACACAGGAAGGGGAACATCACACTCTGGGGACTGTTGTGGGTTGGGGGGAGTGGGGAGGGATAGCATTAGGAGGTATACCTAATGCTAAATGACGAGTTAATGGGTGCAGCACACCAGCATGGCACATGTATACATATGTAACTAACCTGCACATTGTGCACATGTACCCTAAAACTTGAAGTACAATAATAATAAAATTAAAAAAAAAAAAAGAACCTGCAATGCAAAGGTAGAGGGTGAGTGGAGGAGGCAAGCCACTGAAGGGGGCAGGCTGCCCTAAAGCTAAGAGGCCTAAACATCTCAGCAGCCCCGGGTGTTGTTTCCAATTCAGTTTCTTCTGCCCATCAACACTCTGTTTGGTATGCTCATCTGTCTGACATGCTGATAATTAAGTAGCAGTGCTAATTGATTTTATTATTGGATCACACAGAACAAGGCTTTCCCATGAGTTTGTATCTATTTCAGTATATGATGGTAATAACTAGCTCATGAAAAGTATTAACAGAACATTTTTTCCAGTACTTTGAGTTCATCTTGGAAACTCTGGTTAATCAGGATCCTATACCCTGTGGACATAGGAAACAGGCCCATTATCCCAATGAAAAGGTCCATTCGTAACACAAGAATGTGGGCACTTTCTAACATGTGTGCCTCCATTACACTCTTGTTTCTCAGCTCCATGATGCTGGGGGTGGGTGGGACTCTACAAGCACACTTCCCCTTTGCTGTCTGGCTCTGTGTCACACCAGCAGGGCGCTAGAAGGATTCTGCAGTGCTGGAGCAGGGAGGTAGGAACTGCTCGGTCCTGTCCCTGTCAGTGTCCCCCCAGGTAGGTGCAGAAGCTTGTACCAGAACCAGCCTCATCACACCTCCTGAGAGGTGCCTGCACCGGCAGGGCAGTGCCCTCTCCTCTGGGTTGCGTTCTGGCTCTGAGGCCCTCCTTGAGCTTCTGGGTTGTGATAAGCCCAGCTTCTTCCTTGTGCTCTCCCAACCCTGAGAATGGTGGCTGTTTCCTGTGCCCCTGCCCCATGTTCTCTGTTGATTTATTCTGTCCTCCAATATCCATCATACTGATTTCTTTTATGAAATTAGCTGTTGAAATAACTTATATAGTTTCTACTTTGCTGATAGAACCTAATACAGTGCATTTGAGAGCCACGATTTCATTCATAACAGTGGTTAAACGAGAAGATTCTGAAATCAGTCACATCTGAGTGGGAATCTCAATTCATCTCTGTAGTGCCTGGTAACTTTGGAAAATTTAATTCACTTCTCTAGGTCTCATTTTTCTCAATCACCTTCATTTATACAACTAATATATATTGAGTACCTACTACATGCCAAGTACTGTGCTAAGCACAGAGATACAATGATATGCAAAACAAATTCCCTGACCTCCCAGAACCTCCTGTCATGTGAATTAAATGAGAGAACTCAGTAAAGGAGTTAGCACAAGTGCCGAGCACATGTCATCAGCCTTCCTCTCCATCCCATGACAGCAGAGCAAACACAAATGGGTCTTAAAGAAGGAAGTGTTTCAGCAGCTAAGTCTCTTCAGAAAATAAGATGGGTCTTTCCCCCAAAAAGGCTGAAGGTCTCTGTCTACAGAAAACCAAGGATTCATTGTGTGCCCCGTCCATTCCTTCTGTTCAGAGCAGAGAAGCAATGACCGTGTGGCAGCATTCATTCAGAGGGAAATGAAACAAACAGCCCTAGAGAGGGAACACTACAAGGTGACATTTTAAATAAATTCCAGAAAAACAGGTACCTGTGATACTGAGGAAAGAGCAACAGAAGAGGTATTGCAGGCCAGGACTGGGATCCAGAATGACCACAGGGTGTGAGTGAAAGAAGATACCAGAAAGCTGCTATGCTAACATCAGTCACAGTAACAGTCGTGTGTGTGTGTGTGTGTGTGATGGGGTCTCTGTCATCCTCGCTGGAGTGCAGTGGCATGATCAGAGCTCACTGCAGCCTCGACCTCCTGGGCTCAATCGATCCTCCCACCTCAGCCTCCTGAGTAGCTGGGACTACAGACATGCGCCACTAGATAATTTGTAAACTTTTTGTAGAGACAGGGTCTCTCTGTGTTGCCCAGGCTGGTCTCGAATTCCTGCGCTCAAGTGATCCTCCTGCTTCAGCCTCCCAAAGTGTTGGGATTACAAGCATAAGCCACTGGACCTGGCCCACAACGACAGTCTTTTTACCGAAAAGAATATATACGTGTGTGTGTGTGTGTGTGTGTGTGTGTGTGTGTGTGTGTGTGTGTGTGTGTGTTTTTCAGGACTTACTTTATACCTTCTACAGCAATATTATATGCCTAGAAAGGCCAGGGAGGTGGTATAATGGAAAAGAGAGATTCTAGATTACATTCAAGCCTGAATCCAAAGGTTGTGGGCAAGAAAAGGCTGAAAGAAATACATCCAATCTTCACACTTTGATACACTCCTTCTGCTGTCTAGACATCAGGTATATTGTGTCAAGGATGGCCAACGTTCTCATTAGAAAGGAAGTGTTTCTGTAAGACTTCTGGGTAGCTAAATTCTTGACAACCATATCTTAACACATTGATAACCTATAAATGCAAACTCAATTCCTCACCCTCACTGTTTTACACATTTTTGACATTATTATGAACATCAAAAGTCATAATGGAGGAAAACAACCATAGGAAATTATTATTAGAAGGTCTACTCCACATCCTTGCTCTGGGGCCTCATTATAAATAATTTACTGTCACATAAGTAATTTAGAGTTCCAGAAGGCATGAAAAGCCTGGAGAGAGTTTTATTCATAAATAAATGCCAACATTTAAACAATAAAGACAGTTTCAAAGTCCAGAACTACTGAAATGAAGAACATATACTGCCTGGATGATTTATTATGGTTGTGTTTATAGTCCAAATGAGAAGATAATTCAGTTCCACCTGGAGAGTCATTACATGGCCAAGCCCAAGAGAAGTACTTTGGATAAGAGGTGATATTTCTATTTTTCCATTTCAAGCAAATTATTATTTCTGTATTTAGGACATCACCCAGGCAATTCCTTTCATGACATGTAGCACTCTTGAGCAATTAAAAACATTTATAAGGTAAAAGAAGGGACAAATGCCAAATTTAGAATGACCCATGGAACACTGAAGAACCCCCAGAGAACACTGATGTCTTAGACATAAGGCAAAATAATCCCTTCTGCTCAAGAAAACTTAAATGAACAGTGAGCGCGCATCACAGCAAGAACATTATTACCCAGCAGAAGCAATCTGCTAAATACAGATTTCATCTCCAAAAACGCCTCCTAACAGGAGATGGGAGCAAATAAGTACCTCCTGATGGGATGGAGAACTATCCCTTGGCAAAATGTGGCATATGGCTGTATTCCCCCTTATTCCTCAACCACATACTTCAATCATGGAATACAAGAACATGCTTATAATATATTTTTGGATGTGGCAGACACATGCCTGAGTGTGAAGGCACTCTATCAGAACAGCCTCCAGAATTCCTGGGCTTACATACCATCCAGACCATTGTGATGACTGTAGTTTCTTTTCCCCAGAATGCTCAGAGATGTGTGATTTGGAGTTGTTAGCATCCGCTTGGTAGTTGGGGTTTGCAGGCTTGGTGTAGATCGAATTACATTAGGTTTCTTTGCAGGATGGATCTCTGATGGGGGAAAAAAGGTTTCTCAATTCAGAACATGATATTAAAAATCTGTGTGCATTTACATTGGCTAATAGGCACACATCTTATTTCTTAATGAGCTGAGAGTCAGTTCCTCCTGAGCCAGCCAAGGACTTGCATAATGAGTCAGCTTCAAGTGTTGTTGCCATGGCTTTGCTTATCAAGTAAGCTGGTTTTTTCCCTGCTGGCTGGAGCTCTGAGCCTCGGGTTGTGAATACAAGCAAAAACAAAACAAAAAGCCACTTCAGAAGGTCACATACAACATGTGATTTACTAAGGGAATAAGGCATCTGACTCCTCAAGATATTAGACATCAAAAGGCTATCTGGAGAGGTAGCCTTGGGGTGAGGGGGGTAAAACACTTCTGTGCTCTGTCAAACCAGGCACCATGTCACGTATGCGAACTTTCTGAAAAACGGGATTCCTCCTCTGGCTCTGCAACCAGACAGAGTATGGGACCAGGATCAATTACTCGCAGCCTAGAACATTTTGATATAGATGAAACCTGAAACCAAAGTCCAAATACAATAGTCAAGAGGTAGATGAAATGCTTTATCCAAGGATATATCACAAAACCATAATGTGCCTGTGGTATATGCATGTTTAACAAAGGTATATTGTTGTTAGCCATACAGCCCAGAACTACGTGCTCTTATTGTAGATGGACAGAAACTGTAACACTGTAGGAACTGGATTTAAGAACTTCAGTTTACTACTAAAGCTGGGCAGCCTTTTTCTAAAGCTTAGCAGCTCACTGATTCTCAGAGTCATCATGCAGCTGGCCAACTACACACAAGCCACCCTGCCTTCTCACCCTTTCACTGAAGGTAAGGGCTGAGATATCACCCTTATTTACTGGAATTTAGGAAAAGCCATTGGAATTGTTAGAATTACTACAGCTCTGGTCAAAGTCCCACACTTGCCAAAATTTAGAAATGGCTTAAATACTACCACCGAAAAAAGTGATTTTTTTTTCTCCAACATGACATGACAAGTTTGCCAGCCTTGCATTTCATTTAACCTCCACAGTCTATGCTCCATCTAGACCAAACAAGCTGCTTTCAAGTCCTTGGACTCACTGAAGCCTTTGTTCATCTGGTTGTCTTGGCCTTATGAGGGAAGAGAATACGCTTTTCCTATTTTTCTACCTATTCGAATCCTAAATATCTTTTAAGGCTGAAATTAACTATTACTTTCTTCAGGTAGGCTGCCCTAACGCTCATTAGAAAAAATTCCCTCATTGGCCAGGTGCAGTGGCTCACATCCGTAATCCCAGTACTTTGGGAGGCCAAGGTGGGCAGACTGCATGAGTCCAGGAGTTCGAGACCAGCCTGAGCAACATGGTGAAACCCTGTCTCTACAAAAATTTTTAAAAATTAGCCAAGTGTGGTGGTGCACACCTGTAGTCCCAGCCATTCAGGAGGCTTAAGTGGGAGGATCACCTGAGCCTGGGAAGTGGAGGTTGCAGTGAGCCAAGATGGAGACATTGTATTCCAGCCTGGGTGACAGAGTGAGACTCTATCTCAAAAAAAAAAAAAAAGAAAAAGAAAAAGAAAAAGAACAGTCCTTCCTCCAAGTGCCCAACGCATATTACCTGTAATTATTTTACAGGATCTAATCCTTTGTTTTATTGTTCTTACCTGCTTGCTTTCCCCACTACACTAAGAATTTTGAGGGCAAGGTCTTACCCATCTTGGTGTTCCCCAAATCACTTAGTACAGTGTTTTCAACATATAAATACTCATAAATATATTGTGTAGGGATGTGGTTCAGCTGGTAAGAACAGCACAGTCTGGGCCTATCTGGTAGATATAGAGACCAATTTGCCCACAGTAGGAGCACACAATTATTCTTGGAAAGGCTAATAATGTTATATTCTTTTTTTCTTTTCTTTTCTTTTTTTTTTTTTTTTTTTTTTTGAGACAGGGTCTCAATTGGTCACTTGGACTGGAGTGTGGTGGCACAATCTTGGCTCACTGCAACCTCTGCCTCCTGGGCTCAAGCGGTCAATCCTCCCACCTCAGTCTCCTGAGTAGTTGGGACCACAGGCACGCACCACCACACCTGCCTAATATTTGTATTTTTGGTAGAGACAGGGTTTTGCTATGTTACCCAGGCTCAAACTCCTGGACTCAAGCAATCCGCCTGCCTCTCAAAGTACTGGGATTACAGGCATGAGCCACCATGCCCGGCCTATTCTATTTTTTGTGATCAGAAACTTTCCCATGCAAGGTGGGAAGGGGCATCTGGAGACAGTTCTGCAAGGGAATACAGACCGCACTCTTCAAGGACATTACCACCATTACGTAGGTCATGTGTACAATAACCATGTGACATTTTCAGGGGATATCAAAACAACTCTTTAACCCCTGAGAAATAAAGCAAGAAATGGCCGGACGCAGTGGCTCATGCCTGTAATCCCAGCACTCTGGGAGGCCGAGGTGGGCGGATCATGAGGTCAGGAGATTGAGACCCTCCTGGCTAACAAGGTGAAACCCCGTCTCTACTAAAAATACAAAAATTAGCTGGACGTGGTGGCGGATGCCTGTAGTCCCACCTACTCAGGAGGCTGAGGCAGGAGAATGGCGTGAACCTGGGAGGCGGAGCTTGCAGTGAGCCGAGATTGCGCCACTGCACTCCAGCTTGGACAGAAGAGTGAGATTCCGTCTCAAAAAAAATAAATAAATAAAATAAATAAATAAATAAATAAATAAAGCAAGGAATAAGGTAGTACAGTAACATCAAAGAAGAAGCTTTGAGCCTCTGAATCCTGGAACATTCTTTTGGGTAAGGACTAGATAATATACCAAATTCAAGACTACACTTTGATTTTTAAAAGAGTTGATGTCTGCAGTCTGAACATTTCATAATTATAAATCTTTCTGTCAAAGCAACTCTGAGTACATATTTCACTTTACTGAAAAAGAACTATGAGAAGCACAAAAACATGCCATTCTTGCTTCTAGGTATGTGAAAAACCATTATTTTGTAAGTTATTTCTCTTAAAACTTTGTTTAAACAAAGAGATTATTGCATAGTAATTTTGTATACTATTCTTAATTGTGATATTTCAACATAAAAATGGAGCTATCATCTTTGGAGATTTCCAAGTCAGATGGCATGATAAAAATAAGAAAGCAATACAAATGCCTCCCCTTCAAAGTCACCTAAAGCACACCAAAACTATAAATATTTAAGGCTTGAAGCAGTGGCTCACATCTGTAATCCCAGCACTTTGGGAAGTCAAGGCAGGAAGATCGCTTGAGGCCAGGAGTTTGAGACCAGCCTGGGCAACAAAGCGAGACCCTGTCTCTACAAAAAACAAATAAAATAAAAAATTAAAACCTATAATTATTTTAAGATAAGTTATAAACCAGTTTGATCTCATTTTAATAAGTAAATAAATCTTCTATTTAAAAAGAGGTGAGGTGAGTTAGAAACAGGGAAGGGATCTGAAGAAGAATATTAAGACTATTCATCCTAAGTACTAACTGAATGCTTTTCATTTTCTTTTTTGCTTAATCTGTATTTATTTCCATGAATATATATTACATTTTTATTCGATGGCTTTTTGGAAAAAGTAGACATATATCATAAATCTGTGTGTGTATGTGTGTGTGTTGTGTGTGCTGGTAATAAAAGTTTCTGAAACAAAATAAACTGACTATATAAAGGTATCCAATTTCGGCTATTTGAAGGGCCTGAATTAGTTTAGGTATGTCCATTTAGAATTGCCAAATATCTATACTATTCAGAAATTGCTCTTTGAGTTTTTCCTCTATTAGAAAATACCCACCTAAATACCCAATGATACATGCCAAAGGCTTCCTAGTGCTTTTGCTTTTCAGTGGACTTCCAGATAGTTCAGCATGTCTGTCTGCATCTGAGGAGAGAAAGAAACATGGAGATAACCAATGAAATGGATTTCTCTAGCCAGACTACATGCACCACAGAAATAAAGGTACAAGTGGAAAACAGTACAAAATAGCCACCAGATTCCCGCATAATTTCCTTTTGGGTTTGAGAAAATGGTTTCTAGTTCTGGTTCCCAATTTCTAAATGGGATTTACATAAAATAACATGTAATTATTAGTAGTAGTATTATTTTGAGACGGAGGCTCACTCTGTCACCCAGGCTGAAGTACAATAGCGTGCTCTCAGCTCACTGCAACCTCCACCTCCTGGGTTCAAGCAATTCTCCTGCCTCAGCCTCCTGAGTATCTGGGATTACAGGTGCACACCACCATGCTGGGCTAATTTTTGTGTTTTTAGTAGAGATGGGGTTTCACCATGTTGGTCAGGCTGGTCTCGAACTCCTAATCTTGTGTTCTGCCCACCTGCTCATGCCTGTAATCCCAGCACTTTGGGAGGCCAAGGAGGGTAGATCACCTGAGGCCAGGAGTTCAAGACCAGCCTGTCCAACATGGAGAAACCCCATCTCTACTAAAACACAAAATTAGCTGGGCATGGTGGCACATGCCTGTAATCCCAGCTACTCGGGAGGCTGAGGCAGGAGAATTGCTTGAACCCAGGAGGTGGACATTGCGGTGAGCCAAGATCACGCCATTGCACTCCAGCCTGGGCAACAAGAGCGAAACTCCATCTCAATAATAATAATAACAATAATAATTTACATGCAAGAGAATACAGACAGCACTCTTCAAGGACATTACCACCATTATCTAGGTCATGCCTACAATAACCATGTGATGTTTTCATGGGCTATCAAAAGAACTCGTTAACCCCTAGAAATAAAGCGAAAAAAAAAAAAAAAAAGGTACCAGAGTAATATGGAAAACACTCACTTTAAAGCCCCATATGGGTATAGCTAATACACATCCAACACACTCATGCTTTTTTATTGCGTGTGCCCATCTCAGAAATATGCTTCATTTCTAGCCATGGCATTTCTACATTATAGCAGAAATAATCGCCGTAAAGCACAAGGTGGAATCAGTCTTAACGTAAGATTGAAATGACATGGAAGATAAATGACAGCTGCTAAAGGCAACAAACTTCGCCATCTCTGACCTAGATGGGCCATACTTGGCCATCCCTTCCCCACTGTGAAGGCTTAACCTATCTTGGCAAAACTCAATTGTTAGGCTAGGGATTTGCAAGAGTAATAATGGGCCATTTGGTTTTATCACTGGTTTTCTAACCCTGATCAAGCTATGTCATTCATTGGTGCTGAGATTTAAAAGGCTACCTGTGTGCAAACAGAGTATTTCATCCAACAGTCAGAACAGTAAGAAACAGTGAGGATGGGTATTAGCTAATCAGTTTTCATGATGCTCATTATACCCTATTGTAAGACATTTTCAGACAAAAATAAAGCATACAATACAAACATTCTGTGTTTTAATTAGCTGTCATTTGGAAGAGTAGATGTGCAAGACAAAGGGACAAAACAAAACGTGTATTGAAACACTTTAATACTGTCATAAATATTAACAGAATCACTTTAACCTGTATGATTCTACTATGTTTATGCCTTTTTCCCACCTTCAAATATTTGACAAAAATGTCCTACAGGTTTTCTGATTTACTGAAGAATTTTTCCTTTTGCAAACTGAGACATTTCTGGGCATACACACAGGGAATTTCCTTTGATACCCACAGGAATTATTTGCTCTACTAGAGTTAAAATGTGCAAGTCTGGAACTTCAAATAATTTTAAATAAAAGTTAGGTTTTTATGAGTTCTAGCCCTTTCACCAAAAAAAAAAAAAAAAAAAAAAAAACTCTTTTCTGAAAATTATTAAACCGAAGATGGCAAAAGAGCATTTTTTAAAAATTCTCATTGTGGTTAAAAAAAACACAATGAGATACTATTTCACACTAGTCAGAATTGCTATCATTAAGTCAAAAAATAACAGATGCTGGCAGAGAAAACAGGTTGAAGAGAAAAAGAAATGCTATACACGGTTGATGGGAATACAAATTAGTTCAACCATGTGGAAAACAGTGTGGTGATTCCTCAAAGAGCTAGAAACAGAACTATCACCCAACAATCCCACTACTGGATATATACCCAAAGGAATATAAATCATTCTATCATAAAGACACATGCATGTATATGTTCATTGCAACACTATTCACAATAGTAAAGACATGGAATCAACCTAAATATCCACCAATGATAGACTGAATAAAGAAAATGTGGTACATGTACACCATGAAACACTATGCAGCCAGAAGAAAAGAACGATATCATGTCCTTTGCAGGAACATGGATGGAGCTGGAGGCCACTATCCTTAGCAAACTAATACAGTAACAGAAAACCAAATACTGCATGTTCTCACTTATGAGTCGGAGCTAAATGATGAGAACTCATGGATGCACAGAGGGGAGCAACAGACACTGGGGCCTATTGGAGGGTGGAGGGTGAGAGGAGGGACAGTATCAGGAAGAATAACTAATGGGTACTAGGCTTAATAATTGGATGATGAAATAATCTGTACAACAAACCCCCTTGACACAAGTTTACCTATATAACAAACCTGCACATGTACCCCTGAACTTTTTTAAAAGTTAAAAAATAAGTTTAAAAACATTAAAATAGACAAAGCACATACTGCAGAGAGCCTAAAACAATCAGGAATCTGAAAATATAGCACCCAGATATTGGCTAATTATTATGCAACCACTGACAAGTATAAATGATCCAATTTCTTTTCTTCCTATTCAGGTGATTCCCAGGAGAAAAAATAAATTACTAAGCTATGAAGCTTTTCACCTATTGTTGAATAATAGTGAAGATACAGGCAGAAATATAATAAACATCTTGTGGAAGAGTAATCTAAATAAACACTAGGAAGCAACCCAAAGCCTGTAAGGATCAAACGCCTGCCAAACCATTGAGTTAACACTACATAATTTCTTGCTAATATTACTGATTCACCTGAAATTCAAGTTATATTTGGGATAAGGACAAGATAAATTTTTCTTTCTTCTCTATTAATAAAGCTGGAATGAGTCATCTTGGTTATTTCCTCAATGTCTTGACAAAGGCAATCACCATATTACTAGTAATAAGATTTGCCTTTTATTCCAGTCTAGATGACCCAAAGGAAAACTGCCAATATGGCAGCAATTGATAGACATTGATGGCTATCATCAACAAATCCATCAAAGAGGTCACCAACACAATACCCAAAGATACTTCATTTTAAACTATATTTGCTTCTAATTTCTCATTAAAAATAGGAGGATTAATTATATGATGTTCTAAGTGACAATTTGCATTACAGAGTACCTCTGAATGGGAGATCAAAGCTTTTTAGAAAGAAGCATATTTCACTAATCCTCATAATATTTTATAGAAAGTTCCAGCTACTCAGGAGGAGGAGGAGGGAGGATCCCTTGAGTTAGAGGCTATAGTGAGCCATGATCACGCTACTGCACTCCAGGCTGGGTGACAGAGCAAGACCCTGTCTCAAAAAAAAAAAAAAAAAAAAAAAAGTAGTTGGTGGCAAGAATTATGTCTCAACTGTGAAAAAATTAGAGTGAAAAGATTCTAGGACTGCCTTAGTCACTCTTTAACATAAGAAAAGTTGTTGCCATTCAGTAGGAAAAATACAGTTGGCCCTGAGGAAATAGCCATAGGTGGGATTGTCTGGCCCACACTTGAGTTGGTTAGAAGGAATGCTGGGCTGCACTCAATGCCAGGCCAACAATGCTGCCACTTGTCAGACAGTCCTTGCTCCCAAATTACTCACCTAACTCCACTTCAACAGGGAGATATGCATTTGAAGTCACAGATAATGAAAGCAATCTGAGAAATCCCCAAAGAACCCAGAAGGAATCAAAACCTGTCCAGAGAGAACATCTATATCTCACTCAAGTCACTTGACTGGTCACAAGGAACATGTCTTTAGTTTCCTAGAGCAGGGGTCCCCAAGCCCCAGGCCTCAGACCAGTACTAGTGGTAGCAAGTTAGGAACTGGGCCGGACAGCAGGTGAGCATTACCGCCTGAGCTCCGCCTCCTGTCAGGTCAGTGGCAGCATTAGATTCTCATAGGAGCGCTAACCCTATTGTGAACCGCTATGCGAGGGATCTAGATTGCCTGCTCCTTATGAGCCTCTAACTAATGCCTGATGATCTGAGGTGGAACAGTTTCATCCCAAAACCATCACGGCCCACACCACCCAGTTCATGAAAAAATTGTCTTCCATGAAACCTGTCCCTGGTACCAAAAAGGTTGGGGACCACTGTCCTAGAGGATGATCTATATTTCCTTGGGGTTAACCTAGAAATACACTATTACTTTTGTTGAAACTCATGGTTATTTTTCTACAGTGTTTTGGAAATACTGGGGGCAGTGAGATGGAAACCCTGCAATATACACACAGAATTCACAAAAACATCCCACATGTGCATTCAAGAACCCTGTCAAGATAAAACTATCAGTAGAGTTTGCTTCTAGAACTGGAAAGGTATTTTTAAAGAAGCCACAAAACTCATGATTTTTTTTTTATAAATTCAACTATTAATATGTCTTTTTTTAAAAAAAAATCTGCTTGGCAAATACACCATAAAGTCAAAGAGAAAACGGGGGAACTATTTGTATCACATATCACAGATTAAGAGATAACTTTGTTAAAATATAAAAAGTTCCCACAAGTCAGTAAGACTGCCAATAGAAAACAGGCCACGGGCAAAAACAGTTGACAGAAAAGGAGATAAATGGTTTTCAAATATAGGCAAAGATTTCTATCTCATTCAAAATGAGAAATGCAAGCTAATATAACTTGTCATCTGTCAATTAGTCACGGGTTTCAAAGATGGGTAACACTGCCAGCAAAGTTCTAGAGAAATAGGAATTGTCTAGATGTTGTGAGTGGGACTGTGAATTGCAGTTTTTCTACGGGCAATAAAACTACACCAAAATTCAAAATGTATGCTCCTTGGCCCCAACTTTAACTTTTAGGGATCTATCTTGTAAGGAACATTCCCATTTTATACATCAGTATGAAATGATATCTGCATAAGGATATTTGTTGCAACATTATTTATGATAGAAAATGACTGAAAATAACTTAAAAGCTTTTAATAGGAAACTAGTTATGGTACAACAAAATAGATTATGCAGCTGACACAAAAAGGAGGCAGTTTTCAATACAGTGGCACGGTATGTTAAGTAAAAAGCAGCAAGGGACAGAGCAATATAGACAGTATGTTAATATCATATAGAAACAAACAATAAGCCTACTTAGACTCTTATAGATGCACAGAATATTTTTTGGATACTTAAGGCAACGATGATAATGGTTATCATTGAATGGGGTAAATCAGGAATGAGGAACGTGATGAGATTTGTAACCACTTTTGTACCTTTAGAAAAATTTTTCAGTATCCATTCAAAACCAAATTTTTATTAAACTCCCTCGGCTTATACCACAAGGCACATACTAAAAAAAAAATTTAAACTCTCTACCAAAAATACCAAAAGAAGCAAACCAACTATTCTCTCATGATTCAAGCTTAAAATTTCAGAAAAGCTTATACTCATTAACTTTAGCTGAGAAATCTCTAGAAAAATCTCATAAAACACATTTTTCATCAAGTGGGGTCTTGAGATACTTCCAAAGCCAAATTAGCTTCTTCAAACAGAAAAATAGCTTCAGGTTCCTCCCAAATAACCTCATACAGGGGAATACTGTGGCCCATTCAAGTCTGGTATGTTATCAGCCCAAACCACTTCACTCTCTCTGCAAGCCACCAAGGTGCCAGGCAAATCATCCGGATTTACTTTTCCAGGCACTTTAGCTTCATCTTTGGAATGTTGCTAGTAAACCTACTTCTATTTAACCTCAGTCTGTGAGGATCCTGAGTCTCAAGTGCTGATAATCCTGTGTGCATCAGGTGTTTGGATGATTCTGTAGATCTTTGGTGAAGTCTCTGAAATAACGTCTGATGACAATAACAGAGGAACGTCATTCTCCCATACATAGCTTTTTTACTAGGGGGAGGGACCTCAGGGGGGAAAAAAGAAAAGACGGCTAACTTTTTTTTTTTAATAAAATATGGAACACTTCACTAATTTGTGTTGTCATCCTTGCTCAGGGCCATGATTATCTTCCCCATATCATTCCAATTTTTAGTATATGTGCTGCTGAAGTGAGCACGATGTCCAAACTTGGTATTTTATAACCTTGCTGTTGGGCCACAAATCTTAAGAAAACAGTACGTTTCTTTATGCAATGAAGAATTTTGGTCTACCAATCCATTTTTAATAAGTACTGTCTACGTGGTAGAACTGGCTCAGGCATTTTACCAATGTTAGTAACTTTTGGCATGGATTTATACATTCACATATAAAGATTATTAAAATAATATTTAGGTATTTGGGGAAATTGGTTTAAAAAATAAATTTTTCATAGTGAGGCCCCATCTCTAAAAAAAATAAATTAACCGGTGTGGTGGGCCACACCCATAGTCCCACCTACTCAGAAGCCAAGAGGATCACTTGGGCCCCAGAGTTCAAGGCTGCACTGAGCTATGATGGTACCACTGCACTCCAGAGCATGGGCAACAGAGCAAGACCGTCTCTTAAAAAAAAAAATTCCTATATATGGATGAAGAGTGGTAAATCTTCCCACCCCTTTCCCTCACCCTCCCAGGTTCCCTTACCTCAGATGTCATTACTCTTTACATATTCTTTGAGATATTTTATGAATCTGCAAAGACCTTTTTTGTTTTTACTATTTGCTTTAATACAGGTTTAAAAAGCTCCCATTTCTTCACTTTCATGCAGTGTCATCCCATAAACTGACTATGACACTGGTTGTGATGGTGCTGCCGTGGCCAGAGGCAATTGAAGAGGTCACCTTCTACAGTGCTTGGAAGAGTCTCAAGCTCACAGGGAAGAACTAATAAATTATTCTAAAATGCATTAATTAGAACTCTAGATCCATCAATATTTTGAGAATAACACACTTCAGCCTTATCTGAAAGTACATTCACATTGCATCACAGCGATTCTTAACTTTCTGCAGGGTGGAGGAGGGCCTAACACTGCCTTTGAGAAACTAAGGAAAACTTACTGGAAAACACACACACACACACACACACACACACACACTCTCTCTCTCTCCTATACACTCCCAGTAGATCACAGACATGGTTGCCTATGGACATCAGGTTATTAATACCTAATCTCCCTAACAAGCCAAGATCAAGACATCTGCTGAAGAGGTTGTAACAAGGTAAGTATAAGAACAGAAGAGATGATAGCATAATCAATTAGATGTTAGGAAAAGTTCATTGCTTGTCTGAAAAATAAAAAAGAGTAGACGGCTGCTGAAACACTGTCATTTTAAATCTCAAGGTAAAATTATTTAAGAATCTGATTATGTACAACTCAATGACCAGTGAAGCTAAATACAAAACAAAATAATACATGCTCTCTGAATTTCATCCAGATAGACGACTGCTCTTTTATGATTACTATAATCTATATGCTTATAGAAATAAAATACAGGTAACTTAATTATGATCCCTTTTAGCAGCATGGCCCGTCAATTGAGAAAAAAATTAGAACGAGATAAAAGAAAAATATACTTCATTGAAGAATAATCAAAACAAAGATAATGTGCAAATTAACTGAAAATTAACACACAAGCCCTGGGGAAACAGAGTTTCCTCAGCAGCCAACTGAGTTGCTGATGGTTTCTCTTCTAGTCCTAGGACAAAGATGATACTGGATCCCCACCAATCTTAATGGAAAAGTCTCATTCATTTTCATTCTTAAATGTTTTACTTTTTAATTTTTATTTATTTATTTATTTTTTAATGCGGAGTCTGTGTTGCCCAGGCTGGAGTGCGGTGGCATGATCTCAGCTCACTGCAACCTCTGCCTCCCAGGTTCAAGTGATTCTCTTGCCTCAGCCTTCCAAGCAGCTGGGATTACAGGCGTGTGCCACCATGCCTGGCTAATTTTTGAATTTTTAGTAGAGATGAGGCTTCACCATGTTGGCCAGGCTAGTCTCTAACTCCTGACCTCAGGTGATCTGCCCACTTCGGCCTCCCAAAGTGCTAGGATTACAGGCGTAAGCCACCGTGACTGGTCTTCACCATTTTATTTAAAAAATTACATGAAAATGTGTTTTAAATGAGCTGAACAATTTAGACTATAAATATTTCTAATTCCCAAAATGGGAAAGTGGTAACGTAAGTCCATGAGGTCTCAAATGCTAGCACAAAACCTAAATATAAGCCTAAACTCTCAAATATACATGAATCTAATATAGTAATCCCCCTTCTGTGGGACTCTGACATTGCTACCACTTTCTTTTTTTTTTTTTTTTTTTTTTTTTGAGATGAAGTTTCGCTCATTGCCCAGGCTGGAGCGCAATGGCGCAATCTCAGCTCACTGCAACCTCTGCCTCCCGGTTTAAAGCAATTCTCCTGCCTTGGCCTCCTGAGTAGCTGGGATTACAGGCGCCTGCCACCACGCCTGGCTAATTTTTGTATATTTAGTAGAGACAGTTTCACCATGTTGACCAGGCTGGTCTCGAACTCCTGACCTCAGGTGATCCACCCACCTCGGCCTCCCAAAGTACTGGGATTACAAGCATGAGCCACCGCGCCCAGCCCTCAACTCCCTTTACAAAGCATTTTTCTTCTTATAGAGCTGCTACTTAAGTTTTAAAGCCTTTCAACTATTCTGCTAAAAATTATCTTTAGGAACAAAAAATGTTTTTTTCAGTCATCATTCCTTTTATTGATATCCTCTTTAAATCAAAGGGGAACATTTCATAGTAAGAGATTTCTTAGAATGGCTTTAGGATTTCCTATCTGTTAGGCCAGACAGCAAGTTTTGTCACCCCTTAAGGAACAAAAGCTGCACGGCTCTAACATGCTAGCCTGGAATGTGACTCCAGAGCTAACATATTAATTATACACATATTGTCAGAGACATGGTAATGACAAAACGATCCACAATTCATGGACACATATGATCTCTGTGCTAACAAAAATAAAAATAAAAAAGATAAGCAAGACCAAATGTGTTGAAAATAAGAGTAGTAAGTCATGTAAATGTTATGTGGTGATATATATGATACATGATCATGAAATGGAAACCAAACTGGACAAACAGGCTGCTCAACCATATGTTTAGATGCTAGCTTATGAAAATGCAATGTGTAATTTCAGAAAACTCACCCAAAAATGAGTTTAAAATTTACTTGTAATTTGCTAGACCTTCTAATAAATATAGTATTTGTTATGAATCAAGGGTGAATTTCCATAATGTTGTATGACAATTGTAAAAGGTTCATGAGAAAAACGAGAGGTTTACAAAGACATACAGTCTCTAATTAGTGTAAATTGGCAAATTTTATTTAAACCTAATGAATCCATGTAAGACTGGACTGTACTGTCTCGATTATGGAGTCTCATTATAACAGCATCCTTAGGGGTTACATTGTGGCACTACCTAAAAGGTAAAAGTGCTTCAATAAGGGCTCTGCAGGCAATTCCATCACAAAACCCCATGGAATAGGATCACCTCCCACCAATCTTTTGCTAAGCACTACTCTCTGGTAAAGAGTACAGAAGTTTCAATGTTTTGATTTTTTTTTTCCAGGTTGGCATGATACAAATGGCAGCACACAAAAACAATGTTAAAAAATAAACCAAATAAAAGGCTGTACACAAGAACTTATGTTTATTGCAAACAAACAAACAAAAAAAAAAGGAAAGAGAGGAAAAGAGAAAATGGTCAGAAGCACAACATATAAGGTTAAGAATTTAAAAGCATCTTACATTCTGCCCTAATGGCAGCATAATTAATAGCAACAAACGGCCGTCTTGCTGCCTGCCGCAGCCGGAGGGTATTTTTGCAGACCTGACGAGCAAATTTTGTGAAATATGTAGTATGAAGGAAGAAAGCTTGGCGGGTCTTCACTGCAGACTTTGGACTCCCAGTGTTTCGGACTGGCATTCCCTGCATGGCCTGGCGGGACACGTGACTTCTAACACGAGGGTCCTGCAAAATCAGAAAACAACAAACACTCAAGGAAGTGAACTTGCCCAAACACGTTACTGTTTGCATCATGCTCAAAAGAAAAGTGCAACTTTTAAATCTTTCATGAAGCATCTATAACGTCACTTGGTGCACTACCTCTAAAAGAGAGAATTAAAGTGTGCACTTTTGGGAAAGAGGTGGGGAGTAGAGAAGGGAACTGTGGAGAATACTGTACTGCTATACAGGAATCCAAAATCACATTCACAGTAAGTGGTATGAAACTGCCAAGGGGGTTAACTACACTTTTTTTTAAATTAAGGAGTCCTGAAAGCCCGTCAGCACTGAAAAAGGGTAGTCGCCCACTGGTAAACACAGGCGTTTGGCATCTTCAGCCTATGAGGATTTTACCAAAATCACATTTAAACTGTTGTTCACCTCAAGATTAAGTCCATACTTCTTGTCCCTCCAAAACAGCCACGGGGAGAAAAAATGCTTAATTTGCATTTATGACTTTATGTAGTAAGACACGCCTTCAACAGAATGTAAAGGTTACGAACTGTTTTCAAAAGCAATTAAACATTTAATTTGTAAGCTCTCTACTTATGCTAACATCTCCCACACTCATTGTTTTTTTGTCTGAGACCATTATTCTGAATACCTGATAAAATTTAATTTCTCTCTGCTTCTCTCCACACCTACCCTGAATATTGTAGTGCTACGTTTAGCTATAAAGGTAGCTTTCTTCATTTTTTAATTATCCTATACTGTACTTCTGTTTCCAAGGAATAATCAACCCATTTAAAAACATGCCATTTTTCAACACTAAAAAGACTACTGTACCTCTGTAGTTGGGCTAGGAGATAACTTCTCTTCTTCTGACTGGGTGGGCATTTTCAAGCCTCCATATTTTTTCCAATAAAGCCAACAAATTGCACATAATCTACACTGCATATTAGGTGGGCCCCAAGAATACCACTGGTGAGACTGTGTAGCTAAAGCAGAAGAAAAATAAGAAAAAACGAAAAATGCTATTTAATTTGTAACATCAACACAAAATAATCAAACATTTTAAAAATACTTGTCATGCTTAGTTTACAATGTTATTGTTCCCAGCTTACAAGCCAAACATAATAGTATATTTGTTTTTTTAATACTCAGAATTCATTAAACCAACTTATTTCCATTATTATATAAAGTGCTTGTGGCCCTGTTAAAGCTATTCAGTGAAGCATCCTGTATTATGCATTGTGCTGCTGAGGGAGTTTTTGTTTTGTTGATTAAAAATACTCTATTGTGTATGTTTCTGGAAATAGGTTCTCAAAAAGATGGTAGTATTTAAAAAATCTGGGGCCGGACATGGTGGCTCACGCCTGTAATCCCAGCACTTTGGGAGGTTGAGGCAGGCGGACCATGAGGTCAGGAGATCAAGACCATCCTGGCTAACACGGTGAAACCCCGTCTCTACTGAAAACACACAAAAAAAATTAGCCAGGCATGGTGGCACGCACCTGTAGTCCTAGCTACTCGGTAGGCTGAGGCAGTAGAATTGCTTGAATGTGGGAGGCAGAGGTTACAGTGAGCTGAGATCACGCCACTGCACTCCAGCCTGGGCGACAGAGTGAGGCTCCATCTCAAAAGAAAAAAAAAAAAAATCTAAATCCACGTTTCCAAACCCAGGGTTCAGACACCACTCCAAGGATTATTTAAGGTACTCAGGGAGGTCTCATTGATAAAGTCAGGAATCTAATAAAAACAGGTATCTGTCAGCCAGGTGTGGTGGTGAACCCCTGTAGTCCCAGCGACTACAGAGACTGAGGCAGCAGGACTGCTTGAGCCTGGGAGGTTGAGGCCACTGTGATTGCACCACTGCATTCCAGCCTGGGTTACAGAGGGAAGCGGGGAGGAGGAGGGGGCTGGGGAGGGGAAGAGGGAGGGAGTAGGGGAGGAGAGAAGAAACAAACAGGTATCTGTTTTGCACTCCTTTATTTTAATCAATAAGTAAAATCCTTATTTTAAAATCTCCATTTACAGACAGAATCCCTTTCAAGACTCTAAATCCATATGAAGTGAGCATGGGCAGCTGACATCACAGCATGCTTGAGGCCTAAAACTCAGATGATTTAACAGCTAGCTGAACACTGTAAGCTTGTGTTAGTTTTTGTTTTGTAGTTTAAATTACTGACATGTGACATTTAAAATACATGTGTGATAGATCTGAAGTTTAAGAGAAAACATTGAGGTTGAGACATAAGTTAATTGGGTGCATAAAAAATTGTAATTCTGTAAGTTTGCCTTAAAATATTATTTCTCTGACCTGTAAGTTACCTTCAAATGTTCAAACAGCACATGAAGATATCAACTAACACTTCACAAACCAATGTGAAAAAGAGAAAATACAGAGACCATTATATTCATGTTTATCGGGAATAACACTGTACACCCATCATGTATTATTTTTGGAGGATTATTATTTTAGGCTTTTATTTGTGTAAATATTTTAGGCCTATTTTAGGCTTTCATTTATACAAATAACTATTTTATACAAATGAAAGCCTAAAAGCCTTTCCTCCTATAATTTAGAACTAATAAGTCATTTTTTAAATTTTTTATTTTATTATTATTATACCTTAAGTTTTAGGGTACATGTGCACAATGTGCAGGTTAGTTACATATGTATACATGTGCCATGCTGGGGTGCTGCACCCATTAACTCGTCATTTAGCATTAGGTATATCTCCTAAAGCTATCCCTCCCTGCTCCCCCCACCCCACAGCAGTCCCCAGATGTGATGTTCCCCTTCAAAATCTTAAACATTAAGCTATGAATCTATTTTGAATTCTAAATATAAAATTTCACTTAAAACATACATTTTACGTAAACTAATCATGCAAATCATTTTAATAATTGTCAATAAATGCCTTTCTCCTTAAATAACTCAAATTCAATTGGAAAGTAGGTATCATTTAATAAATAGAAAACATCAAGTTCTATCTCTCTGTAAGGATAAATCTTATATTAAGATAACATTTTATCATGGAGATTAGTAATACATGAGTCTAAAGTAAATATTATAAAATAAAAATAGCTTATTCATCATGCACACATAAAAATAACAGAATAATCATTTAAGGGGATATACGTGAGTGTGAAAGGGGTTTGCAAGTTAATTTTTTTTTTGGGGGCGGGGGGGAGACGATGTTTCACTCTGTCACCCAGGTTGGAGTGCAATGGTGCAATCTCAGCTCACTGCAACCTCTGCCTCCTGGGTTCAAGCTATTCTCCTGCCTCAGCCTCCTGAGTAGCTGGGATTACAGGTGCATGCCACCATGCCTGGCTAATTTTTGGTATTTTTAGTAGAGACGGGGTTTCACCATGTTGGCCAGGCTGGTCTCGAACTCCTGACCTCAGGTGATTCACCCGCCTCAGCCTCCCAAAGTGCTGGGATTACAGGCATGAGCCACAGCACCCTGCCTGCAAGTTAAAATCAAGACAGGTTAAGCCACTACCACTTGTCTGCAGGATTCTTTTCATTTTCATTTGAATATACATGAACTACAAAATCCAAGAATTCCCAATTCAAGGTATTTATGATGCTATCCATGTAAAAGCCTGACCTAAAAAATCTTAATTTTCCACAAATTGTTTCCCTTTGTGCTCCCATGCTGCAAAAAAATGGTTAAACACATCCCCATGTACCATTTCTACAAATTCAGCAACTTGGCTCACACCTTCCTTGGGATCAATCGACGTAATCGTACTCACAGCCGTCCCTCATTCCTATATCCTTCCTGAAGGCAGTAGGCTACATGTACTCTCAAAGAGCTACTAAGAACCCAAAATGGGGCACCAAGTAGGTTTTCAATAAACATTCGTTTCCTTCCCTCTCCCATCCCAGGCTACCTTAACTGGAAGGAAACATAGATGATAATATCACCAATGCCCCATTAAGATATTGTATCCTTGCTTGAGATTTAAAATAAACACACAAAGTCTATCAACTACCTAACGGTTCACTTCACCGACCCCATTTAACACCCTGGGCAAATAAAATACTGCCACCATAGATAAATACAGTGGGATCCTGAGGCCAAAAGCAAGTATCATAGAAGAGCATTTCCCAAACTGGTGCACTGAGGGAACATGGTCTGAGGATTATATACAGCAGCTTATCCACACAGAGGCCTTTCCTACAGAATTACTTGGAGCTTTAATTTGTCAAAGTATACTGAGAAACTCCAAAGGGGAATTTGGTATGCATCATGGGAACACAGTTTCTGCAAAGCTAATATGACTCTAAACACAACTCAGCAAACACTGCTATGAAATAATCAACAAACCACAAGAGTACATCAAGGGAAATCCAATGCCTAACTTGAGTGTGTGGTACGTAATAAGGATTCAATAAACAGTCCCTCTGTTCCAGGCAGAAGGTAAGGAGGGGCATCTACTCATTTAGAGGAGACATGCTTGTGCCTTCCAAGGTGCACCGTACTGACCTCAGGCACTTCCCAGACGCTCACACCCCATGAGCCAGAACAGTTCCCGATGCTTAACTGACCTGCTAGAGAAAACTTACCATAGCAGCTCTCACAGGCTCTCCCTAAGAGAGGATTCTGAGGCTGGAACGTGGTCCCCACAGCTCCATTCACAGCACCAGGCTTCCCATTACTAGTGGATATTTGGTTGGGATTTGGTTTGCTGCTTTCAATGAAATTAAAATAAGGTGATAAAATGATTTGTACAATAAGGCAAAAAGCTCTATATCATTACTGATTTACCGTCACTATTTAATAAACATAAACAAACATTTTAAAATGTGTGAAGAAGAAATAAACTGGTAAAACCAAGGTGTTAAATGAACTCACACTACTCATCTTTATAAAACGAGTCTATGAAAAAAGGAATTGCTTATGCCTGACATTCACGAAGTAAATACTGTCCCATCTCTTTTCTGGTCCGAATACAATTTCCTTAGAACATCCTCTGACACTTTTTTTTTTTTTTGGAGACGGAGTCTCGCTCTGTTGCCCAGGCTGGAGTGCAGTGGCGCGATCTCGGCTCACTGCAACATCCGTGTCCCGGGTTCAAGCAATTCTCCTGTCTCAGCCTCCCTAGTAGCTGGGATTACAGGCGCCCGCCGCCACGCCCGGCTAACTTTTTGCATTTTTAGTAGAGACGGGGTTTCACCGTGTTAGCCAAGATGGTCTTGATCTCCTGACCTCGTGATCCGCCTGCCTCGGCCTCCCAAAGTGCTGGAATTACAGGCGTCAGCCACCGTGCCCGGCCCCTCTGACACTTTTGAAAGAGACAAGTTATCGTTTATAAATTCTCCCGAGAAAATAATTATTTGGATCAAACAAATTAAGTGAAAGGCAACATGGTTGTGTTTCGAGAAAGCCACTCTTCAGTTCCTGCTGCTGGTGTGGGGGCTGTGGCTACTGCACTCCAGCTCTCCAGGGAGCTGCACAAAAGCCACACGCTTAGCAGATGCTGCGGGGTCAACAGGGCCCATCTCTAGGTCACTTAGGACTTCAGGAGCTTCTGGCCACTCATGATGACCACTCCGATTACATCTGAAATTTTATCAGAAATATTACATAGCATTTGAAATTTTAAAAACCAGTAAAGGTATTTGGAGGTTTTCCTTTTTAAGACAGTATTTTTTAAGAGGAGAAAAGAGAGGCAGGAGGATGACTTGAAGCCAGGAGTTCGGAGACCAGCCTGGGCAACACAGTGAGACTCTGTCTCTACAAAAACAAAAATAAAAATTACCCAGGCATAGGTGCCTGCGCCTGTAGTCCCAGCTACTCAGAAGGCTAGGGTGGGAGGATCACTTGAGCCCAGGAGTTAGAGGCTGCAGTGAGCCATGATCATGCCACTGTACTCCACTCCAGCCTGGGCAACAGAGGGAGACCCTTTCTTTTGGGGAGCAGGGAGGGGAAGAGACATCTACCAGAAGTGTATATGCAAATTTCCCAAAGACCAAGTCAACAGAGCCATTAATTCCTTAGAAACGTGCAGCCCAGATTATCTTGGTATTTCCCAGGCAAACAAGGCTAACTTTTCCCCATGTACGGTAGGCTAACTCCCCCGCTGCTTATAAACCGTGCCCCAGAACACTGCACAGGTACACATAGTACGTTCTCAATAAATTCATAATTCATTTAACATGTATTTGTTCAGTGCCTAATAAATAAGTCTCTGACCTCAAGGAGCTTTCATTCTCGATACTTTTTGTGTTTATTTGCTAAACAGAAAATAAGCAAAATAAATCAGTAAATAATTTATCGGAAATGAATGCTGAATGGCTAAATGCAGATTATATGCTGTCTTCCCATATCTACTGATGCAATGAGACCTCACAACTATCAAGACAGCTGAAGTCAGAGTTGACTCAAGGTCTTCCACTTTCCACAATTCCATTCACCTGTTAAAGCCTGGTTTGTAAAGTTGGTCTGGCCTGACAGCAAAGACCCTACTTAAGATTTCCTTTTGGTATTGTTATTACAACTATCAGGTGACACTCCCACCACTGCTACCAGAAGAAATCATTTAACCACTGTGTGCACTGAGATCTCTACTCTATAAAATAGGACTATTATTTACACTTCTAACCTGTGTCAGCAATGTATGTTAAGGACAAATTGGTTTTTATTTTTATTTTATTTATTTATTTACTTTTTGAGACAAAGTCTCGCTCTTGTGACCCAGGCTGGAGTGCAATGGCACGATCTTGGCTCACTGCAACCTCCACCTCCCAGGTTCAAGCGATTCTCCTGCCTCAGCCTCCTGAGGAGCTGGGATTACAGGTGCCTGCCACCACGCCTGCCTAATTTTTACATTTTTAGTAGAGACGGAGTTTCACCATGTTGGCCAGGCTGGTCTCAAACTCCTGGCCTCAGGTGATCTGCCCACCTCAGCCTCCCAAAGTGCTGGGATTACAGGCGTGAGCCACCATGCCCAGCCTATTTATTTTTTTTGAGATGGAGTTTCACTCTTTCGCCCAGGCTGGAGTGCAGTGGCGTGATCTCGGCTCACTGCAACCTCTGCCCCCGGCAGGTTCAAGCGATTCTCCTGCCTCAGCCTCCCAAGTAGCTGGTACAGGCTCCCGCCACCATACCCAGCTAATTTTTGTATTTTTAGTAGAGACGGGGTTTCACCATGTTGGCCAGGCTTGTCTCAAATTCCTGACCTCAGGTGATCCACCCACCTCGGCCTCCCAAAGTGCTGGGATTACAGGCGTAAGTCACTGTGCCCAGCCAACAAATTGGTTTTTAAAAGACATTTTTCTTTTTTTTGAGAGAGGGTCTCACTCTGTCACCCAGGCTGGTGTGTAGTGGTGTGATCACCACTCACTGCAGTCTTGACCTCCTGGGCTCAGGTGATACTCCCACCTCAGCCTCTCAAGTAGCTGGGACTGCAGGTGTGTGCCACCATGCCTGGCTCTTTATTTACTTTTTTTTTTTTTTTTTGATAGATACAGGGACTCTATGTTACCCAGGCTGGTCTTGAGTTCCTGGGCTCAAGGGATCATTCCACCTCAACTTCTCAACAGGTGTGAGCCACCATGCCTGGCCTTTAATTTTTTTTTTTTTTTTTTTTTGAGGCAGGGTCACCCAGGCTGGAGTGCAGTGGCATGACCATGGCCCATTGCAGCCTCAACCTCTCAGGCTCAGGTGATCCTCCCACCTCAGCCTCCTGAGTAGCTGGGACTACAGTCACACGCCACCATGCCTGGTTATAAAATAGATAATTATAAAAATGTATTATTTATTATCTATCTACTTAATTTTTTTAGAGACAGGGTCTCACTCTGTTGCCCAGACTAGAGTGCGGTGGCATGATCACAACTCACTGCAGCATCAAACCCCCAGGTTCAAGCAATCCTCCTACCTCAGCCTCCCAAGTAACTGGGCCTACAGGCATTTGCCTCCATGTCTGGATAATTTTTAAATTTTTTTGTAGAGGCGAGGTCCATTTTGTGCAGACTGATCTCAAACTCGTGGCTTCAAGCAGTCTTCCTGCCTCAGCTTCCCAAGTTGCTGGGATTACAGGCATGAGCCACTGCACCTGGCCCTAAAACATATTTTAAATCAGATGGAAGGTGTTTCTCTTCTTACGGTTTTCAGCTGACACTATACTAAGTGAAAAGTGGCGATTTAGAATGACCAGCATTTTCAATAATATACAATATTCCTTTTTTTAAAAATCTACTATATATAGATAGAACTGATTTCCCCTTGGGGTCAAATGACTGGCCAGAGGTTTACCAGAAATATGAAAATTTCTGATATTTAACCCAGGGCTAAATATGTGTGTTGAAAAAGAGCTAATACAAATGTACAGTTGAGCTGCCTTAAAAAAGAATGAGAGCAAAGTTCATTGCTCAACTGAATCTAGAACGTTATTTGATTGAATACATCACTTGTCTTAATGATAATAATCACAAAAGGAAAACAAGTGTGCCAAGACTGCATATAGACATGTGAATCACATAAAATATGTTCTGCAAAACCAGGTACCTATAGATTAATTCCCAGGGGACAAATGATTGATGTCATTGTGACAATCTGTGACTGTAAGCAAACATTTTTAATGTTTTAAAAGACACATTATATGAAATTGCCCTTCCTTTTATCTAACGCTCAAACCTTCCCTCACTCTCCTCATCAGTGCTCCAGATTCCAGCCCTCCTGCCCTCTAGAGAACATTATACACTCCCTCTCTCATCTGCTTGTACCTCCTTGGCTCATATGCAGCAGTGCTCACCATGCCAATAAGATCACCAATGATCTCCATGTTATTAAATTACTTGGCTATTTCCCACCAGCATCCAACACTGTTAAATCTCTCTCCCCCTCCCTGAAACACACTCCTCTCTTAGCTTCTGTGATACCATACTCGCCTAGCTATCATTTTAGCTATCATATTCTATCTGATCTATAAATACTGGATTTATTCAAGGCTAAGTCAAGGCCCTTTTCTTATTGCTATCCCTCAGAAATCTTATCTATGGCTTCAAATATAATTATTGTATGCTGATGAAGCTCAAATATGTATCTCTAGTCCAGACCTTCCCACACTGAGTTTAAGACCAATACATCCAGTATTTGGTGACAGCATATTGAACAACTCTTTTCTGATAAACTCAAAATGACCTAACCTGATTCTCTGCCACAGTTTCTGAGCTTAACAAATAGCATGACAACCCACTTCACTGTGCCAGAAACCTAGGATTCACACTTGACACCCCCGCCCGCCATAAAAGTCAGTCACCTCCAAATATCACGCCATTTCCAGAGCTACTACTCTAGGTCAAGCTAGTGTTATCTTTCCTCTCCAAGAACTTCATAACTGGTCCCTCTGCATCTACTCTTAGTCCTCTTTCTCAAACCATTTCCCAACATATAGCAGGTGATCTTAAAGTGCTAATCTGACCATGACTCTTCATTGTTTAAAATCAACTTCCACTGTTCATGAGAACTCCTGGGTAACATAGGGAGACACTGTCTCTATAAAAAATAAATTAGTCGGGTGTGGTGGTGCGTGCCTATAGTCCCAGCTACCTGGGGGGCTGAGGTGGGAGGATCGCTTGAGCCCAGGAGGTTGAGGCTGCAGTGAGCCATGACTGCACCACTGCACTTAAACCACGGTGACAGAGCAAGACCTCATCTCACAAAACAAAAACAAAAATCAAGCAAAATTTTATTCACAAAACAAGCAGTAGGTCAGATTTGGCTTGCGACTATAGTTTGTTGATCCCTGACTTAGATTACATTGACTCCAAAGTCAGCGTAAAGCCAAATGGAAACAATTATCTGGGTTACTTGGTCAAAACTAGCCAAATGTATTATTTCATGGTGGCAGCACTTTGAAGTATAAGAAAGCTGGTATGCTTGCTTTTGAAAATCTAAGACACATGAGTTGCAACAGTATTTTATTTGAGAAGTGGCTCTTTTATAAATTCATCATATAAAACATATAATTTAGAAGGAATTAGAAACCACTCTGCAGATGGGCTATTACAGTTCTTAATAAAAATTACAGACTCTGTAAAAATTACATGTTCTTAAAATTAAACCAGAGTTATCTGTCTTGTGGTAAAAGATCAATATGAAAGATCAGAACTCATTGTCTATGAGGCCTCCTCTATGTATATAAAAACATGTATTATACAAAATATCAAAATTCCAGAAACAAAAGGCTAGTTATTAAACAACTGTAAATAGGTTGAAGAGGGAGAAAAGGCTTAGAGCAGCACACAGAACTCTGCAATAAATTTCATTTTAATCCTAAAAGAAACTAGGATAGAACAATATACACGTGGTGCTTAATAAACCAATTCTTCCTGAACAAATGAATAAGCAAACTCTGAAAATCTCAACAAAAGGATATAGTACCTTATATTTCTTTTAAATTTTTTGCAGAAACGAGGTTCCCCAAAGTGCTGGGATTATAGGCGTGAACTACCATGCTCAGCCTCATTTAAAACAAAGCAAATGGAAAAAAAAAAAAAATTGGCATTCATTTTGAGATGACAATGATTTCTGAATTCAAAGGATAATAATGATAGAACACTAGACAAACAAAATAATCAAAACCTCTCCATTATTTATCACACATTTACCAAATATGGTTCTAATTGCCATTGGAACCAAGAAAACAATGTAAAATCCTCAACCAAATAAACAACAAACCTCCAAAGAGCAGTATGCATTACCCAAACAAAATCTATAGTTTGAAAAGCTGCTAGCTTTCTGAAACACATTTGCTTCAAATAATACAGCATTTCATAGGTTTTCTGACGCTTTCCCTGCAGCTTTGATTTAATAAAAGTATAGTACATAGTACATTTCTTCCTCTAGTCTTCAGGTTAGTCTATTTGAGGTTTCTCTCACTGGCTCCTTTTTATTGTAGTGGTATAATAGTAAGTCTCATGCTTTGTAGAAGAAGAAAGATACACAAAAGTTCAAATTTTGCTGAAACTGAACAAAATGACATATTCTGCAATGATAAAATTAAGACCAAAACAAATATTTTAAAAGATTTCAATTACTTACTAGGTTGGGATATATACTTGTTTCAGTTTACTCTCAGCTTCTGCTGCTTTTAGACGTTTCTAATTCAAAAGATGAATAAAACATTTTACATGCAATGCCTAATTATTACTACTGTTCATTGTCTTAAAAATTCACAAGAAAATACGTATTAAAGTGTAATTCAAAAATTACCATCTTAAGCTTTTCTTTCATATGCATATTCTTAAACTGCAATAATGTCTAAGAAAAGTCACTAGATTCTGTGGTACACAACTTTAAGTATTAATACAATTTTAGGCATAGGTTTAAAAAAATAAAGCAATGAGCAACTCCATTTTCCATTCCTCTATGACTGAATAAACAGGACCTTTAAAAAGTAACCATTTTTACTTTCCAAATTTAGTTTCTACTTTATTACTTATTTGCCTCTCTAGAAGAAAACACACACACTCTCACTCTCTCTCTCTCTCTCTGCTTTTAGAAAAATATTCAGAGATTATTTATTTCCAAAATCCAGGCAAGAGGAGTGACTGTGGCTATTCTAAGTAGAACTAAATAAGCATTTATTCTCAAATGTTGGGAGATATGCATTAAACTTTAAACCTCAGCTGAATTCACATAATATTCTACTGGAACCAATTAGGAGCCATATGTAGGGAAAGGAAGGGGAAGGAGATTATATAATCAAATCCAGACACTGACCAACATGATAATGCAGGCAAATAGAGAAGTAAAATAACATATGGTTGATGTCCAAAAATAAGACAAACCAGAATATAAGGCTATCTTCTATTTTCCCAATGAGGAGAAAACAGAAATACTTAGGGGGACAACTTGAAACTTTTAGAACAGGGTTGAAGTTTTTGGAAAGAATATTATCTACTTTTCAACCATCCTTGATACCATCATCTCCATCTTTAGAGACTCTTTTTTAATAAAATAGGTTCCCAGACTACATGGTCTTGATCTATACCTAAGTTGTTTATAATAAGCACTTTTTGAATTATATTAATATTGACACTGGAAATTTTTCAACAAGCCATGAGTATCTATTCACTATTTGTGACCTCAGCAATTCACCATGGTACTTTTTGTTTTCAATTTTTATTTATTTTTAGAGACAGGGTCTTGTTATGTTGCCCAGGCTGGACATGAACTCCTGGGCTGAGCAATCCTCCTGCCTCGGCCTCCCAAAATGCTGGGAATATAGGTGCACACCACCATACCCAGCTCACTATGATACTTTAAAAAGTGATTCATAAAATTTTTTTATAGCATCTAATACTTGCCACTGTATAACCTACATATATAGGAAAAATAATGTCTGTGTTAAATATATTTGCCTTTTTATCAGTTCTAATATGTGCCTATACAAACATAACACAAGTATTGACCGATGTCATTTCAGGAAAATGTGCCTTTCCCCAGAGGTAATATTATTCAAAAAATAAGTAATTGAGAGTTACCTGAATTTAGGATATTTGAGAAGGACTCAAAAATTACATTTAAGAAAAAGCTTATGTACAGTACAAAAACACCATACTAGTAAGACTACTACATTTAAGGTCAAGGATTTCGGGGGTATAGCCACACAAATGTCATGTAAAGAGGTTTCAGAAGATCTTTAAAAACATATCAAATTATATGGCTGATGACATTGGTCTAAATACTCAATTCTTCATAAAAATAACTTGTTCAAGAGGTTTGTGTTAGCATCACATCTTTGATCATTGCCATGAACTACAAAGAGATGAAGGATCAGTCAAATGCAAGGAAAATAATGCCTCTCTAGTGGTATCTCTCCAAAATATTTATCATAATTCATGCGAAGTCAAGGAAATATTAAGATTAAAATCTTAAATAATATCCTAAAGATATGAAATCATGTAGTTTAAAGTAGTCTGGAAAAAGTAAGGTAAACAAATTTAAAAGTAGTACATCGCCAAAAAATATTAAAATATAAACAGAAAGTTCACTTAAATGCAACCATATTGGTAGCAATATGAAAAAAATTACCTGTTGCACATATCTGTCAGTAGTTTTCCACATGTAATAATATTCAATGATGCTAGTCAATGATTTCCAAGGAAGCTGAAAAAAAAAAAAATCAACCTATCATCTATGTTAACATATAATAAAATGAGATGAAAATAAGCTACTATAGAAAGTACTTTCCTTAAAAACCACCACTTTCTTTTTTTTTTTTTTTTTTTTTTTTTTTGAGATAGACTGTCACTTTGTTGCCCAGGCTGAAGTGCAGTGGCGCGATGTCAGCTCACAGCAACCTCCGCTTCCTGGGTTCAGGCAATTCTTCTGCCTAGCCTCCCAAGCAGCTGGGATTAGAAGCACATGCCACCATGCCCAGCTAATTTTTTGTATTTTTAGTAGAGACAAGGTTTCACCATGTTGGTTAGGCTGGTCTCGAACTCCTAACCTCAGGTGATCTGCCCGCCTCGGCCTCCCAAAGTGCTGAGATTACAGGTGCGAGCCGTCACACCTGGCCCTTAAAAACCACTTCTTTATTAAAATAATGAAGCAAATATCCACATGGAAGATTCATTCTAGAATATTTGAGAAATTTAAAATTAATCCTTAGCAAACGGTACCCCAAACAAGTCATATTCAGTATGGAATGTGAATACAACACATTCCATTTCTCATTCCGTTTATACATTTTACTAAAAATTATAAACATCATAACTGATAACATTTCTTTCTCTTTTTATTTAAGAGACAGGGTCACCCAGGCTGCAGTGCAGTGGCATGATCACAGCTCACTGCAGTCTCAACCTCCCAGGCTCTAGTGATCCTCCTGCCTCAGCCTCCTCAGCTGGGACTATAGGTGTGACACCATGCCCGGCTAATTCTTTTTTATTTTTTGTAGAGTTGGGGTCTCCCTATGTTGCCCAGGCTGGTCTTGAACAACTAGGTTCAAGGAATCCTTCCACCTCAGCCTCCCAAAGTCCTAGGATCACAGATGAGCCACCGTGACCAGCCCTGATAACATTTCATGACTTACTTGGGAAAGTTCTCAAGCTACAGGTGGGGCTGCAGCACTATTTTAGAAACGGCATTTAAACAGCTCTAGCCTGAGTTATTTCAGCTTCCAAAGATGGCAGCTATGACTGTGTGTCATCTGGTCTCTGCAAATCCTTGAAAGAGGCATTGAGGAAGACAGGAGAGACAGTCTCGTCTTGAATCGCTGATGCCACCCCTCTCCCATCCCCTGGCAGAGGCCTTGCAGTGCCAGAGTCTGTGCATATGGAGGAAGAACATCACAGTGACCAGGGGACTTTACATTGAACTTAGTGCTGCCCTGTGACAGCAGAGAATAAATCCATGCTGGGGTCAGCCAGTACCTGTGTAGGGAGGGAGAATCTGTACCAGACCTAGCCAGAGGGTAATCACCTATCCTATCGGTTGGAACTTGAGTTTCTCAACAAGCCTCATGACCATGGGCTGAAGTGCTCTGAGGACCTACGTAAACTTAGAAGACAGCCTAGGTACACAAGGACTTCAACTCCTAAACAACTCCTAGTGCTGGGCTGGACTCAGAGCCAGAGGACTTCGGGTGGCATGTGACCTAGGGAGACACCCAGGGTGGCTAAAGGAGTGATTGCACCACCCCTCTCCCAAACCTAGGCAGTACAGCTCAGGGGCAAAAATGTCTCCTTCCTTCTGCTTAAGGGATGGAAAGTGAAGAGTAAAGAGGACTTTGTCTTGCATCTTGGATACCTGCTCAGCCACAGTAGGACAGGGCACCAGGCAGAGTCGTGAGGCCCCCATTCCAGGCCCTAGCTCCTATACACATTTCTAGACACCATCTGGACAAAACAGAACCTGCTGCCTTAAAGGAAGGACCCAGTCCCTGCAAGATTCATCAGCTGCTGACTAAAGAGCCCATGGGCCCCGAGTAACCAGCAGCAATGCCTGGGTAGTAGTACACCATGGGCCTTGGGCTCTGAGATGTGCTGACTACAGTGTGACCCAGCACATTCCCAAGCACATTCCCAGCTATAGGTGGCTATGGTGAAAGGCTTCTTCTGTTTAAAAAGATGGAAAAGTAAAGGGATGTTGTTGTTTTGCACCTTAGTTACTGCTCAGCCACAGTGGGGTGGAGGAATAAGCAGGCTTTTGGGGTCCCCAGGTTCAGGCCTCAGTTCCTGAACAGAATTTCTGGACCTGCCTTGGGCCAGAGGGGAGCCCAGTGCCCTGAAGGGTGATCCCAGGCCGGACAGCATTCCCCACCAGCTGACTAAAATGAAGAGCCCATGGGCTTTAAGTGTACATTGGAGGTGGCCTGGCAGAACTACCCCCACCCCCAATAGTGGCTGGGTGTTGGTGTCCACAGGGAGGCCCCTCTGCCTGTGGAAAGGGGAAGGAAAAGCAGGAAGGATTTTATATTGTGGTTTGAGTCTCAGCTTAGTCACAGCAGAATAGAACATCAGGCAAATTTCTAAGGTTTTTGACTCCAATCCCTGGTTCTCAGACAGCATCTCTGGACTCACCAGGGCCTGGAGGAACTCACTACCCTGAAGGGAAGGACACAAACCTGTCTCACTTTGCCACCTGCTGATTGTGGAGCCCTAGGGCCTTGAGTGAGCATAGGTGGTAGCAAGTGAGCAGTTACGACAGGCATGACCCAGCACAGCCCCAGTGGTGGTAGCCACAAGAGTGCTTGTGTCACCACACCCCAGTTCCAGGTAGCTCAAGGGACGGGGTGTGGGGAGAGAAGGAAGGAGGGGGAGGGGAAGAGGGAGAGGGAGAGGGAGAGACACTGTTTCTTTGAGAGAAAGGGAAAAGAACAAGAGTCTGTCTGGTAATCCAGAGAATTCCAGATCTAATCTGAGACTACCAAGGGAGTACTTTGAGTCTGCAAAAACCACAGTGATATTGGGCTTGAGGCCCAAGTCCTTTAGAAAGCCTTTTCAAGAAGGACGGACACAAACAAGCCCAGACTGTGAAGACTACAGTAAATACCTAACTCTTCAATGCTCAGACACTAACGAACATCTACAAGCATCATCCAGGAAAATATGACCTCACCAAACAAAGTAAGTAAGTCAGGAGGGACCAATGCTGGACAAACAGAGACATGTGACCTTTCAGACAGAGAATTCAAAATAGCTGGCTGGGCACAGTGGCTCATGCCTGTAATCCCAGCGCTTTGGGAGGCTGTGGCAGGAGGATCACGTAAGGCCAGGAGTTCGAGACTAGCCTGGCCAACGTGGTGAAACCCTGTATCTACTAAAAATACTAAAAAATTAGCCAGGCATAGTGATGCATGTCTGTAATTGCAGCTACTTGGGAGGCTGAGGCACGAGAATTGCTTGAACCCGGGAGGTGGAGGTTACAGTGAGCCGAGATCACGCCATTGCACTCCAGCCTGGGTGACGGAACAAGACTCTGTCTCAAAAGAAAAAAAAAAAAAAAAAGAATTCAAGATAGCTGTTTTGAGGAAACTCAAAGAAATTCAAGATGACAGACAGAAGGAATTCAGAATTCTGTCAGATAAATTTAACAGAGACTGAAATAAAAAGAATCAAGCAGAAATTCTAGAGTTGAAAATGCAATTAACATGCTGAAAAAATGCATCAGAGTCACTTAATAGTGGAACTAATTAAGCAGAAGGAAGAATTATTGAGCCTGAAGACAGGCTATTTGAAAAACACCCAGTCAGAGGAGAGAAAAAAGCAAAGAATAAAACCAATGAAGCCTGCTTATAGGATCTAGAAAATAGCCTTGAAAGAGCAAATCTAAGAGTTATTGGCCTTAAAGAAGAGGTAGAGAAAGAGGGGCAGGAAGATTATTCAAAGGGATAATATTAGGGAATTTCCCAAACCTGGAGAAAAATATTAACATCGATATTCAATAAGGTTATAATCAAACTCCCAAAGGTCAAAGATAAAGAAAGAACCTCAAAAGCAACGAGAGCAAAAACAAATAACTTATAATGGAGTTCCAATACGTTTGGCAGCAGACTTCTCAATGGAAACCTTACAGGCCAGGAGAGAGTGGCACGACATATTTAAAGTGCTGAAGGAAAAGACCTTTACCCAAGAATAGTATATCCAGTGAAAATGTCCTTCAAACGTGATGGAGAAATAAAGACTTGCTGACAAACAAAAGCTGAAGGATTTCATCAACACTAGACCTGTCCAATAAGAAGTGCTAAAGGGAGTTCTTTAATCAGAAAAAAATAGATGTTGGTGAGCAAGAGGAAATCATCTGAAGGTACAAAACCTGCTGGTAATAGTAAGTACACAGAAGAACACATTGAGTATTATAACACTGTAATTGTGGTATGTAAACTACACTTGTCTTAAGCACAAAGCCTAAATGATGAACTAATAAAAAAAAATAACTACAACTTTCCAAAACATAGTACAATAAGACACAGAATCAACAAAAAGTTAAAAAGGGGAATGAAGTTAAAATGCAGTTTTCTAATTATTAAGTTTTAGGGGGGGATGTGTGTGTGTGTGTGTACGATGTTCTAAGAGGTGATTACTACATATTGCATGCCTGTATCAAAGTATTTCATAGGCCGCGGTGTGGTGGCTCACGCCTGTAATCCTAGCACTTTGGGAGGCTGAGGCAGGCAGATCACAAGGTCAGGAGATTGAGCCCATCCTGGCCAACATGGTGAAACCCCGTCTCTATTAAAAATACAAAAATTAGCTGGGGCTGGTGGCATGCGCCTGTAATCTCAACACTTTGGGAGGCCGAGGCGGGCGGATTGCTTGAGGCCAGGAGTTCAAGACCAGCCTGGCCAACATAGTGAAACCCCATTTCTACTGAAAATAAGAAAATTAGCTGGGCATGGTGGTGTGTACCTGTAGTCCCAGCTACTTGGGAGGCTGAGGCAGGAGAATCACTTGAACCTGGGAGGTGGAGGTTGCAGTAAGCAGAGATCGCGCCACTGCACTCTAGCTTGGGCAACAGAGTGAGACTTTGTCTCAATAAATAAATAAATAAATAAATAAATAAATAAATAAAATAAAAATACAAAAATTAGCTGGGGTTGGTGGCGTGTGCCTGTAGTCCCAGCTACTCGGGAGGCTGAGGCAGAAGTATCACTTGAACCTGGCAGGCGGAAGCTACAGTGAGCCAAGATTGCGCCACTGCACTCCAGCCTGGTGATAGAGACTCTGTCTCCAAAAAAAAAAAAAAAATTAAATTAAAAAATTTCATGTACCCCATAATTATATACACCTACTATGAACCTGAAAAATCTAAAAATAAAAATTAAAAAAAGAAAAAAATGTTTAAAAAGAAAATGGCTAAGAATTACTCAAAATTAATGGAAAACAAAAAAACAGCTCTAGGATGCTCAGAGAATTACAAATAGAATAATTACAAAGAAGAACATACTCAGTCACACTGTGGAAGTAAAAATGCTAAAAACCAAAAGTAGACAGAAAATTTTGAAAACAAAGAAAAAGAAACATCACATCATAGGAACTTCTCATCAGAAACTAGGTACATCAGATAAAGAGACAGCTTTACAGTACTGAAAAAGAAAAGGATAAAAGTGAATTACATAAAAAATGAAATATGTTTTAAGTAATAGCAGAGTTTTTCAAGCAAAGCTGAATTCATCGTTGTACTGCCATTAAGTGCTTATATTGGAAGAAAGATTTCAAATTAATGATGCACGCTTCAATCTTTTTGTTTGTTTGGTTAACTGAGATAGTGTAATGCTATGCTGCCCAGGCTGGAGTGCAGTAGCTATTCATTCACAGGCATGGTCATAGCATGCTGCAGCCTCAAAATCCCAGGCTCAAGTGATCCTCTCGCTTCAGTTTCCCAAGCTCCCAAGTAGCTGGGACTACAGGGTGTGTTACCACATCTGTAGCCCTAAGCTTCAATCAATAAGAAGATACTAGGAAAAAAAAAAAGCAATTAAGTCCAAAGCAATGTAAAGGAAAGAAGTAATAAAGACACAAGCAGAAATCACTGAAACAGAAAATAGAGCAAAGTCAATCAAACCAAAAGCTGGATTTTTTTTTTTTTTGCAAAGTTCAACAACACTGATAAACTCCTAGCCAGACTGATCAAGAAAAAAGAAAAAAAAAAAAAGACACAAATTATCAGTATCAGGAACGAGAGAGTAGATGTAAATACAGATCCATGCTACAGACCATAAAAGGATAACATGAGAAAATTCTAAACTCCTATTATAAACATCTTTATAATAGTAAACTAGACAACTTAAGATAAAAGGGACAAATCCTTTGGAAGACAAACTACCAAACTCACTCAAGAAGAAAGAGGTAACAATAAAAGACCTGTATCTATTAAACAAAATGACTTCACAGTTTTAAAACCTTCCAAAAAGAGATGACTTCACTAGTGAACTCAACCAAACATGTAAGGAATAAGTCTACACAAACAGTTCCAGAAAACAGAAAAGAGAATACTTCCCAACTCATTCTAAGTAGCCATCATTAGCCTGAAATAAAACCAAAAATATTACAAGGAAATCAAAAGATCTGTATTAATCATTAACATAGATTCAAAACAACATGTTCCACACAATAAATGTATATTAAGTCTTAGTTTATCAATTTAAAAAGATAAATTTCAAAAACACAGATGCAAACATCCTTAACAAAATACTGGGAAATCAAATTCAGCACTGTATTAAAACAAACCTCATGACCAAGTGGAATTGATAGCCAGGTACACTGGTTGTTTTCAACAATCATAAATTAATCAATGTTATTCACCATATCAAAAGACAAAGAGATAAACATTCCATAATCACAACTGATGCATAAAACACATCTTACAAAATTCAACATCATTCATGATTTTTTTAAAAACTCTCAAAAAATAAGAATAGAGAGGAACTTGCTCGTCATTAAAAGATACATACAAAAACAAAACAAATTACAGTTGATCTCACATGTAATAGTAAAAAAATGAATGAATTTCCCCTAAGAACAGGAACAAGAAAAGGATGTTGCTCTTATCACTTCTTTTGAACACTGTATTGGAAATACTAGCCAGTGCAATAAGGCAAAAATAAATAAATAAATAAAAATAAAAGGCATTCAGATGGGAAATAAAAACAAAAACTGCCCTTTATGTGCAGACAGCATGACTGTCTATGTAGAAAGAATCTACCAAAAAAACCGACTATAACTACTGCAAGAGATTCACAAGGCTGCAGAGTACAAGGAGGATATATAAAAGCTGCAGATTAGGAGAGAATGTTACAAAAAAAAAAAAAAAACACTTGAATGCAAAATACATAACAAACTCTCAAAATCAACAAACAAAAGAAGCCCACTTTTAAAATAGGCAGAAGATTTTGAAAAACATTTCACATCAAGGACATATGATGGGCAATGAAACACATGAAAAGAGGCTTATCATTAGTCTTCAGGGAAAATGCAAATTAAAACCGAAATGAAATGCTACTACAAACCTATTATAATGGCTTTTTTAAAAAATGACAATAATGTGTCAGGTGCAGTGGCTCACGCCTATAATCCCAGCAACTTGGGAGGTCAAGGCAAGAGCATCATTTGAGCCCAGGAGTTGGAGACCAGCCTGGGTAGCATGGTGAGACTGCATCTATACAAAAAATAATAATTAAAAGAAAGTTAGCCAGACATGGTGGCACAACATGCCTGTAGTCCCAGTTATGTGCAAGGCTGAAGCCAGGAGGATCACCTGGGCCCAGGAGTTTGAGGCTGCAGTGAGCTATGATCATGCCACACCTGTTTTAGTGGTCCTGTTTTTCTAACTGAATCCTGACTGATAAGCGAACTGTTTTCCCAAGTGGCTGTATCAATTTGCATTCAAACTAGCAAAATACGACAGCATGAGCTGGAGCCTACAAGGATGGGAAAAACCCTTGTCAGTAGCGACTGCCTTTGACCCTGATGGTATGCATGTTCTGCAGAAACTAAGGCTTTCTTCATGGTGCTAAACACACAAACACACACCTTGCCCTGGAGTCAGAGATGAAGAAGGGGGATCCTAGGGAAAATAGAGCAACTGCAGTCCCAGCATTGCCTCATGCCAACAAACTGGGCCAGCAGATAAATGAGAACACATATGAGCTACAAAAATGGCTGGTGCTTCATTTCTGCTCTCCAAATCCTGCACTAGAATTTCTCATGGCCCACCCTAAAGGGCAACATACCGGGAAGGGAATTCTGGAAAATGTGGTTCAGTCTGGCTACACTGATATGTTATAAAGCTAACAAAGGTAGTTTCTTATAAAGTTAAACATATAGTTATCATGTAAGACCCAGCAACCCCACGGCTCATATTTCCCAAGAGAAACAAAAACTTAAGTTCACTAAAACTAGCATGCAAAATGTTTATAGCAACTTTATCCATAATCATCAAAAATCAGAAACAATTCAAATTCCCTTCAACAGGTGAATGAATAAACTGATTGTGGTACATTCACACAATGGAATAGTACTACTAGGCAGTGAAAATGAACGACTGATATATGCAGCAACACTGATGAATACCAGATGCATTATGTTAAGTAAAAGAAACCAAAATTAAAAAGTTACATACTACTAAACGATTCTACTTACACAGTGTTCAGAAAAAGGCAAAACTATAGGGATGGAGCATAAATCAGTGGTTGCCAGGATTAGGGCTAGGGTATTGTTGACTATAAAAGGGGAGACTTGACGGGAGAGGTGATGAAACTGTACTGTGTCTTGATTGTGGTGATGAGTTTTGTTTGTTTGTGGAGACAGAGTCTCATTCTAACACCTAGGCTAGAGTGCAGTGGCGCGATCTCAGCTCACTGCAACCTCTGCCTCCTGGGTTCAAGCAATTCTCATGCCTCAGCCTCCTGAGTAGCTGGTATTATAGGCATGTGCCACCAGGCCCAGCTAATTTTTGTATTTTTTTTTTTTTTGTAGAGATGGGGTTTCACCATATTGGCCAGCCTGGTCTCAAACTCCTGGCCTCAAGTGATCTGCCCATCTCAGCCTCCCTAAGTGCTTGGATTACAAGTGTGAGCCACAATGCCCAGCCCTTTTTTTTTGAGATGAAGTCTTGCTCCATCACCCAGGCTGGAGTGCAGTGGCGTGATCTCAGCTCACTGCAACCTTCACTTCCTGGGTTCCAGCGATTCTCCTGCCTCAGTCTATCGAGTAACTGGCATTACAGGCCTGCACTAGCATGCCCAGCTAATTGTTTTGTATTTTTAGTAGACACAGGGTTTCACCATGTTGGCCAGGCTGGTATCGAACTCATGACCTCAAGTGATCCGCCCGCCTCGGCCTCCCAAAGTGTTGGGATTACAGGCATGAGCCACCATGCCCAGACTGTTCTTTCTTTTTTTTTTTTAAGAGGCAGAGTCTACTATGTTGCCCAGGCTGGTCTTAAACTCCTGGGCTCAAGTGATCCTCCTGCCTCGGACTCCCAAAGTGCTGAGATTTCAGGTGTGACCCACCACACCCAGCCTGTGGTGATGATTATGGGAGTATGCATTTATAAAAACTCACAGAACTTTAACTGTAAAAAACTGTAAAGGAGTGAATTTTACTGTGTATAAATTTTGAAATAAGTTAAATTAAGCTTCGGAATAAAGCTATCGCTAACCACTAAATATAAAAATATCTATACCCAAATATGTGCCTTCTACACAATTTGTTCTTAAATGTACAAACACACAATAATATATGCATTCACTTGGGAAAACTAAGACACTGGAAGCAGAAAATAATCAATGATCACTTTTGGGTAGTGGGATGAAACCACTTTAAAAAACTCACCATTATGACACAGTTGCTCAGTGCTCAGGTAAAGGTCTAGTATTTAAGCAGAGGAGGCCCAGGAGACTTTTTGTTGCATACACTACCTGACAGTTTCTAAAAGGACACTTCTTAAAACTTCATGTCATAAGAAATACATTGCCCCAACAACATCATGTACCTGTGATGGCATTATAGGAAATAACATTATTTGCATTTTATTTTCTACTAGGTTTATACATTACTTTTATAAGTATGGAGGGAAAGAGGGGATGATAATTTAAAAACAACAACTACCACAAAAAACACAAAACCCTTTGAGCAGTTAACACTCTGACATTCTATCCTGTTTATTTTAAGGGTTTGACACAAGTAGCCAATTCCAGTCTCCAAAATACAACAAATCTAATATGGACTGGCCCTTCAAGACTGGCCCTTCAACAACCATGACCTAAGGGGCAGTCTGCAGGGTTAAGATCCACATTTCCCAGACTCCCTTGCATCTAAGATTCTGGGTATAATTTAGGTTGCATCATAGATGCACTGGCAAGAGAGATGGATTTCGTACTAAAGGCACCCTGCCGGTGGGGTTCAAGGGAGAGACAGCACGTTGGAGCCACAGGTAGAGTGTTAGCTTCCTACTTCAGCAGTTAGGTTTCTAATCACAGCAGGGACGGCAGTATCCTTAGCTGGCCCATTCTGAAGTGTGACTTTCAAAGTCACAATCTTGGAGGCCCGATCTGATGTCTATTTCTTCATCTTCCCTAGTACTTAATGTTTCAATAAGCTCTCTATTGAAACAAGCTAGGGTAAAACAAAAGAAAAACTAATATATACCATGCTACAAATCTGTAATTTTGTTAGACCACAAAGACAACAAAAAAATCATCTAACAGTATTATTACTGTTATACTCATTTTCATAGTTAATTTTATCTGATACTGATGCCAGCCTCTATGTCCAAGTATATTGCACTAACCTACAGTTCACAGAGTTATCTTCTAGTCCTGTGTTAAGTGCCTAGGAGTGCTGTAAGTTTCACACCTCAGTGTTTACCTTGCTATCTGCTCTTTTCTCTCTTTACCTATTAGAGACCCAGCTAAAATGCCAGTTAACTCCATGAAGCCTCTTCCACTTTGGCACAAGGAATCCTTTTTAATATTCCTATACACTTGTTCATGTACTGACAGAAGTAATTAATTATATTTTACTTGGGTGTATATTTCAATCTCTTGATTTTAACTGTGAACTAATTCCTTGAAGTAAGGACCACATTCAATTTTTGTTGCATGCCTAGTGCCTTTTTGCAAGCCTGGCATGTTACAGGTACTCAGTAAATACCACCAGAGCACAGAATGAGGTATTACATTTGGTGCAGGGAAAAGTATTTTCACTTTAGTGTTTCTCAACTCCTACTCCTTTATCAGATCTGCAGGTTTTATTTATCTTTTTTGAATTTTCATTGAGCCTCACAGTGTAGATTTGATTTGTTAGGTTTCATTCTTTGCAATTTCTATGTAGCTGTAGCTCTATTATTTTAATAACTGTTATATTAATAACACTGCTCTATTGTTATTCTGACCATCTGAAGCTAAATACCAATGCACTTTAAATTTTCAGCTGCGCATCCTACAAATTTAAATCATGGCATGTAACAATTTAAGTATGAGTGAAGTTTTGCCAGAAGAACAAATTATCAGTGACACTAACAGTTTTAATTACTATGTCTGGGATTTAATTTATCAGCCCATATTGGTAAGTAATAACTTTGTGTCAAACAATTCAGTAAAGATGCAGCAACATAAAAGGCAGGCTATTGGCTCACATCAAATACGTAATGGTCTATAAAGATTCTATTTTCATAATTTAAAATAAAGGATGACTTCATAGAAAGCTATTTATGAAAATCTCAAATGGAAATTTCACCATTTCAAAGGAACTATAAGTTTAACTAAAGACAGTAAGTCCATAAACACAAAGACAAAACAAAGTACATACTATAGTTAGACAAGATGACCTGGTATTTACCCCACTGCATGGGGTAAGTAAGTGAGGTGATGAATGTGTTAATTGTGGTAATCATTTCACAATGTATATGTATATCAAATCATCATATTGTATACCTTGAAAATATGTATTTTCTACTTGTCAATTATACCTCAGTAAAGCTGAGGAAAAAAAAATTTTTAATAATAAAAAATATACATAGGATACTCAGGGGTCCCCAACCCCCAGGTCATGGACTGGTTAGGAACTGGGCTGCACAGCAGGTGTTGAATGGACAAGCGAGCGAAGCTTCATCTGTATTTACAGCCACTCCCCATTACTCCCACTGCCCCCTGAGGTCTGCCCCGTCAGATCAGCAGCGGCATTAGATTCTCACGGGAGCATGAACCCTATTGTGAACTGTGCATGCGAGGGATCTAGGTAGCGTACTTCTTATGAGAATCTAATGCCTAATGATCTATCACTATCTCCCATTACCCCCAGATGGGACTGTCTAGTTGCAGAAAAACAAGCTCAGAGGTCTCACTGATTCTCCATTATGGTGAGTCGTATAATTATTATATATGACAATGTAATCATAATAGAAATGAAGTGCACAATAAACGTAATGCACCTGAATCATCCTGAAACCTCCTTCCACCCCCAGTCCATGGAAAAACTGTCTTCCACAAAACTGGTCCTTGGTGCCAAAAAGGTTGGGGACCACTCCTCTACATCATTAAGAAGAATCAAAGATCAAAAGCCCATAAAACAAATTCTCCTACTGTGCTTAGCAGAGGTCATTTCATTAAGGGTCCAGATCAAATTCAGGCTCAACAATTAGTAAGACAACTAGAAAAATACAGAAAGCTTAAAGCAGAGCAACTAGTCTAAAAGCAGAGATCAGACTGTTTAGCGCAAATGGTGAGAAAAGCTGACCAGATTTTAACTTGGAACTCAGAGAGAAGTAAATAGGATAAATTAATATTGCCAAGGTTTACACCAAAAACACAGGACTTCCTGATAGTGTAGGGGTTTTTTTGTTTTGTTTTGTTTTTGACACCAAGTCTTGCTCTGTTGCCCAGGCTGCAGTGCAGTGGTGCCATCTCGGCTCACTGAAACCTCCACCTCCGGGTTCAAGAGATTCTCCTTTCTCAGCCTCTTCAGTAGCTCGGGCTACAGGCACGTGCCACCACGCCCAGCGAGTTTTTTATATTTTCAGTAGAGATGGGGTTTCACCACATTGGCCAGGCTGGTCTCGAACTCCTGACCTTGTGATTCACCCACCTCGGCCTCCCAAAGTCCTGGAATTACAGACGTGAGCCACCGTACCCGGCCTGATAGCGTGGGTCTTACTACAACTACTCCTCCAAACAATTATCAGTTTCTCCCTTTACAAGACTAACCTTCATTTTACTTTGAGCAGATAAAAACTATTAACTCACAAACTTGCTAAATGAATACTGTAAGGTTTACCAGATTTCTAAAACAGAATATTCCCATCTCAACATTTTATTTTACTCATAATTTTCTACTTACAAAATCTTGCCGTATGTCATTGAAGTCTTTGCCATATTTTTCCAGTGCCTCTTCAAATAAGCTAGCTTCAGAGGCTGACCATTCCTCCATTTCATCTCTGCATAAAACAGGTCCTCCGAGTGGTACTAAGACACTAATGGCACTGCTCAAATCATAGCTGTGTCTATACAATGTATCCATAGCGTGAAACTAAAGAAACAAAATGAACAGAAAATATCAACCAGAAATGCAAACATGCTACATTATGTAAGAATATAAACACTAAAATATATGATGTACTTAATTAACAATATACTTATTTATTTTTTAACAAAATTTTAAACAGATTACTAAATAATTATTTAAGATATCATTTATTGCTTTAGAAAATGCTGACTTGTACCCTTATTTGGGGGGAGGGGAGCACAGGGTATCCCTCTATTCCCAGGCTAGAGTGCAGCAGCAGCCTCAACCTTCTGGGCTCAAGCAATCCTCCTGCCTCAGCCTCCTGAGTAACTAGGACCACAGGTATACGCCACTATGACTGACTAGTTTTTTTATTTTATGTAGAGATGGGGGTCTCGCTATGTTGCCCAGGCTGGTCTCGAACTCCTGGGCTCAACTGATCCTCCCACTATAGCCTCCCAAAGCACTAGGATTAGGTCTCCTTTATTTTTATTTTTTTTTATTTATTTACCTTTTTTTTTTCTTTCTTTTTTTGAGATAGGCTCTTGCTCTGTTACCCATGCTGGAGTGCTGTGGCATGGTCATAGCTCACTGTAACCCTGAAAGTCTAGCCAGGCCACACATCGTGGCTCATGCCTGTAATCCCAGCGCTTTGAGAAGCCAAGGTGGGAGGAACACTTGAGCCCAGGAGTTTTAAGACCAGTGTGGGCAACATAGTGAGACCTGTCTCTGCAAAAATAAAAAATTAGCTGGGCCTGGTTGTGCATGCCTACAGTCCCAACTACTTGGGAGGCTGGGGTGGGAGGAATGCTTGAGCCCAGGAGGTTGAGGCTGCAGTCAGCTGTGACTGTGCCACTGCACTCCAGCCTGGATAACAGAGTGACAGCCTATCTCAAAAAATAAAAATTAAAATAATAAAAATATCAAAGTCACTTCAGCTCTTGTGCAAGATACACAGCACAGCCATTCTTGACCAGGGAAAAATATACAGATTATGTATCAGAGAGTGAGAAAAAAATCTTCTCAGATTGGGTTGAGGAATCATGTACTAAGACAGAAAGAAAACAATGGAGCAGAGTATGATATTTAAGACAAAATTATAAACATGCTGCACAGAAAAAGCAAAACAAAACAAAATTACATATTCATCTTAATATGGTAACTTGGTTGAGATTGTAGAAGACAAAGAATAGATGGCCAGGTTTGCTTGGAACAGCAAGGCCACTGTGGTTTTCTTATATATTTCAAGGGAAAGTGATTTGAAGCACAATTTGAAAGGAGAAAAGATAGATTAGAACACACAAGCACCATAACGTTGAACTCCTGGGCCCGAGGTTACTTCTGCAAAAGTTACTTAGGTCTAGCTTACTTAAAAAGCATTTTCTGGCCAGACACAGTGGCTCACACCTATAATCACACTTTGGAAGGCCAAGGTGGGCAGAATGCTGGTGCCCAGGACTTCGAGACCAGCCTGGGCCAACACAGTGAAACCCCGTCTCTACAAAAAAACAGGCATGGTGGCATATTGCCTGTAATCCCAGCTACTCAGGAGTCTGAGATGAGAAAATCACTTCAGCCCAGGGAGGTCGAGGCTGCAGTGAGCTGAGATCATGCCACTGCACCCCAGCCTGGGCAACAGAGTGATGCCCTATTTTTTAAAAAAGAAGGCATTTTCCTCCAATCAGAACAATGAATAACTAGGTTCCAAAACTTCGAGGTTTGAAAAACCTTTGATTTAAAGAGAGTCATCCATAGCATGTACATACATGTGTATGTGTAACAGGAAAACTGAAAAGCAACAAAATCATCTCTGCCTATGTCGCGGATTAGCACATGGGTGCTGCAAAGTGATCTAATTCTTGCCCAAGTGAGAACTAGTTCTGTTTTTCTCCCCACCTCTCACCCCCACCCAGACTTTCTAACACATAAACTTAAAGTCTTGCACCTTTTACGCAAAGTATCTCCTGCTACTTATTAAAAATTTCACAAATGGGGATAGCTTCACTTCTACGCAACAATAGAACTCTTAAAAATTTAGCTTTTGGCTTAAGTCGTGCATCTCCAAGCCCGCCACCAGTCAAGGTCTCAGTGCCAGCTATGCCACTGCAGCTGTCACTATGGCCCATTAGAACACTGCTAACTCGAAGATCAAGCAATTCTGGAGGTGCTTAGGGCTCTGGGGTGCTGAACGAAGGTGCTGGTAGCCTTAGAAAAGAACCAGAGAAACCTAATACTGCTTTGGTTTTTTTAAAGCATCACTTAGGAGTTGCTATCCCAGAAAATCCAGAAATAGAAGTGCTTCCCCTAGAATTGACAGAAATGAAAGATAAATATGAACGACCTCAGGTGAAGTGTGCCAGATAGGATTCTTCTCAGTGGAAAAGACACTAAAAAATGGTTTTGTATAACTTGAATAGTTTGTATATTATATAATCTTTTCTAGATAGATGCTACAGAATTCTTTTAATCTGTTACATTCACCTACCACACTTTATTATAAACACACTTAGAATCATCTATAAATACTCAATGTAAATTGTTTTGAGTCTTAAAGAAAAGAATCCAAAGTGGGGAAAAAAAAAAACAACACACAGCCATCTAATTCATTACCTTAAAAGATATTCTGTTTGTCTGATGAGGAACTATGGTGCTGGTTGTATTTTTGCCAATGAAGTTTAGCATGGAGGTAATCCTTGGTGTAGCTTAAAAAACGAGTACAGCCATTCTTTAAAATGAAGAAGGCACTGTTGTTTATATTTCCTGTAGGCAGCTGGAGAGATCTGTGTGACACAAGATGCTTCTGCATGGGTTCCCATGAATCTTCTGTTCTTGTTTATATAATGTGGAACAAATAACTCTTCTTTGCCACCACTGTGCCTTAGGTAACTGTGTGTGCCAGTCAGAAGTCTGACACCACGTTTTCCTTCTAGGCTATCATGCCCTATCTGATCATCTTTCCTTGCTTCACTCTGTGCTTTAGTGAAGCCTAGTTGCACATTGGCCTTTCTGTGCGGTTTTCAATTTGCTTAATGATAGCGGTTACCCCAATTGTAACTTATATAACTTTAAACAGAATCACACTATTCCCCGCCTTAGTTGAGCACAGAACAAAGGCAATATAAAATCTGGGGTTCACGCACAAGTTGGGATGAGAAGGGGAGTGAGCCATAATATCATGGAAAATTATACTTTCTAAGTATAATCGCAGTGATGTTTCTCTCAAAGTATTTTTCTAGCCTAGAATTCATTTTACCTTCATTATTCCTGTGAAGTAGGTAGGGCAAGTATGAGGGGAAGTTGGGTGCTGAATTTTTAGGTCAAAGACTGATAATAATACAAGGTATTTGCTCATTGTAGAACCTGGGGCACCAGATCAGTTAACTGCTCTGAGACTCACTTTCCTTGTTTGTTAAATGAGAAGAATATCCATGCTGCCTACCTCACAGGCTTGTGAGGGTCAAATGAGAATGTATGTGAAAGATCATTTCTTATTTGTATTTTTTTAAAATAGCTTTTAAGTGATCCCTCACTATCTGGTAGGAGACTGTAGGAGAGCTCAAATGTCAACTAACATCTATTAAAGTGAAAACATTATTAGCAAAAGTATGCATTAATATGTATGTATATGTATGTATACACACACACACAGTGATGCATTAACTAAGATAATGATAAGGGTATAGATTATGAATTTGTTCACCGAGTAACGGCAGTATTTAGAACATGTAAACATGTTTAGGTACAGTAAATAACTGCTTTAACAAGGGTTGACATCTCACTTAAAATCAATCATTGGGGCCAGGTGCGGTGGTTCACACCTGTAATCCCAGCACTTTGGGAGGCCAATGCAGGCGGATCACTTGAGGTCAGGAGTTTGAGACCAGCCTGGCCAATATGGTGAAACTCTGTCTCTACAAAAATTAGCTGGGTGTGGTGGCAGTCACCTGTAATCCCAGCTACTCAAGAGGCTGAGGCAGGAGAATCACTTGAACCCAGGAGGTGGAAGTAGCAGTGAGCCGAGATCACGCCACTGCACTCCAGCCTGGGCGGCAGAGTGAGGATCTGTCAAAAAAAATAAATAAATAAAAATAAAAATAAATCATTGGCTTTCACAAAACAGAAGTAGGGATTTCATGAACAATTTCCGAGTTATAATCATAACAAAGGCCACTGGCCATGTGTAGTCTTCTGTTGTATGTGTCACAACCATGGAACAATGACTTCCAACTTTGAAGTGAATTTCCTCTCACTCTTCTGCAGCAGAGGTTGAAAAAAAAAAACAAAACACAAGAATTGATCTTGGTTCTTCAGCTTTTGCTCTGCAAATTTCAGAATCAGCTAAATTCTGCAGCTAAGCTAACTAGACAGACTGTGTAGTTTAGCTGTAGTATGTACTTTTACACACTTCTACATCAACTCCATTGTACATACAATGTAGTATGTACCCCATTATTCATGATTTTACTTTCCAAGGTTTCAGTTACCCGTAGCCAACTGTGGTCTGAAAATAGATGAATATAGTACAGTAAGATATTTGTGTGTGTGAGAGAGACAGGGAGGGAGCGCACTGTATTAGTCTGTTTTCACACTGCTGATCAAGACAAACCTGAGACTGGGAAATTTACAAAAGAAAGAAGTTTATTGGACTTACAGTTCCACATGGCTGGGGAGGCCTCATAATCATGGTGGAAGGCAAGGAGGAGCAAGTCACGTCTTACATAGATGGCAGCAGGCAAAAAGCAAGAGGTTGTGCAGGGAACTCCCATTTTTAAAACCATCAGGACGAGGTACGGTGGCTCATACCCGTAATCTCAGTACTTTGGGAGGCTGAGGCAGGCGGACTGCCTGAGCTCAGGAGTTTGAGACCACCCCTGGACAACACGGCGAAAACCCATCTCTACTAAAATACAAAAAATCAGCCAGGCATGGTGGCACATGCCTGTAATCCCAGCTACTCAGTAGGCTGAGGCAGGAGAATCACTTGAACCCAGGAGGCGGAAGTTGCAGTGAGCCAAGATTGCGCCACTGCACTCCAGCCTGGGTGACAGAGCGAGACTCCATCTCAAAAAATAAAAAATAAAAAAAAAATAAATCAGATCTCATGAGACTTATTCACTATCACGAGAACAGCACAGGAAAGACCTGCCCCCATGATTCAATTATCTCCCCCGGTGGTCCCTCCCACAACACGTGGGAATTATTGAGTTACAGGATGAGATTTGGGTGGGGACACAGAGCCAAACCATATGAAGCACAGTCACATATCTTTTATAATGGTATATTCTTATAATTGTTCTATGATTATTCTTGTTGATCTCTTACTGTGCCTAATTTATAAATTAAACCTTATGTTAGGTATAGTGTAGAGAAAAAAAAGTCTGATTCAGTGCCATCCTCAGCTTCAGGCATCCACTGAGGGTGCTGAAATATATCTTCTCTTGGAAAAGAAAGACTACTGTAATTATTGTTTCTTAATAACTAACCTCATGAAAATGAAAAGAAAGATCAATAGCATTTAGGGACCTTTTCAGTTAATAATCCCATAAACAATTATTTTTTAAACCTTCTAAATTTACAATAAATGAAAAAACTAAAAGATTAAAAGATACTCAAAAATGCTAAAATTCCTCAAAATAAAAATAATTTATCTTTTTCTTTGGAGACAGGGTCTCACTCTGTTGCCCAGGTTGGAGTGCAGTGGCATGATCTCAGCTCACTGCAACATCTGCCTCCTGGGCTCAGATGATCCTCCCACCTCAGCCTCCCAAGTAACTGGGACTACAGGTGCATGCCACAATGCCCAGCTAATTTTTGTATTTTCAGTAGAGACAGGGTTTTGCCATGTTGCCCGGGCTGGTCTCCAACTCCTGGGCTCAAGCGATCTGCCTGTCTTGGCCTCCCAAAGTGCTGGGATTACAAGCATGAGCCACTGCATCTAGCCAAAAGAAATTTTTATAATTAACAGGGGCTCTGAAACCAGTCACAGAATTAAGTGCATTTTTCTCAGCTGATGCTACACCAACCACTCAAATCATGAATGGATTTTCAGTTTTGTGTTCATGTTAAATGAGTGAAACTGCTTTTCTTATGGATACTTTTTTAAATGATGATGGGCTGTTACCTAAAGGGCTTCAAAGAACTGAAGTAGTATCTTAGCCTTCATCAAGTGATTATGACAAAAAATGATTATATTCATTGTTTCAAAGGTTCTACTCTTTAGTGTTTAGTTTGTGTTCCTGAACACTGAAGGAACCATTTGCTTTCAGAGGAGGAGCTCCTGTACTGTCTCAAATCAAATGAGAAAGAATACATTGGAATTACTGTTCACCAGGAGATATGAAACCTCCAAAGCGCACATTTATACCAAAGACCAAAGGAGAGGAGAGTAAAGCTCAGAATGTGTAGAAAGTAAACACTCATCAGGTGTGTACACTGTGGAGTTACTAGGAAATAATTCCTTTGAAACTGACCAACTTCATAAAGGAAACCAGAGAATCATATTATGTGCCAGAAGTCCATATAAACCCCATCTTTCTGATACACACAGAAGTTTCTTTTGAATGGACTTTACGTAGTCTAATCTTACCCTTAAGAGCTTTACATGAATACAGTTTCTATAACAGAAGAGACAAAATCCAGTAGAGAAAATGTAGGGTAAATAAAGAAAATAAGCTAGGAAAAGACACAGTAACATAACACAGGACCAACGACTTGCGGTTTATCAGTAAGATAACACAAATTTGAAATGCCAGAGAAGTTTGAAAAAATGAACAACTAATTGATTGTTAGAGAAGGCAGAATAGTGATTTCCTAACTGGAGAGGAGCAGAAGGGAAGCTGTTGAGATACTGGTAATGTTCTTTACCATCTAGTGGTGGTTACACGAATATATACACAGGTAAAAATGTTTAAGCTGTGTAACAAACTGTAGGGCACTCTATATATGTTACCATATGTATACCTCAATTTAAAATAAGAAAAAGAATTTTGAGGCTGGGTGCGGTGGCTCACACCTGTTAATCCCTGCACTTTAGGAGGCCAACGCAGGCGGACCACGAGGTCAGGAGTTTAAGACCAGCCTGGCCAACAGAGTGAAAGCCCATCTCTACTAAAAATACAAAAATTAGCTGGGTGTGGTGGCATGCGCCTGTAGTCCCAGCTGCTCAGGAGGCTAAGGTAGGAGAATCGCTTGAACTCAGGAGGCGGCTGTTGCAGTGAGCAGAGACGTCACCATTGCACTCCAGCTGGGTGACAGAGTGAGACCTCGTCTCAAAAAAAAGAAAAAAGAAAAGAAATAGAAAAGGAATTTTGAAACTAAGCATTAAAAAGCTAAAAGTTGGCCAGGTACATTGGCTCAGGCATGTAATCCCAGAGCTTTTGAGAGGCCCTGGGAGGCCAAGGCAGGAGTTCGAGACCAGCCTCAGCATTAATTTTTTAATTTTAAAATTTAATTAATTAAAAAATTTTAATTAGCTGGGCACAGTGTTGAGTGCCTATATTAAAAAAAAAAGAAAGAAAGAAAACTAGGCCAGGCGCAGTAGCTCACGCCTCTAATCCCAGCACTTTGGGAGGCCGAGGCGGGCAGATCATCACGAGGTCAAGAGATCAAGACCATCCTGGCCAACATGGTGAAACCTCGCCTCTACTAAAAACACAAAAATTAGCCGGGCATGGTGGCACGCGCCTGTAGTCCCAGCTACTCGGGAGGCTGAGGCAGGAGAATCCCTTGAACTCAGGAAGTGTCAGTTGCAGTGAGCTGAGATCGGGCCACTGCACTCCAGCCTAGTGATGGAGTGAGACTCCGTCTCAAAAAAAAAAAAAAAAAAAAAGAAGAAGAAAACTAAACTAAAAGTCTTCCCTCCAGATTAAATACTTTGCAAAGATACCATGTTTTCAATAGAGATACCAATACACATTGCACGATCCATTCAAATCTAAATTGTAAAAATCTTAAGAACCCAGCACAAGCTGTTCTCTCTGCCAAAAAGCAGTGAAGGTGTTGTCACATTTCATCTCATTCATAACAGATGGAGATGACAAAAAGAAGTATTTTAGGAGAAAGACTGACAAGTAAATCTTGGCAATGGAATTCTCATCTTTTGTTAAGCAGAACCACACTATGGGTAGATTGGACTATTGTTCAGCAAATATTCATTCCCTCCCCCACACCTCCACAGGAGAGTATTCTTCCACTCCACTGATGTTGGGCTTGGCCATGTGACTTGCTTGGCAAATAGGATGTTAGGATATGTGACATAACTGAGCCTTGACAAGTGTTTGCACATTTGGCCTTGCCCTCTTGTGCTACTGAGTTTTGTCCATGGAGGATGAGAAATACATGGAGCAGATCTGGACCCAACCTATAGCTTGGCACCTACATCAGAGCCCAGTCTAGCTCAGCAGAATCCTAGACAATCTGCAGATGAGTGTATCAGAAATCAATGCTTGTTGTTATAAGCCACTGAAATTTGGGCAGTGTAATAGATGTGTTTTCCTCTTTGAGACTAAAGAACTTAATTCACCTAGTTGCCAGAAGTGTTGTGAATAAGACAGTCCTCAGCTGCTGATCTTTTTCGGAATTATTTCAATTCAAGAACAATTCATCGTGAAAGTCCACACACTCTTCCTGGAGCAACCTGCATCCAATAATGCAGGGCTGTAAAGGCCCAGCTTTTCACCCTGATTTGGGATGCCACAAATCAGCTGGAGTCAGCTGAGGCCTTCATTCGATTGTATCCACCTCCTCCCACTAGTCAATCCTGCCTCCTTGCCTTTTATTCCACAAGTGCTGATCCCAAGGGGAATCCCTAATAAATTTCCCACATAAAAACTGCTATCAGAATCTGCTTCCAGGGAACCCAACCTGTAAAATGCAGTATTATGACAACAGCTAACTGATACACATATACTATATTCAATACTAACTGCAAATGCTCTGCAACTGATGGCTACGTCCCAAAAAACTCATCATAGGTTGAAAATATCATAAGTCAAAAGTGCATTTAATACCCTGATAAACCCATTGTAAAAAACAAAACAAAGCAAAAATTGTTAAGTTGAACATCCTAAGTCGAGGGCCATCTGTACTGATTTGTTCAGTTACAATTTCACAAAAACTTCACATATATACCTCCTACAGGAATTACAGCATTCAGAATATCACATCTATTTAAAAATTAATAACCACATTCTTTTTTTCCAAGCAGAGGAAGATTATAATAAACTCTCATGAGTAAACCTCAAACTGATATGGACAAAGTTTTTCATATGCTGGTCTGGTGTGGTGGCTCACACCTGTAATCCCAGCACTTTGGGAGGTCAGAGGGGGGCGGGGGTGGATCACTTGAGGTCAGGAGTTCAAGCCCAGCCTGGTCAACATGGCAAAACACCATCTCTACTAAAAATACAAAAATTAGCTGGACATGATGGCGCGCACCTGTAATCCCAGCCACTTGGGAGGCTGAGGCAGGAGAATCGCGTGAACCCAGGAGGCAGAGGTAGCAGTGAGCTGAGATTGCACCATTGCACTCCAGCCTGGGTGACAGAGGCAGACTCCGTCTCAAAAAAAAAAAAAAAAAAGCTTTTTATACGTAAAAAAGTTTGCCATCTACTTTCAATTTTTGCTTTAATGCATAGATATAACAAAACCCCTCATCCAACAAACTTGCTAAGGCTTAGCTGGCATCCACTCAAATCAACCTAAAAGACACCCTGAGTCATGTTCTTGTGTGTACTCACACCTTTTGATTACTTTTTTTTTTTTTTTTTTTTTTTTTTTTTGGAGATGGAATCTTGCTCTGTGACCCGGGCTAGAGTTCAGTGGCACGATCTCGGCTCACCGCAATCTCCACCTCCCAGGCTCAAGAGATTCTCGTGCCTCAGCCTCCCAAGTAGCTGGGATTACAGGCGCCCACCACTACACTCAGCTAATTTTTTTGTATTTTTAGTAGAGATAGGGTTTCACCATGTTAGCCAGGCTGGTTTTGAACTCCTAGCCTCAAGTGATCCACCCGCCTCGGCCTCCCAGAGTGCTAGGATTACAGGCGTGAGCCACTGCACCTGGCCTATTTTTTTTTTTTTTTAATAGAGAGGAGGACTTACTATGTTGACTCAGGCTGGTCTCAAACTCCTGGTCTCAAGCTTTTAAGTGATCTTCCCACCTCAGCCTCCCATGTACCTGTGATTACAGGTGTACACCAACATACCTGGCTCTTTTTTATTATTATCACAAGAAAGCTACAGGGGACAATAGGTCACAGTGACCCCATGTCCCCAGATGTCATTTCCAAACTTACTATGAGCGTAATTAAAAGTTATTGCCACCTGGCTGTGATTCTTGGCACAAACCAGACAAATATGTGAAAACAACTGTGTGAAGACACTGGAGAACCAATACAGGCAAGGAGAGGTGATGATCCCTCTGAAAAGTGTAATAGTTGAGTTTCCACACTGATCTTGGCCTTTATCATGAGGGTATTTTCTAGACTGCTATAAGGTGAAATCGAGCCAAACAGCAAGTTTCCTTTTTTACTAGTCTGATGTGACAAGCATCAGACCTTGATGTTGCCAGAGTCAGTAAGGCCCAGGGAGCAAAATACTGGGGAGGATCCTATTCCAGGCCCTAACAGAAATCTCAAGACATGGAAACAATTGGTAGCACACATGTTCTCTGACCACATTCTCAAAGGCAATTAAAATAGGTAGATGAGCCACACTTCCTTCTAAATTAACTCACAAGTTAAATTAAAAATTATAAGGCAAATTAGTGAATATTTAGAACCAAATGATAATAAAAATACTACATACTAAAAGATATGTGCTACAGCCAAGGTGATAATTAGAGGGACATTCACAATCTTGTATGTTTATCATGAAAAGTAATTTTAAAAAGGTCTTAAAAAGGCTAGCAAAAGAATATTAGAGTAAACCTAAAGAAAAGCAGAAGAAAATAAGAGTAAAAATAAACAGAATATGTACCACTTTTTTTTAATTACCAAAATTAAGTTCCCATTCTTTTAGATAACTAATAAAGAAACCTCAGGCAAAACAATCAAGAAAAAAAGGTTATGTGATACATATAAACAATAACAAGAATGAAAATCTATTTGTAACTACAAATACGGCAAACTGTTTAAAAATACTGTAAAAATGTTAAATTTGAAAATTTTAGGGGGAAATATATAATCTCCTAGATGGACATAACTGACCAAAATGGACTTAAGTAGAACAAAAATTTATTCTAATTATAAATCAGATTATAACCATAACCCACACTGAAGGACATTCTACAAAATAAGTGGCCTGCACTCTTCAAAATACCATGGTCATAAAACACAAAGAAAGACTAACGAATCGTTCAGGAATGAAAGAGACTATGAAGATACAACAACTAAATGTCACAAGTGATTCACAAGGAAATCTTGGGCCAGAATTTTTTTTTTCTTTTGCCATAAAGAACATTACTGGGACAACTAACAAATCTGAATAAAGTCTCTAGATTAGACAACAGTACTGTAACAAGGTTAATTTCCTGAGTCCGATTATTATACTGAACTAATATATGAGAATATCCTTGGTTTTTATTTTTAGGAAATACTCTTTCAAATATTTAGCAGTAGAGGGACATTTATTCTGAAATTTTACTTTCAAACTGTTAAGAACTATATATATATATATATATAGTGTTAGAGTTTATGGAAGGCCATTATTTTGGACTGAGCTCTCGCACTAGGCCCCAGCAGATCAGACTAGAAAGCAGTCACTTGTGCTTAGTGCCAAGATTCACAGCAACCAATCAGAAGGGGCCAGTTTACCTGAGTAGGCATAAGGAAGTCCTCTCTATTTTAAGGAAAGCAACTTTGAAACAACCAATCTGCTTCTTGTTCCCTGTTTCTGCTTTTCTTCAGCCCTTTCCTGTCTATAAAGCCAATCACCTCTGCTCAGCTCATCAGAATGCTTATTCTACTTTATAGATAGAATAAATGAAAGCCAATTAGATGCTTAAACTAAATTCTCTAATTTGTGTCATTTGACAATAATAATAATAAAGCAAATGTGGTAAAGATGGTAACAACTGGGGAATCTGGATGAAGTGAATACAGGAAGTCTTTGCACTATTTTTGTATTACCACAAAATACAAAGTTTTAAGATTTTTTTTTTTTTTTTGACACGGAGTTAAGCTCTTGTTGCCCAGGCTGGCGTGCAATGGCGCAATCTCAGCTCACTGCAACCTGCACCTCCTGGGTTCAAGCGATTCTTCTGCCTCAGCCTCCCAAGTCGCTGGGATTACAGGCATGTGCCACCACGCCCAGCTAATTCTTTGTATTTAGTAGAGATGGGGTTTCACCATGTTGGTCAGGCTGGTCTCGAACTCCTGACCTCAGATGATCTACCTGCCTTGGCCTCACGCCTGGATTACAGGCATGAGCCACCATGCCCAGCTAGTTTTAAGAAATTATAACCACAAGCCTTCCACTAACTCATACTTGTAAATACAAATCTTTCCACCAATTATCCTAGACAAAGTTGCTAAAACAATTCTCTTTCTATTTCTCCCAAGTTCAAATCTACAGTGCCTTTCTGATGTTTCTATATTCATGTGAAATTTGTAGGAGAAAAAGTAAAAGGCTGTATTTACCCCAAAAAAGAAAAAATCTCATTAAAGCTTAAATTTAAAAGGAAAAGATGGATTAATAGACCATAAAACACACAAACAATTCTCCTAGGATAGTCTGCAGCGTCTCCACACTCATCTGTAATAGATCATCAACAAAAAGACGTGTGTGTAATGTAGAATATTATTGCTTTAATGATGTATTTAGCAGGAAGAAAAATTTCGTGTTTCCTATTTTTTACTGCAGTGCTAGTCCATTAGTACTAATTCTAATTTTATAGCCTTGGAAACATGAACAGTACCCGTGATAAGTTTTTCATGGGTTTTTAAGTTATACGAATCCCCATCAATTTTATGTCCATTTTGAAGTCTAGATTTCTGACATAAGTTGATATCTAAAATGCTAATCAAAAGATTAATATTTTCTGGCCAGGCGCAGTGGCTCACGCTTGTAATCCCAGCACTTTGGGAGGCTAAGGTGGGCAGATCACTTTGAGGTCAGGAGTTTGAGACCAGCCTGGCAAACATGGTGAAAAGCCCATCTCTGCTAAAAACACAAAAATTAGCCAGGGGGGCAGGGGTGCTTGTAATTCCAGATATTCAGGAGGCTGAGGCAGGAGAATCGCTTGAACCCAGAAGGTGGAGGTTGCAGTGAGCCAAGAACTAACCACTGCACTCCAGCCTGGGTGACAGAGCGAGACTACCTCCCAAAAAAAAAAAAAAAAAAATCTGTATTTTCTGTTGTGCCTTCTAAACTATCCTCAATTCCCAGTACCCACAAGGCCCTAAATGAAACAAGACTCACAAACAAACAGAATGAAGTACGTGATTGATGGCTAGCATTTTTATAAAGCGTTAGTATCTGAAGAATAATAATACTGTTAGGTCAACTTTCCCTCATCCAAAAAATAAATTGTCTTTTCTAAGTTATTCTTGATGGGAAATTTTTTTTTGAAAAAATTATAGCTTGTTTTAAGAGGAAGATTATATGAAAGATTATATTAACAGCCTTTGTTCACCACTTTTAACTCTTACAGTGACTTCTTGTAACAATTATATTAAATGGTATGGTTAATCATAGCCTAATGACCATATTTAAACTTGATAATCTACTAAAATAATAAACACGGCATGACAAAATACCTATCAGACAATCAATAAGGCTATAAAATCAGAAGTAAATGAGGCTCAACAAAGATTATGGGTGAAAAAGACAAATGCACCATTGTCGTCTTCTCAACAATAACAACTAATATTTATTGAGCTCTGACACTGTGCCAGATACTGCTCTGAACACTTTACAAGTAATTATCTCAATTCATCCTCAAGTTGATGTCATGTGGGAACTCAGCGGCAGCCTTTTTCCGAGGCTGGAAGGTCGCAGGGGTCTTGTTCAGGACCCTGAGGCATTGCCTGCTCTCTCCCAGTAAGGACAGGGCCTCTATGGGGCCTTAAGAGCCAGAAGGGCCCAATGTTTGCAAACATTACCTAAAATGAAGGTACATAAACTGCTGAATAAATCAGTCAGTTGTCTTCCAGCCAACCTGAGCAGCTAATGTTGCAAACAGCTCTAAGCCCTCCACAGAATCCAAGGCCCCCAGAAAAGGAGCCCCCAACTGCCTCTACTTTGAGGAGCCACTGCAGTTCCACTGAGTTCTGAATCCTTGGTTACACGTATCAGCAACTCATAGTGTGGCTGCACTCCCTCTTCCTGCCCATCCATAACCTTCCTGAAGCAGAGCAAGTAGGTTTTATTATTACTACCACTGCTGATGAGGAAACTCAGACAAAGGTAGGTTAAGTAACTTGCGCCGGGCTACACGGATCATACATGAGCTACAGATTGATGGGGGAAAAGAAAGAATCATAAAAATGTCTCCATTTGTACACCTTTGTTCATAGCAGGGTTATTCACAACAGTCAAAAGATAGAGGCAACTCAAGTGGCCACTGATAAAGTAACATAATGTGGTATATACACACAATGTATTATTACTTAGCATTAATAGCTGGGAGTGGTAGCACATGACTGTAGTTCTAGCTATTAATACTTGGTAGGCTCAAGTAGGAGGATCACTTGAGCCCAGGAGTTTGAGGCTGCAGTGAGCTATGATCACGCCACTGCATTCCAGGCTGAGGGACAGAGCAAGACTGACTCTCTCTCTCTCTCTCTCTCTCTCTCTCTCTCTCTTTCTCTCTCTATACACACACACACACACACACACACACACACACACACACAATTTTTAAATGATGGAAATTCTGACACATGGTACAACATTAATGAACCTTGAAAACATGCTAAGTGAAAATAAGCCAGTAACGAAAAACTTATGAGATACTGAGAGCCGTCAAATTCATAGAGACAAAAGTAGAAGGGTAGTGGCTAGAGGGCAGAGGGGATGGAGAGTTAGAGTTTAATGGGGATGAGGTTTCTGTTTGGGAAAATGAAAATGTTCCAGAGATGGATGGTGGTAATAGTTACCAACAATGTGAATGTATGTAATGCCAGAGTGAATCTACTTAATACATTTAAAAATGGTGAAAAGGAGTTTTGAAATTATAATAAAATATATATAACACAAAATTTAAGTGCATCACAGCTGGGCATGCTGGCATACACCTATAATCCTAGCTACTCCTCGGGAGGCTGATGCAAGAGGATTGCTTGATCCCAGAAGTTCAAATCTGGCCTGGGCAACACAGCATGACCCCATCTCTTAAAAAGGATGAGGGGTATGTGGCAGCATGCATGGTATGCTTAAAACTTCCTACAGTTCATAGTGTTCAGACTGTGTGTGTACAGCTCTGGGGATATAATAAAATTAGAATTCAAATACACATATACACATCACTCTTAGTGATGAGACGCTCTCTATAAAACATTAAAATGCTTAAACAAAGGAACAGAAAACAATATATTGCAATGACCTATTTCAATAAGAACCTATGTCCCAGAGAAAGAAGCTAATTTACTCATTCTCAAATATTTAGTGAACACCTATATATATATGCCAGGCACTATGCTTGGTGCTGGGAATTCAATGGTGAGGAAAAACAGATGCAGTAACTACACTAAGGGATATAACAAGCTGGTATGCAGGGAATGGGAAGGAGAGAAAGAGACACAAAATAATCACAAAAATGAGTTTTTAATTATAGACCTGGCTCTCTACATAAGCACATCACAAAGCAACCTGCCCTAAAGTGATGGATTAGCCAAGATGTGGTTTTAAACAGAGTTAACTATGTGGGGCTATGAGAGCATCAGGGAAAGGGACCTGAACATGCAAGTCCTGTGGCAAGACACAAAACCAAAGGAAGGGTACAGCCTGGCTGGAGTCCAGAGGACGGAGGACTGTTTGGGCAAAGGGGCTATAGACAGAGGCCAGGCAAAACTCAATAGTTTTGTTGACTACAGTACCAGTAATGATCTAAGTTTTAACCCTACATGCAATTAAAAGCCACTAAAAGGATATAAGGTAGGAGGTAGCAAAATAAAATAACAGTTACGCTTTGTTTTGTTTTGTTTTTTTCAGATGGAGTCTCGCTCTGTCACCCAGGCTGGAGTGCAGTGGCACGATCTCGGCTCACTGCAACCTCCGCCTCCCGGGTTCAAGTGATTCTCCTGCCTCAGCCTCCCGAGTAGCTGGGACTACAGGTGCGTGCCACCACACCCAGCTAATTTTTTGTATTTTTAGTAGAGACGGGGTTTCACCGTGTTAGCCAGGATGGTCTCAATCTCCTGATCTCGTGATCCACCCACCTCAGCCTCCCAAAGTGCTGGGATTACAGGCGTGAGCCACGGCACCTGGCCAACAGTTACACTTTTAAAAGATCAGATATAACATAGAAATCAGAGGTGTTCCAGGACACAATTTCCTCCCTCCTAAATCAACACAGCTTGGCCTTTCTCAGAACCAGACCTGGCATTAGGCAACCTAAATTTCTAGTCCTGATTATGTCACCAATTAAATGTCAGTCCTTATACAATGTATTGTTTTGTCCCTTCGGCTCATCACCTGTAAAACAGTCTTCTCTAGAAGGCGCATCAGGCTCCAAACTAACTCAAAAACTTCTTTCTCTTTTATTCTTACCCCTCCTCCCCAAATTATTTAGTCTTCAAAGTCCAGGCAAAAGTGTAAGCCAGTACCTTCACTTTGGCAGGTCTAAGGCTTCGATCCAGCTCCCTCACAATGCTCATGACATTCTGTTCTTCAAGCCAGGGGAGTGCAGACCTTGCTCTGGCCAACACCACCAAACAGGGAGTCAGAAGCTGTAACTTCCATCAACTAACTCACTGCCACTTACTAACTAATGCAGGATTTCCTTGGTTCTAAGGAATTTTGTTCCCATGGGGGTAATGGTAGAAAGGATCAATGTAAGTACTGTAAACCTACTTTTTCTTTCTTTCTTTTTTTTGAGAGGAAACTTGCTCTGTCACCCAGGCTGAAGTGCAGTGGCACAATCTCGGATCACTGCAACCTCCACCTCCCTGATTCAAGCGATTCTCCTGCCTCAGCCTCCCGAGTAGCTGGGACTACAGGCACGTGCCACCACATCCAGCTAACTTTTGTATTTTTAGTAGAGATGGGGTTTCACTATGTTGCCCAGGCTGGTCTCGAACTCCTTTGACCCACCTGCCTTGGCCTCCCAAAGTGCTAGGATTACAGGCGTGAGCCACACTGCCCAGCCCTATATTCTTCTTTGTATATTGTATAAAACAGATCTTATATTTTAACAAAACGAGTGAAACCTATAAAGCCCCCATGGCTTCAATGTTTTTTAACAATTATGAATCTTATATATTTTAGATTAGCAGTGTTTGAAATTCACAGCTCAACTATATTCATAACAGATTTCAAAATGAGGATGTGAGAACTACTGATGTGCAAACAGTTTAATTACCTGCTCCCAATACATTATTGGTGATTTGACAAGTAGCATAAATTGTCTCGGATAAATCGATGTCAGATTAGGAATGCTGACAGCCCATTGAAGTCCTCAGAATAAAAGTCACAAAGAAAATCACTTAGGAAGGGCTATCAGGTTTCAGCAGTTCCACAACCCTGCCCTCTCTGCAGGCCTCTCAAAGAGGTCTTCAGATCCAAGGTTTGATCACCTAATAGAAAAAGGTGCTAAAGCGATCAGAATAGGACCGTAATTAGTCGGCAGTGGTGGCGGACGCCTGTAATCTCAGCTACTGGCTGAGGCAGGAGACTGAAGCAGGAGAAACACTTGAACCCAGGAAGCAGAGGTTGCAGTGAGCCAAGATCACGCCACTGCACTCCAGCCTGGGCAACAGAGCAAACTGTCTCAAAAAAAAAAAAAAAAAAAAAAAAAAAAGGTAAGCGGGGTGAGGGGGTAGTAGGACCATAAATACTCAAAGAAAAGAATGTGACTCCCCAAATTCAACTGAATGATGAATCCATTTTCATTTAATGGTACAAAACAACCAATGAACCTTTCATATGTTCTTTTTGGGAAACAATCTGCAAAGCTCATTATCAACATACTAATAATTAATTTTTAACCATACTACTCAATTTTATAAATGCCTCAGGATCTAAGAGTCTAAGTAAAGCTGAACCTAAAGCAGTATGAGAAGGAAACCATGGTATTTAAATGTTGCAAGCAAAAAAACACATCTTCTTCAGTGCTGCCTCAAAGAAAGACAATAATGACGCTTAAATCCAAGTCATTCTAACAAAAATGAGGTGGAAGGGTAGATAGAAGAGGTAATCTGACAGAGGAGAGATAACTACTCAGGAGGAATCAAGTGCAGATCCAAACCCTATCTCTGAAACCAGCTATACAAACATGACAAAACACCACTTCCTGAGCCTCTGAGCCTACTTCTGCTTTAGAAAATAATTACGGTAATAAATAACTAGAAAGAATATATGTGATACAAAAGTAATCGGACCTCAAAATTACTAAGCTTCAGAATGGAAACAAAACAGGAGAGATAAAAAACACTGAAGGGTGTGAAGGTAACTTCCTAGAAGGAGCATAAGAGGCAAGTATTACAGAAACTACACAGAAAATGATTATTTATGAAACAGAGTCTTACTCTGTTGCCTACATTGGGATGATCATAGCTCACTGCAGCCTCGAACTTCTTGGCTCAAGGGATCCCTCCACCTCAGCCTCACGAATAGTTGGAACTACAAGCACTCACCACCATGCCTGGCTAATTTGTTTTGTTTTGTTTTGTAGAGACAGAGTCTTGTTATGTTGCCTAGGCCTGTCTCAGACTCCTGGCCTCAAGTGATCATCCTGCCTCAGCCTCCCAAAGTTTTGAGACTACAGGCATAAGCCAGTGTACTTGGCCATAAAATGATGTTTAAAGGAATTAAGGTATATAGGTAGAATCCTCTTTAAAATGCTTCTTTAAAATATCACCTTCACTGACAACAAATACCAAACCTCTAAAACTGCCCTCTCCCAAAAGAAATTCACCTGCTGTCCTGCACATTCACCAGCAGTGGGAAGCAGTGAGCTGCTGCAGCTGTGAACCAAGAGCCCACACAGGCCCTCTCTACCTCAGGCAAGTCAGCCCAGCTGCCACGAGAACTCTCCACCATCTCAGGAACAAGCTTTTCCACTTGCACTCAAGCAGGGACCACATCCCCAGTTATAATCTGAGAAGCAGTATCTCATAAGAATAGTGTTAAACTACAAGGGACTGGTTACATAAATAATAGTTTACCTATATAAGATCATGCAACATTAGGGTAAAACTAAGTTCTTGCAGTGATTTTTAAAAAGGTATTTTTATCCGGCCAGGCACAGTGGCTCACACCTGTAATCCCAGCAACTCTGGGAGGCCGAAGTGGGCAGATCACGAGGTCAGGAATTCGAGACCAGCCTGACCAACACGGTGAAACCCGTCTCTACTAAAAATACAAAAATTAGCTAGGTGTGGTGACGTGCGCCTGTAATCCCAGCTACTCGGGAGGCTGAGGCAGAAGAATCACTTGAACCCGGGAAGCGGAGATTGCAGTGAGCCGAGATCGCACCACTGCACTCCAGCCTGGGCGACAGGGCGAGACTCTGTCTCAAAAAAAAAAAAAAAAAGTATTTATATAATATAGTTAGGGAAAACATAGGGGCGGTGGAGGTCATTTAAAACAGTTAAAAAGAAAGTTCACATAAGACTTAGTTATCAAAATGTACTAAAATGTGGTGCTTGCACAGGGAAAAATAGATCTACAAAACAAAAGAGAATAGATTAAAAGTCTATAAACAGGCCTAAGTATATCTAGGAACCTAAAATATGATAAAGGGGCATTACAAATCATGAAGAAACAAATTCAATAAATGGTACTGGGACAATTAATTTAATATATGAGAAAAATTAGATCCCTACCTCACTCTATTCACAAAATTAAACTCTATATAGATTTACAGTCCTAAATATGAAGAAAACTTTAAAACCATTAGAAAAAACAAGACACAAGAAATATATAAATTTATATATATAAATATAACTCTAGTTATAGCCTAAAAACTCACACACATGCTCACAAAGGGATATGTGTGAAATTTTCAACATAGCATTATGAGTAACACAGCAAAAGAAAAACGTTTTGAAAGCACTCCAGATGTTCCCTGGTAACAGAATACATAAATAATGTTGTGTAGTATTATATACAAGAATATTGGAAATAATAGAAAGCAGTTAAAATGAATGAACTGTGTTTATATTTATTAACACGGCTAGATCTCAATAATGGGCAAATGGCAAGTGTTACACAATAAATTTAAGCATATGCAAAAGAATATTTATGTTGTTTTGGAATAATAAATAATACAACTATAAAAACACAGACTACATACATAGCAGATCTGTTACAGTGGCTGGCTCTTGAAAGGAGGCAGAGGTAAAGGGAAGTAGGACTCAGAAGGGAATATTAGAGACTTCAACATTAACTATAATGGTTGAAAAAAAAGTTTTTTAACCTGAAGAACTAAAATATTAACATTTGCTTTAGGTGCCCTTATATGGAGTTTTATTACATTATCCTCTATACTATTCTGTAATTTGCTATTATTATGTATAATGCATAAAAAAGGGCTTAAAGAAAACAAAACAGTAAGAACATTCTACTCTGGGTAATGAGAACAAAGCTTTTTTTGGCTGCTGCTGTACTATTTTTTAATTTTTCATAACAGATATACATTAATTTTTAAATTGAGCAAAAATCACTTTGACCAGGAAAAATATATACAGGTAGTTATTAGATTCCACATAGTTCTGGTTCACATAAATATCTTTTTCTTTTTTTTTTTTTTTTTTTTTTGAGACAGGGTCTCACTCTGTTACCCAGGCTAGAGGGCAAGTGGCATGAGCATGATCTCAGCTCACTGCAACCTCTCCTCCCAGGCTCAAGCAATCTCCCCATCTCAGCCTCCCAAGTATCTGGGAAGACAGGCGCATGCCACCACACCCAGCTAATTTTTGTATTTTTTTGTAGAGACAGGGGTTTCACTATGTTGCCCACCTTGGTATCAAACTCCTGAGCTCAAGCAATCCACTGGCCTCAGCCCCCCAAAGTGAAATATCTGATTTTTAAAGTTCTTGCAAACATGACATCTGTACTCTTGCTTCTCTGATAAAATATTCTCGAAGCTCTAAACAACTGAAATACAAACCCATTTTGGAGATCCTAAAATTTGGGGTAAAATATTAATGTCCCAATGGAGAAAACAAAACTTTCTTCTATGAACAATTCTAGTCTTTGAGAAAGGAAAAGGCAAGGAGTTCCACAGCTTTAGTCACAATCTATAATTGTACAGAAGTACACAAAATGCATAAGAAACAAGGCTGGGAGCAGTGGCTCACAACAGTAATCCCAGCACTTTGGGAAGTCAAGGCAAGAGGACTGCTTTAAAGCCAGGAGGAGTTCAAGACCAGCCTGGGCAATCACATAGTAAGACCCTGTCTTTATTTTTATTATCTGATGTGTATTCCTCTATGAGTTCTTACATTATCAAAATAAATATTTTATGAAAAGCATGTCAAATTGGCATTATGATAAGAAAGTTAAAAACCCATATTGTATTCCATTTCATTAGAAAACAATATTGAAACTTTTGTTACATGTAATGAATACTGGTCAAATAACCTCACCAAACTCAGTTTTCTCGTGTGTAAAATGAGCATCCTACCGTGCCTATCACAAGGGGTAACAGGAATCAAATACAGTAAGTAACTTCAATCAGCAAAAAACTCACAGGTCCACTTTTCTGGAGTGCAGAGAAAGCAGTAAGTGCCAGGTCCTATGCCTGACCACGGCAGCCATTAGTGGTAAAATTAAACTGAATATAGGAAGCTTCATTTGATCACCGAAAGAAAAAAGTAAATAGATTTAAAAGATATCAACTATAATGTAATAAAATTATATAGAAAATAGCCCCTCTGGCCGGGTGTGGTGGCTCATGCCTGTAATCCCAGCACTTCGGAAGGCCGAGGCGGGTGGATCACAAGGTCAGAAGTTTGAGACCAACCTGGCCAACATGGTGAAACCCCGTCTCTACCAAAAATACAAAAATTAGCTGGGTGTGGTGGCACGTGCCTGTAATCCCAACTACTCAGGAGGCTGAGGCACGAGAATCACTTGAACCCAGGAGGCGGAGGTTGCAGTGAGCTGAGATCATGCCACTGCACTCCAGCCTGGTGACAGAGCAAGACTCCATCTCCAAATATAAAAAGAAAGAAAAAAAAAAAAACAGCCCCTCTTTCTAATGAACAGACACAAAAAACTCTCAACTCACAGACGAGTGTTATCATAACCCAGTCAACCAAGTAACCAAGCCAAATCAACCTAGCAGTCAGGAAGGCTAAGAGCCCAAAAGCTCCCGGTCTACAGTATTGCCACAATGGCTTTAAAATTAAACAAGTAACAGAAGGATAAATACCCACAAAATTTCAAACCATGTCTTACCAAGGTGATGTCTCGGGAAGCTGCAGCAGCACTCATATGCAAACTAGGCTGCCTCACAGAACTGCTGCAATCCAGGGCTCTGGCGAATGTCCCAACAGCACTGAATAAACCACAAACACAATAAGGAAGAATTAAGTATCTGTTTTGGTTTGTTTTTTTAACGTTTTAAAAAACACATTTGGATAGTAAATAAAAAACTGTAAAAGAAGAGGCAAAAACAAGTTTCTGAATGAGAATCAAACATCAAATAAAAAGAATTTTCACTCTATAAGATATAATAATTGACAAGCCAATTTACTATAAACAGGTCGTTATCATGAAATCAAGAAAAAAAATAGCCTGTGCAGGGGGTAAAAAAGAAGGAAAGGGAAGCTCTGTTATAACATGTCATGGAGTAAAACATTTATTCAAATTGGCTCAAAAAATAAAAAGTCAGCTGCAGAGTTTGACTATTACAGCAAAGCAAGTTTTGACTACTTTTTAAGCCCAAATTGTAAAACTCAGTTACATTTTTCCCCCAATATATCATTAACTGTAGCAACCCCTTCCTGTGAGGATTCAACATGAAACAGATTTCTACTAAAATCTCATTTAAAAAGAAATTACCATAATGCTGATTTTAATGATTTGGAAGTCCTTCCAATATGTAAGAAACCCTAACCTTAACACATACAGCATAAAATGAAGACTCACTGCTTTTCCTGCCTGTATTTTAAACATGTTTGCTATGGAAGAGATTTTTTATTTTTATTATTTTTATTTTTTGAGACAGGGTCTCACTCTGTCACCCAGGCTGGAGCGCAATAGTATGATCATAGCTCACTGCAGCCTCAACTTCCTGGGCTCAAACAATCTTCCCACCTCAGCTTCCCAAGTAGCTGTAACTATAGGCATGCACCACCACGCCCAGCTATTTTTTTTTTTTTTTTTTGGCTAATTAAAAAAAATTTTCTGTAGACAAGGCCTCCCTATGTTGCCCAGGCTGGTCTGAAACTCCTGGGCTCAAGTGATCCTCCCGCCTCGGCCTCCCAAAGTTTTGGGATTATAGGCATGAGCCATTGTGGTTGACCCCTAAGGAAGAAATTTTATAAATATTTTAATTAAAATACAACAAACATGTTGAAAAGTACACAGTAAACAGATAGTTACTGTAAAGTGAACACATGCATGCCACCAACATACAGTTCAAGAAAGAACATGACCACAACCCAGAGGCTCCTCAAGCTCCTTTCCACAGGGAACCACCACCCTGGATTATAGCACCACAGATTAGTTTTGCTCAAATAGAATCACACAGCTGGATATTACGTCCAGCTTCTTTTGATTAAAATTACGTTTGTGGGTTCATCCATGTTGTTAGCTACAGCTGTATTCACTCATTTTCCCTGTTACGCGACATTCCGTTGTACGACGTCTCATCCCCACCTCCACTCTACTGCTGACAGACATTCCATGTGTTTCCAGTTTGGGGTTACTATGAATAGTGCCATAAATCCATTTGTATACGTATCTTTTGGTGCAAAGGTATATGCATTTCTGCTGCATAGATATTTAGGAGTGAAACTTAAGAGATACTTGTGTTAGATGACAGCAAACAGTATTCCAAAGGAGCTGTACCAATTTACACACTCACCAGCAGGATATGAGAGTATTGGTTCTAAATCTTGATCAATGCTTAGCACTGTCAGTCTTTAAAATTTTAACCATTCTGGTGGATTGGCAGTGGTATTTGACTGTGGTCTTAATTTGCATTTAGAAGATCTTTTTTTTTTTTTTTTTTTTTTTTTTTTTGAGACAGAGTCTTCCTCTGTCGCCCAGGCTGGAGTGCAATGGTGCGATCTCGGCTTACTGCAACCTCCGTCTCGCAAGTTCAAGCAATTTTCCCGCCTCAGTCTCCCAAGTAGCTGGGATTACAGGCACCCACCATCATGCCCAGCTAATTTTTTTTGTATTTTTGTAGAGACGGGGTTTCACCATGTTGGCCAGGCTAGTCTTGACCTCCTGACCTAAGGTGATCTGCCTGCCTTGGCCTCCCAAAGCACTGGGATTACAGGCGGCGTGAGCCACTGTGCCGGGCCCTTTTTTTTTTTTTTTTTTTTAAGAGATGAGGTCTTACTATATTGCCCAGGTTTGTCTTGAACTCCTGGACTCAAACAATCCTCCTGCCTTGGCCTCCCAAAGTGCTGGGGTTACATGCATAAGCCACCATTCCCAGCCTACAAGATTATTTTTTAAAACAAATATTGAAAACAAAAACATACTAGGAACCAACTCCTTGGTGTCCTTCATGCTGGCTTTGAGGGGAAACATACAGCCCTTGGCAATCAGAAAAATGAAAATACAGAATACAAATCTAATTTGAAAATGGCAATGTCTCCTAACCAATCCCCAATCTAGACAGCCTGTCTGGAGACTCTAGACCAATATTCTGTACTCAACAAGGGGCCACAAGATTGGCCCCTTTACAATGCTCATCAAGTGTCTCCATCCAGTCACTTAGTAGTTAGGTGATGGGCTCTGGACTCCAAATGCCTGGCCACCAATAAAAAGTGGGATCGTCCATGGTGACTGGCTCTATGAACAGTGATATCTAAGGATGAGCCAAGACTATTTTTTCCTCTGCATTGTGAAATAAGTTCAACACAAAATCAGACAATAACATAATGAAGACCCTTGCATCCACTGTCCAGATCTAACTCATAGTAATATTTTGCCATGTTTGGTTCATTCTTTTAAAAAATAAATATTATAAATTTGTTAGAGTTCCCTATATATACTCCTAGATCATATATACTATATATACCCATTTAATGTATTTAAAAATCCACTAATAAAATAGTTTTGTACACAGCAAACATTTTATAATTACTCTGTATACACATAAATGATCACATGGTATATACCCTCAACACTATTTGTGATGTTTATCTCTTTGCTACATATAGCTTTAATTCATTCAATTGCCATAAAATAATATTTCACTATATGAGTATACCTCAGTTCATTCATCAATTGCTTGCTGATGTACTTTTACTGTTATCATTTTTTAAATAAAAATAAAATTCTGTCCCATTCATTCTCTTAAGAAAAGGGGAGGAAGGAAGGAAGCCAGCCAGGTAGCCAGGTTGAAAGCTCTCAAGGCAAAGTGCTATGCTTAGCAACAGGCCTTACCCACACATGGATGCGGTGAGCGAATTCCAGGTGCACATTCTTATTGATACCTGAATAATCCATGTCTAGAGTAAAGCTATGTCAAGTAAAAAGGATGACTCTTTTTATTAAGGATGTGGGACTTCAGGTATTTTCTTCAGGTATAAAGAATTTCTTCTTTATACTTTTCTGTTTTCTTAATCAGTAAAAATTAATACAACTATTTTCATTTAAAACAGAAATTAATAAAATTAGGAAGCAGCATAACGTATTAAGCTTTCTTACCTAACTAAAAAAATAATACAATCAGTGGGAGAAAAGCAGAATACAAAGAAATAAAAATACATATACCTATAAATTCTTTTATATAAAGAAATTTATTGACTCAATAATGCCATACTCATACTCACCGTGCTACAACTAAAAACTGGTCAATCTGTCGATCCGTAAGTGGGCTATTTGGATCCCAAACTTTAACTTCCAATTTTGATTGTTCCCTCTCATCTGATTCTCCTGTCCAAAAATAAATAAAATGGAGTCTTGTTACTGACAAGGCATACTGTCTCATACCACTGATGACAACTGTCACCATAGCATTAGAAATGTTTATGTGTAAGGTAAGTGCCCACAGTTTTGGCATATTCTTTCAGACGTAGATGTACAACACCTCGTTAAAGTGAACACTGATGATAATGACACCAAACTAACCGAAAGGTATCTTCATTTAGTCCTTAATGTTTATTTCTGGAGTAGCTGTATGTGAGAGGCAGTAAGTGCCATGCTAAGAGACATAAAGATGAAAATGCAACAGGCTGGGTGCGGTGGCCTGCACCTGTAATCTCGGCACTTTGGGAGGCCGAGGCAGACAGATCACTTGAGGCCAGAAGTTTGAAACAAGCCTGGTCAATATGGAGAAATCCTGTCTCTACTAAAAATACAAAAATTAGCCGGGTGTGGTAGCAGGCGCCTGTAATCCCAGCTACTCGGGAGGTTGAGGCACGAGAATCGCTTGAACCCGGAAGGTAGAGGTTGCAGTGAGCTGAGATTGCGCCACTGTACTCCAACCTGGGCGACAGAGTAAGACTTTGTCTCAGAAAAAAAGAAAGAAAGCATCACTTCCACAAGATGTTTAAACTATGCATAAATACATATGATATAAACCAAATAAATAGAATAAGAGACACATATTAACAGTTATAGCATAAGAATCTGAAGAGTAGAGAAATCATTTCAAGCTAGGTAAGAAACAATATCATGAAGGAGATGGCACTTCTGCTAAGAACTAAAGGGTACGAATGCACCAGCAGGGGAAGATTTTTTAAAAAAGAAATGAGAACATGAACAAAGTCATGGGGCATTAAAATGTCATAGAAAAGTAGCTCATAATGTCTGGAGTACTTTATGGAATGAGAGAAGATAGCTAAGAGAAGTGGGTTATGAACACATTACTGAAGATCCTACATAGATGTTTTTCGAAGAGACTTTATTTGGAGGTAATGAGAAGCCCTTGATTTTTCTGGTAAGGGAGTGACAAGAGCAGAACTAAACTTCAACTTTCAAAGCTAGTCATGGTTTATAATTTCCTCTGCAGAGATACCTGATAAGGAGAGAGAGAGACATAGCAGCCTCCTTTAAGAGTTCCTTCACAAGTAATGAGGGGCTGAAACATGGTTATGAGATTGGTAATAGAACACAAAGAAAGGAGATTTGGGAATGTCAGTGACAGACTGGATGTAGAGTGTAGATTTCAAGTTTTGTGAGCTGTACTCACAGCGTTGGCATTAGTAGAAAGAAGGAGGCTGGGTGTGGTGGCTCACACCTATAATCCCAGCACTTTGGGAAGCTGGGGCAGGAGGATTACTTGAGACCAGAAGTTCAAGACCAACCTGGGCAACACAGTGAGACTCCAACTCTACAAAAAATAAATAAAATTAGCCATGTGTTGTGGCATATGCCTGTAGTTATAACTACTCAGGAAGCTGAGGTGGAAAGGCTGCTTCAGCCCAGGAGGTTGAAGCTGTAGTGAGCCATAATCATACCACGGCATTCCAGCCTGGGTGTCACAAAACAAAACAAAAAAGATACACAAACAGGAAGTAAGGGCCAAGAGAAGACTGACAATAATGCTGAATGCTTTGCTTTAGAATGTCTCACAAAGGGATAACTATTGAACAAGAGTCAATGTTAGGACAAATGATTGTAATGAAAAGTTGGGAGCCAATGGAATTTTGATTTATAGCTATAGATTCTTACTAGAATAAAAGCTCTTTAATGATAGGGACTGCTTTGGCTTTGTTTTGCTTTTGATCACTGCATCTGTAACATTAGGCTTGCAACGGCTGACATAATACTCTGAAGCCAACCATTCCCCAGTGACTGACAAACCCAGGCTATGGGCCGCCTAGTATAGGAGCAAGCAGGTATCAATGGAAAGGAGAGGACAGAAGCAGGCATTCCATCTGCAGCCTCTTAAGTCAGGCCACTGTTGTTAGGTTAAAGACCTGCCCATTCTGTCCCTGGTTCAAAGGCAGGTAACCAGAGAGCCAACTGCCAACCCCAATATAAAATGACATAAACAGAGTAGAGCAGAGCTAGTACTAGGCCAAAAAGATCTAAGGTTTGAAAGGACTTCATTCTTTGTTTTGTTTACAATTCTTAGCATGCCAAGACAAGACACTCAACATTAGGTTCATTTTTAAAGACCAGTTAAAAATCAAACAGTTGCAAGCCACATGAAACCTGAGAATGGAGAATGACACAATTAACCTGCCTGTGTCTTTTTAAAAATAATTTAAATAAGGATAGATAGTAGTGGTAAAACATTTGAAATCTACATTTTAAATAACACACAAGAAATGATGTTGCTATTCAGTCTTAAGCCCCTTCTGTTGTATACTCCTGAACGTAAGACTACAATTGATGTTTATTTTTCAAATTCAAGTCAGTTAAATTGACAAATTTTAATTCCACCCATACAGTCTGCAGCATATAGCAGAAGTAAGACTTAGAAGAATTCTAAATAAATTCACTGTAAACAATAATAAAACACTCTTGAAAGCATTTAAACTAACACCAAAAACACAGACAACCATAGGCTGAGAAGAAAAATAGCAAGAACAAAAAATAAATATAGAAATTCTCTATATCAAACGATCATTTCAAACTAAGAGGAGATTCCCATTTTGAACAGACCAAATAATTACATTCATATCAGTTTGATCACTTCTTCACATGGAAAAAACTTTTAAAAAGCTCTTGAATTAACTTATTTAGAATTTTTATAATTAAGTTTTTTTCAGCTACGCTAGCAGCAATCTTTGGAATGGCCCTGGTAACAAAGGAATGAGCCAAAAACTGAACAAAGATTAATTCCATGTTAATGTTCATTCCAGTCTTTATAATAATCTCCCCTTCCTCCTCCACGTATGATAATCTGGGCAATTCCAATCTGCTCAAGTGCCGTATCATCAAAAAACACAGACCATGACGATCTCCCCTAACCTCTAAATTCCTACAAATGTATTTCCCAACTAAATGTGTGATTGTATACAGCTTCCTATTTTTGCTTCGTTTAATTGTGAAGAAATGTAGACCCAGCAACTATTTTAAATGTTAGCCCTAACCCTCCAGTTATATTTTTAAATCTCTACAAAATACTGACAAAGTACTTCTTAAGAATTTTGAGCACAGTGTTGTTCAAATACTCTGAAGAACTAAGGATTCCTAAAGGCCCTTTCCTAGGCAATTTGAAACATTCTTTGTTCCAAATACAATAACGTTTTCTTTGCACCAGTCATCAGAGTACTATACTTTTTATATTATATGTAATTCAGGAACACACAAGGATGTCTTTTATCACCATTTTTGCTCAATATTGTCCTGAAAGTTCTGGCCAACATATTAAGTTATGAATCAAAAGAATAACAAGTTACTATAATTTTTTAAAGTCACATTCATTTTGACAATAAAAATATAAAACACTAGGAAATAAAATTGGAGATTTTATATAAAGAAATTTCAAAATTTTCAAAAGAAGATCAGATGATTTGAGTAAATAAAAAAGCAAGGCCAGGGTGCAGTGGCTCACATCTGTAACCCCAGCACTTTGGGAAGCCAAGGTAGGAGGATCATTTGAGGCCAGGAGTTTAAGAGCAGCCTGGTCAACACAGGGAGACCCACTCTCTACTTCTAAAATAAAAATCAAGAAGTGAGGTAAAACCAGAATATTTCACCTCAAAATATACTTCTTCGGTATATTTCCAGATGGCTATTCTGAGATCAATAAACACAACAAGATTACCCAGCCCTGAAAGGCTGTCTTTTACGTGGGGGGATGGGGGGAGATCTGCATATGTAGAGGAAATCTACGTTAGTGAAGTAAACCGCAAATGCAAACAGGATTTCTCTGAGGCCCCTTTAAATGAATCTAAGAAAGACTAACTTACAGGAAAAAGAGACCAAAGATCTGACATAGACACTTCATCCCAAGCTACACCTTTCTGAAGGCAGCTTGGAGATTACCTCGAAGGTTCATCCACGTAACAAGGCAGCCATGCAACCTTTGCTAACCCTGCTCTCCTGTAACCTGTGTCACTAACTCCCTTCACCCTACTCTTTTTTTTCTTTTTTTTCTTGTTGCCCACCCTGGAGTGCAATGCCGTGATCTTGGCTCACTGCAACTTCCACCTCCCGGGTTCAAGTCATTCTCCTGCCTCAGCCTCCCGAAGTAGCTGGGATTACAGGTGCCCACCACCATGACCAGCTAATTTTTTTGTATTTTTAGTTGAGACGGGGTTTCACCATGTTGGCCAGGCTAGTCTTGAACTCCTGACCTCAGGCGATCCACCCAACTCGGCCTCCCAAAGTGCTGGGATTACGAGTGAGCCACCATGCCCAGCCTCTTTTTTTTTTTTGAGACAAGGTCTCGCTCTGTCACCCAGGCTGGAGTACAGTGGCGGACAACCACAGCTCACTGCAGCTTCAATCTCCTGGGCTTATGTGATTCTCCGGCCTCAGCCTCCCAAAATAGCTGGGCCTACAGGCACGCACCACCATGCCCAGCTAATTTTTTGTATTTTTAGTAGAGATGGAGTTTCACCATGTTGGCCAGGCTGGTCTCGAATTCCTGACCTCAAGTCATCCGCCAGCCTCAGCCTTCCAATTCCTAAGCACTGGGATTACAAGCATGAGCCACCATGCCCAGCACCAATTGCCTATTCTTTTGGTAACCTCAGGATGGCAGTATTAAAAACTTCCATCATCTGGCTCTTCTTTGAGTCTCACAGTGTTTATATTTAAGTGTTTTTATAGAAGAGTCAAAAAGTTAAAAAAATAAATAAAGTTGAGCAAGCTAATTTATTACTGAAGATAATTTTTAAATAAAATTAGTATAGCCTAAGTGTACAGTGTTTATAAAGTCTACAGTAATGTCCTAGTCCTTCACATCCACGTACCACTCACTCACTGACTCACCCAAAGCAACTTCCAGTGCTGCAAGCTCCATTCACAGTAAGTGCCCTACACAGTGGGTGCACCACTTATTATCTTTTTACTGTATTTTTACAATACCTTTTCTATACTTAGATATGTTTAGATACACAATACTTACTATTGTGTTATAATTCCCTACAGTATTCAGTATAGTAACATGCTGTACAGGTTTGTAGCCTGGGAGCAATAGACTATACCATATAGCCTGGGTGTTTAGTAAGCTGCACCTATCTAGGTTTGTGGAATTACGCTCTATGATGTTGGCACAGCAATGAAATCACCTAAGGACACATTTATCAGAATGTATTGCTGTCATTAGGTGATGCATGGCCACAAAAGAATTAGTTCTGGAAGTAGATATAAAATGTTTTGAATATCTACAAATTAAATAGTTCTAAAATAAGGGAAAGGATTAACTCAACTGGATAAGATTACAATATATGGCAACAGTAATCAAAACAATGTTGTATGTACTACCATAAAAACAAACACAATCAAGGGTGCGGTGGCTCATGCCTGTAATCCCAGCACTTTGGGAGGCTGAGGCGGGCAGATCACGACGTCAGGAGATTGAGACCATCCTTGAAACCCCGTCTCTACTAAAAATACAAAAAAATTAGCCGGGCTTGGTGGTGGGCACCTGTAGTCCCAGCTACTCAGGAGGCTGAGGCAGGAAAATGGCGTGAACCCGGGAGGCGGAGCTTGCAGTGAACCGAGATCGTGCCACTGCACTCCAGCCTGGGTGACAGAGTAAGACTCCGTCTCAAAAAAAACCAAAAAAACAAAAAAACCCCAAACAAACACAATCAAATGTACAGAAATAGACCAGACCATATAATCATTTATATTTGAAAATGTACATAGTATTATAATTATGTAAATATTAGCTAACATTTATTGAAAAGTTACTATGTTCCTATAAATTTTTCATACCTGGCCTCTCTCTCCACTAGGTGCCCCTTCCCACCTCTACCCCCTCTACCAGACGTGACAACTAAAATGTCTACATATTGTCTAATTCTCCTGGAGGACAAAATTGCCCTATGGCTGAAAATTCCTATTTTATATGATGGCAATCAATACCTGCTTAAACAATTCTTACGGGTCAGTGTTTCTAAGTTAACGACTATCCACTACATTGTTAAGAAGTTCATATTCTGCAAAACTACCAATTGAAGGTAATAGAGTTTATGAAAAAATAGGATAAAACTCTCAAAACCTAGGAGAGTTGGTAACCAGAGCATTCCAAAAAAAAGTAACAATCATAATAAAACAGTTAAATCTCTATTGCCATTTGCGCCAAGCATAAAGGTCCGCTGATCTTTTATCTCCTTAAACCCTGGACTCATGCTTCTTCCACTGAGCTGTAGGTCCCTTTTTACAGCTTCAAATAAATTAAAAATCGAATGCAGAATGTAATTTTTCCCCCAAACACTGAAGGAAATATCTTCAGAGTCTCTTCATCTGTAACTCAAAGCTTCCCATAAAGTTGTAACACAGTGGAAAGTGCCTCAGATTTTCAGACCACAAAATCAGCCACTGCTTAAATCAAAGGAAGGCACTTTTGTAAAAATTTCCACTTGCTCTTTCTTAAACTCTCCTTATCTGTGAGAACACTTGTTTCCCTTATTGCTGGGGAAAGCCACATATGAACTGACACAATTTTCACTCTATACTAACATTTTCCTATTTGCCAACAGAACATGAGTTAATACAAGTTTTAAGTGCATACAATATAACAAAAGATATACTATTTTAATTCTTTAACACTCAAAGAGTGTGACTGGTGATAACAGCTTTTTTTTTTTTGGAGAGGGAGTCACACTCTGTCACCCATGCTGGAGTGCAGTGGTACGATCTTGGCTCACTGCAACCTCTGCTCACTGCAACCTCTGCCTCCTGGGTTCAAGCAATTCTCCTGCCTCAGCCTCCCGAGTAGCTGAGATTACAGGCACCCGCCACCACACTCGGCTAATTTTTGTATTTTTTAGTAGAGATGGGGTTTCACCGTGGTTGGTCAAACTGGTCTCGAACTCCTGACCTCAAATGATCTGCCGGCCTCAGCCTCCCAAAGTGCTGGGATTACAGGAGTGAGCCACCACACCCGGCCGATAACAGCTATTAAATGAGTGGTACTAGAGGCCAGGGGGAGAAGACTGTAACAGCTGGGCGCTGTGCTAACTGCATGACAAGAATTACCTCATTTGCTCATCGCAACGATATAATGTATTACATACACTATCATTCCCTGTTTAAAGAGAAAGAAACAGGAACTTGGAGGGGTTAATCATTTCCCCAAGGTTACTCAATTAAAACATAGTATAGTCAGGATTACCCAAACTTGTGAACCTAGAGTCATTTTCGTTTAATAATTTAAGGTTTTCATAACATACTTTAACAGTTAAAATTTAAATTTAATATGTAGAACAAATTTTTCTTAAAATTCCAATGTTATAATAATACATTTAAACAATGACTCAAAACTTCTCTTTTATGGAAAATTTTCTAGGTGGTTTATTCAAACTCAGTGAAAGATGTAAAATCTAAAAGACGCCTTTACTTTCATTTGTAAACTACATACTCTTTTCAGATCTCTAGAGTTTGTTAGGTGATGGGTAGCCATAAATGAATTTAAAAATCGAAAAGCCACAAAAAGATTTATTCCCTAGCAAGACAAATGCTGCAACAATCTCTCAGTATCCTATCCATCAAGACATGTTCACAAAGAAAGCAAGCCTGTAACATATCCTGGCAGAGTGCTGCTGCTGCCACCTACCCAAGATATTAATTCCAGTTCTACATTCCATGCCAATGCAAATTAGAATCTGGCCACTGGTGGAAATGTACCCACTCAGGAGTACTAAAAGGGTTAGGAAGAATGGATTCCAGCAAATCCTAAACATCTGTTCTTGAATATGATATGTCCTACTATTTAACTTCCCTGCAATCAGGTACTAGCTACATATGGGAGTTTCTGTGATGGCAATGACCATGTTTTTCAAGTGTGGTTAATTACTGGTATACCTACTGGTATCCCCACTCCTTCCCCCCTAAAAAAATAGTCATTAGAAAAAAGAAGGGTGGCTGGGTGCAGAGGCTCATGCCTGTAATCCCAGCACCTTGGGAGGCCAAGGCAGGTGGATCACCTGAGGTCAGGAGTTCAAGACCAGCCTGGCCAACACGGCGAAACCCTGTCCCTGCTAAAAATACAAAAGTTAGCTGGGTGTGGTGGCAGGCACCTGTAATCCCAGCCACTTGGGAGGCTGATGCAGGAGAAAATTGCTTGAACTTGGGAGGCGGAGGTTGCAATGAGCCGAGATCACGCCACCGCACTCCAGCCTGGGCAACAAGAGCGAAACTCCATTTCAAAAAAAAGAAGAGTTCTTTAAACCTTGCATCTACTCAGTTGCCTGATTACAAGTGAAAAGAAACATTCTGCATATGCTTTAATGCTTCAGGCTGAAATAAGAGTTCAAAATGGCTTCTACATTTATGATGAAAAATACAGTATTTTTCAATAAAATCGATAAATCTGTTGTTTTTGTTAGAGATGAATACTTAACAAAGAAAACTACCAAGTTATAAAATGTAAAAATAAATACCCAGAAGTAGCCTTGAAGAAAGGAAAGGCATTCCTTGTTTCTGGTTAAAACATTCCAAGACTGCTGGCAGTGGGAGGCGGGGTGGGAGGCAGGTGGGGTGGGGGGATGGCACACACCTGTAATCCCAGCACTTTGGGAGGCCAAGGTGGACAGATCGCTTGAAGTCAGGACTTCAAGACCAGCCTGGCCAACATGGCAAAACCCCATCTCTAATAAAAATACAAAAAAAATTAGCTGGGCATGGTGGCACATGCCTGTAATCCCAGCTACTCGAGAGGTCGAGGCACAGGAATCGTTTGAACCCAGGAGGCGGAAGCTGCAGTGAGCCAAGATTGTGCCACTGCACTTCAGCCTGGGCAACAGAGCGAGACTCTGTCTCTAAAAAAAAGTTTTTCTCTGTAGCATGTGATGCTCAATAGCATTTTACCTATGGTAGACTTCCTTTCTTTTTTGTTTTTTTTTTTTAGACAGAGTCTCACTCTGTCACCCAGGCTGGAGTGCAGTGGCGCGATCTCGGCTCACTGCAACCTCCGCCTCCTGGGTTCCACGCCATTCTCCTGCCTCAGCCTCCCGAGTAGCTGGGACTATAGGCGCCCGCCACCACGCCCGGCTAATTTTTTGTATTTTTAGTAGAGACGAGGTTTCACCATGTTAGCCAGGATGGTCTCGATCGCCTGACCTCGTGATCCGCCTGCCTCGACCTCCCAAAGTGCTGGGATTACAGGCGTGTGCCACCGTGCTCAGCCAGTAGACTTCTTTCAAAAACAGAGACAACCCTCTCAAACCCTGCCACTGCTTTGCCAACTAAGTTTATATAATATTCCAAATCCTTCGTTGCCATTTCAACAGTGTTCACAGCATCTTCACCAGGAGTAGATTCCATCTCAAGAAACCACTTTCTTTGCTCATCCATAAGAATCGACTACTCACTCATCCAAGTTTTACCACAAGATTGCAGCAATTCAGTCAGTCACATCCTCAGGGCCCACGCTCACTGTAGTTTTCTTGCATATTATATCCACCATAACTACAGTTACTTCCACCACTGAAGTCGTAAACCCTTCAAAGTTATCCACGAGTGTTGGAATCAACTTCTTCTAAACTCCTCTTAATGTTAATATTTTGACCTCCTCCTATCAATTACAGTTGTTGTTACTGGCATCTAGAACGGAGAATTCTTTCCAGAAGGTTTTCGATTGACTACTCAGATCCATCAGAGGAATCATTATCTATGGCAAGTATAGCCTTAGGTGATGTTATTTCTTAATAATAAAATGTGAAAGTCAAAATTTCTCCTTGATCCATAGACTCCAGAATGGATGTTGTCTCAGCAGTCATGCAAACAACATTCACCTCCTTGTACATCCCCATCAGAGCTCTTGGGTGAAGGGGAGCATTATCAATGAGCAGTTTTTGAAAAGAATTTTTAAAGGAATCCTTTTTCCTAAGCAGTAGGTCTCAACAGTGAGCTTAAAATATTCAGTAAACCATACTGTAAATAGAGGTGCTGTCATTTAGGCTTTGTTGTTCTATTTACAGGACACAGGCAGAGCAGATTTAGTGTAATTCTTAAGAGGTCTGGGATTTTTGGAATGGTAAACGAGGATTGGCTTCAAGTCACCAGCTACATTAGTCACTAATCAGAGAGTCAGGCTGTCCTTTGAAGCTTCTAGCTATGAAAGTCCTAGATGGCATCTTCTTCCAATAGAAAGCTGTTTTATCTACATTGAAACTCTGTTGTTCAGAGTAGCAGCCTTCATCAGTGACCTTAGCTAGTTTTGGATAACGTGCTGCAGCTTCTACATCAGCACTTGCTGCTTTACTTGCATTTTTATGTTATGATGAAGAATTTTTTCCTTAAACCCCATGACCCAACCTCTGCTGGCTTCAAATTCTTCTTCTCCAGCTTCCTCACCTCTCAGTCTTCACAGAATTGAAGAGACTTAGGGCCCTGCTCTGGATTAGGCTTTGGTTTAAAGGAATGTTCTTGGTGGTTTGATATTCTATCTACGCCACTAAGACTTTCTCCATGGTATCAGCAGTAAAGCAGTAAGGCTGTTTTGTTTGTTTGTTTGTTTGTTTGTTTGTTTGTTTTTTAGACAAAGTCTCACTCTGTTGCCCAAGCTGGAGTGCAGTGGCACAATCTTGGCTCACTCCAACCTCTGCCTCCGAGGTTCAAAGGATTCTCTTGCCTCAGCCTCCCGAGTAGTTGGGAATACAGGCACACACCATCACACTTGGCTAGTTTTTGTATTTTTAGTAGAGATGGCATTTCACCATGTTGGCCAGGCTGGTCTCGAACTCCTGGTCTCAAGTAATCCACCTGCTGCGGCCCCTCAAAGTGCTGGGATTAAAGGCATGAGCCACTGCACCCAGCCTGTTTTGCTTTTTTTTATCATTCATGTGTGTTCACTGGTGTAGCTTTTTTTTTTTTTTTTTTTTTTTGAGACAGAGTCTCACTCTGTCACCCAGGCTGGAGTGTGGAGTAGCACTTTTAATTTCCTTCAAGAACTTTTCCTTTGCATTCACAACTTGGCTAACTGGGGAAAGAGGCGTGGCTTTTAGCCTATCTTGGCTTCTGACACGCCTTCCTCACTAGCTTCATTTCTTGCTTATGATTTAAAGTGAGAGACATGCTACTTTTCCTTTCACTTGAACACTTACCGGCCACTGCAGGGTTATTAACTGGCTTAAGTTCAATATTGTTGTGTCTCATAAAATAGGGAGACCCCAGGAGAGAGAAAGAGGCAGGGAAGGGACAGTCAGTGGAGCACTCAGAACACACAGCATTTATCAATTCAGTTTATCCTTTCATATGGGTACGGTTCGTGGCCCCAAAAACAATTACAATAGTTACCTCTAAGATCACTGATCACAGATCACTATAACAGATATTATAATAATGAAAAGGTTTGAAATGTTTCAAGAATTACCAAAATTTGACACAGAGACACTGTCCTGTTGGAAAAATGGCACCAAATGACTTACTCAACAGGGTTGCCACAAACCTTCAAATTTTTAAAAAACTAGATATATATGAAGTGCAGTAAAAACAAAGTACATTAAAATGAGGCAATTTTGTAATTCTAAAATTGGAAGTGCTGGCCAGGCCACACCTATAATAGCATCACTTTTGGGAGTCCGAGGTGGGAGGATTGTTTGAGGCCAGGAGATCAAGACCAGCCTTGGCAACATAGCGAGGCCTCATCTCTATTTATTTATTTATTTTTTATTTTTTACAAAGAACAGTAAAATGGCAAGTGCTTATAACTTTTAGACTTTGCCCTGAACATTGCCTCTTCTACATGAGGACATGTATATTTGAGTTTCAAGATATATTTGTTTCACAAAACTGCAAACACGCAGAAAAACGTACCTTCTAACAGCATTTCTGGAATGTCTGCTTGATATCTAGGTCCCACTCTGATTTCACCTTTGTCAGCTAATAGTGTTTTCAATGAGGGGTCATAGACCAATGAGTAGAAGAAGGTATCCTGAAAAATATGACAAAATACATAGGTATACTTAATTCCTTCTACTTCTTATAAAGCATTAAAATCAATGTTGCTACAATGAACATATAAACCCCAGAGAGTATATAAAATTTCATTTTGGTGAATAAACTCATAAATCTTTAAGGAGAGCATGGTGTTACCGTCATCATGTAAAACAGTACAAAATTAAATCAAGCCAAAAGAAACAGCTTGAAACAAAGTAGATTATAAAGTTCTATTATTTGTTTTAGTCTAAAAGAAAACCATTTGCTCTCTAAAGCAGAGTTTCAAGAGCTAGCAAAATTAAACCATAACTCCAAGGTAAGACACCTAAAGTCAAATCATCTTATAAACTTCTGAAGTCCACACCAAACAGAAGGGAAGACTTCACAGATACCAGGTACTCTTACTTTTGTAATGTCCATCCCAGCTTTTAGTCAAAAGATTAAAAAGTATACATATCTCACATTAAACTGCATGAGTTGAACTTACATGTGGTTTACTGTTATAATAATACCACTTTGTAAATATTTAATTAAACATGTATTAACTATAATTCTGCAGTTAAGTACTGAGGCATACATATATATACATATAGACAGATATACAAACATAGCTATATACATGCTCACCAACAGCATACACACCAAAATTTCCAGTCCTCCCTTACAAAGCTCCTATGTCCTTGTTTCTGAGCCTAATGGACAAAATGACCTGGCACCAGTCCTTTGCTGAATTCCGTATAACCACTAGAGATTATCTGAACCAGAAGCAGAAGTCCCATCTTCTGCTTTCCACTACGATCCCAAAGGTTATCGGCTGCCCAGTTCTCTGTATTATATCCTGGAAGGACCTGTCCCTACTACCAGAACTTTACCAAGCCCCAGCAAAGGAAACTGCAAATAAAAGATAATCTGTCAGACAGTAAAAATCTCTCCTATGGGAGTTCTTACATACTGTGATAAGGGGAAAGGGAAAAAAAACAGAGTTATTCCAACCACTGAGAAATTCTGTGCTGTATTTTATTCATTGTTCACTGTCAGGAAAAAAGTTTAAACAAAAAAACTGTTAAAAAAAAAAGGGGGGGGGGGGAGACACCAATATGTGACAGTTTATGCATACTGTTAAAGTGCTATCTAAGGAAAGAAAAAATCTGCAGGAATAGATAAAACAACCAGCTTAGGCCAGGTGCAGTGGCTCATGCCTATAATCCCAGCACTTTGGGAGGCCGAGGCAGGCGGATCACCTGAGGTCAGGACTTCGAGACTAGCCTCGCCAACATGGTGAAATCCCGTCTCTACTAAAAATAGAAAAATCAGCCGGGTGTGGTGGCAGGCACCTGTAATCCCAGCTGCTCAGGAGGCTGAGGCAGGAGAATCACTTGAACACAGGAGGCAGAGGTTGCAGTGAGCCAAGATTGCACCATTGCACTCCAGCCTGGGGGACAAGAGTGAGACTTCATCTCAAAAAAAAAAAAAAAAACCAACTTAACAAAGCTACAGGGGATGATCATTATGTAATCAGAATTGTTTGATTTTTTTGTTTTGCTTTACAGACATGAGTAATAAATATTACTCAGTAACTGAAGTTATTGCCACTGGCTCAACATCAGATTTTGTTTTTCTTTTTTTTTAATAGAGACGACGTCTCACTATGTTGCCTGGGCTGGTCTCAAACTCCTGGGCTCAAGCAATCCTCCTGCCTCAACCTCCCAAAGTGCTGGGATCACAGACATGAGCCCCCACATGAAGCCACCATCAGATTTAAATGCAGAGATACTTCAGTTCACTTTTTATCTGTAAAACCTATTAGCATGGTACTCCAATAAAAACAGGAGCTTGCCATACTCTACAATATAATAAGATGAAATGATTATTTGGGTCATATAAGTTGCTTAAAATCCTTAGATTTCTATGTCCTGATATGGGAAAATATTCAAAATATGTTTGGTTTATAATAGAAGTTGTAAAAAAGAAGAAGAAAAGGTTCCAGATAGGCCAATTTCAAGAACACAGAGTTAAAAGTAAAGGATGATAATTAAAAAGTTATTCTTTGGGTTACCGTCTTTATGCCAATCTCAATATTTTATTTTTAAATTTTTTATATATTTAGGGGGTACAAGTGCAGAGTTCTTATATGCATACATTGTGTCATGGTAAAGTCTGGGCTTTTAGTGTACCCATCACCTGAATAGTGAACAGTGTACCCAATAGGTAATTTTTCAATCCTCATCCCTCTCCAATGTCTATTTTTTTTTTTTAAGACAAGGTCTCACTCTGTCACCCAGACTAGAGGTATAGTAGCGCGATCTCGGCTCACTGCAACCTCCGCCTCCCAGATCCAAGGTATTCTCCTGCCTCAGCCTCCCAAGTAGCTGGGATTACAGGCATGCGCCACCACGCCCGGTTAATTTTTGCATGGCCCAGCTAATTTTTGTATTTTTAGCAGATACAGGCTTTCACCACGTTGGTCAGGCTGGTCTCGAACTCCTGACCTCGTGATCCGCCCACCTCGGCCTCCCAAAGCGCTGGGATCACATGTGTGAGCCACCACGTTCGGCCGAAAAAAAAAAATTTAATACAATGAAATGCATGGAATGTTTTGCCTTTTTCTTTCTGCTTCCGTGAAATAATGCTAATTTCTGGGCATTATCATTATCCATATTATAATCCATCATTCTGTGGGACAGACTAATGACAAAAGCCTATCTAAATTTTACAAAGGTAAGTTATAAAGTCTATTAGCCTTTTTTCTGCTTTGAATATGACTTTTCCTGTTGGTTTTCTTATTTCCTATTAGGTTTTCTAATGTATAGTGGGTTCTGCATGATTGTATCAAACTTTTTCTGTTATATTTTCTTCATTTGAGATAAATGGGCAACACTTGAGTATAAGATTTAAAAAAAAAAAAAAAAAAAACCGGCCAGGCACAGTGGCTCATGCCTCTGATCCCAGCACTTTGGGAGGCTGAGGAAGGCAGATCACCTGAGGCCAGGAGTTGAAGACCAGCCTAGCAAACATGGCAAAACCCCATCTCTACCAAAAACACAAAAATTAGCCGGGTATGGTGGCAGGCACCTATGATCCCAGCTACTCAGGAGGCTGAAGCATGAGAATTGCTTGAACCCGGGAGGCGGAGGTTGCAGTGGGTCAAGATCACGTCACTGCGTTCCAGAATGGGGGACAGAGCAAGACTTTGTCTCCAAAAACTAAAACATACGTATATGTAATAAAGCTTTTGGGGGAGAAGAAAAAAATCATAAAGATTAAATACTGAAGCATCACTGATACTAAAATATGTTTCCCACCATACAAATGATGTTGCTTTAAATGTCACCTAAAACTATGCATACCATGGAATATTCTGCTTATAAAAATTTCCTCCTTTCCATGAAGCGTATGCTCTATCTCAACTTGTTAACTACATTTCTTGTTGAGGTTTAGTGAAAAATATTTTTAACTGACAAAATTTATTAGGATTCCAGAAAGCAGACCACCAAAGGTAAAATCTCATCTGGAAACAGTCTAAAAGAAAAACCATTTATTCAAGAAATAAAAACAAAAACAAAACAGAAAGGGGAGCCAAGCACACTAAAGCATTAATTTCATAAAGTCAAAAATATTCATCTACTATCAACTAAATCCATGTACCATTCTCTATAATGCCATTCATTACCAACTGAAAAACAGACACAGTTTTTGCTCTTATCTCAGATAACCAGAAAAATCAAATTTACCCGAATGCATTCTAGTCACTATACTTTTACTATAATACTGCTATTAATATAATGGTGGAATAATACTTTTGTACAAAAAGAAATAAATTCCAAGGAAAGAGCTTCATGTGAAATAAAGGGAGAAAAAAACAAAACAACTATGATTGTGAATTACCTCCTTATCAAGATATGACAATACTGATTCTGTCTCATTCAGAAGGGCAACACTGCACTTTCCCCTGTTGAAAAAGAAAAAAAGAATAAATGTAACAAAGGCCACCTCACCTTCTCAGTGATGAGAAATACAAAGTTAAGAATGTGAGACTGGTATTAAGAAACTACATGGCAGTTAGGAATATATATTTTTTCAAACCATTTAGACCCACTTTACAATCCTAATGTCAGGTAACTTATAAAATAAGGCTGTCTTTATAGGCATTTCTTGAGAGGCTAGCCTGTTGGAGTAATTGTGTTAGGCAATAAATCCTAATATGCAATACTTTATAGGTAGTTTCTACTTATTCAAGAAAAAAAAAGAGTACAATGAGAACTTCAGACTAAGAGTCAGTTTCTGAACCTATAAATAGATATTATGAGGTAATTTTATAAAAGGGATGTTCAGACAAAGACACCACCACACAAACCAATGGCTAAATAATATTCAGATTTTTATGAGCAGCCACTAACTACATTTAAGAACCTAAAAATAATACACATTCATATCAGGATATAACTAATTCATCTATATTGAAATTACTCTAAAAACTAGTTAAAATTTAAACACAAGGAGCCTTCTATAGAGCAAGGGGCAAAATAAACATCGACAGATCCACGGACCTTGAGGTCTGACAGCACTTACATTTGATCTGAGCTTGGAAACTAACGTCTGTTTTTATAAGGCTTGTCTAGACTCTGAGAAAAACTGAGGTTATGTAGGTAGAGGCATTTATTACGAGCACTTTCAAAATGACCCTAACTAGCCTAAAAAAATCCGTATAACTAATAGAAATCTGACAGGAGCATTTTGAAGATTATTCAAGTTACAAATACTGGTCAGGGCTCACACAATGTTTCTTTAAAATGTCGTAAGATCATTTGATTTTCTAAACAAAAATTAAGACATCTCCAAAAGCCAACATGCAAAAACAAATATATCACATATATATTAAATAAGAAGCTAGAAATTCGTGGGGTATGGTAGCACATGCCTGTAATCCCAGCTACTCAGGGGGCTGAGGCAGGAGAATCGCTTGAACCCCAGAGGCAGAGGTTGCAGTGAGCCGAGATCGTGCCACTGCACTCCAGCCCGGGCGACAGAGCAAGACTCCGCCTCAAAAAAAAAAAAAAAGAAAGAAAGAAAGCAAGCTAGAAAAGCTTGCTGTTGGATCACCAGAGTGAAATACAATTCAAAGAAAAAAATTACCAAGAGCAAAATAAAATACTAAAAGTGCTAACACATTGGTCAAAACAGCTTGCTAAACATTTTGCAACTATATACTCTTTAAATTAAAAAAAAAAAAAACCCCTTATAAAAATGTCTTTTTCTGGTGATCACTGTAGGTTAGAAAGCTTTCTTTGAGAGCATGTGGTATTTCCACACTATCCTGTCAAATCTCTAACGTGGTTACTGGAAGTGTTTATAAAGGTTTTCTTTTTTTCTAACATATTTTATTCAAGTAGATTAGTGAAGCAAAAAAAAAAAAAAATTAACATCACTTTAGCACACATAACAACACTGAAAAGACAACAATTGTGCCCAGCTCACACCTGTAATCTCAGCACTTTGGGAGGCCGAGGTAGAAGAATCGCTTGAGCCCAGGAGTTTGAGACCAGGCTACACAGCAAGATCTCAACTCTACTGAAAATTAAAAAAAATAAAATAAGCAGGGCATAGTCCCAGCTACTCGCGGTTGGGGGACTGCTTGAGCCCAGGAGGTCTAGGGTGCACTGAGCTGTATTTGCACCACTGAACTCCAGCCTGGGCAAAAGAGCAAGACCCTGTCTCAAAAAAAAAAAAGAAAAGGTAACAATTATCTGACATGTTCTCATAACGGACAGAATTGCAACTAGGGAAATTGCTCTGCTGCCGTTAGCACATCGACAGCTGCCACAGAATATCTATGACCTGTGAATATGTGCTCACACATGCAATATGCTTAATAAATGAGGTTTCTAAAAATAGTTTTCACTTACTTTTTCCCCTCATTAACAGCTGACAAAGCAATATTTCTAACATTTGATACTCAATCACCTAGAAAAAAAAATCCCCCTTTTTAAAAAAATAAGTTCTCTAAAGTCAGATTTGCTTGTTTTAATGGGGAGGAGTAAAACCTGCTAAATTTTATTTTAATAGGTACTTTTTTTTAAGGCTAGTCAACTGAAACAGTGATAGTGGAGAAGAAAAAAAGAAATCTGTAACTGGTTATAAACACTACTGCACTATGCCCAGCCAATACCACTGTCTTTAATAGTCCCTTGACTTTTAAGGGTTAACGGACACTGAAAATTCAAACAAACAATATAGCATACTTTAAAAGTCTCTTCCATATGGTCTGAAATAAAAGATTTTAAATTATAAAACCTTTATTTTCATAATTATATTAGGAAATAAGGAAACACAGGTTATAATGAAGTACAAATTGTTTTTGGAAATGCAGTTTTTATACAAAGATGAAAGGATAATAAGTGATCTAAGTTTTAAATTTTTCTTTAATATAGCTATATTGTACATCTCCCCAAATTAAAAATGAAAATCTAACATTTACAATTTTCATGTACATACATTAACAGCTAAGAGGTTGAGTCAGAATTATTTTATGAAGTAAATATGAATATGTAATTAACACATATATTACCATGCCAAGAGTTGTTGATAAAAGTGGTTTAAAAAGAGATTTAAAGCGTTAGTTTCCTTTATGCCAAACAAATCTTGGCTCATAGATAAAAACATGGTAAATTTTAAGCTAACCCCAACCTAAAGGAACTATTATCAAATTCCGTATACAGATACCATAGGCAATTTATACTGAGTCTCAAGCAATGAACCTAATCATGTGTCATGTACGATATTTTAATCCTTAAATAATAAAGATGCCCAAGCATGATATGAAGTGTATCAAAGACCACAACACAAAGATCACTCCAGGCCCATATAATCACTCGTACTACTTTTCTACACAGAACCACAAAGGAGTACAGAATTGCTATAAAGAAAACCTACTTTCCCACAGGTCACTGAAAAGGTTTTCAAAGTATAATCTGTTTCAGAGACTGCGCAGGGTGCTGGGACACAAAGACATGTGAATAAATAATTACGACAAAACAAAGTCACACGTTCAACAGCAGGCGCTGATCAGCCTGGAATCTGCTACTTGCTTAATGGTATGTCCCATATAATCCTACAGACTGAAAAACGTAAAAATGTGCATACAGGTTATATATTTCTTTTATCTAAAGCTAGTACATATTTGTATAAATGAAAGAGGAGGGCCAGGCGCAGTGGCTCATGCCTATGATCCCAGCACTTTGGGAGGCCGATGCGGGCGGGTCACGAGGTCAGGAGTTCGAGACCAGCCTGGCCAATACGGTGAAGCCCTGTCTCTACTAAAAACACAAAAATTAGCTGGGAGTGGTAGCACACGCCTGTAGTCCCAGCTACTCTGGAGGCTGAGGCAGGAGAATGGCTTGAACCTGGGAGCCGGAGGTTGCAGTGAGCCGAGATCGCACCACTGCACTCCAGCCTGGTGACAGGGCGAAACCCCGTCTCAAAAAAAAAAAAAAAAAAAGAAAGAAAGAGAAAGAAGTTTAAATTAGTGATCATTTACCCCCTGCCTGTAGACTTTCTTCTTTTGTTTTGTTTTGTTTTGTTTTGAGAAAGGGTCTAGCTCTGTCACCCAGGCTGGAGTGCAGCGGCATAATCACAGTTCACTGCAGCCTCAACCTCCTGGACTCAATCAATCCTCCCACCTCAGCCTCCCCAGTAGCTGGGACTACAGGTGTGTGCCACACGCAGAGCTAATTTTTTTTAAATTCTTTGTAGAGATAGAGTTTTGCTATGTTTCCCAGGCTGCTCTCAAACTCCCTGGCTCAAGCGATCCTCCCACCTTGGCCTCCCAAAGGCTGGGATTATAGACATGAGCCACCACACTTGGCCCAAACTTTCTTTTACCTTGATACAACTTGAAGCGGGGACTACCCACTTAGAAAAGTGCAGATATCTTAGTGCTGTACCAGACTTACTGAATTTCAATGTCTTGGGATGGGTCCAGGAATCTACATGATTAACAAACATCACCAAGTTTAGTGAACTTTTTTAAGTTCACTAAACTTAAAAAACCATTCCTGGCCCGGCGCCGTGGCTCACGCCTGTAATCCTAGCATTCTATAAGGCTGAGGCGGGCAGATTGCCTGAGCTCAGGTATAGTTCAAGACCAGCCTGGGCAACATGGTGAAACTCCATCTCTACTAAAATATAAAAAATTAGCTGGGTGTGGTGGTGCACGCCTGTAATCCCAGCTACTGCGGAGGCTGTGGCACAAGAACTGCTTGAACCTGGGAGAAGGAGGTGCAGTGAGCCAAGATCATGCCACTGCACTCGAGCCTGGGTGACAGAGTGAAATTCTGTCTTGGGAAAAAAAAACAGAAAAATTCCTATAGATGCAGAGTTTGACATTAAACTTGCCTTGTTCAACAAACAGTATTATTGCTTCATTAAAGAAAGACATTTTTTTATTGACTTTACAAGTCTTACATTTGCCACAAACTCTAGATTCTTTTTTTTTTGAGATAGAGTCTCGCTCTGTTGCCCAGGCTGGAGTGCAAGTGGTGTGATCTTATCCTTACTGCAGCCTCCATCTCCTGGGTTCAAGTGATTCTGCTGACTCAGCCTCTCAACTAGCTGGGATTACAGATGCCCACCATCACACCCAGCTCATTTTTGTATTTTTAGTAAAGACGGGGTTTCACCATGTTGGTCAGGCTGGTCTCGAACTCCTAATTTCAGGTGATCCACCCGCCTCGGCCTCCCAAAATGCTGGGATTACAGACATGAGCCACTTTGCCCGGCCCAAGTTACAGATTCTTAATATTTCTTTGTATAAAGAACAGTGTCAAAATATTAGGTTCTGGGATTGGTAAATCAGTGAGTAGACAGTTTTGACAGCATTTAACACAATGAACACAATGAACAATCAAATAAAAAAATAAAGATCAGAGATGCAAAATGCTTTCAGAAGACTAGATTTCTCAACAGCAACCGCATAAAACAGAATAGCACAGATTCAAAATTCTGAGAGAAGTGATTTCCAAACCAAAATTCTATGTCTAAACAAATCATTGGCCAAGTGTGAGAAATATTTTTAGATATATGAGAATAAAAACTTTTACATTTTTAGAAGACTTAATCAAAAGGCAAAGGTAAAACAATGATAAACTCCATGGAAAACAAAAGTTTATACAAGAAAGAATACATAATACTGACATGTTCATAAAACACAAAGACTGTTTACTAAGTTAAATAAAAGTTGTGATAATATTAGAAACAGATGGCAAAGGGAATAGGGAAGAGAGAAGTAAAGGTAAATTCCTAAAACTGAAAAATTAATAGTAGGAATATAAGAACAGTATAAATGCCAGAAGCCACCATCGAGAGGAGTTGAAAATGACTACAGAGTTGGAACCAAGCAAATGACTGCCTTGGATATTATTAGACAGCCATATCCATACACTTTTAAAAAAATAACAAAATTTAAATTTAAAATGAAAGGGGGTGATATGGTTTGGCTCTGTGTCCCCACCCAAATCTCATCTTGAATTGTGATCCCCATAATCCTCACGTGTCGAGGGAGGGACCTAGTGGGTGGTGATTGGATCACGGGGGCAGTTTCATGATAGTGAGTTCTCACATGATCTGACGGTTTTATACATGTTTGACAGTTCCTCCTTCTCCTTCTCTCGCCTGCTGCCAAGTAAGACATGCCTGCTTCCCCTTCCACCATGATTGTAAGTTGCCTGAGTCTTCCCCAGCCATGCAGAACTGTGAATCAATTAAAAGTCTTTTCCTTACAAATTACCCAGTCTCGGGTAGTTCTATAGCAGTGTGAGAATAGACTAATAAAGAGAAATCCTAATTAAAATACCTAATTAAAATACATAAATTTCCATGACTACCACACCAAGGGAGCAAGGATTATGTACAATGACTCTATATATCAGGTTTTCTCAACCTCGGCACCACTGGTGGACATTTTGGGCCAGATAATTTTTTGTTGTGGAGGCTGTCTCATGCACTACAGGATGTTGAGCAGCATCCCTGGCCTCTCTGCAGTGGATGACAGTAGCACCCCCTCATCCATTTGTTAGAGCCAAACTGTCCAAATTGTCAAAGGTCCCTGGGATACAATATCACTCCCGGTTGAGAATCACTGTTCTACATTAAGAAAACTATGGTTTTCTTAATTATATCTTGGTAACAAACATTTAAGATTGCATATATTAAGTGAAAGAATATGTTTTTTTTTTTTTTGAGACAGAGTCTCGCTCTGTCGCCCAGGTTGGAGTGCAGTGGCGCGGTCTCGGCTCACTGCAAGCTCCGCCTCCCGGGTACACGCCATTCTCCTGCCTCAGCCTCCAGCTGGGACTACAGGCGCCCGCCACCACGGCCGGCTAACTTTTTTTTGTATTTTTAGTAGAGACGGGGTTTCACTGTGTTAGCCAGGATGGTCTCGATCTCCTGACCTTGTGATCCGCCCGCCTCGGCCTCCCAAAGTGCTGGGATTACAGGCATGAGCCACCGCGCCCAGCCAAGAATATGATTTTTAATGGACTTCTTTTTTGAGACAGGATCTCGCTCTGTCACCCAGGTCAGAGTGCAGTGGCGTGATCTCAGCTCACTGCAGCCTCCACCTCCTAGGCTCAAGTGATCCTCCCACCTCAGTTTCCTGAGTAATTGGGACCACAGGCATGAACCACCAGGCCCCGCTAACTTTTGTATTCTTTGTAGAGACAGGGTTTCACCATGTTGCCCAGACTGGTCTAAAACTCCTAGGATCAAGCGATCCTCCTTGGCCCCCCAATTGCTGGGATTACAGGCATGAGCCATCAAACCCGACCCTGGACCTCTGCTTTTTTTTTTTTGAGACAGACTTTCACTCGGTCACCATGCTGGAATACAGTGGTGCGATCTCGGCTCACTGCAACCTCGGCTCACTGCAACCTCTGCCTTCCAGGTTCAAACGATTCTCCTGCCTCAGCCTCCCGAGTAGCTAGGACTACAGGCATGCACCCCCATACCCAGCTAATTTTTGTATTTTTACTAGAGACAGGATTTCACCATGTTGGCCAGGATGGTCTCGAGCTCTTGACCTCATGATCCGCCCACCTCAGCCTCCCAAAGTGCTGGGATTACAGGTGTAAGCCACCATGCCCGACTGTATTTTTTTTTTTTTAAAAAGGAGTACAAAGAGAATTAAATCTGGAAATCTTTAAATATTTCTATTCAAAGATAGATCTTTGAATAGAAGATCTGTTACTAATACTGCTTTAACAGATGCTCACAAATAAAACTTAAAAGAAGCCACACACACACCACCCTGAAACATCTGTTTGTGTGTACACAAAGTAGAGGAATGAAAAGCCAAAAAGAGAAGTTTGGGCTTAATAAAATCGATTAATCTATTTCTGAAGAAAAATGACTGACAAATTATGTTTTGAGATGCCCATTCCATCCATGGGATGTGGAGCATAGCAAAGACACCATAATTCTGAATATTTGATAACAAATATGAAAGAAACTGTCAAGGAGGAATCAAGTAGGAAAAATATCCTTCTCTTGATACCACTCTTCCCTCTTACAGGAGAAAGTGAAATGTTCCAAAAAGTCAATACCTATTGGAAAGATCCTCCTCTCCTGGACAAGATGGCAAATGAATCACTCTGACCACCAGGAAAATCTCTCAGAGGTTCCACAACATATGGAGTACAGTACTTGTGGGGATGGTTAATAAGTACAAAACAGCAGCTGGGGGCTGGGCGCGGTGGCTCAAGCCTGTAATCCCAGCACTTTGGGAGGCCGAGGTGGGCGGATCATGAGGTCAGGAGATCAAGACCATCCTGGCTAACACGGTGAAACCCTGTCTCTACTAAAAATACAAAAAATTAGCCGGGCATGGTGGCGGCCGCCTGTAGAACCCAGCTACTTGGGAGGCTGAGGCAGGAGAATGGCGTGAACCTGGGAGGCAGAGCTTGCAGTGAGCCGAGACTATACCACTGCACTCCAGCCTGGGCGATGAGCAAGACTCCATCTCAAAAAAAAAAAAAAAAACCCAGCAGCTGGGAAGAATGAGTAAGACCTGATATTTGATGGTATCATAGGGTGAATACAGTCAATAATAACTTAATTGTACATTTTTAAATAACTAAAAGAGGCCAGGCCTGGTGGCTCATGCCTGTAATCCCAGCACTTTGGGAGGCCAAGGTGGGTGGGTCACCTGAGGTCAGGAGCTCAAGACCAGCCTGGCCAACATGGTGCTACCCCATCGCTATGACAAATAAAAAAACTAGGCAGGCATGGTGGTGAGCACCTGTAAGCCCAGCTACTTGGGAGGCTGAGGCAGGAGAATCACTTGAACTCAGGAGGTGGAGGTTGCAATGAGCCAAGACTGGATCACTGCACTCCAGCCTGGGTCACTAAGGGAGACTCCGTCTCAAAAAATAATAATAAAATAATAATACAAAATAACTAAAAGAGTATAACTGGATTGTTTGTAACACAAAGTATGAATGCTTGAGGGGACAGATAGCCCATATTTCATGATGTGATTACTATGCATCACATGCCTCTGTCAAAATATATCTTGTACCACATGAATATATACACCTATGTAGCCACAAAAATTGAAAATCAAAAAAAAACACACACACAAGTACTTGAGACAATACATAGGACATACTTTGCATCTAACCCAAATGCTCTTGTGCACTGTGATTCTGGTTGAAGAAAACTACTTCAGCCCTTAAAGGGGTTAAGCAGTTAATTCAAAGGAAAGGTTATATAGTATAAACACACATCTTCCAAAAAGAGCATGCTAAACATGTACACTATAAAATGTTAAGCTGTGACAGGATTTTTCTCCACTTACTGTATTTTTCCTCTAGTTTTCCTCCTACTAGCAATCTTAAGAGGCTAAGCATACTAACTAACTTTCTCATGTTAACTTCATTTATTAAGGAGCACTACTTATAGGTATCAACAGTACCCTTTTGGCTAATTCAAATTTTATGTATAGATTACCAAAAAAATTACAAAAGCCTAACACTTTAACATACTGTCATAATTAAATGAGCAGGAAGAAAACCAATTATTTTAAAGATTCCAAGTAAGTTTTTAACATTCACAGCCAAACTGAAGAGAGACTAATAATCCACAGTGGAGTTCTATTTTATTACTTATATAAAGTTAGCACTACTATTTATTTTTCAATAAACATATCCATAAAAACTTGTTTTTCTCTGAAAGTAGCAAAAAAGGTCTCAATAGACATAAATTAAATTTACAAATCCTTTCAGCTGAACCTCCCTGCTTTGACCAATGGAGAAATATGAAGAAATAAATACAAAATAAAAATTAAGATACTTTCAACTATTTTACTTGGTATAATTTTGCAGCTACACTCACAATCACACAACTAAAATGTCCTAGGCACAAGTTTATTCATTATAGTATTATTTTTAACAGCAAAAGACTAAAAAAACCAAAAATCCATTAGTTAGGATTAAACAAATTAGATATACAACACAGCCATAAAAAAGAATGAGGCAGATCTTTATGATCCAATATGGACCTATCACCAAGATACTTCATTTCAAAAGCACAACATAAAAGCATCATAATTTACTCCACAATTTACTTAGACATACAAACATACATACCTCATTGCTTCTATACGCATGGAATATTTCTGGAAGTACACCTAAGACTAAAACACTGAAGACCTGGGGGGACTGTGCAGGAGACAGACATTTTATTGTATACTTCATGTTTGTATATTTTGATTTCTGAATCATATATTACAAATCCCCCTCCACTGAAACTGTCCCCACAAGGTTGACAAGAATTGCATGCAGGTTATGGCCAGAAATGTAGTTACAATTAAGTATTAATCAGGCTGCACTTTGGCTCACTTCTCTGCTATTGAAAGTAATGTAGCACAAGATACTGACGAAAGCCTTGATTCTAGTATCAGAGATCAAGTGTATGGGGAGCCCACTGTTCCCATAGACAGGATCTCTGACATTAGAATCATAAGGCTTTTATTTAAGGATCGCTTAAATTGTTTTTTGCCGGGTGTGTTAGCTCATGCCTGTAATCCTAGCACTTGGGGAGGCCAAGGCAAGCAGATCACTTGAGGTCAGGAGACCACCCTGGCCAACATGGTGAAACCCCATGTCTACTAAAAATACAAAAAAAGTTAGCCGGGTGTGGTGACAGGCCGCTGTAATCCCAGCTACTCAGGAGGCTGAGGCACAAGAATTGCTTGAACCTGGGAGGCAGAGGTTGCAGAGAGCCGAGATCATGCCACTGAACTCCAGCCTGGGAGACAGAGCAAGACTACACCTCAAAAAAAAAAATTGTTTTTCAGGCCCCATGAATTCCAGCAACCAGTTTAAAGGCCCCCACAGAGGAACGAGATCAGAAGAATTCAGCTTCTTTATCCCTCACTTCATGACTTCACCGTACAACTCTTGGAGCAATCAAAGATCTCCAAACTTCGGCTCACTCCAAAAGCCTTAAAAACCCCAACTGCAAATTCCCTGAGGAGATAGATTAGAGGTTTCCTCCCACCTCCTTGTTCAAGGACCTTACAATTAAACCTCCTTCTTTGCTGCAACCTGGTGTCTCAGAGTACTGACTGGCTGTGCTCAGTGGGCAGCTAACCTATCACAATTACACTACCAAAAAAAATTTAAATTTTAAAAGCAAGAGGGCATGTCATAAGTTTTCTGTGGTCCTGAAAACAAAAAAAGACTGCTCTATCCGCTGGGCACGGTGGATCACGCCTGTAATCCCAGCACTTTGGGAGGCCGAGGCAGGTGAATCACAAGGTCAGGAGTTCGAGATCAGCCTGGCCAACACGGTGAAACCCTGTCTCTACTAAAGATACAAAAAAGTACCCGGGCATAGTGGCGTGCACCTGTAATCCCAGCTACTCAGGAGGCTGTGGCAGGAGAATTGCTTGAACCTGGGAGACAGAGATTGCAGGGAGCTGAGATCACATTACTGCACTCCAGCGTGGGCCACAGAGCAAGACTCCGTCTCAAAAAATATATATATATATTGCTCTATCATCCACTGCTTTTGGATCCCAGGTTGCACTGAGCATTTAACCAAACTGGATATACCATCCCTAAACACAGCAATATATAAATTCACTCTGGCAATCTATTCCAATCTACTCCCATCTACCGACTATTTCTTTGCCCAGTATTTGAAATATTTTTTGTTTAAAAAGAAAATTCTGCTTACACATAAAATATTTTTAGTTCATTTATTTGTTTCTGACACATAGGACAACCCGAGGAAAAATTTCCCTTCAAACACTAATTGCTCTAGGTAAAACATAAACCAAAAAAAAAAAAAAAAAGGGTGGAAATGTTTTGTCAATACTCAATAACTCAGTTTTAAAAAGAGACAAGAAGAGATAAATCCCAGAATTGTATGGTATTTTTATTCAGTGAGCTAACTGAAAGAAGTTTTACAGCATCTCAATGCAGGGAGGAGAATGGAATAATATTTTCAGTCTCAACAGAATAATGAATTAAATGACAGGCAAAGCCAATGTGTTTATCTCCTCTTTTCTGAGATGCCTTTTAAATAAGAAGGTGGCTGGGTTGGTGGCTCACGCCTGTAATCCCACCACTTTGGGAGGCTGAGGCAGGCGTATTACCTGAAGTCAGCAGTTTGAGACCAGCCTAGCCAGCATGGCAAAACCCCATCTCTACTAAAAATACCAAAAAATTTAGTCAAGCATGCTGGTGGGCGCCTGTAATCCCAGCTACTCGGGAGGCTGAGGCAAGAGAATCACTTGAACCCAGGAGGTGGAGGTTGCAGTGAGCCAAGATCACGCCATTGCACTCCAGTCTGGGTGACAAGAGCAAAACTCCATCTCAAAAATAAATAAATAAATAAATAAATAAATAAATAAATAAAACGATAAGAAGAAAATTAAAAGAACCGCCGGGCACGGTGGCTCAAGCATGTAATCCCAACACTTTGGAAGGCCAAGGCGGGTGGATCACAAAGTCAGGCGTTCAAGACCAGCCTGGCCAACATGGTGAAACCTGGTCTAACCAAAAATACAAAAATTAGCTGGGCGTGGTGGTGCTCACCTGTAATCCCACCTACTTAGGAGGCTGAGGCGGGAGAATCACTTGAACCCGGGAGTCGGAGATTGCAGTAAGCCAAGATGGCGCCGCTGCACTCCAGCCTGGGCAACAGAGTGAGGCTCTGTCTCAAAACAAAACAAAACAAAAGAACCTGGCAGGGAATGGTGGCTCATGCCTGTAATCCCAGCACTTTGGAAGGCCCAGGTGGGCAGATCATTAGAGGTCAGGAGTTTGAGACCAGTCTGACCAACATGGCGAAACTATGTCTCTACCAAAAATACAAAAAAAAAAAAAAAAAAAAAAAATTTAGCCAGGCTTGGTGGCACATACTCCCAGCTACTTGGGAGGCTGAGGCAGGAGGATCACTTGAACTCCTGAGGTGGAGGTTGCAGTGAGCCAAGATGACACCACTGCACTCCAACCTGAGAGACAGAGCGAGACTCCGTTTCAAATTTAAAAAAAAGAAAAAAAGAATCTAAACCATAATAAAGAGAATGTGAGGGGGCCATTAGAAGAATAAAGATTTTCAGAAAATTTTGGAAGACCAAAGGGAAAGACTAAGAAGAAAAGACTAAGAAGAGCACATCTGGCCACTATCTAAAATACTACTAAACATAGCATTGCTGGTTTTCCCTAATATAATTAGGACAAGAAAAACAATTAAGAAACAAAGCTCAGGCCTGGCAGTGGTTTGGAAGGCCAAGGCAGAAGGATCACTTGAGGCCAGGAGTTAGAGACCACCCTGGACAACATAGGGAGACCAGTCGCTACAAAAAAAAGTTTAAGTTAGCTGGGCATGGTGGCCAGCACCTGCAGTCCCAGCTACTCAGGAGGCTGAGGTGAGAGGATCGCTTGAGCCCAGGAGTTCAAGGCTGCAATGAGCCACGAATCGTGCCACTGCACTCCAGCCTAGAAAACAGAGAGAAATCCTGTGCTAAAGGAAAAAAAAAGAAAAAAGAAACAAAGCCCAAAATATGTATAAAGGGAGATGGCTGGGTGCAGTGGCTCATGCCTGTAATCCCAGCACTTTGGGAGGCCAAGACAGGCAGATCACCTGAGGTCAGGAGTTTGAAGCCAGCCTGGCCAACATGGTGAAACCCAATCTCTACTACAAATACAAAAATTAGCTGGGTGTGGTGGGGTAGGCCTGTAATCCCAACTACTTGGGAGGCTGAGGCACAAGAATTGCTTGAACCTGGGAGACAGAGGTTACAGTGAGCTGAGGTGGCACCATTATACTACATCCTGGGCGACAAAGCAAGACTCTGTCTAAAAAAAAATTAAATTTAAAAAAAAGGAGCTAATACTAGGAAAAATGGAACTGACCTATCCAGGATAGTCCTGAAGAATTTTCTAGTCTAAGAGGGTAAGACTTAGAAAAGTCAACTTCACAACTGCCTGAAGACAAAGTCAGCCCATAAAACTGAAGCTCCTAGGCCAGGTGCGGTGGCCCACGCCTGTAATCCCAGCACTTTGGGGGGCCGAGGCAGGCGGATCACGAGGTCAGGAGTTCGAGACCAGCCTGGCCAACATGGTGAAACCCCATCTCTACTAAAAATGCAAAAATTAGCTGGGCATGGTGGTGGGTGCCTTTAATGCCAGCTACCCTGGAGGCGGAGGCAGGAGAATCGCTTGAGCCCAAGAAGCAGAGGTTGCAGTGAGCCGAGATTACACCACTGCACTCCAGCCTGGGTGACAGAGTGAGACTCCGAATCAAAAAAAATTTTAAAAAAATGGAGCTCCTGTTCAGCCTTACTACCTTGGTTTTGAATAAGAATAGAAAACTATGGCCGGGCACGGTGGTTCACGCCTGTAATCCCAGCACTTTGGGAGGCCGAGGCGGGCAGATCACGAGGTCAGGAGATCGAGACCATCCTGGCTAACACTGTGAAACCCCATCTCTACTAAAAATACAAAAAAATTAGCTGAGAGTGGTGGCAGGCGCCTGTAGTCCCAGCTACTCGGGAGGCTGAGGCAGGAGAATGGCATGAAGCCGGGAGGTAGAGCTTGCAGTGAGCCGAGATTGCGCCACTGCACTCCAGCCTGGGCGACAAAGCAGGACTCCGACTCAAAAAAAAAAAAAAGAAAAAAAAAAGGATAACTGAATCATCTAATACTTGAGAACAGACTACAGCATAAAAGATAAATATAAAAAATCAACAACTGAACTTGAAGAAACAATTTAGGCAACAACACAGAACTGTGCATGCAGATAATAGATTTATTAAAATGACTGGTGAGGATACTGTGTTCAGAAAACAAATTTTTTTTTTTTTTTTTTTTTGAGATGGAGTCTCGCTCTGTTACCCAGGCTAGAGTGCAGTGGCGTGATCTCGGTTCACTGCAACCTCCGCCTCCCGGGTTCACGACATTCTCCTACCTCAGCCTCCTTAGTAGCTGGGACTACAGGCGCCTGCCACCACGCCCAGCTAATTTTTTTGTATTTTTAGTAGAGACGGGGTTTCACCGTGTTAGCCAGGATGGTCTCAATCTCCTGACCTCATGATCCGCCCACCTCGGCCTCCCAAAGTGCTGGGATTAAAGGCATAAGCCACTGTGCCCGGCCCATAAAACAAATTTTAAAACATGATTGGCAAAATTAAAATATCACTAGACGTGCTAGAAAAATCAAAGATTTAGCTCAGGGACCTCCACCTCCAAAAAAGGGAAAAAAAGAAAAATGGAAAATATGAGAAAACGGCCAGGCACGGTGGCTCACGCCTGTAATCCCAACACTTTGAGAAGCCGAGGTGGGTGGATCACCTGAGGTCAGGAGTTCAAGACCAGCCTGGCCAACATGGTGAAACCCCATCTCTACTAAAAATACAAAAATTAGACAGGCATGGTGGCGGGCGCCTGTAATCCCACCTACTCAGGAGGCTGAGGCAGGAGAATCGCTTGAATCTAGGAAGCAAAGGTTGCAGTGAGCCGAGATGGCGCCACTGCACTCCAGCCTGGGTGACAAAGCAAGACTCCATCTCAAAAAAATAAAAAAGTAAATAAAGGAAAACAGATCTTCAAATTACAATGGTGTATCAAATATCCTTACCATTGATGCATCACTGTAAAATTTTAGTATGCAACAAATAAGAAAATTCTAAAAAGATTTCAGAGAGGAAATAGATAACATGCGAAGAATGGAGAACCGATGTGGTATAAAACTCATGTTCAATGACAATGGATGTCTGATGACAATGGGGTAAACATCTTCAAAGTTTTGAGGAAAAATCATTTTCAACCCAAAATTCAATGCAAAGAAAGATCATGTATCAAGTGTCTACTATTAAATTATGAATTTCATACCAGAATAGTATAGGAAGTTACAAAATATTTAAAAGAGTGATTGAGTCTGACAAAGTTGAGAAGCTCTGCTATAAGTTAATACACATTAAAAACAAAAAAAGAGGCTGGGCACAGTGGCTCACACCTGTAATCCCAGCAATTTGGGAGGCCGAGGCAGGTGGATCACAACGTCAGCAGTTCAAGACCAGCCTGGCCAAAATGCAAAATGGTGAAACCCTGTCTCTACTGAAAATACAAAAATTAGCTGGGTGTGGTGGCAGGCACCTGTAATCCCAGCTACTTAGGAGGCTGAGGCAGAGAACTGCTTGAACCCAGGAGGTGGAGGTTGCAGTGAGCCAAGATCACACCACTGCACTCCAGCCTGGGCAACAAGAGCAAGATTCCATCTCAAAAAATAAAAAATTAAAAAATTAAAAATTAAAGTTAATATACATTAAGATACAAAATGAAAATTAATAAAAATCCAAAAATAATATTAAAAATTATTGTATTTTATTATAAAAGTAATTCAGTTTTATTGAAATAAAAATAAAATCAAATACTAAACAAAGAAAAGTCTGAATTATGGATCACTAGGCAATAATTGACTTCCAGTAACATCCTAAAAAGCAACAACCAAACTATACACTTCTCGTTAGATATCACCATCTTTCTGTCTCTTGCGTTTGTTCCTCCCTTTTACCCCTCCAACCATACCTTTAAATCTGAACTACCAGACCGGGCGAAGTGGCTCAGCCTATAATCCCAGCACTTTGGGAGGCCGAGGTGGGTGGATCACACCTAAGGTCGGTGGATCACACCTAAGGTCAGGAGTTCGAGACCAGCTGGCCACCATGGTGAAACCCCGTCTCTACTTAAAATACAAAAAAATTAGCCGGGTGTAGTGGCGCACACCTGTAGTCCCAGGTACTTGGGAGGCTGAGCCAGGACAATGGCTTGAACCTGGAAGGCGGAGTTTGCCGTGAGCAGAGATTGTGCCACTGCTCCTGCCTGGGCGACAGACTCTGTCTCAAAAAAAAAAAAAAAAAAATCTGAACTACCAAGATGAAAACTCAAGGGGCATGGTAAAATACCATGGGGATACAATCAGCAAAATCCAAACAGTGAAAAGGAAACAAAATCCCAGTTTCTTCAACAAAAACTAGCCAAGGAAAAAGAAAGAGAAGGAAAAGGGAAGTCCTAACATTTCCCCTGCTGTGGCCACCTGTTGTGCTGGATTCCCAAGCTTGCAAGCTAGGAGAGCACTGCCTCTAGAGGACTGAAGAAAAGACCCAAAGACAGCGGCGTGACATAAGCTTTATTCAGGGAACTTATGTCCAGGGAGTCCAGGAGGGGAAGGCTGGACAGGAAAAACCATTCCCTTTTATAAAAAGCATGCAGGTTTTACAGCAAGTACCCTTCGCATAGCAACCACCACTTAGCAGCCTCCACCTAGCTGAAAACAATGGGCCTCAGTTCCTTGGACCACCTGCATTCCAAGGCACACGCCAGGATCCAGGTGTCCTTCACAGGTATGGCATAAACATCAGGGTTGGCCATTACTGGAACACTAAACAAACATTCATCAAGGAACACAGGATCATTCTCAAGGTATGCTTGAGTTATTGCTGTCTGGCAAGACACGCCCACCATATACCACCCAACTGACTTGGTACCATTTACTAAAACAACTACCTTTTCCTCATTACATTACCATGGAGACTTTGTCATAAACAAAGTTGTATTATACTTGTGAATCTCTTCTGGCTTTTGTATTGTTTCATTGGTTTATTTTTCAATTCACTTACTAATATACCGTATCTTAATTATTCTAACTTTACAAGTGTCTTCCAATCTAATGATATAAGCAACGTAAGTCCTCCAGCACTTTTGTTTGTCAAGACTGACTTTGTCAACGCTTCTCAAAACTTTTGTTCTCAAGATTCTCTTACATGGAGGCCAGGTGTGGTAGCTCACACCTATAATCCCAGCACTTTGAGAGACTAAGGTGGGAAGATTACTTGAGGCCAGGAGTTGAAGATCAGCCTGGGCAACAAAACAAGATCCCATTTCAAAAAAAAAAAAATAGGCAAAAATTTTTTTAAAAAGATTCCTTTACGTTTATACCTATTGAGGTACTCAAAGAACTTACGTTGGATACATATGTATCAACATTTACCATGTTGAAATTAAAACTGAGAAGAAACTTAACATTTACTAATTTAAAATAAAAACATATTACAAATTAGCAAGTATTTGTTATGAATAATTACTATTTCCCGAAACAAATATAAAACTCTAATAAGATCCCTCTCCCTCCCCCTCCCCCTCTACCTCCCCCTACCCCTCTCCCCACGGTCTCCCTCTCATGCCGAGCCGAAGCTGGACGGTACTGCTGCCATCTCCGCTCACTGCAACCTCCCTGTCTGATTCTCCTGCCTCAGCCTGCTGAGTGCCTGCGATTGCAGGCGCGCGCCGCCAAGCCTGACTGGTTTTCGTATTTTTTTTGGTGGAGACGGGGTTTCGCTGTGTTGGCCGGGCTGGTCTCCAGCTCCTAACCGCGAGTGATCTGCCAGCCTCGGCCTCCCGAGGTGCCGGGATTGCAGACGGACTCTGGTTCACTCAGTGCTCAATGTTGCCCAGGCTGGAGTGCAGTGGCGTGATCTCGGCTCGCTACAACCTCCACCTCCCAGCCGCCTGCCTTGGCCTCCCAAAGTGCCGAGACTGCAGCCTCTGCCCGGCCGCCACCCCGTCTGGGAAGTGAGGAGCGTCTCTGCCTGGCCGCCCATCGTCTGGGATGTGAGGAGCCCCTCTGCCCGGCTGCCCAGTCTGAGAAGTGAGGAGCGCCTCTTCCCGTCTAGGAAGTGAGGAGCATCTCTGCCTGGCCGCCCATCGTCTGAGATGTGGGGAGCGCCTCTGCCCGGCCACGACCCCGTCTGGGAGGTGAGGAGCGTCTCTGCCCAGCCGCCCCGTCTGAGAAGTGAAGAGCCCCTCCGCCCGGCAGCCGCCCCGTCTGAGAAGTGAGGAGCCCCTCCACCTGGCAGCCGCCCGTCTGGGAAGTGAGGAGCCCCTCTGCCCGGCTGCCACCCCGTCTGGGAGGTGTACCCAACAGCTCATTGAGAACGGGCCATGATGACGATGGCGGTTTTGTCGAATAGAAAAGGGGGAAATGTGGGGAAAAGATAGAGAAGTCAGATTGTTGCTGTGTCTGTGTAGAAAGAAGTAGACATAGGAGACTCCATTTTGTTCTGTACTAAGAAGAATTGTTCTGCCTTGGGATGCTGTTGATCTATGACCTTACTCCCAACCCGGTGCTCTCTGAAACATGTGCTGTGTCCACTCAGGGTTAAATGGATTAATGGCGGTGCAAGATGTGCTTTGTTAAACAGATGCTTGAAGGCAGCATGCTCGTTAAGAGTCATCACCACTCCCTAATCTCAAGTACCCAGGGACACAAACACTGCAGAAGGCTGCAGGGTCCTCTGCCTAGGAAAACCAGAGACCTTTGTTCACTTGTTTATCTGCTGACCTTCCCTCCACTATTGTCCTATGACCCTGCCAAATCCCCCTCTGCGAGAAACACCCAAGAATGATCAATTAAAAAAAAAAAAAAAAACTCTAATAAGAGTAACATTGTTTCACATTTTTGCAAATTGCTTCAATGTCTACCTTAATAGCTTTACTGAGGTATAACTGACAAATAAAAATTGTATATTTACAGTGTACAACATGATGTTTTGATGTATGTCTACATTGTGAATGGCTGACAACTAGAGTTTCACATGAATATCTATGAAATAACCATGACTTTTCAAAAAAAGCTGATAAAATACCCATGTCTAAATAAACATAGTTTAGCTTTCAGTGATTATCTTGAAGTAAAAATGGTATTCCAAGAAAAAGGCAGCTAGTTCAGCTCACGATTCAAACAATCCCATGTTTTCTCGAGTTAACCAGCTGGGCCCAGTGGCTCATCCCCGTAATCCCAACACTTCGAGAGGCCAAGATGGGAGGACTGTTTGAACCCAGAAGTTTAAGAAACAACCTGGGCAACATAGCTAGACTCTATCCCTACAAAAAGTTTAAAAACTAGCCAGGCATGGTACCGTGCACCTGTGGTCCAAGCTAATTGGGAGGCTGAGGTGGCAGGATTGCTTGAGCTAAGAAGGTCAAGGCTGCAGTGAGCCGTGATGACACCACTGTACTCTAGCCTGAGCAACAGAGCGAGACCCTATCTCTCAAAAAGAAAAGAAAACCATCACACATCAATATGCAACAGAAGTGGGTTTAGGTGTACTTCTGAGTTCACAGGTCAAGATGTGTGATGTCGGCAGGGCACGGTAGCTCATTCCTGTAATTCCAGCACTTTGGGAGGCCAAGGCAGGTGGAATCACCTGAGGCCAGGAGTTTGATATCAGCCTGGCCAACATGGTAAAACACCGTCTCTATTAAAAATACAAAAATAAGCCAGGCGTGGCAGTGCACATCTGTAATTCCAGCTACTCGGGAGGCTGAGGCAGGAGAATCACTTGAACGTGGGTGGCAGAGGTTGCAGTGAGCCAAGATCACGCCATTGCACTCCAGCCTGGGCGACAGAGCAAGACTCTTTAAAAAAAAAAAAAAAAAAAAGATGTGTGATGTCTTGAAACAATACAGAGGTGATGGTTGCAAACACTGTCAACGTGCTAAATGCCACTGTATATGGTTAATGGTTAATCTGATGTTATATGAATTTCACCTCAATTATAAAGAAGGGCCAAAATTTATTAAAGCTAATAAATTATACTACTTTGCCAAGAACATTCTTAAGTAGAACTTGCCTTTGTTTTTTTCTTAAACTGTGAATGCACAGCGTTCTAGAACACAACTACTAACTAGCTCGGCCTGGTACCACGGATTTGTGCTACGGCACCAGGAGAGCAAAATCAACACAGAAAAAAGGTAAGTAACATCTTACTGTTATGAAAATAGTCTTGATTTCATAAACCCTCGGAAAAAGTCTTGGGGGACATCTGGGCATAAAGAAATAATAATTTGAAAAATCCTTATTTTCATTGTTGTTAGTCCTTCCCTTTTTTTGAATCAACTTCTCAATTTATACATACACACACAATCCTGCTGAGATTTTATTTGGAACTACATTGAATCACTGGGTCAATGTGGGGGAAACTCAAATATTGTAATGATATATCCCACATTTATTTAACTTTTCTTTAATTCTTTCAGCAATATTTTACTTTGTATGTAGAGGTTTTACAGATCTTTCTTTAGATTCATTTGATGTTTCTGGATAATATAAATATCATTTTAAATTGAGTTTCCTAACTGACCTGGCCTCACACCACATACACACTGAGTAAAACTGACTAAGATACAAAAAGTGGAACAGTAAAGCATCTAGATGAATATACTTGAGAATATCTTCACAATCTTAAGAAATCTTTGTCTATTCCAAAACAGTGACACTGGGTTAGTTTTTTCATGAGTGCTCTTTCTGAGTCACCACTCTGCTTACTCAACTTCCATTCTGCTCCTTTATCTGTATCAAACTTATCAGTCACATCTATCAACTACTGAACAATGGAATTTTCCCAGCCTTTAACTGTTCTCTCTCCTCTTGCTGTTCCGTTGTTCATTTTGCAATCATTATTTCTCACGTATTTAAAAACCAACCAACCAAGCTAGAACAAGCAAAAATGACAACAGGTGCACTGAAGAATAAGCATTACTTAACATGAGAGGCAGCTACCAATGCAAGTAATGAGGCTCCTCTGTCAGTCAGATGTTGCCAAAATCCAGCAGTGAGCACACATACAATTATTACAGAAAAGAAAAATGGGCCAGGCTCACTGGCTCACACCTGTAATCCCAATACTTTGGGAGGCCGAGGCAAGAGGATCACTTTAGGACAGGAGTTTGAGGCCAGCCTGGACAATAATATGAGACCCGAACTCTACCAAAAAAATTATTTTAATAAGCCAGGCATAGTGGTACATGCCTGTAGTCCCAGATACTCAAGAGGATGAGGCAGGAGGATCACTTGAGCCCATGAGGTGGAGGCCACAGTGAGCTATGTTCACGCCACTGCACTCTAGCCTGGGCAACAGAGCGAGACTCTGTTTCAAAAAATAGAAAAAAAATGCATTAATGATATACCAAAATGTCAGTAGTACTTCTGCGCAATGCAATTACAGATAAGGAGAGAAGTAGTGTCTTTTTCTATATTTTCTACATGTCAACAATAAATTATATTGTTTTTATGACCAGAAAATACACATAAGTTTATTTAAAATTTTTAACATACAGCTAATGCTGAAGTAACAGCAAAATGAACATATTCATAATACATTACCGGGAGGAAATTGACAGAATTCTTGAAGGATTAGCATTCTGTAACAAAAATATTTGAAATATGTTCCCCTAAGTTAGAAAAAGGTCTGTTCTCAAATGATAATGACACTTAACGTGACTACGTTTTTACTACTAGGAAAGGGAAGATTAAGAGTTGTTTTCGGGCAGAGCATGGTGGTTCACTCACGGTGGGAGGCCAGGGTGGAAGGATTACATGAGGCCAAGTGTTCAAGACCAGCCTGGGCAACATAGTGAGACCTTCTCTCCAACAAAACTTTTTTTTACATTACCCAGGTATGGTAGTGTGCACTTGCAGTCCCAGCTACTTGGAAGGCTGAGGTGGGAGGATCACTTGAGCCCAGAAGTTTGAGGCTACAGTGAGCTATGATCACTCCATTGCCCATCAGCCTGGGCAACAGAGCAAAACCACATCTCTATTTAAATTTTTTTTTTTTTAAAAAAAGAGTTGTTTTCAGCAGATTTCTATCAATGCTCCCTTCATCAGAACCAGCCATACTGTCAAGCGAGGAGGGGAATAAAAATAGATGTAAAGTGGCATTTTCTCTATCTGATGTCCAAATGTGCAAATTTTATTTTACGCATTTTTTTTTTTATTTTTTAGAGGCAGAGTTGCACTGTTGTTGCCCAGGCTGGAGTGAAATGGTACAATCTCAGCTCACTGCAACGTCCGCCTCCCGGGTTCAAGTGATTCTCCTGTCTCAGCCTCCCTAGTAGCTGAGATTACAGGCATGCGCCACCAGGCCCGGCTAATTTTGTATTTTTAGTAGAGATGGGGTTTCACCATGTTGGTCAGGCTGGTGACCTCCCAAAGTGCTGGGATTACACGTTTGAGCCACCATGCCCGGCCTCAAACATGCAAATTTTAAAATAATACCTTTTCCCATTATATATCTATCTACTCATTTCAGGAAAACTATAAGTATAAAGATAACATTTGCTTGCTTTTTTTATATCAAAACATTTTTTGATATTAAAACAATTGTTTCCTAGCAAGAAAACTCAGAGAAAAAATAAAACAAATCTACAATGAACACATCAGTATGTATATTTCTACAAACTTGTGTGAGAAGTTCTGTAAGATCAAGTCCTAAAAGCAGAATTGCTGGCTCAAAGGGTATGTACACATTGCAATTTGACTGATCTTTCTGGTTATACTAATACTCTGACAAGAAGAGTATCTATTTCTCCATCCAATACTGGATATTAAGATAAGAACTACAGTATTCTCTCTCCTAAATAATTCTTATAGGCTAGAACCTTTCCTATTTATCCCTTTCTCATGGTTGCTGCAAATTGCTCTTAAATTGGTTTTGTTTCACAACAAATAATGAGTATACAAAAAAGCTTTCCTATTCTCTGTCTAGTATTCCATTTAAAAGTCCGAGGTTGACTCAGAACAAGCCACCCTTGCTCAGAGTGTGAGCAAAAAAAAGAAAAAGCACGAAATCTAAAATTACATTTAAAGTCAATTGCAATTAAGAAGATATTACTCAGCTAGGCACGATGGCTCACGCCTGTAATCCCAACACTTTGGGAGGCCAAGGCAGGAGGATCGCTTGAGACCAGCAGCGATCGTTTGCGAACAGCCTGGCCAACACAACGAAACCCCGTCTCTACAAAAAATACAAAAATTAGCCAGGCATAGTGGCGTGAGCTTGTAATCCTAGCTATGCAGGAGGCTAAGGTGGGAGCATCATCTCAGCCAGGGAGGACGAGGCTGCAGTGAGCCATGATTGTGCCACTACATTCCAGCCTGGGTGACAGAGTGAGACCCTGTCTCAAAAAAAAAAAAAAAAAAAAAAAAGAAGAAGAAGAAGAGATTAATCAAATTTCTGTGAATGGCTTATTTCCTTAAAGAATAAAAGCAAAATTAAATGTAAACCCCATACAAGGTTCAAATCCTGAATGGCTGTAGGATACAATGTTCCGCAATAAACATTAAAAAAAAAAAAAAAGACAAGAGATCTTCAAGAATCTTATAATCTAAAATGAACTCTAAATAGAACCACCTAGGCCAGGCGTGCAATGGCTCACGCCTGTAATCCCAACACTTTGGGAGGCCAAAGCAGGCAGATCACCTGAAGTCAGGAGTTCGAGGCCAGCCTGGCCAACATGGTGAAACCCCGTCTCAACTAAAAATACAAAAATATTAGCCAGGCGTGGTGGCACATGCCTGTAAATCCCAGCTATTCGGGAGGCTGAGGTGGGAGAATCGCTTGAAACCGGGAGGCGGAGTTGCAGTGAGCCGAGATCACACCACTGCACTCTAGCCTGGGTGATGAGAGTGAAACTATGTCTCAAAAACAAAAACAAAGAAGAGATTATTAGCGGCCAGTCTCGGTGGCTCACGCCTGTACGGCCGGGCACGGTGGCTCATGCCTGTAATCCCAGCACTTTGGGAGGCTGAGGTGGGCAGATCACGAGGTCAGGAGATCAAGAACATCCTGGAGAACATGGGGAAACCCTGTCTCTACTAAAAATACAAAAAATTAGCCGGGCATGGTGGCAGGCGCCTGTAGTCCCAGCTACTCTGGAGATTCAGGCAGGAGAATGGCGTGAACCCGGGAGGCAGAGCTTGCAGTGAGCCAAGATCAGGCCACCACACTCCAGCCTGGGCGACAGAGCGAGACTCCGTCTCAAAAAAAAAAAAAAAAAAAAAAAAAAAGAAGAGATTATTCAAGTATCTGTGGTGACTTATTTCCTTAAAGAATAAAAGTAAAATTGGCCAGGCGCAGTGGCTCAAGCCTGTAATTCCAGCACTTTGGGACGCCGAGGTGGGCGGATCACAAGGTCATGAGATCAAGACCATCTTGGCCAACATGGTGAAACCCTGTCTCTACTAAAAATACAAAAATTAGCTGAGCACGCTGGCGCATGCCTGTAGTCCCAGCTATTAGGGAGGCAGAGACAAGAGAATCGCTTGAACCTGGGAGGCAGAGGTTGCAGTGAATCGAGATCGCAGCACTAGGCCCAGATCCAGCCTAGGTGACAGAGCGAGAATCCATCAAAAAAAATAAAAAATAAAAGTAAAATTAAATGTAAACACTATACAAGGTTCAAATCCTGAATGGCTATTGGATACAGTGTTCCATAGTAAACATTAAAAAAAAAAAAAAGAAAAAAACAGACAATAGATCTTCAAGAACCTTATAATCTAAGATGAAGTCAAGCAATTCTCCTGCCTCAGCCTCCAGAGGAGCTGGGATTACAGGCACGTGCCACCATGACCAGCTAATTTTTGTATTTTTAGGAGAGATGGGGTTTCGCCACGTTGGCCAGGCTGGCCTTCAACTCCTGACCTCAGTTGATCCACCTGCCTCGGCCTCCAGAAGTGCCGGGATTACAGTCATGAGTCACCGTGCCCAGCCTAGGTTTTCTGCTTTTTGTTTTTTTTTTTTTTAAGACAGAGTCTTGCTCTGTCACCCAGGCTAAAGTACAGTGTCACAATCATGGCTCACTATAGCCTTGAACTCCTGGGCTCAAGCAATCCTCCTACCTCAACTTCCCAAATACTTCTGGGAATACAGGCATACGCTGCCATGCCATGCTAATTTTTTTATTATTTATAGAGACAGGGTGTCCCAATGTTGCCCAGGCTGGTCTTTAACTACAAGGTTCATGTAATCCTCCCACCCCGGCCTCTCAAAGTCCTAGGATTACAGGCATGAGCCACTGCACCCAGCTGAATATTAGAATATTTTAAAGCCGAATTCACTATATTACACGAGTTATATATAAGACTGGGTTATATATTAATATAATGAGTACAACAGCCCGAGCATCACAAAGCAGATAATGGAAGGGTAGGTTTAGAGATGAGATAAAAGAAATAGCTACATAATTGTGAGGAGTTGTGTTGCCCATCTCAAATTTACAAATTTTCAGTCTACTTATGAATGAATGCACAATGAAAAGATATTTGTAAGTCAGATGATACAAATTTAAAAGTTATTGAATATTTGTAGTAAGAAAATCTATCAGGCTGGGCGCAGTGGCTCACGCCTGTAATCCCAGCACTTTGGGAGACTGAGGCGGGTAGATCACCTGAGCTCGGGAGTTTCAGACTAGCCTGACCAACATGGAGAAACCCCGTCTGTACTAAAAATACAAAATTAGCCGGGTGTGCTGGCACTTGCCTGTAATCCCAGCTACTCGGGAGGCTGAGGCAAGAGAATCACCTACCACCGGGAAGCAGAGGTTTCGGTGAGCCAAGATCGTGCCACTGCACTCCAGTCTGGGCAGCAAGAGCAAAACTCCGTCTCAGAAAAAAAGAAAATCTATTAATGAAGATATTAAGTCATACACACATATTGGAACTGAATATAGTAAAATAAATACATATGATATCTAGCAGCTGACATAACAAGGCTTATAGTGCTTAATAATGTTTGCAACATATAATCTATTATTCAGCGACCTCAATCACTGTGCATAAATGAAGCATGCTGCCTCTCACTTCCCCTCAAAAAAATGTCCCAAAGGGATACTCACTACTCAAGCCCCATCTATCTCACAAACAAGAGATGAATCACTAACTCTACTCCGAAAAGTCCTGGGTCCTGTCCACTCTCTCTTCCGGTGGAATCAGAAGAAACAAAGAGTTTCCTCCCTGCCACTTTGGGAAGTGTTAAGCGTCTCATGAATATTATAGTTCACAGACTAAAAAGCAACTCAAGAATGCCTCAGTCAGGTTTTCTTCTATGTTCCAAAGAGCACCAAGGAAATTCTGGGCACTTGATAGTGTCCCTGAGAGTAAAACATCAGTATTCACCAAATTACCCTCTTTGCTGCCAAAGAACGATGGGGCTTTGATAATTTTCTCCTTTTAAAGCCAAAAAGATAAGGCATGACTTCAACATTAGCAAAATGTCAAGACCACTCCAATGTGCACTTGTTCTACATCAGCATGTGGGCTGGTTAGCACAGCTCCATGCCTTGGCCAGGGACTGCCCCTAACCCCATTCAGCTGTTTAAAAATGATGGCTAAACAAAGCTAAAATGAGAAAACTCGGCTCTGCCCTATTCCTCCTCAATTTGGAAAAAAACAAAAAGCCCCAAATGTCTATGTCTCTTCATCATAATTCAAAGGAATTACCACCCGGTAAACTCACTGAATTTATAAGCTAGGTCCCTTGTCTCAATTATCAAGCACTTATTAAGCTCCCTAAGCTAGAATATACTCAGGAAATGTGTTCAACAGTAACTAAACGATCATGTAGACTATGTAATTTCTATGTTCAACAAAGAAGTGTCTTGATAATTATATTTTAATATACTCTCTCAGTCCTTATGGAAGACAAAAAACACATCACTAGTTTTTCCATTCCAGGCAATCTGTTAAAAGAAACCAACGTTACTTATAAACAGATTTCAAGCTATCAGGAGAGTAAATTAAAAATATACTTGTGTCTTTTAGATACATTTTTAAAACCATTTGTCAGATTCTTGTTCTGGCAAGAGTCTTAAGACTGGCCACGTAACTTCTTTTTCATTATTTATTTATTTATTTATTTTTTGAGACAAGAGTCTCTCTTGTTGCCCAGGCTGGAGTACAGTAGTGCGATCTTGGCTCACTGCAACCTTCACCTCCCAGGTTTAAATGATTCTTCTGCCTCAGCCTCCAGAGTAGCTGGGATTACAGGCATGTGCCACCATGCTCAGCTAATTTTTGTGTTTTTAGTAGAGAGGAGGTTTCACCATGTTGGCTAGGCTGGTCTCAGAATCCTGACCTAAAGGGATCCACCTGCCTTGGCTCACAAAGTGCTGGGATTACAGGTGTGAGCCACCACACCCAGCCCCACATAACTTCTTAAACTTAAAATTAATCTTTATATTCTAGTGTCTTCCAATTAAATAAATGGAGGCCATGCTCATGACTCACACCTGTAATCCCAGCACTTTGGGAGGCCAAGGTGGGCAGATCACTTTAGGTCAAGAGTTCAAGACCAGTCTGGCCACCATGGCAAGACACCATCTCTACAAAAAATATAAAAAATTAGCCAGGCATGGTGGCACAAGCCTGTAGTCCCAGCTACTCGGGAGGCTGAGGTGGGAGGATCGCTTGAGCCCAGGAGTTTAAGGCTGCAGTGAGCTATGATCATGCCACTACTTTCCAGCCTAGGCAACAAAGCAGGATCCCGCACAGTCAATCGATAAAAAGTGCATATGGCTCTTTAGCATCATTAGTTACACACAACTTTAAGAAAATGTCACGTTTTTATGTTCCATCTCTTTGAACAAAAATTAATCACCTACTATTTTTCTTTCTTGAAAAAGCATTATTGGTCGATAAAAAGACTATTCCCATATTACCCGGCCTAACTGTCTTTTCCAGCAAATGACTTAAGTTATACAGAATATACTTACCCTAGCAAATCTAACCATAGTGCCCCCTAATAAAAATCCTAAATAGCAGGCCATAGCAGAAAGCACTTGTAGTCCCAGCCATTCAGGAGACTGAGGCAAGAAGATTGCTGGAGCTCATGACCAATCTGGGCAACACAGCCAGCTCCATATCTCTCTATCTATCTATTTATCTATCTCACCTATTTATTATTTATTTCACATAGGGTCTCACTCTGTCCCCCAGGCTAGGGTGTGGTGGTATAACTGTGGCTCACAGCAGCCTCAAACTTCTGGCTTAAGCAATCCTCCCACCTCAGCCCCCCAATTAGCTGGGACCACAGGCACACACCACCACGCTCAGCTAATTTTTATATTTTTGGTAGAGACAAGGTCTTGCTCTACTGACCAGGCTGGGCTCAAACTACTGGCATCATGCAATCCTCCTCCCACCTAGGCCTCCCAAAGACTGCATCTCAATTTAGAAAACAAAAACAAACAAAACCAAATAAAAACAATGACATGAGGTTTTCTATGGGGGTGAGGGCTCACATTATTTCTGACAAGATTTGGAGACAAAGAAATTCCAGTATCTTTATCACATACTTCCTGCCATGGAAGATCTCTGGGTCCATTTCTATAAAAAAGGAGTTGTGCACAAAGGTATCAGGAATTGGAGCATGTGTGTGAGGGGGTGTGTGTGTGTGTGTGTATGTGTTAAGTACCAGAGCTTTAGAAAGTCTACAAACCTCAGCTGGGCACAGTGGCTCACACCTATAATCCCAGCACTTTGGAAGGCTGAGGCGGGTGGATCACGAGGTCAGGAGTTCGAGACCAGCCTGGCCAACATGGCGAAACCCTGTCTCTACTAAAAAAATACAAAAAATTAGCTGGGCATGGTGGCATGTGCCTGTAATCCCAGCTACTCGGAAGGCTGAGGCAGGAGAACTGCGTGAACCCGGGAGGCAGAGGTTGCAGTGAGCCAAGATCGCGCCACTGCACTCCAGCCTGGGTGACAGAGCAAGACTCCGTCTCAAAAAAAAAAAAAAAAAGAAAAGAAAAGAAATAATGCATTTTATGTCTATATATATAGTTTTTAAGGACCATTATGACCAGCAGAGGTGGACAAAAGAAATAGAAATACAGATTATGAACAAAAGTTGAAGGCATTTCTTTAACCTAAGAGGAGTGAAACACTGCACTTGCTCACACATCCTTACCCTGGTCACAAGCTGCTGCTTTCATACACCCTATGCTCACCTGTGCCCTCTATTTGTGCCTCATACTCTCTGGAAGGCTGAGTAAGTAGCAATTCCTCTTGAAGCTTTCCTGACCGAGGGTAAGAATCTTTTGAGCTCAAACATTTTGTAATACCTCTAAGATGCACTGATTATACACTACAATGAAAAAAAGCTCAACAATATCTTAAATTTGATCACCACCAGTAGATCATAGAAAACCACCGTTTTTCCTCAACAACTGCCAAAACGACAAACAAGGGGCTAGGTTTTTTCACTTTTTGTTTTTTCTGCAGTAGAAAAAGAATTTAATTAATGGAAGGGTGGTCCATGTTAGAGAACCAGAGATATCGCCCAAATCAGTCACCTTTTTTCTGCACATTTGTATGCTATCAATGCATACATCAGGTGTTATTAAGGAATAGTAAAGAATATAAAGTTTTCATCCCAGTGATCCTCAAAAGAAAACAAAAAGCCATATATCCTATAAGGTCAAGAGTCACCTGCCTGGGAAGCAGATTTTAGGTTCTAACCTTTGGCTTCTAATGGCTATATAATTTTCTTAGAACCTGGAAGACCAGCATTTCCCAAAATGATGTCTGCTAGACCCTCTTCTGTACCATTCTGAAAAGATATTCAAATCAATCGGGAAAGGCCCGATTTTTATTGTCTTATTGTTTTTTTTCGTTTGTTTTTAAAGACAGAGTGTCACTCTGTCATCCAGGCTGGAGTGCAGTGGCACGATGTCAGCACACTGCAACCTCTGCTTCCTAGATTCAAGCAATTCTCCTGCCTCAGCCTCCTGAGTGGCTAGGATTACAGGTGCATACCACCACGCCCAGCTAATTTTTTGTATTTTTAGTAGAGATGGGGTTTCACCGTGTTGGCCAGGCTGGTCTCGAATTCCTGACCTCAAATGATACGCCCGCCTCAGCCTCCCAAAGTGCTGGAATTACAGGCGTGAGCCACTGCGCCTGGCCAGGAAAGTCTGTTATTAAAACAAAGTTAAAATGGTTACTTTACTGGAGAACTTTTGTGGGGCTTTAATATGGTAATACACATTATAAATTTCCAACCTAAAATTCCATTATGAAGCCTTTAGCAAAGTAGTTTAAGCAAGATCCTGAGAAGAGTCTGGAAAACGCTTCAAAGAAGTCTTTTGTTTTTTGGTCACCGTAGTACTGAGTACCTTAGTTCCTAAAAAGTTCTTACCTGATATGTGTTGCGGGCAGAGATTCATACTGGCGTGACAAAAAGAGTTCCCTATGTTTCAACTGATGTTTCTGCTTATCGGTCAAGTCAGCCTCAACTGTTGTTTCAGATTCTTCCTCAATTTCTTCTACACAAATAAAATTCAAAGAATTTATTAGTACAAAGCACATTATCTGTTTGGATATTGAAACAGATCAAATCAACATTTTATTCAATATTTTCTTCAAACTAATCAATTTTAAATTTAAACATTTGCCAGGTGCAGTGGCTCATGCTTGTAATCCTAAGCATTTTGGGAAGCTGAGGCAGGTGGATCACCTGAGGTCAGGTGTTTGAGACCAGCCTGGCCAACATGGCGAAACCCCATCTCTACTAAAAATACAAAAAGTAGCCTGGCATGGTGGTGGGCGCCTGTAATCCCAGCTACTCGGGAGGCTGAGGCAGGAGAACTGCTTGAATCCAGGGGGTGGAGTTTGCAGTCAGCCAAGATCGTACACTTCACACCAGCCTGAGTGAAAGAGCAAGAATCTGTCTCAAAAAAAAAAAAAAAAATTAAACATTTATCTTGTCAGTTCAACTATAACCATAAAATTATCAGGGCCTCAAAAGAAGAAAAATTCCAACTTAAAAATGGCAGATGGTACCCCAAAAATATACACAAATATTACATATCAATTTAAAAATTAATTCACTTTTTTTTCGGAGATAGAGTTTGCTCTGTCGCCCAGGCTGGAGTGCAGTGGTGTAATCTCAGCTCACTGCAAACACCACCACCTAGGTTCAAGCAATTCTTGTGCCTTAGCCTCCAGAGTAGCTGTGATTACAGGCGTACATCACCACACCTGGCTAACTTTATGTATTTTTAGTAGAGACAGCGTTACACCATGTTGCCCAGGCTGGTCTCGAACTCCTGGGCTCAAGTGATCTGCCTGCTTTGGCCTCCCAAAGTGCTGGGATTACAGGCATGAGCCACCACACCCAACCTCACAGAAGGGATTTTATCAAATATAATGCTCTTGTTGAAGTAGTTCTTTATGAATAGCATGAGGGTAATGAATGGAGTAAGTATCAGATCTTTTCTACTTTCAAACTTTTAAAACTGAATTGAAAATGAACCTTAAACAGTAACTTAGAAAAAGATGCACCTAGCTCAAAGCAAGAATAAAGCAATTTAAAATTCTTTGGATATTCTTTTTAATGAACTACTCAAAGAGAAATATAGCACTAAAAGGGCCATTTACTTGCAGGTCTAATAACATTTCACCAGTGAAGATTGATAAAGTTGCTGCTGCATTGGCACTATTAGCACTAGAAAATATCACATACAAAATTACACTCTTTACCTAATTAGGATTTGACAAATTGTTGTTGTATAAGACACAGCTAACTGAATTCTAATGCATACCCTACAGAGCTAAAACAGCAACCAGCTCTACAACAGCAACAGTAAATCTTACGTTCTTATACGATCCCTTGGTTCACCATAAAAAGGACCAAAATCACTGAAATCCAACCTAACCAAAGACAAAAATCACAACGGCATCTCTCATGATGCAGATCACTAATGAAAACCACTTTTTAAAATTTACCAGTTAAATTTCAAATTTCATTTATGTATTTGTATAACTTTTTTTTAGACGGAGTCTCGCTCTGTCACCCAGGCTAGAGTGCAGTAGCACAATCTCGGCTCACTGCAACCTCCATCTCCCGGGTTCAAGTGATTCTCCTGCCTCAGCCTCCTGAGTAGCTGGGATTACAGGCGTGTGCCACCACACCTGGCTAATTTTTGTATTTTTAGTAGAGACAGGGTTTCATCATGTTGCCCAGGCTGATCTCGAACTCCTGAGCTCAAGCAATCTGTCCACCTCGGTGTGAGATAAATCAATTATTAGAGTGGATGAAGAGTAAAGAGAATTCAAAAGATAAATTTAAAGTTAGACAGGCCAGGTGTGATGGCTCATGCCTGCAATTCCAGCACTTTGGGAGGCTGAGGCAAGCAGATCGCTTGAGCCCAGGAGTTCAAGACCAAACATCTCTACAAAAAATACAAAAATTAGCCAAGCCCATGGTCCCAGCTACTCAGAGACTGATGTAGGAGGATCGCTTGAGCCCAGGAGGTGGAAGGTGCTGTGAGCTGAGATCGCACCACTGCACTCCAGCCTGGGCGATACAGCAAGACCCTATGTCGAAATAAATAAATAAATAAAGTTGAACAATGCCTCTGAGCCAGAGTCTGATCCATGAGACTCTCACCAATCTCCAGCGGGAGACTCCTCTTTGCTACAAAGCAGCACCCACATACGCTTAAGGTACTTCACAGTATGCTTTGCTCTACTCTACAGTTAACTGATTTCACTGCATCCCTTGAGAACAATGACAGGTCACTTATCTTTGTATCCACCCTATTTTACTTGCGGGGTAAAAGTGAACCTCAAGAAACATTCAGAGCTCTACCCTCTACCTCTACCTACCTCTACCTCTACCTCTACCCCTACCCCTACCCCTACCCCTACCCCTACCTCTACCTCCGGTCTCCCTCTCATGCGGAGCCGAAGCTGGACTGTACTGCTGCCATCTCGGCTCACTGCAACCTCCCTGCCTGATTCTCCTGCCTCAGTCTGCCGAATGCCTGCGATTGCAGGCACGCGCCGCCACGCCTGACTGGTTTTGGTGGAGACGGGGTTTCGCTGTGTTGGCCAGGCCGGTCTCCAGCCCCTAACCGCGAGTGATCCGCCAACCTCGGCCTCCCGAGGTGCCGGGATTGCAGACGGAGTCTCGTTCACTCAGTGCTCAATGGTGCCCAGGCTGGGGTGCAGTGGCGTGATCTCGGCTCACTACAACCTACACCTCCCAGCCGCCTGCCTTGGCCTCCCAAAGTGCCGAGATTGCAGCCTCTGCCCAGCCGCCACCCCGTCTGGGAAGTGAGGAGTGTCTCTGCCTGGCCGCCCATCGTCTGGGATGTGAGGAGCCCCTCTGCCTGGCTGCCCAGTCTGGAAAGTGAGGAGCGTCTCCGCCCGGCCGCCATCCCATCTAGGAAGTGAGGAGCGCCTCTTCCCAGCCGCCATCACATCTAGGAAGTGAGGGGCGTCTCTGCCCGGCCGCACATCATCTGGGATGTGAGGAGATCGTCTGAGATGTGGGGAGCGCCTCTGCCCCGCCGCCCCGTCTGGGAGGTGAGGAGCGTCTCTGCCCGGCCGCCCCGTCTGAGAAGTGAGGAGCCCCTCCGCCCGGCAGCTGCCCCGTCTGAGAGGTGAGGAGCCTCTCCGCCCGGCAGCCACCCGATCTGGGAAGTGAGGAGCGTCTCCGCCCGGCAGCCACCCCATCTGGGAAGTGAGGAGAGTCTCCGCCCGGCAGCCACCCCGTCCGGGAGGGAGGTGGGGGGGGGTCAGCCCCCCGCCCGGCCAGCCGCCCCGTCCGGGAGGTGAGGGGCGCCTCTGCCCGGCCGCCCCTACTGGGAAGTGAGGAGCCCCTCAGCCCGGCCAGCCACCCCGTCCGGGAGGGAGAGGGGGGGTCAGCCCCCCCACCCGGCCAGCCGCCCCGTCCGGGAGGGAGGTGGGGGGGTCAGCCCCCCACCTGGCCAGCCGCCCCCGTCCGGGAAGGGAGGTGGGGGGGTCAGCCCTTCCGCCCGGCCAGCCGCCCCGTCGGGGAGGTGAGGGGCGCCTCTGCCCGGCCGCCCCTACTGGGAAGTGAGGAGCCCCTCTGCCCGGCCAACCGCCCCGTCCAGGAGGGAGGTGGGGGGGTCAGCCCTCCACCCGGCCAGCCGCCCCGTCTGGGAGCTGAGGGGCGCCTCTGCCCGGCCGCCCCTTCTGGGAAGTGAGGAGCCCCTCTGCCCGGCCAGCCGCCCCATCCAGGAGGGAGGTGGGGGGGTCGGCCCCCCGCCCGGCCAGCCGCCCCATCCGGGAGGGAGGTGGGGGGGTCAGCCCCCCGCCCGGCCAGCCGCCCCGTCCGGGAGGGAGGTGGGGGTGTCAGCCCCCCGCCCGGCCAGTCGCCCCGTCCGGGAGGGAGGTTGGGGGGTCAGCCCCCCGCCCGCCAGCCGCCCCGTCCGGGAGGGAGGTGGGGGGGTCAGCCCCCCTGCCCGCCAGCCGCCCCGTCCGGGAGGTGAGGGGGCGCCTCTGCCCGGCCGCCCCTACTGGGAAGTGAGGAGCCCCTCTGCCCAGCCAGCCGCCCCGTCCGGGAGGGAGGTGGGGGGGTCAGCCCCCCGCCCGGCCAGCCGCCCCGTCCGGGAGGTGAGGGGCGCCTCTGCCCGGCCGCCCCTACTGGGAAGTGAGGAGCCCCTCTGCCCGGCCAGCCGCCCCGTCCGGGAGGGAGGTGGGGGTGTCAGCCCCCCGCCCGGCCAGCCGCCCCGTCCGGGAGGGAGGTGGGGGGGGTCAGCCCCCCCGCCCGGCCAGCCGCCCCGTCCGGGAGGTGAGGGGCGCCTCTGCCCGGCCGCCCCTACTGGGAAGTGAGGAGCCCCTCTGCCCGGCCACCACCCCATCTGGGAGGTGTACCCAACAGCTCATTGAGAACGGGCCAGGATGACAATGGCAGCTTTGTGGAATAGAAAGGCGGGAAAGGTGGGGAAAAGATTGAGAAATCGGATGGTTGCCGTGTCTGTGTGGAAAGAAGTAGACATGGGAGACTTTTCATTTTGTTCTACACTAAGAAAAATTCCTCTGCCTTGGGATCCTGTTGATCTGTGACCTTACCCCCAACCCTGTGCTCTCTGAAACATGTGCTGTGTCCACTCAGGGTTAAATGGATTAAGGGCGGTGCAATATGTGCTTTGTTAAACAGATGCTTGAAGGCAGCATGCTCGTTAAGAGTCATCACCAATCCCTAATCTCAAGTAATCAGGGACACAAACACTGCGGAAGGCCGCAGGGTCCTCTGCCTAGGAAAACCAGAGACCTTTGTTCACTTGCTTATCTGCTGACCTTCCCTCCACTATTGTCCCATGACCCTGCCAAATACCCCTCTGTGAGAAACACCCAAGAATTATCAATAAAAAAATAAATTAAAAAAAAAAAAAAAGAAAAGAAACATTCAGAGCAGACCAAGTAAGAATTATCGAGCAACACTAAATTCAGCAGCAGCAAGGATAGACTCACAAAGTTACAGCATAAAACACTGCAGAACATAAACATCAATAAGTTACTGTAAAAGGGGCTTTATTTTTCACATTTCATTCCAGTGCTTTTCAAAATTCTTCTTTCAAGATTTAACACAAAGTGGATGGGAGACTAAACTTAAGAGTTACACTGGACGCCGGGCGCAGTGGCTCATGCCTGTAATCCCAGCACTTTGGGAGGCCGAGGCGGGTGGATCACCTGAGGTCAGGAGTTTGAGACCAACCTGGCCAATATGGTGAAACCCCATCTCTACTAAAAGTACAAAATATTAGCTGGGCATAGTGGCGGGAGCCTGTAATCCCAGCTACTCTGGAGACTCAGGCAGGAGAATCGCTTGAACCCAGGAGACGGAGGTTATAGTAAGCCAAGATCACGCCATTGCACTCCAGCCTGGGCGACAAGAGCAAAACTCTGTTTCAAAAACAAAGAGCTGGGTGCGGTGGCTCACGCCTGTAATCCCAGCACGTTGGGAGACCGAGGCAGGCGGATCACAAGGTCAGGAGATCGAGACCATCCTGGCTAACACAATGAAGCTCCGTATCTACTAAAAATAGAAAAATTAGCCAGGTGAGATGGTGGGCGCCTGTAGTCCCAGGTAGTGGGGAGGCTGAGGCAGGAGAATGGCGTGAAGCCGGGAGGCGGGGCTTGCAGTGAGCCATCACTGCACACCAGCCTGGGTGACAGAGCCAGACTCCGTCTCAAAAGAAAATAAAAAGGAAAGAAAGAAAATTGTGTTGACCTCATAGACCCCCTGGAAAGGATTTCAGGAACTGCTGAACTAAATGCAAAAGAAATCTTACCTTAAAGTACATATTAAATGAAAACCAAAAATTGGCTAAGTATGAGTTTTTTACTTTACTGACTTTAAGAAATTTACCACAGAAATTTTATTTCCACAGTGTGAGATACAAGGACTCATCAGTTATTCTATAGCAAATCAGGATCCCATCAGAAATTTAAGCTATTTCTGCTTTATATTTATTCAAAGAACACTGCATCGGGCAAAAGCTGCCCAATACTGTAATAAATTCCAAGTCCATATGGAATTTTATATAGTCTCAACATGCTACTGTACTATTTTTCACTTGCTATCAATTTTAAAACAAAGAATCAGAACCAAATTATCTAGCACCAACAGAGCACCATCCATCCTCTAATTCATTAACACCCCAGCAAGCAGCTTCCTAAAACACAATTTCTATTTCTCCCGTTTTGATAAAAAGGCCTCAATAACTTCCAACCAACCACCATTAGGGTAAAAACTAAACTTTCACGGCTTATACATCTAACAATCTGCCTTGCCACATGTTTTAACAAGGACCTGTGTTCTCCCTTCCACCCTACCCCCAGCAAAAAAAAAAAAAAAAAAGTAAATTTATTGATGTGCCTACCAACGTGTTCTGAGGCTATGAGGAAGCCATAAAAGTCCTACCCTGAATTACAGTCCATCCTGGATTCCAGGCAAGAATATATACCTTCAGATTTGGTGAGTACTATAAAATTACACAGCATACTCTGGAAGCATGACAGAGGAAATTCATGTCATGTAGCTTGATGAGCCAGCAGAGGCTTCTCTGAAGAAATCAGTCTGAACGGACACCAGAAGGGAAAGGGGGTGGATGGCTGGGCCCCTGTCTTTGGTAATTAGAGAACACTCCTCTGGATAAGGATAGCCCAGGTATCTGTACTTGGGCTTGGTCTGACTGAGGGAATTTACTGCTTTTCCCTTCACATCCTGCTAACTCAGCTAAAAACCTCATTAGGGAGTGTCTCCCAGTTTTAAAGCTCAAAATCCCTCATTTAGAGAACCCCTCAGTCCCCAGCAAATGAGGACAATTTGATCACCCTAGCCCTCATATTACCCAAATGAAGCATTAAACTTATGGTACCATAATAGCTAAAAATTTAAAAGACTGAAAGAACATAGACCAACTGGAGTTCTCATACATTAACAGAGGAAGTGAAAAATTGGTCCAACCACTTTGGGAATCTGTGTGGCAAAATCTACTGAAGTAAAATTTCTGTGACAAGTTTCTTCCACCACATGAACCAACAATGTTTCTCCTAGGTAATTACCCAAGAGAAATGAGAGCATAAGTACACCAAAAGACCTGTACATGAATGTTCATAGGAGCTTTATTTGCAGTAGCCAAAAACTGGAAATAAGCCAAATGTTCAGTAATAGGAGAACAACAACTAAGGCTGGGTATGGTGGCTCACGCCTGTAATCCCAGCACTTCAGGAGGCCGAGGCAGGTGGACAGCTTGAGCCCAGGAGATCCAGACCAGCCTAGGCAACAGGATGAAACCCCATCTCTACAAAAAAATACAAAAATTAGGACTGGGCAGTGGTTCACGCCTGTAATCCCAACACTTTGGGGGGCCAAGATGGGTGGATCACCTGAGGTCAGGAGTTCGAGACCAGCCTGGCCAACATGGCAAGACCCCCGCCTCTACTAAAAATACAAAAATTAGCCGGGCAAGGTGGTGGGTGACTGTAATCCCAGCTACTCAGGGGGCTGAGGTGGGAGAATTCCTTGAATCCGAGAGGTGGAGGTTGCAGTGAGCCAAGATCATCCCACTGCACTCCAACCTGGACAACAGAGCAAGACTCCATGGGATCAGACAAAAACAGCTGGCAGTGGTGGTGCACACCTGAAATCCTAGCTACTCCAGAGGCTGATGCAGGAGAATTACTTGAACCTGAAAGGTGGAGGTTGCAGTGAGCTGAGATCGCAACCCTGCACTCCAGCCTGGGCAGCACTGCAAGACTCTGTCTCAAAAAAAATTAGGTGGGCTTCGTGGCGTGAACCTGGAATCCCAGCTACTCAGGAGGCCGAGGTGGGAGAATCCCTTGAGCCTGGAAGTTCAAGACTGGCCTGAGCAATATAGTAACACCTCATGTCTACAAAACAAAACTTAGAAAGTTAGTCGTGTGGCGGCACGCACCAGCGAGAGGGTCACTTGACGGAGACCCTGCCTCAAAACAACAACAACAAAACAGACAAGGCAGTGCTCAGTGCTTACACAGTGTTGTGAGCAGTATTTATTTACAAACAGCCACACTGGAAAAACTTAATAGTTCATAGCGTATTGGATAGACTACACAAAAAGGTCTTGCCTCTGTAAGAGGGAATAATTAAGCCCCAGGCTGAGCACTGCTCCACACTCACTTAACAAATCACAGATGCAACAACCAAACATCAGGCTGTTTCCAAGTAACTTAAATGCATCCCAGAACAAAGTTCAAGTTGATTTATAATAATAAAAAATGGGTCAGGGATGGTGACTCACACCTTAATCCCAGCACTTTGGGAGGCCAAGGCGGGTAGATCGTGAGATCAAGAGATGGAGACCATCCTGGACAACATGGTGAAACCCTGTCTCTACTAAAAATACAAAAATTAGCCGGACGTGGAGGCGCATGCCTATAGTCCCAGCTACTCGGGAGGCTGAGGCAGGAGAATTACCTGAACCCGGGAGGCGGAGGTTGCAGTGAGCCAAGAACACGCTACTGCACTCAAGCCTAAGCGACAGAACATGACTCCATCTCAAAAAGAGAAAAAAAGAAAAAAGAAAAAAATCCAGAGACAAACTCTACTCAGCAAATAAAAGATGTAAAAGAAATGAACCATTGAGCTAATCACAGTGGCTTACGTCTGTAATCCCAGAACTTTGCGAGGCCAAGGCAGGCAGATCAGCTGAGGTCCGGAGTTCAAGACCACCCTGGCCAACATGGCGAAACCCCATCTCTATTAAAAATACAAAAATCAGCCAGGTGTGGTGGCGCATCCCTGTAATCCTAGCTACTAGGAGACTGAGGCACAAGAATCGCTTGAACCCAGGAGGCAGAGGTTGCAGTGAGCGGAGATCACACCACTGCACTCCAGCCTGGGTGACAGAGCAAGACTCGGTCTCAAAACAAAACAAAGAAACATGGGCCTGAATGGGAAAGGGGATGCAAAAAAAAAAAAAATTAATAAAAAGAAACATGGGCCATATATACTATAGGATGTAACCTTTTTCAAACCTTTAACCAGTTTGGAAACCAAAAGTCAGAAAATTAATAGTCTACCATGGACAAAATGGAAATAAGAATCAGTTGGAGGGTAAAGGATTATAACTTCACTTCCTGCAACCATCTGCTATAGTACATTTCATTCTGGGAGCCCTTCACTAACAAATTTCTTCTAATCCTGTTGCCCTTTCCCCTTTACAGCTGTTCATATGAAAAGACAGACAACCACAAGCAAGTTTTTTTGTTTTGTTTTGTTTTTTTTGAGACAGAGTCTCGCTCTGTTGCCCAGGCTGGAGTGCAGTGGCGCGACCTTGGCTCACTACAACCTCTGCCTCCTGGGTTCAAGCGATTCTCCTGCCTCAGCCTCCTGAGTAGCTGGGACTACAGGAATGTGCCGCCACACCCAGCTAATTTTTTTTGTATTTTTAGTACAGACAGGGTTTCACTGTGTTAGCCAGGATGGTCTCAATCTCCTGACCTCGTGATCCGCCCGCCTCGGCCTCCCAAAGTGCTGGGATTACAAGCGTGAGCCACCATGCCTGGCCCATAAGCAAGTTTTTTAAAAAGTCTTGAAATGGAAAACATTTCCCTAACTGTATAGAGAACAGAGTAGTCTGAAAACCACCTAAACAAAAGAAGAAATGAAACTCCTTAAGCTACAAAAACCCACCAAATGAGTCAACCATATTATACCTTAATGACAAAAAGAATTAAACAAAAACAGGAAATAAAATATTTTATTTTGTTATCTTTAGGGATATCTTTACAACATCTTAACCTTGAATAATTTTCTACCATGATGAAATTAATTCCTGTCAGGAACTGCAGTTTCACCCACATGAATTACCACTACTCTTTTCTTTTTTTTTGGAGATGGAGTCTCACACTGTCGCCCGGGCTGGAGTGCAGTGGCGCAATCTCGGCTCACTGCAACCTCCACCTCCCAGCTTCACGCCATTCTCCTACCTCACCCTCCTGAGTAGCTGGAGGCGCCCGCCACCACACCCGGCTAATTTTTGTATTTTTTTTAGTAGAGACGGGGTTTCACTGTGTTAGCTAGGATGGTCTCGATCTCCTGACCTTGTGATCCACCCGCCTCGGCCTCCCAAAGTGCTGGGATTGGGATTACAGGCATAAGCCGCCGCGCCCGGTACCACTACTATTAAATGTAAAGCAAGTTTGGCTAGCCAACTATTTTTATAATGTTGCTAGAAAGATGCACAAATCCCCATAATATGAAAACATGTGCAGCTTTAAAGACTCATAGAAGTCTTATAAACATGGACACGATGCAACACTGGCTCAGGAAAAACTTGCGGAAAGGAACTGGCATGAGGTACACTGAAAGGATATGGGACATTAGCCACCGTCCTGAGCCCTGAGCTGTCACCACTAGCAAACGAAGTTAAAAAGGAGAGCAGCCACAACCATTCTCCACATTCCTAGGTGTCAAGAAAGGGGCAGAGTGAACTAAGGCTTCAGATGACCATTTTCCAACTTCCTGGCTGGAAGGGACAACTGAAAATGCATGCCACTAGCACAACTCTAGAAAAGCCTCCAGTGGTACCCACTTCCCATGTATGTCAAGGCTTCTGTGTTAATGTGAAAGTCCTCCAGGGGGCCCAGTCAAAGCTACTGTTTTCTGCATGTCTTATGATTTGTAGGGGCTTTTATTCATTTAATCGCTACAAAAACCCTCAACACAGGAAGGGTAATAAGGTAGAAAGTATTAATGAGTCCCTTGTAAAGATGAATTAAGGCTCAACAACGTTAATTTATCTGCCCCATAATGCCAAATTATACAAACATATAACAAAATGCAGTATATTTATCTTATCCAAAATAAATTTTAAGGAGATAAATAAAACATACAAAAGAAGCATTTAGAGGACAGGATACTAATCCAGTTAGGTGACCTTAGACCTAACCAAGGACTCAACCAAAAAATACAGAGGGTTTAAACAGATTATGTATAAGGTCCTTACAGGTCTAAAATTCCGTGATTTGGAATGCTAAATGAAAAATACTTTGGACTACCTAAATATAGAGGCACTATATTAAGGTAAAAGCACTATTTAGAAATAGAAGTAGTGAAGGCCAGGCGCGGTGGCTCACGCCTGTAATCCCAGCACTTTGGGAGGCCGAGGCGGGTGGATCACGAGGTCAGGAGATACAGACCATCCTGACTAACACAGTGAAACCCCATCTCTACTAAAAATACAAAAAATTAGCTGGGTGTGGTGGCAATAGTCCCAGCTACTCAGGAGGCTGAGGCAGGAGAATCACTTGAACCCAGAAGGTGGAGGTTGCAGTGAGCCAAGATCATGCCACTGCACTCCGGCCTGGGCAACAGAGCAAGATTCTGTCTCAAAAAAACAAAAAGAAAAGAAAAGAAATAAAAATAGTAGCAAAAAGATCCGGAATTCAGTGAATGTACACTATACTTCAATAAAAAGATTTGTTTTAAAAAGATAACTTGGCCAGGCGCAGTGGCTCATGCCTGTAATCCTAACACTTTGGGAGGCTAAAGTGGGCAGATCGCTTCACCCCAGGAGTTCAAGACCAGCCTGGGCAACGTGGCAAAACCCTGTCTCTACAAAAGGATACAAAAATTAACCAGACACGATGACACACAACTGTAGTCCCAGCTACTCAGGAGGCTGAAGCAGGAGGATCAGTTGAGCCTGGGAGGCAGAGGTTGCAGTAAGCTGAGATGGTGCCACTGCACTCCAGCCTGGGCAACAGAGCAAGACCCCATCTCAAAAAAAAAAAAAACAGGTGGGTGAGGTGGCTCACACCTGTAATCCCAGCACTTTGGGAGGCTGAGGCGGGCAGATCACAAGGTCAGGAGTTTGAGACCAGCCTGGCCAACATGGTGAAACCCCATCTCTACTAAAAATACAAAAATTAGCTGGGCGTGGTAGTGCACGCCTGTAATCCCAGTAACTCAGGAGGCTGAGGCAGGAGAATTGCTTGAACCCAGGAGGTGGGGGTTGCAGTGAGCCGAGATCATGCCACTGCACTCCAGCCTGGCCAACACAGCAAGACTCCATCTCAAAAACAGAAAAAAAAAAAAAAAAAAAAGATAACTTGTCGGCCAGGTGCAGTGGCTCACTCCTGTAATCCCAACACCTTGGGAGGATTAGGCAGTAGGATCACATGAAACCAGTACTTTGAGACCAGCCTGGGCAACACGGTGAGACCCCATTTCTACAAAAATAATAATAATAATAATTTTTTAAAAAGATGGCCAGGTGTAGTGGCTCATGCCTCTAATCCCAATTCTTTGGTAGGCCGAGGTGGGCGGATTGCCTGAGCTCAGGATTTCGAAACCCGCCTGGACAACAAGGTGAAACCCCGTCTCTACTAAAATACAAAAAAAAAATTATTCACCGGGCAATGCAGTTTGCTCCTGTTGTCCCAGCTACTCAGGAGGCTGAGGGAGGAGAATTGCTTGAACCCGGGAGGCAGAGGTTGCAGTGAGCCAAGATCGCACCACTGCACTCCAGCCTGGGCGACAGAGCGAGACTCTGTCTCCAAAAAAAAAAGATAACTTGTGGAAAATTTTAGATTAGCTACTTCAAGTATAAAAATGATTTTCATTCTGTAAGTCCACAGACAGCAAAAAAAAAATTAAGGATTTTCAATCAACTAGTCACATGAAAATATACAACATGAGCCTGTATTCTTCCAGACCACAAATTAAGCCACACAATGACAGAAGTAAAGCTAACACAAGGCTTTCTAAAAAGCTTAAGAATATCTAATTGCTGGAATGCCTCATTTAATGATCAATAAGCAATGTGACATCAATTTTAAAGTATTAATACAGTACTTGCTTTGTTCACAAAAAATATAAACCATTAACATTCAGAAGACCAGATCAATAAGAAAATGTATATCATAAAACATAATTAACTTGTCAAATAATAAACCTTTATAATATTTACAGTTGATAATAATCTGGTTAATGAGACACAAACTTGCCATAACTGCCAATTACAAAATGTCACTTACAAAAATAAAAACTCCATAAAATAGCAAGAGAAAAATGTCCTTTTAAATGAAAGTTGATTACTTTAATGCTGTGATAAAAAATAGATTTTATGCCAACTCCAATCAAGGGGTAACAGCTGGCTAGAAAGGACCAAGTGGGCCCAAGGGCAGAGTAAGGACTCAGTATCTTGGTTGGGCCCTGGCTGCAAAAGGAGAGTAGCAGGCTGACTGAGGTCTATGTGCCTACACACTTCATAGACTAAGAAACAAAAAGCCATGGGCTATGTTCTCAAAATGTAAAATGTTATAAGAAAATACAACACACATCTTAAAAATCAACTATGTTTAGCTTTATTCCTAATAAACTTTGTGACTGAAGTACAAAATTAGAAATAAGAAAAAGTTTTTCAAATGCCAGGATGACCTTTTATTGTTCTTTTATTTTCCCTTCTCTCTTTAGTATTTCTCTCGGAAGTATTAAGATTTCAAAAACTGGGCAGAATGAATCACAGACAAATGCTTTCAGAAACTTAGATGGGGACATATATAATGTAAGATGGACTTAACTTACATGTAGAATAAAATGGACTTACATGTAAAAGCATTTAGAGTGTCTGGTATTATGTGTTAGCTCCTACTATTATTGTTAAATCATTATTGTAACTTATTACTAAGTCATAAGTTACTAAGTAAAAAGTTACAATAATAATTTTTAAAATTTTTTCCAGTCCTATGTGATCTGAAAAAATATATATATACCCAAATACCGTTTACTTAAACATGGGAAGGTAGAGGACAAGGAAAGAAGAAAAGCTAAGTAAAATGTATTTCCTTGTTCTAATAGGAGAAGAAGTCACGGAAAAATGTAAGGTTAAACACGTCAGTTTACAATTAGGAATATCTGCTTTACTTCCTTTATTGGAGTAACTAAAGGTTTCTTTTATTATTTTCCCCCTACAAATTAATTTAGCAAAAGTTAAACTCAAAATAGGCAAAGAATATAAACAGTTCACAGAAAAGGACACACATGTGGCCTTTTAAAAATATAAAAACATGCCGGGCACAGTGGCTCACGTCTGTAATCCCAGCACTTTGGGAGGCCGAGGCAGGCAGATCACGAGGTCAGGAGATTGAGACCATCCTGGCTAACACGGTGAAACCCCATCTCTACTAAAAACACAAAAAAATTAGCCGGGCATGGTGGCAGGCACCTGTAGTCCCAGCTACTCGGGAGGCTGAGGCAGGAGAATGGCGTGAACCTGGGAAGTGGAGCTTGCAGTGAGCTGAGATCGCGTCACTGGACTCCAGCCTGGGTGACAGAGCGGGACTCTGTCTCAAAAAAAAAAAAAAAAAAAAATGAAGCTCCTGTTTAGCCTTACTACCTTGGTTTTGAATAAGAATAGATAACTATGGCCCAGTGTGGTGGCTCACACCTGTAATCCCAGCACTTTGGGAGGCCGAGGCAGGCAGATCATGAGGTCAGGAGATCAAGACCATCCTGGTTAACACGGTGAAACCCCATCTCTACTAAAAAATAAATAAATGAATAAATAAATAAATAAATAAATAATTAGCCAGGCGTAGTGGCAGGCTCTTGTAGTCCCAGCTACTTGGGAGGCTGAGGCGGGAGAATGGCGTGAACCCAGGAGGTGTAGCTTACAGTGAGCTGAGATCGCGCCACTGGACTCCAGCCTGGGCAACAGAGTGAGACTCTGTCTCAAAAAAAAAAAAAAAATATATATATATATATATATATATGTATATTTATATATGTATATATGTATATTTATATATGTGTGTATATATATATTTATATATATATATAAAAAGATGTTCCACTTCAGTCATAAGAAATTTAAGATACAATCCCACCAAGGCACCATTTTTAATCTGTAAGATTAGTAAAGATTAAAAAATTTAATCCTAGGCCTGGTGCAGTGGCTCCCACCTGTAATCCCGGCACTTTGGGAGTCCGAGTTGGGTGGATCACCTGAGGTCAGGAGTTTGAGACCAGCCTGGCCAACATGGTGAAACCCTGTCTCTACTAAAAACACAAAAAATTAGCCGGGCATGGTGGTGCACACCTGTAATTCCAGCTACTCAGAAGGCTGAGGCATAAGAATTGCTTGAGCCCGGGAGGCAGAGGTTGCTATGAGCTCAGATCATGCCACTGCACTCCAGCCTAGGGACTGTCTTTTAAAAAAAAAAAAAAAAAAAAAGGGGCCTGGCGCATGGCTCCCTCCTAGCACTTTGGGAGGCCAAGGCAGGTGGATCATCTGAAGTCAGGAGTTCAAGACCAGCCTGGCCAACATAGTGAAATCCCACCTCTACTAAAAATACAAAAATTAGCCAGGCATGGTGGTGTGCGCCTGTAATCCCAGCTACTTGTGAGGCTGAGGCAGAAGAATCGCTTGAACCTGACAGGGGGAAGTTGCAGTGAGCTGAGATCACACCACTGCACTCTAGCCTGGGTGACAAAAGAAGACGTCTCAAAAAAAAAAAAAAAAAAAAACTTAATCCTATACTGGTAAAAATGGAAGGGAATGGGCACTCATTCATTGCTGGTAGGTGTAAATTGGAAGAATATCTGAAGCAATTAATTTGGTAATATCTGTCAAAATCACAATGCATATAACCATTTATTTTTTATAGAGATGGGGTCTTGCTATGTTGCCCAGGCTGCTGAAATGCAGTGGCTATTCACAGGTTCCATTGTAGTGTACAGAGCAAAACTCCGTCTCAGTAAATAAATAAAGACTCCATATCAATAAATAAATAAAGATAGATGCCATAGTCCTCCGAGTACTAAATGACATATATAGTCACACACCACATAACATTTAAGTCAACAGCAAACCACACATATGAACAACGGTCCCTTAAGGTTATAATGAAGCTGAAAAACTCCAACTGCCCAGTGACACTATAGCGGTAATATCATGGCACAAAGCATTACTCACATGTCTGTGATGATACTGGTATAAACAAACCTACTGTACTGCCCATCAAATAAATGTATAGCACATAGAATTATGTACAGTACTAACACTTGACATAGATAATGACTATGTTACTGATTTATGTATTTATTATACTATACTTTTTTTTGTTTTGACACAGAGTCTCGCTCTGTCACCCAGGCTGGAGTGCAGTAGCACGATGTTGGTCAGGCTGGTCTCAATGTCCTAACCTCAAGTGATCCGCCCACCTCGGCCTCCCAAAGGGCTGAGATTACAGGTGTGAGCCACTGCACCTGGCCAATATACTATATGTTTTATTGTTGTTTTAATTCTATTTAATTTTTTTTTTTTGAGACAGAGCCTTGCTCTGTTGCCAAGGCTGGAGTGCAGTGACATGATCTCGGCTCACTGCAACCACCACCTCCTGGGTTCAAGCGATTCTCCTGCCTCAGTCTCCCAAGTAGCTGCGATTACAGGCCCATGCCACCACACCCAGCTAACTTTTGTTATTTTTTAGTAGAGACAGTGTTTCACCATATTGGTCAGGCTGGTCTCGAACTCCTGACCTCAACTGATCCCCCCACCTCAGCCTCCCCAAGTGGTGGGATTACAGGCGTGAGCCACCGCACCTGGCCTATTGTTGTCTTAGAGTGTATTCTTTCTACTCATTAAGGAAAAAAGGTTAACTGTAAAACAGCCCCAGACAGGTCCTTCGGAAGGTATTCCAAAAGAAGGAATTGTTATCAAAGATGATAGCTCCGTGTGTGTTACTGTTCCTGAAGACCTTCCAGTGGGACAAGATGTGGACTGAGAAGACAGTGATATTGATGATCCTGACCCTGTGTAGGCCTAAGCTAATATATATGTTTATGTTTTCATTGTTAATAAAAAAAGTTTAAAAAGTGAAAATGAATTTTTTTGAGACAGGGTCTCCATCTGTACACCAGGCTTGTGTGCACTGGTGCAAACACAGCTCACTGCAGCCTCAATCTCCCAGGCTCAAGCAATACTCCTGTCTAAACCTCCCGAGTAGCTGGGACCACACGTGCATGCCACCACACCCGGCTAATTTTTAAATATTTTGTAGAGACGGAGTCTTGTTATGTTGCTCAAGCTGGTCTTAAACTCCTGAGCTCAAGTGATCCTCCCATCTCAGCCTCCCAAAGTGCTGGGATTACAGGTATGATCTACTATGCCCAGCCATAAATGAATTGGTTTTTTGTTTTGTTTTGTTTTGTTTTTGAGATAGAGTCTCACTCTGTCTCCCAGGCTAGAGTGCAGAGGCATGATCTCAGCTCACTGCAACCTCTGCCTACTGGGCTCAACCAATCCTCCTGCCTCAGCCTCCCTTAGCTGGGACTACAGGTGTTTACCACCAAACCCGGCTAATTTTTATATTTTTTGTAGAAACGGAGTTTCACCATGTTGCCCAGACTGGTCTCCAACTCCTGGGCTCAAGCAATCTGCCAGCCTCAGCCCCCCAAAGTGCTGGGATTACAGGCGTGAGCCACTACACCTGGCCAAATGAATTTTTCTTAATAGGAAAAAAGCTTAAGGCCAGGCACGGTGGCTCACGCCTGTAATCCCAACACTTTGGGAGGTCAAGGTGGGCAGATCCCGAAGTCAGGAGATAGAGACCATCCTGGCCAACATGGTGAAACTCCGTCTCTACTAAAAATACAAAAATTAGCTGGGCGTGGTGGTGTGCACCTGTCATCTCAGCTACTCGGGAGGCTGAGGCAGGAGAATTGCTTGAACCTGGAAGGCGGAGATTGCAGTGAGCTGAGATCGCACCACTGCACTCCAGCCTGGGCCACTGAGCGAAACTCCGTTTCAAAAAAATAAAAATAAAAAATAAATAAAATAAAAAGAAAAAAAGCTTATAGAATAAGGATATATGATGAAAGAAAATATTTTTGTATAGCCATTCAATGTGTTTGTGTTTTAAGTTGTTATTACAAGAGTCAAAAAGCTAAACAAAATTAAAAGGTTTATGAAGTTAAAAAGTTATAATAAATTGGGTTAATTCATTATTGAAGGAAAACGTTTCCATAAATTTAGTGTTGCCTAAGTGTACAGTGTTTAGTAAGTCTACAGTGGTGTACAGTATGTACTAGGCCTTCACATTCTACCACCACTCACTCACTGACTCACTTCAAGGCCTGGAATCTCCATTCATGGTAAGTGCCCTACACAGGTGTATCACTTTTTATCCTTTCTACTGCATTTTTACTGTACTTGTTCTATGTTTAAATATGTTTAGATAAACAAATACCCAAAATTGGGTAACACCTGCATACAGTATTCAATACAATAACATGTGTACAGATTTGTACCCTAAGTACAAATAGGCTATACCACATAGCCTAGGTGTGTAATAGGCTATACCATCTAGGTTTGTGTAAGTACACTCTATGATGTCCACACAAAGACAAAATCACCTAATGACGCATCTCTCAGAACATATCCTTGTCACAAAGCAATCATGGCTATGTTCTGCAGACTGCTCAGTAGCAAACGATGAAAAATACCCTAATCCTCTACCAGTACACAGTGGTCAAATTACAGTACCTCAAAGTGTGGAATAACACACAGTCATGAAAACTGGAACACAGTTTTAAAAAAAGCAAACAGGCGGGCAGATCACTTGAGGTCAGGAATTCGAGAGCAGTCGGGCCAATGTGGTGAAACCCTGCCTCTACTAAGAATACAAAAATTAGCCAGGCATGGTGGTGCACACCTGTAGTCCCAGCTACTCAGGAGGCTGAGGTGGGAGAAGTGCTTCAACTCAGGAGGCGGAGGTTGCAGTGAGCCGAGATCGCACCATTGCACTCCAGCCTGGGTGACAGAGCGAGCGAGACTCCACCTCACAAAAAAAAAAAAAAAAAAAGCAAACATGAAAAAAAGCAAGCCCAGTTTCTCAGTCCATTTTGGGTTGCTATAAAAGAATACTTGAGGCTGGGTAATCTACAAAGCAAAAAGGTTTATTTGGCTCACAATTCTAATGGCTGTAAAGTTTATGACTGGGCATCTGCATCTGATGAAGGAATCAGGCTGCTTTCAGTCATGGCAGAAGGTGAAGGGGAACCAGTATGCAGCGATCACATGGCAAGAAAGGAAGCAAGGTTGGAGGTGTGCTGGTTCTTTTTAAAAACCAGCTCTCTAGGGAACTAACAAAGTGAGAAGTCACGTCTACTCCAGGGAGGGCATTAATTTAATCCATTCAAGAGGAATCTACTCCCATGACCCAACCATCTCCCATTATGCCCCACCTCCAACACCAGGGATCAAATCTCAACATGAGTTTGGAGGGCACAACATCCAAACCACAGCACGCAGGAAAAGGGCTATAGTGTACCCAAAGTCTCCAAAAGAAGAACCTGTCTCTTGGGTGTATAAGAAGACATTCTAAGGGGTACACAGAAACATAGGTTTAAGATCAACACCCACATGCTCCTACTGATCTGCCTGAGAACTAGCACAAGCTCAAGGCATCAGACTGATCTCTCCTCATCTCCACTTCTCACAACTGCCCTTGTCTTATATACAGGCATCTCCTCTCAACCACCCTAAATCTTACTGCAGAACTTGGGTGAAACATGGGGAGTAAAAACCTCCAGGATACCAAACAAAGGGACCATTGGTGACAAAAGAGAAATACAATACAGGTCTCTGAGAAGCCTCTAACCCAGATATCAAAAAGTTTCACAGTAGGGTTTTGTGTCCTATACATACTTCAGCCTGGGCAACATGGTGAAACTTGTCTCTACTGAAAATACAAAAATTAGCCGGGCATGGTGGCACATATCTGTAATCCCAACTACTCCAGAAGCTGAGGCAGGAGAATCGCTTGAACCTGGAAGGCAGAGGTTGCAGTAAGCCGAGATGGCACCACTGCACGCCAGCCTGGGTGAAAGAGCAAAACTCTCTCTCAAAAAAACAAAAATCCAAAAAGAGGTGGTTACCTTACAGATGTACAGTACTCATTTATTAAAATTGGAAAAAAGGAGTCAGACTTTCTGGCAGAAAATCAGTGTTATTTATTTAGCTGCCTGGTTTGTCAGGGAAGACTGGCTTTGCCATTAAGGTTACTGGTGATAATTTTCCACAACTGAACAAATTAAATCCACAGTTCCAAGAATTAGATGAAAATATATTTAAATAGTTTATAATTATATTAAAATTTGCATCATGTATTTAAATACATATTTAAGTATGTACATGATCTAAGAGTTAAACATTTACCGGACATAAATTTAAAACACAAACGTATATTTTAATGAACATTACTTCATTACTTCAACTTTCCCAAACCTTTGAGTATACTGGTTGAAATAAGGTGCCGATGATGGTTTTATGTGTCAAACTATCTAAACTATAGTACCTAGTCATTCAATCAAAATCTAATTTAGATATTGTTATGAAAATATTTTGTAGATATGAGTAACATCAGCTGACTCGAAGTTAAGAAGATTGGCCTCCACAATCAGGGTGGGCCTCATCCAATCAGTAAAAGGCCCTAAGTGCAAAACTAAGGCTTCCCTGAAGAAGAAATGTCCACCTAACAGACAGCCTCCCTGTGGATTTCAGACTTGCCTAGCCAGCCCCAGCAATTATGTAAACCAGTTCCTTGCAAAAAAAATCTCTTTATATGTATATAAACCTGTTGAAAATTTTATATAGCATATATATATATGTATAATACATACATGTGTATACATGCATACATATGTGTCTGTATATTTATACACATACATAATCTCCATCTGGTTCTCTTTCTCGGGTAAAACACTAATTGATACACCTATAGGGATAGGTGAATAGTAAGAAGTATAATTAATAATCTTTTGTTAGGTCTCAGTAAAACCTTTTTACTTTGCTTCTCAGAAAATGAGAATGCAAAGGGCCCTAATGACTTGTTAAAAAACCTAAATCTCTTCCATGTCTGCTGGTTTCAAATTATCTGCTTCTAGCAAAACTGAAAGAAGACCTAATTGAATTGTCAGCTGCTAAATCATTAAAAATCCTTTATTGTCAATGACTGCTATATGCTTTTTCAAACACAGTTGAGAAGAACAAAGAACTGACACCTTTATAAGCTCTAAGGGCAGAGATTTCGGTAGCTTTGTTCACCACTCATCACCAGTACTTAGTAGAATGTCCAGTACACAGCAGGAGCTCAAAATACATTTGGTAAATGAATACATAGTAAAACTCCACCATTCTGATCTACTTACTTACATGTAAAAATTTTGTTAGAATCTACATGTATATAAATCAAACATGAGGAACAGAATGAAAGCTAAACCTGTCTCATTCTAGCAATGAGGTATATTATTTCAAGGATTCATTAAGCTAATTGGAGTGAGAGGAAGCCCCACTAAGCTTAAGATTTCCTATGAAAATGTCACACTTTTAGTTTTACTAATTATCAAAAATTTTACAATGTATACTATTATTATAAAAATCCAAGGAAAAATGTTAAGACTCTGAGCCTTATGAACTCAGAAAATGTAAATAGTTTTACATTTTAATTTACATAGGCATTTCTGTTGCAGTGATTCATAAGATAATTAATATAATTTGCAAGCATAAAAAACATTAGGTTAGTACACCAGGGACACCTGGAACCCCAGCACCTTAGGAGGCCAAGGTGGGCAGATCACTTGAGGCCAGGAGTTCAAGACCAATCTGGCCAACACAGCAAAAACCCATCTCTACAAAAAATGCAAAAATTAGCTGGGTGTGGTGGGGCACGCCTGTGATCCCAGCTACTCGGGTGGCTGAAGCAGGAGAATCACTTGAATCCCTACCTCAAGGCAGCGGTTTCAGTGAGCTGAGACTGTGCCACTACACTCCAGCCTGGGTGACAAGAGTCAGACTGTCTCAAAAAAACAAACAAATAAATGAATAAATAAAAGAAGGGAAAATCGAGAGAAAAAAACAGAAAACATTCTGCTACCATTTTTGAAAAAAAATATTGCAAAGGAAAGAACGTGTGTATACATTTTTGTATGTATTTTATTTCATACACAAGAATTCTCACTGGAAAAGACACCAGAAGCTAGTAATAATAATGACTTGTCGGGGAGAACTGGGTTTTGGGGGGTCCTGATATAGGGAGTTTTTACACTGAATACATTTTTGTATCTTTTAAATGTTTGCTCATTCAAATGTCAACTTATATTTTGGGAGGCAGGGTCTTGTTCTGTCACACGGGCTGGAGTGCAGTGGCGCAATCATGGCTTACTGCAGCCTCAACCTCCAGCGATCTGTACTAACGTTTTATTTTTTATTTTACTTTTTTTTTTGAGACAGAGTCTCACTGTGTCACCCAGGCTGGAGTGCAGTGACACGATCTTGGCTCACTGCAACCTCCGCCTCCTGGGTTCAAGGTATTCTCCTGCCTCAGCCTCCTGAGTAGCTAGGATTACAGGTGCCTGCCACCACACCTGACTAATTTTTGCATTTTTATTTTTTTTGAGATGGAGTCTCACTCTGTCACCAGGCTGGAGTGCAGTGGCACGATCTCAGCTCACTGCAACCTCCACCTCCCGGGTTCAAGCGATTCTCTTGCCTCAGCCTCCTGAGTAGCTGGGACTATAGGCACATGCCACCATACCCAGCTAATTTTTGTATTTTTAGTAGATACGGGGTTTCACCATGTTGGCCAGGATGGTCTCGATCTTCTGACCTCATGATCCACCCACCTCAGCCTCCCAAAGTGCTGGGATTACAGGCGTTAGCCACCATGCCCAGCCAATTTTTGTATTTTTCCTAGAGATGGGTTTTTGCCATGCTGGTCCTGGCCTCAAGTGATCTACCCGTCTCGGGCCCCCAAAGTGCTGGAAGCCAAAGCGCTGGGAGCCACAGTGCCCAGCCAACGATGTGTGTGTGTGTGTGTGTGTGTGTGTGTGTGTGTGTGTGTGTGTGTGTGTGTGTGTGTTTTCCTTCCTTGTGTGTGTGTGTTTTTCCTTCCTTTGTGTGTTTGTGTGTGTGTGTGTGTGTGTGTGTGTGTGTGTGTGTTTTCCTTCCTTCTTTGTACCGGTTTCTTGAAATTTCCTTTTTTTTTTTTTTCACTTTTAGATATGAGGTCTCGCTGTGTTGCCCAGGCTAGTCTCCAACTCCTGGACTCAAGTGGTCCTCCTACCTTGGCCTCCAAAAGTGCTTGGATTACAGGCGTAAGCCACTGCCCCTGGCCTAAATTTTCTTTTTTTTTTTTTTCTTTTGAGATGGAGTTTCACTCCTGTTGTCCGGGCTGGAGTGCAATGGTACAGTCTCAGCTCACTACAACCTCCACCTTCCGGGTTCAAGCAATTCTGCCTCAGCCTCCCAAGCAGCTGGAATTACAGGCATGTGCTGCCATGCCCAGTTAATTTTGCATTCTTAGTAGACAAAGGGTTTCACCACGTTGGTCAGGCCGAACTCCTGACCTCCAGTGATCCATCCACCTCGGCCTCCCAAAGTGCTGGGATTAGAGGCATGAGCCACTGCGCCTGGCCCTAAATTTTCTTTTTATTTGTCAGGAAGTTATTCATCTTGTTTATAATTTATTTTTTTTTAAAGAGACACAGGTGTCACTCTATTGCCCAGGCTGGAATGCAATTGCTCAATCATAGCTCATTCCAACCCTGAAATACTGGACTCAAGTGATTCTCCTATCTCACCCTCCTTTGTAGGTAAAACTGTAATTATACATAACCAAATAAATAAAATAAAATACAGGATGGGGCCACGCAAAGTGGCTCATGCCTCTAATCCGAGCACTTTGGGAGGCCAAGGCAGGTGGATCACTTGAGGTTGGAAGTTCAAGACCATCCTGGCCAACACGGTGAAACCCGGTCTCTATAAAAATACAAAAATTAACCAGGCGTGGTGGCACACATCTGTAGTTCCAGCTACTCAGAAGGCTGAGGCAGGCGAATCACTTGAACCCACGAGGCGGAGGTTGCAGTGAGCTGAGATTGCACCACTGCACTCCGGCCTGGGCGACAGAGTGAGACTGTCTCAAAAAAAAAAAAAAAAAAGAAAAGAAAGAAAAAAGAATCATTTGGTCTTTCATATTGTTACTGAACTCAACTTACAATGTTTTTCTTTTTAATAATTTCCACTTTTCAGCCAGGCGCGGTGGCTCATGCCTGTAATCCCAGCACTTTGGGAGGCCGAGGTGGGCAGATCACCTGAGGTTGGGAGTTCGAGACCACCCTGACCAACATGGAGAAACCCCGTCTCTACTAAAAATACAAAATTAGCCAGGTGTGGTAGCACATGCCTGTAATCCCAGCTGCTCGGGAGGCTGAGGCAGGGAATTGCCTGAACCCAGGAGGTGGAGGTTGCAGTGAGCCGGAGATCGCGCCATTGCACTCCAGCCTAGGCAACAAGAGCGAAACTCTGTCTCAAAAAATTATTATTATTATTATTTGATTATTATGTAATCAAAGTTACTTGGGAGGCTGAGACAGGAGAATTGCTTGAACCCAGGAGGTGGAGGTTGCAGTGAGCCGAGATTGTGCCACTGCACTCAAGCCTAGGTGACAGAGCGAGACTCTGTCTCAAAAAAAAAAAAAATCTTATGGCTTCTGGACTTACTTTCTAGGTCTCTTAATCCATTTTTTTCCCCCAAGAGAAAGGGTCTCCCTTTGTCACCCAGGGTGGAGTGCAAACACACCCAGGGTGTGGCACGAACACAGCTCACTGCAGCCTCAATCTCCTGGGCTCAAGCAATCCTCCTGCCTCAGTCTCCTGAGTAACTGGGACCAGAGCTGTGTGCCACCACACCCAGCTAATCTTTTCTTTTTGTTGTTGTTAAAATGGGGTATTCCTGTGCTGTCCAGGCTGGTATCTAATTCCTGGGCTCATGTAATCATCCTGCCTCAGCCTCCCAAAGTGCTGGGTTTCTGTAATTTTTTTATTCAACTATGGGCAACAGAGCTAGACTCCATCCCAAAAAAAAAAAAATACACTGAAGTCTCCAACTTACCATTAAATGGTTCAGAAAATAATATATGTATATTTGCATTATATATAGAATGATAAAGCCAATAGGGCAAAATGTTAGCAACTCTTGAATCTGAGTAAATGGCATGGAGAGTTCCTTATACACTTGGACACTTTAAGTTTGAAAGATGTTATGACCTTTTAGAAGTAAGTACTGAAATATTTACAGATAAAAAGGTAAGGCTTCTTTGACGTGCTTCAAAATAATGGGCTAGCGAGTAGAGGTCTAGATGAATCACAGTTGATCATGTGTAGATTACTGTTAATACACAGTGATGGAAACACCAGGCATACTGTATTCTTCTCTGCTTGTACATGATGAAAGTTTTCTGTAATAAAAAGTTTGTTTTTTTTAAGAGTTCGTAAGGTGGGCACAGTGGCTCACACCTGTAATCCAGCACTTTGGGAGGCAGAGGTGGGCGTATCACCTGAGGTAGGGAGTTCGAGACCAGCCTGACCAATACAGAGAAACCCCGTCTCTACTAAAAATATAAAATTAGTCAGGCATGGTGGCGCATGCCTGTACTCCCAACTACTCAGGGGGCTGAGACAGGAGAATCGCTTGAACCTGGGAGGTGGAGGTTACGTTGAGCTGAGATCACGCGCCACTGCACTCCAGCCTGGGCAACAAAAGCGAAACTCCAACTCAAAACAAAACAAAAAAAGAGTCCATAATGGCCAGGCACAGTGGCTCACACCTGCAATCATGGCACTTTGGGAGGCCAAGGCAAGAGGATCACTTGAGAGCCCAGGAGTTGGAGACCAGCCTGGCCAACATGGCAAAACCCCATCTCTACTAAAAATACAAAAATTAGCCAGGCATGGTGGCATGCGCGTGTACTCTCAGCTATTCGGGAGGCTGAGGCATGAGAATTGCTTGAACCAGGGAAGGCTGCAGTGAGACAAGATTGTGCCACTGCACTCCAGCCTGAGCGATAGAGCAAGACTCTATCTCAAAAAATAAAAAAAAGTCCATAATGAGAAGAGTTTTTTAAATGGAAAAACTAAAGTTCAGGAAAATTAAGTGGCATCCACACTCAGGACTCCAGTTTTGAACTCATTCTAATAACACTTTCTCCATTAATCCTCCCTAAAAAACTCCTCATAAAACATGAATTCTTCAGACAACTTTATGTGCTGTCTGCACCTGATGTTTTAGTCAATACCAACAGAAATACAGTAAGATACATCTAACTCCACCATTCCCGGATATATAGTTGCCTTTGAAAGTAAAATCAACAAATAATGTACATAGAAGTAATCCTTCTAAACAGATAAATATACATAGAAGTAATCCACCCATAGGGATAATCAACAAATTGCTGGGTAGGTAGAAAACAAACCATCTGACATTTACTACACACCCATTATGAGTTGTTCCTTATGTCATAATCCTCACATCAACATGGGTGTCTTTTTTCTCCCCGTTTTTTGGTGGTAAAATATATCTATAACACAAAATGAAGTAATTTCTCTACTCTCTATTTTACAGATGAGAAAAAAAGGAAATCACTAAGAAGTTATGAAATTTTCCTATGTCAAGCAGTAAAACAGCCAACCAGAATCTGAACCCAGGTCTTTCTTTAAAATGTGTGGTGAGAGTGGCAAGCAGTAGGGGAAAAAAATGAAAGAAAAAATGCATGATGGCTACTACATCATTTGCTTGATGCTAAGTTCCTTAAAATTTATTTTCTACGAGTTAATACCAACAGGCTAATCAATTATGAATAAATTAATTTTCTACATACCCAATCCTAAAATAGACAAGACCAAGATGCTGTCATGCTGAGACTCTCCAGTCAGCAGATGCTCTACCAACAGTGAGCAGACCCCCTAAAAATCATTTCCTCTCACTATTTTTGCAGCAATAATTTTTTTAAAAATAGAGTCAGGGTCTTGCTAAGTTGGCCAGGCTGATCTCGAACTCCTACCCTCAAGCAATCCTCCCAACTTGGCCTACCTAAATGGTGAGATTACAAGCATGAGCCACCACTCCTGGCCAAGATATTGCTTTTTAGAATGACATACTAATCAGGTATTTTGGTTATAGCAAAAATCTATAAATTTAATGTATTAAAGTATATATGCAAACTTGTTTGGATTTTATTCACCATTTACAACATAAACTTAAAAAAGGTAAAATATCTCGGGCTGGGCGCAGTGGCTCACGCCTGTAATCCCAGCACTTTGGGAGGCCAAGGCAGGCAGATCACGAGGTCAGGAGATCGAGACCATCCTGGCTAACGCGGTGAAACCCCGTCTCTACTGAAAAGACAAAAAAATTAGCCGGGCGTGGTGGCAGGCGCCTGTAGTCCCAGCTTCTCGGGAGGCTGAGGCAGGAGAATGGCCTGAACCTGGGAGGCGGAGCTTGCAGTGAGCCAAGATCGCGCCACTACACTCCAGCCTGGGCGACACAGCAAGACTCCGTCTCAAAAAAAAAGATAAAATATCTCATATTGCCGGCCACGGTGGCTCATGCCTGTAATACCAGCATTTTGAAAGGCAGAGGCGGGCAGATCACCTGAGGTTGGGAGTTTGAGACCAGCCTACCCCGTCTCTACTAAAAATACAAAATTAGCCAGGCATAGTGGCACATGCCTGTAATCCCAGCTACTCAGGAGGCTGAGGCAGGAGAATCACTTGATTTGGGAGGTGGAGGTTGCAGTGAGCCGAGATCGTGCCATTGCACTCCAGCCTGGGCAACAAGAGCGAAACTCCGTCTCTAAATAAATAAAAATAAAATAAAATACTTTTTAAAATCTGATTTATGTTCATATACTTTGGATTTAATCATGCTTGTAATCTAGCTTCTAAGGTTGTTGCTAGTTGGGTGTGGTGCCTCACACCTGTAATCCCAACATTTTGGGAGGCCGAGGTCGGAGGACTGCTTGAGGCCAATAGTTTGAGACCCACCCTGGCAACATAACAAGACCCCATTTCTACCAAAAAAAAAAAAAAGTTTTTTAATTAGCTAGGCACGGTGAGATGCGCCTGTACTCCCAGCTTCTCTAAAGACTGAGGCAGGAAGATCCTTTGAGCCAAGGCTTGATTCAAGGCTGCAGTGAGCTATGATCCTGCCACTGCACTCCAGCCTGGGCAAGAGAGCAAGACCCTGTCTCCGAAAAAAAAAAAAAAAAAAAAAAAAAGCAATTTGGGACCAGGCATGGTGACTCACACCTGTAATCCGAACACTTTGTGAGGATCCCTTGAGGCTAGGAGTTCAATACCAGCCTGGTGCTTTTAAAGCAATATTTTGTTCTCATTATCAGTAGCAAATGTGAAGCCTTGATATGCTGAATATATAATTTGTAAACGTGACAGAACTCATATCATAATGAACACTTTTTTGTTTTACATGTCAGCAATTAATTGAAATAATGAACACTTTCTATACAGAAACAGAAAAACACAATGAACTACAGGAGAAAATACAGTAAGAATTTAACTTATGAGACAACTAACTTGCCTGGCTAAACGGATGACACAGTGGGCAACGACTCTCAAGCAAACTCAGAACAAACCTATGCAAACAGCAGCCTTCCTTACACCCATACCAGAACATTTCAAAAGCTTCAGGGTCCTCAAGACCATAGTGATTATAAATCAAAGTATCAAACTGGCCGGGTGGGGTGGTTCACACCTGTAATCCCAGCACTCCCAAGCTGGGCGGATCACTTGAGGTCAGGAGTTCAACACCAGCCTGGCCAACATGGTGAAACCCTGTCTCTACTAAAAATACAAAAATTAGCTGGGCATGGTGGTGCATGCCTGTAATCCCAGCTACTCGGGAGGCGGAGGCAGGAGAATCGCTTGAAGCTGGGAAGCAGAGGTTACAGTGAGCTGAGATCATGTCATTGCACTGTAATCCCAGCACTTTGGGAGGCTGAAGTCAGCAGATCATGAGGTCAGGAGTTCCAGACCAGCCTGACCAACATGGTGAAACCCTGTCTCTGCTAAAAATACAAAAATTAGCTGGGTGTGGTGGCACCCACCTGTAATCCCAGCTACCCAGGAGGCTGAGGCAGGAGAGTCGCCTGAACCCAGAAGGCGGAGGTTGCAGTGAGCCAAGATGGCACCACTGCACTCCAGTCTGGGTGACAGAGCAAGACTCAATCTCAAAATAAATAAATAAATAAATAAATAAATAAAATTAATTAAATAAAATAATAAAACCTGCACATCCTGCACAGGTACCCCTGAACTGAAAAGAAGGGGGGGAAAAATGTGGCTGGGCATGGTGGCTCACACCAATAATCCCAGCACTTTGGAAAGCTGAGGCAGGAGGATCACTTGAGCCTTTGGAAAGCCAAGGTAGGAGGATCACTTGAGCCCAAGAGTTCCAGACCAGCCTGAGAAACATAGGGAGACTCTATCTCTGTAACACGCTTTTTTAAAATTAGCCTGGTGTCGTGGTGCACACCTGTGGACCCAGCTACTCTGGAGGCTGAGGTGGGGGTATTGCTTCAGCCCGGGACATCGAGGCTGCAGTGAGCCATGATTGTGCCACTGCACTCTCCAGCCTGGGCAACAGAGCAAGACCTAGTCCCCTCACCAAAAAAACTAAGTATTATTCAGTTGTTTTAGCAGGGAGAAAACATCCTCCGAAACAGTGAAGTATAAATTTCCTCCTATCTGTATCCTCACAAAACCACCAATAGGCCAGGCCCAGTAGCTCATGCATGTAATCCTAGCTCTTTGAGAGGCCAAGGTGGGAGATTACTTGAGGCCTAGGGTTCAAGACCAGCCTGGGCAACATAGCAAGACTCCATCTCTATTCAAAAGAAAAATCCACCACTGAAAACAGGAGATGGCAAGACACTGCCCAGATCCTTTGCTAAAGCCTATTTACAAAGGCTTCTATGTCAACATTTTCACCAATTAATGAATGTGATACAACCTAAAAAACCATATACTAGGCCAGGCCTGGTAGCTCACACCTGTAATCCCAGCACTTTGCAAGGATGAGGCAGGAGGCTCACTTGAGCCTGTGATTTTGAGGCTGCAGTGAGCCATGATCACACCACTGCACTCCAGCCTGGGTGACAGAGCAAACTTTGTCTCCGGAAAAAAAAAAAAATATATATATATATAGATATAAAATTACATACACACATATATACACATATACACTGAAACCAAACACCAGTGTTTGGTTTCAGTTAGTATCACTTATTTTACTCCCATCAAAACTACAAAGAAGATAAATGGACAAGCAAAAGACTTCAGGTAAGAAAAAGCATGTTTCCACCTCATCACAAAAAACACAAGACTTAAAACGTTTTTTTAATCAGAGAAAAACAACTTACTAGCATGCTTATCTGCGAGCATTATAAGTGTGTTGGAAATATCACGTCGTCTATAAAAGCATACTACTTTTGCTTCCACGTTGCCACTTGCAGTCTAAGAGATAAGAAAAATAAAAGTCATTTGCACTGAATATTAGAGTCAAATAATTTATACAACGAAACTAGATACAGCACAATTATATGATCATGCTCATTAACACTGGTGCCAACCACAACTGCAGGATAACCACAGAGCTAAAAAATTCAAATAAGGATGAGCAACATTTGTTCTGCTTCCAAGCACAACTGGAATGTCAAACATATAATAACACTGGCATTAATTAAACTAAACTGATTAGACTGCTTTAATGATTAAAGCCAGACATAGTTAACACTGATTAGCTTTAAGAAACTAATCCCCCAACTGCTTCAATTAACTAGCCTTAAAAAAAACAAAAGAGAAAGAAACTAATCCCACCAATTTTTAAAGCCACAACTGACGGAAATAATTTATTTCAGTCATTTAAACACACCTCGTCCAAACCCATTCCCAGAAAGCACTAGCTAAGTGTAAAATCACCAAGCCCTCCCCTAAGTATCCCATGTTCCATGGACAGTGAAGCTCTGCAGGTGGGAAGCAGCCATCATGCAGAATAGACCAGGTGACCTGGAAAAGCATTCTCTACACCAAGGAAGTCTATGAATCTCTAAGAGTCAATATTCTAAGCAGTACTTAGTTTACCTTCACATCTAAAAATATTAAAAACCTTGAGTTATGAACACTGAAACTCTCATTTCTTTTTGGCTACAATCTACAATGCAAACAATATTCAGTTAGGTTCTTCCAAAGTATGATGGCTTCAAAAAAAAATTCAGTTATGCTGTCATTTACTGCAGCTGGGGCCCAGGCTCCTGCTCTCCTATTCTCTAGAATTCTGAGAGCTCTCAAGAAGGTCAATCATTCATTACAAAGTTCCCTGTAAAAACACACAGATTATAATAAAATGCTATTGTGATTTCCATTTTCAAACAAGTGTGAGAACAAATTTTCAGAAATTTCTCTGGTCTTACAGATATACTCAAATACAAAGAAGAATATAAGTGCTGCAGTAAATTTGTCAATTTTATGAAGTCCAGCAGCCGTATTTTAGATTAAGAAATAGTCCTGTGGAAACAGTGCCCCTTAAAACTGAAATCATATTAAATTTCTAACCAAAGTGCTTCTATATTTCATAATATTGTGATCAAATACATTCTCCAGAAGTAATGATCCAGCAATCTGCTAAATGAACAGGCCAAAATTTCCATGTAAATAAAATAAAATCTATCAATGACTTCAAATATAAGCTCTTAGTCATTTCTGTCTTCTTGAGATATGCCTTGAAACTGCTGCTTTGGATTTTCAATGTGATTTTTGTCTCTTCTTGAGACATTAAAAATCCAGGCCGGGTGCGGTGGCTCACACCTGTAATCCCAACACTTTGGGAGTCCAAGGTGGGCAGATCACGAGGTCAGGAGTTCTAGACCAGCCTGGCCAACATAGTAAAACCCCATCTCTACCAAAAATACAAAAATTAGCTGGGTGTGGTGGCACACACCTGTAGTCCCAGCTACTCGGGAGGCTGAGGCAGGAGAATCGCTTGAACCTGGGAGGTGGAGGTTGCAGTGAGCCAAGACCACACCACTGCACTCCAGCCTGGGTGACACAGTGACAATCCGTCTCAAAAAAAAAAAAAAATCCAAATCAACAGTTTCAAGGCATATTTTTTTCTGCCTCACTAGTGAGTTCCTCCAATAGGGATGCTATACAAAGCTAATTAAATTCTTATTTAAACCTGCTTAGGGGGCGGGGAGCATAGTTCAAAATAAATAGTCTCTTCTTGACCATGCACTCACTTAGCTACTAGGTAGCTTACAGCTACCATATTCCTCTTCCCCTCTACAAACACACCCTCTCCAGCATTCTTCTGAAGCATGGTTACTCATGGGTCTACAGCCCAGTGCCAGTCTGCAACTGTTAATGGCATTTAATGAAATGAGTACAGGGTTTGAGACTAAGTGCATTACAGCAATTAAGAGTTCATTTTTATATATATATATATATATATATATATATTTTTTTTTTTTTTTAGATGGAGTACCATTCTGTTGCCAGGCTTGAGTGCAGTGGCACAATCTCGGCTCACTGCAACCTCCAACTCCCTGGTTCAAGCGATCCTCCTGCCTCAGCCTCCCAAGTAGCCTTTTTTCCCTAGCTTATCTATCAGAACAAAGTAAGTATTTTCAGTTTAGAGGTGGTTTTGTTTTGGTTTTTTTGTTTGTTTGTTGAGATGGAGTTTCACTGTTGCCCAGGCTGGAGTGCAATGGCACGATCTCAGCTCACTGCAACTTCCGCCTCATGGGTTCAAGCGATTCTCCTGCCTCAGCCTCCCGAGTAGCTGGGATTACAGGCATGCGCCACCATGCCCGGCTAATTTTGCACTTTTAGTAGAGACAGGGTTTCACCACATTGGCCAGGCTAGTCTCAGACTCCTCTCAGGTGATCCACCCACCTCGGCCTCCCGAAGTCCTGGGATTACAGGCGTGAGCCACCATATCTGGCCTTGTTTTGGTTTTTTTCAGAGATGGGGGGTCTTATTATGTTGCACAGGCTGGTCTCAAACCCCCAGGCTCAAGCAATCCTCCTGCCTCAGCCTCTCGAGCAGCTGGGACTACAGGCCTGAGCCACCATGCCTGTCTTCAAGTATTTTTAAATCATTATTTGGATTTTCCCATCATGTTAACAACTTTCCCTACCTAGCCAATTTCACCTCTGATCTTCCCAGGGCCTTTATCTAGAACACTCCTGCGTCCTCTCTTCCCATGGTTCCCTCTTCCTCATCCTTTAGGCCTCAACTTCAATGTCCTGTTCCACCCTACCTAAAGGAAATGACCTGTCATTCTCTATGTCAAGGTTCTTGCCTTCTTAGAAGTTAATACAATTCATTACTATTACTATTTTCTTTATGCCCATCAACTTGTCTTTCCGGGTGTCTCCCTCATTAGAATGTGGACCCTGTATGGGTAGAGACCATGTACATCTTGTTCACATTCTATCTCTGAGCCTAGCATAGTGCCTGGTACAAAACAGGTACTCAATAATATTTGCTTAATGAATTATCTAAAATAAGATGTCTTTTTCACATCCCTTCAGAAATAAAGACCCTATGTAAATATTTCAATTAGCCATTCAAACTACCATTTTGTGAAATTACAAAGAATCCCATCTCTCACAACACAACCCCAGTCCCAGAAACTCGCTATTACATGGATGACTCTGTGCTGACAACAGGTAGGCGGAGGGAGGAGGTGAGGATGGATGAGGGGGGCATTTCAGAAATGAATGGCCATGAAATGATAAAGGAGTGTGAAATAAGCTATGTTCACCTAGATGTGCAACCCAATAATTTAGCTACTATGTGCCTCAAGAAAACAATGCATGATTTAGCTACCTTAAGGTGTAAGGTTCTGTGAGGCTCAAAAGGGTAACAAACGTGAATCCTGGGTTAGGTTTCCAGAGCACCATGCTGTGACATTTCTAAACTTAGCACAGCTACAATTTTACTTTCACTTGTGGGACTATATGGTTGATGTCTGTCTCCACTAGACCTGTTTTTTTTTTATCACCCTTGCATTCTCACTGTCTAAAAGTACCTGGCTGGTAGAAGGTCCTCAATTTTATTTGTAAAATGAATGAATCAAAGCAGTTTGTAAATAGTAAAGCTATGTACACATAAGCATTAACATCAGACATTTCAGAAATTAATTAATTCAACAAGTATTTAGTGAATGCCTTTAACTATGTGCCAGCCACTATTCTAAGGCACTCAGAATGCATAACTGGACAAAACAGAAAAGATCACTGCAGCTGACACTCTAGGAAGACAGGTAATGAAAATAAACACAGTAAGTATATTTGGAGGTGATAAATGATATGGAAAAAAGAGCAAGGGGTGAGGGGTAGGACGGACACAAATAAACGGTCCTCCTAAGGTGGTTGCAGGGAGAAACAGCCAAAAGCCCATTGTGCTTTGTGCCAAGTAAGCAAGGCAGAGCTCCCACCTGCTTTCAGCGAAAGTGGAGGTCAGAGAGGGGCAGTGACAGCCAAAGAATATAGGGTCTCATAGGTCAAGATTTCTATTTCGATGTAATTAACTTTCTAATTAAACTGATATGGTAAATAGTTTAGAGTTGCCTCAATTCTTATACCTTACATCAATAACATAAAAGATCAGAATCACATGCCAACAGTTCCCATCCACGGACTGATCTACACTTGAGGCCATTCTCTTCACTTGGTGGTCTCAAAGACTAAATAATTTTTTTTTAATGCAAAGGCAGTCAGCCTGTAATCCCAGTGCTTTGAGAGACCAAGATGGGGGACTGCTTGAGGCCAGGAGTTCTAGATCAGCCTGGGCAACACAGTAAGACCACGTCTACAAAAAATTTAAACATTAGGCGGGGTGCAGTGGTTCACGCCTGTAATCCCAGCACTTTGGGAGGCCAAGGCGGGTGGATCACTTGATGACCAGCCTGGCCAACATGGTGAAACCCTGTCTTCACTAAAAATACAAAAAAATTAGCTGGGTGTGGTGGCAGGTGCCTGTAATCCCAGCTAATTGGGAGGCTGAGGGAGGAGAATCACTTGAACCTGGGAGGAGGAGGTTGCAGTGAGCCAGGATCTATGCTACTGCACTCCAGCCTGGGTGACAACTAACATAGGCAAATGCAGTAGCACAGTTATTTTGAGAAAAGGAGGCCGGGCATGGTGGCTCACGCCTGTAATCCCAGCACTTTGGGAGGCCGAGGTGGTAGATCACCTGAGGTCGGGAGTTCGAGACCAGCCTGACCAACATGGAGAAACCCCATCTCTGCTAAAAATTAGCCGGGCATGGTGGTGCATGCCTATAATCCCAGCTGCTCAGGAGGCTGAGGCAGGAGAATCGCTTGAACCCAGGAGGCAGAGGTTGTGGTGAGAGGAGGTTGCACCATTGTACTCCAGCCTGGGCAAGAACAGCAAAACTCCGCCTCAGAAAAAAAAAAAAAAAGCCGGGCGCGGTGGCTCACACCTGTAATCCTAGCACTTTGGGAGGCCGAGGCAGGCGGATCACAAGGTCAGGAGATCGAGACCATCCTGGCTAACACGGTGAAACCCCATCTCTACTAATAAATAATAAATAAATAAATAAATAAATAAATAGCCAGGCGTAGTGGCAGGCTCCTGTAGTCCCAGCTACTCGGGAGGCTGAGGCAGGAGAATGGTGTGAACCCAGGAGGCGGAGCTTGCAGTGAGCTGAGATTGCGCCACTGCACTCTAGCCTGGTCGACGGAGCGAGACTCCATCTCAAAAAAGAAAGAAAGAAAGAAAGAAAATGCTGGGGCAGTGGCTCACGCCTGTAATCTCAGCACTTTGGGAGGCCAAGGCGGGTGGATCACCTGAGGTCAGGAGTTTGAGACCAGCCTGGCCAACATGGTGAAACCCTGTCTCTACTAAAAATACAAAAATTAGCCAGGCATGGTGTTGGGCGCCTGTAATCCCAGCTATTCGGGAGGCTGAGGCAGAAGAATTGCTTGAACCCAGGAGACAGAGGTTGCAGTGACCGGAGATCATGCCATTGTACTCCAGCCTGGGCAACAGAGCAAGAATCCATAGCAACAACAACAAAAAATTAGCCAGGTATGGTGGTACATGCCTGTAGTCTCAGCTACTTGGAAAGCTGAGGCAGGAGGACTGCTTTGAGTCCAGGAGTTCAAGGTTACAGTGAGCTATCATCATACCAATGAACTCCAGCCTGGGTGACAGAGTGAGACCCTGTCTCCCTGTCTCTGGAATAAAATAAAAATAATGCAAATTCCCTGGGATATTCCCAAAACAAACCAAGGTCTCAAGGCTCTTCAAACTAAGAATGTCCTAGGTCAGGCTTGCCTTCTCAAGACAAAACTGAACAAGTTACCAGATGGCATTTTGAGGGAAAGGTATTAGCTAGACAGACTCAAAGATTTTAACACTATGAAGTCTCATAAACCACACAACCCTCAGAGAAGTCTGGAGGAAAACAAAGCATCATTAGAAAATCGGAGGAAAACAAAACATCATTAGAAAATCCATGGTCCATGCAGCTTGACTGCTTTCTGGTACCTCCATTATAAATCCTGGCCAGGCGCAGTGGCCCACACCTGTAATCCCAGCACTTTGGGAGGCTGGGGCGGGTGGATCACCTGAGGTCAGGAGTTCAAGGCCAGCCCAACCAACATGGTGAAACTCTGTCTCTAATAAACACACAAAAAACAGCCAGGCATGGTGGCGCATGCCTGTAATCCCAGCTACTTGGGAGGATGAGACAGTAGAATCGCTTGAACCTGGGAGGAAGAGGTTGCAGTGAGCCAAGATTGCGCCATTGCACTCCAGTCTGGGCAACAAGAGTGAAAACTTCATCTCAAAAAACAAAAAACAAAACAAAACAAAAGTTTCTTCTCCTGCAATCATAAGGCTTCTTTTGTCCTAATAAACGACCATCTCGGACAAATCTTAATGTGAAAATTTTAATTGGGCCAAAGGTACAAAGCTACTTTATATTTATTACACCAAAACCATAATTTTTTTTTTTAATTTCGAGACAGTCTGTGTTACCCAGGCTGGAGTGCAGTGATGCAATCACAGCTCACGGCAGCCTTGACCTCCTGGGCCCAAGCAATCTTCCTCAGCCTCCCAAGTAACTGGGACTACAGGCATGTGCCATCATGCCCGGCTATTTTTTTTTGGTAGAGGCAGGGTTTCCCTATGTTACCCAGGCTAGTCTGGAACTCCTGGACTCAAAGGATCCTGAGGCCTCAGCTTCCCAAAATGTTAGGATTACAGGTGTGAGCTACCACAGACAATTTAGCCTAGTCCAGAATTTTTTTTTTGAGACAGTCTCACTCTGTCACCCAGGCTGGAGGGCAGTGGCGCGATCTCGGCTCACTGCAAGCTCCACCCCCCAGGTTCACCCCATTCTCCTGCCCCAGCCTCCCAAGTAGCTGAGACTACAGGTGCACACCACCATGCCCGGCTAATTTTTTTTGTATTTTTAGTAGAGACGGGGTTTCACTATGTTAGCCAGGATGGTCTCGATCTCCTGACCCCGTGATCCGCCTGCCTTGGCCTCCCAAAGTGCTAGGATTACAGGCGTGAGCCACCGTGCCCAGCCAGCCTAGTCCAGAATTTTACAAATTCCCTTCAATTTTTTTTTTTTTTTGAGACGGAGTTTCACTCTTGTTGCCCAGGCTGGAGTGCAATGGCGTGATCTTGGCTCACTGCCACCTATGCCTCCCAGGTTCAAGCAATTCTCCTGCCTCAGCCTCCCAAGTGGCTGGGATTACAGGCATGCACCAACACACTCAGCTAATTTTGTATTTTTAGTAGAGATGGGGTTTCTCCATGTTGGTCAGGCTGGTCTCAAACTCCCAACCTCAGGTGATCCGCCCGCCTCGACCTCCCAAAGTGCTGGGATTACAGGCGTGAGCCACCGCACCCGCCCAGCCAATTCCTTTCAATATTATGTTCCCTAGCTTCCTCCTTCTAAACCTGGAAGAGGAAAATATTAATTCACTAAAAAGGGAAAAATACACATTATGACTCTAAACATAAAAAGGGTCTGAGTTACATAAGTGAACTGCTCTTTCAGAGGCTCTAAGCAATTTGAAAATATCTGCACACTTTTAAATATTCAGTAACAAAAAAGCAAAAGAATATTCGGAATTCAGAATCGTGCATAACTCTCTAAAATCTCAACTTTTTTTTTTTTTTTTTTTTTTTTGAGACAGTGTTTTGCTCTGTCACCCAGGCTAGAGTGCAATGGCGTGATCTCAGCTCACTGCAACCTCCACCTGGATTCTCCTGCCTCAGCCTCCTGAGTAGCTGGGATTACAGGTGCATGCCACCATGCCTAGCTAATTTTTTTGTACTTTTTTAGTAGAAACAGGGTTTCACCATGTTGGCCAGGCTGGTCTTGAACTCCTGACCTCAAGTGATCCACCCCCTCCTTGGCCTCCCAAATTGCTGGGATTACAGGGGTGAGCCGCCATGCCCAGCCTAAAATCTCATCTTTCAAAGAGTCTGGGACTGAAAGTAAAATCATCTCTTATGCCCCTTTACCCAGCTTATTTTTATTTTTTTATTTTTATTTTTTTTTGAGACGGAGTTTATCTCATTGCCCAGGCTAGGGTGCAATTGCACAATCTTGGCTCACCGCAACCTCCGCCTCCCGGGTTCAAGCGATTCTCCTTCCTCAGCCTCTCGAGTAGCTGGGATTACAGGCATGTGCCACCATGCCCGACTATTTTTTTTGTATTTTTAGTACAGACGGGGTTTCTCCATGTTGGTCAGGCTGGTCTCGAACTCCCGACCTCAGGTGATCCGCCCGCCTCAGCCTCCCAGAGTGCTGAGATTACAGGCATGAGCCACCGCACCCAGCCATATTTTTACTTTTTATATTAATTAAAAAAAAATAAGAGATAGGGTCTCACTATGTTGCACAGGCTGGTCTCCAACTCCTGGGCTCAAGCTATCCACTCGCCAGGCCTCCCAATTTACTGGGATTGCAGGCATGAGCCCCCACACCAGGCCACCCTTTACCCAATTACCCATCAAGGGAAAATAAATATTTTTAATATTAAAATTAAGAACACTCAGTGTATACCTTGTTGAGTTCTTCTATCCTTCTTATTAGGTATGGGTTGCTGGAGGAATTCTCAAAGTAGACATAATCTGTAATTAAAGGAAGTACAGAACTTAATCTTTTTAACAGAAAGTTCAGATTTGTCAATCCAAGACTTTTTATGTTAGGCATTTCACGTTTGAAATTAAGCTCATAATTCATTCACTGGTAAAAGCAAACATAATAATGCAGCCTTAATATATCCTCTCACGTGCCTACTATTCACAGACCTTTATTTTCTTGGCATTTTCATTTCAATTAATGTTTTATCAGTTTCTCCTAGACTTCTGTCCCAATACGTCATTTCTTTAATAATAAACAAAAAAGACACCTCTTATCACTGTGTAGTCAGGGCACGCTAAACATGTGTCCTCTGTACTATAACTACTTCCACATCTTTTTCCTCCAATACAATTTGCCCTGCAGGCTGCTTCTCACATAAAACTATTGACCTAAGACACATTCAGAGCAGGGAGAAAGGCTTCACAGTCCAACCTACATTTCAATCACTACTTAAAAAAAAAAAAAAAAATCAGATGAGCAGAACAGGTTAAGAGGAAGAACGCTGACAAACTTTTCCACAGTTTTACCTGGGAAGATGAGGAAAAAAGGGGGCCGGGGGATCACTTCTAAGAGGCAAAGTGTTCTGGGGGTGATATCAGCATCTTTTTTACCCTTTTACCATATTTAATCCAGATCCATTTAATGTCTTGTGATTAAGAAATTGCTGCAGGCTTTCAACTAAAAGGATAAAATTTTTCAAGTGTGGCTTTTCCTCTCATCTAATAGGCTTGCTGGAAACTTCCCACTGTGTGTTTATCCGAAAGGCAGCTGCATTGTTATTGTCTATCTTAGTGGCTCTTTCGCCGCTCTCTTCTGCAAAGTGGCCTCATTTAGCCAGGCCATTCCCACCACCATCCATCAGAAGCTCGGCTAATGAGCAGAGAAGGAAGAGCCAGTCTCTCATACAAACACGCCACTTATCTGAATTATTATTTTACCAGGAAAGAGGGAGGAGGGCGTCGTGAGTAGGGAGAAAGTTTGTTTGACCTTATTTCTCTCTTCCGCAGAAGACTGGGAAGGAGGCAGGCAGCAGAGCAAACGTCCAGGCAGAGCTCAACTCCCCACCTCCGGCTGAGGTTCCCAGCTCCCACGAAGCCCCATTCGTGGGGGACTGGACCAGAAACGAAAAGGAGGGGGGCCGAGGAAGGGGAGGTGCAGGGCCCCGGCACGCAAACAGGCCCGTCCAGCTGGGCCCCTGGCTGGGCCCCCACCGCCCCCACCCCCACCCCCACCCCAGGCTCCCACTGAGTGGGGAAGAAGCAGGAGAGGGGATGTCCCCTCATCCTCTCCAGCGCCTAGAAGCCACGCAAGAAGGCCACCTTCTCAGGGGGCTCGACGGGCCCTACCCCGATGAGGGTTTCGTGGAGGGGGGTGTCTGGTAATTCGTACCCCCAAGTAGAGGCCTGGCCCTAAACACTGGGCGGGGTGCGAGGGTGAAGGTGGCCCCGGGCCCTCGCGAGCCCGCGTGGGGGGAGGGGAAGGGATGGGTGGGGGTGGGGAGTCCCGGCCCCTCTGCGGGCCCCGGCGCCCCAGCCCACTGCGACCTCAGCCCCGGCGCCCTTGGCTCCCGGCAGTTGGCGTGCACTCGCCCCGGCCCCCCGCTCCCGGAACCCGCTCCCACACGGGCCGGGTCGGGCCGAGCCTGCCTACCTCCGACCCGGTACATGTTGGCCGCCATGTCCGCCCGCCCGCCCGCGGAGCCCGAGCCGAGCCCCGCCCGCCGCCGCCGCCTCCTCCTCAGCCTCAGCCGCGACCGCCGCTGCCGCCGCCGCCGTCGCTGCTGCCTCGCCACGGGGGGGAAGGGAGGGAAGGGAGGGGACAGGGGGTGGGGGAAGTAAAGGGGATGGTACGCCGAGGGGTGGGGGCTGGTGCCCGCCCCCAGCGCCAGGCTAGCAAGGCCGAGTGGGCCGGGCCGGGGGAGGCCCGGGGAGGCTGGAGCGCTGCGGGGCCAGCGGGAATTGGGGGGGAGGGGGAGGGGAAAGGGAGTGGGAGTGGGAGGGAGGGTGGGGGGCCTTGCTGGAAGTGGAGGGCCCTGGGGTCAGGGTCCTGGCTGAGGCAGAGGCCTGCACTCAAATGCGGACCAGGGGCTGTTAGAGAATTAGAGTGGGGGCTGGGGCTTAGCCTCTCCCCAGCACCTCTTCCCCCACCCAGGGTACCCCGTCACCTGTCCACCCCAAGACAGGTCCTCCTTCCCTACCTCTGTCCCTGGGGAACCCCCCTGTGGCTGCCCTAGTAGGCAAGCGCCAGTCTCAATGCAAACTCTTGGATGCAAATAAGTGCAGGCAGCAGGGTGCCTTCCTCGCGGTGAGATTCAAGGGGCCGGCCTGGAGCCTGCAGGCTCTAGGGCCAGGAAGATTCCGGGTGCTTCCCGCCTCGCCAGAGACCCAGCTGGGGACAGAGGTAGAAAAACTCCCTTCCTAGGCCACCCTAACTGCGTCATCGTTTACCCCAAAACTGGGCTGAGCAGAACCAACTGTCCAACACCCAGATGGAGGCCCTGGCTCTAGACGGGCACTGTATATGCAGGGCCTGTTCTGCTGGGAAAAGGGACCTTTAGGAGTGAGGGGCTTCCTTTGTCCATGGGGGAACAGGGCCCTACAGTTCACAATCACCACCACCCCCAAACAGAGGAGATTGTATTCAATCAGTTTCATGTCGATGGACACTTAACTGGTTACGTGCCTAAAGCTTCTAAATGGTTATTGTCCCAGGCCAATTCTCTAAACAACCTCTGTTTTCACGGCCTTCCTACTCTCACAGATACAAAAAAAAAAAAACAACGTTGAATCTTAGCTGGCGATCCCCCAAATGAACACAAATAACTTTCTTTAGAGAAGCCAGTCCATTCCAAAGTACTCCCAGACATTGCTGCATAATAAACACGAAGAAGATTTCTTGGTGTGGTGGCTTGTTTGGAATGTGTGGTGATACACAGCTGTGTGCTGTCGACTCTGGGTTTAAGGTCTGTGCGGGGCTAAGAGGTGCCCCCAGAAAAGAAGGTTGTGTTTTGGTGGTTTGGTGATGACATTTGTGATGGTCACTTATCACAAAGTATTGAGATGAAAAAACTGTGCATAGCTGAGGCAAAATATAAAAATAAAAAATAAAGCACTATTGAATTACATTGACTCTATGACCTGTTTCCTCGTCTATAAAATGGGGACGTGAGTTCCCCCTTCACAGGTGTGGTAAGGATCAGTTGCGATGATATCTGAAAATGCTTTGTAAACCAGGGAACACAGAGCACCATGCAAATAACAGGTGTCTCTTGCTTTCTTTTTAACCCCAGAAAACCACAGATTCCCAAGGGTTCTCTGCTGTGTGTCAAATTCTGAGCCATGTGTCAAATTCTGACCCAAAGAAGAAAGCAAAAGTGTTCTGTTCCACACATTGCATAGCTGTCATTCAACATTTACCAGAGATCCCACCAAAAACATTCTGACAAAACTGACATCACTCCATTTCTGAGCTGACACATAAATAGGGTTGAATAATTCACCTGGAATCACACAGTAAACTGGCAGCAATTTTGGGATTATGAATCAGCCCTTTCCTCTGGCCTAGAATGTTCTGAACCACAGTGTTTCTCCAAGTACAAAAGCCACCTAGAAACCATAAAGTGCAAAGAAGTGGATCACAAGCTTTAGGATGTTTTCCCATTAATTTTTCATAAGCAATTTCTCCTCCTTCGAAATCTTTCCCTGTTTTTGTTAATTCATTGTGTGCCTGTCTCATTTCCCAAGCTTAGTGCTCTTGCCAGGTGTTTATGATGACTGTGCTAACCACAATAAATGGTGAAAGATGCCGAGAAAACTCCTCCCTATGTCCCCTTAGGAACAGCCTCATCCAGAAGCCCCCCATGAAAGGCCTCAAAGACTTGAAGGGGACTAGCAGGAGGTAATGATGGTGGCAGGCCTTAGAACCGTTTTTTGCTCTAGATTCTATATATTAGTCTCTTCCATGTCCAGCTCCTAGGCCAATGTCCTCTACATTTCTGAGCTGACACAGTAGATGCTCAGTATCTGAAGAATAAATACCAACAAATCGTGGACTCAAAGAATCAGAAGAGCTGAATACAAGGACTTTGTGAAACTTTTATATGTCCTAATTCCAGAGAGGTTCACACATAAAGGAGTTCAGCAAATGTTTGTAGATTGAAAGAAACCTTTCAACCAAAGACGGGTGGAAAGCCTGCACCTTTAAAAAAGCAAAGGCGCCTCTCCCTTCTTAGCTACATGGTTTAGACCACAAACTTGTCATCAACCAGCCCTAACTTCACTCCTAGTTTGGCAGTTTAACTATAAAGACCTTGAGCAAGTTACTTAACCCCTCTGAGCCTCAAGAGGGGTTACAAAATATGACTACTGGTTGATACCTACCTCAAAGGCTTATGGTAGAAAAAAAAATTTTTTTTGAGACGGAGTTTCGCTCTCGCTGCCCAGGCTGGAGTGCAATGGCACGATTCGGATTCGGCTCACTGCAAGCTCCACCTCCGAGGCTCAAGCAATTCTCCTGCCTCAGCCTCCCAAGCAGCTGGGACTACAGGTGCCCATCACCACGTCTGGCTAATTTTTGTATTTTTAGTAGAGACAGGGTTTCACCATGTTGGCCACACTGGTCTGGAACTCCTGACCTCAAGTGATCTGCCTGCCCAGCCTCCCAAAATGCTGGGATTACAGGCATGAGCCACCATGCCCAGCCTGGTAAAATTTAAATATAGAAGGTGTTTGGCACTTGTTGGGCGCTTCATATGCGTTAGGTCCCTTCTCTCTATTCCAGTTATTCTCATCACTAAGGAAGAAGTGTCTCTCAGGCCATGCCAGAAATCCCAGGGCAAATCCAGCCCTTCCATGGATGAAATTTCCTTGCACAGTTGTTGCAATTAAAGAACCACATACAAGGTAGTTCTTTACCATTTAGTTGAAGAGAAGTGGATGCAGCAAGAAAGCTATAGGTGGCTAGGCATGGTGGCTCACGCCTGTAATCCCAGCATTTTGGGAGGCCAAGGCAGGAGGATCATTTGAGCCTAGGCAACATGGCAAGACCCCACCTCTACCAAAAAAAAAAAAAAAAAGTTAGCCAGTTGGTGCGCACCTATGGTCCTGGCTACTCTGGAAGAGACTGAGGCAGGCAAATCGCTTGAGCCCAGGAGGTAGAGGCTGTGAGCCATGTTTATGCCCCTGCACTCTAGCCTGGGTAATAGAGCAAGACTCTGTCTCAAAATAAATAAACAAAAGAAAAAAAAGAAAGCTTTAGGTGAATAGGTAAAATGGAGAGTTGGTTTTTGTCTCAACGTAGGGATGGAGTTTTTATATGTGCGAAAAAATAAAAAGAGATTGGTGCCGGTTGGCTGAGCGCGGTGGCTCACACCTGTAATCCCAGCACTTTGGGAGGCCGAGGCCGGCGGATCATGAGGTCAGGAGTTCGAGACCAGCCTGGTCAATATGGTGAAAACCCATCTCTACTAAAAATACAAAAAATTAGCCGGGCATGGTGGCAAGCGCCTGTAGTCCCAGCTACTCAGGAGGCTGAGGCAGAAGAATCGCTTGAACCCAGGAGGCAGAGATTGCAGTGAGCCAAGATCACACCACTGTGTTCCAGTCTGGGCAACAGAACGAGACTTCATCTCAAAAAAAATAAATTAAAAGAGATTGGTGCTGGCCACAGTCTGGGAGTTCTGTCATACTGAACCCAGGACAGGAGCCTGGAGGTCTAAAATGTAATTAATCTGAAACCAGAGGCCAGGCTTTGGAAAAGGGACTTTATCTTGTTGGTTCGTGTTTTCCATGATTTATTTCTCTCTTCTTTTTCCTTTCATTAACTTCTTCTCTTATTTAGTAAAATTCTTTCAGAAAAGGCCAGTCTGTCTCATATTCTAAGGAGGGCCTGGGTTTTAAAGGCAGAGGAACATAACCCAAGAGAAGTGTAGGCATATGATGGCAAGAATCAAAGCAGAAGAGCCCCAAGGAGAAAGGAAACAGAATTGGGAGTTCTGTAGCTTCTCTAGTCATAGAGATGGTTCTTCCATAGATCTCCTGTGCAAAAAACATGAAATCCCTAAAGGTCTTGGTTTCGGGCAGTATGTGTTTTCGGATCCCATAGTTCCCTCATGCCCTCACAGGGGAGCTAGCTCAGCCATTTGGCTGCTTCCACAAGAAGGTTCCTTCTCTAGTAACATTACCTTTAGGTAGTAGAAAAGGGACTAAGTCATAATGGGGACAGAAATGAGCCTCTGGGTGGTTAACCTAACTGACCCTACTATTTCTCTTTTTTAACTACTGTAGATTTGAATAAGAAATGGTTGGCCAGGCACAGTGGCACACACCTGTAATCCCAGCACTTTGGGAGGCAAAGGCGGATCACCTGAGGTCAGGAGTTCAAGACCAGCCTGGCCAACATAGTGAAACGCCATCTCTACTAAAAATACAAAAAATTAACTGGGCGTGGTGGCACACGCCTGTAATTCCAGCTACTCTGGAGGCTGAGGCGGGAGAATGGCTTAAACCTGGGAGGCGGAGGTTGCAGTGAGCCGAGATCGCGCCATTGCACTCCAGCCTGGGCAACAAGAGCGAAACTCCATCAAAAAAGAAAGGAAGGAAGGAAGGAAGGAAGGAAGGAAGGAAGGAAGGAAGGAAGGAAGGAAGGAATGTTTGGTCCAGGCCGGGCATGGTGGCTGACACCTGTAATCCCAGCACTTTGGGAGGCCGAGGTGGGCAGATCATGACGTCAGGAGATCGAGACCGTCCTGGCTAACATGGCGAAATCCCATATCCACTAAAAATACAAAACATTAGCTGGGTGTGGTGGCGGGCACCTGTAGTCCCAGCTACTCAGGAGGCTGAGGCAGGATAATGGCATGAACCCGGGAGGTGGAGCTTGCAGTGAGCTGAGATGGCACCACCACACTCCAGCCTGGGCGAAAAGTGAGACTTCGTCTCAAAAAAATAAATAAAAATAAATGGTTGGTCCGTGCAGTGGCTCACGCTCAGCACTTTGGGAAGCTAAGGCAGGCGAATCACCTGAAGTCAGTAGTTTGAGACCAGCCTGGCCAGCATGGCAAAACCCCGTCTCTATTAAAAATACAAAAATTAGCCAGGCATGGTGGCGCGCGCCTGTAATCCCAGCTACTTGGGAGGCTGAGACAGGAGAATCGCTTAAACCTGGGAGGTGGAGGTTGTAGGGTCAAGAAAAAGAATCAATGGGAAGTGTTGAAGGAATGTTACAGGGAGTAAGGTGTTTGTATAGATGATTCAGACTGCAGTACAGAGAGTGGATTAGAAAGGGTGGAGATTCCAGACCAGATCAGTTGGGAGGTTGGTGAGAAGGGGTGGTGGTCTGGCCTAGGGTAGAGGCAGTGGGTTATGATAAGTAGATGGTTTTAGAGAGATGTAGGAGGCAAGATCCGATCTGGTGACTCTAGGGAGGCACGAGGTGAAAGGGTGGTGACAAGGCTTATGGGGAGCTGTAAGTAGAGATCAGTGAGTAAAGCATACAGGAGGAAAGGCAAGTTGGGGAAGAGGATAGTGGACAGGTTCTGTGCTGGAAGGGTTGTGTTCGAGGTGCCTTTGGAAATATCCAGGTAGATGTCTTCTCTTTGGGAAACAGTTGGATGAAAAGGCCTGGTGTTTAGGAGGGAGCTCTGAGCTGGAAATAGCCACTTCTGGTGTTACCATCACCCCAGAGCCCAGCCAATCTAAGGAATAAGCCAAACCCTGGCCCCAGGGAAAGAAGCAGGTTCCCTGAGTCCTTCAGGTTGGGTGGAAACAGGTTTGGCAGGTCAGGTTCAGGAGATCAGAGTCCAGGTGCAAATGTGCAAATAGGCAGAGTGTGGGCAGAGCCACATAAGCCACTGCCCAAGGCAGACCGGGAAACCAAGGGGGAATGGCCTGTGCTGACCATCTCACTAGGACTAGCTAGAAAAATTGTCAGCAAGCATCCACAGAAGGTTCTGCCTCAACCCTCACTCCTTCTTCCCAGCCCTGAAAAGCAGCTGGGGTGGGGAGGGGGAGGGAAGATGGAAAGAACAGAAGGAGACGGAAAGGGACACAGCCTGAAAAAGCAAATCTGACTCATTCCTACCTCACCCTCTTGCCTCTAAGATGATGTAGTGGGTTGAATGGTGGCCCCCCAAAAGACATGCCCACCCAGAACCTGCGAATATGACCTTATTTGGAAAAAGTGTGTTTGCAGATATAATTAAGCTGAAGATCTCAAGATGAGATTATCCTGAGATTAGGATGGACCCTAAGTCTAATGACATGTGTCCTTATAAGAGACAGAAGAAGAAAGACACAGAGAAAAGGGGGCAGCCCTGTGAAGGGAGACGCAGAGATGGGACTTATGCAGCTACAAACCAAGGAGTGCCAGGGGTTGCCAGCAACCACTGGCATGGGATGGATTGTCCCCCAGAGACTCCAGGACTAACCCTACTGACACCTTGCTTTCAAGCTTCTGGCCTGTAGAACTGTGAGAGAATGAATTGTTTGAAGCTACCCAATTTGTTGTAATTTGTTACAGGAGCCTTAGGAAACTCCTACAGATGGTATCCACCTTTCAATTTTAAGTAAACATAGAGTCACCCAGAAAACACTTAGAGCAGTATACAGTATACACAGATTAAGGGACACAGAAACAGAATAATAGAATAAAGAGAAATACACAGAGAAAGAAGGGGACCCCCTCACCACTTTATCTAAGTCCTACTCAATCCCTTGAAACAGTCAACATGTTTAACTCACCTTGGTTTGTCTCTCCTCCTAGCTGACATGGTTGGCTTAGTGCTAAGAGAAAAGGACACCTGGGGCCGGGCTCGGTGGCTCACGCCTGTAATCCCAGCACTTTGGGAGGCAGAGGTGGGTAGATCACCTGATGTCAGGAGTTTGAGACCAGCCTGGCCAACATGGTGAAACCCCGTCTCTACTAAAAATACAAAAATTAGTCAGGCGTGGTGGCAGGCACCTGTAATCCCAACTACTCAGAAGGCTGAGGCAGGAGAATCGCTTGAACCCGGGAGATGGAGGTTGCAGTGAGCCAAGATTGTGCCACTGCACTCCAGCCTGGGCAACAGAGCGAGATTCCATCTAAAAAAAAAAAAAGAAATAAATAAATAAACAGATATGCTAGTATAGAATGATGAATGTTACAAGGAGAGTAAATCAAGATCAGAGAACAAAAAGTGATGATGGTGGTAAGGGAAGGCCTTTTGTATATGCTAAGAACTGAAAAGAAACTAAAATAATGAAATAGAGTGAACACTTGGGACATCTGGAGAGCAACATTCCAGACAGAGGGAAAAAGTGCAAGTTCCCCACATCAGGAAGCAGCCTGACCTGATCATGACATGGAAAGGCCAGTGTGGAGAGCAGATGGGGTCAGGGAGGTGAATAGGGTCAGGATCCCATAGGGACCGGTGGGCCATGGTAAAAAGTTTGGATTTTATTCTAAATATAGTGGGAAGCCTTTAGAAGTTTTTAAACATGGAATAATGGAGACTTAATTTGGTTTTTGTTTTGTTTTTGAGATGGAGTCTCGCTCTGTCACCCAGGCTGAAGTACAGTGGCTAGATCTCAGCTCACTGCAACCTCCACCTCCCAGGTTCAGATGATTCTCCTCCCTCAGCCTCCTGAGTAGCTGGGATTACAGGCATGCGCCACCATATCCCCGCTAATTTTTTTTTTTTCCAGTAGAGATGGAGTTTTACTATGTTGGCCAGGCTGGTATCAAACTCCTGACCTCAGGTGATCCGCCCACCTCAGCCTCCCAAAGTGCTGTGATTACAGGTGTGAGCCACCGTGCCACGCCCTGGGGTTTTGAGTGTGTGTGTGTGTGTGTTTTGTTTGTTTTTTGTTTTGTTGTTTTTTGTTTTTTTTTTTAAGATGGAGTCTCACTCTGTTGCCCAGGCTGGAGTGCAGTGGCACCATCTCACCTCACTGCAACCTCTGCCTCTCGGGTTCAAGCCTTTCGCATTGTTGGCCAGGCTGGTCTTGAACTCCTGACCTCAAGTGATCCACTCGCTCACTCCCAGAGTGCTGAGATTATAGGCGTCCACCACCAACCACAGCTTGATTTGTTTTTAAAAGCTCACTTGCCAGTGACGCAGTTTTAAAAAAAAAATCAGCCGGGCACAGTGCCTCACGCACTTTGGGAGGCCGACGCAGGCAGATCACCTCAGGTCAGGAGTTCAAGACCAGCCTGGCCAAAATGGTGAAACCCCATCTCTACTAAAAATACAAAATTAGCCGGGCGTGGTGGCGTGCACCTGTAATCCCAGCTGCTCAGAAGGCTGAGGCGGGAGAATCGCTTGCACCTGGGAGGCGGAGGTTACAGAGCAAAACTCCATCTCAAAAAATAAAAATTAAAATTAAAAATAAAAAAAATCACTTGGACTGCTGTGCAGAGTATGAACCCTCAGGAAGAGAAACAAGAAGACTTGATAGGAGATTGACATATTTCAAGGAAGAGAGAAGTAACAAAGACTTGGAGTAGAATGGTAGCTGTCACGGCCAATGGAGTTTTTTTTTTTTTTGAGATGGAGTTTCGCTCTTGTTGCCCAGGCTGGAGTGCAGCGGCTCAATCTCGGCTTACTGCAACCTCCACCGCACCCCCCTGCCCGCCCCCCGCCCCGGGTTCAAGTGATTCTTCTGCCTCAGCCTCCAGAGTAGCTGGGATTACAGGCATGCGCTACCACGCCTGGCTAATTTTGTGTTTAGTAGAGATGGGGTTTCTCCATGTTGGTCAGGCTGGTCTCGAACTCCCGACCTCAGGTGATCCACCTGCCTTAGCCTCCCAAAGTGCTGGGATTACAGGCGTGAGCCACTGCGCCTGGCCAGAGATATATTTTTTAAGGCAGAGCCAGCAGCTCTTACTGAAGGATTGAATATAAGAGATGAAATGGGAAAACAAAATTTTTTTTTTTTTTTTTTGAGACAAGGTCTCGCTCTGTTGCCTAGGCTGGAGTGTTGTGGCATGATCTCGGCTTACTGCGGCCTCCGCCTCCCAGGTTCAAGCAATTCTCCCATCTCAGCCTCCAGAGTAGCTGGGATTACAGGCGCACACCACCACGCCTGGCTAATTTTTGTATTTTTAGTAGAGACAGGGTTTCACCATGTTGGCCAGGCTGGTCTCCAACTCCTGACCTCATGTGATCCACCCTCCTTGACCTCCCAAAGTGCTGGGATTACAGGCGTGAGCCACTGCGCCCAGCCCAAAACAAACTTGTTGGGACTCCCAGGTGCTTATAGACATGTGTTTGGAAATATTAGATAGACAACTGGATCTGGGCTCTGGAACTTAGCAGAGAGGCCTAGACTAGAGATACAAATCTGGGAGTCACCACCACATAGACAGTGGAGGAAGCTGGAGACTGGTGAGATTACCTGCCAGGAGAGGGAGTGTGGGTGGAGAGGAGGGCAGAGGCCTGAGCCCTGGGGCAAGCCAACATTGAGAGCAAAGGTTGGTTCTCTACTCTAGCTGCTCCAGGGGAACTACTGAGACAAGGCTGAGCTCCACCCCAAGAAATCCTGATTTAATTAGTTTGGAGTAGTCCATGGGTTTTAGTTAAAAAAAAAAAGGCCGGGCACGGTGGCTCACGCCTGTAATCCTAGCACTTTGGGAGGCTGAGGCAGGCGGATTGCATGAGCTCAGGAGTTTGAGACCAGCCTGGGCAATATGGTGAAACCCCGTCTCTACTAAAATATGGAAAAAAAAAAAATAGCGGGGCGTGGCAGCGTGTGCATGTAGTCCCAGCTACTTGGGAGGAAGGAGAATTGCTTGAACCCAGGAGGCGGAGGTGCAGTGACCTGAGATGATGCCACTGCACTCCAGCCTGGTGAGAGAGTGAGACTCTGTCTCAAAAAAAAAAAAAATTTTTTTAAAGGCTGGGTGTGGTGCCTCATGCCTGTAATCCTAGCATTTTGGGAGGCCGAGGTGGGCAGATGGCCTGAGGTCGGGAGTTCAAGACCAGCCTGACCAACATGGAGAAACCCCATCTCTACTAAAAATACAAAATTAGCCAGGCGTGGTGGCACATGCCTTTAGTCCCAGTTAGTCCCAGCTACTTGGGAGGCTGAGAGGAAGAATCGCTTGAACCCAGAAGGCAAAGGTTGCAGTGAGCCGAGATCATGCCATTGCACTCCAGCCTGGGTACCAAGAGCGAAACTCCAACTCAAAAAAAAAAAAAAAAAAAAGTCCTCAGGTGATTCCACAGTGTAGCCAAGAATTGAGAACTATGCAGGTAGTGATCAGGAGGAGAGCCATAAAGAGAGACTAGGGAGCATTGAGGGAGGTGTGAAAAATGTCAGGGAAGTACCGGTCCCAAAAGCCAAGTGAAAAAGGGAGTGGTCCAACCGACAAACTGGAGCAAGAGTAATAATAAATCAACACTGGATTTGGCAAAGTGGTGGCCAATGAATACCAACTCCCCTGCCATCTTTCCTTGGTGGTTCTTGATTCTTCAGGTGCTAGGCAGCTCAAAATAAATTGGTAGGGTTGGCCTGAGATACCCAATGGTGTAGACGACTCCAAGGACACAGAGAGGGGACTCATGAACCCCCCACATCCCCTGCCAGACTGAGGAATAGAGACTAGAATTTGCTCTTTTTATCAGTTCCTTTTATCTTTATCTGTAGGTTTGTAGCTACTGCCCTTTCTATAAGAGACAGAGGGAAGTTTATTTGCACTCTTGATTTCAAAAAGGACTGAAAATGTTGGAGAGCTCAAGCTAAACTTCGAAGTCCTAGATAAATAAATCATTGTTTATGTCTCCTTTTATCTCTGTAAATTTTTGGAGGAAAAAAGCATGAGTATTACAGAGACACTTCAAGGAGCTGCTTTTACAAAGCCAGGTCAGGACTATATTATTAGTGGCAACTAATGCAATGTTTCACGTTTAATTGCACAGATCAGAGCACTGAGCAGGACACCTGGAGGCAGTTTGACCTTTTCGAGGCTTTGGTAAAGGACACCCAGAATCCGTCCAGCCAAAACCTGTCATTGGTTCCTTTCTGTAAGAGGAGACATAATGTACGTCTTCTGGAAGCCCTGACTCCCCCACCCTACCCCACCCCCTCCAGGCTTCTAGAACAATGAAGAAAAATCTGGACTGTGTTTTTTTTTTCTTAATTTTTAAATTTTTATTTATTTATATTGAGACAAAGTCTCTCTCTGTTGCCCAGGCTGGAGTGCAGTGGCGCGATCTCGGCTCCTCCCAGGCTGAAGTGCAGTGGTGCGATATCTGCTCACTGCAACCTCCGCCTCCTGTGTTCAAGCAATTCTCCTGCCTCAGCCTCCCGAGTAGCTGGGATTACAGGCGTGAGCCACCTCACCTGGTCTTTTCTTTTAAATTTTGTGGGCACAAAGTAGGTATATATATTTTGGACTGTGTTCTTGAAGGGTGGAGTCCATGTTAGAAGCTAGAATTCTGGAGGCAGAAGGAGGAGAGAAGTTTCCAGCGTTTCGTAGGGCCTCCTTCCTCTGCCCTTGATCTTGGCTGGCTCCTGAAATCTGGAAATCGGGTGCCCTTGTCCTCTGCTCTATACTCACACAGAGCCTAAGTCAGACCTTTTCTAACGGGCCCTGAAGTCTCCCCATGAGGTCAGAGCAATGCTGAAGGTAGAGTTGAACACTCTGTGGCCTTGGTGCTTCTACCTCTTCCCATTCCCCCCACCAATACAGCCCCTCAAAGGCCCCTCAGATCTGGGCTGGCATGGGGACCACTTGCTTGTCATACTGACTCCCTCCAGGAGTGGCTTTCTGGCTGAAGGTTGCAGGGCTCAAGACTGACTTCTCCATCTTGGTCGAGCTTTACCCAAAGCATCTGCAGCATCGGGCAGGCTGGGAGACTTGAGGGAGGGAGTGACTCCCGGCCAGTGGCATGTTGCTGGGATCGGATGCATTATTTATGATGCTGGTGTCAGCATGGCTCCCAGGCACTGGGGGAAATGGAAAAGGCACTTGGGCCAGTGCTGATTAAACTAAATATTTAAACAGGACTGAGGAATTGAGGCAAAACCCATTTTTCTTCAGTAAGGCAGAGAGCGTCACAAATGACTTCAAGGCTGGGCACTTGGTAAACACTTTCCAGAGCATAAGAGAAAGCTGGGGGCCCTGGTCTAGGGCTCTCCTCCAGAATCAGCTCCCAGCTTCCTCTCTGGAGCAGATCTATAGGCTTTCGGGAGACTCTGGAGTAGGAGTACAGGAGGGGAGATAGAGAAGCAGAAGAATGAGACTGGGAGACACCCAAACAGTCAGGCTGGCTGCATGCCTCAGGCTGCTTTTTTTTTCCCCAGGGAGCTCCATCTCCTTTTCTCTCTTTTTTTGTTTGTTTTTTTTTTTGTTTGTTTGCTTTTGTTTTTTGAGACAGAGTCTCGCTCTGTCGCCCAGGCTGGAATGCAGCGGCACTGTGTCGGCTCACTGCAACTTCCATCTCCTGGGTTCTAGCAATTCTCCTGCCTCAGCCTCCTGAGTAGCTGGGATTACAGGCGCCCACCACCATGTCTGGCTACTTTTTATATTTTTAGTAGAGGCAGGGTTCCACCATGTTGGCCAGGCTGATCTCGAACTCCTGACCTCAGGTGATCCACCCTCCTTGGCCTCCCAAAGTGCTGGGATTACAGGCGTGAGCCACCGTGCCTGGCCTTTTCTTTCTTTCTTTCTTTTTGAGACGGAGTCTCGCTCTGTTGCGCAGGCTGGAATGCAGTAGCACCCTGTTGGCTCACTGCAAGCTCCGCCTCCCAGGTTCATGCCATTCTCCTGCCTCAGCCTCCCAAGTAGCTGGGACTACAGGCGCCTGCCACCACACCTGGCTAATTTTTTTTTTTTTTGTATTTTTAGTAGAGATGGGGTTTCACTGTGGTAGCCAGGATGGTCTCGATCTCCTGACCTCGTGATCTGCCCACCTCGGCCTCCCAAAGTGCTAAGATTACAGGTGTGAGCCACTGCGCCCGGCTCTTTTTTTTTTTTTTTTTTTTTTGAGATGGAGTTTCGCTCTTGTTGCCCAGGCTGGAGTGCAATGGTGCAATCTCAGCTTACCACAACCTCCGCCTCCTGGGTTCAAGCAATTCTCCTGCCTCAGCCTCCCGAGTAGCTGGGATTACAGGCATGCACCACCATGCCCGGCTAATTTTTAGCAGAGATGGGGTTTCTCCATGTTGGTCAGGCTGGTCTCGAACTCCCGACCTCAGTTAATCCACCGCCTAGGCCTCCCAAATTGCTGGGATTACAGGCATGAGCCACAATGTCCGGCCTCCTTTTCTCAAAATAACTGTGCTACTGCATTTTCCTATGTTAGTTGTCACCCAGGCTGGAGTGCGGTAGCATAGATCCCGGCTCACTGCAACCTCCTCCTCCTGGGTTCCAGCGACTCTCCTGCCTCAGCCTACCGAGTAGCTAGGATTACAGGTGCCTGCCACCATGCCCAGCTAATTTTTTTGTATTTTTAGTGAAGACGGGGTTTCACCAGGTTGGCCAAGCTGGTCTCAAACTCCTGACATCAAGTGATCCTCAAGCCTCAGCCTCCCAAACCATTATCCTTTTAATCAGCTGGAAGAAGGGTAGTAGGGTGTCAGGCAGCCATGAACCCATCCTCTGGTAGTGATTCTTCCCATCCCACCTGATACAGGTTCCAATCAGGAAGCTGACCTCCACCTGCTGCACACAAACACTGGGGAGACCCTTCTCAGAGAGGCTGTGAGGGAGCATGTCCCTCTATTTAGAATATCCACCACCCTCCAGATTTGAGGAAAGAGGAGATCTCAAAAGGAGATTTTCATGTAGAAAGAAACAGCTGTCATTCGGGCTGGCTTTCCCTGCTGTTTTTTTTCCCTCCCTGTGGGGTCCCTCACTTGCATCTCAACAGCAGTCACTATCCCTGGCCCCCAGGGATGTGCTTTTTCTCAGTCTCTGCATGAACAAGTGCCCTTTTCCTTCTTTCCTCTAAGAACAGCTGAGACAGGCTGACATTTTCCAAATTAACTTTTATCAGAATTTAGGAAAGAAAAGGAAATAACTGCAGAAAATACAAATGCATCAGTTCAACTCAGTTCAACACTTATTGTGATTCTTACATCGAGCACCATAGTCTAGGTTACCTTGATAAATGAAACGGAGTTCTGGGACTCAAGGAGTTCACCATCCAATGGAAGAGGAGAGGTAGGCATGAATAGATAACTAGTTTATTTTACTTTATTTTTTTTGAGACGGAGTCTTGCTCTGTCGCCCAGGCTGGAGTGCAATGACGTGATCTCGGCTCACTGCAAACTCCATCTCCTGCATTCAAGCGATTCCCGTACCTCAGCTTCCCGAGTAGCTGGGATTACAGGCATGCACCACAGCATCTGGCTAATTTTTGTATTTTTGGTAGAGACGGAGTTTCTCCATGTTGGTCAGGCTGGTCTCAAACTCCTGACCTCAGGTGATCCACCCGCCTCGGCCTCCCAAAGTGCTGGGATTACACGCGTGAGCCACCATGCCCGCTGATAACTAGTTTTTTGTTTTGTTTTTTTTTTCTTCTTCCTTCTTTCTTTCTTTCGTTTTTTTTTCTTTTTTTTTTTTTTTTTGAGATGGAGTCTTGCTCTGTCGCCCAGGCTGGACTGCAGTGGCACAATCTCAGCTCATTTCAGGTACTCATTTCAAAGAAGTCTCAAGTATGCATGATGCTTTTCAAGAAATTAGAGTCAATCTTTTTTTTTTTTGAGATGGAGTTTCGCTCTTGTTGCCCAGGCTGGAGGGCAATGGCGTGATCTCGGCTCACTGCAACCTCTACCTCCTGGGTTCAAGCCATTCTCCTGCCTCAGCCTCTCGAGTAGCTGGGATTACAGGCATGCGCCACCATACTCGGTTAATTTTGTATTTTTAGTAGAGACGGGGTTTCTCCATGTTGGCCAGGCTGGTTTCGAACTCCTGACCTCAGGTGATATGCCCGCCTCGGCCTCCCAAAGTGCTAGGATTACAGGTATGAGCCACCGTGTCTGGCCCAACACCCAGCCTAATTTTTTTTTTTTTTTGAGATGGAGTCTCGCTCTCTCGCCCAGGCTGGAGTGCAGTGGCGCAATCTCGGCTCACTGCAAGCTCCGCTTCCAGGGTTCACGCCATTCTCCTGCCTCAGCCTCCAGAGTAGCTGGGACTACAGGCACCCGCCACCATGCCCGGCGAATTTTTTGTATTTTTAGTGGAGACGGGTTTCACCGCGTTAGCCAGGATTGTCTCGATCTCCTGACCTCGTGATCTGCCCACCTTGGCCTCCCAAAGTGCTGGGATTACAGGCTTGAGCCACTGCGCCCGGCCCACCCAGCCTAATTTTTTAAAAATTTTTTTGTAGAGACAGGGTCTCCCTATGTTGCCCAGGCTGATCTCAAACTCCTGGCCTCAAGCAATCCTCTTGCCTCGGCCTTCCAAAGTGCTGGGATTATAGGTGTGAGCCATCATACTCAGCCTCGGAGTAGAACTTTCTTTGATTTTTTTTTTTTTTTTAATTTTTTGAGATGGAGTCTTGCGGTGTCGCCCAGGCTGGAGGGGAGTGGCGCGATCTCGGCTCAATGCAGCTTCCACCTCCTGGGTTCAAGCAATTCTCCTGCCTCAGCCTCCCGAGTAGCTGGGACTACAGGCATGTGCCGCCACACCTGGCTAATTTTTGTATTTTTAGTAGAGACGGGGCTTCACCATGTTGGCCAGGATGGCCTCTATCTCTTGACCTCATGATCCGCCCACCTCGGCCTCACAAAATGCTGGAATTACAGGCATGAGCCACCACGCCTGGCCCTTTCTTTTTTCTTTTTCTTCTTCTTCTTCTTTTTTTTTTTTTTTTGGACAAGGAGTCTCTTCCATCACCCAGGTGGTAGTGCAGTGGTGCCATCTGGGCGTTTATTGCAGCCTCAAACTCCTGGGCTCAAGGGATCCTCTCACCTCACTTCCCAAAGTGTTGGGATTACTTACAGGCTTTAGCCACCACCCCCTGGGGCTAGGAGTCTAGTTTTAAAAAGCCTTTTCAATAGTCCAAGTGAGAGAAAGTTTTAAGACAAGCATCTTCATAGTCTGCTCTAAATTTGCTGATGAGCTCAGATTCACTTGTATTATTCATTAATTTATCTAAGAAAGGGCAGGAAGGAATAACCAAATCCCATCTGATTCATACCTCTCCCCTTACTTCTCGGCTGTGGCCTTTATCTCTTTACCAGCTCACTGCTGCTCAGCCACACTGGTCTGATTATTCCCTAGACATGCCAGGCACACACCAGTCTCAGGGCCTTTGCAATTCTGCTTCACCCCAAACTTCCCTCACCGGCTTGACAGCTCAAATACATCTCCCACTTTGGGAGGCAGAGGTGGGAGGACTGCTTGAGCCCAGGAATTTGATACCAGCCTGGGCAATATAGGGAGACCTCATCTCTATTAAAAAACAAACAGGCCAGGCACGGTGGCTCACACTTGTAATCCCAGCACTTTGGGAGGCCGAGGTGGGTGGATCAAGAGGTCAAGAGATCGAGACCATCTTGGCCAACATGGTGAAACCCCGTCTCTACTAAAAATACAAAAAATTAGCCAGGCGTGGTGGCGGGTGCCTGTAATCCCAGCTACTCTGGAGACTGAGGCAGAGAATTGCTTCAACCCAGGAGGCGGAGGTTGCAGTGAGCCGAGATCGCACCACTGCACTCCAGAGCGAAACTCCATCTCAAAAAGAAAAAAAAAATTACCTCCTCAGTGCAGTCTTCCCTTCCCATCCTATTTAACATTGTAATATCTGCTCAACTCCCCAGCACTCTGTGTCACTCTCTCCCGCTTTATTCCTCTCCATAACACACCTGACATACCATATATTGTACTTACAATATGTTTTTCCCACTAAAATGTAAGCTCTTTGAGAAGAGGCATGTCTGTCTGTTTTATGTACTGCAGTCTCCTCAAGGGCACACCTGGCAGATAGAAGATACTTGAGAAATAAAGCCAGCGTGGTGACTCAGGCCTGTAATCCCAGCACTTTGGGAGGCTGAGGCAGGTGGTTTACCTCAGGTCAGGAGTTCGAGAACAGGGTGGCCAACGTGGTGAAACCCCATTTCTACTAAAAATATAAAACTTAGCCAGGCATGGTGGTGTGCATCTGTAATCCCAGCTATTCGGGAGGCTGAAACAGGAGAATTGTTTGAACCTAGAAGACAGAGGTTGCAGTGAGCCAAGATTGCACCAGTGCACTACAGCCTGGGCGACAGAGCAAGACTTCGTCTCAAAAAACAAACAAACAAACAAAAAAAAAAAAGAAATATTCACTGATCAAATGAATGACCCGAGCTCAAAGCTGTTTTGGAGAGAAAGTCTTCTTCATCTACTATTCTATCATAAATTTTAATTTATTTATTTATTTATTTATTTATTTATTTATTTATTTAGTCAGAGTCTGGTTCTGTCACCCAGGCTGGCGTGCAATGGTGCGATCTCTGCTCACTGCAACCTCCCCTCCTGGATTCAAGCTATTCTCCTGTCTCAGCCTCTCAAGTAGTTGGGGTAGCTGGGACTACAGGTGTGCACCACCATGCCCGGCTAATTTTTGTATTTTTAGTAGAGATGGGGTTTCGCCATGTTGGCCAGGCTGGTCTTGAACTCCTGACCTCAGTTGATCCACCCACCTTGGCCTCCCAAAGTGCTGGGATTACAGGCATGAGCCACTGTGCCTGGCCCTCTATCATGAATTTTAATATCTTCATTGCTCCACCAGTACTTCCACCATCAAGTCCACATTCCTTAGCACAATATTCAAGGATAGCCCTTTACAATCTGTCCCCCAGTTCCCCTTCCCAGTCTCTTGTCCCAGCGCCTTTCTCCCCATGTACTCTGCCAAATCTGAGCCACCCTTAGCTCCTTGAGCAGGACGTGAGCTTTCCTTGGCCTAAGCCTTGCACCCACATTTCCACAACCTGACCTCCTTCCTTCTGCTGCTCCATTGGGTGAACCCCTCAGCATATACAAAACCTCCTCCCCAGAGCACTAACACCTCCATTACACTACTGTATTGTACAGTAATCCCACCTTATCTTCGGAGATGCTTTCCAAGACCCCCAGTGGATGCTGAAACCAAGGATAGTACTGAACTTGATTGCTAGCAGTCAGAACACATTTCTGTTAATGTCTTCCACCCACAAATTTAATGCTTTTTCCATCTTAACTAAGCAATTATCATGCACTGTGGCCATAATTTTTGCAGGTTGAGGTGTGACAGCAAAACCAGCATGAATTTATTTTTCCTTCTTAACAATTTCATAGCTATAAGATTTGTTCTTATGGTAGATCTTAGCAACCTCAGCTTGCAGTTTTTTTCTTTCCTTAGTAAGCTGAGAACTTTCACCTTTTCACTTAAAGGAAATACTTTATGGCTGCTCTTTGGCATATCTGAATTGCCAGCACCATTATTCTTGTGCTTTGGAGCCAATATTAGGTAAAATAAGTGTTCCTTGAACACAAGTGCTGTGATACAGCAACAATCAATCTGATCAGCAAGAAGGCTACTAAGTGACTAATGAGCAGGTACAGCCTGGATACACTGGAGGAAGGGAGGATGCATGTGCCAGGTGGGACGGAGTTGGGTGGCACAGGATTTCATCTTACAGTGGGACGGAGTTGGGTGGCCCAAGATTTCATGTTACTCAGAGCTACACACAATTTAAAACTTCTGAATTATTTGTTTCTGGAATTTTCCATTATATACATATATAATATATAATTTAAATATATAATATATAATATGTATATATAATATATTATATATTATATATGTATATGTATATAATATATTATATATTATATATGTATATGTATATAATATATTATATATTATATATGTATATGTATATAATATATTATATATTATATATGTATATGTATATAATATATATTATGTAATATATGTATATTATATATTATATCATATATATTATATATGATATAATATATAATTTAAATATATAATATATAATATGTATATATAATATATTATATGTATACGTATATATTATATATTATATAATATATATTATATACGTATATATAATATATACATATATTTTATATACGTATATACGTATATATGTAATATATAATGTATACGTATACGTATATAATATATTATATATTATATACGTGTACATATACATTATATATTACATATATACGTACACGTATATAATATATAATATATTATATACGTATACATATATAATATATACAAATATAATATATTATATACATATATATATTATATATATATTTTAAGATGGAGTTTTGCTCTTGTTGCCCAGGCTGGAGTGCAATGGCACGATCTCGGCTCACTGCAAGCTCCGCCTCCCAGGTTCAAGCAATTCTCCTGTCTCAGCCTCCGAGTAGCTGGGATTACAGGCATGCACGACCACGCCCAGCTAATTTTGTATTTTTAGTAGAAATGGGGTTTCTCCATGTTGGTCACGCTGGTCTTGATCTCCTGACCTCAGGTGATCTGCCTGCCTCAGCCTCCCAAAGTGCTGGGATTACAGGCGTGAGCCACCGTGCCCGCTGATATATATATATATATTATATATATATATATATTATATATATATATTATATATATATATATATTATATATATATATATATATTTTTTTTTGAGACAGGGTCTCACTCTGTCACCCAGGCTGCAGTGCCATGGGGCAATCACAGCTCACTGCAGCCTCAACCTCCCCAGCTCAGGTGATCCTCCCATCTCAGCCTCCTGGGTAGCTGGAACCCCAGGTGTGTGCCACCACACCTGGCTTAATTTTTGTGGAGATAGAGTTTTCTGTAGAGATGGCGTTTTTGCCATGTTGCCCAGGCTGGTCTTGAACTCCCGGGCTCAAGCAATCCTCTCGCCTCAGCCTTCCAAAGTGCTGGAATTACAGGCGTGAGCCACCATGCCCAGCCCATTTAATATTTGCATTTTAATTTTATGTATATACGTATATTTTGAGACGGAGTCTTGCTTTGCTGCCCAGGCTGGGGTGCAGTGGAGCAATTTCGGCTCACTGCAACCTCTGCCTCCCAGGCTCAAGCAATTCTTGTGCCTCAGCCTCCTGAGTAGCTGGGATCGCAGGTGAGTACCACCAAGCTCCGCTAATTTTTTGTATTTTTTGTAGAGACAGGGTTTTGCCATGTTGGCCTGGCTGGTCTCGAATTCCTGACCTCAAGCAATCTGCCCCTCTCAGCCTCCCAAAGTGCTGGGATTCCAGGCATGAGCCAGCGCGCCCGGCCCCCTTTAATATTTTTAGACCTCAGGTTAACTAAAACCTCAGAAAACAAAACCACGGATAAGAGGGGATGATTGTAATGTCACGGGTTATTTGGGGTTGCCTCTCTACTGTATGGGTGGCCTCCAAACTGGGCTGACCATCAGGACCACAGGGCAGCTTATCTTATTTTTCATAGTAGCTTTAAAGCTAACTAAATATGGCCTTAGAAGGACTCCGTACTTCTTTATTTGAGTCCTCGTGGACGAACTGCAACCTAGCTTAATAGATAGACAAGATTGAAAACCTAATTTAGGAGTATGCACCTGTAACAATAGCTAAGTCAGGACCACAGGGCAGTTTATCTTATTTTTCTTAGTCGCGTTAAAGCGAACTAAATATGGCCTTAGAAAGACTCTGTACTTCTTTATTTGAGTCCTCGTGGACGAACTGCAACCTAGCTTAATAGACAAGATTGAAAACCTAATTTAGGAGTATGCGCCTGTAACAATAGCTAAGTCTTGGCCAGTCCCAGAAGCCATACTTCAACTGCTGAGTGTTCAAATAAGACAAATGCCTCCAGGCGCGGGGGTTGACGCCTGTAATCCCAGCGCTTTGAGAGGCCTTGGCGGGCGGATCACTTGAGGTCAGGAGTTCAAGACTAGCCTGGCCAACATGGTGAAACCCTGACTCTACTAAAAATACAAAAATTAGCCGGGCGCGTTGGCGCGTGCCTGTAATCCCAGCTACTACTTACGAGGCTGAGGCACGAGAATCGCTTGAACCCAGGAGGTGGAGGTTGCAGTGAGCAGAGATTGCGCCACTGCACTCCGGCCTGGGCGACAGAGCAAGATTCAGTCTCAGAAATAATAATAAGGCAAACGCAGAGCTGTAACCAAGCCAGCTGTTCTGTACCTCACGTCCTATTTCTGTTCATCACTTCCTTTTTTTGTCTGTAAATCTTACACCACGTGGCTGGAGTCTCTGAATCTGCTGTGATTCTGCCGGCTGCCCGATTGGCGAATTGTTCATTTAATTCAGCTGAGATTTTTATCAGTAGACTTCCAGACTCCACCCTAGACCTACAAAATCTGTCTCTGGGGGAGGGGCCAGGGAATCTGTATTTTATAAAGTTCCTCCATAGACTGTAGTCATCAGAGAGTAGTGGGGGGAACCTCTGCAGTTTAAAGTCCACATCCTCGTGAAGCCTGGCAGATTAGCCCCTGCTAGCTCCCTACGCAGTTTCTTACCACCTCTGTAAAGCTCTAGCAATAAGATCCCTGTGACAAGTGTCTCATTCTGCCACATTGTATCGTTATTTGCCTGCATGTCCCACCCTGATCACATTCATCCTCCTGTCTGCCCACATGTCCTATTTCCTACCAAAATGTGAGACATTGAGAATAGAGACCCCTTCTGTTACCGCCACAGATTATATGAACACGGATGCTGGGTGCAGTCTTGCAACATGCGTAAGGAATAAAACCAGGAAATGCCTCTAAATAGAGTGCATGTAGGAAACTCTAAGTAATTTTTTTCAGTTCTTTTTTGTTTGACCAGGAAAAAAGATGACCAACTAGGAATGACCAACCTAGAAACGCCTCTAGTTTGACTAGAAAAAAGTGACCAACTAGAAATGCCTCTAGATGGAGTGCACATAGGAAACTGCAAGTAATTTTTTTCAGTTCTTTTTGGTTTGATTAGAAAAAGGATGACCAAAGTTGCCAGGTTAGATGGCAGGGGATGACCACCCCTGGATTTGATTATACACATTTTACTGAAAGAAACAGGTCCAGGGACACTCAGGGTCAGAAAACCAAGTAGAGCAGACAAGGACATCCTAATTCTGGAACCGAGATTGCCAGCATCCTACACAGGCTTCTTCCTCAGTGTGGGGCCAGGCCACACCCTCCACTAATTTCTCCTGGGGCCTTTGTTTGAGTGGAGCCACTTCATTAGCATGTAACAATGGAGAAATCCGAGGTGCCCTGTGTTTTCCATTTATATTTTAAGTGCCAGCAGTCACCAGGCGCCTCCATTGTTATTGCTGTTAGCTGAAGTTAATGGTTTCTTATTAAAAATCTAAGGTCCTCCCTCCCTCCTTCCCTTCCCTACCAGGTTATCTAAAGAGTGAATTCCCGGATCAGCCAATTGCCCTTTCAGGAGTGGCTTAGGGAAGCTGCTTTTAAATAGTACCATTATCATTGCGATTAGTGTTAACGCGGAGCCTGTCTTTCATTTCTTGAAATCTTTCTGGGAAGGCACGTTCCAGATACCCATCTTAAGAGAATTTCAATAACCAGAATTTCCAGTCTGAAGGCCTTCCAACTGCAGCGTGGCACAGTAGGAAGTATGGAGATCTCAGGTCAGGGCTTAATCAGGAATCTTAACCTGAACCTCAGTCTGAAATCCATGAGCCTCAATGTCCATCCATGTATGTAAGCTATCTGCTTTTGTATCCCAAGCTTCTTTAAGGTACACATCATGCAATCTATTGAAAACGATGTGTCAACTTTAAACCCTCTTGAAAACCTGCCATGTGCCAGGCACTAAACTAGAAGCTTTACACATTTTATCTAATGAGGTAGGCCTTATACCCTTATTTTACACATAAGAAACCAGATTCCTCTGCTGTCCCACCCCCGAAACACTCACACATTTTTAACTCCAACTCATTGATTCTATCTGGGAACCTCCCACTCTCCCTTCCATCCCTCAAACATAGCCTTCCTTGCCCTAGTTCTTACCTAGAGCATTTCTCTCCCGAGTTACTGACAATGCCTTGTGTTTTCTTAGGTTCCTTTTTTTTTCTTCTTCTAATTTTATTTTTGAGACAAGGTTTCTCTCTGTCGCTCAGGCTGGAATGCAGTGGTATGATCACGGCTCACTGCAGCCTCAGCCTCCCAGGCTCAAGTGATCCTCTCACCCCAGCCTCCCAAGTAGCTGCGAGTACAGGCGTGTGCCACCATACCCAGCTAATTTTTGTACTTTTGGTAGAGACAGGGTCTCACTATGTTGCCCAGGCTGGCCTCAAACTCCTGGGCTCAAGTGATCCTCCTGCCTTGGCCTCCCAAAGTGCTGAGATTACAAGCATGAGCAACCACGCCTGGTTGGGATTCAAAATCTTAATGGTCTCATGACTGAGCTGTTTTCTGCAGCTCTCATCACCTGGACTTGGAATGCTGGAGGCCACTAAACTTTGTGAGTCCTAAACAAACAATTATGTTGTTCAAAGAATGGGCTGTTTAAGGTCAGATATTAGCTGGTTGTCAAAATGCCAGCTGTGAAGTTGTCCTTACAGGGTTAACAAAAATTCTAGACAGAAATATAGTTAAAATTAAGCATTAATCAGGCTGTACTTGACCCACTTCCTTGTAACTGAAAGCCATATAGCACGAGATACTGACCATTTGCATCCTCCTCATTCTTCCTATAGATAGAATTTCTGATGTCAGAATCATAAGGTTTTGTTTAATAATTGCTTAAAGTAGCAAGGAATATCACTGTTTTTTTTAAAAAAATGCTGGGCAAAGTGGCTCACGACTGTAATCCCAGCACTTTGGGAGGCCGAGGTGGCAATCACCTGAGGTCAGGAGTTTGAGACCAGCCTGGCCAACACTTGCTCTGAGTGACAGAGCAAGATCCTGTCTCAAAGAAAAAAAAAAAAAAAGTTATTTTTGGTATTTTAGTGCCTAAGTACATCAAAGCATGACTATAACTATGTTTTTTTTTTTGTTTTTGTTTTTGTTTTTTTTTGAGATGGAGTCTTGCTCTGTTGCCCAAGCTGGCAACAGAGTACAGTGGCGCAATCTTGGCTCACCACAACCTCTGCCTCCTGGGTTCGAGCGATTCTCCTGCCTCAGCCTCCTGAGTAGCTGGGACTATAGGCACGTGCCACCATGCCTAGCTAATTTTTGTATTTTTAGTAGAGACGAGGTTTCACTGTGTTGGTCAGGCTGGTCTCAAACTCCTGACCTTGTGATCTGCCTGCTTTGGCCTCCCAAACTGCTGGGATTACAGGCGTGAGCCACCGTGCCAGGCCAGACTGTAACTATCTTAGAAGCATATACTGTTATGTGATAGCAGGAGACATCTGGACATTCTGCTGTCATAGGAGTTTGTCCTTGCAGGCGAACTAAACTGCTTCCTTAGTCATAAACATCTTATGACCATGGGGAGGACTGGCAAGGAATGTGTCTTTCTAGTTTAAAGATGGAGTTGATTTTAAAATGGTGTCACCTTGGCTCGGCTATCTTCCTGTTTCTCTAACAGGAGGACCACTTGAGCCCAAGAGTTTGAGACAAGCCTAGGCAATATAGTGAGACCCCTGTCTCTAATTAAAAACAAATGAACAAAATATATATATATATTTTTTAATGTATGTATATGTTAGATACATAATTTTTTAAAATGTTGCTTAAAGACCAGGCATAGCGGCTCATGCCTGTAATCCCAGCACTTTAGGAGGCCAAGGAGGGAGGACTGCTTGAGGCCAGATGTTTGAAACCAGCCTGGGCAACAGAGTAAGACCCTGTCTGTACAAAAAAAAAAAAAAAAAAATCAGTAACCTCCCAAGTGAGTATAGTCCCAGTCCCTTGGGAGGATGAGGTGGGAGGATTGCTTGAGTCCAGGAGTTCCAGGCTGTTGCAATGAGCTATAATTGCCACTGCTCTCCAGCCTGGGTGACACAGTGAGACCCCGTCTCAAACAAACAAACATAAAAAGAACTGTTGGCTGGGAGCAGTGGCTCACGCCTGTAAACCCACCACTTTGGGAGGCCGAGGTAGGTGGATCACGAGGTCAGGAGTTCGAGACCAGCCTGACCAACATAGTGAAACCCCACCTCTACTAAAAATACAAAAATTAGCTGGGCATGGTGGTGTGCACCTGTAATCCCAGCTACTCAGGAGGCTGAAGCAGGAGAATCGCTTGAACCAGGGAGGCAGAGTTTGCAGTGAGCTGAGATTGCGCCACTGCTCTCCAGCCTGGGCGACAGAGGGAGACTCTGTCTCAAAAAACAAAAAAAATTGTTTAAGATGTTTTTCAGATCCTGAATTCCAGCAAACAGTTGATGCCACCCAGTTTAAAGACTCCCACAGAGAAATGGAATCAGCATGAGAATACAGTTTCTTCATCTCCCTGTCCTAAGAATTTGTCCTGAGCTCTTGGACCAATCAACACTCTCCACACTTCTTGCCTACCCCAAAACTCTTAAAAACCCCAGCCCCAAACTCCTCGGGGAGACTTAATAGTTTGGGTTGGGGATTGATGTGTTTCTGGTTGTATGAAGGATAGTTGTATTATGTTAGGCGTAAATATGACCTTATTATTGTCTTTATTTGAAGATTATGGGCTGGGTGCAGTGGGTCACGCCTGTAATCCCAGCACTTTGGGAGGCTGAGGTGGACAGGTCACTTAAGGTCAGGTGTTTGAGACCAGCCTGGCCAACATGGTGAAGCCCTGTCTCTACTAAAAATACAAAAAAAAAATTAGCTGGGTGAGGTGGCAGGCACCTGTAATCCCAGCTACTCAGGAGGCTGAGGTGGGAGGATTGCTTGAACCCGGGAGGTGGAGGTTGCAGTGAGCTAAGGTCATGCCACTACACTCTTGCCTGGGCAACAGAGTGAGACTCCGTCTCAAAATAAATAAATAAATAAATAAAATAAAAGATTATGTATGATTTCAGGAGATGTGTAAGGGTTTAAGCTAACAAGGGGTGTACGTGTGACGGTTAATATTGAGTGTCAACTTGATTGAATATATATATTCCATTGGTTCTGTCCCTCTAAAGAACCCTGACTAATATATCCTTGGTATTCAGTACCAGTCTTTTCTTCACATATGGGTATCTATAACAAGAAGTTCTCCATAGGATTATAACGTAACAGAAAGCCCACGACTTGCATTGTCTGATAACTCACCCACATTCCCATCCCCTTCGCAGAGATGGGCTCAGGGCCATGTGTATTATTTGGGACCCCGCTCCCCTGTCCCTAGCTGACTGGCGTACGGGAAGACCCCTGACTCCTATGGGTCAGTTACTCAAGAGTCTGGGAATGGAGTGGAGACTTGTGAGTCTATACTTGATCTAGGCATAGAGCAAACCCATTTGCAAAGAAAGCAGAATAAAGCAGGGATTATCAGTGTAGTTCCAGAAAGGAGACAGCACACACACTGAAAAGCCCAGAAAACTGCTGCCTTGGCTCCTCACAACCCTCTAGTTCTAGATTTCAATCCCTCCTGAGGCTGGTTTTTGGGCCCATGGGTTCAGTATTCCTGGCCTGAGCAGGCTTCCATTGTTCACAGCCACAGAGCCCTCTCTAATTGACAGTAGCCATCTGGACAAGAGACTGAAGGGAAGAAGTGGTTTGAATAGGTATTACTGAGAAGACTTGGGAAATAACCTAAATCCCAGCAAGAGGCTGGAGCATATCCTTAGGACTGGAAGGGATATACTGACAGCTATAACCTAATCAATTGCTACTGTGACTGAAACAAGGTTACTGAATGGCACAGGACTCTACAGATGCCCCTCAACTGATGATGGGGTTACCACTGGGTAAATCCATGGTAAGTCAAAAACACACTTAATACACCTCATCTACCCAGTGTCACAGCTAAGCCTAGCCTACCTTAAACACACTCAGAACACATAGTAGTCTACAGTTGGGCAAAATCATCTGACACAAAGCCTGTTTTATAATAAAGTGATGACTATCTCATGGAATGTATTGAGAACAGTACACTGTAGAGTACATTACAGGTTGTGTATCCTCATGATTGTGTGGCTGACCAGGAGCTACAGCTTCCTGCCACTGCCCATCATCACAAAAGAATATCACAATAAGCCTGGGAAAAGACCAAAATTCAAAATTTGGGCTGGGCGCAGTGGCTCACGCCTGTAATCCCAGCACTCTGGGAGGCCGAGGCGGGTGGATCACCTGAGGTCGGGAGTTCGAGACCAGCCTGACCAACACGGAGAAACCCCATCTCTACTAAAAATACAAAATTAGCCGGGCATGGTGGTGCATGCCTGTAATCCCAGCTACTAGAAAGGCTGAGGCAGGAGAATCACTTGAACCTGGGAGGCGGAGGTTGCGGTGAGCTGAGATTGCACCACTGCACTCCAGCCTGGGCAACAAGAGCAAAACTCCATCTCAAAAAAAAAAAAAAAAATTTGAAGTAAGGTTTCCACTGAATGTGTATGGCTTTTGTACCATCATGAAGTCGAAAAATCTTAAGTTGAACCATCATAAGTCAGGGACCATGTGTAGTACAAAATTCGTGCATTGAATTGTTTACTGAATGGCTAACATTAAAAGGCAAATTATCAATTTGGGAAAAAACTTTTTTTTTTTAATTTTTTTTTTTTTGAGACAGGGTCTTGCTCTGCCACCCAGGCTGGAGTGCAATAGCACGATCACAGCTCACTGCAACCACAAACTCTTGGGATCAAGTGATTCTTCTACCTCAGCCTTCCAAGTAGGTAGGACTACAGGCATGCACCACCATGCCTGGCTAATTTTTAAATTTTTTGTAGAGACAAGGTCTTACTATGTTGCCCAGGCTGGTCTTGAACGCCTGGCCTCAAGCGATCCTCCTGCCTCGGCCTTCCAAAGGCCTGGGATTAGAGGTGTGAGCTACTGTGCCCAGCTGGGGAAAGAATATTAATGACAAAGGGAAAATACTTTTTCAAAATATAGACAGATCATTTTCCCCTGTCAAGGGTATTTACAGCCTGGGTATTGTGGCTTATGTCTAATCCCAACTCTTTGGGAGGCCAAGGCAGGAGGATTGCTTGAGACCAGGAGTTCAAGACCAGCTTGGGCAACATAGAAGACCCCATCTCTACAAAAAATGTTTTAAATTAGCTGGGTGTGGTGGCATGTGCCTGTAGTTCTACCTACTCAGGAGGCTAAGGCAGGAGAGTCACTTGAGCTTAAGAGTTTGAGGCTGCAGTGAGCTATGATCCTGCCATTGCACCACACCCTGAGTGACAGAGTGAGACCCTGTCTACAAAAAAAAAAAAAAAAAAAATCTACAAAGTTAATGCCCACTATTGGCTGTAATGGGCCCCCACCTCCTTCACCTGACTCAACTCCTGGTGATTGGACAGGGCCTGTGATGCACTGGATCCATCAGATCCCTCCCCCGTTATTTAAAAATTTCCAGCCAGAGAGAGGGAGGAAGGTGCAGCTTCTTTCTGGTGGCAGAGGAGTTTCTAGCTGAGCAGAAGAAGCCATTCTACAGCAGGAAGAGAGATATGTTCTCAGGAAACCACAGGCCATTTCCTTAAGGAATTTAGAGTGTAGCTTATCAAGAGCTTTAAAATGCTATCCAGGAGTGGTGGCTCATGCCTATAACCCTAGCACCTTGTGAGGTCAAGGAGGCAGAAACTCTTGAGTCCAGGAGTTCAAGACCAGCCTGGGCAACATAGTGAGACCTCGTCTCTATAAAAATTAGCTGGGCATGGTGGCACATGACTGTAGTCCCAGCTACTCAGGAGGCTGAGGTGGGAGGATCACTTGAGTCCAGGCAGTTGAGGCTGCAGTGAGCTGAGATCACACCACTGCATTCTAGCCCGGGAGACAAAGCAAGACCCTGTCTCAAAAAAAAAAAAAAAAAAAAAAGCTTTACAATTGATAATGGTTTTGCTGTGTCCCCACCCAAATCTCATCTTGAATTGTAGGTCCCATAATCCCCGCATGTGGTGAGAGGGACCTGGTGGGAGGTGATTTAATCGTGGGGGCAGTTTCCCCCATGCTATTCTCGTGATAGTAAGTTCTCACGAGATCTGATGATTTTATAAGGGGCTTCCCCCTTTGCTCAGCTCTCATTCTTCTCTCTCCTGCTGCCCTGTGAAGAAGGACTTGTTTTTTTCCCCTTCCATGACTGTAAGTTTCCTGAAGCCTCCCCAGCCCTGCGGAACTGTAAGTCAATTAAACCTCTTTCCTTTATAAATTATCCAGTCTCGGGTATGTCCTTATAGCAGTATGAGAATGGACTAATACACAATATTCTTTTACCCCGTAATTCTACTCCTGACAAACTAAGGAACTAACCTAAAGAAATAATTTTAGGCACAGAGAGGGAAAAAAGCTTCATACATTGAAACACTTATAACATTTTTTTCAGGCCGGGAGCGGTGGCTCACGCCTGTAATCCCAGCACTTTGGGAGGCCGAGGCGGGTGGATCATGAGGTCAGGAGATCGAGACCATCCTGGCTAACAAGGTGAAACCCCGTCTCTACTAAAAATACAAAAAATTAGCCGGGCACGGTGGCGGGCGCCTGTAGTCCCAGCTACTCGGGAGGCTGAGGCAGGAGAATGGCGTGAACCCGGGAAGCGGAGCTTGCAGTGAGCCGAGATTGCGCCACTGCAGTCCGCAGTCCGACCTGGGCGACAAGGCGAGACTCCGTCTCAAAAAAAACAAAAAAAAACAAAAAAAACATTTTTTTCTTTTTCTTTTCTTTTCTTTTTCTTTTTTTTTTTTTTTTTAGAAAGAGTCATCATATTCTGTCGCCCAGGCTGGAATGCAGTGGCACGATCTGGGCTCACTGCAATCTCCATCTCCCAGGTTCAAGTGAGTCTCCTGCATCAGCCTCCTGAGTAGCAGGAGTTACAGGTGCCCACTACCACGCCCAGCTAATTTTTGTAGTTTTAGTAGAGATGGCATTTCACCATGTTGGCCAGGCTGGTCTCGAACTCCTCACCTCAGGTGATCTGCTTGCCTTGGCCTCCCAAAGTGCTGGGATTACAGGCATGAGCCACCGCACCCGGCCTAACATTTATCATATTTTTGCCAAACTTTTTATCCTAAAAAAGCTCAAATCTACAGAAAAGTTACAAGAACAAGATAATGAACACCCATATAGCTATCACCCATACTTACCGATTGGCCAATATGCTCATCTTTCCATTTATTGATATCTACACATTTATTATTGTCAAAATTATTTTATTTATTTATTTTTCGAGACAGAGTCTCGCTGTGTCGCCCAGGCTGGAGTCCAGTGGCGTGATCTCAGCTCACTGCAAGCTCCACCTCCCGGGTTCACGCCATTCTCCTGCCTCAGCCTCCTGAGTAGCTGGGACTACAGGTGCCCGCCACCATACCTGTCTGATTTTTTGTATTTTTTAGTAGAGACGGGGTTTCACCGTGTTAGCCAGGATGGTCTCAATCTCCTGACCTCGTGATCTGCCTGCCTCGGCCACCCAAAGTGCTGGGATTACAGGCATGAGCCACTGTGCCTGGCCTATTGTCAAAATTATCATTGTTATTTGCTGAACTACCCGGAAGTCAGGTACAGATATCATGATACTCCACCCCCTATCACCTCAACATATATCTCCTAAGAAGAAAGACACTTTCCTACAAACTCTAAAAAGAATGACCACATCCAGGAATTTCAACATTCCATAGTTTCATCCAACATATAGCCCCCATTAAAATGCTCCAATTTCCTGAATAATGTCCCTGATAGGTGATATTCTTTTTGATTTATGATCAATAAATGATTACGCAATGCATTTCGTTGTCATAGCTCCTCAGCCTCTTCTAATCCAGAACCATTTCCCAGCACTTCCCTGTCTTTAACATTGATACTATTTTATTTTATTTTGTTTATTTATTTATTTTTTTGAGATGGAGTTTCACTCTTGTCTTCCAGGCTGGAGTGCAATGGCTTGATCTCAGCTCACTGCAACCTCCGCTTCCCGGGTTCAAGCGATTCTCCTGTCTCAGCCTCCCGAGTAGTGGGGATTACAGGCACCCACCACTATGCCCAGCTAATTTTTGTATTTTTAGTAGAGATGAAGTTTTACCATGTTTGGCCAGGCTGGTCTCGAACCCCTGACCTCAGGTGATCTGCCCGCCTTGGCCTCCCAAAGTGCTGGGATTACAGGTGTGAGCCACTGCACCTGGCCAACATTGATAACTTTTAAAGAGTTCAGGTAGCTTGTTCCCCAACTTGGACTTGACTGGTTGTTTTTTAGTGACCACATTCAGGCCAATATCTTTAGAAGGAACACGACAGAGGTGTGTCTATGCTGGGATGAGTTTACAGAGTCCTAACAGGTGTAGAATGTGGAGGAGGTCAGCTGTACAGGGATGGGCATAACCTGGGGCTTACACTAAGGGTTAAGGCTGTATCACTGTGACAATGTTCTAGCCACATGCTACAATATATTGAAGACCTTGGATGTGTTCTACAGAGATTTTGGGATCCACTGTATTCCCTTTTAGAAAACCTTTTTTCCTTACACCCAGGTGATCCGGGATACCTGTGTTGGGGTCAAACATGGGACATGAGGGACCACTATATACTCCCTTTTTTTTTTTTTTTTTTTGAGATGGGGTCTCACTCTGTTGCCCAGGCTGGAGTGCAGTGGCACAATCTTGGCTCACTGCAAGCTCTGCCTCCCGGGTTCACGCCATTCTCCTGCCTCAGCCTCCTGAGTAGCTGGGACTACAGGCGCCTGCTACCACGCCCGGCTAATTTTTTGTATTTTTAGTAGAGACGGGGTTTCACCGTGTTAGCCAGGATGGCCTGCATCTCCTGACCTCGTGATCCGCCTGCCTCAGCCTCCCAAAGTGCTGGGATTACAGGCGTGAGCCACCACGCCCAGCCTCCACTATATACTCCTAATCACTCAATTATCACTGAAGCAGGATTGCCTCGGAAAGGGTCTCTAACACCTCCATTTTCTTTTTTTCTTTTTCCTTTATTTTTGAGATGGAGTTTCGATCTTGTTGCCCAGGCTGGAGTGCAATGGCGAGATCTCAGCTCACTGCAACCTCCGCCTCCCAGGTTCAAGCAATTCTCCTGCCTCAGTCTCCCAAGTAGCTAGAATTACAGGCATGTGCCACCAGGCCCAGCTAATTTTTTGTATTCTTATTAGAGACGGGGTTTCTTCATATTGGCCAGGCTGGTCTCAAACTCCCGACCTCAGGTGATCCACCCATCTCAGCCTCCCAAAGTGCTGGGATTACAGGTGTGAGCAACTGCGCCCAGCCTAACCCCTCGATTTTCATATGGCCCGGGGGAGACCGTTGTGGGGTAAATGCTCTATGGCTTTTTTTTTTTTTGAGAGAGAGAGTCTCACTGTTGCCCAGGCTGGAGGGCACTGGCATGAACATAGCTTACTGCAGCCTCGAACTCCCAGACTCAAGCAATCTTCCTGCCTCAACTTCCTGAGTAGCTGTGACAACAGATCTGCCTCACCACATCTGGGTAATTTTTTAATATTTTTGTAGAGACGGGATCTCACTATAATGCCCAGGCTGGTCTCAAACTCCTGGGCTCATGGGATCCTCCTGGCTTGACCTCCCAAAGTGCTAGGATTACAGGCATGAGCCACTGTGCCCAGCCAGTGGCTCCATTTTTATCTCCAAGCTCATGCTGGAAGCTGTAGGACCACCCCCAGGATCCTTTCAGAGTGACAGGTCAACACTTACCCAAGGGTTATTATGCATGTGTTGCTTACTCCAACATTCATTCTCCTCTTCCTTCTTAACAACATAACCCTGATTTTATTTAAGGCAGCTATTTAACTAGCTAAAAGGCACTTCCCACCCTCTCTAGAAGCTAGATATACCATCTGACCAACTTCTAGCCAATGAAATGCAAGTAGAAGTATTACATGGTATTTCTGGGTAGTCTCCTTAAAAGGAAGGAAGGGAGTTGGGTGCAGTGGCTCAGGCCTGTGATTCCAACACTTTGGGAGGCCAAGAGTTCAAGATCAGCCTGTGCAACATGGTGAGATCCCATCTCCACACACAAAAAAATTTTTAATAAAAAAAAAGTTTGTCTGTTTTTTTTTTGACAAAGTCTTGCTCTGTTGCCCAGGCTGGAGTGCAATGGCACCATCTTGGCTCACTGCAATCTCCGCCTCCCAGGTTCAAGTGATCCTCCTGCCTCAGCCTCCCGAGTAGCTGGGATTACAGGCATGTGCCACCATGCCTGGCTAATTTTTGTATTTTTAGTAGAGACGGGGTTTTACCATGTTGGCCAGGCTGGTCTCGAACTCCTGACCTCAGGTGATTCACCTGCCTCTGCCTCCCAAAGTGCTGGGATTACAGGCGTGAGCCACCGCGCCCAGCCTGTACTGGGTCTTATTCCTTGCCCTTTCTCCTTTCTACTGCTTGAAATATGGGATTCTAATAGATAACAAGCCAATGACAGCTCCATTGTCATCCAGGATCTAGATTCCTTCAATCTTGTTTGTCTGCTTTCATTCATTCATTGTCTCAGGTCCAAGAAGGCTGTTAGAAATCCATGCAACAGGCCAGGTGCAGTGGCTCACGCCAGTAAAACCAGCACTTTGGGAGGCCAAGGCTAGCGGATCACTTGAGCTCAGGATTCAAGACCAGCCTAGGCAACACAGTGAGACCCCATTTCTAAAAAAAGGAATCCACACAACGCTAATAGTTAGGTTCAGTGGCATATAATAGATGAAGTCCAAAATAACAGTAGAATAAACAAGACAGAAGTTTATTTCCCTCAAAACTATTTTTTTCCTTAGGAGAGAAATAAAGTTCTGAGTTGTTTATGCCAGTGTTATTTTGGGGTTTGTCCATTTTATACAATTTTTCTTTTTCTTTTTCTTCTTTTTTTTAGAGTTTCACTCATCGCCCAGGCTGGAGTGCGGTGGCTCGATCTTGGCTCACTGCAACCTCTGCCTCCCGGGTTCAAGCGATTCTCCTCCCTCAGCCTCCCGAATAGCTGGAACTACAGGTGCTCACCACCACTCCTGGCTAATTTTTTGTATTTTTAGTAGAGACGGGGTTTTGCCGTGTTGGCCAGGCTGGTCTTGAACTCCTGACCTCAGGTGATCCACCCACCTCGGCCTCCCAAGTGCTGGGATTATAGGCTTGAGCCACGGCACCCAGCCTCATTTTATACAATTAAAGCTAATCTTCCATCAAACAACCTAGGGTGGGCACTGAAGTGTATTGGAGAAATCAGTGATGGGGCCAGTTCCAGGCAGGCTGTAGTGAAGATTCCTGCTCTATGCAAATCTGCTCCCTACCTTCAGAATCCTACCGAACATGTTAGGATCTTCCACCAAGAAAAGTGGTTAGAGAGACTCCATTTCAGCTGCTTCTGAGTGGGTGTTTTTAACCTCTGCCTCATCCAAAGGGAAGGTTTCAGGTTTTCTAAGAAAAAGTCCCTCCTTCTTGATTTTCCAGCCTCAGGAGATCTCGCTAGGGCCCAGAGTCTAAACCACCATGCCCAATAATGTGAACGAGATGCAACTTAAACTTGTCTGGTAGCCACAACAGAAAAAGTAAAAAGAAAGAGAGAAAATCGGCTGCTCTGTCTATGGAATAGCCATTCTTTCGTTTCTTTATTTTCCTTTTTTTTTTTTTTTTTTGAGACGGAGTCTCGCTCTGTCACCCAGGCTGGAGTGCAGTGGCACGATCTCAGCTCACTGCACCCTCGGCCTCTTGGGTTCAAGCGATTCTCCTGCCTCAGCCTCCCGAGTATCTGGGACTACAGGCGCCCGCCACTACGCCCTGCTAATTTTTGTATTTTTAGTAGAGACGGGGTTTCACTGTGTTAGCCAGGATGGTCTCGATCTCCTAACCTCGTGATCCGCCCACCTCGGCCTCCCAAAGTGCTGGGATTACAGGCGTGAGCCACTGCGCCAGGCCTTTTCTTTATTTTCCTAAAAAAAAAAAAAAAGAAAAGAAAAGAAAGAAAGAAAGGAAAAGAAACAGAATCTTCCTTTCGGCTGGAACCGCCATCTTCCAGTAACTCGCCAAAATGACGAGCACCCAAAATGTGTTCTCTAGGCCTTTTAGAAAACATGGAGTTGGCCAGGCGCTGTTGCTCACACCTGTAATCCCAGCACTTTGGGAGGCCAAGGCGGGCGGATCTCCTGAGGTCAGGAGTTCGAGACTAGCCTGACCAACATGGTAAAACCCCATCTCTACTAAAAATAGAAAAATTAGCCGGGCATGGTGGCGGGCGCAGTGGCAGGCACCTGTAATCCCAGCAACTCAGGAGGCTGAGGGAGGAGAATCACTTGAACCCAGGAGGTGGAGGTTGCAGTGAGCCATTGCACTCCAGCCTGGGCGACAAGAGCAAGACTCCATCTCAAAAAAAAAAAAAAAAAAAAAGAATGCCCCACAAGTGTTACCATGGCAAAAGTGGAAGTCTGCAATGCCACCCAGCATGCTGTTGGCATTGCTGTAAACAAACAAGGGCAAGGTTCTTGCTAAGAGAATTAATGTGCATATTGAGCACATTAAGCACTCTCTGAGCTGAGAGAGCTTCCTGAAGCGCGTGAAGGAAAATGGTCAGGAAAAAAAGAAGCCAAAGAGAAAGGTGCCTGGGTTCAACTGAAGTGCCAGCCAGCTCCACCCAGAGAAGCACACTGTGAGAGAACCAATGGGAAGGAGCCCGAGCTGCTGGAACCCATTCCCTATGAGTTCATGCATAATAGGTGTTTAAAAAAAAAAAAACCTCTGGATTGTAAAAATGTTTCTCTTCATTGAGTAGAAGTGTGGTGTCCTCTCCCCCAAAGAAATATTTAAACCAAATTTTAATTGTGTACTAATTTATTGTGTAATGTCTTTACTATTCAAATTTAGTTTATGTCTTGCTGAAAGATGTGAGGTGGCTTATTGTGCAACAAATTACTGAATTGGTTAGAAAACAGCCAGATATACTTTTTTTCTTTTTTTGTTTTTTGAGATGGCGTCTCACTGTGTCGCCCAGGCTGGAGTGCAGAGGCGCAGTCTTGGCTCACTGCAACCTCTGCCTTCCGGGTAGAAGGGCTTCTCCTGCCTCAGCCTCCCAGGTAGTTGGGATTACAGTCACCCGCCATGACACCTGGCTAATTTTTGTGTTTTTAGTAGAGATGGGGTTCACCATGTTGATCAGGCTAGTCTTGAACTACTGACCTCAAGTGATCCACCCATCTCAACCTCTCAAAGTGCTGCAATTACAGGTATGAGCCACTGCACACGGCCTAGGCCAGATATTATGTACGAAATATTTGTACTTGTTTGAAGATAGTCCTTCTAAATCATCATGGAAGAAATAAAATAATTTACAAAAATAAGTGGAACGTTATCTATTGGATTATGGCTAAGCTCAGGGAAAGTTTAATACTCATAATTGTAGCATTAAAAAGCTGGATTTTGGTCGGGCGTGGTGGCTCACACCTATAATCCCAACACTTTGGGAGGCCGAGGTGGGCAGATCATGAGGTCAGGAGATCGAGACCATCCTAGCTAACACAGTGAAATACCATCTCTACTAAAAATACAAAAAATTAGCTGGGTGTGGTGGCAGGCACCTGTAGTCCCAGCTACTCGGGAGGCTGAGGCGGGAGAATGGCGTGAACCCAGGAGGCGGAGCTTGCAGTGAGCCGAGATTGTGCCACTGCACTCCAGCCTGGGTGACAGAGCGAGACTCCGTCTCAAAAAAAACAAAAAGCTGGATTTTGGCCGGGCCCAGTGGCTCACTTCTGTAATGCCAGCACTTTGGGAGGCTGATGTGGACAGATCACAAGGTCAGGAGTTTGAGACCAGCCTGGCCAATATGGTGAAACCTCATCTCTACTAAAAATACCAAAATTAGCTGGGTGTGGTGGCACACGCCTGTAGTCCCACCTACTCGGGAGGCTGAGGCAGGAGAATTGCTTGAACCCGGGAGGCAGAGGTTGCGGTGAGCCAAGATTGGGCCACTGCACTCTAGCCTGGGCGATAGAGCAAGAGTCCTTCTCAAAAAAAAAAAAAAAAAAAAAAAAAGAGTTTGCTTCTGAATCCTACTAAAAAAATAGATTGTTTAAAGCATCCACTCTTTGTGTGTTACATAGTTACATACTAGTTTGGAATTGCTTTGACCATGCATGAAAAAGGGCTCAGAAAATAATAGTGGTTATAGCATTTGTCTTAGGCCATTGTCTGGCAATAACAATATACCACAGACCCGGGTAAACAGTAGAAGCTTATGTGGGGTTCTGGAGGCTGTGAGGTCCCAAGGTAAAGGTGCTGGCAGGTTTGCTGTCTTATGAAAGTCCGGCTTACTTACCAACAGGCTCCACCTCTTAATACTGCCACATGGGGCCGGGCATGGTAGCTCACACATGTAATCCCAACACTTTTGGAGGCCCAGGTGAGCAGATCACCTGAGGTCAGGAGTTCAGGACCAGCCTGGCCAACATGGCGAGACGCCATCTCTACTAAAAATACAAAAATTAGCCAGCTGTGGTGTCGCGCACCTGTGGTCCCAGATACTCGGGGAGCTGAGGCAGGAGAATTGCTTAAACCTGGGAGGTGGAGGTTGTAGTGAGCTGAGATTGCGCCATTGCACTCTAGCCTGGGTGATGAAGTGAGACTCTGTCTCAAAAAAACAAACAAACAAAAAATACTACCACAATGGGGATTAAGTTTCTTTTTTCTTTTTTTCAGACAGAGTTTCACTCTTGTCGCCCAGGCTGGAGTGCAACGGTGTGATCTCGGCTCACCGCAACCTCCGCCTCCCAGGTTCAAGCGATTCTCCTGCCTCAGCCTCCCGAGTAGCTGGGATTATAGGCATGCGCCACTACGCCCAGCTAATTTTTTGTATTTTTAGTAGAGAGGGGGTTTCTCCATGTTGGTCAGACTGGTCTCAAACTCCCGACCTCAGGTGATCTGCCCGCCTCGGCCTCCCAAATTGTTGGATTACAGGCATGAGCCACCGCTCCCAGCCCTTTTTTTTTTCCTTTGAGACGGAGTCTCGCTCTGTCGCCCAGGCTGGAGTGCAGTGGCGCCATCTCGGCTCACTGCAAGCTCCGCCTCCTGGGTTCACGCCATTCTCCAGCCTCAGCCTCCCAAGTAGCTGGGACTACATGCGCCCGCCACCAAGCCTGGCTAATTTTTTGTATTTTTAGTAGAGACGGTTTCACCATGTTAGCCAGGACGGTCTCAATCTCCTGACCTCATGATCCGCCTGTCTTGGCCTCCCAAAGTGCTGGGATTACAGGCAGGAGCCACCATGCCGGCAATGGTTGTAATCTTTTTTTTTTTTGAGATGGAGTTTTGCTCTTTTGCCCAAGCTGGAGTGCAGTGGTATGATCTTGGCTCACTGCAACCTCTGCCCTCCGGTTTCAAGCTATTCTCCTGCCTCAGCCTCCCGAGTAGCTGGGATTACAGGCGCCCACCACCACGCCCGGCTAATTTTTGTATTTTCAGTAGAGACTGGTTTCACCATGTTGGCCAGGCTGGTCTCGAACTCCTGACCTCGTGATCCTCCTGCCTTGGCCTCCCAAAGTGCTGGGATTACAGGCGTGAGCCACCGCGCCTGTCCGATTGTAATCTTAATGAGAAGTTTTTGCCTCTCTGACCGACTCATCTGGATTGATGCATTTTTATGGAGTGCCGTTAAACCTTTTAGATTTTCTTTGCCTCCTGGTCCTTATGGTTAAGAACCTGCCCTACACCATTCTGTGCCCAGCATTAACAACTTCAGTTGTAGGGCAGGGAAATTCAGATGGATGAAGTTCATCAGATGCTCCTCAAATACCTCACTGCTGGTCACATTGCCTGTCTCACACCGCTGCTACCCAAATGCCAAGAGTTAGGGCCTTGCAAAGGAAACAGAAAACACGTGGGAGGCACAATCACCTGAGGAGTGAGGTTATGCTTGGTGCCAATCACTGAAGAAACAGTAAGTCCTTAGATTGGAAATAAAAACGAGGGTACAGGACAAGGTGAGGTGCAGAAGGTCTTTCTCTCTTGGCTCTCAGTTGCTTAAACAGTAGGTGGTTGTCTTATGGCCCTTGGCACCTAAGGACAGGTGAGGACCTGGAGCATGATGGACCAAGACCAGGGGCTGGTGAAGCTGTGCCAATTCCTTTGGTCTAGAACAGTGGTCTTCAAACACTGCCCTGCGAAGCTCCCAGATTATAGAGATCCTCTGGGGACTGCTTAGAATAGGATAGTAAAAGAGAGTAAAGAGGCCTAGCTGGTCTTGCCCTTTACTCTCTAAGCTCCCCCTAACCCAAGAGAGTTCCTTTTTATCTATTTATACATCAAGATTTTGCAAGCCATATTGTTTTTTTAAATGGCTCCACTGCTTAAAACAAACAAACAAAAAAACCCAGTAAATTAAGTTTAGCCTAAAGCTGCCTCCTACATATTTTAAGTTCTGCCTAAAGGTTTCTTTTTCACATGGTAAACTGTAACTTAACGGGATGTGTAAACAGGCTACAAACTACTCCAGTACCAATCTCCAAGTTTTGCCAAACAAAGGTAACCAAATGTTTGAACCCTATTCAAATAAGGCAAACGCTGCAGGGTAACCAATCCAGCTGTTTCTGTGTGTCACTTTCTTTTTCTGTCCATAAATTCTCTGACCACACAGCAGCATGGAGTTGCTCTGTACCTCTTCTTGTTCTGGGGGTTGACCAAGTCACAAGTCGTTCTTTGCTCAATTAAACTCTGTTAAATTTAATTTGTCTAAAGTCTTTCTTTTAACAAAATGAACAAACAAAACTGAAAGTGGCTGAAATCAATGAAGAAACTGATGCTCAGAAAGGGCAGGCAATTTTCCGAAGATCACACATCTCTTCAGTAGTAAAGCCAAGATTCAAATGACCAGGTCTGTCTCTAAAAACTGTGCTCCTTTACAAAAGAAACAAGTAATTTCCCTGGCTCTCCGCAAAGACACATGCCATTTAGAAATTATGAGACCGTCCAGGCGCGGTGGCTCATGCCTGTAATCCCAGCACTTTGGGAGGCCGAGGCGGGTGGATCACTTGAGGCCAGGGGTTCGAGACCAACCTGGCCAACATGACGAAACTCCATCTCTACTAAAAATACAAAAATTAGCCGGGTGTGGTGGCAGGTGCCTGTAATCCCAGCTACTTGGGAGGCTGAGGCAGGAGAATAGCTTGGACCTGGGAGGCGGAGGCTGCAGGAGCCGAGATCACGCCACCGCACTCCACCCTGGGCAACAGAGCAAGACTCTATTTCCAAAAAAAAAAGGGGGCCGGGCACGGTGGCTCACATCTGTAATCCCAGCACTTAGGGAGGCCGAGGCGGGCAGATCCCGAGGTCAGGAGATTGAGATCATCCTGGGTAACACGGTGAAACCCTGTCTCTACTAAAAATACAAAAAAATTAGCTGGGCATGGTGGCACGTGCCTGTAGTCCCAGCTATTCGGGAGGCTGAGGCAAGAGAATCACTTGAACCCGGGAGGTGGAGACTGCAGTGAACTGAGATTGCACCACTGTACTGGTCCAGTCTGGGTGACAGAGTGAGATTCCGTCTCAAAAAAGAAAAGAAAAAGAAGTCATAAGACCAAGGAGAGATCTCATGCTATCTCATGGAGGACAAAACCCTTACTATGTTCGAGAAATAGCACTTGTTTTTGTTTTTTTTTTTTTAAAGACATGATCCTATTATATTGACCAGGCTGGCCTCACCCTTCTGGGCTCAAGTGACCCTCCTACCTCAGTGTCTTGAGTAGCTGAAACATATGCAAATGCCATCATGCCTGATACTCCTGCTTTTTCTTGATGCCATTCATCAGCACCTAATATATATTTAATTAAAAAAATTATTAAACTTTATTTAACACTTTTGAGGAGTACTGGTCAGGTATTCTGTAGATAATGTAGATAAATGTCTGTATTTGCTTTTTAAAGTTATCATCTCCCTCCACCCCTAGAATATAAGGGCCAAAGCTACAGATTTTGTTGATTTTGTTCATTGCTATTGTGAACAAAAGTTCTCTGAAAAGGAATCTAGAGGAAAAAAGAGTATTGCAGTGGACAGTTTGCAAACCTCAGAGATGCGGCCTTCACTATAAAAGAAGGTGTGGTCCAAAGAACAAAGGGAGGAGTTGGGTTTTATAACAAAAGTTTGGGCCCCATTTCCTGATCAGGTCCATTTATGCAAATGAAGGATTCAAACTTGCTTAGTTCCAATTGGGTGATGCAGCTGAGTGTTGATTGGTCAACACAGCTGAGCCTTGATTTGTTGATACAGCTGAGGCCTGATTGGTTGGTTCAGTTGAGCTTTGATTGATTGGTTCAGGTGAGCTCCAAAAGTCCCAAAGTTAAAGAAGTAGGGGTTTTCTGGAAACTCGGAGTACATTTGTAACCTCTAGTCCGCAAATGGCTGCTTGGCTCTTTTTTTTTTTTTTTTTTTTTTTTTGAGACAGAGTCTTGCTTTGTTATCAGGCTGGAGTGCAGTGGCGGGATCTCAGCTCACTGCAACCTCTCCCTCCTGGGTTCAAGTGATTCTCCTGCCTCAGCTTCTCGAGTAGCTGGGACTACAGGCAAGCATCACCACACTCAGCTAATTTTTGTTATTTTAGTAGAGACGGGGTTTCACCATGTTGGTCAGAATGGTCTCGATCTCTTGACCTCATGATCTGCCCGCCTTGGCCTCCTAAAGTGCTGGGATTACAGGCGTGAGCCACTGTACCCAGCCTGGCTCTATTTGAAATTTATGTCATTAGCCCATTGAATCCATCTTGAAGGGTAGCCTCTTTCAGGTTCACTTTTATTCACCCTGTTGTTTCAGATACTAGAACGGTGCCTAACCACATACCAATTTCTCAGTAAATGTTGTTGAATAGAAGGAAGGACAAATAAATCATGGTCCCAAAATAGGGGATCATAGAGGTAAATAATGTCACAAGCCGTCTGCCAGGGTGCCCAGAGATGACGGTGGATGTTGACATCCGAGTGCCTGTGATGTATCTGGGTTCACACTGAGTGTTGGTAGGGCCAATAGACATTCCAAGGAATGTACTGATCATCTTGGCAGGACCCTGGGGGCTTCTGGAGAAGTGTGGGACACAGGGAGAGCCAGGAATCTTGGCCTCACCCAGAAGGCCAATCGGCCTCGGTGGCATGCGCCTGTAATCCCAGTTACCCAGGAGGCTGAGATGGGAGTCTTGCTTGAGCACAGGAGTTTGAGACCAGCTTGGGCAACGTAGTGAGACCCTGTCTCAAAAACAAAAACTAAACAAAACCCAGCAGGGCAAACAACCAGCTATAAGGGAAGGCAGCCACCCCTGTACCGGCCTTTCTCTGGGGCTTTATCTGGGTGATGGGACTCTTGGGATTAGAGCATTGTTACTGTTGGTTCTGGGCAATTATTTCTAGGTCAAGGTGGGGTTACCTGGCTGTGGGTTTCTTCAGGTGGCATTTGAAATTCCTGGGTACTCTGGATTCCAAGGAAGGCATTAACGAGGGGGTTCTTTCTCTCTGGCAAAGGATAGGTTGAAACTGAAGTGCTAGGGCAGGCGCGGTGGCTCATGCCTGTAATCCTAGCACTTGGGGAGGCTGAGGCAGGTGGATTGCCTGAGCTCAGGAGTTTGAGACCAGCTTGGGCAACGAGGTGAAACCCCGTCTCTACCGAAAAATACAAAAAATTAGCCAGGCATGGTGGCGTGCACCTGTGGTCCCAGCTTCTTGAGAGGCTGAGGTGGGAGGATCATTTGAGCCTCGGAGGCAGAGGTTACAGTGAGCCGAGATTGTGCCACTGTGCTCCTGCCTGGATGAGGGAGCGAGACCTCATCTACGAAAGAAAGAAAGAAAGAAGGAAAAAAAGAAAGAAAGAAAGAAAGAAAGTAGGAAGGAAGGAAGGAAGGAAAGGAAGGAAGGAAAGGAAGGAAGGGGAAGGAAGGAAAGGAAGGAAGTAAGGGGAAGGAATGAAGGAAGGGGAAGGAAGGAAGGGAAGAAAGGAAGGGGAAGGAAGGAAGGAAGGAAGGAAGGAAGGAATTGATCCTAGCACTTTGGGAGGCTGAGACGGGCAGATTGCCTGAGCTCAGGAGTGCAAGACCAACCTGGGCAACACGGTGAAATCCCATCTCTACTAAAATACAAAAAATCAGCCAGGCATGGTGGTAAGTGCCTGTAATCCCAGCTACTCAGGAGGCTGAGGCACGAGAATTGCTTGAACCTGAGAGGTGGAGGTTGCAGGGAGCTGAGATCGTGCCACTGCACCCCAGCCTGGGCAACAAAGCAAAACCCCAAACTCAAAATTCAAAAAAAAAAAAGAAGAAGAAGAAAAAGAAATTGAAGTGCTGAAAAACAAACTTGCTGTACCTACCACATCTCAACTCTCAAGAGACCCACAGGTGGGGGAGGGGGGAGGGATAGCATTAGGAGATATACCTAACGCTAAAGGATGAGTTAATGGGTGCAGCACACCAACATGGCACATGTATACATATGTAACAAACCAGCACGTTGTGCACATGTACCCTAAAACTTAAAGTATAAAAAAAAAAAAAAAAGAGACCCACAGGCGCTTCACCTTCGGTAATTCAACTGTGTGGTCATGGAGTATTCGGTCCCCGCCAGGATGCCTTCAGGCCTGGAAGGTGGCCTTACTGCAGGTGTCTCTTTTTTTCTTTTTTTTTTTTTGGATGCTAGATAGGTTTTTGTTCTCTTCCACCAGTGTCAAAATACAAAGTTTTAGGGCCCTAGTGTTTTCAGGTTCTGAGACAAAGAAGCATCACCCCAAGATTGGGAGCATCTGTCTTTGGCATGAATCTTGGGCCAGGGTATGTGAAGAGCAATACAGGGATGAAGATGGTCTTGCACTTCCCCCAAATAATGGTTGCAGCTGGCGGGGCGCGGTGGCTCACACCTGTAATCCCAGCACTTTGGGAGGCCGAGATGGGCAGATCACGAGGTCAGGAGATTGAGACCATCCTGGCTAACATGGTGAAACCCCATCTCTACTAAAAAATACAAAAAAAAAAAAAAAAAAAAAAAACACAACTAGCCAGGCGTGGTGGCGGGCAATTGTAGTCCCAGCTACTCGAGAGGCTGAGGCAGGAGAATGGCGTGAACCCAGGAGGCGGAGCTTGCAGCAAGCCCAGATCAGGCCACGGCCCTTCAGCCCAGGCAACAGGGTGAGACTCCATTTAAAAAAAAAAAAAAATAATAATAATGGTTGCAACCATTGAAGCTGAACATATGCTCTTTTTCAGGAGGTCAATCAAAGGGAGTGGTGTGGGAAAGACAGGAATTTTACCAGGGGAAGAGTGTACAAAGCCCAGGAACTACTTTGTGTCTCCAATGGCTTGAGGAGTTTCCAATCTAGAACCATGGTTCCCTTTGTTAGGGTCAGCATAGCCTGGCTGAAGATGTTTCTTAGGATGGCCCCCCCAGGTCATGGCAACACATTGTCTCTGTTTCTGGAGAGGCAATCATATTAGTTGTTGGGGAGAGAGGGTTTGTTAAGTTACTGGTTTTTTTTCTTTTTAAAAAATATTCTATTCCAGTCCGTGGCTTGCCTTTTTTATTTATTTATTTACTTATTTATTTTAGAAACAGGGTCTGGCTCTTTCACCCAGGTTGGAGTGCAATGGTGCGATCATGGCTCACTGCAGCCTTGACTTCCCGGCTCAAGTGATCCTCCCACCTCAGCATCCCAAGTAGCTGGGGCTACAGGCATGCACCACCACACCCAGCTATTTGTTTTGTTTTTGTTTTGTTAGAGAAGAGGTTTCGCCACATTGCCCAAACTGGTCTGAAACTCCTGGGCTCAAGTGATCCTACTGCCTCGGCCTCTCAAAGTGCTGGGGTTACAAGCATGCGCCACTGCACCCAGCCATAAGTTACTGTTTCAAAGAGAATTTCAGAATGCGGTGGCTTAAAGAACAAACGCTGATTTCCGTCTCACACAGCAACTGAGATGAGCGTCTAGGTCGGCAGGCAGCTCTGCTCTTGAAGTCACTGAGGGGTCAGGTTTCTTCCTCTTGTAGCTCTTTCTTCTTCATCTTCCTGGTTGAGGCTGGATCGTTGCCTTATTCAGGCTCCAGCAGCAGGGAAGAGACCCTGACGAGAACACGCCGTTCAATTAAGGGCCTGGTCTCACTGCCGCTCTCTTGCCAATCATGAGGACTTAGTACTTGGCCATACCTTACCCAAAGATTGCCCAGGACATGCAGCCTTGCTATAACTGCTTCCTTACTCAGGAAGAAAGGGAGAGTGGATTTGGGGGGCATCTAGCTATCCAACCCCATGGTGGCAGGGAAGTCAACTGACATTCAGAACTATGAGGCCAAGTTCAAGGAATATACATTGAACTAAAAGCCCCTTTAGGATAAACACTGATGAAAAGTTCATCTTTGGGCTGGGTGTGATGGCCCACGCCTGTATTCTAGCACTCTGGGAGGCCTGAGATGGGAGGATCTCTTGAGCCCAGGAGTTCAAGACCAAACTGGGCAACACAGTGAGACCCTGTTTCTACAAAGAAAAAAAAAATTAGCTGGGTGTGGTGACGAGTGCCTGTGGTCCCAGCTACTTGGGAGGCTGAGACAGGAAGATCACTAGAGCCCAGGAGGTTGCAGCTGCAATGGAGCTGTGATCCTGCCACTGCACTCTAGCCTACCTGACAAAGTAAGACCCTGTCTCAAAAAAAAAAAAAAAAAAAAGACCACATGTTGATCTCCCTTCTTCCTTCCCTCCCTCCTTCCTTCCTTCCTTTTTTTCCCATCTTTCTGAGACAGGGTCTCTCTCTCCCAAGCTGGATCCTCCTGTCTCAGCCTCTGGAATAGCTGGGACTACAGGTACACACCACCATACTCAACTAATTTTTATTTTTTTGTGTAGAGATGGGGTCTCCCTGTGATGCCCAGGATGGTCTAGAATTCCTGGGCTCAAGCAATTCTCCCGTTTTAGCCTCCCAAAGTGCTGAGATTATAGGCGTGAGCCACCGCACTGGGTCCCTCCAGCCTTTCCCTAAGCCAGAAGCGTGTGTCCCCCAATTCTGTCAAGCAGTTTGCCTAGAGATATCATTCCAGAGGTGCTGATCATATTCCTTCCTGAAAGTGGGTGCAAGGAACGAAATTATTCCCAAGCAAGCCTCATAGCAAGAGCCACAGTTCACCTGCCCCTACCCTCCCAGGGATGCCACAGTGCTCTGATTGTACCCTTGACACAGGTCCTAGACACAGATAGCTCACATTCTACAGCAAGTAACCCCTGAGGATCCTCTTTGCATATCAAAGTCAGGGACGGAGGGTGGTTGTAACTACCTCACTCTCCAAGTCTCCCCAGTTTGCTTTAGGACTAGGAAGACTACTGAGGCTGCCTCTATCACACAACTGGAAAGGTTAGGAAATTATGTATTTATTTGGACTTGGACTTGTACAGCTTGGCTTGCTGCCTTAGAAAGATTCAGGTGTGGCCAGGCACAGTGGCTCATGCCTATAATCCCAGCACTTTGGGAGGCCGAGGCAGGTGGATCACCTGAGGTCAGGAGTTCAAGACCACCCTGGCCAACATGGTGAAACCCCATCTCTACAAAAATACAAAAATTAGCTGGACATGATGGCAGGTGCCTGTAATCCCGGCTACTCAGGAGTCTGAGGCAGAAGAATCACTTGAACCGGGGAGGCGGAAGCTGCAGTGAGCTAAGACTGTGCCATTGCACTCCAGCCTGGGCAACAGAGTGAGACTCTGTCTCAAAAAAAAAAAAAAAAAAAAAGAGAGAAAGATTCAGGGGCAGTTATCTGGACACTATCCAGCCTAGATTAGCCAGTCTGACAAAGGGCTTCTCAAACTGGCTTGAATTAATGAGAGGAAAGGGCTCTGCCTATTTTGAGAGCCACCCTTCCTTTCTGTGTGCCCCGGGTCCATGGCCCTGTGTAATAATATGGAAATCCATGTGTAACATTGTACTACAACTAGTTTGAGTTGCCCATGAAGGTGGTACAAGGGTTTAGGAGGTATTAGTTATCTATTGTTATGTGATAAATTACCCCAAAACTTAATGACTTAAGACAACAATTACTGTCTTAGTTTCTATGGTTAGGAATCTGGGTGCAGCTTAGCTGTTTGCCCCTGGCTCAGGGTCTCTCACAAGGCTGCAATCATCACTAGGCCGATGGGGTGGGGTCTGCTTCCAAGTTCACTCACGTGGCTGTTGGCAGGCCTCAGGTCCACTCTGATTGCTGGCCAGAGATGTCAGTTCCTTTCTGCGTAGGCCTCTCTAAAAAGCAGCTCACAACATGGCAGCTGGCTCCCCTCAGAGTGAGCCAAGAAGAGAGCAACAGATATGTCCAAGAAAGAGGCCACAGGCTTTTGTAACCAAATCTTGGAAGTGACATCCCATCCCTTTTGCTGTATTTTATTCATTAGAAGTGAGCCACTAGGTCCAATCCCCACTCAAGGGGAGGTGATTACACAAGAAGTCACCTTACAGGCTGCCTACCACAGGAAGCCCCAGAGATGTGATGCCAACAAGGAGTTTGCCATTTGTTAGTTCTAAGAGATGCCGGGAGAGAGGAAAGAGATATTTATCAAAGTCGAGAACTTGAGGTCAGCAGTAGGGAGCTCCACTGGGGTGGAGAGGCTAGGTGGAAGAGGAACCAGGCTGGGCGTGGTGGCTCACACCTGTAATCCCAGCACTTTGGGAAGACAAGGCAGGAGAATCGCTTGAGGCTAGGAGTTCGAGACCAGCCCGGGCAACATAGGGAGACCCTGTCTCTACAAAAAATACAAAAATTAGCCCGGTGTGGTGGTGCACACCTGTAGTCCTAGCTACTTGGGACGTTGAGGTGGGAGGATCACCTGAACCCAGCAGGTTCATGATCAGGCCACTGGACTCCAGCCTGGACAACATAGTGAGACCCTATCTCAAAAAGAAAAAAAAAAGGAGGAACAAAAGAATGAGTGAGAGCCAATGATGGATGACCTGAGATGGGAAAAGGTATAAATGATTCATAAGGGTCACGAAGGAAGCAATCCTGGGAAGCCTGCTCATTACACCCCACTGCTCTCTTATGCTTATGGGGGCAGCATCTTGAAGCATGAAGCTGGGCACAACTGAAGCAGGTGGATGGTGGTACAGTTCAACAAGACAGGAAATAAAGAGGGTCATTGGTTTGCTCTGGGACAAGTTGATTTTGTGGTGCCTGTGGAATGTTCAGGTGGAGAGGTCCTCTGGACAATTGGAAAAGAACGGGAGATCTAAAGAGGGCCTACAGGTGCAGGGTTTGGAACACAAACACTTAGACTGTAGCACAGAGGCTGGAGCAGAGCATTAAGGGAGACTGAGGCACACTCAGTTCCATAGGGCAACTACTGCTGAAAATGGCTCTAGGACATTTACCATTCTTAAGACTTGTCATGACCCTGCTACCCTAAATTGTGTTTAAGTTTTCCTTGAACTCAATCACTTTATTTATTTTTTTTGAGACAAGGTCTGGCTCTTATCACCCAGGCTGGAGTACAGCAGCGTGATCTCAACTCACTGCAACCTCCACCTCCTATGCGCAAGCCATCCTCCCACCTCAGTCTCCTGAGTAGCTGGGATTACAGGCATTCAACACCATGCCTGGCAAATTGTTTACGTGAGACAGGGTTTCACCATGTTGCCCAGGATGGTCTTGAACTCCTGACCTCAGGAGTTCACCTGCCTCGGCCTCCCAAAGTGCTGGGATTACAAGTGTGAGCCACCGTAACCGGCCCTGGTTAATTTTTAAAAGAATTTTTATTTGTACAGATGAAGGTATCGTTATGTTGCCCAGGCTGGTCTCAAATTCCTGGGCTCAAGTGATCCTCAGCCTCTGAGTAGCTGGGACTAAGATGCGTTCCACCATGTCTGGCTCTTTCCTTGTTTTTTTTTTTTTGAGACAGAGTCTCACTCTGTCACCCAGGCTGGAGTGCAGTGGTGCCATCTGGGCTCAATGCAACCTCTGCCTCCCAGGTTCAAGGGATTCTCCTGCTTCAGTTTCCCAAGTAGTTGGGACTACAGGCATGTGCCATCACACCCGGCTACTTTTTGTATTTTTGGTAGAGAGGGGGTTTCACCATGTTGGCCAGGCTGGTCTTGAACTCCTGACCTCAGGTGATCTGCCCGCCTAAGCCTCTCAAAGTGCTGGGATCACAGTTGTGAGCCACTGCGCCTGGCTCTTTCCTTGTTTTTTTAATAACCTTGACAGTTTTGAGGAGTACTGATCAAGTATTTTGTAGAATGTCCCTCTATTGGGATTTGTCTGATGTTTTTCTCATAATCAGATTGGGTTGTGAGATTTTAGGGGGAAGACCACAGAGGCAAAGTGCCATTCTCATCACATCATATCAAGGGGTACATGTGATCAACATGACTGATTATTGGTGATGGTGACCTTGATCAACTGGCTGGGGTAGTTTCCCAGGTTTCTCCACTGTAGTTACTCTTCCCCCACCTTTCCATACTATATTCGTGTGTGTGTGTGTGTGTGTGTGTGTGTGTGTGTGTGTGTGTGTGTGTGTGTGTGTGTGTGTTTTGAGAAAGGGTCTCACTCTGTCACTTAGGCTAGAGTGCAGTGACTCAGTCATGGCTCACTGTAGCTTCAACCTCGAAGGCTCAGGTGATCCTCCCACCTCAGCCTCCCAAGTAGCTGGGGCGACAGGCTCGCCCCACCATGCCTGGCTAATTTTTAAATTATTTGTAGGGATGAGGTCTCCCTATGTTGCCCAGGTTGGTCTTGAACTCCTGGGCTCCTGCCTCAGCCTCCCAAAGTGTTGGGATTACAGGAGTAAGCCACCACACCTGGCCTATACTATATTCTTTGGAAGGAAGTCATTATGAGCAATCTACACTTCAGGAGTATGGAGTTATGATCAACCTCCTTCAGGGTGGAATAGCTACATCAATGATTTGGAATTATTCTGCATGGAGATTTGTCTTTTCTTCCCATTTATTTATTTAGTCTTTTTCTATAAGTATAGACTCCTGGATATTTATTTTATACTTTGGCTTACAACGCAATACTACTTTGTTATTCAAATTGCTCTAGCTTTGGCCATGGGAAGCTCTTTCGGTTGGTTCTTCTGTGGCTTTGACATTTCCCAATCATTGTTTTATTTGTTTGTCTGTTTGAGCATTTCCTTACTTTCAGGCACTATAAGACACTCTAAGTTCATCTTGTATATTTCCTATTCTAGTCCTAGACTTAGTTTATTTTTCCAAGGAGCCCTAGTTCCTTTTATTGGAGAATTGTATTAAAGCCAAGATATGGGTGCTTAGTGCATGCAACTCAACTGTATTTTCTTTTATTTTCTTTTTTTTTGAGACCGAGTTTCACTCTGTCACCCAGGCTGGAGTGCAATGGTGCGATCTCGGCTCATTGCAACCTCTGCCTCCCGGGTTCAAGCGATTCTCCTGCCTCAGCCTCCCGAGTAGCTGGGAGGTGCCTGCCACCACATCTTGCTAATTTTTTGTATTTTAGTAGAGGAGGGGTTTCACCGTGTTGGTCAGGCTGGTCTTGAACTCCTGACCTCAGGTGATCTGCCCACTTTGGCCTCCCAAAGTGCTCGGATTACAGGCGTGAGCCACCACGCCCAGCCTCTACTGTATTTTCTTTTCTTCTTTTTTTTTTTTTTTTTGAGACAGAGTCTCACTGGAGTGCAGTGGCATGATCTCAGCTCACTGCAACCTCTGACTCCTGGGTTCAAGCAATTCTCCTGCCTCAGTCTCCCGGAGTAGCTGGGATTACAGGCTCCCGCCACCACACCTGGCTAATTTGTGTATTTTTAGTAGAGACAGGGTTTCCCCATGTTGGCCAAGCTGGTCTCGAACTCTTGACCTCAGGTGATCACCTTCCTTCGCCTCCCAAAGCGTTAGGATATTACAGGCATGAGCCACCATGCCTGGCCTAATTTTTTTTTTTTTTTTTTGAGATGGAATTTTGCTCTTGTCCCCAAGGCTGGAGTGCAATGGCATGATCTCAGCTCACTGCAACCTCCACCTCCCGGATTGAAGCAATTCTCCTGCCTCAGCCTCCTGAGTAGCTGGGATTACAGGCATGTGCCACCACATCCAGCTAACTTTTTGTATTTTTAGTAGAGATGAGGTTTCACCATGTTGGCCATGCCGGTCTTGACCTCCTGACCTCAGGTGATGCACCTGCCTCGGCCTCCCAAAGTGCTGGGATTAGGGGTGTGAGCCACTGCACCCAGCCTAATTATTTATTATTTATTTTTATTTTTTGAGGTGGAATTTCACTCTTGTCCCCAAGGCTGGAGTGCAGTGGCATGATGTCGGCTCACTGCAACCGCCGCCTCCCGTGTTCAAGCGATTCTCCTGCCTTAGCCTCCTGAGTAGCTGGAATTACAGGCATGCACCACCACACCCGGTTTATTTTTGTATTTTTAGTAGAGATGGGGTTTCCCCATGTTGGTCAGGCTGGTCTCAAACTCCTCACCTCAGGTGATCTGCCCGCCTCGGCCTCCCAAAGTGCTGGGTTTACAGGCGTGAGCCACCACACCGGGCCAAATTTTTTATTTTTTATAGAGACAGGGTCTCGCTATGTTGCCCAGGCTGGTCTTGAACTCCTGGGCTCAAGTATTCCTCCCTTCATGGCCTCTCAAAGTGCTGTGACGACAGGCATGAGCAGCCACAGCTGGCAGATACTGCATTTTCATGCTTCATTATTTCCTGACCTAAGGTAAAGTGCACTATACTTTTGCACACGCCTACATTTGTTTCTATTTTGGTTTCCTAATTTCTTTGCATACTTTAATATTCATTGACTTCTTTGTTTTCTCTATATATCTAAAGCTGCTTAAACAGGCTTTGGCTGAACTGTGTGCAGGGCTTGTCACCACTACATTCCTCAATAGTTCCAAGTCTAGACCTAAGTTCCCGCCGGTGAGCCATTTCCTTCTTTCCTAGTGCAGGATATTGCCATTTTGTACAATAAAACTATAACAGTTGCCTTGGGTTTATAAGCCTGTGAACATTAGAATTCTGTAAAACCATTGTTGGGGAAGGAGAAAAGGAGTAACCTGGACACCTATGGAAGTGAGATGGGTTGGGACCTTTAGCAGAAAAGCTTTGAGTTTCATAAAGATGTATCCATTTTCTGCGCTTAATAAAAAGCCTAGATCCAAGGAAAACGTTGCAGTATTTCTGGTATTTTTTATAATTTATCTCTACTCTTCCCAACCTAAAATCCAAGTGCGGTCAAAAATCCCTTTCCCTTTACTTTAATATTGACTGAGCTTTTACAGAAACAGCTTTTAAAATAAACACTGCGCCAGGAGCGGTGGCTCATGCCTGATCCCAGCACTTTGGGAGGCTGAGGCGGGCAGATCATGAGGTCAGGAAATCAAGACCATCCTGGAGCTAACACGGTGAAACCCTGTCTCTACTAAAAATACAAAAAAATCAGCTGGGCGTGGTGGCGGGTGCCTGTAATCCCAGCTACTTGGGAGGCTGAGGCAGGAGAAAAATATAAAAAATTAGCCGGGCATGGTGGCAGGCGCCTGTAGTCCAAGCTACTCAGGAGGCTGAAGCAGGAGAATGGCGTGAACCCGGGAGGCAGAGCTGGCAGTGAGCCGAGATCGCACCACTGCACTCCAGCCTGGGAATGACAGAGCGAGACTCTTGTCTCAAAAAAAAAAAAAATACATAAAATAAAACAAAATAAAATAAAATAAACACTGAAACGACTGGGCACGGTGGTTCACGCCTGTAATCCAGCACTTTGGGAGGCCGAGGTGGGCGAATCACGAGGTCGGGAGTTCGAGACCAGCCTGACCAACATGGTGAAACCCTGTCTCTACTAAAAATACAAAAATTAGCCGAGCGAGGTGGTGCACACCTGTAATCCCAGCTACTCAGAAGGCTGAGGCAGGAGAATCGCTTGAACCTAGGAGGCAGAGGTTGTAGTGAGCCAAGATCATACCACTGCACTCTAGCCTGGGAGAGAGAGCGAGAATCCATCTCAAAAAAATAAAAAATAAAATAAAATAAAATACACAGAAGCTGCATGCAGCAGCACATGCCTATAATCTCAGCTACTCGGGAAGTTGAGGTGGGAGGATTGTTTGAGTCCAGGAGTTCAAGACTAGCTTGGACAACATAGATGCCATCTCAAAAAATAAAATAGGCTGGGCACACTGGCTCACACCTGTATTCCCAGCACTTTGGGAGGCTGAGGTGGGCAGATCACCTGATGTCAGGAGTTTGAGACCAGCCTGGCCAACAGGGTGAAACCCTGTCTCTACTAAAAATACAAAAATTAGCCAGGTGTGGTGGTGGGCACCTGTAATCCCAGCTACTCAGGAGGCTGAGGCAGGAGAATTGCTTGAACCCGGGAGGCAGAGCTGGCAGTGAGCCGAGATCGCACCACTGCACTCCAGCCTGGGCACAACAGAGCGAGACTCTGTCTCAAAAAATTAAAATAAAATAAGATAAAATAAAATAAAATAAAATAAACACAGGCATACATATCCAAAGAAAAATATAAAAGTTTAGGCCGGTCATAGTGGGTCACGCCTGTAATCCCAGCGCTTTGGGAGGTCAAGGCAGGACAATCGCTTGAGGCTAGGAGTTTGATACAAGCCTGGGCAACACAGTGGCAACCTCATCTCTATAAAAAATAAAAACAAATTAACCAGGCATGGTGGTGCATGCCTGTAGTCCCAGCTACTCTGGAGGCTGAGGCGGGAGGATCATTTGATCCCATAAGTATGAGGATGCAGTGATTTAAAATTGCACTGCTGTACTCCAGCCTGGACAACAGTGAGACCCTGTCTCAAAAAAAAAAAAAAAAAAAAAAAAAGGGGCTGGGCGCTCATGCCTGTAATCCCAGCACTTTGGGAGGAGCCCGAGGTGGGCAGATCGCTTGAGGTCAAGAGTTTGAGAGCAGCTTGGCCAACATGGTGAAACCCCATCTGTATTAAAAATACAAAAATTAGCTGGATGTGGTGGTGGGCGCCTGTAATCCCAGCCACTCAGGAGGCTGAGGCAGGATAATTGCTTGAATCCTGGAGGTGGAGGTTGTAGTGAGCCTCAAGACAGTGCCCCTGCACTCCAGCCTGGGTGATGAAGTGAGACTCTATCTCAAAACAAACAAACAAAAAACCACATACACACAAAAAGAAAGAAAAATATTTTAAAAGCATATGTATTTTTTACAAGCATCATATAAATAGTGAGCTAACAAAGCACAATTTTCTTCTCCTTAGATAACTCTTATTTGACCAGTTTTCATATTGCAGACTTGGGATTCTTTTCTCGTTGTTTTTTTTTGAGACGGAGTCTCATTCCGTCGCCCAGCTTGGAGTGCAGTGGCGCGATCTCGACTCACTCCAACTTCTGCCTCCCAGGTTCAAGTGATTCTCCTGCCTCAGCCTCCCAAGTAGGTGGGACCACAGGCACGCACCAGCATGCTCAGCTAATTTTACATTTTTAGTAAAGATGGGGTTTCACTATGTTGGCCAGGCTGGTCTTGAACTCCTGACCTCAGGTGATCCATTCACCTTGGCCTCCCAGAGTGCTAGGATTACAGGCATGAGCCACCGTGCCTGGCCTAGACTTGGGATTCTTTGAGCTCTCATGTCTGTCTCAATTTGAGGTAGTGGAGGGAGGCCAGCATTGCTGGATTTCATGGGAGTCTGAAATCCTTCCAGGGCTTTCCTAGGTGTAAGCCCGTTTGCCCCTCAGGCCAGCCTGGGAGGCGTGGCAGTCCTGCACTTCCCTGTCCCTTTAAGTTCTCCCTCATTCCCGGCTCACTGAGTCCAGCACTCTGGGCTTCAGGACAAGTGGGTCTAGTTTTCCAAATGTCCCTCCTGGTGTTTGTCTCTCTCTGTCCTGGAAGTTCTACCCTTTTCTCTGTCCTATGTGGCTGGCCAAATACTACTTCTGAGGGTCTTGATAAGCCTGGTTATACCATTCCATGGAGCTGGGTCTCTCGCTAGGTTTAGATGTGGCCTCACTATTGGCCAGGAGGCTTTAACACGGAGTCTGTTCCTTCTTCACTTGGAGTCTATCCCTTTTCCTGGGTGAAGTCATTGCCCTTTCTTCCCAGCACCTCCTAGTGGTCCTCTCTGGAAGTGTTTTGTTTTGTTTAAGTTCCAAGGATATTTGTCAAACTGAAAAGACTGACCTACCCACCCCAGTGATTGCTGAATCCTTTCTCAGTCCCAACCTGAACAGGGACCAGTATCCCAAGTAATGCTCATTTCATTCCCCTCACACTCCCTCCAACCACAATAGGTTTTGCAGAATAAATCACTATAGTTTAATATCCAAAAAGTAACTTAAACATGTAACAAAGGGCTTGCCAACACAAAGATGAAATGGGGTTTCCCCTGCATGGGTAACCAGAAACACTAGCCTCTCGTATGCCCAGTTGGTTATTTAGCAAGTTAGCAAGTAAAGGCAGAGTGAACATTTTTATAGGGGATGCCATGGGGACTGATTTAAATTAAGTGGCAAAATTATCTGTAGACCTTGCATTTTCACAGTCTGGGAGAATTGATGGATGGTTTGATTGGTGCCATTAAAATTGGAGTTTTCTTAAGGGTCCTGTAAGTAGAGGATGTCTCAGAATGTTTATATAGAATATAAATGTCATTCTTGAGTTGGTGACTAGGGTGAAAGCACAAAGAACTATAAATTGAAAGTCTTAACTAATGCCGAGTCAATGGAAGTTATATACAATTTCTCCCTTTCCATAAGTATCTGTTGTTACTGAGGTAGACCACTGGTACAGTGGTTGAGTGTTTTCTAATCCCTTGACATGGTCTAAATTAAATACACACTGTTATCTAGAGGAGAAAATGTCTTCTTGGCATCATCAAAGGAAACTTGGTAAGCTTATTTTCTTCTTTCTTTGGAGATTTACGCTGACATTTGTTCTAATTGTCCTTTCAGTTTCATCCCTCACAACAGAAGCTAGTGAAAGGGGATAAAAAGCTTCTCAGTGTCCTTTGCTATAAAGATTTTTGTTTGTGATTACTTTCCTCTGGAAAGGAAAAATCCTACTTGGAAGACATAGAGTACTAGCAAATGTTAAGCAGAGGGCAACACTCCTGCAGTCAGAGGAAGGTTCTCTTCTGGGGAGAGGACCTGCTGTTGCTTGGCCACATGGCAGCATGGAGTTACAGCACTGGAAGTGGAATCCCGAAAAACTAGGAAAGCTCCAGTGGGCACTCATCTCTCATCATTTTTGGCTGAGCCATAGGCTCTTTTTTCAAACTCAGGCCTGAGACAGGCTTACACACCAACCTAAATGCATCTTCTCCAAATCCCTTTCAAAAACTGCCAGTCATCAAGTTGAGGTTGATCTCTAGTATAAAAACAAAAACAAAAACAAAAAAAAAAGGAAAAAGAAAAAGAAAAAAACCCTCCCAGTCTTCCAGATTGCTATACTTCTCAGGTTTCCACAGAAAATATTATTATAATTATTTTTTATTTTATTTTATTTATTTATTTATTTTTTTTGAGATGGAGTCTCGCTCTGTCGCCCAGGCTGGAGTGCAGTGGTGCAATCTCGGCTCACTGCAAGCTCCGCCTCCCGGGTTCACGCCATTCTCCTGCTTCAGACTCCCCAGCAGCTGGGACTACAGGCACACGCCACGACGCCGGGCTAATTTTTGTATTTTTAGTAGAGATGGGGTTTCACTGTGTTAGCTAGGATGGTCTCAATCTCCTGACGTTGTGATCCGCCCGCCTTAGCCTCCCAAAGTGCTGGGATTACAGGCGTGAGCCACCGCGCCTGGCCTATTTTATTTTATTTTATTTTGAGACAGAGTTTCACTCTTGTTGCCCAGGCTGGAGTACAACGGGCGATCTTGGCTCACTGCAACCTCTGCCTCCTGGGTTCAAGCGATTCTCCTGCCTCAGCCTCCCAAGTAGCTGGGATTACAGGCATGCACCACCATGCCCAGCTAATTTTGTATTTTTAGTAGAGACAGGGTGTCACCATGTTGGTCCAGCTGGTCTTGAACTCCTGACCTCAAGTGATCCACCCACCTTGGCCTCTCAAAGTGTTGGGGTTACAGGCATAAGCCACTGTGCCCGGCAAAAATATTATTTTTTGCAACCTGTGAGAACATGTATCTCAGAGTAAACTGAGGCAAATGCCTGAGGTTTTTTTTTTTTTTTGACGTAGAAAGGTAATGAGATCACACACACCAGAATTGAATCATTTTATCTCCAGTTAAGAACCAGAGAAAAAAAAAGTATTTTAAATCCTGCACTTTGGAGAAAAATGCAATTACTGTTGAAGAGTATATCAATTATTAAGTGTGGAGTCAATGCTATTTTGGTTGCATCTACAATGAGAAGATCATTTCCAGGAATGCCATACACTTCACTTCAGTCAAACCCAGTCCCAGTCTTTCCTCTAAGGCAGAAATAGCAGCACTGAACATAGTGGGAGGAGGGCTAGGATTGTGGGGTTGGGAAATAGATTGTTAGAGGGACAGAAGGGTAAGAACAGCAGGTGTTTTTGAAAGCTAACTCCTAAACTAGTTAATTTTGGTTCATTAATGTTGGTAAAGGGAGCTCTCCTCTTTGCAGAATGGATAGGACACAGTGGGGAACTTCCATTCAGTTTGAAAGTGTCTTTGATTTTTCTTCCGAACAGAATCCTTGCCCAGCTGTTTGAATATGTCCTGTGATGTGATAAGGGTCAGAGTGGGGGCATCCCCCTCTCTCTGCCTGGCTCTCCCACTTCCTTCCTGTCTGGGCTCAAGGCTTGCTTTGCTGGAACGCTTCTTCCCCTGATCTCCAGCACCCAAACAGTTGGATATCAGGGATGTCAATCTACCCCCAGGGCAACAGCCCTCTACATTTTTTTCCCCATATTTTCTATAGTTTCTAAGCCAAGATACTACAGGAAAGAAGCAGTTCTTTTGTTTCATGACAGTGTCATTAAGATATAATTCACAATTTGCCCATTTGAAGTGTTCAATTCAATAGTGAACAGTTCCCTCCTTGTAGGTCCTGGTCTGCTTTCACATTTTCTCCTTCCTCCAGGGACAGAAGGGGTGAAGGCGGGGACCCAGACATGATGGGAGCTGATCTCAAGAACTTTTCTGACTAAAGCATCTGCTGAGTAAGGAATAACAGGGGTACTCATTGACCCAGGATTGGGGCCAGCTAAACGAGGATTTCTGCTGTGCTTTTTTTTTTTTTTTTTTTTCTGAGTCGCCCAGGCTGGAGAGCAGTGGTGCAATCTCAGCTCACTGCAACCTCCGCCTCCTGGGTTCAAGCGATTCTCCTGCCTCACCCTCCCGAGTAGCTGGGATTACAGGCCTGTGCCACCATGCCCAGCTAATTTTTGTATTTTTAGTAGAGATGGAGTTTCACCATATTGGCCAGGCTGGTCTTGAACTCCTGACCTCAAGTGATCCATCCACCTTGGCCCCCCAAAGTGCTGGGATTACAGGCATGAGCCACTGTGCCCAGCTCTGCAGTGCTTTTAAACACGGGAAGCTGGCAGACACGGCAGGTATGGGGGGAAAGCAGTGCCAAGACCTTCTCTACCAGAATGCTAACCATTTAAGAAAACAGAAGTGGTTTTTCAGAAAAAGCCTAGATTTCCTAAGTTGGTCAATTCCAGCCTCACTATATAATGTATACATTAATATAGCCAGTTCAGCACTCAGAGAACAGCATTTAAATCAACAGTAATATTTATTTATTCCTTTATTTTACTTTTTTTTGTTTTGTTTTTGTTTTTTGCGACAGGGTCTCACTGTGTCGCCCAGACTAAAGTGCAGTGGTATGATCATGGCTCACTGCAGCCTCAACCCCCCAGGCTTAATTGAACCTCCCACCTCAGCCTCCCAAGTAGCCGGGATTACAGGCTCATGCCACCACGCCTGGCTAATTTTTGCATTTTTTAGTAGGAACAGAGTTTTGCCATGTTGCCCATACTGGTCTCAAACACCTGGGTTCAAGCAAGCCACCCACCTTGGTCTCCCAAAGTGCTGAGATTACAGGTGTGAGCCACCATACCCGGCCAACAAATAGGTATTGAGCTTCTACAAGGAGCCAAGCACCGTTCTAGGAACTGGGAGTATTGGTGTGAACTGACCCCAGAGTCCTTGCTCTCAAAGGAAGTGAACAGCATCTTGTGGGAGACAGACGGTAAATAAGTAACAGGTGAGGCCAGGCGCAGTGGCTCTAACCTGTAATCCCGGCACTCTGGGAGGCCGAGGCAAGCGGATCACTTGAGGTCAGGAGTTCAAGACCAGCCTGGTCAACATGGTGAAACCCCGTTTCTACTACAAATACAAAAATTAGCTGGGCATGGTGGTGGACACCTGTAGTCCCAGCTACTTGGGAGGCTGAGGCAAGGGAATCGCTTGAACCTGGGAGGTGGAGGTTGCAGTGAGCCAAGATCACGCCACTGCACTCCAGCCTGGGCGACAGAGCAAGACTCCGTCACAAAAACAACAACAACAACAAAAACAAGTAACAGGTGAATAAGTAAAGTGATTTTTAAAAAATAGACTTTATTTTTTAGAGCAGTTTTAGGTTCACAGTGAAATCAAAAGGAAGGTACAGAGATGTATAACCCCTTTCCCCCAACATATATACTATATGTTGTATAGTATATATGTTGTATATATAATATATTATATAATATATTTAATAATTTAATATATTTAATATTATATATCATATATATCATATATAATTTACAATATATTTAATCTATGATATATTAAATATATTATATAATACTATATAATATATAATATTATAAATATATACAACATATTCCCCCCTTAACTAATATCCCTCACCAGAGTTGTATATTTGTTACAGTCAATGAAACTACGTTATTGGCACATCATAATCATTCAAAGTCTAGGCTGGGTGCAGTGGCTCACACCTGTAATCCCAGGACTTTGGGAGCCTGAGGCGGGAGGACTGCTTGAGGCCAAGAGTTTGAGACCAGCCTGGGTAACATAGTGAGACCCCATCTCTACACAAGATAAAAAAAATTAGCAGGGCATAGTGTCACACGCCTGTAGTCCCAGATGCTCAGGGGGCTGAGGTGGGAGGATCGCTTGAGCCCAGGAGGTTGAGGCTGCAATGAGTGGAGATGGTGCCACTGCACTCCAGCCTGGGTGGCAAAGCAAGACTGTCTCAAAGAAAAAGAAAAAAATAAGTCTATAGTTCATATATAGGGTTCACTTTTGGTGCTGGAGATTCTATGGGTTTGGACAAGTTAGATTTTTAAAAATAGGGTAAGGGAAAGAAAAAAATAGGTTTATATGCTAGAATGTGTGGCTGGGGAAAGATTTCTCTCTGAGGAAGTGACATTTGAACTGAGACTTGACTGACAAGAAGGAATGACCCACCTAATGCTCTGGGACAATGTGTTCGTGCTCTAGGCAGAGGGAACAGCAGGTGCCCAGCCTGGCCCAGGTGTAACTCAGAAGATGGGGATGCAGAAACCAGCAAGAATGGGCCTCAGGAAAAAGAGGTAATCTGGTAGAATGCTACATGCTCAGATTTTTTTTAACTAGGTTTCTTTCTTTCTTTTTTTTTTTTTTGAGACAGACTCACGCCGTTGCTCAGGCTGGAATGCAGCATCGAGATCTTGACTCACTGCAACCTCTGTCACTGCAATCTCTGCCTCCCGGGCTCAAGCCATCATCCCACCTCAGCCTCTGGAGTAGGTGGGACTACAGGTGTGCGCCCCCGTGCTTGGCTAATTTTTTAACGTTTCTGTAGAAATGGGGGTCTCACTATATTGCTCAGGCTGGTCTTGAACTCCTGGGCTCAAGTGATCCTCCCACCTCAGTCTCCCGAAGTGTTGGGATTACAGGTGTGAGCCACGGCACCTGACCTAGTTTTCCTTTTTTTTTTTCATTAAAAACATAATCTTTTCACACAGTTAAAAAAAAAGATGAAAGGTTTATAATAACCAACAAAAGATAGGTCTCATGTCTAACCTCATATTCCTAGTCCCTCGACCAAGAAATAACCACTCATAACTATTTTATGTATCTTTTTCAGAAATCTTATTCTCAGCCAGGCACAGTGGCTCATGCCTGTAATCCCAACACTTTGGGAGGCTGAGGTGGGAGGACTGCATGAGTTTGAGACCAGCTTAGGCAACATAGTGAGACCCCCATCTCTATATAAAAAAATGACATTAGCTGGGTGTGGTCATGCATGCCCATAGTCCCAGCTACTTAGGAGCCTGAGGAGGGAGGATTGCTTGAGCTTAGGAGGTCAAGGCCACAGTGAGCTGTGATTGTGCCACTCTACTACAGCCTGGGAGACAAAGCAAGACCATCACCAGTGGCTCACGCCTGCAATCCCAGCACTTTTGGAAGCCGAGGTGGGAAGATTGCTTGAGCCCAGGAGCTGGGAACCAACCTCAGAAACACAGTGAGACCTTCTCTCTACAAAAAATTAAAAAATTAGCCAAGCGTGATCACGCATGCTACTCCAGCTACTCGGGAGGCTGAAGAGAGAAGAAGCCACTTGAGCCTAGGAGTTCGAGGTAACAGTGACCTATAATTGCACCACTGTACTCCAGTTCAGGAGATGGAGTGAGACTCTGTCTCAAAAAAATAAAACAGGCCAGGCGCGGTGGCTCACACCTGTAATCCCAGCACTTTGGGAGGCCAAGACGGCCGGATCACCTGAGGTCAGGAGTTTGAGACCAGCCTGGCCAACATGGTGAAACCCGTCTCTACTAAATTTACAAAAATTAGCTGGGTGTGGTGGTCTGTGCCTGTAGTCCCAGCTACTTGGGACAGAGGTTGCAGTGAGCCGAGATCATGCCACTGTACTCCAGCCTGGAAAACAGACAGAGACTCCATATCAAAAAAGAATAATAAATAAATAAATAAATAAATAATAATAATAAGTAAATTATCTCCAATCCGTTACCCCCCGCCTACACCTCTCTATTTTCAGATCCAATCTGAAGGAATTAAGGAATCACAATCGGCATTCAAAAATAAGCTTAAATGAAGTCCAAGGTGTTAACATTTTATTTTTACTCAAAAAATATATATATATAATATTTGAGACAAGGTCTCACTCTGTTGCCCAGGCTGGAGTGCAGTGGCATGATCATGGCTCACTGCAGCCTTGACCTCCTGGGCTCAAGTGATCCTCCCACCTCAGCATTCTGAGTGGCTGGGATCACAGGCATAGAGTACCACCACATGCAGATAATTTCTAAAAAATTATTTTTAGTAGAGACAGGGTCTCACTATGTTGCCCAGGCTGGTCTTGAACTCCTGGGCTCAAACAATTCTTCTGCCTCAGCCTCCCAAAGATCTGGGATTATAGGCATGAGCCACCGTACTGGGCTTTACTTTTTTATTATGGATAATTTCAAATACATATAAAAGTGGAGAGATTAATAAAATGAACCCCATTATCCAGCTTCAATAATTATCAATTTGAGGGGGCTGGGTGTGGTAGCTCATGCCTGTAATCCTAGCACTTTGGGAGGCCGGGGCGGGCAGATCATTTGAGGTCAGGAGTTCGAGACCAGCCTGGCTGACACGGTGAAACGCTCTATTAAAATTTCAAAAATTAGCCAGGCGTGGTGGCAGGCACCTGTAATCCCAGCTACTCGGGAGGCTGAGACAGGAGAATCACTTGAACCTGGGAGATGGAGGCTGCAGTGAGCTGAGATCACGCCATTGCACTCCAGCCTGGGTGACAGAGCGAGACTCCATCTCAAAAAAAAAAAAAAAATTATCAATTTGTGGCCCATCTCGTTTCATCTATATTCCCACCCACTTGCCCTTGCTCTTGGTTGTTCTGAAGTACATATCAGACATTATATGATCTTCTCCTTAAATATTTCATGATATGAAAGTGGCTTTTGGAAGACTATCTTGTATAATGATCCGCATTCTAGATTCATCTGATTGCTTCCTCTGGCATCACCTAACTGGTTCCTCCCTCCAGGGGGGTGCTTAGTGCTTGGTAGAGAGGAGAGGTGGTGCTGAGCCAGCATGGGAGGCAAGACAGCCTGCATAGTCTGTGGGTTTCAGTATTGGTTCTGGCACTTACTAGTTAGCTTTGGAACCTTAGGTGAGTCAGTCATCTCATCTCCTTTTTTTTTGTTTTTGAGATGAAGTCTCACTCTGTCACCTAGGCTGGAGTGCAGTGGCACGATCTCGGCTCACTGCAACCTCCGCCTACCAGGTTCAAGCGATTCTCCTGCTTCAGCCTCCTGAGTAGCTGGGACTACAGGTGCATGCCACCACGCCGGGCTAATTTTTTGTATTTTTAGTAGAGATAGAGTTTCACTGTGTTAGCCAGGATGCCTCAATCTCCTGACCTCGTGATCCACCCACCTCAGCCTCCCAAAGTGATGGGATTACAGTCATGAGTCACCACGTCCCACCCCATCTCATCTCTTAAAGCCTCATTTCTTCATCTGCAAAATGGGAGTAATAATAACAGTGTTTTTGTGGGCAGCAGAGTGCATGGTGCCTCCTAGAAGGGCTTAGCCATCGTACAGAGCAAGGTCCACAGAGTGGTGATGGGGAGAAGGGTCATCCCAGTCCAACAGGGCAGCATGACTGGAGTGAGGCTGGGGTGAAGATTACAAAGAGGGGCTGTTCCTATAATGGCACCTGTTAATGATTATACAGTGAGCTTTGCAAAGCTGGAAATTTAAGGAAGAGAGTGTTTCTTTTGCTTGAATAAGAGCAAAAAGGGGCCAACTGTGGTAGCTCACGCCTGTAATCCCAGCACTTTGGGAAGATGAGGTGGGAGAACTGCTTGAACCCGGGAGTTCAAGACCAGCCTGGGCAACACAGGGAGACCACATCTCTACAAAAAAAAAAAAGCAAGCTTAAAGGGTCCTAGAGCAGAAGAAAAAGCAAGGACATTGATGTGAGATGGTGTCATAAGTATGACACAGGAGCGACATGTCCCTCTGGTGGCTTCTCATCTTTAAGAATGTGGTTCATGGGGCTTGGTGTGGTGGCTCACCCTGTGATCCCAGCACTTTGGGAGGCCGAGGCAGCTGGATCACCTGAGGTCAGGAGTTTGAGACCAGCATGGTCAACATGGCGAAACGCCATCTCTACTAAAAATACAAAATATTAGCCAGGCATGGTGGTGCATGCCTGTAATCCCAGCTACTCGGGAGGCTGAGACAGGAGAATCACGTGAACCTGGGAGGTGGAAGTTGTAGTGAGCCAAGATCACGCCACTAGACTCCAGCTTGGATGACAGAGCGAAGTCTTTTGATAGACTCAAAAAAAAATAATGTGGTTCATGGCTGGGTGTGGTAGCTCACGCCTGTAAACCCAGCACTTTGGGAGGCCAAGGCGGATGGATCACCTGAGGTTAGGAGTTCAAGACCAGACTGTCCAACACAGCGAAACCCCATCTCTACTAAAAATACAATAAGTTAGCTGGGCTGGGCGTGGTGACAGCTGCCTGTAATCCCAGCTACTCAGAAGGCTGAGGCAGGAGAATCGCTTGAACCCGGGAGGTGGAGGTTGCAGTGAGCCGAGATCATGCCACTGCACACCAGCCTGGGTGACAAGAGGGAAACTCCATCTCAAAAAAAAAAAAAAAAAAAGAATGTGGTTCATGGGGTTGGATGGGTCTGAGGGCAGTTTGTTTATTTATTTGTTTTCCTTTCTTTCATTTTGTTTAAATGATGGGGGCTTGCTATGTTGTCCAGGCTGGTCTCGAACTCCTGGGCCAAAGGGATGCTCTTGCATCTGCCTCCTGAGCAGCTGAGACTACAGGTACACACTACCACACCTGGCTTTGAGGCCATGAGAAGGAACAGGAGCCCCTCTTAGGGGCCTGCTGGGCACCCTCCACCTCAAAGCATAGAAATAAAAGGAAATTCTTGAGCTCCTTCAAGGTAAATTCCAGGCACCTAGCTAGTCCTGAGAAGTAAATAAACAACCTGACAAGCAAGAAGGTAACAGTAGTTTAAAATTTCAGAGGTGTTTGAACCAGAGCAACTCCATCTTGAATAAATAGGAGCTGGGTAAAACAAGGCTGAGATCTAGTGGGCTGCATTCCCAGACGGTTAGGCATTCTTAGTCACAGGTTGAGATAGGAGGTTGGCACAAGATACAGGTCATAAAGACCTTGCTGATAAAACAGCTTGCAGTAAAGAAGCTGGCCAAATCCCACCAAAACTAAGATGGTGACAAGGTGACCTCTGGTCGTCCTCAGTGCTACACTCCCACCAGCACAATGACAGTTTGCAAATGCCATGGCAATGTCAGAAAGTTACCCTATATGGTCTAAAAAGAGGAGTCATGAATAATTCACCCCTTGTTCAGCGTATCATCAAGAAATAACCATAAAAATGGGCAACCAGCAGCCCTTGGGAGCACCTGCTCTGTCTATGGAGTAGCCATTCTTTAATCCATTACTTCTCTAACAAACTTGCTTTCACATTACTGTACGGACTTGCCTCCAATTCTTTCTTGTGTGAGATCCAATAACCCTCTCTTGGGGTCTGGATCAGGACCCCTTTCCTTTTTTTTTAATGTTTTATTTATTTGCTTTTTTTTTTGAGACAGAGTCTTGCCCTGTCTCCCAGGCTGGACTGCAGTGGTGCGATCTCAGCTCACTGCAACCTCTGTCTCCCGGTTTAAGTGATTCTCCTGCCTCAGCCTCCTGAATAGCTGGGATTACAGGCGGCTGCCACCATGCCCGGCTAATTTTTTTTTTTTTTTTGAGACAGAGTTTTGTTCTTGTTGCCCAGGCTGGAGTGCAATGATGTGATCTCAGCTCACCACAACCTCCGCCTCTAGGGTTCAAGTGATTCTCCTGCCTCAGCCTCCTGAGTGACTGGGATTACAGGCATGCGCCACTACACCGGCTAATTTTGTATTTTTAGTAGAGACGAGGTTTCACCATGTTGGCCAGGCTGGTCTCAAACTCCTGACCTCAGGTGATTCAGCTGCCTTGGCCTCCCAAAGTGCTGGGAGTACAGGCATGAGCCGCCGCACCCGGCTGGATTGGGACCCCTTTCCAATAACAATAATAGCTAAGGAAATTAGAATCATGGCATGTTATTTCCCTATAGAAAGTAAAGATAACATCTGCACATATGTCCCTGAGTTGTTTTTCAGAAACCCGTACCTCCACCAAACACATCCACTGGCACACAGACCTCAGATGGCGGACTAACAACTGAACTCAGACTGCCATTCTTTGTTCTAAAATTCTTCCTGAGGGTCCTGGAGGAGGTCACACTTGCAGGCCAGAGCCAACGTTCTTTTTTGCTGATCCCAAATTTTTAGACAAAGCTTCAACTCCTTAATCAATTGCAAATCAGGAAATCTTTGAATCCATTTATGACCTGTTGGCCACCCCCAACACCCCCACTTTGAGATGTCCCCCCTTTTCAGGTCAAACCAATGTATGGCCTCCATGTATTGATTTATGACTTTGCCTGTAACCTCTGCCTTCCTGACTTTAAAAACCCTTACCTGTAAGCCATCAGGGAATTTGGGTCTTTTTTAAATTTAAATTTTAATTTTAATTTTTGAGATAGATAGAGTCTCACTCTATTGCCCAGGCTGGAGTGCAGTGGCACGATCTCGGCTCACCTCAACCTCTGTCTACCAGGTTCAAGTGATTCTCCTGCCTTAGCCTCCCCAGCAGCTGGGATTACAAGCATGCGCCACCAGGCCCATCTAATTTTTGTACTTTTAGGAGAGACAGGGTTTCACCATGTTGCCCAGGCTGGTCTCAAACTCCTGACCGCAAGTGATCCACACGCCTCGGCCTCCCAAAGTGCTGGAATTACAGGCATGAGCCACCGTGACCAGCTGGGAATTCAGGTCTTAAGCATGGGCTGTCCGATTCTCCTTGCTTGGCACTCTGTAATAAATGCCTCACTTTGTCTCGCTGCAATCCTGATGCCAGTGTTTGACTTTACTGCATTGGGTAGTGGACTCAAGTTCAGTTAGGTAACTTTAATGTTACCTAAATGTTAAGTTTAATGAAGCTACAGTGTTAGGAGTGGGTTGGCTGACAATACAATAATGGCCTCCATGCCATATGCAGGGAATCAGAATATGCCTCCCAAAATATGCCATTTTGAGGTAAGGATTATTTTGAGCTAAAGGCAATTGAGAAGAATCAGACATAAGAAAAAAATTATGCCCTCCTCTTCTCTACTAGGAAAGGAAGAAAGATTCTTAACCACTGGAGACCCTAGCCTCTTATCAGCCTAGAGATAGGACCAGAGGAATCTATGTAATGCATAATGCATCTTATAAAACAACACTTACCTTCTGTTAGTTTCCTGACATGTTTACTTTCCCATAGTTTGCCACCCCTAAAAGCCTAAACTCCTTTTCCTTTAGCTGGTTACTTCGTAGCAAATTTATTATTCTTTATTAAGATGCTATACAGGTCACGCGCGGTGGCTCATGCCTGTAATCCCAGCACTTTGGGAGGCGGAGGTGGGCAGGTCATGAGGTCAGGAGATGGAGATCATCCTGGCTAACACGGTGAAACCCCGTCTCTACTAAAAATACAGAAAATTAGCCGGGCGTAGTGGCAGGCACCTGCAGTCCCAGCTACTCGGGAGGCTGAGGCAGGAGAATGGCGTGAACCCGGGAGGCAGAGCTTGCAGTGAGCCGAGATCACGCCACCACACTCCAGCCTGGGCGAGAGTGTGAGACTCCGTCTCAAAAAAAAAAAAAAAAAGCTTCATAAAGCCTCTTGATTTTGATACTAACAACCCTTTGATTTTCTCGGTGTAATGTACTATGCTGTACTTGTTAATAAAGTGTTTCTAATAAACTGTGTTTCTCTTGTTAATTTATCTTTTGTCAGTCTAATTTGTAGGAGCATAGGCCAAGAACCTAGGAAGGTAGAGGAAAAAATTTTTCCCCTCCCTTACACATATTTCTTGCCTCAGCCTTAGATATCTGAGAACTTTTACGTTTTTTCTTGTATCTCTCATTTCTGTTTCTCTGTTTATTTTTGAGAGAGCCTCTGTCACCCAGGCTGGAGTGCACTGGCATCCACCTCCCAGGTTTAAGCGATTCTCCTGCCTCAGTCTCCTGAGTAGCAGGGACTACAGGCACGTGCCACCACACCCAGCTAATTTTTTTTTTGAGATGGAATCTCACTCTGTCACCCAAGTTGGAGTACAGTGGCGTGATCTCGGCTCACTGTAACCTCCGCCTCCCAGGTCCAAGAGATTCTCCCGCCTTAGCCTCCCGAGTAGCTGGTATTACAGGCGCCCACCACCACGTCCAGCTAATTTTTGTATTTTGAGTACAGATGGGGTTTCACTATGTTGGCCAGGCTGGTCTCGAACTCCTGACCTCAGGTGATCTACCTGCCTCAGCCTCACAAAGTGCTGAGATTATAGGCGTGAGCCACCGGCCAAATTTTTGTATTTTTAGTAGAGACAGAGTTTCACCATGTTGCCCAGGCTGGTCTCAAACTCCTGACCTCAAATGATCCACCTGCCTCTGCCTCCCAAAGTGCTGGGATTACAGGCATGAGCTACCATGCCCAGCCATCTCTCTCTCTCTTTTTTTTTTTTCAAAAAAGAAAACACTTTATTGAGGTATGATTAACATACAAAAAACTGTACATATTTCATGTATACAACTTCTTGGGTTTGGAGATGAGTATACACTTTTGAAACTGTCATCACAATCTATGCCATAAACATATCCATCACTTCTGAAAGTTTCTTTCTGTCTTTTTATTATTCCTTTTTTTTTTTCCCTCTGTTGCCTAGGCTGTAGTGCATTGCCTTGATCTCAGCTCACCGCAACCTCCGCCTCCCAGGTTCAAGCGATTCTCCTGCTCAGCCTCCCCAAGTAGCTGGGATTACAGGCATGCATCACCACCCCGGCTAATTTTGTATTTTTAGTAGAGACGGGGTTTCTCCATGTTGGTCAGGCTGGTCTTGAACTCCTGATCTCGTGATCTGCCTGACTCGGCCTCCGAAAGTGCTGGGATTACAGGCATGAGCCATCATGTCCCACTATTCCTTTTTTTGAAATGATAAGAACACCTATAAGATCTACCCTCGCCGGGCGTGGTGGCTCACGCCTGTAATCCCAGCATTTTGGGAGGCCGAGGCGGGTGGATCACCTGAGGTTGGGAGTTCAAGACCAGCCTGACCAACATGGAGAAACCCTGTCTCTACTAAAAATACAATATTAGCCGGGGTGATGGTGCATGCCTGTAATCCCAGCTGCTCAGGAGGCTGAGGCAGGAGAATCGCTTGAACCTGGGAGGCGGAGGTTGCGGTGAGCTGAGATCGCACCATTGCACTCCAGCCTAGGCAAAAAGAGTGAAACTCCGTCTCAAAAAAAAAAAAAGATCTACCCTCTTAGCAAATGCTTAAGTATGCATTATAGTACTATTGAATATAGGTACTATGCCACATCGTAGATCTCTAGGACTTATTCATCCTATATAACTGAAACTTCATACCCTTTGACTTATACCTCCCTGTATTAGAGCTCTGTAAACAAGACCACTCTGAATCTTGGGATAACCTCATAGTGCTATTGAGTTACAGCTCTACCTTTGTAATCTGAGAGACGAAAATAGATGCCCCTTAATAAACTAAGACAGACCCTAAGATAAGGAAACCAAGTTACTGATGGGTCAAGGGCTCAGGGCTTGGCTGGCAAATTTCTAAATTACTGTGGCTAAACTCCCTAAAAATAGGAGTTTTCAATTCTGTTATACAACCCAGATGACAACAACTCTGTCTGGATAGACAGCCATTACAAACATTCTTTTCTGATGAGCTGCTGCAGACCCCAGGTCAGTTTCAGCCAGCTTACAGAGGCAGCACACAAGCTGTCTTTGTGGCCTGTAGTTCACCTGTTGACATAAAGAGCCAAATTCCACCTCATTTTAATGCTAAAGCCCCATCACAAAGTGAACACGATGTATGTTACATATATGTGTACCAATTATGCATGTGTGCGCCTCCCCCGTAAGTATGTATAGCTTTTCCCCCAAGCCTGCTGACTATGTATGATACAGGCCCTGTGAGGCCTAAAACCCAACCTGTTATTTCCCTCTTTGAAGAGAGAGCACCTTCAGTCCACACCGGAGACTTTCTCTTCCTGGCTTGCAAACTGATAACAACAATAAAGCTCTCCTTTCTACCATTCAGCCATCCTGGTGGTCTTCTGAACACCTTCTACAGGGGTCATTCTGCACACTGGGCTAAGTCATTAGCCTTTTATATTTTAAAATGAGAGAAGTTTCCATTTGAATTTCCATTCGAAAAGCTGTCTTTAAAAGTACCAACTGATTCGGCAGAGGCTGAGAAATAAACTGATGTAAATGCAAACATTGAAAAATATGAATTAACAGCAGGGCAAGGGCTTTTTAAAGCAGACAGAGTTGATAAGTAAGCTGCATGGAACAGTAGTGCCCACAGGGTATTTCAATTTCTAAAGCTTTGGGGGAAACGGTGTTTGGAGTCCTCGAACACATCCAGTTATGCAATGCAAAGTGATGGAGGAATCTGTGTTCAAGCCAGAGTCAGCAGTAAAAGGGTCACAACTTTTTACTGAATTTTTTGTTTCAGGTTACTCTGTTGTTGGTCACATGTTTAGACAAATCAATTCACTTATCCAATCTGTGTTTATTTAGAACCCAGGAATGAGAAATGAGCATGGCTGATTTGGGCTAAAGGAAGCATACATGAAGTGAGATGTTTCTAGTGTCATGCACTGAGCTATATACCACCTTCACATCAGCTTGTGATCTTTTCATTACCCCTTTGGATGTAGGTATTATTATCTTCATTCTACGGAGGAGAAAAACTGAAGATCAATGAGGTTTAAGGAACTGGCTCCAGGTGGCTTAGCAAATGAGTTATACAGCCAGGGTTTGAGCCTAGAGAGAGCCCTATAGACAATCTGGACTTTTTTTTTTTTTTTGAGATGGAGTCTCGCTCCATCACCCAGGCTCAAGGGCAGTGGAGCGATCTCGGCTCACTGCAACTTCTGCCTCCCGGGTTCAAGCGATTCTCGTGCCTCAGCTTCCTGAGTAGCTGGGATTACAGGGGCGCACCACCACGCCCAGCTAATTTTTGTATTTTTAGTAGGGACGGGGTTTCACCATCTTGGCCAGGCTGCTCTCGAACTCCTGACCTCATGATCCACCTGCCTCGGCCTCCCAAAGTGCTGGGATTACAGGCATGAGCCACCGCGCCTGGCCAATTTGGACTTTATTGTATGGACAATTTCTAATTATCTACTTTTATATACTCCTTTTAGGTTTTGTTTGTTTTGTTTTTTTTTGAAAACCTCTAGTTTCAAGAGGAGTTTTGCTCTTGTAGCCCAGGCTGGAGTCCAATGGCACAATCTCAGCTCACTGCAACCTCTGCCTCCCAGGTTCAAGCGATTCTCCTGCCTCAGCCTCCCCAGTAGCTGGGATTACAGGTGTGCACCACCATGCCTGGCTAATTTTTTGAATTTTTAGTAGAAACGGGTTTCACCATGTTGGCCAAGCTGGTCTCGAACTCCTGAACTTGGGTGATCTGCCTGCCTCGGCCTTCCAAAGTGCTGAGATTACAGGCGTGAGCCACCACACCCAGCCACCTTTCAGGTTTTTGAATTTGGGAATGCCCTGATGAAAATGGATGGAAGGAAGAGCTCTGTGGTGGCCTTATTCAGAATTCATAGAGATAGGAAAGAACTGGAGTGCAAAGAGATGAGGTAGAAGGTTGTGGCAGCAATCCAGGCCCTGGAAACAGAGTGAGCAGAGTTTGACATGAGAAAACCTGATTCTAGCCTCTGCCAGGATGCTGCTGCTGGGAATGCTCGGGCTAGTTACAGCCACATCTCTGAAGCTTTGTAACTTCGGAGGGGAGGAAAAAATGGGAGTAATTTGCTTTTTTTTTTTTTTTTTTTTCCTAGGTTCTGAAACTAGAAAACCTCTAGGTTCTTTCAAACTCTAAAATTCTACCTTTAAATTGTAATGCATTCTAAAGATTTAGATATGAAGACCCTAAATACCATCCCGAGTCTAGGAGAGAATCTGGATGTAATACTTCTCAACATTATCTTCTCAAAGTACAAAGAATAGAATTGGCTTTAAGAATGCTCTCTAAACCAGATTATATTGAGACAAGCCTATCATTTCTGCATCACTGTTTTCTTTGTTTAAGAAAACGATTTGGGTATTGCTGCTGCAGCAGTGGTTGATGATATTAAAATCAAATAAAAATATTACTCTTGAAACAAATGAAATGATTTAAGCCTATCTCTCTAAGAAATCGCATGAAAATATACCTAGGAGGCACACATTGTATTGTCATCAAATTAATTTGTTTTCTAAGCTCAAATGTAATTTAAAATGAGATATTTCTTCAACTGGTTCAATCAACAGACAGTAGAAGGATTCTACGGAGAGAACACAGGAAATAAACCCTACAATAATGTTAGAGCAAACAATCGGCACTATAGTTCTGTCTTCTATTGCTTGTGATGCTTCTAGAAAGTATTTTTTAACGGCTTCCTGATGAATTGGCTCTTGGTATCAAGCCAGGCTCATCTCTGGCTCACATCTGCAAACTTTTCCCCATCCTCACGTCCTACAACAAATCCATCTTCAAGACCTGCAAAGTTCTTGGTCTCAGCGTTTCTCAGAACAGACCCTTCTTCATCTTCACAGACACGGGGTTGGGGATCCCATTCCTGGGTTGCGAAATGACCTTCTCCTTAGAATGACCCAAAGTGCAAAGGCATCTTCCTGAAATAAAGCTTTCATCAAGCCATTTCTGCTATGGAAACCTCCAGGGATTCCATTGCTTATGGGATCCAATTTAAATGCTGCAGTTGAGATCCCCATTGTTTCAGTGGGCAAGTGCATTATACTTCTTCACAGACTTTAAACCTCCACATTCGAGATTTTGCTACTAGGAATGTTTTGCCCTTTCTCTGTGCCAACTCATGGCCATCAGCACCTCCAATTCTGTCTTGAAACTCACTTTCTTACAGATATTTTTCTTGTTTAATATCTACTTAGTAGATACTAAACAGCAAAGTAGCAGTATCTACCCAGTAGACACTAAATAGCAAAATAGATACTGAATAGCAAACTATTTAGTAGATACTAAAGTAGCAAATAACTCCTGTTTTTGAGCTTTTAATCACATTTAGTGCTCTTAAGATAAATTATCCAAGTCTGGGGATAAACAACTCACAGAGATTTTCATTCTTTAAGAAGCCACCGAGAGTGATTTTACTTAAAAGACAGCACTCACATTTTCAGTTGTCTGCCTTTTCACTAGGAATCCACTTAAGAACCAGCGCAAAAGGACTCCGTTTGGCGACCTCTAGCGGGCACCGGACAATCCTACAAAATTACGAAAAGTAGAGGGCAATGAAAAACTCTTCCCTTTAACCAGCCAGGTTACCCTGTGGTCAGATGACCGCATCTCACCCTACCCCACCCTTATTTTTTTCTTCTAGTATTTGTTTTGCATCTAACACGGTTCGCCTTACAACTCACCTGTCTCGCCTCCGGCGGGCTGGGCTGCCGGTGTCGGGTGTCAGGTGAATGAATTGCTGGTAGCAGTTTAAAATAATCCCTGCCAAGTGGAACCCGCTTTCTGGGCACGGACAAGAGCGCGGGGTAGATCGCTCTGCGGAGCCTTCACGGGGCTCTTCCCGCTCGGAGGGCCGGTGCTGCAGCCGGGTCAGGGGTGCGCGGGGGAAATCAAGATATTTTGAAAAGGAGGATGCAGACGAAGACCAAGAGAAAGGCTGTTTTTGCCGGTGACAAGGCGTTCCTCCCCAGACTTTCATCCCACTCTAAGGGCAGCATCTCGAGAGGGTCCAGGCGCGCTACACGTTAGGCGCCTTCTCAGGACTCGCGCCCCAGAACGTGGGGGCCGGGGCCGGGTCGGGGACCGCTTCCCTCCGCGGGCTGGCAGGCGGCACCGAGGCTGGGGGATGGGGCGTGTAGCCGCCCTCTGAGCACGCGGTACGTGGGTCGCCCCGCGCGGCGGTAGGAAGAGCAAAGTCGGCAGGAAAAGCCGTGGCTGGGATGCCTTCCCTGAGAAATCCTTAGGGGCGATGTCAGAACCCGAGCTGGGCTCCGGACAGTTTCTGGAAAAAGCTCTCCAAACGCCGTCTGTCCCCGCACCCGAGTCCACACTGGGCTTTGAACCAGGGCTGTTAAAAGGGGCCCTGGGGACTGCCCAATTCATCCCGATGGCCCAGGGCAGGACGCGGGAGCAGGCATCCCGGCGCTGGGCTCCCCGCTCCCCCGCCCTGCGGACCCCTCCCCGCCACTACGGGCCGGAGCGGAGGGGGAGGACGGCGTCACGAGGCGGGGAGCCCGAGGTCCAGGGCGGGGCGCCCGGGAATCCCAGCCCGAGCAAGCCGGGGAGGTGCGGGCGCGGGCGGGAAGCGGAGGGCGGCGCGGAGGGAGGTGAGCGGCGCGCGCGGAGCCGGCGGGCGAGGAGGAGGACTGCACAGAGGCCCCGCCCCCGCCGCCGCGAGCCGGCTCTTCGCCGCCTCCGAACCCGCTCACTTTGCCTCTCGCCTCTGGACGGCGGCGGGGCGGCCGCCGGATTCGCGGCCGCAGGGAGCGCCGGAGACGGGGAGCTATTCCGCCCCGGCGGCTCCATTCGGCGCCCGCAGCCCTCAGGGGGTCGGCCCCGCGGCTTGGGAGAGGGCACCGCGGCCTCGGTGTGCGCAGCCCTCGGGCGCGAGGGTCGGCGGCGCGGACACAGCCGCGTTCCCAGCCGGTGGGGCTCAGCGCTGGCGCCGGCGAGGACTCCCCGGCCACCCGCAGGTACCGCCGGGCGGAGGGCGCGCTACTAGCAGCGCCGGAGATACTCGAGCCCAGGGACCCCCGGGCCAGCGGAGGGCAGGAGCGGAGCCCCGAGGGAGCGCGGGCCCCGACGGCGCGCTCCCCCGTCAGCCACGGGCAGGCAGGCCCCGCGTGGCGGCTTGGGGTGGGGGGCTGCAGCGGGGCCCTCGGGCCGAAAGTCCCCCGGGCGGCCAGCCATGACCTTCGGGCGCAGCGGGGCGGCCTCGGTGGTGCTGAACGTGGGCGGCGCCCGGTATTCGCTGTCCCGGGAGCTGCTGAAGGACTTCCCGCTGCGCCGCGTGAGCCGGCTGCACGGCTGCCGCTCCGAGCGCGACGTGCTCGAGGTGTGCGACGACTACGACCGCGAGCGCAACGAGTACTTCTTCGACCGGCACTCGGAGGCCTTCGGCTTCATCCTGCTCTACGTGCGCGGCCACGGCAAGCTGCGCTTCGCGCCGCGGATGTGCGAGCTCTCCTTCTACAACGAGATGATCTACTGGGGCCTGGAGGGCGCGCACCTCGAGTACTGCTGCCAGCGCCGCCTCGACGACCGCATGTCCGACACCTACACCTTCTACTCGGCCGACGAGCCGGGCGTGCTGGGCCGCGACGAGGCGCGCCCCGGCGGGGCCGAGGCGGCTCCCTCCAGGCGCTGGCTGGAGCGCATGCGGCGGACCTTCGAGGAGCCCACGTCGTCGCTGGCCGCGCAGATCCTGGCTAGCGTGTCGGTGGTGTTCGTGATCGTGTCCATGGTGGTGCTGTGCGCCAGCACGTTGCCCGACTGGCGCAACGCAGCCGCCGACAACCGCAGCCTGGATGACCGGAGCAGGTACTCCGCCGGCCCTGGGAGGGAGCCCTCCGGGTAGGACGCACTGCTTCTCTACCCGTCCCGTCCGTCCTGTCGCGTCTGTCCGTCCCGTCCATACGTCCCGTCTCCGTCCTGTCCGCCTCCGGGCGACCGAGCCAGCGGGGTGCGCGCCCAGCGAGGCCCAGGCGCGGCCAACTACGGGACCGGTCGGTCCCCACTCCTACCCCGTTGTCCGGGGCACCAGCGGGGTCTGGCCCTTACACTAGACGCACCTCTTGAGGGCGAAATCCTCAGGCATGGGGAGGGGCGTGTAGAGATAGACAAATGTCCCCTCTTTGTAGTTTACTTTTGCGCAGAGAGCAACCTGCTAATTACATTTTTCTGAACTTTTATTGTTAGGGTTCAACAATTAAGCCTTGAACTAAGCGCAGTTTGAATTATTTGCCAATTTTTGGTAGTGTTTGGAAAGATGGATTCTTGTTATGGTGAAATGTGCACTCTCCACACATTCTATACACTCTGCCCCCGGCATACTATGTGCTGTAATGGAATCGTTATATTATAAAGCAGGTTAATTTATCGATAGACTCTAAATAATGGATGTCTGTGCCCTTTTCTTCCCCCTTTTCCTACAAAGTATGGAGTTAGCAAACCTCTTGTCCACCGTTTGGTAGCAAAGATTCACACTGCGACTTTCAGAGGGTCTATGATATGGGAAGGGAAAAAACCATTACCTTGAGAACAAAGAAAAATCTAAACTGTCCTAAATCCAGAAAACAGTATTTGGGTAAATTTTTTTTTCTACTTTACTAGGATGAATGGGAAAATATTGCAGTCTTTTCTTAGACTGTCTTACCTTGAAGTGGTGATAGCACTTTCCTGTTTTTAGTACAAGTGAGCATATTCAGTGGGAGGAATAAGCAGACTAAGGATGGACTTTCAAAGAAGACAGCCTTTTGGGGCACAAAACCCAAACTGCATATTATAGTTTATCTGTTTGACACTGTCTTAAGATCCTCCTTCCATTCATTTTTTAAATTTAAGGTTGTGCCCTGTCATGTTTTACTGATAGGCATGTACATGTTCGGAACGGCGGCCTTGCTATTGCAGTGGATTACTTCTACATAATATTCTTCCTGTAGGGAGTAAGGATTTTTATATAAATCTAAGAAGTAAATAAAATTGTCTAGTGCCACGGAGTCTATTATTTCTTCTTGGCTTGAAATCGAAGATACATGCTTTGAAAGGAAATTCATTAGGAAACTCATTTTGTTTAGTGAATTAGGTTCTAACAGTTTTGAATTTACAGATAAGAGTTACTTATTTGGTTCTCCAACAATACAATGAAATTAATTTATTTACCTAAATACATAAATGCCTTTTTTTTTTAAGGAGGGCTTTAGGAAAATGGACTTGGAATTTTGATTCTCCAGTAACTGTAGAATTCTAAGGTTAGTGAAGGTTTGAGCTACATTAGCAAAGGAAACAGGAGAATTGAATTATTATTAGTGCAGATAATGAGGGAGTTGACTGAACCAGTATATGAGCAAAACCAGTAAAATACCTCAAATATAATCTTAGGGGGAGGGAGGGTGTTTTGGGAGAGGGAAAGGGCCATATGGAGATCATTAATGTAAAGCATTTGTAAAGAAATGAGAGAAATGCATAGTAATTTTAGGGAGAGAAACACAAGAAACAAAAAAGGGAAGACAGAGATGGAAAAGAGGGAGACTGCAAAAGAAGTGAAGGGAGAAAAGTAATGCTTATTTGTGTATATGTATTTTATGTATGTGTATAATTATTCAAGTCAGAGCTGTTTCCTAGATACTTAGATATTTCAGGCAAAAGCATGTTTTTCTTAGCTTAATGGCCCAGTTTTAGCTTCACTGTCTGAGTGTAGGTATATGAAAACCAATATCTGCAATCCCAAACAGATAAACTGCAGGATGGCCGAATGAGGATGCTGCTCATTACAGAGGAAGCTCCCCTCTGCCCTTCAACAGAGAGGGCCCTTAACCTGTCACTTTAAGTATAGTCGTTAAAACCCTGCTTGCTTGTGGTTGCTGAAATTAGTCTTTCTAAAACATCATTCTCATTATTTGACCATATTTTGCATCTGCCAAATAAAGCCAAAACTTCTTTCTTGGCCTTCAAGGCTCTTTACAGTTTGATGACAACCTGCCGATCTTGACTTACTCCATCATAGTTTGCAAACATCTTTTGAATATCTGTTATGTTCAAGGCACTGCTGGTGTTCCAAATATTGTAACTTTCTGTTGTAAAGAAAAGTTGGTGTCAAGTTGGTGGTGTAGGAATCAGAGGCACAATTGATCTCTGAGAGTTCCGTTGTTCAGAGAAGGCCTTCAGGGTGGTGGAGGATGGAAACAAACCATGGTTGGAAGGTTGCAGAGGTTGTGCACTGCCCAAACTAGCAGGGAGTGTCATTTATTTTATTTTATTTTATTTTTTGCATTTTTAGTAGAGATGGGGTTTCTCCATGTTGGTCAGACTGGTCTCGAACTCCTGACCTCAGGTGATCCACCCGTGTCGGCCTTCCAAAGTGCTAGGACTACAGGCGTGAGCCACCGCGCCTGGCCAGGGAGTGTCATTTATATAAATTCTAGTTAATGCAACCTGTACAACCATATGTGCCCTGCCTGGGAACAAAATAAAAGAGATTTTTTAAGATAAAAGGAACATCGTGGGCAAGAAACTTGTATATGAAGTTTATGGAAGCGTGAGTCCAGTGATGGAGTGAGAGGTGGATAGAGAGCAGATGACAGAAGGCCTTGAATTCCAGGGAGAATAATTTTATTTTGCAGGCAGTGGCTAGCCATTAGCCAGTTTTGTGTTTAGGGTAAATGGGTTATGCATATAAAGTAGTACATGTGGTACATGTGTTCTGTGATTTGGAGAGAGGGAAGATTGTACACAGGAAGATGAGTTGGAGATCTTCCCAGAGGGAGGGGATGAGAGCTTGGATGGCTTTGTGGTGGTGGAGAAATGGAGGAGAAATGACAACTCTGGAAAATACCAGGAAGAGTCAAAATTAATCCAGGGCATTGGAAGGGCACAGGCATCAGGGACTGATGAAGTGGACTTTCCAGGAGTTAACAGTATCCTCTGCCACTTGCAGTCTTCATTTGTCCAGCCTGGCCTGCTTACTTCTTCCTGAGCCACTCAAATGTCCCTTACTGTGCAATGCCTAGCCTGCTGAAATTGGATTATTCATCAAGCCCAATTCAGATTCTATTCCTCTCTTGAAGCATTTACTGATCACCCTAGTGGATGTGATGTTTCCTCCTGAACTCCTTAAGGAATTGCTTATTTGTACTATTTATTTGGCATCTATGATATCCTTCTTAGCGTGATGGTTATATTTTCATATAAACATATCCTGGCTCCTAAGTTGGATTAGATAAAAAGTCCTAGAAGGCAGGTAAATTCTCTTATACTATTTGTTATTAAAACATCTTTTATTTTGTATTTTTGTTGATTGATTGAGAAGAGATCTCACTCTGTCACCCAGGCCGGAGTGCAGTGGTGCGATCAAGCCCACTGCAGCCTGGAACTCCTGGAGTCAGGTGATTTTCCCACCTCAGCCTGTGGAGTAGCTGGGACCACAGGCATGAGCTACCACGCCCAGTGAATTAAGAACATTTTTTGTAGACATGGGGTCTCACAGGCCAGGCGTGGTGGCTCACGCCTGTAATCCCAGCACTTTGGGAGGCCGAGGTGGGCAGATCACAAGGTCAGGAGTTCGATATGGGGTCTTACTATGTTGCCCAGGCCTGTTGTGAACTCCTGGCTTCAAGCAATCCTACCACCTTGGCCTCCCAAAGTATTGGGATTACAGGTGTGAGCCACTGTGCCCAGCTGAAATACTAGGAAATAATTCTTAGTACTTGCCAGAGTTGTCATTTCTCCACTACCGCAAAAATTGCTATTCAGGCACCATAAATATCTATTGTTTATATAACATTTCAAAATATAACCTTCCAGAACTATATCTTCTATTGTATAATTTAAAATGCTGTTTGGGGCCAGGCGTGGTGGCTCACGCCTGTAATTCCAGCACTTTGGGAGGCCGAGGCAGGCGGATCACCTGAGGTCAGGAGTTCGAGACCAGCCAGACCAACATGGTGAAACCCCGTCTCTACTAAAAATACAAAAATTAGCTGAGCGTGGTGGTGGGTGACTGCAATCCCAGCTACTCAGGAGGCTGAGGCAGGAGAATCACTTGAACCTGGGAGGCGGAGGTTGCAGTAAGCCGATATCACGCTACTGCACTCCAGCCTGGGCGATAAAGTGAGACTGAGTCTCAAAAAAAAAAAAAAAGAAAAGAAAATGAATAAGGTCTATCAGGAAACAGCCTGTTGTCCCAGCTACTCCAGAGGCTGAGGTGGGAGGATCACCTGAGCCCAGGAGTTGAAGGCTGCAGTGAACTATGATTCAGCAACTGCACTCCAGCCTAGGCAGCAGGGAGACCCTGTCTCAAAACAAAACAACAAAAAAATCAAGGAACAATTATTTATCAAGTACTTAATGGTACGAAAGGAATAAAGATAAGAGTATGGTTTACTTTTATGAACCTCCGAAATTTTGGCACAGTGCACAATCTAAAGTTTGGAAGAAATCTTAGGTCTTCCAAAGCAATATTTTAGAACTTTTTATGTATGAGGATAATCCTTTTAAATTGATTTGTTTTAGATGGTTAATAATCATATAAAAACGGTTCAAAATCTAAAAGCTACAAAACTAAGCCTTTCTCCATTCTTCCAGCCATTCAGTTCTTTTCCCTAGATGTAACCAAAGTTACTAGTTTTTGGTTTGTCATTTCAGAGACATTTTATATATTTGTAAGTACATTATATATATTTACAAAAGCCAGAAATACAGTGTAATACACAGTCCTGAAACTTGCTTTTTAACTAACAGTGTGTCATGTAGATCATTCCATGTGAGTCCAAGAGCTCCCTGATTCTGCAGCTTCGTAGTATTCTACTGTAGAGATGGCCCATAGTCACTATACATTTATGTCGTTTCTTGTCTGTAGTAAACGCTGCAGTGATTATCCTGTTCATATATATTTTACTTCTTTTATGCAGGTATATCCATAGGATACATTCCTGAGAGTTAAATCATTGGGTCAAAGGAGATATGCACTTGTAATTTTCACAGATAATTCCAAACTACTCTCCAAAAAGATTGTACTGTATCAATTTATGCTTCCACCAGCAATATAGGAGAGAGCGTGTTTCTGCATACTCTGCAAAGTATTTGATCTTTACTATGCTGAAAAGTGAAAAATGGTATCCAGTAGTTTTGTTTTATTTTGAGCAAGATTTTGCATCTTTACATATATTGAGGAGTCATTCATCTTGCTTTTAAAAATGAGATATTTATACCTTTTTCTGGTTTTGTCAATGACTTTCTTAGTTTGAAGATTAAAAATAATATTAAGGTTGCAGTGAGCTGAGCTCACGCCACTGCATTCCAGCCTGAGTGACAGAGCAAGACTCCATCTCAAAAAAAAAAAAAAAGAAAGAAAAAAAAAAGAAATTAGCTCTTTTTATGATATTAGTTGCAAATACTTTGTTTTCTAATTTAGGACCCCATTAAAAGACAACTACAATTGCCTAAAACATAGTAGCTGCACTTTCACTATCTATTTGTTGAGCAAAAATGCATAATGATTAAAAAAAATTGTGAATTCTTTTTTTTTTTTTTTTTTGAGACAGAGTCTTGCTCTGTCACCCAGGCTGGAGTGCAGTGGCACGATCTCAGCTCACTGCAACCTCTGCCTCCTGGGTTCAAGCGATTCTTCTGTCTCAGCCTCCCAACTAGCTGGGATTACAGGTATCCGCCACCATGCCCGGCTAATTTTTGTATTTTTAGTAGAGATGGGGTTTAACCATATTGGCCAGGCTGGTCTCAAACTCCTGACCTTGTGATCCACCTGCCTCTGCCTCCCAAAGTGCTGGGATTACGGGAGTGAGCCACCGTGCCAGACCAATAATTGTGAATTCTAACCATTCATCAACTCTTGAGCTCCTGTGATTGTGCCAGGCGCTGTGCCAGACAGTATGGGCACAGAGGTTCCTACAAAGGGTTCCTGCTGTCATGGAGCTGGGCAGTTAGTGGTGATAGAAGCAGACAGCACAGTAAGCAAATCATTTCAGATTGTGAAAGGTGACGTGAGTTGAGTGAGAAGAGTGTTCTGGGTAGAGGGAGCAGCTAATGCAAAGATGCCACTGAGATGGCAATGGGCTGGGCTTGTCTACAGGACAGAAGGAAGGCCCATGTGGGCTATAGTTTTGTCCAAGGGTAGATGAGGTTGGAGGGCAATGGGACCTATCAGGCAGGGCCTGTGTGCCATGGGAAGGAGTTTGGATTTTCTTCCAAATGTGACAGGGAGGTCTTTGGAAGGTTTTAAGCAGATGAAAGCTATGATATGTGTTTTAAAAACACCACTGGGTAGAGAATGAAGGGAGGGTCAACAGCAGATGTGGAGAGACCTGGCAGCTGAGAGCATATGGACCTTGATCTTAGGGAATAGCAGTGGAGACGGTGAGACGTGACTGGATTCAGGTGAATTATGTGGGTGTTATTATGTCATTAATGACAGCTCACCTACCAGGACTAGGAGAGTGTATGAGATATTTATTGTGTGAAGCTGTGCTAGGGCCCACAGGCACTGGGGACCCTCTCGCTTGACTACTTTGGCTCACACACAGTAAGCCTGAATCCAGTTCTTTTTCTACAGGATCTGCTTCCCATTTGGGGATATTGTGGGGAGCAGACTCTGGAAGAGGGATCTCCAGCATGTTGGTGGGAGAAGGATCATAGATGTCTTTCCTTACTTTACAACTGAGTTTAGTCCTCATTGAGAGGACTGTCTCACCTGTTAAAGATAATAGTGAGCACATTCACAATCTCCCTTGATAAACAGTTCTAGTAATGAATTAATCTTAGAATGGTGATGTTCTTAATGTTTTATCTGATTATTAAGATAAACTAGATTTTTCAGGCAGTTTGCCTTCTAGTAACATCTGAGTATTATTCTGACACTTCCAAGGAGATTAATGTTCTGTTTCTCATTTTAACATATAGACAAGTTGTTTTTTAAAATGACTAAGCATTTGCCGGGCACGGTGGCTCATGCCTGTAATCCCAGCACTTTGGGAGGCCGAGGCGGGTGGATCACGAGGTCAGGAGATCGAGACCATCCTGGCTAACACGGTGAGACCCCGTCTCTGCTAAAAATACAAAAACAAAATTAGCTAGGCATGGTGGCGGGCGCCTGTAGTCCGAGCTACTCGGGAGGCTGAGGTGGGAGAATGGCGTGAACCCAGGAGGCAGAGCTTGCGGTGAGCCGAGATAACACTACTGCACTCCAGCCTGGGTGACAGAGTGAGACTCCGTCTTAAAAAAAAAAAAATGCTCTTTGCTGGCAGCATTTGAGAAGTTGTGACTTCTGAAAGGTCAGACATAAAGTAGTGTCCCCTTTTGTTTTTTGGTCCCTTTTGCCTATAGACTTTGTCCCCTTAGTCAATCTCAGCTTAAGTGTTCTTGTTTGAGTTTTAAATCTCTTTAGCAGGCAAAGTCTTGCTATAATTTTGATCTGCTCTTTAGAAATTTTTTTCTAAAAGTTGCTTCATGTTGGAATTTTGATCTTTAATTGGTATTGCTTTGTGTTGTGGTGGTGAGAATTTGAGATTTTTAAAATGTTAAAATTTCTTGTGTTATTTTAATCCTCAATTAAAAAAATTAAATGATCAAAATGAAACACCAGGTGATGGAAATTTAAATTTCAATTATATTATTTCGATTGCCTTTCAGTTCAATACTGCATAAATCCAATAGGTTTTAAGTACTTTAAAAATAAAAAGCAGTATTTGAAACTGAAGATGAAAGTCTTAGTGCTTTTACTGTGCAGATAAGGTGGATATTTTCAGAAGTCAGTAATTACTAGATCTCTGATAGGATTGTACATAACCCAGAACCTCAGTTAAATTCTGTTCTTTCACAGTAGACTGTTTCTTTTAATGTGTACAGGCTGCTGCCAATTTTAGAATTCAGTGGAAACTTTCTTTTGTCAATGCCCTTTCTGTAACCAGAGTGCTTCTTTTTTCCCTACCTTTTGGTAAGCAAGTTATTTTCAACATTATTCTTTTTATATTTGTAAAATTAGAACTTTCTTCATCGGAAAAAAAGTGTTAAAATGTGAAAAGTTAACTTGCCCTATCTCTTCAATCCCACCACCCAGTTTCTGGGTATTCTTCGAGAAACTTTCCATGCACATATGAACATATATACACATGTGCGTGTACACACACACACAAACACATACATGCAAGTGTATACAATTACATATATATACACACATACAGATTTTCTCTTTTATTATTTATTTATTTATTTTTTCTTCAGACGGAGTCTCGCTCTGTTGCCAGGCTGGAGTGCAGTGGCACGATCTCGGCTCACTGCAATCTCCGCCTCCCTGGTTCAAGCAATTCTCCTGCCTCAGCCCCCCGAGTAGCTGGGACTACAGGTGTGCACCACCATGTCCAGCTAATTTTTGTATTTTTAATAGAGATGGAGTTTCACCATGTTGGCCAGGCTGGTCTCGAACTCCTGACCTCAGGTGATCCACCCTCCTCGGCCTCCCAAAATGCTAGGATTACAGGTGTGAGCCACAGCACCCGGTCAGATTTTCTCTTTTAAATACATAATTGGGATTGTTCTATGATCTTGTTCAGCAATTGGCCTTTTTTACTTAATGATACATTTTGAAACTCTTTTCATGCCAGGAGCAGGGGCTTAGGCCTGTAGTCCTAGCACTTTAGGAGGCCTGAGGCGAGAGGATCGCTTGAGCTCAGGAGTTCGAGACCAGCCTGGGCAACATGGCGAAATCCCGTCTCTACAAAATTTAGCCGGGTGTGGTGACGTGCTCCTGTAATCCCAGGTACTCAGGAGTCTGAGGTAGGAGGATCACTTGAACCTAGAAGTTAGAGGCTGCAATGAGCCGTGATTGTGGCACTGCACTCCAGCTTGGGTGACAGAGCAAGACCCTGTCTCGAAAAGAAAGAAAGAAAAGAAACTCTTTTCATATTAGTTCTTATAAATCTCCCCCATTCTTTAAATATTTGTATAGCATTCCACTGCATGGATGTGCCATAATTCATTTAATAAATGTCTCATCTGATGATAATAGTAATGATTGTAACAGTTAATATTTATTGAATACTGACATGTGTTTTGTCGTCTAAGTCTCATTACAGTCCTATGAAGTAGTGCTGTTACCCAGTTTTATGCCTGAGATTTAGGTACTTTATCCAATATGTCCAGACTCACACAGTGGGTCAGTGGCGCCCTGGGCTCTGATTCCCATGCTCCCACTCTACTCTGCTGAGAAATGCTTAGTTTGATACTAGTTTTTCAAAAGTGCAAACAGTGGCACAGAACACGATCATTTCCACATATCCTTGCAAATTGGTGTGAGTATATATTTAGGCTAAATTCCAAAGTGGAAAATAGCTGAGTTAAAAGGATTGTGCTTTAAACATTTTTTGATAGATACTGCTAAATTTCCGTCTAAAATATGCAAGTCAGAACTATTCTTTATTGATGATAACCATCATCATATGCAGTTAGTAATGAATAGGATCCTATATTAATAACACATTTAATAGCACATTTAATAGCAAACATCTGGAAACAACGTAATTAAAAAAATAGAACAGCTGTTTTTTTATTTTTATTTTTTTGAGACAGGGTCTTGATCTGTCACCCAGGCTGGATTGCAGTGGTACAGTCTCCTTTCACTGCAACCTCTGCCTCCCTGGCTCTGGCGATCCTCCCACTGTAGCCTCCCAAGTAGCTGGGACTACAGGCACACACCACCGTGCCTGGCTAATTTTTATATTTTTTGTAGAGATGGGATCTTGCTATATTGTCCGGGCTGGTCTTGAACTCCTGGACTTGAGTGATCCATGTATCTCGGTCTCCCAAAGTGTTGGGATTATAGGCATGAGCCACTGTGCCTGGCCTAGAATAGCTTTATTGAGATATAATTCACATACCATAAAATGCAGTGGTTTTTGGGATATTTACAAGATTGTGCAACCGTCACCATCTAGAGTGTTTTTGTTTTTGTTTTGAGGTGGAGTCTTGCTCTGTTTGCCAGGCTGGAGTGCAGTGGTGCAATCTCAGCTCACTGCAACCTCAGCCTCCCGGGTTCAAGCGATTCTTGTGCCTCAGCCCCCTGAGTAGCTGGGATTACAGGGGTGTGCCACCATGCCCAGGCCCGGCTAATTTTTGTATTTTTAGTAGAGACGGAGTTTCACCGTGTTGGCTAGGCTGGTCTTGAACTCCTGACCTTGTGATCCACCCACCTTGGCCTCCCAAAGTGCTGGGATTACAGGTGTGAGCCACTGCGTCTGGCCTACTGCCTGGCTAATTTTTAAATTTTTTGTAGAGACAGAGTCTCTCTGTGTTTCCATTCTGGTCTTGAACTTCTGGCCTCAAGCAATTCTCCTGCCTTGGCCTCCCAAAGTGTTGGGATTATAGGCATGAGCCACTATGCCCGATCTGTAGGTTATATTTTTAAAAATCAATTGCAAGTTGGTTTTATGGCTCCCCATTCATGTATTCGTTAAATTCAACAAACATTTATTGAGCACCGACTATGTATTTAGGACTGTTTTAGGTGTTGGGGATATAGCAGTGAATAAAACAAAGTCCTTGCTTTCAATGACCACCTATTCTATTAAATAAATACATAACACTGTAGTCCCAGCTGTTTGGGAGGCTGAGGCAGGCAGTTTGTTTGAGCCCAGGAGTTTGAAGCCAGCCTGGGCAACATAGTGAGATCCCATCTCAAAAGAAAAAACACAATGTAAGTTATCTTTCATGGGATTAGAGAAAAACAACAACAAGAAAAACCCAGAGGGCGATAAGTGTTATGAAGTAATAAGTCAGAATAAGGGGTGTGCAGAGTGTAAGTGTGCGCCATGATTAGTACAGGCCTCTGTGATAGGTGATGCCTGAATAGGGTCCTGGAGGGATGCAGGAGGCACCTGGGAAGATAGCTGGGTGAAAGAGTTTTAAGCATAGAGAAGAGGAAGCACAAACCAATCCCTGAGGCGGATATGTCTTTGGTCAATTGGAGCAACAGGAAGGAAACCGAGAGAGGTGAGAGTGGTGGGGAATGCGGGGGAAGGCAGGGGACGTGTAGCCCAGGAAGCGCCTTATAGATGCACCAACTAAAAGGATTTAGGTTTGATTGTTTTCTTTTTACCATTTGTTAAGGATTTTGGATTTATATCTGAATGTGGGTTTTGAGGAGAATAGAGAATTTGGCTTAATTTTAAAAGGTCGCTTTGGTCTGCATGTGGAGTATAGACTCCAGGGTCCTGCAAGGGTGGAGCCAGTGAAGCCAGTTAGAACCTCAGTAAGAGATGCAGGGTGGGTTTCTTGGCTAGCTCACAGAAGCCTTTGGTACTGGTATTTGGTTTCTCCTGGATGGTCAAGGACTTCCTTGAGTCCTGGGTTCAGGCAGCTAAAGGTCCTGTTGATCCAGGCTGTGGTGTCAGGGTTTCCCTTTTTCTGGGTAAAGATATTCTTATAATCAGCCAAGTGAGCCTCTGGCCTCATGGTATGACAAGGGTCTCTACTCATCCCCCACACACTTTGTTGCAGGACCAATGGGAGTCTGGAGCTGGGGTGGGCAGACTATAACCCGCAGACGAACTCAGGCCCACTGCCTGGTTTTTGTGTAGCCCCTGAACTAAGTAAGAATGGATTTTGGCCAGGCGCAGTGGCTCATGCCTGAAATCCCAGCACTTTGGGAGGGTGAGGCGGGCAAATCACCTGAGGTCAGGAGTTCGAGACCAGCTTGGCCAACATGGCGAAACCCTGTCTCTACTAAAAATAGAAAAATTAGCCAGGTGTGATGGTGCATGCCTGTAATCCCAGCTACTAGGGAGACTGAGGCACAAAAATTGCTTGAACCCAGGTGGAGGTTGCAGTGAGCCAAGATCACGCCACTGCACTCTAGCCTGGGCAACAGAGCAAGACTCCATCTCAAAGAAAAAAAAAGGATTTTACTTTTTTTTTTTTTTTTTTTTTAAGATGGGGTTTCAATATGCTGCCTAGGCTGGTCTTGAACTCGAGCTGAAAGGCTCTTCCTATCTCAGCCTTATGAGTAGTTATGGTTTTTACATTTTGTAAATGTTGAAAAAAAATTGAAAGAAGAATATTTTGTGACTCGTGAACACTACATGACATTCACATTTTAGTGTCCATAAATAAAGTTTTATTGGAACACAGCCACACTCATTCTTTTACATATTGTTTATGGCAGCTTTCCTACTACTTTGGCAGAGGTGGGTAGTTGCAATAGAAACTGTATGGCCTGAAAAGCCTAAAATATTTACTATCTGGCCCTTTATAGGAAACATTTGCCAACCCCTGATTTAGAATGGTGGTGCCACCCAGGCCTGGACTTAACACTTTACCAGTGTCTAGCTACAGGACCTCAGGCACGTTCTTTCCCTAAGGCTGAGTTTGCTTGTCTGTAAGATGGGGATAATGAGAGTACCTGTGATATTTGGTGGCTTCCAGGATCAGGAAGTGATGCCTGATTCTAGTCTTCTAACCAGCCATGCTAAGCGCCCTTGGATCCAACTGAGGACCACCCTGACTTACAGAGTGTTCTATTTCCCCAAAGTACTAAACAATAATTAGAACTTATTGAATCATGATAGTTCTGGTAGAACAGGGGCTTTTATGGTTGGTGTGGGATATCAAGTATTTAGAAGTTAAGTACTATCTGTGTGTGTTTTTGTTTGTTTGTTTTTGTTTTCTAATTTGAGACAGAGTCTTGCTCTGTCACCCAGGCTGGAGTGCAATGGTGCATGCAATCTCAGCTCACTGCAACCTCCACCTCCTGGGTTCAAGCAATTCTTGTGCCTCAGCCTCCTGAGTAGGTGGGGTTACAGACATGTACCAACACGCCTGGCTAATTTTTGTTATTTTTAGTAGAGACAGGGTTTCACCATGTTGCCCAGGCAGGTCTTGAACTCCTGGCCTCAAGTGATTTGCCCGCCTTGGCCTCCCAAAGTGCTGGGATTACAGGCGTGAGTCACCCCGCCTGCCTGATTTGTGTTAATTTCAGAGATGCTTAAGCCTCATTTATGCCACTCTTTTTTTCTTTATTTTTCTTTCTTTTTTTTTTTTTTTGAGACAGGGTCTTATTTTGTCACCCAGACTGAAGTGCAGTGGTGCTATCTTGGCTCACTGCAGCCTCGACCTACTGAGCTCAAGCGACCCTCCTGCCTCAGCCCCCCAAGTGGCTGGGACTACAAGCATGCACCACCATGCCCAGCTAATTTTGTTGAATTTTTGTAGAGATGGGGTTTTGCTCAGTTGCCCAGAACTGGTCTCAAACTCCCTAGCTCAAGGGATTTGCCCACCTTGGCCTCCCAAAGTGTTGGGATTATAGGTGTGAGTGACTAAGCCTGGCTATTCCACTTTTATATGACGATATTCATGCTTGAGCTCCACCTTGGAAAATACCAGGATTCACTACTTGGAGCTGATTGTGAGATGGCAAGTTACTTCTGGGTTCTAGTAAGTGCTTTATTCTTTGTATCTATCCTAGAGAAAGAAAGTTTAGCTATTCTTGAGTCTGACTTCGTAAATCTGGTGGCTGGGGAGGCAATGTGTGATCAAAACTGGGATTCAGGAGATAGGTGCTACAGATTGAGCGTCCCAAATCTGAAAATCCAAAACGTGCCAAAATCTGAAACTTTTTTAGTGCTGACATGATGCTCAAAGGAAATGCTCATTGGAGTATTTTGGATTTCGAATTTGGGATACTCAAGTGGTATTATGCAAATACTCCAAAATCCAAAAAAAAAAAAAAAAAATTCAAACTCTGAAATACTTCTAGTCCCAACCATATTAGAAGAGATACTCAACCTGTATTAAATCAGGGACAGCTGTTTTAGTAATGTATTAAAAGTTTATGATTTTATATGAAATAAACTGGGATGCACACTTTAAGAAAGGAAGTGAGTTATATGTGTTAATATTACCCAGTAACTCTTGAGGCATAACCAAGACGGGACCCTTGCCCTCAAGTAGCCATAGAGCCATCTATGAGAGAAGGTGAGATGGTGCCGCTGTGGAAGGCAGTGCAGGTGGGGGACAGAACTAACACAGCCTGGGGTGTCCCAGAAGGGCTTCTGAGGTTATGTCATTTGAGTGACACCAAACTGTGTTAGTTTTTATATCCTCCACTACCATGTACTCAATTTTTTTTTTTTAAGCTTTACCTAAGAATGTCTTTGACAGGCCAGGTGTGGTGACTCAGACCTGTAATCCTAGCACTTTGGGAGGCCTAGGTGGGAGGATCACTTGAGCCCAGGAGTTCAAGACCAGCCTGGGCAATATCATGAGACCTCTTCTCTACAAATTAAGAAAATTAGCTAGGCATGGTGACGTGCACTACTCCCAGCTACTCAGGAGGCTGAAGTGGGAGAATTGCTTGAGCCCAGGAGGTCGGGGCTGCAGTGAGCCATGAAGGTGCCATTGCACTCCAACCTGGGCAACATAGTGAGACCCTATCTCAAAAAAAATTCTAGTTTAATATATAATATGATAAATATAGATAGATGTAATTTACATAAAACAAAAGCTCCTTTAGATCCTCAGGAGTTGAGTGTAAAGGGGTCCTGAGCCGCAAAAGTTTGAGAACCATGGTTTTAAAGGCAACCAGTTTCCAAGTCCTCAACTTCAATGTGGACACCTATAACAAGTAGGCCTGAGAACGTGCCTGTGGTAAAGGCTCCAGGCTCTCCTTTCACAATTCCAACTCCCACTTTACAAACGAAAAACACTCCTCTCACTCATCCAGAACCTTACTAAGGTGCGTTGTGTCAGGGTATAAAACCCTGTGGGATGCCCGTGAAAGAGGTGACTCAAAAAAATATATATATATTTTTTGAGACGGGGTCTTGCTTTGTCACCCAGGCTGGAGTGCAGTGGCACGATCTTGGCTCACTGCAACTTCTGTCTCCTGGGTTCAAACGATTCTCTGGCCTCAGCCTCCCTAGTAGCTGGGATTACAGACATGCACTACCATGCTTGGCTAATTTTTATATTTTTAATAGAGACGGATTTTCGCTATGCTGGCCAGGCTAGTCTCGAACTCCTGACCTCAGGTGATCCACCCACCTCGGCCTCCCAAAGTGCTAGGATTGCAGGTCTGAGCCACCATGTCCGACCCCGACACAAATATCTAATAAAAATTTTGTATTGACCAGCTACTTGGGAGGCTGGGGCAGGAGAACGGCGTGAACCCGGGAGGTGGAGGTTGCAGTGAGCCGAGATTGCGCCACTGCACTCCAGCCTGGGCGACAGAGCAAGACTCCGTCTCAAAAAAAAAAAAAAAAAATATATGTGTGTGTGTGTGTGTGTGTGTGTGTGTGTGTGTATATATATGTGTGTGTATATATATGTATATACACACACATATATATAGTATTGAAAAATTTGTCTTGAAATATTTTAATGTATCGTCCCTTTCTGCCTTTAAGCATAAGAGTAACTAGTGTATTTAGCAGTCACTGGAAACCTTTTGATCTAAGTATTTTTTTTTAATCAGTACTTTTTTTTTTCTTTTTTTTTTTTGAAACAGAGTCTTGCTCTGTCGCTCAGGCTGGAGTGCAGTGGCGTAATCTCAGCTCCCTGCAACCTCCGCCTCCCGGGTTCACACCATTCTCCTGCCTCAGCCTCCTGAGCAGCTGGGACTACAGGTGCCTGCCACCACGCCCGGCTAATTTTTTTTTTTTATATTTTTTAGTAGAGACGGGGTTTCACCGTGTTAGCCAGGATGGTCTCGATCTCCGGACCTCGTGATCTCGCCGTCTCAGCCTCCCAAAGTGCTGGGATTACAGGTGTGAGCCACCACGCCCGGCCTTAAGCAGTACTTTTGAAGAAGTGAGAAAGTGAATGACTCTAATCATGGGCAACAAATTCTTTTGCAAAGTTATATGATTATCAGTTCTTTGCTTTTTACAAATGTTTTATTTTGTCCGGGCATGGTGGCTCACACCTGTAATCCCAGCACTTTGGGAGGCTGAGGCTGGCAGATCACTTGAGGCCAGGAGTTCGAGACCAGCCTGGCCAACATGGTGAAACCCCGTCTCTACTAAAAATACAAAAAACATTAGCCAGGCATGGTGGTGTGCGCCTATAACCCCAGCTACTTGGGAGGCTTAGGCATGAGAATCTCTTGAACCCGGGAGGTAGAGGTTGCAGTGAGCTGAGATCGTGCCACTGCACTCCAGCTGGGGTGACAGAGCAAGATTCTGTCTCAAAAATTTTTTTTTTTTTAAATTTTTATTGAGAAGGATCTCACTCTGTTGTCCAGGCTGGATTACAGTGGCATGATCTCAGCCCACTGCAGCCTTAACCTCCTGGGCTCAGGCAATCCTCCCACTTCAGCCTCTCAAGTAGCTGAGATTCCAGGCCTGTGCCACTGTACCTGGCTAATTTTTTGTATTTTTTTTTTGTAGAGACTGGGTTTCTCTATGTTGCCCAGGCTGGTCTCGAACTCCTGAGTTCAAGCAATCCTCCCACCTCGGCTTCCCAAAGTGCTGGGATAACAGGTTTGAGTCACTGCGCCCGGCCTGGTTGTAAAATTTGTAACAGATAAAGAGACATGAATAATTGAAAAAATTTTAAAAAACTGTACTTACTTTATTTAAAAAGTTTCAATAGAATTTTAATGTTTTATTAATTATTATTATTATATGAGACGGAGTTCACTCTTGTTGCCCAGGCTGGGGTGCAATGGCACGATCTTGGCTCACTGCAACCTCTGTCTCCCGGGTTCAAGTGATTCTCCTGCCTCAGCCTCCCGAGTAGCTGGGATTACAGGCATGTGCCACCACTCCTGGCTAATTTTGTATTTTTAGTAGATACGGGGTTTCACCATGTTGGTCAGGCTAGTCTCAGAAACTCCTGACTTCAGGTGATCCACCCACCTTGGCTTCCTTAAGTGCTGGGATTACAGGCTGAGCCACTGTGCTTGGCCCGATTTTATTAATTTTATACTGAATTTTGTAATATTCATGTTTTGATCAATTGCATCCTATTAATACTTGGAGTGGTAACTTGATGAAAAAATTTGACACAATTTACAGTCACAGGAATTTTTTTTTTTTTTTTTTTAAAGAGACAGAGTCTCAGACCGGGCGCAGCAGCTCATGCCTGTAATCACAGAACTTTGGGAGGCTGAGGTGGGCAGATCAGTTGAGGCCAGGAGTTCGAGACCAGCTTGGCCAACATGGCGAAATCCCGTGTCTACAAAAAAATAAAAGAATTAGCCAGGTGTAATGATGTGCACCTCTTATCCCAGCTATCCGGGAGGCTGAGGCACGAGAATCACTTGAACCTGGGAGAAAGAGGTTGCAGTGAGCCAAGATCGCACCACTGTACTCCTCCAGCCTGGGCGACAGAGCGAGACTCTATCTCAAAAAAAAAAAAAAAAAAAAGAGACAGAGGCTTGTTCTGTCACTCAGGCTGGAGTACAGTGGTGTGATCATAACTCACTGAAGCACCAAATTCCTGGCTCAGGCTATCCTCCTGCCTCAGCCTCTCAAGTAGCTGGGACTACACTGCACCCAGTAGCACAGGAAATTTTAAACAGTTAAATTGTAAGCCTATTTTTTGTTGTTGCAGAGAAAGGTAATGGGTGTTTACAAAATTTCAAGTATCAAAATATATTACAGTAGGTCCTTTTAAACCTTTGTTATAGAAGTTTGTTCAGCAAATATACTGAACACCTGTGTACTGTGTGCTAAGGACACAATGATGAGAAGACAGGAAATAAGGTAGCTTCCTTGCCCTTGTGTAGCCTGGTCTAATTATGATTAGTTTGCAGAAGTCGTGTACATTGGGTCAGCTGCCACTGGAGTAAGGCAGGCTGGCTCCTCCCAAACCTATTGCTTTCAAAGGATTCATCAGAACAAAAGAATTCCCCTTTATGTGTTCTCTTTAATTTGTCCATATGTAATTTTCTTTTTGTTTTACAACAAAAATTTTAAGTGAAAATTACAATGTAGTGCATAAAACTTAAGTGTAAGATTTGATAAAATTTGACAAATGTTTAAAAAATATATCAGGGCAAAATTAAGTGGGAGAAGCAGAATAGAAATATATGAGAAGAAGTAGCAATGTAAATTTTCTGTTAAAGATTAGTATATATTTTTTAAAATGAGAGTTGGTAGGTATATCAAAACATAATATTTAGATTCATAACCGTTTTTAAAATATATTTATTTTTTCTTTTGAGATGGAGTCTTGCTCTGTCACCAGGCTAGAGTGCAGTAGTGCCATCTTGGCTCACTGCAACCTGCGCCTCCTGGGTTCAAGCGATTCTCGTGCCTCAGCCTCCCGAGTAGCTGGGATTATAGGCATGCGTCACCATGCCCAGCTAATTTTTGTATTTTTAGTAGAGACAGGGTTTCACCACGTTGGCCAGGCTGGTCTCGAACTCCTGAACTCAGGTGATCCGCCCACCTTGGCCTCCCAAAGTGCTGGGATTACAGGTATGAGCCACCATGCCTGGCCGAACAGTGTTTTTTTTTCTCTCCGAGATGAACTCTTGCTCTGTCGCCCAGAGCAAGGGTTGTGGGATCCCACTGCTCTAGGTCACTAAGTCAAAATAGCATCACCAAGAGTCAGAAGATAAGGATGGTCAGCAAGGGGTGATCTCGGCTCACTGCAACCTCTGCCTCCTGGGTTCAAGCGATTCTCCTGCCTCAGCCTCCCAAGTAGCTGGGACTGCAGGTGTGTACCACCACACCCAGCTAATTTTTGTATTTTTAGTAGAGACGGGGTTTCACCATGTTGGCCAGGCTGGTCTCGAACTCCTGGCCTCAAGTGATCCAGCTGCCTCTGCTTCCCAAAGTGGTGGGATTACAGGCGTGAGCCACCGCGCCTGGCCTAACCTGAATAATTTATTTAAATGTTGGTGCTAAGTCATTACAGCAAATGCTTTGAAGATTTTTTTTTTCTAATATAAGTGTTGAAAATAAAGCAAAATTTAAGCATTTAAAAACCGAATTCCTTATGCCAATCAAAATGTGTTTTTCTTGACTACATCTATCAAAAACCTAAGAAGCAGAACAAATCAATCTGTGAAATAAAAGAAACACATGCTTTACAGCCAGCTATGGTGGCTTACTCCTGTAATCCCAGCACTTTGGGAGGCTGAGGCAGGCAGATCACTTGAGGTCAGGAGTTCGAGACCAGCCTGGCCAACATGGTGAAAACATATCTCTACTAAAAATACAAAAATTAGTCAGGCATGGTGGTGTGTGCCTGTAGTCCCAGCTACTCAGGAGGCTGAGGCAGGAGAATCCCTTGAACCTGGGAGGCGGAGGTTGCAGTGAGCTGAGATCGGGCCACTGAACTCCACCATGGGAGACAGAGTGAGACTGTCTCAAAAAAACAAACAAAAAAAAAAGAAACATGCTTTACAATGGTAGAAGAGGAAATTATGCATAAAAGTCATTATAAAGTCTTTCAGGCATATAAAAAACAATAGATGATAACACAATTAATACCTGTTTACCCACTACCCAATTAAAGAAATAAAACATTAAAAATATTGTTGAGGGCCGGACGCGGTGGCTCACACCTGTAATCTCAGCACTTTGGGAGGCCGAGGCAGGTGGATCATGAGGTCAGGAGATGGAGACCATCTGGGCTAACACGGTGAAACCCCGTCTCTACTAAAAATAGATTAGCCGGGCGTGGTGGCGGGTGCCTGTAGTCCCAGCTACTTGGGAGGCTGAGGCAGGAGAATAGCGTGAACCTGGGAGGCGGAGCTTGCAGTGAGCCGAGATTGCGCCACTGCACTCCAGCCTGGGCAACAGAGCGAGACTCTGTTTCAAAAAAAAAAAAAAAATATATATATATATCTATCGATAGATCTATATATATATATTTATAGATTATATATTTACATAGATATCTATATATAGATATCTAGATATATCGATATATGTATAGATCTATAGATATATCGTTGAGCCTGTAATCCCAGCACTTTGGGAGGCCGAGGCGGGTATATCACCTGAGGCCAATAGTTTGAGACCAGCCTGTGCAACGTGGTGAAACCCTGTCTTTACCAAAAAATACAAAAATTAGCCGGGTATGTTGGCATATGCCTGTAGTCCCAGCTACTGGGGAGGCTGAGGTGGAGAATCGCTGGAACCCAGGAGAGAGAGGTTGCAGTGAGCCGAGATCGTGCCAGTGCACTCCAGCCTGGGTAACAGCGTGAGTCCTTGTCTCAAAAAAAAAAAAAATGCAGTCGAAGTTTACTGAGTGCCTCTTTCCCATTGAAATCCCTTCATTTTCCACAGAAAGTGGCACTCTCCTGACTTTGATGTTATTCCCATGTACTTAAAAATACATTTAATATATGATTATGTACACGAAATATAGCATTGTTTTGCATACACTGTTTTTATAATGGTATAATCAATGGAGTCCAGAGCTTGCCTTTTTAGTTCAACTTCATGTCACGTTTGATTTCTATGGCTGTAGCCCTTGCATTTTAACTGTAATGTAGTAGGAATTGATTTATTTGTTCTTTTGTTCACAGAAATTTTGCTATTACTGTAGTGCTGCAATGAATAGTTTTGTTCATGTCTCAGTGCACATGTAGGAGACCTTCTTTAATGCATCTACCTAGGATTGGAGTTGCTGTATTGAAAAGTATGCACATCTCTCCTCGATGTTGCTAAATAGCTCTCCAGAGTAGTTCTACTGATTTATATTCTTAACAGTAGTGAATAGAAGTCCTGTTGTTCAATATCCTTGCCATTTCTACATGTTGTCAGACTTTAACACTTTGCTAATCTGGTAGATATGAAATATATTTTGCTTTTTTTCTTTTTTCTTTCTTTTTTTTTTTTTTTTTTGAGATACAGGGTCTCGCTGTGTCACTTAGGCTGGAGTGCAGTGGTGCAGTCATGGCTCACTACAGCCTCAACCTCCTGGGCTAGAGCAGTTCTCCTGCCTCTGCCTCCCAAAGTGCTGGGATTACAGGCATGAGCCACTGTACCCAGCCTCATGTCTGGCTTCTTTTGATGAGCATAATGTTTAAAAACATTTATCTGCATGTTGTTTGTATTGCTCATTCCTTTTTTAAAAATTGAGATATAATCCATGTAACAAAATTTACCATTTCAAGTATACAATTTGGTGGTTTTTATGATACGCACTACATTGTACAACTATCATCACTATTCCAGAACATTTTCATCACCCCAAAAAGAAACCTACTTGTTAGGTAGTCACACCCTGTTCCCCCTCCTCGCATACCCTGACAACCATCTGCTATCTATCTCCATGGATTTGCCTATTCTGGACATTTCATATGAATACAGTTATACAACATGGAGCCTTTTGTGTCTGGCTGCTTTCACTTAGTTTATTATCAAGATTCATCCATGTGGTATTTTATTCCTTTTATGATTGGATAATAATCTATTGTATGGTTATGCAACATGTTGTTTACCCATTCATCAGTTGAACATTTGTATTGTTTTTACTTTTTGATTATTATGACTGCTATAAACATTTGTGTCCAAATTTTTGTGTGAATATATATATATATATACACACACACACACACACACACACACACACTTTTTTGAGACAGTCTCACTCTGTTGCCCAGGCTGGAGTTCAGTGGCACGATCATAGCTCACTGCAGCCTTGAAGCCCTAGGCTCAAGTGATCCTCTACCCTCAGCTTTCCAAGTAGCTGGTGCTACAGGCATTTACCACCACGCCTGGCTAATTTAAACATTTTTTGTAGAGTTAGGATCTCACTGTGTTGCCCAGGCTGGTCTCGATCCTCAAGTGATCCTTCCACTTTTGCCTCCCAAAGTGCTGGGATTACAGGTGTGAGAGCCACGCCACCTGGCCCCCCACTTCTTTTTTTTTGAGACAAGGTCTTGCTCTGTTGTCCAGGCTGGAGTGCAGTGATGTGACCATGGCTCACTGCAGCCTCAGCCTCCCATGTCAGCCTCCTGAGTACCTGGGACTACAGACATATGCCACCACGTCTGGCTAATTTTTGTACTTTTTTGTAGAGACAGGTTCCCACTGTGTTGCCCAGGCCAGTTTCAAACTCCTGGGCTCAAGCTATCTGCCTGCCTCAGCCTCCCAAAGTGCTGGGATTACAGTTGTGAGCCACCGTGCTTGATCCTGACTTTTCTTTTTCTAAATGGTTGATTATACATCCTAGGTACTGATTGTGTATTGCAAATATCTTGTCTTATTTATTTATTTTAAAATATTTGTAGAAACAGGGTCTTACTATGTTGCACAGGCTGGTCTTGAACTCCTGCATTCCTCCTGTACGGACCTCGAAGTGTCTGGAGTACAGGCGTGAGCTACAATGCCTGACTGCAAATATCTTTCTGACTGTGGCTGGTATTTTTACTTTGTTTATGGTGTTTTGGGGCTTATAGAATCTGTACATTTTTTTAAAATTTAAACAATTATTTTATTGCGTGAGTACATAGACAAATTTATGCGACCAGGACAGAGGCTGTAGATGACTCATATTTCCAATTGGGAGGGAGGACTCGCTTTGTCTTATAATATCAAGCCAAATGGTGAATCTGACGCTCTATCAGAATCAGACAGAATTTAGCATCCTTATCCTTTCTATTCCTCTCAAGATGCTTTTGAACAGCAACTGCTTTCTTAATTAAATGGTAGAGATCTTCAGGGAGATCAGGAGCAAGTCCTTTGGACTTAAGAATTCTTAAGATTTTATTGCCTGTCACAAAACGTACTTGTGCAACACCATGTGTCTCTCTGTATCACACCGGTTTGTGAAGGAGTCAGGCCTTGTTGGCCAGTTTGTAAATCTCCTTCATTTCATCAGATGTCAACTTCAGCCAAGTGGTGATGCTGCACTGTTAGGGTAGAGCCAACCAGGACAGGCCCTTCCTGGGAGCATGCATGCAACCCATGATGGCAGCAGTCAGGCAGCGAAAGGAAGAAGCTGTACATTTTAACAGACAAATTTATCAAATTTTTCTTTATGATTAGTGTGATTTTTAACTTGTCTGAGAAAATATCCAATATCGTCTCCAAGATCATAAAGATTCTTTTATATTTTCTTTAAAGTTTTAAATATATTTATAAATAATTTACTTAACTTTTACATTTCAAATTGAGTCTTTAGTCCACCTATTATTATTTATGTGAGGAATTTAATTTTATTCACGTGGATAACACTTTCCTTAGCACTACAGAATAGTCCAGTATGTACTTCACTAATCTGAAGAGCCTCATTTGCCATTTATCTTGTTTCTGTGGGTATGTGGATCTACTTCTAGGTTCACTATCCTATTTTTTTTTTTTTTTTTTGAGACAGAGTCTTGCTCTGTCACCCGGGCTCGTGTGCAATGGCCTGATCTTGGCTCTCTGCAACCTCCGCCTCTTGGGTTCAAGCGATTCTTCTGCCTCGGCCTCCTGAGTAGCTGGGATTACAGGCATGCACCACCACACCTGGCTAATTTTTGTATTTTTAGTAGAGATGGGGTTTCCCCATGTTGGCCAGGCTGGTCTCCACCTTCTGACCTCGTGATCCAGCTGCCTCGGCCTCCCAAAGTGCTGGGATTACAAGTGTGAGCCACTGCGCCCGGCCTGCCATCCTATTAATTCCAGCATTCACACTATACTGTCTTAATTACTGAAATAATATAATCAGCTTATTAATTACCATGAAAACCCTTCTTGGGAATTTTGATCACATTACACTAAAATTTTTTGCATTAAATTTATGGATTTAGGGAGTTGGCATTTTTTTTTTTTTTTTTTTTTTTTTTTGGAGACGGAGTCTTGCTGTGTCGCCCAGGCTGTAGTGCAGTGGCATGATCTCGACTCACTGAAACCTCCGCCTCCCAGGTTCAAGCAATTCTCTGCCTCAGCCTCTGGAGTAGTTGAGATTACAGGTGCCTGCCACCAAGCCCAGCTAATTTTTTTGTATTTTTAGTAGAGACGGGGTTTCACCATCTTGGCCAGGTTGGTCTTGAACTCCTGACTTCGTGATCCACTTGCCTCATCCTCCCAAAGTGCTGAGATTACAGGCGTGAGACACTGCGCCCAGCCTGAGAGTGGGCATTTTTACATTATTTAGTTTTATTATCCATGAACATAGTATATAATTCCACTTACTCCACTATTCTTTAATGTCTTTCAATAAAGTTTTATGATTTTCATCTAAAAATTATTTTATATCTTTTGTTAGATTTATATCTAGGTACCTTATAACTTGTGTTGCTATTGCTGATTATATCCTTTTTAAAAATTATAATTTCTGCCTTTTGCTGATATAGCTGTACAGTTGATTTTGTACCTTCATCTTACTTGTAGCAGTATAGACTGTCCCTAATTTATGATGGTTCAATTTAAGATTTTTTGATTTTATGATGAGTTTATTGGAATTTAACTTCATTGTATGTCAAAGAGCACCTGTACTTTTCATTTATTCTAATAATTCAAAGGGTCTATTTTTGTTGTAATGTAGACAGTGATACTGTCTGGAAATAAAGACAGTCTTTGCAACCTTTATAATACCTTTGTCTTGCTGCAGTGACTAAACCCTCTAGAGTTGTACTGATGAGAAATGGTGACAGCCGGCATTCTTGTCTTTTTATTTTTATTTTTAAATGCATTTTTGGATCACATTTGCTAATTTATGTAGAATTTTTGCATCTGTGTTTCTAAGTAAGATTGGCCTACAGTTTTTCTCTCTTGTACTGTCTGTCTGGGTTTGGTATCAACATTTCAGTAACTTTTTTTTTTTTTTTTGAGACAGGGTCTCATTCTGTCACCCAGGCTGATGTGCAGTGGCATGATAATGGCTCACTGCAGCCTCAATCTCTCCAGGCTCGGGTGATCCTCCCACCTCAGCTCCCCAGTAGCTAGGACTATAGGGGCATGCTACCATGCCTGGCTAATTTTTGTATTTTTTGTAGAGACAAGAGTTTCGCCATGTTGTCCAGGCTGGTCTTGAACTCCTGGGCTCAAGCAGTCTGCCTGCCTTGGCCTCCCAAAGCGCTAGGATTACTGTTGTGAGCCATCACACATGGTTCTAATTTTTTTTTTTTTTTTGAAACAGAGTCTCACTCTGTCACCCAGGCTGGAGTGCAGTGGCATGATCTCAGTTCACTGCAACCTCCACCTCCTGGGTTCAAGTGATTCTCCTGCCTCAGCCTCCTGAGTAGCTGGGATTACAGGCATGTGCCACCATGCCTGGCTCATTTTTGTATTTTTAGTAGAGATGGGTTTTCACCATGTTGGCCAGGCTGGTCTTGCACTCCTGACCTCAGATGATCCACCCGCCTTGGCCTCCCAAAGTGCTGGGATTACAGGCGTGAGTTGCTGCGACTGGCCTTTCACTGACTTTTTAAAATGAGTTGGTGACTGCTTTTTTAATTATTTGGGACAGTGTTATATAAAATAGGAATTATTCATGCTTGGTATATGATAGAACTTGCCTGTAAAATCATCTGGACCCGGTATGCATCTTTTGGTGAATAGATGTCAAAGTGTAGATTCAATTTTTTTCATGATTGTAGGACCGTTCAGTTTTTCCAGTTATTCTAAAACTGAAAATTTTGGTCTGATTCATTTTTCTGGGAAATTGTCCATTTCACCTAAATTTTCACATTTATCTTCATGGAGTGGTTTAATATATTTTTATGTTTTTATAAAAGATCTGTTTTTGGCCGGGCGCAGTGGCTCCTGCCTATAATCCCAGCACTTTGGGAGGCCGAGGCGGGCGGATCACCTGAGGTCAAGAGTTGGAGACCAGCCCGGCCAACATGGTGAAACCCCATCTCTACTTAAAATACAAAAATTAGCCAGACGTGGTGGCAAGTGCCTGTAATCCCAGCTACTAGGGAGGCTGAGGCAGGAGAATCGCTTGAACCCGGGTGGCAGAGGTTGCAGTGAGCCGAGATCGCACCACTGCACTCCAGCCTGGATGACAGAGCGAGACTCCATCTCAAAAAAAAAAAAAAAAAGGAAGAGTATTTGCAGTTTTTGCCACTAATTCCTATGGCAAAAACCACAATTAACTTTTGTACCAGTCTACCATTCTGTACTCCCACCAACAGTACACAGTCGTGTGTCGCATAACGACCGGAGATGCTTGGGAGATTTCTTTGCTCTGTGAACGTCATAGAGAGTCCTCACACAAACCTAGATGGTACTGCCTGCTACATACTTCACCACTTAGGCTGTATAGTATAGCCTATTGCTCCTAGGCCACAAGCTTATGCAGAATCTACTGAATACTGTAGGCAGTTACAACACAGTGGTAAATACTTGTGTATTGTATTTCGTTTTTGTTTTTGTTTTTGTTTGTTTGAGACAGAGTCTCTCTCTGTTGCTGAGGCTGGAGTGCAGTGGCACATGATCTTGGCTCACTGCAACCTCCGCCTCCTGGTTTCAAGCGATTCTCCTGCCTCAGCCTCCCGAGTAGCTAGGATTACAGGCAGGCACCACCACGCCTGACTAATTTTTGTATTTTTGTTAGAGACAGGGTTTCACCATGTTGACCAGGCTGGTCTCGAACTCCTGACCTTAGGTGATCCGCCTATCTTGGCCTCTCAAGGTGTTGGGATTACAGATGTGAGCCATTGTGCCTAGCCTATTTGTGTATTTAAACATACCTAAACAGAGAAAAGGTATAGTAAAAATGCAGTATTATAATCTTATGGAACTACTGTCATATATACGATCCATTGTTGACAGAAATGTCATTATGTGGTGTATGACTGTATACGGTTTCAGTTACTTCACAAACTTGGTGTTATTGGTTTTACAAATTTTTGTTATTCTGTCTCAAGTGTAGTAATGTCTCATTGTGGTGTTAATTTCTCTGATGACAGAGTTGATCATCATTTTCATTAGCTTATTGGCTTTTTACATAATTTATTATGTGAAATGTTTGTCCACATAGCCTATTTTTTAAAAAATGGGTTATTTTTGCTATTGAGTTTCAGGAGTTCTTTGTACAATCTGGATACTAGTCCTTTGTCAGATAAATGTGTTGTGAATATTTTCCTCTAGTTTTTTGGTTTGCCAATTTATTTTCTTAGTGGTGTCTTTTACTATACTAAAGTTTTAAATTTTGGTGAAGTCTAATTTATCAGTATTTTCTTTCATGATTACTACTTTTTGTGCCCTATGTAAGAAAGTTTGCCTACTTGCTCAGTCACAAACATTACTCCTGTGTTTTCTTCTAAAATCTTTATAGGCTGAGGACAATGGCTCACTCCTGTAATACTAGCACTTTGGGAGGCTGAGGTGGGTGGATCACTTGAGCCCAGGAGTTCAAGACCAGCCTGGGCAACATGGTGAAATCCCGTCTCTGCTAAAAATACAAAAACTAGTTGGGCGTGGTGGTGCACACCTGTAGTCCGAGCTACTTGGGAGGCTGAGGTGGGAGGATCACCTGAGCCTGGGAGGTAGAGGTTGCAGTGAGCCATGATCGTGCCACTGCACTCCAGGCTGAGCGACAGAGCCAAACCCTGTTTCAAAAAAAAAAAAAGAAAGAAAGAAAGAAATTAAATACTCTTAAAAAAATAAAATCTTAAAGTTTTCACTTTTAAATTTAGTACTACACTCATTCTCATTAATTTTTGTGTGTGGTATGAAGTAAGGATAGTAATGCATTATCTCTAATTGTTAAAATCAACACACCAAATATATCATTTTGTCCTAAATATTCCATTAGACTGATAAAACAGTTGAACTCTCTAATGATTAAATTTTTTGTACCATTAATTTAGTCAAGCAACGTATTTTCTGGGTACCTATTAAGTGCCATGATTAGGCAATATAGTGTTTTTTGTTTGTTTTTTTTAAAGACACACAGCCCTACTTGCTTCCTAGCTGGAGAGACAGACGGCTGAATTTACAACCACTACACGTTGTGCTATGTGCACTGCTAGAGATAAGCACTGACTGCTGTAGGAACATCAGGGAGAAGCTCAGCCATGCTAGTGGACCTAAGATAAGGATTCCCTGGGGTGGTGATCCTTGAGCTCAGACTTGAAGGCCTGGTTGATGCTGGCCAAGAAGGGAGGGTAGATGTGCAAAGGCAAGAGGCGTGAGAAGACTGGGGACTGTGTTACTTTCCATTAGTTGGAGCAGATGGTACAAGGCGGAGAGTGGCAGATCTGAAGCTTTGGATGATAACTCATGCATTTTAGCTGTTATCTGTGGAGAGTTAGGAGTCAGCAATACCTCAGTACTCAGAGTATTCGAGTATTGCTGCTTTTAGTACTGCGAATGTTTTTGTATTCATGACTATAGACTAAAACACTTAGCTTATTGTTTCAGGAAGACCTTATAGTCTAGATACTTTGAAATATCCCTACCTTTGTTTAAATCTTTTGTTTTGGCCAGGCTCAGTGGCTCATGGTCTGTAATCTGAGCACTTTGGGAGGCCAAGGCAGGTGGATCACTTGAGGCCAGCAGTTCTAGACCAACCTGGGCAACTTGTTTTAATGTACATTTGGAAACTTTGTGTGCGTAGAAGTATCATTGTCCTAATGTTTGCAGTGAGTACCTAGTACACAGTAGTTAAGTAAGAATAATCTGAGTTGAGCACTGGACACATTAGTTACCTGTTGTTAGGAAATAGCAAATAATGATATCAGAATGAACTACCTCGCTTTTCAAAATGTCATTTGTTGAGGCAGCCCCCGCTGCAGCCACCACCGAGCCTGCCACCACCACTGAGCCCACTGCCACCGCCTCTAAGCAGAAGATGGTTAAGCCTCCCACGTACGCTGATCTTGGCAAATCTGCCAGGGATGTGTTCACCAAGGGCTGTGGATTAGGCTTAATAAAACTTGATTTGAAAACAAAATCTGAGAAGGGATTAGAATTTACAAACTAGGCTCAGCCAACACTGAGGCCACCAAAGTGACTGGCAGCCTGCGAACCAAGTACAGATGGACCAGATATGGCCTGACAGTTATGGAGAAATGAAACACTGACCGCACACCAGGCACCGAGATTGCGTGGAGGATCAGCTTGCATGTGGACTGAAGCTGACCTTTGATTCATCGCTTGTCACCTAATGCTGGGGGGAAAAAATGCTAAAATCAAAACTGCTATAGGCAGGAGCATATCAACCTGGGTTGCACCGTGGATTGTTGAGGCTTCAATCTGGGGTGCCCTGGTGCTGGGTTATGAGGGCTGGCTGGATGGCTACCGGATGAATTTTGAGACCACAGAGTTTTAAGAGAAGCAGAGGGACTTTACTCTTGGCTACAAGATTGATGAATTCCAGCTTCACACTTATGTGAATGACGGGGCAGAGTTTGGCACCTTTGTTTCCCAGAGGTGAATAAGAAGTTGGACACTGCTGTTAAGCTTGCCTGGATATCAGGAAACAGTAACACTCACTTCATCAGGAAACAATAACACTCACTACAGCAGGCAAGTATCAGATGGACCCTGATGCCTGCTTCTTGGCTAAAGTGTACAACCCTAGCCTGATAGGTTTAGGGTACACTCAGACCGTAAAGCCAAGTATCAAGCTGATGCTGTCAGCTCAGCTGGATGGCAAGAACGTCGATGCTGGTGGCCATGAGCTTGGTCTAGGATTAGAATTTCAAGCACAAATGAATACTGTACAGTTGTTTAATTTTAAACTATTTTGCAGTGTAGCTACCTTCAGAATTTAATGTATCTTTTAACATATATTTGAGATGCAAGTATTGCTACATTTCATGCTAGACCTCCAGGTTAAAGATGATTCAAAGAGTGCTACCTTTTCAGACATACAGAAGAAACCCAATTCCAAAAAAGGTCCTTTTAGCTGTAGACTTGGGGGGAATTTGGTAGCCCTTCTAGAGATGCCAGGTTTTAAAAAAATCTTGCAGTGGCTGCAAGTGGAAGATGATTATGTATAGGCACTTTGTAAATTTGTATTGAATAAATGAATGAAACTGTGACTTCCTGATAATTGAACCTTGGTTTCCTAACCCCAGTTGATCAGAGGCTCATTGCTTCGTGGTGTGTACAAATTCACCTGACAAAGACTTTTTAATTTTTATTATTTATTTATTTATTTTTGAGACAGAGTCTCACTCTGTCGCCCAGGCTGGAGTGCAGTGCTGTAGTCTCAGCCCACTGTAACGTCTGCCTCGTGGGTTCAAGTGATTCTCGTGCCTCAGCCTCTCCAGTAGCTAGGATTACAGGCACGTGCCACCACGCCCGGCTAATTTTTGTATTTTTAGTAGAGACGGGGTTTAACCATGTTGACCAGGCTGGTCTCCAACTCCTGACCTCAAGTAATCCAAAGTGCTGGGATTACAGGCATGAGCCACTGCACCCGGCTAAGGGATCTTTTTAGACAGATCTTCATGACCTGTTCCCATCCCAGTCCTTCATCACCTGTCTTATACCAAAAGGTCTGCAGGGTGTGATAGCTGCTTCTTTTCTACCATTTTGGGGTGGAGAGGGTGGATCTGATGAAGCTGATAATTCAGGACTGAATTCCTTCTCTTGTTGTGCTTTTTTGCCCTTGCACTAGAGTATGAAATAGCTTCCAGGAGCTCCAGCTATAAGCTGGGGAGAGGTTGTGTGATTGTAATCACATGGTGACAACACTTAAAATCTAAATTGGACTTCTGTTGCATTCTCACCACTCAATTTATTTTTTAGCAGTTTAATGGGTACATTTTAGAGTCTTTCATTTTGTGTGGAATTAGATCCTCCCCTTCAAGTGCTGTAATTAACATCACTTAAAATAAAACTTGAATAAAATATTGAAACCTCAAAAAATTAAAAATATCATTTGTTGAAATTCATCTTCCCAAGTTGTTCTGTAGATAAAAACTATCTTGAAGCCAAAATGGTAATATACTATTAAAGAAAAGAATTGTTATCACTTTTTGTAAGGTGATCTTGTTTGAAGAGGTAGATCTTGATATCCTTTCTAGTCTCATAATTCTTTTACTAATGAACTGCCAGTTAAATAAAAAGGGAATAGAACCCATGTGGTAGTCATGTATGGAATAGGAACAGATTATTGAGATTGATCTTCTTGTATTATTTAGGCAAATATATGTACATTGGGGTGGTGGTGAAGGTGCAGAAAGGGATTGTGGCACCTGAAGATTAAGGGGGCCCACCCGGAGTGGAGAGTGTGGGGCCGGGGACCACAGGTGCTGTCAGGCCTGGGTTTCTGCTGCTGTCATCTCTGGAAAGTTTTTAGCAGTGAGAGTCAGAACCACAGATTTTTGATCTCTTCGCCTGTATGCATATGTCCTCTACAGCATGGTAGTCTTCTGAAAACACACTCCCTGGCTCTGGTGAAGAGAAGTGCACCCTGATTTCTGGGTCAGTCAGAAATCTTGAGAGTTTCTGACTCTCAAGAGCCTCAGGCAAGGCGCACACAGAAACACCTCTGGTTTGTCCATGGAGCCAGTTCAGAGCTAAGGAAAAAGCAACCCAAGTCCTCTGTTAGAGCGTAATGAACACGAACACTGATGCATGGGATGGATGAAATTCTTTATGTAAATTAGCTCCTAGAAGATGATGTCTACCTTTTTTTTTTTTTTTTTTTTTTTGTTTTGTTTTGTTTTGTTTTTGGAGACAGAGTCTTGCTGTGTCACCCAGGCTGGAGTGCAGTGGCGTGATCTCGGCTCACTGCAAGCTCCACCTCCTGAGTTCACGCCATCCTCCTGCCTCAGCCTCCCGAGTAGCTGGGACTACAGACGCATGCTGCCACGCCTGGCTAATTTTTTGTATTTTTAGTAGAGACGGGGTTTCACCACGTTAGCCAGGGTGGTCTTAATCTCCTGACCTTGTGATCTGCCCACCTCGGCCTCCCAAAGTGCTGGGATTACAGATATGAGCCACCGCGCCTGGCCTACCTTTTTATCAGTTAAGAAAATCAAAGGAATAGTCAGAGTAGCCATTTTTTTGTAAGATGTTTTGGGGTGCCTTTTGTTTTCTTCACTTGCCTTTCCATTTAGGGGAAGCCTAAACACTGGTCAGTGGCCCAGTGTCGTGTACCTGTTTAATCTATGTAGGGCATCTGCTCACATCTGTGTTTTGTTTTGTTAACTTTTTAAATGTAATTGCTTTTACTTCATCAGGTATCTGGCACTTTCCTGATTTTGTTTTTGCCAAATTAAATCGCCACTTTCTCAAAGAAGCTTTCCGTGGTCTCCCAGATGAAGAAAAACTTATCTTCTTCTGAACTTAATGCACATCAATTATAGCATTTATTACTTTCTACATTCTATTTTTGAGTTCTTAAGGATTGGATTGTTGTTAGGGAGGGTATATCTTACCCTTTGCTAGGTCGCAAACTTTCAGTCTGTTTTATCTTCTTTTAAAAATCTTTTTATTTTGAAATGATTTAATTATTAATTAATTAGTTAATTGATTTATATTTAGAGAGAGTGTTGCTTTGTTGCCCAGGCTGGAGTGCAGTGGTATAATCATGACTCACTGCAGCCTCAAACTCCTGGGTACAGGCAATTCTCCCACCTTCTGAGTAGCTAGGGCTACAGGCGTGCACCATCATGCCTGCTATTTTTTTTGTAGAGATAAGGGTCTTGCTATGTTGTCCATGCTGGTCTCATACTCCTGGCTTCAAGAAGTCCTCCCACCTCAACCTCTCAAAGTGCTGGGATTACAGATGTAAGCCACCTTGCCTGGCTTAAAATAGTTTTATACTTGCAAGAAGTTGCAAAAACAGCACAGAGAGTTCTGTTTTACCCTTCATCTGGTTTCCCCAATGATAACATCTTTTTTTTTTTTCTTTTTGAGATGGAGTCTCTCTCTATTGCCCAGGCTGGAGTGCAGTGGTGCAATCTCGGCTCCCTGCAAGCTCCACCTCCCGGGTTCACACCATTCTCCTGCCTCAGCCTCCCGAGTAGCTAGGACTACAGGTGTCCGCCACCATGCCCAGCTAATTTTTTGTATTTTTAGTAGAGACAGCGTTTCACCATGTTAGCCAGCATGGTCTCGATCTCCTGACCTCATGATCCACCCGCCTTGACCTCCCAAAGAGCTGGGATTACAGGCGTGAGCCACCACGCCCGGCCGATAACATCTTACATAACTGTGCTTAAGTTCTATCTTTAGTTTATCTTTATGCACCTCTCTGTGGCTCTGTAGAGCCTGACATACATTAGGCAGTCACTCATGAGCTTTGTTGCATGGTGAATGAATTAATGGGCTCCATGGGCTTACAGCCACATCCAGGTTAATATGTTGTCATCCCATCCTGACTTGAGGACATTGCATCATCCTGGCTACAAGTGACCTGTCTCAACAGACTCAGACTGAAGCCATGCACATTTCGTGCCTCCTTTGTGCACATTAGTTGACTTGCCAGGCAGGGAGGGTGAGAAAGGACTCTGGGATAAATGCCCACACTCTGAGATTTATTTCAAAATAAGACATGAGGGAGGTAGATGAGGATGTGGAGCGGGTCAGAACTGGCTTTGGGCTGATGGTGAATGGGGCTGGGTATCTGGGGGGTCATAAAACCATAATACCATTCTGTCTTCTCACTCTCTCTATTTTTTTTTTTTTTTGAGACGATGGAGTTTCGCTCTTGTTGCCCAGTCTGGAGTGCAGTGGTGCGATCTTGGCTCACTGCAACCTCCACATCCCGGGTTCAAGCGATTCTCCTGCCTAAGCCTCCCGAGTATCTGGGATTACAGGCGTGTGCCACCACGCCCAGCTAATTTTGTATTTTTAGTAGAGATGGGGTTTCACCATGTTGGTCGGACTCGTCTTGAACTCCTGACCTCAGGTAATCCACCCACCTTGGCCTCAAAAAGTGCTGGGATTTCAGGCGTCTGGCCATTCTGTCTTCTCTTGTATGTTGAATGGTCTCAGTTCTTCATCTCTAAAAGTTTAAGAAACAAAAGCCTACCCCACACTGACATAATATCAAAACTGTTTCTTCCTGAGGTTCCTTTTTTTTTTCTTTTTTAAGTAATGGGGTCTCCTATGTTGCTTCTTTCTGAGGTTTTAAAGTCTGTCTCTACAAGCTCACACTAGCAGGACAGAACTCCTTGCAAGACACTACCTCGGGCTACACTGCAGACACTCCAATGCACTTAGGTCATATATTTGGGTTGAATATTGAATTATGCCAAAAGGAGTCAGAAAAGATAAGGGTTATTTGTAGTAATTGCCTGTAATTTTTCACAGAAACACACTTTGATGGAGATTTATATGTGATGGATAGCCCCTGTCTTAGCAGGACAGGTATTGTTGCCTTTGCATTTGCAGTCAGGAACTTGGTTGTTTCTTTGTAGGGGGTCATCAGTCCCTGTTTCCCAATAAAGAGAGAATGTGAATCTGGTACCTCTGTTGCCAAAACAGAGGACAGAGGAACCACAGAGGGTAAACTGTGTTTAGGAGGCAGAGGCCAGATTCCTCAGGCAAGGGCGCATGTTCCTGTCTGCTAAGGGAAAGTGAGAAAAGCAAAGGTGGAGGTGATTGCAGGAAAAGAGATCCGACGGAATAATAGCAGCCCCTTAAAAACTGTGGGAGGAGCCCAGTTCTCTGTGGCCAATCCCAATGACTTTGAGAGAGTGAACTTTTCATTCATCATTATCGTTGTCCTGCCACATATCCTAATGAAATGGCCGTCCAAATGTGAGCATGAGGAAACAAAATAGTATCAAGTGAGGAATGTAAAAATTAACACATACATTGACTGTAGCTATATAGGGACATCCATGAATCCCAGGCGTGATTCAAGGTATGACTTAGTCAGTGAGTACATATATTTTGTTTGTTTAAAATTTACTTATTTATATATTGAGATGAGGGGTTTCACTATATTGCTCAGGCTAGTTTTGAAGCCTGAGCTCAAGTGATCTTCCTTCCTCAGCTTCCCAAGTAGCTAGGAGACTACAGGTGCGTGACACCACACCTGGCTTTGTACATTTCTTTTTTTTTTTAGAGATAGGGTCTTACTCTGTTACCCAGGCTGGAGTGCAGTGGTGTGATCATAGCTCACTGCAGCCTCGAACTCCTGGGCCCAAGTGATCCTTCTGCCTTGCCCTCCCAGTGTTGGGATCAGAGGTGTGAGCCACTGCGCCCAGCCTTGTGTGTGTGTGTGTGTGTGTGTGTGTGTGTGTGTGTGTGTGAGATCTGCCTGCCTCGGCCTCCCAAAGTGCTAGGATTACAGGCATGAGCCACCGTGCCTGGCCAGCCTTGTAAATATTATTAACCTGCCATTTATTATCTGTGTGACATGATCTAGTTACTTCTCTCTTTTTTTTTGAAACAAAGTCTCTCTGTCGCCCAGCTGGAGTGCGGTGGCACAATCACAGCTCACTTCAGCTTCAACCTCCCCAGGCTCAAGGAACCCTTTTACCTCAGCCTCCCAGGTTGCTGGGAGTACAGGCGCGTGCCCCCATGCTTGGCTAATTTTTTTTTTTTTTCTGTATTTTGCAGAGATGGAGTTTCGTCACGTTGCCCAAACTGGTCTTGAACTCCTGGGCTCAAGCAGTCTGCCTTTCTTGGCCTCCCAAAGTGTTGGGATTACGGGCATGAGCTACCGCACTTGGCCACTAGTCAATTCTCTTTGGCTTAGTCTCCTCATTTGTAGGTGGGGATCATAACAAAACCTATTGCATACAGTTGTGAGAATTAAGTGAATTAGTATGTAAATGTATAGAAAGATGTTTGGAACTTGAATAAGTGTTCAATTATGTGTTTTAATTTATTATTGATCTAGGTTGGAAGATAAAGAGGTATGAATGGTATATATTTTTTCTCTGTAAGATAATTAAAGTGTGTAAGAAAAAAATCATGTTTTTTTCCTCTCAAAAAAACCCTACTTTTTTCCTATTTAACCAATTGTTGTGGAGAAAACTCTTATAAGGACATGAAAGACTCTAGGTAATGAAGTGGCTGTTGATGTGCAGTTTGCTGGAAATTTTTATTGTGCCTTGTGTTGTTACATTGTACATGCCTGTTAGAAATGTGATTGGAAATGCTTTGTACATTTAAATCTGAAGGCTTGGAGTAAGAAGGTAACTTTTCCTTTTGTGGCACTCCTGGGGTTGTTAAGGCTGATTTAAGCTGCTGATGACTTGATTATGGTGATTGCTCTTCTAGTTGGGCATACTGTTTACTTTCTTTTAAAATGTTTTTAAGTTGGGCTTGAACTGAACTCCTTTTGTAAATAGAAGGCTCTGAGCTCAGAGATGGTTTGCAGTAATAATAATGGTCACAAATCTTTTTTTGTTTGTTTTTTGAGGCTGGTCTCACTCTTGCTTAGGCTGGAATATATGGTGCGATCATGGCCCACTGCAGCCCTGGGCTCAGGTGCTCCTCCTCAGCCTCCTCAGTAACTGGGACTGCAGGCATGCACCATCATGCCTGGCTAATTTTTGTATTTTTTGTAGAGACAGGGTTTTGACATGTTGCCCAGACTGGACTCGAACTACTAAGAAGATGACTCAAGTAATCCTCCTGCGTTGGCCTCCTGAAGTGCTGGGATTACAGGTGTGAGCCACTGCACCTAGCCATATTATTTTTGGAGAGGCTAAAAAATGATTGCAGTCTATGCCTTTCATCTTATACTGATGATTCAATATTTATGGCTTCAAAGAAGTTATAAATAAATTTCATTTTTCCCTGCCAAAACTGTTAAGTTTTATCTTAAAATTCTATTTCAGTGTAAATATGATTAGTAAGTAACAAAGTTATTGGAGTTTGGATTCATATAACATTTCCTTATTTTATATTCTTACACATTATGATATTGTACTATATTTAAAATATACTATATATTATTTTAAATGTAATATAATTATATATGCACATATTATAGGTATATAATAACTATATGTATATAATTATTATTTTAGGTGGTTTTCTGTGTTGGCCTATTGCTTGTGTAATTCATTTAGCTTTTTCAAGTCAGCTATTCAGATTCAGCTTTCAGCTGTACATACATATATATAATTTTTTAATTTTTAATTTTTATTTTTTTTAAGAGACAGGATTTTGGTCTGTTGCCTAGTCTGGAGTGTAATGGAGCAGTCATAGTTCACTGCAGCCCCAAGCTCCTGGGCCCAAGTGATCCTCCCACTTCAGCCTCCCAAGTAACTGGGACTACAGGCACATGCCCCACACTGGCTAATTTTTTGAAAATTTTTAGTAAAGATGAGATCTGACTATATTGTGAGATCTCTCTGTATTCCAAGATCTCCTGGGCTCAAGCAGTTCTCCTGCCTTGGCCTCCCTAAGTGTTGGGATTACAGACATGAACTATTGGGGCCAGCCACAGCTGTTTTTTATATTAATTTTCATAGTTGTCCTTGTAATATTAAATTTTAATCAGGTTCTGTTTGGTGTTAATGACAGGAACAATCTCGTTCAATTCTTCTGAGGTAAAGCAGAATGTAAGTCAAAAATTAATTAATGTCAAAGTCAGTACTGTTTTTGTTTTTGTTTTTCCATTGACCCCACGGGTAGTGTGGCTGAGCAGTCCAACTTGCTGGGCGTGGTGGCTCACACCTGTAGCCTCTAGTACTTTGGGAGGCCAGGAGTTTGAGACCAGCCTGAGCAACATAGCGAGATCTCAGCTCTACAAAATATAAAGAACATAAAAGATAAAAAAGTTCTGTATTAAGGCTCTAGCCTTCTTGGGGGCATAGATTTGTATTCCATCACTGCTCATATGTTTGCTCTTTAAAATTGTAGTAAAATATACATAATATAAAATTTACCATCTTAACAATTTTTAAGTATACCATTTAGTAGTGTTAAGTATAATATATTCATATTGTTATGAAACAGATCTTCAGAGCTTTTTCATCTCATCTTGCCAATCTGAAGCCCTGTACCCATCAAACAACTCTTCTCTTTCACCTTTTCCCAGCTGCCTGTAACTACCATCTTTTTGTTTCTGTGAATTTGACTAGTTTAGATACCTCATGTAAGTGGAATCACAGTGTATTTGTCTTTTTGTGACTGGCTTATTTCACTTAACGTAATGTCTTCAAGGTTCATCCACGTAACAGGATTTCCTTTCTTTCTTTTTTTTTTTCTTTTTTTGAGGCAGAGTCTTGCTCTGTCGCCCAGTACAATGGCACGATCTTGGCTCACTGCAACCTCTGCCTCCCTGGTTCAAGTGATTCTCCTGCCTCAGCCTCCCGAGTAGCTGGGATTACAGGCACCCACTACCACGCCTGGCTAATTTTCGTACTTTTAGTAGAGACGAGGTTTTGCCATGTTGGCCAGGCTGGTCTTTAACTCCTTACCTCAGGTGATCTGCCCGCCTCGGCCTCCCAAAGTGCTGGGATTACAGGAGTGAGCCACCATGCCCAGCTATATTCCAATTTTAAATTCAATATTAAATTCCAAATAGATTCTTTATTTATTCTTTTGTCAGTGGACATTAAGGTTGCTTCGACATCTTAACTATTGTCAGTAATGCTTCATTTGTATTTGTGAAAGTGGGTGTGCAAATATTTCTTTAAGACCCTGCTTTCAATTTTTTTGGATATATACCCAGAAGCGTGATTACTTCAGCATGTGATATTTCTATTTTTAATTTTTCGAGGAACCTCCATACTGTTATGCATAGTGGATGTACCCTTTTACAATCCTACCAACAGTGCTCAAGACACTTGTGATTTTCTGGTGTGATTTTTTTTTTTTTTTTTGGTATAGTAGCCATCCTCATTGTGGTTCTGATTTGCATTTTTCTGATGATTAATAATGTTGGGCATCTTTTCATATGCTCATTGGCCTTATTAACTTTGGAGAAATATCTATTCAAATCCTTTGTCCAGGACAGTCTCTTCAATAAATGGTGCTGGGAAAACTGGACATCCATATGCAAAAGAAACTAGACCCTTTATCTCACTATATTAAAAAAATCAAATCAAACTGGATTAATGACATAAATCTAAGACCTCAAACTATGAAACTACTACACGAAAACATTGGGGAAAATCTCCAGGACATTCAAGTAGGCAAAGATTTCTTGAGCAGTACCCCACCAGCATAGGCAACCAAAGCAAAAATGAACAAATGGGATCACACCCAATTAAGAAGCTTCTGCACAGCAAAGGAAAGAATCAACAAAGTGAAGAGACAACCCACAGAATGGGAGAAAATATTTGCAAACTACCTATCTGACAAGGGATTAAAAACCAGAATGTATAAGGAGCTCAAACAACTCTATAGGAAAAAAAATCTAATAATTTGATTTAAAAATGGGCAAAAAATCTGAATAGATATTTCTCAAAAGAAGACATACGAATGGCAAACAGGTATATGGAAAAGGTGCGTGCTCAGCCTCATTGATGATCACAGAAGTGCAAATCAAAACTACAATGAAATATCATCTCACTCCAGTTAAAATGGCTTTCATCCAAAAGACAGACAATAACAAATGCTGGCGAGGATGTGGAGAAAAGGGATCCCTCATACACTGTTAGTGGAAATGTAAATTAGCACAACCACTATGGAGAACAGTTTGGAGGTTCCTTAAAAAACTGAAAATAGAGCTACCATATGATCCAGCAATCCCACTGTTGAGTGGGTGTATACCCAACAGAAAGGAAATCAGCATATCAGAAAGATACGTGCACTCACTCCCATGTTTGTTACAGCACTATTCATGTTAGCCAAGATTTGGAAGCAACCTAAGTGTCATCAACAAATGAATGTGGCCAGGCACAGTGGCCCACGCCTGTAATCTCAGCACTTTGGGAGGCTGAGGCAGGCAGATTGCCTGAGGTCAGGAGTTCGAGACCAGCTTGGCCAACATGGTGAAACCCCATCTCTACTAAAAATACAAAAATTACCCCGGCATGGTAGCATGCACCTGTAGTCCCAGCTGCTCAAGATGCTGAGGCAGGAGAATCTCTTGAACCCTGGAGGCGCAGGTTGCAGTGAGTCTAGATCACACCACTGCACCCCAGCCTGGGTGACAGAGTGAGACTTCATCTCAAAACACACACACACACACACACACACACCCAGTTGAATGTATAAAGGAAATGTGGTACTTACACACAATGGAGTACTATTCAGCCATAAAAAAGAATGAGGTCCTGCCATTTGCAACAACATGGAACTGGAGGTCATTTTTTTCAGTGAAATAAATCAGGCACAGAAAGACATACTTCTTGTGTTCTCACTTATTTGTGGGAGCTAAAAATTAAAACAAGTGAACTCATGAATATAGAGAGTAGAAGGATGGTTACCAGAGGCTTAGAAGGGTAGCGGGGGTGGTGGGGAAGTGGGTATGGTTAATGGTTAAAAAAAAAATAGTTAGAAAGAATGAGTGAGACCTAGTATTTGCTAGCACAACAGGGTGACTATAGTAAAAAAATAATTTAATCTTACATTTTAAAGTAACTAAAAAAGTATAATTGGATTGTTTGTAACACAAAGGATAAATGCTTTAGGTGAATTTGAGGCTGCAGTGAGCTATGACTGCTCCATTATGCTCTAGCCTGGGTGACAGAGCAAAATTCTGTTTCCTTTAAAAAAAAAAAAAAAATATATATATATATATATATATATTTACCACCCCATTTACCCTGATGTGATTATTATGCATTGCATGCCTGTATCAAAATATCTTATGTAACCCATAAATATATACACCTACTACGTACCCATGAAAATTAAAAATAAAAAATTAATCTAAAAAATCCTTTGTCCATTTTTTAGTTGGGTTGATTTTTTTTGTTGTTGTTACTGAGTTGCAGGAGTTCTTTGTATGTCCTGTAAATTAATTCTTACTCAGATAAATGACTTGCAAATATCATCTCCCATTCTGTAGGTTGCCCTTTCACTCTTGATTGTATCTTTGTTGTTGTTGTTGTTGTTGTTTTTGTTTTTGAGGTAGGGTCTCACTCTGTTGCCCAGGCTGGAGTGTAGTGGCAAGATCATGGCTCCCTGCAGCCTTGAACTCCTGGGCTCAGGGGATCCTCCCACCTCAGCTTCCCAAGTAGCTAGGACTACAGGCACACACCACCACTCCCTGCTAATTTTAATTAATTAATTAATTTTTTTGAGACAAAGTCTTGCTCTGTCGCCCAGGTTGGAGTGCAGTGGCACGATCTCAGCTCACTACAACCTCCACCTCCTGGGTTCAAGCAGATTCTCCTATTTCAGCCTCCTGAGTAGCTGGGATTACAGGCGTGCACCACCACGCCCAGCTAATTTTCGTATTTTTAGTAGAGACGGGGTTTCACCATGTTGGCCAGGCTGGTCTCGAGCTCCTGACCTCAAGTGATCCACCCACCTCAGCCTCCCAAAGTGCTGGGATTACAGGCGTGAGCCACTGTGCCCGGCCCCCTGCTAATTTTAAAACATTATTTGTAGTAGAGATGGGGTCTTGCTTTGTTGCCCAGGCTGGTCTTGTACTCCTGGGCTCAAGCAGTCCTCCCACTTCAGCCTCCCAAAGTGCTGAGATTACAGGTGTGTGTCACTGCCCCTGGCACACACAAAAAAATGCTATTCTAATGTAAACCCTGGAGACCAAATGGTTGACATATACCATTTAATCTTTTTTTTTTTTTTTTTTTTTTTTTGAGTTGGAGTCTTGCTCTGTCACCCAGGCTGGAGTGCAGTGGTACTATCTCAGCTCACTGCGACCTCTGCCTTTCAGGTTCAAGCAGTTCTCCTGCCTCAGTCTCCCGAGTAGCTGGGATTACAGGCGCCTGCCACCATGCCCAGCTAATTTTTGTATTTTTGGGAGAGACAGGGTTTCACCATGTTGGCCAGGCTGGTCTCGAACTCCTGACCTCAGGTGATCCACCTGCCTTGGCCTCCCAAAGTGCTAGGATTATGGGCATGAGCCACTGCTTCTGGCCCCATTTAATCTTAACAATGGACATTGTCATAAAATCATTTGCATTTCCAAATGCTCCTTTTAGCTTTAAAATCTTGTAGATCTGGGTTTCATTACCTGTGTAATTGCAGCTTCTTAGTTGTGTGACCTTGGAAAAGTGCTTAACCTTTCAGCCTCAATTTTGTCATCTGTAAAGCGGAGATACTAGGGGAAATACATATTTCATAGACTTCTTGAAAGGGATCAGACGAGATGATGTCTGTAAATTGCTTAGCACAGTGCCCAACTGAAAGGCATCAGTCAGTGGTGAATATTTTTATTAGGCATACATTCATGAACATCTATATGTTTGGAACTCAGAAGAAATCAGAATCGGCTTCAAAGGAATGTGATGTATCTTTAGTTTCTTTTTTCCTGTTTAATTTTACAGAAGTAACCTCCGGGAATACCCAATTGTTTGCTCTTGTGCTCAGTGAACAGTACTCAGTTTTTCAGCAGTTGTCAGTGGTGGCATTGGTGAGAGTGCCATTTGGAAACATGAGGAATTTTGGCAGGCTTGGTGGTGTTTGTTGCTAGAGACTGCCTTGGCATAATTGAAGGTGAAAATGATGCCTGGGGTTTCTCACTGATTCATCCCTTTGGTGTGCAATTCTGAATAAACTGCATCTGACCTAAGGTGTGGGCAAGCAGAACCCTGAGGACCTCATTACAGACGAGCTTACTTCTTTGAAATTCCCTTATTGAGAGATTATTCCACACCATTTGGATTTCCTCCTTCTTAGTCATAACAACTTTGGCTGCTGCTGGAAATAATTAGACAGAAAATGTTCTGGTATTTTTGGCACAATTGACATTTTTACTCTTCTGAAATTAATAGAATCTTAGGATTTTAGAGCTGGGAAGGTCCTTATAAGATCCATGTAAATCTGCCACTTGATGGTGAGGCTTGTCCTTCAGAATGGAAAGAGCACAGAGCCTCTGATGTCAAGTTCAGTGCCCTTGCTTGTGTCTGGCTAGATAAGAGACAGAGTATGTTAGCTGGAGAACTGGTACATCTTACCCACAAGCCAATCTAAGGAAACTATTATTATCACTGCTGCGTGCTCCTGCAATCCCTTTTAAGTGCACATCTTACTACTACCTACCATATTTACCAGTTTACTACCTAAGATAGCAACCAATTTAGAAATCCCAGGCTGGGTGCGGTGGCTCATGCCTTTAATTCCAGCACTCTGGGAGGCCAAGGCGGGTGGATCACTTGAGGCCAGGTGTGGTGGTGCGCGCCTGTAATCCCAGCTACTCAGGAAGCTGAGGCAGGAGAATTGCTTGAGTCCGGGAGGTGGAGGTTGCAGTGAGCCAACATCGTACCACTGTGCTCCAGCCTGGGTGACAGAGTGAGACCCTGTCTCAAAAAAAAAAAAAAAAAAAAAGAAATCTCAGTGGCTTAACACAACAGCAGACTTTTTTTTTTTTCAATGATAGTAGGTACTTTAGGTTTTGCAGAGCTATATGGTTTCTGTCATGACCACTCAACTTTGCTGTGAAAACAGCCATAGACAATGTGTAAATGAGTGAGCATGGCTGTGTTCCAATAAAACTTTATTTATGGCCACTGAAATTCAAATTTTACATAATTTGTACATGTCATAAAATATAATTCTTTAGATTTTGTTTTTTCCCCCAATCATTAAGAAAAATAAAAAAATAAAATTTATGTTGGAGGAGCAAGTGCTTACGAATAACCAGGACAGTCTTGAAAAGGAAGAACACAATTGAGTGATACATTCAACTAGACATCAAAACAAAGTACACTCATTTCTCGGTACATGTAGGATGTTGGTTCCAGGACCCCCCACATATACCAAAATCTGAACATACTCAAGTCCCTCAGTGGGCCCTGGGAAACCCAAGTATATGAAAAGTTGGCTGTCTGTATAAGCATGTTTTTTTGTTTTGTTTTTTTTTTTGAGACGGAGTCTCGCTCTGTCACCCAGGCTGGAGTGCAGTGGCGCGATCTCAGCTCACTGCAAGCTCCACCTCCCAGGTTCATGCCATTCTCCTGCCTCAGCCTCCCAAGTAGCTGGGACTACAGGCACCCGCCACTGCGCCCGGCTAATTTCTTGTATTTTTAGTAGAGAACGGGGTTTCACTGTGGTCTCGATCTCTTGACCTCATGATCCGCCCGCTTCGGCCTCCCAAAGTGCTGGGATTACAGGCATGAGCCACCGCTCCCGGCCATAAGCGTGTTTTACTTCCTGCGAATACTGTATTTTTGATCACATTTGGTTGAAAAACAAACTGCCTATAAGTGGATCCTTGTGATCAAACCCATGTTATTCAGGGGTCAACTGTAATGAAAATTGAGAGTAGCATAGTATAAGATAGAATGGATCGATCAGATATACCTGAGTGAAGTTCTGAACTTTCCACTCTGGAAAGTGGAAAATCAAGAATTTTACTTAGGTGTGATTGGTAATTTAATGTATGATAAAAGCCACCATTTCAAACCAGTGGGGGAAAAAAATTAGGAACCATTCTTAGGTTGCATGCCATACAAAAAATAAATAAATAAATAAATAAATAAATAAATAAATAAATAAGTGGGAAGTGGGCAGGATTTAGACCCCGGGCTATAGTTTGTCAAACTCTGTTACTAAGAAATTTACAGGCAAAGGCTCTGGAATCATTTTGCAAAACTGGTATTTCAAGGAACAGTAGTCCTGGCCTGATACTCTGAAGGATATTCCTACTGTTTCTGAGCAGATTAAAGCCTTTGTGAGCAAGTGATACAGACAGGTCACAGAGCAGGCCGTTAAACATGTGCAAAGATGCTCAACATTGCTCAAAATAAGCTAGCACTTTTCATCTCTCAGAGTGGCAGAGACCTCCAAGTTCAACAATACTTTACATTAGTGAGGCCGTGGGGAATAGACACTCCTATGCATTGCCTGTGGGTGGGTAATTTGGTACAACCTCTGTAGGGGTAGCTTGGCAAGATCTATCAAAATTACAAATACATATGTATCTTCTCTGATCCAGTAATTCCAAGTCTCAGATTTATTCTACAGATATATCTGCTCATGTGGGAAATGATATACAAACGTATTCATTGCATTGGCTGGGCTCATGCCTGTAATTCCAGTGCTTTGGAAGGCCAAGGTGGGCAGATTGCTTGAGCCCAGGAGTTCGAGGCCATTCCAGGCAACATAGCAAGACCCCATCTTTATAAAAAGTATAAAAAAAAGAAAAAAAAAGAAAAAAAATTAACCAAGTGTGGTGGTACGTGCCTTAGTCCCAGCTACTTGGGAGCCTGAGGTGGGAGGATCGCTTGAGCCTGGGCATTTGAGGCTGCAGTGAGCTGTGATGGTGCCACTGCACTCCAGCATGGTTGACGGGAGTAAGACCCTGTTTCAAAAAAAAAAAAAGAATATTCATTGCATCAGTGTTAATGTTCATCTGGTGGACTGGTTAAATAAATCACAGTACATTCAGTGGAACACTGTGTCACCATGTTTAAGAAATGAGGGAGCTCTCTATTTACTGATTTGGAATGACCTCCAAGATATATTAACCAAATGAGGCAGGGCAATTAGTGTAACATGCTACTATTTGTGTAAAAGGAGATACATACATATATATGTGTGTATGTATGTATCTGTATGTATATATATATACATGTATGTACATATATATACACATGTAAGTAAAAATTTTTGTTTGTTTGTACATACATCAAATAGCTCTGGAAGGATGCATAAGAAAGTGATTATATTTGTTGACTCCAGGGAGGGGAATTGGGTGGCTGGAATAGTGTGAGAGGTGAGACTTTTCCCTTCCCCTTCCTCATCCCTTTTTTTTTTTGAGGCAGGTTTGCTGTCTGTCACACAGGTGAGAGTGCAGTGGTGTGATCATGGCTCACTGCAGCCTCAATCTCCTGGGCTCAAGCAATCCTCCTGCCTCATTTTTTGTAGAGAGGAGGCCTCACTATGTTTCCCAGGCTGGTCTTGAATTCCTGGGCTCAAGCTATACTCCCACCTTGGCCTCCCAAAGTGCTGGGATTACAAGTATAAGCCACCATGCCTGGCCTGAGACCTTTCTTTCTATATTCTTTTTTTAAAATCATGTGATTTAAGCCATGTGAATGTGAATACCTATTCAGAAAATAAAAGTTAATAAAGTTAATCTTTACAGCCCTGTAAAGCCCTACAATAGGGAAACATGGTTAATTGTATTTATTCATTTTTATGAGTAACATCAAGTACCACTTGTGTTCTGTGGAATGCACTTTGAGTAATTCTTTTCAAAATGTTGCCCCACCTACTCTCCTCCCACTTACTCCAGTTTCTTCTCTCTCCATTGTACTTCTGATGTTTGGGTTTAAGTTAGTGGTGAGAAAGAATTATGTGGAGAAAAACAAGTGATGGTATAATAATTATAAATTTTAATTTCGAATGTTAAAAATTTTGGGCTGGGCATGGTGGCTCATGCCTGTAATCCCAGCACTTTGGGAGGTCGAGGTGGGCGGATCACTTGAGGTCAGAAGTCTGAGACCAGCCTGGCCAACATGGTGAAACCCCGTCTCTACTCAAAATATAAAAAAATTAGCCAGGCGTGATCGCGCGCGCCTGTAGTCCCAGCTACTTGGGAGGGTGAGGCACGAGAATTGCTTGAACCCAGGCGGCAGAGGTTGCAGTGAGCCGAGATTGTGCCACTGCACTCCAGCCTGGGTGACAGAACGACACTCCATCTCAATTAAAAAAAAATAAAAAATGTTAATTAAATTTAAAATTACCTTCAAATTACAGCTCACAGGGCCAGAGGTGTTGAAATTTGATTTTCTCAGCTTTGGGGTTTATGGGCTGAGGGCTGGGGGCCTAGAGCTCCCAGGATGCAGGCTTCTTCAAGAATCCTACCCGTTGGCTGGGTGTGGTGGCTCATGGCTGTAATCCCGACACTTCGGGAGGCTGAGGTGGGCAGAACAACTGACGTAAGGAGTTCGAGACCAGCCTGGCCAAAATGGTGAAACTCCATCTCTACTAAAAATACAAAAATTAGTCACGCATGGTGGCAGACGCCTGTAGTCCCAGCTACTGGAGAGGCTGAGGCAGGAGAATTGCTTAAACCCGGGAGGCAGAGGTTGCAGTGAGCTGAGATCGTGCCACTGCACTCCAGCCTGGGCGATAGCGTGAAACTTCATCTCAAAAAAAAAAAGGAATCCTATCCCTTGACTGCAGTGTGCTGTATAAATGCGATTATTTTCAGTGCATGCAGTAATGCAGAAAGGGTGGTAAATATTGCTCTAGGTAAAATGTGGTCTTTTAAAAATATGTGCTGTGTAAAAATGATGATGGAATACAAAGTATTTGTGGTCTTTGGGAAAATCCTAGCGGCCATTTTGCTCCAATGTGGGAGTCCTCGGCCTCGTTTCTGCTGGGACCTTTTTAGGATAGTTGTGACCTGGTGAGTTTCTGGTGAGGGCACTCACCCAGTTCCCCATAAACTTGCTCGGTGCCAGTATCTCCCATACAAGCCTATTGGGAAGGAAGGACGATTCACGTTTTAGGAAATGATCTTGCATTGACTGTAAGTTACCAAGAAATAGCCCATCAAAAAACTTAGATAGGTCCACATTCTATAGGAATAATGCCCTTCCAATCCACCTCAGAACTCGTATCACAGCTGAGAACCACTGTCCTGCAAGAGTAAGTTAAATTTCATGTTGTGGCCAACTGAAGATAAGTTAATTTCAAACTACCAAATAAGAGAGATATTTTTTAAAAGTATTAGTGACAAGTAAAAAACAAAATTTAATAGTATTGTAGCATAGAAGTAAGAACTTTATCAAGTTCAATTTTTTTTTTTTTTTTTTTTAATTTTTGAGACAGGGTCTCTTTCTGTCATCCTGGCTGGAGTGCAGTGGCACAGTCATGGCTCACTCTGGCCTTGACCTTCCCAGGCTCAGGTGATCCTCCCACCTTAGCCTCCCAGGTAGGTGGTACTACAGGTGTGTGTCACCAAGCCCAGCTGATTTTTGTATTTTTTTTTTGTGGAGACGGGGTTTTGCTGTGGTGCCCAGGTTGGTCTCGAACTCCTGGGCTCAAGCGATTCACCCACCTCAGCCTTCCAAAGACCTGGGATTACATGCATGAGCCACTGCACCTGGTCTCAATTTTCATCTGAATTGATTTGTTGTTCTGTTGCGTGCATCCTGGTGGTCTGATGATGTTGCTAATGTTGTCTGTTCTTTATGTTTTCTGGAAAAGTAACTGAATTAGTATGTCAGTGTAGTACTATCTGAAGAAATCTAAGAGCTATTAAAATGCTTAAAAATAAAATGATCAATTCTTCTTTTGTTCTCTTGACAGGATAATTGAAGCTATCTGCATAGGTTGGTTCACTGCCGAGTGCATCGTGAGGTTCATTGTCTCCAAAAACAAGTGTGAGTTTGTCAAGAGACCCCTGAACATCATTGATTTACTGGCAATCACGCCGTATTACATCTCTGTGTTGATGACAGTGTTTACAGGCGAGAACTCTCAACTCCAGAGGGCTGGAGTCACCTTGAGGGTACTTAGAATGATGAGGATTTTTTGGGTGATTAAGCTTGCCCGTCACTTCATTGGTCTTCAGACACTCGGTTTGACTCTCAAACGTTGCTACCGAGAGATGGTTATGTTACTTGTCTTCATTTGTGTTGCCATGGCAATCTTTAGTGCACTTTCTCAGCTTCTTGAACATGGGCTGGACCTGGAAACATCCAACAAGGACTTTACCAGCATTCCTGCTGCCTGCTGGTGGGTGATTATCTCTATGACTACAGTTGGCTATGGAGATATGTATCCTATCACAGTGCCTGGAAGAATTCTTGGAGGAGTTTGTGTTGTCAGTGGAATTGTTCTATTGGCATTACCTATCACTTTTATCTACCATAGCTTTGTGCAGTGTTATCATGAGCTCAAGTTTAGATCTGCTAGGTATAGTAGGAGCCTCTCCACTGAATTCCTGAATTAATGCATTGCAAATCAATTCTTGCATACACTTCATAGAAAGACTTTGATGCTGCTTCATATTTATGTGTTTCTTGCTGGGTGAGCACTGCAGTGGCATTGTCATCATCTTGGTAGGGTAAAAATTATCCTTCCCAGCCGAAGGGATAAAACAGTTTACTTGTTATGGAGTAAATAGAATTGAGACTGCAAAGGAAGAATAATGACTCCTAGAGTAAACTTTAGGACCCGGTTTTATTTAGACTTGTTTTCCCGTTTCCTTGAATGATTACACATTTTTAAAAAATACATTATTTGAACATTTTAAAACAGAAAGGTACTATTTTCCAAATGTTTTTCCATCTTATGAATTCAGAAGAAGCTTGGAACTTATAGTGTTTTTTGTTTGAGAGTAACATTTTCATTTCTAAATGTTTTATAATTTCTCATATCAATGTCAGAAGTATCCTGGAAACATATGTCACATGCGGGAACTGTTTAACAAATACTTTAAAAATTTGGCCAAAATTTAAACTGTATAATGGAGCTAGATACAAGCAAGAATAGTATTTGAAAGACTTTTCCAGCATACTTCTCAATTCTTTGCTTTATTTTTGTGCCAATTATTCACCTTATCGTGCCGCTTCATGGAAGCTTGAGTATGTTCTCCCTTTTCCATTTTGGATTTATCTCTTTACTGTAATGACTCAAAAGGTATTTAAGAATTGACGAGAGCTTGTGTTGTTTAGCATCTTACTGGATAATATTTGAATTCATTGCTGTTCCTAGGTGATAACTGTCCTAATATTTAGATGTCCAAACAAGAATACTTCCAACATAAAAATTATAATAGGAATAATTTGAGATGACTCAATATTACAACCTCTTCTTCTCTTAACCTCCTCCCCCAAACACTAGAGGTTTAATAAGACTTATCAGATGAAAGGATATTTATATAGCCTTTTAGTAGCAAAGTCATACTTACGTGTTGTCACTGGATTATCATAAAAGGGAGAAATTAAATATTACTGTACTCTTAGTTGCTGTGTAGCTAAGTCAATTTTAAGCCAGTAAAAGCGATGGATACATAATGATTTGATCTGATCTTTAACTATTGTGAATCACAGCTACACCAAAACTCTTCTTGTAAGAATACTGACTAATATGCCATGTTAATCTGGCTAGATTATTAGGACTAGATAATGTAAAAGTGATGATTGTTTAGTAACTAAATTTTAGCAACAGAAATTAGAATTTTGCTTTTTCAACCAGTTACCATAAAGAAGTTAGTGTATATATAAACACAAATAATTAGTGACAGATTCATAAAAAATTGAATGTTGTACACAGTAATTTTGTCAGAGGTAGAGAAGACAGGGATTGGGAAGTGGTGGGTGATGGAGGACCTGGATATATTTATCAAATAAAGGGTTACCAGAAGTGTTCATTAAAGGAATTTTAGCCATCATCTAGTTCAAACCTCAACTATTACAGGTAGAAAATCAGGGCAGGAGAGAATATAATTGTGAAGGAGTCAGGGCTAACACCTGGATCTCCAGAAACCTAGCCCAGCAGGTTAATCTTCACACATCTCTGGGTTCTGAGAAAAGCCTGGAAAAATCACACTTCTTTGTCATTGTCATGCTGAGGTAATAATAGCAAAACTGTTTTCTTTCCCTTAATTTCCTTTCCTAAGCTTATGTAATAGTTTGGCCATTAAATATCTTGCCCTATTTTCCCTATTACTGCTAGTATGCTACTTCTTACATACCCAAAAGAAATTCAGTTATTTATTGTATATTTATTGTATTCTAATATAATTGAAATAAATGGCATGGATTTATTTTTTCTTAACTATTTGGATTAAAGCTTTGTGGTTCATGCAAACAATGTGCAGATGATAGCACCTCCATATTACTAATAAAAATATGATAACCATCAATTTTACTGGTACTGGGACCGCTTTATGTGAATATGTCCTATCTTCCCAAGTAAATTATAACTGTCTTGAGAGCTGGGATCCTCTCTCATGCATACACCTTTGTATCCCCGACAGTGTCTGTTACAGACTTGGGCACAAACAGTTGACTGATTTGAGGGGAGAAACTTCTGTGTGAAGAGACGAGGAGAAGCATATACCTATAGGTATATATATACACACACACCTATATATATATATTTTATACATACATATAGGTATATATATGTGTATATATTTTATATATAGGGATATGTGTGTGTGTATATATATATATAATGTACATGTGCAAATATACACACAGACTTCATGCTACCCTTAGGTAACAAGTGTGAAATCTCTTGTTGGTGATTCCAGACTTTCCATAGGACCGATTTTCATAAAGAAGCATGTTGGGTAAATACTAGTGGCAGTTAAGCTACCCATTTATAAGGAGACGATGAGACGTGATAGAGTAGTTCATTCATAAATGAAAAAATATGTATTAGGGTTTTGTCTTCATGGATGTTGTGTTTTTTTAGGAACAGCATTTTATTGTAACGTTCCCTGAGCGTTGCTACTTTTATCATTATTTATCTATTTATTTTTTTCTAGAGATAGAGTTTTGCTTGGTTGCCTAGGCTGGAGTGCAGTGGTGTGATCATAGCTCACTGCAGTTTTGAACTCCTGGGCTCAAGCAGTCCTCCCACCCCAGCCTCCCAAGTTGCTAGGACTATAGGTGTGCATCACCATGCTGGTTAATTTTTTAATTTTTATTTTTTTGTAGAGATAGGGGTCTCACTGTGTTGCCCAGGCTTGCCTCAAACTCCTGGCCTCAAGCAGTCCTCCCACCTCAGCCTCTCAAAGCTCTGGGATTATGGGCATGAGACACTGTGCCTGGCCTGTTGCTGCTTTTTTAAAAAACCATTAAGTATCACTTCTTTCTTAGCTATACTTACAGACATCTCTTATAACTCAGTCTTTTCATGGCAGAAATGTTTTCATTAATATCTGTATTGGTACCAGTAAGTCAGACATTATCCTAAATTAAAATACCCAAAGAGGAAAAAAGCCCTAATCTCCTAATCTTTAATCTGATTTTACCACACCTGAATTTACATGACTTGATCTAATATGTAACTTGTTTTGTATTCTCTAAAATGGGAGTTTTAGGATTACAAACACAAAATTAGGGAATATATTTGAAAGTGAACAAACTAACAATTCAAGGCTTTCATTACTGTATTGTCCTTGTTGCTAATTGAAACAGTTGCATTTGTTCTTGGGTTTGGTCATTACCTATAAGTACCCATTTGTAAGTTCATACTTTCTGAAAAGTTATTTCCACAATGGCTGTCAATAAGTCAAAATTATTTGTCTTTTTAAACCTTTGTCCAGATGTCCTGTGATCTGGAAGAGGTGGAGATGGGGTTAATTTGGATGTTGGTGTTGGGAGAATTTTCCCTGTTGGCTTGGTATTTGCTAATAGCAGTTTATTTTCCTTTTTTTTTTTTTTTTTTAAAGAAAACAGACAAAAAGATGCAAAACAATATTTGAAATATTAAAGCCTCAGGATAGAATTTCAGACATCCCTTCTGTCCACTTCACCTCTTTTCCATAGAAATGAAAAATAAAACATTGAAAGCTCCTAGCTCTGTATTACTATTCAGCTGTGTAACTCCAAACTTAATGCATAGTGTCATAGAATATTTCGAGTCCTCTGACCCTTCATAAATGTGCATTCCCTTATGGTGTGTAATATACAATTCAATCAGACATAGTCTAATCATTTTATAGGGTCATAGGAAGTTGGAACTAGGGGTTGTGGAAACCTTCTGGTCTATTTTGGCCCAATTGTATGCCTTTTGTCCGATCCAAATATTAGCAACCAGGGAACTCTGCTCCCAGTGGGTTGTAATTTAGCCATGGTCACTCTAGTGTCAGGTTAGGTCCCAGAAGCTTGATTTCCAGACTTTTGGCTTAGTACTCTGGATATACTTCCTTTAAGAATCTTGTAACTTCGGAAGCCATGAAGGATTTCTTTTAAAAATATTTTCTTGGCCAGGCATGGTGACTCACGCCTGTAATCCGAGCACTTTGGGAGGCCGAGGCGGGTGGATCACCTGAAATCAGGAGTTCGAGACCAGCCTGGCCAACATGGTGAAAACCCATCTCTACTGAAAATATAAAAACTAGCTGGGCATCGTGGTGCCTGTAATCCCAGCTACTTGGGAGGCTGAGGCAGGAGAATCACTTGAACCAGGGAGGCAGAGGTTGCAGTGAGCCGAGATCGCGCCTTTGCACTCCACCCTGGGTGACAAAAGTGAAACTCCGTCTCAAAAAAAAAAATTTTTTTTTATTTAGGGCTTTGGTGTTCCCCGTATTTTTCCTTTTTCTTTTTCTTTTTTTTTTTTAACGTTTGAATTAAAAAGCAATTATTGCCGGGCATGGTGGCTCACGCCTGTAATCCCAGCACTTTGGGAGGCCAAGGTGGGCAGATCACTTGAGGTCAGGAGTTCGAAACCAGCCTGGCCAACATAGCGAAACCCTGTCTCTACTAAAAATACAAAAAATTAGCCAGGCTTGATGACACGTGAATGTAATCCCAGCTACGCAGAAGGCTGAGGCATGAGAATTACTTAAACCTGGCAGGTGGAGGTTCCAGTGAGCTGAGATCGTGCCACTGTACTCTAGCATGGGTGACAGAGGGAAACTCTCTCTCTCTCAAAAAAATCATATATATATATATACAATAATATATAATTGACAGTTTATTTTTATAATAAAAATAATATTGCTTTTAGAAGCCTTAGATGTCAAGAAGGAGGGCTTGAGACAAATGCATAAGTAACTCAGATTTTCTCTAGAATTTTAAAAATTACTGTACAGTTGTGCACTCATCCACATGTATCCAAATAAGTACAGGTATTTGATAGTTGTCACTGCATTATTCAGGACATTCTCAGAACCAGGCTGAGAAATGTCAAGTAACATGGGTTGAAGCTTTGATGGAATGTTCTGGAAAGTTCCATTTTGGTCAGGAAAGGTTGCATCCATTTACTTCTGTGTCTGTTCAGTGTTCTTTCCTATGGTGTTTCACTTCCTGATTTTCCAGAGCCCATCTGCACTCAGAAACCTGGGCATATCAGTTCTGCTTCTGAAAGTAGACTAATGATTTACTGCCTCATTTGCAGTGAAGCCTTCCATAGATTTGTGAAATGTCATCCAGAAGCATGATTATATTGTCCCATTCTGTGGTTAACTTATGCCCAAACTTTCAGATTTTTCTAGATCTTCCAAATATTTTCAGTAAGTACTGGAGCTTTTGACTGTTAGCATAAGCTCAATTGTCAGTTTACTACTATTTGCTTAGAAAATTGAACTTGATAATCTGCATTTATGCTGTAATTTAAACAAATACATTTTAAGTAGCTTTGGTGGGAATTCTTTGGTTTATCGTTTAAAATATCAACAAGACTATACCAAATATAACATTTAGTACATGAAAGTGAAGGGAGAATATTATTTGGCTTTCACCTACCAGGAGTAAGTGATTCTATGTTATTTATATCTGAAGGAGTGCTTTGATGTACTTATTTATGCAGCATTATATTAAAACTAAAACTAAAATTTCCCGTAATTTTATATTAGATAGGATCACTATTTCTGTTATTTGGAAATAATTCTATAGTTCTGCCCATGACAGAGTGGAGGCAGTTTGTAGTGTGTATTGGTTTGTTTTTGTTTTGTAGTAGAGACAGGGTCTCCCTATGTTACACAGGCTGGTCTCAAACTCCTGGGCTCAAGCAGTGACATCTGCTGTAGTAATATACGATGATTTGTTCAACTTAGGTATTATTTTTCAACTGCATATTACAACCTCGATCTTATAACTCTGATGGAATTCCATGCTTTCTTTCTCTACAATATAGAGGGCAAGATAATTTTACTTTCTTAGTAGAGAGTAATATTTATAGTTACAAATTCTGAGCTGTGATAAAAATGGAACGTTTATTATGTGATTGTAGTGACAGAAAATTTTTTTTTTTTTTTTTTTTTTTTGGAGACAGAGTTTCACTCTTGTTGCCCAGGCTGGAGTGCAATGGCACAATCTCAGCTCACTACAATCTCCACCTCCTGGGTTCAAGCAATTCTCCGGCCTCAGCCTCCCAAGTATCTGGGATTACAGGCGCCCACCAACATGCCCTGCTAATTTCTGTATTTTTAGTAGAGATGGGGTTTTGCCATGTTGGCCGGGCTGGTCTCGATCTCCTGACTTTATGTGGTCTGCCCACCTCAGCCTCCCAAAGTGCTGGGATTACAGGAGTGAGTCAACACACCCAGCCCACATATTTATTTTTTAAAACCATACCTATGTCAGTGCTGTTTGGCAAAATAAAAAAAAATTAAACCATATCCACGCTTTTATACTATACACTCTGAAGTAAAATGCAAATCATAAAATCTGTGTAAGGCTTAACTTTCAGATCTATGTGAAGGTTGTTTATTTTTGTTCCTAGGACAGAGGTAGAAACTTTAGATGTTTTGCTTTGAGATAAACTGCTTAATCTCTTACCTATATTTTTTATTCAGTAATTCTTACCATTTGGAAGGCTCTTAAAAACAAAGAATAATACAAATCACATAAATATTCTAGTTTTAAAGTTAGAATCGTGGGTCATGGTTGCTTTCTTTCTAAGATTCGACTTATATTAATTTAATCAAAACCACTTATTAGATTCCCAGTTAACCCTGTTTAAAAAGATCAGAAACTGGGCACACACATGTTTGTGTGTCTTTTTCTTAAATATATATTTTTTATGTATGCATCTTTTTGTGCTGTGGTACAAGGTGGAGATAGGAACACTATAGCATGTAAGAAATAATTAGGTGCACCCCACTTCATGTAATAGATAGGTTTCCAGACATTCGTATGGGAAAAAAGGGTTGTAAATGTCTTCATATTTTACCTAATGGTAGATATGTACAGGAACTCAATTAGGGAATCTAACCTGTGGGTCACCCTTCTGTTGTGTTACCTATCATCCCCTAAAGGAGATTTTAAAAAAAATTTCATTTTTCATGCATGTATGAAAGAACAAGTTCTTTTGAGAAGGGCATTCTTGTATAAGGGTCAAAACAGAATCAGATTTTATTAAAAAGCCAGCGTGTGTAAAATCAGATTTGAGGAATTACAATGTTTGACCTAAGGATGAGGAATTTTGTCAACCAAGAAAGTGTGGTTTTTATGGTCCTCACAAAAGTTTTCTAAGGGGTAGCTGGGATGATAGATGGATACCTTCTTTTTATTCCCTGTTCTAGCTGTTTTCTGCTTTGCCCTCACTGTATTTGCGACTCACACTGTATTCTGTTTAATCCCACACAAGTGAGTGTTAAGCATGTCTTCACCATGCCAAGAGGCAATTGAGTGGCCAGAGAAGGAAATAAGGGTAGTTCCTGGGTACATGACTACCTTGACCAGTCAGTGTTATTGGCAGTGTGGCTCTGTAGACAAGCTTTAGTCTATCTAGCAAGAGTTTTTAGGGAAGTTTAAAAATGGAACTAAATAAATATGGGGTGGTCCTAACAATGCCTTTTTTAAAAAAGATGAGACATAATTCGTATGCCATACAATTTGTTATCTTAAAATGTACAGTTCTGTGGTTTTTAATATATTTATAGAGCTGTATAACCATCACCACTATCTAACTCCAGAACATTTTCATGTACCCTGTGCCCATTAGCAGTCACTACCCATTTCCACTCCACTCATCCCCTGGCAACCACTAATCTACTTTCTGTCTCTGTGGATTTGCCTATTCTGGACATTTCATATAAATGGAATCATATGATATGTGGCTGGCCTTTTGTGTCTGGCTTCTTTCACCTAGTGTCATGTTTTCAAAGTTCATCCATGTTGTAGCATGTATCAGTACATCATTCCTTTTTACGACTGAATAATATTTCCTTGTATGGGTAGATTGCATTTTATTTATCCATGCATCAGTTGATGGACACTTGTTTCTACTTTTTGACTGTTATGTATAATGCTGCTATGACATTCATGTACAAATTATCATGTGGACATAGGGTTTCTTTTTCTGTTGGATATAAACCTAGGAATGGAATTGCCAGGTTAGATGCTAATGTTTAACTTTTTGAGGAGCTGCCAAACTGTTTTCCAAAGCAGCTGAGCAATTTGATTCCCACCAGCAATGTGTGAAGGTTCCGGTTTCTCCACATCCTCCCCAACTCTTGTCATTTTCCTTTTTAAAAATAATAGCCGTCACAGTGGGTATGAAATGGTTATCTCCCTGTGATTATGACTTGCATTTCCCTAATGACAATGCTGTTGGTCATCTTTTCATCTATTCTTTGGAGAAATGTCTACTTAAACCCCTGCCCTTAAAAAAATAGGTTTTTTAAAAAAGTTGTTGGATTTTAAGAGTTGTTTATTCTGGATACAGATCCTTTTCAAATATATGATTTGTAAATATTTTCTCTTATTCTGAGGGTTGTCTTTTCACTTTCTTAGTGGTATGTATCATTTGCAGCACACATTTTAAATTTTGATGTTTCCCAATTTATCTGTTTTTTCTCTTGTCTCTTTTGCTTCTGGTGTCATATCTAATAAAGTGAAGGTCATGAAGATTTACTCCTATGTGTTTTCTTAAGAATTTTATTTTATTTTTTGAGATGGAGTTTTGCTCTTGTTGCCCAGCCTGGAGTGAAGTGCAATGGGGCGATCTCGGCTCACTGCAACCTCCGCCTCCCTGGTTCAAGCGATTCTCCTGCCTCAGCCTCCTGAGTAGCTGGGATTACAGGCATGCGCCACCATGCCTGGCTAATTTTTGCATTTTTAGTAGAGACAGGGTTTCCCCATGTTGACTAGGCTGGTCTTGAACTCCTGACCTCAGGTGATCCACCCGCCTTGGCCTCCCAAAGTACTAGGATTGCAGGCATGAGCCACTGCGCCCAGCCCTGTTTTCTCTTAAGAGTTTTATAGTGTTAATGCCTGTCTTTAGGTCTCTGATCCATTTTTAGTTAATTTTTGCATCTGTTATGAAGTAGGAGTCCAATTTTATTTGTTTATTTTTTGCATGTAGATATCCAGTTGTTGAAAAGATCAGTCTTTCCCCATGTAATGGTATTGGCACTTTTGACAAAAATCAATTGACCATAGATGTGTGGGTTTATTTCTAGATTCTCAATTCTATTCTAGTGATCTATGTGTTGATTTTTATGCCAGAACAAAAGATTGTATCTTTGTAGTAAGTTTGGAAATCAGGAAGTGTGAGTCTCTCTTACCTTTTTTTTTTTTTTTTTTTTTTTTTTGAGATGGAGTTTCACTCTTGTTGCTTAGGCTGGAGTGAAGCGGTGCGATCTCGGCTCACTGCAACCTCTGTCTCCCGGGTTCAAGCAATTCCCTTTTTTAAAAATTATTTTGGCTATTCTGGGTCCCTTGTATTTCTTTGTTTATTTTTTATTATTTTTTTCTCTTTCCCTCTCTCTCTCTTTTTTTTTTTTTTTTTTTTTTTTTTTTGAGACAGTGTCTCACTCTGTTGCCCAGGCTGGAGTGCAGTGCTCTGATCACTCCTCATTGCAACCTCAACCTCCTCCTGGGCTCAAAGGATCTTCCTGTCTCAGCCTCCTGAGCAGCTGGAAGCACAAGTGTGTACCACCATGCCTGGCTAATTAAAAAAAATTTTCTTTGTAGAGATAGGGTCTCCCTGTGTTGCTCGGGCTGGTTTTGAACTCCTGGGCTCAAGCAATCCTCACACCTTAGCATCCCAAAGTATTGGGATTACAGGTGTAGGCTACAGTGCCTGGCCATTCCTTGTATTACTATATGAATTTTAGGTTTGGTGTGTCCATTTCTGCAAAAAAATTTAGTTGGAATTTTGACAGTGAATACATTGAATCTGTAGATAAATTAGGGGGTAGCATCTTATTCATATTAAGTCTTCTAATCTATGAATATGAGGTGCCTTTCGATTCACTTATGTCTTCTTTAATTTCTTTCAACAATGTTTTATAGTTTTCAGTGTACAAGTCTTGCATTTGTTTGGTTTAACTTATTCCCAAAGTAGTTTATTTTTGTTACTGCAGTCCAAAGGCCAGAGAGCCTGGAATACTGATGTCCCAGGGTAGGAGAAGAGTGTCCCCAGCTTTAAGGAAAAGAGAAGAAATTACCTTTTCTCTGTCTTTTTTGTTGCGTCTGGTCCTTCAGCCAATTGTTTTTTTGTTTTGTTTTGTTTTGTTTTGAGACAGAGTTTTGTTCTGTCACCCAGGCTGGAGTGCAGTGGCACCATCACAGCTCACTGCACCCCCACCTCTCGGGTTCAAGCAATTCTCCTGCCTCAGCCTCTCAAGTAGCTGGGATTACAGGGGTGCGCTACCACGCCTGGCTAATTTTTGTATTTTTAGTAGAGACGGGATTTCACCATTTTGTCCAGGCTGGTCTTGAACTCCTGACCTCAAGTGATATGCCCCCCTCAGCCTCCCAAAATGCTGAAATTACAGGCATGAGCCACCACCCCTGGCCCTTCAGCCAACTGGTTGGTGCCTGCCCACATTGATGGTAGATCTTCCCCGACTCAGCCCACCGACTCACACACCAGTTTCTGGAAACACCCTCACAGACACACCCAGCAGTAATAATTTACCTGTTCTCTAGCTATTCCTTAATCCAGTCAAGTTGACACCTAAAATTAACCATCATACTTGTTGAATGCTTTATTAGCTATAATAGGATTCTTTAGGTTTTCTATATATAAGATCATGCCATCTGCAACTGGAGATAATTTTACTTCTTTCTTTTCAATCTGGGTATCTTACGTCTTTCTCTTATCTAATTGCCCCAGTTAGAACTTACAGTACAATGTCAAATAGAAGTGGACATCCTGGCCTTATTCCTGATCTTGGGGGAAAAATTGCAGTCCTTCATTGCTAAGTATGATGTTAGTTGTGGGTTTTTCCATAGATTCCCTTTACTTGGTTGAGGAACTATCCTTCTATTCTGGTTTGTTGAGTGTTTTTTTTTTGTTTTTTTGTTTTTTTTTTTTTTATCATAAAAGCATATTGACTCTGTGTTTTAATGAAGAAATGGACAGACTTCGTGAGTTAAGTTGTTGTACTGTCTATATCAGGAAATACATTTTGTTGAAGTTTTAAAATCTCTGCAAGAAATTTACCAAGTCGAAGCCATAGAAGTACTTGTTGATGGTTTTTAAACAGTTCTTCAATTGGTATATATTTAATGGTTTCTAAGTTCATTAAACTGATTCTCTTCATTAACCCAAGTTAATTTGAGTTTATGTTCACTTGCCTAAAGATATAGAGACACACAGACATGAGAGATAAAAGATTACTTGCTTCTGTTGGTTGGTTTATTGTAATACCTCTTTTTTACCTGACCTCATGCTTCTCAAACTCAGTTATTTCAGGTTCCTGGGAGAATGCTGGAGGTTGTAGATACAAGGTGCCTCTGTGTCCTTGAATCGTCAATGTTAGAGCTCTTTCAGTTCTCTTCCTTTACCTATCTTGGGGATATTTTGGCAGAAGAGCTGAGAAACAGCTCTGAATTTCCGGGAACTGGATTTCCCAACAGTGTTTAATCCTATCTTTCCATAGTACTTACAGTGAGCACAAGTACCACTGAATTACTGGGGTGGAGGAGGTATTCCAAAAACAGGACTTGATGGTTAATTAACCTTCAGCATTGCCCTAGGAAAAGTTTTGGGTTTTCTTGTTGTTGTTGTTGAATTTTAATCCTTTGTGTGCACAAAACAGGAGCATTTGCCTAACAAGTGTCACTTCTGTGCTGGGCACTGTGGGGTATACAGAGATGACCATCAACGGGCCTTGCCCTGACACCCTGAGAGATCCTTGTACCTGCAAAAAGCCCTTGAAGACCCATTCTGGGGTCCTTTACAGTAAGCCCAGATTTTTTTTTTTTTTTTTTTGATAGAGTCTTGCTCTGTCACCCAGGCTGGAGTGCAGTGGCATTATCTTGGCTCACTGCAACCTCTGCCTCCTGGGTTCAAGCGATTCTCCTGCCTCAGCCTCCCGAGTAGCTGGGATTACAGGCATGCACCACCATGCCTGGCTCATTTTTTGTATTTTTATTAGTGATGGGGTTTCGCCATGTTGGCCAGGCTGGTCTCGAACTCCTGACCTCAGGTGATCCGCCCACGTCGGCCTCCCGAAGTGTTGGGGTTAAAGGCAGAAGCCACTATGCCCTGCCCTAAGCCCAGATTTTTTAATGTAATTCATCATCATGAGTGTAATCATTGTGAAATTCCTTTAGGGAATTATGTTACTAAGATCAGTGGAGGAAAAGCTTAATATTATCTGCAAGCAACATTTCCTCAAATGGTTGGAAGCTCACTTGCGAGTTTCCCGGTTTTGACTAACTTTTCTTAGATAGAGCACCACTAGCATTTTCTCATGAGTAATATTTCTAATGTTGTTTTTGAGTGAATACTTACAGTTCTCTAATTTTGTACATATGCCCCAAAGGCCTTTGGTTAATGGCTACATTTTAAATAAATCTTGTGAATGTTCTAGGCAAATATTAATCTTCAATGCAAATGTGTATATCAAACCTAACGGAGTTATGATTCAAGATTTTGGGCACACTACATTTTTAATGTTACATATTTATTTAAAATGCTCAGGGAAAAAAAAAAGCTTTCAAAGAGAGATGTACTTTGCCATAACTGTAAAATAAATGTATTCAGTACTATTCATAACAGCTATTCTTAGGAATAGCAGGATCCCCAATTATTAGTCATTGGCTGCTTGAATAATGGCTACAACTCCTAGTAATGAAAATTATAGCAACTTTTTCATAAAAAATGTATAAATGTTTTATAATTTTTTTTTTTTTTTTGGAGACAGGGTCTCGCTTTGTCTGCCCAGGCTGGAGTGCAGTGGCATGATCTTGGCTCACTGCAACCTCTGCCTCCTGGGTTCAAGTGATTTTCATGTCTTAGCCTCCTGAGCAGTTAGGATTACAGGTGCGTGTACACCCAGCTAATTTTTGTAATTTTAGTAGAGACAGGGTTTCACCATGTTGGTCAGGCTGGTCTCAAACTCCTGGCCTCAAGCGATCTGCCCACCTCAGCCTCCCAAAGTTCTGGGATTACATGTGTGAGCCACCACTCCTGGCCTAAAAATCGGTCTTTTATTTTTGCTTAATACTTTCTTTGGTTTGTTTTTTTGTTTGTTTGTTTTGTTTTGTTTTGAAACAGAATTTCATAAGGTGGCCCAGGCTAGAGTGCAGCAGCATGATGTCTCATTGTAGCCTCGACCATCTGGGCTCAAGTGATCCTCCCACTCCCACCTCAGCTTCCCAGGTAGCTGGGACTACAGGTGTGTGCCACCACACCTAGCTAATTTTTAACATTTTTGTACAGACAAGGGCTAACTATGTTGCCCAGGCTGGTCTCAAACCTCCCGGGCCCAAGTGATCTTCCTGCCTTGGCATCTCAAAGTGCTGGGATTACGGGCATGAGCCACCTTACCTGGCCTGCTTAATATTTTTAAGTATTTTGAAAATAAACCTCTGATCCTAGTTGGTTAGCGTATTTATTTATTTATTTATTTATTTATTTATTTATTTATTTATTTATTTTTAAGACAGTCTGTGTTGCCCAGGCCTGGGTGCAGTGGCACAATCACAGCTGACTGTAGTGTCAACCTCCTGGGCTCAAGCAATCCTCCCACTTCAGCCTCCCAAGCAGCTAGGACTGCAGGCGTGCACCATGATGCTCAGCTAATTTTATTTATTTTTTGTAGAGATGAGGTCTCACTGTGTTGCCCAGGCTGGTCTTGAACTCCTGAGCTCAAGTGATCTGCCTGCCTTGGCCACCCAAATTGCTGGAATTACAGGCATGAGCTACCATGTCCGCCCCCCTAGTTGGTTACCTTAATAAAATTTGCTTAGAGAAAAAAATTGTAGCCAGCAGTCTCTCAAAAATATATCTTTCTCTCTGTATTTATAGACTCATTAGTTACAGGAAAACACAGGTCACTGGAGGTAATGGGGTGATTATTGTAAGGACACAACAGCAGCTGCCTGGCTGAGTCTGGTGGCTCTGTTCTCTTTCCTCCTGCCTCTCAGGGTCTGGCATCACTCTCACCCGCATTGTTTCTCTTCTTCTTTTCCCGTATCTTCTCTACTCGAGGTCCACTGGTTGATTCTCTTCATACTTTCCAGCTTCAGATTCCAGAGTAGCATTAGCTGAGTCTTACCATCACCTGGGTTGGGGAGAGGTTTTAAAAGCTAGGCTCCCTGCCCTGGGGGAAGCAGCCTTTTTGGGTGAGGTGATTGATGTGGGCATGGCAGTTTCTTTTAGAAGGAAGTGTTGGAAGTGCCATCCTATGGTCCACAGAGACTTTGTGCAGTGTCACACCCTGGCCCACCATGTTAATGACATTTTGCTGATTCGACATGATGAGAAAGAAGTAGCAAGTACTTAGATGTCGCAGTGATTGACCTGTCTGGTATACTCAAGAGTAGAAAATGAATTTTACTCTAAGCTCAAATTGCTGTTGGGATTAGCCACAGTTATAACAAAAATAAATCATTCTGTGGGCAGAGGCCATGGCTGATTTGTGGCAGTCTCTAGAAGGGTGAGTGTTTGAATTGAAGTCATTGGCATGTTCAGCTAATTACTAAATAAGCAGATTTCTAGATCTCTTCAAATAAAGGAGCATCTACCTTGGTATCTACACTTAAAGTTCCTCTCCCCTTGTACCACATTCTTTCCCCAACTGTTAGGACATTTTTGCAAAGGAGCAACTCTGTGAGATTGGCACTTGAGGGTGCTTCTTGCCTGTTTTTTTTTTGTTTGTTTGTTTTTGTTTTTTTGTTTTTGAGATGGAGTCTTGCTCTGTCACCCAGGCTGGAGTGCAGTGGCATGATCTTGGCTCACCGCAACCTCCCCCTCCTGGGTTCAAGTGATCCTCCTCCCTCAGCCTCCCAAGTAGCTGGGATTACAAGAGTGCACCACTACACCTGGTTGATTTTTGTATTTTTAGTAGAGATGGGGCTTCACCATGTTGACCAGGCTGGTCTCAAACTCCTGACCTCAAGTGATCTGCCCACCTCAGCTTCCCAAAGTGCTGGGATTACAGGCACAAGCCACTACACTCAGCGTCGTGCCTGTTTCTGTAGGAATCAGCAGGAGGCCCCACAACCAGGTGACACCTGACATCACTGTGGAAGTGGTATTTGAGTTGTGGATCTTTCTGATTACTTAGTATGCAGCTGTTTTAATGTTTATTGTTATTATTTATTAAGCTAGCTAGTCTTTTTGAATCCCCCTTTTTTCCCTTCTTTTGATCTAATTTGGAAATATAGTAAGAAATTCCTACCAAACTTCCCATTAGAAGAACATTTTTCTAGAGTGCTTGATTAAATTATTAGGTGAAAATAATTAGAGTTTTTTTCTCTTAATGTCACTGAGAGTTTGGTAGAGGAAATGAGTGCAGTAATTGTCAAACTTTTTCTTTTCTTTTTTTTTTTTTTTTTTTCCCGAGACCGGGTCTCTCTCACCCCAACTGGAGTGCAGTGGCACAATCTTGGCTCACCGCAACCTCTGCCTCCCAGGCTCAGGGGATTCTCCTGCCTCAGCCTCCTGAGTAGCTGGGATAATAGGCGTGCACCACTATTGTCTGGCTAATTTTTGTATTTTTAATGGAGATGGGGTTTCACCATGTTGGCCAGGCTGGTCTCGAAGTCCTGACCTCAAATGATCCACCTGCCTCGGCCTCCCAAAGTGCTGGGATTACAGATGTGAGCCAACATGCCCAGGCTAAACTTAAAAAAAAAAAAATCTACCTTGTTATTAGTTTATATTTGGGATGATGAATACTTTCTATTTTAAGGAAAATATTTTGAACATGAATTCAGTTAGCACTGAATGTCATTGCATCAGACTATTTAATAATTAAAAATACATAGACACTATAAGTCTTTGGACTAGAGCATAAATCTGGAGTACATTATTTTCCACTTTTTGTAGTAGTTAATTATTTTTTGCTTTTAGGGCCCCAAACTGATGGCTTACATGTTAATGTACCAAATGACCTATGACTTAGATTTGTATTATCCTTCATTTTAGAAAGCCATTGACTTGAAATCTCCAAAGATAAACTTTTAGGCCGTTTTTAACTTGAAAGTAAAGAACAGATTTACTTTTGTAAAGGTAACAGAATGTAGATTTTTAAAATATATTATGAATACCAAGTTATGGATTATATTCTATTTAAATTATTTATGTAAAGATAAATGTATGTCTGTTTTGCACTAAAAAATATCTTATGCATTCAACCATTTTTATACAATGATAGTTCAGTTTTATGTTGAAATAATTTTTTTTTTTTTTTGAGACAGGGTCTCACTCTGATGCCAGGCTTGAGTCCAGTGGCGAGATAATGGCTCACTGCAGCCTCAACCTCCTGGGCTCAAGTGATGCTCCCACCTCAGCCTCCCAAGTAGCTGGGACTACAGGCACATGCCATGACACCCAGCTAATTTTTGCATTTTTTAATAGAGATGGGGTTTTGCCATGTTGCCCAGGGTGGTCTCAAACTCCTGGGCTCAAGCAAATCCACCTGCCTCAGCCTCCCAAAGTGCTGGGATTACAGGCATGAGCCACCACTCCCTGTCAGGAAACATTTTTATTTTGTGCATTTTAAATTTGATTTTTAGCTTAAGTTTGATCAATAAACTAACCACCTCACTATCCCTCGCAAGACCAAGACCTCTTTCTTTAGTTTCAGAATACCTTGAATTTTGGTGCACATTTTTGCTATTTTCAGAAAATACATCGAAGTAGCCTTATATCAAAGGTAGCCTTATATATGGAGAGCCTTATGCAAAGATATTAGAGTATTTAATTTCTAGTTATTTTTTCTAGAATTGAGAATCTCGGGTATTTCTGAGCATATAAGAACTTTGAGAAGAGTTCTCTAGTTATGGGTAAAATATATTAAGTACATTGAGAATGTCTTTACATTTTCTGACATTTGTACTTACATTGAGTAAAGTTATACCTCACTTTCTTGGTTGATACTGTCATTTGATAAAATTCATCAGTGGATAAATTGCTATGTATGTGTGTGATAAAGATACTTGCCTTAAAATAGAACACTTCTGTCTTGCAAACAGTTTATGGTCAAATTGCCTTTTCAGTTACTGTTCTTTCCATGCACCTAGTGAATTTAAGTCTGATAAAGTCCCTGGATGTAAGAAAGAAGATGAAATGTCTTTTCATTGTTAATTATCTGCACCTGGATTAAAAAGTATTTTCAACATGTGAAGACTTTATGGAAAAAAATAATATGTGTGTGTTGTTTGACTTTTACTGCTAAAGACAGCAAGTGATTGAACAGATAAAATTATGTATTGGTTTTAACCATTATTTTTATTGACCCTATCCTCAATGAGAGTATTCAATTGTGTGTGTGGTCAGTTGTACTATTTTCACTGTATATACATAACTACTGTTAACTGTCATCCTTAATGGCCATTGTATATGTCATGGAAGGATCAGATGTACTGTATCAACCAATGGGGAAGATAATGTGGATAGAAAAGATTGTATTATCATTTGGGATTTAAGGTAATAATTATGTTGTTTGGTAGGCGTTTTAGGAATGATGGTTTAAATGGACATAGCTTTTATTTTCTAATAAAAATATTTCAAATCAGCTCAATTTGTGTGACATTTTCTATTTTAATATGGGATTATTAAAGTATGCAGTCATTTGGGTCATAACTTTCCTCATTCAGGTGTGTTATTTAGTATTTGTCAGATCTTTAATAGTATCTTTAAATGGGCATCAAATATTTGATTAATTTATGGTTGGAGCTTTTTAGCATCTTCAGTTCTTAAGGAAATAATATTTTATAAAAATTAACTTTGTTATAAGTATGTTGTATGCACATCTGAAAAAAGTCTCTACAGCTTGAACATTTGAATAGTTAATGAATTTTGACTTTGAGAACCACCTACAGCTGATACTAAATACATGCTACTATCTATTGCGTCAACTTCAGCAATTTGTGTACAGTAGTTCATTCTTAGTGGACTTACTTCCCTTTTGTTCTGAACCAAAACTTCACTTTGCAATAAACTACTGGTGAATGAAGCACAAAGGTGTCTCCTGGCTGTGACAATGTCTCTGTTGGTCAGGTAGCCTTGAATCAGTCATTTGATCTTTGACCCGCTTTCATATTCTGTTTTTCTCCCTTTTAATTACTCTTCTTCTCCGTGGTAAGAATATCATTAATCAACACGAGGCAAGTTTCCAGGTCATGATGATGGGTACCTATAGGCACGTAGTACATGTTGAGTTGAATCAAAAATCTTGGAAATTATACCTTCTAAATGCTGCTGTTTGTTTATAGTATGTTCTCTGTTTCAAAGATGCCTGCCAGCCGCTTTCAGTTCTCCTAGTAAAAAGACCACATGATCCTCCTCCCACTCCCCATCATCCCTCTATTTCTCTTCTGCCCACACTCTACACCCCGCATCCCCACTTCCTGGAGGAAATAATTCCTGATTTGATTTTTTTTTTTTTTTTTTTTGAGACGGAGTCTTGCTCTGTCGCCCAGGCTGGAGTGCAGTGGCGGGACCTTAGTTCACTGCAGCCTCTGTCTCCCGGGTTCAAGCGATTCTCGTGCCTCAGCCTCTCCAATAGCTTGGACTACAGGCGCGCCACCACGCCCCGCTAATTTTTTTTTTTTTTTTAGTAGAGTCGGGTTTTTGCCATGCTGGCCGGGCTGGCTGATTTGATATTCTTGCGTTGACAGTGGCCCACCGGTGGAGCAGCTGCCCCCAGACCCCTTGACCCGGTGGTGCTTCCACCCTGCCGGAAGCACCTTGTGTGGCCCCGCCAACAGCATGGCGGTTGCATCCCCAGGAAGCAGGCCCGCAGCGCCAGGAGGGGGTTTCCTGAGGACAGAGGCCCTTGTCCTGATTGTCGCAGCAGGCCCTGTCGATGGACTTAACTGTGAAAATCACCCTTTCAGGGGTGGATGCAAGGACTTCTGAGGGCGGAGAAGTAGATACCTTCCTGGATAGCTGTGGAGCCGGGGTCCTGCATTTCCCTCTGGCGTCTCTGCTGACTGAGATGTGAAGCAGTCGGCCCATGTCCCGAGAAGAGGTTTCCTTTGATTTATTGCTATTAAAGTTGTTGCTTTGAGAGCTGGGCATAAACCATAAAAACAGTGGGGAATCACAAGAAATTTGTGATAATTGCATTTAAGACAGGAACCCATTCGTCAGGTAACACTTATGTGCTATTAATCAGAGCAATGGTTTCTAAGCCACAGGGTTTGCTTCTCATTTGAGTTCTTCTTTATATTTTATTTTTGGAACTAATCAGGTTTTTGTTTTCTCTTGGGGAAAAATAATAGCAAATGTCAGACTGAACATTATGTGTTTGGATTATTTTCACAAATTTAAAAGAATTAAGAGCCAGTGTGCATGGTTGAACTTTTGGATACCTGAGAAGATAATTAATGTTTTGGGTTTTTTTTTTTTTTTTAAAGGGACGGAGGGGGAATTTTCATAGTCTATCCCGAACCCCCATCTTTCATTGATGTCTTAAGCTGACAAGGTGATGGATATACCAGTCAGAAGTCCCATCATCTCTGTCCCCTGTAAATCTGTGGCAAGGTTGTCAGAGCACCTCATTTTTTTGTGTTCAGGCTGTGAATACAGTGAGGTTCTGACGAATGTTTGGACAAAAATGAGTTTTGGCACTCAGCTACAAGAGCAATGTAACCTTTTCAAGGCCAAGGAATTTTTTGGTGTGTGGGTGGTCCTTCTGTCTGCTGAAAATGTTGAAATAAGCCGTTTTACTTTGCAGAAAGTAGAATCCTGAAGGATTTGTGGAAAGTAGAATCCTGGATTTGCAAAGCTGGAGGTGGGGGTCTTGAGCCTAAAGGCTCTGGGGAAAGAGGATCTTGAAGTTGACTTTACTTGGGCAGTAAGTTATTTTACAGGAGCTAGCTTGGAGAGATTGGACATATCTTCAAAATGAATTGATTTTTAAAATGTATCAAAATAGTATAATCCACATACTAGACAATGTGGAAAATGGGGAGGAAAAAATAAGCACATACTTCCCTGTCATTGTAATAAGTTACTGTCATCATCTGCTTTTTTTTTTTTTTTCCTTTCACCTCATTTCCGACTGTGCGAGGCTCTAGCCACATATGTGGAAGGTACACTCCCCATTCATAAAGAGCTCTTGGGGGAAAGTGACCAGTAATAAAACATTGAAGACGTTTACAGGTAGGGTAAAGATTATGAAATAGATGCTGTGAGATCGCAGAAGACAGTTCAGGAGTCAAGGAAGGCTTCCTAGAAGAGTGATTCTTAAATTCAGTTCAGGGAGACAGACCCTTGACGATCTGTGACACTTATAGGGTTCAGCATGTACCAAAGCAAGAGAAAGTGGCATGTTTTGGCAGTTGCACTTGGTTGGGTAAGTGCAGAGAGAAGAGAGTGTGTGAGGAGTGCTGTTGGGTGGGCAGAGGTCAGATTAGGAAAAATCTCATGTGCCAGCCAAGAAGGTGGGCTTCACCCTGCAGGCAGAGAGCCACTGAAGGACCTAAGTCAGGAAAAACAGGGTTTGTGCTTAAGGAGGATTACTCTGTCAACTGTGTCAAGGGTGGAGAGAGACTGGGGACAGTGGGACCCATTAGGGAATTACTGTGGTCATCATTCAAGTAAGAGGAAGCAATGGGAGTGGTTTCCGTAGCAATAATGAGAGAGAGATAGAAAGAGAGCAGCTTTTGGTGGGAAAGAGTTCCATTGTAGATTTAATGATTGGAGGAGCCTGGGAAGTATCCAAATGGAAATATCAAGCCGACTGTTGGCTCTGTGCACTGGGGAGAGGTTCTGTCTAGAGTGGTCCAAATGGTCAGGATTTTGGAATCCTTGGCTTGTAAGATGGAAGTGGAAGCTAGTTTGGAAAAAGATGTGAAAAGTCCCTCTGTAAGAGTGTTGAGGGAGTGGAGGAAGTAACCTAGGCTTGGTCCCTGGAGACCACCAAACTGGATAAGAGGAGGAAAGGGGGTTGAAGGGCCCAACAAGGAGGTGGGGTGTTAAATGGCTCCTCACAGTCAGATGTTCACTGGTTTCAGCAACTAGGCGCTTATGGGGGCTTTGCAGAAAGCCATTCTGGTGGCTTAGGGTGCAGATGCAGGTTACAGGCTTCTTCATAACTATGGCTATAAATATGGTGGAAATATAAACATCATCCATATTAAACCCTGAGCTCTTCCCTCCTACTATGGAGTCCTCATAGCCATTACTTCTAATTGTCTGCCTTTAGGTATACCAGAAGTTATCTATTTCTTTAGATAACAGAGTCTAAAGAAATGGACCAAAGAGTCCTATCATTTTTATGGCTTTTGAAATACATTACCACACTGATTTTAAGTTGGGATGTACTGATTAGGAGTATTGTCAGTGTCTTAGTTCATTCTTTCTTGCTATAACAGAATACCACGGACAGGGTAATCTGTGAACAATAGAAGCTTATTTGCCTCACCACTCTGGAAGCTGGGAAGTCCAAGATTGAAGGCCCTCTGGTGAGGGCCTTCTAGCTGTATCATAACATGGCAGAAGGCATGGGCAAGAGAGAGAGAGGGAAGAGAAGCCAAGCTCATCCTTTTATTAGAAAACTACTCTCAAGATAACAGCATTAATCCATGCATGAGGGCAGATCCCTCATGTCCTAATCACCCCTTAAAGGTCCCACCTCTCAACACTGTTACACTGAGGATTAACTTTCCAACACATAAACTTTGGGGGACAAATTCAAACCGTAGCAATTGGTAATGTTTGATACTGTCGGTTTTACCACACCCTCATAAACATTGGCTTTTACCTCATTAAATTGTTTTCTGGTTTTACCACACCCTCATAAACTCTGGCTTTTACTTCATTACATTATTTTCTTAATGCAACAGATTAACAATGGCTTCTCACTGTGTCTCTTGTAATAACATCTTGGTTACCAATGACTATATGTTACAATCACTTTTAGTTACTAACCAACCAGATTAAAAAAACGCATATTGGATTGGTAGTTTAAAGAGGAAACAGAAAACAAACTTGTTAAAGCATTTGTCCACTGTGTGGGGCTGACTGCTCTTCTGCTGTGGTCCTGGATAAAATGCTTCATCTCTCTGGGTCTGTTTCTTGACTAAGATAATTTGTTGATGTTTTCTCTGGGTTTTTTCCCCAATTCTAAGATTCTGAGGTATTTTGCTCTGTTCTCCATTTGCAACTCCTAGTGACTAGGAGGGTATGGGGCCCACAGCTGGCCCCAAATAAACACTGAGAAATTGACTGAAAATTTTGATATGATCAGAAAAACATATTAGGCCTTAGAGTAGGAAGATATTACCAACAGAACAATAAGAACTCTTGTTCATTAAGAAAAAATAAATAAATTATAGATAATAAAAAAGAAGAAAATAAAAGTAATCTGTCATGCTATTTCCACGATCCTGCTCTGCTGTTTGACTCACTCCTGATTATCCTTTAGGTCTTAGTTTAAACGTTCCTTTCTTGGGGACTTGTTGACTGAACCCTATAATAGATTAGGTTCATCTTCTCTCATCCTGTTGATCTTTCTTTATTATTGTCACTTCTGAATTATAAATGCTTTACCAGAACAGCAGCCTTATATGTGTGATTAATTACTGTATCCCCAACACTTAGCACAGAGGCCAGCACATAATTGTTGCTCAGTAAATGTCGAATGAACACATAAATTCAAGTAATCATTTTTAACATTTTGGCATATTTCCTTTTGTGCTTTTTCCCTGTGAATATGTCTGTATATCAAGATAAAACATCTCAAAAATGAGATCAGTTTATACTATTGTTTCATGATTTGTGTTCTACTCTCATTGAGTCATTTTTGTGTGGTAGCGTTTTATGGTGAGTCATTCTTACTCATAAAGCTGCCCTTTTTGTTTCTAACAACATACAGTTGAGCAATGGGTGGTCTGGGCTAAGGATACAACCTGGAACTTAGATTGAAGAAATTGGTCAATTCAATTTTTTTAAATGGTCAATATGTCTAAACTGATAGGTTGTTGGAGAGGTCAGAATGATTTGTCACTGAGAGTGCTGGCCCTGTTGGTTTCTTTTTTCTTTTTTTTTCTTTTGAGACAGAGTTTTGCTCTTGTTACCCAGTCTGGAGTGCAATGGCATGATCTCGGCTCACTGCAACCTCCGCCTCCTGAGTTCAAGTGATTCTCCCTGCCTCAGCCTCCCGAGTAGCTGGGATTACAGGCATGTGCCACCACGTCCGGCTAATTATGTATTTTTAGTAGAGATGGGGTTTCATCGTGTTGGTCAGGCTGGTCTGAAACTCCTGACTTCAGGTGATCCACCTGCCTCGGCCTCCCAAAGTGCTGGGATTACAGACATGAGCCATCTCACCCGGCCCCCTGTTGGAATCTGAATCAAGTGCCAAGGAGGTTGAGGAAGGGCAATGATGACTAGCCTTTCTAGTGCACTTCCACTCATGTGATACTGCATAGTCTTTGCATTAATTCTGTAAGGTAGTTATTATTAACCCCCTCTTACAGATGAAGAAACTGTCTCAGGGTAGTTAAGTAACTTGTCCAAAAGCACACTAGCTCTTTGTAGCACAGCTGCAATTCAAACATAGATGTTCTAACACTGAGTCCTCTTTTATTTTATTTTTATTTTTTATTTTTTGAGACGGAGTTTCGCTCTTTTCACTCGTCACCCAGACTGGAGTTCAATGGTGTGATCTCAGCTCATTGCAACCTCTGCTTCCCGGGTTCAAGCGATTCTCCTGCCTCAGCCTCCTGAGTAGTTGGGATTATAGGGGCCCGCCACCATGCCCGGCTAATTTTTGTATTTTTAGTAGAGATAGGGTTTTCACCATGTTGGCCAGGCTGGCCTCGAGCTCCTGACCTCAGGTGATCTGCCCGCCTCAGCCTCCCAAAGTGCTGGGATTACAGGCATGAGCCACCGTGCCCAGCTGGGTCCTCATTTTATGTAGATTATGCAGATAGTAGTGTGGAAATCTCTGGTTACAGACTGACCGGCAGTCTCTGCTCTCTTGCTAGTAGTGCTGGCCTTGAAATCAGTTCTGCGATTTAACCCTGATGCACATGACCTGTTGTCTCCTCATTGCTGCTGTTTGTTAGTTTTGGATAGTTATTTTATTCTGTTGAAGTTATGTCTACAGAGCCAGAACATGAAATAAGTAGATGATCTTACTTTTAATCAGAAGGCTGAAAGTTCAAGCTGTATTGAGTAGCTGAGTGCTAAGGTTGGGCTTTCCAGTTCTGGTTTAGCAAACCTTTGATTCAGTTTCCACTTCCTTAAGTCCAGCCTTTTGCAAGGATATTAAGAAATACCATCTGAGGGCTGGGCGTGGTGGATTACAGGTGGGATACGCCTGTAATCCCAGCACTTTGGGAGGCCGAGGCGGGGAGATCACCTGGGGTCAGGAGTTCGAGACCAGCCTGACCAACATGGCGAAACCCCATCTCTTTAACTAAAAATACAAAAAATTGGCCGGGCATGGTGGCAGGTGCCTGTAATCCCAGCTACTTGGGAGGCTGAGGCAGGAGAATCGCTTGAACCCAGGAGGCAGAGGTTGCAGTGAGCCAAGATTGCACCACTGCACTCCAGCCTGGGTGCCACAGAGTGAGACTCTATCTCAAAAAAAAAAAAAAAAAAAAAAAAAAAAAAAAAAGAGATACCATCTGAGCTTTATTGTGACCACCTGGGAAATAGCAGCACATGCGAATTTCCACAGGCCTGTCAGGAACATTACACGGTCTGAACAGCTAAAACGCACAGTAGCATTTTTCAGTTAAAAACCAAGAGCAGTTACACAAGGGTAGCATTTTACTACTGAAATGAGGCTGAATTTGAGTACATTCTTAATCATATTTAGACTCAGAGAATGCAGTGCTGGGATAAGCTTCAGCTTTGTTCAAAAAGGACTGTTATTACTAATAATCATTAATCACTATGAGCCATAAAATCTGATACAGAAGACTAAGGTAATTAAAGGAAGAAAAAAGTGAATATTATGTGCAAGATTCTCATTTGGTCATATACAGCTTCCTGTGGTGTGATTTTAATTTTTAATAACTACTCTTCATTTATGGTGATTCTATGGCTGGCTGGCTACCAGTGGAGCCTCCCTAGGTTTTTCCTAATAATTTTAAAAATCACATTTGTGTGCATACTTCAAAATAGTTAAGATGGTAAAATTTATGATACATGTTTTTAACCACAAAAAACCCTAAACCCACACATTTGCAATGATTCATTATCTCTCTTGAGCATCTCTCTTCTGATCAAAAAGAAGCATTTATTTTAAAAACTCTTTACTAGTTTTAAAAATTACATAGAAATTGTTGCAACAAATTTAAATAATAAAGAAATATACAAAATGAAGAGTAAAAGTTTTCCTCATTCCAGATTGAACTCAACAGGCATCCACTGGTTGTGGTTTATTTGCGGTATTTTTTCTCTAATAGTATGTTTTTGGGTACTTCTAGATCAAGAAAGCACAGTGACAGTAGCTGAAATGTGGAAAACAACCCAGCTGTCCATAAACAGATGAATGGATAAACAAAATGTGGTCTATATATGCAATGGAATATTAACCTTAAAATGGAATGAAATTCTACATGCTACAACATGGGTGAACCTTGAAAACATAGTAATATGTGAAATAAGACATGTAAAAGGACAAACATTGTATGATTCCACTTATGAGGAGTTATTATTGTATGATGGCTATAGAGTTTCTGTTTGGAATAATTAAAGAGTTATGGAAATAGATAGTGGTGATGGTTAAACAACATTGTGAATATACTTAATGCCACTTAATTGTTCACTTAAAAACAGTTAAAATGGTGATTTTGTGTCAGTATATATATATTTTATTTATTTATTTATTTATTTTTATTTTTTATTTTTATTTTTTGAGATGGAGTCTCACTCTGTCACCCAGGCTGGAGTGCAGTGGCGCGATCTCAGCTCACTGCAACCCGCACCTCCTGGATTCAAGCAATTCTCCTGCCTCAGCCTCCCAAGTAGCTGGGACTACAGGCGCACGCCACCAAGCCCGGTTAATTTTTGAATTTTTTAGCAGAGACAGGGTTTCACCATGCTGGCCAGGCTGGTCTCAAACTCCTGACCTCATGATCTGCCTGCCTTGGCCTCCCAAAGTGCTAGGATTACAGGTGTGAGCCACCACGCCTGACTTTGTGTCAGTATAGTTTACTACACAAAATAAGAAAAACAATGAGCACGTAATTTTCTATACTATTCTGTAAACACAAATGGTGGCTCACGCCTGTAGTCCCAGCACTTTAGGAGGCTGAGATCGGCAGATCACTTGAGCCCAGGATTTCAAGACCAGCCTGGGCAACATAGTGAAACCCCTGTCTCTAGAAAAAATACAAAAATTAGCCAAGTGTGTTAGTGCGTGCCTGTGGTGCCAGCAACTTGGGAGGCTGAGGCAGGAGGATCACTTGAGCCTGGGAGGTCAAGGCCCCAGTAAGCCATAATTGTGCAGCTGCACTCCAACCCAGGTGACAGAATGAGACCCTGTCTCCAAATCTTCCTCCCACCACACACCTACAAATGATAAATACTATGATAAAAATGCAAATATTTTTTAAATGCAAAAAAAATTATTTTTTTATTTTTTGAGATGGAGTCTTGCTCTGTTGCCCAGGCCGGAGAGCAGTGGTGCAACCTCAGCTCACTGCAACCTCCACTGCCCAGGTTCAAGCGATTCTCTTGCCTCAGCCTCCCAGGCAGCTGGGATTACAGGCACCCACCATCACACCTGGTTAATTTTTGTATTTTTAGTAGGGTTTCACCATGTTGGCCAGGCTGGTCTCCAACTCTTGACCACAAGTGATCCACCCACCTCAGCCTCCCAAAGTGCTGGGATTACAGGCATGAGCCACCGTGCCAGGACGAATTTATGTTTTTATATAATTAATATATTTGTGGGGTATGACATGATGTTTTGATTCATGTATGCATTGTATAGTGATCAAATCAGAGCAGTTAACATATCTGTCACCTTAAACATCTATCATTTCTTTTTTCTTTTTTTTTTTTTTGAGACAGGGGACTCACTCTGTCACCCAGGCTGGAGTGCAGTGGCGCAATCTCGGCTCGCTGCAACGTCTGCCTACTGGGTTCAAGCAATTCTCCCACTTTGGCCTCCTGAGTAGCTGGGATTACAGGCATGAGCCAATGCACCCAGCTAATTTTTTTGTATTTTTAGTAGAGATGGTGACCAGGCTGGTTTTGAACTCCTGGCCTCAAGCGATCCACCTGCCTCGGCCTCCCAAAGTGCTGGGATTACAGGCGTGAGCCACCGTGCCCAGCCTAAATGTCTATTATTTCTCTGTGATGTGCACATTCAAAATCTGGTTATTTTGTCTTTGCCATTGTGTTTTTCATGATCTTTAGGTTGTGTTTTGTTTGTTTTAGACCGCATCTTGTTGTGTTGCTCAGGCTGACCTTGAACTTCTGGGCACAAGCAATCTTCCTGCCCAGCCTCCCAAGTAGCTGGAACTACAGGCATGCACCACTGTACCTAGTTTCTAGTTATTTTGAAATATACAATATATTATTGTTAACTCTAGTCATCTTGCTATGCAGTAGAACACCAGAACATATTTCTCCTATCTGTAGCTTTGTACTCATTTATTAACCTCTCACTATTCCTCCTGCCTTCCTTTGTCTCCAGGCTGGAGGGCAGTGGCATGATCTCAGCTCACTGCAACCTTCACCTCCCAGGTTCTAGTGACTCTCGTGCCTCAGCCTCCCAATCCCAGCTGATCCCAATCAGCTGGGATTACAGATGCACGCCACCACACCCAGCTAATTTTTGTACTTTTAGTGGAGATGGAGTTTCACCATGTTGGCCAGCCTAGCCTCGAACTCCTGACCTCAAACGATCCACCCACATCGGCCTCCCAAAGTACTCAGATTACAGCCATGAGCCACTGCGCCCGGCCTCTACTCTCTACTTCTATGAGGATAGTGTTATAGATTCCACATATGAGTAAGATCATGCAATATTTGCCTTTCCATGCCTGGCTTATTTCACTTAACATAATGTCTTTCAGGTTTATCCATGTTGCTGCAAATTTTTTATGGCCAAGTAGGGTTTTTTGTTTTGTTTTGTTTTGTTTTGTTTTGAGACAGAGTCTACTCTGTCACCCAGGCTGGAGTGCCTAAACCGTATTTTTATATAGATGGCTTAAAGTTTATGTCAGACTTTGGACTAAGTTATGCAGTAGTAGCTAACAACTTCCAAGTCTTAATGCCTTACAACTACAAAAGTCTATTTCTTGTTCATGTTACATGTCTTTTACAGGTTGGCCACAACTCTGTGCCACATCCTCTTCATTTTAGAATCCAGGATGAAGGATATGCCCTTATCTGGTATGTTGCCATTCTGGGTCAGAGGAAAAAATCATGGAAGCATGAGACTCTTAAAGCTAGTCATATAACCTAGCCTGACCTTATTGGGATGGGAAAATACAGTCCTCCTATAGGAAGGGGCAGTGATTATTTGGGAGCAATAATACAGTTACTATAGGGTTATAACCAGAAATAAGATGCTTGTCTTGGCCATGGAGGAAGGGAAACATCTGTACATATGAGACCTCACTATAAGGTAGTGCATGATCTGGAATCATGCTATCTGAATGGGGCAACACCTCTGAGCCCTAATGTGGGGCCCAGCTCAGATCCCTGTACCTGCTTAGGATGGAACACAGCACCACAGAAATCACTTAATAAGAAAGGGCACAAGGAAAAAACTCCCAAGATAAGCTCTCAAACATAAATTACAAAGTGTTTGAGGAGGTTCAGCCCTATCAAGGAAAATCTACAAATCCAACAAACAGGAGAATTTATATCAAGAAATATAAACAGTAGGCCCATCTAAAAGACATTAAAATAAAAAGTATGCTTAAAATGCTTAAAGATATAACAGATGAACTGGTATCAGTGAAGTAAGATCAGGAGGCAGTGAAACAAGAACAGGTAGATGTGAAAAAGATAGTCATTGAAATTTAAAACTTCTAGGCTGGACATATTTGAAGAGAGAATTTGTAAATTGGAAGATGGAACTGAAGACAACTCTTAGAGTATGGAACAAAAAGGTAATCAGTTGATGTCATGGAGGATAGACTGAGATATTTTAGCCTACACAAATGAGGGTTTCCTAGAAGGAAATAATAGAGTGAAGACAGCAATATTTGAAGATAGAATAGCTAAGAATTTTTCAGCATTTAAAAAGGGCACAAATTGTCAGGTTGAAACCACTAAATGCTGAGACAGACTGCACAAATATAAAAAAAAAAAAAGAAAAGAAAGTACATTTAGAAGATTGCAGTGAAATGACAAAATATTGGAAATAAAGAGAATCCTCTTAAAAGCTACCAGGAGGTAAAGACAGATTATCTACAAAGGAATGACAATCAGAATAACAGTATGCTTATTTTTAGCACAAATCATTGCCAAAAAAACAATGAAATAACAACTTCAGAATACTGAGGGAAAATAATTTGAACTTTGAATTTCATACCCAGCTAAACTGTCAGTAGAGTGTGCATAATAGAGATATTTTAACACACACAAGGACCAAAAGAACTTACTACCAACAGACCTTCACTGAAAGGACAACTAAAAACTGCTTTGGCTAGAAGAAAAATGAATCCAAAAGGAAAGAGCATGATGCCACAAGAAAAGGTGAAAAAGAGAAATTGGTAAAACATGTTGACAAACTTTAAATAAAATAATAATTATAATAACAACAACAACAGTTTTTGTGTGTGTATTTAAAGGCAAGCTGATAATTACATTCTAGGCCAAAAACAAGTAGGTATTTCAGAAGAAAGCTAAAGAATGTTAAGATCATTGTTTTGTTCAGAAATACTGGTTAGCTTTAGACTTTGCTGGAAAAATACTGATATGGTTTGGCTGTGTCCCCCGCCAACATTCATCTTGAATTATAGTTCCCATAATCCCCATGTGTCATGAGAGGGACCCAGTGGGAGGTAATTTAATCATGGGGATGGTTACCCTCATGCTGTTTTCGCAATAGTGAGTTCTCACGAGATCTGATGGTTTTATAAGGGGCTTTCCCCACTTTTGCAGGGCACTTCTCCTTGCTGCTGCCATGTGAAGAAGGACATGTTTGCTTCCCCTTCTGCATAATTGTAAGTTTCCTGAGGCCTCCCTCCTGTGGAACTGTGAGTCAATTAAGCCTCTTTCCTTTATAAATCACCCAGTCTTGGGTAGTTCTTTATAGCAGTGTGAGAACGGACTAATAAAAATACAAAATAAAAGGTTTAAAATGTAAGTGATATGACTAGAAGACTAGAAATAGAATATATAACTTCTTAATCATTAGAAGAAGAAAAATGGAATAAAGAAAATTTTATCAGTCTGGTAGAATGCAAGAGAGAAAGAAAAATGTGATAAAAAAGAACAGTAAATAGAAAAAAACAAGATGGCCAATCTATATCCAGGTATGTCTGTGATCACTATTAGTATATTGCTATTAAATTCCTCTATTAAAAGCAGAGACTCTGACTGGATTTTAAAAATACTATTTATGAGGGACACTCCTTGGCTATAATCTCAGCTACTCAGGATGCTGAGGAGGGAGGATTGCTTGAGCCCAGGAGTTTGAGACCAGCCTGGGCAATGTAGTGAGACCCTGTCTCTAAAAATTAAAATAGAAATAAATTACCCAGGCATGGTGGCACACACCTGTAGTCTTAGCTATTTGGGAGGTTAAGGTGGGAGCCCAGGAGTTAAAGGCCACTGTAAACTATGCAGGAGTTGAGCCCTGGGGATAAAAGCTGCAGTGAACTATGATTGCACCACTGCACTCCAGCCTGGGTGCATTCTAGCCTGCCTGCACTCTAGCATGGGTGACAGAGTGAGACTTCATCTCTAAAATAAATAAAAATAAATAAAAAAGAAAGAAACATTTCTAAAAAATGTGACGTAGTAATTAAAAATAAAGGAATGGAAAAAGGTATTTCAGACGCCAGCAGGGAAGAAAACTGAGTAGCTGGGGGTGAGGTGTGGGAAGAAAACATCACTGAATGCCCTTTTAAATTTTGAACCATGTGAATGTATTTCTTTCTCAACAAACAAAATTCTCAATTACTAGTATAAGGAAAGTTGGTGTAACAATATAGTATAATATAAATGATAAAATAATGTTATCAGGCCAAATAACATTTAAGCAGAAATATGCACAAAGGTTATTTTATCTCACAGAAAGAAACAGTCTACCAAGAAATAAGAATCATGCATTTCTTTACATCCAATAAAAGCGTTAAAATATATAAAACAAACCTAATAGAATTTGACAAATTTACAATCATAATGGGAGATTTTAACACACTATCTAAAAAATCGATGTCTGTTTTTACACATACAAACATAAGGTATAATGACAGAAGGTGAACCTAGTACTATAATAGTCACACTAAAGAACCTTGAATCAGTTTAGGAAACCAAAGTCACTCCAAGAATTTCAAGTACAAAAGAAGATGGGGAATTAGCTGCTTCCAAAATAATTAGGCCTTCACATATATAATTTTGAAAAATTGCTTGTAACAGTTTCTGGCAGCTAGTATGTATTAAATGAGTGTTAGATAAAATTTTAGAAGATACATAAAGTTGAGGACTGTCGTGGGAGTAATGATTTCAAAGTCATATCATCATAGCTGTAATTCAGATGTCAGGAAGCTGTCACTGCTGCTGCCACCACAATCTTCTCATGTCCACAAAGGTAGTGACTAGACACTGGAATATTGAGTCCAGGGGTAGTCAGTTCAACCTGGCTTGCCAGCCACCACAGCAGGAGGACAAGGGGCTCCACGTCTTTTCCATCTTCCTGCTCTTGTATGTATGTATGTATTTGATTCATCAAAGCTAAATCATATCTAGAATTTGCTGTCACATAGTCTTGGAAATGTGATTTATTTATTTAGCCTTTCAGCCCTTGTATTTCAGTAGGAAACAGAGAAGTAGATGAGAATGAAGGTCAAGTACCAATTGATGGTAGCAAGTACAAATAACTAGGAATCAGTTTAATGAAAAATGTATGAGACCTGGTTGGGCGCAGTAGCTCATGCCTGTAATTCCAGCACTTTGGGAGACCGAGGCAGGCAGATCACTTGATGCCAGGAGTTCGAGACCAGCCTAGCCAACATGGCAAAACCCTGTCTCTACTAAATATACAAAAATTAGCTGGGAGTGGTGGTGCACACCTGTAAGCCCAGCTACTAGGGAGGCTGAGGCATGAGAATTGCCTGAACCCAAGAGGTGGAGGTTGCAATGAGCTGAGATCACGCTACTGCACTCCAGCCTGGGTGACAGAGTAAGGCTCTCTCTCTCAAACAAAAAAAAATATAAGACATGTATGAAGAAAACTTTAAAAATAGCACTGAGGGACACTAAAGGAGACCTGAACAAATGGAAAAACTTTGCGTGTGCTTGGATCAGAAGACTAAGCCTCATAAAGACTTCAGTTCTCTAACTTAATTTATAAATGTAATGTAGGAGCAATAAAAATGCTGACACTTGTTTAAAACTAGATATGCTGATTCTAATATTCCTATGGAAAAATAAACAAGAATGGCAAGAATAAAATTGAAAAAAGTAAATCAATGAAGGGGAACTGGACATACCAGATCTTAAAACACTTAGCCCTCAAAAATGAAAACAGTTGAGCATTGATGAATGAATAGACATATCAATAAAACAGAACAGAAAATCAAAAAGATTAAAATGCATGAGAAAATATCTATATATGTTAAGAGAACTATCTCAAATCAGTGAATAAAGGATAGACTACTCAATAAATTGTATTGAAACAGTCAGAAAGTTATCTGGAAAAAGCAATTGGCACCCGCAAAGCATACACCAGAAAAACTCCCAGTGGTTAAAGGTTAAAGATAAATGTACAACATAAAGCCATAAAAGTACTAGAAGGAAACATAGGAGAATTCCTTCTTAACTGTGGCATAACGAAGTAGTCTTTCCAACCTTGACTGTACAGTTTTGCATTGCAGAAAGAAAGAAAGAAGCAAAGTCAAAAGACAAATGAAAAGCTTAGGAAAAAGAAAAACAACTTGGAACTACATCCTAAAGGACCAGGCCCCCTAATTTATATAAAAGCTTAAAAAAATGTTTTTTAAAAACTAAAAGAGCTTATGATCAATAATCAATAAAACAAGAATCAACAACCAAATAGGAAAATGAGCAAAGCATATGAACAGTTTTACATAGAAAATATAAAGTCTCTAGAAAATATAAAGTCCCCTACTTGCATGAAAATATACTCAACATCTTTCAGAATAAGAGAAAAGCAATTTCAATCTAGACTAAGGTGCCATTTTTCACCTATCAAGTTGTCAAAAATTCAAAAGTTTAATAATATACTCCATAGGTAAAGCTTTGGGGAAAACAGTGGATGGGATTATAAATTGTTTCAACCTCTCTAGAATTCAATTTGACAATTTTTGTCAGAATTGCAAATGCGTGTATCCCTTGATCAAGCAGTACCACTTCTGATAATGTATACCACAGATATACCCACACATGTATGAACTGACATACATATAAGGTTATTCATTGTGCATTGTATATAATAGAAAAGATTGTAAATAATCCGATTGCCCCCAAAATATGACCAAGTGAATAACATCTGAGACATCCAACAATGGAATACTAGGTAACAACAATAAAGAAGTAGGAAGCTCTTATCCACCTATGGCAAGATCTCCAGGAATTATTATTGAATGGAGAAAGCTACGTACACATCAGTATATATAGTATGCCACCTTTTGTGTGGGAAGGGGGTGGGAAAATAAACATAGATTCATATTTGATTATGAAACCCAAAAGTTCTAAGTGGGGCCCAAAAATTGAGTGGTGTAAATTATGTGATCACATTACTGTAAGCTTCATGAAATGACTGCAATGAGTGTAGTAGGCAGCTGGCTGGCTAGGAGACCTGGAGGTCCAAAAGTCAATTGTCAATCACGTTATAGCCAAATAAGTATTATTGGGGAAGAATAGAGGTTACCTGGGAGTGGGATGCATTGGGTTTAAGGAGACAGGGTGGGAGCGCGAGCTTTTTCACTGTATAATTTAAAAAAAAATTTTTTTTTTTTTTTTTTTTTTTTTTTTTTGAGACAGGCACTCTGTCACCCAGGCTGAAGTGCAGTGGCACAATCATGGCTCACTGCAAACTCTGCCTCCTGGACTCAAACAATCCTTCCACCTCAGCCTCCCGAGTAGCTGGGACTACAGGTGCACACCACCATGCCTGGCTAATTTTTGTACCTTTTTGTAGAGACAGGTTTCACCGTGTTGCCTGTGCTGGTCTCAAACTCCTGAGCTCAAGCAATCCTCATGCCTCAGCCTCCCAAAGTGCTGGGAATACAGGTGTGAGCCAACTCGCCCAGCCTTAAAAAAATGCTTTGAATGGATTATCTATTAAAAATATTTGAAAAATAATTTTTAATTAAAAGATCACCAGGCATGGTGGCTCATGCCTGTATTTCCAGCACAGAGGGAGGCTGATTTGGGTGGCAGCAATTATAGGATATTTGGGGTGTCGTTTTTCTGGCAGGAAACCTCTGTGGCCAGTGGTACCTTTCCCCAAGTTTTGCTCGGGCCCGCTGGAGTCATTTCACTCACTTGGCCTGGCAGGCTGCATTTGGTTCTTGCTGCCAGCCTGGATCCCACACCACCAAGGGCAAGTCAGACATGGAATGGCAAGGGGTGTGTGAGTGAGTGTGGGGTCTGGCCACTGCACACAGTCAGACATGCTGGCTGCTGCAGTGGGGTGGGCAGCTCCAGGTGCCAGCACAGGCACTGGCTCTCTGTGAGGCTGCGGCCGGACCAGGTACCACCACAAGCAGATTCCATGGCTTGCATCGGGGAACAAGCATTCAGAAACTTGGAGACACCAGGAACAGCAGGGCCCCAAAGAGGGAATCACAGCCCTGCCTCAGGGAGCTCCCAGTTTTGGGCTCCGCAAAGGACTGCAGCTCTTCTCTACTTCTCTTCACCAGCAACGTGGTGAGCAAGGGGCATGTTTCAGCCCTGTTTGTGTTACAGCTCTTTTAACCTCATCATTCCATGGTCCCGAGTTCTTGTGCTGCAACCAGGAAGAATAAGGTATGCAGACAAGCAGAGGGTGAGCAGGAGGGTGAGCAAGATGAAGAGGAGCTTTATTGAGCACTAGAACAGCTCAGTCTACCACAGGGGGCAGCTCCTTTCTGCTTCCAGGGTGTCCCAACAAGTGTTCAGCTCCTAGCAAAGAGGAGACCCTGGGGTGGGAAGCTCCTCTTTGCAGGTAGGTTGTCCCAAAATCTCTGCAGCTCTCAGCAGAGAGGAGGCCCTGGAGTGGGTAGCTCCTCTCTGCAGCTGGTCATCCTGAGGTCTGCCCAGCTCTAGCTGAACCTGGGCTTTTATGGGCCTCTGAGGGGAGGAAGTGCACACCAATTGCTCCATTAGCGGCCATGAGCGGGCCCAGAAAAGGCACCACAAGTTCCCATTCTGGTCTGCGGGACAGGCAGCCCAGCCCCTAGCCTTCAGGCCCTATGTGGCCTGAAGGTGGGGCCTCACCGGGGACTCGCCCTCTTACGCCCAGGAGCCTGTCTTGCCTCCCGCTGCTGTTCATGGCGCCCAGGCTGTTCCTGCCAAGGGGCTTCTGCAAGCCAGTGCTGAGCTGCCCTCAGCCCCCACTTGGCTTCCCACCCATGCTCATAGGCACCCAAAGTCCAGAGGGGGCCAAGGTGGCAGGGGGCTAGCATGTCAGCACTGCCCTGAGCCTGTGCACACCTGGCTGTCTTCACCCCAGCTTTGTTCTGAGATCGGCGTGGGCACCAACAGCAGGGAGAAGTCAGGCAGTGGGAGCAGGCATTTCCGAGCCTGCAAGGTCAGGTGGGGCTTTCTGGGCCCCCAAGAGTGTAGGGATGCCTTGGTCCACAGCCACGGTTTGGGTGGCTGCAGCTGCCCCAGAGTTGGCGGGGATGGGGTTCCTGCCTGCTGCATGGAGGCCCGGGTCTGAAGCTGCACCAGGGAGGGCAGGGCTCCTGCTTGCTTTTGGCACCTGCAAGAGCACAGGGAGGCCCGGGTCTGAAGCTGCACCAGGGAGGGCAGGGCTCCTGCTTGCTCTTGGCACCTGCAAGAGCACAGGGAGGCCCGGGTCTGCAGCTGTGATTTGGGCAGCTGCAGCTGCCCCCCAAGCGGGGCTCCCTGGAGGAGCAGGAGGCCTGGGTCCACAGCCATGACTTGGATGGCTGTGGCTGCACCTGGGGAGCTCCCACCCCACCAATTCAGAAGAGGTGGGGCTCCCACTTGTTGTTGGCTCCACAGGGTGTGCAGCCCTGGCCGCCCCTCCCTCCTGCAGCCAGTGTGATGGCAGCATCCGCTCCAGACAGGCTGCTGTTGCCATCACCAAGGTGGGAGGAACATTTGAGTCCAAGAGTTCGAGACCAGCCTGGGCAACATGGTAAAGCCCCCGCCTCTAAAAATATTAGCTGGGTGTGGTGGCGCACGCCTGTAGTTCAAGTTACTCAGGAGGCTGAGGTGGGAGGATTGCTTGAGCTCAAGAGGTTGAAGCTGCTGTGAGCCATGAGCACCACTGCACTCCAGCCTGGGCGATGGAGCAAGACTCCGTCTCAAAAAAAAAAAAAAAAAAGATCAAGCAGATAAAAACAATGATATTAATGACTTGAAAAGACAACTGACAAATGTATTCTGGTAGATTTGTATAGAAGCATGTACCCAACAAATAGAGAATATGAATTCTTATCAAGCATGATGTGAAGTGTTTTGTGTTTTGTTTTTTTTTAACAGTGGACCACTCTCTGATGCAAGTTAGATAATTCTTTTTTTAAAAAGCGTTGGCTACAAATATTAAAGAAATTTTATCATATAGAATGTTTCTTATCACAATGCCATAAAATTAGGAACCAACAATAAAATGAAAGCCCAGAAATCACACTATATTTGTAAACCAAAAGCCTCCTTCTTTTTTTTTTTTTTTTTTGAGAAGGAGTCTCACCCTGTCACCCAGGCTGGAGTGCAGTGGTGCGATCTCAGCTCACTGCCACCTCTGCCTCATATGTTCAAGCAATTCTCCTGCCTCAGCCCCCCAAGTATCTGGGATTACAGGCATGTGCCACCATACCTGGCTTATTTTTTTAAATTTTTAGTAGAGATGGGGTTTCACCATATTGGTCAGGCTGGTCTCGAACTCCTGACCTTGTGATCCACCCACCTCAGCCTCCCAAAGTGCTGGGATTACAGGCGTGAGCCACTGTGCCCAGCCTGCCTCACCTCTTAATAATGCATTAGGCCTGGTGCGGTGGCTTTATGCCTGTAATCCCAGCACTTTGGGAGGCCGAGGTGGGTGGATCACCTGAGGTCAGGAGTTCAAGACCAGCCTGACCAATATGGAAAAACCTCATCTCTACTAAAAATACGAAATTAGCCAGGTGTGGTGGCACATGCCTGTAATTCTAGCTACTCCAGAGGCTGAGACAGGAGAATTGCTTGAACCCAGGAGGCAGAGGTTGCAGTGACCCAAGATGACTTCATTGCACTCCAGACTGGGCAACAAGAGTGAAACTCCATCTTAAAAAAAAAAAATTAATGTGTTAAAAAAGGACAGGGAAAGGTACCAAATATCTGGAACTGAATGACAATGAAACCCTGTAAAATACACTAGCGAAGTATCAAACATTGTGGGATGCAGATAAAGCAGTGTTGTTACTAGTAAACAACAATATTGAAAACATGTCATTTAGTGCTCAACTTAAGTCTAGAGAATGGGCTGGGCATGGTGGCTCACGCCTGTAATCCCAGCACTTTGGGAGGCTGAGGCAGGTGGATCACCTGAGGTCAGGAGTTCAAGACCAGCCTGGCCAACATGACGAAACCCTGTCTCTACTAAAAAATACAAAAATTAGGCCAGGTGCGGTGGCTCACACCTGTAATCCCAGCACTTTGGGAGGCCGAGGCGGGCAGGTCACGAGGTCAGGAGATCGAGACCATCCTGGCTAACATGGTGAAACGCCATCACTACTAAAAATAAAAAAATTAGCCGGGCTTGGTGACGGGTGCCTGTAGTCCCAGCTACTTGGGAGGCTGAGGCAGGAGGATGGCGTGAACCCGGGAGGCGGAGCTTTCAGTGAGCTGAGATTGCGCCACTGCACTCCAGCCTGGGCGACAGAGTGAGACTCTGTCTCAAAAAGAGAAAAAAAAAAAATTAGTCACATGTGGTGGCAGACGCCTGTAATCTTAGCTATTCAGGAGGCTGAGGCAGGAGAATAGATTGAAACTGGGAGGCAGAGGCTGCAGTGAGCTGAGATCACGCCACTGCATTCCAGCCTGGGAAACAGAGTGAGACGCCGTCTCAAAAAAAAAAAAAATGCTGCAGAATGAACAAAAAGCTGAACCCAATGAATGCAGAAGGGGTGAAAGAATAAAGATAAAACCACAAATTGATGAAACAGAAAACAAACACAAAGGAGAAATCAACAAAACCAAAAGCAATTCTTTTGAAAAGACAAAATAGACATCTGCCAAAAGTGAGAAAAAGAGAGGAAGAAAAGGTAAATAATATTAGGTCAAGAGAGTGCACATAACTGCATGTATAGTAGAGAGCTATAAAACGTGATTCCAGACGTATTAGATATAGTTGATTGGCACTGGATAGTTATTTCCATCTCCTTCGAGGGCATTTGCCTAACTACAGAGATTACAAAGCTGAAAACTGCATTTCAATTAGGTTTCTAGATGAGAATCAGATTTTGCTAGTTAGCTGCAGTTGTGTGAGATTTGGTTGGAAGAAGGGAAGCAATGGCCATAATTCTAAAACTTTGGACTGACTTTTTTTGCTGCCAAACTCAGAGTCCAGGATCCGGCTTTGGGGGTCTGGGGAGTTGTTTGTAGCAGCAGCAACAGCAGCTGGAATCAGCAGTGCCATATCTAGTTACAGCTCTTAAGAGTCAGTGGTGGTTTTAACCATGGCTTTGTGACCCGGGATTGCAATCATTGCCGTGTATACTTGAACTCAGTTGTATACACTGAGTATACTCCCCCAGTGGCAGCATCTGGTTCCCTACTTTCCATTGTTTTTTTGGTGAGATGGGGTCTTCCTCCGTTGCCCAGGCTGGAGTGCAGTGGCACAATCTCAGCTCACTGAAACCTCCGCCTCCCGGGCTGAAGCAATCCTCCCACTTCAGCCTCCCAAGTAGCTGGGACTAAGGTGTGTGCCACGACGCCCGGCTAATTTTTGTATTTTTAGTAGAGATGGGGTTTCGCCATGTTGCCCAGGCTGGTCTCAAACCCTTGAGCTCACACAAATCTGCCTGCCTCGGCCTCCCAAAGTGCTGGGATTACAGGTGTGAGCCATCGCGCCTGGCTCCACTTTACTAATGGTGCCATACTTGGCAGCTCTTCTCGACAGCTCTAGACTGTTCTGGGAGTCATTTCTAGAGCTCACTTCTCTAGCCTTGTCAACAATTTTGTAAGCTCCCAGTTCCCTTCATTGAAACAGGGGTTCTTCTTCCTTGTATCAGGCACAACTGATGAAAAGAATACTATCAACAATTCTGTGCCAAGAAATTTGAAAACTTAGGGGAATGGATAATTTCCTAGAAAATGTAAATTACCAAAATTGTCCCAGCTAACACTGAAAACCAGAATAGACTAATAAAATTAACTGACTAGGTATTCAAAACTGCCTCCCAAATGCCCATGCAAAGGTTACTAGGCCTGGACCGTTTTATGGGCCGGTTTTCCCAGAAAAAAAGGTAACCTTTATATCATGCAAATTGTTCCAGAGAAAAGAAAAATAGAAACAGTTACTTAGCTTATTTTGTGAAGATAGTATAACTTTAATATCAAAACTGGATAAAGAGAGTAAAACAGAAGAAAGTTAAAGTACAATCTTAAGAACATAAATGCAGCTAGGGCCAGGGTAGCTCATGCCCGTAATCCCAGCACTTTGGGAGGCCTAGATGGGGGGATCACTTGAGGTCAGGAGTTCAAGACCAGCCTGGGCAATATAGTGAGACCTCATCTCTACAAAAAACTAAAAAATTAGGCCAGGCACGGTGGCTCTCGCCTGTAATCTTAGCACTTTGGGAGGCCGAGGCAGGTAGATCACTTGAGATCAGGAGTTCAAAACCAGCCTGGCCAACGTGGTGAAACCCCGTCTCTACTAAAAATACAAAAAAAAAAAAAAAGAAAAAAAAGTCACGTAGAGAGACTGAGGCAGGAGAATCACTTGAACCCAGGAGGCAGAGGTTGCAGTGAGCTGAGATTGTGCCACTGCACTCCAGCCTGGGTGACAGAGTGAGACTCTGTCTCAAAAAAAAAAAAAAAAAAAACAGAAAAGAAATAGCCAATTAGAACAGAAACAATAAGCCAGGTATGGTGGCTCATGCCTGTAATCCTAGAACTTTGGGAGGCCAAGGTGGGAGGAACCCTTGAGTCCAGGAGTTCGAGACCAGCATGGACAACATGGCGAAATCTCGTCTCCAGAAAAAAATACAAAAATTAGCCAGGTGTAGTGATGTGTGCCTGTAGTCCCAGCTACTCGGAAGGCTGAGGTGGGAGGATCGCCTGAGCCTGGGACGGTTGAGGCTGCAGTGAGCCATGATCGTGCCACTGCACTCCAGCCTAGGTGGCAGAGTGAGACCCTGTCTCAAAAAGGAAAAGGCACATAAACAATAAGAGAGAGACCATTCACATTAACAAGACAAAGAAAATACTTAGAAATAAAAGGCAAACTCCCATTTTAAAACCTATAAAAATACATTTAAAGTCACATAAGAAGAACCAAATCATGTTTATGAAAGGGAAGATTCAGTAGTCTCAAAATGGCGATTCTGCCCAAATTGATCTATAAATTCAATGTGATCCTAACAAAAATTCCCAATAAATTTTTTTGGTAGCCCTTTGACAAACATTTTTTACATTCATATAGAAGATGAACAGCTGTGACAATTCAAACGTAATTCTGAAAAGGAAGAATTAGTACCAGAAATCAAGGCAGCATAAGTCTAGAGTAATTTAAATGGTAGATATTGATACAGAATAAACAAATAGATCAGTGGAACAGAACAAAGAGCCCCAAAACAGAGCCCAAATATTGTGAGATCTTGTTATATGATAGATGTGCTCTGTCAGATCAGTGGGAAAGGGTGGATGTTCAATAAATGGTAATAGGAAAATTGACTTTCTATAAAAAGATAAAATCTCTATCCCATACCATACACAAAACGAATTCCAGCTGAATTAAACATCTGTGCGTGAAAAAACAAAACTTTAAAACTTTTATTTTTAGAGATGGGTTCTCACTATGTTGCCCAGGCTGGTCTTGAACTAGTGGGCTCAAGCAATCCTCCCACCTTGGCCTCCCAAAGTGCTGGGATTACTGGCATGAGCCACCACACCTGGCCCAAAACTAAAACCATTAAAAGGAAAGTATTTGTATTATTCAGAGTTCTCCAGAAAAACAGGCCAATAGGATTGATTTACTTATTTAGGGAACTGGCTCATATGATATTGGAGTCCAAAAAGCCCCACGATATGCTGTCTGCAAACTGGAGAACCTAGAAACCCAGTGGTGTAATTCAGTCTGGACCGAAGGTCTGAGAAGCAGGGGTTCTGATGTCCAAGGGCAGGTAGATGTCCCAGCTCACAGAGAGACAGCAAATTTACCCTTCCTCTGCTTTTGTGTTCTATTCAGTTTCTCAGCAGATTAGATGATGCCCATCCCCATGAATGAGGATGATCTTTACTCAGTGTGCTGATTCAGATACGAATACCTCCATAAACACCCCCATAAACACCCTCAAAAATAATGTTTTACCAGCTATCTGGGCATCCCGTAGCCCAGCCATGTTGACACAGAAAATTAACCATCACAGTATTTCTCTGGTTTTTTGTTTGTTTGTTTGTTTTTTGTTTTTGTTTTTTGAGACGGATTCTCGCTGTGTCACCCAGGCTGGAGTACAGTGGCGCAAGCTTGGCTCACTGAAACCTCCACCTTCTGGGTTCAAGCAGTCGTCCTGCCTCAGCCTCCCAGGTGTCACAGTATTTCTTTTAAAATATTTTTAAAAGGAGGCTGGGCATAGTGGCTCACGTCCGTAATCCCAGCACTTTGGGAGGCAGGAGGATTGTTTGAGCCCAGGACTTCAAGACTAGCCTGGGCAACATAGTGAGACCCTGTCACTACAAAAAATTTAAAAATATTAGTTAGGCGCAGTTGTGTGCACTTGTGGCCCCAGCTACTGAGAAGGCTGAGGTAGGAGTATCGCTTGAGCCCAGGAGGTTGAGGCTGCAGTGAGCTGTGATTGCACCGCTGCACTCCAGCCTGGGAGACAGAGCAAGAACCTGTCTCCAAAAATACATATATGTATATATATTTATATAAATATATTTTTCTCTATATAATTCATCTATTATAAATATTTCAGCTCCTTTCTCCTAGTCTATTGTCTTTTAATTTATGGACAGTGGCTTTTGTTAGAACAAGCTTTATATTTTGATATTAAATGTATTGTTTTCTTCTTTTTAAAATGTGTGTGGATGTATACACATATTATACATATATACATACCTGTATTTTCATATGTGTATATATTATATATACATATATTTTTCTGTGTGTGTATACATATAAACATGTATACACCAGAGGAAAAAAATATGTATATATAATATATACGCATACATTTATATATACATATAGACAAGTGTATAATATATACATATACATTTTAAATGTAAATATATGTATGAATATTTATATACACACATGTGTTTTTAAAATGAGAAAACAATACATTTAATATTAAAATATAGAGCTTATTTTGACAAAAGTCACCATTCATAAATTAAAAGACGACAGACTGAGAGAAGAGAGATGAAATATTTATAATAGATGAATTTTAGTATATTGGACAAGCATCACTGGTGAATAACCAAAAACAACTTCTTTTTTTGTTTCCAACTTCCTTTAAAAATTTCAGTGGGTTGGTTGCTGTAACAAAAATACCATAGGGGAAAAAAAAAACCCATTTTTTCCAGTGGGATAATCTTTTTTTGCTCCTGGATAAAAACTCCGGCAGGTCCAAGACTTTTCTGTTCATTCTTAGATAATAAATCTTAGAGTCACTTAGTCACAAGACATAAGCCTAGTCTCAATTTATATATTGAATTATCCATCCAAGATCTTAATAAAAACTATGAACTTCATTTACTGTCTAAATTTCTTTCCTCCTCCAACTTAGGTCTGCTTCAGGTGGGTGACAAGGAGGGGGTGTTTGGTGTTTTTCTTTAGTTCATTCTTGTGGGTTCTCTCAACTCCTCCAACTTTAAGCCTGCTGCCCAGTTTTTATCTTTCCAAGGTCCAGATGTAGGAACAGAGGGATGGCAAATGGGATAGAAAAGTCCTCTCATAACCTGGCTTTGAATTCTGAGCTTGGTAGAGTTTAAAGCATGTTTTGTTGTCTCATGGGCACTGTCATGGTCTCTTAGGAAATTCTCTTCCTAGGGACCTCCATCCTGCAGGTCCCTTGACCTTGACAGATGGGTTTTATTGTGAGTGGTTGCTTGTGTTTCCTTCCAATTGGGCTTCATCTCTAGCTTCTTTCTACTGGGTTCCCTTTGCTCCTTGAAGTGGACCTATTGGACAGGACTAAGACCACCCATGCCAGCCCTCTCCCACACTGCCCATATTTTTATTTTTTGAGACAGGGTCCCGTTCTGTTGCCCACACTTGAGTGCAGTGGTGTGATCATGGCTCACTGCAGCCGCGACCTTCCAGGCTCAAGCGATCCTCTCTTCTCAGCCTCCTGAATAGCTGGGACCACAGACACTGCACCCAGCCTGCTCACATGTTGTCCATAGAAACACTGATGCATCCTTTGTCCTGAAGAACTCAAAGAGTGGAAGGTTGCTGGTACTTGAGTTTCTAAGGCAGGAGTCAGACCCTGGTCCATGGTGACCCCCAACTGTAGGGAGAGACGTATCAAGCTTCCTGAGTAGTGTCATAGAAGCCCATTCTCCCTAGGATTCCGGCAAAGGAGAAAGCAACCCTGTGCACCTAAGCTGAGAGGGGATGGGAACTGCTCACAGTGCAGCAACAAGTTTCTCTCCATCAAAATCTCTTCAGAAATTTCTCTTCTGTCTCCACACTCTTACCCTTTAATTATTCTTGATGTGACTGAGGAGTCTAAGAATTATTGAACTAGTTTGTTTCTGAAATTTTCTTTGTAAATTCTGCATGTGTTTCCTGGTCAAAAGGCTAAATAAATAAATAAATAAATGCTGCATGGGAGAGCCAGCCTCACTCTCACTTTGGTATTTGCTATATAACATGTCAGTAGCTCTGACTGAAGATTAGAATTGAAGCTGAAAGAGCCCTATTTTAACATCACGTTACTCAGAGGAATAGTATCTACAATAGAGAACTTCCACAAATAAAAAAGAAAAGGACAGGCCGGGCGCGGTGGCTCACGCCTGTAATCCCAGCACTTCGAGAGGCTGAGGCAGGGCAGATCACTTGAGTCCAGGAGTTCAAGACCAGCCTGGGCCAACGGGGCAAGATCCTGTCCCTATAAAAGGCACAAAAATTAGCCAGGTGTGGTGACATATGCCTATGGTCCCAGCTACTCGGAAACCTGAAGTGGGAGGATCACTTGAGCCCAGGAGGTCAAGGCTGCAGTGAGCTGTGATGCAGTCACTGCACTCCAGCCTGGGTGACAGAGTGAGACCCTGTCTCAAAAAAAAAAAAAAAAAAGAAAAGAAAAAAAAAGAAAAGAAAAAAAGAACAACCCAATATTAAAAAACGGGCCAGGGATATGAACAGGCAGTTCACAAAAGATGAGCCTTACAAGGCAATGAACATTGAAAAGATGCTGAGGGTGAGGCGATTCCTGCCCAGGCAGAGCTCCCAGTGGTTGAGGCACCCTTGGTGTCTCTCTTCGAGTCAGTAATGTTCACAGTGCTGACATGTCAAAAATTCCTTTTCCATTTCTCCCTGGAGCTCTGGGACCCTACTGTAAGCAAGATTTGTGAAGGTCTGTCCTCTTATCCCTGAGTTCCCAAAATGAGCCCGGCTCCTGTCCCTTGGATACGTGAGAACATTTCCCCTTGCCTCTCGCATCTTTGTGTGCATGTTCACAGCTTGTTGACATCTTGTGGATCCCATCACTTGCAGAGTAAAAGGAATGAACCTTCTACTGTTGCAAGTTGTATTTGCTCCTGGGCCGTTTCAGAATTAATAACAAAAGATTGGTTTCTGTTGGAAGACGGTTTATTTAATCTGGAAGGTTACAATGCTTATCAAAGCCATTCTGAGTCTTCCATAATGCGTATGTCTCAAAACTCACCTGCTTAGATTTTTCATGGGATTCCCAGGGCTCTTCCTGGGACACTGTCATCTTACCTCTGGCCAGAGGAAGAGACTGGATGCTCAGAAGTTGAGCAAAACAAGGGCCACCAAAATGATGGAAGCAACCATGGCAAAAAGCACTGATCTCAGGGTCCAATTCTCAAGTATTATTCTTTCTTCTTGATTTTATTTTATTTTATTTATTTATTTATTTATTTATTTATTTATTTATTTATTTTTGAGACAGAGTCTCGCTCTGTCACCCAAGCTGGAGTGCAGTGGCGCGGTCTCGGCTCACTGCAAGCTCCGCCTCCTGGGATCACGCCATTCTTCCGCCTCAGCCTTCCGAGTAGCTGGAACTACAGGCGCCCGCCACCATGCCCGGCTAATTTTTTGTATTTCTAGTAGAGACAGGGTTTCACTGTGTTAGCCAGGATGGTCTCGATCTCCTGACCTCGTGCTCTGCCTGCCTCGGCCTCCCAAAATGCTGGGATTACAGGCGTGAGCCACCGTGCCCAGCCCGTCTTCTTGATTTTAAAGACAATGTCTGCCTGTTAGAGTTGTGAGAATTAAGTGGCTAGCTACATATGAGAGTGAACAGACTCTAAAAGGGCCATACAAATGCCAGATTTTCTCATGCATAACACAAACATGTCTTCTTAAAAACACATTCTTATTTTTCACCATTATTAAGTGAACTCAGACTCATGAAAGATAATTTTGAAAATATAAGCAAGTAGAAAGAAGAGGAAAACACCCAGTCCCATTCTTCAAAGCAACCACAGAGCATTGTAATGTACCTCCTCCCAGTCAGTATCCCATGCAAAGGCTTGAACATAAGATGTGTGTCACCTTTATACCTAATATCACAATACTTTCTTACATGATTTCAGTCCTTATAAGCCTCTTTTTTCTTTTCATTTAATTTTTGAATATGTAAACCATAATTCCAAAGTTGAAACTATAATATATAATAGGCATATGTATAGGTAAGCTTCAATCTCTTTCCTCTGTCAGTCTCTTTCTCCTCCTGTAAGTAATCGTGCTTATTTGTCTATGGTGTGTCTTTCAGGTACTTACATATATTACCCCTTCCTTCCCACATGAAAAGTAACATATACTATACCTTGCTTTTTTCTGCCAGTATATCCTAGAAACCATCCCATTTCCGTGATTAGAGTTTTTTCTCATTGCTTTTTTTTTCTCTTTTTTTTTTTTGAGATGGAGTTTTGCTCCTGTTGCCCAGGCTGGAGTGCAATGGTGCGATCTTGGCTCGCTGTAACCTCCACCTCCGGGTTTAAGCGATTTTCCTGCCTCAGCCTCCTGAGTAGCTGGAATTACAGGTGTCTGCCACCACGCCTGGCTAAGTTTTGTATTTTTAGTAGAGACAGGTTTTCGCCATGTTGGCCAAGCTGGTCTCAAAATGCTGACCCACTTTGGCCTCCCAAAGTGCTGGGATTACAGGTGTGAGCCACCGTGCCCAGCCTCTCATTGCTTTTTATGGCCACCCATTACTCCATTGTGTGGCTTTATTTTAGTTTATTCAACTAGTTCCCTAAACAACTAACATTCTTTTAATTTTTTTTACTATAACAAATCATGCCCCAACGAGTGACTTGTGTAAACATAATTTTTAGTGGTTACAGCATGTGCCTGACCTCTCCTACCCATCCATCAGTTTTCAAAGCAATTTCCTGAAACTCCATCCTTGGCTTTGAATTCTCACTGCCAAGCTCTGAACCATGCTCTGTGACCCCCAACTTCAATCTGTCCTGCCCTGAACTTGAAGTTTGGGCGTGAACTTTCCAGGATTAGAATCTTGACTTTCCCAGGGGTCTTGAACTGGTTCTCCCCAGCTCTCACTGGCCCTTGTGGACTCAGGTAGAAATGACTGCAGGAGCCACCAAACTGACCTCTTCTTGCCTACTTTTCTTCTGGTGGAATTTGGAGAAGTTCCGTCACAGTTTATTTTGTCATTCCCTGACTGTTTTTGGTTGGTTGGACTTTTTATTATGAAAAGGAAAAACTAGAAAAGAAAAAACAGAAGAAATAGGACAATGAAATCCCAATACTTCCCCACACCTAGATTAAGAAATTCTTAACATTTTGGCATATCTGATGCATCTATTTTTCCTGAGATTTTTAGAAAAATGGACAAAATTTTAAAGAAATTTATGGACATTAGATGCTTCACGTATAAATACAGATGGTCCCTGGCTTATATGGTTCAACTTAATGATTTTTTTGAATTTGCAATGATGCAAAACTGATATACATGCAGTAGAAACTATACTTGGAGTACCCATGTCACTATTCCATTTTTACTTTCAGTATGGTATTTGATAAATTACATGAGACATTCAATGCTTTATTATAAAATAGGCTTTGTATAAGATGGTTTTGCCCAACTGTTGGCTAATGCAAGTGTTCTGAGCATGTTTAAAGTAGGCTAAGCTAAGCTGTGACGTTCTGTGAGTCAGGGGTATTAAGTGCATATTCTTTTTTTTTTGAAACAAGGTTTTGCTCAACATGTTGCCCAGGCTGGAGTGCAGTGGCTTGATCACAGCTCACTTCAGCCTCAACCTCCTGGGCTCAAGTGTCCCACCTCAGCTTCCCAAGTAGCTGGGACTACAGGTGTGTGCCACCACACCTGGCTAATTTTAAAATTTTTTATAAAGATGGGGCCTTGCTGTGTTGCTCAGGCTGGTCTTGAACTCCTGGCCTCAAAGAATCCTCCAACCTCAGTCTCCCAAGTATTGGGGTTACAGGCGTGAGTCAACATGGCTGGCTTAAATGTATTTTCAATTTACAACATTTTCAATTTATGATGGGTTTACTGAAACGTAATCCTGTTTTAAGTCAAGGAGCACCAGTGCTTATGCATACAATCCAATAAATAAGGACATTGTCCAACACAGACATCATTATTACATCTACCAAAGTAAACAATACAGTAAAAATGCACACCTGTAGTCCCAGCTCCTCCTGCGCACCTGTAGTCCCAAAGTGCTGGGATTACAGGTGTGAGCCACCGCGCCTGGCCCCAACTCCTTCTTAAACAGCCTTTCCACCAGTCTTCCTGTTTCTGGCTCCCCACTCACTGCTACTACCCAATCCTGGCCTTTGTGAGTGTGCTGTAAAAGGGAGTGCTGTGTGTTTTTTTTCCACCTGCTGGCTTATCACTCAACTTTCTTGGAACTGCCTAAATCATGGACCACTTCTCCATGTGCTTTCCAGTTTCCAGAACATTGCTGTTGTCTCCTCTCCAGTTCATTGTTTGTCCCCATGGGCTTGTATCCTTTATAAATCTATAACCGATGAATTAGAGGAGTTGGAGAGGGGGCAGGAGTAAATACCTGTATTCAGTCCACCAGCTTCAGTTATTCTTTGATTTAGAAAAATGCTTTGGTTGCTCTGATGAGCATTTTGGTTGAGAAAGATTTGTCCCAGCCATCGCAGGGCCCCTTGGCATTCAGATACAGGTGAGGGCAGTGTCAAGAGGAAGATGAATTGCTCAGTACTACACCAAGGAGAATTTGGAGTTTCTGGAGTGGTCTGAGACTAGAAAGTGTGAACCCCAGATATCTGAGACAGGTCTCAATTAATTTAGAAAGTTTATGTTGCCAAGGTTGAGGACGTGTGCCGGTGACAGGAGGTCGTGACAACATGTGCCAAAGGTGGTCAGAGTACAGCTTGGTTTTATACATTTTAGGGAGACATGAGACATCAATCATCATATGTAAGATGAATGTTGGTTCAGTTTGGAAAGGCGGGACAACTCAAATCAGGGAGGGGCTTCCAGGTCATAGGTAGCCTCTCCAAAGGAGGCAGTCAGATATGCATTTATCTCAGTGAGCAGTGGGCTGACTTTGAATAGAATGGGAGCAGTTCCCAGCTTGACTTTTCCCTTTAGCTTAGTGATTTGGGGACCCCAAGATTTATTTTCCTTTCACAGAAAAAAAGAGGAAGATGTGAGAAGGGTGTAGGTGTGACAAGGGTCTAGAGAAGGCCTGAGCTAAGTAATACAGGTAAGTTAGAGCAGAAGGAGAGAATGGTAGCTGATGAAAACTCCCCTGTGGGAGGGAATGGCTGAGGAGCTTTGGAAAAGAGAAGCCTGATATCCACCCTTAGGCTGTTTGCTGTGCCGTGGTGTCGGCAGACTGTGTCTCCCTATGTCTACTCTTCCCTGCCTTTTTAGCAGTTTTTGTTGGGCCCCTTATCACTTGGAATAAAGAGCTTCCAAGCTTCCCCTGCAGCATGTCATGGTCATGTGACCCAGTTCTGGTCAATAAAATTTAAGAAGTGTGTTCAAGTTCTGGGCAATAAATGTAAGCAGAAGTGTTATGTCAGAATCCCAGGAAGACTAATTAAAGGGAGTTTATGGCCTGGCATAGTGGCTCACACCTGTAATCCCAGCACTTTGGGAGGCTGAGACAGGTGGATCACCTGAGGTCAGGAGTTCAAGACCAGTCTGGCCAACATGATGAAATCCCATCTCTACTAAAAGTACAAAAATTAGTTGGGCATGGTGTCGGGCACCTGTAATCTCAGCTACTTGGGAGGCTGAGGCAGGAGAATTGCTTGAACCTGGGAGGTGGAGGTTGCAGTGAGCTGAGATTGCACCATTGCACTCCAGCCTGGGCGACAGACCGAGACTCTGTCTCGAGAAAAAAAAAGGGGGAAGTTTACTCAGTCAAGATAACCTCTTTTGGCCCATCTGCCTTTCCTCCTCCTTCTAGACTGCAATTTGGATGCAATGACTGGAGCTCCAGCACTTACCTTGTGTTATGAGGTAATCTTGAAGAAGCAACAGAAAGATAGGAGTCTAAGTCTAACAGTACTATGAAGCTGCTGTACCAGCTCTGAACTTCTTATGTTTGGACAGTTTGTTTGTTTGTTTTTGAGACAGAGTCTCACTCTATTGCCCAGGCTGGAGTGCAGTGGTGCAATCTCAGCTCACTGTAACCTCTGCCTCCTGGGTTTAATCAGTTCTCCTGCCTCAGCCTCCAGAATAGCTGGGATTACAGGTGCCCGCCACCACGCCCGGCTCATTTTTGTATTTTTAGCAGAGACAGGGTTTCACCATGTTGGCCAGGCTGGTCTCAAACTCCTGACCTCAAGTGATCTGCCCACCTTGGCCTCTCAAAGTTCTGGGATTACAGGCCTGAACCACCGTGCCTGGGCATTTTTTTTTTTTTTAATGTAAGAGATAAATAAAATTCTTTGTTTTTTTTTGTTTTCCTGTTTTATCATAATAATCACTTATTGCATGTCAAGTACTGTTTTAAATGCTTGGATTATGTACTAAGTTAATTCTCTTACTACCAACTCTATGAAGCAGGTACTATTATTATCCCTATTTTACAGATAAGAAATGAGGCACAGAGAGATTAGCTATTTTGCCCAAAGTTAATTAATTTGGGCTTAATATAATAACAATTTGTGTTTGTAAACTTTGTGCTAGACTGACTGACTTAAACTGCATCAACATAGCTGAACCCAATCCTAACTGATACGGCTGTGAAATCAACCCAATACTCCCATAGACAGTTTTGTTTTGTTTTGATACACATAGAAATTGACGCTTCTGGTCTTAAAGCTTGAAACTCACGTTGTTGTATCTGAGTTCTTTCCTCAGGAAAGGATCCCCAGGACTCTCAAAAGTATCAAAGAACTGAAGCTTACTAGATCATTGCGTCCAGACGATGAGATGCCAGGACCCTCATTCATCGAGATTACTTCCTTACCCCTCCTGAGTTCCTATTTTCCCATATATATTTACATTTCTTCCCTGCTTTATAAAGCCCTAATTTTAGTCAGTCAGGGAGATGGATTTGAGACCGAGCTCCCATCTCTTTGGCTGTAGCACCCAACTAAAGCCTTCTCTTTGGCCATAATTGTTGTCTCAGTGATTGGCTTTCTATGCTGCCAGCAGTAGGACCTAGACTGAACCCTGGTGTTTCAGTAACAGCTGTGCACTACCACCCCTGAATCTGCTACCACCACAGTGTTGTATTAGAGAATCAGCAGGTGGGGGACACCCATCCTCCCCTGGCATTACCCACTCCCTGACACCCAGGATGTGAAGGAAGGAGATCCCAAAGTTTCAGGTTGTAACTAGTAGTGCAACAAGCAAAGGGCCAAGGAGAAGCAGAGACTAGAGGAAGGGACCAGGTGACCTGGCAGGGCAGGGAGATGTGGGCTGCAGCATGGACTAAGAGCAGACGGGAGACAAACTCCCTTTCCCTGAATGCATTAGAGGAAGGTGGCAGGGAGAGCCTCCTGAGTTCATGCCTATAAGGCATTTCTGACATTTAGCATCATTTTCTTAGGCATAGGCTTTGGTACATCTTGACTTTATTTGAATTAAACTGATGAAATAATTATTTAGCGAATTTCAGATGCTCTAATTGTTATGAATAAAGAGATCCCTAAGATTTTGCTGTATCTTTGGTAGGAAAAATAGGGGGCCAAATTTTAAGATACTGATATGAGTGCCTGGCACCGTAAAAACATCTTTATTGATGGAATTCATCAAAGACAAGAGATATAAAATGTTTAGGCCGGGCGCGGTGGCTCACGCCTGTAATCCCAGCACTTTGGGAGGCCGAGGCGGGCGGATCACGAGGTCAGGAGATCGAGACCATCCCGGCTAAAACGGTGAAACCCCATCTCTACTAAAAATACAAAAAATTAGCCGGGCGTAGTGGCGGGCGCCTGTAGTCCCAGCTACTTGGGAGGCTGAGGCAGGAGAATGGCGTGAACCCGGGAGGCGGAGCTTGCAGTGAGCCGAGATCCCGCCACTGCACTCCAGCCTGGGCGACAGAGCGAGACTCCGTCTCAAAAAAAAAAAAAAAAAAAAAAAAAGAGATATAAAATGTTTAAAAGAGAGACAAGTGTATGCTAGACATCTACTCTTGATTATTGAGAAGGCTGGGAAGGACAGCTTTCTCAGGAAGCTGTAGAGAGAAATTTGGTCTGTTTCTGTTGCCACTTTGTTTCAATCCTTGGTCCCCAAACTGGCTGTAAATAAGCCAATCTTAAGGATGCTGTTGCAAGCTAGAAGGTGCTGGAAGCAGAGTTTGAGCTCATGCTAGTGAGCTGTGAGTTATGGGTGTTGAACCAGGTAGGTCACTTTGCCCTGGGTCTTTAGGCAACCATTAGGGGCTTGTCTTCTGGTCATAGAAGTGAGGACAATGTGGAGCGCTCCATGAGTAGGAGATGGCTTGCTGGGGGATTTCAATAGCACCATGTTAGAAATGTTCTTCTGCTCTAATTTCCCCTCATTCTTAATAAAGACACAAGACATAATGAGGCAAATGGGCCCTGTATTTGGAATGCAAATCTGGCCTGCAGAGCCACATCCTGGCAGAGCTGTCTGGGAGGAAAATAGTCACAGCAGCGCTCTCCAGAAGAGTCCTTCCTGAAGATTCCCCAGCTGAACCTGGGAGCTCAGCCTACAGCACTTTCCTCCGGAATGAGAGTTGGTGACTCTGGGGGAAATCCTAAGGCAAAACTGGACTGCCCAGAGAAACAAATAGGTGTCCCCAATGAACCTTGCTGAAAAGAGTCCAAATTGGACTCTCGGAGAAAATGAGGGGAAATGAAAATATAAGTGAATCAATCATGGTTTCAGACAGATTTGGAGCTAGGAAGATAACAGCCTGTGAATGCTGGTGGGAGAGCTGTTCTAATAGCTCACTGATTATTTGTTAAGTTTTCGAGTCATCTAAGAGAAACAGGCCTCTCTAAGGAAAGAACAAAGACTTTTTCAGTTTGACAGTTCTGAGAAAGGTGAGGAATAAGTCCACATGATCAAAATGGCCTTATTCAGAGGAGTCTGATAAACAACACAGCAGCCTTGTTTCCCTGGGTTTTAAAATTTTTGTCTTCCTCCTGATCATTCACGTATATCATTTCTCACTCCTTCGTTCACTTTTGCCCCTGGGGATTGGGTCATGCAGCAATCAGGAATACATCCAGGAACAAAATATTAAAGGCACCATCCTTGTTCTGCATTAGAGAGTGAACATTGTAGAGCTACGGAAAATGAAGCCAATCTTTCACCCAGGATGGCTCAGAATAGATCATTCCCTGGGATCTGCATCCACCATTCATAAATGAATCCAGAGCTTTTCTAAAGGAGCTTAAAAGATTTTATTCCTAATCCATTTTTTTTCTTAGAGCTTTGGAAATATGGCTCTGTAATTTAATGATTACAGGAGATGAGCAAAAGAATGAACTAAATAAGATAGCATCAGCTTGCTTTGTAATGAAGGGCCAAATTTTTCCAAATATAGAGCAAAATCCAATTTTGGTGCTGTTGTTTATAAATGTTTCCTGCATGACATTCACATGGGAGATGCAGTAGGAACACACATATGTCCTTTCCCACATAGAGAGCCTTCCCCTTGGCTCTTTACAAAGTTAGGGTGGGGGCAGTAAGCCACCATGGTCACTTTCTCTAAATCTCTGGCACTGCCCTATACAACAGTAAACTTTGCTGATGAAACAAATATAGGCAGAAACAAGACATACCCCAAAACAATGAATAACCACTAGTTAGCATCACAGACAGCAAGCCCCCAAAGCACCAGGGACTTTCTTGCAGTTGATAACAAATAAGATTTAAAAAGTGATGCCACACAAAATATGGTGTGGTGTCCTGGACTGGATACTGGAACAGTAAAAGAACCTTAGTGGAAAAAACTGGTGAAATGTGAGTAAAGTCTGCAGTTTAGTTAATTATGACATACCAATTTAAATTTCTTAGTTTTGACAAATGCACAATGGTCAGGTAATATATCAACATTAGGATAAACTGGGTGAGGTGTTTTCAGAAACTCCTCATGCTATAATTACAACTTTTCTGTAGATACAAATATATTCCAAAATAAAAAGTTTATTCTTGAAAAAGTGAAGTCACATTTTTATTTGTTACTACTGGGAGCATAAATGGGTCCAAATGTTCTGACACTGCTCATTAAAATCTTTAGAAATGTATGTGCCCACTGACCCATCATTTCATTCCCAGGAAATAGTCAAGGGCCTTTCTTTCAGCACTCTGAGTAAAGTTGGTAAGAAACCAGAAGTCCAAATTTAGGGACCATAGGAACAATAGTATAGCCATGCCAAAGAATTTACAAAGTTACTAACAGCGATGTTGGGGAAATGTTTGATGATGTGGAAAGACTATGATCATACACTGTTAAGTGATAAAAGCAGGTTACAAAGTAATCTACATGGGGCCGGCAAGGTGGCTCATGACTATAATCCTAGCACTTTGGGAGGCTGAAGGGGGAGGATCACTTGAGGTCAGGGGTTTGAGACCAGCCTGGCCAACATGGTGAAACCTTGTCTCTACTAAAAATACAAAAATTAGCTGGGTGTGGTGGCAGGTGCCTGTAATCCCAGCTACTCGGGAGGCTGAGACAGGAGAATCGCGTGAACCTGGGAGATAGGGGTTACAGTAAGCCGAGATCCTGCCACTGCATTCCAGCCTGGGTGACAGGGCGAGACTCCCTCTCAAATAAAATACAAACAAAAACCAAAACAAAGTAATCTACATAGTATGATCTCATTCAAAAAAAAAATTATGTGCTTAGAAGAAGGAGACAAGATATATCAAGGTATAAATAGTGGTTTTCTCTAGGCGGGTGAGACTATTGGGTGCCATAGACTGAATTGTGCCCCCTACCTCCAAATTCATATGTTGAACCCCTAACTCCTGGTGTGACTGTATTTGAGGATAGGGCTCTTAGGAAGTAATTAAGGTTAAATGCAATCATAGGATTCTACTCTAATAGGACTGGTGGCCTCACAAGAAGAGACAAGAAGAAAGCTGTCTCTGTGCACACACACCGAGGAAAAGCCATGTGAGCACACAGCGAAAAGGCAGCCGAGCCCACAAGCCAGGAAGAGAGCCCTGCACCCCAGAACTCAACTGTGAGAACATACATTCCTGTTGTTTAAGCCACCAGTCTGTGGTATTTTATGGCAGCCCAAGCTAAGACAGTGAGTATGTACATTTTCTTGTTTTTGCTCTCTGTTATTTTCTGTAGTGAATATCAATTGCTTTATTATTTAAAGAACAATAAATGTGAAACGTTTATTCTTAGGGCTCACTTCATTATCGACAGAAAGGAACACAGCTCTCTGGGTCTCTTTCGGGAATAGTATTGAGTGGGAACGGTGAGATCACCCAAAGATCATTTCCTCGCGGTGTCCACCTGCTGTCAGGCTCCTTATGCCAGGTGCTCAGGGAGGGGGCATGGACCCCCACATCCCTGGCATTGCCAATAATTTCTAGCTGAGCTTGCACAGTGATTTAGAGTTTAAAACACACATCTGTATATGTTAACTTAGTTGACTGCCACAAGCAGTAAGCAAGGCAGGCACGAGCAAGGCTTAGGGAGGTTAGGTGGCTTGCCCAATGTCACATGGCTAGTGGCAGTGGACCCAGGTCCAGGAACTGGGTTTCTTGGCTCCAAGAACAGTGCCCGACTCTGCTACTAGTTACTGCCTATCTAGTTCTTTCTTTTGCATCAGTCCTGGTTAATCTTGTGAGTAAGATTTGGAGAGCAGTCTCAATCCTCCAGAGTCCCACTCCAGGTATAAATTTCATATTGGAAATAGAAAGGTGTTACATTCTCCTACTTCCTTGCCAACCATGAGCTATTTCTGGGCCATGTGTTTTCCAGTACCCCAGAGGGTGTGCAGGCTGTGATAGAGGCTCCAGCAGCCAGTCTTGATTTATTCCTGTGCATCCACCTGGTGGCAAGGTGAAGCCTGGATGCTGGGCCCCAGAAAGAAGGTGGTGCTTGTGACAATGGCTTTGCTGCAAAAGCTAGAATCTGTCAATGTTGAAATCCAGCTTCAGACTTATCTATTTATGAATTTGTTCTGCATTGACAAGTATGAGCTTGGATAAACATCTTTAAATCCTCTTAGGGATTTTGCTGTTTTTGCATTAGCGAATAAGAACTGTTGCAGACATCGGCACTCTTTGCTAGATTTCTTAGTGTTCTAGGAGTTAAGTAAAATTTAAGGTGACTGAGTGGAAGAACTGGGAAGAGTTTGTATTGGCATGAGGATTGCTACTGCTCTCTTTGACTATGGAACTTAAAAATAATATTTACATATAAGGTAGAAAAATAAAGAGTATTGTTGGCCGGACGTGGTGGCTCACGCCTGTAATCATAGCACTTTGGGAGGCCGAGACGGGTGGATCACCTGAAGTCAGGAGTTCAAGACCAGCCTGACAAACATGGCGAAACCCCATCTCTACTAAAAATACAAAAATTAGCCATGCATGGTGGCGAGCGCCTGTAATCCCAGCTACTCCGGAGGCTGAGGCTGGAGAATCACTTGAACTCAGGAGGTTGAGGTTGCTGTGAGCCAAGATTGCGCCATTGCACTCCAGACTGGGCGACAAGAGCAAAACTCCATCTCAAAAAAAAAAAAGTATTGTAATATGTGCACTCAACAGATGTATGTCAGTGCTCAAACTGTGCAAGGCATCGTGCTAAACTTGAAGACATGCAAAGCTGAAGACCAAAATAACACCTGCTGTTAAGGCAAGGACTGTCCACTAGGGGAGATAGACATGCACACACATTATCATTACCCAAAGAGGGTGGAAATGTGGAGGATTCTTTTAATTGTTATAATCTCTAGGGGCCATCTCTGGCATTTGACCAGAGGAGAACTGACCTGGTGTCACAAAGCGGGGCAGTGTGATCAGAATCAGGACCGACCCAGATGTACAAACCCTCAGCCCCAATTCCCTTGAACTTCAACTCCATAGAAGAGAGTGCTGGAGGCTGGGCTGGCACCTCTTCCTCTCTACTTCACCCCTTACACCTGGAAGGCAAGAAGGCCCACAGCAAGAATGGGAGGGAGGCTTCTGTCAGAGGAAGAGAAGTGATCTGATAGAGGCCTTCCCTACTCCATAACTTCCAATCACTGTCTGATGAGGCAGAGTCAGGGCCAGACTCTTCAACATGGTCTCCAAGACCCTCCCTAAGTGGCCCAGCCTGTGGACATCAAGGATCAAGGAGCCCATCTCTCCTTGATCCTTTCCACCATCCTTGCTGACTTTCCTTGGAAGACCAGAATATGCTGCCCCCAAATTTGAAGGATTGATGAGCTGAAGATAAGAAGAAGCAGATGCAGGAAAGCTCTCTGCCCTTCCTGTATTTGCCTAAAAGCATGACACAGATTTACAGGGACAAAAGGTTTCCTGGCCCCCTCTTCTTCTTCTTTTTTTTTTTTTTTTTGTTTTTGTTTTTTGAGACCAAGTTTCGCTCTTGTTGCCCAGGCTGGAGTTCAGTTGTGCAATCTCGACTCACTGCAACCTCCGCCTCCCAGGTTCAAGTGATTCTCCTGCCTCAGCCTCCCTAGTAGCTGGGATTACAGGCAACTGCCATCACACCTGGCTAATTTTTGTATATTTAGTAGAGACGGGGTTTCACCATGTTGACCAGGCTGGTCTTGAGCGTCTGACCTCAGGTGATCCACCCACCTCGGCCTCCCAAAGTGCTGGGATTACAGGCGTGAGCCACCACACCTGGCCCCGGCTCCCTCTTCTACTAGGGAGGACAAAGTTTAACTGCTGAAGACAACTTTGGACCCTTATCGGCATGGAGATGGTACCAGAAGAATCTACATTAACGAGCCTTGGTAATTTGCCTTTATCTGCATGTATTTGCTCCCCCCCAGAGTGCTCCCCCTAGAGACCCAAAGTCCTTTTCTCTTGTCTTGTCACTTATCTAAAAATTTACTGTTCTTTGTTGAGAATAAGCTGGAATTCAAGGCTGCCTCTTTGAGAACTCTCATTGCCCGGGTGTCTCCCATGCACATGTGAACTCTACATGTTAATAAGCTTCTGTTCGTTTTTCTCTTGTGAATCTGTCTTTTGTTACAGGGGTCTGATGGGGGTTATTCTTTCCTGACACCTTGAAACCCTCCTGCATTTTGCTGACACTGTGACTTCCTGCATCATGTTCTCGTGTCACCTTCTTTCTCCTGAAATCTTAGGCACCATAGTCCAGCTCAGATGCTTCTGCCTCCCTCTTTCCACAGTCCCTGCCTTTGGAAGGGCTCCCTCTGCTGCTCCCAGTGCTTGGCTCGGCCTGCTGTCACAGCAGGTTGGTGGTGTCCTCCCATGAGTCTCTGAGGCTGTGTGTTCCTTGAGGGTAAGGACTTGGTCTTCCATCGGCGTCTCAAAGGCAGCGCTGGCAACATTCATTTTGGCATTTTTAGGGCCAGCCTCAGCCTTCCACATCCTCAGTGATGATAAATTTTTTATTTCTTCACTGGGATTGCATTTTCTCTCTGTCACTGTTTGACGCTTAGTAACTGGCCAACAAATCTTTGTTGAATTGATTTGAGGAAGGCATGAAGTGAGACTAGCACTGGGGAGAGGCACTTGTTCCCCAGTTATTTACAAGAAATAGTAGAAGCCTGAGGTTTTAAATGACAACTGGCAGCCCAGCTGATGGCCTGTGTGTCCCAGCTTCCTTGCAGCAGCAACAGCCTTGCTGACGACCACAGTCCAGAAACTGGCAAGGCTGGCACCTTGCAGAGCTGGGGGAAGGCAGGTGGGCAGGAGAGGGAAAAGGAGGCTTGGAGAGGCACCCAGCTGCTGTATATTTGGAAGGGAAGCGAGCATTTCAGCTTGAATGTTACAGTGTACTTCTCTTCGAACATTTCCTCTCACAAAGCCAGTAATAGAATCATTAATGATGTTTTTTAAATGTAGACAATCCATTCACCTGAGCAATTGTGAGGTTTAATGACCAGTAAGCTGATGGCTTAGGAGGCTGCTCTAATAACTTTATTTTTGCAAAATGAAAGAAAACTGCCCCAAAGAACTAGGTAGTTTTTAGAGAACTGCACAGTAAATTTAGTCACACCAGGACTGGAGATCCAATGGACTCCCAGTTAAAGTAAACCCACACAGCTGCTCCAGTCTGGAGAGCTAAAAGTTGTTGTTCATATATTCGAGCGCTAAGAAGTGCTGCAGTGTGCATTGTGCCAAATTCTCAGGCCTTTGCCCCTCACTGGGGCTATCCCCAGAGAGTCCCTGAGGAGGAAAGGGGCTAGGAGGATGGCTTACTGACCTGCAGTGGAACACTGTGTGTGGTCCTTACACCCAGGTGTCAGGCCTGCAAACACTCGGGTGGCTTTTCCATCTGTGTGGAAGCATTGTCCATTCACAGCCCTAAGACCCCTTAGACCACTAGCATGGCCAGTCGGGGATTCTGGGTTTATGAAACCAAAGGAAGCTAACCAAGGATGAGCGGTTTCAGGCTCTATTTATCTGACCGATTGGCTCCACACTGGTGGTAGAGGAGGTTTAGGCCACCAGGAACTGGTTTATATCACCAAGAGGCGACCAGAGACCAAGGGAAGAAGGGGATTGAGGCTGGGCCGGAGACTTGGGGTGTGATTGCTACTCTTCCTTCTCTAAGGACAGACGCAGTCACATGCTCATCGAAGTTGGCCTTTAAACGCCAGCACTTGATTTCTGGGCCAAACTGGCCTCTTCCCCTAGCAAAGCATGCCATGTGCTGCAGCTGCTTACCTCAAAGCTGTTGAAAAAGTTATTTGTTCTAAAAGAAAAATCATTTTTTTAAAAGACTACAGTGTGTCCCACCACCCAGGGTGTATGTCATGGAACAAATACGAGCCTGACATTGTTTGGGTTCTGTTTCAGGCCATTAACTTAATGGCTTTGGTTCTTAGAAACTCTGCTGCAGACAAGAGTTACCCTCTTACATAAACATATTCATCTGGCTGAAAAATGTATTATTGTTTTCTGAGTAATGGTCATTTAAAGTAATGTGTGTGTTTTGCCCCTTCTGATCATTGTGAATATTTAGGCCCTTTGGGAAAATGGTAACAGCCCCAAGAAGCTCAAAGAACTGCAGAATTTCCTTTTCCTCTCAATCAGATTGGGTATTATAATCATTTTGCACAAGTTGAAGACTGGTACCAGGCCGTCACTGCTGAGAAGATAATTAGGAGATAATGTCAGTGGCAGAGAAAGTTGTCAGAGCAGAGTGGTCTCCTGCCGCTCTCAGAGTGCTCAGAGTGGATGTGGGAAGGGTGGGGGGAGTGAATTCTTTAGTGGAGATGAATGTGGAGAAGAGCCAGCTATTCTTTTGCCGCTAAGGAGATGATCATCTTGCAGCTATATTCTGCCAACAGCATATCCTACCTAATACCCATCTCGCTCTGCCTCCAACTTCCTTACCTAGAGATCAGGCGGAGGTGCTGCTGATTATTACAGGCACAGCTAAGATAAGGAGGCAGCTCACTGAATTTAATTCACTGAGGCAGCAATCAATTTTGTGCCAAAGCTTAACTTCCATTTGGTTAATATTTTGCACTTGGGCGGGGCGCGTGGCTCACGCCTGTAATCCCAGCACTTTGGGAGGCCAAGGTGGGTGGATCACGAGGTCAAGAGATCAAGACCATCTTGGCCAACATAGTGAAACTCTGTCTCTACTAAAAATACAAAAAAATTAGCTGGGCATGGTGGCGTGCACCAGTAGTCCCAGCTACTCGGGAGGCTGAGGCAGGAGAATTGCTTGAACCGGGGAGGCAGAGGTTGCAGTGAGCCGAGATCGGGCCACTGCACTCCAGCCTGGGAACAGAGTGAGACTCCATCTAAAAAAAAAAAAAAATTGCACTTGGTGCTCATCCCCTGAAAACTGAACACCAACTGTTGATGCAAGACAGGTTGTACAGTTGAAGGGCAGAATGGTGGGCAGTCAGAGAACAGCTGGCAGGGGACCCGAGACCTGAGGTCTGGCCCACCTTAGTGGGCTGGCCTCCCCCCACTCCGCCCCTGCTGCATTAGGGACATACGCGTGACAGGGCCCAGTGTCTGCGAGGCAGGCCTTGTGATGAGATTCTAGATTCAAATTTAGATTTTCCAAAGTAAACAAAAATCCACTGTATGTGGTAAGCTAGCAGAGCATTCCGGACTGTGAGTGTGTGTGATGCTTGCTTATGGAAACACTGTGTTCCTGAAGGTTTTTGATGGAACGAGATGCCATGTGCTTCCAACTTTGTCAGTCACCACTGGTCAGCCAGCTGGCTATGGGCTGTGGCCCCAGTGTTTGTCGTGGGTGGGGATTATTTGCTCCCTCTTCCCTTTTCTCTCTGTTTCCTCTTCACCTCTTACTTGTTCCATTTCTGGGCTGACCAGATAGCATCGCAGGCATCATGCATTTTATTCCTTTGGGGGAAAATAATTCACATTTAATCTCTGATTGGGCACTTAGCACAGTGCCTGCCCATAATAGACCCTTAACAAGAATCCGTGGGGTGAATGAGTGAAGAGAAAATTTCCATATTCTTTCTCTTTCGCATCAAGAAACTAGACAGGTGACTCCAGTGCCTCTGAGTTGCAGACTTTCTGGTTTAATCCACCAACCCATATCCACCCAAACTGGGATGTCTTGGGAGGACTGCTATCCTGGATTTGCACCTGGGAGCAGCCCTAGGGATGGCTGGCAGGGACCAGCGATCTTGTCATCATGGACCCCACAGTGAAGCCTGGCAGCCCGCTTGAGCTCTTCACACTCAGAAAGGTCTTGTCACCTATGATAGCTTTCTATGGCCCTTTTTCCCTTCATGATCCCAACTCAAAGACCAAAGAATGAACGCAGATATGGTATACACATGGTCTGTAAACAGCCAAAGAACACAAAATTCATTGAAACAAGAACATAAAGGGAAACAAAAGTTCATCCTAACAGAATGAACTTGATGAATTTATAATGACTGGGATTTATATTCTTTTGAGAGGAAACCATTAATGATCAGAGATGGACCCTGATGTACTGTGACTGGAAACTGATAACTGGTTAAAGATCATGACAAGCAGGCAGGCGCGGTGGCTTACGCCTGTAATTCCGGCACTTTGGGAGGCCAAGGCGGTCAGATTACCTGAGGTCAGGAGTTCAAGACCAGCCTGGCCAACATGGTGAAACTCTGTCTCTACTAAAAATACAAAAATTAGCCGGGTGTGGTGACACACGCCTGTAAACTCAGCAACTTAGGAGGCTGAGGCAGGAGAGTTGCTTGAGCCCGGGAGACAGAGGTTGCAGGGAGCTGAGATCATGCCACTACACTCCAACCTGGCCGACAGAGCGAGACTCTGTCTCAAAAAGAAAAGAAAAGAAAAAAAGACCATGACAAGGAAAGGGGTGGGGAAAGAGGATAATTTTAGTGAACCCAAATCAGAAATGCCAACGGGTGTTTTCTGTACATGTATCAGATTAGGAGAGTCAAAGGTGGCAGCTGTCTTGGAGGTTGAAAAGCAATCTTTCTTGAGAAGCCTAGCCACAGCATTGGACTTTGAATGGTGAGGCATGAATATTTCCTACAATTACCTATATATATATATTTTTACAAAATGGAAGTATTCTTAATTGCAAAATTTAAAAATGTTACAAAATAAAGTTAAGGTATACATCATTGCATTTCACCTCCTAGTAATAACCATGTTGAGCAGATAATGTTGGTGTCCCACTATATCCCCCTGGCTCCCCACTCCAGTCACCTGTAAACAGGTCTGCTCCCTCACTGAGCTACCTGGGATACTCTCTCAAAATGCCTACACCCAGATCCTTGCCTCGGGGTGTGCTACTTTCATAACCACCTCCTAAATGTACCGTGTCTGCACCTAGGACCCAGGGAGGGGTCACAGTTTGGGGTGCTCATCTCCTTCTGCCTCATTCTTTTCTCTCCTACCTGAGCCTCTCTGATCACGGTGTTCCATTTGCTGCTCAGCTCTCTGGTCCTGACCCCATCTCTCTTCCCAAGTCCACATTCCCACCCAATACACTCTCTCTTGTTCACTTCCATAATATAAATACATGGTTAGAGGTACACCCTAATCTGCAATTTAATATTAATTCAATCATCATTGGCTCAGGTGCCTACTGTGTGCCAAGCACAGGGCAGCCTGGGATAAATGAGTCAGGAGACAGAGACAGAGGGATGTAAAATAGTCACAATAGAATATGCCAAGTGCTATTATGCAGATAGAGGAAGAAAGTTGGTTTTGGAGTTTAGAACTCAGAATGTTTTTTGCAGTAGAAGCAATATAATGTGTGAAGGTTACCAGGCAGGTGTAGTAGGCTGAATAATGGTCCCCTAAAAATGTCTGTGTCCTAATCTTCAGAACCTGTGAATAGACTTTACATGGTAAAAGGGACTTCGGACTGGGCGTGGTGGCTCACGCCTGTAATTCCAGCACTTTGGGAAGCAGAGGTGGGCGGGTAACTTGAAGTCAGAAGTTTGAGACCAGCCTGGCCAACATGGTGAAATCCCATCTCTACTAAAATACAAAAATTAGCCAGGCGTGGTGGTGCGCACTTGTAATCCCAGCTACTCGGAAGGCTGAGGCAGGAGAATGGCTTGAACCCAGGAGGTGGAGGTTGCAGTGAGCCGAGATCGTGCCACTGCACTCCAGCCTGGGTGACAAAGCGAGACTACATCTCAAAAAAATAAAATAAAATAAAATAAAATAAAAATAAAAAGGGACTTTGCAGGTGCAATTAAGGATCATGAGATGGGGACAGTCTCCTGGATTATCTGGGTGGGCTCAGTGTAATCACAGGGGCCCTCATGAGAGGGAGGCAGAAATGTCAGAGTCAGAGAGGGATAGAGAGAGATCTGAAGATGCAACACTGCTAGTTTTGAAGATCGAAGAAGGAGCCATAAGCCAAGGAATAAAGGCATCCTCTAAAATCTGGAAAAGACAAGGAAACAGATTCTCCCTTGGAGCCTCCAGAAAGAACTAGCCATGGCTTCATGTTGACTTTAGTTCAGTGCGACTGATTTGGGACTTCTGGCCTCCAGAACTGTAAGAGAGTAAGTCTGTACTGTTTCAAGTCGCTATATTTGGGTAATCTGTTACAGCAGCAATAGAGAACTAATACAGCAGATTAATAAAAAACCTAAAGTAGCTGGTAACTAGGGCTACCAGATAAAATACAGCACACCCACTTAAATTTGAATTCAGATAATGAATAGTTTTAAAATAATTTCTTTAGTATAAGTATATCCCATCTAATATTGCTATCCTTGTTTAACTGATTTCAATTTCTTATTTTTTTAGAGATGAGTGGGGAGGAGGTCTCACTATGTTGCCCCAGTTCAAGCAATCCCCCCACCTCAGCCTCCCAAGTAGCTGGGACTACAGGGTGTGTCACTATGCCTGACTCTGAACTTCAAATTTAACAGAGTATCCTGTATTACTGTTTGCTAAGCCTGGCAACTCTACCATAGGTGACTTGAGCAGTGGTCCCATCAAGGGTAGGCGTGAGTCTCTAGGCCTCCTGAGACCCTCCCTCAGGTTCCCAGTGTCTTGGAAAACTAAGCCTCTCTGATCTCTACTACCTGAGGTATCCCTGCCCCTTTTTTCTCTTTTTTTTGAGATGGAGTTTCACTCAGTCATCAGGTTGGAGTGCAGTGGTGCGATCTCAGCTCACTGCAACCTCTGCCTCCCGGGTTCAAGTGATTCTCCTGCCTCAGCCTCCTGAGTAGCTGGGACTACAGGTGCACACCACCACACCCAGCTAATTTTCGTATTTTTAGTGGAGATGGGGTTTCACCATGTTGGTCAGGATGGTCTCGATCTCTTGACTTCGTGATCCGCCCGCCTTGGCCTCCCAGAGTGCTGGGATTACAGGCGTGAGCCACTGCGCCTGGCCGCATCCCTGCCCTTTAAAGTCCAGTCACAGTGTGGCCTTGAAGGTGAAGGAGAGGGGATCTGGACAGTGAGGCAGGCCCCCTGGGGGTGCAGCTGTGGCTAATAGGGGTCTATTCTGGGTCAGTCTGGGGCACAGGCCTGTATGATGAGGCTCTGCAGAGCACTGTAATGAGATTGGCGTATTGGCCAAATACATAATACATCGTGGGGAAGCCAGCAACACTCTCAGGAGAAGTTGCCATAATCATTTTAGTGATTCCAGAAATGCAAATTAAAACAACAATAAAATATGACTTTTTTGCTTATCAGATTAGCTAAAATTTAAAAGATAATAATGGCAGCTGACTTTGTGAGGTGAGTACTACATCCTGGGCACTGTGGTAACATCTTTGAGATGTGGATCCTTCTATGTCCTACTCACAGCAACTTTTGCTGTAGGTTCTGGCCTCCTCATTACTGACTGGGAAATAAGGCTTAGGCTAAGCTGATGGCATAGACACGGGGATGGTACTGGGGACTGGGACTCCTCACTGCAGCCTACAGCCTGCCCACATAGCCTAAGGGGGGCTGGGAAAATGGCTGTAGCCTTTTTGGAGGATAACTTGACAGTATCTAATAAAATTCAAAATTTAAATGCATATCTTTACCAACCCAGCAATCTCACTTCTAGTATGAGAATGTAAAGGCATATGTGCAAAGGCATATGTATACACACACACACACACACACACATTTTTTTAGAGATAGTGTCTCAGTTGGTTGTCCAGGCTGGAGTTCAGTGGTGCTATCATAGCTCACTGCATCCTTGAACTCCTGAGCTCAAGCAGTTCTCCTGTCTCAGCCTCCTCAGTAGCTAGGATTACAGGTGCTCACCATGCCCAGCTAACTTAAAACAAATCTGTAGAGATGAAGTCTCACTATGTTGCCCAGGCTGATCTCAAACTCCTGGTCTCAAGCGATCCCCCTGCCTTAGCCTCCCAAAGCACTGCGATTACAGGCATGAGCCACCATGCCTGGCCCAAAGGTATTTATTATAACACTGGTTATAGTGATGGAGTGGAAAACAATTGTTGATAAGTAGGAACCTGTTTAAAATAAATTATGTCACATACAAATGGGATATATTGATAAGGCGAGTGTGCTCATGCACATGTGCATTAGAGTGTGTGTGTGTGTGTGTAAAGAGAGCAAGACCTTGATGACATACAAATATCATTGAGAAAATGGAAAATTGTAGAACAGCATAACAACATTTTATTTTGGAAAAAATAGTACTTAATATGTCCATATCTATATAGACATAGATACTATATGGATGCTACAGATATGAATATGGAAAGATATTACATTTAGTATAACTATAGAAACAAATCTCTCCATGTTTGTGCCAAATCATTTACTCACAGAGTTTAGCTCTGGGATAGTGGGAGGATCTCTCCTATTCCTATTTTACTTTACATGTTTTACTTTACATGAGAAGGGAGGATAAGGGGGTGGAAGGATAGGTGTTTTGCTTTTATTTTTGTATTTTTCTGTATTTTTCAATATTCCTATACTGTGTTGCTGTTGTAAAAAAAAAAGATATTTTTTAAAAGCAACCTCGGTAACATTTGTAACTATGTTTAACTTTATAGGTTAATAGGTTCAAGGAACACAGACCAAGAGATGTAACCCATAAGTAGTTGAACTGAAACCCTTCTACTGTTCCATTGCATCGTCTTTGACAAAGGCAAGCCAGAAATAACAGTCTGTGGCCCCGCCTCTCTGTTCAGGGTCAGCTGGGGAGCCAGTGGGAAGATCACAGCAGTGTAATGTAGCCACCTGCCTTCCAGGCACTTCCAGTCTTGGGGCTTACATAAGGCACCGTGGTAGGGGGTGGAAGTGGACTGCAGAGGGCTTAACAAAGGTACGAAACTGCGTATGTGGATGTGATGTGGTTAATTTTTTTTTTTTTTTTTGAGACGGAATTTTGCCCTTGTTGCCCAGGCTGGAGTGCAATGGCGCGATCTCGGCTCACCACAAGCTCTGCTTCCTGGGTTCAAGTGATTCTCCTGCCTCAGCCTCCTGAGTAGCTGGGATTACAGGCATACGCCACCATGCCTGGCTAATTTTGTATTTTTAGTAGAGACAGAGTTTCTGCATGTTGGTCAGGCTGGTCTCAAACTCCCGACCTCAGGTCATCTGCTCGCCTCGGCCTCCCAAAGCTGGGATTACAGGCGTGAGCCACTGCACCTGGCTGATGTGGTTACTTTTGAGACAAGACTGCCCAGAGCCTGTGACAGTTGGGGAACTTCTCCTGGAGAAGCAGGAGTGCAGGTGGATGGATCTTGAACTGATCTTGAAGGAGGAGAACTGAATGGGGATGCTGGGGGAGGGGGTCAGGCAGCACTCGGGGCCCTAGGGACAGCATGATTAAAAGACTCTGAGGCCAAATGAGCCAGGGCTGTGCCAGCACTGCAAAGACCCTGGCGTGGCAGGAAATGAAGCAGAAGTTCAGGGAGACTGGAATAATTAGAGAGGAAATATGGTAACGTTTTTTGCCTTGACTTCAAAGGTAGTACATGTTCATTAGAGTATTTGTACAGAAAAGCAAAAACCAAACAGAAAAATCACCATTTAGAGATGATCACTGCTGAAAATTTTTGGCATATGTCATACTGTACATGCGCCGTTTGCTGTCTGCTGTGGGAGAGGCTGCTTGTTATTCTCCAGGCCACTCAACCTGAGTCCTTTTGTAATCAAAGATCTTTACTCTCACTGGGCATAGCATCCATTTTCTCATCTCCCTTGCAGCGAGGCATGGCTGTGTGATTAATTTCTGGCTAATGGATGTGAGCAGAAGGGATGTGTAGGAATTCTGGCTCATGCCCTTAAAGGATGGGGGCTTGCCCCCTATGCCCACTTCTCTCCTCCCCTGACGGCTGTGATGACAGGAGCTGTAGCAGCCATTGGAGATCATGAGGCAGATGACAGAGGGACAGGAGGGGAGGAGCCTGGGTCCCTGACCCTGTGGACCCTCATCAGCCCTACAGTCCATTAACTTCTATCTTGTTTAAACTACTATCATTTTGACTTTTGATTTAGCATTTGAAACTGTATCTTAACTAATACTCCTCTTTAGATAAAAATGTATCAGTGTGTTAATAAAGTTTTCCAATAGCAAGAATTCTACTACAGCATAACTTTGTAATGGGTTCAAAGTACTCATTTTGCAAATGTATCATAATTTATTTATCAATTGCCTATTTTTGATCAGATAGTTTATTTGTACCTTTTTAAATTTTTACCACAATGCATATCCTTGAAGATACATCTTTGGATATAATTATGATTACTTCTTTGCACAAAGTCATGGAATTTCTGGGTGAAAAGGTTTATACTTTTTTTTTTTTTTTTGAGATGGAGTTTTGCTCTGTTGCCAGGCTGGAGTGCAGTGGGGCGATCTCGGCTCACTGCAACCGCTGCCTCCTGGGTTCAAGCGATTTTCCTGTCTCAGCCTCCTGAGTAGCTGGGACTACAGGCATGTGCCACCACGCCCAGCTAATTGTTGTTGTATTTTTAGTAGAGACGGGGTTTCACCATGTTGGCCAGGATGGTTTCAATCTCTTGACCTCGTGATCCGCCCACCTCGGCCTCCCAAAGTGCTGGGATTACACTTTGGTGAGCCACCGCACCCGGCCAGATTTACACATTTTTAAGGTTTTAAATTCCAGAATGAATACCAGAACTATATAAAGTGAGTATAGATTCCTCCGGACCCTCAATAAATTTGAGTGTCAAGAGTTAATATTTAAAAAACCCTGTAAATCTACATTTTTTTAGGACTTAGAAAATTAGACCAAAAAAAAAATTCAGACTTGATAGGCATCGGGCAGCAGATTCTTTTATTTATTTTTTGTTTTTCTTGACATAGGGTCTCACTCTGTCTCCCAGGCTGGAGTGCAGTGGCTCAATCATAGCTCACTGCAGCCTCGACCTCCAGGGCTCAAGCAATCTTTCCACCTCAGCCTCCTGAGTAGCTGGGACCACCGGCATGTGTCATCATGCCTGGCTAATTAAAAAAAAATTTTTGTAGAGACAGGGTCTCACTGTGCTGCCCAGGCTGGACTCAAACTCTGGGGTTCAAGGGATCCTCCCACGTTGGCCTCCCAAAGTGTTGGGATTATAGGCATGACAAACCACGCCCAGTGGGGAGCAGATTCTTAATGGGGGAAAATGTGGGGAAAGAGGACTTGATGAAAAAGGTTTGGGGGTAAATTGGAGGGGAAGGGACTACAGTCTTGGGCACAGGTGGAGTAGCCCAGGGCTAAGGGCCAGCCAGGGAAAAGAAGAAGGTTAGGAGAGACACTTCTGTGAAAAAAGTAGGAAACAGACAGGATAAAGGTAGAGAAGAGAGAGAAGTCAGAGGTGGAGTCTGGACCTATGTCTGAGAGAAAACATGTGGAGGAAGAACTAAGCCCTTCAAGTGGAAATGCAGAGATGCAATTCATCCATTTGCTTCACAAATATTTACTGAGCTCCTGCTCTGTACCAGGCAAGAGAGACACAGTCCCTCCTTTCATGAGCTAACCCTCCAGAGGAGGAGACAAACATTTAAAAGGTAAGCATGCCAGGTGCAGTGGCTCGTGCCTATAGTCCCAACACTTTGAGAGGCCAAGGTGGGAGGATCACCTGAACCCAGGAGTTCAGTACCAGCCTGGGCAACATGGTGAATCCCTGTCTCTACAGAAAATACAAAAATTAGCCCGGCCTGGTGGTGGATGCCTGTAGTCCTTGCTGCTCGGGAGGCTGAGGCAGGCAGGGGAATTGCTTGAACCAGGGAGGTGGAGGTTGCAGTGAGCCGAGATTGCACCACTGCACTCCAGCCTGGGCAACAGAGTGAGACTCCGTCTCAACAACAACAACAAATCCTAAGTATTAAATTCATAGATACAGAAAGTAAAATGGTGGTTGCCAGGGGCTGGGAGGAGGGGGAAATAAAGAATTGGTGTTTATGAGTACAGAGTTTCAGTTGGGGAAGATAAAAAAGTTCTGGAAATGGATAGTGGTGATGGTTGTACGATAATATTCTTAAGGCCACTGACCTGTGTACTTAAAAATGGCTAAAATGGTTATATGTATTTTCATACACACACACACACACACACACACACACACACACACAAAGCTTTGTCTTTTTGGAGAAGTCAAGGGTAGATAAGCCAAGCGTGGTGGCTCACACCTGTAATCCAAAAAATACAAAAATTAGCTGGGCGTGGTGGCACACGCCTGTAATCCTAGCTACTCAGGAGGCTGAGGCATGAGAATCACTTGAACCTGGGAGGTGGAGGTTGTGGTGAGCAGAGATCATGCCACAGCACTCCAGCCTGGGCAACAGAGCAAGACTGCCTCAAAAAAAAAAAAACCAAAAAACCCAGAAAAAAAAAAAGTCAAGGGTGGTGTTCTGTTCCACAAAGAAGTGCAGCTCTTCTAGTAATAAAGTCTATCATTTTTGAGTCTTCAATATGTGTCAGGTAAGCAATTTATTAATATATTATTTTATTTTCTCAATAACCCTGAGGTAGGTACTGTCATCTGCATTGTACACAGAAGGCAACTGAGGCCTAAAAAGGTTAAGTTCCTTGTTCAAAGTCTCGAGCTGATAAGGTGCAGTCAGGGATGGAATCTGGCTGGTTGGCTTCAGAGTCTAACCTTTAGCCCTCTTGCTGCATCCTCTTTCTAGTAAAAGACAGACAGATTAGCTGAGTAGGCAGCAGCTCTTGGAAAGGAGCTAAATGCAGGTTCTGGGAAATGTGAGCACCAGCAGTCTTGCATTCATGGGACTTGAATAAGTCAAAAGCATTTTGCTGAGTTCTGGATTTCTGCACCCTCCACAGGGATTCTTCCGAGCAGGGATGGTGGTTCCCTGCACTTTCCACATCACACTATAACACACTGTCACTTCTCCCCTACAGCCCCCCTCCCTTTTCTTAGAACCCACTGCCTTTTTGACATGAAAAATGTACTATAATGAGTCTACTGGCTAATTAATTAAAAGGGAAAAAAAATCCCAATCTTCACATATGAAATGATTAATTACATAAGCATTAACGCCTCTGCACACTCAGAATGGCATGTCTTCAATTTAAACTTTTCCAGCACATTATTTTCTGCTGATATGTGTGTTTTATGCCCATACAAGGCTAATTTCTCATACACCCCAGCCCATTTCACAGCAAATGGCCCCAAATGGTGTTTATCCTGCTCATTAGGAGCCTATATCAATGAAGCAGGCCTGGCTGAGCTGCCTGTCCAGGCCTGCAGAGCCTGGTCTGGTGCATCTGCTCTGTGCACCCTCCAGCTGCCTGGGATATACCAGCCCCCACCCCACTATTTAGGGACTGGCTGCTGCAGGGTGAGTCCTTGGTGCTTTTCACAAGGCCAGGGCAGAACTCTGACATCAGAGAGCGCTGTTATGCAGTGCTTGCCCTTTATGGATTTTTAAAAGCTTGTTGTTTGGCCCAGACATGTGGCTCCCAGCTGCCTGCTTACTGAATCTTTCCCTTGTTTGTTCTTAACCTGAAAAGTCTCATCTCCCTCTTCCTCCCCTTCTTCCCAGAGCTTGGTCTGCTGCTGCCCACCTGTGCCCTGCTTAAAAACACTTTGCTTCCCCTTACCTGTGACCCCTTGGCTTGACCTTTGCCCCTTGCAAGGGGTGAGACCAGGGCTTCAGGGCCTGCTCCGCGGGGCTTGCTGGGAGATTGGGCTGTGAGTGGGCAGCCAGAAAGACTTGTGTACTGCTCCTTCCCTGGTGCCCACCGTCTCAGGACAGAGGCCACTTTATCTTCAGGGGATTCACCCAGGCCCAGGGATGGCGCTCAGATCTGCGAATATGAACTGGTTGCTGAACAAGCAGCAGCATGCGAAACATTTCTCAGAGGAATAAGTCGCCACGTCACAAATCAGAAATGTTGAAATGCAGTGAACTGTTGGATAGAGTGGTTGCCTAAATTAGGGTGAGAAACGGACCTGTCATTAGCAATAGAAGAACTTGCCTATGCCTCTGGCTATAAAAACCGTAATATGTTAGAAGCCTACAGAGGCAAAAACCCTATGTGGCTAAAAGATGAAGCTATTAATGGTGGGCACATGCTGAGGATGGTACTTCTAATCTCCAGAAGCATATAATGGTATTTTCCCCACTGAAATTATAAAAAAGAGAAGCTATTATGGTTCAACATTTAGACAGGAAATAAAGCACTTTTCAAAACAAATTGAAATTATTTTACTCCTGTAGTCTGAACTCATTAGCAAATAAGGTGGAGTTCCTTCTTCTTCTTTTTTTTTGTTTTTGGCCTTATTTTATTTTTTTTTTTTTTTGAGACAGGGTCTTGTGTTCCCCAGGCTGGAGTGCAGTGGTGTAATCTTGGCTCACTGCAACTTCTGCCTCCCAGGCTCAAGTAATCCTCTCACTTCAGCCTCCCAAGTAGCTGAGACTACAGGTACGTGCCACCACACTTGACTAATTTTTTAAGGTTTTTGCAGAGACGCGGTCTCGCTATGTTGCCCAGGCTGGTCTTAAACTCCTGGGCTCAAGAAATCCTCCTGCCTCAGCCTCCCAAAGTGCTGGGATTACAGGCGTGAGTCACTGCACCCAGCCTGGATCTCCTTCTTTCGGGACTTGGACAAATAGGAAGGCTGCTCTTACACTGGCTTTCTCCTTCACACCTTAATCTCCTTACACCTGTGTTATCCAATATAGCCACTAGCTGTATGTGGCTATGTTAAAATTAAATTAAAAATTCAGTTCTTCAGTTGCACTAGACACATTCCAAAGGCTCAGTAGCCACATGTGGATGGTGGCCACCATACCGGCCAGCACAGGCACAGAACATGACCATCATCAGAGAACATTCTATTGGACAGCACTGCTCATCTACTTTTATTGTTGAATTTAACTGTGCATTTTTGGTAAAACTTATTGAACAGCATTTTTGCATCCTGTAAGGAATTTAACACCAATGCTCCTTCTACAGGGTTACATGATGTTGTTTCTTTATTTCATGGCCTTTCTTAGAAATGAAAAGTTCCCCATGATTTTCTTTTTTTTCTTTTTCTTTTTTTTTGAGATGGCGTCTCGCTCTGTTGCCCAGACTGGAGCGCAGTGGCGCGATCTCGGCTCACTTCAACCTCTGCCTCCTGGGTTCAAATGATTCTCCTGCCTCAGCCTGCTGAGTAGCTGGGACTACAGGTGCCCGCCACCACACCCAGCTAATTTTTTGTACTTTTAGTAGAGACGGGGTTTCACCGTGTTAGCCAGGATGGTTTCTATCTCCTGACCTCATGATCCACCCGCCTCAGCCTCCCAAAGTGCTGGGATTACAGGCGTGAGCCACCGTACCCGGCCACCCCATGATTTTCTGAATCAGAGTTCTGCAAGGCCAGGAGATGGTATAAATGTCTGATGGCAGCAGACCAGCCTCCGGCCTCCTTCCACCAACTGCCTCACTGTTCCAGGGCCACTGCTGCTGTCCCCTCCTAACTGCCCCAGTTCCATCCACCCCATTACCTTTTCAGCTGACTCTATCCATTTTCCCTGGGGACCATCCCCTTACGGGCACGACAGTGTCAAAACTGAGCAGCCTGCAGAGGCCCAGCCCCATAAGGGCATGGTAGCAAAGTTCCATTTGTGCCCATGATGGGTGCTGAACAGTTGCAGGCCTCCAGTGGCTGTCAACTCAGGTGACATGTGATGTCATCAAGGGAATTTAATGGAAATAGATTGGAAAGAAATTCCTTCCCACAATATTTGCAATCAATATAGGTTTGGTCTTTTTTGCTTTGTTTTTAATTCTGAGGTGCAAAATCCTCACCAAGAGTTATTCTTCTCGCATCATTTAACTTAGAATCCTACCGGGCTACTCACCCTGAAGCTTGCAGGATACATGGCACTTTTACAACCCACCGGAAATTAAGTGCTAGTTGATTGACAGCATTACAGCTCTCTTAGAAGAGTCTATACCACCCCTCCCCCAGCTCTCTAATTTGATCAGCTCCTAGAGTGTGCTTAGCTGGAGATGGACAGCCCCTGGCAGTCCCAGAGCCTGAAGAAAGTAGGCCTGGTAACCTGGTTTGGATTGCTGTGGTTAAGACCTTGTCCTGGACACTAAGTGCTGGCTGGGCAGGCTTTCAGAACAAAAGGCAAAGTGCCTCTTGTGGAGACTTGTAAGACCCTCCTGGGGAAAGCATGATTTGAAGGCCCATGGCACCCACTGAGTCTCCTAGGTCTTCTCTAGGACCAGCCCTGTCCTTGCTGGGGAAGTTTCCTTGGTGCCTTTTCGTGTTGGGGGTAAAGCCTGAAAAACACTGTGTACAGGCAGTCTCATTAGCCTACTGAAAAGCAATAATACTCCACTGTTTGTGGAAGAATCCTTTGCAATTAAAGCAAGCAGAGGAAAAATTATTAGGGAGCTAAGTTATTAGATCTGTTCCATGGAACACTTTTTTTTTTTTTTTTAAACCAAGCTCATTTTCCTGAGAAAAAATTTAATGCAATCTCTCCCTCTTTTAAAGCCACCTGATGCCACCATGTTCTGCCTGTAGCAGCAAGCAGATGCCCAAAACAGGAGGACATCACGGTGATAGGCCACAGAGAACATGGCTGGGGCGTGTGCCAGGCAGGACAATGCAGGGAAGCCAAAAACAGTGGGAGAAAACACAATAAAGTGAGACCCGCCCAGAATGGTAAACACAGCAGCAGAGCTACCACACACTTCCCTTCTGGGAGCGGTGGGGAAAGCAGCCAGGGAGGTCGGGAGATGGACGGAAACTGCTGGGGATGTGAGAAGCCTGGGGCACTAACTGGAGTTGTTATTGACTTGGTAAGTCTAAGAGCTACCATTTACTGGGTGCTTGCTATGTGCCAAGGTTGGGGTCTACTGGAGAAGAGGATTGATAAGATTTGGCAAAATCCTACTCCATCCAGTCTGCTCAGTTGCTGCAACTACTAGTAATAACAGTAACTGCTGCAGTTTAATGAGTGCTTACTGTGTCCTAGGCATTCATATGAATAAACTCAATCCTCACAAAGTAGATATCATTCCCATTTTATAGATAAACTGAGGCTCAGTGAAGTGAAGAATCTTGTGGCAGATACATAAGCCACTAATTAAATACTGCTGATAATTAGCATCACAAGAACTTTCAATTCACTGGGTTAACAAGGTCCTCATTGCACAATGGTGGAAAAAGGAAAGTGATTTTTATGATTAGGGAACAGTTGTTATGAGCTTTTTAAACAAACACACTGTTGATATTCAACTGTTACCTGTGTTATTCATATTACTAAATCATTTATTTTGACTAAATAAATGGAATTGCTTTAGAGAGACATTTAATGTAACCCATTCTTTAAATTCACAGAGATTTTTGTAATGCTCTCAATATTTCTTTTTAGTGGGTGTGGGAGAGCTGGGGACAGGAAGGAAGGTGGGGTGTTAAAAGGCAAACATAGAAAAGATTCTTCATAAAAAAAAGAAAACACATCTAGAAATGATTGCTCCATAAACAAAACATGAGTGCACACAGCAATTTCATGTTCTTGTTCCACCCACTCGGTTGTTCTTAATGATTCAAGAACAGAACTGCCTGGGCAGATTTACAGGCTCTGCATTCCTGACATCTGTGCCGAAACAAGGCTATGTGTGTTACAGAGTGCTTGCTTCTTCCCAGGGGGAGAAAACACAAACACCTTGATTTGATTTTTACCTTTGCCATGGTTTAAATTAAAATAGATGTGGTTATTCTCCAATATGCATCTGTGGGCTGTTAGGGTATAGGAGTGGTGCCAGGGAAGAGGACACGGTAGCCTTGCAGTTTGGGGGTGGAAGAGATGTGAGGATCATACAATGAAACGCCAGCAATCCTGTCTGCATTGGGCTCTCCCTGCTGTCAGAAAGCTGAGCTTCAGCATAAGTCTTTTGCTGGAAACCCCTGGGTTGTTTGGAATTGCTTTTCAGCAAATTTCTCCCCTGGCTCAGAGTGCCAATCGGTGGTCAGTGGAGGGCACAGCCATGCTAACGGCAGGCGTGTCGCTGGAAGTTCCAGGGCCAGGGCCAGTGCCCCTTGACTTGGGCTTTCCAAGTTTCTCAGTTGTGCTTTTGGGAATGTCATACCCTCTCCAGTTCCCTTTCTTTTAAGGAGGAGATTTGCCTTCCATTAGATACTTTTCACTGATTGATAACTTCCTCCTAGCTTTTTTTTTCTTTATAGGTTTTGTTTCCTAGACTACAGACCTGTCCATTTCTCGGGAGAAGACCCCAGCTCTCCTCCCCAAGTTAGCCATTTTGGAATCACTTGGCAGGCCTTGCCTAGGCACTAGTGGACACACGCTGGTACCTTTGCTACCTGGTAATACGTGGCTAATCCTCTGATTTAGAACATCATTTCACCTCTGAGACTCAGAGTGGGGAAGTAACTTATTCAAGGTAACTGAGCTTGTCAGTAGGAAGATCTGGGATCCAGACCCAGGTTAGTCAGGTACAGCCTATGTACTTGTCACCCTCTTCAGAAGGCAGATCTTAGGGCCATGACTTTCAGTTTCTATGGAGCAGAAACTTAAAGAAATGCCAAATCTCCACCATCTGAGAATCTGAGGAGAAAGGGGAAGCAAGTAAAATTATGTATTTGGCACTTGGAAGTGATCTGATTTTTAAATTTAATGCCAATGCTAAAAGGTTGGCTGGTATTTTAGTGGGATACCCAACTCCTCTCTTTGGTCTTCAAGCTTTATACAGATTCCTTATCTTTGATGGCTGTTTTCATACCAGGATCCACCTGACAGCTCTAGTCTGACTGTCCCACAGCCTTAACTAATAGTTACTACTTCTGGGGAAGGGAGGCTGAAGAGGGAAGAACAAGAGAGAGAGAAAGGGAAGGGGGCTGGGGAAATGGAGAGATTTGTAGATTATAATTTTTCTTATAACCAGCTAACTTTATACAAACATAGACTAGACTCAAAACTCTAATGCTTTACATCATGCTAAATTAATTTTTGGGCAATATCAGTGACTGCAGATCCAGTTTTACTACTTTTACAAAATGTATTTCCTATATAGACTTCCAGGTATTTACATATTTTCTTTAAGCTTTTTCAGTACATACCATCTTATTTAATCTTTGCAATCACCCTGTTAAACTGAAAATTTTATCTTGTGACTAAGAGATGTTAAGGAACTAGCCAAAGGTCATAAATCTAGTGCAGGGTTGGAATCTGGACATCCTGACCTTCAATGGCTAGCAGAGCACCCTATGTTTTTGTTTTTTTGAGACAGGGTCTCATTCTGTCACCCAGGCTGCAGTGCAATGGCACGATCTTGGGTCACTGCAGCCTCAACCTCCTGGGCTCAGGTGATCCTCCCACCTTAGCCTCCCAAGTAGCTGGGACTACAGGTGTGCAATCACGCCCGACTAATTTTTGTATTTTAGAGATGGGGTTTCACCATGTTGCCCAGGCTGGTCTCGTACTGCTGGACTCAAGTGATCCGCTGGTCTTGGCCTCCGAAAGTGCTGGGATTACAGGTGTGAGCCACCACACCCAGCCCGCCCCTTGTTTTGTTACTGAATAGATTCAGGTAGCTTTTCTATAGACAAAAAGTTCTACTACCTCAAAAGAAAATGATCCATTGACATTAGCCTCCTTAAGACCCAGGTGTATGGTTCTTAATCTTTTCCACTTGATCACTAATTTCCATGGCTGTCTGGGCACTAATGTAAGTAACTACCCAGAGTGGTTGCTCATTTCTCCCAGCAATGTGTGGAGGTGATATGTTTGTTCTTATTCATTTGTTCATTCATTCATTCTTTTCTCCAACAGCGCTAGGAAGAAGAACCACTATAGTGTTAACTGTAATGGGCAGAATGGCCCTTTAGTCACCCTTCCTGTGGCCTAACACTTGGACACTGTCACTTAAGAGGCCCCTCACATCTACGCAGGAGGTGATTAAAGAACATTCTAAATTACCTGGTAATTTGGGGGTGTAAGTACATGAAAGCATTTTTAAAATTCTAATTTGTATGTTTTTGGTGGACTTTGTGTAATTTCTTTCTTTTTTTTTTTCTTCGGGACGGAGTTTTGTTCTTGTCGCCCAGGCTGGAGTGCAGTGGCATGATCTGGGCTCACTGCAACCTCTGCCTCTTGGGTTCAAGCAATTCTCCTGACTCAGCCTCACCTGTAGCTGGGATTACAGATGCATGCCACCATGCCCAACTAATTTTTGTATTTGTAGTAGAGATGGGGTTTCACCATGTTTGTAAGGCTGGTCCCGAACTCCTGATGTCAGGTGATCCACCTGCCTTGGCCTCCCAGAGTGCTGGGATTACAGGTGTGAGCCACCGTGCCCAACCGACTTTGTATTTCTGTGTGTGTATGTGGGCTTACAGAACTCATGTATGCTCACTGTGAAATATTTCAACACTGCAGATGTATGTGAGGTAGAGAGTGGGAATCCTCAATGATGAGAAACCACCACCCGTCCCCCAAACTGGAGGCCACTGCTAATTCTTTCATTCTATGCATAAGACAACTGTGTGTACTGTAATTTTACAGATGATGTCAATGTAAAATAGCATGACTCTGGTTTTGGATCTCAACTTTTTTCTATGCATAATTAAGTGTATTTAAAATGATTTAAAATAAATTATGAGTCATACCTCAGCCTTTCTTAACCAGTGAGATGAAATGTGATGTGTCAAAATTGAGTTAAATCCATATTCTCTGTGGATGTGCTTTTGACTTGCACATAAGGAAAAGCAGGCAGGCAAAAGTGAGGCAGTTTCACACACTGTATTGACATTCAACAACGAGAAGGTCAGAGTAGGGAGTTGATGTCAATATGTTCATCCTGTACCGCAATAAAGCTGTCCCGGCAACTGCAATCCCAGCTGCCATTTCCCCTCCTTTGGGTGAGAAATGAGCCATTCAGACCCTCAGCTCTTTAGCTATGAAAACACCATGCTTTAAGAAAGATTTGGTTTTCAATATCAATATAATCTAGGTTTCAGGCTTGGAAGATAAAATTTCCACACCAGATAGGGCTTTATTTGACAAAAACAGTAAGAGATGACAGCTGAGATTTCTGCCACATGAAAATTACCGAATAATTGCATGGCAGGTGTCATCATTCTGAATATCATAAAGTGAGTTTAGCACTCCATTTTGCTTTCCAGTATTTTACTGGGGATGCTTTTCTTGGGGTTATCAAGCAGTTTTAAATGTTGGGAAAATGTAAAAAGAGAGAGTAGACATAAACAACAATGGAAAAGGTAACACTTCACTATAACATTGCACTATGTATGTTCCATTTTCCCTCAGGGAAACTACCGTAGAATGGGCAAAATCCTTCAGAAACGGGAGCCCACAATGACCTCAACTCCTGCAGGCCTACATGTTTTTTTATCTCTGCCAGACCCACTGTCAATTTTTTTTTTTTTTTTTTTTTGAGACGGAGTCTCGCTCTGTCGCCCAGGCTGGAGTGCAGTGGCGCGATCTCGGCTCACTGCAAGCTCCGCCTCCCGGGTTCACGCCATTCTCCTGCCTCAGCCTCCCGAGTAGCTGGGACTACAGGCGCCCGCTACCACGCCCGGCTAATTTTTTATATCACTGTCAATTTTTTAAAAGTCAGCTTGGAAAAAATGAGAGAATTTAAAAAATTAACAACTATTTCACAGTTGGTTCCTATCTCTACTCAGTATTACCCAATTTAAATTTTATGTTGGTTTTCCATCCATTCCCCAGGCGCTTTCACAGAGCGGCCTGCCAGAGGCCATTAGCACACACCCCTCACAAATGGAGAAGCAGCGGCATTCAGATTCACCAGGAGCTGGACTGGCATTTGCACTCACTCAGTTCACCTGGTGATTGGCAAGCTTCTCTACTCTGAGTCGTGGTCACTTCCCTTCAGAATAGAATGTGGGGAACAACCTGAAGGGATCGTGATAAAAAAAGATTGTCTTTGATGTTGGATGGGATATGCAAATACGAATGAGAATAGGGTGCCTTAGTACTGTCAGAGTGTGCTGTGTTTTATTTGGGAAATGAGACAAAATCTTCCCATGATCAGCCATTCCATGTGACATCCCAACCCACACTCTGCTACTGACATTTTATCTCCCACTGAACAGCCTGGCTGTTGTAACATTTTCAGGATTCTTAATTTATGTCTTGCAGGATCTAAAATCAGATGGCAGGAACTTTAAGAAAATAACCAGTGTTGACAGGCACCTTATAAAAGAAGCTGGTACACCTTAGTGCTGCTAAAAGTTAGAGAATATTCTTTCGTTTCTTCTTCCAAAATATGTCCAGAAGTCAGTGGGATGGAGACAGTAGCTGTCCCAAATCATTTAATTTCTCTTTTCAATCTAAACTCTATGAAAGGCTTTTTCTTTCACTCAATATTTGCTAGCGCCTGGGACTCAAGAAGGCTAATGTCAATGGATCATTTTCTTTTGAGGTAGTCGAACTTTTTGTCGTAGAAAAATCTTCCTGAATCTATTCAGTATCAAAACATGGGGTGGGCCTGGCACGGTGGCTCATGCCTGTAATCCCAGCATTTTGGGAGTCTTGAGTTTGGCAGATCACTTGAGCCCAGGAGTTTGAGACTAGCCTGGGAAACATGGTGAAACCCCATCTCTACTAAAAATACAAAAAATTAGCCAGGCGTGGTGGCGCGCATCTGTGGTTCCAGCTACCCGGGAGACTGAGGTAGGAGAATCACCTCAGCCTGGGAAGTCAAGGCTGCAATGAGCCGAGATCACACCACTGTACTCCAGCCTGGGACAGAGTGAGACCCTGTTTCAAAAAGAATTTAAAAAAAAAAAAAAAAAAAAGGAAATCACTAGTCCCAAACCACTTATCCTTGGAGAAATATGGACATAAACCCAAATTGCATGTTCTTTCCATTATATCACAGTGTCTCTTTGTAAAAGTGGCAACTTTGGGCTGGCTTACATGAATTCGCTGAAACCTTTACAACATATTGGCGGTGCTGAATACTTGGGGCTCTTGAACGTAAGCCTGCAACCAGGATGCTGGTGTACACCCTCACCCTGGAATGCTCAGCCTTGATCCTCCTCTTTTCAGAATGGCTTCATATCTATTTATTTGTAACATAGTGCTTAACAGTAGGAAGTCTTGAGCCAAATGCCTAGCTCTGCCACTTATCCCTGACCTGAGCAAGTTACTTAGCTTCTCCAGGCGTCATTTTCCTGTATTCTAAAATGGAGATGATAATAGCATTTACCTTATAGGATTGTTGTGAAGATTAAATGAGTTTAGGGCAATGCTATATATAGGTTAGTATCATCCATCAATTTGCAACATGATTTCATAAGTGCATCTAGAATATGCTTGTGTAAACCTATGGTTAGATGATGAAGCTAAGAAAAGCCTGAGTCCATCCCTGGAGAGTAAGAAACTAGTATACTCCTTTTACACAGTACCTTGCACACAGCACAGGCTTAACAGACATATTTAAATTGAACTGAAGCGAATACTACCAGAACTGAAAGTGGTAGTTCCAGATCTTTCAGGCTCAAGGTCCAGATTTTACAAGTGTTTCTGATCACCCTCCCCCTACCTCATTTATCGCAAAGAGCAGAGGCCAGGAAAAGGATGAATAATCAATGACCTTAAAACTCAGGTGAGAATAAAAACCAGTTCTGAGAAACCGTGTGACATTTACATCCTGGTACCTGAGCTTTAGATCACTCTGCATGTGTATTTCCTCTGCACAAAGCCCAGGAGGCTACTTTTATATTATTGGGGCAAATCTCCCAACAGCCCTGGGTACTAAACAGCCTTCAGCAGGTGCTTCCAAATTTTCTTATTTGCTTCAACTCCCAGGTTGCCAGGGGAAGCTTGGCCGACAAGTCTATACTCCTGGGCAGACTGAGCAACAGCAGGTGGTGGCTTCTGGATAAGAGGTGCTCTAGGTCGGAAGGAAATAAATGAGACTACGATCAGTTAAAGTTCGGTAAAGCAAGAGACGCCTTCAACCCGACGACCAGACGGTGGCTCCGCAGCACAGACTCTCTCGGATGGTGGAATTCCCAACCGGCTTCGATGTAGCCCCGCCCCTACCCAGACCACGCCCACCAATCACCGCCCTCTCCCCCCCAGGCCCCGCCTGGAGCCCGCCCCTCCTAAAGCATGCTCCACCTGACTCCGACACTGCCGGGCTTAGTCCGCCGGGCTTAGTCCGTGGAGCGCTTGCGCATTTCTTGAGTTGTCGTGGCACTGCCCAAATCTGAATGGGGGAAAGAGGGAACTTCATATTTCCTACAGACTCCGCCACAGCGACTTTGCGTGCTCTCTTAGAGCTGGTTTTGCCTTTCGTGGTCCTGAGAACCCTGGCTTTTGGTTCCCCAATGCGGCTTAAGTGTGCAGGTTTTAAGTTAGGCGATCTTCGGGCAGCCCTAGTCCCAGCACCGGGTCCTTGCGCTGAGTCTCGGGACCACAGCCGGGGAGGCGGGGTCCTTCTCTGGGGCGGTCGCGTTGGCAGCGGATGCGGGAAGCCGGACTCTGGGCGTCATGTACTACAAGTTTAGTGGCTTCACGCAGAAGTTGGCAGGAGCATGGGCTTCGGAGGCCTATAGCCCGCAGGTACGAGTGGCGCCTGGCCAGCTCGGACATGAGAAGTGGCGGCCCTAGCCTCGGCGACAGGCAGTCGCGGCGTTGGAGCCAGGGGAGGCTTCTGCCCGCGGTCGAGTTCGTCTCTGTTCTCCTTGCACCTCCCGGGGCCTCTCCACACCAGCGTACGGTGGTCACTGAGGCTTCTTTTTGTGTACCTGCTCACCTGGCGGGGGCTGGCCTGGCGTGGAAGTTTGGTCTGGCTCACTGCAGGGGTCAAGGTGACCCCCGGGGTCACTTGTCTAAAAGGGATGGTTTGTGGGGGTCCCCAGTGTGACCCGAGTCAGAGGTCCGGCCTTCTCCCTCAATTCGAAGACATCTGGCTTTCGGCCTCCTTGTCGTTTGTCATCTGCCAGAGCCCCATAGGCAGCCTCACTTGAGCTCGAGATTAGAGAGCGCGGGGCTATAAAGGCGTTTAGAGAAACCATGGTGCAGGGGGTTGGGGGGCTATGATCTGGGTTGGGAAATTTAACAGGTTACTTAACACGTCCAGGGAGGGAAGTTGCATGCAGCGAGGTTACACTTTCCCGATTGTAAAATATTTGACAGATGCTCGTTGTTTGGGTTGTCTGAAAAGTATTCCATTTCACGCAGATTCTACCAATTGGAGTTTGACTCTCCAGCATGTGTTGGGGGTAAACATGAGGGATTTTAGAGCCCCAGACGTGCCTTTTCAAATCATGGCGTTTTCCGCTTTAATTGTGTGACCTTGGCCAAGTTATTTAATTTATTGTGAGCTCAGTTTCATCCAGGGCGGCGTTAGTACACATTAAATGAAGTGTGTCAAGTGACTAGCAGTTTGGGCAGGTGGTTGGTTCTGGATAAGTGTTAACTGTTCACCAGAAGCTGTCTGAGATAGTATATTCCCTCCTAATCCTCTAGAGAAGTGTGGGAAGTGTCGGTGAGATACGCAGTTAGACTGCAGTAGTGAGGGGCCCAGATGAGGTGTAAAGGATACTCCATTACTGTTGCTTCATTTCCTTTTTCTGTGGGACACTGCAGCTTGCCCAAGAGGCAGATGTTTAAGAAAGATTTCAGGTCTGGTACCGTGGCTCACGCCTGTAAATCACAGCACTTTGGAAGGCCGAGGCCGAGGGTCGCTTGAGCCCAGGAGTTTGAGATCAGCCTGGGGCAACATAGTGAGACCCTGTCTCTAAAAACAAAAACAGATGATTCTAATCTCAGATAAGAAGGGCAAGTTTTTTTTTTTTTTTTCGGGGGTTAGTGGGGGAGTTGCGGTGGGAACGGGAAGGAAGAGTTTAGGGTTTATAAATGTTGAGTTTGTGATATGTCATGCTTGGTAGCAGCTAGATTTTTGAATATGGAGTTTAATAAACTTGGGTGTCTTCAGCCCATAGGTGGTAATTTGTAGGGAAGAAAGGTTGGATTATAGTTAGAGTATAGAAACATGAGGGAAGGGTGGAGAAGGAGAATGTGTTTAAAGAATAGTCCGGATGAGAAGGGAAACCAGTGTGGTCTCACTGAAACCGAATTGGTAATGACTTGTAAGGAAGGAATAGTCAGCAGTGTTGCACTTCTTTTACAGATTATGTGAGAAAATGGCCATTTCTATCATCTGCTTCTATGAAATGTATTCTCCAGTGTATGGATATTAAATGTTACAGTTTGATGAGTTTGGACAAACCCATGTACTGTATAACCACACCTCCCTCAATATGCAAGATGTTACATCATCCCAGGAAGTTCCCTTGTACCCTCTGTCAATCCCTGCCACCTTCTTATTCTGACTTTTATCATCATAAATAGATAGTTTTGCCTTTTTTTGAACTTCATGTAAATGGAACCAGCTCTGACCCAGGCTGGAGTGCAATGGCACAGTCACAGTTCACTGTAGACTCACTCCTGAGCTCAAGTAATCGTCCTGCTTTTGCCTCTGAAAATGTTGGAATTACAGATGTGAGCCGCCGTGTCTGGCTGCTCAAAAAATATTTTTGAGGTTAGTCCGTGTTGTACGTATCAGTAGTTAATTCCTTTTATCCTCTTATTCTTCTGTGGGATTTCATTTTATAAATATATCACAGTTTATTCTGTTGGTGGTAGTAGATGTTCTTTTATTTATTTTTTTAAAATATTTTTTGAGACAGGTTCTTGCTGTGTTGCACAGCCTGATCTCGAACTCCCCGGCTCAGGCAGTCCTGTCACCTCAGCCCCCTGAGTGGCTGGGGTTACAGATGTGTACCACCACACTTGGTTTATGTTCTTTTAATATATCTTCAGCATAATCTAGGTTTTGTTGCTTAGTAAGAAAAAAGTAAATTTTTCGACTAAAAACTGGCATATTGTAATAAAATGGGCGCTCAGCAGAGATTACCTTGCGATGAGTTTGATATAGATAGGGCTTTCAGATTTCTAGTACCTCTCCTCGTGAATCGTGTTTCTCTTGAGAATTTGAACTTCTTAGTTACTTAAAGATTTCTTAAACTATGTTGAAAAGAAGTGATACTGTGTAGGCTTTATATGAATTGTAAATTTCTGAGTGATTGTGACAGGTGCCCTCCCAACTAGGTGCTCTGACTTTGGTAATTAGGAGTACTTCAGCTTTTTCCTTTCCTGGAAACATACGATGAAGATGTTTGTAATTTGTAGTAGTAAGTAAAGTGAATAATTTGCCATGCACTAAATAACATAATATGGAAAAGGTGGTTCTGTAACAATTGCACAGGTAGAGATTTGTAAGTCAGCTTGACAGCAAGCAGTTGGTGGGATGGCATTTTCCATTGGTTGAAAGGCATCTTCCTTACCTTTCTCTGAATTGCGTCAAAAATAAATTGAGGCCAATAAGCACATGAAGATGTTTAACATTTTCAGTTATTAGAGCAAATCACAACCACAATGAGGTACCATTTAGTATCCACCAGAATGCCTAGAATCAAAAAGACAGATGATAACAAGTATTGGTGAGGATGTAGAGAAACGAAACATGTTACATTTGTGGTGGAAATGGTAAAATGACGCAGCCACTTTGGAAAACAGTTTGGCAGTTTGTTAAAAAAGGAAACGTAATTTTACTGTGTGATCTAGGAATTCCTCTCCCAATTAAGATGGCAGAATGGTATTCTAGGTAAAGGGAACTGTGAGAGTGAAGGAAGGGAGGGGGTCTGGAGGAGAAGCATTGGGTAGGTAAGTTTGACTGTGGAGGATGGAGGTAAATCATGAAGGGCCTAGTATGTAAGGACTTAATTTTGTGAGGCACTAGTAGGAAGTTGCAGAGCAACTTGATGCAGAGTTGTGGTAGTTTGTCCTTTCAGATGAGACAGATGTTGGGGATGAGGAGGGAGGGCTTCAGCATGATTGGTGAATTGGTGCTTTTCACAGTGACAGGGTGTTCCTGAATGGGCTTAGGAGTGAATTTTGGACATGATGAGTGTGAGGTGTCAGAAGGACATGGAGGTAGGTGGTGATGTCTAGCTTACCGTTAGAAATAAATAGAGGTCAGGTGCGGTGGCTCACACTGGTAATCCCAGTGTTTCCGGAGGCCAGGGCAGGAGAATTGCTTGAGGCCAGGAGTTTGAGACCAGCCTGGGCAGCAAAGTGAGACCCCGTCTCTAAAAAAAAAATAAGAAAAATTAGCTGGGTATGGTGAAGCGTACTTGTAGTCCTAGCTACTCAGGAGGCTGACGCGGAAGGATCACTTGAGCCTAGGAGATTGAGGCTGCAGTGAGCTGTGATCAATGCGTTGCACTCCAGCGTGGGTGACAGTGTAAGATCTATCTATAAACAAAACAAAACAAAAAGCCAAATGAATTGAGTCACTGCAGATTGAAACTGGTCTCCAGTCCTAAATCACAGTGGAAAAGTTCATACATTTCTATCATTTAAAAATTAAAATTATGGGGATCCTCTTTTCTCTCCACCCTCTTCCCCAAACCTAAGAGGTAGAAGAAAAGGAAAATGTTACAACCAACTTTTAGAGGGAAAATCATGTTTACTTTTCTCTTTAAAAATTTGGAGCAATTGAAATAAACTAGGAAGAACTTAATTACTAAACGTGGTTAAGGTTGAATGGCTCGTAATTAATTTTGGAGGTGGGGCTTATTTAAGCAGCTAAGAGATTCAGTATTAAAAAGTAAAGTATGTGATTTTTCTTGATCTATGGGCCACTTATTTTTAATTTTATTTTGAGACAGAGTCTCTGTCGCCCAGGCTGGAGTACAGTGGCGTGATCACAGCTCACTACAGCCTCGACCGCCTGGGCTCAAGTCATCTTCCCACCTCAGCCTCCTAAGTAGCTGGGACCACAGGTGTGCACCACTGTACCTGGCTAATTTTTTGATATTTTGTAGAAACAAGGTCTCACTACGTTGCCCAGGATGATCTCAAACTCCTGAGTCAAGTGATTCTCCCACCTCAGCCTCCCAAAGTGGTGGGACCACAGGCATGAGCCATTACGCCCAGCCTGTCCACTTTTTATAAGAACAGCTTTCAGTTGTTTTCTTATTGCTATGGGAATTGTGGATGCCCTGCCATCAAATGCCAGTTGATCAGACTTTGTTTCTGAGATACTCAAACCTACACTGTGAAGCTATAGCCTTCTTTAGTTTATTTGAACATTCTGCCTATATTTACTGAATGCGCTTACTCTGCCGGTTGCTTTTCTAAGTCTTGGAATATAGGAGCAGTGAACAAGATGTGCCAAAATCCTGTGCTTGTGGAGCTTCCATTATAGTGGGGGGAGACACAGTAAGCAAAGTAAAACATAGTATGTTAGGTGGTGATAAGTGCTGTGGAGAAAAATAAAGAGGGTAAGTTGTTAGTAGGGCAAGGGGGAGGACATGCAGTTTTTAAAAGGGTGGTCAGAAAGATCTCTCTGAAAAGGTGACTTATGGGGTTGGGTAAAGACCTGAAGAAGGTGAGGGTATAAGCCACGTGGATACCTGGAGAAGATCATTCTAGGCAGAGGGAACATGGCTGTGCCTGGGAGGTTTCAGGATAGCTCCTGAGCCAGGATCACGCCACTGCACTCCAGCCTGAGTGACAAAGCAAGAGCCTAGCTCAAAAAGGAAAAAAAACAGAATGGGCCGGGTGTGGTGGCTCACGCCTGTAATCCCAGCACTTTGGGAGGCCAAGGTTGGTGGATCACCTGAGGTCAGGAGTTCGAGACCAGCCTGGCCAACATGGCAAAACCCAGTCTCTATGAAAAATACAAAAATTAGCTGGGCGTGGTGGCGTGCACCTGTAGTCCCAACTACTCAGGAGGCTGAGACAGGAGAATGGCTTGAACCTGAGAGGCAGAGGTTGCAGTGAGCCGAGATTGCACCACTGCACTCCAGCCAGGGCAACAGAGCGAGATTCCGTCTCAAAAAAAAAAAAAAAAAAAAAAAAAAGAACGTAGGATTTTACACTGTGACTGTTAAATTATTAAACCTGAATAAACATTGGAGGAAAAGTTACAATTTATAACAATTAATGGGATGAGATAATGAGATTATAGGTAACTTCAATTCTATAAACTTTTACAATATTATAAAGGGAAATACGGAATTAATTTAAAATTAAGATGGTTGGTATTCCTGTTTTCAGATGATACTGTTCAAAAACTTTGCTGTAGTTTTGAATCACTGCATGCTTGGACAAACAAATACAATCCCTTCAAAAATACTCTCACATTAGTCCTGTCGAAACATGAATTTACTTTCAAGCCATTTTTGGAGATCCTTGGTAGAAAGAGTTTTTACATTTTTGCATTCAAGAAGAAATTTTTGCATTTCAAGGAGAAAATATGGTGAGCTCACAGAATGATATAAAGGAGTATCTAACATTCTCCATCCAGTTCAAACCATGATTCTTGTTAGCCTTTTGATCTTGATAGTAGAGCCCCTGTTTGCCTCTCTGACTCCTCTGAGTCTCTGTTTTGAGTGTGTTGTATTTCTAAATGTAGGCCAACATCTTACTGACCAAACTTTCTCTTTAAATGGGCTGTTGTTTTTAAGCAATAGTTGATTGGGAGGGTGGGGTGTGAGTTGTGGAATACTTAAAAGCCAGGGCTCTGGACTTGAGAAAGGCCTGAGTTTGAAAACTTGACTTGCTTTTCACTATTTGATCAAAGGCAAGTTATTCTCTCTCCAGTGTTTTCCTCTGAAAAATGGGAATAGTAATATCTTCATAGGGTTGCTGTCAGAATTAAGTGAAGTAATGCATGTGAAATGTTTGACATGATACTGACACTTCACAAGGGTTAAATAGATATTAGCTGCTGTTGGTTTATAACATTAATATCCATGGTGGCTGAGACTGTGGCAATGTTATTCATTGTGTATTTCTAGTGTAGAGCAAGTGATCAGTAATAAATGTTGAATGAATGAATACGTTACAGAAAACAGGCCATGGTTCATTCCCATTTACTGTACTGTGTCAGAAGAAATAGAAGCCAAGTTTACTTTAATGCTTCTTTTTATTGACCTGTTCATCTAGTGCTTGCCTGGTGGGAGTAGCATTGAGGTTTTCAATATCTAATCTTTATAATATGCCCTGTCAATTATAGGTAAATTTAGATTTCTTTGAGACAAGAATCAGCGGACTGATCACTGTATTTGGGCAAGAGGTTTCCTTCTTTGTCTGTAAAAGGAAAAGGCTGGGTTTGAATTATGCTTTCTGACTTTAAATTTTTATTTTTCTTAGTTAGAATTTAACATAAAAGGAGGATTTTTATTGGCTTATAACTCTTAGCTCCTTATTTTAATTTACAGGTTATTTTGGATTACTCTATATATTTGTCACTGTAGGTTTATTCCTTTCAGATAAAAAAACCAGAGATCCCCCCCACCTTTTTTTAAAGCAGCTTTATTGAGATATAATTTACATAGCATACAAGTTGCCCATTTAAAGGGTACAATTTAGGGTTTTTTAGTGTATTCACAGATATATGCAACTACCACCACAGTTAATTTTAGAGCATTTTTTTAATCACCTCAAATGGATACCTATGTACCTTTTAACTGTTACCTCCCTAGCCCCCAAGCCCCCACCTGAAGCAACCATTAACCTACCTTCTGTCTCTGCGGTTCCCTCTTCTGACTTTGCTGTGAATGGCGTCATACAGTATGTGGTCTTTGGGACTGGTTTCTTTGACTCAGCGTAATGTTTTAGAGGCTTATCCGTGTTGTAGCATGTGTCAGTACTTCCTCCCCTTCACCTTGTTTAAATTTTTACTGTATGTGTTTTCAATTTATGTGTTTATTTATGCTGAAAAGTTCATTTCGAAAAGTTTTTTGTTTTGATTTTGTTTTCTGGTCCTGGAAGGCAAGTATTGTTTGTTTGTTTGTTTAGTTTTGTTTTAAACCAGTAAGCCTGTTCCACATTGAATATTTCTTTATTGTGTGTCTGGAAAAGTTTCTGAAGTCTGCTCTGGGGTTAGACATTCCATGTTACTAGATTAGCTCATTTAGAAGAAAAAAATGGCAGACAGATCCCTCATGAAAGCTAATGACAAGTTCGTAACAGATTATAAATGTTTTACTGGTTGCTAAGAAGATAGACACACCAGGTATTTCTGGAAGCTCAGATTGGGCCTTTGTTGGCGTCCCCCTGACCCTCACACGCCCCCTGCAATCGTAATGGCAAGGGGTTCTTGACAGGGTTTGCTCTGGGAAAGTTGGAGAGACTTTCTTGCTCTCTCGTAGTTGAATGGCTGCCTCCACTATTCCAGACAGCCTCCTCAGACATACTTTCAACTTGCCATTTTCCTTTTTTTCTCTACAGGGATTAAAGCCTGTGGTTTCCACAGAAGCACCACCTATCATATTTGCCACACCAACTAAACTGACCTCCGATTCCACAGTGTATGATTATGCTGGGAAAAACAAAGTTCCAGAGCTACAAAAGTTTTTCCAGGTGAGGGAAGATACTCTACAACAGAAAAGCCTGTGAAATAAATAGGCTTAAAAAATCCCTTATGAAACTAAATCTTAATCTAGTTTACTACCCACCCTCCTTCTTTTTCTTTAAGTAGTATTCTCTTGATTTTAGTTTGAGCCATAAACGAATAGAACTTTATATAGGTAGATACTGATAAAAGAGGGGAGGGTGGTTAATTTCCTCATTAGTATTTAAGGGTGTGAGGGTTTTGAAATGGCATGAATAGCTCTTGATCATTTATTGCATGGAAGAAGCAATAGCCTCAATAACTGAGTAGCCTGTATAACTGAATGACCCAATATATATATTTGACTTCGTGACACATGTAATGACTTGGCAGTGGGTTTTTTTCTCATTGTTTTTTGCTTGCTTGATATTAAAATTCACTGAGCTATTGCTGAAAGTAGAGGAGGTGCTTACGGGTTTGCACATGAGTAGAGAATCCAGAATCAGAATTGAAAATGTTTTTAAAGTGAATCTACCTGCAAATTATTGAGAAATTAGTGACCTGACCAAATCTTAGGTGCCATGGGAGTGGCAGTGCTTGCTACTGCTATTGCTGTAAGGTAGCTTCCCCCTCCTCAAAAGTAGTCCAGATCCAGACCCATCTTGAGGATAGAGCACTTTTGTTTTGATCAGTTTAATCTCTTTTTATCTGATAAGTAAGGTTTGAGAGAGCATTTAGAATCTCAAGGTGCGGTGGGGAAGGATTTTGGACACTGCAAAATATGAGTTAAACAGGCCAGGTGTGGTGGCTCACTTGTGCAGCCCCAACACTTTGGGAGGCCAAGGTAGGAGGATTGCTTGATCAGCCTGGGCAGCATAACGAGACCCTGCCTCTACAAAAAAACTTAGCTGAGTGTATAGGCACGCGTCTGTAACCCCAGCTACTCCAGAGGCCGAGGCGGGAGGATCACTTTAGCCCAGGATTTTGAGGTTGCAGTGAGCTATGATTGAGCCACTGCATTCTAGCCTGGGTAGCAGAGTGAGACCCAGTCTCTAAAATGATGATGAAGATGATGATTTAAATATCTCATGGAATTTGATTATTAAATGGGTTTAACAGTGTGACGGAAAGAAGGCAGTTGAATGCCAAATGGACTTGAACCTATTGACATGAGGTACTCCGACCCCATCCACTTATGATCAGAAGCCAAACTAAATGGAGAACGTTTCTCGTGCCAGCACCTCTTTTTATCTTTTTTAAGACAGAGCCTTACTCTGTCACCCAGGCCAGAGTGTAGTGGCACACTCATGGCCCACTGCATCCTTGACCTCTTGGGCTCAAGCGATCCTCCCACCTCAGCTTCCCTAATAGGAAGTCCCTAATGGGACTACAGGTGCATACCACCACACCTGGCTAATTTTAGTTATTCTGTAGAGACAGGGTTTTGCCATGTTGCCCAGGCTGGTCTTGAACTCCTGGGCTCAAGCCATCTGCCTGTCTCGGCCTCCCAAAGTGCTGGGATTACAGGTGTGAGCCACCGCGCCCAGCCTCTCCTGCCTGCACTTCTTTTAGCTACTGATTACCTTTGCCTTTTAAAAAATGCACCAATGCTCCAGTTAAGCAATATGTGATAAATGTCTTAGACATTTGGAATCTTTTGCATGCATGCTTCCTGAGGCAGCATTTTGGAGAATGACTTTGGATTTACAAGCTTTAGCTACATTTATAGGAACTTCTACTAGCATTCCATGGATTAGTGCTTTTCCCACTGTCATGTGTTGATGAATTACTTACCGAGTAGACAAATTTGTTATTTTTTAAGAGTAAAATTGTAAAATATTTTTCTTCTCAACCATGCCCTTGTTAATTCTTGCTTTCAAGAAAGCTGATGGTGTGCCCGTCTACCTGAAACGAGGCCTGCCTGACCAAATGCTTTACCGGACCACCATGGCGCTGACTGTGGGAGGGACCATCTACTGCCTGATCGCCCTCTACATGGCTTCGCAGCCCAAAAACAAATGAGTTAGGCTGCAGAGGACTGGTTTGTTTTTTGGCATAAACCCTTTGAAGTTCCTTTTTCATTGTTAAATTAAAATTTTTTTTTTTACTTGGATGGCTTAACATTTTTGCAAGAAAAATAGGAAGATATGAAGATGATGTTTTGGTTTGTTTATGAAATGCATATGGCTTGTCAGAGCTCATTCGACAGTTAAAGCCATTGTTTAAAGAAATGGTGCTTTGCTCTGTGTTTGTGCTCCTGATTTCCCTGGAGGTTCTGGATGAAGGCTGAACACAGGCTTGTTAATGTCAGTCTGTGCTGAGGACCTCAGGGACTTGAGGTTGCATTTTTGAGCATGGGGTGCAGGAGCCTTTCTGGATTTGGATGTGGCTATGGAAAGAACACAGAAGCCAAGGTCATGTGCATGAAATGAGGAGTTTGAGTTAGTCACCTCGGGGATTTTTTCCATTTTGCAGTAAAATGTTAAATTAATGTAGCCTGCCTCTATTTGTTGGGCAGGTAATTTCAAAGGGTTATTTGCCTCATCTCCTATCTTTAGTGAAATCTTATGTGTAATTATTCCACCGTGGGAACAGAGAATACCTGTTTAGTGTTGCACTTTAGACTGGTGTCTGTTTTGTTAATGCAGCTGTGCCACAAATTCTCCTTTATCTTTTAAAAATGTTATAGCTTTAAATTTTGATTTATTTTGACTGTGGAATAAATACATGAATGAAAAATTTTAAGTTTGAAGTTCTTTGAATGACCTTTCAGAGTAATTTCAGAACACCAGCAGCATCTTAAACCTGAGTCTAATTTCTTTCTTGTTAATTAGGCACCAGATAATCTTTATAAAATGGTTCTTAAAAGTCTAGTAATAGGAGTCTTAATGGCATATTGATGATTACCACATGGTTTTTTATAAAAACCTGCCTGCCCCTTAGTGAAAGGTACCTGTAACTCACAGTTCATTTAGACACTAATTTCCTTTGCTGTCATGATTGGTAGACTTCACTTACCCTATATTAATTTTGAAAAAAGGTGGAATTTTATTATATATGAAGGAATAGTTTGTATCTTACCATAGCACAGAACAGTGACCTCTTGCTCAGGATAAGATGTGGTGATTTGAAAATACTCAATAGTAGCCTTGCAGTGATATCTCTCTCTCTCTCTCTCTGCAAATCTAAATTTTATTCTCTGGTATTTCCTCCAAGTTTTTATTTTGAAAATTTTCAGACTACAGAAGGACTAAGCATAGTACAATATACACCTGTATATCCTTCACTTAGATCACCAGTTATCAATATATTGGCACCTTTGCTTTTTCTTGTTCTCTCACACAGGCACACACAATGCATATATGCACACACACATAGATCTGTTTTTTGTTGAGTCATTTAAGATTGTTAGGGAATTATGATAAATCAGCCATAGTACTTTAGCAGGTATCTTCTGAGTAAGGACATGTGTTCCTTTATAACCATAATGCAGTTGTCAGACTCAATAAAGTTAACATTTATAACAATACTACCATCTAATACATAGTTTACTTTCAGATTTCCCCAGGTGTTCTAATAATGAGTTCTTCATAGTTGTGTTTTTAAAAAATAACAGCTTTATTGGGATATAATTTACATACTGTACAGTTCACCTCAAGTGTACAATTCATTGGTTTTTACTGTATTTGGAGTTGTACAGCCACCATGAGAATCAATTTTAGAACACTTATATCACCCTAAAAAGAAACCCCATACCCATTAGCAATCACTTGCCTTCCCTCCCACCATCCCAACTCCCACCTCCTAGCCCAAAGCAAGCACTCATCTACTTTCAGTCTCTATGGATTTGTCTTTCCTGGACATTTCATATAAATATAATCATATGATGTGTGATGTACGTGACTGGCTTCTCTCAGTGTCATGTTTTTAAGGCTCATCCATGTTGTGGCATGAATCGATACTCTATTATCTGAATAGTATTCAATCGAATGGGTATACCACATTTTGTTTATCTATGGTTGGACATTTGGGTTCTTTCCACTTTGGGGCTGTTACGAATAATGCTGCTATGAGCAATAGTGAACATATGTTTACATGGACATATGTTTTCATTTCTCTTGGGTATCTACCTAGGAGTGGAATTCCTGGGTCATATGGTAACTCTGTTTAACATTTTGAGGAACTGCCAGACTGTTTCCAACTCAGTTGTACCATTTAACATTCTCACCAGCACATGCAGTTCCTTTTTGTTTTTGTTTTGGGTCCAGGATCCAGCAAAGGATCATACATTGCATTTAGTTGTTGTCACTTTTTTTTTTCTTTTGAGATGGAGTCTTGCTCTGTCTCCAGGCTGGAGAGCAGTGACGTGATCTTGGCTCACTGCAATCTCCGCCTCTCACGTTCAAGCAATTCTTTTGAGTCAGCCTCCCGAGTAACTAGGACTACAGGTGCACACCACCATGCCCAGCTAATTGTTTGTAATTTTAGTAGAGATGGGGTTTCACCATGTAGGCCAAGATGGTCTCGATTTTCTGACCTCATGATCTGCCCGCCTCAGCCTCCTAAAGTGCTGGGATTACAGGCGTGAGTCACCGTGCCCAGCATGTTGTGACTGTTTAGTCTCTTTTTATCCAGAATAGTCAGTCCCCAGTGCCCTTCCTGATAGTGACCTATTTGAAGAGTCCAGGCAAGTTGTTTTGTAGGACATTCCTTAACTTGGATTTGTCTGATTGTCTCATTGGTGGTTTCAGGTTAAACATTTTTGTCAGGAATTTTTTATAGGTGATATGGTGTCCTCGTTATGTCAGGTGGCACTTGATACCAGTTTGTCCCATTATTGGTGATTTGAAGTTGTGTCTGCCGGATTTCTCCCTTGTCAAGTTGATACCCTTTCCCCTTTGCAGTTAATAAGTAGCCTGAGGGGCGATATTTGAGACTAGGAATATCGTGTCCTCAGCAGTTTGCACTCTGTTCATTGGTCATTCTTGACTGAATTATTACTAAGGTAGTTGTAAACTGATTTTTTCTGTTGTCATTCCTTCTACATTTTTGATATTTCTTCTGTGAAGATGAGCCTTTAAAGAAATTTGATGGAATTTCCTGATTTGATGTATAGTAAGCATTTCTGCCATTATTGATTTTGATGCTGAAATGTGGCTTCTGTGTTCTTTGAGCATCTCCTATCAGTCTTTGATCACCTCCCTACCTTGTGACAGACAAGATGGCTTCCATGCTGACCTTGTGTTTTCCTTACCTCAGTTTCCTCTGTTTATTATGATATATTCTATGAACATATATAGATGCATTTTCTTTTTTTTTGAGATGGAGTTTCGCTCTTGTTGCCCAGGCTGGAGTGCAATGGCGCCATCTCGGCTCACCGCAGCCTCTGCTTTCTGGGTTCAAGCAGTTCTCCTGCCTCAGCCTCCCGAGTAGCTGGAATTACTGGCATGCGCCACCATACCTGGCTAATTTTGTATTTTTAGTAGAGACGGGGTTTCTCCGGGTTGGTCAGGCTGGTCTTGAACTCCTGACCTCAGGTGATCCACGTGCCTTGGCCTCCCAAAGTGTTGGGATTACAGGTGTGAGCCACCACGCCCGGCCAACGCATTTTCTTTGCCTGTTTTATTTTTGCCTAAATGGTAGTTAGTATACCTTCCAAATCTCACTTGTAGCTTAGAGATTGTTCTGTCTCATTTTTCTATATTGGATTTTATTTTATGAATGTACCATAGTTTAGTCTCTTTTTGAAGGGTATTCAGTTTCAAATTTTTTGCTTTTATAAATATGACTTTAATGCATAATCTTTAGCTGTCATTTAATACAATGTTGGATATATTTCTAGGATCATTTCTAGACGTGAGATTTAGGAGGTGAGGGGGATGTGCATTTCCAATTTCAATAGTGCTAATTACTAAAAAAAAAAAAAAAAAAAAGGTGCTGGTTTACATTCCTATCTAGCAGTGTTGAGAGTGCCTGTTTCTTTTTACCTTTGTCTACATAAAATATTACCAAACTTTTTGATCTTTGCCAGTCCTCTAAGTGATAACATTTCTTTGTGGTTTAAATTGCCTTACTAGGCCGGGCGCCATGGCTCACGCCTATAATCCCAGCATGTTGGGAGGCTGAGGTGGCAGATCACTTCAGCTTAGGAGTTCAAGACCAGCCTGGGCAACATGGTGAAACCTTGTCTCTACAAAAATACAAAAAGGGCTGAGGCAGGAGAATCGCTTGAGCCCAGGAGGTCAAGGCTGCAGTGAGCTGAGATTGCGCCACTGCATTTCAGCCTGGGCGACAGAGCAAAAGCCAATCTCTAAAGAATTTTTAAAAAAAAGTACTCTGGAGATAAATGGGCAAAGTACATGAATAGATAGCTCATAAAAAAAGGAAATATAATTTAACTTTAAAAAGAATAAAACATTTTTTTAAAAAAGATATTCAACATCACTAATTATAATAAAAAGCTAATTTCCTTTTTTTTTTTGAGACAGGGTCTCACTCCGTCGCCCAGACTGGAGTGCAGTGGCTCGATACTGGCTCACTGTAGTCTTGACCTCCTGGGCTCAAGTGATCCACCTCACCCTCCTAAGTAGTGGGACAATAGGCGCTGTTGCAGTAAGCTTTTGGGAGAGACGAGGTCTTGCTGCTGTGTTGCCCAGGCTGGTCTTGAACTCCTGGCCTCAAGCAATCCTCCTGCTGTAGCCTCCCAAAGTGTTGGGATTACAGATGTGAGCCACTTGCCTGGCCCAGAGTACTTATTGATAATGCTAAATGTATTGGTCTATTGGGCTGACTTCCTCAGGAATAGTCTCTAGTGACTCCTGAGCCAAACCTCTTCTGATTGCAAGCTCCAGAAATTCATTAAATCCAGCTGATACACAAAGGGAGATTTTTCAGAACCTGAGCGAAGCTGGGCCTCACAAGGACTGCCTTCGAGTCCAAGGTACCTGTCCTTTCTGTCACTCTCTTGATTATGCAGCTGTTTAATTCTGTCTCTGCAGACCAGCTTTCTCTGTTTCTCATTGGATTTGGAAGGAAATTGTTGTCCAGCTGCTGGCAACATGCCCTTAATTCCAGGAGAGAGAGAATGTTATTGTCCCATTTGGGTGAGGTGTCCTCCACTGGGCCAGTCAGCTGTTTGGTGCCAGGCTGTGGGGGCAGATGCAGGGAAGGAGTGCAGGCTGCCCTATTCTTGGATGTTAATTGACGGTGCAGAATCTTTCGCTTTATTCTCAGAGTTAGGATTATGCCTTCTAAGCACGTTACTCTGAACCCTTGCCAGGTTGGTTTGTTTACTCAGAGGAAGACCCTCCTCCCTCTCACCGGCTCGTCTCTTCTCAGTGCTGTCTGGATGAGATGCTGTTAATACAGGGTCCTTCCCTCTACTCACCTCCTCCAGGCCATGCAGTTAGGCCACGGTGCTGAGTAAGTGCGGTCCTACTCTTCACAACAGTGCTCTGGGTTCACATGACCCCGGGGGTATGAAGACTTCATGGGGTACCCACACAAGGATAGTTTAAGGGAATTATTTTAAGTCATCCTCCATTATACCTCCTAAAATTAAGCTGCTGCAGAGCACACCTGGCTTAAGGGGGTCCTGTATGATGGTCTTTCACTCTGAAAGGAAGGCAGACCCTCAGCCATTCTTGTCCCACCAAGGGGTGTTGCCCTGGAGAGTGAAAACCATCCCTGGGGCAATGTAGGAATATGTGCAAATATTGGTAACATTGAGGAAGTGTGTGTCTCTAATGACTGACAGTTTTTTTTTTTGCAATTTAGAGGTTTTTAACAAAATTGAAGGAGGAGCCAGCTAAGTTGTCACTTGATCATTAAAAATAATTTTGTTTTTGTTTTTGTTTTGAGACAGAGCTTTGCTTTTGTCACCCAGGCTGGAGTGCAATGGTACATTCTCGGCTCACTGCAACCTCCGCCTCCCGGGTTCAAGTGATTATCCTGCCTCAGCCTCCTGAGTAGCTGGGATTACAGGTGTGTGCCACCAGACCTGGCTAATTTTTGTATTTTTAGTAGAGACAGGGTTTCTCCATGTTGGTCAGGCTGGTCTCGAACTCCTGACCTCAGGTGATCTGCCCGCCTCAGCCTCCCAAAGTGCTGGGATTACAGGTGTGAGCCACCATACCTGGCCTAAAAATAATTTTGATAATAGATCACACATGACTTATAACTCAGGAGTTCAAAGAATTGTGATTTTGCTATCACGAAACTTCATTCCCTTCTGTTTATGAAAACAAGGTTTTTCAGTGCTTATATCTGTAAAAATAAAAATGGGAATGGAATTGATGCTGAAATTACCTTATTTTAACAGTAAGCAAGATTTATCCATGGAAACCGGAACCAGCTCCCTCCCTCTAATTGCGATGCCTTTTTTTTTTTTTGAGGCGGAGTCTTGCTTTGTCACCCAGGCTGGAGTACAGTGGCGCAATCTCAGCTCACTGCAAGCTCCGCCTCCTGGGTTCACGCCATTCTCCTGCCTCAGGCTCCTGAGTAGCTAGGACTACAGGCGCTTGCCACAACGTGGGCTAATTTTTCGTATTTTTAGTAGAGATGGGGTTTCATTGCCTTAGCCAGGATGGTCTCCATCTCCTGACCTCGGGATCTGCCCACCTCAGCCTCCCAAACTGCTGGGACTACAGGCGTGAGCCACCGCGCCGGGCCTGCGACGCATTCTAAGACAGATTTTCTCATACTTTGTTTTGGTCAAATATGTACTAATAGTAATTGTAATAATTCAATCTAGAACAAAAGTATTTCTAACACTTAGAGTTTATGGTCACAGGAAATTTAAACAAATTTCAATTTTAGAGTGTTACAGAGAATTATGTATGAGCAAAAGGAGACTTTCATTCCTAAAGTTGTAGTAGGGTAAATGTTTTGGGACAGAGTTGTAGGTATGGGAGTGGAATGGAAAAACACGTGTAAGCAGAGGTTTCTGACTGTTGTATAGATGTGTATTTTTAACCAGATGAAGGTGGGTGTCCAACTGCAGTGGAGGTTACATTCCGTTGGATACATTTAGAACTGATTTAATAATTTAGCTAATATTTATAACAATAGAAACTATACTTTTTGCAACTATTTAAATTTAAAATGAAGAATTTTACGTATTAAGCTTAGATATGCATAGATGTAAATTTTTTTTTAGGGTACACAAGGGTAAGAAAGGTTGAAAATGGCTACTTTACACTTGTCCTTGTAAAGCAGTGCCCACTTATCCCTGGCTTTGCTCTTTCTGTCAGCCAGATTCCCTTTCAGGGTCTGACTAGCTTTCGCTCTCCTTCTCGGCCCCTTCATCCAGTGTGACTTTGCTGTGAAGCTGTTGGGTAAGGTGAAGGTTGGTGTGGCTTTGATAACACTGGCCAGCTTTCGTTTATTTATCTGCTTTTTTCTTCTCTTCATGTGTGTGGCTTTGGGCAGGCTCCCCTGGCTTGTCTGACATTGAGGTCTGTTCATCCCCACGTCTTCCTTCTGATTTTCCTCATGGTCAAAAGCTTGGTAAACCTCTCACTTTCTGTCCCATTCATCTTCAATAGCTAGAGGTTATACCTGGGGCTATAAAAATTGGTTGCTGAGAAATTCTGATACTGCCTGGTCCCAGTGATTTAATACATATATTTGACGTTTTGCCTCCACACCTCCTAGGCTGGGTCACTATTTAGTACCACAGACTGCCCATGTCGGGTTGGCTGAGAAATGGGGCCCTGTCCCTAGAGCTCCTCTTGTCGGGATCATTGGCCGGTATCTTTGGCTCCTCAGGGACTCCCTAACCCACAGTCTTCAAGGAGTTGCATTAATTCTCTGTTATTCTAGACATTTAATTAGTGCGCAGAAGCACACACTATTAGGTGCTGGAGCCTCAGAGATGAACCATGCTTAGGGTCATTTTCAGGGTGTCTCTCCACCTCTTAGGGTTGATAGACCACATGGCTAGCAAACGGCCTTGTTATTGAGGAATTCTGCAGTTATCCTTCACCTGTTCTGATCTGGGAGCTCTCTGTGACTGGCGGGGTTTGGTGACTTTAGAGGAGGCTGCCCGGGTGGGTGTGGTGGAGGGAAATCTGGCTGTGGCTGCTGTTCTGGGAACCCATGTCATGCCTTGGTGGTAGCAGGTCAGGCCTGGTAGCCTGGAGGGCGGCAGCAGCTGACTCTTGCTCTCATGACGTGAACGAGAGCAGTGAGGGTGGCTCAGCACCTCCTGAGGTAGGAGGGGAGTGGGACGATCACTTGCAGTCTCCTCTGCCATCAGCCACTGTCACTTGCATAAGCTGGAATCAGGCCTCCTGACCTCTGTGGCTCCACGGTGCCCGGGTGCGGCACTGCTGCAGGATGTGTTGGGATGGGCAGGTGGGGGGCCCAGATGCTGCTTGCCCAGGGTCCCAAGACTGCTGGAGCTGACTTCCCAGGGGAAGTCTGCTGCAAAACCCGAAACGGGGGGCGCTGAATGGCCAGGAAGAGCATTCTTTAGGTCATATTTTTTTCCTTGAGTTCTGACACAGCCCTCCTGGGACATCCTGCCTTCTCTTGTTCTGACCTCGTCTATGACATAGATTAGTCATGGTCACATGGCTGTGCCTCAGGGCCAAAGCACAGGTCTCTACACTGCCTAATGTGTATTAGCCAGATTGGAATCTTTGCTGACTCCAAATATCACATTCCAAGCTGCCCCAGGCTGTGAGAAATGGTGGCGTTGCCTCCCCTTTGGCAGAGAAGGTTTTAGGAAGAAGCCTTGGAAGGGCTGTAAAGTAAAGCAGATGGAGTTAGGGACCTGGGTTTTCCAAGGCAGGGAAGGAGAGGCTGAGTCTGTGTGGGCCGTACCTGGTGCCTGCCTGAAGGGCCAAGGAATAAGTGGGTGCAGAAATTGGGGTGGTTTCTGAGGGCATCTTGCCAAGCAGAGAGCTCAAGTCCCTCGTCTCAGCTCTCCTAGGGAGAGGGAGAGAGCAGGGAAGGGCAGCTAGGCTAGGGTGGAAGAGGCAGGCTCTGCTGGTCCAGGGCCCCCTTCAGGGTTCCAGCTGTACCAGGCTTAGGCTTCAGTTGTGAGTGTGGAGCCCTGAGCTCAAGCATGGAGGCAGCGTGGTTGCTCAGCTCAGCCTCTCATAGGAAGACCTGGCACCAGTTCCGGAAGTGCCTCGCCACTAGAGAGGGTGGGGAAGGTCAGATGCTCTAGAATCAGTTCATACCTGGGAGGGCTTTAACCCCATCTTCCCCTCCCACCTGCCCCCTGCTTAGGCCACAAAGCCTCCATGTTATGTGGCAGATTAATTTGAAAATTGAGTTGCAGCTGAATGAGTTGATGTCTTCAAAGTTCAGTGGTGTTTGATTAGAGCCGTCCAGAGACTAGACTTGCTCCCAGGAAATGATTCTGACTGAATAATTAAAGTGAATAAAGGTTAGATTTGTGTTTCAGGCCAAATCTGTGTTGCATTCAGCATCTCCAAAACATGAATTCCATTAATCTTTCATGAACTAGCATTAAATTACTTTCAATTAGTTGTCATTCTAATTAAAGTTGAGTTACACAGAGCAGCCTTTGTTTATACTTGGTAGCTGTTCCCTTGCCTCCTCTGGAACTAAGTACTCTTGAGCAAATTGTCATTTGGAAAGTTGGTTTTATAACTTTGTGTCCCCCCACCCATCACTCTGAGTCAGGACCTGTTCTTTGAGCTGAAGGATGTGGGCGCCCACGGCAGCAGGAGGGCTGGGGGAGCACTGCTGGCTAGATTGAACCACATGACTTGCAAAAAGCAATCCCATGGCTGTGGGAAAGGAAGTTAAGGAGTGTTTAAGGTAGGCCGCCCAGCCCAGGCAAGCTTGGGCAGGCCTTGGGGTACCAAGTGAGGCATGGTCTGCCCAGGTGGGACTTGGGCAGGTCGGGAGGGAAGTGTGCTGCCCCCTGCGACGCCATGACCTGGCTTATTCTGAGCCTTTATGCCTTAGGTGTGGGTGGCCTTGCTCCTGCCAAGGGGTAGATGTGAGTTCTCATCAGGGCCTGTCTGCAGCCTCAGTCTCCTGAGGGCCAGCATTCCACGCTCCTGTCTAGTGGCCACAGCAGGAGGGGTTGAGGGAGGACTGAAATAAACCACTGTGTCCCCCTGTGGGACTCACCCATAAGTTGTCATCCAGCATATTTTTTCTGTTTGTTTTCTCCATTGATTATGGATGTGACACGTTATAACCAAGACAGAATCTCTAAGCCAGCGTGGGGATTCTGCAGGCTGGGGCACTTGAGGCCCTTCAAACCCAGGATGCCAGAGGTGAGCTCGCTTTCTTTGGCTCCAGGTCTGAACAGAGGTTAGAGGTGCCGACCATTTGCCCCACCTTTGCCATCAGTAGCTCTTGAAGCACAAATCATTCCTTCTGCAGTGTGCTGCGCAGTGGAGACATGGAGAAAGGCGACACTGCTCCTGGCCTCCCGTGCTTGCAGAATGATGAGCACAGTCAGAGTGCAGTGGAGCGGCCCAGTGCAGGGCCAGGCCCCGGGAAGGTGAGAGGAGGAATGGCAGGGAAGCTCCCACTGGGGCGCTGTTGAACTTGCACCTCACGTGAGTAGGTGATTTCCACTAGAGGACATGGGGAAGGCATGCACTGAGGTGTGAGGGCATCTCGGGTGCGCCTGGGGGGTCGGGGAGAAGAGAGGAAAGGCAGGATCCAGGATGAGAGGAAGAGGCTCAGGCGTTACGGAGCACATTCCTGGGGCCAGGCCCGAGAGCTGGACTCTGGCTGGTGAGCAGGGTGTGTGTCGGGACTAACCACCTGATCCAGCAAGGATGTTTTTGTTTTGGTTTGCTTCTTTTGAACCCACAGTGGCAGTGTGGAGGACAGAATGGAGAGGAAAAAGACTTACAACAATTGATAATTAAGAGTTGTTATGAGAGCTGATGGGGGCCTGGGAGTGACAGCCGAGGGCACGAGAGAAAAGAATGGATCCCAGGGGCGCGAGGAAGGCAGAGTGAACTCAGTGTGACAACTGCCCGTCCCTGGAGAGGGGAGGTTGTCTCTGGGGTACCCCCAGGATGGTGCAGCTTGGCTTCTGGGTGAGTGGGGAGTGGAGTACAGAACCTGGGGGTAAACAAGGCAGGGCGTGTTTCTTTGGAGAATGTGGGTTGCCTATGGGTCTTCTAGGTGAGGAATCCCATAAGCATTCGGTCTGAGGAGAAGGCGAGGGATCTGGACTGGAGTTAAAACTCGAGACCGAATATACAGGTGGCTGCAGAAACCAGGGGTGTCTGCGACATTGTTCAGAGGGTCGTGTGGGAGTGAGGAAATAGAATGGGGGATAACCAAGACTGAACAAGGTGGGTGGAGAGGAAGAGAGCAGCGAGGTTCACGGGTTGTGTGAACAGAGGAAGGTGGACACGACAGAGAGCACACTTGGGGTTCCATTCATGTAAAAGCTAAAACCAAACCAAAGTCTTCAGTGGCGACAGGAGGGCAGAGTCGAGGCTGCCCTGTGGGAGTCCCTGACAGGAGCGGGTCACAGGCCGACTTCTGAGTGCTGGCAGCATCCCAGGTCTTCCTCCAGGGGTGGCTGTGTGGGTGTATATGTGTGCACAATGCGCTGAGATTCTGCACTTTATTGGAAGTAATAAATTTAAAAAGTGTTAAAAATAAGAAAGGAGGAAAGCAAGGCAGGAGGGAGGGATAAAGGGAGGGAGGAAGGGCAGAAGGGAAGAAAGAAACCAGGAGGAATGGTGGCAGGAGAGGAGGGGGTTTCAAGGAGGTTGTCGGCCAGTGTCGCTCACATGCCTGGAGCTCAAGCCACCGCGCCAGCTCTGTAGAGGCAGGAGTAACGCCTGTGGCCTTGGAGGCTGCCCCGCAGTCCTCTTGGTTCACCACTAGTGTGTGTCTCTCATGCTTCGAGTGAGTGGTGTGGAACGGAGCCTAGCGTTGAATCAGGACATGGAGGAGCAAGAGCCGCTGGGGGGATCCTGTGCCCGAGAAACCCCTCAGCTCCTGGTGGTGCCAACGGCCGCGTCTGTGGTTTCCTGAGTGCCCTCCCTGGCAAATCCTTGTGTTTAAACTTGATAATGGTTAATAAAAAAAGTAATTAACTACTAAAATTTGATTAAAAAAACTTCCTTCTATTTTATTGTGAGAGTTTCCCATAGAAACCACTTCAGCTTTGGCATGGTGAACGGCAGCTTTATTAACGGAGCCATCTGCAGGGTTTCCTCACAATCTGTTGCGTTGCCCATGGCTTCCAGTGCAAACACGGGTGACTGTGATGCAGGCTCCAGCCAGTGATCAGAGGGGACAGCCTTCCTGGCGCTCTGATGCAGGGACAGCTAATCTCTCGTTCTCTTATGTGCTGAGCTCGCCAGGATGTCTCTCCCCTTTGGATTGGATGTGGGCAAGGCCTTCATCTTCTCTTTTTCCTTTCTAGACATGGGAGATGGTACCTCTGCCGCACAGATAACACCTAAACCCACCTCCACTCACTGGAAAATGCTTTCATGGGAAGCAGTAATTCTCCCTGTGAGTGAAAACTGTTTCCTGAGGCCTTTTCCACCGTAGCCAGTGGTTAGAGTCCTGCTGTCAGATTCCTCACTGGCCCCTCGACAGGCTGACCGCCAGGTGGGGATGGAGTTGAATCACACTAAGGCTCTACGGTCTTGGTGGGGGCTGAGTCCTATCGGGGGGATTCTTGGTTCATAATTAATCATCTTCTCCATGGAAATGTCCAAGCCTGGCAAACGTTTCTGCTAATGATTCTGGTGAGGAGATGTTCACGGGCAGCACATGGCAGGCCACATCAACACAGATCTTGCCAGCATAGCTGGGGCCTGTCGCTCTCGGAGAAAGCCTGGTCACCTCATCTCAGTTCTGCGGCAGTCTTGGGAGGGCTCTGCTAGAGAGTGAAATTCTGCTCTTCCTTTCCATTTGATTAATTCTGAATAAGGGAAGCTGATTCAGCCCAGACACGCAAGGAAAGGCAGAGGCTGGATGGCTTCAGGAGAGGGCATCCGAGGAGGAGTACCAACGACACATCAACCGGAAGCAAGACGAGGAGCGGCTCCCTGGCCGCTGCGGCTGGGGGAGAAACACGGAACGGCTGTCTCTGCCTTGCATGTGGGCCAGGAGCATGGGGAGTAGGGTTATGGACCAACCAACCGTCATCGGAGGGGCGGACCAGAAGATGAATTCTTAGTGCTCCCGGGTCGTCTCTTGTCCCTATGGTCCCAGATGCTGAGCTTCACAGTCATACCCCAGACTGACACCCTCCCTCGCCTAGGCTTCCCTCATGGCCACGCCATGCTAGGGGTTCTCCCACAGGGACCCATGGTAGCAGAGCGGGCGCTAGAAAGCCAGTGGGCACCGCTTGGTCCCACGGTCCGCACTGCCTCCTCTGACTGGTCAGTGGAGCACTGCAGGTGCACACGTGCAGGGAGAGTTTCAAAAGGCTTCGTGGTAGTAAGGCTCATTTTCTTCTCCATATTCCCTTCAAAAGCATAAAAAGAAGGTAAAGTTTCTATGTCAGTATGTACATATTTTATTTTGAGACTCTGAGGAAGTTGCAAAAATAAGAGTCCCATGAACCCTTCCCTCTGCTTCCCCCAGTGGTGAGATCTTACGTTAACTATATGAGACCAGGAAAGTAACATTGGAAGGACACAGTAATCCAGACCACAGGCTTCCTTGGTTTTCAGCAGTTCAGCGTGCACTCTATGGAATTTGACCCCACGTGTAGATTCATGGTGGCCGCCATCCTACTCATCGTCACTGCAGAGGAATCCCCTTGTGCCACCCCTTTGTAGTTGCCTCCCCTCCCTTCCATTCCTGTCCCCTGAAGTCACTAGTCTTTTCTCTGTCTCTGTAGTTTTGTCATTTCAAGAATGGTGTATCAATGGGATGCAGTTTGTAGAGTTTTGAGATGGGCTGCTTTTCACTGTTGCTCATGCCCGTGAGCACCATCACATGTGCATGTGTTCACAGCCCTTTTTCTTGCTAAGTATTATTCCACTGTGTGGGTTGCACATCACCTTGGTTTTTCTGTGAAGATTCCAGAAGTAGCAACATCACTTTTTAAATATTGAGATTCAGCCTTTTGGAGGTTGATTCTAGAATTTAAGCAATGGGTGGATGGTTTCAGTGCATGAGTAATCCAAGATTCCTTAGGAATAATTTACTTTGTACATTTACTTTGTACATCCATTATACATTATAGCATCTAGTTACAATTTTCTAATTTTGAGGGAACCTGACTTTGCTCTAATCCAATTCTAAAATATACAAAGTTTGTTTTTACAACCTTTCTAGAGTGTATGCTCCGTGAGGGCAGGGGCTAATCTTTCTCATTTTGGGATTCCTTGCTGAGCCCCACACAGTTCCTTGCACTAGGCAGGTTCTTAATATATATCTGATGAATGGGTGCCTCCTTTGGATCCTGAGTCCCACATAAACTCCCCAGGATTCACACTGGCTGCCACTTTGAAGGTGGTGGCAACACAATGCATGTTTCTTGTAGAGAGACTGAAGTCCGTAGAAGAGGAGCTGCTGTAAGGCATCTGGCTTGCATTTGTCAATTGAAACAGAGCTCTACGGTGACGGCTCCAGCTTCTGGTTTCCCTGCTTCTAACCAGGTTATCAAATCATTCCAACCCAGTGCCAGCCAAACGGGCATCACTGTTGACAGTGGCAGGCTCCGGAGTCTCCTGTGACCTTTCCTAGGAGGCACAAGGGCTTGGTTACTGTGATCAGTCAAGCATGAGATGGGATGACCAGGCTGAAGGCTTTGCATATTAAGAAATTCCTTTTCCTCCCTGAGGCCCTTTCTTCGGGCACTCACTTTCTTCTCAGTGCCTTCAATGAGATCTGGTGAAAGGACACCCTGTCAGGAGTTGATGTCGGCCTCTGGAATCGATTTTGTTGAATCCCACTGAGATACTTAGTAATCATCAGCAGTGGTCCATATTCATCTGTCTGTCAAATGGATGGCTCCTCAGGAAAATCTATTTTCAGGACTACAGGATTATATTGCTAACAGGGAGAAGGGACGGAAGATCAAAATTCTATGGCTGAGCATGGAGTTGGCCCAACCTCCCAACACTGGCCACAGGAAGTGAGGGATGGGGAATGAGGACCAAGTGGAAAAAGCACGTGGCCAATGACAGAGAGAAGCTGCCACGCTGAGCTCAGTGAAATGGAAATTGCCCAAAGCCTGGATAATAAGGGAGTGGTGTCTTCACACCAATAGGTTTAAATTGAACATTAGGGACTGAGGACTTCTGTGCCCATGGTCAGAGAAGGCAGGAAGAACAGGCATTTGCTGGCAGCAGGTGCCACAGTGAACCAGCCTAGCGGTTCCTCTGCCCCATGCTGTGGTTGTAGGGATAGTAGGGAAGGATTTGTGCATAATCCCCCCTTCACCTCTTGACACGATTCAAAGTCCAAAGCCTCATCATCACCTTCTCTTCTGCCAGTCTTAAGTTCTTCTACTGGAAGTTTAACCGATTTCATTCTTATTAACAACCATTGTTATTTTACAGTGCATATAACCTACAGCAAGCGAGCATGGCAGCTGGCTGCACGGACTCCGGAGGCGGGAGTACCTGGCTTCAACTCGTAACTCAGCCAGTCGGCTTCTGTGTACCTCAAGTTTCTTCATCTGTGAAATGGAGATAATCGAATTTAGTATTTTGAAAAGATTGAGTTAATACATGTTAAACACATGAAGTGTTAACTGTTTTCATTGAGTAGCATCTAGTCATGGGGCTGGGCCATATTTTAATCATTGAACACCTCGGTTTTATTTCAGCCTATTTTTTCATGTTTTTGTCCTTTGAGACATAGAAGTGGTGCCCTTTAGGTTTTCTACCAGATTTCTGAATTGTTATTTATTTTCAAGTTAAGGATGCTTTTTAAAAAACTGCATTCTATTATCACATTTTAAATTTTTCTTATTTTTTTTTTTGAGACACAGTCTTGCTATGTTGCCCAGGCTGAGGTGCAGTGGCGTGATCTCGGCTCACTGCAACCTCCGCCTCCCAGGTTCAAGTGATTCTCATGCCTCAGCCTCCCAAGTAGCTGGGACTATAGGTGTGCGCCACGAGATCTAGCTAATTTTTGTATTTTTAGTAGAGACAAGGTTTCACCATTTTGGCCAGCCTGGTCTAGAACTCCCGATGTGAAGTGATCTGCCTGCCTCGGCCTCCCAAAGTGCTGGAATTACAGGCATGAGCCACGGCACCTGGCCTATTGTCACACTTAAAATAATTGCTTATGAAATATCCACTGTTCACAATTCCCCAATTGTCTCAATGTTTTCTACCATTTGTTTGAATCAGAATCCAACAAGGCTCATGGTGGATGTTTAAATACTGATGCTTTGTGATACACAGGGGAGAGGATGTGGGAACAATTGTTTGGCCTTTAAGAGCATACATCAGGCCTGTAATTCACCACTTTGGGAGGCCGAGGCAGGCGGATCACCTGAGGTTGGGAGTTCAAGACTAGCTTGGCCAATAAAGTGAAACCCTGTCTCTACTAAAAATACAAAAAATATTATCTGGGCACGGTGGTGCATGCCTGTAATCCCAGCTAGCTACTTGGGAGGCTGAGGCAGGAGAATTGCTTGAACCCAGGAGGTGGAGGTTGCAGTGAGCTAAGATCACGCCATTGCACTCCAGCCTGGGTGACAGAGCGAGACTCTGTCTCTAAATTTAAATAAATATAAAAATAAATAAAAGCATACATCAGCATCTAGTAATGAATGTGGTCCTGTTTGGATTGGCAGATTCTTTAAAAGTGGTCAGTTCAGTAAGCCATGGTCTCTTGACATCACCCATGAAGAGATAGTGGATAAAGAAATGAAACAGTCTGACGTTCCCAGGAGACAAACTTTTCTATTTGTTCTTCTTCCTTTTCCTTTGTCTAGGAAATGTTTATTTTTGAGATAGGGTCTCCTCTGTTGCCCAGGCTGGAGTGCAGTGGTGCAATCTCAGCTCACTGCAATCTCACCTGGGTTCAAGCGATTCTCCCACCTCAGCCTTCCTAGTAGCTGGGACTACAGGTGCGCGCCACCACACCTGGATTTTTTTTTTTCTGTATTTTTGGTAGAGATGGGGTTTCACCATGTTGCCCAGGCTGGTCTTGAACTCCTGGGCTCCAGTGATCACCTGCCTCAGCCTCCCAAAGTGCTGGGATTACAGGTGTCAGCTACCGTGCCCAGCGGAAATGTCTTCTTTACATCAAAGCTTTTAAGGCTACTATCAGGATCTATTAATGAAGGGAAGGTAGAGCAGAAATTCAAGTTTCTTTTGGAAAAGGTGAACCAATCAGCACAAAATGACTAACATTACATGAGTCCCTGTGAGGAGAGCAGGAGCTGCCCCTTCACAAGGAGATGCACCTGTTTATTTTTAGGAAACATACCTACAGACCATTCTGTTTCTGTGGCTGCTGGAGACTCCAGTCGTGGGCATCTTGGACAAAGGGACTTTTCCAGCAGGGCTTCAGTGATGGTGATACAGATGTGCGGCACTGCTGTGTCGTGGACTCACCTCGTCCCAGACTGAGGACCAAGACTGACACAGACTCTCTTCTGTTTCCCTTATCTCCTTTCCAAAGTAAGTCTGTGAATCTACCCTGGTCCTTTCCTTCTATGTCTAATGAATGTCTTTCTCCTAGTGTAGTGGAGGAAGTACAAATTTTGAAGTTCTAGAACATAAAGTCTCAGCATGGCCATGATCTAAATGAACATAGGCTGGTTACTAAATCTCCCAAACTCATTTCTTCATCTACAGTCACCTCCCTGTATCCCTGAACACCTGGGTATTGGGAGATGTTGGGCCCACAGTAGGTACTCCTCCAGGGGCAGCTCTTCTTGGTCCATATCCTGCCCATCTGCTCTTCAGCCTTCGTGGTCCTAAAAACATGTACTTATCCTTTATTTCCAGCTTTAAGCTGGAAAACTAGTTCCTTCTAGAAGTTACACTAATACAACACCTCAATGTGCCCAAAATCTAATTCATCATTTCGCCATAGAAGTAGTTTTGGATTTTCTTACTTGTGAAGAAAAATCACATTGTTGAGTGGGTTTGTTTTGGTGCCCACTAGCCATTCTGTCTCAGAATCAGTGAAAATGGAACTCCTACCCCAGGATAGCCTCTCATGGATTAGTATATGTAAGTAAGTGGCTGTGAATATTCAGTCACCAGGGACGAGTAAGGCAATAATGAAAACCCCATCATTTCTATGATTGTAAACCTGGGGAATGTTTGGAATACTATCAATCAACCTATTCTTTATAAAGAAACATTTGTAGTAGCCAATTTGTGATTGTGGTATACAGAAGATCTGCGTTAAAAAGCAACATGGGAGAGATGGGAGAAAGCAGAGAATGCCATGGCCTACTGAGTTCAAGTACTTCACAAAGGCTAACACTGCGAGGCAGCCTAGTCGGATGGGTAACGAAGATTATCAGGATTATCCAATATTAAACATTAGAGAAAGTGCTGACATGAAATAAGTGAAAACAAAGCTATCCACATATTCAGGGGGAGCATAAATCAGAAGTAATTTCCTCTAACATTATGAGATGGGAGTTTGTTACTACCAGAATGATTTTATCCACAGCAGCAGCAGTAGCCCACTGATAAATGTTGTCTTCTGAATTGTCATGCCTTCTGATAACTGGATAGTCATGGAAACTCTCAGTATAAATGAAGAAAGAGTTAAGACGCACTTAGAAAGAGGAAACATTTTGATTATTTTATTTTTTAATCTTCAAAATTTTCTGCCATGAGACAGGAATGCATGATAGCAATGGCTCAACATCTTCACATGAAACACTTGGATTCATTTTCATTCACAAGTTTTTCTAAAAACATCTACAATTTCATAACCCCACCCACTTCCAACCATTATCACAGATTTAACTGACCATTAAACAGTAGTTGCCAGCATTAAATAGCTGGAACGCTTCCTGCGTATTAGTAGTGTCTTTTGAAACTACCACCGAAGAGTATCATGATTATAAATCTCATTGTACATGGCAACCCCAAAGGTGACTGATGTCCTCAAATAAACTCCCTGCTGATCACTGAGAGCTGTATTCCCCAGGTACTTAAAGAAATGCTCTTTCTTCTCCAAGAACTGCCTGTTCATGTCAGTATATTTCTTGCAGGGAGTATAGCACATGCTGATCTGATGATGTAATAATCATTGCTAACAGACAGATATATATGCCTGATACTTACTGGCGCGCTCCGATAAGTATGTACAGAACATACATACTGAAGAAAGATGGGTTGCTTGGAATCTCTCTTCTTTTGAAGAGAACTATTTTGAGGTTTTTTAACAGTTGTAAACAAAAGGAAAGATATACAGATACCTATACACATAGAGATCTACACTGAGTATTTTCAACGTGGTGCATATCTTCTTATCTAGAGATACACACAGTGTCTCCACTCGCCCCTTCACACACACCCACACCCTTCCATACAGCGTGTGAATATAAATGTTGTAAATGTCCTTGGGAGTTCACTGGAGTTTTCATATTACCAAATGATGATGAAATACCTGATTTGTATTACTCCTGAGAAGATATTAGAAGGGAATGACAGTTCTGATGCACTTTGGAATGGCACAATCACGTAAACGCCTGCATACTTAAGACTTCTTAACTCATCCAAAGTTTCTAAACATGATTTGACCAAAAAAATAGAAAGTATCAAAACAATGCAGCAAGTTAAAAAATCAAAACAAAATACTTTTTTATAATCAAAGTATAAACATATAGGAAATACATATTTGTCAGTAATTACTCTTAAAGTAGGAAATGTACTGAAAACCATAGCTAGCCAACAGAACTTAAAAAAAATACCTTTCCAATGCATAATACATGCATTGCCCAAAAGAGTAGGATAGCCACATTAGACTTACAAGACTTACAGCAACTCCACCAGAAAAAAACTGCTACACAGCAAGTCTGTTAAGTATGCTGTTGGTAAAAAAAACTGCTGTGACTGTTACCCACACTTCTGTAAAAAAAAGAATTTGCAATTTGATGAGTATCTTATCCCTCATATAATCTGTATAAAATTACAACAAAACCAATAAATTTCAAGCACCAATTCAATAATCTAAACTTACTGTATTTATATTTCTCCTATTACTGAGGGAACAAATTATGATGAAGGCTTAGCTGAAATTAGCCAGGTAATTATTACAGTTTAGTTTTAAAGGCATGTGGTTTTCCTTCCATTCACTTGAATCTCAAACATTTGAGAATGTTTAGGCTAGTAAAGGACTCCTTGGAGGAATCCATCATTTCTGAGTATTGAAGGTTTTAATATACATTGAAAGCTCTTTAACAAACCAATGCTCTCTTAGTTCTAGGATAAAACAGAGTTGCACACAAGAAATTAAGGGACTGTTCCTCATTATGACTTAGAAAAGGCAGCACCTCTCTAGTAGACTAAGAGCATGTCTGGACATCCACTGGTAGTGTAAGAAAACGGCATTTTTTAAAGAAGGCAACACCATTGCACTTGGCAAAACTGAAGTTTTTCTTAATTAAAAATTTTCCATTACACATTTGGGGTGAGAGGGTATCTCAGTAAGAGTACATTTTTTTCTGGTTTCTTTTTCAGGAAAAAAAAAAAAAAAAGTAGTACAGTCTGAGCCAGTAGATGAGTAACAGTGTTTGTGATACCTCTGGTTGTTCCTGAAGAAAACATGTTCAGATAACAAGGGGGTTTGTTTTCAAAATCAATGCAACTGCTGTTTTTGTTTCCAGTATTTACATCACACCACTTAGGTACACAGTAATTTGTGAGACATCATTAATGATTCAGTCTTCTCCTAGTATTAAGTTTGGTTAATTTTCAATAAACACCAAACTAAAACTTTAAGTTGGCTGTATTTGAGAGACTGAAAATAAGACTATTGAAGAAAACAAATCACATGGAAACCAAAATCTCAATCAACAGTGATTCTCCATCACTGCCCATCCTGTTACCTGAACTTTATCACAAAATCACATGCAGCTGAAGGAAAAGAGTTGCACTGAAGCCAGGGTGTTAGGACGAGGGCGAAGGGTCTTGCTGGTCCTCCAGAAGGGTGGCTTTGGCCTGCTCCTTGCTTATCTCGTTGCATGGCTCTTCATAAAGAGGCTCACCAAGGTCTCCGCTGCCCTCTTCACTCTCCTCCTCGCTGTGGTCTTCACTTGGCTCCACAGTTTGTTCCAGGCTGTTCTCCAGAAGTGTGGGAGAACTGCTTATTCTACTTTCCTCTTCAGCTGTCTCATTTAAGGGCTGAGAAGGAGGCGGTGTGGGAGTATTAGATTGGATGACACTTTCAGTGGAAGAGACGGGGGCTTTGGTTAGAGTAGTATCCGCTACAGTCTCATTCTGAGGCAAAGATAACTTTTCCACAAGTTTCCACTGAATGATGCTCATGTCTTTTCCACCAGTTGATATCAGGTGACTGTCATTGTGAGTAAAACTGACATTGGTGACATGGCTGCTGTGGGCACTGTACTTGTGACTGGGAGCCTATATGAAATAAATCAGACAGACAGGAAAATTAAACTCATTCTTGACATGCCTGTTTCAGAAATGGAGGTGATACGTAAGGGGGGTAAACTCAGCTTGTGAAATGGGCAATCCAATTTAAAGCCAGAAGTCATCAAATCTCAGGAGTAAGGCTAGCCGTTATTTCCTTTTATTATCACTTTACATAGGAAAAACGAAACAGAAGAATTGGACATCTCTGTATTTTCACACTATATGTTTAAAAAAATAGCTAAAAGTCTGTCTCTTCTAGATGTTGGTCGTATACTTGCCAGAGCTTAGTAATTATTCTTCTGAAATGGTTAGGGGAACATTTACTATGTTGGTAGGATTACAGGACATTCGGGAAACAGTTCCATTAGTTTTATAACGTTGAATATGTATCCAACAAATAAAATATTTTAAAATATTTAGGAGAGATTTTAAATTGCCAACAAATCAAAATAAAAAGCAACCGGACAATAAAGAAACAGGAATAACATCATCGGTCGTCATTTCTACAGCTCACTTCTCCTTAGCCTTAGGAAGGGGGAGAAGACAAGCACTGCCTGGATGGATGCTCACCGATGGCCCTTATCTCCCTCTGTGCACTGGAGTATCATGGAGAGGAATCAGTAACCTATATTTTCTTGCTATGGATGCAAAATCATCCCTGGACAGAAGGCCTTATAACATTAGTTTCTATTAAAGTGAGTTTACCTTTGCTTTGGAGCAGGGATACTGAAACAGATGGACTTTACAAAAGTCATCGGCAACAGCTATCACCTTTCTATTGTGGGATCGCACCAGTGCATTGATATCTGTCCCATCAGATCCTTCTGGCCAGACACCTTTGATATGGAAACACAGGGATGCAGAAAAATTAGCTGAAGAAATATAACTGTGATGCTATATATGTTTATTTTATTTTAGAATCTGTTTAGCTTTTATCTATGTTCAAACTCTTAGCTGTTAACATTTCCTTTACAAATTTCTCAGTGGCTCACACTGTTCTTCATTCAAATCAAGTCCTGTCCAAAATCTAACTAATAAAAAACCAAAATAGCCCCAAAATGGAAAACTTAAAGACTCAATGGTACTCAATGGTAACCAGCAGGTGGTGCTAATAATTTATTTTACTTTCAGCTTGACTTACACCTCAGCAATAAGCTCTTCCTTTTTAAAGTTTCTGGATGGAGGGAATCAGTTACTTGTATAGACAAGGTTCAAAAACAAAGCCATAACACCAAGTCTTCGAAGTGGAGTCTAGGTTTTCTTTCAGGCAAGCACCTCCAAGAAAACCTCAGAGAGATTATTTCTTTTAGAAAGCATAGGCCATCCACTAGTTTAGCATGCTATCCCATGTAATTTTCCTGGAAAGATTATGTCCCAAGATAAGACACGTCAAATTTAATTATTCTGAATCATTATGCAGCACTAATGATCATGTCGAACATAATTTTCACAAACCTCTATTAGGCTAGATTGAAACTATGGAAGATTTAAGGGTTGAGATGTTGGCCACTTGTGGTTGAATGCTACTCTAGAGAACAAATATGTTTTTGGTAAATTTGCTAAAAACAAGTCAAAATACTTTAAAATTGGTCTCTCTTAATAATTTAAATAAATAATGTCTTCATTAAAATAACCACAGAAGCTACCAGCTATGGGTCACTGCTTCATTTTCACGTAGAATAATGAAATTGTTTATGGACAGAATTATTTTGTTTTTAATTCCTTCCTGGCCTATTAGGCTTCTCTGTCTTGATAGCACTTGTGTTTAGAACAACCACCTATAATGGATTATTTTCCTAATGCACATAGCATAAAGAAATGTTCAGATCTATGATCAGGCTGGAGAACCCAATTTTCAGAAGGCAGAGATAAATTGTTAAAGAGAAAATATTAATTTTTGTGTATTGCTTTAGGTATTGGTGCCACATCCATATCCAGTATTTTAATTACCTGAGCATAACACTTCTTTTTAATTCTTTGCAAATAACGCTTTATTATTTTAACTTTTCCATCTATCTTCTAACCCTTTCAGAAGGATACCTAAATACTGAGGAAGGCTTAGAAAACAGTCATAGAGGTCGGATTTCCAGAAAGTTACAAAACGTCAGATTAGGAAGAAGCCCCACATAGTTATCTTTATATAATTCTCCTAAAAATGCCTTTGTATTTCAACAAGTGGTGTAAGGCAACTAGACATCCACACGCAAAATAATAATAAAATACACTGACAAGGACATGGAGGAACCAGAACCCTCGTACACTGCTGGTGGAAATGTAAATGTAGTCACTGTGGAAAACAGTCTGGCAGTTGCTCAAAAGAGTAAACATACAGTTACCATTTGACTCAGCAATTCTACTCCTAGGTAAATACCCAAGAGAAATGAAAACATGTCTACACAAAAACCTGCACATGACTGTTCACAGCAGTGGTATTCATAATAGCTGAAAAGTAGAAACAGCCCAAGTGTCCATCAGCTGATGAATGAATTAACAAAATGTCATCTATCCATACAATGGGATATTACTCAGCCATAAAAAGAGTAAAGTACTGATGTATGCTACAACGTGGATAAACCTTGAAAACGTTATGCTAAATCACAGAAGCTAGTCTCAGTGGATCAAATATTGTATGATTCCCCTTATATAAACTATACAGAAAAGGCAAATCAATAACAGATTAGTGGTTGCTGGGGGGTGGGGTAGAGGATAAGAGAGATGGGGTAACTGTTAATGGGTACAGAGTTTCTTTGTGGGGTAATGAAAATGTTCTAAAATTAGACCTTGATGGTCACACAACTAAGTATACAAAAACCACTGAATTTTACACTTTATTTATTTATGAGCTGGAGTCTCACTCTGTCACCCAGGCTGGAGTGCAGTGGCACAATCTCAGCTCACTGCAGCCTCTGCCTCCCAGGTTCAAGCAGTTCTCCTGCCTCAGCCTCCCACGTAACTGGGATTACAGGTGCACGTCACCACGCCCAGCTAATTTTTGTATTTTTAGCAGAGACAGGGTTTCACCATGTTGGCCAGGCTGGTCTCGAACTCCTGAACTCAGGTGATTTGCCCACCTCGGCCTCCCAAAGTGCTAGAATTACAGGTGTGAGCCACTGCGCCCAGCCTGAATTTTACACTTTAGGTGAATTGTATGGCATGTATCTCAAGCTATTTAAAAATGCCTTTCCAAATTTAATAACTTCAATTTTCACTTAAAGAAAAACGGGAAGGTAATCTGTACTACTATGTAAATTCCTTGTCTTTCATATTAAGGACCAAAAGTGCTTGATTCTGCAAAATACAAATCCCATGTTGGTTCAATCCTAATACATTTAATTTCTCTGAGGCTGACATTAATAGTGATAAAGCTAAAGAATACACAGACTATTTTTCATTTATAAATTTAAGCAAGTAAATATTATATATAAAAAACCCACAAACCACTTCTTTACATCAGGTGTCATTTCCTTACCAAATACTTGAAATCCTAGCACACAGGTATATGTCGTCCAATCAATGTCCTTACAATCCGATCGATTCCTGATTAGTTTGCAGCCATTTGGAATGTCCCCTTTAAATTTAGAAACAGGAAGTATAATCATAGTGCTTGTGTACAAATGTATTTGAAAGTGCATCTTGATTCAAACTAGCCACGTTTACTTGTATTTATAATCCATACACTGAAAAACATTAAGACACATTTAAAAAGGAAAAGAAAGTGTTCACTTTAACAGGGTTTATAAAACTACAAACTGTTTCCCATGGAAGTTTTTTTTTTCCTCTAAAAAGCATAAATGCCCATCTATCATATTCCTCCCTGCCTCCAGGAGAAGTAATTAAATGAAAAACCATTCAGAGCAGCATCAATTTGACAGAGTAATTTCTTATTACTATATGTGCCTTCTGTTCTACACTATTAACATTAATTCATTACTCTTGGAGAAGTGAATCACATTTGAGATTCTCATTACCTTAGCTCAGCATAACATATGCTTTGTCAGGTTAAAGAGGTTGGCAAGCATTCTCTGCACAATTCAGATTCCATGCAGCCTGTTCATTAGCGCCCCTGACAGACACATCTTAGCATATATATATATATATATATATATATATATATATATAAATATAATCATAGCATATATATATATATATAAAATCATTCATACTTACAGTACAATATTTCATAGTCTCCCGAGTTAGACATTATATACTTGTTGTCTGGGGACCAGTCAAGGTGTGTGATGTAGCTGGAATGTCCCTAGAAAATAACAGATAAATTGTTAGAAAGCATTTAGAGTTCTGAATGATAAACAGTTCAACAGCTAGCCAATACTGTTTCTGAATACACATTTGTTGGAATTTCTAAAGGAGAGGAAGCAGTGTCACACCCTCTAAAACTGAGCAGGCTCACAGCAAATCCTCAGCACTTGAAACCTGGGAGAAACTTTCTGGCCTATCTAGATACCAGAAACTAGCACCTACTACCTGTATTAGACACTTCCAAGAAAGACAGTCTCTTAAACTTGTATCTTACAGGACATTGCAACACATACCACACCCTCTGGCCTTATTTCACGTCACTGGTGTCCCCATGAGAGTGACTCCATTTTTGAGAATGAAGTGTTGGTTATAAGTTGTGCATAAGGCATCAGGAATACAGTTTTCCTGGGCTACTTCTGAATTATCCATGGTACAACTCAGAAGCTGAGGAATACAGCACCCGTATATGGTCTATGGAGGTATCCTAGAAAGACTATCTCTAAAGAATGTTTTGGGGAAAATTCACCCAACGCTGTACTCCATCAGAACAGTAGGTCTCAATAAAATCATGATTCCTTAAAACATTCCTTAAGCAGGAAACAACGATCTTTTTCTGCTTAGGTTTTCACACTGTGGGAATTAAAACAAAAAAACTACGAAACACTAATTTTTGTTGGCTTCACGTATAAGCACTTAAGCATTTCCAATAAACTATTTCAGATAAATTACACAGATCTTATGGTTCACCAAAGCTGACAGAGACTTGAATTTGCTTTTACCTCCTACAGTCTGTGGTCAAACACATTTAATTTCTACTGTGCTTTTTCAATTACTAACTTTTTTTTTGAGACAGGGTCTCACTCTGTTGCCAAGGCTGGAGTACAATGGTGCTATCATGGCTCACTGCAGCCTTGACCCCACTGGGCTCAGGTGATCCTTCCACTTCTCAGCCTCCTGGATAGCTGGGACTACAGGCACATGCCATCACTCCCAGCTAATTTTTGTATTTTCTGCAGAGACAAGGTTTCACCACATCGCCGAGGCTGGTCTTGAACTCCCAGGCTCAAGCGATCCTCCAGCCTCAGCCTCCCAAAGTGCTGGGACTACTGGCATGAGCCACTGTATCCGGTCAATTACTAGCTTTCTGGTCACATGATTTTATTCTTTTTATTTTGAGACAGAGTCTCTGTTGCCCAGTCTGGAGTGCAGTGGCACAATCTCAGCTCACTGCAATCTCCACCTCTCAGGTTCAAATGATTCTCATGCCTCAGCCTCCTGAGTAGCTGGGAATACAGGTGTGCACCACCATCCCAGCTAATTTTTTCTATTTTTAGTACAGACGGGGTTTCCCTGTGTTGGCCAGGCTGGTCTCGAACTCCTGGCCTCAAGTGATATGCCCACCTCAGCCTCCCAAAGTGCTGGGATTACAGGTGTGAGCCACTGCACCTGGCCTTTATTTTTTTTCACCTATTCTTTTCTTCCTCTAAGACTTTTTCTTTTTCTTTTCTTTTTTTTTTAATTGAGACAGAGTCTCACTCGTTCACCCAGGCTGGAGTGCAGTGGCATAATCTTGGCTCACTGCAACCTCCGCCTCCTGGGTTCAAGTGATCCTCCCACCTCAGCCTCCCAAGTAGCTGGGACTACAGGTGCGCATCACCACGCCCCGCTAATTTTTGTTTGTTTTTTTTTTTTTGGTAGAGACGGGGTTTCACCACATTAGCCAGGCTGGTCTCGAATTCCTGACCTGAAGTTATCCACTTGCCCCAGCCTCCCAAAGTGCTGGGATTATAGTGAGCCACTGCACCTGACCAGGATTTTATTTTGTAAGTTAACAAATTCAGTGTACCTTAGGGATAGTTTTTAATGATTTACATTAGAACAATGACTCTAATTCTTTTAGTACCCTTCTGAAGTCTACCGATGTGTCCCCAAACCTTTCTGGAGCCATAATCTCCACCATAGTGCTGTATGGGAAATAAACATATTTAAACCAATTTAAATTATATGAATCTGAGAAGTGAAGCTTTCTGAAATCACTAGAATTAAGCGGTATATTGGAAAACACGTTGGGAATCACTTGCTAGGCATACAGGGGACCTACTAACTTAAGAAATCAATTTTCAGAGACAGCAAGATGCACATGGATGTTGGCTATTTTCTGAGTATGGCAGGGTTCATACATCCTTTTCATAGTGCACATGAGCCTGGCTCTGGCGTCTGGGGAAGCCATGCTTCTGAAATTAAAACTTGCTACGTGGATGAAGATTTAACAAGATTGGTCATGGCAAAGTACAGGCCTCTGAGAATTTCACCCTAATGGAATAGTATTTAAAAATACTATCTGCATCTTTGTGCAAAGCTTTGTGCAAAGCTTTCAATAGTTCAATTAGAAGAGCATCAAAAGCATTGTATATATACATAATATTCATGCAAAAACATCTATGTTGGACACAGATTATTTTCAGAAGGTAAATCAACATAAAGTATTCTCAAAAAGGACTCTTGAGTAGGAGAAGTCCCCAAATTTAGAAAAGATCTTAGGAAAGTTATTAACTCATATTTAGAAATGAAAGTATTTTCTGCCTGGCATCAATTCCAATAAATAAGCAAAGAAAAGATGAAATGCAGCTGTTGGGGTCTATGTTACCCTCCCCACAAATCACCTCAGTGTCCTTCCTCTACCCAAGTCACAGGCTAATGCAAAGTGTATGCACAGCTTAGAAAAAAGCCTCAAACTTTACTCCATGGGCACAAACACAGGAGCAAATTCTAGTATATCTCCTTGAAGACAAACAAAAAAGTATTCTAAGCTGGCCCTTTCATTATTGTCATTAAATAGCCATATGGCGTTACCACAAAAATAATCCCAAGTGACAAAGTGAAAGAATATGGCTATGAAGAAAAAATTCAGAAATATTTGAGTTAAATCTTTGTCAACTGCATGATGATTATCACCTGAATCAGTGGTTTGCAACTGGTTTAAAATTACCTGGGGAGTTAAAAAACAACCAAGCAACCAAGCAACCAAGGTCTCAATTTAGGACCTAACTTTTGTCCATTTAGAGCTATGCTGTTCAGTGGAACTTTCTGCAGTGATAAAAAATATCTGTATCAGTGCAGTCCAATGCAGTAGCAACTAGTCCCCTGTGGTTTCTAAGTAACTGAAACGTTGCTGCACTCTCAGGGAACTGAATTGCCTTTAATGATATGAACAGAAAGTTGTGGCTAGTAATTGCCATATTGGAAAATACAGGTAGAGAAGTCTATTCTTTCTCTACTGATTTGAAATACCGTTTTTATTACTTAGTAAACTTCATAAAAACATAAATCTGTTCCTGGATGCTTTTCTGTTCCATCAGTCTATCTGCTTATTCCCAACCATGATAGTTCTGTGATACGTGGAAAATTTCAGATGAACTAGAACTATTTTATTAATCCCATAAATATGTTGAAAATCTGAAGATCATATCAAACTTAGAGAAGTTTGTAGAAAACATATCTTTATCAGGTTATCTAGAAACATGCTATGTCTAATTCTTTCAGATCTTAGTTATGTCTTTCAGCAATGTTTCACACAGCTTCCTGTGCTTTTGTTGCTATGTTTATTCTCAAAGCATCTAGTTTTTGTTGCTATTGTGAATGCATTTTTTCTCCCACATTTTTGATATGCGTTTGCTGGTTTGAGGAAAAGTGGTCTTTACCTAGTGACTAGAGTGTAGCCTGCTAGTTGCCTCTCCAATCCACATTATCCCCCTTCTGTTGAGTGACCAGCTAGAACACTATTATTTCCCAGCTCCTTTGAAGTTAGGGGTGGCAGAAGTCATTGTGTGGGGCTTCCAGGAAAACTCTGAGAACTGACTTAGTGGAAGGAGTGCTCTTTTGTCACTTGCTCTAATCCCTTCTGCTTGGAACTAGGTGATGATGGCTGGAGTTCCAGCAGCATGTTATGATGTTGAGGATGGAAGCAACATACTAATAAGATGGCTTAGAAAGAAAGGATCCGAGTTCTTGATGGCCTCTTTTAAATGAGACCATATCCCTGATGTGTTCAAGTGAATAGGTACTACTTTTTTTTTATTTTTTCAGATGTGAGTCTCGCTGTCGCCCAGGCTGGAGTGCAGTGGCGCCATCTTGGCTCACTGCAAGCTCCGCCTCCCGGGTTCATGCCATTCTCCTGCCTCAGCCTCCCAAGTAGCTGGGACTACAGGCACCCGCCACCACGCCCGGCTAATTTTTTGTATTTTTAGTAGAGATGGGGTTTCACCGTGTTAGCCAGGATGGTGTAGATCTCTTGACCTTGTGATCCGCCCGCCTTGGCCTCCCAATGTGCTGGGATTACAAGTGTGAGCCACAGCACCCGGCCTGGTACTACACATAATTCTTAACCGTCACAGTGATACTGAATTCTATTACCTTACTGAAATCCTGCATTAACTTCAGGATTTATTTTCTTGGCGATTTCTAGGTAGATAAAGTGTTTACTCTTTTTTTCCCCCTCTTTTTGATGTGTATTTCCAATTAACCAAATCCTGGCAAAAAAGCAAACTTACTTTTACCAGCACTTCTTGCCTACTCCAAGAGATTTTGTAATGCTTTTTAGGATATCACTGCAACTTAAATATACTGTCTCCTGGGCTAAGATCTTCGAGTAACAGTGTTAAAAGGTACACAGGAATTTGAGTCAAGCAGAAAGCCATTATGTTGACACTCAGGTACATAATAAAACAACCTTAATATTCCACTGAAAACTGAGTAGAAACTTTAGGTCAATCAGGACACTTAAAATCTTTCAAGGAAAATACACAATGCTCATCATTGTAAAACTATTTTTGAATTTTAATAGATTACTGTTAAATGCTGAAAAATACCCGTAGGTACAACCCAGGCTCATCTAGTCATGGAAAATAATGCTAATAATAATACCTAATATTTACTAAGTACCTTGCATACATCATCACATCTAAATCTCATGGCAACCTTAATGAGGATGTCCACTTAGTAGGTGAGATGGTTAGGATGCATAGATAGGTTAAGTAACTTTTCTGAAGTTACTTAACAAAAAATTGGTGTACCCAGGGTTCAAAACTAGGTCAGATGACTCTGGAGCAAATTAAGCACAGCTTTTTTTTTTTTTTTAAAATACAGACAGGGTCTTGGTTAATTGCCCAGGCTGGTGTCAAACTCCTGGACTCCAGTGACCCTCCCATCTTGGCCTCCCAAAGTGCTGGGATTACAGGTGTGAGTAATAATAAGCTTGTTTCTTAGCTTATGAAGTTGAGAGCAAGGCCCTGGACTATAATGATGTCATCATTCATTAAGGGACCCATGCATCAGCTAGCTGCCCTCTACCAAGAAGTGCTGTTTCACATCATTGGGTACCAGCCATCTTTTCAACTGACATTTCCACATAAAGAGAGCTACTGTGAAGAGAGACTCCAAATGCATATAACTTATAATTTGTTAGATTGTAAGTTATAAGATTTACTTTATTATTTTTATTAGAGACATTTATAATTTACAGACATTTAATTAGAGATATCATAGTTTATTAGTGACACTTCCTAAAGCTCTAAGCGTACTGTGCTTCTGCAGCTATAACAGTCACCTAAATGTTGAGTAGTTAACAGGAAAATTACTAGAAACAGAAAATAGCATTTGTATTTGGAACTTTGAGAGTAGTTCTAGTTGTTATGTTTTAAAAAGACCTCATCTTTACAACAATGCTATAAAGTACGAACTATTATAAACTCCAGTTTTAAGATAATAAAATTAAAACTCTGAGAAGTTAACTTGCCTAAAGTCACAAACTAGTAAGCAGCAGAGACAGTGTTGACCCAGTTTTGCCTGTCCTATATAACAGCAGACAATAGATAAAAGCAGGGGACTGACTATAAGACCAGCCGGTGGAAATAGGCAGCAAGAACTGAAAGCTAGAAGCAAAGCACAAAACCGAAGACAATTAGGAACGCAGAATAGTTGAACCTTTCATTACAACCTCAAACGGTACTGCAAACTTTTAACAGTTCCTATGGGTATCTCAAATTAATACTTTCTTCAAACGCTTCAAAGAACTGCCTAACTGGATTAGGACAAGTCTCATGCATTTGACAAACTTGCCATTTCTCAATACTTCCAAGTCATTCTGATTATTCCATGTCACACATTGCTCTCTCTTCTGGATCAGTTGTACAGTAAAATAAGACACGAAATGAAAAACCTGAGGCATTACTGTACATTGGAAAGTCGGCTCTACTAAGAGTTAGTAGAATTGTGTTCAAGTCCTTGATCTGCCATTACGTCACAAGATGACACCAATGACAAGTCATTAATCTTCTCTGAAAAGTGGGCTAAGTGCTACAGGGCTACCTGTAAAATCTTGATTCTACAAGATTAAGTCATATTTGATATACTGTTTATTAAGGTATGGACTTTTTTTTTAAAAAAGGTTGAGATTAAAAACCGGACAGGTGCAGTGGCTCATGCCTAATCTCATCACTTCGGGAGGCTGAGGTGGGAGGACTGCTTGAGGCCAGGAGTTTGAGACCAGCCTGGACAACATAGGGAGACCTCAGCTCTATGAAAAATTAAAAAAGTGAGCCGGGCAAGGTGGCACACACCTATGGTGCCAGCTAGTCAGGAGGCTGAGGCAGGAGAATTGCTTCAGCCCAGGAGTTTGAGGCACTGCACTCCAGCCTGGGTGACAGAGTAAGACCCTGTCTCAAAAGTGAAAACAAGATTAAAAAAACAGAAAACAAAACAAAACAAAAAAAATTGGGGGTCTGGTAGGGTAAACTTCAGTGATCTGAAAACTTCTTTTGGTGGAATATCTCATTTAATCATGTTGTGTACTATTCCATAAGACAAACATTAAGTTGATAAATTAAAAGATAGATTTAAATAAATTAATGGATAATGATTCATTATTGTCAAGGCAAACAAAAATATTTTGGACAAATTCTAAACTCTGAAGTTGTTTGTAGACTAGTTTACAAATGGACTCTGGTTTTAATATATGGTATAAAATATGCAAAAAGGCAAATAAGTCTGCTTCCTCAAATAGTACATGGCCTAGTTTTTGCTTAAATATAATAAGCAAAATAAATTTCAGACCCATATTGAAGTTTATTTTGCTTATTACAAGATGTATATGCTTCTAAAAACTAATTCTTTTATCTGTTTCCCTAAAATGAACTGTTTTGTGGTAAAGAGTGTTAAAGAATTCAAATTCAGGTAGTCTGGCTCAGAGTCTGTGCTCTTAACCACTGTGCTACACTGCCTACCTTTCTCTTCCTGGCCTGAGTTGGACTGTACTTCTTGAGGACAAAGGAACACATGTTGTACATATTCCTGGTGCCTAAGCCATTTTGTTTGCTAGGGGAATACCTGCTGTACATTCAGTACTTGTCATGCTTACAGAAATTTAATCCAATTTTCATTCTATAATTATAACCCAATTAAGGCAGAAGTAGGCAATAAATTACAGGAAACATCCTTTCTGTTAACTCTCTTAAATGCAGACAAATATCCATATACATTCTTTTATTTTCAGTGGCAGAGAAGTGATATAGGATGTTGTAGGGTGTTGAGGTGGGCAGAATCATAGGAGTTAAGATTAAACATGAGATGTTCTTTTATTTCTGACTCATTCAATTTTCAAAAAGTGTTATTCTAAAGGTTTCCTATGGAAATAGCTTTAAGAAACTGTTTTAAAACTAGTCACAGAGTGACAAATATTACACCCCCATCAAAAGGAGATGTCTTTTTAGAGCACACAGGGAACTCTGATGTTCTGCTATCATGTATTACCAGTTCCAGTTTTCAAAGACAGAGATTAAAGCAGCTAACGACAGGAAACAACACACACATCGATGTAAAAATTTGTTTTTAACGGAAGTAAAATTTCCCAATAATTTTACAACTTGTTCTACTTCACTACTTACAGTGCACCTTCCATATCTGCTATATTTTCTTCCATTTTCAGAGACTACATAGAGGTAAATAAAGTTGTCATGAGATCCTACAGCCAGGAAGGTACCATCTAGAATAAAATAGGTCAGTGTTGACTAGAGAAATATACTGATAAATTTATTTACTGTTATTTTACTGATTTTACAAATGCTGTTAAATCTCATCAATTTAACTATTTGGCAATTAATGAATGAATCCTATCCACTAAGTACATTTGAAAAATAAATGGTCATCCAGTCTAATACACAATCCCTTCTTGGAGATGCTTACAGGCCTTGGACTCTAGGCCTCATCTTCTAGTTAGTTGAAAACCGGCTCCAGAGGTTATCCTGCCTTCTTGGGTGGAAGGGTACAGTGTTTACATGGCAGGCTGAGTGGACAGGGGCTTAGTTCATCTAGCATATATGATCTGTCCAATTACAGAACAGGTGCTCTTGGGAAGACACCATATTCCTTTCTTTTGTGGTGTCCTTCCCTGTACCCACCACAGTGCTAAGCATGTAACAAATGGTCAATAAAGTCCACGTCATCTCTGGAATTCGACAGCTATATTTGCAGTGGTTATTTGCTACTACAACACTAAAAAACAATAAAACAAAACAAACCCCAGAAAAATGTTAAAATTTTTGTGCTTCATGAGGACTCAAAAGGCTTATAGCTTAAAGTACATACTTTTCCTTCCTTGTTCAATTTAAAGAATACTACTCTCTGTGCTTCCTTTGAAACAACTGAGAAGCAATCAAAAAGATTCTCTGGATCCTGTGCTAATGCAACAACTATTGGCATATATTTTCAAATAAAGACAATGTCAGACTAACTCCAGGGAAGAGTGGTGTGAATCAAAGCTACATTAATAACAAGAAAAGGTAACTGGAGTATTATCACAGAAACTTAATATTGTGAATAAAGTACAAATAATTATTCTCAAGCAGGCTAAAGGAATATATCAAATTCTTATAGAGAATTGCTAAGTATTTAATTAACAAACCAATCATTACTATGTAACCGAAACAATGCACTAGATTCTAAAGGACTTGAAGGGCCTATACAATTTGCGTATTTTGAATTTCGCTGTAATTTCTTTTACATTCTCTTATAAATAAAGAAAAGCTTGCTAACCAGATGTGACATTTAGCCTAATACCTATTCAAAATTCTAAGTATGTGTAGTTCCGGAAAAAGGGGATCTGACTGCACTTTATTCTGCTTTCAATTGCAAATGCAGCTGTCCATTTTAAATTTGATGATTCAGAATGTTGTTTAAACTTCAGCAGATCTTTTGCAGTTTCTGGCAGCAGAATTTAATTTGATGTTGGGGGAAACAGATTTAATACTTAACAACTCTAAAGAGAGAAAAAAGTAGTCAGCCTTATTAGAAGTAAAACTATGCAATTGCAGTGAAGTGCTGTGAATGCCATGCTTGGGAGGTGGGAGTAAATTTGCCTACCTATTGAGTAGCGCATCACAGAGAGCTGTTCATTCCCGTCTGTGTGGATAGAAACTAGATCTCTGGTTTCTGCATCCAGAACAAACCACCTGTTAAGAAGTAAAAATCAAAATTTTCTTCAGATATTAGCATTTATAGAAAAAAAAAGTTGTTCTTTTTCTTTTTTTTTTGAGATGGAGTCTTGCTTTGTCATAACGCTGGTGTGCATGGAGTGATCCTAGCTCACCACAGCCTTGAACTTCTGGGCTCACACTATCCTCCCACACCTCAGCCTCCTGAGTTGCTGGGACTACAGGTGCATACCACCGTGCCTGGCTAATTTTTAATTTCTTTTTTGATTTTAGAGATGGGGTCTTACTATGTTATCTGGGCTGGCCTTAAACTCCTGGCCTCAAGCAGTCCTCCCACCTCAGCCTCCCAAAGTAATGAGATTACGGGCATGTGCCACTGTGCCCAGACAGGTCTATTTTTTTACTTTTAAGAATTTTTAATAATGGTCCTTAAGTATGATATGTTTTCTTCTTCTAATGAAGGATAAATTCATTTAGCAAAATGCTGCTAGATAAAATATACATAAATATACATGGGCCTAGACATATTCTCATGTCTATTTGGGTATTCATTGACTGCCATTCCTGTCTCTTTGCTAGGCACTGTTTAAATAGAAAACAGAAATACAGGATCAGTGTTCTTGAAGAAGACACTAAGTTGGGAGAAAGGAAATGAGTCAATTGAAACAAAGAATGAAGAAATGCCAACCTCAGTGATGGTGACGCAATATAACAGAGGAACTCATAGGAAGAAAATGAATGATAGCAGCAGAAAAACATCCTTAGGGAAGATGTAAGATGTGGGCTGAGCTGAACACTGAGGGAATGTTCAGACATTTTAGGCAGGAGGAACAGCAGCTGTATAGCTAAGGAGGTGGGAAAAACCATGGACAATATGAAGGTGTGAGGGAACAGTAGCAAGCCATTCATTTGGTGTGATTCAAAAGAACCAGCAGGGAGAACTCTCCTCCCTGAGACCTCCAACACTTGCACAGGGAAGCTCTAAATTTTTTGAAAGAGGTATCTTTTCATTCACATTTATAGGAAAAGTCAAAATGTAAATGCCTCTTGAGACGTAAAACAACGACTTAAATCCAACTACATTATAAATCACTATTATCAGACCTTTTTCCTAAAAGTATTTGAAGGAAAGGATGGGTACTTCAGAAGAGCGTGGTAAGACCAGGGATATAAAGCAAAGATGGGAACCATGGACAGACAAACTTAAGGCTGCATAAGAGAGAGGATGGCAGCATGCACAGCTGGTTGGAAGAATTCAGAGTTGAGCACTGCCCAGATCAGAGTAGGCACTAAATATCTGCAGAATGAATAAGTGAACAAATACATTAAAAGTAAGTCTTGAACATGACAAAAACCAAATTTTGGCAAGAGGTATTTAATAGTAGTGCAGTGTGCAGGAAGAAAATGGATGGGATGGAAAAAACAGGACAAGACTAGAAAAACAAAATCACTACTTATTGGCCTTTAAACTCAAGTATTCACATATAAATTCTGTTTCTCTTACCTGAGTAGATGACAGAATTAGGTTAGCTGCCTAAAAGTTTCAGCCCATAGCTTACAAGTTACTAAAAATTCATTCATGAACTGAACAGGGCAAAAAAAGCAGCAATTTTTTTTTTTTAGACGGAAGCTTGCTTTCATCCCCCAGGCTGGAGTGCAGTGGCACGATCTTGACTCACTGCAACCTCCGCCTCCTGGGTTCAAGCGATTCTCATGCCTCAGTCTCTCGAGTAGCTGGGATTACAGGTGGGCGCCACCACACCCAGCTAATTTTTGTATTTTTAGTAGAGACAGGGTTTTACCATGTTGGCCAGGCTGGTCTCGAACTCCTGACCTCAGGTGATCTGCCCGCCTCAGGCTCCCAAAGTGCTGGGATTATAGGCATGAGCCACCATGCCCGGCAAGTTTTTATTTTTAATCTTTATTTTTTACCTGCTCCTACCATCTGAGTCAAGTTTCATTTTTAATTATTCAGATGGAAAAAATTCCACCACTAATGTAAGCCAATAAAAAGAATCGTGATGGTAGGCTTTTTTTTTTTTTGAGACGGAGTCTCACTCTGTCACCCAGACTGGAGTGGATGGAGTGGTGTGGCACTATCTCGGCTCACTGCAACCTCCGCCTCCGGGTTCAAGCGATTCTCGTGTCTCAGCCTCCCAAGTAGCTGGGACTACAGGCGTGTGCCACCACGCCCAGATAATTTTCTGTATTTTTAGTAGAGATAGGGTTTCGCCGTGTTGATCAGGCTGGTCTTGAACTCCTGACCTCAGGTGATCCCCTCGCCTTGTCCTCCCAACGTGCTGGGATTACAGGCATGAGCCACTGTATCCGGCCAATAAGTTTCTTTTCATTTTAAAGCACTATAACTAATATCTGGGAAAGGGACCATTTCCCTCTTAAATTAAAAGAAATATTTAGAAGAGAGAAAAGGGCTTGAAGGATTTTTTTTTTTTAAAGCTTAGTGGTATGGTTTAACGTGGCTTAGTGCATTCAAGGTAGAATTGAAGACTCAAAGATACCAATTTTTTACCTTGTCTACAAAGAGTCAAACTCTGTAAAATATTTGAAGAGATTTATTCTGAGCCAAATATGAGTGACCATGGCCCATGGTGAGAGAGCTCTCAGAGAACATGTGGCCAAGGTGGTCGAGGCACAGCATAGTTTTATACATTTAAGGGTGATATGAGACATCAATCAAATACATGTTAAGATATACATTGGTTTAGCCAGGCGCGGTGGCTCATGCCTGTAATCCCAGCACTTTGGGAGGCCGAGGCAGGCGGATCACGAGGTCAGGAGATCGAGACCATCCTGGCATCCTGGCTAACCCGGTGAAACCCCATCTCTACTAAGAATATAAAAAATTAGCCAGGCATGGTAGCAGGCGCCTGTAGTCCCAGCTACTTGGAAGGCTGAGGCAGGAGAATGGCGTGAACGCAGGCGGTGGAGCTTGCCGCAAGCTGACATGGCACCACTGCACTCCAGCCTGGGTGACAGAGCGAGACTCCATCTCAAAAAAAAAAAAAAAAAAAAGATATACATTGGTTCAGTAGGGAAAGGCAGGACAACTTGAAGGTAGGTGGGGGCTTCCAGGTTATAGGCAGATTTAAAAGTTTTCTGACAGGCAGGCCAGGCGCAGTGGCTCATGCCTGTAATCCCAGCACTTTCAGAGGCCGAGGTGAGTGGATCACGAGGTCAGGAGATCGAGCCCACCCTGGCTAACAAGGTGAAACCCCATCTCTAGTAAAAATACAAAAAATTAGCCAGGCATGGTGGCACGCGCCTGTAGTCCCAGCTACTTGGGAGGCTGAGGCAGAAGAATCATTTAAACCCGGGAGGTGGAGGTTGCAGTGAGCCGAGATTGCGCCACTGCACTCCAGCCTGGGCGACAGAGCAAGACCCCGTCTAAAAAAAAAAAAAAATTCTGATTGGCAATTGGTTATTATCAGTAGAAAGGAATTGTCTGGGTTATGATATGGGGTTGTGGAGACCAAAGTTTTATTGTGCAGATGAAGTCTTTAGGTAGGCTTCAGAGAGAATAGACTGTAAATGTTTCTTATCAGACTTAAGGGCTGTATTAATATTAAATGTTGGTTGGCTTTTCCTGAATTCTAAGAGGTTATAACGAGGCATGACCTTCCCTTCCTGTTACGGCCTGAACCAGTTTTTCAGGTTAATTTTGGAATGCCCTGGCAGGGACGATGGTGGGGGGGGGCTTAGAATTTTATTTTTGATTTATAACCTATCAGTGAAATCTCTAACTAAACACATTCATAAATTTTAGTAATTTTGTGAGCTGTGAGCTGAAGCTTCCAGGAAGCTAACCGAATTTTGTTATCTACTCAGGTAAGGTAAATATCTTTCATATGTGAATACTTGAGTTTAAATGCTAATAAGCAGGAAAACTGGCACTTTGAAGCCACATGCTTCATGTTTACCAATTATTTTCATTTCAAAAAGTGCATAGGAAGGCCGGGCATGGTGCCTCATGTCTGCAATCCTAGCACTTTGGGAGGCCGAGGCAGGAGGATTGCTTGAACACAGGAATTCAAAACCAGACTGGTCAATGTAGCGAGACCTCATCTCTGTTTTATTTTAAAATAACATTAAAAGTAAAATATAAAATAAAAAAAGCACATAAGACATACACTTTATTGCAACTGGACAGTACCCATAGGTTATGTTTCTTCTGAGAATGTAACTCATTAACCAATTTTTATGAGTATCCCTCTGAAATTCTTCTGGGCCTAGAAATGCCAAAGCTGATGCCAAGTGCCTTTTTAGAGAAAGGGAACAAAATAATATCCCAATTCAGACTGAACTGACACACCAAAATGACAAGATACAGAACTGCTCTGTATCAGGTGAGTTTTTAATGAGTTTATGGAAACTTTATGACACTCTCATGCATTTAAAAATTATTACCATTTTTTTTTTTTGAGACAGGGTCTCGCTCTGTTGCCCAGGCTGGAGTGCAGTTTACTGCAGCCTCAACCTCCCAGGCTCTCAGGTGATCCTCCCACCTTAGCCTCCCAAGTAGCTGGGACCAAAAGCATGTGCTACCACGCCTGGCTAATTTTTTGTAGAGGAGGGGTTTTGCCATGTTGCTGGTCTCGAACTCCGAGGCTAAAGCAATCCTCCCACCTTGGCCTCCCAAAGTGCTGGGATTACAGGTGTGAGCACTGCACCAGCCCAATTTTTATTTTGGAGAAGCCCTAACTAATGCTGTTTTAAGACTGTTTCAAAGTCAGTTTAATCTTCCTAGGAAAACTATGTAATTTTATCTCTTTGGACACTCCCTGAGAATGTAATGAAACCCTAGAGTGTCTGTTTTGGTAAAATGTGTAGAAACCTAAAACTCTTAAGTCATTTACTGGTTAGAGATAGTGACTATCAAAAAAGAAACCAAAAAACCCCCACCAAAACCGTGCCTAAGTTTTCTATTTCTTTAATTATTAATACATTATTAGACACTAATTCTTCTACTTTTGGTAAATCATTTTTAGTAGTAATTCAATGTTTGTTATTAAAGATATACAACTTCCATATATAATTTTGGAGTTCTCACCCCTTTTCATTGTAAGGACTATGTTTTACCTTCAGAAAAGACTTTTGGGCTCAGAGTCTCTATCTCTAACAACAAATCCTCTAGCCAAGGGGATTTTCTACAAATTAAAAAAAAATGTTTTTTAAGTTTCACTCCTGGCTTCAAGAGATCTTCCGGCCTGGGCCTTGGGCCTGAGCCACCATGATGGCCAAATAAATATTTAAGTTTTTACTATTTCATTGTATTCTTATTCTAGTCTGGAGTATATACATTAGAACCAAGCTTCTGGCTGGGAGTGGGGGCTCATGCCTGTAATTCCAGCACTTTGGGAGGCTGAGACAAGCAGATCACTTGAGGTCAGGAGTTCAAGACCAGCTTGACCAACATGGTGAAACCCTGTCTCTACTGAAAATACAAAAATTAGCCAGGCATGGTGGTGCACGCTTGTAGTCCCAGCTACCTGGGAGGTTGAGGCATGAGAATCACTTGAACCCAGGAGGCAGAGGCTGCAAGTGAGCTGAGATTATGTCACTGCACTCCAGCCTGGGAGACAGAGCAAGACTCTGCAAAAGGGAAAAGGGAAGGGGAAGGGGAAGGAGAAGGGGAAGGGAAAGGGAAAGGGGAAGGGAAAGGGGAATGGGAAGGGAAAGGGGAAGGGGAGAAAGGAAGAAAGATCCATTAGGCCTTACAGAATCCCATAATGATTACAACTATGGTAACTGGCATAAGCACAGATATATATACATATTTATGGAACAGAATTCAAAGTCCAGAGAAAATCTCATACATCTTTGGCCAATTTGTTTTCAAAAATGGTGCCAATACTATTCAATGGAGAAAGAGAAGTCTTTTCAACAAATGGTGCTGTAACTGAATATCCACATACAAAAGAATGAAGTTGGACACCTACTGGGCCATACTATATATGAAGATTAACTCAAGACGAATTGGAGACCTAAAGGTAAGAGCTAAAACTATAAAACTCTTAGAAGAAAACATAGAAGTAAATATTTATGCTTAAGAAACAAGAGAAAGAACAGATAAACTAAACTACATCAAAACTTAAAACTCTGGTGCTATTAACAACATCAAGAAAGTGAAAAGACCACCCTCAGAATGAGGAAAATATTTGAAAAAGATCTGTAAGGAACTGTATCCAGAATATATAAAAAACTCTTACAAGAACAGACAACCCAATTCAAAGATGGGCACAGGATTTCAACATACATTTCTCTAAAGAGGATATACAAGTGGCCAATAAGTACTTGAAGAAATGCTCAACATCATTAGCCATCAGAGAAATGCAAATCAAAAGCATAATGAAAAACTACTTCACACCCACTAGGATGGCTATACTCAAAACACAGATAATATGTACTGGCAAGGATGTGGAGAAACTGAAACCCTCATACATTGCTGGTAGAATCATAAGACAATACGGCTGCTGTGAAAAAGTTTGGTAGTTCCTAAACAAAAAAAAAAAAATTTTTTTTTTTTTTTTGTGGTGGTTGTTTTGGTTTTGAGAAAGGGTCTCGCTCTGTCATCCAGGCTGGAGTGCAGTGGTGCCATCATAGCTCACTATGATAGCCTTGACATCCCAGATTCAAATTATCCTCCCACCTCAGGCTCCTGAGTAGCTGGGACCACAGGCATGTGCCACCATGCCTGGCTATTTTTTTTTTTATTTTTTGTAGAGGCAAGGTCTTGCTATATTGCCCAGGTTGGTCTCAAACTCCTAGGCTCAAGTGATCCTCCTGCTTCAGCCTCCCAAAGTGTGGGGATTACAGGTGTGAGCCATTGTGCCTGGTCTTAAAATGTTAAACATGGAGTTTTAACCCAACAATTCTACTCTTTTATATCCCAGAGAGCTGAAAACACATATCCACTCTAAAGCTCATGTATGAATGTATGTAGCAGCATTATTCATAGTAGCCAAAAAGTGGAAATAACCCCTATGTCCATCAGTTGATGAAGGTGGTATATCCATAAAATGGAATGTTATTTGGCCATAATACATGCTATATATGAAGTACTTAACGTGGATAAACCTTGAAAACATTAAGTGAAAGAAGCTCATCACAAAACTTCACGTTATATGATTCATTCCATTTATAGAAAATGCCCAGAACAGACAACCTATAAAAACAGAAAGTGGGTCAGTTGCCTAGAGTAAGGGGGGAGGTGGGTGGGGTCATGGGGAATGACTATTAATGGGTACAGGATTCCTTTCTGGGTTAAAAATTGTTCTGAAATTAGACTGTGAGGATAGCTGCATAACCCTGTGAACTTACTGAATTATATATCTTAAATCAGTGAATTTTATAGTATTTGAATTATTTTTTATTTCTTTTTTGGGGGGGTTATGTGAATTATATCTCAACAAAGTTGTTAAAAAGAATCCTTTCTATGTGAGCATTAACTTTTGTTTTTTGTTTTGAGACAGTGCCCAGGCTGGTGTGCAATGGCGTGATCTCAGTTCATTGCAACCTCTGCCTCCTGGGATAAAGCAATCCTCCTGCCTCAGCCTCCCGAGTAGCAGGGACTACAGGTGCACACACCACCACGCCTGGCTAATTTTAAAATTTTTCTTGTAAAGACAGGGTTTTGCCATGTTGCCCAGGCTGGTTTCAAACTCCTGGGCTCAAGCAATCCACCTGCCTTGGCCTCCTCCCAAAGTGATGGGATTACAGGCATGAGCCACTGTGCCCTGCAGCATTAACGTGTTAAGGAAGTACTATGTCCACTTAAGGTTATATGTTTAATTTTTTTCTCTTAAAATTACATTAATAAGACATTATTTTAAAATGATAATTGTACTTATTTGATGCTTTATTCACACTGTGCTTACTCTTTAGTTACATGAAGTAGAAGATATCTAGATCTGGACATGAAGACATCATTACTTTTTTTTACTAGTCACTTTTTTTGGATCATGCACAACTTGGACATGTGTTGCATTCTACTAGAAAAATGTCCTTGGCTGGGCGTGGTGGCTCACGCCTGTAATCCCAGTACTCTGGGAGGCCCAGGCAAGGTGATCACTTGAGGCCAGGGGTTCCAGACCAGCCTGGCCAACATGGCGAAACCCTGTCTCTACTAGAAATACAAAAATTAGCTGGGTATGGTGGTGGGCGCCTGTAATCCCAGCTACTCAGGAGGCTTGAGGCTAAAGAATCGCTTGAGCCTGGGAGGCAGAGGTTACAGTGAACTGGGATCATGCCATTGCACTCCAGCCTGGGCAAAAGAGGGAAACTGTCTCTAAATAAGTAAATAAAATAAAATAAAATAAAAATTTCTTAACCCTAGGTGTGACTTTTTTCAGGCCTAGGGTCAGTGATAGTAATAGAATGGCTACATTAAGATTTTTCCATTTTAGACAATACATTCAGGTATTCATAGATCCAAGGCAAAAATAAAAACAAATGAGAAAGTTCCCCAAGGATCAACAGAACCTAACCAGATCTGAAACCAAAGACAGGAGTTACATACAGAATGAACACTGACAACTACATCTCCCCTAGATTCTAATCAATCCCCAAATGGACTGCCAGCACTTTCAATTTAGTTATCACATCACTCTCATGAAGTGTTTTCTACTTACAACTCCAAGAGAAACCAATTGGCTTACCTTTAGTTTAAGTCACTAAAATTGAGTGACTTTCCATTTTAAGCTTGTCAATGATGACTTCACAGCTATGTAAATGCTGGAAAGTAATTTCAGTGAGTTTTTCAGAACAATTTTCCCTACAAATTGGGGCCGTGTATGTCTATTTGTAAACACACAGTGTTTTCTTCAACCAAAGCAGTTTATCTTCATGATTCAAACCCCGCTAGCCTTACAATCGCCCATTTAGTGTTTAACTCCCTTGTATACATAGTATGCTTTAACAATGTCAATCAGTGATTTAATTGTCAAAGATAAACCTTCCTAACAATATTTCTAATTAATGCTGTAAATATCTCAAAGAGTACTGTTGGATTAGAGGAAAGGACAAGCTTTGGAACCATGCAGAACCTGAGCTCAATCACAGGTAACAGAACTCTATGGGTCTTGGTTTCCTGTCTGTGCAATCACGATATTAATAAACACTATGTTACATTCTTGTGAAGAGTAACATATAAAAAGAATTTAGCGGCCAGGTGCGGTGGCTCACACCTGTAATCCTAGCACTTTGGGAGGCCGAGGCGGGAGGATCACGAGGTCAGATTGAGACCATCCTGGCTAACACGGTGAAACTCTGTCTCTACTAAAAATACAAAAAAAAAAAAAAATTAGCCAGGCGTGGTGGCAGGGCGCCTGTAGTCCCAGCTACTTTGGAGGCTGAGGCAGGAGAATGGCGTGAACCCAGGAGGCGGAACTTGCTGTGAGCCAAGATCATGCCATTGCACTCCAGCTTGGGTGACAGAGCGAGACTCTATCTCAAAAAAAAAAAAAAAAAAAAAAAAAAGGATTTAGCACAAGGTCATCAGACACTGAATAAATGATATCTCTTACTTTTATTATTTCAAGGACTTTAGCATTTGTGATATCTGTTTAGCTGCCAAAAATAAAGATCTGAAGTGAATTCCTTTGTGGTTTTCTGAAAACTGGATCAGCACTACACCTCAGATGGTTTCCTGTGTGCTTAACCATTTTTTTTGGTTGAAGAAAATAATTTCCTCCAAATCCTACAGTTACCTGTCATGTGTCTTTCTCAAAGAGAATGGACCAAACTCGGTCCAAATGGACAAATGTCCAAGTCTAAGTGCTTTTAAACCTCATCATGATCTATTACTTACGTGTTTTGGGGAAGATCTGAGCTAGCCTTCTATATTTGCAAAGTATCACCAAATGCTCTCTCAAGCAGCCTAATTCTAAAAATTCAATGATTTCACTCAATAGCATCTCTAGTTTCACATTCATAATTCAATTATCTTTAAAGACCTATTTTTCCATTATTCTGAAAGATTCTGCAGCACTATATGTAAGAAGAAATTGGAATGTTTTCACATTTCAGGTGTTAATTTGTATCTAACAGCCAGAAGGAAAAATCGCTATAAAAAAACCCCCTCTAAATGACTAAATTTAGTTAGAATTAAATGAATTAGTTGGTTTAAAGTATTTAAGTCTTATATAGAAACAAAAATATTTACATAAGCATGTTCACAATAGTCTCACCCCATTAAAAATCAGCATTCCACATTTTTTAATGAGTTTAATTTTGGGAAAATTGACTTCATGTTTTTGTCTCCTTAAAAAATGTGAGAAGGACTACTTACTAGCAGAGGCAATAAAGTTGAGTCAATTAAAGATATATAAATCATAAACATGTTAACCTTAGGTACTATACAAGGTCTGCAAGACAGGTCTTAAATTATTTTAGAAAATATATCTTTATTATATATCTGCGTAGCATTTAAAAAAGACAGGATGGCAAAAGGTATAGCACAAACAACTTATAAATGCTCAATGGTGTTACATCAGCTTCAAATCCTTCCCCTGCATAAAAGATGAGGAGAGAAATTTTCTGATTCTTCTCATTTCACAAAGGAAAAGTCAAATCTGCAACTCCTTTTCAATGAAGCCCATAATGACCACTCTATCATTTTGCAACTGCACTCCCTCTTAATCTCCCATCATTTTCCCTATCCTCACATGGTTCTTAACATTTTCTAATATAATTCGTGATAATGTTTATTATTTTTATTTTTTGTAGAGATGGTGTCTCACCCAGGCTGGTCTCAAACTCCTGGCCTCAAGCAATCTTCCTGCCTCAGCCTCCCAAAGCACTGGAATTACTGGCGTGGGCTACTGCAACTCGCCTTATTATTTTTTTTGAGATGGAGTCTTGCTCTGTTGCCCATGCTGGAGCGCAGTGGCACAATCTCGGCTCACTGCAACTGTCTCCCAGGTTCAACTGATTCTCCTGCCTCAGCCTCCAGAATAGCTGGGATTACAGGTGTGTGCCACTGCGCCTGGCTAATTTTTGTATTTTTAGTAGGGACGGGGTTTCGCTACATTGGCCAGGCTGGTTTCGAACTCCTGACCTCAGGTGATCCGCCCACCTTGGCCTCCCAAAGTGCTGGGATTACTGTGCCTGGCTGCGTCAGGGCTTATTTTTTATTCTGTCCCATACACGCTAAAATGTAGGCTTCACAGGACAGGAATTTTTGTTTTGTTTTCTGATGTATTCTGAATACACACAATAGCATGTAGCATGTCGCAAAAGGCAGGTGCTCAATAAATAATTGAATTCTATGAATATACAAAACGGATAAGAACAACAAGCATATTAGTGTGCCACTTAAGAGATTAATTCTCCAGATCAGATTGAGAACATTCCTGAATAGCATTTAAACATCCCACCACTTCAGATTACTCAGTTCACTTAAAGACCCTACCTGCCTGAGTGCGTTCCTATGGCCACCACTGTGCCACTTGGATGAAAATCTGCACAGTGTCCTGGTTCCTAGAAAAGAGACAGACAGCTGTTGGGGAGTACATGAGAAAGTCTCCCTATGGGGACAGTAGCAAAAACTTCTGAAAATAACCTGTTTCATTCAAACATAACATTTCAATCAACTTTGTAGCTAATGAGAAATACCACACAGATATGAGAGGAAAAAGAATTTCAGAGCATGAAGGGGATATGCTGGCAGAGTGGTGAGGGAAAGGGACAACCAGCTTGTGGCTAGGGAGTGGAACAATAATAAGGATAATAACAACAAACACTGGTACAGTTCTTTAGCATCCACAAAGAACTTATATACACCTCTTGGGCTAGAGAAGGTGGATATCTGGGTTGGGTAGAGAGAAAATACAGTAAGAGACCACCCAGAAAGAAGACAGTAGAGCCTGTTAGTGAGCAGCACTTACTGAATCCAACTGCAATGCCACCCGAGGCACAAATGTTTCCATAATAATTAATGCTATGTAGATATTTGAAATCTTTATGATTTTACTACTGAAGCTGATGGACAAATTGAGCTTTTACGCTGCTAACTTACTTCTTCTATTTTTTATTTTTTGAGACGGAGTCTCGCTCTGTTGCCCAGGCTGGAGTGCACTGGCACGATCTCGGCTCACTGCAAGCTCCGCCTCCCGGGTTCATGCCATTCTCCTGCCTCAGCCTCTCGAGTAGCTGGGACTACAGGCGCCCACCACCACGCCTGGCTAATTTTTTGTATTTTTACTAGAGACAGGGCTTCACCGTGTTAGCCAGGATGGTCTCGATCTCCTGACCTCGTGATCCGCCTGCCTGGGCCTCCCAAAGTGCTGGGATTACAGGTGTGAGCCACCTTGCCCGGCCTAACTTACTTCTTTAAAATCGGTTCATGTTCACACTTTAAGACTAAACGCTACCCTCTTATCTCCACCCTCTATTACTAAACCATATGTTTACATTTGGTTTGAATCAACACTTAGTCCTTTTTACTTTGCTGCTCTCAACTGCCAGTGTGAGGAGTTTCTGTGGGGAGGTTAATAATCACATCCTGCTTCACTCACATCTACCAGCCTGGTCCATTCCAGCCTGTGTTCCATTGAGTTCCACAGGCACACCTGCCTGTCCTGAGCACATGTCAAGAGCAAATCTTTGAAGGGATGTGTGGCAAGACCCCAAAGCTCATCTGTATGACCCTGAAAATGAAAGACACTCATTGTTATAAGAACCAAAGAATATCATAAAAAATATTCAGTTAACGGTTAATATCACACAGCTTACCTGTACTTCTATTTGGAAGCCATCATTAAATGTTCCTCGTAAAATAAAGTTTCGTGATGTGCCTACTAAAAATTGATCTGCCTTTCCTTCTGCTACAGCTCTGATTGTGCCATACTGATCAGGAACCTAGAAAAAAAAGTGTAAAGTCACCATATACATACTAATATGCATTAATTACTACTCGAAGCCTGCATTTATAGCTGTAAGCAATTATGAGGTAATTATGACGAAAGCCCAAATTTGGATATGGTAATCTCATACTACTACTAATTTATTTGTCCAATGACATTTTATTATACAGAAGTTATAATAATTATCAACATTCTTTGCTTCAGTTAATTTTAAACGTATATTTTATATGACTTTAGGAGTTAAGGGTTAAGAACAGGGAAAAAAGGCTGGGCATGGTGGCTCACACCTGTAATCCCAGCACATTTGGAGGCCAATGCGGGTGGATCACCTGAGGTCAGGAGTTCGAGACCAGCCTGGCCAACATGGTGAAACCCTGTCTCTACTAAAAATATAAAAATCAGCCAGGTGCGGTGGCGGGCGCCTATAATCCCAGCTACTGAGGAGGCTGAGGCAGGAGAATTGCTTGAATCCGGGAGGCAGAGGTTGCAGTTAGCCAAGACTGGGCCACTGTATTCCAGCCTGGGCGACAGAGCAAGACTCTGTCTCAAAAAAAAAAAAAAAGAAGTAAGTTCTATTAGCTCACATGAAATCACATGAAGAATGTGGTCGGGTTTTGTTACTTATTAGTTATATTAGTTACATTACTTTGGGTAAGTTACTTAGCCTAAGAAACATTTTCTGTAATATAAGGATAATAATACATGCCCTACCCACTCTTGATTGTTGTAAGGATCAAAATATAAAAATATTCTCACCACAAAAAAATGATAAATGCATGAGGCAACAGACATACTAACTACCCTGACTGGATTACTATACAGCATATCTGCATCAAAACATCAGATTGTATCCCATAAATATGTTCAATTACAATGTGTCAATTAAAAAAATGTAATGTGGAAGTTCTCTGTAAATTAAAAAACAATATATTATAAAGTATTATAATAATAGGATTCCTTGGGAGAGCAATTTCATTTAATGCAATACATGGAACAATCTCAGTGAATGCTGTGTTAATACATTTAATAATAATCTCAAAGAATGATTCTGAAATAATGGAATTATAAATCCCACTTTATCAAGTGGGATCTAAAATTACTCCTAAAAATACAAATAACTGAACTCTAAGAGGAATCCAAATTTACATTAGAAATGGGAAAGGAAGGAGTGAACTAGATTGTATAGCTTTTATTAACAAAGGATATGAGTTATCTGTGAAGAAAACAGTGATGGAAGTTGCATTTTCAGTATGAACTGAAGGTTGTGATTAAGCAACTCTTTATTATCTATCTTCCTGGAAATAAAATCCAAGAGCAGTACTATCAGGATCCTCTTTTTAAGAGGATTTTCCAGAAGATTTTCTCTGGAAAGAATGCTACACGTAGAAAAAAAAACACTAAGCATAAATCCAAAATATAAATCACCAAAAAAGAGAAGAAAAATTAAACTTTGTGACATTTGCTCTGGTTTTAACAGGCAAATTATTCTGCCTAATCTTTAAAAATAGTCTTTCAAATTATTTTAATGGTCTTTTTTTTTTGAAAAAAGTTATCTTAAAGGCAACAACAAACTCCTTTCTTGAGGAAAGGAAATGAAATTATAAGAATTTAATAAGTTTGCCAGAAAAGTATAAGTTATCTTAATGTGGGACAAAATACCTGAGTTTAGAGTATTTAATATTTTTATATTCCGTTTCCATCCTTACCTCTATTTCTCTTTCAGGATTCAGATCATGATCCCACAGAATTATTTTTCTGTCTTTCCCTCCTCCAGTTAATAACATCCCATTTCTCATCTGACAAAGTGTGAACACACTGCCATCATGAGCTTTGATTTGTTTGCTGATTTGATATACACCTAATATGAGGGAAAAATAAAAACACTAGTGATAATACTTTTCTTCAGATTTTAGTGTCTATTTGGAAGAAAACTTCAGTAGAACTAGAGTTAATAATCAGAAAGTTCATATGACTCAATCAAAAACCTATTTTCAGCAAGTCTTTTGTGCAAAGCAGGTAGTAAAGTTTAGGGTATAATACAATCTTTTGCATTTCTGTCAATATTTATTTACTCTGAAAATATTTCAAAATATTTTCCTACAAAAAACCAAAGCAAAAGTAGTGATAATTCCACAGACGAAAGGGGATATAGTATAGGTTTCAGAACTTTACTATCTCTCATAATCATCTTGTATGGTAGCTAGGGTAGGTGTCACTCTTCTGATATGAGAGCTCAAGACACAAGAGGTACAGGAGCAGCTTAGGGGATACCACATAGTTAGCTAATAACAAAGCTGTGACTAGGCTCAAGTCTCCCACCTTGATGTTCCTTTAACTTTGCAAAAACATCTTTGGTTGACCTTCTGAGGTAACAGTCACAACGTTTAACGTTTTACAACCATTGTTAACCCAGAGGCCTTCTGCTGTGCCAAGGATTACTCCCCTTTATTTGCTGAGATATGGGGGCACTACAGAAGTTATTGGGACAAAGGTAGGCAATGGATACCTGCAGTGATGGCTTTTGACCTACTAGCAGAGAATAATTTCAGTATTTTAAAAATTGATTCAGCTGTACCAATGTGATGGCTAAATAACAGCCCAGTTTTCTTGTATACCCATAGCACACTTTGTTAAGTACCCAGGGAGAGACCAAGGGGGTACATAAAAGGTCTTTTAGGCAAACACATGTGGTTTTTTAAATTATATTTTGCCCCCTTTTAAGGGTGAGAATAAGATGATAGTACTCATACCTTTTTCTTTGGTATTCATAAATGCCTTACTCAGAGAAGCTCTTTAGCTAGATAGGCTAGCAGAGCAAGAGTAAAGCTTTTTGGAAGATGATGTCCTACAGAATTAGTTACCAGGTTCAAAATGGGAAGGTAGAACCTTATTGAAATATGGCCAAAGTAAGTCAATAAACAGCCCTTAGTCCTCTTGAAAAAATTCAGGTTTAACAACTATTCATTTTCTAAAACTGTTCCTCAACTGATGAATAGATTTTAAAAACACAGTATGTCTATACAATGTGATATTACTCAGCCATAAAAAGGAATGAGGTATTGACACATGCTACCACCACATGGATGAATCTTAAAAACATAATGCTAAGTGAAGGCTGGGCACTGTGGCTCACACCTGTAATCCCAGCACTTTGGGAGGCCGAGGTGGGTGGATCACCTGAGGTCAGATGTTTGAAACCAACCTGGCCAACATGGCAAAACCCTCTCTACTAAAAACACAAAATTAGCCGGGCATGATGGCACATGCCTGTAATCCCAGCTACTTGGGAGGCTGAGGCAGGAGAATCGCTTGAACCTGGGAGGCGGAGGTTCAGTGAGCCGAAATCGCACCACTGCACTCCAGCCTGGGCAACAAGAGTGAAACTCCATCTCAAAAAACAAACAAACAAAACAAAACAAAAAAAACTAAGTGAAAGAAGCAAGTCATAAAAGACCACACATTGTATGACTCCATTTATATGAAATGTCATCAACAAGTAAATCTATAGAGACCTAAAGGAAATTGGTGGTTACCTAGGGGCTGAGGGGAGGGAGAAATAGAAAGTGACTACTAATGGGTACAGGCTTTCTTTTTGGGGTGATGAAAATGTCCTTAGGTCAGATAGTGGTGATGGCTGCACAACCTTGTAAATATACTAAAAACCACTGAACTTAAAGGCATACTTCAACAGGGTAGATTTCATGGTATGTGAATTATATATCGAAGTTGTTACTGAGATTGTTCTTTTTTACTCATCTATTTGAGCTGCTATTATACTTAACAAATTGACTAAAATTTCTAAGGCTTTGGTATCCTAAAAAAAATTATGTCTCAGTTTGAGTATGCTAGTGGTACAAATACTTAACAGATGGGTATATATGGCAGGGAGACAGGAAAGGGCTTGCTTGATTTGGAGGAGAACTTGCCCAATTCAGCAGAGCTGGAAGTAGAACTCCAACAAACTTGCTGTTCAGGTCAACTGTCTCCACTTACATCAATATTTATCATCTAAAAATACCTTAAAAATTGAACAACACAACTGTGTTCACTGGCATAGGTAGATAAGTATCTATCTCTGTTCTGATGTTACCACGAGAGGGAGGACACCTGAGAGATGAGAATTTTCTGAGAGTACTACTGGCTTTATTTGGATAATAAAAATAGAGAAAAGCAAATTCTAGGCTTATTTCCCTGTGCATGGTCAAACTAACAAGAGTAGCCTGAAGGTATCATGTAAGAAAACACAAAAAGCAAAGGTGTGGGAGTTTCATAGTTCTCTATCAGAATGTAAGAAAATAAAGCTTTTCTATGCTTAAGTCTGCTTTCCGTATTTCTAAACATGACAAAAACCTTGTTAAACACTTAAAATCCTCCCAGAATGATGGAAAACTGGAAAAAAAAATGAAGAAAAAAATGCTTCATCAGAAATAAAAATACTCTATATAGTGATCAAGTCAGTGAGTCCTTCTCACTCCAGGAAAGTTATTTCCTGAGGTGGACCTAGTATCGACTTAGCTTAAAAAATTTAGTGTTTCTAATTTAAACAAATTATCAAAGTTTCCTTTATATAGTATTTACCTGTAAAACAAATTTATAGCCAAAGATGTCTTTCTTATGGGCCTGTATTTCTGATATTTCAGTTGCCAAATAATGTTTGAAATCCCTGCCAAGGAAAATAATTATCCTTGAATTAAAAAAACCTACTCTGCCTTCAGGCTTACTCATATGGTCAAGTCCATCCAAACTTAATCACAAACCTCACCCTTTCTTCTCATCTCTAACAGACACAAAGCTTCCATAAAAAGCAAGTTTACACTGCCTGCCAAATAAAGATGTTTGGAAGGCTTTCTGTGCCTGTTTAAAGAATAAAATATTAGGGAGACTTTGAAATTTATGTTGTATTCTTAGCAACTGGGCCCATTTGATTATTCGGAGAACACATAAAATGGCAGTGTTTCTTAGCTCCTTTGCAAGACTTAAGAATGGTGAACATTTTAATGGTTCTGTAGATACTCTCAACTTCCACTTACCCACTTAAAAGATTACAAATTATTTTGCATAAGAACAATTTCAATCTATTTCATATGTGTAGGAAATAAATAACAAATACCTCATACCTACTTAAGAAACAGAAAACACTAATTACTTTGAAGATTCACATTAATTCATGTTTAAGGAAGAAATGGTTTGGAAACAAGAAAAAAATATATAAAAGCACTTTTAAGACATAAAATACAGTTTTGGTTTGTCTCCTATTACAAAAGTAAAAGGATTAGTTGTGAAATTATACTTCTGCCATCCAAAAAATCTCCTTTTATCAGACAGGATGTCACAGTACACTCAAATTTTGGTTGGTAAGACTGCCACAGGTGCAGAAATGTCATAGTTGGGAATATGTAAATTGGATCTACTGAAATCTGGGGGCCAGAATTAAAAAATGGAAACTGTGGACACTTACTCTGGTCTGGACTTCCATTTATTTCACTGCGCTCACCAAATTCTTCCCAGCCAATTGAAAACCTCAAATTCTTAGCAACTTTGCCCATAATAGGGTTAGTCATGTGGCAAAGTACAACACAGGCCATTTCATGTGCCCAGCAATTTACAAGATTGGATTTCCTGTTTCCTGTTTGTGCATATGTAGAGAGGTTGAGCCACAAATTTTTCAAAGACCAAAATAAAAACCTCTGAACCTCTTCTTCCTGTCCCCAACCTGAACACAAATATTAAGGCTAACAAAAGGGTATATTTATACGCAAATTCTGCTCAGTGTTGGAGATTCGTGAACAATTTAAAAGTCACTGTTTTAATAGACTATGCTGTTCCTGGCATTTCTGATACTAAGTAAATGTGCCCAGGAAAGAAAAATAAGAAAAAAAGAAAAGAGAAATAAATGGGAAAAGTAGTTGATAATATATTGTTGTTGTAACTCTATTTTTTAAGAACCCTCAACCCACTGCCATTCTTCTCGTGTGTAAATTTTGAACCTAAACTGAACGAAAGAGGCTAAGAATATATGGCCAATGATTGAGATAGGAGTCAATGGTAATACAATTTAAGGCTTCTTGTTTTAAACTTCTTAATAGGTCTAATTCAACTGCCAAGCTTAGACATTCAGGTGAATGGATTTGAAAAACATTTAATTAAAACATTAATTTCGTACAGATAGTGCCTAACTTATGTTGGTTCAATTTATTATTTTTTGACATTATGATAGATTTATCGGGATATAATGCCATCCAGAAGTCAAGGAGCATCTGAATATCTGTCCTAAAAAATACAGTATGAAACTCTGTGCAGTCATAAGAAAACAGTAATGCGAAATTTAAATTCCACATTTCGGTGAAAACAGTGCTTTCATCAATACTACTCAACTTTTACTCCTACATTGACACCCAAAGTTAAGATGAAAGTTATTTCCTTAATGTTTGACAAATAGTTTTCAAACAGCTAATAGCAAATGCCAGACACTGTGCTAGCCCAGGGAAAGCTTATTGGGGAAGGCAGATATGTAAATCGGGTCTTTCTGAGCACACGAACAGGGATTCCCTTATTCATAAATCACTTAGGGTGATTTTCATGGTCTGATGCAAGGACTCCAGAGAGAGAGAGAGAGAGAGAAGTATAAGGTGTTGTTCCAGTGTGTTTAGGGGAGGTGAATGAACAAGAGAAAGGACATGTTGCCCTGCCAATCCCCAGGGGAAATGTCTCAGAAAACTCAGGGTGATTTCCCCATTACCTCCTTTCTTACTTTTTTTTTGGTGAATTATTGAGGACTGGCTGACCTAGCTAGTTCTATTTCTACTGTTACCACCTGTTGCTGCTAAGAATCTCTCTCTTCTCCTGGCCCACTGGTTTTAGAACCAGGTCTCCAATTTTTCTCTTAGAACCTCCTACTCTGAAGGAAGTACATGGTACTCTGGACATTTTTTTCAAAGTTTGATTATTCTTAAATAGTAACGAAAAATGGGGTTTAAAAAAGGTTATTTTCCATGTCCTTCCTCTAATTTTTTCATTTACCGTAGAAAAGGGCAAAGAGGACCTGTATATTTGGGTGCAAATAAAACTTAAGAATAAATCTGTGTTTTTTAGGAAAACTGATTTGAGGTAAAGCTGAATGGATGCCAAGGACCCCTACACTAAGGTTGGGAAGAAGGGCTGCAGTGAGGAAAAGAAAAAGGAGAAGTGGATTGAACTATGAGTTTATTCCTTTTCTCTCCACTCTTCCATTTTATCACATGGCCATGCATTCTGCTCTAACAGATATCCCAGAACCAGCTCAGGGGAAAGTGAGCCTTTATACTTTTTAAACTAACATATATCCATATCATTTCTTTCTAATTATTAACTTCCTAAAGGGAATGGTTCAGTATAGTCAAATGTGGGTTATATAAGCTTAATAAATAACTGGATAAATAATTTCATTAAAAAAAGATTATGAAGAATGCTGAAAACAAAAGGTATGTTGGTGACTTGCTCATATTGTTACACTGCAGCTCTTTCTCTCCTGGTCTAAGAGATGGGACTGAAAGAGTACTATGTGAGAATTACCAGAAATGAGTTTAATATAAGAATACTGTACCTTTAGGTCCTTTCCCAGGTGTGGGCTCTACAGTAGTTTTGCTCCATATAAGCATGACTCCACCTGAGTCTCCAGTAAGAACATCTCCATTCCCCAAGAATGCTAAACACTGCACAAATTTTGGCTTTTCATATTTCTACAAGGAAACAATAAAAATTTTCAGTTTTCTTTTTGCCATGACAACTTGATGCTTATTAAACAATTAAAAAAATTAAAGTCTTATACACCTAATGACATTAAAACAATCTGATTCTTACCCCAAAAATTCCCTGTTTTCTTGTTAGTGAATTGCCGCTCCAGGTCCAGAAGAAAATATGAGATTTACCGCATGTAATTATGGTATTTGCATCTGTTGGGTGAAACTCCACAGCCAAAACAACTTCATTTGTTGTCTATGAAAAGGGAAATAAAGCTTTAGATGAATGTATATCCTTATCTCCTTCAAGTATCAATTCAATTACTGCTACTTACAATTAACGATAGGGCAAGATTTTGAGAAAATGCCTCTTCTTCTAAGACAATTTTCCTGAAAAATTTTGATAATGTATTTTTTGGGATGATTTAAATTTGATGTCCTTGTATTATCGTATCACCTTTTATGCTATTTATAAAAACGCTGCATTAGAAAGACACTTATATGAATACCTTTAACTTCTTGCACATGCCAGAAAAGTACACTTAAAACTGTCGAATTTAAGAGCAATGTACATTCTTTCTTAAAGACACTGCTATTTGTATTGAAAGAAAGAAAAGAAAGTCTTATCTTTCTTTGTACTATTATTATGGAGCATTCATTCACGCAACAATTTTTTTTTTTTTTAAGACACAGTCTTGCTCTGTCACCCAGGCTAGAGTGCAAATGGAGTGATCTTGGCTCACGGCAACCTCTGCCTCCGGAGTTCAAGTGGTTCTCCTGCCTTAGCCTCCCCAGTAGCTGGGACCACAGGCGCCCACCACCATGCCCAGCTAAGTTTTGTATTTTCAATAGAGACATGGTTTCACCATGTTGGCTAGGCTGGGCTCGAACTCCTGACCTCAAGTCATCCGCCCACCTCAGCCTCCCAAAGGGCTGGGATTACAGGCATGAGCCATTGCGCCCAGCCTCAACAAAATGTTTAGAGATTAGGACTAATTTAGAGATATGTCCTTCAGGCTGAACCCTTAAAAAGTAGATTTAGAATGGTCACTACTGATTCCTACAGAAATTAAAACAAAAACATTCCCAGAGGGCTTTTATGCTCTTTTCCCTCAAAAAATCTAGCAAAGACAGGCATTAAGTTTAAAAGATTTATGGTGGACTAGGAAGAATACAAGCATGAGACTCAAGAAGAAATTACTAGTTTTTTCATTAAAATGATTTCAATTGAGGATATCATTCTAAAACAGTGTATTTCTATAATTTCAGTAAATCATAATTCTCACTAAATTGATATTTTATAGTAAAATCATCTACTCAAACTTAACACTGAGGTGAAACTTAACTACATGCCTGTAAAGCTCCTTATTATTAGCTAGTGTTTATTTACAGGGTGATCATTAATGTCTACTTTTTAACTTAGCAAAGAACTTTACGTGTACGGAAGCATTTCCTTTTGGCAAAACAACATGGGCCGGGCGTGGTGGCTCACGCCTGTAATCCCAACATTTTGGGAGGCTGAGGCGGGTGGATCACGACGTCAGGAGTTCAAGATCAGCCTGGCCAAGATGGTGAAACCCCGTCTCTACTAAAAATACAAAAAAGTAGCTGGGCGTGGTGGTGGGCGCCTTTATCCCAGCTACTTGGGAGGCTGAGGCAGAGAATTGCTTGAACCCGGGAGGCAGAGACTGCAGTGAGCTGAGATTGCACCACTGCGCTCCAGCCTGGGTGACAGAGTGAAACTCTGTCTCAAAACGAAACAAAACCAAGATAAAGATGATAGTCTTATGAACCGAGTTAAAAATAATAAATTTTATGTTATACTAATTAAATGACACTTGAAACGGTTGTTGTAAATTCTTTTTTTTCCCTCACAGTTCCAATATTTCCATGAGTTTTACATTTCTGTTACTTAACATTTGGGCTTAAGGGCCTTTGCATAAGCACATAAATAAAATTCAACTAATAAAATCTAATCTAGGCCAGGTGTTGTGGCTTATGCCTGTAATCTCAATGCTTTGGGTGGCCAAGGTGGGAGGACTGCTGAGGCCAGGAGTTAGAGATCAACTGTGCAACATAGTGAGACCTGTCTCTACAAAAAGTAAATTAGCCGGCGTGGCGGTGCGCGCTGTAGTTTTAGCTACTTGGGAGGCTGAGGCTGGAGGATTCATTTGAGCCCAGGAGTTTGAGGTTGCAGTGAGCTGTGATTAAGCCACTGCACTCCAGCCTGGGTGACGCGTGAGACCCTGACCAAAAAAAGAAAAAAAAAAAAGTTGAAGATAAAGTACAGCACATCTTGCTTGTTACGTAATTTTCCACAGTGATGCAGTAGTATAGAACTATATACATATTTAGCAAGTCTAAGTAAAGTTTAAAGATTGACTGAACAGTCTTTAGTTTTCACTCAGACAAATCAAAACTACATGACAGTTAAATCTTAGGCCAAATTAAGATAATCAAAGGGTTGTAAAACTAACTACAAATATTCCCAGCATACCCATCATGCTAGTGATAAGACAGTCAAGATATAAACTGAAGAAATCTATGAGTTTAAATCACTTTGCGTATGAGTATTGCCTTACAGGATATATCCTTTTAACTTTTTATTGATATATATTTTATATACATATATATATGCACACAGATTTTAAGTACATAGCTCAATAAAGTTTTATAAATTGAAAACATCGCTATTCAGCATTCAGAACAAGAAACAAAACATTACTAACCTTCCATAAATACCCTAGATCCCCTTTCCAGTCACTATCCCCTTCCTCTATTTAACCATCATCCTGACTCTTAGCAGCAAAGATTATTTTTCTCCGTTTCATTCAAATGGAATTATACACAATGCATTCCTTCATGTCTGGGTTATTTTGTCAACATTTCATTTCTAAAATCCATTTGTGTTGGTGCATATAGGTGTACCTTGTTCATTCTATTTGCTCTATTGTAATCTTTTGTATGAAAATATCACATTATTGACTTAACCATTCTCCTGCTGATGGGCAGGGTAGTTTCCATGTTTTTGGCTACCATAAACAGCACTGCTATTTGCCTTCTAGCAAACACATGTATATATTTCTGCCGAGATGAACAATTTGGGCCAGAAAGCATGCATATGTTCGACTTTAGGTTATGTCAAATAGTTTTCTGAAATTCACTAAATTGTTCCTAAATTCACTAAGGAACAATTCACAAAGTTCCTAAATACACTAAAATTTATCTTTCTGCTCTAAAAGTGTCCTTTCCTCCATGTCCCACAAAACTCCTATAATTCAGAATACAGTTGCCAACGCCTAAGAACTGAAGAGATAATATGGCTATTATCAACTTACATGCCCAGCAGCACTGTGTGAGAGTTCCAGTTACTTTGCCTCCTCAGCAACCTTAGTATTTTTGTCTTTTTCACGTAAGATATTTTGGTAGGTGCATAGTGGTATTGCACTTGGGTTTTAATTTGAATTTCTTTGATAATTAATGAGGTTGTGTACCTTTACATATGCTTATTAATCACCTGGACACCCTGTTTTATGTAGTGCCGGAAGTCTTTTGCTGTTTAAAAAACTGTCTTTTTCTTACTGAACTATAGATGCTTATATATTCAGAATATGAGTGTTTTGTTGGAAGTATGTATCACAAATATTTTCTCACACTCTTAAAGGTGTCTTGATAGGCGGGGCGTGGTGGCTCACACCTGTAATCCCAGCACTTTGGGAGGCTGAGATGGGAGGATCACTTGAGATCAGGAGTTTGAGACCAGCCTGGCCAACATGGTGAAACTCTGACTCTATTAAAAAAATACAAAAATTAGCTGGGCATGGTGGCACACGCCTGTAATCCCAACTACTCAGGAAGCTGAGGCGGAAGAATCACTTGAACCCAGGAGGCGGAGGCTGCAGCAGTGAGCCAAGATCATGCCACTGCACTCCAGCATGGGTGACAGAATGAGACTGTCTCAAAAAAAAAAAAAAAAAAAAAAGGTGTCTTGATAAAGAGAAGTTTTTAACATGATTTATCTTTTTCTCCCATTATGGTTAGTACTTTATATGCCTTAAGAAATCTACTTATAAAGGTGTTCTGTATTTTCTTCTAAAAGCTTTACTGTTTTTTACCTTTCATGCTAAGATGCATAATCCATCTAAAACTGATTTTTCTGAATGCTGTGAGGGAGGGGTCAAGGTAATTTTTTTTTCATATGAGTATCCAATTAAGCCAGCACCATTCACTGAAAACATTATTCTGCGCCTACTGCATCGCCACCTTTGGCATAAGTCAAGCAACTGATTTGTGTAACCTGTTTCTATATTCTCTTCCACTGATCTATGTTTGTATCACAATGTCTTAATTACATAAGTCTTGATATTTTATATTTTATGTGCTTTGACCTTATTCTTTTTCTTTACAATTGTGGCTATTCCCTATTTCTTCCCCTTCATATTTCCACATATATTCAGTTTGTCAACTCCTATGAAAGCTGAGTTTTGACTCTGCTAAATGTATATATAGCTCAATATGCAAAAGTGACGTCTTCATCGTCTCCTATCCATGATTATGTAACATCCCTCCTCTTTAATTTCTGTCAGTAAGGTTTTTAAGTTGCCTTACTGAATTTTATTTTTATTTTGAAAATTAAAAAAAATTTTTTTGAGACAGGGTCTCGCTCTGTTCCCCTGGCTGCAGTGCAGTGGCACAATCTCAGCTCACTGCAGCCTCAATCTCCTGGGCTCAATTGATGCTTCCACCTCAGCCTCCCAAATAGCTGGAACTACAAATGTGCACCACCATACCCTGCTATTTTTTTTTTTTTTTTTTGGTAGAGACAAGGTCTCATTATGTTTGCCCAGGCTGGTCTCGAACTCCTGGACTCAAGTGATCCTCCTGCCTTGGCCTCCCAAAGTACTCGGATTATAGGCGTGAGCCACAGCACCCAGGCCCTTACTGAATTTTAATGTTAATTTTTTATTTTTTTTCATGAGAGGTCCCACAAGCTCGGGTCATCTGGGCTGCCCTCGCCTTACTGAATTTTAAATTTACATAAATTAAAAAGTTATATATCAACTCCCCAAATCCTTGTGACTTAAGCAAGGATGGAGCTCATCTATAGTAGAACAGAATAAGGTCAAGACAGGGAGAAGAGGAGAGACAGTCAACCCGTAATCCGGCCCCTGAATCAAGTCATTTCTGAGTCAAAATCTCCCTCTGACCTTTACTAGAGGTTTTCTCTTCCTCCCTAAACAGGAGTCAATACATCCTCTGTTTTGATTAAGTTAACTTTATTTTTATTATTTTTTGAGACGAAGTCTTGCTCTGTCGCCCAGGCTGGAGTGCAATGGCGTGATCTCGGGTCACTGCAACCTCTGCCTCCAGGGTTCAAGCAATTCTCCTGCCTCAGCCTCCAGGGTAGCTGGGGTTACAAGCAACTGCCACCATACCCGGCTATTTTTTTTTTTTTTTTTTTTTTTTTGTATTTTTAGTAGAGATGGGGCTTCACGATGTTGGCCGGGGTGGTCTTGAACTCCTGACATCTAATGATCTACCCACTTTGGTCTCCCAAAGTGCTGAGATTACAGGTGTGAGTGACTACCCCTGGCCAGATTAAGTTAATTTCAATTGTTTTGCAGTCGCTTGTACTAGAAAGTGCTATAATGCAGATATTTGGGACACGGTGTTTAGAGAACTTCCTGACTACCTGGATGTGAGAAGTGAGGTAAAAAGAGCCATGAATGATGTCCAAGTTTCTAGCTTAGGTAGCTAGGTGAAATGCGGAGTCAATCACTAAGGGATGAAACTGGTGGTTGGGGGCTAGGAAAGATGATTATGTACAGATTTGAACATGGTGATTTTCATTTGTGGTAGAGGACATTCAAATAAAGATGTCTAGGATGCAACTAGAAATATGAGTTAAACCTGTTAGAGATCTGGGCTGGAGATAACTGATACGGGACTCAGCAGATAGAAAATGAGGCCATGGGAGCAGCATATAGTATCAGTGGAGCATGTGGAATAAAACTCTGAAGAACACCAACATTTAAAGTCCTGGAAAGGAGATCGAGAAATCGCCAGTAGGAGGAAAACCACAAGACTTCATCTGGTAAACCTTACTATGAAGAATCAAAATTGATATATTTCATTTTCATGCAACTTCCCTATGTTTCAATGTTAAATTACTCTGAATAACTGGAAGTCAATCTATATCTTCATTTATGTTTTTTAAAGTTTGAGGTTTTCTGACAACTTATATTCCTTTTAAGTACAATCAAATCTACTTCTTTCAAAATGTTAAGTTAAACATCACATCATCTTTCTGCCCAACAAGCTAAAAGCTTGAAGCTTACTCAAAACAAAACTGTTAAGAGAGGAGTTGGAGAGTAATGTGATGTTATTTAAGAGTATGGCAAATATTACACAGACTTTTTAAAGCCATTCTATCACTTTGAATCTTTTTAAATGCCTGTCAGAGGGAGAAGTCCATTTCTGGCTCATATAAACCCAGCTTCAATGCATTTTACATTCTTCTCTTACAACGTACAGCTTGATCTACACAGAGATCAACCCTTGTACTGTAAAGAGTTATAATGCAATTATAGCAATTATAAATGCTATTGAATTTTCTAAAATAATCCTACAAACACAATTAAGACCAAAAAACTTAACATAAGCCCTTCAGTTACATCAGTCGTATTCCTACTGAATTTTTCCTCTAGATTTCTAAAGCTTTAAAGATGGAATGAAATTACATGTTTTATTAAAGAAGAAAACCAAGAAGTGTGTTCAGTCTTAATTATGAGATCACACATCCATCTACTCTGGCATTTCAGGACTATAGTAATGTCTGAAATATTGAAATTGCTTCAAGTTGCTTGACTATTTTATCTTGTATAACTATAGTGTTAATATCTTAACGATTATGACAAATCACTAAATTTGCTGAATTTGGCTAGTAGATCTGCTTTTGCGACTTACGAATAGATAGTTCTAATACCAATATAGTTCCAAATACCTGCAAAACAAGTAACGTACTCTAAAACACAATACTCGGTTTTTTAAAAATTTACCTTTATTTCTGCTCCTTTTGCTTTCTTCTGCCAGTCCCATACAGTAAGCATATGCTCATTGGAGTCATCAATAATACATAAATGAACACCTGAATCCTAAAGAAAAGTCAATCAGAGGCATTTTAAAATTCACTGATAGGGCTAACATTCTAAGAAAGAAATACCATCTTATTAAAACTGCAAATAGTAAGATAACCCAAAATCCTTTAAACTCATCGCTCTCTGAAACATAATGAATACACTATTTACTACAATTGTATTTTCCTCAAAAATATAAAGATTCTTTTACAAAATATTCTATTTAAATCCCCTCATCCCTCCAGGTTATTTCCACTTGCCATCTAGTCACTCCTATTATTCAGAGATAGTGACTAATTTTGAGGCTATCCTAGTCCCTTCTGCATCTTATGCTTCCTTCTTGCTGCCTGTATTAAGCTATTTTTCCTTGTGGTAGGTAAGAAGAAATGTACACAATTTCATAACTTTGTTCCTCACTAAATTTTGACAGTTTGACAGAATAAGCTAAAATTCATGGCTATTTTAGAGTTTGCTGATTTCAGTTTTCTGTGAGATACCTGACTTACATTAACTTGAATAAACAACCTAAGTAAAATTATAATGAAATTCCTTTTTTATAATGAAATTTCCTGTTTTTCTGAAACCATTCTCATTCACGTATTTTAAGTATTCCAGTTTAAGAAAAATACCTATAGATGATATTAAATGCTTTTTAAAAATAGTATCATTTGTGAAATATGCTTTACAATGTTATGGAACAGAGAAACATTGTAGTGAAGAGTGAGAGGCACTGAGGAAGGGCAGAGCTTACTCTCTTCTCCTCTTTATCTCTTAGCCTAAATTGGAATATTATCTGAATTAGAAAAGATAGAGTTATGAGGCAATTCAAGATGGTCTTAACACCGTAACAATGGTTATCAACAACCTGACAACAGTTCCTGCTATAGAGATTTATGGGAGAAAATAAAGTAGCAAAAGTATTGCCTTTATGACCTCTTATCTCCTTTTCTAAATGTCCTTCTCCCAATTCCTGACTTGTTGGACCCTTGACATTCAGTGCCTTCAAGCTAGCAAAGTTCCTAAATTCACTAAAATTTATCTTTCTGCTCTAAAAGTGTCCTTTCCTCCATGTCCCACAAAACTCCCATAATCCAGAATACAGTTGCCAATGGCTAAGAACTGAAGAGATAATATGAATATATAACTGAGGTCACATAAAATCTACAGGGGTATTTATCTTTGAAACTAAAAAAGTATGTATCCTAAAATATAGAAGGTTGACTGTATACTTTATAATCATAATTACATACAATTCAAGAAAAAACCAGAATGTTTAAATGAGTAAGATCTTGTCTTATTTTACCCTTAGAATAAAGCCTCAACACTTAGAAAGGACTGCTGGGGAAAATTTTAAACCCATGTTGTCATCAATTCAAAACCAAGATAATTCAGGACTTCAGGAAATACAAAGGTCTGATTGTTTCTGCTGCTCAAATATGACATCAAGAAAAGCCAATATTTGTACAGAACTGGCCAAGTTTGCTGTGAATTTTTAAAATAAAATAGATCTTTTCTATGATTCAAGGTAAGGCAAAAATGCATCCTATTGCTTGTCTGAAATTGTACTATGCTTTGTATATATTCCTCTAACCACTTCCTGCTACTACATGGGAGCTCTACCTCAAGGCAGCATAATTCCAAGAATAATTAAAGTAAAATATCTTGCATCCTAACTAAACCAAAGTACTTTAGGACTTAGGTCAAAATGCTAGCCATTTAGCAATAGCTAATATGTTAGCAATAGCTAGCATCTCATTTTTCAACTCAGGATTATCACTTCATGGCCACATAAACACAAAACTGAGCTTAACTTCTTTCCTGCTTTTTTGTTCAGCTTGCTTACTTCTCTAAAAATTGTTACTTACTGCTTTTGAAAAATCCAGGCATCCTACTCCACGCTCAAAAGTGCCAAGTCCAATAATCTGCAGTGTGGATAGAGTAACAGAATCCCACACTCTGACGTGGGGTTGTAGAGGCTGCAAAAACACAAGACAGCAGAGCAACTGGACAGGTGGATGCAAATAAACACCAATAGCACACAGAACTAATGCCATTTAAAAAAGTAATAGGGATGGATAAGCTTCTAATAAATTACTAGATTTAGACATGCCTCCAAATGAATCTTAAGTAGGTATTTTCTTATACTGTGAAAATAAGAAAATAGCAGCAAATAACTTGTGTATTTACTATGTTACACATACTATTCTAAGTATTACACATATTAATTCATTTAATCCTATGCACTACAGGTACACTATTATAATTATCATTTAACAGATGAAGAAATTGGAATACAGAGATTTAAATAACTTGCCCAAAGTGATACCGCTATTAAAAGGTTGAGTCGGCCAGGCACGGGGGCCCACACCGGTAATCCTAGCACTTTGGGAGGCCGAGGCGGGCGGATCATGAGGTCAGGAGATTAAGACCATCCTGGCTAACAAGAGTGAAAACCCATCTCTATTAAAAATATAAAAAATTAGCCAGGCATGGTAGTACGCGCCTGTAGTCACAGCTACTCAGGAGGCTGAGGCAGGTGAATTGCTTGAACCTGGGAGACACAGGTTGCAGTGAGCCAATATTGTGCCACTGCACTCCAGCCTGGGAGACAGAGCAAGACTCCGTCTCAAAAAAAAAAAGAAAAAAAGAAAAAAAAAAGGTGGAGTCAGGATTCTAATCCAGGCAAATCTGCTCCGGATACTTTTGCTTTTAGTATTACTAATCTTCATTCCTGAGAAAATAACACATTTTATCAATGTCCAATAAACTGCTAAACAGCCCTTAAATAGCATTTGAAACTGGAAGGGGTCTTAGAAGTTATCCAGTAGAAACCTTCTACTCCTTTTCTTTAAAGAAACTGAAGCCTGAGAATGTCATGAGTATAGTCATACATACGTTACTCAGTCACCATTAATAGTCACTGTTGATCCTTAGAAATAAGGTATTTGTTATACAAACCAACTGAATAATATTAAATAGTAACTGTAACTCTTTAAGTTGTATCAGTTCTAGTCACACATAAAATCAAGAGTTAGCCGGGCATGGTGGCACACACCTGTAGTCCAGCTACTCACTCAAGAGGCCAAGGCTGGAGGATCACTTGAGCCCAGGAGTTTGAGCCCAGCCTGGGCAACGAAGTGAGATTCCACCCCTATAATTAATTAATTAATTAATTAAGAAAGTAAATAAGAATCAACAGGTTCATCAACTAAGGGAAACTGCAGTACCTTCCCGCAGACACTGGTTACTTTATATGTTATTTTATATAAAGAAAATGTAACGAGCGTATCAGTTTTCCCATTTTTACAGTAAATAGCTTCTTAAGGGAGAACACTTATTTTTTAAAAACAAAATTTATTAGTATGACTCTGTCTTTTAAAGTGTTCTTATATCCTAATGTTTTTTCCATGCTTATACTAGAAATTCCTCAGTACTTAAATTTTAAAAGAATAAAACAAATGAGTTGTGGTTAAAATTACAATAGATTCCACTCTAACAGCAATGTCTCTAGGTACAGAAGGCATAACACTATGCCACTCACCCTTCCATCTTTATCCACGCCAGCTATCTGTCCAGTTGCAATCCTAATTTTGTCAGGATGTATAGCAAGGCTAAAAAGCAGTATTAAGAATGATTTTAAACACAGGAAACATGAAACAACAGAATACCTTTGTACTGACATTTTTCAAATAAGCAGTTTTTAATCGTTAAAAAACATACGTTTATCTGTTTTCTTCAGCAAATCAAACAATCATCAAATATCTGAAGATTTCTGAATTTTCAGCTGTACTTTTTACTTGTTAAGCTGCACAGATTAATGAAACACTAAGTTCAAAGAAAATATTTATAACTGTGGCATGCTAACGAACTGTTTTCATTTGCTGAAGTTCCTTTCTAGTCCACGCACAATGGCATACAAATCACACGACTTTATTATAGTGAAGATGCAATATTGTGCTGTTTAATTTTAATCTATTAAAGTACAAGCATTTTTTCCTTTTGCTACATAATCCTCATACATGCTGACTTGACAACTCTTCCATCTTTTAGGCCATTTCTTACTTTTCAACAAAAGAAAACAGCAATGAGCATCTTCACACATAGTGCTTTCAATCTTTTAATTAGTTCTTAGCGCTAAATTCTTGTAAGTCAAACTGAGGCAAGGAATTTTTAAATAGAAATGGGAAGTAGCGTAGCATATGTGCCTAAATTACTCACAGCACGTATATGAGTGACTAGCAAATTTCTGAAAAAGACATCTTTATGTCCATATCTAGACTCTTTCAACAACGGTTGTACACTGTGAACATTCTCTTGCTCTTAAATATTTGTACTTAAGAACACATCAGAGGGATATTTACATATTAATACATAAAGTGCTTCCTCATTCTTTACAGCTACATGGTGACCTATAGGTACACTACAACCTCACCAGTAGTCCCCAACTGAAAAATACTTAGGCTGTTTCTAATCTTCATCACAAACAATGCTGCAGTAAATAGTTTTGTACATACATTATTCTGCAAGTGTAAAAGGCAATATTTTAATCAACTCCAAAAGTTCAATATCTATATAATATTATAATAGTCATCTATTAATTTTTTTCTGGATAAAGATACAGGTGCCAGCATAGTACAGACATAAAAGCTTTTAAATGTTGGAAAACATCCAGTCAGTCCTTGGATCTAAGTGGGGAAAAGGGTAATAAATAAAAAATAAAAGTTGGAAAATATTAATAAACAATAAATAATTGCATTTAACTAAAAAGTAACAAAATAATTTAAAAGCATTTAAAAGGAGTTCTCACATTTGTAGTATGACATCCTACGGCATACTTATGATCCTTATTCAGCTAGATTTCTTTCTTCCCAAAAGAATAAAGCTTCAAGTATAAAATTTATCTACATAGGACAAATCCTCAATAAATATCGAGTAACCAATAATCACTTTCAGAAACCTGAAAATGTCCAGTCTGTCCCATATATGTTTCACACTACAGACCAGAGAAGAGAAGGACTGTACGACATGAGAAAGCAGAAGAGGTTCCAATCATGATTTATGGAGGATGTGTTTTGTTGCTGCTGATACCACACCACCATTTTGGAGGCCGAAAGTCCTTTTTTTCTTTTTAAAATATATTCAACAGATGACCCATAATATTTTTACATTCTGAGCTTTCCACAAGAAATCACTTTCAATAAAACCCAAATTTAAAAAATACAAAATGAGGGCCTGAAAGAACAAAAATGAACCAATGTTAAATGATACCAACCATTTCACACAGTCTGTATGGCCCAGGTAGTGTCGCTGAGTTCTCTCCTCATAATTAAATAGTACTACTACTGATGCAATGAAATAAACTATTTTCCCGGTCGGAAGAAGGTAAACATTAGCTCTACAGTCCTTTCCTCGATAACCATATCTTAACAGAAAAAGAGTCAAGGTTTTAAATAAACACAGTTTTCAAGTTGTTAACAGATTTTTCATGGATACTTAAGGAATTAGGAAGGTACAATGAAGAAGACTGAACTAGAACTAGAAAACTCATGTCCTGGACGGGCAGAGTGCTCACACGTGTAATCCTAGCCCTTCAGGAGGCCAAGGTGGGAGGATCACTTCAGTCCAGGAGTTTGAGAGTAGTGCGGGCAATAGTGAGACCCCATCTCGACAGAAAATAAAAAAAATTAGCCAGGCATGGTGGCCTGTGCCTGTAGTTCCAGCTACTTGGGAGTCTGAGGTGGGAGAATCACTTGAGCCCAGGAGGTCAGGTCAAGGCTACAGTGAGCAGTGATCGTGCCACTGCACTCCAGCCTGGGCCACAGAGACCCTGTTGCCGCCCACCCCCACCCCTCCACCAAAAAAAAGGAAAACTCATATCCTGCCATTATCCCTAGCGTAACCTGACTCTTTCAGTATGTTAAGATCTTAGTTTCCTCATTTACCAGACAAATATGTATTGAAATCCTAATGTGTATCAGGCATAATGGTGAACATTCAGTTCTGAACAAAAAAAATGTAGGCCCTATGTCTCTAGAGCTTATCCTCTGGCAAAGAAAAAAAAAAATCACCAAATATAAAATTACAAATCGTGGGGGGGTAAAAAAAAGACTGCTAGGAGAAAGCCCAAATGGAGGACCTAATTTAGATGGAGAGAAAAAGAGAGAGAAGGGAGGGACCAAAAGAAGGCCTATCTGGAAAAGGGATATTTATGCTGGACCTAAATGATAAATAAGTAATAGCAAGGAACAGTTTGGTAGGCAGAATGTTTGTTAAAAATATGTTGTACAGAATGAAAGGATTGGTGAGTGTGTCCAAGCTGATATCTGCCTAAGAAGGGAATAATTCAAGGGACGTGGGAGGAAGTGCAGGAGAATGGAGGCAGACAACAGAGTTCAAACTACCAACTCCTTCTGTTTCACTGAGTTTCTTGGAGGTTCTAAAAGAAGTGAAAATTTCTAGGTGAAATTAGGAAAGCTCTCCTTTAACAGTCATTTAAAAAAAAGTCTGGCTGAAAAGTTAATTCTGAATTAGAATCAGCCTTGTTAATTTGAGGTTACAAAATGCTTAACTGATGTTTTCTTATTTAATTCCTACAACAGCCCCTGTGAGGTATGGGTTATTAATTAACCCCTTTTATAAGTAAAGAAAGTTAAGGTTCACGGAGAGTAAGTGGCAGGGCCAAAACTCAAACACTAGTCTTCCAGTTCCAGTCTAGTGCCTTTTCTAGCAAGTACTTGCCATGATGTTCAAAAAATATTGTTTATCCTTTCCAAAGATATAAACTTTGATGGCTTTAAATTGCTAACAGCAAAGAATTAGAGATAATGTCTCCTTTTTTTTTTTTTTTCTTTTGAGACAGAGTTTTCCCCGGTCGCCCAGGCTGGAGTCCAATGGCGTGATCTTGGCTCACTGCAACCTCCGCCTCCCGGGTTCAAGTGATTCTCCTGCCTCAGCCTCCCGAGTAGCTGGGATTACAGGCATGCACCACCACACCTGGCTAATTTTTTGTATCTTTAGTAGAGATGGGGTTTCACAATGTTGACTAGGCTGGTCTTGAACTACTGACTTTGTGATCCGCCTGCCTCGGCCTCCCAAAGTGCTAGGATTACCAGCGTGAACCACCGCGCCTGGCCTGATGTTTCCTTTTTAATTTTTTAAGTAGCTGTTACTTTTTTTTTTTGTATAAAGACAATTTTGACAGAGAATACGTTAACTGATTTGTTAACTAGAGACAAAGCAAATGAATTTGCTGTCATGGTAGAGAAGGATACGCCCACTCCAGTTTGAGCTTCTCAGGAGGCAGTTCCGTTCTGATGTCATCATAGTTGTCAACATCGGAAGGAATGAACATGGTAATTGGCCGACCGCGCATAAACATTTTAATATATTCTCCTTCTGTTGAAACACAAGACAAAAGTTAAGTCATACGTATTTTCTGTATAGTCATACAAAAGTGGATTATTAACGTGATACAATAAAAACAAGACAAAAATGACTACTTCAAAGTTTTAGTCTCATTATATACAATTGTTTTTGTTATATAGTTGTCCTGTATCCACGGGGGACTGATTTTAGGAACACCTTCCTCAGATACCCAAATCCATGGATGCTCAATTTCCTGATACAAAATGGCATAGTATTCACATATAACCTGTATATTTTGAATCATCTCTAGATTACTCATAATATGATGTGAATGCTATGTAAATAGTTGTTGTATTGTTTAGAAAATAATGACAAAAGTCTGCATATATTCAGTATAACAGACAATTTTTTTCCCCAAATATTTTCAACCCATGGTTGGCTGAATCTGTGGATGTAGAACCCATGGATACAGAGGGCCAACTACATTACACAGCATACAGAAAACAAAGTGATACTATAAAGTCCTAGTCTAAAACATTGTAGGGAAAAATAAACCAATGGCCATTTCCTTAACTGAGAATAATTTTTTGATAATTAAAATATAATTTATCTAAGTTGACACATTTCTACAAGAAGTCCAGGAAGGCTGAGTAGAAAAATGCTAAAGAAAATTTTGTGACAGCAGTTTTTCTAACACTTGAAAAGAAGAGTGAGATTATTTGGATAGACAACAACCATGTCTACCACGCTACTGGATGAACCTACAGATGTTAAACGGCATAACTTTTTCTTATGCCAGGAAACAATCAACAATAAAAAGGCCACCTACAGAACGGGAGAAAATATTTGCAAGCCATATATCTAATAAAGGGTTAATCTCAAAAATATATAAGGAACTCAATAGTTAAATAACAGATTTTAAAATGGACTAAGGACATCTTTTCTTTTGTAGTCTCTCCAAAGACATAAAAATGGCCAACAGGTATACAAAAAACTGTTCAACATCACTAATCATCAGAGAAATGCAGATCACAATCACAATGAAATATTACCTTATACCTGTCGGATGGCTATTAATAATAATAATAATAATAATAAAAAAAGACAGCCGGGCGCGGTGGCTCACGCCTGTAATTCCAGCACTTTGGGAGGCTGAGATGGGCAGATCATGAGGTCAGGAGATTGAGACCATCGTGGCTAACACGGTGAAACCCCGTCTCTACTACAAATATGAAAAAATAAAAAATAAAAAAAATTAGCCAGGCATGATGGCGGGCACCTGTAGTCCCAGCTACTTGGGAGGCTGAGGCAGGAGAATGGCGTGAACCTGGGAGGTGGAGCTTGCAGTGAGCCAAGATCGCGCCACTGCACTCCAGCCTGGGTGACAGAGCAAGACTGCGTCTCAAAAAAAAAAAAAAGACGGCAAGTGTTGATGAGGATGTGGAGAAACTGGGACCCTTGTACACTGCTGGTAGGAATGCAAAATGGTATAGTCGCTATGGAAAGCAGGATGAAGGTTCCTCAAAAAGTTAAAAACACAACTACCATATGATGCTGCAATCCCACTACTGGGTATTTTCTAGAAGAACTGAAATTAGGATCTTGAGGAGATATCAGTATTCTCAGGTTCACAGCAGCACTATTCACAATAGCCAAGATGTGGAAACAACCTAAACTCAACTGAATAAGGAAAATGTGGCATGCACATATATATATACACACACACACATCTTGCAATAATAAAAAACAAAAACATGACCTCAAGATTTCAAATATAATACCCTGAGATTTTCAAGACAGTGCTAAGAAACAGTTTCCTTATTGGCAGCATAGGTATCTTATATTTACATAAACCAATAGGTGTTTATAAGATCTGCGACAGTCTAAAACTAAAACGTTAAAAAACACAAGTCTAGAATCAAATCAATACATTTTTTTTTTTTCCAAGAGAGTTTCGCTCTTGTTGCCCAGGCTAGAGTGCAATGGTGCCATCTTGGCTCACTGTAACTTCCACCTCCCGGGTTCAAGTGATTCTCCTGCCTCAGCCTCCCGAGTAGCTGGGATTATAGGCATGTGCCACCATGCCTTGCTAATTTTTTTGTATTTTTAGTAGAGATGGGGTTTCACCATGTTGGTCAGGCTGATCTTGAACTCATGACCTCAGGTGATCTAACCACCTCAGCTTCTCAAAGTGCTGAGATTACAGGCGTGAACCACCATGCCTGGGCAATATTACACATCTTTTACAAAAGAAAATACTTCACTCAACTGATGGATTTTTTTTTTTTTTTTTTTTTTTTTTTTTTGAGATGGAGTCCCGCTCTGTCACCCAGGCTGGAGTGCAGTCGCATGAGCTCGGCTCACCGCAACCTCCGCCACCCGGGTTTAAGTGATTCTCCCCACTCAGCCTCCCAAGTAGCTGGGATTACAGGCATGCACCATCACAACTGGCTCATTTTTGCATTTTTAGTAGACATGTGGTTTCACCACGTTGGCCAGATTGGTCTCAAACTTCCGACTTCAAGTGATCCGCGCCCCCTCAGCCTCCCAAAGTGCTGGGATTACCTGTGTGAGCCACCGCATGCGGCCGCAATTGTTTCTTAGTCCTTTGAAAACAAAAAACCAAAAAAACCCCACCCCGACTTAACCCTGCCTCTAGCATCCCAGTGACCTACATACAACAGGTTTAATAATATTGATGGTGATTGTGAAATGGTTACAAAAGGAGCTAAAGGGGAGACAAAGACTTAGTACAAATACATGGGAAATGTCTAGCACTTGCCAACTTGTCTGGCATGATATGAAAATAGCATTAGAACCAGACTGAAAATGTGATCATCAACCAGAGGCTGATACAACCTTAGGATCTCTAATAATGACTTAAACGACCTAAGGAGAAGAGTATGTAATAATGCAGTAGTTTATATGATGCAAACCATGAAGAGGAAGGAAAGATTAATTACTTCTTGAATGTCTGCAAGTATTTCTTCAGTCAGATTAAAAGGTTTGCTTGGGCTGGGCATGGTGGCTCATGCCTGTAATCCCAGCACTTTGGGAGGCCGAGGCAGACAGATCACGAGGTCAGGAGTTTGAGACCAGCCTGGCCAACACGGTGAAACCCCGTCTCTACTAAAAATACAAAATTTAGCTGGGTGTGGTGGTACATGTCTGTAATCCCAGCTACTCGGAAGGCTGAGGCAGGAGAATTGCTTGAACCTGGGAGGCGGGGGTTGCAGTGAGCCGAGATCACGCCACTGCACTCCAGCCTGGCGACAGAGTGAGACTCCGTCTCAAAAAAAAAAAAAAAAAGGTTGTGCTTGTTATGGGTGAGAAGTTCAAGTTATTTTTATTATTATTACTCAGTGTAGTTGGCCTCAGAGTTTGATCTAAGAACAGGCTAAGGCCTCCCACACTATGGTTTCAACATCACATGATGTACGTCTTCATTACTTCTGAATCTAAGAGTGGGCTCTGCTTCCTGATGATTTTTAGCATAGCTGAAATTTGATAAGAAAATGACCAGCTGTAAATATTCCCTACTTCTGCAGTCATCCTGATCTGTATTTCCTTGTCCTTATTTGTATAGTTTACTCTTTTAAGTGTCAACTTGTTATATAATTTTTCCTCTAGTTTTTAAGATTACAAACTTTCTGAAGGCAGATATCTCATCCTTTGGAATTTATTCCAGGATCTTTTATCAGAGGTGTACATCATAAATACTTTCTGAATAAAAAAGACATTTAATAGATGCTTCTATCACCACTTAGAAAGGAGTGTAGGTATAGCAAAGGGGGAGGGTTAGTGATAGTATCAAGGAAGAAAAAAAAATGCTCTCCTTTTTGAACAGGCACAGCTCAGAACACCATATTGGGTATCAAGTGTCAAGCAGCCTAAGAAACCAAGTAGAAAAGCAAAGGCATGATGTAGTGCTTCTAACTTTTCTGATATGATATAAAAATGGCAATGCATATTAGGATGACAATGCTTTCACTATCTATAAATTGGTCATATATGTTGGAGATCAAGTATATAACCTAAGCACTTCAAACAATTTCTGGCAATACATTATAGTGAAAACAGCATGAGCTTTGGAAAAGATTACGACTTGAATCTTAGCTTCACGCTTTGTTAACTGCAAGACTGGCTTCGTTTTCTCAATACATAAAGTGATAATACTACCTACTGTTTGGAATTATAAGTGATTAAATAAGACATCACACTGTAAAGCATAATATGAGGTTATTGACATATTTATCCTTTTGCCTTTGAAAGGGATTTATGACCACTCTAAACACTGTTTAGCAATTGTTTATGATTTAGTACACTATAGTATCTTTTCATAAGCTTTAAAGTGACTGTCCGCAGAACAGCAAGTAAGCAAACTAGAATTCTGCTGAGTCTATTATGTACACTTTAAAACAACACAAATTCATTTGCAGGAAATGAAAATGAGAGAAGTGGGAGAGTACATGATGACTGAGGGTGGGGACACTGTATTCGAATACCCCATACCCCATCTCAGCGAGGGAGCAGCAAGGCCACTCCATGAAGAATGTGGACCTAGTGGTACTAGGTCTTCTTATTTTTCAAAAGAAATAGAAAATCTATAATTTATTGTGAAACCTGCCAATTTTAAAATGTTTACTCCTCTACCAAAAAAGGGGAAACATCATATGAAAACATACCTTTGGCCTGCACACAACACCAGTTTGCAACCTCTTCTTTTAGGAAGACACTCTTTACCTTGGGTATTAGGTAAAATACATAGATGAAGAGGAGCCTCTTTTCTCCCCAGTCATTGTCAAATTCTCACTGCAAACTTTTTCCTGAGATTCTCGGGCTTCTTGATCTTACAATCATAAAACTTATAGTCAGTATGTATTATCCCAATGCTACTTTCTACCTGTCTTCACTATAAACCACCAGGAAACTCAATAAGGGATGGGCGATGGGACTGATCAAAGCAGAATACGAGATCAGTAACAATACAAAGTCTGGTGGTCCAGAAAAGGAAAGTGAGGAAAACTACCTGCCTCATGATAGTTAAACACAGTATGAGGTATTCAATAATGAAGCTGATGCTAACTTAAATATAACCAGACTCAACATTTTATCTCCAACCTTGGTATGGTGAAAATTTCTGGGACTGAGAGGGAGTGAAGAGAAGACAAGCTTTGTGATACAGACCTTGGTTTGAATCTCAGCTTTAGCACTTACTAACTTATGTTCAAACAACATAAATATTCTTAAGTCAATCTGATCAGTGATAGAGTAGTTTAATTATTAAAGAAGAAATTCTGTAGGATATTGTTCATAAAGGCTGTTGTTCATTTCCCCAGACACATATAATGTTGGGGCTGGATGAAATCTTATAGCTCTCCTAGTCTAACCTCCTTTTACAGAAGGGGAAACCAACACTCAGAGAGGTTAAATAAATTTTTAGACTTTGTTCCAAAATTCTATTACTTAGAACTCGGGAAACATTTCCACTCTAAAACTATGATCTAGACCTGCTCTGTCTAAAATGACAAGACACTGATTACTGAACACTTACCATGTGGCTAGTCTGAATTGAGATATACTGGAAATATACAAACCAGATTTTGAAGACTTAGTATGAAAGGAAAAGTAAAATATCTCACTAATAATTTTTTTATACTGATCACACATCAAAATGACAGTATTTTGGCTACATTGAGTTAAAAATATGCTATTAAAACTTAATATTACTTGTGACTTTTTAAAAATTTGACTAGAAAAATTTCAATTACATATGCGTTATACATTGTATTTCCATTAGGCAGTGCTGTTCAGATACTGCTAAGGGCCTCAGGCTAGTCCAGTTACCGGGTGACAATACAGCTTCCTTTTAATCCAAATAGTACTAGCTTGAGCTCTGAATCCCAACAGCTGGAAATCAGGGAGTACAGTAGAAGAGGAAGATGTTTCTGCTCTACTATCTTTGGAAAGAGTGATTGTTAGGCAAAAAATTGAAATACTTGATGTTGCACTTTCCCTTCTGTGTCCTTCACCCATTCCTCCTAATGCTTGCCCTTCAGTTTCCTTGGGTTTTGCTCTTCTACTTTTGTATCTCCCTTAGGCCATCTGATACTCCGAGGTGTCCCAAATTGCAAAGTGGTTATCATATTCCCTAATCAAAACTCTCATTCTTTTGGGACAGTTATCTCAGGTGTTCTGAGCAAAGCCATATTTTCAAAATGGTTCATACTCACGTATAAATAATGGTTTTTAAAGTAATTTAAGATCCTTATAAAAAAGTATTAATCGTTCACAAATTGTAACAAAGGAAAAGGAAAAATTCAGGCAGAGTGGAGAAGGGAGATGGCTCTGGGCATACTCCATTCCAAGATCAGTTGCTCCAGTGATTTTCTTTTTAAGCTTGCTTTATTTCTGGACTTAGAGATTGTTTAAAAAGAAAAAAAAAGCCTTTCAAAGGCAACAGCAGAACTTCGGGGATTTGGACTGTGATTGTAATTATTTGTGTAATGGGTACTACCTGTAGAAAGCCTTCTGAACGTTTAGATTGCTTACAACTTAAAGCATCTTTCTCCTGAAAGTTTCCATTTTAGGAATCCATTTTTTAATCTGTATTTTACAATCTTTAGAACTAAAAAGCCTCCCCCAAACTGGAATTTGAGTTTTATATTTAACTGAAAGGTAGGAGAGTATGATGCTACTTAATTTCTGCAAACAGAAACTTAAAGAATCTTTACTTAATTTGAGCCTTTTTTCTGATACTATCAGTCTCTACTTCCCAAAACCACAGAGTTAAACAAAAGGACAACCAAAATGCTAGAAATATTTACTGTAATTTTATAGTAGAAAGTGACAAGGACCATTTTTGGAAGGCTAAAATCTTTTCTTAAAAAGGTTCTTTATCCAAACAAAAGACTTCAAGTTCCAGTTAATGATCCAGTTATTTTCTGGTTATAATTCAGTATTTTAAAATTCCAATGAAACAATGGAATCTGTAAGCATGTTTGGATTTTGCCCCCTTTCAATGATCTAGCTGTAAAAATAGTTAAATCATAAAATGTAGATAACCAAATAAACTAAAAGGGAATTTAGAAGGGTATAATCTAACTTTCTTATTTCACAGATTTAAAAAATTTTTAGTTCCAGTACTTGCTAAAGATTAGTAGTTTTATTAGCTAGCATAAAACTTGGGTCTGAAAAAATCTGACTAAGTACAAAATGCTACTTTAATTTTTTTCTTCTATTGGCTGATAAAATTTCCTGAATTTTTAATTACATAGTGGGGTGGGGGATGCACAGTGTAAAAGATATGAACCTAACCTCTTAAGAGCTTAGATTGGAGACATAACCATGTCTTGTGCACCTGTTAATCAACTCTTATACTAATTACACTAGCAAGCCAACTTACAGTTACCCACCTTCTTGAACCTAAACTCCTTTAATCAGATTTCTCTTGATGTTTTGTTTACAATTCTGTCATAAAATTACTTGAAAATATCAGACATGAGTTTGCTTAAGCATTTTAGATTATTTTTACTGCTTGAAATGACTTTATTGGGAAAAGATGGAAAAGAAATCTATTTCAACAATATGAGACACATAAAACTGCTAAAAGACTAACTATACTGCTTAAAACTTTTCTGTAGGCAAAATATGGTTTTATTTTTAAAATTCTCCCAACTCATTCACTTATATCCTCAGGAAAAATTATTTAAAGCACTAAATAAATGAAAAAGCTTTTCATTTTATATGAATATACCAAGTTGCACTTAACTTTTTAAAAATAAGAAATTTGAAAAGGAAACTTCAAATGTCAAAATATTTAACACCCTGGCTCTGCTTTCTCAATTAACTATAGCAGGGAGGCAATCAGGAGGCCTCAGCAGAACATTAAAAACCTGTATATAAAAATTCTGATTAAACAGGATTAATGAGAAGTTTCAACTATAATGTTATTTCTTAAAATATGTTTGAAGGCTGTCCAATTTTTTAAAATAGAAACTATCCCAACTTCTAAGAACATGTTCTTGACATCCTCTTTCCTTATTTTCAGCGAAGAAAAAAGCCCCAGCTGCCTTCTCTGGACATCAAGTATATGACTTCATTAGAGAACGTTCTAATCTTATACGTATTTATTGTGGTTAAAGTCTTTTCATTCAAATTACGTGTATTTTTGCTATACACATACTTTTTAAAAAAAATCTAAACTAGAAAATGTAATTAACCAGAAATTTTTCAGTCTTCAAGTCTGCCAGTTAACTGAGTGAAATATTTTCATAGTTAGAAATCTGTGCTGTCCAGGCCGGGCACAGTGGCTCATGTCTGTAATCCCAGCACTTTGGGAGGCCAAGGTGGGCAGATCACCCGAGGTCAGGAGTTTGAGACCAAAACAAATGAAAAAAACCCCTGAATCAAATAAAGCAAAATGTAAAGATCTGATAAATCTGGGTGGTCAGTATACAGGTGCTCACTATATTATTTGAATATATTTTTAGAAACATTAAAATAGTTCACCAAAGTTTAAAAAGCATTATTAAAGGAAAACAATAGAATATTTTTGGTGAAACTGTTCTTTGGAGAATTGTGAGTGTAGTTCAGGGACGTGGCACAGGATTTACTATGCTTTTTCCTTGAAATCTTGGTATATGCCACTGATCAACCGCAACTCTTCCTGGCTACAGCTAATCACAAATTTTAGCATTCTTTTCAAAGTGCTTCTAGAAAACAATAACAATTACTAGAGTAAGAAATACAGTATAGAATATAACTGCCATTTTTGGACAGGGTTTTTTTTTTTTTTTTTTTGAGATGGAGTGCAGTGGTGCGATCTCAGCTCACTGCAAACTCCGCCTCCCGGGTTCAAGCGATTCTCCTGCCTCAGCTTCCCAAGTAGGTGGGGACAACAGACAGGTGCCATCATGCCTGGCAAATTTTTGTATTTTTGTAGAGATGGGGTTTTGCCATGTTGGCCAGGCTGGTCTCAAACTCCTGACCTCAGGTGATCTGCCCACCTTGGCCTCCCAAAGTGCTGGGATTACAGACATGAGCCACTGTGCCCGGCCTGGACAGCACAGATTTCTAACTATGAAAATATTTCACTCAGTTAACTGGCAGACTTGAAGACTGAAAAATTTCTGGTTAATTACATTTTCTAGTTTAGATTTTTTTAAAAAGTATGTGTATAGCAAAAATACGCGTAATTTGAATGAAAAGACTTTAACCACAATAAATACGTATAAGATTAGAACGTTCTCTAATGAAGTCATATACTTGATGTCCAGAGAAGGCAGTTGGGGCTTTTTTCTTCGCTGAAAATAAGGAAAGAGGATGTCAAGAACATGTTCTTAGAAGTTGGGATAGTTTCTATTTTAAAAAATTGGACAGCCTTCAAACATATTTTAATCTGGAAGACTGCTACTAACCACAACATTATGAAATCAGATCTTTGCTTTATAGGGCTTAAAAAAAAATCTCCAACAGAGGAAAGGTCCCCTTTTTTGGGTCTCCTTTTAAAATACAGATGGCGAGACCAGCGGCCTGGCGGGCCTGCTGTCCTTGGCAGTGCCTTCTCTACCCTCTTAAATAAAATAAATAAAAATACAGAGAATACTTGGACAAAGCCCAGATGTAGGGATCCAAGTTATGGTTATACAGGTTATTAAAAGGGACAGTATGTAAATTTTAGAACTAGCCAGGCACAGTGGCTCATGCCCATAATCCCAGCATTCTGGAAGGCTGAAGCAGACGGATCACTTGAGCCCAGGAGTTCAAGAACAGCCTGGGCAACATGGCGAAACCTTGTCTCTACTAAAAATATAAAACTAGCTGGGCACAGTGGCACATTCCTATGTGCCAGCTACTCTGGGGGCTGAGATGGGAGGATCAACTGAGCCCGGGAGGTCAAGGCTGCAGTGAGCTGTGATCATTCTACAGCATTCCAGCCTGGGCAACACAGTGAGACCCTATCTCAAAAATAAAAAAGAAAATACATAGGTTTTAGAATTAAGTATGTGTCTCCACTGGAAATGCATTGGTCTTCCGTCCTTTCTGTTTATCCACACTCAACAAACTTCTTCCTAAATTCGGGAATTGCCAAGTTTGGGATACCACCTTGGTAAAAAGGAAAGAATCTGTCTGTAGTTCGATTAAAGGCTTTTGACTTTTTTCATTTGTTTCAAACTGCACACTCTCTCAGTAAATGACAATATACACCCTCTCAATAGGTGACACAATATACAGAGTCAGCAGGACACCGCTATTATATATCTTTATCGATAAATTTTAGCTATTCTTTCAGATACAATGCTCAGTTTGCACAGGTGTGAACAGATTTTAGGACTAAATGTGCCTGGAGCCAAAAGGTCAGAAAACATAATGCAAGGCTCTGAACAAAAGCACCTGCATTCAAGCCATCCTCCCACCTCAGCCTCCCAAGTAGCTGGGACTACACGTGTGCCACCACGCCTCGTTAATTTTTTGTATTTTTGGTAGAGATGGGGTTTTGCCATGTTGCCCAGGCTGATCTTGAACTCCTGAGCTCAAGCAATCCACCCACCTTGGCTTCCCAAAATGCTGGGATTATGGGCATGAGCCACCCCACCTAGCCTTTAAGTTCTTCAAAAGGTAGTTCACAAGCAAGTTAGTGAAGGTATTGTGGGGACAGGAGGCAACTGTCCTTCCTTTCCTGTTTGCTCCAAGAAAAAGCTTTCAGAAAGTTACCAAAAAGACCTTAGTGATATCTAATCTAAGCCTAAATATGTGTAAGGAAACTGAGACCCAAAGTCTCAGGGTAACAGGAAAAATTTTATCAGACAACAATGTTTAGTTTTCTAAAATCATTTCCTTTAGCAAATGGAATTTTCAGCTTCTCCCAAAGTTATGAGTTATCTAACTCATAGTGTAGAACTGTGATTCTTTAATTTTCTGTGATACAGGTCATTTTACCCCTAACTAGGTCTCATGTTTACTACTCATTTGCCCTTTCTGCTATATCACTTTGCTTCCCTTTCCTGCATGAGGTACCTCATGAAACTTCTCTTGCTTGGAATGAATCTGTATTTTATAAATGTAATTGCTAAATAATACAAAATTGTATGTACTCTATGATGAATGACCTCCTTGCTATTCCTTAATAGAGCAAGAAAGTTCCTGCCTAGAGGCTTATATACTTATATACTTTTATGAACGGCTTCCTCTGTTCATAAAATCCTTTTTACAGTTATCTACATACTTCATATTTCATTCACTTCCTTCAGGTCACCATATCAGAAATGTCTTCCCTAACTACTCTATATAAAATAGCAATTCTCTGCTCTCCTTATTCTTTCCTCATATATATCACCTTCCTGACATATGAAGTATTTATCTGTTTTGTCTATGGAGCATGAATGTAAGTTCCACACAGTTCAACACTGTAACTACTGTAACTCTGAATGCCTAGGATAGGGTCTGACAAAATAAGCACTCAGTAAATATCTGTTAAATGAATGAATGAATGTATAAAATGTATATCTGATAAAGAACAATAAAGAAACACATCAGAACTGTAACCTGTTAGAATGACAAGATTATTCAGGGTTTTTCCTTTCCCCAATTTTATAAATGAGTTCGTTTTATTTATTTTTAAATTATTTGATAAAGCATTTGGCTACAATAAATTACTGAGGGATTTTAGACAGTATATAATTCAAAATGACTTTTCAAGTATTTTTAATCTGAAGCCATTTTTGGACAGGTAGCTAACAGTCAATTACTTCTCAATTTTCTAAGATATTATAACTGTCCTTCCATTTTGATATACCTGTACAGTTAGGATATCACTGTACTGAAATGGTAAATAACAATGAATCTAATCCTAGAGCAGGGAGGCAGCACAGTAAGAGGAAGACTTGGATTTAGTGATTGATGACTTCCTTTTTCCTCAAAATAAGCAGATTTCTTTCCAGTAGAGATCTGAGTCATTCAGTTTCTCAACATGACCAGGTAATTATGTGTTAAATCTAAACAGGCCTAGTTTGAAGTTCTACAAGAGAAAAATTAAATTTAAGATTATTCAAGTCTGAAAAAAACATTTTGAGGACATTCAGATTCTCCTCCAGAAATAATGAGATCATGTGACACTTATTTTCCATCTCTAAAAAATGTAGGCCAGGTGCGGCGGCTCACAGCTATAATCCTAACGCTTTGGGAGGTAGAGATGGGAGGACTGCTTGAGGCTAAAAGTTTGAGACACGCCTGGGAAACACAGTGACACCCTGCCTCTATAAAGTAATACAAAAATTAGCTGGGTGTTGTGGTATGTGCCTGTAGTCTCAGCTACTTGGAAGGCTGAGGCAGGAGGGTCACTCAAGCTCGGAGTTCAAGGCTGCAGTGAGTTATGATCGTGCACTGAACTCCAGCCTCGGTGGCAGAGTGAGACCCTGTCTCTAAATAAATAAATAATAAATTTGAAATGAAATAAATAGTTGGTCCCTTGGTTTCCATGGGACACTGGTTCTAGGATCTCCTGCAGAGAGCAAAATCTGTGGATGCTCAAGTCCTTGATATAAAAGGTATAGTATTTCCATGTAATCTATGACTATCTTCCTGTATACTTTAAATCATCTTTAGATTACTTATTAGTTGTTATATTGTATTGTTTAGGGAATTATGACAAAAAAAAGTTTATACATGTTCACCACAGATGGAACTTTGTTTTCCTTTAATATTTCGAATGCAGGTCGGTTGAATCCAGGAATGTGAAATCCGCAGATATGGAAGGCCAGTTGTACTTGATAACTATTTCAAGGATGACCTTAATGGCAGTATCATTTTGTTTATTAGAAAATTTGTCAAATTGTTATCTATTTTCCACAATAAGCAATTTTATACATGGTGCCTGAAGTCCCCCAACTTAGCTTGGAAAATTTTTTAAAATCAGTAACTCACCAAAGTGAATATTATTGTACTACAACCTAACTGCTACCTCTAACAATAGATAGTCCTACATGGAACTTATTCAAATTTTAAGTTGACATGCTAGGACTTTATCTCTGCTGTATCTGGAGCACAACCCAGCAGAACTAGGGGAGAGAGTAATGAAAAAAAGTTTAGGTTTCAGGGTATAAACATATAGGTCAGTAAGAGCCTCTTTTTAGTGGCATAACCTGCCCTTCCTCTCACACCTAACCTCAGAGATTGCCCTGCGTACATCTCATTTCACTTTCTATTGCTTTCAACAACCAGTTTCCTGACTTCTGCCTAAGTGGTGACTGGAATATGCAGCTTTCTAGCTTTTCTCCTACTCTGCTCTGTCTGAAGGACACAGGCCTTTCAGGTAAAGTATTCTCTGTTACCACTCACCTAAATGTACCATATGTAAATAGGCTTCTTCTCAAATCAAAGCAGATGATTTGGAACAAGCCACAGCTATCATTGTCAAAAAGAGGCTAAATTAATGTCATATTTTAAAAAGAATGTCAAAAAATGACAAATATTAGCATTAATAGCTGAAATACTAGAAAATGTGTTGTGAATATGCCATGCAAAATGAATACCACACTTCTAAAATAGCTATACAACTTACAGTCAATGACTCTCACCTATTTAATAATTATCTTTTCATCTGATAATACAAATCTGAGTGCAAGGTTTTACTGCCAAATTCATATATTAATAACTAAAACTTACCTGGTATTATATGTCAGGTACTGGGTACACTTTATTACTATAATTTTTACAGTAACCCTTTAATGGCTTATTATTATCTCAGTTACAGATGAGAAAACAAAGACTTAGGGAGGTTGAAGTAACCTGCTCAATGTCACTATAGCTAAGTCAATGGTAAAACCACTCTCTGGACTCCAAAATCCATGTGTTTAAACATCTACATGACATTGTTTGCTATACATCTCTACATGTAGGTTAAGTTTTATAGACAACTCAAATGCAATTGTCCAAAGCCAAACTCCTTTTCCACACATCTCCTTCTCCTCAAATGTTCCCTATTTCAGTAGATGCCACTATATTTCAATTTATATTTCATATATATTATTTCATCCTTCAGTAGTCATGTGAAATAAGCTTTATAGTTACTATATTTAGAGTAGAAAACCACTCAGAGACATTGTCATTCAGCCTAGGTCATAAGGCTATTATGCATAAGAGCCAGGACCAACCACTAAACACAGTTATTCCCCATTCACTGCTCTTCCTATCACATACCGCCGACTCTATTTAAAAAAAAAAAAAAAAGTTTTCGGACCAGAAGTGGTGGCTCACGCCTGTAATCCCAACACTTTGGGAGGCTGAGGCAGGAGGACTGCTTGAGCCCAGGAGTTTGAGACCAACCTAGGCAACAAAGTGAGACCCCATCTCTATGATAAATACAAAAATCAGCCAGGTATGTGGTGCGCGCCTGTAGTCCCAGCTACTTGGGAGGCTTCAGTGAGAGGACTGCTTGAGCCCAGGAGGCCAAGGCTGCAGTGAGCCAAGGCAGTGACTGCACTCCAGCCGGGGCAACAGAGCAAGACCCTCTCTCTTAAAAGTTTTGATATATAATGTATTAAGAATTATCTTCATAAATAAAATTTCATTTTTCCCTTTAAAGTATCTCAAACATTACTTAATCTATGTTGTATTATAAAGAAGGGAGAAAGTAAGACCTACTAAAGAAGAATGCCAGCAAAATTCAACTTCATTTAGAATGTCTATGTAAAAACAAATGACCTAAAGACTATTACAAATATTTCTTTCTTTTCTTTTTGGAACGAAAGAAGTAAAAATCCACAGAAATCAAGTTAAATCTCTAAAAAAAGCTTTAACCACGTTGCAGCTGGTTACTATAATAGAACAGAAAATAAGGCTAACTATGAAACATAGAAATGAGCTGTGAAAACCATGCACAGAAAGGACGTGCTTTCATTAAGAACAGCATGCTTCAATTAAATTTGCAGGCAATCTAAAGAGAATGTAAAACTGATGTATAAAACTTACCTACAGTGCAATTAAATTAAATACGCATTCGCCAAAAGTCTGCTCTCTTTTTTTGGTCTGAACAAGCCAACAACAGCAAGTAGCCAGAAGTTACAATCAATATAAAAGAAAAACTTAAGAGGAAATGGATTTGCTAGACTCATCATATTTTCAGTCTTAGCATCAAGAAATGAGTGATTATTTGCAATGAAGTTGGCAAGACAGGAAACTGAGTTAAAATTTATCAATCGTTTATTTCTAGGTAAAACTTTTTTTTAAGGGAGAAAACTCCCTCTAGTATTTTATCCCTTTTTGTAATACTGTATTTTTACTGTTCACCTTGAATCTTCAGATTTCTTAGAAATAAGATGGATTTTTAAAAATGCAGCCGGGCCAAGTGTGGTGGCTCATGCCTATAATCCCAGCATTTTGGGGGGCTGAGGCGGGAGGACTGCTTGAGGTCAGGAGTTTGAGACCAGCCTGGCCAACACGGTGAAACTCCATCTTTACTAAAAATACAAAAATTGGCCGGGTGCCATGGCTCATGCGTGTAATCCCTGCACTTTGGGAGGCTGAGGCGGGCTGATCACCTGAGGTCAGGAGTTTGCAGCCAGCCCGGCCAACATGGTGAAACCCCGTCTCTACTAAAAATACAAAACAAACAAACAAAAAACACCAAAAATTAGCCGGGTGTGGTGGTGCCTATAGTCCCCAGCTACCTGGGAGGCACAAGAATCACTTGACCCCAGGAGGTGGAGATTGCAGTAAGCCGAGATTGCACCACTGCATTCCACCCTGGGCAACAGAATGAGACTCGGTCTCAAAAAAAAAAGTAAAATGTAGCTGGATTCATCTAGCTCAAATCACTGTATTTCCTTTTTAAGGAAGAAAGTCAGGCAGCATAAATAATAAAAAGCCAAATAAGAGATCCAGGAAAAAATTCACTTAGAAGGCAACCAACTGCGTAGCTTATTCTTACCTTGGCTGTTTTTTTCGCGAGTTGACATTTTTGCTGGTTGAGACAAAAATGACATTACCTTACAATAAAAACTGGGTTTTTTCCTAAATGACTACAGTAACGCACTTTTCTTTGATTACTATGAACTGATAAAGTGCACTGGATGAAAATATTCTTTTCAATTAGCAAAAATTAAACTAAGAAGGGCAAAATAAAATTTTTAAAAGGATTTTTAATTTACCTTGGTTGATGATGACATCTTTATGCCTAGAAAAGAAATTTAAGAAACACATTTATTTTATAAGTTTATATGGCTAACCATTAAAATCACCTCAAGAAACTGTAAAAGTTTTAATGCTTAGGCTATAATCTAGATAAATCTCTGGAAGTGAAAGTAAGAAATCAGCATTTTTTAAAGTTTCTCACTGATGAACTACTAATATACACTATTTTATAAAACAATGAATATCCCACAAGAGCATCTAAACAGTGAAAGCATAAAAATAACTTATGAAAAATACTCAAATCTTATATGATTATTAAGATTTATTATTTGGCTGGGCACAGTGGCTCACACCTGTAATCCTAGCACTTTGGGAGGCTGAAGCAGGTGAATTGTTTGAGCCCAGGAGTTTAAGACCAGCCTGGGCAACATGGCAAAACCCTGTCTTTACAAAAAAATACAAAAACATTAGTTGGGCATGGTGGCACGCGTCTGTAGTCCCAACTACCCAGGAAGCTGGGGTAGGAGAATCACCTGAGCCCAGGAAGGTGAAGGCTGCAGTAAGACATGATAGTGATGGTGCCATGGCACTCCAGCCTGGACGACTGAGACACTGTCTCAAAAAAAAAAAAAAAAAAAAAAAAAACACGTATTGTTTGAGTTGGGAGCCTTAAAAGGTAGATACAACTTTTTGTAGAAGACTTGAAAGAAAACATACACCAGGCTGGCACGGTGGCTCACGCCTGTAATCCCAGCACTTTGGCAGGCCAAGGCAGGTGGATCACGAGGTCAAGAGATCGAGATCATCCTGGCTAACGTGGTGAAAACACCATCTCTACCAAAAATACAAAAATTAGCTGGGCGTGGTGGTGCACACCTCTAGTCCCAGCTACTCGGGAGGCTAAGGCAGGACAATCGCTTGCACCTGGGAGGCGGAGGTTGCAGTGAGCCAAGATTGTGCCACTGCACTCCAGCCTGGCAACAGAGTGAGACTCCATAAGAGAAGTATAAATTATAATACAGAGTTTTTAAAAAGATTCAAACCAAGGCCAGGCGTGGTGGCTCACGCCTGGAATCCCAGCACTTTGGGAGGCGGAGGCAGGCAGATCATGAGGTCAAGAGATCGAGACCATCCTGGCCAACATGGTGAAACCCCGTCTCTACTAAAAATACAAAAATTAGCTGGGCATGGTGGCACGTGCCTATAGTCCCAGCTACTTGGGAGGCCGAGGCAGGAGAATTGCTTGAACCTGGGAGGCAGAGGCTGCAGTGAGCCAAGATGGTGCCACTGCACTCCAGCCTGGCGACAGAGCAAGACTCTGTCACAAAAAAAAAAAAAAAAAAAAAAAAAGATTCAAACCAGACATACATAACTGTACATGCAAACATAATAGCCAAATAATTATTACTTTTCAGATATAATGAAGAAAGTGCAATACTTACTTGTCTGCAGTTTTGGTAACTTTTGGTATTAATTTGGGTGTTGAAGGTATTTTCGACAATTTATTACGGCTATCATCTGAATTTTCCCAAGAATTATGTGACTTTTCAGCTGGTGATGGTCGTTTTATGCTAGAAGGAACATTAATTTCTTAGAGAAAAATTCTGAGTATCAAAGACATGTAACTGACAATTTAAACAGAACACAAAAGCAGCAATTAACATTTCCTTAAAGCTAATCCAGAAAAGAGAAGGATTAGTTGAAAGACTGCCTGGATGAGTGAAGGAGTTAAACAAGGCAATTCCCAAATCTGTATTATAATTTTCTGTATCACTCAGAAGATTCACTAGAACAAATATTACCTGATTTTTTTTAAAAAACACTTTTGTTAACAGAAAAAAATTATTTCCTTACATCTGAGTAATGTTTCTTATAATTTGTAGTTACAAAAAAACCTGTATTTTTTCATAGCCATTGAATTTTATAAGGCTGCCATTTTCATTTTTTGTGCAATTATGTCCTCAGGTAATTACATTACATATGGTACAAATGACAATTTCTAAATATAACAAGGTATAAACTCTTGTTTATATCTTTAGGGACAATTTTACCAATGATCAGAAATAAACAAGACTTTATATAAGAATGTGGTTATTGGCAATCCTGATTCCCTATACTTATAAGTGAAATTTGTTTCTTTACAAATGATTTTTTCATTGCATTGCTAACTATCCTCAAACTCATCCAGTCTCCAATACTTCTTGCAACAGTATATCCAAAGAGCAATTTAGGAGGGCAAGCACATTTCCAGGAGACCTCAAGAAGCTGAAAAAAAGATGCTGGGACAAAGAAGATATCAAGTGAAATCAGAACCTTAAAGAGACTGATTATAAAAAGCCACCTTAAACCACACACAATCCAAAGTTATGTAACGTTAATAAGCTATATCCAAGAAAAACTCCACAGGAGACCAGGCAGATAAACTACAAACCATTTAGATTGGGTAAGAATCTGCATGAGACACACAGACAAAGCATTTTGTAAGTGGTAAACATGCATCGATCAAGTGAAGGGTATTTTGGTTTTCCCAATTTCCATTAGCGATTTGAGGCAAAATATTAAATTGATCAAATAAAAATTTAAATCTTTTAGGAATGGTTGTCATTTATTTTATTAAAATTCTAGCCAGTTCTGGAAATGGTTTAATAGTTTCCTAAGATTTCCAAGCAGAAGTACGATGATAAAATATGACTATTCCTAATCACAAGGCTTGAATAAGCATTTCTAAACAGGCAAATTTAATTAGATTGGTCTCAATATTTGATTAGGAGGCAGCTGTAGCACTGTACTCCCAGCATGCAGGTTTAGATTCTCAATTTAGGCTCACACACATTGTTAGAATATTTCTCCCTTTTCCCCTTCTCATAACTTTAAAATATTAATTATTACGGACACAGAAGCCCTCAAGCAAGCCTTTAGCATAGAAAAGACCAGGTGAAATGGATTCATTTCTCTACTCAAGCAAGAACTTATCCTCCCAAGACCCAAAACTGAAACTGAGATGCAGCCACAGTGAAGAGCCACTTGAGATGGGCCCTTGCAGGTTGAAGGTTGTAATGATGCCAAAATACAGTGAGGACAATTACATATGGCCATTTTCTATCCATGGCTATAAATTTATGCATAGTTACATACATATTTTAAAAGTATTCAAAAATGTGGTTAAGAAAATATTGTTTGGTTTTCGACTAGGTTATTCCTGCCTTCTTTTCATCAGATTGTTTATAACTTAGTTTTTTTTTTTTTTTTTTCCAGTTTTAACTGAGAAATTGTGACCTTAATTCTTTATTCCCCAATGGGCTATAAAGCATAAATTATAAGCAATGAAGAAGGGAAAAATAAAGCCACCAGCTTTTTCTCTCAGAATCCTTGGATAGCTAACTTTTTCCCAAGTCACAGAATTTAGGTATCATTACAACCATTCCCTAGCTCTGTACTTGGGGACAGTTAAAACCTTTTGGTGGGAGTAGCATTCTTGCTTTCTGGAGTTTGTCTGTGTATTTGGAGAGGTTGTGAAGAGGGCTGGGGAGAAGGTGATGCTCGAATTTGTGGACTTTGATCATTAGAATGAGATTCCTCTTTTTTTTCTCTCTGTCCTTGTGGTTTTTCTTTCTTTTTTTCTGTACCACTGTAAAATAAAGTATAACATGGAACAATACACATTTAAACAAATGAAAAAAAATCAAACGATAGAAAAGTGATTATTATATAATTCAAAACCCTAAGTCATACAGCTAATACAATTTGCACTGTTTTCATTCAATAAGGACAATATTTCTTTGAAAATTCCAGAAGCTATTAACATCTTCAGTAAAGAATTTATAAAAATTCTAAGGCGATACACCCCATGAAGATTGCCCCTTTAGACAGAAATGGTCTCTAATAAACTTTGCCATCTTGGCAGATTTTGGGGGACAAATGAAGGTCTCTTAACTGACCTCAAGTTACCCAAATCAGAGGACTATCTGTGTAAAGCATACCGACTGATGCCAAAAGAACACTAAATATTCATGTTTAATAGGTTATTCTCCAATTCCTGTTTTTTTTCTGTATACTTCTACTCCACTCAATTGAGTTTTAAACTTACCAAGAGTTTAAGTTTTCCCCAAGTCTGTTTATGCCAGTTGTTATTTTAATTATGTAAGTTAATTAAATACAAAGAGAATTGCAATTTCTATGAAAACTAAGTTTAATGTTCTAGAAAGACTACAAAAAAAATGAGTTATCAAAAAAATTGCTGTTAAATTTAGTGTGAGTGACACAATTTAAAAAATCACAGAGGCGGCTGGGCGCACTGGCTCACGCCTGTAATCCAAGCACTTTGGGAGGGCGAGGCAAGTATCACCTGAGGTCAGGAATTCAAGACCAGCCCAGGCAACATGGTGAAACCCCGTTTCTACTAAAAATACAAAAATTAGCTTGGCGCAGTGGCATGTGCCTGTAATCCCAGCTACTCGGGAGGCTGAGGCAGGAGAATCACTTGAGCCAGGGAGGCGGAGTTTGCAGTGAGCGGAGATTGCACCATTGCACTCCAGCCTGGATGACAGTGCGAGACTCCATCTCAAAAAACAAACAAATCACAGAGCCCGGGTGTGGTGGCTCACACCTGTAATCCCAGTACTTTGCGAGGCCAAGGCAGGAGGATTACTTGAGCCCAGGAGTTCAAGACCAGCCTGGGCAACAAAGTGAGACTCTGTCTCTTTAAAAAAAAAAAAAATTGGCCAGGCACAGTGGCTCACGCCTGTAATCCCAGCACTCTGGGAGGCCGAGGTGGGTGGATCACGAGGTTAGGAGATCAAGACCATCCTGCCTAACATGGTGAAATCCCGTCTCTACTAACAAATACAAAAAATTAGCTGGGTGTGGTGGTGGGCGCCTGTAGCCCCAGCTACTTGGGAGGTTGAGGCAGGAGAATGGTGTGAACCCAGGAGGCGGAGCTTGCAGTGAGCCGAGATTGCGCCACTGCACTCCAGCCTGGGTGACAGAGCGAGACGCCGTCTCAAAAAAAAAAAAAAAAAAAAAAAAAGAAAGAAAGAAACAAAATCATAGAAAGAGAGATGCGTTCTAACATACTCTTCTGCCAGAGTTTTAAATTTCTTACTCCTTTCATTTCTGAGAAATGAAACTAAAAATTTTAGAAAGTTATTTATGGATATATTTTATGAAAGACAGTCAACAAGGAATTTGATCAGAGATATATACTTAGAGGGTAGGTTTGGTCTTTCATTTAAAAAGTGATGAATGAATACAGGTGAATGTATCTTATGTTAAAATATTTCAGATATTTAAGTATAAATTCTTTTGATTATGTACTTTGACTCTTGGTTAATAAACCACCTGCTATTCCTAACCAGACTGGATAAGCATACTTATACTGAAAACACTCTTGACAATATTATAAAGCTGATGGAATCAAGACTTGAATTCCAGTGATGAAAAGGTAGGAAACTACTAAATGCCTATTTCTTTTCTCTGCCGCCCCCCTCCCCCTGTTTTTTTTTTCAGATGAAGTCTTGCTCTGTCATCTAGGCTGGAGTGCAGTGGTATGATCTTGGCTCACTGCAACCTCCATCTCCAAGGTTCAAGCAATTCTCCCACCTCAGCTTCCCCAGCAGCTGAGATTACAGGCGCCCGCCACCACACCCAGCTAATTTTTACATTTTTAGCAGAGATGGGGTTACACCATGTTGGCCAGACTGGTCTCAAACTCCTGACCTCAGCTGATTCGCCTGCCTCAGCCTCCCAAAGTGCTGGGATTACAGGCGTGAGCCACTGCATCCGGTCCCATTTACATGTCTTTCTTAATCAAAGGACATTTTGTAATTCGATTATAATCAACAAGTAAGCTTGTTCAAGAACATTTTAAATAAATGTACATAGTATATACAATTTATCACATTATAATAGTTTAAAATGTTATAGATATTTTAATGTCAAGTGACATTTCTTAACCTGATGCACTTCTGATAACTTCTGACTTCAGACTGGCCCTTGACTATCTACTTTGTGTTCAATTTTTTTAAAAGCAGGTGCTAAGAAATACAATTTTGGCCAGTCACAGTGGCTCACACCTGTAATCCCACCACTTTGGGAGGTTAAGGCGGGCGGATGACCTGAGGTTGGGAGTTTGAGACCAGCCTCACCAACATGGAGAAACCCTGTTTCTACTAAAAATACAAAATTAGCTGGGTGTGGTGGCGCATGCCTGTAATCCCAGCTACTCCGGGTGCTGCAGCAGGAGAATCTCTTGAACACGGGAGGTGCAGGTTGCGGTGAGCCGAGATTGCGCCATTGCACTCCAGCCTGGGCAACAAGAGCAGAACAACATCTCAAAAAATATATATATATATATCTTAAAAAATAAATAAAAAAAGAAATACAATTATACTTCAAGAATATCAGATTAACTCTGAAATTAAAAAACTGAGTTCCAATATGTCCAACTCTCTCAAAAACAAAAACAAAAAACAGAAGTTACTTCTTCCTTGCGATTCTTCAACAAGATTACAGAGGTCACTAGTTTTATGTGGGCCCAGTACAACCTAAAAGAGCCATTTTCCTTCTGGGTTATTTAAAAGCAAAATACAGGGACCCTGGATCATAAACTAACAAACTCAGCTGGCCTTGGATTGTTGAATCACTAATGTGCATAATACTGATCACTACACAGCAACAAGCAACAGTGCAATAGCTATGTAAGAAAATGGGCTGAATCTGAACCACTACTGGATACAACACGGAAATTTATTTAAAATTGTACTAAAATTTTCTAACATTTTCTTAGTTTCCCTTTTTCTACTCAAAGTGGAGTACAGGTAATAAAGTTTAGCATCCTTTGTAGGGGAAAGTCTAGATTCTGTAATGACGACGACAAAGATTGAGTTCCAGAAGGAATTTTTTTTTTTTTTTTTTGAGACGGAGTCTGGCTCTGTCACCCAGGCTGGGATACAGTGGCGCAATCGTGGCTCACTGCAAGCTCCCCCTCCTGGGTTCACGCCATTCTCCTGCCTCAGCCTCCTGAGTAGCTGCGACTACAGACACCTGCCACCACGCCTGGCTATTTTTTTTGTATTTTTTAGTAGAGACGGGGTTTCACCGTGTTAGCCAGGATGGTCTCGATCTCCTGACCTCGTGATCCGCCCGCCTCAGCCTCCCAAAGTGCTGGGATTACAGGCATGAGCCACCGTGCCCGGCCTCTAGACGGAATTTTTAAAAGGGCTGAAGATCTTGGTATTTCTTCAACATTCTTGTCATCAACTGTTTGGTTAAGTATCTATGAATCCACACCAATGAATAATTCGGTCACTAGCATTAGTTTATTGAGGTAAGCATTTTCCATCAGTACATTGTTACACATGATCTTATTACTTAAGATTTTTCCTCACTCATTCTTTGAAGAAAACGGTTTTAAGATTTTGTAGCTGATCACCTATGGTCTCTCCAAACTCTACATCGAATAATTTGCTAGAAATTACAAAAGGGGGAAAATCCTGTGAGCACTTTTATTGGAGTAAATTAGTTAACTGATGAAAAGAACATAAAGAATGCAAATCTGTAATCCACTGAAACTTATATTGCTGTAATTCCACAGCCCTCCTGCCCACCATCCCCTAACACACACACACATACACCCCCACACACCCCAGATAGTACTATATTTTTGAAATAAGCCTTAATTTTATAGTTATGGTTAAAAAATAAAAGTTATAATAGCATTTGACCTCCCACTAACATAGATATATCGAAGATTCTGTTTTGCCTTTAAAAATGCTGTATCAAATATATCACTTGCTATGGAAAATTCAGTTATATAATTTCTTTAAATATAGTGATGCTTTCAATAAATACTTGTTACAAAGAAACAAAACAAAACCAGGAAATGAAACTGCTTTCTTTCTTTAGTGAGAACGGAAAGCTTCCTCACACAACTTGACAGGCATGATGAGTGCAAGCTGAGTGAGCACAGGCTAAATGTCTCTACTTTCACAGTTTAAGAATTCAAAGGACATGCTCACTTGAATTCAAACAGCTCTATTTCATATTCTTTCTAAAGGGAGATCTCTACCACATTCAGACAATTCTGCAATGTTAGTTTTTCCCCCTTTCATAAATGGGTACCTTTTAGCAGCAGATGAAAGAGTTTCTTTTCCTGCAATTGAGACAGCACTGGTATGACTTGGTTTTCTGTTTGCACCACTTCCATTGGTTATACAGGACATGGGAATAACTGCTCGAGGGCTTGGTTGGCCTAAAGATAATTAAGGAAAAAAATTATATCAAATTTGAATATATTCCTTAAAGATCTAAATTTTAAAATTAAGTCCATTTGGAAGGAGGGGGTGGTAGAAAAAAAATTAAGTATATTATTGTTTATAACTCTTGAGCAGAATGCCCCCATGGTATGCAGCACATGATACTGTCTCAAGACTTAATCCCATCGAAACAGACCTATAGGAAAGCCATACTAATTTACTAAAACACAGTTGGGCTAGTTCTCTTAGCTAAATGGTTTGCTTTACCACACACAGCAGCCTTATAACACATGATTCAAATGTGTGCCTCAAGTAATCCATAAATCCCATGCCATCAGTCTTCAAAAACAGCTTGTTAAAACCATAAATTTTAAATCCTAGAAACCATAAATATTAAATTCTAGACTGTTACTCCATACAAATAAAGCATAAGTATATAAAGTTAACCTCTCCTTTAACTTACACAGTACATATACAAGGAGTGGAATAAATGTGTGACTGGTATATTAGTGTGGTCAGAAGACACAACATCATAAGATAAAACAGTCCTATCTATACTAAGAGTCAAGTAAAGATTTGGGAATAGAGAACATTTTTATTTTTTAATTTTTGGACTCAGTTTTCTCACGTGCACACAAGTAATATCTAGTACCTTAGGAAGTTCCACACATGGTGGTATAACACTGCATTTTTGTCAAGAATAAGATGTTGGAGGTCATTTGTGTCATAATCACCTAACGTGCTTCCTTAATATAGATTCGTAAGTCCTACATTAGATTGAATGAATTAGAAGACAGGAAGCAGGAGACCTGCTGCATTTATTTTTTGAAACCTCTTAAGAAATTTTTTTTTTACATATAAGTTACATTAATCCTCAAATTATGCAAATATCACTGGTCATCAGATTTAGTTCTAGTACGTCAAACAAGTTACTTATTGTTATATCAGTAGCTTTTTAAAAACTGTGGTAAAACAGTCCTAAAATTTATCATTTTAACCATTTAAAAATGTAGAATTCAGTGACAATTAGTATATTCACAATGTTGTGCAACCATCACCACTACCAAGTTCCAAAACATTTTCATCACCCCAAATAGAAACCATGTATCCATTGGCTGGGCGCGGTGGCTCAGCCTGTAATCCCAGCACTTTGGGAGGCTGAGGTGGGCGGATCACGAGGTCAGGAGATCGAGTCCATCCTGGCTAACATGCTGAAACCCTGTATCTACTAAAAATACAAAAAATTAGCCAGGCGTGGTGGCGAGCGCCTGTAGTCCCAGCTACTTGGGAGGCTGAGGCAGGAGAATGGCAGGAACTTGGGAGGCGGAGCTTGCAGTTAGTGGGGATCGCACCACTGCACTCCAGCCTGGGCGACAGAGCAAGACTCCGTCTCAAAGAAAAGAAAAGAAAAAAAAAACAAAAACCGCGTATCCATTAAGCAGTCACTCCCTGTACCCTACCCTCCAAAGAAGCCATACCTTGTTTGGCTTCTTTTATATAGTACAATGTTTTCAAGGTTCACCATGTTGTAGCACATATATTTCATTCTTTATAACAGAAAAATATTCCACTGTATATTTTGTTTTTCCATTCATCTGTTGATGATCATCTGGATTGTTTCCACCTTTTGGCTAATGGGAATAGTGCTGCCATAAACATTTGTGTAAAATTTTTCATATAACCACCTGTTTTCAATTATTTTGAGTATATACCTAGGAGCGGAACTGCTGAGTCACGGTTGTTGTATGTTCAACTTATTGAGGAACTGCCAAACACAGTGGCTGCGCCATTTTACAATTTCACTAGCAATGTATGAGGATTCCAATGTCACCATATTCTTGCCAACACTTGTTATTTTCAGGTTAAAAAAAAAAAAAAACTCAAGAGGGTATTAAGTGTTACCTCATAAGTTTTGGTTTCACTGATTCTATTGTTTTTCTATTCCCTACTTCCTTTATTTTGCTCTAATCTTTATTTCCTTCCCTCTAGCAAGCCTTGGATTTAGTTTTTTCTTCTTTCTTAGTCTTTTTTTTTTTTTTGAGACAGAGTCTTGCTCTGTTGCCCAGGCTGGAGTGCCATGTCACAATCATGGCTCACTGCTGCCACGGCCTCCCGGGGCTCAATCCATCTGTCTACCTCAGCCTCCTGAGCAGCTGTGACTACAGGTGCACACCACCGTGCCTGGCTAATTTTTATATTTTTTTCGTAGAGACAGGGTTTTGCCACATTGCCCAGGCTGGTCTCTAACTCTTAGGTTCAAGCAATCCACCTGCCTCTGCCTCCCAAAGTGCTGAGATTATAAGCGTGAGCCACTGTGCCCGACCACCAATTACAGGCATTTTTACCGTTCTTTTACCAATGCCTCAAATGGCATAACAACTTCAATTGCTCAAACATTTTGCCCACTTTAAGAATGGGCTTCCTTCTTAATAACTGAGGCATATGAGTTCTTCAAATATTCTACATAAAAGTCCTCTGACAAATACATGTCTGGCAAATATTTTCTCTTATTCTATAGCTTGCCCTTTTATTTTCAAAACAGTTTTTGAAAGAACAAGATTTTTAAATTTTGATGAAATTCAATTAATTGATTTTTCTCTTATAGCTTATGCTTGTTTGTGTGCTACTTATGAAATCTTTGTCAAACTCAAGGTCACTAAGATCTTTCTTACATAAGTTTTAGCCCTTACATTGAGGTCTATGATCCATCTTGCTTAATTTTTGTTTATGGCGTGAGGTGAGAGTCAAGGTATTTTTGTTTTTTGTCTTTTTTTTCCCCCTGGCATATGACTTTAATAACTCGAATTAGGGTTGAAATAACTCTTGAGCAGTCTGCCTAGCACACAAAAAGTACTTAATATCAAAACAACTAAATGGATGCATCTTCACTACCAAATTTCTCTTTTGGATTATGTTGAGTTTATCTCGAGTCTCTCTTCTTGCAGTTTTACCCTACACTATGGCATCGCTACACTGTGCCAGAATGACCTACCACATGCTATGTATCTTTAAATTTAATGCCACTAACTGTAATATGCCCCATTATTTTAAGTACCATTAGAAAGAAGTATTTCCTATTAGAACTGTAAGACACTATCAATTGTAATATGCATCGTAATTTCAGAGATGTTAAAATGTCAAAAACATAGGCATCTTGGACGAATTACTATAAATCTGCCTGTCAGTCCTCAGCTTAAGATTCTTTAGTGGCTCTCCACTACCTTCAGGATGAAAACTAAATTCCTTAACAAGGTGTAAGAAAACCTTCCACTATGGGCCCTACCAGTCTAGGTTCATTTCTTGAAACTCCCAATCTTACACCCTATGCTTCAGTTTATTCTGAATTCCTAAACTAAGTACTTTTTATTCTTCTGCACTTCTGCACCTGGATGATCCTTCTCTCCAGCATATGCTAGTCACCTCTGCTTGCCTAAACTGTAACGTATTCATCATCCATGCACCAATCAAATATTTACTCAGGACCAATTATAATCCTACTCTTATGTTTACAAACATATATAAGGCAGTTACTGACATCAAGGAATTCAAAATCTTCAAGGAGAATCACATTGGCAATGAAAACGTGGTAAGTACAGTAACAGAGAGATATCAATGGAGTATCATGGAAGTGCAAAGAAAGGACACATAATTCTATAAGGATTAGGGACACAGAGCTCAAGAAAGGCTTCCTTGAAAAAACACAGAATAAGGCCTTAAAGAATAAGAAAGAAATAGACAGCTGAAAGGGCGGTGATAAGACAATGGGATCCTATTGCAGTATGTGTAAAGGAACAGAAACACTCTAACAGCAAAGAGAGTGTATGTATTTGCGGCATTGAGTGGGTGGTGGTGGGGAGACAAAAAGCTCCTTGATGTGGCCAGCACGTAGAACAAAAGAGGGGATAGTTCACAGAGAGGAGTTAAGTAGCATTCAGATGATGCAGACTTTATCTATAAAGAATAAAGAACCACTAAAGGGTTTTAAGCTGAAAAGCAGAGTTCAATTTACATTTTAGAGAATACCCTCTAGTAGCCATGTGAAGAACTGATTTCAGGGCAGTGGTCTGAGAATAAGATGGTGGGGACCAAGAGCTATGTAGCGTGAATGAAAAAGTGAAGGAAGTTTTAAGAATCACGGTGGAAACCATCATAATGCCAGGATGAAGGTCAATAAAAACTTTTACACTTGATCATGACAAAAGAATGCTATTCACTATAGTTTACACTCCTTAATGACAGACTCAAGTAGACGACCTTACTGACATCTTAGCCTGACAGTTCCTAAATACAAATAAATTTCAGTGTACTGTATGTAGACTAACACAGTAAAGTTATCACTAAGAACTGCCGCATATTCCAAAGCTCAAAATCTGAAATCCTTCTTGCTACTCCGGTACATATTATCTTCTTATTCTTGCATCTATCCCAATCTGTCTCTCTAAAACTGTAATTTTATCACAACTTCCTGTTTCTATAACTAACTTCTTCTGGCATTCAATTTACAAACAATTTATTGATTTGTAAATTGAAATTGTTTCTCAGCTAGCCTTGGGATGACTATGTTAGTGACTGTCCCTGCTTTCAAATAGTGTATCACCTAGTGGGAGCAACAAATATATATGCCAAAAGAGAAGTACAAACAAAAATTTAAAATAATTCCAAAATGTGCCAAAAAATAGATCATTTTCAGGAAATAATTTCTGAGGCCTTTAAGATGGTTACAGTTTTGATCAGAAGGGTAGAGATAGTCTAGTTGATATCCCAAATCTTCTATTTATCTTGAATTCTCCATCACATGCCTCATGGCTCCAACTGTATACATACTTCTTCCACTCCTCATTTTCAGGCTCTTCGTCACTTTTCTCAATTGGCTGATTACTCTTGCTTCAGTCTTTGAGAAGATTGAGGACTACATGTACTCCATCAAATTCTATCTTCTCCATTTGGAATTTTATCTGTATACTTCTACCTTCCTCTTATTTCACAGGAAGATGTACCCTTAGGCCTTTCAACTTGTGGCCACTACTTAAAAGTATATTTTGAGTGGAAGTGACAAAGAAGCATTTGACTCTCATATAGAAATGGCACTCTGTAAACAGTAATTGTTACCTGGTCTGAGGCAACACCTGCCAATATACAGTCATGCACTGCATAATGTCTTGTTCCACGATGGACTGCATATACGACAGTGGTCCAAGAAGATTCTAATACCCTATTTTTACCATATCTTTTCTATGTTTAGGTTTGTTAGATATACATATACTTACCATTGTGTTACAACTGCCTATGTAACCTAGGAGCAACAGACTATACCAGGGGTCCCCAACCCCTGGGCCACAGACTGGTACCTTTGTGGCCTGTTAGAAACCAGGCCAGACAGCAGGAGGTGAGAAGCCAGAGAGTGAAGCTTCATCTGTATTTACAACCACTTCCTATCACTTGCATTACCACCTGAGCTCAGCCTCCTGTCAGATCAGTGGCGGTATTAGATTCTCATAGGAGCACAAATCCTATTGTGAACTGTACATGTGAGGGATCTAGGTTGCATGCTCCTATGAGAATCTAATGCCTGATGATCTGTCACTGTCTCCCATCACCCCAACATGGGACCAGCTAGTTGCAGGAAAACAAACTCAGGGCTCCCAACGATTCTACATTATGGTGAGTTGTATAATTATTTCATTATATATTACTATGCAATAAGAATACAACAACAAATGTAGTATGTTTGAATGATCCCAACACCTCCCCCCACCCACCCCAGTCTGAAGAACAATGGTCTTCCATGAAACCAGTCCCTAGTGCCAAAAAAGTTGGTGACCACTGGGCTATGCCATACAGCCTAGATGCATACTAGGCTATACCATCTAGGTTTGTGCAAGTACACCCTATAATGCTCAAACAAGGAAAAAAATGCCCAATGATGCATTTCTCAGAAAGTATCCCTGTTAAGTGATGCATGACTATACTTCTACACACAAAATAATCAGACACTCCATCATCCCCTTCCACAATTACTAGTCATTTTAGCGTAAGGGTCCCACCAAGGCAATTCATACCTTCCTAAGCTGATGGAGGTAATGTGCTTATCGATAACATTTACAGCAAACCTATGATAATCCCTGAATCCTCCCAAATGTTATTTGGACCAGGAGCTGAATGATACAAATCTGTGCCTTTAGAGTATCCCAGATTTTACATAATTAGCAATGTTTCTTTTGGAGAACTGACCCCTATATTTCAATTTTGCCTTTGGGTTCTTTCGTTTCTCAAGTGGCAATTACAATGCTTCACACTTTGGCTTAACCAGCAGTTTCCTGGTTTACATGACTGACTGCCAACTTCAGATAAATTTAACTTTTTAACTTCCGTATCATTGTGTACTAACAGTTTGTCTTCACATAATGCCACTGGGCTGTGTTCTCAAATTACATTCATTTGGTCACCTCAAGAGGTCCTAATGAGTTTCCCAGGCACCAGCTGTGACATAATTCATCTTCTTGGCAGCTAAAACTTCCAGTGTTCTCTGGGCCTTCCCTTTTGCTCCGAAGTACAGGTAATATTTTTTTCTTTTGGCAGGGATTCAGCTGCAACTGGTGCATATATTATGAACACATGCCGTCAAAAGGAAAGAATTCTCTGACAGAGGAGAAGGTATATGAAAAATTTAAGTGACTGGCCACCTTAAAAACTCATGGGAAAATTTTCTACCTCAGTCAAGTGTCCTGCATAATTTACTCAAGAAAAAAATGGGGCTTAGCTTTAAATACTGCTGGCACACTGCAGAAGATAAACTAAGACAACGAAATATATTTAAAGGTTAGGTGTGTTTCTGATTTTGGTATTTACTGAATGGCAATACTACTATGAAGCAACGTAGCAGAATTTCATTAAGCCCTTAGCACACACATCATTAGCATTTACTTTTGGTCATATCTGATGACAACTTATGTCCTTCCCATATCACCACCATCTAGCAAAACCATAAAATAGCTCTCTTCAGTAATAGGGAAGTTGACTTGTCCTTTGAACCACAGCTTCATAAAAGGATTCTACCCTATTTATCCACAGGAATTTAATTTGACCTCTAAAGAAAAATCCTCTAGAAAATGTAAACACCTTAAGATGATAATGATCATTTTCCTGTCAATAAATTATGTGATACTCGATACTATAAATTCTAATTTCACAGGGGCTAAAAAATCACACATAAAACTGTCTATAGTATAAAAAATGACTTTACTTTTTAATTAAAGAAAAAATACAAATCCCTACAAGATAATTTCATTTTTAATGTTATGAAAAACTTCATTTATTTGAAAATACTTTGCTTAAAATGTTTATTCCAAATTTTCTTACCACTAATTTATCAATCCTGTTTAATATCAAAACTGAGATGATCTATTTTAGGCTGTACACAAATGTCAATAGTGAAGAGTCACTTAAATTCCAATTGCTTTCAACGATATGCTATAAATAAACTCCAAGATAAAGCTGTTCAGAGTTGCCAATAACATTATGAAACTTTACATATGTATTTCTCTCAATGTCTTAATATCACTATTGGAAACATAATTAGTTGGACATATTTTTCCACTAAAGGAAAATACAGTAATTAACATGAATTATGCTCATCTATGAAATAATTATTTTCTCAAATTATTATATAATCAATACCCCCATCAAACCATTTCATAAACTGCCTGTGTTCCAGGTAACAGAGTAACTCAAAGAATGAACCATCTTAGCATATTATAAAATAGCAAAGTTAATTATGAAGTATAATTTAAAAATCAATTGGAAAAAAAATCTCTAATTAGTAAGGTTATTAAAAAGAATTAAGTTAGTGTTATGTGAAAAGAAAAAGTTCCACAGAGATGGTTCTGTGGCTCCAGAAAAAGAGCCATTAACCAAACTGATCCTAGACTCACTTTAGAGACATAGGAATTATGACTAAGGATAATTAGAAAAGGACCAGAAAGGACAACTTACAGAAAATAAGTTCCTGGGGAATAGTAATTATAGCTAGTTAACTGTATTTATATTTCATGACATTGAGAAGTAGGTGCTAAATAACTCATGTGTCATATAAAATACTGTGTATATGCTGGGAAAAAAGCAATTTTTAAATTTCTTTAAAATATTTCAGAATTTTCTTTACTGAAATACCTTAGTAGATACAATATGAGAGAAAATATCTTTAAAATTTTTCTCAATTTACATAAAATTACAATGCACTGTTTTTTCAGCATATTAAAAAGACTTTGGAGACCAAGGTAGATCACTTGAGCCCAGGAGTTTGAGACCAGCTTGGGCAACATAGAGAGATTCCGCCTGTACAAAAAAAAGAAAAGGTTTTAGCAGGGCATGGTGGTGTACACCTGTAGTCCTAGCTACTCCAGAGGCTGAGGAATGAGGACCACTTGTGCCCAGCAGTTTGAGGTTACAGTGAGCCTGGGTGACAGAGTAAGACCGTGTCTCCTAAAAAAGTTTAAAAAAACTAATATAAACTATTTAAAATAAGCTTTTAAAAATGTGAATAGCAATCAAACATCGTTATCATTTTCTATTATAGGTTTTAAAATACTTATATGTACCCTCGGGTTCTGAGTCTGTATATTATATATAGGAAATTTGTTCTTCCCTCTCTATACAAAGCTTATATTCCCTATAAAGCCCATATACATTAACAGATCTAGCTCCTTATCCTACTCTAAAAATCCAAAATCCTCCTATAAAAATCAATTCATAACCAAACAAAATTGTTTTCTGGCTTGATCTTGGCGGTCCTCAAAGTTGACTCTCTAAATAAATAAATAAATAAATAAATAAATCAAGCAAGCAAGCATAATATAACACTTTATTAGTCAAAGTGGTTTTTATCAAGTCTTTTGCCAAACCCTCAGGCCCCTTGTCCTTTGTCATTGACATATTTATCTCACTATCACTAATGAAAAAGATCAATCCTTTCTTCCATCTAACTCTCCACTGTAAATACACAGACCCAGAGTACATGAGGCCAAGAGGGAAAAGAGTGGGAATCACAAAACCGGGCAGAATGATACTCACCTTTCCTCCACAATAAGTATCCCGCCTCCATAGCCTCAGGGTCTCTCAGCATCTCTTTCAAATGTCTACGGTCTTCCATTCTCCGCTTTAACCATTTCAAACATGCATTCTCTTTTTTTCTACCACTGACGACCTATCTTTGCACCTAAAGGTTATCATTATCTCGATATATATTCACAGTTATCAGGGCTAGAAGTTGTGGTTCTCAAAGATCCCTTCTCAAATTCTCAGGACACTTGCCTCATCAATTACCACCCCATTTCCCCGTATTGGTCTTCCTCTCTGCTGCCTTTTTGTCCTCAACCTATCTTTGTGTTCAAGTCTATCACATATTTTTAACAAATTTTAAAAAGTAATTAAAACTGGCCTTCAACATAGCATCCTCTCCTAGCTATTACCACCGTCTTCCACTCAGGTGAATTTTTTGAGAGTGGCTATATTTGTTGCTCTCAATTCTACAATTATTCTTAATTGCTGCTTCTCAAAATACTGGTATTTGATTTGCAGTTCTATTACTCCACTAAAATTGCTTTTGGAGAGGTTTCTAATATTGCTGTAAATGCCGAATCCAATGGTCATCTCTCAGTCTTTGTTTTATTTGACATCTCTGTAAGCAGCTGGCAATGTGCATCACTTTTTGTGCTATGCTGAAATGTTGGAGCTCCCAGTGGAACTATGCTGGACTGCCTTCTCATTTTACATCCTCTATGGCTTCAACTATCATCCATAAGAGGAACATTCCCAAATTCTTACTGCTAGCCAAAACTAACATGAGCACTAGATCCATATGTAATTCAGCTACCAATATGTATCTCTACATACCATATACACCCTAAACAACATTCAGAAACTGAATTCACAATCTTTCTTCTAAATCTGCTTCTCATTTGCTGGTTGGCTGACTGCACTATCTCCTACTCAGCTAGAATTTGGGAGTTATATAAAACTCCTCCCTAGGTTAATAATTTACATTGACATCGAAGTAGGAAGGCAAGCCAATAAATGTCCTCACTTTTCCCACTGCCAAAATGGGCATAATCACGCCTATCCCCATATACTCTACCAATAAATCAGTAAGAGACATCAAATGATATGTTCAAATCTTGATTCATGTGAAAGAATAATAAATTCTTTCTTGGTGGTTGAAGTAAGGGAAAAGGTACACTACATCTGCTCCAAACTCAGAGCAACAGGGTCTTGACGACTGTTTGTCTCAACCTTGAAAACTCCCAATACTGGAAAGTTAGAAGTCCCATTATACTGGGCTCGTAAGCTTCAGAGCTTAAATTAATTTTTTCAGGATTCTGCTAACAACCACAGAGGGTTCAGAATAAAGCTATTTAAACTATGATGATTTTAATTATGTTTCTGTATTGACAACAGAATTTTAAGAACACATGAGTGCCTACCACCTATGTTCAATATGAAATGAGAGACACAAAACGATGATTCAGTTCCTGCCCTGAGTAAACTTATCATCTAGTTGGAAGATACTAACTTCACACAAATACTGTAACATAAAAAACCTGTGAGTATAATCAGTGGATTACACAAAAATTCTTTATTTTAAATAATAAAGAATAAACTTTCAGAACTTTTTGGGAATTAAAAAAACGAAATGGAAAACAAACTATAATCACAAGTAATCCACATAAGAAACTAGTTTTATATTTCCAGCTTCAACTTTCAAAGAAAATATTGCAAAAAGCAAGACTCTTTTTAACTTTACAACACAATTACCTTTACTTGAGACTGATTTTTTCACTGAGGCCACATGATCTTCAGAGATTGCAAGACGCCTCAAAACATCAGCCAAAGCCGCCTTTAGCACAGTGATTTCATCTTCTTGTTGCTGAACTCGTGACTCAAGAGCTGACAGGCGATCTTGAACATCAGAAGTACTTGCAGCAGAAATACTATCATCTATAAAATAAAATAAAATATGGAATATTTTTAAGTAAACTGCTTGAGAAGTAATTTCTGATTAGAAAAACCATCCCACATAAGACTTACAAAAGATGAGAAAAATTCTGGCTAGGTGAAGTGGCTCGTGCCTGTACTTCCAGAACTTTGAGGGGCCAAGAGAGGCAGATCACCTGAGGTCAGGAGTTGGAGACCAGCATGGCCAACATGGTGAAACCCCGTCTCTACTAACACCACAAAAAATTAGCCAGGCATGATGATGCGCTCCTGTAATCCCAGCTATTTGGGAGGCTGAGGCACAAGAATCATGTGAACCCCGGAGGTGGAGGGTGCAGTGAGCTGAGATTGCACCACTGCACTCTAGTCTGGGCAACAGAGCAAGAGTCTGTCTCAAAAAAAAAAAAAAAAAAGAAAGAAAATTTCAAAACAAAAAACTCCATAACATCTCATCATGTTGACACATATTAACTTCTATAAAGACTTTTATAGCTATCTTAATTTAAAATAAGTTAATAAACTTCACAAATCATTAAAATGGTGACAATTGTCCCCACGGTCAAATTTCCCCTATTTTTACAACATCATCTTAATTGGTTTTCTCACGAAAAGGCTCCCTAAATACATCATCTTGTAGACATCAGGAAACTTCCAAGACAGCAAACTATTTAACCTTTCTTAATTACATTATTATCACAGTTCTCTATGAAAACAGAAAAGGCATATAAATCACTTGTTTGGTTTTATGTATCAGATAGGGAGTCTATCACCTTAACCAACAATGATGAGGAAGCATCTTTACTACTTTACTTTTTACTATCATACTCTCCCACACCCCACAGAACTCGGTATTGCTATGTAATTAACAAAAGACCTTTTGCTGCTCCTTCTCTCCACCTAACACCACAACCTCTCTTAAAAAAAGGTTTTTATGAAGTAAATACTTAATATTTGCCTTAGGTATGTAACAGCAACAAGAGAAAGACTATTCAAATAAGGCTTAGCTATACCACAGCAATTACAAAGGACTTGCAAAGTTATGTAACTTTAGACTATACTACTGTATTTGTTGGGTCAATAAGAATCCAAACATATAGAAACATCAATTGCTGGCTGGGCGCGGTGGCTCATGCCTGTAATCCCAGCACTTTGGGAGGCTGAGGAGGGCAGATCATGAGGTCAGGAGATCGAGACCATCCTGGCCAACAAGGTGAAATCCAGTCTCTATTAAAATACAAAAAATTAGCCGGGCTTGGTGGCGTGTGCCTGTAGTCCCAGCTACTTGGGAGGCTGAGGCAGGAGAATTGCTTGAACCCAGGAGGCAAAGGTTGCAGTGAGCCGAGATCACGCCACTGCACTCCAGCCTGGCAACAGAGCAAGACCCCGTCTCAAAAAAAAAAAAAAAACAAAAAACAAAAACAAAAAACAAAAAACAAAAAAAACATTAATTGCTATTGGTTCATTCAGTATAAGCAGGAAAATTCAGGGAAATAACTAACTGTTAAAAACACCGTTGGCTTACACTGAGGGCAAGTTTTAGATTCTAATGTAAGAGCTGTTTGGACCACACTGAGATCATTTAAATGACTGTTTCAGTCATTCAGACAATAAGGCAGAATGTACTGTTTTTTTCTCACACTGAGATAATATGCTATGGAACTTAATTTAATTCAAAGTTTAAAACCACCACCACAACATTTAAAAAACCAAAGCTATCACCATTACATTATGGAACAGTAAACAATATTCATATTTCATATTTAAGATGATATACACCACCAGACCTCCCATGCATACACATGTACTCTCTTCTGTCTTTACTGGTATTTCACTGACAGTCTTATCTTTGAGACGTAGATATTGAAGGAAAAGTTGGGTTTCATCTTTAATCTAGACTTCAAATTCTGGTTCCATATTAACTAGTTACATAATCTTAGGCAAGTTCTTTGAGCATTAATTTCTTCACCTTTAAATAGGATTGTTTTAAGGAGGGTGTGCCTAGGATATGTACAAAGTACAAAAGTTACAATTTGAAAACTTTGAGCACATTTGTTACTTAAAGGCACATGTGTCCAACTCTGAGATGCTTAAGGAATGATAAGAACAATTCAGTCTCTCGCCTTAGAAATTTTTATATTTTAAGTATTTTTCACTTCCACGGTGGTCTAGCTGAATTCTAGCTGATCTATATTCTTTGTAAGTATGTTAGACTATGGTCACTATTCTTTCTACCCAAAATTCTTTCCTATTCTCCTTCTTCTCACAGGAAGAATAGCCACTCTTGTCTTTTGTGAAACTCCACCATATTTCTTGGTCCTAGTAGAGCTGTCAATCTATGATGCTTCACTTTACCCTCTGCGCCCCATACTATGAGACTGAACCATATAAAATGACCTTTTCAGTTGTATAAATATTACTACTAGAAATTTCAGCTGGACAAGGCAGGTCACGACTGTAATCCTAGCACTTAGGGAGGCCAAGGTGGGCGGATCGCTTGATCCCAGGAGTTCGAGACCAGCCTGGGCAACGTAGTGAGAACCCATGTCTACAAAAATGGAAAAAATTAGCTGGGCATGGTGGCACGTGTTTGTAGTCCCAGCTACTCAGAAAAGTGAAATGGGAGGCTCACTTAAACCCAGTCAAAGATGGGTTTAATTCAAGGATTCAGTGAGTTTTAATTACACCACTGCACTTAAACCTGGGTGACAGAGGAAGACCCTATCAGAAAGAAAAGAAAAAAGAAAAGAGAAAAAAAGAAGAGACGAGACGAGACGAGAAGAGAAGAGAAAAGAAAAGGAAAGAAAAGAAAAGAGAAAAAAGGGAAGGAAGGGAGGGAGGAAAGGAGAGAGGGAGGGAGGAAGGAAGTGAGTTAGTTAATATGGCTCAGTCTAATACTACCACAGGAGTAGTAGTCATGAGATACAGGATAGGCCAAATGAAGCCCTCTTGAATTTCCCAGAGGTAGAGTTATAGCCCATCCACCTTGGTTCTCCAGCTACCAGGATGTCACCCTAGGACTGTCAAAAATAAAGGTGGTTCTAACTACCTTGTGTTCCAGTTATACTCTCTGAAGCCTTGGCCCTTCAATTCTGAGAGCTGCTCCAATATTCCTCCCAGCTAATTATGTAACGTAATAAATTCACTTTTTGCAAGCCATTATTTGTAAACCAAAGGCCGCGATTAAGTCAGTAAACTATATGGATATATTTTTCTAAAATGTTCTCAATTCATGAAAGATGAGCTATATCTTTATATTATGACCACAGATAAAATGCTTATATGATTTTTGTAAACATATAACCTGCTTAATTATTCTGGGAAGGCAGCTGAACTACTAGATCATCAGGCTATAATGCCAAGGTTAGGGTGCTAGGTTTTAGTACCAGCTTGGTAACTTACCTTCAGCAAACTTTTACAAACTTTGATTTTTTAAAAAATGACTAAGGTGTTTAAGTTGTGTGAAACTTGGATAGTGACAAGAAAGGTGGTTCAGCTTGTAAAATTCCTACCAAACCCTGATAGACACTGTGAGACACAAGAACAATTTTTCAAAGGGCATAACATATACAAAGTTAACAATTGCCTGCATTTATATTGTGCCTTTCATATTTATTACCTCAGCTTCCCCCCCCCGACACACACACATACACACACAATCTATATTTTACACTGGAGGAAATAGCTCAAACTAAATAACTTGCTCAAGGTCACCAAACTAATCTAGGTATCTCAGACTCAAAGACAAGTCTTTTGACTCTCACCTTATGTGCCTTTTATTTTATTCTATGCTGCATTCTAACAATAATCACATGAGGACCAAACAAATACATCCTTTCACAAAGCCACGCAAGGGGCTTAAACTACTGAGTGATTTAATCCGTTTTTTGTTTCAGGAAGATCATTTTGGTCGCTGTGTGAAAATAGATTGGAACAGGATAAGAGTAAACACAAGAACAGACAGGAGGCTGTTGCAGTAACCCATGTGAAAGGTGATGATGGCCTATGTTAGGGTTAACATGTTCAAGTATCTCAGTTTCTCCAGAACAAGTATGTCTCCTATCTCAGTATAAATATTATCATAATGCCCCCTCTTTCACTCTCAAGTTCCCTGACTTGGATGATCAATTACAGGGTCACTATAGCCAAGGCAACAAGCAATGGCAATGTAACAGAGCATAGTAGTTATCACCAGAGTTCCTCACAGCTCTAATTCCTTCCTGTCTAAAATCCTGGCTCTTAACCCTTTCAGGGGCATGAATTTCTTTGAGAATTCAATAAAAGCTGTGGTAGAATAGTGCATTAACTCTGGTATTACACTGACTAAATACATCTATCTGTTTGCTTTTTTTTTTTCTTTGAGACTCACTCTGTCGACCAGGCTGGAGTGCAGTGGTGCAATCTCACTGCAACCTCCGCCTCATGGGTTCAAGAGATTCTCCTGCCTCAGATTCTATTAGCTGAGGCTCGGAGTAGCTGGGAGATTACAGAGGCGCATGCCACCACACCCAGCTAACTTTTATTTTTTTGTAGATATGGAGTTTTGCCATGTTGGTCAGGCTGGTCTCAAACTCCTGACCTCAAGGGATCTATCTGCCTGCCTTGGCCTCCCAAAGTGCTGGGATTACAGGTGTGAGCCACCACGCCCGGCCATCTGTTTGCTATTTACCAACTCTGTGACTGCTTTCTTCACGTGTAATTTACTCATGTGAACTGGTACTTACATCAGGCTTGGGATGATTAGATGAAATAATGCATGGCATGGCAATACAGGATGCTTTCAGTAAGTTGCTATCCTATAGTGATGTTCTTTATTGCACTGTTTATTATTGCCACAAAATTAGAAATGACCTGAAGTCTAAGGATGAGGTTAAATAAGCTGTAATATGTCCATACCATAGAATATCATGGAATAATTTAAAATAACAGAGTAGGAGCATAAGCTAAAAATTTGAAAAATCTACAAGATGACTTAAGTGGATAAGCAAACTGCAAAACAATATGTACTGAATAATTGATAGACACACACCAAAACACACTTTTAAAAAATTAACACAAAAAACACACATATACACACACACATATGTATATATAATGTACACAGAAAGAAGTTGTGAAGTACACACATCAAACTGGTAACTGGGTTACCTCTGGCTAGGAAGGTAAGATTAGAAAAGAGGAAATAAAAATAAATTTTTGCTTTTTAGTGTATGTATTCCTGTATTATTCGAATTTCACAATAAAAATGTGTATTAATTTATGCCCTTTAAGGTAAAATGCATTGCTTCTGAAGCTTAACTTCTTAAAACAAGTTTCCTCCAGTTACAGTGTTCCAGTGTTATAAGGAACATAGCAAAGGAGAATGCAAATAACTTAAATTTCTATCATAGATTACTAAAACAAGAACAGACACTATCTTGAAGTCCAACAACCCCTCTCATCATTTTATAAATAAGTAAACTAAGACTCTGAGACATCAGGTGAGTTACCCATGGCCACACAGCAAACGAGTCAGAGTTCCTTCCTCTGATGACTATATTATGCATTGCTCTTGTTCTTTCCATTTTGAAAACTTTGCTCTTATTTTTTTTCCCTCCCAATCTCTAAGATGCCCCCATTCTCATTCACAATAAACTAAGGGATATAACTGTTCAGTAAATGAATATATTTTCTGAGGGCTATTAACATTCCCTTTTCTTGATCAAGTAGATTAGATCATTTTCCTTACACCCCACCCCCCGCCGCCTTTATTATAGAGTAGGAGTATAAGCTAAAAATGGTAATCCCCTCCCTTTAAACATTTTTTCTAATTGCCCCCTGGTTTTTAAAAATTGTTGCCCCTTCTCAAAATAGTTTCCAGCTTTGAAGGTTAAAATATGAAATACAAATGAATTCTCAAGCATTTTTGAACTCATTAAGAAAAAAAGTAAAGAATGAAGAGAAAACGGAGATCCAGAAACCTCTCACTATCAGTCTGATCTATTTACCGGCATGAGTCAGTCTCTTTTTAGAAATACAAGGAAATCTACATGTGACTTCGTAAACTTTATAAAGTTTGAAATATTACAGTTTAAAGAATACAATGATAGCTATTCATTATGCTTTTATTACACTGAATCACAGTTAATTTTTTTCTGAACTGTTGAGAAATGTGTCACCTTTGCAAAGGTAAGTATATTGTGTTTCATTATAAATATCCAAAAGTTGGCAATCCAGTATCATATCAGAATAAGACATGCCTACACATTCTAGTACCTTTGGATTTTACCGATTTTATATCTTTCTAAAACAGAATACTTACTGTCTTGTTTTCTTAGTGGGGGCACACCATCATAATGTAACCACTTCTTGGTGACTCAGTCTTCATTTAGAATATTAATTACTACGCTGCAAGCACTGTGGTGAAATGATGCCCTAGAGGCTATTATACTTCTAATTAAATAATTGAGAACCATGGCTCAGGCCTATAATTCAGCACTTTTGAGACGTTGAGGCAGGATGATTGCGTGAGCCGAGGAGTTCAAGACCAGCCTGGGCAACCTAGGGTGACCCTGTCTCTACAAAAAAAATTAGCCAGGGGGTGGCAGCACACACCTATAGTCCCAGTCCTGAGGCAGGAGGATCACTTGAGCCTAAGAGGTCACGGCTGCAGTAAGGCATGACTGTGCCACTGCACTCAAGTCTGCGTGACAGAGCAAGACCCTGTCTTTAAAACAAATAAATAACAATTTTTTAAAAGTTAGCCAGGTGTGGTGGCACATGCTTGTAATTCAGGGGCTGAGGCAGTAGAATTGTCTGAGCCCAGTTCAAGGCTGCAGTGAGCTATAACTGCACCCTTGCACTCCAGCCTGGGCAAAAGAGTAAGACCCTATTGCCAAAAAAATAAAAAATAAAAAAATAAAAACAAAATTACATTTTTAATTTTCTTTTTTGTAGAGATGGGTCTCACAATATTGCCCAAGCTGGTCTTGAATTCCCATCCTCAAGCAATCCTCCCCTCTCAGCCTCCCAAAGTGCTGGAATTACAGGCATGAGCCACTGCACCAGACCACATTTTTGGTTTTCTAATCTTTCTTTCTACTTTTCCCCTTACCTCTTTGCAGTTGGGATTAGCTATGCCTATCCATAGCAATGCTCCCTTTCCAATCTAATTTCCTATATTATGGTACATTGAATAACTAAGCTTTTTGAACTGTTTATATGAGAAGTCTCTAAAATGAGGACCTCTTCTATTTTAAAAACATATTACAGGTTGAGTATCCCTTATCTGAATTGCTTGGTACCAGAAGTGTTTCAGGTCTCAAATTTTTCAGATTTTGGAATATCTGCATATACATAATGAGATATCTTGTGGAGGGGATCCAAGTCTAACTACAAAATTCATTTATGTTCCACTTACATCTTACATACATGTCCCGAAGGTAATTTTATACAGTATTTAAAAAATAATTTTGTGCATGAAATAAAGTGTATACTGAACTATCAGAAAACAAAGGTGTCACTATTTCAGACACCCACATGGACAACTGGTTGTTTTTTGGCATAACCATCATTCCTGACTCTGAACTTATATGCTACCAATAAGTAATCACTTTTTAAAACTTATTCATACTTAAGTACTTAACAGGAAAATGCAAGCCAACCTCTCCTCTTCCTCCTCAACCTACTCAACTCATGTTGAGTAGTTGAGATGACGAAGAGGAAGGTCTTATGACGATCCATTTTGATTTAATGAATAGTAAATGAATTTTCCTTATGACTTTCTTAATAACATTTTCTTTACTCTAGCTTACTTTATTATAAGAGTACAGCATATAATATATGTAATACACAAAAATATGTGAATCAACTTGTTACCAGTAAAGCTTCTGGTCAATAGTAGGCTATCAGTAGTCAGGTTTTTGGGGAAGCAAAAGTATACGTGGATTTTTGACTGAGCGGGAGAGGGAGGGAGTTGGCACCCCAAACCCCCATGTTATTCAAGGGTGAACCATATATTAAAGCCCATATCTCCACCACACACAAAAATAAAATCCAAGAAGATTAAAGAATTAAAGGCAAAATCATAAAATCTTTAGAAAATAACTGCAAATGTCTTCATATCCTACAAACAGGAAGGTCCAAAAAAGACACCAAAAAAACCATAAAATACTGATACTTAACTACAATGGAATTCAGATGTTTGGTCTCCAAAAGACATAATAAAGAGAGAAAGTAATCCATACACATGGGAAAGATAGCTGTAACACATAATAAATGATAAAAATTAGTATCCAGACTGGGCATGGTAGCTCATGCCCACAATCCCAGCACTTTAGGAGGCCGAGGGAGGAGGACTGCTTGAGTTCAGGAGTTCGAGACCAGCCTGGGCAACATGGCATCCCTGTCTCTACAAAAAATACAAAAATTAGCCAGACATGGTGGCACACCTGTAGTCCCAGCTACTTAGGAGGCTGAGGTGGGAGGATGACCTGAGACCAGGGAGGTTGAGACTACAAACAATTCTATAGTTAGTCAAAGGTTTTGCCAGTCTTTCTAAACACCTCATAGAAAAGGAAACATAAATGGTCAACAAACATAAAATGAGACTCAAGCACCTCATTAATAATCTTGGAAAGGAAAATTGAAACCATCCAAAATACTATCTTATGCGTACCAGACTGGCCAAAAACGTAAAGTGTGACAACATACAGTGTTCCCAAAGATATGGAGGGATACAAGCTCTCCAACATCACTGGTAGAAAGTGACCTGTTTCAATGACTTTAGGGGGAAAAAAAACCTTGGCAATATCTAGTAAAACTGAAGACACACACATCCTATGACCCAGCAATTCCACTGTGTTACCCTAACCTAAAGTAGGAGTCAACAAACTTTTCTGTAAAGGGGAAAATAGTTAAATATTTTAGGCTTTGCAGACCACACAGTCTGTGGAGCAAACTACTCAGATGTGCCTTTGTAACACAAAAACAGCTAGAAATATGTATATGAATGGGTGTGGCTATGTTCCAATAAAACTTCATTTAATAAAACTTCATTTATAAAACAGGTGGCCTCCCAGGCAGTCTCCCAGTCTCTGTTCTAGAGAAACTCCTGCAGACATACATACATCAAAAGACATGTCCAAGAATATTCACAGCAGCATAGTTCATCATAAAAACAAATTGGAAACAACCTAAATATCTATCAATTGTAAAACGGGTAAATTGTGATATTAACAACCAACAGAATATCAGAATAGTAAAAGTAAACTATGGCGATGTGCAACATCATTTTGAATCTCAGGAACATGATGAATGTAAAGAGCAAGTCAGGTGAAATTTATATAAAGTTCAAAAACATACAAAAGTAAATAATACAATGTTTAGAATAAAACTACTGAAAAACCAAGGGAATGATATACACAAAATTTATGACAATAGTTACTTCTGATGGTTGTATGACAGAGGATAGGACAGTGAGACACTCACACATAATGGAACATCTACGTGATTAAAACATGTATTGTAACTTTTTAGGGAGGGGGAGGGAAGTTCAGTGATGTTTCTCTTCTGTAAAAGTAGATGGGGGATATGATAACTGGTCTACATAACTGATTTATTCACTTTATTCTTTGGAGAACAATGAATCCATTTTTTGTGAATTAAGTTCCAAAACAAAAATGAAGTTGTATTTCTAAGAACCCTGGGGTTTTGTGGCATAAAAACAACTATACTAGATGGTCTTTATGACAGTTTTGAGGCCTAATAGTATGACTCTAAGATTAATTATCTACAAACCTAAGGAAAAAAACAGTCCTTCATTTCAAAAAGTTACATGATATGAGATATAATATCATCCCAAGAACAAATAAGTTGTTAAAAAATTTGAAATAGTCTCTGATCTCCCCTTCCTAAAGCACTTATGCTGAGATACTGTGCAGCCCTTATAGGTTAGAATGGTAATGGCAGAAGATTAGGTTAGATTAGAGAAGCTAACGTTGAGTGAAGACCATGAGAAACTAGTAACAATACCACACACTGTGTATAGTGTTTTTGTTTTGTTTGTTTTGAGACACAGTCTGGCTCTGTTGCCCAGGCTGGAGTACGGTGGCATGATCTCAGCTCACTGCAACCTCTGCCTCCCAGGCTGCTCAAGTAATTCTCGCGCCTTAGCCTCCTGAGTAGCTGGGATTACAGGTGCACGCCACCATGCTCTGCTACTTTTTTTTTTTTTTTGAGATGGAGTTTCGCTCTTGTCACCCAGACTGAGTGCGGTGGTGCGATCTCGGCTCACTGCAACCTCTGCCTCCCGGGTTCAAGCGATTCTCCTGCATTAGCCTCCCGGGTAGCTGGGATTACAAGCACCTGCAAGCACACCCGGCTAATTTCTGTACTTTTAATAGAGACGGGATCTCACCATGTTGGCCAGGCTTGTCTCAAACTGCTGACCTCAGGTGATACACCCACCTCAGCCTCCCAAAGTGCTGGGATTACAGGCATGAGCCACCATGCCTGACCCGCTAATTTTTGTATTTTTAGTAGAGATGGGGTTTCGCCACGTTGGCCAGGCTGGCCTTGAACTCCTGGCCTCCAGTGATCCACCCGCCTTGGCCTCCCAAAGTGTTGGGATTACAAGGCATGAGCCACAGTGCCCGGCCTAGATAATTGTTTTTGATGATGTTTTTTGGTTAGAGTTCACAAAAGTAAAAGTCAAGCTTAATTATACAATTTCTGATGTATTATTAAGACAGGCACTTTTAAATTATTTTCCATTAAAAGCTGCTGTTTTATATACATGACCATCTTTTTTCACAGAGAACAAGAACAAGCTGAGCAAAACCCACCCTGTCCTCTCAACAGGAATATATTTGTTTATAAAGTAAGTAGTTTTAAGTACTTTATACAAGTGTGTAGGCAAATGTTTATCACATTACTGACACATATATTTACAGGGAGAAGGGGGCTAATGGAGGGAGCAAGGAATCTAGATTCATTCCCAAGTCCTCAGACTTCTTTTGTCACAAGTTTGTGAGACAGGTCTGAACTCACAGGAATGGAGAGATAGTTTACCTGGTCAGAAATTCTTAAGGGTAGAGGAACCCCACACTGAAGCGAGACAAGGCAAGCTGTCTTCCGTTCCCACCACCGATGTTGTAAGCAATATAAACCAGTTCTGTCTGCGTAGGAATACCACCTTCCCAGATAGTTTCAAAGCAAATCTCAGCTCTCTAGATCTCACAACATACTTTACATTCCGAGGAAATCCTCTCAGTCCAGATGGCCTACCACACAAACTACTTCTATGTTGGCAAAAATAAAACTTAAGATAGCTCTTCTCCTGCCCTTTTGCTCTCTGAACTAAAGAAAGTGTTCTATTTTATAAAAGGGGACAAACTGAAGGACAGTGAGCACACAACACACAGGCAAAAGCAGGCAGGATACAGACAAAAAACCTGGGCTGCTTTGAGGAGTGGCTAAACCCTAGGCAGCAGAAAAGCATGAATTAATGCACTATGCAAATATTCACTAAAATTATTTGGTTGCCCTTTGGCACTACTTTTCGGATCTTCTTTAAACTGGTTAACAATAAGGTACTATTGCTTAGAGCTTAAAGTCCCCAAAGTAAGTATTTTTCCTAGTAGGAAATAAAATAAACAATGTGTATACAAAGTAGCAAGTCATATTTCCTTTTTCCTTTTGTTTTATTTAAAATACAATGAAATCCACATGAATTGTAACAAAACTAAAGGAATTATCACTTTTCATTGATTTTTAAAACCAAAATATTAAGATATTAAGATTCATTATAAACATTTTGCTAAGTTAATGAATATAATTAACAATGAGAATCATTTTTCTTAACTAAGTTTCCAAGTTGTTTGAAAATATTAACTGCAGTACTAGCATTAAGAAACCTGTAATAGGGGCTGGGTGCGGTGGCTCAAGCCTGTAATCCCAGCACTTTGGGAGGCTGAGGCAGGCGGATCATGAGGTCAGGAGATTGAGACCACCCTGGCTAACATGGTGAAACCCCGTCTCTACTAAAAATAAAAAAAAAATTGGCTGGGCATGGTGGCGGGTGCCTATAGTCCCAGCTACTGGGGAGGCTGAGGCAGGAGAATGGTGTGAACCTGGGAGGCAGAGCTTGCAGGGAGCTGAGATCGCGCCACTGCACTCCAGCCTGGGCGACAGAGTGAGACTCCATTAAAAAAAAAAAAAAAAGAAAGAAACCTGTAATAACAAACAATTTATCTCTTTTTGTTGCTTTTAAGCTTTACATTTGCACTTTATAAATTTAAACCAACTCAAAATAAAACATTAACAACATAACAGCTATAAACACACATGCACCAAAAACTGCTGTGAAGGGATGAAACCTAAACCAAACTAAATGTGAGGAGTTATGAACATGAAGAGATTGATCTAAGGATAAACTAACAGCAAAAGCTGATAAAAGACATTGGAATGAGGCAAAATGATCCAGATTAATACTTACAAAAGGCCTTCACAGGCCAGGCACAGCGGCTCACACCTGTAATCCCAGCACTTTGGGCGGGTGAGGCAGGGGGATCACGAGGTCAGATGGAGACCATCCTGGCTAACACGGTGAAACCCCATCTCTACTAAAAAATAAAAAAAATTAGCCGCGCGTTGTGGCGGGCGCCTGTAGTCCCAGCTACTAGGGAGGCTGAGGCAGGAGAATGGCATGAACTCGGGAGGCGGAGCTTGCAGTGAGCCGAAATCCGTGCCACTGCACTCCAGCCTGGGCGACACAGCCAGACTCCGTCTCAAAAAAACAAAAACAAAAACAAAACAAAAAGGCCTTTACAGAAAAGTAGAAGCCATCAAAAGAGTGTTTCTACAAGTAAGACTCAGGAAAGCACTTCTCTTTTGATTAATACCTGGTACAGATTCATCAAAGTATAGGAGTTACTTGAAAGATTAACAGGAGTGAGGTGGGTTGGGGAATATATAATGTGTTTGAAACATTACAGGCTAGGAAGGAATTCAAATTCTTGCTATTGACTGGTGAGAGGCTTGAAAGCAGATTGTATGTCGTTATACTTGAATCACCAGACAAATGTAAGGCTGTAGTTTTATAATTCAGGTGTCAACTATACTCTTCTTTACAATAAATGGACCCAAATTAAATGATTGCTTAGAGGTTCCTAAGGTTAGAAGGGCTGCCAAAAAGTTCTGTAACAAAGTGCTTTCTAATTAGCATATAACAAAAAAGGTCCTCTTGCACATCAAAGTATATAGGGCTTTTTTTCCCACCACCTCCCACTTGTGCAGTGCATTACTAATTTGTATATTATGTACCCTGGCCATTTCTTTCTTCTCAAATCGAAATCTAATTTCAGGGAAAAAGCTTGTGAGACCCAGTCTCAGCTGTTTCTATGATTAAGAATCATCTTCTCTCTTTTCTGTTACAGTCAAATCTCTTTTTCAAAACTCCTATTCATCCAGATATTTGAGTACTACTGTATATAAAAAATTTTCAAAGTGCTGAGAATTTAAAAAAAAAATTACTGCCAGAAATTTATCTACCAGAAATTAGAAATAAATAATTTTTTTTTTTTGAGACGGAGTCTCACTCTGTTGCCCAGGCTGGAATGCAGTGGCTTGATCTTGGCTCACTGCAAGCTCTGCCTCCCGGGTTCACGCCATTCTCCCACCTCAGCCTCCTGAGTAGCTGGGACTAAAGGTGCCCGCCATGACGCCTGGCTAATTTTCTGTATATTTAGTAGAGACAGGGTTTCACCATATTAGCCAGGATGGTCTCGATCTCCTGACCTCGTGATCCACCCACCTTGGCCTCCCAAAGTGCTGGGACTACAGGTGTGAGCCACAGTGCCCAGCCATAAAGGGATAATTTTAATAGATGATACTCAAGACAGAATTGATGGAATATGGTCATTGATTACATAAGAGGATAAAAAGTACAGGAAGATCCCTGTTTTTCTATTTGGATGACTGAATAAATGGTTCAATAACATGCACTGATAGAGAACAAAGGAAAAAAAACAGTGTGGGGAATGAGGGAGCAGAAAGATGTGTGGTTTTGGATCTGCTGAGTTTGAGGTCATTATAACAAAAGTATAACTAGGTCTTGGGCTTAAGATAGAGGCCTGAATTAGAGATTACACTTCGGAGCTTTATTAGGACATATCTGATAACTGGAGTTGTGAGAATTGATGACTTGGAGTGAGAAAGGAATAGGGCCAAAGTTATCCAGCAGAGAAGACAGAATAAAAACTGTCAGAAAGCTAGTCATAGGTTCAGGAAAGGAGACATAATGTTAGACTGCAAAGATATCAAAAGACAATGACTAAAAATGGTCCATCTGATTTGGCCAGTATTAAGGAATCTTTACCAGAGAAGTTTCAGTGGAGTCATGGGAACAGAAGCATAACTGCAATGCACTGAAGTGAGGCTGGGAGGTAAGGCAGTCTTTTAAGGAATGTGATTGAAGATGGAAAGGGTTTAACCAGACGGGGGTGAAGAGAGTGTCTGCAAAGCTGACAGTGGTGTTTTTATTTAAATGTAAGAGTAATAGATTTACAGGGTTGAGGGAAGGAACCAACAGAGTTATTTATACTAACACGTAAGGACATGGAGCAGAGCTCCAGCGTTAGAGATGTGAAGGGCTAAAATAGAAAAAACAAGACAAAGAATGAGCCTTTTCTGAGAAGAGATACTTTTATCTAAGAATGAAGGGAAGAAGATGAGAGGAGGTGAAGATATTTGTCTTTCTACCTAATTTTTCTGTAAAGCAGGAGACACAGTGCCCTGCTGAGAAGACCTGGTTAAAGAGCTTGAGCTGGCTGGGCACGGTGGCTCACGCCTGTAATCCCAGCACTTTCGGAGGCTGAGGTGGAGGGATCGCCTGAGGTCAGGAGTTTGAGACCAGCCTGGCCAACATGACAAAACCCCATCTCTACTAAAAATAAAAAATTAGCTGGGGATGGTGGCACACACCTGTAGTCCCAGCTACTAGGGAGGCTGAGGCAGGAGAATCACTTGAACCTGGGAGGCGGAGGTTACAGTGAGCCAAGATTGCAACACTGTACTCTAGCCTGTGCAACAGTAAAAGACTCTGTCTCAAAAAAATAAATAAATAAAATAAAAAATAAGAGGTTGAGCTAATAGGTAAGTGTGGAATTGTATATACCACACAACTCATAATATTGTAGGATATTGTTAATTATCTTTTAATAAAGTTACATTTAAAATTCCTAACTAGATTGTAAAACCCTCTGGGGAAGAAGCTATTTTTCATTTTCCTCTACACCTGCAAAGCATCACACTTTGCAATAACTCTCCAAACAGTGGTTGATTTGTTGTGGTTGTGCTTCAGAATAAGCAGCAAAGACAGGATAAAACAGGGAATGAAAAAAAGACACTTATTAGTTTGGTGACATGCATAGGACTAGGGGTTGCTTTAGAAGATAAGAACCCCCTTTATTAGAAGTTTCGTGTAGCTGAGGGGGAATCTGGAAGAAGCAAATTTAGCCAATAATTGCATGATAGAAAAGATCGGTATCTCTCTCCTCTTCCCTCACCATCTAGTATTTCTTCCTTTTTATGGTTTTTTTCTTTCTCTGAATATCCCCTTTCCTTTCTTGTACCTGGATTTTGAGGCTATCTATCTTCCTGCCCTCCTTTCCCCTCTGCCAGGATATGACCAAAATTAAGTATATTTTTGTTATTCCTATCAGTTTTAGAGATTTAGCCCAACCAAGAGGTCAGATGTTCTCGCATTAGTGGGCCTCAACCAAGACTCTAGATTTATTTTGCTAGAGTTTTCCTCTTACTATTTTTTATAAGCAAATGAGCTAAATGCTTTTATTTCTTACCCAAGAAAAAAAATCTACTTTACTTCCCTCCCTGATTCCTCTGACAAACTCAGTATTTACATGTATTTAGCCCTAAACTCACTCACTCACATTTCTTTTATTTTTCTCTCTCGTGGTGAATGGGTGACTCTTGCAAGACAGTTATCTGTCTTGCTTTATGAAAAAATTCTCTACCATTTAATATTTTACTAACATAACTGTTCCTGGAATACAAAGTTCATGTGTAAGCTAAAAACTTACTTAATATGCATATGGTGCTTAAGAGCACAGTGCTGGATTTAGACTGTCTGGGATTTAAAAACTGGCTTCATCATTTAGTAACTATATACCCAGGCAAGTTTCTTAACTTCTTCATGCCTCAGATTCTCCATCTTTAAAATGAAGCTAAGAACATCTAGATGACATATAAAGTTATAGAAAATTAAATTAGATAAATTAAACAGCATGTAAAAACAACAAATAGTGAAATTTTCCTTTTTATAAATGTTAGCTACTACTATAATCATCATAAGATTCCAATACAAAGGTCTGCTAAACCCACACCTAGATCACCTTAATCCTTAAGGATGAGTAACATTTGCAGTCAGGTACCTAGGGTACACGATCAAAGTTTTACTAAAACTTAGTTTCTAATACATTAGCAGAAAGAGATACTATATTTTACTGATTTGTTTACTCACTAAATTTCATTTAATCATCAGAAAATTAAAAATGGACTAAATTGGAATTAGCAGGAGACAGTGAAAACAACACAAAGATATATGTTATTTATTTGATAATCATTTTTAACATTAAGTGACCTTCTAATTATTAATACATACCATGCATTGTTAGGATTTAAATAAGACTGTTTCCTAACCCTAGCAAGCATTGTGGGGGAGAGAAGAAGGTAAATAAATAAATAAAATAAAGTACAATACAACACTTGTCCTGACAGATATATACAGAAAATTGTAGAACTCACAGAAAGTCAGTCAATTTTTACCAGGAGAGAAAAGAATGAAAGCCTGGTCTCTGGAGCAAGTTATTTCTCTGTTAAAAGCAAAATACTCATGAGAAATTTTTTAAAGCAGTGCCATTTTAAGAGCTCACTATGTAGGCCTATAAAACATTACAAGCAAAGCTATACCTTCTGAATTATAAGACTACAGCTATATTCCAAATGATATAAGTATTGAATACTAAATTTTAAATGACAAGCTCTAAGAACATGATGTTTTAGCCTATTTCAAATAAAAAAGAAGGCAGAGAAAGACCCAGAGGAAATCTATCAATCAACCACAAGCTATATCAGCAAAACTCATCAACTTCATTCCTAAAACTATGTCGATCCTTGAGCAATGTAGGGGTTAGGGGTGCTGACCACCCACTCATTTTTCTATGAGGAGAATTCTTTCTACTCTCTTAGCAATTTTCAAGTATATAAATCCATGTATACTTTTTTTTTTTTTGAGACAGAGTCTCTCCCTGTCACCCAGGCTGGAGTGCAGTGGCATAATCTTGGCTCACTGCAACCTTGGCCTCCCAGGCTCAAGCAATTCTCATACCTCAGCCTCCTGAGTAGCTGGGATTATAGGTGCGTGACACCATGTCCAGCTAATTTTTTGTATTTTTTGTAGAGATGGGGTTTCACCATGTTGGCCAGGCTGCTTCTGTACTCCTGACCTCAAGTAATCCGCCCACCTTGGCCTCCCAAAGTGTTGGGATTACAGGTGTGAGCCACTGTGCCCGGCCTATGTATAATTTTTGACTCCCTACAAACTTAACTATTAATAGCCTGCGGTTGACCGGAAGCCTTACTGATAACAAACAGTTGATTAACACATATTTTGTATGTTATATATATTCTATAGTTTTATAAGGTGATATGTTAAAAAAATCATGAGAAAATATATTCACTATTCATTAAGTGGAAATGGATGTTCATAAAAGTCTTCAGCTTTGCTGTTTTCATGCTGCATAGGCAGAGGAGGAGGAAGGGGGCGGGGTTGTTCTTGCTGCCTTAGGGGTGGCAGAGGCAGCAGAAAATCCTTATATAAGTGGACCCACACAGTTCAAACCTGTGTTGTTCAAGGGTCAACTGTATTTGAAGGGCATATATATTGCAATATGTCACACAAAATTGAGTTGCTGGACCAGAAGCAAATTTAAAGTTTTTCTTTGTGGAAGAGGGGTGGTTTAAAAAAAAAAAAAAAAAAGCCTTAACAGGCTCATATTAATTTTGAAAGCAGGTAGGATGTAATTCTTTAAAAAAATAAGAATGGAGGCTGGGCACAGTGGTTCATGCCAGTAATCCCAGCACTTTGCGGGGCTGAGGTGGGAGCATTGCTTGAGGCCAGCATGAGCAACATAGTGAGAACCCCATCTCTACAAAATTAAAAATTAAAAAAAACCAGGTGTATGCCAGTAGTCTCAGCCAGCTACTTGGGGCAGGCTGTGGGGGCTGAGGTGGAAGGATCTCTTGAATCTGGGAGGTCAAGGCTGCAGTGAGCCACAACTGTGCCACTGCACTCCAGCTGGGCAACAGAGCGAGATCTTACCTCAAGGGGAAAAAAAAAGAAAAAGAATGAACATCATTTCACATGCACATAAAACTGAAAGTGGAAAAAAGTCTGGATTAAACAAGTTCAGTACAAGGCTCAACAAAATCTTGCTTTCCTTTTGAGAGGATTCCCTTTGTTGAATTTCATGGAAATTTTGTGGGATACTGCTACTATAATCAAAATTTATATATATATTTCTAGAAGTAAGCAGTTCTTTTATTTTTTAATCTCATTTCACATTTTTAAATTTACTTTTTAATTGACAAGTAAAAGTTGTATATATTTATGGTGTATAACATGATACTGTGATACATGTAAATACTGTGGAATGGCTAAGTCAGACTACTTAACATATGCATTATCTCACGTAGCATTTTTCTATGAGGAGAAAGAACATTTAAAAATCTACTCTCTTAGCAATTTTCAAGTATGTAATTTATTTTATTTATTTTATTTTATTTTATTTTATTTTGAGACAGAGTCTTACTCTGTTGCCCAGGCTGGAGTGCAATGGCACGATCTCACCTCACAGCAACCTGCGCCTCCCAGGTTCAAGTGATTCTCCTGCCTCAGCCTCCCGAGTGGCTGGGATTACGGGAATGCACCATCACGCCCAACTAATTTTGTATTTTTAGTAGAGACAGGGTTTCACCATGTTGGCCAGGATGGTCTCGATCTCCTGACCTCATGATCCGCCCGCCTCGGCCTCCCAAAGTGCTGGGTTTACAGCCATGAGCCACCACGCCCGGCCCATAATTTATTTTTTTATTAACTGTAAAAACTATGATTTACAATAGATCTCTTCAACTTATTCCTCCCATCTAACTGAAATTTTGTGTCTTCTGGCCAACATCTCCCCAATCCCTGTCCCTTCAGTGTCATGGCTAAGAATTACATGAGTATGTATATTTTTATCTCAGAATTTAAGTGTATCTGGAAGATCTAATAGATTCAATCTACTATAAATGACTATCATACCAAGAAAAGACTGGTAACTATTTTTCTAGTCCACTTACAAATGTGTCTACGGCATGAACAATGGAAGATCCAATACATTATTTTACCATAAAGGTATGAGTAACACATTTTTTGCACAATTAGAGCTCATTTGTTATTTAATTTGGGTAGCATTATTTCCTTAAAAATAAAACAAATTTTTAGATGTTTGTAAAATATTTATACATTTTACATTTATTGAGTGACTAATTTGCCAGGAACTATGTTAAATCCCAAGGACATAAATTCAACTTGCTTTCTTCTCACTTCAAAAAACAAGTTTTTAAATTTCTGAAAAATTGAGAAAATTAACATATGTAAGAAATATGTCAATATTGCCTATAAAGCAATAAAAAAACACATCAATCCAATAGAAAAATGCAAAAAAGACATGACTAGGCAAACTTCTATCTGCAGGGAGGGAAGAAGGGTGGATCAAGCTCACTAGTAATTAGGCACATGCCAATTAAAATCACAAAATACTATTTCACACATCCTTGGATAAAAAATGTAAATAAAGTCTGGCAACGTTAGTTGGATTTAGAGCATCAGAACTTTTATACATTCTGAAGGGAAGTATATATTGACAAACTCTTCTGGAGAATAATTCAGCAAGACTTACTAAATGTGAAAATATACTTGGCCTACAATCCAGCAATCCAGAAGTAGGCAAAAAAATTAAATAGGCATTTCTCTAAAGAAGATATACAAATTATCAATAAGCACATGAACATACGTGGAGAAATTAGAACTCTTGTGCATTGCTGGTAGGAATGTAAACCTGTTTAGCCACCATAGAAAACAGTGGGCATTTCCTCAAAAAATTAAACAGGATTACCATATGACAAAGCAACTCCACTTACAGATATAATCCAACAGAACCGAAAGTGTGGACTCAGATACTTTTATACACCAATGTTCATAGCAGTATTATTAACAACAGCCAAGGGGTGGAAAGCACCCATATGTCCATAAACACATGAATGGATAAACAAAATGTGGCATATACATAAAATGGAATATTATTCAGCCTTAAAAAGAAATGATACTCTGACACATGCTAAAACATGAGTGACCTTTGAAAACATTATGCTAAGTAAAATAAACCAGACACAAAAGGACAAATGTTGTATGTTTCCACTTATACCAGGTACCTAGAATAGGCAAATTCATTGAAACAGAAGAGAGAATAGAGGTTACCGGGGACTGAAAGGAGAGGTCAATGAGGAGTTACTAATATGATGAAAAAGTTCTGAAAACATACGGGTGATGGTTGCACAACACTGTGAATGTGCTTAATAACACTGAACTATAAAGTTAAAATTGATTAAAATGATAAATTTTATGTGTATTTTATAACAATAAAAAATCATAATGAGATGCCACTTCACACCATCAGGATGGCTATAATCAAAATGACAAAGTGTTGGTGAGGATAAGGGGAAATTGAAACCCTCATATACTGCTAGTGGGAATGTAAACAGTACAGCCACTTTGGAAAACAATCTGGCAGTTCTTCAAAAGGTTAAACAGAGGCACCATATAATCCAGCAACGCCACTCCTAAAGTATACACCTAAGAGAAATAAAGACAGATGACCACATAAAAACTTGCCCATGACTGTTTATAGCAGCATTGTTCATAAGAGCCAAAAAGTAGAAATAACCCAAATGTCCATCAAATGTTGAACAGTTATGTGCTCACACGGTTATACCCATGTGACAGAATATTACTCCAATAAAAAAGAACGAAACAGTGATACATGCTGCAACATGGATGAAATCTTGAAAACATACTTAGTGAAAGAAGCCAGTGACAAAAGACTACATACTGTATGATTCAATTTACATAATGTCCTGAACAGGCAAACCTGTAAGATAAAGTAGATTAGCAGCTGCCTAAAAACTATAGGGATTGGGAGAAACAGGAAGTGACTGCTAAAGGATACAGGATTTCTTCTTATTGTGGTAAAAATATTCTAAAATGGATTGTGCACAACTCTGTGAATATATTAAAAACCACTGAAGTACATGTTTTAAATGGGTGATTCATATGGCATGTGAATTATATCTCAAAACAGCTGTTACAAAAACAACAAAAAAACCCTCATTCAATAAGCAAGAAAAACTTTCATAATTTAAACGGTAAATTCCCTCAGAAGGTATAAATAGAATTTAAATTTTCCCAAGGGTAAAGGAAGGAGAACCCGTAGTGGTATTATTAGTATGTGAAAAGGCCAGAATAATCACCTACATGAGGGCACAAATGAAGGGGTAAAAAGAGTCTGGAGTGATAAGGGCAACTTCAACTTTTTCATAATATAGCCTAGAGCCAGCATTTCTTAAGAGACTATTATGCATATTTATTCAAATTGTCCAAAGATTAGTGAAAATGTAATGGTCTTTGTAAACAAAGATGTTTCTTACAGTATCTAGATGTGTTTTCATGGGGATGTTTTCAATATACATTAGAGATCTGGGCTAAGCAGAGCAAACTTTCTCACATTGTACTCTTGTCATGGGGAAAGACTAAAAAATGGTTACTTCCTTGTAAGCAAGGAGAAGAAAGATGACCTGCTACAGTAAAATTTGTAATTTCTAACTACTGACATTTAAGAGCTCTTAAAAAACAGAAAACAAACAAAACAGAGATAATCGTTAAACTTCAGCTACTTCAAAGCATGTCTTTACAGGTTCAAATGATTTAGCTTCATTACTTGACAGGGTCTTGCAAATAAAAATAATTTTTACTGATCTTATGAGCAAACAAAAAAATGATAGCAAATAATGGCTAGGAAGTTAGGACATTTGTAGTGGTGCATTTGTGAACTGCTACAAATCTCAGTTCTGAACAGTAATCTTTACGTAATCACTACAAAAATGAAAAATACACATGCTTTGACACAACAATGTATGTAGCAGGGAGAGAGGGAACTATAAACCTATCAGACCTATCAAAATGGGATCAAGTGAATGAAATATGTTATCTAAATATGGAATCTGTGCAGCTATTAAAAATACATTATATTGGCCAGGCACGGTGGCTCACGTCTGTAATCCCAGCACTTTGGGAGGCCGAAGGGGTGGAGGGCGGATCACGAGGTCAGGAGATCGAGACCATCCTGACTAATACAGTGACACCCCATCTCTACTAAAAAGACAAAAAAATTAACCGGGTGTGGTGGCAGATGCCTGCAGTCCCAGCTACTTGGGAGGCTGAGGCAGGAGAATGGCGTGAACCCGGGAGGCGGAGCTTGCAGTGAGCCGAGATTGCACCATTGCACTCCAGCCTAGGCGACAAAGCGAGACTCCATCTCAAAAACAAAACAAAACAAAACAAAACAAACAAAAGAACCGTTATATTTCTATATATCAATGTGGAGGGCTATGCATGATCAATGGATATATATTTTAAGTTAGTTTCCAGTAAGCAAAAGATAATGCATATTCACTGTTTACACAGTACAGTTTATGTCCTGTTTTTGAAAAAGCAAACAAGAAAGCAGGTGTACATGAAGAACAGGGGTTGGCAAACTTTTTCTGTTAAGGACCAGACAGTAAACATTTTAGGCTTTGTAGGACAAAAGGTCTTTGTCCCAATTACTGGACTCTGCTGTGGCAGCACAAAAGCAACTACAGATATTAACTATACAAATGTGTATGGCTATGTTCCAGTAAAGCTTTATTTATGGACACTGAAATTAGAATTCATATAACTTTAATGAGTCATGAAATATTCTTTTGATTTTTTCCAACCATTTAAAAATATAAAAACCATTTTTGGCTCACAGGATACAAAACAGTGAATTTTGCCATAAAGTGCTAAAGTTTGTCAACCCGATATGGAAAGACACAAATTAAACTGTTAACAGGGGTTATCTTGCAAAAAATTTGTTAAAATAAGCAAATATGCCATTTGATTTTAAAATATATAAAATAATTTTAAAAACTATCTCCTCTCAAATGAAAATGTAATTTTTATTAATAGGGCTGAGAAATTATCTTCTCCATAATCAGAAATCACTGGTGTGTTAATTAACATGACTCAACTTCTCCATGGCTACAGAGAGAGAAGACTAAGGAGAGAAGAAGACAACTTTAGGCCAGGTGCAGAGGCTCACACCTGTAATCCCAGCACGTTGGGACCAGGCAGGCAAATCGCTTGAGCCCAGGAGTTCGAGACCACCCTGGGCAACATGATGAAACACTGTCTCTACAAAAAATTTATTAGGCTTGGAGTGGTGGCTCATGCCTGTAATCCCAGCACTTTGGGAGGCTGAGGTGGGTGGATCACCTGAGGTCAGGAGTTCGAGACCAGCCTGGCCAACACGACGAAACCTTGTCTCTACCAAAAATACAAAAACTAGCTGGGTGTGGTAGTGGGCACCTATAATCCCAGCTACCGAGGAGGCTGAGGCAGGAGAATCCCTTGAACCCAGGAGGCGGAGGCTGTGATGAGCCGAGATCACGCCACTGCATTCCAGCTTGGGCAACAAGAGTGAAACTCCATCTAAAACAAAACAAAACAAAACAAAACCCAAAAAAACACCACAAAAATTAGTCAGGCATGGTTGGGTGTGCTTACAGTCCCAGCTACTCAGGAGGCTCAGGTGGGAGGATTGCTTGGGCCCGGGACATTGAGGCTGCAGTGAGCCATGATAGCACTACTGCGCTCTAGCCTGGGTGACAAAGCAAGGTCCTGTCTCAAAAAAAAAAAAAAAAAAAAAAAAGTAAACCATGTTGTAAACAATGTGCTGTCATCTAAGCTTTGTTGTTCCATTTCTAGAGCATACACATGCGCAGGGTAGAATAATCCCAAGGCCCTAGGATTTTCAGAATGGTCAATGAGCACTGGCTTCAACTTAAAGTCATCAGCTACAATACCCCCTCAACAGTCAGCTTGTCCTTTGAAGCCAGGCATTGGCTTCTCTTCTCTAGCTATGAAAGTACTGGGTAACATCTTTTTCTAATATAAGACAGTGTTGTCTACACTGATAATCTGTTGTTTAGTGCAGCCACCTTCATCAATGATCTTAGCTAAATCTTCTAGATAACCTGCTGCAGCTTCCACTTCAGAACCTGCTGCTTCACCTTGCACTTTTATGTATGGAGATGGCTTCTTTCCTTAAACCTCATGAACTAATCTCTGCTAGCTTCAAACTTCTGCAGCTTCCTCACGTCTCTCAGCTTTCATAGAAATGAAGAGAGTTAGAGCCTTGCTCTGGATTAGGCTTTGGCTTAAGGGAATGTTGTGTCTGGTCTGACTTTATATTCAGAACATGCAAACATTCTCCGTATCTGCAATAAGGCTGTTTAACTTTATCATTCATATGTTCACTGGAGTAGCACTCTTCAGAAACTTTTTCTCTGCATTCACAACTGGCTGTCTGGTATGAGAAGCCTAGCTTTCAGCCTATCTCAGCTTTTGACATGCCTTCTTCATCTAAGCTTCATCATTTCTAGCTTTTGATTTAAAGTGAGAAACGTGCACTCTTCCTTTCACTTGAACACTTAAGAACCATTGTAGGATTATTAACTGGCCTCATTTCAATATTGTTATCTCAGGGAATAGGGAGGCCTGAGGAGAGGGAGAGAGACAGAGGAACAGCCAGTGTGTGGAGCAGTCAGAACACACAACATTTATTAAGTAGGCTATCTTAAATGGGTGTCACTCATGGCACTCCAAAACAATTACAACAGTAACATCAAAGGTAATGGATCACAGGTCACCGTAAGAGATATAATAATAGTGAAAAAGTTTGAAATACTGTGAGAACTAGCAAAACGTGACACAGATGAAGTGGGTACACATGCTGTTGGAAAAACGGGGCCAATACACTTGCTCAATGCAGGGTTGCCAAAAACCTTCAATTTGTAAAAAAAAAAAAAAAAAAAAATACAGTATCTGCAAAGTGCAAGAGTATGAAGCACAATAAAACAAAGTATGCCTGAATTTGATATGGATAACTGGTATTTTTTCAATTATGTGTTATACACGTATTATAGATAAGTAAAACAATTTTTTGAGAATTTTGCTGTTTCCAATGATCTATGACATACACTATGAGTGAAAATAATGTGCAGCAACAAAATAAATCTTCAAGACATACTCCCCTACCCAAACTGCCACCCCTTAAGCCCTTCCTATACAGAAATTTTCAAAGCAGCTATTCCTGGCAAAAAAGAGTTTTCCTTTTTTTTTTTTTTTTAGATGGAGTCTCCTTCTGTCGCCCAGGCTGCACTGCAGTAGCACGATCTTGGCTCACTGCAACCCCCACCTCCCAGGTTCAAGTGATTCTCCTGCCTCAGCCTCCCAAGTAGCTGGGATTACAGACATGCGCCCCTTACGCCCGGCTAATAATTTTTTTTTGTATTTTTAGTAGAGATGGGGCTTCACCATGTTGGCCAGGCTGGTCTTGAAGTCCTGATGTCAAGTAATCTGCCCACCTCGGCCTCCCAAAATCCTGGGATTACAGGCGTGAGCCACTGCACCCAGCCAGAAAGGGGTTTTCAATGCATTGTCCTGCACCAAAACCAAAACAAAACCACATACATAAACTTTTTGATTTTTTAAAATTTTGTTAAATGCAAAATGTCATTTTCTAATCTATGAAAATCTAAAAGAAAAATTAAATGTAGAAACTAAAGCAAGCTTAAGATTTACAGAACTTCAGGTAGACCTTTTCAAAGACATCTACAGTCATCCCTCAGACATGCAGGAGGGTGGTTACAGGACTCCTACATATACCAAGTCCGGGCATACTCAAGTCCCATAGTCAGCCCTGCACAATCCACATATACAAAAACTGAGGCCTCTGTATACACAGGTTTGGCATCCCTGGAATACTGTATTTTTCAATCCACGTTTGGTTGAAAAAATCCACATATCAGTGGACCTGCCCAGTTCAAACTGGTGTTGTTCAAGGGTCAACTGTATTTCCTTATGAAGGGGGCTCTTCCTTATTTGATGCCGTTTCTGCTACAATTAATCAATTAAAGGTCTACAACTAAACTTTCTATGTTCACTGTGGGTTCTTCATGGCCAAGAGTCATTGGTGTGTAAATGATGTCACTGATGAAACAAGCAAATGTGTTTCAGTTAAATTTTGGAGTAAACGCATAACAAGCATTAGTTAACTGCATTATACCTTACATTAAAAGTTTTTACTAAGTCAAGTGCTGCAGTGCATGTTTGTATTCCTAGCTGCTTGCGAGGCTGAGATGGGAAGATTGCTTGAGCCCAGGAGTTCACGTCTAGGCTGGACAACACAGCAAGACCCCCTCTCTTTAAAATTAAAAAAAGAAATTTCACTGATTTTGAAAAGAAGCCACTACCATACTACTGGTTAAAATCCAAAATTCAAATATTCTTGTGGTCAAAGTAAAGCATCTTCAGTACTTAAAGGAGGACTCTTGTACTTTAGTATGGAATTGTATTGTGCTGTATGGATAGGAACCGAGTAGGAAAGGCTGACACTGAACTAACTATGATAGGGCAAATTTAATTCTCCTTTCCTCCACTACTGTATTCTCTTCAGACAGGCTCAGGAAGATCCATATACATGAGAGATCCAAGTAGTAATTCTCAAGTACAGAATATCTGGAATACTCTAGGGCAGCAGTCTACAACTTTTTGATACCAGGGACAGGTTTCGTGGAAGGCAATGTTTCCACAGACTAGGGGCAGCGGGGGAGGGCTGGGATCATTCAAACACATTACACTTATTATGCACTTTATATTATTATTACATTGTAATATATAATAAAATAATTATATGGCTCACTATAATGTAGAATCAGTGGGAGCCCTGAGCTTGTTTTCCTGCAACTAGATGGTCCCATCTGGAAGTGATGGAAAACAGTGACAGATCAGGCATTAGATTCTCATAAGGAGTGAGCAACCGAGATCCCTTGCATGCACAGTTCCCAACAGGGTTTGCATTCCTATGAAAATCTAATGCCACTGATCTGACAGAAGGCAAAGCGTAGGTGGTAATGAGAGTGATGAGGAGCGGCTGCAAATACAGATGAAGCTTTGCTCACTCACCCACTGCTCACCTCCTGCTGTGTGACCCAGTTCCTACCAGTCTGTGGCCCGGAGGGTTGGGGACCCCTGTTCTACAGCCCACTTCATTACAGACTACACAAACTTCTAGGATCACCCCATATCTGACTGAGACCCATAAATTAATCACAGGATCAATCCAGTACCCTACGGATGTTCCAAAAGTGAGATGATCAGCACCCAGATCAAATTCCCCATGTCTTCTACATATTTAGAAGTAAATCTACATATTTAAAAGGAGATCAAATTCAGACCATTTTTGCTAGTGAGTTTGGTTATAATATTGGTTGACAGATCTGATATTTGGACATATCCTCTAAAAACTACAGTTCAGCAATCAAGCAATGTAGTTCAAATTACCTAACTACTCATTAAGACAACGAATATGTGGACACACAAACATGACCAAATGTAGTCCAGAAGCATATTTTAAGAATCCTCAGAAAGCATCTTTTTCATGGGTACAGTATTCCACAAAGAAAACTCTACGTTTAAGTCTGCATTATGTAAATAACATAATTCAAACACAGCAAAGCCTAAAAGACAAATATTAGGTTTCAAGTATCTGAAGTTACTAAATGAAAAACAGTAACCATCTGTTTCCACAGAGGGCCAAACAAGAAATGTACTGAATCTATAACATGAAGAATGTGGGTTATATAAGAATTTTTTTTACAGTAAAGGTTAATTCTGAGAAGAACGAATCTTGACAATCAAGAATTGCTTTCTCTGAAAAAAAAACTTAGAGACTCAACTGCCTTGATGGGTTAAGTATAATCCTGTTCAGTACAGGAGGACTGTATCCCTAAGATTACAATTTGTTTGTCTAGAGTTCAAAAAGAAGTTCCACTACAAAAACAAATAAAATTCATAGTAAATATACATATGTCATAGCTCTTGAGCTTGACACCAAAGGTTTCTAATATGCTTAAATCTGCAGGTAAACTTTAAATAAAAAATTTACTCAGTCCAACTATGAGAATATTGACTGTCAGAATATTGGTTAAAAAAATGAAAATTTACTTAACAAAAATGTTTTATTACAGTTGAAAACTGTATATTTTTTTTCTAACTTCCTTGTCTGTTGCTTTTGCAGTTTCAAAATCAACCAGGAACCAAGTAGATCTTTATTCCTTCCAACTACTTTGTTTCTCTGCCATTTCATCACTTTCAACTCTTACTTAAGGGTGTGAGTCAGAGGGGTAGGATAAACTTTGGATATAACCAATTTTAGACAATAAGCAGTATTTAATTTGGTTCAATAGCTTTCCTCCATTGCAAAGAAAGCAACTCAATTGTTGTGGCATGGTTAAAAATAGCAGTCCAGCCATTCAGTGAAATAGCAAGCACTCATTGTTTGGCTATAATAATCTTTAAAATGTCACACATTCAAAACATGTTTTAATTACATACACTAGCAACAACTGTAGAGATATGAAATGGAAAAAGAACAGGTAACATATTAATGAGAGTAGCTGTACTCATACTAGGATTGTGGATGATTGTTTTTATAATTAAAAAAGAAATGGGCCGGGCCTGGTGGCTCACGCCAGTAATCCCAGCACTTTGGGAAGCCGAGATAGGTGGATCACGACGTCAGGAGTTCAAGACCAGCCTGGCCAAGATGCTGAAACCCCGTCTCTACTAAAAACACAAAAATTAGCCAGGTGTGGTGGCACACACCTGTAATCCCAGCTACTCAGGAGGCTGAGGCAGGAGAATCGCTTGAACCCGGGCAGCAGAGGTTGCAGTGAGCCAAGATCGCGCCACTGCACTCCAGCCTGGGTGACAGAGCAAGACACCATCTCAAAAAAAAAAAAAAAAAAAAAAAAAAAAAAGAAGTGGGCCGGGTGTGGTAGCTCATGCTTGTAATCCCAGCACTTTGGTTTGGGACGCCGAGGCAGGCAGATCACCTGAGGTCAGGAGTTTGAGACCAGCCTGACCAACATGGTGAAACCGTGTCTCTAATAAAAATACAAAAATTAGCTAGGCATGGTGTTGGGTGCCTGTAGTCTCAGCTACTTAAGAGGCTGAGACAGCAGAATTGCTTCAACCAGAAGGTGGAGGTTGCAGTGAGCTGAGATCGTGCCTCTGCACTCTACCCTGGGTGACAGAGCTAGACTCCGTTTCAAAAAAAAAGAAAAAAAAAAGATAAATGAGTTTCTCCTTTTCTTACAAAGATCTTAGTGACACTATCAGGAGTAAGAGTTGTGGAAAACTAAACCAAAGTTTGGCTGGGTATGCGATAAGGCAGATTTAAAAGTTCTAAGGAAATAAGTTCTCAAAGGGAGAAGGTATAGCAATAAAGATTCTTTATATTTTCTAACCGTCCTTTAAGGTTTGGATTGGAAGAAAAAAGTAATTTAACTCTGTATCTGAGTACCCGCAACTTACTTTTAAATTCACCAGAAAACAGGTTGATAACAGATAGATATATGGTAACCCAAGTATAGCAAAATGTTAATTACAGAATCTTAGTGGTAGATAATTAGGTATTCACTGCAAAATTTTTTTTTTTTGCTTCTTAAACATTTTTTATAATAAAACAGAAAAAAAATCTAGTCTGAGGCCAACACACTTCAAGAGAAAATGAAATAAATTTGCAGAGTACCCTGGAAGCTTTTATAGGTACATAAAATATTAAAGTAGTTGGATTTTATGAAAATCAGCTTGGATTATAAGATTTGAATACCATTCTGTTAAAAAGTGGTTTTATGGCTGGGCATGGTGGCACATGCCTATAATCCCAGCACTTTGGGAGGCTGAGGCAGGCTTGATCCCAGGAGTTCAAGACCAGCCTGAGCAATATGGCAAAACCTCATCTCAACAAAAAATATAAAAGTTAGCCAGGCGTGGTGGTGTGCATCGGTAGTCCCAGCTACTTAGGGGGCTGCAGTGTGAGGATCACTTGAGACTGAGAGGTTGAAGCTGCGGTGAGCCATAATCACGCCACTGCATTCCAACCTGGGTGACACAAAGAGACCCTGTCTCAAAAAAAAGTTTTACATCTACCATGCAGAGTTATAGATCTTGTAGTATAGCTAGCCTCCACAGATGAACCCCCAATGAAACACGCCTACCAGTAGTCATGCTCTTATGTAGTTCTCTCCTTTGAATCTAGGCTGGCCTTGTGACTTGCTTTTTTACCAACAAAAGTTGTGTAACTTCCAAGACTAGATATGAATAAGTCTTGCAGAATCTAAGACTGTTTTCCTGGAATACTTTCTCCAGGAGAACTGAGCTGCCCTTTAAGAAGTCCAACTACTCTGAGCCACCATACCAGAGGCCACAGATACATACTTGGTTTGACAGTCCCAGCTAAGCCTAGCCTTCCAGCCATCCCGGCTAACGCACCAGACATGCAAAAGGTACGACCCTCCAGCTGCATATCACCATGTATCCTTAGTGGAAAAGAAGAATTGCCTAGCCAAGCCCTGCCCAAATTCCTGACCCACAATAATGCTGGATATAACAACAAAATTGTTGTTTTAATCCACTAAGTATTAGGTGTTTGTTTTTTTAACCAGAATAGATCAATAAGGGTATATTAATCACTAAATATTTAGCCCAAATCCTTCATTTTTAGCAATACATTCATTTTCAATGAATTAAAAAATGGGAAAAAAAAATCCGCTGTAAACTCTAGGATAAGTAGGTGAGGAAAACAAAGTAAAGGAAAAAGCTACATAGTTGGGAATAACTGCCTAGCCTATTCAAATATACAAACGCCTTATAATAAAAACTCAGGTAAGCATCAAATAACAGTCCATTTTTTAAAACCATTAATTTTTTATACTTTGGATGATATTCATATGAGTAAATGTACTAGACATAAATTTTTTTCTATTTAAGTTCATACCGAATCCACTATCTGACATCTTGTCAGTGATCTGTGACTCCCGCCCAAGCTGTTGTCTTAAGAAAGAGTTAACAGAGAAATGACTGAATTTAAAACAGTAAAATGTTTTAAACTTCTACATTTTTGTTTTCATTGACATGTTAGGAAAAATTGGGGGATCACAAAACATATGTGTTACCCACCGTTTACCATAATATTTGATATACACAATAAGACAAAGTTCTCTGACTACACACATAATAGGTACTCAGTAACTGTTGATGGAATTAATTTTAAAATCCTATACATTCAGCTTACAAATTATAACTGCATAAAAGAAACTTAAATTGATGTATCTAAACAAGTCATCAATATCCTTAATTTTATATGTTTTAAGAAAACACAAAAGTACTTTCTAGCCAGTTGTAAAATATAAATGTAAACTATTCTTGTATCTTTCCTAGACCTAAAAATTTTAAATATTAAATTATTGCCATTATTTTTTCCATGCTTTTAAAACCATTAGAAAATTATTCTTGTTTTCTAGTCAAGGAAGCAAGGAAAGATTCATATCGCTGCTGCGAAAAAGAAAAAGGGAGACAACAGGCTAACAAAGTTGAGGCACACATCTGCAATCTGAATGCTTATGTAAATAGTACATAAAAGTATGCAATGGAAAGATTCAATCATTAAGTATTTTTAAACTACCAGAATTTCTTAACCCTAATGTAGTTCATTTTATTTTATTTTTTCTTCATGGTTAGTCCAACAGGAGACTGGGTAAATGGACTATGATATATTCATAAAACTCCACATAGCTATGGAAATGTAACTACACAAATTGTACAAACATAATACTGAGCAAAAGAAGCCAGACACAAGAAGCCATACTGTGTGATTCCAAAAACAGCCAAAACTAACCTATGGTGTTAGAAGTCAAGAGAGTGGTCATCCTTAGATGTGGGAGGGGGAGTAGTAGTGACCAGAAGGCATCACCAAGGAGCTTCTGGGATTCTGGTAATGTTTTGTGATCTGTGTTTTATGTTATCATGAGTGTACTTTTTCTGTACGTTAAGGTAGACTTCAATTAAAAGTTTACATTTTTAAGAAGTGGGGGCAAAGCTGTAAGATTCTAACATTTTTACAACTGAAGCAGAGTTATTCCAATATTTCATTATTGATACTATGTTACACTAATATGCTCATTTGTTTGCAGAACCATGGCACAAATGATATAATTTTGGAAAGTGACTTAGAGATCACATAAGCCAAATGAGAATGCAAAAACTGGCTTCCAAGATTACAGAACACAGGGCACAGCCAGGACTGGAATACAGGTTTTCAGACTCTTAGTCAAGTGCTTTATCACTACACAATACTGCCAATTCCTCTTTCTCTAGTAGTTACTTTTAAAATATCCACAGGTATACTTTTATATTCTCATGCCCTACCCAATAAATGGTACTGTGGTGCCCTGGGAGAAACACTGGAAAATGTGATAAAGATATAGAAATGCATGAAGGGGACTATCTGCCTTACTGTAGCAGTGAATAATGTGGACATACAGTAAGTGTATCTGTGGGTGTCATGCCATTTTATCTGTTAACTGGATAGAAAAGAGATCTAAATTAAAAGAAATTAAGAAAGAATTTTAGCAGGGACTAGCTGAGGAAGGGAAGGTTTTTTAAATGGTCTCAAACATTAACAAAATATTCTATTTCATGCAATGAAACATGTATTGCTAAAAAAAAAAATCTACTGCCGAGTTTGCTTTTAATGTATTTCCTGTCCTTTTCTTTAAAACGCTGAAGGAATTAAGTAAAAACTTTTAAATGGCTATTAAAATATGGAAGTATAATATTTAATTCATTAAAGGTGATATTAAATATACACTAGTTCAAATTTCAAATAGCATGCATTACTTTGAAAGTAAAATACAAATTAGAAATTTTTCATTAGGAAATTAAAAACCATCAACAAAAACATTTTTATCTTAACAGATGATCAGAAAGTCTCCAAAACAGCTGAGTACCACAAGGCTTAAAGAAAGCCATTACATATATTTACATACAATTTGAAAGTGGGGATCAGGCACGGTAGCTCACACCTGTAATCCCAACACTTTAGAGGGCTGAGGCAGGCAGATCACCTGAGGTCAGGAGCTCAAGACCAGCCTGGTCAACATGGCAAAACCCCATCTCTACTAAAAATATAAATAATTAGCTGGGCGTGGTGGCATGAACCTGTAGTCCTAGCTACTTGGGGGGCTGACGCACGAGAATCGTTTGAACCCAGGAGGCAGAGGTTGCAGTGAGCCAAAATTGCGCCACTGCACTCCAACCTGGGCGACAGAGTGAAACTGTCTCGAAAAATAAAAAAAGAAAGAAAGAAAAAGAAAGTGGGTTATTTTGTGTCTGGGAAGAAAATACTACGTTTGCTGCCAGGCTAAGTTTACATTACCCACCAAGACAAGGGGTAAATTTTACCCTACTTAAAACATTGGCAACACACGATGCAGTAACAGGAACAAAGTTACCCAACTTAAATGTCACTGTTTCAATAAGAAAGTATGAAACCTTCCGGGAAGGATAAAGTTTTCAACCTCTCTAACGACATTTTATCTGCAGGTTTAAAACATCCAAGTCCTTTCATAATTAGAAATGACCACTTTAGGCATATCACACTTGTTAACTACAGAGGGGACTAATCCACAGGTTCAGACAATTTCCGACTACTCCAGTTTATAGCAACACAAGATTCCACCCAAGCCAATTTCCTCATTCATTGTTCTGTAGATAATGTTCAATCAGTCTCTGATCAGAAATGACCTCGCCCCCCTACCCAATAACCTACCTTCAGGATCTACGATGGGTTTAACCTCTAAGAAGTTCTTCCTTTTATTCTATTCAACACAGAACCCTTCCTTTCCTAAACTCATATAAGCCTCACACCCCTACCATTTTGTACAACACACAGGAGTATGTGATTTTTTTTCAGCCATGCTTACAGACTTAACAAAGTCCAACTGTATGCCCCTTCATGATGGGAGACCATATTTCATACTTTTATATGTTCCACACTATCTACTGTGGTAGGTACACCAAGCACATTATAGGTATTTCAATCAATGTTAAAGCAAATACTAAAAAGAGTTATAGTTGCAAAGGAGACAGGATGCTCCAGTGAAGTGTGTAAGAGACAGAAGATTACATGGACCTTCTGATTACTTTGAGAAGAAAGTCTCAGTTCCTAATACCTCTCTAACATTTTGCTAATATTTAAACATAACCAATTTTTAAGGTAAACACAAGTATTTTCCATAAACTGATTTTCTATCTACTGAGTGGTATAAAATTAATCTTAAAATAAATCTCTAAAAACTAAATTATTCTATAGTGCCAGAAAGTAAGGAAGTTCTCAAAAGAGTTTTTATTTTTAAAAAGGTGGGAGTATGTCAAAGGAACATAGGAGCCAACCTATGGCCAAAGCTGGAACAATCTGAATAACAAAATAAATAAAATAGTATTGGATCTTAACCCAAAGTGCAAAATATCCATGAGTCCATACTGAAATAAATAAATGACTGAAAAAATTATCTAAGGGAACAGAAGAATTCTAAATAAATGTAAATATACTGTCTTCAAGAAGTGAAGCATAACTCCACACCCACTTCTTAAGTGTGGGCTGTGCATAGTGACTTCCTTCCAAAGAGTACAGTACAGAAAGGGGTTGGGAAAAGTAATTTTACAAAGGAGAAACCTAACAAACAGTACCTCAGTGAAGTGATCAAGTTCAACAACATCAATGATGTCATGTTGCTCACATATACTTCTTTTGATGTGATGAGGATGGCACTTTCCCTCTGTGGTCTTCCTCCCCAAAACATCAGACAAATTCCAAAAGAGGGACATTCTACAATATATCTGATACACCAAAGCTGCTACAATATACCAGTACTGCTCTTAAAACTGTCGAGGTATCAAAAACAAGAAAAACCTGAAAAAATGGTCATAGCCAAGAGCCTACGGAGATATGACAACTGGATGGGACCCTGGAAGAGAAAAGAGGCACTAGGTAAAAACTAAGTAAATCTTAATAAACTATGGATTTTAGTTAATACAATGTGTTATTGGGTTTTAAATTATAATGTACCATACTAATATAAGATATTAATAATAAGGGAATGGGGGGTGTGTGTGGAAACTCTGTATGATCTACTCGATTTTTCTGCAAATGTAAAACTGTTCTAAATGAAGTCTATTGGTTTTTTTGTTTGTTTGTTTGTTTGTTTTTTTGGTTTTGAGACTGAGTTTTGCCCTTGTTGCCCAGGCTGGAGTGCAATGGCATGATCTTGGCTCCCTGCAATCTCCGCCTCCTGGGTTCAAGCAATTCTCCTGCCTCAGCCTCCCAAGCAGCTGGGATTACAGGCACTCGTCGCTATGCCCAGCTAATTTTGTATTTTTAATAGAGACCGGGTTTCTCCGTGTTGGTCAGGCTGGTCTTGAACTCCTGACCTCAGGTGATCCACAGGCCTCAGCCTCCCAAAGTGCTGGGATTGCAGGCGTGAGCCACCGTGTCTGGCCAATCTTATCAGTTTTTTAAAAGTCATTTTAAATAAAATTATTAAGTAAAATAGTAATAGTTTTAAGAGACTGGGAAAATCATGAAGGCAGTACTCAGATAACTAAAGTTTGAAAAACATTTATGAGGAAATCCTTTTTAATCAAAGGTCCGATCAAAGTTTCACCACCTACTAGTTACATTATCATTTCCTCATCTATAAAATGGAAAGAAGAATATGCCTACAAGACTGCTGTGAGGATTAAATCAGATCATGAATATCTGTTTTAGAAACTGAAAAAGCCCTTCACAAATGATAACCGACATAAAAAGAAATACAACATATTATCTTGGAAAAAAGATGGGTATTGAAAGAAAGTTAAAGTACACTTCTGCTTTGTGGTATTTGTATAAAAGGAAAAAAACCAGAAAAGTTAACATAATTGTCTAAAAATTATTTCATGTTTTGAAACCATGTTTTTAGCTATATAGGGCCTTGAGTTTCCAAATAACTGCTTTTAGTATCATATTAGTGATTTTTTAATACACTGTAATTTCTCATTCCTTTACAATTAGATTATAAAGATGCAGTTTAAATACTTTATTTTAAAAAGGGAAGACTAAACTCTAGTGTCTAGCGATGGACTCTTAGGGGATAAAACCATAAGGAAATAGGAAGTGATTACTACAAAAGCTAGGAGTAGACAATTTGGGAGGAAAGAGACTGTAAATGGGATGGGTACCTATAGGGACTTCTGAAGTGACTAACTTCTATTTCTTGTTCTAGACTGTGGTTACAAGGATGTCCATTTCATAATAATTTACCAAGCTTTAAATTTGTTCTATGTGGCTTTCTGTGTCTGAAAAAAAAAAAAGCCAGACAGAACGAGACCCTGTCTCAAAAAAGTAAAAAAATAAATAAAAGGAGTAGGCTTCCAGGCCAGGTGCAGTGGCTCATGCCTGTAATCCCAGCACTTTGGGAGGCCAAGGAGGGTGGATCATGAGGTCAGGAGTTCAAGACCAGCCTGGCCAAGATGGTGAAACCCCGTCTCTACTAAAAACATAAAAAATTAGCCGGGTGCGGTGGCAGGTGCCTGTAATCTCAGCTACTTGGAGGCTGAGGCAGGAGAATAGCTTGAACTCAGAGGGCGGAGGTTGCAATCAGCCGAGATTGCACCACTGCACTCCAGCCTGGGCGACAGAGATTCTGTCTCAAAAAAAAAAAAGAAAAGAAAAGAAAAAAAATTAAAGGAGTAGGTTTCTAAAATAAATCTATTGTAAAGAAAACATTTAACATAAAATAAAAATTTTTTAATATAAATTTTAGTTCTTTGATTATATATACAAAATCAGAACTTTAAAAAAATCTGGTTCTAAATGATGTAAGGCAAAATTACTCAGATTCAAAGTAGGTTTGAGAATGAAAATTTATCTCAAAATCTGAATACTCACTCTGCATTTACTCACCTTATGGCCACTGTCCTTTATTCAGAAGACATAAGACCTCCCTCCCAGAGTGGCCAGGAAGAATAAACGAATAAATGCAGAAACATGAGTTGAAAAGGTAGTAAACAAATGTAATTTGTACCTGTCCACCAAAGAAGAGGTGAAATTGAAAGTGTGAGCTGCTATCACGAAGTACGCTCTCGCATACTGATGTCCGACTTTCAGAAAGTGTCAATACTGTAGCATACTCATATCCAAATACTGCCATTTTCAGGACTCTCAATTACCAATCTTCACTGCAACATTTAAGGAAAAACTTCCTATAAATAAGATAATGTAACTATAGCTCAAATATGATTGTCTAAAACACAGAACAATTAGGAAATCAATTATTCATCAGTGAAGCAAAGGTGAATTCGCATTTAATATTATAAATTTGCATTTTATATTATGCCAAACTCAGAGACAAGTCACTTATTTTTCAACTTCAACCAATCAGAACTGAGTGAAGACCAGAAAGTAAGCAGAAAAAGACCCCAAAACAATCCAAACTAAAACCATAAGTATAAAGACCACTTACGTTCAGGAAAGCTCCTCTGGCCCTCATAAGTTGCCTGTTAACTAAATTTATTAGAACTGGGTAGGAACCAAAAAAATCTGGCTTTCCAATTCACAGCAAATAAAAAGCAACAAATTAAAAAGTGGTTCAGGTAGAGCTGCTAACGTAAGCAAGAAACTGACAACTCATCCATCAATGAGAAAATCATATTTTTAAAAAGATACCAATAAGTGAAAAGGTATAAGGTCCTAGGTCATACAGTGCAGAGGCAAACAACCCTAAGACACTCCAATCACCCTTAAGGTACTAGTTACATTCTTTAAATTACTTATGTGAAAACTAGTTATATCTAGTATTATATTAATATATATTTGGAGGTTGTATGTGTATACATAGATATATTTTAGTAAAAGATATACATTTATAAAAGTTTTGGTTGTATTTAAAAATTACTTTTATAAAACTACAAATGATAACTGATAATATCAAATAGAGGAGGTGTTATACATCCAACTTAAAAATAACTTTTAGAATGTAACCAATAATCACGCTGACATATTTCTACAGAACTATATTGAAAAGTAATCTATTACTACAGTGTACTGAACACATATTCAGTGACAGCTGCATTGTCTCATTTCATCTCACAAATCTATAAATATTAAATAGATCCCTATAAAACTGCCAATATGCAACTATTTTTGACCAACCAAAAGGTATTTAAATTATCTACAATTACAGATGTAGAAATTAGCTAAAGAGAGGTAACACCCAAGATTACATGATCAACAAATGGTAAGGTCAGAATTTGAATCCAGGACTGTCTTGATTACTGTGTTATTCAAACCAACCAGCAATTATTGTAATTCACTGTGATGATTTAAATTTTACTATTTACCAAAAATAATATACATGATGCACTGAGAACACATCACTTATGTATTATACGTGCCAAAAATGCATATCCTAAATCTGATCATGAAGAAATATCAGACAAAACTAAATTGAGAGACAGCCTACAAAATAAATGGCTAGTAATCTTCAAAACTGTCTATGTCATAAAAGGAACAAAAAAGGCTCACGAACAGTTCAGTTCCAGATTAAAGTAGGCAAGACGACTAGACATAAAACTAGGCATAAAAACTAAATGCAGGCTGGGTGCAGTGCCCACGTCTATAATCCCAACACTTTGGGAGGTCATGGCAGGAGGACTCTTGAGGCCAGGAGTTTGGGACCTGCCTGGGCAAGACAGTGAAATCCCATTTCTCCCCCAGAAATTCAAAATTCAGCTGGATACAGTGGAGTACACTTATAGGCCCAGCTACTTAGGAGGCTGAGGTGGGAGGATCACTTGAGCCCAGGAATGTGAGGCTATACTAAGCTACAATTATGCCACTGCACTCCATCCTAGGTGACAGAGTGAGACCCTGTCTCTAAAAAATATATTAATTAAAATTAAAAACTAAATGTAATGCCTGATTCTGGATTGGACCAGAGGGGGGGAATGCTATATGGAACAAATTTGTGAAACTTGAATAAGGTCTACAGATTTAAAAATGTCGTACAAACGTTTACTTACTTTTATAAGAAATGTCACAAAGCAGAACAAGAGTAATTGTCAAATGAGTGATAAATGCAGTAAGTGCTAGAAATTCAGAGGCAAAAATGATCATGATTAGCAAGAGTGGTCCTAGGGAAAGAAAAAAAATTGGGTCTTGAAATCTAAGCAGAAACAGGCTAGGTAGAGGAGAGAAAGAAGAAAATTCCAAAGTGGCAGAATATTTGTGGATAAATGACTGAGTAATGGAAACTGACTACATAGTCTGTTAACACAGGAGAGTAAAAATAAGACTAGAAAGGAAGGCTGGGGCCAAATTAGGGAATTCTAACCCAAAGAAAATAGGATTTCATACCATAAGCTATAGCCAACCACTAAATAATTCTGACATAGTATTACTGTAACAAACAATTTATCCATTTCTGTCTAAATTCTAAGTTGATACTTCCTTAAACAAACAACAACAACAACAAAAACCCTTTCTTTTTGCACTAACAGATCTTCCACTTCCTTCATTTAAGTGCCTACTGATTCAGGCCACACCACACAGCTTCTAAGAGCAAACATTTATTGAGTGCTTACTGTGAGTTAGGTAAGCCAGGGAAGCTGACTGAGGGCAGGGGCATTTAATTCAACACCATCTACACCTATTATTATTATTATTGGGCAAGCTGAAATTAGTTTACTTTTAGAGTATATCTCTTTTCCCTACCAAATATAAAAATGTCAACTTTTGCTGATAAACTTCACTATGTGTAAGGACAGATTATTTGATTAGTGTTGATCTGTCAACACTAGAAGTTTTCATTAAGCATTTTAATTCAGAATTGTATCAGTGATCACATCTGGAAGTGTTTTTTGTTGCACATAAGCCAACTTATACTAAAATTCTACAAGGTCAAGTTTATAAATGTCAAATTGTAATCTAAGAGGCAAACTTTGTAAAGACTGCATGAATCATCTTTGTTGAGAACCCTTCATTTTATTTCCAATAAATTTTTCTCTTAATAAAAGAATCAAATTACCTCAACACCTAATATACAAAAAGACCTCGAATCAAAGTTCTTTGGATGATTATAGAACAAAATGGCAATGTATTGCAAATGATTAAGAGATGAATATTTATGATTTCTAAAACCATATGGTATAGTAATAGGAAGAACTGTAATATTAAAGGGACCCCATAATCTTAGCATTCATGAATATCTGAGGCAAAGAACATTTACACAGATTCATTACTAGCTTGTAACTCTACCTACCTAACTAGGTTAACTAGTTAACTAGGTCTAACTCTAGCTGTAACAGTTTCTCATTATTCTGAAAAACTGTTAGAAGAATCATCCATTTCTGTTTATCCTAGTAGGGAGAAAAAACAAATACAGCAAGCCATTCAGTAGTTGTTGGCACACTACCGCCCACAAGCCAAATCTGATCCCATCACCATCCCTTAGTTGTATGGTAAGAGAACTAAGAATGATTTTTTACATTTTTAAATAGCTGAAAAACAAATTCAAGGAACAACAGCTATTCGAGACACATAAACATTACATGAAATTCAGTGTTGATAAATAAAATTTTGTTAGAACATAGCCCCGGCACATTCTTTTGGGTACTGTCAATGGCTATTTTACAAAAACAGCAGAGAGGAATAGTCCCACTGGAGATGTGTGGCCCACAAAGCCTAAAATATTTATTATCTGGCCCTTTCCAGAAAAAGTTTGCCAGCCCCTGCCATAAACCACAGCAGACAAGAGATTAAGCTGTAGGTACTGAAATCAGACCAACCTGGGTTCAAAACCTGTCTTTGCCACTAACTGCTTATATAGCTTGTCGAAAGTCATCTAATGGTTCTAAAACTAAAACTTCTAATTTTTTTTAAAGAAAGATAGGCCAGGTATGGTGGCTTATACCTGTAATTACAGCACTTTGGGAGGCCAAGGCAGGAGGATCACTTGAGCCCAGGAGTTTGAGACCAGCCTGGGCAACAAAGTGAGACCCATCTCTATTAAAAAATTTAAAAATTAGCCCGGGGTAGTGGCATATGGCTGTAGTCCTAGCTATTCGGAGGGCTGAGGTGGGAGGATCCCTTGAACCCAGGAGTTCAAGGTGCAGTGCACTATGATTGTGTCACTGCACCCTAGCCTGGGCAAAAGGGCGAGACTCCATCTCTTTGGGGGAAAAAGAAAGGTAACAGTATCGTATAAAGGAGTAAATACAGAGTGCTTAGCACTATACCTTATAGTAAGCACTATATTTTCATTATTATTACCACTATAGTTACTATAGTTACAGGGGACTCTTTCCCTATCAAACTGTTGAGGTCCAGGCCTTTTTGTGCCTATACATGTGGCATAGAAGTATATTATCAATTAATCCTCTCTGTTTTTTTTTTCCCCTCTTTATGTTCAGGCAACTGCAATTCACACCAAAATATGTGGGGGGAGGGAACTTCTACAAAAAAAAAAAAGGGGTGGCTATAAAGTCTGAAAAAATAAGTATATAAACGGCTGTTAGTATTAATCTGTGATTCCAGACTAGCCATCTTGTATAACTGCTTCCATAGGTAATGATGCCGTCCACTGTACTACAAATAAAATCTATATAAAGTTCATGTGAACTTTGTTATATTAATAAGTTTAATTACAGCTATGTCAATATACTTTGCTTAAAAATGACAAACCAAATTTATTCAAGTTCAGAAAAACTCTATCATAGAGTATTCAACATGGATTCAAAACGTTTTTATTTCAGATCCTCTGATAAACAAAAAAGGGCTACCACAGATGGAAAGATAAACTACGTCTACTGGACCATGAGGGGAAAAAACCAAACTTACCTTCATATACTCATGGAAAATGTTAGGTTAAGTTTTCTTTTAACTGGTAAATAATAATTATATGTACTTATGGGACACAATGTGATGTTTCAATATATGCATACGTTATAGAGTGGCCAAATCAGGCCAACTAACATATCCACCAAACCTCAAATACTTACTTCTTTATGGTGAGAACATTTAAAATCCACTATTCTATTCTATTTTGAAATATGTAATATATTCTTCTTCTTATTATTATTAGAGTTAGGGTCCCACTCTTGTCACCCAGGCTGGAGTACACTGGTACAATCATGGCTCAATGCAGCCTCAAACTTCTGGGCTCAAGGAATCCTCAGGTCTTAGCCTCCTAAGCAACTAGGACTACAGGCATACACCACCCCACCAGGCTAATTTTTTTATTTTTTGTAGAGATGGGGTCTTGCTACGTTGCCCAGGTGTGATGGTTAATGCTGAGTGTCAACTTGATTGGATTGAAGGGTGTTGCCAAAGGAGATTAACATTTGAGTCAATGGATTGGGAAAGGCAGACCTACCCTCAATCGGGGTGGGCACAATCTAATCAGCTGCCAGCACAGCCAGAATAAAAGCAGACAAAAGAACATGGAAAGACTAGACTGATGTAGTCTTCTGGCCTCCATCTTTCTCCTGTGCTGGATGGTTCCTGCCCTCAAACATCAGACTCCAAGTTCTTCAGCTTTGGGACTCAGACTGGCTTCCTTGCTCCTCAGTGTGGAGATGGCCTATTGTGAAACCTCACTTTGTGATCATGTGAGTCAATATTCCTTAATAAACTCCCTTTTATATATACATGTATCCTGTTACTTCTGTCCCTCTAGAGAACACTGACTAATACACCAGGCTAGTCTCGAACTACTGGCCACAAGCAATCCTTCTATCTAGAGAACACTGACTAATACACCAGGCTAGTCTCGAACTACTGGCCACAAGCAATCCTTCTACCTTGGCCTCCCAAAGCACTGAGATTATAGGTGTGAGCCACTGCACCTGGCCTACAATACCTTATTACTAACTACAGACATCATACTGTGCAATAGATCACCAGGATCTATTTCTCTTGTCCAAATGAAACTTTGTACTATTTGACCAACGCCTCTCCTTTCCCTGTCTACACCCCTCCAAGCCCCCGGCAACTGTCATTCTACTTTCTACTTCTTTTTTTTTTTTTTGAGACAGAGTCTCACTCTGTCACCCAGGCTGGAGTGCAGTGGTGCAATCTCAGCTCACTGCAACCTCTGCCCCCCGAGTTCAAGCGAGTCTCCTGCCTCAGCCTCCTGAGGAGCTGGGATTACAGGTGCGCAGCACCACACCCGGCTAATTTTTTGTATTTTTAGTAGAGATGGGGTTTCACCATGTTGGCCAGGCTGGTCTTGAACTCCTGGCCTCAAGTGATCTGCCTACCTCAGCCTCCTAAAGTGCTGGGATTACAGGCCTGAGCCACCATGCCCGGCCTATTTTCTGAGTTTGACTTTTTTTCAGTTTCCACATATAAGTGAAATCATGTGTTATCTGGGTATGTGTCTCTGTGTGCCTGGCTTATTCCACTTAGCAGAATGTCTTCTAGGTTCATCCATGTTGTGCAAATGACAGGCTTTCCCCCTTTCCAAGGCTGAGTACGTTTTTCTTATCTGTTCATCTACTGATGGGCACTTCCATGGTTTCCATATCCTTGCTATTGTGAAAAATGCTCCAATGAACATGAGAGTGCAGGCATCTCTTCAATATAATGGTTTCAATTCCTTTGGATATATACTCAGAAGTGGGACTGCTTCATCACAGAAAGCGTTATACTTTTAACTTTTTAAAGTTCTATTAGACTTATGTTCAACTTCCTAAATCAAGCTAAAAATCTGCATACATTAAGCCTAGCTGTGCGCTCTTGGGCAAGTTAATTAACTCATCCCTTAGTTTCCACCTCTGTAAAATGGGGATAATAATGCTAACTCCTTCACAGCTTACTATGAGGATTAAATGAGCCAATACACATAAAGTACATCAAACAGATTCTGATACAGAGTGATGCCTGATAAATTAGTTTTATATATTTACTTAATAGCTAGATTTTGATGGTAATGCTTTCAGAGTTAATTTCCAGCTAGCATGTAGCCAACAAAAACATTTTGAAAATTAGCACAGTTGACAAAATCTTCAGAAATTCGACTTGATTGATGGAAATTAGAATACAGGTATCCTTCACTTAAAAGAACTTAAAAGTACTATACTTCTGTCATATTACTGCTATAGACAACAATTAGAGGATGCAATTCACTTAATTTCTTAGGGTCATCCTTAGGAGAATACAGCAGGCAGCCCATGGAGAACAGGGGAAGTGGAAAAGACTTGGAATAAACTGCATTCTAAGTGGGCCCTCATTTCCTGCCTCATTTCCCCTACTGTCCCCTGCAAAGCGCTGGAAATTTCAGTCCTTTGCTTTACATTCTTTCTCCCACCAAAGATTCAATAGAAGGCATGCCAAGACTATGAGTGTCTGCAAAAACTCTTTAAAAATGCCAAAAAAGATATAAAACATTCCTCTAGATATGAATTTAGAATTGTTATGATATTTAGAGTCAAACTGCTGAACTTGAGGATTACTGTCTCTACAAAGAAAGTCTGTAAGTCTGAATTAGTGCCAGAATTTCTGAAACCATCTTTTCAACTGGAGAAAGGGAGTTCAAGCCAAAAAGAGAGCTTTTGATCTCAATGACCAGCAAATAAGAAATCAGCATTTGTTGAATTAAATATGCCTGACAACCACAATACCTAACAACCTCAAATTAACATTTGTCCATAAAAGCATTTATGCCAAATTCAAAAAAGACTGCTCTCTACAGCTTACAGGTCACATGTGGAGCAAAGGCCATAATTTTTGTTGAAATTCTTTCTTTTTCCCCTTGTCTACACAGTGCTGATATTCCTCTTTTTTTGAGGCGTAGTCTTGTTCTGTCGCCCAGGCTGGAGTGCAGTGGCCCAATCTCGGCTCACTGCAAGCTCCGCCTCCCGGGTTCACACCATTCTCCTGCCTCAGCCTCCCGAGTAGCTGGGACTACAGGTGCCCACCACCATGTCCAGCTAATTTTTTTTTTTTTTTTTTTTTTGTATTTTTAGTAGAGATGGGGTTTCACCATGTTAGCCAGGATGGTCTCAATCTCCTGACTTCGCGATCTGCCCGCCTTGGCCTCCCAAAGTGCTGGGATTACAAGCGTCAGCCACCGCGCCTGGCCGGTATTTCTATTCTAAATCTCAGCAACCTTATTTACCCGGCCACTGTTCATCTCATTAAGGAATGATCCAATGTCAAAATTGTTTTTTAAGACTGGCATAAATGATACCCCATATACTTATCCTTTAAAGCAAATGGTCTCTTTCCATGATTCCACAATAACCCATAGATGACTTTCACTTCCCTGATACATTTACCATCTGACTAGTAACTTATGGCCTCGGATTTCTGTGACGCTTCGGTTCCTTCTCTTGCTTACCCGCTCACTCTCCCAAAAGGTTACCCTCTTTTCCAACCTTTTTCACTACTGCCATTTGCAATGCTTCTTATTTTCAAATAAACTTCTCTAGATCCTTTACAGAACCTCAGTCTACCTTTTGCCTCTAATTGAAACCAACTTTTCCACACGACACCACTTCCATTCCAGCTGAGTCAAAACGGCAACTATTCTTTCTCTTATACCTCTCAACAGAAAACAGGGAGATAACAGCATTGTCCTGTCTTCTTTCTATTGCAGCACACATATGATTACTCCAAAAGTCTCCTGCAAAACCTTCCTCCTTTACTTATAACTAGGATCTAACAACTAACCTAATTATTCATCATTATCATCAATCAACTTCTCAGTCACTCTCCAAATTACATATAAGTTTTGATCTTACTATCTAATTTACCTTTTCAGCCACCATTAGCCTGGGCAAATTCCAATCCACGTGAACATCCTAGCTGCTCTCCTCCTTAAGGAGTGAAGAGATAGCCACTACCCAATTGAATAATCCACCTCTATAACCACTCGCTTTATTACCCACAACAATTACTCATCTGAAATCTTAAAACTCATTATCTTGGCCCATAACCCCAAGCCCTTATCCTTTGTCTCTTTCACTCCTATTCCCCATCACACTTCACCCTTTAGCTTCATGGAAACTTTTGGTGTTAATGTTCTTCCACTTTCTCCCCACCTATCAACCTTGTCTTGGCTTCAAGGTGTTCCCTCTCCAGCCTAAACCCCCAAGATACATAACTTCAACCACTCTCACTGCAATACTTTCAACTTTTGGCCCCTGGGTCTTCCCAAACCACTCTCCTTTGTCAAGTCCTGCCTCCACCAATACCAGAACATTTTGACTGCCCAGCTTTTCTGTTTCTACACAATGGCTGCTGGGTACTGCAGAGAGAGACACAGGGAAGGAATGAGAATACATACACACAACAGAAACCACCACAAAAACCCATGGTCATCAAACCCATCTTGGTCTCTCTACATTTTCCAAGTGAACTCCAACTCCCATTGCCTCAATAACTATTCCAAATCCTCACAACTCTCTTCCAGCTTTCAATTCCACCACCTCCACCTCATACTTCTCAGAATGTGTCCTCACTTCCTCTTTCAAAGAGAAAATAGCAGACTTCAGGTAGAAATATTCCTCCCCAAATTAGCATCCTTACCACCTTTTCCTTTTAAAATTTTTCTTCTTTTTTTGTAGAGATGGAAGTCTCACTATGTTGCCCATAAGACCAGGCTTGAACTCCTGGTCTCAAGCAATCCTCCCACCTTGGCCTCCCAAAGTGCTGGGATTACAGGTGTTAGCCACCACACCCAGCCCCTCCCAACTCATTAAAACAGGTGCCTCTTGAGTTAAACACCAAGCCTTCCCCCAGTGCTTTAGAGTGTCTCCCCTATTACTTTCTTTAGAGACATTAGGTCAATCATACATGCCCATTCTCTCTCACATCTGATCTATCCACTGGTCATTTTCCCTCAGGATAAATATATATTCACATCTCTACCAACCAAAAAAGAAAAAAAAAATTCAATTTTAAGTCAGACTCCCTCTATCTCCCTTAAGAAGTTCTGGTAGGAGCAAGCTACAGGTGTTTGGACATTCTCTTTTTCCATTACTACCTAACCTGTAGCAAACTGGTCTCTGTAATTCCAGTAAAGTCACTGATAAGCAACCCTATCAACTAGGTACTTGTATTAGTACCACTTTACAAATGGGGCACACAGAAAGATTAAATAACTTGTCCAAGGCTACAAACTAGTAATTGCAGGTGCCAGGATGTACACGTAGGCACTGTGACTCTGGAGCCCAGATTCTTAACCACCACCCTATGCTTCAAATTACAAACATATATATTATGCTTCTAATTCTATTTTATAAATCCTGGCTAAAGGAGTACACAAGGTTTGAGGTGGAGCACATCTGGAGTTATTTCCAAAACTGTAATCTTTGTCAATAGCTAATGACACACTTACTGGCTTAACTGACATTTATTCACTATTTTGCTACACGTTTACTGGTTTCTTCTGAAGTGCCAATAAATGATCATTCTCAAATTTTTGCTTTTTAAGATAAAATATTCACTACCAATATATATTTCACAGATATTTAAAATTACTCATTTGTAGAACAGATTCACAATTTATGTTGAGTTTACACCATTTTGTTTTTTTTTTCTGAAGACTATTGTTTTGGATTTACTGATATTTTCATTTAAAAAAAATCTAGTATTTAAGCAGGTGTCTTAAATATATCTTTGCAAACAGAACTCTTATCACCTCCTGCCAATAGATGACTTGTGATTTTTATTGCCTATATCTATCTTTTTGGGGGGTTCTTTTTCTTTACCAACATCAATTTTTCTATTAACAAGTTTAAAAGATGGGGCGTGGTGGCTCATGCGTGTAAACCCAGTATTTTGGGAGGCTGAGGCAAGCGGATCACTTGAGCCCTCACAGTTGGAGACCAGCCTGGGAATATGGCAAAACCCCATCTCTACAAAACAATACGAAAATTAGCCAGGAGTGGTGGTGCGTGCCTGTGGTGCCAGCCACTCGGGAATCTGAGATGGGGGTATCACCTGATCCTGGGAGGTCAAGGCTGCAGTGATCGCACCACTGCACTTCAGCCTGGGTGACAGAGTGCGACCCTGTCTCAAAAAATAAATAAAGACACAATTTACTTCCTTAAACCAACATTTACTTTGATTCCTAGCATGGCTTTTCATTTCTGCAGGGCTCTTCTACTGTATTTATTCTATGGGCCTACAAAAACACTGAACATAAGTGAAATTTACTTTTTCAAAGTAGGGGGCACTCTTACACTAATCTCCCATTATAAAGAATGAGACTTCCCTTCTCTTTCCCACAGTAGAGGGCAGGGTGGAGGCAGGGTGGTTACTGTATTAGGTATTACAGAAAACTCTCCCAGTCTCTCTTCCACAAACTCAAGCCACAAACTCCTGCATGGGCAGAGGGGGAAGGGAAGTTACTAATTTGGTGGGTTAGATTTAGCTTTCCTTGGACCTTATTTTTAACAAGAAGGAAATTACGTTACTGCATAGAAAACAAGGCCATCTTTCCCTTTCTCACTCCAGCTCTTTGTTTCGCTGATAACTAGATACATAAAGTAAGCCTCTAATCTTCTCGCCAGCTGCCAGATTAAGTGTAGTCAGAGCAGACATGGCAGACGGAACTCTTATCATAGTCTCACAGTCTAGATTTGTTGGTGATTGCAGCTGACTCTCAATTTATCCTTAGATCCATGTTATGGTCTCAAATTCTGCTGTTATCAGACAGTCTAAATTTTAGAAACAGATGCTGTGTCCATTATTTATCTCTTAGAACCTGGAGACAGAAGGGCTAAATGATTGGCACTCCTAACCTCAATATATACCATAAGCAAGCGTCAACAGATGGTGATCATCATTAAGCACATATTAAGTGCTAATACTTTTATATGTCCTTTTAATCTGATCTTGCAAGGTAAATATTTTTATCCAAATTCATTAATAAATGAATGTATTAATTCACTCATTAATGACTGAATGTATTAATTCACTCATTAATGACTGAATGAACGCTAGGGTTCAGAGAAGTATTTGCACAAGCTTCCAAAGCTAGTAAATTTTACAAACAAGGTTCAATCTCAAATCTCTCTGATTCCAAAATTCTCAGTTAATGACCATACTCAATTTGATGAGAATAAAATACTATATCTAAGTCTGGTCAATGTATAGTATAGAAGTATGACCAATATTTAAACAATCATCAAAGATATATTTGTCTGCCATGAAAAAGGAGTAAATGATCCTCCTACAGTTGGTTAATGAAGCACTAGGTTCCACAGGGAATTCAGTTATTGAAAAATAATTAACTTTAATAACACTTGGTACAATAAAGATTGGAGAAAAAAATCTCCAATAACCTGATGCTCCATTTCCATCCAGGCTTCCTGTAGTAAATATGTAGTGTTGCAATAAAGCTCCTTGAAAAATGAGTCATCTTGAACCAAATATAATCAACAAGATAATGATTAACCAAAAGCTGGCACAAATCCTAACAGAGTAATATAATTCAAATTCAGCCTCTTAAAAGATAACTCATGTTTAATGCTGGTATCTCAGAAATGTAAGCCAATGATTGGGTTTATGGAATGGTCTATATATTGGCACAAGCATATGCAAACGTACATTTTAAATTTTTCTATGTCTTGTATTTTTATACTTAGCATTATTTACCCACAAAACCTAACAAACGGATTTCACAGTGTCAGATCTACATTTCCCACTCTATACAAAACTCTGAAAAATTATTTCTAATGTTTACTAAAATCAATTTATTTTTGCTTATTTTAGTATGGCATAAAAACTGAGTATGATACATTAAACATTATAATACTATGAATACCGTATCCTTAAAATGTAATAATGTAATCTCTCTCACACAAAATAAAATTAGTTAATAGTCGTGTAAGGCATATGCTCTAATGTTTTATCTGGTAGCATGATGAAGTTATCATATACCCTCTTACTTGCAATGAAACAAATCTAACAAATGACTAAAACAACTTAGGAGAAATACATTCCATGGCCACAAAACAAGGCCAAGTTAACTGGATCCCGAAGGTATAAACCCATAATTCTGACCTAAAAAAATACAGCTTCTATAATCAATGAACTAGCTAACCATGCAACTACTTTGAAATAACTAATAATTTTATAATATAATACTGATTACCTGATTTGGAAATAAAGCAAAGTCTTTGCCAAACAATGTTGTTTGTTAGCATTTATAAGCATATTTGTAAGAAAAAAATTAACTTTTAACTCTTATCTTACACCATACACAGAAATTAATCTAAGGTAGAACATAGACCTAAAAGCCAAAGCCCTAAGGAACAAATGATAAATCAGACCATCAAGATTAAAGATCCTGGCCAAGCAGTGGCTCACTCCTGTAATCCCAGCACTTTAGGAGCTGAGACAAGTGGATCACTCGAGCCCAGGAGTTCGAGACCAGACTGGGCAACATGGTAAAAATACCGTCTCTACAAAAAATACAAAAATAAGCTAGACATGGTGGTACACATCAGTAGTCCCAGCTACTTGGGAGGCTGAGGTGAGAGGATCGCTTGAGCCCAAGAGGTGGAGGTTGGGCATCACATGAGCTACTGCACTCCAGCCTGGGCAACAGGGCAAGACCTTGTCTAAAAAAAAAAAAGAAATAAAAAAGGTAAATTAAAAAGTCCTACTCAATCAAAAGATATCACTAAAAAAGTAACCAGGCAAGCCACAATGTAGGGGAAAATATTCACAAAATATTTTCTGACAAAAAATTTGTTTCCATAGTACAAGTCAACAATGATATAAATTATCCAGTGCAAAAAAAAAAAAAAGAGAGAGAGAGAAGTGAAAAATACAGATCTGGATTAGGATTCAGGACTAGATACAAAAAAAAGAAAAGAAATATAAAGAAAATAATTGAAAAATATACAAATATACTTTGCCTAATCTTATTTAAAAGGACTTGATTTCCTTAACCAAACACCACAGGATATCCCATTTCAAATAAGCCATTAACATTACACATTAAAAATTTATGATGACTATCTTTTTGTGTATATTTATATAGGCTATAAAAACAATGATTAATAAAATTTAAAATGAGCAAACATGAATTACCCTAAAAATGGTAAAAGGGAAATTCTGCAACTATTTCACAATAAAGTAATGTTAACACAGTTTAAAATAAGACTGCAGGTCAGGCACAGTGTTTCAGGCCTGTAATCCCAGCACTCTGGGAGGCCAAAGGGAGAGGATCACTTGAGCCCAGGAGTTCCAGACAGTACAGGCAACATAGTGAGATCCTGTCTCTACAAAACATAAAGATACTAGCTGGGTATGGTGGTGCATGCCTGTAGTCCCAGCTACCCAGGAGTCTGAAGCAGGAAGACTGCTTGAGCCCAGGAGGTCAAGGCTGCAGTGAGCCATGATTGTGCTGCTGCACAACAGCCTAGGTGACATACCAAGACCCCACTTCATTAAGAAAAGGAAAAAAAAAAAAGAACGCCTATAATGACTCAATAGATAGATGACAAAAGTGAAAACTTAAAAGCAAAATATATCAACAATGTCCCTTTAAGAAATCTCAGCAATGAAAAAGGTCAAAACTTAAAGGAATTTAAATCATTTTAGTTCTCATTATAGCATCAGATTGGGTTTGGCCCTAAGAAATAAAATTGCAACAGCAACTTCTTTGCTAAGAAATTTTCCACTGTCAGTCTAAACAATCACACAGCAGACACCATTCTAAATGCTTTTACTCTTTTTATCGTTCATCTAAAAACCAGCTTCTACTAATTTTTCCTTCAGCAGAATAAACTGCATGCACGTTTTGCAGTACAGACATGTGTCAGTTCTGAGAAATGCATCACAGGCAATTTCATTGTGCAAAATCACAGAATGTACTTACACAAACCTAGATGGTATAGCCTACTACAGACCTAGGCTATACGGTATAACCTATTGCTCCTAGGCTATAAACTTGTACAGAATACTACTGCACTGAATACTGTAGGCAATGGTAACACAATGGTATGTAAGCACAGAAAAGGTACAGTAAAATACAGTATTAAAATCTTATGGAAATACCCTCATATGTGGTATATGACTGTTCTTTACTATGAAACATATTGTACTGCAGCTAAAGACTAAGGTTTGGCTAAGTGGAGCCAACCAGCCAAACATGTCAGTTTCCACCACCTCCCTGACATACACTATACTACCTCAGAGTCTGCAAAGCAGTTTCATGACTGTTGAGTTTCACCAATCACTCCTCCAGATTAGCAAAACCCTAAATGCTTTCTGCAGATGCACCAAGAATCTCAGGGTCTCTAGATAAGGACCACAGAAAAGTGAAAATCATGATACTGGAATCAGTTGCTCTGAAGACTCAGAGAAGAGCAACTGCTTCATTTATCACTGTTTTTCTGGGTTTTTGAATCCTAGTGGGAGCCAGTTATTCTAGCAAAATCCTTCATGCTTTAATGTCTGGGGTTTACAAATGATGCTCACCTATTTCTCATCTAACTCTTCATATTGCAATCAAAGAGGCAAGAGATGACCAAGATTTTTTTCATAAAAGGACTCTAGTATTTGAGGGACTGGAGTGGTCAGAATATGGTCTTTTAAAAAGAAAACAGTAGGCTGGGCACGGTGGCTGATGCCTGTAATCCCAGTACTTTGGGAGGCTGAGGCAGGTGGATCACTTGAGGTCAGGAGTTTAAGACCAGTCCGGCCAACGTGGTGAAACCCTGCCTTTACTAAAAATATAAAAATTACCCAGGCATGGTGGTGGGTGCCTGCAATCCCACCTACTCAGGAGGCTGAGGCGGGAGAATCTCTTGAAGCCAGCAGGCAGAGGTTGCAGTTAAGCACCAAGATTGTGCCACTGTACTCCAGCACGGGCAACAGAGGAGCAAGACTACACCTCCCCCCCCCAAAAAAAAAAACAAAAAAACAACAAAAAAAAACCAGCAAAGAAAAGAGTAACTTTCACTGAGGTATAAGACCCAGACTCTTGGGGAAATTACATTCAAAACTAGGGATTTTTTTTTTTTTTGAGACAGTTTCCCTCTTATTGCAATGGCCTGATCTCGGATCACTGCAACCTCGCCTCCCAGGTTCAAATGTTTCTCCTGCCTCAGCCTCCCGAGTAGCTGGAATTACAGGCATGTGCCACCATGCCTGGTTAATTTTGTATTTTTAGTAGGGATGGAGTTTCACCGTGTTGGCCTGGCTGGTCTCAAACTCCTGACCTCAAATGACCTACCTCAGCCTCCCAAAGAGCTGGGATTACAGGTGTGAGCCACCGTGCCCGGCCAGGTTTCTTATTGACCTCAGGTGATCCGCCCGCCTCAGCCTCCCAAAGTGTTGGGATTATAGGCGTGAGCCACCACGCCCGGCAAAACTAGGGATTTTTAAAATTCAGTTTGAGGTGGTGATAAAACATAAAGTGGCAACGGCAAAGAGAACTGAGCATAATACAAATAGGTAAATGAAAAGAGCATAAAATTAAATAATTTTAAATCAATATTAAACAATGTCAACAGACACAATTTGGGGTGGCTAATTCATAATTCCCCCAGGTGGCCATGTCTGCACTACCCTATCCTTCATTTGAGAAACTATCCACTCTCCCTCCTATTTTTCTAAACATTGGTTCTAAATGAGAACTCTTATCTTCCTACATGACCCTGCCCTTTCAACACATAATGATTAACAGGGGGATGAAATTTTGATGTAACAGGACCAAAGTCCTGCCTTAGAATTTCTCAAACTAGTGTTGAGGGAGGGAAACTTTGAGGATGTTGTTCCAGAGCTACCGGTAGCCATGACCACTGCTGCTGGGGGAAGATCATTTCAGAGAATAAAGCCAACATATAGAGAGAAATGGAAGAGACAGAGTTCTAATGATAATGTATAACTTACCCTCAATTATGTACATAATACATATTTTACTTTATATTAAGCATGACACACACTTCCCATGGTTATTCTAAGAATTAAAAAAAATAATGAACATAAAGGCACTTTGTAAACTAAGTTTATCAGGGCTTACTATTCAACGAATGCAATCACTTTGTCTTTCAATTTAAAAAGTATGCACATATATAAAGTAGAAAAGGTAGGTAATAAAATTCAATGTAAGATATGACTATAACCATAAAACAAATGCACAAGACCAGGGGCCTGCAAACTGGCTACACAGCCAAATCTGGCCTGTCAACTGTTTTTGTGTGGCCTGCACACAAAGAATGGTTTTTGCATTTTTCAATGTTTGGGGAAAAAAATGAGTAAAAGAATTTTTTGCAATATGTGAAAGTTACCTTAAGTTCAAATTTCAGTGTCCATAAATAAAGCTTCACTGGAACACAAGCAGGCTCATTTGTTTACATATTGTTTATGGCTGCTTTCATGCTACAACAGAGTTAAGAAGCTGCCTTTACAGAAAGTTGCCAACCCCTATGCAAGACTATAAAGATACACACCAAAACACTTAAAATTATTGTGTCAGGAAGTCAGGATCATAAGTAATTTCATCTAGTCTCTACCTTTCCAATGTCTGAGATGTGATATTACTTTTTATGAAAACAAAACTTAAAAAAATAGCTTCTATCTGATTTCCCATCATTCACTGTATAGCTCATCTAATTCATCTAAGTCTTCCCCACATCACTAAATAGTACTACCAAGTTGATCAAGCTGAAAAACTAGGAGTTATCTGTGATTCATTGGTTTTCTTCGTCCCTTACATCCATTCATCAAGCACATCCATAGGCCCCTCAAAATATATCCCAAACCCTACCGTTTCTTTTGCCATCACTACTCAAACTCTAGTCACCATTATCTTTCATCACTACTCCTGCAAGAACCTCCTAACTATGACCTGACATTGTGGGGGGACTCAGCAGGAGGAGGGAATGGGAGGGAAGAGACTTAAGGTTGCAAAGAATAGAAAGTCTGGCAACAAAAGAGAATATAGATAACACATACACACTCAAATAGTCTAAAGCTTAAGTTCTATCATCCTGACAAGAACATCTTTAATTCTTAAAATAATTTTCTCAAGGAATATTTCTGCTTTCTTTTAACAAATCTTGCCTCTTCCCTGCATTTCTAAATTTAAAATCAAATTATAAGCACCTCTTCTGGTTGTAAAACACCATCACCTAAAAAAAAAAAGAGCCCAATTTTGATGACTTTTTTTTTCCTCTTTGCATTTCAGATTGGGAATTTTGACTTCGTAATATGTCTCATGATGTTAGTAACCAAGGAAATGGATTAGCTGTCTTCATATAGCTATATAATTAAATAAAATTTTGTGATTGAATTATTCATAAAACACTCTTTCTTCAGTATTCAACATAAGAGAACAACAGCAAATGAAAAAAGTATCGTATAGTGGAAAGCACCGTATTTTGAAAGGCATGACTTGGGCTTCAGTGCTTTATCACACTAACTGTATGATATCAAACCAGCCCTCTTAAACCTTATAGTTTCCTCTTTTATAAAATACAGATATTAATGTCTGTTCTAATTCCTAAGATTGTTAGTGAATTAAGGAGATCATGTTTTTGAAAGTAATTTTATTATCATTTATTTGAGACAGGTTCTCGCCCTGTCACAGAACCTGGAGTGCAGTAGCAAGATCACAGCTCATTGCCACCTTGAACTCCTGGTCTCATGCAATCCTCTCGTCTTGGCCTCCCAAGTAACAGGGACTGCAGATATGCACTACCACGCCTGGCTCACTTATTTTCTCTCTAGTAGAGACATGGTCTTGCTATGTAGCCCAGGCTGGTCTTGAACTCAATCTAGGAGAGACATGATAAAGGCCTGAAACAGGTCTCCTCCTCTCTTCCCTTGGTAGTGGGATAGGAGACATGGACAGATTTAAAATTAAAGAGGAAAAATCAGCAAGACTCTCTTATAAATCAGGCACTTCATGAATATAATTTCAGGTGCTCCCCACAGTAACTCTGAAATATTATCACTGTTTTAAAAATAAGGCTCGTGGTTCGTCATGGTGGCTCATGCCTGTAATCCCAGCACTTTGGGAGGCCGAGTAGGGAGGACTGCTTGAGCCCAGGAATTTGAGACCAGCCTAGGCAACAAAGTGAAATCCCATCTCTTAAAAAACTTAAACAAAAAGGCTCAGAAAAGCTGTAAGTGGGATAACTGGAGTTGGAACTTTAAAAAGTCCATGCTCTTTTTACTGATTTTGCTATGTCTATTTTTACCTGGGAATAATGCTGCCTACCTGGGCTCAAGCGATCCTCCTGCCTTGGACTCCCAAAGCGCTGGGATTACAGGTGTAAGCCACCATGCTTGGCCCTTGAAAGTAATTTTAAAAGTAGGCTGGGCATGGCGGTTCACACCTGTAATCCCAGCCCTATGGGAAGCCAAGGTGGGCAGATCACCTGAGGTCAGTAGTTCAAGACCAACCTGGCCAACATGGTGAAACTCCATCTCTACTAAAAACACAAAAATTAGCCAGGCATGGTGCAGGTGCCTGTAATCCCTGCTACTCGGGAGGCTAACACAGGAGGCAGAGGCTGCAGTGAGCCAAGATCGCACCACTGCACTCCAGCCTGGGTGACAAAGCAAGACTCTGTCTCAAAAAAAAAGTAATTTTAAAAGTAAACCCTAAAATATAAGTACCCAGGAGCAGTGGTTCACGGCCTGTAATCCCAGCACTTTGAGAGGCTGAGACTGGCGGATCACTTCAGCCCAGGAGTTTGAGACCAGCCTGGGCAACATGGCAAAAACCCTTCTCAACAAAAAAATACAAAAATTAGCCAGGCATGGTGGTGTGCACCTGTAGTCCCAGCTACTCCGCGAGGTGAGTGGGAGGATCACCTGAGCCCAGGAGGTCCTCTACATTATTTTCCATTTCCTCTACATTATTTTTCAAATATATAAAAATTTTAATTGAAACCTTTACTATCAGCTATAGTAATTAAGACAAGGTGGTATTTGCTTAGTGACAAACAGAGACTGACATAACAGAATACAGAGTGCAGAACTCCATCTACACATATGTGGTCTGTTGATTTTCAGCAAAGGTGCCAAGGTAATTCAATGGAAAAAGGCTAATCTTTCCGATTAGTTCAATTGTGCTGGAACAAAAATCATCAGTGTGCAAATAAACGAAACTTGACTTTGTACCCTATACAAAAATTAACTCTAAAGAGATCATCGACCTAAAAATAAGAGCAAAAACTAAGAAATAATAAGAATCTTTGTGACCCTGGGTTAGGCAAAAATTCCTTAAGTAGGACACAAAAAGTATAAACTACAAAAGAAAAAAATAAGTTGAACATCAAAATAAACTGATAAATGGATTTCATCAAACTAAAAAACTTTCACTCTTCTAAAGACTGTTAGTTTATGAAAGGGCAAGCCACAGACTGGGAGAAAATATTTGCAAACCACATTTTTTATAAAGGACTTGTACCCAAAGCATATAAAATACTCTCAAAACTTAAGGCAACCATTTTTTTTTAAAAAAAATGAGCACCAAATAGGAGAATTCATAGAGAAAGAAAACAGATTCATGGTTGCTAGGGCCTGAAAGAAGATGTATACTCAAATGTTCACTGCAGCTTTATTCGTAACAGCCAAAACTAATAGCAACTGAAATGTCCATCATCTAGTCAATAAACTAAGTGTGGTATATTCATACAAAGAAATATTACTCAGCAATGAAAAGGAACGAACTAGTGAAACAAACAACATGGATGAATCTCTAAAGCAATATGCTACGTAAAAAGCACAAAAAAGACCACAGATTATAAGATCCCAGTCATGTGAAATTCTAGAAAAGACAAAATACGCTGGATGTGGTGGCTTACCCCTGTAATCCCAGAACTTTGGGAAGCTGAAGCAGGCAGATCACTTGAGCCCAGAGTTCAAGACCAGCCTGGGCAACATGGCAAAACCCCATTTCTACAAAAAATTAAAAAAAAAAATTAGCCGGGCACGGTGGTGTGTGCCTATAGTCCCAGCTACTTGGGAGGCTGAAGTGAGAGGATTACTTGAGCCCAGGAATTGGACGTTACAGTAAAATGAGATCCTGCCACTGCACTCCAGCCTGGGCAACAGAGCAAGACCCTGTCCCCCCCACCCCCCCGCTCCAAAAAAAGGAGAAGAAAAAAAAGACAAAATACAATGGAAAAAAGCAGATCAGCAGTTGCCAAGAACTGGAGTCTATGTAGAGGGAAGGGGCTGACTACAAAGAGGCATGAGAGAATTTTTTTGGTAATGAAAATGTTCTGTATCTTCATTGTAGTAGTGAATACACAATGATATAAATTTTTTAAAGACCCATTGTACTCCTAAAATTGTCATTTTATTATATGTAAAGGACAGCTCAATAAAGCTGATTTAAAAATTTTGAAGTCTGAAAACTACTCTGTAGTTCTACTCTTTCACTAAAACCAAGATATGAAATGCTCTAATGTTGTTTTAAAACAAAGGACTGTGAGAATTTGCTATCGAGAATGCATTTGATAATGAAAATGCCAGACAAATCCCCAAAGGAGCAGAGTATACCCAGTTTTAAATAAGTCCAATGAAGTCTGACACAAATAGCTAACTGCCTTATCCAGGGTTAAAACAAAATGTCAGTGATGTGAGGTAGGAAGAGATTAATAAGCAAAGAAAAGAAAATGATTCTCAAAAGCTTGCTCTAAAAACACTTTCTCATACATTTCTTAGGAATGTGTCTTTATCTTATCTGTTGTTTTTCAAATTCCATAATCTACCCTAGGGTATACAGCAAGTTTGTCAAGTTAAAGGCATTAAAAATATTTACCTTACAGTAAAAAGTTTTTTTTTTTCAAGTATAAAGACTTTCAAAAAGTCAAAAATCAAATTCATTGTGGATCCAGAACGAACAAACCTGTGCTTAATACAGGGAAATAAAAGTGCATAGTAACGTAGTTCGGCATCTCCTTATTTTGGCTATGTATTTTTCTGTGGCAATTATAAGCTATTTGGAAAATAGGAAAACTGATTCAATCCAAAGTAGGTAGGCAGCATTATTCCCAGGTAAAAACAGACACAGCAAAGTTCAGTAAAAAAGCATAGACTTTTTAAAGATCAAACTCCAGTTATCCCACTTACAGTTTTTTGGGGCCTTTTTAATTGGTATTATAAAATAATGACCTTTCAGAGTTACTATGAACACTTAAACTCATATGCATAAAGTGCCTGATTCATAACAGAGTCTTGTAGATTTTTCCTCTAATTTTAAATCTGTCTGTATCTCCTATCCCACTACTGAAGAAAACCAGAGGGAAGACCTGTTTCAGGCCCTTCATGTCTCTCCTAGATTACTGCAAAAACTCCACACTGATATTCCTATTTTCAATATTGTCTGCTCCAATTCATTCTCCCCAGTACGAGCAAACTAAACTTTCTAAAATCCAAACTTGATTACATGTCCTTTAGTGGTTTCCCCCAACAGCTTCAGGCCCAAAGCCAAACTCTTCAGCATGACGCTGAAGATAATCAGTAATATGGTCCTCTCCTGCCTTCATCTCTCATCTCCATACTCAATTATTAATATTTACTTAGCAGTTCCCCAATGACCCCATGCTATGTTCAGGAGAGTATAGTTAAAGAAGTCTCTCTAACTGCCTAGAAGTAAATCATGGCTCAACCTTAACCCAAGGCTGAACAAGTTTCAACCTTAAGCAAGGGTTGAAAACTTTTTTCTATGAAAAACCAGACAGCAGAGATTTTTAGGCTCTGCAGGCCATTTGGTCTCTGTTACTACTACTCTACGCTGCCAGTGTCATGTGACAGCAGTTACAGACAATCCCTAAGTCAATGAGTACGGCTGTGTTCCAATACAATTTTATTTATGGATATTGAAATCTGAATTTCATATAATTTTCACGTGTCACAATATTTTTATTTTTCAACTACTTAAAAATGTACAAACCATTTTCTCAGACAGAACGAACAAGAGACCAGGCTGGCCAGAAGGTGGTAGTCTGTCAACCTCTAATCCCGAGCAAATTACTTTCTCTCTCTTCAACTCAGTTTCTTTATAAAATGAAAAAAAAAATCAATATATGCTCAGGTATTATATTATTCCGGGACCAATGATTTTGCCAATATGTCACAGATGTATCATTGCACAAAGGAGAGAAAATTAGATTACATAAAAACAAAAAGTTAAAGAGAATTTTATCAATCCACTGATCCTATGGTTTTCCCATCGGCCAAAGCGGTTAGGCACTGGATATGAGAGCAGTTACCACTCAAAAGGCAATACATTCAACCTAGTATAAGGCACATTCTTGTCCTTAAGAAATGTATTTCCTAACTGAAGAGACAAGATAAACATGAAATACTTAAAGGGCTATATATGACTTAAGAACATAAGGCAAATATATGATTGATCTCTGTAAGGAAAATCAAATGTGCTAGATTTCAGAAAATAGGACAGAAAATCCCTGTGGATTAAAGTGGTCAAAAGAAGAGATGGACTTAAACTACTTTGGATAAACAGGAATTAGTAAGAGAAAGGAGAGATATTGAATAAATAACGGTATAAGAAGAAAGCAGTTCACAAAAAACTAAGCAAGAAAAGGGATACAGAGGGAATCCATGTAGGGGGCGCAGTAAGGGGTGAAGCTGGAAAGGTAGGTGAGAGCCAGGTGGCAGGACAACTTGGACACCATACTAGAGTTTATCTCATAGAAACTTGAGATGAAAGTTCTTAAACCAGGGAGTGACAATGAAAATGGTGTGTTAGCACCGGGGCCTGTTGTGGGGTGGGGGGAGGGGGGAGGGATAGCATTAGGAGATATACCTAATGTTAAATGACGAGCTAATGGGTGCAGCACACCAACATGGCACATGTATACATATGTAACAAACCTGCACGTTGTGCACATGTACCCTAAAACTTAAAATATAATAATAATAATGAAAAAAAGAAAACAGTGTGTTAGAATGAATAACCTGGTGGCCATATACAGGTTAAGTAAGAATAGAGTGAGATAAAAACCATATCAATGGTTTTCAAACTACTGAAAACAACTCTTTCTTTGTTGCTGTGACACAGACTCATTCAAAAAACATTTAACACCATCTTATAGGTGCTACTACTAAACAACACTTCAGAGCACAGCAAATAGCCCAAATTGCTTTAAGTACCAAAGTAGGTGTTAAAGTCCGGAAAGAAAGAGGGCCAGAAGGTCAAAGAGGTGACCTCATCCTGGTGGTACAACCCACATTTTGCCTCTACCAACACAACCACCCACAAACAGCTGTTTTAAGACCTCCCCAGCATCCTGAGAATTCTCTAGTGACTGGATGTAGGTCCTGAATCCAGATTGATAAACAGTGACCTATAATAATTAACCTGAAAAAAAAGATTTTATTGAAATACAGCCAGATTATTTAATAAGAAAAAAATTCTAAAAATAAAAATATATGTCCAACCATAAAGGTAGCATAGTATATTATTTATACTTGTATACACAGTATTATATTTATACCTTAAATATAAACGATTTAAAAAAAAGGAACTGAGAATGGAAGCCTGCAAAAAGCATATGTGTATTTTATACATACATATACATATACCAAAAACCTATCAAAATCAGATACAGTGACTAAGATGTATGATAACAAAGTAGTCCTAGGACAGCTATCAATGTTGTAACTACCTGTTTTGTATCCCCAAGATTACTTTTCTGTATAATCTGACATAACCATATCCCACACAGGTTGTATCACCACCATCTAAGAAAAAAGGATCATGTGCTTAAAACCGACAATGTACACATCAATTGTTTACACAGAAGCCACTGACCTCCTAACAGTGAATAATTTAATTAAAACTCTTTATTGTCTATCTCCCCTCATGATAATACAAGCTTCATGAGAGCAGGGATTTTTGTTTTGTTCACTGACATATTCCCAGTATGAAAACAATGCCTGGCATGTAGCATTTACTTAATAAATATTTGTTAAATCATTAGATTTCCATTCTGGGAGCTATAATTAGTTTCAGTCACCACTCCGTCACCCAGGTTGGAGCTCAGTGGTGCGATCTCAGCTCACTGCAACCTCCACCTCCCAGGCTCAAGCAATCTCCCCACCTCAGCCTCCTGATACCTGGTATCACAGGAGTGCACCACCATGCCTGGCTAATTTTTTGTACTTTTGGTAGAGACAGGCAGTGGGCTGTGGGGGGGCCTCATCCAATACAACTGGTATCCTTATAAGAAGAGGAAATCTGGACACACAGGCACCAGTGATATGTACACACAAAGAAAAGGCCACATGAGGACACAGAAGATGGCAACCTACAAGCTAGGGAGGAAGGTGTTGTAAGAAATCAAACCTGATGAAACATTGATTTCTGACCTCTAGCTTCCAGAACTGTGAGAAAATATGTTTATGTTGTTTAAACCACCCAGTCTGTGGTAATTTTGTATGGTAGCTCTAGCAGACCAATAGACATGTAAACAAGATTTGGGAAGTGATATAAAATAAATATTTGTGATATTTGGTGGAAAAGCTATAGTTTTCCACTTTTTCATTAAAGCTACTGTTTTCTCTAAAAATGATTAGGTGTCTCCCCTTCCCCCATAGTTCAGTCCTAAAGCTATCAAGGCAGCCAGTGCAAGGCAAGTGTGTAAGGAGGTCATTCTGGCAGAGGAGCAGCACAGTACGGGGTGTCAGTTTAGTGCAGGGTATCAACAACCAGGTGGATGAGAAAGGCAGCCTGGCATAGGATGCTGGAGCCCTGGTGGGATGAGAATGTCGGCACAAGATGAGGGGGCAGCCCAGCACAGGTTCAATCAGAACCTGAACAAGCAAGGAAGCAGAAACCAGTGGAGGGGGGAGGGGGGAGGGATAGCACTGGGAGATATACCTAATGCTAGATGACGAGTTAGTGGGTGCAGCGCACCAGCATGGCACATGTATACATATGTAACTAACCTGCACAATGTGCACATGTACCCTAAAACTTAAAGTATAATAAAAAAAAAAAAGAAGAATTTTTCTACATAAAAAAAAAAAAAAAAGAAACCAGTGGAGACAGGAGATTGATTATGTAGGGGAGGACTCATCAAATAAATAAATACATTAAGCATAATGGAAGCCAGGTTTCTGTTGGGGAAGTAACTATATGTAAAAGGAGGAAACAAAAATTAACCCTACGCTGTTGTAAAAATATAGCTGTAACTATATCTATATATTGCCACACACATATGTACATAAATATATTCCTTAATTTTAACTACTGTGACGAGGACTCCAGCAGCACTGAACACAACTAGCACATAGAGCTTGGTTTCTAAATACCTTTCTCCATAAAAGAACTAGGGCTCCTTGGCAAAAATGGCTGATTCTAGGGCTGGAGCAAAAAGGGCACAAGATGAACCTGGATCATCTTATTGTGTCACAAAACAAGAAAGTCTTCAAAGAATGATGAGAACGTGGCAAAAGAACAAAGAAGACAGTTTAGAGGGGTATCTACTTGCCAAAACAGGGTCAATTTAAGCATCAAAATAAATAGTAATGGACTATAACCCATCAAAAAAATATGAAACCTGGCCAGGCGCGGTGGCTCACACCTGTAATCCCAGCACTTTGGGAGGCTGAGGTAGGTCATTTGAGGTCAGGAGTTTGAGACCAGCCAGGCCAACATGGTGAAACCCCATCCCTACGAAAAATACAAAAATTAGCCAAGTGTTAGTGGCGTGTGCCTGTAAACCCAGCTACTCAGGAGGCTGAGGCAGGAGAATCGCTTGAGTCCGGGAGGTGGAGGATGCGGTGAGCCGTGATCGCACCACTGCACTCCAGTCTGGGCAATAGAGTGAGACCCTGTCTCAAATACAAAATAAAATAAAAATAAAAAAATAAGAAACCTGAGTCCATACAGATATAAACCAATAAACTGAAGGTCTGATGAAGAACTGAATATTTACATAGTTTCAAAGCACATTTTACAAAATAGCTATCAACTACCAGCTAAAACAAGTAAAACAAGAAAAATAATTTTGCAATTACTAAAATTGTAAAATTGTGGGCAAGTCTAGCAGACACCAAGTGATCAGAATGGACATCATCAGTAATGGGATAAATAAAAATTGTGTGCCACCTAATAGGATGCAATGAGACAAACACAGCTTCACTTCTGTGGCATTTCTCCCAAAATTGCATAATTTGAATCTAATCAGGATGAAACATCAAATTTAGGGACAGTCTACAAAACAACTGGAGGGCAACTTTCCAAAGTGTCAAGGTGACAAAACCCAAGGAAGACTAAGGAACTGTTCCATATCAAAGAGACTAAAGAGACATGAAAACTAAATTCAACATGTAATTGTGAACTAGATCTTTTTGCTATAAAAGACATTATTGAGACAATTAGTGAAACTAGAATGGGTCTGAGAATTAGTAATGTATCAACATTTCCTGATTCTGTTGGTTGTAATATGGTTGTGTAGGAGAAAGCCTTACTTACAGGAAATAAACACTAAAATGTTAGAGGGTGATAGGGCATCCATTTAGCAATTTAATTCTCAAATTGTTATAGTGTAAAGAAGACAGGCACTTTCATCACCTCTTGGGCTAGGTAAAGGTTGCAAAGACAGGTCTATAGAGGCCAGGAAAGAAATGACTAAAACAAGCTGCATGTAAGGTAGGGACTGAGGGCACCTGGCACACCACTTAGCACATATACAGACCATCTGGAATGGAATGCAAGTCCAGAGTGGCAAGATCACCCTATTTTTCAATAGAAACCAAACATCCACATTGTTATGTGAAATCTCCCTATTTTTAAAACACTCAAAAGGGCCAAACAAAATATGTCTGTTGGCTAAATCTGAACCACAGCTACCTCTGGTCCAGAGACATGTTTCTCAAACTGAGGCTTAGGGATAAAAGGAAGCCACATGATACATACACGGAACATATTCTTGGAGCCGCAGTTTTATCTCAAGGGTTTGCCTGGAATTTTCTGGAAGACAGGATAGTTCCAATTTTTTTTAATGCCATACTATGAAGTATAATGCAAAGTTCATACAATTTTTTTAAACTTTTCATTTGAAAATGATTCCAAACTCACAGAAAAGCTGTAAGAACAAAAACAGTACCAAGAATATCCACATAGCTTTCACCAAATTAACCTATTATTAACATCTTACCCGTTGGCTTTATTTACACACATGCACATATGCATGCTCTGTCCCTCCCTCCCTCTATATGTACACGTATCTGTGTGTATATATAAAACACATATGGCCGGGTGTGGTGGCTCATGCCTGTAATCCCAGCACTTTGGGAGGCTAGGTGGGTGGATCACTTGGGGTCAAGAGTTCCAGATCAGCCTGACCAACATAGTGAAACTCCATCTCTACTAAAAATACAAAACTAGCCGGGCATGGTGGCATGTGCCTGTAATCCCAGTTACTCGGGAGGCTGAGGCAGGATAATCGCTTGAACCCGGGAGGCAGAGGGTGCAGTGAGCCAAGATCATGCCACCGCACCCCAGCCTGGGCGACAGAGCGAGACCCCATCTCAAAACAAAACAAAAAACCCCCATATATGTATTACCTTTGTTTCCTAAACCATAAGCTATAAACATCATGGACCATTCTCCATAAAAACTTGGGTATGTATTTCCTAAGAATAAAAATATTCTCTTACATAACCTGAAGACAGTTACCAAGTTCAATAAACATTAATGCAATACTTACCACCATCCACATGCCAATTTTGCCAAGTGATCCAATAATATCCTTTATTGTATTTTCCCCTCTATACAAGATCCAGTCTAAAATCAGGTAGTTCATTTAGTTACCACATCTCTTAAGTCTTCTTTAGTCTGGAATGTTTCCACAGACTTTGTCTTTATAATATTAAAAAAAAAAAAAAAACCCAGCTCCCCGACGTTTTAAAAAATAGGATGTTCCCCATCTGGAGTTTAAAATTTCCTCATGATTAGATTCAGGCTATGAATTCATGGCTGAAAAACACTGTAACTGATGTGCTCTTTTCTGGGTATCACATGCAGAGACACACAAATCCATTGGTGATATTTATTTTGATCATGCACACAAGGTGTTGTCTGATTTCACCACCATATTGAGTTACTGTTTCCCCCCCTTACAAGTAATAAGCATTATATGGGGGGAAATTTAAGACCATGCAGACAACCTGCTTCTCACCAAAATATCCCCCTAGATTTAGCACCTATTGATGATTCCTGTCTAAACAAATCTTTATTATAATGGATGCAAAACAATCATATAAATTTTAAAGTTAAATAGATTTCAACTTTTGCCTACACTCCCAGATCCCTTAGGTGTAAGTGCTCAGCCCCCTCCACTTTAGAAGCGCTATAGTGCAATGGTTTGAGTGTACCAATCAGGGACAGCTTCCTGGGGAAAAAATGTATTTCAGCAAATAAGTGGGGAACCAGTCAAGACACAGACAACTCCATCAGATCAGCTTAAAAATAAAATACAGCAATATGGTAAATCCTCTTTTTTGCAGTTGTTGTTTTTGGCTCCCAGGGATCTCTCACGTGACAGGCACCACACGGGGGATACTCACCACACTACAAACAAGGAAAATCCTCTTTCTTATTTGAGACAGGGTCTCGCTGCTCGCTCTGCTGCCCAGGCTGGAGTGCAGTGGCATATCATAGCTCACTGCAGCCTCCACCTCCTGGGCTCAAGCGATCCTCTCACCTCAGCCTCTCAAGGAGCTGGGCATGCACCACCACGTTCAGCTAATTTTTGTTTGTTTTTTTTTTTTGGTAGAGACAGGGTCTCACTATGTTGCCCAGACTGGTCTTGAACTCCAGGCCTCAAGTGATATTCCTACCCTGGCCTCCCAAAGTGCTAGGATTATAGGTGTGAGCTATACCACCTGGCCTGAAAATTCTCTTTCAAAGTAAAGAATTGATTTGCAAGGTAAACATACCCTAGCCCTACCAATTTTATAAAATCACTTCTTTACATACTGAGTTTGCCTGAATTACACTGATTCTACAACTAATAAATATCTTTCTGCTGCTGCTGCTGTTAAACATATTCTAATTATATTCAGATTCTAAAAACTTGTCAAAGACATAGCCCGCAATGATTACTTCTGATTGTTCATCCACCTTTTCATGTATGTCAACCTTTCCACCTATTCTCTCAAAGATAGGGATTAGCCACTAAAAATGTATCTTTCATCTGATTGTGACCAACAGAAATTTTACACTGAAATCTAAGACAAATATATGTAACTGAAATTAAATGTTCCATGAAGCAATATCACACGAAGTACTGATATTTTACATTATCTCTTCCTCTTCTCCTCATTTTTCTAATGTTGGTCCTGACCACGACTAAACTGATTTCAAAAACCATTAACAGGTCATGCACATGACTTGTACTTGAAAATACCCTAGAATCTGGCACAGAATTCTTTATCAGATTCCCAATAAAGTCTAGAACATTTCACTTATTTCAGGTGAAATGAGAAATAAGAACATAATGAGTTTTTGTTTGTCTGTTTGCTTGTTTGAGACGGGGTCTCGCTGTGTCACCCAGGTTGGAGCCCAGTAGTGTGATCTGCGCTCACTGCAACCTCCACCTCCCAGGCTCCAGCAATCCTCCCACCTCAGCCTCTCGAGTATCTGGGACCACAGGCGTGCACCACCATGCCTGGCTAATTTTTTTGTACTTTTGGTAGAGACGGGTTCTCACCATGTTGCCCAGGCTGGTCTCAAACTCCTGAGCTCAAGTGAGCCGCCCGCCTCAGCCTCCCAAACTGTTGGGATTACAGGCGTGAGCCATATTTAATTTTCAAAGTAATTTTACAATTTTTTATTCTGAGATTGTGTATTACAATCTTTTGGTCTTCAAATGTCATTTCTTTAAAAAAAAAAAGAGGTATGAAAGTGAAGGTTGTTAAGTTGTCAACTATATACTAGTCCCTAATTTATTTCCTCCACATTTTACTGGATCATGAAATCTCCACTGCAAGACTTCAAAGACACATGAGAGTTTCAGCCTTCAATAAAACCTTCAATACAGCCTTCAAGAGGTTTATAATTTGGCTTAGGCATGGTACCTGCAATCCCCCAGCACTCTGGGAGGCCTCAGCGGGCAGATCACTTGAGGTCAGGAGTTTGAGACAGGCCTGGCCAACATGGTGAAACCCGTCTCTACTAAAAATACAAAAATTAGCTGGGTGTGGTGGCATACACCTGTAACACCACCTAGTCGGAAGGCTGAGGCAGGAGAATTCCTTGAACCCAGGAGGCAGAGGTTGCAGTGAGCTGAGATCATACCACTGCACTCCAGCCTGGGCGACAAAGCAAAACTCTGTCTCATAAAAAAATAAATAAATAAAAATAAAACCAATTTGGCTCAGGGAAATAAGACATAACAATTGTAAGATCTGTAATAATTACTTTCACCTTATAACTATTGGAATAAACATTCTGCAATAAGTACCCCAAGAGTGGTCCTATCAAGTGTTCACGGAAGAATACTTTGGGCTGGGAATGAAAAGAAGTAAACATTTTTAGAAAGGAAATAATATTTGAGTTGAGCCTTGAAGGGTACTGAGAATAGTCATCAGGATGAAAAGATGAAAATGTGAGGAATAAGAAATAGGTCATTTTGGTCAGAACATGGTAAGACAGTAGAAAGAGATGACAGAGGACTTGAGAAGATGTTAAGAGGCTAAGATGTTTGAATGTAGTCATTAAAGCAATGAAGCAATCTGAGAGGGTGAATAGCACAATCAAAGCATGGCTTTAGGAAGATAAATCTGAGGGCCCTGTACAAAATAAACTGGACAGGTGGAGATTCTCGACGCCATGCAATAATCCACGCATCGAATAATAAGTACCTGAACTATAGCGGTGGAAAAGAAAAGGGATGAGAAAAGGTGACAAGAATTGACAAGTCTTAGAAGAGATTCTAATGCCCTAGGCAAAAATGGCAAAGAATCAAAACATGATTCTGAAATTTCAAACTGGGTGATACAGTCAGTGGGAAATAAGGAAAAGAAGCTGATTCAGGAGAGAAGTTCAGATTCAGGTATGTACCTGAGGGTTATAAAGAGTCAGTATTGGAGTAGAGAAAAGACCACTGGACTCCATCAGAAAAATCTGAGTTCAAGTGGGAAAAAAAAAAAAAGGTTAGGATCCAACGAAAAAAACAGAATGCAAAATTATGTCTGCAGTATGATTTTAACTATTAAAAAACTAAGCATAGGAAAAGACTAAGAACAAGTACATTAACATGTTAACATCAGCTGCATACAAATGGGCTAAAGATAATTTATTTTTCTATTCTTCTTTCCTTTCTATGGTGTTTTATTTAAAAATAATATGATGCTGGGCATGGTGACTCACACCTCTAATCCCAGCACTTTGGGAGGCTGAGGTGGATGGATCACTTGAGGACAGCAGTTCAAGACCAGCTTGGCCAATATGGCAAAACCTCTTCTCTATTAAAAATACAAAAATTAGCTGGGTGCGGTGGTGCACACCTGTCATCTCAGCTACTCGGGAGGCTGAGGCACAAGAATCGCTTGAATCCAGGAGGCAGAAGTTGCAGTGAGCCAAGACTGTGCCACTGTACTCCAGCCTGGGCGACAGAAACTCTGTCTCAAAAAAACAAAATAAAATAAAATAAAAATAATATAGATACAAACACTCCCAACCATACAAAAAAAGAAAAAACCTGGACTTAACCTTTTAAAAAAATAACACACTCTTGGCCAGGTGCGGTGGCTCACGTCTGTAATGCCAGCACTTTGGAAGGCCGAGGCAGGCGAATAACAAGGTCAGGCGATCACAACCATCCTGGCTAACACAGTGAAACCCCATCTCTACTAAAAATACAAAAAATTAGCCAGGTGTGGTGGTGAGTGCCTGTAGTCCCAGCTACTCGGGAGGCTTGAGGCAGGAGAATAGCTTGAACACGGGAGGCAGAGGCTGCAGTGAGCCAACATGGTGCCACTGCACTCCAGCCTGGGCAATAGAGCAAGACTCCGTCTCAAAAACAAACAAACAAACAAAAACACGGCCAGGCACGGTGGCTCACACCTGTAAGGGAGGCCAAGGTGGGTGGATCACACAAGGTCAGGAGTTCAAGACCAGCCTGGCCAAGATGGTGAAACCCCGTCTCTACTAAAAATACAAAAATTAGCCAGACATGCTGGCGGGCACCTGTAATCCCAGCTACTAGGGAGGCTGAGGCAGATAACTGCCTAAACCCGGGAGGCGGAGGCTGCAGTGAGCCGAGATCGCGCCATTGCACTCCAGCCTGGGCAACAGAGCAAGACTCTGTCTCAAAAAACAAACAAACAAAAAAAAACCACTTTCTAGACCTTTTTCACCTATAAAAGTATAATAATTTATCTCCCAAGGTTAGTATGCAAATTAAATGAGATAAAAGCTCTTTGTAAACTGTAAATAAGGAATGCTTTAAAATAATATTTAAAAATCATATACAGCATGCAAAATTAAGGTATTATAAAAGCCTAAGACAGCTAAAGGACAAGAGATCATATACCGACATACAAATATACTACAGGGTCAGGCACAGTGGCTCACACCTGTAATCCCAGAACTTTGGGAGGCCAAGGTGCGTGGCCATCACCCGAGGTCAGGGGTTTGAGACCAGCCTGGCCAACATAGTGAAAACCTGTCTCTACTAAAAATACAAAAATTAGCCAGGTGTGGTGGTACACAACTGTAATCCCAGCTACTCAGGAGGCTGAGGCAGGAGAATCGCTTGAACCCAGGAGGCAGAGGTTGCAGTGAGCTGAGATCGTGCCATTGTACTCCAGCCTGGGAGACAGAGCAAGACTCCGTCAGACACACACACACAAAGAAATATACTATAGATTTGGGAATCTTCCACACTGAGGTAATACTAGATGAAGTAGATTCTTTCCCTAAACTTTTTACAAGTATTAGAATCTATTTTAAAAATCAAAATATTTTTCTAAAATTTCTTATGAATATTGAAGTTTTACATGTTACAGAAATGGACTCCCACATACAAAATACAGTATTTTGCTACATGTTATTCCAACTTACACATAAGACAGAAAAAGACTCCCTAGAATTTAAACTGCTAAATTATTTCATTGTTTTAAAAAGCCAAGCTCTGCAGAGATAAATCTAGCAATCAACAAATGTTCTCTCAGAAGTTACTTGCTTGAAACATAGCACAGCATTCTAAATGGTGCTTCCTCCCTTCATCCCCATTTCTGGTACTTAGGCTTAATAATAAACATCTCTACATACAGTACATACTTTATTTATTTATTTATTTTTTAGAGGCAGAGGTTTGCTCTGTGGCCCAGTGGAGTGCAGTGGTACAATCATAGCTCACTGCAACCTTCAACTCCTGTGCTCAAGTGATCCTCCTGCCTCAGCCTCCCAAGTAGCTGGGGTTACAGGCACATGCCACTATGCCTATTTTTGTTTTTTTTGCAGAGACAGGGTCTTGCTATGTTGCCCAGGCTGGTCTCAAACTACTGGGCTCAATCGATCCTTCCACCTCAGCCTCCCAAAGTGCTGGGACTACAGGCGTGAGCCACTGCACCTAGTCATGGTACTTATTTAAAAACCAGGCAGTAAGCTCCTAAAGGGCAAAAAGCATGTCTTTTACTTGTCTTTCCCATAAGAACCACCAAGCATAGTGCTAGCCCATGTTCGATGTTAATCCATACATATGTTGAAAAACACTCTAGCTAACTCATGTTGAAGATGCTCTACTAACCATTTAAGAGTTACTACTCATGTCTGGTTACACAACTTGAGTCTATCTTGAACTCTTCAAGAGGCAACCAATAAAAAAAGTTTAAAAAAAAAACCTCTCCAAATATTACATGAAAAACATTTTCATGTAAATAAGGAATGCTTTAGATTAATATGTGAAAATCATATACAGCATTGTTCCTTTAAGAAAGCAAGACTATTATCTGTGATGAGAAATCACAGTTCTAACAATGTGATGTTAAAAAGACTAATTTCTGAATAGTCCATAAGTTGAAGCATACTGCTATACTTGTTCACATTTACAACCTGTACCCAGAATGTTGTTTCTTATAGATCCTAATCCAACAATTTCATTCACTATGATTTTTCTTAGGGGGAAGAAGATTTTAAGTTTTGTTGTTTAACTTTTGAGGCAGAAAAATTTAAAGCTGACTGGTTAGGTATAAGGTTTCTTTCAAGTGAAAACAGACTAATCTCTAGGTTAATTCCAAGATAAAAGTCTTAAAATTAAACCTCTATTATGAAAGAGATTCTAAAAAGATTAAGCATGAAATGCACCCAATCCCTGCCTTATAAAAAATCGGTAAAAGCTGTATGAATAGCTTCCCACTTTTGCACATAGACCTGAGATTTAATATACATACAGTATATACATTTTGCACATGGGTATCTATATGTAGTGATTTAGAGGCAACACATCAAGGTAATTGAGTACTTTTCTCTCCTAAGTTTAAAAAAAAAAAGGTTTCTAAAGTGCTGCCTTAAGTTACCATAATTTGTGGATTAAAAGATATATTAATAATACCTAAGGGAAATTCCAGAGTACAAGCACCTGCCAGCCAAGTTGCCTGAAATTCATCAGCTGCGGAGATTAAAAGAATTCTTCACTTGTTTTTTATGTAAAACAAAGATAACATAATCAGTACCATGTAACTTCAATGTGGCATTTATAAAATGGCCAATCACTTATCATTCCTATGATTTAAAAAACCACTACCTAGTCTTAATTGCCATTAGACATCTTATAAAATGCACATAACACAGTGGATTTCTTATCTAAACATGCAACAATCAAGGGTACAGTTTGAATTTTAAGTTTTCACTTCACAAAATGAGTCACCATAGGATTCTCTGAAATAATCTCTTCTCTAAAATTATTCTGTTTATAAAGTACTCAATTTTTCTGCTTATAAAAATGTAGTTTTTTCACCATTTTTCAAGAATCTATCTAATATGTAAAAGGAAATACACACATACTTCCTTGAGAATAAATGCTTTCAATAGTTGTAACCCCAGAAGAACTTCACGTTTTGACTTCTTGTTTAAAAAAAAAAAAAGTTTTTAAACACCTACTAGAGTAGAAGTGCTTGCCTTTATATTCATGGCTCTCCTGATGGTAAAATAAAGATCAATGTAACTCTAAGCTCTAGGCTAATTAACTGCAGAGAACAGAAACAAGCAATTTGGCAAGAGCTGAGCAAAGCTCCGCTTAAAGACTACCAGTAAAATATACCAGCACTACTCCTCCCCCACCCCTTTAAGGTTTCAATTAAGATGGGGCCTAGTTTTACTCTTGCAAGGGGGACAGAAAGAGAAAGCACAGAGCTCCCACTGAGAAGTATCTTCATCAAGAACAGCTCCAGAAATACTGCCAGGAACCATTTCCTTCCCTCTCTGCAGATGCAGGTTCCTCTGATAGGCATATCTCCTCTGCTCCTGATTAACACCATATCTAAAGGAAAGTCTCATCACATACCACCCAAAGCATGGCATCAAATGAATTTTTTAAATCCAACATTAGGGTCAACAATGACGCTCTTTATGAAAAGTGTGAGCCCCAACTGCAATTCATCTTCATCTCTCGGTCTTTTGTATCACTTGCCTCATAAACTGGTTAAGAAAGAAGAAAGCTATTACAAAGCATAATCAATGTTTGAAAATAAACATTAAGTGCCCCAACTGGTGAGAAAGACTCCTCCTAAACACTTACAGAAGATGAAGCTTTAACAAGCCCTCCAGAAATCTTTAGAGCCAACACGAAAGAAGTTAAAGTGATCTCACCACTCCTACAGGATGAGGACCCAATACAGTATAAAGATAGCACAGCTCTCCACAACATCCCCTAAGAAGACACTCAATTTTTACTTTAGTATAAGATCAGCCCTTCAGCGGACATATAGGACAAGTTTTTCGGTCCAACACTTACTGTGAATAAACCAACGCATGGAGCTAAAAAAGAACCAGGGAAAAATGGATGTCTCTCTAAAAAGAGCCCAACCTAAGTAAGGAATTACAAGACATCAAAGGTTAGATAATGGACAACAGGTGCCTTTGAGGAGGAAAGAGTAACACAACACTCAGTTGCCTCCTATTTTAGGATTTCCACTCTGAAAGCAATATAACGACAATTTTTTCTGCCCAAGAAAAAGGGAAGGCCAAAATTATAGGTTTTACTATTTAATATCTATAATAGGCCCATTGCTCTTTGACTTACTTTTTTACTTTAGATTTTAAAAATCCATCTCATCTCGATATTATCTGGATATAGTACGGCCTATGGCCAGACTGCTCACTGATCAGTGAACATTAACCAAGTAGAGACTTATTATCAAGAAATGTAAAAGAAAGGCGTCTGAATACAAGCTACCTGCACATAAAAAACTCAAAATACAGTTCCAGCAGTAGGTATCACACAACTGCGTTATCAGCCAAAGCTGAAACTGTTTCTCTCACCATTCTAACAGTTGAACTTAATCTTTTACTAGATTTCAATGGCCTCGAAGAATAGTAATTCCAGATTCAGCTTCTAGGGCAGCGAATACTAGCCTGGAGTTTTGATTTTCCTAGCCAGAAGATTACCTTCATCTGGTGAAAGGAACACTGAAAAGGCACTTCAGCCTATTTAATAACCTCTTCCCTTTCTCCATTCCACAAAGACAACATCTTCCAAAAATGGAGAATCCTTTCCTTCCCTGATAGAGGCCCCCTTTCCTATTGATTCATTGGGCAGAATCACTTCTCCCCAGCATGTATGCAGAACCAGAAAACACTTCTGCTTTCACTCTTAAAGAGGGTCCCCCAACACAGATGCACCTCTTCCTTTCCTGCATTAAGCAAATGATGCTCCGATGCTTCTAGGTCTCTCCACCACTGCAAAATGCTCAGAGAAGTGGAGGGATTGAAAAGGAAGTTGCCTACTACTCTGAAGGATACTGGAAAGTCGCCTTCAAATCTAAAGTGAAGACTTGGGGGCGGGGGATGCCCCCTTCCTGAAGAGGGAATGAGGGTCCCTCCCCTAAAAAGGAGCCTCTGTTCGGGTGAAGGCGATCCCCACCCTGAAAGAGAGGCGTGTATGTGGAAAGGTGGTGGAAGGTTGTACCCTGAAGAGGAGCCTGGATTTGAAGAAATGTCCCAACTCTGAAGGGGGGTAAGTGGAGGGAGCCGTGAGTGTACGGGGAGGGGTGTGCCAGCTATCGGGGGGCCTGAGAAGGAAGGGGTTCCCACTTTGGGGGAACGAGGGCCCCGCACTGAAAGGGGCTCCGGGAGGAAAGGAGGGTCTGACACAGAGGAGAGTTGGACATGGGGGAGGGGCCCTCAGTCCACCGGAGTCCGCGGAGGGGCGGCAGCCTCGAAGGGAACATGTGCAGTGGAGCCGCTGCCACCCCGAGGGGCAGGCGGGAGGGCAGGGCCTGGGCTGTGTGCGGAAGGAAAAAAGTTCCTACCCTTCGCAGAAGACGCAGGACTCCCCAGCCGTACTCACCGAGACTGCCGGCGAAACCGTCCATCTTGCGGGGAAAGCGCCGGGCTCCGGGCTTAGAGGGGCGGGCACTTCATTCAGCGGACCGACAGAGTGGCCGACGCTGAGCCTGACCCGCTCGTTCTCTAGGTCGCCCGGCTCGGCTACCGGCTCCCGCCTCCGTCGTCCGTCCGTTCGCCCTGGGGTAGTAAGCCGCGGCCGCCCGAACCACTTCCCCGTCACGTTGAGAGCCGCGCCGCTCAGCCGCCTGCCCGGCCTCCCTCCCAGGCAGCAGCCGCGAGCGCCGCGCCGCGCCGCGCCCCGCCCCGCCCCCGCGCCCGCGCGCAGCAGTAGCCCCGCCCCGCGCACGCCGTCACACTTCCGACTCCGCCTCCCACGTGACGCCACGGAGGCGGGGTCTTGCCAGCCCCGCCCTCTCACCTTGCCTCGGCCTCGGCGTTTGTCCGCCTCGCGCCAGGCTGGTGGTTGCGCCTGCGCGGTAGGCCTGCTGAAGGCTGGGGACCACGGTTTGGAAGCTGGTTCCAAACAGGTGGGGATAAGGCATAGACTCTGGCCTGCGATACTCTGATGCATGAAGGATCCTCTCCCTATGTGGCCCCTGGGAAGCCCGCAGAGCCAAGACTGGACCCCCGTGACGGGAGATGACCACCACGTGGGTCCTACAAGGACACTAAAGAAGCAACCAAGAGGGAGAGGTTCTCCCTCTCCCCCAATAGGGTGGGGGACAAATAGGGGCGAAGCTTCTTGACTAGCTCGATACCACCACTGCCACAGCCGCAGGGCCCGGGACAGATCAGAAGCAAGGAATTTTAGTGCTGGACATGACCCAAAAGTTCATCTTGTCTAACCCTTCTTATGAAGAAAAACACAGAGCCTTAGAGAGGACAACCTGCCCAAGGTCATCGAACCTAGTAGAAGCAAAAACTCAGCCTTCCTTACTCTCCCTAGCGTTCTGTCGTCTAGGGGTGCAAAACGACCATATATGGCAGGCTATAGGATGGCCTGCTAGGGAACCATAATAAGGGTTATTTCAAATGAAGTAACACTGAGTTCTAGGCCCAACTCCGTATGACTCAAGAGTGTCAAATCACCTAATTTATTTAGGCGTCACTTTATTCATTTGCAAATTGGTTGTCTGGACATGTAACCAAAACATGTAAATATACATAGCGTTCATATTCTTCCTCCCTTCCCCAACACGATTTCCCATACTTCTAAAGACTTTCTCATGGTTTGTCAAGTCCCTCCTGGGGCTCAGTTGTGCAGATTAGAGTAAGAGAGAGAAGAGCTGTAAGGTACTGAAGAACTGAATTGATCTATACATAATAAATTGATAAATACATAATAAAAAGCTGAGTTAGGGGAAAACAGAGTCCTACTACACAGAGTTGCAGGAGAGAGGGACAAACAAGAAGGGAGACAAGAAATATGTAATGATGAGAGAGACTTAGAGGAATTAAATGATTGAAAGGATTGTTAAACCTTCTTGGGGTATACGTCTCCCTTTGTTGCCTCTTTAAAAATCTTCCCTAAAAATGTAAATTACTTTGCATTTCTTATTTGGATATAAGACCTGTTTCTGAATACCATACTATATGGAGACTGGCCATAACGCAGCCAAGATAAATTCAGGTTACAGACTAAACGGTGTCTAAAATTTCCTTCTCTTCAAACTTAAATGATTTACCCAATGTTCCTTCTGCTATGGGCATTTTCATATGCATAAGTTTCTATTAAGCCTAAGTAAATGTTTGAGAAGTTCTCAATTCTGACAGCTGTTCCTTTGTGTCTTCAGGCCACACTCTCTGCCTTAGGTCGATTAAAAGAATAAGAACTTGGCATATTGGTATACATATGTTTTATGGTCCAGACCTGGAAGTGTGTACCTCCCTTTTGTCCACATTCCACTGGCCAGAACTTGGTCACATGACTGCAAGGGAGGCTAGGAATGTAGTCTGTGTATCCAGAAGGAAAAGAGACATATTTTGGTAACAGCTCTCTGGTTTCTGCCACACTCCCCTTCGTGGCATTCATCAGAGTTAAAATTTTTCATTTGCTTGAATGATTTATTCAATAAGCATCTCATTCATTATACTGTATACTACAAGGAAAGCTGTTAAAATGTAGGAGAGTTAGTACATCCCAGCAGTTAAGAGTGCAGACTCTGGAATCATGCTGCCCAGATTCACATCCCAACTCATCATGTACTAGCTATGAAACACTGGACAAATTACCTAACCTCTCTGTGCCTCCATTTTATTGACTGCAAAATGGAGATGATAACACTTCTACTTCTTAGAGTTTTTGAGAGGATGCTATGAGGTAATATATGTAAAGCACTTAAAACAGGGCACAATATGTTATAAGTGCTCAGTAGGTATTAGCTGCTCTTATTTTGTACCTGTTTTTGCTCTCTATTATATACTTAGTGCATATTACAGAACAGCTTTTTGATAAATATTTATTGAATAATGAACAAACATAGAAGAATTCTGAAAACTAGTCAATCTGAATACATTGTTTCAACAACCAGTGCCTGAGTGTTTTAAAGCAGCCAGAATTTTTGTTTTATATTTATCAAAGTACATCTTGCAATCTAAGCCTCTAATACTACTATGATAAAATAAAATTTAACATACATCTTTCAAAAGTGAAACCATAGCTGAACATTATCAAACACACACACAAATACTAAGGTTCTAAACAGTTACGAATTACTGGAGGGTTATTTTGGTTATTCACCTTAACAAAGGATTTATCTTTAGATTATTTTCAATGTGGAGTTCCATTGCCCCTTTGAGCTCCTTAAGTATAACTTAATTCAGGCAAATGCAAAATATGTGCCGTTTTTCAGGATCCCAGTTATTGGAAAAGGCTAAATATAGCTGTATCAAATAATGAAAACTTAGAACATTCCCTTTATGGTTTTGGTTTTTGAAACAGGGTCTCACTCTGTTGCCCAGGCTGGAGTGCAGTGGCACGATCTCAGCTCACGGCAACCTCCGCTTCCCCGGGTTCAAGCAATTAGCATGCCTCAGCCTCCCAAGTAGCTGGGATTACAGTTGTGCACCACCATGCCCAGCTAATTTTTGTATTTTTAGTAGAGACAGGGTTTGGCCATGTTGCCCAGGCTGGTCTCGAACTCCTCACCTCAAGTGATTCGCCTAGCCTTGGCCTCCTGAAGTGCTGGGATTACAGGCTTCAGCCACCATGCCTGGCCAGAACATTCTCTTTATACATCGAATCTTGACTCTGCATACTTACCTTCCCCTCTATGTCAAGGTTAGTATGTTGTGGGAGGAGTTTCAGAATACTTGTGAAGATACATTGTCAAAGTCTTGACCTAACGTTTGAAGAAAAATAAGATTCCTATTCAATTTCTTTGTTTTACTCTCACTAGCTAGATGATCTTGAAAAGTAACTATAAACTGTTTTTGTCTGCTTGCTTTTCTCTCCCGCAGACATTTTAAAATAAATGCCAAGGAAAATTAAGGGTTTTTTTTAAGTATGCTGTGTCTTCAGTTCCTTTTATTTCATTATTTGAATGTTATTTAAAAAATGAAACCCTATAGTCATGGAACTATATAGATTGTATAAACCTGTAGTCCATGTAAGCACAAATTTGATAGAAAAAAATCAGAGTTAATACCTGAGTGGGGGAAAAAAGGGATTCTTCATTTTTATAATATGTTTAATGTAAGCAGTGTGTAAAAGAATTCCAAAATCTATAAGAAGCTAAATGGCAATGTTATTCTAGCTTCTAACCATAAAGAATGCCTAGGGAGAACTTCAAAATTATTGCAAGAGAAATAAAAGGAGTTTGAGAGGAGATACCCCAAAGTGTCAAAAGTAGCTGCCTCTGAGAAATGAAATTAAGTGGAAGAAGGAAAGGGTAGAGGAGAGATATGGGGGATTTCACTTTTATTTTATTTTAATCATAGAAGTATTCATTTTTTGAAAACATTAAAATGCAAAAACAAAAAATATATTTCACTGCATATTTAGACACTCATAAACTGTGTCTGTAGAGACTGGTTTAAAATATCATACTTATTTAATAACTGTTTTACCAATCTTGGCATGATGGTTATCTCTCTCGTAAGACTTTCCAGACTTGCTGACTTCAGGAAAGAATCAAGCAATTAGTAGTGCTGTAAATTCTTGGTGAGAACTTATGAGACTGAAATCTATCCTGTGGGGATCACAAGCCATACCTCACTTGGAGGACCTGCTGCATAGATGCATGAGTGAGTGAACGAATGCCTATTGAGGTTAATTTTGGCATTTCTCATGGTGCCATCCATGACCTACAGAAAGAAGACAACTAGCCTTGCCTGCAGAGCTAAGTTTTCCCAATGCTAATTCAGAATTTATGCCATGAAATGAGATTTGAACTTGTTGAGATTGTGGAACAAACTTTAAAGTTTCTTTTTATGTGTTATAGCTTTACTACATTTACTGGATGTTGCGCAAGCCTTAGAGATAATAGCTAATAATTTTCATGTGTCCATCATAAATGTAAAATTTTTCTCCATGAAGAGTTCATAACAATCCCTTACAAAATTGATATTCTGCAGGGAAATACTTTTAAATAGAAATATTAGAGTGGAAAGCAGCCAATCAAGGAAATTCAATTCTCAAAATTAATAACACAGGAAGTTCTCTACTTGCAAATAAAATATTTCCAAAAGGTCATTTGTAAGTCAGCAGTTTGAAATTAGTAATAATGCCATAATTGGTGGTTAGATTGCCACTTAGCCCCAAAAACATGTAGCATGCTGATCCTAACCTGCCTGCGTTAAACCACACTGATGACAGCCTTACTTAAGGTTTTGAACCAGACAGGTCTGAAATTGAATATTGCCTATTATAAGCATCTGTGGGTTGATGTTGCAACCTAAATACAACATATAATACCGTTTCAACTTTCAAAGTTCTGACTTATGAAGGTCCTTAAGTGGTAGGTTTCATTATCCCCATTTTTCAGACAGGGAAAATGAGCCTCAAGAGTATAAAACTATAAAATGGGAAAATCAAGTTTTGAACCCATATCCATCTACATCTGAAAATCAAACTCTTCGCTGCACCAGTTTGCCTTTTGGGCTCAATGGGATTCTGTTGTGGAGATCCTTGAACACCAGACTGAGACGCCTATCAACAATGCAGTTTTAGCAGCAAAGTGATATGATCAAAGCATTGCTTTAGGAAGATTAAACCGGGTGGACACATTGGAAGAGGCACTGGAAGTGGGGAATCCAATTAGGAGACTTGCAGTGAAGCAGTAGCTGCAGAAAGCGCCAAGAAAAAAAAAATCTTGTGAAGGAAAACATGAATTAACAACAAACAAAACCCTCGCAGAGCTGGGTGGACTGATTGCCTCAGAAGCTAAGGAAGAGGAGGGAGTAAAACAGGTTATCCAGGTTCAGCTCCCAGTGATGGAGAGAATAATGGCAGCATTATATTAAAATGGGAACTTAAAGAAATGATGTGACTGGAGAAAAGAAAATACAGTGATGAATTAACCTTTGTGGGAAGCTGAAGGGAATCAGAGGTCATCTTTGACAGCTGGGGCCCAGGCACATGACCTAGGCCAAGTGAATGCCTCAACCCAGGTCTTTTAATGGCAGGGATGAGTTGGGGGGCAGTGATACAAAAACTAGCAGTCAGAGACCATGCTTGAAGATAGTTGAGAAATTGAAGAGCAACAGTGATGGTGTGCAGAGGTAGGAAGTAGGGCAGCCCACTCCAGGGCAGCGTCCTCACTAGAGTCCTAAAGAGTAAACTTGCCCATGCTCTCTGTGCCCTACACTGCCTGGGTTTCTGCCCATTTTCTGTGCCTGGCCCTCTGATCTTCCCATCGACTGAAGGAGCTACCTGATATCCTCCCAGCGAATTTGTTTTCTGCTTGAGTCAGCCAGAGTGGGTTTCTGTTGTTTGCAATAGAGAACTCTGAGTGGTACAAGTGCTGCGTTCAGTTTTAAACAGATTGTGCTTGGCGTCATAACCAGATGTCCAGATGGAAGCCTCCAGCACACAGTTTGAAATGTGGACTGTGGTTTAGGAGCGGGTTGGGTCTGGGAATATACACGCAGGAGACTTCTCAATAGAGCCGATGGTTTAAGCTATGAGAAATCTTAGAGGAAAAAGATTTAAGGGAAAAAATGGAAATGAGCAGAATGTAGAACTTGAGGGACCTCCAATATTTAGGAGGCAAGAGAAGGTGTCAGAGAAGAAACAATAACAGCAATAGAAGGCAAATCCTGCTAGTGCCCTATCACAGAACCAAAAGGAGCCAAAAGGTTGTTTTTTTTTTTTTTTTTTTTAATGATGGAAGTTGGAAGCTGTTAAATGCTACAGAGTCCAAGGAAGATGAGAAGTGAGGAACGGATACTAGATTTAGTGATTACGAGATCACTGGTCTTTAGAGAGTTGTTTATCTTGATGGTGGAGGAAAAAATCAAGTTGCAGGGGATTAAAGACTGAAAGGGGGGTCTGAAAGTGGAAAGAAAAAAATGCAGGCTACAGTTTAAAGGAATTTGGCAGGATTTTGTCTGTTTTGTTCACTGCTGAATTCCCAGCTCCTAGAAGAGCACCTGGCACATGGTAGGTGTTCAATAAATATTTGTTAAATGAATGAATAAAGAAGATCAGAAACAGAAAATTGAGCTGAAGTGTGATGAAGAGGAATATTTTATTTTATTTTATTTTATTTTATTTTATTTTATTTTATTTTATTTGAGACAGGGTCTCACTCTGTCACCCAGAATGGAGTACAGCATTATGATCTTGGCTCACTGCAGCCTCAACCTCCTGGGCTGAAGCGATCCTCATGCCTCAGCTTTCTGAGTTGCTGGGACTACAGGTGCACACCACCACACACGGCTAATTTTTGTGTGTGTGTGTGTGTGTGTGGTTTTGTTTTGTTTTGTTTTTGGTAGAGATGGGGTTTTGCCATGTTGCCCTGGCTGGTCTTGGACTCCTGGGCTCAAGCAATCCTCCTGCCTCAGCCTTCCAAAGGGATTGGATTACAGGCATGAGCCACCGTGCCCAGCCTAAAGAGGCAAATTTGTAGAATTGAGATTACCTCAGTATGCTTGCAAACAAGGGTTACCAAGTTCTCTCTCCCATCTCCATAGGCCAAAGAACCTGATTTCCTAGGCTTTTCTTGAGTTATCTATTGGATGCTCTTTCCTCACCCATATACTATCCTCATTACTCCATTATTCAGTTTGTCTGTATTGTAGGCTAATATAATACCAATTTCCTGGATAACAGTTTCTTATTCATCATGTCTTATTCTTCTTTGAAAAGTCTATTTTTTATACTACTTCATGTTCCACACAAAAATAAGTCAGATATTCCTCATCTATGTATATTTTATCCCAAACCACAGTTGAACCTCAGTGAGCTTTTAAGGATTTGATAAAACATTCTGATTAACCAGAAACAGGTGTATCATTAGATGACATCTCAATTGCACATTTTAAAAAAATCATTAGTTTGCGGTCCTTTACAACACAAACTTTATATCCAATAACCAAACGATCAAATGCAGTATCAAAACATTGTAAAGAAGCTATATAAAGACAAAAAGTTAAAATTGCCTCTGACTTAAGTAATAATAACAATAAAACCTAAGATTTTTTTTGTTTTACTTTAAACCCTTCTGTTTCCAAGTCTATGGACTTTTACTTAGAAGTCTATGAGTAAAAAAAACAAAAACAAAAACAAAAACCATGCATTTAAAAAATAAATTTTAACTAGAAATGTAAGAAGTCATAAGGGGTTTTCAAGTGCAATGAAATACTTGGACTACAACAATTAAGATTAAAGACATGGAAGTTTCCCAACCTGAGTTTATGGTCTTTGGTGGATGTAATTAAAGCACACAGAGCCTTTACAATGGGTGTAAGAAATTGTTTCTTTATTTTGCTTGCAGACTTTAGTAAGCAATCTTCTAGTGCCTGTCATAGGTTCATCAGAGCAATCAGCTGTGACTTTAGGGTTCTTTTGGTGTTACTGTATTAATTTGCATCTAGGCAGTCTGCAATTTTGGGGAGAAAAGAAATAGGAAAAAAAATAAAAAATGCATAATTGCTTTTGTGCATATTATTCCCTTTAGTTTCTTTTAGAATAATTATATGTGCCTATACATGCAAACAGAAGGCACATGTGTGCACATACATGAGTGTGTCTCCAGATACATGGTCAAAAAGCTTTTTGTATCATTCCTCACTCTCTTCTTAGGCTAAAACTTTGCTTGGCCCAAACTGAGTGTTTGATCAAGATGTGAATGGTCTGTAATAACAGAGCATGTCTAGTTGCATAAAGCCAATGATGCTCATCATCAAAGTCCTCCCAGTCAGAATAGGGACTTTTCCTTCTTGAGTACCTGGGAGACTTGCACTTAGCTGAATGACATTTTCAGATAAGGCTTCCCTTCCATTTAAACTGTGATGATTAAAGTTTCTAGAGGATCTGTTATAAAACTAAAATGAGTATAAGGTTACCTCAGAACTGAAACCTGAATTCAATTCCAAAATGTGACTTTGTTGTTGTTGTAGAGTTGGGGTCTCGATATGTTGCCAGGGCTGGTCTCAAACCCTGGCCTCAAGCAATCTTTCCACCTCAGCATCCCAGAGTTCTGGTATTACCGGTGTGAGCCACCATGCCCAGCCATGGTGGCATTTTTGCATCAGCCCATGAGGTGAGCCATGACCCAGGTCCAGAGAGTCCTTCATGTGAAATGGGCTGTCCTTACCCAAAAGTGAGAAAAGATTCCCGTGGAAGAGCCCAAGTTCCTCCCAGGGCCAAAATTGTGGGGGAAGCATCTTTCTGTTATTGCCAGCAGTTGCTGGTCTCAGTTATCCAGTATCCTGCATGCAACCAGGCTTATCAAGTTGGCCAGACCGCAGGTCAATAAATGTAGGCAAGGCCGGGCACAGTGGCTCACGCCTGTAATCCCAGCGCTTTGGGAGGCCAAGGTGGGTGGATCACCCGAGGTCAGGAGTTCGAGACCATCTTGGCTAACACAGTGAAACCCCGTCTCTACTAAAAATACAAAAAATTAGCCAGATGTGGTGGCACGTGCCTGTAGTCCCAGCTACTTGGGAGGCTGAGGCAGGAGAATGGCTTGAACTGGGGAGGTGGAGCTTGCAGTGAGCTGAGATCGTGCCACTGCACTCCAGCCTAGGCGACAGAGCGAGACTCCATCTCAAAAACAAAAAAAAGAAAAAAAATGTAGGCTTGAAAAAGGATGTGAGCAGGCATTTCATAAAAGAAGAAATACAAATCACTAATAAGTGTATATAAGAACATTTAAAAATCAGTACATCCACACAAAAATCTCCACATATTTATAGCAGCTTTGTTCATAATTGATAAAACTTGGAAGCAACCGAGATGTCCTCCAGTAGGTAAATGAGTAAATAAGCTGTGGTGTATCCAAACAATGAAATATGCAGTGCTAAAAAGAAATGTGCTATCAAGCCATGAAGAGACTCAGAGGAAACTTAAATGCATATTACTAAGGCTACGTATTGTATAATTCCACTATATGACACTCTGGAAAAGGCAAAGCTAAGAAGACAGTAAAAATGTCAGTGGTTGCCAGAGGTAAGTGGGGAGGGAGGAATGAATAGGCACAGAGGCTTTTTAGGTCAGTGAAAATACTCTTTATGATGATATAATGGTGGATACATGTCATTACATATTTATCCAAACCCATAGAATGCACAACACTAAGAGTGAACCCTTATGTAAACTATGGACTTTGGGTGATAATGATGTGTCAACGTAGGTTCATTGATTGTAACAAATGTACCCCTCTGTTGCAGGATGTTGATAATGGGAGTCTATGGATGTGTAGGGCAGAGGGCATATGAGATATCTCTGTACTTTCCTGTCAATATTGCTGTGAACCTAAAACTGCTCTAAAAAAGTCTAAATTTGGCCGGGCACTGTGGCTCATGCCTGTAATCCCAGCACTTTGGGAGGCTGAGGCCAGTGGATCACCCGAGATCAGAAGTTCAAGACCATCCTGGACAACATGGTGAAACCCGTCTCTACTAAAAATACAAATATTATGGCCAGGCGTGTTGGCTTACGCCTGTAATCCCAGCACTTTGGGAGGCTGAGGTGGGCAGATCACGTGAGGTCAGGAGTTTGAGACCAGCCTGGCCAAAACACCCTGTCTCTACTAAAAATACAAAAATTAGCCGGGCATCGCTGTGGGTGCCTATAGTCCCAGCTACTCAGGAGGCTTGAGGCAGGAGTATCGAACTTGGGAGGCGGAGGTTGCAGTGAGCCAAGATCGTGCCACTGCACTCCAGCCTGGGTGACAGAGCGAGACTCCATCTCAAAAAAACAAAGTCTAAATTAGCCAGGCATGGTGGCGCATGCCTGTAGTCCCTGTTACTCAGGTGATGAGGTGCTGAGGTGGGAGGATCACTTGAGCCTGGGAGGTTGAGGCTTCAGTGAGCCCTGATTGTGCCACTGAACTCCAGTCTGGGCAACAGAGTGAGACCCTGTCTCTAAATGAATAAAGTCTCAAAAAGAAAGAAAGCAGTAAAAACTAAAATGAGGAGATAACATCTGATGGAAATCAAATTTGAAAAGTTGGGCTTTTTCTAACTTATAATTTTAATTTTTGTGGCTACATAGTAGGTGTATATATTTACGGGGTACGTGAGATCTTTGATACAGGCATGCAATGCACAATAATCACATCATGTAAAATGGGGTATCCATCCTTAGTGTGTTATCCATCCTTAGTGTTACAAACAATCCAATTATTATCCTTTTTTTTTTTTTTTTTTTTGAGACCTGGCTCTGTCGCCCAGGCTGGAGGGCAGTGGCACGATCTTGGCTCACTGCGAACTCCATCTCCTGGGTTCACACCATTCTCCTGCCTCAGCCTCCCAAGTAGCTGGGATTATAGACGCCCGCCACCACGCCCGGCTAATTTTTTGTGTTTTTAGTAGAGACGGGGTTTCACCGTGTTAGCCAGGATGGTCTCAATCTCCTGACCTCGTGATCTGCCCGCCTCGGCCTCCCAAAGTGCTGGGATTACAGGCATGAATCTTTTAGTTATATAAAAATGTACAATTAAGTTATTAGTCACTATAGTCACCTTGTGGTATAACATACTAGGTCTTATTCATTCTGGTTTTTCTTCTTGTACTCATTAACCATCCCCACCTCACCCTTACCTCTCCCACTACCCTTCCCAATCTCTGGTAACCATCCTTCTACTCTCTATCTCCATGAGTTCAATTGTTTTTATTTTTAGATTCCACAAATAAGTGAGAACATGCAGTTTGTCTTTTTGTGCCTGGTAAGAGGTGTTTTTTAAAAAAATTCTTGGCCAGGCACGGTGGCTCACTCCTATAATCCTAGCGCTTTGGGAGGCCGAGGCGGGCAGATGACGAGGTCAGGAGATTGAGACCATCCTGGGTAACACGGTGAAACCCCGTCTGTACTAAAAATACCAATAATAATAATAATAATAATAATAATAATAATAATAATAATTAGCTGAGCGTGGTGACATGTGCCTGTAGTCCCAGCTACTCGGGAGGCTGAGGCAGCTGAATCGCTTGAACCCAGGAGGCGGAGGTGGTAGTGAACCGAGATCGTGCCACTGCGCTCCAGCCTCGGCGACAGAGCGAGACTTTGTCTCGAAACAAACAAACAAAGAAAAAATTCTTTAGTATAGATGAGAAGACAGTTAAACAGGTACTCTCATATACAGGTGTGTGAAATATTCTACATTTCTGGAGAGCAAGTTAGTACGTTTATCGAAAGCTCCAAAATGTGACTACCTTTAACTAAGCAATTTCACACTAAGGAATTAGCCCAAGGGAAATAATCAGAGCCATATTCAAAGATTTGTCTAACAGTAAGTCTTCTCACAATATTATTTTTAATGGTGCAATAACATAAACAACTTACAGGTACACTCAGATGGTCATGATTAAATAATTAATGCTACCTCCATAGGTTAGTATACTATGCAGCTGTAAAAATCATAGTGTAGGCCGGGCGTGGTGGCTCATGCCTGTAATCCCAGCTACTTAGGAGGCTGAGGCAGAAGAATCACTTAAACCTGGCAGGTGGAGGTTGCAGTGAGTCGAGATTGCACCACTGCACTCCAGCCTGGGTGACAGAGAGAGACTCCGTCTCAAAAAACAAAACAAAACAAAAAAAACCACATATTGTAAAAATGGTTAATGATGTGGGAAAATGTTCACATTTTGTTAAATGAAAAGAGGAGATTACAAAATAGTACTACTGTATGATCTCAGAATTACAAAAGAGATGACCATGTGTCTATAGATCTATGGATAAATGAATAAAAACATTTACTAAAATGTTAATGGTGGTTATCTCTGGGTTCTGGGATTGTGGATGACTTTTATTCCTTTTTCTATTTCTACACTGTACTGCATTACTTTGGTAGTCAGCAACAGTGTTGTTTATAACAAGTAAAAGAGCTCTAATGTACTTCTAGAGAATTACTTCCCATGAGTTAATGAAGTCAGAGAAAAACTGCTACGCCTAAAACATGCTCATTGAACAGCTTGCATAGATGCTTTCCCTGACCCATACTTTCCCCATGTGGGAATAGGGTCAGGAACAGGGTAGAGGTTTCAAAGTGGCCCGTGCTCTACGCATTCCTGCCCACCTGGGGTGCTGAGGGCTCTGAGCTGCTCATGGTTATCCCTGAACTGAGATATGCACTTAAGGGAGAGCCAGGACAGCTGGTGTGAGTATGAACATATCACTTGCAACATTCATCTCATGGCTGTGACATCCACTCGGCCTTGAAACCCTTCATGTTCTAGTGGACATCATTCCATGTCAGCCCAGTCCTATAAATGGTCTCCCTGCCCCCATCACATTTCCCCTTTGATATTTCCATGATGACATTTACTCTATATAAGGTAGAAACTATTAGTGAGAACACTAGTTCTGGGTTTCAATTCCATTGCATTTAACATAAGGTCATGGTCACTATAATATGTTATGTAAGCCTAGTAGGCATTTAGCTTGAGCCAGGATACCTACTTGTAGGGGTAAATTTGAGAGTTGGAGAGAAGGTTTTCCCTCGATCATGACACCAAAGAATGGATTATTTCACCTCGCCTCCAAAGTAGAAAAGGTAGAATTAAGAATTAGCTCATTGTGAGGAAAGCTAGAGAGCTCTCTTTATAAGAAATACTGATGGCCTGGCGTGGTGGTTCAAGCCTGTAATCCCAGCACTTTGGGAGGCCGAGGCGGGTGGATCACGAGGTCAGGAGATCGAGACCATCCTGGCTAACATGGTGAAACCCCGTCTCTACTAAAAGTACAAAAAAATTAGCCGGGCGTGGTGGCAGGCGCCTGTAGTCCTAGCTACTTGGGAGGCTGAGGCAGGAGAATGGCGTGAACCCGGGAAGCGGAGCTGGCAGTGAGCCGAGATCGCGCCACTGAACTCCAGCCTGGGTGACAGAGCGAGACTCCGTTTCAAAAAAAAAAAAAAAAAAAAAAAAAAGAGATACTGATGTTTCTCTGCTGCCAAAACTGCTAAAGAGAGACTATCGTGCAAGTAAATAAAAGCAGTTCTTCTGACATGAAAACTGAGGTATATTTTGTTAGTGGAACCTCTTGGTAACTAAGCAAATGCCTTCCTGTGTCCATCATATTCAGCCTTTCTCTCTCTCTCCCTCTCTCTTTGGATACAAGGTCTCTCCCGTGTCACCGAGGCTCAAGTGCAGTGGTGTGATCATGGCTCACTGCAGCCTCGAATTCCTGGGCTCAAGCGATCCTCCCACCTCAGCCTCTTGAGTAGCTGGAACTGCAGACAGGCACCAGCATGCCAGACTATGTTCATTTTCTTTAAATGAGCACACCTCATCCCCCAAAATCTGCAAGTAACCCCATGATATGATGAAATGTATGCCTATATAATTTCAGGGTGGGAGGCTGGGGGTGCTTATGGAGTCCTTCAAGGGTATGATCTTTCTTTCTTTTTTTTTTTTTATACGGGGTCTCACTCTGTCATCCAGGTTGGAGTGCAGTGGCACAATCTCGGCTTACTGCAACCTCTGCCTCCCAGGCTCAAGCGATCCTCCCACCTCAACCTCCAGAGCAGCAAGGACCACAGGTGCACACCACCACTCCTGGCTATTTTTTTTTTTTTTTTTGGTAGAGACGGGGTTTCACCATGTTGTTGCCCAGGCTGCTCTTGAACTCCTGAGCTTAGGTGATCCACTGGCCTCAGCCTCCCAAAGTGCTGGAATTACAGGCGTGCGCCTGGCCCTAGGTATGATCTTTCTAGCCAGCAATTTGTTAATCTACCAAAAGCCTTAAAATTGTTCATACCATTTGCCATAGAATATACACTTCTGAGAACTCAAAAAATGAGTTATTTAATATGCAAAGAATAGGTAAGAATATTCTCTGCAAGTATTATTTATAAAAGTGAAAAACTGCAAAAAATCTAAATGTCCCATAATTGACCTCAGCTAAATAAATTATAGCATAATCATACAATAGGTTATTGAGGCCATTATTCATTATATACTTGAACAATATTAAAGAATATTAAGAGCCGGGCGTGGTGGCTCATGCCTGTAATCCCAGCACTTTGGGAAGCCGAGGTAGGCGGATCACAAGGTCAAGAGATCGAGACCATCCTGGCCAACATGGTGAAACCCCGTCTCTACTAAAAATACAAAAATTAGCTGGGCATGGTGGTGCGTGCCTATAGTCCCAGCTACTCAGGAGGCTGAGGCAGGAGAATGGCGTGAACCCGGGAGGCGGAGGTTGCAGTGAGCTGAGATCGCGCCACTGCCCTCCAGCCTGGGCGACAGAGCCAGGCTCCGTCTCAAAAAAAAAAAAAAAATTAAGAAAGGCTCATGATATAAAGTTAAGTGAAAAACAAGGTGAAAAACTATCTACATATCCTATAAACCCAATGTCGATATATATTCTACACATATACACAAACACAAGATTCATGTATGGAGAGAGAGAGAGAGAGAGAGAGAGAGAGAGAGAGAGAGAGATCCTCCAGCTTTCCCAGCCTCACTGGATTTATGTACTTTCATATGCCGTAACTCTTCTCTTCATTCTCTACGGTCACAGCAGTCCAGTCCCCTCTCTGGGTATTTCTGAGACCCTCCAACACATGTCTGCATATTCCCCAACTCATCCTGTTACCTGATCCCTATGCACTCCACAGCATTGCCCCAGCCTCCTTCCCCAATCACTTCTCACATGTCTCAAAATGGCTTTTCCAGCTGACTGTCATTCTCTATCATCTGGCTACAATTTTAACAAACCTTACAAAGTCTCAAGGATTACATAGAGAATTACAGTGCAGGAAAAAACTTTAACACTGAACATTAGATATCATTTGCTCCTAAAGTTCCCTGTAAGCCTCTTTCCAGGGACTCTCCACCACAGGCCCACTCCTTTGTTTTCAGCCTGCCACAGTTGTGCAAAGGTTTGCCTCACCCTCCCAGAGGGCATCTCCTCCTATTGACTCAATAGGAGTTCTTGTTTCTGACCATCAGCAGAGGAAACTCGATAGTCTGGACAGCTATACCTGCTCCCAATAAAAATGGCTTTTTGCATTGTTAAACGGAAACCTCAGTGTCTTCATCTAAAACATTTGCATTTGGATTACTCCACTGGTTCAGGGACTTCCAAGCACAGTTGTTTGTTATTTCCTTTGGGTCCTCAAGAATTTAAAAAGAGTTGCCCCTGGCCTGGAGCAGTGGCTTATGGCTGTAATCCCGGCACTTTGGGAGGCCGAGGATGGTGGATCATTTGAGGACAAGAGTTCAAGACCAACTTGGCCAACATGGTGAAACCCTGTCTCTACTAAAAATATAAAAATTAGCCGGGCATGGTGACACATGCCTATATTCTCAGCTACTAGGAAGGCTGAGACAGGAGAATTACTTAAGCCCAGGAGGCGGAGGTTGCAGTGAGCCAAGATTGTACCACTGCACTCCAGCCTGGGTGACAGAGTGAGACTCTGTCTCAAAAATAAATAAATAATAGAATAGAATAGAATAGACCGGGCACGGTGGCTCACACCTGTAATCCCAGCACTTTGGGAGGCTGAGGTGGGCAGATCATGAGGTCAGGAGTTCGAGACCATCCTGACCAGCATGGTGAAACCCTGTCTCTACCAAAAATACAAAAATTAGCTGGGTGTGGTGGCACCCGCCTGTAATCCCAGCTACTCAGGAGGCTGAGGCAGGAGAATAGCTTGAACCTGGGAGGCAGAGGTTGCAGTGAGCCGAGATGGCACTACTGCACTCCAGCCTGGGCGAAAGAGCGAGACACTGTCAAAAAAAAAAAATAAATTAATAAAATAAAAAGAGTTTCCCCTAAAGACAAAGTAATCTTCCATCCTTAGAATATTCAAGAAAGGATGCAGAAACACTGGAATGCAGTTTCAGATACATAATAACAGCTAACAGTAAGTACTTACTATGAACCAGGCACTATACTAAGCACTGGACACGTATTAACTCACTTAATCTTCATGAGAACCCTCTGGTAAGTGCTATCATTAACCATATGGATGAAAAAATTAAGACAGACAGCAATTCAGTACTTTTCCCCAAAGCCACAGATCCAGAAAAATGGTAAAGGTAGGCTATATCCAGGTAATGTGGTTTGGCAGTGTCCGCACCCAAATCTCTTCTTGAAATGTAATTCCCATAATCCACATGTGTCAAGGGAGGGGCCCACTGGAAGGTGATTGGATCATGAGGGCAGTTTCCCCATGCTGTTCTCACAATAGTGAGTGAGTTCTCATGAGATCTGATGGTTTTATAAGGGGTTCTTCCCCCTTCACTCCTCACACTTCTCTCTCCTGCCTCCAAGTGAAGAAGGTCCTTGCTTCCCCTTCTCCTTTCACCATGATTGTAAGTTTTCTGAGGCCTCCCCAGCCATGTGGAACTATATGTTAATGAAACCTCTTTCCTTTATAATTTACCCAGTCTTGGGTATTTATTTATAGCAGTGTGGAAACAAACATACACCAGGTCATGTCATTCTAGGGATTTAGCCTCTCTTATCTACTACACTTTATTGCCTCGAAAGACGGGAGGAAGCAAAAAAATGGGAATTAAGGAGGAAAGGAAGTGCTAACAAATGGTGACAATTTTTTTTGTATTTTTCAAATTGCCTACAAGGAACTTTAGAATTAGGAACTAGAGCATGTGTGTGTGTGTGTGTGTGTGTGTGTGTGTGTGTGTGTGCGCGCGCGCGCGCGCACTAGGCATTGTACCTTCATCTCTCTAATTCATAATGACCCCTAATATTTAACCACTATAGTAGACATCTTTCCTCTAAGAAATGCTGTTGACTTACATGGATAGGCCCCTAGGAGACTGTATCTATGCCCTGTAACCTCATTCCTTGATGTCAGTTGACTGAACTAGGAAACCATCTGACACCGTTTGAGATAATATGATTTTCTCACTTGAGGATTTCAAATTAGAATTGAGATTAACCCAGTCAATCTGAGTTAGTCTCCTATACAGAGGATACATATGTATTGGTCAGAGAAGGTTAACTGCTATAACAAACGATCTCCAAATCTCAACGGCTTCAGTTTATTTCTCAACCATATCATGCTTTAATGTAGGCCAATGGAGGATGGAGATGAGGGAAATGCTATGCTCCATAAATTTTACTAAGTGCCCAGGTTCCTTCCATCTAGTGGCTTCACTATTTTCTAAGACCTTAGTCAAGGGAAGAGGGAGAGGCTGAAGAGGTGCACAGGAGATTTTTTAAATGGGTTAGACCTGAAATAGTATGCACCATGCCCCCATTCTACTGGCCACAGTTCATCACATGGCCCTACCTGACAGGAAGGGATGCTGGGAAACACAGTCCAGTTGTATGCCCAGAAAGAAGAGAAAATGGGTAGGTGACCATCTAGTCAGTCTCTATCACAACATGTAAATTTTGAATGGTGGGGTAGCCATCATCTGTCTACCATGTGCATGTAAAAGCTAAGATTTGTAGAGTGACAAGAATGAAACAGGTGTCCACAGGGACACAGAGAGGAGAGAGAGTGTGAGAAAGTCTTGTGTGGTTTCTTTCTGGCTTTCCACTTTGTGACATTCGTTTTTTGTTTGTTTTGTTATATATGTATATATAATTATAAAAATTATATATATAAAAATTTTTATAATAACAGCTTTATTGAAATATAATTCACATGACATAAAATTCAACTTTTCAAAGTGTACAGTTCCGTGGGTTTTAGTATAGAGTTATGCATCACCACGATCTAATTCTAGAACATTTTCATCCCTCCACAAGAAACTCTGAGCTCACTAGCAGTCACTGCCCACCATTCCCCATTCTACCCAGCCCCTGGCAATCATTAATCTACTTTCTGTCTATATGGATTTGTTTATTCTGGACATTTCATATAAATGGAATCAGTCATACAATATGTGGCCCTCTGTGTCTGGGTTCTTTCACTTAGCAGTAAGTTTTTCAAGGTTAACCCATTTTGTAGTATGTATCAGAACTTCATTTCTTTTTATAACCGAATAATATTCCATCATATGGACACACCACAGTTTGTTTATCTGGTTATCACTTTGTGGGAATTTGAGTTGTTTCTACCTTTTGCCTATCATGAGTAATGCTGCCAAGAACATTGGTGTACATTTTGTGTGCACATATGCTTTCATAGGAGTGGAATTGCTGGGTCATATGGTAATAACTTTATGATTAACAGTTTGAGGAACTGTCTGGAACTAATGTTTAAGAGTCCTGGCTGTCCTTGAGCTACTTCAGTATCCTCCACATGAATATATGAATTCCTTTTTTTCCTTCTTCTTTCATCGACTTGAATTGATTTTAGTAACATTATTTGCAACCTCATGAGCCTTAACAAAGTCACCCACTTGTATTACTTCTGGTTTAGACTTTCCCGATTCCTCAGTCTCCTTTATTTTGGCTCCATTTTTGCTTGCCTATTTGATAATGCTTTAGTTTGGCTTTATTTTGGCTGCAAGTATCAGATACTCATTCCAGTTAGCTCAAGTATAAGAACATTCAGAAAAATACATGATAAGATAATGGAAGCTTTTGGAAACCCAAGAACAAAAACCATAAAGGGCTAGCTTCAGAGAAACTAGTGCTAAAAGCTAGTTCTCAATTTGAGGTGGCTGTACACTTTACCAATTACAAATTTGTAAGTCTTCACTGTATTTCATCAGTATAGCTATAGTTCAGCCATACTCATTTCTGTCCTGCTATGAACTGGTAATTTCTCTACTTTCATGCCATTCTTCTGAGAGAGAAGCTCTGATGGGTCCAATGTATCTTTTCATATCTGATTACAGGTCATGGGAATCTAGCCAATCTATGGTTTGGTTGCTCTTAAATCAGGTGCCCACCCTGATCCAATCATTCATGAGTCCAGAGAGCTAGATCTCATGGTACAAAACATGGCTACTGAGTCTACTTCTTTAACAGGGGCCAGGAGGGCATGGTGATTGATTTTTTTTGTGTGTGATTGATTGATATTTTGTTTTGTTTTGTATTTTTGAGAGACGGAATTTCGCTCTGTCGCCCAGGCTAGAGTAGAGTGGAGTGATCTCGGCTTACTGCAACCTCTGCCTCCCGGGTTCAAGCGATTCTCCTGCCTCAGTGTCCCAAATAGCTGGGACTACAGGTATGTGCCACCACACCCAGGTAATTTTTGTATTTTTTAGTAGAGATGGAGTTTCACTATATGTTGTTTCAGGCCGGTCTCAAACTCCTGACCTCAGGTGATCCACCTGCCTCGGCCTCCCAAAGTGCTGGGATTACAGGCGTGAGCCATCATGCTTGGCCGATTGATTGATATTTTAATTAAAAAAAAATGGATCAACTCTTTTGCAATCAACGTCTGTCTTTGGTCTTTGGTTTTTTTTTGTCGGGGGGAGGGTGTGGGGGACAGTCTTACTCTGTTGCCGAGGTTGTGGTGCTATCTTGGCTCTCTGCAACCTCTGCCTCCCAGGTTCAAGTGATTCTCCTGCCTCAGCCTCCCGAGTAGCTGGGACTACAGGCAAGTGCCACTGCGTCTGGCTAATTTTTGTATTTTTTGTAGAGACGGTTTCACCATGTTGTCCAGACTGGTCTTGAACTCCTGACCTCAGGTGATCCGCCTGCCTCTGCCTCCCAAAGTGCTGGGATTACAGGTGTGAGCCACCGTGCCTGGCCTGTCTTTGGTCTTAATAATCTGCTGCTACATCGTTTCCTGTATTCAATATCCAGCTTTATGTGCTGTGATCAAGGGTAAGACTAGCCTATTGTTCCATCCCAAACCAGTCTACACCTTGCTCAACTATCTCTCTGTGAGAGGAGTTGGATTAAACATATGTTGTAAAGGCAGTTTGTCCCTTTGGATGATGTGAACAGTAAAAGTAGAAAGGAGTCCCTGAACAGGACCCATTCCCTGTTCCTATCAGAGCCTCTCCCCATGATTCCCTCTTGATACAGTTTTGGATATTTGTCCCCACCCAAATCTTATATTAAATTGTAATCCCCAATGCTGGAGGTAGTACCTGGTGGGAGGTGTTTGGATCATGAGGGTGGATCCCTCATAGCCTGATGCTGTCTTCCTGATAGTGAGTTCTTGTGAGATCTGGTTATGTAAAAGTGTGTGGCACCACCCTCCCACTCTCTCTCTTTCTCTCTTCCTCCTGCTTTTGCCATGTGAAGTGCCTGCTCTCGCTTTGTCTTCTGCCATGATTGAAAGCTCCCTGAGACTTTACCAGAAGCCCAGCAGATGCCAGCATGATGTTTCCTTTAAAGCCTGCAGAACCATGAGCTAATTAAACCTGTTTTCTTTATAAGTTACCCAGTCTCAGGTATTTCTTTATAGCAATGCAAGAATGGCCTGATACAACTCCCTGTCTCCTACCTTATTTCCTAAAATGCAAAGGAGTAGAACCACAGCAAAGATTCATAGAGTATAGCAAATTGTCCACAATTTCCAAGTCTACTTTCAACATGTCACAGCTGGAACAGGATAGGAAGCTCCTTGAGCCAAAAGTTAAGCTTTGGGATGAGTGAAAGACTGGCTTTCGGTACTTCTTTTCATAAGGACACAACCCAGAGATAGAAGTATATTTATAAAAGGAAAAATGCAGGTTTTAATATGTTAGAATGAGCAATAATATTTGAAATTAAAATGTAAACTCTTATCATTAATGTCAGAACTTTCCAGAATATTAAATTACATGTGTCTGTGAATGTATATTTTTCCATTAACAAAGCAAAAGAAAAAAAAATTAAACCCACCGAGTTTCATGAAGTTTTCCACTTGGAAAGATGTTCTGATTTGTATGAAGGGTAGGCCCATAGTCTGCCCTAATTTTATTTGTTGCTCCTCTGGTTTTTTTTTTTTAATGTGCTTCCCTGTGGCTAATGCCAAGTGTGCATTTGCCAGATCATCTGGACATACTCCAAAAGAAATAGCTCACCCATATCTTTAAAGAAAAAAGCATTTCATACATGTTTGAAAGCTAAAGTAGCTTGAGGGTAGGGGTGGGGGATAGAGGACAGAGAAGACAGAGTTTCATATTTTACTAGCAAATTTTGACCAGACTTTCTGAACCTTAGCATTTTAGGAATTTGAGTTGGCCAAGTCAGTTGTGAAAGACTCCCACATAGCAGGAATTGAAAAAAAAGGACAGATTATTTACATGAGTTTTCTACTACCTAATTGGATAGATACTGTTCCCTAACCAGGCACAACAAAAACATGTTTGTTTATTTTAAGGCTGTCTGCTGCCCTGCATTGTGAGTTTGCTCAGTGGGCCAGCGTGGCACAGAAGCACAGTTGAGAGACCAGACCCGGGGCCTCTGGAGGAACGTGCTGGTATCATCGCTGAAGAGCTTTCTCAATGCTGGCTGGCTGTTGTCAGGAGCAGTCCTTAGACAGGCTCGCTTCTGGTAGTTCAAAGAATCAGGTTGGTTTAGCAATCATGTTATCCCTTACATTACTTGTATATTCCTAAGTGTATTCCAAAGACGGTGAATTCCCATCCACAGTATAGGTGCAAACTGTGATGAGATGAGGCTTGGGGTTCTAATGAAGTGCAGGCCACAGATTTTAGAACACAGAAGAGAGGTTCTGAGTGTGGTGGTGAAGAGCATGGACTCAGGAGCCAGACTGCCTGGGTTGGAATCCCAGTCCCCAGCTTCCTGGCCATGCTATCCTGGGCAGGTTACTTAACTACCCAGTGCCTCAATTTCCCCATCTGTTATATAGGGATTAAATAGCCCCTACTTTAATAGAGTTAATATAAGTATTAAATGAGTAAGATGATTAGGAAATTGACATGTAGTAAGTGACATATATGTTTGTTAAATAAAGTGGAATATACTGATGACTGGTATTCACTCTAGAATTCTACATTCTCACATGAGAAAGAATACAAATGCTAGAAACAACCCAAATTGGGGCAAATCTAAATAAACTGCAATATGGTTGTACTATGAAACACTATGTAGCCACTTTTTTTTTTTTTTTTTAAATCTTGAGACAGGGTCTTACTGGGTCACTCAGGCTGGAGTGCGTGGCACCATCTTGGCTCACTGCAACTTCCACCTCCCAGGTTTAAGTGATTCTCCAGCCTCAGCCTCCCAAGTAGCTGGGATTACAGTGTGTGCCACCATGCCTGGCTAATTTGTTTGTTTGTTTGTTTGTTTATTTATTTTTTTTGAGAGACAAGGTTTCACCATGTTGCCTAGGCTGGTCTTGAACTCCTGAGCTCAAAGCAGTCCACCCACCTCAGCCTCCCAAAGTTCTGGGATTACAGGCATGAGCCACCCTGCTTGTCCTATAGCCGCTTTTAAATGAGGCATTTTTATATATGCTGTTGTGGGATAACCTGTAAGATATATTGTTAAAGAGACAGAGCAAGTCCCAGTACAGCACATGTAGGAGTAATTATAAGAACTAACATTTACTGAATATTTTTTGTGTCGGGCACTGTTTTAAGAGCTCTACGTATATTAACTCATTTAATCTCCATAATAAGTCAGGTACTTGTCATTTTTCATTGTGGAAATTAATGAGAAAACTGAGTCTCAGAGGTTAGGGTACTTGTCTCAGGTCACACAGTGGGTAGATAGATGAGCTGGGACTTGAATTCAGACAAAGTTGCGCCAGTGTCCATTTATTAATCACTATGCTAAGCTACTCTCCCAGTAGAATAATCTCAGTTGTGTACAAATAAAACTACATACGTAAAAAGAAAAATGCATGTTAAAAACAACAAGGTCTGAAGGCATAGACACTAACCATTAATCTATAAAGGGAAGAATGGGAATCAGTGGCGTCAGGTGGTGGCAGAAGCTTAAGGTGAGGGGGACTTTCATTTATTATTATATATATCTGAATATTGTTTGAATTATTGAGTATTATACAAATATGAATTTGTATATTGCTTTTAGAATTAAAAATAATTGTAAAATAAATGAATAACAAACACTTATGAAAAATTTACTTGATGTCAGGCAGTGTTCCTTAGTGTTTTACAAATATTAAATAACCTAATCTTCTTAAAAGTCTCCATTTTGCAGATGAGGAAACTAAGGTAGTCATTCCACAGTTGATAAGAGACAAAGGTGGGATTTGAACCCATATAGTCTGACTGCAGATTCTGTGTTCTTAATCATTATTACACACACACAGACACACACACACACACACACACACACACACACACACACACACGCATGTGGGAGCTGAGATCTGAGCCAATGGTCGTCACACATTTTCAAATTCTAGACCAGACTACTAACCACCCTGTGCCATGGGGAACACCCTTTAGTCTGGTGCTTAGAGGTATAAATTCTCAAATTGCACAAACATGGACTTGAATTCCATCTCTGCTAGTTACTAGCTGTGTGATCTTGGGCTAGTTATTTGACAGTTTTGATCTCTGTATCCTCAACTATAAAAAATTGAGATAATAGGCCAGGCGCAGTGGCTCACGCCTGTAATCCCAGCACTTTGGGAGGCTGAGGCGAGTGGATCACCAGGTCAGGGGATCGAGACCATCCTGGCTAACACGGTGAAACCCCGTCTCTACTAAAAATACAAAAAATTAGCTGGGCGTGGTGGCGGGCGCCTGTAGTCCCAGCTACTCGGGAGGCTGAGGCAGGAGAATGGCATGAACCCAGGAGGTGGAGCTTGCAGTGAGCCGAGATTGCACCACTGCACTCTAGCCTGGGGGCCAGAGCAAGACTCCGTCTCAAAAAAAAAAAAAAAAAAGAAAAAAAAAACACCTGAGATAATAATAGTCACTCTCATAACGCTGTTATGAGGATTTAAAAATATTAGTATACATAAAGTGCTTAGCACAGAACCTGGCATACAGTAAGAAATAAATCAATGTTAATTATTGCCATTATAATTATTAGTATATTATCTAGGCACCCCCTTTTCAACTTATATTAAGGTTGAGGGTAATCTTTTTCTCCCATCTTTATTTGGGACACTAAGACACATCTTTGGTCTAGCAATATCTGTAAGGAATCTACTTTTTATTTTTTATTTATTTATTTATTTTTAGTAGAGACAGGGTTTCACCATTTAGGCCAGGCTGGTCTTGAACTCCTGACCTTGTGATCTACCAGCCTCAGCCTCCCAAAGTGCTGGGATTACAGGCGTAAGCCACTGTGCCCGGTCAGGAATCTACTTTTTGATGTGATTGCAAAAAGTTTACCAAGATATACGTTTAAAGATATTCACTGAGGTGTTATTTGTTCTAGCAATGAACTGGAAACCACCTAAACATCCATCATTAGGAAACTGATTGGTTGGGTGTGGTGGCTCACTCCTGTAGTCTCAGCACTTTGGGAGGATGAGACAGGCAGATCACTTGAGCCCAGCAGTTCAAGACCAGCCTGGGCAAAAAAAATTAGCTGAGTAGGGTGACATGTGCCTGTAGTCCCAGCTACTTGGGAGGCTGAGGTGGGAGGATCATTTGAGCCTGGGAAGTCGAGGCTGCAGTGAGCCAAGACTGTGCCACTGCACTCCAGCCTGGGCGACAAAGCAAGACCTTGTCTCGAAAAAAAAAAAAAAAGGAAACTGATTAAATACATTTTGATACATACAAATAAGGAATAACATGTGAGGACTCTGAAAAGGCCCAATACATAGCAGCCTTCTTCCCTGTTCAGAATCTGAACAAACTGAGAAAACGACAGATGAAGGCAGAAATCTCTCTGATGAAGGCTAATTTGCATGCTGCACCATGTGTTATCTCATACTGAGAGACAAATAGGCTTCCTACTATGGAAACCCCGAATTGGATAGACATTCTCCAGTTCTGCCCACTTCTGGGGGAGTGGTAGGCAACTCCATCCTAAGAAGAAAAGGGCAGAATTGAACCTGAAAGGTTCAATTTATATAATCAGATAAATCACTCTGCACTCAAGGGGTGGTGGAAGTAAAGGGACAGAAAGGGGCCAGGAATGACGTTAGCTGAGTGCCTTTCACTTGGAAGGCACATTCTCTCCTAACAAAGATTGTGCAGACATTAAAAGTAGAGAGTATGGCTGGGCACTGTGGCTCACACCTATAGTCCCAGCACTTTGGGAAGCTGAGGTGGGTGGATCACGAGGTCAGGAGTTCAAGACCAGCCTGGCCAAGATGGTGAAACCCCGTCTCTACTAAAAATACAAAAATTAGCTGGGCGTGGTGACAGGCACCTGTAATCCCAGCTACTCAGGAGGCTGAGGCAGAGAACTGTTTGAACCCGAGAGATAGAGGTCGCAGAGCCAAGATCGCGCCACTGCGCTCTAGCCTGGGCGACAGAGACTGTCTCAAAAAAAAAAAAAAAAAAAAGAGAGAGTATATCTGCAGCTCGTGTTTGAAAGATCTCTGAGATGGTGTTTAAGGTGAAAATAATGAGATGCAGAATGATTAATACAGTAAGATCTCCCTCATGGAAAATTTTGTTAGAGGACATACATAACTATGTCATAATAAGGATGCACACAAAAAAAATAGTAACACTGGTTATATTTTAGGGGAAAAACTCAGGGCAGAAGAGGTATTTTTCCTTTTATACCTTTTTTTACTGTTTTAATTTTCTTCCCCTGTGTATGTATTACTTTTATTTTTAAAAATACTGTTAGGGGTTATCTGGACTGTGGGATTAATGACCATTATTACTTTCTTTTTCACAGTGCTCTGCAAAAGTAAGTTATAATAAATGTTATCTTAAAAAATAAAAACAAGGCAACTGTTTTTTTTTTAAGTGCCCTCTCTAGCCTTGGGAGTCCTAATGAGCTATAATCACAGAGACGCCAGACTAGTCAAAATTGGAAGAAAGAGCTATAATCACAGGAAAAGAACTCTCTCCACAATTTGAAGTATCCCAGAAAAAGCAGCAGCAATGAGGACAGACTTCAAGACAAGCAGAGAGGAGCAGCCATGGCGGGGCCTGCAGTGGCTACAGGGGGCCTCTATAGCGTGAAATGACATCAGAAAAGGACCTGAGTGGCCCAAGAAAGGGAGGACGGAAAGTCAAGGAGGAAAGTAAGCAGGAGTTGAATTTAGGAGTAAATGCTACGGTGATTATGACTCACAGCCTCATGGTCCTCAAGGCTGGAGTGGCGTTGGAGAAACCAGGTCATAGTTGTATAACCAAGGTACTCTGCAGGATGGACTATGGAGCTGCCTCCTGCAGCCACAGGTGATCAAAATGAGGTCTGTGTGACGGAGCCTGCAGCGAGGCAAGATGGCTGCCTCAAACAAGTCCATATTTCATCTCTCCTCCTAACCTCCTGCCTGCCAAAGCTCTGGCAGGGAACTCATTACAACAAAGCATGCATGCACCCTAATTACCTGTCATACTTCTCTGTTGCTGGACCAGACCCTATAAGAGAATTCCAAAGAATTTATTTTTATGGGAACAAAATGCAGTAATTGATGTTGCAATCCTGCCCAAATCACTGAACAGATCCTTTAACATCCAAATTCCCTAAAACAGCTTTGACTTACTACACACTTCACATGCCAGCTAGTGTTTGAAGTGCGTGTAGCCGCCCCCATGAAGCCCTTTCTTACTGTAAGTGCTCAAGAACAAAGATATTTCTTAAACTTCCTTTGATTCTCATAAAATAAAAATAGCCATTACATAATAAAGCACAAAGCTCCATGGGTTAAGAAGTCCCTGATGTTTTTCCTGCCTTCGGTCATTTTCTTTGTTTAAAGCATTTAGAAACAGTGAATGTTCATGAAGAAAAAAAAAAATCTCCAGCGGGAAAATGAGTGTGAGAGTTAGTCAGCAGCTAGACTCACTCATACGTCCATGAGGTTGTAACTTAATCTGAAAATATAGTCTTTCCTGGAAGAGACTTGAGCAGCAATTTATCATTTTATAATTTGTGGTTTAAATTTGAGCCATAAACCAAGCAGCTGTATTGGTTTGAGGCACTTTTGAATCTTCTTAAAACCCCAGGAGGCAAGAGGACAGCTTTAAACTTGAGGCTCCAAACTCTTGGGGTTTAACTGAGAGAACACGAAGGACAACGTTTCTGTGTGCCCTCTCTTTTCTTAGGAAATGTATGGAATGCATGCCTTTGTTTGTTTTAGACTTGGGAAGAAAAAGCAGACTTTGATAGCTGGAGCCACAAGCCGGCCCCTCGTATCTTATGACATCGGGTTTTCGTACATTACAGGGTCCCCTGGGAAATGAGAAGCTGGAAGCCGAGAGAGGGGGAAATGGGCGGAGAAAGGGGAAGCAAGGGGAAGGGAGGAGTGCCGGAGATAACTCTGCTGACTTCACAATTTTCCACCGGGGCCTGCCCTGCCTACCTTTGTTGACATCAAAGCTCATTGAGAAGCCTCTGTGTGCTGGCTCAGTCAGCCCTGCCTGCTGCCAGTGGGAAAAGGAATTGGCAACTAGCCCTACAACAAAACTGAGAACATAATTCTTGAAATTAACTTTTCCTTAAAAATTTTTTTTTCCATCTTGGTATGGCAGCTCTGGGTCCCGTCCGCCACCACTTGCTGGGGTTCAAGCATCCACCAGGGAGGAAAGCAGCTTTTACACAGATATCTCCAGAAACTCGGGCAGCCTCCCAAGGTGTCTCACTGGTTCTGCAGCAGTGTTGGCTTTCTGTGGGCTGATGGGTGTGGCTTTTGCAATCATGTTGGGGCGCCTGGATTTGGGAAGCCTGGGCTCCTTTATGCAGAGCAATGCAGAGCATCAGATTTTGGCTGGCAGCTGAGCTCTCAAGTCGGCTGCCGTTTCGTCTCTCCTCCCTGCTCCCCTGCTGGGATTCGTTTGTTTCCATTCCCATCTCTCTTTTCTTTGGAGTCCTCTGGCCCCTCTCCAGGGAGAAAGCAGAGGAAATAAGATGACCATCCTGTCTGCTGTCACTTATGACCTTCAAATCTGCTTATCACTTGAATCCCAGGACAAAAAGAGTCACAGCACCCTTACTGAGCAAAAGCAACTTGCCATAGATTCTACATGTTAAAACCCAGTTGGACAGCACAGTTAAAATATATGCCTGTGTGGCTGGGCGTGGTGGCTCATGCCTGTAATCCCAGCACTTTGGGAGGCCAAGGCGAGCAGATCACAAGGTCAAGAGATTGAGACCATCCTGGCCAACATGGTAAAACACCGTCTCTACTAAAAATACAAAAATTAGCTGGGCGTGGTGGCGTGCTCCTGTAGTCCCAATTACTTGGGAGGCTGAGGCAGGAGAATTGCTTGAACCGGGGAGGTGGAGGTTGCAGTGAGCTGAGATCCCACCACTGCACTCCAGCCTGGTGACACAGTGAGACTCCATCTCAAAATAAATAAATAAGTACATAAAAAATTAAAAGAAAATATATGCCTGTGTGTTCTATCTCATAGCTCTCTGCTCCAACAGCCTCAGGCAGTATGAGGCATGCTACCCTTTACCATCTTCTCCTGTTCAATATGAATCTAAAGATAAGCCTGGGCTAGAAGTAGGTTCCCTGGCAATCCAGCTCCAGCAACAAAGAAAGCTGAGCATAAAAAGCAGTTTACAGTTTCTGCAACTGGTTATAGATTGTATTTATTTGTTTATTTAATTTAATTATTATTATTATTTTTTGAGATGGAGTCTCGCTCTGTTGCCCAGGCTGCAGTGCAGTGGCACAGTCTCGGCTCACTGCAACCTCTGCCTCTTGGGTTCAAGTGATTCTCATGTCTCAGCCTCCCAAGTAGCTGGGACTACAGAAACACACCAGCATGCCTGTTTTAGTAGAGACGTGGTTCCACCATGTTGGCAGGCTGGTCTTGAACTCCTGACCTCATGTGATCTGCCTGCCTCGGCCTCCCAAAGTGCTGGGATTAGAGGTGTGAGCCATTGTGCCAGGTCAGATTGTATTTACAAGTCACAGGATGTCAGCATCCTCCCATCTTTTTTTTTTTTTTGAGACAGGATCTCACTTTGTCACCTAGGCTGGAGTGCAGTGGTGTGATCTCGGCTCATGGCAGCCTCGACCTCCTGGGCTCAAGTGATCTGCCCACGTTGGCTTCCCAAAATGGTAGGATTACAGGCATGAGCCACTGCACTCGACCTATTTTCCCTTTTTTAAATTTACCACTGCTAGGCCGGGTGCGGTGGCTCATGCCTATACTCTTGTCCTTAAGGGAAGTAATAGGAATTGTCACATTTTAGATAAGAAATTGGTGAGCACAGTAATTCAAACCCTATATTTTGAAACCAGGGATTTTAAAATTGGGAAATGAGAACTTAAACAACGTAATTAAGAGGCCTGCCTGAGGTAAGGGTTCATTAGTTAATCCCATGAACAAGAATTAGCACCTGAGTCAGTTTGGAACTATGCATCCTCAAGGACCCAAATCCAGATGAGACAGGTGAGAGTGTTACTCAAAACTAAGCTTACTACAAGAGATGCAATTAGCCAGGTGTGGTGGTGGGTGCCTACAGTCCCACCTACTTGGGAGGCTGAGGCAGGAGAATGGCTTGAACCCGGGAGGTGGAGATTGCAGTGAGCTGAGATTGCACCACTGCACTCCAGCCTGGGAGACAGAGTGAGACTCTGTCTGAAAAACAAAAAAAAAAAAAAAAGAAAAAGAAAAAAAGAAAAAAAAAGAGATGCATTGAAGTTATTTTCTGCTTAAGAGAGCTGAAACCCTGCCCTTGGTTATCTAGACTCACATTGACTCCCCCAGACTGCCAATGCATTTGAAACTGATTCAAAATGCTTTTTGGAGATCCATCTCAATTCAGCTTGCAGGCATTCTTGGGGCCCCCTTCCAAGAAGAAATGGACCGGCATCCTGTCTGGGCTAGACCCAAGTTAGGCTCTGTCTGTCTGGGAGAATGTCATTTCTGCTTTTGAATGTCTGATGGCTAAAGCTCCAGGCTCTTGCTCCTCAATCAACACCACCACATATTCGCAGTGTTGGCTCGACTTGCAGACCTTAATCTTTAGCTCCCACATAGATGAGACAATTCTTTTTTTAAAGACATTAAGGATATATTAAGCTTCTCTTCCCTGAATTCTGTTTCTCAAACTTCCATCATCATCCCCTACTACTACTTACTGAGTACCTAGTATGACCTAGATACTGGGGCAAACAAGGGAGACTTGGTCCATGCCTTCATAGGCCTTTAAGTACCATAGGTAATAATTGTATCATTGTATAACCAAGTTAGAGATAAAAAAATAAAATGACAGACAGCTCACAGCCTTCTGTCTCATTAATATTGCATTCACCCCACCTAACAAAGTAGGAGATCTAATAGTCAAGTTCTTCAGTGTTCTCTTGGCTCACTTCCCAGCTGTGGTCAAATTCTCTGCATGCTCTTTCCTCCTTTTCTGGATTACTTGAGGAATTGCCAGGAGAGCAGAGGCATGAAGAATGCAGGCAGCGAAAGAGAAAAAGCATCTGCAAATGACTGACCGAAGCCAGTTGTAGTTAGACAGAATCAGGGTTCTCAGTTGCAAGCAACAGAAACCAACTCTGATTGATTTAAACAGAAAAATAATTTGTTGAAATGCTATTGGGCAACTCATAGAAAAACTGGGAAGGCTAGAGAAATAGGCTCAAAAAACACAGGAACCAGAAATTCAGGATCACAGCCAAGGCTATAGGTACAATCACAGCACAGGGCCTAAGATGATGATACCACTGTTGCCACTGCCCAGTGCTGGACCACAACTTACATTGTCACCCTCTTCAGCTGCAGACACTGGATACCACCATAAGCACCACTGCACTGGGAGCTTGTATATTTTTGCTGCCCTGCAGTTTCCTGTGAAAAGGGATCCGTATTTGTTGGTGCCAGTAATTTCTGATTCCTTCTGGAGCAGCTGCACCTGTTGGCCAAGTCTCGGTTATGTGTCCATATCCTACCTTTAAAAGAGACTAGAAAGGAGAGTATCTGGGCCAGGCGTGGTGGCTCATGCCTGTAATCCCAGCACTTTGGGAAGCCAAGGTGGGTGATCACCTACGGTCAGGAGTTCGAGACCAGCCTGACCAATATGGTGAAACCTTATCTCTACTAAAAATATAAAAATCAGTCGGATGTGATGGTGGGCACCTGTAGCCCTAGCTACTCAGGAGGCTGAGACAGGAGAATTGCTTGAACCCGGGAGGTGGAGGTTGCAGTGAGCTGAGATCACCCCACTGCACTCCAGCCTAGGTGACCAAGCAAGACTCCGTCTCAAATAAAATAAGATGAAATAAAATAAGAGAGTATCTGGTCCTTAGGGCTCTTTCTTAGGACACCAAGATTCATAAAAAGGTAAATGTCCTAAACATGTGAAGGGAGTTCAGATGCTGAGTAACCACAAATGACTCTACCTAAACCTCCTTCCTCTAATCCCATGTGATAGGGAGGGCCTGGGTCAACATTGCTGAAGAGCCAGAAAATCAGAAATGAGTCCAGTATCCACATTCCAGCACTAAGCCCAGTATCTACCAACCCGAGAAGCAACTGCCCTAGGCAAGCAAGGGCAGCACAATCAGGTTGACCTCTCCTCGGGGACGAAGGAAAGATGGCCCCCTCTCTCCCACAGGAGACTCCCTCAGCCCCAGTGAGGAGAGGAGAGGGAGCAGTGGGCAGGCTGTTTGATCCTCCCCACCTGCACCTGGATCAGCCCTGCCTGCTCCAGTCATCCTTTTCACACCAGCAGGAAGGAAATTGAAGCTACTGCCATTGAAAACACAAAAGACAAAAGCCCGTGCCAGAGGTTTGTACCTTTGGCCTTGACCTCTCATCCCAGGCCTGCTGCTTAGATTTTTGATAATCTACAGACTCACCATGATTTTGCCACAGCTAGCCACCAAGCCCTAGGGGTGTTACCTGAGATGGGGATGGGTGGGCACGGAGAGGGACATGTGTGTTAATCAACAACCCACAGCCCCTGGGCCTCAAATAAAACAAACAAAAAAATGGAAACTCTGTTTTGAGTCATCTAATTATTTGTTCCCTGCCTTTGGAGGAGAGGCAAACTAACCCAAAGTGTAGCCCTCATTAGAAGGTGATCCATACCATCAGGGAGTCTCTCAAGTCATTCTCACGATCCTATCCTGGGGTGGGCCCTTGGTGACATCCTGTTTTCCTCTATTCCTTTACTGGGGATGTGGCTGGGAAGCGCCTTCTTGGCAGGGTGCATAATTCCCACTGTCTGATTCTAGCTTGGGGAGAGGAGGGTGGGGTGACAAGTAGAGTGTGTCTGTTCCCATTCTTTCCTCTACCCCTAACCACAAACTTAGCTTCCACCCCCACTCTTTCCTTAAGGCTGTCAGAAGCTCCTGAGGGAGCCACATATGAAGGCTTCATAACAGCTCTGGGCTGTTGAAAACTCCTGAGTACACGTTTATTAATAAAAATCACTAGAAACCAATATATTTAGAATACATTAGCTTAATTCCTTATAAAAATTTTTGCACTGAGCCAAGGTTCAATACTGGAGTTCTGACTTCTTTTTTTTTTTTTTTTTTGGGACAGGGTCTCTCGCTCTGTCACCTAGGCTGGAGTGCAGTGGTGCCATCTCGGCTCACTGTAACCTCCACCTCTGCCTCCTGGGCACAAGTGATCCTCCTACCTAAGCCTCCCGAGTAGCTGGGATGACAATGATGCCTGACTAATTTTTTTTTTGTATTTTTAGTAGAGACAGGGTTTCACCATGTTGCCCAGGCCGGTCTCGGACTCCTGAGCTCAAGCCATTTGCCTGCCTCGGCCTCCCAAAGTGCTGGGATTACAGGTGTGAGCCACTGCTTCCCACCAGTTCTGACTTTCTTAGAGGGTAATCACAGAAAAACAAACAAACAAACAAACAAACAAACCCTTTTTGTATATTCTGAAAACTCAATTGGAGTCATTGCTCATTCTGTTTCTCAGAATCCTGTCTTTTAGGATCTATGTAATAAATTTCACTTACAATTTAGCATGAGGGAAAAGATTACATTTCCTCATGAGCTGATATTGCTTCCTTTTTTCAGACAGTAAGAGTGATGTAACCAATTGTGTTTCACTTTTTGATTGAGCTGTCAGGAAGCCCAGACTTCAATTTAGTATCCATTTACAGAATTATCTTATCTCTGGTTCCTGATCTTCTCCTTCCTCTGTATGGCTTCCCATCTCCCCTTTCATCTGTATGTCAACTGTCTCCCCTATTTGCACAGGTCAGCTACACCCAAGGCCACCCAGAAGTTGATCTCACTTTCCTGAGTACCCAGGCTAGTTGGAGAGAAAAACTCACAGGCTAGCACACAGGGAACTATTAGCAGAATATGTTCAAATGTTAAATTAGAAGAAAAAGAGTTTTAGGGATTGAGCAGACAGATTAGTGAAAATTGGAGCAGTCAAAAGAAAGCTTCCTGAAGGAGGTGGTACTCAGAGCAGACAGATTAGTGAAAATTGGAGCAGTCAAAAGAAAGCTTCCTGAAGGAGGTGGTACTCAGAGTAAGCTTCGAAGGCTTGCAGTTCGTTTCAGGGGTTCATTTCAGTGGACCAGCTATATGCCTTGGTTTGGACCATAGGAGGCTTTGGGGCAAATACCTGGGACGTTGGTTGTCTCTTCCCTTGAGGGCAGGTTCTGAAGCTCTCTGACTAGCTGGTGCACTGCTTTCTGGGAATCAACTATGTGAGGCTGATAGAGTCAGTCCTCAGTAAAATGGTACAGCAGGTGGCACTGGTCTAGGTGCTATTGGTGTTTACGATGGGACAATTCTTCATTAGAACAAAACTTCATTGGAACTATACCTAATGTACTATATTTAGCATCTTGATCCACATCTGCCAAATGCCACTAGCAACCCCTAATTTTTGGGACAACCCCAAATGCCTGTATGCTTTCCCTGCAGCCCCTGGGGGACAGTTCCACACAGATGAGACCCACCACTCCCTCAAATGCCTGAGGTTCTCCTCTCTAGCCTGCCACCCAAACTAGGATTTCCAGATTTAGCAAAAACACAAAACAAAACAAAACAAAACACAGATCATCCCGTCAAATTTGAATTTCAGACAATGAATTTTTTATTATAAATATATCCCAAATATTGCATTAGTTTTCTATAGCTGAAATTAAAATATAACTAGGGGTCTTTATTTTATTCATTGCCCTACCCACAACCCTTCATCACCACAGACAAACCTGCTTTCCAGAAATTTCCATTCAGTTGATCATGCTCTGTGTACTGAATCATTCCCTACTTGTCTGTTAAGACTCATCTATTTTGTATTTCAGTCACGCATATTCACTGTCTGTGCTAAGTCTCAGTTGGATGGTAAATACTTTTTTTTTTTTTTTTTTTGAGACGGAGTGTCCCTCTGTGGCCCAGGCTGGAGTGCAGTGGTGTGATCTCGGCTCACTGCAACCTCCGCCTCCCAGAGTCAAGCGATCCTATCCTCCCACCTCAGCCTCCCGAGTAGCTGAGACCACAGGCACACGTCACCATGCTTGGGCTAATTTTTTATTTTATTTTTTGTAGAGACAAGGGTCTCACTATGTTGCCCAGGCTGGTCTTGAATTCCTAGGCTCAAGCGGTCCTCCTGCCTTGGCCTCCCAAAGTTCTGGGATTATAGGCATGAGCCACTGCACCTAGCCGGTAAATACTTTTAATCGGAATAAGAAATTCTTCTTAATATGTAGGCTAGTTATCCCATCCAGATAATATTTTGCCTTAAGTGGTTAAAGTACACATCACTTCTTAGACCCTTCTGAATGGTGGTGGGAGGACAGATAAGAACCATTGTTAGGGCTTTTGGCTGATGGCCTACAACCCCAAGATCCCAATGACTTCTAACTTTGGCTGCACAATGGGAGCTTTTCTTTTTTCTTTTCGTTTCTTTTCTTTTTTTTTTTCGGAGACGGAGTCTCGCTCTGTCGCCTAGGCTGGAGTGCAATGGCGCAATCTCAGCTCACTGCAACTTCTGCCTCCCAGGTTCAAGCGATTCTCCTGGCTCAGCCTCCCAAGTAGCTGGGACTACAGGCGCGTGCTGCCATGCCCGGCTATTTTTTTGCATTTTAGTAGAGATGGGGTTTCACGGTGTTGCCCAGGCTGGTCACGAACTCCTGAGATCAGGCAATCCGCCCGCCACAGCCTCCCAAAGTGCTAGGATTACAGGCATGAGCCACCGCGCCTGGCCACAATAGGAGCTTTAAGCAGTACTAATGCCTGGTCCTACCCTCAGGACTCTGAATTAATCTGGGGCAGAGCCTGGGACTGGGGAATTTTTTTTAACCACAGCCCCTTCCCAGGGTGGTGCTAACATGCAGCCAAGATTAGAATCACTGCTATCCTTCCTGAGAAAAGAGAGAGAAAGGAGAGACGTGGAAGAGAGGGAATGAGAAAGCAGGAGACCAGATTTCAGGTGCTCTGCTTGGCAGTGGTAATCGAGGGGATTTGGAAGAATCAAGAGGCAAACGCATTCCAACCAAGCAGGGAAGGAGCGGTTCAAAAAAGTAATATACTCCGAATGTGTTCCATTTCAAGCAAAACAGATGTAAAAGAGTACTTCTGAAGAACCCAGAGAGTGCTTCATTTTGTGCCAGATGGCGTCCTTAGAGATGCCCCAGTTTCCCAAAAAGAGTCCCCCAGGGAGAGTCCCATTTTTCTTGATTACCCCGTGATTCTAACCAATACCAGCAGCACGTTCAGAGCCCAGGCTGCTCACACGCATGGCCTTGCTGGTGTTGGCTGAGGAGCAAGCTTCTGATGTCACCATGGGCACCTCAGCAAAAGAGGCTGCCCTCTCGCTCCGTGTAGCCTGTGAGCCCGGGATGTCCCAGTGCCATTAGCACATGCCTCCCTCCCCACTGACAAGTAGGTCAGCACAGACGCAGCTCCAGCCGCCACTGAGAGCTGCTTGCTGCTGGCAGGAAGCTGCTTCTGCAGAATTAAAAACCATCAGAGTTGATCAAAGGAAGTGCAAGGTAGGCTGGCGGGCGGGCCAGATCCTAATCTCTGCTCGCTGGCCTCACACATCACTGCACATGAGTCACCCCGCTGAGCTCAGCGGACATGCTGTTTGGATTAGGCTTTTACAGGCGAGCTTTGCCAAACTTGCCTTTGCTGTCTTGCTGCACAGAGCAGCTGAGAGGCAAGGCGGGAACGTGGGGATGTGGGTTAGATGTGGCTGTCCAGGTGTCAAAAGGAGGTGGTCAGCTCCCCAGGCATGCGTGATTGTGTCTTCAGGGGGTGGCTGTTAGTCCTAGTGCCCCCAGCCCATCTTCCGTGCTTAGCTCAATGAACCCTATTAGGAATAACAGAGCCCGCAGCAGGCCCACACCTCCTTCCTCTCTTGCCAGCTCTCCAATTAAGATGTACTATTACAGGACATGCATCTTGCCTTCACTCAACCATTTGCCTCTCAACCAGAAGGAATTCCTTTTCTCAAAAGCAAGCAACACTTCACCACTCAGGCATCTTGCCTCAAAAAAAGTGGAGTCCAGTGAAAAAGGGATGGAAGTCAGAAAAATAAAAATTCCTAAATGAAGAGCCAACCCATAAAAGCAGGGCTTCCCCTAGTGCCTAGTTGGCGTGACATCACCATGAATTACTCAATGAAAATGGTGTCAGAGTGGCAGCTAGATTATTTGGGGAAAGTTTCCTCAAGAAACAGAACTCCACAGGAAATAAGAAGGGGTAGGAAACTCCAGCCCTGCACTTAGGTCTTTTGGTGCTTCCTCTAGAGGGGCTGATTTTCCTGAGCAGACGGCAAGGTGAGATTCTCTTCCAAGCAGGGTCTTGGTGCTCAGGAGCCGGAGTAGATAGAACTCAGTGGTTTGTTTTGCTTCCTTCTCTGGAAGCAATGGTAGGAACAGGATCAAAATCCTCTGTTTCAGATACTGCCAAGTTTTGCTTCTGTGCGTGGTAACTTGGGAAGAAGCAGCCCCCACTATTTTGTAAGCCAAAGATTCTTGGCTTGTAGCCTCTCCCGGGATTCTCTTTAGAGTATTTTAGACTTTCATGTAGTAAAGGCATCTAAATGGAGGTGGCAGTCCTTGACGCTTTGCAAATAAATGTTGCCACCAGTCCCTACACCAGTTTCGACCATAAATCCCAAATTTCTGCATTTACCATTGCTCAATTCGATGTGATTTTTAAAGTTTGTTGTTGTCGTTCATGGCTTTTCAGGTTTCTACTTATCTATCCATAATTCTCACAGTGGTCAAATTTTGGTCATGAACCTGTCTTTTTTTCCTCCATTCCTCCTTCAGCATTTTCACTTTAAAATGGAAACAGAGATGGAAGGTGCCACCCTGGATAGGCTTCTAACTGGAAAAGCATTCTACAGCAGAATGGCAGGGTGGTTAGGGTCTGGCTGTCAGGCAAACCTGTGTTTGAGTCCTGGCTCTGCCACTAAATAGTAGTGTCATCTTGGAGTAATTTTCTTAGCTCTTCACAGCTCAATCTTTTCATATGTAAAATGTGAATAATAATAGTCCTAAATTCATTGGTGAGGATTAAATGAGCTAATACAAGTAAAATATTCAGCACATGTCCCTAGTACTTAGGCAGCATATAAGAAATGTATTATTCTTTATATCACAATAATTACTCTACCACAAGCGTTATTATTTTTGGCAAATTTAATCAGAGTCTACAGCAACAATTCTTCCTTCTGAAATTCCTCTGTGCCCGAGTTAAAGTTTGTTTTAATCGAAAGTATTCACTTGAAGTGCCTGTGCTTAATTGGAATTGTCCTCATTTTTTGTTAGGAAAAGACCATGAGAGAGGAGGAGGAGAGGATCGTTTATAAATGATTAAAAGGAGGTACCTATACTTGGGGATTCCTGTCTGTAACTAAAAGAAGAAAAATCCCATGACACTAGAGGGCTTGCTATAGATGGGGAAAAGGGAGTTTCTCATTCACTTCTAGCAGGGACTGTTAGTAGAGAGGAAGCCCTGGGTAGGAATTTGCTGTGGCTCAGTGTATCGAAAAAGCACATCCACTCAGCTTCTATCAGTTCTCTGGATAGCCAGGGTGATGCTCACAAGTGGAGGCCTTCTGTTTAGAAAGGCACAGTGATGGTCTGGGCCCAGTGGCTCACGCCTGTAATCCCAGCACTTTGGAAGGCGAGGCGGGCAGATCACCTGAGGTCGGGAGTTTGAGACCAGCCTGACCAACATGGAGAAACCCCGTCTCTATTAAAAATACAAAATTAGCCAGGCGTGGTGGTGCATGCCTATAATCCCAGCTACTCGGGAGGCTGAGGCAGGAGAACCTGGGAGGCAGAGGTTGCGGTGAGCCGAGATGGTGCCATTGCACTCCAGCCTGGGCAACAAGAGTGAAACTCCGTCTCAAAAAAAAAAAAAAAAAAAGGCACAGTGATGGGCAGCATTTCCAGTGCCAGGTAGGCCCAGGGCATAGTCTATAAGTGGTGGTGGGGGGCCAAAAAAAGGGGACTGGAGCCACTCTGAATAACAAAAGCAAAGTCATATTTTAATTTAGTTGGATGGAATATGTTGCCTTTAGAAAGACCTCCTCACTAATACAGAATTAGGTTGAGAATGATTGTCTTTGGGGTGTGTGCATGTGTGTGTGTGAGAGAGAGAGACAGAACGAGAGAGAGAGAGAGATCTAAGAGTTACTCATAGGAGATCAGAAAACCATAGGAAGAGTGAGGAGGAATATGTTGACCTCAAGCTGGCGGAAGAACCCTGAAAAGAATAAGAAAAGGAGAAATGAAGCCTACTATGGATTATTTTGGGAATCATCTAACTATGTGGCATGATTCCTATCTGAGTAACTCAGACTGTGAAAAATGTATTGCTGTGGATTATCCATATATTACAGATTAGCCTATTTGGGGAAGAGGGGTAGACATTGTGAACCCTTTTGAGTGGGAATATCATAAAAGAGGGTTCCATTAAAATGTAAGCACTGTGAGGGCTTGAATTTTTGTCATTTGTGTTTACTGCTCTATTCTAGCACCTAGAACAATGTGTCATTCCTGTGTCACCTCTTGTATCAGTTCCCTACTGCTGGTGTAACAAATTACCACAAATTTAGTGACTTAAAACCACACATTCATTATTGTCCTGATCTGGAGGTAGAAGACCTAAAATCCAGGTGTTGGCAGGGCTGCGTTCATTCCCGAGGCTTTGGGGGAGAAGGAGTTTTCTAGCCCTTTTCTGAAGGTTGCCTGCGTTCCTCGGTTCCCGCCTCACATCACTCTGACCTATGCTTCCATCCTCTCATTTTCTCTGATTCTGACTCTCCTGCCTCCTTCTGTCCCTCATGAGGATCCTTGTGATTACATCATGCTTACCTGGATAAGCCAGGATCATCTCTCCATCTCAAGGTCTTTAACTTAATCACACCTGCAAAGTCCATGTAAGGTAAGATATTCACAGGTTCCAGAATGTGGACATTTTTGGGGATCATTATTCTGCCTACTACACCCCTGAGGCCACCATCAGTGTCATGTCAAGGGAAGAGGGCAGCCCTGAGTCCTGGGGCAGGACCCACAGTGCTGTGAGCGGAGGTCCCAGCTGAGTGTGGAGTTTAGGGACAGGTAAGAGCAGAGGGACAGGCTGCTGTGTGGACTGGCTTTGGGAATAAGAAACTTACTCCCTGTGTGCAGATATACTGGAGGAAGGTGCTTTTCAGTGACAGAGGCAGAAGGATAGATTCTGCTGTTATGACTACAAGGGCTGTCCAAGCAGCAGACACTCAGATTACAGCTCTTTTCCGGTTTGGGTGTTAAGAATTTGAGACAATTTGAAAAGTGTAGTGCCTGCTTTATGGCAGATGTGCAACTCACTAAGAGCCATCTATTATTAATACCAGAGGGTGAGGGGCCAGGGAGGTTCCAGGGCCCCAGCTGTCTGGGGAGGCAGGTCACATGGCTCTATATCCCCAACCCTGGGGAAACAGGAAGAAGAACTGTCAAAAGGGAATAAGGTATGGGGCAGGTGTGCAGAGGTAGAGTTTCAAATGCTCTTTATCTTAACTTCTTCCCACGCAAGCTAGGAGGAAGCATCTGGCCGGTTCTTTAATGAAACTTGGAACTCACTGCTGCAGTCAAGAAGGAAATATTCCTGCGGTTTTTCTGTGAGGGAAGAAAGTAATAAATCTTTCTGTTGTTGAAGCAACACCTTTCAGTGGTGTAGCTCTGAGAGGGATATATTATTCTTAAAGTGTATGTGCTTGAGAGTTTGTTACCATCAGGCCATCGGGAAGCTTCACAAAGGTCCTGAAGGTCAGGAACAAAGCATAGGAACAGAATGCGTGGTTAGGAGCTGGTAGTCACAAACTCTGGAGCAGTCACAGATGATGCAGATTTAAGAAATCTACATTCCTTTTAGAACAGTTAGATTTTTGGGGTGAGTGCTGGCTCTGGAAAGCCCGTTTGTATCTCCCTGTGGATTTCCTGAGGAGCCCCTCCTCCAAAATGGGGCATTCCATAATTAGCGCCTGCTTAGATCAGTCATGTGTGGTAGAAGAAGAGGACAAGATCTCGTTTTTAAGGAGATCACTTATTCTGCAAAAATGTGTTGAATCCTTGCCATATGCCTGGCACTGTTCTAGGTGCAGGGGATACGGTAGCGACCAAAACACAAAACAAATAATAAATCTGTTTTATCTGGTTGTGATAAGGAGGATAGAGGCAAATAAGGCAGAATAAAGGGCTCAAGAGTAGCAGTGGGTGTGCTGTCTGACATAGTGTGGCCAGGGATGGCCCCCTTAAGAATGGGATACTTGTGCAGAGACCTGAAAGAAGCAGAAAAGGCTGAGGGGCAAGTCAAACAGACATCTACAGAGTGCTCCAGGCAGAGGGAACATCCACCAAAGCATATGCAACAGCTCAGTTTTAGTGAGTGCTCTGTGCAGTGCTGGCCCAGATCTCAACATCCGTTCCTCTTGTTAGGCATAGCCCTCACCCACACTGCAGCTCCTGGCAACTCCTTGGTGTAATACATCCCAGTCCCTGGCATAATCTTGCATAAAGTGATGAGAACCTGGAGGAGGGCAACAGCAAGAAGGCATAAGAGTTTTTGAAGGGAAAATCAACAGCATGTTGTGACTATATATGGGGGCTGACTTGGGTTTTGCATCTAGGAGCCTGGGGTTAGAATGTCCAGCCATAAGGTAGCAGCCCAAAGCCTGTGTGGCATCTTTGTGACTCAGGATGGATTTATCAGTCTGTCCTTGAGGCAAAGGCTCACTCCAAATTCCATGTTTGTGTAGTCCCCACCTTTATTCGGTAAGTCGACCCAATGTAGCTGCTGTGCCTAAATCTCCTGAGCTTTCATGTATAAAGGACAGAGAAGACAAAGTTAGAGTGCACAGCAAACAGAAATGTTTATACTGAGATTGCTTTTGTGTGAAGCAGCATTTTCCCTCTGCTCCATTCACAGACAAGCCTGATTAGTGGAAATGTACATTGGATTTTTCAAAAACTTTTTTGCTGAATGGTTTCTACTTTCAAGGTACTATCTTCCCGAGAAGTGTGTTTCTATCTTGACAATATAACTTCAAATGATAGGTGTAAAGTGGTTTTTTTGAAAAAAAAAGGTGGTTTGCAAATGAGGAAGTAATGCTCTTTTAATACCTTGACTACTCAGGGGGGATGGAGCAAAGTCAGGCTCTGACATGCCTCTTGTTTCAAGTTCTGAAGGCTCTTGGACTGCAGCCTTTCCACAGCTTACCTCGAGTTGGCTAAGCACCTTTCCTCATGAGTAAAATGCAAATAGCAAGGTTGTTAGGGCCCGGGCATTTCTTTCTTTCTCCTGGGGAGTTTGTGAATTTCTAGGGTGTTTCTTTGCTGAGCTGAGATTTTATGAAATAAACAGTGTAAAGAGTCTTACTGTAATGGCTCCCACTAATACTAAATGCTAAATAGATACCAATAGATACCAAATAAATAAATACTAGTGTCTACAGAGCTTATGTTAAAAACGAAAGTCCTGGCTGGGTTCGGTGGTTCATGCCTGTAATCCCAGCGCTTTGGGAGGCCGAGGTGGGCAGATCGCCTGAGGTCAGGAGTTTGAGACCAGCCTGGCCAACATAGTGAAACCCCATCTCTTCTAAAAATACAGAAAATTAGCCGGGCATGGTGGCAGGTGCCTGTAATCCCAGCTACTCAGGAGGCAGAGGCAGGAGGATCGCTTTAACCCCGGCGGCAGAGTTTGCAGTGAGCCAAGATTGCGCCATTGCACTCCAGCCTGGGCAACAAGAATGAAACTCCATCTCAAAAAAAAAAAAAAAAAAAGGAAAGTCCTTATTAGTTAGAGATGCATGCTGAAGTATGTATTAGTGAAGTGATGCTGTGTCTGGGATTTGCTTTTTAAAATTCCAGCAAAAAAAAAAAAAAAAAAAAAAAAGAATAGTTGTGGGGGTGAGGGGCAATAGATGAAACAAGATTGGTGTATGTTGAGATTATCCAAGCTGGATGGTGGGTACATGGGGGTTCATTTTTACGTTTCTCTCATTTTGTGTGTGTTTGAAAATTTTCATGACAAAAACTTAAAAGAGAGAGAGAGAGAAAAAAAATGTCAATGTCTGATGCACTCTTTTCCCTCTTGACTCTGTTGTTACATAATAAACAGGGATCCTAATGTGGGGAATTTGATTATGGGAGTTTTTGCAGTATGACTTCAACGAAGAGAAAAGTTTGATGGATTATTTCTGGAGAGCGGAGTAGTCAAGGTTTCCAAGAAAAGTGATGTTGAAATGAATAATGAAGATTCCCTGCTCAGTGATGCAGCCCTTTCAGGCTCTTGACAAATGTTCTGGGAAATTGTGGAAGTGATCATTGTCACCTATGCAGCTCAGCACTGATTTGTGCAACATAGGAAAGACCCGCATACCCCAGCAGTTTCACTCAGTCCCTCGAGGACTTCAGTGAAATCTACTTGTACCTGGTGCCCAGTGTGGCAATTGCAGGTCAGTCCTGCATCCTGGCCATCTGGACGTGGTATTCTTAAAAGCCTCAGTGTTTTCCAGCCGGGACACCATTGAGGGAGGTGTATGCAGTGCAATCAGGCAGCTTGCAGCCAGTCTTTGGCAGTCTCACTAAGCCCAATCAGAAGGGCTGGAATGCAACACGGGAAGTTCTTCTTAGCCCCAGTCGCTAGGTCTGTAGGGTGGGGTGGAAATTGGCTTCTGGGTGACCACACCCAGCTCCCTATCCACTCTGCCCAGAGACTTTACATCCTCAACAGCTGCTGTCTGTGTTTGGCTTTCAACTCCTCTGCCTTGACCCAGCTCCCAGAGACCAGTTTACAGGAGACAACTGTGACACTAGCGTTCCGATCATATCTGACCTCAGCCCCCTCCTCATGGCCCCTCCTGCCACACACATTGTATGCCTTCATTTCCTTTCTAAGACAAGATTTATCTCAGAAAGTGGATCTTTGGTTAGCTCATGGCTTTGCTCTTGAGTTTCTTGAAACTTATTCCAAAAGCTCGTCACTTAAAATACAGGAAAAAATTGGCTAATTTTCTTTTAATGGGCTTCAGTAGAATAAAGAATAAGACGATGTAGATATATTTATTGTGAATTGCTTGGACTGCTCTGGAGTATGAGAATGGACAGTTAGTGATGCTTTATGAAGTTTCTTGGCCCTTCTGTATCATCATTAGTTTTATTTTTATTTATTTATTCATATTTATTTATTTATTTTTGAGACAGAGTCTCGCTCTGTCACCCAAACTGGAGTGCAGTGGCGCAATATCAGCTCACTGCAAACTCCGCCTCCTGGATTGAAGTGATTCTTCTGCCTCAGCCTCCCGAGTAGCTGAGATTACAGTCACCTGCCACCATGCCTGGCTAATTTTTGTATTTTTAGTAGAGGCAGGGTTTCACCATGTTGGCCAGGCTGATCTGAAACTCCTGACCTCAAGCAATCTACCCGCCTCAGCCTCCCAAAGTGCTGGGATTACAGGCGTGAGTCACTGTGCCAGGCCCCACCATTAGTTTTATAAATCAAGATATAACATGTGTTATGAACTTCTGTGGTACTGCCTTTTTAAGAGCTCATCATCCCTGAAAATCATTCAAACCCTTCAACATGGCAACAGCCCTCCTGGACATTTCTACAAAGGAAATAATTAAAAAGAAGAAAAGAAATCTTTGCATGCACTAGATGTTTATAGAAGAACCACTTATAATAGTTATGGCCAGCTCACGCCCATAATTCCAGCACTTTGGGAGGCCAAGGTGGGCAGATCATGAGGTCAGGAGATTAAGACCATCCTGGCCGACATGGTGAAACCCTGTCTCTACTAAAAATACAAAAATTAGCTGGGTGGGGTGGCGCCTGCCTGTAGTCCCAGCTACTCGGGAGGCTGAGACAGGAGAATCGCCTGAACCAGGGAGATGGAGGTTGCAGTGAGCCGAGATCATGCCATGCACTCCAGCCTGGTGACAGAGCGAGACTCCATCTCAAAAAATAAAAAATAAAAAAAGAACCACTTATAATAGTTAAAAACTGGAAATAACTTAATGCGTAGCAGCAGGGGAAATGATTAAACAAGTTATGGCATATCCATGGGAAACCACGAAGCCACAAAAAAAGATCATTAGGAAGACTATGTAAGGACAAGAAAGTGTTTATTAAGTGATGTTAAACAAAAAGTGGAACACAAAAATTACATGAACATTATAATTATGCTTACATAAAATATTTCTATATCTGACTGAAGACTGGAAGAAAATCTGGGAGAAAAGAAAGTGGTTGTGGTAAGTGGCAGAAATATGACTGATGTTTTTCTTTTTGAATACTTTTAGTGTTGTTGTAGACTTGTCTTAGTAATAAATAGCTCTTTTTTGGAAAAAAAAAAAAAAAAGGATAGCCAAGCCGTAACTTGTTGTGTTTGCTTTTTACTTAGGGCAGTAACTGAGAAAACATTTCAAACATAGAGGAAGTCACATCAGCAACTATGAAGTGTTGAGGTCAAAATATGACGTTTCAATAATGAGGACAGTCAGGTGGAGAGATCTGAAGATAACAGATACAGGAATACAGGAAATGGGTCAAAGAAGACAGTTTTGGGGGTAGGATTTGCATTGCTGAATACTTACGAAAAGAAACAAACTCACAGGCTTACAGGCTTAGATTTATTAGTCTATATTAGGGCTGAGGATACCTGTGAACCAAAAATAAATAAATAAATAAAAACAGAGAGAGAAAGTGTGTGTCAAAGAGATGCCTCATTAGCCTTTCTCTTTATCTCTATGGAATGTCAAAGAGATAATGTCATCTCTAAGACATTAATTGTCCACTTTTTTCAACTGATCCTCTCCCTGGAGGCAGCTGAGCAACTCACTTGGAGGAACGATTCAAATCATTCCTGATTTTTAAGAATTAATCCTTAACCAAGTTAATTAATCATAGTGTACCAGCACTTGGAATCACTCAAACAAAACAGCCTTTACATATAGGAGATGCATCCACCCCAAGCTTTTCTTCACCCATAATCTTGCCTCAAACTTGTGTGGGTAGCTCAGGGCAAAATCTGGTTTCTGGCTGCCAATGGCATGCATTAATGGAGAGAAGCAGGCTGACAGTGCAGCCTGGGAAGGTTTCTGTAGAAAAGCCTGTGTGCTAGAGTTAATTACAGCCTGATTTAAATCTTAGATTGTGGAGGGACCATGAAAAAGGCAGACTGATGAATACTATGTGGTCAGATAAACCCAGATACTTAGATCTCTCAAAAGGAAAAAGAAAAACCCTAGAATCATCTTCTGGGTACAGACAGTGCGGTAGGTCCAGTGAAAATTATAAGGTTTGGGTTAGATGGGGCTCCTGCCCACAACCCAAAACAGTGTATTCAGGGGACAAAAGAGAAATGCAGACAGAATCCAAGTCAATAAACACATGTCACAGAACAAAATATAAGTAGCTATGATATGCTAAAAAATAGCAATAAACTGGCCAGGCGCAGTGGCTCATGCCTGTAATCCCAGCACTTTGGGAGGCTGAGGCGGGCAGATCATCTGAGGTCGGGAGTTCGAGACCAGACTGACCAACATGGAGAAACCCCATCTCTACTAAAAATACAAAATTAGCTGGGTGCGGTGGCGCATGCCTGTAATCCCAGCTACTTGGGAGGCTGAGGCAGGAGAATTGCTTGAACCCGGGAGGCAGAGGTTGTGTTGAGCCGAGATCATGCCATTGCATTCCAGTCTGGGCAACAAGAGCGAAACTCTGCCTCAAAAAAAGAAAAAAAAAGAAAAAAGAAAAAAAAACCTGTATATATATACAGCAATAAACTTTGACTTAGGAAGCCTGGGTTTAAATCCCAGCCATGGCCGGGGGCAGTGGCTCACACCTGTAATCCCAGCACTTTGGGAGGCTGAGGTGGGCAGATTACCTGAGGTCAGGAGTTCGAGACCAGCCTGGCCAACATGGTGAAACCCCATCTCTACTAAAAATACAAAAAATTAGCCGGGTGTGGTGGCGTGTGCCTGTAGTCCAAGCTACTGGGGAGGCTGAGGCAGGAGAATCGCTTGAACCCAGGAGGCAAAGGTTGCAGTGAGCCAAGATCATGCCACTGCACTTCTGCCTGGGTGAGACTCTGTCTCAAAAAAAAAAAGCATTGTACGCTGGGCATGGTGGCTCACACCTGTAATCCCGGCACTTTGGGAGGCCAAGGCAGGCAGATCACCTGAGGTCAGGAGTTCAAGACCAGCCTGACCAACATGGTGAAACCCTGTCTCTACTAAAAATACAAAATTAGCTAGGTGTGGTGGTGTGTGTCTGTAATCCCAGCTACTCGGGAGGCTGAGGCAGGAGAATCGCTTGAACCCGGGAGGCAGAGGTTGCAACGAGCTGAGATCGTGACATTGTACTCCAGCCCAGGCAACAAGAACAAAACACCGTCTCAAAAATAAAAAAATTTAAAAAATAAAAATAAAAAGCATTATAAGGAAATATTTACTGGTGCCTACAATACTGATATTACTCTGATCTCTGATATCAAACCCAGACAAATATATAACAAGAAAGCAAAACTGCAGACTAATATCCTTCATGAGTATAAATGCAAAAATTTTTAGGAAAATATAGCAAATAGAATATAACAATATATAAAAGGATAGTACATTATAGCCATAGCCCAGGAATGCAAGGTTAGTTTAATATTTGAAAGTCACTCAGTGATTCACCACAGTAACAGGCCGAAAAGGAAAACCATATGAATATCTCAATAGATGCAGAAAAAGAATCTGACAAAATCCAAGATCTCTTTCTTTCTTTCTTTCTTTCTTTCTTTCTTTCTTTCTTTCTTTCTTTCTTTCTTTCTTTCTTTCTTTCTCTCTCTCTCTCTCTCTCTCTCTCTCTTTCTTTCTTTTGGTCTTTCTGTCTTTCTTTCCTTCTCTCTTTCCTTCTCTCTCTCTCTCTTTTTTTTTTTCTCATTCTGTTGCCCAGGCTGGAGTGCAGTGGTGTAGTCTTGGCTCACTGCAACCTCTGCCTCCCAGGTTCAAGCAATTCTCCTGTATCGGCCTCCCAAATAACTGGGACTACAGGCATGCACCACTACTCCCAGCTAATTTTTGTATTTTTAGTACAGACAGGGTTTTACCATGTTGTCCAGGCTGGTCTCGAACTCCTGACTTCAGGTAATCTTCCCACCCTGGCCTCCCAAAGTGCTGGGATTACAGGTGTGAGTCACTGTGACTGGCCTCATTTCTGATTTTAAATAAAGCAACTCTCAGTAAAGTAGGAAACTTCTTTAATTTGAGAAAGGGCATCTATGAAAAACCTAAAGCTAACATCATACTTAATGGGAAAGACTGAATGCTTTTCCTTTAAGACCATGAACAAAGAAAGGCTATCCACTGTCACTATATTTATTCAGCATTGTACTGGTTGTAGCCAGTGCAATAAGTCAAGAAAAAAATATAAAATGAATTAAGATTGGAGCAGAAGAAGCAAAACTGTTTTTATTCTCAGATAACATGACTCTCTATGTAGAAAATTTGATGGACTCTACAAAAAAGCTACAGAACTAATAAATGAGTTTAACAAGCCTGCAGGATAAAAGATCAATATAAAAAATCAACTGTTTCTAAATGGTTTCAATAAATACTTGGAAATTAAAATTATATAAATAATAACACTTATGATAGTACAAAATAATTAAATATTTAGATAAAAACCTTACAAAAGAGCTGTAAGATCTGTAAACTAAGAAAACGTTGCTGAGAAAAATGAAAAAAGACTTTGTGCTCATGGATTGAAAGACTCAATATTGTTAAGATGTCAGTTTTCCCCTAATAGATCTGTAGATTCAATGCAATCCTCATCAAAATTCCAGTAGGCTTTCCCCTCTCAGAAACTGGCAAACTTATTCTAAAATTCAAGCTTAATCTAGAATTCATATTTTTCTTAGAAAAAGAATAAAGTTAGATTTCAAGACTTGCAATAAAGCTACAGTAATCAAGACAATTTTTATTTGTCTTGACAAATACCCAGACAAATTATATTTGTCTTAATACAAATACCCAATTTGATATTTGTATTGAGATAGAAAAATAGATCAATGTAACAGAATAGAGAATCCAGAATAGACCCACAAATATATGGTCAATTGTCAATTGACTTTCAACAAAAGTGCAAAGACACTTCAGTAGATAAAGATCAGTCTTTTCAATAAATGGTGCTAGAACTATTGGATATTCATAGATTATAGACAAAAAACTAAACATCATTCTAAACTTTGCATTATATACAAAAATTAACTCAAAATAGACTTAAATATAAAATCTAAACGTATAAAAATTTTGGAAGCAAACAGGAGAAAATCTCTGTGACCTTGGGTTAGGTAAAGATTTCTCAGATCACCAAACGCACCATCCATGCAAGAAAATTAATACGCTGGGCATGGTGGCTCACGCCTGTAATCCCAGCACTTTGGGAGGCTGAGGCGGGTGGATCACCTGAGGTCAGGAGTTTGAGAGCAGCCTGGCCAACATGGTGAAACCCCATCTCTACTAAAAATACAAAAATTAGCCAGGCGTGGTGGTGTGCGCCTGTAGTCCCAGCTACTCGGGAGGCTGAGGCAGGAGAATGGCGTGAACCCGGGAGGCGGAGCTTGGAGTGAGCCGAGATCGCGCCACTGCACTCCAGCCTGGGCGACAGAGCGAGACTCCGTCTCAAAAAAAAAAAAAAAAAAAAAAAGAAAAAAGAAAACTAATAAATTGCATTGCATCAAATTAAGAATTTCTGTTCTTGAAAGGCATTGTTAAGGAAATAAAAAGATTAGGAGAAAGGATTTGCCAATCATATATCTTACCAAGGAGTTGTTTGCAGTATATATAGACTCTTAAAACTCAACAGTTAAGAAAAAGCAAAACAAAACCCTGGTTAAAATATAAGCAGAAGGCATGAAAGATTCGTCACCAGAGAAGATACAAGGATGGCAAATATGCCCATGAAAGATTTTTTCAACCTCAGTAGTTATTAGGGAAATTTAAATTAGTACTGTAATGGAATACCATTACACAGCTATTAGAACGGTTAAAATAAAAAAAAAAACTGAGAATATCAACTGCTAGGAAGTATGTGGAGTAACTAGAACTCTTACACATTTCTGGTAGGTAAGCAAAATGGTACAACCACTTTGGAAACATTTTGGTAGTTTCTTTTCAAGTTAAACATACACTTACCATACCCACTTCTAGGTATTTACCTTGAAAAATGGAAACATACATGCTTATATCTGTACATGACTGTTTATAGCAGTTTATACTGCTTATTTTCAATTGCCCCAAATGAGAAACAACCCAAGTATCCTTTAGTTGTGAATGGTTAGACAACATGTGGTACATCCACACAATGGGATACTACTTACCGATAAAAAGAATAAACTATTAACACATGCAAACACGGATGACTCTCAGAACAATTACACCGAGTGAAAGAAACCAGCTCCCCCTGCCCTCTCCCTGCAAAACATGCACACCATATGGTTTCACTTATTTAAGCTTCTAGAAAATACAAATTAATCCATAGTGATAGAAAGCAGATCAGTGGTTGCAGAAAGAAGGGTGGGACAACAAAGGGGCACGAAAATTTGGGGGGTGAATAGCTTGATTGTGGTGATGGTTTCACAAGAATATAACATGTCAAAACTCATCCAATTGTATACTGAAATATGTTTGTCTTATTATTTGTCAGTTATACCTCAAGAAAGCTCTTTTTTTTTCAAAGTCCAGGTGATTCTAATAGGCAGCTGAATTTGAGGACCACTGAAACACACATACGTAACTCTCCTAAGTCCATCAGGTTTTGGCTTACTGCCACAGAGTTTTCTATTGTTCGGATTCCAGTCTTGTTACAAATATGAAACTTACAGGATAACTACAGAATGACCATACATAAAAATCATCAGATAATTTCACTTCAGAAATTCCAGGGCCTTCACTTTAAGCCATAGGGAAGCCCTAGATAAAAATTACTAATTTGAAATGAAATACAGCAAGAGACTCAAGCCTCTAAGCTTCCAGGGCTATAAATCATCTACAGTGCAGAGATGATTTTGGATCTGATAATTTGGTAAATTGCTTCTCTCATCCCTCATAGACTCAGCTTCTACACTTCCCTTATTTTGTCAGAGTTTTTTACTAGAACTCACTCCATTTTTTGCTTCTCTTTACTTTGACCTAACCTGTAGGGCTTCCAAAAATAGGTACTTGAGTGTATTGAAGAAGTTACTAACTTTGTTAAGTTATGCAAGACTTCCCTAAATAAGTATTATTTCCTCTTTCCTCTCAGTGACTCACACAGTACACTCTATAAAGGATTTGAAAGTGGCTGAAGGAAACTAGTTTGTCCCTTGTGCCCAGTTTTGCTCAGAAGCAGGAGAAAGACCTAGGGTGGCATATTTTAACCTTGAATATGTGTGTGACTCACCCAAGAATCCTGTAAAAATGCAGATTTGGTGTCAGCAAGAGTGGAGTAGACTCAAGCTTCTGCTTGAGTTTCTCCCCAGTGATGCTGATGCTGCTAGTTGGGTCACAAGACACATGACCTTTCAAAGTCCTTTCATCCCTGGGACACTGCAAAACAATAATGACCCTAATGGGGAGGAAGTCATTCAAGTCAAAGAGAGGAGCACTGCGTTACTACTGCCTTGATTACACTCTCCAAGTGTTGAACCTCCTGCCTTATGTAAATGTTTATACATCTGGTAAGGGTAAAGATTCACTTGCTGTGAATAGCTCAGGATGTTTAAAAAGTGTTGGTTGGATTTTTCTTACCTTTTTCTGGAAATAATTTGCAATAGATAAGATGGTTTTTCTAGGTTATATTTAGTTAACCCAACTTAAGCCACTTTATAACTGCTGCATCTAGCCACTTCTTGTGTGTATGCTTACTTTATTTTCAAAAATATGTAATGTCAAGGTATGAAATACCAATGTTTCATATACTATTTAGCTGAGGTTTTCAGTTCTTATGACAAATGGGCTGATTTCTCTCCTAGATCCTGAGGGGATTATATTGTATGTCCTGATTTTTCCTCTTTTTGAGGCAAAGATAGCACTAGTCATAGCAGCAGTTGCTTCTAATGATTTAGAGTTATAGTAAAATCTGTTGGAACGAATTGAAGGACAGTATTGTGGCATGGTTATGAATCTTCCTGGGGAAGCTGGCTGCAGCCTTTGGGTGGGTCTTTCTCACCCACTACTTCCCCCCCGCTCTGCTTTGTAAATCAAACTGCATGGTTTTTTTCCAAAGCAAATTCCTGATTTTTGGAAAGGAATCAAATAGTTTAGTTTTGCCTAAAACTGACACATTTAAACACATTTCAAATATATGTGAATTTGTAATTTAAACAAAACAAACTCGATGTGCTTTAAAGAGGCCAATCTATATTTTCAGAAAACTCTTATTATCGGTAATTTTCCATCTCAGTTTACCTTGATATTTAAATCAGTTCATCATGATTTTCAGTGAAAATAACTGAGAAAAAGGCATCCATAAAGGCTAAGAGTAAATCCATATTCATAGCTCTGTATTCCTCATCCAAGATTCCTTATTAAGTGATTACAGGAGCAGTTTTCTGTCTTTCAAGTCCATTTCTGCAGAAGAATTTGAATCACCACTGGAATGAATGTGGTAACGGGAGTAGTTCTGTCAACAATATGTGACACAAGGAAGGGAGTGCAGAAACTGGGCTGTCTGGACTACGGTTTTGGATGAGGTTTGGGATTTTTGTTGTTGCCAGAAAACTCAAAAGTTCAAAGAGAGTAGAAAAGCATATTGATTAGCTCTGGACTGGTCAAAGACTAGATTTATATCTGAGCTTAACTAATGTTTTACACATGGTCTCCTTTGTATTTTAAAATTTTTGTACCCCTGGTTAGTTAAAGGCAAGGACCAGCTGAAAGCAATTCCTCTTCTTGTCTTCTCTCCTCCAAATCAAGGCCATTTAGTTGGTAGGTAGATATTAAATCTCTAGGAACAAAGAGGAATGTTACTGGCCCAAATGTCCCATGATCCCTGAAGTTCATGTTGGTGCCAGAAGAGCTTCATGGCTTATTTTTCTCCCTAAATCTTCTACTCCAGAGGCCACATTTGCAGGGATATCTGGAGAACTGAGATGAACACTTGCCTCTCTGCCAATTCATCTTTCTTTTGGCCAGTTTATCAAGGATATTTGGATCTGCTGATGCACATTTCAGCCCCATCAGTTAATTTTCATTACAAAATTATGTTGCTAACATTATCAAGAGCATTGTGCCAAGCACTTTACACATATTACCTTATTTATTCCTCGTGATACCCATATTACAGGTGAGGAAACTGAGGCTCAGGCAGGTCACGTAACTTGCCCAAGTCCTCAAGGCCAGGATCCAAAATACAGACAGTTTAACCTCGAGCATGTGCTCTTAACCACTATAGTATTCTGCTTCCCTTATCCATAGATTCTTTCAGGACTTGGGAACTAAAGGAGTTTGGGAAAGAGACAAGGACATGGACTTTCTAATAAACTTCCTTTAAAGCTTCATTAGTTATACATCCATTCAACAATAATCCACTCCTCTTCAACTCTTCTAGAAGCTTACTTTCAATTTAAAGTCACAGTATCACTTTACAGCAGACCCCTCTGCCTGGTAAGCGGCTCCCCCACTAATTCACACGGTAAGTCCCTATAGACATGTTTATCTTCTAAAATCTATCCCACTGGTCATAACTCAATGAGTCCCAAGCTGGGTGAACAAGATTCTTTCTATTAGAAATCTCAAATTGGGAAAGAGAGGTGCAGAGGTCGTTTCTGATATGGCTAGAAATGTAAGATGTAAACTCAGTGTAACACGCAAACTCAGTAACTATAGAGAAGGTGGAGTGCGATGGCTCACACCTGTAATCCCAGCACTTTTTGAGGCTGAAACGGGAGGACTGCTTGAGCCTAGGAGTTTGAGACCAGCCTGGACAACATAGTGAGACCCCATCTCTGAAAAAAAAATTTTTTTTAATTAGCTGAGCACTGTGGCTTGCACCTGTGGTCCCAGCTATTCAGGAGGCTGAGGTGGGAGGGTCACTTGAGCCCAGGAGATTGAGGCTGCAGTAATTAAGCCACTGCACTCCAGCCTGGGTGACAGAGGGAGACCGTGTCTCCAAAAGCAAACAAACAAACATAAAAAAACCAAAAAACAAAAAAAAAAAAAAAAAGAGAGAGGAGGGAGGTAGGGGGTAGAGAGGAAAGAAAAGAGGAGAAAGATAGTGTATGTAGTAGACACACAGAGAAGCTGAGATCAGATGGGGAACTTTTTGTTGATTTCCAGTACCTAGATGCAGTTCTTTGTGACACATCCCTATTTCCCTAAAAATGGTCTTTTTGCTTTAGCTGGTCCAAGTTGATTTCTGTGCCTTACAATCAAACTTTTGATTGATGCTCATTGGAACTCCTACAAGACCCAGGAACTCTGACACTTCTGTATCATCCCAGGATCCAACAGAAGACTGTGCATTCAATCAGTGCTTTTGCTCTCCATTCTCCGCTCCAGTGTAGTGCAACCCACCCCCTAATCTTGAGCCTGTATCCAATCATCTGATTGTGTTGCCTGAATCCAGGCTCTTTTCTCTCCTGTTCACCTTATATTCTACCGTGAGATCAATCTTCCAAAACTTTGCTTTCCCCATGTGTCACTTTCCAACTCAAAAGTCAGTGGCTCACTAGCCCCTAATTGTGTCTCATGGAACACTGGAAATGTTCCATGATAAAAAGAGTTCTGTGGCCAAAAATACTTGGAATATCAAATCTTCCCCTCTCAACACTGCCACATATATAAGCATATTAAAAGCTTTGGGAAGTCCTGCTTATAAATCATCCCCCCCACCACCAAAAAACAAAAACAAAAACCCAGCTTAAATTTGCTTGATTCAATGTGTTCTTTCTTGGTGTAACATCTATGGCAAAGGGGAATACCTATAGAATTAAGGCCAAACATCTTTTTGGCCCTCTGCACACGTGCCCAATATATGAGTTATCTGATCTAATTTACTATTTCTCCCTCTGCTGCAGCCAGATGAGCCTCTTTCTTGCTTCCTGTGCTTTCTCACCTCTGTGCCTCAGCTGTAGTGTCCCCTCCTCTTGAAATGTTCCTTGCCCACCTTGCCTCCAAGCTCTACCAGGTCCTCTCTGGAGTTTTCTCAACCACCCAATTCCACATTGCACTTATACTTTTCTCACTTCCTAAGGCACGTGTAATCTGAAAAACATAGCATTTAGTCATAGTTGTTTCATCATAAATACAGTCCTATGTTTCTACCTGATTCTTTTAAAATTATGTTTGTCACCCCAGGAAGATGGCAATCTTTTCTTTTTTCTTTTTGAGACAGGGTTTCACTCTGTCACCCAGGCTGGCATGGAGTGGTGTGATCACAGCTCACTGCAGCCTTGACTTCTTTGGCTCAAGTGATCCTCCTTCCTTGGCCTCCCAAAGTGCTAGGATTACAAGTATGAGCCACAACACCCCGCCAGCAATCTTCTTCTTCTTCTTTTTTTTTTTTTTTTTGAGATAGAGTCTTGCTCTGTCGCCCAGGCTGGAATGCAGTGGCGCAATTTCAGCTCACCACCACCTCCGTGTCTCGGGTTCAAGCGATTTTCATGCCTGAGTCTCCTGAGTAGCTGGGGCTACAGGCATGCACCACCATGCCCAGCTAATTTTTATATTTTTAGTAGAGACGGGGTTTTGCCATGTTGGTCGGGCTAGCCTCTAACTCCTGACCTCAGGGGATCTGCCTGCCTCGGCCTCCCAAAGTTCTGGGATTACAGGCATGAGCCACTGCGCCCAGCCCGGTCAGCAATCTTCTTAAAGGTAGAAACCATACTTTTCTTCTATAATACCATTTTCAGGAGTGGCGCAAAATATGTTTTTAAGAATTATGCAATTGAATTGAATTGAGCTACTTCCCGGATTTAGAATGACAAATGCTTTCTCTCCATCTGCTTAAGAATGAACTGGCCTTCCCATTTAGAGGCAAGCATGCCCAACGCCCAATGCTAGGCTTTCCCTGGAGAACACAGGACAGCTGAACGCTTGGGGAAGAATTACTTCTGCTATGGCACGGTTCTCTTGAGCAGAGAACTTTAAAGGGATCATTATCTGCTTGTAAGGAATGGAGGTCAGCATGCCTGAAAACAGGAGTTGTGCAGATAACCTTGCCATATTTAGAATTCTATGCCTGGAAACAGCGTAAGTGCTCTTCCATATAAAATTGGGTAAGCCTATTATAGCATATCTATTGCACAAAATCATATATAGCTTTAACAAATCATATTGCAGAAGAATATTTAATGATTTGGGAAAAGATTTATGATGTAATGTATGAGAAAGAATTTCTTTCTTTTCTTTCTTTTTTATTTTTTGAGACAGAGTCTCTCTCTGTTGCCCAGGCTGGAGTGGAGTGCAGTGGTGCGATCTTGGCTCACTGCAACCTCCACCTCTCAAGTTCAAGCAATTCTCCTGCCTCAGCCTCCAGAATAGCTGAGATTTACAGGTGTGTGCCATCATGCCCAGCTAATTTTTGTATTTTTGGTAGAGATGGGGTTTCACCATGTTGGCCAGGCTGGTCTTGAACTCCTGACCTCAGGTGATCCACCTGCCTTGGCCTCCTAAAGTGCTGGGATTACAGGCATGAGCCACCACGCCCAGCTGAGAAAGAATTTCTAAAATAGCATATACACTATGTTTCTAACTTGATTTTAAAAAGAATATGCATTGAAAACCACACTGGAAAGGTAAACTAACATGTTAATCTTGATTAAATCTAGGTGGTGGGGTCATAAGTGTTTTTTTTTTTTAACACCTTCTTGTATTTTTCAGTATCTTCCTGGTTTTCTACATTGAACATATATGACTTTTGTAATCAGAAAAAAGTCAATCAAAATACAATTCCATGTTTTCTCTCTTCTCCTAGCTCCTATCTTCATACTGAATGATTGTACCCAGATTCAGAGGTCCGGAGAACTCTCTCTATTTTCACTTGGTTCCTTACCCTCTAGTTGACTATGGTCAGCTTGCTTTTTTTGATTAGTCATTGGGCTAATATGGGAGTGTCCCCAGAATTCAGTAATAACCTAGACATTGCCCAGGGCAGGCATCTGAGATGATTATAAAGAGCAGATCGAAATAACCTCTGCCTCTTAGTTTCCTTAGACATGTTTCGATTCCTCTCACTTTCTTCTCCCCATCTCACTCCCTTCTCCCCTAGGGAGAAGATGCTGGTGGATGTGGATATTAAAACCTCCCCCTGGGGGCTAAAAAGAGACATCAGGAGAGGCTCAGGATCAAACAATATCTCCATATGAGTAGGTACAGCTTACCTGACTACTGCCTAAGAAATAGTCCAGGTCAGCTGGTCTGCTGCTGTGCTGCTGGGGATAATACCTAAGAAGAGCCAAGGCTTGGAAGGAGCCAGAGACAGACCAGGGACCTGTGTGTTGGGAATGGAGCAAAGAAAAGGTCCAGGAGGAAGAGAGAGGGGGAAAGCATCAAGGGCTGGAGAGAGAGTGTGTGTGTGTGTGTGTGTGTGTGTGCGCGCATATGTGTGTGTGTTTGTATATATGCGTGCATGTATGTGAAGTGTGTGTATGTATGTACGTGTGTGGCAGATGCAGGTGCAGAGGGGAGCTGGGGAACATGGGCTAAGTTTTGGGAGAGTGAAGAGGAACAAAATAAGACAACTGTGAGTGGAAGAAAGAGATGTTAGACTGTGTATGAAGAATACTCTTACCCCTTTGACTTTTTTCTCTTGAAACTGGGTAAATATATATATGTATATATATATATATATACACACACACATATATAGATATGTATATATATATACACATATATATACGTATATATATACACACACATATATACATACACACACACACACACACACACACACTTATATATACACACACACATATGAGAGACAGTGTCTCACTCTGTTGCCCAGGCTGGAGTGCAGTGGTGAGATTTCGGCTCACTGCAACCTCCGCCTCCCAGGTTCAAGCGATTCTCCTGCCTCAGCCTCCTGAGTAGCTGGGATTACAGGTGAGCGCCACCATGCCCAGCTAATTTGCGTAATTTTAGTAGAGACGGGGTTTCACCATATTTGCCAGGCTGGTCTCGAACTCCTGACCTTGTGATCCGTCCACTTCAGCCTCCCAAAGTGTTGGTATTACAGGTGTGAGCCACCACGCCCCTCGAGACTGGGTAAATATCTTAATGGATTTAAATTACATTTTTTTCTGCAGGACTGCTGTTTCTTTTACTGTGTTTTTTGCTTGCACTGAACCACATAGGGCTCTCTGTCATGCCTGGTTTGCACAAATACGAATGCCTTTCTCATGAACGAACTTATCCATTTTATGGAGAAAATGATACGGGCTTACCCCACTTCAAGGCTTATTGGCTGCTCTCTCAGCCCTAGGTGATCGCCAGTGATGCACGTATATTCCTTACATGAAATGAAAGGCACAGCTTTAAATGAAAAGGCACACCGTAAATGAAAAGCATAGCTGATTTGGTTTGAGTCCGTTTTGGCAAAAGGCAGTGCGATTTGGTTTGAGTCCTTCTTATGAGCTGGGGTCTAGTCAAGAGGGACCTGCTGGAACTTCTGCCAGGAGTCCTGTGGCAACTAAGAGATGCCTGGGGCTGGTTGGGTGTGTTGTGAGGTGAAGCCTCCAGACTGAAAAGGCTCTGGGATTCTATTTCCCTAGGACGAGTAAGGCCTCCTGGCCCAGACCCTGCTCTGGCCTCAAGCCCTCGGGGCAGCAACACAGCTAACACTGCAGGTCTGTAACCAAAATGTCTAGGGGGCTTTAGGAGCTCCTTTAACTCGGTTTGTGCTGAGTGCAGAGGCTCCTTGCACAGCATTGGCATCTTGGAAGAAAGATATGTTGGCAGTCAGCCTGGAGGCTGCAATCCCTGTGAGAAAGGAAGGCAGGCCGGTGTTACAGTGCTATGCTGGGAGCCAGGCAAGCAGCACTGTTAACTCATCTGCGTCCAGTGATCACAGGGCTCCGATGAAATGGGCCTGGGGGCTGCCCAAAATATCTGCTACTGCAGAATCTTCTACTGAGAAGGCATTTGGGGGAAATAGGAGAAGAGAGCAGTTTCTTTTTCAAAGAACTCACTGTTGGGGTCTTCTTCTTTAGACTTTGTTCTCTCCGGTGCCTCTCTGTTGAACTGTGTCATTGGCTCACTAAAGGCTGGTAGAGAAGCTAAAAAGCAACTGTCTGTGATGGGAACTGGGTAAGCCAGTGTCACTCACCCAGGCCTTTATCTACCTTATATGTGCTAAATAAAGTCGCTGTATTACCTACCATATGGGAAATCTCATCTCATCTCTCTCTCGCTCTCTCTCTCCCTCAGGTTAATTATACATACCTGATTCGGTTGTTCATTTCAACTCTGCCTAACTTTACTCCCTAACCATGCATTTATTATCGGTTCTAGTTGCTCTTTCTAGTTCTGTTTTCGCCTTTGCCCTTGTCCCAGCCACTTCCCATGACTGAAGAAATAACTCACTCTGACTGGATTCTTTTCACTCATTCAAAAAGTTTTTATTATCTGCCTATGATGCGCCAGACACTGTTCTGGTCATTTAGGATAGGTTTGTGAACAAAATAGATAAAGATCCCTGCAGGGAGGGGGAAGAAAGATAATCAGCAATACACATAACAAATATATAAATTACAAAGTATGTTAGACTTTTGTCCATGAGGACAAAAAAGAACAAGATTATACAGGTTAAGGGTGATCAGGAGTGTCAGGGAGTAGGGGGAAGGGTGGGTGGTCAGGGTGGGCCTCATTGAGAGGGTGAGATTTGAACATTGCAGGAATGAGAAAGTTCATCAAGTAGATATCTGGGGCAGGTGTATTCAGGTAGAGGTTACAGCTAGAGCAAGGACACAAAGGTAAGTGCATGCCTAATGTGTTTAAGGAACAACAAGGAGACTAAAATGAGTGAGGAAGAGTGTCAGAGAAGAAGATAGAGAGGTGCAGTAGGCAGATAATGTAGAACAATTTTGGCTTTGTAAACTCTTTTTTTAGCTTTTTTTTTTTTTAGACAGGGTCTTTCTCTATTGCCCAGGCTGGAGTGCAGTGGCATGATCATCCCTGGCTCAAGATATCTTCCCACCTCTGCCTCCTGAGAAGCTGGGACTACAGCCATGCACCACCATGCCCAGCTAATTTTTTGATTCTTTCATAGGGTCAGGGTGGTCTTGAACTCTTGGGCTAAAGTGATCCTCCCTCCTTGGCCTCCCAAATGGCTGAGATTACAGGCATGAGTCACTGTGCCCAACCTAGGACTTTAGTTTTGAGAGAAATGGGAGTTATTGAAGTGTTACCTTAAGAGAAATGGGGGGCAGCGATACTGAAGAATTTTGATTAGAGAAGGGATATGATCTAAACTACTTTTTTTTTTTTTTTTTGAGACAGGGTCTCATTCTGTAGCCCAGGCTGGAGTTCAGTGGCCCCATCTCAGCTTATTGCAACCACAGCTTCCTGGACTCAAGCAATCCTCCCACTTCAGCCTCCAGATCAGCTGGCTTTACAGGCACATGCCACCACACCTGGATCATTTTTGTATTTTTTATAGAGACAAGGTTTCGCCATGTTGCCCAGGCTGGTCTTGAATTCCTGGGCTCAAGGGATCCTCCCTCCTTGGTCTCTCAAAGTGCAGGCATCAGGGGTTACAGGCATCAGCCACTGTGCCTGGCCTCTCGGGTGCATTCAAAAGGGATCACTGTGGCTGCTGTGTTGAGAGCAAGAGTAGATTCAGGCGAGAATCTACTAGGTGAGAGATGATGGCGGCTTCAACTAGATGGAGGCAATAAAGGAGGCAAGAAGTGGTTGGATTCTGGATGTATTTTGAAGGTCGTATTAATAGTTGCCAGATGCCAGATCTGATGTGTGTGTGAAAGGACGACAGGTGACAGGGATGACTCTAAGTTTCTGGCCTAAGCAACTGGAAGAATAGAGTTGCCATCAGTTGTGATGGGAAGGCTGTGGGTAGGTCAAGTTTGGGGGAGCAGATCAAGAGTTCAGTTTTGGACATGTTGAATTTGGAGATGTGCAGCAGACAGTTGGATACGTGAGTCCAGGGTTGAGGGAAGAGATCTGGGGCTAGAGATATAAATGTAGGGGTCATGGGAATATTGATAGTATTGGAAATCATGTATTAATATTTGTATGAGACCATCGAAAGAGGTGGATAAGGAAAAGCAGAGAACTGAGGTCTGAGCCCTGGGCATTTCAACATTTAGGGGTCAGGGAAAAGAGGAGGAATGAAGAAAAAAGACGAAGAAGGTTTGAAGGAGTGAGGTACCAGGAAAAAACCAAGCGAGTAAGATGCCCTGGGGTGAACCTCAGTGAAGAGACTGTATCAAGGAAGAGGAAGTGGTCAGTTATATCAGATGCTATTAATCAATAAGATGAGAGCTGAGAATTGACCCTTGTATTTAGTAACATGAAAGTCATGATAACTTTGACAGGAACAATCTCTGTAGGCTAATGGGGACGTAAGCCTGATTTGAAGTTGATTTGAGAGAGAACTGGAGGAGAGGAATTGGACATAGCAAGTATAAATGATTCTTTTTTGCTCTAAAGAGGAGTAAATAGGGCAGACACTGCTGATGGAAGTAGTCATTAAAAGACTTTGTTGTTTTTTAAGATATGAGAAATAATAGCATGCTTGTGTACTGATGGAAAGGATCCAGTAGAGACAGAGACAGAGAGAGAGAGAATTTGGTGGAAGAGAGAAAGGGAAGCATTGCTGGAGTAATGTCCTTGAGTAGGTGAAAGGGGCAGGATTGTGTGCACAAGTCGAGGAATGTGCTTTGATGGGCAGGTAATAGGTGGAAAGTGTGAAGATGCAACTTCTGGTCAGGGGATAAATGTGGTAGTGGGAATCTGTAGAGTTCTTTCCTGGTTGCTTCTATTTTCCCAGTGGAGAAAGAATACAATTATCAGCTGAAAGTAAGGGTGGGAAGGAAATGCTAAGGGTTTGAGAAGAGAAAAGAAGGTATGAAACTGCTGTCTAGGAGGAAAAGTGAATGAATGCATCAGGGAAGATGACCTGATCAGCATTAAGGGCCCATGGAGTTTCATCATCATGAATTTAAAGTGAATCAAGCAGTGTGGCTGTGTGTTGTTCTCCAGCCATGTTCAGCAGCAGATGTGGAGGTATGAAGTAGGTGCAGAGTTGGATTTGACTAAGTCTGCCTCAGGCTAGGTGAATGTGACAAAGGAAAAGAGAAGCAAAGAGCTGAAGGTGTACAGAAGGGGCAATGATGATAACGGCTGAACCATGAAATTGACACGGTCAGTAGGGGAGTAGGAACATCACAGGGTAGGCAACAGTGTATGGCTCGGATGGGGTCAAAGGATGGCTGGGATGTGTGAGATGAACTGGAAAGATAGGAGGTTGCAGTCAGAGAGTGGAATGCATGAAACTGAGATTATGGAGAGGTTGCAGTTGTAAGTAATCACAATTATGGGTTGAGTAGAGGAAAGATCATTGGAGGAAAGAAGTTCAAGGCACTGAGAGGCTCAGGTGTTGAAAGGGTTATCTACGCGTACATTGTAATCACCAAGCATTAAGACAGTACATATTAGAGAAACAGTTAGCCAGGCCCTAAAATAATTGAAAAATGACCTCTGGGCATCAGGATAAGACAGTAGTGATTTATGTAATCTGAAGATATAAAATTCAATGTGGGGTGCAAGGGTTTGCAGAGGAGGAGGGAGATATTTCTGAAAGTGACCATGAGGAGTAAGAAGGACACCTATGTCACCTCTCAGTGAGAAGCCTGTGAGAGAACAAAATAGCCCCTGCTTGAGAAGGTGTTGGAAAAAGCAGTGAGCTCAGGGGACAATCAGGTGCCCCTTAGGGAAAGAAGTGAGGCAGATGTTGAGAGAATAGATTGAGGATAAAACAGATTTTGCTAATCATGGATCGTGGACTCCAGAGGGCATGGAGGATGAGTTTCAGGAGTTGGGGAGGGTGGAAGAAAGCCCCGGGATAGGGAAAATACGTAGCCTCCTGGGGATTCGTGGGCTGAGATTAGGTGAGCTGGGAACCAAGCAGCTCTTAGGACCGATGTCAATAGGGGCAAAGGCACGATGAGATGAGCTTCTTTGGATGCAAGGCAGATGATGGTGGCGAGGCGGTGAGTGTTGGGGTCGAGGAGAAGTTTCAGGGGCTCCTTCTTCCCACCAGATGGTGAAGGAGAAGGTTAGGAGAGTGTCTCTGAGTGATCCCAGCTGCAGGGGCCTCTCCTCCTCCTCTCCTATTCTCTCATCTTTCATCTTTTCCAAAGCTGCACCCAGCGGTTGTGACAATTCTGACTCTGCTACATTATTCACTGGCTTTAAAAGAGATTGAATAGATTTTTTGCTCTCTGATTACTGAATTTCCTGTTTCTCTGAAAGCCTGAAATGTACTTGATCACATCCACCCTCCTCCCCACCCCAGAGGGCACATCCGGGGCTCTGTTGACACATTTGTCACATGGGCGACTTTCAAAAACAGTCGGAGTTCAAATATCCACAGAGCTGAATGCCTCCCCACCCCCCAGAGAGGCATTTGGGGATGGTTGAGGCTGTCCCAAGGGCTATCAGATAGATCCTTTTAAGTAAGGCCTTTTCATTCATTCCCACATTTCCATATAAAACCTTCCCTCACTCTGCCTCCTCTCTGCCTGCCCATTAAACTGCTTTGGCGGGAGGAGCCTCCAAATTGGGGGAAGACAATTTTTGCTCACGTGGTCTGTGTTTCAGAGAACACAGCTGCTCACCATCTTGGTGAATGAGATCGTGCTTCCATCCTGGCTGCTCAAACCCAAGTTTATCACTGGTGCCTCCTCTTCACTCAGCTTCTCCTCTGGACGTAGCTTTGTCCTGATCAAAAGCCAGATCCATTCCTTTGGACTCGCTTATAGCCTAAGTCGGCAGCCATCTAATCACCTCCAGACTTTGCCTCTGACTATCACCCAAGGCACTGCCAAAGAAGAGTTGCAGGGAAGGGGGCCCAGGATGCTAAGAAAAGCTTGGTGTTTGCTGAATTAAGTGAGAGGATGAGCTCTTGGGAAACAGGTGATGTTTCTGTCACACACCCTAGTTTCATAACAGCTGTTTAAACACCAACTTCTCGTCTTGTGGTTTTATAGAACTGTAGAAATCTTTTCTGCTGTGCTCTGGCCATGGCCTGACGCTGTCTGGCGGAGCAATGCTTTCTCTCCGTAATTTACCTCAATTAATTTCCCTTAACCAGCTCTCAGAATAAGATCTCCATGCTGCGATGTGACTAGTTAGATTCAATAGTTACCTGTTTAGGGAATATTTGCATTTTGGTGTGAGAGGAGGGGTGGGCCAAGCAGTTGGTGAGAGAAAGAGACAGGATGGGATGGTGGAGCCTGTGGTAGACTGCAGAATACAGGTCAGTGTGGCCAGATTTTTAGTTTTGGGGAAACTGTTTACAAATCCAGATATTTCGGTATAATCTTCCAATTTAAAATTTTTGGTAATTAATTCGTTTTTAAAAAAACGCTAGGTGTACCAGATAAAATACATATTTGAGTCACCTTGGACCATGGACCAAGGTGAGGTAGCAGTGACATGCATAAATGGAAGCACACTTTTGGATTAAATGTGTTTGGTGTTAAGCACAATGGTTCTTTTATGGTTGATTTTTGGCAAAAATGCCAGTGGCGCTGCCCTGTGGTCCTGAAATCATACTGGAAAGGCTGGCCCAGGACTGACTCTGGCCTTGGTGACTTGCATCTAGTTCATTTGGAATCCGGTTCCTATGGATAGTTTCTTCCTCAGTATAGGTTGCCTGGGTCCCTCAGGAAAGCCATCGAATTCAATGTGAATGCAATCACTCAGGTCGACTAAAGGCAGGTGAGTGTAACAGGAAGGTCTTCCTCACTGTGAAGGATGGCTGAAGACTGCAATAGAGTCCTTTCCATCTCTGATCAGAGAGACTGGCAGAGTTTATTGTACAGCACAGGTTTAACACATGACCTCTGGAATCAGATCCGTGGGTTCAAACTTCTCCCCTATTAGCTGGGTGTCCTCGGGCAAGTTAATTAGTCTCTCTAAACTCAGATTTTTAATCTGTAAAACGGGGAGTTAATAGTTCCTTCTAAGTAGTATTCAGTGAGATGGCGCTTGCAAAGTGCTTCCGTAGCAGTTCCTAAAGTGTAAGCTTCTACATCAGAAATGGGGTGTGACTTCATGTTTAGAAGACTCACTCACTATGTTTTAAATTTTGCTGGGGCTCAGAAAATGATAAGTCAAAGTATAATGCCTTGGCGTGCTGAGTACTTTGAACTAAAGGAGATTGGAAGGCCTTAGAAGCAGTCTCAGAAGTAAAATCTCTCTCTGAACTTCTCTTGCCCTATTTCCCACCCCTTCTTCTCCCTGAATTCATAGAAACTAGAATTCCTCTTCCCTATGGCAGGTCATAATAACTAGAATCCCTTTCCCCCAAAGCAAGCCATAAAATCTAGAACTGTTACTCTAAGTTCCCCCTGCCTTTCTGTGTAGGCACTGGCCATGAAGAGATTCTCTGATCTACCTCTGACTGTGAGTTATAAGACCCGTGCTCCAGAAAGCCCCTGCCCCACACCCAGGAGGAAGGAATGCTGCTCAGAGAGGCCAAGAAGAATCTGAACAGACAGGCCTTGCTGGGTTTCTCCCCTCAGTCTGTTACCATTAGATCGCATCCTTTTGTCTATTTTTATGCTTAGGTTCAACGAAGAATGGACAGTGTGTATTTCTACCTAGGCATAAAAATAGACAGTTTTCCCTGGGTCACTGGGTTTTCATTTCTGAAGGCTCCTGTGTCCCATAAAACTTTGATTCGGTAAATTTGCTATGCTTTTCTCTTGTTAATCAGTCTTTTGCTATAGCAATGACCCTTATGAAGGGTGAGGAAAGGTATCTCACATCTTTTCTACCCCGCCCCCCCCCCACAATAGGGATTTATTGAACTGCACCACACCAAGTCCCAGACCCAGGAGACTGGGCTCAGAAAGTCCCACTGAGTTCCTAGGTACCAGCCTTCTGGTAGAGCAGCTTTCTTTTCTAGTGTGGCTCTATCTCTTCTTTGCATATGCCTTCAGCTTCTTCTTTCCCCTCTTTTAGGTCTACTCTGCCTCCAGCCTGTGTTTTAATCACATAAAAAATGCTATTAAAAATGTAGAATCAAGGGCTGGACAGAGTGGCTCAAACCTGTAATCCCAGCATGTTTGGAGGCTGAGGTGGGCAGATCGCTTGAGCCCAGGAGTTCGAGACCAGCCTGGGCAACATAGTGAAACCCCGTCTCAAAAAAAAAAACAAAAACAAAAACAAACAAACAAACAAACACAAAATTAGCCAGGCGGGCATGGTGGCACAGCGCCTGTAGTCCCAACTACTAGGGAGGCTGAGATGGGAGGATCGCTTGAACCTGGGAGGTCAAAGCTGCAGTGAGCCATGATCACGCCACTGCACTCCAGCCTGGGTGACAGAGCAAGACTGTTTCAAAAAGAAAAAGTTTAGAATCAAATTTTAGATTGTAAACTCTGATTGAGGTTGTTGCCTTCCAACTATGCTTATTCATCTAGAAAGAGAAGTCAGCATTTCTTGAAGTCTGGTCGCAGTATGGGGTCCCTGAGAGAAGGCCTCTCTAAAAATACCAGGGGGAGGGAGGGAGAGGTATGCGATTGAGAGTTAGGGAGGTGGTTCCAGAGAAGAGGGCAAGCCCTCAGGTTGGGCCGCCAGAGGCTCCCAGGAGAAGAAAGAAAGGGAAGCCAGGCCTGCATCCTGGTGGAGCCCGCTCCTCCCACCGCGGGGAGATCCGCCCTCAGCGCTGTGGTGGCCGGAAGTGCTGGTCTAGGGCGGGTGGGGGCGAGGGGCTGCCTGGGAGGTCAGTCTCCCGGCTGGGCTGGGATATTTATAGCACCTGGGTTTCTGGGTCTGCCTCCACCTGGATTTATTTATGCGGCCTGTGGCTGTGGCGCCTGTGGAGAATGAGGCGGGGTGGGGTGGGGGGGGGCGCGGATCTCGCTGCAAGGGTCTAGTTCTTGGCCTTGGGACTCTAGCTGGACTGGAAACGACAAATCACAACCAGGGGCTGTCTGGGGGAACACAGGCAGAGCAGCACTTGGTGCTGCGCCTGCAAAGCCGCCGATGGTTGGGCCTGTTGAAACTCGGGGCTTTCCAGATTCACGCGGTGTCGCCTTTGCGGCCGCCGTGGGCGTGGGTTAGGCAGGTGTGGGCGACGGGGAAGCGATCCCCTCCCCCGCAAGTCACCCCGGGCTCCGGTTCTCACGCCTTCCTCCGCAGCTCCTGGGAAGAATTAAAGGCGGAACAATGTTCCGTCTCCGGAGGGATCTGTACTTGGAAAGAGAACTCAGAGAGCACGTGGTGGCCGGCCCCATCTGCAGACCCAAAACTAGAGAGTCCACGTTTGCGAACCCATCTGCACTTTCGACTTTCCCTGATCACTACGTGTCTGGCTGCTCTCAGACTGCGATGACATCATTTAAAAAAAATGTAAATAACTGTCCTTTGGGTCTTTCAAGAACCTAGTGATTGAGGAGAGGGCAACGGTGAATCTCGAGGAAGGCTGTGTCGTGGGACCTTCAGGCATTGTTTAATCTGTGCAGGGCGCAGTCTTGGGCAGGCCCCAGCCCTCTCCTCTGCCCACTCGCAAAGCCCGGCCTGCTTGCTCCACCGGCAACTGGGCTGGAGGAGAGGCGAGGGGCAGGGTGGGTGCTAAGATCCTGTGCGAAAAGCCAGGACCCTCGTGGTACCTAGGGAAATGAAAATCGCGTTGACAGTAGTCCAACGCTTTCCTTTTCTCATTCACCCCTCGGGCAGCACAACGAGACAGGCACTCCTGCCAACGTCCCCATTTCACAGATGGAGAAACTGAGGCTTAGGCAAAGCAATTTGCCCCAGGGTGACGGAGCAAGCGTCAACTTCAGTTTCCAGCTCGGACGCGAGGGGCCGTCGGGGGCGTTCCGGGGAGGGGGTGCCTGGGCCGGGGGCGGCCACGCGGGGCTGGGAGAGGTTCCAGCAGCGGCGCGTGGTGTAGCCGGCGTCCGGCGGGACTGCACGGGCCTGGAGCCGCTGGAAAGGCCGGTCTGGTGGCCCGGGACGAGGGGGCGGCCTTCCCGGAATCCCGAGCAGCACGGCGGAGCCGGGGCAGCTGCCAGGCGCGGCTGGGGACCGGCTCGCGCTGCGGTTGGCGGCGGGCAGGCCACATACCGCGCAGCGTGGAGGAAATGGCTGGGATTCCTCCTGCGGCGCCGCGCGGGCCTCGGGGAGGGCGGGGCTCCCCCAGTGTGTCGGGGCGGGGGCGGGGCGCGGCGGAGGGTGAGCGGGGATCCTGGCGCTGGCGGGGGCGCCCCGACCTGAGTCCTCGTCCCTGGAGCGCTCCCGCCACTTTGCCAGCATCTGGGCCTCCAGAGCCCCGTGAACCCTCGAGAAGGGGAGCACGTGAAGGGGCTCCCCGGCCACGCCCAGCCTCCTGCCCAGTCTCTGCCTCAGGCCTAAGGGTTCAAGAGGGGCCTGAGTCACCCACCTGCAGAGCGGCCCTGCAGCCCCTGCTGATCCGAATCAGGCCCTGCCTTCTGGGGTGGCGCACGACACGCGTGGGGCCCAGCGAAGAGGATGCTGAGGACCTGGACGCTGCTCCGGACAGTGAGGCCTCCGCAGGTCCCAGTTTCAGCTTTGGAAAGTCCTGGCCACTGACGTCCTCAGTGTTCTAGGCCCAGCCTCAGGCCTTTCTGCTGCAGGCATGGTGGGCCAGGCGGAGTCGGCTTCTAGGGGATGAGGCTTGCCCTGAGAGAGAGGCCGGCCCCTTGTGAGATTGTTGGCTGCATTGTGGTGGGTGAAGTTTAGAGGCAGAGCCGGGAGGGTGGCACTGAGGTCAGTCTTGACCTGGGCCTGAGTGAGGAGGCCGCTTTACACTATACTGGGGAGTGGAGGCATGAGAAGATGGAAAACCTGGGGGTTGGGTTAGCTTGAGAAAGCTCCCAGCTTCCCCCGGACACAAGCAAAAACATGATTTGGCTGGGGAAGTGGAAGAGGGGAAGGTGAATTGAGGGTCTTAGATTGGGTCCCCTATAACATCTGCTAGGAAGGTGGCCCCTGGCACTTGGAACAGGGACTGATTGATGGATCCATGATCTCTTTCCTCCATCAGTCTCCACTAGGATGTCAGATCCAGTCAAGAGTGGCGTTTGAGAGGCGTTACCATCTGCCCTGCACCCCTAAACCCTTCCCGCTGCAGACTGCTGTACTGACACCCTCCTGCCCTTCTCTGGTTTCCAGCTCCAATGGCGTCTATTCTCTATGAATTATTCCTTGATCCCCGCAACTTCTACTCCTTCCATCTGCTTCCACGGCCACGTGATCGCACTTTTCACACTGGATCATGAATATTTGCTTGTGAACTTATCTCCCCAGCTTGACAATAGCTCTATAAGGGCAGAGATTGGCTAAATCTTTTATTAACTTTGTGGACCTACTGTCTTAGGCCAGTTTCCCGTTGCTATAAGGAAATACCCGAGACTAAGCAATTTATAAAGAAGAGAGGTTTAATTGGCTCATGTTTCTGCAGGCTTTACAGGAAGCATGGTGCTGTCATCTGCTCAGCTTCTGGTGAAGCCTCAGGGAGCTTTCAATCATGGTGGAGGGCAAAGGAGGAAGCTGTCATCTCACATGGCCAGAGGAGGAGCAAGAGAGAGCATGGGGGGAGAGGTGCCACATACTTTTAAATGACCAGATCTCGTGAGAACTCACTATGGTGAGGAGAGCACCAAGCCATGCAGGACCCACCCCCATGACCAAGACACCTTCCCACCTCCAACAATGGGGATTACGATTCATTATGAGATTTAGAGGGGATACACATCCAAACCTGCTGTCTAGAATTGTGCTTGCCTTACAGTAAATGCACCACCTGTTTGTTGAATGAATGAGAGAAAGAGGAAGGAATTGGGTGGGGACAGTATAAATGAAAGCAGAGACCAGAGGAAACACAGGCCAGATGTGAAACTTGCTAGAAAGCTCTCATCTTTGCTTCCTGCATACACAGAGAACTTGCTACCCAGACCCTGCCCTGCCCTTTCTTACCTGCCATTCCGAGGTGGGCCCAGTCCAGAGGGTCTAGCACCACCGCTTCCCCAAGACCACTCTGAACTGCACACCTTGATACTAACTTCAATGCCAACCCCCACTCTCTCTCTCTTACCCTGGCTTGAGGCTCTGAGTTTGGCTTAGTTGCTTTGCACCTGTTTCTGTAGCCCACCATCCCCCCACCTCTGCTCCCCATGCTGGTGTACCTCATTTCTCAGCTTAGGGCTCCACAAGGTGGATGGATCCATGATCTCTACATGAAGTGGTGTTGTCCAGCCATTTCAAATAAAACCAGGGCTTGGGAGGTATGCCCTGGCCCAAGGCTGGGGGCAAGCATGGTGGTGGCTTTGTCTGCCTGCCTCCAGGGTAGGATGGCTTCAAGCTCGGAAGCAGAACAGAGATGGAGTTTCCCAACTTAGCCCACATCACCTGAGCCCGAGTGGCCTGCTGAAGTTTCCACCACTTCAGGGACTTCCAAGTAGCCTGATCTAGGCCTGGGGAGGGGCTCCCTTCAGAGCAAGTCCTCTGCCAGGCCCTGGGAGGAAATAGGAGACCCGAGCCAGGTCTGTCCTGATGCACTTGCCCCTCCTCAGACCGGCCTGATGGGCGTCTGTGGGACTCAGGAGCGTCAGGGAATGAGATGTCACTTCCAACATTGCCTCTGGACACTCCTCCACAAGGAGCAGGCCTAGGAGGCCCTGGCAGACCTTTCACACAGACACAGGCAGACAGAAACGCAGCCAACTCACAGTGACAGCATTGGTTCCGGGAATTTTGAAAGTCAAAACCCCAATATTTTTTCACAAGAAAAAGGAACAGATTTTGGCATCTTTGCTTCAGAAACAGGAACTGACCAAGACAGTGACCTCTGATCATCACTTCCTCATTGCACTGCTCAGAAGCGGGTGGGCTCCCTCAGCCCTTTGACTTTCCCCTCAGGGTTCTGGGGGCAGAAGCCCCAGGGCTTTAAGGAACAGCAGAGGAAAGAAGAGAAGGGGAAGGAAAGGCATGGCAGAGGAGAGGGAAGGGAAGGAGAGAGATTTTCTAGGTGGTCAGTCCTTGAGGATTGAGGAGGCCAGGAGCCTGGTGGGGGTGGGGGGAGTTAGGGCCAGGAGGTACTTGGCACCTGGTAGGTCTCAGTGTGGCCTTATTTTTATCTTGTCATGGAAAGAGCATCAGTGTGTGGACCCTTTGAAGCTCACGGTTCATTGCTCCTGTGTCTTGTAGCATTGAAGTACAGCTGTCCACATTCACAGCAGACTTAGCTGTAGCACCTCTGAAAGTTGTTTTTGTTTTTTGTTTTTTGAGATGGAGTCTCATTCTGTCACCCAGGCTGGAGTGAAGTGGCGCGATCTCAGCTCCCTGTAACCTCTGCCTCCCAGGTTCATGCGATTCTCCTGCCTCAGCCTCCTGAGTGGCTGGGATTACAGGTGCCCACCACTATGCCTGGCTAATTTTTTTTTATTTTCAGTAAAGATAGGGTTTCACTATGTTGGCCAGGCTGGTCTCAAACTCCTGACCTCAGGTGGTCCGCTGGCTTTGGACTCCCAAAGTGCTGGGATTACAGGCGTGAGCCACTGCGCCTGGCTGCTCTGCATGTTTTGAGCATCTACTCCATGTCAGATGGGTTGCTGGATGCTGGGTGAATAAGAAACAGATTTTTCCCTTGCAGTGCTTAGCGTCTAATAGAAGGATCTGGTATTTGAATAATAAACATTAAAATAATGAAGCTGAGGATGACAATTGCCAAGAGAGGAGGGAGAGGCTACACTGGGTTGGGGTGGAGCATGAAAGGCATGAGGAAGGAGGTGGCATTTGAAGTGGGCCTTGAAAGGCGGTGGTCATTTGTCAGGTGGAGATGGGAAAGGAGGACCTTCCAGGGAAAAGGAGCCGCCTCAGCAAAGGTGCAGGGGAGAGAAAGTGTGAGTATATCTGGGGAGCTGAGAGTGTGGGGTGCAGGTGGGTACAGAGGAATAATGGGAGAAGTGGCTGGAGCAGGAGGTGAGGTCCACTTTGCAGAGAGCCCTGAGTGCCAGACTGAGGTATGTGGATTTCCTCAGAGGTTCATGGGGAAGCCTTGACCGGCAGTGGCATCATATATCCGTCACCAAGTGCTGCTGGAAGCGCGGAGAAAGGACCGAGGCAATGGGGAGGACTGAGCAGCCAGAACCAGCCATGATGACAACTCAGCCTTTTAGCATGTTTGGCATTGCCAGCCCTCATAGTGCGCAGCGACCTGAAATTGGTCCCATTTACTAGATCTTTGTTCGTTCAAGGTTTTTCCTACAAAACTAAGTTTCAGTTCCCCTGTGAAGTGAGCAAAGAGAATATTGATGGTGCTATCTATGTTCTTGTGTGAAATGACCAGAGCAGGAGTCACTGTGGGCAATCAGAGGCCTTCTTTCTCCTGGACAGGCTATGGAAGGGTGCCAGGGTGGGGAGGGGTTAGGAAGCAGTCAGGGTGGGGAAGGGTTAGGGAGGAGGAGCCAGGGTGGGAAAGGGTTAGGGAGGAGGTGCCAGGGCCAGATGTGCACTGGGCAGAGACCTCTGGATCAAAAGGTCCTTAAGAAGATCAATTGGACCCTCCTCTGGCTCCATGGCTCTGTCCTTAACAGAGCACTTCTCATACGGGGTGCGATGGAACTTCCTCAGCAGTAGGCAGAGAGGGTTGTATTGGTTGTTATTTATTTATTTGAGACAGGGTCTCACTCTGTTGCCCAGGCTGGGGTGCAGTGGCACGCTCATGGCTCACTGCAGCCTCTACCTCCCACGCTCAAGTGATCCCCCCACCTCAGCCTCCCTAGTAGCTGGGACTACAGGCGTGTGCCACCACACCCAGCTAATTTTTAAATTTTTTATAGAGATGGGATTTTGCCATTTGCCCAGGCCGGCCTTGAACTCCTAAGCTCAAGTGATCCTCCTTCCTTGGCCTCCCAAAGTGCTGGGATTACAGGTGTGAGCCACTGTGCCCAGCTCTGTTATTATTATTTTCTTAATAAGCTTTATTTCTCTTCGTAGATTGTAAACTCCTACAGGGCAGAGGTGGTGTTTCCCATAGGTCCTAGTACTCACTAGGCACTAAATAAAAGTGAGCTGAAGGAAAGGATCAGGGTTAGATGCCCCATTATGAGGAGGAGAAGCCTTAGGGGTGATAGCAAACAATACGTTTTATTGTTTTATCATACATCCCCCTGCTGACCCCTCTGTGACTTCTATGAGTGTGACCATGAATCCAACAGACCCTTTGTGGGGGTCTTTGCTGATGGGTCAGCCTCTCTGAACTTCTCTCCTTCCCCCATTTCTTCCATGGGGCATGTTAGCATTTCATCAACTCATTCTATACATATTTATTATCTTCAATTTGTTAGAGATGGTGCTGGGTATGGGAATACAATGGTAAAATTTTCCTTGCTAGTTATGATTTTGGGCGCCACCTGCTGGGCATATGTAGGCACATACACACAAAGTTTTGTGTAAATGTACACATTAAGATGCCAACTAAAACATACAAAGGGAGACACAGCTGTGTACACAGAGTAAAACATATACTTGTTCACAAACAGGCACACATATGTGAAAACATAGAAACACAAATGTAGAAATGTAGGCTCCAGCATAGTACCTCCACCTTAGTAGGAGTCCAGTAAATACTTGCTAGTCTGTAAAAGAAGATGCAGTTCTTTGGATCTACTTCTTCCAGGCTTATTTTTCACCACCCTTTCTAGCCAATTAGACAAGAATGCTGTGTTGTCACTTGCCCCCTTCCTACATTCCTCCCCCCCATTCTATTAATTCTTTTTATTTTTATTTAGTTATTTATTTTGAGACAGGGTCTCACTCTGTCGCCCAGACTGGAGTGCAGTGGTGCGATCAAGGCTCACTGCAATCTCTGCCTCCCAGGCTCAAGTAATCCTCCCATCTCAGCCTCTTGAGTAGCTGGGACCACAGGTGCATGCCAGCATGCCTGGCTAATTTTTTTTTCGTAGACATGGAGTTTCACCATGTTGCCCAGGCTGGTCTCAAACTCCTGGACTCAAGCCATCTGCCTGTCTCGGGCTCCTAAAATGCTGGGATTACAGGCATGAGCCACTGCACCTGGCCTATTAATTCTTTAAGACCTAGCTCAGGCTGGGCGCGGTAGCTCACACCTGTAATCCCAGCACTTTGGGAGGCCGAGGCGGGTGGATCATCTGAGGTCAGGAGCTCAAGATCGGCCTGACCAACATGGTGAAACCCTGTCTCCACTAAAAATACAAAAATTAGCTGGGCCTGGTGGCGGGGACCTGTAATCCCAGCTACTCTGGAGGCTGAAGCAGGAGAAAATCACTTGAACCTGGGAGGCGGAGGTTGCAGTGAGCTGAGATTACGCCATTGCACTCCAGTCTGGACAACAGAGCAAGACTCCTTCTCAAAAACAAAATAAAACAAAACAAAAGAAGACCTAGCTCAGATGCCACCTTCTGCAGGTGCAAGCCTGTAGCAACTCAGATGAACCTTCTACCAGCTAAGGGAATGACTTTCTCTTCTGAACTTTCATAACTTTATGATATTTGTCATTTTACTAACTTGCATTTTGGCTCTTTGGGGATGCGTGTTTTCTCCTTTTCTGGTCTGTAATCTCCTTGAGGGTAGAATTTGTGGTTGACCGATGTTAGTGTTCCCCCATAGTGCCTGGCATGCTGCCTTGTACAAAGGGAGGGGCTCAATAAATATTTGCTAAATAAATGACACAGTTATGGACACAGAGGAACATGAATTTACAGAAATGCACATCTACTTATATACATTTCTCTATCTTTGCAAAAGTTATACACATTTACAAGAAAGCACAGAAAAACATCTCTAGGCCTATAGCTGTGAGTAGACACATCCCTTCAGCTAAGCCCTTTTTAATTTCTGCTGTCTTCATTTCAATTCAGATCTTCATCCTATTTACTTCATCAATTGCCTCTTAATGTGCTTGGTTTGCTAGTTCTTCTCTTTCCACTTTTTCTATTGTCCCCTGGGCTGTACCCTCCTAAAACACCTCTTTGAGGATGTTATTCATCAGCTCAGAATTCTAGCAGTTTTTGCTTCCCTGCATGATAGTGTCTAGAAAAAGCTAAATCTTTTCTTGTCTGCTCTCCCTTTAGGAAAGGGAGTCATAGTTACAACCAGTGAAAATGGTGGATGTGGTCTCTAGAAACATGTGCCAATGCCTGTTAAAAGAAACTTGTATATCTTCCAATCTGATGAGGTGGCTGGTGCCACCTGTTCTCCTTCCTTACTGCCATGAATTTGTTTACAGAGGAGCTGCAGCAGCCATTTTGCAACCATCAGGGAATAACCAAGATGCTGCTCTTGACCTTGAGCAACTGAACAAATGATACTACTTCTAGATTCCTTGTTTATGTAAGAAAAATAAACCTTTGTTTAAGCCACTGCAAGTTGTTTTCTATGACTTGCATCTGGATGTAATCCCAACTCGTGATACTTAAATATCCCACTTCTCCTGATACCCGCAGGACAAAGCCTAATTTCCTCAATCTGATATTGTAGAGTATTTGTGATCTGGCTCCGCTCTACTCATCCAATCATGTTTCCTAGTATTCTTCTTATAGCCACACCCTAGTCCAAGCCTCCATTTTCACCTGTTGTCTAGACAAGTTGATTAACTTCCCAGCTCATCTCTTTGCTTCCACCACAGAACTCCTCCAATCCATCCTTCTCACAGCAGCCAAGAGAGATCCTTTTAAAACATGGTATCTCTTCTGTGCTTAAATCCCTTCAATGGCTTTTTTTTTTTTTCGAGATGGAGTTTCGCTTTTGTTGCCCAGGCTGGAGTGCAATGGCGCGATCTCAGCTAACTGCAACCTCTGCCTCCTGAGTTGAAGTGATTCTCCTGCCTTAGCCTCCCAAGTAGCTGGGATTACAGGCATGCACCACCACACCTGGCTAATTTTGTATTTTTAGTAGAGATAGGGTTTCACTATGTTTGGTCAGGCTGGTCTTGAACTCCTGACCTTGGGTGATCCACCTGCCTCAGGCTCCCAGAGTGCTGGGATTACAGGCATAAGCCACCTGCACCTGGCCTCAATGGCTTTTTATTACACTTTAACTCAAATCTGAACTCCTCAATAAAACTCAGACTCCTACGAGGCTCTGGCAGCCTCAAGATCCGTGGTCTTCAACCCTTGCTGCATATTAGAATCACCTAGGACTATTTCAAAGATTATCAGAGGTTGAGTTTCACACCTAAACATTCTGATTTAATTGCTCTCGGATGGACCTGGGGCACTGATATTTTTGATATATTCCTTGGTAGATTCTAAAGTACAGCCAGGATTGAGGTCCCTGATTTAGACCTTGCCTATTAACTCCATGCTTACCTAGCACCCACATGGTCACTATGCTTTAATCATATTGATTTCTTAATTCCTCAAAATGTGCCAAACTCTTTGCTGCTTCTGAACCTTTGTAGATGTGATTCCTTCTGCCTGGGAGGCTCTTGCCTTTGCTTGCCATAGGTCTGCTTGTTCTTATCTCTAAGACTCAGTTTAAGTGTCTCCTGTCCAGAGAAGCCTCCTCTAACTACTTAATCTAAAATTGTCCCCCATGTCATTCTCTGTTGCAATTTCCTAATTTCTTTCTTGATACTTGCTGCCACTTAAAAATGATATGTTTGTCTTTTAAAATCTTTATCTCATACTAGATTGTTGTCTGCAGAAGAGCAGTTTATAATCTATGTTTTGTAGGGTACCCCTCTTACAATCAGAGCCTCACACATAGTAGGTATGTCAAGAATTGTGAAGGAGTCTGAAATTTACTGTATTTGTAAGTTAACAAGTTAGCTTGCTACCATTTCACGGATGCTGGCAGAAGACAAAAGACTTCTAGGTCAGAGACAAAGGGCTTTATTATTCACAGCATCAGCAGCGGCCGGAGTACAAACATTTGCCCTGGTTCCTGTGCAACTTCCTGAGACTCAAAGAACCAGGGCAAATGTTTGTACTTTGGCCACTGCTGTTTCTGTGAGTAATGAAGAAGTCTGAGTAGCATGTGCCCATGTAGAGGGCTGCATTACAGAAGAGGAACCCTGAGCTTAGGGAACCACGAGCATTCAAAATGGGCACTTTGCCTACTTGAACTTTGTCCTGGGGGAAGACAATATCTTTCTAGCAGTGGACAATACACAAACCTACCCTTTCCTCCACAGGGAGACATAATCTCTATCTTTCACAGCTGTTTACTGTACAAACATTCTTGAAAAGATAGGAACAGAGGTGGTTAGTGCCTTGGCTTGTAAGATATGCAGAAATGGGAGAGACGCGTGGAGAACCCTTTGATCACTCAGGCTTTCTGCCTGGAGGCACTTTTCAGAGCAAGCACAGGAGAGGGGAACCTAACAGAGTTGGGAGTCCTCATTTAGTTGATGTGTTGAGATTGGAAGTCCGCTAGGCTGAGGCAGCTGGAATTTGTGGACAGAGTACTGGAGAGAAGGGAGGTATGCAGAGAAGGAGCTCCAGCAATCTGCATGGGGTTTCCTTGAATTTTGGCAAAACAGTAAGCTGTGCGTGTGTGGGATAAGACTCCGCTAAGCCAGGTGAACAGCTTTTAGCAACACAGCTACCGGGAAGCCATAAGGTGAACAATTTCCAGAGCTCACATCTCATCAGATTGGAAGATGTGCAAGTTTCAACTAGCCAGAGTGGAGTGTGGAGAGACATTCTTGCATGTTTGGAGCATTTAGTAGAGATCTTAGTAGTAAGATATCTTAGTTTTGGCTGCTATAACAAAGTGTCACAAGCTGGGATATAAACAATAGAAATTGTGGCTTATAAGCAATAGAAATTTATTTCTCATAGTTCTGGAGGGTGGAAGTCTGAGATCAGGGTGTCAGCATGGTTGGGTTCCACTGAGGGCCCATCCTGGCTGCAGACAGCTAACTTCTTGTATCCTCATATTGCAGAAAGACAGCAAAATAGCTCTCTGGGGTCCCTTTTATAAGGGCACTAATCCCATTCATCAGGGCTCCACCTTCATAGCCTAATTATGTCCCCAAAGCCCCACTTCCTAACACCATCACTTTGGGAGTTAAGATGTCAACACGTAAATTTTGGGAGGACACAACCATTCAGTCCATTACATAGAGTAAAACTGGCCTGGGTGAAGGTAGAGTAAAACTAACTGGGCGAAGGTACTCTAGATCAGGGTTTCTCAACCTTGGTACTATTTATATTTGTGTGTGTGTGTGTGCTTGAATAATTATTTGTTGTAGAGGGCTTTCCTGTGCGTTGTAGAATGTTTAACAGCATCACTGACTTCTATCCATTAGATACCAGTAGCATGCTCCTAATTGTGACAACCAAAAATATCTCCAGAAATTGACAATATCCCCAGGGTTGGGGTGGGGACAAAATCACACCCAATTTAGAACACTGCTCTAGAACCACCCCAATAAAGCACAGAAACAAGCCTCACAACCATTTAGCTTCTCTGTAAGTAGCTCAATGACCTGACACCCCACTTCTGTGGTGCTTGAGTTTCTTCCTCCTTTGCTCTGCCACAGGGGAGCTCATGCTTGCACCCATCTCTCTCTGGAGGCTCCCATCTTTCCTTAGATTTCAGGCTGTTCAGTTGCATTGCAACCTCAGCTCCTGATAGACTCAAGAAAAGTCAAGAATTTTGTAGATTATCCATTTTTCTCTTGTCATTAAGGTTGGAACAATGCTCTTCCCAGTTTTCTACATCCTAGGCGGAAGAGCTAATCTCCATTAGATACTTCTGCTCTCCTTCAAGTCTCTACCTGCCAGACCCTGGGCCTTTCCCCTTTTCTCCTGCACTCCTCCCAGTGTCTCCTCCTTCCCTGGCCTTCCTCCTTGTAATCTTAGCCTCCTCGCTCTACAGTTCTGAGCAGTCATACTCTGGCCCTAAATGTGCCCTCCATCCAGTTAAACAACAGCTTGTCTCCTTAGAGCATAGCTGGACCCTATCCTGTGTCACTTGAGCATCTGTTGTTATCCTCAGCAGTGTGCCTCAACCACCTGCCCATACCTCCGCCCAACCAGCTTCTCGGAGTGTTCTTTCCATTGCTCATTCTGCTCCTTGGAAGGAGTGCTGAGAAATGCAGTTATCTCCTTTCTGTTACGCACACATATGAGAATGTCTGTGCCTGAGGCCTGCCTCCATGGCAGGACCTGAAGGTTCCTCGCCCACAGCACTTCAGCTGGGATTGTTTGATGAGCTTCTTCCCTTCTATTTTGGTCCTTAAAGTGCTTTCTCTGTCAATGGTATTAGCTTCGTCACCTTAAAACAGACACATGACATTCACTTTTATGTTTTTAGTTGTTTTTTATTACAGAAAGGGCGGTGAGTATGTGTGTGTTTCAACACAGCAGTTATTTATTAATTGACCAATTTTTCTTTTGCTGTGATTTATTTTATTTATTGGTATTAATAACTTAAGATCTTTCCACATATCTGGCCTATTTACAGTAAGTGTTCCCTAGGGAAGCTGACTGTTATCACCCATGGTAAGAATTGCGGGATACAAGGATGAAATATTGTGGGTCTTCTGGGAGGAACAGTGACCAAAAATTTGAGATCAGTGGTGAGGACACAATTGACTGAGAAAGGTGGAGAATGACGTTGTGGACAGTCTCTCTTGGCATTAACTGCTCTGGTGGGGGAGCACTTAACCCTGAGGTAGGGAAGGATCAAGATGCTGGGTACCAGTTGAAGGTGCTCCAGAAGATGCTTTTAAGGTGGAATGAGTGGGTAGTATTCTATGTCCTTCAACTTTGCCCCGGGGGGAAGATTTTAAAAGTCATTGAAGAGAAAGGGCTCTAGTGAAATTAAAAGAATCGGGCCACCCTTTGGAAAATTAATAGAGCCATAAATGCTAAGGGGTGCCTTTTCTCGACCGCGGCGGGCGTTGGTGGCAGGGCTGACTTGGGCCGCGCTGGGTGACAGTAGAGTGGTGGCGCGGGAGCGCGAGGAAATCCAGTGACTCCTGAGCTGCCCAGGATGTGGGCCGCCCGCTAGGGGGCAGCATTCTGCTGAAGAACACCCAGAGATGCTCCACCCTGGAGCATCTGGCCATGACAACTCATACATGGCCCATGACATACCCCCTGGCCATGACTACCTCAGAATTCCCAGATAGAATGGGTTAGGGGCCAGCAACAGTTAACTACTTTCAATGTTTTGGTAATTTCCTTCTAGTTTTTTTTTTACCTTTTTTTTTTTTTTTTTTAAATAAATAGATATGAATTTATTATGTATAAGATTTTGCGTTCTACTTTTGATACATATTTTCCCCCATGTCACAAAAAATTATTTGTGACTTTTTTTTTTTTTTTGAGACAGAATCTCACTCTGCTGCCGAGGCTGGAGTGCAGTGGCATGATCTCGGCTCACTGCAACCTCTGCATCCTGGGTTCAAGCAACTCTTCTGCCTCGGCCTCCTGAGTAGCTGGGACTACAGGTGTGGGCCACCATGCCCGGCTAATTTTTTTATTTTTAGTAGAGACAGGGTTTCACTGTGTTGGCCAGGCTGGTCTTGAACTCCTGACCTCAGGTGATCCACCTGCCTCGGCTTCCCAAAGCGCTTGGATTACAAGGCATGAGCCACCGCACCCGGCCTGTGACATCATTATTAATGACTGCCTACTTTTACATCATACCAATATAACATAATTCTCTGTTGAATGTTTGTGGATTCAATTTGTTTGCTATTGTAAATTATGCTAAAATGAAAATCTTTGTGCATAAATCTTTAAGATTATTTTGTAGTATAGATGTCTTCAGAACTACTAAATCCGTATGTATAAATATTTTTCAAGGTTTTTAAATATATTGTCAGATTGATTTTTAGTAGTTCTAACAATTTTCAGTGCTAGCAGCAATACATAAGGAGTGCTCATCTCTCCTAATATCTCTGGTTGTGACTAGTATCATAGGCAAAAATATATTTTCTAATTTGATAGTGTTAAATTAAGTTTGGCCTAGAGCCTGTCTTTTTTTTTTCTTCTTTTTTTTTTTGAGACGGAGTCTCACTCCATCACCCAGGCTGTAGTATGCAGTGGCGTGATCTCAGCTCACTGCAAACTCCGTCTCCCGAGTTCAAACGATTCTCGCGCTTCAGCCTCCCAAGTAGCCAAGACTACAGGTGCACACCACCATGCCCAGCTAATTTTTGTTTTATGGAATTACAGGTGCGTGCCACCATGCTTGGCTAATTTTTGTATTGTTAGTAGAGACAGGGTTTTGCTATGTTGGCCAGGCTGGTCTCTAACTCCTGACCTCAAGCGATCCGCCCACATTGGCCTTCCAAAGTGCTGGGATTACAGGCATGAGCCACTGTGCCTGGCCCTGGACCCTGTCTTTGTACATTGAGTTTCTATGTAATGATCTGTGACCTAACTTAGTAGGTACTAAAATCTAACTACTATACTTTTTCTAACAGATAGCTGGGTTTCAGCGAGTCACAAGCAGCTGAACTTCAGCCTATCATAGGTTGACAGCTGACCAGACCACGTCCAAATAAAGCAAATGCCTAGCTGTAATTAATCAAGCTATTTTTTTAAGTTACTTCCCTGTTCTAAAGTACTCACTGCCCACATTACAAAGGGAGCTCTCTGAACCTCTTCTGGTTCTGAGTGCTGCCTGATTAATGAATTGTTCTTTGCTAAAATAAGTTCTGTTAAATTTAATTTGTCAAAAGTTTTTCTTTTGACAATAAGTTAAAAAAATGTGTTAGGGGTCTGACTGGGGAGTAACAAGGCAGCTGCCATGCATCTGGGTTTGCTTAGTGAATGCAGTGTTTGTACTCAGCTGGCATGCTTCTATGAGATGGCCTTGGGGCACTGCCACTGTCCCCCACCCAAGTGACATAATGCAAATAAAACATGTTCCATAAAATATAAAGACAATTTAAATATACACTCCATTTATAGAGCAGCTGTGTTCCTGTGAAGCCGTCCTTTCAATGTTCAGTCCTCTTGTTAAGATGTCATATGCATATTGCTAGGTGAGGTAGTGAGGAGGGTGCTGATGCTGCTCCTGCTTTCAGGAGAGGACACAGGATAAGGAGCTCCATGGTGAGAGATGCTCCATTGGAATGTAGACCCCTTTGAGCTGGAGTTTTATTCACTGCTGATTTCCTTGTGGCTAGAAAGATGCCTGGCACACAGTAGGAGCATAACAAATATTTGTTGAATCAGTGAAACTGTAGTGACTCACATTGTAAAGCAATTCATCCTTTTATATTGCAGATTAAATCTCCATTTTCTCTGTTTTGTAAGCTTGATTTCAATGTTGGACTTGAAAAAAGTCTGGGCCCCATTGTCGTGTGAGCCAAGCGGTGTTTGCTTTCAAGGCAAGGACAGAGGAGAGAAAGAGGAGGAAAAAGTTAACTTCTGGGGAATATACTCATCTGCCAATGACAGGATATGATATAGAAACAAGTCTTTTGTCTCCAAAATCTCCATCAGTGCCCACCATCCAGAGCGGGTCAACTGGATTGACCAAAATAAAATCTCGGATGATGAGAAATTTCTCATATGTTAATTGTGGAATCAAAGCTTCATTTGTGGCTCCTGCTCCCACACTGGGCTGCTGCTTTTCAGGATGAGCATTTGGGTTCAAAGTTAGGAAGGAGTGAGGGTGCGCCCATGATGACCTGAGAGCTGACTGGAGGGACTGATGAAGGGGTAGTCCAGCACAGGGCCTGCATGGTCTCTGTTTTCTGAACTCTTGCTGCCTGACTTCCCGAGGCAGTGGGAGAAGATGGGACTGATTTCTGTGCAGCTGGGGCTGAAGGCTGGCTGACGGTCACCGGGCGGGTAGTCAGTGGAGGCTGCTAGAACTGGAGCAGAAGGAACTTTCTCTCAGTGTATTTCTCCAATTTGGCACCAGATGGCAACACCTCCCTTCAAATGAAACCAAAGTCTCCAGATTCAATAACAAAACCGTTACTTATTCTGAGGACATTGAGCAACCCTGCAGGATTTGGGTCTGGATTTGGGGAGGGGGCTTGACCACCTTGATGATCATGGAGCTAAGCTAGTTCTAGATCCTGTCTCCATCCATTCTTTCCATGAGTGATTATTGATTGAGAGCTTCCTATGTGCCCAGTCCTGGGCTGTGTGTTGGGGCGGGGAGGAGAATGGGGTACAGTAGTGAGCAACACCCATGCCTCCCTCCATGGCAACAGCCCCGACAGCTTTTACAGCCTAGTAAAGGAGATAGACATTAAGCAAATAAGTACAAAACAATGGACTCATTTCAATTGTGGGAAGTGTAATAGATGATAAATATGATACTATGAGACCATATCAACAGGAAGAATCTGATCTCATCTGAGCTGTCAGGAAAGGCTGCTCTGTCAATGGATTATCCTATCGACCCCCACCCCACACATACTTTGTTATATCTACCAACACACTCCCATTATATTCCCATTTTACGGCTGCTGGACCAACCCCAAAACATCCCATTATATCCCCAACAGGCAATCCCATCATAGCCTCCACTGCAGGTCTTAATTAAAGACCACATGCCGTCCTTCACACCTCATTCCTGGAACTTTTAACAAATGCCTTTACGATCCTTTCCCAATCTCCTCTGCAATCCCTGTTGCAAATCCCATGGCTCGCCCCATTGGAATATCCCACTGCAAACTCTCACAGAACCCTGGTCTTATTCACCTTTGCATTCCCTGTGCCTCCCACTGTACGTGACAGGTCATATGTTCTTGAAAATACTTGGCAAACCAATGACAGGACCTGTCAATACCCCAGCTCACATACTCTATCTCAGGCCTGTCATGGCTCCTATGGCACAGCCAAGGTCACAGCCCCCACACTGGAAAGGGTCAGGTCTCTGCTGCCCTTTTTCCTGTAGGAAATTCCTGAGAAGAAGATTGTGTACCTCTGGATCCTCCCTTCCCCTCATTGATCTCCATCAGCCTAGATAGGCTCCCAGAAGCTAGGTCCTGCCTGGGCAGTGGCCCGTCCTGAGGTCTGACTTGGTCCATGTCACCCCCATCCCAGAATCAGTGGAACACTCTTTGTGACCTCCTTGGAGTGTACCAGGCTCCTGATTATGGGCCTGCCAATGGGGCCTTTAGTAAGCAGCTTCCCCTCTCTCCTTCTCTGAAGGGCCAGAGAACTCAGAAGAAGACATCCTAGGGCAGGAAGAGACTGCAAGGGCATCATCTAATTCTTTTTTTGTTTGTTTGTTTTTTTAGACAGAGTCTCACTCTGTCACACAGGCTGCAGTGCAGTGATGCAATCTCAGCTCACTGCAACCTCTGTTTCCTGGGTTCAAGAGAATTCTCGAGCCTCAGCCTATCGAGTAGCTGGGATTACAGGTGCCTGCCACCATGCCTGGCTCATTTTTGTATTTTTAGTAGAGACGAGGTTTCACCATGTTGGCCAGGCTAGTCTCAAACTCCTAACCTCAAGCGATCTGCCTGCCTTGGCCTCCCTAAGTGGGAATTCATCTAATTCAACAACCCTCCTCCTTATTCTTCTTCCCCATCTTCTTCCCCTGCCTGCTCCTGTTTATCTGGTCTTTCTTTGGGGCATATAAAAGCACAGCCACCTCACTTAGCAGGCAAGGGCTGAAAGGAAGCACAAAGACCAAGTCTAACTCCTTCATCTAACAAGGGAGGAAACCAAGGCCCAGAGAGTGGAAGTCACTTGCCCACACCCAACAGTGGTCAGGGCAGAGCCAGATCTCCCCACGGTGCTCCATGCAGTGTTCTTTCAGAGGCTGCCCCTTCCACATCCTCTTGTTCATATTAGCCAAGCAATGCTACTTCCATCAGGAAGGCACGTCCAATGCGAACCATTCCAGAGACTGCATTTCAAAGATTGATAGACATGGCTTTCGCATTATCTGCTGTTTCGGATTAGCTATGCCGTGGCTTCATTCTTTGGGGCTGATATTGGGGGTGGGAGGGGTGGAGAGTGGGGGAGGGGAGCCAATTCTGAGTCACTCTCTATGCCCTGGGCTCCAGCCTGCAAGACTGGGCCTGAGAAGGACAGGGTGATCCATCCTATATTTTCAGTCCGTCAGGAGATTTCATTGTTTAAACAAACATTTCAGCGAGGCCATCCAGCTGGGCAGTGATTTATGGCTCTGGCTACAGTTTTTCCCCAACAAAGATAAACAATCCTGCAACTCTTGGGACTCAGGCTGGGACTCATGGTTCTAACAACTTGGAGTCAGCTGGACCACACCAGCCATCGCCTGGTCTGGGGTTTGGTTAGGATCTGTTCACACTGGTCCTGTGGCTGAGCCACAAACCTTGGGGGACCATGTTGTGTTTGGAAGCTAGAAGCATTGCCTCCAGGGCAGAGGAGAGCAGCAGGAAGGAGCAAAATAGCTCAGAGTTGGTGCTTCAGGCCCATCTCCGTCTTTCAGGAGAGCAGCAATGTTCTCCATTTTGTGCGGTAGATATTTGGTGTTTTTGGTTAACAAGCATCTGTTCTTCCTTCTTTTGCTAACATTACATCAATTTCCTTTTGTAGAATTATTCCGGGTTGCACACTGCACCCATGTGCTTACAGAGTCTACTCAACTCTTGGATCTGGGCTCAGGCCTGACCAATCAGAACAGTACATTCCTGTGATCTTAGTAAAGGTTGGATATCTAACCCAATAAAAGCTTGCAAAAGGCGGAAAAACCTTTGCTGGAGCTGCTGGGAGAGAGGGAAATGCTCTTTCTCGCTGGACTGGAATTGGGGATGATGTGGAAGGATGAATGACTGCTAGAGCTGTTGCTGCCATCTGCCTGCATGGGAGAGCATGTCTGACAACAAAACCAATACCAATACACAGGAAGTGAAGCCAAAGGCTGGAGAGAGACCAGCTCCAGGTGACAACATTGGAGCCCCAGAATCCGCCCAAATCTTCTTTTATTTAAGGATTGGGTATTCTTTCACTTGCAACTGAAAGAAGGGTAACCAATATCCACTGTCTGACATAGCAGAAGAAACTGGCTCAGTAGGCATCTCCTGCAGCCTCCAGCCCAGCTGTCTGGATGTGATGGTTTAGTAAAAGAACAGTAACTCCCTCATATTCCCCTCTCCCATTTGATCTGATGGCCTGTGTCTACTATACTTCACCAAAAGGATATGGTGCTGTGACAGATGCAGAGGTAACTGAAACACAGCTCACATTTTTCATGGAGTTCTTGTAAGCAGGGGGGACACACCATAGCCTATTATTTAAGGCAGATTGAGATGCATGTCTTGGGAAAAGAACAAACAAGGTTTTTTTGAAGATGCAAGGAAAGAAGAGCTCATATCTGATTGGTGGGGACCAGTGGATGCTTCATGGAAAAGGGCTATTTGGGATGAGTCTTCAACGATGAGAATTTTAATGGGCAGACATGGGCAGGAGCCTTTGCAGGTAGATGAAATAGTGTGATGAAGGTCAGGGAGGTGGGAAAGATGAAGTGAACATTGAAAAGTAGAGTTGGACTGGAAGACAGGGGACATTTAGGGGAATCACCAGCCTGCAAAGTAAGTTGGTGTCATCTAGGAAGATGCCTCTAATGAGAAGCTTGTTCTTAGTCCAGTAGGTGATGGGGAGTTATTGAACATTCTTGAGCAGGGAAGTGGCCTCATTGGTGCTACTCTTGAGGGGCCTGAGATGGAGGTGGGGAGAGATCCAGTGTGGAAAAACCACTGAGGTGGGATTGGGAGGTAACCTTGACTCATCCACAGGATGGGGAGAAAGCCAGGGAAGGAAAGGCAGGGAGTGAAAACAGGAAGTAGTTCTGGTTTCTCTTCATTCATACCTCAAGAAGTGAGGTTTCTAAAGCACAAAGTTCAAAAGTCACAAAAGGAAAGTTTGATATATTTAATTACATAAGAATTAAAAATTTCTACATGGCAAAGTGCTTTAAATGAAGTGAAAAGACAAGGACAGATTGGGGAAAACATTTGCTACACAAATGACAGAGGATTAATTTCCTAAATACATAAAGAGCTTTTATACTGCAGAAAGAAAAAATAACAGCTAATGGAAAAATGGTCAAAGGATATGAATAGACAGTTCACAGGAAAAAATGCAAATGGTCATTAAACATATGAAAAAAATAATAACTTATATAGAGCTTTATGTTTGTTTATACATTTAATTTTCACAATAACTATATGAAAAATGTTATTCTTCTGATATCTTTTTACTGATAAGGAACCAAAACCATAGAGAAGTTAAGTGCATTGCCCACAGTCACTCAACTAATAAGCAGTTGGGTAGGGATTTGAGCCCAGGGACCAGTTTGTTCTCTCAAGCACTTCCTGTTCACACTCATCTATTCTACAAGACATCCAGGACAGGTGTGGTGACTCGTGCCTGTAATCCCAGCACTTTGGGAGGCAAGGATTGCTTGAGGCCAGTAGTTCAAGACTAGCTTGAGCAACATAGGGAGATCTTGTCTCTACAAAAAATAAAAAAAATTAGCTGGGTGTGGTGGTGCACGCCTGTAGTACCAGCTACTTAGGAAGCTGAAGCTGCAGTGAGCAGTGATTGCGCTGCTGAACTCCAGCATCAGTGACAAAATGAAACTCTGACTCAAACATAAATCCAAAACAAAACAAAAATCCCAAAGAAAGAAAGAAAAGGATTAAAACTACACCAAAACACCATTCTTTATAAAAATCACATTGGCAAAAAGCAAAATGTTTGGTGGAAGGTTGATAAAACTGTTGAGGAAACCAAGACTCACATATTGTTGGTACAAGTGAACTGGAACACCATTTTGTAGGGCAATTTGGCAATATTTATCAAGATTTTATTTTATTTATTCTAAGAGACGGGGTTTTGCTCTGTTGCCCAGGCTGGAGTCCTGTGGTATGATCATATCTCACTGAATCCTCTAACTCCTGGGATGTCTCGCTATGTTGCCCAGGCTGGTCAAGATTTTAAATACAAATTTGCTTTAACCTAGAAATTTCATTTCTAACATTTTTATAACAGACGTACAAAAATATCTATATTTCTAACAGATATATTTATTGTAGCATGTTTGTAATAGCAAAAGACTAGAAACAAGCTAAGTGTCCATCACTAGGGGACCTGATGTATAGATTACAGTTCCTAAAGCTGATAGGAAGAATAAGGCTGATCTGTATGTATGCTATGAGCAACCTCTAAGATATATTGTTAGGTGAAAAAGGCAAGGAGGGAGGCTTGGCGCAGTGGCTCACGCCTGTAATCCCAGCTCTTTGGGAGGCCGAGGTGGGTGAATCATTTGAGGTCAGGAGTTTGAGACCAGTCTGACCAACATGGTGAAACCCCATCTCCACTAAAAATACAAAAATTAACTGGGTATGTTGGCACATGCCTGTAGTCCCAGTTACTTGGGAGGCTGATGTGGGAGAATCGCTTGAACCTGGGAGGTGGAGGTTGCAGTGAGCCGAGATTATACCATTGCACTCCAGTCTGGGCAACAGAGCAAGATTGTCTCAAAAAAAAAAAAAAAAAAAGCAAGGAGGGGAACAGGGTGTGGAGTGTACCCCACCTCAGCCTCTCCATATATGCTGGCAAGGGGACAGTGTCTGCCTCTGGAGAACAGAGTCAGATGCTTAGGTTAGGAGCCAGAGGGAACTACTAGTTTTTTGACTGTATATGCTTTGTTATTGTTGAATTTTTTTAAAACATATTCAAGAATTACCTTTTCAAAAATAAAAATGTATAGTAAGATAGTAAGATAAAACATAGTACTAGTTGGAACAACCACCACAAAGAAATAACATGATTGCCATTATTCATCCAAAGGGCCAGCTTGTTGATCCACTTGTCACGGTGGGAAAGAGCAGTGAGCTGTGTTGGGGGGTTGCTCACAGAGCTGAAGGGCAGGGAGCCAGGGCCTGGGGGCTCAGTGAACTTTACCAGGGAAGAGATATCTTGCCAGGTGCTCATTATGTTAAGATAGGCAACACACAACTTCATTTGTTTCTATTTTTAAAAATTGTTTCATTTATTAGAATTTATCTCCCTCCTCATTAAAAATAAAAACCTAAAACTCAAGTTCTTTTTGAAAAATGCTAATCTGTTTCAGGTAAACTCAGGAGAAAAGGATTTTTTGCCCATGCCTGGGTAGAGCAGCGCAGCAAGGGTGGGAGCCAGGGAGCCAGCATGCCCGGCAGGGACGGCTCTTCCTCACCCTGCCATGTTCCTTCCCAAGACCTACTGTGTGTGCTGCTCATAAGCACGTTCTCTTTTCAAGGTTCTCTCTTGATATTCTCTAGGTGACTTCTGGAGGGTCTGAAATAGGTTGAAGAAGATGGAGTGGGATGAGAGACACGGGGGAGGACACTTTAGGATGGAATGTGGAGACTTTTGGGATAGGAGAGAAGGAGGGAGAAGAAAAAGCAATGGAAAGAAGGCCAGAGTGGCTGCAACCCAGAAAACAAAGACGGGACAAAAACAAGACTAGAAGAGTGTGTTTTATAAACAGCAGTGCAAAGACCATCCTTGTGGATTTCTCATTTTGTGGTGCACTTGTCTAGTTCTTTTCCTTCTTCCTTCCTTCCTTTTCTTTTTCTCTCTCCCTCCTTTCCCTTTCTCTCTTTCTTTCTCTCTTCTTCCCTTCCTCCCCCTGCTTCCTTCCTCCCTTCCTTTCTCTCTCTCTTTCACTTTTTTAGAGATGGAATCTTGCTCTGTCACCCAGGCTGGACTGTAGTGGTGCAATCACAGCTCACTGCAGCCTCTAACTCCCAGGGCTCAAGTAACGCTACCACCTTACCCTTCCAAGTAGCCAGGACTACAGGTGCACACCACCATACCCAGTTAATTTAAAGTTTTTTGTTTTTTGTAGAGACATGGTCTTGCTATGTTGCCCAGACGGATCACAAACTTCTGGCCTCCCACAGTGTTGGTATTACAGTTGGGAGCTGCTGCACCCAGTTTGATTCTTTAGAATATGTTTTTAGACGTTGAATGGCTAGGTCAAAGGTTATACACATTTAACATTTTGCTACATGTCCCCAAACTGCACCCCAGTAAGATTTTATCAATCTCACCCAGGCAGTGTGTGAGGCTCCCCCTTCCCCCACAGCTCTTGCCAGTCATTTGAGAAAGATTTCGAGACAGAGGGATGGGAATTTGAGGGCGATGATATCAAACATTCTTCTTCTCAATAAGGTAAGAGGCAAGATCCTAGCCAGAGTTCAGAATGAGGGGCGCAGTGGTAAGATTGGGGCTGGAGGAGAGTGGTGAAGGCAAGAAGAATCAAGATGGCGGGACTCGGTGCAGCTGCTCTAGCAAACACGAAGCGACATTAAGAACATGGGAAATCTGAGGATGGTTTACCACATTGTGTTTTCTTTAATTGTTTGTTCTTTAGGATTATTTCCATTGCTTTGTGGCTGCTTTAATGAGGAATTCTATTTTTTCACTTTAGAAAGGGAATCGGGTGGAAAATTTTATTTAATGATACAAACATTAATTGAGTACCTAGTATGTGTCAATGAGAGTCATGCATGCAAAAAGGAGTTAGACTTGTGCCCTGCTCCCAAAATGCTCCAGTCTCATAACAGAGACCATCAGTAATAATTACGGTGCAGTGCAACATGGAGAACAATAGAAAGAAGAAAAGTTCACAGACAAAACACCGAGGAAAGAGTAACTACCTCTAAGATGTTGAGTAGTTTTATCAGGAAAGGCTTGGTGGAGAGGGTAAGTCCAAGGCCCGGTTTTAAGGGTGCACAGGAGGTGCTTGCATGCCTAGTCTATCAGTAAATATGATAAGGCATGAAAAGCCCTAAGTGGGTGCCTGTCACCTAGCGAGCACTCGGTCTGTGTCCCAACTGGTGTGTGTTCAACCATCTTCCAGCCTGTGAGTGGTGAGTGAGGGTTTGAGCTGGGGATTGAGGGTCCAGTTTCTTTTTCCTGAGGATCCAGGTGTCCTGGGATGTTGTGGGGCTGGATGGGGGTAACTTGGTTGGGGAGAGAGCTGCTGAGGGAGGAAGAGCTACTAGTGGGCCCTCCAAGAAAGGCAACCATGGAGTCCCTGGGTACTGGCGAAGGCCGGTGCCCAGAGTTCTGGGTGGCAGCAGTGCCTTTTGCTGCCCCTTCTTTATCCCACCTGCATGAGCCCTTCATATTGGGGCTGTAGCCTCTCTCTGCCCTGCACCTTCTTCCTGTCTCTCCTCCACTCACCATTTCCTAGGACTCCTGACTGTTTGGTTTTGGTGGGGGTGTATAGGAAGAGTGGAGAGAAGCCCTGCCCACACTCAAGATGTTTCTCCTAAACATTTAATCTTGTCCAGACATCAAAGCTTGTATTTTCCTTTTTTTCTCCATCACATCCCTCCCTTGAGGCAGACAGTGTAGAACAATCTAGCTGCTTGAATATAAGTTTGCGATGGAGTGGGGTAGGGTGGAGGGCTGGGAGGATAGAAGGAAGTTTGGGGTAGAAAAAAATTGGTCATTATCTCAAAAATGCTTCCTGCTACATTGGAGTTATTGGCCTGGAGACCACCACCCATCTGGTAGCTGAATATGCTGCTTGCAAGTAATATGGTAAATGAGAATAGCTTAGGCACCTATCTTGCAACCAGGGTGTCTAAAGTGGCATTTATATTCACAAACAAAAGTAAGGATCAAGCTATGCAGATGAATCGTGGCCCGTGGCCCAAGTCCCACTGTATCCTTTTGTTTTCCCACAGGACAGTGGGGGCAGTTGGTGGGAGATGCAGGCTCAGGACCCCCTGTGGTTGTACAGCCCAGCCTCAATGCCTTGGATCTCTGGTCACTTAGTTTTGCCCGCACGGTCACCCACTTCCTACAGAGGCAAATTAGGTGGTGGAGCTTGTGTTATAAGGAACGGGGCCAGGTGGTCAGGAACATCGTAGGAAGAGGGTGCATATTAGCCTGGGGTTTTGGACCCCTCTTTTCCCAGCTGGGGAGATGGGGAGTCCTCTTCCTGACCAAACTCCAGCTTTCAGCAGCCTCAGGCTGTGCACTGACTTGGGTTCCTCCTCTAGGGGCTGCCCATGTCATGGGTTTCAGGGCTGGGCTTTAGGTGGGAAAGGATGTTGTGACCAGCAACTGGGAGAGGGATTCCTGGGGCACAGGAGGATTTCTGGGAGGCAAAGACTGAGGAGAGAGAGAGAATAGGGGTTGCAACAAGTTGCCAAGCAGAAAGGAGGGCTGATGAAAGTTACAAAGCCTGATAATCTTCCATCCTCAGAACTTTTCATCTGTAGCACAGAATTTAATCAGATGTTTAAAGATCCCAGAGAAACAAATGAACAAACCCAAGAGTAGAGAACAGAATTAGAGGACAGGTGCAGTGTCTGCATTATTATGACAGTAAAGACAGATATTCAAACTGGCTGTGAGATTGGTTTTGGAATTCTATTATGTTGCTATGGGTAAAGAGGCCCATTTCCTGAGATAGGAAAGGTAGGAATGGGGTGGGAGGAAGTGGTCATGAATCTCTGGAGACAGCAGTATCCGCATCCTTATTAGCCAGGAAGATGCAGGTTGAAACCAGATGGCAGATATTTCATCACAAACAGCATCTGTCAGAGACAGGGCATGTTGTGGGGTAGGGGCCCACGTGTCTGGTGCCAGCATGTCAGGCCAGCGAGCAGCTTTTCTTGAGCTGCTAGTGTGTGCTCAGCCATTATTGTGGTGTCACCCAACTCAGGACATTCACATCGTATCCTAAGTGAATGCCACTCCTTGAAGCACGTCTCAGTTATTTATTGTTACATGGGCAAACCACCACAAAACTTCATGGTTTAAAACAATTTATTCTTATTTTTCATGGTTCTGTGGGTTGACTGGGCTCAGCCGGTTGGTTCTCACTTGGGTTCTCTCATGTTGATAAAGTCAGATGTCAGCTGGGCTGCAGTCCTACAAGGGCTTAAGGAGGCTAGATGATCAAGGTGTTCCATTCACCTGACTGGCTGATGCTGGATGTCCATGTGGGGCTCAGCCGGGGTTGTTGACTTACATGTGGTTTTTCCATGTGCCTTGGGTTTCTCACAGCACGACGGGTTCTGAGAGGGAGTGTCCCAAAAGCAAACATTCCAAGAGGTCCAGGCAGAACCTGCAGGGTTTCTTGTGACTTAGTCTTGGATGTACAAGGATATTGTTTCCATTGAATTCCATTTGTCCAGTTCAGATTCGAGGGAAGGAAATTAGACTCTACCTCTTTCTCTTTTTCTTTTTCTTTCTTTCTTCCTTCCTTCCTTCCTTCCTTCCTTCCTTCCTTCCTTTCTTTCTTTCTTTCTTTCTTTCTTTCTTTCTTTCTTTCTTTCTTTCTTCTTTCTTTCCCTTCCTTCCTTCCTTCCTTCTTTCCATCTTTCTTTTTTTTTTTGAGACAGAGTCTCGCTCTTTTACTCAGGCTGGAGTGCAGTGGCATGATCTTGGCTCACTGCAACCTCTGTCTCCTGGGCTCAAGCAATCCTCCCACCTCAGCCTCCCAAGTAGCTGGGACCACAGGTGCATGCCACTATGCCCGGCATGTTTTGTATTTTTTGTAGAGACGGGGTTTCGCCATGTTGCCCAGGCTGGTGTCAAACTCCTGGGCTCAAGTGATCCACCTGCCTCGGCCTCCCAAAATGTTGGCATTACAGGCGTGAGCCACTGCACCCAGCCCAGACTCCACATCTTGGTGTAGGAGTAGCATGTGGGCACAGAGAGGTGAGGAATTGATGGTGGTATCTTTGGAAGCAAGCTACCACACACACCACCTAGGACCAGGGCTGGCTCCATTGTTTTGCAACCTGTGCAGTTGCACATGGCCCTGGGCTTGGAAGGGTCTTGCACTTGGCTTAATGCTGTATGGCCACCATCTTGAAGTTTTTAACAATGTTTAATAAGGAGCCTGTATTTTCATTTTACACTGGACCCCACCAATTGTGTAGCAAGCCCTGCACAGGACTTACCGTGAAGGTACTGCTTGGATTTGTGCAGCGTGATGAGGGGAGGGCATCTGCAGAACTCTGCACTATACAGATCTGACTCCTGCCTATGGAGAACTTACAGAGCAGCTGAAGAAACAAGACTTACTTGAAACACTGAAACTAGTAAATGCCAGTATCTGGGCAGGGGTTAGGCTGTGATTGCCCAAGGAGGGCGAAGACAGGGTGGGAAGAATCCTCCATTTTGCATGCTCTCTTGGAGTCATATTCAGATTCTGAACCCGTGCTGGGCTCAAAGCCTTCCTTCTCTGGGGCCAGAAAAGCTTCCAGGAATCTTAGAAATGTCTTTTTCCTCTCCCCACCCTACCTCTTCCCTTACCCTTGTTCCCAGGATTCTTCAGCTGGGGGCCTTGAAGGGAGGGGCTTCCAATATCAGGACTGGCTCCTGGGGTGGCTAGGGGGAAAAGGGAGTGTGGGGTGCCTGGGAAGAGTGTAAGAATGTAAGTGGAGCTTGCAGGAGCTCCATGCACGCTCAGGCCAAAAGTCTCAGGTGAGACACTGGAAGAGACCTGAAGGAAGCTGGGCCACATGTGGCCTTGGTGTGGGGGAGCACATGGAGGGGTGGGAGGAGGAAGCTCTCTGGTCTTCTCCAAGGAACATGCTGAGTGCTCTGGTGTCCTGAACAATGCCTCCCACATGGTCCGCAGCCAGATACCTCACCATTCCCCAAGGCACAGGGCATGCCTTCTTCCATTGTAGGAAATGACTCAAAGAGCCCCCTAGTGCCTGGGCTCAGCCCAGCCCCTAACCAGGGGGTGAAGACAGTCCCTGAGGGACGCACCACTTGTTTACAGACAATGCCTGGTTTCCTTCAAAGGTCTCATCCTACTGTGTTGAGCCTGCAAAATAATCTTCTGATTGTGCACATTAACAGGACATACTTTTCCACCAGAGACAGCTGACCCATTTCCAATTTTGTGAGACTGAGAGGGTGAAGGAGGATGCTGCTCCCTGGGGAGCTGGCTCTAGTATTTCTCAAAAACAGAGACACTTGCAAGTGGTTCATACAAGGCCCCATAGATAGTCATTCTTGGCTGTGCTGGCAATTGCCTGTTTGCTCTCAGATTGGTTCCTTGCCCCTCCAGGATTCCTCTGCAGGAACTACATTTCCCAGGCTCCTTGCCCATGGCTTCCAGGGTGAGTTAAACCAATGTGGGGTCCTGGCAGGAGACTTTAAGGCAGTAGGAGGGGGAAAGTTAGGATGTTCATTTCTCTTTGCTGCTCTCTGCTTCCTGTGGTGTCTTTGGCAGAATCTGGGTTTCTTCATGGTTCCAGCTCACAACACATGTTGCCTCTCTCTTTGGTTGCCAGTTCCCACTGGGCAGCCTTGGCTTTGGGCTCTGGTAACCCCACTTCCTCTCTTTCCTCACCCCCTCCAGCCTGAGGGCAGAAGTGTCTCCCTGCTGCTTCTCACCTCTGGATTGGTTCATCATCCCATATGTGGCTTTTCTTTTTTGTTAATTCACCTATGTAACCTCTTCTCTCTATTACATTTCCTGCTGGGAAGATCTAAACTAATCTAAATTGTTGGTCATTCTGCTTTTTGCGTATCCAGGAAGGCCTGGAGGTCAGGGAAGTTCTGTGACTCTGGTTACTCCATCCCTAACTCCAAATAGATTCCATGGAATTCAGCTCCAGCTGGATCCATATGCTATGCACATGAGTAACCGTATTCTAAAGCCAACAGCAAACTGAGAAGGCAGCCTGGCCTGCTCCCAGCAAGCCCAAGTCACTTCAGACCATTTTGCTAGGGAGGTAGAAGAACAGCCAGAGCAGGGTGGACAATGTGGTTGACATGCCAAGAGGTTGGGGTAAGGGGTGATCTAGTGACTACAGTCTGCCCTTATGGGGCACCCCAATATGGTGTCTATTCTCATTGCTCACACCCTTAAGTTTTGGAGGCCAGTGATTAAGAGCACGCATGTGTGACTTGGGAAACCATAAAAATGTGTGTGAAGCTTAGGAGCTAATGTACATGTACAAGCGAGGCTTAGCATCTTATGGAGATGAATATAGGTTCATTTCCTCTGTGAAGATGTGAGTTTAGAATAGATAAGCTTGAGCCTGGCTCCCAAGGTCACCCAGTCTCCAAGACAAAGTCTTCTGGGGTCATTGGCATGACAGAGGCCCAGAATGGAGTCTATGGAGGGGGTTGTTAGCCAAGCCTAAGGAGACATGTGGGAGATGAACCCAAGTTAGGGGCTATGGGGACCCTCACCTTCCTTCCTCAATTGAGGGAGTCTAGCCCTCTCTAGCCACGTCCCCTCCTGCAGACTGCTCCTTCCATTGGGGCACAGAGCAGAAGCCTAGGGACCTGTCACTTACCAGATGACTGTTGGAGGGCTGTTTAGGTTCTGATAGAGTGGGCTTTTCATTTTGAGAGTTGATTCTATTTCTTCATCAGTAAGTAGGAGCTAGGGAAGAGAAAGCATGCAAAAGGGCAAGAATCAGGAGAATTGATATAGTAGCTGGACAGAACTCTAGATGTGTGTGTGTGAGAGAAAGAGAGGCAGGGAGAAGGAGGGAGGAGTTACCCCCACGATGACCTCCAACTTCCCTTTCTGCACCCTCATCCTGGGGATAGCACAGGCTCAGGCCTGCCCTGGTTGCCCTGGCGATTGGCCTGGCCTGGGCTCAGGGGTGGGGGAGGGGCTGCACCACATTAGGACCTGCCGTACTCCAATCCCATGCAGTCCTCCTGCTCCTGCTGCTGCGTGCCTGGGCTCTGGTCATGCCAGGCTTCCTTGTGTCCTGCGTCTGTGGCCGGTTCCTGCCAACCTGTCTAGTCCTTTCAGGCTTGAGGCCCTGCATTGCTCTTTCTGGTCCTCTCCCCTCCTTCCCGCTCCCCATCTAGCCTTTTTTGGGTTCCGGGATCTGCTGACAGACTTTCTTCTTGCTGCCTGCCTGCTTACATTTCAGAAGACCCCTCTGGAACTGCCCATGGCTGTGGTCCACCTGCTGGTAGCAACGCCCTGTTACCAAATGCTAGATAATCTGCCACTCCCCTCTGCAGCCGCCAACTGGTGCTGAGCTGCCACCTGTTGTCTGTTTCCACACCCTTGTACACTGCATTCTGCCTGTCACTCTGGACAGCTGCCCAGCAGCTGCAGCTGAGGCCGTCCTGCCAGCACCTACCGCAGCCCCATGGGTGGTCCTGTCCAGTTCCTGGCGCTCCCAGCCTGCCTCATCTGCTGTACTTACAGAGCCACATCTGGTTGAATACAGAGCTGGGGTAGCCTGGATGGGCCCATGGCACACTCACTCCCAGAGAGGCGGGCATCCTCTCTCTGGACCTCTAGGGAAGGGCAGGGTCTGGAGCCCAATAATAAAACACAGTAATGATAATCATAGCTAATGTTTACTGAGAACTTAGGATGTGATAGGCTCAATGATTTACCAGAATTACTCTATACTGCATAACTACCCTATCAGGTAAGTACTATTAATATCCCCTTTCCCACATGAAGAAACTAAGGCTAAACAATAGAAATGAACCTGTGTAATGTCCCATGGGCATAATTCATGGAGCCAGGATTCAGAACCAGGTGCTTTACTTCAGGGCTGAAGCTCATAACCACTAGACCAAAGCGCCTCCTCCGTGACCTCTGGGGAAGGCCCAGCAACATCCTCTATTGCGTCCAATGACTTCTCCCTGGTCTGAGATCCACTGACTCACAGGGGTAGGGTTAAGGTTAAGGCCAGAGTCTCAGCTAAGCTTTGGATACTTTCTTCTGGATTTGGAGAAGGCTGGAATAACTGAATTTCTGCTCATCTTCAGGAGCGGCCTACTAGAGCCACACATTTCCCAGCTCTCCTTGTGTGTTTCCCAGACCCTTCTTCCATCGTGTCCTCTCCCTTAGGCTCCTGGAAAGTTTTCAGAGAGAATCACCCAGTGGTAACATTGTTAAACAAAACAGGAAAATGGGACTTGTGTGTATATATGATTAAATTATTAATTGATGGATCTACCTTCTTAGAAGGGTCAAAGACTGAATGAACAGAGAAGAAGAAAGGAGAGGGTCCCCTGGAGGTGGCAAAAGTCTTTTTTTTTTTTTTTTGAGATGGAGTCTTGCTCTGTTGCCCAGGCTGGAGTGCAGTGGTGTGATCTCAGCTCACTGCAAGCTGCACCTCCTGGATTCACACCATTCTCCTGCCTCAGCCTCCCGAGAAGCTGGGACTACAGGCGCCTCCCACCACGCCTGGCTAATTTTTTTGTATTTTTAGTAGAGATGGGGTTTCACTGTGTTAGCCAGGATGGTCTCGATCTCCTGACCTCGTGATCCACCCGCCTCAGCCTCCCAAAGTGTTGGGATTGAGCCACCGTGCCCAGCTGGCAAAAGTCGTTTTTGTTTATTATTTTATTTATTTATTTATTTATTTATTTATTTATTTATTTATCTATTTGAGACGGAGTCTCACTCTGTCGCCCAGGCTGGAGTGCAGTGGCGTGATCTCCGCTCACTACAAGCTCTGCCTCCCGGGTTCATGCCATTCTCCTGCATCAGCCTCCCAAGTAGCTGGGACTACAGATGCCCACCACCATGCCCGACTAATTTTTTGTATTTTTAGAAGAGACAGGATTTCACCATGTTAGCCAGGATGGTCTTAATCTCCTGACCTCGTGATCCACCCGCCTCAGCCTCCCAAAGTGCTGGGATTACAAGCATGAGCCACCGCACCCAGCCTATTTTTTATATTTTTTGAGATGGAGTCTTACTCTGTTGCCCAGGCTGGGGTGCAGTGGCATGATCTTGGCTCACTGCAACCTCTGCCTCCCGGGTTCAAGTGATTCTCCTGCCTCAGCCTACTGAATAGCTGGGATTACAGGCACCTGCCACCACGCCTGGCTAATTTTTGTGTTTTTGGTAGTGACAGGGTTTCCAGGCTGGTCTTGAACTTCTGACCTCAGGTGATCCACCCATCTCGGCCTCCCAAAGTGCTGGGATTACAGGTGTGAGCCAACACGCCCGGCCAAAAGTCTTTAAGGAAAAGAGGGAGGGGCTTTTTGGAAGAGGCAGTGGTGCAGATCACCTTGGCTTTAGCCCTGCCTCAAAGCAGCTATGGGGAGAGGAAAAGGAAGGATACGTGCTGGATTGGGGGTACTTCAGTTTCTAACAGAATAATTACATACAGGTGCTCCTTGACTCATGACATGATTACATCCCAATAAATCCATTGTAAGTTGAAAATATTGTAAGTTGAAGATGCATTTAATACACCTAATCTGCCAGACATCCAGCTTAGCCTAGCCTATCTTAAACATGCTCAGAGCACTTTAATTATCCTACAGTTCGGCAAAATCATTTAACACAAAGCCTATTTTATAATATGGGTTGAATATTTCATGTAATTTATTGAATATTGTACTAAAAGTGAAAAACAGAACGGTCGTATGGGTGCTCAGTGTACAGTTTCTACTGAATATGTGTAACTTTCACATGTTATAAAGTTGAAAAATTGTAAGTTGAACCATCATCATTTGGGGACCATCTGTACTGTGGATTGGTGAAAGGGATGGAGATGGTGTAGGATGGTGGTTTGGAGGGGTTAGATACAGGCATGACTACAACTGGGTCAGTTCACTGTTTCGTAGCGAAACAATGTTTGGTGATTTTTGCATCCCATTTATTCTTGGAAAAACAAGTTCTTGAGAAAGATATCAAGGGGCATCTCCTCTTCTCTTAGCAGCTTTCAGTTGTCATTCAGAAAGGAGACAGGTCTATTTTCTAGGAAGCCAGCATATGGGCTGCAGCCAACTCAGTCATACTGATATTGTAAGTCCTCAGTCCTACAATATGAGTACGTGGCTCTGCCCTGGGCCTTTCTCATTTGCAAGGCTCCTCCAGCCTGGCTGGGCTGGGCTGAGCTGGACAGGGAGCTGCTGCTCATCCCTCCCTCCTCCCGGGTTCATTTCTGTTTGGGAGTATGGGCAGGTTATGAGCTTCTGCCTTTTGGCTGTGCTTCCTGGGCACCAAGAAGGAAAAAGAAAAGGAAGGTATCTGTAGGCTCTAGGTTATTAGAGCCCAGGAGGGCAGAAGGGAGAAGGAAGGCAGATGGAGAGGAGGATGGACTAAACAGGCTGATGGATGGACAAATGAGCAGGCTCTCCCTCCTTGTCCAGCAGCAGAGGTAATGGTGGCATAAGGTGATGTGGATCAGGAACTGTCATTCAAAAGATGTGGACTGTAGGTAATAGCCTGCATGTCTTTGAAAGAATCTGGACCCTGGTGGGGAGAACCTGCGTTTGCACTGGCCTCTGCCATCAGCCTCAGCTCCTCTTGGCCACACAAGATCCCACCAATTCTAATGGACTTTGCAGGCTGAGAGGTGTTGCTGCAAATAGGTCAGGCTTTGTGGGGTTCCAAGGTTAGTCTTGGGGTAGTACCATGGCCATACCTGCCAACAGTGTCATTTTCCAGCAGCTCCAATAATTCAAAAGGTAATTCTGCCTTTTGATCTTGTCAAGGAGGGAGCTGTTTTAAAGGGCCAGGTGAGACGGGGACTCTGCAGTGAGAGTCCTGGTCTGAGTGCGGGGAGGGCTGGTGGAGCCCGGCGTGACCTCGGAGTTACATATGTGCACACCACATGCTGGGCCATATGTGCTGCTGCCTGGGCTCTGGAGGCTGTCAGGCCCTCCATGCTTGGAATAGTCGGGATCTGCTGACTTGACAAAATGGGGTAGGGGCTGGGCCACATCTGGAGGGGAGCGGGAAGGAACTCCCAGTGACTGGGCTGTGGAGGGACTTCCCACCTTCGCAGCCCTGAGCTCCCCCTTCTTTCTCCACAACCACAGGAGTGGTGTAATTCTCCTCACGTTAAAAGTAAACATCTGGCAGCATCTGCAATGCCCCAAATAAACAAAGAACTAATAGGAGGCATTCGTAACCACAACGGGTCCTGCATGGAGAAGGGAGGGACGCTTCACTGTACAGAAGCTAAAATGACTAAGTGGTGAGCCTCAGCTCATTCGTTTATTGATTGGTGATTAATTCATTGATCAGTGCACAAGCTCCTATAAGACCATGCTGATGCAGTTTTCCAATGCCCCCAGGGCAGCAGAGATGTCACGTCAACCTCATGGCACCAGATGGTCCTTGGTGTGCTGGGGACTGGGGATGATGGTTAGTCCTGGGGTGTCTGTTGCACCTTACTGCAAGTCCAGGGGCCAATATCCAGGGATCCGAGAACAGTGGGAAATCTGTGTGGCAAAGCCCTAGGGTCACTGCAGGGAAAAGGATCATTTTCTGGAAGTGGAGGTTGCCTGAAGCCTTTCATGAGAGATCAGAAGCAGACGCCAGCATAGAGGCAGATAGGATCCCTCCGTGGCGGAGATGCCAAAGATGCTCCCAACGATGAGAGGGGGAGGGAGACAGGGGAAGTGGAGCTGGAGCAGAAGAGGTGGCCACCTTTTAAGGTCAGTCCTCTGAAGCTGGCCAGTGTGCCAGACAGGGCAGTGGTATTGGAATAAACAGTGACGAACACACTGACTGCTGAAGTCAGATTGACAGCAAACTGGAAACAGAGCCTAGGACTGGCTGGCACCATCTGACAACTGAGAAGGGCTTAAGGATGAAATTGGTCATATTTGAACACCATCAAATTCATTCCTCACAGCCACACTAAATGTAAGCGACAGACAGAGAAATGAATTAATAACAAAAATGTCTCCAGCTTTCATGTTCTGGCAGGAGAAATGCTTCCAAGGAGGGACAGATTCACAAGCCTTCCTAATTCTGAGGACCAATGTTCTTCATCACCCTCGTCGCATGGTCGGGAGTGGTGCAGGGCTCGCCAAGGAAGAAGGGACGGAAGGACATGGAGAAGGTTTGGTTGTCTGAGTGCTAAGAAATCAGGCAGCTGGTTATAACTTCAGAAATGGGTCTCGTGCCAGAGGTCATAAAATCACTGCCAGCCGGTTGAATCCAGCTTTTAGACATTTTCTGTTTGGCCCACAAATGTCTTTTTATTTCATTTTAATTTTGAATTTGAACAAGTAGCCAAAGTGTACAAATCAGGAGAGTCACAAAAAATTCCAGCTTTCTTGAAATACCTATGCAAATCACGCCTAAGTTCTCCAGGTGGCCTTAGGCACCACTGATCCCTTCCCTGCTGGCTCTATAGTCATTTGTGATTCCAGCTCCTGTAGTAGGCCATCAAACACTTGTTAGGCATCAAAGAATTAGTGGGGCTGACTTTCCAACAGTCCAGGATAAATAAAGGTTATATAACAAAATGGGAGATTTTGGTCCCATTTTAGGCAGAAAGATCGAACTTCTTTTTTAAGACGTTGAAAGACAATATAAATAAAACCATTTGTATTAACCAGACAAAATCATGACACAGCCGGGCGCAGTGGCTCATGCTTGTAATCCCAGCAAGGATTTTGGGAGGCCAAGGCGGGTGGATCACCTGAAGTCAGGAGTTCAAGACCACCATGACTAATATGGTGAAATCCCATCTCTACTAAAAATACAAAATTAGCCGGGCGTGATGGCGCATGCCTATAATCCTAGCTACTTGGGAGGCTGAGGCAGGAGAATCCCTTGAACCTGGGAGGTGGAGGTTGCAGTGAGCTGAGATTACGCCATTGCACTCCAGCCTGGGCAACAAGAGTGAAACTCCATCTCAAAAAAAAAAAAAAAAAAAAAAAAAATCACAACACATATAAAAGGTTTGGCAATAAAGAAAAATACCTTTGTCAAAAACAAGAAATGGGGAAAGGCTTCCCTATTTAACAAATGGCGCTGGGAAAACTGGCTAGCCATATGTAGAAAGCTGAAACTGGATCTCTTCCTTACACCTTATACAAAAATTAATTCAAGATGGATTAAAGACTTAAATGTTAGACCTAAAACCATAAAAACCCTAGAAGAAAACCTAGGCATTACCATTCGGGACATAGGCATGGGCAAGGACTTCATGTCTAAAACACCAAAAGCAATGGCAACAAAAGCCAAATTGACAAATGGGATCTAATTAAACTAAAGAGCTTCTGCACAGCAAAAGAAACTACCATCAGAGCGAACAGGCACCCTATGGAATGGGAGAAAATTTTTGCAATCTACTCATCTGACAAAGGGCTAATATCCAGAATCTACAAAGAACCTCAAACAAATTTACAAGAAGAAAACAAACAACCCCATCAAAAAGTGGGCAAAGGGTATGAACAGACACTTCTCAAAAGAAGACATTTATGCAGCCAACAGACACATGAAAAAATGCTCATCATCACTGGCCATCAGAGAAATGCAAATCAAAACCACAATGAGATATCAGCTCACACCAGTTAGAATGGCGATCATTAAAAAGTCAGGAAACAACATGTGCTGGAGAGGATGTGGAAAAATAGGAACACTTTTACACTGTTGGTGGGACTGTAAACTAGTTCAACCATTGTGGAAGACAGTGTGGCGATTCCTCAGGGATCTAGAACTAGAAATACCATTTTACCCAGCCATCCCATTACTGGGTATATACCCAAAGGAATATAAATCATGCTGCTATAAAGACACATGCACACGTATGTTTATTGCGGCACTACTCACAATAGCCAAGACTTGGAACCAACCCAAATGTCCAACAATGATAGACTGGATTAAGAAAATGTGGCACATACACACCATGGAATACTATGCAGCCATAAAAAATGATGAGTTCAGGTCCTTCGTAGGGACATGGATGAAGCTGGAAACCATCATTCTCAGCAACTATCACAAGGACAAAAAACCGAACACCGCATGTTCTCACTCATAGGTGGGAATTGAACAATGAGAACACTTGGACACAGGAAGGGGAACATTACACACTGGGGCCTGCTGTGGGGTGGGGGGAGGGGGGAAGGATAGCATTAGGAGATATACCTAATGTAAATGACAAGTTAATGGGTGCAGCACACCAACATGGCACATGTATACATATGTAACAAACCTGCACATCGTGCTCATGTACCCTAGAACTTAAAGTATAATAAAATATATATATAAAAGAAAAATACCTTTGTCATCCTTGCAAAATTACTGGTTTTTGTGTATTTCCTTCCAGTCTCTTCCACTATTTTTTTTGAGATGGGCGGCGGGGGGGGGGCTCTCTTTTTTTTTTTTTTTTTTTTTTTTTTTTTGAGATGGAGTCTCACTCTGTCACCCAGACTGGACTGCAGATCACTGAAACCTCCGCTTCCCTGGTTCAAGTGATTCTCAAGTCTCAGCCTCCTGAGTAGCTGGGATTACAGGCACACGCCACCATGCCCAGCTAATTTTTTTTGTATTTTTCGTAGAGACAGGGTTTCACCATGTTGGCCAGGCTGGTCTGGAACGCCTGGCCTCAAGTGACCCGCCAGCCTCAGCCACCCAAATGCTGGGATTATAGGTGTGAGCCACCGTGCCCAGCCTCCAAATTTATTCTTACATAGTTGAATATATGGGTTGCATACTGCTTTTTCATTTAACAGTATAATTTATACATTTTCTCATATTGCCAAACAGTTCTCATTTTTGTTATTCTAAATAATGTTGCAAGGAGCATCTGTGTGCATCTGAATCTTTTCATATTTTGAATTATTTGCTAAGAATATATTTTCAGAAGCAGCATGAATGGATTACATAAAGACTTGAGCATTAAAGAGTTAACCTGTAAGTTCCTAACCCGAAAGTACCCTGTAGAAATCTCTTCATCTCAGCACATTGTTGGAGAGCCTATAGGAAAAAAAAGGTCACTTCAGCATATGTGATAGGATTGTGGGTAATTTCTAAAAAAATTCGGCATGCGAAGTCCATTCCGGGTATAGCACTATCTTGAGACCCAAGTCAAATAGTACTAAATGTGCTAAGCAGAGGTCTGTGTTTAAAGAAGAAATTCATTTGCTCTTAATAACTGCAGAATGCTGCATAGCTCAACGATGGAGTCAGAAGACTCCGCACGGCATCAAAGCCTGCTTCAATAAGATACGGGAGGCCAAGGTACAAGATAATCTGTCTTTCTCAATTAAAGTAGCTTTGTGCCCTAAGTGCAATAGTCATTTCTTAGAACAATGGTTGCCTTTAAAACTTTTTATTGATGGCAGAATAAAAGGACTAAACAAAACCAGAGTGTTTAAAGGTAATCTATATCCCATATACAACCCAAAGAGCGGTGTAAACAAGGTGATATGTCATAAAATGAAATGTGATACAGATAACCTTACTATTATCTTCTGCACAAGTTCAGATGAATTACAGTGCCTGAAATCTCCAAGCAATGGAAAGTAAGGCACACTGTATGTTTTGTTTTTGTTTTGTATCCCCTCTCTGCACCCCCTGCCACCCCCCAGTCCAGCCTGCTGCCAATAAATAAGAAGATTGACATCATGGAAGCATAGGACAAAATGAGAGCCTTTTCTTGAGACTGACCCTCGTGCTGAAGAACCGAAGGCACCAGAGGGGTCTCTGGGAAATGGTGCGAGAGTTTAGTTTCCATGCCAGGCAAGCTGACAGAACCTCTCAGGGCAGGATTACGGGTGCTTGAGAAAACTCCACCTCCTGTGGAAAGGCAGCCTGTCTTTGGTAAGGAGAAATCATGCTTCCCTAATCTACTAGAGCTTTGTGAAGGGTCAGAATAAGTGTGCGGATAAGGGGGAAACAGGAGACACAATCTCCTTACACTTTCAAGCGTCCTCTGACAGGTGCCACACCAAAGCATGTTAAAGGAGTTGAGTCACCATGGGAATGGAGAGAATGTTGGAAACAAATAGGGAACTGGCTTAGAGATAAGGAATAAAGAGTAAGGATAAACAAGTCTTTATCTGGATGGAAAAATGTGAACTGTGGGGCTCCTGCTGGGGAATTGATGCTCCTGGGGGGACCAAGTTAACTGGCCCTTAATGATTTGAGATGTGACTATCAAGCCCTTTTGCTTTCACAAGTCACATGTGGAAATCATCCCCATCGCCATAGAGTCATGGATCATATATCACCTTGAATTGTGACATCTCCAGTGACTTAGTGGGCTCCTGAAAGGCAGAGCATGGTTGATATTTCTGGATTCATTACAGTGACTAGCATCCAAGAAATATTTTGTGGCTTGATCTGTTGAGAGAAGAATGAGTGTACATTGAAATCTTCTGGCTTGCCAATGACCTTGAGCTCTTCCAAGTAGGCAAATACCAGCAAAGGGCTGTGAGATGCAGGAAGATACAGAGGGCTCAAGAATGGCTGAACATGTTCCCCATGGACAAGGGCAGGTTGAGTAAAGCATTTGAATTGCAGTTTTTCTTTTTTTTTTTTTTTGAGATTGAGTTTTGCTCTTTTTGCCCAGGCTGGAGTGCAATGGCAGGATCTCAGCTCACTGCAACCTCCGCCTCCAGGGTTCAAGTGATTCTCCTGACTCAGCCTCCCGAGTAGCTGGGAGTACAGGTGCCTGCCACCATGCCCAGTTAATTTTGTATTTTAGTAGACTTGGGGTTTCATCATGTTGGCCAGGCTGGTCTCGAACTCCTGAACTCAAGTGATCTGCCCGCCTCGGCCTCCCAAAGTGCTCGGTTTACAGGCGTGAGCCACCGCACCCAGCCTGAACTTTGTTTTTATGGATGTGTAAAGAGAATACATGTAAATACATCATATATATCAGTTTAGAAAATAATAGTGAATACATCATATATACCAGTTTAGAAAATAATAGTATAAGCTGCACCTTTGAGGATGAGAGATTTGAAGCTCTCAGTGACAGCCCAAGGAAAGATTTTGGGTCACTATAATCCAGTGCTTCTCAACCTGTTTTCCATTATTATCCCCCACCCCCACCAAGTACTTTTTTTAACCTACCTTTCCCCCAGTTGCCACCACCTTCCATGAAATTTTAATAGCATGGAATATTGCATTTCTGTTTATGTCCTGTGGCCCTTTGCAGGGCCATAAACCATTGTGATATCTAAGACTTTCCATCTCCCAAGAACCAAGTGTTGTCTCCTTGGGAATGATGGTAGCTCTGTTGAGAATGCATGCTGTAAGGGACTTTCTGCAGGATTGGGCCCAAAAGTGTGACTTCATTCAAACAACAACAAATTGCTGAATATCTAAGGATGGAACTGGGAACAAAAAAGTCATCTCTTGCCTTCCCCTCAAGCCAAACAAAATCCCAAAGATGTGAGGTGAGATGGGGTGCTCCTGACCAGCTCTTAGGTGAGCACATTGAGTTCCTTAGCCCTCTGCCTTCAAGTTGAGTTTGGCCAATGGGGAGCTCAGCAGGAGACTGGGGGAGTGAGGACGGAATGTGTGGTGAGAGTATATGTCCCACCTTGTGGGGTCACCCTGTCTGGTGGTGTCCTTTGGTCACTTCTTCAAGTGCCAACTCTACATGACTCCTGGGTTCTTCTTCCAGGTTCTGAGTTCTGGTAATAGCTCCCACTCCCTTCCTTTGGTGGGGGATAGAGATGGAAATAGCTTGGCTGCCACTGGCTCAGGTCATAGCTATCCTTTGGACCTACACATTTGTAAATGGGTCTTATGCACACTGTGCTCTCTGTTTCCTGTTGGGGCCTTGAATGATAGAGGGAAAAGTTCTTTTTTCTGCATCCTAGGAGAGGCTTTCTGGAGCTGGAATGAGGCCAGAGGGCCTAGGGCTGGGTAGGATGGGCCAGGACAACAAGTCGTTAAAATGCTGAGAAAAGGAGACTGACAGGGCCCTTGACTGGAATGAGAGTGGGAGAAGGAACTTCCCCCAAACACAGTTGTAGGGATCCTCTAGAGCTTAAGAGGCAATTATTAGAAATATCTTGGTCTATCTCCTTCCCGTAGGTGGGAATGATGTGGCACTTTGTCTACCTCAGGGGGTAGCCTTGGCTGGGGTTCACGGAGAGGTGAACAGAGAAACATAAAAGTTCTTCACATAGACCTCAAAGGGGTCCTTTAAGGTCAGGGTCCTTGGGACATCCTCACTTTTGTGGATGATCCAGGGGAGGTGGCAGGTGTGAGTGGATCATTGCTCCTATGGGTTTAGGGCAATAACTGGGTGTGCTTCTGGGTGGAGGGAAAGGAACACAGGCTTTTGGGGGCAACAGCCTAGGCTTGGATCCCTGCTCTTCACCCCTCTGGGCCATCACCCACCTCTCAGAGTTGCCGTAAGGATTAAATGAGAAAGTGCACAGAAAGTCACGCAGGCCTGGCCTGCAGCCAGCTACAGCCCTGCCCCTCTTCCTAGTCAACTGAGTAGTCTCATGCTCAGAGTCCAAGTCTCCTTTCCTGGCTCTGCCCTCAGGAGCAGGGACAACCAAGTCTTACATGCTTCGGGCTCCAGAAGCCACAGAGTGAAAGCAAGAAGCTGTTGTCATGGATGGGGGGTGGGTGGGCACATTATCCTGAGGCCTCCTAATCCCATTTTCTGCTTTCATGTTAATCCTCTTCCTCCTTCTGTCTACCACACACTGAACTCCCAGGGCACTGACCCAGAGAGCCGGGCCCCACCTCCCGCAGTTGAAGGCCCTATTCCCTATGGTGGGAGGGCGGGGTGGGGCGGGGGCTGCAGAGTCAAGGGGTGGGCAGTCCAGCTCGTGCCTTCGTCCTCCGCAGTTGACCTGGATGTTCTTCCAGGCCAGGCCATGGATAACACTGAGGGCTTAGCTCGCTAATAAATAATAACAATGACAGCATCAGCCAGTATTTCCTAAGCATGTACCGTTTGCTGACCCTGGCTAAGGCAGGATTTTATTCAGTTTCCGTAAGGCTGCTGTGAAGCAGATTATCCATCTGAAATTTGCAGATGAGGAAATGGAGGCTCAGGGAGGTTGTCATGAACCAGATCACACTGAGCAAAAAGCAGAACTGTCTGGGACTCCTGCCCAGCTTTGGCTGGCTCCAGAGCCTCACGGGGAACCACTAGGTCATACTGCCCTCCTGCATTGCTTCCTCAATTCAGGAACACAACTGGGGGATCCTTTCCCCAATTCAGAAAAGGATCCCTTCCCAATCCCCACCCTTGCCTTCCCTCCTCTGGCGCATGTCACCTGAGGCTTCAGTTGGGTGAATATATTTTTTCTGTTCACTACACCCGGGTATCACTAGCATTGCAGTGGAGTAGGAAGAACGTGGCTTGGTGGGTGGAAGGGGAGGTGGCGTTGTGTTTCTGGCTGAAACAGGTGGCTCTCTGTGAAAGGTCATCTGGGAGAGGAATGATTTTGCTTCAGGCTTTCCTTTACCTCCCCTTTCTTTCTGGCACTCCATCCCTTCTCCATTCCCAGTTGCAAATGCCCTTCTCTTGACTCTGCAGGACTGAATCTGGCCATTTTTGCCCCCAGAAATAGGTTCTGGGACAAGGCTCACTCACTAAGGAAGGAGCCGTCCACCATCCCCTTCAGCCACTGTGTGTCAGTCTTTCTAAAAAGATGTTATGCCTTGCGGGACCTCCATTTCGGTTTGTTACACACTCACAGGAAGGAGGCGCTTCCCTAACTCTAGCTTACACTCTTCCTGCTGCAATGGGTCCCTTCTCGGAGGCAGCACTCCGTACTACCGGACAGAGCGCAGGCTTGGAGGGAGGCTGGATTAGAATGCTTGCTGAAACACTTAGCAGCTGTTACCTGGGCTTCAGTTTTCTGGGCTAGAATTGGAATAATTTTGTACCTTGCTGAGGCCAGAGCCTGGTCCTCTGGAAGTATTATTTCCCTCTGTCCCTCTCCAGGGGCTGGTGAACCCCTCGTCTGGAAATCTCTCAAAGCCAGGAAGGCAGTACTTGGTTCACTTTGGTCTTTTTCCCCAGAGTCCTGTGGTTCCTGAGCCCTGCGGGCCTCTCTCCTGGTTATTACTGGGTCCTTGGGTCCCTCTGGACTGTGCAGCCCTCGCAAACTTCCTGGCCCAGCCCCCTCCCCTCAGGTTCTCATCACTTCTGGCCCCGCCTTGTGCCTCCTTGGTGGATGCGGTTCCTCCGGCCCTCAGAGCCCCACAGGCCATATGACTGTTGGAGGGTAATAGAGGATTGTGTAAAGTCCAGTACTGGATTGCGTGGGGTGGGCTATGCATGTTGCATGGAGTGAGTTCAGCTAGGGAAGGAGGCCCGAGGGTGATGGAAGCTGAGGTCCTCCTTCGAGGGTTAAGGATGGTCTGAGGGTGGTGAGCATGGCAGGATTTGGCTGCATTGTCATGGTGTGAGGCTTTGTGGAGGCTCTGCCTCTCCCCTCCACCCACAATCCCACAATCAACAAGCCCAACACCAGAGGCAAGATGTGGGGTGTGTGGGCTGGGGATGGCAGTGGTGAGCTGCAACCCTGAGGGTCAGAGCGGCGACTATGACTAGGGCTGCAGAGCAAATACGGCTCCTCAGTCACCTCGAACTACAGGGACATCTTGTTATGTGACAAATTACACCAACCACGTCTGTTGAGGAGAAATCAGGTTAAAGTTTGGTTATTCTTTTTAAAGCCTCCAAAGGTTTGTGCCCATCCAGAATATTCTAAAAGTAGAATGGTGTATAGGAGAGAAGATATGGGTTTCAAGTCAGAAGCCCTGCATTCATGGCGGAGCTCTCTGGCCTCCGTGTGATCCTAAACCCGCAGGTTCTTGTTTTTGCTCTGGACTTCGATATAGCCCAGCTAGACCTTCCCTCCTAAAATTGACAAAGTGGAAGCTGGTCTTTCCACAGACCCTCCTTTCTTCTGAATGTTCATATATTTCATGTTCAGGGAAAGACTCAGAAAAGCTTAGTGCCCATGACCTTGTGGTGGGCCCAGGCCAGGTCCAACCCTGGGCAGAGGTAAAGCTGACCCACCTGCAGGTTGTTCGGGTGCTCCTTGTGACCCCTTCATGGCTGACATCTCACCATGAGGACATTATTCCACTGGGTTAGGGCTTCATACATAAGAAGCCGGTCTGTAAAAATGAGAACTTCCTTGGGGGAAAAGGGAGTCCCCATGTCTTTTTTGGGGACACGATGTGGAAGACCCAGCAGGAGGTGGGCACCATGGGTGGGAGCAGGGCCTGAAAACACTTTGTGATGACTTCAGGGTTTGCTGCTGAGATTTCACTCATCTTCCCCTGTGACACATGCATCCCCACAAACATATACCAAGGATATAACTGAGGACCAAGAAGTCACAACCTAAGAAACTGTCATTAGGGAAGAGTTTGCTGTGAAACATCATTTTATTAACTAATTTTATTTTATTTTTTACAAAAATAAACAATTTAACCAACAAGAAGTACAAAAGATTCTGGATATTCAAACTCGAGGAAGGGGGAAAGCCTGGTTTTGGCTGCTTTGAGGCTTTCATTGAAAGCAAATGAGGCAGAAAGGCCCCGGCCCCACCCCCGCCCCAGGTCCTGGCTCAAACCACACCTGCTCCCTGACCCCAGTCTTGGCTCATGCTGAGGTGTGCACCTCTGCCCCTGACCCCTGGGCTGGCCTGGGAGTGTCCCCTGTCGGGAGGTCAGAGATAGCCTCCCCAGGTACAGAATCACCCACATCCTGGAGCATCTCCCGCCAAGTCTCCTGTCCAGACCTAAGCTGAGAGAACACTCCACGATGGATTGTCCCCACGCAGCCCCCACCGCCTGCTGTGGCATGTGCAGCAGCAGCAGCAGGGGCTTTAGCTACATTCTCACACTATTGAACACAGTGATGGGGCTGCCCACGGAACCGTCCCAGGGAGGGGCACAGCCCCCAGTGGGGAGACTAGCCTGAGCTTGCTTACAGCCCACAGGGTTGGAGAGGCAGTCATACCCCCATGATTCCTGGACTAGGAGCCAGCAGTCCCATAGCTAGGCTGGTAAACTCACATTTTAACATTTGGCATTATTGCACGTTTGTCCTGGTCACATCTGTCTGTCTGGGATGTTAGCTTTGTCTGCAGGGGTTCCCAGGTGACATGCAGTGCTGCCAGTGCAAGTCACTCCCTCCACAGGCAAGCCCAGCTGCTGAGGATAGTCAGCTGGTCAGCCGAGCCCTCAGATAGGTCAGCCAGAGGCCTTCACATATGTGGTCTTGTTGGGATCAGGGACCACTTGGCTCCATCCAGTCTTGAAAAAGACCAGCTGCCGACCTGGGGGGCAGAGGTGAGAGGTAACAGGGCTGGATGTTTCTCTTTCTGGAGGCAAGACCATTCTCCCTAATTTGACTGCCTTGAAGACACGTATACCTCTCTCTCATCACCTCAGCACCCCCTCTGACTTCCGATGGGGGATCACTATCTATCAACCTCCAGAGAGGTCCTGCCATCTCCCTTGGAAGGGCTTCTCCCACTGGCTCACCTGTCCAGGTGGTCTGGTTGGTGACCACAAAGGCCCGACACTGGGCATGGCTCTCACAGACATCCACAGCCTCAGCCAGGTTGAACACTGAAAGGAGGCAGCTCCCGTGGTGGTAGGATGGCCAGCAGCGGTAGTCTTCCTGGGGGATGGTGCTGTCTGGGATACACTGGTACTCTGTGGGTTGGGGATGGAGTAAAATGAGAATTCTGTATGCCCAGGTTTGAGTGCCCAAGGATGTGTCACTTTCTGGAAAGGGCAGCAAGACTCATTTCCTAGGTGAAAGCTGAAGTCCAGCCCAGCCCTCTAGCACGCAGATGAAGGCAGCTACCACTGTTGAAACAGGGCTGACTGCTCAATAAAGACAAAGCACAGACTTGATTTTCAGGAGATACATATTTCCCAAATCTAAGGGCACATAGCTTGGTCAGGCAGTACAAGATAGCAGGCACATGAAAGGGGTACAGACATATACAGGGACACATGGAGTCCCAGCTGTCTAGGCTAATTGCTGAGGCCAGGACATTTTAGACAGTTGGAGCCAGGCTTCTCAAACTTCAATGTGCATGTGAATTACCAAGGACTCTTGTTAAAATGCAGATTCTTTTTCTTTTCTTTTTTTTTCTTTTTTTTTTTGATGGGGTCTCACTCTGTTGCCTAGACTAGAGTGCAGTGACACAATCATAGCTTACTACAGCCTTGAAATCCTGGGCTCAAGGGATCCTCCCATCTCAGCCTCCCGAAGTGCTGGGATTACAGGTGTAAGCCACCATGCCCAACCAAATGAAGATTCTGATTCTGTAGGTCTGGGGTAGAACTGAGAATCTGTACTTCTAACCAGCATCCAGTGTGGCCTGCAAGGGTTCAGAGCAACCCTCATTCACATTTTCTCCTGGCCTTGGGGAGAGAAGTTAGGCAAGTTCCTCAGAAGGGCCTGGGATGGAAGGGAGTCGGGGTTTTTGAAGTTAAGAGGCATGCAAATGGACTAAAATGCAAAAAATCCATGGCTAGAGTGGGGAGGGGGCTGGAGGGAAAATCTGAGATCTCATTCTACAGAGAGAGCCTCAGAAGCTCTGAAAACTCACAATCAGTGAGCTCCTCAGCTGCTGGCCTCTTGTTTGCTCCTGTCTTTCCCACTGCCTGGAGAGCCCCAGCTCTGGACTGATAATGCAGAAGCCCTGGGCCTCTGGCCACCCCACCCTCCTGCCTCCTTCTACCAGGGACTAGACCAAAGTCCAGGGCTGACTGTGATTTACAGCCCCATAAACAGCATCCTCAGGGACAGAGCCAGCCATTGTTCACCTCGTTAAACTTTATTTACAGGGCTAACAGGGCTCCCCCACCCCTAAGACTAGCCAGAACTCCTTGAATATGAAACCTGCTCACCCCTCAACCCCTGCCAACCCCAGCTAAACCCCAGGGCTTCAGCAGAAGGACCACAGCCTGAAACCAGTGGCCAGAATTCTCCCCCTGCCCTGGGGCTTCTTGGCTGGTTTCAGTGTGTGCCTTCCCTAACATGCAGTGCCCTTCTAGCCCCGGGAGGTTAGAGGAAGGAAAGGGAAGCAAACATATACTGCGTTCCAGCTGTGTCATAGGAACTGCACTAATTGCTTTCACACATTTCACCTGACATTTAATTCCCATAAGAATTTGGTGAGGTGGGTAATAGTGAACCCAATTCACAGATGAGGAAAGTGAGGTTCAAGGGGTAACTTGCTCAAAGTCATATAGCCAGTACATGATAGGGTTTGGAGCCATCCAGAGTAGGGGTATCAGTGCCCAACCCCAGGTTGAAGGCAGAATTATAGTTGCTCTAGCTCAGCTAGAGATGGAACCTCAAATTAGTCCATGTCAGCCCCTCCATGATTCTATGTGAGCCCCTACAGTGGCCTTTGGAGACAAGGGTCCCCAGAGAAAGGGTGAGCCACTTAGCCTAATTGGGCGGGGTCATTCACCCTCCCACCTGTTTCTTGCTTCCCTGTGGATCAGCTTGGGGCCACTCACCGGTACTGCTGCTTGCCGTGGAGTTCTGCAGATACTGCCCGCTCCGGTACAGGTGCAGCACCTTCTCCAGCTGGGCCAGGGTCTCGTCCACCCCCCAGGCGAGCTCTCCTGCAGAGTGCAGTGTGGCTAAGACAGGATGCCTGGGGCTCCCACTCCTCCCTGAAGTCAGCAGCCAGCTGCTCCCACCTCTGCCTCCAGAGCCTGTGCCCCAGTGAACAGAGGGCGGGGGAGCGGGGAGGTTGCGGCAGAATGCCACCTTAGGAAGTGATGGTTTCTAGAACCCCTGCTGCCCTGGGTTATTTTTCTCCCCACTTTTGCTGGCGGGTGGGGGTGGGGTAGGTGCCTGGAAGCAGATGGGCCCTGGAGAGCTCACCTGTGGCGTTGACGATGCTGTCCAGCAGAGGACGCAGTGAAGGCGGGGCACTGTGAGGCAGGAGGTATGTGAAGAAAAACCTGTGGCAGAGGGAAACCAGTGGCTCAGGAATCCAGCCTTTGGAGACACATCCTTCCTCTATTCCAACCTGGGGCAGAACGCTAACCTGGCCAGGGAGCCGGATCCCTCAGGCCTAGCAACCAGGCAGAACGCAGTGAAGTCTACTCAGCCTCGGGGGAGGGTTCTGGGCACATGCTAACACCACACCTAACTTCATACTAACCGAAACCAGGGGCCTGCTTCCCAACCCTTCCCAGGACTTGCCCACCTCCCAGCCCCACATTATCCCCTGACTGACTCCCGGTGTCGGAGCAGCCCCATGGCTGGGGCCCAGTGAGGAATTTCCCAGAGCACAAGGGCCTGGGTGGGAAGGGAAAAGTGCCAGTTCCACCAGCCCTAGGCTCCGAGTCCAACACTATTTTAAGAAGCCTCCAGCTGCCACCCCCTAACCCGGATTCTCCTTGGAGCTGTCTATTTTTAGCCTCTCCATCAGAGGCCTGAATGTTCCCTTCTGGACAGGGTAGAAGCCTTCCCTTGCTCTGGTCAAGGCTGAGTCTCCCTGCCCAGCTGGCCTCCACGTTGGCTCTCTTCCTGCCATGCCCTCCTGGCCCATTCTCCTTCGATGGAGTTCCCGAGTCAGGGGTGGAGGTCACCTGTAGGCATTATAGAGGTTCCGCTTCTCGTTCATGCCCTCGCACCAGCCCTGGGCTGAGCAGGGCAGGGTGAAGTTCCTGGCCGGAAACTCGAGTATGCAGTCGGTGCTGCCTGCACACGGCGTCTCCTCCACACGTGCGTCATCCAGGTCCGTCACTTTGAGCTCCCCATCCACCAGCACAAACTGCCGAGGGCGGAAGTCCAGCAGAGTGACGGAGCCCAGTGGGGAGTGGGCCAGGTGGTGGAGGAGGCGGCCCAGGCTCAGGCAGATCTGAGGGGCACAAGAAAAGACTGCTCACTGCTTTTCTCCTGGGTTGGGGGTCTGTGGGACTCGAGGGCACCCTCCTCTTGGAATCTGAACTTTGCTTGTGGGGGTTGGCACTTCTCTTCTATAGGCCCCAGGGCTCCACAAAGGCCAAGGTCAGCAGCCTTAGAGAGGAGGCCAGTGATTTTCTATTAACTCTCGGCTGGCCTGACCCTGGAAATGATATGGAGTGGGTGGGAAACTGCAGCAGCGAGGGTCTGGGGATAATGCATCTCTTCCCTGAAGTTGCATCCTGAATGTTGTTTTAGTTCAGTGTATGGAAATATCGGGAGGGTCAGGATGGTATTAAGGTCTTTCCTAGTTCTAGGACACTGGCCCTCCTGCAGTCAGGCTGAGTGTGAGTGTGTGAGTGCTCCCCTCTTTAAGGTGCCAGCCCCCACAAGCTGGTGTGTACACGCGCACAAGGAGGGGTGAGGAGGGCAAGAGCACAGCATGTCGGGATCCTTTAAGTCTTGCTTCTTTTTTGAACCCTTTGGCCGGTGGCTGAGTCAGCCTGTGCGCCTTCCTCCCCTCCCTCTCCCTGGGTGGAGGAGGAGTGGGAGCTGCTTTGGAGGGCTGGCCTTCTAAGGCAGAACCATCCTAGCAAGGAGCCCAGGGCCCGAGCCCTCCTCTGAGCTCACTCGGAATCGATCCTCCCAGGAAGTTTGCAGCAGCTGGATCATTTCTACAGGGGCGCCCAGCTCCGTGATGGTGGTCAGGGTGTCTGGGATGTCCTCGCTGTCCTGGTAGCAGTAGCCATAGAGCTGGGGAAAGCCGAGGGCAGGTCATTAGGTCACAGGGTGGGGGTGGGGACAGGGAAGGGCTGGACTGTCAGGTTCCCCCTCTCTCTCCTCCCACCATCCCCAGGCCTTTGCTTCAGCTCAGGCCAGAAGAGAATGGCAGCGTTGCCTGGGAAGCATGCCCTCTCTTCCCTGCAGTCAGACTTCCTACTGACCATGTCAGCCCCTCACCCCTTCCGACTCAGGTAAATAGGCAGGTCTGGCCACTGTGAGTTAACCACGTGCCAGGTACCATGCTAAATTGCTCTACGTGCATAACTCAATTATTGTAATAACCCTAATGGGCACAGTAGGTGCTATTATTATCTCCAACTTCAGGTGAGGAGGCTGACTCAGAGAGGTTAAGTTGCTTGCATAAGGTCGCACAGCTGATCAATGTAGGAGCCTAAGATGTGAATTTGTGCCACTCGGATTCCACAACCTATTTTTATTTATTTTTCTTTTCTTTTCTTTTTTTTTTTTTGAGACAGCCTCGCTCTGTTGCCCAGGCTGGAGTGCAGTGGCATGATCTCAGCTCACTCTGCTTCCTGGGTGCGGGCGATTCTCCTGCCTCAGCCTCCCGAGTAGCTGGGATTACAGGCGCTTGCCACTATGCCCAGCTAATTTTTGTCTTTTTAGTAGAAACAGGGTTTCACCATGTTGGCCAGGCTGGTCTCAAACTGCCGACCTCAAGTGATCTGCCTACCTTGGCCTCCCAAAATGTTGGGATTACAGGCGTGAGCCACTGCGCCCGGCCACAATCTGTTTTTTCTAAGAATGCTGTTTGGTAATACACAAGCGAGCATACGGTTGGACATTATCCTTCCTCCCCTCCTTGAATCTGTATCTATCCCTCATCATTTCTACCTTCTGGCAGCTTCAATTTTCTCTGCGTGGGTCTTGAGGGAGGAAAAGCAAGTTCCCTTAGACTGGTAACAAGTGTTGATAAGAACAAGGTACCTGAGGGCACATCCCCAGGTGTGTTTTGCATATGAGTGATGTGTATCAGTGGGGGTGGTAGTGAGTGATGATTCCTCCTGGAAGATCAGTTCTTTTGGGGTTACGGTCACAGGGAACTGCCCACTCTATGTCATCTGGGGAGAAGCTCCGCACTGCCCAGGGACTTCTGGGAAGCAAAGCCTGAGTGTCACTACCACCTTAACAGCACCCACAGGCATCCCCCTGGCTCTTCCAACATACTCCACAGCAGCTAGGGGCTCGTATGGTGCTCAAAACAACCAGCACCCTGTGGGGTAGAAACACGAAGGCTGAGTTGTCCAGGCCCGACTCAGGGAGAGGAGAGCTATGCGGTGGAGGGGTGGATATCCCTGTGCACTGTCACCCTCATACCATCATTCACACCCTCCCCAGAGCCACTCCAGGTCCTCACATGTCCTCTTCCCGCCCTAGGAGTGCCCCCTCAGCTCCCCGTCATCCTGCTGGCATGGGGGAAGGCCTCACTCTTGGGCTGTGACTTGGGGGGCCAGGGCAGCTCCAGGCACCCTCTTCTCTCTCCACCCCCTCCCCATCAGTCCAGGGAAGCCCCAGACCCTGGTGGGGTGGGGGGAAGGTAAGGGGAACAGCCCTGGGGCCTGGTTCTCATTTTCTTGCCCAGAGTCTGAGCCTTTGTGGGAAACTTCTGAAGGTTATTAAACACCCGGAGGTCGTTAAATGCGCTGTTAACGAGGTATTAATCAACACCCCTCAGGAAAAAATAAAAAGACACCATTAACCCCCCCCAGGAAGCGTGAGGCTGAGCATTTCAGTCACATCTTTTGTTTGGTTGGGAGAAGAAATATACTCTAGCAGGGCCAGAATCTGGGCCCAGGCAGGCCTGGGGGCCCATCCAAGGCCTGGGGGCCCCAGGATGACTGGGGGAGGGGGAGGTGGGGAGAGGTTGAGGGGAGGGGAGACCCTTGTGCCCTTTGGCCCTGGGCTATAGAGGAGTCAAGTCACGTGAGGGAGTGTGTATGCGTGTGTCAGGGGCGGGATGGGGAGGGGTCAAAGAAAATGGATAGAAAGATCTCGCCCAGGCAATCCCCATGACCAGAGAAAGCCCTGGGAGGTGCAGAATGGGGCCTGCTAGCCTGGGCATTTTCTATTAGAATCCACAGCACCAATTCTGGGCTGCTCAGAGAGGGAGGGTGGTGAGCCTGCACCACTAGGAACTCTAGAAATGTTCTCTAACTCCTCCCCAGTTCAGCAAACAGTCAAATGGTTTTGAAATTTTAAATAACTCAGAGGTATTAAAGCAGCATTATTTCTAGTTCCCTGTACACCTGCCCTGAAGCCTCCTGGGCAGGAAGACCCCACTGTAGGCTTCCCTGCCAGCAAAGATGGCCGTGTTTAGGAGGCCAGAGCGACACTGGCCTGATGGTCAGAAGATGAATGGGGGAGAGCCACCATCAAAGCAGTCCCTAAACTCACACTAAAGGGCCCCCCACTTTTCACTTTTCCTGGGTAGAAAGGACCTGTGACCCTCTCTCCCTTAGCAACCCTTGTGCCCTGGGGCCACTAACTCTCGTCTGGGACTCTACAATAAAGAGTCACACAGCTAACCCCAGACAACCCTGGTCTTGGTTTGGTGAGGGAAGGGTGAAAACTATTCTGTTGTAATTTTTTCTTTGGTGCCTTCAGAATTGGGCTGGGGGCCTGACATTTCAGAGGAGGACCGTCACGTGATATATATGTGGGGCGTTAGCTGAATGCTTGTCAGGAAGTTTGAGCTGGCGGGAAGAGTGAGGGACAAGTTTCTTAAAAGATAGGAAAGCACATCAAACATCAAACCCGTCTGAAGGGAGAGGGGTCTTGAGTCAAGTAACTAAGACTTTATGTCCTGCTAAGTCACTCAAGACCTCTCCACTCCCTCAGGATCTGGCTGACACCCTAGAGTTTCCAAAAAGTTCCCAAAAGTCCCTGGGAAGGAAAGAGTACAAGATCCTCCCAGTTAGAATGGCCACGTAACCAGGGGCTCACTCCCTGAAGCTGCAGACACGGTGTGAGCTGTGCAGCCAGGCTTCACTACACGCAAGTGTTGGTTCTGCCCGAGCTCCTGAGACCAGTTTGGGGCCCAGGGCCCGGTCACAAGTGTCTGACCAGGGTTGGGGAATACGATGGGGGAGGGGGAGACTGGGAGCCAACAGGAGTATAAACAACTTTTGGGCCAGTCTCTCCTGCTCTACGACGCCCACCCATCTCCCTCCAGGGCTGGGGTGCCATCTCACTCCTAAGGAAAGGAGAGAGGGACTCCTGGGTTTCCAGTCATTTCTGCTGGGTGCAGAAAGGTTAGTTTGAGTGGGCTGGTAGGTGGAAGGTGTGTGCAAGATTTCATCCGTTGGGGAGGCTGCACACACCCATGTTCACCGGGCCAACAGCGGTCAGGGATTCCCCTCTGTTTGCTCAGACATGTGCAAAGGGAATAGTCTGTCTAATCTTAGGATGGGGGGAGACCTGAGAGAGAGGACGTGGAGTGTTAGGGCGGTGCTGGGACTGTGAGAGGCCCACTCAAAGTCTAGCTTGGAGGGGACAAGGTGGGGGTTTCAGCTCTCGCCTGTGTCTCCAGTGAACAGGCGAGGCAGAGTCCCGTTGAGTAGGAACCTGAGCATTTGGCCTTCTCAACCTTCCAGCCTCTTGGCTATCTATATACACTCAGACAGTGTGACATTTAGATCCTCAGGCCGCCAGTCTGTCCACTGAGCTGAGACCTTCAGGCTTCTCCAGGGGCTCAAGGACCCACTTTAAGGCCTGGGGAACCCTTAGTTCACTTCTGGGAAGGACTGTGTTCCCTTTTTCTAGCCTGCTCCCCAGCCCCCTTCCAGTGTCTTCTGGGTGGCGCTGGAGGTGGGTGGGTGGGGAGACTCTATAGGAATCAAGCCTGACACATGGTCTCTTTCCAGCTCTTCCCAGCCCCACTGCTGTCCCGTCTCATTTTCAAAACCAGACAAATCACTGGAAGTTGGGAGAAGTTCCATCAAGAAGGGGGACTTTATCACACAGTTGGAATTCTGACTCAAGTGTCTTGGCTTAGGGTCATTTTGGCTTGGGGTAATATCCCTGGTGTTCAACCTCCTAACTCCAGCCCGGAGTAGAGTCCTAAATCCTAATGGACTGCCCCACCCCCTGAGTTTTGGGAGCCTCTGTCCTGGCCTGTCTTTAAGAGATGTGTGGAAGCCGAGAAACCCAGGAGTTCTCCGGTAAAGGGACGCCCACCCAGGAGTGAGAAGCAGGGTGGTGCAGTGGGAAGGGCCATGGTCCGGTTTCTGCGTCTAGCTTAGCCTGGGTGCAGTCACTGGCACTCCAGATCAAGGGGTTCTCTTCCAGCCAGGTTGACAAGGTCTTGGGCACTCCCAGCCAACACCGTTACCCCCGCGTCCCCACCCTCGTACCTGCAGCACGTTGGGGTGCCGCAGCCGCTCCAGCAGCACCATCTCCTTAAGCAGCTTGTGGGCCGCCAGCCGATAGCAGCCCCTCCGTACCCCGAACTCGCGCACGCAGCTGCCCAGATCGTGGCCGCTAAAGTCCACCGCCTTGAGCGCCACCGCGGCACCGCCGGGCAGGCGGACCCGGTACACGGCCTTGGTGTAGCCTGAGCCCATGTACTGCGCGCCGGACACGTTGCGAAGCGCGGCGCAGCCCAGGCGCGGGCCCGGGCCGGGGGAGCCTGGGCCGGGAGCCGGGGGCCAGCCTGGGGCGCCGTCGGACAGGGGCCGGGCCCAAGGGGGCCGGGGGCGCGGCAGGCCGGGCCCGCCCGGAGCCAGGTCCATCAGGCGCCGCCGCTCCGGCCGGCCCGCCCCGGGCCCGGGGCCCCCGCGGGAATAGCGCTGCACCTCCTCGTAGCGCGCCCGGATCTGCCGGGCCAGCTCCCCGCGGCCCCCGCGACGGCCCGGACCCGGGGCCGGCGAAGGCTCAGGGGACTGGCCTGGCCTCGGAGGCTCCGAGCCCGGAGCGAAGAGCACGTTGAGGACGGAGCCCAGCAGGAAGGAGGCGCAGAAACCCGCGGCCACTGCCGCCCGCCGGCGCCGCATCGCTCCCCTCCCCCCGGCCGGCCGGCCCCGCGCGGCTCCCCGGCCCCGGCCCCGGGCGGCTCAGGCTCCGAGGCGGCTCCGCTCTGCGCCCCGCCGGCCCCCTGCCCAGCCCGCGCGCATGGCCCCGGCGGCCCCGACCCCGGCCCCTCGCGGGCGACACATCGGCCTGACACTTGCCTCCCTGCCGCCCTGCCCCCGCCGCTTATAAGGCCCAGAGCCGCCCCCCGCCCCCGCCCCCGCCCCCTCCCCCGCCCCCTCCCCCGCCCCTCCGCCTCCACCTCCCAGCTCCCGGCCCGAGCCCGTCCTCGGCGCCGCCCCCTCCGGCCGCCCGGCCCGGCCTTCCCCGCTGACTGACAGCGGGACCTCCTCCCGCGGCCGTCCGGGCCTGGGAAGCGGCGCGGAGGCGGCTCCGGTCCTGCCCAGCCCGCGGTCCCGCCCAGCCCGCGGTCCCCCGAGCTCCGTCTGGGAGCGGGGGAGGGGGCGGCGGCGGCCAGGAGGCGCGCGGGGGCTCCGCGCCCAACGCGAGGGCGGATAACGGGGCCGGGGCGGCCGGATAACGGGATTGGGAGGTGGATAACGGAGCCGGCCGGGCGGAGTGGGGGAAAGATAAAGGGGCGAGGCCGGCGGGTAGCGGGCTCCGGAGGGGACGAGCAGCTAAGTCCGGGGTGCGGAGATCCGAGTGATCTCAGCGCTCCCTCCTGGGACTGGGGGCCTCGGGGCGGTTTGGGCGCAGGGAAGGCGCGTGGACCCCGTCTCTCGCGGGTGGGGCCGGGGGTGGCGGCTCCTCGCTCAGCCCCGGATTCCGGATTGGGGCGATGGTGAGGGGGAAGCGGGCACAGCCGGGCCAGCACCTGCGAGCGCGCGTGGGACAGGAGCTCTAGGCATAGAGGAATGCTCGTGAGCTCGCCGAGGATGCCCTGTTCAACTCCTTTTACCAAAGTGTTTCTGATTTTCCTTGCCTCTAAAGCCCCAAATGCAGCTGGGGGTCGCTCCCTACCCCTCAAGATGCCTGGGGTCTGACGGGGTCAGCCGCGTATAAGAAACCATGTGCATGCTAGTAGCTTGGGCAAAGAGTGCGTTTGTGCCCACGGACGGCTGTCTGTGGAGTGTGTGCCTCGGCGTGTCTGAAGGGGCCATTGTGTCCGATGAAGGGAATGTGTACCTTGTGTGTAAGTTGGTGCTGACGCCACCAGAACTTCGGTCCCTCCTCCTCCCTCCCTGATTGCATCATTAGTGCTAATTGAGGGGCTTTCACACGCCAGTGCACTAGCTGTTTGGAGTGAGCTCCCCCCTCCTGGGAGAGATAAGCCGCTGCCCCTCCCCCTCGCAGCTCTCCTCTTCCCCGCCACTCTGAAACTGCCCACCTAGATCCTCTCACCTTCCTGGGCAGCTTCCTGCCTCCCTCTGGGCCAGGTTAATCTCTGTCCTCCTCACAGTGTCAGGGATTGGCTGGGGAGGGGTCAGGGAGGAGAAGGGTCCACAGCCTTTTTTCTGGGGGTGGGGGTGGGTGGGGGGGTATCCAGGGAGGGGAGATTTTCCCTGAAGAGGTCTGGCGTTCCTACAGAATGCAGTGTCTGTGATGAGAAAGGGACAGGAATTTCTGCCCTGTTCCTTTGGACATGGAAGGACCGAGGAGAGAGCTGAGTCCCTGATCTCCAGCCTATGATCCCACTGAGGTGGGCCTTCCAGCCCGGACTCCTTGTTCTCTATGGCTTGGGGAGTTGGGGCCCAGTCCGACTTGGCAAGCATGGAAAGGCAGGGTGAAGGAAGCCATGATTCCTCCGAGAACACTGGGTCTGGTGGAGTCAGGTCTGTACCGATAGAGCTGTTCTGCCCCACTCTGGGCCGTGGCTGCAGTCTGCAGGGTGTAGGGGGAAGGCTCTGAGCAGATGCCCTCTCCGCAGCCTTGCACCAGATGTCTTTGGTCTAATTAACTGTGCTGGGAAAACCAACCTGGGTTTGTAAACAGAGCTACTGGCTAAAGTCAACAGGGAACAGCAGCAAACAGCAAACCATTCCCCTCACACTCAGCCTTGGTCCAATTCAGACCCCTGGGGAAAACGGGGAGCTGGGTGGATTAGGAGGCCCCCCCCGGCCCACAGCTGAATCAGGAAAAGCCTGTCTGCCTGTGTCACCCCAATATGGCTGCTAGTTCCTTATCAGTTCCATGTCTTCTTTTCTGGGGAGGAATGAGGATTTTGGGAGGAACAGTTGCCATCCCAAGATAGGCTCTGTCCTCCTTCCAGCAATTTCCCCATAGACATCTACCCAGCCAAACGTCTCAATCCGTGAGGGAGCTGTTGTGGGGGAATATTCCCTGAAGAACTTTCTTTGGGGCTTGCTCTGCCCTTGTGTTTTGGAGAAACTTCTGAGGGTAAAACTTGGCGTTGTGAGTCTACAGCTCAGAGTAGGTGAATATAACATGAACATTGTTAAGTTTGTTACACATCATGTAGGTATTATAATAACATGTTCTGAAATTAGATAATTATTCCTGTGATATCTTTGCCAAGCTTCAGTGTTTCTGTTATGGTTTGAAAGTTCAAGGCACACAGGGGCCTGAGAAACAGGCACAAATGTGCGTGCAACACACACAGGTCCACGGAGCAGTTCAGAGCAGTAGCTCACACACAGGAACAAAGGCATCTCAGTGGCCTCCCTCGCATACTCACTGTCTCCCTCACCAGCTCTCAGACACAGACATATACAATCTGAGATGGAAATGGGTTTTTGGCTTCTGAAAGAAAGGGATTGAACTTTTTGAGCAGATTAGAGTTTCTGAATTGGCAGTTCTTGAGTTCTTAACTATATTTTGCTTGTTTGCTTTTTTTTTTTTTTTTCCTTTCTGCCACCCAGGGAGAGGAATCATTTCAAAGAATTGAAATACATGAAATGCTGCTGCAGGCCCCTGATCTGCAGTCTGCCCACCCACTCAAAGACCAGGTGGAGCCCATAGCCTGGGCCTCACAGGCCAGAGTCTGCAGGCCAGTGTCCAGCTCAGAGCCCTCAGTGCCATCTTCATACAGGAGCCATCAGCTGGCAGTCCTCCCTGTCTCCCCCAGGGCTTCTGGCAGCCCTCAGACCACAGTGTCTGTGCAAGGTCTGGAAGGCTCAGTACGTCCAATGCTCTATGCTTTCTTGCTCCCTCTATCTTTCTGCCATGCTCCTACCCCACTCAAAACACTTACTTGGATATTAATCCTTGGGAAGAGGGCAGATGGCCCAGACTCCAAAATGCTAAATTTTCTTTAAGGTGTCTTTTAAATACCTTCTTTCTGCATGTTTCTGTCACATCATCCTAGACTGTCTGAAGGGTTATTCTAGCCTCCCATCTGCCTTCTTTATTGTCCATCTTTTTCTCTGCAGGCCAAGGCTCAGACACCTCTTTTGGAGTATTACTGTCCTACTCAAAAACCTGGAGGATAAGCTGAACTGGCCTTCAGGCCTCCATGAGCTGGCCCCAGCCCCCCACCTAAGCCTGTGTTCCCCTTTCCATTCCTCCACACAAAGTCAGACTCCTCCTGCACCAGCTCCTGCCCCAGCCATCATCTGCGTTTTCCCATCAGTGCCCTCTCTCCCAGTTCCTCTTCCTGAAATACCATCTTCTAGCCTTTCCGCTTAATCTTTGCCAAGTGGTCCTTCAAGGCCTCCCAGAAAGTGTTGAGGTAGAGATAATGCTTCTGCAACTGGGGTCGTGTTGCAGAAGGTCCTTGGGATATTGAGTGTCTATTCTTAGAGTTTTGTGGAGAAAGGAAATGTACATAATACATTTCTCAGGTCTTGGAAAACTTGATGTAAAGAGCTTGGGATTTGGAATCAGGGATTCAATCTCATTAACTGAGTGACCTAGTATTTACACAAATTTCAAACAAACAAACATCTGTGACAACATCTTATACAACTTGGTTGGGTATAACTCTGCCAGGGGGCAGAAATAACTTGAACCTCTCTTTTCTTCTTTCTTTCTTCCCCTTCCTTCCTTCCTTCCTCTCTCTCTGTCTCTTTCTTTCTTTCTTTCTTTCTTCCTTCCTTCCTTCCCTCACTCCCTCCTTCCCTCCCTCCCTCCCTCCTTCCTTCCCTCCTCTCTCTCCTTCCTTCTTTTCTTTTCTTTTCGTTTCTTTTCTTTTTTCTTTTCTTTTCTGATAGGGTCTTGGGTCTTGCTCTGTTGCCCAGTCTGGAATGCAGTGGCCCGATCTCGGCTCACTACAACCTCCACCTCCCAGGCTCAAGTGATTCTCCCACCTCAGCCTCCCAAGTAGCTAGGACTATAGGTGTGAGCCACTATGCCCAGCTAATTTTTGTATTTTTTTGTAGAGACAGGATCTCACTATGTTGTGGAGGCTGTTCTTGAACTCCTGGGCTCAAGCAATCCTACCTCATCCTCCCAAAGTGTTGGAATTACAGGGTTGAACTACTTTCTTTTGTTTTTCTTTTCTTTTTTTCTTTTTCTTTTTTTTTGAGATGGAGTCTCACTCTGTCACCCAGGGCAGTGGCGCGATCTTGGCTCACTGCCACCTCCACCTCCTGGGTTCAAGCGATTCTTGTGCTTCAGCCTCCTGAGTAGCTGGGATTATAGGCGCTGGCCATCACGTGTGGCTAATTTTTGTATTTCTAGTAGAGACAGGGTTTCACCATGTTGGCCAGGCTGGTTTCAAACTCCTGACCTCAAGTGATCTGCCCACTTTGGCCTCCCAAAGTGCTGGGATTACAGGTGTGAGCCACTGCGCCCGGCTTGAACCACTTTCTATCCTGGTTCCCATAGGTGAAATCTCTTAACCTCCTGGGCTCTTTTGTGCCTGGAATTTCCCCTTTTTCCCAAATCAGCAAACCAGTAGTCCATCACAGGAGGCCTCACCACTTTCGCTACACTGTGGTAAGCTTCAGAGGGAAGACCATGAATCAGGACCTGGGCTGAACCTCCTGATGCCAGAGTCTGAGAGCAGGGACAGCCCCAGCTTGTCCTCCCTGGAGCAAGGCTGTAGGGGAGGGGACTGATTCTGAAAAGAGGGGGGAAAAGGGTGGAGCTAGGCAGCCCGCTCCTCCACCCCCACCTCCCTCAGGTAGGAAGTGAAGCTGACATTTCCAAAATATAAAAAACAGATGATGAAGGTCAGGTTTCCCGCATGCTGGAGAGCGGGAGCCCCAAGGCAGAGTCCCCAAAAAATTATCGGAGGCAGAGACAGAGGAGAGAGCAAGAGAGTGTGCAAGTGTGAGTGCAGAGATAGATAAATATGAAGAAACATATAGACAAAAAATTCTGAATCCTGAGAAAAGTAGTCAAACAAAGACGGAGGAAGCCATGGCTCAGGAGAGATGCTTCCACCCGTTTCTGGAAAAGAGCTTAGTTCCCCTCCATGGGTTTCAGGATGGGAATATGAGCCATTTTAGCTCCACGACCGTCAGAGGGGGAGGCCCTCCTGGAACCCAGAAACCAAAAGGCTCTGTGGGCTCTCAGAGCCCTCACCGCCTGGGCTGGCTTCTCTATCTCTGCCTCGGAGTCTGTGGCCCCCAGAGTCTCTCTCAGACCCCTTCCTGTGCCTGGCTCTCTCTTCCTCCTGCCTCCCTCCTACTCAGCCTCACCCGCCAGTCAAAGAGATGCTCTGTGACACTTTGTCTTTCTGTCTCTTTTCTGGCTTTCTGAGCTGTGTCCCCCTCCTTCACTGTTTCTTGAGATTGGAGGAGCTGGGGGTGGGGCTGAGGACTAGAGAGGGGGTTGGTGGACCCAGAGAAGGCTTAGAGGTACCTGTTTAAAGCTCTCACTGGAGAGAAGGGGTGAGGGGGCAGCCTTGGGGTGGGGACCCTGTGGTGATTGGGGACTGTGTTCTGGAGACTCTACAGGGGAGTGGGAAAGGTGTGGGCTGCTCCCCTGGGCCTCTGTAGTCCCTGCCAGATGACTACAGCAGGTAGATGAGCAGCAGGTAGAGGGATGGAGAGTTGGCCATCAATCAGCGAGTGACAGATGGACTCAGGCGGCTAAGGTTGATGGAGCAGAGGCCTTTGTCTTTGTCCAGAAGTGATGGGGATGGACGCATAGGGGCTGGGTGGTTAGGAGTGAACATATCAGACCTTTTCTGACAAAGCCAAATGTACCCTGAGTCAATGGGGCCATGTTTCTAGGCCATGGTCAAGTAGAAAGAAGCAGTTTATTTCAAGTGGCCTCAGGGCTGCAGTTTGGGAAATGGAAAGAAAAGAGGAAGAAAAGAGGGGCTGTTGAGTTTGTACCTTTCGTTCTGAACCTCTAGGGGGCTGACAATTCTCTCCTTCCCTGCGTCCCCCAGGAGCCCAGCCTGGACCCAAACCCAGAAGAAAGACTGCTCCTTACAGTTAAGAAGGCCTTGCCCCTGCTTCTGCCCTCAGGAGCTTATAGTGTAATTGGAAAGATTTGCCCCAAACCATCAGGGGCTAATACAAAGGAGAATGTGGAAGATGGGGTAGGTCGTGGGGCGGGAGTGGACAGGCAGGAAAGAACTCAGAAAGGGCTGGTCCCTTCCTGGAACCCTGATGGAGAACTATGGTGTCCTGAAAGCCTGCTGTGCACCAGGAGCTGTCTAACCTCTTGACACATACTGTGAGGGCAGAATGATTATACCCATTGTATAGATGAAGAAATTGAGGTTCAACTGTCATACCAATCCTAAGAGGCAGAGAAATGAAGAAGCAGTGACTCGGGCCCCGATTCAGGGTCTTTTTTCAGCTTTTTGTTGGTTTGAGAAAATAGAAAATTCCAGTCAAAGGGAGAGGCAGAGAAGCAAATACATGTCACCAATGGGAACCAACATGGAAGTTCATTAAGGTCATTTTTGCCTCCAAGCAACAACGTTTGGTCATAAAGATTTATTATTTTATTGTTCTTGTTAATACTAATAAAAAGCACACTTATTAAATGCCTTTCATTATCACTTAATCCACTTACCACCTCTAGGAGATAAATACTGTTATTATCTTCAATTTTCAAGATGAGAAAATTGACCCAAGAGAGGTTAGTTAGGTAAGAAGGCCAAAGAGACTGTTAGGAGGCAGAGCCCAAATTTGGATGCAGATGCCTCTGACCGCAGAGCTTGTGTTCTTCCTGGTTCTGTCCTGCATTTTAGTTCATGGTCTAAGCTGGGTTGGGCTTCGTTCAGCTACAAAAATCCCAAGGTCAGTCTTTCCAAGCCCAGCGCTGCAATCGTGGTTCAAAGATAAGTGTCTGACGATGTGTAAGCCTTTAAAGGATAGAGGCAGGCCCTCCTGGAGCAGTAGGGGAAAAAAGAGGGAGACAGGAAGAGGCACATTGAAGAGAATCCTCCCCTGTCCCCCCATAAAGAAAACCACAGACTCAGGAGCTAGGACCAGACACCTATGAAGTGTTTCTCGGAGACTCCAGAGGGCGCTGGGGGGAGAGAGAAGAAATCAGGAGTGATGGTTTATAAAGGGTTAACAACACCCTGGGAGTCTGTGGAATTAAAATAATTATTTGAAAAGTTCCAAAAAGCACAAAAAAGGAATAAAAATTACACAAAATCCCTCCATTAAAAGAGATTATCTGCAGTAAAGTGTGCGAACTACCTCGTCTGCCCCTCCAACCCCAACCCCAGAGGTAACCTCTGTTAACCATGTGGTGTGTAAAGGCTCTCTTAGATCCCACACGCACTCATCATCTCCTTCCCTCCACCACCGTCCCATGGTGATTGTTGTTTCTGTACCACCAGCTTCAAGCTTAGACATCTTGGAGTCTCTTTGATGTTTCCAAACTCAAATTCAAGTCCTGTGCTTTAAAAAAATATCTCTTGGATTTCCTCCGTTTTTCCTCATTGCCGTCCTCCCAAGTCTTGGCTCTTCCTCTCACGTCTGCTCTGTTGATTGGTTTCCTAAATGTTCTCTTCCCACCTCGAAGCGTGTATGGGCACCAGATTCATCTGCCAACGACATTGCTTCCAACACATCATTTTCCTGTTCTAAAATCTTTGATGATTCCCCATCATTTGGAGGATAATTTAGCCTGGCATTTAAAGTCCGTTGCAACCTACCTCTTCACTTCTTGTATTCACAAGTGCTTCCTGACTCTGTTTTGAAGCCTGGCTGGTTGCCTTACTAATCTTAGAGCAAACTCTGCAACTCTTGCCTGACGATGACCTTTCTCCACCTAGCCAAAGCTTGTCCATCCTTCAAGGCCTATCTCAAGGCTTTCTTTTTCTTTCCTTCTTCTTCTTCTTCTTTTTTTTGAGATGGAGTCTCACTCTGTTGCCCAGGCTGGAGTGCAGTGGCATAATCTCGGCTTACTGCAACCTTTGCCTCCCAGGTTCAAGTGATTCTCCTGCCTCAGCCTCCTGAGTAGCTGGGATTACAGGCGCCCGCCACCACGCCTGGCTAATTTTTGTATTTTTAGTAGAGGCAGGGTTTCACCATGTTGGCCAGGCTGGTCTTGAACTCCTGACCTCAGGTGATCCACCTGCCTTGGCCTCCCAAAGTGCTAGGATTACAGGTGTGAGTCACTGTGCCCAGCCTCAAGTCTTTCTTTTTCCTGAAAGCCTTCCATGACCTCTCTAGTCCACATCCATTGCTTCTTTCCAAAATGCCTGAACACAAGAAGGCTATGCTTCATGGTTTAGAGAGGCCCCTTACTGAAAGGGATCTTGGGTATGGGTATAGAATAGTAGTTCCCAGCTTAGGTCCCAAAGGTTTCCAGGAGTCTACAAATGTGTTGGGAGGAGGATGGCTACCAGCTATTGTCAATATTCCAGAAAGCCTATAGGAAATTATATGTATTTCACAATAAGCCGGTCCAGTCAAAAGAAATGCCATTCAAGAGAAATGTTAACTTTCTTCGCCTATGGCCAGAATTATATCATGCATTGGGCATCTCATCTTGACAAATGACATTGGTTTTTCCTTAAGAAAAATTTGGAAATAGACTGGGCATGGTGGCTCACACCTATAATCCTAGCACTTTGGGAAGCCAAGGTGAAAGGATTGAGCCTGGGCAACATAATAAGACCCCATCTCTGTAAAAAATTTAAAAAGTAGCCTAGTGTGGGGGTGCATACCTGTAGTCCCAGCTATATGGGAGGCTGAGGTGGGAGGATCACTTGAGCCCAAAAGTTTGAGTTTGAGGCTGCTGTGAACCATCATAGTGCCATTGAGCTCCAGCTCCAGCCTGGGCAATAGAGCAAGATCTTCATTTCTGAAAAAAAAAAAAAGAAAAATGGGGAGATAAGTTTGTTGTTATGTAAATGTACCCAGGTAGGTGGGCTCTTTCAAAATCTGGGGTTTGTGGGGCAGGAGGATGAATAAAAGGGACCCTTTAAAATTATGTTTAAAAATGTTTTTTAGAGATGGGGTCTTGCTCTATTGCCCAGGCTGGAGTTCACTGACATGATCACAGATCACAGCAGCCTTGAACTCCTCAAGCAGTCCTCAAGAGATTCTCCTGCCTTGGCCTTCCAAAGCATTGGGAATAGAGGTGTGAGCCACTGTACTCAGCATAAAAGGGATTATTGGTGGTGAAAAAGTCGGAGTCACTGGTCTCAACCAATCTCCTTACCAAAGCAGGACTCTTCCCTAATGGACAGACAGCTCAATCACTCCTTGTGATGGGCAGCCCTATGTACCTGTCCATTGCAACACTCATTGTGGTTGTGATTTCTCTCATTTATGGTTTGTTTGATTAAAATTAGTCTACTCTATAAACTTCATGAGGGCAGGGCCCTGTTTGATTTCTTCTCAACATACATTCCCTATCGTCTGGCACAGGGTCAAGGCCCATAGGCAATTAGTCAATATTTGTTATTTTCTGTTTCACAAGGCTGTCAGAAAAAGTAAATGTATGTAAAAGTGTTTTGTAAACTATAAATCCGGGCCTATAACAATCTCAGGAGCAGTTGTTATTACTGTTTCTTCAATTAAATGTTCATCTCCTGAATGGACCCAGATATGTACCCCCCATCCCCTCCCCTTCACTCTACCTCCTTAGCTTGGTAACAAATGACTTAGTATGTAGACTGAGCTTTTGTTCGTTTGTTTTTCTCTTCTCTTTTAATCTCTCTCTTGTCAAGATAAACAATAATCTGACCAAGGCTGGGCACGATGGTGCACATCTGTAATCTCAGCATTTTGGGAGCCAAAGTGGGAGCATCACTTGAACCCAGGAGTTTGAGACCAGGCTGGGCAACATAATGAGACCCTGTCTCTAAAAAAAAAAAAAATAAATAACTGGGTATGGTAGTGAGCCTGTAGTCCCTGCTACTTAGGAGGCTAAGGCAGGAGGATCGCTTGAGCCCAGGAGTTTGAGGCTGCAGTGAGCCATGATGGAGCCCCTGTACTCCAGCCTGGGTAACAGAGTGAGACCCTTCTCTAAAAACAAAACAAACAAAAACAAAAAACCTGACTAAATGTAGTTCCCCCAAAGTGTTGACCTTTCCCTTCCCTCTCATTCCCTTCCCCACATTCCATCCTACCTTATTGATCATTGACTCTGTGCTAGACACCAAGTGAATAACCAAAAACACAAAGATGAATGATGCAGCCTTAGTCCTGAGGCATTTCTTGAAACATTCTTGCTGAAAGAGGTCTTTGAGGCCCCTCCCTCTATCACACTCCTCTGATTACTTAGTAGTTTGGTGATGCTCCTCTCCAAATGCAGCCCCAGGATCTCTGCACTTGATGCTCCCTCTGCCTGGAAAGGTCTTCTGAGCCCTCAGACCTTCCTGTGTCTGGCTTCTCCGTATTCAGGCTCAAATGTCATCTCATCAGACAGGACTGATGGCCCACAGGCAATTAGTCAATATTTTTTATTTTGTATTTCTGGTCACTACACCACATTGCTCTGTTTTATGTTCTCAGAGCACTTAACATTCTCAGAAAGTATCTTACTACGTCTGTCGTATTTTTACTTTTTTGTTGTTAGTCTTTCTTCATTAGAATGTAAGCACCACGAGAGGAGGGTCTTTGTTTTGTTCACCGATGTATGCTCCAAGAACCAAGCAGTGGCAGCATATAGTAGGTGCTCAGTAATAAATGTAGAAGGACTGAACATGACATTCCAGAGATCTTCTGCCAACTCAAGCTGAGCCCTTCCCCTCCTGTGTTTTGGACATCATGCATCTAGTGATACACTCATCCTCTGATTTTTTTTTTTCAGGGATATCATTCTTGTATCAGAGGCTAAATGGCAAGTGTCTCTTCACCAGCAGAAGAAAATCCTCTCCTCTGTCTTTTTTTTTTCTTTTTGAGACGGAGTCTCACTCGGTCGCCCAGGCTGGAGTGCAGTGGTGCGATCTCGGTTCCCTGCAAGCTCCGCCTCCTGGGTTCACACCATTCTCCTGGCTCAGCCTCCTGAGTAGCTGGGACTACAGGCACCCGCCACCATGCCAGGCTAATTTTTTGTATTTTTTTTTTTTAGTAGAGATGGGGTTTCACTGTGTTAGCCAGGATGGTCTCGATCACCTGACCTCGTGATCCGCCCATCTCAGCCTCCCAAAGTGCTGGGATTGCAGGCATGAGCCACCGTGCCTGGCCCCTCTCCTCTGGAGTAACCAAACCCAGCATCTTTATCAGGAGCTGGGTTTCCTGTTTCCTGCAACTGTGACCCGCCCTGCTCTTCAGAATTTACCTGCCTTGTGTCGTATTTGCACAGGGCTGTCCTTTGTGACTTTGAAGGTGACAATCAGTTAATCCAATAACAGAATCCTGCTAAAGTGCTAACGGGAAAGGGTGAAAAAAAGGCACCCATATCCCTCCCTTCTGACTCAGGTAACATCTGTGCATTTAACAGGGCCCTTCTGGAGACAATTAAATAAATGCTTTATTGAAACAATAAAATTAATAGGGGTCTCATGGAACTCAATGAAAGGTTTTTAAAAATTAACTTCATTGTTTTTTAAGCTTCCAATCAAGCTTTGCGAGGCTAGGGTTTGGGCAGGGCCAGATTCTCGTTAAAACAGGTCTCTGCGCAAAGGGCTGCACATCAGGGGTTGGGAGCCCAGGCCTGAGGTTTCCATGGGGAAGAGCCACTGCCACTGTTCTGAGGGCCTGGCTCTAACAGGCTCCCCCAGTAACAGGTAAGGTTTTTCTAAATCATAGGTCTGATTCTGTTCCTGGGGCACTGTGACCTTGTACGTTTATAAATCCCAGATCGCATGGGATTTGGGTGCCCTAGATTAGGTGTCCCATCAAAAGAAATGTCATGATGATATTTGTGATGTGAGTGAATAAAACGATGAATGCTGGGGACACTCACTCTGCCAGGAAGTGGGCAGGACATCGGTCTGGTCTGTGTTTGTCTGGATCCAGGCTTACTGACCCCACCACATTGCTCCACACCCCCTTCCCAGCCTATAACCCCCGGCTAGTCATTTCTCCCTAGCAATCCTTTTCAGCCTCAAGAAACGCCTAAGAAGTCAGAGCTTGTCAAATCAGAAGGCCAGAGATTTTGGAAAACCTGTGGGTGGTTCTGCTGGTGGAGGCCAGGGAGCAGGTGTTGATGTGGGACCAGGGACTGCCTCATGAAGCATTTGCCAGGCTTAGGGGATGATGGGACCCTGGACAGGGAAACTCTTGTGGAAGAAGTGGTTCTGTGTCCAGATGGATGGAGCTGGCATAAGACTGTCTTTGGGACTCCTCATTATTCCTATCAAGGTAGCATGTTGATTCAAACCATCTGTGGGCTTGTGAGGTCTGATTAGACTTGGCGTTTCCAACCCTGGGCTCCCGACTTACGCCCTATGTGAGTGTGAGGAGTAGGCTGAGGGTGTGGTTGAACTTGGGGGTGGACCCTCTCTCCAAGCCCCAGACTCCTGGCCCCCAGTGACTCAGGGCACAGGCAGCTCCAGGCCTCTCCCCTCCCCTGGTCTGGTCGGCTAATAGGCACTGGGAGGGGTTCTGAGCTGAAAGTCAGAGGCTTCTGCTCTCAACTCAGGCCTAAACTACTTATGTGACTTTGAGCAAGTTATTTAGCTTTTCTGGGTCTCAGTTTTTTTCGTCTGCAAAATGGGGATAATGACACCTGTGGTAGTTGTTTTGCAGATCAAATGAGGCATAGGTGTGAATCACTTTGAAGTGCATGAAGAACAAATTATACAAAGGTTGTTTTTGTTAATGATGTTCCCAGTCTCAATGAACAGGGCCTTCCTACCCTGGAGTTACTGTTCCCTGAGTACTGGGTTCAGGATATCTTTTGACTCTGGAAGAGAGAATGAAGTTTTTGGGGGATTTACTTATTAACTCCTCTGGCTCCCCACTTTCCCTCAAGGGCAGCTTCCATTCCCCTTCCCCCCTCCACCACCCTTCTGTCCTCCCAGACGAGAGATTTTGGAGGTGTCTTTGACTCCTTCCTATATTATCTCATATATATTCTGTCAACACACCTTGTTTCTTCCTTTAAAATCTATCCCAGACTTACCTTCTCTTTCCTAGTCCCACTGCCATCATCTTAGTCTAAGCCATAATTATCTGAGTTTCTGCTGGAGCTCCTCAGCTGGTCTTTCCACCTTTGCTCTTTCTCCCCTCCATGACTTCCTGCATGGGGCTACCATATTAATCTGCCCAAGAGCCACCTTTTATTCGGTCACTTCCTGGCTCAAGATGGCCTAGTGGCTCCTTAATGATCTCATCAGGGCCATTTTCCCTATGTGCTTTTGTCAGAGATGTTTGAACCAGAGCAACTCCATCTAGAATAGGGACTGGGTTAAATAAGGCTGAGATCTACTGGGTTGCATTCCCAGGAGGTTAGGCATTCTAAGTCATCGGATAAGATAGGAGGTCGGCACAAAATACACATCATAAAGACCTTGCTGATAAAACAGTTTGCAGTAAAGAAGCTGGCCAAATCCCACCAAAACCAAGATGGTGACGAGAGTGTCCTCTGGTCATCCTCATGGCTCATTATATGCTAGTTATAATACATTAGTATGCTAAGAGACACTCCCACCAGAGCCATGACAGTTTACAAACGTCGTGGCAACCTCAGGAAGTTACCCCATATGGTCTAAAAAAGGGAGAAACCCTCAGCTCCAGGAATTGCCCACCCCTTTCCCGGAAAACTCATGAATAATCCACCCCTTTTTTAGCATATAATCAAGAAATAACTGTAAGTATCCTTAGTCCAGCAGCCCAAGCTGCTGCTCTGCCTATGGAATAGCCATTCTTTATTCCTTAAATTTTTTTTTTTTTTTTTGAGATAGAGTTTGGCTCTGTTGCCTAGGCTGGAGTGCAGTGGCATGATCTCCGCTCACTGCAATCTGTGCATCCTGGGTTCAGGTGATTTTCCTGCCTCAGCCTCCTGAGTAGCTGGGACTACAGGCACGCGCTACCATGCCCCGCTAATTTTTTGTATTTTTAGTGGAGATGGGGATTTACCGTGTTGGCCAGGCTGGTCTCAAACTCCTGACCTCAAATGATTCGCCTGTCTCTGCCTCCCAAAATGCTGGGATTACAGGTGTGAGCCACCGTGCCCAGCCTGCTCCTTTACTTTCTTAATAAACTTGCGTTCACTTTACAGTATGGACTCGCCCCAAATTATTTCTTTTTTTTTTTTTTGAGACGGAGTCTCGCTCTGTCGCCCAGGCTGGAGTGCAGTGGCGGGATCTCGGCTCACTGCAAGCTCCGCCTCCCGGGTTCACGCCATTCTCCTGCCTCAGCCTCCCAAGTAGCTGGGACTACAGGCGCCCGCCACCATGCCCGGCTAATTTTTTGTATTTTTAGTAGAGACGGGGTTTCACCGTTCTAGCCGGGATGGTCTCGATCTCCTGACCTCGTGATCCGCCCGCCTCGGCCTCCCAAAGTGCTGGGATTACAGGCGTGAGCCACCGCGCCCGGCCCCAAATTATTTCTTGTGAGAGATACAAGAACCCTCTCTTGGGGTCTGAATTGGGACCTTTTTCCGTTAACACTTTCAAAGTCTTTCACTCCTCTGTTCCATCTGCTGTACCCAACCTCATTTCCCTTAGTTCGCTTACACGCACCCTTCTCCATAACCAGACCCGCTTCCTCCAAAGAAGCTGTGTCCATTCCTTCTGTGCCTTTGCACATTCCATTTACTCTGCTTGGCGTGGGAGTACCCTCCCCTAGTCTTTCTGCCAGTCTCCCCAGTCTGCAGCATCCAGCTCAGGTCCCAGGCAGCCACCCCCAGTATTTTCTTAGAAGATTGTCTTATGGACCTATCTCCCCACTCTATTTATCCTAAGTTCTTAGTGCTTGTATTGCAGGACTGATTGTGTGTGTGTGTGTGTGTGTGTGTGTGTGTGTGTATGTGTGACGGAGTTTCACTCTTTTGCCCAGGCTGGCGTGAAGTGGTGCGATCTGGGCTCAATACAACTTCCGCCCCCGCCCCCGCCCCCACCCCCGGGTTCAAGCGATTCTCCTGCCTCGATCCACCCACCTCATCCTCCCAAAGTGCTAGGATTACAGGCGTGAGCTACCGCACCCAGCCTGCAGGACTGATTTAATATCAATTATCTTTCATTCTTCTCCCCCTGCCCTGTTTTATCTAGATTATGAACTGGTTGAGGGCTGAGACTCTTTCTGTCTTTCCTATAACGTCGAGTAGAAGGCCAAATGTCCAGTAAAATCTTTGTGGACTAGGTGCTGAAAGAGGTCTGGTTTGCACATGGAGACCAAGTGTGGAGAATCTCTATTCCAAATAGAGATTTTTTTTTGGGCCCCCTCCACTCCTTTCTCAGCTCCCCTCCCCCTTCCTTGAGACTCTGCCCCCGCTGCTATGTCTTCATCCATCAGTAATAAAGCGGGAACAATAGGGGGTTTCTTTCTAATTAAAGGGAGCAGTTAGTGTTTCCACTTCAAAGCCCTGAGAGAGAAGACTTTTGTTTCTTGGGCCTGGGAGCTCTGGGAGCCCCGATTGGATTGGGAAGTGGAGCTCCAGACCCAGCCAAGCATTAAGCTCGTGAACCTGAGAGCCCCCCATTTGCAGGCAGAGAAGCTCAAATTTAAAACAACAACGTAATTTGGTAACTTCGGCTCTGATAAAACAGTTGGGGGAATTCCTTCTCTCCTAGCGTCTGAAGCCAATGTTATTACAGGTGTGTGCTTGTCTCTCTCACACCCTTCCCAGCCTCTGTCATCCCAACACACACAGCACACACATGTGCCACACCATGCACTCTCATGTATGTGGCACTCAAAATCACATGGTGCACACTTAGTGGGTCCGTCCCCACACTCTCGTTCCTGGAGTCCTCTGGTCCACACTCTCCCACACACCCACACCAAGTTACTCTCACACATGTCATCTCTCCGCCCTCAATGTCCAGGAACAAAGGTCTCTGGCTTGAGAACTTTCCATTCTCTATTCAGTTCCAAGTCAGCTTGGCAGAGATGTGTTCTCTTCCTCCAACTTACACCAGCTACAGACTGATCCTCTAACCTAGCCCCAGACTGATTCCCACCCTGATGATCAATTGGGTCTCATCTCTGACCACATCCTGAGACCTAAGTGGACACAGATGGTGCCCTACCTGTAGTCATAATCTGAGACTCAACAAAGAGCATAACATTTGTCTTTGGTCTAACAAATCCTTTCACAAATTTGACTCATTGATCATAAAGGAGGTGGGAAGAGTTTTTGGCTCAGCTCCACTGCTGAAACTCTTCAGAGCACACATCATCCATCTATCCAGCCAGCCAGCCATCCCATATATTGAGCACCTATTCTTTGCCATGCTGTGGTAAGCAAGGCTAAGGTGCTGTCCCCAGGTACCTTAGTGTCAGAATAATAGCATGTGCTTTGGCATTTTACAATCCTGTGTTCAAGGTTCCCTTCTTTGATTTACTAGCTGGGTCACTGTGGACAAGTTACTTGATCTTTCTCAGTCTCAACTTCCTCATGGGTAAATTGGGTATAATAATATGAATGACCTCTAGGATGTTAAAAGGATTAAATGAGGTCATCTCTCAAGGGCTAACAAGTGCCTGGCACATAGAACATGCTCAGTAGATAATAATGATCATTCATTTAGTTATTCATTCTGGTAGGGATAAAGATATAAACACCTACAATTACAGAACAGCATGATAAAAGCTGCGCTGGTTACATGTACCAGATGAAGGGGGAAACTGGAAAGAGACTCTGGGTCTTCTGGAGACTGAATGGGGAACCCAGAAAGAGACTCTGGGTCTGCTGGGGACTGAAAGGGGAACCCAGAAAGAGACTCTGGGTCTTCTGGGGACTGAAGGGGGAACCCAGAAATAGGCTCTGGGTCTGCTGGGCACTGGGGAAGTCTGGAAGGCTCTGGAGATGGGGAGGGAGGCAGCCCAGGGACAGAGGCTTGAGGGAGTAGGAGCTTGCTTGGCTGATCAGACTCACTGGGTCCAGGAGGAGGAAATAAGCATGTTCCACTGAGGCCAAGAATGGCATCCCCCTGCAGACTAAAGACAGTGTATTTTGAAGACCCCAGAGAGGCCCTATTCCCATGACACACTTAATCAGCACATGCCACTAACTGATGAAGGCGGGTAACATTTTGAGCATCCCTGGGTCTCAAAGGGCATTTGATGATGGTGATGGATGGTGATTGCGGTGAAGCAATGGCATGATTAGGAAACGATGGCTGAGGGCTTTGGGCTGCACATCTTCCCTTTGCTCTGACCTTGCCTTCTCCTCTCCTTTTCTTTCCTGATCTCCCCCCTGCCTGCCTTTCTTCGCTCTCCTTTGTCTCTGTGGAGCGCAGAGGGGCACCGTTGTCCTCGCTGCTTGATTCCCTTTTCCCCCCAAGGCCCCTCTGGTCTGGGGTCTGCGGGGCTTTTCTGCACACGTGATCCCAATGGCGTGGGGCATGGCCATCCTGCTGTGGCCTGCTTGCTCCCCTGATTATTTCTCCTTAATTGAGCGTAAAGAATGTGAGGAATGTGGAGTAGACTGCCTGAGGAGGGCTGCTGCAGCCGACCCCCTCGGGGATCAGGGGATCCGGATTCTGGGCCCTGGGATGGGAGAACTGCAGATGGCCCGCTGAGCCCCACATCGTGTGCGTGTCCATTTCTGGCGCCCCAGCCCTTCCCCACGAGGGTGGCCTGCTTCTCCAGACTTGATTTGGTCCGTTCTCTGCTCTGGGGCTTGCTTCTCCCTGCTTTCTGCCACAGAGAATTTCACTTCTTTGTAAAACTGGCCATAGTCTCTTCTCTTCCTGGAAGCCTTCCTTTGTTTAAACCCATCTGACATGAATAATCCTTCTAAATCTATAATTCCAGGTGGAAGTCTAAAAGCGATTCCTTCTTCTCTTAAGATAAAGGAGGAAGCAATGTTTCTGGCTGCCCTTTGACCTTGCTGGGCTGCTGAAATCCTGTTCCCTGGGCTGTGAGAAGGTGTGAGAGCTGGGGTGAACCCAGATGCTGGCTTGTCAGGAAGGCAGCCAGGGGAGTCTCAGCTGAGCACTGTGACTGCATGTGTGCCTCCTCTTTCCTCTGCCCACTCAGCGAATGTCAGGTCCAGCCCTCCTGTCTCCTCAGGTGGGAGGAGAAAGTGTAGGTTGAGGGCTCAGACCTGGGTTCCTATCCTGGCCCTGTCATCTATCAACTCTGTAACCTCAGGTAAATTTTTTACTCTCTCTCAGGTGGTTTCCTCACGTTCAAGATGTTGGTGGTATTTTCTCACTTGTAGGGTTGTAGAGATGAAATTAAATGTGCTAAAGTATATAAAGACTGGGCATAGTAGCTCACGCCTGTAATCCCAGCACTTTGGGAGGTTGAAGCGGGAGCATAGCTTGAGCTCAGGAGTTTGAGACTAGCCTGGGCAACATGGCGAAACCTCATCTCTTAAAAAAAAAAAAAAAGCTGGATTTGATGGCATGTGCTTGTGATTCCAGTTACTCAGGAGGCTGCAGTAAGCAGTGATCATGCCACTGCACTTTAGCCTGGGTGACAACATAAGACTCTGTCTCTGTCTCTCTTTCTCTCTCTCTCTCTGTATATATATATGAAGCACCTAGCAGACAAGTATTTGTTTGGTTCATTGGAGATGACTGGAAGAAGAGGATTACTTTTTCTAAAAGAGGTCATTGCAGAAAGCCTTCTCTAGGGATCCCCACGAAGAGACAGGGTCTTGCTGAAAAACCCAGTCCTAGGCCGTCCACTCAGAGGCAGGTTGATCTGAGAGCTGCACTCTGCGAGCGAATAGGTCTATGTAGCATGCAGACAAGAAGTGTGTTAGTTGGGGGACTTGGCAAGCTCAGCACTGTGGCTGTGGCTCCTTAGCGGAGGACAGGGACAGCTGTCTTCTTCCACCTCCCCTCTCCTGAGGCCTGACCATAGGAAATGACTGATTCTGCAATAGGAGGGGTTCAGGCTATATTTAAAGAAGAACTTCCTGCCCAGGAAAGATGTTCTATGTTGAGATAGCTAATCCTCCCAAAATAGCAGAGTGTGGGCTGCTCACCTCATTTTCACAAACAGGACCCAGATGGGGGCTGGGCAGGATGCAGGCCAAGCTTACCCAGAGGCAGGGGCTGGGCCAGGCTCCCTGGCTTCTTCCCATCACAGGCTCTGTTGGCTACGTTCAGCCTCCTGCCTCCTCTGCTCCCTGATAGGTGACTCCTTGGGGAAGCTCTGTCTGAGCGTGACAAATCTGAGAATGCACTGATTATATTCTACAACTTCCGGAAAGTTCCTGCTGTTAGCGATTTGCAAGCTTCTCCTGAGATGAAAATTCAAAACAAAGTAGAAAGTAAATGGGCCTCGTGTGCAATGGTGTAGGGAGCTTTATCAATGGGGGTGTTTATGTGCAGGAGCTGGTGAGCAGGGCTGTGGGACCCTTCATCTTTATGGTGCCTGGAATGCTGGGTATTAGCGAGGCTTAGGACAGAGGCTGACCTGCCAGGCCGAAACTGACATTTCCCTCCATTTTCCAGAGATGGAGGCAGTTGTTGCTGCCCTCCCTTCCGTGGCAGGAAGTGGCCAAAGAGGCTGCCTTGGCCACCAGTGGAGAAGGGTCCTAATGAAGTTGAGGTCAGGATGGGCAGCAGGAGTTGGAGGAGAGATTAGAACGGGGTAATGAAGCTCGGGTGGATGAGGGTGGAATATCTATTTGCAGCAATCTATTTTCCCCAGGAACAGGCTGAGCATTTTTATGAAGTCAGACACAAGACCCCTCTCTTTCCCAGAGCTGTGTTCTTCCTGGAGCCCCGAAACAGCTCTGTCCCCTCCAGCTCCCATCCCCACCCCCATCTGGGTTTACATTCCTGTTCATAGTCACAGCAGCCCTGGCGGCGACCATGGCTGAGCCACATCTGGGGTGCTGATGGCCACATCTGCATCCACCCCTCTGGGAGCTGGTTACTTCTATTCTTTTATCTGCATCTGTGGAATCGGGAGGGGATCTGGGCATGGTGGGTTCCCAGCCCTAAGAGCTGTCAATTTCTACAGGAGGGCTTGGGAAGACTCCATGTCACAGGCCACCATCTCTTTGCAGACATGGATTCCTGGCTCTTAAGTTTCAGACAAAGACAACCAGGGAGCCATTCCATGAGAGCCCCTGCATCTCCCTCTTCAGGTCTTCTCCCTCCTCTAGGTCTACTCTGCTTCGCCCACTCACCTCTCTCCTCCAGGAGCCAATTATACTTATTATTATTACTGACTCCACTTTATGGGTCCCAAATGACAAATGAGGATGAGGGCAGAAGAAAAGGAATGCTCAGGTTGGATATGAGAGGGAGATGAATGTGGGAGGTAGGAGGAGGAAGAACAAGATGGGATTGGACGCAGGTGGATTCAGGAGGTAAACCCAGGCTGTCTTGGGGTCCCCAGCCTGGTTTGGGAGAGGCTGTAAGTCATGCCAACATGCAACACATGGGCCAAGGGTTGTGTGGGCAAGAAGTCCAGTGCTTGCAGGCCGGTCTCCAGTATCCATGAGGGACTTCTGTTGGCTTTTAAGCCAGAGCGCTTCGGGCCATAGGCTAGGTCCCTCTGCTGGTCTCTGGATAGGTTTCTTTGCATCCAGGGTGTCCTGGCTGGATCACATTTTCCAGACTGATGGAGAGTGGTATGGGTCGGGGCTCTGAGCGTGTCTTGATGTGGTCCTTCATGGTTGGACAGATATCCTGGCCATAAAAACCCTGACTCAAAGCCTGACCCAGGAAGGAATGGAGGACTCCAGAGAGTAGATGCCTTTCTTCTAGTCTGGCCAGACCTGCTGATGTCCATGGATTCTTGCAGGCCAGCATGCCCCTGAGTGAGGTCTTCTAGGATGAAGGAGGTAGACCTGCTGTGGGCTTTCCTCATTGTACTAGAGAAACCATAAGGTTTGGGGCAGAGAAAAGACACTGGAGAGGACCCGACCAGGACAGTGTATGAATGTATGAACAAGCCCATCTGTGCATGTGTGCATGGGGTAAACACTGTGCTTAGAAGGTTGTCATCCTTGTCCTGATTAAGGACTCTCCTCACTGTGTACTGGAAGGCTTGGGGAACTTGTGATTTAGAATGCCATTTTATCTGGCTGCTTTTCCAGGGAGGTTTGGAAAATTAGCTGAGCCCAGTTAGATTAGAAAGAGGACCCCCAAAGTGGTGGAATGGGGACTGCAGTTGTGGGATCCTTGGTGGTTCTGTGGAGCTGGGGGCTAACTAGCTTTGGGGTGATTTTTCTGGATTCGATCCTGCCTATCTGTGCTATGATTCTTGTGTCACTCTGCAGTGTGTTTCCGGGCTCTGAATCCTCAGGGCCAACTCTCACTTGATATCTGAGCAGAGACCCCATCTGGATCTCATCTGACAGGGCTTGGTGTGGCTTCTACGGCAGCCATAATATTCCCTATGCAGATTGAAGTTCTCCTAGCCGAAGCCTCTTATTCACTCTGCAAGATACTGCTGGTGGGAGTAGATCATTCCAGCAGTCACCTCCCAGGCTAGAGGCGCCTTACCTGAGTAACTAGCTTAATCTTTTTAAGCCTTGGTTTTCTAATCTGTAAAATGGTGATAATAGTAATGTCTAACTCATAGGGTTGCTATTAAGTAAATATGGCAATAAATAGAAAAAGCCTTATATACTGCAAACACCTTATAACTGTACAATACATGTTAACTTTTCCTTTTTGTTAATTCTCACCTCACAACAGATACCTATAGTAGTCAGGTTTGTGATGCAGATCAAGGTGACAGTCCGGATTTGGGGTGAGAGTAAGGTTTAGAATTTGGATGAGGATAAATGTGTGGGATTAAATTCAGTGATTTTGAAGTGTTTGGGTTGAGACTGGTGTGGAGTTCCTGTGAGGGATGGTTTTAGGATTGAGCTTGGGGTCAGGATCATATGTGGGATGCAAATCTCTGGGAGAATTAGGGTTAGAGGGGGAGTTGGCTTTAAGGAAGTTCTTTCTGTTAGAAATAGAATGCCTACATCTGTCTATATCTCAGCATACACTCAGGAGACACACGGGGGCTCTAAAATTCTGGCTTCCTCAGGGGCTGAACTTGTCTACCTCAGCCTGAGCTATTGCCAGGATAACTCCTCCAGGCTCTGTTTTGGGGGACAGAGCAGTGTACAAGGTCAAGGCCTCCCTTGTGGAAAAGCCTAGAAGATCAAGGCTGGAGAGAATGTAGGGAACTCACTGTGGCTGCCCAGCTGTTTCAGTTCTGGTAGGTTCATTCGTCCTACACCTAAGCCCCAGGCCTCCCACCTCCAGCCGGCTTTCTCCCTAACAGACTCCACATTCTCCCTGGACTGGCCTCTGATTCCAGGACTCTGTGTCCCCAGAGAGTCTGATCTGACACAACTCCGATCTGATAGCTCCCTTCCATGCTTTACAGGGAGCAGCAGGGAGAAACCTTGGCCTGGCCTGGGTGCCTGCTCCAATGCCCCTGCTCCAGTCTCCAGTTCCTGGGGGAGGGTAGGACACAAAAGCCGGATCTCCCTGACAGCCCCATCCTCCTCCCTCCAGCCCCTCTCCCTCTCTCTGAGTTCCCTCCAGGGCTAGAGGAGGCCAAAGAAAACAGAGCGCTTCCCTAGCTCACTCTCCCTCTCTCCCTCACTTCCTGCTGGGGAAGATGGTTTACTCCCTCCCCTGCCCTGGCTCAGGACCTGGCCTTGGTGTCAAGTTTCTCCAGAGCTTCCAGAATCAGAGGCCCTGCATGCACTCAAGGTAGACCCCTCACCTCTTTCAATTTCACCTTTTTCATGACTTTTCTCTCTCATTCCAAGGCTGTTTAGCCCAGTCTCCACTCCCTGTAGTAAAGTTTTATTTTTCAGATGGTGGAAAAAATCCAATGGAAGGAAGGTTTCCTTGGGAGTGTCGGGCACGTAGGATGATGGTGGGGTAAAGGAGGACAGATAGCTGCTATGGAGAAGGGGTATCTGTGCAGCGGATAAGAAAGAGTCATGTGGACACAGGGATCAAACACACTTCCCTTTAGGCCTGCTGATCATGTGGGAAAAAAGCTCCTTCTTGCAGCCCAGTAAGAATGGCCTCCCTGGTGCTGTGCAACATGGTGACCCTGGCCAGTGGGCATCCTTAAAAGACCCTCCAGTAGCACCAGAGGGACAAGAGGCCCCAGGTTCATTTGTGGCCAGCTCAGGAGGCACTTTGTCAAAGAGCCTGAACTCCTGGGAATTATGGAGCCTCTGAAGCCCTGGACATTTCCTACCCCTGCTGAGAAAGCAAGAAAAAGAGAGAGGAGGAAGCAAGAGCAGAGTAAGTACAAAAAGAGAAGATGAAGGACAGTCTGGGGGAGCCAGAAGAGAGGACTGCTTATGGAGATTATTATTACTGTTACCATATCTTATGATCACCCACCTGCACCTGCAGGCAATTCCACAGAGACTGTTCAAGGATGATAGAAGAATCAGGGTTCCTTTATTTTATTTTTTATTTTTGAGACAAAGTCTCTCCCTGTCGCCCAGGCTGGAGTGCAGTGGCACGATCTCAGCTCATTGCAACCTCTGCCTCCTGGGTTCAAGCAATTCTCCTGCCTCAGCCTCCTGAGTAGCTGGGATTACAGGCATGCGCCACCATGCCAGGCTAATTTTTTTTGTATTTTTAGTACAGATGGGGTTTCAGCATGTTGGTCAGGCTGGTCTCAAACTCCTGGCCTCATGATCTACCTGCCTCGGCCTCCCAAAGTGCTGGGATTACAGGCATGAGCCACTGTACCCAGCCTCAGGGTTCCTTTTTATAGGACTGAGGCAGGACTCCTGGCAGGAGTCCTGGGTTTGCAAATCTACCAGCGTGTAATGCCTGTCTTTGCATTTAACACAAAATTAGGGCTGCCTTCTTTGCTTCCATCTTCCTTCTTCCCTCCCTCCTTCCTTTCTTCCTCCCTCCTATCTTGATTCTTCCCTTCCATTCCTCTTTCCTTCCTCATTCTTTCTTTTCTGCACTTAATACTTATTAAGAATCTAATCTGGCCCAATACTTTGCTATGCACCAAGTAAATGATAATAGATAAGAAAGAGACAAACAACCTGAAGTCTGGTCTTGGAGATGGGGAGACAAGCATGTAAGCCGGAAAATACAATGTGGTGTTCTAGCTACCTATAGTAAAAGGACACCCAGATAGGGTGGAGCATAAAAAACCTGAGTTAGTAAAGCTTAAAAGCTGAGGGGTTCAGGGCAGGTTTTCAGGCAGAGCAATAACAAGAAGGTGAGAAATACCATATTTTATTGGGAATATGTTTTCCAGCTTGGAGTTGAAGACTGAGCATGAACATGGGATCTGTAGAATATATTTTTCTTCTGGAGAATGTTAGAAGAGCTAAGTTTGCTTGCTCCCTCTAGAATTCATCTGGGAAAGCTCTTCTTCCAGTTACCTTATGGCTTGCTCCTCTTCTCCTTCTAGTCTTTACTCAATTGCCACTTTCCCAGTGAGGTCTTTCATGACCGTCTGGGAACTGCAACTTGCCTCTCTGTTAGTCCATTCTCATGCTGCTTGTAAAGACATACCCAAGATCGGGTAATTTGTAAAGAAAAAGAGGTTTAATGGACTCACAGTTCCACATGGCTGGGGAGGCCTCACGATCATGGTGGAAGGCAAAGGAGGAGCAAAGGCAAGTCTTACATGGCAGCAGGCAAGAGAGTGTGTGAAGGGGAACTACCCTTTATAAAACCATCAGATCTTTGAGACTTATTCACTATCACGAGAACAGCATGGGAAAAACCCATCCCCAAGATTCAGTTACCTCCCACCAGGTCCCTCCCTCAACAGGTGGAGATTATAGGAACTATTACATTATTCAAGATGAGATTTGGGTGTGGACACAAAGCCAAACCATATCACTCCCTCCATAGCTCTATTCCATACCCCTGCTCCCTGCAAATCCTTTGACTTGCTTAATTTTTCTCCATAGCACTTATTGCCTTCTAGTGTTCCTTACATTTTATTTTTTGTTTTATTTGTCTCCTACCACTAGAACATAAGCACAGTGAAGAAAGGGATTTTTGTCTGTTTCACTCTTTGCTCCATCGCTAGTGCCTGAACAGCCTGGCACATAGTGGGGGCTCAATAATTTGTCAGATTGGTACTGACTCCTTGATTCATGTAGGAAACATGTTTGGCTATCTGTAAAATGGGCCAAGTGTGGTGCTGGTGAGCTGTAGCCAATGACTCTCAAGTGCAAATTTCATAGACTTGCTGTATCAGAATAGGGTGTTTATTAAATATACAGATCCTGGAATCCTACTCAAGACCTAATGAATTAGAATTTCCACAGGTGAATGATGCATTTTAGCAAGGATGCCTGGTGATTTGATGTGCAAGAAGGTTAGAAACCACAGCTAGACAATCTGAACGACAGAATAAGCTTCCTTTCTCAGTAATGGTCAATAAGAGAATGGAGCCTCAGGTTTTGAGACCAGTCAGGAGGCTCTTGTTATAGTCTAGGTCAGAAAACAAGGGGGCTTGGACTAGGTAGGGTTGAGGCATTAGAGATGGAGAGAAGTGAATGGATTCAGGGGATGTTCAGGAGCTAAAATCTTGAGGACGGATTGCATATGCCAGGCAAGGGAGAGAAGGTGTCAAGAAGGACCACTATATTCTAGCTTGTCCAGATGTGTAGAAGGAGGGGCCATCACTCAAATGAAGCTACTCTGGAAGAAGACCTAGTTTGACAGGTAAGATATAAATTTGTTTTTAGACATATTAAGCTTAAGGTGTTTCTGGAAATCAAAAGGGGAAATGTAAAGTCAACAGATATATGCCCAGGCTAGGAGATTTTCAAAGCCAGTTCTCCAAAAATATGATGGTCAAAATGGAAGAAGACAACTTTCAGCTAAGCAAAAAAAACTGAGATCAAAGGAATTAGCATGGACTATCTCGGCATATGTACTTGTCATGTGAAAAAATATGCAAGCATGTATAGTTTCCATTGCGAGAGGCAAATAGAGCAATGAACCTAGAAATTACATGTGCTCTAAACTAAAAAAAAGAAAGAAAAAAAGCAGGAATGTTACAATTGTAAAATGCATGTGTAGCTCTTACTGCAAGATTTAAATCTTGTTGACACCAATATGAAATGATGGGTTGTGATTCACAGGGAAGGTAATGTGATTTCTGCACATGGGCTCTGACCTTGGGTGCCCCAGCCAAAGCTTGGAGAGTGAATCCACACTGAACTGGGTGGGGGTGGGGTGGAGAGAGAATGCTTACTAGGACTGTGGGAAGACGCTGCACTTTAAACAGAAAGAAAAAAATGGGTCCCCAGACAAGAGGTGGTTCACACAGAAAAAGGGCTTCAGAGGAGCAGGATGTGCAGCCTGGCCTCGGAGGGGGGTGCATAGGACATGAAGAGCAGTCTGGTGACGAGAGGGTGTTCATTGCTGTGGGGAACGAGGGATATTTCACTGATGTCTCCCAAGTGAAGGGAAATTATCCCCTCAAGGCCTCTTTGTTCTGATTCTGGGCTTGCCAAGCAGCCTTCTGGTGAATTTGACTTAATAATAGAGAACACTTTCCAAGCACATAGGAAACAGCAGAGAACATTCTGCTCAGTCTGGTACATGCATTATCTCATTTAATCTTCACAATAACCAATGATATAGGTGGTTATGATGATCTGGATTTTACAGATGATGGAATTGAGGCACAGAGAGGTTAGTTAATTTGCCCAAGGTCACACAGATAGTTAAGTGAGAGAGCTGGGATTCAGACTTGGGTAGCTGGGCCCTCAGGTCTCCTCCACTTTTTCTTTTTTTTTGAAACAAGGTCTGGCTCTGTCACCCAGGCTGGAGTGCAGTGGCGCGATCTCGGCTCACTACAACCTCCACCTCCCGGGTTCAAGCCATTCTCCCACCTCAGCCTCCCGAGTAGCTGGGACTACAGGCACATACCACCATGCCCGGCTAATTTTTTTGTTATTATTATTATTTTTGTAATGGAATTTCTCCATGTTGCCCAGGCTGGTCTTGAACTCATGAACTCAAACCATCTGCCGGTCTTGGCCTCCCAAAGTGCTGGGATTACAGGCATGAGCCACCATGCCTGGCCTAGGTCTTCACTCTTAACCACTTCCTTGCATACTCAGGTGGTGGCTTTGACTGGTTTTTGGTGCTGGAGTGAGGAGTCAGTCAATTTAGCACATTGGAACGCTTGTTTCCATAGCTGCTTCCATGAATTTTGATAGCCTGAGTCTGTTGCTGAGAGACTGTTAAAAGACTAACCAATTTCTGTCCTGAGGGGTGTGGGCCAGACATTAGAACGTGGTGTCTCAACCTAGTTGCCATTCCTGGCAGTTAATCCAGTGCCTAGTGTGTGAACGGCTCTGGATTATATGTGTGTGTGTATATATATATATATATATATATATATATATATATATTTTTTTTTTTTTTTTTTTTTTTTTTTTTTTTGTGGGTTGTGGGACTGAATCAAGTAAAGGCATAGCCCAGAGGACTTTGAAGAGTCCCTGGGCAGTATTCCATTAGCGGCCCCCAGCCAAAAAGATGATACTCTCTTTGATCATTTTTAGCAAATTTCCAATATTAAAAATTTTTTTCCTGTTTTTTTTTTTTGCAAACTCAGGCTGCCTAAATGTACATTTGTTAACACAACTCCATCCTTGTATTTTAAACATAGCTATGGAAGAAAAAAAAATTTACTTTCAGATATAAATAGAGCCAAAAATGTGCAGAAAATGTAGAGCACAGTGAGGACTTTCAATGTAATCCTTTTGTGGAGAAAAGTTTCCAAAAGCCATCCCCTCCTCGAGGTTTCAAATAGAAGAAAAGTAGATGTTTTGTAAACTCGTAAGCCTTGAATGGCTGCAAATGTCTATAATTTTGAATCATTTTTTTGGAGGCTGTATTTCTATACTCTCCTCGGGAATGATAACAAAGTTATGGAAAGTGGTGGTTTTTCAGCTTTGGTGTCTTCAAAATGCCATTCAGAGTCTTCAGATGATGTTGAAAGACAGAATGAGATGAAGGGGAACTCCAAGTCGACAGGGCTACTTGCTATTTTAGTGTTATTATTTTTGAACTTTTAAATTTTGAAATAATTATAGAGTCAAAGGAAGTTGCAGAAAAATGTACAAGGGCTCATGTACCTATCACTCAATTTCCCTCAGTGGTAATATCTTGGATATTATTATTTTTAATTGAATAGAGAAAATGTAAAAGTGGGCCAGGCCCTTCTGTGACAAGCTTTCAGAAAACTATTTTGGATATACACTTGAAAGAACACATTGATTTGGACAATGAGGGAAAAAATTATTTTTGTTTAATAATCTAATTTGAAGAAGTTTAAAATATATTTTAGAATTTTATTTCTTTTCTTAAAAAAAGTAGAAATTGGTTCATAGTCAGAGGTCAGGGAACATCCCAGCTGCTTACCATGGCTTAGAAGGTTCTGTAGAATCTGAGCCAAGGCCACTGGTCCAGCCTCATCTCTTCCTTCTCTTCCTTCTCTCCCCTACCCTCTCCTCCTCCGTCTCCATGTTCCAGCCACACTGGTGTCCTCTCTTTTTTTCTTTCCTAAATCCTAGTCCATCTGTTTAGGACACTTTCCCTTCATTCTTTGCTTGGCTAGCTCTGCTCAACCTTCTTATTTCATCTTAAATGTCAACTGCTGAGAGCTTCCCAGCAATTTAATCTAAATATTCCTTCCATAATTGTCTCTTGTTGCACTCTGATTATTTTCTTCATAGCATCTATAGAATTTACAATATTTGTAATCATATTGATTGCTTATTTTCTTGTTTATTGTCTTTCAACACAACTAGATTGGGAGGAAGGACCATTTGGGATGTTCAATAAATATTTATTGAATCAATGCTTGGATTGTGAGAAACTTAAGTGACAAACCAAAGTAGCAGTCATTTTCTTTTCTTTTCTTTTCTTTTCTTTTCTTTTCTTTTCTTTTCTTTTTTTTTTTTGAGACAGAGTCTTGCTCTGTCACCCAGGCTGGAGTGCAGTGACTGGATCTCGGCTAACCTCCACCTCCCGTGTTCAAGCACTTCTTCTGCCTCAGCCTCTGGAGTAGCTGGGATTACAGGCTTGCACCACCAGGCCTGGCTAATTTTTGTATTTTTAGTAGAGACGGGGTTTTGCCATGTTGGCCAGGTCGGTCTTGAACCCTTGACCTCAAGTGATCTGCCTGCCTTGGCCTCCCAAAGTGCTGGGATTATCTCACCCGGCCAAAGTAGCCACCATTTTCTATATCAATTTATTTCTTAATCTTTTTTCATGGAAGGATTTGTAGTACTCCCTGGGATCAAGTGTCCTTACTGAAACTCATCAACACAGCACATAACAAGTACAATGGCATAGCAGTAATATTTAACCTTTTCTTAAAATATAGCTTTATAAATGGAATATTCCCTCTGCTACTACCGTTCATACTTATTATAGCGTGAACATCTACTATGGGCCAAGCTTTGGACTAAAGAGCTTTTTACACAGTTTAACTCATTTAATCTGTACAAGACCCTGGGAGATGGTCATTATTGTCCCCATTTTACTGATGAGAAAACTGAGCCCAGAGAAGTGAAGTGACCTGGGTACAGATAATACAGCTAGTACAAGACCCTGGGAGATGGTCATTATTGTCCCCATTTTACTGATGAGAAAACTGAGCCCAGAGAAGTGAAGTGACCTGGGTACAGATAATACAGCTAGTACATAGTGGATATAGTAACATCCACTGTCTTTTTCTCTTTCTTAAGAACTCCATGAGGTGGGTGTTTTACCCAAGTGTTTCCAGTGACATTTATGACTTGTTTTAAGTGTTCTCAATATATCTCTTTAACAATCAAAAAAATATCAGCCCCCATAGTTGAAAGTTTGCAAAAAAAAAAAAAAAAAAGAAAAGAAAAATAAATTAACCATGAAAGCTTCAGTGATACTTTGGGCTCAAATGAGTTCTCAGGCATTTTCAGTAATATAAGGACTCTCATTATAACAGCTGAGAAATTCATAGCAAAATTACTGACTGTGGTTATGTATGTCACTTACTCTCTCCCCCCTTCTTTTTTTTTTTCTTTCTTTTCTTTTTTTATTATACTTTAAGCTCTGGGATACATGTGCAGAACGTGCAGGTTTGTTACATAGGTATATAAGTGCCATGGTGGTTTGCTGCACCCATCAATCTGTCATCTACATTAGGTATTTCTCCTAATGCTATCCCTCCCCTAGTCCCCCACCCCAAGACAGGCCCTGGTGTGTGTGATGTTCCCCTCCCTGTGTCCATGTGCTCTCATTGTTCAACTCCCACTTATGAGTGAGAACATGTGGTGTTTGATTTTCTGTTCCTGTGTTAGTTTGCTGAGAATGATGGTTTCCAGCTTCATCCATGTCCCTGCAAAGGATATGAACTCATCCTTTTTTATGGCTGCATAGTATTCCATGGTGTATATGTATCACATTTTCTTTATCCAGTCTATCATTGATGGGCATTTGGGTTGGTTCCAAGTCTTTGCTACTGTGGACAGTGCTGCAATAAACAATACGTGTGCATGTGTCTTTATAGTAGAATGACTTATAATCCTTTGGGTATATACTCAGTAATGGGATTGCTGGGTCAAATGGTATTTCTGGTTCTAGATCCTTGAGGAATAGCCACAATGTATTCCACAATGGTTGATCTAATTTACACTCCCACCAACGGTGTAAAAGTATTCCCATTTCTCTACATCCTTTCTAGCATCTGTTGTTTCCTGACTTTTTTTTTTTTTTAGACAAAGTCTTGCTCTGTCACCAGGCTGGAGTGCAGTGGTGTGATCTTGACTCACTGCAACCTCCGCCTCCCAAGTTCAAGCAATTCTCCTGCCTCAGCCTCTCGAGTAGCTGGGATTACAAGTTTGTGCCACCATGCCCAGCTAATTTTTGTATTTTTAGTAGAGATGGGGTTTCACCATGTTGGCCAGGATGGTCTTGATCTCTTGACCTCATGATCTGCCCACCTTGGCCTCCCAAAGTGCTGGGATTACAGGCATGAGCCACCGTGCCCAGCATATTTCCTGACTTTTTAATGATCGCCATTCTAACTGGTGTGAGATTGAGATGGTATCTCTTTATGGTTTTGATTTGCATTTCTCTAATAACCGGTGATGATGAGCTTTTTTTCATATGTTTGTTGGTTGCGTTTAAGTTACATTTGTGTCTTAGTATGTTTAGGAAAAAAGACAAGCATTTGCTAGCTGAAAGGGTCTTTCCACCTCTTCTTCCACATGAGGGACATTTTATGCAAACCTTTTTTGGTATCATGCTTTTTTTGTCTTGCTCTCTCATAAAGTAATTTGCTAACAGGAAAAGTGCCAACATTTTCTTGAAACAGTAATTGGTTCTAAGAGAAGACTCAGTGGGATGCCGCCATGATCTCAATGTCTGTGTCCCCTCCAAATTTATATGTCAAAATCCTAACCCCCAAGGTGATGGTATTAGGAGGTGGGACTTTGGGAGGTGATTAGGTAATAGGGGCACAGCCCTCATGAATAGGATTAGTGCCCTTAGAAATGAGACCTGAGGCCGGGCATGGTAGCTCACGCCTGTAATCCCAGCACTCTGGGAGGCTGAGGCGGGTGGATCATCTATCAGGAGTTCAAGACCAGCCTGGCCAACATGGCGAAACCCTGTCTCTACTAAAAAAATATACAAAAATTAGCTGGGCTTGTTGGCAGGCACCTGTAATCCCAGCTACTTGGGAGGCTGAGGCAGGAGAATTGCTTGAACCTGGGAGGTGGAGGTTGCAGTGAGCTGAGATTGTGCCACTGCCCTCCTGCCTTGGCAACAGAGGGAGACTGTGTCTGAAAAAAAAAAAAAAGAAAAAGAAAAGAAATGAGGCTTGAGAGAGCTGCATTGCCCCTTGCACATGTGAGGGAGGACACAGCTAGAAGGTGCTGTCTGTGAATCAGAAAGTGGGACGTTGTTAGACACTAAATCTGTTGGCACCTTGATCTTGGACTTCCAGCCTCCAAAATGGCAAGAAATAAATTTCTGTTGTTTATAAGTTTATAGTATTTTGTTATAGCAGCCAGAGTAGACTAAGACAGATGCCTTTAGAATTCACCTTTGTATTTGTTTGAAGTAACTTTTTTAAGGTGATATTAATATTTCTTTAGGACTTCCATTGGAGGTGAAAATATCACACCAACTGACTGTGATGCCTTAGCTTCAGAGAAGAAAAATAATCATCCTTGTTTAAAAAGTCCATCAGTTCTCCCTCTCCCTCTCCCTCTCCCCATGGTCTCCCTCTCCCTCTCTTTCCAGGGTCTCCCTCTCATGCCGAGCCGAAGCTGGACTATACTGCTGCCATCTCGGCTCACTGCAACCTCCCTGCCTGATTCTCCTGCCTCAGCCTGCGGAGTGCCTGCAATTGCGGGCGCGCGCCGCCACGCCTGACTGGTTTTCGTATTTTTTTGGTGGAGACTGGGTTTTGCTGTGTTGGCCGGGCTGGTCTCCAGCTCCTAACCGCGAGTGATCCGCCAGCCTCGGCCTCCCGAGGTGCCGGGATTGCAGACGGAGTCTGGTTCACTCAGTGCTCAATGGCGCACAGGCTGGAGTGCAGTGGCGTGATCTCGGCTCGCTACAACCTCCACCTCCCAGCCGCCTGCCTTGGCCTCCCAAAGTGCCCAGAGTGCAGCCTCTGCCTGGCCGCCACCCCGTCTGGGAAGTGAGGAGCGTCTCTGCCTGGCCGCCCATCGTCTGGGATGTGAGGAGCCCCTCTGCCTGGCTGCCCAGTCTGGAAAGTGAGGAGCGTCTCTGCCCGGCCGCCATCCCATCTGGGAAGTGAAGAGTGCCTCTTCCCGGCCGCCATCACATCTAGGAAGTGAGGAGCGCCTCTGCCCAGCCACCACCCCGTCTGGGAGGTGAGGAGCGTCTCTGCCCGGCCGCCCCGTCTGAGAAGTGAGGAGACCCTCCGCCCGGCAGCCGCCCCATATGAGAAGTGAGGAGCCTCTCCGCCCGGCAGCTGCCCCGTCTGAGAAGTGAGGAGCCTCTCCGCCCGGCAGCCACCCCGTCTGGGAAGTGAGGAGCGTCTCCGCCCGGCAGCCACCCCGTCCGGGAGGGAGGTGGGGGGGTCAGCCCCCGCCAGACCAGCCGCCCCGTCTGGGAGGGAGGTGGGGGGGGTCAGCCCCCCGCCCGGCCAGCCGCCCCGTCCCGGAGGGAGGTTGGGGGGTCAGCCCCCAGCCCGGCCAGCCGCCCCGTCCGGGAGGGAGGTTGGGGGGTCAGCCCCCCGCCCGGCCAGCCGCCCCGTCCGGGAGGGAGGTGGGGGGGTCAGCCCCCCGCCAGGCCAGCCGCCCCGTCCGGGAGGGAGGTGGGGGTGTCAGCCCCCCGCCTGGCCAGCCGCCCCGTCCGGGAGGTGAGGGGCGCCTCTGCCCGGACGCCCCTACTGGGAAGTGAGGAGCCCCTCTGCCTGGCCAGCTGCCCCGTCCGGGAGGGAGGTTGGGGGGTCAGCCCCCCGCCCGGCCAGCCGCCCAGTCCGGGAGGGAGGTGGGGGGGTCAGCCCCCCGCCCGGCCAGCCGCCCCATCCGGGAGGTGAGGGGCGCCTCTGCCCGGCCGTCCCTACTGGGAAGTGAGGAGCCCCTCTGTCCGGCCACCACCCCGTCTGGGAGGTGTGCCCAACAGCTCATTGAGAACGGGCCAGGATGACAATGGCGGCTTTGTGGAATAGAAAGGGGGGAAAGGTGGGGAAAAGATTGAGAAATCGGATGGTTGCTGTGTCTGTGTAGAAAGAAGTAGACATGGGAGACTTTTCATTTTGTTCTGTACTAAGAAAAATTCTTCTGCCTTGGGATCCTGTTGATCTGTGACCTTACCCCCAACCCTGTACTCTCTGAAACATGTGCTGTGTCCACTCAGAGTTAAATGGATTAAGGGCAGTGCAAGATGTGCTTTGTTAAACAGATGCTTGAAGGCAGCATGCTCATTAAGAGTCATCACCACTCCCTAATCTCAAGTACCCAGGGACACAAACGCTGCGGAAGGCCGCAGGGTCCTCTGCCTAGGAAAACCAGAGACCTTTGTTCACTTGTTTATCTGCTGACCTTCCCTCCACTATTGTCCTATGACCCTGCCAAATCCCCCTCTGTGAGAAACACCCAAGAATGATCAATAAAAAAAAAAAAAAAAAAAAAAGTCCATCAGTAATGAAACATCATCTTAGGTTTTTTTTTTTTTTTTTAAATTGCGACAGGCTCTCACTTTGTCATCCAGGTTGGAGTGCAGTGGTGCAATCATGAGTCACTGCAGCCTCGACTCCCCCAGGCTGAAGCAATCCTCCTGCCTCAGCCTCCCAAGTAGCTTGGGACTGCAGTTGTATGTCACCATACCCAGCCCCAATCTTAGTTTTTAGAAACAATTTTTTTTTTTTTTTGGAGAGACTGTCCTTTAGTCATAAAAAATTACAAGACATTAAAAACTTACAAGTGATTGGAAACTACTCAAATGTCCAGAATAGGAAGCCTGTGGCATGTTCATACAAAGGAATACTATACAGCAATATAAGTAAATGAACTGCAATTGTGTACATGGAAAATATAGATGACTATATCTATATATATACATATAATATATATACACATATATAATATACATATATGTATATGTATATATATAATATATAATATATATACATATATTATATGTATATGTATATATTATATATAATATATATACATATATGTATATGTATATATATAATATATAATATATATACATATATGTATATGTATATATATAATATATATAATATATATATTTTAACATGTTACTTTAGGTTCCAGGATACAAGTGCAGAACGTGCAGGTTTGTTACATAGGTATATGTGAGATAACTATATTTGTAACATAATGTTGAGCAAAAACTTTATGCTGAACAAAAAGGCCAGATGCAAAAGAGTACATGCCCTTTGATTCCATTTATATAAAGTTTTGAAACAGGTAAAACTAACCAGTGGTGTTGGAAGTCAGCTTTTTGGGGGTTGGGTAGTGTAGTTACTCAAAGGGGACAGTAGAGGGGCTCCTGGAATGCTGGGAATGTTCAGTTTTAATATTGGTTTCTTGGATATGTTTGATTGTGAAAATTTATCAAGCTCCATATACAATTTGTGCACTTTCAGTGTTGTAAGTTATACTTTCATAAAATATTGGGGGAAGAAAAGCCAGTAAGTGCAATGGACTTATGGGAGAGCCTGGGTCTCTGGCAGACATCCCAGCATCCTTCACTCCAGACATGATGGCAGCCTGCATACAATTCTGTCTCAGACTGAATGGTGGATGGTGGAGGAGGAAGAAGCTCTCTGGAGACAGCATGAGTGATCTCTAATTATACTTTTCTTTTTAGAAAAAGAATTTTTTTTTCTTCTAAAAGAGTGACTTTAAATGATAGTTCATGAAATAACCTCCTTGGTGTCATCTACTCGTGAAATCCTTTTTTTAACCAACAAATCCCTGCATTCTGTGTGACTAAACCTGTACACACATTTCCAGCCCAGCACCATACCACCAGATAGGGTGGGGCAGTGGCACCCAGAAGGCTTGTGATACCACAGATCTGGATTCAAACCTCAGCTCTACTTCTCACCTGTTCTGTGACCTAGGGCAGGGAACTCTCCCTGATACTCAATCTCCACCTCACAGGTTGACACTGGGAATTACATGAGGCCTCCCCAGGGATTTGTGCCTAGTAAAATGCTAAACACAAAATGGCAGGTGTTTGAGGAGTTGTTCTTTACTTATATCACCTCCAATGATAATCCTACATAGTAGGCAATATTTCTATTTTGCAAAGGAGGAAACCAAGATTTTTGAAGCAAGATTATAACTACTGAGTGACAGGGCAGGATTTGAACCCTACCAGCCCTGAGCTCAAGTGTCCAACCCTTCTGCTATACTGCCTCTGCACCTGCAGCTGGCCACACCGATATGGTTCCAGGGACCCTGGGGGATGAATGGAGTAGAATCTCTCCTGGATCCCTGATTGTTTCATTTCCCAGCTCCCCTGGCTGTAGGCCCTGAAAGCCCATTTCTCTTCTCTTCCACCTTCCTCCCTAAATCACAACCTCTTTCTGCCCTCCCTCTGTCCCCAGAGTCCTAGATGCCAGGGATCCAGAGAATTGAACTGTGCCCTTCCCTGGGCCAGCCCTGAGTTGCCCCTTAGGACAGCAGTGTTCAGCTCTGTGGGTGGGGAGTGACGGCAGGGAGCACTTCTGCCCAGACCAGGCCTCCAAGATCTGTAATTGGCTCCTGCAAGACCCAAGAAGAAAGTCTAGGCCATAGAAACAGCAGCACTGTTGGGTAGGACCAACCACACAATCTGCATGACCTGGTATGAAATAAAAATGCAGGGCTCCTTGTTAAAAAAAAAAGAATTTTGGCCGGGCATGGTGGCTCACGCCTGTAATCCCAGCACTTTGGGAGGCTGAGAGGGGCAGATCATCTGAGGTCAGGAGTTCGAGACCAGCCTGGCCAGTATGGTGAAACCCCGTCTCTACTAAAAATATAAGAAGCAGCCGGGTGTGGTGGCAGGGGCCTGTAATCCCAGCTACTCAGGAGGCTGAGGCAGCAGAATCACTTAAACCCAGGAGGCGGAGGTTGCAGTGAGCCGAGATCGCGCCATTGCACTCCAGCCTCGGGGACAAGAGCGAGACTTCGTCTCAAAAAACAAACAAACAAAAAAACCCATAACCAGGCACGAGCCCTTCTGAGCTTGGGACCTTGGGCCTGCCCCTTTGAGTCCTATCTTGTGATTTTGCCAAATGGAATCCTGAGACTTGTGGCCCTGGGCCCTGGTCCAGACCACAGAATCCATGCTTGTTTGATTCCCTAGTCTCAGAAGGGACTAGGTTGTTAATGAAGTCAGTGGCCTGTGAGTGCTTAGGGCCTGAACAGAAAGATTGCAGTGACCTGGGGACTTGCAGCCCCAGTGATCTAAGGCTCTTAGGTCATGCTGACCTCTAGGGTAAAGCCTCTGCAGTGTGGCCTCAGGCTTTAGGGCTGTGGCCGGCTGATGGAGCCACTTTGTGGTCGAGGTGGGGGTATTAGAGGGATGGATGGTTGGGGTAGTGATGGGGAGACGAAGTACCTGAGTAGTAGATTAGAAGGCTAATGGTGGGGCTGAAGGGGTGCTTGGGATCTGGGATTTGGAAAAAAGAGGGAGCTGTGGCCTCCAGGGTTAAGAATGCCACAGGCCAGGACTTCAGAAAGCTGGGGCTGTTGCCCTACAGACTCTTAGCTTAGAATGGCCAGAGACTTCCAGGGCTCTGGAGGCACATCCTAGTGTTTGAGGAAGGGGTTTAGGGACATGCCGGCCCCTTTGGACCATGAGGGAGGTTGATAACTGCCCTTTCTTCTTCAGTAGGGACCTCTGCATGCCTAGTGTTCAGGGCAAAGCCTTTAGTGTGTGGGCCACCCCTTTTACTAACCTCCACCCACAATGTCCCAACCCCTTCCTCCAGACCCTCTTAGCCCAGACTCAGACAGGAAGAGCACAGCCTTTGGCATTAGAGAGATCTGGACTCCAATTCTGACTCAGCCATTTGCTAGCTGTAAGACCCTAGCTAAATAATTTAACCTCTCTGAGTCTTGGTTTCCCCATTTATAAAAGGGAATAATAAAAGAACCTGTCTCATATGAGTGTGAGGATTAAATGAAATAATAGAACCAGAATGACTGCCATACAGGAAATGCTCAGTGTAGGCGATATAAGACAATTGATGCCAAAGGCAGCCTGGTGTGTGGGGCTAATTTTTTCTTTCTCTCCCTCTCTCCCTTCCTTCCTTTCTTCTCTCTTTCTCTCTTTCTTTTGACAGGGTCTCACTCTGTTACCTAGGCTGGAATGCAGTGGCATGATCATGGCTCTTTGCAGCCTTCACTTTTCCAGCTTAAGCAGAACTTTCTATCCCAAAGTGTGGGTGTGAGATTGAAAATGAAAGTGCTTGTGGCCAGGCACGGTGGCTTTCAGCTGTAATCTCAGCACTTTGGGAGGCTGAGGTGGATGGATTACCAGCCTGGCCAACATTGCAAAACCCTGTCTCTACTGAAAATACAAAAATTAGTCAGGCGTGGTGGTGGGCGCCTTTAGCCCCAGCTACTCGGGAGTCTGAGGCAGGAGGATTGCTTGAACCCGGGAGGCAGAGGTTGCAATGAGCCGAGATCGTGCCACTGGACTCCAGCCTGGGCGACAGAGCAAGACTCCATTTCAAAAAAAAAAAAAGAAAGTAAGTACCTGTGGTGCAGAAGCTCCTAGCGCAGTGCCCAGTGGGGGCACACATTTAATCTATTTGTTCACCTCCTCTCTGAATGTCCCCTCTGTTCTGCATAGCACTTGGGGTCCCCTTGGAGCCTGTCTTTCAGGCTTGTCCCTAGACAGCTTATGTCATGTGGCAGCCTGGCTCAGCGAGCAGCCCTGATTAGAGGGTTTTGAGCAAGGATGAGTGGAAGAAGGTCAGAGGAAGGGCAGGAAAACATGCCCTGAGGGGAGGCCTTGAGACCTTGGGTGTACTCAGAGGGGTGGTCTATCTGGCTGCTTTGCCCACTGGTCCTGCCTCTAGTCTGACACCCCAATGTCTGTATCTGCCACCCACCCAAAGCCAGTCTAAACCTCTCTGCCCCACTGACCCCAAAAAGGGGCCTTGTCTCTCCACTCCTTGGCCAATAATTCAGGCCCAAGCGGGCAGCCCCCCGCCATGGTCTTCCTTACCTGCATGTCTTCTCAATCTGACCGTAACCCTCTCCTCTCTTGATTCATCCCAGGCTTCAAGTTTTTCCCACACCTATTTAGCTCCCAACCCACCACCATCACACCACATTCTAATCCAAACCGACCACCCCATCCTCAGAATAGCCTTTCTGCCTCCCCCTCTGCCCCCTTCAGGGCTCTGACAAGGTTCCTGGGCCCCCTCTGAGATCTCTAGAGGACAGTGCCCTTCTGACTGGAGGAATACTTGCCATTCATTCCATTCTGGCGAGGGCAGAAGCCTCAGGCTGGAGCGTGTCCTATCCCCTCGCCTCAGGCCTCCAGACGCCCCTGAAGTGCCCTTCCATTTGCCCTTCTCCATCCCCCACTGAGGGCCGCACAGCTCTTGGGTACAGTGAGTTAGGTCTCGTCCCCACCTTTGTTTATGTAATCCTTCCCTGCAGTAACAAGGTGTTTACTGTTGCACAAACACATTTTGGTTTAATGGCTGACAGTAAAACTGTCTGATAAAGTTTGATTTAGCGAAAGAAAGCAAAATAAATCTGGGGGCACAGGGAGCTGTTGGGAGGAGAGTCTCCTAGGGCTTCTAGAGAAGGGGCAAGAGAGCATGGCCGGAGGGGCCCTTCTGCACTTCCCTAGCCACTCCTGCCTGTCTTTTAGCAACACCTCTGACAGCTCCACTTCAGGAAGCTGAGATCCCACTGAAGCTGTGAGCTCACGGCCCTGGCACTTTCTTGCCATAGCATTTGCTTTTGTCTGCCCTTGGGCATTGCCTCCATCCTTCAACCTCCAGTGTAACTTGTTCCTCCCCTGTAGAGCCTCCTGATTGCCTCAGCCCAGATGCAGCTGGCAGTGTGTCATGCGAGGGAGATCCCTAAACTAGAAGACCTGGGAACTAGATCTAGCTCTGGTATTTACTGGCAGTGTGGACTTAAGGAAGTCACATTGACTTTAGAGATCTCTGCTCCCTCTGCTGCAAAGGGGTATGCATGGAAAGTACTTGTTTTTTTTTTAAATTTTATTTTAAATTTTTTTTTGAGACGCAGTCTTGCTCTGTCACCCAGGCTGGAGTACAGTGGCGTGATCTTGGCTCACTGCAACCTCTGCCTCCCGGGTTCAAGTGATTCTCCTGCCTCAGCCTCCTGAGTAGCTGGGACTACAGGCGCCCGCCACCACGCCCAGCTCAGTTTTGTATTTTTAGTAGAAACGGAGCTTCACCATGTTGGCCAGGCTGGTCTCAAACTCCTGATCTCAAGTGATCCGCCTGCCTCGGCATCTCAAAGTGCTGTGATCAGAGGTGTGAGCCACCGTGCCTAGCCAAAGTACTTGGTTCTTAATAAAACCCTACCCACATTTAAGACACTGCTATCTTGCCTCCTCTGAAATCTCACGAAGCACATATTGGCTGTGAACTCCCTTGTACTCCACTGGCAAAGCAAGGCAGGGTGAGGATTTGTTCTTGTATGTGGGCGATGATTCTGCAGCCCGTTGCCAACTACTCTCTCTCCCTTCAGGGCTGTCTCCTATTCCTGATTTGTCACTATGGGACTGGGGCTGGAAAGTAGGTACCCACGTAATATTTCTGAATGTTTCATTGAAGTATAAACATATACAGAAAAGTTAAAAAATCATAAGACTACACCTTGATGAAATTTCACAAAGTGAACACACCCATGGGACCAGCACCCTGAAAATTTCTCCCACTTCTTCCCAGTTGATATCTGCTCGAGGGTGATCACTGTCTTGACTTCACCATAGATTAGTTCCACCTGGTTTTGTACTTTGTGTAAAGTAAAACTGCAGTTCTTTTATATTTGTTGCTGTGTAGTATTTCATTACATGAATATAACACCATTATTTATCCATATTGTTGATGAGTCTTTGGGTAGCTTTCAAGTTTTGTATTGTGAATAATGCTGCTATGAACACTCCTTTTTTAGGAGACAGAGTATCACTGTGTCGCCCAGGCTAGAGTGTATGAAACTCTTGTACATGTATTTTAACGAACACATTTCTTTTGGATGAATTCCTAGGATGGAACTGTTGGGTCAAAGGGTATGCACAGGCGCATCTTTAAAGATATTGCCAAGTAGTTTTCCAAAGAGGATGCGCCAATTTACTTTCCAGCCAATGTTTGGTATTGTCTGTCTTTTTCATTTTAGTCATTCTGGTGGGTGTGTAGTGGCATCTTATTGATGTTTTCATTTGTATTTCTTATTATTTAAAAAGTTGAGCACATTTTTATATGATTTTTGCCATATAGAGATGCTCTTTTATGAAGTGCTTTTTCAAGTCTTTTGCCCATATTGAGTAGTTTGTCTTTTTCTTATTAATTTGTAGAAGTTCTTCATATATTCTGGATCTGAGTCCTTTGCCATATATATTTGCAAATATCTCATCCCACGCTGTGGATTGCCTGTTCAATCTCTTAATCATGTCTTTCAAAGAGCAGAAGTTCTTCCTTTTAATGTAATTCAACTTATTTATGTTTCCAGGAAGTATGTTTTGGCTGGTTATATCTAGTCATACTGGTTAAATCCAGTTTTCCATGCTGTCTTGTATTTTGGGGGAAACAAAAAGATGATTTCCAAGGAAAACCTCCCAGTTCAGGTCCAGTGGTTCTCCTGGAAACATTTTCCATTTGTAAGCTTGAGCACCCCTGGTTCCTATGCCTGGAAACCTCCCAACCCTTTGGACTTTCCCAGGAATCAAGATTAATTAAACAGACAGCTCTTCCCTCTTCCATTTTAAATCTGATTAGCTTACTCCAGAGAATCTAAAAGGCCAACAAATATATAAAGAGTTGCTCCAACACATGAATAATTAGATAGTTGCAAATTAAAGCAATAATGAGATACCACTTTACATCTATTAGACTGGCAGGCATAAGAAAGCTGGATAACACCAAGTACTGGCAGGGATATGAGGGTATATGACTGCTCATCCTCTGCTTCTGGGAATATCTCAGGGAGCAGAGCATGCAGGCACTACTGAATTACGACTATATCCTATGAACCAGCAGTCTAACTCACACAGGCCCAGGAGGGGACATGGCAGGCATGTGCATCACAGCATTGTCTGGGTGTCATCCCTGGGGAAGCAGATGGGTAAGATGTGGTAGGTACACACCATGTTATGTAATAATTAGAAGCGATGGATTAAGTGTCCATGCAGTAACACACATGAATCTCTGACACAATGCTGGGTGGAAAAATTAAATACACAACATAATATTATTTGCATGAATCAAAACACTTATGCACAAAAGAAAAATAAGCACTTTGCAAAAGCACAAAGAAACAAAATGATACTCATCAAACACATTGAGAAGGTTGCCAGTCGGGGGATGGGAGTGAGGAATGAGGATAAAAAGGGATTTTAAAAAGCTCTGACCCTCAACCTTCTCTTGCTTACTACATCTTCTGGCTCAGTGTTTAAAAAGCTCCTTCTTCCATCATCTCTTCCAGTTCTGCTTCCCAGTGATCTCAGCCCTCACTTGTCAATCTCCTTTCAGACCAGCCACTCTCAGGCCATGTCTGGACAACACAAGTTAACATTTACATTATCCACATTTTACCCTGGATGAGTACTCAACACACAGCAGTGGCCAAGGTTCAGCCCCACAAGACTGGGCAGCCAGAAAGCTTGAGGCATTACATCCTATTAGCTATTGTGTCTGGTACCTGGGAGTTGTTCAGCAAATGTCTTTTGAATGAAATGAAGAATGGTTCTGCTGTTCACTAGCTGTGTCAACCAGGGCAAATACTTTTGCCTCTCTGAGCTTTGATTCTCATATATGTCAAAATGGAGATGATAATTACAATTCTTCTTTCCCAGGGTTATTGTTAAGGTCAGATGAGATCATTGCATTGAAGGCATTTTGTTAACTGTAAAGAGCTATCCAAAACAATGGAGAAAGTGTAGAAGAAGGATGTTGGGGGCTTGAATCCCAGCACAGCCTTGCGAGGCCTTGAAAAAGATAGCATCTCCTAGTCTCAGATTTTAAATTCTGTAAATTGAGAAACAACAGTGTCAACCTTGCAGAGTTTTTATGAGGATTAACAACAATGCAGGCAACGTATTTGCTTTGTAATAGTCATTAAAAGTAATGGCTGGATGCATGTGGTGGCCCAGGCAGGCTGATCACCTGAGGTCAGGAGTTTGAGACCAGCCTGGCCAACATGGTGAAACGCTGTCTCTACTTAAAATACAAAAAATTAGCTGGGCGTGGTGGCAGGCACCTGTAATCCCAGCTACTCGGGAGGCTGAGGCAGGAGAATCGCTTGAACCCGGGAGGCGGAGGTTGCAGTCAGCCCAGATCATGCCACTGCGTTCCAGCCTAGGCAACAAGAGCAAAACTCTGTCTCAAACACACACACACACACACACACACACACACACACACACACACACACACATAATGGGAAAAACCACAAGTACTTTGCACCAACCAAATAGTAGGTGTTTGAGAACATGGGAGCTCTGTATCTTCATTCATTAATTTATTAAATGAGTGCTTATTGAATGCTGCTGAATATATGTGTCCCCCCAAATTCATATGTTGAAATCCTAACCCCCAAAGTGTTGGTGTTGAAACTGGCACAATTGTCCCATAGAACTGATGTTTAAGGTTTCCTTTGAATGAACATAGAAATAGACCCTCTCTGTCTTAAAACTTATGAAAGTTACAATAGTTTTATCTGAGTTCCTTTCTCAGGAAACCAGCCATCAGGACTGCTAGATAGTATCAAGGAACTGAAACCAGATCACTGCATCTGGACCATGAGAGGCCAGACCCTTTAGCCATCATGACTGCCTAACTAACCACCTGCTTCCTGTTGACCAACTCCTCTTCTTTATCCTTCTCTAATTCCTGTTTCCCTGCATGTAGTTACATTTCTTCCCTGCTATATAAACCCCTGATTTTAGTTTGTCAGGGAGATGGATTTTACACTGATCTCCTATCTCCCCAGCTGCAGCCCCTGATTAAAGCCTTCTTCCCTGGCAATACTCATTGCCTCAGTGACTGGCTTTGTGTGTGGTGAGCAGCAGGACCTAGATGGAACCCCTGGTGTTTCCGTAACAGTGTTAGGAGGTGGGGGCCTTTGGGAAGTCATTTAATCATGGAGGTGGAGGCCTTAGGAATGGGATTAGTGGCCATATAAAAAGGCCCCAGAGAGCTACCTTGCCCCTTCCCATGTGAGCACACAGCTAAAAGGTGCCACCTATCAACCAGAAAGTGGGCCCTCACCAGACACCAAATCTGCCAGCACCTGGATCTTGGACTTCCCAGGCTCCAGAACTGTAAGAAGTAAAAATTTCTATGGAATGTTATTATAGAGCTTGAATGGACTAAGAAAAATCCCTACATTGTGCCAGACAGGGTTCTAGACACAGAAGGGAGCAGTGAACAAAACAGACACAACCCTAAAAATTCCTGTCCTTTGGCCTGGGGAGGAGAGAATCAAACAAGAAATAAAATGAGTAAGAGGGACAGTATGCGAGATGATGATAAAGGCTATGGCAAAAACTGAGCAGGAAAGGGGAATAGGGAGCCCTAGGGGTGAGATGGAGGTTATTTATTTATTTAAGCAGAGTGGTCTGGGAAAGCCTTTTGAAGAGGTGATGTTTGAGCAAAGACCTGAAGGAAGTGGGAGAGCAAGCCCTGGGAAGTGCAAAGGCCTTGAGTCGGGTCATACCTGGTGTGTTCAAGGCACAGCAAAGAGGCCAGAGTGGCTGAGATGAGCTCAGAGACGTAAAGGCAGCAGTGAGGCTGATGGTGTAAGTGCTTAAAGCTTGTTGTAAATTCTATCTGACTGCACAGGAATAGCCCATGAAAGGAGAAAAGATTGAAGAAGCTGTAATTTTCAGTGGTGGAAAAGGAGCCAGGTGGGTGTATTACTTACCTATGGCTACCCAAGAAATCACGTAGCAGCCCCCAAACGTAGCAGTTTAAAACAGCAAATATTATCTCACTATTTCTATGGGATCAGGAATTTAGGCACAGCTTAGGTCTTTTCTTAAGACTACAACTGAAGTGTGACCTGGGGCTGCAGTTATCCTGCCTTTTTTTTATTTTTGAGAGGGAGTCTCGCTCTGTCGCCAGTCAAGAGTGCTGTGGCGCGATCTCGACTCACTGCAACCTCCAACTCCTTGGTTCAAGGGATTCTCCTGCCTCTGCCTCCCGAGTAGCTGGGATTACAGGCATGCGCCACCATGCCCGGCTAATTTTTTTGTATTTTTAGTAGAGATGGGGTTTCACTATGTTGGCCAGGATGGTCTCGATCTCCTGACCTTGTGATCCGCCCGCCTCGGCCTCCCAAAGTGCTGGGATTACAGGCGTGAGCCACCGCGCCCGGCCCAGTTATCCTGTCGTGATGGGAAAGGTCGGCTTCTACTCTGGCTCCAGGGGCTGTTGGCAGGATTCCATTCCCCGCAGGCTGTTGGCTGGAGGTCTCCCTTGGTTCTTTGCCATGTGGTGCTCTCCTAGTTCATTCAGCTCACAAAATGGCATCTGGCTTCCCCCAAAGCCAGAGAGTGCCTAAGAAGGAAGCCACAGTCCTTTGGTGACTTAATCTTGGAAGCGACATCTCATTGCCTCTGCCAGTAAACCCAGTCCTTGCTGGGCGGAGGAGATTAAGCAGGAATACCAGGGGAAGGGAACCAACCAGGTGATCATTTGATCAAATCAATTAATTTAGAGGCAAAGTTGCCTGCCATCAGGGAGCTGTAATTTTCAGGTGTGGTGAAGTTGCCGAAGACTACAGATAGGTGAGAGATTATTTGTCCATATGCTGGAGGGATATTTGGGCCTTACTTTGCAAGTATAATTCAGTAGTACTTTCTACAAGTGTTAGGCGTAATTGAATAACTAGGAACTATGTATTTATTTACTTATCTTTGTGGTCCTAGCTAACCTGGCCCATTAGGCCTCTGGCTGCTCATTCTGGGCCGTTTCCACCTGCAGGGAAAGAGCATTTATTTATGCGTGTGAGGGTGTGTTATTTTAGTCCGTGTAAAGCAGCAAGTGCGCATGCGCGTCTGTGCTTACTTGGTATGTGTCTGCATCGTGGGTCCTACTCTTCCCTGGGCCTACAGACCCCTGGGTTCACCTTTCCTTGGCTCCCCGCTCTGCACTTTGTCGGGAGGTCACGTGTGAGGAAACAAGCCCCACGTGGTTTTAATCATTTTGCTATAAAAGCTGAGCTGCTCTCCGCTTTGATCCAGGCTGAACTGCTGGAGGAAGGGCTGGGGCTGAGCTGGCCTGTCCGCGGAGTGCTCCGCACACAGCTCCCACATCAGACGGCAGCCGTAAAATGGAGCACAGCTCGTTAATTCTCCCTCTTAACCAGGGCACCTGACAAGAAGTGACTTTGAAAACCCGGAGGACGGATGGGCGGGTGGGCGGCTCTTGGTCTAGGCAAGGAACATCTGTTTCCAGGTCCCTGGCTGTTAAATTGACATCTTTTTATTTGAAAAGTTTCTTTTATTTCCCAACTTCCTGCAATTGGCAAGGTCTCTGTGCCAGGGAACAGAGAGTCATGGTTTTGCAGACAATACCAGCTGAGTGGCATCACTGTCCTGCAGGACAGACGTACAAGTGCCAAGGTAGGATGTCTGGTGCTTTGTCAATTGTTAAACCTATGTTTGTGCAGAGAACATCAAACCCCATTTTAAAAAAAGCAAAAATGGCCTTGAAATTGAAAACCCTGTGAACGTTGTGAGCCTCCATCTGAGAAATATTAACGTTTCTGAGCTAGAAAATTCACGGGAAGCCTGTTGTGTTCCATTGAGTGTTCTCTTCCTGGGCTCAGCAGTCAAGTTTCCTTAGCAAGAATGACCCACATGCCTGCTGTCTGCAGCGTTCATCCTGTTTGGTGATCAAAGACCCCAACTTTGACCTTTAAGCCCTAATGGCAGAAGCCACTAGCAAAGGCTGGGTTGGCTCTTCTCAAGGTGAGAGCCCAAGACCCTTAGGATGGGAGACTGAAAGTGATGGGTGGAAGATTCTTTTATCTCTACTGTTTCTGGGAGCCTTTGGATCATCTTGTGTTCCTGGCCATCTGATCCATGTGCTTTATCCTGCATCCTTTAGGATCCACCCTTGGCTAGGTGGATCATTGTCAGTAGGACAGACAACAGTCAGTATTTGAGAAACAAAGGCATGGCAGAATCCCAAGGGATCATCAAGAGATAACTGCATCTCATATCCCCCTCAGCGTGCACGTGTGTGTGTGCATGTGTGTGTACATGTGGTGCCAGAAGATGTGAGTGTGAATGTTGGCGCATCTGTGTGAATGCATTGGTGCCATAGTGTTTCTGAAGCATGTGTCTGTGAAGTGAGTAGATGAGTGCATAAAATATCTTTGTCAGAACATGCTTCTGTGTGTTAAGGTGCATGAGGAACCACTGGGACGAAGTGGCGGTGTGCACTTGTGGGATGTGCATGAGAACGCGCATTTCCTCATAATCATGTTTCCTGAAAGTGATGGAACTATCCTTCCTGGTTCTGCTTTAGCAGTGATTGAACACTCATGCCTCTCAATTTTCAAGGCCTCTCATATTCCCATCCCCATCTCTTTGAAGCCTCCATCAAAATTATAGTCTGTCCAGTCAGATTGCCTGGGTCTATCTCTTTCTAGACTTGGCGAGTTGCTTAGCTCTCTACACCTTAGTTTCCTTATTTGTATAAGGGCAACATAGTACTAGATTGGAGAATCCATGAAATAATTCATGTAAAGCAACTTGAAATTGCCTGGCACAGAGTAAGCATTTGGTTAGATGTCATCAGTACCACCCTTTGTCACTTCTGTCACTCCTACCTCTTATCTCAAATCATGTCCTTCCATTGTGCTTTGGTAGTCTTCCATTCTCTCCCATCTCCCTTCATCACATTATCAACCCTCATCAAGTTAATGACCCTAGCACCTTCACCACTGCTGCTGCACACCGCCTTTCTAATCTAGACGACCAAATTAGGGAGTTCCCAGAAGGGTGAGACCAGCAGAGTGTGACCCTGCCAAGATGGGTCAGTTGAGTGGCAGAATCAGAATGTAGAGACTCCTTGATTTCTCAGTGTTTCGAGGGCAGATCAAGAACAGGAGAGTGAAAGTAGGAAGGGAGCCACCCAAAATGGCCCCTGTAGCATGCTTGCTCTCCCCTTCTCCCATCCCCTCTTTGGACTTGGCTCGGGGTGAGGAGGGAGGCCGTGGGGCAAGGCTATGCCTGTTATCAGCTTGGGACATCCAAGAAAGAAGTCAATGTGCTGGTCACTTTGGCTTTTCCATTCCAATATGAATATATTAAAATGCAACATTCCAGCTGTGCAAATCCCCAAGCCCTTAAAATAAAAGGTTTTTAACTTTAACCATTAAAGATTTAACTAGCCAATAAATCTAAGTATGTGGGGGGTTGTTAGCAAACGTTTATTATATTGCTCTTGCTTTTAACTTAAGAGAAAATGGCAAGTACGGACTTCCATGAAAAAGACATTCCCTTGTGCTCAAAAACGGATGTCAAACCCCAACCAAAAAAAGCAAGAGGTGGCTGTTTCCGGAAGGATCCACTCACTTTCCTCCAAATCTCTTTAGGAGTTAAAACGGCTATATCTGTTTTACAAACCAATTTGCTTGCTACAAAAAAATAAAATCAAATAATAATAATAAAAAAAGCCTGTAATAGCCTCTCGTTGCCACAGTCAGAACATGACTGACTAAATTAATCCAAAAGTCTACTTGCAGTTTGAGCATCTTGGCGCCAACTTTTCTAGAACTAGATTTTATAAAGGCACAAAGGGGATATAGCTTTGGTGAAGAAATCACAAGATCTTTCTCTTTTAGTATCTTCTGGGTGAGTTGGGTAATCCATGTCTTGGATTATAGTGCTTAGCTTTGCCATTTTTACATTTAAGGCAAGCAAGCAGCAAGCCATCTGCCCAGTAGTGAAATATGGCTTTTAATTTACACAAATGTAAAAGTATAGAAGTTAACAATCATATTCACCCTGGACTTAAAAAATGAATAGAAGCCAGATAAATCTTGGCCATTAAAGAAAAAAAAAAAAAAAAGATCTGACGTACATGTTGAGTTATACCAGCCAGCACGGGGACAGAGCCGCATTCCAGATGTGCTATTTTCCTGCCCATTGACAGCTCTCCAGCCCACTCCAGTAGTAAAAAAGTCCTGAAGTGGATTTTTTTAATCTGGTGTAGACTCCTTTTTGCCCGTGAGGCCTGCTGGGTGGGTCCGCTGGGTTTCATTTCTCACAGAAGGAACCAGTGAGCCCTGTTTGTGGGAAATACACAGTAAATCCTGGCCTTTGCTCAGGAAACCTCCCTCTGGAGCATTTTTCACGTCTAAATAGGAGCTGAATAAAGTTGATAAGCGGTTGTATTTTTTTTTAAGTGATTGTACTTTTCACTCAAAGCCGTTTAGCTCAAAGATTTTGTGCTCTTAGAGGCCTTACCCTCTGCTCCCTAAATTAGAAGCCAGAGTAGCATGACGATGGTAAAGCACATCCACAGCCTGTTCAAATTGCAGGGGACACCTACATTTTCCTTTTGAGTAGCAACCCGTCTCCCTGGCCTCAGTAGAGGAAGGGCTGATTCCAGAGTTGCCTCTGCTCGTATGATACATTTCCTCCATTCCCCTGCAGCTGCCTAGATGGAAATGTGACTCCCAGGGTTCTGGGGTGCGGAAGTATTTCCCTTGGAGGTCCCTAGCATTGTCCTTTGATGTGAGTGTGACAGGGAAGGGCTAAGCTTGCTAAATTTTAAGTCTCCTCCATGGATTGGGAGGTGGAGGCACTGGAAGAGTTATTTTCAAACCAGCCTGGAATATAAGGGAAGCTGTGGCCGATTTGCTGGAGGCAAAGCCAGAAACTTCAAAGACCTGTTTTCAGCCTCTAAACAGCAAGGATATTCAACACGTGGGGGAGGCACAGGGTGGTCCCTGCCAGCTTCTCCCCAGGGAGTTTCCAAGCGGACTTTGCTGTCCCTTCTGCCTTCTCTAATTTTCAAATCCCAGATGGTTGAACTCTGGAGAGAGACAAAGCAAGAGACAGACTCCTCAATTATTATTAGAATGCTTTGCTTCCTGAATGATAGGCTGCTTTGAAAGGAAAAAATTTTATTTGGATCCCTAGTACCTGTGGAACTGTACATGGCAGTGCTGTTTTTTGGGGGAATAATCTTGGTGTTCTTGGAGAAAAGGCACCCGCACTTCCTGTCAGAAGGATTACAGTTGTTTAGAAACTGCTCATTCCATTTGTTCATTCATCCATTCATATATTAGCTCATTCATTCATTCAATAAATATTTCTGGATACTTCCTATGTGTCTTACTCTCTGCTTGGTTCAGGGCTGTAGGCAGAACAGGACCCAATGCCTGGGTAGACAGCCAGAGCCCTCTGGAATGAGAAAAGTAATCCTTGACTCTAACCCTAGAGATTACTAAGTGGGCCTGTCCTCTCTGAGTGTTCAAAACAGAAGAGTCTTGCACGTTAGAGGTCGATTAGTCCTTCGGCTTTGGTTGTCCCCTTGAGTTTTTCACTGCTCTATTTCAGATCTCCCTACTGTCCATAACTCCAACTCCATGATCTCCTCCATATTCAATCCCTGCTTTTAGAGAAGGCAGGCAATGTTGGCTCCGCCTCCCCGGTAGCTTCAACCCCCCTGCTCCCACCAATGCCCTCCCACCCACAATCCCAGCCACAGTGTCAAAGTGGATCCCTCCTATTTCCCTCTTGATCCCTCTGCTCTCACCTTTTCCAGAACCCCCCGTACCACAAAATTCCTCTCTCTTGCATCTGCTCAGTCTCTCCTCCGACCAGGACTTCAGAGGCCTGTCCCCATGCTGTGGGCTTTCCCCTCCAAGGTTCAGCATGGCCAGTCTCTTGGTGGCTACGACCTCCGACTGAGGGAAGGGACAGACTCCATCTGCACGAGCTGGGATCATTCCCTCTCCCGCCATGACACGGGCCCCAACACTTTCTCCCGCTGCTGCTTTTTCCCTTCCCCTTCTGAAAGTAGCCATTTAAAAAGGTCGAAATGGGCTTCATGAGGTTTAAGGGGTTTATTAGTTTGAAAAGCCATGTCCCCTGTTTGGAGGAAGGGGAAACAGCCGCCTTCTTTTCACATTACGTCAATCCGCAGGCGTCTGTAATTTACATTTTTTTAACTCAAATGTTCAGAAATAATGGAAAGGCTGCTTGAAAAAAACAGATGAAATAAAAACTGGGGGAAATGTGTATTATACAAAAACCAGACCTGTGAGCCTGAGGCGAGACGTGCCGATGACCTGGGGAGCTGATTAATGAGGCAAACCAAAGGAAGCCCAGGTGAGCGTGGATGCCACGCTTTCTTCACAGTTGCTGACACCCACGGGCTGGCATTTCATTTCCCACACACAACTTCATGGATGGTTTTCACTGGGAAATTTTAGAGCCATTCATATTTCAACCCTAGGAGAAAAGACCCCTGAGCTGTGGAAGTTGGGCAGATGGGGGAATGTGGAGAAAGGACTTGGAGGTCAATAGCACCCTGCTGGGTCCCAGCTTCAGTTTCTCTTAGTCCTCAGAGTCAATCTTTTCTGATCCAGCCTTGCCTTATTTAGTCCCTTCTTCAGTTTCTCCTCTTTTTCTCTGCCGCATTCTCTGAGAAAAAAGGAGATGAGGGTCAAATGGTTAAGGCCACAGTAAGATGTATTAACAGTTTTATTTTCTGACAACCTTCTAAGATAATCAATTAAAAGAAAGACCCAACTTCTAATTACAAATCAAATAATTGCTTACAAAATAACTTATTCTACTTCTGCATATAGTTTTTTTTCCCCATATAATATGTCTCTAAATGCTGCATCATTTAACATTCCTTTGGCAGATATTTTAAGCACATACCATATGCCAAGGACAGTATTTTTTTTTTCCATTCTATAAAAAAGTATATTTTTATATGTTGAGATACAAGCTTTTTAAAATTTATTTATTTATTTTTATTGATCATTCTTGGGTGTTTCTCACAGAGGGGGATTTGGCAGGGTCATAGGACAATAGTGGAGGGAAGGTCAGCAGATAAACAAGTGAACAAAGGTCTCTGGTTTTCCTAGGCAGAGGACCCTGAGGCCTTCCGCAGTGTTTGTGTCCCTGGGTACTTGAGATTAGGGAGTGGTGATGACTCTTAACCAGCATGCTGCCTTCAAGCATCTGTTTAACAAAGCACGTCTTGCACTGCCCTTAATCCATTTAACCCTGAGTGGACACAGCACATGTTTCAGAGAGCACAGGGTTGGGGTGTAAGGTCACAGATCAACAGGATCCCAAGGCAGAATAATTTTTCTTAGTACAGAACAAAATGAAAAGTCTCCCATGTCTACTCCTTTCCACACAGACACGGCAACCATCCGATTTCTCAATCTTTTCCCCACCTTTCCCCCCTTTCTATTCCACAAAACCACCATTGTCATCATGGCCCGTTCTCAATGAGCTGTTGGGCACACCTCCCAGACGGGGTGGTGGCCGGGCAGAGGGGCTCCTCACTTCCCAGTAGGGGCGGCCGGGCAGAGGCGCCCCTCACCTCCCGGACGGGGTCGCGGCCGGGCAGAGACGCTCCTCACATCCCAGACGGGGCGGCGGGGCAAAGGCGCTCCCCACATCTCAGACGATGGGCAGCCGGGCAGAGATGCTCCTCACTTCCTAGACGGGGTGGCGGCCGGGTAGAGGCTGCACTCTGGGCACTTTGGGAGGCCAAGGCAGGCGTCTGGGAGGTGGAGGTTGTAGCGAGCCGAGATCACGCCACTGCCCTCCAGCCTGGGCACCATTGAGCACTGAGTGAACCAGACACCGTCTGCAATCCCGGCACCTCGGGAGGCCGAGGCTGGCGGATCACTCGCGGTTAGGAGCTGGAGACCAGCCCGGCCAACACAGCGAAACCCCGTCTCCACCAAAAAAATACGAAAACCAGTCAGGCGTGGCGGCGCGCGCCTGCAATCGCAGGCACTCGGCAGGCTGAGGCAGGAGAATCAGGCAGGGAGGTTGCAGTGAGCCGAGATGGCAGCAGTATAGTCCAGCTTTGGCTCGGCATCAGAGGGAGACCCTGTAAAGAGAGGGAGAGGGAGACCGTGGGGAGTGGGAGACCGTGGGGAGTGGGAGATCGTGGGGAGAGGGAGAGGGAGAGGGAGCGCCAAGGACAGTATTGACTTAGGGGATCCAAGGAGACCAAAACAGACACGGTCTATGCTGCCTACTTTGGTGGGGACAGCAGGTTAGATACAGTGGTCAGTGCAAAGTGACGAGGTCTCTGATAGCAGGAGTAGCAGGTATTAGAGCGGCACATGTAGGAGTGGAGGGGTGGGGACGAGGGGGCTAGGAAGGGTACCTAGGAGAAGTGACTTTAGGTGCTGGCAGAAAGAGTAGGAATGAGCTAGGTGAAGAGGCTCTGGAAGGAATGATTCCAGCCAGTGGGGAGACTGTGCTTGGGCCCAGAGGTAGAGGGTATTGTGAACACATGTTCTGTTGACTGCAACTGGCAGGAGATGGACCTGGAGGGGGTAGTCAGGGACCCAACCAGGCAGCCTGTTTCCAAGGAGCTTAGACTGAATCCTGTGGGCAATGCGAGGCCTCTGGCAGGTTTAAGCAGCGGAGTTTACAACTCTTGGAATCACTTCCGTACAGTGATGCAAGTGGCTTGAGAAATCATTTGATAAAGTTGAAATCAGATGATAAAGTTGAGGCCCAGGGAGGTAAATACAGTCACGCCTCTTACTACAATTGTTACCAGCTGATGTTAATTGAGAGCTTACAGACGCCAGCACTGTGCCTGGTGATTCATATGCCTCAGCTCACTCACCCTCACCACAACCCTCTGGGGGAAGTACTAATGTCCCCATTTTTCAGATGAGGAAACTGAGGTCCAGAAAGATGAAGTAACCTGCCTTAGGCCACTCAGCTAGCAAGGGTTGAAGCCAGTATTTGAACTAGGTCTGTCTGGCTTCATAATCTGTGCTTTCCCAAGTTTCCAGAATTCATAGTAGGGCTGGAAATTAAATCCAGGCCTCCTGATATTGGCCTGCACCAGCACATTAGCTGCTGCATCGCATGTACCAGGCCTGCTTGCTCTCTTAGAAAGTGGGCGACCACCCTCACATCATCTTCTCTGCTTCTATTGACCATGTCTGCGTGGACTCCGTGGACTTTATCGTCATCGCCAACACCTCTGAATATACCATTTTTACATTGTATTCATTTATCGCTGGTTATGTATTTCAGAAAGACAGTCACATACATGAAGTGTCACTGTTCTGAGGACACGAAATGGACTCTAAGAAAGCTGGAGGCGGGACATTCCAAGGAATAGGTTAAACAGTTTTGCGGGATTCCTGAATCAGTTGGCCAAGGACTTGGGCTCAGGTGGCAGGGCTAGCTCCTTTCAGCCCAAGCTTGTGAGCTGGCCTGTCTCTCCTGAGTTCAGCAGTCTTCAGGGCTGTGACCTCCCAGGGCCTTGCCATGGTAGGGCCAGCTGTCCACCCTGGGACTGTCACCTTCAGGTTCTGTGGGGGCCCACGGCTGCCAAGCCTGGGGAAGCCTCAGGCACTTGTCATTGCTTCCCAAGTAATGACCTCCTGGCCTGGCCACATCTCAGCTAATTTCTGCAATTAGGGGGGCTTGTTTTCAGAGGCTGAAACAGGAACTTTTCTGAATTAGCTTTTATGGTTCAGAGCCTTTAATTTGAGATTTAAAAAACATCATAGCTCACCAAAACCAAATAAACTGCAGCTAATGAAATTCGCAGAAGTTCTCAGAGAATGCTTCTCACTGGTGCTCCTGGATGATTTATTGACAGCTGGTTGTAAAAACAATCTTATTAAAGGTCATAATGTAGGGTAAGAAAAAAGCCCTTTAATTTATAGCATAATTAGGCTTCGCCCAATAGCTCTGCTGCCAGGGCTGTCACTTAGGGCTCCGAGGAAGCACTTGGTGTTTTTCATTATATCACAGTGAAGGAGCGCCATGCTCCTAGAGGGCCCACTGACTTGGTCTTTATGGCCCTTTTATTGCTGCTAAAATAGTCAAAATAGGGGGTTGATTAGAGCCGACTGATGCCTACTGATTATGGGAACACCTCTTGTGCGGGGAGGGAGAAAAGATGGGAGGGGGCTCAGGACTTCAGGACGTGCCTCCGACAGGAAGAGATGGGCCGTGAAACATGCTGGGGAAGTGTGACATGGCCTCTAGGCTCTTCCCCAGACACTGTGTGGATTGAAGGCTGACCCCAGGCAGGCGGGGCTGGGGTGAGAAAGAGGAAGGGAAGGTGCTAATGCCTCAAGGAAGAGGACAATCCCAGGGCACGATGTGTATGGGAATAAGAACCTTAAAAATGCTAATGCGTCCCAAGGTGGAGCACAGCTCTCAGCCTGGTGGTGGGGAAACAGCCCCAAAGAGTAGAAGGTCTTGCTTGCTGCTGCCTTCTTGCAGAAAGAGAAGGGAGGACTCAGTATTGGTGTATTATGGTGGGGGAGGGGGACGTGGGCAAGTCCTGGTCTCTGGAAGCTTAGCCTGGGGACAGAGTCAAGTTCCTAAGCATGATATTGGAATGGGAGCTGCCCCCAGGGCTGTGCTTGTGTGTGAAGGTGCCTGGGAGGGGTGGGAGTTTGTGTGTGGGGGTGTCACACAACCTCAGCAGAGCATCAGGGATGACTAACGATGGCCAAACCCAACAGGTATTGTGACAGGGAAGGGGTGGGTGGCTCTGAAGTTATGCTGGTATTCCATTTGGCCTGGGCATGGCCTGGAGCTGACCTGACACTAGAAGGTTGTGGGAATAGTGGGGCTTTAGCAGCCCCAAGGATTGGGCTGCTGCTTCAGAGTGCACCTTACAGATGTTGGAGTGAGTGCTCTAGGGTGCATCTGGGGCCATCCCTTCCCCTCCCTTCCCCTCTCTTTCCCTCCCTTTCCCTCCCTTCCCCTCCTCTCCCCTACCCTCTCCTCCCCTGCCCTCCCCTTCTCCCTTATTCCTTTCTCCTGCCCTCCCCTTCCCTTCTTGCCCCTTCCTCTCTCCTCTCCTCCACTCCCCTTCTCCCCCACTTTCCCTCCCCTGCCCAACTCCTCCCCTCTCCTCCCCTCCCCTGCCAACCTCCTCCCTTCCCCTCCCCTCCCCTCTCCCCTCCCCTCTCCTGCCTTCCTCTTCCCCTCCCCTACCCTGCCCTCCCCCTCCTCTTCTCCCTCCCCTCCCTCCCTTCCCCTCCTCCTCTCCCCTCCCCTTCCCCTTCTCCCTCCTTTCCCCCTTGCTCCTCCCCTCTGCTTATCTGCCCTCCTCCTCCCTCCTTCCCCTCCTCACCCCCTTCCCCCTCCTCGGCCCCTCCCCTCCCCTTCCCTCTCTTCCCCTCCCCTCCCCTCCCCTCCCTCTCCTGAGATTTATCAGCTGCTCAGTCTACCTACCATTCTGCATGGAACTGGTGAGCACATCTCAGTCTCCTGACACCTGCTCAACCTTCAGAGGGCTGAGAAATCAGATTTCTGGCTCCTTGAAGCCAAAGGTCAGACCTAGGCTTGTGGCTCTCACTAATGGGTGCATGCCGTGGAGATGCAGCTAGTCTTTCATGCTCCTCTTCCTCCTTTCCCTCCCACTCCTCCTTTTGGAGTTGTGTGCAAAAGGTTTACTGGGGAGTAATATTGTGAAAAGAAAAAGGGAGAAATGGGAGAATCGGGCAGGGACCTTGAGACCACCATGCAGATCTGACAAAGTCTCTCCTGCCTCTTCTCACAAGGTCGTTGGCTTCCCTCCAACAAGTGGGACAAGCAGAAAGGATCACTGGGTGCTGTAGAGCTGAGCTGGGAGAGCCTTGTATTAGAACATTTGCTGAGGGGCTCCCTTAGATGTTTTTCCCCCTTAACTCCAACTCTAGCCAGTGGAGGAGAGGGTGAGACTTGCTCCTTGGACCGAAGTCCATAGTGGAGGCATTCAAAGTTCATGCAGTGAACATTACTGAGCACCTGCTATGTGCCAGGCACTGAGCAGGAAGATGGGCTTACAGAAATGAACTTAGGAAGTTTCCAGGTTGAGGCAGAGGTGGAGGAGAGGCATGATGTAATTAATCACATTACAGTATGGTAAATGCCACAGCTAACTTTACACAGGAGCTAAGGGAGTACAAAGGAAGGAGGAGATAACTGCTTCGTGTGTGTTTAGCAGTTACTGCATGTGTGACAGCGTGTTGTAGGAATGTGTGTGTGTGTGGTGAGTGCATTGCATGTGAGTGTGTAGTCTGTGTAAGTATATGTCAGTGTGATGTGATGTGGATATATGGGTGTGTGAGTGGGAGTATCTGTGGATGATTGTGTATTCCAGTTTGCAAGTTGTGCGTGATGCTGTGGTGTGTGGGGGTGTGTGAGAGTGCGTGTGGGGGTGTGTGAGAGTGCATGTGGGTATGTTTCAGGGATGTGTTGTAGGAATGACCTCAGGGACCACAGCAGCCTTTGCAGAAGGTGTAAGTGCCCCAAGGGAAGGGATGGCATCTGCTGTGCTGGAACCCAGGGCCTAACACAGTGCCAGACATAGGAGATGATCAATAACCCTTTTCTGAATGAACAGCTGCCTCCCCTTTTCTGGAGTGCAGGAAACAGAATCTGTTCTGTTACCATCAGCTGTGGCCTTGACTTCCTTTCAGGAGGCTTTGTCCTCTTGGACAAAGTAAGAGAGCCGTATTTTTTTTTTCTTTCAGATGTTAGTAGCTGAAACTTGAGGGTAAAGGGATAAATTCTTGAAACAATTTAAGTCCTAGTAATGTCCTGCCTCTTTAAATGAGCGTCACTCAAGTCAAGGGTTGTAGTTCGTTTTACTTGGCGTCTATACACTTTTTGTACTTTCTAAATCTTCTAAATTTTTTGAGTCTGAGAAAGGAGTTATTAAAAAAGGAATCTGACTTTTCCATGTGCACTTGTGCTGTAATTGTGTAAAAGCTCTTGAGGTGCTGCCTTGGACCCTTGGGTTGAATTCAGACTGCTTGCCTTCCCCCACCCCCACCCCATTTTCCTGTCCCAACCCGCTGTTTCTCCTTCTGGCCCTGATGGCTCCTGCCATTCTGCCTTTGGGCTTTGTGTCTCAGCCTCTGTTATTTCTCTTCTGTTTGATTGACAGCCCATTTTGGTGTCACATTTCTAGGCTGACCTCTGCCTTCTCCAGCAGAGTGCAACTCTGGGACTTACCCTGGGGCCTCACGCTCTGAGCCAGGCTCAGGAGCCCTCATTTACCCTACGGGCCACAGGCTGGGCACCCAGCACCAGCCTTCCAGGCTCAGGAGGAGGCTGAACAGTAAGAATTAAACATGCTGGTGTCTCTTTTAAAAATCTAGCTTCTCCCTTTGTATTCTCCTGTCTGTGACACAGTACCCCCTTCCTCTCTCTGCTTAGAACTGGCAATTATTCATCATTTATAAATTGAAGATAATCCCATTTCCTGATGACTCCTGCAGATCAGGGGTTGGAGGAGAAGAGTTTCTTAAGAACTTCCATCCCTGTCTACTATTCACAGAGGAAATAACTCAAATGCCTCTATTTCTCAACTATGAACTTCTAAGGTCTGGTTCTTTCCAAAGAGATTTCTGTGTATTAAATCCTTTCATAATGGCAGTAGTCTTCTATCAGATTTTAAACCCAAAGGACAATTGTTCCAGGTACATTTCAAGCTACATATGGCAGACAGCTGTCGGTCAAGACCACCAGACTGTGGGGCAGCAGCACTTCTCTCCCCAGAGACCATTCCTTTCTGTGTTTCCTTTGACCTGGGGTGAAGTTGGAATCGGAGCTAAAATTAGGGCTGAGAGGCAATCTAGGATTTATTGGAGTGGATGTTGGTGTTGAAGTTATTTTAGTTATTTTATTCAGGGTGAGCATCGGGTTAGGGAGGCTGGGGACTTGGATTCAGATTGCTATGGTATTAAAGCACAGTGGGTAAGGGTCCGGTAAGGTTAGGGTTAGGTTGGATTAGGGTTCCATGCAAGGCTGGGGTCAGTGTGTGGTTGCTGTTGGGGTCAGCATTAGGGCTGGATCAGGTGCTTTGCTGGACTGTTGGATGCTCATTGGTGGGGAAACTCCATCTGGGGATTTTGCCACCTGATAGGGTTTGGCTGTGTCCCCACCTAAATCTCACCTTGAACTGTAGTTCCCATAATCCCCAAGTCTTGTGGGAGGGATCTGGTGGGGGGTAATTTAATCATGGAAGCTGTTACCCTCATGCTGTTCTCGGGATAGTGAGTTCTCACAAGATCCGATGATTTTATAAGGTGCTTTCCCCCATTTTGCTTGGCATTCTCCTTCCTGCTACCATGTGAACAAGGAGGTGTTTGCTTCCCCTTCCCCCATGATTGTAAGTTTCCTGAGGCCTCCCTAGCCCTGTGGAACTGTGAGTCAATTAAGCCTCTTTCCTTTATAAATTACCCAGTCTCGGGCAGTTCTTTATAGCAGCATGAGAAAGGACTAACACACCACTCCTCAATGTACATTCTCATGGAGCCAAACCCTTGGTCCTGCCATGCAGTTTTAGGCTGAATGAGGCAAGGGCATGCTGTTTTCCCTCTGGGGTTTGGGGTTTAGGTGCCACGTATTAACTCGTGGGAAGCTTGGCAAGACCCATCCTTGGGGTTCATCTCTTCTGGCTCCCACAGAGGCAGGCAGGCGGGTGAAGGCAGCAGAGGGTTCAGATGTTTGTCTATCCTCCTCCACTGCCAGGAAGTTAGGGTAAGACTAAAGGACTTAGTCTCAGGATCTGAGGCACACAGTGGGCCTGCTGGGTCCCCGTGAGCGTTAATGGCCAGACACAAACTCCTCCTGTCCTTGTACCTGGTGCCCGGATGACCAGTTTGCTCTCTTCAAGCACTTTGAAGAAGTAGCTGAGAATGGCAATAAACTGATTCCGGTCCTCTGTCTCTGTGAAGGGCTAGACAGGCAGCATCTCAGTGCCTTTATGGGCTATTTCTGCAGAAGGACAGCAGGCAGACCCAGATAAAGAGCCCACATGCCCGCAGCCCATTGCCTACCACTGCAGACATCGCCATGGCCTGAATGCTGCCCCTTGGGCTTCTGCTCTTGCCAAGCCCACTGTTCCCCACACTCTAGTCACACCGATGCTACCCTAAGCACCAACCCCAGATGCCTCCATAGCTTTGTGGATGCCACTCATCAGCCTGGAATGTCCCCTCACATGCATCTACAGGGTCCCCTCATCTCCCAGATCCAGCCCTTGTGACACTGCATTGCATGTCTTTGTTTATGGATTAAATGTAGGGACAGTGTCTTGTTCATACCGTATCCCCAGAACCTGGCACAGGGACTGGAAGAGAGTGGATGCAAGGTCAATGTCAGTTAAAAGATGGAAGAGCAGGAAAGACCAGGCCCTCAGGCTAATGCAGTTACATGTATTTTATTAGGACTTAGGTCTTTTTATAGAGCATCTTCAGCTCCTCCATACTTCAAACATCTCTATGCATTTTTATTTGCTCCCGTTTTTTCACTAGTATTGAATTCAGTAAACCTAGCAAGTAACCATATCTAGGTGGTGTGGGAGTATGCAACACTCCAAAGTACATTACAGCTGCAAAGTTGGAAGCTTAAAATGCCTCCTCAACATCACTGACAAACAGAACACATAGATAGAGGGAACCTTTCCTATTTCCCCTAGCCATGCCTTGGCTTTCTGACGAAACTTGACTCCTAGTAAGTTTTATTTATTTATTTTCCTTTAAGAGCTAATATTTATTGTACCCTTAGTATACCTAGAAACTGTTTTAGGCTCTTTTCCCCCATGTATTAATTCATATAATCTGTTCAACAACCCTGTGAAATAAGTACAATTATTATACCTATTTTACAGATGAGGAAACTGAGGACCAGAGAAAACAACTAGTTTTCCAGAGCTCTCACCATTGGTATGTGGCAGAACAAGGATTCAAAGCTAGATGATGTGGCTCCATAGTCCATGCTCTTACTGTTCCTTTCTACTGCTTCCTAAAATATCTCTCAAATTCATGCCTCCTTTTCTCTTCCAGTAGATACCATTTAAACCCTCTTTTTTTGTATTTTTATTTCTATTATGTTCTGAATTGATCTCCCTAGGCATATTCCATCCTTTTTCTTTCTTTCTGGGCACTATAGTCAGGATGACCACTGTGAAAGGATAAATGTCATTCCCCTGTCCCCCGCCCCATTGTGGTGGCTTAGAGATGATGCCTGCAACATCTTCGACATTCTACACATGGGAGTTGGGTTCTAATTCCCTCCCTTGATCCGGGATCGCCTTACTGACTCGCTTGGCCAGTAGCACGCAGTGGAAGTCAATGTCTGGAACTTTCAAGGTAGGTCATACATGACTTTGAAGCTTCCACCCGGGTCTCTTGGGATCCTCCCTCTGAGCCACCTCGTAGAAAGTTTGACTAACCTATTTATAGCAACATACTGGAGAAGCCATTCACATCAGTAGTTCTAAATGAGTCTGGCCCCCCAGCCATCAAGGCACCAGAAATGTAAGCAAAGCCAGCTTCGACCCTCCAAACTAGACCATTTACCATCTGATGCCATCGAATGACCTTCATGGAGACCATAGAAGACATGAATTGCCTAGCTGATCCCTTCACAAATTACCAGCCCACAAAGTTGGGGGATAAAATACAATGGTTACTGTTTCAAGTTGTAAAATGTTGAGATGGTTTGTTGTGCAGTGGTAGATAACTGGAACTTCATTATTTTTTCTTTCTCTCTTTCTCTCTCTCTCTTTCTTTCTTTCTAACTGATACAAGTTTTTGATATCATCACAAGGGATACAGTCATGAGCAAAACATATTCAACCTTGCCCTCAGGGGCTCTGGCATTAAACAATAATACAAATAAATATATTCTTTAAAAGGTATAAGTCATCAGTGCTGCCAAAGTAAAAAGTGCCAAGAGAAACATTAATGGGGAGTCAAATTAGGTTTCCGTAAGGCAGTAATAGTTGAGCTGAGACTTGAAGGATTTAGTTGGATATAGGACTGGGGAAAGGGGTAGGAGAGCATTCTGGGCTGAGGGAAGAGCTGGTATGATGGTCCTAAAGGCTGGAAGTTGCTCGATGCTTTGGGGCCCATGTGGCTGGAGTAGAGTGAGGAGAAGTAGCCAGAAATGAGGCTTGACGTGAGGGACATGTGGCTGACTCTGGTGCACAACTCTCCATGCTGCATTGAAAGAGCTCCACATCTGTGTTCCCTACCACATGGGAGCTCCTTGAGGCCCTGTTCCAAAGTTTTAAGTGATACCTCATTCTAGAACAACAACAAAAAATACACATATTAAAGTAACATTAACCAGTTCCTTCAGGATCTGCCCCATGTCTAACTCTGTGGCCTTGTTCCCAGACATCTCCCTTCCAACTCTTGGCGCTTCTGCTATCCAGAACCACATCAGCTTCCTGAACAGACCAATGTCCACCTGCACCTGGGCCTCTGCATGTCTCTTTCCTCTGGTGGGTTGCCCTTCTTCTAGTGTTGCTTGGCTAACCTCTATGTTTTCTCAGACTTCTCAGCTGTCGCCTCCCACATGGCAAGTCCAGTGGCGCTGGGGGCCTATTTATCTGGGCTCCCATAGTCCCCATGCATCCCTCTGTGGTAGCGTAAGCCACAGGTGCATCATAATTGTGTCCTTGTTGATTATCTTTGGACTCTGAGCTCTTGTAGGAAGAAGTGCCTTTTATCCCCTTAGCTTCTTCCTTTAGAAGCTTTTGACAAAAGTTTATAAATGGAAAGGCCAATAATTCCAGCTTGATATTGTATACAAATTTAGTAAACATGCCATCAGTTTCATCCTCATCACTGATACAAAGTTTGAACAGGGCCGGGCACGCTGGTTCACACCTGTAATCCCAGCACTTTGGGAGGCCGAGGAGGGCGAATCACGAGGTAAGGAGATCGAGACCATCCTGGCTAACACGGTGAAACCCCGTCTCTACTAAAAAGTACAAAAAATTAGTTGGGTGTGGTGGTGGGCGCCTGTAGTCCCAGCTACTCAGGAGGCTGAGGCAGGAGAATGGCGTGAACCTGGGAGGCGGAGCTTGCAGTGAGCCGAGATGGTGCCACTGCACTCCAGCCTGGGTGACAGAGTGAGACTCCGTCTCAAAAAAAAAAAAAAAAAAAGTTTGAACAGAGTAGGACAAATGTGAACACGGAAGCATCTTTGAATCTTCAAATAATCCCTGTCATTTCTTCTTTCCTATTCTAAGAAATTTTATCAAGAGCAGAAATTCAGATGAACCATGTCCACTCTCTTCTCCTAATCCAGCAGTATAAACAGTCTATGAAAAAAAGTGAAATGAACTTGGCAGGACAGAGGAGCCTTTAAAGAACCCACTCTGTGTTCAAAGACCCTGTTGTTCCTTTCTAAGAACCCCAAATGATTTTTAAATCTGTTTTAAAATTTTTTTATACTGTTTAAAAATTTTTAAATCTGTTGAGGCTCAGGTGCCTGTCATGGTTTTCCCACATACCTAGGCTCTATTCCTCATTTTCCAGGGAGTGGCTGAAGATTTCTAAATCGAGAGGGATTCCTTTTGGCTTGAGTGCCGTGCTCAGAATCTGTCAGACCCTTCTCAGGAATGGGACAGCTGTGCACGAAGAGCTCATGAATCACACCCTGCTCCCATGGGCATCTCTTGATACCTTTTGATGAAGAGTGAAAAGCGTTTTGGAAAAAGCTAGCGATGGTTTATATGTAAAGGGAAGGTGGTGTGATAGGAAACAGTGAGAGATTGAGGAAAGAGCAAACCTTGAACTGGGAGTCTGAAGATCTGTGTGTTGGTTCTGACTCTTGCACCACCTTGCTGTATGACCTTGAGCAAGCCCTTATCACCCTCTGTCCTCAGTTTCACCACCTGTGAAAGGAAGGAATTAGAAGAGCTTTCCCAAGGATTGAATGTTTTTTTCCGCAAATAAAATCTTCTGCCTGTGGGTTTTAGCCATTTTAGGGGTCACAAACTTCTCTAGGAACCTGATGATACTGTGGAATCTTGCCCTGAAAATACCCAAACACACACACATGCACACACACACACACACACACACACACAATCTATTCTAGAATCTTGCCTGAGATTGATAGCCTACAGTTACCAGTAACTGCCTCTTCTGTTTGGACAAGTCCTAACCATGTCTGCTCAGCTATAGAATTCCAGCATCTCTCTCAACCTTCCTGATGCATTGAAGTTACCGATCTATTTCATCTACAGGTTCTCGGGGGTCCCTGGAATGTAAGACATGAGCCAAGGGATCCATGTTTAGAAAAGCCTCAGACTCAAGCAACCTTGTTACGTAACTCCAGCTTCTGAACCAACTGACAATATTTGCTCTTTCTGATTTTATATCTTTCCTAGAATATGGAAGCAAAATCGGATTTGACATCGTCCCCTTCCTTCCATGACCACTGATATCACTCCTCTGCTCCAATTACAGCCTCAAGAGTGGATCCACACCTTCCTTCTTCTAAGTGTAATTAAAGAGGCCCTTTGTGCCGCCTTCAGATTTTTTTTTCTTGTCCCAACTTTTCCTGTGCTCTTGTCTCCGTGGAACTATTCATACAGGTCAGTATCATTTTCCTTCTAGAAAATGAGTCCATTGGAAAGCCTCCCGGTTAGCCATAAAACTTGAGATCCCAGGGAAAGATGTGGTCTTTCTTGCTGGAGACTGACTCAGAGATTATTTTCATGAAGCCAAGGAGTTTAAGCTCAGAGCCCCTCCCTTGTTTAAATCCCCTCAAGGACCTGAGGGTAAGAACCCTAGTATTGTGTCCTAGGGGCGATATATTTTAGCAAAGTTACAGAAATCAGATAAAATATATATATATATATATATATATATATATATATATATATATATTTATTTATATATATATATATATATATATATTTATTTATTTATTTATATATATTTTTGGAGACAGTCTCTCTCTGTTGCCCAGGCTAGAGTACAGTGGCATGATCTCAGCTCACTGCAACCTCCGTCTCCTGGGTTCAAGCGATTCTTGTGCCTCAGCCTCCCAAGTAGCTGAGATTACAGATGTGCACCACCACGCCTGGCTAATTTTTGTTTTTTTAGTAGAGACAGGGTTTTGCCATGTTGGCCAGGCTGGTCTCAAACTCCTGACCTCAAGTGATCCACCAGCCTTGGCCTCCCAAAGGGTACAGGCATGAGCCACCACGCCTGGCCCAGAAGTCAGATATTTTAACCATGACCGCTAAGATGTCTGTCTCTTTCCACTCTGATTTCCTTGCCTTCACATTTCTGTTTGTGCTGAGTGGCCTTGGAGGGCCTTGGAGATTTGCTGGGATCCAGCTAAGCGGAAGTTGAGTGTGGGATGCTTTTAGTCTGGGTTTAGTGAGATGTATTTATGTGGCCTGCAGTCACTTTAATGGGTATTTAAGTTGTTGCTGGCCATCCACAATGGGAAGGGCTCGTGGGGCCTTCTCTGCACTACCTGGCATGGAGAGGTGCATGGCTGGAGGGCATTTCACATCATGAGTGTGTCTTTTTGCAACCCCATTTACCCAATATTTGGGTAGTAAAAGGGAGACCAGGTTTGGAATGTATAGAACTGGTATGAGTTTCTTTCCTAGGGCCATTGTAACAAATTACCACAAACTGAGTGACTTAAAACAACGGAAATACAATCTCTCATGGTTCTGGAGTCCAAGAGTCTGAAATCAATGTGTCGACAGGGCTGCACTCCTCTCAAAGGCTCTGGAGAAGAATCCTTCCTCTTCTCGTTCAGCATTTAGTGGCTCTAGGAGTTCATTGGTTCGTGGCTGTGTAGCTCCAATCTCTGCCTCCGTCTTCACATAGCTGTCTCCTCCACGTTCGTGCCTTCTCTTCTGTTTCTTCTAAAGATGCTGGTCATTAGATTTAGGGCTCACCTGGTAATCCAGGATGATCCCAAGATCCTTAATTACATCTGCAGAGACTCCTTTTCCAAATGAGATCAAATTCACATGTTGATGGAGTTAAGATGTGGACATACCATTTTGGGGGCTATCAGTCAACTCACTTCAGAACCATAAGCTAGTCCAGGAATTTTTTTTTTTCATTAGAAATGTAAAACTGTAAGTTATTGGTTCTTAACAATGCCAAGTCAAAATAAAAATTCTTTCCTTCCAGGAATATAGTCAATTATAAATGCATCAAACATTTTTTTTCTTGATGTGAAATATGATTTCATCAGAATTCATGTGTTTGTAGGGTAAAAATTTACAACAATCCTGCACACAGCTAGAATGCTTACCTATAAGGTCACATGTTTATGATTTTCAAGTTATCACTGAATCATATGAACAATATTAAATTTTGTGCTGGTTTGAGATGAAATACTGACAGTAAGACAATATAAAACTCATAATAAACTACAATGAGAACATCAACAAACTAATGACTATTGTCAATTAAATAATTTTTAGGATGAGTCACTGTGCAAGAAAACTTGACATGCCCTGAAATATTATAGCTCATACATGAAAGGACCTCAATAGTGGTTTTCCCAAATATGACAATCCTAAAAACGTATGTATTACCAATATTAAGTTATGAAGCTGAAAGAAATTCTTCTCAACCATCAATAATAGAAAACAAATTTTGTCCAAGCATGCTAGAAGAAAGTTATTTTTCTTTCCTTCCTTCCTTCCTTCCTTCCTTCCTTCCTTCCTTCCTTCCTTCCTTCCTTCCTTCCTTCCTTTCTTCTTCTTTTTTTTTTTTGGAGACAGAGTTTCACTCTTATTGCCCAGGCTAGAGTGCAATGGTGCGATATCGGCTCACTGCAACCTCCGCTTCCTGGGTTCAAGCGATGCTTCTGCCTCAGCCTCCAGAGTAGCTGGGATTACAGGCAAGCGCCACCATGCCCTGCTAGTTTTTGTATTTTCAGTAGAGACAAGGTTTCACTATGTTGGCCAGGCTGGTCTTGAACTCCTGACCTCAGGTGATCCACCCACCTTGGCCTCCCAAAGTGCTTGGATTACAGGCATAAGCCACTGTGCCTGGCCCGAGTTATTTTTCTATACCCTCTATAAAAAACGATACCACAAAACCTTTGATGTAAGAGGAATCCATAAAAGAGTACACAGCAAAACAAATACATTTTTCCCTGAAAGTATTATAGAGGTATGTCAGGAAGTTAATTAATAAACATGCCATTTTTCTGGGTTTTGTGATATTTATCAGCTTAAACATTTAAAAAATGTAATTTAAAAATGTTGTGAATGATTTCCTTATTCTAAAAAAATACACAGTCATATCTAATTTTGTATTTGTAAACTTGCCTTCTTTTTCTTAAAGACCACCCATCAGGTTATACCAACAACAGGCCCAAGTCATGAAACCTGGAGCAGCCTTGGGTTTGAATGCTTCCTTGATTTTATTTCACTGCCTCTGTGGGTGACTTGCCCTTCATCAACTAGCCCTTTTCTCCCTTGCCTCCTCCATCTTTCCTTCCCTCCTGGTTCCTTTGCACATATACACATTCAGCTTGCTCCCAACCCACGCACATTTCTGTCTTTGCAGTTACTTCTTCGTTGGCTATTCCTCTTGCTGCCCAAGAAAGACAGTCGCTGCCTCTGCTCTCTCATCCCACCCTGTCCCCATCCTATTAAAACTGCTCTTTGCAGGGTCACTCACATCTCCTTACTAATTGAAGCACCTGGGACAGCTTTGTCAGGTTGGGTTGACCAGCGTGCAATGGTTCGCTCACTCCTCATTCGGGGTCCATGCATACTCTTAGATCTCCTCCCCTTCATTGCATTTCAAGTGTTACTTGTTCAGCATCATTTTCCCCAAACACCAGATCCTAGCACACAGCACGGAAGGAAAGAGGAATAAATAAGAACCAAGTGCCCACTATGTTCCAATCCCTGTGCTTGGCATTTTCATATATTTTGTTGATTTTCATATACCTTCACTTAATCCTTGCAGCAACCTGGATATAGATCATATTAATTCCCACTTTTAACCAGTTGGAAAACAGAAGACCCAACCAATTGGGAAATAGAAGTTTCAGTAACTTGCTTAGGATTTCACTATTAAATGACATAGGGCCGTGTTTGGATTCAAGGCCTGCCTGTTTCACTTTCAAGTCCACACTTTGTCTGCTAAGCTTTTCTGTCTCTGGATTGCTTGGGGAGCAGGGACACAACTATCATTTTTCAAATAGAATTAACTGACAGGGCCGTCCTCTTAAAGCTCGTCCACTGACTTTGCTGATGCTATACTTTCCTGATTCTTCTGTCTCTCATTTCTTGCTGCCTTCTGTAGTTTCTTACTCTCAAATTCAGCTCTCTTCTGTCCATTCTCCCCCATGCCTCTGCTGTCTACTCAGATAGCTTCAGCAGTCATTTCTTGGAGGATGACTTCAACTGCAGAATTGCTAGTAGGCGCCAGGCGCGGTGGCTCACGCCTGTAATCCCAGCACTTTGGGAGGCTGAGGCAGGCAGATCGTGAGGTCAAGAGATCGAGACCATCCTGGCCAACATGGTGAAACCCCATCTCTACTAAAAATACAAAAATTATCTGGGCCTGGTGGCATGCATCTGTAGTCCCAGCTACTCAGGAGGCTGAGGCAGGAGAATCGCTTGAACCCGCGAGGCGGAGGTTGCAGTGAGCTGAGATCACGCCACTGTACTCCAGCCTGGTGACAGAGACTTCATCTCAAAAAAAAAAAAAAAAAAATTGCTGGTAAGATTTCCGGTCCAAGCTCCAGTCTTTCTTCTGTAACTGTCCACCCATAATCTTCTCTCCTCTCCAAACCATCTGCTCCTGAGTTCCCATTTTCCCAGTCACACATACTTTAAACCTGGGGAATGGGTGTCACCTTTGTCTGTTCCTCACCTATTTAGTTCATTCAACAAACATTATTGTGTAGGTATTCTGTGCCCTGCACTATGCTGGGCCCCAGAAATTCACTGATGAGCAAGACAGAGTCTTAATCCTCAGGGAGCAATATTCTAGTCATAGTCAATTGATACCAACTCTACTGTGTCCCATCCTTTGCCTTGTCACTGCTATTTTCCTTGTTCACGTTCTGGTTGGCCTGGTCTTATTGCCTATGGTCTCCATGCAGTTTCCTTCCTATTCTTTAAGGATAACAACAAATGATTATATTTTACCCTCTGTGCTGAGGACATTGTCTCTTTTATGGTTCCTTGGGAAACTTCTAGTCCCTTGGTATGATTTGGAGTTCATTCTGCGTCTGCTAGCCACTTCTAGGGTGGATTATTTATCCATCTTATGGTGAGTCTGGTGAGTTTCCATTTTAAAGGTTACACTGGCCCTAGGCATTGGCCAGTCTAAATTGCATTTATAAAGGATCCTCAATCGACGTTGATATGGTCTGACTGTGTCCCCACCCAAATCTCATCTTGAGTTGTAATCCCCATAATCCCCAGGTGTCGAGGGAGGGAACTGGTGGGAGGATGGATGGATCATGGGGGTGGTTTCCTCCATGATATTCTTGTGGTAATGAATGAGTTGTCATGAGGTCTGATGGTTTTAAAAGGGACTCTTTCCCCTTTGCTCTGTCTTCTCTCTCCTGCCACCATGTGAAGGAAGTCCTTGCTTCCCCTTTGCCTTCCACCATGATAGTAAGTTTCCTGAGGCCTCCCCAGCCAGGTGGAACTGTGAGTCAATTAAACCTCCTTCCTTTATAAATTACCCAGTCTCATGTATTTCTTTATGACAGTATGAGAGAGAATTAATACATGTCTACCTCCAGCTGTCTCTCTCCAGCAGAATTCTACCTATCCTTCAAGGCTCTGTTCAAGTACCTGCTCCACTGTGGATTCTTTCCAGATCATCCCCATGCCCAACTGAATGCCATTTTCCACTTGTGGAGCTTTCTGTTGGTGCCTCTGGTTTTCAGCAATTACTGCACTGTACTTTGTAATGTAGAATTATGTCCCCTACAAGAAGGCAAGCTCCTTGCAGGTAGGGGCTTCTCTTTGCTCATTTTTGACCTTCTGGCTATCGAGCATTGTGCCTTGCCCATAGCAGGTGCTAAACAAATGTTGGCGAGTTAATGTATTTTCTGTAGGTCTCCCTTTCTTTCCTATTTAGCTCTGTGTCTACTCTCTGGTTCTTCTTCTTGCCTTTGCTCTGGCGCCATTATTTCTGTTTCATCTCATCTTCACAGAATGTTAGCTTTAAGAGAACTTACAGATTCCCAAGTCGAATGTTTCCTGTACTAGGCTGATCATCAGAAATACCTGGTAGTTTTTAAAACTTATTTTTATGTAAAAAATTATATTGGAGGGCTGGGCGCAATGGTTCATGCCTGTAAATCCTGGCACTTTGGGAGGCGAAGGTGGGACGATCACCTGAGCCCAGGAATTTGAGACCAGCCTGGGTAACACCAAAAAGATCCTGTCTCAACAACAACCAACCAACCAAACAAACAACAACAACAAAAAACTAGCCAGGTATGGTGGCACATGCCTATAGTCCCAGCTACTTTGAAGGCTGAGGTGGGAGGATCACTTGAGTCCAGGAGTTCAAGGCTTCAGTGAGCTATGATATGATTGCGCCACTGCACTCCAGCATGGGCAACAGAGCAAGACCTTGTCTCCAAAAAAAATCCCCAAAATACAAAAAACCCAACCAAATATATTGGTATATATAGTATAAGCAGTAAAGGAGTACAAATCTTAAGTGTGTAGCTGGGTGAAATTTTACACTTTTGTAACTACTATCGATATCAAAATGCAGAATATTTCCAATATGGAGAACATTCCCTCATGTGTACTCCTAGTTTATATCAATCTCCTCAAGGTAATTGCTATTCTAACTTATCTCATAATAAAACAATTTCATCTATTCTAAAAGTTTGTGTGTATATATATATATATATATATATAGTCTTTTGTGTATATATATATATAGTCTTTTGTGTATATATATATATAGTCTTTTGTGTCTGGCCCTTTTCTTTCAATGTTTTTGTCTGTGAGATTCATCCATGTTGCTGTGTGTATCTGTAGTTTGTTTTCTTTATTGCTATATAGTATTCCATGGTAGAAATCTAGCACTGTGTAGCACTGTTGATGGGCATTTGGATTGCTTCCAGTTTGTTGACTATTACAAATAAAGCTGCTATAAACATTCATGTGCATGTTTTTTGGTGGCTACCTGGTGGTATTAGTCAGGGTTCTCCAGAGAGATAGAACCAATAGGATCTATCTATCTGTCTGTCTGTCTAACTATCTATCTATCTATCTATCTATCTATCTATCTATCTATCTATCATCTATATTTTTAAAAATCAGTACTTAAAAAAAATATATATATGTGTATATATATATATATATATATATATATATATATATGAAATAAGGAATTGAATCATGTGGGTATGGAGGCTGACAAATCCCAAGACCTGTAGTCAGCAAGCCGGAGACCCAGGAGAGATGATGGTGTAGTTTCAGTCTGAATGCCTGCAGGCTCAAGACCCAGAGAGAGCTGATGTTTCAGTTTGAATCCAAAGGTAAGAGAGAACTGATGTTCCTGCTCAAGACAGTCAGGCAGAAGGAGTTCCCTCTCATTCAGTCTTTTTGTTCTATTCAGGTCTTCAAATGATTCGATGAGGAACACCCACACCATGGAGGGCAATCTGTTTTATTCAATCTACCAATTCTAATGTTAATCTTGTCCAGATATCCCCTCACAGACACACCCAGAATAATGTTTGGACAAATGTCTGGGTACCTCGTGGCCCAGTCAAGTTGACACATAAAAAAACCATCACATATGCATTCATTTCTATGGAGCCTCCAGGATCATAGGATCAGACATAGGATCATAGCCTTAGTAGATACTGCCAAACAGCGTTCCAATGTGATTAAACTGATTACACTCCCACTAGCCGTGTGTTAGCATTCTCCTTGCTCTATATTTTTGTCAAAACTTGATATGTTCAATCTTTTTCATTTTAGCCTTCATGGTGGGTTTGCGGTGATCTCAGTGATGTGCTGGAGCCAGCTTGTGGGGCTTGTGAGAGTCAATTGTATACACCTCTTCCCAATTCTGCATTCAGTGATGTCGCATTGGTGGCTTGAAATTGGCCATGGTGGGAGTTTTCACACCAAAAAAAAAAAACAAGAAAACCGCAAATCAGGCTTTTTCCCCTGAAGTATCAGTTATTAAATATTTACCAGTGTACCATTGGTAGTGGTATCTTACTGTGGTTTTGACTTGCCTTTTCCTGATGAGTTATGAAAGAAACATCTTTTCATATGTGTATTGGTTATTCATATATCTTCATTTATAAATTGTCTATTTATGTCTTTGGTCTACCTAAAATGATATGTTGTTATATTTTTTCTCTTTCTTGTTGAGTTGTAGGAGCTTTCTTCATATATTCTGGTTATGAGTTCTTTGTGGGATGTACATTTAACAAAGATTTTCTCCCACTCTATTGCTTGACTTTGTACTTTATTTTAATGAACAGACATTTAAAATTTTAATGAAAGTACAATTTATCGATCATTTCTTTTTGGTTTGTGCTGTTTATATTTTGTTTAAGAAATATTTACCCCAATCACTTGAATATTTTTAAAAATTACTGATCTGGGGGTTTACTGAATCAGGCTTTTGAGTATAAGACCCAGGGATCTGTATATTTTTGAAGCTAATGCAAGTATAAATGACTTTTAGACACCTTAAAAGTTTCTCAACCTTTTTTGTAATAAGTGAAATGTAAGTTTTAACCAAAATAAAATGCTATTTTCTTTTATTTATTTTTTTTGAGACAGGGTCTTGCTCTGTCACCCAGGCTGGAGTGCAGTAGTGTGATCTCCACTCACTGCAACCTCTGCCTCCCAGGCACAAGCAATCTTCCCACCTCAGCCCACCAAGTAGCTGGGACCATAGGCATGCGCCACCACATCTGGCTAATTTTTGTATTTTTAATAGAGATTGGGTTTTGCCATGTAGGCCAGGCTGGCCACATCTGGCTAATTTTTGTATTTTTAATAGAGATTGGGTTTTGCCATATAGGCCAGGCTGATCTTGAACTCCTGGCCTCAAGTTATCAGCTCCCCCCTCAGCCTCCCAAAGTGCTGGGATTATAGGCATGAGCCACCGTGCCTGGCATAAAATGCTATTTTCTTAATTATCAGATTAATGTGGATGAAAAAGTTGTATAACATCATGTTGGCCTAAGATGTGCAGAGACTGGCAGTCTCATATTGTTGCTGTCTGTGTAAATAAATACTACACCTATAGAGAGCAATTTAGCATATTAATCAAAACAAAAAAACCCCATGCACATGTCCTTTGATCTGTCTGGCAGTTCTACTTCTAGGAATATACCCTATTAGTATTCATGAATGTGCATGAAAGAGTGTGTTACTGCACTCTATTTACTGCAGCATTATTTGGAATAGAAAAAGATGGGAAATTACCTACATACCTACAATAGCCATGCAATGGAATATTAAGAAGTCAGTAAAAAGGAGACAGTTCTATACATACACATACGGAATGGCTTACAAATTATATGGTTAAGTATAAAAATGACATTGTAGAACAATGTTTAATGTCTTACCAGATATGTACAAATGGAAAGAGTTTATACATATGCATATATATAATATATATATACACTTCTATCTATATGCATGTATATCTATATCTATGCTAGTGTATTCAAATATATTTATTGAAGGAAAGAGAAACTTGGCTACAGTGTGTGTCACTGGGAGTGCTGAGTCTGCTATACATCTTTCTAGTACAGTTGACCCTTATATACCATGTTCATTTATTACCTTTTTTGAAAGCTCCCTAGTTGATGTGGATGATTGTCATATATCTCATATAAGGGGACTGAGTCTATAGAGTTTGGATCCAAGCAGGGATTGCTTGGGGCTCCTTGGTGCCCTCACTCTTCCAGTTGGTCATCCTCCCTCTCCTCCTCTCCCTGCCCTGTCTTGGCTTCCGGCTTTCAGAACCAATTTGTCCTACACAATTTCTGCCCTCTGCCTGGGATCCCACTGTAAGCTGTGGTGAGCCAGACACCTGCTCTGAGGGTCTGGATGGGAGGGAGAAGCAGCGCCACGTGCTGGACCAGCCCCTCTGGCCCTCCCTGGGTGATCTATGGCTTTTCAGAGGTGTGGTTTCTCACCACTTGAATAGAAAGCTTCGTTGTTCTTGGGAGTGAAAATAACCCTAAGATAAATGCTGGGGCTGGAAGGGCCCAGAGAATGTTTGGCTCTAGCTGCCCAGAGGCTCCTCCCTGGAGCAAAAGATCTGGAGTTAAGGAAGACAGGAGTGGGTTTCCCAAGGAAGATTTTGGCCATGAGTCCCCTGTGGATGGATGATCGTGAGCTGTGGCCCCTGTAAGGTCCATGGGCTCTTCTCAGATGCAACTGAGCTCCTAACATTTGCCTAAAACCTGCTTTCATCGTCAGTAACCCTCTGTCAACCCACAGAAACTTTCTATCACCCACCACTCATTGGATATGACATGACTAACCTCTCCATTACCTCTCCTCTTACCTGGAGGCTACCTTCTGTCTCCTCTACAAAAGCTCTTTTATCCTCTTTCTTCCTTTTGTCTTTCCATCCTCCTTTCCTCCTTGCCTTGTGGAGCCAGAATTTCATTTCTCTGGATGTTGTTGAGAAAGGCGAGACCTGGCCCCACACCTGGGCGCTGCAAACTCCATAAAGTTCAGGGTATGACTCTTCCATGGACCATAACCTCCTCCCTTCCCCAGTCCGGCTCAGGCAGGTCTGAAATGGAGGATGCCGGAGCTTCCGGGAGAGAAGAAGGGGCTGGGGGGTGTCTGGGGTGCGGGTGGGGTGTTTCAGGTTGCTGGAAGTCTCAAAATAAAGCCACAGGTAAGATTTGAGGTTGTTTATTTTTCACCCTCATTCCTAAGGTTCTAGGGAAAGTATTTTTAACACAGGAACTCTGAGAGGTGGCTTAAGACTTCCGAGAACCCCTGAGGGACAGAAACCCACGAGAGACAAGAGTAAGAATAGCATCAGAGTCCTCCAGGAAAGTCAGAGGCTGCAGTCCCCTCTACTCAAACCCCAGCCCTGGCTCAGGAAAGAGGAACTTGGAGGCCTAAGTCAGAGCCACAGAAAGGATTTTAGAGGAGTCCTCCTAGGCCGCAGCCCAGGACTTCCCTTGTGACGAGCATGGCTTCTCTGTGTGAGGCCTTATCGAAAGGGCTGGGAGGGGAGTTGCAAGAGGATAGGGAGGGATGTGGGGAGATAATGTGACTCCAGGATGTCAGGCAGGCAGAGCACCCTCCATTCAACACCCACCCCCCCGCCCTTCCGAGTTTCTGGGCGAGGTGACAGAGGCATAGAGAGCCCTGGGCTCACGCCCAGGTGCCCGCCACCACGCCCGGCTAATTTTTTGTGTTTTTAGTAGAGACGGGGTTTCACCGTGTTAGCCAGGATGGTCTCCAGCAGTGGGACAAAGCAGCCCCTCCCCTGTTCTTCTGTCTTTCTTGCCCGTACCCTGCTGGGGCCTAATGGAGTAGCAGGTTTGAAGAACAGATTTTGGGACTGACTGGACCCTAAGGACAGACAGCACAAGGTGACGAGAGGAGCTCTCCAGCTCCAGCTTCCGTCCCCTCAGTGGGGGTTGGCACTCAGGTCTAGGGGCTTTCCCATTGCTCTACCAGGGCCCCTATACCATGGACTCCTAAAGGCAAAAAGTGGCTATAAGATTGAAGAGTATGAACATCCTCTTGTCCATCCTCCCTGCCCCAGTGCTTTATCAGCTTTGCCTCTCTTTGGCTTTGTAAGTCTGGACTGAACAAGGGTTAGGATGAATCATGATCTTGGTTTATGTAAAGGAATGGAAGAGAAAAAGAAGTAGGAGAGAGAATGAGCATTTACTGAATCCTTATGTGCTGGACCCTGTGGTAGGCACTTAACCTCTACCATCTTATTTCAGGCTCATGGCAGCTCTTTGGAGTAGGTATTATCGCTCCCATTTTAGAGCTGAGGAAACTGAGTCCCCCCCTTTTTTTTTTTTTAAGACGGAGTCTCGCTCTGTCGCTCAGGCTGGAGTGCTGTGGCGTGATCTTGGCTCACTGCAAGCTCTACCTCCCAGGTTCATGCCATTCTCCTGCCTCAGCCTCCCGAGTAGCTGGGAGTACAGGTGCCCGCCACCACGCCCGGCTAATTTTTTGTATTTTTAGTAGAGACGGGGTTTCACTGTGTTAGCCAGGATGGTCTCGATCTCCTGACCTCGTGATCCGCCCACCTCGGCCTCCCAAAGTGCTGGGATTACAGGCGTGAGCCACTGCGCCTGGCGGGAAACTGAGTCTTTATGAGGTCCAGTGACTTGCGTGAGGTTACAAAACTGTAGAGAATAGAGTGGAGAGTGTGATCACAGCTGGTCTGGCCTCGGAGCCTTCAGACATGAATCTGAACTCCAGGCCTGAGGTGACCTCTGGGCAGGTTGTGTGGATGGCACACAGTTCTGAGGATGGAGCTTAACAGGTCAATACAAAACGCTCCTGGAGGCACCGACCAAATTCCCCAAAGAATCTGTTGAGGCTCAGACTGCCCCAACTCTGACCTCTATGGCCTCTTCCTTCTTGCTCCCTGCCCTGGGCATGGATTTCTCAGGGCTCCTTGATGATCCTCAGTGCTCTGGCTCTGGACTGGCAAATGGCTTTGTGCTCAGTCACTTAACAATCTGTGAAGAAATCAGTGCATTCCCATCTCTTCCCCTGGATTCAACCAGGGCTCACCAGTATGGGTTGTAACCACATCTGTGTGATTTGCTGGCACTGGGCAGAGGGGTGGTGCGGGGTGGGGGTTGTGTGCTTCAAGTTAAACTTTTCTAGACTAATAAACTGTTCCTTCCATTACAACTCGACTCCCCTCACCTTCCCCTGCCGGCCCCCCAGGACAGCCCCCGGCCCCCTTCCAGTCTTCCTCTCTCTTTCACTGAGGCTGACATCACACTCACATTTTCCAAAAATTCCCCAAATTACCCAGTCTTCTTAGCTCCTGCTGTCGTCTGGAATTACACATCCCACACACTGCTCTCACTGTCATTCCCTCCCGCCCTCACCCCCGAGTACTGGGCCTCCCTGTTTCTAGCTCCTGGTGGGCCCCACTTCCCACTGGCTTCCCTCAGCTTGGCCTGGGCAGTGAAGCAGCAGAGTGGGTCCAGCCCATTCAGGAGCTCTTCTCACCAGGCCCAGCAAGGAGAAGGATGGTGGAAGTAATTCAGGCTGTGGGCAGGTGTGTGTGTGAGGGGGTGGGTGCTTTGAAAGGCCCTGTGATATGGAGAGGGGCCAGACCCTTCTGAAGCCCCAGTCAGTGGGATCGGTCATCCCATTGTGCAGTGGGAAAAGCACAGGGTTTGGAGTCAGAAGACCCGGGTTCAGGTTCTGGTCTTGTCACTCGTGGGCGCTGTGCTCTTGTGCCAGTCCCTTCCCCGGTCCCCCTGAGCCTCAATGTTCTCCCCTGTGTGTTTTTCATAAAAGACCACAGCAGTATTTCCAGTCCCACATGCTCTTCCAGAACCTTGTCACTTTCCATTGAGAGGTGGAGGCCATGTCCCCTTCCCTTGAATCTGGACAGGTCTTTGTGACTGCCTTAACAAATAAATGCATCAGAGGTGACTTCATGTGACCGCCTAGGCTAGGTTACAAAACGCATGTGGCTTCCGCTGGCATGCTCTCTCTTTCACCCCCACGCCAGAACTGGAAATTGCCCGCCATACTGTGAGGAAGCCCAGGCCATGCAGAGAGGGTATATGTAGGTTCTGGCTGAGGGTCCCAGCTCAAGTCTCAGCCGACAACCAGTATCAATGGCCAGACACATGAGAGTCATCAGATGATTCTGGCCCTCAGTCTTCTACTGGCCCAGCTGGTGCTGAACCGAGGAGGGAGAAGGGGCTTCCCCACTGAGCCCTGCTCAAATTGCAGATTTGTGAGCAAAACAAATGTTACTGTCTTAAGGCACTACTTTTTGGGGGGGTGGTTTGTTCCACAGCTCCAGATGTCTAGAACAGGATCATGACAGTAATACTAGGCTTATAATAATTGTGAGGGCTAATTGAAGATATCCATGTGGAGCCCTATAAGGCACTATATGGCAGTCTAACACATTGTCATCATCGTTGCCGTCAAAGCACTTCGGTGTCCCAAGACATCAACGTGTATGTCTATAAATGTGGCAAAATGGGCTAGATGCTCCCCACATATCACTTCATTTAATCCTTACAATTTTCCTGTGGGCCATGACCTCCTCCTCTCTTCTCTAATCTGGCTCAGGCAGGACTGAATTGGTTATTGTAATAATTAAATTAAGGTTGGTACTATTATTTTCACCAGTTTGCAAATGGAAAAACAGAGACGCGGTTAGTTTAAATTCAGGTGGAATGGGAATTTGAATCCCGGTCTGGCTTACTGCTGCATTTATACTCCTCTTTCTCCAGGAGCCAGGGTTGGGGCTGTAGCCTAAAGAAAATGGTGACATGAGGGCATCTCAGCAGGTCCCGACCTGAGAAAATACTTCCGTTTACTCTATTTAATTTTATTTTGAGGCTGGGCATGGTGGCTCACACCTGTAATCCCAGCACTTTGGGAGGCTGCAGTGGGTGGATCACCTGAGGTCAGGAGTTCAAAACCAGCCTGACCAACATGGCGAAACCCTGTCTCTACTAAAAATGCAACAATTGGCTAGGGGTGGTGGCACATGCCTGTAATCCCAGCTACTTGGGAGGCTGAGGGAGGAGAATCACTTGAACCCAGGATGCAGAGGTTGCAGTGAGCCAAGATTGCTCCACTGCACTACAGCCTGGGCTACGAGAGCGAAACTCCCTCTCAAAAAAAAAAAAAAGAAAATTATTTTGACAAACACTTACTGAGCACTTATAATGAGACAATATGTTACGTAGGCCCTGGATGCATAAGGCAATGACCCCTTCTTTGAGGAGCTCATAGTTTTGGGGTGGTGGGGAAAACGGATACTTTCTAACTATGTAACCTTAGATAAGCTATTCAGAATCTCCAAGTCTCAGATTTGTCATCTGTAAAATGGGGATAATTATAGTACCTACGTCAGAGGGTTGTTGTAAGAATTACATAAATATGCCAGGCATGGTGGCTCACACTTGTAATCCTAGCACTTTGGGAGGCTGAGGTGGGAGGATCATGGGGTCAGGAACTCGAGACTAGCCTGACCAACATGGTGAAACCCCGTCTCTACTAAAAATACAAAAATTAGCCGGGCATGGTGGCACACACCTGGAATCCCAGCTACTCGGAAGGCTGAGGCAGGAGAATCGCTTGAACCTGGGAAGCAGAGGTTGCAGTGAGCCGAGATCACGCCATTGCACATTGCACTCCAGCCTGGGTGACAGAATGAGACTCCACCTCAAAAAAAAAAAAAAAAAAAAAAGAATTACATAATATACTCTATTTAAAGCGTGGTGTGCGCTGAAAGTGCAGGTATAGAAACAAAGATTTGCAATGTACTGAGATATATGTCAAAATAAAGGGGGACAAAGTATGATGGAAGGAGAGAAGAGTAATTAATTTGTCCTAGAGGGAAGAGGGGGTAGCAGAGAAGAGGTGAATTTTGTCCTGAGATTTCAAAGGCAAGCAGAAATAGCAGATCGTCTGTGGAAAGACAGAATTTAGTGTGTCTGGAAAACAGAGCAGACTGTGGTGGCTGGAGCACAAGGCTGAAGGTGAGAGTTGAGGCAGCTTGGGAAGGGGCTGTGGTGCATCAGGTTGCAGGGCAGGACTCAGGCAAGAGTCTCCCAGCCAGGCTTAGAGATGAGGCTTTAACTTGCAAATGCCCAGGAGGAGGACTCCAGGCTCTATGGTGCAAAATGCTTGGCAGAATAGGGCTCAGAGGGGAGGTTGGTGCCTAAAGAGATACTTTCACCCCTCTCAAAAATCTGCTCCGGGTGGGCCCTACTACTTAGTTCCTCAAGGAATTTCAGTGAAGCCAGATCATCAGAATCTGCACTTGCCAATAAACCAGCAGTTCCCCTTGCTCGGAAATATCCCAGAAATCTCATCCATCGCTGACCAATGAATGTCTGCTTGGGGAAATTCAAAGTCCTTAGGGTCAACAACGTGCTTCCTAGCTGGTGCGTCTGATCCCAGAAAGAAGTCTCCACAGGAGTCTTGGGCAGGCTCTGGGCTCTGTGTGTGCAAACAGCTGCTTTGGTTTAAATATTAATAATGCAAAATGAAATGTGTGGGGTGCCCGGCGCACCAGAGCCCAGCCAGTGTGCGTTGATCTAATGTCCTCTGCACTTGGGTTTGGAAAAATGTGGTCAGTGAATTTAATATAATTTTTGGCAAAGGGAAGATGACAGTTAACTTCTCTCCCCAGTCTCGCTAATGTGGGTTTTCTCCCTGAAAAGCAGAGGACGGAGAGTGGTTTCTCCCAGGGTGCCAGCAGGCCTGCTGCCCAGATTCTGTCATGGCCCCTCGGCTCTGCCACCTTGACACTGGCAGAGGGCTTTGGGGGCCACAGAGCATCCCACGGAGGGGGAATTGGAGAAGTAGCTAGACTTGTTCAGGACCCAGCAGGGCCTGGGTGGGGCTGAAATCCTAGTTCCTGCTGGCTCGGGCTCCTCCCTCCAGAACATTCTCTCCCCATTTCGTGCCTGCTTCTTGGATTGCCCCTTCCTGCTGTTCATTAGCAGAGCTCATGGGGAGAATGTTGGTGCCACTGGGCTGTCTGTCACAGGGCTGCCGAGATTGGACAAATGAATCAAGGTCTCCACAGCCCTCATGTCAGACCCTAAGCGCTTTGCCTCCCTCAATCCCACTGCATTTTTTAACCCTGGGGAGGCTCTGACTTGGCTGCTGTGAACAGTTTCCCCTCCATTCCTCCTGCACCAGCCATCGCCACAGATTGTGGCCTCTTCCTCTTCTCCAACATCCCAGGCCCCGGAGTTTCTCTCGCCAAATGCCGCAAGTCTCAATTGGCTTCTTGAGAAGCTCATAAATGCTTGGTGACATCACGGTCCCCAAGTTGGGGAGCAAGAGTGCATCAGAGGCCAACATTTCTGAGGAGGAGAAGTCACAGGCTCTGGGATTGCCTAACAAAGGCACCCTGTGTGAGCGTGGTCACAGTACCACTGTTGCCGCCACCACAGAACTGGAACCGAGATGGCCAGGGCTTCCCCAAAGTCTGTCTCTGGTTTTATGCAACCCAGTAATGTTCCCCACTAAAGGCCTGAGCAGATCATCCTGCAGTGAGGGCCAGGAGGCCCTGCTGGTGCTCTTGCTGTGGCCCACTCTGGGGGGTCCCCCAGGCTGCTGGGAGAAAACAGTTACCCCAGGGCTCCTCAGGGGTAAGGAGTGGACAGGAGGCAACAGAGAAGCAGCCGTGCCCAGGGTGGGTGGAAGCTGCACGCACCCAGCTCTGGGGCTCCAGCTGTGCCCCAGGCTCCAGCTCTCCTACCCGCCCCCCTTGGCGTCCGGCCCTTGGGGAAGCTGAGAGAAAGTCTCGCCTGTTCTGGATGCCGCAGGCAGGATCGGCCACAGTGATCTCCTTCATGTGTCACCGCTGGCTGTAAGCGCTGTGTTTGGTTTGGCAAAACAGCTATTTAAATAGCAGTGAAATGTGTCACTGGAAAAAAAATTAGCTCATGTTTCCTTTGCCATTTCTTCATGATTTCCATTAAAAGTGTAACCAAGGGTAATAAATTAACAAGATCTGTAAAAGAGACCATAGGAAACCATGGATCCAGAATTCCCATAAACTTCTAACCCATGGAGCTAAAAAGCAAGGCTACTTGGGGGAAGGGGAATTGGATCACCCATACTTCAGTTTTCTTTGTGTCTGATTCCTACTCCTTGCCCCTCCCAGCCCCCCGAAATATGAAAGGAAAGCCTCCACTTCTTTCAGGGGTTACTGTGGTTATCAGGGGTAAAATTCTTCACTTGGAAACCCCAAAACCTGGGGGCATTGCTTGGCACTTCCTGTTTCATAAGAAAAGCAAGAAAAACCAAACAAAAATGCTACCTCCCTACCAAGATATAATCCTCTTTCTCCATGTTGTGTCTGACCCGGTCCTAACCAGAGTCCAGTTCTTGAATTCTCAACTCTCTGTGGCAATCAGCCCTTTTCCCAGGGTGCTTGATGCCAGATTGCAGCTCAGCGTTGCAGACAGGAACACTGAGGTCAAAGGAAAATGTTTGCCTTTGACACAAAATCCAGTATCAATGGATGGATGAGGAGCTGCAATCCTCACCAGTGCTGCCATCCCCACTCTCTCTCCTCTGTCTCCCATTTCTCTCTCTCTCCCCTTGTCTCCACAATACTTGTTGTGCTGGGCTGGCACACAGGATCACAGTAGGGACCTGAGAGTCTTTCTGCAGATAGTAGGGTAAAACAGCTGCCACCAAGGAAGGTGGCCCTGAGGAATGTGTTTGTTGTGACAGACAGTGGAGGAGCCAAGGGAGTGTAACTGTTCCTTGGCTCCCCATTGAGTGTGGGAGCAGTGCCTTACCCAAGGGTTGGGAGCATGGGGGATAGGACTGGAGGGCGTGTTAGTGTTGCACCCAAGACTGAGAAAGGGCAGACGGCCAGAAGAGTGTGCCCAGTGTTACACGCGGGGCTAGAGGAGTGGGGGAGAGGACTGGAGGACTGTGTTTAACACAATGCCCAGAGGCTGGGGGAGTAAGGAACAGGACTAGGAGTGTGTTTAGCATTATACCTAGAGGCTGGGGAGGTAGGGGTCATGATTGAGTGTATTCAGTGTCACACACAGAGACTAGGGAATGGGCGAGAAGACTGGGGGAGTGTGTTCAGTGTCACACAGGACTGGGGGAGGGGGACAGGACTGGGAGTGTGTTGAGTGTTACACCCAGGGGCTAGGGAAGTGGGGGACAGGATTGGAGAGTGTGTCAGTGCACCTGGGGTTTGAGGAGTAGAGGAGAGACCTGGGGGAGTGTGAGTGTCACACACAGGGCTTGGGGAGCAGAGGAGAGGATCAGGGTAAGTGTTCAGGGACTGCACTGGGGGAGTATGTTAGTGGACCACACAGAGTCAGGATAGAGGGTCTGGCAGGAGTGAAGGGAAGGCAAATGGAAACCAATTCATCTGTTTTTGCCTCTGGTTCTCTGTGGCTGTTATCACTCTGTTCTTCATGGTCTGTTGTCCCGCTGTCCTTCCTCAATTATCCCTTTCATGAACCTCTCAACCCACCTTTATTAGTTCAATGTGATGCATCCATTTGTCTCCTGTTAGGTGGAAGATGGCCTGAGAAAGGGGAGGTTTGTGCTGTTTTTGAAACCCCCGGTCATCCAAGCCCCAGGACATCCTCTCTTTCTGGATCCCAACTCCTCTTGCACAGGAGACCCTGGACTAAGACGGAGGTTTGTGCAGGCCATGTCTTGCTTTTTTTCCTAGAAGGCAGTGGTGTGGAATGTGGAGGCTCAGGAAACTCTTCATCATAATGAAATTAGAGAGGGATTTGAAATCAATGTCTTCCTCCACTGATTTCCATTGGCATCTCCTTCTTTTGCCCCCAGTTCCTGAACCTTTCATTCTGTCCTCACAAACACCATCCTCCATTGTCAGTTTTACCAGCCTCTTTTCCCTAGGAGTATCTGGCTTTGTTTGCTCATCTCTGTCTATGACACCCAAGGGACTAGCTCCTTGATAGGTCAAGGGTATGCAGCCCTCCCAAACTCCCTCTGGGATCTTGGACCCCAGAGGGAGCCCTTCCCTTTCAGCCCCAGGCTGAGGGCACTGCAGAGGCACCTGCTGTAATGAAAGAGAAACATCTGCTTGTTTTGTTTACATTTCATCCAGATGTTTGGGTGCCATATAGATGCAGCCTGTGGGTTGTCTGAATGCCGTGACTGGAAACTGAGCTTCCCTCTGCTTGGAGCAGGGAGGCAGAGAGGGAGGGACTTTGAACTGAGAAGGAAATGGGGCTGGACTCCAGACCCTGACTGGGGATGGGGTGGGGGAGGGGCAGGAAGGCGCGACAAGGAAGGTGGGGAGGATTGCAGCCCAGCAGTGGCAACAAGTGGAAGGAGATTGCTCATAAACATTGGATCTGTTTACAAAGCCACCAGTGGAGGCAAGCACTTGCCAAGCCTTGATTTTGAAAAACTGCCCTTTCTAGTGTTTTCTAGCACTTCCCAGATACCAAGTGAGGGCCTACACTGTGCTCTGCAGGCCTCTCCTACACCCCTGACCCACTGCTCTCTGCACATCCTGGTTCATGGTTGGGAAGCAAAGAAAAGCAGCTCCAGGGCCTCTAGCCCAGAGCCCAATTAACAATGCCTGGCAGTGAGCATAAATCACCACACTCCCCCTTTTCCTGGGCTCGGGGCTGGAAAGTATCAGAACTGTGCAAATACTTGGGATGTTTCTCTTTATTAGTGATAAAATATTGGACGTCAGCGTGCGCCATTTCATGCCCTGCCTCCGACAGTTGGAGCAGTAATTGTGATGAATAGGGGCCTAGGGGCAGGGCTGTAGGCGTTTAAGAAGGCTCTGCGGATTGAAAATATTAGGATTGATTAAAGGTCAAATACTTTATAAATTTATCAGTGCTAGATACATTCTCCCCAGGTGGGGGCTACCCTTCCAGGCAGTTTAAAAAAGAACTCAGTATGGTTGAACGCTCTCCTGCCCCTTCCCTCCTGTCCCACCGTATTTAACCTACAAAACTGATTCAACAAGCAGACATTTTCCTGTAATTTGTGTGCCCTTTTGCATGTCCTGCCAGGAGACAAGTTCAGCACGGACATCTTTGGGAGGAGTCTGCCCATTTCTCACTGGAGAAAAAAGAAAAACTTCCCTGGGATTGAATCGGTGGAGATAGAAGCTGGTTGAGGCTTCCAGGCTGCTCTGAGATGAGCACAGAGCTTCCCAGGGACATTATCAGAAATAGCTGTTACCCACCCAGGGAGCACACAGGGCAAAATGGGGGTCTGGGCTGATTCTGTCTTTCCCAAAAGGACTTTCTGATTTCCTGTTATTTGATAAAGAGATCTTTGTAACTCTTTGACTGCTAGCAAGCTCAGAGTAAAATTCTGTTTCATCACCACAGCAGACCTCTCCTGCCTCCTTATGATAAGGGTTGTCTACTGAACAAATGTTTATTGAAGCAGGAAGCATTCTAGTGCTGGGGATGAAGTAGGGAACAAAATAGATGAAAAGCCCTGCCCCATGGAGCTTATATTCAAGGGAGGAGAGAAAAAATAAAAACGTATAAATTGTATAGATATTACATAATAATCAATGCTAAGGAGAAAGATAAAGTAGAGGAGGATAGGGAGTAGGAGGGCAGTGAGAGGAGATTGACATTTCGGAAATGATCAAGGAGGGCCTGTCTGAGACCTGGAGGAGGTGAGGGAGTGAGCCAGACAGTTATTGGGAGGAAGAGTGTTTGTACACTTGTTTTAATTGTGCTAGCACCTAAGTATTTCAGTATTGGTTGTCCTCATCCTTTTCGGAATTTGGTGTGGTATAAATAAAAACATATGCAGAAAACGAATGAGGTAAAATAGAACCTGCTCAGTGAAAGAGATTTCCAACACCCTAGGCTAATGGTTTGCGTCAGAATCACCTGGAGGGCTTGTTAAAACAAAAATTGCTGGGCTCTACCTCTAGAGTGTCTAATTCAGTGGGAGTCTGAGAATTTGCAATTCTAGCAAGTTCCTAGGTGATGCTGTTGCTTCGCTGCTGATCCAGGGACCAAAATTTGACAACCACTGCCCTAAACCAACAGTGCATGCTCACAGGTGAGGCTTCCTGGGAGAAGAAAACTTGGAGAACAGTTTGGGAAGAAGAGTAAAGAGTAATTTTTCAGTCTCATTCTTTAAAAACAAGAAACAGTGGATATTAAATCAGACTGTGGGCCAAACTACAGGTGGGTGAGCAATGGGCCAGTTGGTTGAAGTTGAAGCTGACATTTCCTCTTCCTCCCTCCAACATCCTGGGCTGGGACAGAGAAAAAAGAGCCAGCAGAGAAAGGAAGAACACCTGTACCTGGGCAGGTGTGTTGGCCAGCTTAAGACTTGGGAACTGGAAGACAGGGAGGCAGAAGGTAGAGAAGTGTTCCTCCCCCTAGACCAAGCCTCAGGAAGCTCTGCAGGTAAGGGACACACACACACACACACACACACACACACACACACACACACACACACACATTTCTAAAGGCAGCTTTCCCCAAAGGCACTCAATGTAACACTGCTATCAAGGGATACCCATCGCTGTCACCAAAAAATGATTCTTTTGTGAAACATGTTTAGATCACACTGAGTTAAACAAATTTCTTTATTGCAGGACTTCTCAGGCCCTCTAATATGCAAAGTGCACTGTGAATCTCCCCAGATGAGGATCTAGTATCCAGTGTTTCATAAACTTTTTGACTACACAATCATCTTTACTTTCTCATTTTACAAGACCAGTGTACAATGGGATATGCTTTGGAAAACACTGCTCTTGGGATTAAGTGGTCTCCTTTAAACCACACTGATGGGCAAAATGATGAAACCCTCACGCAGCCAAGAACTCTGAAAGCATCTTTCAGCAGACATGCAATCAGTCCTTTGTTTTCTTAAAGATTCTAGTTGCATTAGAAGGGTTCCTAACTCTGCCCAGGGTTCAGCACCAGTCCTTAGGTCCGCATGAGTCTTGGAGGTAAAAGCGTGGACTCCTGAACCTTATGTATTCAACATGGACAGGACTAGAAGATGCCATCACTCCCATGGATATCCGAGTCTTGTTCAAATATACTCCCGCTGCACAGAATGTGTAGAAGTGTGTGTTGACTAGCTGGGCCTGCAGAATTGATTGAACAGGGCATGGGTACTTTACCGAATCTGAGCACCTGGCTCCAGTCTGTAAGCAGGGCCTGTAGCACTGAGAAGGGGAGGGGCATAGAGGCACAGCTGGGTCTGGAGAACAGCAGCCCTGATATTTACGACTATGATGGTCCTTCTCTAGTGGACCTGCTTTGGAACATAAATAAACTTAATAGGCTTCAAATAATTGTGACAACTGAGTTTAAACCCCAGACTGTGGTCTAGGGCAATGGATGTCTCTCTCCAGAAAGCATCATGCAGTCATCCTGATGCCAAAGAGACAATTTCAGTCTTGAGCATAGCGGCACCATTGACTTGTTGGTCTTTGGGCAAAGAGACTGGGGATGGGGAAGTGGCCTTGGGAGTGAACCAGAGGAAGGAGGTCCATTCTTGCAGAATGTTCCAGTGTCCCAGGCTGAGATATATTACTTACCTAGTCCAGCCTCCAACCTAATGGGATAGATTTCAGATCTGACTCCTTCTTTGTGGGGAAGGGTAAGCCCATCCCTTTCCCCCTTCCCAGCCATTTCTAGAAGCTATTGCTGAGACATGTAGAATTATAGCTTTGGTTCAAGGCACAGGCATATTTTGAACACTTTCTGTGTGTAAGACAACATATCATCTTGTAGGAAAGAAAGACACATCTCTCGTACAGAGCAAACTGGGATAAAGGGCCATCATATAGAGTTATAAAGAAAACGAAGGAGATAACATGGATTAGTTTCTGCTGAATAGGGATGGGACTTTCCAGGGGAGGGAGAGACCTAAACAAAGGCATAGAGATGAGGGAGTACCAGGAATGTTCAGAGAACAGTGTGGTCGAGTGAGAGAGCAAGCAGAAAAAACGTGTTGGAGCCAGAACTCGAAGAGTCTTTTCTTTCTTCCTGCAGGATTCGGATTTCATCAAAGAAGCACTAGGAAGCACAGTTTTATTTTATTTTTTTTTAAAGTTAATACATGCATGAAGTCTTCAAACAACACAAATTGTATATTCACTGAAAAGTGTTTCTCCTTCTCATCCCTGAGCCCTAGTCACTCAGTTCCCTTTCCAGAAGCAGCTGTTATTACCAGTTTCTTGTGCGTTCTTTCAAAGGTATTCCATATCTTTGTAAACATATATGAAAATATATCTCCCTGTTACTTTTTAAACACCAATATTAGTATATTATATACACCGTCCTGTACCTTGCACATTATACTTAACCATAAATCTTGGAGATTTTTAGGTGGAGTTCACTGCATTCTATAGTTGATGTAATAAGACTCTATTAACGGACATTTGGTGTTTCCAATCTTTTGCCCCTTCAAACAATGATGGAGTGAATACCTTTGTATGTACATCATTTTGTGCATGTATCTATAAATTCATAGAAGTGGAATTGCTTGATTAAAGGGTATTTGCATTATGATATAATAAACTTTACATGAAAAAATTTCATTCAGGGGATAATGGGACCAGGTCTGTTTTAGGAAGGTCCTTTTGGATGATGGGCAGGAGAAGAGGCAAGTTTGGAGAGTGCTGTGATTAAACCAGGTGAGACCGATAAGGGGAAATAGAGTGAAGGGCAAGGATGGGAGAGACACAAGTAATTGATCAGATGTTACTAATAACATGGCAGAGGAGAAATCAAAGACAGCTTGGATATGCAGAGCCCCACAACGGGGATAGACTAACTAAGAAATAGGAGGTGTAGCTTTTAACATTTTCTTAAAAAAAAAAAAAAGCAACAACAACGGAAATGTGTCTGCGTAGGTAGGAAAGCAGAAAGCGAAAACACCACCACCTCAGGACCTCTAGAGCAGAAAGGAGACTGGTACTCAAAAAAAGGGGACATCTCCTAATGTCCCCTGGGGATAAGTTGATCAGAACCAGTGTGGTTACAGACAAGCAAAAGGTTAAGAGCATGAACGTTAGAGTTTTTGAGTTTGGAAACACCTTATGAGTTGCATTAATCAGTTTAGGTTTTCAGCTGGAACCAGCAATCATCACATTTCAGTGGCTAACGCAATAGGTTATTTCTAGCTCATATCACCATCCAATGCAGGTTGATGAAGGGGCTCTGGTGAAAACAGTTGTTTAGAATCCTGTATTCTTCCATATTCAGGTTCTACCCTTTCTAGGCCCTCAGAATCCTCTCCATTCAGTCACTGAATAGGAAAAGAGAGAATCATGTATGGGCAGAAACTGGAAATAATGTATGTCACTTCTATCCACTTTCTATGGGTCAGAATTCAGTCAGATGGCTGCATCTAACTTCACAGGAGGGAAAGTGACATCTTGTTGTGTACCCAGGAGGAAAAAAAAGAAATGTCTGATGAACACCTAGCCAACTTCTGCTTCCAAAACTATGAGTCCTGGGCAAATTATTGAACATCTCAGAGGCTCAGTTTTCCCATCTGTAAAATGGGAATAATGATACTATTACCTCATAAGTAGGATTCTTGTGAGAATTAGTTTATGTATGTATGTCGTCCACTTAGCCTGCCGTAAGTAGATGAATGACCATTGTAGCAAATATGTGTACATATTCATAGCATGAGTTATTTGGTTGTGACCCTATGAGAGCAATTGTGGTGGTTTTCCCAGCCTTTCTCTGCCCACTCCAGGTCTATGCAGAGAGAGGAAAGTTCAGTCTGTTTATGACTGACCTACCCCATTCTGGTCCCAAAGTAGATTTATTTTCCTGAAATAAATCATTTGGTTTGGCTGACTCCATGGATCAAATGCATGAGATTATTTCCAAATCTCACTATGCCTGGTCCATGTAGACAGAGCCATAACCTCTGCCAGGCAGCTCTGCTCATAGCATATGCAGGCTGCAGAATGATTCTTGTTCATTCTTTCATGTTATTCCCACACTTCAGAAGTCTGGAGGGAAGCTGAATGTTTGCTGTTCTGGGATCATTTGAAGCCGGGCATGCAAAGAGTTCCGAGTCACTTTCAAGTCTGCCCGTAGGAAATCTTTCCTGGCAACCAGACAACTAGAATTAGTTATTAAAGGCATGTCAAATGAATAAAGACACCTCTGTGAGGAAAACCGCAAGAGCAGTCACTTTTTCTAATATGAATAGGAGGCTAATATCAAATCACCTTTAATTTTCCACTCTTTCTTTGCTCTTTCGATAGTAGGTCAAATCTAATAATACAGATACAGTGGAAAACCATTTCTGTTTTCATCTATCACAGTACATATGCCCATTGCAGATCGGTGTCTTAAAAACCAGGGTCTGGAATTTAAATGAGTACCTGCACACTGACAAGGCTGTTTCCTCCAGGAATGTTCTGCTGGGTGCCAAGCTTGTGTTGCCCTTATGGGCTGTGAGAAGCTAATCCATGAGACAGAATAAAGCATGGTCTTGTCTCTATACCGTACACCCCACAGAGCCCAGGACACAGCGTTTGCTGAAAGGCAAGGATGACCATGAAGACCTAGCCACCATGTTCCACAAGGACCAGGGGAGAAAAGCTGTGGGAAGGTATTTTGTAAACACAAGTCTGCTTTCCAGATATGAGTTCCCAAAGGCCTGGTGAACTCTCTTTTCCATGTGGCCTATATTTAGGGTCACTGTAGATAGATTTGTGGACAGGGGGAGCTGGTGACCAACAGGGAGTGCTGTTTAGTGGTTAGGAGACTCCAGAATCTGGAGCATTGCCTGGATTCAAACCCCGGTGCTGCTGTGTTTTGTTGTTATAATGGGCTAGCTGCTCTGTTTCTCTGGGCCTCAGTTGCCTCATCTATAGAATGGGGATAATAATATCTACCTCGTATGGTTGTTGCAAGGATTAAATGAAATAATTCTTATGAAGTACTTAGAACAAATGTGTGGCATCGAGTAAGCTCTCCATGAATGTTGACTATTTTCACTAGTGTTATCAGCAATAATATTAGAGTTACCAACAGGGAAAGGATCCCTGGGTGGATGGGTTGCACAAACTCAAACTATATGGACTTCATATAGAAGGGAATTTAGTTGTTTTAGGGAAACAAATTAGTTTCCCTCTCGGGTGTAGCCACCTTGAAAGCTCTTCTGTTGGGTAGACATGACTTCAGGTTTCATGGTAAGATGGGGGAACTGCCTCCACACAAAAGCCCTCCCAGGCAGGCAGTTTCATATTCTGGAAACAGAGTTTTTCATTGAAGATCAGAAATACAGAAACCATCTGTCATTATCGGTTCAGGCTGCTACAACAGAATACCATAAACTGGGTAGTTTAAACAACAAACACTTGTTTCTCACAGTTTTGGAAGCTGGAAAGTCTAAGATGAAGGCACCAGCAGATCTGGTATCTGGTGAGGGTCCTCTTCATGGAGAGAAGACAGATGGCTGTCTTTTCTCTGTGTCCTCACATGACTCTAGTCTCTTTCTCTTCTTGTAAGGTCATTAATGCCATCATGGGAGCTCTATCCTCATGACCTCATTTAAACTGAATCACCTCCCAAACGCCCCACCTCCTAATATCATCCTATTCCGAATTAGGGTTTCAACATATGAATTTCGGGGGATAGAAACGTGCAGTCCATAATACCGTTTAACTGACCACGCTTACTCCAGTCTTCTAGAAATTAACCCCTCATCAGCTGAGCTCCTCAACAGGTGGGCTCCCTGGATAAGTCTTATGTTATGAGTTTTATGTGTCTAAGAAATTTGCATGCCTTTTTCTTTAATTTTTAAAGGCTGAGGGGTCATTTTCCAGCATTTGCCCCTGGACCTAAGTGTAGGCCAACCTTGTGGCTTACTTGGCCCTGATCCTCACCTTCAGGGTAACCCTTCCTTCTCCCTGGTAGCCTCAGGCCAGGGCGTGGCTCTCCTGCTTCCTTTCCATTGACACTGAAGGTGGATCTTCCATGGATTTTGGATCCACACCATGTGGCTGCTCTGAGGTTTCTGGGTTTGTTCTGGGAGAACAGAGATTGGTTGTGCCTCATAGTGCCTCAATTTACAGGTATAAATCAGGGGACAGGCAAGAGACTGACATACTCTCTGCAGGCAGTTAGCAAAGTAAGATAAGGTAAAGTAGCCAGGGAATTCAAGACAGAACTCTTAGCCTTTTTTGTCCTTGTGGTCTCCATCTTTGATAGTTTTAGACGCAATCACTGTTTAACTAACCAATCAGTATTGTGGCCTCAATTTTGTGCATTAGTTTCTTGATCAAAATGTGAATTAAATGAGAACAAGTTAAGACTTTTTTTGCTTGTTTGTATTCTCTTCTTTTTTCAAAAAAGAGATCTATTTTAAGGTGGCTAATTTATCCATGTAGAACTCCAAATGAAAATGGCAATGGAAAACTTCACTTTGATACTGGGATAAGGCCATCTGTTTGAATGTTTGCCTTTGTGAATCAAAGCAAGCAGTTGATTGCATTTGATTGACTGGACTATTTTTTTTCTAACTACTTGTGGTGCTCTAGAAACACAGCCTAAGGCCTTTGGCAGAGGATGGAGCCTGTGCGTGCATATGTGTGCACGTGTGTGCATGTGTGTGTAGAGAGTGGCATGTGAAGAAGCACTGGTGAAACAGAGAATAAAAAAGCAGAAGTGCCTGAGTACCTGCTCTGTGCCAAGTGCTTTCTTGCATTTAGCCCTTGTAACAAACCAAGGAGACAGATATTATTAGCATTGCATATGAGGAAACTGAGGTTAAGGAAGGCAAAATAGTTTGTTGAAGCTCCAGTACCAAGTAAGAGGAAGAACTGTGGCTCCAAATCAGTCTGTCTGACTCAGAAGGTTGAGCTCTTTTCATTTTGAGGAGGGAGGTGGGAGAGAGAGAGGAAGAGAGCCAGAGGAGGTAGGAATATGGAGAGAAAAAGAATACCCCAGGGACAGGGTCTAAAAAATCAATACATAATGAAGCCTGAGCCATGGTGCTAACTCTGCCCCTGACTGTACATCTGACTTGCAGACACTTTATAAGTTGGCTCTCTCCTCCTCCCCACACCCCGTCCTTCCCATCCTCCCTTTCTCATTTTGCCTGGTGGAGGCCTGACCTGTCATGATGCTGCTGGAGTCCGGGTCTCCTCCATCTGTAACTGGGCTCTCACGGTGATGGTGGGGAGGCCAGGACCCTGCTTAGGGGCCACTGCCCGGGCAGGAGGAAACTCCCTCAGCCTCTGTCCTGAGCTGGGTCACCTGTGGAAGGGTGCCCAGGGCCCAAAGGTGAAGGAGGGCTGGCGCGGCTTCTTTGCCCAGGGCTGACCACTCCCAGCATCTCAGGCCAGCAGCCACCCAGCACCATCTGCCTCATTTCCTGTGCTTCCTCCTAGTGAGTGGCAGCTTGGACTCTTGGCTGCAGGCAGTTCTCCTGAACCGGTCACCAGGGCTCAGGATGAGCTATCCAGATGCATCTGTGACAATGTGGCTTTCATCTTCATCACAGTTGACCCCGTGGGAGGAAAGCCCCCTTTCTCCCACTTCAGCCCACATCTCTCTTCCCAGAACAGCAAACTGCCACCCAGGAGGGACTGCCGCTTCCCTGGTCGTGGGAAACTCTGCAGAACCTCCTCTCCTGAGCACTCCTGAGCGAAGAGCCAAGCCAGGGTAAGCCTGTGCATATAAGGCCTCAATTTTAGATTAGATTCCCAAATTTAATTTCCTATTCCTTAATTTAATTCTGCATTTTAGTTTTGTTTTTATTATTTACATGGGTTCCCTTTAATGATTCCAAATTGCTGCTGCCCTCTAGCAGAATTTTGTCTTATGTTAACTTCTTGAAAACTGATCAGCATTGGAGTTTATTCCACGCTGGGTTTAGTTATTTTCTGAAACGAAGCACAATTAAATTAGAATAATGAACATGCTCTTTAGAGGATTAATTCATAATTAGCAGGCCATGTGCTACAGCTCACAGAAGAAAGGGCACAAGGATCGAAAGCTGTTTTTTTCTGCCTAAATATGAAAAGTACATTCTGCAGAGCAGAACAAATCAGCTAATGACATCCAGAGCGCTGGCCAGCCCCAGAGCAGCATGGAGCTGGCACCTTGAGTTAGCGCAATCCCCACCGATGCTGCTGCCTACCTTTCCTCCCCGAGAAGGCTGGCAGCGGGCAATTTGCCTGGCTCTTCTCTCCTCAGCACAGCTGATAGAAGCCACTGTGGACCTCCTAAATTCTACCCCCAGGAAGCCCCAAACTCCACAGCCTGTGGCTTCACAAGCTTCATCCTCAGAGCTTCCTACAGCCCATTCACTCATTCATTCTTTCATCCAAGGAATGTTTTACTAGCTCCTGCTATACACCAGGCATCCATGGGATGGCCCACCCTCGGGATACATCAGGGAAGAAAACATACAAAGACCCCTACCCTTTTGGAAGTTATACTTGAGCAGGCAGAGACAGACAATAAATGGTAAAAATAATAAGTAAATTATGTATTATGTTAGAAGGTGATGAGTGCTAAAGAGGAAGGGGGGTTGAGAGTGGTGTGTGTGTGTGTGTGTGTGTGTGTGTGTGCGCGCGTGCCTGTGTGCTTTGCAGTTTTAAATAGGATGGGTCATGGTAGGCTTATGGGGAAGGTTTCAATTGAGCGAAGACTTGAAGGAAGTGAGAAAGTGAGTCACTTTCAAGCAAGTCACCCAGGTCAAGCCTGTTCTAGAAGAAACAACTATAGCAAAAGCCCTAAGGTTGGAGTGTGGCTGGTGAGTTCGGGAAGGATGGGGCCAGTGGGGGCTGAATGGAGGGAGTGAGTGGGAGATGAGGGGGACCCCATCAAGTGGGGCCTTGGGTTTTTCTCCGAGAGAACTGAAAGTCAGGGCAGGGTTCTGAGCACAGGCAGGACGTGGTCTTTTACTAAAGGATCTCTGGCTGCTGGCTGAGAACAGACTTTACAGGGTCAGGTAGATGGAAGGATGGAAGGTGGGAGACCTGTCAGAAGGCTCACAGCTTAGGCCTCTGAAACTCCAGCCCCAGGTTTTCCCATACCATGTTCTCTGGGCCTGCCAAAGTGCTGAGCTCAGGCCTCAGAACCAGGCACAGAGGCTTAGAGTCTCCTGCAGTCCCCTTTCTCCCAGAAGGACCAGTATATTTATTTTTTTATTTTTTTTATTTTTTAAACAGCCAGAGCTCACACATGGTGAGGATGTCCAGACCATTATTCCTCGATTGGGCCTGGAGACCCCTCTGCAGCCCCTCCCAATCTCTCCCACTGACCTACGGACCAGAAGGCTGGATTTTGCAATGGAAGGGAACTTGCAGGCAGCAGACAGCTCTGCACTGTCCCTTTGATTTTCCTCAGGCACCTCTGAGAGGGAGACACACTCTCAGCCAAGTACCCAACAAGGGACATGAGAAGGCTTCTGCTGTGCAGCTGCCAGAGAAACAGGGGACAGATCAAAGCAGGAGAGGACCAACATCTGCGGTAACCAAAGCAAGGACAAGGTACAAACACATTGAATGAATAAATAAGCAGATGAATGACTGATGGGTGGGGGGAATGAATGATTAATGCATAAATGAATGATTGATGAATAAACAAATGTATAGCCTGGAGCTGGCTCCTGCTCCCTGCTCTTTGGGTATCTTCTCTACTGGGAACCGAAGATTAAAGATGCTCCCGTGACCTTCACCTCTGGAATTCCCTGCTGGAGTTGGGATTACACCTGCTTCTGAGCCCAGAGGTTGGGGAGGCTTTGGCTTAGGATCGGTGGCCCAAGGCTGCAGAGATGTGCTGGCGGAAGGAGGCTGGAAGCAACTGGGGCTGGTCTGGAAGACCCCTGGGCAGCTTGTAGGTTCTGAGTGCGGAGAACTCCAAGGATCTGAGAGGAGAGAAGGGTGTGTTGGGAAGAGGGGAAAAGGAGTGGTTTAGTTTTTCCTTCCTGGTTCTACACGGGACATTCTGCAGATGCTGGGCCTTGGGTTGGTCTCATTCTAGGGCCTGTAAAGATACAGAAGTCTGTCTCAATGGAGCATTTGACTGTATTATCCCAAAAGGCAGGAAGATTTCGGTAATCGAAATTGTCAGAAGCTTCCCCAAAAGGGGCAGGCTGGTGAAGACTTTAGCTCAGGCCCAGGCACTGGCACCACCCAGACGCTTGATGTGCCCCCACTTCCAGAAGTTTGTCTTATAGTGTGGCCAGATCCCCATGCCTCTGGGGGAGAAGTACCCTACTGGGGGAGGGTTTGAGGAAGCAATGTTTAAAGACCCTGGGTCACATGGCTTCACTTCATTTTGGAGAAGCATCTTACCTGGGAATTCCCATAGAATCTAGTTTGGGGCCAAAAGACTGCTCCTAAAGAGTGCATGTACACAGTCCACTTTATGTTCTAGACTTTGATAATCATAATCAAAATGGCTTCCATTTATTGAGTGCTTACCAAGTGTTCGATGTTGGGTTAAGAGTTTTGGCTGGGCAAAGTGGCTCATGCCTGTAATCCCAGCACTTTGGGAGGCAGAGGTGGGCAGATCACCTGAGGTCAGGAGTTCGAGACCAACCTGGCCAACATGGTGAAACCCCCGTCTCTGCTAAAAATACCAAAATTAGCCATACCTGCTGGTGGGCACCTGCAATCCCAGCTACTCAAGAGGCTAAGGTGGGAGAATCGCTTGAACTTGGGAGGCAGAGGTTGCAGCGAGCCAAGATCATGCCACTGCACTCCAGCCTGGTGACAGAGCAAGACGGATAAACAGAGTTTTGCATTCTGACCGGCATGGTGGCTCACGCCTGTATTCTCAGTACTTTGGGAGGCCAAGACAGGCAGATCACCTGATGTCAGAAGTTCGAGACCAGCCTGGCCAACATAGTGAAACCCGTCTCTACTAAAAATACAAAAATTAGCCGGGCATCGTGGCAGGCACCTATAATCCTAGCTACTTGGGAAGCTGAAGCAGGAGAATCACTTGAACTCAGGAGGCAGAGGTTGCAGTGAGCCGAGATCGCGCCACTGCACTCCAGCCTCGGTGACAGAGCGAGACTCTGTCCAAAAAAAAAAAAAAAAGTTTTGTATTTGCATATCATTCAATTATCTTATGAACCCTGGGATGTCCCTCATTTTACAGATGAAACTGAGGCACAGAAAGGCTAAGTGACTTGCTTAGCCTTAGCATCAGCCAAATGGATGATGGCCATTTGGAGCTGAAAACTGAAGGGACTTTTCCTGAGGTCCTACTCTAGCAACTGTGCTGAGCTTTCGCTCCTCTAGCACAGAGATTCTTAACGCTTTGGGGGCTGCAGACCCCTTCAAGCAAGTGATAAGAGTGTCCGGCCTCTTCCTCGAAAATGTACATTTTACATTTTGCACAAGTGCATTTTCCAGGCAATTTTGGGGGGCCACACAGGCATCCTGAACTCTGTTTTAGGTATTCACTTTCTGCAGTGACTGTTTTCCTTTCTCATAACCCTGAGGGCACAAGGCAACCCTCAGGGCCCCCAAAATCACCTCAGTAGGGAATGGAATCAGACAGGACAGGTTAATCAATGAAAGCTCACCTCATGCTCCTTCCATAATTGCATTCCTGCCTTTTCATCCTAACAGACAGCACTTAGGTTAATTACATTCCAATAAGGCTCCCAGGTCTGGGGCCTCTGGAGCCTGCCCTGGAACCTGTTGACATGCCATCTGCTTCCAGAGGGATTCTGGAGACCAAGGCAGCCTTTTAAAATTCTTCTCAGTTTTCTTTGCTATAAGAGAGACAAAGGACCCTGTAACAGATCTCATCCAAAATCCTACTTTCTTAACGCACCCACATCAGCCCTGAAGCTATGGAGGATTCTTTGGTCCCAGGCTGTCTTTCTGAAGTCAAAACAGTAGCACCTGTTATTCCAAGTCCACGACCTTTGGAAATACCTGGCTTGGAGCGAGGTGGCCACAAATTGACAGTGCCGGCTGGGCAGAACCAGCTCAGGGCTGGAGAATTGAAAGGCTTAGGAGCTCCCTCAGGGGCTGGGTATTGTGCTGCCAGCTTCAGTCATTTATTCATAAGATTTATTGGAACCTCCCAAAAGGGTATCTACTCTTTGCAAAGAAAACCCATAATGCAAGGAAATATAAGATATACATTATAATATATATTAGGATTATATTATATTATATATTCCTAATATATGGGAATAATATATATTCCCATATATTATTATGTATAATATATTCAAAATATATATTCCATATAATTGATATATTACACAGATATATATGTAATATTCCAGAAATATAACTTCCTCTAATGCAGGTCCATGCATTCTCCAGGCACAGTGAAGTTCACACAATTAACAGAAAAAGTGCAGGGTTCATGGTGATTTGAGTTTCACTGTTTCCCAAATAGAGATGGCTCCACTGCTTGCCCCCACCAAAGGAATGAGGTATAAAATGGAGAGGTCTGGTGTTTGTTATATGACCTACAGATGCCCCCTCCCCCACCACGGCCCTGGACACTTCTTTCCTGCAAAGAAAAGTTTCCTCTGGGACTCTTTATTCCCCTGGGTTTGAACCCCAAGAAGCCTTCCACAAGCCCAGCTCCCTTGGCCTGCATCCACAGGGCTGAGGGCCTGATTTTCTCATCCCTGCTGAGACCCCTGCTCAGAGGAAATGGCTTGTTTTGAGATGGAAACTTTCTTGCTGCATGAGGGAGAAGAGATGGAGTTTGGCCTACGATGCCATGAGTATTCTTGGGTGGTTAATCCCTGCTCCAACATTGTAATCCTTGTGGGTGATCTGTGGTTTAGCAGAAAGAGCATCGATTTTCAGGAAGGCAGGCCAGTGTTTGAATCCTCGCTCTGCCAGTCATGAGTTGTGTGCCACTGGGAAAGTCACTTCACCTCCTTGCATCACAGTTTTTTTCTCCTGTGTGTGGAGTGGGGAGGGAGGGAGACTTACTTTACAAGGTTCAAATTGAAGAGAGAAGCATGCCATGGTGCCTGGCATTCTATACGTGATTTTCTTTCTTTCTTTTCCTGAATGAAGGCACAAACTTCTAAAACACTTTGCAGACGTCAGAAGGTACTATTAGGTTTTTCTTATCAGTGCACTTCAGCCTCGTCACCCTCCCACCCCATTCCAGTCTTCCTTCTCTTAACCTCTCCCCCTGCCTACAGCAGGTAGTCTGAACTCCAAATCATAGCTCCAGGCTTTTGCCTGCAAATCTCACTAACAGGTTTAGCATCCCTCCTAGGCTTCATAGCAGCCGCCAGTGCAGCCTCAGAAATGGAGATGCCCACAGACAGGTCAATTTCTCCATCCCTGTCTCTTCTGGTTTAACAGCAGGGTCCTAACATCCAAGCCTGTTAGGGCTTCTTCACACTTACTATGGAGAGGGAGACTGCAGACTTTTCATGGCATGGGGTGGGTTATAAATGGGCATCAGCTTCCTGCGGCTGAGCAGGAACCAGTGGGTGGGAGTGTGATGCTGACTCCCCTGACTTCATTTGACCATGGCCATTGTGGGAATCACCACCATCATGCTCACCCTTGCTGCTAGCATCTAGCACCCAAGTCAGAGCTGTCTGAGCCTCAGGGAGCTAACCCCTAAGACACAGCAACCAAACCCTAAAGAGGACCCCAGACCCACCTTTTTTTGGGTAGATTTTGCACACTTACAGGTGGGGTGTTTTAAATGGAATCTTGAAGGTGAGAGTGGGGCTGAGGCAGGGGGTTGGGGTGGTAAGGGGATAAGAGGAGGAGAGAAGGGGTCAAATAGGCCAGAGGAGATTAGGGATTTAATTAAACTGCCTGTTTGAGTAAGGGCTTTTAGGTGCAAAGCTGCTTTGCATGATAATGGCAGTTTATGTGAATTCCATTCTACTGAAGGAAGCTTCTTTTACACTTAATTACTGTGGCTCTTAAGCCTGGCTTTTCCTTAATGCCCCTCCCCAGGGCAAGGAGGGAAGCTTACCTCTTAGCTTCAGTCATGCTGGCCACTGTCACGGACAGACCCCTCGTCATCTATGCCTATAAGAGGCCTGTCCGTGAAGCAGGCAATATCTAAGTGACTGGATGGCCTTTAGGATCACCCAGCAAAATCAGGTCTGGCTTAAGGGGGTGACCCCTGAAGTCCTTTGATAGGGTTCCCCAGCCAGCAGGGGCAGCTGAGAATGGCTCTGGACTTAGGCTACTGAGACTTTTCCTGGGGTCTCCACTCCCAGAAACCCCAAACACCAAACAGGACCAACATTCCCCTGGTAGGTTCCTGCTGCTTGCTGAACAGCAGCTCTGGACAAGCACGGATGTGGTCGTTTAAGTGAGCTTGGTAGGGTCTGGACCAGAGGGACTGGCTGACTGCTCTGGGCAGCTTGCATCTTTGGTGGTGGAAGTGACTGCTTTTCAGGCAGAAGGACAGCGTTCAGTGTGCATCAGGACAAAAGGAGGAGTAGATGGAAAGCCTGGTAGGGGGAGCAGAGAGCCCTGATACAGAGAGGGGAAAGCCACGGGAGATGGAGACTCCAGCACACGAGCAGGGTAGGAAAGAGTTAAAGGGTTTGGGAACTCCTGTTTCCAATCACTTGTCAGCCAGCTTTGCTCTCAGCCTTATCAGCAGGGATAGGGCCGCGCTGGGAGAGGCTCTGAGCGCTCTCGTTTCCAAGCTCTTCCCAGACTCCCAAGCTCTCAGTGTTCTCATTACCTTCTAAGGGCTCCTGGCTCAGTCTGGGGTGAGGGCCACGGGGAGGGGGCTGGAAACCCAAACACATTTAATGGAGTAGAGTGTGAGTTACTAAATACAGCCCGGGGTTGGTGGTGAGGCTGTCGAATCTCAGTAGTAAACCCTCAGAATCCAACTGTCCCTCGTCCTCTCCCCTAGTGCAGGTTGTGTCTTTGCTTTCATTCAACTAGAGCTAAAACTCTTTAATGTTCTTCCCTTTTACAGTTACCCTGAGTCAGAAACCTTCATTGTGTATTTGTGCAGTTACTTTTGGAACTCAAGTAAAGGAGTTTACATGTCAGGTAAAGATGTCTTGGTAAGACTTGACCCATGTTAGCCTTTTGGGAGACATAGTTTTAGTTCTGCCATCTCATGCGGTTGCTACCTACCCCTTTCAACCATTAGGTAATTTAGTAAACCTGCTTTCTATATCTTCATTCAAGTTATGGGTTTAAACGATGTTGCCTGGGAGAGGGCTGAGGGCAGAACTATTGGTCATGCCAATATAGATTGTCCTCTAGACCTTGACATCAACCCATGTTTAATATTTTTGGGGTGTGGATACTGTTATTAAACCAACTACTAATTCCTTATATTGTGCGTCTCTAATTTATAATCCACCAAGGATCCAGAAGGCTGCTATGAGAAAAGGTATTAGTTGGTGCAAAAGTAATTGTTTATTTTCAATGAAAATAATGGCAAAAACCGCAATTACTTTTACACTAACCTAATAAAAGTTAAAAGCACCTTTCTATAATCCAATACACTTGGTCCCATGAATCTCCCTAATTTGCCATTCTTGTGACCCTGCTAAAGAAGAAAGTAAAGTTTACATGGTATTTTGCAGTAGATAAGAGATGTGAATTCAAGTATAAGCATCATAACCGCATTTTTGTAAGGAGCAAGAGTTGCCTGCCAAGAAGAACAGTGGTATGCATGATGGGGATGCCAGAAAGCTGGGTCTTTAAAAGAGAACTGACCGGCCAGGCGCAGTGGCTCATCCCTGTAATCCCAGCACTTTGGGAGGCCAAGGCGGGCGGATCACAAGGTCAAGAGATCGAGACCATCCTGGCCAACATGGTGAAACCCCATCTCTACTAAAAATAAAAAAATTAGCTGGGTGTGGTGGCACGTGCCTGTAGTTCCAGCTACTTGGGAGGCTGAGACAAGAGAATCGCTTGAACCCAGGAGGCAGAGGTTGCAGTGAGCCGAGATCACACCACTGTCCTCCAGCCTGGTGACAGAGTGAGACTCCGTCTCAAAAAAAAAAAAAAAAAAAAAAAAAAGAAAAGAAAAAAAAGAAAAAAAAGAAAAAAAGAACTGACCTAGGAAAGAAATGGGGAACGAATGGGGATTTAAGTTAATCAAGAGAAGAGATTGGGACAGTAGTTTGTAGGAAAGGTGCTAACTATTTGGCGGGCACAGGGTTCTGTCCTGTGACTGCAAGAATAAACCTTGGGCAAGAACCAAGAGTATCCCCTTATGTACAAGCCACAAGGCCTCAGTTCTTCCAGGTCTGGAAACTCCAGAGGTTCTGAACACAGGCTGTTTGGTGCCTCCGTGCCCCTGCTCATGTTGCTCCTCCATCTGGAATCCTTTTCCTTGCTGCCCACCTGGTGAACATCTGCTCATCCTTCCTTTTCATTGCAAGTCTGATATCCTCTAACAAGTCTTCCCTGTCTCCTCCTCCCCTCCAGTTCCAGACTTCCCAGGTAGAGCTCACTACTCCCACTGTGACCTTTTTTTCCCTGTACAGACTTCTGCATTTGCACCAAAATCATTTTATTACATAGAGGTTAAGGTCACAGAGCTTGAAGTTCAGAAGACTTAGCTATTTAGCTGTGACTTTGCCTCTTACTATAACCTTTCTAAATCTCAGTGTCCTCATTTGTAAAGTTGGGATAATAATAAATACCCACTAGGACTGGCATGAAGAGTCAATAGAAAATGAATGCAAAGCACTGTATTAGTTATCTATTGCTGCATGGCAAATTACCCTCAAATCTAGTGGCTTAAACCAACAATAAACACTGTTTCCTGTCTGTGGGTCAGGAATTTGGGAGCCGCTTAGCTGGGTGGTTCTGCCTTGAGGTTTCTCATGAGGATGCAGTTGCAATGTTAGATGGGACTACAGTCATCTGAAGGCTTGTCTGTGGCTGGAGGCACTGTTTCCAAGATGACTCAATGATATGGCTATGGGCAGAAGGTTTCAATTCCTCGCTGGCTATTGGTGGGCAGCCTCAGTTCCTCTCCATGTGGACCTTCCCACAGGATAGGGCTTCCTAAGTGTCTTTACCACATAGCATCTGGAGTCCCCTAGAGTGAATGATCCAAGAGAGACCTAGGTGGAAGCTGCATTATCATTTATGTCCTGGCCTCAGAGGTCATGTACTGTTATTTCCATAGATCCTATTATTTATACCAGCCCTAGTCAATGTGGAAGGGTGCTACACAAGCATGTGAATTTCAGGAGAAGATCATTATGGCCTATTTTAGAGGCTGTCTACTACAACTACTTAGCTCGATGTTTATCAAAAGCATATCATATGCAGGGTGCAGTGGTGTGTGCCTGTAGTCCCAGCTACCCAAGAGGCTGACGCAGGAGTGTTGCTTGAGCCAAGCAGTTTGAGGCTATAGTGAGCTATGATCATGGTCATTGCTCTCCAGCTTGGGTAACATAGTGAGATGTTGTCACTAAAAGAAAAAGCATTTCATAAGGGCTTAATAAACAGTAGCTGCTATTATTAATCCATACATTTGTATTCCCTGCTAGAAAATAAACCCTTTGAGGGCATAGATCATGTCTTGGGCCTGTTTGTACCTCAAGTCCCTAGAGTAGTGTCAAGCATACTGGTAGTTTTATACTAAATGCTGATGGAGAATACATGAATGAAGGCTTAGAGAGGGCTAGTCTGGTGGCAGGCTCAGAGTGAATGGGGAGAGAATTCACACCCAGATGTTAAATAGGATTCTGTAATTCAGGTGCATATCTGGAATTACCAAAGTGTGTAGAATCAGGATCTGAGAGTTCCTCATATTTTCATGCTTGAGTACCAAGGGTGTTTGATACCAAAACAGTAGGCAGGGCGAGGGTAGCTCTTATGACTCTCTTTGGAAAACAAGCCGTGAGCAGAAATTTGGCAGGGAGCAATGGTCCCATGATCTAAAGGGTGACCCCACGGATGTTTAATTCTCTGGGCCAAGGCAGACTTGGGAAGCTCTTGATATTTTTGTCATACTCAAACTCTTATCTTGATGTCACCTCTGTCCTTCTACCGGGCAGAACAATTTCCCTTTCTAAGAGACTCTGAGGTACATTTCTTAGAGTTAATTAAGAAGTGAACAGAGAGTTTCATGTCAGAGGCCCGCCCGGCTACTGCCGCCCTTTATGCAGGAGAGGGTCTGAGTCTGTGAGGTAACTGATACTCTAGTTGAGATTGAGTTTCCAGACGTCTAGCTCACATTGGAAGCCTTGCCCTGCTCCTGGGCTCAAAAGTTCACTGATTGTCCTTTTTCCACCGACAGAGCCCTCTGTCCTTACCAATGCTGTGCTTTTTTTGCCCCAGTTTCCAACAAGAAGCCACTCCTATGAGGCTGCAGCTCCAGGAGCCTCAGAGACAAAGACCAGTGGAAGAGCAGGTGTCTTCTCAGAGATTTTCCCATGTAGATCACATTCCCACTTGCCGGAGGTTCCATTTTTTCCCAGTTCCTTGAAATCCCAAACAAGTGACTTTACTTGTCTTTTTCTCCCTTTCTTAAAGCTAAGACAATGCAGGGGAAAATCTTTTTCTATCAGGGTGGAAGGAGCTTTGCACTGAATAATATTTTGCCTGTGGATAATAAAAAAGACATGCACATTGTAGATGGGACAGAACCATAGGAGACATATGATATTTGAATTGCCTCTAAACCAAACAAGAAGCAGGCATGGTGGTCTGCACCTGCAATCCCAACTGCTTGAATGGCTGAGGTGGGAGGATCGCTTGACCTCAGGATTCAAGGCTGCAGTGAGCTATGATTGCGCCACTGTACTCCAGTCTGGGTGACAGAGTGAGACCCCATCTTGAAAAAACGAAAGGAGAAATAAACCAAACCAGGTCACCACAAGGAAATGTGAAAGGAAATTTAAAATGCTTATTGATTGAAATAAAAAGAATACGACAACTGAGTCTGAAGGAAACAGTGATATGTCAGGGATCGTAGTAATTCAAGGCAACTGGACTCTGGAATGACCCTCATCTTGAAAGAGCTTTTTAAATTGTGTTTATTTCACTTTCCATTAGGATTTAACCAGAAAGAGAACATTTTTAATAAAGGCAGCATTGGGAAATGTGGCCAGTGGGAGAGTTGGGGGCTTGCGTGTATGAAGAATTCTTTGGGGCATAGGACTAAGGCAATAGAGCTGGACCAATACAACTGTCTTGTTTTTCAAATTCCACCTCTATTAGCTATGGAAAGAATTGTGTCATTCTTGGTAGAAAACCTAGCCAAAGTGTTCCCCTGGAGATGAAAACACAGAATAAGAATTTTAAGAAACCATTTTTTGGGGGAGTCAAAAGAATGTTAATGAGACAATTGATTAAGTTATACAAAGAAGTTAAAAATAAAATAAATACTATGTCCAGTTGAAATATTTCACATGCTCCCCTAAAAACCCAGCCCAAAACATAACATTGAGCTTTCAGAGGGGAAGCAGGGAGTGGGACACAGAAAGAAACCAATAAGGGAACAGCATGGAAACCACACTGAGGAAATAGAACTTTTAACCAATGATTATTAGAAAAACAACAGCAATCATTGATTAAACAAATTATGGTTCTAGGAAAAGGGGCACAAAACAGTCAGCCTTGGGAAGACTGCCATGTTGGGTAAGCTCTGAGTTTTAGGCATGACAGCTCTCATTTCCTGTGCAATTAAGAACATTGTTCTTTGGGTCATCTCAGTCAGTTGACAATCACTTTTTGAGCGCACACTGTATGCCAAGCTCTGTGTTAGATGTTGCGGCTATAACACCTACGTATCTTTATAGAGACGTAAAGCATGCTCCCTGCCTTACACAAATGCCCGTGGTATGGTGAATGTGATAAGGCATAATAATAGCTAAAATTTACTGAGCACTCCCTATGTTTTAAACACTTTACAAGCACTATAATCCACTATGAGAACAGAACTATATGGTTTTGGTCACATTTGTATCTCCATTGCTTGGCACATAGGTATTCAATAAATATATTTTTAAAATCCTTACAGCAACTCTATGAGTAGGTATCATTATTACTCCCATTTTACAGATGAGAAGACTGAGGTGCAAAGAGATTAAGCACTTGTTTGGTGTCATAGTTAGGAAGCCATGGGACAAGGATTTGAACCCAGGAAACACTGCAAAACACTACACAATGCTGCCCCTTGATAAGTACATGAGTAATCAAAATGCAAGACAGAAGGTAGAAAGCACTCCAAGGGAGACTCAAACAAACTGCCTTAGAAGTTCTAGACTCTGGCAAGGAAAGGGGACAGTGAGAAGGGGAGGATCCTTGGAAGAGATGGCATTTGAGTTGGGTCTTAAAATGTGGGTGAGATTTTCTCAAGGGGGTACAAGGGGAAGCATCTTTAAGATGAAGGAAAGTCAGGAACCAGCACTCAGAACTGGATAAGTGAAAGGTATATTTGAAGACTTTTATACTTCCAGTTTGCTGGGGAAGCAGCCCTCCTCCATGGCAGCAGCAGGAGATTATCTGGAGTGGGCCGGAAGTGGTAAGGAGCAGGGCTTCTTGTGCTGTCACCGCACAAGGGTTGCCTGGTGATTCAGCAGGTCCATGGCGTGGACCCTGGTGATGCCAAGGCAGCTGGTCTTGGACCACACTTGGAGCAGCTGGGTTCTAGAGGGCTTTGCTTTTCTGGCTCAAGGGTGTAGACTTTATTTGGTAAGCAAAGGGCTGCACAGATGGATTTTAAAGCAGGAAAATAAGGCTTTAGAAAGATGGCTTGGTGGTAGTGGTATAAGATGCCCTGGAGAAAGTTGGGCTTTGGTTTCTTTTTTTTTTTTTTTGAGACGGAGTCTCGCTCTGTTGCCCAGGCTGGAGTGCAGTGGCGTGATCTCGGCTCACTACAAGCTCTGCCTACCAGGTTCACGCCATTCTCTTGCCTCAGCCTCCCGAGTAGCTGGGACTACAGGCTCCTGCCACTGTCACTGGCTAATCTTTTGTATTTTTAGTAGAGACGGGGTTTCACCATGGTCTCGATCTCCTGACCTCGTGATCTGCCCGCCTCGACCTCCCAAAGTGCTGGGATTACAGGCGTGAGCCACCGCGCCCGGCCGGTTTCTTTAGCTCCTAACTTACAACTCTCAAAGCTCAGAATACTGATTCAGTCAGGGTCCACACAGGAAAACAGAAACCAAAGAGATGATTAACAGAGATCATTTAGCCCTTGAATTTGGATTGTCATTTATTCACCAGAGCTGCCTAGAAACTGTTCTTTCTCTCTCCTCCAAGACCAGCCAGAAGCAAAATTTGTCCTTAGTCTCTAGTGGTTAGAAAAAGAGAGGACATATTGCCTTGACTTTGGGCTATCCTGATGGGTCTGTTCAGGTTCAAACTGGCCCATCACCCAGCTCACTCTGGATCACTTTTTCACGATTGGCAGATCTGCTTGGGGAATGAAAAATGCTGCTAATATCAGCCTGAAAAAAATATCATCAGGAAATTAAATCTGTGGCTTAAAAATCCCACACTGCTTTCTGGCTCTGGTCTGTCTCCCAACTGGGATCTCTCCCTTGGCCCGGAGGCCTCCTTCCGGCCTCCTCCCCCTCCTCTGGTTCTCCCACCCGCTGTCTTCCCTCCCACGGCCTCCCCTCCTCCTCCTCTTCTCTTTCTTATCCTATAGGACCTCCGGCCTGCCTTTTTTCTTCTCTCTGGGCTCCTTCCTGGTGGCTTCAAGCTTCCCTTCCTGTCTCCAGGCTTCTAGCTTTTCCCCAGCTCCACGGAAGCATCTGTCTGTCTCTCTTTTACTTCCCATCAGGGAGTCCTAAATGCTGAATAGGCCCTTCAGACCAGGCCCTGAAGGGGACTTAGCTGGGGCAGTGGGGGGTGGGGGGTGCTGGGGACCTGCTGAGGCCATACAGAAGCCCATTGATAGGCAGCCCTTCCACACAGACAACCCAGTCCAGTCTCCATGGCTCCAGCGGAGAGAGGCGTCCCTTGAGGTGGTGGCCAACATCCCGGCCACCGTGAATGACCTCAGTGTCTTCGGTGGGCAGGGGGACCTTCATTCTGTAGCCTCCAAATCCTTCAGGCCAATCAGTTCCACCATGGGTGTTAATATATTCATCTTGAAAATAATTTGTCAGTACATCTCCATCAGTGGTGCTGATTTCATTAATTGGAAGAATTAGCTCTTTGTGGCCAATAGAAGTATATGGAGCCAAAACACACGGAATACTTTTCCCCAGTGACCCAGAGACCCTTGGACGAACTCCTGGGTGCCATGAAAATGGATCGTTTTGCAGAAAGAATACCATTGGATGTTTATTTAACATCACTCTCCATCCCCCCAAAAAGACCTTCAAAATGCTCTCACATCTGGCTGCTTTTCTTCTCTCACTTTTTTGTGCACAGCCAGGGCAGGGAGGAAACTTCATCAGTCTGAAAACATCCAGCAGCAAAGTGTAAATTAAATGTGCAGAGAGGCCAGGGGAAGGGGAGTCTTACATTCTGGGGGTGGAGTAAGACTGTGTCCTCACCCCCACTCCATACGGGCAGAGCTGGTTTTTTACCCTGTGTCTCCCATTAGGAGCTGTGTGACCTTGGGCCAGACACTTAACCCTTCTGAGCCTCAGTTTCCTTCTGGTAAAATAGGGAAATAAGCACATACAGGGCTGTTGGAGGGCAAAAGGGAATAATGTATGTAGACTGTATGGCACGTAGACACTTGATTGATGGTAGCTACTATTGTGGTTGCTGGGATCAAAACCAGAAGAGAATCCCAACTCTTCCCATGCCTCAGAGACTCACCATTGCTGGCCCCATTCAGGGAGACAGATGGGCAAAAGTAAGTCCTATGGGAGGAGACAGATGGACAAAAAAGAGTGATCAAGGGGATCGGATGGAATGACAGGTCAATGGGGTAACAGGCAGATGGAACATCCCATGGGGAAGGCGGATTTATGACAACCCAAAAGAGACCTTGAAAGATGGTGTCCCATAGGAAGGACAGATGGATGAGGGTCCAACAGGGGAGACAGAGAGATGACAGACCAAACAGGAAGGCAGATGGATGGCAGTTTTATATGGGGGGTGGGCAACCCTGTGATTGGGGGAGAACAGATGGACAACATGCTGACGACGAAGCCCGGGCTTCCTGTTTAGTCTCTATTCCTCAGGCCTGGACATCCCTGAATTCATAAGAACTTTGGGGCTCTGTGAGGATGAGAGAGAGAGAGAGAGAGAGAGAGAGAGAGAGAGAGAGAGAGAACTTCACACGGCTTGAGAAGATGTGAAACATCAGGGTCAGTCTGGCCTCTGTTCCTCCCTCCTCCCACAGCCCCTCCCTGGGTGGCCCCACAGATAAAGGCTTAGCCATGATGATGATGAGGAAGAGGAGGAGGGACAAAACTGCTTTTGGAAAGAAAGGGAAAATAAAAACTAGCTAAAGTTTTATTTATTTAAAATAAAGGCTCAGTTATGCTTGACTGTAAACACGCAGGCCCATCCCTCCCTCCCTGGCTCTTCTTGTGGCAGAGGGCTTGGACCACACAGTGAGCTGGGGGCAGGAGGCAGAGAGAAGGCCAGTGTAGGCTGGGGGAAGGGGTGGGACTAGGGTGCCCCAGGTGTGGGGAGGGGAGAGAGGCTGTGGAATTCAGTGACCTGCTGAGCACAGCTGGGTTGGGCTGGCTAGACCCTCTGGCCCTGGCTCCTGGTCCTTCAGCACACACCATCAATAGTCCATACGGCTTCAGCCCCACTTGCAGCACAACAAGGGGAGGCCACAATATGGGGATGCCAGGGACATGCACACACACACACACACGCACAGGTGTGCAGGCCTTTCTCTCAACTCTGTCTCCATCTCTTTGTCAGAGATAGCACAGTGGAGTCCTCGGGGAGGTGGGCCCAACTCCAGCTGTGAGTCATACCTTCTATTTGAACTAGAAATCCTACCTGCCTTTTGTCCTCTTTCTTGCAGGTTCCACCTGAATTCCTTCCATGCTTTTCAGCGACTGAACCATTTGGGTGGCCTGGAAGAGCCTGTGAGCTCCCTGGAGAAAGGAGACAGTGTGGATGGAGAAGAATCTGGAGTAGAGAGGAGTCTGGGGACCCTGCCTTTCAAGTCGTTTGTGTGAGGGCTGCGTTGGTGGCCCAACTAGCCAGGGAAGGGCTATGGTATGCGGGGTCAGGCGGGAATAGGCAGGAAATGTTTGTGATAAGAGGCTTCGCCTCTTGCAAGCTCCTCTGGTTTCCAGACCCAGCTGCAGGATAAGGGCCCAGGAGCTGAGCAGGGAGCCTCAGAGGAGGCTGCTGCAAGAGCCAGCTCTTGGGATTTCAGCAGGCAGAGTTGCAATCAGAGGCCCCTGGGGTCCCTGAAGACCATGCCTGGGGATAGAAACGACCCTGGGAACCCAGCCAGGGCTGCCTTCCTTTGGGATCAGGGATTTTCAATCATACTTCAGAGGGCCAAATCAATCCCTTAAGAAAAATAAAACAAAACAAACCCCAGCTTTGTTAATCCAAGTTGCTGAGAGGGTGGGAAGTACAGACTTGACCCCCCAGGGGATTTCATGCGCTGGATTGGTCCCAGTTGGAGCCATTCATTAATGTTAACCAGTAGAAATGGAAAATGGAAGGGTGCACTGACAAAAGACCAGGCTGGAAGCTCTGAGAAGGAATCTATCCCAAAGGGATCATCTGCTGGGGATAAATAGAGTCATCGAACAGTGTGTCATGCAGGCATTTGCAAAGCTTGGTGCTCCTTAGATTTCCAGTGTCGCCTCTTTGCCCAAGGCCCAGTGACTCCACCATCTGTGGTTGACTTGGCCAGCTCACAAAGGAGCAAGATGTGCTTCACAGGAACACCCCATGAGCGGGGATGAGGCTACAGGCCACTTGCTATTGTACCAGCTCCCCTTCTTAAGGATTAGCAGCTTCTATCTATCCCTGGAGGCTGCACTGTAAATGCCTGTGTAATGCTAATTTGTGGTTGGCAGGAGATTGATTGGGAAGGAGCAGGACAATGGCAAGAGGAGGCTGAGCTCCCTCCTCCTCCTGGTGTAATGGTGTGCTTGCATGCTGTGTGTGTGTGTGTGTGTGTGTGTGTGTGTGTACGTGTGTGTACGTGTGTGTCTTCTGGGAGAAATGTAGCAACAAGCCCACAGAAGAGATGATTATTCAAAGAGAGGAAGAAGATTTACTCACCGATGCCCAGAATCTGAAAGGCATGTCTGGAGTGGAGAGATGGGAGTCTATGAAGCACAAATCCAGGGAGATTTTTTGATGGGAATAAGTGACAACCCATCACTCTTAACATATTCTATTCATTAGAACCAAGTCCCTAAGTCCAGCCCACGCTTAGAGGAAGGGATTACATGGGAGGCAAGAATCACTGAGAGCCATTTCGGAAACTGCCTACACTTAGAAAAACACTTCAAGAGCTCCCGGCCAAGGGCCTGGCACATAGCAAGTGCTCAAGGAATTGTTACTTGGACCAGTGACTCTTCTAGGATGTGATCTAGGTTTTCCCATAGTGGCCTGGGTCTCTGCTGTCCCATCTTTATTCCTGTTGGCACTGCTGGGTTTTCAGCAAAGGCTTTTTCCTCTGACACTGGGAGGTTTGTGACTAGGCTCTCTGGGTGTGGGCCAGCAGACAGGATAGACGCTAACTTACACTCTTGCTGTCTTCCGAACAGCCTCTTCATGACCATGTGTGGTCTTACTTTGTGGTCAGTGTACAGATATTTTAATTTCCTGCTCACCTGCTCAGAGGAGGATCTGATTTCTTCTTGCATTTATTTTTCTCTCCGGCAGCCTGTGGACAGGTATTTCTGTCTGACCATCTGGTAGCCATTCACCTTTATGGTGGCTTGAGAAAGGAATCAATTTCACTTGTTTCTTTAGTAATATCTGCCTCTTTTGACAGCAAGTTACCTTTATCACCTCTTAAAATTCTTACTATGTTGCACCTTCTGTTACCTTGGGGGCTCTTTCAATCCCCTAACTTTGTGCAACTGCATCTCCCTCTTTGGTTTAGCTTCTCAGGCCTTTCTTTTTGCACCACGGTTTAATACATTCCATATATACTTCTAAGTCTGCTGGTACCTCTCCCCACCCACTGCCTGCTGAGAGTGACGGATTCTTCCTGGCTGGACCAAGTCTAAAGTAATCAGAAAACAACTGAAAGAGGAAAGCTGACCCCTGCCCTCATCCTGCCCCTCTGCAGACTTCTTGAGGCCTTTTGTCTAATTGTGGTGGGTAATGTGGGCAGGGTAAAAAATGGGGAAGATAGAGCAAATTTTCTGGGCAAGAATGAGGGGAGAGGTGAGTGGAGCGTCTTCATCTCGCTCTGGTTTTGTATCATGGGTGTCTCCAGGGCCTACTGTCTCCTCTGAGACTCCTAGAAAGTGAGGAGCCATGGATTGGTATCCTACTAACAGATGGAACATCAGAGGCCCGTGGTAAGGAGTATAATAAGCTCAGCTCGCCATGCTCTGTTTTGTTTTTGTTGGAAGAAGTGTTGAAAAAAGGAGTGGTTATACACTGGCCTATCTAGCTATAGAATACAAACACTTAGGGTGAGCAGCAGGGAATGCCTTTTCTGAAAATGATGCTGCATGGAATGGATGATTAATTCCCTGGTTAAAATGAAGCCAGACTATCTTTCAGAGTCTTAAGCCTCCTCCCAATACCCTCCACATACTAGTTTCTAATTGGTTAATGAATATGGTCACTATTTCTAGGGCCTGTTGCTCCAGTGTAGTGGTCAAGAGTGTACACTCCTATTTACAATAGCAAAGACATGGAACCAACCCAAATGCCCATCAATGATAGACTGGATGAAGAAAATATTGTACATATATACCATGGAATACTATGCAGCCCTAAGAAGGAATGAGATCGTGTCCTTTGCAGGGACATGGATGAAGCTGGAAGCCATCATCCTCAGCAAACTAACACAGGAACAGAAAACCAAATACCACACGTTCTCACTCATAAGTGGGAGCTGAACAGTGAGAACACATGGACACAGGGAGGGGAACATCACACACCAAGGCCTGTCTGGTGTGGGGAGGGGAGGGAGAGCATCAGGACAAATAGCTAATGCATGTGGGGCTTAAACCTAGATGACGGGTTGATAGGTGCAGCAATCCACTATGGCACACATATACCTATGTAACAAACCATACCTTCTGCACATGTATCCCAGAACTTAAAGTAAAATAAAAATTAAAAAAAATTACACTGGAAAAAAAAAAAGAGTGTGTACTCTGGTGAGATAGGGTTTGGTTTAGGTCCCAGCTCCTTTACTTACTAGCTATTCTTAGCTATGCTCTCAAAATTGTCACTTTTCTCATCTGTAAAATGGGTATATGAGGGTTTCCGTTTTCATAAGATTATTATAAGAGTTATACAAAGTAATAAATAAGAGATAATAAATAAATAAATGCATAGAGCGTCTAGTGTGTAGTAAACCCTCAAAGTCTCTTATGTCTTCTTATCTCTGCCCCCTAAAACTTTCCAGCAGCCAAAGTTTCAAATTTTGGAGCTTACCATCTCTGCTGCACAACTTACTTGACAGGGACTGTTTCTTTCTTCCCCCTCCCTTGAATGTTGAGCTGCCACAGTAATTGCATCAGATTACCCTCACCCCAATCTCCCTCCTAGACATTCTGTCCCTGGGACCTTGGCCCTGCTCTGTGCGCTCGTGCTCCATGCTTTTCTCTGGAGTGTGAGCCAGTCTCCAAGTCCAGTTAGCATATCTCTGTGGAGTGTCCTCTGGGGGCCGAGGGACAGTCCGGCTGGGAGGTCTTACTCCTTATCATGGATGACCTCGTTGTGAACCTTCTTGAGGCAGTGGGGAGAAATGTAAAACATTCAGACAAGTTGTTATTTGTCATCCCTCTCGCCCACCCCTAAAAAGTTAACAGCATTTAACTCCCTCTCTAAAACACAGAGTTTAGTCAAAACCCTTTTTGTCTATAGACATAGAGTGAACGTTTAATTTGGCTCTGGAAGCTGTGCTGAAGAAACCACTCAGGAGGCCAGAGGGGATGTCTGTGGTGGGTCAGATCTCTCAGTGTGAGAGGGGGTTAGACGCGGAGACAGGGAGGAGTCAGTGTGGTCTGAGGCTCCACGGTGATCCAAGGCTGTGTCCACAGTGGCTCTGAGATGGAAGCTTCCTTGGTTTCTGCAGGACACCCTGGCAAAGCAGTGTCCCAAGAACAGTGTGTCATCTTTTTCATTTGGAAACTGAGACAGTGGTCTCCTATTGTAACAGGACTCCCCCACTCTGTCCTCTCTGAGCCCCATCTCAGGAGATTTTTGGCATGGATATCAAGGCAAAAATGGGTAGTTTTTTCAGAGAAGATGAATCATCTGCATACTCTCTTCAGAGGGAATTGGCTTTCGAAACCCAAATCTCTCATGTGATGTAAATAGTGAAACTGAAGGCCGGGATGTCAGGGTGTTAGGGAGGTTGGCTATGCTAGGAAAGCAGGAGTGCTGAGTCAGTGGACGGAGGCAGATTTTGATGAGTATTGCGAATTACTGGTTTGGCATGGAACATGAAATGGCTTTGTACCAACTCATTGGTGGGGAAAAAAGGGGCTGGCACGAGCAGAGACCCTAACTGGCTTAGGTAGAGTGATGGTGTCTGTGAGCTTCTTCTCAGAGATCACAGAGCTTCCCAAGGAGGGTGGAACTGATAACTTCCCTAAAGCAAGGAAGAGGGTCATTCTCCTGTCTCAGTTACTACTGTTGTGCCCGTCGGAGTGGATAAAGCATATTTCTTAGAGAGGACCACAGAAGCGAGGGCTTTGGGGAGGGAGGTGATCTTGAGGAGGGTAGGAGAAGTGGAGTGAAGACATTTTTTCTTTCTGATTCTTCCAGAAGAGGACTAAATTGGTTGGTGGATGATAGTTGTCCTTTGTATGGAGGCTGGATGTAGAAGGTGCTGCAAGCTCTGCAAGCTGATTAGTTAATGTGGAAGCTGAAACCTGCCTTGGGAAGCTGACCATTGACCATTGTCTTGCTTTTACCTGGGTTGCTTCCTTGTTTCTCTTTAGGTTTTTAAGAAAGGATAAAGGCTGAACAGATCTCTGCAGTTACAATTATTCATACTAGAAGATACTGCTAACCTCTTTGTTATTTGAGCAGCTGGATGAGATTCCTGATTTCCATAATCTGTACCTGGAGGTTTATACAGGAGAGGATCACTGGGGCAGACTTGAACCATGGTGCCCACAAGTGGGGAGGGTGCTCCAGCGGCCATGGAAAGAACTTCCTTCTGCAGTTGGAGACAGCCTTCTGTGTGGGTGAGTGGAGACATAATCCCTTTTATCCTGGCTTTGGTTTGCTTGATTACCTCTTTAGCAGTGCAATTCGTGACTGCAACAGGTGTCAGACTTTGTAAAGGCAGAGGCTGAGAGCTGGCCAAGACACTTTGTCATTCCTGACCTGTATGGCTGGAACTTCTATACTATGAAGTCTTATTCCCAATTGCAGTCGCTTGTTCTAGGGATGGGAGAATAAGACATTGTGTTGATTTCTGACAAAGTCCATGAACCAGTCACAAAGGGCGGTCTCTTCTTCCAAATCCAGAAAAGAAGCTACGATGAAAGAATTGGGGTGGGTGGAATGGGTGTGAGCGATGGTGGTTTGTCACTGTCTTGGAAAATCGTCTTATGCTTTTACAAATCACAGGAAGTGAAAGAGAAGAAACAGCTGGATTCTTTTCATCACCTTGGCACATATTTTATCCTGAAATAACACACTACACTTTGAGAGAGTGTAGAAAGTGGGCAGTGCGATAGAATGGGAGCCGGGACACTGAGATTGTAGTCTGCTGCTGACCAGTTGTGGAACTCTGGCGAGTTGGCTCTCTGGGTGGATCCAGTTTGTCCTCTGTTGGAGGGAGCAGGGAGAGCAGGGGTGGACAGGAATTAGGTGGTCTCTAGTCTATGACTCACTGGCCGCAGCATGACCACCTCTCCCTCACGCAGCCAAGGATGGGGATTGCTCTCAGCTGCTGTGTCCTCTCCCCTCCCTCCCTCCCTCCCCAGCGGGTTATCATGCTGACTCGACTAACACAAACCCCCATCTGGATGCAGTCCAAACGCCAGATGTGCCCCCGATTAGTGTCAGTCTGGGGAATGTTTCCATGACTGAAAGGTCAGTGTCGGCTGGAAGTGCCCAGAGTGGGCGTCTGCTCCCCACCCCACGTCAGCTGCAAGGGCTGAACCTTCCATTATCTCACTGGCCAAGGAACGGAGCTGGGTGGGGTGGGAGGCAGCAGGAGTGGGGTGTTGGCCAAGTTCAGGAGGTCCTTGTTTTACTTGCCTTCTCTCTTCACTCTCAGGCTGAAGGACAGAGTGTGATTTTCTACTTGGAAGAGACTCCAGGGCTCTGCAGAGAGGGAAGCCCTGCTGGTGTGTAACCGAAAACACTTAGCTCTCCTTTAGATCTGCAATGTGCTCGTGTCTCTTCTGATTTTCTTAGGGGGGCTGTCACCTCCACTATGGAAAGAGAAATGAATGATAATATTGCGATGGGCCGGGCTGCCATGTTTTGCTCTATTTACAGGTCATTTTAAGTATCGCTTCTACACTTCAGATGGGCTTTCATGTTTAATTTCATGCTTGTAGGGCCATGCAAGGCTTTCCTCTAGGTAGCAATGAAAATTAAATACAATTGAGTTTGATGTGTACCTTATTGATTCCAGACCCATTTCAGCAGACTGTGACACTTCAGCGACCTGCAAATTCTACACATTAGAGTTCATATTTTATACAAACTCCGTACACCTAAGATGTGGACTTAACATTTCTACCAACAACATCCAACTTCCAACAAAAGATGCAGGCCCATCAGAAGATGAAAGCTACTAATGAAGATGCATTAAAGATGATATTTATGGCCACCCCTTAGGGAAAAAAAGATTCATAAATAATTTCATGGAAATTACACCCAAAATAGAGTCATAATTTCCTCAATTTCACGTTTTCCTTTTGGTTCTCTGCAGGCCACTTCTTGTTTCATGCGTCACCACAACTCCATTTTAAAGGGGTGAGGTAGGAGAGGGGAGAGGTTGTATGTTAACTGGCCTGGGAACGGCTAAGTAATGAAAACGGCTCGGCACCTGTGATTGATAGTGTTCTGTCAAAGCACGGAACTTCTCTTCTTTGCTTGTGACTGACTGGCAGGTGACGTGTACTTCTCTGTGGCCCACGGCTCCTCTGGCAGAGGTGGCCTTACGTGGCTCCTCTGGCAGAGGCAGCCTTAGAGAAGGCCACTTGAGCAGGGGGAACAGTTGGTAATCAGAGGTAAAGTTGAGGAAGGCCAAGTGGGCAGGCCTGATCAGAAACGCTTTCAGGGTATTGTGGCAATCATCTCTCTTCTGCAGCCGAGCTGGGAATTAGAGTCTTTCTTCAGCCGGGAGTGGGAGAAAGGGAATTTTTACTAGAGGGCATGGCCTTCTGAGGCAGGGGAAGAAAGCATCTTCTGCCAGCTGGGGCAGGGAACGGAGGTGAGTCAGAAAGGCTTGTGGAGAGTGGTATTCCCCACTGGGGGTCACAGGGCCACTTGTGAAATGACGCCTAGATGTTGGTCTACAGCCAAGGTTCTCAACCTTGGCTGCGTATCAGAATCACCTGGGGAGCTCTTACAATCCTGATGTCCAGGCCCCACCTCAGCCAGATTACATCAGAATCTCTGGGGTGGGACCCAGGCTGAGGTAGTTGTTAAGGCTCCCCGGGTAATTCCACTGTCTATCCCGTCTTGAGACCCATTGATCTAGGACCTTACTAATCAAAGCGTTGTATGAAGACCAGCAGCATCGTATCACCTGGGACTTGTGAGAATTGTTAGACACGTAGAATCTCAGGCCCCACCCCAGCATCTCCAGTTTAAAAATCCCCAGGAGATTTGGACTCTATTAAAGTGTGCGTAGCTGGGGTTTTCAAACTTGACTGCACATTAAAATCATCTGGAGAGCTTTTAAAAATCCCAATGCTCAGGCCACACCTCATACCAATTAAATCCGAATTTCTGAGGGTGGGAGACAAGCAGCTTTTTAATAGGTTTTCAGGTGATTCCAACGTGCATGAGTTCTCAGCCGTGGATACATATTAGAATCACCTGGGGAGCTTTTAAATCTCCCAATGCCCAAACCCTACTCTCAGAAATTCTGATTTAATTGGTCTAGGATAGGCGGCAAAACGATTCCTAGGTGATTGTAATATGCAGCCAGTGGAGCCTCCCTTCCAGAATGTTGGTTCAGCTTCACTGAAGGTACAACCAGCTTAAAAACCCTCACTGCAAGTCAGTGGATCCAGTAACAGTTGGAGAAAAAGAATGAGCAGGCCATGGCTAGACTTAGTTTCCAGGGCTTTGATATTTGATCTCCTTACATGTGATAACTACGATTCTTTTTTTTTTTTTTTATGAATTCAGATATTTATATGCTCCTCTAGTTTTCTAATAAAGTTCCTTTTGAAAAATTCAACCTCAATGCAGCTGAGTTAAGAGATAAAAGCACTGGCCTACACCTGGGGCCACAGGATCTCTGAGCAGCTAAGGGGTCAGGTGGGATGGAGGCAAGAGAGGTTATGGTGGAGAATTTGGGTGCACCGGGACCCAGAGAAAGACCCCGAGGGATAAGCAAAAGGTGAGCTGATTGCAATTTTCTTGTTCTATTTACTCTGTGATACTGTCATCATTTCTAACATGACTGTGGAGTCGAGTAGTTATAGAATTGCTGGATTTAGCAAATAAAAACCCATAGCACCCAGTTACATTCAAATTTCAGGTAAATAATTTTTAGCATAAGTATGACTCATGTAATATTTGAGACGTACTTATTCTAGAAAAATTATTTGTTTATCTGAAATTCAGTTTTATCCTGGTATCCTGTATTTTATCTGACAACCCTCTTCCATACACAACCCTAAATTCTCAGTGTTAAAAAATCTGCCCTGTGAGTGGGGCTTTCTCCAGGCCTTGAGCTGGCTCTTGCCGTCTTGGGGTGATGTTATGTCTATGGGTGATTGTTAGAGTCCTGTTCCCAGGTAGAACAGGGAACAGGATTCTAACAGGATTTTTTTTTTTTTGAAACGGAGTCTCGCTCTGTCGCCCAGGCTGGAGTGTACTGTTGTGATCTTGGCTCACTGCAACTTCTGCCTCCTGAGTTCAAGTGATTCTCTTGCCTAAGCCTCCCGAGTAGCTAGGATTACAGGTGCCTGCCACCACGCCTGACTAATTTTTTGTATTTTTAGTAGAGACGGGGTTTTGCCATGTTGGCCAGGCTGGTCTTGAACTCCTGACCTCAGGTGATCTGCCTGCCTTGGCTTCCCAAAGTGCTGGGATTACAGGTGTGAGCCACCGTGCCCTGCTGAGAACAGGATTCTAATAGCTACCCATGGACTTCACCTGTGTTCTACAGGTGTTGCTCAGGGTCCCCAAACTAGCCCCAGTGTGTGTGCACGTGTGTGACTCCGTGCCTATGGACAATGTCCTTGAACTTCACTCTGCCGGGCTCACCTGCAGTCCTTGGTGATGAGGTGGTTTCTGGGAGTTCCTCTAGAATACCCTCCTCTCCTGTTGTTGCTTGCCGAGTTTAGGCTGTATATGTCCAAGAGAAAGGAGGCTGGCACTACCCTGGGATGCCGGGGAATTTAGGCTGTATATGCCCAAGAGAAAGGAGGCTGGGCACTACCCTGGGATGGGTAGTTTTTTCAGAGAAGATGAATCATCTGCATACTTTCTTCAGAGGGAATTGGGCTGGAGGCAACGTGTTGAGCTGCTGGTGAATCAGACAAATGTAGAGAAAAGGCGGTGGAAAGGAAAGCACGGTTCACAAGTTGCAACCATTGCATCTCCCTGAAGCGGCTGTTCAGTGTCTGAGCCCGGCTTTCAGCAGAGGCTGCTCCATTGAAATACATTCAGAGTCAAAAGTGCAGTTTCCCGTTCTGTTCAACTCAGAACAGCTCATTCCCTGCTGGCTTGTGAAAGGAAAATATCTTGGGCCCCCAGAATCACTGAGGAAAACTCAAGCTGGAAACTGCTTAGGGCAAACCTGCCTCCCATTCTATTCAAAGTCACTCCTCTGCTCACTGAGATAGATGCATATCTGATTTGCCTACTTTGGAAAGGCTAATCAGAAACTCAAAAGAATGTAACCATTTGTGTATCACCTATCTGTGACCTGGAAGAGTCTTCCAGCCTTTGCTTCTAGTTGTCCCGCCTTTCCAGACCAAACCAATGTACTTCTTACATATGTCGATTGCTGTCTCATGCCTCCCTAAAATGTATAAAACCCGGCTGTGCCCTGATCACCTTGGGCACATGTCGTCAGGACTTCTGAGGCTGTGTCACAGGCGCGTCCTCAACCTTGGCAAAATAAACTTTCTAAATTAACTGAGACCTGTCTCAGATTTTCTGGGTTCACAGGCTTCAGAGTGTGAAGGGGCTTGGAGAAAGGGAGGCAGAGAGTGGGGAAGAGCCAGCTGCCAGCAAGAGATGCACAGCTGCAGCCAGAGAGAAGTGCAAGATGAGAGAAGGAGGGAGGGAGAGGTCACCACTGCTGGTTACTTAGCTGGGGATGTGCAGCCAGACGCAGGATGATCAGGAAGGGTACCCTTGGCTTGTCCCTCCAGCCTATCCTTCTAAAGGTCTAAGCTGGTGCTTGTGTGTCCTGAAGCAGTATCCGAACCAATTAGCCTTAAGAAAAGCTCAGGAGGGCACGTGAAGGCTGGAAAATGGGCTGGGCCAGGTTCTGGAGCCATGGCCAATTTTCTCTGGATGTTCTAGAGGGTGAGTGACCCCTTCGTGAGGCTCCTCTGCTGGTCAGGCCCCGCAGGCATGGTGAGGCTTGGGAGAGCTGGCAGGCCTCCCAGGGGAGCTCTCACTTAGAATATCTACTGTTGGAAGTCCTCCCCACTTCCCTCCTGACACTACCGTCTTCCCAGAATAATACAGTGCTGCCGTTTAAATGAAGGTCACAGACTTGGTTTTTGTGTTCCTTCTGGGATTCTAGCTCGGGAAATCCAGGCTCTTCTGTCTCCTTCTCTGTTTTCTGTCTTCCCGTGCCTCCTTCCTGATGGTCTTTCCAGAACATCTTCTCCCACAGGCAGCCTAGATGTGGTGTGGGAGGGCTCTCCAGAGAACGTCGGTATCTGGTGGTTAATTAAAATGATAAATGGGCCTTTTGCCTCTCTGGCCACTTCATTTAGGTCAGGAACAGTGAGAGGCTCTGTGGAAGATTGGGAGAGAAGCCAGGTGAAGGCAGGGACAGCTCCAGGACAGGACAGGCCTCCTCGACTCTTATTTGCAGGGTCCCCTAGTCCAAGAGGGTTGGTTCTCATGCAGATTTTGCTTAGGGCTGGGGCATCTGAGTGAGAGATGGGTCTCCAGGTGAGGCATCCTGACTGGTAATGGGTCTGGGCCTTGCTGACTCTTTGGGGTTTAGCTTGTAGGTTCTCAGCCAGGGCCCAGACCTCCATGCCTTTTCTCCAGGACCACAATGCTCTTTTCCAGAAGGCTGGGCGGCCTCACTGGTGAAAAAGAGCTGACTTGGGCCTCCAGGCCAGCAGTTCACTCTGGAACCTAATCCAGAGTCACAGCCTATTGGCAAAGTCAATGTGCTGTGGACTGTCATACAGACAATGTGTTAGGCCCTGTGAGTCATGGAAGATGGGCTTGGGTGACCCCTGGGGTCAGGCTCACTTCCTTATCCCAGCTCTAGGAAAGAACAGCTTGTCCTGTGGGATTCCTCCAGGCCGGCACATATACCGCAGTTGGGGCTGGGCTGGCATGAGCCCCTTTGGCCAGATCTTGGCTGGCTCTCATATGTTTACCTCTAACCAGGCCCAAGCTTGGCCTGAGGGCCCTGAGTCTCTGCCTGGTGGAGACATTCATGTGGACAGAGCCAGCACCCAGGAGAGACTGATAGGTGAATCCTGACAGGATTGTGATGTATGCATTACTTCCCGTGAAGCTGAGGGGTCTGAATACCCAACTAGTGTGTGTTTAGGGGGTCGAGAAGTGGGAGCTCAGAGCTGGGGGTGTGGCTGGAATGACTGGGAAAGGAGAGAGGGTCCAGTTCTCGTTAAGTCCCTGCTCTTCATCATCATTTCCTGGCTCCTTTCCTCTTACCTGGCATTTCTCAAGTTCTGGGGCAAGGTCTAAATTGGGCACTTGGATGAGACTTTCCCAGGGAGCTGCCAGCCTTCCAGGTCCAGGGTGGTCACAGGACCCGCTGGCTCCACATCTCCTCCTCTCAGTTTGGCCCTCGCCCTAATCCCTGCTGGTGTCTGATGCCAGTAACTTGCTGCCTGCTGAAGTCCTTTCTCATTGTGCCAGTTCCAGGCGCTATCTGGAGCTGCCGAGGTGGATCTGCGTGTGTGTGTGTGTGTGTGTGTGTGTGTGTGTGTGTGTGTGTGTGTGTCTCTACATGTCCTCCTTGGACATTTTACTAAATGTTTATTGGCCCCAAGTGAGGCACAAATTCCACAGTCATTTCCAAACCTGAACTTAGTGGTTGGAGAAAGTGCTGAGCACAGTTTATTAAATGTGTGCCATCCTCTCCACCGTTCAGAGCCTAGTGTGTGCTGCCTTTCCTTTGAGAAGTCTTCTCTTGGGACCTCAGCCCTGTTGTCCCCTGCCCTCTCTAGGCTCCTGTGGTCCAGAGAGTGTGCTTGCACAACCCGGCTTGAGCTGTTGTCCCTTTGTGTCATTTTTGAACAGTGATATGGTTTGGCTGTGTCCCCACCCAAATCTCATCTTGAATTGTAGCTCCCATTATCCCCACATGTTATGGGAGGGACCCAGTGGGAGGTAATTAAATAATGGGGGTGGTTACCCCCATGCTGTTCTCAGGATAATGAGTTCTCACGAGATCTGATGGTTTTATAAGGGGCTTTTCCCCCTTTGCTTTGGCACTTCTCCTTCCTGCCGCCATGTGAAGGAGGACATGTTTGCTTCCTCTTCTGCCATGTTTGTAAGTTTCCTGAGGCCTCCCAGCCCAGTGGAACTGTGACTCAATTAGACTTCTTCCTTTATAAATTACCCAGTCTTGGGCAGTTCTTTATAACAGGATGAGAACAGACTAATACAGTTAGTCTCTTACCTTCCAGAGTGCAAGAACCAAGTCTTGTGAGTTGGCCTGACCCAGGTTCAAACTGTGCTTCTCACTTACAAGCTGATGACTTTGAGCTAGTTAATTTTTTTGAGACTCAGTTTCCTCATCTGTACAAGGGGGATAATAATGCTTTCCTCTCCAGATCATTGTGAGGATTTACGAGCTTATGCAAACTAAGCCCCTGGCACAGTGCCTAGCGTAGGGCAGGCACTTAATAAATCTGAGTTCCTGTTCTCTGCTCTTGTCTCCTCATGGTTGTTGGAACAGGGCTGGGCTTGTGGTCGGCACCCAGAAAAGTAGTGGTGACTGATTAATGATTATGGAGCCTGCAATTATTGGGATGAAGTCCCTAAACAGGGAAACAGCTCTAAGCAAACCCATTAATTAGGGGCCTGTTTGCAGTTCTTTTGTGCTGGCTTGTCATGTGTTAGTTCAAGGAGGGCTTTGTACCCTCAGCCTCTATCCACCCAGAGGTCATTCTGGGAAAATAATGACCAAGGAGAGGCTCAGGCCTGAGGTGTGCAATTGCCACCTACTTGTGACCTTCATGCCCATCCTCCCCTCCCCACTCTACTACTGGTGCAATAAACAAGTTAACAGGTGACAAAAACAGCCCTCATAAAGAAGGCCACTGGCTTTAGGATAGCATTAAGCCTGAGCTAATGGACTTTTTGCTAGGAACCAGGGACTTCCTGAGGCATAGGAGGACTCCTGACTTGGAGCGACCTCTCAGGCCAGGAGAGGCCAACCCAGGCTAGCTACTTTTTATTTTTTACTTCCAAGTATATTTAAAAAAAGAAGAATTGCCAAAATAGAGTGTTACATTACAAAATTGTGTTATAACTTACATGTTTATATTTATCAAGTTAACAAGTTTAAACCTCAAATGCAATATGAATGTTACTTCACAATAATTTCAAGGCTTTAAAAAATATTGTTGTGTACTGCAAGCAGGTGGTAAGATAAACTAATGGGATATAAGTCTAAAGGACCCTTCTGTCCTGGGTTACCCCTCACCCCACTCTATGGGGGACGGTCCCACGGGGCAGCTTACAGCCCAGGGCTCTGGCCTCTGCCGGCCTCAGTGGTCGGTGGTCATCTCAGAGTTGGGTGGGGGCCCTGGTGACAGAGACCTGGAGATGATTCATCTCATGGGGAAATTTAGACCCATTCACAAGCCATAATATGCCTGTAAACAAGAGGTGGGTCTGGCTTTCTTCAGACGTTGTATGGCTCTTGGCTGGTGAGCATTTATGCTGAGCCCAGCTCCAGTGGCCTGCATGCAGTGGGTGCTGAGTAAATACTCAAGTCACCAGCTGCAAGCACAGTCTGCAGTTCTTATTCACTTATTTGATGACTACTGCTTTCCCTATTAGATGGAATTATGCCTGACTTTTCCCTTCTGTATCCTAAGCATATAATAAGTGTTCCATGTATATATTGAAAGAAATGAAATCAAATTTTCTCTAAGAAGCACCCTGAATCAGCCCTTTTCTCCTGGGCTTCTCTTCTCCATTTCAGAGCATAACATTGTGTTGTGATTATATTTATTCCCTTGACTTTGTCCTGCACAGGCTCTGAGCATCTATTTGGTATCCCAAGTACCCAGCATAGTGACTTGCACAAAGCAGGCATTGATCAAAATATCTGCAACTTAACTGAATGAGTGTGAGTTTGGCATGTCCAGGCCAATGGAGACAGCCTCCCTTCTAACCCCAGGCCCAGCATGCTTGGAAGCTGTGTTTCTTGATGAGTATTTTCCTGTTTTCTAAATCTCTGTCCCTAGAAGCCCATGTTCTCCTCTTCCAGTGTTGGGGCACATCTGGTTATTGGTACACGTTGCTTAGTTAGAAACTCTTAAAACAGCATGAAATTGTTAGCACGTTGCTCAGGCCTGCCAAGCTGTTCTTGAGACTTGAGCTTTGGTAGGTTTGGTTTTCTGTTTGTTTTCTGTTTTCATGCAGTTTAGAAAATTGGTCTGTGACAACCTTGGAGGAAATAAGCCTGCCTTGAACTCCACCAAGGGGGAGCAAGCCTGAGATGGCGGGTGGCGGAGAAGGGAGATAAGCTCGGCGGGGAGAGGCTCTGAGATTCCCTGCCTGCATTCCTTTCCTTGTATTCTGGATTGGTCTCTCAGGCTAATTTGATGTGTGGGGAGAAGGGGTGCCCAAAGGAGGAGGGGTGGAACTGGGGAGAGGCTTGTCTCTGCGTGGCTCCTCTCAGGAAGACCGGCAAGACCAGTACAGCACCTTTCGGTTCTAGAGGACAGAGACATGCTCTCTCCAAATAAATGTCTGGGGATGGAGACTGTGAAGGAAGATGTCCCTTCCTCATGCATATGATTCCTCTGTTATCTTTTGGGTATGGGCAGTGTCAGAAGTGTCCCATGTGGCTCCAACACACCATCTCTTCTCCCTACTTTTGGCAGCACTTGTCTCTTGGCAGATTTTTCTTTCTGGAAATAATTTCATATGGGGAAAAGGCTGGGCTGACCTATTTCACTTTGGGTGGTAGTTGCTATCCTTGAGGGTAGGCAGAGCCAGCTACCGCTGCTTCTGGATGGTGAGACCGGGCATGAGGAAGGGTGGGTTGAAGAGGTCTCTAGAACCCCCAGGCAGAACTTGGTTTGACTCCTGGCAGTGGAGATGGGACTCAGGAATTGTTCTTTGGTCGAAATGTCAATAGCAGCATCACCTCTAACCCTTCCCCAGGCACCATGCCTTGTCTTTGGTGCTGTCTGTTCCATCTTTGATGGCTATTTAAAAATCTTTTCTTTCACCCTTTTCCACAAAAGCACTGCCTCCATTTCAGCCTTGAATTTCTCCTCAGAGAGCGGTTCTCAGCTGTGCTGCTGGGTTCTGTGTCTTTATGAGTGAGTCTGAGATTTCTACCTTGCCCCCCAACCCCCTGCATCTAATGAATCTCAAAGCACACCCTTGAGAACCCCAAGGATGGGCATTCTGCCTCCTTATCGCCCCGGGGCACTGAGGTAATTGCATCAGTAGGCGTGTCAATTCTCTAAGGGAACCCTTGTTTATTTGGTATCTACAATGTGCCAGACACTGAGCACATGACTTAGATGGAATGACTTGCTGAAATCATGGAGGCAGTAAGTGATATCCACATGCATGTCTGTCTGATAGCCAAGCACCTTCTCATTCCTCGTACCAGGGGTTCATGAACTCAGAGGATTAGAGTGCTTTGATTCTCAGTCTTTGTCATCTTGCCTGCAGCCCAGTACTTCTAGGCTCGCTTTCTTGGTGGTTCATACCCCAACTCTAAGCCTGTAAGAATAATCGGCGTCAAGGTAAAGTTCCCTTTGTCACCAGCCCTTGGTATTAGTTCGCTATATTAAAATAGGTCTTTAATTTAAAAAGCAGAGGAGGGAGAGAACTAAACATTGAAAGAGTTTATACATTTCTAATTGTGAATGTTTGGCAAGGCTTAAAGGCATATGATGGCTCCCATTTCAACACAGACACTTCTCAGGAATTCCTGCCAACGTTGTTCCCCATCAGTCCTTAGTCCCTTCTCTGCCTCCTTCTCACCTGGAAACGGTTTGAGGCAAGTGTACCTCTCATACACGTAATCTAGATTGGGATTCTTAACTTGGGATTTATGGATGGGTTTCTGGAGCCTGTGAATTTCTAGAAATTGAAAAATGTAGTTGGATTGTTGTGTGTGCTTTTTTCTGGGGAATGGGTTAACAGATTTTATCACATTCACAAAGAAGCTGGTGACTCGAAAGCACTAGAGGTGAACATGGAACTTCCATGTGAGAAACTTCCTTTAGAGGTAAGTGCTAGGATAAGTTTTGCCTCCTCTAAAGGGACCAGTGTGCTTTTTACTTCTTCTAATGTTGTTCTAATGATACCATTAGAACATTTCTTTTTTTTTTCCCATTTTCATTTTATTGGAATTATTTCTACCTGAATCAACTCAGCTTTGTGTAAATGTTATAGGAAGAGAAGATTCATTGAGCAGTTACGTTTTATTACAGAAAAAAAAAAAGAATTGACTTTCATACCAATTATCGTATTGGCCATAGGACATTTTGTAGGGGGCTATGATGTAGAATGACAGAAGGAAAGACGAAACCTGAAGGGCATCTTTACTAGGTGTGAGCTCGAATGTCTTTCTGGGACAAATGTCCGTGAGGTCAAGTGATGAGGTCCAAACAACCTGCTTCACTGTCTCTGGCAGGAAAAGATCTTGGGGCAGGAGGAAGCAAGCCCCTTATAGAGTAAAAAGAAGTTGCCATCATTTTGTGGGCTGTTGTGCTGTCACAGGATATAGTTAATAGGAAAATGCAGACATCAGTGAATTAGAAAACCCACTTCAGCAGTCCCCCTCTTCTCATGGCCCAAGTGAGGATCAAATGTGACTCATCGTGAAGTGATCCTTGTCTATCAAGTCCTACAGGCTTCCCTCCATCACTGAGTGACTCAGGACATGAGCTCTCATTGCCATGCAGAGTGGCTCTTGGCTTGGGTGGCAGGGGCCCTGGGAGCAGTTCCCTAGCTCTGGAAACATCTGTGCCACTTGACCTCATGGGCCCCTGTATTTATTTGAATAACTACTGGAGGATAATGTTGATTAAAAAAAAAAAAAGATGATGTGGTATACTGGAAAGAACATCGGATTTGGGGTCAGTCAACCGTGGTTCAAATCCCAAAGTCTTCCCACCTTTAGTAAAAGACATATTTAACACTTGGGGGTAGCTGGGCATGGTGGCACAAGCCTGTAGTCCCAGCTACTCAGGAAGCTGAGGTGGGAGAATTCCTTGGGCCCAAGAGTTCGAGGCCAGCCTGGGCAACCCAGTGAGACTTCATCTGTTAAAAAAAGACAAAAACAAAAAACACTGTGGGAGAGGGAGGAGATGTTTGCTGGGCCCCTGAGTTAGGTCCATTTCCTCTCTGTTTCCCATCCCTTCTAGAAACTTGTTTATTTTCCCTTGTTGCATCTGTGGCAAGATATAGGTCTCGTGGAAAGGGGACAGTGAGATCATTGGCCTGTTTTGTCCTAATCTAGGCCTGAGGCCTGTCTGTCCTGGGTTCATACTTGGTCGAGCCCAGCTCACCGAGATAAGAGTGTGGGGACAAAGGCCCAGCTAGAATAAAGTTTTTCTTTGCCTAGCACTGGTGGTTTTTAGGGAACCTCCTTAGAAGACAGGTAATGTTTGATCACTTGTCTTTTTCTCTATCTTGCTAATGCAGTTGTGATGGCTGGTACTCTAGCATCCATCTTAGAACAGGAGGATGAGGTACATACATTAGACAGAGTGATAAGCTGGATCCAGAGGATTGAGAAACTGCCAAATAGCCCTAGATCATCAGCTTCTAGCATTATTTTAATTCAGAAAGAAAGAAACTTCTGTCTTATTTAAGTCACTGTTAGGTTTTTCTGTCACATGGGATCCAACCCTAATTAATCTGGTGGTCACACTTTTGGGTTCTAAAGTCAAATTACGTAGGTTGCAGTTTCAACTCTGTCATTCTATGGGCTTCAATTTGGGAAAATTTCATAACCCCTATAAATCTCCAGTTTTTTTTTTCTGTGAAATGGGGGTTATCATTGTGTTTATAGGCATGGTATAATGAATGGTACATGTTCAGCGCTCACTAAATATTTACTGTTATGTTGTTGTTACTGTTATTGTTGTCATCATCCTGGGGCATTTTATAACCTTGGAGAACTTTTTGGGGGTAGCTATAAGGAGGGTAGGAGTCATGTGTTTAGGATCCTGGGGGTCTATCCCTCAATCTTTTTCCATAAGAGAAACAACTCATACGTTCAGAGAAGGCACTTTCTCTCCCTTCCACATCTAAAGTGCAGCTAATGATATTTGTGCCTTGTTGGGAAAATTAAATGAGAAAATATATGCGAAGCAGCCCATACAATGCACAAAGCATACATTCCACAAATGTTAGTTCTTATCTCTTCATCTTTTGATACTTCTTTTCACATTGTGGAGATAAATGTGGGGACCCCCTTGCCTTGCATTTTACACTGTACTCCTAGGCTGGGTAAATTGCAAGTTAACTCTGGCAGCTTGGTGGCTGCAGGTGAACGCAGCTGGTGAAGGGCCGGTGGCCTTACCCTGGGCAGAGTTGTGCAACCCAACCTTGAAGACTTGGGCCTGCAGGCTCCGTGGCCTTGAGTGGCAGGGGGTGTCTCAGTGACAAGGGTAGAGGGCAGAGGTTTGGGGGGTGGAGGGAAGATGGGCAAGGTCTAACAGTGGTGTTGGGGGCCTTAGAGGAGATGGGGTGGGGATGAGGGCTGTCCTCTGCCCTCTTCAAGAGATAACTGCCTTTTTCTTGTGTGGCAGGTCCAACTTTGCAATTTACCAGGTGAGTGGCCACAGGAAAAGTAGTAATCTCTGTGAAGACAATAATACTCATCTTAAAGAGCTGTTTTTGAGGCTCATATCAGACGAGATACTTTATAGAAAAGATGTATGGCACATAGCATAGGCCCCTTTCTCCAACACCATCCTCCATCTATACCAACAAATCCTTGCCTCTAATGAGTTTGCCACACTGGCGTGTGCTCTTGGGGGTCCCTGAATGCCACCTGCAGGTGTCTGAGGCAAGTGCCTTCAAGGAGCCTTGTGAGACTGGATGGTTTCATGTAGGGTGAGCACAAGCTGTTGTAGAAAGTTCTATCCACATGGTTAGAGCTCTGTATAAAAGCAACCGGATGCAAAGACCGAGGCATGGTAGGCATGGGGCCTGGGAGTCTTCTATCAGCAGGCTGCTCTTCAAGCCTGTCCTCTCCCTGTGACATCTAGATGCTTCCCACTGGCCATCGCCCTTCCAGCACAGCAGGGGTGATGGAGCAGAGGCCAGCTCTCTACTCCCTCCTCCATCACCTCTTTACCAAACACAAAATCCTTTTGGATTGGTATCCCTTTCCTTTAAAAACTTTTTAATTGAAAAAGAAATTTAACTTATAGAAAGATATAGAAAAAACAGTAGTATCTCACTGCTAGGTATAAATAAATGTTAACATTTTGCTTTGATTGTTTGCCTTAGATTATGTTTTCCAATGAAACCACTATTAATAATGCTGAAATCTTCATTGAACTGCTTTCCAAGCCTGACTGGAGGCAACCTCTGTCATGATTTTGACGTGTGTCCCTTCAGTCCATGATTTTTACATTCACCCTATGACTATGTATCCATGTCGAGATTTTATATTTCTTCCCTTGACTCTTCCACTGTGGAAGTTATACATGGTATTTCTATTGTTTTTGTAGTTTCTCTAGCATTTTTAATAGCCATATTTTTCGAACAAATTTTAAATTAATTGATATTTCTATTCTCTTCCTAAACGAGATATAGAATTTAGAATGCTTTGACTTTTGCTTCTATCTTTCGTGTTACCACAGTCTAATATTTAGTTCTACCATGGTTTTACCCACTGTTTATCATTATTTTCTAGAATCTGTACCTGTTTAGATTTAACAAAGTATTTATACTTTTCTTGGTACACAATTGCATCTTGCATTCCTGTCTCTATCTTCTTTTTTCTGAAGTAATCCTTTAGTTGTTATTTCAGTGAAGATCTGTGTTTAATTAACTCTTAATCTTTTTCTGAAATTATCTTTCCTTTGTCTGCGGTCTCAGCTGTGGGCCAGCTGAAGATAGAACAACAGATTGACTTCTTCCTTCGCTAGCACTTTTAAGATATTATTCCATCATCTTTTAGCAGCTGTTGATGCCAATAAAAAGGCTACTTCAATCTGATATTTCTTTGAAGATAACCTGTCTTTACTCTCTAGTATCTTTAAAACTATTATTATTTTTTATTTATTTTGTTTTGTCTTTTGTTTTATTTATTTATTTTTTTGAGATAGAGTTTTGCACTTGTTGCCCAGGCTGGAGTGCGGTAACACGATCTCGACTCACTGCAACCTCCGCCTCCTGGGTTAAAGCAATTCTCCTGCCTCAGCCTCCCGGGTTAAAGTGATTCTCCTGCCTCTGTCTCCTGGGTTAAAGTGATTCTCCTGCCTCAGCCTCTGGAGTAGCTGGGATTACAGGCATCCGCCACTACGCCTGGCTAATTTTTTGTATTTTTTAGTAGTGATTGGGTTTCATCATGTTGGCTAGGCTGGTCTCGAACTCCTCCTGACCTCAGGTGATCCACCTGCCTTGGCCTCCCAAAGTGCAAAGATTACAGGTGTGAGCCACCATGCCTAGCCTAAAACTATTATCTTTTTCCTTGATGTTTTGTGGTTTCACATTCATGTGTCTAAATGTGTGTTTGTTTTTACTTATTCCATATGCTTTTTCAACTCAAGGCCCATCAGCTTTTCTCAAATCTGGAAAATTCTTAGCCATCTTCTCTTCAAATATTTCCTCTCACCCTTATTCTCCTTTGTCTCTCTGTAGCACTTATTGACAGATACAGGGCTATTAAAACATGTTCTTTGCCAGAAGCGGTGGCTCACGCCTGTAATCCCAGCACTTTGGGAAGCCGAGGCGGGTGGATAGCCTGAGGTCAGGAGTTCGAGACCAGCCTGGCCAACATGGTGAAACCCCCGTCTCTACTAATAATACAAAAATTAACTGGGCGTGGTGGCAGGCACCTGTAATCCCAGCTACTAGAGGCTGTGGCCGGAGAATCGCTTGAACCCGGGAGGTGGAGGTTGTAGTGAGCTGAGATCGTGCCACTGCCCTCTAGCCTGGGGGACAAGAGTGAGACTTCATCTCAAAAAAAATAGTTCATGTTTTTCAATTTCTTTCTCATTAAAAAAGTCTTTACTATCTTTTTGCTGTGTTCTAGATGATTTTCTCAGATCTGTTTTTCAAGTCACCATTTTTCTCCACTTCTGTATCATTAGGCTATTTAAACAGCCTGTTGAGGATTTAAAAAAAATTGGATAATCATGTTTTTTATTTTTACAACTTGATTTTAGTTCTTTTGCAAACCAGCTTTTATTATAATGTTCCGTGCTTGCAATATAGATTATGGTCTTCTAATTTTAGAACATTTTAGACATACTGATTTTAAGTTCCTTTTCAGAATTCTCAATTATTGGCGATTCCTTAGGAATGAATTCTCCCATTTGTAACATTTGCTGACATTAGCAGTATCATGTCCTTATGTGCTTTGTAACTTCTGTCTCATCCTCAGTGGGAATTATCTTATGTGGAGTCCTGTATATTCTCCAGGACATGAGGCCTCCCTCTGCTGTAGATTCTGCATTATAAAAGTCTCTTTTCTAGACCATCTTAAAAAAGAGATGGGATCTCATTATGATGCCCAGGCTAGCCTCAAACTCCTGGGCTTAAGTGATCCTCCTGTCTCAGTCTCCCAAGTAGCTGGGACTACAGGTGCATATTACTGTACCGTAGACCAATTTTTCTTTAGATTTAGGCTGTGGGCTTCTATTCCTGGTAAAAAGCATGAGAATTTGGGTTTTATACTAGCATATGCAAACTAGGTCCTCTAATTTATTTCATTAGCTCTCTTTCTTTTCCCCCCTACCCACACCTTGGGGTGGTCAGCCAGCTTCTCTGCTATAACTTTGAGTATGGAAAGAGTTTTTCTAATGGCATCATTCTTTCCAAAATTTCTGCGTAGATCCAGTTCTCTGTGATGAATAGGAACTGTGGCTTTGACTTGTGTTTCTATATGATATTAAAGCCCCTCTAAAGCAGTGCTTCTTACACTTCAATGTGCATATGAATCACCTGGGGAACTTGTTAAAATGAAGGTTCTGATTCATTAAGTCTGGGGTGGGGCCTGAGATTCTGCCTTTTTAACAAACTCCCAGGAGATCCCAATACTGCCGATGCAGGGACTGTGCTTGGAGTAGCAGAGTCCTCAAGCATATCTCTGGCCAGGTACTCCTGGGCTTCCATTGGCTCTACCTTCCACTCTGTTCTACATGTTACCTTTGTTTTTGACAACTGAAAGGTTTCCTCTCTTGAGGGTCCCTTCAACCTGAGACTCTGAATCCTAGATTCTTTCCAGTTCTAGTAAAACCCCAGTTACCTGGTATTTTAGGATGAAGTATGGCTGTGTGAGATAGAGAAAAGCCCCAAATAACAGAGGCTTAAACAAGGTGTCACATAAAAGTATTCATAGTTAGGAACTCTAGGGCTGTGTGGTTTGTCCACAATTGCCAAGGACCTAGGCTTCTTGCATTTTGCTGCTCTGTCATCCATGGTGAGCTACCTCATGGTTTAATGTGACTACAAGAGCTCCAGCCATCATATTCACCTTCCAACCAGCAGAAAGGACAGATTAAGAAAGGCAAATCTTAGAGGACACTTGCTGGAAGTTACAAATACCAGCCCCACTTCATTTCATTGCTAAAACTTAGTCACATGTTCACTCCTGATTGCAAAAGAGTCTGGGAAATGCAATATTTATTCTGGGTAGTCAGATGCTGAAAACTAGGGCTGCTTTTGCTAAGAAAGAGGGGAATTGGTAAGCAATAGTCTCTGCCATAACCAGAATGCAGTTTTCTAGAAACTTAAGGCATCTGCCTTAGCCATGGATCCAGAAGAGGATGGGTTGGTGGGAGCAGGAACAGATAGCCTCTTCATCTGCACAGTGGCAGCCATGGAGCTCTAGCAACCAGCAACCAAGAGACACAGAGGCCCACACACACAAAAAAGATAAATACTCAGAGAGGACAGTATGCCCTCTGTATTAGTCCGTTTTCACACTGCTGTAAAGAACTTTCCTGAGACTGGGTAATTTATAAAGGAAAGAGGTTTAATTGACTCATAGTTCCACATGGCTTGGGAGGCCTCAGGAATCTTACAATCATGGCAGAAGGGGAAGCAGACAATTTCTTCACAAGGTGGCAGGAGAGAGAAGAGCAGGGGAAACTGCCACTTATAAAACCATCAGATCTCGTGAGAACTCACAAGAACAGCATGGAGAAAACTGCCCCCATGATCCAGTCACCTCCCACCAGGTCCCTCCCTTGACATGTGGGAATTACAATTCGAGGTGAGATTTGGGTGAGGACACAGGGCCAAACCATGTCACCTCTGAGTAGTTTATTCCTTGAACAGAAGGAAAGCAGAATCGTGACTATATAGTGATAACTACAAAACCCTAGTGTTTTTCTTCAAGGTCTTGAGAAATTTTCCAGAAATAAACAGGCAAATTTCTCAAGAGCAGGCAACAAAAGAGAAAAGAGAATTGGAGAGCCCCAAAGAGTGAGAGCGGTGGAAAGAGGGCTGGCAGCAGACGTTCTGTGAGATGAGAGCAAAAGCAGTTTGGGTGAGTAGCAAAGCTGCCGAAGACCCGGATATTTCTCCTGGGGTATGTGCCCAGGACAGGGTAGAGGTGAGTGGAGGAGGATGGGGGTGGGAGCAAGAGAGTAGACCCACCAGTCACAGTGTCACCTTTCAGGACCTCTAAGACCTCAGTACCAGGCTGAAGGGGAACTGGCCAGGACAAGTCAGGGGTCTCAGGGTTGGGGAGAGAAGGCCAATTTTGGCATAGAGATACTTACATCAGCTTCAATGGTTAGGGCCCAACACAAAGATAGTGGTTTGTTGTGAATATCCCTAGTCCCCAAGTAAACGTTACACTTAGTAATATTACATAATGCATATTAGCAACTCAGAGAAGTCCTATAGTAAATAACCAAACAATGACTGGTTTTTCCCTAGAGATTTAAAATTATTTTTGATTATGGAATGCCCCTTTCATGGGGCATACCTTTTATCCCAGTGTTCCTCAGAGCACCCTCTAGAAAACCATGCCACAGACAGGTAAGCCAGTTGCCCAGAATAAACGCTACTATTTTTAGTACTAAATTCAGATGGAATTACCCCTGAGGGTACTGAAAACACTGTGATAGCACTGTGATGTGGCCCCACATATAACGATGCTTTTCGTGGGACTGTTTCTTGTAATGACATTTTAAAAAATGCTGATTGCGTCACACCAAAAACAGTTCAGCAACAGTAATTCTTCTGGGGCCGATATGATGTACTCCAGATATCCGTGTTTCCCTTGCTCTGGTGGGATCCTTGGACGGTGTTAGAAAATCTGGAAGAACAGATGAACTGCTTGTCCTTCAAGTGGTCTTCTCTGAAATAGTGTTATTTTTAAGCAGGGTTTTTACGTAAATATTTAGTAGTGGGGCATACAACTGTTCTCTCTAGATGAACTCGAAGGATGGTGTTCTTTGTTGCCATTTGAATACCACATCAATCAGTTGTGCCTATGACAATCAAGCTGGGGTGAGGTTGATATGCCTTTTGGAGCTGAGCCCTCCATCACTGTCCACCAGCAAGACAAGGATTCTCTTCTGAAGTTGCTTTGGTCCACTCCAGTGTGTAAATGAATGAGCAAATCAGGCCCCCAAAGTCTACCTCATTTAACATGGCTGAAGTAGTGCCCATGCCTCAGAATATTTAAGATTGGCATAATTAGACCCTTGCCACAGCCAAATACATTCTTGGCAAAGCACCCAAGAAGGCCTGGCTTTGGGCAGTGCTACTGTCAGGACCCCGTCCAAGACAAACTCCATGTTAGCGCCAAGTAACTGAATGAAGTAACTTGTATTGGGTCATTATTTATAAATCAGTTAAAATGTGGAGCCTATCAGAGAGAACATATTTAGTTTTAGGACAGATCTATGGGCTTTCCTTCTGAAAATAATTGGCTAACATGGCAAATTTATTTTCAGATCAGTTCTAATTTAAGATAATAAGACGTCATCTCTCTATACAAGAATGTCTGTCTTTTTGCTTTGCAGGGGAGGTCGGGATTGGCATCCAGGATGTCCAAAACATCATTAGGAGACAACCTAGAAAGAAATGATTCCAGAACACATCCCTGTAATATGTGTCTGGACATATTTTATAGTTAGAAGCCAAATGCTACTGACATGAATGATCATTGCTATTTTTCAGAACTGGTTCTGGCCAGACATTAATGGTCCAAGTTCTAAGTAGCGGCCTGAGTCAGGGTTCACTTCAGGTCAACAACTGTTGCACATCATCCAATATGCTCTTAGAGTTGAGTGTAATAGTAGTCTGAGGTGGGATAGCTGCATCTGAAGCTTGCATGCTCCTTGACGGGTAAGAATTTGACACTCTGCTGCAAAATGGATTTGATTTGGTAACAGTGCAAACCCAGGGTGGGGAAAGAACCCTTTATTAATGGCCTCCAGCACTTGCGTTCTGTCTTTCATCATGGAAGTAAAAACAATTTTCTATGTGTGTGTGTATGTGAGAAATAGATCCTCCCTAAAAGCCAATTCCTGGTGCTAGTGAAAGAATTAAAGAAGAGATATTTTGGATAAATTAGAGTGAAATATTACTCACATGTATGTACATATAGCAATTTAGTATATGATGTGGCATTGCCAATAAGTGGAGGAAAGAATAGGTTATTCCATAAATGAGATTGGGACTACTGGAAATTTAGAAAAAATGGTTGGCTTCCTATTTTCCCATATATAAAAATGCATTCCAGATGGAATAAAGTGCTAAATTTAAAAAACAACTTCAAAAGATCTGAAGAAAATATAGATGAATATTGCATTAATCTTGGAAGTAGCAAAGGAAACCACAAAAGAAATATTTGTTATTTTTGACTACAGAAAAATAAAAACTTCTGTACAAAAAGAAAAATACCACAAACAAAATTACAAGGCAAATGAGTATCTGGAAGAGAGCATTTGTAACATATATAACAGACAAAGGAATAATAACTACAAAATGAGTTTCTAGAAATGGACAGTTAAGACAACCAACCAGATTAAAACAGCAGACACAGAATAGCAATGGGCAAGTCATAGTAGAAATAGATAACTAGTGATTGGTGAACTGAAAGTTAACAATGAGATGTTTTCCTAATAACATATTGGTAAGAATTTAGGAAGGTTTAAAATATCCCATGAGTTGGGGACAATTCTTGGTAAAGAGTAAACTGACCCTGCCTCCAGGATGGCCACGCGGCAGAAGCTATAAAAAATGTCAATGTGCAAATCATCTAAAGCTAGGTATTAACTTAGAAATGTTGGTTTTAGTGAAGCACTCGTACAGGTGCCCAGGAGGCATGGGGAAGGATATATTTTGCAATGTTATATGAGAGGAAATGCAGAAACACCTGAAATACTCATCCATGGGGATAGATTTAAATAGGCATGGTTTGTCTCTCTGCACTTGAAAGAATGGGGGATACCCTGGCATAGAGATATCTGTGAGATATAAGAGGAAGTGCAAAGTGCAAGTTGCAGTAGCATACGCCTGGCATGACACCATGTAATACAGGTCTACAGGCACAGAACTGCAAAGACAAAGGTCTGTAAGAAACAGGTCACATTAACTGTATGTGTGTCCTTTCTTGGTAGGGAAGTATGGTGGTCTGGGGAAGATAATGGTCAATGGGAACTTTCTTCTACCTAGTTCTATGTTGTTTAACTTAACACACACGCACACATATACAAGAATGGATTCGTGTATTGCTTGTATGTTGTTTAACTTAAAACACACAAGAATGTGTTCATGTATTACTTTTTTTTGAGATGGGGTCTGGCTCTATTGCCCAGGCTGCAGTGCGGTGATGTGATTACAGTTTACTGCTCCCTTAGCCTCCTGGGCTCAAGTGATCCTCCCACCTCAGCCTCCTGAGTAGCTGGAACTATAGGCGCACACCACCACACCTGGCTAATTTTTTGGTATTTTTTGTAGATGTGGGGTTTTGCCATGCTGCCGAGGCTGGTCTTCAACTCCTGAGCTTGAGCAATCCTCCCGCCTTGGCCTCCCAAAGTGCTGGGATTACAAGTGTGAGCCACTGTGTCCGGCCTATGTATTACTTACATATTTAAAAAACAAAATCACACACACATGCAGAAAATGGAATGTGGCATTTTGCAGTGGCTTGGACTTTAGAAGTGAGTGATTCTGTCATTGTGCCATATATTCACTTATTCATTCATTTAATAAATATTTTTGAATGCCTACTATGTGCCCAGCACAAAAACTAGAGAAAGAATAGAGAGAAAGATCTGTAAAATTATTTCACTGCAGGCTCTGCTTAGTAATTGTATTAGTCACCTGTGGTTGCCATAATAAACTATGATAGACTGGATGGCTAACAACAGAAATCTATGTTCTCACTGTGTAGGAGGCTGGAAGACTGAGGTCAGGGTGCTGGCCTGGTCTGGTTCTGGTGAGAGTCCTCTCCTGTACTGCAGGTGACCACATTCTCACTGTGTGCTCACATGGGAGGGAGGGAGGGAGGGATCACTTATAAGGGTACTAATCCCATCACAAAAGCCCCACCCCCGTTTAACCCTAATTACCTCCCAAAGGACCCATCTCCAAATACCATCTCATTGGGGTTCAACATATAAATTTTGAGGGAACACAAACATTCAGTCCATCATAATACATTTCATGGGATGTTAAAAAAGATAGTGGACAGAGACACCAAGGTACAATAGATGTGAAATTACAAAGTTAGATCACCCCTTGCAGAATGTACAAAGGAAAGTGAACTCAACACTGCTGTATCCACCTTGAGAAAATAAAATGTTTGAGGCACTGAAAAGGGAGAATGGATTAGAAATGAGATTTCTCTGCTGAGAGCTGTTACAGAGCTGTGACTCCCTCCCCACGGGGTCTGTGTGTGGTAAAAGACACGAGGCAGACGGGTCAACTCCCTCCTCCCTTCTCACCACAGGCTTCCAGCCTAAAGCAAAGTGCAGCTGTGGGTAGGGAGAAGGGCATGTTGTTCAATCAAGTAGGAAAGTTTAATTATTGCACAGAATGGCCATTCAGGTCACCACATTGGGACTGTTGTTTTTCACTTCAAGTGGCTTAGCGTGTCAACCACACAAGACTGAACCAAAAAGTTCCATCTTTCTCTACTGCTGAATAAAACCCCCTGCAGGATCTTCTGGACCTGCAGGAGGTTTTATTCAGCAGTAGAGAAAGACTACCCATGTGGAATCAGGTTTAAAGGGATAATGGAAGATGAAAATAAAATTGTGCTTTGATTACATCATAAGTCATGCGTGGTCAATATATCGGTTACATATAATTGCTCATCAAGGAAGAGGCAAAAGTGTAGAGTCAGGGGAAAAGGGGGATGGTGTGTGGTGCCAGGCTACACAGTGGACACCTGTGGCTTTTCCTGTAAATGTGATCCTTGAGCAAGCCAGGAGTCTGTCCAGGTTTAGCTGTATTCGTGAATTTGGAGGTTCACCAAGACCCCCTGATGTACTCCTTGCAGATGCCAAAGGTTTACTATGGTACACTTTGGAAGGTTTTCCATTAAAATATATCCCATTAAAATGATGTCTTGGCACCTAAAGGATTAGCTTCCATTTATCCAGAAAATGAAGCCGTCTGGTTGGCATTTATTGCTATAGTGTTTTGAGTTTCTGCTAAAACATCGTAGTTCCTGGGGATGCACGTATGCCTCTCTGAAGGTGTGGAGAGGGAACATAGAAGACCTGCTTGCAAAGGGGAAAACGTCTCCTGGCAATTGCCTTCCCTCTTCCTCTTTCAAAATTCAGTGCAAACATCACCTTGTGAAGCTGTCTCCATTTCTAAAGCCAAGTTGATTACTTCTTTCTAGATGAACCATCTATATACTTGCTAAAGTATTTGTATTGTGTGCTTTGTATTTATTTGCCTATCTGCCTATTCCACAAGACCTTCAGCTACCTGAAGGTAAGAAATCCTGTATTTTATCAGTTTTAAGATACTTATTTTCCCTCCACATGTTTACATTTCTGAAATTACTATAGCTTTTGATGGCCTGTCATCATAGTTCAATTGGCAATATATTTCTCAGGGTTCCATAATTTTTGTTTTAGTGGTACATAAAATAATGATATGTCTCACAATTGATGGTGACTTAAAGTCAGAGAAATGTGGCTTATCTAATTCATCATCATAACCACAAACACTACTACCTAACCTAGAATGTAGTAGGTGCCCAATAAATACATGAAACTAACAGATTTTGTGGTGGTGGATTTCAGCAGTAGGGGTCACTGATCTGGATAACTGGCAATGGAGAGCAATATGGTAGGCAGTGGACTTCTGGAACTGCAAGCAACTTCCAGAATGTTGAAGGGGATGTACCACTTAGGCTAAACCTGGCTGCTGTAATGACTAGATCCAATACTGCATTAGTGGCTCAAATGCAAAAGAAGTTTATTTCCTTTTCGATGGAAATTTGATGGAAATTTTGCTGTCGTGTCCTTATCCTGCAGGACCTCTCATCATCCTCCCCATGCAGGCAGAAGGTAAAGAGAGTATGGAGAAGGCAGGGCCACTTTTAAAGTCTTGGTCTGGAAATGACTCATAGAACTTCTGCTCACATTCCACTGGTGAGCGACAGTCACAGGCCACATATAGTTGCAAGGGAGCGTCGGGGGCTGGTAATGTAATTCTTAGCTGGGCTTCTCTTTCCTAGTTAGGAGGTGGGAGCATATATTTTGGTGAGCAGTTATCTCTTTCAACTGCAGGGAACCCCTGGACTGTTGCCTGCAGATAAAGTTGTCTGCCTTTTATTGCAAGTTTAACTTTGACTCCAACTGTGTTAGTCAATCATTTCTTGGAAAACCAACCCTGACCAGCTTTAGTAAAACCAGAAACATCCTGGTTAGGTGAAGCTGGACCTAGGACCTCAAAGAATATAATTAATCCCTCCCCCACTTCCGCTCCTTTTCTCCCTCCCCCTTTCCCTCCCCTTTGTTTTTACTATGCTAGTTTTAATCCACGAACAGGAACGCTCCACAAGGTGGGAAAGAGAAAGATGCCTTACTGGATGCTTTCAGCCCATGACCACAGAAGGAAAGGGAAAGCAGTTTCTTGCAGATCCATTAATCTCCCTGAAAAGGGCTCCTTGTGGCCCTAACCAGGTCATGAGCACTCTTGGGCCGAAGGCTGTGTCAGGGGTGGGGTAGGATGGTGCTCTGAATGGAGAGCTTGACGGCACCACCAGAATTGCCTGGAACCAATGGGGAAGCGATGAAGAACAGTCAAAAAAAGTGAGAGCCGTTCCCTGTTCCCAGCCACCACTCAGCTTCATCTGCCGCCATTCTCCATCTCATGTCCTGCTCCACAGTCACTGAGCTTGATGCCTTTCCCCAAATACCCCAGACCCCATCATTATTCCAAGCTGCACCCTCTTTCAGGACCGGCCTCCTCCATGCGTCTCCCCTGTTCACCCACCAGGACCAGCTCTCAGTCATTTCCTTAGGAAGATTTTCTTGACACCCCACCCCTGCCAGCCTAGCTATCACCATCAAACAGGATTTTTACCCAAAGGGACTGAACTTTGAGGCCACAACTGAGGCCCAAACAGAAGTGGGCTCTGTGGTTCTGCCCCACTGGCTGCACCTACATCTGGGTGTGCAACTGGGCTGGCCTTGGAGCAGCCTGCAGTGTGTTGTGTTGTTGTGTTGTGTTGTGTTGACTGAGTCCCCGGAGGTGTAACATACCGTCTTGTCCAAAACAAACACTAGTGCCAGGGAAATCCTCATCCGTATCAAACAGGGACTGCATGGGGGAGAGGTCTGCAAGGAGTTGGCTGCCCACAAAGCTCCAATTAGCCCCCAAATTATCTCCTGAGTCACGTGTGTGAGGATTTCTAACCAAAATTTGCTGGAAAATGGATTCTCAATGCTTCTGTCTATTTACCTAATACTTAACCCAAGGATAACAACACACATACAAGTTTAAAATAAAACACATGTTGGGTTTTTTTTTTTTAAATAAAAATTTGAAACAGATGGTCTCTTTTAAGACAAATATTTATTCCCCTGACATTTTTTCACTTACATGTTTATATTTTTAAATCTAGGCTTTATGCAGAGACCTTAGAGATGTCACGATAATAAAATCCATGTTGTTCATAATTGTCTATTTCCTAGAATGCAATGCTGGAAGCAACCTCAAGAAGCTATCTCTGGCATCCCCCTCCTCCAGGCAGGCCAATGTGCGACCAGCTGAGACCAACTGGTGTTTATTTTGTTTATCTTGGAAGCTTTTGAGGAAGGAAGCTGTAAACTCTTTCTTACTGTGCTTACCGGCTCTCCATTGAGTTTCCGATCCCTGGGCTGGGTGAAGGGTTCTTGCAGAGGGGAGAGTTCAGAGCAAAGCTGCTTAGGGTGTTTTCTGCCCTGGTGTCTTCTTTGTTATGCTCTTGTCTATCCCGGTTCAACATTGGCAGTGCAGCCCCTCTGACTTTGCCATCACATGCTTATCTTGGGTTCCACTGTACCTGTTCCGATTCCTTTGTACATAGCTCTGATAGGACCAGCTCCTATCTTGGCCAGAGCTGTGAATTTTTTTTTTCTCCTAAGGTAGGTGAGTGTCCAAAGGAAGAATCAATAGATGTTATGAAATGTTAGAAAAAAAATGGACAGTTTTCAGAAGTCATTGACAAAGAGGAGCCAGTCCTTTGCCTGAAATATGTGATTTGAGAGGCGTTTTTTGGGAGAAATGAATGGACTTTTCTGCATTCTTGTATCAGCTAGCTTTTGCTGTATAATAAACTACTCCCAAAATGTACTGACTTAACAGAATATGGTCTTACTATTCTGGGGATAGGCTAGGTAGATTGTCTGGTACAGACTGTCCTGGCTGGGGATGGACAGTCTAGAGTGGCCTCACACTCACGTCTGGTGGTTTGCTCTATGTCACCTGGAGCAACGGAGAACACTTGGCCACGTGTTCTCATTGTTCAGGCTAGCTTGGGCTTGTTCACAGGGCAGTAGTTGCAAGCTTCCCAAGAGTATCAAAAAAGAGCAAGCCTCAATGTGCAAGTGCTTTTCAAGTCTCTGTTTAGGTAATGTTTGCCATTGTTCCATCAGCCAAAGAGAGTCACAAGGCCAGCCCCGAGTCAGGGTAGGAGAATGTATCAAAAGTCATGGATAGAGGGAGGTCATCTTTGCAAGCTTACTACATTTCTTCTTGAGGACAGAGAAAGGAGGCATCCCTTCTTGAGTCCTATCAAATCCAGATGGCCTGATAACTTTCTCAGAGAAGGAAAATCTTGCATTTCCTCATCCCAAACTTTATCCCAGCTGAGTATCAGATTCAATAAGGTTTTTCCATGCCAGTTGTCCCTGCAACCTCCCTGAGGACAAGGACTTGCGTTATCTCTGACTCTCAGCATAATGCTGGGCAACTAGCAAATGATCAAGAAATAGTTTCAAATGAATGAATGATCAATGAATGAAAGCTTGTCTTCCTAATACAGAAGTCATTCTAACTTGATTTGAGTTTACCTTAACCCTCTTTATTTGCTTAATAATTAAAGACATATCAAATAACTGGACTCAAACCATCCCAGAAGTAGTTTAAAAACAGATCAGATCAAGTCCCTCTGTGGTGTAAATGTCTTCAAAGACTTTGTTATGTTTATAATAAAACCCAGCTCCTTGCTATGGCTTAGAAAGTCAACATGATCTGGTCTTTGTATTATCTGCCTTATCATTATTTCTTCTTATACCCTCTTAGCTACTAAGGTCAGTCATGATAGCCTTCTTTCAGTTCTTAGAATACATAAATACGTATCATAGGAAATGGAGGTTTTTCCTTTTTTCACTTGCAGGAGCACTTTCACTTGGATTTTTTTTTTTTTTTTCTTTGAGACAGGGTCTCTCTCTGTTACCCAGGCTGGAGTGCAGTGGTGCAATCACAGCTTACTGCAGCCTTAACCTCCAAGGGCTCAAGTGATCCTCCCACCTCAGCCTTCCAAGTAGCTGGGACTACAGGCATGCACCACCACAGCCAGCTAATTCTTAAATTTTTAGTAGAGATGGGGTCTTGCTATGTTGCCCCGGCTGATCTCAAACTCCTGAGACAATGTTTTATCTATACTCCCAAGGCTTTCTGCAGAGACCTTAGTGTTGGGATTATAGGTGTGAACAACCGTGCCTGGCCCACTTGGAACTTTTCTACTTGAAATACCACTCACCCTCCCACCCTAGTCTCTATAAGCCTGGTTCTTTCTTTTCATTTAGACTTCAGCTTAAATGTCACTGTTATCCTTCAAAGAGGCCAACCAACCTGATCATCTACACTAAGCCATTTTCTATCACTAAACCAGTTCAATCCTCGGCTTAACTCTTGATACTATCTAATATTGCCTTGTTTTTTGTCTATAGTCTTCTGCCTCTTATTTCCCACTAGAATGTTAGTTCCGGGACAGTACCTTGTCCTGGTCTTCGAGCATCTAGAACATTGCTTAATACACAGTGTATGCTCAAGAAATATTGGAGGCGATGGAAGACTTACCTGATCTTTCAGATCTTAATCTTTCTCCTTGATCTAATTGGCAAACAAAAAGGAAAACTTTAGGGGTAATTTAATCTGGTTCCTTCTCTATAACAATTCCCTAAAACATAAGGCACTTACTGCCTGATGTGGACATGCATGAAGAAACTGCTAGAGAATCTCTGTTTGCATTGGTTGCTTGAAAAAATTCAGGAACAAAAAGTTAAGATTACATAGCAATGAGTTATTTTCATGATTCCTTTTTTGGCAATAGTTTTACAGTGTGACCTTTCCTTAAAAATATTTTAAAAGTTAAAAAAATCTAACCAAATACTACTGAAGAGCTTATAATGCAAAGCAACAGTCACCTTCCCTTCCAATCCCACCCCTCCACCTCCTGTTCTGCTACTAAGAGACATCTGCTTTTATCTGTTTCTGTTTTTAGTTCTAAAACATATCTAAATAATGTGTGTATACCATTCTTCCTTCTTTTATCCAGTTCAGGCATTATCTGCTGATTTTGGCTCTGATGGATGAGGAGCTAGCTCTCTAGATCTCTTTTATGTTGCAGGCTTTCCTCAGTGTCTGGGGTCCTGGGTTGTTGAGAATGAGGGACTGGGAAATACATTTGGGAGCTCTGTGTTTATGGGTGGTCACTGGAAGGCTTTGGTGAGAGGAAGATGGGGGCTGGGGCTGAGGGGCTGGCCATCTTGCTGTGGGCTTCTGAAATCCAGGATATTGGGGCTTTCTTTACTCTGGTGTACCACCAATAACCCTTGTTGTCCCTGTTCTCCAAGACGCTGAAATTTCCTTGGAGGAGACTTCTTCCCTTCTTCCCCTCCCCTCTGTCCTTTTCTCTCTTTGCGGCTCCCTTCTCTGGCCTTAGGATTCAGAGCCTGGTTGCAAACCATTCTGACAGCTGAGGTCGTGGATATGGTTAGAGTGCCCTTACCATGCTGTATACATATTTTGAATTAATCTCCCACTTATTCTTACTTTCATCACCCACCTTGTCTATTGTCTTTGAGTCAGACCCTCTCCAGGGTAGGGCCAGGTGGGGCAGCTACAGCTCCTTCTAGGAAGCTTCTAGGAGATCAGGATTTCTATCCTGCCAGCTACTTTGCTTTGTCAGCGAATTCTCTTTTATTGGCGTTAAGATTTCTAGAAATGGGTTGAAACTTTTCTTCTGCTGAAGGACTCCTTCCATTTTCTTCCCTATTAAGGATTTATACCTTTTAAAAATGCATTTTGGTAAAGTCTCAAGAGGAAAAGAAAGTGAATGCATCTGCTCTTTTGCCATGGGACAGTCTTGACTTTTCTTTCACTTAAAAATGTACTGTTATGCTGTTTAATTTGGATCTTTATCATTTTTAAATTATTTAATCTGTTTAATTTTTTTTCAAGACAAGGTCTCACTCTGTTGCCCAGGCTGGAGTGCCGTGGCACAATCTTGGCTTACAGCAACCTCCACCTCTCGGGCTCAAGCGGTCTTCCCACCTCAGCCTCTTGAGTAGCTGGGAGTGCAGGCGCACGTCACCATGCCCAGCTAAATTTTGTATTTTTTTTTGGTGGAGATGGGGTTTTGTCATGTTGCCCAAGCTGCTCTTGAACTCCTGGGCTCAAGAGATCCATCTGCCTCAGCCTCCCAAAGTGCTGGGATTACAGATGTGAGCCACCATGCCTGGTCTATCATTTTTTAGAAAAGATAATTCTACAGAGTTTTGCCCTGGTAAGCTCATGACATCCTTTGTTCAGCTGCGATAAGATACATTTTTCTTCATCTCTTCATTCTGCAGTCCTGGAGCCCCAGCCTAAGCAGTTAGTCTGAAGGTTTTCCGTCTCCCTTTGCAAATTCTTGCTTATTTCCACATGCTGACCTGCCCACTTGAAGCCATCAGCAAGTTCTCTGAGAGCCTTTGATCACAGCAGCAAACTGGGTTTCTTTCATCAAACCAGAGGCTCCCAAATGGTGGGGTCTACCTCCCTGTCAAACTAGGGATCCCCATGGATGTAAATGACTTCCTAATTACACAAATGGGACTGCCTCCCCAAATGGGATTTCTTCCCTCATCAGATTGGAGGCCCCCTATCTATACCTCTATTTCTTTTAGGACCAGGAGGATTTCTAGACATATGTGATGAGCACAAATAATGCTGAGCAGGGGGTTGGCGATGGGGGTAGTCAGGAGATACAAGCTCAAGGAAAATACAGTGATATCTGGGCTGGTTGGGCTGCAGTTGGCTGTTCGTCTAAACCTCAATGAGGTGCTCTCTCTAACCATATTTAAGAATTCCTGACTTAGATTAGATTTTATCTTTCTGGAATAGCTCTGTTTTCCCTTCAAGGAGGTCCATATAGGCGAATGAACCAGTCAGAGACCCCTCTCATCAAACAGAATAAACCTGTCACTCTCTGAGCAACAAGGACTAAGGGTCCAGAAAAATGGAAGTGCTAGAGGAGGTTGGGCTCAAGAAGGGCCCACATGTTTGAACCATTTTCAGTTGCCTCAGAGGATTACCAAACTCCAATTTGAACCAATGGCAGCCTTTACTGGAAGGTGTAATGGAAAGAAACTCAGCTACTGGGCACAAGACTTTATGAGTAATAACATGGCTACAGGAAAGAAAAAGATGGAGCCAGGCTAGGTATCAAGACTAACCATTTAAAAATGGGAAATAACATACATAGGCAATAATAGCAAACAAGCTAAGATAGTTATATTACAAGTGCATTACAGAATAACATGTTACCACTAACATTTCTACTCCTAGAACACTTAAAACTAGAAATCTATGAAACTTTCTGTATAGTATTATCCCATGTTTAATTAAACATTTACATATTCTAGGCCAGGCGTGGTGGCTCATTCCTGTAATACCAACACTTTGGGAGGCCGAAGTGGGCGGATCATCTGAGGTCAGGAGTTCCAGACTGGCCTGGCCAACATGGTGAAACCTTGTCTCTACTAAAAATACAAAAAAATTAGCTGGGTGTGTTGGCGTGCGCCTGTAATCTCAGCTACTCAGGAAGTTGAGGCAGGAGAATCGCTTGAACCCTGGAGGCAGAGGTTGCAGTGAGCTGAGATTGCACCACTGCACTTCAGCCTGGGTGATAAGAGTAAGACTGTCTCAAAAAAAAATTATATATTCTATAAATGAATTTTTTGGATAAACACTCTCATATGGTAAGACAGTCTTCTCTTTCTATTCTAGATTTTCTGTTTTCATCATTGAGCAACTGAGCATGTGTTATTTTTCAATGAGAATTTTTTTCCTAGAAAATAACATACATGTAGAGTGTACACCAGAGGTTGTAAACTCAGATTCTTACAGAATTCAGAATGGCAACAAAAATGAGTAAAGTGGACTGGGTTTAAGAAAAATCAACAGCCAGAAATGTAATCAAACTTTCATTTTTACTTGACTAGGGCATAAGTACATAATATAATATAAACGTGTGATATTGGGGATTATATATTAAGTTTGAAATTGAAAAATGTAACATTAAAAAAAGAAATATGTAATTATTAATTTTTTTCTTTCATACCTCATTACTTCTTTGCTTTACAACCAGAAATGTGACACTTTTTCTTTTACCCCAACATGTCAATGTTGAGTCTTGCATTTCATGTTGTGATGTGCTGTATAGAATTCAACCTTGAATCTTTTAACTGAGAGCAATCGTTTTATTTAGTTTCATAATGGAAAACAGCTGTTCATGGCTGAGCATTGATAGAATATTTGTATGATGGTTTTTATATTTAGGGTAACCACTCCTGAGATATTTGTAGAATTCTGGCATTCCAATGTTGCAAAATTTAGTTTTAGGGAATGAATTGTGGTTCAAAAAATTCCATTTATATTACAATACTGAGAAAGGTGAGTTCAAAAAATTGCATTTGTGGCACAATATTGAGAAAGATCATTTTCATAAAACTAGCAACTTTTTTGGAATCTCATCCTGTCTTCAGCTCCAGAATTTTTAGAGAGCAGTTGAAGAGACCTCTTTCATTTTGGAAAACTGATTTCAGCATAGGAAAATAAGCCAGATGATTCTTTGCCAAATGAGTTTCCCTAAGATATAATTTCACTAAGAATGAGAAAACTGAATAGCCATTTGCATATTTGTGATAATTCTTAAAGAGATACCCAAAAGGGTTAAATGGCTTGTGATATTTACTGAAAAGGCATATACTTTGATCCAATCTTTGCTGGTGAGCTGGGGTATTTTTGTTGGATGATATGAACAAGTTAATAACTTTTCAGCTGTTCCTCCCCTCCCACCCATGAAAGACCCCGACATTACACACTAACTACCCTTTATTTATTAGAACAGACGAGTGTTATGACTACTGCATATCCACTTTATCAGGCAAAGCACTGAACTCTTTATGCTTTTAGCCATGGGAGTAAGTCCCATTCACTAGGCCCATGATATGTGTTCTATTTTAACTTTTTAGCACAAGGCAATTCCTGGTGAATTATTTAGTTTCCCTAATTGTGCAAAATTGGCCACCTTAGATTTAAGATTCATAACAAGGTCAGTGTTAATGCTGATCATTTCAGGAGCTCTGTTTTGTAGCCAGGCTTACTAATTTTGACCTGTCTGCTTTAAGTTTTTCAAGGCTTCTCAACACACAAAGCTAAGTAATTTCCTGAAATTGTGCCTGTGATGGACACCATGACCAAAAGTTCTCCAATCACATTGAAGTCTCTTTGGAACCATAAATAAATATAGCTGACTGGGTGGTATTATTTTAACTGGGCTCTCATAAGCTTCACTAGGAAATGCCACAAATGATTTAACTTTTTCACACAACCTGTCCTGTAAGTTCTCAGCCATGTCGTCATCTTGTTGAGCAACCAGCGTTTCTGTTTAGTCTTCCATTTGCAAATACTTGTTTTTGTTCAAGGTATGAATTTCTCTATCCTCAGTAGATTCTCTTTTGTAAACTCACCATTAATAAAAGGTTTCAATGCATGAGCAATATTTTCTCCTTCTCCATAACTTCATTTCACAGTTGTGTCATTTGTTTTATTTGCTTTGAAAAATAAAACATGTTAAAACATCAGTACTTTCTTTTAGATCGTTAAGTTTCCCTACCAGCCTCACAGCTTTTTTGTTTGAATTCTTTTGATACTGACACATTTCATTTGCATGTCAAACTTGGAAGAATGATTTTAACTTCTCCAAAAATAAAAAGCTATTTTCCGTTTTTTTTTTTTTTTTTTTTTTTGCAAACATGCAAACACATAGCTCTCGTTGATGCTCTTTTGTGTCTGTCCTTTTGCTTGAGTTATGGATATGTATGTATGAATGTCCATATAAAAGTTACTTTCTTCCCAACTCTGTTATAAGAAAATCATAGTCTAGGACGATGATGAGTGACTACTGACCCTCGGCCTCAGTGATAGGAAGAGAATGGGGAGTAGTGAGGGGTATGGTGGTATGGAAAACTACTCAGCTCCAGAGGACTTATTCCTTGCTGGAATGTGATTTCATTATAGACCTTCTAAATTCTTAAAACTTAAAGAAGGTGTAATATACAAATAGAAAAGTGGATCTATTTTAAGTATATGGCTTGATAAATTTTCCATGAATAGATCATAGATTGAGGAACAGAACAGCATCAGGACCCATAAGGCCCCTCACACTCCTTTCCAATTGAGACCTTTCAGTTTTTTTAAGAAAAAAGTATTTGGATTCATATGTGAACTCTCAATTTCTAACTTTTGTCAAGTAATTGAAAACATTAAAAAAATCCCTTGGGCCAAACAAAACACATCTCTGGCCAGAGTCAGCTCAGAAGACTACAGCCTGAAACCTCTGGTTTCCATGCTTTTCTTACTGTCTGGCAGCTCACACCTCTCTTCTCCTCCATCTAGAGGGGTAGGCAACCATGTTTCTATGTCATGATACCAGCCATGGTTGACCGGGGTCTTTCTCTGGGACTCTGGAAATGGGACACTGGAATTCTCTTTATCCTGGTGATGGTGCCAAAAGTGGCTCCAGGCCTAGAGCAGGCCCTATTCCACCATCCATTGAGGAGCAGAGAAAGCTGATGCCCACAGCGAGAAGGAAGCAGAAGTGCAGAGTGAGAGAGTGGGAGAAACTGCTTGGTTCCCCAATGTTTTTCCAGTTTTTGAGTTCTTGGTTCTAGCCCCTCCTGAGGCCAGTATAGATAAGGGCTGAGGAGCCAATTAGGCTGGTAGGCTTCTTCAAGAATTCCAGAGGAACAGTCAGGTGGGTGGATCAGAGTAAATGATGCTGGTGACAGCCAAGGACTGGCAGCCAAGTGGGCGGGGTCTCCATGTGAGACACTTCTTCACTCAGAGTCACATCCTAGGCCAGTGGGCTGGGATCAGGGGTAGAAGGCCCAGCAGGCAAGTAAAAGATGTATATTCCCTCAGGTGAGCTTGTAACTGAGTTCTAGATTAAGAAATGTTGGAGACTGAATGATTATTTCCAATTCTCCACTCCCTCCCTGCAATAGAATTATATACCCATGCCCTTTGCCATATGGCTTTACATGCACCCTACTAGAGGAGGTAGAGCCTATATTCCCATGCTGTCAGCTGTGGGCTTGGCCAGTTACCTTGCTTTGGCTAATGGAAATATGGATGGACGTGACAACGAGACAGTTCTGAATTGAGGCCTTAAGAGTCATGGGAGGCTTCCACTAGCCCCTTTGTGTGCTGCTTCCATATGTAATGAGAAGAGCCTATCCCAGGTAGCTGCTGGTTCCAGGAGAGAGATATGGAACTGATCTGTACCCAACTCACCACCTGAATCACAGCCCTTCTACCCAACCCACAGATTGTGAGTGAGGAAAATAAATGTTTGTTTTTGTAAGCCACTAAGATTATGGGATGGTTTATTACATAGTATTATCACAGCAATGTCTGACTTATACAGAGAAGAACTGGGTCCTAGGCAAAATTAGGGACAGAAGAGCCTGATTGTATCACAATGGGCCCAGGAGAGGGGAGAGGAGAGCTCAGGCTCAGAGGCAACGTGGTGCAGGAATGTGGGTTCTTAGAGGTCATCCCTGAGGGCACCAGATCCATGTATGATTGGAAAAGGGAAATGAGAGTGGTCTGGGGGAAATACCTGTCACCTCATTGATCATCTGGCTTGAAGGAAAATCAGGAGGAACACAGGAGCCAAGTAGTTGTAACTGAGCTGGTGACATTATTCCAAGCCGTTGTATCTGCTCAAACTTTACATACTCTCCAGCTTGGTTAGCATTGACTCAGGAGCTGTGAGCATCGGTGGATCTAGTTGTGAGGATCCTGGGAGGGTAGCAGCAGGAAAAATAAGGTAAAAGAGGGCACCAGCACCACAGCTCTCAAATGCTCACAAGTGTGAGTGCCTGTGTGTGGTTATCTGACAGCTCTTTTATAAATCTGATGGTTGCTTTCTACCCACCTGCTTGCTGTTTTTGTTGACATCTCAACCTGGAGTGGGTTTGAGGCTGGGAGGCTGAAACATACTCTGACCACATTCACCCACTTTCTGAGAACTTGCAGGCTCAGATGAAGCCTGTGAAACCACAGACCTATATAGGACAACTAGATGAACACGGCACAGTGGGGTGGCCAGTGATATATGTTGCCACAGCAGAGGATCCTGGGCAGTCGTAGCACAGACAGGGTGTTTCTGATTTTCCTTCTTGAAATTCCTCTTCCCAGGGGCTTCCAAGCTCAGGAAGCTCTTGTCATCTCCTAATCGAGGCAGATGAAGATGGGAGTTCTGTAGGGAGGCGTTTCCACTTAATCAAGGCCAGTCATACCCAAGCTCTAGGATTAGACAGATCTGCAGATCTGCGCAGTTACTTGGGCAGCCTGTTTTCTGTCTCTGCTACCTTGTTATCTGGCTCTTCTCTGAATTCCTGTAGCTTTTCCAGGACTTAAACAATGAGATTAACAGCTATCATTTTTTGAATGCCTACCATATGCTAGGCTCTCTAGTGGATCTTTTACAAGTATTATTGATAATAACAGCAAAGATAACTAATATTTACTAAGCATTTGCTAGGTGCCAGGCACTATGCCAAGCCCTATACTTGTATTAACTCACCGAGAATCCTCACAACGAGGCAACATGGGTGTCATTATTTTTATACACAAATAATAAACGGTGGAGCTCACTCCACCATTTGGATCTAGATCGGTCTGACTCCAGAGCTTTTGTTTTTTCACTGGTGATGCTCTCTTGCTTGATCTTGCTCTCTAGCCATGCCAGGACACTGTGCAGTTGGGCACGATAGGCTGGGGCAGATGCAGAGGGCTGGGATATGGAGTTAGATCAGGAGGATGAATGCAGGATGGTAGAAGTCCAGTGAGTCGTTCATGAAGGAGACAGGGATAAGGTTCAACAAGAAGTATGGTGAGGCCCTAAAAGGCAAGAGGAGCAGAGGTACAGACAACCCAGAAGCCATCAGATGTCCTGGCAGGCAGTCCAGGGGCAGGACAGCAGATCCTGGAGGAGACAGAGCTGGCCACAGCACAACTCATAGTTCTGGCTCTGCCCTTTACTAACTTTTGGGCAAATGACTTACCTGCCCTGAATTTCAGTTTCTTCATTTGTAAAATGGGCATAAAGAAACCTCCTTCATAGGGTTGAAATAGCTGAATGAGATAGCAAACATAAAGCACCAGTGACAGTGCCTAGTCCTGAGGATGTGCTCCACACATAGACTGCTACGTTTCTAAGACAGGCTCAGGCACAGAGACAGGGAGAACCCAGGCTATCATAACTGAGAGTCAAATAAAGTGCCCCAGGAGCAGCATTCTAACTAACCTGCTGACTGGGATTAGTATTGGTTTTAGAGACTGGAATGGGGTTAAGTGACCTCATTTCCATATAGAGGGTGGCTGAACTGAGTGGACAAGCAGGTACTGGTTTTTTCATAGATGGGTGTTGAAATCCCAGCCCCACACAGCTGACAGGCTCTTGTTCAGGACTTTGGACTTCCAGTCTGATGTCCTTTCGATGATACTGTGCTGGTGGTAAATAAACACTTGACATAAAATATGTTCAGGCATGTCAATGGCACATGCATTGTAATGGTTTTGAAACATGTCTGCAAATTCCTTGATGTTCCTCCCACTGAGAGGTGGCATTGAATTCCTCTCCCCTTGAACATGGACCAGCCTCAGTGACTTGCTTCAAAGGAAGAGAATGTGGCGAAAGTGATGCTGTGTGTCTGCTACGGCTGTTTAGAGAAGCTTCTGCCTGGCTCTGTCTCCCGGGATGCTTGCCTTTGAAACCAGTTGTTATGTTAGGAGAAAGCTCAGGCTACATAGAGAGTCCACATGAAATTTTGGACCAGCAGCCCCACCTAAGGTCCCAGCTAACAGCCAGCATCAATTGTCAGATCATCCTTGAAGTTGTCCCAGCTGATACCAAGTGGAGCAGGGATGAGCTGTTCTCAACAAGCCCTGCCTAAATTGCTGATTCATGAGCAAAATAAAAGTTGTTGTTTTCAGCCAATAAGTTGTGGATGGTTTATTTTGTAGCAATAAGTAAATGGATCATGAACTTGCATAGTAGAGCACAGAGGAGAAGCAGCAGGATCCAGTTCTAAGAGCTTGTGTTCCAGAGTCACGCAGTTGATTATGCATTTTCAGCTCTGCTATATGCTTGCTGGGAAAGTTATATACCCTCTCGAGACTGTTTTGTCCTCTGTAAAATGGTAAGATGGTAAGATTGATTGTATGGGTGTTGTATTAGTTTGCTAAGGCTGCCATAACAAGATACTATGGACTGGATGGCTTAAACAACAGAAATTAATTTTCTCATAGTTCTGGAGGCCGGAAGTCCAGTATCAAGGTACCGGTAGGTTTGGTTTCTTCCGAGGCCCCTCTCCTTGGCTTGCGGATGGCTGCCTTCTCGCTATGTCCTTGCCTCCCAGCATGTGCCTAACAATGTTCACATTTCCTCTTCTGTAAGGTCACCAATCCTATTGGATTAGGGCCCACCCTAATTATGATTCACTTTAACTTAATTACCTGTTTTAAGGATGTGTCTCCAAACACAGTCATTCAGAGGTACTGGGGGTTAGGACTTCAACGTACGAGTCTTGTTGAGTGGTGGGGAGTGGGTAGATACAATTCAGCCCATGACAATCGTTACCAGGATTAAATGAGGTAAAACAAACATAAAGAACAGGTTACTCGTGGACACATTGGAAGTGTTTAATAAATAATGGCCATTATTATTACATATGTGATGTCAACCTGATTAATTATACCTGATACATGCAAAAAAGGGGAACACCACTATGTATGCCCCAGGGGAAGCTGTGTATTCCTCTCACTTGGATGATAAGAGAAGACAAGCTCTCTACTAAGCACACTATGTCCCTCCACCTCCTAACCTGGGCCCCTGGCTTAGTGATGGTGGCAAGAGAGGGGTTGAGGAGTCCCCTCTGGAGGAAGGAAGCAGCATTATTTCTTGACCCTCAGAGACAGCTGCTTCCTTTGGGGACCCTTGGAAGGGGCTCCTTGTTTAAGCCTGGAAGATCCCAGGGTGATATCAGGTAAGGAAAGACCTGGGACAGTGTACAAACCCGAAGTCACTCTGTCTGCAATTGCCTGGGTGCTCCAGAACTGACCCTTGGAGTCATCCCCACTGGAGGCAATTTGGAGAAGGTATTTTCGAGAGAAAGTCCCCACGCAGAAAACCTTTCTGCCAAGTCCTTTGTTTTCCTAATGTTGCCGCAGTGTCTGGAGCTGAATTTTAAAAATGGCATTTTCCTGGAAAGGATTTTTTGGTCTTTTTTGGAAATGTCTCATGTAAAACAAGATCACCAGTGGGCCATTGAGTCTGGTCTCCCCGGGATGAGCTTGGGAAATGGCAAGTGGGGGAGGGCGAGTCTGGGTGGGAAAAAGAACAAAAAACAGAGTTGGAGGGAAAGCGGGACGTGACAAAGGGGTCAGCATTCATGTGTTAGGAATAGGCTCAGAGCTCAGGATTCATTCCAGTGGGTAAGGCATCGTGCCGGGGAGGGAGGAAGGGGAAGGGGCCCTTGACAGCAGGGCTGTGGGAATGTCCTCTGAAAGCCTCCATTCACCACAGAAATGGACCTATCCCTGGGCCTGCCACCTCCTTCACTCCCTTGTGTGACATGGGTAAGAAGGCAAGAATGATACAACAGGGGCCGTGTCTCTTCCATCAGACTGGATTTCCTTCCTGAAGGGAGGAACTATAGGTGGCATTCATTCTACGGCTCTAAGAGGGTTGCCTTGTATCTTCCCATCAGACTGGAGGGTCCCCAAGTACAGGGACCCTGTCCCTCCTTGACCTAAGGAATCAGTAGAGCTGAGAACCTCCTTCCCTTCCTTCTCTCTGTCTCCGTGAACTCACTGTGTAGGAGGAGCTTGGTTTGTGACCTGCCTGACCCAGTGACCTACTCAAAGTGGCATCTCCACCCTTGGAAGCACAGGTAAGACATGCTGACTGAAAGTCATTGCCATGAGCAGCTCGTCGCCACCTCTCTCCTGGCCCAGGGCCAGGGCCATTTCTGTGGCCAAGTGGAATTTCTGTGGCAGGAAGACTCTTGGAAGCTCTTTGCAGAGTTGGCTTTCATCCTCCAGGCTTCTCTGTTGCTCTTCTGTCCATTCCTCAGCCTGCCTGTGCCTCTCAGGCCTGGCCTCATGTCTCCCGGGTTTGTGGTGACCCTGGGCCTCAGACTGGAATGAGGACAAATAGCAGAGGAATGGGTAGATAAGAATCACTGAATCTCTGAATTAGAAGCCACTCTAGAGGTGGTTTTCTCCATTTTCTTGTCTGGAAAGTAAATTCATACAGTGGACACTTAAGAACACCTGTTCTGTGCCAGTCTCTGCTTCAGACACCAGGTACATAGTGGTGGACAAAGCAGTCATGGTTCCTGCCCTCATGGGGCTAAGTGTCTGATATCTGAATATTTGGACAATAGTCTCATTAAGTAGCCATACAGATTGTACTTAGAAAACCATGTTTTTGGAGTTCTCCCTCCCTCCCAAGGCAGCCAATTTCAATTTGGACAGCTCTGAAAGTTATAGAAGTCCCTCCATAGATGTAGTCAAAGTCCTTCCACTTCATAACTTCCACTCACTTGTCTCAGCCTACTTTCACATCTACCCAGGACAATAAGCCTGTTCCCTTCCGCCTGGAAATCCCTCACCATGGTGGCAAATCTGTTAGTTTTTCTTTTGTTTTATTTTTGGCTATGTTATTAGGTATATTCATGTTTAGGGTTGTTTTATTTTTCTGGAGAATTCTTTTTATCATTTTGTAATTGTTTTCTTTATTTTTTCTGACTTTAATATTGTTTCACTGCTTGGCTTCAAAGTTGTGGGTTCCTACCACCCTCCCATTTCAGGTTGAATAATTGGCTAGAAAGGCTCACAGAACTTTGGGAGATACTTTACTTACTATCATTTTTTTTGGATAATGATCACTTGGTATATTTCTTCTGATTTCATTTCAATAATTCTGTGTTATTATATTTTAAGTGTGTTTACTAGAAAAAACAAAAGGCCGGATTTCTTATTTGATCTTAGTGTTTCTTTTAACAAGTAATTTTAATTCTTTACATTTACTACATTTATTATTAGAACACAGTTATGACTGGTGTATATTGATATCTTTATGTTTTTGTTTTAATCTCTTAGCTTCTTTTGTTTCCTTTTTTCTTTCTGTTAGTATATTGACAATTTTCTGTTTTTTTCTCCTACTGTTTTAACAGTTACATACATTTGAATTCTCTCCTTTGAGAGGTTATCCTTAAATTTTTTAACATTCTTTGAATGCTACCAATTTTAAACTGTTTTTACTTACAACACTTCTGACACCAAATGGGTGGTTTTTTTCCCCATGCTCACAACTGTTTCCAACTCTCTGGGCACCAGCTGGGTGTCCTACAATTCAGTTCAATTCTGACACTTACTGACGGAAGTTAATGTCAGACTCCACAGGTTTACAGGCTCAGTCTCACAAGCCTCCCTTCACTTCAGATGCCTATTACAAATTTGGTGCCCAAGATACTACCACTTCTGTCTGACATGGCTACAAAGTTGTGAGTTCCCACCACCCTCCCATTTCAGGTTCAGTAATTGTCTGGAAGGGCTTACAGAACTCTGGAAGATACTTTGCTGACTCTTAGTTTTCTTTTGTGTAGAGGAGCAGATGAATGGCCAGATGAAGAGGCACATAGGACAATGTTCAGCAGGGTCCCAAGCACAAGACTTCTGTCCATGTGAAGTCGGGGTCTGCCACCTTCCCAACACATGGATGTGTTTGCCAACTCTGAAACTCGCTGAACCCCTCCGTGTAGGAGTTTTTAATGGGAGTTTAATGATGTAGGCAGGATTAATGAAATTATTGGCCATTGGTGGTTGAACTCAACCTTCAGCCCCTCTCCCCTCCCTGGAGGCTGTGGGTGGAGTGGGGCTGAAAGTTTCAAACCTCTAATCATGCCTTGGTCTTTCAGGTGACCAAGACTCCTGAATCTATCCACATGCCCTCAACTACCAGTGCTCTTATTAACATACAAAAGATACTCACCACTCCATAGATGCTAAGGATTTTAGGGGATGTGTGTCAGGAGGAACAAAGATCAAATACTTATTTTTACTATATCACACTGTGCAATTTAGGTTTACACTTGGCTGTACATCATAGAAAACAGTGGATTAAACATTTAGGGGTTTATTTCGCAACGAGAAGACTGGAGTAAAAAGTTCAGAGCTAGTACACATCTTTAAGGATATCATTAAGCACCCAGGGTTTTAAAATTTAATTATCCTTTTCTCTTACTCTTAGTGTGTGACTTCGTCCTGTCTTCATGGTCTCAGGGTGTCTGTTGCTCCTCCAAGCATTTTGTCCTTATTTTAGGTAGGAAGAAGAGAAAAGGGTAATTGGTAAAGGGCAAAGCATTCTTTCTGGAAGTTGACCAGTAGGCTTCTGTTTTTATTTCATTGGCCAGAACTGCAATACATTGCTACCTCAGCCTCAAGGGAATCTGGGAAGGTGTGTATTTTTAGTTGAGCACTGTGCTGCCCTGTGAAAAATCAAGATTCTATTAAAGAGAGACTATATACTGTGTTAGCTGCTATAAGTATATATAATTCATGCATATTACTGTAACAATTTTACAGTTAATTAGACTCTGTATATCCTTAGGATGCTCTTATTCTAATTACTCCATCCTAAGTTTTATGTTATTAGTGTTTGGCACTTTAGGTCCACTTTGTCTTGTTTGTTTGTTTTGATTTATGAGATAGGGTCTTGTTCTGTTGCCCAGGCTGGTTTGCAGTGGCATGATCATAGTTCATTGCAGCCTCGAATTCCTGGGCTCAAGTGATCCTCCTGCCTCAGCCTCCTGAGTAGCTGGGACTACAGGCACACACCACCACACCTGGCTAATTTTGATATTTTATTTTTATTTTTTTATTTTTGTAGTGACAGGGTCTTTTTATATTGCCAGGGCTGTTCTCCAACTTTTGGCCTCAAGCGATCCTCCTCCTTTGGCCTCCCCAAGTGTTGGGATTACAGGCATGAGCCACTCCCCGCTTTGTCTTTAAATGCCACAAAAATCAGACGATAGTATTGTTATTGCTATTTTGCAGTCAATTCTTGTTTAGATTTACCCACATGTTTATCCATTTCTTCACTTACCACTGATTCTTCCACCCTACTCCTTCCTCTCAGCTCAATTTTCTTCTAGAAGTGATAAATTCTCTTGTCTTTTTCTGAAGATGTGATTTTTTAAAAATCCCCACTCTTGAATGATAGTTAACCTTGGCTGGGCATTCTACAATGATAGTTGTTGTTTTCTTCAGCACAGAAAAATTATTCCATTGGTCTCTGTTTGCTGATGCTAAGTCTGCTATTTTTTTCTTATGAATGATATCTCTCTTTAATTCCTGATGCTTTTTTTTTTTTTTTCTTTTTTTGAGACTGAGTCTTGCTCTGTCACCCAGGCTGGAGTGGAGTGCAGTGGCGTGGTCTTGGCTCATTGCAAGCTTCACCTCCTGGGTTCACGCCATTCTCTTGCCTCAGCCTCCTGGGTAGCTAGGACTACAGGCGCCGCCACCATGGCTGGCTAAATTTTTGTATTTTTAGTAGAGATGGGGTTTCACCGTGTTAGCCAGGATGGTGTTAATCTCCTGACCTCGTGATCCGCCCACCTCAGCCTCCCTAAGTGCTGCGATTACAGGCGTGAGCTACCACACCCGGCCTCCTGATGCTTTTATAATTTTTCTGTCAGTCATGTTCTGAAGTTTCACTATAATGAGCCTCGGTGTAATTTTCTACTCATTTATCTTGCTCAGAATTCCACGAGCTTCTTCAGTTGAAGCTCTACACTTTTCATTAATGTAAGGATTCTCAGCCATTACCTCTGAATATTTCTTCCCCTTCCTTCTCTCCAATTTCTCCCTCTAGCATTCATATTAGATGTAGGTTGGACATTCACATTCTATCCTTTACGTCCTGTATTTTCTCTGTATTTTTTTTCTCTTTTAATTGTTTAATGTTACATTCTGGAAAATTTTCCAAGATCCGTTTTTGGTTTACTGAGCCTCTCCTTCAGTTTTGTCTAATCTGCTATTTAATCGATGCTTTGACTGTATCTTTTATTTACAGAAGCTCTAGAAGTTACTTTTTCAAGTTTATCTTTTTTTAGAAACAATATTCTATTTGTACTTTATGGTTTCTGTTCTTTATTTCAGATTATTTTATTTTAAATTCTTCAGGTGAAAATCCTCTTATTCATCTTCTAGTCTTTTTTATGGTGGTTCCTTTCCTCAGGTGGGTTGTAATTTTTGGTTGTGAATTCATCTTTAGCTGCTTTTCCCCTTGGGATAGAGAGGATCTTCTGTAGAGAAGTTTTCTATTCTTCTAGAATTTCTCTATGTGCCCCAGGGAGACTGTTGAGGACAAATTCTTATATTAAGAATATAAGAAGAATTTTTTGATTTGGGATTCAAACACTAGGTTGTGAGGGCTAATTTTATGCATCAACTTGGCTAGGCCATGGTACCCAGTTTTTGGTCAAACACCTAGCTAGGTGTTGCTGTGAAGACAATTTTTTAAAGGTGTGATTAACATTCAAATCAGTTAGCATTGAGTAGAGCAGATTACCACCCATAATGTGGATGAGCCTCATCCAGTCACTTGAAGGCCTGAAAAGGAAAAGAAGGAATTCTGTCTCTAGGCTGCCTTTGGACTTGAGCTATGACATTATCTCTTCCCTGGGTCTCTAATTTGATGGCTTGTCCTGAAGATTGTGGATTTGCCAGCCCTGATAATTCCATGAGCTAATTCCTTAAAATCAATCTCTCTCCCCATCCCTCTACCCCCACCCCTCCCTCCCCTCATCTCATTGTCCAGTTGGTTGTATTTCTCTGGAGAACCCTGACCAATATAACAGGTAAGCAGTGTAAATTTGTAGAACACATCTGTGTTTGGTATGGATTTGAAGTTTTGTGGGCCATCAAAACTCTAGCCTCTAGACATTAGGACTTATATTTGGATAAATATAATCTTGGACCATCAAGACATCAGCTGAGGTTTTCCACTCTGAATAGGAGTTTTAATTTCTGGCTCCTAGAGATTTTACTTTGTTTATTTATTTGAGGACAGAGTCTCACTCTGTTGCTCAGGCTGGAGTGCAGTGGCATGATCTTGGTTCACTGCAACCTCCACCTCCTGGGTTCAAGCGATTCTTGTGCCTTAGCCTCCTGAGTAGCTGGGATTACAGGTGCACTCCACCACGCCTGACTAATTTTTTTGTGTTTATAGTAGAGATGGGGTTTCACCATGTTGACCAGGCTGGTCTTGAACTCTTGGCCTCAAGTGATCCACCTGCCTTGGCCTCCCAGAGTGCTGGGATTACAGGTGTGAACCACCACACCCAGCCAATTTTACTTGATTTTTATGAGCTTAGCTATATTTACAAAATTGTTTCTTTTTCTTTTTTTTGCTATGTATTACCAGTATTTTAATGGGTTAGTAGAGGGAGTGGAAGTCGATGTTAGCTCAGCGTGTAATGTTTCTGGAAACTGAAAATCTTACCGGGTTTTCAGATTGTTGAAAACAGCTTTCATGTTCCTCCCTAAGACTTCTCTAACCAGTTGCCCTTTACATGATGAGGTGTGTTATCTCGACTGGACTTTTATTCTGCTGTCCAGTTTGTTCATGTGCTTCCTGAAGAGTGGGACCCCAGCCAAAGCTGCATTCCTCAGCTATGGTCAGACTAAGAGGTCAGAAGCCACTGTCACTGTACATTCTGGATTCCACACTCTTCCCCATGAGGTCTTAGGTTCCAAGAAGTCTTTGGGCTAAAACATCACAGTGTTGGCAAAGAGTCAGCTTCCAAAACCCGTAGTGGGTGGAAAAAGAGTAAGAACTGTCATAAGAAGCTGGGAGGTTTTAAAAGGTAACTAGGATTTGGAGGAGTTAAGGTTAAAGAGATGTGGCCCAGCCTGTGGGGCCCTGCAGGGACATTCCTAGTCCTTTCTCAGGACGAATCATTTCATGGCAGAAAGCTGCAGGAGACAGCTTCAGTGTTTTCTTTATTATTTAGGTTATTATTTGCATTTGGTCTACTTTTTTCAGGCTTAGATTTTCTTTTTTCAGGATACTGTGCAAGCACCTTAAATCTCTGTTTAGAAACCTCGCTGTGTTCTGTTTGGTGTGTTTTGTTCTGATAAGCCTGGATTTTATAACTGCCAGGTCTTTTGTAGAATGGCTGGAAGCAGGGACCTGTAGTCTGATGAAGATAGTTGCTAAGGAATAATTCATTTAGTGTAGATTAGGAATCACGCCAGTTATCATCTCAAAAGGGAAGGACAGAGGGAGATGGAGAGAGGGGGAAGGAGAGAGAGAGAGTTATCAGGTAGAGAAAACCTGCTATGTGACCTTTCTAAATCCCTTAAACTCTGAGTCTCAATTTCTCTGTCTGTAAATAGAAAGCATTTGACATTGACTCCCCTGCCTCAGATGATCTGAGCTCTGATTTCTCTGGTAGAAAAAAAAAAAAAAAGACAGTGATGTAGGTTTGTGCTGCTGGGAAGAAAATATGCTGCATATCTTTCTTTCTTACTCTTTCTCTCTTTCTTTTCTTTTGATGGAGGCTTGCTCTGTCGCCCAGGCTGGAGTGCAGTGGCGTGATCTTGGCTCACTGCAACCTTCGCCTCCCGGGTTCAAGCAATTCTCCTGCCTCAGCCTCCTGAGTAGCTGGGATTATAGGCACCTGCCACCACGCCTGGCTAATTTTTGTATTTTTAGTAGAGACAGAGTTTTACCATGTTAACCAGTCTGGTCTCGAACACCTGACCTCAGATGATCTACCTGCCTCGGCCTCCCAAAGTGCTGGGATTACAGGTATGAACCACCGCCCCCAGCCGCATATCTTGCTTATCTTGTAGCTACATGTCTCAGAATGGCAGTTTTAAATTCTCGAAGTAATAATAATAGCAGAATTTTCTACAGTGCTCACAGTGGGCCTGACACTGTCCTAAGCACTTTATCAGCCTGTCTCGTTTAATCCTCACAATATCCGCATGAGCTAGGTACTGCTACTATCTTCATGCTGGAGGTAAGAAAACAAAGACACAGAAAAGTAACTTGTCCAAGGTCACACAACTAGAGTATGCCAGAACTGGGATTGAAACACAAGTCATGGGACTCTAGATTTAGTGCTGTTAGCCCACAGATGTTAAGAGCTGAGAGGTAGGGAGCTTGGGGAAATTCAGAAAAGCCATGAAGATACTTTTTTCTTTGTTTGTTTTTGAGACGGAGTCTCACTCTGTCACACGCCACCATAACTAGCTAATTTTTTGTATTTTAGCAGGGACGGGACTTCACCATGTTGCCCAGGCTGGTCTCAAACTCCTGACTCAGGCAATCTGCTCATGTGGGCCTCCCAAAGTGCTAGGATTACAGGTGTGAGACGCCACACCTGGCCCCATGAAGATACTTTAAAAGCCCTGGAAAAAAAGAAAGAATAAAGGGGAGACAGCATAGAATGGGGGATTCGACTTAGTCTTGATGGGAAGGCATCTCAAGAAAGTATGTATTGAGGTGAGCTCTAGGGAATAAGAAGGTGTTAACTAGGCATGCCAAGGAAGAGCCTGGCAGGCAGAGGGGTTGGATATGCTGAGGGAACACAGTGAAGTCAGGAACTGGAAGGTATCTACGCACTTGGGGTTTAGAGAATAGGGGGCGTGGGGCAAAATAAGGCTGGGCAGGTGGGCAGGGGCCTGCCCATGCAGGGCTTTCGGTGCCTCTGTGTTTCTCAGGGTTTCTCACCCTTACCACAATTGGCATTTGGGGCTGAGTTAGTCTTCGTTGTGGGGACCACCCTGTGCAGTGTAGGATGTTGAGCAACAACCCTGGCCTCTACCCAGTAGGTGCAATAGTATTCTTGCTCTGAGTCGTGACAACCAAAAATGTCTCCAGGTATTGTCAAGTATCTCCCAAGGTGAAAAATTGTCCCTGGTAGTACATCACTGAGCAAGATATTTCACTCTCTTGGTATCCTTTCTCACAAGATGTCTACACAATGGACCCTGAGTCACAGGGTGACTTTCTAGACATGGGTATTGACTTGGATCTCCTTTGGCCAGGTTGTACCCCGGCCTGTCCAGGTAGGTAAAACCTCTTGGATTCTCTCCTTGGAACCTGCCACGCTCAAGCAGAGGTATTATCATTGTCAGGGTGGACAATGCTGAAATTAGTGCACCGAACTAGGAAATGAAGACCAGAGAAATGCATCAGGTTCAGAGCAAAAACAAAGGGTTTCTTTACAACCAGGGCATCTAATGTTTCGGCACGATACGATACTTTCCCAACTTGCCCAGTCCTCTTTCTCCTGAAACCAACGTCAGTGTGTAGGGCTCAACAAAGCAGGCCTTTTACAGAGAAAATGACCTTAAATCAAAGAGAATAGAAACAAGATACTTGGCATAAATGGTAATAATAACCAGATTCCTGTGAAGGGCTAAAATATTGCTACTTTAGTCAGTGATTGTTGTGGGAATTGTACTTTTCAAACTCAATATCAAGCCCTTCTGGAACTTTTTGTCAAGTGTTTTCTGCTGCTGCCAAGTAACCCAGGGAAAAGGAGAGAGTTGTTTTGTCTAGTGTGTTTCTTCTATCCCCGGAAAAATCAAGTTCTAGGTGGGCTGCTTTTTTTGTCTTTTTTTTTTTTTTTAATGGCATGAGTTGATGCAAACGCTGGTAGTCTGCCCTACCAAGATGTCCTTGAAGGATGACGTTTATCTAGGAGCTATCCTGGGCCCTTTGTTTTTTTGTTGTAGAAATTCTGACTTCCCTTGCCTTCAACCTGTAGGACTTCCAAGCAGGGCACAATTTGACTAAAACATCGTAATGCCAAAAAGATTGTCCACAAAGAAAACTGTGCACTAGCCTTTTTCACATTTCCTGGTCTGTTCCCCTGATTCCTTGCACCTCTTACCTGAGATCATGACCTCTTCCAGACGGCCTGTGTCCTGCCTGGAGGCCACCCCCGCAGAGGAAAGCCTGCTCCGAAAAGCCACTTTGTCTCTTAGCCTGGAGATTATTTGGGGCAGACCGTGGCTCTGGGTAGGGGGCCAGAGCACTCTGTCCAGGTCATAACTAACTTCTAGTTGCCTGTCTCTCCTGTTAAATGATTATCCCTTTTTCACAGTTGAAAAAGGAGGCAACTCAAAATTAGAGTTGAACTTAAGGCAAAAAGTCTGAGGTGTCAACAACAACCACCACGATAATAGTGAATATTAAGTAGTTATTGTCAGCCCTATGTTAGGTGGTCTGTATACGTTATCTCATTTAATTATTACATTACCTCTGTGAGGTAAGTACTATCACTGTGCTCATTTTACAGATGAGAAAACTGGGGCTTAGCGAATTAAATAATTTGCTCAAGGTCACACAACTTTAAAGTGGCAGAGCCAGGGCATTCAAAGCTGAAGTATTCCTTGTGCCCTCTACTCTTTGTTGTCTCTCTTGATCCTTTTAGAGGCTTTACAAAAATATTTGGAGGAGGCTCTTGGTGTTTCTATAGAATTCCACCTTTGGACACATGGAAATCTTGATAACAAATCTTAACTATTTCTGAAAAAGTTGATCTCATGTATGGCTTTTGGGCTGTGCTGGGATGGACATATTCTCTGCCCCTTATTTAAATTATGTTGATATTCGTCCGGGTGCTGTGGCTCATGCCTGTAATCCCAGCACTTTGGGAGGCTGAGGTGGGTTGATCACCTGAGGTCAGGAGTTTGAGACTAGCCTGGCCAACATGGTGAGAACCTGTCTCTACTAAAAAAAAAATTAAAAAACCAGCTGGGTGTGGTGGCGTGTGCCTGTAATCCCAGATACTTGAGAGGCTGAGGCATGAGACTCACAGGCTGAGGCATGAGAATCACTTGAACCCAGAAGGTGGAGGTTGCAGTGAGCCGAGATCGCACCACTGCACTCCAGCATGGGCAACCGAGCAAGACTCCTTCTCAAAAAACAAACAAAACAAAAAATCCAAAGAAAGCTTTATAGTTACAAATATCTGTTTCATTGATCAAGTTTATCATCACCTTTATGGATACTATTTATAAAGATAATATGGATTTTTACCTCTTGGCATCATGGTAAACCAAGGTGATATCACTGGGCTTTGGTTTATTTGTAAATGAACGATTTGGGCAGCTTGATCTCTACAGTCTCTTGCCTTTACACTCTGGTGTGCACACGGACATACACACATGTGAAGCCCACTTAAAGACCTGGCATCCCCTTCATGAGGCATCAGTCATGGCCCACTGGCTCCCAAAATGTAGAATTCAGGTTCCAGGTGGCCATCAGCATGGCTGAGGATTTGTAAGTCCAGTCATCTAAGCAGCTGGCCTCTTCACCCAGGAGGCTGCTGTCCACCTACAGCCTCCAGCCCTCATTATAGCTCAGGATATATAAACAGTGACGGGTATAAACTAAACTAGTTTGCCTTCAAGGAGCTCCTGCCCTTCTTAGGGAGGGCCCTTGAGCCAGTCTTTTCACTCTGTAGGCTCAAGAAGAAACTGAACCCAGTCCCCAACTTCCGTGGGCAACAGGAAAACGCCACAGAAAGACCAGGTCGTAGAGCTACCATTCCAGGCATGAGTTTCCCTGGGACAAACTTGCCATGGAAAAGGCCCAAGAGAGGAAACGTGTGGAGCCCAGAGTAAAGGAAAGAGAGAAGGATGATGGTTAATCCTGTTTAATGGTTAATTCTGGGTATGCTGGTTAATCCTGGGGGCCTCAGAAGATGACCCATCCTAGAAAGTTGCCTCCCCACAAGGTCTGTCGGTACTGATCTCATATGCGGGTAAAGAAGGACCCAGCGGAGGAAGAATGGGCTTAGCTGAGCACATTCACACGTATGAGAGGAAACTTTGCCACAGTGTAGGAAGAACCAAGTGGGTGTGGGAAGCCAAGTTGGTCATTGTCGCAGCAATCCGGATGCATAAGAAGTAAAGAGGAGAGAAAAAATTAGTCATCTAAAATTGATTGAGGTCAAAATTATGGCATCCCAATTGGAGGCAAACCATGATAGACTTAAAAAGATTGGAAAGTGTTTGTTGTGTGGTGTAAAGCAGGGGTTAGTTTGCAAAGTATAGCCTGTGGGCCAGATATGGCCCACTGGCCTGTTTCTACAAATGCAGTTTATTGGAACATCCATCTACTCATTTATGTATTACGTATGGCTGCTTTTGTGTTGCAATGGCAGAGTTGAGGAGTTGCAACAGAGACCATCTGGCATACAAAGCCTGAAATATTTACTATCTGGCCCTTTACAGAAAAGAGGCAAGGACACATTGTTCCGAGTCCTGGATCCACAACTTTGGATGCATACTAGCTTTTGTAACCCACCTTTCAACGTCTGAATTTCTCATCTGTAAAATGGGGGACTATGTTACCTGTGCCCACTAACCACTTCACTCACTGAGGAGTGAAGACACTGAATGAAATGAGTGTGAAAATGTACATTAAGATCTAAAGAGTTATGCAAATGCAAAGTGTTATTAGGTCTGTTTTGTAATATTTGGCAAAAGAGAGAAGACGGAGAAAGTTGATTTTTTTCTCCAATGAGGCTAAAGAGAAAATAAACAATAAAGGTTGCCAAAGGGCATGTGCACCCTTTTATTTGTGTCAGTTAATGTGTAGTTTCCAGTCAATGGAAGCTCGGTTATTAAAATTAAAGAGGAAGAAATAAAATTCACAGCCACCTTGAAAGGACTGAACAGATTCATTAACAGTGAGGTACAGTCAGAGTGGGTAGAGGTACAGGTCTGAGGGTGTGCTGACCCACCTGGGAGCAACAGAGTGGGACTGAGGGAAGGGAAGAATGAGAAGACAAATCAGGAACTACTGCCTGGGATGTGTTTATATGGGCAATTAAACATTGTTTATCTGGAATTCAACTTAGCTGGGCATCCTGTATTTTTATTTGCTAAATGTTGCAACCTTCCCCCACCCTGAGTGGTTTTGGTAGGGCAACCAATCACAGGACTCTGCTCCCTGATCACGGAGCTTGTTGATGTTCAGTCCTGCAACTCTGAATCTTAAGCAGAGAGAAATAAGGAGAGAAGGCAGTTGGAGCTGATCATCTGATGGCAATGTTCCAGAAAGATCTTCAGAGCTGCCCAGTTCTATCTTTCCCAGGACTGTAGTTCAGGCTTGCTTTTAATCTCCAAACTATGCCATTCGTTTCCAATCTATCCCTTTCTGTTCCTTAAACTAGTCAGAGTTGGTTTCTGTTGCTTGCTGTCAAAGAACCCTAACCTAATATCTCAAGACACCCAAAACAGTATCCAATAAACCATGGGGATGGGTAAAGGGGTGGACAGAGAGGGGAGGAGATTAACTAGGGAAGGCTGTTTTTGAGTGTAGATCTGGACATAGGCAGAAGAGGGGTTGGGGGAGTGGTGAGAGTATTCTCAAAATCTGGTGAGTTATTTATGTCTGCTATAACAAGAAGAAATAGGGAACTACTAAAGGCTCTTGAGTAGGGGAAGGACTTGATAAAAATGACATTCAATTTAAAAAAATATTTCCAAAGCTGGCCTTTAAGTGTCTTGGAGGGGAAGTTGGTGGCAGGGAAGCTGGCTGGGGGGCTGGCTCCATGGTCCAAATGATAGTCCAGGGGTCTAGTGTGTAAGAGTGAGGCACTGAGAATGAAGAGGAAGAGAAAAATGGTGAGAATCAGCTCAGAGGAGACTGTGGGATTTTAATGACTTTCTGGTCATGGGGAATATCCAAGAGCAGGGAGGGAAGAGCTCCAATTGGGTCATGAGCCACAGTAACTCAGCTGTGGGGGCTCCATGACCATGGGCTTCCCAGGACCTGTGGCTGCAGGGTGGGCCCATGGTGGGGGTGGTCTGAAAGGAGCAGCTCTTGGAGGCCCTTGGGCCCATGATCCTTGTTGGCTGTGTCTCCACTCTCGGGGAGGGCTGTGGTGAGTACAGGCTGCAGCAGAAAGTGACAGGGATGATTAAAGGGATGGAAAATCAGGCCCATGAAGAGAGGTTAAAGGACTGCAGCTATTTAGCCTGGGGAAGAGAGGTAGTCATGTAACAGCTCCCTTCAAGTCCATGCAGGGTGACTGGTAGACGTGTGCTAGGCAGCTGCCCGGTGCAGCTGCCCGGCACAGCTGCATATAGGGGGAGAGAGCACCCCTGGAGCGAGCACCTCTGCAGCGAGGGAAAGGCACGCTCCCGAGGGAGGCAGAGGCATAATTACAAAGGCTCTTTTGTGGTTTCTGAAGGCCCCTCTCCCCTCCCCTTTGTTTTTTGCATCTGTCATTATGCTGTGCAAACCACAGCCAGGCCTCTTGACAGCACCAATATCTGCCTTCCTGAACACTCGGAAGGTAACGTGGCTATAAAATTGACAAGTTAGATAAATACTAGTACAAAGGGTAGACTGTGTGTAGCTTTGTGCAGCCTTCTGACTGGTCTCCCACCCCGACCTGGATAAATCCTCTGTCTGCATCCCTCTGGTCACCCCCAGCCTCGTCCATTCCATCTGGGCTCCTTCTGACGGACTCCCCAGGAGCTCACATTTGCTCGGCCTCTTTGTCTAATTTGTCACTTTGACAACTTGAAAGGTCTTTTATTTCTTCCCAGGTCAAATATGTTTCATTTCACTTAAAAAAATTTTTTTTAAAGCTTCCTTTTTTTTTTTTGGCCAGGCCACACTCTTGCTGTCTTGGCTGGGCTGCCACAGTTTTCCCGGAGGAGGCCCCAAAGCCCTTGGCCCACACTCCTCAGATCGCTGCTAGGGTAACTGAGGGCCTCCTCCCGTGGTGACTGTGTTGCCCGGATCCTCAGCAGAGGCCGTGTGGGCAACATGGTCATGGAAGGAAGGTAGCTTATGAACTCCGCATTCAGACACTTCAGAATTGGAGCTGGGCGGGGTGGGTTGGGGGATGGGAGGAGGAGGGATGGGGAAGGAACATTAGTCAGGATCCACCACCAAAGTGTTGGAATCTGGCTGTCCAAAAGCCCAGAGCTAAAATTTATTTGGTTTTGGTCCTGTTGTTAATGAACAGAGGGTGTCAGCGAACCTCACTCAGTGTTAGCCCAGTCTCCTGAGTAGGTGAGGAGAACCTGGAAGCCATAACCCCACCAAGAAGTTCTGTCAGGGAGCAGGGAATTTAGACCTCATCAGATGCCTGTGGAGTGACAGAGATCCCATTCACCACCGACAGCCTCCAGCTCATACCCTAGCAGCGATCGAGGAGGTGTGGGTAAGGGGTCTTTGGGGCCGCCTCCGGGAGAGACTGTGACTCGCTGGACCCATTATGTGCTGTGGCCAAAGCCCTTGACATGGATGGGGAAGGGGTACGGGAGAGGAGCAGGCACAGAGTCTGCTCATCCAGGGATTCCCAGACGAGCTGAGCCTCTCCCTAAACAGGAGTAAATGCCCCAAATCCCCTTCTTGCCAGGGATATGGGGATGCCCTAGGGGCAGGCCTAGCTTGTACTTCCCCCTGTGAGTCCACAGCGTGCAGCACGGGGCTGAGCACCCAGTGAGCAGATGGCTCTGAGGCTGGCAGTTCAAGCAGTGGGGCCTCAGAAACAGGCAGAACTGCCCGCCGTTCTCCAGCTGCGACTGCCCTCCTCTGCATCTGCTAAGTGGGCATGACTGGCACCCACCTCTAGAGCTGCTGTGAACATCGAGTAGCACCGTGCATGACCTGGGTTTGGCATGCTTGGCATGGAGTGAGACCCCATAATGTTAGCTACTGTTGTATTAATAATAATTTATTTTCAATATGACTTATTTAATGGAATGGATGAAGCAAAGGACGAGATTCAGCGGGAAGGGCTGGGCTTCGAGACCTGATCCTTTCTCATTTTAATGCTGCTCCCTCACTGTGGTCAGCCTGAGTGGGATCGGCTGCCCGGCCTTCATTTTACCTTTGTTGCCATCTCTCTTTGCGGTGGTTCTTTCTCTTCCTCCTCCTCCGCCTCATAAGCAAAGGGTAAGGCACAGTTCTGAATCTTTGGTTCTGTAAAGAGGCGTGCCCATCTCTGTGCTTGATTCCACTGGAAAAATAAGAACAATTCCTATTATTTTCGGTTCCGAGACCTTGAGTGTGTCAGGCTTCAGGTTCACTTCCTACATCTCTCCACGTTGCCCGGATCTGCAAGTAATTTAACCTTGTTTTTATAGAGCGCAAAGACGTTCCGCTTGTTTACACTGGAGACAAATTTTCCTCAATTGACGCAATCCTATTGATTAAATAATGACCTTCTTCCTCATTTAAAGGTAATTTCGGTTGGTATCATGACGTGGAGGAAGAAAATGAATGCCTTTTCTGTCTTGCTGTCTGAAGGGCAGGCAGTGAGGGCCGACTCCCAGAGCCCTGGGCAGGGCCCTCTCATTTTTCTCACCTGTTCTGGAACTTCATCAGGCGTCGGAGTGGGGCTAGTGCTGGGACCCCTTGAGGAGGTGGGCTAAATAGGACCAGTCTTGATTAGGGAAATTAAAAAGCCAGCATTTGCTATGTAATAAGATGTCAAGGCTGGGGCAGAGTAGATGCTACTTTGTTTTAAAACTTGATTTGCTTTCAAGACTTGTACGTAAATTACTTTTCAAGCTCATATCACACGATATAGTCCGGGCATGTCATTTGAGCCAAGGATTTAAAATCAAAGGGAAAGGCAATGTGCAAGTTCAGGAAGAACTTCAGGGAACAGCTCACACAGGAGAGACACAAAGATGGGAGCCTGGGGTGGTGAGAGAGTTGTTGGGTACTCTTGGGTAAGTCCTTTAACTTCTTCTGGGTCTAGATTCCTCATTGGTAAAACAGGGGTGACTGGATCAGATGACTTCTAAGGTACTTTCTTGGTTCTATGTTCTGTGATACGATGGAATCTGGAGACCCGGTTATTATTTGCTTCCATTCCAGATCCGTGTACTGTCTATTTCCATAAGGATAAGACCAGTGGATGACATTTGGAAGGATGGGACCTCTGTTGTTCCATTTTCTTTCTGTGAGGTCAGGTCAGTGCATTGTGTGTTAGCAATGCCATTTAAGAAATAGATATCCCTATATGTTCTGTAGGAGAATGCATATTTTGCAATGATCTGAAAAATTATCCTAATGCAAATACAGAGTGGCATAAATACCATGGCTGGACAGGAGCTAGACATGAATAAAAGAAAATCGGAGCTGACATTTTAAAGGTTTTTGCCCTATTATAGGCACATCTAGGCATTCCTTCATTTTCTCTTTACCAGAGGTTGGCAAACATTTTCTGTAAAGAGCCAGACAGTAAATATTTTAGGCTTTGTGGGCTATAACATCTTGGTTTTAGCAATTCAACTTTGCTGTAGTAGCAGAAAAGCAGTCACAGGTAAGATGTAAACAAATGTGTGTGGCTATATTCCAATTAAACTTTATGACCCTGACATTTGAATGTCATATCCTTTTCAGGTGTCACAAAATATTTTCTTGATTTTTTTCAACCATTTATAATGTAAAAACCATTCTTAGTTCATAGGCCTTCACAAAAACGGTCGGTGAGCCAGATTTGGCCCCATAACCACAGATCGCTGACCTCTTTTCTTTATTACAGTCCTTTAAGGGAGGAAGTATTTTACCGATGAGAAAAATCAAGGCTTAATGGGGTTAAATAACTTGCCTAGGTTTACCAGTTAGAAGCAAAAGAGCTGGAAGGTAATCTAAAAGGCCAGGTTCAGGCCGGGCATGGTGGCTCATGCCTGTAATCCCAGCACTTTGGGAGGCCAAGGCAGGAGGATTACTTGAGGCCAGGAGTTCGAGACCAGCCTGGGCAACATAATGAGACTCTGTTTTTATATATTTAAAAAAAAAAAAGCAGGCATGGTGGTGCATATCTGTAATCCCATCTACTTGGGAGACTGAGGTGGGAGGATAACTTGAGCCCAGGATTTTGGGGCTGCAGTAAGCCGTGATCATGTCCTTGACCCCCTCCAGCTTGGGTGACAGCAAGATCTTGTCTCAAAAGAAAAAAAAAAAAAAAAGAAAAGCCAGATTCAAGAGCTTAAACACCTACCCTTTAGGGATATCCAGCTAGAGTGATAGAATGTGAAAGACTTTGCTCCCTCTGACATTGATAAATAGTTACAAAATCTCCTTTTTAATCATTCTTACTTTTTCATGATGGTTCACATTCAAAACATTAGAGCAAGATTGGTGTCTCACAAGGCCGGGATACCTGGCTGGCTTAGAAATTACATGGGACAATAACTCAAAATGTGACTGAGCAGGAGGGAGGAGTGAGATGAAGAAACCAAAGAGTTCTGTGAGTACCAGGATCCAGGGAGAGGCCTGGCCACCCTTGTTTGGCCTGGGGGCTGGCTCAGCTTCTGCATCCTAAGGAGGAGATGCCACACCTCCACTGCCTCCCATTCTTGTTCTTGAAGATGATGCATCTTGGAAAGTTCTCTGATGCTTGCCTTTTTTTTTTTTTTTTTTTTTTGAGACAGAGTCTCGCTGCGTTGCCCAGGCTGGAGTGCAGTGGCAAGATCTCAGCTCACCGCACCCTCCACCTTCCAGGTTCAAGTGATTCTCCTGCCTCACCCTTCTGAGTAGCTGGGACTTCAGGCACCTACCACCATACCCAGCTAATTTTTGTATTTTTAGTAGAGACAGGGTTTCACCATGTTGGTCAGGCTGCTCTCGAACTCCTGACCTCAGGTGATTCGCCCGCCTCGGCCTCCCAAAGTGCTGGAATTACAGGTGTGAGCCACCATGCTTGGCCCTCTTAATGCTTTTTAATATTTCAAGAATGGACAGACTGTCTCCAGAGCTACACTGTCACCTTCCAGGGGTGGCCTATGTCTTCTGTCTTCTCCACACTTAGTACAGTCTGGGCACACAGAAATGCAATGATGCCAGGTGAGTGAGGCCTTTCAGTTCTAAAACAGGGTGCTTCAGGAAGTCGTGAGCTGCCTACTTCTGGAAGTGTGTGGTGATGCTGCTGTCAGCAGATGCTGGTGTAGAGGACCACTGCGGGTGGGAGGTGAGAGTGGAGGAAGGTTCGACGATCCTATCCATCCATGTAATAAACATCTGCTGAGCACCTAATGCATGTTGGATCCAAAGTCAGAAGCCCCCACATATATGATTTCTTTTGATTTCCACAACTAGCCTCTGACAGAGGCATGTGATCCCAGTGGCTAGATGGAGAAACTGAGGCTCAGAAGAGCTTGTCATTTTTTTTTTTTTTTTTGAAAAGATGCAAGCAGCGGGGGGCAGAGTCAGTGTAGTCTGCTTTCTGCCTTCCACCACAGGCCCCTCTATCGGGCTGTGTGGAGAAATGGGCTCCAGTTCTTGCTGTGACCCTCGCTAGATGTGTGGCTTCAACAAGTTATCTGACCTCTCTGAGTTTGTTTCTTCATCAGTTTAAGGGTTGACTTTTGGAGATTTGTCATGAAACAAAAAGAGATATTATATAAAAGTGTCTAAAACAGTGGCAGCCATGGCACAGGTTACAGTTGCTTTCTTCCTTCTGCTTCAAGATGATTTGGTTTTGTGAAGTTGACTGAGTCATCAATCTTACTCAGTTTGGGATCTTTAGGGCCTAGCAGAGAGCCGGGCATGGAGCAGACACTTAATAAATATTTGTTCAACGAATGGATACACAATGCTTATATCTACTGATGCCAACCATCTGGATACTCAAATGCTTCAACATGATGGGTTCTTGACTTTTCATCTAAATATTGGATGTCATCTTAAAATATAAGCAGCTAAAATGACGTGAAACATAAATATGAACACAGGTCTCACTGATGCAGATTCCTTGGGGGGAATGTGTAAATCAGTGAAAGTCTGCATAGGGCTGTATTTAAGGAAAGTGATTTGTTGTTTTCAAATAACTCCAGCTATGTCACCAGGTTTATTTATTTACCATCCATCCACCCATTGATGTAATCAGTCAACAGTGGCCCAGAGGGGCTCTTTGGGTGTCCTTTAATAAATAAGAAAGATTATCTGGAGCATGTTGGTTATTTGTAGATACATAGAAGCAGCTCAACTGCTTATGGGAGCTTGGAAACAGTTCGTGCTCAAGTGTTTTGGACATTCCCCCAATATTCTGCATACATTGTTTCTGTGCCTTGTCTCTGAAGAATCTTTATGCTAATTTACGGTCATATTCTTCTCTGCTAACGGGGGTGGGAATGCAGAGAGCTTCTGTCTGTTGCCTCTGAATGTGTGCAGTGCATGTGAAGAGAAAGAGTCAACACAGGCTAGATTCCCTAGGGAGAATCTCATTCTTGATATTGAGAACAACTTACTTGACTTATAGGAGTGAAAATCCTATGAACTGGATGAGGCTGTGCTATTATTCTTGGGATGAAAGATGGATGGAAAGACTCCTTTTATAGAAATTATTTTTGATGACTCAGGAACACTGTGATACCTTCAGGTCTACTGAAATGTACATGGCTATTTATCTCTATACTAAAATGACTCCAGCTTTCTATGCTTTTGGGATTCCTATTTGTGCTTTTGTTGCTATCTTGTGTCTTTCAGCTAACCTCACTTTTTTGATTCCCAGTATGCCTCTCACTAGCAGTTCAGTATCTTTCTTCTAATTTGTTGCCTGCTTCCAATATTCCAGGGACTAAACAAAAGAAGTAATAATAACAACAACAAAAATTCGGAAGGGTAAGTCTGTTAGAGCTGTTTGTGAAGCAAGAATGAAAAGAATCCAAATGAGTCTGAAAGGCCTTTCTGTGACTGCTTGGCATGAACTTTGGAACCCGGACATTGTGAGGTCTACAGTGGCTGTCTGGGGGTCTTTTCCACTTCCCTGTCCTTGACTGTCAGCTGGAGAGGTGATTTCAGGATTGGTGAGACACTACCGCACATATGTCTTACCATGGCAACCTCAAGGCATTCCTCTGAGGCCAGGATGTGGTTTCATTTCTCAGGGGAGTAGACTGAGGGGGAAACAGAAAAGTGTGAGGATGGCTTTCCATGAGGCATGGCCCTCAGGATCATGCTAAATGAAATGACATGTTGGTGTGTTTATCTGCAAACAGCCACATTGACTACTCACTTATTACAATTTTGAAGCTTATTAAAACAAAAAATACAGAGTCTTGCTGTGTTGCCCAGGCTGGAGTGCAGGGGCATGATCTCAGCTCACTACAACCTCCGCCTCCTGGGTTCAAGCAATTCTCAGAACTCCGGGTGTGGTGGCGCATGCTGGGATTACAGGCATGTGCCACCATACCCAGCTAGTTTTTGTATTTCTAATAGAGACAGAGTTTCACCACATTGGCCAGGCTGGTCTTGAACTCCTGAGCTGAAGAGATCTGCCTGCCTCGGCCTTCCAAAGTGCTGGGATTAAAGGCATGAGCCACTGTGCCTGGCCTGAAGCTGATTTTTTAATAGTTTGATCAGAGCTGCTTATTTCTTGACCTCTTTCGGAGACCTTCTGGAAAATTCTGGTGTCAGAGAAGGAGCACTCAGGAATCAGGAGTCAAGAGTTGCAAACTAGGCTGGGTGCGGTGGCTCAAGTGTATATTCCCAGTAGTTTGGGAGGCCAAGGCGAGAAGATCCCTTGGGGACCAGGCCAGGAGTTCAATACCAGCCCGGGCAACATAGTGAGACTATGTCTCTTAAAAAAAAAAAAAATTAGCTAGACATGTACCTGTAGTCCCAGCTACTTGGGAGGCTGAGGTGGGAGGATCACTTGAGCACAGGAGTTAGAGGTTACAGTGAGCTATCATTGCATTACTGCACTCTGGCCTGAATGACAGAGTGAGACCCTTTCCCAAAAAATAAGAAGCAAAGAGTTGCAGACTAGATCTTGTTCTGTGAGGTTGCTTAACCGCTCTGAATTTCAGTTATAAAATGTGAGGGCATTGGTTAAACCTGCCCTTTGCTAGGATCCGTCTAATAACACCCTATATATCTTTGATTTCTCTGTGAGCTCTGCAGAGCTGACCATCTCCAAGACTGGGGGAAAGTGGTTGTATAAGGGCAGCTTCTTATAGGGAATGGCTGGGGAGCAGGGCTGTCCCCAGAGAGGTGATGGGCATTTATATAGTTTTTTCGGCATCACAGACACAGGATTAGCTTACACTAGCAACCACCTACACCCTCCCTTGGCATGAGCCTGGAGTCTGGGAGGACTCCACCTGGATGGGTGGCAGGTGGCATCAGCTCTTCACATCCATCCTTGGTTTCCCTTGGATCCCTCTCCATCACTGTCTTTATTCACCTCAGCCTCCCCCAGCTGGAGCCACAGGCAGCCCTGTCCCATTCCGGAGCCAGTTCTGACCAAGGCAGGAAATGGATGTGGAGCCTCCGCCTGCCACTGGAGGGAGGAGGGGGCTGGAATTAGGTCTCATGTTTTCAATCAGCAACAATCGCGCCTCGGTTAAACCTCAGAGGCGACGGTGGTAGCACCACTCAAAGCTTACATTAAGTTGTTTCCTCAGATGTGGGATCCAGAGGCTTAGGCACGACTCACAGGCTCCTGGGTGCCTTTCTCCTGCGCTCAAGTCTCCTTTCCTCAAATCCAAATGAGGACTGGGTGTGTCAGAGGCAGTCTGGCTGCCTGGGCAGCTCCTGAGTTCCAGAATTTCCTAATCTTCCTTACCCCCAATGGCATCTGCAGCAATTCCCAAGTCCATAATCTGACCATAGTATTGTCTGGCCTTCCAGACCCTTCCTTGAGGCTCATTTGGAGGCTGGGTGCCCCTGGGACAGTGCAGCCTTCCTTCTGACTGTTGGGGATAAACAGCTCAGGGTCCTACCCCAGGTCTGGACTCTGCTGGCATCTCTTCTAATGTCGGGGGTCATCTGTCAGTTAAGAACTACCCTGAGGAGTGGCCTCCAAAGATGGAACCATTAGCTCAGAGGCGCAACATACTTGGTTCCATAAGCCTGCCTCTTTTATGGCCCTAGGAAAGCAAGAGCAGATCAATACATGCTTTTTGAAAGAATCTCAGAGTTTGTGGCAGAACCATTCTGAGATGTGATTAGGACTTGGGACACACAGGTCTTCCTAAACTCTTCTTGAAGGACATTGATTGACCTGAACTGTAACTAATACTGGCTAAGCCAGAATCTTGGAAAAGGTAATATGAGGAAGGTTGTAGTGATAGGAGCTTTTGGTGTCTGAGGAGCAGAACTGAAAATGGAGAAGCCAAGGAGGGTAGAGAATTGGTCAGGGTGTCTGCCTAGAGGCAAGTAGACGCTGATTCTAGACAACAGGTGCTGGGCCTCAGACAGTGGGGGAACAGTGTGTGCTGGGATTGGCCCTCGGAGCATGCAGCGCCCAGGCTCAGGTTTGGTGCTCCTAAGCACGGCCCTGAACCACTGCTGGCCGGGGGGCATTCCTCTACCTCCAGGCTTCGCTGTGGCTCTGCTCTGAATTTGCTATTTGACAAGGATAGCCAGGAAGAGCAGTTCCCTCCCTTCCTCTGCCTGCGCCAACCCCATCAGCAGCCTGTGGTCAGAGGTGCCCTCCTACCCCCATTTCCATGGGTGCCCATGGGAGCAGCATTGGAGGGCAAATCCAGGAGGCCTCTCCCCACCTGCTGCCTCCATCACCCCCAGGGCTGCCTGGCCAGGCTATCTTGCTCACTTTCAGGAAAAGGATCACAGGGAAAGGAACCTCCAGAACCCTAGAAGAGAGACCTCAATGCCATAAGGAAGAGTCTGGGGCAGAGGGGACGGTGGAGGGTAGGGGAGGGAGTGAAGCCCACTTGAGCTTTTGAAAATCTTCCTCCCTTTGAGTCTTCCCCAGCCCTAAGGCTGTTGGTGGGGCATCAGCGACCCCTGCTGGCCACCACATCTGGGATTTCCTCTGCCCTCCAGACCTCCATAGCTTTCCCCTCTGCTTTCAAGCCTCCCCTTCTTCCCAGGTTGAGGATTCTCTTCTCCCCAGAGACCCCACTCCCCCTTCCCTACTAGCCTTGCCTGTCTGTCCCCAGTTTTCTTTTATCCTTTTCTTTTACATATTCCATTCCCTTTTTCTTCTGGCAGAACTCAGCTTCTGTCTTTTGGAGCCTCCCTGCAGAAAACCACCTGTAGGGAAGAGATGGATAAAGCAGTGATAAGGCACCTGGTAAAGCATAACACACAGGAATGTCCAGGGGCTCATCTGGGCTGGAACAATAGATCCCTTTAAATGTGCTATCTGTCCCTCATATTTCTTCCATTTCACTCCAAGCCGAAACAACTACAGTTTATTATTTTATTATTATTTTGAGATGGAGTCTCACTCTGTCATCCAGGCTGGAGTGCAGTGGTGTGATCTCGGATCACTGCAACCCCCACCTTCCGAGTTCAAGCAGTTCTCCCTGCCCCAGCCTCCTGAGTAGCTGGGATTACAGGTGCCCACCACTATACCCGGCTAATTTTTGTATTTTTAGTAGAGATGGGGTTTCGCCATGTTGGCCTGGCTGGTCTTGAACTCCTGACCTTAGGTGGTCCGCCTGCCTTGGCCTCCCAAAGTGCTGGGATTCCAGGCATGAGCCATCCTGCCTGGCTGAACTATGGTTTACTGAATGCCTATTCTGTGCCTGTCTGTGTGTAGGGGACATACTTTGTGCCTCACTTTGCTCCTGTCCAGAGGCACCAGTCTCATGTTGAGGCAGGAGAGGAATGGTTGTGGGAGGATGTGGGTGCAGTTGGATGTCCAGCTTGCCCTGCCCCAACCTCTCTATAACTCATGCTGGTCACAGTGATCAGGCTTTCTTTAGTCTCAGGGCACAAGATTCTCAAGCTTGGCCACCTCATTCCATAAAATAGATAAGAAGTAGCTGCCCAAGTGGAGTTCCCTCTCTTAGGCCTTTGTCAGTCTTGCTCTAGCCTTGGCCTCTGCAGTGTCCTGGGTTCTCATGGCTTGCCATCCAGATGCAGGGCATGCATGATGAGGGGTGTAGGTAGGGGATACACCCATCTCAGGAGGCCAGGACCAGAGTCCCCCGCCCACCTCAAAAGGGCCCCATGTAGGGGCTAAAGGCCGTGGTTAAGTCAGAGGATTTTTATTTTTCTTAAAAGGGAAAAAGCTAAGATACCCTAATAAAAATGAGGCTTATTCTAGAGCAGAAAGCTCTCAGCCTGAGCTCCAGTCCAACACAGATAGGCACTCACTTCCTGGCCCAGGCCTTAATTTCCCTATTATATGGGAGCTAGGATACCCCCCAAAGGTCCTTCTTTTTTTTTGCTCTGAAGTTCTGTGGTTCTATTTTTCTTGCTTTTGCATGGCCAGGCAGACTAGGATGCAGCTTTGATCTACCTTGCGCCAGCTACCTCCCACCCACTCACGTGGATTCTAGGCTTTCATTTTTGCTGGAGTAATATTTTTCTGATGTTTATTTTTAAAAGTTCTGCATCTGTGGTGACCATCTCCCATTTGGAAAATTAACTACTTACAGATGTTGTGTGTGGCACAGCATTCTCCCAGGCAATGAAACCGCTGGGGTTTGGCTATCATTTCAAAAGTAAGAGGAGGGAAGGAAAGATGTATGTCTCTGATGTAGGTGTCAAAACTTCTTGACCTTCTGTAAAATGCCCAAATGTGATTTACTTTTATAAATTGAAGAGTGGAGAATTTCTTAAGCCTTGAGAGCCCAAGTGTTAAAAAACTCAAATGGAAATGGTCATATGTGGGATGTTTATGGTCATTTGTGGAATGTTTGCAGAGGGAAGGCACTAGCTGCGCGGCTGGGGCTGAGTGAACTCCTATGCTGTGCATAGAATACAGAGCTTAGCCCTCATCACCCCCATCCCCATGGTCAGCTGTGGCCAGTCAAGGCAGTGATTTATGTTGCTTTCCAGGATCTAGGTAAAGTGCATCCCAGCCTTGAGCAGAACCAGCAGATCCTTCTGACTCCAGGGTGCTGTGAAGACTCACTGGCTCTCTACCCTGTGTCATCCACCCGACCTTGACTTTCATTTTTGATTTCTGCCCTCCCTAGGAACTTGCACACGTCCTCCTCAAGACCTCCATCTCCAGGCATCACCCTTGCTCCTCTCCTCCCACACAACAGAAAATAGTTCCAGGATTAAAAAGACATTTTGTAAGATCCCAGTGAACTCTCACACAAAGCTCATTTTTTGTTTTCTTATTCATTGGCCACCCCCAGCTTCCGCCTCCTCAACAGTTGTCAAATACAGGCTCAACTCGAGAGAAGGAGCCATAGCCAGCTCTTTGTGTGGATGTTGATGCTGTGTATGTGTGCGGTGTGTGTGTATCTGCAGAGTGGGGTTTGTCTATGTGGAGTGTACACGTGTGCTGGTATTTGTGGCTGGGAGGAACCAACAGGACAAGAGCTCCTTTCCCCAGATGGGGCTTGCCCTGGCTGAGACATCTTTCTTGCCTGGATCTGGGACAGCTTCCTTTTTGCTACTGTTCCATTTCTGTCTCTGTTGATTTCTCCTGTCTTTGTTTCTTTCTACCAGAAGGTTCCTGCAGCCTTTGTCCTGTGAGAATGACTAAGGATAAATAAAAATTTGAGTAGCAGAGGAACTCAGAGACTGTCTCTCAAGTCTAATGAATCTGACTGCTTTAAATGTGAGAAGACTGAGGCTCGTTCTGTGCAGTGCGTTTGAACAGAAAGTTCATGCTTGTTCCACATCAGCAGGTTTAAACATTGTGTTAATGTTTTGTATCTCTGGTAAGATTTTTTGAAAGAGACACTCAAAAAGTGGGGGGAGCATAAGTACTATTCATTATAGGCAGATGGATGAGGATTTAGAATGTGGAGATTTGGAAGACAAAACTCAAGCTAGACACAATTTGTTTTCAAGGGAGAAAAATTAGGCAAAAAGTTAATGTCACTTATTCAAGATTTAGTAGAATAAATATGGGAGAAATAAATTGAGTGTGTGGTAAATTTATGAATAGTGACAGTGTTTCCTCTTGGAATGTGATAACTACTAAAAAAAAACTGCATGCAATAATAGCAATTCAGTAGGTGATATGATTTGGCTGTGTCCGCACCCAAATCTCAACTTGAATTGTATCTCCCAGAATTTCCACGTGTGGTGGGAGGGAGCCAGGGGAAGGTAATTGAATCATGGCAGCTGGTCTTTCCCCTGCTATTCTCCTTATAGTGAATAAGTCTCACCAGATCTGATGGGTTTATCAAGGGTTTCTGCTTTTGCATTTTCCTCATTTTCTCTTGCGACTGCCATGTAAGAAGTGCCTTTTGCCTCTTGCCATGATTCTGAGGCCTCCCCAGCCATGTGGAACTATAAGTCCAATTAAACCTCTTTTTGTTCCCAGTTTTGCGTATGTCTTTATCCGCAGCATGAAAACGAAATAATACAGTAGGAAACATTGATAAGTTGTACACTTTAATCTTCTTCTACGTATATAACAAAGAGAAACAATTCTTTTTCAAAGAAATAACATGGAAATTTGTCAACCATGTCGATCATTTAAAAGAGGCATGTCTAGACTAAGTGGGAGGAAGAAGGGAAGAAGGAGATAGATGAAGGACAAAGTCCACTGATGGAAAATAATAGCATGTGGATTAGGGTTCCCTTTCAGTAACTGGACGAATATGGGGAAAACTTTGTCTGCATGTTAGCAAATCAGAGAATACATCTTTATCTAGTATTCTTTCATCTCAAAATAAATATCAAACAAAAGATGAATTTTTAGGCTCTAAATCTGGGACAAAGAGAAGGAAATGGATAATTGTTTGCTAAGTGATCACACAGAGAACCTTTTCTTATTGTGCAAGACTTATTGTGAAGACTTTGAAGGGCTCCTCTCAATTTGGCTATCATTTCAAAAGTAAGAGGAGGGAAGGAAAGATGTATGTCTTTGATGTAGGTGGCAAAACTTCTTGACCTTCTGTAAAATGCCCAAATGTGATTTACTTTTAGAAATTGAAGAGTGGAGAATTTCTTAAGGCTTGAGAGGCCAAATGTTAAAAAGCTCACATGGAAATGGTCATTTGTGGGATGTTTATGGTCATTTGTGGAATGTTTGCAGAGGGAAGGCACTAGCTGTGTGGCTGGGGCTGAGTGAACTCCTACGCTGCGCGTAGAATACAGAGCTTAGCCCTCATCACCCCCATACAAGGTTGAAACCACTGTAATCTTGATTGGGGAAACTGGTTAGACATAGCCTAAATTTTAATGTGCCCCATGTCTCTCAGAGATAATAGGACCCACAGTTTACGCAAATGTGTAGCTTCTCTTTCTTTTGGTCACCATCTGTTTTCTAGTTTATTTGTGCTTGGTCGACATGATGCCAAACAACTGGTTTGACTGGTTTTTGTTGCACTAAATGGATGAGACTGACCTATTTGACGTCCTGTGGAGACAAATCCCAGCACTGGGGCCCAGGGCTTGCTGAGAGAACAAGGCTCCCTTTTCTTGAAGGCAAGTTTGAGTGTTACTGTACACTTGAGGTATTTTGATATTGTAGACCTGTAAGCATATGTTCTCAGTGGCTTCAGAGTAGGTCTGGAAAAAACAACAACCAGCCAAAGCAAACCTAGACCGGAGGCGCTAGAAACTGGGATTTAGTGACAGGACTCAGGAGGCACACAGCTCTGAAGAAAAAGACATGTAGGTGCTGTAGGCTGTTAGACGATACTGGTGTGGTCAATGCCAGCCCCTGGGTTGTGGGCAGCTGCTGCCCAGGGCAGCGGCCATGAGAAAAACCAGGTACCAGGCAAGGTGAGTGGCTGGCAGTCTCAATCAGCTGGAGTGCCAGTCTATAGGGGGCATCCAGACATTGGTGGACCACATCAGGAATATACTGCCAGTTGACTTATACATGCAAATATGACTTTTTTTTTTTTTTTTTGCATGACACGTTTATAGGCCACTCTGGTAACTCTGAGTCCAGCTGCTGCTATTTGCTTGATGCTGGCTTTTGCAGTTGCTGCAATTCTGTGACAAGTTGGCCCAATATATATGCTAGTTACAAATGATATACTTTATTATGCAAAATTAAGACCTTTTATTATGCTCCCCACTTTCCCCAGTAAATTGGTTTGGAAAATTACCTATGATAAATATCATGTTCTAAGCCTAAAGAAAGAAGTATAACATTTTATTGTAAAATAAGATTGTTTCTAAATATGTAACCAAATGTCAAACAAATAATGAAAGGAGGCTGGACATGGTGGCTTACACCTGTAATCCCAGCCCTTTGGGAGGCCCAGAAATGGGAGGATTTCTTGAGTCCAGGAATTCAAGATCAGCCTGGGAAACATAATGAGAGCTTGTATCTACAAAAAATAAAATTAGCCGGGCATGGTGGGGTGCGCCTGTAGTTCCAGCTACTTAGGAGGCTGAAGTGGGAGGATTGCTTGAGTCTGGGAAGTCAAGGCTGCAGTGAGCTGAGAATGGTGCCACTGCACTCCAGCCTGGGTGACAGAATGAGACCTGTCTCACAAAAGAAAAAAAAGAGTAGCTATGGAGTGTTAGTAGATCCCAGGTAGTAGTTTTTTTTTTTTTTTTTTTTTTGAGACGGATTCTTGCTTACTCTGTCACCTGGGCTGGAGTGCAACGCCATGATCTCCGTTCACTGCAACCTCCGCCTCCCAGGTTCAAGGGATTCTCTGGCCTCAGCCTACTGAGTAGCTGGGATTATAGGCACACACCACCATGCCCAGCTAATTTTTCCATTTTTAGTGGAGATGGGGTTTCACCATGTTGGCCAGGATGGTCTCCATCTCTTGACCTCGTTATTTGCCCGCCTCGGCCTCCCAAAGTGCTGGGATTACAGGTGTGAGCTACCACGCCTGGCAGAGCCCAGGTAGTTTATGTATGTCATTGCTTATATGACTCACAACAACGCTGTGTGGTATTCCCACTTTACAGAGGAGAAAGTTAAGGTTGAGAAAGGATACGGAACCTGACTTCAGGTCACACAGCTTGGGTCCGGGTCGGAATTCCAACCCAGGCAGTGGAGCAACAGGGTTCCATTTTTTAAGCTTTGTGCTACACTGATTCTGAATATTAAAACAACAACACAACATTGGATGAAGAGTCATGAAATCTTTAGCCTACCTGGCTGTCAGTCTGCATGTGTTGCTTGGTCTGGCTCCATTTGGCCAAAATGCCAGAGCAGAACCTTGGTGCAGTGACAACCTCTTAATTGATATGGAAGGGTGAATATTCTTGAGGTAAAGTAAATAGGGCAGAGAGGCTCAGGCTGCAGATAGGGATGGGTAGGTAGGGTTTTCAAGTGGATCCTCAGAGCCTCTGACTCCCAGGGGAGGTGTCTTGAAAAATGCTGTGTTAGGGCATGGAGGGATGAAGCCTAGGAAGGGGCTCTCTTGGGAAAGATAAGAAAGTGCCTTTCTTGTCAAGGAGGTGAGGCCAGGGGCTAGGGCAGGAGGGCTCTAGAAGGCCCACTTGTGATGAGCATGCAGAAAATGCCATTCAGGTGTGTGGCACTTCGCAATGGTGTGGAGTGACCTGCAACCCTAAACTTTTGCTCTGTAACACCATTCAGACTCCAGTAAATGCTTCTCCACTTGTCCCGAGTGGTATGTCCTAGAAATGAAAGGTATCTGTGTTCCCATGTGAAGTATGTTTGTGGGCTGTGTTGCTACAGTTATCAGATGACACTGATCCAAGTTCAGGGAGGATTTCAGTGCTAGAAACACAGGTAGGGAAAAGAAAACTACCAATAAACTTTTGAAAACTTTCATCTCAGGTAATATAAATGCTATAGATTCTTACTAAATATTTTCCAGAAGTGCTAAGTATCCCATTTCCTACTTTTCTCCAACTTCAAATTCTTGGTGCTGGAGTTATTCAGGAACCTGTGTGATATTTGCAACAAATGCATCCAAGGGCTGACGAATATTTGCAACACCAAACAACTGATGTTACTCTTAATTTGTATCTATGTACATCTCCATATAACATGTGTGAGGCATAGCATCCATTCTTTACTTCAGAAGGCAACCAACCAGTTAGATTTTGGATGCTAGAATTGCAATGCTGTATTGCAACTTAAAATTAAAGGATGCACCTGTAATCCCAGGACTTTGGGAGGCCAAGGCAGGCGGATTGCTTGAGATCAGGAGTGGAAACCAGCCTGGCCATCATGGTGAAACCCTGTCTTTACTAAAAAAAAAAATACAAAAATTAACCAGGCATGGTGTCAGGTGCCTGTAATCCCAGCAACTGGGGAGGCTGAAGCAGGAGAATTGCTTGAACCCGGGAGGTGGAGGTTGCAGTGAGTGGAGATCATGCCACTGCATTCCAACCTGGGTGACAGAGTGAGACTCCATCTCGAAAAAAAAGTGTGTTTTATTTTTATAAAAACGTTAAATATGACCTAATTAAATTTCCAGGAAATTAAATTAAAATGTCACCATTATTTAAAAGTTATATTCATTAATTATAATTTGTATCTGCCTTTTAATTTTCATAGATAATTTTAAGTATTAAAAGACTATTAAAATAAATTAAAAATATATTGTGATATAGTTTGGCTGTGTCTCCACCCAAATCTCATCTTGAATTCCCACATGTTGTGAAAGGGACCCTGTGGGAGGTTATTGGATCATGGGGCAAGTCTTTCCCGTGCTGTTCTCGTGATAGTGAATAAGTCTCATGAGATCTGATGGTTTTATAAAGAGGAGCTCCCGTGCACAAGCTCTCTCTTTTTGCCTGTTGCCATCCATAAGAAGTGACTTGTTCCTCCTTGCCTTCCACCATGATTGTGAGGCCTCCCCAGCCACGTGGAACTGTATGTCCATTAAACTTATTTTTCTTCCCAGACTTGGGTATGTCTTTAACAGCAGTGTGAAAATGGACTAATACATATATGTAAAAATTTTATGTATTTGATGAAATATACTTATATTGACAAATTTCAATCACATTTTAATCCTCTTTATTATTGAGAAATGGATATAAGTCAAGATTGGGATAAAAAGATAAAATAGGGTGAAGTTCAGAAGCTGAAAAGAAACAAAATCAGTGAGGTAATCTGCTTAACACTGCAAACACTGGAGAAATAGTAAAAGTGAGTAGGCATTTGTTGGACTAGCCCACAAAAAATCTTTACACAGGACCTTACAAATTGTTTACTTAATGTAGATCTAATTAGTGATCAAAACAATGAGAATGTAAAGGGGAATTATTCATATCAAATTCACAATTCAGAAGCCACAGATGGATGCAACTTGTGCCTGCCTGGGAGACACAAAGGAAGCTACATTCGTGAAATTAGCCCAATGGGAGGAGAAAGATGAAACTGAAACCTTGGGGGCTTTACTGTACCTGTGGGAGGCTGATTCAGGAAAATGGCCTGCTTTTTTTTTTTTTTTCTTTTTGAGATGGAGTCTCGCTCAGTTACCCAGGCTGGAGTGTAGTGGTGCAACCTCCGCCTCCCAGGTTCAAGCGATTCTCCAGCCTCAGCCTCCTGAGTAGCTGGGATTACAGGCATGTGCCACCACGCCCAGCTAATTTTTACATTTTTAGTAGAGATGGGATTTCACCATGTTGGCCAGACTGGTCTCGAACTCCTAGCCTCAGGTGATCCTCCTGCCTCAGCCTCCCAAAGTGCTGGGATTACGGGTGTAAGCCACTACACCCAACCAAAATGGCCTTCTTATAGCAGGAGACTGTGTCCTCAAAACACAGTCCCATCCAAGTGAATGGTTACAATTATTGGATGAACATGGTAGGACATCCAGTATTCCATTTTACATCAAAACTCTTCTAACTGGGAAAGATGTCATAGAAACTGGCTTTTATATGCTAAGTTCAATACAAAATATTTTGTGAATTCTATACCAATTATCACCAATCTTGAAGATTAGCTTTGGTTAAATAATGTATTATGGCCAGAAGAGGAAATCCCTGTGCACACACAAAAAGCACACAATCAATTGTTTGAGAAAAAAAGGTTAATAAACAGCAGACAATGAGTAGTAGTCAGCAAAGACAAGTAAACACCAATAAAGAACATCTGCCATAATATTCCTAAAAGAAACATGTTATTTAGCCAAACAAAATGATGCTTTTATAGCCTTAATAATACATTCTTTATGGAAAACAATGAAGTTTTCTGGGTTTTGTATGAATGACTTAAAAATTTGCTGCTAGGGTGATCAAACATGAAAGAGATTAAAAACACACACAAATGATCTCTATTGAGGATTGAGAATTAAAAGAGATTATTAAATTAAAGGATAATAAAATGATAACAATATTTAACATTTAAAAAAGCAAATATTATTCAGTTCAACTAGCTAGCAGCGGTCAAAAGTCAAGTTGGGTGACTCACTTTTTTGTGTGTGTGTAAGACAGTCTTGCCACGTCGCTCAGGCTGGAGTGCAGTGGCACGATCTCAGCTCACTGCAGCCTCCACCTCCCAGGTTCAAGAAATTCTCCTGCCTCAGCCTCCCGAGTAGGTGGGATTACAGGCGTGTGCCACCATGCCCAGCTAATCTTTTTGTAGTTTAGTAAAGACGGGGTTACATCATGTTGTCCAGGCTGGTCTCCAACTCCTGGCCTCAAGTGATCCTCCTGCCTCAGGGTCCCAAAGTGCTGGGATTATAGGCATGAGCCACTATGCCCAGCCTGAATGACTCACATTTATGATACTCATTGTTAAACTATCTGGAGAGGCAAACAAGGAACTTGAAATTAATAAGTATTTTATTGGTTTTACACTTTCGAAAAATGCAGCTTTTGTCTTAAAGACACAGCTTTAAATTTTAGCCATTGATTTAAAAGATTATTGAGGGTAAGCCTATGATAATGATGTTAATAAGGTTGTTAAAGAAAAAGGTATGCAATCCAGAATTCTGGTTGAAAATATAGAAGCATTCTTTGAACTGTAGTTTGAATTTTAACAAGGAAATGTCAGCTTTACCTGTGCTGATAGCAATGGTATTCCTTGGAACAATTCAAGTATTATTTACATTGTTTTCTATATCTCTCTAAAGGTGGAACATGATGAAACACACACCAAATCTGACCTTACAACACGCTTAGGTACACAATGGAAATTCTAATGAAACACTGTCAAAGCAATTAGATTTAATTAAGCAAGATATGAAATACATTAATAGAGCTAAGCAAAACCATAGAAAATCCTCAAAGAGCAAATCTCAGTCTTTGGCAGAATGTGAAATTAATTTTAAATCTCATCATTCAGTTACTTGTTATGAACTACAGCTTGCTGTAAACAATGTTAACTGAAAAATAAAAAAACAAAACCATGATCTAAGTTTTATTTCACTTTTAAATGGATTCTACAAATATATCTAAAGATTTAAAGAAAATTGTTATTCTAAATAAAAAAGATGCATGATAAATATGAAACAAAAGTAAAATTCCAGCAAAATACAAGGAAATTTGAACAACAAAACAAAAACATTTGCATGACTATGAAGGAGAAGGTTCACACATATACAATCTGAAAACTGACTTCTACGACTGTTTTGTGGCCATTCTAGATTAAGGTATTGTATTGATTGAAGAGCAATCTAAACAAACCAATATATTGGTATTTCTTTATTTGTAATAATCCAGTCCAGAAAAAGTTAAAAGAACTTATGGATTAGAGTATCAATCTAGATATTGTTTTAAGAGAAGCCAAAAATAACTATAGAAATGATATGTTTTGGCTATGTCCCCACCCAAATCTCATCCTGAATTGTAATCCCCACATGTTGGGGGACGGACATGTGGGAGGTGATTGGATCATGGGGGCAGTTTCCCCCATGCTGTTCTCGTGATAGTGAGTGAGTTCTCATGAGACCTGATGGTTTTATAAGTCGCAATTTCCCCTGTGCTTTCTCTCTCTCTCCTGCTGCCTTGTGAAGAAGGTGCCTGCTTCCCCTTCCACTATTCCATACAATTCCATAATTGGAATTATAATAATTACAATTCCATAATTGGAATTATAATAATTACAATTCCATAATTGGAATTATAATAATTACAATTCCACTTCCATAATTGTAAGTTTCCTGAGGCCTCTCCAGCCATGCAGAACTGTGAGTCAATTAAAACTCTTTCCTTTATAAATTACCCAGTCTGGGGTAGTATCTTCACAGCAGTGTGAAAACAGACTAGTACAATAAGCAATAGTAATTTCTACCATGAAATTAATATATTTGGCTACATTTCCAGTGATAACACTAATTAACCATAGATGACCTCATTACAATGTTTGAGATTGGTTTGAAAATTATGGTTCATTTCCAATCTAAGTATCATTTTAATAAATTTATTGACAATTCCAATGGCTACTAGATTAGCAGTGTTTCCCTTAAACGAAAGTGCCAATTTGGCATGACTGTGAACAATTTTGATCATAGCAACATTATTAGTGATTCACTGAAATGAACAAGAAATATACATTCTATGAAATAAATTATACTAACTAATTACAGTTGACCCTTGAGAAACACAGGTTTGAACTGTGTGGGTCCACTTATATGTGAATTTTCTTCCACCTCTTCCACCCCTGAGATAGCAAAACCAATCCCTCCTCTTCCTCTGCCTACTCATTGTGAAAATGACAAGCATGAAGACCCTTATGATGATCCACTCAAGGAATAGTAAATACATTTTTTCTTCTTTATGACTTCGATATGATTTTCTTTTCTCTAGCTTACTGTATTGTAAGAATACAGTATATAATACATATAACATACAAAATGTGTGTTAATTGACTGTTTATGTTGCCTGTAAGGTTCCCAGTCAATAGTAGGCTATTAGTAAAGTTTGGGGGAGCGAAAAGTTTTGGATTTTCAACTGTGTAGGGTGGGGAGGGTGGTACCTCTAACCCTCTTGTTGTTCAAGGGCCAAGTGTAATTATAGTATACCTTTATTGTATTACCCACATAAACATCAGTGCATCAAGGTATGCAACCAGTTCTCTTTGATATTTTGCCAACTTTTAGTCATGTAAAAGCTTAGTTTTGTACACATTTTTTCAATTTTTGTGTTACAAAAGTTGTATTTGTCAGGAAGGAGGAAATGACATACTGTATTTAACAATTTTTAGCTTAATCTATAACTTTTAAATATTTAGATATATGATATTTTGGGCTTAAATGCTGGGCTGACATCCAGGTGAAAGTGCATTCAGCTTTGAGGAAAAAATTTGGGAGCCCACACTTGGAGGGAAGATTAGGAAACAAATTTGAGGTTGAATTGAGAATTCTTCCACATCTGAAGATAATGCAAACCCAAAGCCCCTTCTGTTAAGATGGCAGTTCTCAACCTTGGTTACCCATTAGAATCACCTGGGAGGCTTTACAGATGCTGATGCCCAGGCTCCCCACTCTGTAGAGCTTTTGATTTAGTGGTCTAGGTTGAGGCCTGAGCATCAGCACTTCAAAAAACTTCCCAGGGTTGGGCCGAGTGCAGTGGTGTTTACAAATAATTGATCACAACCAGCTATAGACTTCTTTGTTTCTTCTCTATCTCCTTTGCTTCACTTGACTAGCCTTAAAAAACAACAACAAAAAATCTTCCCAGGTGATTCTAATGTGCAGTCAGCCCTGAGACTAGCTATCAGTAACTTGGATAGCAAACAGCATCCTGACAGGGTTGAAAGAACTTTGAAGCCAGGTCATGCCATGGCTAGATTGTGGTTACATTATGTCAGGTCTGGGTCAAACTAAGGTTGGCAAGATTGAAAGAGGCTGTCATTGCAAAGAAAGAGCACGTAGGCCTTGGTTTCATCCATTCAATTGACATTTAATGCACTTCTACAGTGTTTCCTGAACTGAGGGTACAGAAAGCAATAAAATATTAATTCCAAAAATGGGGAACAGATGTGTAAACAAAATCAATAAAGTATTACAAATATTATGGTAAAAGTGTATATGGGGCACAATAGAGGCACAATTCCATATAGGAAGGAAGGATAGGTGGAGGCAGTCTTAATCTTGAAAGATGTGGGGTTATCTGGGTGTGTTTGGGGCTGAAGACCAGGAGTTTATAGGGAGACTTCTTGAATTGGGCAGCACAGGAAACCCAGGTATATCTGAGAGCAAGATGAGGCCCTTGGGAACAGACGCAGTAGAGAGAGGCAGGAACGTGGGAAGGTGTATTAGTCTGTTCTCACACTGCTAATGAAGACATACCTCAGACTGGGTAATTTATAAAGGAAAGAGGTTTAATGCACCCACAGTTTCACATGGCTGGGAAGGTCTCACAATCATGGTGGAAGGTGAAGGAAGAGCAAGGCACATCTTACATGGCAGCAGCCAAGAAGAATGTGTGTAGGGAACTACCCTTTATAAAACCAGCAGATCTTGTGAGACTTATTCACTATCAGGACAACAGCATGGGAAAGACCCGGCTCCATGATTCAGTTACCTCCTACCAGGTCCCTTACCATGATATGTAGGAATTATGGGAGCTACGGTTAAAGATGAAATTTGGGTGCGGACACAACAAAATCATATCAGAAGGCATTGCTAGGTTGAGTGGCCAACTTCTCTTTGGTCTGGAGCCAATTTTATATAGGCCTTGAGTGTGCTTTTTGAGCAACATCTCAGAGGATCTTCAAACAGGGTTTACAGCAGCACTTTTCAGGAGGTTTGATGGCATGGGAAGGGAATCTATTTCCAGATCCTTAACTTCCACAGGTATTTTTCCTAAAATTTCCCTGCCCCAAAGCAGGTGCCAGAGCCATTGTCTCAGCAGCTTCAAGCTGTTTGTCCTCCCGCGATTATACTCTATGCTTTGCACAGGTCAGCAGTGCTCCTCCTCTTTCAGGATCTTCCTGTAATCTGCTACTCTGTGGTGCTATCTCGGAGGCACCAAATGAAAAGATGAGAAATACCAGTTTCAGAGATCTCCTTTACTGTTAATCAAGGAGCCCAAGCCTGCCTTCTGGTTTTGTATCTTACACATGTTTCCTATTGTTGACTCCTAATCCTACTTAGAGTTAACATTTATCCGTCGCTAACCCCTCCACTCTGGCAACTAAGCAAAATGTGAAAGGCTTAACGACATAGCTTCATTAATCCTCCATTTTTGTTGTCCTGCATGTTACATCTACATCATTGAAAATGCCACCAGATGATATAATTTTTGTTTTCGACATTCATACTTACTATAAAGAACTTAAGAATAAAAAAAGTGCCTTCCATTATATATTACTTTAACGCCACGGTAACCCTGTATTTTGTTAGATGGCCCCAGAGGCTGTGATTCCCATAGTAAGCACAGTAAAATGATGCCCAGCCAAGAGAAATTAAGAGATTTGTTCTAGTCTCCTGCTTGTGAGTGCTGGAACTGGATCTTATACCCAGATATTTAAAGTCAGATTTCAAAATCCAATATTCTTTTCTACATACTAAATGACTTCTCTTGGAGTGGGCATGTGAGTTTGCTTTAGGAGGCAGCACAGAGAAGAACATGTTATTCTACTGAGTCTTGAAGGGAAAGAATCAGAATCCCCAAGTGTACCTGTAGGAAGTAAGGAGGGAGAACCACAAGGATGGGAGAACCGGTGTGATGACTGGAATCTGCGGGAATAACAAACTGGCTGCCCAGGGGAGGGGGCCTGGCTTGGGTCAGGGGACTCTGAGGCCCAAATAGGAAAACACCTGCACGTCCCCAGCCCAAGATCTGCTGTCAGGCACTGCCCTTACTTTATGTCTGTTGGTGGTAGTGGAGGCTGACAGGTGAGGGTCCCAGGGAAGCTTCTTTGACTCTCAACAGCAGCTCTTCATCAGGGGTCCTCAATATGCAAAATGGTCTGACTTTATTTTTCTGGGCCATTCTAGAAGAAAACCCTGACTTGGCAATGGGAAGGGGAAGGGAGGTTCTACAGGGGAGGAGGGCCTGGCCCAGCAGGAGTCTGAGCTGCAGGCTGAGCTGAGGGGCAGCAGAGAGCTGATGGGATGACAACTGCAATGGAATGAATGTCCACTGCAGCTGAATGAATGTTCCACATGTTTTGGGACATTTTCTATTTCCCACATGGCATCTCAGAAAATTTGGGGTGAGATGCACAAAAGCTGCCGGTATAGTACATGGCCCAAGTGTGAGTCCCTGATCCATCACTTATTGTCTTGCAGTCAGAGGCAAGTTAATTGACCTCTCTAGGTCCCATTGCCTCATCTGTAAAATGGGGATGATAGAACTCACCTGGTGGGCTTCCTGTGACACTTGGCACGGGCACCTTCATCTTAGATTTTTCTAGACTGGCTGCTGCTGGAGGGCCAGGACTGTATCACCAGTGACTTGCGTAGTCCCAGACTTACTGCAAGTGCTGCTTGACAAATGGCTGCTGACTACACATGACTACAGGGAATCAGTAGGTGTTTGTAGATTCTTGAGTCAGACAGGCCTGACTCAAATCCTAGCTTCACTACTTATTAATTGTGCGAGTCAGTTTCCTCCCACCTCCCTTACCTTGTCTGTAAAGTGGAGACAACTGGAGAGCATGCCTTATAGGTTGCTGTGAAAATTAAAAGAGGAAATACATAAAAAATCATCAAGAAATCCCAGCGGCTATTACTGCAGATAGGTGTGAGGGAAAACAAGAAATGAGGCGTCAGGCAGCCTGCATCCAAGTTCCTGATCTGATAAATCACCAGCCCTCTCATCTTGGACAAGTCACCTCCACTTTGTCTTTCTGAGCCTTGTTATCTTATCTATCACACAGAGATGTTGAAGCTCTGTTGCCTCAGGACCATTGTAGAGTTTGGATGAGATAATATATGGGAAAGTTTGACGTGCATGAAGTGTTAACCAAATGTAGAGAATTATTATAGTCGGATCCCGATGGCCTCAACCACCTCAGTCCTCTGTGGGATGTCAGAATCCTCAGGAAGGGGTCCCAAGAGTTCAGTCAAATTCCTTTCTTTTCCTGAAAATTTCTTTCCGCAAGAGTTTGCTGCCCTCTGGTGGGTGTTATTGCCATATTGCACAAACTTTTCCTGGAAAAGATTAAGCATCTTGCCTTTACGGGCTGGAGGCTATAGCACATCTGGGAGGATGAGCTATGAATAGGAGCGTTGGCCTATCTTCTAGCCCTCCGGGGGAGTAGTTCTTGGAGTGAGGCCTCTGATCAGCATCAGCATCACCTGGGTGTTTGATAGAAGTGCACACACTCGGCCCTACAGCTGACCAATGAAGCAGAAACCCTAGGGGTGGGGCCCAGCAGTCTGTGCTTTAATGTGACCTCCAGGCTCTTGTGTGCAGAGGTTTGAGAATCACTGTTCTAGGGACTCCAGGACCTCAGAATTGGAAGGGAGGGGCTGGAGAAGAGCTGGGAAGGGCAGTGACTTTGATTGTGTGCAGTCATATAGCTATCTGGGGTGTGAAAAATATTAAAACTGCAGATTGAAAAGAATGGTAGAACTGGCTGCATGCAGTGGCTTACGCCTATATTCCCAGGAATTTGGGAGGCCAAGGCGGGAGGATCACTTGAATTGCGGAGTTCAAGACCGGCCTGAGCAACATAGCAAGACCCTGCCTCTACAAAAAAACTAAAGAAAAATTAGCTAGGCAGGGTGGTGGCCACCTGTAATCCTAGTAACTTAGGAGGCTGAGGTGGGAGGATCACTAGAGCCCAGGAGTTTGAGGATGCAGTCAGCTATGATCGTGCCACTGCACTCCAGCCTGGGTGAAAGAGCGAGGCCCTATCTCAAGAAAGAAAAAAAGTCAGAATAAATACACAAATATCCTTCACTAGATTTACCAGTTGTCATCAGTTTGCCACATTTCATTAATCTCGTTTCCTACATTTCTTTTATGCTGATCCGTTTCAAAGAAAGCTGTGGAAATCACAGCACTTCACTCTCACATATTTAGCAGCATTTTGTAAAAGTAAGAAACTTCTATATGGCCACAACATTATCATTACAACTAAGAAAATTAATAATTTTATAATTAATTTACATTCTATATTCAAATTTCTCCAACTGGCTCCAAAATATTTTTTATATTTGCATGTGTTTTAAATCCAAGATCTAATTCAAATTTATGCATTGTATTATGTATTGTTTTATGTCTTTTTTTAGTAACTTTTAATCTAAAACAGCCCATTGTCCTTGACTTTTCTTTTCCTTTTTTTTTTTTTTTTTTTTTTTTGAGACAGGATCTCACTCTGTTGCCCAGGCTGGAGTGCAGTGGCATGATCTTGGCTCACTGCAACCTCTGCCTCCCGGGTTCAAGTGATTCTCCTGCTTTAGCCTCTCTAGTAGCTCGGATTACAGGCACCTGCCACGCCTGGCTAATTTTTGTATTTTTAGTAGAGATAGGGTTTCATCATGTTGGCCAGGCTGGTCTCCAACTCCTGACCTCAGGTGATCTGCCTGCCTCGGCCTCCCAAAGTGCTAGGATTACAGGCGTGAGCCACTGCACCTGGTCAAATTTTCTTTTCTTTTCTTTCTTCTCTTTCTCTCTCTCTCTTTCTTTCTTTCTTTCTTTCTTTCTTTCTTTCTTTCTTTCTTTCTTTCTTTTTAAATGATACTGACTTTTTAAAATAATTCAGGCCTGTTGTGTTATAGAATGTCCCACAGCTGGATTTGTCAGATTGCATTCTCATGGTTGGATTCAGGTTAGACATTTTTATCAAGAATGCTTTATTGGTGATGTTGTATGCTTCTTGTTGTATCAGGAGGTCAGGTTATGTTGCTGTGAATCTGAATGACCTGGGGAGCTTTTTTCAGACACAAGTTCTTTGGCTACGCACCTGGAGTTTCAGTTTCCTTGGTCTGGGATGTGCTCCGCACATTCACGTTATTTGAAAGCGTCACAGGGATTCTGTGGTGTGGCCAGGGTTGAATCTCAGGAGAGGAAAGCCTTCCAGTCTCTCTTTCATGAATTTATCTTTCAACGCCTCCATCCCAAAGCAACAACAACTGGAGCAGTGCTACCATGTCCCTCTGCCCCTTGCTCACCCACCAAAACCTTCCTCCACCCACCTCCTCCCACCTCCAGTGAGATCCTGAGAAATGATTCACTCTAGGCCAGTTGTCCCTGGGGCTGAGCTGGAGCTTCTGCTCACCATGGGGTAAGCCGTATGATGCGGCAGGTGTCGAGGAACCTGGAAGGAGCTCCTCCTGGGGATGGGAGGTGGAGCTGGTACAAACTACCCATTGGAGTGAGAAGGAGGAAGCTAATGCAATCTGAGCTCCTGAACTTTATTCCCATGGCTGGGAGTGACAGTTCTGGAAAGATGAGTCGACTTTGAAAATAGGAATTGGAAGATATGCAATATTCCCTCTTCATATTGTAACACATCAGTTGCAATTTCTACTATACCAACATTGGTGTTTTCTCTCTGTCTCTTACACCCACACACAGCCATCCCGTACACTGAGGTTATGACATGTATTGATTTATAATCTCTACCTCAGTGGAGAAGATAATAAAAGTCTAAGTGAGCCTTAGAGATGTGATATCAGCGTGGATGGAAAAGAGGAAAGAGGAATTGTAGTTTTGGCCTCCTTTGAGTGGATGACTAGAAGTAGGGTGCAAAAATTTAAAAAAATGGTGGTCAGACAGCATGGGAATCTGATCAAAGCAGGGAGACTTGCCGGAGCAGCCACTGTGGGGCTAGGCACCTGTGGATTTTGGGAGAGAGAAGGGCTGAGTGGAATGGCAGAGGAGGAGCTGCAGGGGGTAAAGACAGAAGCAGCTGTGGAAATGCCCCCAAACTCAGCAAATTTGACAGTGTCTTTTAGGGCTAAAGGTCAAGCTGATGAACCCAGGGTCAAAACATGGAGGTAGAAACAAAATGCTGATAACTGCACTGGGCTAGATCAGGCAAAATTTGATGGCTGGCTGTGCTCAGTCCTGCCTGGAGCTCCTGAGCTGGGAGCAGGAAGCAGCTTCACCGGGCTGGGCTGGCTGGATGTAGCCTCATCAGGCTAAGCAAGGAGCATGAGCCCCTGTGATGCAGAGACTGGGGAGGAGGAGGGAGATGTGATCCTTTGAGCATTCCTGTAGCTCCTACCTCTTTACATCTGCTTCCTCCTGCTTCACATCCAGGACTTGGATACACAGCACCCCTGACCTGCATGGATGCCTTAGGAAATGTCTGAGCTTAACAAGAATCTTTAGAATATGCTCTTTCCCTGCCACCGCCAGGTCGTGCGGACGCAAAGGCTTTGGTGTGTTCAAGATTGGGCTTCACCCATAACCCACTGCCATGGCCGAGGAACGCATTGCTGTTGGAGGTGTAATGGACGTTAATACTGCTTTACAAGAGGTGCTGAAGACCGCCCTCATCCACAATGGCCTAGCATGTGGAATTTGCAAAGCTGCCAAAGCCTTAGACAAGCGCCAAGCCCATCTTTGTGTGCTGGCATCCAACTGTGATGAGCCTATGGATGTCAAGTTGGTGGAGGCCCTTTGTGCTGAACACCAAATCGACCTAATTAAGGTTGATGACAACAAGAAACTAGGGGAATGGGTAGGTCTCTGTAAAACTGACAGAGAGGGGAAACCCCGTAAAGTGGTTGGTCGCAGTTGTGTAGTAGTTAAGGACTATGGCACGGAGTCCCAGGCCAAGGATGTCATTGAAGAGTACTTCAAATGCAAGAAATGACAAAATAAATCTTTGACTCACACACACACACACAAAGAATCTTTAGAATATGCCACCTTGTCATGTATTCACATATATGTGCTCACATATACACACACAGCACACATGTAAAAACACATGAATGCTGAGCTAGGTAGGACTCAGGGGCCCGGCAGGTCTAGGCCCTGCTGCGTAGCCTTGGGCAAGTCACTTCATCTCTCTGAGCTATAGTTGCCTTCTCTGAGAGAGAGTGAAGTGAGATGATTCTTGAGATCAAAGAATGTAGGAGCTGGAAGAAAAGTCAGGCATCATCTTCCATCCCTTCATTTTACAGATGTATAATTAGAGATTAGAAGGGGTTCAGAAGCCATGCCATCTACTCCTTCCTTGGACCACTGGGGAAACTGAGGCCCACATAGGGAAAGAAAGTGACTATTCTGGTGTACTTTAATCCATGCACTTTATCCCAGGGAGCCAGGAGACTATCTCAGAAATATCTCTTCAGTCTCAACTACTTTCAACCTTCCAAAGCTAGACTGGAGAGGAAGAAGATGGTGGGTAACCAATGAATGAAGGAAAACAATGAGAAGTACCCTCATTGGGGAAAAAATGGTTGGAAAACACTAGGGTTAATCAAGGCAGGCAGGTTTCTTTACTAAGTATAAGTCTTAGGGCCATACAGCTTTGTGAGTCTACAGGTGAGGCTGTGTTGTGCAGCATCCCTCAGATGGCTGGATCACGGATGCTTTCCCTTGGAGTGTAGCATCTCAGGAGGCTGGAGTTATGGACCACCCCTGAGGAAACACTATGTAAGCTATAGGCAATTTTTAAGCCATAAAGAAAAATATTTTCTTATTTTTAGTATAAAAAATTTTACACCCATGCAATTGATTTTAAGCAACATTCAACTATATTGAAGGATGATTTTAAGTGAATTTAAAGACTCAATTTGATAGTTTTTCAATGATTCGTAACATTTGTCATGAGAAGTATAGGATTTGCTCCTTCCATTTATATTTATACTTTATTTTATTTTTGAGACAGTCTCACTCTGTCACCCAGGCTGGAGTGCAGTGGTGCTATCTCAGCTCACTGCAACTTTTGCCTCCCCGTTTCAAGCGATTCTCCTGCCTCAGCCTCCTGAGTAGCTGGGATTATAGGCGTGAGCCACCATTCCCAGCTAATTTTTATATTTTTAGTAGACATGGGGTTTCACCATGTTGGCCAGGCTGGTTTTGAACCCCTGACCTCAGGTGATCCACCCACCTCAGCCTCCCAAAGTGCTGGGATTGCAGGTATGAGCCACCGCACCCAGCCTCCTTCCACTTTTCATTCTTCTGATGTGGCAGTTAATTCTCGATGTCTTCTATTTTTTTTAACCTGGAAATTTAACATGTATATTTAGCTTAATTTCTCAAGTTAATATCTTTACCCTTCTCCTGACCAATTCAACGACCTAAGTATGCTTAAACTCTAACCACTCCCCACTGACTTATATGCCATTATTGCCCAGTGTTTTAGTTGTGTCTTATGTCTGGAAGCCCCTACAGTAGACATTACAACTATTGTTTTATATACCAACATTCATATAGATTTGTTCACATGTTAACCACTTTGCTTTCTTTCTTTCATTCTTTCGTACATCTCAGACTTTTGAGTTCTCTTACTGAAGATCTGTTTATAACAAACTATTTTGCTTTGTTTACAAATTTCTTTATATCACTTTTTATTCTTAAAGGGTAGTTTTATTTGGTACTAAATCTAGGTAGTGGTTACCGTCTCTAAAGTTCAATTTCCTCATCTGTTAAAAGTGGAGAGTAAATATCTTCCTTAGCGATTTCATGAGGGGGTTCTTGGGAGCATCACATGGCATAATGACTAAAAGCTTTCAGTGAACAAAGCTCAGGTGTTGACGCTGTCTTCTGTGCCCTGAGAAAACCCTGGGAGTTGTGTAAGACACTGCTTGCTTTCAGTAAACATGCTCTTTGCCAAAATGTCCTAACACACTGTTGCTCAACCTTGTTTTCATTATTGATGATTGTCCCTGTAAGGAGCCTTTTTAGATTTTTTTCCCTAATTGCCCCCTCCTCTCATGGAAATTTGATACTACGAGTAAACTGCAAATCCATTGGGCACTATATGTATATCTGTCCTTTATACCTAGAAGGAGTAAATACTTTTTTTTTTTTTTCAATTGGCCACCAAGAACTAGCTTTTGCTCTCTTGAGGGCAATATCGCCCTTGCTGAGAATGTGTGTTCTAGTGGCATTAGAACATTGGCAGCATTTTCAAACTGCAGTGCTGCCTAAGCATTAAACGATCAGGTGCCGGGTGCAGTGGCTTAGCCGGGTACAGTGGCTCATGCCTGTAATCTCAGCACTTTGGGAGGCCAAGGCAGGCAGATTGCTTGAGCTCAGGAGTTCAAGACCAGCCTGGGCAACATGGTGAAACACCATCTCTACAACAAATACAAAAATTAGCTGGGTGTGGTGGCTCATGCCTGTAGTCCCAGCTACTTGGGAGGCTGAGGTCAGAGAATTCCTCAGGACTTTGATGCTGCAGTGAGCCATGATCGTGACACTGCACTCCAGCCTAGGTGACAGAGTGAGACCCTGTCTCAAACAAAACAAAACAAAACAACAAAACAAAACAGGATCGGGCTTTGGAATTGGGTAGACCTGGAATTAAATCCTTGCTGTCATTGAGTAGATGTGTCACATCAGGTAGAGCTACTTCGCCTCTCTAAGCCTGTTTTAGATCTCAAACATGGTGACAGTATTTAAATAGGCATTTAGTACCGTGCCCAGAACATAGTATTTAATAAATGTTAGCTACTAACAAACATTTCCAAAAGAGGGTAATCCTTAACATTTTTCTTTTCCTATAACATATTTTAACATATTTAGTTATTATAAAAGTAAGTTATTTATGTCCACCCCCTCTCCAATTCCCCACACCATAAGGGACATGGAACTGGCCCGGTGAGGAGGAGAAGGACTCCCTGAGGGACTGGAAGGCAGCCCTGTGGCAGGGGAACAGAGAGAGGTCCTGGCAGGTTGACTCTCAGGGTGGCTATGCAGAGGCCACCACTAGGGTCCAGCTACTTCTGACCACACTGGAGGACATTTCTCTAAAGGTCTTAAAGGAGAATGAGAACTTGCTAAGAGAGGGGCCAGCTGGAGTTTCTCCTAAGGAGAAACAGATTGGAAGTGTAGAAGGCTTTCAACCAGAATTCAGCTGTGAACATTTGACCACTTTTCAAAGACCTCTAACATATCTGGATTAGGTTCAAAAGAAGCTGTTACTTAGAGTTCAGTTTGGAGCTTGGATTGAACAATGACCACCAATAAAAATGTACAGGTGTTTGCCTGTGTGTTAAGGATCTTCTCTGGGGCTGGGTGCGGTGACTCATGCCTGTAATCCCAGCAGTTTGGGAGGCTGAGGCGGGCAGATTGCTTGAGCTCAGGAGTTCGAGACCAGCCTGGCCAACGTGGTGAAGTCTTGTCTCTACTAAAAATACAAAAATTAGCTGGGTGTGGTGGCATGTGCCTGTTGTCCCAACTACTTGGGAGGCTGAGGTGGTAGAATCGCTTGAGCCCGGGAGGCGGAGGTTACAGTGAGCCGAGATCACCTCACTGCACTCCAGCCTGGGTGATAGGAAAAAAAAAAAAAAAAAGATCTCTTTGGCAGAATGTTTTCTTTCAGCATGAAAATAGAATGTCAAGGCTATGCCAATGTGTGGTTTAGATAAAGTATATGTTTTGGTCCAAAATGTTTCATGAGTGCAATGTTAATTGTGTGCTGGTGAACCTGGCCCAGTTATAAGAAGGTTCTAATTTATAAATGTGTCTTTCTATGTAAGTTAAGATACTTTTAAGCCTTGGGAAAGAGAGGCTAGTCATTTAGGAATTAGACCAGACTCTATATAACAGCCTAAAATGACAGTGACTTATACACATAAGGGTTTGATTTTCTCACGTCAAAGAAGTCCGCATGTAGGCAGTTCAAGGTCTCTGTTTGTCAAGACTCGGTGTCCTTTTACATTTCTGCCCTGCCATCCTAGTTTCTGACTGCCATCTTTGGTGAAGGCCATCTCATTCCCAGAAAATTGGAGGTGGGAAGGGGCAAAGGGAAAGGGGGGCTGGGGCTCCCTTTACTGTGCCTCCCAGTTTTTTCTTACATCTAATTGGCCAGTAAACTAGCTGGGAAGAAGCTGGGAAGTGTAGTCTTATTCCAAAAGGCAATGTTCCTCTCTAAAAGTCAGGGTTCTGTTATTACCAAGGAAGAAAGACCACTGGGAGTGAAGTGAGCAGATAATAACCTGTGCCTATGTAAGACTGTTTCTGTCCATGTACAGGATCATCAAGGTGACAGAGAGACAGAGAGACAGAGAGAGAGAGAGCACTTTATAAAGGCTAAGACCTGCTGACAGCCTCAAGGAATAGCACTGAGCTGATATCATCAGACAAAGTCCTGTTTTTCAGCTTCTTCCAGAAAAGACGAGATGGGGCTCCCCATAGCTGAGCTGTGTTCCAGGAGCATCTCCATCCATTCCAAGGGGAAGAGTGCAGGGCATGGAGCCTTCTGTCTTGGGGAAGAAGTAGGGACATGGAGGATCAGGGCAAGAACAGGTGTGTGGGGTGTTTGTGTATCTCAATGACTTGTGAGATTTCTTTTTCCTTTTTGATTTGCATTTGGCAAATCCTCTCTCCCCCTTTTAAGCCCCTAGTGTTAAAAAGTTCTTGAAATGGATTGTAACAAATAAAGTTAGGCCAGGGAGAGCTGAAATGCACTGTGTATTAGTCAGGGTTCCTTAGAGGGACAGAACTAATAGGACGGATGGATGGATGGAGATATCTATATCTAATCTCTATCTATCTATCTATCTATCTATCTATCTATCTATCTATCTATCAATCATCTATCTATCTATCTTATCTATCTAGAGTGTGAGTGCATTTATTAAGTATTAACTTATATGATCACAAGGTCCCACAATAGGCTGTCTGCAAGCTTGAGGAGCAAGGAGAGACTTGGGAGTCCGAGTCTCAAAACTGAAGAGCTGGGAGTCCAATGTTTGAGGGCAGGAAGCATCCAGCGTGGGAGAAGGATGAAGGCTGGGAGGTTAGGCCAGCCTCACCTCTTCATTTTTCTGCCTGCTTTATATTCATTGGCAGCTGATTAGATTGTGCCCACGAGATTAAGGTTGGGTCTGTCTTCCCCCAGTCCACTGACTCAAATGTTCATCTTCTTTGGCATCACCCTCACAGACACACCCAGGATCAATACTTTGCATCCTTCAATCAAATCAAGTTGATTTGATTGAACCTGTATTAACCATCACAGGTTGTGTGTAAATCACTGAAGTTGGCCTACTAAGTAATTTTGCAAGGGCCTTCTGCCCAAAGATGGGTGGATTCCCTGGGAGTTCCGTCAGCAACACACCAGATTCTTCTGTTTGCTTCTGAAGCCTGACTTGACTTCTGGAGGCTTCTTCCTGGAGCAGGACTAGTTGGATGAGATAAAAGTGCTCTTTGAGATCTCATGGAGTAGCATTACTTGAGTTATAAAATCTCTTCATGGGCTTAAAACATGTAAATAGGAGCTTTCAGATTGCAAGTTCAACAAGCATTGTTCACAGTTAGTGGTTGCTTTTGTGGTATTTTGGGAAGAACATGGGCATAAAACTTGGCTCTACCACTCGCTATGTGGCCAGCTGCCAGTTCCTGAACCCTCCTGTGTCTCAGTTTCCTCACTGATTGTTGAAAGGAGTAAACGAAATCATTTGTGTGTGGGTTTGTGTGTGTATACAATACGGGTTTCAACGTAGTTGTAATAATATCAAACTGTTTCTTTTGAATCTTATTTTCTTTATTCAATGCCCCATCATACATATTTTCCATGTTATTACACATCTTTACAGTGTCGATATTCATTTAACCATTTTCCTATTTTTGAATATTGAAGTTGGATATTGGCTTCCAGGTTTTCTTGATGCAAAAATCTTTGAAATTATTCATTTAACTAGATTTTCAGAAATTAAATTGCTGGGTTAAGGAGATTTGGATACATATTGCCAAATTATTTTTCCAAAAGGCTTTAACTAATTTATTCCACCACCAGCAACAGAGGACAGAGCAATTTTTGTCATTCTTAAGTATGTCATAAGCCATATTCATACTCCAGCCTGGGCAACAAGAGCGAAACTTCCTCTTAAAAAAAAAAGAAATGCATATTATAATTTGTAACATGACAATTTTATAGGTGAAAAATAAAATCCCGGTTTAAAATTTTGTATGTTTTTTTATGACTAGTGAGATTGCATTTTTTTCAAATGTATTTTCCAGTCTGAGATCCATTTTTGTAAGTTGTTTGTCCGGTATGGCTCCAGTGCATTATTCTGTTGGGTGTTAGAATACAGAACATCTTCAACATAGATTCAGTTTGGTGTCCTGATTGTGAACATGACTCCATTTGTGTTATATGTGTGTGATTGTATTCAACTAGGAATATGTGCTTTTTGGCTAATGTACAAAATGCTGGGTGCGCCAGAGATGTGTCTGAAATTCATGGGATGAGACTTTTACCTATTTCTCCTTCCACAGACTCTTTAGTTGTAGCTGGAGAAAAGGCAAGTGAATTCCTTTTGGAGCTGGGTAGAAAGGGCATGGAGTTAAGGGTCACGAAGTCAGCACATTCCCTTGTGGAATTGTGCCTGTAATCTGCTGATTTCTACCCTGATTCTCTACCTCTCATTTTGCCTGAAGTGACACTGTCCCTAGACCAGTCCGTGGCCAGCCCACATCATTTCTTTTAGGGTTATCTGAGGATCTGAGGTCCATGTGTTTCACAAGTACCCACAGGATGTGCCCACCATTTCCCTGCAATTCAATTCCAAGTCTGCGTTCTGAAGTAGAGGTTTCAACCCTGGGAGATACTTGTGGGTGTTGGAAGTGAGGGGTGGGCCTGGGGAAGGACTGAGTCATGAGGGTCACCAGGGCCTCAAGGAAGAGAAAGTTTCACCAGCTTCACCTCTTCAGAAGGGATCTCAGCCATGCAGATTCTTGGAGGGAATTAGGAGGCTTTTAAAGTTACAGAGATGTCCTCAGCTCTGAGCAATGTTCTGAGGAGTAAAGTCGTCATCAGCCCATTTTGGCCCTATGTGGGCATCCTCTTTCCCACTCTTTCCTCTTGGGAGGAGGGACTCCAGTTTCACAGCTTGCCAGGGCTTTGGGCTTGTAGTATGGGAAGAATATGGAGCTAGGTGGAACTCTTGACCATAAGGATTTCATTTCCTGGTGACTTGAATCTTTAGGCCCAGAGGCTGTTCAGAATCTAACCAGCTACAACAAAATTGGGACTTGAGGGGGATTAAGAAAAACTTGGCTTTAAAAATTAGAATTAACAACAAGAGAATGGTTAAATGAGTTCAGGTATAAAAGACTGCAATAGTTAAAAAGAAATAAGGATACAGACATAAAAAGATCTTTGAGATGTACTGTTAATTGAAGAAAACAAGTTGTAGAATAAATTTTAAAATACAATCATGTTTATGCAAAAGAACAACAACAAAAAAACCTAGCTTTCTCCCCGCCACAGGTACATGCATGAAACCATACCCAGGAGGTTAGGAAGATGCCACACTCAATGGATGACAGTGGCTGCCTCTGGGGAGTGTGTGTGAAGGTCGACCAGACCTTGCACTTTGTTTTGTTCACATTTTAAAAGATAATGTAACTACGTCTTTCTGCTGTAATCAGAAATAAAAAAAATAGAACAACTGGCTTGAAAATCTAGGATGCAAATCCTTCTGCTTATCTGAGACCCAGGTGGTCACTGGTTCAGTCCTGATGCAGAGCAATGGCACTGACATTGAAATTGCACTCAAAGAAACCGAGCTGCAGCTCACCATGGACATGTTGTAGGATTCCAACCAGGAAGTGCTCTGAGCTTCACAGGGTTGCTGTGAGTATTAAATGAGATAATATATGAATGTGCTTTGCAAAAGTTAAAGTGGGAGACACATATAAGGTAGAAATACTATACTGTGTCATTACATTCTTGTACTAGCTCCCAAAGTGAAAGTGGGATAAGAATGCAAGCACCACAACCCGATGAAGTAGATATTATTATGATCATCTCCATTCCCCAGCTGAGGAGTTAAGTTTTAGTTAATTTTCTATTGGTCATTCGGCTGTTCAGCTGCAGTCAGAACTTGAACCCAGGCTCCCTGCTGTTCTCAACTGCCACTGCATGTTGAAGCACTCGGACACATTTACAGCCATGTGTATATATATTTACCGTTTCCTTCTTGGAGCAGTTCTGACAAAGCTGAGATTTAAACCTCCAAGAACAAATATATGAAACTGATTCTAAGCACTGTAGAGTATTTATGATGTGTTTGTGCTAGGCATTGTAGGAATAACAAGTGGCTAACATTTTCTGATCATCTGCTGTGTGCAAGACCGTCTTCTAAGCGCTTTACATGTATTAGTGCGCACAACTTTATGCAAGAGGTACTACTATCCCCACTTTACAGTTGAGAAAAATGCTGCACAGAGAGTTTAAATATCTTGCTCAAAGCAAAGACGTTTAAGATATGGTCTCTACCCTGAGTCCAATATGCGTGAAATAAAACAATGGAGAAGTGCTGCAATGCAGCTATTTACAAAGTTCCAAGGGCGCTCAGAGAGTACCATCCCTGCAGGGGAAAGCGAAGCACTTCGTGTGAGATCCTGAAAGTCCGGGGTGAGCCACTTCAAGCAGGGGCGGGGCGCGTGTGCAAGGCCCTGGGCTGAATTAATGAGAACCCGATCTCATGTTCTGGGTCAGAACCGAGCTCCATCCGGACTGCAGCGCAAGCCAAAGAAATGCAGTGGCTGCTGTCCCGGCTGGGCCCTTCTGCATACCCCGGGGGCATCGGGCCAGGGAGCCGTGCTCCCCTTGGGCCGCGGGGTTGGTAAGCAGCAAACCGAGCTGAAGCGGCCAAGAACCCTCCCGTAGGGCAGAGTGAGGATTGGCGGGAGAGAAAAGCCTAAAGGGACTGTAGCAATTGGCTGCCGCCTTTTCCACCGTAGGAGGATCGGGCTGACACTCCCAGCGTTGGGACTTATTCAGGTAAAGATTATGTCTGGAGCCCCATCTTGCTTCAGAGACCTCCCGTTCTGCGCTTATCACTGCGTCCCCGGAAACCAGACGTCCCTTAAGAGACTTAGCCAATTATCATCCACGGCCATTACCGTGGAGAGCCTAGCGCTGTCAGCGAGTTTCTGATTGGCTGTTGCTGGAAGGGGGCGGGCCCGGAGAAGAACCGTGCAGCGTGCGGAAGGAGCCCTACTTGCCCACCGTTCTCTCCAACTCAGGACGGACGGCGCCGCCAAGTGGTCTGTAGGGGTAATGCCTCGTGCTGTTGCCCCGCAGAGGGCGGGCTTGGCTTGCCAGGCTCCTGGAGAGGAAAGCCTTTTAACCTAAATGAAGTAGAAAGAGAAATACCTAAACTTGAATAGGAATCAGTCGTGCTGAATAAGAGAGCTCTTAGTCAGAATGCGTGTCGTCGGTTCCAGCTCCACATTAACTCAGTTTCCTTTCTTTCCTGAGCCTCATCTGTCAGATGGGGATAATGATAATACCTATCTCCAAGGCTTGCCATGAGGTTTCAATGAAATTAATATGTTTAAGGTTCGCACAGTGCCATGCGCATAATAGGTACACGATAAGCAATAACTGGTGGGGATCAGTGCACTGGTTAAGAGTGAGCATTCTGGGTCAGTGCCGTGACTCACACCTATAATCTCAGCATTTTGTGAGGCTGAGGCAGGAGGATTGCTTGAGTCCAAGAGTTTGAGAGCAGCCTGGGAAACATAGTGTGACCCTCTCTCTACAAAAAATAAAATTATCTAGACGTGTGATGTGTGCCTGTAGTCCCAGCTACTTGGGTGGCTGAGGTGGGAGGATCACTTGAGCCTGGGAGGTCGAGGCTGCAATGAGATGAGATTGCACCACAGCACTATAGCCTGGGTGACAGAGTGAGACCTTGTCTCAAAAAAAAAAAAAAAGAAAAAAACAAAAAGAATGAGAATTTTGCCGTTTGAAAGAATACCTGTTGAGTCCCAAGCCTGCATAGCACTAGCATGGTGAGATTACATAGCCTCCCTGTCGCAGTTTCCTCATCTGGAAATGAGACTAACAATAACACCTACTTCATGGAATTGTGGTTTAATTGTGGTACTGATAAAATACCCAATACAAAGCAATCAGTAAATGTTGGCCCCTATTATTCATATCATTTATGAGGAAGGGAATAATGATTATTATTTCCCTTCTTCCTCCCCCAGGCAATAGGCTACTTCAGCCTGAGTTGGCCCTTCTGAAAGAGGAATAGTGGCTTGCTTTGTCTGGAGTTAGTCTGTAAACCTATCACACTCACACGTATGAACATAGGACTTGGAAAATCTCTATATCACACTCTTGCCCACAGTTTACATTATTCTTTTAGGCACTGTTTTCTTAAGCCCCGTTGGCACCTGACGAAAGCATAACATTATAATGATTAACTTATTGGAGTAGAATTGGTTTATTAGAGTATCTTTTAAGTTGGCTGTAGTGTTCAACAGTATTCTGAGGGCAGTGTACATAGAAGGACATGTACTGATGAAGACAAGGGTTTCAGGGGTTTGAAATCAAAGGACATAAGTCAGCATATACTCTAGGGTGAGCCTGGGTTGGGACCAATGATGGTGAAGTGTGTAGCGGTGGTTGGGTGATTGGTTGGGAGCAGGGAAGTCTGGAGTGTTTCTGAGTCATGGGAAGATTACTGGACAGACTTGGAGACTTGAATTCTGGCTAAAACGAATTCACTCTCTGGCTGTGTGATCTTGGACAAGTCACTTATATTTTCTGAGAACTGATTTCTTTGTAGTAAAATGAAAATAGAATATGATTCTTGTGTGTAGTGCGTAATAAGTACTCTATAACTGCTAGTTATTTGTTGTTATTCATAGTATCACAAATAATTCCTCCTCAAACGTATGTTGCGAGAATCATGGAGAAATCTGATCTGTTTTTATATTTCAAGAGTGATGAGTGCCTAAGATCACCAAATTAACAGTTTGGGAGTTTGGCAAGGGTTAGTCTACCTTTCCTTTCTTTTCCATTTTGTAGTTCTTATCTTCTCTTCTGTCCTTAATTAAAAGTCTATCCTTCAAGTCACACAAGTGACCCAGTTCAGTGAGGACCTTCATGGTTCTTTGGATGCCTCCCTGCTGTACCATACGTTTGACCACCTCCCATCATCTGCCCCACCCATTTCCTTCTCTTCTGGCCTATAGGAGAGGACTCTAGCTAGAGCTTAGGCCCTGTGTACAGTGGTCTCATGTATCTTGGCAGCCCCAGGATTCCAGGGTTCTTCTTTGGATGAATGACCTTGTAATTGAAGCCCAAAGTTTAAGGCTGGTACTGCTGAGCACATACTGTGGAGGTAAGTGGGTAGGACAGCTGACACCCTCTCCAATTAATCATCCAGCAATAATTTTGGTGCGGTTACTATAGCCTGGTTACTTTGGAGGCCACATTCTTCCATTCTGAAGATATATGTAGAGTTATTTCTCAGTTAAAAATGAAGACAGGCATAATTTTTAGTGGGAAAATATGGGGCTTTTGTGTTGGGCAGATTTAAATTTGAATCTGGTCCTTTACTATGTGATCTTAGAACTAGTTGCTTATTTTCACAGTTTGCTTATCTATAGAATGGGGACAATTGGAATAACAGTAGTAAAAAGGAGTGAACTTTTGATAAATAGAATAACGTAGATGAATCTTAAAATAATCATGTTGGATATAAGATGCAAGACAAAAAGATTACATACCGAGATTATGTTTATATAAAGTTCTAGAAAATGCAAACTTATCTGTAGTGTCAGAAAGCAGGTCAGTGGTTGCCTGGGGACGAGCAAGTGGAGGGGCAGGAGGAAGGATTACAAAGAGAGAGAGGAAAACTTTGGGAGCTGATAGATATGTTCATTACCTTGATTGCAATATGGCTTCCCAGGTATATACATATATCTAAACTTATTAAATTGCACATTTTAAATATGTGCAGTTTATGACATCAGTCTTTCAATAAACTGTTAAAATGGGGATAATAAAATGTATTCATAAATAGTTGGTGATGTTTTAATGAAGAAAACATGTTAAAGTGCCAGAAATACAGCAGGCGATCAATAATGGGCACTCACTTCTTTCCCATTTTCATACTTTAAAAAAGAACACTAGGGAATTAACTTTAGCATAATATTTATATGACAAAGCCTATAAGTGGCACCAATAGCTTAAGTAATATAGAATACACATTTTCCTGTCTTTCTTGGTATCATAGGTACAGTATTATAAAGATTAAATGATGCAATCACATAAAGAACTTTGAACATTTCTGGGCATATAGTAAGTACTTGTTAATTGTTTTTTATTGCATTTACTACTATTGTTATGATGGGTTTGATGGAAGGCATGGAGTGAATAATCAGTAAATATTGGTTACATGTAATTGTAATTATTTTCATTATTAAAGTGGATGAGGAGGAAAGATTTGCTAAAAGATCAAGGAAGCTGATTTCCAAAAGAGTTTGCTTTTCTTGAGATTTGATGGGGCTTGGATTTATGTGTTTGTTTAATGCTAAATTGTGACAGAAACCATCTGGAAGACAGTTGGTGAGTGTCTTCTACAGCAACATAGCAACTCATTATGATTGTTAATATAGATGATATTAAAGGTAGCAGGTGCATTTATAATGATCAGTGAATTTAAATGGGATTAAATGGCTTCCAGCCATTAACAAAGTGGTACCAACATTTGGTAGACATTATCTTAGTGTCAGACAGAAGAATCTCATGAGGCACTCCTTAAAATGCAGATTTGTGGGACCTACCTTCAAAGTCTCTGATTCAATGGCTCTTGGATGGCTCAGGAATCTGCAGTGTAATGGACGCCCTCAGTTGATTTTAATGCAGGTTATCTGCAAACCACACTTGGAGAAGCACTGGTCTAAGACATTGGGACCTTGGACAGCTCCTCGTGACCTTGGACCAAGGTTTCAGGACCCGAGACAGAGCCCAGAATTTCCAACTCCATACCTTGCGGGAAATTTACTTTAATTCTCAAGGAAGCATGCTCATTTTCCTAGAAACACCACCACCACCACCAGCATTCCTTAAATCCATACTTTTGGAAACTGAAATTTCTGATTTCTGATGGCCAATAAGGAGAAGGCACACATGGTGCATCATATTTTATCATAGGAGAAAATAGTCTAAACCTAGAGTGCTTAGCTTGGAAACTGATGCTGTGAGGGTGCACGTAGTTTTCAAAGGATCTGAGACCCTCCTGAAATTGTATGTAAATTTGTGAGGAAGCTTATTCACATATATTTTCGTGGATGGGGAAATTTTTCTCCACTTGAGGGTGGAAATATTCTGGATACACCAATGTACATGCTTTTAGGTACAACTTATGTACTTTGATGGACCTCTTAAGATTTGTGTGTGTGATGAGAAAATTTTATTTCTTCCATGTTACTCAAGCAACTAAAAAGTATATGTATCCTTTCAAATATAACCATATCAATGAAAACAAGCAAACGATCTCTGAAGGTGTCCAACTCTGACATTTCAAGCTATAATTTGAAAAACTCTCAAGTATTGTGATTGGGGTCTGTTAAAGTTGGTACAGAATTGGATATATCTCACCGTGGCTAATCTAGAATCTTTATATTACTAAAATAACTGTCTTATTATAAGCCACAGTTAATGTAAGAAATGAGGTTATTCGGATGACTAAGGAATTTTCTTCACATATTATTTGATTGTTAAATGTTCTTATTTTTGACAGCCTTACCAAAAGACAAGTCAGTGATCATGGGGTATTGAATTAGGTAACATCTGCAGCAGGTCAAACTATTTCCATAGACAAGGTGATAGCCATTAACAATATTTCACTTAGAATACATTCTCAAAGGCAACCCATTTAATAGCAAGCAAACCATCTCACATTCATCATCTGTGACCTGTCTGGTGGTAAGCCATAGCTTAATATTCTAATATGTGTAATATATCTGTAAAGATAAATTTATTCTCTTAAAGGCATAGCTGATTTGAACTTCTGTCTTGAACGTGTTGTTCTTTGACTATGAAGAAAATTCTCTAGTCAGTGCCCCAAAGACATGAACTATTCCAGTGATAGGAGGAAGCAGGGCTATTAACATGCTCATTAACTCCACAAGAGACTACAGCTATGCATTTGGGAGGCAGATTGTCTCAACAACCCTGATATTTTTCTTTCTATGAGGAATAGTGAGGTAGAAATTATTGGCTCAAGGCTCTAAGCAACTCAGAAAACCTTGTAAATTATCTATGCTAATTTCAAAGCAGATACTTTATTTTCTTGGCTTCTACGACACCAGCTTGTCATGCTTCATTCCCCACTTCCAATCTCCTTGATGCTCCCTTTCAGTCTCTTTACTGGGTCTATCTTCCTTGCTTGATCTCCTAGGCACCTTCCTGGCTCTTATGTATGCCATCTCCCTGGTAGATTTCATTTAGTCCCATAATTTCAATACCATCTATATGCAGATGACTCACAAGTGTAAATCTCCATTGACCTTCCCTTGAGCCTGCAGGCTCATAAATCAAACTGTCTACTTGATGTCAGACTGCCTACCTGACTTGGATGTCAAACAGGCATCTTAAATGTAAAGGGCCCTACACAGAACTCTTTATCCTCTGCTTTTCCCTCTCCCTAAACTGCTCTCCTGGTCTCTGGCCTCTTACTTGGAAAATAGCACCATTTCTTCCGAGTTTCTTAAGATAAAAACCTGGGAGTCACTGTTCTTTTCCTTGCATTTAACATCCAGTTAATCTGTTTTGTCTTTAACATACATCCCCAGTATGTTAGCTTATTTCCATTTCTACAACTATCACCTTCAGTTTGAAAAATCAACTTTTCTCCTGTGGACTATTTTAATGGTCTTTTAACTATTTTCTCAGCTTCCGTTTCTGTCCCACTCCAATTCTTTCTCCAAACAGCAGCCAAAATAAAGGATAAATGACATCATATCACCCTTCTTAACACTCACCAATGGCTTCTTATTGTATTTTGTACAAGATTCAAACTTCTTTATTCTTTGTTCTCTCTGTGGCCTTTAGAACCCTACATGATATGGTTGGGTCCATAACCCTGACTCATCTCACACTCTATCTTGCTGCTCTGCACCAGCCACATTGGCCTTCTTTCAATTACTGAAACAAGGCCTTTTCTTCTGTTCCTCTTAAAATTCTTTGAATGACCATGGATTACCAACAGGACAGTGCTGACATTTGGGGAACTCTTAGCAGATCCTCTCTTTAGACACCATCATATAAATACTTTCTATACTGAGCTCAATTCCTTTTCTGAAGCAAAATGGTATACCAGAGGATACACATGGATTGCTAATGCAGACTCCCCTTAAGGGAGTCTCTGTTATCCAGAAATTAAAATAACTTAAGACAGAACTCAAATATACACATGCTTTATTCTATAACACATTTTTTTTTCACCTTATTTTAACTTCTGTAGCATTAAAATAGTTTGGGCCTGACAGTCATCTTACACATATTTAAATGACTTAATTAAATGACATGTTATATGGTTTAAGAGAGGTAAATGCTTTATAAACTTGGAGAGAGAAAGAAAAGAAAGGGGATCTACTTCTTTTCCTAGGCGCCCAATTTTGTGGCTGTTAGAGTTTTGTTCCCAAGTCACAACCGGACTCTTATATGTGGCTCCAACGCTCTTTTCCAAGGCTGTCTCCCAAAGTTCTCTGCATGGACCCGGCCAGCCTACCACTTCCAATCTTTTTATTACCTGAGTCATGCCATCCTCTCAGCCTGGAGATTGTTCATTTTAAGGCTCAGCCTAAATTCTACCTCATTTTTGATTCCTTCCAATCAGAATGAAATGTTTCTTCGTCTCCTAGCATGTTTCTTTTACCTCTGCTTAGCATGTATTTCATTCTGTCTTGTGTTCAAGTGGGTTGATGACATGGTTCTCTCTTCCCAGCCTGCAAGTCTCTGGAGAGCAGGGATAACTTTCTGTCCATCTCAGCATCTCTCACTCTGCCTGCCCTATGCTTTGCACCCAGAATGTTTTCGTTCAACAAACAATTATGTGTCTATCATGCTCCAGGCACTGGTCTAAGCCCTTTAATATAACTATATAGAGAAAGCTCTCTGCTTGTGACTAAAGTTTACATTACATTATTGTTTTCAATTAAATAGATTTGCATTTTACTTCAATATTGCAAGGCAGGTGGCTTCTCTTCTGTTTTTTAAATTTTAGATGCAGGACTTAAACAGATGGCTATATTTTTGATTTTATGTCATCCCCAGATTTATTCATTTTTCTGCCCTGCTCTCACTGTTCAGAAATGGAGCCAATTTCTCTATACACATGAATACATAGAGACACTTCTTCTAGCTTAGTGGGAGGGGACAGGGGTGGGTGTCTAAATCTGTATTCACCCTCTGTCATTTTAGTTGAATTACTTTATCAGAGTCCCTTTTAAAACTTTTATTAATTGAGTAAATCTGTATTGAGCATCTTCTCTGCACAAAGCACTGTGACCAGTTCTCCTGTAGTTTGTTTTTCACTCATAGGAGGCACTATTTCCTCTAAACAGACACTTCCAGTCTGGCTTTTAGAGCTGGTAGTGACTGGAGAGGTGAGACTCCTGGTCAGAAATGGTTTGTGTTGCGGTGAAACTAGAATTCAAGATGCTTGGCTTTCAGTCCAGCACTCTTTTTACCTTATCAGAGTTTTCTTATTTTATTGCGTACTTCTCATTATGGCTGGTATTTTGAAATGCAATGATAGTTGCAAACTGTAACTGTGTGTGATTATTATCACTACTATTACAGGTCAACCCAATTGAATACTAATATCTAAATGTCATTTTACGTTACAAATCAAGTAATCCTCTTCTTCGTTGTCTCCTTTTTCTTCTTTTTTTGAGATTGGATTTTACTCTGTCACCCAGGCTGGAGTGAAGTGGCCTGATCATAGCTCACTGTAGCCTCAAACTCCTGAGCTCAACTCCTGCCTTGGCCTCCTGAAGTGCTGGAATTACTGGCATGAGCCACTGTGCCCAGCCTATACTCTTCTTACTATCAGCATTCACTCTTGAAATAAACCAGCACAAAACCATCAGCATTGAAGTGATTATTAGTTTTCTGCCAAACTCAGCCTATATTGACTGTATTAACTTATTATTATAACATTAATAGTTGCTAAAAAGGACAAACCCTGAAAATCTCAGTGGTTTAATTGACAGGAGTTATTGCTCACACAGTGACAGTTTAGTGCAAGTGTTCAGTGAGAGGCCTTCCATGTGGTGATTCACGGATCCAGCCTCTATTCCGTTTTGTGGTTCTGCCATTTTTTAGGGCTTCAGAATCTTTTGCTTCCCCTGGTAGATGGAAAACAGAGAAGGTAGAAAATGTGTGGGAAATTCCTATAGATCAGGTCTGGCAATGGAGTTCTTCCTGGTTCACAATCCATTGTCCAGAAGTCTGTCCCATGGCCCTACCTAGAGGCAAGAGGAGCCAGGCAGGGAATATGGCGTCTGGGTGAAGCAGTCGCTCTCTAGCAACAATTATGGACTGGAGCATGAATACTCATCCTCTGCCACTATTTGGGTGAAATGGTAAAGCCAGTAAGGTCTGTCTTCTCACGCCTCCAGCTTCTTGTTTCTCTTCCCTTTGTCTCTATTTATGATCCTCCCCTTACTTCCTCCATGGCCCTATTGGCACCCAGTCCTCTGCTCTTCATCAAAAACTGCCCTCAGAAAGGAAGCAATGGTTGCACCGAAGTCTAGTGACAGATGAGGCTCAACCTAAGGCTCTGTTCATTTTAACAGAAGAAAGCCTCTGAGAAGATACGAATTTCTGATGAGAGAATTTGAAGGCATATGAAGTATTTTTGGGGAACAGGAAGCATGCAGTCCCTAAAATTAAACCACATGTTGGGTCTAGCTGTATCTTTCTACACAGCCCAAAACAACAGGACTCTTAAGTTAGGAGCAGATTTCTTCACTGTCTGATACAATTTGGAAACTTTCCTTAAAGAGAGGTTGTTATGGGCTAAATTGTGCTCCCCGGCTGTTATGTTGGAGCCTGAACTCTCAGTACCTCAGCACACGAGTGTATTTGGAAATAGAGCCTCTAAATGGGTGAGTAAGTTAAAATGAGACCCATAGAGTGGCTCCAATCAAATATGACTGGTGTCTTTCTAAAAAGAGGAAATCTGGATGTACAGGGGAATATCAGTGGCACTTGTGCACAGAGACCATGTGAAGAGGCAGCAAGAAGGTGACCAACTGCAAGCCAAGGAGAGAGGCCTCAGAGGAAACCAAGCCTGCTGATACCTTGACCTTGGACTTCCAGCTTCCAGAACTGTGAGAAAATAAATTTTTCTTGTGTAAGCCATCCAATCTGTGGTGTTCTGTTGTGGCAGCCCTAGTAAACTAATACACAGGTTCTCCCATTTTGTATTTAGATCAATGCTTTAAAGTATGAAAGGGGGCTATGAGAAGGGATGGGAGAATGGAGCCTTGACTGTAAAATAATCAGAGATTAGTGAAGGAGCTTACCAATATCGAGTAAGTGGGCACTAACATCTCTTTGAGAAGCCAAGGATGTAATCTGCTAAATGTTTCCTCAAATGGTGAATATGCATTGTCAGCTTTGAGTCGGCCTCTCCAAAAGGTGGTGAAATAAATTTGTGCTTGTTTCCATTTGTGTTTTGTGGACTGATTTTTCTTAATTTACATTTAAGAAGTGGAAGATTTCTGTAAAACGCTTTAACAATGGAAAATAAACATTCTGGTTAAACATTAGTTAAAATATTCTTGCCCTAAATGATATCCAACACTTAGCTATCGATACATAACTGGATGATTAAGTTTTAAGTTTTCATTTGGTGGCATTGTGGTCAGCACAGTCAGTCTGGAGCATTGGACTACCTATATTTTAATTTTTATTTTATTTTATTTATTTTTTTTTTGCAAAAAATTGCTTCTGAAAGTCAGCAATTTGGTGGCATTGTGGTCGGCACAGCCAATGTGGAGTCTTGGACTACCTATCTTTTTTTTTTTTTCCCCAAAAAATTGCTTCTGAAACTCAGTAATTGCCAATATGCTTTTTTACTGCCCAAAGCTAAGTTCAGGACTCCACAGTGCCTTAGGACCCATCAATACCCGGTGGGCAAAATGTTTTTCCTTTCTTGCAGACACATCAGTGGCTCTGGGGCCTTTTCCAGGAAAGAGTTGGAGAATGCAAACCCAATCACAAATCCCTTGTGGGTGGACAGGGAAAGCAGCAGGCTTCTGGCATCCAGAGATAAGAAACAGAAGCAACAGGGTCCTGTCAAGTTGTTTCTACCATGTTGTGTTAGAATTCCTTTCTGTTTATCTTAAGAAGCAGTCATGAGCTGCTTAGTTTGAAATTTTTGGAAAGCAAATTATCTTTTTGGCCAAAAAAAAAAAAAAAATTGTTAACACCACCTGGCTAACTCAAAGGCATCAACATTGAGAAAGGAGCCTGCACAGTGAGAGGGGGCAGTGTGGTACAGGAGAATGAGTCCTGAACCAGGACTCGGCTACCAGATGCCTGTGGGTCCTGGCTCAGTCCCTGAACCTTACATTTTCCTCACCTGTTATGAGTGTGTCTTGGCTGGGCTGACTGGGACTCTTGGTGAATAGAATGAGGAGACATTGCTATCTCTGTGTACCTATTTGTAACCATTAATTTACAAAGGGCATAGGGGAAAAAGACTTCTTCGCTGTCCACAGTGGTGCCAGAGAATAAAATAGCTATAGCCATGTCTGATGAACTGATGCATGTGTGTGTATGTGTGTCTGAAGTCCTATTTGAGGGAGGGTGATGGAGGCCACTGAGAGAGAACTTCAAAGAAGAGAAAAAGGTCTTGGGCAAGGGGAACTTGATTTTAGAATGAGACAAATGTTGGGGTACAATGTGGCAGCAGAATCTTGAACTCATCTAGATCCAGCCATCCTAGGAGAAAAGAGTTTTGTTTGTGAATCTAAACTGCCATACCAATAAACACATGCTGAGGACCCTTCCTCCCATGGCTGGAAATGAGACAGAAATAACATTATCCTTCTCATTCTGAAAGGAGGGTTTGATCTTATCGTGCAGGGCCAACTCACAACTCCATGGCACCACCATGGGATGGGGACCATGGCATTGGCTATGATTACAGATTTAAGCCATGAGTACATGTATGCATCCTGGGGATTACAAAGAAAGGACATGGAGAAGAAGGGTAATGTGTAAAAGACAAGACTTCTTTCTTGTCAGCAGAAAACAGAAAGCCTTGAGATTATGTAGATTGAGACATTCAGCTTCCATGTGGGAGGATATGGCTGGGGCATGATCTTCGAACTCAATTCTAGCTCTAATCTCCAATATTTTTCAACCCGAGAAAGGATTCAACAAAACATTCACAAATGTAATAGTGATATATATAGTTTGTTGAGTTTGTTACCATGAATCTTCAAGATTGGTGGCAGTAAACCCAAATTAAGGTAAAGAATCTGGAAAGAAGCAAATTTGTCAAGATTACATGGTGAGCAAGTTGTCTGCAAATACATCTGATTCTAGAGTTTATACTCATTCCATTATACCTCAACATAATGGCAGGAGACATTTTAGAATGGCTTTTTGGCCATTTCTGATAGGATGCCCAGAGAAGATGCAGCTGTCCTCAGAGAGCTGCCATGTCAGGGCCCTGAGGTTAGAACTGCAGTGAGAATGAGGACCAGGACAAGAGACTGCAGCACCTTTACATGCGTGGAGGCTCTGTGGCTGGCTGCCCCATGGCTGGGACATGCAGAAAGTGCCTCAGCTGAGTCATCAAGACTGAGCCTAAGTGAAATAGTGAGATGGAAGATATTAACAACAACCACAACCACAAAATAGGCTATTTATGCAGCATTGTTACTGGATATTTTCATGCTCAGGACTGAGCTGAAGGCTTTATAAACATCTCTTTTAATCCTCTCACCTCCATGAGTTCACTGTTAGGATCCTTATGTTACAACTAAGGCTCAGGGAGACTATGCAAGTTGTTTGATGATAAAGTGCATGAGTGGCAGGCAGAGCCAGAATTTGAGCCCGGGTCAAATGGGACTCAAACTAGTGCATGGAGAACGACTAGCCCACGTTACCTCTCTAGATTGACACTCTGTTTCGTGCCCTCTCCTCCCCATTTTGAATCTACCTCCATCTCCCCTCTTCCTCTGCATGGGGTCCCTTTATTTCTCCCTCCCAAAGTCACTGGGGTCCAGTGCTCCCCCCAGCTCTTCTCCCCAGTTATTACCCAAGGAATGGCCCTACTTCAATCATGTATGCTTTAAGGCTGTAGAGGAAAAAGTTGAGTTATTTTTCATATTGTTTAAAAATGTTTCTGCTGTAATCACTCTTTATATTTACTTGTGTCAAAATCAGTACCAGGAAAAAGATGGGTGATTTTTCATTAACCCCAAGAGGATCTGAATTGTTTTTATACTGGTTAATTTAATTATAACAAACTCAGTGAAGTCACTCTGTTAAACAGTAAAACAGTTAACAGTGGGTTAAACATTACAAAATCCAATTTCCTATAACAAATAAACAATGATTGGGGAATGCAATTTCCTACAACGGATAAGTAGGTGAGTTTTATAGTCTCAAGGTTAAAGATTGTATAATATTTAACCATTATAGTTAGAGAAAAATCCTACAAGGGACCTCTGTACAAACTACTGAATTTTATGATGACAAGATACAGAAAAAATGTAAATCTGACAAAAAAGCATTCTACCCCTCCAAGCTATCTAATGTTTGTATTCTTAGTGGGTTTAAGTTAACTGACTGGTAAATATTTTCCAGTTCTTATCTGTATAACAAGGTGTAATTATTAGCTTAGTGCAGAGTATTCTCAAAGCCTCATGTCAATAGGTCAGTTTCTTAATCTCTCAAGACTGCTCTATGAGAAACTTGTGACTTCTGGTTTTTAACTGTAATTTTAATTAAAAGTTAATTTAAAAATTTAGGGTTTGTAATTTTAATTTCCATAGTATAAATTTAAAAGCCATTTGCATTTGACTTGCCTCTAGTTGACAAATAATATCTTTGACCCACAGATAAAGGAATTTTAAGAATTGCTCAAGGAAAAGTATTTTTTTCTGCAGTGGAACAAGGAGTAACTTTACGGTTTCTGAAATCATGACATTCAGAGATCCTTTCTGAAGCTGGCCTAGCAGGTTAATGCAATATGGGCATTGTTTTCTCGAAGCTGAGGTTACAGCAAACAGAGCACTCTCCTATATGTGAACAAAGAACGCTGGTTCATATAAGGGAGGGTGCCACACAGGGGTCACCGTAAGGTTGCATAAGCCAGAAAATGAGCCAGAGGGGACTGCTGAGTCCCAGGAGAGCTGCCATACAGGCTTGGATTTCTTAATTTTTTATCTATTCTTGTATAGTCTGTTAAAAACTATATCTATTGAGTCTTCAAAGCACTGTGCCAGCATTATAGCTATTAAGGTAAGCAAGATAGACTAGTATTCTCAAGTGACTTACAGCTTCATGGGGAAAACAAATAGGTAAATAAGTAATTGTGAAAGGGTGTGATAAGTTTCACAACAGGGAAAGATTAGGGTGTTGGGAGAACACAGCAGGGGGGACCCAGCCTCATCAAGTGGAGGTCGGAAAGTGGCCTTTTCCGAGGTCTGAAGGATGAGTAGGGGAAGCCAGTAGAGGGAGGAGTTTAGGAATGAGGTTCCAGATGGGAGTTCTTCTTGTGTGAAGTCCTAGGAGCAAAAGATAATGCAGTGCATTGGGAATTGAAAGAAATTTACTGTGGGAGGAGAGGAGGTAGTTGCAGGGTGTGAGAAGCAAGCGGGAGAGTAGGCTGGAAAGATAGGTAGGGCTCCACTAGACAGGCCATGGTGAGGTGAGAGTTTAGCTAAAAGGCACTGAGAAGCCACTGAAAGGCTTAAAGATAGAACATGATGTGGTGAGTCATATTTTAGGACTTTAGTTGTTTTTAGGAAAATAACTCATTGTGATTGAAAGAAGAGATTGGAAGGAGACACAATTAGGGGCAGTGAGACCAGTTAGGTAGCTATTGCAGATTTTCAGTTGACAGATTTTGAGAGTCTGGACTAAGGCAGTGTCATTGGAAATGCAGATAGGTAGGAGGGCATTGAGAAGGTAAATAGGCTTGGTGAAAAATTCAATGTGGATATGAGGAAGAAGAAGAATCTAGTGTGGCTGGTGTATGAAAATGCCACAGATTGAGCTATTCAGGAATAGATTTGAGATGGGGAGGATGATGTTCAGTTTTGGACTCGTTGAATTTTGGTCCATTTTGGGCTTGTTGAATTTAGCAGGATGTGAGTTACATGGGTCTGGAGCTTGAGAGACTTGTATGAGCTGGTAATATAGATGGTAAATGAAACCTGGGAGAAGGTATAAAGGGAAAAGAGAAGGGAGACTAGGACAGAATACTGAAACATCAGCATTTGAGTGACAGGGAGAAGAGAAATGTCCTATGGCCAGAGAGGAGGAGGAAAACCAGGGAAGCCTGGGCCAAGGAAGAGACCGTTTCAAAAAGGGAGAGGTTAATGTATCAAATGCTGAGCACAGGCTAAGTAAGATAAGGACTGAAGAGTGTCTGTTGGAGCTAGTACAAGGTAGACCTTGGAATCTATGGTAAGAGAAGTTTAAGAGCAGTTGTGGGCCAGAAACCAAATTACACTGGAGTGGAAAGAAGAGGAAAAGAAGGCAGAGCATTTAATCAGTCTCCTTCAAAAGGAGAAGGGCTATGTTCTGAAAAGGACATGAGGCTAAGGAAACTTTCCCATCTCCTGATGGGAAAGAGGCAGTAGAGTGAGTAAGTTTGAAGATGCAAGAAACAGATGGCATAATCAATAAAATGAGGCGATGGGGAGTGGGATCCGAAAACTGAGGGGAGGAATTAGGCTTAAGTAGGAGGAGCTTTAATTTGTTGAGTGCAAAGGGGGCAAATATGAGCACAAATGTAGGCATCTTGCAGATGTGGAGGTCGGAATTTGCCACAGCAACCCACATTGGCTAAGAGACTTCAACCACTCCCACTATTCTAGCCCTCTGCCATTTCCTTTCAGCTGGGACAGCTTAAGACCAATTAAAATAATATTTTTAAAAGAGCTTTGAAAATGGTAGATGATTAGAAATGTAGTGAAGTGAAATGATTATGTGAAGTGGTGTGAAATGGTGGAAAAACTGGCTATGAAATTTACTTGTTGTGTGATTTTGGGAGGGCGCCTTCACCTCACTCAGATTCCTCAGTTTTCATTTATAAAGTAGCCTCTTCCTACCAGCTCTATAGAGTTATTGTTATCTTCCAGTGCAGTGGCTATCAGTGTGGGTTGTATGAGTATTGTCCATAAAGGGTGATGTGGGATGGGTAGGGCAAGTTTTAGTAGTGGTAACAATGAGGAAAGGGTGGCATTTGGTGAGCAGAAGGAGATTCAGGAATTCTGGACATCTCACAATCCACTTGACAATCTCACAGATTTTTCCCATCTCCACACCACATGACTCCCCCTGCCCTAAATAGTACTACTTCTTTAAACAATTAAGCTTTTCATTTTCAGTTAATTGTATATTCACATGAAATAATACTGAGCGGTCCATGCACTTTTTACTCAGTTTCCTCCAATAGTAACATCTTGCAAAACTAGAGTATAATATCGCAACCAAGATACTGACATTGACACAGTCAAGATACAGTACATTTCCATCACTACAACGATCCTTCCTGCTGCCTTTTTTTAGCCACACCCACTTCCCTTCTCTCCTCCCTCCTTAATACGTGGCAACAATTGATCTGTTCTCCATTACTATAATTTTGTCCTTTCAAGAATGTTTTATAAAAGGTTAATGTGCAATCTTTTGAGATTGGCTTTTTTTTTTTTACTCAGTTCATTTTTTTTTGAAATTCATCGAAGTTGTTGTATGTATCAATATTATTGCTGAGTAGTATTCCATGGTATGAATATTTGAAAGTTGTTTCGCTATTCACTCATTGAAGGACATCTAGGTTGTTTTCAGTTCCGGGTTATAACAAATAAAGCTGCTATAAACAGTCATATATGGATTCTTGTGTGAACACAGCTCTTCATTTCTCTGGGATAAATGCCTGGTAATGCAATTGCTGGGTCACAAGGTAGTTGTACGTTTAGTTTTTAGAGGAACTGTATTCCAGAGTGGCTTGTACTCATTTTATATTCTCACCAACAATGTATGAGTGATCCGGTTTCTTCATAACCTTGAAGGTTTCTTCATAACCTTGATCTAGTTCCTTCATAACATTGCCAGCATTTGGTGTTTTCACTATTTTTTTTTTTTTTTTGAGATGGAGTCTCACTCTGTCACCCAGGCTGGAGTATAGTGGCATGATCTTTGCCCACTGCAACCTCTGCCTCCCGGGTTCAAGTGATTCTTATACCTCAGCCTTCTGAGTAGCTGTGACTACAGGCATGAATCACCACACCTGACTAATTTTTGTATTTTTAGTAGAGACAGGGTTTCACTATGTTGCCCAGGCTGGTCTCGAACTCCTGACCTCAAGTGATCCACCTGCCTTGGCTTCCCAAAGTGCTGGGATTAGAGGCGTGAGCCACCACACCCAGATAGGTGTTGTCACAGTTTTTTATTTTAGGCATTCTGATACGTGTATAGAGATATCTCAGTGTGGTGTTAATTTTTCATTTCCTTAATGGCTACTGATGTGAAAATATTTTTATGTGCTTATTTGTCATCTGTATATCCTTTTTGATGAAATGTCTATGTAATTTTCTCATTTTCTTATCTGATGTTTCTTAATTGTCACATTTTGAGAGTTCTTTTCACATTCTAGATAACAGTCGTTTGTTGACTATTGGTTTGATTATGGTTTGCAAATATTTTCTCCCATTATGTAGCTTGTCTTTTCATCCCCTCAGCAACAGTCTTTCGCAGAGCAAATTTTAAATTTTGATGAAGTCCAATTTATCATTTTTTCCTTTAATGGATCATGCTTTTGGTGACAAGTCTAAACATTCTTTGCCTATCCCTGGATCCTGAAGATTTTCTCCCAAGTTTTATTTTCTAAAAGTTTTATAGTTTTATGGTTTATATTTAAGGGTCTTTGTTCCATTTTGAGTCAGTATAAGATGTGAGGATTAGGTCAAGGATCTTTTTTTGGCCTATAGATGTCCAATTCTTCCAGCACCATTTGCTGAAAAGGCTGTCTTTTCTTTATTGAATTGCTTTTGTTCCTTTGTCAAAAATGAGTTGGGTATATTTGCGTGGTTCTATTTCTGCAGTCTTTATTCTGTCCCATTGATCTATATGTCTCTCCTTCCACCAGTACCACAGAGTCTTGATTATGGTAGCAATATTATAAGTCTTGAAAATAAGACAGATTCCTATCACTTTATTTTTATTTTAGCTATTCTAGTTCTTTTGTCTTTCCATGTATTCGTTTTAGAATATTCTTGTCCATATCTATAAAACAGTCTTGCTGGATTTTTGATAGTTAGGTCAAATCTGTATGTCAGTTTGGGGAGAATTGACATCTTTACTATGTTGGATCTTTCAGTCCATGAACATGATATGTTTCTCTATTTAAATAATTGATTTCTTTAATTGGCATTGAATAGTTTTTGACATACGAGTTATAATACATGTTTTACATCTAAGCATTCAATTTTTTGAGTGATTTTAAGTGACATTGCATTTTTAATTTTTGATATTCATGTATTCATTGCTACTGTGTGGAAATACAGTTGATTTTTATATGTTTGTCTTATATCCTACAACCTTTCTGAACTCACATTCTAGGAGTTTTTCTTTTGCAGATTCCTTGGGGTTTTCTGTAAAGACAGTTATGTCTACTGCAAATAGGAACAGTCTTATTTTTTTGTTTCTGATATCTATTTCTTTTATTTTCATCTGCTGGCATATTGCGTTGGCTAGAGCTTTCAGCACTATGTTGAATAAGAGTGTGAGGGTGGATATTTTTTGCCTCATTCCTCATCTTAGAGAGAAGACATTCAGTCTTTTACTAAAGTATGATATTACTGTAGGTGTTTTGTTCCTTGTTAAGTTGAGGATGTTCTCTCTTATTCCTATTTTTTTGAGTTTTTTTAAAAATCATAAATGGGTGTTGAATTCTGTCCAGTATTTTTCTGTACTGATTGATATGATCCTGTGATTTTTCTTCTTTAGCCAGTTAATATAGTGGATTACAGTCTTTGATGTTAGAATACTGAACCAACCTTGCATCCCTAGAATAAGCCCCACTTGATCATGGTGTGTACTTCTTTTATTATATTGTCGAATTCTACTTGCTAATATTATGAATTATTGCTTTTATATTCATGAGGGTTATTGGTCTTTAGTTGTCTTTTTTGTAAAGTCTTTGTCTCGTTTTGTTTTTCGGGTAATAGTGTCTTCATAAAATGAGTTGGAAACAGTTCTTTTTTATTTTCTAGAAGAGAATGCGTGAATTGGTTTTAGTTCTTTTTAAAATGAATGTTTGGGAGAATTCTCCAGTGAAGCCATCAGGGCCTGGAGATTTCATTTCTGCTCTTTATTATTTCCTTCTTTCTGCTTGCTTCGAGGTTGTTTTGCTGTTTTTCTTTTCTAGATTCTTGAAGTGAAAGCTTGTAGTATTGATCTATTATCTTTCCTATCTAATGCATGCATTTAGTGCTGTGCATTTCTGTCTCAGTACTGCCTTGAATGCATTCCACAAATTTTGATATGCTGCATTTTTATTTCATTCAGTTAAATGTATTAAAAAATTTCCCTTGAAGAATTCCTCTTTGCCCTATGATTATTTAAAAGAATGTTATTTAGTTTCCAAGTGCATGGAGATTTTCCTGCTATCTTTCTGTTATTCATTTCCAGTTTGATTCCGTTTTGGTTGGAGAACACAGTCTACATGATTTTAATTCTTTTAAATTGTGTTAAATTTGGTCTGTGACCCAGGGTAACCTGGTAATCTTGGCATATATTCCATGGGCACTTGAAAATAATGCATATTTTGCTGTTGTTGGCTAGAGTGTTCTATAAACACTGACTAAATTCTGTTGGTTGATGGATTGCGGAGTTTTTATATCCTTGCTGGTTTTCTGTCTAGTTGTTCTATCAGTTGTGACAGAGGGGTGTTGTAATCTCTTGCTATAATTGTGGATTTGTCTATTTCTCCTTCAGTTCTATCAATTTTTGCTTTGCATATTTTGCAGCTCTATTGTTTGGTACATACACATTTAAGATTACTACATTTTATTGGTGGATTGATTCTTTTATCATTGTATGATGTTTCCCTGTCTCTGGTAATTTTCTTTGTTCTGAAATCGACTTTATCTGATACCAATATGGCCATTTCTACTTTCTTTTGATTGTGTGATATATCTTTTTCCATTCTTCTATTTTTATTTTATTTTTTTTCACTGTTCAAGGTTTATTGGGGGTTTTAGTTGGTACGACACTTGGATAGTTGGTTGCACTGTTTATATGTTGGTCCTTTTACATTACATTGTAATGTACACTACTGATATATCTAGTTCACAAAATAAGATCCTTTGGAACAATTATGTACAAGACATGCAATATTGGATTTATACACTGGATCCCAGGATGTGACTGACTGGGAAAAAATATTGGACTAGTCATTGTTCAGTGAGGGAGCCAGGAAGTTATAAAACACACGGTAAACATCCATCTGACTCAAGGGGCAACTGCAGCATGTGCAGCATTGGCAGTGGTGCCTCAGAGGTCATAGAACGATTTCAGACTAACCAGTTTGGGACTACACAGGATTAGTACCATCCAACATTAGGATATAGCTGCAGGATTTTACAAACCATTTCTGTTTCTAACTTTAGGAATTGATGTTTTTCCCAGTCCATCTTAATATTACTGCTATAATCACAGACCAGAAAAAAGGACAACATGCACAACCTCCAACTAAAATCCTGTTGTAGCCTAGACAGTGAAATGGATGACATCAGAAGACTTTAAAATTGCAGCTCTAGCTGTGCGTGGTGGCTCACGCCTCTAATCCCAGCACTTTGGAAGGCTGAGGTGGGCAGATCACCTGAGGTCAGGAGTTCAAGACAGGCCTGGCCAACATAGTGAAACCCCTTCTCTACTAAAAATACAAAAATATAGCTGGGCGTGGTGGTGGGCACCTGTAATCCCAGCTACTTGGGAGGCTGAGGGAGGAGAATCGCTTGAACCCAGGAGGTGGAGGTTGCAGTGAGCTGAGATCTTGCCATTGCACTCCAGCCTGGGCAACAAGAGCAAAATTCCATCTAAAAAAATTAATAAAAAAAATAAAAAAAATTGCAGCTCTTTTTGGATCCCCCAAAGTGTATCTGCGCTCTTCCTCAAAAGGGCCTCTTCCTCAGGAGTCAGAGTCACCTTCACAAGGTCTGAGATTCCATTCTGTCCCAAGATGCAAGCAACACTAAGGAAGACATCATCCTTTATTCCACAGAAACCCTTAATCATGGTGGAAATTGGGTGCACCCGCCTAAGATTCTTCATTATACTCTCTGCCAAATCTGCCACACAGAGTCCAATGGTGAGAGTCCAGTGGCCCAGGATGTGTAGCCTTTCAGTTTGATCACCTTGTAAGGACTCTGAACTACCTGCTTGTGAACCCCTTTCCACTGTTCCTTATCTGTATCAGTCCCTAAATGTGAGTGCAGAGTCTTCAGGGAAACACCAGCAACATTCACTCCACTCCATAAAGGCACACTAGAATCTCCATGTTCCCCAAGGACCCACCCATGACAGCTTAATGGGTGAACTCCCAGCTTTCCCCCATCAGGTAACCGAATTGGGCTGAATCCAGATTGCAACCACTTCCAATAACACGGTTTTTGGGAAAGCCACTTATCTTCCAAGCCACATAGGTCAAGATATCCACTGGATTTGAAACAATAAGCAACTTGCAGTTCGGGCTGTATTTTACAGCATTAGGAATGATGAATTTAAAGATGTTCACGTTATGCTGGTCCTATTTAAGATGGCTTTCTCCCTCTTGCTGACCTGCCCCAGACATGATAATGACCAGCTTGGAGTTTGCAGTTACATTATAGTCTTTGCCAGAGATAATCTTTAGTGTTCTAAGGAAAAGGCTGCCATGTTGGAGATCCGTTATCTCTCCTTTCAATTTGTCTTCCACGACATCAGCAAGGGCAAGTTCATCTGCCAAGTCCTTAATTAAGATACTGATGGCACAGACCATGCCAACAGCACAAACCCCAACAACTGTAATCTTATGGGGGGGGTCTGTTCTTCTTTTAGAAGATTATGAATCAGCTGATCCTTAAGAGTTGCAATATTGGACTTGGAACAAAAAGGAACTGGGAATGCATGTCAGGCAAGCATTGGGGGCGTGTGGCAATGAGACCTGGACTTGGTGACAACGGCTCTAGCACTTCCATGTATTTTTAACCATTTATTTTAAACCATATTATTTGCATTTAATATGATTATTGATACATTAAAGTTTAAGTCTGCCATTATATATTTTGCTGTGTTTTCTCTCTTTTATTTCTCAATTTTCTTTTCCCTTTTTCCTGTTCAAAATGTGGGCTGCTTGAACATTTTGTAAAACTTCATTTTGATTTTCCTATAGTGTTTCGAGTCTATTAGTTTATAGTGTTTTGAGTCTTAGTAGTTGCTTTAGGTATTACCTCATAGCCACTCACCCCAACACACACATGCATCTTATCACACACACAAATGTCTGTTGGTGTCATCATTTTACAAGTTTCACATGAAGTGTAGGAGGCTTACCTCTTTTTATGTGCCTTTCCCTTCCCTATTTATAACAAAATTGTCTTAAATATTTTCTCTACATACTTTCAAGACCATATTAAATATTACTACATTTTTTGCTCCAACCGTCAACATAATTCAGAAGACTCAAGAAGATAAGGAAAATCTATTATATCTACCTATATATTTGCTTACTTTGTTCTTTTCATTTTTCTTCTTTCTTTTCTTTCTTCTCCTTCCTTCCTTTTTCTTTCTTTCCTTCCTTCCTTCCTTCCTTCCTTCCTTCCTTTCTTTCATTCGTTCGTTCCTTCCTTCCTTCCTTCCTCCCTTCCTCCCCCCTCCACCCCTCCTCCCCTCCTCTCCTCCTCTCTCTCTCTCCTTCCTTCCTTCCTTCCTCCCTTCCTTCCTTCCTTTCAACAGAGTCTTGCTTTGTCACCAGGCTGGAGTGCAGTAGTGCGATATCCACTCACACCTCCACCTCCCAGGTTCAAGCGATTCCCCTGCCTTAGCCTCCCAAGTAGCTTTCCATTTTTCTAATATTTTAAGAAACTTCTTTAACCACTTCCTTTCTATTTATAACACTTACTTTAGTCATTCTTTTAGGGTAGGTCTGCTGGTGACAAATGCTCTTTATTTTCCTTCATTTGAGAAATTTTTGATCTTCATTTCTGAAGGATATTTTTGCTGCATAAAGCATTCTGGGTTGACAATTATTTTCTTTCAGAACTTGAAAAATGTTGTGTCACTTTCTTTTGGTTTCCATGGTTTCTGATGAGAAATCCACTGTGATTTTAATTATTTTTCTTCTACAGGTAAGTTGTCATTTGTCTCTTGCTGCTTTCAAGAGTTTTTTGTCTTTAGTTTTCAGACCTTTGACCAAGATCTGTTTTGGTGTGGATTTCCCTGACTACTCCCATGAAGGGTTTGGGGTACTTCATTATAGTCTGGTGAGAGTGAAAGTCTTGGCTCCCCACTTGGCCTTTGCTGGTATGAATTGAGGTGGGATCATAGTTTTTTTCTGTGATGTTTAAATGCAGTAAAATGGCTATATTCTTTTTTTTTTTTTTTTGAGACACAGTGCAACTCTTGTTGCCCAGGCTGGAGTGCAATGGCACGATGTCGACTCACTGCAGCCTCAGTCTCCCAGGCTCAAGCGATTCTCCTGCCTCAGCCTCCCAAGTAGCTGGGATTACAGGCACCCACCACCACGCCTGGCTAATTTTTTGTATTTTTTTTTTTTAGTAGAGGCGGGGTTTTACCATGGTGGTCAGGCTGGTCTCAAACTCCTGATCTAAAGTTTTATGGATTGCTAGCTTTCTCATTTCCCAGTCCTTTAGCTAGAGAGAGCAGGCTTTTGTTGAGACTTTATTTTCTGCACTTACTGGCATTTCCATGTTGCCAGCTACTCCAGCATCCAGTCTGGGATATATGAGGCAAAAGGAAAACCCAGATAACTTACCACCATGTCATTCTTTAGGCTTCAAGGGCTTTAATTGGTATCCTTTTCTTCTTTCCACCTTTCAAAGTAGCTTTATGCTTGTTTTATATATAAGGTTCAGTATACTTATGGCTTTCAGTATCTTAGCAGACATTCTTGTAGTGAAAAAACTGCAGTGAACAGGACCTAGACTCCAATTCTGCTTTACATCTGTCACAAATTATTTTTAGTAATTTTCTAAAAATACAATGCTGCATAAAACAAGGGAAAGAATGTACTTTGTTTTGTTCTAAATTTTACTAAAAGTTGGTCACCATTTCAGAAAACAACATCACACAGTATTGTAGTTGTTGACTTCACACACTTGTATCTGTCTACATTTGCAAGTGTTGTATTCACAGAAATTCCACATGTAAGTATAAGCATCTGACTACTTCATCGTGTTTTCAGGTGTGACCATGCCAAGTACTTAAATATGAAAGATGTATTATTTTATTAGCAATTAATTTCCTTTTATTTTCTATAAAAGTAAAAGGAAAATAAATGGGCACTATATTGAAATTTTGCAATTACGTGTCTAGATTGTATTTTACATGAATTTTACTTCAGGATAGAAAAAGGGGGTGATTCAAAATAGCTACAAAAAGAGATCATTAGATCTGAAAGTGTTGAGATCACTAATCTAAAGCAATTAGTCAATATGCTAATTAAATTTAACCCATTAAATACAATGATAGATAATACTATTAAAGAAATATTCAGTTATCTAAATGAACCACTAGATGTCCATTGGACTCCTTTTCATTGTGAAAGAATCCATGGCATTTCTTGATTATCAAAAAGAACAGCGAACAGAGATAATAATAGATTTTAGCTTACCTTAGAATCTTTAAAGAAAGGCAGACAGGAACACTACACAGGGGGTGAATGTCATGCCTTTTGAAAAGTTCAAATGGTACTAACGGAAGATATAGTATGTACTTTTTAAAAACCATTTGTGTGATGATGGAAATTCACATATTTTTTTCTGAGCCTCATTTCTTCATTGTGTACAATGAGGAGGTTGTGGGGCTAAAGAGGATCACTTAAGGGCCCTCCCATCTCAGTAGACAGCAATCGACAGTTTTCATTCCTGAGCTCATTTGAAAGGATTATGACAGTGGAAATTTGGTTTCATTTTTCATAAATTGTGAGAGGACTGAGGGCAAATGAAACTTGACTTCCTTTCTTCAGGGTGAGAAGACAGGATAATGTGAGAATGAAGCAGAGAAGAGAGAAAGATCTACTGAGAAAGGATATCTTTCTGTAATAGGTTTGTTTTGGTTGTTCTTGTTTTTGTGTGTGTATATATATGTGGGTTTTTTTTTCAAGCAACACTTACTTATTCTGTAGATTCTACCTATGGAATATCTTTCAAATCTATTCCCATGGCCACTTTCCAATTTCAGGACCTCCTCATCTGTCATGGACACTTTTTCATATCATCCTAATTAATTTTTTTTGTCTATATCTCTCTCCTGTGCGCAACGACACCAAAATTATCTAAAATAAAGATCTGACCATGTTATGCTTAAAAACAAGAGATGACCCCCTTAGCATGAAACCACACCCTTCCCCATCTGGTTCTCACCTGTCCCCGCCAGCCCATTGCGCACTTTCCCCATACTCCCTCTGCTCTGGCCATGCTTGTCACCAGACATGCCATGCGCTTTCATTCTCTGGACCTCTACCTGGAACTTCCCTTTCCCTTTTCAACTGGCAACTCCTCGCTTCTCCCAAATGTCACCTTTTTTGTGAAGCCCATTCTTGGTTCGCTAGGTAGAATTAAATAATTTCTCTCCACAGCCATTTGCGCGTAGTCTGTGAAGGCACTTGCCACACTGTGTTATAAGGTCCATGTCAAAAGGATTGGTGTCCCTCATTAGACTTGTGAACCTCTCAAGGGCAGACATTCAGTTGTATTCATTATTTAATCTTTAGTGCTTGGCACACAGTTGGTGCACAGTAAATTGTTTGTTGAATGAATGAGTGAACGCATAAAGGGCTCCAACATGGTATTTTAAGTACTATATACATATAGTCCTAAACCTGACTGCACATCAGAATCACCTGGGAAGTCAGTTAAAATCCGTATTCCTAGCTCTTACCTACCATTATTTTGCAGTTTGATAAGTTCTGAGTGATTCTTACGCAGACATCCTGGTGCTGGTTCTTAGATGGCCTTTGGAACCATCACCAAATCCATTATAGATGAGGTTCTAAAACTTTCCAACCAGGAATTTCACAGCTCATCCCAGGATGATATCCTCCATCTTATATTCTGAACTTTTTCCAAGAGCCATTGAGGCCACTTTGATATGTGGAAAATTTCAGAATTATTTTGGGGGCCTATAAATGTGCAATATACATGTCTGGGCCTCTCCTATGCCTTAGGGAGGACAAAGAGAAGATTCAGGTGTGGTCATTTATATTTTGAATCTCTGTAGGTGACTTTGATAGGTCATGCTCTACCTCGGTGACTCTGCACTTATAGGAAAATGTGTTACCTACATTTTATGGGGTGGGGGCCAGAGACTTTGGTTCGTGTTTAATTTTGGTTTGGTATCTCAGAGCCAAGACCAATAAGAAATTCAGCTACCTCTGTTTTCTGGTTAACCACCCTCTGTATTAGCTGGAAGGCACAGCTGCTCCTGTGGAAAGTGTCTATAAAAGGCAAGCTGCCTCTGGCTATCTTGATCACACAGATATTGGAGCAGGCTGGGTAAGAGAAGATGTAAGGGGGAGTGTGAGAACGTGTCACCGTGGGAGGTTACTCCAAAAGAGTAACCCCGTTAGGTTTGATGGGCTTTTAATCCCCTCTGGATTGTCAGGGTATCTGCGTGGCTGGACAAATCATTTAAAACCCCTCCAATGAGCTGCTGTTTTACCACTTTCACCTTGGACAGCCAGGCTGTGGAGTATTTATTATCGCAGTGCATCAAGCTGGTGGCAGCTTAGATTACCACTGACAGCACAAGCTAGCAAGGCAGTTTGGTCCTGTCATCTTAAATTCTCAGTCTGCTCACTTGTAAAATGGGGACAATAACACCAGTTTACAGAGAACATTTGAGGGAGATGCCATTGTTTTGATTTCCAGGTGATCTGTGTATTACATTGTTTTCTGCTGCTAACTTCTGAGCTACAATTTATGTTTTAATTTTAATTTTTTTTTTTAGACAGAGTCTTGCTTTGTCACCTAGGCTAGAGTGCAGTGGCGCAATCTCGGCTCACTGAAACCTCCGCCTCCATGGTTTAAGCGATTCTCCTGCCTCAGCCTTCTGAGTAGCTGGGATTATAGGCATGCACCACCACACCTGGCTAATTTTTTGTATTTAGTAGAGATGGAGTTTCACCATGTTGGCCGGGCTGGTCTTGAACTCTTGACTTCAGGTGATCCGCCCACCTTGGCCTCCCAAAGTGCTGGGATTACAGGCAAAAGCCACTGTGCCTGGCCTGTTTTAATATTTTATTATGGAAAAGTTCAAATACACAAAAGAAGACAGTATAATGAACTCCATGTGCCTTTCATGTAGCTTCAATTATCAACATTTGCTACTCTTGTTCCATTTACTTCCAAACGTTTTTTTCAGAAGTATTTACTTTTTTGTAATTTAAATTTTAGTTTTCAACGTGACACAAAATCTACATGTGGTTTGAAAACAAAATAGCCTCTAAGTTTATAATTGCAAAACACTGCATATGTTTATTTTTGACTTTTTATTTAGAAATATTTTCAGACTTACAGAAAAGTTGCAAGAATAGTAGTACACTGAATTTACATATCCCTTTGTCCAGACTCACACAAAATTAAAATGTAACCACTTTTGCTTTATTATTCTCTTACTCTGTGGATATATTATGTATACACATATAAAATCTATATGCATATATACATATTTTCTAATATATAACCATATATAATTAGCACATTCTACCTGATTAAAATAACTATTTAATATCATGTAATACTAGCTGCAGTTTTCCCTGATTATTTCAAAAATGTCTTCAACAGTTGTTTGTTTTCAAACCAGGATTCAAATCTATTACATTTAATTGTTGACTCTTAAGCCTGTCTCTATTTCTCTTTTTCTTCTCAACACTTTTTTTGAAACACTTCAAATCTACGGAAAATGGAAAAGTTCTCTATAGCTCCCTCTCTCTGTCCTTTTAGCTCTTGGTTCTGCCTTCTGAGCCACTCTTCCTTTTTATGAAAGCCAGCACAAGTATGCAGGTGAGTAGTTTTCCCAGCCTTTCCACTGCCAGTAGAATTTTGGGAGTCTGACAGTCTTTATGTATTTTGTACTCTTTCTATTTCTTTTTTGTTCAAGCCGGTAGTATTTCTGCTGAAACAGTTTCCGTAAGAACTTTGTGTATCTCCTGTAGATTTCCCTGGGGTTCATTCCACTCTACAAAAGCCATATTGACAGATCTTTTTGAGATAAACCCTTCTGTCTCTTGACTTCTGCTGAGATGGCTAAGGGACTACACTTAAGCTTCTGGTTGATTGAGAAGATCTGTGAGGCACAGCTTTAATTTCTTGAAAGGGTCCTCTCATGACTGAGTAATATAATTTTTTTGCTCCTTCTGAGGCTTTAGCAAAAGATTGTATAACCATACTCTTGGTCTTTTCTCTAGGGCTTGCTTTCCTGATATTGAATCTCTTAATTTTAGTGTCTGAAGATGCTGAGAAATTTCAAAATCATCAAATTCTGGTCCATTTTTGTTTAACAGTTCAAGTCTCAATTTATCCCTTTCATATTGAATTTTATTATAAGCAGCAAGAAGAACCAGGTAGAATCTTCAATATTTTGCTTAGAAATCTTAGCTATATAACTGAACTTCACCACTTGCTCGTTTTGCTTTCCACATAAATGCAAAGAATAATTTTACTAAGCTCTATGCCTTACATAGCAAGAATCATTGTGCCTTTAGTTTGAAATAACATGTTCTACGCTTCGTTCTGAGTCCACACCAGCAGATTCAAGTCTGGATTTCTACTAACAGTCTGTTCAAGGCAATTAAGTGTTCTCTATCATGCCACTCAATTCTTTCTGCCTCTGTGTACTGCCCAGTTTTAAAGCCATTCCCAACTTTTTAGGTATTTGTTATAGCACCATCCTATTTCTGTATTAGTTTTCTGTTGCTTTGTAATACCTCATTACAAAGTCAGCACATGTTATCTCAGTTTCTATGGGTTAGGAGGCTATGTAAACATGGCTTAGCTGGAGCGTCTACTCAGAGTCTCACAAAGCTGCATGCAAGGTGTGACCTGGGTTGCATTCTCATCTGGAGGCTCAACTAGAAAAGAATCTGTTTCAAGCTCTTGCAGGTTGTTGGTAGAATTTGTTTACTGTGACTGTATGATGGCAGTCCCCAGTTTCTTACTGGCTGTTGGTGGGAGGTCCTGGAGGTTGCACAGTTCCCTGACACATGATCTTCTCCATAGGCAATTCATACATGGCTGTGTACTTCAAGGCCAGCTATGTTAGTCTGTTTGCATTTCTATAAAGGAATACCCAAGACTGGGTAATTGATAAAGAAGTGTTTTATTTGACTTATGGTTCTGTAGGCTGTACACAAAGCGTAGTGCCAGCATCTGCTTCTGGAGAGGACCTCAGGAAGCTTACAATCATGGTGGAAGGCAAAGAGGAGGAGCCTGCGTGTCACATGGTGAGAGAAGGAGCAAGAGAGAGAGGAGGAGGTGCCAGCCTCCTTTAAAGAACCAGCTCTTGTCTGAACTAACAGAGTGAGAATGTACTCATTACCATCGTGAGGGCACCAAGGCATTCATGAGGGATCCACCCACATGACCCAAACAGTTCCCACTAGGCACCACCTCTAACACTGGGGATCACATTTCAAAATTAGATTTGGAGGAAACATGCTTCTGAACCATATCACCAGCAGAAGAATCTCTCACTCTAGTCTGCTAATATGGAGTCTTACATAACATAGTATACTCATGGGAGTGACATCCCATCCCCAAGTCATATTCTGTTGACTAGAAGCACATTGTAGGTTCTGTCCATACTCACGAAGAGGGGATTGTACAAGGGCATGGATCATTAGGGATCATTAGAATATGTCTGCCACATATCCTTTAGTATGTCTCTGTTTTTAAATGAAACTTATTGAGGTTTTCTTTGTAACTTAATGTATGGTCAATTTTGTGAATGTTCCATGTACACTTGAAAAAAATTACATTCTCTATTGTTGTATTTGGGAGCTTAATATACATTTTAATCTATATTTTACTAATTATTTTGTTTAGATCTTCTATATCCTTACTATTTTTTTTGTCTATTTGACCTGCTTTTAACTGAGAATGGTTAATGTATCCTATTGTTAATGTTTTTCTGACCATTTCTCCCTGAATTTCTTGTAGTTTCTCCTTTATAAATATGGTTGTTATATTATTTGGGACAAAGATATTATTAACTGTATTTTTACTGTAATGCATTGCTTGAATTTTAAAATGGCCTTTATTATTTCACACAGTGTTTTGTTTTTGAGGTTTCACTATGTGATATCAAGATGGCAATCACTGTTTCTAGTATTTTTCATTTGCCTTGTATACATTTGCCTATCTCTTTAATTTTAGTCTTTTCAAATAATTTTGGTTTAGGTTGTTTCCTTTAAAAATAGCTTTATTTAGGTGTAATCGTTAAACTTTACATATTTAATGGCTACAACTTGATGAATTTGGACATATGAATATACTTATGAAAGCTTCATTCACAATAAAAGTGATAGACATTATCAGTCACCTTTAAATTTTCCTTTTTCTTCATTATTGTTGTTGTAAAAACTCTTGAGATGAGATCCTCTTTTAACAATTTTTCAGTGCATAATATAGTAGTATTAACTATAGACACTATGTTGAACAATAGATCTTTAGAATTTATTCATCTTGCATAACTGAAACTTTATACCTGTTAAACAGCAACTCCCCATTTTCCCTTCCTTCCAACCCCTGGAAGCCACCATTCTACTTAACATTTTTATGAGTTTGACTATTTTAGTTACCTCATATAAGTGGAATCATGCAATATTTTTCCCTCTGTGACTGGCTTAACTTCACTTAGCAAAATATTTTCCAGGTTCATCCACATTTTTGCAAATGACAAGATTTCCTTCTTAAAGGCTGATTGAGTTTCCATTTTATAAATATATCAGATTTTCTTTATTCATCTGTTGATGAGTATTTGGATTTTTTCCATATCTTGGCTATTGTGAATAACACTGCAGTGAACACGAGAGAACAGGTATCTCTTTGAAATCCTGATTTCAATTCTTTTGAATATATACTCAGAAGTGGGGTTGTTGGATCATATGGCAGTTTTATTTTTTTTGAGGAACCTCCATACTGTTTTCCATCGTAGCTACATCATTTTACATTCTTGCTAACAGTTCACAAGCGTTCCAGTTTCTCTACATCCTCAGCATCACTTATATATATTTGTAATAATAGCCACTCTAACAGATATGAGATGATATCGATCTCTTTGGGGTTTTGATTTGCCTTTTCCTGATGATTGGTGATATTGAGAATCTTTTCATATACTTATCGGCCACTCATACATCTTCTTTGGAGAAATGTCTATTCAAGTCCTTTTCCCATTTTAAAAATTGGGTTGTTTCCTTGCTATTGAGTTCTATGAGTTCCTTATGAATTTTGAATATTAATCACTTATGAAATATATATTGCGTATATATTCTCCCATTCCATGGGTTGCCTTTTCACTCTGCTAATTGTCTCCTTTGCTGTGCAGAAGCTTTTTAATTTGATGCAATTCCACTTGTCTACTTTTGCTTTTGTTGCTTGCATTTCTTGTGTCTATGCAATAAATCATTGCCAAAGCCAATGTCAAAAAGTTTTTCCCCTATGTTTTCTTCTAGGAGTTTTATAGTTTTAGGTCTTACATTTAAAACCTTAATTCATTTTGAGTTGATTTTTTTGTGTAAGATAGGGGATCGAGTTTCATTTTTTTTGTGTGTGAATATCCAGTTTTCCCAGTTTTCTTTGCTGAAAAGACTATTTTTTTTCTGCATTGTGTATTTTTGGTACCCTTGCTGAAGACCAGTTGACCAAAATATACATATATACGTATATATATGTGTGTGTGTGTGTGTGTGTGTATATATATATATATATATATATATATATGAGTTTGTATCTTGGCTCTCTATTCCGTTTTATTGGTCTATTCATCTGTCTTCGTGTCAGTGTTAGGTTGTCTCTTGAGTATACAACATAGAGTTCAGTTTTGCTTTGTGATCCAATCTGAAATGTTTTTCCTTTAAGTGGTAAGCATAGGAATTGATATTTGTGCCTGGACCTAATTCCCTTAACTGGGCCAGTGCACTTATCTTCCAGCTACTCCAAGTCTTGCCTAATACTGGTTCATACCTTCACCTTTCTTTGGAGGATTGCCTTTGATGGATGGGAGTCACCTAGTTGGGAGATGCCTTGAAATTATGACCCCTGCCTCCAATACCAGACAGTGACTCACTGATGTTGATATATAACAACCCAGCACTCTTGTTTCTAGGTGGGACAAACCCTGTGGTGCAGTCCATGATGTAGAACTTCCTGTGGTATGGATGGACTGAAGCTAGACTTTTTACGAATCCACATATTTGCTTAGCTGCTGCTTCTGCTCTATCTTGCTTCCCTTTCTTCTTAATAGATTTCTCTTGAGAGCACATCTTCATGAATTCACTTTAACAAGAATTCCCATACCATTATTTTAGAGGAACATAACCTAAGGCAATAAAAAGTTTATTTACATTTACTGGTATGACTGATATATTTAGTCTCAACTCTGTGATATTATTTTCTATTATATTTACTGTGTGTTTTGTTATATTTGCTATGTTTCTTAGCTGGATGTGGTGGCAGGCACCTGTAATCCCAGATACTTGGGAAGCTGAGGCAGGAGAATCTCTTGAACCTGGGAGGCTGAAGTTGCAGTGGGCCCAGACCGCACTATTGCGCTCCAGCCTGGGCAACAAGAATGAAACTCCACCAAACACACACACACACACACACACACACACACACACACACACACAGTGTTTGTATTTTCATTCTAGTAATTATTTGTGTATCAATGCCTTTTATACTCAAAATATCAAAATATTCCCCGTCTTTAAGCAACTACTGTTTTGTCAGTTCTCTGTGTGGCAATCAATAGACTTATTCTATTTTTTCTTCTCTGTTTCCAGTTTGCTTTAACTTATAAAGTTGTGTTATTTTTTCTTTGTTAGGATATATAACATTTGCAAAGTATTTTTTTAAGCTTGCCTCATCTTTGTTTTAGTCTTAGATTTATAATTAATTATATGCAATACTGCAATTGAATTTGGTCAAATTTCCCCAGTCATCTCTTGATTGAAAGAAGTTCGTCCTCTAGATTCTTCAAAATGAGCTCTTGAGGGCAGTATTCTGTAGTTATTGCATAGAAAATGTCTTGGTTAAATAGAAAAATTTGAGGTCAGATACTTTTTTCATCAAAAATCTTTAAAATGTTGCTTTGAAGTTGCCAAGATTTGAATGTTGCTATTTAGAAGTTCAATGCCAACCTGGCTTTTCTTTCCTTTGTAAAATATTTGGTCTTTTTTTTACATGAAGGGACAGAGGTTTTATTTATTTTCTTTTTTTTTTTTTGAGTTTTAGATCCCACAAATAAGTGAGAACATGTAATGTTTGTCTTTCTGTGCCTGGCTTATTTTACTTAACAATGATTTTCAGGTCCATCCACGTTGCAAATGACAGGATCTCATTCTTTTTTATTGCTGATTTTAATTGGATATGTAATATCTTAGAGATGACTGTTTGAGGTACATTTTCCTAGTTACACAGTGGGCCATTTCAATGTGTTGATTCACATCTTTTATTTCTGAAAAGTATTATTGGATCCCACTTTTAAATATTGGTTTTACTGTGTTAAAATTGGTTTATTTCTTATTTCAAGGCCACGCTTATATCTGTGGGATCTTTTTTCTCTCTAATTTGTATTTTTTTAATCTTGGACATTTGAATTTTTCTCCTTCCTTTCCAATCATGTGCTGGTAAATGTTTAATAACACCTATGGAATAAAATCCCTGATTTATAGCATTTGCAAATTCCAGTGGTGTAAATACTCCCATTATGACTAATGTCCACCTACCAATGGGATGTCACTGAACACAGCGTTGAGAAGATACACACAGAATTTGCTCTGCCACGTTGGTATGAGTTGGCTCCAGTACATCATTCATTCCTCTCGTAGTATTTCCAACTTAATTTATTCTCTATTGAGTACTTTGTAAGTTGGTTTGGAAGGGGTGACTATGGGATGATCAGGAGTTACTTACCATTTTTCCTGAAGGCACTTGTGTGGGTAGACAACTCAGAACTTGCAGAGAAATCTGAAAAGCCAAGCATATCCATCCAGTGAAGTGGGACCAAAAGCTGGAGGTCATAGACCACTTTATGAAAATTTATTGCCTCTGTGTAGCCACTGGCACTGATAGTCTATAGCCAAGTATCTGGTGGTGTGCTTAGGGGTACTGTTGGTCAGCAGGGACCAGGGTTAGGAAATGAGGTTGAGGTGGAGTAAAGGAGATCAAAGACAAATTAGAACTCAGTCTTGCGTCTGCCACTGTGTTTGACCACAAAGACCTTCAGAGAATAATGGCTGCTGCTTCTCCTCTACCTTCCATATATCATGCAGGCTCATCTTTTGATAAATTAATATGGAAGCACTCAGGGAAAGGGATTCTGGAAAATGTAGCACCCACTAAAATGACAGTAGTACAACTCAGCACAATTTCTGGCTTGATTTTTTGATTTTTTTCCTCCAATTTATTTTCTGATTTCAGTTAATTCTTATTTCACATCTTCCTGTTTTTTTTTCCCTTTCTGAATTTATGAATTCCTTTTTTTCTTCACCATCGTACCTTATGCTTTATTTTCCATAGAGCTTGTTTCCACCCACACCTTCTCTGGTCTCATCCATGCTCATTCCAGGGTCCAGGATCTCAGGTCTGGGGAATTTATGAATTTCTAATTTGGAGTGTCTTTTTTTTTTAAACCATACAAAAAATTTTAAAGGCTATATAGTTCATGTTGGGTTGAGGCATTGTGATAGAATGTTCCACTGTGTAAAGTCAGTTTTTTGGGAGTTTTTAAAAGATCGTCAGCTGAAATGTTGCATTTTTTGTATGCTTTTTTAAAAATATGATTTTACTGCTGTATTCTGTTCATTTTGAAATGTTATACTTTCCTGGGCCAGCTATAGCAAATGGTTCTATGTAAGTGAGGGTGAGAGGTTTGAGTGGCTTATGTGGTACAGGAGTGCCCTCTTTGGTTGGCATAATGAAATACATTTTCTTCATTAGAAGGCCCTTTTTTTGGTGGTGGGTGAGAGCATTGGTATGTCATTTGACTTTATAATTCTCTTTTAGAACTCTTTTTTAAAAATTTGCAACTTTTACATTCAGGGGTACATGTGCAGGATGTGCGGGTTAGTTACCTAGGTAAATGTGTGCCATGGTGGTTTGCTGCATAGATCATCCCATCACCTAGGTATTAAGCCCAGCATCCACTAGCCTTTCTTCCTGATGCTCTCCCTCCACCCACCCCAATAGGCCCCAGTGCGTGTTGTTCCTCCCCATGTCTCATTGTTCAGCTCCCATATAAATGAGAACACGTGGTGTTTGGTTTTCTGTTCCTGCATTAGTTTGCTGAGGATAATGGCTTCTAGCTCCATCTGTGTCGCTGCAAAGGATATGATCTCATTCCTTTTTATGGCTGCATAGTATTCCATGGTGTATATGTATTATATTTTCTTTATCTAGACTGTCATCGATGGGCATTTGGGTTGATTTCATGTCTTTGCTATTGTGAATAGTGCTGCAATGAACATACACTTGAGTGTAACTTTATAATAGAATGATTTACATTCCTTTAGGTATATACCCAGTAATGAGATTTCTGGGTCAAATGGTATTACTGCCTCTAGATCGTCGAAGAATTGCTATACCATTTTCCACAATGGTTGAACTAATTTACACTCCCACCAACAGTGTAGAAGCGTTCCTTTTTCTCCACAACCTCGCCAGCATCTCTTGTTTTTTGACTTTTTAATAATCACCATTCTGACTGGCATGAGATGGTATCTCATTGTGGTTTTGATTTGCATCTCTCTAAATATCAGTGCTGTTGAGCTTTTTTTCATGTATTTGTTGGCTTCATATATGTCTTTTGAGAAGTGTCTGTTCATGTTCTTTGCCTACTTTTTAATGGGGGTTGTTTTTTCCTTGTAAATTTAAGTTCCTTGTAGGCTCTAGATATTAGACCTTTGTCAGATGGATAGATTGCAAATATTTTCTCCTATTCTGTATGATGTCTGTTTACTCTGTTGATAGTTTCTTTTGCTGTGCAGAAGTGCTTTAATTAGATCCCATTTGCCGATTTTTGCTTTTGCTGTAGTTGCTTTTGGTGTTTTCATCATGAAATGTTTGCCTGTGCCTATGTCCTGAATGGCATTGCCTAGATTTTCTTCTAGGGTTTTTACAGTTTTGGGCTTTACATATGAATCTTTAATCCATCTTGAATTAATTTTTGTATGAGGTGTAAGGAATGGGTCTAGTTTCAATTTTCTACATATGGCTAGCCAGTTCTCCCAGCTCTGTTTATTAAATAGGGAATCCTTTACCCATTGCTTGTTTTTGTCATGTTTATTGAAGATCAGATGGCTGTAGGTGTGCAGTCTTATTTCTGAGGTCTCTATTCTGTTCCATTGGTCTGTGTGTCTGTTTTGGTACCAGTACCATGCTGTTTTGGTTACTGTAGCCTTGTAGCATAGTTTGAAGTCAGGTAGCATGATGCCTCCAGCTGTGTTCTTTTTGCTTAGGATTGTCTTGGCTATTCAGGCTCTGTTTTGGTTCCATATGAATTTTAAAATAGTTTTTTCTAATTTTCAAACTTCAGTGCTTATTTTCCTTCATCACAAAGTCTCCAAAGGATGCCTCACGTTCCCTTGGGATTAGTGCCTTCTCAAGGCTGCCCACTCTTGTCTGAAGCACTTTCAAGCTACTGCCTTTCTATTCCTCAGTAGATCTTAGATCCACCAGATCTCAGTGTTTCCCCACTAGGGTGGGACTCTGTTTCGTAGGTGCTTTTTTCAGTGTTTTGTTGTTGCTAGTCCCTCACTGCACTTTACTGAGAGCAGAGCAGATTATGGCAACACAATACAAAACCTCTCAAGATTACAACAGAGACTATATTGAATGGGACAAATTCTCCTGCTTTTTAAAATGTAAAATGGATAGTTTAATCATGATTAATAATGAATCTAAATATCCTTAGTATCTTCAATCCAAAATTTTCTGGAGATTTGAAGTCAAACAATATAGCATGTGTTCTGATTTATGAATGAATAAATTGAAATAATGCATTTATTCTTGTTATTTTTATTATACATGTTATAGATTATAGGTAAACCATGTTTGTATGGGGGTTCATGTGCTTCACATGAGTTATTGTGCTTTCTGCTTTCAAGTGACCATTATCTTTTATGTCTCGTACAAATATCAAGGGAGATGGGCTTTGAGAGGTGAGAGGGTGAGTTTGAATAGAGGCAAAACCTTGCAGATACCCAGAGAAGCTCTGACTACTTCTAACTGGGGGCAAGTTCACAGGTTAAAAAAGAAGAAACAGTTGTGACATACTTACATGATTATATTTAACTAAGTAATGGTTTTAAAAGCTGCCAAATTCTTAATATAATTGTGTTAACCACAAGATTTATATGAAATTGCATGACAAGTGATGTGGCCCTGGAAAGACACTAGTTTGAATGTTTTTTCTCTCAGTGCTTTGAGTATATTTCTCTAATTATATGCATTACTCTTAAAAATGCCAAAAGTGCTTTCTAGTTTGACATGTAAAGAGCTCAGAAGTCATCACTTGCATCTTGACAACAAGAAAAAAAGCTGAACAAACTGAAAATCAAAAACTCTTCTTGGATCCCTCACAGAATGGAGATCACAGGGCAAACTGCTTTCTAAAATGGAGAGATAATCTGGCAGATACAGTTAATCACAGCTTACTAGTAGCAGAAGACCAGAAACAGAATCCACAGTTGAAGCCACTATTGGTAGGAGCAATTTAAACTGTAATTGACCAATTGCTGGAGGGTCATTGAGAGTTAAAAACTCCAAGGACTTACAGGTTTAAGAGGACCTCTCCAGTTTTTCCAATTTCACCCTCAGGAGCCCTGCCAAGTTTTCACTGTGAGGACTGCAAAAAAAAAAAAAAAAAAAAAAAAAAAAAATCTTGTTTCAAGAGATTTTCAGAATGGAAAAACAACGCTTCTGAAATATACAAAAACTCTTTTTTTGTCCTGCTGTCAGGGAAAACTAATTTGTCAGAGCCTGATTGGAGCTTTACCAAAGCCTACCTGACCAAAGAATAGTGGGTGGGATGGATGGGGTAGGGAAGAGGAATATCCATCCCAGATGCACTAAAAGACTGACACGTAATCATATGACTATAGAATTCTTCCTCTCCTCCATATCTTACCACCATATCAAGAAGGCTTCTGTATAACAACAGGGTATTATAGCTGAAAGAACTGCAAACTTCGGATCCTAATTAAGGAGTTTACAGGGACACCCAAGGACAACATGGAGAAAAAAAAAAAAAGACACTAGAGAAAGTGTTAGCATTTGACACCACAGCTGCAGCAAACAGTAAACACTGTCTAATTGCTAGCCAGATAAACATAAAACCTCACACTAAAGGCCTATTTGCCTCAGTTCCTTTTATCTGATATATCATGTTTGCTTTAATAAACAATTACAAGGCATGCTAAAAGGCAAAAATCAGAGTTTGAAGGGACAAATCAAGCATTAGAAACAGTCAAATATGAGAGATTTTGAAGTTTCAGCCAGCAATTAACTAAATAATTATTTTATCCGGGAATTTAAAATAACTGTGATGAATATGATAAGGGCACCAGTAAAGTGTACAACATACAAGGACAAATGGGTAATATAAGCAGAGAGAGAGAGAAAAACTCTAAGAATCAAAAAGAAATGTTAGAAATAAAAACCATAGTAACAGAAATGAAGAATGCCTTTGGGCTTATCCATCAGAAAATTGGACATGGCAAAGAAAGAATTAATGAGCTTGAAAATATGTGAGTAGAAGTTTCCTAGACTAAAATGCCAACAGAAAAAGAAACGTTTGTAGTTTGTGGAATAGTGCAAGGAATAACAACACTGGTGTAAGAGATGGGAAGAAGGAATTGGTAATACTCTGTTATACGTTACTTGTACTACACATGAGGTGGTATGGTTTTATTTGAAAGGGAACTGAAATTAGTCATAAACATATTTTGCAAACTCTAGAGCAATAACCAAAAATGTTTTTTTAAAGTATAAATGATTTTTTAAGAGATAAGAGAAAATGGAATTATACAAAATGCTCAATTAAAACTGGAGAAGGCAGAAAGAGACAAAAAAGAAAGAACAAGGGCAACAAGTAAAAAAGAGTTACAAATGTGGTTGATAATAATCCAATGATAATAATAGTTACTTAAAATAGGAAAGGTCTAAATTTATCAGTTAAAAGACAAAGATGTCAGAGTGGATAAAAAACCCCACTATATGTTATCTGCCAGAAACCCACTTTAAATATAATAACACAGATAGATTAAAAATAAAGGGATGAAGATATACTAACACTAATCAAAAGCAAGCTGAAGTAGCTATATTAATTTCAGACTTCAGAGCAAGAAAAATTATGGATAAAGAGGGGCATTACATAATGATAAAAGGGATCTATTCCCTAAGAAGACATAATCATTTTAAATGTGTATGTGTCTAACAACAGAATATCAATATACATTAGGCAAAAATGATAGAACTGCAAGGAGAACTAGATGAGTCCTCTATTATAGTTGGAGATTTCAACACCACTATGCCAGTAATTGACAGATCCAGCAGGCAGAAAATCAGTAAGGACATAGTTGAACTGAACACCACCATCAGTCAAATGAATCTAATTGACATTTTAGAAAATACTTCATACAACAACAGCAGAATACATATGTTTCCGACGCACACAGGGAACATTCACAAGGTAGACCGCGTTTTGAATCATAAAAAAACCTTGACCAATTTAAAAGAATAGACATCATATAAGTATGCTCTCAGGCCATAATGGCATTAAAGTAGGAATCTCTAACAGAAAGATGGCTAGAAAATCCCAAAATACTTGTATACAAAAAAAGCTCTAAGTAACACATGATCAAAGAAGTGTGAAGAGAAATTAAAAAATATATTGAACTAAATAAAAACATTTTCATTTACAACCCATCAAAATTCGTGGGATGCAGCAAAAGCAGTGCTCAGAGGCAAATTTATAGCATTGAGTGCATGTATTAGAAAAGAATCCAATAAATTAAGCCTCCACCTTGTAGACTAAAAAAAAGGACAAATTAAATCCAAACTAAGCAGAAGAAAAGAAATAGTAAAAATCAGATCAGAAATAGTGAAATTAAAAACCGGAAAACAATAGAGAAAACCAACATCCACATGTTGGTTCTTACAAAAGATCAGGAAAATTCATAACTACCTAGCCAGGCTAATGAAGAAAATAAGAGAGAAGACACAAATTATTAATCATAAATGAAAGAGGAGCCATCACTGCTGATTCCATGGACATTAGAATAATGAAAGAAAATTATGAACAACTTTATGTCCACAAATTTGATGTTACATAAAATGGGTCAATTCCTTGAAAGACACAATCTACCAAAATTCACACAAGGAGAAACAGATAATCTGAATAGGTCTATATATATTAAAGAAATTGAATTAGTAATTAATAATCTTCCAAATAAAAGCACAATGCTCAGATTGTTTCACTGGTGAATTCTACCAAACATTTAAGAAAGAAAACATAGGAATACTCTATAATCTATTTGAGAAAAAGAAGCAGAGGGAACACATTCTAGTTTATTCTATGTGGCTAGGATTACCCTTATGCCAAGACCAGGTAAAGACGTTTCAAGAAAGAAAGTCTACAGACCAATATTCATCACGAATATAGATGGAAAAAACCTCAGGAAAATATGGGGGAACTTCAAAAGTTCATGGAATAAACGGAACTAAAAGATGAAAACGAGAAATATAAACTTTATTAACATAAACTCCATCAAGTTCAAGATACCTTTGTAAGCAATGATACTAGCCATTTAGTCTATTTCTAAAGAACTGAGGGTCCCAGAGATTTAACCATGTCAATTCAATATTTTTTACATTATTCAATGAAGAAAAATGAGTGCCCTTTAAATATATTTTTAAAATTAGAAAACAAAAAGAAGTCAGGAGTCAAAACAGGACTGTAAAGTGGATGCTTAATAAGTTCCCATAGAAATTCTTGCAAAATTGCCTTTGTTGGATCAGAGGAATGAGTAGGAGCATTGTTGTGGTGAAGAAGGACTCTCTGGTGAAGATTTCCCGGGCTTTTTTTTTGCTAAAGCTTTGGTTAACTTTCTCAAAACACTGTCACATAAACAGATACTACCCTTTTGCCCTCAAGGAAGTCAAACATAATGCCTTAAGCATCCCAAAAAACTGTTGCCATGACCTTTGCTCTGGATTGGTCTGCTTTTGCTTTCACTGGATCAATTCCACCTCTTGGTATCCATTCCTTTGATTGTGCTTTGTCTTCAGGATTGCACTGGTAAAGCCATACTTCATTTTCTGTTACAATTTTTCAAAGAAATGCTTCAGGATATTGATCCCACAAGTTTAGATTTTCCATCAAAAGCTTTAATCTTGTTTGCTGCTGATGTGGGTACAATAGTTTTGGCACTCATTAAGTGAAAAGTTTGTTTAATTTTTCGTCAGAATTGTGTTTGCTGAATCAATTGAAATGTTTATAGTGTGGCAATTGTTTCTGCTGTTAATTGTTGGTCCTCTTCAATTAGGATGTGAATAAGATTAAGTTTTTTTCTCACAAGTTGATGTGGGTGGTCTAGTCACTGTGGGCTTCACCCTTAACATGGTCTTATCATTTCTTAAAATGAGTCATCCGTTTGTAAACTGCTGATTTCTTTGGGTCATTGTCCCCATAAACTTTTCAGAAAGCATCAATGATTTCACTATTCCTCCACCCAAGTTTCACCATAAATTTGATGTTTGTTCTTGTTTCAATTTTATCAGAATTCATGTTGCTCTGATAGGGGCTCTTTTCAAACAGATGTCTTATCCTTTTTGTTAATGGTTCCTTAAATTAGCTCCTGTTTAAGTATGTTGTAAGAAGTTAGCATGAGTTGATTTTGATGTAAAAGTTTTTGAAATGCCTGAATAGTTTTTTTCATAATAAATATTTTCCATGAACCTTTAAAGACCCCCTCTTAGGAAATTAAATCTAACAATGTATACAAAGAATTATATATAATGCCAAGTAGAACTTATTCTAGGTGTACAAGTATGGTTTAACATTGGAAAAATCACATCAACATACTAAAGAAAAATTATATAATCATATTAATAGATGGAGAAAAAACATTAGACAAACTCCAACACCTCATTCATAATAAAAAACTTTCAGCAAAGTAGCAACAGAAGGTGCTATGGTTTGGATATGGTTAGTTTGTTCTCACCAAAACTCATGTTAAATTTGATCCCCAATGTTGTGAACTGGGACCTAGTGGGAGGTGTTTGGGTCATGGGAGTAGATCCCTCATGAATGGCTTTGTGTCATTCTCCACAGTAGCAAGTGAGTTCTCACTTTGGTGAGACTGGATTAGTTCTCACATAAATGGATTAGTTCCTGAGAAAGTAAGTTGTTAAACTTTTTGACTTCTTTGGTTTTGCTATCTTGTTTCCTCTCTCAGCATGTGATCTCTTTGCATATGCTGGCTCCTTTTCCACTTTCTGCCATGAGTTGATGCATCCCGAGCTCCTCACCAGGTGCAGATGCTCAATCTTGAGCTTTCCAGCCACCCGAATCATGAGCTAAATAAATCTCTTTTCTTTAATAAATTTCCCAGTCTCAGATGTTCTGTTTTAGCAACAAAAAACAGACCAAGACAGAGAAGAACTTGCTCAACTTGATAAAGAGCATGTGTAACAAATACAGAGCTGACATCATAATTAATGGTGAGAAACTGGGCACTTTTCTTCTAAGATTGGGAAAAAGGCCAGGATGTCCCTTCTCACCATCTCTGTTCAACATTGTACTAGAAGTCCTAGCTAATGAAATAAGATAAAAGGAAATAAAAGGTATGCATCTTGGGAAGAAAGAAATAAAACTATGTTTGTTTGAAGACAACATAATTGTCTATTCAGAAAATACCAATGAATAAACAAAAAACCTTCCTGGAGGCCGGGTGTGGTGGCTCACGCCTGTAATCCCAGCACTTTGGGAGGCTGAGGTGGGCAGATCACAAGGTCAGGAGATCGAGACGATCCTGGCTAACATGGTGAAACCCTGTCTCTACTAAAAATACAAAAAATTAGCTGGGCTTGGTGGCAGGTGCCTGTAGTTCCAGCTACTCAGGAGGCTGAGGCAGGAGAATGGCGTGAACCCAGGAGGCGGGGCTTCCAGTGAGCCAAGATAGAGCCACTGCACTCCAGCCTGGGCGACAGAGTGAGACTCCATCTCAAAAAAGAAGAAAAAAAAAACCCTCCTGGAACTAATAAGGGATTATAGCAAGGCTACTGGTATAAAGTTAATATATAAAAAGTAATTGCTTTCTTATATATCAGCAGCTGAAATTTGAAATTAACACAAAATCATTGACATTAGAACCAAAATAATCTTAGGTATAGATATAACAAAGTGTGTATAAGATCTATATGAGGAAAACTACAAAATTCTGATAGAAGAAATAAAAAAATTTAAGTAAATGGAAAGACATTTCATGTTCATGGACAGGAAGGCTCAATCTTGTTGAGATGTCAACTCTTCCTAAATTGATCTATACCTGCAACACAATCCCAGTAAAAATCCTTGCAAATTATTTTGTGGATATCAACAAACTGATTCTAAAGTTTTATATGGAAAGACAAAAGACCCAGAATATTCAATAAAATATTGAAGAGGAAGAGCAAAGTCAGAAGACTGACACTACATGGCTTCAAGTCTTACTATAAAGCTTCAGTAATCAAGACAGTGTGGTACAGGTTGAGTGTGCCTTATGCCAAATGCTTGTAACCAGAAGTGTTTGGAGTTTTGGATTTTTTTTGGAGTTTGAAATATTTGCATATAGGTACATTGAGACCTAATCTGAAAATCTGAAATTTGAAGTGCTCCAAGGAGCATTTTCTTTGAGCATGAACTTCGAGCATTTTGTTAGTCTTAAAAAGTTTCAGATTTTGAGGCATTTCAAATTTGAATTTTTGGATTAGGCATGCTTCTTTTTTATTGGTAAAAGAATAGACAGATTGATGGGACAAAATAGAGAGCCTAGAAATAGATCCACAAAATACAGTCACTGGTCTTTGACAAAGAAGGAAAGGCAATACAAAGGAGAAAGAATAGTCCTTTCAGCAAATGGTGCTGAAACAACTGGATATCTAAATGCAAAAAAAAAAAAAAAAAAATCTAGATACAGACCTTACAGCTTTCACAAAAATTAAAATGGATCACAGGCCTAATTTAAAATGCAAAATTATAAAACTTCTGGAAAGTAACAGAAAATTTAGTTGACTTTGAGTTTGGCAATGAGTTTTTAGATAAAACACCAAAAGCATAATTAATCAATGGAAGAAAACATTGAGTTAGTTTTCTTTATTATTATTATTTTTTCTGAGGCAGGATCTCGTTCTGTCACCCAGGCTGGAGTGCAGTGGTGTGATCCTAGCCCACTGAAACCTCCGACTCCCAGGCTCAAGTGATTCTTGCGCCTCACCCTCCTGAGTAGCTGGGTCTACAGGCGTCCACACCCATGCCTGGCCAATTTTTTGTATTTTACTAGAGATGAGATTTCACCATGTTGTCCAGGGAGTGGTCTTGAACTCCTGAGCTCAGGCAGTCTGCCCACCTCGGCCTCCCAAAATGCTAGGATTACAGGTGTGAACCACTGTAACTGGCCAGTTAATTTTCATTCAAATTAAAAATTTTGGCTCTGCAAAAATTAATTTCATGCACTGTTAAGAGATTCAAAAGACAGGTCACAGACTGAGAGGGGATATTTGCAAAACACATATCTGATAACAGCTTGTATCCAAAATATGCAAATAATTCTGAAAATTCAACAATAAGAAAACAACCCAGTAGATGCTTCACCAAAGAAAATATACAGATGGCAAATAAGCATATGAAAAAAAGCTTAGCATTATAGTCATCAGGAAACTGAAAATTAAAACAACAATGAGGTACCACCACACACCTATGAGAATGGCTGAAATCCAAAAGACTGACGATACCAAAATGCTGGTGAAGACGTAGAGCAACAGGAACTCTCATTTACTGCTGGTGGGGATGCAAAATAATAAAGCCATTTTGAAAGACACCTTGGCAGTTTCTTATAAAACTAAACATAGTCTTACCATATGACTCAGCAATTGGGCTTCTAGGTAGTTACTCAAGTGACTTGAACATTTACGTTTACACAAAAAACTGCATACAAATGTTAATAGTAGTTTTATTCATGATTGTGACAATTTGGAAGCAAACAAGGTATTCTTCAACAGTTGAATGGAGAAACAATATCTATACAATGGATACATTTTAAAATCACTAATATTCCATTGTATTATTCCATTGTATGAATCTATACAATGGAATATTATTCAATGCTTTAAAAACTATGAAGCCACAAAAAGACATGAAAGAAACTTAAATACATATTGTAAAGTAAAAGAATCCAGCCTGAAAAGACAACATATAGTATAAATTCAACTATATAACATTTAAGAAAATGCAACACTATAAAAACAGTAAAAATGTCAGTGGTTGCCAGGGTTTGAGGAAGGAATAATAGGTGGATTACAGGGCATTGTTAGGGCGGTGAAACTATTCTGTGTGATATGGCAATAGCGGATACACGATGTTATGCATTTGGCAAAAATTACAACATAGTGAACCCTAGTAAACTGTGGTCTTTAATTAATAGTAATGTACCTGTGGTCCTTAATTAATAATAATGTACCAAGATTGGTTCATCAATTGTAACAGATGCACCACACCAGTAGAAAATGTTAATATTTGGGGGAAACGAGAGTCAGGGAAGAGAGTGTGGGTACTCTCTGTACTTTCTGCTCAGTTTTTCTGGAAACCTAAAACCCCTCCCAAAATAAAGTCTATAAGAATATGCTACAGAGACTTGTGGATCTTTAGTTTGGGCCAAACTGCCCTCCTGGACCCAGTCTGTGATGGGCCTTGAAATAGGAACTTTGAGAAGCGGGGATGAGGGGTGGAGTGGGGGAGGTGGGGGGAGTTGGGATGGCGGGTCTCACTTAACATCCCAGCCACCATGACAGAGTGGCACTAGAATCTGGGACTTTAACACACACCAGGCTTGCTCTCTTGAAGTTATTTTTTTGCTTTCAGGGGGTGAAAGGAAGATTATGTACTACAAATTAAGTAGCCATGCCAAAACTCAAATTAAAGTTCTGACAATGACACTCTAGGCTTTTAGTTACATATGATTCTTGTTGTTTCTAAGGGCACTCCTTTACGCCTTTGGAGAAAGCCAACAAGATAAAAACACATGACTTATCAAAGGTTGTGACTTGCCCTGGAAGAATTTTTTTTTTTTCTTGGAAGCTGCCGTTTCCCTCAGGAACCCTCACTGGATCGTGTAATTCGTGTTGTTGTGCCCCATATGGGGATTCGGCTTTTCTGCTTATGGGAGTTTTGATAATGCAAGTCAGGCTGAGCATTTAGCTAGTGTCTCAGCAGGCATGTTTGTCAAATGCAAATTAACATATATAATCTTAATATACTTCCAGTAACTGATTTGGTATGTGCTCTGTTGACAAAGGAGTCTCCCAGGTAATACATGTTGAATGCTTGGAAATAGGGAATATATTTATACCTCAGTCAGAAAATTAGCTCCTAAAGCCAAGCTTTCAGTAAAGAGACAGTGGCTATTTTGTTATTTTTTTTTCAAAACTCTAGATGGTTAGTTAACTAGATAAAAAATAAAATACACATATATTAAAATTATATCTTTTTAGTTGAGTTCTCATTAAAGAGAAATTTGCTTAAAAATAAAAAAATGAGTATATTAACTCATTTTAGGATAACTGTATTACTCCAATTTTAGTATATGTGCTGCTGAAGCGAGCACTTAGGATAACTGCATCATATATCTTTATTTCTTTTTCTACTTGGAGTTTAATGTAAATATATTACAGTAAGAAATAACCTCACTAATTGAGTAATTGGCTCAATGGCATGGGGAAATCCAGTTAACAGCTAAAGATGTTTATGAAAAAATTAGGCCAAGTTGGGTAGATTGCTTGAGCCCAGGAGTTTGAGACCAGCTTGGGCAACACAGCAAAACCCTGTCTCTACAAAAAACACACAAAAAAGTAGCCAAGTTTGGTGGTGTGTGCCTGTGGTTCCAGCTTCTGGGGAGGCTGAGATGGCAGGATCACCTGAGCCCGGGAGGTAGAAGTTTCAGTGAGCTGAGATCACACCACTGCACTCCAGCCTGGGCAACAGAGCGAGATTCTGTCTCAAAAAAAAAAAAAAAAAAAAAAAAAAAAAAGAAATGGAATGAATACATAATGTAAATACTTTGAAGACATAATAATGACAAATAGCCAATTAAAAATCCTGACAGATTGGCTTTAAGGAATAGAAAAAATATATTGTCATTGTTACACTCAAAGTTAGCAGGCCAGAACGTTTCTCAAATACTGTTATCTGATTAATCAATTAAAATAACATTTTTGTTTACTATGCTAGTGCCATTTATTTGTCAAGAAAGCTTTTCAAATTTGAACTTCAAATTAGCGTATGTCTAAATCAGTTTCTTAACAGTGGCACTATCGACATTTTAGTTCGGGCAATTCTTTATTGTGGGGAGCTATTCTGCACATTGCAGGATATTTAGTAGTATCCTTGGTCTCTAAGTGCTAGATGCCAATAGCATCCCCCGCTCCAGGTATGACAAATAAAAATGTCTGCAGGCATTGCTACATATCCCCTGGAAGGCAAATTTGCTTCTGTTTGACAACCAGTGGTCTAAATTATAGGAATATCCAAAACAGAGCAGTTAAAATAACCAAGTCTTACTGAACATATATTCTACAATGAACATGGAAGAAAGGATGCTTTTAAATCAGAGTCAGTGTGTAAATAGACCAAATTTGATGTTACCTAGTGCTCATTCCAAGGACTGAATTTGGGTGACCATAGCAAACTATTTGGTTCACATAAACTTTTAGTTTCCTTGGCTGGGTTTGGTGTATAACCTGTCTGCTCCAGGATAACTTGGAACAGACTGTAATATTCAACATAATAGTTCAAGGATACCCATGTTGACTAAATATATTGTTGATTTAATTACTGTGGTTTTGAATAAAAAATTTAGACCTCTTCTTTCTGAATAAGTGCTTTACCAACATTTTTCTTGTAGCTCTTCATCACTCTAATGACACTTTCACTAATTCAAAAAAAGTAATTTGCCTCCAAAGCCTGATAATTTCAATTAACTGCTTTGATCAAGGAAGGATTTACACATCGTTGCCAGTCGGGCTGATTGCTCATTCAAGGGCTTTAATTGTTCCTTGGCTCATTTCTTTTTAAGAGACATTTGAACTTGCCTTTTTTTTTGCTCAGTAGTTGTTTGGCAGCTTCCCAAGGTAAGCAAGGGTTGACTTAGTTTACGGAGGATTTTTGCCTCTCCTTGATATCCATTCCTTCTCTCACTTCTCTGGGTCCAGGTCTCTTCCTCTGAGAATGTACTTTGATTTCTAACACTAACAACATAACTTTAGGAGCTCAAGTGAGGCTCAGGGCAGTGAGAATCATTAGTTTTTATTTTTTGTTGGATCTTGTTGAACCACTTTCAAGTAGACTAAGAGAACGACCAATGTGGGGCGTATTGAGTCTAAGGGTTGGGTGGGTAGGGGGATGCTCAGTGGGTGGCCAATCATTTTAGCTTGCCTGGGACTGAGGGGCTTTCCAGGACATGGGGCTTTTATTGCTAAAATCAGGAAAGTTCCAGGAAAACTGGGATGAGTTGGTCACCCTAGGAATACTATTGCGATCCAGATGTCTTGGGATTTGGCAGCATGTGAACTCAAATATGACCACACAGCCATCAATACCTAAAAATCGATAGCCCTGGGTCTCCTCTCCCATCTTACAATGGTAAGCACTTAGTGTCCTGAAATTCTCTCAGATTTTTGTAGGAGTCTCCAGAGAGTGACTCATTCGTATCCATAAAGGAGGGCTTTTCTCTCTCTGTTTTCTTTTTCCTTTCCTTCCTCTTTAACTTCCTGGCCGTGGCTTGCAGTCTACAAACTGCCTAAAGAAGTGCCTCTATACGGCCACTGTTGTTGGAAGTGTCCGTAAAACGCTGGCCCACTCCCAGACCTTGCCTCTCTGTTGCTTTCGTGGGGATAGTTTTTCTCTTCTGGGAGATTCCAAAGCCTTCAGGTTATTAAAAATGCTCAGAGTCACAAAGTGCTTTAGCTTCTGGGCTCCCTTCAGCACTCTTGGCCAGTTCTTAGACACACTCAGTTGCACTCTTCCTATACCGGAAGGCTTTTTCTTCCATTATTCTTTTCTCGCTCTTTTACTTATTCAAAAGCATTCCTGAACCTACAAAGCAGATAACAAAAAATCCCCATGCACACTAACCCACACCATGGAGGGGGGGTGTGGTCTTACTCCTCTTATACACTCACTCAGAAGCTTCTTTTCTGCTGAGCCAAACCACTGTCTTACACAACCATGAAGTGGGAGGATTTTCCAAACTCACCATGGGCTTCATCTCAGCCTCCAATTGCTTAATTGAACCACTCATAGCCCCCATGACTATATGGCATGAGTCTTGGCTTTTGTGTGTGTGTCAAATCCAAAATTACTAGGAAGACATCAGGACAGAAAGCAAGAGGTCAGAGAGATGCTGTCCATGGTGCTGCAGCAGTGGTTGGAGTACAACTTTAAAGTACAGACAGTCCCTGACTTAGGATGGTTTCACTTCCAATTTTTCGACTTTATGATGGTGCAAAAGCAATACACATACAGTAGAAACCATACTTTAAGTACCATTACAGCCATTCTCCTTTTTCATTTTCAGTACAGTATTCAGTAAATTACATGAAATATTCAATACTTAACTATAAAATAGTCTTCACGTTAGATGATTTTGCCCAACTTGAGCCCAAATTTGAGCATGTTTAAGTTAGGCTAGGCTAAGCTATAATGTTTAGTGTTCAGGTGTATTAAATTCATTTTTGACTTAGAATATTTTCACCTTACAATGGGTTTATTGGCACATAACTCGATTGTAAATTGAGAAGCATCTGTACTCAATTATAGGGCAAGTATTAGTGAGTCAAACTCTCATTTCCTCATTAGCCACCCCCATCCAGCTTGAATCATGTTTTTTTGTAAAGATATAAGATGTAAAACGAGCTATCAGTTAGAAGGATTTTGGCTGCAAGTAACATAAATTATTATCCAAACTGGCTTAAGCAAGTAGGACATTTATCATCTTATAGAGCAGCAAGTCCATAAATAGGGCAAACTTTAGAGTTGATTGGCTCAGTGGATCAGAAATAGCAAGAAGCCAGATTATCTCCACATCTGTGTCATATCATCCGTACATGATTTCACCTTCTAATTCTTCTAGTCACAGATAGGTGCCAAAAGAGATTGGGAAAACTTGTGCCCTTGATTTAATCCATTAGGAGAACCAGAGAGGAAGAGGAAGATAGAGACATGAGGGAAGAGAGAGGGAAGAGGAAGGGAGAAATTATTCCTCAAATACAAATGTAATTTCTTCCATTTAATCTTACTGGGTCAATTTTGGTCATATGCTCACTCTGATCAGTAAGAATCACCAGGAAAATGCAGTCGTTGATTTGTTTAGACTAATCAGAATCAAACTCAGAGTTGGAAATGGAGTAAACTTCCCTGAGTCACATGTGCTACATGAGAAAATGATTGATAGTTGAACAAAATTGGGACTCCTTTAGGAAAGAGGAAGAAGGGAATGGAGGCCAGGTAGACAACTGACAGAGTTCCCTACAAAAATAACTCCATTTTATGCTATTTCTCTATCTCTGTGATGGACCTAGTACTTTGGCAATAACCTTGTAACAACTTTGGTAATACTCTTACAATTTGGCAGAGTAAAGAGTTCAAAGAGGATGGGTTTGGGAGCCCTATGGACATGAATTTCACCAATGGCTTTGCTGTCTTCTTCAGAAAAGTGAGGTCACCTCCCTGAGCTTCTGTTTCCTTATCTGTTAAATAGATTAATGCTATTGACTATGGAGCATTGTTGTGGGTATTTAAGACATAATGTATATAAAGTATGTTCTCAGAACCGGGCACCTAGTAGCTACTCAAGAAATGTTAGTTTTCAGCTCTTTCTTCTCCCCTGCCTTAACAAGTTGGGAATATAACTACCTATTGACTTCGTATCGTCACCACTCTTGGCCAGCTCTTAGACACACTCATTTGCGTGTCCCATTTTCAACTGCATTGCTGGGCTGCGTTGGGCCATCCAGGGGGCCAATAGGGAGGGTTATACGTCTAGCATCACTGTCCAAAAAATGGAAATCAATGGTGTGTTATGCACCTCTTCACTATGTGATGTTGGGTAGTTCAATCCCTCTATAGGTGACTGCCCTACAGTGTCCAATTTCTTGTGTATCTGATCCTGGCACAAGCACAGGTTTGGGGTCAGAATATGTGGAATCTGCTACTTGAATATTTCTGAGCATCAGGTCTTTCATAGTACAACAGTGATTTTTGTGACCTTCTTTGTTGGTTACTTTTTGGTATAACAATAAATAGGATAATGCATGAAAATGCACTTAAAATGCAATGTGTGAAACCATGTGAAATAAAGAAAATCTGCTGTTCTCCAGTTTCAGCCTTTCGAGTGTCTGGAACTGATGATGTAGCCACAAATATCAAGATTGAATCTGGAGCCATCTTACCTAATATGGGATATCTGGTCAAATTCTTCCTGGCCCCATTCCCATTTTACTGATTTTCTTCTTTTGATTATCAAATATTTAGGACCTATTGTGGGTGACAAAAACCAGGGGTTCAAAGACATTTAAGACACTTGGCCTTATGAAGTAGCAACTTCTCTGTCTCCATCCACTTCTTGTTACTTCACAAATCTAGGTTGAGTAAAATGAAATAACGTAGCCCCTGAGTCTCCGCCTCCATGTCTAAAGGATGCCTTCTTGCTGCTGTTGCAGCTTCTGAATGATACTCAGCATCCCTTGAGTGCCTGAGTGCTTGGTTTGAGTGGATTGTGATGTTGAGGTTGAAAGCACTCTCCAGAGAAGGGAAGGGCCTTGTTCAAGGCCACACAGATGATTTAGTATCATGTTCTGAGCTCTTTGTCTTCTGCTGATTTGGTGACTGGTAAAGCTCAGGCCAAGGCTCTTTTTTCTCCAACACATGAGTTCTCATGAATTTTCATGGGTGCATCTTCTCTAGTATTGAGGGACCCACTGTTTAAAACTGTATCCATCTCCTCCTCACACCTGGAATTCCGTAAGCTGCAGTCTATATAAATAGACTTGGCTCTCTGCTATCAGGCTGCAATAGAGCATAGGGCTGGTATAGTGAAGACCACCATTTTAGTGCAAACTTGGGGAGGGACCATGGATAAGTCACTATATATGTGTGCATAAGTGAAAGTCAGAGTTTCTACCTTTTGGATGGCCTTTGGGTAACCTAGGAGGCTGTTTGTGAGAAAAAAGGAATGCAGGGGAAGATGTAGGATCCTGGAGTGGAATCCAAAAATATGGTGTCACCTGCCACCTTTTGTGTAACCTTGGGCAAATCCCCACATATCTTTCTTCTTCCATTTTCCCATTGGTAAGACGGTAATAATAATAAATATTTGTCTTAATCTGATGAGGGTTATGGAAGAAGCCAATATTGCTATAGCAGTCATGAGAGAAGAGGACGTGTGAAGTAGTTAAAATAATGTAGGCCAGGAGGTAAGTTCTGAGAAGAAATGGAAACGAGGAGAGGGGATGTGTGGGTGGTGTCAGCAGATGCAGATGTGGGAGGACTCACAGGGATTCTATCCTGGCTGTCTCTTCCAGGAGGCTGAAGGGTCCTGGTGAATAGTGGTGTTATATATGACTTAGAAAAAGGAGAGAGAAGGGGAGGATCTGCAGTGTCCAGAAAGAAGAGGGGAAGAGGAAAATTATTCTAGCCTGTTTGAAATTGGTAAACTTCTTTCCTTTAAGATTGGCTTACCTAAGAAGGAGAGAACAAAGACCATCAATGTATAAAGGGTGAGATAGAGAAATCAAGGAATAGTGAGTAATCCTTGAACCATCACTGGAAAAAAATCAAAGTGGAGGTTATCAATGGATTATGCTTTAGATTCTTTAACTATAAAGATTTGTGAGAATCTCTGTGAAAGCAGGAGAGAGGAAAAACATGCTTAAGGATGGCATTGTTTTCCTGGAAACTTCCACAGGATACTTTTACTTACGGGCCACACCTAGCTGTGAGGCAGGCTGAGAAATATAGTTTTTACTCTGGATGGCTGTATGCCCAGCTAAAATTTCGATTACTGTGGATAGTGGGAGACAACTAGAAGTCTCTACCACAAGGAATAAATAAGACAATGTAGGTAAAGCAATGAGCACAGTGTCAGGGTAGAGCAGGTACTTGATGTATGTCAACCATTGTTTCCACCCTTTACTTACATCAGAAAGGGAAAGGATAGCAAAGAGAGGGTGGGGTGGGGTAGAGTGAGTCCTGTGCCACTTTTGAAGCCCTGGGGAGAGAAGATGACACTTGTAACAAAGGCATGAAAAGGAAGCAAGAATTTTGCCAGAGATGGGAGGTTTACAGTTGCTTTTTTAGATTTCTGTTTGGAAAACTGGTGTTTCAAAGACAGATAATCAAAATGGAAATGTGCGAAGAGGGTACAGATAAGGCAGAAATATGTTTTTTTTAAATTTTATTATCATACTTTAAGTTTTAGGGTACATGTGCACAACATGCAGGTTTGTTACATATGTATACATGTGCCATGCTGGTGTGCTGCACCCATTAACTCGTCATTTAGCATTAGGTATATCTCCTGATGCTATCCCTCCCCCCTCCCCCAACCCCACAACAGTCCCCAGTGTGTGATGTTCCCCTTCCTGTGTCCATGTGTTCTCATTGTTCAATTCCCACCTGTGAGTGAGAACATGCGGTGTTTGGTTTTTTGTCCTTGCGATAGTTTGCTGAGAATGATGGTTTCCTATTGGATGGCTTCCTATGGATGGTTTCCTATTTGATGGTTTCCTATGGATGGCTTCATCCATGTCCCTACAAAGAACATGAACTCATCATTTTTTATGGTTGCATAGTATTCCATGGTGTATATGTGCCACATTTTCTTAATCCAGTCTATCATTGTTGGACATTTGGGTTAGTTCCAAGTCTTTGCTACTGTGAATAGTGCCACAATAAACATACATGTGCATGTGTCTTTATGTATTTACAGAGCACCTTGGGAGTGTTTTGCTTATGTGAATTCTAAGGGAGTATTAGACGATATGTGAGGAAGACTTTAAACTCTTAGGAAGAATGTAACTATGCAAATCAGAGTGTTGGCATTATTAATGACAACAATAGTTTTATTATACGTCAAGCACTTTGCCCTTCAAAAGAAAAAGGTTCTGCGAGTACAAAGAAGCATAGTAGCAGCAAAAGTGGGTTCCCAGTGGAGGGCACTGCCATTTCCCAGTGACCAGCGCACACCTTCTTTATCTGGGGCAACATGGAGGATTGGTTGCCATTTGAGTTATTGTTTAATTACAAGGCCAGAAACCCTCCCTTTTCCTCTCTCTCTTTCTTTTCTCTCCTTTGCTTTTCTCCTCTTTCTCTACCAGGAGGAAGATGACGTGCCTCTTTAGTCTTCAATTTCCTTTTTTCTCCTTTCGAATCCTTTGATCTAAGGAGGAGTGTTGGTTCTTGCTCTAGGCCACTGTGACTAGCAAAGTATTTTCTCAAAGCCCCTATTTAGCTTCTGCAAAAACGGAACAATATTACATTCCTGGGTGTATGTTCAGAACTAGGATTATGATAGGGGTAGCAGGAAGAGCACTGGATTTGGAAGTAGAATAAGCGTTTCTTACTTACTAATGCAGTTATTTTGGGTAAGTCATTTACCTTATATAAGCAATGATTTCTCCATTTTTAAAAGAAGTAATAGTTAAAAAAAACTAGGAGAGTATTTATGAGTATGAAATAATGGCTATGGAAGGGCTTTCAGATCAGTAAGGCTCTATACAGATGTTAACTGTTGTTATTATCTTATAGGGCAGAGTGGGATCCCAGTTAGGCAAGAGGTGGAGGTATAAGAATGTACTACAATCTGTACATCTTACAAATGCAAGAGTTTGTTTGCCTCTGCAAGTGTTTGCTCCTCTTTAGGCATAAGGATGTTTTATAGAGCCAACCATTTATTTAACAATTCCAACAGATCTTTATTTGAGTGCTTACTAAGTATAAGGTCCTGTCCTGGGCACCAGGCACAGCAATCCTTGACCTCCTGGAAAGAAGTCAGCTGAGGGAGACAGATAATAAATAAGTACACAAACAACTGAATTCATAATTCCAAATTGTGATGTGCTTAGAAGGGAGCTGACAGGATTGTGGTAGACAATTCAGTGATGTGGGCTGCAGGGAGCTGTCTTTGGTGGCCTTCTCTAGGATATGGCTGTCTTGAGCTGCAAGGAACTCAGTGGCATCTCTGGTCTTCCCTCTCATCTGTGGTTGGACATCCCACTCAAGTGTCCCAGCCCATCTTATTTTAGAAGAGCTGCCCTGAGTCATTGGCCCGCCCCTGCCTGCCTTTCACCCGAGCTGGGGAAAGCATCTCTGGGCCATGGGATCTGCCACTTCTGTGTCTCCCACCACCTGTGCCCAACTGAAGACAGAGGCTCCCAATTCAAGGGGGAACAGGCCCTTGTATAAGCCCTCATCCTGCCACAGGGGTCCTATCAGGGGTATGCAGGGGTGAGGGAAGGGATAGAGGCAGAGAAGACTATAGCCGACTTTGCCAGTTTCTGCAGTAGTCAGGCCAGCTGCTGGGATGCAGCTCCCGGGCCTGCAGGCTGAGTGAATTCCAGAAGCAATGATTTCGGGGGCGAGCTGGATTTTTATCAGGAAGCTAATGAAGCCTGCTTCCTTCCCATGCACGACTGCCTGGGACAACTTAGTGCTGCTTTAGGTGGCCCACTCAGCACCTGCCTTCTGGATCCGGTGTCTCTCAGGCGAGCCAGCGGAAGCTTTCTGGCACTTATTTGCTTTCTCAGCTTTAAAAACTCTGTCATCTGAGACAGACCAAGTAATTGCTATGAAATAATCTGGGAAGTCACATCTAGAGATGAAGGGTAAATGTAAGTTGCAGGCACTCACATTCTCTTGCTGCTCTAGGGTATAATGGTCCAATTTTGACCAGTGGAGAAGGCAACACCTTAAGGAGCAGCATGGTACAGGGAGGAAAGCTCTGGGCTGGGAGTCAGAACATTTGGACTGTGCTCCTCAGCAGATGGGTTACTGTAGGCAAGTCACTCCATCTCTCTGGTCTTAGTATGTTTATTGTAAAATGAGTGGGATAGGCTAGATGATGTCCCTCGACTGTTCCAGATCAAATAATGAGATTTCATACAGCATTTATAGATACATGCTTTGAAAACAATACTGCCCAACCTGTTATTTATTTATTTATTTATTTTTTAAAAGAATGTCCAGAAAAGGGAAATCAGAGGCTGATCCTCTGCTGGTGAAATGACATGTGATTCTACATTTCCTCTAGACTGCTGACTTAAATTCATTGTGATTGATGCATAGTTTCTGCAGAACGGAAAGGCCATCTCTGAGATCAGCCTCTGAGTGCTTCCTCATTGGTGGGTCCTAGCAAGTGACTCAGTGGTTTCTCCAATCACCAGCGGGCAAGGAGGAGGTGGCGAAGGTAGGCATTAGGCCAGGCCAGGCGGGCAGCAGGAAATGGTTGGAATTGTTGACACTTGCACCAACTCTTTGTTAAGCCTGTGGGACACTGCCCCTTGCATACTGTGTGACACCGCCCCTTGTGTACACTCGGCCAGTTTCTACCCTGCTCTGTGCTGTCCTGGAGGGTCTACTCCCAGAGAGTGTGTCACTCCAGGCTTCCCTGGCAGCCTGGGTGGTGGAGGAGAGGGAGGTCAGGGCACTTGTCACTGCTGCCTCTCTGCTTTGGCCCCTTGTCACATCCAGGACTAGGGTTTTTTCACAACTTCTGCCCTCACTACACTCTGGTAATGCTACTATCGCTGAGCCCTTCATCTCTAGGGAAATTAATGGCTTCCTGTTGGGTGCCTGTTCATTCTTTTATCCTGTCTACATTTCTATGGTTAGTCCCATACAGGGTGAGTTCTGTTTCTTGCCACATTTCTAACTGTTAAAACATCCAAACAGGGCATGAAAAGCAACAAGGAGTTAAGATTATATTTATCTGTGGTTGTCAACCATGGCTCCATATTAGAATCCCTTAGAGACCTTTAAAAATCCTGTGTTTGGGCTCAATTCCTACAAATTCAGATTTGATCAGTCTAGAGCAGGGCCTATGATTGGGATTGATGGTTACAATTTTTAAATTTTATTTATTTACTTATTTTTTGAAACAGAATCTCACTGTGTTGCCCAGGCTGGAGTGCAGTGGTGCAATCACAGCTCACTGCAGCCTCAAACACCTGGGCTCCAGGATCCTCCTGCCTCAGCCTCCTGAGTAGCTGGGACTACAGGTGGGAGCCACCACATCCAGCTAACTTTTTAATTTTCTGCAGAGACAGGGTCTCGCTATGTTGTTTAGGCTAGTCTCAAACTCCTGACCTCAAGAGATCCTCTCTCCTTGGCCTCCCAAAGTATTGGGATTACAGGTATGAGCTACTGCACCTCTGATTGATATATTTTAAAAGATGTTAATGTGTAGCCTGAGTTTGAAACAATCAGTACCTCTGATTAGTATTGATTGTTGGGGCTGGGGGAAATTCATCTTTTTCCTTTTCTTGGTGGCAAAGGCCCCCTCTTTTTTTCTTTTAAAATTTTTACTAGAGAGAGTTTGATATATACACAAAAGTAGGTTGAGTAGAGCAATGAACCTGCATGTACCCATCACTCAGATTCAACAGTTGTTAATTCAGAACTTCAACTGACTGTGATGTCCAACTTCAGATGACTGATGGCTGACTGGTGTCAGGCATGGCCTGTCAATCTGTAATGCAGCTTGTAAGAACACCCACAGATACAGGATGGATCTGGTGAGCGGTATTTGAAATCTTAAAGCAAGGAGTTTCTTATGGCAGGAGTGGACTCAGTTTACACTTTACCAGTTATATGGGGAAGTTTAATGGCATTGCACTATTAAACCATGCCAAAGATGACTTTCGAAGATTCTGATCTCAAATGTTGCTTGGTTTGACTTGTCTCTTAATGTAGATCTGGATGCTAGCTTCAGAGCCTCTTGGTAGGACATTTCTAGAAAGTAGAACGGTATTGTTGATGAAAAAAAGTGGCCTCAGTCCAAAGACAGATTTCCTTTTCTATAAAATGAGGAGGGAAAATTCCATGAGTGCCTAATGTTCTTTCTGGCAATGATACCAGAAAGTGAGTCTATGAACCTAAGAGAGTGAAAAATGTCAATAATCTTGAATGGTGTTGGTTGGGTTGGGGAAAAATTTGAAACAAACTTGCCACAGGTCAAGTGGCTTTCATGAAATTGACTTAATTACTTATCACTACTAAATGAAAATTGAATCTTTTCCTAAGACTGAATATCAAACACATGTGCCGAATTCCGGTTAGAAAAGTATGATTGTCATTTTTAGTGTTACCACTAGATGGCAGGGGTGCCCCACAGTGTTGGTAAAAACCACCCTGCATTTTCAGGTAAGGAGGATCTGAAGGAGAAATATACAACTTGCTTAATAATTTTTAAGTAATCATGTATAGGTTCAGCCATGGTTTGGGGAGGTAAGGTAGTGGGGTTTGGAGTGAAGATAATTTTTAAAGTAACATTGGGATTTTTCAGGAGGATGGCCTGACAGATGTCTAACCGTTTAGAAGTAAACCAGTGGCCCCACCTTCTGTTCTAACAAAGGGGGTACAGGTCGTGTGGTGTGTACTGGGGTAGGTTGACCCAGTGTGGACTTTACTGTCTCCTTGGAGAAGATGACAAATGGTGGCAATGGCTCGGAGGCAAGAAGGTCAATCCCTTGTGACAATGTCTAGTTGTTTTGAAAAGTAGGCTACAGGGCTCTTGATATTTTTTAAGTCATTAACATCCCTAAACTCATTTCTTGTGTCTTGTGTATGAACAAGTCAAACAGTTTTCTTAGGTTAGGGACTCTCAACGCTGGAGTTGTTAATATATATATTTTTAATGGTTAGAAAGATCTTTTGACATTTTCCAGTCTACTCCAGGGGTTCAGTATCTTTTTTTTGGTGGCAGGGGGTGGTTTTATAGAGAAGTTTTGCTGTAAGGCCAAAATTGGGAATCTAAATATGGGCAAAATCCAGTCATACTTAAAAACCCTCACAGTGTCACCATGTCACCGTGTTGTGGGTCTGGCCACAATGAAAAGAGCTTTTCTCCATCTTGAAGTAGATTTTTTTCTGTGCCTGAGAAAGTTTAAGTCTAAGATACCTAACTGAAGGGTTTTGAGATCTGGGTCTTTTCTTGGATACCTTACATCTGCATCTAGTCAGCTGTAGTATTCTGGTCAGAGTTTCTGTTGTTTACTAATATGTCCTCAACACACTGTAACAAAATCTCATTTTTAAATTGACTTCTTGAAGGTCTTTAACAAGTATTTTTCTCAAAATGATTGGTGAGTTTTTAAAGCCTCGGGGAAGTATTGTGTAGCAATACTGTTTAGCTTGTGTGTCAAGGTCTTATTATTTACAGGCAAATAGTTCTTGGGATTCTGGACTCGAGGAATATACAAGAAGGCACCTTTTTAGGTGTTAAGACTGAAAACCAGCAAAACTCACTGATGAGAGTTGTGAGTAGTGTGTGAGGATTGGGGACTGCCAGATGGATGTCTTTGAGGGTTTGGTTAATGGCCCTTAAATCCTGTATAAACATATATTCCTTAGTTTTCAGTTTTTGTACTGGTAAGATGGTCAATGAGACCTCCAAAGAGGCCTACAAATCAGGAGAAGAAAAGGGGGTGCTGGTTGCACACAGAAAGCTCACCAGAGATGTCTCCAGAGACCAGAAACTGTTTTTCTGCTGCAGGCAAGGTTCTGCGTTGAAGGTCGACACCACCCTGCCAATAGGGCAGCCCCTGGGGATAGCTCTTAGTTCAGGAGAAACAAGTGGCTGCCTGGGCTGTCTCTGGGTCTGCCCTAAAGGCAAGGGGGCCCAGAGATGTAGGCAAATGCCCAGAAGGCATGTGGTTCCTGGCTGACTCGCCACAGATTGCTGCAGCCTCAAATCCATTTTGTCAAAGGATTCTGGGCAAGAGGTTTTTTTTTTTTTTTTTTTTTGGAGTCTTGCTCTGTTGCTCAGACTGGAGTGCAGTGACGCAATCTCAGCTCACTGCAACCTTCACCTGCCAGGTCCAAGCAATTCTCCTGCCTCAGCCTCCTGAGTAGCTGGGACTACAGGTGTGTGCCACAATGCCTGGCTAATTTTTGTATTTTTAGTAGAGATGAAGGTTCACCACGTTGACCAGACTGGTCTTGAACTCCTGACCTCAACTGATCTGCCTGCTTGGCCTTGCAAAGTGCTGGGCAGGAGTTTTTAAGGGGATCATGGAGGGTGAGAGTCTGGAAAATTTGAGGTCATCGATTGGTCAGAGTAAGGAGGGTGAAATCATTATTATTATTTTTTTTAACGAGCTGGCTTTTTGCTGGGCCCTTCGGATCAGCTGGCATGGGTAGTTTTGTGGGTATGCAGAGCCTAATGGAGAAACTCAGTGGAAAGCTTATTATCTCACAACGTCTTAGGTTTCATCTGTAGAACAGAAAGAGAACAGTCTTGTGACAAGGGCTACACATCCCGGGGTAGTAAGCAGTGACAAGCCACAGGTGGGCCGAAGTGCATACTGGCTTCATGATAACTGTGGGTTGTGTTACAAGCCTAGTTGAATTTTATTTTGTATTTTATCCATTGATTTTATAAAATTTTCTTGGGGACAGTTTCAGAACTTTCTATCCCAGCAGAAAGGAATTTAATAAGCTTTGACGAAGTCTCCCTTGAAGATGCTTAGATGAATGACTTTCTTTTCCAGAGGTAGACACAGGCACTGTCTATTGTCAAGGCTGTGAACTGTGCTCCTAGTATTGCTTTAAGTAGAATTTCTTCTCCTTTCTGCATGAATTGCTGTTGACACTGTTGCAGCATCTTTGTAGCTGAGGGTCACCCATTGGAGAGTCTTGTCTCCGAGTAGAACGATACCTAAACCATCCAGGTGAAAGCTGCCTGGAATTAAGTAGAAAAAAGCCCACTAGCAACAGCCTTGTTTAAATGGTTGCTATCTTGCCTCTGCAGGAAGCCAAGCAGCGTTTAAAAAATGCAAAGTCAGCTAAGTTGGTGCAGTACAGAGAACTGATTATGAAAGCTTCACTATTCCATTCTGTCTCTTTAAATGAAATGATTTTCAAAACCTAAAAGTTTAGATGCCAAAGGAGAGGGAAGAAAGCCAAAGCTAAAGGGGGAAAAAATCACATTCCAAAAACAGGGGCTAATTTTACAACAAAAGGAAAAAATCAACTTTGAACTGCTTCAGTGGGCACAGAGGGAAAGTTGCTGCAGATCTGGGCTTCAGGGCTAGCCTGCAAAACATCCAGAGGACCCTAGTCACTGAACAGGAGCCTGCCAACCAAGGTGGGTTTAAGGTCCTCTCAGTTTGTTATAAACAACCTTTTTCCTGAGGATTCTAGGCCCCAGATTTGCATTTTCTTAGAGGACTTACTTTAGAAAACTTAATGTAAATTCTTTCTCTGCTCCTTTGAGATGTAACTCTTGTCCCTGCTGCCAGTTTTATAAGCCAGTAATTTGCTTCTAATTACTTATTTGCTCAATCCAGATGTCTTTTTCTGGGACTGATGATACCATCCCTTTGCTATATAGTCATCAAGAAAGATAGTGCCCCATCTCCCAGTCTTGGTGGGAACATAGGAGACTAACTATGATAAGTGTCAGTTAACAAACTCAGATTAATCTCATCACTAACCTGCTTCAAGCCCCTCCCATACATTTGCATGAATTCACCCCAGTACTCAACACCTCTCCTGCCTTTTGTTTCAGCAGTTGAGGTCATCGTTCTCCTTCTTGCAATAGTCTTGAATAAAGTCTTCCTTGCCTTTTAAACACTGGTGCAACTTTGCTTTGACTCTGCTCATTCCAAGTCCTTTCTCTGGGATCTGGAATCAGGACACCTCTGTGGAGCCACCTTTTCTCCCTAGATGGAACTTCCCTGGGAGATGCCCCACCAGCTTCTCTTCTAGGCTGAAAGAACCCACTTCCCACTTCTGTTCCCTCCCTCTTCCATCTGTTTCCCTGGAAATGCTCATACCAGTGCTTCCTTAGGAGAGATGACACAGGGAAAGTGAGGGAAAGGGCTACTCCAGCCCATCTCTTGCTGTTCCTTGGGTCTGATCTCTATTTCCATAAGCTTCTTTCCATTTTGTATTTTTCTTTTAAATATATATTTTAAATTCTTGGGCAGGGAACAAATTAGGAATGCTATGCATAGATGAGAGGGAGAACATCTCTTAAACAGATACCTTGGGATCCCTTGAGTAAGTGGCTCAATGGCTTTACTTTGAGAAATGTATGGTTCACTGGGTGGAGAAGATCCCACTAAGCATGGTGCTGAAGAGGTTGGGCTCTGGAGTCTGCCTGGATGGGCTGATTCTTATCTCTACTGCTTAGTGTGTGACATTGGGTGAGTTGCCTACGTCTCTCGCTGTGCCTCAGATTCTTCACCTGTAAAATCAGGGCTAAGAATAATAGTACTCATGTCATAGGGTTGTTGGGAGGATTACAGGCTTATTATGCAAAACGCTTAGTACAGTGTGCCTAGCATGGGTTAAGCATTCAGTACCTTCTTAGACATATTCATCATTATAATAAGAACTTTTTCCCCCCCAGAAGGATACACAAGCAGTTGCTAACAAAGTAACCTTTGGGAAGAAATAGAATAGGGAGGGAGATTTTTCCTTTTGATTTTGTACTTAATTGTACTGTTTCAACTTTTTAACCATCTACTTTTAAGATTTCAAATAACTAAACATTTCTCCCCTCTGGTAATTAAGGGAAAAAAACCTTAATTAAGAGCAGGAGAGAGAATTCTTGTCTAGAAATGATGCTTCAGTACATCAGTGCCATTTCATACTTAAGATTTAGTTTTGAAGAACCCATTTTAAATAATAGAAAACTAACCTCTGAAACAATTACATAATCCCTTCTTCTAAGACTTTTTGATTTGATTGACTTCAATGCAGGGTGGCACCATGGCCTGTTTCTGGGTGGAGGAAAAAATTGTATTGTTTTAAACCTGGTAAGAGAGGATGAGATTTGCCTTTGTTTAGAAAATTTTGCTATTAACTTCTTCAGGTATGAGAGGGTGTTCCTGCTCACCCTGCCTCCTTGCCCCTGCTGGCATAGTGGAGATAAGAATTATTTCTCTTTAAAAGGAGCTGGCAGCCATTTTAGATTCCCATGGGCAGTTCAGAAGTGAGGGGTAAGGAGCTGAGAGATGGGAAGGGTAAGAAAGTTGAGCAGGGTGAGGTTCTTGTTGGAAAGGGTAAGGAGGTCTTTAGAACAAAGGGGTCTCAGATTTGATTTTAAATGATCTGCTGGGCAGTAATATCCCTTCACCATCATTGTTCCAGGTAAGTACTCTCATGTAAGGATTTTGGGGAAAATGAAGGAAAGATACGAGGGGAGGATTGACTTAAGTAAGATAATTATTCAGGGGAAGGAGGAAATCAAATCTAGAAGTGTCAAGGGAATAATGCAACCTCTGAGAGGTACCAGTGATACTGAGTTTCCTCTGTGTGCGGGGGTGGGAGACTGTACCCATTTCCATTTAAATACTGTTGTAGAGACTTCTAATTGTCCCCCTTCCCCAATATCTATTCTTGGTTTTAATAGAACCCGCCCCCCGCCCAATTCCTCCAGTTTGCCATAACTATGCTGCTGGGGACTGCATTTGCCTTGCAGCTGGATGTATCGTTTTGACCATGCATCTTGCCAAGGAAGAGTGAACAGAATGAGCAACATGTGCAGTTTCCCTTTTACTTCCTTGAAAGGAAATGATTTGTCTTTCATTTCTTCTTTTCTACCTTTCCATGATCTAGAACATGGAAATGGCGGTAAGTTCATTTTGACTACTTGGGTAACGACAGTACTTAGAAGGCTTGTTAAAGCACAGATGGCTGGGCCCCCAGAATTTCTGATTCAGTAAGTCTGAGGTAGAATCCCAGAAATGTGCATATTTAACTAGTTCTTGAGTGATGCTGGTCCTGCTGGTTCAGGGAGCTCAGGAGATGGCAGAACAACAAAGCAGAAAGAGCCTGAGTCCCTGGATGCTCCTGTCGAGCTGAGCTACCTAACCTCTTGTGTCACCTCCAGACTGTTGCCATGAGGGTGGAGTAAATGTCTATTTATTTTGAGCCATGGTATTTGTGTGTCTCTCTGCTTTGGAGCTGAACCTGTCTCTTAATGCACATATTACAGGTAAGGGTTATACAGCAAGGCTGGAGGACGTGGGGAGTCACATGTGGCTGGCTTTTAGGTTCAACATGGGTGAATTTATTTGGAAAAACAATAAAACAAAGGCAATTGCTTGTTTAATAATGACTTCTTTTTTGGGTTATCACAGGTAGGCAGTAGACTGAAAACATTCTTTCCACATCTGCACCAGTGCTTGTTTTCTTGCCTTGGGAAAAATCTAAAAACTTGCATGTTCTTGTGTTCTCATTTGTTAAGTGGTGTGTGTGACTTTAGTGTTGTTGTCCAGAGAGGGGTACTTTGGGTATCGTCTTAGAAATTCTTGTAAATTTAAACATTTCCTGAATGTTTCCTAGATACCACATACTATGTACTCTATATGCATTATATCATTAATTCTCTCAACAGCCCTGTGAAGAAATGTTACTATTATTTCTATTTTGCAAATGAAGAAACTGAGATTTGGAGGAAACAAGCAGGTCAAGAATCCATTCCAGGCCTGCCCATGGCCTGAACTACTTGGCAATATTCTCTCCTCCTGGCAAATGACCCATTTGCACGATCATTTTCAGACTCAGTGCATTGGGCCTAACATTTTTTAACAATAGGGTTTGGCTATTCTGTTTTGCATTGTTATGAAGGAATACCTGAGACTGGGTAGTTTATAAAGAAAACAGGTTTATTTGGCTCATGGTTCTTCAGACTGTACAAGCATGACACCAGCATCTGCTTGGGTTCTGGTGAGGCCTCAGGAAGCTTTTAGTCATGGTGGAGGGGAAGGAGAGCTGGAGTGTGACATGGCAAGAGAGGGAGCAAGAGATAGAGGAAGAGGTGCCAAGCTCTTTTTAACAATTAGATCTCACATGAACTCATAGAGTGAGAACTCACTTATTACTGTGGGGAGGGCACCAAGCCATTCATGAGGGATCTGCCCTCATGACCTAAGCCTAAATGCCTAAACCTCATGACCTAAATGCCCGTCTCCATCATTGGGGATCATATTTCAACATGAGATTTGGAGGGGACAGGCATCCATGCTGTATCAGTGTGTGTTTTCAAATGCAAATATTATTTTTTCCCCTGAGCCGTCAGCCTGACATTGCACAATCTAGCCTGCGGTATTTAGGCTCTAGAACCTGCTGTGGGAACTGTTAGTTGGAAATAAGCAAAGGGCATGGAGTTTAAAGGGGGAAAAATGGCTTTGGGTTGCCTGGATTTAAGGCTATGAGAATTTACTACCCTATGAGAACATTGGATTCCATTACAGTGTTGGGTTTAGTTAGTAATCACCTGTCTATGGGGGAAACAATGAGGAAGCCCATCTGGCAGGTTTTAAGCAGCAGCTGTGGTAATTTTCCAAGTTGCCTGCCTCAGGAGCAATGTTAACCCCAACAAAGGCCAGCGTGAGAGGAAACATTAATCCTCAAAAAAACAAATCCATATATCTCTACAAAAACCCCTCTTGGTTCTTGGTTTCCAGGGGCTTCTGAGAATCAGTTTTCTCCAGGGGCTTCTGAGAATCAGTTTTCTCTTCAGACTCCTGTTGTTTTCTTCAAGATTTACATGTTCTGTTTCCCATTCCCTCACCTCATCTACTTCTATCATAAGAGAACAAATTTTGAATTAATGCACAGTTAATTCATTAATCCTATTTTTACTTGGATGGGATTATTAGGATGAAGTAATGCCAATAGCAGAGAGTATATTTTGAGTTCTGCACAGGCCCTGGGAACGGCCTTGTTTTTAAATGAATTCAAAGCTGTGTGAGCCACTGTTCCTAAATGTGCTGGTTTGTCATTTTAAATAAACTGGAGGTCCATAGCACCCTGATTTTGGCTTAAGTCTATTACATATATTTCAAGGCTTTAGGTTGGGGGATCATAAAATTTTTTCATAAAGGGCCAGATAGTAAATATGTTTGGTTTGTGGACTATATGGTTTCCACTACAACTTCTTTTTTTTTTTTTCTTTTTTTCTTTTTTGCGATGGAGTTTCACTCTTGTTGCCCAGGCTGGAGTGCAATGGCACGATCTCGGCTCACTGCAATCTCCACCTCCTGGGTTCAAGCAATTCTCCTGCCTCAGCTTCCCAAGTAGGTGAGATTACAAGCATGCACCACCATGCCTGGCTAATTTTGTATTTTTAGTAGAGATGAGGTTTCTCCATGTGGGTCAGGCTAATCTTGAACTACTGACCTCAGGTGATCCACCCACCTTGCCCTCCCAAAGTGCTGGGATTACAGGCATGAGCCACCGTGCCCAGCCCATTGCAAATTCTTAACTTTGCTGTCGTAATAGGAAAGCGGTCATAGACAATAGTAAATGAGCATGGCTGTGCGCCAATAAAAGTTTATTTGCAAAACAGGTAGTGGCTGAATTTGGGCTGTGGGCTACAATTTGCATACTCTTTTTTAGAAACACATATAACAATTTATTCAAGTTAAAATTTACGAGGGCCTAAAGCTGCTGGGAAAAACTGGGGGAGGAAGAAGTAGCTGATGCCATGATTTATAGAACCAACATGCAAAGCTATCTTGACATTCTGGCCTCTGCTCAAGACTCCAAGATTAAATACAGTAGGGATAAATAGATGATTATCTTTGGTTCAAAATATGGCCTGTGAGTACACAGAGTGGGGGTTAACTTGCTGGGAGGGAATTTGCATGATAAAAATCTGAGCTCTTACTTTGTCTTAAAGCTTAAGAGTCTGAGAGGCTTTGCCTGCTAAAGAGATAGCCCATCTTGGGCTGCATTGCAGGTCTAATGGTTGTAGCTCAGAGATGTAATAACCCTGCTGGGTTCTTTCCTGGGTTAGATAACAGCTGGAGTGTGGCGTGCAATGCAGATACCTCATTTAGAGAGTCCATTGACAAATTCAAATTTATCTAAAAGAAGGAGACCACAATGGTTAGGGGCCAGGATACCACAATTTATGAGAAATAGTGAACGGAACTCGGTACGTTTAGCTAGGGAAGAGAGGCCCAAAATAAGAAGTCATCATTATCATCATGTGTCTGGATTTTTGTCATGAAAGGGAATAGAACCCCTGTGTGGACCAAGGCCATGGGCCCTTGCACACAGCAGCTGCATAATTAGTACTTGACTGAACAGTGTGCAGAGAGATTACAAGGAGAGAGAGTTAGGCTTGGGGTAAGGACAAACTTTCTCGTTGAGAGCTGTCCATTAATGGAATGGCTGTGCTCATTATTTATCACTGGGATAGTGCTGGGCATCAAAGAGGCAGTGAGTTGCGATAACAGTTCCCTTAGTGTAGTAGAGAAACCGCATTTTTGATGTGATAACAAAATGGTTTTTAAACGAAGATAAAAAGAGTGAGACCAGAAGGGTTATTTTTATTGTTGGTTAAATCCAATAAAAATATTCTCTATAGTATACAATGTCTTCGGCTGGGCAGGTGTTCAAGTATCAACGGGGATAATAAACACAATTTTCAACAAATTGCTTGTATCATTCAATAGAGAAGAGGGGGATAACGCAAGTGCTTGTAAGTTTGTCAGGTAGTCAGTACCACCTGGATCCTTTCACCAAGGTCTTTGAAGGATGGAGAATGATTGAGAAATGTATCAGAGAATGATTTTTAACTTTATTAGGAGCTCTACAAGGAAAGTGAAGTTCTTCTTTGTTAAAGAACAAATTGTCTCTCTATTCTCCAGACTTGTTATCCTTTGGGTCAAGTCATGAGCATTTGCTGTGTGCCTGGAATAGGTCTAAGAGTTAAATATATATCGGTTCATTTATTCCTCTACAGCAGTGATTTTAAACTATGGATGATTTCTGCCCCCAGGGGGCATCTAGCAATATCCGGAGACTTTTTAAATTGTCATAAGTGAGGTGGGGGAATACTACAGGAATTTACTGGGTGGAGGCTAGGGATGTTGTTAAACATCCTAAGATGCACAGGGCAGCCCTCCACGACAAAGGATTATCTGGCCCCAAAAGTTGATAATGCTGAGGTTGTGAAACCCTGCTATATAGAATAGTAGGAAGTATTGTTATACCCATTTTACAGATGGGTAAACTGAGAAGTTAAATAATGGACCAAAGGTCCTCCATAGCCAGAAAATTGGATACGCATTTTACTGTCTTGCGCTTTATTTAGTGATGTAAATAACTAATACATCCTAGGAAGTACTGTGTGTGATGGTTATATCCACCTCTTGGAACTAGCACAAAAATGGATTGCATTTTTATTTTTGAATTTATACTTAATACATACTAAAATACCTAGCAAGCAATCCAGCTCTCTCTAGATAAGTTTGTTAATGGAGTCAAATCAAGGTGTGGTGACGTTCTGGAGGCCTGGGAAAAAGAGTCCATGGGCTCACTGTGCCTCTTTCCTAATTTAATTTCTTTCAGCTGATCTGTTTGCTTGCCTTTTTGACCATTTTCTTGCTAACTGCACTGTTGTATCAGGGAAAGAAAATCAAGTAAATCAGTCCGATTTTCTAGCGCCTGCTCTCAGACTGGTGGAGAGGACCGAAAAATTTCTTAGGAGAATAGTCTATAGTTAGCACTAAAAAAATCAGATTGTTCTCTACCTTAGCTGGAAAAGGTAATTTGGTGAGTGTCGACTTCAGGGTTGAGTACTCTTTCCCAAGTATTTATTCTGTAAGTCATGAAATAATCACCTTGAACCTACATCTTTGCCTAACACTTGGGAAGTTTCTGCAGAGCCTTTGGTGGTCATAAAATGAGATGAGTCTTTATGGTGCAGGGTGAGGCTATCTGGATGTGTGGCCTGGTAGGAGAGGCCCCTTGCAAAATTTCCTCTCTGCCCCCGTTCCCTACCCCATCTGCTAAGATTTAAACTCAACCTCAGACAGAAAGATGAGCTCTGAAGTCTCATTTATTACTGAGGTTCAATGTTACTAAAATAACCACAAAGAAATGAGATGCCTTCTTCAGATTGCTAAAGAAGTAAGTGAATTGATCTGTGACTTAGAGGTATCTCCTCCAGTTAATCATTGCTGACTCATTGTTGCCTGCAATCCCTATGAATTACAATGAAACTAGAAAGAGAAATGATATATGCAACATGATGGGAAGTGGAAATAGGCTGCATATTTCTACATGGGATGGCTGAAATGGGAGCCCTAAGTTTTTAAGATGCAGCACCTGCACATGGAAGGCGGGGAATGACAAATGTGTCTGAATCATTTGGTTAGCAAAGCTGGCCTTGCTTGGCTGATGGCCGTTTGATGGATTCTGCCCTTTCCCATCTGCTTCACCAGTTCATTGCCAGTAGAGAAACACGCTTAGCTTAGAACCATGTTCCTATCTCACATGATTTTTTTTAAAATTATACTTTAAGTTCTAGGGTACATGTGCACAACATGCAGGTTTGTTACATATGTATATATGTGCCATGTTGGTGTGCTGCACCCGTTAACTCGTCGTTTACATTAGGTATATCTCCTAAGGCTATCCCTCCCCTCCCCCCACCCCAGTGTGTGATGTTCCTCACCCTGTGTCCAAGTGTTCTCATTGTTCAATTCCCACCTATGAATGGGAATATCGCATGCTGTTTTGATAAACCACAAGAACCTTTGAATCAGCTGAAGGTGACTGGAGAAGGTGTCTCTTCATTCTATCCTGCATCAGTGTCCCTTGGTAGGCTGGTTCCACCGTAATAAGACTAAGACAGGGATCTTCTTTCTTGACCAGATGGGGAACAGCAAGGGACGCTCTGATTTTCAACTGAAAAGGGTCCCTGAAATGCTGTGTCTACTGCCACAGTCATGGCTCTGGAAAATTAAAAAAGACAATTGTGCTCATTGATGAGACCTCTCATCCCTGTTTTGGAGGGATCTCTTCTTTCATCATGACTCTTCTTAAAGGCATGAAACCCTCCTTCCTTTGGATAAGGCATTATTTAGTGTCCTTGAAGTATAACCTTTATTCTCACATCCCCAATAATTGAAAAGTAGATGTGTTTGGGACTTGTGATCCCTTTGGAACCAGACCCTGGGGGACATGTCTCTGTGCTCTGTGGCAGTCACCCTGAATATCTACTCTCTGTGCATGTCCAGTGATTTGGTCTCACTCCTCGTGGCCATCACTTTGACTCTGTTACTGCTATGTAATACACATCATTTGGGGGAGGTGAGAGATTTAAGATGAATCACTAGCAGAAAAATCCCAGTGAAAAATGATAAAGATGGTACCAATGGAAATGCAAAAGAATCAACAGACTTAGTGATTTCACGGCATTCAGTCATGTGGGGGATTGGAGTTCTACGCAGGTAAACTAAGGAGAATCCTAAGTGCATACACAGGGAAAGAAGAGAAAATAATTAAAGGAATAGTGGGAAGAGGAAACACAGGTGAAGGAGATTTTTTGTGGTCTGGTGGGGAAGGTGATTGATTCTGTTCTTAAACAGTTCTAGAATAGGTGAGCTGGTAGTGACAGCAGGACATTTTTTGGTTAATGTTCGGCATGAAATTGGAAATCTCAGAAGGCACTGAGATTCACAGTGAGCTTAGCATCAGCGAGGCAGGTTTGGGTCTTTGGTGTTGACCCGGTAATAGACCCAAGGAAGTTGGTATGATTGCACACAGAAGGATGTGCATAAAAAGAAAAGAGACTTGTAGCCCACATCTGAAATCTTTATATTTAAGAGCTAACAGGAAAAAGATGCACAGGCAATGACGATTGAAAAGGAACTGTAGAAAAAGCAGGAGCAGAGGACACAGAAAAAGTTTAAGGAGAGGATAGCTACATTAAATGTTGCAGAAAGGTCAGATTGGAAAAGGACTGAGATGAGGCCATAGGATTTAGCACTTAGAGACATTTGAGAAAGAATTTTTAGTAAAATATTGGAGATGGAAGTCTGATTCTAGGGAGTTAAGAGGTGCCTGAGTGACGTAGAACTGTGGGTGGCGAGTGTGATTTGCGTATGAGCTTGGTGGATGGAAGCAGAGTTGCTGATGTGGGGACAAGGGTGAGGATGAATGGAAAGGGCGTCTTACCCTAAAGCGTAAAGGGAGGTGTTCAACCTGCAGGAGAAGGAGAGGAGATGGTTAAGGTGATAAAATCTAGGAGGAGGCACACAACATGGGATCAAAAGTTTACTGTTAATATGGGAAAAGGGTTGGGGTCCTTCCTTTTTACAGACTGAGGGAGTCCAGGGAACCAGATGAAGCAATGAAGTTACTTTGAGATGAAGGAAACAGGAGGTGAAGAAGAGAACATTAAGTTTTTCAGTGAAGGAGGAGGCTCAGAAAGAAGTGGATAGGTTATTTGGGGATCAGAGAAGAGTAAAATAGATTGAAATTGCTGCCATATGGTGTGGGATAGATAGTTAATAAGGATGAAGAAAAGGATTAGTGAGCAATGATGTTGAATGGCATAGATTTATAATGGGAACTGGTCAGTAAACTTTTATAATTTTCAACAGCTTGGGAACAGGAGAGGATAAAAAGGATTGAATTTAACTGGAGCTGGAATTGGCAAAATTAAATGATTAAAGGCTGGGATTAGATCTGGAAGGGGGACTTCAAGGTGTTTCTAGTGTCCCTATTTGACCATAAAGCCCCCCTTGATGGGTAACTGTAGCCTTGAATGCCACAGGACGAATGACCTCACTAGCTTTCTTTTACCAGAGAGCCTCTCGGAGGAGGGGTTTTCTGGTAGGGTATCTTTCAAAAATGAGTTTTAATAGGAAGCAATGAGGAAAAATGGGAAATACAGCTGAGAGGGTTAGGACAGTCGTAGCATTTAGAGACAGTGAGGACCCTGGGAGGACAGAAATCTCCCAGAGGGCAGGGTAGCTCCTTGGCCCCTGATCTATGTCAATAATTGCATCATTTAATTCTTTCTCTGAGGCCACAGAGTAAGCACAGAAGGCTCAGACATGTGCCCAGGGTTGCCCAGTGAATAAAATGAGCTGGGATTCAAGTTGAGGTTTGTGAGGTGCTGAACTGCAGGAGCCAATCTCTACCCTGTATCACCAGCTTCCTCAGCTGTAGAAGGCACCGGGAAGGAAAGTGGCTGGTTGGCTTCATCCCCAGGTTCCCAGCTCTCCGGAGGGGTGCAGTGTGAACAATACCCAGGGAGGTGATTATTCCTGGTGTGGTGTAATTCCTCATGGTTCCTTTCTTGGAAGAATGCTTCATCATTTGACCTTTCAGTCCTCTACACTTAAGTTTGGAAATTTGTATTTAAACTGAAGTCTGAAACATTCCGAAGTATCTCTCGCCTGCTGAATTCTACCATCCATTTCCCTCTTGGTGGAAGCAGAATGGGCTAGAATTTAGGCGAGAGAAGTATGAGTCATTTGCTCACCTTCCTGGGGAAATCTCTTGACAGGAGACAAAATGCATCCTGTCGCTGGCAGTGAGAAAGGCCCTCAGAGAGGGAAGTATGATGGCGGCTGACAATGTGTGAACAACCCAAAAAAGGATGCATCCCCAGGGACCATGTGAGCTGAGGAAAGCTGCGAGCTTAAGTAGTGTGAGGAGGCAAAGCCTGGAGCCAAAAGCAGGCTCAAGGGCTACAGCTAGAGCCTCATGTGCTTAGGAAACAAAAACAGCCCCCTGCCCCACGGGCTAAACTACTCCTCAGCAAAGCAACCTTTTAGAAGACAACAGCCAGCCTCTTTTCATGTCAGAGCTTTATTTTGTTCACAGCTGGGAATGAGGGCAAATGATCTGAAGGAAAGACTTCCAGGAGCCATGTTTGGTTAGTTTTTAAGTTCACTGTGATGGTAAGGCAGCCTCTAAAGTGGCCCCCAACGATCCGCACCCACTAATATTCACATCCATTGCAATCCACACTTCACCTCACACCAGCCTTGAATGTGGGCTAGACCTAGTCATTTGATTCAACAAATAGAATGGGGTGAAGGGGATATCACTTCCAAGATAAAGTTGCAAAAAAGACTATGACTTCTGTCTTGCTTGCTCTTTCCCTCTCACTTGCTTTCTCTGATAGTATCAGCTGCCATGCTGTGAGCTGCCCTATGGAGGTCCACATGGGAAGGAACTGAGGGAAGCCTCCAGTCAACAGTCAGTGAAGGACTCAGGAACTGAGGCCAACAATCCTCAAAGATCTGAGTGCTGCAACCACAGGAGCTTAGAAGAGAATCCTGCCCAGTTGAGCCTTTCCATGATTACATCCCTAGTTGATCTTGACCGGAGTGTTGTGACTTTAAGAGAACCCATCTAGCTGGGTGTGGTGGCGCACACCTGTAATCCCAGCACTTTGGGAGGCCAAGGCAGGTGGATCACGAGGTCAGGAGTTCAAGACTAGCCTGGCCAAGGTGGTGAAACCCCATCTCTACTAAAAATGCAACAGTTAGCTGGGCACAATGGCAGGAGGCTATAATCCCAGCTACTCGGGAGGCTGAGGCAGGAGAATCCCTTCAACCTGGGTGGCAGAGGTTGCAGTGAGCTGAGATCAAGCCCTGGCACTCTAGCCTGGGCAACAGAGTGAGACTCCATCTCAAAAACAAAACAAAACAAAACAAAACCATCTAAGTAGCACCCTGATTCCTGACCCTCAGATAATGTGACATAGAAAAAAATGTGTGTTTAAGATGTTAAGTTTTGGACGAGGCATGGTGGCTCATGCCTGTAATCCCAGTGCTGTGGGAGGATTGCTTGAGGCCAGGAGTTCAAGAACAGCCTGGGCAATATAGTGAGATCCTACCTCTACAAAAAATTAAAAAATTGGCCTGATGCAGTGGCACACACCTGTAGTTCCAGCTATTGGGGAGGCTGAGGTGGGAGGATGCTTGATCCTAGGAGTTTGAGAGTGCAGTGAGCTGTGATTGGACCACTGCATTTCAGCCTGGGCAACTGAGACCCTCTTTCTTTTCTTTTATTTTCCTTTTCTTTCTTTCTTTTTTTTTTTTGAGAGGGGGTTTTGCTTTTGTCACCCAGGCTGGAGTGCAGTGGCATGATCTTGGCTCACTGCAACCTCCGCCTCCCAGGTTCAAGTGATTTTCCTGCTTCAGCCTCATGAGTAGCTGGGATTACAGGCGCCTGCCACCACACCCAGCTAATTTTTGCATTTTTGGTAGAGATGGGGTTTCACCGCGTTGGCCAGGTTGGTCTTGAACTCCTGACCTCAGTGATCTGCCCACCTCAGCCTCCCAAAGTGCTGGGATTGCAGGCATGAGCCACTGTTCCTGGCCATGAGACCCTATCTCTTTAAAAAAAAGATATGTTTTGGGGCAATTTACTGCACAAAAATAGATAACTAATGCAACTATACTAATTTCCACATCACTATTCATACTCCTTAGGAGTAAAAGAGGCTCTTCCTGGAAAGACCCCTGTAACACTGGGGTGTTACAGACAGCTGCTCCTGGCCTATTTGATGTTGCTGCTCCTGAGTATGTAACACCCCAATGCCTGCTTGTCAAGAATGTTGATGACCTCTGGAAAGAGAACTGAAGAAGTCAACATTTCAGTGTCTTGATGGTGCCTATTAGACTGCCTGAGCCCCTACGTGTAAAAGGCTGTGAGAATTCCCTGGTTTGTGGTTTAGAACCCACTGAGGAAATGGACAGGTTAGTTAGTGGTGAAAAGGTCAAGTTTTAGGCCACGGTAAAGTAGAGGCAAGCCCTGGTCAATAGGGTACTCTGTATAGTGATCTACCACTCTGTTACAGATGGTGGGGCAACTCCTTCCATTCCAGACAATGTCTTCTGCTGTTCATGTCCTTACTATAGCAAACTGTGCTCAGTTTTTTGAAGTGTTAGCCATATTGCTTTTCAGTAGCCCTAGATCCTGACGAAGTGTTTTCTGACACCAGACTTTTAAGCTAACTCCCTCCCACCCTACCTTTTTTTTTGTTTTTTTGTTTTTGTTTTTTTTTGAGACAGAATCTCACGCTGTCATCCAGGCTGGAGTGTGGTGGTGTGATCTCAGCTCACTACAACCACTGCCTCCTGGGTTCAACCAATTCTTGTGCCTCAGCCTCCTGAATAGCTGGGATTACAGACATGCTCCACCACACCCAATTAATTTTTGTATTTTTAGTAGAGACGGGGTTTTGCTGTGTTGGCCAGGGTAGTCTTGAACTCCTAGCCTCATGCAATTCATTCACCTGCCTTGGCCTCCCAAAGTGCTGGGATTACAGGCATGAACCATCACACCAGGCCTAAGCTGACTTCACTTTTTAATTGCTTTTTACACTGACAGTTTTCCTTAAAATTCTTTTTCATCTCTATCCTGACTCCAGCTACCTCTATCCTAGTGGCACAAGAGAAAAAAAAGGCAGGAATTGGCCTTAAAAGCATGGGGAGAAGAGGTTTAATGTTGTTCTCTGTCAAGGCTGATGTCCTATCCTTTTATTGTACCATAGATAGGCAATGGTTAGGAAGCTCCTTACTTGGAGGTATTTCAGTATGTTCTTAGATACAGAAGTCTATCTGCTAAAAATGTTGCTACATGAGATGATATCTTATAATTGCATAGCTACCCCTTTTAACAAAATCATATATACTTGTCTCTCCTTCCACACTTCCAGTACTTCCAGAAGTAATTATATTACATTTGAATTTTAGGTACTTATTGTTTAAACTAAAATATCAGTAAAATACTCCTCTTCCTCCCTGCTCAAAAATGACAATGATCTCAGACCCTCTCTCTCCTCAAACCTCCAGCGCCTTCTTTAACATTGCTGTAAGTTGGTCCCCTTGAATTCTACTTTATTGAGAGCATCAGAGTGTTTGGAAGAAGCTGCCACAGGCTTCTCCCCTGTCAGCATCAGCACCTGCACACTCTACCTTTTCTAGCTAAGGTGAGATCCTCTGCCACGTGTGCACTAGGTGGCATTCTCCTCTTCCTCTTTCAGGACATGACTACAGCAACTCTCTCCTCTCTTACATCATTGACATTTTTGTTCTTTCCTGGATCATTGTTATGAACATATTATTAATTTCCCACCTTAAAATGGAGAATTTTTCTCTCACTTTCTCTACCAGCTGCCACCCCATTTCTTTGCACTGGTTACAACAAAATCCCCAGAGAGCTATCTATGCTCACTGTCTCCAATATTTATTTTCTCATGATTTCTCTTGAGTTACTTAATCAGTTCTGTTTTTAAATCGCTCCACAGAAATGGCTCTTATCAAGGTTACCTATGACCTCCACAGTGTTATAGTTCATAGTTATCAGTCTTTATCTTACTTGAATGGTGAGAGGCATTTGACACAGTCATTTATTCCCCACTCTTTGATACACTGTCCCTGCTTGGCTTCCTGTAGGCCATACTCTCCTGGTGCCTCCTCCTTAGACTCCTTTGTGGGTTCCTTCTCTTCTCACTAATCTATTAATGTTGCCATATCCCAGGGCACAGTCCTTGGTCCTTTCCTCTTTGCTGTTTATACTCACCTTCTTGGTTATCTCATCCAGTCCTATGGCTATAACTGCCTTCTATATGCCAACACTTTCAAAATTTTGATGTCCAGTCCAGACTTTTCTTTTACACTCCAGATTTCTATATCCAACTGTGTACTTGGCATCTCCACTTGGATGACTGTCTTCTCAAACTGAAACTGTCCAAAACTGAATTCCTGTCCCCCTGATTCCTGCCAAAGCTATAACAGCTGCAAACTTCACTGATCTTAGTTGACAGCAATCCATTATTCCATTTCTTAAGCCAAAAAACTTGAAGTTGTCCTTGATTCTTTCTTTCTTTCACATCCCATGTCTAAACAGGCAGGAACTATTGCTGGCTTGAAGATCTATCCAGAATCTGACCACTTTCATCACCTCTTCGCTGCCATCTAGATCTAAGCCACCACCATCATGTCTTGCTTGGACTCCTGCTCTAGCCTCCATGGTCTCCTGGCTTCTACCCTTGCATCTCCACAATTTATTTCCAACACAGCAGCCAGCCTGACAGTTTTTAAAGATGATGTTGCATCTTAAAAAATTCCAGAAGCTCCACATTTCACATTATAGTCCTTGACATGGCCTGCATGATTAGGCTCCTGTCACTTCTGTGATCTTGGCTGTGCAACTTAACTCCTCTATGTTCTAGTTTCCTCTTTTAAAATGGAGCATGGTATAATTCTTACCTCACACAATTGCTATAAGGATATAACAATTGGTATCCTCGTAACAATCCTGTAAGATAATGCATGTAATAGTAAAAATACATGTAATCGTAAAATGAGCCATTATTTTTTCAATATCATTAGGAATGATAAAATAATATTGTTAAGTTTAATGCTCTTAGCTTAGAATGAGAGGCTGTTTACATTTTTTCCAATCTTTCCTTATACTGCCTTTCTAATGGTTGTCCCTCTCTGTTTCTCAGTTTTACTGCTTGTAAACATGGTAACATGGATGTAAGCCACACCCTTGCTCACAGGTTTGTTGTGAGGCTGCATAAGATACTGCACATCCAAGTCCTTTATTGTAGAAGGGGCTATCGAACTAGAAGATACTGTCTTCGTACTTCTAAGGACTAAAAGCTCCTTTTTTCTTGTCTCTGCAGAAATGACAACAAGGTGATTTTCCCTCAAATGTTTCACCTGGAGACCTGAAAATAACAAACATTTATGTTGCTATGACAACATTAGAAAGGGAGTCAGTACTCAAAGCAACTAAGTACTGCCCCTTAACAGGCTGCAGGGCGAGGCACTTGATTTGACAGATTAGAAAACAGCAGGGACCCTTGCTTACCCCGCCTTGTGAGCCCACATATCCTTGTCAACTCTGATTAATGAATGTTCCAGCAGAAAAGAAGCACCATTCATTGTGTATTCTTCTTAGTGTTTGAAGTTGATGGGGCTTGTTTCTCTCATTTCATTGAAATGCTTCCCACACAAAACAAACAAGGTCAGCTTTTTGGATTTCCGAGAGTATACACTCACCTGTAGGTCCAAAGCACAATCATTTCAATGCAAGTTGTGACAAAAGAAAAAAAATATGCCATTGTTCAGTCATTTTGAAGAATATCTGATGTAATGTTTGAGTTAAGCAGATGGATGGACCTGGAGAGATGAAGGACTCTGGCCTAGAACTTGGTAAATGGGCCTTGCACCCATCTTCTGAGTACTGCAAGGCTTTTGATGTGAGAACTTTGCTCCTTTTAATCTTACGTCTGCATCTTTGTCTGTATAGGATAGTCTGTATTGATGGAACTGGACAACTTAGGCTGGGAGAAGAAGGGGGAAGAGGTTCTGGAAAGAAGCAAGGCAAAGCCAGTTCTCTACAGGGATAAGTCAGACTAATGTCTCATTAGTTTCCTATTTTAAATATGAGTAGAAAACCAGGAAATGTGAATAACACAAATAAAATCTGGTGCAATAGAGGTTAGAGCCACTGTCAGATACCTTATAGAGTTGGTCTGTATGACATTAAGCAATTGAACAGTTATAACCGTGCATACCGTGCATGCGATATTTGGATGGAAATTTATCTTAGGACCTATTTTTGGAGTCTAGGCCATCTGCTATGCCTTGCACTCAGCAGTATGATGTGGCAGCAGCATGGGCTCTGTGGGCTAGCTTCATCACACCAGCTGCATGGCCCTTGGGCTAGATGTTGAATTTCTTCATGCCTCAGTTTCCTCCTTTATAAAATGAATAATATGATAGTAATGATAATAATACTTTGTAGGGTCATTGTGGGAGTTAAATGAGATAATAAATGTGAAACTAATTGGAATGGAGTTAGATTCTTTGTTCCTGTGCGCCTTCAGGACCATCAAAGGGTGAGATGGCCATACAAGATCATGATAACAAAGTCTCTTTCCCCTTAGGTTTGGCAGTGAAGTAAGTAGACGAATAATTACTATAAATATAATGCAAATGGTTTAATGTGCTATAAAGCAAAGTGATTAAAAAAACAAGAGAATGTGAGGAATTTTGACTAGGGAGAAATCTGGATACTTGGTTGAAGTTGTGATGGGTGGATAGAGTTAGTGGTGGGGAGGTGGGGAGACTTTCCAGGGGGAGGAGAGAGCAATTGTCCAGGCCTAGGGACTGGAGAACACAGGGAACAGTGGGATCACATTATCAGGATGGCTTTCCAGGAACAGGCTGTATGGGGGGCATTAGAACAGAAGCCCGAAGTCCAAGTAGGTTGAGCCTGAATGCTGGATGAGTTGTTTAGGTTTTATTCTATAAAATATTGGTAGCCATTTTTTTTAAAGCAGGTATCTTAGTTCATTTATGTTGCTGTAAAGGAATACCTGAGGCTGGGTAATTTATAAAGAAAAGAGGTTTATCTGGCTCACTGTTCTGCAGGCTGTACAAGAAGCATAACACCAGCATCTGCTTCTGGTGAGGGCTTCAGGAAGCTTCCAGTCATGGCAGAAGGGGAAGAGGAGCTGGCATCTCATGGTGAGGAGGAAAGAAAGAGGGGAGACTCTTTAACAGCCAGATCTCATGGGAACTAAGAGTGAGAACTCACTCAATCCCACAGGATTGAATGGCACTTAGCCATTCAAGAGGCATCTGCCTCCATGACCCAAACTCTTCCCACTAGGCTCCACCTCCAATATTGGGGATCAAATTACAACATGAGATTTGGAGGGGACAAATATTCACACTGTATCAGCAGGTGAGTGACAATGATTAGGTCTGTGCTTGAGGAAGAGAATTCTGGCCTTTGTATATCTGAGGGCTTATGGGAAGGAAGACTAAAATACTCTAGAAGAGAATTTGGCAGCTTAATGTATGTAATGGTTGAGGCTGAGGCTAAAGCCAAGAATAGGTTAGCCTTGAAACTGCTTGGGAGCCTGGGTGACCAGGAAGATGACAGGAGACAAACTTATGGTTGTTAAATGACTAATTAGTATCACTTCTAGATCCGTGTTGGGAAGAGGTGGGGACAACTGGGTGAAACGGGAAACCACCACAGGCCCAACCGAAGGCCCCTGGATCTCTAAGTCTGGATGGAAGGCAGAAGTCCTAGCACCCACACTGTGCAGGTACTCTGGCAGTTGCAGCCTCAGTGTCCAACCCTCCTGTCTGTTGTTCATGGTAGGCACTGAGGTCTGACTCTGTTTAGTCTTCCCTTTCCTTCCTAGCAGCCTACCTTCAGCATTCTGTAAGGAAGTCAGCTCCCATAACCAAGGGGAGGATGCCTTTCTAAGTATCTGCTATGAGGCCGGCCCCAGAGTCCCAGCCATTGGTCCAGCTGCCAAACTCAGGGAGCATACACATCTGTCAGCCAGAGGTTGGCATATAGAACTCAAAAAAGTAATTTTAAAATTATGATTCTTTTTATCCCTTTCCTTTGGTTCCCCTTCCTATCATTATTTAATTCTTGAACAAACAGTTATTGAATGCCCATTATGTGCATGGCACTGAGCTTGGTGCTGGAGTGAGGGCACTATTATAATATGAATTAGACATTGCCCTTGAGGAGCTTATCCTAGACATTTGTGTTGGATGTACCATTTTCTCTTTGTTAGTAAAAAAGAGAACTGCCTTGGGAAATTTAATAGAGAGTTTTAGGTGAGTGGGCTTGCTTTTTAACTCAGTTGATCACAGCATTATTTCTGGATACAGTCTGCAGGTCTTTATAAATATAGTCTAACTCTCTCGTTTTACAGACAAGCAACAAACTCTGAGAGGAGGTCAAGTGACTTCAAAGGTCACACAAGTAAAGAATTCTAAACTGGGTTTGGAACTCATGTTTTCCAGCATATGTCTTTTTAAATTATCTTTTGTCTCTTTAATGCTAAAAACCCAGAATAAGCCTTCACAAAAATATCCTAGCATAAATTCTTAATGGTGAGGGATAATCTTTCTTCTCACTCCCCATCAGTGCACATAGTGCGAATGAGACAGAAGTGTGGGATGAAACAGATGAGGAGGATGGAGCAGCACATGTGTGGGTGAGGCAGAAACAAGGCAGAAGGGCTTTGAATGTGGCAGATCCATCAGATACACCCCTGAAGCCTGCAGACAGGATGGTCTCTGGGAGGATGTGCTCGAAGAAAATGACTGGCTCTGAAAGTGAGTGGTGTTAGGAGGATTCTTCATGTTCATCTTATGTAATTGTTAATTTTCCTAGAATGAACGTGCTTTGCTCTGCTGTTGGCTACTCTGCATCCATTCTCCGTACTCCGGTTAGTTTTATTCTGTCTTTCTTCAGGGGGAACTACTTTCTCCCTGAATCTCAGTTCATGTGCTTTGGGTGGGAATCACTTTTGCCCCTCAGCTCCAGCTTTTGGGAGGTATAGATTCAACCAGTCACCATATTCTTGGGCACAGTAATTGCTTTTGAGATGGACTTATGTTCCATTTGGAGCCAGGAAAATATATTTTCTATAACTGTGAGATGAGAATCAAGCTCTCTAGGTGTTGAACTTGAACTTGGGATTATGTGAGTTACAGTTGCTGATAACTGATAAAACAATATAACAAAATTACAAAAAGTAAAAGATCTGGTGTCTGCCAGCTGCTTCACCTTATGGAATTTTATTTTTGCTATTTAAAAAGAGCGAGGCATCAATATATTTTGCCAAAGTAGATGTCAGTGGGAAGCTGCCTCCCCAGTGGTATACAGAAAACCAGGGCTTCATCAAAATAAACTAGAGGCAAGAGCCTGGCCTTCAGATATAGTACTTGTCCAACTGTGAGCTACTGCTCGCTACAGTGGATGCTTGCTACATAGTCAAAAGAGCAAGAGTTAATTCTGTGATATGTTAAAAATTGAATATAATGAATAAGCCCTAGCTGTGTTCACAGATTTCAGATTCTTCCATCCCTTCTTCCCCACCTTATGCCATTTAACAATGCGCAAAATGAAAACCTTGTCAAACAAACAGAGTAGACATAGGTAACCCAGGATGAATTAGAATTATTATTTTTTAATAATAACATTTTACCCTTTAAAATGGTTTTAGATTTACAGGAAAATTGTAAAGAATCCTTATGTACCCCACACTCAGTTTTCCCTTTTATTAATACCTCACATTAGTATGCGATATGATTTTGCTGTGTCCCCACCCAAATCTCATCTTGAATTCCCATATGTTTTGGGAGGGATCCAGTGGGACGTGACTTGCTCTTCCTTGACTTCCGCCACGATTGTGAGACCTCCCCAGTCATGTGGAATTGTGAGTCCATTAAACCTCTTTCCTGTATAAATTACCCAGTCTCAGGTATGTCTTTATTAGCAGCGTGAAAATTGACTAATGCAGTATGGTACAATTTGTTACAACTAGTGAACCAATACTGATACATTATTAACTAAAGTCCATAGTTTATTCAAATTTACTTAGGTTTTTGCAAATATCTTTTTTTTTCTGTCCTAGGATCCCATGTGACATGGGCTATTTCACATTATGTTTAGTATTCGTGTCTCCTCAGGCTCTTCTTGACTGTGATAGTTTCTCAGACTTTCCTTGTTTTTGATGACTCTGACAGTTTGGAGGACTGTCAAAATTTTGGTCAGGTATTTTGTACAATGTGCCTGTATTGGAATTTGTCTAATATTTTTCTCATGACTGGTTTTTAAAAAAATTTTATTTTTGAATTTTAATTTTTTTTGGGGGGTGGGGGAGAAAGACCTCAGAGGTCAAGTATCATCCTCGTAACATCATGTCAAGGATACAAACTATCAATATGAATGATTACTGTTGATATTAACCTTGATCTCCTGGTTGAGGTAGTGTTAGTCAGGTCTCTTCTAGAAAGTTACTTTTTTCTCTCACTTCCATATTGTACTCTTTCAAAGGAAGGTACTAAATGCAGCCCAGATATAAATGATAGAATGAGAAATTATACTTTACTTCCTTGAGAGAGCAGCAGCTACATAAGTTACTTGGAATTCTTTTGCATGGGAGATTGACTTCTTCTCCTCTGTTTATTAATTTCTTTATGTTAGTGTAGACTAATGAATATTCATTTTATACTTTTGTTTATAACCTGATACTGCTATTTTATTTATTTTCTTGCTTGAATTGTTCCCGCTTTGGCCATTGGGAGTTTTTTCATTTGGCTTCTGAGTCTTTGACATACCCCCGTACATATGTGTTTTGTTATTTTCAAACTTTCTTATTTCTAGCACAACAAAATATTCCAGGCTCATCTTCTATATTTCCTTCCCTTGTCCTAGAATTACCCATTTCTCCAAGGAGACTTTTATTGGAGAATGGTATTAGAGACAAAGGTCTAGGTGCTGGTAGCTGGTTGCTACTGGGTTTGTGTTGCTTCTAGCTCCTCTCAGATGGCAGAGCAAGGAAATATATGTATGTATGCTACTTTGCCTATGCACACATATCTATAAATATTGTCTTTCACGAAACCGGTCCCTGGTGCAAAAAAGGTTGGGGACTGCTGAACTAGAGTGTAGTGCTTATGCAAATATTTCTGTATATAATCATCTGTATGTACGTGTCTCCAACTCTAATCCACATAGATCATTCTAGCCTCCTTCTCTTTCTTGTCTGTAACCTTCCACTCCAACAGTGAGAAACTTCTCTTACCACGCACCACTCATTTACTTAATTTTTCAATCCCAGTGTACATATATAGCAGTGTCAGAATTGTTAACCCATACCCCTATGTGAAACCATTTTACCAACTGGAGCAGGGTCCCCAACACTTGGTACCGGTCCGTGACCCGTTACGAACCGGGCCACATAGCAGGAGGTGAGCGGCAGGCAAGCAAGCATTTTTGCCTGAGCTCCCCATCCTGTCAGATCAGCGGCTGCATTAGATCCTCATAAGAGAACGAACCCCACTGTGAACTGAGCATGTGAAGGACCTAGGTTGTGCACTCCTTATGAGAATCTAATGCGTGGTGATCTGTCACTGTCTCCCATCACGCCAAGATGGGACCATCTAGTTGCAGAAAAACAAGCTCAGGGCTCCACTGATTCTGCATTATGGTGAGTGGTATAATTATTTCATTATGTATTACAATGTAATAATAATAGAAATAAAGTACACAATAAATGTAATGCACTTGAATCAGCCTGAAACCATCCCCCCCTCCAGTCTGTGGAAAAATAGTCTTTCAGGAAACTGGCCCCTGGTGTCAAAAAGTTTGGGGACACTGAACTACAGTGCAGGACTTATGCAGTGCTTAGTAAAGTTTTTACATTTTGTCTTACAGACTTCATTCATTTCCAAAGTTTGTTACTTATTTTTCCTCCACCCTCTTCAGTGAGGTTGTTTCATAATAATACACTTAGATTCTTTTAACATAGTCTACATTTCATCCTGGGATATGTCAACCTTCTCCATGAGTTTTAACTCATTTATCATTTGCATACTTTAAAGTTCTCTCTCTGTGCTCTAAAGTATATGGTATATTTCACAACCGTTGCTTTTTCTCTTCCCCTAACAGACCCATGAGGAGCTCTTTCTTGGTTCTTTAAAATGAGAAACTTGCTGGGTTCCTGGAGGTAAAACCATGAAAGTGTGGGGCCCTTTAAGACTATAGCTCCTTGGAGTTTTTCACTGTCAAGCTAGTACACACTCAGCCTCCAGCAATTTATCAAAATGACCATTAGAGTGTTCCTACTAGTTTATAGCTTCTGCTTCAGGTAAGCAGATCTTAATTGTGATGTCTGTATTTATCTCTCTCTCTAGACTTCAGGGTAGTGGTTTGCCCTAAGAGCTCAATTCTTTGAGGGGTCCAAGAAAAGTCACTGATATTTAGTTTGTTCAGTTTTCTTTCTTGTTGCAAGGAGGAGTATGATGACATTCAACCTCAACATGTTGGAGCTTAAACCAGAAGTTAGTAAGAATGAATTTTGACTAGCTCCTCTACCCACCCATCACCAAAAAAAAAATTCCCAGCTCTCTGAAAACGTGACCCCTGCCTTATCCATTACTGAAGGAATTTTGAAAAGGGCCTGTCCTACTGAACAAGGAATTATCACCTGGGCCCAGCACACACTCACCACTTCTTTGCAACTTTTAGAGCCTCAGGTACTTACATTTGGGTGCTGTGTCACAGTGGCTTTGGAGCAAGACAGATCTGGGCTTGAAACTCAGCTCCATGATTTCCTGTGGATGAGACTTGAAAGCTGTTATTAATATTTCAAAAGTACCATTCACTCAATTCATTCAACAGTTGTTTATTGAGCACATGCTGTGTGTCAGACATGATTGCATCAGGGAATAAACCATGTCCCTATTCTCATGGAACTTTCTTACAGTTTTATCACACCAGGTACCAAACAGTACTGATTGAGCCAGAGACTTGTAGATTAATCCCATAAAATCCTGTAGGAATTGTAAATAGGGTTTTGAAACATAGAGTGCTGAGGATGGGTGCTTAGAGGGACAATGAAATTTCCTGGGCCTGTGAGGGTGCCAGAGAGGTGATTCAAAGCATTCTCAGTCCTCTGGGAACATCTTTGATCCTGTTCTTAGAAGGTTCTTATTGTGGTAATCCCCAGGTACAAGTAGGGCATTTGTCAGGAGCTTCAGGGAAAGAAAACTCTTACTAGTTCCTCTGGGGGAGTGTTTGTTTAACAAATTTATCTCCCTAAACTCAAAAATTATTAGGCATTTCATGGTTTTGTGAGCTGTTTGGAAAAGGAGGAAAGAAAGTGGAAATCATATTCTTGGAGATGGGCTGGATATCTTCTCCAGTGGAAAATAAGCATTTTCTCTTCAAGTAGAGTTCAATGTCAGGGTACCTGGGCAATCCTGGAATGGCCTCAGGGAGTTGGAGCAGCGCCTAACCTCGGTCAGTGCCTAACAGTTTGCTTTAAGGTGAACATGCAAATCCCATTTACCAGGGGCTCCTTCACAGAAGCTCCAACACACATTCTTTATTGAAGCCTGTTCTCTGTAGATGCAGGTTTTCAGTTCATAGAAAATCAGCATTGTGCCTTGGGGCAATTTTAGAAGTTTGTGTAGAAAATTGTATGAATTCAGAAATATCCAGTGAGAAAAGATTAATATTAAAAGAAAAACTCTGTAATCCCAGCACTTTGGGAGGCTGAGGTGGGTGAATCACATCAGGCCAGGAGTTCAAGACCAGCCTGGCCAACATGGTGAAACCTTGTCTCTACTAAAAATACAAAAATTAGTTGAGCATGGTGGTGCACGCCTGTAGTCCCAGCTACTTGGGAGGCTGAGGCAGGAGAATCACTTGAACTCGGGAGGTGGAGGTTGCAGTGAGCCAAGATTGAGCTGCTGCATTCCAGTTCCAGCCTGGGTGACAGAGCAAGAATCTGTCTCGGAAAAAAAAAAAAAAAAAAAAAAAGGCTGGGTGTGGTGCCTCACGCCTGTAATCTCAGCACTTTGGGAGGCCGAGGTGGGTGGATCACAAGGTCAGGAGATCGAGACCATCCTGGCGAACACGGTGAAACCCCGTCTCTACTAAAAATACAAAAAAATTAGCTGGGTGTGGTGGCAGGCGCCTGTAGTCCTAGCTATTCGGGAGGCTGAAGCAGGAGAATGGTGTGAACCCGGAAGGCGGAGCTTGCAGTGAGCCGAGATCGTGCCACTGCACTCCAGCCTGGGCGACAGAACGAGACTCCATCTCAAAAAAAAGGGAAAACTGAACTAGTTCAACTTTTCCCCTTTAATCCAGCCAGATAGCTTCTGTTTCTGTATCTCTTTCTCATCTTGGTGTTCTTTCACTTCTGAGATGCCCATATACTCGTGAAACCTTCTAGAATCCAGATTATAACCCTGAGAAGCCAGTTCCTATTAAGAGAAGCCTACAATTCTGAAGAAATAAATATGAATAACTTTAGGTCAGGGGCAGTGTCGCATATCAGGTTTTCCAGACGCAGAGCCTAAGAAAGAGGTTTTGGTGCTTGTGATTTATTGAGATTGTGGTCTTAAGAAAACCTATCAGGGAGAAAGTGAATCAGGATGGGCAGAGGAAAGAGTTGAAAAATGATGTAATCTCAGGAAAAGTCCACTGACGTGTGTGTGTGTGTGTGTGTGTGTGTGTGTATCGTGGGGGTGAGGGTTGTTGGGGGGGCGTGTGGGCTGGTTCTAGAGCATAAATCTCGTGGTAGTCAGTGTCAACCCCTTTGAGACAAGAGGGGCAGCTTTTGATACCTCTGAATTTGACACCCTGTGGTCAGCTTCTGGCCATAGGCTTCTGTGTGTGTTGGGGGTGAGGTCCATAATTTTCTATGGTAGGTGGCTCCTATCAGCCAAGGGCAGTTCTCCAGGGAAGGACAGAAGCTGTGAGCCATTAGCAGACAACACTCCCACCAGCAACATTCTCTTTTACATAGTCCTATAAAAGAGATCTGGATAGGGCACCAATAGCATCTACTCAAGATAGAAAGCACATAATATGAACTTGGAACAACTACGAAGAGAAAGCAGGAAAACTAATGAAAGTTGCTGGGGTTATGGTAAGGACTCAGGAACCAACTTGAATAGGCTTCCACTGGCCAGAGATGGAACGAGATGACATTTGTTTCAAACATAAAATAGTACTAAAAACCATGAATTTCTAAAGATTAAAAAAATCCAACACAACAACAGCACACCAATTACCTCATCCATTATCTTGGAGGATGCTAGGCCTCCAACTCCTTGTTCTGTAAGCTGGTATATAAAGGAAAAGAATCAAGCATTTGTCCCACATTTCTGGTAAGAACTCTATTTGGGTAACAAAATAGTTGCTAAAAAGTTTTTCTTTCAGAATAAGTTGAGTTAACAAATTAAGAAGGAAAGATAGCCTTAGAATATCACTACTTTCAACCTCTAATGAAATAATGAATCTCAGAAATGATCATGGCTAAAACAATTAAATGAAAAGCTGATAGGAAAACCCATCATAAGTGGGGACTCCTATAATTGATGGATCAGGCTGTAAACAGCTAAACCCATTGATCAATCTCAATGGCACACAAAAATAGGCACGCAGACATCTAGGTGTGTCAATGCTGTACAGTAGGAAGCACACAGCACCACCTGTGAAATATTCTTGTCTCCCCAAATCAACTAAATCTAATCAGGCCTCTGGGTCTAACTACAATTTGCAGAAAATACAGGGACAGAGACATATTAAATGACGTTAGCAAATTATCAAATCTGAATGAAAGGAATTCTACAGGACAAATGACGTAGTTTCTTAAATAAATGCTTTTTTAAGAAAAAAAAACAGGGAAATGTATAGAGTAAAAATAATTTTTAGAGGCATATCAACCCAATGAAATGTGTATACCTTATCCAACTTCTGATTTGAGAAAAGCAACTATAGCAAAAAACAATTGTGAGACAATTGGAGAAATTTTAATATTTCCTGAATATGTAATAATAACAAAACTTAAAAAAATTTAAAAAGTTGATATGATTATATTATTTGGTTAAAAAGAGTCCTTATATATTAGATGTAAATACTGAAGTATATGTCTGAGATTTGCTTCAAAATAACCCAGAGTAAGAGAGAAGTAAATGTGGGTATAAATGAAACAAGATTGGCTATCAATTGACAATTTGGATGGGTCTGAGATTCACTGGAATTTATTATATTCTTTAAATTTCTTATAAGTTTGAAATTTTCCATAAACATACAAGTGAAAAAACCAACCCTAGGTGTATTATAGTTTTAAATGTGAAAGATAAAATTAAGTTTCTGGAAGTATAGGAGAATATCACTATAACCATGTGGGAAAAAAGAGCACTAACCATACAAAATTAGGATCCTTTATTCATTAAATGAAACCATTAAGAAAGACAGAAAGCAAGCTATTGAGTGATAAAATGTACTTGCAATATATATGACTGCAAATAACTCATATTGACCAAAACCAAAATACTCCTACAAATCCATAAAAAACAGAGAACCCAAAAGAAAGTAACAAAAATACATGAAAATACTCCTTTCCCAAAAAGGATATCCAACACCCAAGAAAGAAGAAAAGTTGCTCAAACTCGTTAATCAACAGGGAAATGCAAATTCACATCATAATGTTATATTTCTACTTACTTGCCAGACTAAAGTGAAAAAGACCATACTAAGTGAAAATGTGGAACAAGTGGAACTTTCACATGCTACTGTTTGGAGGCATAAATTGGTAATATCACCTTGGAAAAAGTAGCAATGTCTATAAAAGCTGAACATATATGTATACCCTATGACAGAGCAATTCTACTTCTCTGTATATATGCCCCAAACAATTGTGTATAATCGTACACTAAATGTTCCAGAATGTTTGGTGCTATCTTATTCTTAATAGCATCAAATCTGAAACAACCCAAATGTCCATCAATAGAATGAATAAATAAATTGTGATATATAATACTATACACTAATAAAAATTAAGGAATAGTGATTCCTTCATTCCCACACAAAAGCAGTTAAGACTAATCACAAGTTTGTAAATTTCTATTGAATAGTAATGGGTCAATAATTCACTAGGAAACATATATACCACAAATGGTGGCAACAAAAAAGTGTCCTTTGGACACCAGGAAGAAACTAGAACAAGCCTTCTACTTACTGTCATTTTATCCCTCTGGGTGGGTCCTTTAGGTAGGGAGTAGGTGCTCTAGGCAGAAATGCTTCTGCGTCATCGTTATTATTATTACTTTAAAAATGTCTCTTCAGTGTTCAGAAGATTTGAAAGTAGAAGGGAAGAATTCCCCTCTCTTACGGCCCTGTAAAGAATCAACATATTGGGCAGAGGCATTGCATTTTCTTTTCTGGGGCTTTTTGCCAGTCTCTTGACATTCACCCACTTAAGAAAAATAGTTTGATTTTTTGCCATTCCTTCTGGAGAAATTTCTGAAAGGCAAGTAGAACTGAGCTTTCGTAGCTAGTTCTAAGACATTCCCTAGTCTAATATGATATAGCCTAATTTTTTTTATTCCCATGCTTCCTATACTCTTAGGTGTCCCTACTAAATCCAGTCCATAATACTTTTCACGGTTGTTATTGTTTAACTTGGTGATTATTTGTTTAGGGTCTAAGTTCCATGAAAGCTGAGATCATGGCTGTTTTGCCCACTTCTGACTCTGCAGTGCCCAGTGCCTTATCTGGCACATAGTAGATACTATAATGTTTATTGAATTAATCAATATTAGCTTATCATTAGTCTGACCCAATAAAATCGGCCAGTATTATGCTGCAATTCAAAATGGATTTATCCTCATTCCATACACAATTCTAAGAAGCTCATTTACCCGGTTTCCAAGTATATAACTGATCAAAATTAAAACAGATGTATAAGTTATATATCTATCTCTATATGTCTATGCTATGTCTGTACCTATGTCTATATGTCTATATCTATGTCTTTGTTTATATGTCTATGTCTGTATGTCCATGCCTATGTCTATATGTCTGTGTCTGTGTCTACATATCTATGCCTATATTTCTATGTTTATATGTCTATATATCCATGTCTATGTTTATATGTCTGTGTCTATATATCTATATGTCTATGTTTTTATATGCCTATGTCTGTGTGTCTATGTCTGTGTCTATTTCTATGCCTCTGTGTCTATTTCTATGTGTCTGTGTCTGTATATCTGAGTATATATGTCCCTATCTATATGTCTATGTATGTCTATATACACACATGTCTACATACACATGTATGTCTATATGTCTATATCTGTGTGTCTGTGACTACATCTATATTCTATATCTACATCTATGTCTGTGTCTATGTCTTTGTCTATATGGCTATGTCTACGTGTCTGTGTCTATATGTCCCTATCTATATGCCTATGTTTTTGTGCATATGTATCTGTGTGTCTGTGTCTGAATCCCAGGTACTGAATGAATAATAAGCTTCACAAATTTGTATTAACAAATCTGGAAAGAAATCTCTTCTATCACACAAAACTTACTGACTTGGTTATACTTTTTATGTTGTAATATCAAGCATCCCATAGTTTACTGTTTTATTATTTTATGCTCCGTGTTAAGGATAAATTCTCAATAATCAGGAAGGCTCTGCTAATCTAATAGTTCAGAGACCTCAGAATTGGAAGAAGGATTTAAAAAAAAATAAAGATTCTTCGGTCTAACCATGTATCCAATGCTTGCATCTCTCTTCATCCTCCAGAAACATCACTGTCACTGAATCACAGGCCTTAACCCAGATATGTGGAGTAAAAATCTGCATTTTACCAAGACCCCAAGATGATGCATATTCATAGGAAAATCTGAGAAATGCTGATACAGACCATCATGATTACTTTCTGAAATGAATACTTTTTGAAATTCGCTGCATTTTGGAGAAGTTTATCTTGTTTTAGCAGATTCTTAGAGTGCTGATTACTGAGCCAAAACCTGACCTTTCGTCACTTTCTTTTTTTTTCACACAATCTTTATGTTCTTGTGTACCCATTATTTAGCTCCCATTTATAAGTGAGAACATGTGATATTTGACTTTCTGCTGAGTTAGTTCGCTTAAGATAATGGCCTTTACCTCCATATGTTACTGCAAAAGATAGGACTTCATTCTTTTTTATGACTGCATAGTATTCCATGATGTATATATACCACATTTTCTTTGTCATTTGTTCCCGGTTTCACATCCAAAGACTTGCACAAGTCCACTTTATTTTTTTACATGACAGTTTTTCAAATACCTCAGATGCAGTGCCACTTAGAACTTGTCACATACAATATCAGTTTTGCAAGATACTCTGTGGAAACAAATGATTCAGGGCTCCTATAAGTTGCAACTATGTTTTATCTTAGAGTCTCACTTGAGGCTCTGAGAAGTAAAGAAAAACTGCTTAATTTTGCTTAATCCAATTTTCCCAAGCTAACTTTTTCAAGAAAACTTTCCCACTCATATAACAACTAGTAACATCTTCAAGATTCACAGTATATCTTTTAGGAAAAGTAGCTCTCTTGGCTGGAGTTTCTTCAAGTGCCCTATGGCAGGCTGAATAATGGCCCCCAATAATGGTCAGAAATTGATTTCAAAATAATTAATTTTAAATGACTTCTGGGAAGAAAGACTTAGATGCTATGAAAATCCATTCCCTCTTTTTCCGAGATATATAGCTAGATTACATTTCTGAGTTTCTCCTAAAGTTCAGTGTAGCTAATGGAATGTGAGAGGAAGAGCTATGCCTCCCTCCCAGGTCTGCCCCATTAAATCTCCTAAACCTAATTCTATCTGCCCTTTTCCTCCTTGCCTACAACATATTGACGCTAGGACAAAATACCATATGGTGAGGATGGCAGAGCCTCCATCATTCTGAAGCCCCATACAATTCTGTGGAACCAAACAGGAAATACCCTGAACTTTTTATCTGAGAGGGAAATGGACTCTAATTGCATGTGAGGTTTTTTTTTTTTTTTTTTTTTTTTAATTTATTTTTTTATTGATAATTCTTGGGTGTTTCTCACAGAGGGGGATTTGGCAGGGTCATGGGACAATAGTGGAGGGAAGGTCAGCAGATAAACAAGTGAACAAAGGTCTCTGGTTTTCCTAGGCAGAGGACCCTGCGGCCTTCCGCAGTGTTTGTGTCCCTGATTACTTGAGATTAGGGATTGGTGATGACTCTTAACGAGCATGCTGCCTTCAAGCATCTGTTTAACAAAGCACATCTTGCACCGCCCTTAATCCATTTAACCCTGAGTGGACACAGCACATGTTTCAGAGAGCACAGGGTTGGGGGTAAGGTCACAGATCAACAGGATCCCAAGGCAGAGGAATTTTTCTTAGTGCAGAACAAAATGAAAAGTCTCCCATGTCTACTTCTTTCTACACAGACACGGCAACCATCCGATTTCTCAATCTTTTCCCCACCTTTCCCGCCTTTCTATTCCACAAAGCCGCCATTGTCATCCTGGCCCGTTCTCAATGAGCTGTTGGGCACACCTCCCAGACGGGGTGGTGGCCGGGCAGAGGGGCTCCTCACTTCCCAGTAGGGGCGGCCGGGCAGAGGCGCCCCTCACCTCCCGGATGGGGCGGCTGGCCGGGCGGGGGGCTGACCCCCCCACCTCCCTCCCGGACGGGGCGGCTGGCCGGTCGGGGGGCTGACCCCCCACCTCCCTCCCGGACGGGGCGGCTGGCCAGGCAGAGGGGCTCCTCACTTCCCAGTAGGGGCGGCCGGGCAGAGGCGCCCCTCACCTCCCGGACGGGGCGGCTGGCCGGGCAGGGGGGCTGACCCCCCCCACCTCCCTCCCGGACGGGGCGGCTGGCCGGGCAGGGGGGCTGACCCCCCCCACCTCCCTCCCGGACGGGGCGGCTGGCCGGGTGGGGGGCTGACCCCCCCACCTCCCTCGCGGACGGGGCAGCTGGCCGGGCAGAGGGGCTCCTCACTTCCCAGTAGGGGCGGCTGGGCAGAGGCGCCCCTCACCTCCCGGACGGGGCGGCTGGCCGGGCAGGGGGGCTGACCCCCCCCACCTCCCTCCCGGACGGGGCGGCTGGCCGGGCAGGGGGGCTGACCCCCCCCACCTCCCTCCCGGACGGGGCGGCTGGCCGGGCGGGGGGCTGACCCCCCCACCTCCCTTGCGGACGGGGCGGCTGGCCGGGCAGAGGGGCTCCTCACTTCCCAGTAGGGGTGGCCGGGCAGAGGCGCCCCTCACCTCCCGGACGGGGCGGCTGGCCGGGCAGGGGGGCTGACCCCCCCCACCTCCCTCCCGGACGGGGCGGCTGGCCGGGCGGGGGGCCGACACCCCCACCTCCCTCCCGGACGGGGCGGCTGGCCGGGCGGGGGGCCGACCCCCCCACCTCCCTCCCGGACGGGGCGGCTGGCCGGGCAGAGGGGCTCCTCACTTCCCAGTAGGGGCGGCCGGGCAGAGGCGCCCCTCACCTCCCAGACGGGGCGGCTGGCCGGGCGGAGGGCTGACCCCCCCCACCTCCCTCCCGGACGGGGCGGCTGGCCGGGCAGAGGGGCTCCTCACTTCCCAGTAGGGGCGGCCGGGCAGAGGCGCCCCTCACCTCCCGGACCGGGCGGCTGGCCGGGCGGGGGGCTGACCCCCCCACCTCCCTCCCGGATGGCACGGCTGGCCGGGCGGGGGGCTGACCCCCCACCTCCCTCCCGGATGGGGCGGCTGGCCGGGCGGGGGCTGACCCCCCCTCACCTCCCTCCCGGATGGGGTGGCTGCCGGGCGGAGATGCTCCTCACTTCCCAGATGGGGTGGCTGCTGGGCGGAGAGGCTCCTCACTTCTCAGACGGGGCAGCTGCCGGGCGGAGGGGCTCCTCACTTCTCAGACGGGGTGGTTGCCAGGCAGAGGGTCTCCTCACTTCTCAGACGGGGCGGCCGGGCAGAGACGCTCCTCACCTCCCAGACGGGGTCTCGGCCGGGCAGAGGCGCTCCTCACATCCCAGATGGGGCGGTGAGGCAGAGGCGCTCCCCACATCTCAGACGATGGGCGGCCGGGCAGAGACGCTCCTCACTTCCTAGATGTGATGGCGGCTGGGAAGAGGCGCTCCTCACTTCCTAGATGGGATGGCGGCCGGGCGGAGACGCTCCTCACTTCCCAGACTGGGCGGCCGGGCAGAGGGGCTCCTCACATCCCAGACGATGGGCGGCCAGGCAGAGACACTCCTCACTTCCCAGACGGGGTGGCGGCCGGGCAGAGGCTGCAATCTCGGCACTTTGGGAGGCCAAGGCAGGCGGCTGGGAGGTGGAGGTTGTAGTGAGCCGAGATCACGCCACTGCACTCCAGCCTGGGCACCATTGAGCACTGAGTGAACGAGACTCCGTCTGCAATCCCGGCACCTCGGGAGGCCGAGGTTGGCGGATCACTCGCGGTTAGGGGCTGGAGACCGGTCCGGCCAACACAGCGAAACCCCGTCTCCACCAAAACCAGTCAGGCGTGGCGGCGCGTGCCTGCAATCGCAGGCACTCGGCAGGCTGAGGCAGGAGAATCAGGCAGGGAGGTTGCAGTGAGCCGAGATGGCAGCAGTACAGTCCAGCTTCGGCTCCGCATGAGAGGGAGACCGTGGGGAGAGGGAGACGGAGACGGAGACGGAGACGGAGAGGGAGGGACGGAGAGGGAGAGGGAGAGGGAGAGGGAGAGGGAGAGGGAGAGGGAGAGGGAGAGCGCATGTGAGGTTTTTACACATCTTGGGGTATATTCGTTGTAGCAGTTAGCCTACCCTAACAAATAAAAAATTGGTACAAATAAATACTCTTAATCTATTAAAGCAGTTCATATGCAAAAAGGATAAGACAAATGCAGGATAATTTTTTATTTAAAATATTTTTAAAAATTTGGATAGCTTTTGGAGTACAAGTGGTTTTTGGTTATATGGGTGAATTATATAGTGGTGAATTATGAGATTTTAGCGCACCCATCACCTGAGCAGTGTATGTTGTACCCAATATGTAGTTTTTTTTTTTATCTCACACTCCTATCCCTTCCTTCCCATCTCAGTCTCCAAAATTCATTATATCACTCCGTATGCCTTTGTGTACTTATAGCTTAGCGTTCACTTATAAGTGAAAACATATGGTATTTGGTTTTCCTTTCCTGGGTTAGTTCACTTAGAATGATGGCCTCTAGCTCCTTTTAAGTTGCTGAAAAATACATTATTTTATTCCTTTTTTATGGCAGAGTAGTATTCCATGGTGTATATATATACCACACTTTCTTTATCCACTCATTGGTTTATGGGCACTTAGGTTGGTTCCACATCTTTGCAATTGCAAATTGTGCTGCAATAAACATATGTGTGCCTGTGTCTTTTTCACATAATGCATTTTCCTTTGGGTAGATACCCAGTAGTGGGATTGCTGGATTGGATGATAGATTTACTTTTAGTTCTTTAAGGAATCTCCATACTGTTTTCTATAGAGGGTGTACTAATTTACATCCCCACCAGCAGTGTATAAGTGTCCCCATTTCACCACATCCAAGCCAACATCTGTTGTTGTTTTTTTTTTTTGACTTTTTAATAATGATCATTTTTGCAGGAGTAAGGTTGTATGTCATCGTGGTTTGAATTTGCATTTTCCTGATTTATTAGTCCATTTTCACGCTGCTGATAAAGATATACCAGAGACTGGGCAATTTACAAAAAAAAAAAAAAAAAAAAGAGGTGTAATTGGACTTACAGTTCCACGTGGCTGGGGAAGCCTCACAATCATGGCAGAAGGCAGGGAGGAGCAAGTCATGTCTTGCGTGGATGGCAGCAGGCAAAAAGAGAGAGATTGGGCAGGGAAACTCCCCTTTATAATACCATCAGATTTGGTGAGACTTATTCGCTATCATGAGAACAGCCCGGGAAAGACCTGCCCCCATGATTCAATTACCTCCCACTGTGTCCTTCCTACGACACACATGAATTCAAGATGAGATTTGGGTGGGGACACAGCTAAGCCGTATCACCTGATGATTAGTGACACTGAGCATTTTTTTCATATGTTTCCTGGCCTTATTTTGAGAAATGTCTATTCATGTCATTTGCCCACCTTTGATGAGATTATTATTTTTTTCTTGCTAATTTGTTTGAGTTCCTTATAGATTATAGGTAGCAGTCCTTTGTTGAATGCATAGTTTGCAAATATTTTCTTCCATTCTGTGAATTGTCTGTTTACTGTGACAATTATTTCTTTTGCTGTGCAGAAGCTTTTTAGTTTAGTCAGGTCCTGTTTGTTTGTTTTTATTTATGTTTCATTTTCTGTTGGGGTTTTAGTCATGAATTCTTTCCCTTGGTCAACATCCAGAAGAGTTTTTCCAAGGTTACTGTATTAGTTCGTTTACACACTGCTGTAAAGAAATATCTGAGACTGGATATTTTGTAAACAAAAGAGGTTTAATTGACTCACAGTTCCACATGGCTGGGGAGGCCTCAGGAAACTTATAATCATGGCAGAAGGCAAAGGGGAAGCAGGCAACTTCTTCACAAAGTGACAGGAGAGAGAGAGCAGGGAAACCACCACTTATAAAATCATCAGATCTCATAAGAACTCGTTCACTATCACCAGAACAAATGGGGAAAACCTCCCCCATGATCTAATCGCCTCCCACCAGCTCCCTCCCTCGACATGTAGGGTTCGAGATGAGATTTGCATGGGGACACAGAGCCAAAGCCTATCAGTTATCCTCTAGAATTATTATGGCTTCAGGCCTTAGATTTAAGTCTTTGATCCATCTTGAGTTGATTTTTGTATAGGGTGAGGGATAGGGATCCAGTTTCATCCTTTTGCATGTGGGTAGCCAGTTTCCCTACTACCATTTATTAAATAGGGTATCCTTTCCCCAATTTATGTTCTTGTATGCTTTGTAGAATATTAGTTGGTTATAAGTATTTGGCTTTATTTCTGGGTTCTCTATTATGTGCAGAATAATATTTTATCATCTTTATTTTTCTCTATGTCCTAACTTTGAGGTCTCTGTTTATACTTGACAGCTTGGGATGGTGGTATTGAGGGATGGGTTATTGGAAAACTAAGCCACCCTTAAAGAAACCTTTAAACCATTCATTATGTCTTCTAGAAGGCAGAAAGCACTATCGCTGCTTTAGCTTTTCTTCCTCATCAGGATGATTTATGGAGGCTTCTGAATTATTGGGATTGCAGCAGCGTTTGCTGTTCCCTGGGTGCCAATACACTGTCATTAAAGAATTGACAGTCTTGTAGTTTCCCTCACACATATCCTCATTTTCAAAGGCATGCACTGTGAATCCAGAAGCCTTTAGGAAAAAAAAACCATATCAGCAATTTGGTATGTTCAGAAAAATGTAGATGGAAGAGGCTGGAAACAGGATGGATCAGAGCCCATTATAGCTGACACATGTACTCTTCACCAATATTGCAGATATGCAATGTTTAATCTATAATTCACAGTATATTTATGCTTCTTCCCATTTTTGGTTTGCACAATATCCCATAAGGTAGATGGACACATATTATGGTTCCCCTTTTTTGAGGGAGCTGAGTTTCAGAGGAATTAAGGAGAGTGCCCTTGGTTGTGGTAGGTAATGAATTACCTGGAGAAAGGGGGCAGAACCATCAGATGGAGTGAGCTGGCATCTTCTGCGTGAGTATTCCCCTTTCTTGGGGAAGGGGAGGTAAGAGTAGGGTCAAAGCAGGGAAGACATGGGTGGCTTTAGGGGAATGTAAAGATCCTGAAATTACAAACAGCCTTTGTGTGTGCCTGTGTACATTTTACTGGAGAGAGGTCCAGTTTTTGAAGGGGCTGAAGACTCCTAAGTGGTTAAACACCAGTGTTCAAGGATTCTACAGCTGTAGATCATCTTGCACTCTACCTATGGAATTGATAGCCAAAGCTTTGCTGTGGAAATAGTACTTTGGTTTCTGCCTTACTGGACATTTACTACAAAAAACAACATAAATATCCATTCTTATACACCTAGAGAATCCCCTAGGCTCTATGGTGATCAGATTTACTATCTTGCCAAAAAAATAATAAGGGGAAAGACTGCCATTCTAAGAAGAAAATGCGTAGCATTAACAAAATCCTGTGGTCTCATCCCAGGGAAGCTGTATACAACTCAGAAAGCATTCTTTTTGTATACGGATGTCTATAGAGCAGAGTTACTGAAGGCAGCCACAGTTGCTGGGGTATCAGACAAGGGAAATGGAAACATAGTAATTTTATAAGCATTTCTTTGCTTAGAATTTCAGAGGGCTGCCAGAGTCATGCTCACAACTCTGGCTCCTGATATGCTTGTCCTGTGGACAGTTTCACACTGACAGTTTCATAAGCACAATTGGTGCTTAACCAAGCATGGACTCTAAGCAAAACCACTGCTGTGGGAGGGCATTATGCTCAGGGCTCAGAGCCTTTTGATAGAGAGAGTGTGATAAAAAAGAGCATTATAAAAATGATGAAGTTCATTTTCTTTTCTTGAATGTAAACATTAGACTACTTGGAGGCACTCACTAAGGGCAAACTGCGGAAGCCAGTTGTTGACACCAGCTGGTGGTTTTGTATTTTGGCCTCAGGAATTGACTCTAGGTAAGCTCCTTTCTCTAGTTGAGAAATGAAGTAACATTGTTGATTCAGGGAAATCATTTCCATCTGTATAATTTGGAGTTCTAGGCACAGAATGTAATCTGAGTGAGTGATGGGGTCAGGAGCCCCAGGAGGCTGCCTATTCATATTGAGGGAGTCTCCTGCCTTATGTGTCTTCACAAGAGATTAGAATTTCCTAGGTGTGATCATGTGATTGCTGCCAACTTTATAGCAACTAGAGACTGGATCAAGTTTTCCACTCAGAATGTAAAGCATCTTCAAGAAAGCGAGGTGAAATGAAGAACATGAAGAATATATCTTCTTTATATTCTCTCTCATTCCCTTCATCCCTTACTATACCCACTGATTGTGAAAATACTCTTCATCTTGACATTTATCTCTGCCTTTCTAGAACTTATCAATTCTTGGGTCAGCTACACATATATTACTTTGGCATTCACAGCCATGCCTGAGATGTCACTCTTATTCTTTTTTTTTTTTTTTTCACCTGGGGTGGAGTGCAGTGGCATGATCTGGTCTCACTGCAACCTCTGTATCCTGGGTTCAAGTGATCCTCCTGCCTCAGCTTCCCAAGTAGCTGGGAATACAGGTGACTGGCACCGCGCCCAGCTAATTTTTTGTATTTCTGGTAGAGACAGGGTTTCACCATGTTGGCCAGGCTGATCTTGAACTCCTGACCTCAGGTGATTTGCCTGCCTTGGCCTCCCAAAGTGCTGGGATTACAGGCATGAGCCACCAAGCCCAGCCTTATTCTAAGTCTTAAATCCAATTGTTGGCCAGGTTCTTCAATGTTTTTCTGCTGCTTAAAGGAAAGAGATTGAGATTCAAAATCCATTTGCCCAAAGAAGGTAAGTATGTTTATATATCAATTCATCCGAGCAGTGGAGCAAGTAGTTGGAGCTGCAGAAGAGAGGATAGAGACAGATGGGACACTGTGAGGCTGATTCTTTTAGTTAGAGAACATGAATCCTAGTGCCAAAAACATTAGTCCATGCTAGCTATGTGACTTTGGTCAATTCAGTCAATCTTTTTGAGTCTCAACTTCTTTAAGTTTTAGGGTACATGTGCACAACGTGCAGGTTTGTTACATATGTATACATTTGCCATGTTGGTGTGCTGCACCCATTAACTCGTCATTTAGCACTGGTATATCTCCTAATGCTATCCCTCCCCCCTCCCCCAACCCCACAACAGTCCCCAGAGTGTGATGTTCCCCTTCCTGTGTCCATGTGTTCTCATCGTTCAATTCCCACCTGTGAGTGAGAATATGTGGTGTTTGGTTTTTTATCCTTGCGATAGTTTGCTGAGAATGATGGTTTCCAGCTTCATCCATGTCCCTACAAAGGACATGAACTCATCATTTTTTAGGGCTGCATAGTATTCCATGGTGTATATGTGCCACATTTTCTTAATCCAGTCTATCATTGTTGGACATTTTGAGTTGGTTCCAAGTCTTTGCTATTGTGAATAGTGCCGCAATAATCATATGTGTGGGTGTGTCTTTATAGCAGCATGATTTATAATCCTTTGGGTATATACCCAGTAATGGGATGGCTGGATCAAATGGTATTTCTAGTTCTAGATCCCTGAGGAATCGCCACACTGATTTCCACAGTGGTTGAACTAGTTGACAGCCCCACCAACAGTATAAAATTGTTCCTATTTCTCCACATCCTCTCCAGCACTTGTTGTTTCCTGAGTTTTTAATGATCGCCATTCTAACTGGTGTGAGATGTTATCTCATTGTGGGTTTGATTTGCATTTCTCTGATAGCCAGTGATGGTGAGCATTTTTTCATGTGTTTTTTGGCTGCATAAATATCTTCTTTTGAGAAGTGTCTGTTCATACCCTTTGCCCCCTTGTTGATGGGTTTGTTTTTTTCTTGTAAATTTGTTTGAGTTCATTGTGGATTCTGGATATTAGCCCTTTGTCAGATGAGTAGATTGCAAAAATTTTCTCTCATTCTGTAGGTTGCCTGTTCACTCTGATGGTAGTTTCTTTTGCTGTGCAGAAGCTCTTTAGTTTAATTAGATCCCATTTGTCAATTTTGGCTTTTGTTGCCATTGCTTTTGCTGTTTTAGACATGAAGTCATTGCCCTTGCCTATGTCCTGAATGGTATTGCCTAGGTTTTCTTCTAGGGTTTTTTATGGTTTTAGGTCTAACATTTAAGTCTTTAATCCATCTTGAATTAATTTTTGTATAAGGTGTGAGGAAGGGATCCAGTTTCAGCTTTCCACATATGGCTAGCCAGTTTTCCACATATGGCTAGCCAGTTTTCCCATCAGCATTTATTAAATAGGGAATCCTTTCCCCATTTCTTGTTTTTGTCAGGTTTGGGACCTATCTCAAAATAATAAGAGCTATCTATGACAAACCCACAGCCAATATCATACTGAATGGACAAAAACTGGAAGCATTCCCTTTGAAAAAGGGGACAAGACAGGGATGCCCTCTCTCACCACTCCTATTCAACATAGTGTTGGAAGTTCTGGCCAGGGCAATCAGGCAGGAGAAGGAAATAAAGGGTATTCAATTAGGAAAAGAGGAAGTCAAATTGTCGCTGTTTGCAGACGACATGATTGTATATCTAGAAAACCCCATCGTCTCAGCCCAAAATCTCCTTAAGCTGATAAGCAACTTCAGCAAAGTCTCAGGATACAAAATTAATGTGCAAAAACCACAAGCATTCTTATACACCAATAACAGACAAACAGAGAGCCAAATCATGAGTGAACTCCCATTCACAATTGTTTCAAAGAGAATAAAATACCTAGGAATCCAACTTACAAGGGATGTGAAGGACCTCTTCAAAGAGAACTACAAACCACTGCTCAATGAAATAAAAGAGGATACAAACAAGTGGAAGAACTTCTTTATCTTTAAAATGAGAATAGGGCATGCCTTGCCTGCCCAAATGTATAGTTTTAAAGACAAATGAGATAATGACTTATTTAAATGCAAGATGCAATTTCAGTCAGGAGAGGCTAGGTTATGCTGTGGTGACAAACAGCTTCAGAAGTTTAGGTGCTTAATGTAGCAACAATTTTTAACTTTTAATTTTTAATAGATGGGTTCTCCCTATGTTGACCAGGCTGTTCTTGAACTCCTGGCCTCAAGTGATCCTCCTGCCTCTGCCTCCCAAAGTGCTATGATTATTGGTATGAGCTACAGTGCTTGGCCAAAATAACCAAATTGTATTTTTTGTTACCACTATTAAAAAATGGCAATGTTGGCTATGCGTGGTGGCTCACGCCTGTAATCCCAGCACTTTGGGAGGCCAAGGTGAATGGATCTCTTGAGGTCAGGAGTTCGAGACCAGCCTTGCCTACTAAAAATACAAAAACTAGCCAGGTGTGGTGGCAGGTGCTACTCGGGAGGCTGAGGCAGGAGGATCACTTGAACCCGGGAGGCGGAGATTGCAGTAAGCTGAGATTGCACCACTGCACTCCAGCCTGGGTGACAGAGTGAGTGAGACTCCATTAAACAAAAAATAGCAGTGTTGGATTGGCAGGGGGACTCTTCTCGTTGAAGTTTCTAAGAGATCCAAGCTGATGAAGTTTCCATCTTTCTCTAGTGATTTGTGATCCGTGTCCACCCACCATGTGCTTCCATGATTACTGCAGCAGGAGAGGAGGGTTCTGGAGAGTCAAACATTGACAATTACATACGTTGGCTAAAAGTGACATTCACTTCTGCCCATATTCATTGGCTGAAACCCGTCACATGGTCTTACCTAATTTTAGAAGGTATGAAGGTGTTTCACAAGAACATCTTTAACTTTAATAGTACCAACCATAGGTGGTATTGCTGAATTTCATAGATGCTAAGATGCACTTTCTTCCATTTTAGTATCTCTGAAATTGGGATGAGTTTTACGATGAATATCATTTTATAATGACCATAGGCCATTCTTTCATATTTTATCTCTGAAACCAGAATGCATTTCATAGTTGGTGGTATTTTAGGCTTTATGATAACATGTTATTATTGCTATTCTTCCCAGATGCTTGGCCTCAAGTGATCCTAAGAGACCATGACTCATGATTGGGATAAAGTCTGTAACCTCAGAAGTGCTGGGTAGTGTCCTGGTCACAAGTGTAAGCGCTAGTCTAAGACCTTCCTTGCAGCTCCCTTGAACTTTCTTGTACCATTTGAGAAGGGGCACAGTGTGGAGCCAATGGGAGAAGAGAGATTTTTGAGACTTATACCCCTAGGAATGAAGAGTCCTCTTCTGCCTTGCCCTGACATTGGACTTCAGTTCTGAGACAAGCTTTTAAAACTATAAATGCCCATAAAGGTTTACAAAAGTGAAGTTTCCTCAATGCCAGTGAAAGCATCTTTTTTTCTCTGTCCAATTAATTCCCCACACATCCAAGGGGGTCGGGATAAATGCTGATTTATGATTCAGAAATTCCATGTCTGCTGCTGAAGAAGGTGGCTATCAGCTCCTGTCTGAGCCATTGTCCGTGCACTCAATCTTTACCTGCACCCCTCTCATTGCGTTTCAGGTCATTGCCTTGGGACGTGAGATAGTGCCTTCCTTCTCTTTTCTCTTTTCCCTCTTATATGTAAGTTCCTATACTGCCCTTTTTTTTTTTTTTTTTTTTTTTTTTTTTGCATACCCGTGTATTCACATTACGATCTCTGATCAGAATTAAGTGGAGAGTCTGAGGGTTAGGGGCTGGAGTTAGTAGGGAATGAAATGGAGGCTGGGCTAAAGTAGGGAAAACAAAGCAGAGGTTTATTCTAGGGCTTATTCCCAGACTCTGCGGGTCTCCTGGGCTCTAGGTCACGCACCGCAATGCTTTATACACATCACCATTAATAATGTGATTTTTGGCAAAAGGACTGAGATTAACCTTCTACGCTATTCTGATTTGCATCCGAGGCAGGCTTTTATGTATAATTTGGTATTTAAAATTTTCAATTATATCCAAGATAATGACCTTTAAGAGAATGAGTTGCTGAAAACAGGCATGCCCTTTTTTTTTTTGGAGCTTCCTGGTGACACATCTGATTTTAAGTTAGACACATCTCATCACTGGCTTCTTGCCTGCTTGGAGGCCTCCCTGGGGCCAGGGAGCCTCTTTCTGTCAGGCCATGCTTGCTGTTGGGAGTCAGGGGTTATGTTCTTGTCGAGAGCCCCCTTCGTTTGAGCTCCTACTCAGATTTCCTGGGTCTTTACACTTTCCTTCTCCTCTAGCCTCTGCTTTTAACCAGGCTAACTGGTTTGTGTTTTGTTGGAGGCTGACTTTGAATGCCATGAAGTTTATGGTCCACTACCTTGTGGCTGCTGGGTCTAGACACTGCCTGGTGCTACACCAACTTCCTGTCCACTCGACATGCCCCATGTGTTCCAGAAGAGCTGCCTCTCTGGCTTTGCTTTGACCCTCCTCCTGGCTTCAGGCTGCTGCCTAGGCATAGTCTCCTGCTGTTGATGCCAATTGAGTCTGCTCTAGCTTCTTCCCACTGTAGCTCCTTGAGAGTGTGGAATATCTCTTTGCTTTTTGAAGTTTCCAAGGCATGCCATAGAATACAGAAGCACTGCTGATCTGCTCCCAGCCTGCAGCTGCCACCACCACCATTGTCTCCATACCTCTCCCAGCATAGTCAGTTGTGCTCTGGCTTAGTCATCACTGATCCTCTAGAGCCCTGGGTGCTGTTTGGAGTCTCATTTCCCTTCTCTCATTACAGTCTGCCTCTGCTCATTGGATGTTTGAATGGCACCACAGCTGGTTTTGGAGTCTGACCAGACTGGGCTCAAATATCGGTATCACCACTTACTGGCACTTAACTAAGTCAGTTTCTCTAAAAATTGGGTATAGCAATGCCCAGTCATGCACTCAGTGTACAGTTCATGTGTGATAACGTTAGCATGTTACTAATATAGGAAGTAGGATAATTGTGGTTAAGATCATGGGGTTTAGGGCGAAACGGACTTGAGTTCAGATTTTTGCCTTACCATTTGACAAACGGCATGTCATTTTCTGACTGCCAGCCTAGTGCTTGTGGCAATTCTCTCTGCTTCCTCTCCACATCTTGCTTTTCATGTTTTCAGATATGGACCTAGACAGCCCCTTGGACAGACAATTGGAAATTGCTGGATGTGAATAAAGGGTTGATCATCAATGCAGGGCCTGGGAATAATTGATGATCATTTGGCCAGCTTCTAAACAGAAGAATCCTGGCCCTGCATGGTTCCAGGAAGCCCTAGCATTCCTTGGCTCTGACTATTTTTTGGAGAAGTGCTAGTACCAGGGGTGTAGAGTGACTCCTTAGTGACAAAAAAATGTTGAGAAAGTTAATAAGGTGCTTAAAAGAATAAGTGTCCTCTCTCTCTGGACAAAGAAGGAGGTAAGAACCACCATTTTGTTGGGCTGGGATAGAAGGGATGCACTCACAGGATTTAGGAATTTTGCAACCAGATTGTCTTGTTGCCTAGAAAACAAGCCAGTGATTCAGCAGTTTTCTCGTTAGCAGAAAGAGAAAAGCTGAGAGCGTCAGAGATCATGACTCTGAAGGGAACAGGTTATCTTTTTTGGAGACTTAGCAGTCAGACTAGAGGAAGATAGGTTTAGTATGAATAATTGAAATTCATATATAATCCTAAGTCCCTATTGTAGATAGTGGTGACCACAGCCTCTCTCATGTAGTAAGTCTTTCATCAGAGTTACTCAAAAGCAGCAGCAATGATTGCTTTGATTTTATCTTGTGCTGTTTCCTCTACCTACCTTGAGGGGAACTGCAAATAAACTAGGGGATGAGCTTAAAAACAAGCTGGCAAAGTAGGAGAGAGGAGCTTCTTGACCAGGGCCCTGGGTTTGAGGTGGAGGAGCAGCTGGTACCACACAGAGGCATGGGAACTGCTCATACACCTCCTTCCCATCCTCAAAGCTACACAGGCCCCCTTGTCTCTGGTCATTTCGGTCAGATGAATTCCCTTACACAAAGAACTTTCCATCTTGGTGCAAACCTTTTGAAGTTTGTAGAAGCACAATATTCCATTGTAAGACTCAAATTTCTAAAGCTTCCTGTATTAACTGAATTGAGATGTGAATTGTATTTGCAATGGACTGGGGAGAATTGCTTTTTAAGAGCTTTTCTGTGAGCCCTTTTAGAAGTAAGATGAATCATTTTTAAATTATCTTTTTATAAGATTACACTTCCAATTATTTAGAGTGTAGGAAATTTCCCTCCACTGTCCTGCTTTCAATTTTGTCCGGTGAGAACTCCTGATAATTCTGAATTTGTAATTCTCAAATCTTGTTTTTAAAAATAGTCATGTAATTTCTGTACAAAATGGTAGAATTTGTAGGAATTCTGGACATGCTTCCTGGCTTTCTCAAAGGCCCTGTCTTCACCAGTGGACCTGCTGCAGGGAGGGAGATACTGAATGATGACAGAGAAGTCTATCCCGAGAGCTCTGCTGGGACAAAGGAGGCAGAAACACCTGGCCAACGCACAAATGGAAAAGTCGGCAGGACAAGAACTCGGGGTTGGAAATGAATAGTGCTTAATCCCATGAGGCTGAGGACTTGCTATTTAGATGCTCATGCTGTAAAAGCTTCAAAGACTCAAGGGGATTTATTAAGAGCTAGGGCATTGAAACCTTTGGCTGTGTGCAGCATCGCCCATTGAATCGTAAATTTGTCTTTATAAATATCGAGAACATGTACTTGATGATTTTACTCATACAAACCAGGTAAGGAGGTGGTGAATCATATCATCATCATCCTTGAGAAGGAGAGCGATCTGGAGTGTTCATTTTCCAGCTGAAATTACTGGAAGTTTTTTTTTGGCTTTATTTTGTTGCGTTTTTGAAGGGAGAAAATAAAAAAGGAGGAATGCCAAAGGTTGTCAGTTGTTTTCAGGAAAGCATATATTCCAGGTTTCCATTCCTGTCACCTGGTGAGTTATAATTTGCTTGTTGTCTCTTATTATATTTCCCCTAAAAGTCTAAATGTCCAGAGAACCACTTTAAGTGGGACAAGAGATTTTGTTCCTTGGACTGCAGGTACTTGTTCTTTTGGACTGTAGGAATTTGTCTGGGGACATTAGCCACCCATAACTGGGGAAGAGATTTTTAAATGGCAGATCAAATTAAGTTCATTGTATTTTATAGTTTGTTAACTGTAGCTATATTGCAAAATGCCTTAATTGATTTATTCTTTTTTTTTTTTTTTAGTGAGTGTGTAAGGTTTTGGCAAATATGTTAACCTTTTCTCTCTTTAACTGTAAGGTGCAATTTCCTTTCCTTTTAGTAGGGCAATTTGCCTTTTCCCTTTGCCCATGAGAGTTGCGTCCACACGCTCAGTATGATACAAGTTATCCTGTACAAACCCAACCTTCTCAGAGCATGGGAGCTGAGCAGCTTGTCGGATGATGAGTATGTCAGGGAAGACATCAACTCACAGAAAGAGACTAGAGAGACCCAAACTCAAACTGGCTGTCCTACCCACTAGCTCTGTGGTCTTGGAGCCAGTGAGTGGGTGCACAGAGCTTCAGCTTCCTCACTTATAAATGTGGGATAATGACAATCACCTTGAAGAATGGTCGTGAGGATATGAATGTCTGTGTATGAAGTGTCCGACAAAGTGTCTGGTTAGTTAATCTATCAATCTATTACTTCACAGATACAGGATTGGTCTAATCCAGCAACAATTTCCTGCCAAATATCCCTAATAGCCTGGTTTTGAGAGGTTGTTGATGGATGTTCAAGGGAAGAAAACTAACTTAGTTATTAATGGAGATCTCATGTACCCAGAATCCCAAAGCCCCTCAAAGCACCTGAAATAGCAGTTCCAGCTCCCTTTTGTGGGAAGTGCTGTAAGAGTTTTAAACACAGACTCTGAAGTCTTCCCTGGAATCACAGGAATTGTAGGCCAATTACAGAGTCAGAGGAGTGCTTCCTGAGTAATGGTTGCATTCTGAATTGACTCTTAGGATAATTAGCATAACTTTGTGAGCCTACTGTGGCCTTCTGTTCTTAGCAGTGACAACTTGATTAGTTCGGACATATAATAATAATTTGCTACTTAAACAAGGACTGGCTTCCTAATGCTCATTTTCATGATACTCATTTGCCTCCTTTTGAGTTTTTCTTAAAGTGTAATTATTTAAAGACCCCCAAATTCATTTTTAAAAATATATAGTGATTCTTGAGGCTCTGATTTTGATAATTTATGTGTTATAATTAATGGATAAAATTTTATCCTATTAGAGGGGATGCAGCAATGCAATAACTATCAAACTGCATTTCTTATCACTGGGCTCTTGCTGGGATTAATTTGAGGGTAGAAGTTGTAACATTTTATGGGACTGGTAAAAAAGGAGAAGATTTACGTAGTGAAGAGAGCACTGGATTTAGGGTGATCAACTGCTCCCACTTTGGGACTTTCCCTATCTTAGCACAAAAGTCCCATATCCTAGGAAACATCTCAGTCCCAGGCAAATATAGACAGATTGCCTCGGCTTGTCCTGCTTTAAAAACAAAAAGTTTCATGTCTCAAGACTCCCTTGGTTTTGGGCAAACCAGGACAGTTGGTTCCCTTAACTCCAAGGTCATGTCCTTTCTCTGCCACTACATAGCCATGTAACATTGGCCAAATCACTTTACTGATAAAATGAAGAGGTACACCAAATAATCCTGAAAGTCTCTATCAGTATTGACACTTTGTGGTTAAAAGGCATCTTATTATTGGAATTTACCTTTTGTGTCTTTACTTCTTTGCTTCTGAGAAACCAGCATCCAATTAGAAAGCTCTTATAAATGAATTCAGTCTGCAAACTAGATAAAAATAATCAGGACACTTGCGGATTAAATCTCAGTATGGAGGAAGATAATGCTGATGAATACTGGGGTGATAGACTTCATTGTTCTGTTCCATATGGCAATGGTGCCCTGCTCTTCAGCCCCCTCGCAGACACGGGTGTGCCCATAGCTCAAAGGAATGTTATCTGGGGTGAGACCAACATGCCCCAAAGCTGAGTTTCTGCAGTTTCATCTTTGGATATAACAGGACAGAGTGTCATTGTTATTGTTGTTACTGTATCAGCAAAAATTAAAGATAATTGAGTTTATATTTGAGTTTTCCTGATATCCTATACCATACCTATTTCCTTTAAGCTTTTCAACTTATTAGCTGGCAAGTCAGCATCTGCACACATTATGACAGTGTCCTTTAAAAATCTAATGCTTTCACTCACTCCCCGAAACGGAAAATCGCATAGAAATTTGGGTTCTGTCATTTTGAATCATTGTTCTTCTACCGAATAACAGTAAAAGAATGACTCCAACATGGAATTTCTAGTTAAAATGGACACCAGTGTAGTCCCGTGGTTAATGGTGTGTTAATGGTGTAATAATTTTTGGTATAAAGTGATACAAGAAGCTTGACTTTAACTACTTTACATTCAGGGGAGCTTGGTTTTTGTGTTAAATAATGAGATGCTAGAAAATTTATAGAGTGCTTTTATTCTTAGGAACATGGAACATTTCATATATTTTGCTGATTTATCTTCCTAACATCATTGAGAGAAGGGAGGAGGCGTTATTGCAGTGTGTTTAATAGAAAATGAAATTGAGGCCCCGTACAGGTAAAGTCCCCAAGTAAGAATGCACAGCTGGTTAGTGAAAAGGCTTTCCTTGCTCTCCCATGTCTCCTAACCTAATGTTCTCTCAATAGGTTGCGCCGTTTTGCTGTGGTCATCAAGCCATGTCAGGAAGGCACATTTTGAGTTGAAGAAATTCACCTGTACTTACGGAAACTCAAAACACTGTATCTATGAGGGCACTACTCCAGATATTGTTATATCTGAGACCATACTATTTTGGAATTTTTATAGGAGTGTTCTTCAAGTCTTTATACCTGGATGAGGTTCTAGTGGGGTCAAGTTTCTTTCTAAAAAAAAAACAAAAACAAGAAAAAACAAAACACACACACAAAACACAGTTTGGAGCCAAACTGAGTTTCATGGCACAATAGTGCAAGTTATAACTAAATCCTGGTGCACTTCACTAAATGTGGAAGCAGCCAGATGGGCACTGGGCTAACAGTGAGCTGGGCCTGAGAGCTGAGGAAGAAAGCAACAGAGAACATGGAAACTACATCTTCATGCTAACTCTGTCACTAGCCTGTGGAATGATATTGGGCCTCAAGGTCCTATTTGTAAAATAAATGGGCTAGGCTGCACTGTCCAATATGGTACTTAATTAAAATTAAAAATTCAGTTCCTTAGTCACACTGGTGCCATTTCAAGTGCTTGATAGACACATGTGGCTAGTGGCTGCCATAGCAGACAGTGTAGATATAAAACATTTTCACCACCACAGAAAGTTCCTTTGGAAAACGTTTGCCGAGATGATATCAGTGGTTGTCCTGATGTGTTTTAATAAATTATCAGGATTCCTTAGATGTTCCTTAGGGGCCCTGAGAAGAGCAAGGGGACCCCAACAAGCAGATGGGGTTCTGAGTCCCTTATCCTGGCTTCAACAGAAGGACCTCCATTTTCATCTGTTTTGAATAAAATGGATACTGTGTTTTTGAAACACTTTAAAATGTAGGTCTCCTTATGGACCTAAACCTGGCCTCTCTCCCTCTCTCTCCTTCTCTCACCTTCTTCTTTACTGTCTCTTTGCACTGTGTTCACCATTATAACTCTAGAGGAGGAGGGGAGGAAAGAATAGGGCAATGTTCTAACCAAGGAGAAAGAGGAAAGAAGAAAACCTGCCCCTTCCAGCCTGAAGAACTGTAGGAAGAAGAGGGGAGAGAGGGGAATGGGAAGGAGGCAGTGAGGCACATATGCTTCCCTTTAGCGCCCTGGCTAAAGCCATGGAAGGGGATGGAGGTAGTAGATTGAGGCAAACTGGGCTTTGTTGTCGCTTCCTGTGTGAGGCCTGGGAGACTAACTTGTATCCATAGCTTGACTGCATGGCTGATTGTTTTGGCACAGTGGGGGCCTGACTGTTGTTCCCTTATCTTATAGACTGAAGGACCTTTTCTGTAGGGAGCCTGGTTGCGAAACGTGCCAGAAGGTGTCATCCACTGGGAGGGGATGGGGCCGTGTGGGTGGCTGTGTAGCCGAGGCTGCAGGGTAGGGCATTGGGATCAGGACTGCAGAGGAGTTGCTGCCCAACGCTAGGTCACTGCAGAGCTGGTGAGAACTGAGGTGGCGCCAAGATAGAAGGGATGATCCTGAGCCTGAACAGGTCAAGAAAGCACAGTCTGTGAACTCTATCTCACGTAGACAGCGGCAGTGGAAGCAGCAGAATGCCCAGGGTGGGGTTGCAGGGCTGACCAACCATACCTCGTGTGGACCCCGGCCAGTACACACCCCAGAACTAGATAAGTTGCTGGTGGAAAGGAGGGGCTTCTTTCTTCACCATCCCAACTCCGATGCCAAGACCACATGTATGCCCTGTACACACAGAGACCATCTTGGAGAGGCCCTGGGAATAAGGAGAAAACAAAAAGGGCTCAGTCGTCAAAATCACACTGAGTTTACTGAATTGAAATGTATCTTGATTTTCGTCTTTTCCTATTTCCTGCCCATCTACCCAGTGTGAAATGTGTGTGTGTGTGTGTGTGTGTGTTGGGGGGAGTAGGGGTGAGTTTGGTGGTCTGAGGGCTACAGACATTCAAACCCACTACAGAAAATAAAACAATTATGTCTTCTTTGCACTGAGTATAATAACCTGTAGAGATTACCTTGTTCAGTGACTTCCAACATTTTCTTAGCAAGACCTTGAAAGGGTCATAAGTAAATCTATGACCCTGAACATTTCATTTGGAAAAAAGGGTTATTTGCTAAAAGAATATATTGAAAGTCACTGGACAAGGTAATCTCTATATATTATTTTCTCTGAACTTTTATTATTTTATTCTAAGGTGTTAGGAAGTCAGTATAGTCACCAATCAACAGGCCAGGCAGTGAGCCAGCAGTGGTTATGAGTAAAGGTCCTAGACTGTATGTTACTGGGGATCATGTGGTGCTTATGATTATATACGTGTGTAGATTAGGTGGTGATGCAAAACGTATTTCTTTCTGTGGGTCATGGTCAAAGAAGTTGGAAAACACTTGTCTAGATGGAGAGATGATATACACACATGTAACTTGAGCTTTCAAGTTCTAGATAACAGGTTACACGAGCACTGCCAAATCAAAGGTCACAGGGCTTCGTCTGTTGACAGAGAGCCTTCATTTCAAGGCCATCATGAGTCTCAACTGCTCTTCCCGACCTTGGATCTTTCCCAATAAGTTTCCTCTCTCTCAGCATCTTTTTTTTTCATCTGCATGTGTGAAGAGATTTATATTCCTTGCAACCAAAAATACCTTGAAGAGATTTATATTCTTTGCAACAAAAAATAACTTAAATGAGATAAGAAGAGAGATCTTGCGTATAAGGAGCAAATTTGAAAGACTTACTTTGTTTTTTCTTTCTCCACACCATGATTCTGTATTGAAAGGCTTAAATGAAATGGTAAAGTGCCTGAGGATGAAACTGAAAGCCAATCCCTTCTTTGTCCCATTCAAGGTGCTCTGAGTCTGGCTTCAGGTTTCCCACCATATTCCTCTCTGTCCTCAACGTGCCCCTGAGCTCCAGCCAGGAGCTTCTCCTATAGGTCCTCTACCTGCCTTGCCAATTCCTACCTCAATCTCATCCTCCAATTTTTATTAGTTCTTCAACTTTGTCCAATTTCTGCTTCCTCCTCAAGGTCATCTCCACACCAACCTCTGAACTGCTCTGGGAGGCAGCACTTTATAGTGGTTCAAATCCTGACTCTGTCAGTTACTAGCTATGCAATATGAAGACTTAACGTCTGTGTCTCAGTTGTCTTGTCTGTCAAATGGGGTAATAATAGCATCTACCTCTTAGGGTTGAGGAGTAAGTGCTTAAAAGAGTGCCTGGCATGGAGAGCACAATCTGCTCTTGGCAGTAACTTGTTTGTCCCACTGTTAACTACTTGTACGTGTTAATCATGACTCCTTGCCCCTCTCACTCCAATACTAGCTTCTAAACTGTTTTCATTGACCTATTCTTACTACAGCCTCTCAGTCTATAATTTCCCATTTCCACAGACTGCAGATGCTTCTCTTTTTGGTAACTGAGACAGTATTAACCTAGCTCCAGTCTTTGACTCTGCCCTCACTGTTTATAATTTCACAGAGATTTGCAGCTCTGGGGCTCTGATAACATCTGCAGGTTCTTTCAGTGTCTTAGAATCAATTTATCTGGGTTAGGGCCTTGAACTCACATAAAGCAGCTGTTATGGGATCTTGTGTCTTCTCATCCATCCCTGGCTTCCATTCTTTGTTGACAGTGTGTATTCTACTCTCTGCAGAGTCATCTTCATTTTTCTTAATGGTGAAGAGGAAAGTAAGCAGGATTTGCGTAATTCTGCCTTCTCTCTGCTACTGGATAACTTTATATTTTCTGACTCAAGGGTTGTACCTATTCCCTTCTGGTATATAACTTACAGTGGCCTTATGATTGTCTCTGTCATGCTGTACAAGGCTTTCCTGATGCTCTGCAGATCTGAGTTATGAAGCTGGACTGCTGTGTCATGACTGTGCTTCTTCTAGGACTTTCCCCGTTTAGCTCCTACTTGTGGTGTTATGTGCTTTGGCTTCCATATTTTGTTTTGTTCAAGATCTGTTTTTTATTTGCTCCCCTGGCCTTCCTTGCCCCACTGCATGATGAAATTCAGCGTTCAGATGCCTAGCTTCCCTAGGGATGCATCCTCATTCAGGAGATCTTTGGTCCTGGTATGGCCTGGGTCCCATAGAGAGATAGAAGGAAACTCCATCTTGGAATGGAGTTGGTGGTATATTCAACACTGTGATCATGAAGTTGAGACCATATACATTTTGGAATCTGATCTCTGGGCTCTGTTTACCATGATTTGGGCCTTTCTTCAGAGAGAGTTGATAGCCAATGTGTTATTGAAGTCAGGAAGTAGTTAGAGGGAGGCAATTTCCAATTCGACTTGAAGAACTTTTGAATAAGCTGATTTCTGAGGCCATTAAGTTCCCTGTCATTGAAAGTGTTCAAGCTAAGACCAGATACTCTTTTATTTAGGGTATTGGAATCAGATTTCTGCATTGAAAGGACAATTAGAGTAGAAAACCACTGAGGTCCCTGTTCTATGGAAGATTAAACTCAGGGTATCTGTTTACTTTTTTTTTTTTTTTTTTTTTTTTTTTTTAAAGATAAAAGGCATTTCTTGGTGCCTAGCCCAGCACCCAAGACAGACGGGGCTTAGAGTGAGTGCTTGCTTTAGGGAGTACATTGTTGAACCTTAAATGTCTGGGCCTTCTGTTCCAAGCTCACTTCTCACTCAAGACTCCAGACATACAGAAGTGTTTTCACTCCCTTTACTAATTCCTATTCTCTCTCACTTCCTGGTCTTTGAACATGTGACTTCATGGTTAAGTTTTTTCCCCTGCTTTTTCATATGGCGAACTCTTAACTCCATTATCAGGATAGTCTGGCCTGGGTGTCCCCCGAGCGTGCTCCAAGGCACTCTGGGCATGCGTGTGTCTCAGAGGACTCATGACTCGTGGTGCTGTAACTGCTTCCTTGTCTCTCTCTCATATGAAGCATGGCTCTTCTAGGGTCTAGGGATAGTGGCTATTGCCTCTTCATTTCTCCCGGTTTCTACCACAGAGCCTGGCAACACTAGGGGCCTAATCTATGATTGTTAAATGAGTAAAATGAGCTGCAACTGAGGGCTTTAGGGCTTGCAGTCCTAACATGCATCTGTTCCCTGATTTATTTCTGTCCCTGACGCTTTCTGTACAGGACTGAATTATAAAAACCTTTCTAAGGAAAAATAAATTATGACATAAGAGAAATTGCCTTAGAGCATTGGAGACACCAAGTCAACCAGCGTTTCTTTCTCGGCTAGTGCTGGCAAATGACAGAGAAGTTAAGCTGACTTGGGCAATCCTTATCTACCTTTTACTATGATTTGGCAGAATTAAGTTATTCTCTATCTTGCCCTTTGGGGAATAGGTGGATAGTTTAAAATTTAAACCAGGGCCCTGTTTGGGATATCAGATCTGGATAAATTTTTCTCCAAACTGATAGTGGTAGCTGGAGGAATCATTCAGTGTGCACTGGAACTTTCTCTGGGTGCCTGTTTAATTAACAAAGTTTATTTTAAAGCTGTGCTTTCTGTTCTTTAATGCGTGCATGTCATTTCCTAACCAAATTTATGAAAATGGATTGGGATGGTGAGCATTTAAAGAACTTCAGGGAATAAGCCAGAAATGAAAGTTTGAAACAAGGGTAATTATTATTGCATGCATGTCGTGTTTAAAGTCTTGGCCTTCCTGGGAATAGGTTGACTTCACAGAATGCCTTATTAATTGAAGGGAAAACAAATCTGCTGTTGGAATAGTTCTTTCTTCTCCTTGGGTTCACCTTGGCAGAATCACTTCAGCTTTCTGGGACTCAGTTTCCTCAGCTGAAATATTAGGGGTCTGTCTTTGTCCATCTTTAGGATCTTTTCAGCTTTATATATCGTTAAATTGGGCACACATGTCTGCTTTTCCTTTTTATGAAGACCTGTACCAGAAAAGTAGCTTTGTGGCTGAATTGATTAACTTATTTAACATTATTTATTTATGCAATGAATGTTTATTGAATGCATCTTTACTGTGTGCAGGTCACTGAGTTTACACAAAGTCCCTGTCCTTATGAAGCTTATAGTCTACAGCAGGGGTTGGCAAAATTTTTCTGTAAAAATCCAGATAGTAAATACTTTTGGCTTTCCAGGCCGGTCTATCAAAACTACTACTCAACTCTGTCATTGCAGTGGGCAAGCAGCCACTGATAATGTGTAAATGAGTGAGTGTTAGTATTTAAGACAGCACTTTATTTACAAAAACAGGTGGTGGGCCTGCTTTGGCCAATGGGCTATAGTTTGCCGATCTCTAAGTAAGATGGTGAAGACATTCGATAAACATAAACAAATAGATACATAATCTTTAAGTGGAGATAAGTGCCAAATTCCCTGAGATATAAGATCAATGTGAGACACAACATCCACTAGCATATTTTAGGAAAATCTAAATTTATCTCTTTGTTACCAATGTAAAGACTGGAAAAAAAAGGCTGATCTGCTTTGTGGGTTTTTTGCTGTCGCTAAAAAACGACAGCAATTTGAGGATACTCCTTTGTGCAGAAGTGTACTTACGGATCTGTCCAGGAGACTTACGATTAGCAATGAAAATAATTCCACTACCCAGAGATGATTTTGCTGCTCTTGTTGCTGAAATAGTGACATTGCCTTTCTCTGCAGTCATTTTTGGTTCTTTTGTTTTTGTGGCAAGCTGGTCTGGTGCACAGGGAGGCTGGCTGAGTCCTTGGCCATAAATCCTCATGTGGTCTTTGCCCCATACCTTATCTGCATCAGGCCTGTTGGGCTGATTGAGAAAAAAAAAGACCCCATCGTTGACGTGTCTGGACAAAGAGCAAGTAACATTTTGACTCCCTGTGGAGTGAGACCTAGCAAGCAGATATATAATGATATTTTGCCCCAAGAAAATTCGTGGCAGGATTTTCTGATGCTTGTAAAAGCAGACAACTGGACTCTGTCACTATGTTCAGATGCATGTAATACACATTGAGTGCCCTTCCTTCCTCCTGAACAGTCAACAGCAGGTCACCTGAGGGTGCTAAACCGCTTAATTAAGAATCCTTAAGGGAAAAGAAATGGGTACTTATTGATTGTCTACTATGGAGCATTTTAGACACTTTATCTCACTTACTCTCTATAACTTACCCTGTTTGGTAGAAATTATTATACCATTTGACCCAGGAGGAAATTAAGGATAAGAGAAACTAAGTAGGTTAAGTCACTTGCTCCAAATCATATAACTAATAAATAACTAATCAGGGATTTAGCTGCAGCTCTGACTGCAGAGGTTCTTTCTACTATATGCTGCCTGAAAGAGTTTAATGAAAAATAGTCAAGCTATTTTGTCAGCAATTCAAAGAGAGAAATAGAGTTGAAACCTAGTACAAATTGGAATCCAGTATGAAGCCTTCCATTTATAGGCAGGGAGGCAAGGGCCCCATGTGGTGTTTCTCAGTCTTGGGGCCACATTGGAATCATTTGGGGTGCTTGAAAAATGCTCATGCTATGTCTCATTCCCAGTGATTCTGAATGAATTATCCTGGGGTGCAACGTAGCATAGGGATTTTTAAAAGCTGATCAGGTAATTCTAGTGTGCAGCCAGCCAAGGTTGAGATCAACTGGCCTAAGGAGCTTTTATGATGTCCTGATAAAGGGTTGATGTCCTCTTGCAAGTTCATCTGAATACGGTTAATGGAGGACTTGAAAAATACAGACAAATATTTCTGAGACAGGAAAGACATGATCCCTGGAGTTTCAGGTTACAGCAGCCTTTTGTCCAAATCACATTAACTTTCACGGCTTACTCTGAATGCTGATACTCATTTGATTCCCTTTCAGACCATCTTTCTTAGGGACTTAGAGTGTGATTTTAAAGCATTTTAAACTATGAATTTGGGATCTAGCATTTAGAACTTTGCTTTAGTAAGGAAGCATGATAATGATAATGATGGAATGTACAATTTCAGAAAGGCTGAGAATAAATAACACCAAGCTGGAAATTTTTCTTCTTAATTTTTATTTCTAGAAGAGTTCCTAATTTAGTGGAATGCAAGTGTGGATAAAGTCTCAGGGTAAGGGCATAGGGGGAAAATCTCATCTGAATTCAGGGTGCGTGAGAAAAGCCCGATACACTGATCTTCATTACATGGCTTTCTCTAGCTCTTTTTCACAAGCTCAGCTAGAAGAGACAACAGCAATGAAAACGAGCTGTCGTTGGATTAGTAGCAGTGGTGCTTTTCAGTAAGAGTGGATTTTAGAGAGCCAGTGGAGTGGCAGTTGACAGTTTATAAAGCATATTGACATACCTCCTATGGTAGAGCGATTGCAAAATGGCCCCAATTCTACACTCCTCCCTCTATACATGCCGTTTACAAGGTAATTTTGAAGTCAGTTTCCCTAGCCCTGGAATCTGGGCTGGCCTTGAGACTTATTTTAACAAACAGAATATAGTGTAAGTGATGTGCCAGTTTTGACCCTAGAACTCAAGAGAACTTGCATTCTTTCCTCTCTTACAAGCCTTGCCTGTGTTACAGGAACAAGTCTAGGCTTGCTTGTTAGAGATGAGAGGCCATGTGAAACATAGCCAGTCATTCCAGCAAGGCCATCCTAGGTCAGCCAATATCCAGCTGACCACCAGACTCATGCTCAGACCATTAGAACCACCCCATCAAGTCCTGCCAAGATCAACAGACTGCCTAGCCTTCTCACAGACTGTGGAGAAATAGCAAATAAGAGTTGTTTTATGCCATTAAGTTATTGTGGCAAAAGACAATTAATACACATCCTCATGTGACTATAGAAGTAATTATAATAATTCCTTTCTAGATGAAGAGACTGATGTTCTGAGAGGTTACATTTAGGAGCTATCCCACCATTGTGGAAAGGAGGGATGCTTTCAAATCATGTACGTACTTTCAAACCAGGGAAACCCCTCATTCTGAGATCTCCTAGTTGTAAAACCCAGGGCTGATTATTTGTTTTTTGAATCTGTTTCTCCATCCATAAAGTGGGGTAATAGGATCTTACTTTTAAAGTTGCTATGAGGATTGTGTAAAGGAATGAGTTCATGGTAAACACTGTATAAATCGTAGCTCTGATAATGATGTTGATGGTGATGAGCATTGCTTGATTACACAGCCAGGAGGTGTCAGGGACAGGAATTCAGGCCTTTTAATTCCCAAATTCATCAGACTTCTATATTTTCTTTTTCCTTTGTTTCTCTCCATTTCCTTTTCCCTTTGCTTTCCATTTCCCTGTTTTCTTTACGCACCTCCTCTGATGTGTTTTAATAATTTATTTTATATTTTCAAGCCAGTATCAGCTGTAATTGAAAAAAACTTTACTTTGAACTAGAGTGGATTGAAGATCTTCCACTGGCAACAGGAACTTTTCTGGTTCAAGGTTTGTCAGGAAGAAAGAAGGGAGTGCCTACCATACAGGCAATCAATAATGTCTGCTACCTTACAGCCACCCTACAAAACAGAGAGTATCCTGTTTTGAGTATCCATAGACACCTTAGTTATGAGAATTGAAGAAAACTCACTGAACATAGGAATCTGAGCAGCTGAGTTAAGGAAACACCAAATACACAAGAGAAGTAAGAAGTATATAATAAGCACTATGACCTCCTGAAAAGTTCCACAAATAAGGGCCATAGGATAGTTTACATTTATTTTCTTAATAAAACTTTAATAAAATTTTAATATTTATTTGTTTATGTTTCAGACAGAGTCTCCCTCTATTGCCCAGGCTGGAGTGCAGTGGCATGATCTCAGCTCACTGCAATCTCCACCTCCCGGGTTCAAGTGATTCTTGTGCCTCAGCCTCCCGAGTGTCTGGGATTACAGGTGCCTGCCTCCACACCCAGCTAATTTTTGCATTTTTAGTAGAGATGGGGTTTCATCGTGTTGGCCAGGTTGGTCTCAAACTCCTGGCCTCAAGTGATCTGCCTGCCTTGGCCTCCCAAAGTGCTGGGATTACAGGCATGAGCCACCATGCTCATCCTTAAATTTTAATATTTATAAAACAAACCAGTAACCCTGTTTGTCCTTGAAGCACTTTCTACTCATCTTGCATAAAGATTATTCACCCTCAATGATAATTTTTATTATGCTTATTATTCTTGTCCAGCCCCCAATCGCCCACATCTGTGTATTTGAGAACACAGTTTTATTCTTTCTCTTCTACTTTATTGCAATAAGATTAACTCCTCGGGGTAAACATTTTAGTCCTCGTTTTACACATTTTGTTCATTTGTTTATTATTTCTCCACATTCCGATGATTTTTCTTCACAAACTCCCAGGGACCAGTGGATGCGGATGTTTTGCAGCACAGAGCTCAGATGTGTGGGTGTTCAGCAAACACCGCTAACTTTGTAGATAACTACAGGAGCAGGAGCTATGGAGAAGAAAAACAGTGCATCTCCAGATCCCACTGCCTAAGATTCTGGAGAGAAAGGAAATGTATATCAAGATAATTTGTGGAAACAATTACTCAGTACTGCTGCTTTCATCAAAATGTCTTCTAACCAAAATTTGGAAGCCACTATTAATCAAGTTGCCTTGGGAAAGATCACTACGTCCCTCAGGATCCTGCTTTTAGCACCAAAAAGCAGATGTTTTGCTAGATAAGAAACAAGCATTTTAAACTGCAACATGCAGAGTATAGTCAGCAAGAAACATTAAGTTTGAGAGTCATGGTTATGTTTTGTCCTCCTGGAATTATTAACTCCAATAATGCTAACAAGATGTAGTCCCTAGCCTTCTGAGGCTGCTGGTCCTTTTATTTCAGATCAAGCTTTTCTATTATTTCTAGTTTTAACCTGGTTTAATCATTAAAAACCTGATGATTCAATCTATCGTACTCTAGGTATAATTATATACACAGGTTTAAAAAAATCAGTAATTTTGCAAGTTTAAGCATAATTTAAAAAACCATGCCTTCAGAACTATAGCTCACCACACTTGTACTTTCAGTTTTCATTTCCATGTCTCTCTATAACTAACCTTCTACTTCCCCTTGGGTGGCAAAATAGAATGTTATTTTGAGTTGAAAATAACTTAAATGGAATATTCTGGATTTGTTTATTTACAAGAAAGTGGTAGCTGGTCAAACAATCTGAAGAAAGAGAAACAAAACACTCATTTAATTTGTAGTTTATAATCAAGTTTTGATTTGTTTGTTTTGTGCTTTTCCTACGTAATTGTTGAACCAAGGATACTGATGGTGCAGAGCTGGAGGTATGGCTTGGTAAATAAGCACCCTTAATTTTCTTTTTTTTTTTTTTTACAGCAGATAAATTTAAATGCACGGAGCCTTGAAATCTGAGCATTGAATGGTACTCTGGGTATCATTTAACCTTCACACACCATAATGAGGCCCTTTATAGCGTTCTATCAGACAGTCACGCTCTCTCGATTTGGACGCTTCTGGTGAGGGGGGACGCATTACTTGAAGAGGCAGCATGCCCATTATGGCATTGCACATTTTATTATAAAAGTTGTAATTAACTACTGAATTCCATTCTTCACAGTGCAGTGTTATAGTGTGGGCAAAGGCACTGACGTGATCTGAAAGTAGGCCCCAGGGTAGAAATTAGAAGCTCTTTTGTGCATACCATGCACAGTCTTGTTGTTGGTACCAGGTTGTGCTGCCTCTGCTTTCTGCTAAGTGAATCCAGGGATATGATAGATTTGAGGAAATGGTCAGCATATATTTTAGTTTTTTTCCTAGATGTTCCAATTGGCCTTGGACTTGGCTGCAGCAGCATAGGTGAACATTGAGGATGCTGTTCCCTAAATTTAACTATAGAATGGGAGTTGTGGATAGGGGTGGGGACTGTCTGTCTGTGGTTGGACTTGACTTGGTACTAGGTAAGTTTAGTGTGTCCAGAACCTTATCTTCATCAGCTTTTTTTCTTTTTTTTGAGATAGGGTCTCGCTCTTCTGTCCAGGCTGGAGTACAGTGGCACATTCTTGGCTCACTGAAACCTCCACCCCCAGGGCTCAAGCCATACTCCCACCTCAGCCCACCAAGTAGCTGGGACTACAGGTATGTGTCACCATGCCCAATAATTTTTGAATTTTTTGTAGAGACAGGTTCTCACCATGTTGCCCGGGCTGGTCTCAAGTGACTGAGCTCAAGTGATCTGCCTGTCTTGGCCTCCCAAAGTGCTGGGATTACAGGTGTGAGCCACTGTGCCTGGCCTTCATCGGCTTTTAAAAAACTGCTTCCTGAGATGAGTTGAACCATAGATTGAGAGGTTTACTTTTCTCTCAGAATGTCATTAGCAAAGACTTTTCTTTTGTGCCATTGTCCCTGAGTTTTCTTCATAAGGTTAAAATAAACTATACACAGACAAATGGATTGTGGGATGAAACATTGAACTACTTTTATAAGTAATAAAAGGGAATCTGAGCACTTTACTATTGTGTAAATTCTATTAATTTAGTTTTTGTGTTAGAAACTTGCTAGATATTAATAAATTCCATTTCCTTTTCCTGGGCAAGAGGAAGACTGCAGTTCTCATTCTTTGCAGTTGGTTTGAGGCCATGTCACAAAACCCATTGTGCAATCTTTCACACTTGCTTTCCCTTTGTGTTGATGACGACAATGTCAAAAGATGCATGGAGACTTAATCCTTGGGTCATTTAAAATTCTTAATTATTCCATAATTATTTTTGTCATCAAAACCATTATAATTTAAGCAATTAAAAAATTCTCCATATTTCTTCACCTTATTAGTTATTTTAATTCTGTATGTGAAAGATGAAATAAGAAACATGGTAAGTTGGCAATTTTAAAATAATGACATAATTCTAAAGGAAATTACTTTAGACATGAGATAGAGGATAAGGGAGAAAGACTTAAAAATTTAATATTCAGAGGTTGGACAAATGAAACACTGACAAATAACCTTTCAAAGCTCATCTCAATGTGAATGTTTCTGAAACTTGATTATATGCCCCCATGTTAAAATCAATGCTTTTTTCAAATGCTACAACAAATGACTCCTGAAGGGTCCAGTTTGCTTTTCAATACAGCTTAAAATCAACGGGAAAATATTAGTGCAGTAAAGCATGTAGTATTGTAATAGAATTTTTCTCTCCATTTACCTCAGTGGCAATGCTTCAACAGAGTTGTATGAGCAGTCGTGATATGCAATATATTATTTTTATAAATCTTAATAAAAATACACTTTTTTATCAGCTTTTTCAAGATTGATATACTCTGGTCAATATGACACAAATCTTGTTGAAAAATTACAGGTAAAACACAAGATAAGCATGCAATCAATTTAAAGCACAGTTTGTCCTGGTGAACAGTTTGTAATGACTAATCTGTAGGAACCTTGATTACTCAGTTGAATTGAGGTACTAGCCTGGCATGGTACCAGGCTTCCTGTTCATGCATGTCCATCCACCCACCCAGTTGCTGCCTCTACTTCATAATACGCTCTCCCACATCTCTGCTTTAGCCTCACACTTTGAATATTCTTATTTTTGTGGATGCAACTGCTTTTTGTGTGAGCATATCTACAGCTTCATTAACCTTTATTCCTTTGAAACTCAGGTTCCTCCTTAGGTTTAATTTATGTCTTTCTGCTTTTGAATTTTCAAAGATGGGCTTGAATAACAATGGGAGCATTTGGGAAAATCTAATAATTATCCCAGCTTGGCCACTACCAAATTGCATAATTGCAAGCAAATTATCCTACGTTGCTGAATCTCTAACTTACTGTCAGGAACTGATGACAATTAACCACTATTTAACTCGAAATAGATGATTCATTTCGATATTTGTCCTTTAAAATGCTAGAAAAACCTATTATGGCTGATAAGAGGGCTATAAAAAACAGTGTGGCGTGGAGCTTTGCATCAGAAAAGCTGTGTGCATCTAGGCTCTGCCATTTATTGACATAAAATCTGAGACAAGTAGTTTCATCTCTGCATTTGTTTCTTCAAATATGGACTGGGGTAATTTTACTAATCACAGGGATGTTTTGCGAATGAGATGGGGTCATGTAAACAAGTGCCTAGCACAGTACTGCTCTGTAGAAAGGGCTCAGTAAAAACTTAAGTTGGAAAACATTAGGTACGAAACCCAAGTTCCCCTGCAAAGGGCATACAGCAGTGAAAAATGACAGTCCTATAAGTGTCAGCTGTCTGTTTGTTGATCCAGGGTAATTCAAAATTTATTCTGAATAATGAATTCTGATTTAATAATTCCTATTTTTTACTACTTTTTGTTTTAGAGATAGGGTCTCAGTGGCACAATCCTAGCTCACTGCAGCCTTGAACTCCTGGGCTCAAGCATCCTCCCACTGTAGCCTCCTGAGTAGCTGGGACTACAGGTGCACATCACCATGCCCAGCTAATTTTTATTTTTGTAGAGACAGGGTTTCGCTATGTTGCCCAGGGTGGTCTTGAACTCCTGGCCTCAAGTGATTATCCCACTTTGGCCTCCCAAAACTCTGGGATTACAGACATGAGCCACTGTGCCTGGCTTAATGCTTGTTATTTAATTAACTTTGAAAGTAAAGAAGGAAAAAAGGGGAGGGTTTTTAAAAAAAATTTACTTATTTTACTAATTACTTATAGTTCTGAAAGAAAACCAGTCAGTAAATCAAAAGTCCTGCCAATTCACTCCTTGCTCCAAACCTGCTAGAGTCCGTGGTATTTGGAATAAAATCTAGTCCTCACCAGGGCCCACAGAGCCCTCCCTCAGTTGCAGGCTGCCTCTGTGCCTCTCTGGCTCCGCTCTGCTCCTCACCTGCTCTTCTCAGCCCCACCTGCCTTCGTGCAGCTTTTGTATACTCTGAGTCCGTTCCCATCTGAAGCCCTGTGACACTGCCACCCTTTACTTGGAATGTTACTTACCTTCCTTACAGGTTTTTGCGTAGCTAGGTCCTTTCCATTCAGTGTCCCCTCCAATCACACTTTCTCAGTAAGAAATCTCTAAAATAGACACCTCTGCCCCTCACCCCGTCACCCTCTCTCTCATTAATCTACATATTTTTCTGATGAAATTATAAAAATATAAAAAGCATGTATTACTTAAAGTTATGTATATATTTGTTTACTTTTTATCTGTCTCTCCCACTAAAGGTAAGTTCTAAGAGAGCAGATGATGTCTTGTTCATTGCCATCCCTTGTCAAAGAGGAAAATACATGTTATTACATAATATATCTAATAACTACACACTATGTATTATAAATCAAGAAATATTACCTGGAGTACCGCTCCCTGGATCAGTGCTCAGCACCCGTAGGCATTCATAAATTTTTACTGCACGAATGCATTTTCTGTGTGGATTGACCTTCTTACTATTTTAGACATTGGGATACAGTGTTTAACATGTGAGAAAACAGTAAAAGGTCCAAATGTTAGGGACTCAGAGCTCTCTGCAACTGAGAGCTTGCTTAAGAAAATACTTTTAGGAGCATTGGTTTCCTTTTGGAAAAACAGGAAAAAGAGAAAGAGGTTATAGGAGGAAGATGTTGACTCAGGACCCCAGAATTGCTTTGGATGCCAAGGACCTTCTAGAAATTGGAAATGACATGATTTCTAGGACAATGTGGAAGATGTGACTATTGGGCCGTGGGGTGGAGAGAAAGGTCATTATAAGAGTCAGGACTGGAGACCAAGGCTGGGCCTGACAAAGATGAAACTGAAACTGAAATGAGACTGGGTGACTCTGTGTGTGTGGTTTTTTTTTTTTTTTTTTTTTTTTGAGACAGAGTGTCGCTCTGTCGCCCAGGCTGGAGTGCAGTGGCGGGATCTCGGCTCACTGCAAGCTCCGCCTCCCAGGTTCACGCCATTCTACTGCCTCAGCCTCCCGAGTAGCTGGGACTACAGGCGCCCGCCACTACGCCCGGCTAATTTTTTGTATTTTTAGTACAGACGGGGTTTCACCGTTTTAGCCGGGATGGTCTTGATCTCCTGACCTCGTGATCCGCCCGCCTCGGCCTCCCAAAGTGCTGGGATTACAGGTGTGAGCCACTGCACCTGGCCTGGGTGACTGTGTTTTGTTCGTGAAAGCTACTGACATGGGCCAGCCCACAAGGACGCTGAATGCTGCCAGGCTGACCTACAGGGTGGCCTCTGTGATTCTGTCCTGCACGTGGATGATGTCCATCACAGCCATATTCCCTCCCACCCCGTCTCCTGCCCTCTCATCACAATTATTATTATTATTATTTTTACCTTTATGGCCTTATTTGCTTTCTACATTTATGACATTTTAATCTTTTTAAATTTGCAAAGAAAGGTATGCTTAAGATAATGATTCAAATATTACAGAAGGGTTTCTGAGAAAAGCAACTGGCTCCAGTCCCGTGTAGCTTCTTCCCTCAGTTCTGGTTCCTGGAGGCCACTTCTTGTAACTACTTGTATTTTTAGTGCTGATGTTTAGTGCCAAAACTCTAGATTAGTCCTGTCCAATGGAAATCTAATGTGAGCCATATATACCATTTTAAATTACAGGCACACCAAAAAAGTAAAAGTACACATATAAAACGAATTTTAATAATATATTTAATTTAACCTAGTATATCCAATATATTATTTCAACACATAATATAAAGATTATTAATGAGATAGTTTTCATTTTTATGTTGTTTTTGAAATTGGTTGTATATTTTAAACTTGCAGCAGATGACAATTTAAGTGCCCAACACCCACATGTGATTGGTGGCCACTATATTGCACAGTGGCCCTCCAGGTAATATTTCTTGATTTATAATATATAGTGTGTAGTTATTTAGATATATATTATGTAATAACATGTATTTCGTCTTTGATAGGAAAAAAAGGTTGCTTACACACAGCTCTCTCCTCATGTTTTCTTTCTAATGCTTTTAGATATATACATGTATTTGTATTATACATAATTTATACTTATAATTTTAGTTCTTTTATTGGCTACTTTTATAACTTTATTTTTATTTATTTATTTATTTATTTATTTTTTTGAGGCGGAGTTTGACTCTTGTTGCCCAGGCTGGAGTGCAATGGCGTGATCTTGGCTTACTACAACCTCTGCCTCCAGATTCAAGAGATTCTCCTGTCTCAGCCTCCCAAGTAGCTGGGATTACAGGTGCCTGCCACAAAGCCTGGGTAATTTTTTGTATTTTTAGTAGAGACTGGGTTTCACCATGTTGGCCAGGCTGGTCTCGAACTCCTGACATCAGGTGATCCGCATGCCTCTGCCTCCCAAAGTGCTGGTATTACAGGTGCGAGCCACTGCACCCAGCCAGTTACTTTTATAACTTTAAATAATGTCCTTGAAGCTTTGTTTCTGGTTCTTTAGCTTCAATAATATCTCAATTATATGTCTTAACCCCTCATTTTAGGATGTTACCATTCCTACCACATTCTATACATTTCCTTCCTCTGTCTAAGTTCCATCTTCCATCAGCTCTGATTATATTGGACTCCAGTTGTAAATATTTATATTTGATTCTGCAACCATGTGTTTTAGCCTTTCTAAAAAATTAAATGTACATGGAGTGAGAGAACCTCTGTGTATTAATTTTGATTAATACAGATGGCAATCCAGACAACCATAACTTGATCTACACAGAGCTCAAGTCTAAACAGAGAAGGACTTCCCTTTCTACCAACCAGTAGATTATGTGGTCATGGTTTTTGATAATGGAATGAAATACCAGATACTAATTTGAACTGGGGCTTTTATTATTTTATGAGTCCATTCCTGGAGATTAAATATAGTAAGGAAGTAGATTCACATTTGATGTGTAAATGATTTTTCCTCCTTCTGAAAAGCTAACTCTTACGGATCAGGATTATTGTTCTGCAGAGATCAAATGCTGAGACCCCAGAATCAAAGGAAACACAGGGTCAGAGAGGTCATGTGAATTTTAGTGGCACTGGGGCTGACGTTCACAGAGAAGTGTATTTGCAGTTATTTTTGTTTTCTAAATCAGAATTTGGTGTATTAAAATTACCAACTAAAAATATTTTCAATTGAACAATGATTACTCAACTCATAATTACTATTTATAAATCCAGTAAATGTTACCAATCACTTTAAAAGAGTTTATTAATTAACTTGATTAATTTTGCTCCCTTAAACATTTTAAACTTTAATGGACTTGCTTTTCTGAAGAGCCAAACACTTAACAAGTTATTCATCTGTAAGTACCTAAAATGCTCTAGTTAATTTAGTACGTTTATAAATATTGTAAATCTCAAGTTCTTTGATATATTCTAATAGTATATACAAACATAAGCAAATCATTTATATCTTTTAACTTAAAATCATATCTAAAAATCAATTATTTATATATAAATTGGGATGATCAGACTAATCTGCCAGATGCTTTGATGTATCAGATTCCTTAAGCCACTTAAAAATATTGATACCATGGATTTATTTATTTTATCACCTCTATTTATCTCCCAATATTCTTGGCATTAAAAGGCCTTCACCCACTGAGGACAGGGTTACCATCCTGAGTGAATTAGGGTTACTTTTCAACTGGCTGAGAGGGCTAATTGACCAGAGATTTGGGGTTGGGGCAAGAGTAGGAGCTGCAGACGTTAAGGGAGGTTTATCTTTACGGCTGTGTTGAAATGATAATATGTTGGATATACTAGATTAAATAAAATATATGATTAAATATATTATTTGCCCAAGGATCTGATATGTAAATTCCAATTGTTTTGCAACCTAGGTCCCAGGAGTTCAAATTAAGGCCTTCTTAATTCTTGTGTGACGTATTGCACCTTTATTGCTTGATCTTGGTAAATAAAATTCTGTAACTCCTACCCAAGTTGTTTTATGATGAGATGGTAGTCAGTGAACTAATTTAAGGTTAGAGTCCATCCTTAATTCTTTTTCTCCTCTTCTCTTACTGACAGGGCTGGGACTTACATGTATTTGAATGAATTCTATATATTTCCCCTCTTTTCCTGACTCTTCAGTGACAATCCTAAGACCATGCTAATAACAGAAGACAGTAATCCCTTTTCTTAGCCAAACAATTTGGAAGCCATGATTTTCTTTGCATATCATGAAAGTGACCATGGTGTTGGATATTGTGGTAGAACTTTCAAGTAAAAAAGAACTGTCATTCAACTGAATTGGAAGCCTCCAAGACTGCTGAGCACCCCATGTCTTCGAGTGCACCGAGGCTGGAGGAATGCTACAGAGGGAAACTTGCTTTGGAAGAAGGTGGTCTTCATAGCTTCCAATGTCTCCTATGCTCCCATAAATAAGAGCAGAAAACAGAGACTATAAAACTTTTGGGTCTCTGATTTTTCAGACTCTTTTCTTATTAATTCCAGCATATGCACCTACTGATGATGACTTCCTGAGTGACTGATGTGTGCCAGGTCCTGTAGTTGTTATAGTTAAAGAGAATAAAAGATCCTTCCATTGCTATGGTGATATTTTTGCCACTAACCAGTTACTCATCACTCCCAGTTGGAACATAGCTAATATCATAGGTCAGTATCTGAAGTGTTCCTTGTGTCATACTTCTCCAGGGGACAGAATTGCAGGACTCTGAAATTCTTTCTGCTGACCTTTGCGCCTTTTCTGACTGCAGTGTGCAACCATGTGTGTCTTCTCTGTACTTGCGTGGGTAAGACCAGTTGGGCTTGCTGTCCAGGCAGCTTGTAAATAGACTAGGAGTCTACTCAGAAAGCTGATCATTCTAGATTTCAGAGAATCAGGAGGAGGAAGCCTAGCTTGAACTCATGGCCTCATTTTCCAATTCAAGAGTTGGGTTTTGGGCATTTGCCCAACTATTGATAAAATTAGTACTTATTTCTCATTTGACTATTGATTTTTTTGTGGGTATGTTTCTTTTGGTTGAGAATCAATAGTTATAGATGAAGAATGGGGAGGATGTAAAATCCGGTTCTCAGCTCTGATAGGTTTCCATATGTAGAAAGATTAAGTAACTTGTCTTAGTCACATAACTAGTAAGCGGTCCAACTGGGGTTTGCACATAGGTCTGTCTCTAAAACCAGAATGATTCCACATTGCCTCCCTACTTCTGAACCAGTACAAGCTTTGAGCAGGGGAGTGATCATGACCACCACATGTGGCTGCTGCATCTCAGGGGGTGCCAGTTGCAGTGTAGACATACGCTAACTCAGTGGTTCACACACTTTTTGATATCAAGACTCCTTTACATTCCTAGAAATGATTGAGGATTTCCAAGAGCTTTTGTTTAGATAGGTTATATCTTTTGCTATTTACTGTATTAGAATTAACACTGAAAATTTTATAACATAGGAGCATGCATTCCATTAGCCCTTAGAGTGATGAGGTCATCGCACATTGTGTAACATCAAAAAATTTTTACTGTACACTCAGGAGAGACAGTGGAAAAACATGTCTAAATATTCTGAAAATAGTTTTGACCTTGAGGTATCTTAAAAGCACAATGGAGAATCGCTAAGGCCCCTTACCACATTTTGAGAGCCACTGTAGTAACTGATTCAAGAGCAGGTGAGCAGGGGTGAAGATTCAGGGGTTTCAGGCGAGTACTACAGTTGCAGGAGAGACTCTCCCAATAGAAGCCCTCACACACCCACTCACATGCCCAGTACTCCCAGTACTGCCAGTGCTCTGCATTCCCTGAGGTTGCTCTTTCTGCTGCTGTTGGTGGTCTAATTTCCACCCCTACCCCACTGTGAATCTCCCATGGCATCTCACCTTGGGGTTGGAGTGTGTGTGTGTGTGTGTGTTTGTGTGTTTGTGTGTGTGCATGCACATGCATAAAGACATCTTCTGTGCATGCCACCAGCGATGTTTGCTTCTAAGCGTGCTAAGGATGTGTGACTAGGTGAGAAAGGCAGGGCTGTTCAAGTTGTGCATTCATACACTAACTCATACACACACATATACATGGATGTGTATTTTTTCCTTTTAGCTTGAGAAGGAGGTGCCATTTTTCTAATTTGCTCAAAAGTGTTGTATGTGTCAGTGGCATCTCTGAAGTAATGTGATTGGTCACACTCTTTTGAAAGACTGCTCTGGCAGAAGTGTGTGACGAATGGTTTGAAAAGGGGAGACTCCAAACTCCACAGGCTAGCGCCGAGCAGGTGAGTTAAAAGGAATCTGGCTCAGAAAAATTAAATTAGTTAGGATGATTCACTTTTATAAAATGGGCTGTATTGCTAAATATTTCCTACAGGTTAGTCACATTGCTAAACTAATATGGAATGTAAAGTTGGGAATTCCCTAACAATTCTGAGTTCCGTTTTTCAACCTTAAATTTGCATTACCCTTTAGCTTTTTCATTTAACTACATGTATAATTTATTACCAACATTTTCCCCATGGCTAACCTATTTGCTGTTGGCCCTAAGGGACTTTTTGTGCTTTAGGTCTACTCTTGAATCTTAAAGACATTTTGCTTGTTTCGGTGTCCTGCTCAAAGGAAAACATGCCACAGCATTGCCACCACTTATCTCCAGTGACCTTCAAGGGCTCGGTGATTGATCTCGGATAAATGAAAATGGAGAGCGAGCTGCATATTCCTCACGATAAGAGGCTTGTTTGCATTGCATGCTTGGCTTTGTAGGGTACCTTGTGTGCGCTCTCTGCCATCCTTCCTGTGTCAAGCTGCTGTCCACTGCAGCTAGGTTTTAAGGAACCCTTGTGAGAAAAAGCCAAAGTAGAAAACCTGTAAAATACAGGGAGCATGCCATTTTAAACAATTAAATGACATTTAAAAATCTCTGCTCCTTTTCTAGGCTTATAAAAGTGGAAGCCTATCAAAAAGTTTACCTTTATTGTGCAAAGAGAAAAATGTGCTTTGCTAGCAAAAGAAACTATCAGCAGAGTAAACAGAAAACCTAAGAATGGGAGAAAATATTTGCAAACTGTGCATCTGATAAAGGTCTAATATCCAGCATCTATAAGGAGCTTAAACAAATTTTCAAGAAAAATACAAACAACCCGATTAAAAAGTGGACAAAGGACACAGGCACTTTTCAAAAAAAGACATACAAGCATATGACAAAAAGCTCAATATCACTGATCATTAGAGAAATGCAAATCAAAGCCGCAATGAGATACTCATCTCACACCAGTCAGAATGGCTATTAATAAAAAGTCAAAAAATAACAGATGCTGGCAAGGTTGCAGAGAAAAGGGAACACTTATACACTGTTGGTGGGAGTGCAAATTAATTCATCCATTGTGGAAAACTGTGTGGTGATTCTTCAAAGAGATAAAAACAGAACTACCATTCGACCCAGCAATCTCATTACTGAGTATTTACCCAAAAGAATATAAATCATTCTACCATAAAGACATATGATGTGAATGTTCATTGCAGCACTGTTCACAATAGCAAAGACATGGAATCAACCTAAATGCCCATGAATATAGACTGGATAAAGCAAATGTGGTACATATACATTGTGGCATAATCTGCAGCTCAAAAAGGATGATATCATGTTCCTTGCAGCAACATGGATGGAGTTGGAGGCCATTGTCCTTAGCAAACTAACACAGGAACAGAAAACCAAATACTGCTTGTTCTCTCTTATAAGTGGGTGCTAAATGATGAGAACACACGGATGCATACAGACGGGAACAACAGACCCTGGGGCCTACTTGAGGGTAGAGTGTGGGAGGAGGGAAAGGAGCAGAAAAAGCATCTATTAGGTATGAGGCTTAGTACCTGGGTGATGAAATAATCTGTACAACAGCCCCCGTAACGTGAGTTTACCTATATAACAAACCTGCACATTTACCCCTGAACCTAAAATAGGCGTTAAAAAAAGTGCTTTGCATTTGCGAGCAGTACAATTTCTTTGATATTGTTTTGGATCAAGCACCAGATGTATGCTTTTTTCCTCTGCTAGTTGCAAGAGGATGTGCTAGAGAAGATCACTATGACCATATTCCCTGATAAACTATAAAATTCATGAGTGTGGGGACCAGATTTTTCCCCATATTTTTATGCTACATTCCTGTACCATTTTATAAAATATAACAGTCAGTGCTGTTGTAAGAGACGGAAACTAGTATTCCTTTCCCTGTAAGGAATACTTGCATCACTAGAGTAGTATTATAATGTAGTTTATTTATATGGAAAGGCACGCAGGAGATTGCTGGAGAGCTCTTATATTGTATTTGGATTTGTGGCAGAAGTGTACTCCTAGGCCCCAGACTTACCCTGTGTCCTGGATCTATGAGTATGGCTGGAGAGCCTGTGTGAGTATCTCAGCCTCTGAGTTCCTTGATGCAGAACAGACTCACCCAGGGCTCTCTCTCTAGAGAAGTCTTCAACCATCCGTGAAAAGCAGCCTTCGGTTTATAAGCTCTGAAGTCGCACAGCTTAACTCCAGTGTTACGGACTGAATTGTCTTTACTCAAAATTGATACATTGAAGCCCTAGCCCCCAGTGTAACTGTATTTGGAGATAAGGCCTTAAAGAGATACTTAAAGAGGTCTTGTGGGTGGGCTGTCATCTGATAGAGCTGGTGTCCCTCGAAGAAGAGGAAGAAACACCAGAGAGGCACGCACGCAGGGGAAAGACCATGTAAGGACACGGTGAAAACATGGCCATCTGCAAGCCGAGGAGAGAGGTCTCAAGAAAAACCAAACCTTCTGACATCTTGATCTTGGACTTCCAGCCTCCAGAACTGTAAGAAATAAATGTCCATTGTTTCAGTCTCCCAGTTGGGTATTTTGTTACGGCATCCCTAGTAGACTACTACATCTAGCAAGTAGGACAGTAGTTTGACAGTGTTGAAGAGAGTGTGGTATGTTCACTGACAAAGTGTTCATCTGTTTGATTGCAGACCCTGTTTACCTCCCTTGTTGCAATTTTACTGCATCTATAGCACATAGAAAGAAAAACTGGGCTTGTGCTAGTCATTCAGCTGGTGGACTCTCAGTCTAGCTGACAATACTTTTGCAGCCCTGCCTTGGGCCCCTTCTGGTTCCTTTGGCTGCAGAATACAAGTTATACGGTTTCATTAATGTGTGCAAAGTACTGTTTGCTAGCCTAAGTGGCAGCAGGAGGCAGAGATCCAGGGGATACAGGCATAAAGATTAGAGGAAGGATGTGACAGTGAAGTCAAGACAAATGATGCTGTTAGTATATGGGGGGACCATGGCAGGTTATGGGGTTTCACACAGAGACTGTGGAGTGAGACGGCTGAGGTTTGAATCCTGATCTACTATGTTTTCGGTAGTGATCCTGAGCAAGTTACTTAACCTGTGTGTGCCTCAGTCTCCTCCTCTGTGAAAAAGATATTAATAGAGTTGTGAGGTTTAAGTGAGTTGTATTATGTAAAGTGGTTTCAGCAGTGCCTAAGAACTAGTAGATGTTCTGTAAGCATTAGTGATGATGATGATGATGATGATGTTAGTGATAACATCATCACTTCGACAATGGCTGCTGTTTTTTTCACACGTACTTGGTCAATTACTTGTACATACTAATGCCGTCATGCCCCTTTCCTAAACTTTTTCTTGGTTTCATCTCGAACAGCTTGAGCAACTTGGGTCCGCCCCTCCACTGAGTGGTTCAATCCCACTCAGAGGAGGGAAACTCTTCCTGATTCTCATAATCTGGAATGTGTGTGGGTTTCCATGGCTAAAATACAAAATTGTTCCCACTCATTATCTTTTTCACAGACTTAGACCATCTTCCTCTGTGACTTGGACATCCACATAGGTGCAAAGAATCCATGTCACTTCCCTCAGATTGGATCGCTTGGGCATTAATGCCAGCCTGCTCTGCAGAATTAAGATTTGGACTTGAGCCCCTCACTTGGCAATCCCTTCTTTCCTGATGGTTTTTCAATCCCTTTCCTAACTTGGGCCTGTTTGCTTCCTTCTTTCCTCAAGGAGCTCTCAGTGGGCTCCGGGATCCATGACAGGGCTATACCATGCATGACACAATGATGTAATTCACATGATTCTCTTTCCTTTCCTTGGAATGTAACTTCCTGTCATCTCTGGAGTCTGTTTACTGTATATCAGCCAAGTTCTTTCTCATATGACACCTTCCCACAAAACCTCCCTGTATTCTAATTTTTCACTCGTACTCTGTCCTAAATGAATGGATGTTTTATGTAACATCTTGATACAAATTTAAACTTCTGGAGTAGGTGAAGGGTGTTTCTAAAAAGCACAGATAATTCTATATCAAATGCAGTGGAAAATAGATGACTCAGTCTGCAGCCCATGATTGCTACAGAGAAATCTGCATGGAAAGAAATAAATGGTAAAACAGATCTCTCTTAATCAGTTTTTTTAATAAAAAGCCATTCTCTTAGATGTTTACAAAACTACCTTCATTGATGCCTTCTGAATTTCATGACCATGACAATGGTATTTCTCCATATATGAGGTCATGTCCTATTTATTTTTATAATTCCGGAACCCAGTAAAAGACCTGGCGTGCAATTGGAGCTCAGATGTTTGTTGAATTAAAAAAAAAGTTTATGAAAGTACATTTTTATCTTCCTCACCCAATGCTTTAGATCTGGCAAAATGTTTTCTATTACAACAACACTAATTTGGTTGTAGAACTCTTCTGGTCAAGACATGACTTTAACATTTGCCTCCTGACTATGAGGGGCAGAGAGAGAGAAGCACGTAACCATTGCAAGTATCTATTATGAGCACAAGCTCAGAGTGCTGCGTTAATCACTGGCTGAGATAAGGAGGAGGACAGGTATAGAAAGGAATCTAGGTCTTGTGCTTGTTCTTGTTTATATAATGTAAGTATGTAAGTGATTATTCTGAGTGCTTTGTGCCTGTTAACCACGAGATTCTATGTAATCACAGTAATGTGCATAATTAGAAAGCGATTGCTTTTTTGGGGTATATCAAGATGCATTTGAATTTCAAATATTTAATTGTAACCTTAAGAGATGCTTTCTGGTTCTTTTTAAATTTATACAACTTCTTCTACTGTTTTAAGTATTTTATAAATTTCATGCCAAATCTCATTTATTTAAGTAGGCTTAATAATGTGGTCTTAAGTAGAACCAAGAGAAATAGCTAAATGAGGAACGACATTATCATTTCCTCTATTTGAAGAAGCCTGTTCTAGATTCTTTTAGTGTCTTCCTTTTTAGTTTTGCTCATTTCAACCATCATTGAAGTACTTAAGCAAGGGCAAGGAACATACAGAAGTGTTTCGAATCACAGTGATTAAAACCAATGGTTTTATAAAACATCAATCAGGATTGAAATTTTGAAAGTTAAAAAGAACTTTAAAACGACTGTAGAGATCAATAGCACAAGTTATGTTTGCTACCAGCATACCCAGGTGGGGAAAGCAGGAGTGGTGGGCAGGAGGCTGGACTGATCTTGCAGTTGACTGGGTTCATTGTGAAGCCCTTACCAGCCCCATCAACCTGGCTTGCAATCTCTCCTTCCCTCTTCTTAAGACCTTCACAATATAAAAAGTAGTGTTATAATTGCAATCAGAAACCTTTTTTTTTTCTCAATTAAAGCATTGTTACTAAAGAAAAATCCATGAAGGTCTATTCTGGCTAAGTGGTTTCTTTCTTTTTTTAAACTTGTATTTTAGGTTTGGGGGTACATGTGAAGGTTTGTTACATAGGTAAACACGTGTTATGGGGGGTTTGTTGTACGTATTATTTCGTCACCCAGGTATTAAGCCCAGTACCCAATAGTTCCCTTTTCTGCTCCCCTCTCCCCTCCCACTTTCACCCTCATGTAGCCCCCAGTGTCTGTTGTTTCCTTCTTTGTGTTCATAAGTTCTTTTTTAGCTTCCACGTATAAGTGAGAACATGCAGTATTTGCTTTTCTGTTCCTGCGTTAGTTTGCTAAGGGTAATATATTTTGGCCAAGTGCTTCTAGATTCGCAGTATTTATTAGAAAGATCAGAAATTCCAGTTTACATAAAGTTTTCTGGCTGATACAATAACACATTGCAGCTTTTAATTGACCTGGCTTTTGGGAGAAACTTATACCTTGTTAAGTTACCAAACTTTATGGTTAGTGAATATGGAGTGCATTCTTCTAGAACCATAAAGCTGACAGAAGGATAAAGAAGAATTCAGCGAAAAGACAGAGATGGGAACCAGTCAGTCTCCCATCAAATATTGACACAAAATTTGAGTGCTAATTAATTAAAAAAAGATTTACATTTGCTTCATAGATTAAATGAAAATGCAATGGCCATGTTTATATGTGTGTTTGCATAATTTTATCTGTACGTATCCATTTTATAGGCATACATATACATATATGCATATATTTGTATGCGCAGAAATGGAGGAAGGCAGGTATTGAAGGGAATCTAGGCCTTGTTCTTGTTCTTGTTGATATAATGTGGGCATGTAAGTGATAATTCTGTATACTTTGTGTCTCTTAACCATGAGATTCTATGTTATCACTGTAATGTGATACATATATGTATACATTTTATATGCATACATTTTATATGCATGCTTACACACAGACAGGATATTAAATTGGAGGTTCAGACTGATGTGCCAAGTTCCAGAAGGTATCAGATATCAGGAATTATCTGATAATAATTTCAAATAGGGTGCCCAGGAACTGTTTAGATTGATTCACCTACTTTGAAAGGGTTAGGTTGTTGGAATGAAGGATTGTACAGAGGATTACTTTGGAGAGAGTCTATTTTATTCTCCCTTTTGCATGGCAGACAACACCTGACAGCAATAACTTAAGCATACCTTGAGAAGGACCCTGTATGGCAGATGCAACTGAATGAGTGTTCAGAGTTCTGAGCTAAGGAATCTGGGGGTGGCTAAGGCAGATATTTATTCCTCACGTACGAGGAATATCTGAGCCCCTGTCTCATGGAATGAGGGCCGTATAGTGGATTGAGGCCCTTTGTTTTGGGTTAAATGAAGGTTGCCAGGTGGAAGTTGTTAGGGGAAGGGTGTTAAGTGAAAATGCTATATCAACTGCATGCTTTTTGCAAGTGGCTATGGTTCTCCTGTTCAGCCTGCTGCCACTGGACCACCCCTCTATGTAAATTACCCCTGATAAAACTCTAGGTCTCATTTACTGGCTCCAGGTCTCTTCTTTGCCCACTTGAACCTGGTGCCACCCCTATTGAAGCTAATAGGAGTCTGGCATGACACCTTGCCACCCCAAAGAGTCGCTAAACAATTCCTAGGCAGTGTGTGAATAGCCACATTCCTTACTTATCACAACACCTGGTCACAATTGGTTACAATGTCTGGATTAAGCAAGTTGGCTCTTATAAAAGTTAAATTAATTATTCACCAACTACGATTTGTTTGCAAAAGTATTTTTTTCACCATGAAAAATCTTATAGATAATTTATGACTCTGAGCCAAGGAGAGTCAACTGTATACACTAGAATATGATTAGCAGCTTGATTGTAGAATGATCTGACCTGCGTATTTGGCAAGCTGTCAAATATCTGCTACTAGAGTGTCAGGCACACTCAGATGCTTGTTAAATGTCTTCTCACATGATGAGCATAAGGATCTTCACAGTAATTCCTAGCCAGTTTCCACATCAGGCCCTGTGCGCCCTCTAATACAGGTAATGGTATTGACGTTTAGCTATTGTATTCATTCAAACAGAAGAAGGATGGGAGTTTTCTTGGCTACTAGAGCTCCCTGGGTGTTATGGGTTGAATTACATCCCCCCAAAATTTCCATCATAATTAGGATGTTATGTTGACATCCTAACTCTCCGAACCTTAGAATGTAATCATATTTGGAAATACAGTTGTTGCAGATGTAATTAAGGTGAGGTCATACCATAGCAGGGTGGCCCCTAATCCAAAATGACTGGCATCCTTCTAAAAAGGAGAAATTTGGACAGAGAGACACACACAGGGAGGGATAACATGTGAAGAAGAAGGTGGAGGTTGGGACGATGCTTCTACAAGCCAGGAAATGCCAAAGATTGCCAGCAAACTACTGGAAGCTAGGAGAGGGCCATGGAACGGATTCTTTCCCACAGCCCCCAGAAGGAACAACCTATGCCGACACCTTGATTTGGACTTCAGGGTTGTGATACAGTTCTGTTGTTTTAGCTACCTAGCTTGTGGTACTTGTTACTGCAGCTTTAGGAAGCGAATACACTGGGCTTATAAAATGAGCAAATTCATCAGCAAAGGGGGATTTTCTACATCTGTGGACTCCTTTTACCCTTTCTTTTGCTTTGTGTGCTATCACAGCTCTTACTCAGCTATTGCCCCTACCACAGTACCTCATCTTTCCTTTCCTTTTAGAGAAATTGTATAAAAACTATGGTATCCAGAAAGGATAACTATTTGATAGATTAATCTGGCTTCGACAGGCAATGATTTACTAAATGACTGTTGAATATGCTTAGAATGTCCAACTCTGGCAAATTTGAGAAATTTCAGGTTGCATGGATATATTTTCTATAATCCTAGAAGTAAAGGCCAACATTGTCTAAAAAATGGTGGACATTTTAGCATAGTCGATAAAGACTATTAACCAGAATGGAGGACACTTTATGTTATGAGTAGATGAATGTGTTTTATTCTATGAATAATGAGAGCTAAAAATAACTGCAAGAAAGGAGTGGCATGATCAGTTAAGAACTTTATTTAAAAATAATTACACATTTACAGGAAGATGTAAGGAAATGCACAAGGAGGTGTCATGCACTCTTTACCCAACCTTTCTTAATGTGAACATGTTGCATAACTGTAGTATGTAAAAAACAGGAAATTAACTTTGATATAATCCATAGGGCTTATTTAGATCTGGCAGGTAAATATATGCACTCATTTATATCATGTGTATGTGTGTGTGCAGCTTCGTGCAATTCTCTTTTTCTTTTTTATATAATTTTTTTGTAGAGATAGGGTCTTGCTATGTTGCCCAGGCTGGTCTTGAACTCCTGGCCTCAAGCCATCCTCCTAACATGACCTCTCAAAGTGCTGGGATTACAGGCGTGAGCCACTGTGCCTGGACTCCATGCAATTTTCTTATATGTGTAGTATCATATAACCACTATCATAATCAGGTTATGTAACTCTTTCGTCACCACAAGACTCGCTTGTGTTACCCTCTTATAGCTACACCCATTTCCTGCCCCATCCTTAACCCCTGTCAACCACTAATGGTTCTTTACCTCTATAATTAGGTCATTTCAAAAATGTTACATAAATGGAATCATGCAGTATATATTCTTTGACAGTGGCATTTTCCACTTAGCATAACTTCCTTGAGGCTCATCCAGGTTGTTGTGTGGATCAAGAGTTCATTCCTTTTTATTGCTGAGTTGTATTTCATGGCACGGATGCTCTACAGTTTAACCAGTCACATATTGAAGGGCATTTGGGTAGTTTTTGGCTATTACAAATAAAGTTATGACATCCATGTGCAAATTTCTTTGTGAAAATGCATTTTCATTACTCTGGGACGTATGCTCAAGAGTTCAATTGCTGGGTTGTATGGTAAGTCTATTTTTAGTTTTAAAAGAAAATGCCAAACTATTTTCCAGAGTGGTTCTACCATTTTACATTCTCACCTGTGATTCGGTTTCTCTACATCCTCTCCTGAACTTGATGTTACCAATTTTTTCTTAATTTTAGTCATTCTGATAGGTGTAGTTATATCTCATGGTAGTCTTAATTTGCATTTTTCTGATGGCAAATGGTGTTAAACACCTTTTCATGTGCTTCTTTGCCATCTGTGTATCTTCTTCTCTGCAATGCCTGTGAATGTCCTTTGGCCGTTTTTAGGTTGGATTGTTTGTTTTTATAATTGTAAGCATTGAGAGTTATTTATATATTCTAGATACAAGCCCTCTGTCAGATGTGTGATTTGTGAATACTTTCTCCCAGTCTATGGTTTATCTTTTCATTCTCTTAACAGGGTCTTTTGCAGGGCAGAAGTTTTAAATTTTGATGAAGTCCAATTTAGCATACAGAATTTTGCTGTCAAGGATATGATCCGTTTTACATTTTTGCATGTGAAGGATGAAAAAGAGATCATTGAATATGGGGAAAAGTAGATAGTTGCAATACTATTTCAGCAGTCCATTTGGAAAGGGCTGAAGTGTCAGTATAGCTGGAGACAAAGGTAGTAGACCTGAGAGAACTTCGTGATCAATATCATACAGGAAGCATTGGGGTGTCAGGTGACATTTGGGGTTTGGATTTACACAATTGTGTGAATAGTCTTCCCATTAACTGGGGCCATTATATGAGAGAAGAGCATGTTTGGAAGTTGGGGCCAGGGTGGCCAAGACTTGAGATTAGACACAATGAGCTTCCGGTGCTTATGGGACATTCAGGGAGAAAATATTTAGTGTGCAGCTAGAGAGGTGGGTCTAGACCTCGGGTGAGTGTTCAGAACTGAGGATGCAGACCTGGGCATCATTGGCCCTCAGGTGTGCTTGAAGTCACGGAAGTAAACGAGACCTCCTGGGGATGAGGTATATATGTTTCAATTCTGCATGAGAAAGCAGAAGACAGGAGGTCGATGCAGTGAATGATGTAGACAATCTGAAAACTAGACAAAGGTTAAGAAATTCCATGTTACCTTCCCTTACTAAGAAACTGGAGATTTGGGCAAGTGAGAATCTTTCAGTGAATCATTCAGTGTCTTCCTTTGGAAAGTAGAATCAGGGAATGATTTAAATTTATTTATTATTGAGTTGTTGAACCTTATATATATGAGAGTCAAGTCACCAGATCGATCCCTGACTTTTACCTCCAGTATTCTGTAACCCATCTTTTTATTCCAAACTTACCCCAGAGGAATGGAGTTCATCATCATCTTTAGTTTGGAATGAGAGAAAATCATTTCAGTCTGCTGCATCTACATAATGCCTCATGAAGCGAATACAAGATAATGAAAAAGAAAAGTTAAAAACCGTAATAGCTAATGGAAATAGGTATTTGAAGATAGGAGCCTTTGAGTAACATGTAATATCTAAGCCTTTAATTTTTAAAATGCTCAAGCACAGTGATTTATTTTCATGCTGTGAGTGAATGAAAGTTAAAGACTGAAATTCTTTTAAAATGAAGGCTGCTTCCTGTGCTCTCGTCAAATAATGGCGCTATGTGCTCAAGCTGGAAGCCCTCCCCGCCCTTAGATACGCTCGCTGTGCTTGTAGGAAAAGAAAATATGTAGGGAGGAATGGACCCCACTGTATTTAAAAGGGATTTGGGGAGGTTTTGTTCTTAGAGTCATGGCCAAAAAGCCTTGAAGGTCCTGACAATGACAACTGGATTCACCGGTGCAGCAGATTTTCCCAGCCACCAGCTCATAGACTCCTCCTCGCTCCCCTCCCTCTCTGTTTTCCTCACACAGAGTTCCCTTGCACATGGATTCCCACTAGCCGTTTGCTGTCAGGCTAAAAAGAGTGTTTGGCTAGAAATAAAAATTTCTCTTGAGTATGACACCTTCCAAGGAGGAAAGGAGATGCTAAAATGTGGGCAATCTCTCAGGGTCTCCAGGTGGACAGGAGCTGGGGAAGCGGAGATGTGGGCTATGCCAGCAGGTGGCAGTGTGAGCACGCAGCAAGACAAACAGAGACCGTTCCCCCCTTCCCCGCGCCGACCCCCCATTCCTGGGGACCAGGACCTGCCGCTGGTTCTGCACATCTTCAAGGTAGATTTCCAGCGTCCTACCTCCCACATTTCAAGTCCTGGTCGAATGCCGTAAAAGCTTTTCCACTGGATAATTTATAGGAACATCCCTTTTCTCTCTTCTTGCCAGTGGCTTATTTTGAAAGGCTGAGTTCTTTGAATAAATGAGCAACCTACACAATATGAAGGGAAATAAAACGCTTTATAGCCGTTTGATGGCAAGTGTTTGTCTGCCTTAAGCACGCCAGTGGCAGAAAGATAAAATAAGGACAAGGTCGTGGTTTTGATCTCTGCTGAGCCCAATTAGCTTTGTTCTATAGTGTGCCCGAGGGCCTCACCTTAAATAAGTTTAACCACCTGGAAATGCTTGTTTTGCATATGGGGGTCAATGCTGAAGTACTGCTCACTCAATACCTAGAAATTCACTAGGGTTAAAAAAAGATTAGCTTCAGAGTCATGCAGACTTGAGTCCAAATCCCTGCTCTATCACTCACTAGCTGGGCAGCCTCGGGTAAGTTACTCTCTTGGAATCTTTCTTCCCATCCCTGTAGGTTCTGTGTGAAGGTGATAGACAATGTACATGAAATGCCAGGCACACAGCAAGTACTCAACCAAAGGTAGCTAGAAATAATCTAACATCCATTTACTGTTCCCATGACAATTCACCTGGATTCTTTGTACACCAAGGAGAATCTGGTTTTGTCCTTATGTTCCTTTGAAAGTACATTTAACTCTTTGCTTCAGTGGATCATCTAGTTTAGAACCTTATTCCTTATCTCCATGCTGGTCTCAGGCTGCAGAGAAGGGAGAGAGACAGAGGAGTGTTTGGGATAGAAAGAACAGCTTAAGTATACATTGTTCTCAAATCACTGCTTTTCATAGCCAAATAGAGATGACTTTTGAATGATCAGCTGTTCCCCTTGTCTGCCTCAGAACAATGGGAGATAGATAGGTGAAATGACTTTTCCAAGAGAAGATCCCCAAGAGTCCCTTCCCTTCATCATTCACACACATGGTTATTTAGATGGCACCCCCACCTTGTGATTGATTCCATGCTGCCCCATGAAGACCTGCACGGTGCCTCTCAAAGACCTGCACGCTGCCTCGTGAAGACCTGCACGGTGCCTCGTGAAGACCTGCACGCTGCCCCGTGAAGACCTGCAAGCTGCCCCGTGAAGATCTGCACGGTGCCCCGTGAAGACCTGGACGCCGCCCCGTGAAGACCTGCACGCCGCCCCGTGAAGACCTGCACGGTGCCCCGTGAAGACCTGCACGCTGCCTCGTGAAGACCTGCACGGTACCCCGTGAAGACCTGCACGCTGCCCCGTGAAGACCTGCACGCTGCCTCGTGAAGACCTGCACGGTGCCCCGTGAAGACCTGCACGCTGCCCCGTGAAGACCTGCACGGTGCCCCGTGAAGACCTGCACGCCGCCCCGTGAAGACCTGCACGCCGCCTCCTGAAGACCTGCACGGTGCCTCATGAAGACCTGCATGGTGCCTGATCTCCGTGGGTGGTTCCACCATCCTCCAAGTTTACAAGCCAGGTCCTGAGGAGCCACGCTTGACATCTCATTTCTCTCTGTGTTTTGCCCAAATATTGTCAGTTTTTTCTCCAAAACGTCTCTCAAATCTGTCTCATATTTTATTATTATCTGTATCAGCACTCTTTTGTCTGTGTTAACTGAATTTCTTCTGGATTTTTACAGGGACCTTCCATTTGGTATACCTGCATTCACTCTATCCCTTCCTTATTATCTTTTCCACTCTGAAATTAGAGTGAAGTTTTAGCCACGATGCTATCTGAAGGCAGGGCTGTTAATGTTTTTCTCTGTAAGTTTAGGAGCACTTTACCTTTACTAGCTATTTCTTATGCTGGACATGAGTTGGGGGAATAGGTCTTGCTATGCTGGCAACACACAGAAGAATCACTCTAGTGTCAAAAAGCTCACATTCAGCTGGGTGCGGTGGCTGACGCCTGTAATCCCAGCACTTTGGGAGGCCAAGGCAGGTGGATCACAAGGTCAGGAGTTCAAGACCAGCCGGGCCAACATGGTGAAACCCCATCTCTACTAAAAATACAAAAATTAGCCAAGTGTAGGGTGGGTGCCTGTAATCACAGCTACTTGGGAGGCCAAAGCAGGAGAATTGCTTGAACCCAGGAGGTGGAGGTTGCAGTGAGCCAAGATCACACCACTGCACTCCAGCCTTGGTGACAGAGCAAGACTCCATCTTGGCGGGGGGGTGTTGGGAAAAAGCTCACATTCCTGGAGAGATTTGGCCATATAAATAAAATGCTACAAAACAGTGTATCATATTGCTGGGTACAGAAGGAGGCCAGCAGGCCTAGCTGACTTGTAGGTAGAGGGAAAAGAGGCCTTCAGGAGGTCTGCATGGAAGCTTCTCCTTCATGGATATTTGTGAAGGGATCTGGGCTCCCTGCTTGGAGCAAAGGCCCTGTCATGGAATTTACAGTCTAGAGAGAAAGAAGGTCATTAAGTAAAAAACGTACAAATACCTAAACACATAAAGAATAATTACAGATTGTGATTAATACTGTGAAGGGAAAGAACAGGTTACATAAGCAAGAATAAAAGGGCCATGATTTTGTTTGGGGAATTGGATAAGGGTCCCCAGAGGAGGTAGCCTTGAGCCAAGCCAGGAGACTGACCAGGGGGTGTTCTGCAGAGGATCGGAGTGGAAGACGGCATTTCCCTACAGCAGGGGCTGGTGCCCATGAAGTGAGAAAGAGCTCAGGGTTCAAGTTGCTGCAGGCCGGTCAGTGTGGCTGGAGCACAGGGAGCAAGTCGGGAGGATGTGAAGGGTCAGATCAGGCAGGTGTTGGAGGCCTTGGTCGAGGGTTGGTTTTGATTCAAGTGTGATGGCAGGAGAGCCCCTGAAGGTTTTAAGAAAGAGAGTGCCAATGATGGGCTTTGTGTGTGCAAAGCAGCCTTGCTGCAGTCTAGAGAATAGACAGGAGAGGGCAGTTGGGGATTCAGTTAGGATCCGAGTGGGGTGTGAAGGTTGTTGGGGTGTGGCTCCTCAGAGGGATTTGCACAAGTGATCATGGTTGGATTGGAAAGTCCAGGCCAAGGGAACAGAATGTCCAAAACCAAGAGGCAAGAGAAAAGACGATGTGGTAGGGGGACTGGCTTTGAAAGGGGCAGAGGTTTACAGGAGAGTGCTGGTCAGTGAGCCAGAGGGGGTTGCAGGGGACATGTGTTGGTGCGCACAGTCTTTGCCTAGGAGATGGGATCTTTCTCGAGGGGCAGAGCTACTAAGTGTTTGAAATAGAGCTTATGAAATCAGCTCTGCTTTGTAGAAAGAGCTCTCTTGGAATCCTCTAAGGCACAGAGGGAGAAGAGACTGGAGTTCTGTGGTTATTGAAATAGTCCAGGGACATGAAAAATGGTGTTTTGTTTTCCTAATAGTTGTCAACCATGATAGCTATCATTTATCAAATTCCTATCACGTGCTGCTGCTGTACCAAACATGTGACCTCCGTCACTTCTAATCTTCCTCCCTGGATTTTCCATCACAGTTCCTCAAAGCAGGGATTGGAACTGGTATGAGTGAGCACAGGGGGAGCAGAATGCTTCTGGCAGCCACTCCTCCTTGCAGCCATGGAGCCTCCCAGCACCTGCAAAGTTGTGTTTTGTTGCTATTTTTCAATAAAGAAACTAAAATTCTTTGATGAAGTAGCTTTTCCAAAGGTGACAGAGCTGAACACATTGCAAAAGTGGGATTCGAACTGTCATATCTCTCATTCCCAAATTCAAGCCTTTTCCATTATATCAAATAGTTCCTTCTGTCTCTAGTAAAACCCATGGTGGTGAAATACAGTGATTTATATGATATTTGACTGCCCCATGAGAATGTGAGCTTATTGAAGAAAATGACCGTGTATAATTCATTGCCACCCTGTGCCCCAGTGCCAAGCCCTGTAAGTGTGAGTTTGTTGACTAAAAGAAACTATCAAATGGGATGGCAGTCCTCCTATTAAGAATCTGAAGTCCTCTTTCATTCCATTGCCCATGTGACTGCTCTGTCTTTTCCTCTGGAAAGCATCACAAGGGGACAGCTGCCTTCCCATGTCTACATCTTTGTAATAGAGTCATCAGCCACAATAGCTGCAGGGAATACAAATAGAGGAGAAAGACCCCAGCCCCCCTCTGCGTTTCCTTTACATTTCCTGCTCACACTTATGCCCAGCTTCCCCAAGCCCTCATGCCCTTAGTTCATGGTCCTTCACTCTGAGGCATCGGCAAGGCTGACAATTGGCTACATTCTGAGAATCAGAATGTAAGATTCATTGAGAGGCCGTGGATTACAGCCACCTAATGGAGTCTGAGAATTATGCACCCACATCACTACAGAGAAGCGGGGTCACTGGAAGAAGAGATGGTGGTTGTGCAGCCAACTGAAATGCATACTGCATAACACCAACATTTTTCCACAGTGCTAGCTAACAGTAGGTTTTAATTATGTAGTAATAAAAAAATGAAGAAACAGCAGTAAATTATAATCCATTTCTGTGAGTGATATTAGTCCAATAGCTAAAATCCACAAATTACTTAAAACAAATATTTCAAATTAAATCAGAGTGTTTGTGGAGCATGTGTTGGGCAAAAGGCATCAGCAAGTTTTATTGCCACTTTGCTGTTAACGGTTAAGTAGCATGTCACTGAGTTGGGGATGGAGTGGCGGAGCCCAGACTGGGCCTGAAATGGAACTGGAGTGTGTGGGAGGGGCTGGAAATGAGAAATCCCAACCCCTGGGGCCATGTAAAGGGGTCTGCTTGATTTGCAGGGCTGGCAGAAGGTCTTCCTTGACTCCTCCATGCTTCAGGGCCCTGGCAAGAGAGGGGAGCTCTGTACTGGCAGCCAGGCACAGAGGGGAGAGGGCACCAGCTGGGCCTGAGGCCGGGGATCACAGCTTGTTGTCTCCCTCGGAACATAACCTGTTGGTGTTGAAAGGCTCCACTACTGCAAGGAGGGCATTGGCTGTTGGAAGCAAAGCATTCTACTTCCCGGTGCTCTTGGCAGTTCCAAGCCCCCTTTTGAAGAGCTGCAGTGGTAAATCCAGGTTTTTATGTAAATTGAAGCTTGTAGAATTTTGGGAAAAGAGTTACAAAACATTGTTTTTTTTTTTTTTTTGCAAATTTTATAAAGATGAATGACTGTGTGAATACCTTGCTGGGGCTTATGTTTAATTAGTTTCACAAAAATTCACCTTTATCTGTGACCCTGGGGGCCTACACACTTCCAAGATGTGTAGCATTGCGATTTTTATCAACCTCATGCAGCCAACAAACCACATGGCAGACGAGTAGAGCAGCACCTCTAGACTGTCACTCACTAAGTTGACATTTGATCAAGACTTACATAAGCCAGTGGCCATTTACTGAGCATTCACTTTGTGCCATGGCTAGTGCTTTGTTGCTTTATGTTCTTCCCAACATAATGTGAACCTTAACTTTAATGACTTTATATGACAGGGAGTGGGGTGGAGAGAACAATTCCTTAAGAAGAGGGTCATATAAATTTGCTGCTGCAAACTCTGCCCTCGGCTGGCGGATGCTTGTCTTTTTCTTATGAGATCTCGCCATCCTGTGACAGCGCCCATTCCACGGTGGCACCAGAAAGTTCCTGGCTTTCTTGGATACCCTGGCACATGGGTCTTTCCCTACAGTCAGCATCAGCGACTACAGATGGTCAGGATTATGTAGATCCTATTCCCTAACTATGACAGCTTGTAAGAGTAATGTGGGGCCTTGATAAAATGCAGATTTCTCGAGCTTATTCTAGCCCTCCTGAAACAGAAGCTCCAGGGGAGCCTGTGGATTTGTACTTGTAACAAGTTCATTAGATGTTTCTCAAAATCAAGTTAGTTTGGGAATCACTGAACCAAAGGAAAGGTGAAACACATTCTAAGGTAATCAGGGGGTGTGAGTTTTTACCTGGTTAACTAATTGAATAGAGAGCAAAAGAGCAATATATAATATGTATATATATGATGTATATATATAATATGTATAATATGTATATATATGTATATGATATATACATACACAATATAATATGTGTATGTATATATCATATTATACATCTTGAATCTATACAGTTTTTATAATGTTCCTAATGGTGAGTGGCAGGAAGAAAATAAAGCCATGTAACTGCATTTATTATGTACCAGTAGCTGCACTAAGCACCTCTGTGTGTTTCATTTAGTGCTCCCCACAGATCTTTGAGGAAGAACCATTTTTATCCCCGCTTTAGAGGTAAAAAATTCCCATTTAGGTGGGAACATAGTGTCAGGGATGTTAAGTAACTTTTTCAAGTCGCACAGCTGGTAAAGGGTAGAGTCCAGATTGGAACCAAGACAGCAGGATATGAGAGCCCCATGTTTTTTCCTCTGTGCTCCAAAGACTGAACTATCACCTAATCCTGGAGAAGCTACAATGTCCAACACTGGGGTTAAGTGAGGAGTTCAGAATCCTTCCCCAGCTGCAATAGTAGCTACCTGCAAAGGCACTGTGGGTACTGTTCAACATCCAGGGCACTAGGGCTTCCTTGGTAGTCAAAAGCAGTGACTTGGAGGCTCATGAGCATGTGACTGTGCCTTGGTATAAGACACTGTGGGGCTCCCTGAGAAGCCAGTTGCACTGATGCCTTTGGCCATATAACAGGGGACAGTGACACTGGCTGTGAGAGACACCCATGGGCAGTGATGTGGGTGGTGGTGTGTGCCGACCCACTTAGAGAGGAGAGCGGCTCGTGGTGTTGCATGGTGGCTTAGAGTGTGGGCTCGAGAGTCACACAGCCTAGGGTTGACCCATGTGGCTGAATCAACCCCTTGTTCACTGTGTAACTGTACTTATCTTCTGTTGATGCTGCAGCAGTTTGTATAAATTTACCTCCATTTGTGATCTCATAGTTCTGTGGGTCAGACATTAAGGGACAGTGTGGCTCAGCAGCATCCTATACTCAGAGGTTGGCAAGGCTGGGCAGTTATCAGAGGCTTAGGGGAAAAATCCACTTGCAGCCTCATTCAGGTTGTTGGCTGAATTCAGTTCTTTACCATTGTTGGACTGACGCCCTTGTTTACTTGACATGTGTCCTCTTCTTCAGACCACAAAGGGCAAGTTCCTTGAGTTCCTTGAGTCTCTGACTTCCTCTTCTGCTATTGGCCAGGAAAACATCTCTGCTTTAAAGGGCTCATGTGAATAGATTTAGGCTCACCAGATTATGCAAGACAATCTCTGTATTTTAAGTTCAATGGATTAATAACATTAAGTACATCTGCCATGTAATTTTGTAACAATGCAGATAAATTCACAGGAGTAATACCAAGGGAAGAGGTCATGGGAGCAAAAATTCTGCCTAACACAGTGGCGTTAGGCAAGATCTCTTGGACTTAGTGGCCCCCAAAACACTAGTTTTATAGATGTATGATATATACAGAAACTAAGATTTAAAAAAAACTTTCTGTAATATAAGGAGTTATATATTAGTCTGGAATTCTGTGCCCCATTAAAACGCAACATGTATTTTCCAAATGATGACTTGAAGGCTAAGAATAAGCTCAAATAATGTCTTTAGGAAAATCTGCTAAAATAATATCGAGAAACAGCATGAGCCATTTATTCTTCCCCATCATTCAACCACCCTCCCACCTCCTTGCACATTATGTTGTTTGAAAGTTTTTGAAAAATCTTTTTTTCTTTTTTATTAAACTCTGGAGTGCAAAGCTAATGGACACCATTAGGACAGTCATAATGCCAGGCCACATTTTAGTATTTTTTTTCCCCCCAGAAAAAGCATACCTCCAAGCAGGGTCATTTATAGAGTATTTGAACCAATGTATAATTTGAAGAAAATAAATACCTTAAGAAATAACATGGATACCTTATAATTTTCCAGTCAAAAATTGTCAAACCAAAATCCTCACATACTGCAATATTTTTTTACAGTAATTCACTCAAAAGTACTTCTCTTTCACGGTGCCCTTTGCAAAAACACATCGTAATTCCCACTCTCCTGTAGGTTATTGGAAATGGATGTGGTCTTTCATTCTGTGTGCTCTCCAAAGAACATTTTACCATTGAACAATGACAATAAGGATGGAAAAATGAGACACTAAATCTAGTTCCAGGCTTTCTAAGATTTAAGTTCACCATTTTTTAAAGGTTGGTAACCTTTATATGCATGGAGAACAAACAAGAGTCTTAATTTTTCTGAGTACAAAGCAATGGGAAAAATGTATTTTTAATTAGACAGATATGAATGATGGGAGCAATTCAGTCTGTGTATTTTGTTTTCATTGTTTTCCAGTTACACAGGGATAAATGACCTTGAATTCAGCGTAATAGATGAACCTTTTAATCAAATTTTATATGGAAAATTGACTGATTTGAAAACTTTGCTAAGCGTCATGTGCTGCCCAGGACCATATATGCCAGACAGTTTTTGCAGCCCATTAAGGGGCAAGTAGATATTGGAAATAGACTTACATTCTGGTGTCACTTCTGCACAGTCATCCTATTTACAGTGGGTGTTTTATTGTTATGAGAATTAGTTACTCATGGTCCTATGGGTTCATTTTAGAAAATACAGATAAACAAAAAAGATGAAAACAATTCCAACTCACTGATAGCTTTCTTTTATTTTTTCTCATTACACACACAGACACACGCACACGCACACACACACAGTCTTTCAGATTTTAAAAATGCATGTGTAAATAATACTATGATATATGTGTGCATATGTGTGTGTGTATATATATATAGACATATATAATGTATACAACATATATGCATATATTAGTCAAAGGCTAAAAGGCAGGTAGACTCTAATTATTGGTTCATCATGGTATTTTTAGATTTCCCCATTCAGAGCTCTAGGGGTCTGTCTCCTGCTACAACCTGATTCTACAATGCTTTCAAAAGTCACTTTACTTAATTTCCACAATCTTCACAGGCTGTTAAGCATCACTGATAGAAAAATGGACTGAGGTTGGTTAAGCCAGTTACCCAAAAGATCAGTCAAGACTAGAATTGATACCCTTAACTCCAAGACCACTCTCCCTCCTGTTACTTCACTCCACCTCTCTGCCTGCAGCAAGGGAGTATTATACAAATATTTGCCTAATCCAGGGATGTAAATTTGCAGCTATACATTCTGGAGACCTAACGTACAGGACAGTGACCATAGTTAATAATAATGTATTATATACTGGAAATTCACTAAGTGAATCCATCTTACGTATTCTCACCACTCAAAAAGGTAACTATGTGAGGCAATGGATACATTAATTAGTTTGAATGTGAAAATCATTTCCCAATGTGTATGTATATATCATATTATACATCTTGAATCTATACAGTTTTTATTTGTCAATGATACTTCAAGAAAGCTGAAAAAAGGTGTTCACGGCTCCCCAAATATGAATTAGAAATGCTGAATTTGATCAAAATAGGCTTATGTGGAATTACAGATCTTAAATAGGAGAACTTAGAAAACATGTTCAGTATTCATCAGAGTAATAATTTTGAAGTTTCCATAGGACTTCTGATATGCTAATAAGCTTTGGAAGAGTGTAATGAAAGACTTAAAAAAAAGTTGCATGCTTTATGAGACCAAGGAAACCTACTGTCAAATAAATAAAACTCTAATAATTACATTCTGTATTTCCCTCAGAAAACATTTAACTTCCCTGAATAGTGCCCAAGCCTGTTTTGAAAGCAATCTAAAAAAAAAAAATCCTATACAACTCAAACATAAAAATATCTTCAGCAAATTTCTTGAAACATTTTTTTTAAAGAGAAAGAACATATGAGCCATGTACAAAAAGTAATTTCACACAAGAAATACAACCGTACTTAAGCTGCTAAATAAGAGGAGTATTGCCCTTCAGAGGGGTTGCTAGGGAAGGATCTGTTTTTGTTGCTATGAGGCTGTTGTTGCCTCAACTAAATCTGAAATTCATTGTAACATCAGGATTAATTTATAAGGTACATTAGGGAAATGTTCCCGTTACTTCGTAGCCTCACTATCTGGTATTTGAGCAAAACCAAATATATTATTTAACTTGAACACCTATCTTAGTTGGCTCAAAATAACTTTTATATCTTTATTTTTTATTTTTTGAGACAGAGTCTCGCTGTGTCACCCAGGCTGGAGTGCAGTGGCCCCATCTTGGCTCACTGGAAGCTCCACCTCCCAGGTTCACAACATTCTCCCGCCTCAGCCTCCCGAGTAGCTGGGACTACAGGCGCCCACCACCACGCCTGGCTAATTTTTTGTATTTTTAGTAGAGACGGGGTTTCTCCGTGTTAGCCAGGATGGTCTTGATCTCCTGACCTCGTGATCTGCCTGCCTCGGCCTCCCAAAGTGAACTTTTATATCTTAAAAACAAGAAGGAACAAGAACCACTCTTCTGTGGTGGTGATATGCAACCACAGAGGCTACTCAAAATAGGGTGTACCAGGCCTGAGAAGAGTTCTGAAACAGAAGCTCCAAAAATGTTCTGAAGAAAGACAGCATTAGCTGTGAGAATAGGTGAATGCACATTCCAAGCTGACTACTTCGAAGGAGATAAAAACATCATTTGGATGTTGAGTTCTGACATGTTGCTCAAACTAGGAATTTGATTACCTTGTATGCTTATCTATCTGGGATATAAGATTTCTATATTATTTATAATAACTGTCATGCTTTTCACCTGCTAAATCAACAATGAGAATTTCTTTGCTACTAGAAAATATATGCAAGGAGCTACTTTTTTGGAAAGAGTATAATGGTTGAATAATTAAACAATAGGGTTATATTATAGCAATATAGTTTTTGCTATGTTTAGGTAAAGGATCTGTGTTTTCTTTGCAAACGTTAAAAGCTTGTAAGTGAAGTATATCTAGAGAGCCAAAGTCAGTCTATTTTTAATCTTTAAAGTCACTGTTAATAAACCTGTAGTCCCATAAAAAATAGGAGAGAGACAAAGACAAATAGAAATGGAGTTGGAGAGGCAAATGAATGAGTAGAGGATGAGAGAGGTGACCGATTTTCTCCTTTGCCCACCCTGTCTCGCAACATCCATTTGACTATGCCTTTAAATTTAATTCCTTTTCTACTTTGTCTAGAACAAAGCATGGGCCAAGGGATGATGTTAGAAGTCTTTGATGGCAGTAGTAATACTAAGGTTTTCTGAGCAAGAACTTGATATTTTAGTAAAAGGAAATGTAGGTGGGCAGATAGAAGGATATGTGAGTCAGGACAACCTATGTACCTGTGCAGTTTGCACTTTCTATGCTGATGTGGTGATGGCAGGGGGAAATGAATGCTTAAAGAGCACTAAAAAGACATATTTTTTAAAGAAAAGATCTTATCTGATCTTACCGTAGTACATAGTGATTATTCATTTGCCAAAGATGAACCAAATAATTTATATTTTACCAAGAAATGACCTCATTCAAATATTAAAGGTTAAAGATAAACAAATAATAAAACAACTGATGAAGCCACTGAATTTTTTTCTGAAATACAAAGTTTTCCACTACCATACTGAAGAGTAATAGACAGATTTGTAGAGTGATCTGTCTATTTCACACGGATCTTTTTCTTATATACCTTACTTCACAACCCAGCTTACTTCTTTCTTTGGGTAGACTACACAGCAACTTGATTTTCAAAACAAGGTATTATATATGTATGCATCCATAATATATAGTATATGTAATACATAGTTTTTTCTTGCTTATTTGATATTAACAAAGGCCTTTTTCCCCTAAATGTGACCAAAGGGCATCATACTTTAGTGGAATATTGAAAATAGAACCTTCTTTTGGATATGAGGTTAGATCGTCATTTTAATTTTTGATGGTATTTTCAATGAAACACTAAAAATCATCATTTAATTGGTCCCTCTGTGAAGCACATGTCCTGTCTTCTGGGTCTTGAAGTGCTCTTAATTAGTCAGGTAACCATACAAAAGGGAAATGGAAATGTCCAGTGATTGTGCATCAGACCGAATGAGGCAACAAAGATATATTTCTGAATGAAAAAAGAACAGTAACTCTTTGTAAAACATTAATTTCTTAAAGGTATTGAAAAACATAGGCACAGAAGAGTACAAAGAATATGAGATTCAAAGAAGTCAAGGAACATTACAGCCGTCACCTGGAGTACTTGGCTTTGCTTTTCTCTGTGTCTTCAAATTAGATGAGTAAATGTGAGGAATGACTAAGTGGGATATTTCCTATCAAGACTGGGTTTGACACCTAAAGTTCATAACTAGAGAACTAGGACTTAAAGCATCTTAACTGCTGTATTTAACAAGGCATAGAAATGGAAACTTAAAGCAACAAAGTGAACCAAATTGTTGCCATAAACACACACACACACACACACACACACTCTCTGAATAAAAACAACAACAACAACATTATAAAAACTGAACTTAAAAAACAAGATATCTAAGTGCAAAATAAAGCCAGAGTTACAGGAGAACAGGAAATATGGGCTTAGGCTGCAGGGAGCTTGCGGGGAGCTCTTTCATAAAGCAGAGGCTTGGACAGCTGTCTCATTTACAGAAAGGAGATTTAGGAAAACCAAGGATGCAGCAAAGAAGCTTTCTGGGTATCTAGAGTTTTTGTGAGGTAAAAAGTCAGTCGCAAGAAATCAAATCCCTGAATTTAGCTTATTTTACTATTATAATATTGGAGCCATAAGTCAAGAAATTATTGATAAAACTGGTTCAGATACTTTTCAGGTCCTCAGAGATGCAAATGTTAAACCATTCTATATAGGTACTTACATAAATCAGAGGCCTTGAGACATCCTGGAAAATGCTACCCTCTCTGAAAATGAGCTCACAATGAAAATTATGTGAGAAAATTAAATGCATTAGGAGAAAAAATTATCTGATGCAAGATATAGGAGAGTTAGTACCTCATTAAGTAGACAGAATAATCTGAAAGATTTTACACAATAAATATATTTAAAAGGCTTATAGAGCTTAACGAAGGAATAGAAATCATAATAATCTGACAGTATAGAAAAGATGTAGATGTGAAAAAAGCAAGTAAAGCTTCTAGAAATAAAAATGTTATAAAAATTGTAAACTTAATAAATTGCTTAAATAGCATATTAGTTACGATTAAGAGATGAATAACAAACTAAAAAATGGAATTGAGGAAGTTACCCGGGGTGCTCACCCAAAAGATAAAAGGATAGAGAAACAAAGAGTATGCAAGAGAGGCTAAGAACATGGAGGAGAGTATGAGATGGCCCAACACACAATGAATAGTGATAATATTTGATATTTATTTATCTTTGAGACAGAGTCTTGTTCTGTGGTCCAGTCTGGAGTGCAGTTGCGCGATCTTGGCTTACTGCAACATCTGCCCCCCGGGTTCAAGCAATTCTCCTGCTTTATTTAGCCTCCTGAGTAGCTGAGATTACAGGCATCTATCACCATGCCCTGCTAATTTTTGTATTTTTAGTAGGCATGGGGTTTCACCAGGTTGGCCAGCCCAGTATCGAATTTCCGTCCTCAGGATATCAGTCCGCCTTGGCCTCCCAGAGTGCTGGGATTACTGGCATGAGCCACCGTGCCTGGGCCAATGTCTGATATTTTTACAGAATTGGAGAAATATATCAATCCTCATATTGAAGGAGCACATGTTTTAAAGAATAAAAAAATATTTAAATATGTACACTGTGGTGAAAACTGCAGAACAGTATAGAGCATAGACAAAACTATAACAGCAAGCAGAGAGAAAAGGCCAATTGCCTGTTGATTGATATTGCATCAGCAGGAGACTGCAGAGGAAAATGGAATAATATTTTGAAAGTTTTCAGGGAAAATACCAGTTAACTTAGAATTATATTCCAAGATAAATATAACACAAGAAAAGTAAAATACATTTTTCAGATTAACAAGAACAGAGAATTTTTGCCTATAAAAGACCCTTGCTGTAAGAACTACTAAAGAATGTACTTCAGGAGAGAGGAAATTGAACTCCAAAAGAAGGAGTTAGAATCAAGAGGCATTGGGAGAACTAAGATGTTGCTAAATACACTGGTAAATTTGACTGTAAAGTAAAGCATTGACTGTAAAGATGAAGCTCATTTGAGTGACAGTTAAAATTAAGGTGGAAGCAAAATATTTTGTAGTGATCATGATGGAAGTTGAGGGTTTGGTGTTAAGCCGTGGTTCCCATACTTTTTGACACCTGGGACTGGTTTTGTGGAAGACAGTTTTTCCATGGATGGGCCAGTGTGTGGGGTGGAGGGGATGGTTTCAGGATGAAACTATTCCATGTTGGATCATCAGGCATTAGATTCTCATAAGGAGCACAGAACCCAGATCCCTCGCATGTGCAGTTCACAATAGGGTTCACGCTCCTGTGAGAATCTAATGCTGCCACTGATCTGACGGGAGGTGGAGCTCAGGTGGCAATGCTCACTCACTCACCAGCCTGCAGGTCACCTCCTGCTGTATGTCCCCGTTCCTAAAAGGTCATGGACTAGTTAGTGGTCCACTGCCCAGGGGTTGGGCACCCTTGGTGTAAAGGAAGATTAAAGGCTATACGGTTCCGGAAGATAACATAAATATTAATTTCAGACTAAGTTAAGTCATGTAGAGGTCAGGAGTTTGAGAACCAGCCTGGCCAATATGGCAAAACCCCGTCTACTGAATATACAAAAAAATTAGCCGGGCATGGTGGCATCCACCTGTAGTCCCAGCTACTCAGGGGGCTGAGGCATGAGAATCGCTTGAACCTGGGAGGTGGAGGATGCAGTGAGCCGAGACTGTACCACTGCACTCCCACCTGGGTAACAGAGCGAGACGCCATCTCAATTAAAAAGAGAGAGAGAGAGAAAGAAACTATAGAGGTAATAACTAAAAAAGTTAAAATGGACTTACCTCACCAAACCATGACAAAAGGGAATTAAGGAATTTTAGTAGACAATTACAGGAAAGAAAGGAAAAAAATTAAAATAAAGGGATTAGCTGTTTACATGGGCGAGTTTTACTAAACTTGCAAATAGATAATCCTAGGTTATTCAAATTACAATGAAACCAGAAAATGAGTAAAAACTATTTACCACCTTTTTTGAACTTAGTAAAACTTTGATTTTAAGATTAGGAAATAATAGTGCAGTGAAAGAAAATACTCCCTTATGATCACTACTGTACAAATTCAAAACAAAATATATTTTAAAAATATGAATAATGTGTGCTTACAGTAGAATTTATATGAGGAGTGTAAGGATGGTTCAATCGTAGAATATCACTCAAGGCAACTTACTCTTTTCATAGACTAACAATAATCATCTAATTATCTTAATAGACAAATATTTTTGATAGAGTTCAACTATTTATGATTAAAACTCTCAGATGAACTGGAATAGAAGGGAATATCCTTAATAAAGTTTATATGTCCAAAATATATACAAGACCTATATGTGGAAAATAACAAAACTCTGGTGAAAGAAATCAGTGAAGAACTAGATAAACGGAGAGCCATTCCACGTTTATGAATAGGAAGACCCAATACTGTAAACATATGAGTTCTTTCCAACTTGATCTATAGATCCAATGCAATCTCAGTCACAATCTCAGCCAGTTATCTTGTGAATACTGACAAACAAATTCTAGTGTTTATATGGAGAGGCAAAATGATCCAGAATAGCCAACATAATATTGAAGGAGAACAAAATTGGAGGACTGACACTGTCAGACTTCGACTTACTATAAAATTACAATAATAAAGACAGTGTGGTATTAGTGAAAGAATGGACAAATCAGTAGAACAAAGTAAAGAGCTCCCAAATGAACCCACATAAATACAGTCAACTAATAGACAAAGGAGCAAAGACAACACAGTGGAGAAAAGATAGTCTTTTTGACAGTGGTGCTGGAACAACTGAACATCCACATGTAAAGAAATAAATCCAGACACAGACCATTACAAAGATTATCTCAAAATGGATCACAGACCTGCATGTAAAACACAAGCTCCTAGAAGAAAACAAGAGACAATTGAGGTGATCTTGAGTTTGGCAATGACTTTTTGGGTATGACACCAATGGCATGATCTATGAAAGAAATAATTGATAAGCTGGACTTCATTAAAAGTAAATATTTCTGTGGTGTTAAATATGCTGTGAAGGAATAAAAAGACAAGTCAGAGACTAGAAGAACATATTTGCAAAAACCATATAAGGCCTGTTATCCAAAATATAAAAGGAACTCTTAAAACTCAACAATAAGAAAACGAACAACATGATTAGAAAAGGGGCCAAAAACCTCAACAGACACTACCACAGAAAATAAACAGATGGCAAATAAACATGCAAAAAGGTGCTCCACATCCTATGTCATTATGGAAATGCAAATTACAACAATGAGATACCAGTACATATATATTTGAGTGGCCAAAATACAGAACATTAACACCACCAGATGCTGGTGAGGATGTGGAGCAAAGGAACTCTCATTCATTGCTGGTGAGAATGCAAAATGGTACAGCCACTTTGGAAAAGTTTGACAGTTTCTTACAAAACTAAACACACTCTTATCATATGATCCAGCAATTGTTTTCCTTGGTATCTACCTAAAGGAGTTGAAAATATATGTCCCGAAAAGTACCTGCACGTAGATGTTTATAGCAGCTTTATTCACAATTCCCAAAACTTGGAAGTAACCAAGATGTCCTTTAGTAGGTGAATGGATAAATAAACTGTAGTACATTCAGAAAATAGAATAATTTTCAGTGCTAAAAAGAAATAAACTATTCTCTGAAAAAACATGGAGGAAACTTAAATACATATTACTAAGTGAAAGAAGCCAATCTGAAAAGGCTACAGAGCGTGTGATTGCAATTATCTGACTTTTCTGTAAACGGCAAAACTATGGAGACAGGAAAAAGATCAGTGGTTGACAGGGGTTAGGAGGGAGGGAAGATGAATAGGTGAAGCACAGAGGATTTTTTTGTCAGTGGAAATACTCTGTATGATACTCTATAGTGGATATGTGTGATTATACATTTGTCCAAACTCACAGAATGTTCAACACCAAGAGTGAACCCTAAATGTAAACTGTGGACTTTGGGGTGCCAATGATGTGTCAATGTATGTTCATCATTTATAACAAATGTAACACTCTTGGTGGAGAATGTTGATAATTGGGGGAAGCTATGCTTATGAGGGAGCAGGGTATATATGGGAAATCTTTGTTCTTTCCTCTTAATTTTGCTATGAGCCTAAATCTGGTATAAACATATCTTTAAAAAGTAGAATTCAGCAAAGTTGCCATATATAGCATTAACTTACAAACATCAATAGTATTACTGTGATACAGCAGCAATAATTATAAAATATAAGAGAAAATATATGCTATTTACAATAGCAGCTAAATTTATGAATTACCTAAAATTAACTTATAAAAGTATACACAAGATTTTAATAGAGAAAAGGAGTTTTGAAAGGCATAGAGTGAGATCTAAATAAAGACATGGTATGCTCAACAAGAGTTCAGCCTAATTTAGTAAAGATGTCAACTTTCCTAAAATTATTCTATATATTCAGTGCAATCCTAATCAGAATTCCAGGGAGGTTTTTATTTGTTGTATAGATATGTCAGGAAAACTAGTAAACCACATGAAAAATAAAGCTGAATATCTGTACTCTAGATGGCTTAAAACTCAAGGGAAAGGTATAACCATTAAACTAATGGATGAAAACGTAGAGAATAACTCTGTGGTCTAGAGTAAAAAAGACCACTTAGAAAATTTTCTGAAAACAAAAACTATAAGATAAAGATTGATAGATTGTTCTGCCAAAGACTTTATAGATAAAGTTAACAAAAAACTGTGACTGGAAAAATTTGCAATGTCTAAAATTGTCAAGAGGTTAGTATCCAGAGTGCATTAAAAATCACTGGGAAAATAGGAAATTCAATAGAAAAGAAGGCAAAATGCATGGGTAAGCAACTCACAGAAGGAGAATCCTGAATGACTAATAAATATATGAAGAAAGAAGGCTCAAAATCACTAATAATCAGAGAATTCTAACTAAAGACAATAATGAGGTATCGTTTTAAATCAATGAGATTGCAAAAACTACAGGTGGGTAACATAAAGTGTTAACAAGGATGTGGGGAGACAGAGACTCTTGTGTATCTGGTGGTAAACGTTCAACGTTTCCATTGGTTCTGGAACTAATTTACAACTAGTGGTTAGTGAAATTAAACACACAAATATTTTATTATTTAGCAATGCCACTACTCAGAAAAATTATTCTAATTCACAAGAGGACTTACGAGAACGTTCTTCACAGTACTGTTTGTGGAAGTGGAGCGAACCTTGGTGTCGCTAATTGTGGAGAATGGCTACGTAAAATGCAGTGGTTGTAAACTATGAGATGACGTAACATAGGATAAAACAAAACTAGATATATGTACATACAGCAACATGAGTAGATCTTACAAACAATGTTGGATGAAAAATGCAAAACAATGAGATTTAGAGTAAAATGCTATTTATGTAAATAGAAAAGTACATATTCGAAACACATCTACGTATTTCATCACCTCACTAGGCATCTTAAAGATGTATTCCAGAGTCCAGGTGTGGTGGCGCATGCCTGTAATCCCAGCACTTTGGGAGGCCAAGGCAGGCAGATTGCTTGAGTTCAGGAGTTTGAGACCAGCTTGGGCAACATGGTGAAACCCCATCTCTACAAACAACAACAACAATAACATTAGCCGGGTGTGATGGTGTGTGCCTGTAGTCCCAGATACTAGGGAGGCTGAAATGGGAAGATCACCGGAGCCCAGGAGGTCAAGCATGCAGTGAGCTGAGCTGTGATCATGCCTCTGCACTCCAGCCAGGGAGACAGAGTGAGACCCTGTCTCAAAAAGAATAATAAAAAAAGATGTATTCTGATGACATGAGCATGGGTAATATATGAAGGAGGGAAATGGGAAAATCACAAAACTAAAGTGTGAAAAACTAGAAATAGTTTGCTGTAAATCGAAAAATATGATTAACTCAACTCTTTGCACTTGAAATCCAATTTAAATTGTGGAAAACATAAGATAAGATGAAAGAAATAAATGCAAATATATCAACAATCATAACTCATATAAATAGATTAAACTTGGCTGTTAAAAGACACAAAATCTCAGACTGAAAGGAAACATTTTTTTCTATTTAGAAAAGACCTGGCTAAAACCTGAAAGCTTAAGCATAAAGAATTGGAAAAAACACATATTAGACAACACTAACCAAAGGAAAACTTGTAAAACAATATTAATATCAAACTGAATAGTTTTAAGTCATAGAACAATATTAGGAATAAAAGGGTAATTGCAGATAAAACTGTTCACTGGAGGCTGTAGCAATACAGGTATGGCAAATGCACTATATTGTTAGGTGCACTTACTAATATAGGTTCAAAATATATAAAGTAAAGGTGAATTACAAGAATAAATTGATAGTCTGTAGCCATAGTGGGAGACTTACTAGACCTCTCTGTGAAACAAATATGTAAAAAAAAATTTAGGATATCAAATATGCTTGATCTAGTATGGATAGATATGAAGATGCAGAAACATAGTTAAGTCCCTGTCCCTTAAAAATACAGAGAATACATATTTTTTCCAAGCACAGAACTATTTATAAATACCAACCACATACTAAATCAAAAGTGAAGTTTTAATGTATTCCAAAGAATGGCTATTGACCATATAATGCCTTTGACCATAATATAATCCATATTAGGTATTAATGACAAAAAGATCTCAGAATAATGTGCCTAAAACTAAAATGGTAATCCCATGGGAAGGCTGTTTTTGTCTTTGAGTGATAGATAAGGTCAAAGACACTAAGGAATGCAAAGAGCATAATAAAATCCACGTGAGAACAAACAGATCATTTTTTTCTTTTCATTTTTAGTTGACATGTAATTGTACATATTTATAAGGTACGGAATGATACTGCAATACGTGTCTGCAATGCGTGATGATCAAAGCACGGCAATTAGCATATCCATCACCCCGAACATTTATCATTCCTTTGTGCTGGGCCTATTCAAAATCTTCTCTTCTAGTTGTTTGAATACATATAATAAATTATCGTCAGCTATATTCACCCTACAGTGCAATAGAACACTAGAACTTATCCCTCCTATCCAGCTGTAACTTGGTATCCATTAACCAGCCTCTCCCTATCCACTCCCAACTTTCCTAACCTCTGATAACCAAATCTTTATGTTATTTGGCCCTCAGGGCAATCTTGAAGTAGATGTTTCTGTTCCCAGGTTTGCAGATGAAGAAACTGAAGGTTAGATAATTAAATAACTTTCAGAGTCCCACAATTTACCAGCATGGAAACAGAATTCACATCCATTTTCTTTCACACTAGACTAGGGAGATAGATACACATACAAAAGGAAATTGCCTCTAAGGAGAAGGGAGGCAAATCCAAGAGACAAATCCAAGGGAAGGATGTGTAGTTGACTTTGTCAGTGGAAGGTCAACTGTTCCGGGAGGCCACATGTATAGGAGGTTGAGGAGTTGATGTTGGATAATCAGGCTTCCCCAGAAGACAGAATAGCTCTATCCCTTTTTTACAGGAGCATTTTGTAAATCAAAAACCACATAACAAATGTTAGGTATTATGATTGTTATATGTTGCCTGGAAGTCCTTGTGCCTCCTAGAATCTTAATGAAAAAATTTAGATTATTTTAGTAATAAATGTTCAGGTAAGATAATTTATGCCAAAAGAGTAGCATAAGAACTTTACTAGGAGATTTGCATGGTGTTTCTGGACTACAGAATAAAATAAGGTGACACACATCAAACTTTAAACCAATAATTTATGTGGCTTCTTCCAGACCCCACTGTGTGCTACCAACCTGGAATCATTTTAATTTCTCAGATTAGGGTATTACCTACAGTGAGGGTGATGTGAAATTGAGCTTAAAACCTGAAAAAATGCAGAAACAAGTATACTACTAAAAACTCTTAGGGAGTCTATGATTATCATTATTAATATTTCTACTGTTAAAAAATTATCCAAAACCTGAAAATAACACAAAAGGATGACTGGATGACTAAATGATGTCCTTTCAATGTTATAGTGGAACATTGTCTAAGAGGTCCACCCGGCTAGGTGCTGTGGCTCACACCTGTAATCCCAGCACTTTGGGAGGCCGAGGCGAGCGGATCACGAGGTCAGGAGTTCGAAACCAGCCTGGCCAATATGGTGATGCCCCGTCTCTACTAAAAATACAAAAATTAGCCAGGCGTGGTGGCGTGTGCCTGTAGTCCCAGCAGCTCAGGAGACTGAGGCGGAAGAATCGCATGAACCTGGGAGGCAGAGGCTGCAGTAAGCCGAGATCGCACCACTGCACTCCAGCCTGGGCGACAGAGTGAGACTCCGTCTTAAAAAAAAAAAAAAAAAAAAAAAAAAAAAGAGGGCCACCTAAGGACATTTTAATTTTTTTTTTTTTTTTTTTTTTTTTTTGAGACGGAGTCTCGCTCTGTCACCCAGGTTGGAGTGCAGTGGTGCGATCTAGGCTCACTGCAAGCTCCGCCTCCGGGGTTCACGGCATTCTCCTGCCTCAGCCTCCTGAGTAGCTGGGACTACAGGCGCCCGCCACCATGCCCGGCTAATTTTTTGTATTTTTAGTAGAGACGGGGTTTCACCATTTCAGCCAGGATGGTCTCGATCTCCTGACCTCATGATCCGCCCTCCTTGGCCTCCCAAAGTGCTGGGGTTACAGGCGTGAGCCACGCGCCCGGCCGACATTTTAATTCTTGAAGGCAGCACATACCAAAAGAACTTTTCTGTGGTGATAAAAATGTTCTATAAATCTGCATTGTCTATCTAATAGCCAGTATCCACATGGCTATTGGACATTTGAAATGTGGCTAATGAAACTGAGGAACTGAATTTTAGGGGAATGTACCTTTGCTTAATTTACTATTTACTATCGATTAGAGGCCAGATTCTGCAAAACTACATGTTTATTTGTAGAAAATTGATTAGATGAAAAAGACTTACTGTTAGAAAGGCAAATGATTTCTGTCTGGTAGAAAAAAATAACCCTACAAGTTATAGTTTTTTTGCACTGTAGGACGCTAACCAGTATCTAACATAGCTATTTTATACCTGCTGGCTCCATCCTGCTGGTTCTATCATTTTAAATTATATAATCCTTGATACATATTCAATTTATATTTATGGAGAATCATAGTTTTTACCTTTTTTGAAAACTATTTAAACCCCACCTAGTGCTGGAGCAAAGATAAATAAGTTTCCTTAGCTCTTCCTTTGAAGGCAAATTTTTTTTTTTTTTTTTTTATACACAGAGTCTTGCTCTGTCACCAGGCTGGAGTGCAGTGGTGCGATCTCAGCTCACCGCAAACTCCATCTCCTGGGTTCAAATGATTCCACTGCCTCAGCCTCCCAAGTAGCTGGGATTCCAGGCATGTGCCACCAGGCCTGGCTAATTTTTTGTATTTTAGTAGTGACGAGGTTTCACCATGTTGGCCAAGATGGTTTTGATCTCCTGGCTTCATGATCTGCCCGCCGCAGCCTCCCAAACTGCTGGGATTACTGGCATGAGCCCCTGTGCCCATCTGGCAAATTGATTTTCTCCTAGCTCACATTTTCAGGAAGTGCAGAGATTCTAAACATCCTAACTCAATGCCCTCCCTTTATTTTTTCAAACAGCTTTATTAAGATATAATTGATACACAGATAGTGACACATATTTAATGTGTACAATTTGATGAGTTTGGACATATGTAAACACTGTGATACCATTACCACAATCAAGGTAGTAGACATATACAGCACTTCCCAAGGTTCCTTGTGTCCCTAATTTTTCTTTTTTTGTGGTAAGATCATTGAACGTAAGATCTACCCTTTTAACAATTTTAAAGTACACAATATTGTTAACCATAGGCACTACGTTGTACAGCAGAGTTCTACAATGTATTCATCTAGCATAATTGAAACTACCCATTGAACAACTGTCCATTTCTCCCATCCCCAGCTCCTGGCAACCACTGTCAAATACTCTACTTTTATGAGTTTGACTATTTATATTACTATTACACCTCACATAAGCTGAATCATGCAGTATTGTCTTTCTGTGATCAACTTACTTCACTTAGCATAATGTCCTACAGTTTGTCACAAATGGCAGAATTTCCTTGTTTTTTTTTGAAGGCAGAATATATTCCACTGTATGTATATAGCACATTTTCTTTATCCATGAGTCTGTTGATGGACACTTGGGCTGTTTCTGTATCTTGGCTATTGTAAATAAAATATAAAACTACAGTAATTAAACAGTATGATACTGGCATAAAGGTAGACATATTAGATCAATGGAACAAAGAACCCAGAAACAAACCCATGCATATATGGTCAACTGACCAAAATATGCAAGGATATCTGACAAGGATACAAAAAATATGCAATGGGAAAAATAGTCTCTTCAGGAAATTGGTATTGGAAAAACCAGGTATCCACGTGCAAAAAATGAAATTGATCTCCTACCTAAAAATGGATTAAAGACTTACAGGTAAGACCTGAAACTATAAAATCCCTAGGAGAAAATACATAGGAAACACTTCTTCGTATTGATCTTGGCAATGGTTTCTTGGATGTGACACCAAAAGCACAGGCAACAAAAGCGTAAATAGACAAGTGAGACTATATCAAACTAGGAAGCTTTTGCATAATAAAGGAAACAACAGAATGAAAAGGCAACCTCTGGAATGGGAGAAAGTTCTGTAAACCATATGTCTGATAAGGGGTTAATGTCTAAAATAGATAACACAAAAGCAAGAAAGCAAATAATTAAAAAATGTGCAAATGACTTGAACAGACATTTGTCCAAAGAACAAGATATACAAAAGGCCAACAGATATATATATGTGTATATATATGTATATATATGTGTATATATGTATATGTGTATATATGTATATATACACAATATATGTATATAAAATGCTCAACATTATCAGAGATACAAATTATTATTTATCAGAGAAATACAAATCAAAACTACAATTAAATATCTCCTACTACCTGTTAGGAATGCTATTATCGAAAAAACGAAAGTTAAGTGTTGACAAGAATGCGGAGAAATTGGAACCCTTGTGCACCATTGGTGGACATGTAAAGTGGTATAGCAGCTATGGAAAACAGTATGGAGGTGCCTCAGAAAAACTGAAAATAGCATATGGTAGTTCTTGCCATACAATTGAGCAATTTCATTTCTGGGTATATAGCCAAAAACATTGAAATTTGAGTTTCAAAGAGATATCTTAATCCCCTCCTTGGAATGGGCCTGAAGTTTAAGCTCCTGTTCTCTCCTGCAGCCATTAATCTCCAAATCTCTACGTTTAAGTAGTATTAACGTTTACTCCTAGGGAAGCTCTGGGTTAATAGTTTGAGTACCATTCTCATTTCACCTTATTTTTATTCTTCATGGTCTTTGGGCATTTCTCTCCCCTTTTTTTTGTTAGTTAATGCAGTGCATATAAACATATACTTGCATTATTTTATCTGACATCCAGATGCTCTGTGGCAGGTGAGCTTGTCAGAATTTCCAGTCTGACAAGCGAATATCCTCAAATCATTCTCTACATGCAGTTAGAGTGAATTTCCAAATGTGAATTTGATCCCTTTACTCATTGATTAGTTTACTGTTTGAAATTCATCAATGGCTTTAGTTATTATGATAAAGCCGATATCCTTAAAATGACCTATGAGATCCTGCATGATCTTGACTTCTCACCTCATCTTGTCCACTCAGTTTGGTCTGCGTGTCTTTTACTTCCTTGAAGGAGATACTACTTTCAGCCTCAAGACCTTCGAATACTCTGTTCTTTCTCCTTAGATCACTTTCTTTGAATCCTTTTATTTAAATAATTCTCTGATTGGAATGTCAGCTCTGTGAGGGGGAGAGGTCATCTCTGTATTTTCCATATTCTGATGCAGTAAGCATTCGCAGATATTTCTTGAGTGATAGGAATCATTCAAGAGTAAATGCCCACTGAATGAGTTCCTGTTCTTATTTTTCACACTTGCTGCCCCTCCTGTGTTCCTTGCTTTTTTTTGAATAGTCTCATGGATCCAGTCTTTCAGGCTAGAAATTGAATATCCTCTCTCTCTTTCTTTTCTTTTTTTTTTTTTGAGATGGAGTCTTGCTCTTTCATTTCTACTGTTAATCAAGCACCTTCCTAAATATCTTAGGAAATCATCCTTACTGAACTGCCTGAGCTCATTACTTCTTGCTTAAATTAGCACATCATTAAATGACTTCCCATTAATGCCTTAGTTTGACATGCATAGTTTTTGTGATCGTTTCTCATTTCCCTTTTCTCCTCTATTCCACATGTACCCCAGGCTCTAGCTAAATTGAACAAACATTCATAGAGCACCTACCATGTGCCAGCCTCTGAACTAGGTACTGTGATATACATAACCTCAATTAATTCTCAGAAGCCATCCCAAGTGTATATTTTCCTAGGGAGAAAACAGAGATATAGAGGAGAGAAGGAGTGTGACCTCAGGGTCATGTGGCTCATCTGTGGTAGAGGCAGGACTGGATGCCAGGTCTTCTGAACCCGAGAGCCCACGTTCTTTCCACTAGCATGTTGCCAGGAAACAAAAACGAGAACCTCTTGGGGAAGAATAAATTCTACCATGGAGTCTCCGGGTAAATGGCAAAATGACATCATGATACATACAAAAATTAGATGTTAACTAAGGGACACATATTAGACGATCGTGAAATAAGATTTTTGTCATTTTCTGTGTTTTCTGGTTTCATCCATGGAAACAAAATCAAATAGTAGACTTTAGAGACAAACGAGTCCTGGGAACTGGAAGGCAGGCTATTAATAATTGTGATTTGTTTTCTGGCAGAATTGGGAATTACATTTTCCTTGACTTGAGATTTTATGTTTCACTTATTACTTGCTATTTGGCGCCTATATTGTTTTCCTCCTTTCAGTCATACCTGGAATGAATTTCTTGGACTTACATGTTTCCCCCAAGTTTTTTCTTTGGGAATGGCCATATCCCAACCCTAAACATTTCTTCTCAGAGTTAGGCTCCTGATACTCTGAGCTAATTCATCTACCCAGTCCTTGTTTTACCTCTAAATAACTTCTGAATTATTCATTTCTTCTCCAGAAGGGAGGCTTAAAAAAATACCAATACTTTCTTCTAACCACCAGCTTTGATGGTTTCAGATCTAACCTGCACATTACTTCTAGTGTAATCTATTTAAAGCACAATTAGTACCCGTCATCCTTTTGCCTAAAACCTTTCAATGGCTTCTGGTCAGTCCAGAGTCTTTACTCTGGGCGAATAGCTTAGCATAGTGTATACCTACCTGTCCTCCAGTTTTCTGTCTCAAAATCCAACCACGCTAAACTGATTGTTGTTTCCCGAAATGCTGAGGGTTTTTTCTCCCCCATGTTGTATCTTATCTTCAAGGCGCTACTCGTTCTTCCTTTTGGCCCCTTCTCAAATGCTGTTTCTTCAGAGAGGTCATTCCTAACCACCCTATTCAGAAAAGTACTTCCTTCCTCTTATTCTGTTTCTTTACTTTGCCTTATAGTTTTTTCTTAACCCTTTCCAGCATCTGCCATTATACTGTGCGTTTATTTATTGTTTGTCTCCACCAGTGGAAAGAAAGTTTTGTCTTCCTTGCTCACTGCTGTCTTCCCCAGTGCCTAGAATGGGACCTGGCATAGAATAGGTAGTTAATAAATATTTATTGAATAAATTAATAAGTGAATGAATGAAATCTGTTCCCTCTGAGATTACATTCTCCTTCCTGGTTCACCCCTCTCTAATCAGCAATCTTTAGCTTACGCGTCACCTCTTGCAGAAAGCCTCTCTAATTACAGTGTCCCCCTAATAGAATCCATCTAAGGTGCCCCACCTCAGCACCTCTGTGATGCCTTGAACATGTGTAAGAGGAATTGCTACAGCTGAATGTTTATGTGCACCCAAAATTCATATGTTGAAGCCTGAGTCCCCATTGTGATGGTATGTGTAGGTGGGGCCTTTGGGAAGTAATTAGATTTAGATGAGGTCACGAGGTTGGCACCCTCATGGTGGGATGCCCTTATTCAAAGAGGGAGAGACCAGGGCCCTCCTTTCTCTGTCATGAGAGGATACAGCAAAAAGGTGGCCATCTGCAAACCAGATAGAGGGTCCTCACCAGATAGTGAATCTGTTGACAACTTCATCTTGGACCTCCTCACATCTAGAACTATGAGAAATAAAAGTTTGTTATTTAAGCTACTCTGTATATGGTATTTTATTGTAACAGTCTGAACTGACTGAGACAAGAACAATAATTGTGAAAATATATTGTGTGCTTACTATATTTGGGTATATTCCAAGTGCCTTATATATGTTATTTCATATAATCTCCATAATAACTCTACAAAGTAAGTATGATCAAGTAAGACTGTAGGCAAGAGAACTGAGACTTTGAAAGGTTTTATCTGGCTTGGAGTAACAGAGGGAGTAAGCAGTTGCACTGAGATTGAAACCCAGGAAGTCATGACTCTAATGTCCTTGTTCTTAACAATGGAGGTTGAATGTAAGAATACAAGAAAACATGCCGTAGCATCCAAAATTGATGGTAGGTTGTACCATGGGCTTCACAGAAAAAGAGACAAATTGATAGACATTACTGAGAATAATAATCTGTTCAAGTAACCACTTTTTATCCTTTTTCAGAGAGATAATGAGATTAGTTGTGATATATTGTTAGCTTTGTACCTGCCTATCAGGCAGTTTTCTCTGAAGATACCTCAAAGCAGAATGAGTTGGTAATTCCGTGGCCTCGAATCCAATCCAATGCAGCTATGTAGGCAGGCTATTTCATAACAAAGTAAGGTATAGAAACCATCAGAAAGGGGGATCCGGTGGGGAACCGAGGCCACTTACATTAGAAGTGTATCTATGTATGGAGAGGAATTAAAATCCCATGGCTCATCTTTCATGGCTCATTGTCTCACTCTTGTGCAGACATTCTCAAGAGCTGAGTGCTAGTCTGCCATCAAGGACTGCATTCAGCTTGAGTTAGCACTCCCACCCCACAACTCCTCTGCACCCGACAGAAAAACAAATAAACACCCCACCCTCCAATTATAGCTTGGAGATGGGAAAAAGCTCTAGTTTAGATATGAAAGGGTGAGTGTTAAGAGATTTCTACACTGAATTATCAGGGTTTAAGCAGAGGAGAAGAAACATCAGGATGACTATGCCATTATAACATAGCCGAAAGGAAACAAACAGACAAGAACATTACATGCTGAAAAGAGTCTGAAATTAAACATAATACAAAGAAAAGAATTTTATGCTCTGGAAAAATCTAATAAGATTATGAATTTGATAAAACAAGAGCCCCAAGGTATTATAATAAAACAATAGAATTAGAAGCAAGAATAATTGTACAGCCAATACAGTTCTGTTGGAGATAAAAAATAAACCCCAAACAGCAAGTGACAGAACAGACAAAGCTTAAAATTGAATCACTAGCATGAAGGAGAGGGTCGAGTTAGTTTCAGTGAATATGAAGTAAAGGAAAAAGGAGAAAAACAATTAGAGAGGTGGTGCTTTATACGGTAGACAAAGAATTCCTAAAAGGAGAATGTGTCCTTAAGATACAGAAACCAATAAATGGAAAAGAAGAACTGTTCTAAGCGGTAATTCAAGAAGAATCTCCCTAAATGAAAAAAGAACTAAATGAAAATGTTGAAGAGACAGTATACCAGGGGGAAAAATATATAGCTATCTATATCAAGGTAAATTTTATTTAAGTTACAAATTATGTTGAAATAGTAAAGATAACAAAAAGGAAATAAAACAAGAAGTAGTTCTGGGCAAAAGTAATGCACCTACAAGAGGTCAGTGTTAGGAAATGGCTTCAAACTTTTTCCCAGCAGTGATCTTAGAGATAAGACAGCAATGTCTACAGAGCTCTGAAGGAATGTGCAGCCCCCGAAAAATGTAGTCAGCCACATTTCTCATTTATTTATAAGGGCAATAGGTAAAAATTCTTAGCGATGGAAGTATTTATGGAATGTGGGACCCGTAATCTCTTTTAAAAAGTGCTACCTGACTGTCTGGGTGCGGTGGCTTACACCTGTAATCCCAGCACCTTGGGAGTCTGAGGCAGGTGGATCACGAGGTCAGGCGTTTGAGACTAGCCTGGCCATCATAGTGAAATCCCATCTCTACTAAAAATACAAAAAATTAGCCAGACATGCAGTCACGCTCCTGTAATCCCAGCTACTTGGAAGGCTGAGGCAGGAGAATCCCTTAAACCTGGGAGGCGGAGGTTGCAGTGAGCCGAGATTATGCCATTGCACTCCAGCCCGGGCGACAGTGCAAGACTCCGTCTCAAAAAAAAAAAAAAAGTGCTACCTGACAATGACAACAGCAACAACCACGAAAAGCCAATCAAAGGATGAATTAAAACATTGAGCTCAGAAATGGAGAAAAGGTAGTAAAGGCACACGGAGGAACACTAAATCCAAAGAAATATTGAAAAAAGACTAACCCAGAGATTGTGACAAAATAAAGAGGAGGTAGTACACGTCTTAGTGAAGGAAAACAGTAAGTAGGATGATAAATATGGAGGTAGGGAAAGGAGGAGGAAGGAGGAAAGGAGCAATTTTAGCATCCTCATCTTTCATAGCAGGGAGTCAGTGGATATAATCTAAATCTGAAACATGACGTTAAGATAAGAAAAATATAATGGTTTCATCCTCTGAATGTACTTCATAATCTTTTTTCTTGCTTAAAAGGAATGTGACATTTTGGGGTGAATAGCCATTGTTAACTGAAGTTCAGCAATTCTTTTAGTTTTACTTTAGATTATTTTACTTCTGTTAAATTCATGTAAAGTTATATTGAATAGTTCTAGTTAAAATGCTATTTATAGTATACACTTAATGTTATAAAATTATTTCTGTCCATCTCTGCTTGCCTGCCTAAGAGGCAGTATGGTTTAGAGCAGAGCTTTTCAACTGTGTTTGTGCATGCGAATGGCTTGGGGATCTCACTGGAATGCAGGCCTGGGGTGGGGTGTGGGACTTGGCATTTCTAATGAGCTCTTGGCTGCTGCTGCTGCCCATGGGCCTCACTTGGAGCAGCAAGAGTGTGCGGGCTATGGGCAGCACTCTAGTGCCAGGCTGCCTAATTGTATTTCTGGTGCCACCACTTACAAGCTGTGTGACTTTAAGTAAGCCCTATGACTGAATTTTCCAATCTGTAAATTTGGGAAATTATAAGAGTACTGCCCTGTCAAATGCTTAGAATAATGCCTGACAACAAATATTAAACATAACAAAAACTGGCTATTTTTACAGACTGTAGCAACCCCGTACCAGAAACCTAACATTTCTGGATTTCAATTTCCCCATCTGTAAAAATAACTACATCACAGGGTTGTTGCAACAACTAGAAGTAACTTATGTAGGACACTCTGCACAGTATCTGGTATGTTATAGATAATAAATGATAATTATCAATGATTACAGTTACTATATAAATTATAATATACTAATATTAACTATTTTTTCCAAGTACTTATATAGTCTTAGCTCTGCTGATTCATTTATTCAGTAACTCTCACTCAGATTTTACTCATTCGTTGAATAACTAATTCTAGGGTTTTTCCTGTGTCTTAGGAAGCCTGATTTAAACACTGGGATTACCTCAGGAAATAAGGCAGTCTTAGTGAGCTTTTATTTTCGTGGGAGAGAAGAAACAAAGAAACAATTTGCAAAGCAGTAATAAGTGGTGTGGAGAAAGGTAAAGCAAGATAAACAGAAAATGATGCTGGGGTGGGAGAGTAGGATGATTAGATGTGAGGTTGTCAGGGGAAAGGGACAGTTGAGTAGACACCCAGATGAGTGAGGAAGCAGGCCCTGAGACGTTCTGGGGAGAATATTTCCATCACAGTTTCTCCTGAAGCAGGAGGTCAATGTATCTAGTTCTGAGGGAACTCAGGATAATGCTAGCAGCTGGAGTTTGAGAGAAAGGCAGGGCCAGATGAGTGTTTTCTAAACTAAGAGTTACAGTTCATTAGTGAGTTGCAATCAGCATTAAAAACAAAAGAGCTGATCAGAATTAAAAATACCAGAGCACATAGTAGATACCAAGGATGAGTACTGGTTTGTATCATAGAAAGAGATATATAGACGCACACATGTGTATGTCCTAGGTTATGCTTTAAAAATAAATTTTTTACTATGGATACCAGTACAAAAAAGGTTCCAGGCTGGGTGCAGTGGCTCACGCCCTGTAATCCCAACATTTTGGGAGGCCAAGGCTGGTGGATCACTTGAGGTCAGGAGTTCGAGACAAACCTGACCAGCATGGTGAAACCCCATCTCTACTAAAAATACAAAATTAGCCGGGCACTGGGGGTGCATGCCTGTAATCCCAGCTACTCAGGAGGCTGAGGGAGAAGAATCGCTTGAATGTGGGAGGCGGAGGTTGCAGTGAGCTGATATCGCATCACTGCAATTGAGCTTGGGCAACAAGAGCAAAACTTCATCTCAAAAAAGAAGAGAAAAAGAAGGTTCCAATACACTGGGATAGATTACATAGACCCTTGTGGACAGTTACAAAGAGTGTGTGCTTTATTCTGCAGGTCAAGAAGCCAGTGAAGGAGTTTGAGCAGAGGAGTGCCATAATATGATCATTGTTTTTAAGCTCTTTGATAGCTATGTGGAAAGCTGACTGAGGGGAGTGAAGGGAAAGAGAGCAATGAAAACCTCTTGCCAAATCACCTCTTACCTATAGCCTTGCAGTAGGCAGAATAACGCCCCCTCCCACAAAGACATCCATGTCCTAATCTGTGAAACCTGTAAATGTGTTATGCTACATGGCAAAAGGGGCTTTGCAGATGATCAAAATCGACATGCGAGGTTATCCTGGATTAGCTGACCGGACCTGGTCTAATTACAAGAGTCCTTAAATGTGGCACAGGGAGGCAGAAGTAGTACTCAGAGTGAGAATGCACTTGACCTGTCATTGCTGGCTTTGAAGATGGAGAAAAGGGGTCTGAGACATTGAATGTAGGTAGTCTCTGGAAGCTGGGGAAGGCAGGGAAATGAATCTTAACTTTCTTTTTTTTTTTTTTTTTTGAGACAGAGTCTTGCTCTGTCACCCAGGCTGGAGTGCAGTGGTGCGATCTCCCCTCACTGCAAGCTCCGCCTCCCGGGTTCACGCCGTTCTCCTGCCTTAGCCTCGCGAGTAGCTGGGACTGCAGGCGCCCGCCACCATGCCCGGCTAATTTTTTGTATTTTTAGTAGAGACGGGGTTTCACCGTGTTAGCCAGGATGGTCTCGATTTCCTGACCTCGTGATCTGGCTGCCTCGGCCTCCCAAAGTGCTGGGATTACAGGCGTGAGCCACCAGGCCGGGCCGATGAATCCTATATCTTACAGAAAGGAATAAATAGCCCTGATACCTTTTAGTTAGCCTGGTGAGATCTGTGTCAAGTTTCCGATTTACAGAATTGTAAGGTTATAAAGTGCATGCGTTTTGTGATGTTTTAACTTTAAAGAAGTTTTGTTTTATTTTTAATGGACAAATAATAATTGTATATATTTATGGGGTACAATGTGACGTGTGTGTTTTTTAAGCCTGAACATTTTTGGTAATTTGTTATGGCAGCGATAGAAAACCGATACAAACATGTTGCCTTTTAAACCTGTCTTCATATCCTTCCTCTTTGCTATGGCTTGAATGTCCCCTTCAAAACTCATGTTGAAATTGAATTGCCATTTGTTTGGTATTAAGAGGTGGGACTTTTTTTTTTTTTTTGACAGAGTCTCTCTCTGTCACTCAGGCTGGAGTGCAGTGGTGCGATCTTGGCTAACTGCAACCTCTGCCTCCCGGGTTCAAGTGATTCTTCTGCCTCAGCCTCCCAAGTAGCTGGGACTACAGGTGCACGCCACCACGCCCAGCTAATTTTTGTATTTTTAGTACAGACAGGTTTTCACCGTATTGGCCAGGCTAGTCTCAAACTCCTGACCTCGTGTTCTGCCAGCATCGGCCTCCAGAAGTGCTGGGATTACAGGCGTGAGCCACCGTGCCCGGCCAAGAGGTGGGATCTTTAAGAGGTGATTAGGTCATGAGGGCTCTGCCCTCATGAATGGATTAATGCCATTGTCTTGAGAGTGGGTTAGTTATTGTGGGAGGGGGGTCCCTGATAAAAAAGATGAGTTTGGCCCCCTTCCTCTCTGTCTCTTGTGCTCACGTCTGTCTTCTGCCTTCTACCATGGGATAAAGCAGCAATAAAGCCCTCATCAGATATCCCTCAGTCTTGGATTTCCTAGTCTCCAGAATCATGAGCCAAATAAACTTCTTTTGTTTATAAAGTACACAGTCTGTGGTCTTCTGTTGTGGCAGTGGAAAACAAACTCACATATTCCTTACAGACCTCTTCAAAGTGCTGACATGAGGTCTCGGTAATTCCCCTCAGCTGCCCTCACTGTCCCGTGGCTTCCTTGCAGAATCCTCTGCTCCTACCTGCTATCTGCTTTACATCTAGTTTCCATTCTTAATCCCAGGACTCTTTTTCTAGTTATTCCCAGTGGGAAAGTCTAGCAGTTTAGGCACACTCAACCAGAGATCTTTTGTTGTCAAAAAGGGATATAGATTTAAGTTGAAGAAATGTGAGGAGGGGAACTGAGGTTGAAGGAGAATTGCAACTGGTTTCTTTTACTTGTTTATTTTCATTCATATGGTAAAGCAGGTAGATTATCTCATAGCTGCTAGCATTAGATGATGGAGAGTTGGTGATTAATTCAGTCCAGGTTGTCATAAGAAATGAAAATGGTTTAATTTGTCTAAATTCAAATATGGGGCTGAGCAAATAACTTTTAATGAATTCTATAAATATCCAGGCAGTACTGGAGCCAACTTCTTTGTGTTGTGTTACCATTGTCTAGGTCATTGTTACTTAAGTACAGTACTTGCCATATGGTATTCAAGTACAAATGAGATATTTTCATTTTTATTTATGAAGAATATCATTTGATCTAATGAAAAACATTAAGGATAAATTATTCATTATGATTTATTCAGTAATGTTTTGTATAGAGGATGCTCTTTATAATTTTGACAGTGTTCTCATATGAAAAACTCATTTAATTCTCAAAAAACGCCTTGTTTGATAGGAAGGACAGGTGTTAGTGAACTCTCCTTCAGACGACAAGCAAGAAAATTTGTAAGGTTACTGGACCTGCCCAAAGTAAGTGGCAAAAACTAGAACCCAGGTTGTTGGGTTTCTAATTAGCATTTTAACCACTTGCCCCTGACATAATAAAAAAGCTTCATTGTGTTTGTGTGGTCTCCTGGGGGGAAATGATCCGTAGGAGCTTAGTATTGTTAACACTTTCTAGTGTTGAAATATTTCCAATCATTCAAAGAGATCATATTTCCCACCCCACTTGGTACCCAGTGACTAGTGAGTACAACTGAACCACTTCTTGATGGTTAGGGTATATTTTGTTTTGAATCTTAATTATTGTGAGAGCCTTAAGAAATATTAGGTTGTTGGCACCTATCCAGTGTGATTCTATATAGCCAGCCTTTTAAAGTTTATTGTCTGTTATCTTCTGTTGTTTTTTTCTCCTTGGGACACTGGCTTCTACCATTCCCTTGCTTCTTCCACCTCAAAAGTTGCTAGGGGAACATATCTCACCTATGGAGCAAAGTGCATGGGCTTTGTCACAGCTTCCCTTGTTGAATTTCATGTATCCTGAATGGTTCAGGTTATCAAAAATCTGACTCCTAAACACATTGTATATCACTATACAAATATAAATAATACACCTCAAAATAGTCTGTGGAGCTTATTTTGGAAAGTATCGCCTAAAGTGTTATATCAATCTGATGACAAATGTTGAATAGCATACAAACATATATGATGAGTATCACACCTTGGAATCTGTTCTTATATGAGATTTTCTTCCATGTAGCAGCAACCAAGTCAAAGAGTTTAAACAGCATGTTACAAAAAAGAACAGAATAATGTCAACTTAATAGATTGTCTTAACTTATTATTTCTGTAAATTCCCTATCTAAGGCTTAATATTCTTCAATCAGGCTCTTCTCTGCCATTATAAAGATGTACTAATTTGCTACTTGGCAACTGCACCAATATGTTTATATATTAGTCTTAGAACACCAATTGGAATATATATATGTATTTTTCTCTAAAGCTTTTGAAACTTTGTAGCCACTTTACCAATTCTCATTAAAAATGCTGAAACAATATTACTGGGGGAAATTTCTTAACACTATATGACATAGTTCATTAAATACCTAAAGTACTTATAATGCCCAGGAGAATTTTAAATGAAAACATTTTTAAAAAATAAAATAAAAACAATGTAAATGTGCAAAGAAAGCAAAAGTACTACTATTCAGCGAAACAGGATTCTGTAATTTAAATATGATCCAGGGCAGATAGCAAGTTCTGAGGGGAATTTGCCTGTTGTTGAATGGTGGAGGGGGGCGGGGGCACTGGAGGTGACCTGTTCCTAGCCTGTGTGAACCGTGTCTGGAGGGAGGGGTGGCAGATAAGACTCTTAAGCTTTTGATCCCAACTGAGCCAGGTTTATTTCTCCTTCCTTACGTTGCTTGAAGTTTTTTCCAGCTTCTACCGCCTCTGCTGCAGAAGCAGTGCTAAATAGAATGCTGGTATATAGGCTTCCATTGAAAACTGGCACATGAGCTCAAAAGAGGATGCTGACAACAGCCCCACTGTAGGTAGATCTAAGCTGCATTTTCAAAGGATTTTGTACTGTCTTATTGAATGTGACTGTTCACTTATCTATACCCTCTTAGAGGAGTGTCATCCTAGAACAAACTCTAGGGTCACATTGCCTGGGTTCAAATCTTGGCTCTTCAGCTAACTCGTTCTGTTGCCTGAAGCAAGTCACTGAACTACTCTGGGCTTCAGCTTTCTCATCTATCTAAAGGAGGCAATGATAGTACCAACCTCATAATCTTCTCATGAAGTCTTGGTGAGTTAATATGTGTAAAGCACTTGGATCAGTGCCTGACACAATAATAAATATGGAACATTAATATCAGCAATTAATAGTACTAGAGTGCAAACTCTTTGAGGTCATTGACTGTATGTTTAAAATTGCTGTGTCTGCAATATCTAACAAGGTACCCACTACACAGTAGCAATTCAGTGAATAGGTTGAATGTGGACATTGCCTTCTGTGTAGCACATTTTCTAAGACTCAAATGTTAATAACTCATATTAAAATTTCATATTTTCTGCTAATTCATGATGTGACCAGTATCTGTTAACAAAAAGTCAGGTTTCAAACATCAGATTGAAAGTATAGCCCCAAAAGAGCATTTATATGAACATGCTTTTCTCAAAAGCTATGTTTCTGTTGAGAGAAAATAAATATACACATATATATTTATCAGCATGATTTTTATGATCATCACTTACCTTAAAACTTTCATTTCTTTTTAGTCATCTAATGAATGATCTTCTACTAAGGACTAAAACTTTGATCAAGTCTTCACTAAACAGTAACCTTCACAATGGGCTCTACTCTGATCGCCATTCTTATTCCCACCCAACCTCTGAATGTATCATCTTAACCCTACTCTGCTTTTATTCCTCAATAAGCACAAAGCACTGTATTACATTCTATGGGGTTTACTTATATGTTATGCTTATTATTTATTATCTGCTTCCTTCAGCTAGATGTAAGCTACATGAGGAAAGGGATTTTTGATTGGTTCATTTATATATCCCAAGTGCTCAGAATAATACCGGCTTTTTAGTATTGAGACACTCATTACATCTTTACTGGATAAATAAATGAACTGATCTTATATTCTTAATTCTCTATGTATGTGTCTGTATGTCTATCTATCCACCTATCTCAACGTAAAAAATAGGTTTGAGGGCGCGGGATTTTCTGTGTGTCCTCATATAGGTTCTACGTCTAGTCCTACTTATCACCCTAGGTTCCTCAAATCCATTCAGCTGGCATTATGCCTTCCTTGATAAAAGTAAGATTAGATGATGCTAAGATTTTATTCCTGACATATCAGAAATACTAAAACAGCACTGGAGCACAGAGTGATTGAAGAGAGAGTATAATGTTCAAATAATTTTATGTTAGCAACAACTATTATAGACCTTTCCTTTCTGTGAGAAGCCCTCAGAACTGTATTCCTTTCTGATGTGGATATCTCCTGTGTAAGACAATCACAAAACATCGTGACTTTGTAAACTGGGCCATTTCATTCCATTTGCAATGAGCATCGCTTTCAATGTAGGGCATGTCTGATCTTTGTGGGCCTTAATATTGAAGAGAGAATTTGAAAATTAGACTGGGTTAAACTCCCTAGTACGATGCTGTTTAAATGAAAGCAGCCCACTGATGAGATAGTTTCATTTTTCTTTGAATTCCTTCAGATTAAACATGTCAAAGTGTTCTTAAGTAGGTAATCTCTTTCCTAAATGTCACAGTCAAATTTCATCTTCATAGGAGATACTAATGAACTATCCAGTGTGCTACCCTCTTGCTACACAAATACCAAAGTAATTTGGGCCTTCTCTGTATTTACTTGACATAAAGAGAATTCAATTTTGCTTCTGTTTCCAGACATTTAATTAGGCTGAAGGTACTGTTTTCTAAGTTAGCAAGCAGTTATAAAGGCTTATGATTTTACCTAGTGATTTATAATGCAGTAAACACAAATCCGTTATTTAACAGGATCCACACGGTCCCCTGTAAATTGATCTTATTAAACATTTATTAATATTTTTAATGAAAAGGTTTGTTAATAAAATTAAGTAGAACTTTCACAGGCTTGGTTGGTACAGATGGCTCAAAAATTAATCCAGGCCGGGCGCGGTGGCTCACGCCTGTAATCCCAGCACTTTGGGAGGCCGAGGAGGGCGGATCATGAGGTCAGGAGATCGAGACCATCCTGGCTAACACGGTGAAACCCTGTCTCTACTAAAAATACAAAAAATTAGCTGGGCGTGGTTGGCAGGTGCCTGTAGTCCCAGCTACTCGGGAGGCTGAGGCAGGAGAATGGCGTGAACCCGGGAGGCGGAGCTTGCAGTGAGCCAAGATCGCACCACTGCACCCCAGCCTGGGTGACAGAGCAAGACTCCATCTCAAAAAAAAAAAAAAAGAATCCAGTCTCAAGGAAAGGAGGTACTGCTAACTTCAATAGTCCATGGCACACAGTAATAGCCCCTAATATTTACAAAAAGAAAAAGAGGTGATTAGAATAAATGCCCTCTTCTCAAAGTCAGGAGGAGACTTCTGGGCTACTTGAGTCACTGTGGGTGAGATTGGGGCTTATCCTTGTTTTAGGATAAAGTAAACTCTGGCTTCCTTCTCTCTGTTCTTAGCAGCAATCCTGCTGTTTCTGGCTTCCTGGTGCCTTGAAATAATTGAGTTAGCTGAAATTTGGGCTTTGAAGTGTTGGGTCATTTGCAGGGTGTGGGTCAATGCTCGGTTATCAAGCGGCAGTAGGACTGGAGAATGCAGAAGGAGACTCAGGCCAAGAGGTTGGTACAAGGGACAGAAAATTGGCAATGTACAGCCAGCTGTGGGCCCAGGTATATCCAGCTATGAAGCTATGGACCTCTAGGGATTAGTGGATATTCCCATGACAGATACCAACATCAGCATTTATTACCCCTCTGGATTACACTTGTCATTTTTTGGCCTCTGAGGATTGTTCTCAATTTCTTTTCAGTTCTTCTATGCAGTTATAGAAGTTTATTTGCTTTTCTTTTTTCATTTTCCTTTTCTTTGCCCTTTCTCATTTCCTTTCTCTTTCACTTCTCTTTTCTTTCCCTTTCCCTTCCCTTTCCTTTCCTTCCTTTCCCTTTTTCCTTCCCTTCCCTTCTCTTTTCCTTTCCTTTCCATCTCCTTGTCTTCTCTCTTCCCCCACTACTGAATCCAGGTTTTTAAAGTGTGCTGTATGATGAGTATTTTTCATGATGCCCAGTGCACCATATTGTAGAAAAACAAGTGAAGTCCTTTATTTTTCTTAAGTAAGTTGTAGAGTAGATTCAATGTAGTCACTATAAAATTTCATTCTCCCTTGCTTTATGTATTTCTTGAATGGCATGGAAATTGTTGGGGTTAATCCTAGCAGATTAGAAATGCCCGAGTGAGGGGGCCATAGGGGCCAGAGGAGAAAATATTTGAAAACTAATAATGGGCAACGATGGAAGCCAGTTGAGAGGATCCTACCTTCATATTGTACATTTACTCCTAGTTGTTGATAAGAGGGGCTAAGAAAGGAAAATATTTTGATTGCAAATGAAAGTCATTTCACAAACTACCTGACTGATGATTGAGGAAACCAGAATTCATTTTCCTTAGAAATAGTGCATTTAGGCTGGACGCGGTGGCTCACGCCTGTAATCCTAGCACTTTGGAAGGCCGAGGTGGGCAGATTGCCTGAGCTCAGGAGTTTTTTGATCAGTCTGGGCAACATGGTGAAACCCTGTCTCTACTAAAATACAAAAAAATTAGCTGAGTGTGGTGGTGTGTGCCTCTAGTCCCAGCTACTCGGGAGGCCAAGGCAGGAGAATTGCTTCAACCCAGGAGGCGGAGATTGCAGTGAGCTGAGATCGCGCTACCACACTCCAGCCTGGGCGACAGAGCGAGACTCTGTGTCCAAAAAAAAAAAAAAAAAAAACCCAAAAAGAAATAGTGCATGTAACATATTACTTAAGGTCAACTTAACAAATAATACAATGTACACATTTGTTTTACAGACACTTTTGACTAACATATGGATGTTGACTTGCAATAGGTTTGTAATATAAATAATTTAACACCACATAGAAATTATTGGCCCCAAAATGTCTATTATTAATGTAAAATCATTAATTTTGATTTTTGAAATGTTTTACACCAACACTTGAAATTTATTCATGTTTTTAAAAGAACATCTGTAAGTAAATAAAATTCTTCACACATTTTCATCTGAGCAAAAGCATATCAGTATGTGATTATGGCCAATAATTATAAAGCATATTTTCAAATTTCCAGTTTTAATTACTAAAATATAATATTACTAAAATATTATCATTTTGATTGTCCTTTACTAATTTCCATTGTTTAAAATACATAAATATTTAAATATTTAATTTACTATATTTGTGATTCCTAAGAAATGATTTTGCACAAGTGGAAGGTAAATGTACGTCTTAGTCTGTTTTGTGTTGCTGTAAAGGAATACCAGAGGCTGGGTAATTTATAAAGAAAAGAGGTTTATTTAGCTCATGGTTCAGCAGTCTGTACAAGAAGTATGGACTGGTGTCTGCTCAGGTTTTGGTAAGGGCTTTTGTGCTGCCTCAAAGCATGGCAGAGAAGGTCTAAGGGAAGGTGGGCATGGGTGAAGAGGGACCAAACCCAAGGGTGCTGTCTTTATAACAACCGCTCTTGTAGGAGCTAATCCATTTCCTCGGAACCAATCCAGCTTTGTGTGAGAGAGAACTCACTCACTACCAGAGGGAGCAGCACCAAGCCATTCCTGAAGCATCCACCCCCATGACCCAATACTTTCCATTAGGCCCCACTTCCAACATTGAGGATCAAATTTCAACTTGGGGTTTGGAGGGACAAACATCCAGGCCATAGCAGTATATAAACCTTATTATATAATACCATTTTCATTGACAGGTTAAATGTGTTTTAGCTTGAAGTTCAATAGCAAACCATCTTATATTAAAGAAGAAGCACTTTTAGCATACTTTAGTAATATTCTTTTTAGTCCTCATGTATAAAATAAATATTAAATAAAACGTTTACTTTGTAGCTTCAGCTTAATTTTTAAAACATGCCAGTAGTTTTTTAAAGCTTATTTTTTTTCTATTTTAACTATTGTTTTCACTAGGGTGTTCTATGACCTAATAATTATGTAGCGTTGTCTTGAGTACATTATTTTACATATTTTATGGGTAGCACTATGCTTTACATATTTTTTCCCTATTAAGAAATTAAGTAAGTTACAAATAAACTAATATTTATTTTTAAATAGGTGAGAAAGCAAAATTTTCTTTTTAATGAGTTTTAGAAATGAAACTATAAGTTGACAGTTAACTAATTTTTACTTGTTCAGCAAGGACAAACATTAGAATGCATATAAGCAGTAGAAGGGATGTTGATTGAAATTTTCTTTTTTAAGGACTATTAAGTGGGGAGAAGAATGTTCCATATTGTTTAAATGTGCTTTAATCTCTACTTTTTCTCCATAAATCTGTTAAATAATATTCCCCCCCATGGCAGAGTGCTCCAGTGGTTCTCCAATAACCATTCTCCCATTCTTCTTTTTAGAAAGCACAGCCCTTTTGGCTCAAGTTATAGCTGGGCACACAGCCACAAACTGACCTCCTTTCCCAGCTTCCCTGTTAGTCAGATGTGGGATGCAGTTGTTTGGAACTTGGTGTTTTCCTCCAGATGATATGTTAATTTCTCCTTAGAGGTAATGTTATATACATTGTCCTGAAATTATTATATTTTGACCTGCTTGACAAGCTTTACTGGAAAATTATACCTATTATATCTTAATACCTTATTTTAATTAGTAAAGCCATTGAGGTTTTGTCTCCTAGGAGACAAGGGATGAAGCCTGCATGGGAAAATTTTCTTTTGAGAATACTTTGCTGATCCATCCAAGTGGAACCCAGTTGTGTTGTGCGTGGCCAGTGGTGCTGATTGGCTTTGGGTCATCTTCCACTGGGTTGTTGTATGTGACCACTAGTGATGGCTAATCTTTCCTATTCTTGGAACAGTTTCTGGCATTACTGAGACTGTTTGGCTTATTCCAATTCCTTGCATCCACTCTGTTTATATAGGATGAGAAGAATACATTTGCATAAGTTATATATTTAATAGAGCAGAATCCTCACGTATATTAACATTCTTCTCCATATTAAAATTAATGCAAAGTGATTTTAATTTGCTAGGACCACGCGTTAGGCTCTTCTTGTGTTGCTATAACGGAATATGTGAGACCAGGTAATTTATAAAGAAAAGAGGTTTAATTGGCTCATGGTTCTACAGGCTGTACAAGCATGGTGCCAGCATCTGCTTGGCTTCTAGGGAGGCCTCAGGGAGCTTTTACTCATGAAGGAAGGTGAAGTAGGGGTGGGCATGTCACATGGCGAAAGCAGAGAGAGAGAGAGAATGGAGGAGGTGCTACACAGTTTTAAACAACCAGATCTCCTCTTTATCGCAAGGACAGCAGGAAGCCATGAGGGATCCGCCCCCATGACCCAAACACCTCCAACACTGGGGATTACATCTCAACATGAGATTTGGTGGGGACATCTAAACTCATTAGACCACTTCTCTTTTGTAGTTTTATGTTCATTGTTTCTCTTTTTAAAATATGATAATGGACATTTAATTGCTCATTTTGTACCAATTGGTTTGATTTTAAACTTAATTGACTGTCATTTTTCCTCTTTTTTGAATACTCAAATTGTTGCAGGGTGGCCAATGAGAGTTTGTAAACTTTTTTAGTCCCCCCAGTATCATATACATTTTGAAAGTGTCCTTACTTTTTAATTACACTGTGATGCTACGTTCCTATCATGATAATTTCTTTCATTGTTCCTTTTGATGCAAGGGTGTGTGCATGACTTGACATTGACAAAATGACAAATATTTTTAGTTGGGTTACTTTTAATGACAGAAATAAAAGAAAATATTCCTACTTAAGGCCTTGGGTTCATATTGATTTTTTTCTGTTTTAACAACGAATATTAATTTTTTTAAACTTCAGGGCTAGTATAAATTTGATTATTTTTACAATATGCCATTTAGATGTGTAACCTCTCATTTAAAGTGAAATTGTACTCCCATTTTATTGAAAAATTTTATGTTGCATCCATGACCATTTTGAAGGGTGGTGGGGACAAAGAAATATGACTTGAAGAATCATAGAATTTTTGAACTGGCAGGGGCTTAGAGATCATTTACTGCATTTCTTTAATTTTACAGGTGAAAAATGGAATACCTGTACAGAGTTGAAAACTTGCCCTAAGTTCTTTGTATGTATATACATGTGCGTGTGTGCGCACACACACACACAGCGTCTTAAGTTGTTAAAAATTTTTCGTCACATGTCACACTCCCTTGAAGTCAGGCTTGGGTGAGTTCCCAGTCAATATCTTGGGATGCCCAGGCAGAACCGGAGATGGGTCCGACTGCGCTGGGGTTTGAATGAGCACTGATGCTCATTTTGACTCACATTCTCTAAGGGACAGCTCTCAGGCTTTTTCTAGGGTGAGAATTAAATCAGGCCTTTTTCAGAGAAACATCCTACAGTTTAGAAACTGAAGAGATTATCAAAGCACCCTGTAGTTAGGACAGAAAGAAATGTGATGCCAAATACAGTGGACTTTGCAGACTCAGGGGAAATGGTGGGAGGGGGTGAGGGATAAAAGACTACACATTGGGTACAGTGTACACTGCTTGGGTCACAGGTGCATCAAAATCTGAGAAATCACCACTAAAGAACTTAAGCATGTAACCAAACACCACCTGTTCCCCAAAAACCTATTGAAATAAAAAAAGTTAAAAAAATTTGTAAAGTACTGAACACAAACTGTATAGCTTACTATCATCATCACCACCATCATCATCATTACTATTATCTGAAAGTGGCTCACACCCTGAAATCTACAAGGAGAAAAATATTCATTGGCCTACATAAATAGAAGATACATTTCTTTAATATATGCATGTAATGCCAGAGGAACAGTCCAAACCTCAGATCCCTCTGAGCTCTTATAATCTGTGTGTCTGCCATGATTGTTTTGCAATTTAAGAGATTTTCAAGATAGATGTCCTTATGGCTGAATTCTAGCATGAAAAATTAGGTAAACAGAGTAGATAATCTGAGAATCTGGGAAATCGTGGAAATTATCTAGTTTAATTTTCTTATTTACAGAACAGCAAAATAAATCTGGTTTAAGTTTTTACTTTAGATTATAATGGCATCAGAATACATAATGAGCAATTTGTTCTGCCAAATTTTTAAAGAGTTAGGATAAAAATAAGCAACACTGTACCATAATTAGATAGAAGATAATTTTCTGATTAAAGTGCTTTTGGATTATTAGAGTTAAAACTTTCTATGTAATATTTTAAGTCATTTTAATTTCAAATAGATATCAGATAAACATAACCAGTGTGCTAGAGTCATTAAAAACACATTTTGTAATTTTGCTACACAGCAGAAGCTGGGGGGTGAACATCCATTAGCATTACCATCTAATATTTAATAAAATATATTTAACATAATAATCTAAAATTGCAGAACTGTTATCCCTCATCCCTAATAGAAGCCTTTTCTTTAATTATGCTTAGCTGTATTTCTTTGGACGTCTTTTTGGAAAGGCTGTATGATTAAGAGCAAAATGGTTAAAAAAGTTCTCATTATTGGAATTATTGGATAAAAATATCCTTTTTTTTACATATGTTAGAACTTAACATTGTAACTATTGAAGTATGATAGCATAATCTTAGTGAAGATAGAGCAACCCATGTATGTTTCTGCAATGAATAGTCATAAGAGTACTGTTTTTTTATAACTAGTTTTCCACACATGTAATTGCTTGCAATATTACAAAACACTCTCAAAAATATAATAATGGTCAGTCTTACTGCTTTAAAAATTAAATTCTTAAACTCAAAGGACAAAGTTGAGGCTGGGCACGGTGGCTTATGCCTGTAATCCCAGCACTTTGGGAGGCCGAGGTGGGTGGATCACCTGAGGTCAGGAGTTCAGGACCAGCCTGGCCAACATGGTGAAACCCTATCTCTACTAAAAATATAAAAACTAGCTGGGCATGGTGGTGGGCACCTGTAATCCCAGGTACTCGGGAGGCTGAGGCAGAAGAATTGCTTGAACCCAGGAGACAGAAGTTGCAGTGAGCCGACACAGTGCCACTGAACTCCAGCCTCAGTGACAGAGTGAGACTCTCAAAAAAAAAAAAAAAAAAAAAAAAAGGACAAAATTGAGACATTAAAGCTTTCCTGAGTCAAGGACATAATTTGATAAATACAGTAGTTGACTAGAAATAAAAACTGCTATTTAGTCCTAGAATAAAGCCCTGGACACATAGAACTCTAAGGCTTATACAGCTATATTTTATCAACTTTATTGGGCTATTAGCTTTATTTTTCAGAGCATATTGATTTATGTAAAAGAATCAGCAATTTTACCTATTTCTTGGGAGAAATGAACAATTATTATATATTAAAACTTAACAAGAAAGTACACAGTTCATTTAAATTCACGGCACCTGCCTCGGTAATTTTCATTATACTAATTTGCAAATATAATAACTCATCCCTGAAATCTCCTCGTCTGACATTTTCTTCTTCTTAGCAAAATCTAATAGAGCGGAATTTCACTGCATTTCATGTTATAATGATAATCTTTTTTCTTTCCTTAGTTGAGGAAAATTTTTTTCTTAACCTACGTTAAGTCAGGAAAACGAGGGATTAAAGCACATCTAGTGGTGCACTGTCCTTAGTTTTGTAGCGTAAGTTGCTTTCTAAAGTTATGTGCAAAATATTCACTGCAAATTTATTGTGAGGAGAGTTATGAGTCAAAATTGGCACACTTTAACTCAGATGTGTGAAGAAAACTATCTTTTTTTAGTTTTGTAACTTATTTGTTCTCAAGCCCTTATTCTTGTGGAAACACAAAATTTGTCAATCGAAACTAATTTAATTTTTCCCCCAGTTTAAACCAAAATTTTAAAAGAGGGAATTGGTAATTAGTTCAAGTATCTTCTCCTTCCTTTCCCACCCTCCCTGAGATGGTTCTCAGCCTTGGATGAAGACCTTGTTTCCACATGGTGTTAAAGGAGTGCCCCATGTACATTTCTTGGATTCCCATTGAGGGGTTTATTTTGATGGTTTCTGGGCAGCAAAGTCTGTCCTTATTGCTGTGTATCCTCTGCTGCTGATGGAAGATGACTGATGTGATTTTTGTTTGTTCTTTGGCGTAGTCAAGATGTAATGATGACCCTTCTCTTGGTTGACTCTGTCATCCCTCCTGATGCCCGATGACCACAGCCTGTCTTCAGCTCTTGCTGGCAGTGGTTTTCCCAAATTCCGGCTGAGACAAATTTGCTTGTTTTCTTGGATGGTCTCTTCTTTAAACATTCTACCACAGGATCACTGGTCCTCTCTCTGCAGTAAACCTTATTAGTGAGCTCACCTGCTAGACCTCTTTACCACTTTTTACATCCTCCTTGGGACCTGCTGGAAGTTCTGTATTCTCTACATACCCAACATAGACCAAAACACACCATCCTGACTACCACATTCGCCCTATGTTAATGCAGGGCCTTTTCCAAGGAGGTCTCCAACTAAAGTCCCAAATGGGAATGATGACAAACACCTCATCTTTTAGTCTCTCTGGCCTCTCTGGGTTCTTTCTACCACTCACTTTCTCCAAGGTTTAGTCCTGGTGTTGAGAATATGCTGGGAGAATAGCAAGAGACAGAGGATATTCATGAATAACTTCCTACTCCTTTCTTTCTCTACTTAGTTTCTTGTCCCTTGGTCAGAAGGGTTTTATTTTTCCTTTTCATGTCTGGCTGTGACTTCCTTTATTCAAATTCCACTTTCTTAGCTGCGTCTGCCCTTACCTTACCAGGGGCAGAGAATGCTTAAGGATTGCAAAGGAAGAAACAAAAAGCAAAATATATCAGTAGGTATCTCAAAAATACCTCTGCTACCTTTTTCTTGATAATACCCCTGAAATGTCATGGAATGCTATTTGTATTTTAGAAATAAAAAGATAGTGAGCAAAATTAAGGACATTTAGGAGGAAATGGGCCTGTAACTTGAGGTTTCCCTGCTATAGAAACACATTGATTAGTGAATATTTATTGATTCTTTTACATTATGCTTGAAGCTTTGGGGAGATCTTCAAAGCATAAGACATTGGTAGGCCCTGTCCTTAAGAAACTTCCCTCTAGTTAGGGAGATAAGGGTGACCTGCTATTAATTAAAGATGAAAAACAAACGTTTAAGGAATCACACTATCATAGTTCATGGACAGAGTGATTGATTCAGGCTGGGCTTGTGAAAAAAATTTCTTGGCGATGGTGAAATATAAGCTCTTCTTAGAAGTATAATAGGATTCATGCTGGTGGAATAAAGAGAGGACGGTGATCTAAGGGAAGGACAAAACTGCAGGAAATGTGTGGAGGGGGAAAGATATAAAGTTTATTTCAGAAACAAATTACCTTGTCCCCCTGCTTTTTGGTAGATCATCTATGTAAGACGTGCTAGGAAAATAAGACTAAACAAGAGGTTTGGGAATGTCATACCTTGAGACATACCTAGGTTTGCCTTGATTAACAGATTTCTGAATAGGGCACATTAGGAAGAGTAATGACCTTCCTGATGCTACACTATCAAAGCGATAGGGTTGCTGCTGTGGACGTACATGCAAGTTCAGGGCACAGACAGGCTCCAAAGAGTATGGAAACCAGCATAGTTTTAACAAGGTTGCAATGGTGAGTAAATATGGAAGGAAACCAGCATCTTGATATGTAAGTGGAGCACAGAATTCAGTGCTTATAATAGTAGAAGACCAGGTGACTGCAGGGAAAGTTTGTTGGTGTGTGGAAAGGTTCCAAACCAAAGATTCTAGGCTCCAAACTGAAGATCCCAGGCCCCAGAGTAGGATTGGCAGAGTTCCCGTCCTTGAGTAAGTCATCAGGACAATGACATAGGCTTGATTAACAGCAAGGGTCATTTTAACTTCCTGAGAATCTCAGCCAACCACAAAGCATCCAACATTCCCTCTTATGGATGATATGCAAATGCATATGACTTGCTCCAAATAGCATAGTTTACAGGAAATAATGGATTTTGGAGTAAGACAGACCTAGAAGTCAGTTGCACCACTGTCCATTTGTGTGACCTTGGTGCAGTGACTTTAATATCCCTTAGAAAATCTCTTAACTGGAGATTAAATCTCATAATTATCACGTCATGCTGAGAATTGTCAGTAGAAGAGGTGATACATGTCGACCGTCTGGCATAGGATAGACACGGAATAAGTATTAATTTTTTTCTACTTATGGATATTACTTTCCCATTTTGAAATGCTTAGAGGCTTATTTGCCTAGAGGCCCACATAATATCTCAGATCAAATGCCTACTGTTGAATTAATTATCTTCACTTCCAAGCCTGCTTTTCTTCCGGTTTCCTACTTGCATTTATGGCATCACCGTGCTCTGAATCAGTGAGCCTTTAATCCAGAGGCTATAAAGGGTGCAGAGACAGAATTAAGGTAAAATGAGGGATGGGAGTTTTGGAAGTGTAGAGTTGTATCCTGTTTTTATTTAAAATTTTGATATCTTGTTCTTAATGCATTTTGCATTAATTTTCATTTAAAAATATTGCATAAAATATCATTTATGTTGATTACTGAGGTTTTGGTGCCTCCTTAAATGTTGTGCACCAGGTGAATGCCTCACCTGGAAGTGATGCTCTCCCTGCAGACATATTATGCTTGTTCTGCATATTGTTCTTTCAAATGTCAATTAGTTTGCCCACACTTAAAAATGGGCTGACATCACATAAGAATCCAGATTTCAGAGTTCTCTTGAAAAATTCGAACACCTGGCAAGACCAGATCTGTATTTGCCATGACAGTAGTTGGGTAGAGTAGCTACCTTCTTTAGTCGGCCACAAACTCTCCAGTTTGCCACAGTTCCCACCATTCCATCTTGATCCATACCCACATGTTCCTGAACATTATTCATGCACCCCACCTCTTCTCTCATTCCTTATTCCTTTTCTCTTGCTCCTTTCCTCCCTCACTCCCTCTCTTCCTCCTTTTCCATTTAATTCTACTTTATTCTTTAAATTTCTTAAATTTCTCTTCTGTCCTTTTCCTGGCTGGCTGTTCCTGTTGCTTCCAAGTCCAGAGGTTCCAAGAAGGGTGGAACTATTAAGCAAAGTTAGTGATTCTTCAGTCTTTCCTCCTACTTACAGGCAAGAAAACTGAAACACAAGAAGGGTAGGAGACTTGTTACAGGTCATATGATTATTTAATAAAACAAATTATGCCAAAGCCTGTGCCTTTGAAGATAAACTTCACTACTTTAACTCCCTTTATTAATTTTTTTTAGTGAATCCTCCTTTCCTGTCTCCTAACTCTGGAAGGTCAATCCAACAGCCAAACCATTGTTGTGGCAAATTTTGACTTCTGGTAAAATCATCTTTGTTTGGGGCTTTGTCTCTTGCCCCAGTATGCAGAAATCTTGGCCAAAAGTGCAGGGATGCTGTAAAGAGGGCCGAGTAAGAGCCCCAGAGATAGCTGTTACAAGAGTGGGTATGCTTTTGCTGTGATGAGTGGCAAAAGAGGAGGAAAAAAAAAAAAATAGGAAGGAGGAGGTGCACTCTTTTACACAACTCTGGGTGGCCTTTGTCCAGGCGAAACTCAAACCAGGTACCTGGACTAAAACCAGGCCACAGTTTGACTTCCTTCTCCTATTTCCTCTTAAGGTAACAGTTGAGGAAATTATTGCATCAGACTTGGAGGGTTTTCTTTCCCTTGCCGTAGGTCTCAGTGGGGGTGATGCTATACTGGGCACTTTCTAAACTTCCATTTTAATAACGGAGACTGAACCGTGAAAGGATAAAAAAGTGAGAGATGACTAGTGCGATGAGAGGTTCTTGAAACTCTCCAACATAAAATATGGAAGATGGGGATGAAAACTTCAAATAGTTGTGGCCTCTATACAGTCAATATTCTTAATAGGGATAGAAATCCAGGGCTGAGTGTGGCCGCGTATGTTACTGCCTGAGTTTGTGACAAAGAGCTTGTACAGGAGGGAGGTGATGCTCTTTTTAATGTCACTTTGGGTAGGCTACTAGAAGAGCTCCCCATTATTCAAATACTAATCTAGGTATTGCTGTGAAGGTATTTTTATGTGATAAAAATTTATAATCAGTTAACTTTAAGGAGATTATCGTAGATAATTTGTATGGTCCCGATTCACTCAGTCAAAAGGCCTTAAGAACAGACCTCAGGCTTCTCTGAATGAGAAGACATTCTGCCTGTGGACAGTAGCTTCACTCCCTGCCTGAGAGTTCCAGCCTGCCTTTCCTGACAGCTTGCCCTATGGATTTTGGACTTGGCTAGACAGCATCCATAATCATGTAAGCCCATTCCTTGCAATAAATATCTTAACATGTATCTCCCAGTGATCTGGTTTGCTGGTTGGATCTTGACTGACAAGGGGCGAAAGTAGAGAGACATCTGGAGGGTACTATGTTGCGTACAGCAATGGCATCTTGAAGATGCCAGGGCTGAGTACCAGAGTAGAAGTTATGGACACCCCAGATGCCAGATCTTAGTCCAGGTGCCTGTATAAAATCAGTGAAAATTTTCTACCTCAGAGAAAGTGGCTCATACTGATTACTCAAGTAATGGCAAATAAAATTTTTGATAGGGTAATAAGCATGTCCCTTGTTCCAACTCTCTAAGATGATACAGGTTTTATAGTCTTCAGAATTCAACAACTGAGGTTTCTCAAGTTAAACCAAGCTCAATTACCAGTTTTGGATGTTAAGGACAAAGTGTGAAGCAATTACACATTTGAGAGGCCTGAGATAGAGGTGGGTGACATTCATTGTTGTTATACTGGAGACCTCATTTAGAAGGCAAGAAGTACTTCTGAAGATATTGATAATAATCAATCCTATTTATCAAAGCACTTTCCAACAAGCTACTTCCTTTCTTCAGCCTCTTGCTTTCTGTTCAAATCTCAGCTTTTATCACATTCTTTTCATGGAGAGACATCTCAATGTCCCTTTTCGCCTAGGAGAAGAATGTTATTGAGTGGGGCTCAGGATTTAAACCCAGGCAGACTAATTGGTATGTGAGCAGTGTGTTCCTTCTCCTGGCATAGCTGAGTTAACAGAGTTAGGTCTGTGTGACTCATACATCACTTCAGAATGTTAGCAGAAAAGGCCTCTAACAAGAAAATGTAGATAGTGGATGGAGAGATCAAAATGGAAAAGTTAACTATTAAAATGAGTAGAAAATATAGGTGTTAAATAATGAGGAAGATGCTGACAATGCATTAACAAATGAACTAAGCTCATATTTTCTCATAGTATGTCTGTCTGCTTTGGGCCTCATTTAAATAATTTCATGTGAAGACCTAGAGTTCTGAATGTCTGTTTCTTTTGTAATGTCTCTTAGCAATGTTTATAAAGAACTACCAATCATATGTCTAAAGTTACTGCTCCAGTCTTCTGTGATTTTTGCAGAAAGCACTACTCAATCTTTTATTGAATAATTGTATACCTTTATAGTGAATATAATCTTTCTGGGCAATAGTTAGATCAATAAGTCATCACTTAGGGGCTTAATATCATTTCAAGTCAGAAAAGAAGCATAACACTGTTTCAGATAGGATAAAATTGAGGTATATATAACAGAAAACCTGAAGCAATAGAGGCTTAGACAAAGTAGGAGTTTCTTTCTTTCTCCAGTGCAAGATGTCTGGAGGTATGATATACAGGGCTAGAGTGGCCACTCCGCCATCATCAGGGAGCCAGGAACTTCAGTGATTCTGCACCACCATCTGGGAACCTGGTTTCCATCCTCACTTCATGGTTTAAGATGGCTGCAGGTGCCATCTTGTTTGTGTTCTAAGCAATAGAAAAAAAGGGAGGAGGACAAGAGGGGAGCACTTCTTAGCTCAGTCAGTGCCCCTTTGGAATCTTCATGTAGCTCCATGTGGCACATCCTGTTATGTCTCAATGTTCCACAATTAGTCTCTTCATGTCACTGAGTGTGAGGAATCTAGGAACACCATTGTTTAGTTGGTACATTATTGCCACGGGTGACACAGGGCAATAATGAAGAAAGTGGAGAGCTATTAGTCTCTGCCACACATCTCCATTTGAAATCACATAAAAAATGGAATGACATTGTTTTGTCTAAATTGGAGGGAGAACCAAGATCAGAATTCTTACCACTCTGACTCCTAACATATTTTTGTGAATAACTGCTCTGTCAGTTTGTTACCATACATTCTGACATTTTTTGGTGGGAACTTTCTGAAGATTTCTTGGTGGGCTGCTTTTATATGGGTTTGAAATTTGAAGTGATATGTGATATAATTGGAGTGGAGACAAGAGAATAAGTCACTGGACTTATGGAAGGTGCTTAATTTGTTCACAAGCCAGCACATGGAAGGTGCTTAATTTGTACACAAGCCGGCATCTCTTTGACTCTATAGTATAAACAGACCAATCATTGTCTCTTACAAAAGAGAATGAAAGAGATAAAGACCCTTTTTTAATCTGAAGAAATGAGTTCAGATGACAAACATTAAAAAAAACTAGTAAATTCCCATATCAAGAAAAACATGGTTTTACAGCAGAAACAAATACAGAAATAGATTATCTAAGTATAATGGTTGGGAACTTAGATGCATAAGCACTATAGAATTCAATGTCAAAATTTATGACTAGCAATGTCATTTCAGTTGTGTCATAAAAACTTTTTCACATTATTTTCAGTCATGTTTTTGTGAATGTTTAAAAAAATGACCCTAATAGTAGCATAGAACATGGGGGATGGGAACAATTTATGATTTAACTGTTTTTATGTATTTATATCTGAATATATGTATATGCATATATAAGTTTATATACAGGTACATATATATCTTTCCCTGTATGTATATGTATACACGTACTCACCTATCCCCTTATAATGATTGGGGGATCATTATAGTTCTTACGTGCCATCTCCAAGTTATATGTTATCTAGCAGTTTCTGTATCTTAGTGGTTAATTTCCCTTTGTTGGAGCAATTATTATTGTCCATGTTCAGTGTCATGTTCCTACTGGAGCAAATTTGAGGTAAAAATTAACCACAGACTGCTTTCAACAAAACATTATGCTGACTTCTAAAAAATTGCTAAAACTTAAGTAAACATTAAATTAATTTCAAAAGCTTTAAGTATTTTAAAGCAACCTGCTGAGTTAAAGCAAAGTTTCTGGTATGTACAGGTATTCTTTCTCATGTGATATTTGGCATTCTTTTCACTCGTCCTTTCGATTACAGACATTAAAAACTTTCTTTTCTCCTTTACACTCTACTAATCTAAATTTGGTTTCAAATCCCAGGCAGCTTTGCCTTCCATGCTCAGTTCTGGATGTTGGTTTCTTTAACCTTAGGAAATAATCTGTCTTACTGCTTCCAAAGAAATTGTGGTATATTCTCTAATTTCTGACTGTCACGAAAACCCTCGTGATCTAACTTTTGTCCAATTAGAGATGTAAATTTTTTTTTTTTTTTTAAAAACATCTGAGAATAATTCTGGTGGAGCAGAAGTTCTGAGAATGATTCACTCCAAATCCTTTCAACTCTTGTTTGATGTATTTGGTGGATGATAACAGAGTTAAAGGTTTAGCAGCTCTTTACCACTTTACCCAACAAGTACACTCAAAGCACTCAGAAAATGATCTTAAAAGTGAAGAATCCATGAAAAACAACTCAGAATATAAGTATTGTATATAAATATGAACATCACATACTCATAGGATCATGCAAGAATATAGACAGGATGTAATTACACATCATATCCTTCCTTCGAAGCTAACACACACAAAATGCTACTTTACTTCCTCATATTACAATACTTTTTGGCGCATATTGAAGAATATAAGTAAAATTTCAGAGTTCTGCCAGCTAAGCTCTTTTAGAAACTAAAGAGAAAAAAGGATTACCATTTTAGAATGAATTCAGATTACACAGAGGTAGGAATTATTTTACTTTAAGAATTTTCAGGAATTAGTCACCAGAACTAAATATTATTCAAGAAAGTGGAATCTCCACTGGTGACTTTAAAAAACAACATCAACTATAATCTGTTTTGCATCAGTTATGTAGAAGCCCATGGAATGGATGAAATGATCATCAGCTGGTTTATACTTCCATGAATATGTAATTTCTTCATTGATACACTAAGTATTGTTATTAGTGGATCAGGGCTCTGCTCATAAAACCCATCATTTTTGTATTGCAAAAATCATTAATTAGAATAAAAAATTAGGAATTATCTTAATGGGACTATGATTGTTATTGAAATATTATTGCTCTAGTTACAGAAGATAAGCTTTTGAGAATGATTTTTACTACAAACAAAGCCATTCTACAATATTCCTGCCTTGTCCCCAAGGTGTACATTCTAAGGCCCCAGTGGATGCCTGAAACCACAGATAGTACCAAATCCTAAATATACTATGTTTTTTCCCATATATGTATACTTACAGTAAAATTTAACTTATAAATTATGCATGGTAAGAGATTAACAACAAAATCTAATCATCAAGTAGACCAGTTATAACAATAACTGTAATAAAAGTTATGTGAATGTGGTCTCTCTCTTTCTGTATCAAAATATCTTTTATTTTACTGCAGGTAACTGACACCGGATAAAAGAAAAAGCAAAGCCACAAATAAGGGGAAAATACTGTAACTGATCATTTTGAAACATATCTGTGGACTGGCATTAAATGAATATATGATGGGGGTTAAACAATATCTGTTTATTTCTAATTGTTGTGTAATCAATTTTTGCTTATTCATATTCACAGATAACAGTAGTGGCAGCCTTATATTGTTTTGATGGGAATTTGGAATACATTATTTTATTTGTAGGATCATATTTATCTTCCTCTTTGACTTCCTTAGATGAAAAAATTAACTTGCATTTTCTGGATATATGAAAACTCTTACTAGGGAGAAATAACTCAGAAGTTTGCTAAATGACAGGGAAGAATTAAATGTTGAATTAAAAATCATCTGGGCATAATCAAACATCTTGTTTAGAAAACTCAGTGATACAATTTTTTTGTTTTGTTTTGTGGGTCTAGTTAAGATGTTAACTTCGGGGCACTTAAAATTTCAGAAATAAATGCAGGACAGGCATTTTTGCACTAGACAAGTACAATTGATGATTTGGATTACGGTATTCTAGAGTTCTCAAGAACTTTTTTGCGTGTCTTTTACCTTTGTTTCTCCTTTCTTTTATTTCCTTCCCTCTATTTTTTTTCTTATTATCATTACAGGCTGTTTTTACTTGCCTTTGTAAACCTGATAATTGCTTGAACCTTTTAGGTTTTCAAAATAGCTTCATTCAGACTAGGATACAGGAGAGAAAAAATTAGAACAATTTAAAACTTAAGTTATACATCTCATAATTACTCAGATGAAAACGTGTTCATTATATAAATTTCAATGTACACATACCAAAGTTTTTTCTTTTAAGCTACCCTTGGGACTCATGTTTGGTAGAAAGTATTACCCTTTACCTTATGACGTGAGATATTTGCTACTTCCTGTTTGTTAGGAATCTGCAGTACAATGGACCCCAAACAAAATACCATAGGAAGACGTGGGTCCTGATCTGATGCTGTGCAGACTTCCCCCAGACAGAAATCATGGATACAAAAACTCACCATCCTTCATCAAAGTACACATCCTATCCTAAGTTTATTTGATTGGCTGGAAAATAGAACAAAGACAAGTTGTAATAACAAGTCACTATCATTATAGTCCATTTACTTGTTTCCAAAATATCATTTAAAAAAATTTTAACATTTATAATATTGTAATGTATTATCAAATTGATATATATGTTTACTTTGGTAGGTTTTTTCCCCTTCTTTCACCTAAAGAGCTATAATTAAATTGATGTTTCCTTAATAATCCATGGAATTTTAGAATTGAAAAAAATATGGGATCTTAAAAATACAAAGAAGCAAACAAGGAGAAGCAAGCAAACAAGCATGAAACAAACGGTTTTATTATTTTACTTTAAGAATTTTCAGAAATTAGTCGCTAGAACTAAATATTATTCAAGAAAGTGGAATCTCCACTGGTGACTTTAAAAAGCAACACCAACTATAATTTGTTTTGCATCAGTTACGTAGATACCCATGGAATGGATGAAATGATTATCAGCTGGTTTATACTTCCATGAATATGTAATTTTTTCATTGATACATTGTATTGTTATTAGTGGATCAGGGCTCTGCTCATAAAACCCATCATTTTTGTATTGCAAAAATCATTAATTGGAATAAAAAATTAGGAATTATCTTAATGGGTCTATGGTTATTATTCAAATATTATTGCTCTAGTTACAGAAGATTAACTTTTGAGAATGATTTTTACTACAAACAAAGCCATTCTACAATATTCCTGCCTTGTCCCCAAGGTATACATTCTAAGTCCCCAGTGGATGCCTGAAACCACAGATAGTACCAAATCCTAAATATACTATGTTTTTTCCTATATATGTATACTTATAGTAAAATTTAGAAATACATTTAGTAAAATGTATACTTATAGTAAAATTTTTACAGGACTTGAAATTTAGAAATTTCAAGTCCTGTATAAACAGGACTAGAAAAGAGCATCATGATAAAAATAAAGCTTTAATGTAGCAATAGGAAGGAATTGATTGTGTTAAAAGCCATTTTTTAAAAATTCAAACCAGCATTTATTAGATGCCATCCATGTCCCAGGCACAATACTAGGCATCAACCTTATAAAGATGAGTAAGGCAAATTCTGCATATTCTAAAATAGAACTTAAACTTTTAGTATAAAAATTGGCTCTTCTTTCTAACTATATAAAATTATATATTAAGAAAAAGACACACTTTAAAAAATCTGACAGAACACAGCAAAAGCAATTTAATGGGATATAAGTAAATGTAAATCGACTACGTGGTACTCTTTAACCTGGAATTGGAGTCATGAGTTTTACAGTAATGGATATATGACTCATTAAACTTAAGAGAGGTTGTAATTTTAAAAGGAACATTATATACAGGTGATAGTTTAAAAGGCATTGAATTACTGTATTCAGCCTTGTATTTCACAAATCTTTAGAAGGGACAACAACAAATATTTGTAACAATGTGACTTGCTCCATCTTTCCTATTTGTAACAACTTTTAATTGCCATTATACTAGTGAATTAAACTGTATCAATTAAAGATTATTTCAATGAAAGACTGCAAAAGAACTGTAAAAGAGGTTGTTCTGTTCAATATATTTAAAATCCATCTATTATTTCTTTTTTTAAATTTATTATTATTATACTTTAAGTTTTAGGGTACATGTGCACAACATGCAGATTTGTTACATATGTATACATGTGCCATGCTGGTGTGCTGCACCCATTAACTCGCCATTTAGCATTAGGTATATCTCCTGATGCTATCCCTACCCCCTCCCCCCACCCCGCAACAGTCCCTGGTGTGTGATGTTCCCCTTCCTGTGTCCATGTGTTCTCATTGTTCAATTCCCACCTAAGAGTAAGAACATGCATTGTTTGGTTTTTTGTCCTCGCGATAGTTTGCTGAGAATGATGGTTTCCAGTTTCATCCATGTCCCTACAAAGGACATGAACTCATCATTTTTTATGGCTGCATAGTATTCCGTGGTGTATATGTGCCACATTTTCTTAATCCAGTCTATTGTTGTTGGACATTTAGGTTGGTTCCAAGTCTTTGCTATTGTGAATAGTGCCACTATAAACATATGTGTGCATGTGTCTTTATAGCAGCATGATTTATAATCCTTTGAGTATATGCCCAGTAATGGGATGGCTGGGTCAAATGGTATTTCTAGTTCTAGATCCCTGGGGAATTGCCACACTGACTCCCACAATGGTTGTTTCTTTATATTTTCTCTGTTTTGGGTGTTTGCTTTAATATAAGGATTTGTTGATAACCGTGAGTTATATGAAATGATATCACTAACTGTGATAGTTGATAAAGTAACTTTTGACAGAAAGTTAAATTTATTCAAAGTATGGGTTGAAAGTTCTTAAAAGTGCTCACATTCTTTATATTTCAAAACTGGGCTAATGAGCAGGCCCCAGGATAAAGTGAGGGGTGGGGGCCATTGATTAACAGTGATGCATGGGGTTCCAGCCATGAGAGGTAGAAGGCCAAGGGGAGAGATGGGTAATGTGCATAAAGAGTTTCTCGTGTAGCTGGTCCCCTAGAAAGAACCTCCATCTACTCTGTACACTTGCACAGGGCCATTTGGGGATGGATCACAGTGAAGTCTGCAAAGCTTCTCATTATCCTTGAATTTACTGTGATACGGACTGGGAGACCAGTGACTGCTACTCCTCGTTCTATTGTTTCCCAAAATATTCCAGTAGGCAAGGTTTTTTTTTTTTTTTTTCAGGTACAGAGAAGGGCTGGTTCTTCTTTGCCATTAGGGTGGCTGTTTTGTGGGCCAGGGTGATACTTTCTGTTAGCATTCACACATGAAGAAAGAAGCCTGCTTCAGACACCAGCATGGCAGGTGGACTCAAGAGTGTGTTCACCATTTGGGTGTCATCAGAAAGCAGGTAATGAGTCTGAGTTGTGCTGATTTCTCTCTAACTGTGTTACAGAGTAGGTCCAAATGCTATATCAGGAGAGGTCAAATATCTGGCCTGAAGTAAAGTCATGGAACCAAAAATTTAGAGCCAGGAAGATGATATTAAAGTTCCAGTAAGTAGGAAGAAGGTGTGAGGGAGAGAGGAGTAAGTCTTTCTTTAGCTGCGTCCCAGAGATTCTGGTATATTGTCTCTTTGTTCTCATTGGTTTCAAAGAATTTCTTGATTTCTGCCTTAATTTCATTATTTACTAAGGAGTCATTCAGGAGCAGGTTGTTCAATGTCCATGTAGTTGTGTGGTTTTGAGTAAATTTCTTAATCCTGAGGTCTAATTTGATTGTACTGTGGTCTGACAGGCTGTTACGATTTCAGTTCTTTTGCATTTGCTATACAGTGTTTTACTTCCAATTATGTGGTCAATTTTACAGTAAGTGCCATGTGGCACTGAGAAGAATGTATATGCTGTTCTGTTGGATGGAGAGTTCTGTAGATATCTGTTAGGTCCACTTGATCCAGAGCTGAGTTCAAGTCCTGAATATCCTTGTTAATTTTCTGTCTTGTTGATCTGTTTACTATTGACAGTGGGGTGTTAAAGTTGCCCACTGTTACTGTGTGGGAGTCTAAGTCTCTCCTTATAGGTCTCTAAGAACTTGTTTTATGAATCTGGGTGCTCCTGTATTGGGTACATATATATTTAGGATAGTTAGCTCTTCTTGTTGAATCATTACCTTTACCATGATGTAATGTCCTTCTTTGTCTTTTTTGATCTTTGTTGGTTTAAAGTCTGTCTTATCAGAGACTAGGATTGCAACCCCTGCTTTTTTTTTTTTTTTTGCTTTCCATTTGCTTGATAAATATTCCTCCATCCCTTTATTTTGAGCCTATGTGTGTCTTTGCATGTGAGATGGGTCTCTTGAATACAGCACAACAATGGGTCTTGACTCTTTATCTAATTTGCCAGTCTGTGTCTTTGGGGTATTTAGATTTACATTATTATGTGTGAATTTGATCCTGTCATTATGATGGTAGATGGTTATTTTGCAGAGTAGTTGATTTCATGTCTTCATCGTGTCATTGGTCTTTATATTTTCATGTGTTTTTCAGTGGCTGGTACTGGTTTCTCCTTTCCATATTTAATGCTTCCTTCAGAAGCTCTTGCAAGGCAGGTCTGATGGTGAAGAATTTCCTTAGCATTTGCTTGTCTGAAAAGGATTTTATTTCTTCTTTGCTTATGAAGCTTAGTTTGGCCAGATATGAAAACCTGGGTTGAAAATTCTTTTCTTTAAGAACGTTGAATATTGGCCCCCACTATCTTCTGGCTTATGGGGTTTCTGCAGAGAGATCCGCCTTTAGTCTGATGGGCTTCCCTTTGTAGGTGGCCTGGGCTTTCTCTCTGGCTGCCCTTAACATTTTTTCCTTCATTTTGACCTTTGAGAATGTGGCGATTATGTGTCTTGGGGTTGATCTTCTTGTGGAGTGTCTTTTTTTTTTTTCTTTTTTGAGATGGAGTCTCACTCTGTTGCCCAGCTGGAATGCAGTGGCATGACCTTGGCTCACTGCAACCTCTGCCTCCCGGGTTAAAGCAATTCTCCTGCCTCAGCCTCCTGAGTAGCTGGGATTACAGGCTTGCATCACCACACCCGGCTAATTTTTGTATTTTTAGTAGAGGCAGGGTTTCATCATGTTGGCCAGGCTAGTCTTGAACTCCTGACCTCAGATGATCCACCGGCCTCAGCCTCCGAAAGTGCTGGTATTAAAGGCGTGAGCCATCGTGCCTGGCCTTCTTGTGGAGCATCTTATTGGTGTTCTCTGTATTTCCTGAATTTGCATGTTGGCTTGTCTTGCTAGGTTGGGGAAGTTCTCCTGGATAATATAGTGAAGTGTGTTTTCCAACTTGGTTCCATTCTCCTGGTCTCTTTCAGGTACTCCAATCAGCCATAGGTTCAGTCTTTTTACATAGTCCCATATTTTTTGGAAGTTTTATTTGTTCGTTTTCATTATTTTTTTCTCAAATCTTGTCTGCCTGCCTTACTTCAGCAAGATAATCTTCCATCTCTGATATTATTTCTTGCACTTGATTGATTCAGCTATTTATACTTGTGTATGCTTCATGAAGTTCTCGTGTTGTGTTTTTCAGCTCCATCAGGTCATTTATGTTCCTCTCTAAACTGGTTATTCTAGTCAGCAGCTCCTCTAAACCTTTTATCAAGGTTCTTAACTTCTTTGAATTGTGTTAGAACATGATCCTTTACCTCAGCAAAGTTTGTTATTACCCATCTTCTGAAGCCTAATTCTGTCAATTCATCCATCTCACCCTCTGTCCGGTTCTGCACCCTTGCTAGAGAGGTGTTGTGATCATTTGGAGAAGAAGAGACACTCTGGCCTTTTGGGTTTTCAGCATTTTTTCATAGATTCTTTCTCATCTTCATGAGTTTGTCTGGTTTCGATCTTTAAGGCTGCTGACCCTTGGGTGAAGTTTTTTTGGGGACTTTTTTTGTTGATGATGTTGTTGCTTTCTATTTGTTTTTCTTTCAATAATCAGTTCTGTAGGGCTGCTGCAGTTTGATGGGGGTTCACTTCAGGCCCTATTCATCTTGTTTTTTCCTGCACCTGGAGATGTCACTTGAGGAGGATGGAGAACAGCAAAGATGGGTGCCTGCTCCTTCCTCTGGGATCTCTGGCCTCAAGGGGCACCCAACTGATGCCAGTGAGAACACTTGTTTGGGGGTCTTACCCAGTTGGGTGGCATGGGAAGCTGGACCCATTTAACAAGGCACTTTGGCCGTCCCTTGCTGGAGGGGGTGTGCTGCACTGGGGGAAACCCACTCATCTGGGCTGCCTGGATTCCTCAGAGCTAGCAGGAGGAAAGACAGTCTGCTGGTCTGCAGAGACAATGGCCATCCCTCCCACTATGGGCTCAGGCTCAGGGAGATCAGAGTTCTGTCCCTGAGCCCTTGGCTGGAGTTGGAGATCCTGCAGGGAGGCCCTGCAGCTATAGTGTTAGCTGCCGCCCCTCCCCAAAGGAGCTCTGATGGCTTAGACAGCAGGCGGCCGCAGCAGTGGTGATGGGTGTCCCTCCCCCGGGAACTCAGCTGGCTTAGGCTGATTCTAGCCAAGTGGCTGTTGAGAATCTGCATGGCTCCGTGGTTCGAACCCAAGGCCCTGGTGCCACGGGCTCCTGAGTGGGATCTTCTGATCTGTGGGTTGCCTAGTTCTGTGGAAAAAGCATGGTTTCCCAAGCTAGGTAGCACGCTCACTCACCGCCTCTGTTGGCTGGGGGTGGGGGCTCCTCCTCACCATGTGGCTCTCAGGTGGGCCTCCACACCACACTGCTCTTCCTTACTCTCTATGGGTCATGCCAGCCACCTAGCCAGCCCTAATGACAGAGCCTGGATACCTCGGTTGCCCGTGCAGGATTCGCACGCTGCTTTGGATCTTTTTGATGGGGGCCTCGGATCGCTGCTGCTTCTAGTTGGCCATCTTGGCCCCGCCCTGATTTGTCTCAAACCTGAGGGTTTTCTTGGGGGTTGGAGGGTGAGAATTCAACAAGACAATCTATTTCAAACACTTGACAAAAACACAGGTCTTGATAAAATTGAGGTTAAATTCTCTCCTACTTCCTCTCCCCTCTTCAAGTTTTCTTTTCAATGTTTCTTGTCCCTACCAAATCAGCGTTTCAGTTTGGCAGTAACAGTTATCTCTGTGTCTATGTCTATGCTATCTCTATCTCTACCTACATCTGTATCTCCACATACATACAATTTTGTTTTTTTAAAGGGAAAACAAAGGAGACCTGTTATTAGGGAAAGTGATTGGATCTTATGTTTGGACAGAAGGGCTGAAAAACACCTACTATGATATTGATGCAGGAATGATGCTCTATTGGAAGTATCACAGAAATATTTTTGGGTGAAAGTATACCCTAGGAAACAAACATTCTAAAACTTTTCCAAAGTAGTTAAGGGTTATAAAGAAAGGAAACTTTAAATTCTTCAGGAGACAACAATAGCTCCCTGGTAATTCTGTGATAGCTGTGTTCAGTGAACTACTGTTTATGTTTCTTTAAATAGTAATAGTATTGAAAGGACATTGGAATCTATAAATCAACTCTACCATTTTACAGTTTTCTGAATATACTCAAGGATAAATACGAATAGTTAGTATGAAAGTACTAATGTCCAGGGTCAAGTTTAAAGGTAGTACATTTTTGTGATGGGTGTCATTAAGTTTTTTCCTTTTAAAAATTGTGAAATATACAAAACACAATTATTTATTTTTACCATTTTAAGTGTACAATTCAGTGGAATTAAATACATTTACAATGTTTGATATTATTAAATTTTGAAAATGAAAGATTTGTAACCATTGCCTCCAAATCAAAATCTCATGTCCCTATCTATTGGCAAGAGGAAAAGATAGAGAAACAACATTAAAAAACTAAACAAAACAAAACTGGATGGAAGACTGAAGGATAGATAAAGTTGATGAAAATGCAGGTGATTTTTTTCTTTTACTGACACTGTAATTTTTTTTGTTTTTCTATTGATTTCGTAAAGTCATAGAACACCATCCTAAAATGAGATGGAATGAAAAGCAATTACATTATATGTATATAAAATGCTTTTTGAAATATATATTTCTTCACTTTTATGGCTAAGATCTTGGTTAGAAAAATGTTCCAATAACACATCAGAAATATGATATGTTTAAGAGGAGATTTCATTGCTGAACCAGAACTTATGATGGAATTTTAGGCTTTAGACCTAGAAGATACATTAGTGATCACCTAGTCTGAATCTTTCATTTTATAGGCAAGGAAAATGAAGTTCTTAAAGATTGATCTTTCTATCCATCTATCCACTAGAATATGCTTTGTTCCAGAAAGTATTATGAAGTGGTTTTCAAGAACACATAAATGACAGAAAGCACAAATTGGAAGTAGGTGAAAAAGTCAAGAAAAAGAAAAGAGCAGGATCATAAAATGAGTCAGGACTGAAACTAGCTCACAAAAGAAGCACACCCTTAAATCCTAGGCTTTTGATGAGGATAAGCCACAGATTGGACCTTAAACGTTTTACTGATCAATGTATAGAAGGAAATCCGGTTAAGCAATTCAATTACTCCAAAGATAAAACCACCCAATTGTTCAGAAGATGGACCACTATTTACAATACAAGAAAGAAATGTCTTCTGAGAGCTCTACTAGGGGAGAATATCTTCAAACATTTTTAAAGACTTCATTATAGGAGATGGAGAACAGATTCTTAGGATGTGTGTGTGTATGTGTGTGTGTGTGTGTGTGTGTGATTTCTTACTGTGTGTGTGTGTGGTTTCTCACCACAGTTGATTGTATCTCACCTGGGTGCAATTCAGTAAAAGCTTCTCCCAGAATGATCTGAACCCTTCTCCGTCAGCTGGGACTTCCTGGGAAGGACACTGGTATGTTGAGTTCCTGGCAGGACAGCTGGGACTTCTTTTTTATTCCATCATCCAAGACTCAAACTTTGTTATTCCAGGTGGTTGAAAAGAGAGATATTATGTTGTAACATGGGATTTCCAGGAGCTCAGCTTTAATCAAAATCGGTGTTTTACAAATATTTTGGGCATGTGACTTTTCTGAGATGCTTGTTAGTAATTTAGATTTCTGTGGGCTCATGCTTACTTATTCAGATTCAGGAGGATGGGACTCAGGAATCCGCATGTGATGCAGGTGTAAAGAGTCACACTTTGAGAAATGCTGGACAGTCTTTTTTTGGAAGGGATGTTTATCATTTGACCCTTTAAGGGTGGTACAGATATGCTTCAACGAAAGCCTTTCTGGGAAGTTTCATTTTGTTCTCTGCTTTTGCGTCTTCGTGCTTCTCCTCTAGTCCCCTACAGTTTAAATAATTGCTGGTTTTGGAGGTAGGTTGAGAATTATCTCTAGTTAGAACTGAGATTTTTTTATTCATATAAGACAAATGCACAGCATTAACAATTTTCTTAATACACATTTTTTGCAAGTTATTGAGAAAGTGGACAAAGTAAATGTTTAAGAGACCTATTCTGGTAGAAGGAGAAACCTGGCTTCACTGAGATTAGGAGATGTCAAGCTTTCTGAGTTTGTGTGGCTCCATTTCTCCAGATCTGTATCCCCATTTAGAAAGCACATATAACAAGGAGCAGGATTGAGTAGTGTAGGTGAGACATAAACTCCTGGTGGGAAGGAATATTTTACCCCGATGTTGTTTAGAATTGATGACACGTGGTGATAAAAAGTAGAAATCCATTTTAATCAGTTTTCTGATTGTTTTAAAATTTATTTTAGACAGCGGACCCTCTTATTGCCGGCATCCAGGGTGGACAGCTTCATTTCCTCCTCCCATGGTACATGGTACTCCACTTTTGAGGCATATTGTAGGGTGTCTGTGCTTGAGGGTAGAGGGAAGGCAAAAGGGGAATGGAGCAGGAAGAGAAGGCTTTACTCCATTGCTTTGCTGTAGCCTTGCTACTCAGAGGATAATATTTGGACCAGCAGCCTCTGGGCATCACCTGGCCTCATCCAAGATGTACTAATCAGAAGAATCTTCATTTTAACAAGGTAACAGTCATTCTTGCATATTAGGGTTTGTAAAGTACTGTTCTAGGATAGCACTTCTCAATTTTTTTTAGCTTAGAATCACCTGGAGGGTGTAACGCTTGTTCAAACACATATTCCAGAGAATCTGGTTCAATAGGTGGGGCTGATGAATCTGTACCAATAAGCTCCAGATTAGGTTTACAATGCCATTGCACACTTTGAGTAATGAGGTGGAGAACAAAGCTTCTTTTTTTAAAAAAGAATTTATTTTTAAAAGAAGTTTTAGGTTTACAGAAAAGTAGAACAGAAAGCACAGAGTTTTCATGTATCCCCAGCTGCATCCACACAACACACACAGCCTCCCCACTATCAATATCCTGCCTCAGAGTGGTATCTTTGTTACAATTGATAAACCTACATTGACAGATCATTTTCACCCAAAGTTGACAGTTTACATTAGGGTTCACTCTTGGTGCTGTACATTTTGTGGGTTTTGACATATATCCACTATTATAATATCGTATAGAATAGTTTCAATGCCCTAAAAAGCCTCTATTTAAACTTCAGTTAATTTAAGTAGTGCTCTATCTATTCAGTCTCTTTCCCTCCATACCCTGGCAATCACTGATCTTCTTACTGTCTACAAAGTTTTGCCTTTTCCAGAGTATCATATAGTTGAAATCACATAGTAGCTTTCTCAGATTGGCATTTTTCACTTAGTAGTATGCATTTAAAGTTCCTCCATATCTTGTCATGACTTGATAGCTCAAGCACTGAATAATATTCCATTGCTGAGTAATATTCCAGCGCTCAACAATTTTTTTAGCACTAAATCATATTCCATTATCTTGATGTACCACAGTTTATCCATTCATCTACTGAAAGACTTCTTGCTTGTTGCCAAGTTTTGTCAGTTATGAATAAAGCTGCTGTACACATCCATGTGCAGATTTCTGTGTGGACATAAGTGTTTGATTCTTTTGGGTAAATACCAAAGAGAATAACTGCTGCATTTATGATGGTAAGAGTGTGTTTTATAAAAAACTGCCAAACTATCTTCCAAAGTGGCTGTACCATTTTGTATTCTCACCAGCCATGAACAAGAGTTCCTGTTGCTCCATGTCCTCACCAGCATGTAGTATTGTCAGTGATTTGGCTTTTGGCCATCCTACTAGGTATGCAGTGGCATTTCATTGTTGTTTTAATTTGTAATTTCTTAATTATATATGATGTTGAGCATCTTTTCTTAGGCTTCTGTATAATCTGTATATCTTCATTTCATTTGGGTAATTTTGGTATATTCTGAATATTTCCTTCTTCTATCAAATATGTCTTTCACAAATGTCTTCTCCTAGTCTGTGGCTTGTCTTCACATACACCTGAGACAACAGTGCTTTTTAAATGGGCCACATAGAATCACCTGGAGTGTTTTAAAAATGCGAATTCTTTGGAACCCATCCCAAGAGACTATGAGAAATTCCTTAGCCACTCTGATGTAATTTCTCTCTGTCCACATTCAAGGGATCTAATACCTAAGCCTGTATTGAAGGCGCTGAGCTCTGACCTGCCAACTGCTATTCCCAGCTCACACTTCCTTTCTGCCATGCTCAGGTGCCAGACACATGGATGATAAATGAGACTTGCTCTGTTTTTGAGGGCTCCAGGCTGTACTCACACCTTAGAAGAAATGTTGCTTCTTAGTATGAGACTTTTCCCCACTTCTGTCTGTTAGTAGAAACATTTGGGATAATAAATGAATAACAAATGGTCCAGGGGTCAAATTTGTCATATTTTTCTGGTTACCTATTTTGTGTAGAGCATCTTGATAGGAGGCACAAGATTTAGAGTTTTAAGACAAGGTTCTGACCTTCAAGGAATCTACAATTTATTTGAGAGGTGTATTAGTCTGTTTTTGTGTTGCTATAAAGAAATACCTGAGACTAGACAATTATAAAAAAAGAGGTTTAATTTGGCTCATGGTTCTACAGGCTGTACAGGCATGGCACCATCCGCTCAGCTTCTGGTGAGGCCTCAGGAAGCTTACAGTCATGTAAGAAGGTGAAGGGGAGCCAGCATGTCATACAGTGAGAGTGGGAGCAAGAAAGAAGGGGTATCTCATGTGAACTAAATGGGCAAGAACTCACTTATCAACAAGGGGATGTTGCTAAATCATTTAGGAGAGATCTTCTGCCATGATCCAATCACCCCCAACTAGGCCCCATCTCCAACACTGAGAATCACATTTTATCATGAGACTTAGAGGGGATAAACATCCAAACTATATCAGATGTCTAGAGCTTTTGGTCCAAAGAAAGTCCCCTAGCTACTAGCTATACCAAAATACCATTTCTATTTTTAGACTTTTGCATGTGCCTAGTATACTCTTTTAAAGTATTAAAAAATCCAAATCAGAAATGGGACACCAATTATAACAGCTACAAGCAAAGCTGTTTTGATTGAAAAGGTGGAGTGTATCTGGAGCCTGGCCTGCTCACTCTTCCCCTTTGCTCATTTGTGGTGTCTGAGGTATCTCATCAGCACCTTACTCTAAGGAACACATTTAAAAAGCTTATTGCTTCACATTATTTGGGAACTGTGGCATTTGACTCATGATCTTTCTTCCCGCACTTCATCTTGCAAACCTCAGTAGTTACCTGAGTGTCCACACAGGCAGCCTGGCCTCTCAGATGCCTTGAACTACAGTATGATGTGCTGCCTAATTCACTTAATCCTCCTATTTCAGTGACCACACTGGAACTCTTACTTTCTGAAGTTTTAAGCTCCTTTACTCTCTGATAACAATCTGTCTGTCAAGCTCTCTTTTTTTCACCAAATCTACTTCATGGCCATTAAATCTGTTCTTAGCTGTCATCACCCTTACCAATTCTTTTCTTTACATCCGTCAGACTCTTTGGACCACACTCCCTTACTTTCGTAGCCTGGACAATCACTCTCTTACTAGCAAACAAATTTCTGTTACCTCTGTTCTTTTCCTGCTTCTCTTAAGGCAGCAGAGACACTCTCCCAAATCCTCCCCACTATGGCCAGACCTCCAGTAGAAGAAAATCCCTGGCTCCTGTTCCTGCACTTGCCCCTTTCAGGAGAGGAGGAATGACCTATCTGATTGTTAAATTTTAGAAGAAGATCTAAGTATGCTTAGATGGTCCTTCTGGATCTTCTTTGGAATTTGCCTGCTTGCAGAGGAAGTGCATTTCACTCTATTCCTCCTTGATGTAAAGAGGGAGACCTCACATTTAGCACTGCCTAACTTTTGGGTCATTCTGCAAATCAGCCTTTGTCATTAAGGGTTGTTTTGTATTACTCCCTTTTCTACCAAAAATTAAAAATAGCCACTAAGTCTCAGTCAATCCTTAAATACCAATTCTTGATTTCTTTACTCAACTGGCCAAATGCCACTAGAAGGAAATAATAAATCAGTACTATTCACTGGTATTGTAAATTCGTAGTGGACCCTGGATGGTGCTGAGAAGTCCTTCCCTTGCCATTGAGGAATGCTTTCTTTAGCTCCTTTTGGCAGCTCCACTTACACTCCCTGACTCTTCTCAGAGCCTTGCCTACCCTGCCCTGGCCAAGACCATCAGATGACATCGTTTCCTGAACATCAAGAAGCAAATGAGCATGAAGACTCTTAAATCTCTACCCCACACCTATAATGTTATTCTATCATTGCGTATCTTCTCTGTCTTCCCTCTCATCTTAGGAGAAGCATATCCCCTATCCCCAGGTTGGGGGTCTAGGTCAATTTCTTCATTTGTCTTTTGATCCTACCCTTTTATTTCCCTTGTGTTCTTACTGGATTCATCAGTTCCTCTCTCTTTTCTCCCATCATTGCCTGCTCTATCAGTGCCTATTTTGTGGACTAAAAACAGACTCAAATCTCTCTCATTTTGAATTTAAAAAGTTTTTTTTTCCTTGGCTCCATGCAGCTCTCTAGCTACAGCCAAACCTTGGTTTCAGTCTGTCCTAGTTCTCTGCCTCGTTGTCCCACATTCACTTTTATTTCCATCAGGTTTTTCTGCCTCCCTCACACCCCAATACATACTAAATCAATCCTAAAATGGTCTACTCACATGGTTTTTATTACCAGGTGTCTAGGAAATGCTCTGAAATCTCTTTCTCTACATTTCTCCCAACTGTTTGTGTACAAGGGGAATACAGGCTGTCCATCTGAGCCCCACCAAATTGTCAAACATGATGATGTGCCAAGCAGAATTCTTACATCCTCTCTAGTCTCTACCTTTCCTCCCCATCCTCTTCCCACCCCTTTAAACATGTGTTTTCTATCTCAGTTAATGGCAGCCTTGTCATTTCAGCATCCTAAACCAGAAACTTTGAAGTCACTCTAGATTTAGTTCTCCTCTCTTCTACCCTCCCATGCGGCCCCCTCCTATTGTGCACTCACGGAGTCAAGTTGATTTTCTCTAAGCATTCCTCAGTTTTGTCCCCCTGCTCTTTACCTTTACTATCATGGCCCGGTTCAGGCCTCTGTCTCTTGCCTACACCATTGCCATTACATCCTAAATGGCTTATCTGCCTTAAGTGTCTGCCTGTCTTCATAATTTCCTTCCTAATGCTACAGAAATAATTTTTGAAATGCAAATCTGATCACGTTGCTCTCCCATTTAGAACTCTTTCCAGTTTTGCGTTGTATCTAGGATGAATGTCCAGATTCCTTTTCATGGTATGTAATATTCTCCACAATCCTGTCCCTGCCTACTTTTCTGCTCTTCTCCCATGACTGCCTCACTCGAGCCATCACACCGTGGCTTTGTGAAATGCCTTCCTCCCAATATTTACCAACACAATTCTTCTGCAACCTTTAAGTCCTAGCTGAAGGGTCACCTACTTAGTAAGGCCTTATCACATTATATTGCATTATTTATTTATGTGTTGATATAATTTCCTAGACTGAGAACTGCCTGAAGCTATCACTTTGTCTTTTTATCCAGTATGTAACATGGTGACTAGCACATAGTCAGCACTCAGAAATTTTTTGCCAAATAAGATTGAAAAATGCTATAGATTGACAAAATACAACTGGAAGGGAATATACCAAATTAAAAATAATAGGTGTGTGCAACTGATAGGATCTAGAGTGACTGAAAAATTTTTCCTCTATAATTTGGTAAAATCATTTTTATAATGAAAAGAGGTGCACAATTTGAAGAAAAATGATATAGCAGGAGAAACTCAATGATGAATGTGCTTCAAAGTTAACATTTTTCAAGAATGGCTCAAGATAAGTAAGTTACTTAGACGTTGGGCTTGGAGACTGAGTAAAAAAAAGAAGAGAGAAAGAATAAAGCTAAAAAGGGTAAAATTTAAAAATTATTCTATATGTATTAAGGTTCTCTAGAGGGCCAGAACTAATAGAATACATGTATATATGAGAGGGACTTTATTCAGGAGAATTGACTCACACAATCACAAGGTAAAGTTTCAAGATAGGCCATCTGCAACTTGAGGAGCAAGAAAGCCAGTGGTGGATCAGTCTGAGTCCCAAAACCTCAAAAGTACGGAAGCCAACAGTGCAGCCTTCAGTCTGTGGCCAAACGCCCAAGAGCCCCTGGCAAACCACTGGTGTAAATCCAAAAGTCCAAAACTGAAGAGCTTGGAGTCTGATGTTCGAGGTCAGGAACGATCCAGCTAGGGAGAAAGATGAAGGCCGGAAGACTCACCAAGTCTAGTCCTTCCACTTTCTTCTGCCTGCATTATTCTAGCCATGCTGGCAGCTGATTAAATTGTGCCCACTCAGATTGAGGGTGGGTCTGCCTCTCCCATTCCACTGACTCAAATGTTAATCTCCTTTGGCGACAGCCTCACAGACACACCCAGGAACAATAGTTTGCATGCTTCAATCAAATCAAGTTGACACTTAATATTCACCACCACATTACATACATTTTTTTCATTCATTCATTCATTTATTTAAAATGTTTATCTATTCAAATGCTCTTTAAATCATTTATACCTCACTTTGTTTCAGCAAGGCTTTAAGTAAGCTTGTGATGAAGGATAAAATCTAGAAAGACTAAGTAAATTAAAATTATTTTAGAGAAAATGAGGCTAAAGAAAAAGCCAACTAAGTAAGACAAAGGCAGGATTCATATGAATACATCAAGTTTAAGCTATGAGGTTCTATGTACTCGCCAGAGGGGAGCCATAGATTTGACTTTGACATTTCTAGTGATCAATCAGAGAGGGAAAAGTGATTGGTGATAAGACGCATGATGACTGTAATATAGAATCAGATAATTTATTTGGGAATTGTATCTACTAAGATCAGTGAGAAATTTTTCCTATGGATCCTTAGGGAAAAGAGATGGCACAATGTGATAAAATACATGCTTATCAACATTCTTAAATATATACAACATTGAGTTTCATAGATCAATTTCCCTTAATGTTCATCAATGTAGGAAAATAGACCGATGAGAGAATAATTCAATGGATGTGTTCTCTAGGTGACAAATATGATCATTCTTTGATATGATCCAATGTAGCAAAGCCTCTGGATTGTTCACTTAAGTGTAGATTCATGAATCTCTCCCATCTCTACCGCTTCTCATCCCCCTAGAGATTTTGACTCAGCAGTTTGGAAGTAGATTCCTAGAATTTTTGTTTTAGGTAATCACCCTGGGTTATTAGACAACAGGTATAAGAATCACACTTAATGCTGATTTTTGAGTATTTAGAGGAACAAGTGGACTGCATATACTTTAGCCAACCATTTGAATATTTGGTTTGTCTAAACTGAGCTAAAATGTTGTGTACAGATAATTTGAGATTGTATTTCCTGGCCAATACTTGGGGTATAGTTGGCCTATATGCCAGTTAATAGTAAAACTATATGTTTAATAATTTAACCAAGCTATTAGTAAACTAAGTTTAATATTTATAAAATAAGTTTCTTAATATTTACAAGATAGCATAAAACAAAGTTTTACTAAAATTGAAGCCCCTAGAGTCAGTAGTGAGTATTTAAATAAGCAAACAAGGGACCTACTCAGAAACATGCATCAACTAATGATTTGGAACTCAAGTTTCAATAACATAAAACATGACTGAACTAATTTTAGCCTCAAAAAATGTAAAATAGATGTAACCAGAATAAATAAAATAGATGTATCCTTGGCAATGAGAAATTTTTATACCTCTAAAATACATCCAGCTTTAAGCATTGATTCCTCCGAGAGAATCCTTCAGGATAAACTTGTTGCACCATTGTAGTATTTAAGATGGCTCCCAAGAATCCCTGCTTCCTTGTGTTCATGTCTTTGTTTAATCCCCTCCCGCTGAGTATTTGTTGAATTTATGGACAGTTTTAACAAATTGAATGTGGCAGAAATAATGGGATTTCTTTCTTTTTTTTTTCTTTTTTTTTTTTTGAGACGGAGTCTCACTCTGTCATCCAAGATGGAGTGCAGTGGCGTGATCTTGGCTTGCTGCAACATCTGCCTCCCGGGTGAAAGCAATTCTCCTGCCTCAGCCTCCTGAGTAGCTGGAATTACAGGTGCCCACCAGCACGCCCAGTTAATTTTTGTATTTTTAGTAGAGAGGGGTTTCGCCATATTGGCCAAGCTGGTCTTGAACTCCTGACCTCAGATGATCCACCCGCTTCAAGCCTCCCAAAGTGCTGGGATTACAGGCATGAGCCACTGCGCCCAGTCAGGATTTCATTTTTAAGACTGGGTTATAAAAAGACTGTAGCTTCCATTTTGGATGTACTTTCCTGCTTTCTCTCTCTCTCTCTCTGGGGGGGAAGAAGTTGACATGTCAGCAGCCCTGTGGAGAGGCCCACATGGCAAGGAACTGAAGCCTCTGATCAACAGCTGGTGAGGAACAGAGGCAAGCCAACCATCTGTGAATGAGTTTGGAAGTCAATCTTCCAGTTCCAGTTGAGTCTTGAGATGACTGCGTCATTGGCCAATAGCTTAACCACAACCTCGTGAGACCCCATGTCTACCCAAGTCAGCTGCTTCTGGATTCCTGATCCTCAGAAACTGCTGTTTTAAGCCACTAAATTTTGGGGGTAATTTGATAGGCTGTAATAGATAACTAATACAAACATGAACATATAAACAACTGAGATTGCTTGCCATGTGAGAGCATACATTATAGATTGGTTGAAATATTGACTTTGTTTGGAACAAGTGACCTGTAATTATTTTTTCTGGGAGCCATTAGATAACAAGGCTAGTCATCTACTGACACCATTCCTATTTTGTAAGAATAGAAAAGCTTAAGAGGATACACATTTTTCTCTTACCTGTCATCGGAGAACTGTTCATTTAAAAATGCTACGAAATCATTAAGGATATAGGGCACAAGTCAAATTTTCCCCTTCTGGAATTCTCATCCTCTGTCATATGGAACTACTATTTGTGGAACTTGCTTCAAAATAGGACTGACTTGGCGAGGTGTGGTGGCTCACGCCTGTAATCCCAGCACTTTGGGAGGCTGAGGAGGGTGGATCACTTAAGGTCAGGAGTTCAAGACCAGCCTGGCCAACGTGGTGAAACCCTGTCTCTACTAAAAATACAAAAATTAGCCAGATATAGTGGCAGGTGCCTGTAATCCCAGCTACTCGGGAGGCTGAGGCAGGAGAATTGCTTGTACCCGGGAGGTGGAGGTTGTGGTGAGCTAAGGTCGCATCACTGCACTCCAGCCTGGGTGAGAGAGTGAGACTCTGTCACAAAAAAAAAAAAAAAAAAAAAAAAAAAGACTGTCTCACTAGCTGTCCAGGTTGACTCTGGAGTGTAGCCACTAATGATTGTTGTTCACAGTCAAAGGTCTAACTTAACAAACTTTAGTGAGGGTCAATGATGTGTTCCATAGTTAAGTATTGTGGGCAGAGGTGAATAATCTTAGTCCTTGTCCTCATGGAACTCACAATCTGGGAGGAGTTTCAGAAGCAGACAGGGGAAGAGAGGAAGAGAAAGGGGGAAGGACAAAGATTGTATGAGGGAACAGGCTCAGTGGTGCAAAACAGAGTTTGTATGGCCTGATGGTAATGTGTGTTTGGAGAACAGAGGTGAGGCAGGGAGTGAGAGAAGGCCAGGGGATAAACTTGGATCTTTAGACAGAATCAGATCAGGAGGGAAAGGCCATGTGGCAAAAAGAGCCAAACCTGGGTGTTATTTCCACCTAATAATTTAAACATAAGGGAAATTATTTTTAAACAACTTGAGTTATAATTTCTCATTTGTAAAGTGGCAATGGCAATGCCTAACACACATGCTACCTTGTTGACTTTAAGCTGAAATATATCCTCTGCTTATAAATTTTATTAAAATATTAATGTTAAATAAGCCACTATTTATCAGCATCTTAGGGACCTGAAAATGTAACATGTCTAATCAGAAGCAATATTTTTCTGTTAAGTCTTATAAACATTAAAGCTGTGTCTTCAAGAAAGGAAATTATGAATCTTAGGACATAAGAAAAGCAGAATAAAAGCATAGAAGGATGTGAGGAGTTGTGTTATGTAAGTTGCCCTAATTCTGTCACTTAACCCTTTTCCCTTTTAAAAAAAATGTGCAGCTTGCTGCCAGCACTCATTTAATTTTACATAAACATGCTCTTTGAGGCTGAAGCCAATCTGACTGGTTTTCACTGTGAAAATAAAATATAAAAACTGTTCTTGGAGTTATTTCCAAACAAAACTAAGATCAGAATCGTCTGAATCATCAGAATTGTCTATTTCAGAAAAATCAGATTCATCAAATGAATCTTTAGCTAACAACTGTTTGAGAACGATGTTAACATCACACACAGGAATGCTGTTTTTCTAGGAGTTGATGTTTTCAGTGATTGAGAATTGCTATATTTTGTAAATGGAAATACCACCACTAAAACCAGAATGGTGTAATTAGAATGATGTCTTTTGTTTCCAAAGTTAAAGTTGGTATACTAGGGTGATGCAAAAAAAAAATAATAATAAAAGTGAGGTATTTCCTGGCATCATTATCTTGGGGTAAATGCTGCAGCCGCAAGCACCACCAGTGACAATTCTCCAGGCATATGGGAACAGGGTTAAATAAATTAAACAGTTTCAATTTGATTTATGCAATGATATTTGATCATTCAAATATGCTTATACTTAATATTTGAGCTTAAACACATTTAAACTCATTAAGGAGGGATAAAATGTACATTTTGTCATTTTAGGATACATTTTCACTAAGGATGATGTGTTAAAATTAATGAATAAAATTTTATCTAACCTCCTGAAATGGGTTGACATCTTTACCCTGATCTTTTATTTACCTTACTACATTCTGAGTTGGAGCCTTGGGGAATTTCAGGAGATGAGGATTTTTGGTGTTTTATTGTTAACGTTTTCTAAAATTTTATTGGAGAAAATGCTAGAAAATACATTGCATTGTCCCTTTTGATGATTTCTGTTAAGCAGTTTTATTTTTGGTTTCTTGTGATATCTGGACTACAAGATTTCCAGAAAAAAAACAGAAGGGAGAAATAAAGCATTAGCTTTAATGATGTGGAGATATTTGAGAAAATGAACCTCTAAGCTAAGAAATTTCTCATCTCCTTCAGCTTCCACAGTGAATCTAAGGAGTGATTCTGAAGTTTGAGTTGAGATAAATGCTCAAGGAGCACCACTCCCATTCAGTCAGCTGGGTTTCAGAGCTCAGGACTGCAACTGTGAAGGCTCAGTGAGGGCAAGTAGGCTCACAGTGAAAGGCAAACTTACAGGTCCTCCATCGCTGAAGGAAGAAATTACAGTGGAATTGAAATGCCATATTTTCCCATATGTATCCAAAGGGAACGTTCTAAGGGGGGAAAAAAGGAAAATCCAACGGCTGAGTGCGTTATACTTTCTGAGTGTCCTCCAATAGAAACATCGTGATGTCATATTATATTAATTTAATGACCAAATAAATATAGAAACCAAACACAGAAACTGTAATTAAATATCCTCTGGAGAACATAATTATGTAAGTAGTACTGCTTTTTAATGTGTAATGAGAGCAGGGGAAAGAGCCTTTGGGCAGGTACTGTGTTCTAAGAATCCAAATTTCCTTTTATTAAAAATATTTCTCAAAGCAAATCTCCTTATGTGTTTCCCGTTGAGAACTTTCCCTCCCCAATCTGCCTTGTCTTGGAAGCTGTTGCGTTTTCATTTTTTTTTTTTTTTTATCTCTATCTTCTTTTCACTCATGTTTCTATACCAGTCTCTTTGTATCCTCCTGGACTTAACAGCTCCCCCCATTGTGCCATCTGCTGTCTCCTACTTGAGTCAACAGTGGTAACAGATGAGACTTCTTCATTCAAAATAATAGCACATTCAGGGGCATGTCTTCAATCTCATTTTTTTTTGGATGTAACAGATTACTATAAGCGCCGTGCTTCTGACCAGACCGCACTGCCCTCATAATATTTAAAAGAAAAATAGTGTACAGCTGTTGGTTATTTACTTTATCTTTTGCATTCTTATTATTTTATACGGTACATAAAGAACTGATTTATCAATATTCTTATATAGGTAACTAAGCATCCATACGATTTGGGAAACATTTTGATAATAAATGACAAATGACAGAAACTGTAATGTTGGAAAGCTATACACTTTCTTCAAAAACATACAATTTTATTTTCTAATCATATCATGAATAGGAATAGGAAAGGGAAAATTGTGCACTTTAGAAGCTAAGGTACCAAGTTTTATTTTATGCCATTGATTTTTTTTAGACAAGTCAAGGGAAAAATACCACATTAAAAGATGCCTAAACATATTCACATGGTAAGTTGTTTATTTAAGCCAGGGTAATTTAACATGCTTCAATTATATGTCAAGAGCCACATTACAATTCCATAAAACGACTCTGAAATCACAAAGGAGGTACCAAGAATAAAGGAGCAGTGGAGGAAACCTTAAGAGACATTGTAATAGCATAATTGGCAGTACAAATTGTCGAGTACTGAACAGACCAGAAAGATGCAGCTTTTGCCAACAATAACGGAGAGGGAAAATGTTTTCCATGGTAAATCCAAGTACAGGGAGTATGGCTGTATAGCTGTTAAAGAACCCACAGAGACAAATGAAAAGAAAGCCTGCTTTATATCTTGTTTATCACATTATTTGAGGTAGTTTACAAAGATTTACATTGTCTATAAATCACTTAAGTAAGGGCTAGTAGGCATGATTTTTATTTCAAACTTTGATTCAGGTTTATGACAATGATTAAGGTAAATTATTTTTCATTTGCATACCTTAAGGAACTTCACAAACTTAGCATCATTTCCAAATATTCTAAAAATTTAAAACACTTTATCTGTTTTCTAACGGTGGTTTATTAGCTTTTGCTGTGGTAACAAACAACCATATTATCTCAAGAGCTTACAAGAACAAATGTCTATTTCCGACTCATATTGTAAGATAGCTGCAGGTCAATGCACTGTATTGGCTGGGCTGGGCTCAGCTGGGCTTAGCTCTATGTAGCTTCTCTCTTCAGGTTTCAGACTGAAGGAGCATCTTTCATCTGTGTCATGCTGTTCTCATGAGAGTGGGCAGAACATGAGAGGTAGAGCCGAAGCATGCAAGCACAGCTTATGCCTCCCCTGGAAGGTGGCTTGAGTCAAGTCTGCTCATACTTTGTTGGTCAAAACAAGTCACAAGGCCAAGCCCAAAGTCACTGGAGTTGGACGTATGTTCCTTCTCCTGAGAAAAATTGCAAAAACGAGGAAGAAATGAAAAATGGAGAACAAATAATGCAATCTAATACCGTTAGTAAGAGGCAGGTTTTTAATATTTTTCGAACGTCTCTCTAGTAAAAACCTTCTGTCAAAGATTGTTGATAATATTCTTGAGGGATAATCTACAGTTTATTCTGTCTTTATTGTCATCCCTTTCCTCGAAGCATTTAAGTTTTGATAATTTCTTCCTTGAATCTTTCTCCTCTTTTTGCTCCTATGGTATTCATGGTTCTTTTCTTACCTGTCTGAATACCTCTGTGGGCTTTCTTTCATTTTCTTTCTTCTTAGAGCCCTGAAAATGAGAATTTTCTAACGGTTATCTCATTGGCCCTCTTATTGCTAAGCCATCCTAATTCCAACTACTCCTATGATTTAAACGATCTCTTCATTGTGGAAACAACTCAAATGAGCTTTTTCAGTCCTGACTTCTAGAATTGTACTTGCATCTACCTTCTGAAACTTCTATTTGAATGATTTTTGGAACTTAAATTCAATTTTGTCACTAGAAACTTGTCAGCTTTCCACCTAAATGTATCCCTTCTGATGTCCCTGTTACTAATAGCAGTGTCATTTTCTAGGTCATTGTGACTCAGAACTATGAGTTGTATTTGACCCTTCCTTCCAATATCCAATCAATGAATGCTAAGTCATAGGATATTCCAACATCACAATGTTTCCCATATCTATCCTCTTATTTCTTCCTGCCATTATTCTAGTTTATATCTTCATTCCATCCCAACCACTTAAAGTAAGAAATAGCCTCCTTCATTCTTCTCTGCCTTCTGGCTTCTCACTTGTCCCCATGTTTTCTAGATCGGAACTCATAGACCTTTCTAGTAACCCTCTGGGTCTAAATCAATCACAAATTTGTCTGATATACAAGACTTTTCACAATATGTTTCTAACTGAACTTTTTGAGGTTATCTTATAAAAGTTAATGTTAACGGAAGTTCCCTTCAAAATAGATAACTTAATATTATTTTAACATATCTAAAATTTCCCACTTACTTGTCTTAACTTGCTTTTATTCTGTCTAGAATATATCCCTTACCTCAACTTATGTTGAGATGCTACTTGTGCTTTTTAAGTTTAATCTCAAAACATATCTCTTCCAGTAACTTTGTTAGCATTTAGTTTGCATCTCTCTTGTACATACATTTGCTTTGTGTTCCAGTGATCTGTAAAATTATTTCTTCAATGATGGACCGTAACTTTTTAGGTAATCAAAACTAGATGTTACTCATATCTGTAATTCTCTGTAGCATCTAACCCAGAACTCAGCATAGAGTAAATTTATAATATTTTTTAAAGAGTTTGAACTCAGAAGTCAAACTCTCTGCCATATAGTAAGTATATCATAAATGTTAATTGTAACTATTTTTGTTATTACCAAACCTTCAATTCTAGTAAAATGGGATCACATTTCCTTGAAAACAGTTTCACATTCTTTTATACCTTGTTTGTAAAGTGATTACTAAATGAAAAAAACAAATTCTACGCAGAGATTATTGAGAAATGGTTTATTTTTATATTTACAATGAACATTCATTATAAACTTTTTTAAGAGGGGGTAGTAAGATCAATTATTTGCACAGAGTTAATTTCCATATAGACTGTTTAGGTAAAGATATTCCTTGAAATAAATTAATTCTCTCTGCAACCTACAAAAATCATTAAAATAACTGTCCATTTCCTTAGACGATAAATGTAAAAAGAAATAAAGTACTTTTTATTATGAGTTAACAGCTCAAGTTAACTTAGTTTATTATTTTCTTTGAATATACATTTATCTACCATATAATGGCCTTGTTTCACAATGAACTCAGAGAGTTATGCAAAAATAGGTCATGGGAAGGTGGTAAGTAGGTGGAAGAGTGTGGACTGATACACTATCGATTTCATTTTCTAAAATATAGACCTTAAATTATAGCGTTTGTTATTAAATAATGATTATATGTCATGATTTTTGGAAATGCTTATATCTCAGAATCGTCATGCTAAGTTAACACAATTGGCAAATAGGGAAAGAGTATTGGTGTCAGAAAAAGGAAGTGAGAATGTTGTCTTCAAGATTCAAAAATTATTAGACTGCAGTGTGTTTCACTACATGTGAACTTTTTTGAAATAAATATAAACATTTTTAAACTTTCCACTAGAATTTCTTGCTATTAAACTTTAAAATATTTTTGCAGTTATTGTCAGAAGTAGCAGTCACACTTTTGTTTTCTTCTCTTGATTCACTTATGTTTGGAGATTACTACAGAGAAGTGGAAGGTTACATCAAATTCTTATTCCTTGGACCTCTAAATAACACCAAAGCATAAAACAATATGTAAATATCTTATGAATGTAATGAGATTTTAAACTTTCTTAAAGACAGAGATCTTGCTTTATTCTTTAAAAAAATCCCCAGAACAAATATGCAAATTAATTAAATAAAACAAGTATGCTTAATTGGTTAACTGTTCGTATATTTAAAATAGTTCATCATTACTTCACTTATAAAAACAATACATATTTAGGAATCAGGTACTTTTTCTTATTCAAATTGTAAAAGTGGCAAAAATGTAAATTTAAAATCATTTGTACAAGTATAAAATATTAAGTATAGGTAATAATTCAACCCAGTTAGTGACCAGACATGTGCCTATATTGAAGTTATATAGCTGAAATCTTGAATTTCCTATCTATAAATAGGAGGCAAGAACTAGTATTTTAGGTTTAAAATCCTAAATTTCTTTAAACCCCAAATCAAAATTATTTTATGAGCAGGACCCATAGAGGACAGTACCATATAATAAAGACAATATAATGAAAAATGATGTTTTGTGAACTTGTCCAGATTAGGAAAAAACATAAAATTAAAGCTCATTTATTATGGGGTTTCAAATAGAAAAAAAAAAAAAAGCAAAAACAAAATCTTCTCACATTGTAAAATTAACACCAAGATGAAACTGTACACATATTAAAAAACCAGTTACTTGCAAACATGAATTGTATGACCGAATATTTAAAACTACTGGCCAGAGAACCTATGAAATACATTTAGGTGCTGCAGAAACAAGGAAATACATTTAACTTTATAAAACTGATGATGTTATGATATATGGAAAAAGATCACATCTCTGAACAGCAAAAGAAGTAAATAAAATAACTATCTCCATGCAATTCACATACATAACAATTATAAGATGGGTGTTAGGGGACTAAAATGCCTTTAATTCATACCTTCAACAGTCATTCTTTCAGCACAAACTGTTCCTTTATATCAGGAAGATGTGAAAGTTTTACGTAGGATTGTGGCATTGTTCTTTGATTGCTTACAGTCTCGTTGTAATGGGGGCACACATGTATCCCTTGAAGTGGCTGACACTGATCTATGTGCAAGAGACTCAGTGGAGACTCAGTGGAGTTGGGGAGGTTCCTGGAGGTGGTGAGTTCTGAGCATCACATGCAATGGCAAGGACAATGAGAAATAGGAATCTAAAGGGATGGCAGTGTTTCCACATTTAAAAACTGGGTAATCTTTATGGTTTTTTCCCTAACATGAGCTTGGTTGTTAAATGTTAACATATTAATGTTTAAAAGGCTTTATCCCTTCAAAGCCTACTTATTTACATCTTCCCCTTCTTGGTTGCCGGCCATTGCCTGGGGTTTGGTTCTGGTTCTCTGTCAGCTATGTTGGTGTGGTTGTTTAGGCTTCACTCAGACCTGTTCCCACCCTGCTGCCTGGTACCTTCCAGTCAGGCAAGCATTTTGTGTGTGTGTGTGTATGTGTGTGTGAGAGAGAGAGAGATTGGGAGAGAGAGAGTGTGCATGAGAGAGAGCACAAGAAGATTTGATTAATTAAGAGAACGGTACTAACATCAGTCAGGATTGTGAATTAAGAGTGGAAGAACTAGACAGGTCTTTGAAGGTTAAGAAATGACATATGCATTTTTTTGTGATAGAAAGTAGGTAGTTACTGAAAGATGCAGGGCAGAAAAGTGATGTAACAAATATAATTTCATCACAATGTTATCTATTATATATTAATATATATAATATATATAAATAACAATGTTATTTATGTTTTACTGGAAAGTAGCAGTCTGGCTAGGAAAGTTTTGTCATCTGGATCAGAATGTAATCTCCCTGAAGGCAGGGGCTCTTCCTTATGCTCTCTGGGGTCTCCTAGGAAGCCTGAGGTCCTAATTACTCAGTAAATATTGGCCAATTGAGAATGAGGTAGTTCTTAAATTTTCTACTTTAGGATAACTTTATCTGTTAGGAAATATTACACATTAGTTTTCCCATCTTATTTTCTGTCTTTCTCTGTAAGAACCTGAAGGAGTGAATAACTTCAGACCAAAAAATTAGGCAGAGCTTACCTAATGCTTTTTCTCTGTAAAAGTTAATCGTTTAATTTTAAAAAAATTAAAATTGACAAGGCACACACTCCCTCTATTGGAGGTAGGCCTTTTCTGTGTAACTGTGATAAAGTTTTACTTCAACAAGACTTTTTTATTTTCCATTTTTTCTTTCATTTTAAGGTGTATTAGAACACTCCAATTCTGACTGGGGAAGTGAGACTTGTTTGAGATTGCATTTACCTAATTTAAATCAGGCATTTAAAGTTTCTTGATTTTATATACACACGCATAATAAAGAAGACACCACAATCAAGAGGAAAAGGTAACAAAAGTTCATATTAACATTTTGCAAATGACTGCGTTAGGTTTAAATTTTTTTTTTTTTGGTATTATAGAAAGCTTGACATATGAAAGTAAAAACAGTAGAGTGTTTTTATTTTGGTGCTGTATAGTGTACTTTCAGCATTTTCCTCCATTTTAGGGTGAATCTGACCTTAGGAGAACCTTTCTATTTTTATATAATAGATATTACAGAGGTGTAAATTCTACTTGATTCTTCTCTGGATCATCAGTTTAAATACCATGATACAAATTCAAATATTACTACAAAATCAGGTAGAATAGCAGCAGTGAAAAAATATTCAACTCTACTTTTGGGCACCTGTTTTATTATTATACCTGCACTGATCCCAAAAATAATTGCAGAGAATTGCCTTCTGTTTTTTTCATATTCATACGTTTATTAAAGTTTAAAGATACTTAGTTATGTGAACAATTATGATTTAGATATATCTAAAGTTCTAAAATTAACTGTTATCTGTGAGTAAAATTAAGGAAAGTAAAATAGTCTCTTTTGAATGTAGTCACTCTAGTCTCATCCTTTCTTGTTTTCTCCTTCCTTTCCACAGCGCTTAGAACAGTCACTATCATAGGTGCCAGTAATATTTAGTAAATAAATACACATGAAGTTAAACCCAAAGTCAACATTATTCCTCTTGTGTCACTTATTGTTGATACACTTTTCAGAACAAAACATAACATGATACCATAACAGAAGAGGAGAATATCTGTGATTCTTATCAGCCGCCCAGAGAAATGAGTTCATTTTTCTATTCCTGAGAGCTTTGAGGTAGTGGAGCATAGATAGGCTGTTCAGGACCTCAGATGTCCAGGCAGGTATGGAGGAGGATGGGATTCATATCATGGAAGGAAAGAAAGAGTGAAAAAACAGGAGGAGGTTAGACATATAAGATGGTAAATAATTTTTCCCATGTGACCTACTTTCATATGGACCCTATATAACCTGCCTTTATGTTGAGTTCTGTGATTTTTGTCCCTCTCCAGCTACTGTCTATTTCTCTCTTCCCCTTTTAAGGAGCAAAATCTCAAAAAATTTTCATGCCCATGACCTCCAACATATCTTTTCCTATTCTTGGATCCACTTCAAATCGGCATTTAACCTCACCATTCTCATGAAACAGATCAGTGACCTTTATGTTGACAAAAGCAAAGGCCACCTTTCAGTTCTTACCTTCCTCTACCTATCAATCAGCAGCACTTGACACAGGTGATGTCTCCTTTATTTTTGAAACTCTTTCTACATTTAATTTCCCGGAGTCTACGCTTTCCTCATGTTCTTCCTACATCACTGGCTACCGTCAATTTCATTCTCTCTTGCCAAATTCCTCCTATTTTTTCCACATCTTTTAAAGTTGGAGTACTGCAGAGTTCAGTCTTTAGACTTCTCAATTTCTCTAACTGCTCTCACTCCCTTGGCTGCCTTCTCCAGCGTATGGCTTTAAATACTATGTTATCTTGACCACCCCACATTTACATTCCTCATCCTGACCTCTTTCCTGAATCTCTGGACTCCAGTAAATGACTATGTAATGAACATATCTACATGGATGTCTGATTAGCCATCTCAAATTTAACATGCTCAAAATAAATACATGATTTTTCTTCCCAATCCTGTTACTTACTAATATTCCCCATGTTGATTATGGAAAATTCATTCTTCCATTTTCCCTCATAAAAAATCTTGGAGTCTTTATTGACTGCTTTTTTTTTCTCATATCTTCACATCAAACTAGTCATGAAACGCTATCAGAATAGCTCTTTCAGACGAATACACGTGACTGCTTCTTACTACTTCTTTCTCTATCACTCTGGTCCAGGTCACCATGCCCTCTTGCCTGGAGATTCAAGTCTCTTAACTGGTCTTTCTGTTTTCATCTTTGTCCCTATTATATACTCTCTATGTAGCAGTCACTGAGCTCCTTTAAAATGTAAGTCAATAATGTTACTCTTTTGGTCAAAAGTTTCCATTTCCTACAGAATAAAGTCCACAGCCTAAGAGAGTTTTTTTGAGCCCCAGTGAGATCTCATCCTCTATTTTCCCTCTTTGCTCATTGCCTGCTACACTGCCGCTCACTCACTCTACTTCTTGTTATTGCTAAAAATGGTTTCCTTGTTATTGCTCAAAAGGCTAGACAGGTTCCCACCCTCAGAGCCTTTAAACTTTGTATTTTGTGTTTTTTCCCTTGTGACTCTCTTCCCTCAAATACCTGCATGGCCTGCTCCAAGGCTTCATTTATGTCTCTCCCCAACATAAAATAGCTCTCTATCACTCTCTATCCTCTGCTTTTCTCCCTCTGCACCCCTTGCTTCTCCATATTCATTCATTCATTCATTCATTGTCTGTCTTCACTGAGAAACGAATGCCATGAGGGTAGAGACATGGTCTCTTTACTGTTTGTATACATGGTGGCTGGAACAGCACTTGGCATATAATATTAGTGTTTATTCGATAACCTGTATAGAATGAATTAATTTATAAGGTGTTTAAGTCAGAGATGAGTGAACAATTACACAGTAGGATTAAACATATGGCATGTAGCACTATTATAAATGGCTTTCATGAAATATAAACATGTATTAATAGAAGCCAGGAAGCTATAAATATCACTATATTACAAATAAGAAATCAGAAGAATAAATGGTCTACTACCAGCAACCAGTGTCTTCCTACCTCCTTACCTAATCACCGCTCTTTGTTTGACCTCCTAAACAACTTGGGCCTTCTCTTCATTTTTCTTTAGGTGTACACCCAGAGGAAAAATTAACAATAAAATCCTACATTCTAATTTCTAGATATCTTAATATCTATCCTATATGAAAGGTTTTGTTGCCCTATTAACTTTGGCAAATGTCTTTTCTTATTTGCACATAACCACAAAGTAAGGCCTGGACAGCTAATTAAAAAATATTTGTTTAGATATTTCTTACTTACTTAGTGTCATAAAATACTAGAAAGTCAGCACAATGATATAAAACACAGTCATATAACATAAATACAGGAGTAAGAAGGAACAAGGAGAAAAGTGAAAAGAATGACCAGAGAACCATGACTGAGACTTCGTTACAAAAATATGCCATAGAGCAGGGTCAGCAAATTATAGCCTGTGGATTAAATCCAGCATCCTGCCTATTTTTATCAATAAAGTTTTATTGGAACACAGTTCTGCTCATTCCTTTGTGCACTATTGAGATAGGAATTCAGCAGGACTAGTTTCCAAGACAATAAGTCACATGACCCCGATGACAGGACAGGAGACAGCAAAAGAAACTAGCCAAAACCAGCTAGAAGCAAGATGGTGAGGAAAGTGACCTCTGTTTACCTTCACTGCTCATTATATGCAAATATAATGCGTTAGCCTGCTAAAAACACTCCCACCAGCGCCATGACAGTGTACAATTGGAATGGTAATGCCAGAAAATTAACCTGTGTGGTCTGGATGTGGGAGAAAACCGAGTTCTGGGAGCTTTCTGCCCTTTTCCCAGAACATTCATATATAGTACATCCCTTATTCAGCAAATAATCAACAAATAATCATAAATATAACCAGCGAGCAGCCCAGGGAACTGCTCTGCCTGCAGGGTAGCCTTCCTTTTGCTCCTTAATAAACTTGCTTTTGCTTTATTCTGTTGGCTTGCTCTTGAATTCTTTCCCACGTGAAGCTAAGAACCCATGCACTTGGCCTCCCAGGCTGAGCCCTAATTTTGGGGTTGGCCCTGTGACACTATCTATGGCTGCTTTCACACTACAACAGCAGAGTTCAGTAGGAGTGATAGAGTTAGTATAGGCTGCAAAGATTAAAAGACAGTATTTACCATCTGTCCCTTTACCAAAAAGTTTGCCACCATGGAGTCCTATATACTTGGAATGGGTGGGCCCCAAATTTGCTTCTAACCATTCTAGTTGCTCATGCCCATCAGCTTTCCAGTTGAAGAACAACTAATGTTGAAGACCAGAAAGAAATTTCTGCCGAGGATCCTTAGCAGAAGAACCTTGAATAATGTAACATGTAGTGTCCTTTGTAAAATCCTCAGACTAAATGAGATGAAGGACTAATTCTGTTAGGATATTTCTTAAAATATCCCTGCATTTAGGCTGATGTTATCACACTGAGGTCCAGTTCTCTAAATGTAGGACATATTGTGGGGAGCCACAGAGTGTGATCTCTTGTATAAACATCTCTATTCAAATGTTATGACCATTACTTTTGACTCTTCTTTCATTTCCAGTGTACTATTAACATTTCATACTCTTAAATTGTGTCTGATCATGGGCAAATTACTTCATCCTTTCTGGATCCATTTGGAAAAGGGCGAAAGCTAAATTATGAGCAGCACAAACTATATTTTTAATGGTGCAGAGGAATTGAAGTGAATGGCGCATTTGAGGATTATAAAAATTTGGGTGTATACGCGAATAAATGGCATGAAATGGGGTTGGTGAGAAAGTAAGTTGAAATCAGGTTGTAAAGGATCATGATAAGTGTTCTGGTCTTTATCGGTTGGTTATGGTGTCCCCACTAAAACTTTCATTTTCTTTCCTTTTCTTATTTATTTATTTTTTTTTTGAGATGGAGTCTTGCTCTGTCACCCAGGCTGGAGTGCAGTGGCATGACCTTGGCTCACTGTAATCTCCACCTCCTGGGTTCAAGCGATTCTCCTGCCTCAGCCTCCCGAGTAGCTGGGATTACAGGTGCACACCACCACACCTGGCTAATTTTTGTATTTTTAGTAAAGATGGGGTTTCACCATGTTAGTCGGGCTGGTCTCTATCTCCTGACCTCATGATCCGCCCACCTTAGCCTCCCAAAGTGCTGGGGTTACAGGTGTGAGCCACCGTGCCTGGCCCCTGGTAAGATTTTCAAAGTCATTGTTGGCTCCATTTCTTTTAGCTATATCCTGAAGAGAATGAAGTTATTTGAAAAAGATTAAGGCTACCATGCTTGTCTTCCTCCAAAGCAACCCAAAACAGGTGTTCTTTCCTACTATGGTGTCATGTGGGTCTAACAAATTGCTACTAGTCTGTTCTTCAGCATTCCACTGCCTCTGGCTTTTTAATTCTAGCTCAGGGCTCATGGATGACTTCTTTCAAGGTCAGGGCTTTTCTGATTCCTCCCAGTACCCCTTTCCTGCAGTGTTTTTAGCACAAACACATGCTCTGTCTGTCAGGTACAGTGTAAAAATGACTTTGCTGGAAGGCGTGGAGATTTCTGGGTGTAAGCCACACACAGAGTGAGCATTACAAACAGATGGCCTCATTACTAGCTTCAGCACGAGCCAGACAGAAACAGTGCTGGGGCTTTTACAGGATGAGCCAGTTAAGGTCCTCTGATCTTCAGCTTGGTACCTTGGTTTCAGGTCCTCTCCTTAGGTGTCGTTCAAAACAACTCTCTTTGTAGCCTCTATTTCATATTTTTTTCCACTCAGCATGATAAAAATATAAATAAAATATCTCCTGTGGTTTCTTTTTGTATGCCTGGACGGTTTTACTTGCTGGTGTTTTTTTTCACTCTAATATGCTCAAATCCCCTTAAGTTCTTTCTCAGTTATTCAATCTCAGTCAGCCTGTCTCCTGAGTTTCAGTTTTCTTAAGCATATTTTTGCCATCATCAACCCTGGATTGCATTCTGATCATGTGAGTGTTTCTCAGACTAACTTTCCATTGCATGTCAAACTGTTCTAAAATTAGTATGCCATCACGTCTCCTTTTCTACAGAAAAACATGGTTATAAGACAATTCAGAATAAAGCCAGGGCAGAGTTGGTAGGAATATTTTGACTCACTAATATTCAAGAATTTCAGATCGTGGAGAAAGAAAAGAAATGAAATGAGAGACAAATGAAAGCCTAAATGCCTAATTTATACTCCTTCAGAACCCCCATTTTTAAGTTCAGGCAGCTCAGTAGGCTCCCCTGCTTGTCTCAATAGGGGAGAAAAAAATACTCCTGTTGTGTTACCTTGAAGACTCCTTATAGTGTGGATAGGAGATGGTAGCTTCCCAATTTTCTTTCTTTAATTATTACTTCTATAGTCTTTATTATATATCCTCAGATATATTTTGAACTTATTTAAAGTGGATGCCATGCATTTACTGCATGGTATTTGCCACAGCACCAAACACAGAGCTATGAATGTCTCTTGCTTTTATTTTACTTCATACTAACTTCATCCTCAGGCTTCTGGTGGGGATAAACTCGTTGCTAGTTGCTCCCCTCTTACAACCCCTCTAGTTTAAGTTCAATAGAAAAGGTAACATCTCCCTAAATAGTTCAAACAAAATATTTGGAGCCAACAATTATTTTCCTCAATGGAGTCGTGTCTATCCCTGAATAATTACTGTGACCAGAAGGAGAAAATGGCCCAGTTAGTGTAGGAAAGGGAGCAAGAATTGAACAAAGACTCACCTCCACTTGAAGCACACAGGCTTCAGTGGGAGAGGAGTGATCCTCAAGAGAAAACTGAGTTTCTGTTTTCAAAAGATGGGTAAATAGATGCTAGCTATCTAATACTACAAATACTCACTACAGTGTTCTTATCAAGAATGACTATAAGGGTAGTGCTGTGGTCTTACAGCCCCTCTGAACCTTGAGCAACAAATACTGCATGACTTTTCAAGAGTTAGATGTTTTCCAAAAATGGTTTAGGAAAGACATGACGAGATTTTTGGAAACAATAGAGGCAAGACGAAGGCCACAGGCATTGCTAAAAGAGAGAGTTTTCTGAGGATCATGAGAGACCTCCCGTTGTTTATATTATAAAGTACAAAGCCTCAGCATGACACATAAAATCCTTTACACCCAGACCTCAGTTTACTTCTATTTCATCTTCTCCCACCGTCTACTGTACTCTTTATAATCCAGCCCAACATAGTTTCTTATCAGTCTAAATATATCATGCTGTTTCAAGATTCAATGATTTTTTCCCATCCTTGTCCTTTATTTATTAGAAACAAACTTTAAATTAAAGAACACATACACAAAATTCTCAGCTCAAAGAGTTTTTGAAAATCAAATTTCTTTCTTGGAATGCTCTTTTCAAACTGGTGTATTTTTATTATTCATTAGGATCAAGCTCAAATGTTATTACTTGTGTAAAGGTCTTAGGGAGAGTTAGTTACCCCTGGTTTGAATGCCTGGATAGATGATGATAGTATTAAGCTAAGAAGATATTATAGAAGGAAAAACTAGTTTGGCTATCGGGAAGTTAGGGAGGATAATTAGCTCCATTTTTGTAAGTAAGTCTGAAATACCCGTATAGGGATGACTGTTGGGTATTAGGTGCACTGGATCTAGATACTGGCATGAATATACTGATCTAGATGCTGTCACATAAAGGTGGCAGATGAGATTTTTAAGTGAGAAAATTCTCAAGGATAGAACCTTAGAGTATACACTTTTAAGAGGATCAAGGCAGAGTACTCTGTCATGATGGGTGAGAATCAGTGGAGAGGTATGAGGAGACCAAGAAAAGTTAGTGTCAGTAGTTAAACAGTGACCAAGGAGTTAGAGTGTTTGAAGGGGGAGTGACCAATGTTAAATTATAGAAGCAGCTCAAGGATGTTAAAGATCAGTAAGTGACTTACGGCTTTGGCCAATAGAAAGGCATGGGTAACAGTTTGGGGAGGAAGTTTGAAAAAAAAACTTTAGGGCTATAGAGGGGACTATAGAAGGAATACCTCTTTTGGATAAAGTAGTGCTGAAAGGCAGCCCTCCTGAACACATTGTAATGGGAATTAGAGATACAAAATCTTTTTCTAGTATATATAAGAGAAGCAAAGTTGTAGCCTTGACCCTCTATCCTGCATGTGGTGAAGGACATTCATTACAGCATCATAATAGATTTTTTCCAGCATATTTCATTTGAAGAGAGAACTCCTTTATGTGAACATGATAATGGAAAAATATAACTTCTTAAGAATTACATCAATAACTCTTTGGGGACAAAGCTGATCAAATATATTATTACATCCTACCACATAGCATAAAAAAATGAAGTCCACTGATCTGGATAGAGAGGAGCAATTATTACCTTGTTCCCTCTAAACAAATGTTACTCTTTATTATATCCTCAGGACCTCTATTTTTCAAACAAAAAGTTGAATTTATACTCACTGAGTTGCTCATTGCTGGTTCCCTGGTGAGAAAAAAGTAATGAACATATTAAGAAAAAAGGTACCAGAATATGTGAGATTTTCAATATTTAGTATTGTCATATTAAAATCTCCAGGTTAAACCTGTGGTAGTCAGAGGCCCTGTGATTGTGAGGTTATGGTTTGTCAGGAAAGATCTCAAAGACATTAAGAGATTAATTTTTTTGTTGTTGCTATACAGGTACAGTCTTTCAGTCTTACAGGTCTGGACATTCAATCAATAACTTATTCAAGGGAATTCAAGCCTTGAGAAAAAAGGACATAAAGTGTCTATTTCCAATCAATGAACCTGATTTTTGACAAAATAATTGTTGCTAAGATATGTATCTTCCCAAAAGTCTATGCAGAAAATTAAAGCAAAAATCATAAAATTTCTTCACGAGTGTGTGGAATCAGAATAATATCTGAGTAATCTTGTCTACGAATCTGTATTCCTTGGTCCAGCCAGTGAAGCCGACATGTTGCCCATTTTCCCCTACTAACTTTTGTTTTTAGGCCTCTTTGAGTCTCTGATTAATGTTTTGGGATCTCTCTCCAGTACAAGGTACATGTACGCTGGCCTTTTCATGTATTTCACTGGTTCCAAAGACTCCCAAGAACTCAGACTCGAAATTCCAAGTAAAAAAAAAAAAACACAAAAAACCCAAGTTAGGAATGCACAGTCTAGAGACTTTTTTTCTCCAATATGCAAGCATGTCTTTTCAGTTACCGGACCAATATTTAGATTAAGTATTCCTTGCTTTTATCAGGCCAATAAATTCTAGCACTTATGGCTCACTGCTTAATTGACTCAAACAAGGAAATTGGTGTACTGGTATCTACCTCAGCCAAGATGTAAGAACACTCATAGTCCTAGAATTCTGCCTATTTGGGTGGAATCAATAGAAATTCCTATCACTACTTTTTTTTTTTTTGTATGGAAGAGGTTCTGGGACAAAAGTTTAGAGTTAATGTCAATCCCCAGGCAACATAAATAACAATATTAAAACTTACTGTGCTTATTTTATGAGATCACATAGTCCGTCTAATGGTATGTTTTTTCAAACTTAGTCCTAGGTAGTACCTTGAAGTGTGGGCAGTTGCAGGGATAACATGTCAAGGATATTTTCCTCTACTGGCAGGAGCTGATGATGGGTTGCTGTTAAGTCCTATTGTGGGTTAGATTTGTTTATCATAATCATTCTGATGCAAAACATATTAATGCAATTATAGAATTTTGATGATCCTTGAATCTTAGATCCTTACTGATTTCATTTGAAGTTTTTAATTGGTAAGAGAAATATAGGAAGAGAACAATGGTAATGTCTTTGAAATATGAGCTCTTGTTGTTACTAGTGGAAAAGATCTTTGTCTTAAATATAGTCCATATGTCACTTGATGATGGGGATATGTTCTGAGAAATGCATTGTTAGGCGATTTTATCATCATGCAGACATCAGAGTGTACTTACACAAACCTAGATGATATAAACTACCACACATCCACCTCTACAGTATGGCCTACTGCTCCCGGGCTACAAATCTGTACAATATGTTACTGTACTGAGTGCTGTAGGCCATTGTAACGTAGTGGTAAGTATTTGTATATCTAAACATATCTAAATGTAAGTTATCCCAGCAAGAAAGAGATGGAACATTTAAATTAGGATAATCTGAGAAGGAATTAAAAAGGAACTATTTCTGAAAGCAAGGGCAGAATGTCGGAAACCATAAGAGAAGCACAGGGCCTCAGAGCTGTTATCACTAGTAGGTCTACTAGCGTAAGAGGTATGACCATACCTGGAAGGAAAGAATTGCTTACGGAGGGCCAACTTGAGTGCAGCACTGAGCTATGCTTAAGGGACACAGCCTGCCCCAGGTGAACCTGAGGGGAGTGAGGCAGGGACACAGGGATCTTATTTTTACTCACTTTGTTCCTTCCCTGCCATCACTTTCTGGGATCTGCTTTTGGCCCATTGATGTAATCCATACAGGTCAACCTCCTGAGACAAGGGGCAGAGTGGAAAGCAATGATGACAAACAAAAAGAGGACAAACAAAAATATTTGGCACAGAGCCAAATATGAATTCAAATTCTAGCCCCACTACTTATCAGATCTTTATCTTTGAACCAGACCTAACTTCTTTAATATTGTTTTCTACCTCTCAGGATTTCTGGGAGAATTAAATGTGCAATGCAAATGGTAAAATGTCTGCTGTATCACTGGACACATGAATGCCCAAGAAACACTTATTAAATGTTTATTGAGTAAATGACTACAAGAGTAATTAAAAATAAAAGACGGGTGAAAGTAGAGGCTAGGAAGTGGTTTCCTTTTACAATTTATATACCATATACACAATTTTTGATAAATATCTCACTGAATAATATGTTGCCCTAAGGCAATTATATAAGCAATCAACATTTTCTGGGACGAGCAATATACATGAAAAAAACAAAATAATCATTGCTAATAATGCTTAGTTATTGTGTTCGGAAGTTAAAATTAAATGTTTACATGTGTTTGATGAGTCAGGATTTTTCAATTCTCTTATTTTATGAACTTAAAATATGTAAAACTAAATATCTCTTAATAATCACAGAACTCTAGAACTGGAAATGATCCATGGAAAAAAATCTGTTTAAGCTTCTTATTTTGCAGTTGAGAAAACTGAGGCCCAGAAATGTAAACTCATCCAAAGCTAATGACCTTGAGACTGGCTGAGCTACAACTTGAATCCAGGAGTTCCAGCCTCAGTCTGAGCAGTCCCCTTCTAGATTTTGATTAATAATATCCTAAGAACAGAACTGACTAAAAGTTCCACACCTTATAAATCAGCATGAAACTTGCCCAGAGGATAGAATAAGCTTATGAATTCAATCACCATCTAGATTCTGGGAGAGAAGAGTAAATTAAAACAAAGCATTAACACTTTGTACTTTATAAAAGAAACTTTTGTCATACATGATCATCATTATAGTGCTCTCTGATGGATACAAACTGTCTTGAGGCTCTTATAAATAAATTATGTATACTTCTAGAAAACTTGAAGTTAGGCTCTCCATTATACAGAAAAGCAGTAGATAAATGCTACCACTTGATACAAAGGATGACTGTAGTCCTCCCATGACTACGAAAAATAAACTGGCTAACTGTATTCACATTAAAATGCAACTCATTTAAGTGTTCATTAATATGGTAAGGTTATTTTCTTTAATATCTCATCAGAATTTACCTAATAAAGCTCAGATACCATGATTTAGAATGTTATGTGAGAGCTTATTTATTCCTAAAGAAAACAGAACATTGTCAAAAACTGGAAGCATTCCCTTTGAAAACTGGCACAAGACAGGGATGCCGTCTCTCACCACTCCTATTCAACTTAGTGTTGGAAGTTCTGGCCAGGGCAATCAGGCAGGAGAAAGAAATAAAGTGTATTCAGTTAGGAAAAGAGGAAGTCAAATTGTCCCTGTTTGCAGATGACATGAATTGTATATCTAGAAAACCCCATCATCTCAGCCCAAAATCTCCTTAAGCTGATAGGCAACTTCAGCAAAGTCTCAGGATACAAAATCAATGTGCAAAAATCACAAGCATTCCTATACACCAATAACAGACAAACAGAGAGCAAAATCATGAGTGAATTCCCATTCACAGTTGCTTCAAAGAGAATAAAATACCTAGGAATCCAACTTACAAGGGATGTGAAGGACCTCTTCAAGGAGAACTACAAACCACTGCTCAACGAAACAAAAGAGGATACAAACAAATGGAAGAACATTCCATGCTCATGGATAGGAAGAATCAATACCATGAACATGGCCATACTGCCCAAGGTAATTTATAGATTCAGTGCCATCTCCATTAAGCTACCAATGACTGTCTTCACAGAATTGGAATAAACTACTTTAAAGTTCATATGGAACCAAAAAAGAGCCCGCATCGTGAATTCAATCCTAAGCCAAAAGAACAAAGCTGGAGGCATCACACTACCTGACTTCAAACTATACTACAAGGCTACAGCATGGTACTGGTACCAAAACAGAGATATAGACCAATGGAACAGAACAGAGCCCTCAGAAATAATACCACACATCTACAACTATCTGAACTTTGACAAACCTGACAAAAACAAGAAATGGGGAAAGGATTCCCTATTTCATAAATGGTGCTGGGAAAACTGGCTAGCCATATGTAGAAAGCTGAAACTGGATCCCTTCCTTACACCGTATACAAAAATTAATTCAAGATGGATTAAAGACTTAAACGTTAGACCTAAAACCTTAAAAACCCTAGAAGAAAACCTAGGCATTACCATTCAAGACATAGGCATGGGCAAGGACTTCATGTCTAAAACACCAAAAGCAATGGCAACAAAAGCCAAAATTGATAAATGGGATCTAATTAAACTAAAGAGCTTCTGCACAGCAAAAGAAACTACCATCAGAGTGAACAGGCAACCTACAGAATGGGAGAAAATTTTTGCAACCTACTTATCTGACAAAGGGCTAATATCCAGAATCTACAAAGAACTCAAACAAATTTACAAGAAAAAAACAACCCAATCAAAAAGTGGGCAAAGGATATGAACAGAAACTTCTCAAAAGAAGACATTTATGCAGCCAACAGACACCTGAAAAAATGCTCATCCTCACTGGCCATCAGAGAAATGCAAATCAAAACCACAATGAGATATCATCTCACACCAGTTAGAATGGCCATCACTAAAAAGTCAGGAAACAACAGGTGCTGGAGAGGATGTGGAGAAATCGGAACACTTTTACACTATTGGTGGGACTGTAAACTAGTTCAACCATTGTGGAAGACAGTGTAGTGATTCCTCAGGGATCTAGAACAAGAAATACCATTTGACCCAGCCATCCCATTACTGGGTATATACCCAAAGGAATATAAATCATGCTGCTATAAAGACGCATGCACAGGTATGTTTATTGTGGCACTACTCACAATAGCAAAGACTTGGAACCAGCCCAAATATCCAACAATGCTAGACTGGATTAAGAAAATGTGGCACATATACACCATGGAATACTATGCAGCCATAAAAAAAGATGAGTTCACGTCCTTTGTAGGGACATGGATGCAGCTGGTAACCATCATTCTCAGCAAACTATTGCAAGGACAGAAAACCAAACACCGCATGTTCTCATTCGTAGGTGGGAATTGAACAATGAGAACACTTGGACACAGGAAGGGGAACATCACACACCAGGGCCTGTTGTGGGCTGGGGGGTTGGAGGAGTGGGGAGGGATAGCATTAGGAGATCTACCTAATGTAAATGACGAGTTAATGGGTACAGCACACCAACATGGCACATGTATACATACATAAGAAACCTGCACGTTTTGCACAGGTACCCTATAACTTAAAGTATAATAATAATAAAATTTATGTATATATATATATGTATATATAAATATAAAAGAAAACAGACCATTGTCATTTATCCTTAAGAACAGATTTTTCTGGCAGCTTTTCACCCATCTTTCCCACGATGTCTCTTAAAAGAAGAACTACTTTTAAAGCTATCAAAGCATTTTTGAATGCTGAAGAGAAGGAAAACATTTTTAAAGGACCAAGACTAAAACAATGCTGGTCTTCTGCCAGGCCATGTGGAGGAGCCATGGAATAGCTCCGAGATGCTTGTTTTTCTAATTAGGGCAAACCCCACTCCCAAATGTGCCAGGAAGAAAAGCCAACATATGCCCTAGGGAATCAATCACAGCTTCATACTTTCCAATTAACTTCCCTTTTTATTATTTCTCATTGATAGACTTTGAAGTACATTTCAATTAACATAAAATTCAGAGCCAGATTTCTGTACTACTGAGCATCTAAAATACTATACACACTATCCAAAATGGTTCTTATGAACAAAATCAATAAACACAATCAGTATTATCCAATACCCCAAGATGAAAATTCTATGAGACACTGTGCAGCATAGTGACTATGAATTTGGGGATTTTGTGCACTTGGGCATCTCTGTACCCCAGTTACCTCAACTACAAAGAGGGAAAACAGCATGATCTACTTAGTAGAGGGTGGTTGTTACAATTGAATGAGGTAAATCATAGATGCACTTAGAATAGGCCCTGACATGCAGTGTGAATGGTAAATTTTAGATAATGTCATTGTGTTTATCATTGTTATTACTATTAGATTATTATGTTTATTAAATCAATATTATGTTGCAGTCACTGTGCTATTTTCCTAATTTAATCCTCATAGCAACCTTGGACTTTGTAGGTAGGTGTCGTTAGTCCCATGTTACAGCAGAGCAGAACAAAGTTGAGAGTGCTTAGGAGACTTGACTAAAAATGTAGAATAAGAGGCAGATATTCCCAATAGTCAAGATATGGACACAGCTTAAATGCCCATCGATGGATGAATGGATTAAAAAATGTGGCATATACATTCAATGGAATACTATTCAGCCTTACAAAATGGGAAGTTCTGTCATTTGCAATAACATGGATGAAACTAGAGGGCATTATGTGAAGTGAAATAAGCCAGGCACATAAAGACAAGTATCATATGTTTTCACTTCTTTGTGGAATCTAGAAAAGTCAAACTCATAGCAGTAGAATGGTGGTTACCTGAGGCTAGGAGTGGGGTAGGTGGGGTAAGAATATTCCTTGAGTTCAGTTAGACAGGAGGAGGTTGTATTGCACACCACAGTAACTGCAGGTAGTAATAAGATGTATATTTCAAAACAGCTGAAAAGGAGGATTTTAAATGTTCTCACCACAAAGAAATGATAAATATTTGAGGTGATGGATATGCTAATTAGCCTGTTTTGATAATTCCACAGTATACATGTATGGAAACATCACATTGTACCCCATAAATATATAGAATTATTATTTGTCAATTTAAAATAAAACTTTCAAAATGTAGTGAGTAAAAATGAGCTGCTTAATAAATCATATTCAAACAGGCAAAAAAAGAGACGCAGAAATACACTTTCAAAATAATTCCGTCTGACCTCAAAATGCATGCCATTTTCCATGGCAGTGTATTAACTTCTAGCTGATTTTTCTGTATTTATGAAGAGCTTCTCCTAAATTGTGATTATTCTGCAAGACTGTAGGATTGAATAAAAAAATAGGAACCTCTGCAACTCTGTTGTGGACTAAGTTCTGGTTGTATGTTTTTAAAATTAAACATGGCTTTCTTTCATTGTTTATTATATTTACAAAAGCAATATATACTTCTTTGTTGAAAAGTTATAAATTCCTACTAATATAAAGGAAATAAAAAATATATTTTACCCACTCATATATAATTACTGTTAACTTCTTGGCATATATTCTTCCACTATCAGTGTTCTGAATATCATCTAATGCAATTTGTTATTGACTTGTTATAAAATTTTTGCAAACTAGTAACAGTATTTCCATACAATAAATAGTGGGAAAAGGTGATTTTTTTTTTCTACTGTGAGTAAGATATGGTCTTTCCATTAAATCTTTGAGTGGCACAATGCCTAGATTGTGGTTTGCCAGTAGGGCTTAGCCCAACATTTTTAGTGATCATAAAGTACAAAAATGAAATGTAAGAGCATTAGAAACCCTGTAGAAACAAAAGAAAATCAATGGTGCTTGGCAATTCTTTGCTTCTTTGGTTTAGGTCTTAATGTTATTCAGTTGTAACAAGTTAGTGATAATGGACAAACTCTATGTTCTTTCTCCAGCCCAAATCCCCATCCTGAACTCTGTGAACGGTGGGATTATTATTATTTTACCAAAATAAATAAATGATAATAAAGAGTTTCTTAACTTCAAGGCATCTGGAATTTACTGCGTTGCCAATGCGTATATAGAAGGTCATAATACCAAGGTATTAGTTTGTGCTACCTCAAATTTCAGGGCTCAGGGAAATCCTGCATAGATTTCAGATAAATTTCACTTACAGAATTTAAAGCTATTTTATGGGTTTTTGCTCAGGCATCTAGTACAATTTATGTTTAATAAAACCCCAAAATATAAGTTAAATCAGGTTACCTATTGGTAGAATAGAGAAATAGCATTTGCCCTTCTCATCTGCTGTTTCACTTCACTTTTAAATTTCTTCATAATATTTTCAATAAATCATTGCCACTGTTGTTTTTCTGAGTAGGGTGCCTGTAGTGAAATAAAAATCTAGGATGACAGACGTGGAAGACTAATTAAGGGGAAATTATACATGTGCAGTACGTGTAGCAACCAAAGAACAAGGTCTTTATTGTGTGGACCATTGTTATTTGCACCTACCTAGACAGAACATCAGGAAGACAAGATGCCCTTGTGATCCTTACCGAGAAATCAGGTTTATTTTCTAGCATTGCTGCTTGCTGATTTAAGGGTTGTGAGGTAGTTACAAGGCTGATGAAGTTGGAAGAGAAGGAGGAAAGCCGACTCGTCTGTAAAAAATCATCGCTTACATAGTAATTCTTGTTCCAAGGGTCCTTCTGTGTGAATTTTATGGAAGAGCATTTGAATGAAATTCTACCTAGATGCTTCTTGATGATCTGAACCATGAAACCACCAAGCCATTGAGTGGGAATGTATTATGATTCTCTCGCTTGATGCCCTCATTTAGTCATGGAAACTGATCCAAAACTAATGAGCTGTCCTACATAGATTTCAGTTAAATGCTTTACTTTAAGGATTATTAGATCTGATCATGAGGCGGAAGAAGAAAGCTTAACTTTATTTCAAACTTTTACCTTTTGCAATTTTTTTCCAAGTAAAATTACACTTCCTAGTGTGCTGCTGGTATATGTAAACACTTGCTATCTTTAACATCTCAAATAACATGAGGATTCTGGTATTTACTTCCATAAGGCAGCCAGCAGGATGCAGAATATTTCTGACTAAATTCATCAAAGGCAGGAATACTTTATGTATAAGGACAGATTAAAGATTAGGATTTTTCCCTCTGAAAAGATAAAAGCTTAAAAGCAGGTTTTTCTAAAATGAATAAAATCACGTAAGTTAATACAGATCAGGCCTCCAAATGTGACAGTACTAACCCAGTGTGTTTTCATTATAAACTCAAAGGTTTTGGACAAATAAGGAATACATAACTTTAATACAGTTGAGAGACGGACAAAAGGTTCTGGTGAGAACTTCCTCCTCAATAATCTTTCCTTTATCTGTTCTACTAAAAATGCAGATTGATTGGAGCTGGCAGACTCCCTTTTAAAATCAGAATCGGTCCCAGGGTAGAGTTGCAATCATTAAGCATTCACACTACAATGCAAACTACTGTGTTTCCTTTATTCTAAGATGCAAAATTTTCTCATATTTTGAACTTCTGAAATCAGTGTACATTTTGTAATTTGTATGTACTTTTAATGAGCAGCGTTTTTTTTTTTTTCTCCAACAACTGGATGCTTCCACTGTCGCTCCTACCAAAAAAAGAGAACCAAGCACCAAGCTCTTTCTTCCTATTGCTTATGACCGAAGCAAAGGCCCCCATGGGCATTTGACTGGTGAAGGCCAGATGCATCCTAGGTGCAAGGAAGGTGGCTGGCAGCTGGAGTCCTGACTTATATAATAGTAAAGCTATGCCGTTTACTTGGGGATTTCTCCAAATATAGAAAGAGTAAACAAAATACATTTAGCACAATTATGACAAATAATCAGTACATAGTGATAGGGCAGGAATCACTGTACTCATTGTTCAGAGAGGTTATTTGAGGTAACTACAATCACACTCAGGATATGGCAGACTTCCCAGGACATTCTTTTCTTTATTAAATGTCAAAGTATCCAAAATGAATACTTCTTAAGAAAATCTCTACACAAGAGATAACCAATGGACAGATTTTAACACTTGTAGGCAAAACTGCTTTCAGACCCAATAACTGTGTTCTAACTTGAAGGCATAGAAAACTATTGATGTCTTAGGAAGCCAGGACAACTGCGTAACACATAATTACAACAGTTCAGCCTCTACCAAAGGCCTAGAAACTGGGAGTCTAAGGAGCTGAATAAAGGAAGGAAGTTGAACTATAGTCTATTGAAAGTTTCACATAGCTTGTGGTATATTTGATAACTGTGGACAACCATAAACTCAGTACTCATGTGTGCAGAAATTTTATGTTCTCTACTTAAAACATGAATTGCAAATGAGAAAGAACCCCATATTCACACCATTCCAATGGGCATTGGCTATGATTCTTCCTTGGCAGAGAAGAAAAATAATAAAGCCTCTCTCAGCTGTCACTTCTACTTGTCCCAGTTAACAGGTCTGTTCTTGCAGAACCATTTTTAAAACTGACAACAACAACAACAAAGCATGCCAATGACTGATATGCCAAGAGGAGGATTTCCATAGTGCTGCAGGCTTAGTTGATGTCCTGACACGTGCAGGACAGGGACCTTTTGTATATGAACATTGAATCGTAAGATCTCAGAGGTGGAGCAGTCCTCAGGACAATGGAACTCAGCTACTTTCCATTAGATAAATAAGGCTGAGAAATATTAAAGTAGATTTTAGGTCTCTTCCATTCATCAAATATCGCTGCTATTGTTCTGCAAATAAATGGCTAGTGCATTTTTTACCCACACAAGAGACCTAGAATATAAAATAGAAGTTAATTTTTAAAAATCTCTAATAAATTTTGATAGGAGTAGAAAAGGGTAATTTGGGGCATGTAGTGATAAAGAGGGCATGGTGACTTTAAAAGACTTATTCTGAGGCTCTAAATGCAGACATGTGAGTATCTAAATCCAAATCCCTTTTAATATCATAATAAAGAAGATTGGGCCATATTCTGCAGGATAGCTCTTTTGTTCATTTGTACTGGCTATGCCTTAATGCAGTACAATTACATTGAAACAAAACTGGAGTCTAGAAATAATCATTTAGATGACTATCTATGACTGTCAATTTCAAATTTCCAGCAAAAGTTACTCTTTGTTGTACCAGTAGGTGCATCTAAAAGTATAAAAATTGTGGCGTTATCAAACACTAAAAAAGAAAAGCATTCAATTATCTGTGATTTAAATGACTAGGGGTCATTTAATAGTTTTCAATTTTTTTTAAACACAAAACTAATAGAATTAAAAATGTTTCATGTAAATGAAAAAAATAAGCTGAGTTTGCATTGAATTTGACTTTTTTATTCTGACTCCATAAAAGCCAGTTCTACATTAAACTAGAATATTGAAATTGCTACCAAGAAGTTAGAGTTGCTGGACATCATTCTATATTTCATTGTAAAAAGTACAATAATGAATGGTACATGGTGCCTGCTGTTAGGATCCTCATGGTCTTTTATCTCAGGAACTCAGAGATGGATAACAAAGCAAGAATTGCTGAGTGTTAATAAATCCATCACAAAATTACTTTGATTAGAAATTTTCTTTCTTGAAGAGTTTTAAGTATTTTTTAGGTTAGGATTCATGGTAAAATCAGTAATGTAATATATGTGTAGCTACTGTTCAGTATTCCCAAATGGCTATGAATTATAAGAAGTGATGTTCAAAGAGGCCATTTAGTAAAAGTGGAATGAATTATTGAGTAAGCTGTGCTTAATATCATAAAATATTATCCTTTCTTATGAATGCAAGCTTAAAAGTTTATAATAATACCACCTACATTAGTTGATGATGTACAGCATCTTATTTGAGCCTTACAACAGCCCTGTGAGGTAGAGTTTATCAGTCAGAGGTCTTAGTTATTAGGTTGGTACGAAAGTAATGCTATTTTTGCAGTTACTTTTAATGGCAAAAACTGCAATTACTTTTGCACCAACCTAATACGAACAACTATGAATTCATCTTGGTTAGTTTACCAAAACCTCACACGTATAGAACAGTCTCAGAGAGGATCACTGACAGGGATGAGGATCAGGCTCTAGGCTAACCATCTAGCCACAACACCCCCCCAACCCTAATCCACAGAACTGGCACAGTGAAGAGACTGCATTTGTGCTGCTATCCCAATAAAGATAAAGTGCCAGAAATTCAAGTTTATTGCCACCATCATGGCCATCAATATCCCTTTAAATTTTGTGTTAGGAGCTCAACCTTGCAAACAAATCATTGGTATGTTCTATAATTAATGGTAGCCTATAATTGTAGAAATAATACAAATGTTATCCTATTGTCATTCTTCTCTCGGGCTCATTCACTTGCTCCACATTCTGCACCTTTTGCTGCTCGGAAGTCTTCCATCAATACTCATTGCCCTCAATTCATGAGCTTCCTCAGGAGTACAGGGGTTATGATTGGACGTTGAGGAATGGGCTGGCCATTTCAGAGGCTCTTAATTTTCAGGAAGGTGGTGGTCCTGGGTAAGGAGCCACAGAGGACCAGAAGCAATGTGAAGGTGCTGAACCTTTTGGGGAGCAAGATCTGAGATCTATGGGAAAGAGGAGCAGAGTGGGAGATGAGAGCATATGAAACAAGAAAATTTTTATCATGACCCCAGTTGTGGTGAATCTGTGTACTCTTAAAAATCACCTCAGGCCACACAAAATTATTAAATAAATGATTATTCTTGACTGAAAATTAATGTCACCAGGTCTCTCAATATGGGGTTATTTTCCACAATAATGACAAAAATAAATCAGAACTGCAAGTAATTTGTGGCCAAGAGTCATATTTAAAACAGGCAATTACTGTTGAGTACAACTTCATTGATTCCATTTTGCCAGAGACTTTTCTTTATGACTCATTCATATTTATTCATTTCTTTGGCAGTTTTCACCTAGGTTAAGTTGCTACACAGTGATTCATGTAGTTTGAAAAAATGGAGAGAAAGACATCTTTCACCAGTGGAGACCACACAGCTCCCTTCCTATTTGCTGTCCTTCTTCTGCACTTGGCCATAGTAGGTGATCATGAACCTGGCTGTTTCCCTTTCACGTCCTCTGCCTGTTTGACTTTAATGTGGCTCCTCTCTTCCTTGAAAGCATTCAATGATACTATTAGACTGTGATGACAAAAATAAGAACAAATAAATCCGTTTCAAAGTTTTCTGTAAGCCCTTATCCTAATTGAAACGACTTCAAATATTCATATGTCTCAATGATTATTGTTGAAAAGAATGATATAATGAAATGATTTTGAATTATTCTGCATATTATAGGTACATTTGCCAAGAGAAAAAAGCAGGTGACTTTGTAAAAAGGAGATTTTGGGCTTCAAAATCATGCCAAAGTGGGGAAAAACTTACAAATTCTAAAAAGACAAGAAAAATATCATCAAATGTGTTTTGTGTGATCATAGTTTTAGATAGGTAAAGTTTATGGTAAAAGCATATAGCTGTTTATACACATTGTAGCTTATAGAATCATTTGAAAATTTTCATTTATGTATATAATGTATGACATTTGGGAAGTAATTATTTTGACTAATGCTAATTTAAAGGTTCTTTTCCCTGTCTTTTACTTAGTATATTTTGGTCATAACTATAACTTATTTGATGTTGGTCTTTGGTCAAGAGTATAATTCCCAGTTGCAGTATTGTTCAATTGAAGAGATATGGTCCATCGAACAATGATTTAGTTTATGTGAATTTCTAGGAGACTATCGTGATGAAAATTAGAAGTATAACACTTGTGTGGTTTTCTTATATCTGCCTGTAAGGGTGCTAGGCATACAAGATGGTCAATAAAGTTTCCAAGGTATATTAAGTTAATAGAACAAATTTCTGAACAGCATGTATAGAATACTTCCTTTTGTGCAAAATGGACAGGGATACGTACATGTTTCTATTTGCTTTTTTAATGTATAAAAATTCTTTGGAAAAATACACAGCCACAATAATGGCAGTTATCTGTTTGAAGTTGTGGAAAGGATGGGGTATTATATGGACAGAGACCAGGCTGGGAGGGAGGTGTTTGTGTTTTTTTTAATTTTTGAATTTTGGGACTATGTTATTTACTCAAAATTAATTAAAATAAAAATGATTAGATTTTTGGTTTCAAAATAAATTATTACTCTTGTGAAATCTTTTTTTTGTAAGCAACGTAACTGTAATTTCCTTCTTTTAACACTCTTTATTCATGCTATTTTTACTCACGGCATTTTTAATAGCCAAAATACAACATCTGGGACATAAATTACAAATAAATTTCAATGTAATGACCTTCTGGTCAGCAGTTTACTTGAAAACTGTGAATTTTCAGAATATCCGTATGTCAGATTTTATAGTCTATAAATTTGATGGCTTTTTTTTAAAAGAAACATTGGCATTGATAGTCTACAGAGAAAAAGAAAAAAATAGAAGAGATTTAAGAATTGAATAAAAAAGGATAGCTAAGTGCATGAGCTGCAAATATGTATCTCAAATTTTTACTAGAAATGTCAGTTTTTTTGGGAAGCTTCCTGGGTTGCTGATTGGGAGAGAGAGAGAGTGTGTCTGAGAAAACTTTGCAGACTTCTTAGAGCCCATATTGAAAACTACTGAACTCTATGGTCTAAAAGTCCCTTCCAACTCTCCTAGTCAGTCATTCAATTGCAAGAGAGATATAGAGAAGCAAGAAAACAGAACCCCAAGTCCTTTTAGAGCAAGTGGCAATAACTTGATTTGTTTAACCGTGCTATATAAGTACATACTTTGACCTATTCATTTTAAACAACAGCAACAATAAAAATGATAGTAAATGTAACAAGAGACAACTTGTGTAAACAGAAAAAAACTCTTGATAATAAAAGTGTTAATTAACAAGACAAATTTTCAACCCTGGAAATCTTTAAAAACAAAATCAAAATTCTTTAGGTGACTTAGGCGTTTAAAATGCTCTTTTTGAGCCATCAGTATACATTTCTATAGGCCATTTAAGAGGTGTCACAGATAAATTATCACTTAGTACAACAATTGCATTTTCTTTACTATGTGAAATTATTCCATATTTCAGCAAGATTACTTTTTAAATTTTCATATTTTCAAGCTGTGTACCCTAATGGTACTCTTTGGTAGATAGTTTGTTTAAAACATTAGCTGTTTTAATCACAACAGCTATTTGAGGTAGTTATAGAAATGACTTATTTTATGTTTGTATTTAATACAAATGAGAAATAATTTACAAAATTAGAAATTGACATTCATTTAAATATGCATTCTGTTTCATAATTTCCGTTGTAACCAACCACCTGCCTTTAAAATATGTATTTCTTTGATAGCTTCTAACATATTTCCTATATTCAGGATAAAAATTAACCTCATTATCAACCTTAAAATTCTCAAGTTCTTCCAAGAGGGAACAATGTATATACTAAAACACACATTCTCAGTTAACAATGTATTTAGTGTAAAATGGCTCAACAATATAGAGTGGCTAGAAATTGATTTTAGGCTTTGGGAAAATTTTATTTCCCTAACTAATTGTTACTACAGTTGGCTTCTATTTAAATTACTCTGAGTGTGTTAAATACTAACAATGTGTCTCCTGGAAGTCTACTGTACCAGTGTGCTGAACCATATTTTGAAGCTTGAATACAGTTTCACAGATCATCAATAATATATTATTTTGTTGCATTATTCTTTTGAATCCTCAATAATAAGATAACAAGTATCCTTGAAGTGAATTAATGATCAGGAATTCCTCAGCAGAGGAAAACATTCAGATGTTAGCTTTCAGCAATTCACCTTGAATGATTGTGATGTTGAGTCATTCTGGACAATCACATACTAAATTTTAAGGTATCTCCACAAGGAGATGCAACAATTTATTGAGATATTTGTTCATATTTATCAGCCTTTATTATGAAAGGTGGCCAGTCTAAATCTCTTAGACTAAATTTCAGGATTCGATTTCTTGTTTCAGTGAGGCAAGAGATGAGAATAGGTCATCTACATTATACCCCCAACCTTAAATGTTTTATTTTGAAAAATTTTAAGACTAAAGAAAATGGACATTAATATATCCTTCATTCAATTGTTTTTTCACCACGTTTTCCTTCTCCCTTCCTCCTTCCCTCCCTCCCTCTCTTTTTTCCTCCCTCTCTCCCATCCTGCCCTCCCCAATCTTTATTCTGAGTTGCAAACATCATGGCACTTTACCTTTAACTATTTCTGCTTACAAATTCTAACAATAAAGATATTATCCTACATAACTACAATGTCATTCTTACACCTAAAATATAATGTTAATTCAATAACATGATTTAATGTACTATGTCTATGTGTGTCTTTTATTGCTATTTTTAAAAATCTAAGATCAAAGTTCTTGAATTATATTTGGTTATGTCATTCCAGTCTCTCTAACACAGAATACTCTGGTGGTTTTTTCTTGTTTGTTTTCAATGATGACTCTTTTTTTTGAAGAGCACAGACCCATTGTTGTGTAGAATGTCCTACAATTTGAAAATTTTAAATTGTTTTCTCATGATTAGAATCAAGCAACATTTTTGGCAAGATACCACATAGATGATATTGATATTCCTTAGTGTATCACACTGAGACAGCTGATATCAGGTTGTCCCACTATTGGTGATGCTAAGTTTGCATACCTGATTAAGGTTTTAAATGTAAAAATCACTGAATTTTAAAGTGGAATTTTCTCTTTGCATTTTATATGTACTCTGTAGGATGATATGAATATCATGTAAATATCTTGTTACTTCCAAACCTTTCACCCAGTGGTTTTGGCATTCAATAGTGAGCCTTGTCTGAGTAATTTATTATGCTGATGAGGAAAATAAATTTTTCTAATTCAGTCCTTTCACCTACATTTATCAGTGAGCATTGTGCGTATGCATCTTTGGTGCATGTAACTTTGTTTTGGTTGAAGTTAGGGATAAAAATTAGCCCTTTTTCTTCAGTGGAAATAACCTGCCAGTGGTGCTCAATTTGGCTGATTGGCTTAGTTGGTCAACACATGCTGCTGAGAAAGCCAAGGCTATGGCTTCAGTGTTCAGATGGGGCCAATTACCTGGGCTCTCTTTCAAGGCCTGGATAATAATTTTCTGTTTCTAACTCAGGATTATGTGCCAGTGGCCACCTGGGAAACATGGCATACAATTAGGATAGAGATGTACAAATATTTCTAACTAAACAAGCTCTACTAATTGTGGATCATCTTTTTATGTAAAAAAGACAATTATTATTATAAAATATCTACTTTTCCCAGTTTACTTCTTTAGATCCTGTTTTACAAATATTTAATGATTTTTATGACTTGCTTTTCTGTTGCTGGCAAGCATTGAGGACCAGTTACCCTAAATAAAACTCCTGCTGAAAGCAATTAAAAATGATGGTTGTATGTTTCCAAGAATTTATCCATTTCCTCTAGGTTTTCTAGTTTGTGAGTGTGCAGTTGTTCATAATTGTCTCTGATGATCTTTTGTATTTCTGTGGCATCAGTTTTAATATCTCCTTTTTTATTTCTGATTGTGTTTCTTTCTTCTCTCTTCTTGGTTAGTCTAGCTAGTGGTTTGTCAATATTTATATTTTTGAAGAATCAACTTTTTGTTTCATTGATTCTTTGTATTGTTTTTCAGTCTAAATTTCATTCAGTTCTGCTGTGATCTTTGTTATTTCTTTTCTTCTGCTAACATTGGGTTTGGTTTGTTCTTGTTTTTCTAGTTCCCACAGCAGGGTAGTTGGCACCATCCCAGGGGTATGTGGGAATGCCCAGTTTCCCCTCTTCCTCTCCCCTCTCCCTCCTTGGAGTAACACAGCAGCACCTGTGTCTGTAGATCCCTAGTGTCTAGGCTCTCAAATGGTGCCTGGCTAAGGCTACTGCAGGCTTGTATGCCTGTGGGAATCTGCATGGGTTCTCTTTCTGGAGCAACATCTCTGTCCAATCTTTAGGCAGCTCCATATGTCTTGCCCGAGGCTCTAGTGGGTCTTTCCCATAGCCAAGATTATAAAAGCCTGTTTTGGAGCCCTGGGGGTTTCTCTCTTTACGTTTTTCTGCATCCAGGCTTTCCTGGCTCTTAGTCCCTGGCTGGGTGAACTGCCTCGAACCCTCTCCTTCCTTCCTTCTGGTGCTTCTTGTCTCCTTTCTGGTTAATCCTTGCATCTACTTTTAGTTCTTAAGAGAAAATTGAACTTCATTAATAAAAGTGTCACTATTTAGAGGGTTGTCAGTGCCATGAACATGTATAATTTGGCAGACTGAAAATAAAACCCTAACCATTAAGTACCTTGCAAATATGGAGAAGTAAATTTTAGTTTCAAAGGAACATTTTAATCATGAAGCAGTGAGTAAAAGTTGAATTAGATTTTAAAATCCAAGACATTATTTGCTTTATTTCTGGACTGCCTGATAGCAATCATTTCAATTCCAATTCCTGTACCTCTAATGTTTTCTGATCTTGTGCTTTTTGATTCCTAACTTTCAAGCCAAGGAAATGTATGAAACAAGTCACATTTTAATATGAATAAAATAGAATATGCTTACTTGACCAACAGAAATATATGGAGAACGACTTTGGTATTCATTTCTTTCCATGCAAAATAAATAAATAAGTACATAAATAGCCATAGATTATCTTCTAGTACCTACAAACTTTGGCTGAATGACTAAAATCATGGAGTTTAAAGATTCTTGAAAATAAGTGTCCCACTCCAGTAGTTACCAAGTATCATTTAGGTTAAAAGACAAATAATTTATGTCCATTTTCTTCATTCCAAAGTTGAAATAGAATGCCAATTGGATCAATAACAAGTCTAATAGCAATATTCCGACTGAATCAGAGTGTGGGATGAGAACAATGGAGAAAATTAGTTGCTGCCATCTAAAAATACCATCGTCCAGAATCTACTGCCTTCCTCACCAGTCCCAAATCTTCTCCTTCCTCTGACCTTACATTAGGAGACATTTTATTACTATAAAAAGCATGGAGAAAAGTGTTGTCTTACGACAAGTAAATGAAAAACTGCCTGTTAGCAAATCCTAATCTTCATGATGGTTTGCACAGTTGTCAATATCTGAAACCAGCACCCATTTGATAAGTTCATAAAGGCTTAGTTAGCTCTCAAGAGGTGTAAGCATTGATTATGCTACAGTCTGACCTCTAGAGAACTTTAAAAATACATTTATGTACACATTTTTCTTAATGAACTCCTGTTTAAAGCAATAAACAACTGAATAAACACCACGTTTTGAAACTGCTGTGTAATTGTGAAAGATAAGAATTTTATCCAGGATTCAGAAAAAATAATTTTGTTTAACTAGATGTTTGAAATGCATTGTGGGCAAATTAGATTTTTAAAGGACAATAGCCATATTAATAATCCTATAAATATGATAGGGATATATTTCTTCAGCCTCACCACAGAGCTAATTGTTATCAGACACTTATGGAATAGGTAATGAATTTATATAGCCCGCTTAATAATGAACTCTTATTTGTACATAGAAGATAAAATTATTCATCCTAAGTAGTTGCAAGGTTACCTTTGTAACTATTTTAAACATGGTCCATCCAATTGCTTTTGACAGATTTGAAGATATGTGGAAAAACACGTTTTAAATGTACAGAAACCATGAAATACATTTATTTAGTAATGTCAGCCTAATAGTACCTCATTTTGCCAACAGTGGCAAAAAGAAAAAATGTTTTTGCCTTAGAAGTGAGCTAGTTGACAAACTTAATACTTCACTATCAATATGATTTACATGGTCTGGGTTGGGGGCTGGAATTTGTGTGTTGACATCCTCCCCACATGACGATTGCAAATCACTGAGCTAAACCAGTCGTGGCACCTCAGATGCCATTTGACTGTCTTCACTTCTTTTCCACGTGAGAAAGCAGAAAGCAGTGGCTCTCTTAAATATAAGGAAGTATAAGATATTTCCACACTGAAATCACCTGAGGTGCTTTACACATACTGTTGGGCCCCAGGGTAGAGCCTAAATTTATTTTTATTTTATCATAATAAATCCGAGAATGAAAGAATGATATTATCATAGGTTTAATCCTAAATGTAGTTTAATTTGTATTTTAAAGTTAATTATCTGGAAACTAGTATTAAGTTGAACCATTTGAAAATGTTTGTCATTCCAGTTAAAAGCTGGGCAAAGACATGAGCAGACATTTCTCAAAAGAAGAAATAAGTGCGAAAACATGCTCAACATTACTAATGAACAGAGAAATGGAAATTAAAACCATAATGTGATATCATCTTATACCAGTCAGAATGTCTATTATAAAAAAGTCAAAAAACAACAGAGTTTGGCATGGATACAGAGAAAAGGGAATGCTTATACACTGTTGATGGGAATTTAAATTAGTTCAACTTCTATGCAAAACAGTATGGAGATTTATCAAAGAACTAAACATTGGTTTACCACTTGACCTAGCAATCCCACTACTTGGTATTTACTTAAAAGAAAAAGAATCATTATATCAAAAAGGCACCTCTACTTGTATGTTCATTGGAGCACTATTCACAATAGCAAATACATGAAACCAACGTTAAGCGTCCATCATTGGTTGACTGGATAAAGACTGTGGTACATACACACCATGGAATACTATGTAGTCATTAAAAGGAATGAAACCATGCCCTTTGCAGTAACATGGATGGAGCTGGAGGCCATTATCCCAATTGAATTAACTCAGAAACAGAAAACCAAATACCACATGTTCTCACCTATAAGTGAGAACTAAACAATGGGGACACATGAACATAAAGATGGAAAAATAGATACTAGGGACTCCAAAAGGAGGTGGGGGTGAGGGTTGAAAAATTTCCTGTTGGTTACAAAGCTCACTATTTGGGTAACAGGTACACTCAGAAGCCCAGGCCTCAGCAGTATGCAATATGCCCATGTAATAAACAAGCATATGTACCCCCTGAATCTAAAGTTTAAAAAGAAAATATTGTTTGCCTAAAATAAATTATTTTACATTTTGTAAATATTAGATACCACTAATCTAATAGTTGACATTAGAAATAAATTACTTATTGCATGTTCTAAGTGATAGCAATATTCTAGCACTAGTGCTGAGAAAAGTTGCTCTAAAACTTAATTTATTCATTTATAAAGTGAGGGACTGTCTCATGTGAGGAGTACGATAATGCTGATGATAATAATAATGATGATTACAGTTAACATTTAAGCACTTGCCAAGTGTCAAGCAATATGTTAAACAATGTACATATATTATTTCATTAGTCTTCACCAAACATTGTATGGTAGATTCTCATATTACTTCCATTATTAATAGTCATAGAGAGTCACAGAGTGTTAAATAACTTATGCAAGATCGTGGGGCTCTTCTGAAGCCCCAAGGATTGACTTGAACTATCTGAATGTAGAGTATATATTTTCAACTCTTATAAGATGCTACATCTTTGAGAATCGTGGCACTTCCTTCCAGATCTCATGGTTATGGTTGTAGGTCAAACAGAATGATGACTCTATTTCTATCTGGGCCTGTGGTGATAGTTTGTCACACTTCAAATCTACACTGCATCTTAATTGGTTAAACTTTAGTTTGCCTCCTACTCTCATCCAGAATAGCTTAAGCCAGCCAGCTAGTGTCTTATCTGGAATCACATCAAAAATTCCCTTGTTTTTTTTCCTTCTCTTTAGTGGGTATCAATATTCATGACACTGGGTTAGACGATGGTAATTCAAAGATTAATGAAGCATAGTTCTTTTTTTAACTTTTATTTTTTATTTATTTATTCTTTCTAACTTTTAAGTTCAGGGATACATGTGCAGTACTGAATGTGTACTCAATCCGTCTTGAGTTGATTTTTGTATATGGTGTAAAGAAAGGGTCCAGTTTCAATTTTCTGCATGTGGCTGGCCAGTTCTCCCAGCACTTTATTGAACTGGAAGCCCTTTCCCCATTGCCTGTTTTTGTCATGTTTGTCGAAGATCAGGTGGTTGTAGGTGTGTATTCTTACTTCTGGGTTCTCTGTTCTGTTCCATTGGTTTACATGTTTGTTCTCATACCAGTACCATACTTTTTTGATTACTGTAGCCCTGTAGTATAGTTTGAAGTTGGATAGTGGGATGCCTCCATCTTTGTTCTTTTTGCTTAGGATTGCCCTGGCTATTTGGACTCTTCCTTGGTTCCGTATGAATTTTAAAATAGTTTTTTCTAATTCTGTGAAGAATGTAAATGGTAGATAACGGGAATAGCACTGAATCTATAAATTGCTTTGGGCAGTATGGCCATTTTTATGATATTGATTCTTCCTATCCATGAGCATGGAATGTTTTTCCATTTGTTTGTGTCCTCTCTGATTTCTTTGAGCAGTGGTTTGTAGCTCTCTTTGAAGAGGTCCTTCACTTCTCTTGTTGGCTGTATTCCTAGGCATTTTATTCTTTTTGTAGCAATTGTGAATGGAAGTTCATTTGTGACTTGGCTCTTGGCTTGCCTGTTGTTGGTGTGTAGGAATACTAGTGATTTTTGCACATTGATTTGGTATCTGAGACTTTGCTGAAGTTGTTTATCAGCTTAAGAAGCTTTTGGGATGAGATGGTGGGGTTTTCCAGACATAGGATTATGCCATCTACAAATAAAAATAGTTTGACTTTCTCTCTTCCTATTCGTTAAGGATATTTGCATCAATGTTCATCAAGGATATTGGCCTGAAGTTTTCTTTTTCTGTTGTGTCTCTGCCAGGTTTTGGTATCAGGATGATGCTGGTTTTATAGAATGATTAGGGAGGAGTCCCTCTTCCCAATTTTTTGGTATAGTTTCAATAGGAATCATTCCAGCTCTTTTTTTGTACCTCTGGTAGAATCCAGCTGTGAATCCATCTGTTCCTGGGCTTATTTTCGTTTGTAGGCTATTTATTACTGCCTCAATTTCAGAACTCATTATTGGTCTATTCAGGGAATCAATTCCTTCCTGATTCAGTCTTGGGAGGAGTATGTGTCCAGGAATTCATCCATTTCTTCTAGATTTTCTAGTTTATGTGCATAGAGGTGTTTACAGTATTCTCAGATTGTTGTTTATATTTCTATGGGGTCAGTGGTGATATCCGTGTTATCATTTCTGATTGTGTTTATTTGAATCTTCTCTTTTTTCTTCTTTACTGTCTAGCAAGCAGTCTATCTATTTTATTAATTTTTTCAAAAAATCAGCTCCTGGATTTTTTTAAAGGGATTGTCTTGTCTTTATCTCCTTCAGTTCAGCTCTGATCTTGATGTTTCTTGTCTTCTGCTAGCTTTGGGGTTCGTTTGCTCTTGGATCTCTAGTTCCTTCAGTGTGATGTTAGGTTGTTAACTTGATATCTTTCTAGCTTTTTGATCTGAACAGTTAGTGCTATTAATTTTCCTCTTAACACTGCTTTAGCAGCATCCCAGAGATTCCGGTATATTGTGTCTTTGTTCTCATTAGTTTCAAACAACTTTTTGATTTCTGCCTTAATTTCATTATTTACTCAAAAGTCATTCAGGAACACATTGTTCAATTTCCATGTAGTTGTATGGTTTTGAGTTAGTTTCCTTATCTTGAGTTCTAATTTTATTGTACTGTGGTCCAAGAAACTGTTGTGATTTCAGTTCTTTTGCATTTGCTGAGGAGTGTCTTCTGATTATGTGATCAATTTTAGAGTAAGTGCCATGTGACGATGAGAAAACTGTATATTTTGTTGTTTTGAGGTGGAAAGTTCTGTAGATATCTGTCAGATCCACTTGATCCAGAGCTGAGTTCTGGACCTGAGTATCTTTGTTAATTTTCTGTCTCAATGGTCTGTCTAATATTGTCAGTGGAGTGTGAAAGTCTCCCACTATTATCGTGTGGGAGTCTAAGTCTTTCTGTAGGGCTCTAAGAACTTGCTTTATGAATCTGGGTGCTCCTCTATTGGGTGCATATATATTTAGGATAGTTATCTCTTCTTGTTGAATTGAATCCTTTACCATTATGTAATGCCCGTCTTTGTCTTTTTTGATCTTTCTTGGTTTTAAAGTCTGTTTTGTCAGAAACTAAGATTGCAACCAATAATTTTTTCTGTTTTCCATTTGCTTGGTAAATTTCCTCTATCCCTTTATTTTGAGCTTACGTGTGTCTTTGCACGTGAGATGGGTGTCTTGAAGACAGCATACCTATATGTCTTGGTTCTTTATCCATCTTGCCATTCTGTGACTTTTAATTGGGACATTTAGCCCATTTATATTTAAGGTTAGTATTGTTATATGTGGATTTGATCCTGTCATCATGATGTTAGCTGGTTATTTTGCAGACTTATTTATGTGTTTGTTTCATAGTGTCGCTTTGTTCTTTGGTGTGTTTTTGTAGTGGCTGGTAATAGCTTTTCCTTTCAATATTTAGAGCTTCTTCAGGAGCTCTTGTAAGGCAGGTTTGGTGGTTACGAATTCCCTCAGCATTTGCATGTCTGAATTTCTCTTTTACTTATGAAGCTTAGTTTGGCAGGTTATGAAATTCTGGGTTGGAAATTCTTTTCTTTAAGAATGTTGAATATTGGCCCCCAATCTCTTCTGGCTTGTAGAGTTTCTACTGTTAGTCTGATAGACTTACATTTGTCCATGACCTGACCTTTCCTTCTGGCTGATCTTAACATTTTTTCTTTCATGTTGACCTTGGAGAATCATCTGGTGATTATGTTTTGGTGATGATTTTTCTCATGAAATATCTTACTGGGGTTCTCTGCATTTCCTGAATTTGAATGTTGGCCTGTCTTGCTAGGTTGGGGAAGTTCTTCTGGATGATGTCCTGAAGTATGTTTTCCTAATTGGTTTCATTCTCCCCATTTCTTTCAGGTACCCTAGTCAGTCATAGATTTGATCTCTTTACATAAGCCCATATTTCTCAGAGGTTTTGTTCATTCCTTTTCATTCTTCTTTTCTCTATTCTTGTCTGCCTGTCTTACTTCAGAAAGATAGTCTTCAAGCTCTGAGGTTCTTTCTTCTACTTGGTCTATTCTGCTATTAATCCTTGTGATTGCATTGAGAAGTTCTTGTAGTGTGTTTTTCTGCTCTGTCAGGTTGGTTATGTTCCTCTATATAATAGCTATTTTGGCTGTTAGCTTCTGTATTGTTTTATTTTTATTCTTAGCTTCTTTGCATTAGGTTACAACATGCTTCTTTAGCTCAGTGAAGTTCATTTTTATTCACGTTCTGAAGCTTATTTTGGTCATTTCTGCCATCTCAGTCTCAGCCCAGTTCGGAGCCCTTGCTAGAGAGGTGTTGCAGGCATTTGGAGGAAAAGGGGCACTTTGGCTTTTTGAGTCTTCAGCATTTCTGCATTGATTCTTTCTCATCTTTGTGGGCTTATCTACCTTTGATCGTTAAGGTTGCTGACCTTTGGATGGGGTTTTCATGATTTTGTTGTTGTGTTTTCTGTTAGTTTATTTTTCTTTAACAGTCTGGCCAGTTTTCCATAGGGCTGCTGTGGTTTGCCGGGGGTCCACTCTAGACCTTAGTCACTTCAGTTTTTCCAGTACCTGGAGGTATCACCAGTGAAGACTGCAAAACAGCAAAGATGGCAACCTGCCCCTTCCTTTGGAAGCTCCATCTCAGGGGAGTAGTGACCTGTCATTCCGAATGTGTCTCTAGGAGGTGGCTAGAGACCCTATTTAGGAGGTCGTATCCGGTCAGGAGGAATGGGATCAGGGACTCGCTTAAAGAAGAAGTGTGGCTGCTTTTTGGTAGAGCAGTTCTGCTGTGTTGTGATCCCTTCAGTTCCCAATCAGTTTGGGCTCTCCAAGGCCCACAGGCTGGACCAGCTGAGATGCCCAAACAGCCAAGGTGGCAGCCTGTCCCATCCTACCTCCAGGTACTCCATCCCAGGAAGAAATTAAAACTCTGTTGCAGAATATGGGTGGGGGTGGCCAGAAGCCCTGGCTGGGAAAACTCACCCCATGAGAAGGAGTGAACTGGGGTCCTGCTTAAAGAAGCAGTCTGACCATGCCTCAGCAAAACAAAACACAGTTCTTCCCCTCAAGGATGCCCAGCCTAATACAGTAGACAAGATCTAATATAATGGAATAAGTTCCATGATAATTATGACCAAAGTCTGATAATGGTTAAACAAGATGAATGAATTTTTCTTGGTATACCAGTAAGACGGCTTATGGAAGATTTCACAGAAGGAGGGATATTTGAATTACAGTACTCCAGACCTTCAAGAATGGAGGGATGTTATTGCAAGCAGAAAAAACAGTTGTCAATTTGCTTGTATGTGAGTTACTACTGTGAGTTTGTGGAAACTGATAGGCTCAGTGTGGCCAATGTAAAGTTGACAAGCGATGTGTAAAGAATGAGTGAAGATGGGTGAATAATTGAGAAGAGGCTAAAAATGAAGGCAATGGCTAGGCAAAATGACATTATGCCATTGTAAAGGGTTGAAACTTTATCTTGTAGGCAATGGGATTCTAATGAAATAGTAAGCAAGGGAATTACTTCCTCATATCTGACTTTGGAAAGGTTACATTGTAAAAGATGAACCAGTTTTCCTTGCCTAACATTATTATATGGTAAAAACAGACGTCATTATTATTATCATCTTCCAATGTAGGAGGGCCTTGGAGATGTGATCTAATATCACCTACAGGCATAGAGCTTTTATGTTTTGTTTTAAAAGAGCCCAGGTTGGAAAAAGAATTAAATTCTATATTAGCTTCCTGAATAGTTTGTGTAGGGAAATAAAATAGAATTGCTTGAAGCAAAACTATGTGTTGTATCACATTATACATAAACATAGGATTTTCTTGAGAATTAGTAAAAGCAAAATTTGAGATTGCTTAGGCCTTGAGCAAGTCAGAAATTGATGTTCTAGTTTTCTCTAGGAGAATTTTAAGCAATTTGGGCATAAATCAGGATCCAAAATTTTTGATAACCTAGTTGTTTAGAAAGTAGATTTTGTCATAAAAATTAAGATGATTAATTTCACAAGTTAGTCCACAGAAGTTTATCTCATAATGAAGCATAAGTTAGAATTTTTTTGGGTTCCATTCAAACTAATTTCAGCAAAAAAGTGGTGACATTGGTGGGAGGAAGCAGATTTAATGGCTCACAAACCCTGTGAGGGTAAGGATCATATTTGTCTTGATCACCGTTAAATCTCCAATGCTTAGCAAAGTGCCTTGCATATAGTAGGTGCTCACTGACTATTCATTCAATGAATGAAATAAACTAATCACAGGAATGTCAGGGACTTAGCTGGACCTGTGTGAAGATGGCAGCTAAGGATGTGAATGCTCTCAAGATACTCTTTGTTAGCATTTCGTTATCTGACTTTTTGTGTTTTGGCTTAATTCTTTCAGACCACGTCATTGTTGTGGCTGGAAACTTGGTCACATGGAACGTTTATGTTTACATGTCCCAGGTTTTGTATTGAACAAAAACTCTCTCTAGTAGTAAAACCAAAAATCCAAGGGGAAAGTTTCAGGTTAGCCCAGCTGGAATTCAGCGCATATTAGAACAGTGAACCATGGCAGGTAGAACTGTGTAAGAACAGGGATGCAGTACTGGAAGTGTAGAGTTGAAATGAGGGAAGGGGGTTTGCCAATCAGTTTTATACTCTGCAAACTTTATCATCTTTTAAGAGAAGGGTCTTACCTAAACTAATGGGTTATAAAAAGAAAAAGAAGATATATTCCCTGTCTTTAAACTGTATGTTCTCTGTTGTTGTTTTTTTTCTTTTCTTTTTTTTTTTTTTTGAGACAAAGTCTCCCTCTGTCACCTAGGCTAGAGTGCAGTGGCGTGATCTCGGCTCACTGCAACCTCCGTCTCCCAGGTTCAAGGGATTCTCCTGCCTCAGCCTCCTGAATAGCTGGGACTATAGGCCCATGCCACCATGTCCGGCTACTTTTTGTATTTTTAATAGAGACGGGGTTTCACAGTGTTAGCCAGGATGGTCTCTATCTCCTGACCTTGTGATCTGCCCACCTCGGCCTCCCAAAGTGCTGGGATTACAGGCATGAGCCACTGTGCCCAGCCATGTTCCTTATGATAATTTAAGATGACAAGATCTGATAGGCAAGAACCTTCAGATATGCAAAAGAACACTAAAGTAAATTCAAATTATTATGGTGAAACATACAAGAAAAATGTTAAAAGAATAGATGAGAAGTAATAAAAAAGAGCAATACCAAGGTGTATTTCAAGGTAGATTTTAAAGAAAAATGTGATTTCATTCAATTAAAAAATTATAAACTTATTGGATAGCTACTATATGCTACATATTGTAACTAGATCATATTTTGGTCAGAAAGATTTATAAGGCAGATTCTTCGCCCCTGACAATCTGGAATCCAGCTGTGTGAAAATGACTCATATGAAACCATCCATATAATAATAGCAATGAAAAAAATAGAAAATCTACTTACAGAGTTATGCAGAGCTTCCTGCAGACATTGTTTACTCAACTTAATAGAAATATGTTTGGTGCTAGGAATTATTCCACTCTTCATTTTCATCAACTCCTTAGGCTCAACCAACCAATAACGTGGCTATACATCCTCATATGTATGTTGGATGCACACTAGACAATAACAAAGTCACCAATCTTCCAATTCTTAAGCCAACAGGCAGGAAAATCTGTGTCATGGTACATTTTCCAGTTTTTTCTTTGTTGGGGATGAAGACGACACCTAAATGGTTCTTCCCTTTACAGAATTGGAGACCTAGGGAGAGGTCTGCCTTGCTTCACCTCTCACATACCTCTTGGTGTAGGACTGGGCTCCACAAACTTCATGTCCCAACTGGGTAATTAGGTATTGGCTAAGCTAGACAAAGTAAAAGAAAGAAGAGCAGGAATCTCTCTTTTTCATTGAAATCCAGGCTCAAATAGCAGGCTGAACCATCTCTTGGAGCCCCTAAAGCCAATGGAAATCCTAGTCATTCTCAGCACTTGGCATGCTTGTCTGCTAAGAATGAGCATCTTCGGAGGATTCACTATGTAGTTGTGGTAGAATCACCGCTAACATAGGCTTCAGCAATAGGCACCTTAACTGAGACACAGTACAGTTCTAGAAATCCACTTCTTACACTTGTGTCTTTAAGTAGCTGCATATCTAGATTTTGTGAAGTCACTCTATTGTTATAAAATTTTTAGTGACTGGTTTTCCTGAGCTTCACCTGAGCTGCAAAGCCATAACAAGATAGAATGGGTTGCCTGGAAGGAAGTTAATTGGTTCCTTCATTGGGACTCTTTGGGTACGTTACAGGAGAAATTTCTCCATGGAAAAAGTGGCTAGACTACAGGGTCATCAAAATCTGTTCGAATTCCTAAATCAACAATTCTATTGCAATCAGATAGTGACTACCCCTTGAAAGCTTTTGTTGTAACCAGGCTTATTATTTAATACCTCCTTGACTGCTGCCTGGCCAAATGTGATTTCCATGTAGCTGGCTAGAAATGCAGACTTTGTTTCAACGAGGAAAAAAGAGGTCTCTGGAAATAGTTCCCTGTTTCTATTACAAATATAAACTGTTAAAAATTTTAAGCTGCTAAGCAATGTTGAAATTTGCTGTTTTGTTGAAAATGTGATCAAACAGGGAAACAATGCCTTATTCATCACCTTTTTTCTTATGTTGTCTTGGGATTCTCAGCAGAGCAGATTATCAGAATCTCGATTACATTTTGAAGTATGTACAAAAAAATCCTCTTGTTGTTTCCTCAGATGATTTTAGAGGCTAATAAAAACTTAGCCACTGGTAGCCAAAATGAAAAGGGTAAATAATTGAAAATCAAAAAGAAGGGCAAAGATGATGATGTTTCATTTAGCTATTTTATAAGACCTACTGAGCCAAAGCACTTATATAACAGATTTGAATGACATTAAGTATTATGTAATTAAAATATGTCCAGAAACTGCTTCTCAGTTTAAGAGCTACACATTTTCATGCAAAGCATTTATTTAAAAAACTATTATGTTCTAGCTCTTCCCCATATATTACTTATAGTCAATACAATACTCTGAAAGATGGGATCATACTAGTATATCTTGCTGATTAAATAATGGAGGTTTAGAGAAGTAGTAAACTTAAAATTTCACAGCTGGGGCCGGGTTCAGTGGCTCACGCCTGTAATTCCAGCACTTTGGGAGGCTGAGGCGGGCAGATCACGAGGTCAGGAGATCGAAACCATCCTGGCTAACACAGTGAAACCCCGTTAATACTAAAAATACAAAAAATTAGCCGGGCACGGTGGCGGGCGCCTGTAGTCTCAGCTACTCGGGAGGCTGAGGCAGGAGAATGGCGTGAACCCGGGAGGCGGAGCTTGCAGTGAGCTGGATCCTGCCACTGCACTCCAGCCTGGGCGACAGAGCGAGACTCCGTCTCAAAAACAAACAAATAAAACATTTGATGATGTTTGTTTATTGTGGTTTATTCTTTTAAATGAATTTCTCTCCAATCTGTTTTTTAGCTTTCTTGTAAGTAACAGAATTTGGTATTTTATGTTCCAAATTGTGCACTTGGCCCAGTTGTAGTGGTTATGATGAGGTGTGTGTGTGCGTGTGTGTTAACATTGCAACAACATAGGTAAGGTTCCTCCTAAAACTTGCTGGCTTGGGACCAGCCTTGAGTAGAGTTTATGGCTACCTGTATAAAATGAAGTTATTGAAAATAAAATGTATAGAAACAATTTTTTCTTTTAAATGTAGGCTACTACACTTGTGGATGTTTATTATTAATCTTTCCCCCATAATGGAAGCAGTGTTTGGCTATGGGCCAAAATGATTAACACAGTGGTACACAGTAAATTGAATATTAGAGAGTCAAAAGCCAGGAAAAGCGTGGAAACAGAACTATATTTTGTGGTTCCCAGAGTGGTTTCTGCTTGTGAGTCTACTCTGGTAAGCTACAACTCCCTGTTATTCACTTGTTTGTCTCTCTAATTTTGGGGACAACAGTTTGCCCTGTGTCCTCATCTCTCTTTTGCATCCAAGAAGAGTTGTTGATTTTGTACTCCACATTTTTATTTGTTGTCCAGACAAGAGTGGTGACCTCCAAGCTCCTTACACACAGAGCTAAAAACTAGAAGTTAGTTTAACTTTTTTCATTGCCACGTTCATATGCTCATGTTATAAACATTCTTACATTCAGAAGATAAAAATAAAGAGAATACACACTTCCCTTTTTCCATACATACACAATACTTCCTCCCATGGACTGTTCATTAATTCAGACTTCTGAAGTTTTCTTTAATATATATGCAAATATGTGACTATCCTCTTGCTTTATCTTGAAAAATATTCATAGAAAAATTAGTTGTCACATTAAGAAATTTTTGATAAGAATCCTTCTAATAGCTATTAGTTTTAAGTACTACAGAGAATGACATTAGAAATAATTTAGTTCAACTGTTTCATTTTACCATGATGACACTTGAATAGCAAAGGGGTTAAATATTGGTGCCAGTCATAAATGTGGTTAATAATGCAATCCCTGTCTGTTGGCACGCAGGCTGATGATTTTCGTAGTTTTCTTCACTTCATGGACGCAGGCTATCTCAACCAATCAGTAAAATAAAACATGGGACCCCACAGACTTTCAGGGTCTTATGAAAATTTTTTGAAAATGTAGATACTGAAAACAGTGTACTTGTGGTGTGTATTTATGCCCATTTCCTAAATTTTGATGTTCTCAGAGTTTTATCTTATCTTTTTGAAACCAGTGCAATTTATCTAAAATGTAATGGTTTCTGGAAATGTTCCTTTTTAAATACATTAAGATAACGAAACCACTCACCAGATTGATGATAGAGATTATTCCCAGTAGAAATAGGGTAGGAGTGGGGGTTAGTAGTGAGTGTGTGTATTGAATAATTAGGGCATTGATGAGTCAGTAAAACTGATCATTGGAATCTCGTGAAATGAAGTTTTTTTTCAGTAAATTTCCCTAGATTTATCAGTCATTAGAGTAGTATGCTCAAGAGGTAATTTAGACTGTTCTGCCTTCATTAAGCATTTTTTTTTAATAGCAAGTGATCCTTCTTGAAATGACCTTCTCAGGTGAGGAGAAGATTGTAGTTATAGCATCATTAACAATGCTTTTCTCTTCAGAAAAAAATGTTTTGCATGCATGGAAGTTAAATGTAATTTTTAAAACATTCATCTTGCTCTAGAGGCAAACAGCAGAAATTAATTTCTCATTTTTATATAGCTAAAAATACCACAGAGCATGGAAAAATGGATTTCTTTAACTGAAAGGAAAAAAATTTGTATGAGCATGAAATACCAAGATGGTTTGAGAATTCATAAAATGGTCCTGCCTTGAGCATTAACATCTTTCTTGGGCCTAGTCTAATCTATGAGATGTGACATGATGCCCTTAGGTCATTGTGAATTCATCCTAATTCTTGATTAAAAAGAAGAAACTTATTCTCATGGGTGCGATCATGACTTTTGCAACAAATGCAACATTGTCTTTTGCTGTTTATTCCCTTCAAAAATCCAGTGTGTTCATTAATCAAAACATACATATTCTGAAGAAACCGATTACACAACCCCCTAAAGGAAAGCCCTTTAAAGAAATGCAGAGATCCAAAGTGCCGAAGGACAAATTGTCACTTCTTTCAAGTAGTACTTTATGTATTTCGTGGATGATTTCTACACAGACTAGGCCATAGAAACCAGTGCGTAGAAATGCTTCTGTTACATGTTTAGGATCTATCTATGTTTTTTGACGATGAATGAGAAATTCTGGTTTGCTTTCAGAGTGGTACAGCAATATCCATGTGGTCCAGAAATAAGATTCCATGCTAATTTTCTTGTTATAAATTTTGAATTTTGCGTACTGAGATTTTTTTGTCTATGAATTCTTTTATAGCACCTGAATGTTTTCCTTGAAATGTATAAAATTTACACATTTAGATTTTCTGCATTAAAATGCCATTGTGCAAGCTTTCTTACAAAATAAAAAACAGAAATCTACTAGCCCATAAAATGTTTATCACCCTGACATGTGTCAAAAGGATATATTTGATGGCTGTGAACCTGAGGAAGTACAGCATTTTGCCTGTGCTGTGTCTCATGTTTCATCTTTATTACGATGAGATGAGATGGTTTCATTTCAGTTAATCCTATTTCTTTTAGGACCTACATCTATGTTAATTGTCATGGCTAATTAGCCTTACAGTAAAAGTAGGCAAACCAACAAAAGAAATGCCCTTTCAAAGACATGCTTTTTGACAATGCATTTTACTATGCAGTAATGTGGTTGGAAAGCAAAACAGTCTACTAACCATTAAGTTCTTGTTTTAGAATAGTCACATATTTTGTCATTACTCAGTTTCTCAAACATTGTGTATGTCATACAAGACAGGTTTTTATTTGTCAGCATTTAATGTTGTTAGAAAATAACCACATCACAAGAGTTTACATGTAAAATAAATTCTACTTTAATAAGACTCTGAATAATAATAAAATTTAAAAAGCAAGAGTTGAAGTCAGCATAAACAATATTTAGTGGACAAGTTCATGCCCTGAGTAGCCTTTTCTGGGATAGACAGTGTTCTTTTTCTTTTGTCCTATATTATAAGGAGCAAAACATCTGCATGAATAATAAATTACATGTATGTATGCTGGAGTAATTAGGACAGCAATCTCACAAACTGCATTAGGCTAGTATTGTCCTTGACCCAGAGTCCTTATGTGTGTATGAAAACTTCAGTTGTGTAAGGTACAATTAGAAATGAAAGGTTTTTCTTTCTTTTGAGGTGGGAGGTGACAACCACTACATTTATTCTTTCTTTAGTTATTTCTTCAACATATTTTTGTTGAGTGCTACCAGGCTAAGGTACAGAGGTGAACAACTCAGAAGCACTTTCTGTCATCATGGAGCTTGCAGACTACCAGGGTGAGAATGGAGGACTAAAGATAGGCAAAAATGCATAATGCATCACCTAGAGAACATAACCCAAAATGACTGAACCAGCAACTTAACACCGCTGCTATCTTCAGTTAAGTACATGCCAAGTAAGATGAGAAAAGGCCTACAACATCTCATGGACAAGCTTTGGAGAGCAAATAGGTTTTAAACGTGACCATTCCATGAAAGTCCCCATCTATAACCTCCAAATGCAAGAGGGAACTATGAGGTACCACTATCATGTCTCACAACACGAACCCAAGAAATGAAAGCTAATAAGAAATCTCCCAAACCTGAGGGAGAACCAGGGAACAAAACTTGCAAGAGCACTAGAGCAGTGGCCTGAATCCCGAGTTGTCTCTGGGTGCACCTGCCACTATTGCAATTCTTACTCTACTTACCATCAATTACTTCTGAAGACCAGCTACATGTCAGGCATTATAAACATATCATCTCTTTTAACCTTTAAAGAATCCATTTAGGAAAGGAGGAAACTGGGTCTCAGGAAGATTAAGTGATTCTCTTAATGCCACAAAGCTAGTAAAGGATCGGGCAACCACCGTGTCTCTGTCTCCGTAGATTATCATGTCATAATTACCACAGGCTTACTCAGTTGGAGGAAGGAAAATGGGACATTATTAGCAAGATTTTTTTTTCCATAGCATGGTCTTGAAGACCTCTTACTGTGTTTTCTGAAGTGTTTTTCTTTCAAAAAAAAATTTGTTAAACAATTACACTTAAACGCAACAGTACAGCTGGCTTACTTTAATGAAAGAAAATATAACAGGAAGTACATTTTCTTCTCTTAAACTCAGGTATTTTAATAGTTGAGTTTTCTAAAAGTAATTGTTATACTAGTCTGTAAAAAAGAATGAGTCATTTAAGCAGCACATTTTTTTAAAAAAGGTCGTTATAAATGGGCGCACAATATCACGTACAATGAGTTTATAGTGAACATTTTTGTGTTCAGGCTGAAAAGGCTTCTTGCAAAGGCAAACAATTCAGCATTGACTTCTCTTTAAATCTGCCTTTGGAGCTATCACACAAACACTGTGGTGAGAACTCTGTTTCTGTTACTTACCAAGGCTTAATGAAGCTTACTGCCAGGCACATTTTGAATAGATCTACATTGTGGCAGCTTCAAAGAAGGAGCCTTTGGTGTTATATTTCCTAAAGCTGATGTTCTTGACCACAACGTGGTCATTTTTGAGATAATGTGATAATCTGGCAGGTTCCCCAGGAGGACCAGTTATTTTACTCAGACTCATCATATTCTTCTCAACGCCTCTGCCTACTCTCTTGATATCTTATAGATAGATGATAACTATCATGGTGTAGACGGTTAATGTAACTTTTCAACTAATTATGTGGGTATTTTCCAGTCTTAGCACAGCATTTTTTTTAACCTCAAGTTCTTCTTTTGAAGGCTTTGAATATGACCTTGAAGTGTCTTGAGAGAAAAAAAGACAGTAATGCTTAGCTTCTGTTTTGTTTTCTTTTCTCCAATGAAAAGAATGGCTTTCATACTGTAAATGGTAGAATAAACATGACTGAGGGACATCAAGGCACAAGAGAGATGGAGCAGTGGTAAGAAAGCACCCACACCTAGATTGTCAATAATGGCTAGTCTGTAAGCACAAGTGGAAGTGGATTGCATCTATGGGTAGTGAAACAACAGTTGATATGATTGGGAAACAATTTTAGTGGTTTTACAAAGATCACACATTGGAGCAGTACAGGAGATTGTAGATTGGGTCAGCTTTGATTCTTCCCAAAGCAGATTCAGAGATCAAAATTTGGGTGCAAGTAGGTTTTTGGGAAGTGATCCCAGAAAGCACAAGGTGGGAATGAAGAAATGAGCCTGGAAGGGAGGAAAGCAAATGAAGCTGCATCAATTAGTGAATTATTCCTATTGGAAGTTTGGCTCATTTCATCTAAGGTCCTTCTGAGAGACTATAGAATATGTCTCAAAATTGTCTCACAGAGGGAGAGTCAGCAGGGGTGCCTATTGACCAAACTGAATTCCTCATTAGGATGCCCTGGGAAAAATCCTGGCCTGCTGACGTGTCTAGCAGGCTCCCTTGTGTCAGAGAATGCCCTCTGGCAGATATGACAGAAGCGTGTGCAGGGACTAGGCAGTGACCTTCAGGGAAGGCTGAGGTGATATGGGTGGGGGTTCTGACTGCACCTGCCACAGAGTAATAAAAGTGAACCTAATTTTCAGATATGGAGAAAATGTAAACTGTAGAACCTTTATATTCACGAAGTGAATTTTAATTTCCAGAAAAAAAGCCTATTTTTTAAATGTTAGGAAGAAAGCAATCAACGAGTACACACATACCAAAAAAATGTCAATATAGCCTCATTTAAGAAAAACACATTATTAGAGTTGTTTATCAGAAACTTTGATTTTAGAAGCACATGTAATCAACATTTTTTCTATATCTTGTAGATTAAATGAATGAAGCTGCAGATAGGCAAATTTATAGGTAATTGCTCAACAGGATCTAGCATGTTGATGAATGATTACTTGTCATTCAAATTAAGTGTGTCTAGTCCTTTAAAGCCAATTCATTTTCTTTTGAAAAATATGAAAATATCTCATACCCTTGCATGGATTTTGATGTGTTACTTTAGTGGGGCCATGTCTTCCCTCTTGGCTATGAGTGTCTGTGGCCCACACGAAGGTTTATAATAGTATCCTCAAAAGCTCTGTCCTGTCCTGTTTATTTTTATAAACGCTATGGATGAAGACAGGGAAGGCAAGTCTGTAAATTTTCCATCAGGGATAAATAGCTACTGTGGTAGGTGACACAGATGGGTTCAGTAAAGCTCTCAACAGCCTGGAATGATTAACTGAAATTAATGATTGGTTTTATTAGGGTAGAAATATAAGCTCTTGCATATAGGTTAAAAAAATATGCCAGCTTTGAGACGAGGAGTACTTGGTTTACAATAGTGTATAAAGAAAAATCTAGGGCTTTTAGTTCATTGCAAGCTTAAAACAAGCCAATTTATTTAAGGGGCCAGAAACCCTAAAGCAATTTCAGACTGAAGATGTAAAATCATATGTCCAGAACAACGAGGTTCTACTCTATGTCTTACTATTCAATTGTATTTAGTGGATTGTGCTCCATCCTGAAAGATTAGCATTTTAAGAATCAGTGAGAATATTAGAGACCATTTAGATTCATGCTTCTTTGCCTGGGTGCATGTGCTCATGGTAGTATGCAAGGTATGCCAGGTGTACCAGGAGACATAGGATAAATATGTCAAAACTTCCATGAACACCGATTTTGCTTGAGTATTCAAGGAGGGAAAGCGGATTAAAGTTACTAACAGGTTGAATAGTTGGAAACTATTGAAAAACAGTTTCAAAGTTAAAACACATATTATATTATAAAGTAGAATACAAAGACCATATAAAGTTCTATGTTAAAATATGAGACTTCTGAAAAATCTCCACTTGCAGATGGTAATTTTGAAAATTGCTTTCAGAACTCTGGAAATCATGGGTTCTGTCTCTTCTGCAGGTACTTTAATTCAACAAATATTTACTGAGTATCTAGTCAGTGCTAGGCACTGGGCTAAGTGCTTGGGATATATCAGTGAACAAAACTAATACAGAGTCCTGGCTTCATGGGAACTCATATTATGAGTAGAAAAGTTCAAGAAGCACACCTTATCCTTAATTTTACAGATGAAAAGGTGAGAAGGCATATAGCTAGTCCTAAGTTCTATTCCTAGTTCAATTGCTTGCTAACTGTATAGTCTTGGGCAATTATTTCATTTCTTTAAGACTCAGGTTTCTCATCTGCACAGTAGTAGAGCAAGACCTATCTATTTCATTAATGGGAGTAGTAGATGAGATAACATGGGCAAAGTATTTAGGGAAGTGCCTGATACAGAGTACACATTCAACCGTTCAATAAATTATGATTATTGTCAGAGAGGTCCAGTGACTTGCCTAAATTCACACAGTTGCAGAACAACAGATTTGTACTAAAACTCAGGTATTCTGATTCCCATTTCTGAGCTCCTTGTATGACAGTGTAATCCTGGGTATCATACCTCAGAAAATAAACAAGGCTTATTTGTACTTTTTTCATTACTAAAGTAATTCATGTGCGTTTGAAAATTAGGAAAATGCACATATGCAGAAAGTGAAACAATAAAACAACAAATGAAAAACATTCAGCACAACCCTTCACAACAGTTTAATTAAAATTTTGGCACAATCTATCAGCCCTCTTTTTAATATATAGTTTTGTTTTTAGCAGAGCTATATTCTATCTATTTGGATTTCTATTTTGATTTTTTTGTACATTTATTATTAATATATATACTTTCCCTTATGTAATAAGGAAGGTTTTTATTCGTTCAATAACAGCATCCCAGTCTGTTGGGAGTATGACAATTTTTTAACCACTTTCTCCATAGTCGACACTTATGCTGTGCTAATGAACATCTGCGTCTGACTAGCTTTATGGCCGTATGAGTGCCTGTCTTCCCAACAGGCAAGGCCCAGGCTCTTGCAGAACATGGTTCTGCCTTATATATTGGTGCTTCAGGAAACTCAGGCCTGATCCTTTAATTCACCCTTTAAAACTTGCATAATCACTCATGCTTTTCCCAGGCAAAGATCTTTCTTTTGGGATGTGTTTTTTTTTTTTAACCTGATCCCCCTTTTCTTGGAAGTTTCTCTGGATAGCCCCTTTGGCTCCCAAATCACCTCCATTCTACGATATTCTGTCTTGATCTCCTTTGCTCCTCACTTCACAATCACAGATCTATCGTGTCTATCCTGGTTCTCTTGCTTCTCACGGGATCCGTTGGTGGAGTGGCTGAATGAGTGTTTAATGTTAATGTTTTATATGTTTGTGTGTATGTGTGTGTGTGTGTCTGTATGTACATTTATGTGTGCATGTTGAACTGTAGTTTCAGACTATAGTCCTGAAAAATTCTAGAACACTTTGAGCTTTATGGATTGTTAGACTATGCAAGAAATTATCTGTGTGAGTTGTGTTTGGGTTAGGTATTAAAAATATATATTGCTAGAGGTGTTTGTTGGAGGAAGTTTTATACAATGGAAAAACATGCCCTACCATGCGGATACATACTGTACACAAAAAGATGATCAATCCAGATCTTCGCTAATACAAAGAAAATATGACCCATAGCACTTGACTCTGTAGGTCAGAAATTGAAACAGATATTCCCATAAAACTCTGGAGAATGATGAAGGCCTCGGGGAAGCAAGTCTACACTGTTTCTCTTTCCAGTGCTTTCTCGAATAAGTGTAAAACATTAGTGAGGCTTCATCTGAAGGTCAGAAAGTTTACACAGTTGGAGTTATATGAGTATCAGGCTTTCTGAATTAAGATTCAGAATTCATATCTAAAATTTGAGGCTGTGCACTGTTCCACATGACTGATTTTTTTTCTGATACATAAGATATTATTTTCCAGTATAATTAATGTCAATCTACTGACATCAGTGAAATGCACATGAAATTCTAAATGAATGTGCCATTAGATGTAACTCTTAGTTGTTACCTAAAGTCAGGGAGCAACACCAAAAACAGAAATAACCTTCCTTTATACCAGGAACTGTCAATACAGCATATTTTTAACATGATGAGCTGTAGAGGGAAAATATTCGTGTATTCTTCAAGATCAAATGTTCATAAATCTGGAGACCAAGAATTATTCACATTTTGAGTTTTTGTAGAATTCTGCTAAGTAAGGTATTAGAGTACTCCATGATCACTCAGCAAACTAGTACTGGTATTGATTTCTAATTTTGTCCAATTTCCTTTAAAACTTTCTCTTTGATATTTTTGTAGCTCTAGCACCCTTGAACACATGATTGAGGTAGTTTTGGCCTCACAGATGGAACAGCTTGATGCTTGCTCAAAAAGGTAATGAAACATCCTCAATTCCTGATGAACATCTCTTTTCTCCTTTTTGGGGGGACATCTCTTTGTTTTACATTCACATTATCTCTATATCTCAGTGCTATTTCTCTTGTCTTCATTGATTTCAAGTATCTTAGGTCAGGAGTTAAAAGTTAAATAGTCAGAGCCAGGACTTGGGTCCCCAGCCATGGCTTCCCCAGACTCTCATGGACCTTGTGGTAGGTAAGCCTCCATGGTGATGAGCTAAAAGTCAACAGTTTTCATTCTGCCTTCCTTGTCATGTCTAAGCCTACTAGGTAACCAAAGTATATCCTGCATCCCCTCGGCTTGCCTTGGTTCTAAGACATGACCTGCAGACTAGATGCAAGAATGCTACAAACCTGTGCCCCTTGACCAACTAATAGACCCCAATGGAGGGAAATGAGAATAAATGTGAGGGAGACCACAGTCCTTCTACAGGACATGTGATTTTGAGAGAGAAAAGGATGGATGGAATGGGAGAATGTGGGGCAGCTGCTCTCCATTTCTTTCCTTTCTAAAAGAACTGAGATAGTGCCTCTCATTTAGGGTACAGCAAGTAAACATTTCTTCATTTGGCTGGTATGTATTTAGTCTCCTAGCTGTCAGCCATTGTGGTAGGTTTAAAAAAAATAAGAAGCCTCAACAATACTTGTCTCCAGCGAGCTTACATTTCATTTACTAGGGTGTGAGGAAGATGGGAAATGAGAGAAAAGAGAGGCGCACAACTAGTCACAACTGAGGTAAAATGCATAGTAGGTACTCACTAAATACTTGCTGGGTGAATGAACAGATGGATGCATGATTAGAATACCACTTCAAATCACTCCCTGAGGCGGTATTCTGAAATGGACTTTAAAACAGAAGAAGGACCTTAAAAGGTGGATATGGTAGTGGTTATCTGAATGCAGGATGTGGCACACGTGAAGAGCAGTGAGGAAGTACTGGGAACTGTTCAAGGGCAGTGGGCCATTTCTCCGGCTGGAGCAGACTGTGTGGTAGGGGGAAGAGTGGAAGATGAAAAAGTCTAGAAAGGTCTGGCGTGGTGGCTCACGCCTGTAATCCCAGCACTTTGGGAGTCTGAGGCAGGCGGATCACGAGGTCAGGAGATCGAGACCATCCTGGCTAACACGGTGAAACCCCGTCTCTACTAAAAATACAAAAAAAATTAGCCAGGCGTGGTGGCGGGCGCCTGTAGTCCCAGCTACTCGGGAGGCTGAGGCAGGAGAACGGCGTGAACCCGGGAGGCGGAGCTTGCAGTGAGGGGAGATCGCACCACTTCACTCCAGCCTGGGCGACAGAGGGAGACTCCGTCTCACAAAAAAAAAAAAAAAAAAAAAAAAAAAAAAAAAAAAAATCTAGGAAGATGGAGTTGGTTCCCAGCATGGAGAACCTTGACTGTCAGGGGCAGAGGTGTGGCTTTTATCCTTTGAATTACACGGAGACTTTGAAGAATCTTTGAGGAGGGCAATGACCTGATCAGAGTCTACTTTGGAAAATCCCCTGATAGCATTTTGTTAAATACAGCAAAGGAAGACGGACTAGAGGGAAAGATATGTTGAGAGGCCACTATGTCTATCTAGGCAAGAGGTAGGGAGACAGGGAGGAGGCAGGGAAAGAGAACAAATGAGAACTCAAGGGGGATTGCTAGAGTTTATTGACTGAACTTGGGAGAAAATGAGAGGCAAGGCCACAAAGAAGGCTTTGAGGTTTGAGTCTGAGTAACTAAGAATTGTGAGGCCCCAAACAGAAATTGTGGAGTCATAAAGGAAAAGAGATTTTGGGGAGAGGGAGGAAGATTACCTTATTCATTGATACATTGAGTTTGAAAAACTAGGACAAAAAGACGTGCAGTAGAGATGTCTATCAAAAAAGCATGTAGGTATTAAGTGTGGGAGAGAGAACAAGCTTCAGAAGAAATATTTTCAGAGGAGAGAATGTAGAAAGATAATGAAAGAACTGCAGAAGAGGCAGGTTGGAGGTGGCAAAAGAGCCAACTAGAGGGGCAGATGGAAGTACAAAGGAGGGGGTCAGGGAAAAGAAATCCTGAGATTGTAGCTATGAACTTCCTTATACTGAAGCTCTCTTTTTTTACAACTCCCTTTGGGCTGAATATTTTTGGGATCCCTTGGAACCAAATGTTCTCTAGGGACCTGGTCATACAATCAATTGACTCCTTGAGTAGTTCAACCCTGGCTGTTATTTAACAAATTGAAATTTTTGTGTCTTCTTTCTTTTTGTGATTCCTTTTATATTCTCCATGACTGCCTTAGATAATTTGTCATTTATGGTTTCCTATCTTAATCTTGTGATTATGTCTGTGGCTTTGTTATGACTCTCTCTAAGTTGTCAATGTTTCTGTCTCATAGTAGAACCAAGGGTCAAGCTTCAGTTACAAGGGCCTGACTATTGCTTTAAAATCAATAAAAGACAACTTTTGGAGGGTCAATATGATACTATTTTCTCTTACTGGCTTTATTATTGCTATATAAGAAAAGGAAGAAATCCAAGGGTGTTCAAATAATGAAACAGAGAGGGTAAAGACAAACTCCCTGTGTATATGTGTGTTTGAGTATGCTCACATGTGAGTGAAATTAGATCACCTGGTGAAATAAGCCATGCCAATGCAATGAATGACACCATTTCAAAGTCTCATGAGATGGGACTTTAAATACAAACCGTTTAAAATATATGATGACTGGTTTCAGTCTCCCATGCCCTTTAGAGTGGATCGGCCTTACAGTTTTACAACCAGTAATGGTTTACAAAATATTTTCATTCATACATGGTATCTGGGCCAAAATTATCTTTCCAACTTCATTTTCTCCTCTTTCCTGTCCTTTCTGTAGTTTGGCTTTAACAACCCTGGATTCCTTACTGCTCCTAGAATGTACTAAGTATGTGCCTACCTCAGGGCCTTTCCTTTTCAGCTCCTCTGCCTGGAATGTTCTTCTTCCAGATGTTGATATAAGTGCCTCACCTTGCTCGGGTCACCTCTAAGAAATCAGTTTCTGAGAGAGAACCTCCCTGCCTTCATCCCCCTCAACAAATGCACAACTGTATTGCCATTCTCTAACCCCTTACCCTGGTTTATTTTTCTTGTGAGTACTTACTACCTCCTTAAGGTATACTTCCATCTACTTGTTTGATTTCTGTTTGTCTCTCTCAATAGAATGCAAGATCTAGCAGGGCTGAAACTTGTCTGCTTTGTGTACAACTGTATCATTGATGAATAGAAAAATGACATTCAAAAAGCATTTGCTAAAATAAATGCTTGAATATATGAATTTCATTATCCTGTGTGTCAGACTGGGTGGACATCCCCATTTTACCATGTAGAAATGGGGGCCCTGAAAATTTGAGTGACAATCAAGGACTTGAAATCAAAGTCTCTTGCCTCCACGTTTATAGATGTCATAATTGATAACTTACATGCCCACAAAAAAGGTGGCCCTGACAACTTTTAATCTCTGGCTTTTGGACTGGATTTAATTTCTTGCATACTTTCTGATACTTTGATTTCAAGCCAAAAATTTCTGCACCTATTAAAAATCCTTCATTTAAAATGTGCTTTCTTACTTCTCTAGAGAAAAGCAGTGAAAAAAGTGTATTTTTGCTGTGTTCAGCAAGTCTCTCAGGCACATATTTATGAAGACTACATCTGCAAAATGGCTTTGTCTTTCAGCATAATGCAAACAATTCTTAGTGTTGAAGAAGAGAAAGAAAGATTTCATGCTTCTTCCAGATCATTCTGCTACCAAGGTCAGAATTTAAAGAGAATTCCATGCTCTGATCAACCATTCAGGGTTCAGAAGCAAAGAGCAAAATGGGTTATGACTATAAAGTCTTCATATGAGTTGCCACTGTGGCAGTGTAAACCCATGTAGACTGGAGGAGAAGGTTGTTCTTTTCCCCATCCATTAGTATGTCTATTCTTTTCTTTTTAGGAGTCTTTCTTTTACTTTTCCTGTTACATTTTCCTTTTGTTTCCCAACACTTTCTTTATGTAGGAAAATATGTAATTTCATTTTTATTTGTTTACCAAGCATTGATTCACCTCATCTATTTACCAAACATTTCTTAGTTGCCTACTCTTTGTTAGCTATTATATCAAATGTCGGGTATTTAAAATTTAATGAGGATTCAGCCCCTGACTTCAAGGAGCTCACTTTTTAAATGGCAGAAGGTCAAGTAAACCATTAATGATACAGGACATGGCAATCCATGCTCTGATCCTAGGAGCACAGCATATTCTAGAAACCCAAGTGGGGCTCTTAGATTGAGGGGTCAGGGTAAACTTCCTGAAGGAATAATTAATTCTTGAGATAATTGCTGCAAGGTGAGTGGTAAGCAAAAGCCAGGTCACATAGATATTTGCGTGCCATTTTAGTTTGTTTTAAAACTATGGCCTGGGCGGGGGATTTTAACAGGGAGAGATGTGATTAGATATATTTTTGATAGATAATTTTGGAGGGAAATTAACACTTGTAAGAGATAAGTGATGACAGTGGCAGCAAGAATTATGAGAGAAGCAGTCAGCTTCTTGGGATACTAAGGACAATTCATTGCCAGGGTATGTTGACTGATACAGGGTTGTGAGTGAGGAGGTGGAGTCATGTGTGATGACCCCCATGTTCCTGCCTTAAGCTATCTGTAGACAGTAGAGTTTGCTGTTCACTGAGAAAGAGGATACAGGAAAAGAAATTTGTTTGGGGATGAAATGACAAGTTTATACCTGGATATGTCATATTTGATAACCAGTTAGAGATGCCCAAAGGTTAGTTGCATTACAGATCAAGAGCTTTGGATCAAGAATGATTCAATACTTATTTTGGGAAGTTTATCAATAAGAAAAAAAGGAAAGGATCCCTTCAAGGGACAGTCTAAGTAATGCGAAGAAGAGAGCACTGAGGGTAGAATTTTTCGTAAAACATATTAAGGCTGAGAAGAGAAAGATGGATAGGAAAGGGTCATTAGAGAGGTAAAAAGGTAGAATTATGGTAAAGCAGGCTATAGGGTAGAACAGTGTTAATGGTGCAGAGAAGTCAAAAAAGGACAAAGTTGTCCATTGGATTCAGCAACAAAAGAGTCATTGGTGACTTTTTTTCAGGGCAGTTTCAACAGAGTGCTTTTTAGGAGGCCAGATTGTTGTGGCCCACTGAGTGAATGGGAGCAAGGAAGAGGAGTCAGCAAGGATGATGTACTAATTCCCAAAGCTAGATTATCAGAGTAAAGGGAGAGAGGATGGTATTCTCGGGACAATGTAGGGTTAAAGAATTTTCATTATTTTTTTCAAAAAGAGAGAGACCTGAGTGCATTAAAATGCAAAGAGCTGAGTAGGACATTGACTGAAAATGCAGATGATATACGAGTGAGTGATAGGGCAACCTTTATGGAAAGCCAAGGAGCTAAGATTGGCAGCACTGGTGAGTAGAATAGCCTTAGAGAGGTAAAGGGAGAAAGGGAGATAAGGGAAAAGGAGCAGATGCATGTTTATAATTAGTGAGTAAGAAATGACTGAACTTCATTGATGGCTTCTATTTCCTTTTGGCAGAAGGATGTGTGGTTATGTGTTAGCAGAGAAAGAGAGAGAGAGAGAATGAACTAACTAGGAAAGAGGCTGCGCATGGTAGCTCACGCCTATAATCCCAGCTCTTTGGGTGGAGGCTGAGGCGGGTGGATCACCTGAGGTCAGGAGTTGGAGAGACCAGCCTGTCCAACGTGGCGAACCACTGTCTCTACTAAAAATACAAAAATTAGCTGGGTGTGGTGGTGCACGCCTGTAATCCCAGCTACCAGGGAGGCTGAGGTAAGAGAATCGCTTGAACCCGGGAGGCGGAGGTTGCAGTGAGCTGTGATTGTGCCACCGCACTCCAGCACTCCAGCCTGGGAGACAAAGTGAGACTCCATCTCCAGAAAAAAAAAAAAAAAAAAAAAAAAAAGATCTAGGAAAGAAAAGGAGAAAGCATAACTAGAAGAATAGAAGGGGATGGTAGATTGAGAGAAAATGGGAGTCAGGTAAGAGGTTCTGACAAGGTTAAAAATAGATGTGGACTAATGGATGAGAAAGCTGGAGGAAGAAGTTGGAGTTAAGAGTGAGGCACTGGAGTTTAAGATTTCAGAGCCATCCTGGGAGAATGGCAGATTCAGGCAAGGATCTGGGAGCAGATGGCTAGAGCAAACAAGAAGTGAGACTCACTGAAGTCAGTGAGGTTAAGGATTGATGTGTCTTTCACATTGTTTTTGAAGTCACTGAAAATCGTGTTAGAGATGATGGTTGTCAATCAGATATGAATCAACATGCCAGAGTAATCAGCTGCAGGAGCTTGATGTGGACTGGCTGGATGACATGTAAGTTTATAAATGTTATTTTCTAAGTGAATTTCCTAAGAGTTTGAGAAACTAATAATGTGAAAGTGGCTGTAGGAAGTAGAAAAATCATGACCCTGTGTGCTGCCCCAAAGTTATGAGAAAGTAAGGGACAAAGAGCAAAGTGTATCCTAAGGGTGACTGAAGAAAGCAGTGTTTAAGTACAGACAGGGTTTAACATAGAGGAAGTGTTTCATGAGTGAGGCAAGGAGGGGTGCATATTTGGAGAGAGGGTGTTTGTTTATAAGGAAACAAAGCATAACAGCTTGGGAGGGACATCGGATGGGAGGAAGAATGGAAAAAGCAGCCAGAGTGTATAGATAGACTTGAGTTCAGCAAAGGCTGTGAGTTCAGGGTAGGGGTGTGGAAAGGATGACAGATAATCTTGAGATTATCTGATTTCATTTTCCTTCTATGGTGCCCTCACTAGTCAGAATGAGAATTTGAGCATGTTTGGGATGAAACAGTCTGGAAGAACTGAGTCCAGAAGGGTGTTACTGTCATAAGTGAAAGCACAAGGAATCTCAAGACACTGGGAAAAGATTCAATTGCAGACAATAAGAGAAAGCCGCATCAAACCTGAAGTCATTATATCTCAAGAGCATAGGGACAAGCAGATGGAATTGGAAGGAAGGCAGTGGTAATGGGTACTGCTCTAGGCACTCTTTAACTTTTGAACTCTGCATTCTGAGCTGGGCATTATGGTTACAACTGGCGGTTAAAAAACCTATTTTTGTTCTTGTTTTCTTCCTACTCCTCATCTGATTTACCCCAAAGAAACAATAGTTGACTCTTCACCCATCCTAAAATGTTGCAATAATCTGATAGTTCTTTCTCTAGACTAAGTTACTTGAGTCTTTCCAAACATGGTCTTATATATTCCCGTAGGGTCTTAAAGCAATCACTCAACTTATTATCTATAAGAGAGGCAAAAACTATTTATCTCATATTATGACAAATCTACAATATCTGAAGATACTTAGAACTTAGCTGTCATGTGGTATCACAGCATTACATAAAATAGAAAATAGGACATAGGCATTAAATTGAATTTAAGAATAGTGCACACCGTGCAAAGTGAAAGACAATACAATGGTGAGTAGTTCTTTTTATATTCAAAGACAAAATGTATAGGTATGGATTAAACACCAGGAAGCTGGCAGTGTTAGTCAATTAAAGGTAAGTTGGATATTTACAGTTCTAACTTTGCTGGTTACAAACAGTCTGTTAGGAACATAACAGACCTTTTAATTTACCCAACTCTTGTCTTCTCTGTGTGTTTTAAGCTTAATAGTTGCATAAAATGATTGGGGCCCTGAACTGATTGTGAATTTGTGGGGAAGGGAAACAAGGTAGCAGGGGATCCATAAGGGTGTGGGATGGGGTATGAGATCAAGTGTAGGGAATGTGTGCAAGCATGTGCATTCATTAATTCATACGACAAATAGGTATTGAGGACTTAATATTTGCAAACAAATGTCATCTCTAAAGACAGCCATAGCTGAGTATGAGATATATCCCATGTTCATAAGTAACTGGAATGCCAGATAGACCAAGAAGGGGCCATAGGAAAGGTTCAGGTGGTTATGGTAGTTTGGAGAAAAGAACATTACCTCAAGCAAAAGTACACAGAGAAACTTAAAGAAGAGGTAAAGTTTGAGCTGTACAGGGAGTGAGATTTAGGAATGGTGGTTCTCAATCTTGATTAATTACAGAATCACCTGGAGAGTTTTCAAAGACTATGATTAGGGTTCTCACTAGACTAACTAAAGCATAACCTTGGAAGGTGGCTCCAGGCTTTTTATTTCAATAGGTTTTTGGGGAACAGGTGGTGTTTGGTTAGATGAATAAGTTATTTAGTGGTGATTTCTGAGACTTTTGGTGCACCCATCACCCAAGCAGTGTACACTGTACCTAATGTGTAGTCTTTTTTTTTTTTTTTTTTGACATGGAGTCTCGCTCTGTCACCCAGGCTGGAGTGCAGTGGTGTGATCTCGGCTCACTGCAAGCTCTGCCTCCCAGGTTCATGCCATTCTCCTGCCTCAGCCTCCTGAGTAGCTGGGACTACCGGCACCCGCCACCACACCCGGCTAATTTTTTGTATTTTTAGTAGAGACGGGGTTTCACCATGTTAGCCAGGATGGTCTCAATCTCCTGACCTCGTGATCCGCCCTCCTCGGCCTCCCAAAGTGCTGGGATTACAGGCGTGAGCCACCACGCCCAGCCTGGATTAATTCTTGAGCCATCTGTACCAACCAAGCCTGTGAAAGTTCTACTTAATTTTATTAACAAACCTTTTCATTTAAAATATTAATAAATGTTTAACAAGATCAATTTACAGGGGACCGTGTGGATCCTGTTAAATAATAGATTTGTGTTTACTGCATTATAAATCACTAGGTAAAATCATAAGCCTTTATAACTGCTTGCTAACTTAGAAAATAGTACCTTCAGCCTAATTAAATGTCTGGAAATAGAAGCAAAATTGAATTCTCCTTATGTCAAGTAAATACAGAGAAGGCCCAAATTACTGTGGTATTTGTGTAGCAAGAGGGTAGCACACTGGATATTTCATTAGTATCTCCTATGAAGATGAAATTTGACTGTGACATTTGTTTGAGTTCTTTGCAGTTTCTGGATATTAGCCCTATGTCAGATGTATAAGTTGTGAAAATTTTCCCACACTTTATGGCTTGTCTGTTAACTCTGCTGATTATTTGTTTTGCTGTGCAGAAGCTTTTTAGTTTAATTAAGTCACATCTATTTATCTTTGTTTTTATTGCATTTGCTTTTGGGTTCTTGGTCATGAAGTCTGCCTAAGCCACTGTCTAGAAGGGTTTTTCTCATGTTATCTTCTAGAATTTGTATAGTTTCAGGTCTTAGATTTAAGTCTTTGATTCATTTTGAGTTGCTTTTTGTATAAGGTGAGAGATGAGGATCCAGTTTCATTCTTCTACATGTGGCTTGCCAATTATACCAGCACCATTTGTTGAATAGGTTGTCATTTCCCCACTTAATGTTTTTGCTTGCTTTGTTGAAGATCAGTTGGCTGTAAATATTTGGGTTTATTTCTGCTTTCTCTATTCTGTTCCATTGGTGTATGTGCCCATTTTTATGCCAGTATCATGGTGTTTTGGTGACTATGGCCTTATAGCATAGTTTGAAGTCAGGTAATGTGATGCCTCCAGATTTGTTCCTTTTGCTTAGTATTGCTTTGGCTATGTGGTCTCTTTTTTGGTTCCATATGAATTTTAGGATTATTTTTTCTAGTTCTGTGAAAAATGATGGTGGTATTTTGATGGGAATTGCATTGAATTTGTAAAATGCTTTTGGCAGTATGATAATTTTCATAATATTGATTCTACCCATCCATAAGCATGGGATGTTTCCATTTGTTTGTGTTGTCTGTGATTTTTTTCAGCAGTGTTTTATAGTTTTCCTTGTAGAAGTCTTTCAGGTCCTTGATTAGTTATATTCCTAAGCATTTAATTTTTTTTTGCAGGTATTGTAAAAGAGGTTGAGTTCTTGATTTGATTGTCAGCTTGGTTGCTGTTATCGTATAGCAGAGCTACTTATTTGTGTACATTAATTTTGTATCCTGAAACTTTACTGAATTCATTTACCAGTTCTAGGAGTTTTCTGGAGGAGTCTTCCAGTATTGTGTTGAATAGAAGTGGTGAAAGTGAGCATCCTTGTCTTGTTTCAGTTCTCAGAGGGGAATTCTTTCAACTTTTCCCCATTCAGTGTAATGTTGGCTGTGGGTTTGTCATAGATGGCTTTTGTTACTTTAAGGTATGTCCTTTCTATGCCAATTTTTCTGAGGGTTTTAATTATAACGGGATGCTGGATTTTGTCAAATGCTTTTTTCTGCATCTATTGAGATGATCATGTGATTTTTGTTTTTTTAATTCTGTTTATGTGGTGTATCAAATTTATTGACTTGGATATGTTAAACCAACTCTGCATCCCTGGTATGAAACCTACTTGATCATGGTGGATTATCTTTTTAATATACTATTGCATTTGTTTAGTTAGTATTTTGTTGAGGATATTTGCATTTATGTTCATCAGGGATATTGGTCTGTAGTTTTCTTTTTTTTGTTATGTCCTTCCTTGGTTTTGGTATTAGGGTGATACTGGCTTCATAGAATGACTTAGGGATGATTCCTTCTTTCTCTATTGTGTGGAATAGTGTCAATAGGATTGGTATCAATTCTTCTTTGAATGTCTGATAGAATTCAGCTGTGAATCCGTCTGGTCCTGGACTTTTTTTGTTGGCAAATTTGAAATTACCATTTCAATCTCTCTGCTTGTTATTGGTCTATTCAGAGTTTCTGTATCTTCCTGGTTTAATCTGGGAGGGTTGCATATTTCCAGGAGTTTATTCATTACCTCCAGGTTTTCTGGTTTATGTGCATAAAGGTGTTCATAGTAGCTTGAATAATCTTTTGTATTTCTGTGGTATTAGTAGTAATATCTTCCATATTATTTCTAATTGAGCTCATTCTCTCTTTTTTCTTGGCTAATCTTGCAATGATCTATCAATTTTATTTGTATTTTCAGAGAACCAGCTTCTGTTTCATTTATCTTTTTTTGTTTCAATTTCATGTAGTTCTGCACTGATCTTCACTATTTATTTTCTTCTGCTGGATTTGTGTTTGGATTGTTCTTGTTCCTCCAGTTTCATGAGGTGTGACCTTAGATTGTCTGCTTGTGCTCTTTCAAACTTTTTGATATAGACATTTAATGCTATGAACTTTCCTCTTAGCATTGCTGTATCCCAGAGATTTTGATAGGTTGTATCACTGTTATCCAGTTCAAATAATTTTTAAATTTTTATTTTTATTTCATTGTTGATCCAATGATCATTCAGGAGTAGCTTATTTAATTTCCAGGTATGTGCATGGTTTTGAGGATTCCTTTTGGAGTTGATTTCCATTTTTATTCCACTGTGGTCTGAGAGAGTACTTGATATAATTTCAGTTTTCTTAAATTTACTGAGACTTGTTTTGTGGCCTATCATATGGTCTATCTTGGAGAATGTTCCATGTGCTGATGAATAGAATGTATATTCTGCAGTTGTTGGGTAGAATGTTCTATAAATATCTGTTAAGTTCATTTGTTGTAGGGTATAGTTTAAGTCCATTGTTTCTTTGTTGACTTTCTTTCTTGATGACCTGTCTAGGGCTGTCAGTGGAGTACTAAAGTTCCCCACTATTATTTTGTTGTTTTCTATCTCATTTCTTAGGTCTAGTAGTAATTGTTTTATATATTTAGGAGCTCCAGTGTTAGGGGCATATATATTTAGGATTGTGATATTTACCTGTTGGACTTGTCCATTTATCATTATATCTTTGTCTTTTTAAACTGCTGCCAATTTAAAGTTTGTTTTGTCTGATATAAAAATAGCTACTCCTGCCCTTTTGATGTCCATTTACATGGAATATCTATTTCCACCTTTTTACCTTAAGTTTATGTGTGTCCTTATGTGTTAAGAGAGTCTCCTGAAGACAGTATGAACTTGGTTGGTGAATTCCTATCCCTTCTGCCGTTCTGTATCTTTTAAGAGGAGCGTTTAGGCCATTTACACTCAACGTTAGTATTGAGATGTGAGGTACTAATCTATTCATCGTGCTGTTTGTTGCCTGAGTATCTTTTTTTCGTTGTGTTATTGTTATATAGGTCCTGTGAGATTTATGCTTTAAGGAGTGTCTATTTTAGTGTATTTCAAGAATTTGTTTCAAGATTTAGAACTCCTTTTAGCAGTTCTTGTAGAGCTGGCTTGGTAGGGTGAGTTCTCTCAGCATTTGTCTGGAAAAGACTGTATCTTTTCTTCATTTATGAAGCTTAGTTTCACTAGATACATAATTCTTGGCTGATAATTGTTTTAAGGAGGCTAAAACTAGGACCCCCATCTCTTCTAGCTTGTAGATTTTCTGCTGAGACATCTGCTGTTACTATGATAGGTTTTCGTTTGTAGGTTACCAGATGCTTTTGCCTCACAGCTCTTGAGATTCTTTCATTTGTCTTGACTTTAGCTAACTTGATGACTATGTGGCTAGGCAATGATCTTTTTGCAATGAATTTCCCAGGTGTTCTTTGAGCTTCTTATATTTGGGTGTCTAGGTTTCCAGCAAGGCTGGGGAAGTTTTCCTCAATTATTCCCTCAAATGTAAGCAGGTCCCACTCCCAATCATTTGGCCATGGAAGCAGAACCACCTGTATTTCCCTGTGTTGTGATTGTGGCACAGCAGTTGTTAATCTGCTCCTCACTGGGGCATTTTTCTCAGGGTCTGAGAACCTAGAAGAGATGGGTAAATTCCTGGACACACCCTCCCAAGACTGACCCAGAAAGAAATTAATTCCCTGAAATGACCAATAATGAGCTCCAAAATTGAATCAGTAATAAATAGCCTGCCAACCAAAAAATGCTTATGACCTGGTGGATTCATAGCCAAATTCTACCAGATGTACTATTTCTACTGAAACTATTCCAAAAAATCGAGGAGGAGGAACTTCTCCCCAACTCATTATGTGACGCCAGCTTCATACTGACACCAAAATCAGGCAGAGATACAGCAAAAAAAGAAAACTTCAGGACAATATTCTTGATGAACATTGACACAAAAACCCTCAATAAAAGACTTGCAAACTGAATCCAGCAACACATCAAAAAGATAATTCATCGCAATCAAGTAGGCTTCATCCCCAGGATGCAAGGTTGGTTCAACATACACACATCAATAAATGTGATTCATCACATAAACAGAACTAAATACAAAATCCACATGATTGTCTCAATAGATGCAGAAAAAACTTTCAACGGAATTTGATGCCCATTCATGTTAAAAACTCTCAATAAACTAGGTATTGAAGAAACATATCTCAAAATAATAAAAGCCATCTATGACAAACCCACAGTAAACATCATACTAAATGGGCAAAAGCTAAAAGCACTCCGCTTGAAAACTGGCAAAAGGCAAGGATGCTCTCTCTCACCAGTCCTATTCAACATAGTATTGCAAGTCCTAATCAGAGAAATCAAGCAAAAGAAAAAAATAAAAGTTATCCAAGTAGGAAGAGAGGAAGTCAGGCTATCCCTGTTTGCAGACAACATGATTCTGTATCTAGAAAACTCTATAGTCTTGGCCAAAAATCTCCTTCAGCTGATAAACAACTTTAGAATTGTTTCAGGATACAAAATCAGTGTACAAAAATCACTAGCATTCCTATACACCAACAGCAGCCAAGCTGAGAGCCAAGTCAGGAAGGCAATCCCATTCACAATTGCCACAAAAAGAATAAAATGCCTAGGAATACACATAAACAGGGAGGTGAAAGATCTCTACAATAAGAATTACAAAACACTGCTCAAAGAAATCAGATGACACAAACAAATGGAAAAACATCTCATGCTCCTGGATAGGAAGAATCATTATAATTAAAATGGCCATAGTGCCCAAAGCAATTTACAGATTCAATGCTATTCCTATCAAACAACCAATGACATCCTTTATATAGAACCAGAGAAGATCACAAATAGCAAAGGCAATCCTAAGCAAAAAGAACAAAGCTGGGAGCATCACATTACCTGACTTCAAATTATATACTACAGTGTTACAGTAACCAAAACAGCATGGTACTGGTACAAAAACTGGGACATAGAGCAATGAAACAGAATGGAGAGCCCAAAAATAAGGGTACACACGTACAACCACCTGATCTTTGACAAACCTGACAAAAACAAGCAATGGGGAAAAGACTCCTTATTCAATAAATGGTGCTGGAATAACTGGCTAACCATAAGCAGAAGATTGAAGCTGCACCCCTTCCTTACACCGTATACAAAAATCAACTCAAGAGTGATTAAAGACTTAAATGTAAAACCCAAAACTATAAAAACTCTAGAAGACAACTTAGGCAATGCCATCCTGAACATAGAGAATGACCAAAAATTTCATGAGAAAAACACCAAAAGCAATAGCAACAAAAGCACAAATTGACAAATGGGATCTAATTAAATTTAAGAGCTTCTGTACAGTCAAAGAAACTATCAACAGAATAAACAGGCAACCTACAGAATGGGAGAAAATATTTGCAAACTATGCACCCAACAAAGGCCTGATATCTAGCATCATAAGAAACTTAAACAAATTTGCAAGAGAAAAACAACTCCATTGAAAAGTGGGCAAAGGAAAAGAACAGACATTTTTAAAAAGAAGACGTACAAATGGCCCATAAGCATATGAAAAATTGATCAATGTCACTAATCATCAGAGATATACAAATTAAAACAACAATGAGATATCATCTTATACAGTAGAATGTCTATTGTGAACAAGTAAAATAACAGATTTTGGCAATGATGCAGAGAAAAGGGAATGCTTATATTGTTGATGAGATTGTAGATTATTACAACCTCTATGAAAGTTAGTCCCTGAATTAGAAATGAACACTATTTGACTTCCTCTTTTCCTAATTGAATACCCTTTATTTCCTTCTCCTGCCTGATTGCCCTGGCCAGAACTTCCAACACTATGTTGAATAGGAGCGGTGAGAGAGGGCATCCCTGCCTTGTGCCAGTTTTCAAAGGGAATGCTTCCAGTTTTTGCCCATTCAGTATGATATTGGCTGTGGGTTTGTCATAGATAGCTCTTATTATTTTGAAATACGTCCCATCAATACCTAATTTATTGAGAGTTTTTAGCATGAAGGGTTGTTGAATTTTGTCAAAGGCTTTTTCTGCATCTATTGAGATAATCATGTGGTTTTTGTCTTTGGCTCTGTTTATATGCTGGATTACATTTATTGATTTGCGTATGTTGAACCAGCCTTGCATCCCAGGGATGAAGCCCACTTGATCATGGTGGATAAGCTTTTTGATGTGCTGCTGGATTCGGTTTGCCAGTATTTTATTGAGGATTTTTGCATCAATGTTCATCAAGGATATTGGTCTAAAATTCTCTTTTTTGGTTGTGTCTCTGCCCGGCTTTGGTATCAGAATGATGCTGGCCTCATAAAATGAGTTAGGGAGGATTCCCTCTTTTTCTATTGATTGGAATAGTTTCAGAAGGAATGGTATCAGTTCCTCCTTGTACCTCTGGTACAATTCGGCTGTGAATCCATCTGGTCCTGGACTCTTTTTGGTTGGTAAACTATTGATTATTGCCACAATTTCAGAGCCTGTTATTGGTCTATTCAGAGATTCAACTTCTTCCTGGTTTAGTCTTGGGAGAGTGTATGTGTCGAGGAATGTATCCATTTCTTCTAGATTTTCTAGTTTATTTGCGTAGAGGTGTTTGTAGTATTCTCTGATGGTAGTTTGTATTTCTGTGGGATCGGTGGTGATATCCCCTTTATCATTTTTTATTGTGTCTATTTGATTCTTCTCTCTTTTTTTCTTTATTAGTCTTGCTAGCGGTCTATCAATTTTGTTGATCCTTTCAAAAAACCAGCTCCTGGATTCATTGATTTTTTGAAGGGTTTTTTGTGTCTCTATTTCCTTCAGTTCTGCTCTGATTTTAGTTATTTCTTGCCTTCTGCTAGCTTTTGAATGTGTTTGCTCTTGCTTTTCTAGTTCTTTTAATTGTGATGTTAGGGTGTCAATTTTGGATCTTTCCTGCTTTCTCTTGTGGGCATTTACTGCTATAAATTTCCCTCTACACACTGCTTTGAATGCGTCCCAGAGATTCTGGTATGTGGTGTCTTTGTTCTCATTGGTTTCAAAGAACATCTTTATTTCTGCCTTCATTTCGTTATGTACCCAGTAGTCATTCAGGAGCAGGTTGTTCAGTTTCCATGTAGTTGAGCGGCTTTGAGTGAGATTCTTAATCCTGAGTTCTAGTTTGATTGCACTGTGGTCTGAGAGATAGTTTGTTATAATTTCTGTTCTTTTACATTTGCTGAGGAGAGCTTTACTTCCAAGTATGTGGTCAATTTTGGAATAGGTGTGGTGTGGTGCTGAAAAAAATGTATATTCTGTTGATTTGGGGTGGAGAGTTCTGTAGATGTCTATTAGGTCTGCTTGGTGCAGAGCTGAGTTCAATTCCTGGGTATCCTTGTTGACTTTCTGTCTCGTTGATCTGTCTAATGTTGACAGTGGGGTGTTAAAGTCTCCCATTATTAATGTGTGGGAGTCTAAGTCTCTTTGTAGGTCACTGAGGACTTGCTTTATGAATCTGGGTGCTCCTGTATTGTCCCTGTTTGCAGACGACATGATTGTTTATCTAGAAAACCCCATCGTCTCAGCCCAAAATCTCCTTAAGCTGATAAGCAACTTCAGCAAAGTCTCAGGATACAAAATCAATGTACAAAAATCACAAGCATTCTTATACACCAACAACAGACAAACAGAGAGCCAAATCATGGGTGAACTCCCATTCACAATTGCTTCAAAGAGAATAAAATACCTAGGAATCCAACTTACAAGGGATGTGAAGGACCTCTTCAAGGAGAACTACAAACCACTGCTCAAGGAAATAAAAGAGGACACAAACAAATGGAAGAACATTCCATGCTCATGGGTAGGAAGAATCAATATCGTGAAAATGGCCATACTGCCCAAGGTAATTTACAGATTCAATGCCATCCCCATCAAGCTACCAATGACTTTCTTCACAGAATTGGAAAAAACTACTTTAAAGTTCATATGGAACCAAAAAAGAGCCCGCATCGCCAAGTCAATCCTAAGCCAAAAGAACAAAGCTGGAGGCATCACACTACCTGACTTCAAACTATACTACAAGGCTACAGTAACCAAAACAGCATGGTACTGGTACCAAAACAGAGATATAGATCAATGGAACAGAACAGAGCCCTCAGCAATAACGCTGCATATCTACAACTATCTGATCTTTGACAAACCTGAGAAAAACAAGCAATAGGGAAAGGATTCCCTATTTAATAAATGGTGCTGGGAAAACTGGCTAGCCATATGTAGAAAGCTGAAACTGGATCCCTTCCTTACACCTTATAGAAAAATCAATTCAAGATGGATTAAAGATTTAAACGTTAAACCTAAAACCATAAAAACCCTAGAAGAAAACCTAGGCATTACCATTCAGGACATAGGCGTGGGCAAGGACTTCATGTCCAAAACACCAAAAGCAATGGCAACAAAAGACAAAATTGACAAATGGGATCTAATTAAACTAAAGAGCTTCTGCACAGCAAAAGAAACTACCATCAGAGTGAACAGGCAACCTACAACATGGGAGAAAATTTTCGCAACCTACTCATCTGACAAAGGGCTAATATCCAGAATCTACAATGAACTCAAACAAATTTACAAGAAAAAAACAAACAACCCCATCAAAAAGTGGGCGAAGGACATGAACAGACACTTCTCAAAAGAAGACATTTATGCAGCCAAAAAACACATGAAGAAATGCTCATCATCACTGGCCATCAGAGAAATGCAAATCAAAACCACTATGAGATATCATCTCACACCAGTTAGAATGGCAATCATTAAAAAGTCAGGAAACAACAGGTGCTGGAGAGGATGCGGAGAAATAGGAACACTTCTACACTGTTGGTGGGACTGTAAACTAGTTCAACCATTGTGGAAGTCAGTGTGGCGATTCCTCAGGGATCTAGAACTAGAAATACCATTTGACCGAGCCATCCCATTACTGGGTATATACCCAAATGAGTATAAATCATGCTGCTATAAAGACACATGCACACGTATGTTTATTGCGGCACTATTCACAATAGCAAAGACTTGGAACCAACCCAAATGTCCAACAATGATAGCCTGGATTAAGAAAATGTGGCACATATACACCATGGAATACTATGCAGCCATAAAAAATGATGAGTTCATATCCTTTGTAGGGACATGGATGAAATTGGAAACCATCATTCTCAGTAAACTATCGCAAGAACAAAAAACCAAACACCGCATATTCTCACTCATAGGTGGGAATTGAACAATGAGATCACATGGACACAGGAAGGGGAATATCGCACTCTGGGGACAGTGGTGGGGTCGGGGGAGGGGGGAGGGATAGCATTGGGAGATATACCTAATGCTAGATGACACATTAGTGGGTGCAGCGCACCAGCATGGCACATGTATACATATGTAACTAACCTGCACAATGTGCACATGTACCCTAAAACTTAGAGTATAATAAAAAAAAAAAAAAAAAAAAAAAAAGAAATGAACACTATTTCTCTTGCCCACCCTCACAAATAAAATAAAACTTCATATTATTATCTTCTTTGCTATTAACCCTGAAGGAAGTTTTTCAAATTATATGTGATTGTTAATCAGAATATTGTGTTAATTATATAGCTTTAATGTATAACATTAAATAGGACAGATTTTTTATCAAATAGAAGAGTTATTTCTTCTGTATTATTGAACTATAATTCACATACAATAAGATTCATCCTTTGGAAGTAAGTTATTGGTAGTTTTTTAGTATATTCACAAGATAGTGCAACTGACACTATGATTTAATTCTGGCACATCTTCATCATCACAACAAGAAACACTATACCCATTAGACTTCTTTATAAAATTTCACTGAATCCATGAAATAGCAGAGTGTTTTTTGTGTGTGAGGATAATTTCTAGAGTAAAAATAAAGGTTGCTATAGTATCACTTAGCAAAAGCTGTTATATTCAGTTTACTGAATATCTATCTAGCATTTCTGTGAATCTGCTCATCTTCACAAGATAACCTAAAAATTTTGGAAAATTTTGATATGTTTTATAAATAGTTAAAGAAAAATGAGGATGTTCGCTATATGTTTAGTGTTAAATTCAAGTATAAAATGCCTGTATACTTATGTACTTATACATATATGCTTTTTTATAGATATATATTGTACTTTGTTAAAATATTTGCTGATGTAACATTCTCTATTCTGTGACATCACAGAATACTGTTTTGTGCTTTCCTGGTATAATATGGGACTCCATAGTGCCTTGTGACTCAAATTGGTGTGCATGGCCTACAGTCTTATTCAAAAATGATATTGTAGAAAGGTTTAAGAACAACAGATACAAAAGCCTTTTTCTGGGATATTTTATTTTGTCTGTGATTGTCAGGAAAGAGAGTAATCTATCAGGCTTCTGTAATCCACGTTAGGTACTTAGTATTTTGTGGAATGGAGGAAAATGACCATATCAGTCATTGCTTATCGGTCAGTTAATATCTATTTGGATATCTACTATATGCGTTACCTTGTCATGTGCACTCCAGCCAAATTGAGAATTAATTTTCAAATGAAAATTAGAAGGGTTAGTCTATTAATTATAAGGTAGTATTTAAACAGGAATTCTCGTGAAGCCTGATTATTGAGCTGTTTTTTCTAGCTTTATAATCATCAGAAGCAGCTGCAAGGGTAAGCATTAGTTTATTTTTCCTATCATGGAAATAAAATTGGTAAGACTGATTTTTTTCCTTTGATCAAACAGACAGATTGTTTACTTGTTTAAGTGACAAGATCCTTTGTTATCCATTTCCTAGACCTAGCCATCATTTCTCATATGATACAATGACACCTGATGATTTTTCAGGGTTCTGAATGGTGTTCTGATGTGCAAGCACATCAAGCAGTCAGACAAACCAGGGTTAAGAGCACCAGATGGAATTTAGCATCTAAAATTAAAGTGTGGTTACTAATAAAGAATGGGTTGGAAATGAAATAAGAATTCTGGAAGTTTCAACAGAAAGAGGATAGAAGCAACCCCCACTGTTGAAAGGCCAACAAGAAAATAAAAAAATGTTTTCACTGGGCAGTTAGCTGTCTCAAAAGAAGATGGTTTGCAAATAGTATTTATCTTATTGTGGATATTTCTGACCTATTTTTATAGTTTCTGCATTGAGTCTATACTCTCTTTGTTGAATAATCCATTGTTTAAAAATTATTAGCCATATCATTGGTTTGATCTGATTGGTAGCACAGATGTAGTAACTGATTGTTCATGAACTGACCTTGACATCAAAAAATCAGATCAGTCTTGGGGTATAAGGATAGTGGTGGATTTTGTTCTATATTGCATTGGCCCAAATATCAATAACTATGTTGGTCCAAAAACATTGAGGAAGACTTTGCATATAGAACCTATAATACAGGAAACAAAATGTCTAAATATTTCTAAACCAACAAGAATCTGTGGATTAAAACAATTCTGGCCCTAGGATGGGTAACAATGAAAGGAATTGTCTTATGAAAAATAATAATAATTTGAAGGCTTTGTCCTCTTGCCAAATGAAGGCACTTGAGAGATTATTGCTTCTCTGAACCACTAGAGAGATTATAGCTTCTCACTTTAGCATATACTTACATCTCTGGAATTTCAGAAAATTGACCAGAAAACCAGCTGTAATAAACGTAACGTATTATTATAGTGGATTCTGACAAAACACAGTTGAAATATGTTTATAGAATATTGAGAGAAAAGGCATTAGAGTTGGACAAATATAAATGAAAATTAGCCCGATTATACAGCTACCAGTGATTTCAGAACTATTTGAAATAATTTAACTGATTTTCACCAAAGATTAGGTGGGGCTAAGCAGCTAATGTGATGGTCTCTAGATCATTATGTGATCTTTTATAATTGGGTTCACCATATAATTTATTAGCCAAATCAGGATGATTTTGAGAGTGAAAGGGGCCATTATAAATAATTATGGTGAGCTTCCCAGCCACTGGTAATCCTCCTTATACTACCTCTGGGTGTTCAATTGTTTTGATTTTTACATCCCACAAATAAGTGATCACATGCAATGTTTGTCTTTCTATGCCTGTCTTATTTCACTTAACATAATGACCATACACCTACTAGGTACCCACAAAAATTAAAAATAAAAAAATTCTTTAGAAATTATGCTGGGACATCAAATATACATCGGGACTACCCTAGAGAAATATTTAATTATATACTTTTAAAATAAATATGGCGACTCCATACTTCCTAATCTGAACGTCATTGATAGTGCTGATATTTTAGTCCTATATTTATGAGAAATTAGTTTTAATAATAAAATATGATAATCCCATACATAATCTCACAGTCAAAGACGTACATTGTCTAAAATGGGAGGCAGGTAGGCCTGGGGGAATGATGAGAGCTAGGCTGAGTTGAGATACTGGACTAAAATGAGAAGAGGGCAATAAATAGACTTTTCTACCATTGGCTGGTTAGAACCAAAACATATTAGAATAAAACCTCATATCCCTGTTTCTATCCCCTTGTTACATGTATAAATAGTATTTCCTCCAAAACTTTCACCCAGATGCAATTTTAGGTGACCTGTGTGGACTGTTTGAACTTGGCTGAGTACTGTTTTGGGTTTACCAATGTATTTGATCATTAGTAACCAAATAGGTCAGTTGAGTTCCTGGCGTCCTCTTTGCCATTATCTGCCTTTATCTCCCTATATCTTTGCATGAAATAGGAAGGCAAGTGATAATATTTAAATATGTTAATGTAAAGTTTAATTAAATAATGTACTTCTTTCCAAATATTGGTTAGAGGGATTCAAATTTTAAGCCGGGTTTGTAGTTATGATAGCATAGCCTTCTGATCAGCAAAAATTCACTCTCTTATATATCTTTCTGTGGGTAGAGTATATTCCCCCTTTCACTGGTTTTTGCCTGGGCCATGTGACTTGACCTGGGCAGTGGGATATTTGTAGACATAAAGTGAGCAAAGGTGTGTGGTAGAGCTTGGTTTTTGCCATCGTGATGAGAAGAGCTTCTTCCAGGTAGCTGCTCCTTCTTTAGCTTAGTTTCCAGAATTTACACACACACACACACACACACACACGTACACACACATATCGCAGATGTGAACTCAACCTGCATTAAGGAGCCAAGCCCAGCTGAATCTGTAGTCTGAAACAGAATTGCTCAGCTGCTCCCAGCCTGGACCAGCTGATTTACAGTCAACCTACAGACTCATGAGCATGGAAACAAAAGCTTGTTGTATTCCACTGAGTTTTGCGATGGGTTGTTATTTAGTGTCAGTGAGGCAATAACTAAAAGAGTAATGCCTTGATATCACTCTCTCGTAATAAAAGAAGCTTCAGACACTTTGGACCCCTGTTTTGTTTTCTGCAGTCCCTCTAAGAATGGTAAGTGCTACTAATGCTCCTCAAATGCTCCTAGAGTCTCTCTGTGAACCCTTCTCACATATTACTACTTAATATTGCCAGACAACTCATCAACTTCAAGTATCATCTAATGTCATTGATACTTAAGACCCAATCTTTATCTAAATTATTATTATTATTCTTTTTCTCTGAATGTTTAATTTGGAAAATATTGGGAGGAAAAACGAGGATTTTTAAGAAACCAATGCATAAACATCAAGCAGGGAAATTAAAAGGCTTTCAGGGTTCCTGGCTTGAGATATCTTAAGGGGCCTGTTTACAAGTAGATTGGGGAAATCTGCTAATCCCCTGGCTACTTCTCCTTGAGCCCTCTAACCAACTGGCTGCACAGTTTTGGACAACTCACCTAAGCTCTGTGTCTCAGTGGCCTCATCAATGAAATGAAGAGGATGGAATGCAAGCTCCACGAGGATCCATCTGTTTTAAAGATCTATGTGTTTCTGCAAGTGTGGTCTTGAGGCACTTGCATCAAATTTGCAGGGAGCATTTAGATAAATTATCCTCCTACCTTAGGTTAACTTCTAAGCAGTCTTACATACATGGTTCAAAGCCTACAATATAAGCAATTTTAAATGTCCATAAGGGGACCTAAATGGAAGTAATTTCCAACAAAAAACCAATTTTAAGCTCTTTATTCTATGTGGGCCTATCAGAAGAAATTGCAAAGGCAGGGCTGGATTTCTGCTCTCCTGAAGCCTACAGTGTAATGGATTCACTGAAGTAAATCTACTATTTGGAGAATATGCTATGAGGGAAAAAAGATTCTGAGACCCTGTCTTTGGTTTGTTCTCTTAAGTTCCTTTTTTACAGCTCTGATACAGAAAGGTTGTTTTTTTTTTTGTTTTTTTAAATTCACTATTGACACATTTATTCACTCAACAATGAGCATTTCCTGTGTACCTACTGGGTGCTTTCTTATTGAGATAAGAAAGATGAATAAGAGATGGTTTTTACCTTCGAAGAGCTTATAGTTCAATGAGAGAAACATAAAAGAGAGACAACTATAGAGATTTGCACAAGGGCTGTGGGAGGAGATCCAAATGCACCGTTGGGTAAGGGTGGTACCAAGAATCACTTCTCAGAGAAGGTGATGCCTGAGTTGAGTTCTGAAGAATGAGCAGGAGCAATGTAAACAAGAGAGGCCAGGCTGAAAGGGAATTTTTGCAGAAAGGTCACCGTGGGTAAGAACATGCATTAGATGTTTACGAAACCACAGTTCAATATGCTTGAAACTTAATGTACATGAGGCGGTTTGATGAGTCAAGGCTGGAGGGTGATCTGGGGTAGAAGTAACCCTGATATCAGAACTAAGAAGATTTTGTTGTATAAAAATAAATGTATGTTTGAGATTTCTGTGGCCTGATATCTGCTTTTTCTGTAGGCAGGTCCTCTTATTACTCTGTGCTCATTAGCTCATCTGTAAATGTGAAAAGGCAAAGATATGTCTAGTTTTGGTATTTCCCTAGTACTTAATAAAGGATTGTGGGTGGTTTAAAGTGACAATTACCAGGGAGATATAAGAAAGAGAATATAAGGCTGGGTGCGGTGGCTTATGCCTGTAATCCCAGCACTTTGGGAGGCTAAGGCGGGTGGATCACGAGATCAGGAGTTTGAGACCAGCTTGACCAACATGACGAAACCCCACCTCTACTTAAAAAAAAAAAAAAAAAAAGTAGCCGGGTGTGGTGGCACACACCTTTAATCCCAGCTACTCAGGAGGCTGAGGCAGGAGAATTGCTTGAACCCAGGAGGTGGAGGTTGCAGTGAGCAGATACCAAGCCACTACACTTCAGCCTGGGTCACTGAGGAAGACTCCATCTCAAAAAAAAAAAAAAAGAAAAAGAAAAACTAAAAGGTCATCAAAGGAAAAGTCTCCTAAAAAACATAAGGAATGTTCTTTCTGATAGAAATATGGAATTTATTTTTTAGTTTATGAAATGAGCAATGAGCTGATAACTTGATAACTTCAGATGAACAGAAAAGATCATAGGTAATCAAAGTTTTGCCCAACAGATGCTAAACTTTGTACATCATAACTTTTTTTTTTGAGACAGTCGCATTCTGTTGCCTGGGCTGGAATGCAGTGGCGTAATGACAGCTCATTGAAGCCTTGACTTCCTGGAATCAGGTGATCCTCCCACTTGGCCTCCCAAGTAACTGGAATTACAGGCATGGGCCACCATATCTGGCTATTTTTAAAACATTTTTTATAGAGAGAGGGTCTTGCTATGTTGCTCAGGCAGGTCTCAAACTTCTGGGGCCAAGTGATCCTCCTGCCTTGGCCTCCCAAAGTGCTGGGATAACAGACATGAGCCACTGTGCCTGGCTGTATATCATAATCTTATAGGATATGGTATATTTCTATATATACTGAGTGTTAATTTATGAACAAAACTGCAAGGAACAGCTTTTGATTGGAAGTCATATATGGAATGTGTATTTATCTATGTTCAGTTGTTAGGAAAAGTCTAACAAAACATGTCACAATAAATATTACTTGCGGTAACTGCTTTACATCTTCTATAAAAGCACTGAATACTGGATAATCTAAGCCCTTCTTTGGATGTGAAGAGACCAAGGCCTCTGAAGGAAAAGGAAGTTATCTGAAGAAGTAGAAACCAGGACACTTGACATACAGTCTGGTGCTTCTTCATTGCACACCTGCTTTTCTTATCCAAGATCTCTTGATACCACTTACTCATCTAGCAATTTTTTTTTTTTTTTTGGACATGGATTCTCACTCTGTTGCCCAGGCTGGAGTGCAGTGGCGCAGTCTCAGCTCACTGCAAGCTCCACCTCCTGGGTTCACGCCATTCTCTTGCCTCAGCCTCCTGGGTAGCTGGGACTACAGGTGCCTGCCACCACACCCGGCTACTTTTTTTTTTGTATTTTTAGTAGAGACAGGGTTTCACCATGTTAGCCAGGATGGTCTCGATCTCCTGACCTCATGGCGATCCGCCCACCTCGGCCTCCCAAAGTGCTGAGATTACAGGCGTGAGCCACTGCGCCTGGTCGCAAATATTTTTTAGCATGTACCGTGTGCCAGATACCATGCAGTTAGTCACAGTTATTATAGTTACATATTCTTGAGTTAACATATGCTACTTATTTCACTGTAATTTCCCATCTTTTGATTGTGTCTGATCAGATAATAATTTTTAGTTTTATTTTGATCAGAAACTATGCTAATAAAAACTGGACTTAATTTCTGCTTGGACAGACGATAAACTGTAATCCTGAAACAAAAATTTGACTATGTTATTATACATTATAAATCAAAATGAAGTAGTATGGAATAGAAAAGAATAGAACAGAATGTTAATAAATCAACAATGTCTCATTGATAAGGCTCTTTTCTATATAATTGAAACTCTTAGATGAATATGTATAAAGCCAGTTTTTGATATGAAGACATAAGGCTGCTTTTATGCCTTTGTGTATCCTCAGGGCGTTGTAATAACTGGCTAAGTATTTGATTATACTGCATTATGTGTTTTCTGACCCCAGGGATGTTCAGTTCACTTGGGAGAAAATACTCACTTCTGTAATGCACGGATTATTACATTAGGAAGTTATATATGTTATGTCTTAATTAGAGACACTAAATTGTAAATTTCACGCAGGTAGAAATCATATCTGTCTTGTTTACCATCGTGGAATCTAGCATGATGCTGATGCAGAGTAGGTGGACTGAACAAACATTTATTAAAGGAGTAATTGAATAAGTGTCTGGGCAACTGAATGTTACAGTAGGTAAACTGAAGGAATTCAAAGGAGTGGGGGAAGGGGGAGATTGAGAGAGAGTTGGAATGATTAGGTCTTTACCTGCTTAAGGAAAAGGTAAAGCTTATTAAAAATTGTTATCTCTGTAATAGAAGCACCTTGAGTTAAAAACTTTCTTCTTTAAATGATTCTGAATTTTAAAAGTTTCAACATGGAACTTACATTTAATGCTAGTAAAAATGATTACTTAAAAAATGCTGGCCCTCAACAAGAGCTGTTGTAAGGGTGAGTAGGGTTTGGATAAAGAAAAGGAGTGAGTTTCAGGTGGGGTGCATGGCAGTCGGCAAATTGCAGAAATGAAAAAGGACAAAACATGTTTGGAATGTCCGTCTGGAGGGAAGAAAGTAGGAGATAAGGTGGGTAGGCTTTGATGTGGCCATTATTGGACCCGAATCTATGTCAGGCACACTAGAGTACCTTCTGTGAAGATTGACTTGAGGACTAAGACAAGCCCTCGTTCTCTTAAAGCTCCCCTATCTACTGACTGATTTCTAAAAAAAAAAAAAAAAAAAAATACAGTGATTAATTTTAACAACTTAACTATCTTATCCTCATAACGTGAATATCTCTTTTAGATTTGTCTGCTTGACATAAATCATTTTCACTCTAAAGTGACTGAAGAATTTGGGAGCAGCGGCTGATAATCGTGGGGATCAAAAAGAACATGAGAATAAAGGAAACATGAAGGCATTGCTGGGTAGAGAAAAGGTCCAATAAGAAGGTTGAGGGACAAATACACAAATTGCCTCCTTTACAGCAGTCCTGTCTTGAGACCTTGGTAGCAGCAAGGGTCAGCAGTGTTGGAAATGGAAGGTCACTGGGAAGGACACATAGGTTATTTTGTACGTAGCTTTCTCAGAGATCATTGGCTTCATTCCTTCTGAATGTAATATCCAGTTACTTTATTGTTGGCTTTGACCTTGCTTGGTGCAATGGAAAAAACTCAGAGTCTGTACTCAGGTTTAGCTGTGACTATAGAGACAGCTCTGATGCCGACTTGTTTCATGATAATGGGCAAGCTCCTAATGTCTTTGGGCCTCAGTTTCTTCATCTTTATTAAAATAACAGTGCCCTTCACTGGTAGGCTTTTATATGGGTGAAATGATACAGCTATGGTAAGAGCCTGCTACATATAATTATTACTGTTTTTCTTTTCCCCTTCTCAACATTGGCCTCTATAGACTTATTTCATTAGAGATTTGTTTTCCTTTCCCGCCTCAGCTTGTTGAGAATTCGTGATCATTACAAATATTATTTACAGGACTAAAGCCCATAAAAATGTGCCTTTTAAACAATACTCATTAGGAAATAGCAATCATTTTTATGTTCTAACCAAGCAGCAGTCAGAAATACTGTGTGGGACAAAGCATTTTTCCCCTTTGCTAGGCAACACTCCATTATGTTTTACATTTACATTCAGTATAAATAGACTCGCTACTTAGTTTGGTTGCTGAATGCTACAAACCAGGATTTATTATCCTTCTGCTCTGTACACACTGGGTTTCTTCAGCATTTTATAGATGCCTGTTAAAGTTGAGCTTCTGTTACAGTCCAGCTACAGCCTTTCCAATTGGTGGATTTCCTTCAATTGTTGGTACTTTATTTCATGAAATGACATGGCTGGAGGTGACAGGAAGAGTGGAGGTGAAACCTCTCCCCAGCCTGGAAAGCAGGCTACGGCCAACCTCACCCATAATGACTGAGGGACCCTCACACAGTCTACTTGGCAGAGGTAGTCCTAGGTCACCTCAGTCCAGGGAACTTCCAGTTCCCTTTAGCACTCAGCTCACCAGAGCAGACATCCTGGTGTGAATCACCACTCTGGTTCCAGAAGTCAACATGGAATTTTAAAAACAAAATCAGATCATGTAATCCCCTTGATTACATTTCTTCAGTGGCTTCTCTTTATGCTTAGAATAAAATCCTAATCCTTACAATGGCTTACATGACTCTAGCTACTCTGTCCTTGCTGTGTTTCTTATGTCATTCCTTACCATTCTCTCCCTCCCTCACCATATCCAGTCACTCTAAGCTTCTTTCTCTTCCTTAAATGTGCCAAATGTATTCCATCTTCCTGTTCTTGCTGCCTAGAACACTTTGAATCCATGATTGCCCACTTCCCGTTATTCAATCTCGGTTCAATGCCATCTCCTTTGAGAGCTGTTTTTGATGCCTTCATCTACCCGCTAGCCTGCTCTTACCCCTTCATTCTCCAGTATGTCCCTGTGTTTTATTTTGTTCACAGCACTGATCACTTTCTAAAATGAAATTATTTTTGCTTTTACTTTCTTATTATCAGTGTCTCCACTCCAGACTGTAAGCTCTGTGATAGTAGGGCACCCATCTATCGTGTTTACTATTGCATCTCTTGCCTCCGAAAGTGCCTGGCCCACAGTCAGGTACACAATAGATATTCAAATACATGAGTTTTGGAAATAAAATAGAAATGTGAAACAGTCAGAAATGATGTTTGAGCTGATCATGATTATATTTGTACATATGTAATACATTGTGTTTCCTCAGTTACTAATGATTTAGGAATAAAAGCAACATTCCAATTATATACACAGGAAGACTTCAAGTTTACTTTCTCTTTCAGTGTATAGGAACACTGACCAATGCTGCAAAATAAGATTTTACATGTGTATGGCTATGCCTAATTTCCAAGTAGTTTAGATACTACTTTCGGTATCCATATCACGGTGGTGTAGACCAGGCCTCCAGAAAATTCTGGGCAAATGAACTTGAATTAGGAACCCCAAATAAAAATTTTATTACTGTTAAGACTTGCAGTTGTTTCTTAAAATAATTAGGACTTGATTATGGTGATAAATGTTTAAATCTTCAACTGTGTGTCAACAACATCTTTTCAAAGAAGAGCTCTAAATCAATTTTATGAATCAGAACTGCGTTAATTAAAAAAAAAAAGCATGTCAGCCAGGTGTGATGGCTCACGCCTGTAATCCCAGCACTTTGGGAGGCCAAAGTGGGTGGATCACTTGAGTTCAGGAGTTAGAGACCAGCCTGACCAATAAGGTGAAACCTCGTCTCTACTAAAAACACAAAAATTAGTTGGGTGTGGTGGCATGCACGTGTAACCCCAGCTACTTGGGAGGCTGAGACAAGACAATTGCTTGAACCCAGGAGGCAGATGTTGCAATGAGCCGAGATCACACCACTGCACTCCAGCCTGGGTGATGGAGTGAGACTCTGTCTCAGAAAAAAAAAAAAAGCATGTCCTCAGTAAGCTGTAGACTATTTCAGCCAAAATAACTATCCTGGGCATAAGTTGCTAGAATTTGATTTATTCTGAAAAGGGGTAAAGGAAATGAAAGAGACCCTCATTCACAAGGTTGCTGTCACTTAGCCTTTAGGGGTGGCAGTGAAGGGAGTAGGCAGACAACTGCTGTGACCACAGTGGAACACCAATGCCATAGACCTCCTGGGTTCTCAGCCTTCTTAGCCTGCCTCTTTACTTTTGGTTTTACAGAAATGACATAAAAGAGGTATTCATATTCTTTCATGATTCTAACAGAAGCAGGAAAGATTAAAATTCATTATAAGAAAAGAACAACAGAAAATCTCATTTGATATTTGCTGACTGTAGAAATAGAATTAACTTTATTCTGTAGCCTTCATAGAGCATAAAGAAAATGGTATGTATAGAGACTTGCCATTCCTTTTCAGAGGGTTTAATTTAACAAAAATGAGATTGCGATTTTAAAAAACTGACTTCTTAAAATAGATGAAGAATCTGAAATGAGCATTTGATAGCACATAACATTTGCTCGTGACTGATTTATGCTCATGTCAAGATCATTGAAATCCAAACTACAATATAAAGGACAATTAATTCTTTAGGGATGTTTCACATACCACCATGATTATTATGAACTTTGTGTGAACTGTAAGGGATAAATATCAATCTCTTTTTTTCTTTTCAAAATATCAGGATTTTGGTAATGCATTTTAATGTAAGATCAGGTGCTGTCGTTCTAATATATTTAGGTCAGATGACTCTGAAAGCTATTTGGGGATTAGTTAAATTTTAAATGTTATCCTGCATTAAGAGTTGTGGGTTCTTAATTTTCATTTACATTCCACTGCTATTTTCTTTTTCACCATTTGAGAAATTGAAATTTTCCAACCTACTTTTATTTCATTCCAGTAGGATTTATATTTTCAGAACAACAGTTAAACAGTGGAACTCACAGACATAATTTGATTTGAAAGATGCATTAATTTGATGTATTAGGAAAAAAATGTAAAAGGCCAGGTATTCTATCTTTACTATCTGTAATTGATCTTCTTTTATCTCAAAAGTATCATAGTATTTTGCAATTTCATGTTTATGCTAATTTTATAAAGTAAATATTTAATACAAACTTACTGTTTATTCTCAAAGCCTCTTTCTTTTTGTTTCTTTTTTTTTTTTTCCTTCAAGTGGACTCTTTAGTATGGTTATTTGGATGATGGTTTTGATTCGGAGAGTCAAAAGCCATGGTATGTGAGGGTAAGTAAACATTTCTCTACTTTGGTTCTTTCCTCTCTCTTATTCTGATAAAGCAGCTGATAAATGAATGCCCTTCTCATAAGATGGAGCTACAGCAGGAGAATGTCAAATAATACTATTAATTGCATGTGGCTGATGAATACAGATTTGATGTGAAAAAGTTATTTGTTTTATTTAGAGCTTTTACACTGCAAAGACTCAAATGTAGAGATCCATAGAACTATTTGATTTTCAGGTTTGTTCTGTGGCTCTCATTGTGGAAAAGCATTTATGCATATTTATTTCCTAACATTTCTGGATGGGGTTCTCCTTGAAAAACAGAATAGGCCAGGTGTGGTGGCTCATGCCTGTAATCCCAGAGTTTTGGGAGGCCAAGGCGGGTGGATTGCCTGAGGTCAGGAGTTTGACACCAGCCTGGCCAACATGGTGAAACCCCATCTCTACTAAAAATGCAACAATTAGCCAGAGCAAGGTGGCACGTGCCTGTAGTCCCAGAGACTGGGGAGGCTGAGGCAGGAGAATTGCTTCAACCTGGGAGGTGGAGATTGTGAGCTGAGATCGTGCCACTGCACTCCAGCCTGGGCGACAAAGTGACACTCCATCTCAAAAAAAAAAAAAAAGAAAGAAAGAAAACAGAATTTATGCTGTGTTCAGCAAACATCTTACATAAAAAACTAAAGAGAATTCTTATGAAGGGTTTATTTTTCTCTTTCTAGGAAAAAAAGCAGAAAGTAAACATTGTTTCTGCTGAAAGAGTGATGAAGCAGACAGATATTATGCCCCTCTGAACTGATCCCACCCAGGGCTCAAATTTCCAAGAGAACTGTATGCTTATAAATATTATGGGACCAGAAGCAAGGAAATGAATGGATTCTTGGTTAAAACAGAAAATCATGAATTTTACTTTACTTTTAATTTATTTCAAATTGTTCTTACTCCAGTAGACAATAGAATTATGAATTTCTGAGTCCTGGGTTTCTACTTTGTGTCTCATCTCATCTTTCAAGTTCTAACACTAGAACATTTCCTTATTCTTGGTGTTTAATTTAGACTTCTGATGAGTCTAAGGGCCTCAGAGTGGCCAAGAGTAGAGGGACCACTAGAAAGCCATTTATAGTGGTGCTCCTTTTGAGGAGTCATTTCTTAAAACCATCATCATTCTGGGCAGCTCCGGTGGCTAACGCCTATAATACCAGCACTTTGGGAGGCTGAGGTGGGTGGATCACCTGAGGTCAGGAGTTTGAGACCAGCCTGACCAACACTGAGAAATCCCACCTCTACTAAAAATACAAAATTAGCTGGGCATAGTGGTGCATCCCAGCTACTCAGGAGGCTGAGGTAGGAGAATCGCTTGAACCTGGGAGGCAGAGGTTGTGGTGAGCCAAGACCACACCATTATGCTCCAGCCTGGGCAACAAGACTGAAACTCTATCTCAAAAACAAACAAAAAAACAACAACATCATTCCATACTTTCTTGAATTGCATTAGGGAAACATATCTATAGATCAAGGAAATGAGATATCCGATTAAAATAAATTGAAATTCTACACAGAATAGTGTAAGTGTGTTTATTATAAAGAAACAGGTATTTCATAGAAAGGTTCTGACTCTATTATCTGAGACTGTCAGTGTGCGTTGCAGTTTACAAAGGCAGAAACTACAACCGAACATTAAGAACAATCAGACATGGGGGCAGGAGTGCCAGCAGAAAACAAGGAACTTGCCTATTCAACTCCTCCATGTTCACAAGTCTCCTTCCTTTTGCCATAGGTGTAATCTCATTGGTCATCAGTATACATTGCTCCCGCTTTTAAGTTTGTGGGAACATCTAGACCTGAGGCTATTTCCAACTGTTTCCCAGTTGATATAGGTTTCGGTCTAGGTCCTGCTGCTTGCCACACAGAAAGCCAGTCACTGAGATGATGTGTATTGCCAAGGAAGAAGACTTTAATCGGGTGCTGCAGCCAAAGAGATGGGAGCTCAGTCTCAAATCCATTTCCCTGACTGACTAAAACTAGGGGTTTATGAAGAAATGTAACAATGTGTAAGAAGACAAGAACTAGGGGGAGGCAAGGAGGCATCTGGTGAGTTTCAGTTTTTTGATACTTTTTTGAGAGGCCTGAAGGTCCTTTCTTGAGGAAGGAACCCATAAAGCAAATACAAATTTCAAGCTTTAACAGCAGAAGGGTAAATTTCTATGTTTATCCAAAAACAACTGTCTATGGGATTATTGGGCCTGTTTCAGTATGTCTTAGTTTAGAATCCTGAGAGAGAATTTGTTTCATAGGTGAGAGGTCCAAACCTTAGCTCCATCCAATGTGGTCAGGTTGATAAAATGTGATAGAAAGATGGCAACAGGGTCTAACTCTATTATTTGAGGCTGTCAATGTGGGTGGCAGTTTACAAAAAAGAAAATGTAGGATAAACAGGCTGGCTACTTAGTGTGTACTTTAAATACAATCTAGTGCTCTGATCCTTTGTGCTTTTTAACTCCTTTATTTCAAAGAAGGAGACATATCTAATGAGCTTCTCTTGCCTTCAAGAGTATTCCTAACCAGTGAAAGATGCTAAATTGTTCTCATCCTTCCGTTATTTGGATATGAAGAGATCTTGGCCACAGCTCCAAATTTCTCTTGAAACATTCAATCCATAGGGTACAAAGACACTCACCAATTAAGGTTAGGGTGTTCTAGAAGAAATAGGCAAACTGAATTCTAATAAACACTCATGTTAGGGTTGTAAGAATGTTGTAATCAGAAAGTTTAACATAAGATTCTCCATCTCAATATACTAGGAAAATAATTATTATCTTCTTCTGAGTATATTGAAGAAAATTATATTAATTTCCTAGGGCTGCCATAACAAAGTACCAGAAACTGGAAGCCTTGAAACAACAGAAATTTATTGTATCACAGCTGTTGAGGTTAGAAGACCAAAATCAAGCTGTTAGCAGGATTGATTCCTTCCGGAGGCACTGAGGGAGAATCTGTTCCATTCTTTGGCAGTTGCTGGCAATACTTGGTGTTCTTTGGCTTGCAAAGTCATCACTCCAAAGTCCACTTCAGTTGCAACCTGGCATCCCATTCCAGCATCCCCCAACGTCATAATCTATTCCAGCATTAAATCTAAGTCTAAAATTTTATCCCAAAATAATCAGCTGAAAAAGTCCCAAATCTCATCCTTTGAATTATGTAAATAAGGTATGGATGAGACTCTGGGTATATTCTATCCTGGGGCAAAATTCCTCTCCATTTGTGGACCTGTAAAACCTAGAAAACAAGTGACTTGCTTCCAAAATACAATGGTATGATAGGTATAGGATAGACATTTTCATCCAAAAAGGGAAAAAATAAAAGGGAATGAAGGGGTTACTGGCCCAAAGAAAGATTGCAACCTAACAGGGCCAATTCCATTAGTTTTCCAGGCATGAGAACAATTCTGTATGGCTTGATGCTCTGCTCCTTAGGTAGCTCTGCCCTCTCTTCTCTTGATGATAGTCCCATCCCAGAGCCCTGCCCTTTCTGGAAACAATTCTGTGTGGCTTGATGCTCTGCTCCTTTGGTAGCCCTGCCCTCTCTTCTCTTAATGATAGCCCCACCCCAAAGCCCTGCCCCTTCTGGGCCTATGTCACCTGGGCCAGCGGTGACAGCAGCCGCCCCACTAGCCTCAAGCCACACTTGGGGTACAATTCTCCCCTTTTCTTGAAAAATAACATATTTATAGCTGGGTATCTCTATTAGCCTGTTTCTTACCTGCAGAATCCCAGAAGTCTCACAGCCTTTCTTCATTTTGCACTGTCTCTGTCCTCTGCAGTCCAAGCCTGCAGTATTTCTGCAGAGGTGGTTGAATGGATCTAAGATGAGTCACATGCCTCATCTCTCCAGCAAAAGTGCATCCAGCCATAACCTTGGTGTTTTATCCAGAGCATGCTTTCTCATTTTCTGCAATATGGATGAGCTGAGAATTTTTCAAATGTTCAAGTATGGTTCTTTTTTGCTTAATAATTCCTTCCTCATTTTACTCATTTTTTCCCTTTTTTTTTTTTTTTTGGAGATGGAGTCTCGCTCTGTCACCCAGGCTGGAGTGCAGTGGTGCAACCTCAACTCACTGCAACCTCTGCCTCCTGGGTTCAAGCATTTCTCCTGCCTTAGCCTTCTGGGTAGCTGGGACTACAGGTGCGGGCCAACATGCCTGGCTCATTTTTGTATTTTTAGTAGAGACAGGGTTTCACCATGTTAGCCAGGCTGGTCTCAAACTCTTGACCTCAAATGATCCACCCACCTCAGCCTCCCAACGTGCTGGGATTACAGTTGTGAGCCACCGCACCCAGCCTATTCTTTTCTCTTACATGTTAGTATAAGCAGCAAGGAGAAATCAGGCCACACTTTCCACACTTTGCTTGGAAATTGCCTTGGGAAATAACCAATTTTAGCACTTAAAATTTCTACTTCCCACCCAACAATAGATCAAAATGAAGGCAATCTCTCTGCCACGTTGTAACAGAGATTCCTTTCTTTCAGTGTCCAATAACATGCCCCTCATACCCATCTGAGTTCTTGCCAAAAGCACCTTTAGCATTCAAGTTTGTAGCAACATACTCGTCCAAGAAAATCTAGGCTTTTTCTATCATGTCCTTCAAAACTTTTCCAGCTTCTAGCCATTACCCAATTTCAAGACCACTTTCACATTCTTAGACATTTGTTTCAGCAGTACTCCACTTTCCAGTACCAAATTCCATATTTGATTCCTACGGCTACTGTAACAAAGTACCAGAAACTGTGGCTTAAAACAGTAAACATTTATCATTTCACAGTTCTGAAGGAAGGCTAGAAGTCTAAAATCAAAGTGTTGGCAGGACTGGTTTCTTCTAGAAGTGCCAAGGGAATGCCACGGGCTGAATTTTGTCCCTTTCCAAAATTCATATCTTGAAACCCTAATTGCCAATGTGACTGTGTTTGGAGATAGGGCCTTCAGGAGATAATTATAGTTAAATGAGGTAACAAGGGTGGGGACCACATCCAATAGTACAAGTGGCCTTTTAAGAGAAAAACATTGATTTCCTTCTCTTTCTCTCTGAGCATGTGTTTGTGCCCGCGTGCGTGTGTGTGTGCATGCATGCAGAAGGAAGGCCACGTGATGACACTGTGAGAAGGTGGCTTTCTACAAGTCAGGAAAAGACCCTTAAGCAGAAACTGAATTTTCTGGCACCTTCATCTTGGACTTCCTCACCTCTAGAACTGTGAGAAAATAAATTTTTGTTGTTTAAGCCACCTTATCTATGATTTTTGTCATGACAGCTCAAGCTAATATAGCGAGAATGTGTTCACTACCTCTCCTAGCTTTTGGCATTTGCCAGCAAGCCTTAGTGTTTGTTGATTTATAGTTATATCACTCTAATATCTGTATTTATCGTCATATAATATGTGTTTGTGTCTGTGTCTAAACTCTCCTCTTATAAGGATACTCGTCATTGGGTAAGGGCTTATCTTAATTCAGTATGATCTCCACTTGATGATATCTGCAAAGATCTGATTTCAAATAAGTCATATTCACAAATACCAGAGGTTAGGACCTCTGCACATCTTTTTTGGAGACACAATTCATTCCACTCAAGAGACCTTCTTTCAAGGGCACTTAACAGTCCCCTTACTTTGTGTTGGGTGAGGCAGTCCACCAAGGTCCCAAGTGCACATCTTTGCTGAATATGCTACATACAAGGCCTAAGTCTCTGATAAATGGCTCTGATCCTTAGCCATTTCTGTAGCTAGTTGAGGGTGACATCCGTGCCATGACTGTCATATGATTGCCCCCTACCTGGGGTGGGGGACTGGCTTGTTTACTGCTTACCATAAAAGTTGGCTGTGCCATTACCTCTGAGTTACTCAACTGCAGTGCAACCCACTGCATGTACAGCTGAGATCTGGGCCCTTTCCATCACTCTGGGTGCTATGGTTTCAATTTGTCTTTCAAAATTCACATGTTAGAAAATTAATCCCCAAATTCATATGTTGATGGTATTTGGAAGTGGGGCCTTTGGGAGGTAATTAGGATTACATAAGGTGATCAGAGTGGAGGCCCCATAATGAGAATGGTAGCTTCAGAACAAGAGAAAGAGAGGCCTGAGCTGGCAGGCTCTTGTCCTCTTATCCTGTGATATCATCTGCCATGTTATGTTGCAGCAAGGAGGTCCTCACTAGATGCCAAGGAAATATTGATGCCATGTTCTTGGACTTCCCAGCCTCCAGAACTGTGAGAAATATTTTTTTAAAAAAATTATTCAGTCTCAGACATTTTATTATAGTAGTATAAAATGAACTAATACACCGGGGACCTTGAGGGCAGAGGAATGGGTGCTACCATGCTGACAGTCCCAATATCTGCTGTGCTGTGAGTTACAAACTGTCTTTCTCTGATCCACTGAGTCTCATCATCTAGTTTCAGCAACTATGAAGTTATGGCCATACCAACCTCCTTGTGTGCTTTCTCATGTCCTCTGGAATCTTGTTACTCCTTGCCATCTGCTACGGGGTTGAGATTCTTCCCTGTCAGGGGTATTCTTCTTTCCTTCCATTCACTCTTTTTGGATTCCGAGCCTGTACATATGCCATGTGTACACCGAGGATGCCCTCTTCTAGGGCTTCGCCTGTGTGCAGTGGCATAAGGTGCTGCACTTAGAAGGGCTCCTCACTTGCTTTAATGCTCTACTCTTGCCATCTTGAGTCTTACTAGTTATTGGATAAGGGGCTTTGAATTTTTATTTTACACTGGATTCCACAGATTCTGGAGCTGGTCTTGCTCTCCCCTTTGGTCAAATCTTAGCCTAGACATAATATTTGATTGCCCCTCCTCCTCTTTCTATTACTTTTACATTTCTTGCTTCTTTTCTGCTTGCTAGGTTGAACTGCAGCTATCCTATTAATTTTAATTTTAAGGGCTTCAGTTGGTGAAAATCTAATGGTTAAAAAACCCACTTGTTTATGAGGCAAACGTCTGTTTTTACTTCCATTTTAAGAGATCATCATAAGCTCAGGCCCCTCTCAATACCTGAACTCATATATTCAAGGGTGGAAGGAGCCTTACTATGATGCACACAGAATGCTTCAAAGAATCACTTTATTCACTGGCAGAAATTCTATGGCTAGAACAAAGACAATGTTATGCATTTTCTATGTTTGCACTTATTTCTATGATTTGTCACTTTGACATATGTTTTAGTATTTTTGGTTCTGTTTGCTGTTACTCTTTTCTCTTTCTTTACCACTCCAATCCATCATTCTTTGTTTACCATGTTACAAACACTGTGAAAACATTTAACTTCTTGCATTTTACTCTGGGGTGCACTACCATGACTTGGGAGTGTATTAATGGATGACTCACTTGCTAGACTTAATTTTATTAGGCTCATCCTGAGGACCAGTGTACACCTTTGGCAGCTAGGAAGAGACATCTGGTCAACAAATCTTCTTGCATTAGTGAACAGAATAATGAGGCAGCTATGCACTGGTTAAAAAACTGGCCACCACCGTTTGGAAATTTCCACATAATGGAAGAAAAAGACCGCCAGTTGCCAGCTAGGAAAGATCTAAAAATTGGAAAAGACATTTTTGATAAACCAACTGGATTGGAAGTCATGATTATTGCAAATGGCAAGGTTTGTAGGTTATGAAAATCCTGGTAATTATTTTTGTTAACTTTGTCTTAACTATGTGATTTTACTCACAGTATACATTGTGAAGTAAAGCAGCCTGCTTCTTTACTTTATGGAATTAGTGATGCAAACTGTTACCAAGGTCAGCTTTCTGAAAAGATACAGTGGGACACTTCTGGTATTATAAACTTACTTCCCACATCGAGGGCCCTTGAAAGAAGAGATAGGCCCACACTCTTTTTCTTTTACGAAATATTGCTTCTAGACTGTTTAATAAGTTTCTCATTGAATGACTCAGTATAGATGTAAGGAAACTTGTAAAGAGTACATTTTTAGCTTTAAACTATACAGAGGTATTCCCAGTGCAGTATACTTTATGCCAATTGCTGCTAGCATCTTATGCAATTTTTGAAAAACTAGTTCTTGATATCCTTGGCATTTTACTTTGAAAACTTTCCGCCAGGTGCCAAATTGACTTGTACTTTCTCTGCTTTAGTAACACTGAATTTCTGTTTTAAATAGGTCCAACAAGAAAGGGAAAAATGTTAGCAGTTGAGAAACTGTGTGTGAAAAAAAAAACACATACTTTCTGTCTACCAGTTTTGTTCCATAAGGATATTATTACCTTTCCTTCTTCACTTTACTTCTGTCTTCCTGTGCTCCAATTAGGCTAGTGAAAAAATTGATAAGGTCATCACTGTGTTCTTTCTAGGGGGATAGGATGTTCCAAATACATGATGACAAACTGATGAGCTTGATACATTGATTGTACCTTTTCAGTGTAGGTGTAAAAAGAATTTCTGTTAATGTTACTTTTCAGCTTTAGGGGATTCTAAGTTGGGATGATTTGAACTTATTCAAATAAATCCAAATCATCCCAACTGAGAATCCCCTAAAGGTGAAATGTTGAATGTGACATTCAGAGTCAGTAGTGTGCCAGTTGCAGCTTTTCAAGTAAGTAAGAATACTCTGGGTTATTTGTTAACTTTTACCTTGACACCTGCACAAAATAAATCTGGCATCACTAAAATGATGATAAACAGCAGATGAAGTTCCCGAAATCCCCAAGAGTAGCCATGAAAATGAGCATTAGTTATCTCACCATAAACTAAATATAGTTGTTTGGGCCTTAAAGAATCAGAATACAGGAGAGTAAAAAGCAGAATGTGACCCAGATTATGTAGACGTCAAATACCCACTGGCAAATACGCTGTGCCAAAGTGTCATTGTTATAATAGAGAGAGATAATATGGAAGCAGCTTGGGAACATTTAGCCAGCGTCCGCTGAGAACATGTGTAAGTTTAAGAAAATGCTAATACATAAAAACAAAACATGATTACATTATAGGTCTTGGTTGGACTTGAAACCCCACAAATCCCAGCCCTTCTCCTGTAACTCGATAAGAACTTAAACACTATGGCTTGGAGAGGGCTTAATTGCCATTTAGTCACATGTTTTAGTGCCCAATAATGGCTACTCTCCAAAAGCTTTTTCTTATATCTAACTTGCATTTCCTATAGTTCTGCACTAAGTAGAAAGAAGTAGCAGCAGGTCAGATTCTCTTATGGGACAATCCTTCCTTTAACTGAGGCGTTGATTACTTATATCAAAAATGAGTCAATTGGAAGGGCAAAATACCTGCTTAAATAAGAGGCTATCATTGGACTACCCAGCTCCAATTTGCATGCTATGGTTCACATATTTAAAATTGTTTCAATTTGGATATGGAAAATTTTTTTCTCCTAATGGTACAATGTAAACTAATATTTTATTTTTTATAGACTCTCAGTAAAGAATTTCAGTATCTTCCTTCAGAGTGATTTTTTGAACTAGAAAACAAACCAAAGATTTTTGTGAACTTAATCATTATCAATGGCATGTGCTTGCCTAAATAATTTTGATTTTACATTTATGCTTGCTTTTCTAAAATAATTTTCTGTTTTTAAGAATCCGTAATTTCCGTAATGTCAGCATTATTTAAAACCACATTATTTAAAACTTTTCATTTTTCAGATGGTGTCTCACTTTGTCATTCTCCGCCTCCTGAGTAAGTGGGACCACAGGCATGCACCACCACACCTGGCTAATTTTAAAAATTTTTTGCAGAGTTAGGGTCTCACTATGTTACTCAGGCTGATCTCAAATTCGTGGGCTTAAAGAAATTTTAATATATTGTCTGATAGGACCAGATCATTATAAAGAAGACAGTACAGTCTTTTGCAATGTATATAAATTGCATTTCATAATTCTACATGATGTCAAAGTGAGCTGGTTTAGTAAAAATGACACTTACATTAGCTTAAATTGAATCTATTTTGTAAATATCAGCAATTCATTTTGTCACTTGGGAATTTGCTGTCAGGGACTTTGACTTTTTCTGTCTTCAGCCAGCAAAGTGAAGGGGGCTGGCATGCAATCAAATCATTACGACATAATGCCAGTGGTGTCCCCAAAGAATTATTGAAACATAGTAGAAGGGGGCGCTAATATATTGTCATTTTCTCCTCCAAGATTTCTACTAAAGTATTCCTGATAGAAGTGAATCAACAAACACCAGCAGAGAAACTTGCTTGATACAACAATGAAATACATTGAAGTCTAAAGCTTAATTTTTCAAACATATTTATATTTTTCAGTATACTATACTTTATGCATCCATGTTTATTTAAATAAAATATTTCATATTGCTACCAAGACAAAGATTGATATTCCAGGCACTTGCATCACATTTATCCCATGGCTATACATATTTTTGTTTGTTTGTTTGTTTAATTCTTATATTCTAGAGATAGTTACTCTATGTATTTAAGAAGCAGGGGTATAAAAATAGGTTTCAGATCCAAGCAATTGGAACCCAGGCAAGGTCTGGGTATCTGGGATCAGAATGAAAAAGCTAAATAAAAGACATGTATTTCATCAGGAAGAAGCATCTCACTAGGGATCCAAATTTTTTCTCATCACAGGAACTGATTCCTATGAAAACAGGTGCTGATCTCCAAGCTTGGCTGGCCAAGAGGGACAGTTGAGCCTGCTGGGGAAGTAAATAACAGAGATTTAACTTTGGATCATCAGAAAAAGAGGCAGTGCCCTGTTTCCTTTAGTCATCTAAGGTCATTACTCTTCATCAGTAGGAGAGACAGAGAGAGAAAGAGAGAGAAAGGACGTCAGAGACTATATTACAACATGAGAAGCCCCAGAGAGGGTTATGACTTTTAAGTTGCTGTCATCTTACTTTCAGATTATCAAGACCTTTGTTTAGGAGTCATATTTTTAATGCTCTATTTTCTAAGTTCAATTATAGTTTTATCAACAGTAAATTCATTTTTTTGAGACAGTGCTAGCAGATGACCACTCAAGAATTTGAAATTAATGGTATGTAAGTGATATGTAATGTAGTCCTAGGTTCAGCCTATTGACACTTTGAGCTCTTGTAGAATATTGCCTATAAAACAGATTTATGTTTTTGCATTCGTAGAGATATCTAAAAAGAGTAAAAAGACTTTCTAAAGTTTGAGTAAAATTAATCCAAAGACACGGAAAGTCCATGAATTTCAGTTCTAACAGAAAATTTTTGAATTAAATTTTCAAAAGGTTGTAACTGACAGAGTAAACATGTACTAGGTACAAGAGGTAATGAATTCTGAAGTTATGAAGTATTTGTATTCCAAGTGGAAATGCAATTGTTTACCTGAATTTTGGGCCCAGAACACTAGTCACTACTCTTTTTATTTATAAAACACCCAGTGAGCCCATCTTCATGGAATATACATGGAATATAATTCTTGTAGGAGAAATACAGGCTTGGATAAAAAGTGGTGAATGATGGGAGACTAAAATATCTGAGTTCCTGAGGTGACATTCAGGATGAGATTTGTTTTTTGTTTTTTTTTGTTTTTTTTTTCTTTGAGACAGAGTCTCACTCTGTTGCCCAGGCTGTAGTGCAGTGGCACAACCTCGGCTCACTGCAACCTCCACCTCCTGGGTTCAAGCGATTCTCCTGCCTCAGCCTCCCAAGCAGCTGGGATTACAGGCATGTGCCACCACTCCCAGCTAATTTCTGTATTTTTAGTAGATATGGGGTTTCACCATGTTGACCACGCTGGTCTTGAACTCCTGACTTCTGGTGATCTGCCTGCCTTGGCCTCCCAAAGTGCTGGGATTACAGGCATGAGCCACCACGCCTGGCCAAGATTTGCTTTTAAATATGCTTAATTGCTACAATTTGAATAACTTTTTGTCTATCTGAGTAAGCATAGTTAGTACTTTCGAATTAAAAGGAATATAGCAATCAGTTGATGTTACATTTAATGGATGAGAAGACTAAAGCCAAGTGAGCTTCAGTGTCTTGTTTAAGGTAATACAGCTATCTGATAACAGAACTTGAACTGGAAACAATTGCTCTGGTTCTTCTAGAACCACACCATGGTGCCATACCGTCATCCAAGGTGAAGAAACAATTTAATTTACAAAGGGAAAAATGAGGCAGCTGTGATGACAAATCTAGGCAACCTTGTATTCCAGGTAAATTTATTTCTATTGTTCTGAATTATCAGGATCATTTCCTGTTAGACAAATTTCAAACAAGCTTTTCAAAACCCATGACTCTACTGTCTCTATAATGATAGAGACATTAAAGAAAACAACGTTACACAAGAATACAGCATTTTAAAATGCCAGACTTTTTTTCATTTAGGTAGTTGGAAGAATGGAGCAATGGTATTAATTGCTCAAGAAAGTGCTACTTTCTTCTGACAGGTAACTATACAAATTACCAATTAAAAATTATTAGCTCATATATTATTTAGTGATACCCTAGTGTGCTGTAATGCAGATTTTTCTCTTCAATATTTGCAGAATGTCACATCATTTTTGGAAAACCACACGGGAGCTCCTTTCCCCATTGTCTCCTAGGGAAGTTCATCACTGCTTATATCCACTGCACAGTAACATAGTTAATGGATAATGTTTGTACCAAGTTTATTACTGCATGTCCCAGTTGGGGTCCTTGAAGTCAGTAACAGAAATTTTTAATCTACTTTCAATATGTTAGAGAGCCTCATGGAAACTGAACATTTGTAAACTTGCACAAGCTGACAAAAATGCCAAGCAATTTCTTTGCTTTTGTATGGAGTTATGGTAACTCAGTGTGTTTATTCATGGTCACCAGAAGTTCTGATTGGCAGCAACATAAGCCTTTGAAAAATAAAGATAGAGAAAGAGTGACTAAATATTTAATGAATACAATATTAATAGACAATTATCTCTATAGGTAATACAGCTTCCCTTATATGAGAATCATAAGAATCACAACTTTGTCTATTTAAAATATTTATAATATTTTGGTCTCTTAATAGGTCTCTGCTTTTCTACCTTTGTCCTACCTCTAGAGGATATTTAAGACGTTTTTGGCTGGCCACAGTGGCTCATACCTGTAATCCCAGCACTTTGGGAGGCTGAGGTGGGAGGACTACTGGAGCCTGGGAGGTCAAGGTTACAATGAGCTGTGATCTTGCCACTTCACTCCAGCCTGGGTGATAGAGAGATAGAAACTCGGTTTAAAAAAATTTTTAAAGACATTTTTATGTGAATATACACTTGATATTCATCATTGAGTTCAATGGCATCTTTAAAGTAATTTTAAGTAATTGACATTTTAGTAGGTAAAAGTTCCTACAAAAGCCATTTAGAGCCTCTATTTAAAATCCCAGAAAATCAGGTTCTTAAGGGCAATAGTGAATTATAGGAAAAAAATCTTGACAATCTTCTATCCTGAATTCATTTCCTTTAAAAGGTAGATTCTTTATAATGCTCATTTTGATGATGCCACTGATAGATCCTGATTCTTCATTTTCAGAATTGCAAAGGGGTGGATGACTTGATTCTTTTCTGATTAGTTGCTGATCCTTGCTCATTTATTCTAACTCCCTCTTCCATGTTTAAAAACATTGTTAAGCTAAAAGAGATGCCTCTGTAAGACTCATTAGTACTGGCTTTTATTCACATTCTGCATTTAAATACTGGAATTCCTGCTTTTCTGTGCTACCCTCTCTGAATACTGAGAAATGTTTAGATACTTCCTGTGTGCATATACTCACAATTTCAGCAGTTGTTTCTCTGTTTTTAATCTTTTAATGTTCTGCGTCTCAAATGTTAATATTTTTCTGATAGCTCTACCAATCTGTTCTCTTCTGCATTGACTTGATTGTGTATTGGCTGCAAAACATTAGCACATTTTATATTTTCATTTGTCATTTTCCATCAGATGCTGATGGCAAAGGCTCATTGTCTTGGATACTCCATTGCCCTCTTTATGCTGCCTCTTGAATGTCACCCTTGGTTTGTCTTTCTTATCCACCACACCCAGTACATTGCTAAGTCCTGTGAAACCTATCTCTTAAATGTTTCTCAGATATATCTAGTTCTCTCCATCCCCACCATTGCACACTAGCACTCATGCATAGAATACTGAAATAGTTTCCTTCCTATTTAGTCTCTTGCTGTTCTCCAATACAATCACCATACTGCAGCAATTAGAAGATTTCCTTTGCAGAAAACTCTCCAGTGGCTTTTCATTGCCTTTCCCACCATGCTCAAGAGCTTTAATATGGCCAATTCTGTCAGCAGCCTCATCTGTTATTTACTTTGTTCTCTCTGCTCCAGCTTTTACAGGTGTGTCCAATCTTTTGGCTTTCCCGGGCCATATTGGAAGAAGAATTGTCATGAGCCACACATAAAATACACTAACACTAACGATAGCTGATGAACTAATAAAAAAATGAGTCAGGGCATAAATCTCATAATGTTTTAAGAAAGTTTATGAATTTTGTTGGGCCTCATTCAAAGCCATCCTAGGCCACATGCAGCTCACAGCCCATGGGTTGGACAAGCTTGCTTTATAAGATTTCTTCTAGTTCCTCACACACATATGAATTCATCTTCCCCCTTTATAACAGAAAAATTCCTACTCATCTTTCTGGGTTCACCATCACCTTCCTTTCTATGAGAAGGCTTTCCATATTACTGGACCAGACGAGGCCCTGCTCTGCTCCTCCAGTTCCCCAAACTTTTCATGTCAAAAACACTCCTGACTCTTTGGTGTTATTACTTGTTATTTTTTCATCTTCTCCATTATGATATCCCTGTTATCCTATTCACGACCTCTCCATGTAATAGGAGATCTTGCAATTTGTTGAAGGGAATGTTAGTCAAGAGACTCAAAATTGCTTAGTGAGAGACTATTTTGCATGGTGTCATACAGAGTGAGCCTGAGTTCAGTGTCAGCCACTCACAAACTGAAACCTTGGGCAAGTTACTATACTCTTCATGCCTGAGTTCCCCCAACTGTAATGGAATAGTTGGTATAAACCCCTATTGCATGGATTTCCTGTTAAGATTAAATGAGTTGATGTGTCAGGGTTGGAACAGGGCCTGCCTAGCACATTGTCAACACTATTTAAGGTTAGCTATTATTATTATTGCTATTATTATCATTAATGGGAGAGCATTTCAAAAGCTGAAATCACGTCTCCCCCTCTCTCTATATATAATCTGCTACTCAAGGTCAAAATATACTTTCTGACCATGCGGACTCTTTCCTGGCTCTATATATATTTGATGTCCTGGTGCATCTCAGAGGCATGTCCTGCCCTTTCCCTTTACAGGTATTAATATTTTGGATAATTTGTTGGGGACTGAATTTTTATATCCTTTACCTTAAATTTGGTTAGTTTGCCCAGAAAGTTAAAGTCATACCTTCTTACTCTCAATTCAAAATGATTTTGGGCTGCCTGAGTACGGAAAAATGTATTGCATTTTCTGCCCAGATGTTTGAACTGGGGAATAACCTTGGTTTTGTAAGTCATCTTCTTTTTACTGTATTGACTATTACTTTTGTTGGGAGAAATGAAGGGATATTTAAGTTTCAACGTTCACATCAAGATTTCGCCCCTTTTGGCTCCATATTTAACAGAAAAATCCCAAATCAATTTAACAACAAGAAAAAATCAGTATTTTTAATTAGAAATCCAGACAAGTTTTAGCTCTAATTATGTATTCCTGAGATAATATATGAGAGAACGGAACTTTCGTAAGTATTCCCCACACAAATCCTCTAAACCTGGAGAAAATGCTGATGTAGTTAGTGGGTGATTTTAATGCAAAAAGCTTTGTTATCCATAGTTTCTGGGTTTCAGTTGGTTGACTACACATGGAAGAGTACAAGGTTTTTGCATCTTTTTCTTAGTTGAGAATCAAAGTAGGTGATAGACTGTATTCATTCATTGAGCTTTTATTGAATACCTGTTGTGTGCTGGGCAATATAGATAAGTAGACCCAATAATAAAAAGAAAACCTTGAGTGTTATAAAGTCTTACAGGACAGATCAATAAGTAAACAGACAAATAAAATTCAGTCTGATAAGTGCTATAATATAGGTATGCAAAAGATGTTGTAGAAACTCATAGGGGAACCATCAGTCTTGAAGAGCTTGGGAATGGTGTATGAGTGAGTGAGACACAGAATATTTAAAGCCAGGGAGTGACATGAACTGAGTTTTATTTAAGTTCACTTTTGCTGCCAGCTAGGGAACAGATTGGGAAGGAGTGAGGCTGGAGGAAGGGAAACCAGCTAGGTGGCTGCTTCCTGCTAATAAACAGTTCACACTTCCTGAGTGCTCACTATAAGCCAGGCATACTCCCAAGCACTTTACATATGTTAATCCATTTAATCCTCACAGCAATCTTATGAGGTGGGGTGCTATTTCCTTTTATTATCTTGATTTATAGATAAGATACAGAGAGATTAAGTAGTTGCCCAAGATCATAAGTCAATGAGAGGCAGAGCTGGGATTTGCATTCAATCTGGCTCCAGAATCCGTGCTCTAAACCATGATAATATGTTGCTATTTGACAAAATAATCTAGAAAGATGAATGATGTGAAAGAAGTAGCATTGAAAAAGAAGTAGCATAGAAATGAGCGGATGCTTGGAAAGATACTAAGGAACTACAATCAGTAGGGTTTGGTGCCTGATTAGATTACGAGGCTACCAGAAAGAAAAGTATCATTACACTCTTATGTTTTCGGCCTGGGCAATTTGGTGGGTAGAAATTCCATTTTTTGAAATTGAGATCTCAAGAAGGTGGCTGATTTTCTTGGGAAGAACATAGAAGAGGAGAAGAATTTTGTGTGTGCTAAGTTTGAGATCTCTGTGGAACATCATAGTGGAAATGTTCAGCAGGATGTTGGAAATATGGGCAGGAAGCTAAGAGATTAGGCTGGGAAATACAGACTTGAGAACTATTGGCATATATATGTATATAATAGTTAAAGGAAATGGTTAAGTTTATACTAGGAAGGGTTTTAGAGTAAAATGAGAGCTGAAGAAAACTCTGACATTTAAGGGATGGCTAGAGAAGAAGATTCCACAAGGATACTGAGAAGGATGAAATAGAGAAGTAGGAGAAACATGAGGAAAGCCACTGAGTTTTAAGAAAAAAATGGTCAAAAGTGTCAAGAGTTACAGAGAAGTCAATCTGAAGTCAGAAAATTCTCCAGTGATTTAGCAATAAAGAATTGGGTAACTTTGATGAGAATAGTTCCAACGCAGCCATTATTGTAAAAGCCGAAAACAGCACCGGATTGCAAAGTGGTGGACATCTGAGAGAGTAGAGACAGCAAATCTACATAAATCTTCTGAGAGTTTTACAAATTTCCAGATATTATTATTATTATTATTATTTTTGAGACAGAGTCTCACTCTGTGGCCCAGGCTGGAGTGCTGTGGAGTGATCTCGGCTCACTGTAACTTCTGCCTCTCAGGTTCAAGCCATTCTCCTGCCTCAGCCTCCTGAGTAGCTGAGATTACAGGTGCCCACCACCACGCCCAGCTAATTTTTGTATTTTCAGTAGAGATGGGTTTTCATCATATTTGCTAGGCTGGTCCAAACTCCTGACCTCATGATCCACCCGCCTCAGCCTCCCAAAGTGCTGGGATTACAGGCGTGAGCCACTGAGCCCAGCCCCAGATGTTAATCTTTAGTCAAGCTATCGAGTCATATCTTATCAAAATGCTTTTGCCAGAGAACCAGACAGGATTATTTTTCTGCCTGGACTGAGCAGGAATTCTCTATTTAGTAAGATTTGGGGATACGAAGATTTCTTTTGCATTAGCATGTCACTGGTGCCTGAAATTCTCCCATTCATGTTGCATGTTGGACCAATGGTCTCTGAGGAGGGATAACAAAATTAAGCTTCAGTTAGTTCTTAAGCCTTAGGTGACAATGAATTTATTGGGTCTTTCCTGGAAGTGATGAGCTGAGGTAACTTATGGATGTTGATGAGGGAGGAGTCATGGAAAGGAGGTGGAGGAAACAGTTGGAATCCAGTACATGGAATTTCTGTCTGAAGAACATAAGAGTCTTGGGTATGTATGTAATGTATTTTGGTGCAGAGGTAGGTAGGCAGGATAATGACAGTCCGGAAGATAAATTACAAATTTTCTCAGTTTCAGCTCTGCATAGAGTTCACCCTGTATCCAGGTCTCCACTGCTCTGGCTGTGTATAAATGACCATGGCTTATTAGTGTGACTACAGTGGAATCCACTTAGCTCCATGAAATGTATGTTTGTTTATAGCCCCTGGGCCTTCAGCAGTGCTTGGCATATACCACATTGTTAAAAAATATTTTCTGAGTGAGCATACATGAGTTAGGGTGATGCCCTAATGATTTTGCCATGGAGTGTATAGATGTAGATTACATTTAAATGATTTCAGCTGTAATCAAGGCTTTAGGTTTATATTTGCATTCGTAGATATTGTTGTGGCTGGGCAACAACGTCTGCAGTAGTGCTCAGAATGAGATCACTGGTGACTTTGATTAATGCAGAGTGGAAGAAACCACAATGCATTATGACAACTTCTTACCTCAAGTAATCACCTTAAGAGATAATATAACAATATATCCCATACCTATTTTAATGTTAATATATTTTAGAGCTTGGAAAATGGATTTTTTTTGAAAATTTAATAACATGTCTAGCTTCTTATCCTTTGTGCCTGTAATCATCAGAGCTGATGTCATTTAACCGTGACTGATAAGTTGGACACTGTTTCAGAACTTGAGGCCAATTTGATCTCTGGTTAGCAGGTCCACAAGCGGCCCATGGTGACTACTGAGACACCACTCTGACCCCCTTCACTTGCTGTTAGTGCTGTGGCAGACACTCCTTACCTATCAGCCTTCTATGAAGATTGCATCAGGGGAAGAGACCTGCCTTACCCAAGGTCACACCTCCTTCCCAGGAGAACCACATCTGATGACTGACTGTCAGGGGGATATAAATCCCCAGCTTTTTTGCTCCAATTCGAGACAGTTTTGAAGGGTCATTCTTTTTTTTTATTATTATACTTTAAGTTTTAGGGTACATGTGCACAACGTGCAGGTTAGTTACATATGTATACATGTGCCATGCTGGTGCGCTGCACCCACTAACTCATCATCTAGCATTAGGTGTATCTCCCAATGCTATCCCTCGCCCCTTCCCCCACCCCACAACAGTCCCCAGAGTGATGTTCCCCTTCCTGTGTCCATGTGTTCTCATTGTTCAATTCCCACCTATGAGTGAGAATATGCGGTGTTTGGTTTTTTGTTCTTGCGATAGTTTGCTGAGAATGATGGTTTCCAGCTTCCTCCATGTCCCTACAAAGGACATGAACTCATCATTTTTTAGGGATGCATAGTATTCCATGGTGTATATGTGCCACATTTTCTTAATCCAGTCTATCATTGTTGGATATTTGGGTTGGTTCCAAGTCTTTGCTATTGCGAATAGTGCCGCAATAAACATACGTGTGCATGTGTCTTTATAGCAGCATGATTTATAGTCCTTTGGGTATATACCCAGTAATGGGATGGCCGGGTCAAATGGTATTTCTAGTTCTAGATCCCTGAGGAATGGCCACACTGACTTCCACAATGGTTGAACTAGTTTACAGTCCCACCAACAGTGCAAAAGTGTTCCTATTTCTCCACATCCTCTCCAGCACCTGTTGTTTCCTGACTTTTTAATGATTGCCATTCTAACTGGTGTGAGATGGTATCTCATTGTGGTTTTGATTTGCATTTCTCTGATGACCAGTGATGATGAGCATTTTTTCATGTGTTTTTTGGCTGCATAAATGTCTTCTTTTGAGGAGTGTCTGTTCATGTCTTTTGCCCACTTTTTGATGAGGTTGTTTGTTTTTTTCTTGTAAATTTGTTTGAGTTCATTGTAGATTCTGGATATTAGCCCTTTGTCAGATGAGTAGGTTGCGAAAATTTTCTCCCATTTTGTAGGTTGCCTGTTCACTCTGATGGTAATTTCTTTTGCTGTGCAGAAGCTCTTTAGTTTAATTAGGCCCCATTTGTCAATTTTGGCTTGTGTTGCCATTGCTTTTGGTGTTTTAGACATGAAGTCCTTGCCCATGCCTGTGTCCTGAATGGTAATGCCTAGGTTTTCTTCTAGGGTTTTTATGGTTTTAGGTCTAACGTTTAAGTCTTTAATCCATCTTGAATTGATTTTTGTATAAGGTGTAAGGAAGGGATCCAGTTTCAGCTTTCTACATATGGCTAGCCAGTTTTTCCCAGCACCATTTATTAAATAGGGAATCCTTTCCCTATTGCTTGTTTTTCTCAGGTTTGTCAAAGATCAGATAGTTGTAGATATGCGGCGTTATTTCTGAGGACTCTATTCTGTTCCATTGATCTATATCTCTGTTTTGGTACCAGTACCATGCTGTTTTGGTTACTGTAGCCTTGTAGTATAGTTTGAAGTCAGGTAGTGTGATGCCTCCAGCTTTGTTCTTTTGGCTTAGGATTGACTTGGTGATGCAGGCTCTTTTTTGGTTCCATATGAACTTTAAAGTAGTTTTTTCCAATTCTGTGAAGAAAGTCATTGGTAGCTTAATAGGGATGGCATTGAATCTATAAATTACCTTGGGCAGTATGGCCATTTTCACGATATTGATTCTTCCTACCCATGAGCATGGAATGTTCTTCCATTTGTTTGTATCCTCTTTTATTTCCTTGAGCAGTGGTTTGTAGTTCTCCTTGAAGAGGTCCTTCACATCCCTTGTAAGTTGGATTCCTAGGTATTTTATCAAGCAAATGGAAAACAAGAAAAGGCAGGGGTTTTAATCCTAGTCTCTGATAAAACAGACTTTAAACCAACAAAGATCAAAAGAGACAAAGAAGACCATTACATAATGGTAAAGGGATCAATTCAACAAGAAGAGCTAACTAACCTAAATATATATGCACCCAATACAGGAGCACTCAGATTCATAAAGCAAGCCCTAAGTGACCTACAAAGAGACTTAGACTCCCACACATTAATAATGGGAGACTTTAACACCCCACTGTCAACATTAGACAGATCAGCGAGACAGAAAGTTAACAAGGATACCCAGGAATTGAACTCAGCTCTGCACCAAGCAGACCTAATAGACATCTACAGAACTCTCCACCCCAAATCAACAAAATATACATTTTTTTCAGCACCACACAACACCTATTCCAAAATTGACCACATAGTTGGAAGTAAAGCACTCCTCAGCAAATGTAAAAGAACAGAAATTATAACGAACTATCTCTCAGACCACAGTGCAATCAAACTAGAACTCAGGATTAAGAAACTCACTCAAAACCACTCAACTACATGGAAACTGAACAACCTGCTCGTAAATGACTACTGGTTACATAACGAAATGAAGGCAGAAATAAAGATGTTTTTTGAAACCAACGAGAACAAAGACACAACATACCAGAATCTCTGGGACACATTCAAAGCAGTGTGTAGAGGGAAATTTATAGCAGTAAATGCCCACAAGAGAAAGCAGGAAAGATCCAAAATTGACACCCTAACATCACAATTAAAAGAACTAGAAAAGCAAGAGCAAACACATTCAAAAGCTAGCAGAAGGCAAGAAATAACTAAAATCAGAGCAGAACTGAAGGAAATAGAGACACAAAAAACCCTTCAAAAAATTAATGAATCCAGGAGCTGGTTTTTTGAAAGGAGCAACAAAATTGATAGACCACTACCAAGACTAATAAAGAAAAAAACCGAGAAGAATCAAATAGATGCAATAAAAAATGGTAAAGGGGATATCACCACTGATCCCACAGAAATACAAACTACCATCAGAGAATACTATAAACAACTCTACGCAAATAAACTAGAAAATCTAGAAAAAATGGATAAATTCCTCGACACATACACTCTCCCAAGACTAAACCAGGAAGAAGTTGAATCTCTGAATAGACCAATAACAGGAGCTGAAATTGTGGCAATAATCAATAGTTTACCAACCAAAAAGAGTCCAGGACCAGATGGATTCACAGTCGAATTCTACCAGAGGTACAAGGAAGAACTGGTACCATTCCTTCTGAAACTATTCCAATCAATAGAAAAAGAGGGAATCCTCCCTAACTCATTTTATGAGGCCAGCATCATCCTGATACCAAAACTGGGCAGAGACACAACCAAAAAAGAGAATTTTAGACCAATATCCTTGATGAACATTGATGCAAAAATCCTCAATAAAATACTGGCAAACCGAATCCAGCAGCACATCAAAAAGCTTATCCACCATGATCAAGTGGGCTTCATCCCTGGGATGCAAGGCTGGTTCAATATATGCAAATCAATAAATGTAATCCAGCATATAAACAGAACCAAAGACAAAAACCACATGATTATCTCAATAGATGCAGAAAAGGCCTTTGACAAAATTCAACAACGCTTCATGCTAAAAACTCTCAATAAATTAGGTATTGATGGGACGTATCTCAAAATAATAAGAGCTATCTATGACAAACCCACAGCCAATATCATACTGAATGGGCAAAAACTGGAAGCATTCCCTTTGAAAACTGGCACAAGACAGGGATGCCCTCTCTCACCACTCCTATTCAACACAGTGTTGGAAGTTCTGGCCAGGGCAATGAGGCAGGAGAAGGAAATAAAGGGTATTCAATTAGGAAAAGAGGAAGTCAAATTGTCCCTGTTTGCAGACGACATGATTGTATATCTAGAAAACCCCATTATCTCAGCCCAAAATCTCCTTAAGCTGATAAGCAACTTCAGCAAAGTCTCAGGATACAAAATCAATGTACAAAAATCACAAGCATTCTTATACACCAATAACAGACAAACAGAAAGCCAAATCATGAGTGAACTCCCATTCACAATTGAAGTGTCATTCTATCTTCACGGTTCTCCAAGAGGATGGCTGAGCCTTCACGAGTCCTGCATCACAGCTTAACTTCTCCTTTTTTCTAGTACTGCCATTTCCCTTTCATAGATGTTGATCCACAAAACCTCCGTTATTACCCCACGCATGCTCACATCCACTCAATTTGTATTCCAGGAACCGACCTGTGGCACGGATTGGTAATTCACTTGTTCAGTATTATCATTATTCCACTGGCCTAATGGAGCCCAATCTTAGTTCTTACAGAGCTATTAGAAGCCTTACAGACTTTCTAGTCTAATTTTTAAATTTTCCTGGTGTAGAAACAGGGGTCTTGGGAGATTATGTGACTTTCCTGAGATCATGTCTAATTTCAAATACTCTAGCAACTAAATATAGCCTGTTCTTCCCTCATCATATCTCTCATGGTACCAAGTCACTGATAAGACTTCTAACTCTACATTCTGTTTTCCCCATGAAAAGGTTGTCATAGCATTCTTGCTACACCTGATCCATCCAAACCAAATTCCTGTATTCTTTCTTCTTTTTCTTTTTTTTTTGAGGTGGTGTCTCGCTCTGTTGCCCAGGTTGGAGTGCAGTAGTGCGATCTCAGCTCACTGCAACCTTCATCTCCCAGGTTCAAGAGATTCTCATGCTTCAGCCTCCTCAGTAGCTGGGATTACAGGCATGTGCCACCACACCTTGCTAATTTTTGTATTTTTAGTAGAGACAGGGTGTTGCCATGTTAGCCAGGCTAGTCTCAAACTCCTGTTCTCAAGAGATCTGCCTGCCTTGACCTCTCAAAGTGCTGGGATTACAGGCGTGAGCCCCTGCGCCTGGCTCCAAATTTTTATCTCCTGTTCTGACCTGTCCTGCCACCACCTAAGGTGGTTTGCTAAAATGTCTAAGCTCATCAAATGAGCTGGAAATCAGATTTCCACAATGAATCTACAAGCACTGAAGAGAGATGATTAATTGCTATATTTGGTTTCAATAGTTGGAATAATGTAATTGTGGAGGTACCCTATTTTCTTCTCTTCACTCAATTAGAGATGTTTCTGAAAAGGTGAGAAAAATATGGGGGAAGCTCCTTTTAGAGTCTATTTTTCTTTTCTTTGGTAGTCCAAGGTACTAGATTGATCAGCCTCATGGCTATCAATTCCTTCTTTTATTCAACATTTTTTTCCTTCCGTGCTTATTCTGAGCCAGGCACTGTTTTAGTGCTTCAGGTACATTAGTGAGTAAATTATACAGGATTTCCTGTCTTTTTGGAGCTTACTTAGTGGGGGTAGGCAGTGATAACATTAAAAAAAAAAAGAACATGGTAAAAGGAATTAAAAGTGTTCCAAGATTAAGAGGTAGAGTGGAGGGTAGGCAGTTTGTAATATTAATTGGGTGATCACTGAAAAAGCAAGATTTGAATAAAGTCTGAAAGGGGGGGGTAGGGACTTAGGCAACCCTGGGGAAGAGCATCTAGGGGAAGCATCAGCTAGAACAAAGGCCCTAGGTGAGAGCACACCTGAAGTGTTTGAGAAACAGCCAGTGAACCATTGGATTGGGGTGCGGAAATGGGTGGGCTGGGGAATATTAGGAGGTAGAAGTATGGGATGAAAGTGGGGCCATATCATAAGCCCCTGTAAAGACTGCAGCCTTTACTGTGAGTGAACTGGGTAGCTATTGGAGGGTTTTAAGCAGAAGAGTGAAATGATCTAGTTTGTGGTTGAAGGGATTATTCTTGCTACTTAGCTGAGGGCAGAAGCTGAGAGAACAGCAAGGAGACTATTGGAATAATTCAGGTGACAGATGATAGTGGTTCAGACTAGATCAGGGCAGGAAAACAGTGCAAAGTGGTCAGATTCTGGGTATACTTTGAAGGTAGTGGCAACAGGACTGAATGTGGAATCAGAGAGAAATGCTAAGGAAAATGACAAGCTTATAGCTAGAGCAGTTGGTTTAATGGAGTTTTCACTCCATCACTCCAGATGGGGATGGTTGGGGATGGAAAAGATTTTGGGGTAAAGGAAGATCAGGAGTTCAGTTTTGTATGTCTTGCATATATAAAATTATAGATGTCAAGTGGAAATTTGATTTATACATTTGGAATTGGAGAGAATCTGACTAAAGATATAAATTTGGGAGTCATAGTTGGCTTTTTAAGGCATGGACCTATATGAGGTCATGATAATGAGCTAGAGAGAGGAGGACCAGGAAGTGAGCACTGAGGATCTGTAGCCTCAGATAAAATAGGATGAATTAGCACAGGGATCTGAGAAACAGTGATTGGTAAGATAGGCGGGAAACCGAGATTGTAGTGTCCTGGAGTCAACTGACGAAGAGTTGAGGAAGAGTGATTAACTGTGTCTAATGCTATTTGAAGGTCTAAAGTAGATGATGAGAGAAAACTGACTCATGGATTTAGTAGCATTATATCAAACAAGGTCAAGTCTGAAAAGCAGGAGAAAATGGCCAGCAGGTATTATTAATAGGAGATCAATATCACTAATCATCAGGGAAATGCAAATCAAAACCACAATGATATAACCTCATGTGTTTTACAACAGCTACTATCAAAAAGATAAGAGATAACAAGTGTCGGCAAGGGTATGAAGAAAAGGGAGCCTTTGTACACTTGGTGGTAATGTGAATTGGTACAGCCATTATAAAAAACAGTGTGGAGATTCCTTAAAAGATTAAAAACAGAGCTACCATAAGATACAGCAATCCCATTTCTGTGTATATATCTAAAGGAAAGGAAATAAGTATCCTGAAGAGATATCTGCACCCGCACATACGTTGCAGCCATTATTCATAATGGCCAAGACATAGAAATGATCTTTTTAGTGTATGTCAGTAGATTAATGGATAAAGAAAATATGGTATCCATGCAATAGAATATTATTCAGCCATAAAAAGAAAGACATTGTGACATTTACAACAACATGGATAAGCTTGGAGGAGATTATGCTAAGTAAAACAAGCCAGACACAGATATACAAATACTGCATGATCTAATTTATACATGGAATCTAAAAAAGTTAAACTCATAGGAACAGAGATTAGAAAGGTGGTTTCCAGGAGCTGGGGAGTAGAGAAACTAGGAAGATATTGGTCAAAGGGTATAAACTTTCAATTCTAAGATGAATAAGCTCTGAGGAGCTAATGCATAGTGTGGCCATTACAGTTAATAACATTGTATTGTATACTTGAAATTTGCTAAGAAAGTAGATCTTCAGTGTCTTCAACACACACACACACACACACACAAAAAGGGTAACTATGTGATGTGATGGATGTGTTAATTAACTTGATTGTGGTAATCATTTGAAACCAACCCAATAGTCCCATAGATAGTTTTTTTTGGATAAATATAGAAATTGACCCTTCTGGTCTTAAACCCAAATGTCCAACAATGATAGACTGGATTAAGAAAATGTGACACATATATACCGTGGAATACTATGCAGCCATAAAAAATGATGAGTTTATGTCCTTTGTAGGGACATGGATGAAATTGGAAATCATCATTCTCAGTAAACTGTTGCAAGAACAAAAAACCAAACACCGCATATTCTCACTCATAGGTGGGAATTGAACAGTGAGAACACATGGACACAGGAAGGGGAACATCACACTCTGGGGACGATTGTGGGGTGGGGGGAGGGGGGAGGGATAGCTTTAGGAGATATGACTAATGCTAAATGACGAGTTAATGGGTGCAGCGCACCAGCATGGCAGGTGTATACATATGTAACTAACCTGCACATTGTGCGCATGTACCCTAAAACTTAAAGTATAATAATAATAAAATAAAAATAAAAAAAAGAAATTTGTTTTGTCTGAATTCCTTCCTTAGGAAAAGACCTTCAGGCCTCTCAAAAAAAGTGTCAAAGAACTGAAGCTCACCAGATTACCACAGCCAGGCAATGAGATGCCAAACCCCTCATTTATCATGATTGCTTCTCCTTGGTTCCTGGTTTTTTTTTTTCACACATTGTTACATTTCTTGCCTGTAATGTAAACCTCTAGTTTTAATTGGTCAGGGAGATAGATTTCAGACTGATCTCCTATCTCCTTGGCTGCAGCACCTGATTAAAGTCATCTTTCTTGGCAATACTCCTTGTCTCAGTCATTGGCTTTCTGTGCGGTGAGCAGCAGGACCTAGACCAAACCCCTGCTGTTTCAATAGCAATTTCACAATGCATTTATGTATATCTAATAATCACATTGTAGATCTTTAGTATATACAGTTTTGTCAGTTATACTTCAATAACGCTTAAAAAAGGAAAGGGCATCAGTTGTTTGACAGAAATAACATAGGGAATGGGCTAAAGAGCTGCAGGGGATGTACAAAGTAAAAAGGGAAAACTTCAGTTTCACAGAGGCAGTAACTTCAGGAAGCATCTGCCCTCCATAGGGTGGGGAGACAAAGGGAAGATCTTGGTGTCAGAACCTCGAAGTTTGCAGGAAGAACCTTTTAGAGCTGGGGCATGGGCCTCACAGGAGGAAGTGCTGACTTCTTCCTGCTGCAGGCACCTCTGAGGAGATATGATGAGGCTGGTCTGGAGAGTGTAATAATCGTAAAATCTGGAACCAACTGTCTGCTGCCAGGGCAGACAGCTTTTGTTGGCACTGCTGGCAGGATATGAAGGAGCAAGTCTATTCTTCCTCCCACAGCCGTACAGCCTTACAGCTTTCCTCTGATGCTCCTACTAGCAGCGTCTGACAGGGAATAGCTGGTAAACAGAAAATATGGTTTTCAGTGTTCTAGCCCCAGCATCACAGAAGCGGAGTATAGAAGGCAGGGATGGATGTGGAAAAAAGAGACACTAGCTTAATAACTGGCATAAGCATGGAGGTCATTGGTGACTGTGACTGAAATACTTAGGTGGAATGCTGAAAGTTAAAATGCTGAAATACTTAGGTGGAGTGGGAGGAGAGAACTGGAAGAGGAAGGAGATTCTTTGGAGGAGTTTGCTGCAAATGAGGCAAGAGTGGACAGGGGAAGTGGAGTCAAGCAAATCTATTTTGGGATATGAGAAATAACAGTATGTAGTATGATATTTGCTAAGTTTTTAATGGGAATAACCCAGTAATCTAGTGGAGAGTGTAAATTTGATGGTGTGTGAGAGAGAGGAGAATCCCAGGTGTGATGCTTTTTGGTAAAGATGGAGAGCAAATGCAGACACTGGCTTTAGATAGAAGACAGTGGTGGTTGAGGTGGAGGAGAGATAGTCAGGGCTGGTCTGGCTTCTTATAGGCATTGATCCATCATTGATTTTCCTGTGCCTGGTGATCAGTTTTCTTTTTAACTTTTGTAAAGGTGATGACTTACACACCTGGGAGGGCTTTTTTTTTTTTTTGGCCATATTGGCCAGCCCTACCTGATTTCCACTCTTCTGATCCACACTAGTCAACAACATTCAAGTCCAGTTTTTTTTGTGCGTGACATATACCTAATCTTCGCATCACGTTACTCTTAGTGTTCCATAGGAGGAATACAGTAATAGAAGCCTGATAACATCCAGTTCTGACAAAGTAATGGAAAACAATCTTAAGATGCCTCAGGAAGAGATATTTTTTTCTTTTCTCAGTTGTCTGCAAATCTTATATCAAAATGCTAAATACCTTATAGATATAATGAGTAATACAGATCTTATAGTTAAACTTTTGGATATAATCTTTTCTTGTGGTGATGACATTAAGAGAAAAAAATATGTGTCTAGATAGTATCTTTACCCAGAGTTTATACATAATCATTTTCTACCAGAAATGTAGTACTTTTACTTTCCTTAGAAGAATGTCAGGCCCTTCACTAAGCATTTCTGAAAACTCCTCCAACTTTGTGTAGCTAAGAGATCAGTTGTAATAAGGTATATGGATTGGTAAGAGCACCTCTCTTATTTAGGCACAATTGGAGCGATGATAGACAAGAAACATAATAATGGCTATTTTGTGGGAGAAGAATACCACAAATTATGAAGTAGTTATAGGAATTTTTTATCTTCTTTATGGCTTTAGACAGTATTGATTTTCAGAATTAATGCTTGTCAGTTTTCTCTCTTCCTCTCTCTTTCTGTGTGTGTGTGTGTGTGTGTGTGTGTGTGTGTATGATTCTAAAGGCATACTGGACTTACACTCTTTGGGTGCTTGTTGATAGGTATCACTGGTGGACGCCCTGCCACTGCAGAAATGTACTTCAGGGAGAAGGATAGGTGGATCCTGGGGAGAGATTAATCTCTCTGGATATAGAAAAAGAATGGGAATTCTCCTGGGGAAGGTTAGAAGATTGAGGGAGTCTAAGGCCCGATAGGAAAGTGCTCACCTAAGACAAGAGATGTCCTCCATAAAGGAATTGCTTGAGATAATTTTAACTTCTGGGATCCTTCTTTTTACCTCCTGCCAGATGGCAAACAATACTTGTCATATTTAATATTTAAGTTCCTCCTTAACTTGTTATTCTCTTGAATTTTTCCAAGCCCTATAGAAATTCTGACACACTTGTGCATGAAGATGGTGAAGATGATAGGGAGAAAGAAGCATAGAGCATGCCTCTAGGTCAGACTGTGGCTGCCTTGGAGTTACACGGCAGGAAAAGCACTGGAAATGCTTCCGCCTGACTGCTACCCTGAGGCCAAACTAGAAATTGGCGTAAGATGTTCAGAGGAGCCTGTAATTGTTAGAGAGACAGCAAAGGGATATTTACAGGACAGTAATGAATTGAAAACAAGAGCCTGCCAACAAATTAGGTTGAGGCATTTTTAATCCTTATGAACAAAGAACGCAGTACATTGAATCTGAAGTAAGGCTGTTGTGTGGCCATGGCTTGCAATAGTGGTGGTCTGTGGACTCCAGAAGCTTTGGCAGCAATGGAGTCTCGGTCTGTAGGAAAAGTGAGCTCTTCTTTTCCGTGTTACTTTTGTTGTTCTCATGGTTTGGAGCCATGGGGAGCCATACTTTACTTGGTCCCCAAGGGACTAATCCAATTATTGCCTGTCAGTTCATTAATATATATCCAGATGTCTAATCTGTTCATCAATAACAGAAATAAATAGCAATTATCGGTCATTGTCCTTGTAAAAAGTCCTAGAAAATATTCCAAAGCTTTAGCCTGGGACATTCCACTTTAGAAAAGCTTGTCATTCCACTTAGGATGTTGTTGGATTTTATTGTCACAGTGACCATCAAATTAAATATGTGGAAAAGATTGGGACATTCTAACTCACTGTGGTCCAGCTAAGTCTGTTAATGAGGAAATCTCCAGAAGCACTTTTTTTTTTTTTTTTTTTTTGGAGACAGTCTCACTCTGTCGCTCAGGCTGGAGTGCAGTGGCGCGATCTCCGCTCACTGTAAGCTCCACCTCCCGGATTCACGCCATTCTCCTGCCTCTGTCTCCCGAGTAGCTGGGACTACAGGTGCCCGCCACCACACCCAGCTACTTTTTTGTATTTTTAGTAGAGACGGGGTTTCACTGTGTTAGCCAGGATGGTCTCCATCTCCTGACCTCGTGATCCGCCCTTCTCGGCCTCCCAAAGTGCTGGGATTACAGGCGTGAGCCACTGCGCCCAGCCCAGAAGCACTTTTTAAAGGGTAGAGTTTTATTGTCTTCAAGTTCAATACCTTGAACTTGATAAGTACATGGATAATAAAGATCAACTATTACAAAGCTTTAGGAGACCTGTCTTAAATATTCTGGCATACTTGAACACTATTTCTTTACATGGGTTTGGGAATGCATTTAAAACATTTTCTGTGACGTGCGACATTACTTAGTTTAAAGGATATGCTAATATTGGATTGAGATATTTTGAACATATAGAATGTTTTAAAATATATAACTGATATGTATACATCCCCCACTCAATTTGAAGAATTATTACTTGCCCATATTTGCTTTAAATCTCTCTTTCTGTGTATCTCCGCTGCCCTTCCCCTCTTCCTGTCTTTCCACCTCCTTTCTTAAATACATATTACAAATACAGCTAAAGCCCCATCCCTCTTCCTTCTTTTTATCTCTCCTTTCCCAGAAGATTGTGTGTATCTCAAAACCATGATGTGGGGTGCAAAGTCAAGTTGAAAAAGGATACTTAGCACAATAACATTTGTATAAATTTCAAAAACACATGAAATAATATGCATCATTTATGACTAAGCACATTTTAGTAAAAGACCTTTTACCCATAATAAATATAAAAGAAATAGCCGATTCATGAAGCTTTACTATATCATGAGCAATAATCAACTTGCAACAAAAGTCAGAATATATTGAACTGACATGCCCACTCAAAGACTTCTTAATATTACAAATTGTTCGTCAGTAGTAATCTGTCCTGATATATTTAATCAATAAAAATAACTTTAGGACTAGAGCTGTAACTACTCCCCTGTTTCATTGGTTACGTTTTCTCCTTTGGAATACAAACCTAGAGCCTTACTAATGTTGAAATGCATTGCGTAATAAAATGCTTTTCTTGGTTGAACTTAGCTAGTAAATAAAATAATTAAAATGCCATGATTTGGAGTCCCAGATAATTTTTCTCCAGTAGAAATGACCTCATAAAATACTCATCCCATTGGGTAAGCTGGATCTCCATTCTTTGCATTTTAAATGATTGATAAGGATGTTGGGATAAGGTGAAATACAATCAGCAGAAATATATAATATACCAAGGTTAGTTTTAAAAATAATTTATCAAGGTATGTGTTAGCTTAAAGATAACATTAATTCTCATAGCACGTCTAAATTTTCTCTATGAAGCATGCTTGGATGCATGATCCTTAATAAACTCTCTTCTGTTACTTTTAGCACTAGATTGCATACTTGTTTTGTTTTGTTCACTATTTTTGTGCGTTTGACTTTATTTTTTATATACCCACAGTGCCTAGCACAGTACTAGGCACATAGTAGGTGTTGTTGCATAATTATGTTTTGCATAGTTTTAAATATTTTTGAAATAAATAAATTGGTCTTCAGACATAAACTTATTTAAATAGAAAAGACAAAGGTTATAGTCCTTTAAGAGAGTGAATGAACTAGTCCCTCCATCCGATTCATAATTCAGTTGTTAAGCCACCAAGGGCTCAAATCCCTTTAGCTTCCTGTCACAGAGATCCCAGTAATGTTTTCTTAAGGATATGCAAATTGCATATTAAATAATATGTGGATTTAATAAATCCACGTATTATTAGTTCTCAGATTTTGTCCCTATTGCCAGTTTCAGGACTTTAGGAAAACATCCCATTCAACATTGAGTTTGGGTTGAAACAGGTTGTTTAAGAACTTATTTGCTATTAAAACTGTTACACACACATACACACGCACACATATTTGTGTAATTCAGAGGCTTTATATAAATAGCTATACTTTTGTTTTTGAATTTTACTTATGGTTATTAATATAAATTACCTCAGGAGAATTGAATTACCGGAATTTCTCTAAGTGCTTTCCTGGGCTGCTTTTATTATCGTTACTAAAAGCTTCTACCTTTATGATACCTTGGAGAAAGCTTTATTGGAATCACATGTAATATTATTTTGGGGGTCAGATCATTGGTAACTTGGTTGACCATTACAACATTGATGCCTTAAAGGAAATGGCATTGCCACTAATGATTTTATGTTTCCATACTCCATAGTATGCAAATATTCCTGGGAGACAGAATCAAGTCCTCACTTCTTCATCACTCATTGGAAATTAGACAGTGTGCAGAAAGCACCATAAGCCTTCAGAGGTAGAAGATAAGTGGGAAGCCAAGGGTGCCAGAAATAGCTGAAGGTGCTGAAATGGGAGTTGGGGCCTGCAAAAACCAACTTTCTCGTCCATTCTAGTTTTGGCTGCTTGGACAGTGGACAATCAAATTAACAATGATGCTAAATGGAGGGTTAGGGGAGTCAGTATCATACAAAGGGACCACTTCAGTATTTGGTGTGTGTCTGTGTCTGTGTGTGTGCTTTCAGGTTTTCCCCAGATGAATTTATAAACAGTACACGTATTACCAGGCTTTATTACCCTTTATTTTCAACTGATGTAATCATTCTAGTTATTAGTTATAGGAAATAGATTTTAAGACACACATTTTTGTCTTTCTGTTTTTTGTAAAGATAGGAATATTAGCTGATGCTGCAAATTTCAAACCTGCATGCATAACGTTTAAAATTGAAAAGCAATTATATCAAACTGATTCCAAAATTAATAGTTATTGATATACATACTTATAATGGTTGAAGAATTATGGAATTGGGGGTAATACTCAAGCTTTCAGATAACACAGGCCTGGACTTGAATCCTAGCTCTGCCAATTACATGTTGTGTGAACTTGGCAATTAGCATAAATTCTCAATGTCTAGGTTTCCTCATCTGTAAAATAGGCATAACACTATTTTTTAGTGTTGTTCATTGGAAATGACATCTGCATATCACAAGATTATAGAAGGAGTTCAATGAAAGATTGCTCATAAGTGTAATGTGGGGAAATCACTACTTCTGAGGTTTTGTTTATGCTATTTTCCCAGAACGTGGGATGTACACTATTTTAATTTATTCAATAAACACTGAAGAGAATCTGTCATGTTAAAGGTTCAGAGGCTTCTAAAACCATTTAAGAGAATGTTTTGCCTTCATGAAAATGATCAGCCTACCACACATAAATCTTAAAATAATTTTGCTGGGTCACTTTTCTAAAAAGTATGGTGCATTTTCTTGTTTTCTGAAATATTAACAATGCAGGGTCATTACTATAATCATTGGTATGTACTGAGTTGCACTGCCATGATTTCTCAGGCATTATTTAGGTGTGAATGGATCTTTGTTTCTTGTTATACTTCTTGAGTCCTATTATCTGGTTTTTATATTTGCTCTTTTAATGTTCTTAATAAACTTCATCGTTTCAATTTTAGTATTTTTGTCTTAGCTCTCAAAGTATAAAAGGGAGGAGACCCAGCTTCTGAACAGGTTGTGTGGAATAGTTTAGTTAACTTCAAGTTTGCAATGAGCCAGCAGTGTTCGGTGACTGCTAATGTGGCCAACGTGGTCCTAGACTGCCTTTACAGACATGTAGTTTCCAAACCCAGAAATCATTTTTCTGATGGTCAGTCTACATTAAGAGTTCTGCTAGTAAAATACTGTCACACCGGAATGTGATATAAGGGGAATGACTAAGATGGCAAGAATGAATAAGTTAGATGAAAGAAAAAATGGCTACAGAATTGAGAATATGTAGTTTGATGTAAAAGAAACCACGAATAACATAACATCTATACAAAGCAAAGGCAGGTTAAAGTGTGGAATTAGGATGAGAGTCAGAGCACAAATAACATGACTTCTCACTCAGTACTGTGATGTTCTTTATAATTTTTTAGGGGAAAAATAATAAACCTACCTGTTTGGGGGGAAAGGGGTATCTATGCTGTCAGGGCCCTGTTTCTACTGCTTCAGACTTTCCATAAAATCATTTTGTTTGCTGGGTTTGACTTAGCAGAATAGAAGAATGCTTGGGCTGAGAGAAGAAGGATCTCAAGTATTCACAGGTATCATTGCTTCACTGTATATCTAGAAAATTAAGGAGAGCAGATATGGCACTGAAAAAAATTCCCTCTTTTTCTGGTTAATTTTCTTCTTCCTTTCCAGTGGTGTGTTGGTAAATGTTTAATAACTGACTATCTGAAAAAAAGTAAGTTTATTATAACTATTATTGACATAAAGGATGTGTAGCACACAACTTACAACTAATAATATACGATACTCTTTATTGTAAATTCAATTATAGGTCATTGATTCTCACAAAATGCTTTCAACTAATTTTTGCCAAACTCTTCTATCCATAGCCAACTCAAGATTGTAATTTATCTATGATTTGACAAAATGAGACTGTGAATAAATGTTTGCTTACTATCTGATTCAGCAAAAATGTTGCTAATGTCATTCAAAAGTGGGCATATAACCAAGATAAATTTTGGTTCTTATTTTTATTTATGTTATTGAGTTAAGAGAAAGTGAACACAAAGATGTGTCAGAATTTCATGAGTGGCTTTCCTGAATTCAATAATAGTTTTCAAATACTGAAAAGATATTACCTCTTTTTTTGTCTTATTCACAATGTAATAAGCATTGAATGGTTATTACATTGCAATAACCTATAAATGCTACCAACCTAGCATGCATTTAAAGTACTGTGCATTATTAGCTTATTCTCCATCACATTTTAAAGTCTTTTCAATCAAGAAGGCAGTAAATCAAGCCTTAATTTGTAGCATTTGCCAATTGTGGCCAAGTTTAGGCTACCAACATGATGTCATTGTATGGGGAAGTGGGGAAGAGATGTGCAGTAGCACACCATTGAAGCGGTATCATTGTCTGGGGTAAATACCTGAGATTTGTTGTCTCATGGCCATGGAAAAGTAGGATGTGGACACACAAAGAGTAAGGTTCAAAGCTGAAGTTAAATAGGTGAAAGAAAGAGATGAGCTCAGACAGGCACAGTGGCTCAAGCCTGTAATCCCAGCACTTTGGGAGGGTGAGGTGGGCAGATCACGATGTCAGGAGATCAAGACTATCCTGGCTAACACAGTGAAACCCTGTCTCTACTTAAAATACAAAAAATTAGCTGGGCGTAGTGGTGGGTGCCTGTAGTCCCAGCTACTCGGGAGGCTGAGGCAGGAGAATGGCGTGAACTGGGGAGGTGGAGCTTGCAGTGAGCTGAGATCACATCACTGCACTCCAGCCAGGGTGACAGAGTGAGACTCTGTCTCACACAAAAAAAGAGCTCTACAGCAGAGAAGGGCCCTAGAGAAATGGGTTGCTGGTTCTGTGGGGAAATGCTGCGGGTTTTATAGATAAGCTTGAGGAAGTGTTGTCTAATTTACACAGTGCATGAAAGATTGGTTGGACCAGGTGTATAATTTTCATAGGGCATGAAAAACAGGTTAGGGCTAGGTGTGCCATTTGCATAGGGCATGAAAATCTGGCTGCCCCAACCCTAATCTTTTATTATACAGATGGATTCTCTGCCTGGCTGGTGACATGTCACTTGCTTTCTTTACTGTACATGTGGTAACACAGAAAAGGGAAGATGGAGCCTCCATGTTGAATATACCTGACCCCAGGTAGCCCTTTTCTATTGGCATAGCTGCCAGCATTCACCTGTGCAAACTTCCAGCTTGCTTATCTATGTTTGAAACTTGATTTTTCAGGCTGCTCTTTGTTAGGAAGGAAATTATTTGGGGGCTGTTTTTTTTTTAAAGGGAAATTCCACTGAGGACTCTGTTGCCCTTACTATCTACCTAAATAATTCCTTTCTATCTCCTGTATCATATGTCCCCCCTCAGAAGTGGTAACCCTAACTGCTGTTAGGGGGTGTTGGACAATGACTCTTTGTGGTTACTTCCTGCTGAAGGGGGCATTGTGTAGGGAACAGCAGTTAGGGTTCCTTCTGGTGTTGATCTAAGGGTCCTCAGAAGAATGGCATGTCCACGTGTGGTTCCATCTGCAGCACCACTTGGAATTTAATCACTTCTAGGTGAGAAGAGATGAATCTTACAAGAAGGTTTTGAATATAGGGTTCAAATATGAGTATTAAGATTACCATTATTGGTCGGGGTACTATAGGCCACAACCATGACAGTAGAATTTGTTTGATACCTGTTAGATACTGGTTTGCCTCCACCAGATGTTGCTGTACTTTACCAGAAGCGTTAATACAGAAATAACATTCTTTATAGGATAAATGGCATTGGGTTGGGTGGCTAGAGTAATTTTAGTGTTAACTTTGGCTAAATATTTCCTGTAATTATTAATCCTTTCATGACTTACACAGACCATCTACAACATGCTTAAACTTTCTGACTTGTCCTAAACATTCCTCTTTTTAAACAACCAGTCATTTTCTTTAGGACAAGAATTTACCAAAGAAGATCCTTTAGTATATAAAATTTCTTTTCCTTATAACTTCCTTGCAAAGCTAGAGTGTGACATATTACCAAACTCAATAAAAAATCATAGCAGACTCAGTGATAGTAAAACTTTCATGTTTACTTCTTGTCTGTAACTATTATCTCTGCTATAAGGATAATAATTAAGCAAAATACTATAGCAATTGACATTCTTTTTCTGATATTCCATTCTGGGGGTGCTACAGTATATAGCAAATAGTAGAGTGAGTTTAACAGTTCCCTCAAGTGTGGCATAGTAAATCATTTCCATGTAAAATTTTACTTGCCAAGATACAGAATTTCCCTTTGGGAGTTTATGAAGTTACAAATGTAATCCCATGGATAATCAAAATCTCCCTGAAAGTATGTGTAATAAAGAAGTTCTAATATCTGATGGTGAATCTCAAGAGGAAAAGTAAACATGATTGACAGTATCTGGTAACATGGGGGTGGCACTCAGTAGGATGAGTAGCCCTCACTCATTTACTTATCTTTTATGATTTTCAGCTTAAGCTCTATTTTTTTTTTTGCATTGATAGCCAGGACTTTTTTTAGGCTATCAGGGTTTGCTCCCTCAGCTTTCCAGGCTTTGACTTGAGTGTGATGTATCCAGGAGTTGATTCCTTGATTCCTGTAACTTTTGTCACTGAGAGGGTTGAAAGGAGAACAGTGTAGGGCCTTTCCTAGCCTGGGCTTATGGAAGGAGAGAGAAGGGAGAACTTTTACAAATACCAAATCTTCTGGGTTAAATAATGGTGGTCCTATTCCTTGGGGTTGGGCTTCTGGTAGTTGTATTAGTTCCTGTGGAAAGTGAGCCAGAGAGGTTACACGCTTAACCAATTCAGAGGTTTCCTGGTTTAATAGGAAATTATTTGTAATGAAAGGCCATCCATACAGAATCTTGAAAGGGCTCAGACCTAATTTTGTAGGGGTATTTCTTACTTGCAGTAAAGCCATGGGAGGAAAGTGTGACCCGAGGAAGTTCAATTTCTTGGGACAGTTTTCTGAGGTACCTTTTGATAATATCATTTGTTTTCTCTAGCTTTCCTGAGGACTGAGGTCTCCAAGCACAATGGAGATGATACTGTATGCCTAGTGCCTTTGAAACTCCCTGTGTGATGGCTGCCTTAAATGAGAGGCCATTGTCACTTTGGAGGTAATTAAGTAGACCAAAGTGGGGAGCTATTTCATTAATACTTTTATTACCTCAGAAGCTTTTTCTGTATGGCATGGAAATGCTTCTATTTCTACCCAGTTAGTGAAAGTATCTACCCATACCAGGATGTATTGGATGCCCTTCATCTTTGGCATATGGCTGAGTTTTATCTGCCAGTCCTCCCCTGGATAGCTTCCCATCCTTTGGGTTTGAAGAGGAAGGAGCCACCTGTTGAGGGGATTATTTTTAAGACAGACTTCAGAGGCAATAACAACCTCTTTGACTGCTTATAAGTTCTCTGTTGAAAACAATGTCTGGGCACACTGATAAGTTTTATCCTTTTGCAAGTAAAAGTGGAGCTTGCCATCCTCTAACTGTAGCCATCTGGAGGGCTGAAAAGTGTACCCTTGAGAGATGGCCCATTCAGTCTCTGTAGAGGAGTAATGGGGCTTAATTTCTCTTATGGAGCCTTCCCAGAATAGAGGGGCTTTGAGTGTGTTGAGCCCCTGAGACTTCCTTGCCACTGACTTGACTGCCTGTTACCTTCATCTATTTCACCTGTTCCTTTCTGATGTCCCTTACAATGTGTCACTGCTACCTCTCATGGAAGGAAAACTGAGGATAATAACCTGTTAATTTCCTGGTGATATTTTATAGGGGATCCATTAGTGGTAAAAAAAAAAAAAAAGTCTTTCCTTCCAAATGGCAGCATGAGTGTGAAGAACTAAGAAAGCATACTTTGAGTCAGCGTAAATGTTAGCCAACTTTCTCTTGCTTAATTCAAGATTTTGAAATCTTGTAGCTTGTAAGAGCTATCAGTTCAGCTAGTTGAGTGCTTGTGCCTGGAGGGAGGGGCACACTTTCAGTAACATCATTCAGAGTGACTACTGCATATCCTGCTTTATGGGATCCTTGTTCCACAAAGAAACATCCATTCATGGCCGGGCATGGTGGCTCAGACTTGTAATCCCAGCACTGAGAGGCCGAGGTGGGCAGATCACGAGGTAAGGAGATCGAGACCATCCTGGCTAACACGGTGAAACCCCATCTCTACTAAAAATACAAAAAATTAGCTCATTGTGGTGGAAAGTGCCTGTAGTCCCAGCTACTTGGGAGGCCGAGGCAGGAAAATGGCATGAACCCGGGAGGCAGACCTTGCAGTGAGCCGAGATCACGCCACTGCACTCCAGCCTGGGCAACAAAGTGAGACTCCATCTCAAAAAAAAAAAAAAAAGAAAAAGAAAAAAAAGAAACATCCACCCAATGAAGAGGTTCCAGTCTGGACTTTCTAGAGGAGTTTCTCTGACATCCTCCCTGGCTGCATAAATCTGTGCCACAACTTGTTTTACAGTCATACTTAGGTTCCCCAGTTTCCTTGGGGAGGAAAGTGGCTGGGTTTAGGCAACAAGAAGTTTTTGATATAATTGTAAACCCTTCAGTATAATTGTAAACCCTTCTAAGAGCAGAGCCTGTCTATTAGACAAAGGCTCCCCCTGAAGACAGTAATCCTGGTACATTATGTGGGGGTATAAACCGTTAAGCTATTTCCTAGGGTTAATTTGGTTGGCCTCTGGTACAAGTAGGGCCACTGTGGCAACTGGTTAGAGGCATGATGGCCATCCTTTAGCCACCAAATAAAGTTCCTTACTCAGGTAGCCAGTGGCTGTTGAGTTGGTTCTGAAGCTTGAGTTAAAACTCCCAGATCCATTCCCTTCCTTTCTGATACATAAAGATCAGGCTTGTTTTAGCTGGTTAAAGGCCTTTTGAACTTCAGGTTCCCACGGTAGGAAATGAGTTTTAGCCACTTGAGTTTCTTTTATGAGGTGATATAAGGGACAAGCTATCTCACTGTACCCAGGTATCCATCTTGATGGTGTTAGGGAGGTGGAAGGAGGAAATGGGCTTAATCTTTCCCCTAATGCTCTGGTCCCTTCAGACAGCAACAAACCTAGGTACTTCACTGAGGTTTGGCAAAGCTAGGCCTTGATTTTGAAACCTTATATCCTCTGTCAGTTAAGAAATTAAGAAGAGCTTCAGTGCCTTCCTGAGAAGCTTCCTCAATTGGGGCACAGAGAAGTATGTCATCTACATACTGCAAGACCCTGATCTGAGGATGAGAAAACTCAGAGAGATCCTCTGACAGTGCCTGTCCAAATAAGTGACGACTGTCTCAAAATCCCTGAGACAGAACTCTCAGTGTTAACTGGGCAATTCGGCTGGAGGAATCTTTGACGGCAAACAGGTATTGAGAGTCAGGATATAATGTTATGCAGAAAAAGGCATCCTCTAGATCTAGGACTGTGAACCATTTAGTTCCCTCAGACATTAGCAACGTATAGGGATTAGGGACCACCAGATGAATTGGGACTGTGGCCTGATTACTGAGGTGGAGGTCCTGAACTAGTCTGTATTCCCCCTTTGGTTTCTGCACTCCTAATATTGGGGTGTTTCAGGGACTGTTACAGGGTTTGAGGAGGCCCTGCATATTCCGGTTATTACTAATGGCGTCTAGCCCTTTCCCAGCCTTTGCCTTTAGGGGATATTGTTTCTGATTAGGAAAAGAAGTGGGATCCTTAAGATGGATCCAGACTGGCCTAGTGCTTAGAGATTGACCTATTCTTCCTTGAGTTTCCCACACTTCTGGATTAGTATTAGCTTCCACCAGGGGGAGACAAAGAGTTTGTCCTGGGGCTAAAAGGATGTTGGCTCCTATGTGAGCTAAAATGTCTCTAACAAATAAAGGAGTGAGATTTTCAGGCATGATTAAGAAGGCATATGTAAATAATAGGCCCCTGCAACTACAACTAAGGGGTTGAGAAAAATATTGGGTTGAAACTTTCCCGAGATTCCCATTACTCTTGTGCTACAGGAAGAGGGTAGGCCTGGATTAGGGAGACGAGAGAGGCTGTCTCCAATGTCCAGATAGAGGCCCACCCTCCTTCCTTCAATTTCCAGAATCACCCTGGGCTCCCTGCAGTAATGGCAGATTGAGCTGCTCAAGCCAGGACCCATCAGTTCTATTGGACCATCTATGAGACTGTTTCTGAACCCAGTGACCTACATCTCCAGGGGCAGTCTGATCTCCAGTGGTCCCTGCCACAGGCTGGACAGGGTCAAGATGGCTTCCTCTTGCTGCCTGGAGTGCAAGAGTCCTTCTTAAGGTGACCTGACTTGCCAAACTGGTAGCAACTAGTGGATCTACCTCGGCCATCCTGTAGTTTGCAAGCCTGCAAAGCCCTACTGGAGCCTCTGTCTTTCTCTCGTGTTTCCTCTCTTTTTCCTGGGCCTCCTCCTGGTCTGTATAATAAAAGACAAAGGTGGCCACCCTCAGGAGATTTTCCAAGGTCCTATCTGGTCCTATGGCCTACTTTTGCAGTCTCCTTCTAATATCAGGAGCTGTATGTAATTAACTTGTTCTTTAGGATGAACTGTCCCTTGACTGAATCAGGGGATAAGGAGGTGTGTTTTATTAGTGTCTCTTTCAGCCTTTCCATTAAGTCCATGGGATTCTCATTTGGCTTTTGGTCTATCTTGGACAGTTTAAAATAGTTAAGAGGTTTGGACCTAGTACTTTGTAGGCCCTGCAATATGCACATTAAAACATTTTTCCCTTTCCATTCTTCTGTGGAGTCATTGGGGTTTCCAATCAGGGTCAAGAGGTACTGCCTCTCCTTCCTATTGGGAATGATGGTTCCCCTATTTCTTCGTTTTCCCTATTTTCTCTTTTTTTTTTTTTTTTGCATGCTATAGGGGACATACTGCTCATCTCTGAATTTCTCTGCTACTTGAAGAAATGCCTGTTTTCAGCTATGAGTAGGTTTTGGCTTAGGAGCAGTGTAACACCACATCATGAGAGGTCAAACACCTGAGTTAAATTTTGGAAATCTTCTATATCATATTGGAGTCATCAGAAAATCAGCGTAAGTTTCCCTTTATTTTCCTAAGGTCCTACAATGAGAAGGGAACTTGAACCCTAGTGGCATCACTTTCCATTGGGCATTTCCTGTTGGGGTAAGAGTGATGTTGGGGAGCGGAGAGTTTTGGAGATGGTGGAGCTAGAGAAGCTGATGATATGGTTGGAGGAGGCCTCAGATAAAAGGGTCAAGAAGGGCCTGGACACTCAATAGCTACCTCAGATGGTTTTCCCAGAAGTTGCTTCTCTAGTTTTGGGGAATCCTTCCCTATGGGCCTGCTTGTTATGATTGCTTAAAGAGCTGAGTTGATTGTGAAACACTAGCAAAGGTCTAGTAAGAAGGCCATACCCTTGTCCAAAAGCAGAGTTTCAGGTTCACAGGAGTCTGAGTGCTTCAGAATACATTTCAGAAGGCTTCAGGCTGAAGATGGTCTATTACACCTAGAAAGAGAAGCAAGAAAAAGCCTCCCCTTTAGTCTCCTTCCTTTCCTTTGGAGTGGCTTAGTGTGGAGGGGAAGACAGTGGGGACGTCCCCCCAACTGTTTTCCCTCCTTGGTTCCCCGAGCCCTGTCATCTGTTAAAGGTGCTGCCCATAGACGCAGGCATGAACCTCCATCATGGATCCAGAGGAGCTAAGTATTTGGGATGTGTCGCACTCACCCATGCAACAACAGTTCTCCCTTGGTGATTTCCCTTTGACTTCCTAGACTTGTGTGATCTGCATAGCTCCCTGATAGATGGATCTCGGGAAAGACTATGCAATAGTTGCATTTGGGCAAGGCCCTTTAATGGAGGCACTGTACTGGGTTGAGCTGTATAATCTGCTATTATGGCCTGGACTAAAGTATTTATTCTTAGGCAGTGGCTCTGGTTAACTTCTGGACATAAAATTGCCTTACTGTTTAAGTACTATTTTAATTGGAGGCAGAAGGGGTGCCTTAAAGAACATAGGTACTGAATGGCAGTTTTCCTGCTGATGGGACAGTATTGAGATTAAAATTTGGTTTGGGAGGACATTTTCCTCCTCATTGTTGAGTTTTCTTATTCTCAGAAGAAGCATAAAGCCTGGTCTCTTGTAGAGGGGCACAAAAAGGGAGGAGAATTGGGAAACTAGATTGTTCTGGCAAAGGAACCGACAATGTGCCTCATGGAGAGGATTCCTATTCCACTAGGTGGTGGGGTAGGTCTTGAAATACCATGGGCTATCAAGACCAAGGGTAGAGAGAGAGACCCTCACTTTTGGGTTGGGCAAGTCCTCTGTTCCTAGAAAATCACAAAAATGGCAATCCTTTGAGCTATATTTCTGGTTATTACAGCGTTTGTTGATCTTGCCTAGCAAGATTACTTTCCTGAACTGTAAAAATTCCCATAGCATTGCATATGGAAAGGGGATAGGACACATGGCATTAGTTGATAGGAAAGGAGGAAATTTATGATAGAAGAAGCTTGGAGATCCTGTTGCTGACACCCATCAGGCTGCTGGAGGCTGGGGTTAGTCCAGGAACCTTCAGGTAACACCATGGTGTGGCCCTGGCCAGGAACCCTCAGTTGCCCCTGCACCTCTTCCAGCCCCATGTGATGGCTAGGCTCTCCATGAAAGAAAACTGGTTCAAAACAAAGCCAACATTCCCAGTATCCTTAGGGCACTGAGGGGTTTGCTAATTTCTCCCTGGCAAGCCTGTCCCCTGAGTCTTGTAAGGTTGGCAGCCACACTAACCATTTTTAAATGGCTGAAGGGGGCCAAGTGTGTGATTTGATTTTAAAATGGAGGATAGAGGCCTCAAAATGACAGGAAAGGGTTGGGGTTTGCTCCTATACTCACCCTTCCAGTGAATCTACTTTGGATCCTGGACAGGCCTCTAAAATGAAGTGGGGTCATTGTCTGGGATAAATAACCAAGATTCATTGTTTTATGGCCATGGAAAATATGACACAGACATACAAAGAGTGAGGTCCAGAGTGGAAGCTTAATAGGCAAAAGAAAGAGAAGAGCTCTCTACCACAGAGAGGAGTCCTGGAGAAATGGGTTGCTGGTTCCATGGTGAAATGTAGCAGGCTTTATAGATGAGCTTGAAGAGGTGGTGTCTGATTTACCCAGGGCATGAAAGATTGCTTGGACCAGGTGTGTCATTTGCATAGGGCAGGAAAAACTCGTTAGGGCTAGGTGTGCCATTTGCATAGAGCACATAAATCTGGCTTGCCCCATCCTAATCTTTTATTATGCAGATAGGTTCTCTGCCTGGCTTGTGCCATGTTTCCTGTTCCTTTACTGTACACATGGTGACAAAGAAAGGGGAAAATAGAGCCACCATGTTGAACTTACCTGGCCCCCAGATAGTGCCTTTCTGTTGGCACAGCTCCCAGCATTAATCCATACAAGCTTCCAGCTTGCTTATCTGTTTGAAGCTTGAATTTTCAGGCTGCTCTTTGTTAGAAAAGAAGTAATTTGGGGGCTGATTTTTGTTAAAAGGGAAGTTCCACTGAGGACTATGTTGCCCTTACTCTCTGCCTAAATAGTTTCTGTCTCCTGAATCATCATTATATAACTTTTCTGTATACAACTACAACAGATGTAAATAATCTGGAGCACAGATTAGAGTATAATGTGAAAATATACATTTATAATAAAATAATTAGGAAGTGATGACTTTTGAGGATTCATTGCCTTTGCTTTCAATATAATTTAATTAAAATTTATATAATTTTTAAAAAATATGCTTCATCACCACTTTGTATATTTCCTGAAAAATTAACAAAATAACTCTCACAAGCTGTTACAAACTGCTCCAGCACATCACGGTTCCTTCCCCCCAAAGCACCAGAGCACAGTGATTACAAAAAAGACAGAACAGAGAATGGTTGATGCACACATGTACTTGCTCATGATAAAATAGAGGGAGTTGCCTAACTTCAAAAAATTCACTTATTCTAGTTTCAGTTTTACCAGAAATGTTTTGATTTGGGGATATTACTTAAGCTAATTTTATTTTAAGTCAATAGTGATATTCTATTTTTTGAACTTTATGTAATAAAGCATCACAAAGTCAGGCCAATTGATGATCTGACCAGTCCAAATTAATGAAAAGTAGAAATTATATTTCAGTTAACTATGGTTTTATTATTTCAAACATTTTCAATTACTTGAATTTATTATTAAAGTGTTTTAGGTAGAGATCCTTTTTATTAGTTACTAATAAAAAGCTGTCATGATTAGCAGCATCTATTTGCATATAGATAATTGGTGTGCTAAATCTTTTAAAATACAGATTCTCTTAATTGGTTTAGTGGATTGCATTATTGTTCCTAATTACTTGCTTTCCCTCTATACTAGGCCCAGCCATACAGGGCTTGTCTTTGGGGGTCACTCACTTCACTGGTGTCAGGTTTTGATTGCATGACTTGCTCTGCTCAATGCAGTGTAAGTATGAGTGATATAATCCTTGCTCCTGCGGAAACTTTAGGAAGCATCCTGGGGTTTCACCATTGCTTTTTACTTCTCTATCACAAGAACAGCATTCTCAGATAAGGACATAAAATATATGCACAGAAAGAGCTGCAGCCAACTCACATCTGATAAGTAACAGTGGCAAATACATTTTTGATTTTCTAAGCTACTAGTTGTCTGTTGCCATAGCATATTTTAACAAAAAACTAAATAATGTTAGTAGATTCAGCAAACCCTCTAAGCTTGATTACACTCTTTTTGGATGCTTTTAAATATTCAGTTTAAAAAGAAAGATGTGAATTAGAAGGCTACCTATAGGGTACTATCCTCCCTACCTAGGTGACAGGATCATTTGTACATCAAATCCCAGTGACACACAACTTTCCCATGTAACAAACCTGCACGTGAACCACGGAAACCTAAAATGAAAGTAGACAAAAAGAAAGAAACGTAAATTTTACCCTTATCCAAATTAGATTAGCACAAATTCTTAATGTGTAGAGTTTTTATTAAATGAGAATTTACTAGGTTGGAAATAGCATTAATCTCTGTAGGAAGAATTCTTATTGAGCTCATTTTCTTGATCTTAAGTTTTTATCACCTCTACAAATGAGTCAGACACCTATTTAATTACAATTAAAATTTTTGGATTTCTGAAATTTCTGGCCAAATCAGTTTAATTATTTATAGTAATATTTTCTGCTTTAACTCCTTTCAAATTTCTACATTTATTTTCAATGTGTTGTGTTGGACTTAATTATCAGAAAATAAAACAAGCATCAGTTGGTACCTACTATATTCCAGGGCTCTGTTAGATGCTTTCAGATCTATTTCATTGAATTCTTTTAAGGAAACTGTGACTCAGAGAAGTTGAGACTAACTTGTTGAAGGTCAGATAGCACTTTGTGCCGTAAGTGATAATGTTAGAATGGAAGACTTAATCCCAGTATGGATGGTTTAGAAATTGTTGATGATCTGCTTCTAAAGGTTGTGGCCTTACTTTCTTTTTTTAAATCAATCAAGCGTTTTAGTAAGCTTTTGCTGTAAAATAAGGAACCTCAAATCTCAGTGTCTAACAAGGAGCATTTCCTTCTTGCATACGGCCTGACTATTGCTTGTGGCTGGGCATACGTTGTCTGGCCTAAGCTGGATTTATTTAGTTCCAGGATTCAGGAGAAGTTCCAGTCTGCTCCAAGTGTTCTCATTCTGGGAACAGGTCTCAAGGAGCATAGAACATGTTTTCAGGCTGGAGGGTAGATACTTAAAGGGAAGTAAAATTTTGCAATACCCCTTACGGCATGTGCTTGGAGCCAGCCTGCTGTCGTTTCACTAGTCAAAGCAAATCATAAGGCCAAGCTCAAGGTAGTAGAGTTGGGAATAATATTACACTCCCAAGGCATGGCAAGCATGAGGAGTGAACAACAAACTGAACAAAACACACAGCCTACTACATAAACATAAAAATCATTTTTTTCATAATTATGAGGCCAAAATATCATTATTTCTTTTCAAAAAAGTGAATATTGATCTAATAATCTGCAACATTTGTAAGAACTCTTATACAGTCAGCCCTCCATATATGTGGGTTCTGCATCCATGGATTCAACTCACTATAGATCAAAAATATTTGGAAAAAAAATGGATGGCTGTGTCTGTACTGAATGTGTACAGATCTTTTTTCCTTGCCATATCCCCTAATCAATACAGTATAACAACTATTAACATACCATTTACATTGAATTTGGTATTGTACATAATATAGACATGATTTCAAGTATTCCAGAGGATGTGCATAGGTTACATGCAAATACTTAGCCAAGTGATAAGGGACTTGAGCATGAATTTTGGTATCTATAGGAGTCCTAGAACCAATACACAATGAATGCTGAGAGGGATGACTATACTTTCAGTATGAGATAACATTTCAAGCAAAGAAGCATTATTTAAATGTTAGGTTGATAAGATTAATTCAGTTTGACATTTCATGTCATTTATATTTAAAATTGACTCTGTTAAAAGCAGAAACATTAATGGTTACGAGAAGAAAAGTATTCCTCCATTTTATGTGTGTGTATATATATATATTTATATATATATATCTGCAACCAACTTATGGTTATCCATTTTTAAGTACTTTATCAAACCTTGTATTGCATACAGCATTCAAGGTAGTTCCCATTGATCTCTGCCCTGAGTCTCTCATTCAGGCCCTTGTGTGTAATACCCTCTCTTTGTGTTAACTGGACCCGGTAACTCACATCTGATAAATAGCATATGGCAGAAGTGATGGGTGTTGCTTGAGGGATTAGATTATAAAAGCCTGGAGCTTCCATCATGTTTTGACTCTCTCCTTGTATCTTCTTACTTGCTTGCTTTGATGAAACAAGCTTCTATGTGTGAGCTGCCCTCTAGAAAGGTCCACATGGCAAGGGACAGAGGGCAGCCTCTAGCCAACAGCCTTGAGGAAGTAATTCCTGCCAACAGTGATGTAAGTGAGCTATGAAAAGGATCCTTCCCCAGTCAAGCCTTGAGATGACTGCAGCCCACTGCAGTACCTTGATTGCAGCCTGTGAGATAATCTGAAACTGGGTTCCAGTCAAGTAGTACCAGGATTTCTGACTCAAAAATGGTTAGAAAATAAGTGTTATAAGCCACTAAATTTGGGGGGTTGTTACACAGAAATAGGAAACTATTATACTCTGCCACTTCACTTCATATCTGCAATTACTTTGCAGGGGTATAAATATTTTGGATTATAAGTACAAATATAAATATTTCATACATATTAATCTAATATTCAGCAATTCTATAACAATAGTTTAAGCTTATTTCTTTGGGATTCTTGAATTTCTTTTAGAAACTTTAAGTTTATTCTTCTCAGTTTTCTTGTTTAGCAAATAAAATCTTTCTGTAAAGATAAAAGGATATGTAACTTTTTTACTTTTGACTTCTTTGATGGCAAGTCTCAATAGTTTGCTAGATGGCAAGTTAGACTAGTACAAACTTTGTTTTACTTTAAAGGCCCATGACTTCCTTGAGATTACCAGACTTTAACCCCAAATTGGCTTTGAATGTAGCCCATAATTACAATATATGTTTTTACTTACAACACTTTTAATAAAATATTTTCAACATTTTTTTCTCTGATGCTGTCCAAAAAAGAAACAAGATTAGAAGGGAAAGCAGATTTCCCCCCTCTTGAAAGTAATTTTCTCATTTGACCTTTCTTCTTGGGAATTCTAAAATACACTGTCCTTTCTGAGAAAAGAAAAAAAAAAAATAAAAACCAAAAAAGTCCCACACTTAGTCTCCTGGAAATTCTCCCAGTTTCAGTTCTGCTATAAATGTTTCCCTTGCTCTAGATACCATGTATCTATATTTAAAATTACTACTGCATACAGCAGGCAGGAAATACATTTTTTTCTTTTTTTAAATCAAGGGTTCTAGCTTTCTTGTGTTTTATTTCAGTTGTGTGTTTTGTGTGTGTATGTTTGTGTTTCTGTCTGTTAATTCAAGAATATATATGTAAGATAGTATAGCAATTTTCCCAGCATCCTAGGGCTGTAAGGAAAAACTACGTCTTCTAGACAATTTGACAGTATTTAGACTGTATTTAAGACAAGAACCATTTACTCTTGGTTTTAAAATGCACATAACATTTGTTTAAGCTTTGCTGGTAATATACTTTTGTATTTAACATTATATTCCGGTATTTCAGGTAAAGGAAACAGGGATAAGTTAGTCATTTGTTTAGAACATCAATGTCCTGCCTCTTTTCCTGGGTTATGAAGTCTGCTTCAACTCTCAAGGAGAAAGGTCAAATGCATAAATTAGATTTGAGAGGAAGAAAATCTGCCTTCCCTTCTCATTGCTCCTTTCTTGGATAGCATCAGAGAAAAATATTGAAAATATTTTGTTAAAAATTTTGTAAGTAAAAACATATATTGTAATGATGGGCTATACTCAAAGCTAATGAAGTTGTGGTGCCATACCTGTTGGCACCCTGTGTTCAATCCATTTTTCCAGAATGAACTGCTGTTTCCTCTCTGTATGTTAGTTACTCAAGGCACAGACCAAGCCTAGGTTCTTATCAAAAGCTTTTGAATACTTTCCACTCTTCCATTATCTCTGATTTCCTCCTGTTTGTGGATCTTTTCCTGTGGAACTGTACCTTTATTTGTTCATGAATTATTTCAAACAGAAGAGTTTTCGTTTTCTAACTTATCAGACCCATTGGAGTCAGGGCCCATGCCTTTTTTACTTCATTATTTTCTCTAGACTAAAAGTGACAAGTAATTTGTGGTTGTATTTTAGGCCTTGGGAAGTTAGCAAAATGGATATTTTGGGGTCAGGATATGTGTCCAGTTCCCTTGAATAACTTCTCAAGGATAAAATTACACATGGGTGCGTGATTTCCACAGGGACATAGGGAGAACTCCCTACCTGCCCACATCCCATTTGTCCTGCTGGACCCTGCTATTACCCTTGAACATTTCCCCTTGACTGCTTTCTAAGACAATCCACATTATTTTAAAATGTAGTTTTGCTTTTGGCAAGATTATTGTGATCATGTTATGTGGAATTGAAAGAGTACTGAATTTTTTGTTCAGTTGTCAGTTTTTCTAGTCAAGATTCTTTGGTAATCACTCGGGTCCAATCAACACATTACTTCTTAGTTATCGCTCTTGAACATAACTTTGAAAAGTCAGTTGGAAGATATACAGATGGCTACCTGCTAGAAATTAAATTTATGGGTGAAGGTGATAGTTCACAGGAAAGAAAGGCACAGGGTAGGAGGCTAGGAATACCCCCAAATGTTAACTTATACCAGATTTTCAATAGTTTAATATAGGGTGATATATGTGTATGTATATATATACACACACACATATATATATACAGTGTATATATATATGCGTATATATGTATATATGTATATATGTGTATATATGTGTATATATGTATATATGTATATATGTGTGTATATATGTATATATGTGTGTGTATATATATGTATATATGTATATATGTGTGTGTATGTATACATATATGTATAGAAAGAGAGAGAGAGAGTTATCAATATGAATTCTAACAGTGTGACTTTCCTGGTTCTGAGCATGCAAATATAGGTAATGATTCAGAAACATTGAACTGAGGATATTGACCAACTTTGTAGACATTGAGACATAAATGCAATAATTCATTTGACATGAAAAACTACTTTTCCTTTAGGGACTGGAAATATTAATATGCAAAAACTTCAATGTTGGAAAAGTGCCAAATATCTAGAGACAGTGAAAAAAATTGTCCATCCAGATGTTTGCAAATATTTGAATAATTAGAATTGTATAGAGAAGACATCTGTTTAAAATTTCATGTTAGATACATTTCATCATTATGTAAATGTAAAATCTGAGACTTAAATACACAAGTATTAATTAACTGCCTGTTGATCATTATGTACTGAGGGAAGATGAGAGAAGTGGTAGAAGGTGGAGGAGGAAAAATTGCCTTGAAGTTTGAATTTTATTCAGTACAAAGTGAAGAATCCTAAACATTCTTCAATAGTAGACTGATATACAGTGTCCCTTTTAAATTTTACTTTGAAATTTTTCATAGAGTAAAATTCAGTTTTTCTTGTGTACAGCACTATTGATCTTAACACATGTCTAGATTTGTGTAACCACTACCACGATTAGGATACAGAACAGTTCCACCACCCCACAAACTTCCTTGTGCTTCCCCCTTAGAGACACAATGTCATCCACTCTTAAGGCCTGGTAACCACTTACTCGTTCTCAAACATTATAGTTTTTTATTTTGGGTAATGTCATACACATGGAATTTTACAGCATGTAACCTTTAGGGACTAGTTTCTTTCACTCAGCATAAATCCTTTGTTTTGTGTATCAATAGTTCTTTTCTTGTTATTGGTGAGTAGTATTCCATGGTATGAATGGATGTACCACTGTTTATTCATTTACTCACTAAAGCACATATAGAATATTTTGAGTTTTAGCAATTATGAATAGAACTGCTATAAACATTCATGTATAGATTTTTGTGTGAACATCAATTTTCATTTCTCTGGGGTAAATCCCAGAGGTGGACTTCTGGTAAGTGTATATATAACTTTTAGTAAAACATTATTAAGAAACTGCAAAACTCTTTTCCAGAGTAGTTGTTCTACCTTGCATTTCACCAGCAATGTATGAGAGTCCCAGTTGATCTGCATTCGCCTCAGTACTTGGTATTTGAATTCTAAAGAGGGTTAACCATTTTTATAGGTGTATAGTAATACCTCATTGTGATTTTAATTTGTGCTTCTCTAATGACTGATGATGTTGAACATCTTTTCATGTGCTTATTTGCCATCTATCTGTATACCTTCTTTGGTAAAATGTTCAAGTCTTTTGCCTATATTTTTTCTTTTGTTCATTTTTTAATTGGGTTATTTTCTTACTATTGAGTTTCAAGTGTTCTTCACAGTTAACAAGTTGAAAGCTCTGACATTGGTATCAATGCAGACAATGGATTAGGCTTCTTATATTGAAAAATGTTACCTGTATATCTGTTAATATTTTGGATTATGAAAGAATGCTTACTTCTTCTCCCTAAATATCTGTTTGTGTAGCGAAAAATTAATCTTTCTGGTTTTGGTAGACTGTACCTTAATTATAACTTGTACACTTGATTCTTACAAAAATCCTCTCAGGTATTACTACTCACAAGTCACAGATAAGAAAACCAAAGGGGTCAGAGAGACCAGGACTTGTCCAGATTCGTAGGTGGATGAACTAGAACTGGAAACCAGCAATGTGGTATTATCCTCTTTTCCATATCCTTTTCATGATCCCAAAACAACTTGCAAGTTAAATTTATTCCATTATCTGCATATAATCCATCTGGTCACAGTTTGGGAGAGCAGAAAGCCTTGTGAGTAGACCATTCACGAATCATTCCCATCAAATACATGTATGTGGTATATATTTTTGGTGGTGGTGTAAGGTACTGTGTTCTTGGGAGGTAATCCCAAGTACTAATGAATGCTCAGCTTCAAAGTCACATGAGCTCCCCAGTCATATTTTAACCATGTGCTAGTTTATAGCTCTTTGCTCTTTTGCAATTAAAATTTTTGCTATTTTCTATAAAAAGTGCCAAAGTAAAATTATTTAATTTTTATTAAAATAAAAAGTTCTGTGCAGATTAGTAAGATTATATGTAAAACTGATCCTACTGTTAAAAAATAAAATATAACTGGAACTACAACACAGCCTAATAAATTGGAACATTATTCTAAGCTTGGATGTAAATTACATAAAATGACTTGAGGAAAATCATATTTTCCAAACCTAGCAGATGTTATTATGCTTGTCAAATCCATTTCCATTTTTTTCTTTTACTCCTCTGAATACAAATTTCCCCAACTGGTATTTATGGACTTTGGAAAGTCATTTAGCTATTCCCAAGGACAAAGGTAATATTACAAACTTTGTACAGTGGTGTATAAATAGTAAAGTGGAAGAACTGGAAGATTATCTTCCATCAATATTCCTTAATTTGTGTTAAACCTCCATTCTTTACAAACCAAAGGAAAGTATTTTTCCCTGTCCCTCGCTAGAGAATCACGGAATTATAGAGGAGTCTTTGCACATGATTAGACCATGACATTTGAAGGAGTGTTAAACTTACTTGGGCTTAAGAAAGCTTTTCTAGGAATATTGCCCTGGCAGAGGTAAAGTATTTTCTTCAGATTTACTAGCCAAGAGAGACAAGTTTATTTTAATGTTCCCATTGGCCCCATAAGTTATTTCTCTCTATCTGCTATGGAGGAAAATAATTAAATTATTGATGTTTGTTGGCCCATATGTACAGCTGCGTTTTCATTTATATTGTTCATTCATCCAATGTAAATATTCCAGACTTCAAGTAAATCAGTGACTCAGGACCAAAGATGTATTAGTTTGACTAGCAATGCCAATGTTTTATTCCCTCTAAGGAAAACGATATGGACTGATTTCATCTGCTGCCAACATTAATCTCAGTATGATTAAATTCAGAATATTTAAGTATATATTTCCGGGGTTTGAAAATTCCACTCTCTAGGATTGCTTCAGAACTTAGATCAATCATTCTTTAATTACTGTTCCTCTGAACAATACTGAAGGACAAATATAAAGTCATCCCTATCATGTGACTGACCCACCGTGCAGCCCACTGGCAGGCCCCAGGGAAATGGGCTGGTCAGATAGAAGGGATGGAAACCATGCTCTAAATATGATATTGAAAAAATATCCAATCTCTCCATCCCACATTTATGCTAGAGTCCCCTTTCTCTGGGGTCAGATGAGTCACTGAGAGTCTACGCTATACTGATGTCATGTAAAATATAATTGGGTATTTTGTGCCACTTCCTCAAAAAAAAATGCTTTTCATTAACTGAACATTTGGAAAAAACTATTTTAACCTTATATTTGAAAGATACAAAGTGGATTTTTTTTTAAAGGAGATTTCTGTTGAAGTAGGATTTAGAGAATGTGTGTTCTGGATATATTAGAGAAACCCAAATGAAATATGAAGTACGTTCTTTTGTATTCCTTTGAGGGACAAGGAGCATATAGATGATTCTGCATCTCTCTGAGATATTAGAAAGAAAACAAACTGTGGTGGCTTCCACAGATAAACATTCATTCACTTTGCTACCTTGATAAGCTTTCAAACGAAATAAGAGACAGATAATTTAGTGATTTGAGTTCTCTCTCTGAGTAGAGGAAATATTAATTGTGTTTTGCATAGCTGGGGAGCCACCAGTGCAATAATTTGGGACAAATCTTCCCATTTAGATGCAGCAAAAAGATGTTTCTCAGGGTCTATTTCAACATCTTTGATTGGCTTTAATTTGCAACGTCAAATTTGGAGATCACATTAACCTGGACAAGGGAAAGGCTTAGTGTCCCAAGGGTGTTGTTTTACTTTCCGGTACTGAAGTATATAGCATAAACAGAGCACTTTCAAAGACATCAGTGTCCTCCATTAAGTGTTTCCTGGTAAATATGAAGGGGATCTCTGTTTTCATCACCAAACCTTTTAAGCTGTTCAAGTCCCTAAACAAGCAGTAGCAAAAGAATAAAATAGCCCAAAGGGAAAAACACCCCAAGCAATGTGTCTGCTTTAACAAAAATATTTTGGATGTTTAAATAATAACAAATCACTGATCACATCATTTTATTACTTTAAAAATAAGATATTAATTACCTCGAGTTAGCCAATACACAATGTGAACATATTTCAAAACAATATGTTGTAAAAGATAAATATAAAAAAGTTATTTGTCAATTAAAGAAGCAAATTAAGAAATACTTTAGGGTTTTCACATCTTATAGATTAGAGGGAAAATAGCCCAAAGTAGTAATTTTTTGAGAAATAAAGGGACATGGATTATTTAATAATTCTAAAACAAATGCCACATTGTTTAATGCACACAGGGAACTAGATAATGAAAGAATTTCTTGGCAGAATGCTTAACGCAATAAAACGAGAGATGAGAACCGGCCTTAGAAAAAGGTCAGGTCCAGAATATTGTGAGACAAGCAGTTCATGTTCTCTACTTTTGTCCAGTTTGTTAGAAAATGTAACAACCAAGCAAATTGATGGTTTTTAATTTGCACTCCCCCTGCCGCCCCTCTTCTCTTACTGTTAAGCCTTATCAAGTTCCTCAGTTTGGGTGTCAAATAAACTCAGTCACAGTTAACTTTGGAGCATTATTAAATAATATTTCCATATGTAGGGAGCTCACACAGAACCTCTGGTCTTGGAGTCTCACCAGTTTACTTTATTAAAATGTTTACTTGCACTTTTTGAGCAGGATAGGGTTTAGCCCATTTGCAAAGTGTTTTGCACTTGCTTTGGAGTATCATTTTTATTCTGATGGATTAAAAGCAATATATATGTATACAAATGTATATATATATAAGCATTATATATTATAAGCATAATATAATATATAATATATATTGTTTTTAATATATAATATTTAGTACATCAATTATTTTTACTCCTGGGCATTTTGTCATTATTATTGTTATCATGGACTATAAGTCAACACTGTGGGAGTCAGATGTGTAAAGAAAGAAAATAGAATCTGAAAAATAAACTTGGAATTTTTAAGGAATTTTTGGGTATTGATGAGGATGCTGATGAGAGTAATCTTGGGACCATGGATCATATTTTCCAGCTCCAGTTAGAGGTGTTCGAACCAGAGTGACTCCATTTTGTGTGAGGGCTAAGAAAATGAGCCTGAGACTTGTTGGATTGCATTCTCAGAAAATTAGGCATTCCTCGCCTCTAGATGTTTATGATTATGGGGAACAAATTAGTAATATTTACTAAACAGACCCAGAGTTGGGAGTGTCCATATATGCCAATATCTGGAGAACAAAGGCATTCCTAATTTTGCTTTAAAGATCATGATGTTGATTCTTGCAAAATATAGTAATTAAAAAAATCCTTTATCACAAACCCTTGTAGCAGAGCACATCTCCCCATATATGAGTCATATATGAGTATCGTACTTGGGTGGATGTGTTCCTCCTCTTACTTTCGGGAATGTCCTACTTTGTCTATGGAGTAGCTGTCCTTTCACCACTGTACTTTCCTAATAAACTTCCTTTTGCTTTGCACTGTGGACTCACCCTGAATTCCTTCCTGTGCAAGATCCAAGAACCCTCTCTTAGGGTCTGAATTGGGACCCCTTTCCTGTAACATGCCTGCCTCATTCTCTTTCCCCTGTTCCTATTACTACCCATCTATTCTTGGCAAAACAAATGTTATGAAGGCAAGATTTGGTTTCTTTGCTGGGTTTTAAGAACCTTTCCAGAAAATAAAAGTTTAATCAGTTTTGCTTTTTATGAGAAAATTCCAATAATGGAAATGGCAGGTTTCTATAGTTACACGTTGTGTTTCCTACATTAAACAAGAGAAAAGCTCTTAAGCAAGAAGGAACATAAATGGTTTTCATTAATAGTCACATAATATTGCTTTCTACTCACAATATAACACATTAAAATTTAATCAACTAGTTAGCAAATGAATACGCCTAATGTTAATTCTCCAATCATGCTATTCATATTTGGATCTTCATTCTAACTAATATTTCTTTCTTTGCTTGGAAACGTTAAAAAAAAAGCGTGTGTTCAACATTCTGTTTGTGCACCATTTTCACAGCCTAATGCCTTACAGAACATTAGTAACCATAAATTATAATTAAATACTGTTCCCAGGCTGCTTCTGCAATGCTATAGTCTATAATTAATATACAACATAAATTTAAAAAATATAATGGTAAATAAGATGACACTCAAACTGCTTTGAAATTGAGGTAAGACTTTTTCTATGTCCCTAAAATCAAAGTTCTTCTGTTACTAGGTTTTTGTAAACTATACCACTACTTTCAAGTGAGACTCTTGATTAGGACAATGGTTCTCAATTGGAGACAGTTTTGCTCCCTTTCCCAGAAGACATTTGGCAATGTCTGGAGACATTTTTGTTTGTCACACAGTGGGGGTGCTATTGGCAACAAGAGAACAGAGGCTAGGAATAGGGCTAAACATCCTACAATGCATAGGACAGCCCCTTACAAAAAGGAATCATCTAGTCCAAAGTGCCAGTAGTGCCATGGTTGAGAATTTCTGATCTAGGACAATGTCTCTTCATTCTGTGTCAAATAAGTTAGGCAACCAAGATACATTAAATAACTTAAGTTACTAAAAAGTCCTAAATGTTTTTCTTTGATTTTGGAATAAAATAAGATACCATTGACACGAGTATATGAGTTTTAGTATGTTCTTTAGGGAGGAAAATGTAGAGCAATGAATAAAAAAAGGAAAAAAATTACAATAATGTTTTGTTTTCATTAGGAGATCCAACTTGTTTTCAAATATAAATTCTCCTAAGGGTTGCTTTTTTTTTTGGTCAGCTTGAGTAGATTCTTCTAAGGAAAAGAATATGTCATGTAATTATACGTGACAAAATTTTCAAGGTTCTGTTAAAGAGATACAACTAAGAGAAATGTGTTGGAACACCCTTTCTTGGAATAGGAAGAGTTGTCAAGATTGAAAATATTATTTCATTAAATCTTACTTATCCCCAGAAAATTTCAAAAGACATCCCCTCCCTCCCCAAATAAAATTAATGGTTATCATTTTGTTCCAGAGCTCTTAAAGAGCAAAGTATTTTTAAAATTTTCTTGATTGCTCTACTTGATCACTATTAGTATGTAGTTAAAATTTTTAAAAATGTGCTTTTAAACAATTCTGGTGAAGCTTGGAGTAAATGCTACAGAGATACAGAATGTTGAAACTCAATTGACTCGTGAACATAACTAATTCAGTAGAATAGAAACTCCATGGAGGCAGGGATCTTGTCTGTCAGGAAATTAGCTCTAGTCTCAATTACTGGAACAGTTTCTTATAGATGAGATAAATCCGGGAAATATTACTGGGATTGACATATTCAAATCAGTTGTGTCAGTCTGTATATATCCAGTAAATGTATCTGTATTTAAACAAGTAATACATGCATTCAGAAGAGGCTGATTAGAATAAGAAGTGCTATCAGATAGTCTACAGTTGTGTTGTATACTCAAAAAACCCAGAATAAACTAGTATAGGATATGATTTCTCTAATCTAAATTTTTTTTAGATACCTGTGACCCATATTTGCTATTGAGACTCATTTTTCTTGCTTTCTTTATCTAGAAATGTTGTGTAAGCTATAGGCTATGAAAGTTAGCATGATGACAGTGAATTGCACATCTTACACATTTGCCACACCACTCCCCATGCTGTGTACTACTGCAGACTGACTGCTTCCACCAGCTAGCACATTTACCCACACAAAATGAAGTTTCACTCAAACAAGCCGTTGTTTGATTCTTTCAAGGATATTTTATCTATTTGAAAATTTATTCCTTTGACTTTCTTTTAGCTTTATTTCTGTATTCATTATTGAAGTATATTTAATTTATTTAGTTTTCCCGCTTGAACAAATTATAGCTCATAATGGAGCAGGAGAAATTAAAACTGACTTGGATACATCATTTGAAATTGGTGAATGGATAATATCTTCACCCCGAAGTTTTAATTTTCACCTGCCGACTGATGACTCCCAATTTATAACTCCAGTTCAGCTTTCTTAGGCAACTCCAGACCTACATTTCTAACTTTCTACTAAAAAATTCTATTTAGCTTTCCATAGGTCCCCAATTACCCTTGCCTTAAACCAAAACACACTGGATTGTCTCCACCCAAACTCGATTTTTTATTTTCACCAAAATGAATTTATTTTCCCAATTTCTGAGAACTGTGGCAAAACTCACAAACCATAATTCAGTATTTATCCACAACTCAACCTTGTTTATCAGCAAGTTAGAATTTTGATCACTGAATAAACAACAGGTTATTTTTTTCATGACTCATGCTTGTACTCTATTATTGCATGGTTAGCAGGTCACCATAAAAAATAAAAATTAGGAAAACACTGGTTGTCAGTATGAAAATATTTTAGGTCTTTAGGATTGCTCTGTGGATATTTGCTAGTATTAGTAGGGTAATAAAAAAGGTAAAATTAGGAGAAGGTACTTTTAATTGAAAATCAATGAGGACAAATGCTTGCCCCTATTTGTATGTTGAAGGGAAGCTGCCAGTAGAGGGGAGGGAGAGGAGGAATTTCATGAGATGCTACTCTGAGAAGATGAGTAGGGATGAAGTTGCTGTACAGGTATCAGGAGCAGCTCCACTCCTGTAGGATAGAAGGGAAGATGGCGTGCATTTTTGCAGAGGTTAGAGAATGTTTTCAATCAGGCAAGGAAAATTTCTTTTATTAGAATCTTTCATCCTCAACTCTCCTTATTTATTTATGCCTTATCTCTCTCCCTTTTCACCTATCTGAGTAGTTCAAATTTGCCTCTGGGATTATCAAAAAATTGCCTTAATCTGAAATTCTTAGGAATGTTTAGACTGGTTATGAAACGGCCTCCTGAGGGCTTTCTTCTTAGTTAGGCCACCTTTACAGTGGTTAGTAATGAAGACAGATTATGGTCTTCTTCCCCCTCTTCCTTCTGTGAATGATAGGATAAAGATTTGTTTGGGAGCTCTGGTACAGGCACTTACAACAGGATTAAGTACAGAATAATAACATCTTTTGCATGGCATTAAGAGCTAATAAGGTCCTAATGCATATTAAACAAAATTTATTACGTTCTAACAACTTGATTATCTCCTTTGGAGAGAGTAAGCATCCTGGTGACTTCATTCCCATCACCACCCAGACTTGGCTGGGTGACTGACTACCTCACAATTGCAATGGAATTATCCTCATATTCACTTTAAATTTCTGCTTAGCTGAAGTTGTAGGGGTTTTCTCATTCAGAATTGGACCAAACTAGTCAGTCTTCTTTGGAAAAACTATACAACATGGTGTACAGAAAACTTAAGGATGAGATTTGCAGAAATAATAAAGATACCTCTTCAGGAAGTAGAGCTCTAAAAACAGTTGAGAATTCTGAAACTTTTTGACTGGCAGAATAGTTCTGCATTAGATCATACTGGCATGCTAATGGTTTTTGTTTAGGGGCTTTATAGATAATCTTTCTTTCTGACAGCTCTCTCTCAACTGGTAGAGAGCACAGTTGTACCGATGGTTTTACAAAGCCTTAGAGATCAAGTCACTGAAGATTAAACAGGGAGAAGAAAATTGTCAAATCTAACTTATCCCAATTGCCATGGCTCCTAGATTTGTTCAGTAATGACACAGGTTGTCTTTACATTATTTCTTTCTCTCATGTAGGTAACCTATTATTTTCCTTTGTGATAAAACATGATGCAATCAGACATATCTAGTAATATGTACCCCAAACAAGTTCTGTACAACTTTTGAGGTCTAATTTAAGTTCTGTAGCTACATGAATGCTCCATACATTACTACAAATCTTAAATGCTGTTTTTTTGTGGACATTAAAATGTATACACTCTTTACCAGGTAATTCATTTTTTAATAATATAACTGGTTTATCAAATGTACTTGTCTGGTTTTTCTTACCAGAGGAAACTTCTCTGAAAAGAAAAAATGCTTTTGCTTCTAATTTATAAACAGGTGCTCAGAAATGCTTTCTGTTTATTCATGACACTTTAAAAATTATAAGTACAAGGACCTCATCAATGTTAAGAAAGAAACACATGTCCTTGAGTGAATTTCATAAAATTTTAGAAATAGAAATAGGTATTTTATAATAAGTCACTTTTTAGTTGGAGTCCATAACTAAAATGAGTTGATAAACCAGAATTGGAACTCAAACCTCAATTTCAGTCAAGATGATGAAATGAACAGGGAAGTAGGGAGTTATGAGTAGCTTGGCCATTTAGGGATGTATAGAGTTTTTTCCCAACTATTTGGAAGACAGTCATGCACATCTATTTGAGTGCCAGAATTTAGATTTGCACCTTGAGTGTTATGGAACTAATTTTACTACAGATATCTTGACTGGGTGATTTTATAACTTTGAAGGTTAATTTTATGTAGTTTTAGCCATTTCCTTTTTGCTTTATCTTTCTTTCACAAAACTAAGAAAACATAATGACAACTAACCATCAAACAAAGCTCATTTGTTATAATGACAAGTGATAGTTGTTTGTAATTATACCATTCATTTTCATTAAAAATAATAATGTTTGCACATAAAACATCAATACCAAGTAACTTTTTTTTTTTGCTTTTCTAAGCACCAGTTTTTAGATTTAAAAAATTGTGCTTTAATGTGTATAAAACTTGGTGATTTTTAGTTAAGTCCTATAGATGGGCAGAGAGGCATTCAGCCAAGTATATACATTTGATAAATAGTTAGGGGATCAATTAGCTCTATGGCTACAAAATGCCTATTATCCCAGCCTGTCATCACAGCAAAGCTGTTTTCTAAGAACATAAGGAAGATCAAACCAGGACAGAATGGCAACCCAAGGCCTGTAGGTGGAAGTGGAGAATTGATGCTGGGGCCTTATCAAATAATGGCAGAGAGCCTGCGATAGCAGAGTTTGTCACCAGCAGATGGAACTCCCATAGGATGACTCAGCTAGGATACTGAGATGTTGTGCTTCAATGTCTGAGACTCATTTCTCTACAGTTTCTCTCTTTTGTGTTTCATAGATTCTTGTTCAATCGTGTTTCAAACTATTCTGGTTTGCTAAGAATCTTCCTTGTCACTTCCTCTTTTCTTCACGAAATTTCCTTGTCTCTGGGTTTCAATCCTAGTCAGTTCCTTCTCTTTCTTCTCCTTACCCCTGGTACTAGATGTATTTATTGCTGTCACTAGATGTCACTTCTTCTCTAATTCTCACATGATTGGGTCTCAGTTTCTTATCAGTCCTCAAGTGCCCAGAGAGTCATTCTTCACATTGAATTAAAACACATGATAATCTTTTTTCTACAGTTTCATGCTTCTTGACCTAATTATGCCTTTGGCACTACTCCCTTCAAAATCCAAATTCCCTTCAAACCATAAAGTAAATTAATATCTAGACGGAGGTCTGCAGTGCCAACAATAGTATTAGTAAGTAACTTATGATGTGTGTATGGGGAATAGAGAGAGGAGAGTACAACCAATGCTGGACAGAAGTGTAATATGGGTTACATGATTGTAAAATAAAAAGTGTGTCTGGGAAAGGAGAAGAATTAGGGGATTTCTGGGGTTGGGAAGACTTCAAAGATCTAATTCTTTTGCCTTGAGAGAGAAAGATTAAACATGAAGGAAAGGGAAAAATGTAAAGATTTTGTCGGGTTGACTTATTTTGTCTCCATTATGCCTATTGAATTGAAGAGGGATTAGTGTGGTAGAACCAATAAAGAAATTGCTTGCCATGTTAGCATGCACCAAAGCAGCACAGATTTTGAAAGATGCCACTGTAAATTTCAGTGCAAATGCCCAGGCAGTTAACAGGAGGTTGAGGACAGTTCTAAGTCTAGAAAGTTTATTGTACAATATTCATTTCTAATAAATAAAATATTACATTTTAATTTTTTGTTTAACTTGACAAATATTTCCTGAGCACTTACAATAGACTTGGCTATGCCATGTATTAGAGATACTAGAAAGAGAGAAAGAAAGGAAGAAAGGAAGGAAAGATAAAGTAAATAAATAAAAGAGAGCAAAGAAGGAAAGGCTGGAAGGGGGGAAAAGGAAGAAGAAAAAGAAACTTGGTTTTGGTTCTCAGAGGATATATCTCCATATGAATTTTGTCATTATCTTGGGTTGTATCAATAAACTGCTAATGAATTGGAGTGCAGTCACAATCTAATGAATGTGAATATTATAGTTTGCTTTAAATATATGAGCCAATGCCTATCACTTTTCTTTGGATTATGTATTTTGGCCCAGAAATAACTGAGTGGTTGCTTCAGCTAGCTACTTCATCTTGGATATAAAGAACCAGACATGATGACATTATTCATAAGTGTACCACTAATGTAACAACTCTAGTTGCTTATTGCTGTTGTTTGATTTGACCCTTTTCAGATATCTGATGCATGCTTCTTTTAAACCACTAATTTCGGTCAGATAGTCAAGTGGATCTGAAGGAAACAGTTCAGTGACAGCTATCCTTTTCATGTGTTGATGGTTTGAAGTAAGCCTGGGATAGAGACAAAGCCCATAAGTTAAAGCTACAATGTTACCCCATGATGGTGAAGCAGGATGTTATGCATGAACTTACAAGTTCAAGTAGGAGCTTCATTTTTTTTTTTTTTCAGAAATTGAGAACTCAAGGCCATAGCTTTTGAGAAGCAAAGGCTTTACTTACTCCATGTTCTAAGTTTAGAGAACTCACAGATGCTGGGCCAGCCACTTTTCCACAGTGATGACTAAGAAGTGCCTGTTCATCAGAGGTGACCCTTGCAACCTAGCCCCATCCCTCTTGGTTGATGTTAGAGAAAGGCTGGTAGTAAGCTGGTATGCCTTTTGCAGGGAGTGCATTCTTCATGAAGAGAGGCCATCTTCTGCATTCTCCTTCCTGTGGCTGAAGAGTGGGGCACTCAACTTGTTGCTTTCTGTCAAGGTAAGGGAAGGGGCTAAGAGGATCACTCATAAACCTTAGACTTCTCTGCTAGAGGGAAAAATGATGTCCAGTTTCCTGCAGGATTTCTGCCAAGCAGCTAGGCTTTGCTGACCTGCTCTGTTGATACTGGATTGGCAAAGAGCACTGAGGGGATTTGGTATGGTGGTGCAGCTCCTCAAGTTCCCAGTTTCTAGAGGTATGGGAAATAGGCTTATCTATGCCATAGGCTCCAGAGTTGAGGGCCATGGTGGGTATATGAGACTGGGGTTGTAAGTTTGCTGGGGACTGCTGTAACAGGGAGCAAATGGTCATACATCAGAATGTAAGCACTTGGGGGATACTTAAAACAAGGGTGGAATAAGCTTGCAAACACATAGAAAAATGTCTGATTTCTTTTTTCTTTACATATATCAGTATCAAAAATAACCCAAATGAAAGGGTTGGGGACCAGAGACTAGAAATAGTGCTAATGCAAGAGCATTCTCACCTATTGTGTATTTAAACAATTTTCTCTAATTGTATAATTTAATATTTTAAGTGAGTACAATGAATTCTTAAAAACACACATGGAAAGCTTTAACTAGTGCATGTTAAGACTGATAAAAAATCAGATTAATGTGTCATAATGAAACTCACGGCCCAGAGGATAAAGAAACTCAATACAACATGGTTGGTGATGGTTACGGTGAATGTAAAATTTGTTTTACATTTATACTGTGTGATTTGAGATTGCTCAATTTCAAGAATTACAGTTCTGCTCAGTGAGCCCTGCAGGAGGTGGATAGCCCCAACAGCTGGTGATTCTTGGAATCTTTCATCCTTTGCTGTGAGCTTTAATGATTAACTCAAGGAAATCAGCATATATTTCGCCAAAAATCGCACGCCGTCCTGCTACACTTAACAACACACTAGACAAATACATGAAGGACAAACATCCTACTTAATAGTGACATTTTAAAAGTTTTCTCATTGTTAATAGGAATGATAAAAAAAATTCCATTAATCAAACCTTCTCTGCAGCATTTTATTGAGGGCATTAGCCCATAAGAATAAAAGATATAAGGATTGGAAATGAAGATATATAAATTTTCATTATTCACAGATGACATAATTTTATATACAAAAATCTTCCCAAATCTATATATAAATTATTAGAATAAGAGTTTAGCAAAGATGGCAGTTAATGTACAAAACTACAATGACTATCTTTATTAGAAATTTATAGTTGTTAGAGACTGATACCATTTAAATAGCTTTAAAAATATTAAGTAGTAATTATAGGTTCCTATAGGATTATGGTGACCACCCAAATTTGAATTTCTTCCCATATCTTCTGAAAATATTAAAAAGAAAAGAAGAAATGCACCATTTAGCATAACTAGGAGACAGAGAATACTACAACTTTATATTAACTCATGAGGAAATATTGACAACCAGGAGTCATCTCTGGGTCCCAATCCCATAAAGAGTCAGAGACTGTGCAGAAAACAGTAGAGGGCAGCCAGGTACTAGAAGGCTTGGAACAAAGATTAAATTATCCCCTGAACAAAGGTTCTTACTCTGAGGGTGGAGTGGAAATACTGAGAATCAACTGGAGCCCTTGTGTAGTAGACTACCAGAAACTGGGGAATCAAAAGGAAGGGGCTTGAAAGTTTATGGGACCAGAAGTGAATAACTACAGGAGGCATCAATTATGGGGTCCCAGGAGGTAACTTAAAAGAACAGAGGTTTATCTCTGAAGGATAACTGATGGAGGAAAATAAAGAAGCAAGCAAAATATAAAAAATAAGTCTGTTTTCACACTGCTATAAAGAAACTACCTGAGACTGGGTAATTTATAAACAAAAGAGATTTAATTGACTCACAGTTCTGCATGGCTGGGGAGGCCTCAGTAAACTTACAATCATGGTGGAAAGGGAAGGGAAAACAGGAACCTTCTTCACAAGGTGACAGGAGATAGAGCAAGCACAGGGAAACTGTCACTTTTAAATCATCAGACCTCATGAGACCTCATGAGAACTCACTCACTATAATGAGAACAGCATGGGGAAAACTACCCCCATGATCCAATCATCTTCCACCAGGTCCCTCCCTTGACATGTGAGGATTACCATTAGCGATGAGATTTGGGTGGGGACACAGAGCCAAAGTCAAACCATATTATTCTGCCCCTGGCTGCTCCCAAATCTCATGTTCTTTTCACATTTCAAAACTAATCATGCCTTCCTCAACAGTCCAAGATATAATGGGGGTACAGGCATTGGGTTAATGTTCCCATTCCAAATGGGAGAAATTGACTAAAACAACAGGGCTACAGGCTCCATGCAAATCCGCGACTCAGCCTGGCAGTCCTTACATCTTAAAGCTCCAGAATCTCCTTTGACTCCATGTCTGACATCCAGGGCATACTGATGCAAGGGGTGGGCTCCCTCAGCCTTGGCCAGCACCACCCCATGGCTCTGCAGGGTACAGCCCCTGTAGCTGCTTTCACCAGATGGTGTTGAATGTCTGTGGCTTTTCCAGGCACATGGTGCAAACTGTAGGTGGATCTACTATTTTGGGGTCTGGAGGATGGTGGCCCTCTTCTCATAGCTACACTAGGCAGTGCCCCAGTGGGGACTGTGTGTGGGGGCTCCAACCCCACATTTCTCTTCCATACTGCTCCAGCAGAGGTTCTCCATGAGGGTTCCACTCATGTAGCAGACTTTTGCCTGGACGTCCAGGAGTTTCCATACATCATCTGAAATCTAGGTGGAGGCTCCAAAGCTCAACTCTTATCTTTTGTATACTCACAGGCCTGATACCACATGGAAGCTGCCAAGGCTTGGGGCTTACATCCTGTGAAGCAATGGCCTGAGCTGTACCTTGGCCCCTTTTAGCCACAGCTGGAGCTAGAGCAGCTAGGATGCAGGGCATCAAGTTCCAAGTATGGACAGAGCAGTAGTGCCCCGGGCCCAGTCCACAAAACCATTTCTTTCTGCTAGGCCTCCCAGCCTGTGATGGAAGGAAATGCCATGAATATCTCTGAAATGCCCTGGAGACATTTTTCTCATTGTCTTGGCTGTTAACATTCACCTCCTTGTTATTTATGCAAATTTTTTCAGCCAGCTTGAATTCCTCCCCAGAAAATGGGTTTTTCTTTTCTAGCACATTGTCAGGCTGCAAATTTTCTAAACCTTAATGCTCTGTTTCCATTTTAAACATAAGTTCCAATTTCAAACCATCTCTTTGTGAACACATATGACTGAATGCTTTCAGAATCAGCTAGGTTATATCTTGAATGCTTAGCTGCTTATAAATTTTTTTTGCCAGATACTCTAAATTACCTCTCTCAAGTTCAAAGTTCCACAGATCTTAAGGCAGAAAATGCCACCAGACTCTTTGCTAAAGCATAGCAAGAGTGACCTTTGCTCCAGTTCCAAATAAGTTCCTGATCTCCATCTGAAACCACGTCAGCCTGGACTTCATTGTCCATAACACTATCAGCATTTTGCTCAAAACCATTCAACAAGTCTCTAGGAAGTTCCAAACTTTCCCACATCGTAGTGTCTTATTGTGAGCCCTCCAAACTGTTCCAACCTATGCCCATTACCCAGTTCCAAGTCACTTCCACATTTTAAGGTTATCTTTATAGCAGTGCCCCACACCCACTACCAATTTTCTGAATTAGTCTGTTTTCATACTGCTATGAAAATACTCCCTGAGACTGGATAATTTATAAACAAAGAGACTTAGTTGACTTACAGTTCCACATGGCTGGGGAGTCCTCAGGAAACTTACAATCATGGTGGAAGGTGAAGGAAAAGCAGGAACCATCTTCACAAGGTGGCAAGAGAGAGAAAGCACAGGGGAAACTGCCACTTTGAAAGCATCAGATCTTGTGAGAAATCCCTCACTATCATGAGAACAACATGGGGGAAACTGCCCCCATGATCTATTTACCTCCCACTAGATCCCTTTCTCAACACATGGGAATTACAATTCAAGATGAGATTTGGGTGGGGACACAGAGCAAAATCATATCATAAATGCCCTAAATAAAATTAGTACTGAATAATAAGAAATACCAAATGTCCCAAAAAGGTACATCTATTAAAGACACTGCAATTTGCTCTACCAACTAAGAGGGTGATCTTGAGCTAAGAAACCATTAATCCACCAAAACCTTCACCTTAATTTCTTCCCATGGAAAAACACCTGTTATTTAAGGTTTGGAAAAATCCAAAACATTTAAAAATGAACACAGTATGTCAGGCAACACCCACACCAAATTTATTCAAGAATGAAATAAAAAGTGGAAATCAAAATTTTTCACATGGTAAAAACACTTTTCACCTTTCTCATCACCTGGAAAACAACCAAGAAGCAGAAGACGACTGAAATACATCTCAGCATTCATTAAGTATCACAAAACAAGCATTTTCACATATGACAGAGAATTTTGAATCAGAAATTCAACAACAGAATGGAAATGAACAACAACAACAACAACAAGAAAGAGGAAGATGTGAGAAAAATGATCAAACAAACTCAGGGAAGAAAGAAGAGAAAAATTTTAAAGCTCATTTCAGAAATGTAGATGAAATTATGACATACTCAAGAAAGAATAGGTAAATGGACTAAAAACATAAAGGAAAGGAATAGAAATAGCCAAGAATAGAAAAAACAAGTTAAAAAACTGAATGTATCAGTAGGTTTTAGATGTAGAACCTAGGCAAAAAAATCTAACATACATGTCTTGTAGTCCACAAGTAAAAAGAAAGTAATAAAATATGTAAATAATATTCAATAAAAATGGCAATTCAAAAATATATTTACACTCTCATATGGAAAGGATCTATTGTGTACCTGGAAAATTGATTATAAATTGTCACCTCTGAGGCATATTTTAGTAAAATTATTAAACTTAATGAACAGACTTGAGATAAGCAAAAAGATCAAGTTATTTATAGAACAAAGGAAATTAGACTAACTTTAGACTTTTGACAGCAAAACAGCATGAAGCAAGGCAACAGTGGAGGAGCATTGTCATAAAACTCAAGGAAACATAATTTAAAGGTTTTATAAACATTGATGTTATTCTTTAAGTGTCAAAACTATAGAAAAATAATTTTAAGCAGGAAGAGCTCAAGGAATGCTGAATTTACAGACCTTCCTGTGTAACCCATTAGAAGATCTGCCTCATTAAACCAAGACGTGACTGGAGCTAGCTCAGTAAAAGGAATGATGTTGAGTGTTGAATATATTTAATTGTAGATTTAAGACCAAAACGAAGGTTGCAGCAAAATGGGAGGAATAGTGTTTGAATATTACCCGTTACGATAAAATAGAAGTAACACAACTGAAAAAACAGATGAGGACAAGCAAGAGAGAAAGTAGAAAATAGAATAAGCTTATTAATTGCCACATAGGAAATAGGAGGAATTAAAGCCACAGCAGAAGGTTAAGGATAAGGAAGAAGGCCTACGAGCATTACAAAAAATACTGGTATAAAGGTCACCTTTATAATAAAAATATAAAGTTTTCTAAATATAAAAATAAATACATGAAAGCAAAGAAAATAAACCTATAAACATATTAGCAGAAACAAATTAAATATAATACAAACAAATATGGGGTGGAAACTCTACATTAAAGTTATATGATGAACTGTAACTGGGCTAAACTCATCAATTAAAAGGAAATATTTTCTGATTAGCTCATAAAAATATTAAATTTTTATGTAACAGACACTATCTACAAAGTGGCATGTTGGACAGCTTTGAAAAAATGTAGAAGAATTTTATGCGCTGATGTGGAGTTAATTCCAGGATATCTTAGGTTAAAGTACAAAAAAGCAAAAGGAGTGAATATAATATGCTATTTACTATTTTCTGTGTATTTTTCTCCCATCCCCTAACCTAGTCCTTTAAACTGTTTACTAACAAATTACTAATTGCTTGAAGATGGTGACCGGAGAAATTTAAATTTAAATCATTAAGGGGCTCTAAAACTTGAATATCAGTTTAAAACTCATCTTCTTAAAGGCTATAAATCAAGAAGAATATAGTATTTAATCTACAAAAATGCACCTAGACACAATTGTGTTGAGGAACACATGTCCCTACATAAGAGATACCTGTATCTAATGTGGGTAGACATTATTTCTTAGACAAATTTGTTCATGAGGCAAATGGTTATTGTATCTAATGATCAAGCTTCTAAAAAAGAGAACCAGTTTTAAAACATCATCCTTCTTGAATAGCAAATGAACGTATCAGTGGCAGATATAATAACCTGGATCATAGAGCATCTATCCCAACTCTTCTTGGTATTCTCTTCCATAGTGCACATGTTGGAAAGCTAAAAACATTTCTCAGATATCACTGTGGCTCAGGTTCTCGATATAATTTGGGCTCTCCAATCAGACACACAGATGAAGTTATACATTCAAAACTGAATTAAATGGAGAAAGAGGCAACGATGTGCAGAGATCCATTTTGCAAATATTATCCTAGCATGAGTGGCATGGCACTAGGGTCAGCAGTTCTGGCAGAAACTTCTGGACATCCAGACTATGACCCAGGTGATGTGATGCTAGAACCAGTAGTTGGCACAGTGGCTTCGTACCTCTGAAATTTCCTGGCTATAGTAGATGTAGCTGTTCCCCTGGTGGGCCAGTTCTGGGGTGTTCTGGGAGTCAGCCTTGGAGCGGATGAACAATTAGCTTTCTCTATTAAATCTCTTTATTCTTAGAGTGGCTAGAGTTAGTTCTCTTTTCAGAAATGGAACCCTAACTGATAAAATATACTAGGGAAAATACCTCGAAAATTTGGTGTGTGGTCTCTTCATGTTCCTAAGCCATAGAATTCATCATAGAACACCCTGAACTATTAAACCTACCCCTGGCTAGCAGCCTTCGATATACTGAGTAAGCTGGCTATTCATCCTCCAGTCTCCTTTGATATGGTCATTAGAGAATCCTAAATCCATCATTGCCTTCCTTTCTTGCTCCCACCTCTTATTTGTTCACTCTTCAATGATTGTAGCAGCTACTGCCACATCAGTCAAAGCAACCCACCTCTATGGATTCTGCAGCCTTCATTACAGAGGGATGATTTAAGATCTTTTAGAATATGTTAGAAATTGACAGACTCAGTCCTGTTATCTTGGCATATATGGCTGAGGCTAAAGATATATAGGGCCGTCCTTACACCTACGGTTCTTTGTCATGGGGCTTTGGGGCCTGGCATAGGATCCAGAAGCTTTGTTGTTACTGTTTCCTGGGTAGATCAGTTCTTGGAAAGGTCTTAAAGAAAAGGAGGATTGTATTCTGTTACAAGAGTTGATGGTTTATCTGGGTTAAAACCGGACAGAGACCTGGAGTTTCATTATAGAAGAACTTTGCTTGGGTCAAACTCAGAAAATGAAAGGAATAAATTTAGGTTGGCTCCAAGGCAAAGGAAATTATAGGATAATGGCAGAAAAAGCGTTGGGTTGCTTGTCACATCTGAAGCACAACTGGAAGGTTATTTAAAAAAGGAAAGGTAAAAAAAAAGTTTAAAAGGAGCTGTGTCTGCTGTCATGGTGAGGGCATGTTTATTTTTGTCTTAGGCCTTTGAGCTTAATTCAAGAAAAGCTCTTCCCAAAAGCTTTATGCTGCTGGCTCCCCTCCTGTCAGAGGCAGTATTAAATAATAGTTGAGAACATGAAATCTGGAGACAGTCTGCCTCCAAATCCCACTTTTATCCATCAGCATATCTGTGACCTCAGGCTCAAGATTCATATCTTCAGTGCTACGGTTTGAATATTTGTGTTCTCTCAAAGTTCATATATTGAAACGTAACTCCCATGGCAATGATATTGAGAGATGGGCTTTTTGGAGGTGATTAGGTCGTGAGTGTAGAGCCCTCATAAATGGGATTAGTGCCCTTATGAAAGAGACCCCAGAGAGCTAGGTCATCCCTACCACCATGTGAGGGCACGATAAGAAGGTGCCATATATGAACCAGGAAATGGGCCATCACCAGACACCAAATCTTCCAGTACCTTGATCTTGGACTTCCCAGGCTCCAGGACTTTGAGAGGTAAATTTCTGTTGTTTGTAAGCCTCCCAGTCTATGGACTAAGACATTGACATTGCCTGTGTCTCCATTTCTAGAACTGCAAAATGGGTATAATGATAGTTCTTTTGCAGTGTTGTTATGAGGCTTACATAGGTAATTACATGTCAAGCAGTCAGAACAGTGTATTGAATACTCATATAAATGTTAGCTATTATCATCTTTCAGATTTTGGTCCCTCCTCAGAGGCCCTTGATGGTAATCATTGCTAAGAGATGTTTCCCTCCCATCACTATCTGTGAGTATCCTAAGTTATTGGCTTCCTAATACTGTTTTAAACATTTATTAATATATTTATTTCCTCATATACATATAGGAATAAACGTTCTAATGGAAGGTATGATTCATTCTTGCATATACAGACAGCATTGTCTCCCATAAATATGAAGCAAATTGCAGTTAAAAAGGGGTAGAAGGAAGCTGGTCTTCTGGAAGCCAGGGATTAAAAAACCGTAATAGGAGATATTTACTGGACACCGCTATGTTCCAAGTACTATGGTTAGGTCCTAGGCCTGGGCCAGGGAAAAAAAAACTGCAGCCTGGAAAAGATCCACTACTTCTTATGTGGACTGGGAAACCTGGCAGAAACTCATCCTAGATAAGACATACATTTAACGTGAAATTAGAAAGAGAATGCAAACATCTAGTACAGAATGGGAAGTGAGGAGTAATTGGGAATAGCATGAATTTAGTCAGGAGGCAAAGAGAACTGAATATGCCTAGGAAGGCTGAACTTTGTATTCATTCTTAGGATCTAAAAGTTTTCTATTGCCCAGGTATGTTTTCATGAGTAAGGTAAAGTTTAGAAGATGTGAATCTGGGCTGCATGTGGTGGCTTGCGCCTGTAATCCCAGCACTTTGGGAGGCCGAGGCAGGCGGATCATCTGAGGTCAGGAGTTTGAGACCAGCCTGGCTAACATGGTGAAAACCCTTCTCTACTAAACATACAAAAATTAGCTGGTGTGGTGGCACGTGCCTGTAGTCCCAGCTACTCAGGAGGCTGAGGCAGGAGAATCGCTTGAACCTGGGAAGCAGAAGTTGCAGTGAGCTGAGATTGCACCATTGCACTCCAGCCTGGGGGACAAGAGTGAGACTTAGTCTCAAAAAAAAAAGAAAAAAAAATGTGAATCTGAAATAAGAGGGAAATAGCCACAGGGGGAAGAGTCTCAAAACCTGCTGCTACACCAAAGATGTGAGAATACTAAAAGGCCCAGACCGAACAATAGCAGGTGTACATTCTGTACACCAGGCTCAGTAGCTAGATCCCCTTAGTCACTTGCAAACAAGAAGACCATAAACAGGTCATATGATCCTTAGCCCAATACTCACTCATGGGCATACAAAGAATGAGGGTAAAGATGTTAGGAGAGAGAAATCAGAAGTCTTTGGAAAAAGCTGTTAGAGAGTTATGAAATGGAGAAATTGCCTCCCCTTAAGCAAAGCCCAGCAAAAAGAGATGACATGCACAGCTTGATATGGTCCTGTGAGGGACTGAAAATGTAAGGTGAACCTATATCAAGGTAGCTGCCTAGTTGTACTACAGAAAAAAATAGATAATATGTTAGGTGCCAGTGGCAGACAGGGCAGAGGTGAGTGCCTCAAGAGGGTCAGATGAGGACTGCAGGGTCAGTATCACATATAGCTTTCCTTACTTTTTGAGTGCCTCAAGAGGGTCAGATGCTGGGGGACATCCAAGGGAACTTCAGGTAGAGGTTGGAGGAGGATTGTTAAATACAGAAGCTTAGAGTGTCAAAATTGCAAATAACCTTACATTTATTAATAACTCACTTCTCACAGCATGCAGAAATTAAATCTCAGAAAAGTTAAGTAAATTGCCCAATTCATGCAGCTAGTTAGTAGGTGACCATGTCTACATTACCACAGTACCAGAGGAAGATACAATTTCCTGCCCTTTACCTCCCTTCCCTCCCCCACACCTCCCCTTCTCTGGAGGAGTAAGAGTGCGGCCTAGGTAGGGGTGGGGTGGGGTGGGAGAGGAGTCAAGTATAGGTGGGGATGTGGAGAGTCAGACCTCTTTTCTTATTGCAGTTTGCACTGTAAGGAAGAATTAGTCCCACAGACCTGGGAAGCAGGAGGAAAGAATGACATTGTTTTCTGCTTTCCCTCTATGCAGTTCCACTGCTTCCACATGGCACACATCATTTGTTGAGAAGTCACTATGTAGAGAATGCTGGCCTCAGAGACATACAGAATCTTAGAGAGGGCTTTCCACTTATGAAGATAGGTAGATAGATGATAGATAATAGATAAATAAAACAGAAAACACAAGAGATCTGAAGTCAAAACATTTTCATCTATAGCTATAAGATGGCTATTATTGTTAAATGGCTGAGGAAAATTTTATGGAGGACAGTAGGCTTTTTAGTATCATGGAGAAGGAGGTCTACATCACAGAAAGCAAGGAGAAAGCTCAGTGCTGTGAAGTAAATTTGTGGAAAGATGGGAACAGATAACTCCTGAAGTTAAAGGAAAGATGTAAAATACATTTTATCAGGCAGAACAGAGTAGGTCATCTTCGGTAACAAAGAGGAGGACAGTCAGAGGAACAGGATTTCTGTTTATATTTAATTTAACTTTCTGCTATAATATAAAGCCCAGTAAGTCACATTGCAAACTAATATTACTGGTTCAGGCCAGATAGCCTATGGGAGTCTTTGTTTCTGTAATTGAAAAGCTATGTAAGAATCAAAGATTTTCTGAATGAGCTATCATCTGCATCAACAAAATGCAGTACACCACGGGAAGTGAAAGATGCACTTGATTATGAAATGTCTACTTTATTTAGAGGGACATATTTGCAACAAGGGTAAATAGCAAGCTTGCTCATTTTTATTTGCTGAATCTGTTCACAGATTGGTGATAATTCTATTATTTATGGTAATGGATTCACAATGTTGATTATGGAATGTCTTTTCCTGGCAAAGAAGGAGGAGGAAGAACAAAGATTGTGTTTTCTCTTTAAATGCCTAACCAATTTTCCAGTGTTTTTAATACTTGGAATATGGGAAGTTTATGCATTAGATAGCTGGGTGTAGGGGGCTTTTGAATGGATGCACTCATTTCTGCCCCCTGGTCTAGCTATCTTAGCTCAATGAAGTAAGGAAAACTATATGTGATACTCAAAAATATCAAGTCTCTTTTCAGCTGAGAGTCCTAGAAAAAAAATTAAACCATATGGCATAGGCTGAGAATGTGGTTCATTCTACTTTTTAAAAATCAGGTATATTTCATATTGGACCCATTTCCTGACTCCTTTATAGGCAATGATAATTATGTTGATACTTATGTCTGACATTTAAAAATGTGATTCTGAATCTAAGAGACCTCTAGGAAAAAGGAGAAGCAATGCACTTTGAGACATTTAATGCTTTTGCCATTGAGGGCCCCATAATATTTGTATAATGTAAATATTGACAAATAAGTTAATTAGTTTAATACAGTTGAAGGCAAAATTTTCACTTCTATTCCATATCAAAATAACAGAAATAAAAGAGCAGCTAGTAACTTGGCCTTGAAAGGTGTATCATGGAGACGGTAGGAAATTCCCCAAATTTCCTCCCCAGCACTGAGATTTCCCCTTGCTTTCTGTGGTGTGGGCCTCCTTCTCCATGATAGTAGCTTGTGGCTCTTGGAGGGCAAAGGATCTACCCCTCTAGTGAATTTTCACCTTTGTTCATCCTTGGGACAATTATTATTTTTGTAGCACTATTGTGCCAAGTCAATATTTCCATGACTCTCAGAGTCTCTATCCAGTATCTGTAGATATGTTAATATCAGCACTCTATAGCATACAGCAGAGGTCCCCAACCCCTGAGCCAGGGACCCATACCAGTATTTATTCATGGCCTGTTAGGAACTGGGCCACACAGCAGGAGGTGAGCGGCAGGTGAGAAAGCATAGCTTCATCTGTATTTACAGCCACTCCCCATTGCTCACATTACCACCAAAACTCCACCTTCTGTCAGATCAACAGAGGCATTAGATTCTCTTAGGAGCGCGAACCCTATTGTGAACTGAACATGTGAGTGATCTTGGTTGCTCACTCCTTATGAGAATCTAATGCCTGATTTGTCACTGTCTTCCATCACTCCCAGATGGGACTGCCTAGTTGCAGGAAAACAAGCTCAGGGGTCCCGATGATTTGATACTATGGTGAGTTATAATTATTTCGTTATATATTACAATGTAATAATAATAGAAATAAAGTGCACAATAGATGTAATAAGCTTGAATCATCCTGAGACCATCCCCCTCAACCCCCCATCTGTGGAAAAATTGTCTTCCACGAAATTGATCCCTGGTGCCAAAAAGGTTGGGGACTGCTGGCATACAGTCTTAATACTTAAATACTTGTGCCTTTTAAATATTCAGGACTAGCTTGTTTTATTTCAAATGCTTGGAGAATTTATTTTCAACCTTCCCTCTGGATTCTACTGCTCTTTCCCTATCCCACTTCCACTACTCCCCTTGAAACTTTCAACACCCCCAAGTATTCTACAATATGTGTTATATATCGAACCTGTTTTTTTTTTTTTTTTTTTTTCTTGAGATGGAGTCTCACTCTGTCACCCAGGCTGGAGTGCAATGGTGCGATGTTGGCTCACTACAATCTCCACCTCCTGGGTTCAAGTGATTCTCCTGCCTCAGTGTCCCGAGTAGCTGGGATTACAGGTGCCCACCACCACACCTGGCTAATTTTTGTATTTTTAGTAGAGACAGGGTTTCATCCTGTTGGCCAGGCTGGTCTCGAACTCCTGACCCTCATGATCTGCCCGTCTTGGCCTCCCAAAGTGCTGGGATTACAGGCATAAGCCATCACGCCCAGCTCAAATCTGTTTTTTTCTGCAAAGGGAATTATTCTCTGTTGCAGAATTTGGGACTTTTTAAAAAAAAAAAAAAAAAAACAAGGAAAGCACTAGAGTGTTGCCTGAAGAAAAAAATGACAACAAACTCATAATTTTAAAATCCTTTAATCATTCCTTAGCCTCCAGCCCAACGGAGGTTAAAAGAAAAAAACAAAAACCACAAAAAACCTCTCAGTAAATGATGCTTCTAATTTGTCCTTGTCGGAAAATACTGACTTGTCATTGGGGGATGTCCTGGGTTTCTTTTTACCATTGAATTTCCAAAGTACCTCATTTATTTATCTTTCTTTTTACCTGACATTTATTACTTTCCATTGTTAACAACACAGATCTTAGATCAAAAATAGGCTAAAGATAAATGGGTTTAACATGTATGCATCATAAAAGGCTGCTGTAATGTGTTAAGTCACTTAAATCAAGTAGTATAAGAATTTCTTGGCTGGCTGACAATGTAGCAGTAACCTCTGTATGAGAAAAATATTTCCCTTGCCCTATTTCCCTTGCACTATTTCCCTTGGGCACTTTGATGGACGATCATGTGTGGTTAGTCACCTGCCATTTTAGGTGCCAATGTAAGTAAAATTTTAAAAAGTAAAGCTCTTAGTTTGTAATATTAGTAAGAGAGTCCTCATTTAAAGACTAATGGTATTAAAATTCTTTTTAAAAGTCTTTTTTCACATTCATACAAACTAAAAGTAGAGACATCATGATCAGAGCTCTAACATATGTTTGGTCTCTTTAGAGTAAGATATCCATTAAATACTCTGTGTGAAAGAGGGAACCACTATTTTTGTTTCTAGGTGATGAATGTCCTATTTTTCCCTTTCATACAAACATAACAGACTGATCTTGCCTAGTTCTCAGTGGAAATTTATCTGATAGGGCCAAAGGACCATACCAACCCTACCCATGCACATAAACACACCATCCCCCAAATATATATTTACCCACATAATTGGACTGGGAAAGACAGTCTATGAGGAGAGAAATGTTATGCATGTGTGTCTAAAGTAAGAACAGTAAAATTATAGGGGAGTCTTTCCTGAGTCCATGAGGATTGCATGGGTCTAAGTCTGTACCTCTTTCTAGCTCTGCTTCACATATATCCTAGTTTTGGTCAAACCGGGACTAAAGGAAGATCATCTTGTCTTGGGTATCCTATAGATTTTGTAATTCATGCACACCAGGAAACAGCATCCCGGAAAAGGTGGTTATCTCCTAAAGGAGCAGTGCAAGACACTGAGGAGACCTTGATGCCCAGTGGGGCATGGCAGATGCCCAAGGTGCATGTTTGATGCCAAGCTGAGGCCTGGTGGGCAAATGGCAGCACCTGGTGAGCACTGATTTTTCTGAGTGCTGTGTGAGATGCCTGGAATACATAGAAATGTTCTCGAAGAGGCTGAGGTTCACATCAGTATATAGAGGCATTTAGGCAGTGGCATTTGAGTTTTCATGCTAATGCTAATGCATTTTCATTTGTTCCAAAATCTGGTGGGGCTTTGAGATATTTTGGTGATGTAAACTTCCAAGTGCATTGAAGGCGAGCTGATTTTGCCTGGAACCCAATTTTAAGTACAGTATTTCATAACAAAGTTTTTCAAGATTAAGGATATAAACACTTCAGCTAAATCTGTAAATTTAAACCCACGGTATTTTCATAAAACACATTTTATGTAAATATATATATATATATATATATCTATCTCAACTCAGTTTAACTGGTTTTCACCAAATTTGCACAAGTCATGTTAGCTCCTTGCATTTCTCAGTCCCAAACAACTAAAACTACTGCTCAGTCTAGTTCATAAAGCCACCCAAACAGGGCAGAAGACACTGAGAGCCCCAGCCCCTATGGCTAGTGGGATTTTCTGGTGGGAGATTGAGACATCAGTGTGCCAGGGAGGTTGCCCATGTAATCTCCAAGTCATGCCATTTGCCTACCTTTCCAATGCTGAATCAGTCTGTAGAATCACACTTTTGTCTTGGTTTACCATTTTTTTTTTTGAGATGGAGTCTTGCTCTGTTGCCCAGGCTAGAGTGCAATGGCGCGATCTCAGCTTGCTGCAAGCTCCGCTTCCCAGGTTCACGCCATTCTCCTGCCTCAACCTCCCGAGTAGCTGGGACTACAGGTGCCCGCCACCACGCCCAGCTAATTTTTTGTATTTTTAGTAGAGACGGGGTTTCTCCTTGTTAGCCAGGATGGTCTAGATCTCCTGACCTCGTGATCCTCCCGCCTCGGCTTCCCAAAGTGCTGGGATTACAGGTGTGAGCCACCGCGCCCAGCCTTGGTTTACCTTCTAAGGACTTCTGTTCCTTGAAGGAACTAGAGCCGTTTTTTAAATTTTACTCTTCATGCCTGGGATTCTGATAATATTAATGGCATTGGCCAGTTCTTACAGAGGACTGGACCCTGAGGAGAGATTACTTCCCCTGTCTTCCCCCTATGGCATTGATTCATCATTCCTTGGGTTCATGATGCCATCGCCAGCCGGATCTGATATGGACTGCCTCCTGCTGTATCTCATCCTCTGGGTGATTCCAAATCACCCAGAAAATCCCCAGGGATCCTGATTCCCATCTGAGTCTTATTTGCTTGCCCAGGGGTGTCCTCCACACTGACTCTTCTCAAACTTAAATTGTATATGCAACATGTGGAGATCGTGTTACTGCATAGATTCTGATTAGTAGGTCTAGGGTGGGGCCTGTGATCTGATGATGCTGCTGGTCCAGGAACCACACTTTGAGGGGCAAGGCATTTCACCCAGAGTATTCCCTCCTCAGACTCCTTCCCACTGGACCCAGAGTTTCTCCTTTCTGATCCCTTTTATTAAAGTCTCTACATATTTTTGCTTGCATTATCATGAACACTGTCTAAATAAAAAGTGCCAGGCCATCTGCTGACCCAAAGTGAGGTGAGAAGTCAGCTGAGCAGATTTTCACTGTAAACCCAGGAAGCACATTCTGACAGTGGTATAGAAACTCACAAACCAGAAGAATGTTATAGAGAGGACAAATGAAGTTCTCTCTTTCTCTCTTTCTGCAGGATTTCACCTCTCAAACCTATGAAAATAGTTCAGGCTCAGTAGCATTTGTCCTTTCTGTAACATTCTTCTGGTTTTGTGAGTTTCTATGCCACTGTCAGAATGTGCTTCCTGGTTTTGCTGACAGTCACCTAGAAACATGAATCTAAGTTCTTTAAAAAATGCTGACACTTTCAGTCCACTGGATCTGATAAAATATGGGGTGGTGTGTTGTTCTCTTTCCTTTCTTCCATGCGATTTTCTCTAAACTAACATGAAAAACTGATGAAAGATGGTTGGAGTTAGAGTTTATTAGAGGGTTAGGATACTTTTAGAAAGGAGGAAAAAGGCTAAAGTGCTATCTAAATTATCATTGTTCCTTGAGTAGCCATAGAAAAGTGCCTAATGCCTGCACTTTCACAAGTAAAGTAGACCTTTCTGCCTAGTGGTAACTTTGCTCTCTCGATCTGAGTTTTTTACCTGCGCTTCCTAAACATCTCTCCTATATCTCTTATCCCAAACAAAAAGACTCTCATTCCTTGTATCCTTTTCCTTTCTCTGTCTCTTACAATGTCCTGAAGCCTTGGAGTGTGACATGGACTTCAGCTAGATGGGTAGTGATTCCTTTCATTGTCTGGTCTTGTAAGTCCTTCAGCTTGACTTTGCTCTTCAATATTTCCATCAATGGGAGCTGCAGGCCTAAATGTTCTTTAATGGATTGGCCTATGGGAAAGCATATTACCACCAAACACACTTAATTTTTAAAAAATAATGCTGTTTGAACCCATTTGAGAAAAGAATGTTTCTTCAATTAATGGCATATGGTGTGCTATACCTTGAGTCACTGGTTTCCTATTACAGTAATCATTTATTTTCTTTCTGTCTCTCTGCCTGGGGTCTGTTGAAATCATTAAATGCCTAAGTCAATCTCTAGTGGTCAAAAAAAGTGTTAGAAATATAGGTAACCACTCAAGCCTAGGTCAAGCTTTACCTTTGATCTGTGATGTCATCTTTTCCCTGAGGCCTGGTTTCCTCGTTGGGATGGATAAAATCTCCCATGCTTTCAGAATCTCATAGAATCTCGAAAAAGGATCTGAGCCTACCCTTGATGTGGCACTGTGGAAAAACAGGCCAAACTTCATTCTGGTCCTTGGCTAAGCTGGGGCTTATCAGATTCCTAAATCACTCATACCCGAATAATGAGTTATGAAACCAAAGTTTGCATCCTGGTTTATATCCATGTGGAACAATTCATGTGCTGAAGGATATGAATCTAGTATTACCAACTTTTAAGGGGTCCATTATTAGTGGCCTGCCTTTCATTCGCAAACTTTTTAATAATTGGGAAGGGCTTTACCCTTGAATCAGTCATCATTAACATAATTATCACTAGAGAAGCAATAAGATTTGCTTCTCTAGTGATAGGAAAGATGATAGGAAATCTAGTGATAGGAAAACGGAAGTCTTCCTCATCTATAGGGAACATGAAGTCTAGGAAGATTCAGCCTGGGTGCGGTGGGTCATGCTTGTAATCTCAGCAATTTGGGAGGCCAAGGCAGGGGGATCACCTGAGGTTGGGAGTTCGAGACCAGCCTGGCCAACATGGTGAAACCCAGCCTCTACTAAAAATACAAAAATTAGGCGTGGTGGCACAGGCCTGTAATCCCAGCTACTCGGGAGGCTGAGGCAGGAGAATTGCTTGAACCTGGGGGTTGCAGTAAGCCAGGGTCGCGCCACTGCACTCCAGCCTGGGTGACAGAGTGAGACTCTGTCTCAAAAAGAAAAAAAAAAAAAACCTAGAAAGATTCTGTAATTTCTCAAGGTCACACAGGATGTGAGCAGCCATCAAGTGCTTGAGCTTTTACTTCCTGTTTAGCACACTATTGAATAAGCTAGCCTGAACTTACTTCTGAAGCCAAATGTGATTTTCAGAGTATTTCACTTTCTGTGTTATTAAAAAAACCCTCCATTTCAAAGAGCCCTCTGGCTATAGTCCACATTTCTCTCTAGACAGCAGCCTCAGAACGTGTGATTAAAAATGGAAATGTGCTTTTGGGAACTGATAATATGCTCTTAAACTCTGGTGCTTTTCCACCAGCAAAACAGTTAAGAGTGTTTTTTTGTTGTTGTTGTTTTTACTGTTCATCGTTTCTCACACCTCTAATACAAATGCTATTAGTATTAATAACATTGGGATTTCTATCTGATGTTTTCTGGAAGTGAGACACAGCTTTACTGCCATGAGCAACATCTGGTAGTTTCTCTGTGGAACTGCTCATGCCTTTCCTGGGTCACACAAGAGCACTACCACTGGCCTCATAGGAAAGATGAAACATCCTTTGGTGTTAAATGTCCTCAGTGTTATTATCATTTCAGTTTGGCAGTAATCATTTGAATGAGTATCCCAGAGTATCCAATAAGCCAGTAACAAACAGAGAGAGGTTGTTAGAACCATTATGTGTGTATCATTGATGGGCCATATAGTTTAGTTCTTGCAACGTCTCTGTGTCTCGCCTTCTCATTTCTAAGATTCCTTAGAGAACCAGATTTTTTATTCTATTCCACATTCTACGTTACGTATTATTTAGGTGCTGTTCTAAGAACTTTATACATGTTAACATTTATTTGTATAACAACCCTACTATAGGTAAGTACTGTTGTCACCGTATTTATAGATGAGGAAACTGAAGTCTACACATTACATTGTTCAAAGTCACACAGCTAGTGAGTGTCAGAGTTGCCACTGGAACCCGACCTGGCTCCAAAATTCATGCTTTTGATCACTGTAGTCTTCATCATGACATTGCCCTCGCCTAAGTCCTCACAGCTTTCGATTTCTTAATTTGTTGTTTAGGAGGTCTTCCTTTTTCTTACGTACCAGTGTTTTGAGATTTATTCTGCCAGATTAATTATAAAATACATTTGGATTAATGATGAAAAAGATCATTGAATTCTTTGGTTAGCCTTGTGTGTTCTTAGTGACAATATTGAACAATTTTCAGAAGATTCTTTTTGGGCAATTCCAATTTGATAAGTGCAAAGCTATGCTTGTAGAAATTCTGTGGTTGAAGCACTTCAATCAAATCTCTCCATTACCCTTTCAGCCTCTCTTGTGGCTAACGTGCACACTGGCAGCCAATCAGCAAATGGGAAGGTGAGCCTTAGCAAAACTGAATTCTGAAACAGATTTAAGTTAAATGGGAAGTGACTTGAATCTTGATCTTGAATCACAAAAACTTTTGACGAAACTCATTATGAAGAAACGAATCTTTTCCTGAGTTTCCAAGAAACTAAATTTTATGAAAACTTTTTATTTTTAACACCAGATATATTGTCAATCTAGGTGAAGCCAAGAAATGTAGGTGATCTTATAAAAACATCCTCATATAAGATTTTTGGACTATTTGGGAGACAGTGACATTTCTAGGTGTGTAAGAAATAATCAGTCCTGAGCATTAAGGATGTGTGATTAATTTCATTAAGGGTACTTTTTTTCTTTTTTTGATAAGGAATCCTCTGTTTGAGTTAAGTGTTTATTGTGGGAAATGAGGGAATCCAGCCGTGAATGGAGTCTAAGGGGTGGTAACACTTGTGTTTGTTTCTTAGCACTTGATGGGCAACTGGAAGGACCTGAATGTTTCATCCTTACTATGAGGCCAGTTGTAGTGCTGTTGTGAGTGTGACCCAAGAAAGGCATGAGCAGTTCCATAGAGAAACTACCAGATGTTGCTGATGGCAATATAGCTGTGGCTCACTTCCAGAAAACATCATATACAAATCCCAAACTTGAAAAAATGAGTAGTTAAAAATTATCTATTTGCATTTTAGAAGCATTCTTCACTTCACAAAAGGTTCAACGGGGAGTTTCTTCAAATAGCTTGTTCCCTTAATGTGCTTAAAATAAAATTTGATTTATAAACAACTTCTCAGAAACACATTTACAATAAGGGAAGTATAATTATAACTTTAAAGAGAGAATTATATGATTCTTTATATAGAACATTTATATAGGAGATGAATGCTTTTCTGTTTCCTTTAAATCATTATTTCAAATGGTTTGAAGTAGGGGTGTCCAACTTTTTGGCTTCCCTGGGCCACACTGGAAGAAGAATTGTCTTGGCCACACATAAAATACGCTAACATTAATGATAGCTGCTGAGCTAAAAAAAAATCACTAAAAAATTTCCTGATGTCTTAAGAAAGTTTATGAATTTGTGTTAGGCAGCATTCAAAGCCATCCTGGGCTGCAAGTAGTCCAACCCGTGAGCCATGGGTTGGACAAGGTCAGTTTAAAGCCATCATATTCAAATTCCATAATAGTATGTAGTTATTGCACATTATTTCCATGGTTTATAGTTTACATTGTTTTTATGTATGTTCCCACTGTGACTAGACCCTCTCCATATCCCTGTGAGGTCAGTGAGGGAGGAATTAGTTGACCATTTTACAGATAGTTGGGCTTGCTAAGGTTCTGAAAGATTGGGGCATGCCTTTTAAAATATAGCTAGAACAGCGTTTTTCTTTTAAATTTATTAACTAACTGATAAATCAAAATTGTACGTATTTGTCATGTACAACATAATGTCTTGATAAATGCGTACATTGTAGAATGGCTAAACTGAACTAATTAGCGTATACATTACCTCACATATTTATCTTTTTTCGTGTGGTGAGAACACTTAAATTTACTCTATTAGAATTTTCAATAATGTAATTTATTGTTATTTATTATAGTCACCATGTGAACTAGATCTCTTGAACTTGTTCCTCCTATTTAACTGAAATTTTGTACCTTTAGACCAATGTTTCTTTAACCCCTTATAACCTTCAGGCCCTGGTAACTACAGTTCTACTCTCTGCTTCTGTTAAGTTTGGCTTTTTTAGCTTTCACATATCAGTGAGATCAGCAGTGTTTGTCTTTCTGCACCTGGCTTGTTTCACTTAACATAATAACCTCCAGTTCCATCCATGTTGTTGCAAATGACAGGGTTTTGATGATCCTTTAAAAAGTGAGATTTCTGAATTTGTTTTGTGAGACTTTTCTGTGATATTATTGAGTAAAAACATTAAGAACCGTAGCAGCAGAACTAGCACAATACTAGACTTAATCTAGGGTTCAAGGGAGTTCTGCTAGGAACATCCTTTTCCTTTTGTAACACAGAGGTTGGTGGGGATGGAGTAGGAGTCATCTAGACTCACAAACACCAATTGGAAGAATAGCTTGAGCTACCTCCCTCAGATTCACGATACAAAATAAGAGTCTGGGCTGGGCCGGACATGGTGGCTCATGCCTGTAATCCCAGCCATTTGGGAGGCTGAGGTAGGCAGATCACCAGAGGTCAGGAGTTCAAGACCAGCCTGGCCAACATGGCAAAACCGTGTTTCTACTAAAAATACAAAAATTAGCTGGGCATGGTGGCACACGCCTGTAATCTCAGCTACTTGGGAGGCTGAGGCAGGAGAATTGTTTGAACCCAGGAGACAGACGTTGCAGTGAGCCGAGATCATGCCATTGCACTGCAGCCTCGATGACAGAGTAAGACTCTGTCTCAAAAAAAAAAAAAAAAAAAAAAAAAAGGCTGATACTCTAAATGATTTAACATTTTGGTTTGTTTATTCAGATCTTTCTTCTTCCTCATTTTAAAATGTCGTTAAAATTACAGTAGTCTTTACAATATGAGTTATTTGACAGATCTTTTCCTCTAATTAAACATAAACAATAAGTTCATGCATTTTATTTTACATATTGTCAGTGTATAAAATGTTCTTCTTTGTATATAATTACAATATGAGAACTCAAGGTGAAGAATATGTGGGAAAAAATAAAGCCGCAACCTTCTTATTCATGAAATCCATTAATGGCATCATTTTGGCACATTTATAGCAGAAGAGTTGAGCTAATCACAACTTTATGATTGGGAAAGTTAAGAATTTTTTCATTTACCAGTTGACTTGCAAAGTCAATGAGCCTGTAAGAGATGAACTACTTTATGGTCTCAGGCATGCGTAGTATATACAACCCATGGCTCTTTATCTTCCTTGAGTGGCCTGTTAAGAATAACTGAAGCAGACAATGGTGCATAAAAAATCCTGACTCATGCAATCTCTCTTACAGATTTAAAGAGTATTCAGAAATTTAGTTAGGGCTGTATCTTAATCTCTATTAAAAATGTCTTTCACTATGAAAATGAGCAGAGCTCTTTAAGATAGCAGATGAATCTACAATTATTTTTTCCTATCTGAAAATACTGTCCCTATCCTCTTTTTGAAACATCTAAATTTCATATAAAGGGAAAAATAAATCTATTATCATGGCTTCTGCTGTATTTGCTTATTCTACTAGTTATACAGGGGACTTCAAAAAGTTCATCGAAAAATAAAATTAATAGATAAAAATAAAAACATAAACTTGATTTCTCAATATAAGTTCCATCAAATTGAAGACACTTTTGTAAGTGATGTTACCAGCCATTTAATCCATTCCTAAAGAATGGCAGTTCCTGGGGTTTAGCCATATCAATGCATTCTTTTTTACATTATTGGCTAAAGAAAAGCAAGTGCCTTTTAAAGATTTTTTTAGGGTTATAAAACAAAAGGAAGTCAGAAGAAACCAAATTCGAATTGTAAGGTGGATGCCTAATGATTCCCCATCAAACTCTCAAAAAATTACTCTTGTTTGACAAAAAGAATGAGCAGGAACATTATTGTGGTGGAGAATAACTCTCTGGTGAATCTTTCCTGGGCATTTTTTCTGCTAACGCTGTGGTTAACTTTCTCAGAATACTCTCATAACAAGCAGATGTAATTGTTCTTTGGCCCTGTGGAAAGTCAACAAGCAAAATGCCTTCAAAACTATTGCCATGAGATTTGCTCTTGACCAGCCTGCTTTTGCTTTGCCTGGACCACTTCCACCTCTTGGTAGCCATTGCTTTGATTGTGCTTTGTCTCCAGGATCATACTGGTAAAGCCATGTTTCATCTTCTTTTACAATTCTTCAAAGAAATTCTTCAGGATCTTGATCCCAGTTATTTAAAATTTCCCTGAAAGCTCTGCTCCTGTCTGTACTGATTTGGGTGCCATGGTTTTGTCACTCATTGAGTGAAAGGTCTTCTTAACTTTAATTTTTCAGAATTGTGTAAACTGAACCAGTTGAGATGTCTATGGTATAGGCTACTGTTTGTGTTGTTAATCGTTGGCCCTCTTCAATTATAGCATAAATAAGATTAATTATTTTTCTTGCAAATTGATGTAGATGATCTGTTGCTGGGAGCTTCATCTTCAACATTATTTTTTCCCATCTTGAAATGAGTTGTCCATTTGTAAAATGCTGATTTCTTTGGAGCATTGTCTGCATAAACTTTTAATAAAACATCAGTCATTTCATCATTCTTTTACCTATACTTCACCATAAATTTTGTGCTTGTTCTTGCTTCAGTTTTTGCAGAATTAATGTTACTCTGATAGAGGATATTTTAATACTGATGTCTTATCCCTCTAGCCTCAAACTAGATCCTGTTCAGGCATGTTATAATAAGTTAGTATGAATTTATTTTGGTGCATAAATTTTTGACATACATGAATAGTTTTTTCATAATACACATTTTCCATGAACTTTTTGGAGACTCCATATTACTGATGTCTCAGTCTTTGGAGGCCAGAATTTGCACTCCTGTTATCAACAAATGAAGACCCATGCTGTTTCATTCGACATGACCTTCCTAGGGAAACACAATTGAGAAACAAAAGGATATGTTTATTATTTTCTTCATTTTCATAGAAAAGTCTATTACTTCCGTGTCCATGTGTTCTCATCATTTAGATCCCACTTACAAATGAGAACATGTGGTATTTGGTTTTCTGTTCTTGTGTTAGTTTGTTAAGGATAATGGCCTCTAGCTTCAACCATGTTCCTGCAAAGGACATGATTTCATTCTTTTTTTATGGCTGCATAGTATCCCATGGTATATATGTACCTCATTTTCTTTATCCAGCCTACCATTGATAAACATTTAGGCTGATTTTATGTCTTTGTTATTGTGAATAGTGCTACAATAAAGAGCACTATTGCTCCTTCAATGAACTACATGTGCATGTGTCTTTATGACAGAAAAATTTACATTCCTTTGGGTATATATCTAGTAATGGGATTGCTAGGTTAAATGGTAATTCTGTTTTTAGGTATTTGAGGAATCACCACCCTGCTTTCCACAATGGTTGAACTAATTTACACTTCCACCAACAATATATAAATGTTACTTTTTCTCCACAATCTCACCAGCACCTGTTATTTTTTTACTCTTTAATAATAGCCTGTCTGACGGATGTGAGATATTATCTCTTTGAGATTTTAATTTGCATTTCTTTAACGATCAGTGATGTTGAACTTTTTTACATATGCTTATTGGCCACAGGTATGTCTTCTTTTGAAAAGTGTCTGTACATGTCCTTTGTCCACTTTTTAATAAAGTTTGTTTTTTCCTGTAAATTTTTTTTTCTGTCTTTTTTTTTAGACGGAGTCTCACTCTGTCGCCCAGGCTGGAGTGCAGTGGTGCGATGTTGGCTCACTGCAACCTCCACCTCCCGGGTTCAAGCAATTCTCTGCCTCAGCCTCCTGAGTAGCTGGGATTACAGGTGTCTGCCATCATGCCTGGCTAATTTTTTTGTATTTTTAGTAGAGATGGGGTTTCACCATCTTGGCCTGGCTGGTCTTGAACTCCTGACCTCGTGATCCACCCGCCTCAGCCTCCCAAAGTGCTGGGATTACAGGCATGAGCCACCGTCCCCGGCCTCTGTAAGTTTGTTTAAGGTCCTTATAGATGCTGGATATTAGGGCTTTGTGAGATGCATAGTTTGCAAAATTTGTCTCCCATTCTGTAGGTCGTCTGTTTACTCTGCTTATAGCTTCTTTTGCTGTGCAAAGGCTCTTAAGTTTAATTGGTTCCTATTTGCCAAGTTTTGCTTTTGTTGCAATTGCTTTTGGCATATTCATTATGAAATCTTTGCCCATTCTTATGTCCAGAATAGTATTGCCTAGGTAGTTTTCTAGGATTTTTATAGATTTGGGTTTTAAATTTTAGTCTTACTCCATCTGAAGCTGATTTTTGTCTATGGTTTAGGGAAGGGGTGCAGTTTCAATCTTGTGCATATGGCTAGCCAGTTATCCCAGCACCATTTATTGAATAGAGAGTTCTTTCCCCATTTCTTGTTTTTGTCAGCTTTGTTGAAGATCAGACGGTTGTAGGGGTGTAGCCTTATTCCTGGGTTCTCTATTCTGTTTCATTGCTGTATGTGTCTGTAAAAACAGTAATAAATTTCATAGTGTTATATGCAGTATTAGTGCCAAAGTTTGTTACAACTTTTTTGATAGATAATTTTTGCAGATAGCACACTGTAGGAAATCCAGCCAATTCTTTTGGTTATGAACGTTTATTGCACAGATGTGACAATAACATTTATTATGCAGTGTTCTAGATTGATGACAGAGGGTGAGCGTGTCAATATCCAGGATCACTGAGTCCTATTAGTTTTTCATATATAGATATAAACTCAATTTCTTTTGTGCAGACGCTATTTGATTACTATAAAAATATGTTGGATATGAAAAAGAAAAAAAGTTTGGGCAACATAACTTCTACATAAGGAAGCTGGACCAGGAAATAAAAACAGAAGAATAGGACGAGTTACTGAATGTAAAACAATGATTAATTTATTTACATTGAAAGACACTTTCAGTGCTTCCTCTGAAATTCAGGGTAACGGTGTGCTTCTTCATTGTGTTGTGTTTTTATGCTGGAATCACAGGGCCAGGTGAGCAGTAATTCTTCCTCATTGCTGCCTGAACCATTAGCTGCCATGAAGAGTGGCTCATTGCTTGCTTGCTCCTCACTATCAGAGTTCATTATGAAGAATCATTATAGCTTTAACCTCCTTCATTGCAGACAGGTTTTATAACTTCCTGAGATAAATCAAACCTACCTGCATTATCTATCTCTGCCAGCCTCATCATGTTCCTTAGATGTCCAGATATTCTGTCACTAAGGGGACTATTTCCTGCAGAAAAAATTGTGATAGAATTTTATTGACACAATTGGAATATCTTTTAGTCAGACCCATAAACTATAATATGGTAATCTCTGAAGGTTTTTCTGGAGAAATATCTGAAGATATTTGATGACACAATAAGAATAAGGCAAATCTCAAGGAGTTTTTAAGGGTGAAATGTAAAAATGACAAAGAAATATGGATAATTGAATAAATAAAAACAGGAATGGCCCTTTGGGTATGATATTCTTTTGATATTAGAGGAATGCGGTGGAATATGTCACCAAGGTAATATATATATATGAAATGTTAAGAAATTAATAACTGATTATATAATATTTTCCTGAACTATGAATTATCCTTCTGCCAGTGAATATTTTTAAAGACTATTTCTAAGAGAGGATTCACACACTTAAATGTATATAAAATCTTTCAATGTCTTTTTCCACCCTCAGTACATTAAGATATTTGTTTTAATCATGAATGCGCAGTATGTATAGACTCATACATCACCTTACTTGATAGAAAGAAAAGCTTATTTTAATCCTTCTTTTGGGGACACACTTTGTAATTGAGTTTAGTTATCAGAAATGTATGAAAGTAAATTTTTGAGTACTTAAATATTTTAACCTCACTCATTCTGCATGATCATAAATCAGGGAGGAGGAATGTAATGAATGAAGAGACAAATTCAAGGAAGTGTTGATGACTACCAATGTTGTTTCCTCAGGGCTATACAAACATGTGACCTGGTTTTTCTCTTTTTAGGTGGAAGGCCTTGAATACAAATATACATTTTAGGGTAGTAACATTCCAAAAGCAAATTGTGGTCTGAATAGTCTAGGGGAAATAGTGGGAAAGAAAACTGGTAGCAGAAAGAATAAGAAAGCATGTTTTCATTTGCACACATCTAATGATTATTTAATAATGTCCTTGAGCATATGAATTTGGGGCTTCTAAAGGAAGAAGCAAGTTCTTGCTTATGCTTAGCTGGACATGGAGTGATCCACCATCTCTAAGATTATGTTGTCAGAGCTCTATACCACATCACAAAAGTGTAGTTAAATAATTGTTGCATTGATAAATTATACCAGCATGTTGACTGTAATGGATTCAATTTTAATTGACATCATTCTACCTCTGGCAGTTATAAATGGATCAGAAAAACTGATAGTTTTTCACAGATTGTACTAAATGCTGCTAGGAGCAGTTATTGTTTTTAAAAGGCTCTTTTTCTACCAAAAGGACTTTCTAGCACAAGATATACTGGCAAAATAATAGTAGGCTTTAGTTTAATCAACACAAGACTGTCAGTATATAAGCAGAATCTTCTATGCTATTCTTACACATAAATACTCCTAGCTTTTTAAAGCAGTGTGATTTACTGTCTCATATACAAATAACAAGGGCATCTGGAGTGAGGAGTCAGTTGTCCACCATGTACCAACTTTCACTCAGTTCACCGGAAAGTGTATGAGCTTTCAAACTGCTAAATATATTCTGTGACTAACTTATTGAAAGGCAGTGCTCCCTTCCAGAATCTCAGTTCCATAAGCAAGTCAAATGGGGAGGAAATGTCCTATTTAAGCTATTTATATTTATATTTTAAAGGCATCAGGCATCAGTAATTAAATATATACATATAGTTGAAGGAGGTGACTAGATGCATTATATTATTTGACATGAAGAGCATAGCTTTCTAATATAAACCCTTGTGAAAAATAACTTTGGCAAAGGCTTACTGCTATTAGGACATCAATAAGCAAAGAAAAGTAATACACATGGTGGATTCCAGATGGCATTGCCTCAATGGAATGACATCATATAGGAAAGTCTGAAACATTTTATTTATTTTAACAAATGACTATCTTTCCATATTCTTCTTTATGTGCAATAAAATATTATACATAGTTTTGTTTCCATACCACTTTCATCATTTAAAATTTAACATTTAAAATTCCGTTCTGAAGCATACAGATATTCTGTGCATTTTTCAGGATGTCTCTGGATAATCCTTATCTTCGTAGGCAACATCTTCAATATTGCAACATTTAAATTTATATCAAACTGTTCATCATTTCTGTCTGTCATTTGTTGTGGTAAAATATACGTAACATAATATTTACCATTTTAACCATTTTAAAGCCTATAGTTCAGTGGCATTCAGTACATTCACATTGTTGTGCAATCATCATCACTGTCCATATCCAGGACGTTTTAATCATCCCTTATTGAAACTCTGTACACATTAAACAATGTTTCTCCATTTCCCCATACCCACAGTTCTTGGCAGCCACCATTCTACTTTGTCTCTATGAATTTGACTACTCCAGATACCTCATGTAAGTGGAATTATGCAATATTTATTCTTTGAGACTGACATTCCACCTAACGTAATGTTCTCAAGCTTCATTCACATTATAGAATGTACCAGAATTTCATTCCTTTTAAAGGCTGAATAATATTCCATTGTATGTACATACCACATTTTATTCATTTATTTATTGATAGAGATTTGGGTTGTTTCCACCTTTTGGCTATTGTGAATAATACTGCTAAAAACTCTTGGAGTAGATTATTTTCTTGCTTCTATTTTAGACTTCACTTTCTGCATTATATTTACTTATGATCATAATATTTCTTACGTGGCAAATTATACGCTTCTTGAGAATCCTTGATGGTTTTGTATTCATAAGCCCATAGCAACTGAACACTTTTTAGACATAATAGGTGTTACATGCTATCAGTTGAATTGGTAAATGCATCTCAGATAAACCCTAGATTTTGGACATAATCCAGATTTGGACATAACTATCATCATCAACAAGAAGAAAAAATAAATCACATCCTTTCAATAATGATCACAGATAAACCCCTCTGCTTCTCTCCTGAGTCTCCAATTTACTTTAAGCATTCTCAGAAAAAGGAGGAAAACGGAACTCCTCCAGACCAACCATTCATTCAATCGTATAAACTACATTTTGAAACTATTAAAAATAGTAGACAATGATATACATGTTATAGGTACAAATTTGAAAGATAGAACATTTAAGTTTCATCCTGAATCAATGAGTTGGTTAACAGCTTTCTTTGTTACTGTGGTATAAAAATTTAGTAGATGACAGGTCCTATTTGCCAGTCTCGTAGGGCAACCTTGTAAGTGCTTTAAATGAAATTAATTAGCCTATCAACACAGTCTTATGTCACTTAATGATAGGGGTCCCTTCTGAGAAATACCTTGTTGGGTGATTTTGTCCTTGTATGAACATTATAGAGGTTACATGTCCAAACCTAGATGGTAGAGCCTACTACACACCTAGGCTATATTGTGTGGACTATTGCTCCTAGGCTGCAAACCTGTACACGTGTTACAGTACTGAATACTGTAGGCAATTTTAACGCAATAGTATTTGTCTATCTAAACATAGAAAAGGTACAGTAAAAATAGTATGTAAAAGATAAAAAAAGATACACACCTATATAGGGCAGCTCCATTTATAATTTAATGGGATCGCCATTGTATATGTGGTCTGTCTTTGGCCAAAATGTCATTATGCAGTGCATGACTGTAGATGCTTTTTAGCTGGTAGAATTTTTGCCATCCTATTTATGCATATAACATAACTTAAGCAACATACTTTATCAAGGCTGATGCACTAAGTGATTCTGAATCTGGAGAAAGAACTAAAATTTTAAAGATGATAATAATTGAGTTTGTTCAGCATTTCTATGGATCCAGCTGCTGTACCAGGTACTTGGCATTCATTATTTCATATGAATAAGTTTATGCTTTTACATCTGCTGTTTTTCAATAGGAGGAGCAACTGAAGAGCAGAGAAGTTATTTAATTTGGCAGGAAATTTGGTCAACATTAGTATCCAGGTTTGTCTGGCACCAAAATACTATCTCCTTCCCGTATCTTAAAATATTATTTGCAATAAAATTATTAAAATATTTTTCAAACATTTAGCTTTTCCAACTGTGTCACTTTTTTAGGTAAAACTAATAGGGAGCTAAGTTTTTAAAAAATGATTTTAAAATAAACTATTTTTAAAAAGCTTAAGTACGCATATAGTACAAAATCCAGTACATATGAGAGTGTGTGAAAGAAATCTTCCCATTCTTATGCCCAGCCACCTATTCTTCCTCTCCAGGAGTAGCTACTATTATTAATTTGGATTATATTTTTCCATAGACATCCTCCGAAAATATAAGGACGTATTTCATGTAGTTGTTTCACTTAAAATATCTTAGCTGTTTTTTCCGTATCAGTACATACAATGCTGCTTTATTGCTTTAACAGCTATATAAGTTGCTACTTTGTCGTTGAACCATAATTATTTAGCCAGTCCACTGTTGATCAACATTTATATTGCTGCATTTTTTCCTTTGCTATTGAAACTAAAGCTTCAGTGAGTGTCTCCATATTATATCCACTTTACACATGTGCTAAAATAGTTCAAGGATAATTCCCTAGAAGTACAAATTCTGTAAAAGATTCTATATATTTTTAACTTTTATAGATATTGGTTGAATTTTCTTAAATATTTTTAAGGTAATAAAAATGAATTTCTTCTGAGAGGCTCAAGGTCCTCTATAAATTCCACAGAATCAACAATAGTATTCTGGGAGAAGGCAAGCAGCAATTATTGCAGTAAAGCTATAATTAAATTAAATTAAAAACCAGCACAAGAAAATCAGCATCTCCTATAGTGTGGTTAGTGTCATCATAGATCTTGTGTATCAATGAGGCTAGGAAGTAAAGCAAAATGTGCTTATAGGGGAAGAGGTGGAGCAAGATGGCAGAATAGAAAGCTTCACCAGTTGTCCCCACAAGGACACCAAGTTAACAAGTATCAACACCGAAAAAACACCTGCGTAAGAACCAAAAATCAGATAAACACTCATGGTACCTGGTTTCAGCTTCATATCGCCGAAAGAGGCAATGAGGAGATAGGAGAAACAGTCCTGAATCTCTGATGCCACCCCCCGCCACCCTCAACAGCTGTGGGATGGTGCAGAGAGAGTATCTGGGCTTTGGGGGAAGGATAACACAGCAATTGTGTGGCATGGAACTCAGGACTGTTCTGTTGCAGCAGAAAGAATAACCTGACCAGACTCAGCTGATGCCCACACATGGAGGGGGCATTTAAATCAGCCCTAGCCAGAGGGGAATCATCCATCCCAGCAGTGTGAACTTGAGTGCCTACAAACCTTGCCACCAAGGGCCAAAGTGCTCTCAGTTTCTAAGTAAACTTGAAAGGCAGTGTAGGCCATAAGGACTGCAACTCATAGGCAAGTCCTAGGGCTTAACTAGGCCCAGAGACAGTGGACTGGAGGGGCTGGAGGTGGAGGGATGGTTGGGGGAGTGATGTAATATACTGAGACACTAGCTGGGGCAGCTAAGGGAGTGCTGGCATTGCTCCTCCCCTAATCTCAGGCTGCAGAGCTCCTGAGAGCTCAAGAGAGATACCTTTCTGCTTGAGGAGAGGAGAAAAAAGTGTGGGGAAGACTTTGTCTTACATCTTGGATACCAGCTCAGCCACAGCAGGATAGGGCAGTGGTCAGAGTCATGAGGCCCCCATTCCAGGCCCTAGCTCCCAGATGATGTTTCTAGACACATGCTAGGCCAGAAGGGAACATGCTGCCTTGAAGAAAAGGACCCAGTCTTTCCAGCATTCATTACCTGCTAACTGAAGAGCCCTTGGGTCTTGAAAAACCAGCAGCGATACCCTTATACTACATTAAGAACCTTGGGTGAGCCTATGAGACTAGCTGGCTTCAAGGGAGACTCAGCATATTACCAGCTGTGGTGGCTATGGGACAAAACTCCTTCTGCTTGAGAAAAGTGGAGGGAAAAGTAAAGGGGACTTTGTTTTGCACCTTAGATACCAGCACAACCACAGTAGGGTAGAGCACCAAGTAGGCTCTTAGAGTCCCTGGTTCCAGGACTTGACTTTTGGATGGCATTTCTGGACCTTCACTGGGCCAGGGAGAAACCACTGCCCTGAAGGGTGAGTCCCAGGCCAGGCAGCATTTACCACACACTGGCTTAAGAGACCTTGAGCCTTAAGGGAACATTGGTGGCAGTCTGACAGTACTCCTTGTGGCCAGGGGTGGTAGTCATTATGGGGTGAGGCTCCTCTGCCTTTGGAAAGAGGAGGGAAGAGTGGAAAGAGAGGGAAAGAGAGGGAAGAGAGGGAAAAGTCTTGTGATTTGAATGCCAGCTGCAATACAATAGAATATCATGAAGATTTCTAAGGTTTTTGACTCTAGTCCTTGACTCCCAGAAGGCACCTCCAGACCTACCTGAGGCCTGGGGACCTTGCTACCATGAAGGGAAGAACACAGGCGTGGCTGGCTTTGCCACCTGCTGATTATATAGCCCCAGGGCCTTGAGTGAACATAGGCAGTAGACAGGGAGTGATTATAGCAGGGCTTGGGAGAGACCCAGTGCTGTGCTGGCTTCAAGTCTGACCCAGCACAGTCATAGTGGTGGTGGCCACAACATGCTTGTGTCACTCAATCCCCAGCTTTAGGTGGCTCAGAACAGAAAGAGAGAGACTCTGTATGTTTGGGAGAAAGTAAAGGAAGAGACTAAGAGTCTTCACCTGGTAATCCAGAAAATTATTTCAGATCTTGTTTAAGACAATCAAGGTGGTACCTCTATGAGGCTGCAAGAACCACAGTGATACTGGGCTTGGGATGCCCCCTACAGCAAAAACAGCTTAAACCACAATACCCAAGTCCTTTAAAATATCTGGAAAGTCTTCCCAAGAAGGTGGCTTCAAGTAAGCCCAGACAATGAAGACTACAATAAATACCTAACTCTTCAATGCCCAGACACTGAATAACATCTATTAGCATCAGCACCATTCAGGAAAACATGGCTTTACCAAATGAACTAAATAAGGCACCAGGGACCAATCCTGGAGAAACAGAGATATATGAGCTTTCAGACAGAGAATTCAAAATAGCTATGTTGAGGAAACTCAAAGAAATTCAATATAACACAGAGAAGATAAATTTAACAAAGAGATTGAAATAATTAAAAATAAGCAGAAACTCTGGAGCCGAAAAATGCAATTGGCATGCTGAAAACAGCGTCAGAGTCCTTTAATAGCAGAATTGATCAAGAAGAAAGAATTAATGAGCTTAAAGACAGACTACTTGAAAATGCACAGAGGAGACAAAAGAAAAAAGAATTTAAAAAACAATAAAACATGCCTACAGGATCTAGAAAATAGCCTCAACAGGGCAAATCTAAGACTTACTGGTCTTAAAAGGGAGGTGAAGAAAGAGATAAGGGGAGAAAGTTTATTCAAAGGGATAATAATAGAGAACTTCCTAAACTTAGAGAAAGATATAAATACTCAGGTATGAAAAGGTCATAGAATACCAGGCAGATTTAACCCAAAGAAGAATACCTCAATGCATTTAATAATCAGACTCCCAAAGTCAGTGATAAAGAAAGGATCCAAAAAGCATCAAGAGAAAAGAAGCAAATAACATACAATGGAGCTCCAATATATCTGGCAGCAGAGTTTTCAGTGGGAACCTTACAGGCCAGGAGAGAGTGGCATAACGTATTTAAAGTGCTGAAGGAAAAAAACCTTTTACCCTAGAATAGTGTATGTGGTGAAAATATCCTTCAAACATGCAGGAGAAATAAAGACTTCTCCAGACAAAAAAAATGCTGAGGGATTTCGTTAATACCAGACCTGTCCTACAAGAAATGCTAAAGGGAGTACTTCATTCAGAAAGAAAAAGACATTAATGAGCAATAAATAATTACCTGAAGGTAGAAAACTTACTGGTAATAGTAAGAACACAGAAAAAATACAGAATATTGTAACTCTGTAACTGTGGTTTGTAAATAACTCTTATTCTAAGTAGAAAGACTAAAGAAAGAACCAATCAAAAATAATAACTACAACAATTTTTCCAGACATAGTCAGCACAATAAGATATAAGTAAAAACAATAAAAAGTTAAAAAGCAGTGGGACAAAGTCAAGGTGAGTTTTTATTAGTTTTCTTTTCTCTTGCATTTGTTTGTTTATGCAAGTAGTGTTGTTATCAGGTTAAAATAATGGATTATAAGATAGTATTTGCAAGCCTTATGGTAATCTCAAACAAAAAAGCATACAATGGACACACAAAAAATAAAAAGCAAGAGAATAAATCATATCACCAGAGAAAATAATTTTCACTACTGGAAGATAGGAATTAAAAGAAAGGAGGAAGAGAAAACCACAAAATAATCAGAAAACAAATAACAAAATGGCAGGAGTAAGTCATTACTTATCAATAATAACATTGACTGTAAATGGACTAAACTCTCCAATCAAAAGACATTGACTGAATGGATGTAAAAACAAAACCCATTGATCTCTTGCCTACAAGAAACACACTTCACCTATAAAGACACACATAGACCAAAAATAAAAAGATGGAAGACTATATTCCATGCCAATGGATGCCAAAAAAGAGCAAGGGTTGCTATACTATATCACATATTAATAAAATATATTTCAAGACAAAAACGAGACAAAGAAGGTCACTATATAATAATAAAGGTGTCAATTCAGCAAGGGAATATAACAATTTAAAATATATATGCATTGGACACGAGAGTACCCAGTCATATCAAGGAAATGCTATTAGAGCTAAATAGAGAGGCCTCAACACAATACTACCTGAAGACTTCAACGTCTCACTTTTATCATTGGACTGATCTTCCAGACAGAAAACAATAAAGAAACATCACAATTAATCTTCACAATAGACCAAATGGATATAATAAATATTTACAAAACATTTCATCCAAAGCCTACAGAATGTACATTCTTCTCCTCAGCACATGGATTATTCTCAAGTCTAGACCATATGTTTGGTCACAAAACAAGCCTTAAAACATTCAAAAAATTGAAATAATATCAACCATCTTCCCTGACCACAAAATTAGTAACAAGAAGAATTTTGGAAACTATACAAATACATGGAAATCAGACAATATGCTCCTGACGGACCAGTGGGTCAATGGCGAAATTTAGAAAACAATTGAAAAACTTCTTGAAACAAATGATAATGAAAACACAACATACTAAAACCTATGGGATATAACAAAAGCAGTACGAGAAGGGAAGTTTATAGCTATAAATATCTACATTAAAAAGAGGAAAAACTTCAGTAAATAATCTAGTTATGCATATTAAAGAATTAGAAGAGCAAGAACAAACCAAACCCGAAATTAGTAGAAGAAATAATAAAGATTAGAGCAGAAACAAATAAAATTGAAATAAAAAAATACAAAAGATCAATGAAACAAAAAGTTGGTTTTCTGAAAAGTGAAGCAAAATCGACAAAACTTTAGCCAAACTAAGAAAAAAGAAGATCCAAATAAATAAAATCAGAAATGAAAAAGGAGACATTACAACTGATACTGCAGAAAATCAAACGACTATTAGTGGCTGCCATGAGCAACCTTATGCCAATAAATTGGAAAATCTAGGAGAAATGAACAAATTCCTAGATATATACAACCTACCAAGATTGAACCAGAAATAAATCCAAAACCTGAAAAGACTAATACCAAATAATGAGATTGAAGTCATAATAAAATGTCTCCCACTAAAGAAAATTCTAGGACTTAATGGTTTCACTACTAATTTCTACCAAACACTTAAAGAAGAACTAATGCCAATCTTATTCAAACTATTCTGGAAAATAGAGGAGGAAGGAATATTTCCAAACTCATTCTATGAGGCCAGTATTACCCTGATACCAAAAACCAGGCAAAGACACATCAGCAAAAGAAAACTACAGGCTAATATGTCTGATGGATATATATACAAAAATCCTCCACAAAATACTAGCAAACCCAATTCAACAATACGTTAGAAAGATTATTCATCATTACCAAGTGAGATTTATCCCAGGAGGCAAGAATGATTCAACATGTGCAAATCAATCAATGTATACATGTAAACATCACATCAAAAGAATGAAGTATAAAGATGATATGGTCATTTCAATTGGTGCTGAAAAAGCATTTGATAAAATTCAACATCCCTTCATGATAAAAACCCTCAAAATACTATCTATAGAAGGAACATACTCCAACATGATAAAAGCCACATATGACGGACCAACAGCAAGTATATTGAATGGGGAGAAACTGAAAGCTTTCCTGTAAGAGCTGGAATATGGCAAGGATGCTCACTGTCACCACAGTTGTTCGGCATAGCACTGGAAGTCCTAGCTAGAGCAATCAGTCAGGAGAAAGACATAAATGGCATCCAAGTTGGAAATGAAGTCAAATTATCCTTGTTTTCTGAAAAACCTAAAAATTCCACAAGAAAACTATTAGAACTGTTAAACAGAGTCAGTAAAATTGAGGTATACAAAATCAACATACAAAAATCAGTAGCATTTCTATATGTCAACAGTGAACAACATGAAAAAAAAATCCCATTTACAATAGCCACTCATAAAATTAAATACGTATGAATTAGCTTATTCAAAGAAATGAAAGATCTCTGTAATCACAACTACAAACACTGATGAAGGAAATTGAAGAGGACACCAAAAAAAAAAAAAAAAGAAAAAATATTCCATGTTTACGGATTGGAAGAATCAATATTGTTAAAATGTCCATACTACCCAAAGCAGTCTATAGATTCAATGCAATTAGTATAAAAATACCAATGACATTCTCCACAGAAGTAGCAAAAACAATCCTAAAATTTATATGGAACCACAAAAGACCCCAAATAGCCAAAGCTATCCTAAGCAAAAAGAACAAAACAGCAGGAAATCACATTACTTGACTTCAAATTATATGACCGAGCTATAGTAACCAAAACAGCATGGTGCTGGCATAAAAACAGACACAAAGTCCAATGGAACAGAATAGACAACTCAGAAAGAAATCCACACACCTACATTGAACTCATTTACAGTAAAGATGCCAAGAACATACACTGGGAAAAAGACAGTCTCTTCAATAATAAATGGTGCTTGGAAAACTGGCTATCCATACACAGAAGAATGAAACTAGGTCCCTATCTCTTGCCATATACAAAAATAAAATCAAAATGTATTGAAGACTTAAATCTAAGACCTCAAACCATGAAAATACTATGGGAAAACATTAAGGAAACTCTCTAAGACATTGGTATGGGCAAAGATTTCTTGAGAAACATGCCACAGGCACTGGCAACCAAAGCAACAATGAACAAATAAGATCACATTAAATAAAAAAAACTTTTGAATAGCAAAGGATACAGTCAACAAAGTGAAGAGAAAACTCACCTAATGGGAGAAAATATTTGTAAACTATCCATCTGACAAGGGATTAATAACCAGAATATATAAGGAGCTCAAACAATTCTATAGAAAAAAAATCTAATTGTTTGATCAAAAGATGGGCAAAAGACTTAAATAGACTTTTTTTTTTTTTAAAAAAAGACATACAAATGGCAAACAGACCTATGAAAAAGTGCTCAACATCATTGATCATCAGAGAAATGCAAATCAAAACTACAATGAGATATCATCTCATCCCAGTTAAAATGGCTTATATCCAAAAGATAGGCAATAGCAAATTCTGGCAAGGATGTGGAGAAAAGGGAAACCTCATACACTGTTGGTAATAATGTAAATTAGTACAACCACTCTGGAGAACAGTTTGGAGGTTCCTTAAAAAAACTAAAAATTCAACTCCTATATGATCCAGCAATTTCACTGCTGGGTATATAGTCAAAGGAAAGGAAATCGGTATATCAAAGAAATATCTGCACTCCCGTGTTTATTGCAGCACTGTCTACAATGGCTAAGATTTGGAAGCAACCTAAGTGTTCATCAACAGATGAATGGATAAAGAAAATGTGTTATACATACACAATGGAGTACTATTCAGCCATAAATAGAATGAGATTTAGCAATTTGCAACAACATGGATGGAACTGGAAATCATTATGTTAAGTGAAATAAGCCAGGCACAGAAGGACAGACATCACATGTTCTCACTTATTCATGGGATCTAAAAATCAAATCATTTGAAATTATGGATATAGAGAGTAGAAGGATGGTTGCCTGATAGTGAGGGTTGGGGGAGAGGTAGAGATGGGGGGTTAAAAAAAATAGAATGAATAAGACCTACTATTTGATAGCCCAATAGGGTGACTATAGTCACAATAACTTAATTGTATATTTTAAAATAAGAATTTAATTGGATTGTTTGTAGCTCAAAGGACAAATTCTTGAGGGGATAGATACCCTATTCTCTACCATGTACTTATTTCGCACTGCTTGACTGTATTAAAACATCTCATGTACCCTATAAATACACCCACTATGTACCCACAAAAAATTTTAAAAAATAATTAAAACTTTTTAAAAAGAATAGCAAAATGTTAGAAGAGGAGAATTTTAGAGGATGAGGAGTAGAACAAACAGAACCAAATTACATTGAAACACTCTCCAAGACCTGCAGGACAGATTTACACCAGGGTAGAGCAAGTTAAGCCTGAGCCTTTGCCACCTGCCTCTTCTCCCTGCCTTTCCATCTTCAACTTCTGGGATCAGACAACTAGAAGACCTTGAAGTCGTTACAGCTGTGAAAAAGGATTCCAAATTATGATTAAAAAGAAGAAGCTAATCAAGATGGTCTAGGGATTTAACACATATCAAGTAGTTAAAAAAAATGGTGCTTAATTTAGAGAAACAAGACCTCAATATGACTATGTGTTTCCAATGCTTAGGTATCCACAGACAGATTTAAAGATAAGTCAGAACAGTTGTTTACTTCCAGATTAAAAAACATGTCTACTAGCTCTTATTCATCTATATCAAGAGGAATGCCTAAAAAATAGCAACACTGATTGTAGGAACAAGGGTTGAACACTATTGGAAACATTATGCGGATCTAACCCATTGTAAGAGATGCAAAAACATAGGTCCTCATTTTCTTCTCAAGGTTACATGTCATGCTGATTTTCTCATGCTCTGGACACAGACCTACTCTTGTGTATGTGAGCATACACAATGCCTCTCTCATTTTTCTCTGGATGCTTGTCTAGTTTCGTATCTGAACTTCAATTCATCTATTTCTGAACTCTTCTGTGGTTTTAACTGTATCATTCAGACACTGACGCTGGGCTAAGGGGTAAAAACTGGGGAGGGAGGCTGAGAGTAGAGTTTCCTTGAGCATGGCTCCACATCTACTTTGATCTGGACACAAGTGGAGCCTTTGGCATGGAGACCACTGGAAAATGAAGAAAGTAGGAAGCTCACTACTCAGGCTGAGCAGTGCTCACAATCTGCAGTGTGGGTTAAGGCCCAGGCTTTATTAATGCCACATTGTGGGACTAGACTACTATTTAAGTAAGAGAGGGAATAGGCACATCTGATGAAGCCTGGAATTGAAGGAGAAATGATATGTATATAGATATCTTTCAGTGATTGAAACTGTTTTCTGGGCCAGGAGCCATGTGTCTGATGTTCTGAGTTCCGCCTTAAAGGACCTCACTTCAGTGCAGTTATAAATTCTGAAACTTTTCCTTGGATAGCCTGATCCATGAGCTTCATTCAGAAAACATTTCTGGATCTATGCAAGCTAGAACTCAAAACTGATGAAACACAAAGCAAAGGCATGAATATGGCATACTACCTTGATTTTGATTTCTGATCTGGTTCAGGCTTAGAAAGGCAGGTAATTTTATAATTACCTTCAGAATGATCAACCCACCTAGAAAACTTAGAAAGTTCCTGGGTTCAGCACCAATGTCACAACTGGTTTTGCTTAGAAGCTTTAACGAATAATCCCTTGGTGGATTCATTGATGTCTTCTGTTTCTGAAACCTGTGCCTCTCACTTGGAGCTTGTATCCATATAGCCAGTGTAATTCTGCTTTTAGTCATTTTAATCCCTTCTATCTTTGCTAAAGATTGCACCTTGTGCTTGTCTCCAATGTTTGATGCAAATTATTGACCCCTGGCTTCAGATTCACCTCCCACAGATATTGTACCTGCCTACATCTTCTTTCTATGCTAATTAAATATAAAATTTTGCCCTCTTTTACTATTCACACTGCTCCTTTGCATTTCTCCAATTAAAATTTTTTCAACCTAAGTGTAGGTCTTTACTAAAGCAGCCGGGTGGAAAATATTAAAGATCACTCTATCTAAATGAGGGACACAGTTTAGAGCAAGGATATAATGAAATAAATCTATGACATAGTTAAGCACCTTGATGATTAAACTAACTTAGTTTCCTCTTAGTCTTAAGCAGAAGAAATCTTTCATGAATCAGTCAAAAGCCTTTAGGTGGGCTATGAGAGCCTGGCTCTTGTTTTTGAGAATTTCAGGGCAGAGTGAAGCCCTTTAAAGCTCTGTAACAGAGGTCAATGGGCAGCTTACAAGTGATCAGAAAGGGACTCTGCTTATTCCTTAACGTTTCCCTGTTTCAATTTTACCTTTTTCCTCTTTCTCTGGGGTTAATACACTTTTTTAAAAAATTGTGTTTTGGGTCAAATGGGTGGCTCAAGACACAATTTTTTAAAAAAGTGTATTAACCCCAAAGAAGAAAGAAAAAGGTAAAATTGAGACAGGGAAACGTTAAGGAATAAGGAGAGTCCTTTTCTGATCACTTGTAAAAGGACTCTGTTTATTCCTTAACGTTTCCCTGTCTCAGTTTTACCTTTTTCCCAAATACCATTTGACCCAGCCATCCCATTACTGGGTATATACCCAAAGGACTATAAATCATGCTGCTATAAAGACACATGCACACGTATGTTTATTGCGGCACTATTCACAATAGCAAAGACTTGGAACCAACCCAAATGTCCAACAATGATAGACTGGATTAAGAAAATGTGGCACATATACACCATGGAATACTATGCAGCCCTAAAAAATGATGAGTTCATGTCTTTTGTAGGGACATGGATGAAATTGGAAATCATCATTCTCAGTAAACTATCGCAAGAACAAAAAACCAACACCGCATATTCTCACTCATAGGTGGGAATTGAACAATGAGAACACATGGACACAAGAAGGGGAACATCACACTCTGGGGACTGTTGTGGGGTGGGGGGAGGGGGGAGGGATAGCATTAGGAGATATACCTAATGCTAGATGACGAGTTAATGGGTGCAGCGCACCAGTATGGCACATGTATACATATGTAACTAACCTGCACATTGTGCACATGTACCCTAAAACTTAAAGTATAATAATAAAATAAAATAATTGTGTTTTGATATTCTTTTTCCTTTTTAAAACAATGATAATCAGACAAAAACTCTCTTCTTTTTAGTGATACAAATGTAGCATATATCCATAATGTAGCATATATCCACAAATGTAGCATATATCCACAAGTGTAGCATACATCCACAAATCTGTAGCATACACATAGCACAAAAGGGTAGCATACATCCACAAATGTAGCATATATCCACAAGACTCAACTAAGTCACATTTTGGTAAGAGCAGGAAAACAAGGTTTTAAGACAACGGAAGCCTCAAATAAGAAAGAGAAAAAAAAGAGTGTCTTTTTATTGCTCATTTTTTTATTGTCTCATTTATTTTTATTTTATTTTATTGTCTCATTTATTTTATTTTATTGTCTCATTTTATTGTCTCATTTATTGCTTCTCATTCTAATTTCTTTGTAGCAAAATTACTTTTTAAATTTCTCTCAAACCTACTGTAGACATGAGATATCATAATCCCTTTTGCCCTTTAACTCATCTCTACATTCTACTACCCACTTCTCTGCCAATACAGAGTAGTTTTGTGTCTATATTTTACTTTACCGCACACACATACATATTACCCCTCGATTACCTTGTCTAACATTTCACATATTTTGCCCCACACTAATATAAGTGCATGGCCTATTAAGTGCATAAGCAATAGGAATTACATGAAGTGCAATTTCTCCTTATGCTTTTTATATGTGAGAAAGAGGTTTAAGAGAAACTATATCCCAAACAATTTTGGTTTTTTTCATGGTCTAGGTGTGAACAGAATGATATTTTTCCACCTTCAGTGACCTGCATAGAGAAGAATTTTCAGACGTGCCGTTTAAAACCGTCATTTTATCCTGAAGAAGGGTAGCTTATGCTATAAATCAGAACAAAGCTTCCAAGTAAAAGCATTATTCTTCTGAGTGATGAAAATGAACTCCTTTGTATTATATGTAATAGAAAGAAAGAATAGGCTTCCAGGTTTCAGGCCTGCAGAATATATATTGCAGCTCAAGGCATGGGCAACCTGCCAGTGATGTGGGCTGATTATTTACCTAATGATTGTTCCTCAGCCCCTTTTATGTGTGTGATGCATTATTGAGAGAGACCAACAAGGCAGAAATGGAAATTACATGGAACTAATGTGGTCATCTTGAGCAATTTATATACAGAAAACTCCTGGTACTTAAAATCTATTATTTAACTATAATGGATAGTATGGTACCAATACAAAACGAAACCAACAAATAAAGAAGGATAAAAATATTTCAAGAGTTTATTTAAGCTAGGATAGAAAGACTGTTGTGGCTTTCTATCCTATCCTGCTGCATTATTTATCTAAAAAAGGTTGTAAAATCTGCAATGAGGCTTTTTAAAAAATGTGATAGTAACAGTGATTGCAAATGTGAATTTCCTTCTTCTTCCTTTATATTTTATTTATTTTTCAGCCATGGTCAGCTTCTGGGTTATTTGGAAGAAACTTAACCAAAGTGGGAAGCTACTTTAATTTCATATAGTCCATAAAACAGGGGGATGACTTACAGAGCTGCTTTCTCTAACTTAAGGCTTTGAAAAGATAAAGCTCTGGGAGACTAAAATCATTAGATCTCCTGTGATTTGCAGGATAATGGATTCATACTACTCTGCCAAAACATACGTACTTACTAAACAGCAAAAATTTAGAACATTGTTGATCTCCAGAATGTGCAGAAATTAAGAATCAAAACAGGAATCGAGCTGATAACAATGAACACTTCCCCCACTACGCCAAGTTTGAAGAACTACAGAGTTTTTGTTTGAAAATAATGCCATGATTTCAAAATAAAAATCCTAGTTTTGATTATATAAATAAGGTTTTAAGATGTCCAGCTTCTTTAGGCCATAAACTTTTTTCTGTGTGTATGTTATCAGATACCTGCCTTGTCTAAATGGTTTGTCCATGTGGCTAAAGGACACTGACCAATCTGAAAGAAAATGATACCTCCCCAAATAATTTTTACCCAAAGATAAGTTTCATCCAATTATTGGCTATGTATCCAGTTCTGGGTATTGTTTGGATATGTCTTTTGTGAAATTGCTAAGCTAAAATAAAATATGACTAGAAACGGAGTGTCATAATAGTTGTATGATCTTCAAAAGCTATTCAAATTCTTCAAGACTTTTTTCTTACTTGTAAAGTGAGGTTAATAACATATACAACACTTGGGTTTTTTTTTTTGTTTGTTTTCAGACAGAGTCTCACTCTGTCAGCCAGGCTGGAGTGCAGTGGCATGATTTTGGCTCACTACAACCTCTGTCTCCCAGGCTCAAGCCATTCTTGTGCCTCAGTGTCCCGAGTAGCTGGGATAACAGGCGTGTGCCATCATGCCCGGCTAGTTTTTGTATTTTGTTTGTAGAGACAGTGTTTCACCATGTTGTCCAGGCTGGTCTGGAAATCCTGACCTCAGGTAATCCGCCTGCCTTGGCCTCCCAAAGTGCTGGGATTACAAGTGTGGGCCACCGCACCTGGCCAATACTTAGTTTTTAAAAGCAAAATAGATAATTACTCTAAGGCCCTTAATACAGTACTCAGGGGGTAAAAAAAACTATAAAATTTTATTAATTATAATAAAAATTATGGTAGAAGCATTCAATTTACAAATAGCAATAAATATAACAATATACAGATAAAACTTTAAAAGAAATATTTATGAAAAAAGTTACAAAATTTTATATGATTTTAAAAATACACTCAGTGGGCTTTCTTGAAGTGGCTTCATATTATAAAAGTGTTGTTTCTTCCAAACCAATATACAGATTTAGTGCAATTCCAATGAAAACTCTCTATCTATCTATCTATCCATCTATCAATAACTTAAATGACTTTAATCAGTATAGGGTATATTTCTAGTTAGAATTTTATGATAATGTGCATTTTATTTGATTTTCTAGTCAACTGAGTTTAAACTTTGTTATTATTTGTATGATAAAATATTAAGCACAAATTAAGCACTTAAGTGCAATAGCATATTTATGCCATTAACATAGTTCTGGTATATAGAAAACTATTCATAAAGTCTGGGTGTTATTATGATTCTCTTAGTGATATTTAAATTCTAAGTATGCACACTTTGAAGTATATTTTATAGAAAGAGCAACAAAAAACCAAAGTGACTGGCTAAAGACAATAAAACTATAAAACAAAATAAAGCATAGTAAAAAAAGCAAATAGAAAATATTTGTTGTTTAAGGTTATTATCAGAATTAATGAAGAAGTAAAGCTCTCATAATAGAAAATAATTTAGTGAAGTACTAAATGATACATCTGGGAAAATCAGTTTTGTTAGAAAATAGGCAGCTAAGAGACAGAAGGAACTCCTATAGATTAAAATAATAAATCACCATAGTAAAATGTGTTTTTCATACTTGAAAAGCTAACTGGTTGAAAGATTTGGGTTAAACCAGTTTTAAAGCTTTTAGTAAGAATGTGGTCATGTTTATTGATTGCTATTTTACTTACCAATGCAAAGCATATTAATTTTCAACCTGCTTGATGATGTAAATAGTTTGCAAAGAATTGTCCAATAAGACCTGCATTTTCAGCAAGAAGGTCATCAGTTAAAAAGATATTTGGAAATGAACAGTTTCAGCTGCACCTATGGTATGTAAAACTACAGGAAAGACAACATTTTATAAAGGGTATTACAATGCTGAACACATCAGCAGCCACTGCTTGCTTCTGTGGGACCTTCTTGTCTTAAGCTGCTTGCCATTTGAGCTCCTCAGTGTGATTCTGATGGTCAAATAAAGGTGATTAAAAATTATAATGAAATGTATAATGATTCTGCAAATTTGTCTACTCAATCATATGCCAGCATAGCTGGGTATATTTGCTGTTCAGAATTTTCAAAGTTGACTTTTATAATATTTTTTCATGATGGGAAAGAAGTATCATGATAAAAGATAAAAATTTATAGTTCAAAGATAAATGAATATCAGCAATTTCATATAGTTGAACTAAATACCGAAGGAGCAGCCACAACCATATGTAAGCATTAATGTTCTCTGTTTAACTTAGTGATTGAGAGGCTCACCAAATTGGCTTATTTACTTGTCATTGTTCTCAAGGTTTAACGCTTCCAATGAACAACTGCATTGCAAAGATATGTACATTTTTATTATTTGATAAAATAACTTTAATTAAAAAAGAAACTTTGAGAGTTGAATGAAGAAAATCCACTGTGGAGACAATGAATCTTTTAAGACTCAGTTGTGAAATATCAGTGGTAAAATAACCTTACATGACTTCATCAAAAAAGTCATTTTATAAATATATCTTTGCAATAACAAAAGAGAATGCCTATTGAATTACTTCAATCTACCATTGCCCAAAAGTCTTGACCTACGGTAGCCCGAAATTTTGACCCAGACTTCCTGCTTTGTCACATTCTGAACATTCTACTCAGTGATCACCCTGACATTCTACATGAAGCAGCAAAAAATTGCATTTTAACTCACAGGTTCACTAGAAAGTGGGTAACCTTCAGAAGCAAACTTTCCCATTCTTCATGGAGAGCTAACCTCCTTCATTTATTAGTCCTCCTGTGCGTAAGCTCTGTTCTCTTTGATGAAGAAACCACTGTTTAGACTGCAATTGTCCTAGCAAAGAACAGCTACATTCTAAACTAATAACAGCTCAATCCCCTGAAGTTAGGAAGGCTTGGTTCCTTCTGTTTTTCTCTTCAGAAGGAAAAACTGATATAAAATGAAAGTGATTTATATATTTGTAGATTCATAGAATTTTAGAGCAAAAAAGAACTTAGAAATGATCAAGCCCAGCTCTTAATTTTTTTTTTCCAGATGAGAAATTGAAGTGTAGAAAAGATGGTCATTGTCTTCAGATGACTCAGCTAGTGTTGGAGTCATGACACCAGATGAAGTCTTCTGACCTTACTTTGTATACTAAGGAAGCCGAGAAAATTTTGAAGATCTTCTGAGAAATCTCTAGTTCAGTTAAGGACATGTTTATCAGTTGATGCCTTTTAATAATTCTAGTTGTCACTAGGCTTGATTCCTTGGAGCTTGATAAACTGATGGATCTTCATTAATTTTAGGGACTTCCTGGAGAACTGTGGTTCTGTTTATTAGAATCCTGATCTAGTGAGTGGTGAGAATATGTGAATTTACTCTGTGTTTAAAGATACTGTATATAGAGCAGCTGTCAGATTGCTTGGCTTCTTGGAGAGTCCTTTAGGGATACCCACTGGATTGCCTCTGGTTGAGAGTAGGGGAAACCTTACAATTTTTAAACAGGAGGAGCTTCAGAGTGACAATCTGGTTAAGAGTGTTTAGAGAGCTACCCTTCAGGTGTATCAATAACTTAGATTTTATACAGATTTAGAATTGCTTGGCATTGAAAGAACTGATAGAAATTATGGAAGACCTCATTCTCTCCCCTAGGTACCACTTCTTACTGGCTCTGGTAGCAACACATGCTGGCTTTAATATAAGTGTCACTGGATACTGAACCCAACAGTCCTCCTAGATTCTATTCTAAGCAGCAGCTGCAGCATTTTCTTAGGAATTAAGTTCATTAACATTCTACCTATATGCAATAAGATGGTCATACATCATCTCAAAATAAATACAAACTATGATTAAATCAGCCTTTATTATTACATGTATAAAATGGTCTGTTTTTGAAACTGAGGGCTAATGCTTTTAGTTGCTTGTTTCTTGTTGACTTAGCCTTCTCTAGCTTCCTTACAGATGTCACCTCTGGTGTATACATCAAGTCAGTTACAATGGCTCAAGTTGTTTTTCAGGAACGTTGGGGCAGCTCTTGTCCAGCTTGAACCATTTCAGACCAGTGACCCTTCAACTGGGCTTGGGAAAATGCCCAAGAGGTGATTTTTTTGATGTCAGAGAATCAAAAACTCCTCCTCAGGTTGTGCTAATGCTGCTGTTTTCTGTACATGAGCCCTATGTGGACCCGTGAACCATGACTATGCTTGCTCAGATCACCGACTACTTCATTCTTCCTCACTGCCAGTCACCTTTCCCCATGCCTTAGACCACTCCAGTTCTTTACCCCATAAATTCCCTAAGACTTATCTTCGGAAAGACAGATTTGATAACTTTTCTCCTGTCTCCTTATTGGGTTGCCCTGTGAACAAATATTTTCTCTACTGTAAAACTCACTGTCTTAGTGATTGACTTTCTGTGGGACGAGCAGAACAAGCCTATTTCAATATCATTTTTATTGTGTTTTTATAAAGCGTTTCACTGTCATTCAAATCCAGGAAAATAATAAGCCAAATTTTTAAATGGCATTATGTCAGTATAAGATTGCTTTTTACAGGATAGTTGTGGATGAAGATTATTCCTAATAACATTTTCTGCATCTGTTAAGATGATCAGGTAGTTTTTTCTTTCGTTTTGTTAACATGGTGTATCGTATTGATTGATTTGTGTATGTCGAGACCTGCTTCCATCCCTGGGATAAATCCCACTTGGTCATGGTGTTTGATCCTTTTAAAGTCCTGTTGAACTCAGTTTGCTAGTATTTTAGTAAAAATGTTTGCATGTGTATATATTAGGGAAATTGGCCTGTAGCTTTCTTTTTTGAAGTGTCTGCCTGGTTTTGGTGTCAGGATGATGCTGGCCTCATAAAATGAGTTTGGAAGTGTTCTCTCTTCAGTTTTTGGAAGAAGTTAAGAAGGATTGGTATAAACTCTTCTTTGAATAATTGTTAGAATTCACTCATACAGCTGTCAGGTCCTGGGCTTTTCTTTGCTGGGACATTTTTGATTACTGATCCAGTCTTCATATTTCTTATTAGTCTGTTCAGGCTTTCTATTTCTTCTTGATTTGGTATTTGTAGTGTATATGTTTCTAATAACTTATTCATTCCTTGTAGATTATTCAGCTTGTGGCCATATAATTGTTCAGAATTTTCCTTTGTGATCCTTTTTATTTCTGAAGCATTTATTTTAAAGCCTCCTGTTTTATTTCTGATTTTTGAGTCTTCTCTATCTTTTCTTAGTTAGTCTAAGTAAGGGTTTGTTGATTTTATTTATCTTTTTTAGAAGCCAACTTATAAAAATCAATCATGCTTCCATTCATACAAAACAAACTATCCAAAAAGGAAGTTAAGAAAACAATGCCATTCACAATAGCAACAAAAAGAATAAAATTTTCAGGAATAAACTTAACCAAAGAAGTGAAACACTTGTACACTTACAAAAATTATAAAATTTTGATGATGAAATTTATCAAAATATTATAATAGTTGATGATGAAAATTATAAAATATTGATGAAATTAAAGAAGACACAGGTAAATGGAAACATTGTATGTTTATATAGTTGAAGAATTAATAGCATTAAAATGTTCATACTACCCAAAAGTGGTCTACGTGTTTTTTTTTTTTGGCATGAATGTTTATCACACCTTTATTTGTAATAGTCCCAAACTGGAAATAACCCAGACATCCAACAACAAGTAAAGGATAAATAAATTGTTGTATATCCATGGAAAAGAACATAACTCGGCAATTAAAAGGAATGAACCACTGATACGGGAAACAACATGAATGGATCTAAATATTATGCTGAATGAGAATTCAGGCAAAAAAGAGTACACACTGTTTATTCCAATTTATATAGAATTCTAGAAAAGACAAAAATAATCTATAGTGACAGAAAGCAGACCAGTGTTTACCTAGAGGGTGGAGTAAAAAAAGACATAGATTACAAAGGGTCTCAAGGAAACTATTAAGAATCATGGAAATGTTTGCTGTATTGATTGTGATAATTACATAGGTGTGTATATGTGTCAAAACTGATCAAATTCAAATTCAAACTTCAAATATGTGCATTCAAATTTACATCAATAAAGTTGTACCAAAAAAGTGGAGAGAGGAGAATCCAACTTATTGACAAAAGCAATGTGTGTCTCTATGGTTTCTGTTTCTAGCCATACAGTGGACTAGAAAAACTGATCTTTTCACTGCAAAACATTTAGAAATGATGAATAGCTATTACAGCCATCCTCTAAAGTGTATGGTTTGGGCTTCCCTTGAGGAATGGAGAGAGGTTGCTAGACCCTTTAGCAAGGAGCTTTGGTTTTGACAGTCACTTGTGGACAAAAACCTGGCCCTTACAGGGTAGGATTCTGGAATGAGACTGCCCTACATTCCTGAGATCACCGAAGGCCTACATCCTTGGTGAAAGGCTGGACTAGAAAAAAAATCCACTGTGGGCCCAGGATGAAAATAAGGAAGCCAGTCTGGACGCGGTGGCTCAGGCCTATAATTCTAGCACTTTGGGAGGCCAAGGTGGGTGGATCACTTGAATTCAGGAGTTTGAGACCAGCCTGGCCAACATAGCGAAACCCTGTCTCTACTGAAAAGACAAAAAAATAGCTGAGCATGGTGGTACGTGCCTGTAGTCCCAGCTATTCAGGAGGCTAAGGGAGGAGGATCGCTTGAACATGGGAGACGGAGGTTGCAGTGAGCCGACATCAGGCCACTGATTCCAGCTCCAGCCTGGGCAACAGAATGAGATTATGTCTTAAAAAAAACAAACAAAAAAAAGCAGCGCTTGTGGGCCTTGTTTGTCTCTCAGAGCACGTAACCACAGCCTATCCCTCATATGGATTTAGGATTTTATACCTTTCTTTGCATATTTTTATTGTTAATAAAATTGTTAATCCTTATCATGATTCAGCAAGTTGGGTATTATGGTCCTGATTGTGTCCAGGAAATAAGCTTTTATTTTTAAATTCCCATAGGTTTTGAGGGAACAAGTGGTATTTGGTTACATGAGTAAGTTCTTTATTAGTGATTTGTGAGATTTTGGTGCACCCATCATCTGAGCAGTATACACTAAACCCAGTTTGTAGCTTTTTATCCTTCAGCCCCCTCCCACCCTTTCCACAAGTTCCCAAAATGCATTGTATCATTCTTATGCCTTTTCATTCTCCTAGCTTAGCTCCCACTTATAAGTGAGAACATACAGTGTTTGGTTTTCCATTCCTGAGTTAGTTCACTTAGAATAATAGTCTCCAATTCCATCCAGGTTGCTGCAAATGCCATTCATTCATTCCTTTTTATGGCTGAGTAGTATTCCACCATATATATGTACCACATTTTTTTTATCCACTCATTGATTGATGGGCATTTGGGCTTGTTCCATACTTTTGAATTTGCAAATTGTGCCGCTGTAATCATGTGTGTGAAAGTATCTTTTTCATATAGTTACTTCTTTTCCTCTGAGTAGATACCCGGTAATGGGATTGCTGGATCAAATAGTAGATCTGCTTTTAATCTTTAAGGAATCTCCACACTGTTTTCCATAGTTGTTGTACTAGTTTACATTCCCACTAGCAGTCTAGAAATGTTCCCTTTTCACCACATCTACACCAACATTTATTATTTTTTGATTATGGCCAAAACAGCATGGTACTGGTATAAAAACAGGTACCTAGACCAATGGAACAGAATAGAGAACCCAGATATAAACCCAAATATGTAATTCCAACTGATCTTAGACAAAGCAAACAAAAACATAAAGTGGGGAAAGGACACCATATTCAACAAATGGTGCTGGGATAACTGGCAAGCCACATGTAGGAGAATGAAACTGGATCCTCATCTCTTATCTTATACAAAAATCAACTCATGATGGATAAAGGACTTAAATCTAAAACCTGAAACTATAAAAATTCTAGAAGATAATATCAGAAAAACCCTTCTAGAAATTGGCTTACACAAAGATTTCATGACCAAGAACTCCAAGGCAAATGCAACAAAAGCAAAGATAAATAGGTGGGACTTAATTAAACTAAAGAGCTTCTGCACAGCAAAAGGAACAGTCTGCAGAGTAAACAACCCACAGAGTGGGAGAAAAATCTTCACAATCTATACATCTGACAAAGGACTGATATCCAGAATCTACAAAGAACTCTAATTAGCAAGAAAAAAATCCCATCAAAAAGTGGGCTAAAGACATGAAGAGAAAATTCTCAAAGGAAGATATACAAATGGCCAACAAACAAGAAAAAAATGCTCAACATCACCAATGATCAGAGAAATGCAAATCAAAACCACAATGTGATACCACCTTACTCCTGCAAGAATGGCCAAAGTGATCTACATATTGATTGCAATCCTTATGAAAACCCCAGTGGCATTTGCTATGGCAGTAGAAAAAAAAATCTGGAAATTCATGTAGAACCACAGAAGAATCCCAGTAGCCAAAGCAATCTTCAGAAAGAACAATGAAGTGCAAGAATCAAATTATCTGTCTTCAAAATATACTACAAAATGATAGCAATCAAAGCAGTGTGGTACTGGCATAAAAAAAAGAGACACAGACCAATGGAACAGAATAGAGAACCCAGAAATAAACCCACTCATCTATAGTCAACTGATCTGTAAAGGTGCCATGAACACAAAATGGGAGAAGGATAATCTTTTTAATGGTGTTGGGAAAACTGGATGTCCACATGCAGAAGAATGAAATTTGACCCTTGGATTATACCATATATAAAAATCAACTAAAAATGGATTTAAAAACTTAAAAGTAATACCTGAAACTATAAAAATACTAGAAGAAAACACATGGGAAGAGCTTCTTGACATTTGTCTGGGCAGTGGATTTTTGGATATAACACCAAAAGCACAGAAAACGGAAGCAAAAATAGAGAAATGGGATTACATCAAGCTGAAAAGCTTATGCATTTCAACAGGGACAATCCACACAGTGAAAAGGCAACGAAATATTTGCAGACCATACCTGATAGGGGGTTAATCCGCAAAATACATAAGAAGCTCATACAAGTCAATAGCAAAAAACCTGTTTAAAAAATTGGCAAAGGACCTGATTAAACGTTTCTCAAAAGTTGATATACAAATAGTCAACAAGTATATGAAAAGGTGCTCATAATCCCTAATCATCAGAGAAATGTAAATCAAAACCACAATGGGCTATCACCTAATACCTATTAAAATAGCTATTATTAGAAAGACTGAAGATACAAATGTTGTTGAGGATGTGGAGAAGAGGAAACTCTTGTGCAATCTTGGTGGGAATGTAACTTGGTATTGCCATTTTGGAAAATAGTATGAAGCTTCCTCAAATGATTATGAATATAACTATCCTGTGATCTAGGAATTCCACTTATGATCATATATCCAAAGGAAATGAAATCAGTATGTTGAAGAGATATCTGCACTTCCATGTTCATACAAAATGATTTCTAATAGCCAAGATATAGAAACAACCTAAACATTTATTGATGATGAATAGATAAAGGAAATGTTATATATATATATATAATATATATATAATGGAATAATATATATGATGTATATACAATGGAATATCATATATAATATATACAACAGAATATCATATATATGATATATTTTATATATATATATATATACACACACACACACACACACACACACAATGCAGTCATTAAAAAGGAAGAAAATTGTACTAGTCCGTTCTCAAGCTGCTAATAAAGACATACCTGAGACTGGGTAAATTATAAAATAAAGAGGTTTAATTGACTCACAGTTCAGCATGACTGGGGAGGCCTCCGGAAACTTACAGTCAGGTGGAAGGGGAAGCAAACATCTTCTTCACATGGCAGCAGGAAGGAGAAGTACCCAGCAAAAGGGGGAGCATCCATTACAAGACTATCAGATTCTGTGAAAACTCACTACCATGAAAACAGCATGAGGGTAACCATCCCCATGATTAAATTACCTTTCACTTGGTCCCTCCCTTGACACTTGGGGATTTCGGAAACTACAATTCAAGATGAGATTTGTGTGGGGCACAGCCAAACCAAATCTGAAACCTTCCATTTGTGACTGTATAATTAAACCTGGAAGATATTATGCTTCCAGGACAATATGCTAAGTGAAATAAGCCAGATGCAGAAAGACAAATACTGCTGTTATCATTTATATGTGGAATCTAAAAATGTCAAAGTCATGGAAGCAGAGAATAGAATGGTGCTTGCCAGGGAATGGGGAAGGGAAAATAGGGAGATGTTGGTCAAGGGGCTCAGAGTTTCAGTTATGCATGATGAATAAGTTCTGGAGATGTAATGTACAACCATGTGACTATAATTAACAAGACTTTATCGTATACTTGAAATTTACTAATAGAGTAGATCTTAAGTGTCTACGCCACACACACACAGAAAAAGAAGGAAAGTACTGTCTGAGGTTACAGATATGTTAATTAGTATGAAATGATTATTTTGCAGGGTATGTCTCTGACAACTCATCAAACTGTACCCCTTAAATTTATACAATCTTTGTCAAATATTGCTCGATAAAAATTATTACTAACAGAAAGTTTAAAGCAGAACAGTACGAAAAAATGAGATATGGTTTACAGTTGATCAGCATTTAAAAAGTACGGAATTAAAGCCTCAAATAAAGTATTTGTACATAATTTGGGCCAGGTTATCTACATGTCTAACCATGTAACACTTGACCTTTTACAACTAATAAAAGCAGAAGTGACTCCAAGGCAGAAACTAAAGGGAGCTTGGTTTGCTCTGCAGTATTCTTGGACTTGGCAAGATACACGGTATTAAGTTCAGAGCCAGTCTGCTAGACTTCAACAAAAAGGTTTTAGCTAAAATTCATGGCTTGAAGTATTGCTATATTTGCTTAATAAGCAACTCATACCTACTTCACCATGAGAAGCTATTTGATAAAGGAAATATGCCGGCCAGAAGTCACCTCTCTGCCTAAATATATCTTTTGCACAGAACGTTTACAATTCCACCTCTAAAACAATGGTTGCTTTTCTCACGAAGAGTTTTGATATAGCTTTAAAAATAATTGCCCTGTGCTTCCAAGTGCTCAATGATAAATGAGGTTGGATTGCAGATCTGTATTCTTTGCTAAGTTAGATGCATTTTGTCGGTTTTCTGTGGAATATCTTACATCACTATTTAAGGAAACTTAAGAAGGTGCCTCCTGTTATTTTTAGAGACAGCAGGGATTTCCTTGAGGTACCTTTTATATATATTGACACTAAAGTTACAATAACTTTGAAAGTAGGTGGATGGAAAATATTCAGAAGACAGAATAAATGCTGAATAAGAAAAAGTCTACACATGTAATTTACATCACGAGGACTATAATTAATAATATTGTATGCTAGAACGTTGCTAAGAGAGTAGATTTTTGGTGCTGTAACCACACACAGACACACAACACATACACACACACACAATGTGAGATGATAGAGATGTTAATTTGTTTGACTGTAGTAGTAGTTTTACCATGTATATGTATATCAAAACACCATACGGTACACCTTAAATATAGACAATAAAAACGAAGTTTTAGAGAAGTCATGGGCATCACGAAAAAGTATTTATTATCTCAATAATCACAGAAAAATATTTTGGAAATACTGCTTTCATAAAGACATAAATCAAAATGCTACCTATTTTTTGTGGGGGAAGGAAAATGGACACCTTCAAAATGTTCTGAATGGCAATTTGACCAAAGCTTTAGAAATGTGCCTAATCTTAGGCTCAAAAATCCTCCTTAAAGAAATGTATCCCAAAGAAATGTTTACAATATGCAATAATATTTTGCTATCATATTTCATTCTTGGACTAAAACGTGTGATAATACTTCATTACAGTATTATTTATATTACTGAAAAATACAACATTTCTCATAGTAATGATTGTCTAAATTAATTCTTATATATATAATGCATATACAGAAAATGCAAATCTACTCAAGTATTAAAATTATGGAGATGATAATGACATAGAAATATGTTCATATAATATTAACAAAAAGCATGCTATAAACTATTATGAATCAGTTGAAAATATCTAGAAGGATATACAAGTTGTAAAAAGTGAACTGCAGATTTTGTTCTGATTTCACCAGTGTTTTCACTTATGTCCTCTTTATTTTTCAGGCTACAAGCCAGGATACTACACTTAATTGACATATCTTCTTAAACGCCTCTGATTTGTGACGGTTTCTCAGTCTTTCCTGCTTTTCATGACCTTGATGCCTTTGAAGAGAAGTGGTGAGATGTTTTTCAGATTTTCTCTCAGTTGTCTCAACTGTGATTTGTCTGATGTTTTTCTCATCATTAGGCAGGTGTGATGCGTTTCACAGAACAACACTACAGAGGTTTAGTGCCATTCTCATCTTATTGTATCAGGAGGTACATGATAGCAACAAGATTCATTGCTGGTGATCTTAACCATAATTACTTGGTTAAGGCAATGTTTTCCAGGTTTCTCAAACACCCTGACAACAAAGCCTATCTTCTTAGCTGTTTATCTGAGACTTGAATCTTCTAATTTCTTACCTTAGGAATTCTCCATTTAGTCATTTAGTAGAAAGTGAGTAATATAGAATTTTCTTCCTAGACAAATCGTTCTGATGACAGGAGAGGGATGGGCTTACTCTCTGTGCTACCTTGGTTTACTGGAAACATGGTCACTTGATTCATTCCTGACTCCTATCAATTCCTCCTGTGCCCAATAATCCATTTTGGTTCATTCTCTGAAGAAAAGAATGCAATCAAAATCTAATTCTCACAATATCACTTGGATGTCTAAAAATACTGAGTTAAAGAGATAGTAGAATTTGATTATATAAAAAAATTTGTACACCAAAGTGTTAATTTCCTTAATAGAGAACTACTATAAATATTTAAGAAAAAATGGGCAAATGGTATGTTCAGATAATTTATAGCAAAGAAAATATAAATAATGTCAAATATTTAAAATGATGCCAGTTTTCTCTTAATAAGATAAATATAATCAAAATTATCATGTGATCACATTTAAAAATTATTGGGGTAGCAAAGACCAGAATGCTTGATTACAAACTATGTTGGCAATGGTCTGGGAAAACAAACACTTCTCATTGTTTCTGGGAAGGTAAATCGGTAAACTCAGTACTGAGAGCAATTGTACGTTGTCTCTCATAAATAGAAATGCACTTTTTGAATCCTTCAAGTCCACTTCTACATTAGAACCTTAATGTATATAATAAACAGTATAGATATGCCAGCATATGCATAAAGTAATTTATGTATAAGAATAATTTTTGTAGCAAGAGATCAGTTAAATAAATTGTTGCAACAGCACAAAATGAAAAGCTAAGCAGCTTTATGTGTACCAGTAAGAAAACATCTCCAGGATATTTCTTAAAGTTAAAAATGAAAACAAAACCAAAAAGGATAGAATGGCATGTAAGATAGTTTACTGTTCGAATTGGAAGTTAAGACTACCATCTGGCCAATCTGGGCTCCTCATGCCTCTGAATCAACAGGAAAAGAAGAGTTACTGTGCTGGGTAGGTTGATTGATCTGAATACCAAGGGGAAATTTGACTACTGCTCCACAACACTGGTAAGAAAGAGTAGGTCTGGAATACAGAAGACACCTTAAGATGTCTCTTAGTTTTACCATGTCCTGTGATTAAGGTCAATGGGAAACTACAACAATGCAATCCAGTAATGACTATGAATGACCAAAATCCTTCAGAAATGAAAGTTTGGATCACTCCACGATATAAAGAAGCATGACCAACTGAGGTGCTTGCTGAAGACAAAAGGAATACAGAATGGGTGATGGAAGAAGGGAGTTATAAATACCAGTTACAACCACATGATCATTTACAGAAATGAGGATTTTAATTCCCATGAGTATTTACTCTTTATTTTGCTAGGAATATATCAGTATATATATGCATATATATGCACATATTTATTTATAGAGATGTACTCCTTTCTTTTATTTCCTTATTATGTTACATTATTGACTCTCTTTGGTCTCCAGCTTTCTGATTGCATATCTTGGGATTTGTCATAATGAAGCAAACGAATTCCTTATAATAAATCTGTTTCTAATATATATATCCTATTGGTCTATATGTTGGTATGTATATATAACAATAGGATACACACACACACACACACACACACACACACACACACACCCCACATCTTCTGTTGGCTCTGTTTTGCTGGAGAACCCTAATACACTTTGGAAAAGTACCAAAGTAACAGAGGTAACACCTACCTCTCAGTGGTTCAGCTTACTCTCTAAAAAATAAGGGAATTAAACTGGAACAACTACATGTTTCCTTTTAACTGTAGCCTTCTGTGTCATACAGTTATTTCCCTATAGATGGTCTCTCAGTTTCTCTCCTGAGCTTAGGTTCTATTTTTCACTCTGCTTATTTTTTATTTTTCCTAAAGTTACAGTATGCTCAGTATGTCCCAAATTGACCATGCCTGTTAAGAAAGCCATTTCCTCTCTTCTGTTATTTTCTAAGGCACCAGGTTTTCGTTTTTTAGGAATGACCAAATTTGAGATTGTCTCTTCTCTCTGAGAAAGGTAGTACTCTGATTATTTGTGATGGCAATCAAACAAATACTGCATAAGACTAAAGAAAGAAGCATATCACAGGGTTTTGCACTCTCTCATTTCTCTATGAAGTACAATACCAAGTAACACAGAACTGCTACAGACCCAGAATTCTTCAGTTATCTGAACAGTTCTGGGTTCTAGAGCTGACTTCCACGTCTAGGCAATGCGGTTTATAACCATAGGGTTGCTGCAGCCTTCCAGGCAGGTCTTTGTAGAGACTACTCATTTGCATCTCTGCTAAGGAGAAGAAAACCTTTCCAGCCCTTTTTATTGTTTTATATATATATATATAAAAATAGTGAACACATATTGGTACCAAATAGCAATTTTATCTTATCTTGGTATATTTGGCTTATGAATAGTTGATAAGGCTTTATCTTACTGTTGGTTACTTGTTTCCCATGAGAAGAAAAAGATTGTTTTATGATGCTTTAAGAGGGCTCATTCCTTTGTGAAGGATTTCCAGAGATTCTCCTATAACATGTTCCCAGTCTTCAGATTTGTCTCTTGTTCAACCATCTTACCAATTCTGATGCCAAATCCATCATAGAAATGATGTACCTTTGGAAATGAATCCATCCTATGGATTCCCTGCATCCCCACTGCTGCCTTTATATGCAGGACTCTCAGCACATTCTACCAGGATTCTGCAGCAAATGCTCAGAACATCCTCTAGTTCTGATTTTCCCACTACACATCCATGCTTCACACTCATTATTCCAATGAATTTCCTCTAAGTCTTGCTTTTATTTTCTGTCACACCTTTGGTGATAAATCCTGCCGTGATTCTAATGAGAGCTCAACGTCATTCAACTTTCAAGGAATGTTTATAATCAATTCTACTTTCCATACCTGTCAATATCTCATGACTCCACCTAGTCAACCACCAAGCTTCACTAATTATACTCCCCAAATATATCTTCTCTCAATACAATTTACTCCATGCAGAAAAGACATTATTTAGATAGATATATTCATAGAAAGATAAATGTATAAATAAAAATATATAACTTTATCAATATGCATATTTAATTTCATAAGTTAAAATTATTTGTATTCAGATGGACAATGGTTTGAAATCTGTTTATGCCTCCAACTAAGCTGAACAAACATGGACACATTATTTAATCTTTCTGAGCCTCAAATATTTAATCCTGCTGAATTATTTTGAAGATTAAATGATATAAAATACTTAAATTGTCTATGGTCTGGCATATAGTACTTAATAAATTAAAGCATATTTCTTGATTTTAGATTTGATTTATTTTCTCTATTTCCAAGCTGTAGTAGTCTGGGTCCAATTGGGAGACAGAAACCAGACAGCAGGTTATATAAGGGAAGTTAATGTAAAGAATTATTAACTGTGATAAAAGAGAAACTATATAAGGAAACTATATAGTAGCCTAGGGCTGAGGAAGAGTGCCTAAGGGAGGACAAACTCAGAAGGGGCGTGTTTCAGACCTTGTTGGGGAAGGTATAGTTTAGCCCAATGGATAGCAGAGGTGTTTACTGGTTAGGCCAGGCCTGAGCAGGTCTAGAGTTCCTGGGCAAGCAGGGTAGGTTAGGTAGGTTAGCACGTGGTGGCATGGTTTTGCAGTGAGAGTCTGGTGCCAGCCATGGTAGAAGGCCTGTAGCACATGCAGCCTGGCATGAGAGTGGGGTTTTGAAACAGTGCTTGGTGTTTGATGCTCCAGGTCAGAAGCAGATGTTGGAAATCCACTCAGAGAGTCCAGGTGTTGGTGTGGCAGGAGGCCATCAGAGCAACACCTACATGTGTGGAGGGTTCTGGTTTCCATGTCTAGAGGACTGAAGAAAGGTTATTGATACGTCTAGGATGCAACGAGGTCTCAATGGAATCATGTTCTAAGCTGGTGGCTGGGGCACATTCCACTGGATGTCTGCACACCCATACAGCTAATCTCTTCCTCCTGCAATGTCTCTCCAGCGCCCTCTACTGAGAAATCTTAACATTGTGCTCATTAAAGTGAAAAGTTTTAAAGGAATCCTTGATTTGGTACAGAGCATATAGTGAAGGGTGAATTCAGAAATAAGAAGCAATAAATTGATAAGTGGCACACAGTCTATAATACCAATTAGCTTGTCTGATTAAGATAAAATTTTCTCCTGTTGTATTTCGTGTGAAGAAGTTATAACCTTCTTTTATAAGGAATGGGGTTCCCAGCTGATTAACCAGGAATAAGCAATTTTTGCTTCACTTTGTAATAATTGAGTCATGTGACAATCGCTGAGTCAGCATTTGAATATAGACCCAAGTCTTATTCATGGGAGCATACTTTAAATGTATTTAGCATCATTTTATGTATTGGTTTATTCCAGAGCAGAAAGAAATTGTATTTGCAGGATTTGACATCAAAAATGCATTTGAATCATTTAGATAGTCTTTTTGTGGGTGGTAAAAATTTTAAAACTCTTGTTTATTGATGTTTTGTCTCTTTCTTAATCTCTCCTAACAAATCTATTGTTCTTCCCTTGTCAATAAGCAAGCATGCTCCCATGGCAGGCTGAAACATTTCAGGACTTTCCCATGACCTCATATTTCTATTCCTTTGAGGCACATGGTCTTATTTCTTTTTAAGCTTTAGCGAGAACATCCGGTCCTTTCTTCTCAGATCTATTCTGATTTTTTTACTTTGTATATCTGATCAAGATGTTTTATAAATTTGAACATGTCCACTGCTCATTAAAACAGGTCATCCCAATCAGTATAAAATGTGATTTTTAGTCTTTTCTTTTTAAAAGTGTAAGAAATGCTTATTCCTTAGGAACTTATTTAATAGGAGATATGAATACCTTTTTGTTTTTTACTGAACTCATTTTAACGTGCCTTTGAGTTCATGTGCAAATTTGATTTCGTTAGCCTTGTAGGTGCAAGACTTCCTACTCTCTCACTGTGGAGGAGACACTAGGTTGCTGTGAAGTGAAAGAATGGGCTTGAATCCTGGAGCTACACTAGGCTAATAGTGCTATTTTCTGTAAACTGAGGGACAGTTTATGTATGTGAAAATACTTTGCACAATTGTAACAATTAAATTGTAAAAATATACAGGAATACTGCATAATTATTTTGAGGGTGGTAGTGATGATTCTGAGGGCTAGGATATTTACGGATACAGTGGGGAAGCCCCCTCTTGTTCAACATTTTCTAGAGAATGTCCATGTTAAACTTATACTTTCTGCTTCCTAGGAAGAATATCTCAGACTTTCTCTTAGCTCTTCTCCCCTTGGCTTTTCTGTGCTATGTCATTCATGGCATTTTTGTGGGATCTACCTAAAACAGAAAATACTATTTTAGAACAGCTGGTTTCTGGGTCAACTTTGGAGACTCAATTTCAGTAATTTTCCAATTTAATAAAACAGTTGGAATATGTTTATATTGATTTTAAAATGACAAAGCAAATGAGAAAAGGTATAATTTAATAGATCCAAGAACTATTGATGAGGAAAATTACTAGTAGCTAGTTCCAACTGCCATCGATTGACACTGAAATGAAGAAAAGAGATGTACACGTATTTGTGAACACCCCATTTTCATGTCAACCAAAGGATTATCAACTTTTCATCTTCAAAATAGATTTCATAGTATACTTTTCATGTGTAACTATATATAAGGTTAATGGCTCTATCTTTTGTGAACCACAACCTATTTGTCCAGCTCCTGCTTTGAGCTTGATGTTTTAATCTTCACAAATATTTGAGGAAGATATAATTATGTCCATAATTATAGCAAAGTGCTAGGTGCAGGCTAGCACTTTGTGTACAGTGGCATAATTACAAAAATCACATCCAGATCTGTCTTTAACCATGCTTCTTTTACCCTGCTATCTTTAAATATAAAAAGCAGTGATTACAATTGTAAAATAACAGGAGTAGAAATAATATGTTGTATTCAGTGGGAAGGAATTGCCCTTTGTTAAGGCAATAATTATAGGACAGTAATTCTCTAACTGAAATAATATACAGATTTTAAGAAAAAACTTATGAAATTCCAATGTTAATTTAAATTTTTTATAACATTATAAAAGCACAAAGATAAAACTAGGTATGTTTCTTATGTTTATGGTTTTTATGCCACTTAAAACCAAATTAATTAATACTTATAAATTAAGTATTAACAGCATTACAAACCAATAACATCTAGTTTAGAAACACTAGCTAGGCCTGGCGCAGTGGCTCACGCCTGTAATCCCAGTACTGCGGGAGGCAGCGCATCATGAGGTCAGGAGATCGAGACCATCCTGGCCAACATGGTGAAACCCCCTGTCTACTAAAAATACAAAAAAAGCAACTGGGCATGGTGGCGCACATCTGTAGTCCCAGCTACTTGGGAGGCTGAGGCAGGAGAATCACTTGGACCCTGGAGGCGGAGGTCGCAGTGAGCTGAGATCGCGCCACTGCACTCCAGCCTGTCAAAACAGCGAGACTCCGTCTCAAAACAAAAACAAAAACATACTAGATAATGTGCTAGATTTATTTTGTGAAAATAAAGTTGCTCTCTGCAATGAGAATATGATATTGACTTCTAACGGTTCTGTTCTTTTATATTCAGGGTACTTACATGTTTTGGGTTGACTCAGTTGTCTTGCCTCTTTGTGTTATTTGAAGTTTTGTGAGACTTTTATTGTGTATACTCCTTTAGTCTGTTTCGTGCTGCTATAGCAGAGTATCCAAGACTGGGTAATTTATAATGAATAGGAATGTATTGTCACCCAGTTCTGGAGGCTGGAAAGTTCAATATCAAGGTTCTGGCATCTTAGGAGGGCATTCTTGCTGCATCAACACATGGCAGGTGAAAGGGAAAGAGAGAGGGAGAGAGAGAGAAAAGATAGAGATCTATTATTTAGTTCCTAATTTGGAGCATTTGGTTCTATTATTTTATCCCACCACAATACACTCATTTATTCCATTGTTTTCAATATTTTTACTTATAGTATTTGTTCATATTAGGTTTTAGTGATTTATTACATAACAAAGGATAATAGCAGTTTTATTCAGTCCTGAGCCAAGTAATGTACTATGCTAATATTTATATCTTTTTATTGTGGTTGTTTTTTTTTTTTTTTGAGATGGAATCTCGCTCTGTTGCCCAGGCTGGAGTGCAGTGGCACGATCTCGGCTCACTGCAAGCTCCGCCTCCAGGGTTCATGCCATTCTCCTGCCTCAGCCTCCCGAGTAGCTGGGACTACAAGCGCCAGCCATCACGCCAGGCTAATTTTTTGTATTTTTAGTAGAGACGGGGTTTCACCATGTTAGTCAGGATGGTCTCTATCTGCTGACCTTGCGATTCACCTGCCTCGGCCTCCCAAAGTGCTGGGATTACAGGCGTGAGCCACCGCGCCCGGCCTAATCTTTGTATCTTAAATAATTTTCTGTTTTTCCTGGATTTAATACTGTCTTTTTATACTTGATTTCATCTTCCTTTATTTGCTTATCAGTAATTCTTCCCAGTCTCTCCAACAGAATATTATTTTTTAAATGGCCATGTAAATAATCAATTAGTTCAATTTTTTGTGAAAACATTCCTTCTGGAGCACCCCATCTTCCCACGTCAATCTGGTCTGCTTGCCTGCTAGCCTCTGCACATTGATCCTACATGTTTTTTTTGTTTTTTTTTTGCCTCTGTCTCCTGAGCTGATGAAGCACATCCTTCAGTAGCTTTCTGAGAAAGGACACATAGAACTTTACTGATCTGAAAATACTTTTATCCTAATCTTAAACCAGTTGATGGTTGCCTGGATTTAATTCTCAATTGAACAGAATGTTTTTTTCTGAATTTGAAATCATTTTTACAGACTTCTATTGTTTAGGTTTTCTGTTGAGATGTCTTTACAGCTTTATAAATAATCTGCCTTAACTCCTTACCTCAGTCCTCCATCTTTCCAATCTTTTATGTGCAGTTTTAAAAATTCTTTGTCATTTTCTGAAATGTTCTAATATCCTCTTTTCAATAGAACATATTCTTATTAAACACAATGTCTTAACGTTATTCTCCCTTAGCATATTAACAGCATCTGTGTTGAAATTTTATTTTGGTTTTTGTGCTATTTTTGTTGGTTTAAATATCTTCAATGTTGAAAACTTCTTAAGTGTCTAATGCCCTTGGTGGTTTATTCATAATCAAGAGAGAAGCACTAATTTGCTAAATAGTGGGTTTCACTATAGATCAGGGTATCTCAATCTTAGTTTCTCAAGATTGAGAAATTGTATTAATATTGACAGTCAATATTTTCAGCAATATTAACATCTTGGGCTGAATAATAGTTTGTTGTCTATACTCTGCATTATTGGAAGTTTCACAGCATTCCTGGCCTCTATCCACTAGATGCCAGTAGCACCCCTCCCAGTTATGACAACCAAGAATGTCTCCAGATATTGCCAAATGTTTTCTATAGGACCGCATCGCTGCAACTGAGAATTATTGCTATGCAGTGATGAAGTAGGGACCTTGTCATTTTGCCCACCTGGCCATTTTTTGGGGTGATGTCCAAATGGTAGCTTTTGTAATTGTATTATTCAGGATTCTCCATAGAAATCGAACCACTAGGCTGTGTGTGTGCATGTGTGTCTGTGTGTTTGAGGCAGAGAGAGAGAGAGAGAGAGATTGAGATTGAGATTTAGGAAATGGGTTCACGTAATTGTGACATCTGGCAAGTTCAAAATCTGCAGGGTAAACCAGTAGGCTAGAGACCCAGGGAAGAGGTGATACTGCAGTTTGAATCTAAAGGCTGTCTGCTGGTAGAATTCTCTTTTCATTAAAAGAGGTCAGTAATTTTTTATTTAGGCCATTAGCTGATTAGATGATGCCCATGCATATTATGGAGAGAAGTCTGCTTTACTCGAGGTCTACTGACTTAAGTGTTAATCTAATCTAAAGAAAACTTTTACGAAAATATCTGGAATAATATTTAATCAAATATCTGGTATTGTGGCCTAGACAAAATGGTCACATAAAATTAACCAGCCTTTCAGTTTTTTCAAGGAAAATCCTCCAGTCTCCTCCTAGGGGCAGCATACGCTTGACTGTGAAAATTCTTGGAGTCAGTGGTGGGAGGTACAGTTTTCGGCAGTTTCCCTTTCTCCCTAAGGCAGGTCTATGTCTTCCTTCCTCTTTATTGTGCCTGATGTGCCTATGTCTGGAACTCAGGTTCTCCATATCCTGAGAATGATCCTCCAATTTACTGCAAGGGTAGAGGATGGATAATCATTTGGATGTGGAGGAGACTTAGTATTCTAAATTCTCTTTATGTAAACATTCAATAAATCCCTCTCTTTTCAGTTCCACACCTTTCCTCAGTGTCTGCAGTGATCAGCACCTCCAGTATGAGCCTGTTGTAGCTCATACTTGGACATAGGTCTTGATAATGCCTCCATCTGCTTCCTTGTTTGAGACACCTTCTCTTCACCCCATTGGTGAGAAAGAGTTTCCTATCCTAAGATTGTGGAGATGGCTGAATACATGCCATCCAATACCAGACAGATGAGCTCTATAGCAGTTTACTTGTTGTATATGCGTAGCCCAGGGTTGTTGACACTGAGTCACACTGGACCACACAGGGGTTGCACTTGGGAATAGAGTGAACAGGCAATGGATTGGGAGTTAGACTTTCTCATAACAAGAGAGTGCAGTGACCAATGGTTCACTTTTGTCTTATTTGAATAATTCTCTGAGGGCTGGTAGCAAACTGAAGCCCCACTACTCAGAGATAAGCAGGCATTCTGCCTGGTTGCCATGATAAAGAGAATAGTTTGACTACAGGACCTTACCTGAGGAAGCAGCGTGGAAACAGGGACTTGCAGTTAGGCCATTTGAGGTCCTCTTGATTTTACCAGATGCCAAGACAGCATATAATATTAATGTAAGGCCTTACATCACATCACATTCCCATCTTCTCTTAGTTGGCTGATTTTTTTATTGACTGTCACTTCTAGTGGCTTCCTTGTTCTTGTGGGTCATGCATATTTTACTTCTTAATTCTCATTTTAATGGGATTTCGGAGGGAAAATCCCTATGTCTAATCTAACATGTATAATAGTATATCCTATCTCTTTTTCATATTAATAAGAAATAAAAGTGTCTTTATTTGCAGATGACATAATAGTCTACATAGAAAATACTATAGAATATATTCAAAAGCTACTAGAACTAGTGAATTTAGCAAAGTTGCAAGATATGAGATTAATATACAAAATTCAATTGTATTTCTATCCAATAGCAAAAAATGATCAGAAATAAAATTAAAAGCTACAACTGCATGAAAATGATGAAATGCTTATTTCAAATGAGAAAAATTAAAGACTAAATAAGGGAGACATATGACTTGTCCATGGGTTGAAAGAATTAATATTGTTAATGTGTTGATTTCCCTCAAATTCATCAGTAGATTGAATGTAATCCCAATAAAAATTCCAGCAAAACTTAGCAATCTCATTCTAAAATGCAAATGGAAATGCAAATACTTAGAATCACCCAAATAACTTTGAAAAAAGAGCAAAATTGGAGGACTTGCACTACCTGACTCGGAGACTTATTATAAACTACACCAATCAAGATGGCGTGATATTAGTGTCAAGACAGAAAAATAGGTCAACAGCAAAGAACTGAGAATTCAGAAATAGACTCGGCCATACATGGTCTAATCTTTCTACAGAGATTCCAACGTAATTCAATGGAAAAAGGATGACATTTTCAAGAAATTGTGAAATAATTGTGTACTGTCTGCAGAAAAATCCAAACCTAACCAAATAACACAACAAAAACAGTAACAAAATCCCTCCAAAAGCATTTCAATCTACATGTCATACTATATATAAAAATTAACTCAAAATGAACCATAAACCTAAATTACAAACATAAAATGGCAAACAGAAAAGCACAGGAAATATGTTCAGTTAGAAAAAAAATTCCTTAGATACACCACCAAATGCATAAACCAAAAAAGAAAAATTTGATAAACTGGGTTTCATCAGAGTTAAGAACATCTGCTCCTTGAAATATACTTTTAACAGAACGAAAAGGCAAGCCACAGATTTGGAAAAAAATGTTTAAAAATTACATATCTGATAGAGAACTTACATTCAGAACAATACAGAACTTTCAAAATTCAATAATAAAAACGAAACAAACCAATTTGAAAAATTGACTAAAGATTTGGGTACTTGACCAAAAGAGATTATAGTTGATGAAAACAACTATAGAGGGCTGAAAGGACTTTGTATTTTGGTTTGAGTGCCAGCTTAGTTGCAGCAGAATAGAATACCGGTAAATTTATAAGGCTTTTGACTCCAGTCCCTGGCTTTCAGATAGGATCTTCAGACCCACCTGGGACTTGGGCGAACTTGCTACCCTAAAGGGAAGGGCACAAAACCTGGATTGATTTGCTAACCACTGATCATAGAGACCTAGGACCTTTTCCATGACATGATTATTATGCATTACATGCCTGTATCAAAACATTTCATATACCCCATAAATACATACACCTACTATGTACCCACAAAAATTAAAAATTAAAAAAGGATTTCATGTTTACACTGCATAGTTTAGACAGCTCAAGAAACTGGCCACATGAATATAGTAATAGATGTATATCTGTGTGTTCATTGTTTCTTTTATTAAGAAAAGTATAACAGAGAACATAGAATTTTAAAGTGTAATCTCAGCAATATTAATTTTGCTGACAAAATATCAGATAATTTATCGTTAGTTATTGAGTTAAAGTTGGAAATATTGTTTGGGGTCAGTATTTTATACATTTCTTGACTATATTATGTGAGTTTTTCAATTATGAATATCCCTGTTATTTATCTTGTTTTATCTGTGAGAACAATATTCTTAGTTCAATTATCAGCTAACTTACATTTAATAAAACAAAATTACATTTGTGTTAAAACATTACACAACTTGACCTTTGTTTTGTTTTTTCCAATACTCTATATCACCTAAGGATGTGAGGAGAGGAAGATTTTCATAAAGTAGTAAAGCAATTACTGCCATCGAAGATGCAAACCAGGGGCCATGCAGTTCTCTTGGAGATAGGTCCTTGTTCCTGATCCACCACACTGTGATGTTTCACTACTGGAAAGAATCCAGAGTTGTTGTTCTATAGTACTGGGAAAGGGTCAGGGTGGGGAAAGGGTCAGGGTAGAAGCTGTTTCCCAGAATTATTTTATTAGCTCAAGCATGTGATAATGCTAATAAATCCGGGAAAGAACCACTCATCCAGTTTCTTTAACCAAAATCTATAAATTATCATTAAAATTTTTGCTTTACCCAAGAAGTATCTGAGATTCGGTCATGAGGGGACAGTTAAGCTGCCGTAAGCATCAACTTTAAGGCCACTCTGTGAGGCATCTGAAGAATGTTCTAGGAAATTTCAGGGCTGTGTGATGGAATAATCTTCCAGGAGTACCTCAGAAATATGTCTCCTGTGTCAGGTCTCCAAGTAGTCTTTCCACAGTTAATTGATTCATAATGTTCCCTCCCCCTGCTAAAAAACTCAAAAAACAGCAACAACAAAAACTAGAGTTGTTTAAATTCATTTCTACTTAATTGCTGTCTTGGGCAAACTTATTTTTCTCTGGCTTAACAGCCTGTATTCTGGTGGAACTGTCTATATCTCAGTGCACAGTGTTTTAGTGATTGTTAATTTCATGTTTTCTAAATATGCTGTATTAGACCCTTATGAAATAAAATTTCTTAAGAAAAAATAAAGGCCACCAAAATGTTCATGTAAATAGCCGTGTTAAGCAGGCTATGAAAGTGAACTTCAACCAGGGTAGAAAAAATGCTCACTTGTTTAGTAGATAAGCAAAAAGGCATGTTTTGATATTCAGCATGCTTACCCTGAAAGCCAGTCTGAAATTACACCTCATTTTGAAGCAAGGGTAAGTCTAAAAATATCTTGTGAATATACGTCTAGCCAAGAGCCTGGAGTGACTTCAAGGGAAGAAACAGTATGTTCTAGAACTGGTAGGTTTAGAAGCATATGTTTGTCAGTGTTTAACATGATAAACACTGACATGATAAATGATATTTTCTATCCTCTTCTACCCAAAGATTATATACATATATTACATATATAATCATACATATTTATTTATACTTAAAATTTGTATGTTTATAGTCACATATATAGTTTTCTTAAAACTAGAAAAAAGCAAGTGAAATTATCCTCTGAATACTTTTCTCATATTTTAATTTTTAGTATGAAAATACAAAATAAAATACATTGTTAAAAACAGACTAAAGAACTGCAAATAATAGTAATTAATAAGTTCTGATTTACTGCTGTTGCTATTGCAATGATAAGGTTCGGGTATGCAAAAAAAAAAAAGATGGATTTATATATTTAAATTTGTGTTAATTCCACTGACACCCTTGATTGATCACCTATAGAGCATAAGCCTACACAGTCAAGAAGCTGAGATTGCTCTGGAAATCTCAGTCTTGGAATTGCTCTGGAAATCTCAGACTATGGAAAACATAGTCTTTCATTATGTTGTACAGTTTTAGAGAAATAGGTATCTCCTTACTCCATATGAATAAAGTTTCCAAAATATCTTTTGTCCAAGATACTAGCTGTTGATATCATTCTAAATGTCTTTTTTCCCAATAATTCAATAAGCATTTATGAAGTATCTAGAAAGTAGAAAGCTCACAGAAATATAAAGCTGAATGAATGTTCCAGGCCTTCCTGGGACTTCCAGAAACTCACAGCCCAGGAGACAGTTTACTCAATCCATTAATTTTCTCCTTAAATTTCTCAGATACCTAAAAATATTAGCTACGTGAGTATTAAATACCACAACACATTTTCCAAAACAAACAAACAAAAAAATCAGAACTCTGAGAAAAACAAAAACAACAATTAAAATTATAGCAGGTTCCTCCTCTTTGCCTATAAAGAGGACAGCATGTAAGTATTTTAATGGAAGCAGGCAGGAACCATAAACATATTCATGGATAAAAGATCCCATGACAAAATGAATCAGCCCTTCACAGAAATTCATGCCTGCTTAACAGTTAACATTTCCTCAACAGGCCTGTTGTCTCTGATAGTAGCACCAAAAAGATTGAGAGAGTAAGAGGGAATGAAAAGTATTTGGAGGCTCATATTTGCTTCTGTTTGCTTTGTAACACCTCTAGGTTGTCTGAGACTGAGATCTAAAGGTCACCTCACTCTATAAACTGCCTTTGCTCTTTCCCTAAACTCTCTGCTCATTTTGCTGCAGATCCTCATTCCTACTATAGGGGTGGTATCTTGAACACACATGATGTGTAGGCTAAGAAAAAACAAAGAAGATGTACAAATGGCTAACAGGTATATGAAAAGGTGCTCAGGATCACTAATCATCAGAGAAATGCAAATTAAAACCACCCGTGTTAGGATAGCTGTTATCAAAAAAGACAAGAGATAGCAAGAGTTGGCGAAGGTGTGGAGAAAAGGGTACCCTTGCACACTGTTGGTAGGAATGTAAATTTGGGCAACCATTATGGAAAACAATATAGAGTTCCCAGACACAAAAAATAGAACTACCATATAATCCAGCAATGCTCCTTCTGGGTTTACATTGAAAAGACATGAAACCACTATATTGAAGAGATATTTGTACTCCCATGTTCATTGCAGCATTATTCACAATAGTCAAAATATAGAAACTACCTGAAGGCCGTATGTATTGCCTCAATCCATTTGAAACCAACAGTGCTGACATTATGGTCAGTAAATGGTGAAGTTTCTAGGTCTCCAAAAACATTTACCCTCCCTCCCTTCCTCCCTTCCTTCCTCCCTTCCTTCCTCTCTTCCTTCCCCTTTCCTTTTCTCCCTCCATCCTCTTTCCCCTTCCTCTCATCCACATAGAAGTAAGTTCCATTGTATTCTATTAGTTGGAGCAGTCAAAAAAGCTCACCCATTAAGAAAGGAAGACAAAGACTTGACTTCTGGATGAGGAGATGGAAACATTCTTGAAGAACATGTGGGATAGGAAACATTGCTGTGACTATATGTACTACAGAGGCAGGAACATTTTCTAACTCCAAGAGCTAATTATCAAAAAGGGTGTTAGGCAAGTGAAAAATCACCCACAATGCTGTGCTCTTCTATGGCAGGAGTACAACAGGGTTCCATGGACTCCTAGCACTGAAGACTTCCTGGGGGAAGTGCCTGCCAAACTGGGATCTAAAGGATGAGTACAAGTCAGGAGAAGTCCAGGTTTGAGTGTCGATGATACAAGAGTTAAGAAGAAATTACTTAGGCAGATAGTAAGGGTATGGGAGTCCTTGGTAAGACTTTTCTTTTTAACGAAAAGTAGCCCCAAATCATTTTCTAACAAAGAACAGCCTGTAAAGTGGAGCTGCAGACAGACAAGCAAGCTGGGAGCTTGCACAAGTAAATGTGGCAGGAACTAAGGACTGGATATTTTCAAGATGGCAGCTCCATCTTTCCTTCTCCGCTAGCCACGTTTACTATAAGGGATGGAGAAGATGGTCCAATCAACTGGAAAGTCCATTTGCATAATAAGATTAGGGTGGGGTGACCAGCCTTCCCTGAAGGCTATCTAAACGTCATACCTGATGGAACCAATCTATGAGCCCTATGTAAATCAGACGCCTCCGCCTCAAACTGGACTATAAAATTTGGAGCATTCACCAGGAGCTGGTCTTTTCCCATCGGAGACCCCTTTGTTTACGGAGAGAATTGTTTCTCTTTCTCTTCTCTTCTACCTATTAAACCTCCGCTTCTAAACTCCTCGTGTGTGTCTGTGTCCTAAATTTTCCTGGCACGTGACAACGAACCCCAGGGTACATACCCCAGAAAATGTGGCCACTTCAGTGACGGAAAAATGTTTTAATGGTTTCTTCATCATTGGGATATATTTCTACTCATAACCTTGAAGTTTATAATTCTGACCCTTGTAAAAGTGCTAATGCTTGTAGATGGTAGCAATTCTTCATAGAAATGTACTTTAGTTGAGCACCTCCCATGAGTCAAAGTGTGCTACCCACCTTGTTCATAGTCTTCATTTAAACTTCATGGAAATTCCACAAGGTGGTTACTATCCTCTTTTGTACAGTTGAAAAAACCGAGGCTTAGGTGTGAATTTACTGATACATGATCTAAACAAGTACTGCCTGATTTCCATCACTTTTTCTGCTACCTTATACTCACTACACTTCTAGAAACAATGTGTATTCCTTATAAGACTAACATAATATAGTAATGACAATAAAAACAACAGCTAACACTTACGAAATGGTGACTGTATTTCAGGCACTATTATATGTACTTTGCATGTATTAACTAATTAACTGATTCTGTTTGAAATAATCAGACCCTTTACTGAAAGCACACTTTGACTTGGATGGCTAAAGAAGTTGAGAACAGTGGACAATTAGAGTAAAAGGAATAGAAGGAAGAATAGGGATTTGGTGGAGTAGTGGGATGGCAGGGCATAGGAAGAGAAGTGGGGATCCAAACACACCCTATCAATATCACAACTTTGCCTTTAAGTGTTCTGAATGCAATAGTGAACTAACAAACCCTAGTGACCAAAAGCAACCATCCCAAGGTTACAGTATTAGCCATCCTAATAAATGCAGTTTTCCCAGGGGGAGAGTACAGGAGCAGAGTACAAGAGGAGAGTTTGTGAAAGTCCCCTGCAGCTCATCCAGAAGTTTGCTGAGGTTAGTTTCCTTTCTGAGACCAGCACAATGTCTCAGGTTTGAATTATTTGCTGTTAGGACCTTTAACCCTTACTGACCAGATACTAAGGAGCTTGAATAGTCTTCCAAAAAAAAGTCAAGATGGTTGGCTCTTTTCCCTGTCCAGGATCAGCTACATAATTTTGGGGGCCCAGTACAAAATAAAAATGTGGTGCCTCTTGTTCAAAATGTATTCAGATCTTTAAGACGGTGACAGTAGAACTTTAAACCAAACGTGGTACACTGTGCAACTGCACCTGTCGCATGCTCATGAAGCTGTCCCTCTCCCTGTTCTTGGCAAGTTACATATTCCACAGATGTCACATGAGTCTCAATTGTACATGAGGAAATGTTGAGATCCAGATGAAGAGCCTGCCTGTAAATTTGGGGTTAAATGCCAACGCCAGTACCTTCTGGGAACTGTCTGCTGAGAACAGGCATCACATCAATCCTTGGGATTATTGGCTACAGTAAACCTCTTTCAATTAAGTGCATCGCTTCTCTTCCATTGTTCTGATACCCCAGGTTGTTTGGGAAGGTTTGTCACTTTGAGGGATGTGGCTTAATAGCGTATTTTTAATGACAGGTAGAAATACAGTAACCCAACAAGCTGGATAGAGAAGTGTATAAATTGCTGACGGCTTGAAACCTTCCACTCCCTTTAATTTTGCTGATCCTCAGGGTCCATTTTCAAGGGCAATGCAACTAGCTGCTATTAGCTATAAGTTGCAGTTCTCTCTTCTTAATTTTGATGGCTGCTTGCCAGCTGACCCCTGCAGTAATAGAAAAATTCCTGTTAACTTCAGAGCTAATTTAAAATAAAAGTGTACTTGGATTTTTAATCAGACGAAAGATTGGGGAGTGAGGTGAATGGGACATAAAGACTGCGTATCAAATATCCCTTTCTAGGACACATACTGTGTTCAATTTATTTAAAATAGTTAGCTTCCTGAATCTCGTTTCCCATTGACTTTGTTTAAATATGGCAGGGTACAAAATTTTGAAATTACCAAGTGCCTAATTACAATTCAGTTGTTGCAATTGCATAACATCTCTAATCGTCTAATCAGTATTCCTCTTGCTTCTCAACTAGATTATGTACTTTTCAAGCATTGTGTTTTGTAAGAACTTGTTTTCTTTATATAATAGAATGTTAGAATTGAATTACTTTAGAGGTCATTTATTTCCGTTCCATTTAAGAAATAGGTGTAGATTTTTTTTTTTAAGAATGCCGTGATAAATGCTGGGTTACCAAGATGAGTAGACACGAATTCCTCACATGGCTCTAAGAGTTATCAATCCATTGAATTAGAAAGAACAAAACCCAGAGCAGAGATATATGAATGGCCTGCTCTGATACAAACTGTTATGAAAACATAGAGGGGAGACTAACTGAAAATATCATTAATTCAGTTGTAATTATTGAGCTCCTACCATGTGCCTGGTACTTTATTAAGTGTACAGGATAAAGCGGGATATATATTGTCCCATCCCTATTTGGGGAAGACTACAGCAAACAAGTAGCTTTTTTTTTTTTTTTTTCCCCAAACTTAAATAGACTCCGTCTGGGCCAGCAGGGGGCAGGAAAGAAGAGACAAACGAGAGAGCACCCTCCTTTGTCCCACCTCTCACTCAGTGTAGCTATTTCCCCAGTAATATTTATAATAGTGGTGGGCATACAGGCTGAGTTAGTTCTCATGGACAATTAAGTTCTCAGTTAGTTAAGTTTTATGAGTTGTGGCAGTTTCTTTCCATGGTATTTTTTATTTCTAATACCTCATGTTTTTCCCAATTTTAAGCATATGCATTAAATATATTCCAGCCCAATTTCTTTTTTTGTTTCAGAGGATGCTTGTTTATCCTCTTACATTCTTGATGATATAATAAGTGACTCACTTACAGCTGACAGTGTCTTTGGACTTTGCAAGTGAGTGCATGCTGAATGGGGTGTTGGATGGAAAAGGGGTGGGGAGATTAGGGTGGCTTCTATGTCCTGGAATAAGTTATTCCTGTGCAAGGTGAACAGGCCCACTGGTCTCGCCAGAATCTTTCCTGCTGTCAAAGAGATACAAAATATGTAGGCTCAGCAGCATAGATCAAGTAGATGAACTTCTGGGGAAATGAGAGGTTTTACATTTGTAATGTCAGCAAAGGAAAATGGGAGCTATAAAGTTCCTGCTTGTCATTAGTGTCACATTTCCAGCAGACTTCAGTAATGTGACTGAGTTTATCTCCCAGGGAGACTAGGAGTCTTGCTAGCTATTAGATTTTACATTTTCATGCTAAATTCTTCATGCTGGCTGATCCAGCAACAATGTCTGTAGGATGGGCACAGAGAAGACCTACAGGGGAATCAATATGACTACTGTGGTAAAAGTGTGTATGTCTGATTTTCCAAGAGATTCAAAGTCATTTGAAGCATTTAAATTATTTATTAGCCACAAAATATGTGTTTTGTCTTGAAGATGAGTGAGTTGAGAACACCCACATTTTTATTTTAATTACTGAAAAAATACTGGACCTAGAATCAGAAGATCTGTGTTCAAATCTCAGCTCTATCACAGTCATCTGTGTTCACTTAGGCAGACTACTTAACCTCTCTAGGCCTCAGTTTCTTGTTTTAAAATGGATCTAATGTGCCCAGGAAGTGCCGTAATAGTAAAAGGGTATAGGATATATAATAGCAAAACATTTTATTATCTTGACAGTGCTGTACAGATTCTTTTTTTCCTTCACTTGCACAGTCCTTTGAGATGTTATTGGAATCCACAGGTGCTGTAAGAGGATATTTTAATTCTGTACATCAGTGGGAAGTGAGTGGGCTAGGTGCTAGGAAATCGGAGATCTGGTTGTGTCTCCCTACCACTTTAGACAGTTATTCTATTATTTATTCATCCATTCATTTGCTATCTCATTTTGTAAGCCATTTAATGTGCCTTACATAGATTACTTGGTCTTTTGATGTTTCAGTTTTCAACTCTATAAGAGGGCAATAATACTAGTAATTCAGCTCTTCCACAAATTTCTTAAGGGAATCAAATGGCATGGACCTAGCAAAAGGATGTCCTTAAACCCAAACAACAATAGCAACACCAGTTTAAGAGAAATGAAGTTGAGGCTGCAAGTGGGATTCAGAGAACACTGAAAGATTGGAAGATAAAGGGAGAAGACCAGTTTCCAAGAGAGAGTAAGACTCCCAAGAGTGGCCTACATAAGCCTCTAGGGCTCTGTGTGACAGTGCAAGGGTGGAGAATGCTTGAACACCCCCCGTAAGTGTGGTAGAATGCTAGAAATTGGAGAGAGGCATCAACCAAACTGTGTTTAACAGCCAGGCTTGAGACCCTGGGAAGCATTTTCTGTATTTACATTTGTAATGTCAGCAAAGGAAAATGGGAGCTATAAAGTTCCTGCTTGTCATTAGTGTCACATTTCCAGCGGACTTCAGTAATGTGACTGAGTCTATCTCCCAGAGAGACTAGGAGTCTTGCTAGCTATTAGATCTTAATAGGAAATCAGGTGAGGAAAAAGAAAGATATCATTTTCAGACTTGGACTACAAGGACAGGCCTGCCCAGTTTCAATATTCAGCTAAGCACCTGCCATGTGGCACCATCAACAGAGACTCTGGGCAGCCTGAGTGACTGGGTGGGATGGTTTGTTGATACCACTGTACTATACTCCAAGATACAAAAGAATGGCTGACAGTTCTGAAATATCTGCTGAAAAATGCAGGAGAAAAACAGATGGGGTCTAAGATTCCATTATTCAGTTGGAGAGAGCCAAACACATACTGTCAATTTTTTGCACCCTGAATCTACCCACCCCCAATCTTTTTCTTAAAGTGTTGTAAAAAGTACAAAGCTGTAAACAAATATGAAAGAAAATAAAACTTTTTTTTTTTTTTCTGGCCAGCGCTCAGCTAAGGGTAAAAGACTTCTTGAAAGCCGACTTTTAAAGATTTCTCCCACATCCTGATTGCTATGACTATTTAAGGTCTTCTATGGCTCCATTTGAAATTTAGGATTTTTTTCTATGTCTAAGAAGAATGTCATTGATATTTTGATAGTGATTGCATTGACTTTATACATTTCTTTAGGTAGTATGATCATTTTAACAATTTTAATTCTTACAATTCACGAGCATGTGATGTCATTAGATTTGTTTATATCCACTTCAATTTCTTTCGTAAGTGTTTTGTAGCTTTCCTTGTATAGGTCTTTCATCTCCTTGATGTATATTTTATTCATTTATTTGTTGTAGCTATTGTAAATGGGATTGCTTTCTTGATTCCTTTTTCAGCTAGTTCACTGTCAGTGTATATACATGCTACTGATTTTTGTATGTTGATTTAGTATCCTTAACATTATGGAATTTCTTTATCTAAGAGTTTTGTGATAGAGTCTTCATGTTTTCTGTATATAAGCTTATGTCATCTGCAACAGAGACAATTTTTGACTTCCTGAGCAAAAAGAACAAAGCTGGAGGCATCACTACCAGACTTCAAAATACACTGCAAGGCCATAGTATACAAAACAGCATGGTTCTGGCATAAAAACAGACACATAGACCAAATAGAACAGAATAGAGAATGCAGAAATTAATCCATCTATCTACTGCCAACTTACTTTTGACAAAGACATCAAGAAGATTCATTGGGGGAAAGGACGCCACCTTAAATACATGGTGCTGGGAAAACTGGATATCCATAGCAGAAGAATAAAACTAGACCCTCGTCTTTCAACCTATACAAAAATCAACTCAAAATAAAGACCTAAATGTAAGACCTAAAACTATAAAACTACTAGAAGAAAACATAGAGGAAACACTTTAGGACATTGGGAAAAGATTTTATAAACAAGACCTCAAAATCACAGCAAAAAAGTCAAAATAAACAAATGAAATTATATTAAACTAAAAAGTTTCTGCACAACAAAGGAAACAACAGGATGGAAAGGTAACTGACAGAATTGGGGAAAATATCTTCTTGCTCTCTCTTGCAAACTATTTATCTGACAGGAGATTAATATCCAGAATATGCAAGGAACTCAAACATCTCAACAGCAAAAAAAAAAAAAAAAAAGATTAAAAAATGAGCAAATGACCTGAACAGCATTTCTGAAAAGAAAACATAAAAATGGTCATGAAATATAAAAAAAAGTTCAACATAACTAATCATCAGGGAAATGAAGACCAAAACCACAATGAGATATTATCTCACCCCAGTTAGGATGGCTATTACCAAAAAGACAAAAACAAAAACAAAAACAAAACAAAGAAACAAACAAATAAAAACAGATGTTAGTGAAAATGTAGAAGAAAAAAATCTTATACACTGTTGATCAGAATATAAACTAGTACAGCCACTTGGGGGATTTTATGTGCTGTAGTTTGGATGTTTGTTTCCTCAAACCTCATGTTGAAATTTGATCTCAATGTTGGAGGTGGGGGTCTAGTGGAAGGTGTTTGGATCATGGGGTGGATCCCTCATAAATAGGGATTTATGGGGGTTGGAGGTTAAATGAGTTAACATTCTATTATTATAGAGTTAACATTCTATTATTTCACACGAGAACTGGTTGTTAAAATGTTTGGCACTTCCCTTCTCTCTCTCTCGATTTCTGTCTCGTCATGTGATATCTGCACATGCCTGGCTCCCCTTCCCTTCTGCCATGATTGGAAGACTCCTGAGGTCTTCATCAGGTGTGGATGTTGGTGCCATGCTTCTTGTATGGCCTGCAGAACCATGAGCCAAATAAACCTCTTTTATTCATCAATTACCCAGCCTGAGTTATTCCTTTTCAGCAACACTAAAAGGATGAAGACAGCATGGAGGATCCTCCAAAAAACTACAAATAGAACAACCATATGATCCAACACTGAGTATTTATCCAAAGGAAAGGAAATCCGTACATTGAAGAAATATCAGCACCGCCTTGTAATTATTGCATCATTATTCACAATAGCCAACATATGGAATTAACCTAGGGGTTTGGTATGGTTTGGCTCTGTGTCCCCACCCAAATCTCATCTCAAATTTTAATCCTCACGTGTTAAGGGAGGGACCTGGTGGGAGGTGATTTGATCATGGGGGTGGTTTCCTCCATGCTGTTCTTGTGATAGTGAGGGAGTCCTCATGAGAGCTGATGGTTTTAAGTGTGGCATTTCCTTGCTCTTTCTTTCTCTCCTGCCACCTTGTGAAGAAGGTGCTTGCTTTCTTTCACCTTCCACTATAATTATAGGTTTCCAGAGGCCTCTCCAGGCATGTGAAACTGTGAGTCAATTAAACCTCTTTTATTTATAAATTACCCAATCTCAAATATATAAAGGAAATGTGGCATACATACACAATGGAGTACTATTTAGCCATAAAAAATGTAATCCTGTTATTCACAGCAACATGAATGAAACTGGAGGACATTACATTAAGTGAAATAAGCTAGAAAAAGAAAGTTAAAGACCATGTTTTTACTCATATGTGGAAGCTAAAAAAAAGCTTATCTCATAAAAGTAAAAAGTAGGTGAGGGGATAGTAGAGGGTGAAGAGGGTAGAGGAAAGGGGATAGTAGAAAGAGATTTATTAAAATATACAAAATTACCTACAGGAGGAATAAGTGCTAGTTTTCTATAAAACTGTAAAATGATGGTAGTTAATATATCGTATAATTTTGAATGACTATAAAGAGGTTGTGGAATGTTTCTAATGCAAATAAATGTTTGAGATGATAGATATGCTAACTATCCTGATCTAATCACTACCCATTGTAGGTGTTGAAACATCATGATATACCCTCAAAAATATGTACAATTATTACATGTCAATTTAAAAAATAAAATAAAAGATTTCTCTAACTTTCTAACCTTTCTCAAGTATCTCTCTATCATTCTCTGTCTCCTCCATGGACCCCATTCCTCTCTCTCTCTTTTTTTCTTTCTTTCCCCACACTTTCTCCCTTCTTCTTCCTCTTTTCTTTCTCCCTCCCCCCTCCTCAAATTTTCACTTTTTTAATGATGTCTTTTAATAAGCAGAACTTCTTCTACCTCTACATTTCTTTCCCTCCACTCACACACAAAGACTTTACCTTCTACCCTAGCCCCCCACATTCCATTGAGCCTGATGTAATGCTTGGCCTAGAAAGAGCTATTTTCACCTATTCTTGGAATAGAGTTTGAATGTGGAGGAAGAATCAGGTGGAGCAGGCCTTTACTGTTGAGGGTCAGGGACTAGAATAGTTTAACATGATCAACTCAGATTATCTGAAAAATGACGATGGTATCATTGTTCCTGGTCCTATTCATGGGATGGCTTAATAGGGCTGTATCTTATTAATAGCTCTGATTGATGATTCCTCTTAAAAACCAGACTAATTTGGGACACCCTCTGATCCTCACTGCTTGGCTTTTTGATTCTTGGGATGTCAGCCAGTGACTATTTCTTTGAGGTCATTCAGTCTCCTTCCCCAACTCCTATGTACTGTGCATTTTTGGGCTAATGTCTTGGGGTCATGTAAATCACAGTAGTTGGTATCCTTGGCAGATTGAATGTTTATAAAAGTGTCAAAAATCTTAGCACCAATTTGTACTTTATTATGTTTTCTAAAGTTTCCATGCTAAAAGGAAACAGAGCTTGTTTTATCATGTATTCCTTCTTATTCCTTAGATAAAGTGAGGTAGAGGGGATTCATGTTTTATGTATGGTTCAGGCTGTAAGGAACCTTATATTTCCAAAGATAAGATTATTTTATTTTGTCTCTTCTAAATTCTAGTGCTGAAATATGATCCTTCCTGTAATTCTTGCCTTTGGTTTCTGTTAAGGCGCAAGCACTCTTAACAGTGGCAGCACTAAGCAAAGGCTCTTCATTTATGTGTCTGTGTAAGAATAAAAGAATTAGATTTGACTGGCAGGTGAAATACATACAGTTAAGTCTTAGCCATTTCTTTGCCCCTCCCCACATTTCTTTTGACTGAGAAACTTATTTTACAAATGAAATAAGAGCCCTTCTTGGGAAATGAATATTTGCATAATCCTTTCCGCTCTGTTAAGATGATACTGAAGCATAATGTTACATTGCCAGGATCTCTCATGTCCTTCCTCTTTAATATTTTAAGTAATCACACAGGTGATACATAAATAATGCATAGAAAACAATGCTAATATATATACAATGGTAAAATGCAAAGGGAAATCATATACAGCATTCAGTAATAAATCAGAGTTCATCTTAGTAACACATACATATTTTACTTTAAGTAAATCTTTCACTGAGAAAATTTAGCTTTTAGATTTTTATTATTAAAGGGGTTTCCTTATTTTTATTTTTTCCTCTATTTTAAGATTTAACTCCTTTCACATTTCCAAACCTAATTGATACATCTGAATTGACAGTACTTTAGAACATTTACATTTCTCTCTTTTCTTTTTTAATGAAGCAGAAAGGATGCAGTTAGCATTACATATTTTTGTGTCATAATATAGAGCTTGAGGTACAGGAAAAGGAAAAAAATCAGAAACCTGGGAAAGAGAACAAATCTTCCTAATAGTTTAATTGTATTTAACATTTGGATTTTAAAAAATGTTTATACAGTAATTAAAATGTATATCTTTTTACTTTGAGAATTACAAGCCACCCCAACTAATTCCTTAATTGAGACCAAAAAACCAAAAAAACCTTTTGCTTTTGTTTTGATTTTTGTTTTGGAAATTTATAATTCAAATAAAAATTCCAGAAAATATTCACTCAAAAATTTATGTAAGTTTGCAAGAGACCCTGAATAGCCAAAGCAGTCTTAAAGAAAAGGAACACATTTGCAGGTCTCATATTTCCTTATTTCAAAACTTATAACAAAGCTACAATAATCAAAACAGTGTGATACTGGCATAAAGATAGACATCTAGACCAGTAGAATATAATAGATATCAGGAATAAGCCCTTGCGTATACAGTCAACTTATTTTTGACAAGGGTGCCAAGATCATTCAAGGGGGAAAGTGTAGTTTGTCCAACAAATGGTGTTGGGAAAACTGGATATCCACATGCAGAAGAATGAGATTAGAACCTTATCTCATACTATATATGCAAATCAACTCAAAATCCATTTGAGAGTTAACTATGAGACATGAAACTTTAAAACTACTAGAAGAAAACATATGGGAAAATCTCCATGACATTGGTCTGGGCAATGATTTTTTGGAAGCACAGGCAGCAGAAGTAAAACTAGGTAAATTTAACCACATCAAAATTAAAACTTTCTGTTCATCCAAGATCACAATTAACACTGTGAAAAGGCAACCTATGGGGTGGGAGACAATATTTGCAATTATATATCTGATAAAGGGTTAAAAACCAAAATATCATGTATAAAGAACTTCAACAACTCAACAACAATAAAACAACCCAAATAAAAAATGGGACAAGAACTTAATATAGACGTTTCTTCAAAGAGGATATATGAGTGGCCTGAATACGTATGAAAGATGCTCAACATCACTAATCTTTGTGGAAATGCAAATCAAGCCCATAATTAGATATGACTTTGTACTTAACAGGATGGTTATTATCAAACAAAACAAAACAAAAAAAATGAGAAAAATCTCAGAATATAACACGTGTTGGTGAGGATGTGGAAACATTGGTATCTTTATGTACTACTGGTAGGAATGTAAAATAGTGCAGCTACTAGAGATAAAAAAAGTGTGGTGTTTCCTTAAAAAATTAAAAGTAGAATTACCAAATGATTTAGCAATTCCACTTCCAGGTATACATCCAAAATACTTGAAAGCAGGGTCTCAAAGAGATATTTGTACAGCCATGTTAATAGCAGCATTATTCACAATAGTGAAGAGGTAGAAGCAGCACAAATATTCACTGACTAATGAATAAAGATGAAGAAAATGTGGTATGTACATTCAGTAGAATATTAATCAGTGGAATAAAGATAAAGAAAATGTGGGATGTATATTCAGTGGAATAAAGATAAAGAAAATATGGTATGTACATTCAGTGGAATGTTATTCAGCCTTAAAAGGGAAGGAAATCCCGTCACCTACTACAACATGGATAAAACCCGAAGACATTATGCTAAGTGAAATAAGTCAGTCATGAAAAGACACATACTGTATGACTCCAGTTACATAAGTGTCTAAAGTAATCTAATTCACAGAAATAGAAAGTAGAATGCTAGTTTCCAGGGGCTGAAAAGAGGGGTTAATACAGGTTTGTTTAATGAATATAGAGTTTTAGTTTTTCAAGATGAAAAATTCCTAGAGATTGGTTACTTAGCAATGTAAATATAGTTAATGTCACTGAACTGTGTACTTAAAGATGGTTAAGACAGTAAATTTTATATGCATATTTTGCCACAATTAAAAGAAAAAGAGAAATCCTAAAATTATAATATTATCAAGTTTTAAGTTAAAATTTAAAAGTTTTTTGTTTTTAAATTCAAGTACCATTTAGGCATGTTTCAATGGATTCATTCCACAAGCCTTTTCCAACTATGGTATAACAAATTGGGCTGTTTCTTGCAATTTATTTCATGTGTTCTTCACATCAATCATGGGAGGTAGCTATAATTAGCTACATTGCTCTTTGAAGAAAAATAAAAGTACAAAAAATATATTTTCCCAAGGTCACAGGTCACTTGATAGCAGAGTTTTAGCAGCTTCGGGGATGGCCAGTAAATCTTATCTCACAGGCTAACTCTGATGGATCAGTTGGGGCCTCCTGAAGTGCTGCCTTGAGAAGAATTTGAGGCATATCTGCACTCAGCTGTCATCATCCACATCTGCCAAATGAAAGGATGGGAGAGGTGGTTTCAACTCTTATGCTAGGCAGTTTTGTAACCCTTTATCGCTATCCAGGTCTAAAAGTATTTTTATTATACATATTAGCTGAATTTTGACAAAGTATCAAGTGTCAAGAGGCAACATTAAAGTCAGCATAGATAGATCAGATTGCTATTTTTCAGGAAGTTGCAAAAAGTGAAATATTCAAATTTATAGAAAAGGTAGGTTATACATTTAGTAAGTACCACAAAAGCAGATGTGTTCTTGTTGAAAGAGTTGATTCATTCTTTATTTTCCTTCTCAAGTGAAATTAAGTTTTAGAAATAAGTACAAGTAGCTTCAGTCTCTTATTGTACATATATAAGGAGATGGCTCTTTATTCATTTCAAGGCAAAATTGAATAAGTGCATGTTTCAAGCTAATAGTTCAGCACAGTTGTTGAATTTCGCAGTTCAGAAGTCCATCAAATAGCCTCTCTAATGTGTTTTCACATATTGGTTTAGCTCCTGATTCACATATCCAAGCTCTAGGCAATATAGTTTTTATCATCTGCATGACAAATTATGTATCTGTGAATTTAATTTGAATAGTTGTTGTTTAAGAAAAAGAAAATCAAATAATCAAATACACCTCTAGAAAATGCTGTCTTTCTCTAACAATACCGTCTGAAAATTTTCCAGCTTTGGAAAACCTGCTTTCTAGGGTATTGCAGAATTCGCTGGAACATATGCCTCAAATTATTGCTGAGACAGATATCTAATAGATTTGCATAAAGATTTGAATATGCAAATACAAATAAGATAAAGACTCACTTTAAAAAATGATGCAATTGGGTAAATCTTGTGCTGACCCTTTCCAGTAAAATATGAATGCAATACCATCAAAACACCTCAGGTTTGATGACATCAGTAAATATACTACTGTTAAAAGAGGTTGGTAATGTGTCAGTAAGTGAGTAAAGAAGGTTGCAGAATAGCAATCATGATATTATAATTATTTTTTAAAACACACTACATATGTGTTTGTAAGTGAGTAGAAAAGTATTTAAGAAACACACCTCAATAAATATACCAAAGTTACTTCTGGGGAGGGGGTGAAGGCAAAAAAGAATAAAGCAAGGGGTGAACATTTTATTACATATATTTTTATTGTTTGAATTTCTTAAATACATCTATCAATTTTGTGATTTTTGAAACTAAAAAAATATTTTGGAAATGCTATCTATATTCTGGCATTGCAAATAAACAATATACAGTATAAAGAAACAGCATGTTTCTGTTGACACTAATTCTTCAAATCTGTGAGTTATCTGGTCTAGACTAGTGTTTTTCAAACTCTGAATCAAAATTTGTTAGTAGATTTTTAAGTCAATATAATGGACCATTTTTGTTTCCTTCATGTTTTTTGACAATGTTTCTATTGGTTTGTTTGCCTTTTTCTTATTGATCCATGGGAGTTACGAATTCTGTATAGTAGTCTTTTGGTAATTCATCTGTTTTCTAAGGTTTCCCTTCAGGTCTGTGGCTTGACTTTCCACTTTTTTATGAAGCCTTTTAATAAACAGAACTCCTTAATTTTAATGTAATTGCATACATACGTATATTTTTCTTGATGGTCTATGTCGTTGCTGTTGTTTTTAAATTCAGTTTACATAATTCTTTCTTTTGTCACTGTCAACCATATATTTTCTTATAATGACATGATTTTTAATTTTTCCTTTAATATTTGAGTCTCTAATCCAATTATAATTTAATTATTTAGGGTATAAGATCTCATTTCATTGCTTTCATATGGAAAATCTATTGTCCCCACACCATTTATGTACAGGTGACTGTACTGTGTTTATTATACACTAACGTAGACGTTATGTTATATTAATGGGCCTGAAATGCCAATTATGTTGTAAACAAATTATATTATAACCTCTACATGTATGAGTCTACTTTTTGGGCCATTAATTTTGTTCAAGTATTGAATTTATCCATATATGAATTCCCCAAAGACTTTTACTTATTCTTTATGCCTATAGTCTCTCCAGTTTGTTGTTTTTCTTTAGGAGAATTCCTTTTCTTTGTGGTGATATTTTTTCCTTCTTATAAATAAAAAAAGTCAGCTTGTCAATTCAGCAAAGCATACTATAGAAGTGTTATGGTATTTTATTCAAATCTATGAATTCATTTGGAAAAAAATAACATATTTGTGATATTCCTATCCATGAATATGGTATATTATTCTGTTTAAGTTTTCATTATGTCTTTATATCAGAAGACTCTTGTGCAGCTTTTCAAGTCTTTCAGATTTTACCTCTTACTCCAGCCATTGTTGTGGTGACAAGTTATAAAGTTTTGATTGGCTTGATACAGGTGCATCAATACCTTCTTTGGGATTTTAAAACATACTTCTCACTTCCTGCTCTTTTGAACATGCCAGCCCTTATGCATGTGCACCCAAAAGTATTGGGAAAGAAATGTCCAATGGAATCACCTTGGATCAATGACAGCCAAAGGTTAAAGGACAAATACTTCTGTCTTCCATTCCCCAGTAGGTAATCTTGAGACACAGTTCACAAGATTCTTCAGAAGTTTTTGAACAAATGGTTGAAATTCAAAGAAAAAGAAAAATCTTGAAGTCAGCAAGAGAAAAAGGAATCATTATGTTTAGGGTAACAACAGCGTTATTAATAGGTTGCTTTTCATAAAAAAATGGAATCCAGAGGTAGTCAAATGATGTGTTAAATATGCTGAAAGAAAGAAATAAAACTGTCAGGCAAGAATGTTATAGTCTATAAATTTCTCCTTCAAAAATGAAGATAAAGTAACTACATACACACACAGATACACACGAATGAGTGCATGCAAAACCGGTGAAATTTAAATGTATCTGTGGGTTGTACTGTACATTTCCTGGTTTTGATACTGTATTGTAGTTATACAGGACATTTTGATTCCATTTATATGAAATTTCCTAAAAAGGCAATTCCATAGATGTATAAAACAGGTCGGGGTTGCCTGGGGCTAGGACTGCAATCACAAATTGGCGTCAGAACACATGCATGAAGGTATTTTAGGGAAGATGGAAATGTCCTAAAACTGGATTGTGTTAATAGTTTTACAATTGTAAAATTACTAAGAGTTATTTATTTGTATACTTATAAAAGGTACATCTTATGATATCATAAGTCAAAGATTTTTTTTTAAAAACAGAAAGGAGTATAGAGTTATATTTTAAAGTAAAATAATAATTCATCTTGTCAGTAGATTTTCTTTTTCTTCCCTGTTTTACTCTTTCTGTAACTCACATATACTCCTTAGGATTTTGTTCCCAAAAGTATATGACGTAAGCATTTTTGTTTAGAACCTGCTGTAGGAGATATGTAAGCTAAAACAGTCTTTTAGAAATTAGTTTTATTGAAAAACACCTTAAATTCAGTAAAACTCACCCTTTTAAAGTATACAATTTGATGAGTCTTGACAAAGTTGTAGTCATGTAATTTCTATCACAATCGAGAAAAATAGTATTTCTGTTACTTCAGGAAATTTCTTCATTCCCCTTCGCTGTTAACCCTTTTCCCAACCCCAGTCCCTGAAAACTACTGATTTGATTTCATTTCTTGCAGTTTTGGCTTTTCTAGTATGACATATAAATACTCTCATACAGTAGATAGACTTTGGTGTCAGTTTAATATATTGTATGCATTGTAACGTATGTTACATAGCATATATTGCATGCACTGTAACATGTATCAGTCATTTATTTTTTATTGTTAGTAGTATTCCATTATATGGATGTATTTGTTTATTCACTAGTTGAACTTTTGAGTTGTTTTAATTTTTTGAAATTTATAAATTTAGCTGCTGTGAACATTCAGGATTTTTTCATAGGGGAAGAAATAGGTTTTTGGTTTTTTTCTGTTTGGCAAATACCTAGAAGTGAAATGGCTGGGGCATATTTAGTTATATTTCTAGCTTTAAGAAACTGCCAGATGATTTTCCAAAGTTGTTTTTGCATGTTATATTCCTACTGCATTGTATTAGAGTTGGAGTTGGTATGGTCGGTCTTCTCAATTTTAGTCATTTTAGTTCGTGTGTAATAGTATTTCGTTGTGGTTTTAATTAGCATCTCCTTAATCACAAATTTGTGAGAACTTCTTCATGTGCTAATTTCCCATTCATATCTCCTTTAGTAGAGTGTCTTCAAATCTTTTTGCCATTTTAAATAAAGTTGCTTGTTTTTCTTCTTATTCTTGAGTTGAAGAATTCTTTATGTATTTTGGATAGAATTGTTTCATCAAATATATGTTTTCCAACTCTACTTTCAGATTGTGTCTTGCCTTTTTATTTTGTAGTAGTGTGTTTTGAAGTGTAAAGTTTATAAATTTGAAGTACAACTTGATCTTTTTTCTTATAGTTTGTAATTTCTATTTTATTGAAGAAATTTTTACTTAACCCAATATCACTTAGATCCTCTACTAAATTTTTCTTTTAGTAGTTTTATAATTTTATTGTTTTAACCCTTACATTTGGACCTATAACACAGTTTGAATTACTTTTCCTGGTTTTGTTCTGTCTGTTCCTATGTGGTGGTTTTTTCTCTGGCCTTGAGTAGTTTTTTAACAAATATGGGCAGTGTTCAGCTGAAGACTCAAAGTTAACTCTCTGAAGATCTCCAAACTTTCCTATGCAGCTCATTTCTGTCTGATACTCCAGCTTATTGATTCTAGCTGCCTTGCCTCCCCAGATTCTTCACTCTGTTCCCTTTACTCAGAAAGACTACCAGGCTCTATATGACTTTCTCCACTCCATGTTGCTGTTGCAGCTTACAAATTTTCTCTAGGCTGTAAGGTGGGGCAATCTTAGGACAAACCTTATTTGTTTTTCTTTTCTTAGAGATCGCAATCCTGTGTTGTTTATTGTCCAATGGGGGATACTTGTTGTTTTTAATATTTTTCAGTGTTTTCAGTTGTTTAAGATGGAAGGATAAATCTGATCACTAAGAGTGAAGTTTCCAAAAAAGGTTCTTGCATTTAAACCTTCAAAAATCTTAGTAGTTAGGGCTCAACAACTATAAATGAAACAACAAATATTTTAAAATATGATGGAAATGATGGCAACTTATTTACTGTAACTAAAATTAGAGTTCAGTGAAATGTTCGAAGATGTGTTTAAAGAGAGGTTCATGAAGTCCCTGGAATTTCAGGGCTAATAATAACTTACATAGTAGACAGGAACACTTAACATCTTCAGCAAAGAGCTTGACCAAGACAAAATAGGGAGGGCAAGGATACCCGTTCATGAGGAATCTAAGTAGAGCAGAATTAGATAGCAGAAAACATTGAACTACATAGGGTCAGATATGTCAAGTGTGTCTGTGTGAAAAGAGTCCACCAACAGGCTTTGTGTGAGCAACAAGTTAATGTCACTTGGGTGCAAGTGGGCTGAGTCTGAAAAGAGAGTCAGCAAAGGGAGGTAGGGGTGGGGCAGTTTTATAGGACTGGGGTAAGCAGTGGAAACTTACAGTTAAAGATGGTTACTATTGTCAGCAGAAGAGGAGGTCACAAAGTGCATGGTGGGGAGATCATAAGACTCATTGTCCAGAGGAAGAATATCACGAGGTCAATCGATCGATCAGTTGGGGTAGGGCAGGAAGAAGTCATAATAGAATGTCGTAAGGTTGGTCAATCAGTTAAGACAGGAGCTGGCTGTTTCACTTCTTTTGTACTTTTTGGTTGCCTCAGACCATCTGGATGTATATATGCAGGCTTGGGCTCAGAGGCCTGACATTCCTGTCTTCTTATACCAATAAGAAAAATAAAACAAAATAGTGGCGAAGTCTTGGGGTGGCAAAAATTTTGGGGGGTGGTATGGAGAGATAATGGGTGATGTTTCTCATAGCTGCTTTGCGCAGGATTAGGGGCGGCATGGGAACCTAGACTGGGAGAGACTAAACTGAAGAAAGATTTTGGGGTAAAGGGTGATATTGTGGGGTTGTTAGAAGGAGCATTTTTCATATAGAACGATTGGTGATGGCCTGGAAGCTGTTTTGCATTAACTGAGCAACTAAATAGAAGACACAAGGTCTGAATAAGAGAAGGAGAAAAACAGGTATTAAAGGACTAAGAATTGGGGGGACCAAGGACATCCAATTAGAGAGTGCCCAAGGGGGTTCAGCATAATTATTTGCTTGGTTGGTGAGTTTTTGGGCTCTATCCTTGAGTTTTTTTATGTTGTCATGTACCAGGCCAGATTGATTTATGTAAAAACAACACTCTTCATTTAAAAATATACGGAGTGCTCCTTTTTCAGCAGTTAGTAAGTCGACGCCTCAGCGATTTTGGAGGACAACTATGGCTAAGGAGTCGACCTGGGCCTGAAGGACTGATAAAGTTTGTGATATATCTGTAATGCTAGTGGAAAAGTCATTAGAAAGGCTACGGAAGGTTGTGACTGAAGTTGAAACCCCTATTCCTGCTCCAAGGGCAATAGTGGAAGCAGAAAGTCCTAACCCTATAAGTAGAGGGATTAGAGGAATAACTCTTTTTTGTCTGATTGATGTCATGAAGGGGGCAGGAAGTTGTTCAGAGATGTAGGGAAACAGGAGATGTTGCCCAGTTTGTATCTAAGGTGGGGACAGCTGTGTAAGCACAGGAAGAAAGGGAAATGCAAAGCCAGCAATTGTTTGCTAAGGAGGAATTAGAAATGGCTAGGAGAGAGTAAGTGAGATTGATAGTGTGGTGGAGATAGCTGGGGAGAGGTAGAGGGTGGCCTAGGAATGGGATTGAGAATAAGAGTGAGTATAAAAGTAAAGAATAGGACTTCATCCGGGTGAAAGTATTAGAGGGTGCCCTGCCAGCAAAGATCATGTATCTACTCCAAGAGAGAGGCAAGCAAGGCAGTTTGGGGATAGCACCAGGAGATATCCGCTACGATGGTTTGGAGAAACAGCGTAAACCGTCAGTGTAAACAAGAGCAGGGCATTTATGAGTAGTTGAGAATGGTGAATAGGAGTATGATTATACAGAAGATAGTAGGGAAGACAAGTTTTCAGGGCGCAGTCCAAGTAGTGGGGGTGACAGCATAAAGTCCTGTTGCAAAAAGTAGGGTAAGGATGAATAGACCTAATAGGATGAAGGGATGTATTAGGCTCATAAGGGTTATTACTGTTCTTCAGAAATGTGAGTGAGTTTAAGGGAAGTAGGAGAGAGTACTTGTGACTTCCAGAAGGAAGAGAAATCAGGCTGGCTGGCTGACGGGCACAGCTATGCTCTGGAATGGTGAACCCAATTGGGGGTTGGTCCTGCAGAGGAACAGCCGTTGGGGTACTATAGATGACTGAGTGGGGTCCAGTCCACCGAGGTTGTAGAGTCTGATGGGTCAGATTCTTAACAAGAACTGCTAGAGGTCTTCATATGGCTGGGAACACGGGGTAGGCAAAAGATTAGCAGCTTGGCAAATTTCCTTTCTAGCTTGCTGGAGGACTGGAAGATAATAACCTAGAGAGGTGGTGTCTGGAATAAGACTGGGGCCTAATAAAAAGGAGCATCCACACAGGAGCTTAAATGGGCTGTACCCTGTAGCATCCTGAGGACAGGTCCGAATTCTGAGAAGGGCCAGTGGTAAAAGTACTGTTCAGTCCTTTTTAAATTGGAGGCTGAGTTTGGTGAGTTGTGTCTTTAAAAGACCATTACTTCTTTCTACCTTTCCTGAGGATTGAGGGCGATAATGAGCATGAAGCTTTCATTGAATGCCCAGGACACGGGAGACTGCCTGAGTGACTTGACTAATCAAGGCCGGTCCGTTATTGGACCATATAGAGGTAGGAAGGCCAAACTGAGGAATTATATCTGACAGAAGGGAGGAGATGACTGCGGTGGCCTTCTCAGACCCTGGGGGAAAGGCCTCTACCCATCCAGTGAAAGTGTCTACCCAGAACAAGAGGTATTTTAGTTTTTTGACTTGGGGCATGTGGGTAAAGTCAATTTGCCAGTCCTGGGCAGGAGCAAATCCTTGAGCTTGATGTGTAGGGAAGGGAAGGGGCCTGAGAAATCCATGAGTAGTAGTAGAATAGCAGATGGAACACTGAGAAGTGATTTCCTTGAGGATAGATTTCCATGATGGAAAGGAAATTTGAGGTTCTAAGAGGTGGGCTAGAGGCTTGTAACCTTTATGGAAGAGGTTATGAAATGACGACAGAATAGAATGGGCCTGTGAGGCTGGAAGGAGATATCTTCCTTGGTCTAAGAACCATTTGCCTTGCGTGGGAAGAGACTGATAGGTGGAAGTTTCAGTGGGAGAGTAGGTGGGAGTGACCGATGAGAAGGGGAAAAACTATCCATGAGGGACAGAAGTAGGAATACTGGCTGCTTCTTTAGCTGTCTTATCAGCATAATTGTTGCCTTGAGCAATGGGGTCTGAGGCCCTTTGATGTCCTTTACAGTGAATGGCTCCAGCTCTTTTAGGAAGTAAAGCAGCTTTAAGAAGCATTTTTATTAAAGAGGCATTAATGATGGAGGACCCCTGTGCAGTGAGGAAACCTCTTTCTGCCAATACAACAGTATGGTGATGCAGGATATGGAAGGCATATTTAGAGTCAGTATAAATATTGACGTGTAGTCCATTTGCAAGAGTGAGGGCTCGAGTTAAGGCAATGAGTTCAGCTTGTTGAGAGGTAGCGGAAGTGGGAGGCAGTGCCATAGCTTCAATGATAGATGTGGAAGACACTATAGCGTAGCCTGCCTTTGCTAGTGATTGGCGATTGGGCCTGGTGGAACTGCCATCAATAAAACAAGTGTGATCAGGGTGGGGAACAGCAAAGAAGGAAATATGGGGAAATGGAGTGAATGTCAGGGGGATCAGAGAGATACAGTCATGGGGGTCAGGTGTGGTATCAGGAATAATGTGGGAGGCCAGATTGAAGTCTGGGCCAGGAACAGTGGTAACTGTGGGAGACTCGACAAAGAGTGAGTACAGCTGAAGGAGCCAGGAGGCAGAAAGTATATGTGTCAAGTGTGAGGAGGAAAGTAGATTTTGAAAGTTACGGGAACTGTAGAGAGTAAGTGGAGCATAGCTTGTGATTTTGAGGGCCTCTAAAAGTATTAAAGTGGTGACAGCTGCTGCACAGAGACATAAGGGCTAGCCCAGAACAGTAAGGTCAAGTTGTTTGGACAGAAAGGCTACTGGGTGTGGCCCCAGCTCTCCTGTAAGAATTTCGACTGCACAGCCCTGCACTTCAGCTATGTGTAATGAAAAAGGGTTGGGATGAGTTAGGGAGAGCTAGTGTGGGTGCAGTCTCTAGAGCTGTCTTCGAGGAACAGAAAGAGGAGTGGGGAAAGGATTTAGGATCTATGAAGTCAGCTAGGTTTCCCTTTGTGAGTTTATATAATGGTTTTGTTAGGACAGCAAAACCAGGTATCCAAAGGCAAAAGTATCCAACCATGCCCAGGAAGGAAAGGAGTTGTTGTTTTGTAGAAGGGGTTGGGGTTTGAGAGATCAGCTGGACACGATCGGCAGGGAGAGCACGTGTGTTTTCATGAAGAATTATGCCGAGGTAGGTAACAAATGGGGAAGAAATTTGAGCTTTGGAGGGGGATACCCGATATACTTTGGAGAATAAATGTCGAAGGAGCAGGAGGGTATCTTGTTGAGAAGACTCAAAGGAGTCTTAGAAGGTCATCAATATATTGAATAAGGTGGGAAGCAGAGGGTGGAAAGAAAGCAAATCATGAGAAAGAGCTTGGCTGAAGTAATGAGGGCTGTCCTGGAAGCCTTGCGGCAGTACAGCCCAGGTAAGTTGCTGGGACTGATGAGTGTCAGGGTCAGTCCAGGTAAAAGCAAAGAGAGGCATGGACAAGGGGTGCAGGGGAATAGTGAAAAAAGCATCTTTAAGATCAAGAATGGAATAGTGAGTTGTGGAGGGAGATATTGAGGACAAAAGAGTGTACGGGCTTGGGCACCACAGGGTGGATAGGCAAAACAATTAGATTGATAAGGTGCAGATCCTGGACCAACCTGTAAGACTTGTCCAGTTTTTGGACAAGTAAACATGGGGGAATTGTAAGGAGAGTTTGTAGGCTTTAGAAGCCCATGCTGTAGCAGGCGAGTGATAACAGGCTTTAATCCCCTTAAATCCTTTTGTGGGATGGGATACGGGCATTGAGCGGGGTAAGGGTGATTAGGTTTAATGAAATAGTAATGGGCATGTGATTAGTTGCCAGGGAGGGAGTAGAGGTGTCCCATACCTGTGGTTAAGGTGGGGGGATACAAGAGGAAGACGTGAAGGAGGCTTTGGGTTAGGAAGAATGGCGGCAATGAGATGTGGCTGTAGTCCAGGAATAGTCAGGGAAGCAGATAATTTGGTTAAAATGTCTCAGCCTAGTAAGGTAACTGGGCAGGTGGGGATAACTAAAAAGGAGTGCATAAAAGAATGTTGTTCAAATTGGCACCAAAGTTGGGGAGTTTTAAGGGGTCTAGCAGCCTGGCTATCAATACCCATAACAGTTATGGGGGCAAGGGAAACAGGCCCTTGAAAAGAAGGTAATGTGGAGTGGGTAGCTCCCATATGGATTAAACAGGTGATGGACTTACCCTCCACTGTGAGAGTTACTGGAAGCTCGGCATCCATGATGGTCCAGGGGGCTTCTAAAGCGATTGGGCAGCATCAGCCTTGAGCCGCTAAGCCGAGCAGATCTGGGAAGGAGTCATTCAGAGAGCCTTGGGCCAGAGTTTTAGGGGCTATAGGAGTGGCTGCCAGGCGAGCTGGGCAGTCTGATTTCCAGTGGGTCCCTGCACAGATGGGACATGGCTTGGGAGGAATCCCAGGCTGTGGGCATTCCTTGGTCCAGTGGCCATATTTCTGACACTTGAAGCAAGATCCTGAGGGAGGAGGTCCTGTAGGAATGCCTGACCACTGCGGTTTAGGCGTTTTGAAGTTCTTGTGTGCTGGAGGTGCAGCTGGGTTTTGTCTCACAGCAGAGGCAAGTAATTGTAACTCAGAAATGCATTGCCGCTTGGCTGCCTTCTCTCTATTATTGTACGCCTTGAAGGCGAGGTTGATTAATTCCTGTTGTGGGGTTTGAGGGCCAGATTCCAATGTCCGAAGCTTTTTTCTAATGTCAAGAGCTGACTGGATGATAAAATGCATATTGAGAATGAGACGGCCTTCTGCCCTTTCAGGTCTGGGGCTGTAAAGCGTCTCAGGGTTGCTGCCAAATGAGCCATGAACTGGGCTGGGTTTTCATCTTTACCTTGGGTAGTTTCTTTAAGTCTGTCATAATTAACAGTTTTGTAAGCTGCCTTTTTAAGCCCTTCAACTAGGCAGGAAATCATATAATCTCGCTTAGCTATACCTGGCGAACCTGTCTGGTGTTCCCATCTGGGATCTTTTCGAGGAACTGCCCTGATACCTTCTTGAAAGTCTGGCTCATGATGCCAGCATGTGTCAGTGTGAGATTGGGCTAGGGTATAAACTCTATTCCGCTTATCTGGGGAAAGGGTAGAAGTTAGGATGACATTTAGATCACTCGAGGTTAAATTGTAGGACTGGGTTAAATACTGGAATTCCTGTATATATTTAGTGGGGTCTGATGAGAAGGGGCCTAAGCACTGATTAATTTGGGAAAGGTCTGATAGAGAAAATGGTACATGCACTCTGACGATGCGCTCAGCTCCAGCCACCTCTCGGAGAGGAAATTTTTGGGCAGGTGGGGGAGTATTTGCTGCAGAACGAAATTGTAAGCTGGACCAGGTGTGGGGAGGGAAGGTGACAGAAGGGTTATAGGGTGGGAGAGCAGAGGCTGAGGAAGAATTGGGACTTGATTCAGCCTGCCGAGGCGTGGCCTGGGGTGGGAGAGAGAGGTCAGAGGGGTCTGCAGAAAAGTGGGATTCAGAAGAGTTAGCAGCACTCTAAGGGGTTGGGACTGAAGGGACAGACAGGAGGGAAAGAAGGAAGATTTGGGATGAGTCACTTTGGGAGCAGAGCCTAGGGAGGGAGCGAAGTGTAAAAAATGCCTAGACGTAAGGCACCACAGACTATTTGCCCATCTTATGACAAAAATTATTTAGGTCTTGTAGGATGGAGAAATCAAAAGTGCCATTCTCTGGCCATTTAGAGCCATTATCAAGTTTGTACTGGGGCCGAGTGGTGTTGCAGAAGAAAATAAGACACTTAGGTTTTAGATCAGGTGAGAGTTGAGGAGGTTTCAAGTTTTTAAGAACACAGGCTAAGGGGGAAGAAGGAGTAATGGAGGGCAGAAGCTGCCCATAGTAAAAAGGTAAGTTTAGAGAAAAGAGGGGTAGAGACATGGTGGCGGGGGTGGGGGTGGGGGTGTGGTACTTGCTACCCAGAGGAGGTGGTACTTGCCACCAAGGTGGAGGATCAAGGCAGGCATCCCTGCGGTGACGGAACACCTCTGAAATGTGGGTGAATAATCAGGCAGGCATCCCCGCGGTGATCAAACACCAAGGGAAGAATGTCTTCCCAAGTCCGTGACCGGCGCTGGAGTTTTGGGTTTACGGATAAAACGCGTCTCCTCTGTCTCTACCAGAAAAAGCAAAGGAAATGAAATTAAGGGAAGGGAGAGATTGAAGGGTGGTGCTGAAATTGAAAGGGCAAAGAGGTTGAGGGATAGTGAAAGAGGTTGGAGAAGAGAGTAAAAAGAGGCCTCTTACCCGATTTAAAATTGGTGAGGTGTTTCTTGGGCTGGTCTGAGGACCCAAGGTCATAGGTGGATATTCTGACAGAGCAAACAGCAGCAGGACAGGGGATTGATCTCCCAAGGGAGGTCCCCTGATCTGAGTCAAGGCACCAAATGTCAAGCGTGTCCATGTGAAGAGAGTCCACCAATAGACTTTGTGTGAGCAGCAAGGCTGTTTATTTCACTTGGGTAAAAGTGGGCTTAGTCTGAAAAGAGAGTCAGCAAAGGGAGATAGGGGTGGGGCAGTTTTACAGGACTGGGGTAAGCAGTGGAAAGTTACAGTGAAAGGTGGTTATCTATTGTCAGCAGAAGAGGAGGTCACAAGGTGCATGGTGGGGAGATCATAAGACTCATTGTCCAGAAGAAGAATGTCACGAGGTCGATCAATCTATCAGTTGGGGCAGGGCAGGAACAAGTCATAATGGAATGTCGTAAGGTTGGTCAATCATTTAAGACAGGAGCTGGCTGTTTTACTTCTTTTGTAGTTTTCGGTTGCCTCTGGCCATCTGGATGTATATGTGCAGGCTTGGGCTCAGAGGCCTGACAAGATAACGTCAAATCTTAAAACATTCTGGAGTGGCATTAACAGAAAAGAATCACTTTCTTCCAGTATGTTAACTATATTCATCTGGTGGAGATGAAGTCACAGATGAAAATAAGGGAGATAAACTAGGATGTAGCTGCGGCAATCCAAGTACAATTTTTAGTGTATGGCTGTGTAATAAAACCTAAGAGAAAAATTTGGAACACCTTAAAAGGATGAAACCAGAGGATTTCACGTCTGATTAAATGTAGTGGATAAGTAAAAGTAAATAAGATAATGTGAACATAAAGCATGTTCAGGGAAGGCATTACATTTTGAATATGCTCTTTAACTTTGAGAGTTTAATAACCATGCTAGAGTAAACCCAAAGAAATATAACCATATATATACTAAATCATAATATTATATTTCAGCGTAATCTTTATTTTTCTTCTTTATTAGTATATTTAACAGATGGATGAATACAGAGATGTGACATATATAATGTGTGTACACACACACACACACACACACACACACACAATGAAATGCTATTTAGTGAGAAAAAGAAGGAAATACTATCATTTGTGATAACATGGATGAACCTGGATAACATTATATCAGGTGAAATAATCCAGGCACAGTAAGACAAATATCACATGATTTCACTCATATGTGGAATTTAAAAAAGTTAATCTTGTAGAAGTAGATAGCAGACTGATGGTTTCCAGGGGCTACATGGTTAGGTGGAAGAGGGGTTGGGAGATGATGGTAAAAGGAAACATAAATACAACTAGATAGGAGAAATAAGTTCAAGAGATCTATTGTAGAGCATGGTGACTATAGTTAATGACAGTATATTGTATTCTTGAAAAACCCAGAGAATGGATGTTAAGTGTTCTTACCTCAAAAATGATAACTGTGTTAAGTAATGCAATTGTTAATTAGCTAGATTGAACTATTTTACAATGTATATATACTTCAAAACATTAAATTGTATGTGAAAAACACATATAATTTTGTCAGCCAATTAAAAAATTAAATAAAAAAGAGTATATTAAAATATATCTTTAATAATCAAGGAGAAATTAAAATAAAAATGAATAAATGATTCCGTATTCATACTCACTGATTTTTCTGTTTATTTTATACAATTGAGAAAGGTTTCTAGTTTCCAAAACAGAAAATAATATGAAAAGGTTAGCCTACCTTTCCAAGGAAGAAAGGCTGTGAAAACATAAAGGACCCTAAACCAAGGCTGGAAATTTCCCACAAGTCTTCAATCCTGCCAGGGTTAAGAGTCATGAGAACTATTGGCAATAAAATAGGTGTTCCATAATGGGGTGATATTCTTCCCAATGGATATTAAAGTTAATGGAAAAAAGACTCGTGTTTGGTTTGCACACCACATGCAAGGAGAATAGGCAAAGAGAAAGGAAGTGGATTAAGATGGTTTTAGCAGTTAAGCTTGTTTATATGCCAAAAACATTCCTCTTCTTGGGGAAGTCAGGCATGGTGCCTGAGCATTGAGATGCAAAGCTGTGACATAGAAGCTTATGTCTCTTTTATACATGATAATGTATAATGATACCTTTGTCCATTTTAACTTCAGATCTGGATTTTTCTTTGACATATTAATTTATCCTTCTGGGGAGTCTTTCAAAGAAGAAAACACTCTGAGGGAAAAAATCAAGCCAAGTCTAATTGATTAAACTTTCCTATGACTCCTTGCTGAAAAGCAAACCTTTCAAGTTTTTGCCAATTGGCAGGAGTTTTAATGACAGGCTTCCAAGATCAAAGCAAATCCTTTAAGTTCTTTTAACAGTGAATTCACTGGTGACTATTGACATGTAGAATACCCTTCATGGCAGAAACAAAAATCTGAGATTTGCCACATATTACTAAGTGTTCTAAGTGGAGGACAATTTAGTATGCTCCCCATTAACCCAGAAATAAAACATCAGATCCAAAGAGAGATGAGAGCACATGCAATTGTTTGGTTATGAAACCTTGAGGAATAAATACTTCCACTTGTCACAGTTGGTATGAAAATGTAACGGCATAGAATGTTTTATGTTTGTTTATTGAAACACCAATAATTAACAATAAGAAAGGAACTACTGTGGAGATGAAACAAACTCACAATAGATGTATTTGCTTCTAAAGTTTACTGTTCCCTTTTAAGACAGATAACTGAATGAGAGTAATATGTATGGCAGTAGAAGGCAAAAGCCCCATTGTCTAGCCTCTACTTTGTTAGTCAATGTGTTGTAACTTTAGTCAAAACACTTATACATATCCCTTCAATGTTGTACAGAGGCAAAGGCCACTCAGGGATTATCTAGAGATGTAACTTCATTCATTTCAGTATTTACAATTGATTAAAGTTCCCAAACATAGTGAAACTTCTTGCTTTGTACAGAAGCAATATAAATAATTAATCTCTAATGAAACACATAATCTTGAAGATATATGGTCCTGTTGTATATTGATCACTTTTGTATCGAACTTAACTTCTTATTATTCTGTAACTACCCTAGCTTCTAAACCGTTCTTTAAACTGGTTACAACATTTTACTGATTCCTTCATTAATTAATATGCTGTATAAAAACTGTCACATTTTATATTTGAATAAACTAATGATTTTACCTTTTTTGAAAGGTATACTGTAATGCATCTTAGGTGTATTTCATAGCTCTTTGGCCTGAGGAATTTAAAGTAGTGAGAAAGATTGGTCTACCTTTTACTTCTCTTACTTTTCCCTGAATGTGTTATTTTATCCTCAATTGTTTTGGAAATTGAGACCCCCGTCTACCTCACATCATCTACAAAAATTAACTCAAAATGAATCAAAGACCCGAATGTAGGAACTGAAATTAAAAATCTTAGACAAAAACCTAAGTGTAAATCTCTATAACCTTGGATTAGGCAATACTTTTTAAAATAGGACACCAAAAGCACAAGTAACAAAAGAATGAATAATTGGACTTCTCAAAATTAAGAACTTAGTGCTGCAAATGATACCCTCAGAAGGTGAAAATTGTGGGTGAATGTGTGTGCACATGCTATTGGTCATATTTTTCATATTGTCATATTTTTAATGACATATTGGTAGTTTGAAACTGTCCATGGTGGCAAATGAAAATCAGGCCTTTTCTTTCTTTTCTGGATATCTAGTTGCTAAACATTTACTAAAATATTCTTCGACATATATACATACATACACATACACACAAATTCAATTATGTGTGTATGTGTGTATGTCCATGAATATTCCTTATCACTATGCATGCCAAAGTCTGAGGAATTTAAAGTAGTGAGAAGGGTTGAAAGAGACTGGACTAGATTTTTTTATATGATAGTGATGAAAGAGCTATAAAATATACCCAAGATATATATACACCCAAAACTTGAACAGTATTCTATAACCAATCTCATTCTGATTGAGTGTGCTAACTAGACTAGCTTTCTTCCTATACTGTCCTTTTATGCAATGTTCTTCTCTAATGTAGTCTCAATACTATTTTCAGAGTCATCTTTTATGTGAAGGTGCTCATAGCTTTCCTTTGTTTAATCTCCTTCAATATCTCTACATTATTTTCAAGATAAAGTTCAAGATAAAGTTCACATTCTGTTAGTCATGTCAGACTGACCACTCCCTTCCTTAAACTCTTGTCCAGTTACTTTGAGCTACTTACTGCTTGGAGGGCATCAGGTTTGCCTTGCTTTTGGGCCTACACATCGCTAATTCCCTTGCCTGACATTTTTCCCCCTCCTTCTTTGTATGATTTACTCCACATGTGTGGATTTGGTTGTGATTATATATTAAATTCCTTACTTCACATTACAATCAGCTTCTTGATGGCCAGCATTAGTTTTTATTTATTTCAGTATACCTAGTATCTAGCACATGTTTGGAACATTATAGGTGATCAGAAATAATTCTGAAATGTGTTGAATTTTGAGGAGAAATATCTATTTAAAAAATAACTTGGCCAGGCATGGTGGTTCACGCCTGTAATCCCAGCACTTTGGGAGGCCGAGGCAGGTGGATCACCTGAGGTCAGGAGTTCGAGACCAGCCTGACCAACAAGGTGAAACCCTGTCTCTACTAAAAATACAAAAAAATTAGCTGGGCGTGGTGGCAGGCGCCTGTAGTCCCAGCTACTTGGGAGGCTGAGACAGGAAAATTGCTTGAATCTGGGACGCAGAGGTTGCAGTGAGCTAAGATCGTGCCACTGCACTCCAGCCTGGGCAATGGAGCAAGACTTCTTCTAAAAAAAAAAAAAAAAAAAAGGAAAAGAAAAGAAAAAAAATAACTTATGCTATTGGGGAAATACAAATGTTTTGATGTGTTTAAAACTTGTCAAGGTTGAATTGTACAGCATTTAGTAGACAGGAACAGAAAAGGCCAATATGAAGGACTTCTGTGGAAATTGAGAATAACAATGGCGATTTACATTTAAGTAGCTTTGAGAACTTGTATTTGTGATGAAATATTAAATGAAAATGAATTCCAATTAAGATGACACATCTTCATTGTCTTAAACTCAGCAACATGCCTAGAGATTTCTCCTTAAATATTAATTTCATGGAAGTTAGTTATAACATCAGATCATTTGAACTTCAAGGATATTGAAGGGGATATTCGAAAGGTTCTGTCAATTTAATCCAGTGAAAAATTCCAAGAAAGGGAATTAGGTTAAATGGAAACTTCTTAACAACCACAAAAATTTAATTATGGTTTAACATTAAATACTTTAGAGAGAGAAAAATACAGAGAATATGCTCACTACTTTATAAAATAATATATTTTTAGATTTATTCCTTTTTATAACTTTTACTTTAAGTTCAAGGGATACATGTGCAGATTTGTAAACCCATATCATGGGGGTTGTTGTACAGATTATTTTATCACCCAGGTATTAAGCCTAGTATGCAATAGATATTTTTCCTGATCCTCTCCCTCCTCTCACCCTCTGTCCTCTGATGGCCCCAGCGTGTGTTGTTCCCCTCTATGTGTCCATGTGTTATCATCATTTGACTCTCACTTATAAGTGAGAACATGCAGTATTTGGTTTTCTGTTCCTGTGTTAGTTTGCTAAGGATAATGTCCTCCAGCTCTATCCATGTTCCTGTAAAGGACATGATCTTATTCTTTTTAATGGCTGCATAGTATTTCATGGTGTGTATGTATCACATTTTCTTTATCCAGTCTACCACTGATGGGCACTTAAGTTGATTCCATGTTTGCTATTATGAATAGTGCTGCAATGAACATACATGTGCATGTGTATTTATGATAGAATAATTTATATTCCGTCGGGTATATACCCAGTAATTGGACTGCTGGGTTGAATGGTAGTTCTGTTTGTAGGTCTTTGAAGAATTGCCACCTTGTTTTCCACAATGGTTGAACTAATTTATACTCCCACAAATAGTGTATATAAGTGTTCCCTTTTGTCCACAACCTCACCAGCATCTGTTATTTTTTGACTTTTTAATAATACCTACTCTGACTGGCGTGAGGTGGTATCTCATTGTGATTTTGATTTGCATTTCACTAATGATCAGTGATGTTGAGCTTTTTTTTCATATGCTTGTTGGCTACATTTATGTCTTCTTTCAAAAAGTGACTATTCTTGTTGTTTCCCCATTTATTAATGGGGTTGTTTTTTCTTGTAAATTTGTTTAAGTTCCTTATAGAAACTGTGTAATAGACCTTTGTCAGATGCATGGTTTGCAAAAATTTTCTCCCATTCTGTAGGTCATCTGTTTAGTCTCGTGATAGGTTCTTTTGCTGTGCACAAGCTCTTTAGTTTAATTAGATCCCACTTGTGAATTTTTGCTTTTGTTGTAGTTGCTTTTGGCATCTTTGTCATGAAATCTTTGCCTGGTCCTATGCCCATAATGGTGATACCTAGGTTATCTTCCAAAGTTTTTACAGTTTTGGGTTTTACAATTAAGTCTTTTAATCCATCTTGAGTTGATTTTTGCATATGGTGTAATGAAAGGGTCCAGTTTCCATCTTATACATGTGGCTAGCCAGTTATCCCAGCACCATTTATTGAATAGGGCATCTTTCCCCATTGCTTGAGTTTGTCAACTTTTTTGAAGATCACATAGTTGTAGTTGTGTGGACTTATTTCTGGGTTTTCTATTCTGTTCCATTGGTCTATGTGTCTATTTTTGTACTAGTACCATGCTGTTTTGGTTACTGTAGCCTTGTATTATAGTTCGAAGTTGGGTAGTATGATGCCTCCAGCTTTGTTCCTTTTACTTAGGATTGCCTTGGCTAGTTGGGCTCTTTTTTGGTTCCATATGAATTTTAAATTTTTCTAGTTCTGTGAAGAATATCATTGGTAGTTTAAGAGGAATAGCATTGAATCTATAAGTTTCTTTGGGCAGTATGGCCATTTTAATGATATAGATTCTTTCTATCCACGAGCATGGAATGGTTTTTCATTTGTTTGTGTCATTTCTGATTTCTTTGAGCAGGAGTTTGTAGATCTCCTTTTAGAGATCTTTCACCTCCCTAGTTAGCTGTACTCCTAGGTGTTTTATACTTTTTGTGACAACTGTGAATGTGATTGTATTTGTAATTTGGCTCATGGTTTGACTATTATTGGTGTATAGGCATGCTAGTAACTGTTGTATATTATTTTTGTATCCTGAGACTTTGGTGAAGCTGTTTATCAGTTTAAGGAGCTTTGGAGCTGAGAATATGGGGTTTTGTTGATGTAGGATCATGTCATCTGCAAAAAGGGAGTGTTTTACTTTCTCTCTTCCTATTTGGGTGCCCTTTATTTCTTTCCCTTGCCTAATTGCTCTGGCTAGGACTTCTAATACTATGTTGAATAGGAGTGATGAGAGAGGGCATCCTTGTCTTGTGCAAGTTTCAAAGAAGAATGCTTCCAGGTTTTGCTCATTCAGTATGATATTGGCTGTGGGTTTTTCATAGATGGCGCTTATCATTTATAAGTACGATTTTTTCAATACCTAGTTTATTGAGAGTTTTTAACATGAAGGAATGTTAAATTTTACTGAAAGCCTTTTCTGTATCTATTGATTTAATCGTGTAATTTTTTTGTCTTTACTTCTGTTTATGTGACAAATCACATTTATTGGTTTGCGTATTTGGAACCAACCTTGTATCCCAGGGATAAAGCCTACTTGATTGTGGTGGATAAGCTTGTGATGTGCTGCTGGTTTCAGTCTGCCAGTATTTTGTTGAGGAATTTGCATTGATGTTCATCAAGGATATTGGCTCAAAGTTTTCTTTCTTTGTCGTGTGTTTGCCAGGTTTTGATATCAGGGGGATGCTGACCTCATAGGATGAGTTAGGAAGGAGTCCCTCCTCCTCAATTTTTAGGAATAGTTTTAGTAGGAATGGTACCAGCTTTTCTTTATATATCTGCAAAATTCAGCTGTGAATCTATCTAGTCCTAAGCTTCTTTTTGGTTTGTAGATTATTTATTATTGATTCAATTTCAGAGCTCATTACTGGTCTGTTCAGGGAATCAATTTCTTCCTGACTCAGCCTTGGGAGAGTGTATGCATCCAGTAATTTATCCATTTCTTCTAGATTTTCTAGTTTACGTACATAGAGTTGTTCATAATATTCTCTGAAGGTTATTTGTATTTCTGTGGGGTCAATGGTAATATCTCCTTTGTCACTTCTCTTCTCTCTTTTTTTTCTTTCTTAGTCTAGCTAGTAGTGTATCTATTTTTAGTTTAGTTTTTTTCAAAATAACAACTCCTGGATTTGTTAATCTTTTGAATGATTTTTTGTGTCTTAAACTCCTTAAATTCAGCTCTGGAGATGAGAAACTTGTTGGGAACTGGAGTAAAGGTGATTCTTACTTTTTTCTTTTTTGAGACGGAGTCTCGCTCTGTCACCCAGGCTGGAGTGCAGTGGCATGATCTCGGCTCACTGCAAGCTCTGCTTCCCAGGTTCACGCCATTCTCCTGCCTCAGCCTCCCAAGTAGCTGGGACTACAGGCACCTGCCACTATGCCCGGCTAATTTTTGTATTTTTAGCAGAGACAGAGTTTCACCATGTTAGCTAGGATGGTCTCGATCTCCTGACCTTGTGATCTGCCCACCTTGGCCTCCCAAAGTGCTGGGATTACAGGCATGAGCCACCACACCCAGCGATTCTTACTATGGTTTAGCAAAGAGACTGCAGGCATTTTGCAACTGGCCCAGAGATCTGTGGAACTTTGAATTTGAGAAAGATGATTTAGGGTATCCAGCAGAAGAAATTTCTAAACAACCAAGTGTTCAAGAGATGACTTGGGTGCTTTTAAAAGCATTCAGTTTTATGTATTTACAAAGATAGGGTATGGAATTGGAACTTATGTTTAAAAGGAAAGCAGAGCATAAACGTTCAGAAAATTTGCAGCCTAGTGATGTGACAGAAAAGAAAAACCCATTTTCAAACCAGCTGCAGAAATTTGCATAAGAAACTAGGAGTCAAATGTTAAGCACCAAGTCAATGGGGAAAATGTCTCCAGAGCATGTCAGAGGTCTTCCAGCAGCCCCTCCAATCACAGGTCCAGAGGCCTAGGAGGAAAAAATGGTTTCGTGGGCCTGGCCCAGGGCTTTGCTGCTTTGTGCAGTCTCTGAACTTGATATCCTGTGTCCCAGCTGTGACTCAAAGGGGCCAAGGTCCATCTTGAGCTGTAGCTTCAGAGGGTGCAAGCTCCAAGCCTTGGCAGCTTTCACATGGTGTGGGGCCTCTGGGTGCACAGAAATCAAGAATTGAGGTTTGGGAACGTTGGCCTACATTTCAGAGGATGTATGGAAACACCTGGATGTCAAGGCAGAAGTTTGCTGCAGGGGCAAAGCCCTCATGGAGAACCACTGCTAGGGCAGTGCAGAAGGGAAATGTGGGGTGCAATCTCCCACACAGAGTTTTCACTGGGGCACTGCCTAATGGAGCTGTGAGAAGAGGACAAACCATTCTCCAGACCTCAGAATGGCAGATCCACTGACAGCTTGCATCGTGCACCTGGAAAAGCCATAAGACACTCAATGGCATCCTGTGAGGGAGCCAGGAGAGGAGCTGTACCTTGCAAAGTCAGAGGAGCAGAGCTTCCCAAGGCTATGGGAGCCCACCTTTTGCATCAGCATTACCTGGATGTGAGACATGAAGTCAACAGAGATCATTTTGGAGCTTTATGGTTTGACTGCCCTGCTGGATTTTGGACTTTTTAGGTCCTCTAGTCCCTTAGTTTTGGCCATTTTTTCCCATTTAGAGTAAGCGTATTTACCCAACGCCTGTACCCCTATTGTATCTCAGAAGTAATTAACTTGTTTCTGATTTTACGGGTTCATAGGTAGAAGAGACTTCCCATGTCTCAGATTTTACAGGTTCATAGGTAGAAGAGACTTGCCAGGTCTCAGATGAGACTTTGGACTTGGACTTTTGGGTTAATGCTGGAATGAGTTAAGACTTTGGGGGACTGTTGGAAGGGCATGACTGTGTTTTGAAATGTGAGGCTATGAGATTTGGGAGGGGCCAGGGGTGAAACAATATGGTTTGGCTCTATCCCCACCCAAATCTTTTATTGAATTATAGTTCCCATAATCTCCATGTATTGTGGCAGGGACCCAGTGGGAGGTAAATAAATCATGGGGGTGGTAACCCTAAAGCTGCTGTTCTTGTGATAGTGAGTGAGCTCTCATGAGATCTGATGGTCTTTTAAGGGTCTTTTTCCTCTTTACTCAGCACTTGTCCATCTGCTGTCATGTGAGGAAGGATATGTTTGCTTCCCCTTCTGCAATGATTGTCAGTTTCTTTTTTCTTTTTCTTTTTTTTTTTTCGAGATGGAGTCTCACTCTGTCACCCATGCTGGAGTGCAGTGGCATAATCTCTGCTCACTGCAATCTCTGCCTCCCAGGTTCAAGTGATCCTCCTGTCTTAGCCTCCCAAGTAGCTGGGATTGCAAGCGTGTGCCACCAGGCCTGGCTAATTTTGGTATTTTTAGTAGAGACGGGGTTTCACCAAGTTGGCCAGGCTGGTTTTAAACTCCTGATCTCCAGGTGATCCACCCACTTTGGGCTCCCAAAGTGCTGGGATTACAGGCATGAGCCACCACACCTAGCCTCATTGTAAGTTTTTTGAGTCCTCTCCAGCCATGCAGAACTGTAAGTTAATTAAACCTCTTTCCTTTATTAATTACCCAGTCTTGAGCAGTTCTTTATAGCAGCATGAGAACAAACTAATACAAAGTCTATTTGATCCAGTGCTGAGTTCAAATCTTAACTATCTTTGTTATCTTTCTCCCTTGATAATCTGTCTAATACTGGCAGTGAAGTGTTAAGTTTCCCACTATTATTGTGTGGAAGTCTAAATCTCTTTGAAGGTCTCTAGGAACTTGCTTCATGAATCTAGTTCCTTCTGTATTGGGTGTGTGTATATTTAGGATTGTTAGATCTTCTTGTTGAATTGAACTCTTTACCATTATGTAATGTCCTTTTGTGTCTTTTGTTATCTTTGTTGATTTACAGTCTGTTTTGTCTGAAATTAGGATTGCAACCCCTGCTTTCTTCTGTTTTCCATTTGCTTGATATATTTTTCTCCATGTCTTTATTTTGAACTTCTGTGTGTCATTGCAGGTGAGATGGATTTCTTGAAGACAGCATACCCGTGGGTCTTGTCACTCTGTGTCTTTCAATTGGGACATTTAGCCTATTTACATTCAAGGTTAGTATTGATATGTGTGGATCTAGTACTTTCATCATGAGTTAGCTGGTTATTATACAGGTTTGTTTATGTGGTTGCTTTATAGTGTCAGTGGCCTGTGTACTGTGTTTGTAGTGGCTGGTAGTGGTTTTTGTTTTCCATATTTAGTGCTTCCTTCAGGAGCTCTTGTAAGACAGGTTTGGTGGTAGCAAATTTCCTCAGTATTTGCTTGTCTGAAAATGATCTTGTTTTCCTTTGCTTATGAAGCTTGATTTCACTGGATATAGAATCTGTTTTCTTTAAGAATGTTGAATATTGGCCTCCAATCTCTTCTGGCTTGTAGGGTTTCTGCTGAGAGGTCTGCTATTAGTCTGATGGACTTCCATTTGTAGGTGAACTCACCTTTCTCTCTAGCTGCCTTTAACATTTTTTTCTTTCATTTCAACCTTGGAAAATCTGATGCTTATTTATCTTGGGGATAATCTTTTCATGAAGTATTCTACTGGGCTTCTCTGAATTTCCTGAATTTGAAAGTTAGTCTCTCTAGCTAGGTTGGGAAAGTTCTCGTGGGTGCCATCCTGAAATATATTTTCCAATTTGCTTACATTCTCCCCATGTCTTTCAGGAACAACAATGAACTGTAGATTTGGTTTCTTTACATAATCCCATATTTCTTTTCTCTTTTTTTTTTTTGTTTTTTGAGACTGAGTCTTGCTGTGTCACTAGGCTGGAGTGCAGTGGCATGATCTCGGCTCACTGCAACCTCTGCCTCCCAGGTTCAAGTGATTCTCCTGCCTTAGCCTCCCAAGTAGCTGGGACTACAGGCATGTGCCACTGTGCCCAGCTAATTTTTTTTTGTATTTTTAGTAGAGACAGGGTTTCACCATGTTGGCCAGGATGGTCTCGATCTCTTGGCCTCATAATCTGCCTGCCTTGGCCTCCCAAAATGTTGGGATTTCAGCTGTGAGCTACCACGCCCAGCTTAATTCCATATTTCTTGAAGGTTTTGCTTATTCCTTGTTATTCTTTTTTCTCTATTCTTGTCTGAATGTCTTATTTCAGAAAACCAGTCTTCAAGCTCTGAGAGTCTTTCCTCCACTGGGTCTATTCTGCTATTAATTCTTGTGATTGCATTATGAAATTCTTGTAGTGTGTTTTTCAGCTCTGTCAGGTCAGTTACATTCTTTTCTATGCTATTTTGTCTGTAAGCTCCTGCATTGCTTTATTATGATTCTTAGCTTCCTGAAATTTGGTTTCAACATACTCCTCATCACAATGATCTTTGTTCCTATCCATATTCTGAAATCTATTTCTGTCATTTCACCTGTCTCAGCTTGGTTCAGAATTCTTGGCGGAGAAGTGTTGTGGTCATTTGGAGGAAAGAAGGCAGTCTGGCTTTTGGGTTGTTAGGGTTCTTGCCCTCATTCTTCCTTATGTTTTTGGGTGATGTTCCTTCAGTCTTTGAAGTTGCTGGTCTTTGGATAATTTTTTTCTTTTATCCTACCTAATGACCTTGAGGGTTTGATTGTGGCATGAGGTTGATTCATCCAAACTGGCTTCATTTCTGAAGATTTTACAGGGCCAGTGCTCAGCTCCCAACTCCTGGACTGTGTGCTCTAACTCTTGGGTACCTGTATTGGGCCCCGAATTTGTTCTCTGTCTCCTCAAAGTTAGGAATAACCTGCTCTGTAAGCAGCCTTAGGTGCTCCCAGACAGCTTCTCACCACACTCTGTTGGGTGGTGTCAGCCAAAACGTTTTGTAGTACGGTGACAATGGGATACATCCTTGTTTACATGTGCCAGCAGCCGTGTCAGTGACCGCCTAGTGGGGACATGCTCATTGGCTGTGGCAGGTTGCTACTGGGTGCCAGGGTGCTTGCCTCCATGTGGGCATTCACGACATTCAGCATCTTGGCTGGGAGTGGGAGAATGATGGTCATTGCATGTGGTGGTGCTAGTGGTGGTATTTGCATGGGGATGGGGTGCTGGTGGGCACAGGTCTGTGTGCCCTCTCTGTGTGCCTAGGCAGGGGTGGTTGCTCAGAGGAGGGGAGGGTCTGCTGTTCTCTGTGCCTCTCTGCTGAGGATCAACACTCCTGCAGCAGTGTTGGTGCAAGGATGGGGCACTGGTGGGGGAAGGGCTGGCTGGCTCTGTGCCTGTCAAGGCTCAGACTGCAATGTGGTTGGTAGGGGAGGGAGGGCAGACTGCACTCCTGCTGCAGCAGTGGCAGGGCAGGATGCCTGCACACATATTCACTTGCGGGGCAAGGAAGTCAAAACCCGCCTTCAAACACACACACTGAGAAAATAATGTGGGGAATTTCTGTGGGCCCAGGGGTTGCTGCAGTGTAGGGAGAGAATGGTGAACTGGTGCATAGCCGTGAGGGCCACCTTCCTGGAGCTCTTCACTGATCAGGCACGGTCTGCCGGCACAGGAGCTATGATGCTGGCCCCAGGGCACTTGAGGCTGCCTGCAAGTAATTGCTGTTTGGCTGGGGTCCTGGGAGAGACCAGCAGACCAAGGGGATCTCAGATCAGATTGGCCCCATAGGATGGCCAAGACTGTCCTGCAGAGTTCAGGTCTGACAGTTCCCCTAGGGTTAAAGTCTTCTTTGGAAGCAAGTAAAACATAGAGGATAGTCATCCCTGGCCATGTCCTGTTACAGACACTTCTGCACCAAACCCTCTGGGCTTCATATCAGCTAGCTCCTGATAGAGGAGGGGTAGGATGCCCCTACCATTCCCTTAAGCAGCTCTCCCTTGCAACTTAGTACCTGTGGTGGTTGAGGGATCTCCTCCTGCCAGGATTCCAGAGGTCCATTGTGAGAATGGGTTGCTCTCCCTGCCAGTTCAAAACATCCATTCCCCTGGGAATCGTTGGGGGTCAGGAATGAGTCCCAGTGCATGGCAGCTCTGAGCAGGTTCCCTGTTGTGTTTGCCAGAGGTTAAAGGCCATTATGCAACTACTTAATAAATACTGGCAGCACATACCTGAGATTCATTTCCTCTAGAATATGCATTGGTTTGATTTGATTTGCAAGATATATTCAACTGCTCACACTTCCAAGACACAAGTTTGTGTATATATGCATATGTAACTGTGTATGAGGCACCAAACTTTTAATTCACTGGACTAATGATAGACAATACCAGTAGTTATAGGTGCTCTTTAAAACACATTCTACTGTTTCTATAATGCTTCATTCTTTTAATGTTATTGAATACAGTAGTTTTCATATATGTGTAAAATGTAATTGCTGTCAGTGATTTCAGTGGCTCAAGGAAAGACCATTTTCTATTCTCAAACTTCCTCTCTTTGACAGTGATGCCTAAAATTTCCATTATAATGGATAAAATAAGGTATTCCACACAGAAATACAGGTTTAAAGGCAATAACTTTGACACCAGCTATATAATATCTTATATTCATTCACATCAAAATGTGAATATCTGCCATTAGACTTTCCTGAGGCTGAGAGAAAGCAAGAGTGAGCAGAAGGTAATGGAAAAGCTCTACAATTAGCTAACCTTGTCTACAAATATTAAGCCTTGTCATCTAACAAGGTATGCATAAAGAATATTGACCAGATTTCTTATGCAACAGTATTTCGGTCTTCTCCTCAAGTGTCCCACTGTACTGTGTACCTGAATAGAGGTGAAATGCAGGCAGTGTGTTTTTATTTTAAAAGTCAAGCAGCAGCAGCATGCAGCACTGATGGTTTTAAAAACTACTTTTAGGACTTTCAAGATGTTGCAAAGTCAAACAGCAACATAAAACACTGATTTTTTTTTTAAATAAAGTTTTTCCAAAACATTAAAGAGATTCCACTCAGTTTTGGCCTTTGCTGATGATAATTTAGCCTTTAATTGAAACTTTTCTTGACAGTATGTAATTTGTGCATGTAAATGTGTGTGTGTGTGTGTGTGTGCATGTATGTGTTTCTTGCTGTTTTAAGCTCTGATCTTGATCTTTTACGTTCAACAGTTTTACTATGATATGGCTCAGTATGATTTATTTATATGTTTGTTCATTTGCTGTTTTATGAGAATGGGTATTCAAAATTTGTATTTTAGCAAATTTAGGATTGGGGGGTATTATTTTATTAAATATTCTCCCCCAGCCATTCTCTTTTTCTTCATTTTCTAGGGTACCAATTACACATTTGTTGAACTATTTGATATTATCTAATAGGCTCTGAGATTCTGTTCATGTTTCACTATCTTTTTTCTCTTTGTTTTCATATTAAATAATTTTTTCCACCTATATTCAAATTAACTTACTCTTTCCTCTGTCGCCTATATTAAGATGTGCAGTTCTTACAAGAAATTTTAAATTTCAGATGTTGTATTTTCCTTTCTAGATTTTCATTTATTTCTTCTTTTTTTATTATTATACTTTAAGTTTTAGGTTACATGTGCACAACGTGCAGGCTTGTTACATATGTATACATGTGCCACGTTGGTGTGCTGCACCCATTAACTCATCATTTAACATTAGGTATATCTCCTAATGCTATCCCTCACCCCTCCCCCCATCCCACAACAGGCCCCGGTGTGTGATGTTCCCCTTCCTGTGTCCATGTGTTCTCATTGTTCAATTCCCACCTATGAGTGAGAACATGCAGTGTTTGGTTATTTGTCCTTGCGATAGTTTGCTGAGAATGATGGTTTCCAGCTTCATCCATGTTCCTACAAAGGACATGAACTCATCCTTTTTTATGGCTGCATAGTATTCCATGATGTATATGTGCCACATTTTCTTAATCCAGTCTATCATTGTTGGACATTTGGGTTGGTTCCAAGTCTTTGCTATTGTGAATAGTGCCGCAATAAACATACGTGTGCATGTGTGTTTATAGCAGCATGATTTATAATTGTTTGGGTATATACCCAGGGATGAAGCCCACTTGATCATGGTGGATAAGCTTTTTGATGTGTTGCTGGATGTGGTTTGCCAGTATTTTATTGAGGATTTTTGCATCGATGTTCATCAGGGATATTGGTCTAAAATTCTCTTTTTCTGTTGTGTCTCTGCCAGGCTTTGGTATCAGGATGATGCTGGCCTCATAAAATGAGTTAGGGCAGATTCCCTCTTTTTCTATTGATTGGAATAGTTTCAGAAGGAATGGTACCAGCTCCTCCTTGTGCCTCTGGTAGAATTCGGCTGTGAATCCATCTGGTCCTGGACTTTTTTTGGTTGGTAAGCTATTAATTATTGCCTCAATTTCAGAGCCTGTTATTGGTTTATTCAGAGATTCAAGTTCTTCCTGATTTAGTCTTGGGAGAGTGTATGTGTCGAGGAATGTATCCATTTCTTCTAGATTTTCTAGTTTATTTGCATAGAGGTGTTTATAGTATTCTCTGATGGTAGTTTGTATTTCTGTGGGATCGGTGGTGATATCCCTTTTATCATTTTTTATTGCATCTATTTGATTCTTCTCTTTGTTCTTCTTTATTAGTCTTGCTAGCAGTCTATCAATTTTGTTGATCTTTTCCAAAAACCAGCTCCTGGATTCATTAATTTTTTGAAGGGTTTTTTGTGTCTCTATTTCCTTCAGTTCTGCTCTGATCTTAGTTATTTCTTGCCTTCTGCTAGCTTTTGAATGTGTTTGCTCTTGCTTCTCTAGTTCTTTTAATTGTGATGTTAGGGTGTCCATTTTAGATCTTTCCTGCTTTCTTTTGTGGGCATTTAGTGCTATAAATTTCCCTCTACACACTGCTTTGAATGTGTCCCAGAGATTCTGGTATATTGTGTCTTTGTTCTCGTTGGTTTCAAAGAACATGTTTATTTCTGCATTCATTTCGTTATGTACCCAGTAGTCATTCAGGAGCAGGTTGTTCAATTTCCATGTAGTTGAGCAGTTTTGAGTGAGTTTCTTAATCCTGAATTCTAGTTTGATTGCACTGTGGTCTGAGAGACAGTTTGTTATAATTTCTGTTCTTTTACATTTGCTGAGGAGAGCTTTACTTCCAACTATGTGGTCAATTTTGGAATAGGTGTAGTGTGGTGCCGAGAAGAATGTTTATTCTGTTGATTTGGGGTGGAGAGTTCTGTAGATGTCTATTAGGTCTGCTTGGTGCAGAGCTGAGTTTAATTCCTGGATATCCTTGTTAACTTTCTGTGTCGTTGATCTGTCTAATGTTGACAATGGGAAGTTAAAGTCTCCCATTATTATTGTGTGGGAGTGTAAGTCTCTTTGTAGGTCTCTAAGGACTTGCTTTATGAATGTGGGTGCTCCTGTATTGGGTGCATATACATTTAGGATAGTTAGCTCTTCTTGTTGAATTGATCCCTTTACCATTATGTAATGGACTTCTTTGTCTCTTTTGATCTTTGTCAGTTTAAAGTCTGTTTTATCCAAGACTAGGATTACAACCCCTGCCTTTTTTTGTTTTCCATTTGCTTGGTAGCTCTTCCTCCATCCCTTTACTTTGAGCCTATGTGTGTCTCTGCACGTGAGATGGGTTTCCTGAATACAGCACACTGATGGGTCTTGACTCTTTATCCAGTTTGCCAGTCTGTGCCTTTTAATTGGAGCATTTAGCCCATTTACATTTAAGGTTAATATTTTATGTGTGAATTTGATCCTGTCATTATGATGTTAGCTGGTTATTTTCCTCGTTAGTTGATGCAGTTTCTTCCTAGCCTTGATGGTCTTTACAATTTGGCATGTTTTTGCAGTGGCTGGTACCAGTTGTTCCTTTCCATGTTTAGTGCTTCCTTCAGGAGCTCTTTTAGGGCAGGCCTGGTGGTGACAAAATCACTCAGCATTTGCTTGTCTGTAAAGGATTTTATTTCTCCTTCACTTATGAAACTTAGTTTGGCTGGATATGAAATTCTGGGTTGAAAATTCTTTTCTTAAGAATGTTGAATATTGGCCCCCACTCTCTTCTGGCTTGTAGAGTTTCTGCCAAGAGATCAGCTGTTAGTCTGATGGGCTTCCATTTGTGGGTAACCCGACCTTTCTCTCTGGCTGACCTTAACATTTTTTCCTTCATTTCAACTTTGGTGAATCTGACAATTATGTGTCTTGGAGTTGCTCTTCTCAAGGAGTATCTTTGTGGCATTCTCTGTATTTCCTGAATTTGGATGTTGGCCTGCCTTGCTAGATTGGGGAAGCTGTCCTGCAGAGTGTTTTCTAACTTGCTTCCATTCTCCCTGTCACTTTCAGGTGCACCAATCAGATGTAGATTTGGTCTTTTCACATAATCCCATATTTCTTGGAGGCTTTGTTCATTTCTTTTTATTCTTTTTTCTCTAAACTTCTCTTCTCGCTTCATTTCATTCATTTGATCTTCCATCACTGATACCCTTTCTTCCAGCCGATGGAATCGGCTACTGAGGCTTATGCATTTGTCACGTAGTTCTCGTGTCGTGGTTTTCAGCTCCATCAGGTCCTTTAAGGACTTCTCTGCATTGCTTATTCTAGTTATCTATTTGTCTAATTTTTTTTTCAAGGTTTTTAACTTCTTTGCCATGGGTTCAAACTTCCTTCTTTAGCTCAGAGCAGTTTGATCGTCTGAAGACTTCTTCTCTCAACTTGTCAAAGTCATTCTCCATCCAGCTTTGTTCCAATGCTGGTGAGGAGCTGCATTCCTTTGGAGGAGGAGAGGCACTCTGATTTTTAGAGTTTCCAGTTTTTCTGCTCTGTTTTTTCCCCATCTTTGTGGTTTTATCTACCTTTGGTCTTTGATGATGGTGATGTACACATGGGGTTTTGGTGTGGATGTCCTTTCTGTTTGTTAGTTTTCCTTCTAACAGTCAGGACCCTCAGCTGCAGGTCTGTTGGAGTTTGCTGGAGGTCCACTCCAGACCCTGTTTGCCTGGGTAAAAGCAGCAGAGGCTGCAGAACAGCAGATATTGGTGAACAGCAAATGTTGCTGCCTAATTGTTCCTCTGGATGTTTTGTCTCAGAGGAGTACCCGGCCATGTGAGGTGTCCATCTGCCCCTACTGGGGGGTGCCTCCCAGTTTGGCTACTCAGGGGTCAGGGACCCACTTGAGGAGGCAGTCTGTGCGTTCTCAGATCTCAAGCTGTGTGCTGGGAGAATCACTCCTCTCTTCAAAGCTGTCAGACAGGGACATTTAAGTCTGCAGAGGTTTCTGCTGCCTTTTATTTGGCTATGCCCTGTCCCCAGAGTTGGAGTCTACAGAGGCAGGCAGGCCTCCTTGAGCTGCGGTGGGCTCAAGGAACCCTGTTTGAACTTCCCGGCTGCTTTGTTTACCTACTCAAGCCTCGGCAATGGCGGGCAACCCTCCCCCAGCCTCACTGCCACCTTGCAGTTTGATCTCAGACTGCTGTGCTAGCAATGAGTGAGGCTCTGTGGGCGTAGGACCCTCTGAGCCAGGAGCGGGATATAATCCCTTGGTGTGCCGTTTGCTAAGACCATTGGAAAAGCACAGTATTAGGGTGAGAGTGACCCAATTTTCCAGTTGCCATTTGTCACTCCTTTCTTTGACTAGGAAAGGGAATTCCCTGACCCCTTGTACTTCCTGGGTGAGGCGATGCCTTGCCCTGCTTCAGCTCATGCTCGATGTGCTGCACCCACTGTCCTGCACACACTGTCCAACACTGCCCAGTGAGATGAACCTGGTACCTCAGTTGGAAATGCAGAAATCACCTGTCTTCTGCGTCGGTCATGCTGGGAGCTGTAGACTGGAGCTGTTCCTATTCAGCCATCTTGGCTCCACCTCTATTTCTTTACTTTCATATCATTATTTGTCTGCCAAGATTTTGTATATTTGCCAAATACACATTTACTTTTTTTAATAGGGAAGAGTTATCTTAACCAGTTTAAGATCCTTGTCTCCTAGTTCCAATATCATTCATTTTGAGGTGCAGACAATTTTCTTTATTCTAGAATGTGGTTTATTTCTTTGATTATTTCAAGTTTGGTAATTTTGTATGATATCCTAGATAGTGAGAAAATTAAGTTGTGGAGAATATAGATCATTATGTATTGAAAATTATTGTTATTCTTTTATTTGCCTAGCAATTCTCTTATTTATATTTGAACTGAAAACTCTATTTTTGGGGGCAAGCAGCTCCAGTCTAAGTTCAGTTTTTTGGTCATTGGTTGAGCTTATTTGAATCTGTTTCTTACATGAGTGGTTCTGTCCCTAGTCAGGGATGTGGATGTACAGAATTTGGGAATTTCTGTCTCTTTCTTTTCTTTGATCACTCCACTTTCTTCTACGATCATGATTTCTCTAAGTTCAGTTTTTCCTTTGGTACACTTACCAACTGACATGTTTCACCCACAGCAACTGACCATAGGTTAAAAGCTACAAAAATGGAATTCACTTTGTACAATGCTGCTCCTCAAAAGAATGCCTTTAGATTGCTGGTTTTGGCATTATGGGAATATTTTATAGTTGTTTTATAATGGTGAATTATTATGGTAGATTTGGTCTATTCTTAGGAGAAGTGGAAACCAATAGTCTTTAAAAAATTAATTGTCAAAATGCTTATATTATGTTGAAGGAACAGAATGAATGTGTTTATTATAACCAGTTTATCTGCTGGGTATCACAACTTTCCCACCTGAGGTCACAGAAAAATCAGCAAATTTGTAATTTTTTCTCTTTCATAAAAATCATACATTGGCTGGGTGCAGTGGCTCACACCTGTAATCCCAGCACTTTGGGAGGCCAAAGCAGGCGGATCATGAAGTCAGGAGATCGAGACCATCCTGGCCAACATGGTGAAACCCTGTGTCTACTAAAAATACAAAAATTAGCTGAGCGTGGTGGCGCGTGTCTGTAGTCCCAGCTACTCGGGAGGCTGAGACAGGAGAATCACTTGAACCCAGGAGTTGGAGGTTGCAGTGAGCCGAGATCACACCACTGCACTCCAGCCTGGCAATAGAGCGAGACTCCATCTCAAAAAAAAAATATATATAATACACCAAATATCTCTTTGGGTTTAACATCACCTTTCTGTACTCTCCTATGATATAACTAGTGTACATCTATGCAATACAAAAAAATTTCATGGTCATTTCCTATGTTATTGTACAGTAGTAGCAGATTGAATTATTAAAAGAAGAACTTATCTAAATTTGGGACTTAACTGCATTCACAATATTTATTCTGTCTTTTTGAAGATAATTTGATTTAAATAAATTCCTTGACTGTGAGTGTGGGTGTGAGCATGTGGGTTTGTGTGTGTGTGTGTGTTCTGGCAGAGGGTAAAGGAGAAGGATTGGATGAGAAAAACTTGAAGAAAGGCTTATCTTTCTTTTTAAAGATGAATACAATTGTAAAATGTAGAGAGCTTTAACACCCAGGAAAAACATCAAGAATTATTATGCATAAACCTGATATTAAATAAATATATCAGAGTCTTATCAAGAAGCATATATCACAATAAATAAAAGGTACTCAAAAGAATTTAATAAAGTAACTATTCGCATAAGATATTGGGGGAGGAAGAAGCTATTACCAAAACCTAGTAAACGCTGTGATCATAAGAGAGCTTGCTGTATGGAATCAGTGATCAAACATACTATCCAAATTATTCAGACCAGGTACAGCAGCCTGTCAGAGAAGGAACAGAGAGGAAGTAGAACCCAAACTTCATCTTCTGTTTGTGCCTTTTGATGGCTAAAACTAATCAGAAGCCAGGCAACGCAGTTGCCTGAGATCAAGCTCCTAAGATATAGAGTAGACAAGGGCATACAATGGATGGACAGGGGCAAAGGAGGAGAGCACACTTGGATCACTTGCTTTTGCTAAAATTAATGTACATTTGACTTTTTTATATGGGAGTTAACCAATATTTGCATATTAGCAAAGTTCAAATCACCATCGCTAAAATGAAGAATGAAAATGCCATGCAAACCATAGAAGTAAGTTCTGCCGGTAGATGTGGCCAGAGTATTGGATCATCTCTTTTCCACTTTTATTCTATGATGTAAAGTTAGTAGGTTTTGATGGATGAGAGATGAGAAAGTTTTGAGGTCATGGCCAGGCTCTGTCACATACTAAGTACTGTATAAACTTGGGCACTTACTAGATCTCTCTGAGTATTGGTTTCTAAGGGATAAAATGGTGATAAGTTGTTTGAAAGAATTAGATGTGGCACTCTATGTAAATTAAGGTATATATAAATTTATCAATAATTATTAGGTATTCTTAAAGATGTGAGGTTATTAATGATGTCATTATTTTCCTAACTTTAATCCTGAGAGTATGTTTTTTAAAAATAAACTGGTTGCTATATCAAAATAGGTCATTTGGCTTCCCTAATAAAAATAGTGTAGCTGGGTGTGGAGTTCATGCCAGCTACCGCTTTATGGGCCAATGTGGGGAGGCTGGTGGTATTTCCACACTGTGGTTATGCTGATTTCATGGTTCACGATTGTATATTTTGAAATGCCTGCGTCTTCTAAGTCATAAACCACCTTAATATTTTTTCAGACTTAGAAGGACTGATTGGTAGGAATAATAAAAACAACTTTTGTCTGATTGACTTTGAAATAGGTAAGTTTCTGGGTGGGAATGGTGGCTCACGCCTGTAATCCCAACACTTTGGGAGGACGAGGTGGGCAGATCACGAGATCAGGAGTTCACGACCAGCATGGCCAATATGGTGAAACCCTGTCTCTGCTAAAAATACAAAAATTAGCTGGGCATGGTGTTGCATGCCTGTAGTCCCAGCTACTTGGGAGGCTGAGACGGGAGAATCACTTGAACCCGGGAGGAGGAAATTGCAGTGAGTCAAGATTGCGCCACTGCACTCCAGCCTGGGCAACTGAGCGAGACTCAGTCTCAAAAAAAGAAAAAAAAAAAAAAAAAAGAAAAGAAATAGGTAAGTTTCCATCCTAGTTCTAAGTGTGGCAAAGTTATTTTTGAATCTATTTTTTGAAATTTTGGAATAATTTTAGATAGTTTAGAAGTTTCAAAGATAGAACAGACGTTTCCTGTACGTTCTTCGCTCAGATTTGCCTAATGCTAAGCATCTTACACAACTATGCTGCATTTGTTAAACAAAAAAAATTAACACTGGTACGCTACTGTTAAGTACAGGCTGCTTTTAGATTTTTCTAGTTTTTTTCTCCCCCAGTAATGTTCCTCTTTTTGCTGCAGAATCAATGTGCCACGCTGCATTTGGGGCAGAGATATTTTACTTTCTTAGATTTCTTTTTTTATTTGTTTGTATTTTGGGGAAATACAACTACAGATGTGTAGGAAAGAAAATATAACTTAGGCTATACTAGTTTCCCAGGAGATCCCATAACAAATTGCCACAGATTTGACGGCTTAAAGCAAGATAAATTTTTATCTGGTTATTTCTAACATACAACATTGAGAGGTACAGTATAGGTTCTCATAGGTGTTAATCCCAAATTCCTTTTGTCGGGATTAGAAAGCCACTAAAGACTCAATTCATCTTTTAAACAATTAAACAATATAAATGAAACGTTATTATAGACATGAATTCAATCTGGAAATTGAAACAAACCATAAATGAACAGTTTTATCTATTTTAAAGGGCATGTGCAATACTTATAATAGTAAAGTGTGTGCTTGCTTCAATTTCTGTCTAGCCTTTTGTAATCCAAACATATTATTTAATTTAGATAGAATGTTTTAATATGATGAAAAACTTCAAATTTGATGGTGGATGTGATCTGAAATAATCATCATAGCTGAAACAAGGAAAAATGAAAAGTAAAACTATTTTCTATAATGCAATAGCAATTGAGAACAGACTCATAAAATATTTAATTTTTATTGGAGTGATCTAAACCTGGAAGCATAAAGTATTGTGTTAGACTGGTGTTTAGAGATTTCTAGTCTGCCCTCAGTTCACAGACAAAGAAGACAAGAAACTGAGGGTTAAGAAGCTAAGGGGCTGACCTCTCTCATTTCTGTTCTGCCACCGTATATTAAAAGGGGTTGGTAGTGAGAGAGGTTACTGCAGAGGGAGTATAGTGGCTAAAGGTCTGGCCAGAACTGTGTTCACTTTCCAGTTTCCCACCTATGAGATTTAGACCTTCTTTTATGGCCAATATCTTAAATTGTAAAATTGGGATAACAACTCTCTTCCATTTAGGGATGATGAAAGGATTAAAGGGTCGGTACTATTAATGAATTTGATCATTTGCATAAAGCTCTTTTTAAAACCTTAAATTAATGCTAGATAGACAGTAAATGGTCGTATTATAGTTATAATATGGTTGTACTGATATGGTTGTATGATAAAACCAGCCCTGGCTCTGGAATCCAAGAAAGCTGGTTTTGAATCAAGTTTCTTTCATTTTATCTGCATAAATTGGGATTTTTTTTTTTACTTCTCTTTTTATTTTTTCTCATTTAAAAAACAAAAAGAACAATGGCAGTATCTACTTTATGGGAATCTGGGGGTACATTCTAGGAGCTAACTCCTGGAAATCAAGATTTAAATGAATGTACACATTCCATCATGTAACCACGTTTATATTAATAAACACGCATATGCAATAGTGACAGCAAAGGCATATGACCAATTGGGGACAACGAAAATGTTTGCATACAAATAAAACCTTCCATGAGGGCACTTCTGCATTTGATAGTGCATACGATGTCACAATTATCTTTGAAAAGTGAAGTATTCTTAACAATTTCCTAATCTTAAAGTAGGAAAATCAATATAATATATACCAAAAATGCAGCAATGAACAGATATAGCAAGTCGTGAGTCTTCTTAGTTTTTATGTAATTCAAGTACTGAAGGTAATTTTTAAACACGGGAAATATCACCAAGTGTTCTGTGCAAAGGATATCTTTCCTTATTACATTTTGTACAAAGTAAAATGAGACTATTGGGAATAGTGTGCAAGAAAGGAATTCTGCCTGTTACAGACTGTCAGAATGCCTTTACCAACCTGATACAAGGGCATTGCTTTTTTTAGCAAGAATATGTTGCTCCAGAAGTCTCATAGCTGGAGAATGTTTGAGGGCAGATTATACTAAGTATAGAATATACTGTCAATATTATCCTAAATGGCTTAGTTTAGAACTTGTGAAATAGTGCAACATATGGTAATGACATCGCAAGACGTCATCTGTGATAATACTACTTGAAGTAGTTAAAGTTACCTTGTTTCTGTAGTCTTATAAATTTCCAGACTAATCATTATGGAGGAAATGTGCCATACATTTAAAGGGAATGCTGGGTGACAAAACTGGGTAACAGTTCTTTGACAAAAGGAACTGTCGGGGATAAAACAAACAAATGCTGTTACAATGTTGGAAAATGTTAATATTTGAGAATTAAGCTCTTGCTCAGTGAAATTTTTTTACACTGCTCTAAGATGCAGTGTAACTAACATCCTGTATTATTTAGCATGCTTACCTATCATTTTTGAAATACTATACAATAAGGCCACTAACATTGAACTCATTATTTATTTTCTATTAAAAGAAACCACACTTATATACACCACTACAATAAATTTTCAGGGAGAGTAATCTTTAGGGAGAAAAATAATTTTTTGTTAAATAATATCCACAAAAAAGACTAAGGCCACATTTAAAAAGGAATTAGAGAAATACATAGGAAAATGACTTGAAAGAAAGTAGTCATCTTACAATATCAGTAAAGGCATAATGTACTTATTCATTAACTATTTATTCAATAACAATTTATTGATCACTGATGACATGCCATGTGTTTTTATGGAAAATATTGTTTTGTGTTAAGTGAGAAAGATTGCAATTTTGAGACGTTCACAGATTTTAGCCTTCTATAGTTCTTAGAATAAATCCCTTCAGAGAGACAACATAGCTTCATTTATACTAGAGTGATGATGTTTACAATGCTGGACCTGTTGAGGGTGTCGTACCCAATTTTTTAAGGGTCAGGTAGAAGGATTACTTAACTATAATAATGATAGGATTTTATTATCTTCGTTGACAATCTGTAAGTTTACATTGCTAAAAAAATCTCTTTTTCTGGCAGTAAGGCAGGACAGAAACCCAGACCCGCCCTCCCCATGGACACAACAAAATGTAGGGTAGACACATTTTTAAATAGGTCGGTGCTGGCAAGCAAGTAAAAATAGCCAAAGGCTGAATAACTGAGTAAAAGAGGGAACAAAGAGAGGTGATCTGCGCAACAAGGCCTGTTTTCATAGAAAACATTTGCAAAATCTAGTGGACTTGAGTCAGTTTGTGGGCATTGAGTGATGTAGGAGACAGGGGTAGGGAGTCTAATAGAAAATCCTACTTTACTAAGCTGGGAGGAACCTTGAGAACACAAAAATAAGAGTACAAAAGTGAAAATATATCAGGAATTGAAATAAATATAAATAGACTGAATCTAGCAGTTAAAGAAAAAATGGCCAAATTGAATAAAAATACAAAATTCAGGTGTTCAACGTTCATAAGAAACCCACCTAAAACATTAGGATAAAGAAAGTTTGAACATGAGAGAATAGGAAATGTACACTGGGCAAATCATACTTAAAAGAAAGCTTTGAAGTCTGGGTGCAGTGGCTCACACCTGTAATTCAACACTTTGGGAGGCTGAGGTGGGTGGATCACTTGAGGCCAGGAGTTTGAGACCAACCTGGCCGAAATGGTAAAACCCTGTCCTACTAAAAATACAAAAATTAGCCAGGTGCCGTGGTACACATCTGTGGTCCCAGCTACTTGGGAGGGTAAGGCAGGAGAATCACTTGAACTGGGGAGGCAGAGGCTACAGTGAGCTGAGATAGTGCCACTGCACTCCAGCCTAGGCAACACAGTGAGACTCCAACAAAAAAAGAAAGCTTTGTTGATATATAAAGATAGACTGTAGGTGAAAAACATTCTGGAGATAATATGATTTCATTTAATTTCAGTTCACCAAGAAAGTATAATAACTAAAATTTGAATCCAAGAAAGACTATAACCTTTATCTATCTATCTATCTATCTATCTATCTATCTATCTATCTATCTATCTATCTATCTGACCAATAGAACTTTAAATAGAAATAAATATATGTTATAGTGGAGTCTTTAACAACCTCTCATTAACTTATATATCTAGATGCCCTCCTAAAAAATTAGGATACAGAAGACTTAAAGCCCAGTTAATAAAATTCATCAAATAGGTAGCAATAGAGTACTGCACTCAAAAAGTTAAGTATATAGTATTTTCAAAGAAACGCACACAGGGCATTTAAAAAATGCTCATATACTAAGCCATGAAAGATTATATCATTTACAATAAAAATCTGATCAAAATGTAGGAACTCAATCTAAAAGCTATGTAGAATAAACCTGATACATTTAGAATGCAAAAACTTCTAAATAATGTATATATAAACAAGAAACCATAAATAAAAATTTTAAATTATGTAACTAGACAGTAACAAAAAAACACTAAATTTTACAAAATAAATGTCAGTAATGACTTAGCTATATTATACATTAGAGAGGAATTTATAGGCTGTATTAATTTTCTATTGCTACTATTATGAATTAGCACAATCTTAGTGGTTTAAACCAACAGAAATTTATGATCTTACAGTTCTGTAGGTTAGAAATATCGTGTGGTCTCACTAAGCTAAAATTAAGATGCCAGTGAGACTTCTCACGCCACATCTCTCTGACCCACTCTTCTGCTTCTCCTCCATTTGTAAGAGCTCATGTGATTAGACTGGATGCTATCAGATAATCTAGGATAAACTCTCTGAAGATGAGATGATTAACAGCTTTAATTCCAGATGCAATCTTAACTCTTTCTTGCCATGTAGCATAACATGTTCATAGGTCCTAAGAAGTAGAATGTGGACATCTTTGAGGAGCCATTATTCTGTCTGCCACATAGCATTAAATGCTTATAGAAAAAAGCAAGGCTGAAAATAACAACGTAAGTATTGAAATGAAAAAAAAGTAAAGCATAAATGAACTAAATGAAAGTAATATGGAACAAATGAAATAAACATACACTAGAGATGATCAACCAAACCTAAGATTGAGTTTAACTGACTTATAAATACCAAGATTGATTTAAAAAGAAAAAAGTCAAAAAGATATAACTAGAAATAATAAAAATTATAAAAAGAATAATCAGAGTTGTACTGAGAAATTTAAATCAACACATTTGAAAACTTAGATGAAATGACAAATCCATAAAAATATAATTTATCAAAAGTGTGCCAAGGTGAAAAAAATAGTTGCAAATCAAGGATAGAATTACCTCAGTAGTTAAAAATCATCCTGCAAATATAATTTTCCATACAGATGGTTTTATATGGAACTAATCCAGTCATATATGGAACAAATAATTTTAATCATTGACAAAATATTCCCAGGAATAGAAAAAGTGATAACACTGGCTAACATATTTCATAATGCTAGCAAAACATAGTCACAAAAACCTGTCAAGGGCAGAAAAAGAAAACTGTAAATCAAATACATTATATACATGAGAAAAATTCTAAATAACATTTTAGCAAATTAAAACTAGTCACCTATAGAAAAGTAACATGTCACTACTAATATCAATTTATCTCAGCTGCACAAAGTTTGTTATTAGAAAATCATTTTATGCCATTTACCAAATTTAAGGAAATTGGAGGATTTATCATATGGCAATTTAAATATATTAATATGACAAAATATAGTATGTATTTCTTAACAAATTAGTAAGATAAGGTTCCTTTTAATATCTGTTAAAAGATATTTACCATTATGTAACCTACCGAAAACATCATACCTTTTAAGATTTGTATAAGACATTGGGTGCCTGAAATGGCTATTTTTTTCAACACTATCCTTTCCTAAACAGGAAGAGAAGAAAAAAAAATAAAGGATATATGAATTGGAAAATAAGATTCCTAGCTTTATTATTTCAGATGATTATTATTAAATAGAAAACCTCAAAGAGCACCCAAGAAATGCATTAGATGTAATAAGAGGGCATGGCGATTTTGATGGTTATAAAATCAATAATATAAAATTAATTGCATTTGTATATGCTAGAAAAAATCATTGGTGAGAAAAATTTAATAAAAGCTAATATACCAATAACATTACAAATAAAATGTGGCTAATAAATCTAAAAAATATATACAAGACTTTTATAAGGAAATTATAAAATTTATTATTTTTGAAAAGATCTATATCATGTTATTATGCTAACGATAGAAACTATTCAGTTATCACCAGTTGACCTATATGGGAAATGTAATGTCAATCAAGATTCTAACAGGGTGTTTTGTGAAACTTGAGAGATGATTTTTAACTTTATGTGGAAGAGGAGAAGTAAAATTGGTCAAAACATTCCTAAGAAAGAAGAACAATTTGGGGTTCCTTGCCTTATCAAATATCCAACATTATTTTATGGTTATAGGAACTAAATCTGCATGACATGATGAATATATAAAATATAGATCATTGTAAGAGTGAAAGAGTTCAGTAAGAGACCCATGTATGTATGAAATATTGATTTATGATAGAGTTGGCATTTCAGTTGAATGGAAAAGGATAGATTCCTTAGCAAATGTTGACTATATCTGAAAAGCAATTCCAGATGGAATAAAGACAGTAATGTGCTGATAAATGTTTAAAAACAAGATACATTCTCCTACCCTGCCCCGCCTAAGAAAACCACAACCAATCAACCAAACTCTCATTATTTTAGCGCTAGCCAATTTCCATGTTGTAAATATTCCCATAGTGGCCCATTTTAAGCTACTAATGTGATGTCAACCAGCTCCCCAAATTTCTGAAAAAGTGATAATTGGCCCTTGTAAGTCAGCATGTGCTGTCTTAGTCACACCACTGATTACCAAGGTTTAAATATGAAAGGAGAAACTAATAGAAGACAATACAAAGATTTACATTTATGTCTTTAAAGTTGGGATGTATATTTTAAGATGAAAAAGAACCATAAATTATTGACAATTTTGATTACACTGAAAAACAACTTTTATTTATCATAAGGCACCACAATAATGAAAACAAACTTTTTCAAGAGATGTGAACAACAAATTATTTTTTCCAGAAAGTATTGAGAACTCTTATAAATCATTAGAAATATGGGCAAAAACATAAACAGATATTTCCCAGAAACAGAAATACAAATGGTTAATAATAGGTAATAAGAATTGCAATATCATAAAAGTCACAGAAATGCAAATGAAAACCATAACAAGATGCCATTTTCCTTCAACAAGATAGACAAAAATTTAAAGTCTGACAATATCAAGTGTTGAAAGAATGTGAAACAATGAAAACTCTTCTATATTAGGTTGGTGCAAAAGTAACTGCAGCTTTTGCAGTTAAAAGTAATTGCAAATTTTGCAATTACATTTAATTGGAAAAACCATAATTACTTTTGCACCAACCTATAGTATTTTGTGAGAGCATGAATTGAAAAAATAATTTTTGGAAAATAATTTGTAATCATTTAGTATAATTCTTTTCCTAATTAGGGGTTTTTGACCAAGGTCTGCATGGATAGATTTCAGAGGATCTGTGCATTATATGGGAAAAACATTTGTCTTCATTTTTACTGCATCTTTAATTTCTAACTGAAATTTACCATTTCCTTCAATTATGAGTAAAAGGAAAAACCTATAGTATTAGAAATATCTAGGTTTTAATAGCACAGAAATCACAGATGTAGTCAAATCACTTTACAGTTATTGCAATATTCTCAAACATCACTTATGTTAATCATTTCTTAGAAATTATGGCAGTAATTACACCGTTGCTAGATTTTATTATTTAGTGGAATAATAAAGAAGAGCATTTATGAGTATAACACATATTCAAGAAACAAAACATATTTTAATTGTATTTTCAAAAAATTGGTGTAATTTTAAACCTATGTGTTTCATTTTACTTATTTAAAATGGGCCAAATGTTCAATTCTTCATAAAATTATTATGAAAAGGCATCATAAGTTTCTATAAACTGCCAAAGGGCTTCATAACATGAAATATTTTAAGAATCCTTGCATATGTGTACTAGGAATTTGTATAAGATTTATAGCAGCATGATTTATAACAATAGCATGGTATAATGCAGGAAAAATAATAAGCGACATTTTTTAACAACATGGATAAATAGCTCAGGAACAAAATATTTAAAGTGTAAATTGTAAAATAACCACTAAATATTTATATTATAAAACACATTCAGAATTAAATAATATCTGCTTTAGGGATTCAGAAATGTTGTAAAACTATTTTTAAAAGCAAGGGGGTAACAAAGATAAGTTTAGACTGAGTGGATAAGGGTATTCAGTACTCTTCTAAAGCAAAGATAATATCCTCCACTTAAAGTAGTATATGGGTGCCATGTTGCTCTTTGCTTTTTCCTCTACGCAGATTTTTTAACTACTGATTTGAATTTAGTCAACATTTAACAATAACAATTTTCTTCTCATTTATATGCCCTTTACACAATTACATGAAACTTATAAAAGTTAATATGCTTCAGAAGGGCATATAAGGGAAGGGCTCATTTTCCATACTCCTCTTCCTCCTCCGTGCTACAGATAAATTAGATGGTAAGACCTATTAGACAGAGGGATGCATTTCTTAAAGGATTACAAACTCATTAAAATATTTGGAAGATTAAGAAAAATCTGGTTTGAAAAGAGAATTTAGTAAGCATAAAAAAATCAGCCAATGAATAGAGAAGTATGACAAGCCGTTTTTACTTTTGTCTAAGGATGAACTTTAAGGGCTGGTTTATGGCTTCTCTGGCTGCTAAAAATATACAAATTGGTATCTTCTAAAGAATCTTGAAGAATTTAGGTTCAAAATGAGTTTTTTGCTAAAGTGGTAGGTTACTGTTTATTTGTAAACAGAGGTTAGAATTCCACTATCCACATATTTTCTTGAATAAAGATGACACAGTCTCCATATACCTCAAACCAAAACCACATGATCCAAGCAGACCCCTGAGAATGAAAGGCAGCCAATTTTACATGGGAGTAGTTAGTACAAACTTTGCTAGGTCAATGTGGAAGCCAGTGAACCCCAAAGTGACTAGTCAGGGATATGATAATTTAGAATTTGGGATAATCTTATTCTTCTGGACTTCTCAAATAGCTGAGTTTCGGATTGACATTTAAAGCAGAGAATCATAAAACAAGCTTAGGAACAATTTTAATGATGCAAAAGTAATTAATTTTTCTTTTCCTTGTAGACAAAGCAATTAAGAAAAAGAAACAACTTACATCATTAATTATCATGCTTGAGAAAGCATGAAGAAAAATTTCCCCCAGTTTTAATAAAGCAATACTAAGAAAAACAAAGATATATCGGATTTAAAGGTTTTGTTTTGTTTTATAAAGTCAGAGTGACAGATCATTACACCTGAGACAGATGGCTGCATTGAGAAATCTAACAGACAATTATGTTCTTAAAATAATATTTTTAGCTATAGCACTATTTTTTTGTTATGTGAAACAGACGCACATCTAAACATAGTTGTGTGCTTCATGTCATCAAAAATATTGTAAACATGATAATTATATACACAACCTTAATTTTCTTATGTCCTAATTTTCAAATTATTAAATTATTTGGTATTTCATCCAGTTTATGCAAATTCACACACACACCTGTGAGAAAAATGTTGTCGTTATTTAGTGTTTGAATATAAACAGAATAAAAAATTACCTTGTCCACTGAAAGGAAGGTCCCTCTTTTCCTAACAGAAGTAGCAATCTCATTGTTTGTACTGATTATCCATCTTATTTCACAGTAAGAGCACATTTCAGGCATTATCTTTTCCTTCTCAAATATTGCAATGATACTACTTAACAGTACAATCTTGAGGTATTGTTTTTAAGTAACATACTGGAAATTGCTCTTTTCTGCAAAAATTCGTAATTATTTAAAAGTTATTGTAAGCAAAGTCATGCTTTGTAATTGTGGAATAAGGTAGAAACATTCAACAGAAAAGAACATAATTAATGATAACATAAGTAATTCTTAAAATCACGTACAATTCTACTGATTATAGTTAATGTTCTTGTTGCTGTGGTATGAATTGCCAAACTTTAAATTTTTATTTAAAACCCATCTAGTTTTTAGTTAGAAAAATAAGGTACAAAGACAGCCAATACAGCTCTGCCTAAAGGTTGTAAATAAAATGAAGATTCAAATATGACTCCATTAAACTTAATAGTGATTGAGAATCCTTGATCCTAGATGGGAAAATTAAAAAAGCAGCTTTCCTGGAAAGGGAAATAGAAATTAATCTGTAAGATCAAAAGTTGAATATGAAATGACTTAAGGCAATATGATCAACTGATTTACATTCTGTGCAATACTAACAAATATAAGTCTTGTACATTATCTTGTTGTTATCTGTAACACCAGATCTCTATAATACAGTACATTAGAATAATGGTTTTTAAAAGTCTTGCAATTGTCAAGCTTACTCAGGAATCCTTCAACCCAAGGGAAGCTCTCAGAAGAGTTCAAATGCATCTAGTTGACAGATGCCACAGCTGAGGGAAAGGACACATTTGTTGACTTCAGAAATGAAGCAGAGACTATAGTGTCTGTGATGTTGGGCCTTTTCACCTCTTCTTTTGTAAAGAAATGTGTGGCAATGCTCAAGAATCTAGGGATTTGGAAACCTGTCACATGGAGAAACCAAACCAAAATAAAACAAGAAACAAAAAACAATAACAAAAAACTTACAGGTTGTCAAAAATGACACTGGACATCAAGAATCCTCTGAACAAAAACAATTTTATTTTTCCAGAGAGAAAACAATTCCACAGTCTACAAAAACTCAAGATGAAAGTGTTTCTAAATTATTAGGTCTACAAAGAAAAGATTCCCTAAATTTAGGGCTTAAGAATTCTGTTTGCTTTTTACTGAGCATGTCTCAATTTAATCTGGTTTTTAGAGATTTTCTTATAATTCTATCAGCATTTTATAATGCTTACAGCATTAGTACTATAAACAAATGGTATTTACTTGATTGATTTTAAAGTACACTTTCACATAATTTCAATTCTGGAGACCGTAGAGGAATAACAATTTAGTTCCCTAGTTGTGTTTTAAAGTATATGTGAACCCTGAAGAGAAATAGAGATTTTAATCTGCAGCAAATAGAGGTTTCCATTTTAATATTTCTAGGCAATAGCAAGTGAAACACTGATTTCATAACCTTAAACTCAGCATTTGTCTTTTTAGTTATCACTACTGTGTAAACACCTTTGTTATATATGGAAATTAGTAATGGAGAACATTGAAATCAGAATTAATGTCTGTAAAGGACAGAATTTAATTATGTGGCTACTTAACTGCAGTTGTCACAGTTGATCCTTTTATGACCATATGATTTAGGTAAGTGGATACTTTAAAAAGGCAAGATATTATTTCATTTTTTGTAAAAAGTATTGTCTAATTAATTAGCACAGTCCCAGGGAAGTGCAATTCAAAAACACAATGAGGTTATCATGACACCCCGGTTAGGATGGTTATTATCAAAAAGACAAAAAAATAACAAATGCTGGAGAGAGGATATGGAGAAAAAAGAACTTTTATACACTGTTGGTGGGAATGTAAAAGCCACTTTGGAGAACAGTATGGTGGTTTATCAAAAAACCGCAAATAGAAATACCATATGATCCAGTAGTCCCACTACTGGCATTTATCCAAAGGAAAAGAAATCACTATTTCAAAGAGACATCTGCATCCTCATGTTTATTGCAGCGCTATTCACAATAGCCAAGATATGGAATCACCCTAGGGGTCCACTAACAGATGAATGGATAAAGAAAATGTGGGATATGTTCATGATGGAATACTATTCAGCCATAAAAATGTGTGAAAAAAAATGTGTGAAATCCTGTCATTCGTGGCAACATGGATAGAATTGGATGACATAATGTTAAGTGAAATAAGCCAGAAACATAAAATTAAACACTGTATGTTTTCACTCATGTGGAAGCTAAAGAAAGTTGATCTCATAGAGTTGAAAAGTAGAAGAAAGGATACTCAAAGCTGAAAAGGGTAGAGGGAAGAGGGGAGTAGGGAGAGATTTGTTAAAGGATGCAAAGTTAGAGCTAGATAGGAGGAATAATTTCCAGTGTTCTAGGCCACTGTAGGATGACTATAGTTATCAAAATATATCATAGAGTTTCAAATAGCAAGAAGGAGGATATTGAATGTCCCTACACAGAGAAATAATACATGTTTGAGATGATGGATATGCTAAATCCTGATCTGATTGCTATACGTTATACGTATTGAAACATTACTATGGGCCCCATAAAAATATATACAATTATTATATGTCGATTAAAAAGTAAAAGAAAAAGAAAACAAAATGCGGGTGAAATAAAGGCAATTCCAGGTGAATAAAAGTAATAAAATAAAGTAAAATTAGAAAGTTTCATTAGCCTTTGATTAAATTTACTTGCTTTTTATGCTTTAATTACAGTTCATGGAATTTGAAATACGGGAAGCCTATAAAGAAAATAAGAACTTTACTACGTAAATAAAAGTTAATTGTTTTCTTCTTTCTTTATTTTATTTTTAAATTTAAAGTTTGGGATACATGTGCTGAATGTGCAGGTTTGTTACATAGGTATAGATGTGCCATGGTGGTTTGCTGCACCTATCAACCGGTCATCTAGGTTTTCAGCCCCGCATGCATTAGGTATTTGTCCTAATGCTCTCCCTCCCCTTTCCCCCACCCCCAAACAGGCCCCTGTGTGTGATGTTCCCCTCCCTGTGTGCATGTGTTCTCATTGTTCAGCTCTCACTTATGAGTGAGAACATATGGTATTTGGTTTTCTGTTCCTGTGCTAGTTTGCTGAGGATGATGGTTTCCAACTTCATCCATGTGCCCGCAAAAGACATGAACTCATTCTTTTTTATGGTTGCATTATGGCTGCATAGTATTCCATGGTGTATATGTGCCACATTTTCTTTATCCAGTCTCTCATTGATGGGCTTTTGTGCTGGTTCCAAGTCTTTGCTATTGTAAATAGTGCTGCAGTAAACATACATGTGCATGTGTCTTTATAGTAGAATGATTTATAATCCTTTGGGTATATACCCAGTAATGGGATTGCTGGGTCAAATGGTATTCCTAGTTCTAGATCCTTGAGGAATCGCCACACTGTATTCCACGATGGATGAACTAATTTACACTGGGGAAAAGATTCACTATTTAATAAATGGTACTGGGAAAACTGGCTAACCATATGCAGAAAACAGAAAGTGGACCCCTAACTTACACCTTATACAAAAGTTAATTTTAATTAGAGAGAAAACTGCTTACCTATCCATCCAAGTTAGTCCATTACTTTTTTTTTTTTTTACTAATGACAAATATGTTCCATTATCATAACTAGATTCCAGTTCTGAGTGTGTCAGTTTCTGGAAAAAAAAAAAAGGTTTCTGTGCAGAGCTTATTTCAGTCTTTGAAAGATGTACTGTGGTTCATTATTTCTGTCTTAATTAATGTCTTAGTCTCTTAGTATCTATTTCTTCTCGCACAGTTCCTTTGGGCTGCCAGGCACATGAATTCTTTATTCTTGCTGACGATATAACTATGTTTCCTAAGTAGAAGAAACTCATCCATTCTTTATTTAATTTTTTTGCCATTATCAACCTCTAATGTAAACAATATTCTTTATTGCTGGGAATAAATGCAAAAAATAGAATACAGGGTGTTTTGTGGAAAGATAGGTCCCCTTTGATTGGCAAAGACAATGGATAATGCATTCATCTTCTAATATACAGGCAAGTCAAGGGCCCCAGACTTTAGAACTTTAGACACGGAAAAGGTTAAAAAGTCAAATAGGAAAGAGAATTTTGTTGAAATGCTGAGCAAAAAATATTACAAATATTACAAAGTTGCTGTAACATTTCTGTGACAGTTAATCTCTGGGAACTGGAGATATCGCTCCTAAACCTAATTGTATATTTTTCTTTCTTTTCTGACTGAAGAAGTGATTAGACATAGAGATAGAAATGACAGAGCAGGACTTACAGACATAATTTTTTGGATTTCACAAGAACACATTGCGCAGTGAAAGGTGAAATATGCCACGTGTAAATGAAATTTACTTTATCACGAGTGACATAAAATCACTTATCATGGCCAGGAAGTACATGGTTCCACTAGAGTTCAAGGTGTATACACTGTTCTGCCTTGACAACATTCACCTTCTCAAGATCTCTGAAGCATATACTCAATCTTCAGGCAAATGTTTTATACACATTGTTTTCAAAGAAGATCCTGGTACAAGCTTAATTGGAGTGGCCCGTTGTGTCTTGAATACAGGGAATCCAATGATTTATAATGACAAACACAAATAAAGTTGCATCACAAGGGACTCACCTTGAGTGAAATTAACTTAAGGAGTGAAAACACACAGATGGAAGAATAATATGTTAAACACGATAATAGATTCAGCTTGCTATTCTATTTAAATCACGTGTGCTCTGGAGTGACTGTGAGATGAGGAATTCATCTTTCCTTCTGTTGGTTTCAGTTCTCTCTCTCAAAGTGTGAACATCTCAGGCTGAGGGTGGTTCTAGTCTTTCAAGATACATCGTTTTTGTATCAGATAAATCCCAAATGCCAGTCAACTTGCTCATCTATTGTTTATTTGAAGAAAAAAATCAGTCAGATCTAATGCAGGAGAAAAGATGGCAGTGTCAGACTTAATGAAAGATGTATATCTCTCACAGATGCTTTATTAAAAGGTTGCCAAGGGTCCTTTTGGCCATGCATAATTTCCACCTTTCAAGTTAATTTTAGAGCCCATTTCTAGGTGACTCCCTGTACTAAAATTTCACATCCTGCTACAGGTAGGTCCTGAGCAATTCTCAAAATCTTTAAAGGTCAAAGAGTAGAAGGGCACTGTAAATGAAGAAACGATGTTGACCAGAAGGACTAATATCTTTTTAATACTCTGTTATTAATAACATTCCTTACAGTACACACCAGAACCACAATGTGTGTGAACTACTGTCAAGATAGAGACATGCCACTGCTTCTTTCTCCACATTAAATTCACGCCTCGTTTTTAAGCTTCAAAATTCCAGAAATTTCAAAAAGAGGACATTTATATTAAGATGAAATTTGAGAGAAATCAATAATGAGAAAATGATCTGAAGAATGTCACTCATTTAAGTGACAGTGACGTTAGACAATTCATTAACGGAATTCTGTGAAGAAATATATCGTGCTAATTTGGAATGTTACAACTAATATTTGGGCTTCAGAAATAGATCCTGTATGTCAAGATTCTTTTAAAATCTTTTAGAATTATAGAGGCTGATCTTTAAATTTTAAAATATTTATTATTCATGTAAAATCCTGGGCAAGTCTAAGCCAAAAATAACCTAGTTACCTAGTTACAAAATTGTTATTTAAAAGAAGATTAAAAGGGAATGTAATGAATTATGAACAAGTGAGAATTCAAGAAATTTAATTGATTGTATATGACAAATAAGAAATGTGTTCAATTTCAGAAACTCCTGGATGTTATTTGAGAGCTGCAATATTTATTTATAAAGCATCAGATGTCTTTGAGAGTCTTTGTTCGGGAGCAAAGGATAAGACTAAGTGGCTTAGTTTTTCTATATATATATAATGGTCTATAATATTATGGAAATAATATTTCTTTTGATTTCACAAGAACACATTGTGCAGTGAAAGGTGAAATATGCCACGTTATGTTATATAATATTATGGAAATAATAATATAGAAATAATATTTCTATAATATTATGGTCTGTCTCATCAAGGAGTGACATCAGCTAACCCCACACAAAGGGTATTTCTGTGTCTGACATCAATCGTATTTAACATCAGGAAATTATGGACAAATCCAAATTCAGCAGCATAAACATATTTCTCTGCATAGGGACTGGACATTCTAACTAATGCAACTAATTCTCACCTACACAAAACTCCTGATGCTCTGAACTGCTGCCCACGTTCTCAGCCCTTTTACAACTCTGATCAATAAAAAAAGCTCAAGGAAAAAATAATTATTTATCAGAGTAGCTATGAAATTACAATGGCCATTATTGTCCTTCCTAAAAGAATACACTGGATGATGAAATAATACAGGCATCCAAGATTACTTCTTTTGGGAAGACAGCTTAAGAAGTCTTTTGATAGAAAATAAATAGCCCACTTTGGCAATGTTCTTCTTGATACTGAGTCATTATACAATTCAGTTTTTAACTGAGAAAGCTTTCTTTGACAATTATGAAATAAAACTTTTACAACTAAGACATTTCGTTTTGCTTCATATTAGACCTTTGGGAATCTTTAAAGGGTCATATAAACGTCCTTAGTCATCCTAGACAACAAGATTATTTGTATTATCTTGAATAGTAAGAAACCCTTTAAATTAGCTTATTAATTTATGGATTTTATTGCTACAAAAATACATGTGTGATTTTAGTTTTAAATCCCATCCAAATTGGCTCTTCAACTCAATTTCACCATTCTCATGGAAGAAAAACTCATACCATATAGTTTTAATCTACAGTGGCTTTCCCTTTAGAAATCTACCAGATAGAGCTGCCTGTGTTCCTGATATGGCATAGGGGTAACAGAAACTGTTTAGGTAGCTCAGTGGTGTTTATTTTCCCAGGAATTGGTTAAAAATTGAATGTACTTTGTTACAGTACCCATATCTCCACAAATATTCACTCAAAAGTTACCCTGTTATCTACTTATTACCAGAAGGCAGATTACATGGTTTTCCAATTAATCATAGTAAAAAATAACAATATCTTTGAAAAAAATTAAAAATTACAAATCAGGAAAATCTTCCACACATTTAAGTTATTTAGTTATTTGAGACTTCATAGCAGCTTATAAACGACACTTTGTATCAGCTTCAGTGCAGGGATGCTTTTTTTCCTTAATCAGTGCATGCCTATTTGTTACTGCCTCTTAGCTGTTCTTTCATAATGGGGAGAATTATCAGCACTCCTAACATCAGGGCCAAAAAATAGCTACATTCCTTGGAGCTGGCAGGTGTGAGGTGTAAAGACTACGATGGGAGTTGGAACGACTAATGAGATTCCTGGGATTTTTGCTGTTTTAGAAGTGTCATGTTTTTGCTCTCCTGCTTAGTTGAATCACCTATTCCTGATCCCCTCTCCTCTCCCTCCTTCCCTCTGTTCCTCTTTCCCTCCCTCCTTTCTTCCCCCCTCCCCTCCCCTTCCTTCCCCTCCCCTCCCCTTCCTTCCGCTCCCCTCCCTTCCCCTTCCTTCCCTTCCTTATTCTGACTCTCTTTCAGATTTTAGCCTATGTGTCTCCTCAGAGGAGCTTTCTCAGAATGCCCATTGAGTTAAGTCATTTTATAATATCTGGTGCATAACTTAATTAATAAACTTAATACTGTGTATCCCCAGGGTTTACTTGTTAATGTCCCTCACTGTGTCAGAAGTTTCTCAAATTCGTATTAATTCCCTGTTGTTACTGTAACATATTACCACAGATTTAGTGGCTTTAAATAAAACATGTTTATCATCTTGGAGTTCTGAAGGTGAGAAGTCAGAAATGTGCCTCATTGGTCCAAAATCAAGGTATTGGCAGAGCTTCATTCCTCCTGGAGGCTCCAGAGAAGAATCCATTAGAAGCTGCCTGTGTGCCTTTCTCATACCTCTTTCTCCATTTTCAAAGCCAGTAGCATCATCTAATTTCTGATTCACTGTGGTCCCTGCTTTTGTTTTCACATCTCTTTCTCTGACTATACTGCCTCCTGCTTTTCTTTATAAGGACTTTTGTGATTATATTGGAGCCCCCTAGATAATCTCAAACAATGTCTCCACTTCAAAGCCCTAATCACATCTGCAAAGTAACACATTCACAGAGTCCAGGGATTAGGATGTGAACATCTTTGGAGAGGGTGTTATTCTACTGACCCTAAGTAGCGTGTTTTTTTATTTTTTTTTTATTTTTTTTGAGACAGTCTCACTCTGTCACCTAGACTGGAGTGCAATGGTGTGATCTCGGCTCACTGCAACCTCCACCTGCCAGATTCAAGCAATTATCTTGCCTCAGCCTCTTGAGTAGCTGCGACTACAGGAACGCGCCACCATGCTCAGCTAATTTTTTGTATTTTTAGTAGAGACAGGGTTTCACCATGCTGGCAAGGCTGGTCTCTAACTCCTGACCTCGTGATCCGCCCACCTCGGCCTCCCAAAGTGCTGGGATTACAGGCATGAGCCACCACACGTGGCCAGCATGTTAATTTTTGAATGAAATCTAAGGTCTGATCAAATGTGATATATTGTAGATGTTCAGTGAACATTTAGTAAGTTAATACATAAAAAGGCCTGTTAATACAGTGCCAAATGACAAAATTATAAAAGTATGATGTAACATTTTACCCAATTAGTTACCTTTCCAAATTACAATATTTTCAATACAATAAAGAGTTTCAGGGGCCAATAGTGTCATTGGATACAAAACTCTTTTAGGGGTGGTAACTCCACTTTGTGAAGAAGCTCAGATAGCTCATAATGTGTCCGGAATTGGTGGGTTCTTGGTCTCACTGACTTCAAGAATGAAGCCGTGGACCCTCGCGGTGAGTGTTACAGCTCTTAAGGTGGAGCGTCTGGAGTTTGTTCCTTCTGATGTTCGGATGTGTTCCGAGTTTCTTCCTTCTGGTGGGCTCGTGCTCTGGCTGGCTTCAGGAGTCAAGCTGCAGATCTTCGCGGTGAGTGTTACAGCTCATAAAAGCAGTGTGGACCCAAAGAGTGAGCAGTAGCAAGATTTATTGCAAAGAGCAAAACAACAAAGCTTCCACACTATGGAAGGTGACCCCAGCGAGTTGCCACTGCTAGCTCGGCCAGCCTGCTTTTATTCTCTTATCTGGCCCCACCCACATCCTGCTGAATGGTAGAGCCCAGTGGTCTGTTTTGACAGGGTGCTGATTGGTGCGTTTACAATCCCTGAGCTAGATACAAAGGTTCTCCACATCCCCATCAGATCAGTTAGATACAGAGTATGGACACAAAGGTTCTCCAAGGCCCCACCAGAGCAGCTAGATACAGAGTGTCCATTGGTGCACTCACAAACCCTGAGCTAGACACAGGGTGCTGATTGGTGTGTTTACAATCCCTGAGCTAGACATAAAGACTCTCCACGTCCCCACCAGACTCAGGAGCCCAGCTGGCTTCACCCAGTGGATCCCGCACCAGGGCTGCAGGTGGAGCTGCCTGCCCGTCCTGTGCCATGCGCTGGCACTCCTCAGCCCTTGGGTGGTCGATGGGACTGGGCGCCGTGGAGCAGGGGGCGGCGCTCGTCAGGGAGGCTCCTGCCGCACAGGAGCCCATGGAGGGGGTGGGAGGCTCAGGCATGGCGGGCTGCAGGTCCCGAGCCCTGCCCCGCGGGAAGGCAGCTAAGGGCCAGTGAGAAATCGAGCGCAGCGCCAGTGGGCCGGCACTGCTGGGGGACGCAGTACACCCTCCGCAGCCGCTGGCCCGGGTGCCAAGTCCCTCACTGCCTGGGGCCGGCAGGGCCGGCCTGCTGCTCCGAGTGCGGGGCCCGCCAAGCCCACGCCCACCTGGAACTCCAGCTGGCCCGCAAGCGCTGCACGCAGCCCCGGTTCCCGCTCGCACTTCTCCCTCCACACCTCCCTGCAAGCTGAGGGAGCCGGCTCTGGCCTTGGCCAGCCCAGAAAGGGGCTCCCATAGTGCAGCGGTGGGCTGAAGGGCTCCTCAAGTGCCGCCAAAGTGGGAGCCCAGGCAGAGGAGGCGCCGAGAGCGAGCGAGGGCTGTGAGGACTGCCAGCACGCTGTCACCTCTCAATAATGCAGTTGTCCTGTAGGAAATAAAATGTGAAATGTCATCATATTTGGTATACTCAACAGAAGAGCTCTATTTTAAAGAGAATGATGCCAATAATCCTGGCATTCCTCTTATTCTTGATTCTGCCCTATTTTCTGTTTCACAGGCGTTCCTTCCCCATAGTTTTGTACCATGATTTTTAAATTACAAACTGCAAGACATTAAATTAAAATTATGATTATAAAGCTTTCATATGTTCTATCTTCATGCTACTTTATTTAACTTTTCTTTTCAATAATTAAAGCTATGTATTTCATTTTCCAACATGCCGCTTTTGGAATCTAACCAGAAACTCCCTTTTATCTGAAAGCTCAGATTGTCCTTGAGGCCAAGTAACTACAAAACTAGAAAATGTCATGAGTTCTGTGGTATAATATAGTACTTATTGGAGCTCAGATAAATAGTTGCAGCAGTTAATACTCTCTATGTGCTAGGTATTCTAAAAAAATTTATGACTAATTTTATTTGTTTATGAATGTATGTCTTTGTTTATTTCAGTCTTTAAGGGCAGAAGGTTAAGTTATTCCACAGCTCACTCTTGTCACTTCCCTGTGCAAAGCTTATTCTTTCTTTATTGATTGATTCACTTTTATTCTCACTCTTCATTCCCAGTTTCCTCCCCTGTGGCCTATCACTCTAATCTGTTTAATATGTACTTTTGAATTTTTATGTATTCTCTTACATTGTCATTACAGTTTAGCATGTTTTTGTCCACAAACATAACTTACATAAAATACTGTATTTTTCCTCTTCTCACTAAAGCACTGGCTTTTTAGATAGTTCTCCATGTTGCAGAGAGCACATCTAGTTTGTTTCTAATAGTTGGATAGTATAGTACTGTATAGTGTAAGTCCACTCTGTTTTCCTTATTTATTTATTAGCTATGAGCTCACATAATTGCCTTTATCTGTTTATATAAACAACACAGTGATGCATACCATTAATAATCTGGTGACTGTGGATTTCTTGCGAGGATTTCTTTTTGATAGAAATTCTGGATTAATATTGCTAGGTCAGCAATTTTGACTCAAGAAAGTACCCCCTGCGAGCTTTCCAGGATGCCTGCATCAGCCTACTTCCAACCAGCAGTGCATGAGCATTCTTGCTTCATGTTCTCACCAACACATGACATTCTCATTTACACTGATCCATAAGGTATAAAGTAGTATGTTACTATCTTGAGTTTCATTCCTCTCATTACCAGTGAATATGAGCATTTCTTTATATTTTTGTGGATTACCCTTGAAAATCCTTTACCCATTTGTCTATTGTGTTTATTGAGCTCCTTTTGTTTTTGCTGTTGTTGTTGTTTTTGTTGATTTCCTGGATAGTTTTGTTCATTCTATGTATTGACCACTTCTTAATTTCACATGCTACCACTGTCTCTTATTGTTCCATATTTATAGCCTGTGCTTAGGGTTCCGTAATAGTCATTTCTTAATGGGACATTGGTTACAACTTAAAAAAACTCAAAAGCTGGGCATGGTGGCACACACCTATAGTTCTAGCTACTTGGGAGGTTGAGGTGGGAGGATTGCTTGAACCTAGGAGTTTGAGGCTGCAGTGAGCTGTGATTGTGCCATTGTACTCCAGCCTGCATAGCAGAGGGAGACCGTATCTCTTAAAAAAAGAAAGAAAAAGGAAACAACTCAAATATATACATCCACCAGTATTATCAACTAATAGTTTATAGTGACTCAAGGGAATAGATTAGAAATAAATCATCACATTTATTTTATGGGTATAATAAATAAAAGCTTTATTTTCGATGCCTGCATTCAATCAGGTACTGTGTGTGATGGCATTAGACTGCATCATCCTTGCTAGTGAAGCATAAAATCTGGACTATTTTAAAAACTAGATTTCATTCCGGGGTACCACTTCATGTTCCACGGGAATGGCCTGTAGCTTTGAGTGAGGCTTGGGAGTTGATGGCAGTGCCATCTTGCATTTTTCAGAGCTGGAAAATGGATGGCAGTGGCATAGAATTTATTTTGTAATTCCTTGCAGAATGACACTGCCCTAATCACTCTCAGTTCAGCTGACAGTCAAGATACATGTGAAAATTTTAATGAAAGAAATAATGCCCTCTCAGATTTCTAAACACTTTTGGATTTCTCTTGTGGATTTGCTATCCCACTTCCAGGTTGGTGATTCCTGCTCTCCTGGAATATTTTCTCTGGAAGTCACCAGATATTCACAGTTCACCATCAATTTAGATTTTTGTGTATCACATCTGTTTGGCTTGGTGTCCAAGAAAAATATTCCAAGAATTATTTGAAGCCTTATGCTCTGTGTTTTTATCGCATCACAATTTATTCAGGTGGATGATAGCTTTTGGCAAATAGAAGGACGTTTTTGTTTGTGAGTCATTCATGCACTTGCCATATGACTATGGAAAGACATTGAAAATTGATGTCTATTTTATTTCAGGGGAAGATGAACAAACCAAGGAAATAATTTTCCAAACTTTTAGGTACATTTAAAAGAAATGTCTTGAATCCTAAATATCCCCAACAGATTTAAGTAAGATCCACAGGGGCACCGACATACCTGGAACATAAAGAGGGAAAGAGGGGAGATAATAGAGGGAAGGGTGACCAGCCATCCAGGTTTGCCTGAGACTAAAGGTTTTCCCAGGAAGTGGGACTTTTAGAACAAAAAACTCAGGGAAAGTCCTAGGCAAACCAGAATGGTTGGTCACCCTAGAAAGGGATCCGAGAAGAAAAGAATGTGGTGGATGTTATTAGCGTGCCACTCACAAGCAATTCTATTACTTCATCACTCATTGTGTCAGTGTTTTCCAAGCATTTACTATGGGCCAAGAACTGTGCTAGGCACGGGGACTACAATGAGGACTAAGCCTCATGGTGCACACAGTCCACAAAGTCCGCTGGCTAATAGAATCTGAGAGACTAGAAGTGTGAAGGAACCTAAATAGCTTGTAGTAAAAACTAATTTCCTCTGATTTACAGGTAAGAACTCTAAGACTGAGAGGTTGTGAATGACTGATGTTCTTACGGTGCATTAGACCATTTAGTCAGATTCTCAGCTCTTAAAGGGCTTCTCTGTTTATTGCACTAAACTCTCTCCTCCTCTGTCTCCTATTAGCAGCTATTTGTATTTCAGCCCATGGTAAAGTAAGCCCCTCATCATACTGCATCTGTGGCAGCTAAGAATATAAATTTACATTCTCCTATTTCTACCTTGAGTTCTAGGCATCAGATTAAATTACAACTCATTCCTGAAATAAGAACAAAAATTTACAGAGGAACGCTGAGATAACGCATTGACAAACAAGAGGGAGAATTATTCATATAGAAATATATACATTGATCTTTTGTGTGTATATACACTCAGATCAAACCTACATATTTTCATCTCTCACAACACTGGTTTCTTTCCACTTTTTATCATAATCTTTTATAAGTAGATGCTATATCCTCTTGAGAGAGATCCATACCCTATCCGTAATGTTAGTTCTAGTCTCAGCAGTTTCCTTGGTGCCTTGAACATAGCTTCTCTAATAATGGTTGCCTGGAAATAAATATATGAATGGAAATACATACTGTCTCAAAGTCAAAGTCAGGTTGGGCAACTGCTTTCTTAGCTCAGGGACAACTGGTTTGACCTTGTCTTGACTTGAGGCAGCCTCATAAAAAAAGGCATTTAGTTTACTAAATGCCCATATGTTTTGAGCTTTTTGAAAGGATTTACTGCCACAAGTTCTGTTCTATTTATCTTTTCCATTGCAGACAGCTTTTACTGATGTGGACCAACATCTAAGGTCACAGAAAATAGGAAAAGAGCTAGAGAAAGCTTGTTTTGAAGCTGATCCGACAAGTAAACTTGTTTTCACGGCATCTAATACAGTGTCTGGTGCATTGCAGGTCTTTAAGAAATGCTTATTAGATTTCTGTGATACGTCAGGTAAATGTCATTCAAATATGGGCTCCAAAGAAGGAGGAAGATGCTTTCAACTGCTCAGAAGATAGAGGTGTTTATTTTAAGATAAAGTGTTTGGAAATTGATGTCTATTTTATTTCAGGGAAAAAAATGAGCAAACCAAGGAACTTTTAGGTACATTTTAAGGAAATATCTTGAGTCTTAAATATCCCCAATAGATTTAAATGAGGTCCACAGGAGCACCGACATACCTGAAGTATAAAGAGGGAAAAAGGGGAGGTGGTAGGAGAAAGGGTGACAAACCATCCACAAAATTCCAATAAATTCCATCCAATAAATTCCTTTTAAAAGAAATTTTAATTTTTTACAGAAATCTATCCATGCAGATAAATTGTTTTCTTTTTTTCTAGACAGTCAGATTTTTAGTGTTCACCTTGTAACAAGAACTTGTTGACTTTGTAATTTCCCTTGCCAGCAAGAGCCAGAGATCTTCCCTTCAGCTATACTTGAGACAACTCCTAAGGCGTTTTCTCTCTACTTTCTCTACCCCCCAGGTTTCCTCTACCTTCTTGGACAGATGGTTTAAGGATTGAGCTCTCTGTTGCACATCCTTCTGGCTTCAGAGGTCTTTTACCACTTAACTCATCCTGGACCCAACTATTTTTTATAATGTCTCTATTTTTTCAAATGAGATGCTAGATGAAAAGTGAGATAGCGCTTGGTACATAGTTGACACTGAATACATGGTAATTATTATTACAAATGTTTGTCTGTGTTAGGACTTAGCAGGCTTCAAAGGTAGGGCTGGTTTTTACTCTGCCACATGTTTTTGACTTAGGCATGCTGATACCAAATTTAAAATGAATGAATTCTATCAAAAGTCTTTTGACTACAGTTTCCATGTAAGCATCCTGCTAATGAGCTGATTTTCTTTCACTAATCCTTGAAATTATATGAATTGATTCTTCAATGAAAGGAGTACTTTTAAAAGTTTTGTTTATTGCCAAGTAAACTAATTAATTTTACTTTGCATAATGAGTGCTTTTTCTGAGGTTGAAGTAAAATTTTAGTATGTTAACTAGCCACAACGCAAAAGCCACTATAATTCAGAAAAATTGATTGTAGCTTTTTAGTAATATCATGACAGAATGAATGAATGATTTTAATTTGGTATAGGTATAAATGTATTTTAGCCACCCAAATTATTCTAATGCAATTCCTTAGGAATTATTCTTGTCAGTATGCTTTCTAAATGTCTCGACATCTACAATTTGAAGGGTTATTCAAGAACAATTTGATAGTTTTCCCACTTCCTTCCTCAACCCTCAAACATTTCCATTGTATCTCAAAATTGTAAGAGCTAGTATCAGTGGTTTAGTTTAAAACTATAAACTATAGTGGTAATATAGCCTTTTAGTTGTGAGGACAGCAAATGATGGCCAAGAGGAGGAAAGTCTCCTTGAGTGCAATATTCAAAGTACAATGCAAGGTCTCACCACAAGTAACTAACCCAGTATAAATGGTTTTGATGGTCAAGACCGTAACCCAACCTTTCTCTGTGTAATGGTATAGAAGTAAGTATGTGTTATAAAACAATTATGTACATTGGTTTTTATTTCCTTACATTGATTGTTTCAAGTTGCATTTGACTTTCTCGGTGCTATAGAACAAGATGGAACACATTGCACAGAATTAACGAGATTATCTTTGTAATCAGGAACCTTAAATTTGGATCCCAGTTTTGTTGCTTAAAAGTGTGTGTCCTTGGGCAAGTTATCTAGCCTCTCTGAGCCCTCTTTTCTAGGATAAAATTATCTCAAGAAATTGTTATGGAGAATAAAAAATATTACAATACAAATGTGTCATTTGGTGGGTCCTCAATGTAATTGTATCTACCTTTATGAAAGAATATGAAAAGAATGTATGACGAAGTGATATTTCTATTTCTTGAATGGCTCTACTCAATCCAATAAGATTTTGATATTACGTGACAAATTGCTTTTATTTGCCAACAAAAGTCTTATAAAAACCTTATTTCAGCCCCGTCATCCTGATTTCATTATGATCATGGCTCTAAGTCATTTCTCCTGCAACTCTGTTTTGTTTCTTTTGTATATTTTAAGATAATTTCCATCTGAACATGGTATGAACCACATCGCGGAAATCTAATTAGTAGATCACCTGCTCCACCAGCATGTGCCTTTATCTCATTACTCTTCCCCTGTGAGCCATATGTCTGCTTCCAACATCAATCTTTCTATGTAATTATTGCAGCAAAGAATTTATTTGGTTTTGTAACCATTGCCTTCTTTTGTTGCAAGGCATTTCTTTTCTTGACTTTCCCCAGGTAGACATCCTGCAGTTGTCTTTCTAACCCCATGCTGTGAATATGGTCCAAAGTAATTCAGTTTCTTTCTGTATCCTATGTGCTGATTTTCTTTAGTTCCCTGATGTTGAAAGCCACCATATCATCATTGTTGATTTTGTTTATTCCTTTGGGGCTATTTTTTTTTCTAGGAAGGATTATATTAACATCATGCTGAACTTTGTGACCAAAAGCTGTGATGTGCCTTGATACAATACAGGGTATGTCAAAAAAGAAACTAGAAAAATGGTAAAGAGTGAATTGGAAACAATGACTAGTGTTGAATTTTTTAATGTTGTAAATTACTCAGTTTGAACACATAACTTTTCTTTCATGGGAAAAAAGATCTCACTGGAGAAGTCCCTAAATTACTTTATGGACTCAGGTTACCAGTTAGTTTGGATGACCTTATCTTCAACAGTCCAAGAACTTTCTGAGATAAAGTGAAAATTTCATTGTGAATAATCTATACTTTTTGCATAATACACTATTTTCTTTTAATACTTAATTCATCATTCATTCATCTGATCTACATTTATTTAATACCTGCTATGCAAAAGCACTCTTCTAGGAACTTGGAATACAGTGATGACCAAGACTTACATGAGCTTTGCTCTTCTGGGTTTTTGAGGCTATTGGGGAATGCAGGTACTGTGGAAGTAAATCAAAGTAAGGGATGATGAATGCAGAGAGAACAGGACACCAAGAATGTCTTCTGTGGTGGAGACGGCTGCTCTGAGAGCACAGCATCTAAGCTGAAGCCCGGGAAGTGAGTAGAACTGATAAGTTCATATATTTTAGAGTTGCTTCACAAAGAATAGAAAGACCTAATATAGTAAGAAAATAACCACTTCTAGAAGCTATGTATTTTGTAGTCCTCAGCAGATTACTTAAGAAAGATGGCAAATTTCATCCTTTTAAAAAAACACTCATTCCTGATTCCATCAAATCTCATTATTATATACTTCTCTAGCTCACTATTTGTCTTTTAAAACATATGTAACAAACCTGCACGTTGTGCACATGTACCCTAAAGCTTAAAGTATAATAATAATAAAAAATAAATAAATAAATAAATAAATAAAATTGCTTACATAATTTTAATTTTTTCCAAAATGTTATTCTGAAAAATTTTAAACATATGGAAAAGTTGATAGAATTGTACAGTGAACACACAGACTTGAAACTAAGATTCTACAATTAACATTTTTCTGTTTGCTTTTTCACATATCAATTCATATCAATTGCTTTTTCACATATCAATTTATCCATTGCTTTGTTTAGCATTGATCAATCCAGTTTTTAATAAAATTCATAATTAGTTGTAGACATCAGTACACTAAAACTTACAGCATGCACATCATTAACTGAGTGATAAATTTGTCTGAGAATGTATGTATATAACACATTTTTATATTTGAAGTTTAGCGTATACATGATGAAATGTACAAAATGTAGTTATGCTATTCAGTGAGTCTTGAACAATGCATAGACTTATGAAACCCAAACTCCTATCAAGATATAGAGCATCACTCCTACTCCAGTAACTGCCCTTGTGCCCCTTCCTACGTAATCCCTGATCTGTCACTCCAGAGGCAATCACTCTCACTTATTTTTAGTATATATTAATTTTACCTATTTTAGAATGTTATATTAAATTGGTTCATAGAGTACAACTCTTGTATAAGGTAACTTAGCAATTAATTTTGAGAGTTATCTATGTTGCATGTATTAGTAGTTTGTTCCTTTTAATTGCCAAGGAATGAACATTATATAAATACATAGCAGCTGCTTTAACTGTTTTTCTGATGATGGAATTCTGGGCTCTTTCCAGTTTAGAAATTGTCTTAGTTCCTTTAGTGTTGCTATAAAGAAACACCTGAGGCAGTGTGATTTATAAAGAAAAGAAGTTTATTTGGCTCACAGTTCAGCAGGCTGTACAAGAAGCATGGCACCAGCATCTGCTCAAGCTGCTTCTACTCATGGCAGAAGGAGAAGGGGGGCTGGCAGGAGCAGAGATCACACAGTGAGAAAGGAGGCAAGAGAAAGAGCCAGGCTCTTTTAACAACCAGCTTTTGTGGGAGCCAATATAGTGAGGACTCATTCATTACAGGAGGATGGCGCTAAGACATTCCTGAGGAATCTGCCCCCGTGACCCAAATACCTCCCATTAGGCCCCACCTCCAACCCTGGGGATTAAATTTCAACATGAAGTTTTGGGGGAACAAACATTCAAACTGTAGCAGAGGTATTATGAATAAAGCTTCTATGAACATTCTTATCTAAGTTATTTTTTGTAGACTTAACACTTTCATTTCTCATGTATAAATTCCTAGAGATGAAATTGCTGAATCATAGAGTAGATATGTTTAAATACCATGTGGATATGTTAAGTAAGGTGTAAGTTATAAGAAACTGTTAATTTTTTTTGTGGTTGTACTTACCATCCACATAAGCATACATGAGACTTCCAGTTGTTCCATATCCTAGCTACTTCTGGGCTTCTGAGTCTTTAATTTTAGCCCTTCTGGGATATATAATGACATATCGTTATGGTTTTGATTCACATTTCCCTAAAGATTAATGAGATGTTCACCACTTTGTCATGTACTATCGGTTATTAGGATGAGTTTAGTTGTGAGATGTCTGTCTAATTCTTTTGACTTTCTTTTTTTTAAAATGGCTTGCTTGTTTAATTATTTAATTGTAATTCTATTTTCTCCCAGTTTGTGGCTTGATCATTGATTTATAGATGGTGGTTTTAAGGGGAAGTTTTTATTTTGATAAAATCTAATTGATCCCTTTTTTCTTTTAGGATTATTCATTTCTGTGACCTGCTTAAGAAACATTAAACTGCTTTTAAGTAGTGAAGATATTCTTTTATGCGTTCTTCTAAAAATTGTATAGTTTTAGGTTTTATGTTTAGGTCTATGATCCACAACAAATTATTTTTTTGTATGTTGTGTGACAAGGGTTGAAGTTTGTTTTTTTCCCCACAGGGATATTGAGTGATTGCTCAGCACTATTTGTTGAAAAGTCTTTCTCTTTCCCATTGAATTGCTTTGGCACCTTTATCAGAAATTAAATGACCATGTGGGTCTATTTCTGGGCCCTTGATTTCATTCTGTTGCTATTCTTTTTGTCTGTATTTAGACCACAGTCTTGATTACTATATTTTTATAGTGGTTTTGTTATTAGTGTAGGCACTCCAACTTGATTCTTCTTTTTAAAAATAGATTTTGCCATTTTATTTTGTTTGCATTTATGCATTTTTAATTGTTAGTTCCTACAAAAAGTCCTGATAATATTCTGATTTGGATTGCATTAAATTAACACATAAGTATGGGCAGAATTAATAAAATCTTAGCATAATAGAGTCTTAATCCTTGAACATTAATATGTATGTTTTCTTTTATTTTTCTCTTCAATTTTTGTATTTTTTACTGTGTTTCAGACTGAATGTTTATATCCCACCACAACTCATATGCTGAAGCTCTAATCTTCAACGGAATTTGGAGATAGGACTTTGGGAGGTAATTAGGTGATTAGAGTGAGACCTTGGTCTGATAGTATTATTTTTTTAAATTATACTTTAAGTTTTAGGGTACATGTGCACAACTGTTTTTATAAGGAGAGGCACCAGAGGGCTTGATCTCTCTCACCGAAGTGCCCTTATGGAGTAAAGAGATTGAGAAGGTGGCTATTTCTAAGCCAGGAAGAGAACCCTGACAAGAGCCTGACTGTGCAGCACATAGACTATCTGTGCTGATCTCAAACTTCCAGCCTTCAGAACTGTGAGAAAATACATTTCTGTTGTTTAAGCCACCTAAGTTTCTTGTATCTATGACAGTCTGAGGTGACTAATATGTAGTGCAGAGGTCTATATTTCTTTTGTTAAATTTATTTCTAAAGATTTTTGTGTATATTTTTGGGGATACTATTGTAAGTGGATTATTGAAAAACTTACTTACCATTTACCACTAGTATGGATGAAAATCCAATTGACTGTATGTTGATTTTGTATGTTGATTTTGTTATTTCACTAAAATCACTTAGTAGTTCTTGTTCTGGTAGTAGTTCTTGTTCTGATCCCAACTTAGCAACTTAAAACAAAAGAATGTTTTGTCATAATCCTGCAATTTAGGCAGAGCTCTCTGGGTGTGGGGCAGCTTGTCTCTGCTCCACTCAGTGTTAGCTGGGGCACCTCAAGGACTAGCAACTGGAATAATTGGAAGGCTCACTCATTAATTTCTGGTGATTGATGCTGATTGTAGGCTGGGTACATAACTAGGCATGTGGTTGGAACACCAAGACATGGCCATTCAAATGGCTGCTTGAATTCTTCATTTTGTAGTGGCTTGGTCCTAAGGGTAAAACTGAGAGAGAGAGAGAGAGAGAGAGAGAGAGAGAGAACATGCCAGTGTACTGAGTGGAAGATGTATTATCTGTTAGGACCCAATTTCAGAAATCCCTTCCTCTGCATTCTATTCTTGAAGACAGTCACAAAATTGTCCAGTTTTAAGGAATGGGGAAAAGACTCCACCTCCAGATGGGGGAGTAGCAAGACTCTAGAAGAGCATATGACACTGGAAATTTTGGAGTGATTATTTTTGGAAATACAGTCTAACACAGTTCTTGCAGCATTTTGGTAGAGTTTCTAATATTGTCTAAATAAACATTCATTTTATCTGTGAATGGAAATATTTTTACATTTAAAAAGATCTTTGTTTTTTTTTATTTTTATTTTTTATTTTATTTATTTTTTTTGAGACTGAGTCTCTCTGTCCTCCAGGCTGGAGTGCAGTGGCACGATCTCGGCACACTGCAAGCTCCGCCTCCCGGGTTCATGCCATTCTCCTGCCTCAGCCTCCCGAGTAGCTGGGACTACAGGCGCCTGCCACCACGCCCCGCTAACATTTTGTATTTTTAGTAGAGATGGGGCTTCACCGTGTTAGGCAGGATGGTCTCAATCTGCTGACCTCGTGATCCACCCGCCTCGGCCTCCCAAAGTGCTGGGATTACAGGCGTGAGCCACCGCGCCCGGCCTGCTTTTTATTTATTTATCTTATCTCATTGCAATGGCTAGGAGCTCCAGCACAATGATAAGGTGATGAGAGTAAAACATCCTTTCCTTGTTCCCAATATGGGAAATGTTTCAATATTTCACAATAAATGATATTAGCTATAAGTGATAGTAGCTATAAATTTTCATAGGTGCACTTTATCAAATTGATTTTCACAACTTATATAAGTAATCATAAATCGGTGTTAAATTTTGTCAAGGGCTTTTCTTCTTTTTATTAAGATGATCACAGATCTCTTTTAACCTGTTAATATGGCAAATTACAATGTTTTTTAGAAATATTAACTATAGAATAAACACTACTTGTTTATGATGCATTATCCTTTTTGTAAATTGCTGGATTCAAGTTTTTAATATTTTGTGTTTGGTATTTTGTGCCTGTATTTATAAAATGTATTAGTCTGTAATCTTTTTTTGGTAACAATTTTGTTTTGGTATCAGTGGCATGCTGACATCAATAACGCATGTTGGAAAATGTTCCTTCCCATCTATTTTCTGAAGGAGATTGAATAAGATTAATGTCATTTCTTTCTTAAAGATGTGATAGAATTCACAAGAATGTTGTTTGTGGGATGATTCCTCAACAAATTCAGTTTTAAAAACAGATATGTTTATTCATATTTTCTATTTCATTGTGCAGTAGCTTGCTAAGTCATAAGTTGTTCATTATATTTGATTAATTTTAAATGTATTTAAATCTTGGTGATTTATATTTTATCTCTTTTTTGATCAGTCTGACCAGAAATTTATCAAATTTCATCCCTTTTCAAATAATCAACTTTAATTTTATCACAATTTAAAAATGACATGTACTTATTATTTAATTAGTGTTTGTCTTTGTGTCTTTTGTTTTTTTTCATAGTGGAATCCTTAGTGTCAAACACAGTATTAGGCTGATAATGGATGCCTGCTAACTAAAATATTATTAGATTATGATAATATATAAAATGAATGTCATCAGGTTGTTTTTTCTTTCTATTCAGGCAACTATCTCTGGGCAAATGGTACTTAGAAAAGCAATGCTCTGCCAAATTTTCTTTTAATGAAAGTATAGCAGGATTATAGCTATTCCTGACATTAAAGTACCTTAAAAATATTTTTGAGCTGATGATTAGGAAATAATTACTGACCTCAGAGGCTGACAGTTTTTAGAGATCTGAGGGATCAGCATTTGTATCAAGAAGGATATAACTATTAGGGTAGAGAAATCAGTCTTACCAGAATGCTGGATCAGGATTGAAGATAATACGTTCTGATTTTACTCACGAAATCAGGGCAGCTATTACAAACTGAGGTCAATAGGACCAATCTTTTACTGAGATTCAAAATTTCATTTTGCTGGAAGGCTGCATTAGAAAAGGGAACAAAACTTTGGACCTAGATGGCTTTTATTTTGCCTGTAAGACCTCTTATCAACAGATTCTATGAAAAACTGAGAGTACCTCTCTGACTTGTTATATACAGGTGATATTTTTAATCATTGAGAAGTGAAATTTAATGCCCCTTAATAACAACATACATTTGTCTGAGCTTGGAGACTGGAGAAGCCTTGATTGAGTTAGAAGTATGAAGACATTCTCACATAAGATTTTATTAGTCTTCCATTATTTACAAGCAGATGTTCAAGCTTCTTGATTGGGTTTTATGGGGTTTGTAATATGATCCTCTCTACCTCTCTAAATTCCAAGTTCAGTATTCCCTGCTAGCATCTATTCACAAGATAGGCTGCTTTTTCACGGTCTTCCCTCCACAATCAATTCAGGATGATTATTGTTTTCTCTGGTGAGATTTTGCTTTTGCTTCCGACTTCCACATGACCTCCACATTTTCCTCAATCCAAATATGTTCACCTTCTACCTCTCCATCCATTCAAACATGTCCTCAAAACCTGAGTCAAGTCCAAATGTTCCATATTTCTCCAGTTATGTCAGTTCACAGTGATTGTTACCTTTCAGCTCTCACGACACATTAACTGTGACTTCAAATACTCTCTAAAATTACTTTGTTTTTGTTTTCATACCTTGTAGAGCCAGATGGACTATAATCCCCCTTGAGAATAGTACTATGTGTAATATTTGTATAGCTCCTGGTCTTAAGTGCTCTTCCCACCTTAGCCTACCAAAGTGTTGGGATTGCAGGATAAGTCACCATATCTGGCCCCCAAGTGTAATATTTTAAAAGTATATAATTTAATTTTGTTCCTTAAAATAGATTATGTTAAAGGTAAAGAAGTTATTAAGTAAACAGACTGTGGTCAAACAAACCTAGATTCAAATGTCAACTCCTTCTATTTATTAATGAGATAGTTGGATGAGTTACTTAACATCTCTAACACTCAGTTTATTTGTTTATTTTGCAAATAAGAAGCAATGTAGGCATAAATTAAGAATAGCAAGTTTACAGTCAGGATTAAATAAGATAATGCATATGATATGCATGATACATAGTTAAGATATGCTAGTTACTCTTATAATACCACACCTTTTAAATGAGTCAGTGTTATCTTTAGGAATATCATTTTTGAACTGAGTCATGGTGAAATGTATAGGACTGCATAAATCTTCCACAAATTACCCCCAAATGTTATACTTACTTTAGTTATTTATTTATCTGTTCTTTACATTTTTTGTTTTTGCCCTCAACTTTAAGCTATTGGTTTTATTCTTTCTTTGATATCAATATGCCTATATCAAGAAGCATGTCATTCTTTTTTTTGCTTCTAATGTTATACGCAACAATGCTAGGATTTTCCCTGAAACCTTTGCTGATTTTATAATGCCTATTTTAAGAAATAGTAGTTTTGGTGTTAAGAATCCTGGCCTTGAACTTGTGCCTGGCACACACTAGGGACAATACTTTTTTTTTTTTTTGGAGACAGAGTCTCGCTGTCGCCCAGGCTGGAGTGTAGTGGCGCGATCTCGGCTCCCTGCAAGCTCCACTTCCCAGGTTCACGCCATTCTCCTGCCTCAGCCTCCTTAGTAGCTGGGACTACAGGCGCCCCCGCTACCATGCCCAGCTAATTTTTTTTTTGTATTTTTGGTAGAGACGGGGTTTCACCGTGTTAGCCAGGATGGTCTCGATCTCCTGACCTTGTGGTCCGCCCACCTTGGCCTTCCAAAGTGCTGGGATTACAGGTGTCTGCCACCGTGCCCCGCCAATACGTATTTTTTAAATTAGTGAGTTAAGATATTAACAAATAAATGCATGAACGGAATTAAGCAATCAATAAATGCTTGCTGTTGCCCCTGTTTACTTTCAGATGCAATTTCAGAAGTCTCCTGATTTCTTCCAGACCCTTTCTTCCTAGTTGGCTGAATGCCACCCAAGCTTCAGCTATGTTTAATTCATTTGCTTTTTTATGTTTTTAGCTTGAGCTCTCTTTAGTTCCACCGATTTTCCTTGTAATTTTGGTTTCCTTAAAATCTACTCACATTTGGAATTACATTGAAGTAGTGTATAAGTCTGTTTTGTGTTACTTCAGTCCCCTGTTCTCATAAAGTTTCTCCTTAAATTTAGATCTTAGCATTAATCCTGAATTCTGTACTGTAGTTTATACAAATAGCATGAACTAGATCTTCGGACACTTTCTGAATCCCCTACTTTAGTCAAACTTCTGTATTCATTAAGACATTCCTTCTAGTTAGCCCAGCTCCATCTGCAGATTTTGGTGTTTAAGATATTCTCTACTGCTAGCTCAGTCCTTTGGTTTATTGCTTTCTCTTACACACTGCTGAACATGCCCTACTTAGTATTCCTGTGATTTCTGTTTTTGTGGCATGTAGTATAAAGAATGGACAACCCAGCCAGATGTAATATTGTGCAACTGTTTTTCTTAGTACATAGGGTAGTGTTCTTCTCCATAGAAATACTTCAATATTTGTGCTTTTTCACAATAATTTAAGCTATACAAAGGTTTTAAAATATTTGTTTTGTATCTGAATGGTGCTCTAATAACTGTTTTACAAGCATTGTTTTACCCCAATATACAGTAAGAAATTTAATAACAAGACATAATGCATGTATTCAAGTTATTACTATTAAGTAATACTAGAAAATAGATATTCTCTATTTTCTAGTCTGTTCTACTGTATTCATTTCTACTTATATTTAAAATAATATTTTTTGCTACCCATAAAGGGGTCATGGGTTCTATGTTTTATTATATTCTTGTACTGCACAAAATGTGACATTCCTGAAGTTTCTCCCAAGAGCAGTTGCTGATTTTATTAACTGGCAGTCAGTATGAACTTTACTTAGGGAGGTTAGAAAAAAATGTGTATGAAAAAATATTTTGTAGATCATGTAATTTTTATTATTTTCCCACCGATTCAGTGTTTCATCCCTCCTCCACTCTGCATAGCACATGCCACCTAATCCTTTTCACGTGTTCATCCATGTTTAAAAATTTAAACTCTCGGTTAGCCAATTTGAAATGTCATGGCCGCTGAAAGCCAAAGAAATGAGAAACGTTTGGAAAGAAGGCAAGGTTGGATATTTCTATTACAAACGCAATAATTTTCATTACTTGGGTTAATTTCATTATTTTGAACAATGTAGGATTAAGTTTTCCCCAAGAGTCTTTTTCAAAGTGGCAAAAGGTAATATTTCAAAAAAGGTATTTCATAATATTAAATAATTTTGGAAAATTTAAGTTTAAAAAAAGTGAATTTCTTAACTAAAAGGTTTTTCCAAGTCTTTACTGTGCTAACATGTATTATGAGTCTCTACATGGTGGTTCAGAGCCAGTCATGGAATAGTCGTCTTCCAAATACAACTGAACACTATTGTGGTTGTGGATGGAAAGAGGATACATTGAGGCAGTAGCTGGAGGTCTAGAGATTTCATCCCACCTCAGTGTGCCCTTCAGGTAGAATACCTGACCTTTCCATTTCTCAATATTTTTATATGTAAAGTTAAAAGACAGAAGTAATAATCACTAAGATCTCTTACAGTTTAAGAGGTGAAGAGCTTGGCAAGTTCCCAAAAGAGATGTGGAAGCAAAGTGTTGCTGATGAACTGGGTTACAAGGCTTTAACTTGTAACTGGGTTACAAGACTTTAAATAATGTCTTACAGGCTGTGGCTTCTCACTCTCAGCCTTTGTATTCAACAGTCACAGTTCCACTCTGTTAGGAAGGAAAACTTTGCATATGCCCTAATGTTCGTTTCAAACTCAAGGAAACCCCCTACTTATAGTGATTTAGGGTTGAGGCCACAGACATCTATTTATTTTTATTTTTATTTGTTTTTGAGACGGAGTCTCACTTCGTCACCCAGGCTGGAGTGCAGTGGCGTCATCTGGCCTCACTGCAAGCTCTGCCTCCCGGGGTCAAGCGATTCTCCTGCCTCAGCCTCCCGAGTAGCTGGGACTACACAGACATCTAATTTGTGGCACCCAGACTTAGTTGCAAACTTTGACAGGATAGAAATATGCTCATCCAAGTTTTGCAGTTATTTCCATTTGCTTACCCAGACCTTGAGGAATCAGGATCCAAAATTCAGACAACATTCCAAGTGATAGATAAGTTATCATTAATGAGTCAGATATTCCAAGGTGAAACAAAAGATTAAAATAGTAACTAGGAAAGGAATACTTTCTAGATGGATTATTTAACTATTTGGGCTAATTCCTAGAAATTATTCTCAGACAAGTTACTTTTATTAACTAAAATTATGGTTATTCTGAATAATAGATCAATTAAACACAAATGAATTATCTCAAATCCAACAGTAAGGTAGAAAATAGTAAACTGTAATTATGTATTCAAATGTTAGATTTTGAAAAATGCCTTTCCCATCTCATTTATCAACATTGTAGGGGAAAAATATCATAATGGCATTTACAATGTAAGTATCATTCTAATAAATATATAGTAAACTATATGATCAAATTCTAAAGCTGATGTGATTTTAGAGCAACTACTTTAAGTCATCTAAATGTAAGAACCTCTATTTCATTTTTCCAAATCATATTTTCAAAATATCCACTATATTTGACTTCACGTTCCCAACATTTATGGCTTACCTGAGAGGTCTATGTTAAGAAGTGGGTGAGATTTATTGACCCAAATGAGCATGAATAGAATTTCTTAATTAGGAAATTTATGTTAATTAGGAAAAATGTTAAATTTCCCTCTACTCTTACTCTTCTTCTTTTCTTTTTTCTTTTTTTCTTTTTTTTTTTTTTTTTGAGATGGAGTCTTACTCTGTTGCCCAGGCTGGAGTGCAATGGCATGATCTTGGCTCACTGCAACCTCCACCTTCTGAGTTCAAGCGATTCTCCTTCTTCAGTCTCCTGAGTAGCTGGGATTACAGACACGTGCCACCACGTCCTGCTAGTTTTGTATTTTAGTAGAGACGGAGTTTCACCATGTTGGCCAGACTGGTCTCGAACTGCTGACCTCAGGTGACCACCCACCTCAGCCTCCCAAAGTGCTGGGATTACAGGTGTGAGCCACTGTGCCCAGCCCCTTATGCTGTTTTTGTATATTATTTTTAAAAGTTAACTAAAATTCTTAGTTTATAATACTTCAGATTTCAGAAAAATTGCAAAAACAGTAGAGTTCCCTTGTGCCCCACACCTAGTTTCCCTTATTTTTTATTTTTAATTATACTTTAAGTTCTAGGGTACATGTACACAAAGTGCAGGTTTGTTACATATGTCATCTTATGTTGGTATGTACATTTGTCAGAATGGATGAACTGATGTGAAAACATTGCTATTAAACTAAATTCTATACTTCAGTGATGAGATTTTCTTAGTTTTCAGTTACTGGCCTTTTTTTTCCTTCCAAGATCCCATCCAGGATACAACATTGCATTTAGTATTCACAATATTGACTGTGACTCTTTCTCAGACTTTCTTTGTTTTTGATGACCTTGAGAATTTTGAGGAGTACAGGTCAAGAATATTCTAGAATGTCTCTTACCTGGGAATTGTCTTTTTTTTTTTTCCTTATGATTAGACTGGGGTTATAAGTTTCTGAGTGGAAGACAACAGAGGTAAAGTGTTGTTTTCATTACATTGTATCAAGGTTATTGAGGGTATGTGCTATCAAAATAACATATTACTGTTGATGCTTACCTTGATTACCTGGCTGAAGCAGTGTTTGTCAGCACTCCACTGCAAATTTACTCTTCTTTTTTTCTTTTCCATACACTACCCTTTGTGACAAAGTCACTTTGTGCAACTCATGCTTAAGGAGTAGAGATATAGTGGCTTTAAAAAAATAGTATGAGGATAACATAGGATATAGTGGTGGTATACAAACTTATATAGCCCTTTACAATTTACAAAGTAAACTTATTTATATATGACCTAGTCATCAACCCTTTGTGGTAGGCATGGAAGAAATCATAGGAGTAAGAATAATTGATAAAGTGTCAGTAGATGAAAAAACAAAAAGGAATGGTATAGAGTTCTCCTTTTAGAAAAATCCACTATGGCCAGGCGCGGTGGCTCATGCCTGTAATCCCAGCACTTTGGGAGGCCAAGGTGGGCGGATCATGAGGTCAGGAGATCGAGGCCATCCTGGCCAACATGGTGAAACCCCGTCTTTACTAAAAATACAAAAAATGAGCTGGGCATGGTAGCATGCGCTTGTAATCCCAGCGACTCAGGAGGCTGAGGCAGGAGAATCGCTTGAACCTGGGAGGCGGAGGTTGCAGTGAGCTGAGATGGTGCCATTGCACTCCAGCCTGGGGGATAGAGTGAGACTCTGTTTCAAAGAAAAAAAAAAAAAAGAAAAGAAAAATCCACTTTATGGCAGCTGGTTGGCTTCATGCTCCCTGGAATATTCCATTGTTTCTTGCTCTTATCCTGTATCTTTCCCAACTGTCACTTTGATATTGTCCTTTGAATGTCTTTCTAGCACCCTAAAATCATTGTTACAAGTGGTAATCCATCACAGTGTCTATTCCCTCTCTCCTACCACCTCAACTACATCCATCTCCCCTTATTCCCACCTTCTCACTGGCTTGGGGGAACTCTTCATCCTAAAGATAACAATTCCTGTCATCCAAAAAACAATTCTTCATCCAAACTTTCCTGATTCTGCCAAAAGAATTACCTTTTTCTCTAGGCTACATTCCATGAAATCATCTCGAAATAATTTTTTTATTTAATTCTTCATACCTAATGGGTCAAAAATCATATTCTTATTCAAAATATCATTCATTTGTATCTTTTTTCTCTTTCTTTCTGCAGTCATAGCCCTAGTTATGTTTGTATTCCCTCATGCTTGGATTACTACAAAGTTGTTTCAGTTATTCTCTGTCTACAATAATTCTCTATTGCAATTGTCCTTAAATGATCCATATTATTGCCCATTTCCCACTCCAAAAAATTTAATAACTTTGTGAGTCTTAGCACAATGTCTGTGTCTTCTGGATTCAATGTAATGGATACAACCTAACATCCCACTACTGCATGGCAAACATGCAGAACTCTAACCAGACTGCATTAATGATCCTAAGAGTCAGCCTATTGTCCCTCCTTCATTGAATGCTCTCCTATTGTCTCCTCCATCTATCCAGACCCTAATTATTCTTCAAAGGTCTGTTCAAATTTTATCTTTTCATAGAAGTGACTCAATTACATCTGAGATTCAGAGCCAGTTGAAGCCAGTAGAAACTGGTGTAAAGATAAGCTGGTTAACAGATACAAAATTACAGCTAGAAAGGAGAAATAAATTCTAGTGTTCTATAGCACTGAGGGGTAACTACAGTTAAAAATAATTTATTGTATTGTTTAAATAGCTAGAAGAGAGGATTTTGAATGTTTCTAACACCAAAAAAAATACAAATGTTTGAGGTGTTAGACATGCTAATTAGCCTGATTTGATCATTACACATTATCATATACTGAAATATCACACTGTACTCCATACATATGCGCAATTATTGCATGTCAGTTAAAAGCAATAATTAAAAAAGAGAAGTTCTCTGGATCATTTGGTGTTGTCATTCCAACGAGTCAAAGCTTCTGGTTTCTCATTCTTCTGTATTCCCCACAACACGTAGAATAGTGATAGACATATAATAGATTGCACAATAAATGCATCATGTTGATTGATTATGAAGTTTCTATTTCTCTTTACGGAAGTGGCCATTGAAGCTTGGCTGCTTTCCCCTTTGCATTTGTCTGCCAGCATTAAACATTAATTAGGCTATATATTCCAACTTTTCAGTATAAGACTTTCTGAAAAAATAAATCTTCCTAAAGTGTTTTCTGAAATTTTGACTACATTCTGCTGGCCATTTTCCAAACTGGAGAAGTTTTATTTTCTTTTGGAAGCTCTCCAGACAATGTGAATTTTTACATTTCTTAAAAATATTCCAGACTTATATCACAATTAGAATTTTGTTGACAATACAGAAAACTGCTAAGAAAAAAGAGGAGTTGAATAGAGAGCTGTTTTTTCTCTAATGAAAATGGAAAAAAATGGTATTCAGAGAATTTGTAATTGTTTTCCTACTGTGGAAAATTTAAAGAATTATTTTTAAGGTCATCTTAGAAACGGTTTCAAGTAAATGCAGTGAAGGCCTCCCTAGTTGAGTTAGAGTGGTTTCCAAATCAATCCCTTCAAAAAGAGATCTTACTTAGAAGCTTCAGAACAAGCTATCACAATGTCTCTGTCCTTTGCTTTCCAATAAGAATGGAACAGAACAAATTAGAGAGTAAAAGTGGTTTTGGAGAGTTGTTTGCTAAAGATGAAAACAACTCAGGATGCTGAACTAAAGGAAATTATTATTTTTATCACCAAAGTTTGTTTCAGTAGAGGCTTTAAATGAAAGCACAGTTGCTTTAGAAAGTGCTTGTGGGGTGGTGCTGAGTGGGCATAGGAGGCTTAGAGCAGTAAATTAATTCAATCAGCAAAGGGAGAGGGCACTAAGCCCATCTGACTCTGTAGGATTTGTTAGTCCATTCATTATGAAATATAACTGCTCCACACAGTGAAAACCAAAACATTCACTTAAGTTACCAAAGATTTGTATAAATTATTAAAGCCAATGGGAAAAAGCTATGTATTTCTTTGAATCATGATATAAAATGAGCTCCCGTGAAGGCAGCTCATATTTTGTGTACCATCACATTGACATCAGTCTTGTTTTCCAAAGAGTGTATTTTGCTAAAGTTGCAATAAATCTCTCTCTTATCATTTATTATTTTACAAAAATCAATAAAGCCTACATAGAATCAGCCATGCTTCCTGCTTTTACAGAAGTGAAGTTCTGGCCAGGCGCGGTGGCTCACGCCTGTAATCCCAGCACTTCGGGAGGCCGAGGCGGGTAGATCACGAGGTCAGATGGAGACCACGGTGAAACCCCGTCTCTACTAAAAATACAAAAAAAATTAGCCGGGCGCGGTGGTGGGTGCCTGTAGTCCCAGCTACTCAGGAGGCTGAGGCAGGAGAATGGCGTGAACCCGGGAGGCGGAGCTTGCAGTGAGCCAAAATCGCGCCACTGCACTCCAGCCTGGGAGACAGAGCAAGACTCCGTCTCAAAAAAAAGAAAAAAAAAAAAAAAAAAAAGAAATGAAGTTCTGAAAGAGGTGAAACTAGTAAAAGTATAGATACAACCACATACAAAAGTCCCCATTAAACTCAATCTCTCTTCTCTCATTCTGCCCATCTCCCTTTCACTTTCTCCTTCCATCCCTTATCTTTGTTTTCTTAATGTCTTGTTACCTTCCTGTTTGGGAACTGGCCACATGAAATTAAAGCTGCAGCCCTGGCGTTTGAGAGACTTCATGCAGTGTTTACCTAAAGCCTGTCCTGAAGTGTATGGAACTTCTCTGAGCAAGAGAAAGAATCCACATGGTTTACTATTTCTTGGGAGTTTCATTAGGTTGTCAGCATTCAGTCAGTAGTCCCATTTAGGCATTTTTAAGTACTAAAACTTTTCAAGAATTGCTTTTTCTTATTGAAAATATGAACTGTATAAGGAAGCAAAAGATGATTTTCAACTTTTAACTCATTAAAATCTTTTCACTTTCTATTAATGAAATAAACATAATAAAATGGTATGACATTTTTATGGCAGTATTTCCAACTTCATGGTGTGAAATATGATTAACAAAAATCTCGACGAAGAAAATGCACCAAATTTGCAACTTAAAAATAACATGCAAATAATAAAACACTAAACAGAATAATCACAGGGAATCTCTAACTTAAAAAATACTATTAATAATAGGTAACTTTTATTATGTACAAAAATGCTTTCACATATGTTATATCAATTGATCTCAGCTAATCTCTTCAGCAAACTTAAATTTATTACATACCAATGAGCTAAGTAAGATCTGATTCTCAGAGAATGGGGCTGGCCATTTGTAATAAAGGCAAATTGGAAAAGTGAGGTATTATTCCTATTTCTGAGTCACTGGGGAATATTTTCTTTCCTCCTTTCTTTCCACCTCCTGTCTTAATTAGAGTCCTGAAGACTGATGTCTGAGGATAAAGGGAAACTGCCATTATTTAAGGACAAACTGATTGTTTCTGTAGAAAATTCTACCTTATATACAAAAAAGCAACTACAACTTATAATACTAGTTTAATATACAAAAGTAAGTTGCATTTCTATATATTTGCATCAAATAATGGAAATTATAAGCATTAAAAATAATACCAATAATAAAAAATACTTAGAGATACATTTGATGGAAAATGTAGATAGATAGTAAAATTTAAATAAAATGTTGCTGACAGAAATTGCAGAACTCTTAATGGAGGGATATGCTATATTCATGCATCAAAAGACAATATTTTAAAGATGTTAATTCTCACCCATGTGATCTGTAGATTCAACACGTCAACCTCAATCGCAATTGCAGCATGGATTTTTGTAGTAATTGACAAGCTAATTCTAAGTGCATATAAAATTTAAAAGAACCTGGAATAACCAAAACATCTCTGAAGACGAAAAACAGAGTTGGAGGAATTGCACTACCCGATTATAAGATTTATTACAAAGCTGCAGTAATAAGACTCTGTGGTGTTGGAATGGATTTAGACAAGCAGATCAATGAAACAGTGAAGGAGACATAGAATGGAACCACACATATATGGTCAATTGATATTTGACGAAGGTACTAAAGTAATTCAAGAGGAAAAGGTGAATATTGTCCTTTTTTATTGAATATGGCCATATTCAATAAAATAATCTTCAACCCACATATCACATCATATGTAAAATTAACTCAAAATGGATATAGAGGTAAATGTAAGAGCTAAAAATAAAATATTCTAGAATAAAACAAATATTTTAGTGACCCTGGGTTTTAAACTATAACATAAAAGGCATGAAGGAAAATTTGGTAAATTGGACTTCATAAAAAGTAAAAAACTTGCTCTTCAAAAACATTGTTAGGAAAATGTAAATGCAAGTCATAGGAAGAAAATATTTGACAATTATATGTTGGACAGAAGATGTGTATTTGAAATATATATAGGACCCTCCCAACTCTATAATAAGAGACACACATTTCAATATAAATGGGAAAAATATTCAAAAGACACCTCATCATAGAAGATGTATAGATAGCAAGTCTGTATCTGGAAAGATGTCCATTATTATTAATCATTATATAAATGTAAATGAAAACCATGAAATGCCAATGAAGAGCTATAATTTACTACTGTACCAAGCATTGGAGAAGACATAGAGCCATAAGAACTCTCATGTACTGCTCGTAGGAATGTAAAAAGGTACAACTACTTTGGAAAACAGTATGGACATTTCTTAATACGTTAAATGTACACTTACCATATGATCCAGCCAATCTTTTCTTAGCCATTGACCCAAGAAAAATGAAGTCATATTCGATACAAATTCTGTACATGAATATTTGTAGAAACTCATTATGTAGTAACTCCAAACTGGAAATGACCTAAATATTCATTAATAGGTGGCCAGATAAACATATTAAGAATGCTCTTCAGAAATAAAAAGAAATGAACATACGAAAAGATGAATAAAACTCAGAATATGTTTTTCTAAATTAAACTAGGCAAAAGGTATATACTATATGATTCTATTTATATAAAATTCTAAAAAAAATGACAGTGAATCGGCCAGGCGCAGTGGCTCACGCCTGTAATCCCAGCACTTTGGGAGGCCGAGGTGGGTGGATCACTAGGTCAGGAAATCAAGACCATCCTAGCTAACACGGTGAAACCCTGTCTCTACTAAAAATACACACAAAAAAATTAGCTGGGCGTGGTGGCAGGTGCTTGTAGTCCCAGCTACTCAGGAGGCTGAGGCAGGAGAATGGCTTGAAGCCGGGAGGCGGAGTTTGCAGTAAGCCGAGATCGCGCCACTGCACTCCAGCCTGGGCGACAGAGTGAAACTCCGTCTCAAAAAAACAAAACAAAACAAACAAACAAAAAATGACAGTGAATCTAAAACAGAAAGTAAGTTTTAGGACTGAAGATAAGATGGGAGAGTAGGAGTAGTTACAAAAGGGACAAGGATACTTTGGGGCATAATAGATATGTTCATTATCTTGACACTGCTTGTTGGTTTCACAACTATATATATAAAAAAACATAAAATTTACATTTAAATATGTACAGTTTATTATATATCAATTATATTTCAATACAGTTGAAATATCTAGACTAGTTGCTTTTTATTTTTAATATGATTCATGTTAAAAATATAAGATTAAAGTAAAAATATAGATTTTTCCTTTGTCTTCATTATTTGAATATATGCTGATGTATTTAACCATCCTGCTATTGCTACGCTGTTATGTTTTTTCTTATTTTTCCTGTTACAGAGAGTACTGTGTCTTTATTTGCATCCAGTTTACATCCTTAATTTTTTACTTAGGATAAATTATTGCAGCTGGGATTTCTTAGTTTAAAGAAATACAGATTTAAAAAATTTTTTGATATGCATTATCAAAAATTTTGATAATTCATATTCCCGTTCCCAGTTTTGGGTTGGGGGGCAAATATCTAGACAGAAATTACAGAGAAGTGTCCACCATCTAGAAGTTTGGTTTACCTAAGAATTAATACTTTAACAGCATTTTGTGTTTAGTATCTGCTCTCAGAGAACCGTTTTCAGAATACAAGAATGACATCACTTATGCTTATGACTAATACTATCAGTAAAGACTGATACCTTAATTTAAGGCCAATTGGTTGGCTGTCAATTTTATATGCTTCTACATACACAAAACATCTGCAAATATCTAAAGTCTTATTTTTCCATATCTTCTGGAAGCATATCATTGAAATATGCAGGTAAAACAAATTGTTATAACTATTGAGAAAGAAGACTGAGAATGGAATTATAGTGGGAGTAATAATGACACTCAAATTTGCATATTATTCTACAGTTTTCAGACTTCATTTTAAATGTATTTCTAGATCCTTAAAACACACTGTGACCTAGGCAGGGCAGAAACTATTGTCTCCCTCCAATATATAAGGAAATTCCAGAAGAGAAGATGGGAAGCATGTGGTAAGGAAATTGCCTGGGTGACAAGCAAGAATGAAGAATTTAGGTCTTTTGACCCAGGGTTTTTCCCATTGTGTAATTTTGCCTCTTCCCAGATGGGATAACACTAGCCAATGCCAAATATTGGTGATAGGAATGTCACTAATTCTCTTGAGCTAGAGTGGATGTCCAGAGAAATGTAGAGGTGTATGTATGTAGCATTTGTAGTGGGGTTATATGAATGGGTGTGTGTGTTTGTTTGTGTGAGTGTGTGTGCATGTCCATTTGTGAGTAGTGTAGTTAGTTTTCTAGAGCTTCCCTGCAGGTTGGCTTATCTTCTGCCAATGCGGGGAGAAATCTCACTTAAGCTCCTGACAGTCTCTCTACATTTTCTTCCCTTGAAGGCCAAAGACTTGATGGTCAAAGGTGCTTTGGTATAGAACTGTTATATGCCGAACATACCTGTGGCAAAGCCTAAGTCCTTCTCACATAAAACACTGCCTCTATAAATGACAGGATAATTATAGAAGTCTGAATCGTGGCTACAACATTGATTAGAAAAAGTGCTAAAATATCTTAAAATAGGTGAACATGACCTAATCTGAGAAATTTCTCTGAGAAAATTATGCTTGCACTGGGACCTAGGGTGTGTAGGAATTGAAAGAAGGGTATAGAGCATCCTAAGCAAACAGAAGGGCAGGAACAAAGGAAAATGTAAGAATTCAGGGAAGTAATGTACATAAGTCAATTATTGGTGCCTGGCATAGTAATGAACACACAATCAATCATAGAGATTATCAGCTTTTGTTATAAAAAATAAAACTTCAAATCCAGACATTAGGACCTGTATAAATTGTATAACGACTACCCATACAGGACTTGGCATCAAACCTATTTCAGCATGAAAATAAAGGTCTTTATTATTAATAATTTTTAGCATACAAGCCTTGAACTAAAATTTAAGTTGTCCACAAATATAATTTTAAATTGCTCTTCTGATTCTTCATTTTAAGACATTTTCTTTGTTATAAGCAAATGACTTACTGGCTACTACTCTGTATGATATGGTAAGGAGCAAAGTATTGGGGTCTCTGAATGATGATGCCCAAGTCCTTCCCTCTTTGCGTTCAGCATCACTCACTGCATTTCCAGGACATTGAGCATAACAGCGTGCAAGTTAGTAATTGGCAAAACAAGTACTTGGAATAGATGAGTGATCTCACAAGAAGCAAAGGGCTGGTTCCAGTTTAACTGGTGCCAAATAAAGGAGCAGATTATTTAATTAAATACATATGAGACACATATATTTTCTTGTATATGTGACCTTGAGATCAGGCTCTGATGTAGTAATGCAGGTACAAATGGGCAAGTCTATTTCTACATTAGAGTAGTGTTTTAAGGCTGTGGATGGTCCTTATAGACTTGGCTTCCTTTTCATTTGCCTGTGCCATGTAGGCAAGGCCCAAGTGAAAACGACTGTGTTTGGGAAAGGCGTTACATGTTTCTTCAATTGTTCTTTGGAAATTGATGGTTTCACAGTGTGGAACAGATTCTTAGGATTCCTAATTACTGCTGATAAAGTCATTAGTTTTAGCACAGTATTTCACCTAGTATTTTAAGGCGAAATAGTATTTTACCTTTAAGAACCATTCTTGAATATATGAAAATATTGATTTGGGAATGTCATGCTCTGTATGTCTCTGGAAAGGCTATATGTATAGTGAAGAGCCTTGATATGAGGGGTAGACAGAGATCCGTTTTAGAAACTGATAAAAGCTACTGACCCTCTCCTTAGGTAAAAAACAGTATAACATGCATACGATATCAGAGAGATCAAAGTAGCCCACATCTCAAATTAGATTTGGCATCTCTTTTTAGATATTAGGGTAAAGTTTGCATATTTTTGGTTTTGGCCTTCATAAGGCCAGATAACTGAAAGGTCACTGTAACGTAATTACTGATATCCTGTGATTTTGAAAATGGTGGTTGGTGATGGGGCGGGGAGGGGCAGTGGTGGGTGCTGCTCAGCAAACTTTCCTGTAAAATGTAAGATAGTAATTATTTTAGGTTTTTTGGCAAATAGATAAAATCAAGGATAATATGTCAATACTAACATAATCATTTAAAATACAAACAAGAAAAAAATTAAAACCATTCTTAGCTGAAGGGAAATGCAATACAGAAGATGGGGCAGATTTGGCTCTGGAGCTGTAGTTTGCTGACTTCCACTGTTCACATCATCACTGGTGAGCAGAGGAAAAATAATAACACTCTCACCATCTTATCTAAGTAGTGTATCTTACTAAAATTCACAACTGACAAAAATAAATTAGGATATAAGTTAAATATCTGAATATTCACTTTCTTTTTTTGAGACAGAGTCTCACTATGTTGTCCAGGGTGGAGCACAGTGGTGCATTCATGGCTTACTGAAGCTTCGACCTCACAGGTTCAGGCAATTCTCCCACCTCAGCCTCCTAAGTAGCTGGGGCTACAGGTATGCCACCATGCCTAGCTAATTTTTTGTATTATTTGTAGAGACAAGGTCTTTCCATGTTCTCCAGGCTGGTCTTGAACTCCTGGGCTCAAGTAATCCTCTTGCCTCAGCTCCCTAAAGCGGTAAGAATACAGGTGTGAGCCACTGCGCCCGGCCAACATTCACTTTCAAGTATAAGTAAGCATTCTATGTGTAAATTGGGTTGAAATTTTTCTTGTGTGCTTTTTATGCTGAAATGTACTCTGTCAGTTTAAGCATAAAGGTATTTGTTATTGCAAAAATATCATTAATTCATAATGAAAGTGATTAATTTTGTGTACAGAAATAATTTTTAAGGGCTTTTACATGGTTAATCAGCACAAGACTGATAATTAGCTAGGTAAAATTTTAAAGCATACACAGCTCTTGAACCAAAAATGCTAACAATATACAATTCAAAGCAAAATACTGGAGATTATATTATATCCTACATGCAATCTTATGAAATTGTTTTGTGTTTTACAATTAATAACTTAAAAATAATATGTATAAACTGTTTTTTTCTTCTTTCAATTTTGCTGTCAAAAATATTCTTTTGAATTTCTTCTGCCATTCAAAAATGCATTAGAAATAGAAATTCTAGCCCAAATTTTATGAGGAGAAAAAAGTCCTTCAAAATGATACTAGATGAAAAATTTCATTTTAAGTCATCTTTGATCCAAGAATTATAAAGAATTTAAAGAATGTGAAGCAAAATAGTCATTGGAGAAAAATGAAGTATTCAAAAACAGTTTTGTTCTCATCAATCAAATTATAAGATAACAGATTTTACAAGAGTGCTTTAAGAAGGCAATTCCTTGTAGTTTTACATGTGGAGTGGCTACAATTTAAAAAATGACAAGTTGAAATGATTGCTGTAGCTATCAAACATTTTTAATAAACATGAAGGTTTCTGAGATCTGCTCAAAGTATGAATTCTAGGTACAATGTTCAATTTAGAATCTTACCACTGAAAAACTTCTTGAATTACATTTTGCTGTATACCTGAAAATTAGTGATGTTAGTCATTTAACTATTTCTGTTTCTTGTGAAGTGCACATTTGAACATGTCAAAACAATGCGAAATCACCTATAAATCTCACAGCTCAGTGGGAATGATGAATTTAATCTTGCATCTACTTGACTTGCTTGCTGAGTGACTTCTTGGTCTCAAACAGCTAGCAACACAGTTAATTTAACTGAAGAAATATTTATAGAAGAGAATATAAGAAAAGTGTCATGCAGTTTCATTGCCATTGAACAAAAATGGTGAGGATTTTGAATGATTTATGAATTATAAGCATATGATATTTTATCCCAATCCCACAGTTGTGTGCTCTGAAAGTAATTATAGCATCACATAATGTAATGGGATTACATGCCACAAGCAGAAAGATTGTGGGCTTCTTTTATCATTCTTCTTCAGCTAGGAACAAACTATAAGATGTATAAGACATTTAGCAATCAGTGTGTCATGTGCTTAGACCAGATGTTTAACTACTATTACAAATTAACATTCTGCTTGAACGAAATGAACTTTGCAGATAATAATGCCAGCCAACGTAGCAGGACTTACAACAAATAGTACCTTACAGAGAAAGCATAAGTGTGTTTCCAGAAATCTGTTGAAGAAGCAACCAAATTAAAGTGCTTTGAGAAAGCAAGTATTCTTACATGTTATCTGCTGAAAAATCCTCCCGTCATTCTACTCTAGGCTAAATTCTGAAGTTGTAGTAGGAATAATGAGAGCAAAAAGCTTATAGAAATGGAGCGATGATTATGTTATCTTGAAAGCCAATTGCTTTGCTTGGCTATCACATTTCTAGATCCAAGGTGAAGAATATATTTTTACCCTCAAGGGATTTTGTGAAGTAGCAAGTACGTGAACAAACGTTGGAAATAAAAATGTTATGTTGTACTAACCAATAGTATGTCAGAATCAGAGTTTATTAATTATCGCAGTTAAAATTGTAGAATACAAATCTCTTTCAAATTGTTACAATGTAGACACTACACATTTCTTTAAAATGCAAGTTAATCATAATGTCTCAGTGTATGCTTCCCCAGACACATCATCTCTCCTCCGCAAATGTAACTTTGCCTATAAAAATAATGGGTGAGAAAACCCTGATAAAATATAACTTGTATGTAACTTTTGCTGATTGGAAATCACCACAACAGTCTTTTGTCTTTGTATGTGATTGATTCCTGAAAACAAAAATGTATCCTAAAATGTTTCATTAAAGAAAGTGAAGGGAACAATTTTAAGTTTCCTTCTGAAAATGTTTAGACAGTATCTTTAAGCTTTAATTTAGAAGATTATGAAAATATTATCATGTCATAAAATCCAATACAATCTTCAAGTTTTGGAGTTGAAGAGGAGGTATTTCTTTAGCCATTGTCTACTAGAGAGGAAGAAAAACTTAATAAGTTGATGGCAATATCTCCTCAATGGGACCCTCTGTATGGACAGTCAGGCAAAAAATTCTTCCCTACAACCTCTGTTAAAAATGAATATGCATTTAATATTGTAAATGTGTAATATAAGGACTGCAGAAGCAATCTAGAAACCAAAATTGCTGAGAAATTATTGTTTTTGCCTTCCAGATCAAAAAATTAAAATTTGATTTTTAACATTTTTAATAATATTAAAATGTTAATAATAATTAAGCATTGAAGAATGTTTCAGATTTGCTTTTCTCCAGAAAAACCTTGGCTCAGTTGAGTACTAGTTTTTTAGTATTTGTTCATTAAACATTTGGCTAACATTTTTAATCAGCTCAGCTCTAGAAAACAGAACCCCTAAAGTCAGACAACATAAAGATAAATACATATTGCCCTAATGAATCCTCATAAGACCATATAAAAAAGATTATTATTCTCATTTTTAGATGTAGAAACTGAGGCTAGGTAAGTTAACTTGCCCGAGGTCACACAGTTGGATCATAGAGTTGGGTTTCAAGTTACAGCAATCCTATTCTAGAGATAGTTTTAGAGAATATTTGCAAATATAGGACAAAAAATACCTGTACACCTTCCACCCAGCTTCCCCTTATTTTAACATCTAATATAAGCATTGAACAATTATCAAAATTAATAAATTAACCTTGGTACAGTGCTATTAACAACACAACAAAATTTATTCAGATTTTTGCAGTTTTTCAACTAAGTCCTTTTTCTGTTCCAAGATCCAGTCCAGGATGCCACAGTGCATTTAATTGTCCTGTCTCCATGCTCTCATCCAATCTGACAGTTCATCCTTTGTGTTTCATGATGACCTTGATAACTTTGAAGAGTCTTGATCAGCTATTTTGTAGATTGTATTCAATTTGGACTGGTTTGATGTTTTTGTGATATGATTGATGCTATATATTGTTGGGAATGATACCACAGAAATAATATTCCCTTTTCCTCTTGGTGCATGAGATTAGGAGTTACATAATGTTGATATGTATTGCTGGTGATATTATCACTGATCACTCCTTTAAGATGGCATCTACACATATTCTTCATATTCTATATGTATGGTTTTTTTGTTGCATTTCTTGACATGATATTCTTTTGATTCTTCTATTACCTCTCTGCTCCTTTTTTAGATGATAATAACTAGTTTTTCTCTGGTCAACCCTTAGATGTTGGTGTCCCTTAGGATTTTTTTTAATGATCCCTCTTCTCTCCTCATTGCATCAGTGTATCTCATCCACTCGCATAGATCCACTGTCATTTATAAACTGCTGATTTTAAAGTGTAAGTCCCTCCCCAAACTTTGGACCTTATAGCCAAATGAATACATTTACTTGGATAGTCAAAGGTACCACAAAATTAACATATCCAGAACTAAACTTACCTTCTTTTCCATCTGTACACTCCCTCTGTGTTTCTTAAATAAGCAATCAGTGCAATCATATATGCAGTGTTTTAAGTGAGGAGTATTGGGGTGATTATTTCATTATTTCCTACTTCCTCTACTCTGCCCCAGCATTTGCATTCATTGTGCTTTGCCATTTTTACCTTTTATCCCCACAGCCACAAATACGGGCCATATTAATTTCTCGTTTGTATTACTTCACCTACTGCGTATTGAGTCTCTCTGTCTCTACTCTGTATTTTCTAGTCAACTCTCCACACTTTACAGCCTAGCGAATCCTGTATTTCTGATGGGAGATTCATGTAAGGATATAACCCACTATGTGCTAGGGATTATATTTTTTATTAATTCGCTTATTCATTCATTCAATTATCAAATATTTTTTGAGTATCTCCTATGGACCAGCCACTGTGCCAGGCACTGAGGTTGCTTGGATGAACTAGGATTCTGCCTTCATGGACTTCATGGATACAATGTCATCTCACCAAAGAGCGCATTCTTGGCTATCTTATGCAGAATATCACTACACTTTTTTGTGCTTCTCTAATTCTACTTTCTTGACATATTGTACATTATTTTTTTCATTTGTTTACTATTTATCTCCTATCTCTAAAATATATATACTGAGAGTGATGGAAACTTAAGTCTATTTGTTCACTACTATATCCCAAGACCCAGAACAGTATCTGGTACATAGTAGTGTCATTACAAATATTTTTGAATGAAAGAATGAATTCTAGTTTGGGGTAAAATAAATAAGAATCCAATTAAAAATTAAAGTTCTTATAGACTTCAGGTAAGTACTATGAATAAGATAAACAGGATGCCCCATAAGACAGTAACTGAAGAGATGGTTTACTTTTAGACAAGCAATTGGAGAGAACCTCTTTTAAGCTGAGATCTGAACCATGAAAAAGACCCAGACATATAAATGTCAGGGAACAAGATATTCCAGAAAGGTGAAGGAACTTTTACAAAATTCCTCAAGCAGGACAAAAAGGTCACTGTTGTTACAGTATGGAGCATGACACAAGGTGAGGCTGGACATGGGAAGGGGCTTGGGTTTTATTGTAGTCATTGAGAAAGCTGGTGACAATAAAATTCCTTAGTAGTACATATCCAACGTGGATTTAAGTGTGTAAGTGTCTGCCTCTCATGCCAAAAGCTCTGTGAAGGCAAAGAGCATGTATGTGGGTGCTCATGCTCTAAGCATGGTATATGGCAAGCACTTAAAAAATGGATTGATAATATGAACGCCTGGAATTAGCTTCATATACATGAACATTCTCTTTCATTGCCATCTTTAATAAACACTTTGGGAATGCTTGATTATATAATCTCACCTATTGTTATGTTGAACTTGTAAGCATCCTTCTCTAAGATCCTATCAAGTAGTCTTTACAAAGTTGATTTTATGATCTAGAAGTAAAAAACTTGTCTTCTTTTGTTTGGTTGCTCCCCTCCCCTCTTCAAATTAAGATTAATGGGTAAGAATTTTCTTTTTGTGATTTGTGAGTTTCTTTTCACTGGGAGAGTTCAAGCAAAATCTGACTCATAATTTGTCAGTTATTCAATAGCAAGTTGCTTATATTGGAAAGGTGTGGACTACTGGAGAACAATAATATTCACCACAAGCCTAAGATGGTGTGTTTCATGGCTATGATAATAAATCTTTCTAATAACTCAATGAATAAGTTAAATTAGGTTACTTTGATGAAAAGAAGTTTTGTCTTGACTTGGCAGCCTCTAACTTAGTGTTTGACCTTGAAAAGATACAGTTTTGGCTTCCAGTTACACTTACATTGTACTCGTAGTCAATAAAAATGCTAATACGTATTTTGTAAATAAAACAATAATAGCAAGAAATTGGAGATGTAGCTGAGTGCTGCATAAAAGGCAAAAAAAACCTTTTCTAGACCAAAGTGTTTCTTATACTGTAATTGCGTACATCTTAATGTCTTTTCTGTGCTCTCTCTGACTTACTTTTGGAAAAGAGGAGTTAAAATTTCATAGACTCTAGTCTTTTGAAGGTTCTTATGAAAATGAAGATATAGATTAAGTTGCATGCGATGAGTTTCTCATTTTCTGGTGACTTTTTAAGGGAGTTTTCAAACATTTAAATATAAATAAATGTAGAATAACCAGATTCAGACTCACGTTCTGTATGCATACCCTAGAATTTATCAAAATCACATTTGTGATTAACAAAACTGTTTTATTAAAAAACTTTCTCAGTCTTAAATATGATAATTAAATAGTTTTTTGTCCCCCTCCCTAATGGAGAAGCTTAAAACAATTCTGTAGGCGGTTTCATTGTTAGCTTTCCATTGTTAGCCTTTTCTATCTCCTTTACTGCTTCTCTCCTTTTTTCTTTGTCCATGTAAATGTTAGCTTTCTGATTGCATACAAAATAAGCACAGCATTAATCACAGCCTAATGAGCAACCCAATTATATAAAATCCAAACTTACTAAAAAAATTACTCAGTAGTTTGAACACACCCAAGTTTCTCTATAAAGCAGGCTTATTTAAATATTACTACACATACATGCTCTTTACAAGCGAAAAATGTCCACAAGGCTGCTGTGGTTTAGTTTATTCCCCTGATTTGAGGCACATTAATGTCTATGTGAAATATGCTAAAGCTCAATAGAAATGAATCTCATTAGTATTTAAATATAACAATTAATTTATGTTGTTATTTATTGGCCAATTATATTAGAAATTATAGTGTTTAACGGAGGACAATCAGATTTCCAAGAGCTATAATTTTGCTGCATTGGGTAGGAGACATATAAAATCAATGGTCTCAGCAATAGCATTCACTTTGTTTCCCCCATCTTCTTCTAAATATATCTACTTTTATACATAAGAAATGTCCGCGTGCTAAAGTACATTTTCTCAAATTTTACATTGGAGTTCCAATGATTTAGAGTAAAAGTTAATCTTCCTCTTCACTGCTCTTTTTCCCTTTCCCTTATCTAAAGCTGCATATACAATAACCCTGGGTTTCTTAAAAAGTCTAGATTTTGGTTAAATATTTTTCACAATGCATTTACAAAATATATTACACTTTTTCCTTTGAGGAAATAATATTATGACAATAAGCATCATATTATATCTTGTGCATATATTAACTTTTCCAAGGATTCTTCCTGATTTTTCCAGCCAGGAATAACCTCTTTCTCTGTTCAACTTCCATAGCATTATGTTTGGACTTCTCTTATGGCATTTAACTGCATTTTGTTTGTTTGTTTGTTTGTTTTTGAGATGGAGTCTTGCTCTGTCGCCCAGGCTGGAGTGCAGTGGTGCAATCTCGGCTCACTGCAAGATCTGCCTCCCGGGTTCACGCCATTCTCCTGCCTCAGCCTCCCGAGTAGCTGGGACCACAGGCGCCCGCCACCATGCTGGCTAATTTTTTTGTATTTTTAGTAGAGGCGGAGTTTCACCATGTTGGCCAGGATGGTCTCGATCTCCTGACTTTGTGATCCGCCCTCCTTGGCCTCCCAAAGTGCTGGGATTACAGGCGTGAGCCACTGCGCCTGGCCACATTTTGGTTTTTGTGATTTTGAACATAAAGTCATATGAAGATTGTTTTGAAACAAACAAGAAAATAGGATTGTGTATTTGGCAACAATGGTCATCGTGATAAGCAGTTTGTGTCTCTAAGATTCTTAAGATTTCAAAATAATTTGGTTAAAATATAAATATCTTGTTTAATAATAGATTTGTCACCTCAAAGTTTATTTCGGGAGGTGAAATCAGGAAGAATGGGCCAGATTTTATGAAGGGGTTTTCTCAGGGGAGAGGATTCAGTGTATGGCACTCCATCAGGGAGGGAGGAAGCAGGTGACAGAGGCTGTGTATGTGCAGGAGGTGGAGGGGCAATGCCCCTACCAGGGGCCTCCTGAGAGGTCCTCAGCCCAATGGGCCCTGAATAAAGGAAAGAAGCGGGTAAAGAAAGTGACATGGAAAACATTGTAATTACCCTTCACAATTCAACTCCAAATGGCCCAAATGAAGACGATAATTTGCCTAAAACTCATGTTGCTAATAAGTCCAGAACAGGAATTTTGACTCAGATATATCAGCGTCAACATTTTGCTGATTGACCAATGGCAATGCTAGTTAATATTCCCCAATAGCACTCTTTCCCCCAAACATCATTACTTTAGTTAGGCAGTGATATCACAACAAATAAAAAACAGATATTTTAAATCCTTTCCTCCCACCATCAGTCTAGAACAGTGCTACTCAAAGTGTCTGACAGAACTAATTGTTTCCCAGTTCACACAGGGATAAGGAGCTTCAGCCAGATGGAAATTAACCGCATCACCAAATACCCTGTTTTATACAGCTGACATTTTTTCATAGTCAGACATTTTTTTTGGGAAGGAATCAGTGTGTTGATTGACATTCTGGTACCAGCCCCTCATCTCATTGTTATGGACTGGGAGGCGTGTTTGAGGACAAGCACTGATCCTGGTTCGCACTTTGAGTGACACTGAATCTGGGGCCCTATCCCAGGCTTACTGAACCAGAATCTGAGGTTGATCCATATGTGTATGACGTTTTAAAACTGGTATAGAAGACATTTTAAAAAGTACTGGCCATGGAGAATATTTTAAAGTCCACTTTAAAATATGCTATGTTTTACATGATCATTAAGCAAAAGCTGCCAAAAAGAAGATTTTTGGATTTGCTTTGTTTGGCATCTCACATTTGGATAGTCTTTGAAGATATTCAATAAGTACTCACACATGAATGATACTTTAACATTTCAAAGATCTTCATAGTCCTGGATTCTCTTGGTTCTCGAAATGACCCTGTGTTATTTCTGTTATACATATGAGGTAATTCAGGCTTAGTGAGATTAGCCCTAAACCACAGCTAGCAAACTGGACAGTCAGAACATAGCCTTAGCTTTCTAGGGCCCTTCTTTCCACTTGATTTCTTTGTGATAGTTTTCCTGTTTTATCTCACTATGAATGGGAGATATTCACCATAGTAGACATCCATAAAAGTATGTTTAGGAAGAAATTGTAGATTTTACTAGGGGAATTGCCCTGTAAAATATTTATACAACAGTTATTACCATATTTTGAAATATATACAATTTACATGTTTAAGTTGTGAGGCAACCAGTGGAAGTATATTAATACACAACATTTCAAAGCCTAACCTTTGCCCAGGGGATAGAGAAAAATATGAGTTCAATTACATTGTAAATGAACATCTTGCAACATATAAACAGCCCAAAGCATATTACATCACAATGCTCTAATAAAAATTAATTAAAACAAGGAAATAACCTGTCACAAGTACCAAAATGTACCCAAGAGCCAATAAAAAAAGATGCAGATGAGATTCCCCAGTCAGCCTTGGACATTTGTAGGTCCTTTTCCTCGATGGTGAAGTCTGTAAAAAAGGGATAATTTGAACGAGAAATTGGTTTAGGATTTACAGAGTTGAAGGCCATTTGCTGACATCTGCTCTCTTTTCTCGAGCTTAAAAAAAAAGTTTATGTCATCTGTTTCTCATTCTGTGTACTACAATGAAAACAAATACCTGCCTTTCAGAGACTGTCATTAATTGCTAATACCATACAAAAATATGGAATACCATTATTATTTGATAATAGCATGTAAGAAAAGTGGATTTGAGGACATTCAAAGGGTATTTGTAATTTTGAAATCAGAAAGCATGTGCGAAAAAATCAAAAGCTCAAACTTTCATATATGCATGTTCCAAAACACGAAATTCTTAACAGTATGCTTTGGAAATCACAGGTAATTTTGAGAGCATAACTGAAAAGCTGTAAATCTCACAGGTATATATGAGGGTAAATATAATTGGGTTAGCACTGCTGTTCCCCGGTAACTATAAATACTGTGGAGTGTAAACAACAGGAACATAAATGCAATGAACACAGGTGACATAACTTAGGTGCATGAATTATTAAAATTACTCCGTGCAAAATGAAGCATAAATTGAGGTTATTCTTTTTTATGCATCACATAGGTGATTTGGTGCATACCACTGGGCTCAGATAAGTTTTTGCATGGTTGGGTGGCAATTTTGGACAGGCCAGATTGTTTATCATGATTATTACTCTTGTTGTCACTGAAATCCTCATATCCACTTTTCTTATATGATATTTCGTTGCCAAATAATACACAACTGAGAAGGAATAGCATTGAGAAACAGAATTCTATACAATGGCAAAAGCTTGCAGTTTTTTCTTTTTGGTAAAATGATGATGACAGCAGGAGGTAAATGTTTCAGGTGAAGAGACATCCCATATGTATGTGGGCAGATTCACAGACCTTTTTTGATTGACAGCAAAGACTATAGAAATGACTAATGATATCTATTCTGTTTTATGAAATGTATAAGAAGGTTTACTTAAATTATTAAATTTTTAAACAAAGCCTTTGAAGTAGGTATTTTTTTCAGAGATAAGGTTTCTGAACAAAGAGGGATGGAGTACTGCTTATAGAACACATCTGTAAATGGCAGAACTAAGATTCAAGCTGCTAGGAGAAGGTTTGATCCCAAGGTCCGGTGATTTCTTTATTATTTCAGTCTGCCCCCACCAATTCAGTCTTTCTCTTCTAAATAAAGACATACTCTGACAAAACACTCTTATACATTGAGTCACTTTCCTATATTTTGGCTCATCTTCTTTGACTTTCAGAATGGATTTGGGAATGACTGGGCAACATTAAGGGGCAGACTGCAGGCATAGAAGGGAACGAAGCAAATTAGCTCCTGCCGCCACTGCACTGAAAGCCTTTGCGTGGTTCTTGCTTGGTTCTTTCCTTTACCTCATTTAGCCCTTTTCAAAGGCTAGTGTCCTGGATGCTTGCTCTTTTTTCCTCCCATTCAGCTGATCCCACTGGAACGATTGCTGGATCCTAAAGGGTAAGTTAACCTGGTCAAATTCTCTTTCCCACCATTTATAAAAGTAAAATAGTGACATTAATTTCCTTTGAGGGTAATTAGGAGAAATGAATTGGAAGTTAGGAACACAGTGTATTCCCTATGGGAAGAAAAATAGGGATTCCTTAAAAATTTCTACAGAAACAGGATTTATATGGTGTAAGTAATTTACTCTTATTGTAGCCTCAAGAGTGTTGTTTGGTGGTTTACATGTGCATCATTTACATAATCAGAATCCCCTAGTACAGATACATTTCTTAATCATTTTCACCAGGTAGGAAGAAGCTTATGAAGTTGGCACATGTAGTCTCTTGTATTTGGGTATGCCATCACATGGTAAATGAGCTGTGATGATTTCTACCCCGTCTGCCTGCCATTCAATATGCAATTAGTTGCCTTACCACATCTAAATAATTTGATATTCTAAGAACACGGTAAGAATGAGCATGTTTATATTATTGTTACTAGTCTATATTATTGTAAATAAGAAGTTTTCATTCTCAAATATACATTTTTATAATTATACAAAGAGCCAGCCACCTTGCCTTGAGGTAAAGTAGGAAGTTGCTCAGCCTCAATTCTTATAAAAGACCCACTGTGCAAGAGTCTGCCTGCCACCGAAGTATCTTACATGTGGGCCGAACATATAATAGAAAAAAAGGGCAAATTTGACATCATCAGTTGCAGCAAAACACATCAGGCCCGAACACCATAATTTAATAATAATAAAGGTACTGAGGAATTCTTAAGTAATCTTTCTTGATGTAAATATTATTTTAACAAACTATCTCATACTTATAGAATCAAATCACTTTATTTTGGGGAAACTAGGCCAATTAAAAACTTGCAATAAGGACAAATTATATGTGTCTTGAAAGAAATGCAAAGATGCAGAGTTGTGCCACAAAGTGTATTCGTCAAAGTCAAATGTTTTGGAAAACAAAAGACTAAAAAGAAAAACTTCTGATTGAAATATTTATTCCTAGTTTGTTCTGTCTTATTATATTTTATAAAATGTTCATTTAAAACTCAGAAAATATCCTGTCTATTAAGTCTTTATTGCAGGATCACTGGATATATTTTTCTGAGTTTGGTTGTAAAATAGAAATTAAGCACCATAGAGGATGACTCTATGCCCATTATGACAGACAAATGGTTTCTTCCTTATTTGCAGTGGTAGAGAATGGAAATCACAGTACCTAGAACATTCATTGAGATAGAATATTTTCTGGACAACAAAATATCCCTCAAGAAACTTCAAAGGATCAGAATTGGAAGAGTATATTCTCTAAATGTATTGGTATTACATTAGACTAAATAAAAATGAGATACCTAGAAAAATCCTCAAATATTTGGAAATTAGACAACACACTTCTAAATATTGCCCAGGTAAAGAAGAATTTAAAAGATAATTCAGAAAATATTTAAAACTGAATGATAATGAAAACATGACATAACAAATTTTGTGGGATGCACTTAAAGCTGTGCTTAGAGAAAAATATACACCTTTAAATGTATATATTGAGAAAGATTTTTACACTTCAATTATCTAATTACCCTTCAGTTATCACTTTAAGAAATTAAAGAAAGAGCATGTTGAAGCCAAATAAGTAGAGGTAAGTAGAGGGAGAATCTGCTCCGTGAGTCTCTGACCTTCTGCTGCTTTAGCAGCAATACGTGGCATTCCTCAGCTTGAAGCTGCGTCACTCCAGTCTCTGCCTCTGTAATCACATGGCCTTCTTCCCTGTGTGTCTTTCTGTGAGTCCTCTCCCTTTTTCTCAGAAGGACAGCAGTCATTGGAAATGTCATGCTGTAGAAGATTGAGTACAAACTCAAGTTAGTATGAGTTATATATGAAATGTGTATTATATTGGGGTGGTTATTATAACCAGATTTTCTTTTTTAAAACATGAGATGTGCTCCATATTTTTAGGTTAGTGACAGTTTATGTTGCAGTTGGGAAAGATTTGGTTTTAAGTCAGGGAAAGTATTTATGTATATAGGGCATAGTTTTCAGTTTTTTATTTCTACCTAACCAACATTGTCCTAGAGAGAATTTAGGAAAGAAGCAGAACATATAATTCAGTGTGAAGACATGTTGGGTAACAATAACTATTACATGTATCTATGTGTGTTATTTGTAGGAATCAATTTTATAATTGCCCATGTGATGCATTCACTAACTTTCCTCCCTCTTGTTTTGGTAGCTGGCATATTCTTTTGCATTTAGATATTGGGTGGCTAATAAAGTTAGCTAATTATACCGTGCTACTGAGCATGCTTTGCTCAAAATCTACTTGGCAATTATTCATTGGAAAATGTTTTTAATTCTGTTTGATGACATTTTAAAACATAACTTCTCTTCTTTTTCCTAACACTGCGGCATAATCCCTTATTAGAAATGCTAATCTCAAAACTTAATAACTAGGCAGCTTTCTGTTATCATAATAGCAGCTACTCTACATATTTAGACATTATATATCTAGCCCTAGCATTGCTTAATTCTTTAGACAATTACTCAGAGCTGAGAACTCAACACACAGATGCTGTGAGGGGTATCTGGTAGCTTTCTTGCTGTTGATAATGCAGCTTGCTCAGTCATGATGTCTGCTATTAAGTGTTAGCAGTGAATTATTACCAAAAAAAAAAAAAAAGAATATCTGGTAAGAAAATTGTTATTTTAATAATTTCCTAGAAAATAATGTGATTATCAGCAAGAAATTTTAGTATTTTGTCTTTAATACATTTGTGAGCTGAATAGGATATAATCATAATAAAGTTTCTAATTTTTAAGAAATAGAAAAAATGATGTTAAATAAATTTCAATAAATTTTTTTCAACTATCAGTCAAATTAGAAGGAAGACAAGTAAAAAGTGTTATTTAAATTTTATGCTGTCAATAAATCTGCCTTACAGAAATCGTTTCATCATATCTCTTGGCCTATTTTGCAAATTCAGAGTGGAGACTCTATCTCTTATCTTTCCTATAAATAAAGGGTCAGAGTAGGAAAATCTCCACAAGACAAGCAAGGGTTGGGAGAATGTAAATTTAAGAATCTGGCTAAGGCCACACTACTTTATAATTTAATGTTACCTACTTGGATTTCAAAGGCAATTGAAAAGAGAATTTGTCAGGGGACATTTTGCATCCTTTCTAAATCTGCTAAATGCATTGTGCATTGATAGCATAGTTTCCTCTATGTAATGATTAATATGACATATATCTTTTAGATATTAGTGATGTAAAGATATTTTTCGCTTCAAAAGAACTAATCTATTTTATTTACACCTGAAAATGAAAACCATGAAGCTAAACATGACATATGGAGCTAAACATCTCTCTTGCCTGCCCCACTTTATAGTTATAATTTCTTTTAATTTTATAAATCAAATGTATAATGATACATATGAAAAGTATAATGAAAGGATATAAGCACTCCTATTTGCTGTTATTACTCCAATACACATGTCAATAGTTATATATATGTCAAATTTCAATGGCTACATAGTATTCTACTTGATAGATTTTTCTCCCCATTTTCTTAATCAATCTTGTACTGATAGTCAATTAGACTTTTATTAAAATTTACTTTTGTTACTCATGCTACAGTGAACTTTATTAGGATTGAACCATTGCACATAACTGTGTTTCTTTTCTTTTCTTTTTTTTTTTTTTTTTGAGACAGAGTCGTGCTCTGTCGCCTAGGCGCAGTGCAGTGGTGCAATATCGGCTCACTGAAGCCTGTGCCTCCCAAGTTCAAGGGAGTCTCCTGTCTCAGCCTCCCAAGTAGCTTGGACTACTGGCATGCACCACCACATCCAGCTATTGTTATTATTATTTTTTGTATTTTTAGTAGAGACGGGTTTTCATCATGTTGGCCAGGCTGGTCTCGAACTCCTGGCCTCAAGTGATCCACACTCCTAGGCCTCTCAAAATGCTGGGCTTATAGGCATGAGCCACCATGCCTGACCTACTTTCTTGAAGATAAATTTCTGGGCACAGAATTGCTGGGATAAAATATATGCATGTTTTTAAGCCTTTGGTAATTCTGTGTAGAGGTTGTATCAACTTATAAATTTACTTAGATATATAAAAGTGTATATTTCTTTGTACCTTGCCAACTTTGGGTATTATTCTGTATTACCCTTTTTAATTTAACAGGTATAAAACAACACATAATTTTCAGATTACTAATTACATTATTATACATTTTAAATTTTTATGGGACTTTAGTTCTTTGCAAAGAACTTAATAGGTCTATATACTAAGCTCCTTATTCTTTTGATGCATTTTTCTAGTTTGCCATTTGTGACTATACATCATTTAATGTTTTTCTCCCAAGAAATAATAGTAAATGCTGTGCAATGAAATTTATGAATCTTTATATTACACTTAAACTAAACTATCTGAAGATTAAGTTGATATTAATCTGTTTTTGCAATACTATACTTTTATTGCATATGTTGAGATATTTAATGAATCCCAAAGTTGTTTGGCTAATAATAATGATAGCCAATATTGACAGAATGCATTTTATGGCCAGAAACTTGATTAATTGCTTTCTCTATAATATCTTAATTAACCCTCACATGTTAACTATTACATCTTCTTCTTTACTGGTCCGAGTTCAGTTTTGCAGGATTTATTGCAGCTAATAATACAGCTTACACAGACTGCTTCTCAGAAGCTTCTGGGAACAATCCAAGAGCCACACTGCAGAAATGAGCTGGCAAGGGAACTGCTGCTGCCACCACCATCTTGGCTGGCTCAAGAACAACTCTCCCTGTCTTATTCAGAAGAGCTGATGAACCAGGATGCATCAGTCTCTTTTTTTAGATTACTCAGAAAAGTTTGGGCTGACTGTCCCCTAGAGATTGTGCCATGGGTGCCACTGGAAAGTTGCTTCACCTTCCAGTGAGGTCTATGGTTCCGGACTGCGTATTTGTAGTTCCGGAGAAGTTATCCTACTGCTATTCCACAATGCCCATCTCAGCCTGCCCAGACTTATGATGGAAGCTGGGCCAAGTGCAAAATGTTTAGCTTCAAGAGAGTCTGAAAAATGGAGACTTTACTTTTCAATTTTCATTGTGCAGGGAGTCATGCCAGGAGGCTTTTGAATGGTCTTAAGTCGGCCATTCAGAACTGTACCATATTGTGGAGGACACAACTAGCTAAGAGAGGTTACCTAACTGTAAAGTTCCACAGCTAGAAAGTAGTGGGGCCAGGACTTGAAACTGGACAGTATGGTTCTGAGGAATTTGCTCTTAACTATTATATTCGAAAAACTTCATGGTACATATCTTATGGTGGGATGCAGGAATCTAATTGTCTATCTTCCTAAATTAAAGATACTTATTTTCTCAATATATTGGATCTCTGTTTATAATTTTTTTTTTTTTTCTGAGATGGAGTCTTGCTCTTTTGCCCAGGCTAGAATGCATCTCCAGCAATCTCAGCTCACTGCAACCTTCAACTCCTGGGTTCAAGCAATTCTCCCGCCTCAGCCTCCCAAGTAGCTGGAATTATAAGTGCCTGCCACAATGGCTAATTTTTGTATTTTTAGTAGATACGGGGTTTCACCATGTTGGCCAGGCCGGTCTGGAACTCCTGACCTCGTGATCTGCCCATCTTGGCCTCCCAAAGTGCTGGGATTACAGGCGTGAGCCACTGCACCCGGCCATCGTTTATAACTTCAAACCACTTTTATTTATCTTCAGAAGACCACATCTTTGCTTTATAAATAAACATATAGACTCTGAAAAGCCATTGGAAATTTTAGGTTCTATAGTGCATCTGATATGGTTTAGCCATGTCCCCACCCAAATCTCATCTTGAACTCCCCTCCCACAGTTGTGAGAGGGACCCAGTGGGAAGTAATTGAATCATGGGAGCAGGTCTTTCCCGTGCTGTTCTCACGAGAGTGAGTAAGTCTCACAAGATCTGCTGGTTTTGAAAAACGGGATTGTTCCGGCACAAGCTCTCTTTTTGCCTGCCACCATCCACGTAAGATGTGACTGGCTTCTCCTTGCCTTCTGCCATGATTCTGAGGCTTCCCCAGCCATGTGGAACTGTAAGTCCAAATAAACCTCTTTTCTTTGTAAATTGCCCAGTCTCAGGTATGTTTTTATCAGCAGTGTGAAAACAGACTAATACAGTAAGTTTGTACCAGTAGAGTGGGGTGTTGCTGAAAATATACCTGAAAATGTGGAAGTGACTTTGGAACTAGGTAACAGGCAGGGTCTGGAACAGTTTGGAGGGCTCAGAGGAAGATAGAAAAATGTGGGAAAATTTGGAACTTCCTAGATAATCGTTGAATGGCTTTGACAAAAGTGCTAACAGTGATATGAACAATAAGGTTCAGGCTGAGGTAGTCTTAGATGGAAATGAAGAACTTGTTGAGAACTGGAGCAAAGGTGACTCTTGTTATGTTGGAGCAAAGAGACTGGCAGCATATTGCCTCTGCCCTAGAGATTTGTGGAACTTTGAACTTGAGAGAGATGATTTAGGGTGTCTGGTATCTGGTGGAAGAAATTTCTAAGCAGCAAAGCATTCAAGATGTGACTTGGGTGCTGTTAAAGGCATTCAGTTTTATAAGGGAAGCAGAGCAAAAAAGTTTGGAAAATTTGCAGGCTGACAATGTGATAGAAAAGAAAATCCCATTTTCTGAGGAGAAATCCAAGCTGGATGCAGAAATTTGCATAAGTAATGAGAAGCTGAATGTTAATCCCCAAGACAATGGCATAAATGTCTCCAGGGTATTTCAGAGGTCTTCAAGACAGCCCTTCCCATCATAGGCCTAGAGGGCTAGAAGGAAAAAATTGTTTCTTGTGCCAGGCCCAGAGTCCCCATGCTGTATGCAGTCTAGATACTTGGTGCCCTGTGTCCCAGCTGCTCCAGCCATGTCTAAAAGGGGCCAGAGTATAGCTTGGGCCATGACTTCAGAAGGTGCAAGTCCCAAACCTTGGCAGCATCCATGTGGTGTTGAGCCTGCGGGTGCACAGAAGTCAAGAATTGAGGTTTGGGCACCTTCACCTAGATTTCAGAGGGTGTGTGGAAACCCCTGGATGTACAGGCAGAAGTTTGCTGCAGGGGTGGGGTTCTCATGGAGAACCTCAGATAAGGCAGTGTGGAAGGGAAATGTGGGATCAGAGCCCCCCACACAGAGTATCTATTGGGGCACCACCTTGTGGAGCTGTGAGAAGAGGGCCTCTGTCCTCCAACCTCAGAATGGTAGAACCACTTACAGCTTTCACAGTGTGTCTGGAAAAGCCACAGACACTCAACATCAGCTTGTGAAAGCAGCAGGGAGGGAGGCTGTACCCTGCAGAGCCAAAGGGATGGAGTTGCCCAAGACCAAGGGAACCCACCTCTCGCATATCAGTGTCACCTGGATGTGAGACATGGAGTCAAAAGAGATCATTTTGGAGCTTTAAGATTTGACTGCCCCTCTGAATTTTTGACTTGCATGGGGCCTGTAGCCCCTTTGTTTTGGCCAATTTCTTCCATTTGGAACGGTTGTATTTACCCAATGCCTGTACCCCCATTGTATCTAGGAAGTAATTAGCTTGCTTTAGACTTTACAGGCCTATAGGCAGAAGGGACTTGCCTTTTCTCAGATGAGATGTTGGACAGTGGACTTTTGATTTAATGCTGAAATGAGTTAAGACTCTGGAGGACTGTCAGGAAGGCATGACTGATTTTGAAATGTGAGGACATGAGATTTGGCAGGGGCCGGGGTGGAATGATATGGTTTGGCTGTGTCTTCACCCAAATTTCATCTTGAATTCCCACATGTTGTTGAAGGGACCTGGTGGGAGGTAATTGAATCACGGGGACAGGTCTTTCCTGTGCTGTTCTCATGATAGTGAATAAGTCTCATGAGATCTGATGGTTTTGAAAAACGGGAGTCTCCCTGTACAAGCTCTCTCTTTGCCTGCCGCTATCCATGAAAGATGTGACTGGCTCCTCCTTGCCTTCTGCCATGATTATAAGGCTTCCCTAGCCATGTGGAACTGTAAGTCCAATTAAACCTCTTTCCTCTGTAAATTGCCCAGTCTCAGGTATGTCTTTATCAGCAGTGTGAAAACAGACGAATATAGCATCTTAAGAATTTCTTAGACTAACCATAGTTATGGTGTTAACGTTCAGTGGTTTACAAAAGCAATTACACCTTCTAGGTATTTTACTTGTGTTATCTCATTTAAATATCACAATAAACTAATGTGAAGGAGTTACTAAAATCGAATAAACTAGGACTTAAGCAAAGTCACATAGCTTGTTCATTTTGGTAGACTCCAAAGCTCATGATTTTCCCCTAATATTGTAGTACTTCATCAATTTCTATATAAACTCTTTTGAAAGGATTGGGGTCAGAAGAAGGACACCCTCTAAGATATCCTACAGTGCTTGAAAGTAAAAAAAAAATTGTTATTCCATTGAATTCTGCTATTTAAATATTAATTGCTGCACAATAGAAGGCAATGTACATATACATTTATGTTGGTTAAAATACTATTTAAAGTCTAATCATGATTTCTATTCATCAGTATTATTGGTGTGTACTATACTGTAGTGCCACAAAATAGTTCACTAATAATTAGCAACATTTTTTAAAACTAGAATTTTGTTTGAAATAACAATTTCAATGTAGAAGAGGGAATGTACGTAGGGCCACAATAGAGTTATTCATAAAACGTGTCAATTTCTTGGAGAGAATAATGATTTGGTGTAATTTATCTAAAATGATCTATCCCCTCCCCACAATTTTCTACTTATTTCCCCAAAATGTCACTATTAACTATTCTTTTCTCACTTTTCTTTGGTAGAGAAGACCTCCCTCAAACTGTGGGGAAGGTAAGATATATCTGTGTGAGGTAAATTTTTAATTTTATTCAGTATAAGAAAGGTGTCTTAGCTAAGGATCCCTAGAAAACGGAAACAGAGGCAGGATTTAAGTGTCATGGTCTGCAGTGTAGCACTTTATCCAAGTCTGGAAGTGGTGGGGGATAATCTAGGGGCTCCTGGTTTGTATCTTGTCAGACAAATGGTAAAACTGAGCAGGCCAACATGCAACCAGTTGCCGTATTAGTGGCTGAAGTGGAGCAAACGATCAAGAGTCGAGAAGAAAAAATGGCCAAGAGCATCTGAGAGGGCATGTAAGATATGTTTGATGTAGTCCACCTTGTGTGGCACTCACATGTAACTGTGCCTGAGATTATATATTTAGTTCTCATATGCAAATATGAGACCTTAGTTTTTGTGAGAATAAGATGTTCTCACTGTTTCCCTCGTAGGGATGATAGAAGTTGAATAAATTTTTATAGCCAACCCCGTGTATGGCTATAATGTGGCAGCAATTTATTTCCAGATAGTAGTAATAAGTCACAGTAACTTATTTGTGAATTAGGCCAAAATCTGTGTATTTTCTGCCAGTTACTCATGGAGAACTGTCTCATGAGAACACAAAGTGTGGACTGTGAGAGACAAGCATTGGTGCATTCAAAGGATTTGACCTGGGAGACTGAACCACTTCATGAAATGTAGTCATGTCTTTTGTATCTTGTTTAGCCCAGTCTTACATGTATCATGAGGTATTTATTCATCTACATTTCTTTTTTCCTCTCTCAATTCTTCATAAGCTCTGCTTCTAGCACCCCACAGCAGTATATGCTTCTTTATCCTATATCTTTGGACTTAGCCCTATGAGTTGCTTTGGCAGAAGCAGAGGTGGAATAGAGGCAGAAGTGACATTGTGTCAATTATGAGCTGAAGGTTTAAGAGGCATTGTGTGTTTCCATTTGTCCCTCCTTCCCCTTGAACTTCTGCTATTTATCGTGAGAGAAGCAAGTCATGGATAGTTACTGGTCTCAAAATGAGTGACATGTCAAGCAGAACTAAATCTAACTGGCAGCCTGGAGTTATTTTTGCCAACTAAAAAACCCATGGTCAAGAAAAATAGATGTTTGCTCTTGTAAGGTACTGAGATTTTCTTGTTACTTGTTATGTAGCATTATTACAGCAAAAACTTGGGTGATACATATCACTTCCCTCAAAAGACTGGTGCTGCCCTTGCTTGTCATAAAATTTGGTAGATTTAATCATACATGTCCTAATAGGTAGCTAAAATTCATAGTTACCTACTGTAACAGTTTAGACACACTCAATCTTTCCCAGGGCTCAAAGGCACAGTAGATATCATATTTCTAATGAATAATAATTCTCTGCTGTGGAGAGGATGGCCTTATCCAGAAGTATAGAATTAATGCACTGAATTTCACCTACTGCAGTCTCCTAAGCACTCCATTTGGCATCCTTATCTACCTCCCATACCCTCAAGGATATTATACCATATGGATCAAGTGACAGTGATGCTTGAAGGTTTTGGAGCACTCAGAATTGCTAATTGTTTGTGTAAACAATGTGCTAATTATTTAATTTAACTAGGTCTAATAGCATAAATTACCACCATTAAATTGCCTTGTCTCTAGAAATTCTGGAATAACTGAAAGAATAAAAGTGCTAATATGTTATTAGCTGAATTAGGATTTGAACTTAAAATACCACAAACAAATTAATGAGTTTTTTGTTAGAAAAAAAATACTTTTTTACATGTTTATACAGTTATTTAATTTTTAGATTTTTAATTAAAAAATGACAAAAATTATACATATTTATGATGTACCACATGATGATTTGATATTTGTATACATTGTGAAATGGCTAAATCAAGCTAATTAATTAACATGTGCATTACTTCCCATTATAGGATTACTTGACTAACATGGCATTAACTTTGAGTTCATGTATTTTCTAGAAGCCATTGGAAACTGGTTTTAAATGTGTCTTTTTTTCTAATGCTTCACTAGAAGAACAGAGCATACACTTAGCGTATCTTTATATAAAAGAAAATTCTCTAGTTTCTAAATGTTAAGTGTCATTTTTTGGACATTAAAAACAAATCAATTGACTCCTGGCTCTGTTTTGGAAACAGAAAGTTGGAAAGAGCTTTGCTGTCATTATAACAATGATAATAACAAAAGTTACATGTTCTACAAATGTGTAGCCTATCTTGAATCTAATAAAGAGGTTTTAGAGCAAAAATATCTCCAGAAATTTAAAGAAAAATAATCACCTCCAAGAAGAAGTAGAGAAATCAACACTGGCTTGAAGCAGAGCATGGGAGGAAGATCAATCTGACAGAGAAGTAATTAAGAGTATTTCAGCTAGCATTTTAAATTAATTTCTAAAGCTAAATGTGGGCTATAATAAACTATAGAACCCTTGCGATACACACACACAAAGGAAGTTTGCATCCACTTGCGGGGAAGGCTCTGCTCCACAGACCTCACCATGTGCTCAAAAGATTGGAGACAGGGTGGGAGAATGCAGAAGGTACACCTTAGTGGCGAGACCTTGATGAGGAGAACCAGCCACCCCAGGGTCCCTATCTTCTTTATGGGGAAAATGAAACAACTCTTCCTCCTCTGAAAAAAGAAAAAAAAGGAAGCTGCCCAGCAAAGGACAGACAAGCCTATCTAAATCCCTCAGTTTACAAATGAAGACTCATTACAGCAGGGGAAAAAGAAAATGAAAGGCAATATCTTCCAGTCTTTGGGAGAGGTAGAAAAAAATCTAATGGTCTAGCCATTCAAGATTTCTACCAATGAAGCAGGGGCAGTAATACCTATCTAGCACAAGCTCTGCAAAACACAAAAGGCATAGTTTGGTTATCATGACGAGCAGGAGAAGGAACATCCCTGAAACTCAGGGACACAGGTGTGCCAGAATCCAAGGCTGCACCAGGACAACAAAAAATAACCCCCACTCACAACCAGCAGGATGCAAGTTTTATGTATTAAATACAGTGATATACCTCTGGGTGGCAGGGAGGGGGAGAGAGAGAGAGAGAGAGAGACCAACTGACTCTAAGGCACAAATTCAAAGAAAAAAACCTTGTTATAGAACAGAATCCCTGCAGTCAGCATGATGGAAAATTACAGGAATTTTAAGATTTGGCTTATTAAGGATAATCATAGAAATGACAAAACCCAAACATAGTTCAACTCTTGAATAGACAGATTCAAACTCCTGCAATGAAGATGTAGTAGAAGAGAAAGCTCACCTATTTCTAGTCATATGTCCTATTTACTTCAGTTTATTCTATCCTAAAATGCTGCTTGTTAACCAAAAAATAATAAAACACCTGAAAAAGCAAGGGAAAAAACCCCTTTGTCCAGTGACCAATATATCAACAGAATCAGAATCAAATATGATCCAGCCATTAAAACTCTCAGGAAATAAGAATGTAGTAAAAAGGATGATGTACAAATGTACATGATTATATGAGGAATTTGAGCAGAAAGGTAGAATGTATAAGAAAAAATAAAATGAAATCGATGTAGAGGCCAAGGGAAAATTTCTCCTTTGCCCTCTGAAGGTTTGCTGAAAATCACTGAGAAGAAGCATATTAATAGGAGAAGAGGCATACAAATTTATTTGATCATAGTTTTGTGTGACACACAAGCCTTCAAAATGAAGAGCCAAAGATATAAGGGAAACTGCATTTTTATGCTTAGGTTCAACAAAGTATAGACAGCCGTGTAGAAATATGATTGGTCAAAAAGGCTATGATCTAATGCTAATAGAATGAGTGGGGTCCCAGCAAGTCCTGTCTGCATAGATTCTCCTGGTCTCTCCGAGCAGCATTCCTTCCTTCTGAGTATGGAACAGGACCCTTTCTGGAATGGGGATCTTATGACCTACAGTTAAACCACTTAGGCCAGATAATTTCTTAATGGCCAGTTTTTACACAGAAAGGCAGGGGGAAAGTTAGAGTAATATTTTTAGGTGTTATGGCTTACTTTGGAGAAAAGGAGTTCTGGCTTCTATGACCTGCTATGGGATTCTAGTTTCTATGGGAAGCATAGGGGAGAATGAAGGGCCAGCATAGGGGACAATGAAGGACACAAGAGGGCGGGAGAAGCTCAGAGAAAACCTTTTGCTTCTCAGGCTGCTTCTGTCGACTGCATTTGAGGGTATCATATTTGGAACCCCAACACTAGAAAAAGGAAATCAAGACAATAGAAATAAATAATACTTTGGTGTGCTCATCAGTAGACTCAATTTAGCTGACAAAAAAGTATTGAATTTGAAAGAAGTTCAATAGAAATGTTCTAATGAAACCTTAAAAAAAAAAACAGTAGCAAAGAACCCAGATTAGAGCATCTAAGAGCTATGGGATAATATCAAATGTTTTAAAATAAATGTGTTTGGAATCTCAGAAGGAGAAGAAAGAACAGAGAAAAAAAATATTTTAAAAGAATAGTGATTTACAACTCTCCAAAATAATAAAATACATTATACCATAGATCTAAAACTATAGGAAAAAAAAGTAATACCAAAAGTTGTTTGTCAAAGATTTAAACAAAGATAAACCTCTATCTCCACTAAAAAAGATGGAGGAGGGAACCATATTAGCAATATCAGGAATGATAGAAATAATCTAAATGAAGACCCACACACATTAAAAGAATAAGGATAAAATGTATTAAAAACTTTAGGCCCACAAAATTAAATGAATGAACATATTCCTTAAGAGACATAACTTTCAAACCTCAGTCAATAAGAAATGGTGAACTCAAATAATCCTAATCAATTAAATAAATTAAATTTTAGTTAAAGTCTTTTTTTATCCAAATTAACTCTAGCTTCACTGTTTAATTACTATATACATATATATATATTTATTATATATATTTATTTATTTACTTAAGACTGGAGGCTGTTGGTCTTTATTAACTGTTGGAAATGTTTCCTTCTGAATCATTCTGCACAGTTTTGGTGGGGAGCATGGGGCCATGCAATGCCCCTCCACTGGTGCCCACCTGTGCCCTGCACGCTGGGCCTGCACTTCAGTAATTTCACTTGGCCCCCACCTGATCCCCAATGTACAGTAGAGGAAGCTGAGGTTCACGTGCAACAACTTTAATTGAATATGTTCCTGAAGTTCTGTACACAACACTGAAGTTACCTTAGAGTCATGATTTGTGTAAGTGTTCTTTCATTTTACAGAACATAAAAGTTATAGTGTATAACTTTTTTCCTATGATAAATAATCCTAAATTAAGTATCTGTATACATAAGTCTCTTTGTATACTTTGGAATATTCTTTCTTTCTTTTGGGGTGGAGTTTCGCTCTTGTTGCCCAGGCTAGAGTGCAATGGCAAGATCTCAACTCACTGCAACCTCCGCCTCCTGGGTTCAAGTGATTCTCCTGCCTCAGCCTCCCAAGTAGCTGGGATTACAGGCATGCACCACCACGGCCGGCTAATTTTGTATATATATATATTTTTAGTAGAGACGGAGTTTCTCCATGTTAATCAGGCTGATCTCGAACTCCAAACCTCAGGTGATCTGCCCGCCTCGACCTCCCAGAGTGCCAGGATTACAGGCGTGAGCCACTGCACCCGGCCCTTATGTTGGAACATTCTTAACATAAAGTCCCAGAACTAAAAATACTTTGTCAAAGATTGAGCATTTTCAATTCCCTTGCTGTATTTTGCTGAAATGTCCAGAAAGGCTGGATAATTTCACATTCCTGGGGCAGGCAGGAGAGGGCCATCCGGTTTTGGATCATAATCCCAAAACACACAATCCCAAATGCCATAATCTTGAATGTTGAAATCCCTATAGATCAAAATTGCTAATGTCTAAATTCCTAAAGTCTAAAATCCCTAACACTTCTATAACCACAGCTATAAGACTGAGTACACACAATTACCAACCACAGTGATACGCATTTATACCCTTCTCTTCTGACCTATTTTTAAAATAATTTCAACTTTTATTTTAGTTTAAGGGAATATATATGCATGTTTTTGTTACACGTTATTACCCTAAACATTTAAGAAAGAAAAAATACCAAGTCTACATGAAATATTCCAGAAAATATAAAAGGCAAATATTTCCCAACAAATTTTACAAGCCAATATTATTAAATAAAATCAGACTAGCATAAGAAAACTAGAGATCAATATACCTCATGAACGTATCCCTCAGAAAATCCTCAACAACATATTCCTAGGTTTAATATGGAATGAATACAATCCTCTCTTTAGCCATTTAAAAAATATACATTACTATTAATGATAGTCACCATGCTGTGCAGTGGATAACCAGAACTTACTCCTCCTCTCCAAGTGAAACTTTGTACCCTTTGACGAACATCTCCCTTTCCCCATCTACTCCCCCTACCCCCAGCCTCTGGGAACCACCATTCTACTCTCTACTGAGGCGATAAGGTCTCTCTCTTTCAGGGCGTACTTGGCAGCTTTCAGGTAATTTATCCAACACCTGAGCTAAAAATTTGAATCCCTGACCGTATGCTTTTCTTTGCTCACTTTGTCCAGTGACATTATGACCAACCAGTCCATCTCATTAACGTTTCGAATTATCAGATGCTACACAGTCACCCACATCCTTGCTTCTTATAAGTAATTGATTCATAATTTGTCATTGTTGAGTGTTCAATAGTGACATTAGGGATATCTCTTGCCAGATGAGGTATCAGTGCTCTCTTTACTACTGGGAATAGAATTATTAGTGTCTTTAAATTTAATCAGATTACAGAGACAATTCTAGAAACCCCACAATCAATTCAGAAAACCCAACCTTAATATTCTGTTCTTCTAGAACTACTATTGATTCCACAATCTGTATTAGTCAGGGGTCTCCAGAGATATCGAACTAATAGGACTTGTGTGTATATAGAAAAAGATTTATTATGAAGAATTGGCTCACACAATTATGGAGGCTAATAAGTCCCAAGAACTGCAATAGAAAGGTGGGAACCCAGAAAAGCCAATAGTAGAGTTCCAGTTTGAGTCCAAGAGCCTCAGAAGCAGAAGAGCTGATGGTGTAGTTCCAGACTGGCAGGCTTTAAACTTAGGAAGAACTAACGTGTCAGTTTGAGTATGAAGATGGGAAAACAACCCAATATCTCAGTTTCGAGGGTATCAGGCAGGAAGAATTGCCTCTTATTCAGAGGAGGGTCACCTTTTTTTTGTTCTATTCAAGCTTTCAACTGATTGGATGAGACAAACTCACATTATGGAGGACAACATGCTTTACTCAGCCTATCAATTTAATGTTAAACTCATCCACAAACACCCAGCAACACCAATGTTTGACCCAATATCTGGGTACTCTATAGCCCACTCAAGTTGACACATAAAATTAAACACTACATCTATGAAAAAAATCTCAAAGTATCTACAAAAAAGCTACTGGAAGTATTAAGTAAATAAGCAATGGCACAGTATACAAGGCCAATATGAGAGACTATAGATAGAACCATACACATATGATAAATTGACTGTTGACAAAAATGCAAGCTAAGTAAATGAAAAAATATAGTCTTTTCAAAAAATAATTGAATAATTAGGCATCCATCCAACAAAATGAACCTCAACCCATTACTTATACCATATAAGGAAATAACTCGAAATACATACATCATAGATCTGTTAAATATAAGACCATGATATGGGTGGGAAAACAATACACAAACATTGTTGTGACCCATATTTCTTAGATATGACACCAAAAACACAATCTATAGGAATTTTGTTGATGAATTAATTTTATGAAAATTAAAAACATCTGTTCTTTGAAAGACTGTTAAGAGAGTGAAAATATCAGCTATGGAGTAAGAGAAAAATTTCCACATAGTAATCTAATAAAAAAACTTGCATTATGAACATATTAAAAACCTTTCACAACTCAATACTAAGAAAACAAATAACCCAATAAAATAATAGGCAAGAGTTTTAATGAGTGCTTGATCAGATGATAAATGTATGAGAAAGGGGAAATAAACATATGAGAAAATGATGAACATTAGTTATTGAGGGAATATAAATTAATACCACAGTGAGATAAATTACAAACATATTTAGGCTGGTCATTTAAAAAAAACAAAAACAAAAATTAAAACTGACAATAAGATGTGCTAAAAAAATTGTAGAAGCTGTATCTTTCATACATTGCTGGTTGGGATGCAAAACATCATAGCTATTTGGAAATCAGTTTGACAATTTCTTCTAAAGTTAAACCTACGTTACCACCCAACCAGCGAGTCTGCTCTTAAGTATTTACCTAACAGAATAAACATGGGTTCACGCAGAAAAACTTACACATAAATGTTAGAGATGTTTTATGTAAACTTAACCAAAACTGGAAAATATCCAAATGCCATTCAACTCATTCAACTGAAGAATGAAATAAACTGTGGCACATCCACACAGTGAACTATTTTTCAGTAATTTAAAGAAATATACTAGTGATATTTGCAACAACATGGATTAATTTCAAACTCCATTGATGTGACACTAGGAAACAGGAAAAACTACGGGGACAGATTACTGATTAAACATTGCCAGCAGCTGGAGTTGGGAGGAAGATTGTCTGCATAGGGACATGAGCAAAGAGTTTGAGGATGATGAAATGCAACATGCTGAATGTAGTGTTATCCAACCACACCCATTTATCGAAGCCTGAAAAATTGTATACCAATTTTGGTGTACATCTGCTGTGAATTTATTGCATGGAAATTTACATAGTATATAATATGTAATTTACCTCAATGAGATTTTCTTAAAAATAATGCAATAGGCAAAAAATGATTAAAATACTAGCAATGATAAATCCATCTACTCTATGAATTCTAGGAGGGTTTTCATATTTAAAAATATTAAGAGAAAACACAAAGACCCATAAATTCATAATATCCTGATTTTTTCTTATATCTTTAAGAAAAAAATTTTTCTAGAGATAAATTATTTTATTGATGAATATTAAGTATGATCAAGTTAATGTGATATGCCTGGGGAATCTCTAAATAACCTGAACAAACACAAGTGGACCAGGTCACTTGATTATTTAATTACCTTAGTTTAATTGTATTTCACAGTCACTTCTTATGATTCTTAACATAATATATGAGAAGACATTATTGAAACTTCTTGATTTTGTAGTCCCCTCTTAAATCAATTATAGGCACTTAACCAGCTCTCTCCTGATCTACCTGAACTGCCAGTAATAAGCCATTTTCCTTTTTAGAGAGTTAAAATTTCAGTCCCTTGGTACATTAGTGTTTTGTGTATATGGGGTAATTTTGTTTAAGATCTTTCTGAAGGCAGAAGAATGGGTGCTAAATTATTTTAAGCCATGTGTCACATAATGACATTTCAGTCAATGATGGACCGCATACAGGAAGGTGGTCCCATAAGATTATGATATCCTATTTTTACAGTACCTTTTCTTTGTTAAGAGATGTTTAGATACACAGATACCATTGTGTTACAATTGCCTTCAGAATTCAGTACAGTAACATGTATACGTTTGTAGCTTAGGAGCAATAGGCTAGTCCACAAAGCCCAAGTGTGTGGTATGCTATACCATAGGTTTGTGTAAGTACACTCTACGATGTTTGCACAAGGATGAAATTGCTGAATAATACACTTCTCAGAACATGACTCCGTCATTAAGAGATGAATGGCTGTATTAGTGAGGCTTCCATCACATTAACAAAGCTCTATATTTCAGAAGGTGGAAAATAATACTACAAAATGAAGTATAAGGAAAACAAGGGTAAATTACATGACATGTTTACAAATCCAAGATATTGCTGAAAGCTGGCATTTTTTTATATTTGTAAAGAGTATATTTACATTATATTTAACAGTAGTCACTTGTAAAATATGAAAATTTAGTAACTATTACTAGTGCTTCCCACTGAATAGCTAATCACTAAATGTAATAAATAGCAATATGAAAAAGAAGAAAGCTTTGCTTACACACGTTGGATGTATACACACTAACACACTGTTACTGGAAGATATTATAGCAGAAAAAATGTGAATAAATATTATATGAGCAAGGCATCATGTATGACAAAAATAAAGGATTATTGTTAACTTTGTATTGTTGATCATTAACAGATAAATTAGGTCATCATATAAGATATAAGAGTTCACAAAAGGCTTCTCTAACTAGGTATGAATCTTACCAAAAAAAAAAAAAAAAAAAAGAAAAAACAGAATAAAATAAGACAAGACCATCTGGCCTAACTTTCACTATTATACTTCACAATAAGAATGATGTGATTGTTTCACTGTGTGGGTGTGTGATTCAATTGTCAGTAATTTAAAATATTCGCTCATGAAAAAATAATTAAACATTTATATAAATCTGTTGACATTGTTATAATTAATTTTTAAGTAGTTCTTCATGTAAATGAAGGAGAGGTGTTCATAGACTCTATTTTGAATATGAGGAAAATAATAAATAATTTAAAAGATAACATTATTTGTTTTTAGCTACAGAAAGAATAATTCCATGAGTTTTAAGAAGTAACTTCAGGAGGAGAAGAGAAGGAAACATGTAGGACCAAAAAGATTTGAGAAATTTGTGACATGAGTATATTTAGCATATAACGTCTGTCAGATATCATATACTAAATATCAAATTACAATGAATAATAAAAATATAACACGATTAAATAGAATCCAATTTAAGAACTGTCAAAACCAGGCTGGGTCTCTTTTTGAATAGGGTCAAAGGTGAAAAATTCAATAGGAATTAGGCATATAGTCATATGTCATTCTATTATGTTTCGCAGATATTGTGTATTTTACAAATCGAAGGTTTGTGGCAACCCTGCATTAAACAAGTCTATGGGTACCATTTTTTCAACAGCATGTGCTCACTTTGTAACTCTGTGTCACATTTTATTAATTACCATAATATTTCAAGCTTTTTCATTATTATTTTATCTGTTATAGTGATCTTTGATTAGTGATTTTTGATGTTACTAACGTAATTGTTTTGGGGCACTGTGAACCGCACGCATATAAGATGGTAAACTTAATCAGTAAATGTGTATGTTCTGACTGCTCCACCAACTGGCCATTCCTTCATTTCCCTCCTTCTCTTGGGCCTCCGTATTCCCAGAAACAAAACAACATTGATATTAGGCTACTTAATAATGCTACAAAGGCCTCTAAGTGTTCAAGTGAAAGGAATAGTCACACATTTCTCACTTGAAGTAATATACTAGAAATAATTAAGATTAGTGAGGAAGGCATGTTGAAAGCTGAGACAGGCCAAAAGGTAGTCCTCTAGAGCCAAACAGTTAGTCAGGTTGTGCATATAAAGAAAAAGTTCTTGAAAGAAATTAAAAGTGCTACTCCAGTGAACACATGCCTGATAAGAAAGCAAAATAGCCTTACTGCTAATATGGAGAAAGTTTTAGTAGTCTGGATAGAAGATTAAATCAACCACAACAAAGCCTAATCCAGAGCAAGGCCCTAACTCGCTCTTCAATTTTATGAATGTGAGAAAGCTGCAGAAGAAAAGTCTGAAGCTAGCAGAGGTGGGTTCATAAGGCTTAAGGAAAGTGATCATCTCCATAACATAAAAGCATAAGGTGAAGCAGCAAATGCTGACGTAGAAGCTGCAGCAAAGTTATCCATAAGATCTAGCTAAGACCACTGATGAAGGTGGCTACACTATATAACAGATTTTCAATATAGACCAAAAAAACCTTCTATTGGAAGAGAATGCCATCTAGGACTTTCTTAGCTGGAAAGGAGAAGTCAATACCTGGCTTTAAAGCTTGAAAGAACAGGCTGACTCTCTTGTTAGGGGCTAATGCAGCTGGTAACTTTAAGTTGAGGCAAATTCTCGTTTACCATTCTGAATACTCTAGGGCCCTTAACAATTATGCTAAATCTGTTCTGCCCATGCTCCATAATGGTACAATGAAGCCCGAATGACAGTATATCTCTTTACAGCATGGTTTATTGAACACTTTAAGCTTGCTGTTGAGACCTACTGCTCAGGAAAAAAATATTTCTTTTATTTTTATTTTTATTTTATTATTATTATACTTTAAGTTTTAGGGTACATGTGCACAATGTGCAGGTTAGTTACATATGTATACATGTGCCATGTTGGTGTGCTGCACCTATGAACTAATTTACATTAGGTATAACTCCTAATGCTATCCCTCCCCCCTCCCCCAACCCCACGACAGGCCCTGGTGTGTGATGTTCCCCTTCCTGTGTCCAAGTGTTCTCGTTGTTCAATTCCCACCTATGAGTGAGGACATGTGGTGTTTGGTTTTCTGTCCTTGTGACAGTTTGCTCAGAATGATGGTTTCCATCTTCATCCATGTCCCTACAAAGGACATGAACTCATCATTTTTTATGGCTGCATAGTATTCCGTGGTGGATATGTGCCACATTTTCTTAATCCAGTCTATCATTGTTGGACATTTGGGTTGTTTCCAAGTCTTTGCTATTGTGAATAGTGCCGCAAGAAACATGCGTGTGCATGTGTCTTTATAACAGCATGATTTATAATCCTTTGGGTATGTACCCAGTAATGGGATGGCTGGGTCAAATGGCATTTCTAGTTCTAGATCCCTGAGGAATGGCCACACTGACTTCCACAATGGTTGAACTAGTTTACAGTCCCACCAACAGTGTAAAAGTGTTCCTATTTCTCCACATCCTCTCCAGCACCTGTTGTTTCTTGACTTTTTAATGATCACCATTCTAACTGGTGTGAGATGGTATCTCATTGTGGTTTTGATTTGCATTTCTCTGATGGCCAGTGATGGTGAGCATTTTTTCATGTGTTTTTTGGCTGCATAAATGTCTTCTTTTCAGAAGTGTCTGTTCATGTCCTTCACCCACTTTTTGATGGGGTTGTTTGTTTTTTTCTTGTAAATTTGTTTGACTTCATTGTAGATTCTGGATATTAGCCCTTTGTCAGACGAGTAGGTTGCAAAAATTTTCTCCCATTTTGTAGGTTGCCTGTTCACTCTGATGGCAGTTTCTTTTGCTGTGCAGAAGCTCTTTAGTTTAGTTAGGTCCCATTTGTCAATTTTGGCTTTTGTTGCCATTGCTTTTGGTGTTTTAGACATGAAGTCAGACTAAACTAGGAAGAAGTTGAATCTCTGAATAGGCCAATAACAGGCTGTGAAATTGTGGCAATAATCAATAGCTTACCAACCAAAAAGAGTCCAGGACCAGATGGATTCACAGCCAAATTCTACCAGAGGTACAAGGAGGAACTGGTACCCTTCCTTCTGAAGCTATTCCAATCAATAGAAGAAGAGGGAACCCTCCCTAACTCATTTTATGAGGCCAGCATCATCCTGATACCAAAGCTGGGCAGAGACACAACCAAAAAAGAGAATTTTAGACCAATCTCCTTGATGAACATTGATGCAAAAATCCTCAATAAAATACTGGCAAACCGAATCCAGCAGCACATCAAAAAGCTTATCCACCATGATCAAGTGGGCTTCATCCCTGGGATGCAAGGCTGGTTCAATATATGCAAATCAATAAATGTAATCCAGCATATAAACAGAACCAAAGACAAAAACCACATGATTATCTCAATAGATGCAGAAAAGGCCTTTGACAAAATTCAACAACCCTTCATGCTGAAAACTCTCAATAAATTAGGTATTGATGGGACGTATCTCAAAATAATAAGAGCTATCTATGACAAACCCACAGCCAATATCATACTGAATGGGCAAAAACTGGAAGCATTCCCTTTGAAAACTGGCACAAGACAGGGATGCCTTCTCTCACCACTCCTATTCAACATAGTGTTGGAAGTTCTGGCCAGGGCAATTAGGCAGGAGAAGGAAATAAAGGGTATTCAATTAGGAAAAGAGGAAGTCAAATTGTCCCTGTTTGCAGATGACATGATAGTATATCTAGAAAACCCCATTGTCTCAGCCCAAAATCTCCTTAAGCTGATAAGCAACTTCAGCAAAGTCTCAGGATACAAAATCAATGTACAAAAATCACAAGCATTCTTATACACCAATAACAGACAAACAGAGAGCCAAATCATGAGTGAACTCCCATTCACAATTGCTTCAAAGAGAATAAAATACCTAGGAATCCAACTTACAAGGGACACAAAGGACCTCTTCAAGGAGAACTACAAACCACTGCTCAATGAAATAAAAGAGGATACAATCAAATGGAAGAACATTCCATGCTCATGGGTAGGAAGAATCAATATCGTGAAAATGGCCATACTGCCCAAGGTAATTTACAGATTCAATGCCATCCCCATCAAGCTACCAATGACTTTCTTCACAGAATTGGAAAAAACTGTTTTAAAGTTCATATGGAACCAAAAAAGAGCCCGCATCACCAAGTCAATCCTAAGCCAAAAGAACAAAGCTGGAGGCATCACAGTACCTGACTTCAAACTATACTACAAGGCTGCAGTCACCAAAACAGCAGGGTACTGGTACCAAAACAGAGATATAGATCAATGGTACAGAACAGAGCCCTCAGAAATAACACTGCATATCTACAACTATCTGATCTTTGACAAACCTGAGAGAAACAAGCAATGGGGAAAGGATTCCCTATTTAATAAATGGTGCTGGGAAAACTGGCTAGCCATATGTAGAAAGCTGAAACTGGATCCCTTCCTTACACCTTATACAAAAACTAATTCAAGATGGACTAAAGACTTAAACGTTAGACCTAAAACCATAAAAACCCTAGAAGAATACCTAGGCATTACCATTCAGGACATAGGCATGGGCAAAAATATTTCTTTCAACATATTACATCTCCTTGACAATGTACATGGTAATTCAAGAGTTCTGATGGAGATGTACAAGAAGATCGATGTGATATGCCTGTTAGCACAATATCCATTGTGCAGCCCGTGGATAAAGGAGTAATTTTGACTTTCAAGTCTTATTATTGAAGAAATACATTTTTTTAAGGCTGTATCTGGAGTAGATAGTGATTTCTCTGATGGATCTGGGCAAAGTAAGCAAAAAATCTTCTGGAAAGTACTGACCCTTCTAGATGCCATTAACAACATTTGTGATTCATGGGAAGAAGCTAAAGTACCATCATCAACAGGACCTTGGAAGAAGTTGATTCCAACTCTCATAGATGACTTTGAGAGGTTCAAGGCTTCAGTGTAGGAAGTAACTGCAGATGAAGTGAAAATAGCAAGAAAACTAGAACTAAAAGTAGAGCCTGAAGGTATGGTTGCATTGCTATAAATCAAGATAAAAACTTGAATGGATTAAAAGTTGCTTCATATGCATGAGCAAAGAAAGTGGTTTCTTGAGATAGAATCTACTTCTGAGGAAAATGCTGTGACCATTGTTGAAATAACAAAGGATGTAGGGTATTACATCAACTTAGTTGATAAAACAGTGGAGAATTTGAGATGATTGACTCCAATTTTGAAAGAAGTTCTACTGTCAAACAGCATTTGCATGCTGTAGAGGAATCTTTTGTGAAAATAAGAGTCAATTGACATGGGAAACTTCATTGTTATCTTATTTTAAGAAATGCCATAGCCACAACAACCTTCAGCAAGCACACCCTAATCAGTCTGCAGCCAACATCACTGAGGAAGGCTCTCCATCAAAGAAAAAGATTATGACTCAGTGAAGACTCAGATGACTGTTAACATTTTTTAGCAATAAAGTATTTTTAAATTAAGGAATACACATATTTTAGACAAAATACCATTGCACATTTAATAGCTAAACCATAGTGTAAATATAAATTTTATATGCACTGAGAAATAAAAAGTTGTGTGACTCACTTAATTGTGATATTCACTTCATTATGGTATCCTGGAACTGAACCCACAATATCACTGAGATGTAACTACATTTTATCATCCTATCTCTAAGATTTCAAACTATTACTCTTTGGAATCCAGTGTGGTACTAGCAGTGTTGAAATAAGCGAAGATTAGAGCCAACTGCTGCTGCCAGGGTGAAGTGCTTATATTGGCATTAAATTATTAACAAGAATAGCAATCAAACAAGAAGAAGGAAATTTCTCTTATCATCCCGCCTTTTAATCTCCCTGTGATGGTGGCATCTATTGTCACAACCTATTAAGATGATTAACTGATAAATAAAATTTTATTACAGTGTCCCAATTAGTGGTATACTGCTATATGTTTAACAGATTCTGAAAAAGCCCTTATTTTTAGAGCTTGCCTATTTTTATGGTGTACATATTTCCATCATAATTGATTTCAATATACCAACATGAAGAAACAGTACAAAGATATTACTCAGATACAATACAAATACAGTTGATGTAAATTCCTTCAAAGTAGATAATAAGAAGATGTATTACTTAAGTAGTGATGTTTTGAGTATTCATTTTTTATATTTAGTATTTATTTAATATTAGGTTTACATATTTTTAAAATAATAACTATTTAACAGCTAGCTCTCAAAGTTCCTGAAAATTTGACAATTGGGTCTTGTGTGTTGGTATGATTTGGCTCTATCACACTACTGGATCTCAGCTCAACATCGCAAAGTGAGGACAGAAGAATAGATTTGGACCAGAGACAAGAGCTTAAAAACAAGCACATTTCACTGTTTTAGTTATTAAGCATTTATATACATTTATTTGAACAACATTATATGCTTCTCTTTAACAAGAATCAACTAGCCTTTGTGCAAACAAAGATGTACTACTCATCCTCATTCCAAAAAGGATAGACACAAAATTCCAACAGTACCTGTCTCCATCCGCAAGCAATGATAATACTCCTCTAATTCAGTCACAGTTCTACTTGAATGTATGGAAAGCTAAAGAATAAATTCTAACATTAACAATTTCCAATAATCCTTATATGAAATGATAAGAGGAAAGGGAAAGGAAAAATCAAATTAGTTAACATAGACAAATATATGTGTATATAATAACCAAAGAGATGGTATGTACAGCTACTACTGTCCTTTTTTTCTACAAATGGCCATAAAGTTGTAGTTGATATTTATAACTCATTCCATAGGTCATTCCATTTTCCCTTAAGTCAACATTTTCTATTGTTGTGATTCTTTACCTGATGATTAACTAGAAAAAAAAATCACCTTTCCCCCACAGTGGTTTTCCATTAACTTTTATCTTCGGATATGGGAGTAATAATCATCTGATAGAATTCCCAGTGTTTCAGACAAAGTCATCATATAGCAAAAATCTATTTTATTGTTAATAATCAGGAGCCATTATTTCTATTATCTTCTTCTTTATGTATTGGCTAATTGACATAGAGCCCAAAATGGTCAAGTGATGATCTTAACTTTGAGATCAATGGAGCCGTTGTTATGTGTTCTGATAAAAGCTTTCCTCCCCTAATAATTAAGACCTCAAAGCTGTAGTCCCCAAATTCCTGCGTCAGGAATAAAAATTCTCTGAATGAATTATTAGGTGTAATAGCAAGAAGAGTCATTTTTACTTCTTCCGGAAAAAAGAGCACTATGTATTGATTGCCGATTAAATATACAATCTATAATATATAAGATAGTGCCTGTATTAGGATTCTCCAGGGGGACAGAATTAAAGGATATATGGATATATAAAAGGGAGTTTATTAAGGAGGATTGGCTCACAGGATCACAAGGCGAAGTCCCACTATAGGCCATCTGCAAGCAGAGGAAGAAAGAAACCAGTAGTGGCTCAGTCTGAATCCGAAAGCCTCAAAAGTAGGGAAGCCAACAGTGCAGCCCTCAGTCTGAGGCCAAAGGGCCCGAGAAACCCCCGGCAAACCACTGTTAAGTCCAACAGTCCAAAGGCCAAAGAACCTGGAGTCTGATATCCAGGGGCAAGAGGAACGGATGGAAGTATCCAGCACGGGAGAAAGATGAAAGCCAGAAGACCCAGCAAGCCAGGTTATCCTACCTTCTTCCGCCTGCTTTGTTCTAGTTGCGCTGGCAGCCGATTGGATGGTGCCCACCTACACTAAGGGTGGGTCTTCCTCTCCCAGTGCACTGACTCAAATGTTAATCTCCCTGGCAGCACCCTCACAGACATATCCAGAGACAATATTTAATTACCTACCTAGGCATCCTTCAATCCAATCAAGTTGCCACCTAATATTAATCACCACAGTGCCCAATATTTCAAGGCATTTATTTTCAAACTGGCACCATAACCGAGTCTTTAATAGGCTTTTGAAAAAAACCATACTCTCAGACCAGCTTCTTCAGAGTGGTAGGTTTTGTGGTAAGACCATTGATTCTATGGGAATGACCATTGCTCTACCTCTTTCACAGTAAAATGAGTTCTTTGGTGATGAAAAATATCGCATGATATATGTGTGGAGTAAGTCATTCCACAAGTTTACAGATGGTAATATTGACAGGGAAAGCATCCATACCCACAATTCACTGCTCTCCCATTGGCCCAGTTTAAAGCAAATATTTAAACATTTTCTAACAGGATAGAACTTATATTAAATGCCTTTACCATAAAAGGAGAAAAATGGGAAGAATAAAAGAAAACTTTAGGAGAAGATGGATACATTTATGGCATTGATAGTTTGACAGTGTATATTTAACTGAAAACACATCAAGTTGTATGCATTAAACAGCTTTTTGTATATCAGTCATATCTCAAGCCGCTAAAAGTAAAAATAAAAGTTAAGAGAAAGGGGGAAATCCCTCTTTCCTTTCTCCTAGCTTCCAATTTTTCCTCTAGTTCTCCGTATTGGCAGGAAGCCAGTTTACAAAGGAAAAGTCGTTTGCCGTCTAACCCCAACAGCAACACAAAGCTGGCTATAGAAGAGTAGATTTGAATTCGCAAATCTAGTTTTAAACCAGAACATTCCATCTCTTAGCAACTCAGCATTTATATTCCACTTGCATAAAAACACCTATTCAAGTATTACGTAATTACTGAGAACCTGTTCAATTTATACTTTGTGCTAGGTGCTAAGGATAAATTGGTGATCAAAAACATGTCTGGGCTCTGTGAAACTTACATTATCTTCCTAGATATTAACCAAATCGTCCCCTTGGTTATGCATAACTGCAAACTGAAAGTAACATGGGTCTATGAAAAAATATTACAAATAATCTGGAAGTAATTAAAGAAGTATTACCCTGAGGAAGCTTCACCTAGCTGAAAGCTAAAGGATTAGAAAGAGTTAACTCAATCAAGTAGAAGGTGGCTGTGTTGGGAACAGATCATTTCAGATGAAAGGAACAACCTGTGCAAAGGCCTTATGGTGGGCGTGAATGTGGTATAACTGTGAAGAACTAAGGGAGCTGAGTGTCTGGGCTGCAAAGGTTTAAATGCAATTTATGGGAGATGAAGCTTGCCAGGAAGGCAGGATTTAGACCCAGAATTTTATAAGATTTTGGTTCAGATTCTAAGCAGCAAATCTTGCTGAAGAATTTTAAGGGAGACATTTCACTTTTGACAGTTTTAAAATAAATGTTCTACAATTTGTGCAGGTCTGAGTTGATAAATGGGGATCAGTTAATAAGCAATCCTGGTAAGAGATGAAAGTCGCTCTAGATTATTGGCAGTGGAGATGGACAGAAGTGGAGAAATATAAGATATATTTAGAAAATAAAACCAACAAATATTGCTGACAAATTGTAAGAGAGATGAAGATGTCAAAAATGCCTCTTCTATTTCTGGCTTATGTAACTTTACTGTTGTTGGTACTATGGACTGATAGCACACAATAGAAAAGGACATGCCTGGATTTATTGAATCATCCAAGTAAAGGTATCTAATAAGTGTATAATTAAAATTTTCTATGAAAAGTACATTTAAAAACAAGCCAAACTGAACATATAAATACAATTTCATTTAAAATGATAGAAATGTCTGTTCATGGCAGTCAGGTTTTAAAATGTGCTCTTTGTCATTAATCTGTCACTATTGTCATTTCCCAAGTTCTTTTCACTCTTAACACTTCCTTTTAAAATTTTTATTCTAATCCAATATTCTTATGCATTATTTTACTCTTTTTTAAAGTGATTAAATCAAAACAAAGAAGAAATTGAGAGATCACATTAATCCAGTAAGATCTATTAATCTAGTTTAGCAACTGGTCACTTGTGCTAGTTTCTGGTTCTCTCTGCCTCACTTCAAATCGTTTTCTGTCCTTTTGTACATAAGCTGTGATCCAGTAGGCTGAACCCTGGGCACTGCCTCCTAGGCTGTCTCACCGTCCATTCGGCAAGTAGATGACACCAGCTGAAGAGTGAAGCAGAAGAAAAGAGACATAGGAGTATTTATTTCCCACTCTCTTCAGTTTTGGCAGTGGTTAGATCTCCTCATGATGACAGTTCCTGCTGGGAATCCCTTATTTTCTATCTCCCATGCTCATTGGACTCCTGAAACATTCTTTCCTCCCCTTGCCCCTGAAGGACTAGTGGTGGTGATGGGTTTCTACAATTGCTGGAAGGTTGCTTCAATATCCTTTGTTGATTGACCTTTACTAATAGTTTATTTATTAAGCTCAGTTCATTTGAAGTTTGGGTCAAATTATTCTGTTTCTTGCTAGGATACTCAATAGTTCTATACTTCATCTTTATTTGAGCTGAAGAGTATAAAGCATTTTCTTTGCCAAGTCATTCGCTTTTCATTCTATCCAGCAACCTCTAAATTGGGGCTCAACAAACTTGCTGTGTAAAGGAACAAACAGTATTTAAATTTTGTGGATCATACCTCCTATTCCATAACTACTCATGGTTGACATTGTAGCATAAAAGCAACAATAGACAATATGTCAATGAATGAGCATGGCTGTGTTCCAATGAATCCTTATTTAAAAAAACAGGTACAGAGGCCAAATTTTGCCCAATGGCCATAGTTTGCCAACTTCTGTTTTAAACCAACTAACATTCAAATTTTAAAAAATGCAGTCATATATTTACTTACCTTGCAGACATTATCATTTTCCTAAAGCTATACAATAGCATAGTTTTCAATATTTAATTAAGTGCTCAGTTTTGATAAATATAGCTTATGAAATGACCTGTGTAAGGATAAGGGTTAACATAGAAATCATGTCATAGGTAATTTGGTAAAATCTAGGAACTAATGAGAAACTGTAAGTGAAGTACTTTGAAAAAATTTAGTGTACCGTCCATAAATAAAATATTGTTGATGCTTCAAAGACCCTTGGACTATTACTGTCATAAGTTAAGTGTGTAATATACTAAGTGCATAATGAATTACAACCAAATTGTTAGTTATTTGTATAAAGAATATTTATTTAATGGAATATTTGTAACAAATTTTCAGAGCTTGACACTTCAAAATTCCTCAACTAAGAGTTGTCACTTGCCCAGGAGATATAATTTTATTTTAATATTAACATGTAGAAAAAATTACAAGATAAAATGTATACTTCTTTGGGTTTCAAACAAAAACATAAATTAGCATGGCAGTTTATATCTTTTGCAATTGCTATGTGTACCTCCCTTAATTTGTCTTCTACCAATATCCCATGTCATCCAGTAAACCAATTCTACTCTCCTTTCTTCCTCTCATGTTCATAGTCATATTCTGAAAATCTAAATAGTACTATTATTTAATGAAGAACCACATAGAATAAGAAAAAAATCAAAATCAAGATTACTGAAATTCCTGCTGTCCCCAGAAATTTCAGCTTTAACCCATGGCAGCTAGGAGCACTAACTTACAAATAGAATTTGCTATATGAAACCTGGTAGAAATATTTTAATAAATGCTAATGATCATGGATAAATTCTTAACAACTCACATATAGAACAGAGAGGACTATAAATATCACCTTTAAAAAAGAAAGATGAGGCAGCTTTTAATATTAAGGCATTGGGAACATATGGTTTGTTTGCAAAATCTGGAAATATCCCACTTGGGCCTAGAGAAAGAAATGAAAAATAAGAAGCTCAAAGGACAAGCTTCTCTCTTTGCAATCTTAGATGTCTGCAGGGTTTTGGTTCAGGATGTCTTCTTGTTCTCAAAGATTTTAAGTAAAAATAGCTAAAATCCTTAACATTTAGTTTCTTGTAAATAAGTATAATCTAAAATCCTTATTTTAGAAACTATTGTCAACTTATAAGAGAAAATAATTTTAACAAAAAGAATTTAAATTGCTTTTCAAGAATGTGAAAACTTCTGAGTGGATAGTGTCTTAAAAGATAACATTCAATTTAGTTTGGAAAATACATGTATTGAACTCTTAGTTTTTGGAAGATATTTACTCATGGTAACCACATCTTACAAATGATGAAACTGAGGGCTTTTGAAGGTTAAGTAACATGACTAAAACTGCATAGTAAGTGACACAGCTGAAATTTGAACTTAGTTTTATGGCTCACCTACCTTTTAGGCATCCTTTGTAGAGTTTATAGTATGAAGCAGCTTGCTATCTTTAGCCCTATATTCCTTATTATATCTTAACTTCAAATAATCTTATATCAAATAGGTATTTATGAGCAAAGGCAATTAGCAGAACAGCATTGAGTCTTCTACTGATCCTGAAGGTTGATACATCTTCTAATCTTAACAAAGTATCAAAAAATAAAAATTTTCATGATAAGAGGAACTTTTGCACTGGCATTTTCAGAGAAACTTCTCAATTTTATAAATATAAATAAATTATACTTATTTACAAGAAACTAAATGAACTAAATGTTAAAAAATAGTAATAAATATAACTAATATGTATTCATTACATTAGCATATGCCAGCTGCTCTGTCAAGTACTTTGCATGTATTATATTTTGTTACACTTTTAAGATTATATCCATTATCTCAATATCCATTTTAAAAGTGAAGAAATTAAGACATAGAGAGGGATTGTAATGCACAGAGCATGTAAAGAGGAAATCTTTCATTTGAACCATGAAATCTAAATCAGGAATACATGCTTTAAATCACTATACTACTTTTTAAAGAGAGTGCACTTTGGTATCTGAAAGTTCTTTTGCTGACTAGGTGCTCATAAGAGGCTATCCAATTTGAGGGCACTGGAATCAAGTTCACTTGTTCTGCATAATAAAATTTGTTGGAAATTCAAAGCATTAGGCAATGATGTTAGATTTTTTGCAGGAATGGTATAGAAGGAGGGCATTCTAAGTGCTGGTGCATCTGGGAAGATTTGTTAAATGTATATTTATGAGATTTAGTGCTATGTTGCATATAATCTAAAATCTTCTGTCTCCCCTGGAAAATCTTCAGTAAAAATCCATGTATCTCTCCAACATTTTGGTAAAGTGAAAATAACCCAAACAATTGGTGAGGGGTGGAGGTGGTGAGAGATAAAAAGTTTTAATATTCTGTCTTCTAAACAGCTCAAGGCCTAGACAAAATGAATTCACAGAGACATTTAGAAAATAATGATACAGCTGTGTTTTAAGATACAGTTCTTACATAATAAGAACCTCTAAAACATGCTTGTCTGCTTGAAGGCTCAGGAAACCATCTTTCTCTTGAGCTTTTAGTCTATCTTTATCTTTTTTGTCAATATTAAAAACAAAATTGGTTTGGCTTTCCTTTCTTAAATTGGCTGCTATGAATTTCAAATTCACCCTTCCTCTACTGTTATTTTTTTTCACACAGTATCCAAAATGAACTTTGAAAACCTTAAGTAACATCCTGTCTTTCCCATGTTTCAAACCTTTTTGGCTTCCTATCGTTCTCGCAGCAAAACTGAACATCTTCATGGTGGCCTACAAGGTGAATTAGACCTTGCCTTTTTCTCTCATTTCATCTTATGCCATGTTTACTGTGCTACATTCACTCTAGCTTTCTTGCTGTCCATGGAAACACACAAAATGTGGCCTCATCCCAGGCCCTTTTCCAAATGTGTCTCCTTCTGCGTGGAACACTGTTTCCCCAAAAGGTGACCTCTTCTCACTTCATTCAGGTCTCATCTCAAATGACTTTACAACAGAAGAGACTTATTTGAGAACTCCGTCTAACATGATGCCTTCCTTTGTCATTTTTTATATTATTTGGCTTTATTCATTATACTTATAACTACCTTATATGATCAGATTACCCCTGCCATAAAGTACATTCCATGAAAGAAAGATATTTTTTCTGGTTTGTTTTCTACTCCATCTCCACTGTAGGTAATCTATAAATAACTGTGGTATGGATTAACGCAGTAAATTCATCTTACTTTCTGGATCTATGATATATTCATTTATTGTGTTTCTTTCCCCACATTTTTCTATGTTTGTTTAATGTTTTCTTTGCTGTATTTTAGATTTCCTTTTAAATCCTGTCAGAGGCATTTGCAAAAGAATCAAACAAATGTCTGTATAAAATAAACAGAATATTTTCAAATATAAACAAGTGTCGCATCTGGGAAATATAAGATCTGAGAAATTTTTACCTTTGGTTTGACCAAGGCACCTGGGAAATTGAGAAGAAGAAGAAGAAGAAGTAAGGATTGCTCAGAACGAGCTTATGGATATTAATTTATTTTGAGTCCTTCTACCTGATGCCCCCTAACAAAATAGAGAAAAAGCAAAACACAAAGATAGAAGAAAAGAGTGGGAGACTGAAAGGGAGGACATGAAGGAAACAAGGAAGAAAATGAATAAAGGAAGGAGGAAAGGAAGGAGAGAAAGAAGAGAAAGAAGAAAATTATGATCAGTAACGAAGGCCAAATAAATACCAATCCTGGGAAGACGTATTCTATCATATGACTACTAAAAAAAGAATTATAGAAGTAGAAATTTGAATTAATGATTGAATGGGTCACTCCTGTTGCTATGTGACACTCTGTAAAGGTTATAGACTTCAACATTCCTTTTCTTTGTATATGGGGTCCAGTAATTTTCAAGAGATCCATAGTCCTGGGTAATGTCAACATCTTTGTATATGATCCACTTGTTATCCTGGCTTCTCCAATTATTTTGTTATCTGCTTTTCTTCCATTGCCTATTTTTTGGCCCTAGATGAGATTATTTTCCTGAATTTCCATATGTTTGAAATTGTAAGCTGGAAAATGAATAACTTATTGTATGGCATCAAAACATTTAATGATGTAATGTTTGGCATATTTAATGTGTATATAGAGATTTTGGCTTTTGGGGTGAATGGTGGGAAAAAACCAAAATGTGATAAAATTCTGGTTATTTCTTGATATAATGAGCAAAGTTCTGGAAGAAAGGGATAAAGTCAGAATAGAACTATTGGATTGTCAAGCAGACATAGAAAGAACTTCTGCATTGTGGAAGGAGATGCTTTCATGTTTCACCTGACATTTAAATTGATCAAAAGTTACATGATTTGGATTCTTAGAAAGCTCAGAAAGAACTCCTTTTTAAATTCTGTGATCAGCATTTACAAAGTAGAAATACAGGTAGGAGGTGAGATAGTGGTGCCAAGTCTTTCTTAAGTACATTTCACTAAACATATTTTGTCATTCAATTACTGTGAGCCTGCCATAAGATTTTCCTCATTCAGCCTGTTGTTTCAAATTAACGTAAGGCAATGGCATTGTGCTGAAAGGACAAAGGGCCGAACAGAAAAAATTAAACCAACATGTAAAAGGCAAATATCTTAAAGACTATGTCACAGAACATTTTCTGTGATTATTTACCCATAATACAATAATAATGATAGTTGTAATGTAACTAGAATAAAAATAACAGCTAAAGTTTAGATAGCACTCTAATTCAGGCACTGTTGTGACTGCTTGTCATGTATTAATTAATTTAATCCTTTGACTGTTTAGGAGGCTACTATTGTTGCTCTCATTTTGTAAGAGATAAAGTGAGATTACAGAGAGTAAGAAGCAGAGCCATGATTTGATATATGGTAACTCCAGCTTCAAAAGTCTATGTTTTCAACCACAACATCATCAGAAGCCCATTCTTTTGCCGAAGAAACCCCTGACCTTGCCTGAAATAGCTTGTGACTCTTCAAATCTTGGGGTATTTCCTGAGACATCCAACCAACACCAAGGGGAAGTGGGCTATGAAAGTCGGCATGTTCCACGATGCCACTATGTTCATAGCAGAGATGGCAAGAGGTATCTTTCCCCTCAGCAGAACCAGGAACTGCCAGCTTCATTCCCCAAGAACATCTTCTACTTTCAGATTAGAAAGTTCTTCCCCATCTGATCCCTCAGGATTCGATATATTCTAGAAGTTAGCCAATGCTGTTTATTCCCTATTCCTTCCTTTCTGAATGGGAATTATTTTTAAAACTGTAATTTCCTGCTTTTTCTAAACTATTATATATTGTATAACATCGACAATAGTGTTGGTGTCAGACAAGCTTTAAGGCTTAAATTGACAGGTCTTCAGACCTTTAAGAAGCTATTCCTGGACCTGACAGAGCTTCAGTAATCACTAACCTTTGACTGGAGAGAGTCACTGGATGAGACTAGCTTGGGAAGGAGTGAATGGGAATGAAAGGAAGTATGTAAATGATTGATTGTGGTATAGCAAGAGATAGCCTGAAGAAGATAGTTCTAATTTTTCTATCAAATATCTTTTCCTCCAGCTCTTATTTACTAACAATATTGATTTTAAGTTGTCGATCAGGGTGGAATATATCCCCTTTCCCATGCTCTCCCCCTCCCCTACCAAAAAAAAAAAAAAAAAAAAAAGAGAAATGCCATGTCTCAGGGTTCCTTATCACTACAGCCAAAAGGAAATAAACCGAGAATTCTGGGGTTTTCTAAGATTTTTTTTTTCTTAGTTTTAGGAGATATGACTTTCCCTTTGTTCGTGTACATTTCCTCCTTCTTAGTTGGAATATATATAGGGAAACTGGAAGCAGATCTACCATCTTAGATCATGAGGATGAAAACCATGCACTCAGTTTGGCAGAGCAGCAAGGAGCTTCATCACCTACTCAGAGAGCATCACTGACCATGAAGTACCTGTTTTCTGACTTTATGTTGGAACAAAGGAGTAGCGTTTTATCACGTGTAGGCAAATATTTAAAACTAATATAACTGATCCAATTAAGCTTGCATCTTTAATTCCCTCCACACACACCAGTAAAAAACCAAATTTTGTTTCCATAGGGCTTCTAACAAGAGGCAAGGCCATTAGGTAGTTTATATTTAATTTCTAGAACTATCTTAGCGACATTTTTCACAGAGAGGTTTCCCAAACTCAGAGTAATCCTGTACTCCTCATTATAAGTTGTCCTGTAGATAGAAATGGTCACAGCCATTTTTCTATCCCTACTATTGTAAATTTAGAATATGGTCCGCTTGCTATGGGAAGGCGAACTCAATTGTGGTAGTTGGGGCCCTCCAATGGCTCCCTCATGACCACAGTGGACATGTCTCCCGGGACGTCAGTAAGTTTTCCCTGAATTCTTGCCTTCTCCCACATCATTGCATCTCCTCATTTATATTTTTCTTGTTTTTAAGTTTGTGGTATGCTTCTAGCATCAACCCTTGTTTTTAGGACTGTTAAAAGACTTTTTTTCCTCTTTATTTTCCTTCTCTTCAAATAGTTCAGTCAGGGTGCAAGAAGGTTGTTTAGAGTCAATTTTATGTCATCTTTCCTCAAAGTCTTTCTTCAAAATTAATCTTATTCTTAGGAACAGTATTGACAAAATTGTATATAAACAATGTAATACTTATTTCTTAGCCTTTTATAAAGAGTCATATCAGTATTTTATTTTTAAGGAAGGGGTTAAAAAACAGTAGAAAGTATCATATAAACATTTTGCATGTACTTATACATTCCTTTAAAAAATGAAGTAAGGAACACACATATTTTATTCCATCTTTCTATCTTCCAGATTTCATTGTTGTCTTCGCATTTTTAGTCCTTCTTGAAGTTCTCTTTATGACCTTACATAATAAACTTTAAATCCTGTTTATTAATGTATCTGCATTAAACTTCATCTATTGATGCCATCCTAAGGAAATACAATTAATGTTCTTACTATATTCTTATCCTTATTTGCCTCCCCCTTCTTCTGAAAAATTTTTGTCATATTATTACAAAATGGATAGCATTTACTTTCTGTGACCCCACTTTTGAACAGTTGTTAAATCTAAATTTTATATTTAGGTGAATGCCGTGTCTGCACTTAATCCTGTTAAAAAAAACCATTAAATTTCCTGAGGTTACTGGGAAATTCCAGACTTGCAGAAATTTTTTTTTACAATGTAGAAATGTTAATAATGTATGTTTCTTTATTACCTTTCTACATGCTGCTGTGTTGACTAATCTGTGTAATAGGTATGAACACAACATATCACATTTTTTTGAGGCTATTTCTTCTATCATGTTAATCAGTAATGTCCAGCAGGAGGAAATTAGCAAATTGTATCCCCTAGAAATGTATACTCTGCTCTTCTCTAAATCAGGATCAGAGGCTGTCGTCTGTCAACCCTTTTCTTTCTTTGGGGTTCTTATTGGTAAAAGATGTTTGTATGAAGCAGCAGCCTCCTTCTTATGACCCCTGTCATTGAGGCAGGACTTTCAGGAGTGGCAGGGCAACAGATATTCTTCCTCCCATTGGAAAAAGAGAGGTTAATGTCAGAACTTTTGACAGACGTCAGAGTGCTCTCCAAAATAGGCAGACCCTGCCAATAGCAGGTGATTGACATTTATTCTTCTGAGAAATTCATTCTTTCCAGGAAGCTCCCTCAGAAGCACTTCATTTTTAAATTTTTTTTGTCTGAATCCTAGCACCAGGTTGACAGATCTATGGTAGTTGTTATTTGCTCAAGGAAATCTGTCGATGTCAATATTTTCTAGATGGTTGGCCTAGGAGAGATAGAGTTATAAAAGATAAGGTTCTCATTGCCCATTGAAGTCTGGAAAATCCTTTCCTGAGGATGGTAATCTAGACTATTATTTATATCCCAACAAGCCTTTCCTATTTTCTGATATCTCATTCTCTTGTATAGAAAATATTCTCATCCTTCCTGCTTTTAATTCAGTGTTTTATCCTAAATTCTTTCTCATCCCTCCCCTAGGATTTTCTTCTCGTTCCCCTTCTGAACTGGTCTTCTCTGATTTGAGATCTTAGATAATCTCAAAGTAGGGTCTTATTTCCCCCTTTGATTCTTTTCCTTCCTTTCACTCTACCTCATGTTCCTACATTCTTATTGTTTCCCATAAATATTTCACCTGAAATTGAAAATGTGCAAGGAGTTCCAATGATTCTATAAAATCATATTTTAAATGTTGTCACTAAGCTTTCTTAATGATCTGATTTTCTCAAAACAGTTATTACAGTGTTTTATTTTGAAAAGTTGCTCAAATATACATGTTAAGTCTTCTACAGTAATATATTTAATTTTTCTGATATTTTCTTGTTTTCAATAATATATCTTACCTGTTAGCCTGTTTTTTTCTAATATAAATATTAAAATTTAACTCATAGGTACCTGAGAAGCAAATTTAGTTTACACTTACTATAGAAATAAGAAAACTGAGGTCAAAATGTTAGATGCCTTCTCTAAGATCACATAAGTTGCTTACTTACATAATTAGCACCAAAACTGGTATCTACTTATACTCAAATGTGCTTCCTACCACACTATGCTGCTTTTGATGAAACTTATTGATATATCTAATAAATATTTTTAATTATTTTTGAATTAATTTAAAAATTAACTGGCATCAAAATGGTTATCTTTAGCAAAATTCAATGGAAGAAATATATAATTTAGCCACTTTGAGGGACTTTTACATTGATAGTCATTGAAAACTGGTCAGTTTTCATTGTTTTTCATAAGAATACTATATTCTCATAAGAATACTATAAGGCATTATTTAACAGTTCCACCACTGAACTGGCCGGGACCATCGTGTCCTTTGTACTCAAAATGATAACTAAAATTATTCATTTGATATGTAACTCTCCTTTTACTCATGAGACACAGATGTATGCTACTATATTGCCTGAAAAAATTCCACAGTAAGACTGCGGTGATATAATCATGGTGTACTAGTTTTCTATTGCTGCATTTTAAAAGTACCACAAACTTAATGACTTAAAACAAAATCGAATTATTAGCTCATAGTTCTAAGGTTCAGAAGTACAGATGGGCTTGGCTGGGTCTATGCTCAGGGAATCATAAGGCTGAAATAAAGGTATAAACCAGCCTGAGTTTTTATTCAGAGGCTCTGAGAAAGAATTCCCTTCTCAGCTCCTTCTGGTTGTTGGAAGAATTAATTTCTTTGGGGTGGTAAGACAGAGGTTCCCATTTGCTTGCTGGCTGTCAGTTGTAGGTGCTCTCAGTTTCTAGAGGCTACCTGTATTTCTTGCCATGGGGACCCGTCCGTCTTCCAGGCATCAATAGCTTGTCAAATCCTGCTTGTATTTCGAATCTCTCTGACTTAATTTTATGCCACCAGCCAGAAAAAAGTCTGAATTTAAAGGACTCATGTGATTATATTTGTATAATATATGTAATTTACATATTACATGTAATAATCCATGTAATTTCCCTATTTTCAGGTCAACTGATTAGTAACTTAATTATATCCTTGGCTGTGTAAAGTGACATACTCACGGTGAGGCATCTCAGCATATTTCCTGGAGATTAGGGCAGGAAATCTTGGGGGCTCACTTTTAGAATTCTGTCTGCCATAATTGGTAATTTCTTTATCTCTGGTGAGTAGAAAACGAAAGTGCCCAGCACAAAAGTCAAATGGTAGATCTGATGAGTAGGTTCAATACTTTCTGTGTCACTTCATTCTTATCCCTGCTATCAATGCAAATTCATATTTTAAATTCCTGCTTTACTTCCCAACTCTGTCATCAGAATCTGTACTTTCCCTTTCACTTTCTTTCTTTCCATTTTATTTTTAAAGATTTAGGCTACTGTCTTATATTAACTTGGGCATTCTGAATGCCTCCGTTATCAACTGAACCATGGAAGAGTTTTATCAGGCTCTGTGTTTGTGCGTGTGCATGTTGTTATTATGGTTTATCCCTGGGATATTTCCATAAATCTGGTAGATCTGCTTCTCCACTTAATTAACTTGGAATGCATACCAGTTAGCAGCAGGCACTGCAAGGGTCTTTTCTTCTACTCCTAAAATAGTTCTTAATAATATGTTATACTCTAGAACAGCTGTATTTAGGCAGAGAGTTGTCCTTTTCCCTAAAATAATTGTAAATATTCTCTGCTCCATAGAACCCTTCTGAAAAATTGTTAACCACATTTTTCCAATGACAGGATGGGAATTAAATTGAAAAAAGAGTTGAGTTTTGTTTATTTATTTAAATAATTTTGACTTTTATTTTAGAGTCAGGGGGTACATGTGCAGTTTTGTTACATAGGAATATTACATGATGCTGAGATATTGGGTATGGATGATCCTGTCACCCAGGTAGTGATCATAGCACCCAATAGGTAGTTTTTCAGCCCTTTCCCCCTACTCCCTCCCTTCCTCCTGTACTAGCCCCCAGTGTCTGTTATTCCCATCTATGTCCGTGTGTGCTTAACGTTTAACTCCTACTTATAAGTAAGAACATGCAGTATTCAGTTTTCTGTTCCTGTGTTAATTCCCTTAGGATTATGGCCTCCAGCTCTATCCATGTTGCTTCAAAGGATATGATTTCATTCTTTTTATGGCTGCATAGTATTCCATGGTGTATATGTACCACATTTTCTTTATCCAATTCACTGTTGATGGGTATCTAGATTGATTCCATGTCTTTCCTATTGTGAATAGCACTATTGTGAATAGCGCTGTGATGAATATTAGGCTGTGTGTGTCTTTTTTGTAGAATGCTTTATTTTCCTTTGGGTATATATCCAGTAATAAGATTGCTGGGTCATGTGGTAGTTCTATTTTAAGTTATTTGAGAAATCTCGAAACTGTTTCCCACAGTGGCTGAACTACTTTACATTCTCACCAGCAGTGTAGAAACATTCCTCTTTCTCTGCAGCCTTGCCAGAATCTGTTATTTTTTGACTTTTTAATAATAGCCATTCTGACTGGTGTGAGACGGTATCTCATTGTGGCTTTGATTTGCATTTTTCTGATGATTAGTGATGATGAGCATTTGGCATTTGTTCATATGTTTGTTGGCCACATGTATGCCTTCTTTTGAGAAATGTGTGTTTATGTTCTTTGCTTATTTTTAGTGGAGTTATTTGGGTTTTGATTGTTGATTTGTTTAAGCTCCTTATAGATTCTGGATTTTAGACCTTTGTCGGATGCATAGTTTGGGATATTTTCTGACATTTGGTAGGTCGTCTGTTTACTCTGTTGATAGTTTCTTTTCCTGTGCAGAAGCTCTTTAATTAGGTCCCACTTGTCAATTTTTGCTTTTGTTGCAGTTGCTTTTGAGAACTTAGCCACCAATTCTTTGCCAATGCTGATGTCACAAAGAGTAATTCCTGTTTTTTTTTTCCCCTAGGATTTGTATAGTTTAAGGCCTTGTATTTAATCTCTAATCCATCTTGAGGTTTTTTTTGTGTGTGTGTGTGTGTGTATGGTGAAAGACAGGAGGTCCCATTTAATTTTTCTACATAGGGATAGCCAGTTATCCCAGCATCATTTATTGAATAGGGAGTTCTTTCCTCATTATTTATTTTCGTCAACTTTGTCAAAGATCAGATGGTTGTAGGGGTGTGTACATCTTAAACTTATATTATGTAGGTTTAATTTTAACTGATTTGATCACAATCCTCAAGACAATAAATTAATCAGAAAGCATTTTCTTACTTGTTTGCTTGAACTAAGAGTCAGTCTATTTTGTGTCTATTTTTATTCCTGAGGAGCTGGGGTTGAAATTGTATCTCTATTCAGTTTGCCAGGCCCCAGTTTTGTTCAGATACTTAGTTTGCAATAATCTGGAGCTCTTGAAGATATTCTTGATTGTAGGGAGTTACATTGCTGTAAATATGTCTTTCAGGCTTATCTGAATTTATTTCATAATTGGGGCTCCACTTTCTTCTCTCTGTCTCTCTCTATATATATATCTTATCTAATACATGCAAAGTATTAAGGAGTTTTTGTAATTAACTCACTCAATGTGTCATCTCTCATAACAGATCATTTACTAAAAGCAATGTTTTTACTTCACAGTTGCTGAATATATCATTTTACCTCTATTTTAGGTTCCTCCCATGGCCCTTGTAAGTGACCTTAGAAGCAAAAAAGAATTACAGAATTTATTCTTTACCTCCCTTCTTCTTTGTGTCTCCCTTGGCAGTTCCATTCCTTTTGTATTAGAATGTTACCATTCTTTGCAGAGCTCACGTAGAAGGTTATCCATATATTTCTGGTTTTGAGACATTGCCAATGTGCTTTTTAAAAAAAGTCTCTCCCTGATTGTTGTCTATGTGTCATCTGTCTAGCTTGCACCTAGCTATTGTCTTTTTCCTTTTATTCTCAGTCTCCACCATTTTCTTTTGCTTCATAGGTTGCCACTTCAATAAATGTTTCCGTAGGTAGGTATCTTTAAATATATTTTCATCCATCACTATTTTTTTTTCTGTGATATACTTATATTGCATCTACATATACAGTTCATTCCTTCTAACTTCTGTTCCTTAGTTTGTATCCATCACATTTGACTTAATTTGATTTTAACTTTTTTTCCCTTTTATGCAGTCATAGGTAATTCTCACAGATTTGTTGACAGGTCTGTTGACTTATGACTACTCTGTTTTCTTTTCATTTATATACCCCGGTCCCTGGTAAAGAGGATGAATCTAACTTATCATATGTCTTCTGCTGGAAGGGTGTTGGGACAAACTTCCTTTCATTTCTGCTATAAAATTCTGATAGAGTTCCATGCTGCAGTTTTGATATAATCTTCATTTTCTTTCTTTTCCAGTGTTAGGTAATTCCATATCTCCCGAAGCAATCAAATGACTAGCCTCCAGAAATCTAGTAGTTAGTAGTGATTCTGGCAACTTCTAACAGAACTATGTGAATAAAATTCCTGTTAATACTTTAAAAGTACAAATGAGAGGAGACTAATTTGATTTTGAGGTATAAATGCTTAGAAATTGAATTTTGTGGCCGGGCGCAGTGGCTCACGTCTGTAATCCCAGCACTTTGAGAGGCCAAGGCGGGCGGATCATGAGGTCAGGAGATCGAGACCATCCTGGCTAACATGGTGAAACCCCGTCTCTACTAAAAATACAAAAAATTAGCCAGGCGTGGTGGTGGGCGCCTGTAGTCCGAGCTACTCGGGAGGCTGAGGCAGGAGAATGGTGTGAACCCAGGAGGTAGAGCTTGCAATGAGCCGGGATTGTGCCACTGTGCTCCAGCCTGGGCAACAGAGCAAGACTCCATCTAAAAAAAAAAAAAAAAAAAGAAAAGAAAAGAAAAAAAAAGAAATTGAGTTTTGTTTCTAGACAATTTCCTAACGAATTAAAAGAGCTGTAGATATTTTATAGCTGCCTTTAGTTCTGTTTCATCTAGGGACTTATACCTAGAACTCAGAAAATATAATAAAGAATGGCATTTGCATTAAATGTAATTTTTTCATTTAAAATAATCACGTAGGGCTCTTTTGGCTCTGAGTTCCACATCAAATTGTGAATCGTGACACCCAAAGCAGTCTAGTAAGAATGTGTCCACACAATGGCACACAAATATTTTAGAAAAGACCAAATGCATACAGATGTGGGCTGGTGTTATTTACTCACGGAACCAGCAGGAACAAAGGCATATCTTACTCAAACAGTTGGTTAAATATTTTGTCCCAGAGAGGGAGGTTTATATTTCATATAACTGATGACCTTCAAGTGAATTGAAATGGCTTGAGAGTCATACTTTTTAGCCTTGCCTTTCTGCTTGCATTTTGATTGGTGATTGCTTTGCCTAAGTACAAATTTTAAAGGTGATTCATGACCAAGCATGAAAATTTGCAAATAGCAATCTTCCAAGATATATGAACAAATATTCTCTTTCTAAAGGGTCTTGTTTAGTTTTGTATAAAGAACAGATTAATGTTTTCAGTGCATTACTCTAGTAGACAGGAAGCTTAGGCTGGAGTTTTGGGGAATTTTTTGAATCACAAACTCGTTACAAATCCAACAAAAGCCCTGGCCAGGAATATCTGCGTTTGGAAAATTCACATATTCGTTTTAAAACACATTTTAAAAATAATTTTAGGTGAACTATAGAACCCTAAAAAATACACCCCATTCACATATTATAAATACCATTCACAGATTCCTCTTGCAGTCCGTAGATCTCCCAGGCCAAGTAAATTGGTACTTGCCAATTATGTGGACCCTGAGCATTTCATTTCATGAACACTCAGCATATTCATTTATAATATGTATAATGGAGAATATAAACTAGACAGTATTTTTAAAGTGTTAGCATTATCTTTCTTACTAAAGTGCAAAAACATGTCAGTTAAACAAGTAGTACATTTAGTTAAAAATGGAGGGAACATACAGTCTGGCTGATATTTGGAATAAATTTTGTCCAGTGGACAAATCAGTTGTCTACGTATCCTAAACTTTGAAAATATGTGAGTCTCTGGTATCAATGCAAGCTACTGTCATTTTGTGTATTTCGCAAGTTTGTTTACACTCACAAAAAAGGGACATGGCTACCACAGGGAAAATTATAATAATCTATTCATAGACAAAATTTGTCATAATTAGATTAATTTACAAACTTGCCTGAGGTTTGTTGTTATTAATTCACTTAAAGACAATTTTAAATATTCTATTAATTAATGCTTTCTTTTATAATTTAATGAAATATATTTCAAATGACAACTCTTAAAGTTAAGTGGAGGTCATTATATTTTTCTGTCATAGAAATCAGGACAAGGCTGTAAGTAATGTGTCTATAATTCCACAGAGTCAACCCACAGATGAACATGCCCATACTTACATGACTGCAAAATGTATTAACAGTCAGAAATTTCCTTTGATGCTTAATACACCATTGGTGGGAATGTAAACTAGTTCAGCCACTGTGAAAAGCAGTTTGGGAATTTCTCAAAGAACTTAAAACAGAGCTAACATCCACCCAATAATCCCATTACTGACTACATACATAAAGAAAAAGATGTCGTTATACCAAAAAGACACATGTGTGGGTATGTTCATCACCACACTATCCACAGTAGCAAAGAGATGGGATCAACTTAGGTGCCCATCATGGTGGAATGGATAAAAAAAATGTGGTACATATACACTATGGAATACTATGCAGCTATAAAGAGGAATAAAATCATGTCCTTTGCAGCAATATGAATGAAGCTGGAGGTCATAATCCTAAGTGAATTAAGTAGGAATAGAAAACCAAATAATATATGTTTTCACTTATAAGTGGGAGGTGAACATTGAGCAGACATGGACATAAACATGGAAGCTATAGGCACTGTGGATTACGAAAGCTGAGAAGAACTGGGGGAAAACATGGGTTGCAAAATTACCTATTGGGTACTATGCTCACTACCTGAGTGCAATATACCAATGTAACAAACCTACACATATGTCCCCATATCTAACATAAAAGTTGGAACTTAAAGAAGAAAAGAAATTTCCTTTAATTGGTTGAAGAGTTCTTTTGGCAAGGGAGATAATATTGGGAGATAATATCTGGGGATTTCATAATGGGTCAGAACATTTTGAGATAGAAAACAAATATATCAAGATGCTCAAACTTTGTCACCTACACTTGTTTGAGTAAATGCTCATCACAGAACCATTGGAACACATTAAAATAATTCAGTTGTAAATAATTTTAATCTGCCTTTTATTTTTAAATCTTCACTTAAAAAACAGCACCAGTAGTGAGCTAAATGGTGGGTCCCCATGGTATATATGTCGTAATCCCCAGAAGCTATGAATTTTACTTTATTTCAAAAAGAGGTCTTTGCAGATGTAATTAAGGATTTTGAGGTGAGGAGATAATCTTGGATTATCTGGGTGGGCCCTAAATCCAGTGACAGGGGTTCTTATATGAGGAAAAATCAAACACAAAGGAGAAGGTGATGTAGAGACAGAGCCTGAGCTCACAGCAATGTGACCGTAAGCCAAGAAAGCTGACACGCACCAGAAACAAGAAAGGGAAAGGAAAGGAGTCTCTCCAGGAGCGTCTGGAGGGAATATGGCTCTGCTAACACCTTGCTCTAACATTTCTGACCTCTAGTACTGTGAAAGAATACATTTTTATTGTTAGCCACCTAATTAGTGGTAATTTGTTACAGCAACCCCAGGAGACTACTCAGCAGTTTTCAAATGATCTTTCTTTCTTTTTTTTTTTTTTTTTCTTGTATTAGTTTGCTAGGGCTACCATACCAAAACAAGCAGAGTGGCTTAAATAACAGAAATTTATTGTCTTACAGTTCAGGAGGCTGGTAGTCCAAAATCAAGATGTCAGCAGTGTGGTTCCTTGTGAGGGCTATAAGGGAAGGATCTCTCCCAGGCCTCTCTCCTTGGATTGCAGTTGGCCATCTTCCCCCCTTGTCTCTTCTCGTTGACTTCCCCTCTATGTGTATCTCTATATCCATATTTTTTCTTCTTATAAGGATATCACTTCTATCAGATTAGGACCCTCTTGAATGACTTCATTTTAACTTGATTACTTCTGTAAAAACCTTACTTCCTAATAAGGCCACATTTTAAGGTACTGGCATTTAGGACTTTAACATATGAATTTGCAGGGAAAAACAAACTCTTCATAGACCCTCCCTCCCTCCCTCCCTTCCTCCCTCCCTCCCTCCCTCCCTCTCTTCCTTCCATCCATCCATCCATCCATCCATCCATCCATCCATCCATCCATCCATCCTTCTTTCCCTCCCTCCCTTCCTTCTTTCCCTCCCTCCTTCCCTCCCTCCCTCTTTCTAGCAGTAACCAGTGTAACTAACTGTAAAAAGAAGTAGACTGTATAAGACTTAATGTATGAAAGAAATAACTATTTCATGGATGTGATTATAAACATCCCAGATTTCATTAAACTAGCAAAGCACCATTGATTGGTGAATAATATCCTTATTTCATACTTTTGGAAAAAGTACATCAACTTTGTTATTGCTAGCTGTGTGAATTTCAGGATCAACTCTGAATTTCCTGTATTAGTAAAGATTGAGAAGATAGAGTTTATTTTCTTTTTCCTACACTCTAGCTCTGACCTTATAGTTTGTCTCATTTTCCTCATCTCTTTTTCTTTATCTTCTGCTCCATTGGCTTTACTCTAGTAGTTTCAATGGAAAGGAGATCATGCCTCCAATCTAACCAGCAAAACAAATGTCTAATTATTATTCTGGCCTCGATTGTGTCACATACTCTTTTGTAGTAAAGAGCCATGGCTGATGACTATAAAATTCTAGTAGATTCAGCAACATGCTCATCCCTGAAGCCAGTATTGGAATTAACTCTACACAAAGTACATGAAATTGGTTGGGAGTGAGAGTTGGATGGTATTCAGGGAAAGATCAGTGCTGTGTAAACCGAAGGAAGTGAATTGATGCTGAATAGTCAGCAATGCCAACTTTCTGCTCTACTCATCCCTAAGAAGCGTTCCTTTGCCTTCATCACTTTTCCTAGGTTTCTCTAAGGACCTGATTTCAACCAAAATGTACCTAAGCATTCTGAAATTACATACCTCGTTTATTGCATTAGTTTTTTTTAAAGGTGATTTTAGTGATATAAAAAGAGCCGCAAGTGTATCTGCACACCACCCAGAAAATAAAAAGGAATCATAGGGAGGTTGAACCTAAAAGTAGGAGATCTAGAAGTAACATTAAATATCTATAAAACTTTGAGTTGTCACATGACCTCTCTGCAGAGATCATAGAATCTTTACCTATATAACGAATGAATTGGACAACATGTTCTCCAAAATGTCTTCTGCCTCTAAAGTTCTATGATTTCATTAGAAGTGATGATATAGTAATACCAAAACTTTGGTTTAAATGTAGTATCTACCATATTGGGGGAGTATCCCAGGAACAAAACAATCTAATAAGTGAAGTCAAATTCTAAAAACACTGCAGTATTACTTATAAATATTTGTCTTTAGTAAAATAAATCCTAATAGTAACACATACCATTTAAAATACTTTCTTCGGGTGAAAAAATATAGTGATGATTTTAGACTCATTTATTCTAAAGTATCAAGAATTGAGGAAGGTTCAAAGCGTTGTACCTCCTTGAATTAGAATTTACACACACACATGCGTGCACATGCACACACACATACATGCATACATGTATTCACAATTTTGCTTTTTCTGTCTAGTTTATTGGCATGGGTTATTTTTTTCTTATATCTTTGAACATTATAGGGTGTTGCTTCCAGTAGTTTGGTTAAATCATAAAAAGAATTTTTTTTACAAATATTTGTGCTATTATTTTGCAAATAGGAAAGATTATGCTTCAATAAATTAGAATTAAGCTAGTTGGAGAGTAAGTAAACTAACACTTATTTCCTAATTAAAACCTAGCTACATGATTTCTTTACTCCTCTAGTCTTACTATTCTCTAGGAAATTAGCACTTTAAGGAACTGTAAAATCCACTAGAAAATGCCACAGTCATTTTGCCATTATCAAGTTGGTTTGTGACTTTCTCTGTCAGATCTGGCTTCCAACTGTTTAATTTTTCAAAAAATAGAGATTGTCTTCAAAATAAGAAACACTCTGTTGGTGATAAACATGCATACGGCATTTATCTTAGTGATTAAAATAGATTATATTGGATTTCATCAAATTGATAATAAGGGAATGTGAACATGTCAATTGTTTTCCCTGGCTCGTCTGTGCGAAACTGGACTTTAGGTCAGAAGACCCCAGGGTGTTGATACAGTTGCTTTTTCCCTCTTCCTTGTTGACCTGAGATCACTGAGGAAAAAAACTAGGAAGAAAAATGAACTAAAGTTCAAGGCTCTGACTAATACAGGGAAGACACTGCTTTTCGTTGTCTATTGGTGTATTAAGATCAGCTGGTTGGGGAGCACCTTTGGTCACGATACTCTGTAAATAAATATCCTCTGTTTTATTTTTTATCATAAATTATTATTTTGTATGCTTTTTAGTATTTATGACCTTCTCTCTATTTGTTTATATGAAAGGAAAATAATCTGTAATGAAATAACTCCTTGGTATATTCTGGCTGCAGGCGTAGGTAGCTGCCAAAAGGCTTAAAGAAATGGAAATATTTATAAACTGAGGCATATATTGCACATATACCTAATTGTATAGAATGATGTTAAAGATATAAGAGTGCCACATTTCTATGTGTCACCAGTGCCTCTAGGAGACATAGAACCCTGGAATATTTGGGCCTTTCCACCAACGTACTCAGGAAGCAATGCATATGTTGGCAAGAACTTGCTCCTTCTGTAGAACTCTGGAATCACCACTTACCAGATGTACTGTTTTCAATGAGTGACTTAATTACTAGTTCAAACCAGAGAATTTTGTGAGTATCAAATTAGATTTGCATGTGAAAGTGGATTGGAAACTGTAAATCTCTCTATTAATGTGGCTTTGCTAAACATTTTTAGGTTGCAAATAATGAAATCAAGATGAGGGGCAGAGAGAGAGAAAGAGAGAGAGAGGGAGTTATACCATAAGGAGACAAGAATACTTCATCAAACCTGAGAAAAGAAAGTACAGTTGAAGTTCATTAGGAACTAAAATTGGGAACTAGAAATACATTAGGAAATAAGAGCTTTCTCTCTTTCTACGGTGCATGTTTCCTTTTTCTTTCCTACCTAGCAATTCTATGTAGTTCTAAGGACTACTCCCGAGTCCAAATAACCAATGTAACCTAATTAATGTCTCCAAATACCAATTTCAGATTTAATAGGAGGATGATGTGATAGGGTTGGGTTGGGTCATATATTTTGTTAAACCAATTAGAGCTGGGAGAGAATTTTCATATAATATATTTTCAGGGGCTAGGGTAGAGGGCAGTTCTCAAAAAAGTAGTGGTTGCTTATTGGGTATAAATCCAACAGGATAATGTGAAAATCATAAAACAATGTTATAAATAAGAATGTAATGTTATTTATATTCACAATTATGTTCTTGTGACCACTATAGGATGTTTACCTATTCACTACTGTCATTATTAAAAATTAATGACCCACTCCAATCACACTTTTACTTCCACCAGTTCACCAAAACTTCAAGGTTGCCGGTGACCTGCGTTCAATTAATTCTAATGGTTAATTTTCTGTCCCAATCTTTCCAGTCTGTAGCCCTTGATATTATTGTTTTTTCCTTCTTCATTTTCATTATTTATATAGCTTGTAGAAAACCATACACTACGGTTTGTTTTCTCCTAACTCATTAGTTGCTCCTCACTTTCTGTTGCTGTTTCCTCCTCTTCTCTAGCTTCACATTGTTGGAGTGCTCTAAGACACAGTTCAGAGCCTCCTTCACTTCATTAACTACACTCACTCCCTTGATGATAGTCCTAGATGTGAGTCCTATCATCTCATAGCTCTAAATACTATCTGTAATATATGTTGACAACCCATAATTCTTTATGTCCAATTCTGACTGTTTTCTCAAACACCAGGTTTATGTATCTTCTTGGAGGTTTTAGTATCTTGAATTCAGTATGCCCGACATCAATCTCCTGATTTATTCCCTCAAAACTACCCTACCAGAAGACTTCCCCATCTCTAATTATTCAAGAAATAAAGGGTTAATTTCAAAATTCAGAAACATTGTTTAATAACATAGGCAAAATAAAGCCATTTTCAGGTAAGCCAAAACCAAGAAAGTCTTGCAGGTTGAAGGAAAATGATACCAGATGGAGAAATGGAATTTTAGGAAGAAATATGGAGGATTAGAAATGAAAGATATATGAGTAAACATAGAAGACAAATTTTTTATTTTGTTTGATTATTTTGTTTATTGTGTTTACATATAGTTTTTTAATGTAAAAATTATAATATATTTTAATTTATGTATGTGTAATACATATGACAATTATAGCATAAAAGACTGGAAAATTATAGCATAGAAGACTGGAAAAGAAGGCAAATAAGCCTATATGGCTGCACATTTTCTATGTTTTACATGAATTAATAAATTAATTATTATTAATAATGGAGTCTTGCTCTGTTGCTAGGCTGGAGTGCAGTGATGCGATCTCAGCTCACTGCAAACTCTCCCTCCTGGGTTCACGTGATACCCCTGCCTCAGCCTCCCAAGTAGCTGGGATTACAAGCACCCACCACCACACCCGGTTAATTTTTTGTATTTTAGTAAAGATGGGGTTTCACCATGTTGGCCAAGGTGGTCTCGATCCCCTGACCTTGTGATCTGCCTGCGTCGGCCTCCCAAAGTGCTGGGATTACAGATGTGAGCCACCTCACCCGACCAGAGATGTGAACATTTTTAAATAAGAGGGTACACTATGGTATATTTAGAATATTTATCAGGGTATATTCACCTCTTGTGATCTTCCCATTCCATGTCAATAGTACATGTCTCTAATCCATAGAAATTGTGTTAGGTCAAGGGACATGATTTTACAGTAGGACGTGCAGAAGGAATGCAGTAGGGATCAAATATTAAGCATAGATCTTAAGAGACATCACACAGTTTGGCTTGCACTCTCTGGGACCTTCATATCTCCTCTATAAGAAGAAGGTACCCCAGGTAGCTACTGTTTCTTCAGCCTTAGGTCCAGCATGAACCAGGAGAAACAAAATTCAGCAACTCTGAAGATGCATATGCTGAGGTGGCACCATGCTAGCTGACATTTGGACTGAGTGAGATAAGATCCTCATAGTTGGGTACCACTGAGATTTTCTGGCTATTTGTCATGCAGCAATATTGCAACATTATTTGACTAGTATACTTCTTTGTACTCCCTCCCCAAAGATAGATATAAAAATTTAGTTAAAATTATTTTGACTGTAGAAGTTCATAATTTAAATCATATATGGTAAGGAAAACAAAATAAAATTAAACAAAAACTTACATGCATGTGGAACAAATTTAGTAACTAAATTTATACAAGGCCAAAGCACCTTTGCACTCGTGGCCAAGTACATTGCCATGTAAGATATGAATGTGTCTCTTCTCTGATAATTTTATTTGCAGTGAGTCTGGAAAAGCTTCATAATGAGAGTGAGGTTTTAGAAAACCTTGAATAATAAAAGAGGCCTGACCAGGTTATGGGAAGTATTATATGTCAGAATAAGTTATAAGTTCTCTTTTAATGTTATAACAAATTGCAATTTTCTGTCATTTGGAGCCTCTGTTGACATGCTTTTCAAGTTTCAGCAGGAGCTTCTTGCAGAGTAAGTTTTGTAAGCTTATTCAGTGATTCCAGGGATATAGCTGTCACGATAGTATCCCTGATATTTGAGTAATAGCATTACTTTACATTAATGCCATCCTATATTAGCTTGATCCAAAAATCAGTGAGTTCCAAAACCACTCCTGAGACTTGTTATTGGAAAGGAGGAATATATAGAATGTAGAAACATAGTCTAAAAAGATAGTAGAAAGATGAGGCTTACTTCTGAGAGAAATGTTAATTTGAACTCCATAGGTTGGCAGCAAACCTTAAGGATTGCAGAAAAAGTATTTGCTTATCTAAACACTGTTGTCTATCTGTTTAAAATCTTTTACTTTCGATTTCTACAGTTTTAAGCTTTATTTCCTATGGCATTTCTTTGAAACTTTGTTCAGTAAACATTTTATGCCCAGGACTTTGATGAGGCACAATTTTGGAAGGAAAATAAAGAAGATAATAGAGTTTCCCTGTACCAATGCCTGCCCCTAAAAACTGTACAGTCTAGCTCTCATAGCTTACAAGCTCTCATAGCTTATCCAAATTTGAATGTAAACAGTTTTTCTTTAAGAAGGCTTCATTAAGCTGGAAGAACTATCACTTTGTATATGGTTATGTCCCTAGCCTGGATGGATCATGACTGATGCCTTCTATTACATTTCATTAGTATTCATGATGGTACTGGTGTAGCTGCTATGAGTGAAAGCTTGGCAAAAAGAAACCCAAGAACTGTATGAAGTAGAATATGTTAGAGATATTTGATCCCTTTCTCCTTTTTCTTTGCTGCTCAAATTTGGTTACAAAACTTTCATTTTGAAGCTATTTAAGAGAGTTAAAAACAAAAGTAAGTGCATGCATACACATACACAAACACAGTAAAATTCAAATTAAAATGGATTTGACAACAATAATGTATACCCAGTAAGACGTTTTTAGAGGAGTTAAAAATCCAAAGTGATGTAGATTGATTTCATTTCATTTCTTCCCTTCTGATACTGAAATATTTCTACTTACTACTGAAATAACATAGTTATGGTATTCAAGACCCATTCATTTCAAAATGGATATGAGAAGGAGCTGCATATTTCATCTATCTTTCACGAGAAACAGAAGAAGCATTTATTGTTTGAATTTCATTGATTTCTTTTTTGTATGTCACATGATACTTTAATTATGTATCACTTCTCCCTTGTAAGTAATCATTTCAAATAACACAGTGGTTCATGTTAAGGAAATGATTCATCTTCCTAATGTATTTGAAACTATGGTTTGCAACTATTTTAGACACTAGATTATAATTCTATGTTATGCAAAACATCTTGGGAGTCTAAAATTAATGTCGATAAGAAGCTTATGCAACAAGAAAAATGAATACAGGGCAAAGCTAAGCAAAAATAAACCCCTCCTTCCTGACACTTCTCCAGTCAATGAGACTGCACATCTAACCTCCTCATATACTCTTGGACACATCAAGGTCTCTTCTGCATCAAAGAAGGGAGAGGAAAATGAAACCATGTATTTATCAGAAAAGTCTTTTCCTTCCTGTTTTCCTTTCCTGGTTTCTCCTACAAATTCTCTTTGTGTAATGTAGGAATTACACATCTCTAGAAAGATAAAGAAAAAAAAGAAAATATGCGTGCTAATTTTCTTTAAACTTTTATTTTGAACATTTTGTTAATTCATAGTCTCCAGGTCAATAAAAATAATGTGAGAAATTAATCTCAGAAAATGGGAGGCTATTAAATACAGAATAGTGATATATATATAATGAATTAATAATTTTATTTACAGAGTTCAAAAGAGACAGAAAATTTATGGAGGTCAAGAAACTGAAAAGGGAACAGTGTTAGTGAGCACAGTAATGATTATTTCTAGAGTGACATCAGCAAGATGGTAGAATAGGAGTTCTTCTGGCTCATATTCTTTCCATAGAAACACTGGTTTTGCAGCCATTCACGAACAAAAGTGCCTTTGTGGGAGCTTTGGGATTCAGGCAGGAAGTTACTAAAACTTGTTGCTACCCAAGACCTAGGAAGGTTGATTTGAGAGGGCAGAAGTATTCCCAGGTTGCAGACTTGCCAACCGTGGTCCCGCCTCTAAACCCCGAAATATCTCCATTCCCTTGTGGATTGAGTTCATTTCCATTTGGCATGGGTCCTATTGCCAGAACCATCTGACAAGGAACCCAGCAGCATTCATGCCTACTCATGCCTTGGATAGCAGGCCTGCTGGCCTCGGTACCTGCTATGCACCCTGAAACAGCCTTGTAACTCAGTTCTAACCTCACTCAGTTCTGGTCTGAGAGCAGTTGTGCCTGTCCAGGGACTGAGGGAGAGAAACACACATCTGTCCCCCAACTGGAAGAACAGCTGAACTCAGTCTCACAACAGATCCTCAGATGGAACCTGGCTCCAGTCCTTGTCAGCTGCAGTCTGAAAGCAGCCCAGAAAGCCTGGTTTTTAATGGATTTTTTGAATTTTGGAAGTAACTTTTAATTAAGAGTTGAGCCTGAAAACAGAGACATCCATCTGTGCCCCTAGGGGCAACCCTACAGACATGAGTCTCAGCTGTGGAAATTGACAGAACCCTGTAACTCAGTTCTTTCCCAGCTAGAACTCCATTCTAGCTCAGTTGCAGTCATGGGCCAGTATTGCCTGCCCAGGTATTTAACCAGTGACACAGCAGGAAGCCGTCCCGAAACCCAGAGGAAGTGATACCCATCTGAGCATCTGTATATTTGGTAACAGTCTTTCTGTTGGCAGACACTGAATAAGACGCTGGTCCAGGTGCAACCCCTACTGACCAAGGCTGTGGAGGCAGTTAAGTGCACCAAGAGACTAGATAGAATCCATGCCCATTCAAGCACTTGGTAATAGATCTGCCAACTACAGGCTCCACTGCAAACCCGGCAGCAGTTAGGTGACCTGGCTTCAACCCCATTCATCTGTGATCCTGAAGGTAGTCATGTCTTTGCAAGGACTCCAAAAGAGAAAGTCTTTATATGCTAAAACCAGCTTATAAAAACTGAAAGAGGTGTTTGCTCCTTTAGTTGCACAGGCAATAATGTGAGGCTTTATGGACAATAAAACAACCAAATGAAACTAGAAAGGCTCCAGTAATCAATCCTATAGAAATAGAGATCTACAAATTGCCTGACAAAAAAATCATCTTGAAGCTCAATGAGATTCAAGAGAACACATACTGAAAACGAAACAAAATTAGGAAAGCAATGCATGAACAAAATGAGAAGTTTAACAAAGAAATGGAATCCATAAAAAGGAAGCAAACAAAAATCCTGGAGCCGAAGAACATAATGATAGAACTGCAAAATTTGATAGACTCAATTATAAAACAGAATTAGGGAACTCAAAGATTAGTCATTTGAAATTAGCCAATTAGAGGAATAAAATAAAAGATTGAAGAAAGCATAAGGGACCTATGGGACACCATCAAGCATAGAAATATATGAATTATAGGATTTCTAGAATGAGAAGAAAGGGAAAATGAGACAGAAAGCTTATTTAGAGGGCTGGGCTCAGTGGCTCATGTCTGTCATCCCAGTGCTTTGGGAAGGCAAAGCAGATGGTTTGCTTGAGGATAGGAATTTAAAACCAGCCTGGGCAACATACTAAGACCACCATCTTCCAAAAAAAAAAAAAAAAAAAAAATCAGCCAGGTGTGATGATACATACCTGTAGTCCTCACTATTCAGGAAGCTGAGGTAGGATGATCTCTTGACTCCAGGAGATCAAGGTTGCAGTGAACTATCAATGTGCCACTGCACTCCAGCCTGGGTGACAGAGTGAGTTACGTATGTCTTTAAAAAAAAAAGAAAAAAAAAAAGGCAGCTTATTTAGAGAAATGACTGAAAACTTCCAAAATTAGGTGAAAGATATGCACATCCAGACTTATGAAGCTCAAAGGATGACAATAAGTTAAAATCAAAATTATCCCAAGACATATTATAATGAAATTCTCAAAAGTTAAAGACAAAGAGAAATCCTGAAACTAGTAAAAGAGTCTCTTCACATATGAGGGCACCCCAATGAGTCTATCAATGGACTTCTCAGAGGAAATTTTATAGACCAGGAGGCACTGAGATTATATATTCAAAATGCTGAAAGAAAAAATAACTATGAAACAATATTACGAAAAACTGTCCTTCAGAAGTAAGAAAGAGATAAAGACATTCCCAGACAAAAAAAATGTGGGAATTCATCACCATAAGACCTACCTTACAATAAATGCTAAAGGAGGTTCTTCAAGTTGAAACAAAAAGACAAAAACCAGCAACATGAAAATGTATGAAAGTATATATACACAGATATACACAGGTAAAGATAGATATATAGTCAAATTCAGAATGCACTAATATAGTAGTGGTTGTATTTAATCTCTTTTAACTCTACTATTAAATTTAAAAGACATATATAATAGAAATAACTATAGCTACAATAATTTGTTAATGTAGACATAATATAAAAGGATATAAAGTGTGATGTCAATCACATAAAATTATTGTTTGAGAAAAGTAAAGTATAATTTTTGTATGTGATTGAAGTTATCACTTTAAAATAGAATGTTATAATGATAAGATTTTTATATAAGATTCATGGTAACCACAAAAAACCTCTAGTCAGTGCACAAAACATGACGAAAAAGAAATCAAATACCTAATGCATGCGGGGCTTAAAACCTAGATGACGGGTTGATAGGTGGAGCAAACCACCATGGCACATGTGTACCTATGTAACAAACCTGCGTGTTCTGCACATGTATCCCAGAACTTAAAGAAAAAAAAAAAAAGCATACCACTACAGAAAATCAACCAATCACAAAGCAAATCAGAAAGAGAGGAAATAAGGAACTACAAAACAATTAGAAAACAATTGAAAATAATATCAATAGTAAATTCTTACCTATCAATAATTTCTTTAAATGTAATGGATTAAATGCTCTAGTCAAAGGACACAGCATGGCTGAATGGATAATAAAAAACAAGATCAAACAGTATGATTCCTGCTGGGGACTCAATTTAGCCTTAAGAAGACATATTGACTGCAAGTGAAGAGAAATAAAAAATATTCCATGCAAATGAAAACAAAGAGAGAATGGGTAAGCAATATTTATGTCAGAAAAAATAGACTTTGAATCAAATCTGTCATAAGAGATAATGTCATTATATAATGATAACAGGGTCAATTCATCAAAAGAATAAAACAATAGTAAACATATATCCACTCAACATTGAAGTACCTAAATATATAAAGAAATATTAACAGAACTAAAAGGAGAAATAGATAGCAATACAACAATAGTGTGGGACTTCAGTACTCCACTTTCAGCAATGAATAGATCATCCAGACAGAATCAATGAGGAAACAGTGGACCTGAATACCACTGGAGACCAATGTATCTAACAGACATACACAGAACTTTCCACCAACCAGCAACAGATTACACATTCTACTCAAGTGCACATAGAAAATTCTCCAAGATATACTATATTTTGGACCACAGAATAAACCTTAACCAACTACAGAAGATTGAAATAATATTAATTATCTTTTATCACTACAATAGCATGAAACTGGAAATCAATAACAGAAGGAATTTTGGAAAATTCACACATATGTGGAAATTAAACAATGCAGTCCTAAACAAGCAAGTCAAAAGAGAATTCAAAAGTGAGAGATACATGTTAGAAATATATATATATTTTTGTGACGGAGTCTGAATGCAGTGGTGCAATCTTGGCTCACTACAACCTCCATCTCCTAGGTTCAAGCAATTCTCCTGCCTCAGCCTCCTGAGTAGCTGGGATTACTGGCATGTGACACCATGCTCAGCTGATTTTTGTATTTTTAGTAGAGACGGGATTTCGCCACGTTGGCCAGGCTGGTTTCCAACTCCTGACCTCAAGTGATGTGCTCATCTCGGCCTCCCAAAGTGCTGGGATTACAGGCATGAGCTACTGTGCATGGCCTAAAAAAATATTTTTACACAAGTGGAAATGGAAACACAACACACCAAAACTTATGAGATGCTGTAAAAGCAGTTCTAAAAGGAAAATTTATAGCAATAAATTCCTACTTAAGAAAAAAAATTCAAAAACACAAATACATAACTTTACACCTCAACGAACTAGAAAAAGAAGAACAAACTAAACCCAAAGTTAGCAGAACAAAGGAAATAATAAAGATTTTGAGCAGAAATGAATAAACTAGAGACTAGAAAGGCAGTCGAAATGATCAATGAAACTGAGTTGGTTTTTAAAAAGACAAATGAAATCAACACACTTTTAGAAAAATTCACCAAGAAAATAAGGGAAAGGACTCAAATAAATGAAAGAGGATACATTATAGCTCATAACATAGAAATGCAAAGGATTATAAAAGGCCACCATGAACAATCATACACCAACAAATTGGCTAACCTAGAAGAAATGAATAAATTCCCAGAAACATACAACCTACAAAGACTAAATCATGAAGAAATAGAAAATCTAAGCAGACCAATAATGAATAAGGAAACTAAACTTAAAACAAAAATCCTAAGAAAAGCTCAAGACCAGATGGCTTTATAGATGAATTATACCAAGCATTTAAAGAACTAACACCAATACCTCTCAAACTTCCAAGAGATTAAATAAGAGAGAACTCGTTTCATGAAGCTAGCATTACCCTCACAGCAAAGCCAGATAAGGACACCAGAAGAAAAGAAAAATACAGGCCAATTTCCCTGATGAGCATAGACGCAAGATTTCTCAACAAAATGCTAGCAAACTGCATTGAAAGAATCATACACCATGATCAAGTAGGATTTATCCCTGAAATACAAGGTTGATTCAACATACATAAATTAATCAATGTAATGATTTGCATTAACAGAACGAAGAATAAAAATCATATGATTATTTCAGTAGATGCAGAAAAGCATTTGACATGGTGTTTAACCATTTATCTGTTGAGGAACAGTTGGGTTGTTTCCACCTTCCAGTTACTATAAGTAATACTGCAATAAGCATTCACAAACAGGTACCTCTTTGAGTACCTGTCTTAAATTCTTGGGGTATAGTATATCTAAAAGTAGAATTTATGAGTCATATGGAAATTCCGTGTTTAACTTTTTGAGGAACTTCCAAACTGTTTTGCATAGCAGGTACACCATTTTACATGTGTGAAGATTTCAATTTCTCCACACCTTCACTAATACTTGTATTCCATTTTAAAAATTATAGCCATCTGATATGGTTTGGCTGTGTCCCCACCCAAATCTCATCTTGAATTGTAGCTCCCACAATCCCCATGTGTCATGGGAGGGACCTGGTGGGAGGTAGTTGAATCATGGGGGCGGATTTTTCCCACTCATGCTGTTCTTGTGATAGTGAATAAGTCTTACTGAGATCTGATGGTTTTATAAAGGGCAGTTCCCCTGCACATGCTCTGTTGCCTGCCACCATGTAAGACAGGCCCTTGCTCCTCCTTTGGCTATTGCCATGACTGTGAGGCCTCCCTAGCCATGTGGAAATATGAGTCCATTAAACCTCTTTTTCTTTATAAAATATCTAGTCTCAGGTATTTCTTCATAGCAGTATGAACATGCACTAATACACCATCTTAATAGGTGTGAAGTAGTGCCTCTTCTCATCTTTTCATATATTTGCCATCTGTATATCTCCTTTAATGAGGTGTCTGTTAAGTCCTTTGACCTATTTTTTAGTCAGGTTGTCCATTTTCTTTCTTTTTTTTGAGACGGAGTCTCACTGTGTCACCCAGGCTGGAGTGCAGTGATGCGATCTCAGCTCCCTGCAACCTCCGCCTCCCAGGTTCAAGCGATTCTCCTGCCTCAGCCTCCTGAGTAGCTAGGGTTACAGGAGCGGGCGACCATGCCTGGCTAATTTTTGTGTTTTTAGTAGAGATGAGGTTTTGCCATGTTGGCTAGGCTGGTCTTGTATTCCTGACCTCAAGTGATGCTCCTGCCTTGGCCTCCCAAAATGCATTTTCTTGTGTATGTTTTTGAGTTATTTTCCTTGTAGGTTCCATTGGGATTATGATTAATATTCTAAAATTTTAAAAATTTAATTAGAATAACATATAAAACTCTGGTTCTACACAGTTATTTCCCTTCATTTTATGTTGTTGTGCAAAATACATTTTTGTACTTAATAACATAAATATATAATTACTTTTATGCATTTGTCTATTAAATCATGTGGAAATAAAAGTAGAGTTTCAAACCAAAAATTCAGTAATATTGGCTTTTGTACTTACCCTAGTTACTTTTGCAAAAGACTTTGAGTTACTGTCTAATAGCTTTCATTTCAAACTGAAGGACTCTAGGATTCTTGTAAGGATCGGTCTATTTATAACAAATTCTCTTAGCTTTTGTTTATTTGGAAATTTATTAATTTCTTATTTTTAAAGTATAATTTTTACTGGATTTTACTGGATAAAGTATTCTTGGCTTAGAGTTATTTTTCTTTCAGTATTTTAAGTATATCATCCCACTGTTTCTGGCTCAATGATTTCCATTGAGTAATTGGCAGTTAATCGTAGTGAGGACCTAATGATGAGTAGTTATTCCCTTGCTGCTTTCCCATGATGAGTAGTTTTCCCTTGCTGCTTTTAACATTCTCTTTGTCTTTTGACAGTTTAATTATAACATGTCTTGGTGTGGATCTCTTTGAGTTTTTCCTACGTAGAGTTTGTTGAGATTTTTGGATATGAAGATGTAGTCAAATTTTGGAAGTTTGTCTCATTTTTCCTTCAACTATTCTTTTCATCTTGTTCTCCCTCTCTTCCTTTGGAAGTTCCATAATGTAACTGTCAATCCATTTGATGGTACCCACAAGTAATTTTGCTCTCTCTACTTTAATTACTTTTTCTTTCTGTTTGTCATACTAGATAATTTCAATCGTCTCATTCAAAGTTCATGAATTCTGTCTTCTCCCTGTTCAAATTTGCTCTTGATTCTCGGTAATAAATTTAGTTTTTGTGTTTGTTAGCTCCAGAACTTTTGTTTGGTTCATTTTATAATTTCTATTTTTTCTTGAGATTCTAATTTTGTTCATATATTCTTTCCTGATTTCTTAGATTCTTTGTTCACGATTTCCTTTAGTTTATTTTTATTTTTATTTGAGATAGGGTCTGGCTCTGTCACTCAGGCTGGAGTGCAGTGACACAAACTCAGCTCACTGCAACCTCCATGTTTTGGGCTCAAGCCATCCACCCACCTTAGCTTCCCAAGTAGCTGGGACTATAGGCACATGCCACCACACTGAGGTAATTTTTGTATCTTTTGTAGAGATGGGGTTTTGCCATATTGCCCAGGTGGGTCTTGAATTCCTGAGGTGATTCAACCACCTCAGCCTTCCAAAGTGCTGAGATTAAAGGTGTCAGCCACCATGCCCAGTTCTTCTTTAGCTTTTAAAACACATTTAAGACAGTTGTTTTAGAGTCTTTGCTATGTACACTATCTAGAATTCCTCAAGGATGTTTTCTATCAATTAATTCAGTTGTTTTGGATGGGCATACTTTCCTGTGTGTGGTGTTTTTGTTGTTGTTGTTCTTTTTTTTTCTGTATGCCTCATGATTATTTGTTTAAAAAGACAAAACAAAACTGGACATTTGAATAATATAATGGTGTAACTCTAGAAATTAGATTCTCATCCTTCCCTGAAGTTTGCTGGGTTTTGATTGGTAAAATCTGTATCTGTCCATTTGTTTAGTGACCTTTGAAAACAATTTTTGCAAAGCCTGTGTTCCTCATTGAGTGTGATCACTGAAGTTTCTGATTATTTATGTTGTGTTTAGCCAGTGTTTTGTCAGAGATCTCCTTGAGTGCCAGTAGTTACAAAACAAAAACCAAAAACCAAACCTCTTCCAGTCTATGTAGATTAGCTCTCTGCAGGGGCACTTCTTCCACAGTTATCCGGGCTTGTACTGGGCCTTTATATTAGCAAGAGGTGAAAGTTTACAATCTTCTCAGTTCTTCCCTGAGTGTGCATCTTGTTTTAGGTGTGCAAATGTCTGCCTAAATACTCCAGTGTAGGTGGGTGCTTTTGTCTGTCCTACTTTTCCAGAGAAATTCTCTACAGCTTTTCATTCCAGGATTTAGGTAGTCAATTGCATGTCTCAACTGTAATATAATTTTCCTCTAGGTGATTGTAAGTTGTTGCTATCCTTATAGTATTTTAGGACAATGCCTGCTGCTGCTATTCCAACCTGACTGCAGTCTGTGTTCAGTGAAATAGAAAGAACACTTGGGATCAGTTCTTCAGATAGTCTTCAGATGGTTAAAACAGACAAACATTTGTGAATAAAATTGGCTCAGCAGGAGCCAAAGTCCCACACTGGGGACAATGACTGTTCACTGCAAAGTGGGCACTGTGCTGGGAAGGGTGTAGAATAGGGGGGTATTGAAAATGCCACAAAACTTTTCTATCATTTTTTAAATTTCCTTTTTCTTGCTTTTGTGTTTACTTGGTCGCTGTAAACTTTTGACTGTTTTTGCAAGGTCTGACAACATTGTTTCTGTTTGTTTTTGCTATTTAAAAAAAAATGTTTCTGTGGAGGAACAGAAGCTTAGAACTAACAACTTTTTCATTTTGCTGATGTTACTCCTCCATTAACGGCCATTTAATACATGGAGACTCTGTAATGTTACCTCTTTTATTTTTGACATTAGTAATTCTGTCTCTCTGTCATTGATCTGTCTAACTAGAGATTTATTGATATTATTGATCTTCTCAAAGACTCAGCTTTTGGTTTCACTGATTTTCTTTCTTCTGAAAGATTCAGCTTTTGTTTTCACCGATTTTCTCAATATTTGGGGTTGTTTGTTTTTCTTGTAAATTTGTTTAAGTTCCTTGTAGATTTTGGATATTACACCTTTGTCAGATGGATAGATTGCAAAAATTTTCTCTCATTCTGTAGGTTGCCTGTTAACTCTGATGATATTTTCTTTTGCTGAGCAGTTCTTTATAACCTTGTATAAATCCATCTTTCCATCTGATATGTTTCCTTTTTCTTGAAAGACTTCCTTTAACACTTGTTTAATGTGTATCTCCTTATGACAACTTTTTTCAGCTTTTACATGTGTTTTCTTTAATTTTTATTATTGTATAGTTTTGTAATTAATATAGTTGCACATATTTTAGCGGTACATGTGATATTTTGATACATATGTATCATGTTTAATGATCAAGTCAGGGTAATTGAGATTTCTAACACATTGAACGTTGATTTTTTTTCTTTGTGGTGGAAACATTACAATTCTTCTCTCCTAGCTGTTTTGGAATGCACACTAATTTATTGTTAACTATAATTTCCCTACTGTAGTATCAAATACTAGAACTTATTCCTTCTATTTAACTGTATTTTTATACCCCCCAACCAACTCTCTTTATTCCCCACCAACCCCTTCCCTTGCCATCTACTCTCCCTTGCCATTCTACTCTCTACTTCCATGAGGTTCACTTTGTAATTTCCACATATAAGTGAGAGCATTTAATATTTATTTTACTGTGCCTGGGTTAATTTACTTAACATGATGACTTTCAGTTTCATTCATGTCGCTGCAAATGACAGGATTTCATTTTTATGATTGAATATTTTATTCTGTATATATTCCACATTTCTTTATTCATTCATCCGTTGGTGGACACTTAGGTTGATTCCAAATCTTGGCTATTATGAATAGTGCTGTGATAATCATGGGAGTGCAGACACTGCTTCCATATACTGATTTCCTCTTTCTGGATATATAGCGAGCAGTGGTATAGCTGAATCATATGGTGTTTCTATTTTTAGTTTCTTTAGGAACCTCTGTGCTGATTTCCATATGGCTGTATTACTTTATATTCTCATCAACAGTGTACAACTGTTCTCTTTTTTATGCATCCATTTTTGTGGTCTTTTTAATAACAGCAGTTCTAACTGGGCTGAGATGCTATCTCACTGTGGTTTTGATTTGTATTTCTTGATGATTAGTGATGCTGAACATTTTTTTCATATACCTGTTTGCCATTAGTACGTCTCCTTTTGAGAAATATCTATTCAGTTATTTTGCCAATTCTTAAATTGGATTATTCTTTTTTAAGCTATTCAATTGATTGAGTTTGTATATATTCTGGTGATTAATCTATATGTGGGGCCACAAAACAATCCTCACATAAATTCAAGAAACATTGAAATCGTATGAAGTATTTTTTCTGATGACAATGGAATAAAACTAGAAATAAATCAAAAGAGGAACTTTGGATACTGTACAACTACCTGGAAATTAAACAACATGCTCCTCAATGACAAGTGGGTCAAAAAAGAAATTAAGAAGAAAATTGAAATATTTCCTGAAACAAATAAAAATGGAAACAAAACATACCAGAACCTATAAGATACAGCAAAAGTAGTACTAAGAGGGAGGTTTAAAGCAATAAATATCTATATTAAAAAAATAGATTCCATATAACTAACTAAATGATGCACCTCAAGGAACTAAAAAAGCAAGAATAAACCAAGCCCCAAATTGGTAGAAAGACAGACATAATAAAGGTCAGAGCAGAAATATATGAAATTAATACTAGAAAAATAAAATATTAACAAAACTGACAAACCTTTGACTAGACTATCTAACAAAAACACATAAAAAAGAGATGAAAAAGGAAATATTACGACTCATAGCATAGGAACACAAAGGATCATTAGAGACTATTATGAACAACTATATGCCAGCAAAATGGAAACCTAGAAGAAATGGATGAATATCTGAACAATACAGCATACCAAGGTTGAACCATGAAGAAATAGAATATATGAATAGACAAATAATGAGTAATTAGATTGAAGTCATAATAGAAAGCTCAGGACCTGATTAATTCACTGCTGATTTCTACCAAACATATAAAGAAGAACTAATATGAAATCTACTCGAACTATTTCAAAAAATTGAAGAGGAGGGAATACTTATGAAATAATTCTATGAGACTGGCATTACCTTTGTTACAAAACTAGCAAGGACTCAACGAAATAACAACTACAGGCCTATATTCCAGGTGAAAATAAGTTAAAACAATTTTCAACAGAATATTAGCAAACAGAATTCAAAAATACGTTAAAGAGATTATCCACCGTGATCAAGTGGGAGTCATCCTAAGGATGCAAAAACAGTTTAACATACACAAATCAATAAATGTGATTTATCACATCAGCAGAATCAAGGACAAAAATTACATGATTATTTCAATGGATGCTGGAAAAGCATTCAATAAAATTCAACATCCCTTCATTATGAAAAGTCTCAACAAATTGTGAATAGAAGAAACATACCTCAACACAATAAAGGCCATATATAGTATGACAAGACCACAGCAAATAGATAATATACTAAATGGGAAAAATTGAAAGCCTTTCCACTAAGATGTAGAAGAAAACAAGTATGCTCACTTTCACCACTTTTATTCAATATGGTATGGGAATGTCTAGCCAGAGCAACTAGGCAAGAGAAAAATATAAAGGGCATCCAAACTGGAAAAGAAGTATTCAAATTAGCTTTTTATGCGGAAGACATGATTTTATATTTAAAAATCCCTAAAGACTCCGTCAAAAAATTTTTACAGTTGATAAAAGAATGTCATAAAGTTGCAGGATACATTGTCCGCATATAAAATTAGTGTGTTTCTATACACTAACAGCCATCAATCTGAAAAATACATCAGGAAAGCAATCCCATTTAAAATAGCTACGAAACAATTTATACAAAGCAACAAATTTAATCAAAGAAATGAAAGATCTCTACAAGGAAAACTATAAAACAGTGATGAAATAAATTGAAGAGGACACCAAGAAATGGAAAAATATTTCATTCTCATTGATAGATTTAATATTTTTAAAATGTCCATGCCACTTAAAGCAATCTACAGGTTCCCTATGAAAATACCAATGACGTTCTTCAGAGAAATAAGAAAAATGGTCCTAAAATTAGTATGGCACCATGGAAGACCCTAAATAGCTAAAGCAATCTTGAGGAAAAGGAAAAAAGCTGGAGGCATCACACTAACAGATTTCCAATTATAATACAGAGTTATAGTAACCAGAACAATATGGTACTGGCAACAAGCGAATACACAGAACAGTGGAAAAGAATAGAGAAACAAGATATAAATTCATGCACTTACAGCCAACTCATGTTTGACAAAGTCATCAAAAATATACATTGGGGAAAGAACAGTCTTAAATCAATGGTACTAGGAAAACTGTATATCCATGCAGAAGAATGAAGCTAGACCCCATCTTTTACCATATACAAAAATTAACTCAAAATGGATTAAAGACTTACACATAAGACATAAAACTATGAAACTTCTAGAAGAAAATATTGGGGAATTAATTGCTACAGGACATTGATCTGGGCCAAGAGTTTTTAGGCAAGACCACAAAAGCACAGACAACAAAACCAAAAATAAAATAGGCAAATGGGATTACATCAAGCTAAAAAGCTTTTGCGCAGCGATTGAAACAATTAACAAAGTGAAGAGGCAACACACAGAATTACAGGAAATATTTGTATGTCTTAAAATACCCCTACCTCATGTTAATTTTTGGAAGATATTTTTGCTGGTTATAGAATTCCAGGTGGACAGGGTTTTTTTTTTAAAATTCATGTCAGCACTTTAATGATACTGCTGTTTTATCTCTTGCATTGTTTATGATAAGAAATCTGCTGTCATCCTTACTTTTGATTCAGTGTACACCATACACGCACCCTTGCACACCTCTTGATGTTAAATTTTTCCCTTTACCATTGATTTTAGGTGATTTGATTATGATATTCCTTGGTGTAGTTTTCTTCATATTTCTTGGACTTGAGCTTCTTATATCTTTGGTTTGGGATTTCATTATATTTTTTAAGTTCTGAGATATTTTTCTGTCTGCCTCATTAGATATGAAATATTAATATTTAATATTAAATTTTTTTTATGTCTCTGACTCATCCTCTCCTATCCTATGGGGTCTCCAAATACATCTTCATTAGGCTGCTCCAGTTTTAATGTTTTAACTATTCTCACCTCTATATAACTTTTCTGTATGGAATCACATGAATGCTGCTTCTGTTCCATGAATATGTAGCTATTTGAAATTGTCTGCAGCTCCCTGATGACAGGTTCTTTTTCTATTAAAAAAAAAAGTTTGTGTCTCTCATTTTGGTTCATTTCTGTGGCTGTGAATTCAAGTTCATTAACTTTTCTACTGCAGTACCTAACCTTCCATTAATCCCATCAAGTTTTTTTTGTTTGTTTGTTTTGTTTTTGAGATGGAGTCTCACTCTGTTGCCCAGGCTGGAGTGCAGTGGTATGATCTCGGCTCAGCACAACCTCTGCCTCCCAGGTTCAAGCTATTCTCCTGCCTCAGCCTCCTGAATAGCTGGAACTAAAGGCTCACGCCACCATGCCTGGCTATTTTTCTATTTTTAGTAGAGACAGGGTTTAACTATGTTGGCCAGGCTGGTCTCAAACTCCTGACCTCATGATCCACCTGCCTTGGCCTCCCAAAGTGCTGGGATTACAGGCATGAGCTACCACACCCAGCCCCATCAAATTTTTTTTTATCTCATGTGTTGTAGTTTTCATCTTGAGAAGTTTGGTCTTTGTGAGATTTAAAACATTTCTATACTTATCTATTGATCAAGTGAAATAGAATTATAATAACTTTTATTTTAAAGTTTTTGGTCTGACAATGCTAACATCTTTGCTAAACCTGAGTTGGCTTTGATTAAATACTTTTTTTCTTTTTATTTTCAGTTAATGTTTTCTCCACCTTTGCAGGCCTGCTAATTTCTTTGATGCCTAATATTGTAAATATTAACTTGTGAGTGCTAGATATTTTTGTATTCATATTTGAACTTTCTTCTGGGGCTCAGTTATGTTATTTTAGGAAAGTTTGATCCTTTTAAATTTGTTAGATGGGAACAGAGCTGTCTTATTCTAGGACAGGGTTGTTCAACTTCAGCATTATTGACATTTGGGGTTGGATAATTTTTTAGCATAGATCATTGTCCTGTGCGAATAGGATGTTTGGCATGATTCGTAGATCTACCTGCCTAATGCCAATAGCACCCTCCACCTTTAGTTGGACAAGCAAACATTTTTCTACACATTTCTAAATGTTCCATGGGGTTCAAAATCACCTCTGGTTGAGAATCACTGGTTGAGAACTAATTACTACATACTCCTGAGGCAAGACCATTCTGAATATGCTACCTGGTCTCCCTGGATTACAGGTTTTTTTCTTCTGGCTGGTGGGAATGTTCTCAAATGTGTGAAGTGTTAGCCACTCCTCTCCCGGTCCTTTGAGATGGTTCTTTCCTCAGCTTTTTCAGGTTGTTTCTTTACATCCATGTGCCAATCAGTATTATGCCAAATGCTTGTGGGGGCCATGTCTCCTCTCCAGCATTTTTTCTTGTAAATTCTAGCTGCTTGGTCTCCTCTTATTCTCAGTTCTGTCTCTTCAAGTCATAGTATCTGATAGGTACCCTTTCTTTGTACCACAGCCCAGAAATTCTCTCAAAGCAGAAAGTGTGCATCTTTGTAAGCCTTACCTTGTTCATTTCCCACCATCTCTCAGGGATCACTGTACTTCATTATGTAATGTTCAGTGTCTTAAGACAACTGTTTTACATATTTTGTCAAAATTTTTTATTAATTCAGGGAAGAAAATAAATCTTATCTCTTTACTCCATCTTGATTTGAAATGATAGTATCCAATGCATATTCCTTAACCATTGTCAAACCATTCCTTTATATAGTTTCCTCACTTACATTTCTCCCTTATCATTCAACAACCTTCTTTTTTCTCTGTTCTTCCTTATCAATTGATATTTTTATGATAATATCTGGATAAACAGGTAATAGATAATATCTGAAGAATCACGATATCTATTTGACGGTTATCAGCGTATAGCCTGAGTTAAAGCTGTGGGACTGTATAAGATTAGCCTATATAAAAAGTAAAGAAGGAGAAAAGAAAATGCCTAAGAATTGATTCTTGTATATGAGATGTTTGAATTAATGTGTTCCACAGAAATAATTTAACATATATTTGCATGCAAGATGAATTCGGTTGTATATGCTTATCTCCATTTTAAGACTGACTAAACCTTGAGTACCAGGACTATGGCTTCTTTGCCATCTGTTATCTCAGTAGAAAGTAAGTAGTTAATGAGGAAATTGATGATGAGTGGTGAATGTAGCATAGAAGAGAAAGGTTAAGGATGAACAAAGAAGTTGGAAAGATGCTGCCCTATGTTGTGTTTATCATCTGGTTCTGCAATGATTTGAAATAATTACAATCCTAGTCAGCCAGAAAAAAAGCAGATAATTATTTTGCTTTACCTTTAGTGAGAAATAGAGTTTAATTCTCAATCACCAGAACAAATGTTTAGATGGAGTTTTAATTGGTTATGCATCTTCAAAAAGGCTACCATCTGTATATGTTTAAGGCTACCATCTGTATATGTTTTCTATAACCAACACAAATGTCTACAGTGATATGGAACAATACACTTGAACTTTATGGAATGTGGCTATCTGGATAGTTTTGTGGTTATTTGGATTAAATAGTAAAACTGAAAACAAATTTACTCGACTTTGTTATATATGCTTCTGTAATTGTAAAGTAAAATGTACACATCAATAAGAAAATTCTTTTTTTCTTTATTTCTTCTAAAAAAATGGGATACATATGCATAATGTGCAGGTTTGTTACCTAGGTATATGTGTGCCATGGTGGTTTGCTCCACCTAACGACCCATCCTCTAAGTTCCCTCCCCACATCTCCCATCCCCAACAGACCCTGGTGTGTGTTGTTCCCCTCTCTGTGTCCAGGTGTTCTCAATATTCACCTCCCACTTATGAGTGAGAACAAGAGGTGTTTGGTTTTCCGTTCCTGTGTAAGTTTGCTGAGGATGGTGGCTTCCAGCTTCCATCCTCAGGCTTCCATCCATGTCCTTGAAAAGGACTTGATCTCATTCTTTTTATGGCTGCATAGGATTTCATGGTGTATATGTACAACATTTTTTTAATCCAGTCTATCATTGATGGGCATTTAGGTTGGTTCCATGTCTTTGCTATTGTAAATAGTGCTGCAATAAACATATGTGTGCATGTATCTTTATTGTAGAATGATTTATATTCTTTGTGTATATACCCAGTAATGGGATTGCTGGGTCAAATGGTATTTCTGGTTCTAGATCCTTTAGGAATCCTGAGGAATCACCACACTGGCTTCCACAATGGTTGAACTAATTCACATTCCCACCAACAGTGTAAAAGTGTTCCTATTTCTCCATAGCCTTGCCAGCATCTATTGTTTCCTCACTGTTTAATAATCTGTTCTGACAGACATGGGATGATATCTCACTGTGGTTTGGATTTGCATTTCTTTGATGATTGGTGATGGTGAGTTTTTTTACTTATGTTTGTTGGCTGCATAAATGTCTTCTTTTGAGAAGTGTCTGTTCATATTCTTTGCCCACTTTTTGATGGAGTTGCTTGTTTTTTTCTTGTAAATATGTTTAAGTTCCTTGTAAATTCTGGATATTAGACCTTTCTCTGATGGGTACTTTGCAAAAATTTTCTCCCATTCTGTAGGTTGCCTGTTAACTCTCATGATAGTTTCTTTTGCTGTGCAGAAGCTCTTTAGTTTAATTAGGTACCATTTGTCAATTTTGGCTTATGTGGCAATTGCTTTTGACATTTTGTCATGAAGTCTTTGTCCATGCCTATGTCCTGAATGGTATTGCCTAGGTTTTCTTCTAGGGTTTTTATGGTCTTGGGTTTTCCATTTAACTTTTTAATCCATCTTGAGTTAATTTTTGTATAAGGTGTAAGGAAGGGGTCCAGTTTCAGTTTTCTGCATATGACTAGCCAGTTTTTCCAGCACCATTTACTGAATAGGAGGTCCTTTCCCCATTGTTTGTTCTTGTCAGGTTTGTCGAAGATCAGATGGTTGTAGATATGTGGTGTTATTTCTGAGGTCTCTGTTCTGCTCCATTGGTCTATATGTCTGTTTTGGTACCAGTGCCATGCTGTTTTTGTTACTGTAGCCTTGTAGTATAAAGTCAGGTAGCATGATGCCTCTAGCTTTGTTATTTTTGCTTAGGATTGTTTTGGCTCTATGGGGTCTTCTTTGATTCCACATGATATTTAAAATAGCTTTTTCTAATTCTGTGAAGAATGTCAATGGTAGTTTGATGGAAATAACATTGAATCTGTAAATTACTTTGGGCATTATGGCCATGTTCACGATATTGATTCTTCCTATCCATGAGCATGGAATGCTTTTCCATTTGTTTGTGTCTTTCTTATTTCCTTGAGCAGTGGTTTATAGTTCTCCTTGAAGAGGTCCTTCACATCCCTTGTAAGCTGTATTCCTAGGTATTTTATTCTCTTTGTAGCAATTGTGAACAGGAGTTCATTCGTGATTTGGCTCTCTGCTTGCCTATTGTTGGTGTAAAGGAATGCTTGTGATTTTGCACATCGATTTTGTATCCTGAGAGTTTTCTGAAGTTGTTTATCAGTTCAGGAAGTTTTTGGGCTGAGATGATGGCATTTTCTAAATATAAAATCATGTCATCTGCAAACAGACACAACTTGACTTCCTCTCTTCCTATTTGAATACCCTGTATATTTTTCTCTTGCCTGATTGCCCTGGCCAGAACTTCCAATACTATGCTGAATAGGAGTGGTGAGAGAGGGCATCCTTATCTTGTACATGTTTTCAAAGGGATTGCTTCCAGCATTTGCTCATTCAATATGATATTGACTGTGGTTTTGTCATAAATACCTCTTATTATTTTGAGATGTGTTCCATCAGTAACTAGTTTACTGAATGTTTTTTAACATGAAGTCATGTTGAATTTTATTAAAGGCTTTTTCTGCATCTCTTGAGATAATCAAGTGGCTTTTGTCTTTGGTTCTGTTTATGTGATGGATTACGTTGGTTGATTTCTGTATATTGAACCAGTCTTGCATCCCAAGGCCAAGATGGCCGACTAGAAGCAGTGGCGTTCCAAGGCTCCCATCAAAAAAAAAAAAAAACAATAAATGAAACACAGTAAACATGTGAATCCTTCACTGGCAACCAAGGTATCCAGGTTCTCTCATCAAAATTGACTAGAAGGCTGGTGTGACCCATGGAAAGAAGAGCAGTGTGGTCCTGCAGCCCACTTGAGAGCCATGTAGGTCATTCTAGTTAGCAATTCCTCTTATCAAGGAAAACCTTTTATCAAAAGTTAGCAAAATCATTTATCAAGGTTGTTGGCTTCTTTGCATTGGGTTAGAACATATTCCTTTAGCTCATCATAGTTTTTTATTACCCATCTTCTGCAGCTGATTTCTGTCAATTTGTCCATCTGATTCTCTGTCCATTTTTGTGTCCTTGATGGAGAGATATTACAATCATTTGGCGGAGAAGAGGCACTCTGGCCTTTTGGGTTTTCACCATTTTTTCATTGATTCTTTCTCTTCTCGTGAGTTTGTCTAGTTTTGGTCTTTGAGGCTGCTGACCCTTGAATGGCGTTTTTGTGCGGCCTTTTGTTGTTGGTGGTGGTGATGCTGTTGTTGACACTTTCAGCTTGTTTGTTTGTTTTTTTCAATAGTCAGGTCCTTCTTCTATAGATAGGGCTATTGCAGTTTTCTGGGGTTCACTTCAGCCCCTGTTCATCTGTCTTGCTCCTGTGCCTACAGATGTCACTCCAGGAGGCTAGAAAACAGAAAAGATGGGTGCCTTTTCCTTCTTCTGAGACCTCTGACCTTGAGGGGCACCAACCTGATGCCAATAGGATCACTCCTGTATAGGGTGTCTGACAACCCTTGTTGGAGGGTCTCACCCAGTTGGGTGGCACAGGGAGTGGGACCCGTTTAATGAAGCACTTTGTCCCTTGGTGGAAAGGGTGTGTTTTGCTGGAGGGAAGCCCACTTGTCTGGGCTGCCTGGATTCCTGAGAACTATCAGGAGGAGAGGCTAAGTCTGCTGGTCTGCAGAGACTGCAGCTGCTCCTCCCGCTAGTGGCTCAGGCCCAGGGAGATCTGAATTCTATTTCTGAGACTGGCTGGAGTTATTGGAGATCCTGTAGGGAAACCCCACCCACTGAGAAAGGATGGGTCAGGGTTAGACCTGAAGAGGCACTCTCACCACAGACTGCCACAGCTGGTGTATTTTGGGCTGTGAGTACAAGTCTTAGAACCAAGCCATTCAGCCTCCCTGGCTCCAGCAGGGTAAAAGTGCAGCCTGGAGCTACAGAAATGGGTTCCACTCTTCCCCTGCCCACCGAGCTTAGCATTTTAGGCAGTTGTGAGTCCCAGTGCTGGCTCCTGCAGGTCCCCCAAGGAGGTCAGATGGCTTAGACAGCAGGCAGCTGCAACTGGTGCTGGTTGCCCCTCCCACTGGGAGTTTGGTAGGCTTAAGCAGATTCCAGCTGAGAGGCTGTAAGAATCTGCTCTTCTTGGGGTTGGGATGTCAGGCCCCACTGGCATGACTTTGCCAGTGGGATCTTTAGATCTATGGGTTGCCCAGTTCCATGGGAAAAGCACAGTTTCCCTGGCTGGGTAGCATGCTCACTCACTGCCTCCTTTTATTTTGAGCCTGTGTATATCTTTGCAAATAAAATGGGTCTCCTGAATACAGCACACCGATGGGTCTTGACTCTTCATCCAATTTGCCAGTCTGTGTCTTTTAATGGCACACTTAGTCCATTTACATTTAAGGTTAGTATTGTTATGTGTGAATTTGATCCTGTCATCATGATGCTCTTTGGTTATTTTGTGCACTAGTTGATGCAGCTTCTTTGCAGTGTCATTGGTCTTCATATTTTGGTGTGTTTTTGCAGTGGCTGGTACCAGTTTTTCTTTTCCATATTTAGTGAGTGGTTCTTTCAGGAGCTCTTGCAAGGCAGGCCTGATGGTAACAAAATTCCTCAGCATTTGCTTGTTTGGAAAGGATTTTATTTCTCCTTCACTTATGAAGCTTAGTTTGGCTGGATATGAAATTCTGCGTTGAAAATTCTTTTCTTTTCTTTTTTTTTTTTTCTTTTTTTTTTTTGAGGCCAAGTCTCACTCTGTCACAGAGGCTGGAGTGCAGTGGCTTGATTCCGGCTCACTGCAACCTCCACCTCCTGGGTTCAAGTGATTCTCCTGCCTCAGCCTCCCGAGTAGCTGGGATTACAGGCATGTGCCACCATGCCCAGCTAATTTTGTATATTTAGTAGAGACGGGGTTTCACCGTGTTACCCAGACTGATCTTGAACTCCTGACCTCTGGTGATCTACCCACGTCAGTCTCCCAAAGTGCTGGGATTACAGGCATGAGCCACCATGCCCAGCCAAAAATTCTTTCCTTTAAGAATGTTGAATATTGCTCCCCAATCTCTTCTGACTTGTAGAGCTTCTGCTGAGAGAGGTCTACTGTTAGTCTGATGGGCTTCCCTTTGTAGGTGACCTGGCCTTCCTTTCTGCCTGCCCTTAACAGCTTTTCCTTCATTTCAACCTTGGAGAATCTGATGATTATGTGTTTTGGGGTTGATCTTCTTGTGGAGTATCTTAATGGTGTTCTCTGTATTTCCTGAAATTGCATGTTGGCCTGTTTTGCTAGGTTGGGGAAGTTCTTGTGTCCTAAGGCCATATTAATATTTGACAATTTCATTAAGTTGATGACATCTAATATTTCTATCATTGACAGAGCCCAAAAATATATACACTCCTTTTCAACTAATAGAGAAGGTTTGGCTAATAGAAAGATACTGTTGATTAGAGTTGGACTCCCTTTTGTCAAACTACAATGGACTGTGAAGTTGTGATAATCTTTTTTAAGACTATTTTTTAAATAGCACTTTTAGGTTCACAGTAAAATTTAGAGAAAAGTACAGAGATTTCTCACATTTCCCCTACCCTTCACCTCCACAGCTTCCACCTTAATCAATGTTCCCCATCGGAGTGGTACACTTGTTATAATTTATAAACCTACACTGGTACAGCATAACCACCCCAAGTCCATAGTTTATGTTAGGGTTCACTGTTGGTGTTACGTCATGGCCTTTTTAGATAAATAGAAAACCATTTCATTGCTTTCAAATAAAGAGAAAAAAGTAACTTCCTGGAAGTATTTTTAATTTTTTGAGAGTAAAATGACAATAAGGCATTAAATTTCTCACTGTTCCTGCAGTTCAGGTTGGAGAAATACATGATAATTATGTATGCCGTTTGATGACTCAGTGATAAATATACTTAAAAGGAAAGTGGAAACGTCTCTAGAGTAAAGAATGGCTTAGAGAAACTATTTTAACCTTGTATTTATATTGGAATCAACATAACAATGCTACTCTGCCAGTAGTATAAACCATTTAAACTGGACTTCAAATTAATTTTTTAAAAATATTAATAGCTAAATAGTGTATGATCCCTCCTCACCAGAGTCATTTTATCTGATAATACTGGCATTTTTTTCTTTTAACTCTATATAATGGGCTCAGATCTTGTTTTAGGCAAAAGGATGGGCTAGTTAGCTAATGTGTTGAAGACAGGGTAAATATTCAGTAGCAAATATTTTGAGTGCACGCTGTCTAGGTGACATTGACAGTGTTGGGAGGTGGAAGCGCTACCTATTTTGAGAAACACATGGTTTTTTTAATTGAAATATCACCAGAGAGCAAAGCATCTGGGTCATGAAATTATTTCCACTGTGCAGTCATCAGTGTCTCTCAACTGTACCCTTGTCCTGCACACACATGCACACACACACACACAAAAGTACACATGCACACATGCACGCCCTACAGGCTATGGTGAAAATATAGAGGATAGGGGTAGGTGGGAATGAGTTGTGAAACACTGTATGGGATAGAATAAGGTCCAAAGCAGCAAAAGATATGGTAGGGATGGACATTTTAAACATAAGTAGGTATTCAGGAGTTACTGACTCACTGAATATAGGAGATATGAGAAGGAGATGCTGTTAGGAAGACTCTCAGGTTGTGGCTTGATTGCAAATCTTGGGATAGACAACACTGGCACATAAGTAGGTTTTAGGGTTAAAGTAATGATTCTGCCTGGGACATTTTGAGATACTTACAGAACATTTGAGAAAACATGTGTAATAGTCAGTTGAATAAGACAGGTCTAGAGTTCAAAATTAGGACTGAATTTTAAAATCCTCAGCACAGAATAAAATCTTAGAAGACATTTACAGGAATGGGATTGTGGTAGTAAATTACCATGAGAAAGAAATTGTGATGCATTAAATTCTTGGGAAACAAAAAAATAAGAAACAAATGGCTCAAGGAACATGGCTACTTTAAGAGAAAGTCTGGAGAACATGAAAGAGTTCATAAAGACAGGCTTTGTGATACACAAGGCAAGATGTCTGGTAAGATAGAGGAAAAAATTGGGAGAGTGAGGAACATGAAGAGTGCTTAGAATAGTCATGAGGGCAAGTTTAGAAGCTGAGGTGGGGACTCAACTGTGGAAGAATAAAGTATGACAGGATTCATAAAGGAGCTAATCAGTTTGGTCTGGTTATATTATTCAACATTCTACAAAAATAATGAAGACAATGATGAACTGGGTTAATCCAGGTTAGGGAATAAATGAGACTGGTGATAGAGAAGGTCAGTGTGCTTGCTTTTCTCTTATTGAGGGTATTGGTTGAAGAATTTGAACCCAGTATGTAACACGCTAATGAACTACTTACTGAAAGTCACAAAAAAGTAAAGAAATTTGAAAACTTGAAACATAAGGTATTGTAGTAAGAGAAAAGTATTTGAGATTTTTATGCTTTGAGTTGGTGAACTTCGTGGTAATTTGACTTGATAAAGTAGAGATGACATAAAATTCAGAGGTGTTTAGGAGATCAATGGTATGTGAAGACTGAAGGTCTCAGGTCTTATCAACATGTGCTTAATGCAGTGGTTCTCAACTGGGGACAATCTCATTCCCTAGATAGGACTGTCAGGTAAAATACACAACATCTAGTAAAATTTGAATGTCAGATAAGCACAAATAAATTTTTAAGCATCATTATATCTTATGAAATATGTGGGACATATTTATACAAAAAATTGTTGTTTATCTGAAATTCAGATTTCATTGTGTTCTTTATGTTTATTTGCTAAACCTAACAACCATGCCCTGGGACATACTGAGAAATTTCAGTTGTCATATTGTGAGAAGGGATGTTACTGGAAACTAGTTTGAGGCCAGGGATGCTGCTAAACATTCCACAAAGCACAAGACCACTCCCACCCATCACAGCAAAGAATAATATAGCTTACAATGCCAGTAGTGCTGAGGGTCAAGAAACCCTGGCTTAATGTAACTTCATAGAGAAGCTGTCCCTAACCAGTATACTAGGGTAGGTTCTCCTATATATACACTATATAACTTTTTTTTCTCCTTCGTAGTATGTTCTTTTCAGAGTGGCCATAAAATCCTTATTTATTCGTGGACAATTTCTCCTACTAGATTAGAAACCCCATCAATGATGCAATTCTAATTTTTAATCCTGTGATGAGGTACGAAATAGAAGTGCAATAAATATTTATTGACTAATAAAATAGACAAAGAGGCTTTGAACTCACCTGAGATAATGAGAGTGAACAAGAATGAGGGAAATACAATGAGTATTTTGATATGATCAGTATTGATAGATATAATACAGGTGCCCAAGTCCCTGTGGGATATGGAGCAAAATTTTAGAAGGGGCCATGTAAAGATAATACTGATGAGAAGAAAGTGTAATACTAGAATGTAATGTTTTAATGGAGGAGTTTGAACATCTTAGCAGGAAAATTGTAATGAGAAATTTTATAGCGACAGTTGTGAATATAATTAATAAAAATTAATGAGTTCTTATTAATTTGTTCTAATTAAGTTGTAGTGCTTCAGACTGACTTTTCATCTTCAAAGTACATGACAGAATTATCAAATGCAATAAAACCTAGTACTGCTTTAAAACAATAAATGTGTTGGGCCCTTGGCTTAAAGAGCAGGTTCCTGGATATATTAATTTAAATAGCACAATGCACATTGTGAAACCAAAATCTGTGAACAATTGCTATGTGATTTCTCTAGAGGACAACGACATGTTTATTGGGTTACTTTATTATATAACTAGGAATTTAAAGTTTCTGACACCCTATAGTTCATCATGACAACTATTTATTCTTTAAATGCTTTTGTTACTCTAAATATAATTCTTTTTCAAAATTCTGAGTTAGTTCTGATGCTTCTGTTTATTGCTGAATGTATCATTTCTTAGATATTCATAGGGATGTACTGGTTTGTTTCATTGCCAGAGGGCATCATTGAAAGATAAGTTTTAATCATTCTGCCATAAGGATATCTATTTTTCTAATTTTGCATAATGAATTAATCAATCATTTAAATAGCACTCATTAAATAACCAGAAGGTTTCTGCCTCTCCTTGTAGCATTAGGATGCATATTAATTCAGATATATTAATATAATTAAGCATATTTATTGAAAACCCATGTTTTCATAATCTCTGGCTTGGGGGAGATGAAGAAGGATAAAATGATAAGCAAAAATGTATATAGTTTATAATCTTCATGGAGTTTACTAGTAAGCGGGGTGATAATTTATTAGTTAAATTATTATACCAGTAGTAATTTAGTTATACTTGCAAAATATATTAAAATATATTATGAATACATTATGAACATGCCTAATGACACACATGCTAGCTAGGTACACTGCAATAGTTATCTACATTCATAACAAAGTATTCTAAAACTTAGCGGCCTAAAACAACACATTTTTATTATCTTGTAATTTCTGTGTGCCAGAAATTTGAGAATTCTCTAGCTTGGTTCTGGCTCAGAGTCTTTCATGAGATTGCAGTCAAGATATCAACTGGTGAGGTTGTTAATGAGAGGCTTGACTAGGACTGAATGATCCAGTTTAGACATGGCTTGCTCACTTGGCTATTGGCAGGAGTCTCAGTTCTTCACACACTGATGTTTCCAGAGAACTGCTTGAATATCCTCATAATACGGTCCTTGGCTTCCCTTGGAATGAATAATCCAAGAGAGATAGCAAGCAGGAAGTTAAAATATCTCTTATGGCCTCATCTTGTAAGTTACATAATGTCACTTTCACCAGATTCTGTTTGTTAGAAACAAGTCACTAAGCACAACCTACATTCAAGGGGCAAGAAATGTAATTAGGCTCTACCTTTTAAAAAGGAGAGAAGCAAATAATTTGTGGATATAATTTAATGTTACTATATTTATCTTTCTTAATATGAGACATAAAAACCTGTTTCTTATAGGATACACTATACAAATAATTGAAAGATGAATTTAAAACTTATTGCTATATAACAAATGAAGGGTGAAAGATTAAAATAGTTCCAGACATAGGAAACATACACAAATGTCATAAAACGGAAGAAGTCATGAGAAAGAAACAAAGAGAGAGAGAGAGAAAGGAAAAGAGAAGAAGGAAAAATGAAGGAAGGAGGGAAGGAAGGAAGAACAAGAAAAACAAAGGCTGGTGTAGCTGTAGAGACAAAAGTGAAAAAAAGAGTTGCGAGTTGAGGCTGGAGTGGGGCAGGAATGAAGAGGGAAGATATATAGAGTCTGCAGATCAGTTTAAGAATTTTGTCCTTCATTCTAAGGCAACGTGAAGGCTTTAAAGGTTTTCAAGTAAGAGGGTGGGGGTCGGGTTGAGGGTTGGGCACAATTAAGTCACCAGCTTACCAACAAGATACAATATTCCGTCTGTGAAGAGAAAGAAATAAAGGACATCCAAATCAATAAAGAGGAAGTCAAACTGTTGCTGTTCACCAATGATATGATTGTATACTTAGAAAACCCTAAAGACTCATCCAGAAAGCTCTTAGATCTAATAAATGAGTTCAGTGAAGTTTCAGGATACATGATCAATGTACACAAATCAGTAGCACTGCTATACACCAATGATGACCAAGCTGAGAATCAAATCAAGAACTCAACCCCTTTTACAATAGCTGCAAAAAATAAAATAAAATACTTAGAAATATACCTACCGAGGAGGTGAAAGATCTCTGCAAAGAAAAGTACAAAACACTGCTGAAAGAAACCATAGATGAAACAAACAAATGGAAACACATTCCATGCTCAAGGATTGGTAGAATCAATATTGTGAAAATGATTCTGCCAAGAGCAATCTACAAATCAATGCACAAATCTACAGATTCAATGTAATTCCCATCAAAATACCATCATCATTCTTTTCAGAACTAGAAAGAACAATCCTAAAATTCACAGGGAACCCAAAAAGAGCCTGCATAACCTAAGCAAGACTAAGTAACAATAACCAATCTGGAGGCATCACACTACCTGACTCCAAACTATACTACAGAGCTATAGTTATCAAAACAGCATTGTACTGATATAAAAATAGGTATGTAGACTAATGGAACAGAATAAAAAACCTAGAAATAAAGCCAAATACTTACAGCCAACTGATCTTTGACAAAGCAAACAAAAACATAAAGTGGGAAAAGGATACCCTATTCAATAAATGGTTCTGGGATAATTGGCAAGCCACATGCAGAAGAATGAAGCTGGATTCCCATCTCTCACCTTATACAAAAATCAACTCAATATGGATCAAAGACTTAAATCTAAGACCTGAAACCGTAAAATTCTAGAAGACAACATCGGAAAAATTCTTCTAGACATTGTCTTAGTCAAAGTGTTCATGAACAAGAACCCAAAAGCAAATGCAACAAAAACAAAGATAAATAGATGGGACCTAATTAAACTAAATGCTTCTCCACAGCAAAAGAAATAATCAGTGGAGTAAACAGACAACCCACAGAGTGGGAGAAAATATTCACAAATTGTGCATTTGACAAAGGACTAATGTGTAGAATCTATAAAGAACTAAAAAAAATCAGCAAGAAAAAACAACCCCATTAAAAAGTGGGCAAAGGACATGAATAGACAATTCTCAAAAGAAGATATACAAATGACCAAGAAACATGACAAAATGCTCAACATCACTAATGATCAGGGAAATGTAAATCCAAACCACAATGAGATACCACCTTACTCCTGCAAGAATGATCATGATTAAAAAATAAAGAACATATTGGTGTGGATGTGGTGAAAAGGGAACACTTTTACACTGCTGATGGGAATGTAAACTAGTTCAAACAATATGGAAAACAGTATGGAGATTCCTTAAAGAACTAAAAGTAGAACTACCATTGAATCCAGCAATCCCACTACTGGGTATCTACCCAGAGGAAAAGAAGTCATTATATGAAAAAGACATTTGCACACACATGTTTATAGCAGCACAATTTACAATTGCAAAAATGTGAAACCAGTCTAAATGACCTTCAACCAATGAGTGGATAAAATGTGATCTATATCTATATCTATCTATCTATCTATCTATCTATCTATTTATCTATCTATCTACACACACACACACACACACACACACACACACCATGGAATACTACTCAGCCATAAAAAGAATGAAACAATGGCATTCACAGAAACGTGGATGGAGTTAGAGACCAGTATTCTAAGTGAAGTAACTCAGGAATGGAAAACCAAACATTGTACGTTCTCACTTAGAAGTGGTAGTTAAGCTATGAGGACCCAAAGGCATAAGAATGATATAATGGACTTGGGTGACTCAGGGGGAAGGGTGGGAGAGTGGTGAGGTATAAAAGACTACACATTGGGTACAATTTACACTTCTCTGGTGATGGGTGCACCAAAGTCTCAGAAATAACCACTAAAGAACCTTTCTATGCAACCAAATACCACCTCTTCCACCAAAACTATTGAAATTTTAAAAAATTAAAAAAAATTTAAATTGTTAACAAGGAAAAAAAAAGCATGAAAACAAACATACTGTCTGCAGTGTGTATAGGGACAGAGGTTAAAACTTGTTGCCTGATGCTTAAGATTTGAACCAGTTTGTGACTATTGATGGAGAATAAAGAGGACATTTATTATTATTATTATTATTATTATTATTATTATTATTATACTTTAAGTTTTAGGGTACACATTTTAAGTGTATTTGAAGGTAGATTAGATAGGACTTGGGAATTAATTGTATATGGTAGAAAAAAGAGAGAAGGTGGCTAAGAGAATTCCTAGGTTTCTGGCTTAGGCAATAAGTAGATGGTGGTAATACCATTTACCTGCACTAGGAAAGGAAACACATGAAGAACAATAGATTTGTGAGCAAGGAGAAAAATTACAACTAAGATATTTACGACGTAGTAAAGTCAATAGGAGATCCTCCAAAATAATCAATGTAATTTTCCCAAAATCATAGTTAACTTATTTATTGGCAGAATGCAAATCCCTTATATTTAAACTCATGTAATTTATACCACATTATGATTCCCTCTTTATGTTTGTTTTCCTGTTTATTTCTTAGGAGATAGAAAAAGAGAGAATGATTGTAGCACCCCCCCTAGTAAACTCTTTATAGGTTTTTTGACCTATCTTTGCATTTAAAGAAACAGATTTTTGATATGTGTGACTACTTAAGTAAAAGAAAAAAAGAATTTTCATGGTGCTACTTGGCTGATGTTTGGGATTATTTAACTGGAGTTTATCATATAGGCAAAGTAGACATTTTGGTCACGGGAGAAGCTATGGGGAATTGTTAGAGTGACTAGGTAGAAGACGTAGATAGAAAAAGGTGGTTTCATTCAAATATGTGGGTGGAAATTATGTGTAGAGAGACAGAGAGAACGTAAGTATCATTGTGAAAATCAAAATAAGGACTAATAAAATATTTTTCGAACTTATTTTGAAGAACTGCCTTAGTACAATCAAAATTGCCCTACAATGTTATGAGTCATTTTATGTGGGTCCTGGACAGAGTCAAGTAAACAACAAATAATGACCCATCAGTGTTGTTGAAGAAGGAACATGATCTTTGGGAGGCAGAATTGGAAAGCATTTGAGATTCATATCACCTTTAATATCAGTTTAGGGAAATGGAGTTAGCTAATGAAGAGCTTGAAATTCAGGATAAATTCAGGATAAAATGTTCATTTTTGAACATGAAGTGTAAATAATAAATTAGAAACATTAATGGGCAGGGTGTTCTGGATGCTTTCCTGTAGAAAGAATATGAATTTAGAGAAGTCCTCTGTCACTCTAATATAGTATGTATGAGCTTTGTTAGATTTGAGGTTTGCTACAGTCAGGTGGGATTATGGCTTTTATGGAAGGCTATCCAGAATATTATATGAGGGATCATTTTAGGAATCAGATAAACCCAAGAGTGAGACTTGATTGTGCAACTTGTCATCTGAGCAACACTGGATGAGTTAAACAACTTTTTTGAATTTTACCTTTTTCTTCTCCAGTGTAGAAAAAATAACCTCATCAGTATCTCTACCGTTCTGTGGTCTACACTTTCTCCCTTTGTCAGAATCTTTCTCTTCTCTTACAACATTGTCCTGTTACTGCGGATTTGTTGATACTGTTAGGAGAGCGGATAAATAATTGATTGAACTGCACATCCTAATTCATAGTGGGTAATATTTGTGGGTCATAATCACTGACCAGAACAAGCAGAATATTAGCTGATAAATGGATATTCAGAGATCAGCCATTTGGCGAATGAGCTAAACAAAAGCTGGATGCCAAACCTGGGTCTAAGTAGACACGAAGCCAGAAAAATCCAATTAATGGGAGTGCGGTATATTTCCCTGAAGATTTAAAGTATATATGTTCTATACTTACCTACAACCCCAAAGATGTATTAGTGAGTAAAGACTCAAAACTTGTTCAGTCAGAAAGTATTATTGCTCAGTCTGGTTGTGGAGATACCTAAATCGCACATGTTATCATCCTAGTGGTTTGTACACTGTTCTGGAGTGAGACCATCTGGGTCCAAATATCGTCTTGGACACTTAGAACCTGCATGTAATTGGGAAATGACTTACATCCCCTGTATCTCAATTTCCTTATATGTACACTGTGGATAATTATAGTATTTCCTCAAAGGGGTCTTTTCAGAATCAAATTAAATGACAAGTGTCTTAGCCCAGTGCTTGGCTCTGGTAAATGATCAATAAAAGGTTTATGTTACCTGTTGCGATTATTACCTTCAACAACAAATATATAAGTGCCTGCTGTAATATATTGGTACATTGGTTAGCAAATATTCTCTCAGCCTCATCTTTGGGGCAGACTATACTTCTTTACATGATCAACTTTGGCTTGATATTGTGATTCACTTTGATTTTACTTATTTGGTTGGTTTAACGGGAAGAGAGTGTTTAAATGTACCTACATGCTTTAGTTTGTTCTTTTGCTGGGAGACGTGCCTTGAGAAAAATATGCCTCAGTTAGTGCTGGTTCACGGAGAGCATGAAGACATGTACAACTTATTTGAACCCTATCTGAAGCCTGAAGCTTAGCCCAGCCAATGCACAGCTTAAATAGCAGCTGTCCAAGCTGACCTGGCTGACCTCTACACACTAGGTAAGAAAAAAATGCTTATATTTTAAGCCACTGAGTTTTTAGGTGGTTTATTACACAGCATTTTAGTGGCAATATCTGACTTACCTTTTGTGCAGCAGTGATTCATCATTAGCAAAGCAAGCTCCAGGTAGCCACTGCCCCTTTACCTGAGTAGCCTAAAGCAGAGCCACCAACCAAGCCCAGATTAGATGAGCCAAACTAATTGTGATGTGAGCTTAGGAGGATTTTTTTACATTGTTACAATAGCTGCTTGATCCACCTATTTTGTGGCAGGCATGGGAAAGAACAAGGACAGTGTTGCTGTGGTATTTGCATTAAAGTGAATATTTATAAATACTACTAAATATAAGTCAGATGCTCTTATTTCTGACCATAATGTTTTAGACAAAATGCTACAGTTCACTTTTTCTTATCTTTAGCCAAGATATGAAGCTAAAGTATAAACTCTTAAACCCATAAGTGAGAAAATAAATTCCAGAAGGTGCTACAAAGGAAACTATGAAATCTCTTCCCTGAAGAATTTGAAATATAACATAATCAGGCTTTTGGTTAGCTTATTGGGATATCTGCCTATCTGAGGGAAGAGGTATGAACCAGAAAACTTGGAAGTTGCTCTGGTTTTAGGATTTTATTATTTTAAATAAGATGATCTTAGCCAGCTCAAATTGTAAGATGGCTTGCTATTTCCTAGTTTATGAAGGTAAATTATATGTATATAAATTAATAATACATATTATAATTATTCACATAGATATTGGAATCTATGTGTGTATGTATATAATTTATATATATATATCCAATATCTATGTGTGTATATATATATAATGTATACATATATGTATAAATAATACATAAATATCCTTCATAGATATTCCATATATATCTATGAAGGAATATCCTTCATAGATATTAAATATGTATGTGTGTATGCTTTATTTCCATAGATATTCCTTTTCATGGTCCAAGGAAACATGCTTCAAAGCATGTCACCAGTTTGAAAGGCTGTCTTCTTAGAAGATTGAAAGGGTAGTGAAGAGCTTCGTAAAATAGCTAGTACACATTTTCAGGTACAAAGGTTTCAAAGATGTCAAAGAAAACAATCAACAAAGTAAAGAGACAATGTTGGGGTGATCGGACCCAACACCAGGTCATGGGGGTGACAAAGTCTGGTGGAATCAAAGGAATGAGAAAAGACAGTTTGAGAGAGTAAGTGGGTTCAGGGGGACAATGCAAGTTTGGAGGCTGTGAATTCCCAGACTATTTATTGGTGATCAAAGAAACAGGTGGTGAAAATGTGGGGGTCAAAAGGGAGAGTTGCATTAAGCACATGATTTACAGCTGTGACAGTTTAGCATATGCTCTGCTACTTGAGATAATGGAGAGCAAGTTCTTTTAACTCAAGATAACAATCGGTCCTGGGAGAGCAAGGAGCAAGGAGCCAGCAAGTCTAGACACATTCCAGGGGCCATGAGGGGTTTTACGCCCTGAGCCCTGGATTCTATCTAAGCCAAGAGGGGTTTTATGTCCTGGGCTTAGATTATGGTGCGTCAGGGTAGCCTTCCACCCTTTAGCACAGAGCTTGGTGTTCCAAAGGCCACGAGGGGTTTTAGACCCTGAACCCTGGACATGTTTGAAGACTCTTTTACATTTTGTCAGACATGCAAGCCCTGCCTCAGCTTCTCTCCCAACACTCAGCTTTTCTCCCAACAAGACAATCTACAGAATAGGAGAATATATTTGCAAACTATAAATGTTATAAGAGGTTACTATAAAAATATATAAGGAACTCAACTTAATAGCAAAATCAAATAAATGAATATAAAATGTGCAAAAAACCTAAATAGCCACTTCTCAGAAGAAGACATATAAATGGCCAACAGATATATGAAAAAATGCTAATATCACTAATCATCAGGGAAATACAAATCAAAACCACAATTAGATAACACCTTATTTCAGTTAGAATGGTTATTGTTAAAAATGTGAAAATATAACAAATGCTGGTGAGACTATGGAGAAAAGGATATTCACACACTGTTCGTGGAATGTAAACTAGTATATCTATTATGGAAACAGTATGAAAGTTCCTCAAAAAATTTAAAAATTGTACCATTATATGATCCAATTCCTGGGTATATATTCAAAGGAAATGAAGTCAGTATGTCAAAGAGATATCTGCACTCCCACAGCACTATTCACAGTAACCAAGATATGGAGTCAACCTAAGTGTACATCAACAGACGAATGGATAAAGAAGTGGTATATATACACAATGGAATACTATTCAGCCATAAAAAAGAATAAATTTTTTGCATTTGTAACATGAACTTGGACAGGATTATGTTAAGTGAAACAAACCAGTCACAGAAAGATAAATGCCACATGATCTCACTCATATGTGCAATTTAAATAAATATAATTAGAGAGTAGAATAGAGGTTACCAGAGGCTGGGGAAAGTAAGAGAAAGAGATGATGGAGCGTGAACAATATGTACAATGTTACAGTTAGGAGAAATAAATTTATAGTTAACAATTGTCATCCTATAACTATAATAATAGTTACCTACACATAGTTAACAATAATGTATTGTATATATCCAAAAAGCTAGAAGAGAGGAATTTAAATTGTCTCATCTCAAAGAAATGATAAATGTTTTGAGGTAATGGAATTGCTAATTGCCCTGCTTTGATAAATATGCAATATATTCATGTATCAAAACATCACACTGAAAACATAAATTATATGCTTTATACAAGAAACCCACTAAAGTCATAGATAGGTTAAAATATGGAAGAAAAGATAATCTATGAAAATATGAAGAAAAAGAATACTAAAGAGGCTCCATTAATATCAGAAAAAGTAGAATTCAGAACAAGATTTCCTTTGGTATCCCATATATAAGACTTAAAAATTATGGCCAGAAAAAACAAAGAAAGATAGGAAAATATAGAGTTAGAATTATTTGATTTTCTCCACAGTCAGCTGATAGTACCTATCAGTAACTGATACCAATTTTTTCCTTTATCTGTGTATTGATCTTCACTGTGGCAAAACTTCTTTATTCCCCCAGCCCCCACACTAGATTTTGCCTCAATATTTTCTTTGCACACATGCATGTAACCAAATGACAGATCTAATGAAATGCTAGTCACTTTCCAATAATTGCATGTCATAAATAATTGTGTAGTTAAATGTTACCAGAATCATTTTATAGGTGATGGCATAGAGACTCAGACTGGTTAGTAATCTTTTAAAAGTCACACAATCAAGATATGGGGGCAATAAGAAGAGGATTCAGTTTGTTTTCTTCCAGGGGCTACGTAACCCCCATCGCCAAAATTTTGAGACCAGGGCTCCTTATTACACCTCCTTTATAAGTGTTCTATTGCTGTATAACAAATTACCACCAACTTATCAACTTGAATACAGCCACTGTGTGTGTGTGTGTGTGTGTGTGTGTGTATGTATAATATATACTACATATTATAGTATATATATAAAATTTAGCAGTTTTAAAATTCATTCCATATTCTCTTAATTCATTTTTTATGAGTCTGTAGTCTTTACAATTTTGACTCCAGTGACTTTTTTATTTGCTTTTTTCATCGTTATATCCAATTTAACCATGAAAACTTTTGGACTTTTGAATATGTTAATTATAATATCAGAAGATGGGAATGAATAGGAAAGGAGCAGGTTTGGGGAGAGGAGATAAATAGTTGTTTGAGTCAGGTTAATTTTAAATTAGGGATCTGGTAGGAAAGACTGGTGAGTCATTAAATATTTGGGCCTGAAATTCAAAGGAGGAAGTACAGGTGGGGCATGAGAAGGCTTATTCAGTAACCAGACTTAGAAAAGGCATTGGGTTGCTGTACACAGGATGAAATAGGACACGTGAGGCGTGGTGGAATAGTAATTAAGAACACAGGCTTTTGACCACTGTTTGCATTCAAATCCTGGCTTGTGATGTACTTGTGTGATACTTCCTAATCTATTAAGTTGTGGAGGTTGGAGAATAAAACCCACACACACTGACTCACCTTGCTTTCAGTTCATGATCACTCTCCTCAAGTAGGCCCTTTGTGCTGCCCATTTTATTTACCTGGTCCATTCCCCATGCCTCTCTTCTAGATGACCATTTTTATGACTTATAAGAGACATTTCATTTGCTTTTTCCATACTGCGGGCTGCAAGTGATGGCTGTCTTGATTTATTCTTGGATCCCACTCCTCTAGATAACGTTTTGTCAGTGGTCTTCTCAAACCTGAAAATTCCAGCTTTTCCTGCCCCATCCTTGATCCTGGATGCCAGTGTTCGCTGTTTCCAATTTCTTCCCCCTTGAGCCTATTTTAATCAGGCTTTTGCCCTCGCCACTTTACTAAAATTGCTCTTGCAGAGCTTTTCATTGACGTCCACTCTATTCAGCAATCAATTATCAGAACTTGTTTTTCAGCAAGATTTTACATATTTGTTTATTTCTTTGTTTCTAGATACCAATCTATTTCAGTTACCTTTCTACCTAACAGGTCCTTCCTTTTCCATTTCTTTCTGTGATTTTTTTCATCAAGTTGATGACTTCTAAATACTGACATACTCTCAGTCCAAACCTTATACTTCTTGTCTTTTAGGTATGCACTGTAACCTTGGTAATTTTATCAATTTTCAAGCTTTAAATATTATGTATATGTTGATTATTCCCAAATTTGTATTTCCAACTCATTATCCCTAAGTGTCAAACCTATGTATCTAGCTGTCCATGTGACATCCTCACTTAATTGTGTGTAAGGCACATCAGACTTAATATGTCCCAAGTCAAATTTCTATTAACTTTTCTCCTATTTCAAAATTATTGCTTTAATATTATTTTAATCTCATCACTTGCCCACTTCATTTTTACATTTGCTCAAATGTCTTAGATAGGAAAATTGAGATGTCATCCAAACTCCCAGAAAGGAATGCAGATTCAATGGATAACAAAGCAGGTAGATAGTAGATGTGGCAATAGATGCCTGTGGAGATTCTTCTCCAGTTGTTTCTATTTTCTTAGTGAGCCCAGAAACAATCCCATACCTAATACTAAGGTGGAGGAAATGAAAGGAGAGGCCGAAGCGTTGGAGAGAAAGGGGCATTTGAGGAGACTTGAGTAGACTTTCTTTCATACCCCACATCTGGCTCTAGCCTCAAATACATGAGGATTTGAATATTTTGTATTGTCTTTAATGCTACTACTCTCATCTAAGCCATCAGCTGTCTCTTAGATTACTGCAATTCCCTCTTAACTAATTTCCATGCTTACTTCCTTGCCACTTTCCCTTGCAGTTTTATTTTTTTTTAATTCACCAGCAAAAGAGATCCTTTAACATGTAAGTCAAATGTTGTTGCTTCATAAAAGCTTTCTATCTTAACCAGAATAAAGGCCAAAGTCAACAGTGGCCTTCAAGGCCTTGTATTTTCTGGCTCTCTGAACCTCCTTAATCTGTCTCCTACCAGCCTGCTCCTTGCTCCCTTGACTCCAGCTACATCAAGCCTGTTGTGATGGCCAAACACAACAAACATAAACTGTACTTATTGTTCCCTCAACATGGCGTTCTTTTCCCTAAGAATTCTGGTTAGTTCAGTCCCTCATTTCCTTTTGTTTTCTTCCAAATATCACTTGATCAGGGGAGTCTTTACTGATTACACTGTATGAAATTGCAATACTTCTTTCTCTACCATACCTAGTGTGCCTGGTCTTCTTTAGCCTATTTATTATTTTACTTTCCATAGCATGTATCACACAATCTGATATATTTTATTTTTGCCTTAAATATTTCTCCTTTCTTAGAAGCTGTGTAAGAAAAGCACCATTGTTTTTGTCATTATAAAATCTCTCATGCCTAAAACACCAATTTAGCACACAGAAAGTACTCAATGAACATTTTCATATGAATATGCATCATATTTGTGAGAGACCAAATCAAAGTTTAATTTTTCATATTTTTTATCTGCCTAGACAATATTTCACAGGATGTTTGCTTCTGAGAAACATTGAGGAATCATGAGACTAGCAGGGAGATTATCATCAGGATACCTTTTTTGGTTTATGTCATAGTTCTCCTACTTTTTAACTTAAGACTCTGGGTAATAGGAGACTTTATTTCACCATTTTGATCCTCAGTTTCTTAACTGGTAAAACAAAAAATACCTAACTAAATGAAGGCAATGTATATAAGAAGGCCTTGGAATATTTGAAATACCAGAGCACTGAACAATGTAGATTTTTACATTTACATTTTGAATCAGGATTTGTTTTTTAAGGTGATAATGCTGCCATTTTTGAAATGTAGTTCAATTAATGATTTCATACACACATCATCCCTATGTTGATTAATATATCACTAGGTGAGCGACCATCCAAAGCTAGAAAATTTTACTTCTGTACATCTCCATTATACACCTGTAATAAAAATCCACCAAATCACCATATACAGAGCTCTATGCAATAACTGACATTTGGCCAAATTTGCAGAATCAGTCTATTTTCCGGTAACATAGCACTTTTATATGTGATCAATAATCAAGGTTAGTTATTCTGAAGAAGATTTGGTCTATAATTAGGGCAGAGAAGTTATTATTAAAATGTTATTTTTGTCAAAGAAGATTCCCAGTACATAATTAGAGATATTTATGCCTGGGACTAAAACTGGAAAAAAATGGCCATCTATTACATTCTTCTAAAGACAGATTGCTCTCTGATTTATCCGCTTTCAATATCTTTCAAATCACAGTATTATATCCCCTGACACACACACAAACACACACCCCCCACATACACGCACGTACACACACATGTGCACACATGCATTCCTGCTAGGCCTGTAGCACTGTGGCCCATAAGCAGATTAAAATAACATGTTTGCTTGTTTGCACTAATCCTGGTTATGGTGGATTGTGGAACTAGGATACTCTCCTTGATGTGGCATCGTTTGGGAGAGTTGTTCAATCTTCAGAAAGCTAATGTAAACTTATCAGCTTATCCTGTGCAGACTGCCAGGCATGCTGTTTTCCTCCTGTGTCTCACAATGTCAAAACCATCTCTGTCTGCTTCTGTGTCTTTGCCAGTTGATTCATGTTCACGCTACTGCCAGCCCTTCCCCAGGTCGTCCTTCTCTTGTCTTCTCACATCCTTTAAGATGAGGTTTGTGGTCAGCCTTACCCATGAAGATTTCCTAGCCTTGGATAGTCAAAGAATGTCCCTCTGTTCTCAGAAAAGTTTATTGTGCTTAGACACCCCATAGTTTAGAATGTATTTCAAGTTCACTGACAAACTTGCTTGTGTGATAATGACTGAAACCATATTTTGTTTCCTGAATTCTCCATAGTAAATATTTGCCTGAATGATTCATATACTAACTGAATATAAAACCTAATATTGACAATTTCACCCAGTTTTCTGAAGCTACTTGTTTTACTTAAGTAATTACTTCTTTTCACACTTGGCATCACAATTCTAGATTTAGTACAGGAAAAATAATTTTAAAGGTATACTTATAGGGGGGGATTTATCTTTCAATTCTAATAACTTATTATTAGAAGCAATATTGTTTAAATGGGCGAGTTAATGTAATACCAATTCAGTACCCACATAGAATTTCATGCCATGGCAGAAAACTTCTTGGATATACTGTAATAGATTATGGTCCTGAAAGTGTTACAGCTGTCTAAAGTCTCCATTTCAAGTGTTCTACAATTGTAGCTTCCGCAAGGATTTTTCCAGAAGCATACTCCCAGATTTGCACGTAGTTTGTGTTTTTTAAGTGGCACTGAAATCTAGCCTTAGTCATTGTCCTCATTAAAGTTTTGTCACTGCTCTTCTCGAGGTCATTGCTTCATTCGTCTTTCTTTTTTTCTTTTTCCAATATATTCAAAATAACTGGTCTGAATACACTAATTAGCAATTCTCAAGCTACTACTTTACTATCTTACTGCACCAGCTGAGGCACCATCAACAGCAGGGGTTTACTATCACACTGAGAGAGAGGGCCGGAGAGAAAGAAAGAGAGAGAGTGAGACTAACTCTGTCAAACGTATGTAAAATTTGACTATCATCAATGAAGTATTAGGGGTCTATAATATCTACTTCCTTCTTTAATTTGTTTAATCCATTCCGTGAATGCCCAATAGCTTGGTCTAGTTAACAGAAAATGCTGTCAGTAGGAATATCAATCATACTGTTGTGTTGTGAGTTCTACTAAAGTATAAAATCTTGGTGTCTGGTCCTTGATTTTGTCATTTATACACCTCTTCCTAAATCCTACGGACTGCCTGGAGGGCACTTGATAACTATTTGTTGGTTAATGAGTGAGTGAATGAGAACGTTATTTGGAGGATAATTGGTTTTGTGAATGACACAATGTGGCATATCAGAAGGAGATAGAATTTGGGACTCAGATATTCTAGGTTCAAATACCTACCCTGCCATTTTATAGCTATTATATTCAGCAAATTATTTTAGTCTGAGAGTGATTGCTTAACTCAAACTTTCCTAAGGGGGAAATACAGTTATATATTGTTATCTATTCTTTTTCTACATTCATTCTTTTACCAGCTAGTGTCCTGTTCTTCCTTGGAATAATATAGTATCTTCTGTGAAATGATCTGCTGTGTTTTCCTGCCCGCAGGGAAAGATGAAGCTTCCATTTCACACTTACTAAACACCTTTCTCTCGGAAGGTTATCTTTATTCTACTGCAGCCCCTCCAGTAAGTGAAAAGGAAAGCAATTGAAATAAAAATTAATTATAAAAAGAGATTTTCAATGTTACCCCAACAATATTGGTTCTAGGAAGGGGAACAGATAAGCTGTAGCTGGTCTATCATTCCCACTAAGTCATTTTCTGGTCATTAACAACTTACAAAACAGGAGTCTGTGTTTATTTTTAAAAAGCCTATTTTCATGACACACTTCTAATAGTTTGGTCTGCAAAGCTGCAAAATTTGAGGTCCATTTTTAAAAAATAATGGTCCAGAGTGATTGAGACAATGATTACAACTATGAAGGCATGGATGGCAGTAAAGTTGGAGAATTAGAATGGGTCAGAGTCCTGAGAAGAGAGGATGGGAGGGAGAACCAAAATTGCTATTCTTTCTTACATGGAGTTTTTTGTTCTTAATCTTCTTTGCTTGTACTGTACATTTATTACACAAGACTCTTTTCCTCTCAAAGATGGGAACTGGAACTTTGAGAATGTTTGAGACTCTGAAAAGTAAGACTGTTGTCTGAGAGAGAGGTCGATGAGAGTCACAGCATGGGAGTAGGGTAGAAGGTGGCTGGTAGAGGTATAATGGCAAACATCCACGATTTAAAACATTGCCTGATCTCCACAGAGTGCACCTGACTCCTGTTCCCAGGTGCCCCAATTCAGTAACTGAACAGAGTAGGAAACCTGATCTTCTCTTCCTCAAGTCAGCTAACCCCTCTGGACTGTAAATGAAAAATTCAGCTATGACAGTTGTCCAACCGGGAGGATTAGTTACATGGACCTGGCAAAGCCTCCTTGAACCCTTTGAAATTAACATGCAGATATGAGGTATTTGAAACTGACAGAAGTGCTATATTTTGCCCCAGGAATTTAAAGTTCTTCCTGAAGCCAGTGATGAGACACATTTCTTGTAGCAATCTGCTTATGACTCAAAGTCAGAGGTGTGAATTTTTTTCTGATTCCTAATACATAACGTGCAGATGGGGGAGTAGGAAGAGATGCTTAAGGAGTTTTCTTCCCTCCGTAAAGTTACATTTGTTTACTATGGATGTTTATATCATGTAGTTAGTGTGATATTGTTTTACTGGAGGAGGACAAAAAAAATCCTTGTTTGATATTGAACTTTGTTATTTCATATGCAATGTAATTGAGCACAGCTGAACAAGTAACTGGCCATATTGATCTAAAACCGTAGCTCAAGTCAAAATAAAATAGCTGGTCACAGGCATTTATCCTTAGGCTTGAATTTTGGATAAGGAAATTCTTCCAAGATTTCACATGCTTCTTTTTCTTCTTAGAGTATTTAATGGGTGATGTTTCAAAAATCAGTTTATTTCCTTCAGTTCTTTCTTCCATCTGACCTTCCCTAATTTTTTGTTTTGCCTTGGCTTACTAACTTTTAGGCCACTAATAAAACCATGGTGAGTGTTGAGAAGATGTAGATATATCTTTAAAATGTATGATATATGTTACGTATGTAGGATTTGCTGGCCATCGTTGAATGGGAATAACAGTAGCATTTGGCTTTTTGGCGTGTGCTTCATTTATTGAAGAAAATAGTAAACCTCCTTAGTATGGTGGCATTTTCATGAAGCAGCATGGAATCAGCTATATATTCATTGTGTCAAACAATTCACTGTTTGCCTTTTATCTTCTTTACTTTGCCCTTTTAAATCTAGCATGATTACTTTAGCCTTGCAAAAAAGGGGGGAGAAGCTTTACTCTCGTTTAGTTTGGTCTTTCATTTGATAGTTCCCATTACAGAAATCATAATATATTTGAATCATAGGAGATAAACAATAAAATTCCTCATGGCTAATAATGCAAAATTTTGCCCTATAATTTTTTTTTATTTTTGATAAATAAAAGGTTTTACACTGAATCTAACTTTAATAATAAAAATATTTTTTAAAATTCCTCTACTTATTTCTGGAAGGCTAATTTTCTTTGGCAAATTAAACTGAAATTTCTGGCATCACAGAAGTGAATGGCTATAATGGGCATCATCCCAATGTTGGTGAATGCCATAGAAGATATTTAAGGAAAACTTCTACTCCTGTTGATTTTAGTGGTGGTTCTGGTGGTAGAGGTGAGGAGATGGAATCAATTGCCATGTGTAGGTTGCACTTCAGCATAGGATAGAAAGTTTAAATTTTTTTACATTTCAATATAAGATAGACTATTTTGAAATCCCATAGCTATTAACTAATATGATTATACAGAGCTCAAACTTTAGACTCTACATTAAAACTACATATCAGTATTAAGCAATTGTCATAATAAATTTTTCATGAAACAATAATTAGAAAACACGTGTATACGGTATTTGGTGTTGCTTAGTCTGAGACTGTAGATTTCATTTGGTTTAAAAAATTATGCCCATGTGCCTACAGTGGCATCAGGATAAGCCCAGTGTAAACTTGAGGGATTTTATAAATAAACTATTTTCCTTTAAAAGAAATATAAGGCATTTAAAATGCAGGATTTCTTTGAAGGTAAATGGCCACATTATTTGTTAATGGATCTCTGAAATCTGTGACAGCCAATGAGGGAAAAAAGCACCAATATAGTGGTATCATGTTTCTGCAAAGAAGGCTATAGATGTTGGACATGCTGTATGTTTGAGGGCTCTAGGTAAGTTTTAATTCTAATTAACTACACGTTTTTTGACAAAATATTGATTTAATGATCTCAAAACTCATAACTTGTTATTTTTGCTAGTTTAAATAAAAGATAATTTTTCTTTTATTTGCCTTAATAATTCTCACAAAGATAAGCTAATCAAAATTTTTAGAATGGTCAAGAAAATAACCTCTTATGTGAGGCTTTACTTTCCCTAAGATCATCAGAAATATGAATTTTTAGTCCCAAATGCTACAAGATAAACCTCAAGCCTGCACATCCTATTATCCTGTTAGTGGCATAAAACATATGAGAAAAAAGCAGGGGCATCTTTCTACTTGGCATAGAAATTTATTTGTTGCCATTCCATCACTAAATACAGTTCTAGTATGCACTGGTATGGCACCTAGTGAGGTTCCTGTTTTAGATGTTTATTCAGGCTCTTGCTATTTTCTGCAAAGAAACTCACATCATTAATTATTTTATTTTGGTGACTTGCAGAGCTATAATATTTTCTTTCGTTTAAATACAAAATTTGTGTCTATTAGAAAATCATTCCTTTTAAGGCCATTGTTAACAGAAAGTAAATTTGAAATCTAGGTATATCTAGCTATAAATAGGTGGGTCTCTTTACACATCTCTAGGCTATTGACTTTTACTTGACACTGGAAAAAATGGACAGCTTTTTGGTGCTTCTCTGCGGGGTTTTCCTGCATGTAAAATAAAGAGAACAGCTGCCATGCACTCATTCCAAATTGGAGTGATTCATAAGGATCACACATGTGAAGACCTTGTACAGTGCAGAAAAGTGCTAGCTCAGCCAAAGCTATTATAGGAATGAAGGGCAATGTCCATGTCTATTTCCATTATAGCCACCTGCTCTGTTTGCATATGTATTTAATTTTCTGTGACTTTATATCACCCCCTAGCTTTGTTAGAGAAACTACATTTGTTTCTTGAGGATCTTAAATAAAAAGAATATTTTGTATGATTATTTTACAATGAAAACTAGATAAGACTATTAAACCATATCTTTAAATAAAGAAAGACTATTCAGAGGAAATGTTAATCATAGATTTTTTTAAACTAACAACTCTGATATCATTAAAGAGTGATCTTCTAAATTTCCCAAGAATGGGTTTTTTTCCGAGAGACATTATTGGCATGTCTGTTTTGTAGAGCATACTTTGATTTTATTTTCAGTAGTAGCAATTTTGAGTCAGAAGGAAATAACTATATTCTGGGAAATGGTTTGGAAATCTATCATTTCTAATAGTCTTTCCTGATGTAGAAACACAGAACATTGCCTTGGCCAATGGACATATTTTGCTTACTGGCTTAAAATCTTTGGCAAATCTAGTGAAACCTGAGAGCTAGAGAACAAAGAAGAGGCCTATGTGTAATATTTTCCAGCTAAACTATAAACAAAATGGAGGTACCCTTTCCTTGTTCTAGGAGTTTTCTGAAGGGTAAGAGTCCCTTCAGACTTTGAAGATACAATCAAAGATGAGATGAAGCAAGACAGTGCATTGGCATATATGGTAATAGTGAGACTTGCTTAATTTTTGCCTCATGATGCCACTCATTTTTATTTTATAAAGGTCATTTGTATAAACAAATATTTTTCAGTATGGAAAAATTGGAAAATACACACAAAAAGGAAAAAAAGGATTTCTCATAATCCTACTCAGAGATGATCACTCTTAACATTTTGGTGATTATATTTTTAGTCTTTGATATATTTGTCTGTATTATAGGCATTCACAGATATGAATTAATAGAGTGCGTTGGGCTATATTTTCTATTTTTAAAACACTTGCCTTTTTATGAGCTATCTCTTGCCATTTTAGTATTTGGGTAAAACTCCTTTTGAACGGATACATCATACTTCATTTTATGGCTCTCTAATTCTGAAAAATACTTGTTATCTCAACTCCTTAAATGCTAACTTCCAAGCTGACCAAATATAATTGCAATCTTGGGGTGATAAGAAATTCCCTCATCCCCATAATTAATATAGTATTCTACTGACACTATATTGTATATTTTGGAAATGATATTCAGAAAACTCTGTTTCAGTTATCTCACTCATAAAATGAGGAACACATTTCCCATTTGGCCTCATAGAAACATTTTGCGGGTAAAATGAAATGTAAAATATTTTTTAAAAAACCTATAAATGTCCACGCAAATGCAAAATGGTTTTGTTTTTGATACTGAGCTCTCATGGATTTAGATTACATGCATCTCCATTCCCGAGATCATCTCTAAGATGCAGCGTACCAACTGAGTGGATACACCATCATGTTGTAACTGCTTCATCCAACCAGCACCATGGATAGGTCCTTCAGGACTCTGGTATTAATCTTAAGACAATAGGAGTTAAATCTAGAGTGGTTGTAAATTAGATTTCTGTTTAACTTATGTTAAATCCATTTAGATAAAATATCCAAACATAAACACAAAAATTGCAGATATATAAATATGAAAGTTTACAGACTAGGAACTGCATAATATTAGGTTGCACAGGCATCAGCTCTGAAAAAAGAAAAAGGGTTATGCCTTTGTTGACACTATTAAGCCTACATGTGGGCTTCTTGATGTAATAATTAAATGTCATTATTACTAAATTTCTGTTCATCCATTATTTAGCTTCTTGTTGTTGAAGGGATTCTTAAGTTATGTATAATATAAATATAACTGGAGTAATCCTTAATGGGACCTGCATGTTTTTGTTTATAATTCCCATCACCCAAAATAATGCTTTCCATCTGGCAAGTGCATATATATATACACACACACACATATATATACACACATATACAGATATGTGTGTGTATTATATATATCATAGTCACATATATTTAGGTGAATAAAATGGATACAAAATACATACAAAGACATTTTTATGTATTCAGGACATGGCAACATGTGGAGAAATTTGCTTGAACTAGATGACAAACAATGTGAAAGCAGAGATTCTCTTTATTTTATTCATCAATCTTCTCTGAGCTCCTAGCAGAATATTTGTCTATTGCAGAATTTCATGAAGTATATTTTAATTAATGAATTAAGTAGCAAAGTGAAACATTAATGCATGTAGTTACCTCAATAACTCTACAAAGCATATCTCCTGAATATTAGTATTCATTATTTACAGGTGAGAAAACTGATGGTCAAAATGACTAAATTATTCACTCAAGGTCATATTACTGGTAAATAGAACACAGATCTCTTCATCCCCATGGCTAACACTGTGCACATTGCCTTAGGAGCATCTTGTTCATTTAAAGGGATGATTGAGCACATCATGATTGGTTTGTAGCCTAGCAGTTTTTAGCCCAAAGTGTTTTTATATAAGAGGTATGATATGGTTTGGATCTGTGTCCTCACCCAAATCTCACATCAAATTGCAATCCCCATTGTTGGAGGTGGGTCCTGGTAGGAGGTGATTGGATCATGGGGACAGTTCTCATGAATAGTTTAGCAACACCCGCCTTGGTGTGGTATGGTGATAGAGTTCTCATGAGATCTGGTTGTTTAAAAGTGCATAGCACCTCCTCTCACTTCCTTGCTCCTGCTCCCACCATGTAAGGCATCTGGTCCCGCTTTGTCTTCCGCCATAAGTAAAATCTCCCTGAGGACTCCTCAGAAGCAGATGCCATGAGGCCTCCTGTACAGCCTGAAGAACCATGAGCCAATTAAACCTCTTTTCTTTATAAATTAACCAGTTTTCGGTATTTCTTTATAGCAGTGGGAGAATGGACTAATACAAAGTGTAACAATCGGAATGTTTTGACTTCAGTGGTTTCAGGTAGCACTTTTATGCTTGACAACTATCAGAGAAAGAAATAGAATATCTTTTCGTTTTGTTTTTTTTTTTTGGAGTGAGGAGAAACCTACCTGGCATTCCCTAGTAGGCTCCCCCTTGAGTCTCAATGGTCAGGTTACCATCACATGCCTGTTTCTAATTTCTGACCATTTTTATCTTTTTTTTTTTTTATCTCTTCTGCTCCTGTTCCTCCTCTCACCGTCCCTGCTCAAGTGGATCCCTGTGTCTGTTGTTTCCTTCTTTGTGTTCATAAGTTCCTATCATTTAGCTCCCACTCATAAGTAAGAACATGCAGTGTTTAGTTTTCTGTTCCTGCATTAGTTTACTAAGAGTGATAGCCTCCAGCTACATCCATGTTCCTGAAAAAGACATGGTCTCATTCTTTTATTATGGCTGCATAATATTCCATGGTGCATATGAACCACATTTTCTTTAACCAATCTGTCATTGATGGGCATATAGGTTGATTCCATGTCTTTGCTATAGTAAATAGTGCTGCAGTGAACATTCACAACTCTCTACAGTATTTTAATCTTACTGTCATTACTGAAATTGTTTCAGTTCTAATGCTTTTGCAAATCACCCCAGGAAGGTCTATGTTTTAGGACCCTAGTACCTTTTTCTAAGTAGTTTTTCAAATATTTGCACTTGATTTAATAGGCCTATGCAATATATAATGCCTTGTTTGGTAGAAAATGGGGTAAGAAACTCAGAAAGACAAAGAAACAAAAGAAAAAAACGGAAAAAAGTAAATGAGAGAGCAACTATGCTTTAATATGAGAAACCTAGGTACTTTATGACACTCTGAATGGGCAAGTGCCAGAAATGACGCTTATACTACATATAAGGTTTAGGATTGTTGGTGATATAAAATACTAACTCTCTAGGCAGAGTCTGTCTTCAGTGAACATATATTTTAATGGAGAGAAAACCAAGTAAACCTACAGTTATTATATAATATAAGTCTTGATTTCTTGAACCACAAAGTGCTCAGGACCCCATTGGAAGGGCACTTCATCAAATCCTTAAATACTCCAAACATCTCTCTTCTTTTCAGTCTCTTAACACTACATCACACTTTTATTCTACTTCACAGTTTAGCACTGAAGCATATTCTCATGTTTTTCAGTGTTGTTTCGTAAATAGAAAGTAAATCAGTTTTATTTACTAGATTTCCCCTGGGAAGAAAACTGTATTTCTTTCTAATAAATATTTTTATAAGTAACTTAGAAAAGAGGTTGAAATTTGATAGAACCCATGTCTAACTAAATGGCTTTGATCAGGAAATGAACTTATATTGTTCCTGAAAAATAAAGAGGGAGAGGGAGACAAAGAGAGGACAGAGATAATAAGGGGGACAATTTGAGAAAGAGAAGTTTTTCAATCTGTGATGTGGTCCCTCTATATCACTCTTTGAATCATCAGGATTGTAGCTGAACTACTGTAATTTATGAGGCAATTACAAGTAGGTTTTGTGTGTGTGTGTGTGTGTGTGTTTGTGTGTTAGGTAGAAAGAGAGAAAGAGAGTTTCTGGTGAAGGAGAGATGCTTTGTCTCTGACATTGGGAAAAAAGAGATAATATTAGTAAATAAAGAAGCCAGTGGCATCTGGAGGCTACAGTCATCATCTATATGAAATAAATTAGTGTTGGTACTCCAAGTAAGACTGTAAGACTATAAGCTTCTTAAGATAGGGACTGTGATTCACTTTTATGTATTTAATGTGGACCAGAGAAGGCATCTAATTTTTTAATATGAGTCTCTTAGTTTTTGACAAATAAAATATTTGGGCTGGAGTTGGATGTGGTGGAAGGTGACAGAGACAGAAAGGGATGACATTTCTAGAAGTGATTTCAGATACATTAAATAACCAGGCAGCTATGAACATTGCTTCTTGCTGGCAATTTCCATTGAATCAGCAACATAGCATTTCTGCCTTTCTGATATTCTGAACAATGTTCCGCTCCAGACCTGCTGAATGTGATTAGACAACATGACTAACAGCATGCCTCAGGAGAACAGTGTGCAGTCGTCTGTGCTGTGTGGTTGGAGGGATTGGCTCTGTGCCGCCTGTCAAAATGTATAACCTTATGGGCCAGAAAGGTCACAGCCATTTCCTGTGTGGATATAGCAAAGCTACTGCATGAATTCTTGACCAGAAAATGTCCTTGGCCGATATGTACCAGGGGGAAAACAAACCCTGTGTTATAATGGGATTTACTTCCAATGACTTTGGGCTTCGAGGAGAAATAATCTACTCTGACAAAAATGTATTGCAAAAGAAGCTGCCATGCCACTTATCATATTAACACTCATTGATAACAGCTTTGTAACTATATTCCAAAAGCAATATTTTTGCTATTTTTTTCACAATATGCCACAATGAGATCCCATAAGCAGCCAGCTGTCTAATGTTGCCCACTGTTTTTGTTTACCAAACGAATTTAATTCAAGCTTCTACTATGGTGGTATTTCACTAGTTTCATTTCAGACTCTTTCAAAACTATATATTTCCTGGTCTTTCTACAAATTTTAGAATCGAGTCTCTGGAGCTAGGGCCTGTTATCTGCATTTTAAAATGCATTAAAGATGATTTCGATGATCAATTAGTTTCTGGATCTTTGTTCAAAGCAGATGGCACGATCTTTACCACTCTAAGCTACTTAGTTTAAAAGTCTAGGTCAGGACCCCAAAATCTTCCTTTATAACAGGACTTCCTAGAGATTCTACAAACCATCCTTAAAATTAACAAGTGAAAGCTGTCAAATACACTAAATTATTCCTTTCTGTTTTACACTATAATAACCAAATAGCTTAACATTTACACTGACATTATTTGTTGTTTTGACACAGTTGTGCAAATTCTGAGTCTTACTATCACAAATTTAGACACAGTGAAAGCCAAATAGATAATAGAAGAGAAGTTAAAGTTATGGTAAAACTTGTTGTTTTATAAATCCATCTGGGGTACTAGTTAAATATTTGCAAACAGTACGAAGAATAAACTGAAAGGGATTAAGAAACTAACCAGGATGTTATCTGCCATACATCAATATGAACAAAAAATAATAAAACACGTTGCTCTAAATAAAATTGTTATTAAAGGCCTTCTTTCTTTCTTACAGGTAAAAACTGATTCTTCTCAGGAGACAGATTCTTCTAGCTCTCACCTCACTAAAGATTTGAGGAGTAGCTTAGAAAGCATCTCTAAAGCTTTGAAATGTACCAACACCCTCTATAGGATCTCATGTTTTGGGGGATGACTATCGAAAAGCTCTGACTCTAAAGAAGGGTTAGGAATACCACTGATAGAACGGAAAATTCTGTCCAATAATATTAGAAATCATGAAAACTATAAATTGCACATTTAAGAGAGATTAAAAAATTAAAACAAAATTCTTTATAGAGCTTGAAATTTTACAATAGAAAAAAACTCAATGGTTTCTGTGAAGGATGTATATTGTGAAAAAGTAGAAATATATATATATATATATATATGTTTTCATTAATATATATATTCATTTATTTAAATCAACTTCCTGATAGCTAGACCTGAGAATGGGTTTGAGGGACAGCTGATTTTCATGTCTATGATAGTGGTTTTATGGTGACCAAACATATTGGTTTGCCTGAGACTGAGGAGTTTCCCCAGATGAGGGGTTTCTAGGACATAGAACTATCAGTGCTAAAGCTGTTTAAGCAGCAGGAAAACTGGGAAGAGTTGCTCACCCTAGTTAGTTACCTCCTCACATGTACCCCGTGATGTGTGCATCCTGGGTGGACAACGAATTGCCTAGTTCAACTCCCTCGCCACAGGGATTGATTCCAGCAGGGTATATAACTTAAATACTTTTGATGAGTGTGAAGCCAAGGACTTTTGCTTGATACTCTGAAGTAGAGAAGCCCTCCATTTCAGGGTGGCCTTGTGTTTATATAAATATAAAATAAAACTATTACAGCCCATTTTTGCTGCAATGGAGAAACCAAACCCCAGGATGAAACTGACACATGGAGGAGGATACAGTCTATGAACAGTGGGGAGGAACTGGAATCTTGATAACAAAGAAGCCCTCCTTATCCAACATTATCTGAAAGCAACCTCCACCCCGGGCCTATTTAATCATTATTTGGGTAAAAGCCATGCCTCATGGAAGGTTAGATAATCAGAAGGGTTGACTTTATGATATTGGGTAATCCATTTAACCCCGCTTTGTCTCTGAAACCTTATCTATAAAATGGACATGATAATTCCTTTTCTGTTTGCCATATAGGCTGCCAATCAATCTATTAATTTTTTATTCATTCAACAACTATTTATTGGCGTATTCACTGTCTTTCAGGCTCTAGGAACACAGCAATAATGAAGTCACATAGTGCTTAAAAAGTAGCTTTGGGACATAGCAAATTTATAGAGGGAGCCCCTTGATGGAGATCAACCATAATTTGGGACATTGGGTGTCTGGGAGGTGAGATGGCGTATGAAGTTGCTGGAAAATAACCTTAAAGTTTAGGATTATAGACAAGCATATGTTGTGTGGTGCTTATAAAAGATGAGTGACTGGAGGATCTCTGAACATACACTTGACTGTTCTATATGTGTAGTCCATGGTTGATCTTGACCTTCTCCTCTAAATCAGTGACCTGGTAAAATATAGCTACTGCAATTCAACTTTGTATTATTTGTTACTGGCAAGACTTGTAAAACTACTGATGTGTGTGCAATTGCTGTACCTTCAAGAACTTTAAGGGGTCACAGCTATCATCAAATAGAATATTTCCTGGGAGACTGGGTATACATCCAGTGCAATAGCCTGCCTCTAGGTCTTTGCTTCTGTTAGTCTCTGATTCTGTCTTCCACTCTCCATCTGTCAAGTCTTTGATGAAGCCTTTTATAATTCCTTGTAAACAAAAGTGGGCTCTTGTTGAAGCTCTTAGAGAATTGCATCTGTGCTTTACTTTGACTCTTATCACAGATATTCTTGTATTATTATTTGTGTCACATTTAGGTCATTGATGGGGACTCTGTGTGTGTGTGTGTGTGTGTGTGTGTGCGTGCACCATAAATATTTAGCAATCTATAAGCATATGCTGAGTAGAGAATTAAGTTTTTATAAGGGTCCCATAATATGTTGTTTGTCTGTTTTGTGAATACAGCCTCTAAATTTGACCTATAACTTCTGCAAGTTCCTGTTTTAAAAATGACTGCATGTTACAAATAAAACTGCTTTTGTCTGAAGAAAATGGGAAACAATAGTAGGTAAATAAAAAGAAGATGGACATGTTTCTTTTTCTAAGAAAACTATTATTTTATATAAAGCCTTTGGAAGCTCAAATGCCTCTGCCATTGACTATTCTATTCAGCCTATTGCTGAGCTCTCAAATTATGGATGACCTGAATTGGCATCTTTTCTAAGAAAATGAATTATTCTTAGACAATAGCAGGGGTAAAAGTACTGAGCTGGATGAATGAGAGGAAAAGACCAATTTTCCTTTTGTGGTGAACTGGGAAAGAGCCCTTGGAGATAACCATGGAGGAATTTTCAAAATCACAGAAATTATGTTGTGGGGAGGGTTTGCTGAAGAAGAGATGTTATCAAAGAAGTTGTCTTTGGCAAGTGATGCTCTTCAAACTGACCTCATTTTACGTAGCATGTGTTTCTGACAATTATTCAAGTGACTCTGGTTTTGTACAGTAAGTACTGGCTTCTAATGTTTCTTTATTTATCCGTTGCCTCTCATAGCACCTTTTCACCTAGAAGTGCCAATATTGTGAAGTAAACAGGAAACACATGATTACATCCAGAAACACTAAATACAGTCCAGTGAATACTCATTATCTCATATATGTGCAAATCAAGCAAGTGATTTGAACTCGTCACTATGCCTCAAATAGGAATAACAACAACAAGCTGAAAAGGAGCAGAAGACTTGTAGAAAAAAGAGAAATATTGCATAAATGAAATTACAGAAACAAAGGAGAAGTAAAGGTGAGAACAGAGCTGCAAAGCTAAGAGGGATGCTGGAGATTCTTTGGTAAAGGTTGTTATAAGGCCCCTTGTCTCTGAATCTCAGGAATGAAATAAAACATGCACTCAGGTAGAAGAGAAAATCACATATGAGGAAAAATCAAGCTGGTCTCAGTCTTCTTCACAATAAACCACAATTCTAGAGGCCTATATAATAGACTTCTGGAATAACGTCTACAAGGATGGCCCAAGAAGATCATATTCTCCCAGCTGCCATTCATCTGGAAAGGAAGCAAAATACATTCTTAAATGCATTATAGAAAAAGTCCAGTCATTTTTAAAAGTAATAAAACTACTGGATGATAAAATGCAGCGTAAAAGCAGATCTGAATCTCTACAAAATGCTCAGGGCAAGAGGAACTTTGAGGAAAAGAGTTGGGAGCTAAGTATTTAACCCATTGAAATGGAGAACCAGTTTTTTAATCATTCCAATATTTTCATTTTATTAATTTTTATGACTCTTGACCAATATTTCAGAAAACAATATGTATAGTAAAGAAATATTATCTAAAAATTACTGCAAATGTTAGTTTCATTCCTTTTTTTATTTGTTTATAGCAGCTTTGTTTATTTTTTAATTTTTTATTTTAACTTTTAAGTTCAGGAGTACAAGTGCAGGTTTGTTACATAAGTAAGCTTGTGTCATGGGGTAGTTTATTTTCTTCATCTAAACATGAGAGAAATAAGTTAATATCTCATAAAATAATGTCGTAGTCTGAATCTGTTTTTCTACCCTTTTTCTTTCTTCTTTCTCTTATTCTTGACTTTGTCCCTAGGTATATGGGCGTGTCTGAGACCATCTACAACAAATGCTAACAGCACTACCTTCAGGGTGATTTGATCAATATTTCAGCAAATAATATGTCTATGGTAAAGAAATATTATCTAAAATTTACCCCAAATTCTAGTTTCTTTTTTTTTGTTTGTTTACAGCAGCTTTTTTTTATTGTTTTATTTTTTAATTTAACTCTTATTTTAAGTTCAAGGGTACAAGTGCAGGCTTGTTACATACATAAACTTGTGTCATGGGGATAGTTTAATTTCTTCATCTAAGCATGAGAGAAATAAGTTAATCTCTTATAAAAATGATTCCACAGTCTGTTTTTCTACCCTTTTTCTTTCTTCTTTCTCATATTTTTGGCTTTGTTTTTAGGCATATGGGCATGTCTGAGGCCATGGACACCAAACGCTAACAGCACTTCCTTCAGGGTGACTTGATTTTGGCTTAAGCTTTCTTCTCTTGACTGTCCTGTCATGCATGATTTCATTTTTTAGTATTAAGCACATATCATTTTTATAACAGAAGTCTTGTTTTTCAAAAAAACAGAAGCTATATTCATATGTTATTTTCATGTCAAAAGGCTGTGAATGAAGTCTAAAGAAAGAAACTCTTTTTTACAAAAGATATTCAGTAAAACTTTGTCAATCAGGTAGTTTTGAGAAAGAAGCTTGAAAATTTCTTTGGAATTAAAAAAAATATCTCTAGGTAAATCCTCCACCCTGTTGGCATCGCATATCTATGCAGTAAATGGTTGTCTTGCAAAACCCGCTAAGTGCCTGCTTGGGCTCCATCTTGCTAGGCAACAGCCTAAACGAAAAGGAAGGTGTTGCTCCAAATAGAGCCATAGAAAAGCTCTGCTCCTGCCACATTACTATTTTTAAAAATATCAACTTGACTTTCATATGTAAAAATAGTTAAGCCCTATAATAGTTAAGCCCTATATTTCTATGTATTTTTCTTCCATATAGAAAAATGATTTGCTGTCTTTCAGGTTTTAGAAATGACCGTTGTAAAACTTTTGCTGTATCATAAGCTCTAACTTTTAACTTTTACAAATTAATGTTAAAAATAAATTAGGTTCCTTCCTGGCCTTTGCTTATTCATTTAGCATTTCTAGTTCCCCAGAGCTAGAATAAGGACAAAGGCAGGTGGAGTTTCCTAAGGCTTGGAGAGAAGAACTAGAGGAGCACTATATGTCACCATTGCCATATTCCTAGGACACTGGATCAGTCAAGGCCTAGTATTGAAAATAGCATCAGAGCTGTTGTCAAGATCTTTACAGATAATAATATATCTAATCACCACAACCATTTTTATAAATTAGTCTGTGAAGCTGAAGATATCCTGAGTTTCAGTAACCTACCTACGCGTCATAAGACTAGTAAGTTTCAGCATCATGCCCTGAACCCAGAGAGTTTGGCTCCAGACTTTATTTACATGCCTCATCTGATATCTCAGAAGGTAAAATGCTTAGGTGTTAATAGACATGTTCCTAGTTTCATAATGGGTGAAATGGTCCTATAAATAGCATTACCATAAATAATATACTCACTAAGGCTAATATTTGAAAACGTCTTTGAAAACTGAGATGGTTCTTAAATGGGAAAGTTCTTACTCATCAGTGGCACGTGCACATACTTAGTGTGTTTACTCTTTGGGGGATACTCTTTAAAGATGTGTGTGTGCTGGGGGGGATTTGCAATTAAATAAGTATGAAAATAAACAGGGAAGCAGATGTTACAGCTGGATGCTCCTTTGGGGTCATACCGGCAATGTTATTAATGCTCTGATGGTCATGAAGATAGATGTTCTTATGTGCTCGCAAGAGGCAAGAAGGCAGGCAGACAAGGGGAAGAACATAAATCTAACCAATAAAAATATTAGCCTATGCCAGTTTGAATCAAGAAATAATAATCTCTGTAAAGAACAGGGCATGGGTGTTTGTTTTTATTGTGCTGCATTTAGGGTTATTATGAGGCAGTGTAACTTATGTTTCTGTTGCCAACAACATTTGTAAAATTGGCAGTTTTACAGGGAAGATTGTGAACAGCTATAAAAATATTATTTCCCTATAGATAAAAGTTAATTCCTACTTCTATCATACCATGAAGCATGGTCTAGGGATCAACCAAAAGAGTCAGGAGCAGCGGAATCTGGAATCTCATCTCAACTGTTGAGTCCTTAAGGATATGCAAGTCTCATGCTGTGTTTCTTTGATTCCAAGTCTCTCTTGGCAATGAGCTAAGAACCTAGAGATAACTTATTCTTTCAGTTCTTTATAGGACCATTTATTTTAGTACTGCAGTCATAAAGGCTTAAATACTAAAATCCTACCAGTTCCCGTGAACAGAATAAAAAATAATATTTTGCAATGGGCATTTTGGAGGTGATTGGAAACACAGAGCACTACATTTCGGTTTCTGGCAAAGAAAAAAACACACACAACAACAACAACAAAAATTGTCCTAGAGGTCAGCATAATATGTATGCTATGTATCTGTCTCATTGACATGGTCATCAATAAGTTCTTTACATGCAAGTTCACCTTTCTGGATACTCTATGCTGCTATCTGGATACTCTAGCTTATTTGAGAGGATGACAGAAAATAATCCATAAGGTAGCCATAAATAGGAGAATAAAGGGTTTGGGGAGTGTTAAAATTTATGTGAGTGTTAGATAAGCATACGTTACTATTTTCGTCTAGAAAATGGGGACGTGAAAAATGCAAAAAGCAAACTCAGGACTAGAATTTGTCAAATAGGATAAGATAGTATACAGGAGAAAGAGAAAAGGAAAGGAAACTATGTACCACTGCATTATTTTATTTGTTCATTAATTCATTTAAAAAATGTATATTAAGCCCCTACCATGCCTTAGATGTATCTTAGATGCTTGAAATAAATATATCAATGAGATAAAACACATTAAAGTTACAGTTTTTATGGACCTTGAATTTTAGCAAGAGGATACAGAAAATAATAATAATAATGCATTAATAATATAGAACATTAGGAGATGACAACTGGTATGGAAAAATAGATCAAGGCAAGAAGTTATGGAAAAGCTATGAAATTGCATTCCTGGATGCTGATTTCAAATTATATGAAGGTATACAATTTAATATTTTTTAACAGAATGATGAGGATGGTTTACAGGCAAAATAGTTCAACGAAAATTGTTGGTATCTTAGGAAGAGGGATGCATTAATAGAGGCTCTCTACAAGGAATGGACTGCATAAACATTGCTTATTATTTAATAAACATTGCTTATTGTTTAATAAACATTATGTTTACTGAAATGGTATGCTGTTTTCCTGGATGGAGATGTAATATAGGGTCCATTAAAACTCACCAATCCTTTATAATAGTACCTGCTTTCCCTCAGTTTCATAGTAGTAAATCACAACATAAAAATACCTCATTTATGATTATGAAGTCCAGGGAAAAAACTAAAGGAGCAGAAGAGTTTCCTCTATTTTGTTTTTCAGTTTAAGATCATGCTTTAAGAGGAGAAAGAAATTCGAAAAGCCAATAATTGAAGCAGTGTTTCATTATTTGTGGTCTTGGTTTATGGTTTTAAGACTCATGAGCAACGAATATAGCACAGCTTGCAAAATCAAGGAAAAATGTTTTGGGCAGGTCACTGGCAGTGTTTACCTGAAATTCGAGGAGGAAAGAGAAGGAAATAGCTAATATGAAGAACGCTAGGTAGGACATAAGAAAATCTGTTGTTAAAGGGTTTCATGTCACTGTTGGAGAAATTAACAAGGAAACAGACAGGAAATAGTGATGTACGTATGTCTATATATACTTTCTAAAATATATTAAAATGCATCTTAATATCACAAGTGTGAAAAATTGGTAAATAGGATGTTTGGAATATCAAAATAAAAGCAATCAAATAAAAACAATGACGTGGCAGAAAAATACCTACATATAAGAAGAAACCAACCTATAGTGCAAGCACATTAAAGAGTTTTAGCTGAAATTCAAAGGAGAAAGAAATTACAATGCCTGTAGGAAATAACTATGTATTTTCAGATATTTTGTAGTATAGTATATATACAGATAAAAAGCCAGGTTAATAAGTTTTCATGAGGTTGTGCTATAAAGAAGCCGTTCTTGGTCAACTGTAAATTAGCTTGCACTCTTAGCTAATAAGACAGATTGAAGGGTAGATTTTCGAATATCAACCTTGCTGCATGTTCTAGTCAATGTTCTTTGGGTATCAAGAATAAGAGACCCACTCAAACCAGTGCAATAAATGTGGGGTTTTATTTTAAGGATACAAAGACTCACAGGGCAGGAATTGCAAACCAGTTAGGTATCACAAGAACTAAAAAAGTGGGATACCTGACTCAGTCACCAATTTCTGTGTGTATCTTCCATTCCCTTCTCTTTGCAAATTTACTGTATTCAGTTTCCAAATAGTAATTTCCAATCATCAAATCAGTCTGACTTTTCACTATGCTTCAGATAACTCCTTTATTTCTTTGTCTCTGTCTCTGTGTGTATACATACATATATATCCTTCACTGCCTTACTATGTTGTGTTTAGATTAAATTCCTCAATACTGGGTTCATGAATTATCTCTCTGGCTATACTTAGCATAGAGTTTATCTTACCTTTTGAATTATTTATATTTTATATTTTAATATTTTTATTTCTCTGATTGCTAAGTGGTTAATTTAAATTTGTGTGATGTTTCATTCATCCCTATTTTTGTTCCCAAATTTTCTCATTTATGAATATTTTTTGCTATGTCTGTCTTTGAGTATTCTAAATTATCTATTTTAAGCAAATAACATCTGACTAAAATTTTTCTATAATATTAATTTATCTGCAATAAGTTCCTATTCTAATGGCTGTTGTTGAATTCCTCATTTAGCTTTAGATTTCTTCAGGTATTTTTTAATATTGGTTTGTCTGCCCAACTTGAGGGAGAAATTTTGGTTTTGATTTATCTTCTCTCTCTCTCTCTCTTTCTCTTTCTTTCTCTGTGTATGTGTGTGTGTGTGTTTGTGTGTGTGTGTGTTTGTGTGTGTGTTTTCTTACACATCCTTGGCAGTTATTGAAAATGAGGCTGTGTGTTTAGTTGTTATAGTATTAGTTGTATAGTTGTTAAACTAAAAATTCAATGCTGTTACAATCGGGTAGAAAGAATTACCACCAGTCTTTAACCATTCCATAGTAACTTGCTGTTTGCTGGAGAACAAGGAATAGACTTCCTGGTGCCTGATCAGTTTGTAGAATGTTGTAACTTGTTATCAAGGTCATACTTCTCTACACATTATGATGCAAACCATAACAATTGCATACATGAGCACAATGGTTATAATTGCCTAGATGCAATGAGATTACATATGCTTCCCATGTTATAGCCTGGGGACAACAGAGTAAGTTAGCATCACTAGACTAGAACCTGGATGTTAGATGCAGTTGATATTGTATGTAAAAGGCAGTACTTGAAACCATATAAGGTAATTATGCTAGTTTTGTGATGACATGGTCAAACACATAGGTGTCTGATAAGCTCTTACTTAGTGCTCTCCTCATAGCAGGTCCTTGCCTGAACAATTTTACCTCCACAAACCCAAGAGAAAACACCCAGAAGAACAGTGTGATTTTTATTGGGATGGCCTCTATAGGAACAGGCTTTGACTAACATGATGGGTAAAATTTTGACAAATTGAAGTAGAATTTGTTTGCATTGAGTAACATTTACATAAACCTGGTTGATAATTAAATGAGTGTATATCTATAGCTCTGAGAAGCCATGTGTACAGACTCCACCAATTTGGGAATCATGAACGGAACAATGGAAGTCATGAGCATGTGTGAGCAGGGAGTATAGACTTTCAGGGAAAGAGGACCCAGAGAAAAACCTTGAATTACCTAATAATTAAAGGATCTCAGAAAAGAATAAAGTCTTGAGAAACAGGCTGAAGGAGAAGCCAGGGACATAGGAAAGCTGCGAGAAGACTTGTGAGTCAAGTATAGAAACAATTTCAAGAAGATGGTGTTTCTAAATGGTGATGTGTACTGTCAAATATCTATTAGATTTAATAAGGTGATAGTTAATGACCATGAAATGTGGTGGCTACAAAAGTTTAAATTAGTTAGTTAAGGTGGAAGAGATAAATAGGTGAGGAGGATTTTACCAGCTAGAAGAACGGCAATAATTCTAGGTAGAGGATGTGTTGTGGGGGATTTTATTTAAAGAATATAGTAACGACATGAAGCTTTCTGTAATATTTTTCTCTGGGAGACTATGTCTTATAAAACTACGTCGTATAAAACTTGTACTGATTTCACTTCGTAGATACTTAATAAAAATTGTAGAATGGTTGAAGAACACATTTTGAAATAGCTTCACCAAGTGGAGGGAGAAATGTGGGAAGAAACTGACTTGCATTCTGAGTACTTACGAGTGTGGCAAATGCCATAATTGGCCCATTCATATCTGCTAGGCACTCATCATTATAAGCACAAGGCTGCTTACGTTGATACCTGTGACTCTCTGCCTAAGGGCGTTTTTCTGTCTATGGAAGACTGCTCAGTCTACACATAGGGCAAGCTAGAAGCGCTGCACAGTTAATGCTCCCAGAAGCAGCTCTCAACTAGTAACAGGCAAAGATAAATACTTCAGCTTTTTAAACATCAGAGGGATGTATTGTACATTGTCTCTTAGAGTTTATCAGAAGGATTAAACTCCAGTTTCCCACAGTGGTAACTTGCTTTATGATGCCCCTTAATTGACTTTCTTCTTTGCCTCTCTCATTTCTTCTGCTAGGGCTTCCTGAAATAATTTCCCAAATAAATTATTGCCCTAAAATCCTTGTATCTGACCCACTCTGGGATCACCCCAAGCAAGACACTGAGCTAGTCTCTATATGCTTTCACATTTTATATTACTTAATCCTCATGGTTTATTTAACCCTGTGACTTTAAAACTAGGTAGAGTATCCTACTTTATAAGTGATGGGTTGTAGGCTTGGAGAGATTAAGAGTATTGGCCAGGTTTGTACAGCTAGCAACTTGTGGAACAAACTCAACTCTTTTAGTCTAAATCTTAGACTTTTGGTTTTAAACCAAATTGCTGCATCTCTGGTTTCTTGTCAGGTGAAGTCTTTATTCCTCTTCATCAGGACATTTTTTATAACTATGTGTGTACATGGAGAATAAAATAAATGTGAAGAAAGTGGAAAAGGAATTCTGTAATACAGATGTTATTTGGCTATTACCAAAAAGTTGAAAAACAACAGATGCTAGCAAGGCTGTGGTGAAAAAGGAATGCTTACACACTGTTGGTGGAAATGTAAATTAGTTCAGCCACTGTGGAAAGTAGTTTAGAGATTTCTCATAGTACTTAAAACAGAACTAAAACTCAACCCAGCAATCCCACTCTGGGGGTATATATCCAAAAGAAAATAAATCATTCCGCCAAAAAGACACATGTAGTTATATGTTCATCAGAGCACTATTCACAGTAACAAAGACATGAAATGAGCCTTCATGCTCATCAGTACATGTACACGATGGAATACGATGCAGACAAAAAAAAAAAAGAATGAAATCTGGTTTTTTTGCAGCAACATGGATGCAGTTGGAGACCATTATCCTAAGTGAAGTACCACAAAACAGAAAACTGAATACCACATGTTATCACTTATAAGTGAGAGCTAAACATTGGGTACTCATGGACATAAAGATGGGAGCAATAGACACTGGGGACTACTAAAGAAGGGAGGAAGGGAGTGGGGCAAGGAATGAAAAAATAGCTATTTGGTACTATGCTCAGTGCCTGGGTGATAGGATCAATTGTATCTCAAACCTCAGCATCACGCAACATGTGTAGCTAGGCAGCAAACCTGCACATGTACAACCTGAATGAAAAATAAAAGTTGAAATTATTTAAAAAATGAAAAAAAGTTATTTGGAAGAAATTATTTGACTCTCCTAACTATCAAAGGTACAAATGATAGAAATCCTTCTCGTTTCATTTTTGGATATAACCTGTTACACTCTAAAGCTACATTATATTTACTTGTGTATGATTAACCATAGTGCCAATGCTTTAAATGATTTCAAATTATCATAATGGTGGAATTTGGATTTAAAAAATCTTATTCCCAAAGTAACACCATTTATGACTTTTAAAACCCTTAATATTTCTTAATTGAAGATTTTAGGTAATTACTTTTATAAAATTTTGTTTTTTAGATCTCTCCCTCCAGTTGTGGAGACTTTCTGCTAATATTATGTTCCTACTTACTTTAATCAGAACTTTTCACCTATGTAAACTAAATAGATATTATTTATATTTTCAAGAAATATAACCAAATTTGGTTTAATTAGAAGGAGATTAATATATGTTCAGCACACAAATTGTACAGCACCCATAGCTGTCATATGACACTAATTACCCCTCTATAGAGGTTCAGCGGTCCCAAGCATGAACTATACATAAGATCTTATGTGTGAACATATATAATGTCATTTCTTCCTTTCCAGTATTAAGCCTTTTATTTTGCTGGCCTTCTTGCTCTGTCTAGGACTTCCAGGACTATGATGAATATACATGACAAAAGCAAGCTTCCTGGCCTTGTTCCTAATTTTTCAGTCTTTCACCATTTAGTCTGAAATTGAATATGATTTTTCTGTGGGGTTTTTTATATTTGACTTTTATTACATTACGGTAGTTTCATTCTAGTGCTAGTATGTTGAGTGAACACTCATGAAAAGCTTTTTTTTTTTTCACCATGGAAGGGCATTGAATGTTGTTAAATACTTTTTCTTCACCAATGGAGATGACTGTTTATTTCCATTATTCTGTTAATGTGGTATATTACATTGATTGCTTTTTGTATGTTGAACAATCTTTTCATACTAATAATAGATCCCACTTTGGTCATGGTGTATAATTCTTTTAATATGCTGTTGAATTTGTTTTGCTAGTATTTTACTGAGAATTTTTGCATCAGTATTGCTCACATTGCTATAAAGAACTACCTGAGACTGGGTAATTTATGAAAAAAAAAGAGGAACTCTCAGTTCCACCAGCTATACAGGAAGAGTGGTTATGAGGCACCAGGAAACTTACAATCATGGCGGAAGGCAAAGGGGAAGCAAGCATGTCTTACCATAGTGGAGCAGGAGAAAAAGAGAGTGAGCAAAGAAGTGCCACACTTTTAAACCGTCAGATCTTGTGAGGACTCATGATCATGAGAATAGCATGGAGGAAATCCATCCCCATGATCCAATCACCTCCCACCATACCCCTCCTTCAACACATGAGGATTACAATTTTACATGAGATTTGGATGGAGACAGAGAGCCAAGCCATATCAAATATTAATTAGGGATATTGGTATGTAGTTTTTCCATAGGTTCTTTAGATATTGTTCATTATTATTATATATTTAAAATTTCTGTTCCTCAGACATGATAATTTCAATTGTCCTATCTTCAAGTTTGTTGATTCTTCTTTCTATCTGCTCATATCTGCCTGTGTATCCCTCAAGTTATTTTTTTCATTTCAGAATCACAAGGGCAAACTGTGGAAGAAACAAAGAAGAGGTATTGTTTTAAATGAGGAACAGGGTACGAGGTTGTCATCTTGAATGTCCTCTCATATATTGTTTAGCTACTTCCTATTCCAACAGCACTCTGTAAGCCAGAGTTTCTGAATCACCTGGGAGCTTGTAAGAAATGAAGAATTCATGTCTCCTCCCAGACTTAGTGAAGCAGAATCTACATTTACACAATCCACAGGTGATCCACAAACACATGGAAGTTGAGCATTCTTGGTTTATAAAAATTATCTAATATTTTATCTTTGCCAGAGAAAGCATAACAGCAGTGTGTAAGGTGATGACTGGAGACTAATACATGATAATACATACCTTTCTATAGTAAATTCTTCTGTATGGAGTCATATGAATACTATGTGTATATTTAATTAGTCTTATACCATTATGTATGAATTAACAGTCAATTTGATTTAATATATTTGCAAAAATAGTTTTCAAAAGTACAGGCTTAAAACAGATATTTAATTGTTAAATCTAATGTACTGGTTTTATAAAATTCTTATTGAATACATGGTTGAAAATATATCAACTTCATATGCAGAAATTTTACATCCTAAGTGCAAACCCTGGGATTATTTGCATTTTGTGTGATTTTTTCCATGCTGTTAGAAAATATTAAAATGAACGTATCATATTTTTGTGTCCACACAAGATGTTGCTTTAAAAATTGTGCTTTCCTTATCCACTACAATGAAGTTGGCTTCATCCCCAGTATGCAAGTTTGGTTCAATATACGCAAATCAATAAATGTGATTGATCACATAAACAGAACTAAAGACAGAAACTACAAGATTATATCAATAGATGCAGAAAAGTCCTGCATGTTTTCTGATCAAATTCCGATCAAATTCAACGCCCCCTCATGCTACAAAGTCTCCATAAACTAGGTATTGAAGGCACATACCTCAAAATAAGAGCCATATATGACAAGCCCACAACCAATATCATACTAAATGGGAAAAAGCTGGAAGCATTCCCCTTGAAAACAAGCAGAAAACAAAGACGCCCTCTCTCACCACTCCTACTCAACACGGTATTGGAAGTTCTGGCCAGGGAAATCAGACAGGAGAAAGTAATAAAGGTATCCAAATAGGAAGAGAGGAATTCAAATTATCTTTTTTTGCAGATGACATGATCCTATATCTAAAAACTTCATCATCTCTGCCCAAAAGCTTCTTAAGCTGATAAGCAACTTCAGTAAAGTCTCAGGATACAAAATCAACTTGCAAAAATCACTAGCCTTCCTATATACCAACACCATGCAGGCAGAGACCCAAATCATGAATTAACTCCCATTCATAATTGCTACAAAAAGAATAAAATACCTAGGAATACAGCTAACAAGGGACGTGAAGGACCTCTTCAAGGAGCACTACAAAGAAATGCTCAAAGAAATCAGAGATGACACAAACAAATGCAGAAACATTCCATGTTCATGGATAGGAAGAATCAATATTGTGAAAAAGGCCATACTGCCCAAAGTAATTTATAGATTCAATGCTATTCCCATCAAACTAACATTGGCATTCTTCAAAGAATTAGAAAAAACTATTTGAAATGCATATAGAACCAAAAAACAGCCCGGGTAGCCAAGAGAATCCTGAGCAAAAAGAACATAGCTGAAGGCATCACACTACCTGACTTCAAATTATACTATAAGGCTACAGTAAGAAAAACAGCATGGCACTGGTACAAGAACAGACACATAGACCAATAAAACCACACAACTATATCCATCTGATCTTTGGAAAACCTTATCAAAACAAGCAATGGGGAAAGGATTCCCTATTTAAAAAATGGTGCTGGGGAAACTAGCTAGCCATATGCAGAAAATTGAAACTATGGTGCAGTTTCCTTACACCATATACAAAAATCAACTCAAGGTGGATTAAAGACTTAAATGTAAAACCCAAAACTATAAAAACTCTAGAAGAAAATCTAAGCAATACCATTCAGGACATAGGCACAGGCAAATATTTCATGATGAAAATGGCAAAAACAATTGCAGTGAAAGAAAAATTTACAAATGGGATCTAATTAAATCAAAGAGCTTCTGCACAGCAAAAGAAACTATCATCAGAGTGAACAGACAATCTACACAATGGAAGAAAATTTTGCAATCTATCCATCTGATGAAAGTCTAGTATCTAGAATCCATAAGGAACTTAAAGGAATTTACAAGAAACAAACAAACAAAAAAAATTAAAGAGTGGGCAAAGGATATGAACAGGCACTTCTCAAAAGAAGACATACACGCAGCCAACAGGCATATGAAAAAAAGCTCAACATCACTAATCATTAGAGAGATGCAAATAAAAACCATAATAAGATACCATCTCATGGAAGTCAGAATGGCTATTATTAAAAAGTGAAAAAACCAAATATGCTGGTGAGGTTGTGCAGAAAATGGACCACTTTTATACTGTTGGTGTGAGTGTAAATTAGTTCAACTATTCTGGAAGAAAGTGTGGCAATTTTTCAAAAACCCAGAGGCAGAAATATCATTTGATCCAGCAATTCCATTATTGGGTGTATACAAAGGAATATAAATTATTGTATTATAAAGATACATGCACCTGTATGTTCATTACAGTGCTATTCACAATAGCAAAGACATGGAATCAACCTAAATGCCCATCAATGATGGACTGGATAAAGAAAATGTGGTGCATATACACCATGGAATACTTTGCAGCCATAAAAAGGAATGAAATCATGTCCTTTGCAAGGACTTGGATGGAGCTGAAAGCCATTATTCTCAGCAAACTAACACAGGAACAGAAAAACAAACACTGCATGTTCTCGCTTGTGAGTAGGAGCTGAATCATGAGAACATATGGTGGGAGAAAAACACACACTGGGGCCTGTGTGGGGGGTGGGGGTAGGGAGACCATCAGGGAGTATAGGTAAGAGATGCTGGGCTTAATAGCTAGGTGATGGGATGATCTTTACAGCACACCACTGTGGCACAGATTTACCTATGTAACAAACCTGCACATTCTGCACGTGTACCCCTGAACTTAAAATAAAAGTTGAAGGAAAAAAAACACAACAAATAAACAAATGAAAATGTTACCAAATAATGATACAGAAGCAGTCAACTGTAGAAGATAAGTAAATGGACATTATTTTCGCTTTTTAATCTCTCAAACTGGAGGAGTTATATGGCTGTTGTGACATAGTTATGTGAAAGATTTCATTGATGCCTTCTGGTTAGATTTTTAAAAAGTAATGACATCAAAACACTTTAGATACACAGATAATATAGAGATACACTCAGATATACTGTAAGAACTCCGAAAAACGTAATTCTTCTACTGTGCTTCATGGTGCTTTTGGTGGGGCCCTGTGTTTACTTCATGAAAGGGTCTTAAAGGCTGGGCTAGCTCCCCACATCTGTAGAGCTCTGGGGACCTAAGCCTTACTTCAGCATTACTATGCTTATTTAAAAATATGATTTATGCACGAAACATCTTTGCAACAATTTATTAGAAAAATAGCATTTTATAACCCAAATTGTTTTTTAAAATTGAAAGCCCTGAGCAAATATGTTAGTCTCTGGAGTGACATTCAAGACCTTGTATTAACTTAGCATCTTTTCCTGCCCGGCATTAATTCATCACGCTATCTGAATTGCACTTGCATGCAATAAAAAACAACTCATTGTTTCCTAAATTTGATGGCTTAGAGATCTAAATTGTCCACCTTTAGATTAAGGTAATAGTTCATCCCTCTGCCTCTCCCTTGGTCTAGTCCCTGTACTCCTTGAAGACATTGTGTGTTAGACATTTCTTTGACAAATGTGCACTTGCCTTCTCCCCCACAAATGTTACATATTGTTGCCCCATAAAACTTAGAACTCATTATTCACTTGTTCTGCAAATCTTTGGTGGACCTAAAAATGCTAGGTCCTGGGGTACAAGTGAATGTCAATGTGTTCACCATCCAATGAGGGAAAAGACAGAAAAATATATTAAATTAGAAATCCTGACTAGTGAGCTCCATCAGTACAAATTCTAGAAGCTTTCCAGTTAATGATGATATGCATAAGACTTAAAAATCACGGGTAGACCACATTTACAGTCAATCAAGATCTCCATGTAGTTGTATAAAGTGATTCTTAGAGACACATAGAAGAACTCTTGGCATAGTTTACCGCTTTGTTCCTCACCCTATCCCCACCATCATTTTTTTTAAAACTGAAAGGAGTCTTAGGCAGCTTTTATACTCGAAACCCACATTTTCAGTTAAGGGAATGATAAATGGAGACATATAGAGGCATGGCCAAGACACTACTATGTAGTTCTTCTTCTTCTTCTTTCTTCTTCTTCCTCTTCCTCTTTTCTTCTTCTTTCTTCTTTCTTCCTCTTCCTCCTCTTCCTCTTCTTCCTATTCCTCCTCCTCCTCCTCTTCCTCCTTTCTCCTTCTTCCTTTTTTTTTTTTTTTTTTTTTGAGATGGAGTCATGCTTTATTGTCCAGGCTTGAGTGCAGCAGTGTGATCTTGGCTCACTGCAACCCCTGCCTCCCCGGTGCAAGTGATTCTCCTGCCTCGGCCTCCTGAGTAGCTGGTATTACAGGCACATGCCACATACAGCTATTTTTTTTTTTTTGTATTTTTAGTAGAGATGGGGTTCTGCCGTGTTGGCCAGGCTGGTCTTGAACTCCTGACCTCAGGTGATTCACCTGCCTTGGCCTCCCAAAGTGCTAGGATTACAGGTGTGAGCCAACATGCCCGGCCTACTATGTAGTTCTTCTAAGTCCTAGTTCAATGCTCTTGTCTTTCCATGCTGGACAGACTGAGTGCTATTATTATTATTAATGCATTGTAGGTAGGAAAAATAACTCCCTTTTATAAAAGTCTTCTGTCACACATATATACCCTCATGGAAAGCATAAATGCTTTCAATCCTATTTCTTCAGGAACTCTACATGCTTTGCCCTTAGACTTTTATTTTTCACTTACTTTCATGGGCAGTGTCTGAATCTGCACAGTTATCACACTATCATTGTATTTTATTATCAAATCACTTTTAGCATGGTAAGATTCCCTACAACACCAGCTACTAAAATATATTTTTAGCTACTCAATCATAGTTTGAGTTCAAAATATGTTTGCCAGGTTGAAATGTTCTTTGGGATTGCTGTTAGAATCTTTTTCTGGGTTACATGTCAAGAGCAAATCACAAGCTACCATTAGGAATATTTCTATATATCTTTTTATTGTGCCCAGTGATTGCAACACCAACAACCAAAATCTGTGGTGTGTTTTCTGATTTACATAGTACATTTTTGTACAGTTTCTCATTCAAAAGTCTCAACTACTTTTATAAAGGGCAAATATAACCAGAGGAAAAAAATGACTTCCCTGAAGGCACACTGCTAGTCAGTTCTCAAGCAGGGGATTCGATTCTAGGTTTTCTTTTCGGCAAATTTAAGAATGACACTTTATATTACAGGACTGTTGAGGAAATCAGAGTGTATTTTCATAGCGAATGTACTATCAATTGGTGTTCTGTAGAGAGACCTGCTGCCTTTTTCTCAAATGAAAATGCAAGTGGGTGGTAAAACTTTGTTTCATAAATTTGGAGTTCTTCTTAAATTACCAGAGTTACAGAAAATGTACTCAATGAGCAGGCAGACTAATCATGACACACGTGATGGATTTGTTATTATTATCTCAGGATTAGTGCTGGCATCGTATTTGTAAGAAATTCAAATACATTAGTTTTGTGGTCATCTTAAATTATTACTGGATATATATAGATACTGAATCATATTTCATTGGTTTCCACATTTCCATACAGATAAAAGCATAATTGCATTAATCCTGTGTTTTTGTTTTTGTTTTTTGTTTGTTTGTTTTGTTTTGTTTGTTTGTTTGAGACAGAGTCTCATTCTGTTGCCCAGGCTGGAGTGCAGTGGCACTCACTGCAACCTCTGCCTCCCACATTCAAACAATTCTCATGCCTCAGCCAGCCCAGTAGCTGGGATTACAGGCATGCGTCACCATGTCCGGCCACTTTTTTGTATTTTTAGAAGAGATGGGATCTCACCGTGTTTCCCAGGCTGGTCTTGAACTCCTGAGCTCAAGTAGTCCGCCTGCCTTGGCCTCCCAAAGTTCTGGGGTTACAGACGTGAGCCACCACACCTGGCTAACTGCATTAATTCTCTACGGTTTTGTTTTGCAGATGATATACCAATTCACTTAGAAACATCCATGCATTTCCAATATCTAGTTACACTATAAAAAAACGATTTCATTGCAGCTGAAGATTTATTTGAATCCAAGCTAAAATAATACAGAAAGGAGTAGAAAGTGATAGGCCTGGCATGGAGGAAATTATTGTCTTGTGGTAGTATATTTATTTATTTATATTACTATATGCACATTTGTGAGTGTGTGTATGTGTGTGTATGTATTGGAGATCAGGTGATTTTGTATTCAGACTGGCACACAGATGTATTCATCCATACAGTAAGCCACGTGTAAATATATATGTTGATTAAAAAGAAAATGGAAGGCAAGCTGAGAAACAGGGTGACTAGCCTCTGATCATTTTCCTTAGGAAAAAAAGTTGTATGTTCAAATTCAGATGCTGCTGATTTCTAGCTGAATGTCTATAAGAAAGGAATTTAATCCTTTGGATCTCTGTTTCTGCAAATGGAAAAATCAGAATGGTATATGAGATCAGAAATGTTTAGTCTGTCTGTCTATCTATCTATCTATCTATCTATCTATCTATCTATCTATCATCATCATCATCATCATCTAACTAATCTGTCAACTGCATACTATATACTGGCCTGTCAGTATGGAACCTTTTTCATAATGAAAGCTCACATGCAATCACTAATTGTAAAACAAGTGAAAACTGAGTTTTTCTTGTTGAAGCTAGGGGTTCACTTCACAGGCTCAGTTTCTTTCCTTTTTCCTTTCAAAGAGCTATCAGTATCCCTTACCTTCCTTTAGGCTCTTTTTTCTTCCTAAGTCATATTTTTACAATATTATTATATTACAAAACAATTTGAAAAAAAAAAACTGGACCAGATGATTTCTTGGTTTTCCTTATGCTCTTAGACTCAGTGATTAAACAAAAGGAATAAACTCTTAAAATAAATATAAATTTAAGATTAATATTTCTCTCCCTCTCCCTCTCCCTCTGAAATATGTGCATTATAGTGACTGGTTTGAATTAAATTCTAACTTTATTTGCTTATAAATGGGTAATCAATGCAATTCTTTAAATAAATGTATTATTCTCATATATTTGTGAATTATTACACTAATACCATCCCATTACATGCCTTCATACAAATATCCTTATTGAATTAATTTCACATTTTTTGTATTTTCCTTTCTGAAATAGTTTATTCCTTTTATGTATATATAATGAATATAATTCAAATTAATTTGTAATCTTTCATATACATTTTAATATGTCTATAATTTTCTATTATATATCTATTACACTTCTGATTACAATTTTACTGAATTCATAGATTTAATTGAGGAGAGCTTACATTTTCACTAACTAGAAATATATGGCACATTTTACCACAAATTATATCTTTTTATGTTCTTCACTAAAGTTTCATGATTTCACTCATATGATACTTACATATTTCTTGTTAAATGCTTTTATTATACTTTAAAATATGTGGTTTTATTATTTTTGTAATGGAATGCTTTCATTATATTTTTATAATTAATAGATCCTGGTATATAGAAAAGCTGCATTTTAAGATGTTGAACTTAAAACTGTAAACTTTTACTGGTTTTAAAACATTTTCTGATTATGTTATTGGCATGCAATCATACCCTTCACCAAAAAGTATTGAGGTTGTTTCTCCTTTCAAATACTTGAAGCTGCTTGGAATGTAAATGGTACTTTTGACAAAAGGGTTGACAATTTCTTACAAAGTTAAAACTCTACCTACCATTTGACCCAGTAATACAATTTTTATAAATACTAGAGAAAAAAAACACAGTCACGAAAATAATTGTGTCTGGATTTTCATAGCAGCTTTATATGTAACTAAATATTAGAAGCAATTCATGTTCCCATCCACAGAAGAACTGGTAAACTAATTGTGGCTTATTCTTCAATGGAATTCAGCACAGAAATGTAAATGAAAGAACTACAACCTGAACTGATCTCATAGGCAAGCTGAGCAAAACAAGCCTTTTGTTCTAAGGATAGTTTTGTAGGCTGATTGCTAAAATCATTTATTTTTCATCTTGTTTTATTGAATATTTTTAAGAGTATAATTTCAGTTCTCACTTCTGTGGCTGCATCTGCATTCTAGAAATTTTGACATGTAGTTCTTATGTTCATATTCAAGTCTACGTGTTTTCCAGTTATCCTTTTTTAATGCTTAATTTAAAAAATGATGAAAAGTGGGACACACATAGGAGCCAGATGACCATATGAATTCTGAAATTCCGCTGTGAAGATGCTGCCAGGTCCTCCTGCCCCAGGGATAAGCCTTAACTAGCTCTAGTTTTGCTACCTGAGGATGGTACCCAAGTCCATTGCTCTCTCTAGCTTTTGACCCCACTTTTGGGATGTACTTCCTTTTCCATTATCCTCCTTGGCCACATCTGCAGAGTTAAAATGGAAAAGTATGACCTTTTTGGCAGCCAAAAAAAAAGTTTCCAATCTGTTCCCTTCCTTTACAACATTGAAAAACAGATATATTTTTGAATCTCAAACATTTTGGTTTTTTAGACCTGGTTGGCAGTGCTTTTGCTAGTACATCTCTTTTTCAAATATTGATCAATTTCTTTGGCAAAAGCCACCTCCATAAATCTTTTTTAGATAAAACTCTCTATATACTTAATTTCAGGTGATTTGGGTGCAAGTTTCTGAGTAACAGGTATTTAATCTTTCTGAGCGCATTTACGTCTAGGAGAAAGGTCTACTAGACACTAACTAAATATTTCCAAGAGTGTTAACAGATGGAGTTGCAGCCACGCTCTTGATTTGGTCTTTACCTTGAGCCCATTTCTTACTGTTTGTATCCTGGGTTTCATCTTTTCCCTGTAGCTATGTTTAAATGACATGCCTTTGATTTTGTGAAAAACACTTTCATATTCTGACACTAAAATTTATAAGCTCTTTATTTTCCTTCTAAATTATCTTGTCAGTCAATATTATTCTGAGCTTCATCACTTTTTTGGATCACTTTAACAAATGCAACAAGCTGTAGCCTCTCAAACCTCACACTATCAACATACTTTCAAAGCCTCATCATCTGACTTTATGAAAGTATTGGGTACATTTCCTGTTTTCAGATTATTTTAGGTAGCACTTTTACCAAATATTTCACCACCATGTAACATGAGTCACTATTTTTCAACCTTCTATGTTTCTTCACCTCTCTACGGTCTCAAGTCAATACCATATGTTTTAGATTTTTGTTATAGCAGCACTATACTTCTTGGTAGCAATTTTTATGCAGTTAGCTATTGATATAATAATGTTTCATAATATATAACCACAAAAGTTTGAGGCATTCAACCATAAACATCCATTTACTATCCAACCATTGGTGGGTTAGCTTTGATTCAGGTGATCTCGGCGGTGCTTTGTTTGCTTTAGGTCCAGTTCTATCTATTAGTCTCAGACTTCTTACCCAGTGACTGCCCAAGGCATGTTCCTTTCATGGTGAAAGGCAGGAGTCAAAATACCTGGCTAAATTGTGCAAGCATGTTTCAAGCCTCTGTTCATGTTACCTGTACTAACATTCTATTGACCAGAGCAAGCCACATGACTAAGCTCTAAGTAAATGTGATAGGAAATATAGTCATCCTATGTAATGGTGGTCATGAAGAATGAAAATTTTCTGAACGCTAATCCTAATCTACTCAGCTAGTTTTTATTTTTAATTTATAGCAAAATATAGAAGTAATCTCCCTTAGTTAAAAAAATGTCTATTGGGGAAATTTAAAAAAAATCTAAAGATAATTTAAATGTTTTTGTTTTCTTGTTTTGTTTGCTTTTTATGAATCAAGATTATAGGGGTTTGATGGACTTGGGGGCTGGCCAAGGTGAAAATATGACAATGACAGGCTGTAGCACACCAAGCTCTATTGGGCAATGCCTGGCAGGTTGACAAGTAGGGGGAGCTGCTTTCAGAAGGAATGTTTCCAGAGGCTGAGGTGTAGGGGTCTGCTACTCAGAAATGGAGGTGGCTCAGAGAGGTAAGATAACTCCTATAGGAGAGAGGAACCTGAGGACGGGCTTAAATGTCCTCGTGATATTTAAGGAAGCAGGAAGTCTATGGGTCAGAGGACTCTGAAAGGTAGCAGTGATCTGGGGCCTTTCCACTGAAAAGACCTATTTTATCAACAGGTAACAATTGTTGGGTAAGGTTCCTGGGCTATGCAAAGCAGTCTCTGTAAGGCAAAACATTTGCCTATTTATTTTTAAAACGCTAAATGTGCAAAGATATGAATCTCATGCCAGTAGGCTTTTAAGCTAACAGCTCTAAGCCTGCAATGAAGGAATAAACAACATAGGGGGCCAATACACAGAGACAATTTTTGGCTCATTTATGTAACAATGATATAAGAGAAAAAAAATAGGTGATTATACATGGAAGGTTGGCTGCAACTTGAGCTCTGATACTGTTTTTAGGGATTTTAGTTAAATAAGTCACGTAATTCCTGTGAACCTGATTTTCCTCTTCTAAAATAGAGCAGATTAGACCAAGAGTCCACAAACTGTAGCTCACAGGCCAAATCTGGTCTACCACTTGTTTTTGTAAACACACTTTTATTAGAACGCAGCCACATTTATTCATTGATATATTGTTTATGGCTGTTTTTCCTCTACAATGGCAGAGTTGAGGAGTTGTGACAGAGACCATATGGCCTACAAGGCCATTATTTTTATTATCTAGCCCTTAACAAAAAAGGTTAGCTGACCGCTGGACTAGATGTACTACAGGCTTTCTTCAGCTTCAACCTTTTTTGATTCAAATATTTTTTAAAGCCCAGCTCTTATCATCTTGCTCAGAGTTCCTGATTCCATTTTTTATTTACCTTTTGAAAAATCAATATTCCAGCTTTGCCATCTATTTGTAAATTTCATATCAAACACCATAGACCTTGTTTCTCCTACTGCTAAAATGATGCCACTCTTACTGCATAAATCAGTAGCTATTTCATTTTCATGTCAAACCTAAAATGAAAATGGAAACAGAAGGCAAAAATAGTGCAGGAAAATGAAAATGACAAATATAATATTTAATTGAAGTAACATGAATATTTTATGTTAAAAAATGTAATTACATAATAGATCGCAGCCCGTGGCACCCAGCTTACCTCTGTCTTGGTGTGAGTGCCCATGATCATTTTATCTCAACAGGCATTCAGGTCTACAGATTCACATCTTAACTGACAATGGACAAAAATTAGTCAGAAGAAACTCAATTCATTTCAGTCACTTAAGTTTTCATTTGGCAAACATTATCCTTAAGCATTAATTCAATATTTAAACTAGCAATCGTTTGTTATTACCGGGAGCTTTAGAACTGTCAGAAGTCAAACTAAAACCTCTCAGAAATCATTATTCCTTCCTTCTCCAATGAAATTGTTTTGCCATATGATGAATAAAATTTTATACAGATCTTCATTATATTACCATCTCAAGAATAGCAAAACACATTATATAACTGTGTATCATATATATTTTAAAAATAATTTAAAGCATAATGAGAATTCTCACCTAAAAAAGGGATATATGTTCTTCTTAGAATGTTTTTATCATACATATTCAAAATGATTCCTTCATGAAAGTCCTTTTGAATGTGATTGAAATCAGAATTCATTTAAATTCAACTCTACTATGCATATTATGATGAAGGCCCAGAGAATGTAGTAAAAAGATAATGGCCACTCAGTTTCAAATAGAAAATTGATTTTCAAACAGAAAATGCAACATGGGAATAGAAAATTTAAAATATACTTTTGGCTTATGTGAGAAGTACAGTTTGATGGAGTTTTCTAATTTCAATACATATTATGTCTGCTATTTATGCAGATTCCATAATGAAATGCACCTAGATCTAGCTGATGTGTGCTGACTCATTACACTGTTTCAAGCATTACCGGTGGTGCCTTCAGAACTATTTCCCTATTTAATACTGACAACAGCCTTGAACACTAACTACTTATTTTATTTTGTTTGTTTCCATTAAGTAGTTGGGAAACTGAAGCTCAGAAATACAAAGCATACACTAAAAATAGAATAAAAAGGCAACAGAGCCAGCTTTCAAACCCTTCTCCTGGCTTTAGATGTCTAAATAGAATAAGAACAAAGATCTTACCAAGCTAAGTCCATGCTGATTCTGACCTGGTTTGCTGACATCTATATTGATAATAAGACTGGTGAAATCCTGGTTTAAAAAAAAAAACAATTAGGACAAAATCCTTCATATTGCTTTCTGAGAACTTTTCATGACAAATATCAACCATCAAAAAGAGAATAATAGAATGTCGGCAGTAGAAGAAAAGATAAAAGCTTACGAGCAAACATTAATTAATAGCAAAGTCAAACCCTAGTTGTAATGATGGTGGTTGAAAATCACAGATTTCTCAAATGTGCCTTTTCCTTTGTTTCCTTGCTTCTATCCATGCTATAGCACTGTTTTTTGTTTGTTTTTTATTTTGTACTCTGCTTCCTGCAGTATTTAGAAACTACGCCAGCAGAGTGCCTACTTGGACCCCCTTTGATAAGTGTTCTGGAGGGGAGCAGCATGCCATGCCAATATATCCAGTGATTACCAGGGGATGATGGGTCTTTATGGCATCTCCCAGGTCAGGTGGATTGGGCTTTCTTAAGCACAGTAGATCCGCTGCCCTCATGCTGTGGCTTTTGTTGATGCTGTGGAAGTCATTCAGCCTGTCTCCAAAACAGCATGATTTTGACAAGGTTTTTAGTTTCTGCTGCTGAATAGAATATATTCAGTGCCTAGTCACTTTGCAGCAGCAATTAAAAGAACCCTTAGCCTTGCTTCCTTTATGTAAAACTGTTGACAGGTAGTAAAGAGCTGTGTGGCACACTTGGATATGTGTTGAAAATGGCTTGCGTTTTCAGACACACCTCAAATTCCCGAAATCATGAACTATAAAGCAAATGCCAATCAGGTTAATGATTTCTTCCCACAGAATTCCATTACAGAAGTGAAGTCAAGTTTTATGATATATAACCTAAAGTTTTAGTTGAATGCATTTCACTAAGAAGAGGTTAAGGCATTATGACCAAACAATATGCTTGATATTTCTGTTGCAGAAAAAAAATAGTTTTGACAAAGTATTCTCTACTGGCACTACTTTATCTTGGCTCCCACTTCCTTTCCTGAAGTTATTTTTTTCTTAGATGGTATTATTTTCTTCCTTGATTAAAAATTCTCTCTTATCACTAATTGCTTTTTATGTGATTGCTAGGTGACAGGTTTGTGATATTATTTAGTCACAATATTGATATTAAATTAGTTTTTATTATTTTTTTTTTGTAGAAGTGAGATCTCACTACGTTGCCCAGGCTGGTCTTGAACTCCTAACCTCAAGTGATCCTCCCATCTCAGCATCCCAAAGTGTTGGGATTACAGGTACGAACCACTGCGCCTGGCCAATAAGTTCTTTAAGCATGCTCTCGAAAGTGTGTTTTGGGATCTCCAGTGGCTATTTAAATATTTGTGCTTGGCTTGACATCTTTTGAACACTAATGTTGCATTAGAGGAATTTGGTACATTAGACGTCCTGCCTACACAAGCTAGAAGCCCTTCTTTTCATAATGTCCTTCAAAACAGATTTTAGAAAAAGGTCCAAGGCTCTTTCAATTAGACAAATGCACATAAGAGTCTGATTCAGGTGACAGTGATGTGAGAAAAAGGATGCTGGGTAGAATTTATCTGGGAAGATACAAGTTATGATGAAGAGAGGTCTGGCTGTCAGAGCATCCTATGGCTGGAGCTGGCTTTGGGAGTCCCAGGGTTTGAGCTTGGAGGTGGCTGCTGGAAGGTCTCCACTGGAGTAGCCTGCAGTCTAATCTAGGAACTGGAATCTCTAGTCTTAAAAAGTCTTGAGTCCTTGCAGAGGCTCAGTGAGCTGCCTCTATCCATATATATATATATATGACATTATATATAGCTAAAGTGGATATTCTTGTAAAACCAGCACTAAGAGATAACCAAACTTTCAAACACTGACTTTCAATTCTTATTTTGATATCCCATGTAGCTGTTAATAGAAAGAAGCATAGCAGATGTTTTCCCTTATATGCCAACCATTGCTTTAATCTATTTTCTACTCTCCTTGTTTAATCATCAACCATTACCTTTCATATGGTGGATACTCAATAAATACTGAATATATAAACTCTCTTATTCAAACCTTATGATATAAAGCAAATTATCTGTGTCAAGTGCTTGAGGGCAAAGCAGCATTAAATTTATCATAAGTAGAAAATATTGCCTTAGAACTTAGTGGACTGAAAGTGCCTTGAGGGAGGAAGTAGAACAATCAGATGAGAAGAGAGAAGGTAGGTAATAGGAAAGAGGAAATAATAAGAAAAACTTGTTTATGATCCACAAATTCTCCTTTAGTTATGAACAAAAGGAAAAAATGCTTTTTCATAAGCAATCGAAAAATAAATGTTGCCATTTAAATCATTTCTGTGAAAGCAAAGATGTCATTTAAAATTTAATAACACTTGTCCAGAATATTGTTTTATTATTTTTACAATAAAGTATGGAAAATGTAATAACAAAGGATAAAGTAATAAATCAAGTTGCCAGCATGATAAAAAAATTATTAGAGCGATATCAAATTTAACTGGACTCTCATTTAATGGGGTGATAGAAAGCTAATAAAAATAGTTTTGAGGCAACAGGCAATACGTGACTCCAACTCACACAACTTTAATAGTCAGGAAGAAGGGGTCTGGTTACACAAAATAATAATATGTGTCATTTTCCGCAACTAAAATTTCATTGTCTGAGACTTGTTTGGGATTGTGCTCTAATTTAGTAACGCTTATTTTAATTGTATTTTTGCAATGAAGTAGACTTCACTTTCTGTCAAGTGTCATCAATTCAGTTTTCAAAGCTGTATGTCTCCACACACACCTACCTATACTAGTACTAGTAATAATAAAATAAGAATTCTTCAGAATGAGAGAATAACTGGGTCAGAATGTTATTCTGTTGAAACTGCATCATTTTCCTACACAAGTGAAAATCAGCAAGGTATTGTGACATACAAGTGCCAATATATTGAAGGTATAGAATCAAATACTTTTAGAGGTTCAATGCACTTTAAAGGTCATCCCCAATTTTCTACTCCCTTAGGAATCTTTTCAATAACATCTCTGGCAGATGACTGTATAACTGTAGTGGTAGTATTAAGTATCCATTTGTTTACTTAACAAAATAATTATTGGTCTTTTTGCATGCTACAGACATCATGCTAGGAGGGTGTTTGCTAGATATCATATGCCACATGTTGTGGAGGCCTATCTTTAGAATGTTCTTCCCACTCTACAGTGGGGTAAAATTCAAACTTTATGACCCATCAACAGCCATGCATTTTTTAAAATTAATCATTTAGTTAAAATTTCTATGTATATTACGCTTCATGATCCAAATAACTAAATTTAATTGTTAGGTAGAGAAATTCTTATAGTTCCATTTAATTACACTTTTTTATCAGAATAGTAATCTTTATTAAAATATCAAGGCTTATCAATGTAAAGAACACCAGGTCAGGCATGGTGGCTCATGCCTGTAATCCCAGTACTTTGGGAAGCCAAGGCAGGTGGATCAATTGAGCCAAGGAGCTCAAGGTTGCAGTGAGGTATGATCTTGACACTGCACTCCAGATTGGGCAAAATAAATAAATAGATACATTTTTAAAAAAAAATTTAAAAACCCATTTAAGAGAGGATATATACTGAGCAAAGTAAATATCTAGGGTACACTTTATCTTCGTATTCTTAACTGTTTTTTAACAATGTGCTGTAATTCCCAATCATGTTTCACGAAGAGATTTCCCTCTTCTATAGGTTAATCAAAATATAACATATTTTCTTAACTTTGAATTACAAGTCTCTCTTGAATTTAAAACTGATGCAGAGCTTATGCAACTCCTTTGCCTTCTGCCATGATTATGATGCCTACCCAGCCATGCTGAACTGTGAGTCCATTAAACCTCTTTCCTATATAAATTACCCAGTCTTGAGTATGTCTTTATTTGCAGTGTGACAACAGGCTAGTGCAATATATGCAAAGTTTCTGGCACATATAAAATTAAAAGTATCAAGGCATGGAACACTGTGGATAGTATATAAATGTGTTTTTAAAAGCCCTTAATTTTTAATGGACCTAAATTTTCTGAAAGAATACTAGGCGGAAGGGAAGATTACACACATGTACACAAACACACTATGAAATGTTTAAAATTTAAAATTTCTCTAAAGGGTTATCATTTAAAGCAAAAAAGGAACAATATTGTATTGTAGCATTAAAAACATATTTAGAAGACGTAAGAAGAGCACAAAGGACAGGAAAATGTTAAATGGGATTACGCTGTTGCAAATTTTACACATTGTTTCACTGTAGATAAGCAAAATATGCATACAGTAATCTCTAGGGAAGTCAAAGAGAGAAATGTTATAAAAAGGGTATCTCAAGAATTTGTAAAGGAAATACAAATAAAATACTAGAAAAACATATTACTCATCAAAAAAGGGCAGATAAAGATCTGCAGAACAAAATATATATTAGTATTTGGAACAAATATCAATACTTAGAATAAATGGAAAGAAAAGAAACACTCCAATTAAAAGACTTTGATTATAAGACTGAATTAAAAAAACAAGGTCTGCCTATATGCCATCTAAAAGGAATATTAAATAAAAAAGACAAAGACTGCGTTAAAATAAGAGCTTGAGGAAACTTCACTTTGAGAACCCTAAGCATAAGAAAGTAGAAGTAAGTATATTAACATCAAAGTCTAGTGTACTTCATGACCAAAAATATTGTCAAAAATCTGTGTGCTCACAATAATAGACTTTCAAAATACAAAAGCAAAATTAATAAACGTAAAAGAAAAATTAAAATGCCCAAACAACTGGAAATATTAACACTACCCTCTCAAAAATGGATAGGACTCATAAAAATCAATGCAGACATGATATTTTTGAACAGCTATAAATCTTAATTGACATTGATAGAACACTACATCTAACAGTTGAAGAATATATATTATTTTCGAGTGTGCATTAAACATTCACCAAAATAGACAAAATGCTTTGTCATAAAACATAAGATCAAAGAATCAAAATAATACAGAGTATATTCTCTGAGCACAACAACATTGATTTAGAAATCAGTAGAAAAGACATATACTCTGAGTATCTGTAATAATCCATGGCTCAATGAAGAAATCTAAAGAAAAATTAGAAGATCTTTTTAGTGTTCTGCTAAAATGGTGTTTAGAGTAAAATTTTTAGATTTAAGTGCCTGTAGTAGAAAGGAAAATGCCTGGGTAGAAAAGCAGTGATCTAAATATCCACCATAAGAAGGTAGAAATGTGTGAATTTTTTTAAGCAGGTAGAAAAATAATAATAAACAATAAGATCTCATCATACTGTACCCCATAACATGCCCAATTAGTATATGTCAATGAAAACTAAAATACACATAAAAAAGAACAAAATCAATCTATAGGTCAATGATGAAGAAAAATAACGAACAAAATTAATGCTAAGGCCAATAATGAAGAAACATTTTTTTAAATGGAATATTGGTTCCTGAAAAAGATTGATAAACTTCTAGAGAAACTGATCAAAGTTAAAGAGAAAGAGAAAAAAAACTAGCAAGAAAATACAAAATGACAATATCTAGAATTAAAGAAATGGGTATAATTAGAAAGCTTTCTTATATTAAAATGGTGATAAGGAGTATAAACCACTTAGTGTCAAAAATTAGAAAATTTGGATAAAATATTGAAAACAAATCTCAGGACCAAGGCTTTATCTCTATTCCTTCTGAAACATTAGTGAGCTCAAAAATCACTCTGAGGTTCTTGTTAAAATGCAGATTTTTATTCAGAGTTCTAGAGTGAGACTCAAGATGGTGCATTTGTAACAAACTCCCATTTGATACTGATGCTGATAAAGTAACTATACTATATGAGAAGAGATATCCACTATGCTCTTACAATCCTTTTGTGTATTGAATGAATTTGTAAGCATAAAGGACAGTTTGCTTTGATCTGGAATCCAGGGAAGGAGCACCAAAGACATGGGATATTGACTTTATAAGTATTTGAATGGTCACCAGGTTGTAACAGGCACCTGGGTACAAGGAGAAGAATCTACGTATTACTTGGAGAGAAATGAAAATAAAATTCTAAAAACACGTAAACAAAAAATCCACAAAATACACTACTTCACAAGCTTCATGCATCCTTCTTGAACTGGATCCTACTGATTCCAAGCCAGAAGGGTGAAGATACCTAAGCTAGAAGAGAAGCTATGATATAACTTTGATAATGGGTATAATGGAAACCTGTACCTCTTTTTGTTTTTTCTCCCTTTTAATAATGGAGGTAAATTTTCAAAAAAAATACTAAAAATAGCAAAAATAATACAATTAAGTAAAGATCACATTTAAAAGGGCCCTTGATTTGCGGGAAAAAAATCAAGTGTAAAATTTTTCTTGCTATAATAATCTTTTAGGCTATGTCATTTTAGTGAAAAAATGTAATTTGACAACGTTAAAAGAGAGTCACTAGTCTTCAAAAATAGTTAATCTTCAAAATTACAACTAAGGTACTTTTCTCATTTAAAAGCTGCACAGTCAATACAAAGTGTGTTTTGCCTCATATTAACACTGTGTGTCTCTAAAGCTCAGCATAAAGCATGTACAGATCAAACTATTTTCTCTTTGATTTATATTTTTATTTCAGTAATATTTTGCATTCTATTCTGATTAATTGTAAATAAGCACCGACATCTAAGTTAGGATAATGTTGCTTGAAAAACCTTAGAAATTTACTAAGATAAAATAGCAGACAAAAAGTAACCAATTATATCACAGAGCATCATAAAATAGCTACTTGGCTTTTGCAGCATGCTAATTTCTTGGACAGTGGATTTAATTCAGAGTGTGGTCTGAGGACTGAAGTTCCAGAAAATCACCTTTATAAGCAGACTCCAAATTAATCAGGCCCTCAATTTTGTAGGATATGTGTGCACAAAGCAGAATATTAAAACATAGAGATGGTAGATGTTTTTTCCTCCTGAATGTATTTCACTGTCTGATGTGGCACATGCCTTTCCTGGAATCATGATTTCTAAGAACCTGAATTCAGAGCCTTAAGATGACTTACTGCATGAACTCAGAGCACAGGAAACTGGGCTAAAGGGTATGTTAGGCCATGGAAAATCCTGGTGATGTCTGTCATCACAGGATGTGCCTGTGTAGTGATTAGAGGGCTGTGTAGTAAAGTTTGCATTACCCTAATCTGGTGTCTCTACCTATAGACTTTGTTAGATAAACACTGATGATTCTTCCACTGCCTTTGCTTCATGTTGCTGATCTCCACGCAGACCAAGCACCTTCCTCCTGTTCACTCATTTTTTTCTTCAGGCACTGTGGTAGGCAGAAAAGAAATGGCCCCTAAAGATGCCCACATCCTCTCTCCTGGAACCTGAAAATATGCAATGCTCAGTAGCAAAGGGAAGGTAAAGTCACAGATGGAATTAAGGTTGCTAATTAACCAACTTTAAGATAAGGACTATTCTAGATTCTAGGTTATCCAAGTAGGATGAATGTGATCACAAGGGTTCTTAAATGTGGAAAGGGGAGGCAGAAGAGTTAGTCTCAGAGTGAGGCAGTATGAGGTGACTAGACTGGCCATCACTGGCTTTGGAGGTGGTAGGGGACCAGGAGCCTAGAAATGCTAGCAGCTTCAAGAAGCTGAAAAAGGCGAGTAAATGAATCCATCCCTCGAACCTCCAGAAAGAAATCTGCCCTGCTAACACCTCAGTTTTAGTCTAGTGAGACCCATTTCAGACTTTTGACACTGAGAACTGTGAGATAACAAATTTGTGTTGTTTCAAGCTGCCCAACTTGGGGTCACTTGTTACAGCAGCCAATAGCATGGGCATATTATTATGTCCTGTTGCTTTACTTTTGTCTTAGGAAATATCTTGTATTTTAAAGGGGTTTTTACCACTGAGAATTTCATCCAGTGTGAGTTGTCTATAATGAAGACCAACTTATTGATGACTTACCTTACTGTAGTTTTCTATATATTGACAACAAAAGCATGGGATATGGAGTAAAATAGTTGGAGTTCCAACTCTGGTTTTTCACTTGATGGTTCTGAGTTCTCTAATCAATTTGTTTTAAAGACTATCAATTTCCTAAACCACTATGTTTACTCAGCTGTACGTAACTGACCTGACACATAGGATGTTTTGAAGTTCAAATTGGAGAATGATACATAATTAAGATAATCAACTTGTTTTCTTAATTTACAATGATAGACATTAAGACTGAAAGGGAATACTATTTAGAAGCTGACTAGCTTAGCAGGAGATATTTGCCCTATACCACTGTTTTTAAAACTCTGCCACTAGGCCGGTTGCGGTGGCTCTCGCCTGTAATCCCAGCACTTTGGGAGGCCGAGGCAGTCGGATCAAGAAGTCAGGAGATCGAGACCATCCTGGCTAACATGGTGGAACCCCGTCTCTATTAAAAATACAAAAAATTAGCCGGGCATGGTGGCTGGCGCCTGTAGTCCCAGCTACTCAGGAGGCTGAGGCAGGAGAATCTCTTGAACCCAGGAGGCAGAGGTTGCAGTGAGCTGAGATCGCACCACTGTACTCCAGCCTGGGTAGCAGAATGAGACTCCATCAAAAAAAAAAAAAAAAGCCCTCTGCCATTAATTTTGGTGGGAAGCTTGGTTGAGATAGGCAAAGGTTGAAGGAAGGGAGAGGTTGGGTGGTGAACTAATTTACTCCTTACCCACACTCGATTTAAACCAAAGCAATACCAATCTGTGTAAAATAGAATTTGAAGTAAAGGGAGAGGGTTCAAAAAAGTTGAGAACGCTTGCACCGTATTATGTGCAAATGCCAGGTCCATGTAACCTTGAATAGTTCCTCTGGCCTGTCTATGTGAACATTTGGAGATGCACAGTTCCTATAAGCAGGTGCATAGAAACAGAAGGGTACATATTTGCATATAGGATTAAAAGAAATGACTTCCGTAAAACGTCTAGCACAGAGCTACAGAGTGTATTTTTAATACATTACAGTTCTTGAGTAAAGATGATTATTTGATAACACTAAGTGATATGAAGCCAAGAAATGTAGTAGTGTTCGAATCCTTTCCACCTCCCTTACTCTTGGGTTCTGACTTTAGAAACTAAGTAATTCCAGGACATAAGTGAAAACACATTTCAACTGCCCTCTATTATACTTACTTGGTAAATTAGCCTGCGCATTATTTTTAAAATAAATTTTGTTCTATTGCTAAAATGCCTTCTCTAGAAAGTTTCTGTCTGTTGAATTCATTATTTAAAATTGAATCTTACTGCTTTGGGTAAATATCAGTATGTTTACTATATATTTGCATTGTGCTGGCATTAGGTAAGCATTCATACAGTGTTCCTTCTTATGAAGAGTGACATATTTTATAAGAGTGGAAAACCATGGAAATGAATTCTCATAGTTTAATAAAATATATCCAGTGTCTGTCTTGCAAAATATTGTAATACCATATAGTTAATAATATAATAATTAATATTCTTAAACATTTCCAAAAGACCAAGTATACTATGAAAAAATTTTTTTTAAAAGAAGACATTTGGCCGGGCGCGGTGGCTCACGCCTGTAATCCCAGCACTTTGGGAGGCCGAGGCGGGCGGATCACGAGGTCAGGAGATCGAGACCATCCCGGCTAAAACGGTGAAACCCTGTCTCTACTAAAAATACAAAAAATTAGCCGGGCGTAGTGGCGGGCGCCTGTAGTCCCAGCTACTTGGGAGGCTGAGGCAGGAGAATGGTGTGAACCCGGGAGGCGGAGCTTGCAGTGAGCCGAGATCCCACCACTGCACTCCAGCCTGGGCGACAGAGCGAGACTCCGTCTCAAAAAAAAAAAAAAAAAAAAAAAAGACATTTATTCAGCACCACAATCAGACTATTACATTTAGCAATCAACAGCATGGGTGCAAAAAAAAAAAAAAACTACATTAAAACCCTTTGTTGGAATGCTTTACACTTTCCACAGAACAGAAACTAAAATAACCTGTTATACAGTTAGTCGCAAATACAGTCCTCGAGTTTTTTGCCCATACACATGAGTGTTTTTCTAAAACATTTCTTCTTTTTAACAGCTAGGCCCTGCCACCACTGTGCTTGGCTAAGGTTACAAATCTATTACAACCGGTAGCTTCCCTGTCACTTCTCTGGCTCTCCTCTCTTGCTAAGCTTTGTTTCCTAATTAAAATTTTCTGCCACTGCCATAGCTACTGCTTCTACTGGAACCGCCATCACCACCTTTGTTTCATGGTTTGGCAAAGTATTGGCCTCCACCACCATAAGGGCCAGAGCTTCTGCATCCAAAGTTTCCTCCCTTCATGGGTCCAAAATTTGAAGAGTGATTGTTGCAATTGCCAAAATCATTGTAGCTTCCACCACCTCCAAAATTGCTTCCATCATTACCAAATCCATTATAGCCATCCCCACTGCCACCGTATCCACTACCACTATGGCTGCCACCAAAGCCACCACAACCATTGAAGTTTCCTCCATGACCAAAGTTGTCATTCCCACTGAAAAGACCTCCATGACCACCACCAAAGTTTCCGGAACAACTTCGACCTCTTTGGCTGGATGAACACTAGCCATCTCTCACTTTGACAGGGCTTTCCTAACTTCACAGTTGTGGCCATTCACAGTATGGTATTTCTGAATGACAGTCTTATCCATGGAGTCATGGTCATCAAAGGTTACAAAGGCAAAGCCCCTTTTTTTTGTCACTGCCTTGGTCAGTTATGATTTCAGTCACTTCAATATTTCCAAACTGTTCAAAATAATCTCTTAGATGATGTTCTTCAGTGTTTTCATTAATGCCACCAACAAATATCTTTTTCATAGTTAAATGGGCACCTGTTCTTTGAGAATCTTCTCTTGAGATCGCTCTTTGGTTCCACAACTCTTCCATCCACCTTGTGTGGCCTTGCGTTCATGGCTGCATCTACCTCCTCCACAGTGGCATATGTGACAAACCCAAAGCCCCTGGAGCACTTGGTGTTTGGATCTCTCATGACCACACAGTCCATGAGCATTCCCCACTGCTCAAAATGGCTCCTCAGGCTCTCATCAGCTGTTTCAAAGCTTAACTCTCCAATGAAGAGCTTCCTCAGCTGTTCAGGCTCTTTAGGAGACTCAGACTTAGACCTGATGGCAGAGAGAAGAGAGATTTTAACCATGCTTCTTCGGCGGCATCCATGGACAGAAAGGCTATGAAAGTATTTTAAGCAAATAAATGTATTATAAATATTTACACAACACAAGAATTTTTACTATTATCAGAGGATGTGAAAAATATATTAAATAGACATGATATGATCATTTCATTTGAATAAAGAAAGCACAGTAAAGTATCCCAAGAAAAAGTTGAAGAAACAAAAATATTAACTGTCAAAACTTACTAAGGTTGAGTGACAATACAATGTTTTTTCTTGGTAACTTTGCGATAATGTATTTTGGGCAATTTCTATTGAGATACACTATAAAAGTTTGATTTTATTTATAATTTTTATAATACCCTCTTCCCCCACACACTTTCTGGATGAAAACAGCCTGAACTTCTATAATGTTTTCTTTCAAGGAAATATTTAGCACAGACATACACAAAATAAATAAAACCTAAAACCTACTTTAAAAAGCTTCTGTAATGCACTGATTCCATATACATACATACATACATGCACATGTGTATAATTCTACATTGTGTTTATTTATATATATATTTGTGCTAACTTACATACAAACATATCAACTGTCATTACCAATACTGAGATGATTTGAGATCGTGTATGAACATGACCATCTAATGACTGAAGACCTAGGTCTAGGAAAACATCTCTTTACTAAAAATTATTATGTTTAATTCAATAATGAAAAACAATAATAATTATTTTTTACTATTTATAACAGCTTTTGTCCTTTTTGAAATTGTAAGATGTTTTCAAACATTTGAAAAGTTCTCAAAATCTTTCACAAACAGCAGTTATTTTACCCATTGTAATTCTAAAGAAAGAAATATATGCAGATTGTACATTCTAATTACTATTGGTCTCAAGTGGATGCCAATCTATACTGTGAAAATATAATGGAAATTTGCCTTAACTTTGCGTATTGGGGTGATGATAATAGACAATCACTACATATCAAATACTCTACTCCTCTAGATTCTGAAATTCTTTTTTCAACCCATTGTACTCTGGAAGTTCCAATATTGGTACACTGGGAGGAGAAATTTTCTAGAGTGAGGACCAGTTCTTAGTTTTATTATTATATATGATATGTGCAAAAAGTATATAATGTACATTAGATATAATCAGTCTACATACATTTACTGAACAATTATTGATGCCTAATAGACATGTCAAACTGAATATATTCTAACTAAATTCCTGGTCTTCCCCTAAAAACTTGCTCTACCACATTGTAAATAGTAGTAATTCTATCCTTTCAGTTAGTCTTAAAATCTTGGAGTTACCCATGTGTTCTCATTGTTCAATTCCTATCTGTGAGTGAGAACATGTGGTGTTTGGTTTTTTGTCCTTGTGATAGTTTGCTGAGAATGATGGTTTCCAGCTTCACATGGACACAGGAAGGGGAACATCACACACTGGGGCCTGTTGCGGGGTGGGGGGAGGGGGGAGGGATAGCATTAGGAGATATACCTAATGTTAAATGCTGAGTTCATGGGTGCAGCACACCAACATGGCACATGTATACATATGTAACAAACCTGCACGTTGTGCACATGTACCCTAAAACTTAAAGTATATATAAAAAAAACTTGGAGTTACCCTTGATTTCTCTCTTTCACTCAAAAAATCCTGTTATCCTGAAATATTTCCAGAATACTACCACTTCCCACCGCCTCTGCTGCTTGTCGAAGCCATCATCATCTCTAACTCCTATCCTTGTTCCCCTTACAGTCTAATTTCAACCTAGCAGCCAGTGTTATCCCCCTAAGTATAGATCATGCCATCTCTTAGTTCATATGTCCAAGGGCTCCCCATCTTACATAAAGTGAAGGCCAGCCTCTTCACAATGGCTGTGAGGCCCATCACACTAGCTCCCTGCTACTTCTCTGACATATTCTTCAGCTCCAGCCATTCTGGCTCCTTCTTGGTTAATTACAACATCAGGAATTGTATTGGTTCTTCCTGATTCCAGGAATATTCTTTCTCCATATGTCTGGTGGCTCATCCCTCCTATCTTTCCAATCTTTGCTCACATGTAACCTCCACAGAGAGGCCTGTACTGACCACCATACTGAAGCTTGCAAAACAAACCCTGGTATTCTTGCTCCCCTTCCCTGCTTGATTTTTGTCTGTAACACTAATAAACTTCTAACCTATTATACAGTTTACATATTTCCCCTCACTAGAAAATCCACGAGGGAAGGAATTTGTTTATTTCTTTAGCCCAAGTCCCTCGAGGTGTGGCTTACACACAATGAAAATTTCTTGAGTGAATGAATGAATATGTGCTATTCACTATAGTAAGTACCCAGGAAGCCGATAGTGAACAGGACACATGCCTCCTGCTTAACGGAGCTTACAGGCTATTGCCCTAGTTGTAGCACTTAAAACTTGAAGAGATATTTAAAGTGCACATATTCCAACTTCAACATTTTATAGATCAAGAAACTGAGGCCCAGTTATGGGGCTTTTCAATAACACTAGAGGTTTCAGAATTCAATTATCTGATTCATAATGCAGCAGTGTTTTTACTACATACTACGCTTAACAATTACCTTTTATCATAGTTTGCAATCAAAGTACAGCACGTGTTATAAAAATTAAATATAAGACATATAGGGGAGAAGCCAATGTACAATATTACACATTATATTATTTATGCTGCTGAATAAGTGGTATAAACAAGTAATGGAGCTGAGTGCAGTGATGCATGCCTGTAGTCCCAACTACTCTGGACATGAGATGGGAAGATCTCTTGAACATGAGTTCAAATTCGATCTGAGTAACATAGCAAGACTTCCTCTCTTTAGAGCAAAAACAACAATAACAATAAACAACAAATAATGCTGGAGTAGTTCAGAAATCTCTGTGCTCTAGAATTATTATGGCATAATTCAATGAACTGAAAGATGAGTGAATAAAAAATAATGAAATGAGGTATAATATAACCAAAGTTGTGGAAGTAGAGTAGATATAGTTTGGGAAGATGATAAAAGAGAGTGAGAAGCTCCCTTGAATTAATTTAAGTCTTTAGGCTTTAGAGAATTGAAATCCTTCCAGATACTACACATTGAAGATGTGATCACAGATGAACTCCAGATGTCATCATGGAAATCAGGTGAGAAAATGTTCTTTCAATTTTCAAAAAGATAAAAATAGTGGATGACAGAACTAAAAATACTGAATAAACTAGCTAAACAAAGCTTTCATGAGCAATTAGTGGCAGAATTGGCAGTTATAAGGAGTTAGCATAGGCTTAATGATAACAAGACTTGCTATAATGGTTTGATATTGCATCTTAAAGTTAGTATGGCCGAGGTAGGTGGATCATCTGAGGTCAGAAGTTCGAGACCAGCCTGGCCAAGATGGTGAAACCCCATCTCTACTAAAAACACAAAAATTAGCAAGGGATTGTGGCAGGTACCTGTAATCCCAGCTACTCAGGAGGCTGAGGCAGGAAAATCACTTGAACCCAGGAGGCAGAGGTTGCAGTGAGCCAAGATCACGCCATTGCACTCCAGCCTGGGTGACAAGAGTGAAACTCTCTCTTGAAAAACAAAAAAAAAAAGAAAAAAAAAAAGTCAGTATGATGGTGCCCATATTTGTTATGTGTGTATTTGTGTATGTGCATGCACATTTGTATGAATTTGAGAAAGGTATTTGACAAAGTTTCTTTTGTTGTAGGCCATATGGAGTTAAATAATCACCACATTTTGCTGGTTCATAGCTGGCTGAACATTTATACATCAATTATTGATTAATGAATAGGTTTCAACTTAGAATAGTCTATACTGCAGCAAGTTTTCTACCTTGTCTCATTTATTTTTTCCTTTTTAACATTTGTGTCAATGACCTGAATGTAGATCAAAATAAAGCACAGTTATGAAATTTGAGGCTGAGGCTATATAATATGGCTATTTAAATATAAGATGACAGAATCAAGGTTTCAATGACATTGAGCAGAAATGATAATCATAATTTTAATTACCACATATTGGAGTACCTGTTATATGCTGAATAGGCACCTTTATACACTGCATCTCATTTGATTATTACAACTACTCAGCAAAGTAGATGTTATCCTCATTTATACATAAGAAATATAAAAATTAAATCACATACTGATTGGTTGAAAAGCAATTTTTATCTCAGCTCTGTCTTACTCAAGAGCTCATGCTATACCATTCCTATGCTAAAGTTTATAAAATTTATGAGTAGGAAATTTAATAGGGATAAATGCAAACCCCTACATTTAGATACTGAGTCATTTTCCTGAGTATGGAAAGGGGCAACTTGAATTTAAAATACCTATTTTCTAATAGAAGATTTTTTTTATATGAGTGAAGAATTTTATTGAGCTGCTAATGAAGCTAATATAATCTTAAATTTTAGGCTGCATTGAAAGTTTCAGACCAAAAGGATATTTGTCCCATTCTGTTCCTCTTTGATCAGATCATATCTAGACTACTGTGTTTAGTAGGTCCTGTGGCTCCTAAAGAAGTGTACGGACAAACTAAGGAGACTCTTACGGAGCATGAGTAATTATGACCACAGGACGTTTATCACATTCTTTATGTATTTATTGTTATTTTTAAAGTGAGTTCTTACAGGAAAAGTCCCAAATTTCTGTTTGGAAGATACTTATAACAACAGATGACCTAATCTTACAAATGAACATTTCTAAATCCAGAGAGTTAGCGGATATACAAGATTTGAACTCATGCACACTTACTGGATAGACCAGATCTCTGAATGACTCTACAAAGCAACATGAAGTACTTCTGGATAAAGCAAAATAACAATACAATAAACCACTTAGGACTACCACACTGAGAGAATGTAGCTCCAATAAAAGCTTTAACAGAGGAAAACAATTAGGGTTTCTACCTATTTATAAACATTATAGGATATATTTATAAGCATATGTATTCATGCAAATAAAGGGTGTACTTCTTCTGTAAGTTCCACCATTACCAAAGGTGCCATAACACATTTTATAGTCACCAGGTAAGAGTGGGAGGATAGTATAAAGCACTCCAGCCATTGCAGCGTATCATGCAGAGGTAACTTGACTGACTGACCTGAAAAATGACACTGCTGATCATCACATTCTGTTAGACTTTCAGACAGTTCATTTAGCCTTTGATGTTTTGGGTATATTAACTTCAATTTGGGGCTTTCAAACCAGTTCCAACTGATTTGACAGGAGCAGAAGAGACTTCTGCTTTCCACTTAAAGACTATGATCAAAGAAATAGTGAATGAGATTTTTTTTTTTAATTTGCAACACTGGTTTTCTTGAGTGCCTTTAGCTATGATCTGGCTCATTTATTCTTCTTTGAGGAAGAGTAAGGTAAGACTAATTTAACACAAATACCTGCAGCTGGAATACAAAGAGGGTTCACTGTGTCATCTCAGGAATTTTCCTCAATTAAGAGGGAGTGAAGCAATGAAAATTGATGTTCCCATAAATATACTGGTTTTCTTTCCATCAAATAAATTTGGAAACTCTGCCAATTGGAAAAAAGATTTTAATCAATGTCAGTTTTGTTACTCATTTATTCTAGCAAAGGTCATAAAGGGAAAAGTCATAAATATTTCCACAAATACAGCAAAGACCATCAAGATTACTTTATTTAGGTCACATTAATGCTTTGTGCTAATGACCATAAAGTATTTTTCATTTAGCTGCTAGTAAACACTGCTAATGAACATCTTTCAGATCTCCTTCAGGTCAGATTGCCTTGAGTGACACTTTAGAATCCATGAATTAGGAATGTGCTCACTGAGGAGAAACGCTCCCTTAAAAAAAAAAAATTACCTCTTTTCAATATCCTTCCTCCACATAAATACCAAGGACATTAATAATATTATTGTCAATGCAGGAAAGAGATTAAGCTATATTTATCAGTTTAGCATTCTTAGGTCACTTATATTTCTGGAACTAGAATATCAAACATCTATACTCTAGGATAAGTTTAGTGAAAGGCTTTCAAGCAGGTTAATTGATGTAATGACTGAAAATCTTTACATTGCTCAATTTACTGGCTCAGGAATTTATTGCTAACGACAATAGAATAATTAGAATGTCATTTTAAAGTTTATTATTGGCCAGGCATGGTGGCTCATGCTTGTAATCCTAGTACTTTGGGAGGCCACAGCAGGCAGATCACTTGAGGTTAGGAGCTCAAGACCAGCCTGGCCATCATGATGAAAACCCATCTCTACTAGAAATACAAAAATTAGCCAGGTGTGGTGGCACACGCCTATAGTGCCACCTGCTCAGGAGGCTGAAGCAGGAGAATCGCTTGAAGCTGGGAGGCTGAGGTTGCAGTAAGCAGAGATAGCGTCATTGAGCCCCAGCCTGTGTGACAGAGGCTCCTCCTCCAAAAAAAAAAAGCTTCTTATTGATAACTTTATCCTCTCTCTGGGCACTCCAGAGGTTATGAAGACCAATTATATCACAAAACAAAAAATAACAAAAGTGAGAAAAAGAATGCAAACTTCAACTTTGAAAAGAAATCTAGCCTGAACATATTAACTACATTATTCAAACTTGATTGTGGCCAAAAGTCCAATTTAATCAAAAGCACTGGATCTTTTGCTTGTCAGTGCTTAGTTTCAACAATTTGCTGTGTAAAGCAGAGAAAATCAAAATAGTGACAACTTTTTTATGTGGATATAGCATGGGTCAGTAGCCCTTCAACAAAGACTTGCAGGAAATGGTTCCTAAGTGAGGAAACAAGTTATTATCTAGGAATATGCATTCAGATTTATACACTCAAAAGCCAAATTTTAATATCTTTTCTACCAACAGGAGAAGGTCATGACAAGATTTTCATGAGGAAGGAGAAAATAGGACATTAATTTGAAGCATCTTGTAAGCGTCCTGGCAAGAGATGATGAGAATCTAAAGTAAATCAAGCAGGAGTGTGGGGAAAAGGTGGAAGGGATAATTTTGAGTTAGGTGTAAATCAAGACACTAGCTACAACAGAATAATTAGAATGTCATTTTAAAGTTTATTATTGATAACTTTATCCTAAAATCTATAGATTTTAGTGGTTGAATATAGAAAATGAGAGAAATAAGAGTCACAGATAACTACTAGGCTTCTAGATTGGAGGCATTGTTTTGAAGAACAAGGCTAAATGACAGAAACTATCAGAAATCAGAATTTATTATACATCTGTATTAAGACAGTATAGAATTTTATTAGCACAAAGAAAGACAAATAGAATAACTAAATAGAGACTTCAAAAATAGGCCCATATTTACACAATCACGTGATTTACAATTTACAACCAAAGTTCCATCATAAAACATTGAGGAAATAATGTCTTCTCAGTAAATAGTGAGGAGTTTACTCAGTATCAGTATAACAAAAAATAAACTTTCAACCCTATCTTTCACTTCACACAAAAATCAGTTTAGTTGGATGGTAGAAAAAGGGTGAAAAATTAAAAAGATAAACACAGCTTCTATAAGGTAACAAGTATAATTCTTCATGTCTTTATGGTAGGTAAAGATTTTTGTAAACAAGGGACAGCAATAGCAATAAAGGGAGAAATTGAAGAATTGTACTCAATAAAATTATGAGCTTTCCTTCATCAAAAGACAGCATTAAGATAGAAAAAATATATAGAATGGAAGAGATATTTGCTATAAAAGTTTTTGAAAAAGTGCTCATATTGAATATATAGAGAGAACGCATAAAATCAATTTTAAAAAGATAACAATATTTTAAAATGGACAGAATTATTGAATACACACATGATTTTTCGTAAAAAGTTATGTGGAAGTTCAGCTGGCTAGATTTCTTTTTTTACTTATAGTTCAGATTATTTTAAACAGGTGCAAGCTGAAATGTTCAATAATATGTCTTTTCTGCAAAATACTAGTGATTCAAAGGTTGCTCTTTAGCACAACTCCTAAAAAAAGCTGCACCAACTTTATTATGGCAATGGTAATGTGAGTTCTTGAATGATTAGTTTTTTCCTTATTTATTAATAAAACTAGTGACAAACTCCATAAATGTTAGTCGAAAATAATAGGTGCATTTTATTGAATACTTATTAAATACAGAAAACTCTAATAAGAATTCTAGATCATTATCTCATTTCATGCAATAAGCATGTAGGATTGGAATTATTATTATTTCTCCTCTTTTACAGAAAAGGACATTGGAGCTAAAGATGTTAAATAATTTTTCCAAAACCTAAGCACTAATGGGAGATGGAGTTAAATTCAAATTGCCAGCATGCCCCTGGAGAACATGCTCTTAAGCAATGTGCAATGCAGTAACGAGTTATAGTAAATTCCCTTCCAAATTTTAGCAGATTTACCACTGCTTTTCCTAATCAGTGAATTCTAATGCAAAGGTTCATTTGGCAGTTTTTCTAACGTTAGAGATACCCTGAAAGACAGATCATTGAATCAAAGTATTTAGGATCAGTTATAAGATTTCTACTGACTGCAAGTGTTTGACAAGGAAAAATGCAATCAATACCTACAGATGCTTCTAACTGTAACCAAAGTACACTTACTAATAATATGTTTTTCAAGCAGAAACTGATAACAGTAGTGTAAGCTGAGGACACAATTTATTATCCGATTCAAAAGTGCTTATAAGTCAATGACTTTCAACTCGGAAATTAAAGGGGAAAGTAGGATTTAACCAATGAGGCTTTTATTCTCTTTGATTAAGAAAGCAATGCTTACTAAATAATATTTGGAAATAGTGACAAGTGTTAAGAAAAAAAATAAGTAAAATTGCCCAAATTTATATGTTAAAATTCAGACGGTTGGCACAATATATAAAATTGGATCAGGTTAAAGTTAACTTTGAGCTATTTGCAACTAGATGCTATTAAATGAGTGTTATAAAGATCAAAAACCTCCTATTTTAGTCTTGTGTAACTGATTTTATAGTATAGATATTGACTGTAATGTGGTTTAATACTAAAATTTACAGACAAAAAGTGAAAGCAACTTGTCCCAGCTCTGGTTTAAATCAATTCTGTATTTTCTTAGAAAGTTATTTAACTTCTCATACTTATTTGTATTTGTGTTATGGAGTAATACAAAACTGATTCTGTCAATTTCTCAAATTGATAATAAAAATGAAAGAAATTTTAGGTGTCAAACTTTGCATAAGAGAATACTCTCTCAGTGCTCTATGTTTCACTTTTGTTCCTTTTTAATATTACTAATACTCCCAAATAAAATACTATTGCATTTTGTGTGAACCATTTAAGTAGTTTCTAACTTGTCCACTACCCTTCAGCTTTACTCTATGTAATGCAGGGCCCATCATCCTGAGAGACACTCTTCCAAAAGAACAGTTCTAAGTCTGCCACTTCTATTAGTACTCGGTGATTACAGAAATTCAGAACTACTTTAGCCTGCCTTCTTCATCTTTTCCACAGGGGCTGCTGTAAAACTTCATTATATTTTTATGGCTTTCTTAGTTCCTTTAAACCTCTCATTCTCAAAAACTTGGGGAAGGGCCTTTATTGTTATCTTCACACAAAAGAAAATGGAAGTAATCTGCATGAGACCTTGCAATTTGCTCATCCCCTGCCCTCCTCTAAATGTACGTGGAGTACATTCTTACTTCAGAGGAATCCATGCGTCTTCTTTCCGAAGTGCGAACTCCACGTAGGCACTCCAGCTCATCCCTCTTAATTTCCTGAGGTCCATGATTCACAAGTTCCCTTTCATATTTTGTCTTCGTACTTTCCCTTTCTGTGAACCCCTTCCTTCTCTCTGTAAAATTGTTGAAGCTGCCTTCATCTTTTGAAAAGCTTACTTCAGCCTTACCTTGCACTCAAACCACCATTATTCCTTTCCTTCGCTGACACATTACTGAAGCCAAGCCTCTAATTCTTTTCCACTTATTCAGCACCTTTTACTCTTCAAATAATTTCAATTCAGGTTTTTTATTAATTTGAAAATTGACCTTGATAAGATCATCAGGGATCTAAAAATTATTAATCCAATGCCTCACTTCACTGCTCACTAGATAGACCCCCTCTAGGATTTAACATTACTGATGTCATTCTTTAGACTCTTTCTTCCTTGGATTGATAGGAAACTCATTTTTTCTGGTTTCCTTTCTATCTTTTGACCTGATTACTTATGGCTGTTTCATCATCGTTCCCTAAAATGTTGATATTTTTCACGGAGCTCTAACTACCCATTTGCCTCTTCGTTTATATATGCTTCTCCTCTTGGTAACATATGCTACATATGTGGTCTATACTCTTATGATTTTCCCTTACACCTAAACATTCATAGCTCTAACCACTACTTTCTCATGAAAGTTCTTCTCCCCTGCCTTTCCATGCCACAATATGCGTGATTTGATGCTATCTATCTTTCAGAGTCTTATTCAAAATCTTCCAGTATATATGATCCTTGCTTCTTTCCCTCCCTCCTGAGATATCCTATATTGTGTTTTTTGTGTCCTTCTTGTGATACATTACTTTCTACCTTGCTTTATCTGCAGCGATGTGGAAATGTGTGCTACCTGAGAATAATGTTCTTGTTTTTTAGCTGCATATCAGTGCTTTTCACAGTTTTCTGTATAGTAATTTCTCAATAAGCATTTGTTGAATGTGTGAAAAATAAATATTAAAATTGCAAAATATCTTACAGATAATCAGATTTTGTTCTGATAGCAAATGGTCAGACTTGGGGTGGGGCATCTTATAACCTAATATCCTGTGCTCAAAAGAGCCTCATTAGTTCCTGAAATATTTTTGTTGTAGCATATAGATCCAACAGCTTTCATAAAATTTCCCTGATTAAGCAAAGTGTGGTGCCAGTGTTCCTCCTTCCCTCCCAATTCAAAACTTCCCTTCTTTCTTCTGCAGAGATAATGAACAAGATAGCTAGTACATGAGGTAAATATTGTTTAATCCCTTTAGAAATATAGTTTTTACAACATGTTTGACTTTCCTCATGTATGGTTTTCTGATATGTATGCATCAAGACAAAAGGAACACAGGTAGGGATCACATGTTACTGGGAAATGTTCTTTAATTTCAAGAGCAGAAGAAAGACAAACCAGTATGAGTGAAGGAAGAGAAATGGGATCCCCTTTTGGGTTACTCAGTAATCCTGTGATAATATCAGTTCCTGTACACAAATATTTTAAAAATACATAGAGCAAATTAGAGCTGTTTTCCTAATTTCATAGGCTTTTTGAAAAATTAGGGACATTTGATATTACAGAAATTAATTGCAGAATAATAATCGTAAGCTGAGCTAATTGAGCACCAGTGATTGCTGACTCTGCAGTTAGTTTTAGCAATACAAGTACAGGAGAAAGACTCTGAGGAGTGAAGCATTAAATACAATGAAAAACTAAGATATAAGAAAGATGGTCAGGGGCACATGCCCTAATCTAAAACAGGTAAGTTAAAATTCAGAGGCTTTGGAAATTAAAGAACATTTCCCAGTAACATGTGATCCCTACCTGTGTTCCTTTTGTCTTGATGCATACATATCAGAACACCATACATGAGGAAAGTCAAATATGTTGTAAAATCTATATTTCTAAAGGGATTAAACAATATTTACCTCATGTACTAGCTATCTTGTTCATTATTTCTGCAGAAGAAAGAAGGGAAGTTTTGAATTGGGTGGGAAGGAGGAACTCTGGCACCACACTTTGCTTAATCAGGAAAATTTTACGAAAGCTGTTGGATCAATGTACTATTTCTGTAGAATGAATCAAAAGAATTGAGATTATGTAAAGTTCTTACTAGAAGAAGAACAGAAAATATTTCTCCAGAAATTATGACTGGGCAGAGGTTGGTTGATTCAGTCATTCAACAGATATTTATTTACTCTTCTGTGTGCTAGCCATTGTTTTATGTGCTCAGGATAGGCCAGTGAATACAATAAACAAAGATCTCTGACCTCCTGGAGCTTATATTGTAATGAGAGAAAACAGATAATAAGCAACGAGCATGATAATAAATAAGTAAATGATATGGCGTATTAGGAAGTGAAAGTGTTATGGGAAAATAAAGTAGTTCAGGTTAAGAAGCAGCAGGAGCTCTGTGCTGTATTAATGCAGTGGTCAGAGTAGATTCACTGGGGAAGTGAAGTTTGAGGAAAGACTTAAACTAAGTGGGATGGAGAGCCAAGCTGTCGTTGGATTGCCAGTCAGAATACATTTCCAAATCCCTGTGAGAAACTCAGGCATTAAATCTGGTAGGAGGATATTTGGCCCAGGAAATGTGAAGACAGGATTCCTCTACTTACATATAGAGTTATGCTGCTCAAATCATTGATATTCTATTAACTCTCAATTTCTTCATTTGTAAAAGAAGTATAGTAGTATTAATGTCACAGTACAGGAAAAAATGAAAAAGTTTTATATTTAATAACCTTTTAAAATTTAGAATTGATTTAGATTTACAGAAAACTTAGGAAGACAATACAGAAAATTCCCATATATCCTACACCCAGTTTCCCCTGTTATTAATGTCTTACAATAATATATTTGCCACAATTAGCCGACCTATATTGATTCATTAATGTTAACCAAAGTCAAGATTTTATTCAAATATCCTTAGTTCTTACCTAATCTTCAGTACAGGTTATTCCATCCAGGATACTATATTACATTTAGTTCATGTCCTCTGGGACTCCTCTTGGCTGTGAAAATTTTTCAGACATTCCATGTTTTTCTTGACCTTGACAGTTTTGAGGAGTAATGATCAGGTATTTTGTAAAACATCCCTCCACTGGGAATCATTTGATCTTTTTCTCATGATCCAACCAAACTTACAGGTTTTGGGGAAGAAGGTTACTGAGGTAAAGTGCCAGGCTCATCATATTGTATCCAGGGCACACACTGTCAATGTGACTTATAAGCTGTTGATGTTAATCTTGATCAGCTGACTGAGGTATTGTCTGTCAGGTTTCTCCAAAACCTTCACACTTAACAGTGAGTTTTATAGAGACCTAAAACTAAAATCTAGCCCCATGATACTTGATGATATTTGTTGAATCCACCTCCTGGGTAAGGAAATCTACATCCATTAAATACATATTCCTGGAATCTGTTTTGTACTTTGTGCTGAAATGCATCAATTTCATAAATCAACCCAGCTCTTTCATAAAATGAAGTAATTTATGAGTTCTTTTCTCTCAGATAAATGTTGTGGGAAGAACAGGAGTTTTAAAATGTACTTCCTTGTAGCTATATACAAGCCTTTGGTCATGTTTTCCTTCAATTATATTTTAACACAAAAAGTGTAAACTCCTTATCTCTTCCAACTTGTAACATGTCAAATATGTATGTTGCTTTGGAATGTATTGTACTACTGTCTAGCAAGTTCTGTTTGGGAATAGAAAATACATTTTCTAGTGATAAGAGCATATTTCAACTGAAGCAGCAAGTTGGTTATAAGGCCCCAGGTTATATTTCAGAAAATGAAAAGCAAGCAAATCAAACAGAAGGATAGGCAGGCCTTGTAGGCTAACCAAAGCCTTCATGTCTTTCTAATTTTACTTTCATGATTCCCACAGAGTAAATTATACTGCGCAAAGTGAAATGGGGCCTTCTTTGTTCGCACACTCATTCTTTTGTATTTGTTTCAAAAGATGCCAGACCCGGATCAAGCCCAAATTTTAGTGCCACCCTGTCAACACCAATGACAAAAACGTTTGCATTGTACATTACCATTTTTCTTGAAATGCAACTCATTTTCATCAAAAGCAGCCCTCAGAGGGCACAGTGCTAGCTTGGAGTGGTTCATTACAGAATGTTTGGTTAATGATTTTAATCTGTAAAAGTGCAGCAAACAGCTCCTGTAGCTGCCCCTCTGTTGTGGACAGGTCAGCTCTCCCTCCAGGGAGAGTCTGATCCTTGTCCAAACAGAGAAGCACATTTGTCCTTGGATTGTCCTTGACTGCCTCTGGTGCCCAGGGTCTCTTCTGTCCTACAGTCTCCTCATTAATCCAGAACTGTGATTTGGTGAGATGTTAACCCTGAGGCCTGGTGTGATTTTACATAACTTTGAAAAATAAACCACATTCTAGACCAAAAGAGATATTTCTAATCACAGAATATTAGAGGATCTTTTTTGCTCAGGGGACATTGCCTCATATTTATCATACTATTAAACATAGTATGGCTCTGAATAGCTGTAAACTATTTTATTGCTGGAGACATTGTGACATTTAGCTGCGTCTCTTATACCTGCTTTAATATTTTAGTATTACATTTAACCATCCCTCCCCTTTTCTCATAACTCAGTCAGAGTCATCTTCACTGTAAACTTTATGGGATACTGGCTAGAAAGAGGAGAAAATGAGTAACAAATATATAGAGAAAAATATTTAATATTCCTTTTTAAATAGTGCGTGGGATGCCTTTATATATAACTAAAGTTTACTATAAATGTTCACATAAATCCTACCCCCCCATTTCTAATCTGCCTAAATCTATGTTCTTTATACCTATATTTAATTAGCATTAATTCCTACATCTTTCTTCCTAGAATACTACATTTAATTTATCTTCCTTATTTACTTAACCCCTCTGAAATATCCTTTCTTAAACAAGTAATAAAATTCTTTGTATAGATCATGAATGAGTCCCCATGAGTAAGCAGTTGAATTAATTTGTCAGCAAACAACCGTGCGTACATGGGGAATAAAACACTAAACACATGTTATCGGGATATGGGTGGTAATTATATAAGTCTCACAACAAAGTCAATCTGATCCATGTTTAACAATGTCTATATTATTGTGTTGCATAATAAGTATAAAAGAAACAGTTAATCTAATGTCTGTATTTAGTATTTCTTACACTGAACCAAAGCATGTTTTTCTCACCTTTTTGCATCTTTTCCTGTTTTTGTAAATAACAGTCACTAAAATCTGAGCTTCCCGAAGGCACATATCAGCTTCACTGTGTGTCCTCCGGTCTTAGCACAAGGTCCGCTCTATGAGAGTTTCACAATCAATGTTGAATGAGTAAATCCATATATCTACCCAAACATTAAAGTTGACACTTGTCCGTGAAAATATATATATATCTCCTTTCAGACTGGACTGGCATACTGACCAACTGAGATGACCTTATAAACTCAAACAATTCCAGAATTATTTTGTGTCCCCTATTTGTGTTTGACATTGGTCTATATCCAGGTCTACAGACGTGAACAGCCATAGTCCATGCCATCCAGGAGTTAACAGTCTAGTGGAAAAAGTGGATAAGATAAGAAACAATGTGGAATGACTGCATCATACATTGCCTATGAGAGAATGATAAGACTGGAAAATTATGCTTAGATTTTTGATTATCTTGAAAGCAATGGGCATATCTTAGATCACTTTTAAACAGTGACAAGAAACACTTATAAAAAGATATGCAATCTAATACTTCAAAAGTCATTATTATATGTACCTATAATTCTAGCCTAGGGCTGAGAATCCTGGCCTGTTTAACTCCATTTCTAACTTCTATCCCAGTGGTTTTCAACCTTATCTACTTATGAAAATCACCTGCAGAGCACATAAAAAATATTGAAATCTAGGCCATGTATTTATTCTGATTTTTTGGTGTGGATTGGAGGCTAATGCATCATTTTTTAAAAAGGAGTACCTCCAGCTGATTCTAATATCCAGTCATGTTTGCAAATCATGATTCTGTTTTCTTCCTTTCATGACTTGGAAGAACTAGGCATCAGAAATTCAGATGTGAAGCTACAGATGGATAGCTAATTTGGGGAGCTGTAGTTTTATTGTGATATAGGAAGAAATAATCTGAGTTTGTAACTTACTCAGGGGCTGATTTGAGGCAAGTCAGTGATGTTCTACCCTTCATTGACTTAGAAGGTCTCTTTTTTTTTTTCTTTCCTTTTTTTTAAAAAAATTTTTATTATGAGACAGGATCACCCAGGCTGGACTGCAGTGGCCCAATCATGGCTCACTCAGCCTTGAACTCCTGGGCTCAAGTGATCCTTTCATCTCAGCCTTCTGAGTCTCTGGGATTATAGACATGTGCCACCATGCCTGGCTAATTTCAAAATTTTTTTTCTGGGGATTTGGTCCTGCTGTGTTTCCCAGGCTCCTCTCTAACTGCTTGCCTCAAGCAATCTTCTCACTTCTTGATAAAGACTCTTGAGTAGTACCAGGCAAGCCAGTGGAAATATTCCATTGATCTTTGATGTGATTTTGGAGATAGGAGAGGGAAAGGAAAGGTGAGAGAAAAAAATATAAGTACTCTAGGGCTTGAAAGTGAAGGTGAGGAGTGGAATGAAAAGAGATGGAAGTTAAAGAAACTTGAAATTATAAATCTTTCTCATCTTCATTTTGTCATCATACTATTAATAATATAGATCCTATATCAAATGCCCTCTTCCAAACTCTGGAAGAATAATCTGATATGGAAGTGATAGATCTTTCCATGAAAAGGAAGTACTATTATTACTTATTTATAATTTTATAATACAGATTTAATTATAAATCACAGGCTTATGGTATACTTTCTATAATGCTATTCATAATTTTTATGTTTGTATTCTATAATTTTGCTTATGACTTTTGCTTATCATTTTTACTTTGATGAAGTACTTGTGTTGTTTATACAGTCACAGAAAAACAAATTACCCAATGTCTATTTCACAGTTTGCAGTTACATTTCACACCCGTACACAAACATGCCCACAAGTATCTGAACTTTATGCTGTGATCTTGAGGGCCTTTAGCATATTACTTCACACACGCCTTCTTGGTCCTCCTCAAAGCCTGGGTTCTGACTGACTTTGTTGTTAACTTCATAATCATTTTGTTTCCTGAGTTGGGGCCCTTTTTGACAAATATACATATTAAGAATTTCTGATGTCTCAGTTGGGTAAGAACAACAGATAAAGCAAATTTGACTTTGAAATGAGAACAAGAATGATGGTAGAAGTTACTCTTCAAAGCTTTGCAATAATTCTTTAAATATATTGGGGACAGACACACATTTTTGTATAATTTAAACATATATTCATATTTAGAGAGAAAAAAAGTTTAAATTGATAGTTTAACTTGATGGCCTAAATGGATAGAGACTTATTTTCTTAAGTAATAAGATATTAGGAGCTGGGTTCCAAGATGGCCACAACTACCCAAGGACCTCGTGTCTTCTAGTTTTCTGTTCTATCATTTTCTAAGCATGTAGCCTTTGTTCTCATCATCACAAGTTGGCTGCTGCTCCTGCAGGCATTGTGTCTACTTCCCTGGAACAAGTAGGTAAAGTAAGTGCGAAGGAGAAAAATTCAAATTTAAGTGACAGCTGAGTTCATCCCATTTATAAAGCTTTCCCAGGAGGCCCACTCAGAAATTTTCTTTTGTATTTCATTGTCATACCTTGATTATATGGCCACCTCTACCTATAAGAAATTCCAGTATGGCTTAAGCTGGCCATCTTAATCCACCCCCCAGTTTCTCTTCCCTACTAATCTTATCTAAATTTTCTTTGTTTTTAAACTTTAATCTCTTTAATTTCTGGAATGAAATTTAAAAAATTGACTGAAGAGGTAAAGCTGAAACTCACTGATAAGAGTGGTTGATGTACATATGAGAAAACACAGGCTTATAGCAAGGTTCAGTAAGTGTGAAGGGATCACTTAGGATTTAGAACAAATTAAGTTTTCCTCTTAAAAGTACTGAAAGAATACTTCAAAACTGCAGACTTCTTAATAATTTAGTAACCATTTGATTTTGCCTTGCTTGGTTCTTTTTAAGAACTGTGCCATTAGATACATTTTCTGGGAAAAAAAAAGACTCAGGAAAAAATGATGACTTTTATCTTCAAACTACCTTAGAAACTAGGCAGCAATTAGTGTTGCCAGATTAACTTGGAGAGACATTTTGGTGGCACTGTTGCTATTCTTGAGTTATTAACTACCGGTATCACTACATAATGGAAAAGTATTGATATTAAGATAAATGAAGTTGTTACTTCATCCAAAAAAATCAAGCAGAGGTATTCTTTTCTGTGGGTGTTCACTGGATTCATTTATTAATGCTGATTAGAAGTATTTAAGTTAATAAGTGTGCCCATGTTATGCCTAAGTGATATGTACTAGCTTTGAGTCTGATTAAATTTTCTTCATAAATATTTAAATTTCTATTAGGAATAGCAATTTAGTTACTTGTTAGTGAGCCTTTCTTGGCACATGAATACATAAATACAAACAAACACAAACTGAAACAATTTTCTATTCTCCATAGTAAATGTTGGAAGAATCATGTTCTGAAGACAAAATTAAATATCTGTACCTTTGGTGTATGTCTTTTTATAGTAGCTGAATTAAACTGCATTTGCATATGTGTTTGGACCATAAAGGAGTGAGTTTGCCTTACTAATTAGGATGCATACTGAGTGGAGAGTATAAATCAGTCCTTTATTTTTTATTTTATTTTTATTTTTTAGATGGAGTTTCACTCATGTTGCCCAGACTGTAGTGCAATGGTGCCATCTCAGCTCACTCCAACCTCTGCCTCCTGGCTTCAAGTGATTCTCTTGCCTCAGCCTCCCAAGTAGCTGGGATTACAGGCATACGCCACCACACCCAGCTAATTTTGTATTTTTAGTAGAGACGAGGTTTCACCATGTTGGTCAGGCTGGACTCAAACTCCTGACCTCAGGTGAACCATCTGCACTAGCCTCCCAAAGTGCTGGGATTACAGGAGTGAGCCACCATGCCTGGCCTAACTCAGTCTTGATTTCTCACCAGTGATGATAACAAACACACATACACTCACAAGCCATAATTATCCCAGAGAGGACTTAAATTCACTTTCTTGTTTCTCTGATTAAGATTAGAAATTCCATTTCATTTTGATGTTAACTACAGCTGAAGAATTTAAATTGTTAAAAAGAAAAATATGTACTACTTAATTCACACAAATTAAATTGTGTTCATAATGAATGGTTCAAGGTATTCTTTTTAGAAAATATATTTAAATTTTGATGGTTCTAATATGAATGTAGCAATATTTTGATGAGTATTCATATCTTGGTGAAGTACTGTGAGAAAAGTTTATAAAAAGAGTTTTAGTTAATTTGTCAGCTTGTATTTTGTGTTATGACCTTCACATTTGAAGAAACTGTGACAATTGCTGACTAAAATCTGTACAGTGTTGTAATTTTATTGTCAGTAGAAATTACACGAGTTGTTTACATATTTTGAGGCAAGATATTCTTTGCTTGAGGGTCAAAGCTTTGATTATGACTGAATTCTTGTTAGTTTGCAGATGCTTTCACTTTCTGTTTAGGAAAATATATATATATGTATTTTTGTCAGGAGTGAAAAACTGTATTTTGTTCATACTGAATTATTTGCTGCTCTTGTGGAGTGAATGCCTCCTGGAATGAGTCATCAAATTAAATTGATAAGAACTGTTTTCTCTGAAAGCAGTTTTGCCACTGATTCTTCTGTGGGGAACAGTCCATGTTTAATTGACACACAATGTATCCATTAGGATTTTGATCTTGAAGGTATTTTTGTAAATACAAATAGAAATCTGCCTTCAAAACACCTATCCTCTCCTTTTTTAATTATTTTATTTTATTTTGAGACAGGGTCTTGCTTTGTCGCCTAGGCTGGAGTGCAGTTGTATTACATGGCTCACTTAAACCTCAAACTCCTGGGCTCAAGCGATCCTCCCTTTTTAGCCTCCCAAGTAACTGGGACTGAAGGCACAAGCCACCATGCCTGGCAATTTTTTTTTTTTTAAGTAGAGATGACGTCTTGCTATGTTGTTCAGGCTGGTCTCAAGCCCCTGGGACTCAAGCAATCCTCTGGCCTTGGCCTCGCAAGGTGCTGAGATTATAGGCATGAGCCACTGTGCCCAGCCTCCTCCTCGTATGAGTGCCCTACTTCGATTATTTTGACTGGGCTTTCTTGGGTTTAAATGTTATTGTTAGACAGTGGGCTTCTATGTTTATATCATAATTAGAAGAATTCTTTTCAAAGTAAATGTTTTGCTTCAGGATCTAAAATAGACCACTAAAATAGAACTTTTGTTTTCATAATTGCTATAGAAATTTTATGTAAGAAAGTATAGAGGTTAGATGAGATCAGATTAGCAGTTCAATCAAAAGGCTAGTCAGTTTGAGAAGGCTAACTGTGAGAATAAATAAGATTAACTACTGATGTAAGGTGAATGAATCCCTTTAATAAAATAGATTTACTTATCAGAGATTAGGAAAATAACCACATGTGCATAATGCATTCATAACTGAGAGCAAATACTATATATTAACCAGCTTACCTATTAGCCATTTTTCGTTCCAAACCAAAGAAACATAATGTAAGGATAAGATAAAACCGTCACCAGGATGGATCAAACATTCTGAGAATTCAACCTAGAATTAAAAGACGTCTAACGATTCAGAAATATATTTATTTTCAAATTGTCATACTGCATTTATGAAGATGACATTTGGGGATCCTATCATGAAGTATATAGATATTGGCATATGAATGACAATTTTTGAAATTTTATGACATTAAAAGTGTGAAAGGCACTTAATGACAAACAAACCTTAAGGCCCAGCTTTGAGGAGTGTTGCTTTCTAAAACATTAATTGAATGAGGGCCATTCTTCAAAAGTAAAAGTGTGAATAGAACAGAGACTGCTCACAGGAACAGTAGTTGGTTAATACACTGTCAAAGCATATAAAGATCTGGGGATGAGGTGTTAAGTCAAGTGGTGAAAACCTGGGATTCCTGACAGAAGAGATGGAGATGGAGCTAGAAAAAGTGGGAAGCTATACAAACTGAGAGCAGAGAGGATCACATGTCTCTCAGACATATGATAATGCACAACCTTATCTGATTTACTTTCAAAAGATTTTTAACATTCATCAGAATTCCTCAATGGTTGCCCGTACCACCTTGTCAATGCCAGATGCTTGGTCAGGGTCAGAAAGATATTGTTGAAATTCAGAAATGATTTTTAGAGTGTATGTTGTTTCCAGGTGGATTTTTCTGTCCATTTTCCTTGCTGAGAGATATCTAAATCAGCTTCAATAACTCTTGAAAAGCAAGAGAGACTCTTTATTATACTTTTTTTGATCTATTTATCTATATGTATCTATCTTTATCTAGACTCTATACCATATAGCCTAGGAATGTAGTAGAATATACCATTTAGATACATGTAAGTATACCCTGTGATGTTTGCACAATGATGAAATTGCCTAATGATGCATTTCTCAGAATGTATCCCCAAAATTAAGCAATGCACGATGGTACGTATACATTGTTAAATGGTTACCACTATGAAGCTAATAAACATATTCATCATCTCACATAGTTACCATTTTTTCTGCATGTGGTGAGAACATTTAAGTTCTATTCTCTTAGCACATTTTAAGTTCACAATGGAGTATTATTAATTATTGTCATCATGCTATATATTAGATCTCCAGAATTCATTCATCCTGTATAACTGAAATTTTATACTCTTGGGCCAACATCTACCCATTTTCCCCACCTTTTCTGTATCGTAACAGAACTAAGCAGGAAGGGATAACCCTTGGAATTTAGAGCCACAGCTGTCAGGGCTATAAAACATGCAGTCTTAAGCTAAGGCTCAAAGATATTCTGCTGGCCCATCAGATACAAACAACCCAACCAGGCAAAAGGAGGAGAGGAACTAATTGGAAGCTAGAAGGATAAAATAGGGTGATGAGCAGTTTTAGACAATTAGTGGTAGAATATAAGGGTGTAGGTGCCAAGGGATGTAATTTTCAAGATTTGTATATGTTTGCAATTTTCTCCCTAAGGTGACCCTTGCTGCTTTCCTAATACATTTAAGAACTTTTTGGCTATAGATGGGTCTTTCTCCCCCAGGGCTTGATACCACTTCTCTGGTAGATTTTGGCAGTACACCAGGGATAAATATTGAAATCCTGGCATGTGGTTATAAGGCATTCTCCCAGAGAAAGGTCCACCATTTAGAGCCTGAACTCCTACTCTACCAGGACCAGGTAAGTCAGTTTGCTATGTAACTGAAAAATCAGAGGCTGAAAAATATCCCCAGAGAACAGTCTCTGATTAGTCAACATAGCATACAAACGCAAAGATGAAATGAACAAACTTTAGGAACTAACATGATGCAATTTACTGTATCCTGAAAAATAGCTGATATTTTCATGTGAATCTGGATCCAGACACAGAGGATACATACCACATTTTCTATAGGTACATAGATATTTTTCAACATTTTCTACTCTATGGTACAATCGAAGGTAATGGAGTTCTTTGAAAGAACAGTTTTAAATTGCAAAAACTATGCAGCTAACCATTTGGATCCTTCTAAAGGGAGCATAAAATTGTTGGAACACATATTTCAGTGGTATCCACAGAAAACTAATAGTTCAGCTGAAAAATGTCTGGGTGCAATTAAACAGAACTTCTTCTTTCCAACAGCAAGACTGAGATGGATTTTAGTTTCTGTTAAGCACTAACCGATTCTAATTATTTTCTCTCTTTTTGAGTTAAGAAAAAGGGAAAAGTTATTTGGACATGAAACTATCTCTACTATGAGAGCTAAATAACCTTTTTCTTAAGTTCTCTAAATGTAAAAGTTGGAGTATAGTGTAGTATAGTACTATCATTTCACAGTTTCCACTTCAACAAAAATATATGCACTCCCGCAAATATATTTTCATATGATTTTTGCACATACACACAAACATTTTACTTAGCTATCTTGATTCATACTAATAACAAAGATTTTCATTTGAATATATGCTATACTGATATCCATCATATTTTCATTTCTCAACCTTAGATGTTTAATCTAGATATTTTAATTGAAAAGTACCACAAAAGTTATTAGTCTATCAGTATACTTTCTGTATGACACAAAGAATAAATTGATCTACTGCGTGCTTACTGGACGACTAAGTATTTTTCCATGTAGAGTAGGTAATTTTATGATAAGATTACTATATTTTATGATATTATGTCATTTTATGTCATATAACACATTAAATATACAAACTACATTAAATATAAGCCTAAGGAGAGAAGTTTCCATAAGACAACTGTCTTATTTCAGAAAGACTATATCTGTTAAAAAATATGATAATAGGGTTATTGTTTTTCACTCTTCAGGTATATTTTAAGATGTTTCTTTTCTTTCATTTCAATTCCTGCTTCTCCCCTACCACCTCAACCCTCCTTCCGTATGTTTTTCACTACCTATCACATATGAAGAATTACACTAGGTACTAGGAACAAAGACAATTAAAACAAAATTTTGGACCCCAAAGACTTCCAGTCTGAAGTAGACAGAAAAGCAAATTAATAGTTCATTATAGGATAAGTTATAAGAGATAGTCACAGAGAGAGCTATGAAAACCAAACCGAAACCTGACTCTACTCAGAGTATCAAGTTATGCTTGGCTGAGATTATACAAGAATTATAGTAAGAATAAGTAGAAGATAACAAAGCAGAAAATGAAGGGGTATATCCTCAAAAGAAAGGGAGTATTTTCAGTTTAATAAATGCAAGTTATTTGCTATGGCTGTAGTTCCACGAAAATACATATTTTAATTAACAACTCTCATTTTGGCCAGCTGAGAATAGAGGCATTTCCAATGTGAACATCACTGCCAAGACAATCTCTTTGTATTGATTGAATCTACACATTTTTCTAATTTAAAACAAGTTATTAAAAAGCTTCTTGGTCTACCCAAATATGGATTTACCATTGTCTATTTTCACATTAGCAATTTTTAGGCATCCAAAAACTTTGTGATTGTTTTGATGACTCATACCTCCCCTCATTTTTCTCAAGCACTTCTGTTCTCTCATAGAGGAGAAACTAAAGTGAAATGGTTTATCCAAATCTATGTGGTAATTTAAGAAAGAAAATGGAATTAAATATAGTATGGTCTCTTTATTTGGAGACTAATATATATCCCATTGAGTTTTATTTCCTGTTAGCTATTTTCTTTTTACCAATTATGCCTTGGTATACCTCATTAGTGATGAAGCAACCTGATCTGAAAAACATTTAAAACTTCAACAAAAATTTATATGTGGGTTTTCTCTTTTAAAAAGTTTCATTTAAACATCTATTTGTCTTTTCAATGCTAGTATCTGATTAAATCAACCAAGGCTATCTGGGGTCTCCTGAATTTGAAATTAGAAGACTATATCAACATATTTCAGTATTGTTTCTTGATGTCACTAGGATGCCATCTGCAAAGAAATATTGCAACACACTACTAACAACTAGGAACAGAATAAGAAAAAATCAGAAGAAATTCTATTGGTCCTTCAAAATCCACTCATGTGCTTCAGCCTTAGAAGATACTCCATGGATTTGAGGACTTTCAGAAATAGAGCTAAGTCTGTAGTCAACTTAATTTATTCTCTGACATGTATTGCTTCTGACATCTGCACCAAAATGCACATTTATATGTTCTGTCCAGAATAGACATTGATCTGCTCAGGGATACTTTAATATAGAGAAATTGAATAGAAAAAAATCTTTAATCATATTGCTTATTACCCCAGCTGCCTTTTTCTCTCTCCCAGGATTGGAGAAATACCCCATGAAAGAGGTTCAGCATGACAGCCACCAGATTGAACCAGACTGCATTGTGCTCTAAATACCAGAGCTAATCTGAAACAATAAATTCACACAAAGACATTTACATGGCCATAGAGAGTTGATAACAAAATTCCATTTATATTTGCTTGGCAGTTGAAAGACTAGGAGCTATTTGAATACATTTGAAAAGTCCTTTGAAGTAGTTGGGTATAAGGTTAGTAAATTCTGCCACAGTTTCTCTTTTATTTCCATAACGGTGTACATATTCTGATGACACACAGAGTGTCACATTTAATCTAGCTGCTAAGAAACTTAAAAACTAGTCTTAAAGATAGCAATTTAAAATCTGAACTCTGGCTTATTTCTGTAGGCCTATCATACAATGCTCAATTTAAGAATGACTTGATATAGAAAAGTATAGCTTTCTGGTTAGCACCACATGTTTTGGAAACATACAGATCAGGATTAGAAATGACCTGCCACTTACTGGCTGTATGATGCTAGGCAAGTTTCTTTGTTCACCAGAGGCTCTATTTCCTCATCTGTAAAATGGAAATAGTAATAGGATATATGCTGTATATATAATAAATGAGTTAACTATATAAAGTATTTAATAAAACAATTGGCAAAAATCAAATGCCAAAGAAATAAATGGTAGTGTTTGTTATCAGGCTCAAGTTTAATATAGATGGTAATAGTTATACTGTGGCATTTCGGGATAGACTTTTTGTTTCTCCTACACAAATTACTTTGAGTAAATAATTTAGATACATAAACCTTTTTAGTCACTAAGATACCATTTACAAAGAAGTGTTGCAACATACTACTAACAACATAATGGGCTGAAAGGAGAAATGGGCCTTTAAATGTGTCTTCTGGATCGGTGTAGTTGATTATATAAGACTAATCTACTAACAGTTTTCTCACTTTTAGCCACAAAGAGAGAGCCTCCTATAATCTTCCTTGTTTATAACACTTTAATTTTTCAATCTCTTAGGATCATAAAGGCATTCTAGTTCCAGTCAATCTACTGAGTTTGGTTAATATGCACATAAATCATCAGCCATCAGTAAGGAAGGTGACTGCTGGTAGAGCTAATCCATCATCAGGACTATGAGACAGCTGCTCCTTTTATAGAGGAAATAAAAGCAAATACAGAAAACCTTAAGACTTGAAGGTTTTTGTATTATCAAGTCCATGCACTTTTACCTGTGTGATATTTGCAACTTTTGTTTTCTGATTCTTAGAATTATAGTAATATATGTATTAATCCTGCTGCTTTGGCCTTTGGATTTTGGCATGATTTCATTCTTCTTGTAGAAAAAAATATAATCAGTGTCTCTCCACCTAGTTTATTTCCTTAGAGTTTTGCTGTCTAACATGGTGTATACTTTTACTGCTCACCATGATTGCAATCATTATATTAGTATTGAAAATACCCAAAGAGTTAGTGACATACCTTTGGATGAGATTAATAACCATGTAGGGGGAAGAATGGATTGCCAAGCCATATACTGAAGTTCAGAGTCTTTACTTTTTACTGTTTAATTTGGGGAGAACTTTCAAAGAGATAAGGTTTAAAATCTGCACTGGAATTCAGGAAGTAACATGCGCCTGTCTCTAGGAAACAGAAATGAGACTGATGATATAATTTAGAAGTACATGTGACATAAGTCACGTGCAAAACAAGGTAGGTGCTTACTTCAATCATGACCTTTGAAAATTTCTCAGTGATAGTGTGGGAGGCTTTTTTAGGAATGGAATTGGAACAATATGTGCTTCTTCCCACGAGTAAACTGTGAAATGAGTGTTTTAAATGATTTTTAATTACAGTTTCTGAGCTCAGTACTTGAAGGTGCCAGTTGAGATGAAAAGCATGTAGTTTGTTTATTTCATTGTCAGGGTGAGAGTATGATTTATAAAAGAGTTCCTAACTCACATTAGAATTCACTTAAACATTCTGAGAAAAAAAAACTAAAAACAAAAACCGTTGCTAAGTAGGTTTTAGGTAAAATATATTTGAGTAAAATTTGAGTTCAAGAAAAATGTAGATCCTCTCTAAGGAATTTCTATCACTAACAGAGCTATTTATATTTAACATATTTAATGACAAGCAAGGTAGGAAAGTTGTTTTGCAGGCCACTTTTTTATGAATCAAAAAAGTTATTTTTTGCTTAATGAGTGTAAAAATACTAAAACGTAATAATTCCCTCTTACATATTTTTCTTACTTACGTTTTTTGTATTTATTTAAAAATTAGGCCAGTGACAAAAGAAAAACATAACTCAAGTTAAAAATGAAATATATGTGGCCGGGTGCAGTGGCTCACACCTGTAATCCCAGCACTTTGGGAGGCTGAGGTGGGTGGATCACAAGGTCTAGAGATCGAGACCATCCTGGCTAACATGGTGAAACCCTGTCTCTACTAAAAAAAAAAAAAAAAAAAAAAAAATTAGCCAGGCGTGGTGGCCAGCGCCTGTAGTCCCAGCTACTCGGGAGGCTGAGGCAGAAGAATCACTTGAACCAGGGAGGTGTAGGTTGCAGTGAGCCAAGATTGTGCCACTGCACTCCAGCCTGGTGACAGAGTGAGACTCCATCTCAAAAAAGAAAAAAATGATATATATGTTAATCAATTGACATAAAGACGGTTTGACCATAAGATTTTGGGTCTTACATAACTGTGGTGCTTTAAAGTGGCAATAGAATTTCTTATTTGTATATAATTTGATATTAAGAATATACCAAAGGCAGGAAAAACAATAAATAGAACAAATAGGCAAGTAGATAATATTTTGTGGTGAAAGTTTTGTTAAAGAGTGGGTAGATTATGAGACCAAGCCATAATGGTCTGTAAGAATTATTCAGACTCAACAAGATATGTGGAATTCTTTCACAAATGGCATTTAATAACATCTGGGCTCCCTGTTAGTTAGGTCTGCCTTATTTTACCTCATATTTGGGTCTTTTTTTTTTCTTTTTTTTTTTTCTTGAGACAAAGTCTCACTTTGTCACCCAGGCTGGAGAGCAGTGGTGCAATCACAGCTCACTGCAGCCTCAACCTCCCTGGTCTTAGTTGATCCTCCCACCTCAACCTCATGAGCAGCTGGGACTGCAGATGTACACCTCCACTCCGAGCTAATTTTTTAAATTTGTTGTAGAGACACCAGGTTTCACCATGTTCCCCAGGTTGGTCTCAAACTCCTGAGGCTTAAGCTATCCACCTGCCTTGGCTTCCCAAAGTGTAGGTTCTTTTAAGTAATCTTTAACATGAACTAGAGAAGTATACTAATAAATGAATCCATTTATTATTTTCATTAAATAATCTGCTGGCAATATAAGCCAATGTTCTCCAAACATTTTTTATTGTGCATATCCATTTGTTAATAAAAATTTAACATACAAACTTAACATACATTACACCAGTGCTAAAATGCACATTTTTCACATTTTAATATTTCTTAAATAAGGATACATTTCATACTTATAGTCTGACAGTTACGGATAGTGTAATGATTTCAAGTTATGTACCTCGACGGTTCTGTACATTTTGAGTTTGTCATTTAAAAGTCTTCTAAATGATTACTTTGAATAATTGGACATTGAAAGAAAGTGACCTTGTATAATCGGCCTGGCATAAAAACAGGGTGGCAGAGCATAAATTCAATCTATGTGCATCAAACATTTGTCTTTGAAAGAATGGCTTCCATTTTGTAGTTTTTTTGCAAAGGAAGAAAATACATCATGTATCCTAAAAAAAGAAGATATCCACAAGTAAGTAAAAGTTCATTACCATTTTTAAATTATCAAACACCAAGTAATGCAACTGATGACAAACAATGGAATACCATAGAGTAAATGAAGGGAATTCTAAAACAAGAGTCTCTTGTGATCAATATATGTGTCATTCTGGACTCTTTTTTAAAAAGCAGGTTATCATAAGATTTTTTTCCAACAGCATTTTTTCTTTCATAATGATATACAAAATTGTAAATGTTATAATTGATTTCATCTTAGAGTCTACAGGAAATAAAGACTATATGAAATATGAGATATTATGGAAAATAAAATAGTTATAAGTGATACACATTTACTACTTCCCTATTTTATATTAAATGTCTTATGGTTTTACAAATTATGTAATGTATATATAAAAGTATCTTATATATACAATGCACTCATATTTTCTGACATTGGTCTGGATATATACCCAGTAGTGGGTAGAATTGGTGGATCATCTGGTAATTCTATTTTTAATTTTTGGGGGAACCTCCTGATATGGTTAGGCTCTGTGTCCCCACAAATCTCAACTTGAGCTGTAATCCCCATAATCCCCATGTATCAAGGACAGGACCAGCTGGAGGTAATTAGATCATGGGGATGGTCTCCCCCGTGCTGTTCTCATGAAAGTGAGTGAGTCTCATGAAATCTGATAGTTTCACGATTGTCTGGCATTTCGCCTGCTGGCACTCACTCTGTCCTGCCACCCTGTGAAGAAGAAGCCTGCTTCTCTTTTGCCTTTTGCCATGATTATAAGTTTCCTGAGACATCTCCAGCAATGTGGAACTGTGAGTCAAATAAACCTCTTTCCTTTATAAATTACCCAGTTTTGAGTGCTTTCTCATAGCAGTGTGACAGCAGACTAATACAGTAAATTGGTACCAAGGTAGTGGGGCACTGCTATAAGGATACCCGAAAATGTGGAAACAAATTTGGAACTGAGTAACAGGCAGAGGTTGGAACAGTTTGAAGGGCTCAGAAGAAGATAGGAATATGTGGGAAACTTTCTAACTTCCTAGAGACTTGTTGAATGGCTTTGACCAAAATGCTGATACTGATATGGACAATGAAGTCCACGATGAGGTGGTCTCAGATGGAGATGAGGAACTTGCTGTGAACTGGAACAAAGGTGATTCTTGCTATGCTTTAGCAAAAAAACTGGTGGCATTTTGCTCCTGCCCTAAAGATCTGTGGAATTTTGAACTTGAGAAAGATAATTTAGGATATCTGTCAGAAGAAATTTCTAAGTGGCAAAGTGTTCAAGAGGAAGCAGAGCATAAAAGTTTGGAAAGTTTGTAGGCTGATGATGTGATAGAGAAGAAAAACGCACTTGGTGGGGAGAAATTCAAGCCCATGCCTGCTGCAGAAATTTGCACAAGTAACAAGAGGCTGAATCTTAATCACCAAAACAATGGGGAAAATGTCTCCAGGGCATGTCAGGGACGTTTGTGGAAGCCCCTCCCATCACAGGCCCAGAGGCCTAGGAAGGAAAAATGGTTTTTGTCTCCACCCAAATCTCATGTTGAATTGTAATCCCCAGTGTTGAAAGAGGGGCCTAGTGGGAGGTGATTGGATCGTGGGGTGGACTTCCCCCTTCCTGTTCTTGTGATAGTGAGTTCTCATGAGATCTGGTTTTTTAAAAGTGTGTAGCACATTTGCTTTCTCTCTCTCTTCCTCCTCTTCCAGCCATGTAATATGTGCTGTCTTCCTCTTTGCCTTCTGCCATGATTGTAAGTTTCCTGAGGCCTCCCCAGCCATGCTGCCTGTACAGCCTGTGGAACTGTGAGTCAACTAAGAATCTTTTCTTTATAAATTACCCAGTTTCAGAAATTTATTTACAGCAATGTGAGAGCTGATGAATATACCTTCCAGTAATAGAAGTTATATTAAATTATCTTGGAGGACATAATAGAACACTAATTTAGTAATTATAATTGTTATAGGCTTTGTAATAGTAAAAGCAGAAGGTTTGCAGTAGCACATTGCAGTTATCTAACTCAGCATCCAGTGCATGACTTCCTGGGAGAAATATTGTACAAACTGGGATGTGAAGTTTGGGTAACAGCCAGGGAAAATGAGAAGTGAAGAGATAGCTCCAGACAGATAATAACTATGTATGGAAGCCCAGAAGCAAAAGATGTCTAGAATATTTGAGGGAGTGATGTTCAGTATGGTTGTACTGAGTGAATAAGAAAGACAGATAAGACAGACACTAGAAAGGAAAAGAAGGGGAAGATCCCAAAGGGCCTTGTGTTATTTATCATTGAGAGAAGAAAATTCTCCTCCACTTCATGTCTGAGTCAGGCTAGCAATGAACTTCTTCTCTTTGTGGTTACAAATCTTTCAGAAAATAAGTAACATTACAGTTCACTAGGAGGTATACATTCCCGGTTCAGTCAATGGCGAATATGAAGTGAAATTAGTAGCATTTTCAGAGTCTGGATAACTACACCCCATCCCTATGATATCTTAACTCGGCCATCTTTGGCGAATGTGCTGCCACAGTTCTGCTGCATCCTCATAATAACTCACATTGATATAGTCTTTTGAAATTTAGAAATGTCTTCATTCCTTTTCCTAGGACTAGCCCATATTTTTACTGTGAGCTTCTAATAAGTAGTCCTTGTTAACTCAAATGGCATTTCTTATTAGCTGTGTCAGATAGATAATGTTATCACAATCATTTAGGAGAAGGGGAAGTGAGACTAAGCACCTTTAAATGACTTCTGTTTATTAATAGACCAAGGACAAATTGGAGGTTGGATACCAACCATGTCTCTAAAATTCCATGTCTAAAGATCATTTCCCACATCATATCATTCTTGTGTCTCAGTCCCTCTCCAGTGGTTTTGGGTCTTCTCATAGAAGAAGATCATAAAATTTCATTTAAAAATCATTAGCTTTTGTAAACTGAGGCATGGTATATTATGTCCTGTTAGACGAGGATATTTAATAAAAACATGGTCTTTTCTTGACAATAAAAGGAGAGGCTGTCATAATATTGAAAGTTGAAGTTTGGAATTTTCAAGTTTTCAGTCATTGGCAGTATAGCATACAAATTGCACTAAGAAATATCCCACTAAGTGGGATAATTTTAAATATAAATATTACTTCAAACAGAAAACTAATAATGTTTATTTCTCATGTGTGTTCAATGGAAATGATGACCAGGTATCTGTATTACCAAAACTAAATTATCAAGTATACATTAAAAAGGCATTGGGGGTGGGTGGATAACAATTCAACTAAATTCGGCGTGTCTTGCTGCCTGTCAGACATTCCATTTTCTAGTAGACAACAGAGTTTTTGTCTTGACTATCTTTCTTGCTTGGTGTTGGCATTTTGTTCCACGTACACTAAAAAGAACAGAGAGGAGTGACCAAACATGTGATCACAGGACACTCTTTCAATAACCCAAAGAGGACACACATTCTGAAGACAAGTATGAAATGAGAAAACTTCCTTGGAGGTCCTCCTTCGTCTGTTGCTGACACCTATTTTTATCCCTTGTAATCGCTATCCTTTACTGCAGTTCTCCAATTCATCATTCTCCTGTCTATTCTGTCAAATTTAGCCCTTCAGTTTCTAGTCACCATTTTTTGAGTTACTGTCTCTGCCATAGTGTTTGATGTTTAGATCAAAGAGCATCTCTATTTTTACTTTCTACTTTATGTAGTATATGGAAATTTTGTGAGTAAAATTAGTTTTATAATGAGAAAAATGAAAACATATTTCCATTTTGTGAAAATGAAGCATTTGTGAGTGAACATTTAAAGACAAAATTGTAGAAAAGATCAATGTGAAAATTCATGGGGGAAGACTGCTTCGTTATTTTGCTCCACCCATATCCATTTGTGCCCTGAAAGTGACTGAAAACACTTTAGGTATTTTTAAGTGAGGGAATTTAATGCTGATAATTGGTTACATAGGATTGAAGAGCTAAGAAGGCAAATATGGGCTAGAAAGATAAATGGCAATTAATATCGTCACAAAGTCACTAGCACTCTAAAGCTGGTGGTAAAAGGGAAGAGTTGATGGTATTTGAGCCTAGCAGCTAGGATAGTCCAGCAGAGGGTGGATCTTTCAGGCCCAGTCTATTTATTGCTACAAAGTGTCAGGAATATGGCTTTGGAAAAACTAAAAATCTCACCATCTCGTGGCAAGTATAGAACCAGTCACCCAACAAATGACATGGCCTATGAGAGCAAAATGTAAGGTATGAGGAAGAGACAGCCTGGAGATAAGAATGTTTATTATTGGAGATGTAGAGCCCACAGGAGGTGATGTAGCTGCTGCAGGAGGTTCTTCCAAAGATAGAGAAAGGAGACTAGACGCACTGACCCCTACTCCTTCCCACCCTTTCAACTACTGTAATTTTTCCCATGTCAAACTCACTTATAATCCAGATGACAGAGGAGCTTGAGAAATTCAGCTTGGAGGAGTCAGTCAACTTGTGTTATGGAAAAGAACAGATGAATAATGAGTATCATGTGTCTGGTACTGTAGAAACAAGGCCTGGATGGGAATTCTTGTCCAGGTGATTTATGTGAAGAGTGCTTTTAAAAGAAGATTGATAAAAATAGGATCGAGCAAAGGGCAGTGTTACCTAAGCAACACTATGGTCACAGCTGTATCCTGGCTTTCCTCTGAATCCATAGAAAAGTTCAGGAAGTGCAGTTAGGCCCATCTCAAGGCCAGGGGCATACCTTTTGTCCCTGCCAATCCAGCACTCACTGAAGTTTGTGTGGGTGTTGGGATACCTTCCACTTGACTGAGGGGAGTTTCCAGAAAGGGGGTAAATAGTGGGTCATCAGCCACACTCACAGTAAGTGGGGCATGGGTGCACTGCCCATTCAAGAGGGTCTGGACAGGGCACTCAAATCACTGCAAACAGAGCTGTGAGCAAAGAGCCAAATAACTGGTACCATCATGGTTGGAATTACAACAGAATAAAATCAAGGAGAATTAAAAGCATTTGGAATCTTTGAGGGATGAGGTGACGGGAGTCTGTATTGAATTAAAGTAGTGGGAATGAAATGCATTCAACAGGAAAGAAATTTCATTAGAAAGGAAATATTGAAAACTCATTACGAAGTAACAGTTAAGAACACATAGTGACTGATTTTAAATGAAGTTTGTAGAAGATGATTTTAAGATTGTATTATGTTTCTGAAACATTTCTGGGAAAATGATTCTGGCTTTCACAGAAACCAGGAGCAAAGAGGAAAACCTGACTTAGAAGGAAAGGTGGTCTAATGATTTCAGATGATTGCAGAAAATCCAAGCAGACATTTTTTATGTTATTATCAGTATTTTGCACATGGGATATACTGGGTAATTGTGCTTTGTTGTTTTATTAAATGAGAAATGCAATATTGAAAATATACTGGTTAAATCATTTGTATAGAGTTAATATTTTTCAGTAGTCAATGGGATCACAAAGAGAGTATATAAAGAAAATAAATAAAAAGCCAAAGACCAGTTTTAAGAAATACCCCAAAACAAGAGCTAGAGTTAAAAAAAAAAGAGGCAAATACTCTATATTTTGTATCTCAGATGAACCACATACAATGTGAAATATTTTATGAACTGTGAAAACAGTAGTATAAGCTTCTTCCCAGGGAAACAGAAATATAAAATCAGAAAAAAAGTCTCATTTTAAAAAGAAACCCTATTTAGTTAATATGAAGCAATGAGTCAACTTACGTGAACCTAAAAATACTTTTTTCAATGTTCAGAGACTATCCAATAAGCTAAAAATCCTTTCTCTTGACCAAAAAGACAAATTATACAGAATATTTATGAACCATGAAAACAAATAAATCTCATTTGAGACCTCTGTCTCAAGAATAATTTTGTTCATATTTCTAGCTCTTTCAAAGTAATAGGTTTCATCTCATGTTATTATTTTTTTTTTTTGCAAAGAGATATGTTTTTTGCTGCCAAATTGTTTTGCTTCTGAGCTTCTTTCTATCCAGCCAAAAATTTAAATATTGTATCATCATAGACATCAATGTTCATGAAACTTGCTGTAAGTAATTTCGGAAAGTCATAAATAATGGTATATTTGTTTTCTATTTTGTTGATATAACAAATCACTACAAACTTTGTGGTAATTTGTGGATTAAAAACAATGCAAACTTGGCCAAGCACGGTGGCTCACACCTGTAATCCCAGCACTTTGGGAAGCTGAGGTGGGTGGATCACCTGAGGTTAGGAGTTCAAGACCAGCCTGGCCAACATGGTAAAACCCTGTCTCTGTTAAAAATACAAAAATTAGCTAGGCATGGTGGTGCATGCTTGTAATCCCAGCTACTTGGGAGGCTGAGGTGGGAGGATTGCTTGAACCTGGGAGGCGGAGGTTGCAGTGAACCAAGATCATGCCACTGTACTCCAGCCTGGGCAACCGAGCCAGACTCCATCTCAAAAAAAAAAAAAAAAAATCCAAAGCAAACAAAACCCCCCCCCCCACTCTTATTATCTTACAATTTTATAAAGTAAGAAGGCTGACACAGGTCTCACTGTGATGATGTCAGCAAGGCTGATTCCTCTGGAGGGTACATAGTTAAAATCAATTTCCTTACTTTTTCCAGCTTCTAGAGGCCACATGCCTCCCTTGGATAGTGGCTCCATTTCTTCATCAACTAGCAACCATTATTTTCTGATCCTTTCTGCGCTGTCAGTCTCTCTGGACACAGCTGGGAAAGGTTCTTGCTCTTAAGGATCCATGTGATTATATTGGGTCTGCCTGAATAATCCACAATAATTGCCCTATCTCAACGTTAGCTGATTAGCAAACTTAATTGCGTCTTTAACTCATTCTCTTTTGCCACGTTCGCAGGTTCTAGTGACATCTTTGGTTTGAAGGTGGGGAGGGGGCTTAATTTGCATACTTCCCATGAAGACTATATTATCACTTCAGATTTAAGTAAATTTATAATGAACATTAATTTTTTTCAGATTTTTTTCCCAACTGGAAATATATTTGGCATTCTAGAAACCTCAATGAAGCATCTAGTAATTGAAATTACTGACTTTTAAATTGCTTTCTCTTTGCTGCTGCTATGTACCAAAAGTTTGAATTAAATAAACGTGCTTCTGAAAATTCCTGAACATAAAACACAAGGTGGATATTGTATTCTTTCCCATTATTTTATTTCTTATAATGAATGAAGTAGATATTATTTTAATCTTAACATGCACATTGAAAAAAACTGTCTTCATATCTTTAGTTTATTTGCCTAGTTAATTACATTTGAGGATTCTAATTCTTACTGTTAATGTTTTGCCTTGTTTCTGTTCTCCTACACTCTATGATTTCATATATAAGATTATTTATTTTTGTATGGAATCTATTTTTGTCCCACTAGTAAATAAAGTCCGTGAGGCAGATATTTTGTTGTTGCAGTTGGTGTTCACTGCTGTTCCCCATAGCACTTACAACAACATCACCTAACTTCTTCTCTGCTCCACACTGACTCTGAAAGAAGGCAAAGCAGTGAAAAGACTGAAGATGGTGTAGAGCTATGGAAACCAAGAGAGGCGAGAGTGTCTTCTCTGCACTGAGGGTGATCCAGTGATCTTGCTTTATGGCACTGTTACTTATGAAACAGGAGGAAGAAACCAATGATCAAACAGTCAGTCTGACATGTGGATATCTATTTTAACATCTACATCACCTAGGTGGAGGTATAAGCATAGGTACAGGTTTATACTTACATTGAGGTAAATAGTGAAAGGTTTGTGGGCCTAGAAACACTTTTACTATGTGTTTTTTTAAACTATAAATGATACTGACCTAGCTCTACCTGTTTCACCAGAGTAAACTATTTCCTAGTCATTACTTCCTTTAATAATGATAACAGTCATTCGTAGGCACCTAATTTAAAACTTCTTAGGTCCTATTAGCCATTAGTCCACAAATATTTAACAGTGGCTTTCTATGAACCAGACATCATGTTAAGTGGGATACAAGGGGCAGGGAGGGGAGGGAGAGAATCAGTACAAATTCACTTTAATGTGACCTCTAAAGATTTCTTAAGAATGCCCCACCATATTAGTCAGAATTTTCCAAGGGGACAGAACCAATAGGAGATAATATAGAGATGCAAAGATATGAGGTAGCATTTATTAGAGGAGTTGGCTCACGTAATTATGGAGGCTTGGAAGTCTCATGGTGGGCTGTCTGCAAGCTGGACAACCAGAGAAGCTGGTAGAGTGGCTCAGTCCAAATCCCACAGCCTCAGGACCAGGGAAGCCAATGGCATAACAGTCCAAGGTCAAAGGTCTAAAACCTTGATGGGCTGCTGGTGAAAGTCCTGGAATCCAAAGGTCAGAGAACCTGAAATTCTAATGTCCAATGTTAGGAGAAAAAGGTGTCTTAGCTCTAGGAGAAAAAAAGGTAATTTGCCTTTCCCCTGCCTTTTTGTTCTATCCCGGCCCTCAGCCAATTGGCTCATGCCCGCCCACGATGGGTGAGGGCGGATCTTCCTTACTCAGCCCACTGATTCAAATGCCAACCTCTTCTGGAAACAGCCTCACAGACATACCCAGAAATAATGCTCTACCAGCTATTTGAGTATCCTTTAATCTAGTCAAGTTGACACCTAAAATTAACCATCACACTCCCCCACTGAATTTTATCATACTTTTTTCTACATTCAGAGAAAACAAGAGAACTAGCCAATTCGCCCCACTGGTTTAAAAATTCCTTTGAGTGAGAGAATCATAACAAGTAATTTGTAAACAGTATTTCCAGCAAGTTGATAAGAATACTTGCCAAGTTGATTTTTGATGACAACGACTGATCTATTCAATCAGAAAATGTTTCTGTAAACATCATTTTTTTTTTCTGGTCATAAGCCAAGGTACATGTGTCTCAGTCCACTTATTTGAGGACACAACAGAAAAAAAAGAAAATGCTAAGAAATGCCATTTATAATATGGTACCTCTTTCCAAGAGAGGACTTGAAAGTAACAATTTGGAAATCATATTCTAATGGTGTGGAGCTCCTATTTCCTTTCTGACTTCATCTGCTACTACGGCTGCCTTCCCATTTCATTCCAACCAGATTGGCTTCCTCGCTGTCTTTTAAACACAACAGCCATCCACTCATCTTGGCATTTTTTCACTTCCTCTTCTTTTGTTCTGTCGCTCTTTCTACCTGCGTTACTCCCCAGCTCTTTCACAACATTAGTTATGTGCTACCTCCTCAAGGTATATTCTGGCCACACTTCAAACCCCTCTCTACCTCAAATTCTGTCTCCTTTTCCTTTTTAAGTCTTTTCTCTGTAATATTATTTATTATCTGTATCATCTGTCTTGTGTGCCAGAACTTAAGCCCTTGAGGCAGAAGAAGTTTGATTATTTTGTCCAGGGCTGTACCCCCAGGTTGTAGAACATTTTAAGCACTTAATAAATATTTGTCAAAGGAATGGATTCAAGGTCACCTAATCTGATTCCAGAGCTCCAATGAGTAGCTTGAATACATTACTAGACAGTGAGTTCTTAAGGCTAGGATCTCTTGTATAGGATCTGCCTCTCTCTCTCTCTCTCTTTCTCTCATGCTTTTTTTGTTTTGTTATTGCCTTGCAATTCCACAGTACCTGAAAAAAAAGTGTCCACTGAAATGTTTGTTGAATTTAGTTATATTTTATAGCACCTCTAAAAGGAATGGTGAAAATTGTGGCTAACTTTAAAGAAATCTGTTGTCATAGAACAGCTTCTCAGTCTGAGGCCTCTTTGATCTTATGCAACAATTTATAAAATGGGATGCATTTACCATGGTGAGTATTTTCAGAGAACAGATAATTAGTTAGAGAGTTAAGTCCTTTCCTAATAAGAGAGAATTACCTATGCTTACTTTCATTTCAAGTATTTCAACTGTATTCAGGATAGGGAGGCTTAAGCCAAAGAGGAACCATAAATATCAAGAAAATACTATTTCCTTCTGAGAACAAGCATGGTGTGTGGGAGGAAATTCTGGCAAAATGGTCACTGAATAAATTCAGCCAAAATCTTGATGGCTTAAGCAGAAAATATAGGTGTTTTTTTAAAAATCATGCTCCAGAATAGAATACTTAAAGTTGCTTTGGTTTAATTATAGGCAGTTCAGTGACCTTTGGCAAGCCAACCTCTTGCCTGTTGGTAGCCTTTCACATAAAAACAGCTCTAATATAGCAATGCTTTATATTACCTCTCAGGTAGTACTACTGTTTAAAGACTTCTCTAATATTGAACTGCCTTGCTCAATGCAAATCATATTTTCTATATTTTTATATTTCCCACATACCAACACCAACCTATATTTTTTTAAAAAGCAAAAGAAATCTAGAAACTTCCTTTTTCTTACTTGCTTCATTATTTTTTTAATTGACACAAAATAACTGTACATATTTATGGGCTACAGTGTGATATTTTGATACATGTATACAATGTGCAATGATCAAGTCAGGGTAATTAGCACAGCAATCATTTCAAACACTTATTTCTTTGTTTTGAGAATATCAAAAATTTGCCCTTTAGCTATTTGATACAATAAATTGTTGTTAATTATAGTCATCCTATAGTGCTATAGAACAGTCACACTTATTCCTCCTATCTAGCTGTAATTTTCTATCCATTAACGAACCTCTGGCTATCTTCTGCTTCCTAGTCTTTAGACTATCATATATACTGAGATAATAATATGAGGGGCGATTGGTGGATTTTTTTCTGATTTTTATTCTAGGTCTACCTCTTTTGTTCCTGGTGCTCAAAGCATACACATAAACCATATTTTTTTTTAACTGTCATCCATTAACAAGGGGGGATAAGAGTTTTTAAGTTTCCTAAATTTGGGAGTCAATATGGGACAGATAAATAATATTTCTTAGATATTTTCATCAGATATCACAATGTATATATACTGGTGTTCCTCTAAGATCGTTATTTTTCTTCTTCTTCTTCTTTAGTCTCCCTCTGTCACCTAGGCTGGAGTGCAGCGGCGTGATCTCAGCTCATTGCAACCTCCGTCTCCCAAGTTCAAGTGATTCTCCTGCCTCAGCCTCCCAAGTAGCTGGGATTACAGGCATGTGCCATTATGCCTGGCTAAGTTTGTATTTTTAGTAGAGATGGGGTTTCACTGTGTTGATCAGGTTGGTCTCAAACTCCTGACCTCAGTTGATCCGCCCACCTTGACCTCCCAAAGTGCTGGGATTACAGGCGTGAGCCACCACAGCAGGCCAGAGATCCTTTTAAAGGTGCTAAATAATTATACTTCTTTTATCTTTTGTTGGTTTCCTGCTTATCTCAAAATCATCTCTTTTGCTCAGTTAAAACACTAAGCACTTAGAGTGGCAAATTTGTGGAGGTAAGAGAGTAAGTTTTTTATAACCCGCATAGTGTGAGGCGTGCTAAGTTTTCTTTCCCTCCAGAAGATAATAATATAACACAAATAGTGATTAAACATTATTTAATGAAAATTCTTTGATAGAAATAGTATCAAGGCTTTCCTGATTTAAGTGAATTTTCAGACTCAATGACCAAGTTTATTGCTCACATTTTCTCTGAGAACTTGTGACGTAATCGATAAAATCAGTAAATTTAGAATTCAGTAGAATTCAGCTATAGATATTAGATCATACCAATGTATACAGGAGCACTTCCATTTTCACTGACAAAAGAATTTGTCTGTAGAGATGGACTGGTTATGCAATCTTTTTGGATGAAGACTTGATCTCTATAATGTTACGGCCGGCAAATCAGACAAACATCTCAACCATGCAATCAAAGTTAATACCAACATGTTGTCATGTTGGTAAGTCATGCTGATAGAACGCATCCTTGATATGATATGATGAGAATTGTAATTTACCTTTACAATCTTCCTTCCAAATATGTGTAACCCCTGTCTACCGCAAACTGTAGAATGTTCCACAAAATTCCTGACCAGCATGACTCACAACTGTTAAATTTGTTCGGTTAAAAACAAGGAAAACCTGAGAAACTGTGACAGCCAAGAAGAGCCTGAGGAGACTTGCTGACTAAATGTAATGTGGTATACTAGACAATATCTTTAAATAGAAAAAAAGAACACTGGGGAAAAACTAAGGAATCTGAATAGAGTATGGACTTAATAATGTATCAATATTAATCAGCAGATGTGACAAATATACTACCATAAGATGTTAATGGTAGGAGAAATAGTGTAGATTATGTAGGAATTCTCTGTACTATTTTTGCAGCTTTTTATAAAAAAACTATTATAAAATGAAAAGTTTGTTAAAAATGAAGTTTGTCAAATATATTAATAAAAAATTTGTCATAACATATTCATAAATATTAAATAAATGTAAACAAAGAAAAAATATTTTTCTTAGTCCAACTGAACACATTTAAGGTGCACAATAGTTGCATGTGACTAGAGTCACAAGGTTAAGTTGACTAACCCTACTGGACAGCACGGATGTTAAACAGAATCTATTACCACACAAAGTTGTGTTGCACATTGTAAAACTCTGGAGACACCTTTCTTTCAATTTCTGATACTGGTTTTGAAGAATTGATATTATATTTATTGATTTTCTATTGTAGGTCTGCATTTAATTTCATCCATTTATATTCTTATCTATATATTGTATATAGTTTTTCTTTCTACTTCCCTTGGATTTACTTTGTCATTCTATTTTTTAGCTCCCTGTAAAGGAATCGATTAATGTTCCAAAGTGTTCTTTTAAAAATATATACATGTAAATATATAGATTTCACTATAAATATATATTTAAAACCTTCCATTTAGCTATATCTCACAATTTGTGATATTTTTATTATCACTCAGCTCAAAAGTGTTCTAATTTATGTTTTCTCTCACCTGCCTTGGTTTAATGTTATCAATATTTTACTTCTTTACATGTTTTATATATATTATACAAGATGGTTGTTACTGTTATTTTAAAGGATTAATATTCATTTTCTTACATATTTTTATTTTTTATTTCTTCACAATTCCATTCTTACATCTGCAGTCATTTCTTTTAGTGCATCTTACTTTAGTAATGATTTGTCTCAGCTTTTTCTTGTCTAAACCATGTTGATTTTGTTTTTATATTTGAAAGACATTTTTATTGAGTATAAATTTTAGTTTAACACTCTTTTCCTTTTTCCTTTTTTCTTTCTATTCCTTTTAGCAGCACATTAAATGTGTCATTCCATTGTCTTCAGGGTTTCACAATTTTAGTTAAAATATCAGAGGTTGGTTTTATGATTTTTTTCCTTTGAATGTAAAGTCTCTTCTTTGCAGGGCTGCTTTTAAAATTTTCTATTTAGCTTGGGCTTATGGAATTGTTACTATTCCAAACATTGTATGTATGAGAGTGTGTGAGTGTGTTGTTTTGTTTGTTTTTCTACTTAGGGTGTGCAGAGCACAGTAAATTAATGTGTTTACATCTGTCTTCATTTTTGGAAAAATATTTTATCTCTTAAAATATTGCTTTGGCAAAATTATATTTCTGGTTTTTTGAGGGGAGAGTTTGATTTCATGCATTTTTGACTATTTGATCTGCATCTTTCTTCTGCTTGGCTATTTTCATTCTTTATTCACCAGTCTGTGCTTTAATTTGGTAATTTTCTATTGTCCTATATTTGAATTCACTATTTTTCTTCTTCTGTGCCCAGTATATTAAACCTATGAAGTAAGTTATTAATTGTTGTGGGAAGTCAGGGACCCCGAACGGAGGGATTGGCTGAAGCCATGGCAGAAGAATGTGGATTGTGAAGATTTCATGGACATTTATTAGTTCCTCAAATTAATACTTTTATAATTTCTTATGCCTGTCTTTACTGCAATCTCTGAACATAAATTGTGAAGATTTCATGGACACTTATCACTTCCCCAATCAATACCCTTGTGATTTCCTATGCCTGTCTTTACTTTAATCTCTTAATCCTGTCAGCTGAGGAGGATGTATGTCGCCTCAGGACCCTGTGATGATTGCCTTAAGTGCACACATTTTTTGTAGAGCATGTACGTTTTAACAATATGAAATCTGGGCACCTTGAAAAAAGAACAGCATAACAGCAATGTTCAGGGAATAAGACAGAAAACCTTAAACTCTGACCGCTGGTGAGCCGGGCGGAACAGAGCCATATTTCTCTTCTTTCAAAAGCAAATGGGAGAAATATCGCTGAATTCTTTTTCTCAGCAAGGAACATCCCTGAGAAAGAGAATGCGACCCTGAGAGTGGGCCTCTAAAATGGACCCCTTGGGTGTGGCCATCTTCTATGGTCAAGACTGTAGGGATGAAATAAGCCCCAGTCTCCCATAGAAGTCCCAGGCTTATTAGGATGAGGAAATTCCCACCTAATAAATTTTGGTCAGACCGGTTGCTCTCAAACCCTGTCTCCTGATAAGATGTTATCAATGACAGTGGTGCCCGAAACTTCATTAGCAATTTTAATTTCGCCCCGGTCCTGTGGTCCTGTGATCTTGCCCTGCCTCCATTTGCCTTGCGATATTCTATTAACTTGTGAAGTACGTGATCTCTGTGACCCACACCCTATTCGTACACTCCTTCCCCTTTTGAAAATCGCTAATAAAAACTTGGTGGTTTTATGGCTCAGAGGGCATCACGGAACCTACCAACATGTGATGTCTCACCCAGAGGCCCAGCTTTAAAATTTCTCTCTTTTGTACTCTGTCCCTTTATTTCTCAAACCGGCCAATGCTTAGGGAAAATAGAAAAGAACCTACGTGATTATCGGGGGCAGGTTCCCCGATAATTAGTTTTAGAAATTTTAATTTGCATGTCTAGAATGCACTCTAGATTAGTTTTATAGATTTCAATTTTCTGTTGACATTGGCCATCTTTTTCATGCTGTTGTCATATTTTCTCATATACAATTATCAAAATTATTTTAAGGTCATCATTTACCAACTCCAATACCTTAGGCACATGTTTGTATCCTTTTCCTCTTTATTATTCAGTTACATTTTTCCGTCTCTTCACATGTGTGGTATATTTTTCCTTTGTTTTATTTTATTCTGTACATTTTACATAAAATAACCATATGGAATAAAGTTGTTCTAGTGCTTCTTTCCAGAAATTTTACCAAAGTAAAATAAATGGTCTATTAGGCATGAACTACCCAAGGAAATGAGGTGATGTCTGTAAAACAAACAGAATGCTCTTTGATATGAAAGGGAAAGGTTTCCAGGATGTATTGTTAAGTATAAAAAGTATGTAAAGACGCATATGTATAGTATGCTTCTATTTTTTTAAAGTATAAGCATACAAGAATTCTAGAAGTACAATTAAATAATGTTTATTTCAGCTTTTTATTTTTTAAAAAACATGTAAAGATTCTGAAAATACGTATTTTTATTCTTCTATTTGAAAAAAGTTATACCTCCTTCTCAACAAGAAGAAGAGAATAAAAGCAAGACAAAAAGGCAAAAAAAAAATGGGGGGGATGAAAGAGGAAGGGGAAAAAAGTGTCTGAAAATCATAGCTTTAGAGATTATCACCCATAATTGTGAAATATTCCTTATAAAAAGTTACTTAGAGAAACGTTAAAACATTCACTTTTAAATATGTATTCTTTAATAATAAACTTTTGCATTTAATTACCAGATTGTCTCTACTTTTGTGGTGTACAGCTAAGTAAATATTAGAGTCAGTTTTGCTATGAGCTCAGTTTCACTGATCATAACAGAAATTCAAAGTAAAACCACAGCAAGATACTATCTCACACCAGTCAGAATGGCTATTACTAAAAGCCAAAAATTAACAGATGCTGGCGAGGAGATGATGATGTTGTGGAGAAAAGGGAATACACTGTTTGTGGGAGTGTAAATTAGCTCAACCATTTTGGAAAGCAGTGTAGAAATTCCTCAAAGGGCTAAAAACAGAACTACTATTTGACCCAGCAATCCCATTACTGAGTGTATACCCAAAGGAATGTAAATCATTCTACAATAATACACATGTGTGTTCACTGCAGCACTGGTCACAATAGCAAAGACATGGAATCAACCTAAGTGCCCGTCAATGACAGATTGGATTTAAAAAATGTGGTACATATACACCACGGAATACTTTGGTGACATAAAAAAATAATGAGATCATGTCCTTTGTGGGAACATAGATGGAGCTGCAGGCCATTATCCTTAGCAAACTAATGCAAGAACAGAAAACCAAATACTACATTCTCTTACTTATAAGTGGCGGCTAAATGGTGAGAACGCATGCACACAAACAGAGGAACAATAGACACTGGGGCCTACTTAAGGGTGGAAGGTGGGAGGCAGGAGAGAATCAGAAAAAAATAACTCTTGGTTACTAGGCTTAGTTTCTGGGTGACAAAGTAATCTATACAACAAATCCCTGTGACACAAGTTTATCTATGTAACAAACCTGTGTATGTAACAAACCTGCATATGTACCCTTGAGCCTAAAATAAAAGTTAAAATAAAATTTGCTATGAGTATGAATCAAAGACATATCTTGACTTAATTTTGGCCTGGAATTCAATTTCATCATACAATATGAATTGAATACTTAATGCAAATATTAATGCTCTAAAAATAACTTCTGCTTTATGATGAGAATTATCTTTTCAGATACAAAATATACTCAGTTCCCTTGGCAGCCAATATAATTTATAACTAAACTTTTATTTATATAAAATAATAAATGTGCATATATATAAAGAGAAATATAATGTAGTAGAACTTACAGTAACATATATGAACAGCAAAAACTATAAGCCATGAAATTTTAGCATTAACCATTAGTTCACATAGTGGTTTAATATCTGACTTGATATTTCCTAAAATAAATATGTCAATGACTGTTACTGCATCAGCTAACTGAAAGCTCAGTACCTCTCAAGGCAATAAATGTCAGTATCTGACAGTTCTCGTGGTTAGAAATGTAATTCTTTTATCGAGTAAAATTAATTTACTTTCTCCATAGGTCACTTTATCTATTGATTGGTAAGCAGACAATTCTCATATCTAAATAACTAGCCTTGCCCTCTTTAGAAATTCCAGGCTTGAATTTCAAATCATTTTTTATTCTCACTACCTGTATAGAGTAAACTCCTCTAAATCAACATGACCAGAATTTCATCTAAGTGTGTGTATCCTTCTCACACCTGCATTGTCTATTTTATCCTCCTAATTACAACATAAAACATCTTTAATTGTGACCCCCCCCACACTTCATACCATATACCTAGTTCTTCAATAATTCATTTTTACTTATAAAATGCAACTCATTTATTTCCTTCTCATTTCCATTTTAATAGTCTCTGCAATCATTATTTCTCCTTTTTCCTTTTCCTCCTTTGAACTCTTGGGTGCAAATAGTTGTTCTAATCACAATCCCTAGTTTATGATGTACTGTTTTAATTAGTGGAAAGCTATTTTACTTTATTTATGCTAATGGTATAGTGAACATTGTGAACATATTATCAAACCTGAGAACCAAAAAATTAACAATAACTATGTGCTTCTCTCTGGTCCTTAAGCCCTCCTAAATTTATTTTAACATTCTCTTTCTCTTCCATAATAGTTTCATTACATATTTTTATTACCAAACTATATGTTGGTTACTTTTAAATGATTTTGAATTTTGTATAAAGGGAATATATTTTATATACTCCTGTGAAACTTGCTTTTATTAACTCCTTTTTACTTGTGCATAACATTTTATTTATCTAACAGAAATTGTTCATTCTCTTGTTGATCAACACTTTATTTGTTTCCAGCTTGGGTCATTTAGAAATAATTTTTATGGACAACAATGTTTCTTTCTGCACTTATGCAAGAGTATCTCCTGGGTATATGCAAAAGTAAAATTGCTATATGAGTATGTAAATATTCAATTTTTAAAATATTAGAAAATTGTTTACAGAGAGGTTATAGAAATTACATTCCTATCAAATGTGCATATTGATCCATACATATGTTTGCTAAATTTGGTCTGATTAGACATTAAAATGTAGGAATTAAATGGGGCCGATATTGTCTTCTGTTTCTGATTTACAATTTTTGACTAGTAATGAAATTTTTTTCATATTTATCAGAATCACCCATTTTGCCTTTTGAGAAATGCCTGCTTATGTCTTTTGCACAATTTTCCAATATATAGTTTTTCCATGTCCCTTCACTTTTAGGAGTTATTTATACATTCTGGGTATCAATTGTGCCAATTTTATATATTGCGAAATACCTTTTCCCAGTTTATAGCTTGTCTTTATACTTTTTATTTATTTATTTATTTTTGAGACTGAGTCTGGCCTTGTCACCAGGCTGGAGTGCAGTGGTGCGATCTGGGCTCACTGCAACTTCCGCCTCCAGGGTTCAAGCAATTCTCCTGCCTCAGCCTCCTCTCAGCTTGTGCCTGGGACTGCAGGCACAAGCCACCACACCGAGCTAATTTTTGTATATTTTTTTTGTATATTTAGTAGAGACGGGTTTCACCATGTTGGCCAGGATGGTCTGGATCTCCGGACCTCGTGATCCGCCCACCTCAGCCTCCCAAAGTGCTGGGATTACAGGCATGAGCCACCGCGCCCGGGGGTCTTTATACTTTCTTTAAGATGGAATTTGATGAACAAGAGTCCTTAAATTTAAGTAGTTAGTGATTTGTTTCTTGTTTAATAAATAATTCCCTTGACCACATGGTAGAAAGTTGTTTGTATTTCCTTCTAAAAGTCTTGTTTTATATATGAAAGTTCTTAATCCATCGAAGTTAATTTCTATGCCTGATAAAAGAGTGAGATCTAATTTCATTTTTCTTCCATATGGGTAATCCACCATCTCTTTATGATCTGCAGTGACACATATATAAAAATTCCATAAATGTTTAGACTTTTTTTTTTTTTTTTTTTTTTTTTTTTTTTTTTTTTTTGAGACAGGGTCTTACTCTGTCACACAGACTGCAGTGCTTTGGTGCGATCTCGGTTCACCACAACCTCTACCTCCCAGGCTCAAGTGATTCTCCTTCCTCAGCCTCCCAAGTAGCTGGGGTTACAGGCGCATGCCATCACTGCCCGGCTAATTTTTGTATTTTTTAGTTGAGATGGGGTTTCACTATGTTGGTCAGGATGGTCTTGAACTCCTGACCTCAAATGATCCACCTGCCTCGGCCTCCCAAAGTGCTGGAATTACAAGCGTGAGCTACTGCGCCCAGGCCTAAACATGTTTTTAAGTTGCCTATTCATTATGTTAATAAAAGTATTCACCAAATAAATGTACTAAATATCCTTAACATCTAGAATTTTTTATAATGAGTGCTAATATTTGGTATGGCAATACTCTTCCACCTTTTTATTCTTTCTTTCAGAAGTATCTTGAGGTAAACTGTGTTATAGTTTATGAAAAAAATGTTAGTAAATTTTTGTTAGAGTTCCATAGAATCTATAGCATTTAGGGGAGTATTGCTATATCTACAACTATTAACTTATTGAAGAACCTAGAACATATTCTCTAATGAGGAAGGCAAGTACCATGGCCTTCTTTATGGTTCTATAGGTTTTTGTAAAGCTTTTATATTTTTATGTAGGTTTTCCACAGCATTTTGGTGGAATTTTCCCAGGTGTTTTTTAGTTTTTGCTTTTTATGATTGAAAATGGTGCCCATTTTTTAAAAAAGTTTTATTTGAAGTATATATACAGAAACTGTGCTTATTAGAAGGGTACAGCTTAACACAGTTTAACTGAACATGATTCTGTAACCAGCATCAAATCAAGAAAGATGACATTAATTTATGCATATATTTTAAAAATTATATTTTCTTGTGTCTTTGCTCCTGCTTAAAAGTGCAAATGAATTTTATTTTGATACTATTTTTAGCTGTGTAACTAAATTATCTTGTTTCTAATAATTTGAAGATATTTTAGTGTAAATCATCAGAAAATATGCCAATAATGAGATTCATTTTTCTTCTTTCTATTTCTTATGCTTTCAGAATTGTATACTGTAATTGCAACATTTAGGGCATCCACTACAATGCTGCATTGGAGTGGTGGTAGTGGGTCTACTTTTCTTGTTCCTGGTTTAAAGGCTTTTGATGTATTCTCATTTGATTCTTATGATAACTTTTCAGATTACGAATGTTCCCTTAAAACCCAGTCTAATAGAAGTTTGGTCAAGGAGAGATGCTGACATTTATGGAATGCCTTTTCTATATTTGCTGAGAATATAAAATAGTTTTCTTCCTTAATATATGAATGCAATGACTCACACACACATTGTACATGTATACTCATATTAGATCATTTGCTTTTCTTAGGATAATCCCAACTTTGTCATATTACATTATAATTTTAATATCCTCTTGAATTTTTTTCTAATATATTATTTAGAATTATTTGTAGTCTTATAGTATTATTTTTCCTTATTATCTTTATTTGTTTGGATATGTTAGTTTAACCAGAAAGAATGAATTACGGAATCTATTTTTCTTTTCTGTTCTTTCATGTTTCCATGTTCAAGTTTCACATGGAGTTCTAACTTTTTAAAATACCTCTTATGTTAACTTCTTTGGCCCATGAGTTAATTAGAAATAAATTCTTAATTTGTAAATATATTGAGATTTTAGAAATTTTTATTTTTTACTAACTTCTAATTTGATAATTCCATGGTCAAAGCTTCTGACCTACATAACTAATCTTTACATTTTTTAAAAGAATTATTAATACTCAGAAGTTAATCAACTTTATAAATGTATCATGACTGAGAATAATGTGTACTTTCAAATTATTTTATTTAGAACTCTAAATATGTGAATTAGATGAACTTTATTATTTTGCTCAAATATTATTGATTGATTTTTTTAGCCTGTTTGATTTATCAATAATTGATGGATATTAAAGTACTACACTGTGATTTTGTATGGATTAATACTATTTCTTTCAAATATTTATTAAATGCTTAAGTGATTAATGTTTTATCTTCCTGAAGAATTCAGTACTTTGTCAGCAGGTGGTTACTCTCTATATTCTTAGTAATATTTTGCCTTAACATCTGTTTTTAAAATATTAATATAGCTAAAGGAATTTTTTTCTGATTAGTGTTTATTATTTTAAATTTTTCTGTAATTTTTATGTTGATGTTAATTTAACGTTTACTTAAAAGGTGCAAGAATAGTATAAGGAACATTCATAAACACTTTTTCTAGATTCACTATTTGTTGTCTTATTTGCTTTATGTTGTCATTTGTAATACTATTGCTTAATCATCCCCTGAATTGTCCTTCTCCCTTATCGTATATATACATAATATTACTATATACACATGCTGATTTTGTATATTCATATATAATTTTCTGAGCTGACGAGAGTAAGTTGGAGATGAACAGTCTAGTGTTATTTCCTAAGAACAAGGACAGTCTATTACACGACTGTAGTACAATCAAAATTAAGAAATTGATATTCATGTAGTAAATTCTGTTTCCCTAGTCTTTTTTGTTTTAGTCATTCTAGTGTTGTTTAGTGATATCTCATTGTAGTTTAATTTACATTTTTCTGAAACATATTGTTGAAGACTTTATCAGATGCCTTTTGAACATTTTATTTCTTGCTTTGTAAAATGTCCATTCAAGACAATTGTGTTTTTTTGTTGTTGTTTGTGATTATTTTATTGGCTTGTTCTGACTGTGGTTGATTTGTTTTAATTATTGTAATAGTTTTTTTTATGTTTTACTATAATATCACTATCAGATATAAAACTTGAAAACATTTTTGGTGGCTTGTCTATTCATTTGTTTAATGGAGTAGTTTGTTAAGCACATGCTTTTGTTTTTAGTAAAATCTAAATTATCAATTTTTCTTTCATTATTATTTTTTCTGTCTTAACTAAAAAAATTTACCGACTTCTAGGCCATGAAGATATTCTCTTTAATATTTTTAAAAGCATTGTATTTTTACCATTCACTTTTATTTATGTGATTCATCTTGAATTAATTTTGAGTATTGTGCAATGTAGGGGCAGATGTTCATTATTTTCTATAAGTATATCCAGTTGTTCTAGAATTCTTTGTTAAAAGGTGGTCATTTCCCATGAATAGATTTGGTGACTTTGCTGACAATGATTTTATAACAGTGCACATATTTCTGGACTGTTTATTTATCTATTTATTTAACTGGTCTTATTTTAATTCCACACTCTCTTGGCTTCTGTAACATTTGAATTATACTTGAAATATGGTGGTATAAGTTCTCTTTCTTCTTCATTTTGAAGTTGTTTTGGAAATTATTCCCACTTTGCATATCTGTATAAACATAGGAATTGCATTAATTTCTATGATTAATACTGAGATTGTACTGAATTTATAGTTTGACTTGTGGATAATTGGTTTAGCAAAATAGAATCTTCCATTTCTGTGAATCTAGTCATGTGACATCTAGGTACTGAACTTACTGCAGGTTCTGCTGTGATTAATGAAATGGTGGCCCTGCCTGTTTCCAATCATGAGCTGGAAGAGCCTAAAACATCAGTAGCATTAGGAGATGAGGCAGTGATGGAGATTTTAATCCCTGGTTACTTTATTATGGCTGGTGCGTGCTACCTTTGAGGTTACTACTGCCTAGAAACATAATACTTGTCTGAGGTCTGGGAGGGCCATGGGGCCAACTGAAGTAACACATAGCCAGGTTGTTGATATAACATTCCTGTACAGAGCTGGATAAAATTAGTGAGGAATAAAGTCATTTTGTTTAGAATGCAATCATAGAGCATACACATATTTACTACATATAGGTAGGGAGCTGAGCTAAATAAATGGTAAGATATTCTTTTGTCAAATCACTAATTTGGTCAATCCTCATTCTTTTTCTTTTTTGTTTTATGATAATTTTAAAGATCATAAATTATCTATTTAAAAATTTGAAGAGTTTAGATACATTTTCTTTATAAAGCATAATATATTTGGCACCTAATTCCAATCTAGCAATCCAAGTAGAGAGCTTGATATTTTGATCCTCAAAAAAATCTGAATTTAGTTGCAATATCAAAAGTAAAATGAGCACAATGACTTCTGGTAATTCAGATGCTACAAGAAATAGAATTCTTCTCCGTTAGTACAATGGTCAGACTAAAACTGATGACCTCTGTCTTCATGATAGCCTTCTGAAAGTTGAGTAAGAAAAGTGTCTGATGTTATATTCATCAAATTTCCCTCTCATGTTTGAAAAGCCAGGACATGGAATACTGTCAGTATATTTAATTTAAGAATCTTATAATTAACCAAATATAGATACTGTTTAATGTAATCCTCTCACTATATAAACAGTTGTGATTCATTTTAATATTTCACTGAATCTGGAGTTCAGGAAGCAAGGGAAGAGAGAGAGAGAATCAGAGAGAGGTGGAAAGAGATAATTTTTTTTATTACAAATCATCTTATTAACTTGTCCCTTCACACCACTTGTCTATTATACTACTCTGGAGTCTGGAGGCAGGCTTCTCTGAGCAAATGCTCATTCAACAGCATGTTTACTCATAAGCTCAAGGCTCTGTTTAAGATATCAGAAAAATATTACAGTGCTCAGAGTATAATGCAGCTCCTTAATTAGATAATTTATTTACATATTAACTTTAGTCTTCTTTGTATTATACATATTAGCTTTCTGTCTTCTTCCCTTCTCCTTCTTCCTTCCCTTCCCTACCTTCCTTTCTCCTTCCACTCCTTTCTTTCCTTCTTTTATTCCTTTTTCCTATCAGTCTTATTTACTGTATGTGGGATCCTTTATTTTAGTTAGAGTCTTCTGAGAAGCAGATGCCAAAATAGAAATAAATGTCCAGGAGATTTGAGGAATGGAATACCTGTGATTGATAGAGCAATAGTCAGGGAAAGCCTTCAAATACTCATGCAGGTTTGACACCTCTGACAGGAGAAGGAAAAGAAAGAAGGAAGATTGGGCAGGAGGAGATTCAGACTGCTGAGTATTTCTAAGAAAGTTTATATTAGGTCAGTGAAGAATATCCAGTCCCTCAGGAATAGGCCTAAAGAGGTCACGACCTGTCATGCTCAGACAAAACTGAATGGATATAAAACTGTATCCCTATATGTCTTAGAACTCTTTTCTAATAAAAACATACTTTTAATTTTTGTATCCAATATGATAACATCTGGCTTTTAAAAGTCAAGCCTGGTGTATTGATATTTATTGATATATTTACATTTATTTATTTCATTTTTTTTCCTTTGAGACAGGATCTTGCTCTGTGGCCCAGGCTGGAGTGCAGTGGTGTGATCACAGCTCACTGCAGCATCAATCTCCAGGGCTCACACAATCCTCCCACCTCAGCCTCCTGAGTAGCTGGGACCACAGAAACATGTCCCCATGCCCAGCTAAACTTTCTTGTTTTTTCATAGAGACAAGGACTCACTATGTTGCCCAGGCTGGTCTTGAAATTCCGGGTTCAGATGATCCTCTTGCCTTGACCTCCCAGAGTCCTGGGGTTACAGGTGCGAGTCACCATGCCCAGCCTAAATTTATTTCTATCATTTTATTTTGTGGTTTTTATTTCCCTCAATGATATTTGAATATATTTTCTTCCTTTCCTCCTTTCAACTGAAATGATTGTGTTTATGTTTAATTCCTTCTCTTTACCCCCTTCGAAGTTTTTATTTTTATTCTTTTATTTTAAAAGTCATTACTCTTAATATGCATGAAGAAAGCTGATATCTTTATTCAACTCAATGCTAATCAGTCCCTTCTGTCATCCATGATATTGCTATGCACCATTTTAGTTGTAGCTTGTTTTTACCTTAAAACAAGCTACAACTTGTTCTGTATGGACAGAAGAACCCTGTGTAGGTTCTTAGTTGGAAGGAACCCCTCTAAAAAGAGAAAGATTAACAAGAGAAAAACAAATAGAAATTTATTAACATGCATATTTTATTTATACTTGGAAGAAACCCTGGGAATCAATAGTGTTCAAAGACATGGCCTTGAATTTCAGCTTATATCGCATCTTCAACAAAGAACAGGGAATTTTTAGAAAAGTGACAATACAAAAGGACATTGAGTCTCTAGGGGTGTCAACTTGGGGGAAGGCAAATAAATGGCAGGAAAGGCAGATTAACAAGGCTTATTAATGTAGTTTGTTCTGATACCATTTCCAGGATGATAGGATCTAAATTGTCTTCCACGGTTAACCTTTGTCTTTCCTGGTTGGGAGTGTCAGAGTATCTTTTGTCTTTGCAAATTGACGTCTTGCTTTAATGCTAGTAGAGGAAAGGGAGATAACTTTCTTACATCAACTATTTCTTAATTATCTTCAGCTCAGCAATTATTCATAACTTCGGGTGGCAATATCTGGTCTCCCACAACGCCCAAAACTAGACAAGATTATGATTATTTTTTCACATAGTCAATAAATTTTTTATTGTACTACCTCTTTATCAGTTTCTTTATCATTGTTTTTGTCTCTAATCTTCACTTCTGAGACCTATTTACTTTTTTTTCAAATATATCTGTAACCATGGGACCAGCCCAAACTGGACCTGCTATGCTGGTAACAAAATGTAGAGTTATCTTGTAGATATAACAGTATGAAAAACTGGCTCACGTAGCACAGGCATGCACAATAGAAAAAGCTTAGACTTTTCACAACATCTGGAACAAATGATTCCTCCTCTCAGAACCAAGAAGACTGGGACATGACCACAACATAAATGATAGAACTCTTTCAAAAGCAAGGGGTCTATTGGTCTGAAAGATTCAGGGCTAAAATCTGTCTCAACATACCTTACTGTCAATGGTCAAATTTGAAGCCCTCCAATAAGACCCTGCCAAGCAAACATTCTTAAGTCCTTTTCCTTGCCCTCTGATCCCTTAAAACTTGCTTCAGACCTCATTGAGCTTGTTTTCTGTCTCCTTGCTGAAGAGGCAGAAAACAATAAAACCCTTCCTTTCCCAATAAGCCATTGCCATAGTGTTGGCTTTATGTGCATTGGGTGGCAAGTTCATTTGCTTGACAAAATATCCTTTATTAATTTTGTAGTGAGGTTCTTTTAGTAGTTATCTATCAACCCTTTTCGGAATGCTCATTTATGAATGATAGTTTAACTTGGCATAGAATTATAATCTGTAAGTTTAATTTTTTTTTAAATCAGTGAATTGTTAGCTTATGTGTTTTAGTCCTAATTTTTACTGCACTATACATTTTTTTTGAGTCCTGAGGATTTTCTTACTTCATTATGCCTTGTAATTTGTATAGGGGAGGGAATCATGAATTTGTCATCACCCAAAGTGTTCTTCTTGCCTGCTACCCAGATAGAGCCGATTTACCAGGACAACAGAACTGTAATAGAGAAAGAATTTAATAAATGCTGAGCCAGCTAAGTGTAAGACTGGAGTTTATTACTCAAATCAGTTTCCCAAAAAATTGGAAACCAGAGTTTTTAAGGATAATTTGACAGGGGGCTACAGAATGGGGAATGCTGATTGATTGGGTTGGGGATGAAATCACAGGGGGTTGAAGCGGGGTCTTCTTGGTCACCTCAGTTTCTAGGTGGGATTGCAGAAGTACTTAAGCCAGTTTACTGGTCTGAATGGCACTAGCTGGTACATCAGAAAGCAGAGTCTGAAAAACATCTTGAATACCAATCTTAGGTTTTACAATAGTGATGTTACCCAATAGGAGCAACTGGGGAGGTTACGAATCTGTGGTCTCTGGCTTCATGACTTCTGAGCAATAATTTCTCTTCTTGTGGTAAATTGGCTAGGCACTTTAGGCCCCAAGCAAGGAGGAGATTTGTTTGGGAGATTTGTCATCTTTGTTTAAAAGTTAAACTATAAACTAAGGTCCCCCCATAGTTAGCTCAGCCATGCCAGGAATGAACAAGGGCAGCCTGGAGGTTATAAACAAGATAGAGTTGGTCAGGTCAGATTTCCTTCACTGCCATAATTTTTCTATATCAGTTTTTTTCTCAGTGCCATAATTTTTGCAAAGGGGGTTTCAGCTTCCCTGCACACGCCTGGGTTTTTTGGCTGGGCCAAGGTAACTATGGGCTATCATAAGACAGATTAAAAGGATAATTTAAAAACCATTTTAGTTACGTGCATATCTATATATGCAAGGCAGTCTCACAAAAATATGAGACTCGAAGGGCCGGATGATTGAAGCTTATATAGCATCCTGAGTTACAGAAAGACATAGGGGATTGGGGCTTCTTTGGTGGTGGAGGAAGGGCTGAGCCAAATTATGAGCCAGTGAGGGGAGGAAATGTATGGTGAATAAACGTTACCTTATTATGCAGATAAAAGCCTCTCAGGTGATAAAAGTTGTGTTAGAGTAGCTCTCTTCCTGGTATAGATATTTTTACTAATGTAAATTTCCTTTATAGATATGTTTCCTTTACAAATGGGAGGTTTTTAAGAGCTACTCCTGTGTCTGCAGTTTCTCAAAATAACCAACTCCAAATAATCAATATGCCAAAGAGGTATATTTGGAGTAGCATATTCTAGACTCCTGCAGTCATAGTTTGGGCTGGTGTGTCCTGAGTCCCAACATGTGTATTTAGAAATACATTCTTTATGTTGTATCTAGCATCTAGAAATTTTGAAGGGAATTTTGTTTTATTGTTATCTGCTTTGCTATTTTCCGAAAAGTGGAAATCTGCTAACATAGCATCATAAAGTCAGAGCTGACAGGTAATTGCTCTGTCTCTGTTGATTATCAACTTCTAACTGTTATCCATTGTTATTCTCTTTGAAAGGATTTATCCTTAAATGACCTTTTGTTGCACTTTTCATGACACTTTGTGCATTTGGAAGATGAATTAGCAAAATCATTCCATGTTGTGTGAAGTGCAGGAATGGGGATAGGGGTTAAATCCAGACCATCATGTCATGAGAAAGCATTATGAGCATTTCTATGGAATTAGTAGTTTAATTAAACAGAGGCCCAAAATCTATAAACAACATGGTAGACACTGAACAGAAGCAGGAGCATCAGCTACACCAGAGAAAAGACTCTACACAGATTTCATTATGGAAAAGGTTGCCTTTTGTATTAGTCTTTTCACATCTTCATATGTATTATTAATATTGTCAAAAATTCACAGCTAAGAAAGTTAGATAAGGAAAACCTGGAGGGCTTAAAACACTTAGAAAAAGAGTATCAAGCATGTTTTGTGCTGCCATAAATTTCTTTATGATATTTTGTGACTGAGATAATGAGATATAAACCTCTTTAATAAACCAAAAACGTATTAGACACACAAAAAAATTATTCCACTGGGTTCTGTTGATGATTTGGGACTCAGAAAACAGCCTCAGAGTAAAGGCTACGAAACAGACTCAAAGGCAGTTTCTCTCTGACCTTCTCTGCCTTCGTTTCTCTCATCCGTCACTTTCCTGCACTGCAAGCCATAGGATCTAGAATCCTTCTCTCCAAGGGGAGTCATAGAAACCAAAAACCGTTTTCTCTAAAGCCAGTCATAAAATCTAAAAATGTTACTCTAACTTTCCCCCTCCTTTCTATGTAAGAACTGGCCAAGAAAGAAATTCTCTATCTTTTTTGATTGTAGGCAATAAGACCCTCATTCCAGAGAGGGTCATTCCCCATACCTGGAAAGTAGGAAAGCTGCACAAGAGGCCAAAAAGAACTTGAACAGACAGGCCTTGCTAGGTTTCCCCACTCAGTCTATTTTCATTAGCTCGTACTGTTTTTGCCCAATCACATTTCTACGTGGCCATCCCTGCTTTATCAAACCAAAGCATGAAGTCAGATTGTTTCCCCTGTTTCTTCAGGCTTCTTTCTGAAGGCTCCTATGCCATACAAAATTATGATTAAATAAATTTGTTATGTTTTTTCTTGCTAACCTGCCTTTTTGTTGTAGGAATGGAGGTTGCGACCCTGATGATAATGCTGATCATGCTTGCATTATGGAACAGAATATTTAACTCTTAGAGTTCTTTGTTAACTCAGTAGACAAAGATGAAAATTTTTCTATTGTTATTATGCCAAAAATAAGGAAAAGGAATAGATACATTGAAATGATAATGCTTTGTGTGACTCTTGTATTTCTGCATCCACATATTACGTTCTAATAATATGAGGCCAACGTTCCTGTAATCATGATTATAGTGGGTAAAATCATTCATGTCCCTCCAAAATATATGTTGAAGTCTTAAACACTCATTCTTTTGAATTTTATTTAGAAATAGAGTCTTTCAGATGCAAGCAAGTTAAAATCAGATCCTTAGGCCAGGCGCTAATCCAAGATAACTGGTATCCTTATAAGAAGAGGAGACAGACAGAGGCACACAGGGAGAATGCCATGTGATAGTGAGGGCAAAGAGTGGAATGATGTCTCTAAGACAATGACGTGGAGCCAGTTCTCCCTCGGGCCTTCAGAGAGAAATGGCCCTGCCAACACTTTCATTTCAGACTTCAAGCCTCTAAGACTCATGAGAAAATACATTTCTATTGTTTTAAGCCAATCAGTTTGCATACTTTGTTTTAAGCAGCTCAGTTTGTGTACAGTTGTATACAGATTAGGCATTGTGGAAAGGAAGATTAATAAACTCAAATCCAAAGTAAAAGATTAGAAAAAATTTTTTTAAATGAGGAAAAGGAGAAAGCAGAGAAAATGAATGAGGAGGAGGGAATATCAGTCAGTGATCTACGGGATAACTTTAAGTAAACTGGTATATGTGTATCTGGAGTCTATGACAGAGGAGACAGGGAGGAATAGATTGCATGCTAATTTGAACATCTGTTTTAGTTAGGGGTCAGTGTTGTTTGTGTGATTTTTCTCCTCTTGTGGGTGATATTTTCCAGCTTCCTTTTATGCTGTAATTTTTTTATGTGTTTGTAAGTTTTTTTAATTGGATGCCAGGCATTGTGAATTTTACTATGTTGAGCACTGTGTATTTTTGTTTTTCCTAAGTATTCTTAGGCTTCTTTCTGAGTCGCAATTAAGTTACTTGAAAATTATGTGATCATGCTGGGTTTTGCTTTTAAGATTAAGATTTTTTTCAGGTGAGACCAGAGCTGTGTTCAGTCTAAGGCTAATGATTTCCCACTTGTGAGACAGGAATCTAAGGAACCTACTGCGTATTCTATTCCAATTGCCAAAGAATTCTAGTAAGTTTGGTGAAACAGGTCCTATTCCTTGCCCTGTGTGAGCTCTAGGCACTACTGTTTCTCTTTGTAAGTTATTTATCTGGCCTCAGCCGGATTCCCCAGACACTAGCACTAATCAATCAGTGCTGAGCGGAATACCAGATAAGTGCCCTCTGCGAATCTTCAGGTTGCTCTCTTTAAACCTCCTCCTTATTTTGTACTTTGTCCTGAGAACTTTAGCTGCCTTAGTCTCCTCGGGCTGTCAGTTCTAAGGCATTAAGACATCAATTTATGGCAACCTTAGGGTTCACCTTGTTTCCCAGTTCACAGGGATCACTGTTTTTTGTTGCCTGATACACAGTGCTTGCAAAATGTTGTTCTATAATTGTTTTTCTGGTTATTTCAAGTGGGATGGCAAATCTAGTCCTTATTACCCCATTTTGAAAGGAACTGGAATTCTCCCTCCTGCCTTCATTTTAATTAGTTTCTTTCTAATAAACCAGAGAGAACTTAAGACAGAAGATAGAAAATGTTTAACAAAATTTACATTTTAGAAATAACTGTTAAAAAGATGGAAGAAAAAGGAGGTCTAGGATAGATAGGAGCTTTATTGAAACATGAATTTTGTTTTCTGAAAAATGTCTCTTTACTCTCAATTTGTCTTACTGACTTTAACATTTAAAGAGAAGACTCATGGATAGTCATCATAATTTCCCCAAATCTGATATGAAGTCAAGGTAACAGGAAGAAGTGTTACTGATAAAAATATTAGAAATATTAGACATGAAAACATTATAAATAAACTCAGTCCCAAGAGGCTTTTTACTCATGCTATTTTCTTAGTTTTGTTTATTCTGAATTTTCCTTCTCCAAATTCCACTCAATCGTATAAGATTAGTTTAAGCCCTACCCTTACAAGAAAGCCTTCCAAACAGCTCTAGGTTTTAAAATTTGTAGAATTTATGACATAAAAAACAAATTTAGTGGTTTATGATATTCTATTATGCTTTATTAGTTTCATTATATTTTAAAATCTTGTGATAAAAGAATTAATATCCCTTTTCACATTTCTAGATGTCTGCATACGTTTTTTACCTTACTGTTCATTTTTTAAATAGTTCTTGACTTACACTAGGTTACTGAGTATTTTATCTTACTCATGATGTTTTATTTATTACAAACTGTTTAGTTTACATAATAACTGTTTACTTCAAGGTTTTAAATTCCACACTGTCTTCATAGGTTAGGTGTAGGCAAGGGAAATAACTTGTTTTTATTCTGTTGTTTTAAATGTGTTTATTTTAAATAAAGGCTGTAGTTTTATTTTAAATAAAGCCAGTAGTTTATACAAACACAGTAAAGAAGATTAATAAGATAAATTTAACTAAAGTTTTTTGGATATATCCAATAACCAGCAAAAAGGAAGAGAAGAAAAGGAGAATGTCAAGTGTCACAGCAAGGAATAGGGTAGCAGCTGAGATATTGAATCAAACTTTAGAAACAAACTGAAATCTGAACTAAAACTGAGATATACTGGGAGACTATGAAGAAAGGCAAAGAAAGTTTTCTTAATCTATCCAACTCTTTAGTCCATTAGATAATTTCATGGGTACTGTGTGATACTGATCAAGGTTTTTCTCCCAAAGTAAATATCTAATGGAGTCAGCATCTTTTAATGAAAAGATCTTCTTTTCTCTTATGGTATTGTATTAGTAGTACAATTGTCATTAAGCTGGTGACCATTTATGTGAAGGTCTGTATCTGGTTTCTATTCTGTTACATTTTTCTATCCTCAAAATGTTATATTTATATATCTTTAAATTAGATATTGCTAATCTCCACAAAAGAAAAACTTCTAGCATTTGACTAGGCTTTAATTGAATCTATAGATAATTTCAGATAATTGATATTATTGCTCTAGTGAATTTTGAAGTTTCCATTTTGTGACCATGGTTTGTTACTTCTTATTGTTATTATTACTATTATTATTATTTTGAGACAGAATCTCTCTGTCATCCAGGCTGGAGTGCACTGGCGCCATCTCGGTTCACTGCAACCTCCACGTCCCAGGTTCAAGCAATTCCCCTGCCTCAGCCTCCTGAGTAGCTGGGACTACAGACATGCACCACCATTGCTGGCTAATTTTTTTGTATTTTTTCGTAGATATGGGGTTTCACCATGTTGTCTAGGCTGGTCTCAAACTCCTGACCTCAGGCAATCTGCCCACCTCGGCCTCCCAAAGTGCCAAGATCACGCACATGAGCCACCACAATGGGCTGGTTTCTAAGTTTTTAATTTAAGTTTTTGCTTTTTCTCCACAATGATTTGTAATTTCCTGTATGGAAGTACTTTTTATGTAACTACCAGAATGATTTCCAATTTTTATAATTATCATCCACTGTCATTGCTGCTGGCTTATTCAGTTTTTCTCCTTTTAATTATATTGTTTTATACTGAAATTTTAAAAACCATTTACATAAATCCGCTAAGTTCCCTTGTGACTCTTCCCAATCTCGACCCCTACAACCAGATAAAATATTTTTTTTAATTTCTGTCATCATATAATAGTTTTGTCTGTTCATGAACCTCATATAAATAGAATCATATGTACTCTGTTGTGTCTGGCTTCCTCATTCACTTACTATTTTTGAGAATCAATCATGTTGTAGCATATATAATTTTTTTCCTTTATACTACTGAGTAATATTTTGTTTGAATACACTATAATTTGTTTATTCATTCTCTTACTGATTAATATTTGGTTTACTTACAGTTTTTTAATTATTAGGAATAGAACATATTTGAGTATTCCTTTATAAGTCTTCTTTTTTTAAAACCATTTAATGCGCATTTATTTATTGTTACCCTTTGCCAGTTATTTTATCAGGCGTGGGAGACATTGAGGTAAGAAGGCCTCTGTTCTTCGGGACCTCTCCTTCTTTTTTTTTTTTTCTTTTAATTTTACTTTAAGTTCTGGGATACATGTGCAGAACGTGCAGGTTTGTTACATATGTATACACGTGTCATGGTGGTTTGCTGCACCCACCAACCCATCATGTACATTAGGTATTCCTCCTAATGCCATCCCTCCCCTCGTCCCCCAGTCCTTGACAGGCCCTGGTGTGTGATGTTCCCCTCCCTATATTCTAGTCATTGTTCAACTCCCACTTCTGAGTGAGAACATGCAGTGTTTGGTTTTCTGTTCCTGTATTAGCTTGCTGAGAAAGATGGTTTTCAGCTTCATCCACGTCCCTGCAAAGGAGATGAACTCATGCTTTTTTATGACTGCATAGTATTCCATGGTGTATATGTGCTGTATTTGCTTTATCCAGTCTATTATTGAGGGGCATTTGGGTTGGTTCCAAGTCTTTGCTATTGTGAATAGTGGTGCAGTAAACATATGTGTGCATGTGTCTTTATAGTAAAATGATTTATAATCCTTTGGGTATATACTCAGTAATGGGATTGCTGGGTCAAATGGTATTTCTGGTTCTAGATCCTTGAGGAATCACCACACCATCTTCCACAATAGTTGAACTAATTTACACTCCCACCAACAGTCTAAAAGTATTCCTATTTCTCAACTCCCTCGCCAGCATCTGTTCTTTCCTGACTTTTTAATGATAGCCATTCTAACTGGTGTGAGATCATATCTCATTGTGGTTTTGATTTGCATTTCTCTAATGATCAGTGATGATGAGCTTTTTTTTCATGTTTGTTGGCCACTTAAATGTCTTCTTTTGAGCAGTGTCTGTTGATAACCTTTGCCCAATTTTTGATGGAGTTGTTTCTTTTTTCCTTGTGAATTTGTTTAAGTAGATTGCAGATTCTGGATATTAGCCCTTTTTCAGACGGATAGATTGCAAAAATTGTCTCCCATTCTGTAGGTTGCCTGTTCACTCTGATAATAGTTTCTTTTGCTGTGCAGAAGCTCTTTAGTTTAATTAGATCCCATTTGTCAATTTTGGCTTTTGTTGCCATTGCTTTTGGTGTTTTCATCATGAAATCTTTGCCCATGCCTATGTACTGAATGGTATTGCCTAGGTTTTCTTCTAGGGTTTTTATGGTTTTAGGTCTTATGTTGAAGTCTTTAATCCATCTTCAGTTAATTTTTGTATAAGGCATAAGGAAGGGACCCAGTTTCAGTTTTCTGCATATGGTTAGCCAGTTTTCCCAACAGCATTTGTTAAATAGGGAATCCTTTCCCCATTGCTTGTTTTTTTCAGGTTTGTCACAGATCAGATGGTTGTAGATGTGTGGCATTATTTCTGAGGCCTCTGTTCTGTTGCATTGGTCTATATATCTGTTTTGGTACCAGTACCATGCTGCTTTTGTTACTGTAGCCTTGTTGTATAGTTTGAAGTCAGGTAGCGTGATGCCTCCAGCTTTGTTCTTTTTGCTTAGGATTGTCTTGGCTATATGGGCTCTCTTTTGGTTCCACATGAACTTTAAAGTAGTTTTTTTCTAATTATTTGAAGAAAGTTTATGGTAGCTTGGTGGGGATAGCATTGAATGTGTAAATTACTTTGGACAGTATGGCCATTTTCGCGATACTGATTCTTCCTAACCGTGAGCATGGAATGTTTTTCCATTTGTTTTTGTCCTCTCTTATTTCCTTGAGGACTGGTTTGTAGTTCTCATTGAAGATGTCTTTCACATCCCTTTTAAGTTGTATTCCTAGGTATTTTATTCTCTTTGTAGCAATTGTGAGTGGGAATTCACTCATGATTTGGCTCTTTGTTTGTCTACTATTGGTGTATAGGAATACTTTTGATTTTTGCACATTGATTTTGTATCCTGAGACTTTGCTGATGTTGCTTATCAGCTTAAGGAGATTCTGAGCTGAGACAATGGGGTTTTCTAAATATACAATCATGTCATCTTCAAATTGAGACAGTTTGACTTCCTTTCTTCCTATTTGAATACCTTTTTATTTCTTTCTCTTGCCTGATTGCCCTAGCCAGAACTTCTGATACTATGTTGAATAGGAGTGGTGAGAGAGGGCATCCTTGTCTTGTGCCAGTTTTCAAAGGGAATGCTTCCAGGTTTTGCACATTCAGTAGGATATTGGCTGTGTGTTTGTCGTAAATAGCTCTTAGGATTTTGAGATACGTTCTATCGATACCTAGTTTACTGAGAGTTTTTAGCATGAAGGGGTATTGAATTTTATCGAAAGCCTTTTCTGCACCTATTAAGATAATCACGTGGTTTTTGTCATTGGTTCTGTTTATGTGATAAATTACGTTTGTTGATTTGCATATGTTGAACCAGCCTTGAATCCCAGGGATGAAGCTGACTTGATCGTGGTGGATATGCTTTTTGATGTGCTACTGGACTTGGTTTGCCAGTATCTTATTGAAGATTTTTGCATCAGCGTTCCTCAGGGATTTGGCCTGAAATTTTCTTTTTTTGTTGTATCTCTACTAGTCTTCTTGTAGGTACAAGTTTTCACTTAATTTTGGTAAATGTCTAAGAGTGGAATTGGTGGGTCATAGGGTAGTTGTATGTTTATATTTATTAGAAATTCCCAAACAATTTTCCAAAGTGTTTCATTATTTTACATTTCTCTCAGCAATGTATGAGAGTTCAAGTGACTCCAAAGTCTTGCCAGCATGTTTCATCATCAGTCTTTTAATTACGGCCATTTTGCTGAGTATGTAGTGCTGTTCATTGTGGTTTTATTTTGAATTATCCTAGTGATTGTTTCTGATCATCTTTTCATACAATAATTGGCCTCTCAGATATCAACTTTTGTGAACGTTCTTTTCAAGCATTTTTAAAGAGTTTTATTTGTATTGTTTAGTCTTTATCATTCTTTATCCTTTTTATCTGATAGAGGATATATATGGATATGGACATATTTATGGTCTTGTAATTGTACCATTGTCATTAAGCTGGTGACCATTTGTGTGTAGGTCTGTTTCTGGTTTCTATATATAGATATATATATGATTATGGATTAGATATCATATATAAAATATATATGACATATATCTAATAATTATGATATATGAGGTATATAATGATATGTATATTGATATTATATATAAGATATATAATAAGGTATATAATGATATGTATATATATCTAATAATAATGATATATATGATATATAATGATATGTATTTATATATTATATATAATATATATCATATATATATTCATATCCATATATATCATACCTTTTCCAGTCTGTGCCTTACTTTTTCACTTTAACACTTAACCTGTTATTCTCCTTTATCTTCTCTTTCTACATTTTACTTTGAATAAGCCTAGATTCATCAGAAGTTGCAAAAAATGTACAGGCAGGTCCTCAGTGCCCTTCATCCAGTTTTCTCTGATGATAACTTAATTACCTTAAAATAATATCAAAGCCTATAAAAGGACATTTACATTGGTATAATTTACAAAGTCTATTCAAATTTCACCAGTTTTATTTGTACTTGTGTTTGTATACTTTTGTGCAGTTCTGGCACAAGTATAGACTGATCTAATTACCAACACAATGAAGATACAGAACTGTTCCCTACTTCAAGGTAAAATATGCAATGCATTTACATTTTTGACAAACATTGAAATTATTTCAGCCCTGAGTAATTCTAGAAATGTAAAACACCTACATATTAGTCAGTTTTGTTCTTATAATAATATTATTTTAACATTTTGAGTTATTTCATACATTAAGCTAAAAAGTCCACTTCTGAAAATCATACACTTATTGTTTATTCGAGGCAGTAAAAATAAAATATGTAGATGCAACTGTGTTGGTATCACAAATGATTGATTTGCTTGGCATCTTTTGTCCCAATATTCATAAACATAGCTATTTAAAGGTATAAATGACAACAAAAGTTTTATTAGGTCATACTCATTTATATTTAACAATGCCAAATGGTATTTCTTTAAATAGAATTGTATTATATTTAAAATCATGTGTAAGAGTAACCATAATACAAATGGCCAATGGCATAGAGAGTTGGAGAAAGAACCAATAGAATAAAAGACCACCATGTTTTTCTTCTCATTCACCAATCATTCATTGGCCTGTTAATGCAGTGTTGAAATTAAAAGCTCTCATCCATGACACATATTAGATCTTCAGAATTTCATTGATTCCCTAACTGAAGAAACCAAGATATGGGATATAGGAAGGATGAAGGAAGAATGTCTGAACTCTAGACAAAGCCCACAAAGAACCAAATAATCTTTTCCAAGATGAACCCTAATCCACTCATATAATATAATATTATCATCTGACAAAAGTGCTTATGATTTCTGACCTTCTTTTTTGACTCATGTAGAACCCCACTTACTGGAGATCAAGACCTATCTTATAAGATCAGGATATTATAAAGTGGCTACAGGGATGTTAAGCTTATCTTGAGAAGACCAATCTGCTAGTACCGACTTGTGGACTTCTGTAAAAACTTCACAAATCACAAATCCACATCTAAATTATATTCCTATGTCATCTGTGAGGCAGTGCTGTGACAAGTGGGATGCAAAGATGGTCTCCACCTAGTTATTCTTCTCTGCCCATGGAATAGGCCAAAGGAAGCCCTACATCTATACCCAAACCTACAGTTTTATCTTATGTCCACCAGTACTTGTGAGGCTGATGTTGTCAGTTCCAGTCCTAGTCTTACTGATCCCTTTTTGTTCTGAAATAAATAGAAATTTACTTCCTCTCAATTTTGGACCCAAAGTTGTGAGAATATTCCTCAAATCTTTATGTGATTAAAAAATAGACCCAACATAGCTTTTCCTTGTAAAAAGGGAAAAGAATAATACTTCACTTAAATTACTTTGTTAATAAATATATAAACAAAAAAGTTAGTCATCAAGCTATTTTTCATAAGTTCCCCTTTCCCTTTCTAGCTATGTAACGCACTGTACTGTAAATGTATTACATTAAAATACTGATGAGAAAAAAAAGAATGATTTGTTTTTTCCTTTCCTAAAGATTATTCATCTATCAAAAGCTTAATTTATTTGAAAGTAATAAATCATGTTGGGCTTGTCACAAGCTTTTGGGTTCTTATTAGTTTAATTTATGTCAATTAGATAAAAGAGGATACAAACAAATGGAAGAACATTCCATGCTCATGGGTAGGAAGAATCAATATCGTGAAAATGGCCATACTGCCCAAGGTAATTTATAGATTCAATGCCATCCCCATCAAGCTACCAATGACTTTCTTCACAGAATTGGAAAAAACTACTTTGAAGTTCATACGGAACCAAAAAAGAGCACGCATCGCCAAGTCAATCCTAAGCCAAAAGAACAAAGCTGGAGGCGTCATGCTACCTGACTTCAAACTATACTACAAGGCTACAGTAACCAAAACAGCATGGTACTGGTACCAAAACAGAGATATAGATCAATGGAACAGAACAGAGCCCTCAGAAATAACGCCGCATATCTACAACTATCTGATCTTTGACAAACCTGAGAGAAACAAGCAATGGGGAAAGGATTCCCTATTTCGTAAATGCTGCTGGGAAAACTGGTTAGCCATATGTAGAAAGCTGAAACTGGATCCCTTCCTTACACCTTATACAAAAATTAATTCAAGATGGATTAAAGACTTAAACTTAGACCTAAAACCATAAGAACCCTAGAAGAAAACCTAGGCATTACCATTCAGGACATAGACATGGGCAAGGACTTCATGTCTAAAACACCAAAAGCAATGGCAACAAAAGTCAAAATTGACAAATGGGATCTAATTAAACTAAAGAGCTTCTGCACAGCAAAAGAAACTACCATCAGAGTGAACAGGCAACCTACAAAATGGGAGAAAATTTTCGCAACCTACTCATCTGACAAAGGGCTAATATCCAGAATCTACAAAGAACTCAAACAAATTTACGAGAAAAAAACAAACAACCCCATCGACAAGTGGGTGAAGGACATGAACAGACACTTCTCAAAAGAAGACATTTATGTAGCCAAAAGACACATGAAAAAATGCTCATCATCAGTGGCCATCAGAGAAATGCAAATCAAAACCACAATGAAATACCATCTCACACCAGTTAGAATGGCGATCATTAAAAAGTCAGGAAACCACAGGTGCTGGAGAGGATGTGGAGAAATAGGAACACTTTTATACTGTTGGGACTGTAAACTAGTTCAACCCTTGTGGAAGTCAGTGTGGCGATTCCTCAGGGATCTAGAACTAGAAATACCATTTGACATGGCCATCCCATTACTGGATATATACCCAAGTATTATAAATCATGCTGCTATAAAGACACATGCACACGTATGTTTATTGCGGCACTATTCACAATAGCAAAGACTTGGAACCAAATGTCCAATAGTGATAGACTGGATTAAGAAAATGTGACATATATACACCACGGAATACTATGCAGCCATAACAAATGATGAGTTCATGTCCTTTGTAGGGACATGGATGAAATTGGAAATCATCATTCTCAGTAAACTATCGCAAGGACAAAAAACCAAACACTGCATGTTCTCACTCATAGATGGGAATTGAACAATGAGAACACATGGACACAGGAAGGGGAACATCACACTCTGGGGACTGTTGTGGGGTGGGGGGAGGGGGGAGGGATAGCATTAGGAGATATATCTAATACTAAATGACGAGTTAATGGGTGCAGCACACCAGCATAGCACAGGAATACATATGTAACTAACCTGCACGTTGTGCACATGTACCCTAAAACTTAAAGTATAATAATAATAATAATAAAAAAAGAAAAAAGCTGGTCTGTTGGAACTGAAAGTGAATTAATGATGCATGTATTTTGATGTCAGAATGAGCTCTGCCTTAGTTTCCTGAGACTTTTAGAGAATTCCCCAAATCTGATATACCTCACCCTGAAGAAGTGCCTGCCTCCAAGAGGCCTTATAGAAACAGACCTTTGGAAATGAGTCCAACCAAATAAAACAATGTATAGTGATGAAAGGTCACACCCAGCAAGTAGCATTGAGTGATGCCAGTAGAAATCATGAGGGACAGAGAATTGTAGTCAGACTTTCCTCTGTTGATTAAACTCTTGGAAACAGCTATTATAAACCAATCCATTGTTTTCTGGAGGATATAATTTTGTCTGCATCTAATAGCTTCCATGTATTCATCATTGTTCAAAATGTTCCTTTCAAACAGTTACAGGGGTATCACCTATGACTTTTCCCTGTGAAATTTTTAAGGTTATTAAGGTATGCCGAGTAGGCAGTCATGGTCTGCTACTACAGACTTCGTTTACAGAAGTCATAAGTATCTGAAGATGCAGAAAGGCAATTTCTGCAGTAGTGTTTTTGGAGCACACATTTTGCAGTGACAGAAGATCAGTCTGCACTCATCATCTGCCACATTCATGGCTTATGGATAGCAATCCTAGAGTCATACTTTTCCAAGATCTCCTTTGAGAGTAAGGACTATACCTTCTGTTTCTTTGCAATCTGAGTCTCTTGATTATATTTCTCTTTTGAATAGTATTATGTTCTTACCTAGAATATAATTTTTGGTTCTCTTTGTAAAATTTCTCCTATTTTATAAATAATTAGGGGCATATTTGATTCCTGTAATACTTAACAACTATCTTGCATTTGGTTATTGCTCAATGAGTGTTTATAGTAAAAAGAGACAGGATTTGACTCAGAAAGATTGTGTTTGAATATTATGGTTGCATAAGATAGTGGCATAACTTTGGGCAAGTTTATCCAGTTCTTTACTCTTCAGTCCCTACATAAATAAAATGAGGATAATAATTCTAAATTTGCATGGGATGAGAATTATAAGTAATATTTTATAACATCTAGAACATTATCTGTCACATAGTAAACATCTGAAATGCCAGTTGCTTTATTTTTTAACGAATATTGTTAAGGTCATTGCTGAATTACCTTATTATGCCTAACTCAACCTCACAAATGCTATCAACCTACTAGAAGTGTCTTTATGTTTAGGTGAACTTGAGTGGTTTGGGAGAGAATAATTTATTTATGATTTGGCTGACTTTATTTGTGCAAGAGAAAGGAACCAGCATGTGCTAAACACTAGAAAAATTCAATTCCATGAAACCTTGGGAATACTTCAAATGGACAAATCAACACATAGCCACAGATAGTGTCACTAATTCTCAGATTATTTGCTTCCTTGTATGAAACAACATATTGGGAAAAAAAATGCCCAATAAGTTCTCAAAAATAAGTCACTTTTTATCTTATAGTTGGAATCAGCCTACAATATCAGATACTATGTCAATTTTAATGTTTAATTTTGAGTTATCATCAGTTTCCTGAAATGATAGCTAAACTTTATGCCTGATAATGCAATGTGGTAAAGTGTCTAACACCGATTATGTTCCAGACACTGTTGTTAAAATAATATTAAGGCATTGTTACTCTGATTCTTTAGAATAATCTGCATTTTGAACACAGTGTTTCATCATCATACCATATTTCCAATCACTTGTAACTCATTAATTAGTAGAAGATTACATTCTCATAGTTCAATAAATTTGCATTCAACGAAGGGGTATGCATCTGATAAAAATAAGGTCTTCTGTTAATTAAATAAAATATACAAGAATTTTAAAGATATGTGTAAACAACTTTAAGGCAACTTTTCAATTGAGCAATGACATAAGCCATTATGAGGATAATCAAAATGTAGAATTAATTGAGCTGTGCTAACATGTTTGCTAAACTGGCAAATGTTGAGGCAGTGATGGTGGCTTTAGGCTGTCCACCTGATAGGTCTACATAGAAGAATGCAGAATAATTAAACCTCACAAGTGATCTTGATCTACCACATACAACATATCCTGACATTTTATGTCATCTGGAGCTTTGACAATTATAAGGGGACTTCAAAAAGTTTCTGAAAACACAAAATCAAAAGATACAAATTAAAAGCATAAACTTTATTTCTCAACATAACCTTCATGAAAGTCAAGACACTTTTCTAAGCAATGATACCAGCCATTTTGTTCATCCAAAGACCTAAGGACCCTGGGAGTTTAACCATGTCAATGTAGTCTTTTTTTACATTATTAACTGAAAAAAAAAATGGGGAAGTTTTAAATATTTTCTTAAGATAAGGAAACAAAAAGAAGTCAAAAGAGGCCAAATCAGGACTGCAAGGTGTATGCCTGTTGATTTCTCACTGAAACTATTGCAAAAATGCCCTTGTTTGATGAGGGAAAGGAATAGGATTATTGTCGTGATGGAGAAAGACTGTCTGATTAAGCTTTCTCGGGCATTTCTCTGCTGAAGCTTTGGCTAAATTTCTCAAAACATTCTCATAATAAGCAGATGTTATTATTCTTTGACCCTCCAGGAAGTCAACAAGCAGATATCTTGAACATTTTCCCCAAAATGTTGCCATGACTTTTGCTCTTGACTGGTGGTTTGTTTTTGGTTTGACTGCACTGTTTCCGCCTCTTGGTAGCCATTGCTTTGATTGTGCTTTGTCTTCAGAACCATACTGGTAAATCTATGTTTCATTTCCTGCTACAATTCTTCTTCTTCAAAAAAAAAAAAAAGCTTCAGGATATTGATCCCACTTGTTTAAAACTTCAATTGAAAGTTCTGCTCTTGTTTATAGCCAATCTGATCACAATGGTTTTGGGCACTTACCAAATGGGAAAGTTTGTTCAACTTCAATTTTTCATTCAGAATTGTGTATGCTAGAACAGTTGAGATGTCTATAGTGTTGGCTATTTGTGTGGTTATTTGTCAGTCCTCTTCAATTAGGGCATAAACAAGATTAATTTTTTCTCACAAATTGATGTGTATGGTCTGCTACTACAGACTTCATTTCAACATCATCTCATCCCTTCTTAAAATGAGTTATCCATTTGTAAACTGTCATTTTATTTGGAGCATCATCACCATAAACATCTCTTAAAGCATCAATGATCTCACCATTCTTCTACCCAAGCTTCACGATAAAATTGATGTTTGTTTTGCTTCAATTTTAGCAGAATTTGTTTTGCTCTGATAGGAGCTCTTTTCAAACTGATGCATTATCCTTCTTAGTTTCTCCCCAACCTAAATCTTGTTCAAATATGTTTACAAGTTTATTTTGGTGCAAAGTACTTTTCAAATCCATGCATAGTTTTTTATTTATAATACACATTGTCCATATGAACTTTTAAAAGACTCCCTTCTATATCTTTTATATTATTCTCCACACTGTTTATTGTAACACATATTAACAAGGGCTGTGCTTTAGAGCAGAGTTCTCCCACTGCCCCTTGAACCTTCTTTTACTATGCTGACACTAAGTTATCAACCCTGTCCCTCTAAACTTAACTGTTTTGAGGTAAGTTATTCAGAGAAAATTTAAATCCAGCTGTTGACCTCGGTGGGGGTCCTAGCTTCATATGCTAACTTGCATAAGTTATCGAAACTGAAACAAACTTCCCATCTTGACAATTGTTCTGTAAGTTATACAACTTATGTCATACAAAGAAGCTTTTTAGGGTATGCTATCTATATAAACTTAAATTTAGTTATACAGTTCAAGCAAAAAAGATGCATTACTCAAGTATTTCTTTTGGTCCTCATGGGGCCTCTCAAACCAAGTGCAGTTTGTTCTTGGATTAGGAAAGCGGCTTTATTTTACAAGAATTGATATTTCATTCTACTCAGTATTGCTCCATTCACAGAACAGCTGTTAGCAAGAGGATATGTGGGAATTTTTATCGGAATGTAATAATATGATTTTCTAGCAAAGTATAGGAAATGGTGCAAGAGGCTCAATCTCTTCAGGTTGCAAAGTGTGGCAGGATGTTCTTGGAAGGTGACACATTCACAGTGCATGGACTGTGTAACTGATGGAAAGGAAGAAACTCGTAACAATGAATATGAAGACAATAACAACAACAACAATCACAAAATCAAGCTTTACTATGCCCTTGCTTTGATAGAGGAACATGGATGAAAAACAGAGAAATCAGATTTCAGATTTGACAGCATATCTAAGGATACTTTAAGCATTAATTTTTTAAATTTTAGATTATTTCATTCTAACTAAAGGGAACATTAAGTAATCTTATGCTCTGAACTGACTGTAACAGTGATAGAATGATTAAGACTAAGAGAGGTTAATCAGGGTGTGGGTTGGGTCAGGCTCGCAAGGATGTTTGGCAAGGTACAGTTAGCAAATAGGATATACAGTTATCGATAGGATAGGGATGAAGGTTATGGATGAATTTAGAGCAGCATTTGAGGTCAGAACTAACATTTACTTGGAAATAATATAAATATAAGCTTTGTTGTCAAAGAAATATGATTCCCATTGAAAAAGGGAATAGTTTAAAATGCAATTAAGAAGAGAATGATACCAAATGAAAAGTAAATATTCTGCTGAGCAAACTTGCAGGTGAATATACGATCATGAAATATAGTAAATACAAAAACTTGGGAACAAACTCACCTTACTAAAGGAGAACCAAGGATTAGGATATATGCACTTGAAAACGACTTTGGATAATAACAAAGAATGTACATATTAGGAAAGCCAACTTACTGCCTTTGAATGGAAAAAAATGTATGTTAGTCTCACAATATCTTCTCATTTCATTGAAAAAATGTTAAGTAATCAAATACCAATTGTATGTCCAGGGCTATATGCTAAATTCTTGGATTAAGTAGTGTTTGTGGAGGATTCATGGGAACAAAGAAATAAGAAATCAAAAATTACTGAGCTTGTCAAATAGTTGGGGAGCACAAAACACAGAAAGAACATTGAACACAAGTAAGATGATGCTCATGCCTAGTGTTACAAAACTAATCTTTCTGTATCTAAGGAGAGATTTTAAGATGTGATAAAACAATGCTCTTCTAAATCAGAGATGTTAAATTTATATCTGGGAGTGAACTTGGGCTCAAAAAGATTTGGGCTTATTTATCTCCAATATCTGTGAGGTTGGTCAGTCATTTGCCTCTCTAGGCTTTCATTTTTGTAGTTTAATGTGTGAATATACTTTGAACACTTAACAATGTCTAGAACCTAATAAACATTAAATAAATGACAATTTTTAAGTTTACTAATGTGCTTACAATATTAAAAATAGAACGAAAGAGGCAATATGACCATCTTACTTTTTTTTAATTATACTTTAAGTTTTAGGGTACATGTGCACAACGTTCAGGTTTGTTACGTATATATATATGTGCCATGTTGGTGTGCTGCACCTATTAATTCATCATTTAACATTAGGTATTTCTCCTAATGCAGTCCCTCCCACCTCCCCCAACCCCACAACAGGCCCCAGTGTGTGATGTTCCCCTTCCTGTGTCCATGTGTTCTTATTGTTCAATTCCCACCTGTGAGTGAGAACATGTGGTGTTTGGTTTTCTGTCCTTCTGATAGTTTGCTAAGAATGATGGTTTCCAGCATCATCCATGTCCCTACAAAGGACATGAACTCATCATTTTTTATGGCTGCATAGTATTCCATGGTGTATATATGCCACATTTTCTTAATCCAGTCTATCACTGTTGGACATTTGGGTTTGTTCCAAGTCTTTGCTATTGTGAATAGTGCCGTAATAAACATACGTGTGCATGTGTCTTTATAGCAGCATGATTTATAATACTCTGGGTATATACCCAGTAATGGGATGGCTGGGTCAAATGGTATTTCTAGTCCTAGATCCCTGAGGAATCGCCACACCGACTTCCACAAGGGTTGAACTAGTTTACAGTCCCACCAACAGTATAAAAGTGTTCCTATTTCTCCACATCCTCTCCAGCACCTGTTGTTTCCTGACTTTTTAATGATCGCCATTCTAACTGGTGTGAGATGGTATCTCATTGTGGTTTTGATTTGCATTTCTCTGATGGCCACTGATGATGAGCATTTTTTCATGTGTCTTTTGGCTACATAAATATCTTCTTTTGAGAAGTGGCTGTTCATGTCCTTCACCCACTTGTCGATGGGGTTGTTTGTTTTTTTCTGATAAATTTGTTTGAGTTCATTGTAGATTCTGGATATTAGCCCTTTGTCAGATGGATAGATTGCAAAATTTTCTCTCATTCTGTAGGTTGCATGTTCACTCTGATAATAGTTTCTTTTGCTGTGCAGAAGCTCTTTAGTTTAATTAGATCCCATTTGTCTATTTTGGCTTTTGTTGCCGTTGCTTTTGGTGTTTTAGTCATGAAGTCCTTGCTCATGCCTATGTCCTAAATGGTATTGCCTAGGTTTTATTCTAGGGTTTTTATGGTTTTAGGTCTAACATTTAAGTCTTCAATCCATCTTGAATTAATTTTTGTATAAGGTGTAAGGAAGGGATCCAGGTTCAGCTTTCTACATATGGCTAGCCAGTTTTCCCAGCACCATTTATGAAATAGGGAATCCTTTCCCCATTTCTTGTTTTTGTCAGGTTTGTCAAAGATCAGATAGTTGTAGATATGTGGCTTTATTTTTGAGGGCTCTGTTCTGTTCCATTGGTATGTATCTTTGTTTTGGTACCAGTACCATGCTGTTTTGATTACTGTAGGCTTGTAGTATAGTTTCAAGTCAGGTAGCATGATCCCTCCAGGATTCTTTCACTCTTTTACCTTGTTTGATCCAATGGATACATACTGTAAAAAAAAAAAAAAGTCACAAGGAAAGTAGTAAAAGATTAAGCTTACCTGCCATATATCCACATAAAAATGTATGATTTTCAATTGACAGCTAGATATATTATAGCTGGTGTATGTTGTATGAAAATTTATTACCCAAAGATATAATTGAACAAATTAATATTTCTGTTTCATCTTATTTTGATAAAATAACTATGTGCAAGGGAAAATTCTACCCATATAAACATCTCACTTTTATGTGTTGTCAATTATTCTTCACTCATTTCTAAAAAGCTATAAAATTAACACAGGTATATTATAAAGCTGTATGAATTATTTAATGCCAATTTAACACTGATTATTTATGTATTTTTATCCTTATATTTTGCTTATATTTCATTTATTTCATTTTATCTCTATCTTTTCTCCCCAGTCTTTGTTTTTCAGAAAGCAAAGTTTTTATTTAATCCACTGACATGATTAGGTTAAGATATGGGGGCTTCCATGAGTGCTTAAAACTACTCTTGTGAAGATCAGTCTCACACATTGATTTCATTGAACAGGTGAGGAGTCTGCCAAGACATCCTTCCCTCCTCACTCATAATGTCAAGAGACTCAGGAAAGGCTGTGGGAACATATGTGTCAACACCGTGAGTCAGGTACTCAATACTCAAGGTCAGCCCAGTTGATCACAATGTTTTGGTTTATTATAAGGATGTAACCCCTCTCATCCTATTTACTACAAGTCTTCATGTGATTTCAGAGGCAACTATCCTCCTCTACTCTGATTAGTTTATCTGTATTTGTTTCAGAACTCTCTACTCAATTGAAGAGGGTCTTTTGCAAAATGAAGAGCTGCTAGTGCACTGCTTGTCACTTATCCGTTTGATCTTGACCCTTTTTGGAGGAATCATTTAATGCATCTTGCTGTCCACTTGTTATTTTCCACATACCAATAACAAGTTTAGGATAAAGGCTGAGAACAAAGATTTTAGAAACCTAGAGAACAGATTTAGATACCAAGTTATGCTATTTAATAACTGTAAAATCATTTTAAAAATACCTATATCTCCTGGAGTTATTATAGATATTGAATTTTATACCATGTATATGAAACTCTTAGCACAATGCTTTGTACATAGAAAGCAATCAAATGTCAGTGATGGATGACAACAAGGATGTTGCCTGTGATGATGAGGAAGATGATGGTGAAGTTAATGGAGGTGTCATTTTATAGAACCCTGGATATTTGAGAACAAGTAATACATGATTTAGTCAGTGCAAATTATATATAATATAAATATATATGTACACACATATATGTACACCCATGCATACTTTAAATAAATGTATATATACTTTAAATATATATACTTTATATATACTTTATATATATATTTAAATATATATACTTTATATATATATATTTAAATATATATATATTTGCTTTGATATGCCAATAAATGTAACAATGAATGAAAGGGCTACACTAATTCATGGTTTCAAATATTCAGATATTACAATGCTCAGCAAATATTTTCTTGAAAGGTCAGATATTAAATATTTTTTACCTTGCAGGCCATATGGCAGAGGTCACCAGGAACTCAAATCTACCACTGCAGCATAAAAGCAGTCATGGAGAATACATAAATGAATGGGATGGGTATGGTTGTGTTTTAAGTAAACTTTACAGAAAAGTGGCCAGTGCATGTTTGCTGAATCCTGAGATAGACTATTATATGCTTATTTGGTACTTCTGAAGGTAATATAAATGTTATAAATTTGATATCAAGTGTCTGAGATATATAGCATTTTAATGCACTACCACCATTTAATTATAAATAAGTAAAATGGTTAACTTCTTTCTGTACATGTCTTGATTTGTTTACATATTTATTTATCCAACAAATACTTATAAAGTGACAATCAAGTCCCAAATGCTAAATCTTGTGCCAAGATAACAAAGAAGAATATAGCAAAATCTCTTTCCAAATTGGAATAAAAATTCATTCTTTATATATACACACCTACTATGTACCCATAAAAATTAAAAAAAAATTAAAGTTAACAAGTTTAAAAAGATATAATATTTGTATTCACATGCAAAATGAGTAGGATGAACATTATGGAATGCGTAAAATAAATAGGCTCTCAAAGTCCTCAGCTGTGGTAGATTGCAATAATTGTCACAATATTTGGCAGCTCCCCCAATCAAGAGGCAGTGTTGATTTCCCACCCCTCGAATCAAGCCATGTGATTTGCTCTGACAACAGCACATTGACAACTGTAATGAAAGCAGAGACTTGGAAATGTTCTTAAGTATTGGGTCCTGAACTTTCTGGCTGCTATTCAGGGTGCAGAGAGCATCCTGTGAAGAAGTCCAGGACAGCCTGCTGAAGAATAAGAGATCATGTGGAACAGAAATTAGACAGCACAGCTGAGACTCCCTAGATTAATCAGTCTGCTAACAACAGATGTATGAGTGAGACCATCTTAAGTCATTCAATCCCAGTTTAGACTCTTATTAACCATAAATATCAGTTGAGCTGGCACAGACCAGATAAATGGGGCAGCTGACCTGTAGAACCATGAGAAATTTTTTTTATTATTTACTTGTGTCATGGTTTGTTAGGTATCCAAAACTAACTGATATAATGGCTACAGTTCTATCACTTGGAACACATATATAATACATTGGCATATTCACATGTATGTTTATGTGTGTGAGTGTGTGTGCATGTGTGTGTGTGGGATACATATTTAAATAACAAGCACACTCACAGTCTACATAATTTTATAACTCTTTAATGTATATCTCAGTTGTATAAATAAATCGAGATATTTTATAAAGAATACCAATTAATGTAACATTGTATTGACATCCTTTAACTGACATTCTTCAGCTACTGAGAGAAGGTTTCTTTTAAAAGGGATAAAAAAGGAATGAAGAAACAGGCACTGCAATGAACTTTTGCCCAAATTTAAAATGTGTAACATTTAAAAATATGCCATGTACCATATGCCACATTGGCTTATATTACTACAGTAATTCATAACATTTCTGGGTGGCAGCAAAACTTAGTAGTCTGTACAATATGGTCTTCACTTCACTGGCATTTGTCATTACTTGGTGTTATATTACTAACTGTTAGTAAAGAGATGAAATTTCTGACCATTTGGAGGGCCATTAATTCCCATATCTCATAACAGTTCTTACGGTAAGTACTAATGATGCTCAAGCTACTGCATAGGTAATGTTCTTATAAGATATGAACAATTCTTCTTTTCCTACACATAGAAAAAGGAAACACAAGGCGCATCTTCACTTGGCAATAAATGTTAATTCTGGAGCTCTTGCAGGCCCAACTAACATTTTATCCCAGAATAGAATCACAAATAAAAGGCAAGGTGCTCATCTGCATGAGAACTCTGCAGTGTGTAGGAGCTTGTAGACTCCTACAGGGCATGCTTTTCCTCCACCGCCCCATCTGATTCGCAAAATGAGACTTTCTTTCTTTACTGCATTCACATGTGATCCCAGATTATCCTAAGACTGCTCCCTAAGGAGGGTACGCATTCTTTTTGGTGGCCCTCCATTTTATTGTTGTTCTTAGAAGGGTAGTATATGTGTGCCAATGGGAATGAGGAGATGTAGATAGTTTACAATAATGGGACACTTCACAACTTTCTGTCACTTGTTTAAAAAGTCAATAACACCCAAATGATTCTGACGAGACACAGTGCTCTTCTCCAAAACTGGCAGACCTTCGAATGTGAGGGACCAAAATATTATGAATGTTTTTCTAGTATAACTACTGTGTCAGTTGTCCTCAGGAAAACAAAAACAAAAACCAAAAACAAACTTCACCACGGCTTAGTGTCTTAAAATATCTAACTATTCTTTCTTATGATTCTGTCAGTTGGCTGGGTGGTTTCTTGCTGTATTCACCTGGACACACATAGCTGCTTTCACGTGGAGAATCAACTGGATTGGAAGGTCCAAGATAGCCTCACTCACATACTACTAGGCTATATTGGCTTCCCTGTCTGTTAATTTCAGGGCAATGTTCCAAGCAGGTGAGGGAGAAGGCTGCAAGATGTCTTAAAACCTATGCTCCATAACTCATACACCATTACTAATGCCACGTTATTCTAGTGGTCAAAATGAGTGACATGGACAGCCCAGATCTAAGAAGGTAGAGAAATAGACTCCCTCTTTGGATGGGAGATGTGGTAAAGCATAGTTGCAAAGGGACATGTATACTTGAATAGGAGGAATTTGTGACCATTAAGGAATCCATGAATGTCAACTTTGTGGTATAACCATAAAAATCACTGCTTAGTTTGGAATGAAGATCAAATATCATTCTGGGTTATGTTTGCTATAATTCCGGGATAGTTGAGGATAGTATTTCTCAACAAGTGTTCTAAGAAGTGCAATTTTTTAAGATATTCACAGGAAAGTTACAAAATGTGTTCTCTGTGTCAATGTGGTTGAGATAAGCTACATGTTATATTCCACTCGGAGATTATGGACATTAGTAAAACAAAGGTTCTAAATTAAAGGCTAGAAAAGGGAAACTATTGAACTTTGCTTAACTCAGTATTTGAGAAGTGGCACTTGTTACTAGCCATTACCCTTTAAGAATTCTGGCAGAAAGAGTATTCTGGTTTGAAAAATGTTGGAATAAATGAACAGGAAATCCTCACACAAATTGATAAACAATAGCACAATTATTATCTCCCTGGTCAGTAATGGAAAAATAATCAAGTGCTAATAATTATAGGCATAACAATAAATTAATTATACAAAGTACAGATTTTCTACTGCTTCCTGCCAGAATGGGAACATCCTCTGCCTGCTTTTGTTTCATCATCTGTTTGTGATATTTGGATAAAGTAACTGAAGAGGGTTCAATGAGTTAAAAGACCCTGCTATACTAATTTATCTCAAACCAACTTTGTGACAGCATGTATAGCAATTGGTAGTGCCAAAATCTTCTAAATTATTTAAAAATTTGATCTATATGCGGAAGAGACATTTTTCCTCTGCTGTATTCCCCATAGGCTTTTCGAAAGTGTTCATATTCACGATAAATTAGAAAGGTTGGTAATTCATCAAAATAATAAATTTTCTCATGCCAGTTTCAAAGCAATATCACAGTTAACCATTGTTTCCATTTTCATACATAAAATATCTGAGATATAAAGTAAATGTGAGTTTAGCAATGGAGTAACTTTGCTAGGGTAGATGGCATCTATAATGCTATTGAAATACAAGTACACATTGGTGACTGCTCAGTCTTCCATAAATGTAACAAATGAGTCCTAATAATTACATCTTGCATTTTGCATCCTATGTAAGTCTTAGAATATTACCTTGACAACATAAAATGGACTTGCTCCATTTTATGTTATATTATTACTAGCTACACAGTACCATATTGTACAATAACATGTCATAAAATGGGAGCAAGTCCTCATTTTTTTCTCTTAATCGGAAGAATAATTTTTTTGGAGAAAGCTTGTATTGCCTTTAATAGGTGTCATCAATTTGAGATCTTTTGTAATCCAGGCACACTGTATAAGATTTAATTTTTCTACTGAATAAAATAAGATTTATGAGTTTGCTGATAAGGTAAAATAAAGTCTGGTACCTTAGCAATGTACAGGATCCAGATTGTAATTAGAATGTAATTGAGGGACTCTAAAGTAGAAAGGCATCAGTTCATCTACAGATGAGGTTAGATATCTAACTCATATCTAACTTCAGTTAGATATGAGTTAGAAGTTAGATATGAGGTTAGAAGATTTTTGTTATCTTCTCTTTTTTCTAGATTAATGTTCTGTTGTCCTTTTTATTTGAAACTGTGTAAAACAACAGAAGAATACCAACTTAGCCTGTGAATGTGATACAAATCCTATGGTATTAGAACAAATATTTTCCATTGAAAAAGTGTATTTTCAGGAACCTTAAATGAGAACATTGTAGTAAATTAATATCATGTTTTAATCAATACTAATGACTAAGAAGGAAGTAAAAAAGCCGGGAACATAAATTACACTCCTGGCCATCAGAAATTAACTGAAACCTATTTGTCTCCACCATTCCATCAGGAAAAAATATATGAAACTGATTTTTAGACACTGGAGAAAGGTCAGTAAAGGATTGTGATCCTCAAGAGAAGGGAAACAAATGAGATGATCCCTTTGATTGCCTCATCTTGTACTTTCAGGGCAGTTTCTTGGACACAGAACAAGGAGACAAAAAAAATTGAAAAGTAGGGAGAACAAAAGCAGCTGCAGAGGTGGGAGCTGTGTGGAGGTGAGAGCCATGCACAGAGAGAAATTCCAGAGGTCTGCACAGGGTTCCTTATGCCTGTAGCTGAGTTCTGATTACCAAATGTGTTTGAGACTGAGAAAAAAGCCACTTGATAGGAACAGGTAAAACAATCTCAGGAGCTCACATAAAGCCAAGAATAGTTTCTTCTCTCACAGTCAACATGGGCAAACCTTATAATACAGTACTTGGAGTCCCAGGTACAGTAAACAAATACTGTTGCTGGTACTTTTTCCTACTCTTCCTTGTAAGAACAGATTAAAATGCTGTGCATTATATATTAAATCAAAGACCTCAGGATTTAAGGAATGACATAGTGGTAAGTTCTCTGAGTTTTCTTCTTTCAGCATCTTAGATCCTGGGCTGAATGCTAGAGAAGGCAGCACCCTGGAAACATCAACGGACACAGACAAAACAGAGCCCCAAAAGAAACCTGTTCTCTTCACTTAAGAGACCAAAAAAAGGACATCCTAATAGGACAGATAATAACTGTTCTACTCCAACCACAAACCACAGAAAAACTATGGCCCCATCCCCATCTCTCCCAGTAAAGGCTGAATGGAGAGTCTAGACTTCTGCCTTCATCAGGATATAACGATGTGCTACAACACTCTACTGGGATGTTGTCAGAGAGGGCTGCATAGAGAGCTGGGATATCGGTTGTCCAGCAGGTGGTAAGGCCTCTTCTCCCTGATGTTAATAGAGACCATAGAGGGAGCCTGGACATCCACACCATATGGTGGTGGAAGCATCCCATTATCTCCCTGCTAGGGGGGTTGTAAAAAGGAGGCTAGTGGAGATTCAGAACCTCCACCACCACCCAGCAGGAATGAGGCCATCCCCCTACAATGTCAGTATAGGTCATGTGAGTGGAAGCCCCATGGTATCAATGCATAACTAGAGGGAATCTGTATTTCCACATTTTTTTAAACATATGGCAGAAATGAGAGGGCATCGCCTTCCCTTGCTGCTGTGGTATCAGAGGATAAGGTAAATAAAGCAAAATATTTAAATAAGATCCAGAGTCTCACAAAATAATACCTAAAATGCCTAGATTTCATTTGAAAATCACCCTTCACACCAAGAACCAGAAAAATTCAAACTCAAGTGACAAAAGGCAATCAAAGAGACCACACAGCTGTAGGAGTAATCAGAAATGAATTTTCAAACAGCCATTATAAAAATGGTTCAATTAGCAATTTTGAACACACTTGAAATAAATGAAAATATATAGTCTTAGAAAAGAAATACAAATTCCCAGAAATGACATAAAAATAGAAATTTTTGTAATAAAAATGCAATAATAGAAAAAATCCTCCATGGAAGTGCTCATTATAAGGATAGAGGCAACAGAGAAAATAATTAGTGAAGTTGAAGATAGAACAATAGAAATTACTTAGTCTGATTAACAAAAAGAAAAGTGACAGGAGAAAAAAATACCCATCAAGGAACTGTGGGATCATAACAAAGGAATCTCACATTTGTTTCATTGGAATTCCAGAAAGAGAGTAGAAAGTTGTATGGCATTTAAAAAGTATTTTTAAAAAATGACAGAATTTTTTTAAAAAAACTTGTCAAAAGATTTAAACCCACAGACTCAAGAAGCTGAGTAAACCCCAAACAGGATAAGCTAATTAAAAAAATCCTGAAAACTAGTAATAAATAAAGCCATGATTGAGAAATGAAAAATGACAACCTGACTAACTGTAGAGGAAAAGAATTCAAATGACAGCAAATTTGTTGGAGTAAACCATGGCAGCACCATATTTTTCAAGTGTTGAAAGAAGATAATTGTTAAATCAAAATGATCCAGAGAAAATATTCTTCAGGAATAAACAGAAAAATCAAATGAATTAGCACTAAAAAATTCAAGTGAATAACTAACAGAATTTGTCACCTTCAGATCTATTCTAAAAGAATGGCAAAAGGAAATTTTCTAATGATACACAAACATGATACAGAAAAATATATTGAAACATCTGAAAGTAAGAAAGAACAGAATGAGCAAAAATACGGTGAGATACAATAAATTTTTCCATATTTCTTTCTCTTGTATTTTCTAAATTATGGGCTATAGTTGAAGCAAAAAATATAATGCTCTTTTGTGTGGTTCTCAATGTATGGAGAAGAAATATTTAAGAAAATGAATGATAAACAAGGGAAGGTTAAGGAACATAAAAGGTTTCTCAATTTCAATTGAACTGGTAAAATTTTGACTCCAGTAGACTGAGATAAATAATGTATATATAATAAAATACGCATAACAACAACTAAAAGGCTATACAAAAAGATACAGTCAAAAAATTACATATGAATCAGAATGGAAATCCAAATAATATTCAACTAACTCATAGGAATATGGGAAAAAGAAAACAAAGAATCAGAAAAACAGAAAACAAATCAAAACCAAAAAATAAAATAGCAGACTTAAGACATATATCTAAAATTGCCTTTGATATAAATGGCAAATAAATTAAATGACAGAGATTAACAGAGTTAATTGTTTTAAATGACTGAACAGATTGCTGCTTACAAGAAACTGACTTTAAATACAACTCTCTCTATATATAGGTTGCTAGTAAAAGGAAGAAAAAAAATATGGTTGTTCCTTGGTATTTATGAGGGCTCTTTACAAGATCTCCCGCTAATACCAAAGTCCTTGGGTGTTCAAGTTCAAGATATAAAACGACATAGGATTTGCATATAACCTATGCACATCCTCCTGTATACTTTAAATCATCTCTAGGCTAGCTATCTAATATCGAATACAATGTAAATGCTATGTGAATAGTTTTTATACTGCATTGTTTAAAGAATTATGAAAAGAATGAAAAGATGTAGTTATTCAGTATAGATACAATTTTATTTTTTGAAAATTTTCAATCTGGAGTTGATTGAATCCATGGATGTGGAGCATGAAGAAATGTACATATATGTTATAAATCAAGTACAGTAAATGCTAATTACAGGTGGTAGATATATGGTTATTCACTACAAACATGTTTTCAATTTTTCTATATGTTTGAAAATTTATAATGAAGTGTTGGGAGACAAATTCATGTAAAAATACATTAAAATTATCCAAAGAAATGGTATTCCTTCTGTAGCAGTTCAAAAATGGTCATAGATGAGAAGTTGCTATTGTTCTGTCTAATAAGGTTTAAAAGAAAGACTCTAAAGGACACAACAGTTTCTATATAAGTTAACTGCATCTCAGAATAAACCTCAAGTTTATTTATAAGAATTCAAACATGTCCAGCCTCTAACAAAATACAATTCACAATACTTGGCAATCAAGAAAAAAGTACAAGGCATGTAAAGAAGCATAAAAATACAACCTATGATGAAAAATAGAATCAAACCAATAGTAACAGACTCATATATGAGACAGTAACATTCATGCACAAATACATTAAATGAGTTACGAGAGCTAGGTTGGATATGTTACAGAAGGTAGAGAAAAGCATAAGCCAGTTAAGGAGACAGATGCAAAATATAATAAAGATCCATTGAATTTATAGTGATTAAAAAATCTAAAATTTAATATGAAAATAATGCATTGGATGGGTTTAACAGACAATTAGACACTGCAGGAAAAAAAAAACAATTAGTAAACATGAAGGTATATCAGTAGAAATTATACCAAGTGAAACACAAATATTAATGCTAGTAATAGTAACAATAAATAATGGTAATAATAAACAGAGCATCAGTGAGCTGTGGGACAACTCCAAGTAGACAAAAATACATGTAAGTAAAGTCTCTGAAGAGGGGGGCAGAAAAAATATTTGAAGAAATAAGGCTAAAAGCTTTCCAAATTTAATAGAAACTATACACTCTCAGATCCAATAAGTCTGACAAATCCCAAGTACAAGAAAAATGAATAAAGTTCTGTTAAAGCGTGTCATGACCAAATTGGTTAAATAAATGGTAAACTGAAAATTTTATAAATAGCCAGAACAGAAAAACATAGTATATGCAGAGGAGCAGAGAAAACAATGACAGCAAACTTCTTTTAAAAAACACACTACATGACAGTGAAGCACATCTTTAAAGCATAAGAGAAAAATCTCTTAGCTCGAAATCTGTAGCAAGTAAAAATATATTTTAAAAACAAAGTCTGGCCCAGCACGGTGGCTCATGCCTATAATCCTAGTGCTTTGGGAGGCCGAGGCAGGCAGATCACTTGAGGTCAGGAGTTCAAAACTAGCCTGACCAATTTACATACATATACATATATATACACACATATATGCATATATATGTGTATATATATGTATATAAATTAGCAGGGTGTGGTGGTGGGCGCCTATAATTCTAGCTACTTGGGAGGCTGAGGCAGGAGAATCGCTTGAATGCGGGAGACGGAGGTTGCAGTTAACCGAGATTGTGCCATTGCACTCCAGCCTGTGCAACAACAGTGAAACTCCATCTAAAAAAAAGAAAAACAACAACAAAAAAAAAACCCCAAAACTATATGAACTTCTTTTCAGACATGCGAAAGCTAAAATAATATATTACCCTTAGACCTACTATACAAGAAATTTTAAAAGAATTATTTCAGCAAGAAGAAAAATACCAGATGGAAATATGGATTTATACAAAGGAATGAAGAACAATGGAAATAAGTGGGTATCTATAAAAGTTTGTTAAAATATCTTTTAAAATCTTCTTTTAATTATAAGTGACCATGTAAAGCTGAAAAATGACATTGTGGGTTTTAGAATATATATAGAAATAAAATATTTTACTAAAAGAGCACAGAGTTTAATAGTGGAAAACAGTAGTGTACTGTTATAATTTTACTGCACCATGCATGAAGATTTACAATATGTTTAGAAGCTAGTGCATGATAAGTTTACATAATTCATAATTCCATTTACTTAAAAATTATGGAAAATGCAAACTAATCTATGGTGATAGGAGGAGATCAATGGTTGCCTAAGGATGATAGACAAGGACCTAGGAAAGCAGGGATAGATTACAAGATGGCAGAAGGAAAGCATTGGAGTTGATTGATATATTCAATATCTTGATTGTGACAATGGTTTTACAAGTTTATACACATTTATTAATGAAAACATTCAATCATAATTCATTTGAATAATTTGGAAAAATTAGTTCCCTCTTTTAAAAAATGTTTCAGAGTTGATCATTTACTATGTGTCAGGCTTTGTATCAAAAGCATTATATGAAAGATCTTCTTTCATATTTATGACATGCATTACCATGAAAATACAATTATTATGTCTATTCCATACAAGGGAAAACAGAGGTGAAAATGACTGTGTAAGTTACTCAGTGTAACAGAGCGAGTTTTTTGCAGGACCAGAATTCAAGCTTGGACAGTCTGATTTCAGGATCTATAGTCTTCAGGATCCATACTCTTATCACCTACTTTATCCAGCTAATACTGATATTTTGCTCTAATATCAATGTTAAAATCAGTTTTAAGACTAAAAGAAATGGTCAAATGTGTAATTCACACTTCTTTCTTTTTCCTCCTGCAACCTCCATCACCCCTGGAATTGATCAGTTCTGTACTGAAGCACAAGGTGGCTGCAGTAGCATTTAATCTCTCTGACGTTGTTTCATCCTCTCCGCAAAGATCTTGCTGACCATTTCCAGAACTACTGTCATGATACACTAGTTTCCATAGGTCACCTGCCTTTTCAGGATCTTAGAATAACCCTGTGATTCAAAATCCTATTCAAACTTCACAAAATTCCCCATCACTGCCTGCCAGTTACATATTATCACTTGTAATTTTACATATACACAACTCTTGTCACTAGCATGTGACATACATATTCTCAGGCCAGTGTCTGAGTTCAATTGCTCTCTCCAATAAGGACTTCCACTCAACTTATTTTACAGTATTTGAATCTCCTCCTTTCTTTTTTACTGAAATCAAACTCTATTTGCTTCATGGATTCTATTCTGGATCCTGTAATCCATACTCATATCCTCCTTTTCGAATGCATTTGATGTTTATAATCAGCACTTAATATTTAACCCTTGTTTACTGGTTATAGATAAGGCTCGTGAGATTATAAACACTTTCAGAGCAAGACCTACTTCTCCTTTTGTGTCGACTACAATTCCAAAGCAGTTGGAATATCAGTATGTCTTTGCAAGTTTTCTGAATCACAAAGTATACATTTTATGTTGTGAAGTGTTTCTGTACATAGCTTTAAAGTCAATATTACTTATATATTTTTTACTTACAGTTAGTTATGTCAACATCATTATGGCCACTTTGGGTGAATAGGGTTATGGTTAAAGAGCTATCCAGTTACATGATTCATTTCCGTAAATGTAAAAAGTGCATGTATAGTGTTTGTATTCACATCATCTACCACCACTGTGACACAGATATTGTACTAGGTAATTATGTTAAGTATATTATTTTATATATTTTGTATTGTTACACTTTCGAATCTTACAGGACTTTAGGCTTATTGTTTTGAGCAGTAATTCCCATTACACAGGATTATTGATGCTAGCAAGTTCAAAGATTTGGCTGAATGGGCCAACATCTTTCAGAAATGTATTAACTTTTCTATTTGTCTTTAAAACATATAATTTAATTTTTTAGCAAATACCAAGTTTCTGTTTTGTTGCAATAACTGGAAGAGGTAGTGGGAACACAGTGTAAACAGGATATAGGCTCTGCAATCAAGGAGGTTATAGCCTATATTTGTGAAGAAGACAAATGCATAGGCAATGGGATTACAGCATGAGGCAGGCTGTAAAAGAAAGGCATCCAGAGTCCTGTGCATCACAGAGGAGAGTTGTATAACTCAACTGGAGCTACCTATGCTAAAAATGTAGAATCGTGCATTAAAATTTGGACATAATCACATATACTGTCACAAAGCAGTACCAATTTGAGTTCAGTTTTTGAAATTTTCACTTGGAATCGCTGGTACTTTCAATTCAGTTAAACTAATGTTTCTGGGTCTTAGATTGCTTCCTAGGTTATAAACAGCCTTCTAGATGCTATTGTTAATAGAAAGAATAGAAAGATCAGCCTGTCTTCTGGATGTACAAATATTCTCTGTAGCGGACTATCCTTCTAATTTGAAGATGGCAACAAGAACTTGGTCTGGCAAAAAGAATGGGTGATCAATATGCATACTGTTATATTTGGTCAAAAATCGATATATGATTATAGTGTTGAGGCTTATGTTTTTTCAGGCCTTGTACATTGATTTTTTAACAACGCCAAAAATAGCATATATAAAAAATATTTTGAGAAGTAAAAACACCTTAACATATTATTTCTCACCTTGATATATAAGATTCTATGTCAGAATCACTTATTATGTATTTGTAGTCCTTGTGATGTCCCTTCTCCCTCTTTCATCTTTTCAAGAGCTCATTTAATAGCATTGGAATTACTCCCAGATTTTAAAATAAGAACCACAAAGCCAGCTCTACAAAGAGAATGTCTTCTGATATAATTGAACCAATAGAATAATGTTGGTACTTGTTGAGTAAAACATCCAAACCAATCTGAGTTTAAAATATTTATAACACCCAGGAAGGAATCCAAGCTTGTTAAAGAGTTTTATCATGTTGCAAATGTTTTGCACAAATAGAGTGACTTAAATGAGAGTTTGCCTCAGAAGACTCTCCTTTCAACACTTTTATTTGGTTAATGTTAAGTCTACTACATTTACTAGTTTAAAAAGAAAATAAATACAAGAAAGTAAAAAAAAAAATCAAAACCATACTAAGATTGAGTCAACCTCTCTTTAAAGTTTTTCTGTGAGGGAAGTCAAAAGTAACAGCCACACACACACACACACACACACACACACACACACACACACACACACACATTTGTTAGATTAATTGTCTAAACTATATTTGATTTTATACCCAAATTATAGCAAACACTTGTCACTCATTGATTGTGGAATGTTTTCTCAGTCTTTTATTTACAGTTCTGTTTGGAAAACTCAACTCTCTAAAGCACATACTAAATAATGACTTAAAAAGTGAAGGGAAATTAACCTTACAGAAAATGAAAAGCCCAATGAAATGTGAATTATAAATATTGAAAAAGCAATTAATTCAAATTATTCTTCGATTCATTATAATTAGGTGATCTGTGCTTTTCATAAAATTAAAACTTTTCTTACTGTTGATTTTTTATGGCAACTAACTGGGAGCCTGTATGACTGTCTTCTTTGATGTTGCTTTGCTACTTTCTAATCTTCCTTTTATAGTTATATGTATACATCCAAACTAAGAAACTCAACTGAGAGTGCTTAACAAAACTGTGATCAAAAGAATCCTTAAAATTGCCTGTAAAAATATCTTAATTCAGAGATATGTGTCAACATGCAAACCATTCTTTGATACTGATCTGCTTGGTTTTGTTCACAGAATCAAACACAACTTTACTGGAAATTAATGATAATAAATATTTTTGTTTCCTCAATATTGTAGAGGGGTAGTTAGAAAGATAGTTTAATTCACTGCTGTGGCTTTCCAAATATGTTCCTTGGAAATGTGGATCTTCAAGGACCATTTGGAACTCACAGTGTTGAATATATGTATAGCCTATGCTTGGAGTCATGTTTTTGTGCTTTACTTCTAATGGTGAATTGGGAGCCTGAAGTTACAATCACAGCATAGAAACAAAAAGAGAGAAAATTTATGGGTAGGAATACAAAGATACTAATCTTACAGATATAACACTGTGTTAGATATAGAGGAATTAATGATAATCTCAGTTTGGTTCCTTGAACAGCAGCATAATAGATAAAAATATGCTTTTTGGAGGCATGCAGCAGGTTTTCAGATATTGAATGACGTTTTCTATGAGCAACATTTCCTATGACTCAGTTTCCTTAAACATAAAATTGTGTTAATATGACTTAATCATCAAAGGGAAAATGCAATAATAAAAATATTCGAAAAATCTGAGACAAACCAAGAAAGGACAGTAAAAAAAAAAAAAAAAAAAGGAACAGAAGAGGGAGGCCACAGAGCACAAAATAAGATGGTAGATATGAACCCAAATATTTGGATAATTACAATAAATGTAACTATACTAAATGTTCCAATTAAAATACCAGTATTTTCAGACTAGATTTAAAGATTTAAAATCAAATTATAGTCTTTTACAAAAGGCACATATGAACATAGTGCTACAAAAATATTAGAAATAAGTTGAGGGAAAAAGAAACACTTTACCACTATATCCAAAAGAAAGTCTGTGGAGCCATGCTAATATCAGGCACACCAAACTTTAATGCAAGAAAACTACTAGAGATAAGAAGACGCATTCCTGTGATAAAGATTCACAGGGCAAGAACTATTTAAAATTTGAGTACACTCAATAACATAGCCACAAAATGTAGAAAGCAGAAAAAGACAAATCTATGGGGAGAAAATAAATCAACTTACAGTTATAGTGGGAAATTTGAACCAGCTCCTTTCAATATTTTATAGAGCAAGATGGAAAAGTCAACATAATACAAATGCAATACGCAAGAAAAACAAGTATCGATGCCTAGTTTGGAGTAGCTATGCATCATTCAGTAAGATGAGCTAACAGGCCTGAAAATGAAGTCTTTTGAGACATCACCCCTTCTTCCATCCTTTCCACACTTGTTCACTCTGGGTTCAACTTTCCTGAATTCTGTTAGTAACTTGACAAAGTCAGACCCATTAGCTTAGCACAGTCTTTAATGAAAGAACATTTCTTATTCTTTCCCTCACTGCTTCTTAAGGCAAAGTTCCATCAATGATGGACTATTCCATTTTCCAGTGTTCAGCTTTATTCGTTTCCAGCCAGAACTTAATCAAGATTTAAGGTCAATGAATAGAGTCAGTCTGGCCCTTGAGAGAATGAATGAGAGCAAAGGACAAATGTGACTTAGAAAATTCTTATCACTGCCATTAGACCTACAGACAATCAAATAATATCTGGCTCTTTAAAGACTTTATTTTAACACTCCAGTGATCTGACTGGCTTATAATTTGGAAAAGGAAACCCAGCTAGGGCCAGTCAAGGCAATTACATATAAGAAGGAAAGCTTGATTGTTTTTCCATGCAGGAAAACATTAAGAAAATTAAGTCTTTCCCCTTTTGTCCAAGTATTGGCTGTAATTATAGATAGCAGGGATTCTTAGTTACTATAAAATATAGAAGTGCTTTTATATTGCTGCTAACTATATAGTTGTTTATTAAAGGATTATAGGAAAGCTTTGGTTTAATGAGTGCATTTTTGAAAAACAATGGGGAGAAAAGGCATTACTACATAATACTGCTGCTCCTTTATTATTAGCTTGAAAGGACAGCCAAAGTAATGTTAAACTAGCTCAGCCTCCATTCTAATATGAATTTCCCCTTAGTTGTTCTATCACTACCTCTTCTTTCTTAAAAAGACAGGGAAATGCAAATATATAATGTTGTAGCACAAAAGCTATTTAAATTACAATTTTCCTGTGACATTGTCCGGTGTTCTCAGCCTGGTAGGCAAAACAGAAACTCTTGATTTATATCAGAATAAATTTAGAAACATGATGGAAACTTGGTAATAGAGGTGAAGAATATATGTCAAAGAAAAGCAATGTTCTAAGTCAAAAATAAGTTGAATGTTTAGAGTTGGAAAGAAATTTTTAAAAAGACACATTAATTAGGTTGTAGCCAATTCCAATAACTGCCATAATCATAGTGATTATTATTACTAATTGTACAACAGTCTACTCTAACATTGAACATGCAAAACTCAATGGAGTATCATCAGAAAACAACTTGTCTCCCACAGTCCCTTTAAATTTACCCTGTGGGTTTAAGCTTTCCCTTGCCCCTGGAAGAAAAATGAAACAAATCTTCAGGGTGTTTCTCTTTAATCCTAAGTAGTGCAAATCATTATCCAGTCTCTTTGATTCACACAACATAGTTTCAGTTTAGTAACCAATTGTTTAGGTCTATGTAATAGTGATAACTTCAGTATCACTTTCAAGTCCAACTTCTTCCCTGACTTGCTTACCATAAATGAGAATCTGAAGATAGAGAAAGGGCTTACAGTTCCTTACTCCATTTCTGCCACATGCCTTTATTCCTACTTTACCCATTTTGTTAATTATGACTTTCGGCCCCCTATGATTGGAGCAGTAGGAGGAGGAGAGGAAATAGAAGCAGGAAATTTCCAGTGATTGGTGCCATTGTGAAGATCTAGCACCCTCTGAGCTTGGCAGATGTTTCCATTCATTCTCAGAAATCTCGACATCACTCTGACAAATGCAACTGAGGTTCCGTAAGTGTTGAACTTATCTCTATTCTAACTTTTCCCTTGTGATTCCTTTCACAGCCTCTAGGCATCACCATTATGCTCAGCTTCTTTCTGCTGTGAAGTTGGATATGTTCAAAGGCACCCAATGTTGGCTTCTGTTTGTTTGTTTTCACGCAGAAGTGCCAAAGGAAATTCTCATGCTTCCACTACCCTGAAAACCCTGAAAAATTTGTGAATGCTGGAAAATTTGAGGGAATAACAATTGCTTATCTTTTCCACCATCAGAGCAATTAACCAATCACCTAGTCTACCTTCAGATATGTGTGTATATATATATATATATATATATATATATATATATATATATATATATATATATATATATATATAGTATGTCAGAGAGCAGTCCATTGTGTCTCACAAACTAGGTTAGAGCCATGTAAGATGTTCTGAGTTCCCAAGTAAAGCTTCTTTTCTTAGTCTGGAAGTGAGAAACAGGCTTCCTGTAATCCTTCTTTATAGAAGTTGTGATGGTCATCCACTAATATCTGTTAGCCAAAGTATATTCTAATCTGTAACCACGTGAAGCCCTCTTATCTCCTCAAAGGGGATGAATAGTTTAAAAGTCATAAATTGTTTATAACTGGTTAATATGCATTCCTGGTATCATACCTTTTCACTTCTCTTTAAAATGTGGTATGTATTGCCACAGTACTTCAACTACAACTTCCATTTTACATTGTGTTACATTAAGCTTGATGTTATCATTGCACAAATAAGGAGAGTACTTGGTCACAACTAATTTCATTTGATAGATCACTCTTGCACAAAGTTCTTAGATTAATCACTGATTGGGCTAGAAATCAGTGCACAAAAATATCTAGGAATGCTATGGCATTATTCTTACCCTGTGTAGTTGTAGAAGTGGTCCGAAATATGAAGAATAGCACTTTGCATTTTACTAATGTTTATAATTGTAGAACTTTTTGCTAACATTCTTCTACTTACTCATTATTATGATTGCTTTGTAAGGACTGAGTGGATAGTTAGAGATAGGCTAAATAAAGACCTTGTCCTGAAGAAATAAAAGATTACTGGTGAATTTGGAAGCACTAAATCCCCAGAACGTTTATTGCCCCTAAATAATTGCCTGTATTGTGTCTCCACAATAATTTTTTTTATGTTTTCCAGATTATGCAAGCATAGACTAGCGGAAGCAAATTGAAAGCAAGTTTTTACAATGATTACTGCATAATATTAGGTTCTTTTACCAAGTATAGTTTTGCTCTTTAAATAACAGGAATATCACACTCTAATTGAGTCCCTGAGTAATACTGTGTTCAGAAATTCCTTACAAGTTCATTAATGTATTTTCCAGAAAAGCTTGGTAGAAAAGTGTCCAGATCATTCTTTTAGTCACAAGAGAAACTAATAAAGAAAACTGCTGACAGTAAAGACTGCAGGGCTAAGTCCAAGAAACCTGGATTTTCACTTCATGGAAGTGTCATCTCACACAAGATATTTAATTTCCTTGGACTTCATTTTACTTGTTTTCCAAAATATTGAATAATCCTGTATAGGCCGCCTCATAGATTACAAAATAAAATCCATGCATAAAAGTCCTTTGCAATTTTAATAAAAGTTTAAATCACTTTGTTCAGTTATGATCACCACCATTGCTATCACTATTCTTTGGATTTTATTATTTAAATCCTCATGTGGGGTATTGTCATTTAGGCCTTTAAAAAAAACTCTGAAATATTATAGATATTTTAAGAAATAATCTAAATTTGGTGAAATTTGTAACTTAAGACTAGCTGGGACTATGTAACTATAGATTTTTTTCATACACACAAAAATGTTCTCTGATATTAATATTATGCTGAGATTAGGGGAGGTATAAGAGATCAAATCTTGCCAAACTGATAATGTATACATTATAAATGTGACTATCATCATTTTTGATAGACCCACTAAAATTTATTATTCTCATTCTTTAAAGGTCATCATGGAAAAATGATGACCACACTCATCTGTGGGTGAAGATTCAATATATTTTCGCAAGAGGAAAGGGACTACTAGATGCACAGACAACTCATAATGTATCTGTTTTGACAGGAAACTCAACGTATTGAAATAATGATTTTGGATTAATCTAGAGCAGGTCACCTAAAGCGAGTGCTAAAAAAGGTCAAAAAGCAACAACACTCAATAAAGCAATAAAGTTAGTACATTTCCTCTAGTTTTCATTGTCTATATTAAAAACAGCTGTAATGTGGAAGAAATATCCAGCCCCAAGTGTGCAAGGAGTGCCAAAACCTCAAAACCACCAAAGGTATAAAACCATGTCCTACTTAATTGAGGCTGGATGAAAAATGATAGTAAAATGTTGCTTGAGGTTTTCACATAGAGCTTTCCTCAAGCCAGAAGAAAATAAACAATCTCCAGATGTTCAGATGATGTGCACATTTCCTTTACTAATGTTTTCATGTGGTCTCCCAGTTAATTGTTTATAGCAGTTCTAACTGGGAAAAGAATAACATTTTATTTTAGAGACTTTTCTCAAAGATAGATGTTTAGGTGTATAAATCATTCTTTTCTCACTTAAACTTCGAATCTCTTAGGAATAGTGGGATGAAACTTCTTGGAACCACAAAATGAAGCTAATGCTAAAACCAGTGCAATTTGCTGTCTGGCGAAAGAAGCAGGTCAGCTGCCTATAACCACCTTCAGCTAAGGGGTGGTCTAATTAGGTATAAGACAATATTTTTCCGATTATTTCATTCAAGACATTTAAATCGAATGACATAGTCTATGCCATCTCCTTCTTTGACAGATACTCAACCAGATTCCACTTTATGGAATTCTATAATGCCCTCTTATTTCTAAGTGATCTGAGTTGAGGAGGTACTGCCAAAATGAACTAGGAGCTAGGTTTAATGGTATGGCTGTTTTAAATTACCAAGTGTAATCAAGTATCTCTTTTCTACAAATATTCTGACTATTATCATTGTACATGAGTCAATTTACTATTTTTTGTTTTGATTTAGGTTTGGCATCATTAAAGGTATAGACATGGTCAGAAATTATAGATTAACATGATGTATTACTTTTTTTGAAGATATATATTTTTTCTAGGATTTTTCCCTTATTGCAATAAGTTGACAGTAAGGGGCAAAGTGAAAAGGGCATTACTTTTCTGCTGTTTCCAACTTTCAGGATGTATTATTGTCTAAAACATTCCATGAGCATCAGGACCCATTTATAATTGTGTGTGTGTGTGTGTGTGTGTGTGTGTGTGTGTTGGAAGGGGGTATTTTTTATTTTTTAAAAAAACAATTTTCTCAGGAATATATTCACTCAAATTTGATCTTAGTTCCTTATAAAACTACTTAAAATTTTAATTTTAAATAGTTTTTTTTTTGGAAGGGCAGTACTCTCAAGGAACCATTATTATTCCCTGTAGAAAATTCAACTACCATTTTTTTCTGCTTATTTTACACAGAAAGATTTACCACAAGGATAACTTGAAATAATACTTGTCTTAATTTTGTTATTACCATCATAAAAATTACAATAAACTTAGTGACTTAAACAATACAAACATATTCTCTTCTCTGATAGTTATGGAGGTCAGAGTCCAAAATAGAACTTAATGGCCTAAAATCAAAATGTGTACAGGGCATTCTAGAGGCTCTAGGGAAGACTCTATTTCCTTGACTTTTTCAGCTTCTAGAGCTGCTTGCATTCCTTGGCTCATAGCTTCTTCCAGCTCAAAGTCAGCATCTTTTAATTGCTCTCTGAGTCCGATGCTCACTCTTCTGACTCCTTCTTTCACTTATTAGAATCTCTTTGATTAAGTTGGGCACACTCGGATAACCCAAGATAAACTCCCCACCTAAAAGTCAGCTGATTAACAACTTTTCCCATCTGAAAACATAATTTCCCCATCGTATAGGAATAAGATATTCAAAGTTTACAGAAATTAGGACATGGGTATCTTTGGGTGGAGGGGAATGAAGTGAGATGATTATTCCTACTAGCATAATAATTAATCAAGAAAATAGTAGTAATATGGTTACTTCCAGAGACAACAGTCATACCTGAATTCTCTCGAATGCTCACATCCTTTGACTTCACTGTCTTCATACCTCATGGGGATATGGGTTGGATGTTCCATTTCAGTTGCAATTCCCTGTTTGAGGGTTACAGTTCTTCAGAGACATAACATATTAATTATTATTATTTTTTAACTTCTTGAGACTACCCAAAAAGTATTAGACAAACAGATTAAGTGGGTTCTTTATATTCTGCTTGTTTGAAGTGCCTTACTTTTGATATTGTTGTTGCAATTTCAATATCTACTTGGCAAGTTCAAGGTGCTGCCAAAAGGAACTATTGCATGGCAGGCTGCCTGCCTCCTTAGGGACCCTCCTGAAGTGATGTGGCACATATCTCAACAATGCAGAAAAAATTAATACATTTGAAATGTTTTGTTGTGCTAACTTTGGGTTTGTGAACTGACATGTCTTGAGTGTCCGTCGTGTCGGGTGTGTTTAATGAGCAACTTTTATTTATCCCTTGAAACCACCTTTCATAGATGGTGAAGTTGGGGCTCAGTTTTCTGACCTTGCCCAGAAAACATAAACAAGATCACACAGCCAATATCTGGCGGAGTTGAGATTCAAATTTGGTTCTGTCTGATGTAATTACTTAACTAATAATACACCGTAACAAAAACTAAGGAGGGGCATTTTAAAATATAACTATAGTTATACATAGGAGTAAAAAAAGAAAATAGCTCATTCAGTATGATATTGGCTGTGGATTTGTCATAAATAGCTGTTATTATTTTGAGAAACGTTCCATCAATACCTAGTTTATTAAGAGTTTTTAGCATGAAGGGCTGTGGAATTTTGTCCAAGGCCTTTTCTGCATCTATTGAGATAATCATGTGGTTTTGTTGTTGGTTCTGTTTATGTAATGGATTATGTTTATTGATTTGCGTATGTTGAACCAGCCTTGCATCGCAGTGATGAAGCCAACTTGATCGTGGTGGATAAGCTTTTTGATGTGCTGCTGGATTCGGTTTGCCAGTATTTTACTGAGGATTTTCACGTCGATGTTCATCATGGATATTGGTCTAAAATTATCTTTTTTTTTTGCTGTGTCTCTGCCAGGCTTTGGTATCAGGATGTTGTTGGCCTCATAAAAGGAGTTAGGGAGGATTCCCTCTTTTTCTATTGATTGGAATAGTTTCAGAAGGAATGGTGCCAGCTCCTCTTTTTACCTCTGGTAGAATTCAGTTATGAATCTGTCTCGTCCTGGACTTTTTTTGGTTGGTAAGCTATTAATTATTGCCTCAATTTCAGAACCTGTTACTGGTCTATTCAGAGATTCAACTTCTTCCTGGTTTAGTCTTTGGAGGGTGTATGTGTCCAGAAATTTATCCATTTCTTCTAGATTTTCTAGTTTATTTCCATAGAGGTGTTTATAGTATTTTCTGATGGTAGTTTGTATTTCTGTGGGATCAGTGGTGATATCCCCTTTATCATTTTTTATTGCATCTATTTGATTCTTCTGTCTTTTCTTTTTTATTAGTCTTCCTAGCAGTCTATCAATTTTGTTAATCTTTTCGAAAAAAGCAGCTCCTGGATTCGTTGATTTTTTGAAGGGTTTTTTGTGTCTCTATCTCCTTCAGTTCTGCTCTGATCTTAGTTATTTCTTGCCTTCTGCTAGCTTTTGAATTTGTTTGCTCTGCTTCTCTAGTTCTTTTCATTGTGATGTTAGGGTTTCGATTTTAGATCTTTCCTGCTTTGTCTGTGGGCATTTAGTGTTACTAGTTTTCCTCTACACACTGCTTTGAATGTGTCCCAGAGATTCTGGTATGTTGTGTCTTCGTTCTCATCGGTTTCAAAGAAGATCTTTATTTCTGCATTCATTTCGTTATTTACCCAGTAGTCATTCAGGAGCAGGTTGTTCAGTTTCCATGTAGTTGTGTGGTTTTGAGAGAGTTTCTTAATCCTGAGTTCTAGTTTGATTGCATTGTTGTCTGAGACACAGTTTGTTGTGATTTCTGTTCTTTTACATTTGCTGAGGAGTGCTTTACTTCCAACTATGTGGTCAATTTTGGAACAAGTGCAATGTAGTGCTGAGAATAATATATATTCTGTTGATTTGGAGTGGAGAGTTCTATAGATGTCTATTAGGTCTGCTTGGTGCAGAGCTGAGTTCAAGTCCTAGATATCCCTGTCAACCTTCTGTCTTGTTGATCTGTCTAATATTGACAGTGGTGTGTTAAAGTCTCCCATTATTATTGTGTGGGACTCTAAGTCTCTTTGTAGGTCTGTAAGAACTTGCTTTATGAATCTGGATGTTCCTGTATTGGGTGCATACATATTTAGGACAGTTAGCTCCTCTTGTTGAATTGATCCCTTTTCCGTTATGTAATGGCCTTCTTTGTCTCTTTTGATCTTTGTTGGTTTAAAGTCTGTTTTATCAGAGACTAGGATTGCAACCCCTGCTTTCCTTTTGCTTTCCATTTGATTGGTAGATCTTCCTCTATCTCTTAATTTTGAGCCTACGTGTGTCTCAACAAATGAGATGGGTCACCTGAATACAGCCCATTGATGGGTCTTGACTCTTTAACCAACTTTTCAGTCTGTGTCTTTAATTCAACCCATGTACATTTAACCCATTTACATTTAAGGTTAATATTGTTATGTGTGAATTTGATCCTGTCATTATGATGTTAGCTGGTTATTTTGCCCATTAGTTGATGCAGTTTCTTCTTAGTATCAATGGACTTTACAATTTGGCATGTTTTTGCAGTAGCTGGTACTGGTTGTTCCTTTCCATGTTTAGTGCTTCCTCCAGGAGCTCTTGTAAGGCAGGCCTGGTGGTGACAAAATCTCTCAACATTTGCTTGTCCATAAAGGATTTTATTTCTCCTTCATTTGTGAAGCTTAGTTGGCTGGATATGAAATTCTGGGTTGAAAATTCTTTTCTTTAAGAATGTTGAATATTGACCCTCACTCTCTTCTGGCTTGTAGAGTTTCTGCTGAGAGATCTGCTGTTAGTCTGATGGGCTTCTCTTTGTGGGTAACCCAACCTTTCTCTCTGGCTGCCCTTAACATTTTTTGCTTAATTTCAACCTTGGAGATTCTGACAATTATGTGTCTTGGGGGTTGCTCTTCTCGAGGAGTATCTTTGTGGTGTTCTCTGTATTTCCTGAATTTGAATGTTGGCCTGCCTTACTAGGTTGGGGAAGTTCTCCTGGATAATATCCTGAAGAATGTTTTCCAGCTTGGTTCTACTCTCCTGGTCACTTTCAGGTACACCAATCAAACATAGATTTGGTCTTTTCACATAGTCTGATATTTCTCGGAGGCTTTGCTGATTTCTTTTCACTCTTTTTTCTCCAAACTTCTCTTCTCGCTTCGTTTCATTAATTTGATCTTCAATCACTGATACCCTTTCTTCCACTTGATCAAATCGGCTATCCCACAGCCAATATCATACTGAATGGGCGAAAACTGGAAGCATTCCCTTTGAAAACTGGCACAAAACAGGGATGCCCTCTCCCTCCACTTCTATTTAACATAGTTTTGGAAGTTCTGGCCAGGGCAATCAGGCAAGAGAAAGAAATAAAGGGTATTCAATTAGGAAAAGAGGAAGTCAAATTGTCCCTGTTTGCAGATGACATGATTGCATATTTAGAAAACCCCATTATCTCAGCCCAAAATCTCCTTAAGCTGATAAGCAACTTCAGCAAAGTCTCCAGATACAAAATCAGTGTGCAAAAATCACCAGCATTCCTATACACCAATAACAGACAAACAGAGAGCCAAATCATGAGTGAACTCCCATTCATAATTGCTACAAAGAGAATAAACTACCTAGGAATCCAACTTACCTGGGATGTGAGGGACCTCTTCATGGAGAACTACAAACCACTGCTCAATGAAATGAAAGAGGACACAAACAAATGGAAGAACATTCCATGCTCATGGATAGGAAAAATCAATACCATGAAAATGACCATACTGCCCAAGGTAATTTATAGATTCAATGCCATCCCCATCAAGCTACCAATGACTTTCTTCACAGAATTGGAAAAAACTACTTTAAAGTTCATGTGAAACCAAAAAAGAGCCCGCGTTTCCAAGACAATCCTAAGTCAAAAGAACAAAGCTGGAGGCATCATGCTACCTGACTTCAAACTATACTGCAAGGCTACAGTAACCAAAACAGCATGGTGCTGGTACCAAAACAGAGATATAGACCAATGGAACAGAACAGAGGCCTCAGAAATAACATCACACATCTACAACCATCTGATCTTTGACGAACCTGACAAAAAAAGAAATAGGGATAGGATTCCCTATTTAATAAATGGTGCTGGGAAAACTGGCTAGCCATATGTAGAAAGCTGAAACTGGATCCTTTCCTTACACCTTATACAAAAATTAATTCAAGATGGATTAAAGACTTAAATGTTAGACCTAAAACCATAAAAACCCTAGAAGAAAACCTGGGCAATACCATTCAGGACATAGGCATGGGCAAGGACTTCATGACTAAAACACCAAAAGGAATGGCAATAAAAGCCAAAATAGACAAATGGGATCTAATTAAACTAAAGAGCTATTGCACAGCAAAAGAAACTATTATCAGAGTGAACAGGCAACCTACAGAATGGGAGAAAATTTTGCAATCTATCCATCCGACAAAGGGCTAATATCCAGAATCTGCAAAGAACTTAAACAAATTTACAAGAAAAAAACAACCCCATCAAAAAGTGGGTGAAGGATATGTACAGACACTTCTCAAAAGAAGACATTTATGCAGCCATCAGACATATGAAAAAATGCTCATCATCATCGGTCATCAGAGAAATGCAAATCAAAACCACAATGAGATACCATCTCACACCAGTTAGAATGGCGATCATTAAAAAGTCAGGAAACAACAGATGCTGGAGAGCATGTGGAGAAGTAGGAACGCTTTGACACTGTTGGCGGGAATGCAAACTAGTTCAACCATTGTGGAAGACAGTGTGGCGATTCCTCAAGGATCTAGAACTAGAAATACCGTTTGACCCAGTGATCCCATTACTGGGTATATACCCAAAGGATTATAAATCATGCTACTATAAAGACACATGCACATGTATGTTTATTGCGGCACTATTCACAATAGCAAAGACTTGGAACCAACCCAAATGTCCATCAGTGATAGACTGGATTAAGAAAATGTGGCACATATACACCATGGAATACTATGCAGCCATAAAAAAGATGAGTTCATGTCCTTTGCAGTGACATGGATGCAGCTGGAAACCATCATTATGAGCAAACTATCACAAGGACAGAAAATGAAACACCGCATGTTCTCACTCATAGGTGGGAATCGAACAATGAGAACTCTTGGACACAGGTTGGGGAACATCACACCCCGGGGCCTGTTGTGGGCTGAGGGGACGGGGGAGGGATAGCATTAGGAGAAATACCTAATGTAAATGACAAGTTAATGGGTGCAGCAAACCAACATGGCACATGTATACCTATGTATCAAACCTGCACATTGTGCACGTGTACCCTAGAACTTAAAGTATAATAATAAAAAAATTAAATAAATAAAAAGAAAACAACAATGCCATGTTAATTAGGGCAATGCAAGTCTTGAGGATAGAGTGATCAACATTGCATTTGTGGAAGAGAAAGGGAAGAATTAAGGATTATAAGATCACTTAATTAGTGTTGATCCATCTACAAGACAGGGGTATTGGTATTATGATGAGTCAGATGGCAAAATGCAGGGAGATCAAGGGTGATAGGAAATGAAGATAGAAATAAAAAACAATCTCAATGCCAAAAATGAAAGCACTGAAGGAAAGGAAAGAGAATGAATAGCAATTAGAATAAAAGAAGAGCATCTGTTGGTGCTATATAAAAAACCAACACTGGAGTTAAACATATATGAGAGAGAACTTTGCTTCTGCAATTTAATAGACATAACTGTGGCCATTTAATAACTATTTGGACTGCAGTTTCCCATCTGAAAAATAGGGCCATAATAATTAATTAATGTTGTTGTAAGGATAAAGTATAAAAATATTAGATATCATTAGCACTAGAGGATTTAAATGCTGAAAGAAAAGGACTTGATGGAAGAGAATGGGCAGTAATGGTGACAAGTAATGGAGATGTTGAGTGTTTTTTTTTTTTTTTTTTTTTTTTTTGAGACAGAGTCTGTCTCTTGTTGCCCAGGTTGGAGTGCAGTGGCACGATCTCGGCTCACTGCAACCTCTGCCTCTTGGGTTCAAGCGATTTTCCTGCCTCGGCCTCCTGAGTAGCTGGGAATACAGGCATGCACCACCTCACCCAGCTAATTTTGTATTTTTAGTAGAGACAGGGTTTCTCCATGTTGGTCAGCCTGGTCTTGAACTCCTACTTCAGGTGATCCTCTCACCTTGGCCACACCCAGCCGACATGTTGGTTTTTAAGGAGACTGAGATGGATTGAAATCCAGAGGCTAAGTGGAAGAGTTAACATTCAGCCAAAGATTTATATTGTGTGTAGCTCCTTAAGTAAACTCATAGAGTAATTCCATAATGGTGAGAATGAGATACCATTAGAAAATGTCAGATGAGGGGATAAAAGAGTCTCTGATCTCCTTTAAGTTCTTCAGAGTGTCATTGGCTCTATCTCTGCCTCTTTCTAGTCAGTTCTGAAACCTCTGCTAAGAAAGAATACAGTATCTCAGAAATCCCTCTCAAATACGAAGCATTATTAGATTTATGCAGCTTGACTAACTTCTTAGCTTTGTAATATTAATTGGTGGCCTAGTGTGCAGTGGTGTGAATGTGGGGACTTGCATTGGTGTTCTCTGATACGACAATGATAACCCATCAGGAGATGCATGAGTGGGCTTCTGTATAACTGGGCAACAATTCCTTTCCACAAGCAAGGTAATCTAGTCTAATCAATATTTGGAATGTGGTCAGGTTAAATTATGTACTGGGTCTTTGTTTACTTTTTTCATAGGAAATCATTACAGCACAGAAATCAGCATGATTACTCAGTGTGCTTTCATATTTGGCCTCTTAGAAGACACCATATAAATCTCCATTGGAAATTAGTGCCAGGAAAACCTTACTGCTCCTGTTGATATCATATGATTTCTTTTATAGTACATTGACAAAAATAGATCACACAGAGTTGTGCTTTTGTGTGTGTGTGTGTGTGTGTGTGTGTGTTTTGTCTTTTCTTATAGAAAATTCAAAACTAAGCAAAACATTAAGTAAAGTAACTGTGTTGTTGGAGTCCTTTGTAGGATTTTGTTTGTAAAATTTGTATGACAATGCTCAGTTAAAAAAAAGCACAATTATATATAGACCATATTTATAACTACAAAAAGATACATAGAAAAAAAGAATTAGCAAAATGTTAATAGAGGTTGTGCTTGAATAATGAGATAATTGGTGTTTTTCTTCTCATCTTTATTCAATAAGTTGAGTAGTTTTACTTTTATTATAAGAGAAAATAAAAAGGATTAATCCTACATGACCTCAAATTTTTCTTGTAACAGTTTAATTTACTCATTTATTTATTTTGTTATTTTGTGTTTTCTTTGTCATCTCAAATGGCTTATTCTTTGGAAACTAGCAGGAAATAAATTATATTTTATAAAACATAAAATGCTGTATGTAAATATTTTGATAGATCAAAGATATATTATTTACTTTTATTTTAATGCTTTTTCTTTAAATTGATTCTAATTTTAAAGAACAGCACATTGTCATTGAGGATTCTGAGTGGGAAAATAAGAAAAGGCTAGTGAATAGAAAGAAGTCAAATCACAAAAAATATAACAGTCTAGTGAGAGTATCTTTGGATACTAGATAACCCAGCCTGTGGTATTTGCTGTATTCATAAGTGTTCTTTAAAAAAATAAAATAAAATGTAATGATATGGGAACTTCCTGGGAAATCAGAGGATTAACATCTAAGTGTTGTGATTTTTGATTTTAAGAAAGGGAGAGAGCCTCCCCTGTCCTGAATTAGTTAGTTCCTTTTCTGGCTTGCTCTACCAACTAAGACTTGTATGTACGTGTGTGTGTGTGTGTGTATTAGTTTGTTTTCATGCTGCTAATAAAGACATACCTGAGACTGGGCAATTTACAAAAGGAAGACGTTTATTTACAGTTCCATGTGCCTGGGTAGGCCTCACAATCATGGCAGGTGAAAGGCATGTTTCACATGGAGGCAGACAAGAGAGAACTTGTGCAGGGAAACTCCCATTTTTGCAGTCATCAGATCTCCTGAGACTCATTCACAATTATGAGAACAGCACAGGAAAGACCCACTCCCATAATTCAATCACCTCCCACTGGGTTCCTCCCACAACATGGGGGAATTGTGGGAGTTACAATTCAAGATGACATTTGGGTGGGGACATAGCCAAACCATAAGATTCTGCCCCTGGTCCCTCCCAAATCTCATGTCATTTCAGCATTAACTCAAAAGTCAATAGTCCCAAGTCTCATCGGAGATACAGCAAGTGCCTTCTGCCTATAAGCCTGTAAAATCAAAAGCAAGTTAGTTACTTCCTAGATACAATGCGGGTACAGGCATTGGGTAAATACAACCATTCTAAATGGGAGAAATTGGTCAAAACAAAGGGGCTACAGGCCCTATGAAAGTCCAAAATCCAGGGAGGGCAGTCAAATCTGAAAGCTCCAAAATGATCTCCTTTGACTCCATGTCTAATATCCAGGTCACACTGATGCAAGGGGTGGGTTCCCATGGTCTTGGGCAGCTCTGCCCCTGTGGTTTTGCAGGGTACAGCCTCCCTCCCAGCTGATTTTCCAGGCTGGCATTGAGTACCTGTGGCTTTTACAGGCATACCGTGCAAGCTGTCAGTGGATCTATCATTCTGGGGTCTGGAGCTCACAGCTCCACTAGGCAGTGCTCCAGTAGGGACTCTGTGTGGGACTCCCACCCCACATTTCCCTTACACATTGCCCTAGCAGAGGTTCTCTATGAGGACCCTGCCCCTGCAGCAAACTTCTGCTTGGGCATTCAGGCATTTCCATACATCTTCTGAAATCTAGGCAGAGGTTCCCAGGCCACATTCTTGACTTCTGTGGAGTCACAGGCTTAACACCACATGGAAGCTGCCAAGGCTTGACACTTGCACCCCATGAAGTTGCGGCCTGGCTCTATATTGGCCCCTTTCACACACTATATTTTCCCTTCCACGGCTGGAGCAGCTGGGATGCAGGGCCCCAAGTCCCTAGGCCCCACACAGCATGGAGGTCCTGGGGCCAGCCCATGAGACCACATCTTCCTCTTAGGCCTCCAGGCCTGTGATGGGAGGGGCTGCCATGAAGGCGTCTGATATGCACTGGAAATATTTTCCCCATCATCTTGAGGATTAACATTTGGCTCCTTGTTACTTACGCAAATTTCTGCAGCCATCTTGAATTTACCCTCAGAAAGTGAGATTTTATTTTCTTTTGCATTGTAGGCTGCAAATTTTCTGAACTTTTATGCTCTGTTTCCCTTTTGAAACTGAATGCCTTTAACGGCACCTGAGTCACCTCTTGAAAGCTTTGCTGCCTAGAAAGTTCTTCTGCCAGCTACCCTAAATCATCTCTCTCAAGTTCAAAGTTCCACAAATCTCTAGGGCAGGGGTAAAATGCCACCAGTCTCTTTGCTAAAACATAACAAGAGTCACTTTTGCTCCAGTTCCCAACAAGTTCCTTATTCCCGTCTGAGACCACCTCAGCCTGGACTTTATTGTCCTTACTACTATCAGCATTTTGGGTGAAGCCATTCAACAAGTCTCTAGGAAGTTCCATACCTTCCTACATTTTCCTGTCTTCTTTTGAGCTCTCCAAACTGTTCCAACCGTTGCCTGTTCCCCAGTTCCAAAGTTGTTTCCACATTTTTGGGCATCTTTTCAGCAGTACCCCACTCTCCTGGTACCAATTTACTGTATTTGTTTGTTTTCACGCTGCTAATAAAGACATACCTGAGACTGGGCAATTTACAAAAGGAAGAGGTTTATTGAACTTACCATTCCACGTGGCTGGGGAGGCCTCACAATCATGGCAGAAGGTAAAAGGCATGTCTCACATGGCAGCAGACAAGCGAGAGCTTGTGCAGGGAAACTCCCATTTTTAAAACCTTCAGATCTCATAAGTCTCATTCACTATCATGAGAACAGCATAGGAAAGACCTGCCCTCATAATTCAATCACCTACCACCGGGTTCCTCCCATGACACATGGGAATTGTGGGAGTTACAATTCAAGATGAGATTTGGGTGGGGACACAGGAAACCATATCTCTCTGTGTGTGTGTGTGCGTGTGTGTGTGTTAAGAGAAGAAGACATATGAAAGGAAGGGAAGAGAAAAAAAATGGAAGGGAAGAGAGGGGAGGGCTGAAAAGAGGAAAGGAAAGGGGAGGGGGGAAAGAAGGCAGTAGGGGAAGAGAAGAGACAGTCTTGCAACCTTGGACTTAGTGGAAATGATTAAGAATCATACAATTAATTTAAGGGTAAAAGAAAGAGAAGGAGTTAGTCTGAATACCGAAGGAAAAAAAGGTTGTAAAAATAAACTTCTTTGGCTTCTTTCTTCAATAGCTTTTATTTTTTTAAGAATCTGTCATTATTCTGAGAATTTATTGTAGATGCAATAGAATACATGCAATCTATGTTAAATAGTTGAGTGATTGTGTGAGGAACATTCTTAATAAAATGAATCCAATTTTATTTGCATGTGAGTATAAAAGTCTTGGCATAGAATAGGGTGCTGATTTTGTCTTCTAATGTATTATATGTTATTTCTATTTGATGCTATTGGTAGAGTTAAAGAACACTTCATTACTGTAGTTGTTCAAGGCAATAATGAAAAATATTCACCAGGAAGGTGTTCTTAGATTTCCATCATTGACTTCATGCTGTATTTATAATATTTTACTACAAGAATGTCTGTATTATGATGGTTTTAGAAAGATAGTAGAAACTTGATTCCTGCCCTCAAGAAAACTGTAATTTGGCTAAAGAGGTATGAATATGTTGAATAATGTGTTTTATATGGTCAAGATTACATGACAGGTACAAATTTAGAGATATTGAAGATCAGAATAGGAAGAAATATTTTTCATCTAGCTTGATCCAGAGAAGGAGATAACTGAGTTGAGTCTTGGAGAGTAAGTGGCTTTGGGTATGTAGAAATAAAGGAGTAGACATTTCAGAAAAAGGAATGCACCAGCAAAAGCTTGAGATAGTTGAAGATAAGACATAATCAGGAAATGTCAGGTTAGGCAAAGAAAATCAATTAAATAATTTTCATAAGTTTAGTTAGCAAATAAATTGCCAGTTTTTTATTGTTAGCCTTAAACATAAACCCACGTTCTTTCCCTTTGTTATGCTGTTTCTGTTCCATTGACTCTTTAAGAAGAAAAGAGTTACTCGACCAGGTAGTACTTAGCGACATTCCTTTAGATATGTTGTGCAAAATAGTAAGAAACCTTAAAGAACTTGCGATGGTTCACATTGGAAGAGTAGTTTTCAGCCATTTATTTGAACACTGTCTGTCCTTCCTATCAGAATATTATGATTAAAATCCATAGGCTACCTCCTCATCTATCCATCTTTATTTAACTATTTAGACAAATGTAAATTTTTCCGTATTGGCATAATGTATCAGCAATGTGGACAGTTTACATTGCCAAAAGGACCTTTTAAGGCCTGTCAATTAAAATTTGGGAAACAAACTGGTCTGTGAATAATGAACCCATCTTTTAACTGGGATCCCTTAGGCTAGATTTCCTCATTAATAAAGACTGCACTGTTGTCTTAAAAATGACCATTATCTTTTGATCGTTCACAGCCCCAGAAAGCACTCTATAATTCATTTTTTCTGAGTGGAAAATCTCACAAGGAAGTTTCATTGGCTCTTGAACTAATTATTTACCAGAACCTTTTGTAAAAATAGTGGTATTTGGGGCTGAAATATGTCAAAAATGGTCTTGATTACAATAAGCACAAGGAAAAAGATAAGTATTATGAAGAGGACATGAAATCTTGAATTCCAAATAATCAATTTGATCATTACACATTGTATGCTTGTATCAAAATAGCACATGTACCCAATAAATATGTACAACTATTATGTATCAATAATTTTAACAGACCTTGTAATTTGCAGAAGAAGTTGAGAAGAATTATTAAATTTCATTCTAATTTTTCACATTCAATTAAATGAAGACAACATGAATTTCATGCTTACTTCACAGATTTGCAAATGTACTCTGAGTGTTTAAACTGCTCTGCAAATATTGTTAAAATATTGACCCAAATAATAAGCAATGTTATTTTAAGAGTGAGAAACCCATACAGAGCTGTCTTGACATTCAAAGATATAGACCTTGCTTAACCTCTCTTGGTTCCTCAATTATGTCATTGCTTCTGCTACAAATATAGTGTTCTTAATTACATTACCAATTAAGGGGAACAGGATGCTCAGAAAAGGCAAGCTGAATAATGATTTGGGAATAATGATATTAATAAAAATTTTTTAATTCTGAATTTTGTTTTTGAGTTTTCTATTTTAAATGCAGTTGTATTCCTTGTGGCTGTATTAGCTCTTTTGTTCACAACATTCTGCAAAGCTTTATAAGAAAAGGCATGTAAAACTATTGGGAAATTTTTTGAAAGGAATAAATAAATACACATTACCTATAGCATCAGAAAATGTACAAATCTAAGTAGAATGAATCTTTTACTCTCTAAGAAATAAACTAAATAAACTACGTTTCTGTAGACTTTAATTAAAAAGTTGTTTGTTAGAGAACAATTCTGTAATTTCAAAATTGCATTTGAAGACTCCAATTCAAGATGATCTGAAAGTAAAATCAATGCTGTCTACTTTTCAGCATTTGCCGAAGTTCTACATTATTTGGGTGTCTGTATTGTTACTCAGTTCTTTATTAATACTGTGATGTAAGTATGCTTTCCTCATTTAATCCCATTTTGGAACTAAAATGTTTTTAATGTGGGTAGCTTGGGAAAATTTTATTTGTTAAAATAACCAATTCTTTGCACAGAGTGTGCTATAGTAAAACAATTGGCTGCAATGGTAGTGAAAGCACTTACTTCTATATTGGAGATATACCTAGAACGTTCTAGTTGCATTCATAACCAGACTTTATATGTTCTACATAATTCTGTGATTAGTTCTAGGAAAATAGCCAGTTTAACATGTTTCAAACTTGGTATTTGTAAGTGGTGTAGGACTTATAGCTTCTAACACCATATTATTAGAAATGCCTCTGATTTATGAGGCATGGATTTAAATGACAACTGTCAATAGAACAACTACCTTAAAAAATCATCTATTATAGGTAATAAATAAATTGACTGAGATATAAACTGCGAATCTCTTCTAGTTTCTTTGGTCAAGTGATGGAGCTTGTCTCTTCAGCCACCACTGTCTGTGATTACCTAAACATGTTCCGTGGAAAGAAAAATAAGGTTATTGAGCCAGTCTCTCATCAATAATTAAAACTAGGGGGAACTAACAGGCTAGAGAAAAATGGGAATTTATTATCTCATAACCTCACACAAAAACTTCAAGCAAAATGAAATAAGAATTTGTATATAAATTAAAAAGCTGAAATTTCAGGCTGTTTTAATGCTATAGTTCTGCAGTGTTCTTTATAACTTTCTATCCAATTAATGATTTTAGGTTTATAAATTTATACAACTCACCTAGCTGACCAAGCAGAAATGCTATTAAAGACCATGAATTAGTAGCTTTTTACAAGTCATTAAATTCAGTTATAGATCAAGCATTAGTAAGTATCAGCAGGCCATAGAGCACAGGAATAAACACTAGGATTTATATGTGGTTTCCCACAATTCAAGAGAAAGCTCTCTTTGGTTCTCCTAAGCAGCAGAAAGATGAACATCAATTACCATTTATTTATTTATTTATTCATTCATTCATTCATTCATTCATTCATTCGAGACAGAGTCTCGCTCTGTCTCCCAGGCTGGAGTGCAGTAGCATGATCTCATCTCACTGCAGTCTCCACCTCCCATGTTCAAGCGATTCTACTGCCTTAGCCTCTGGTGTAGCTGGGATTATAGGCGAGTGCCACCATGCCTGTCTGATGTTTTTTTTTTTTTTTTTTGAGATGGAGTTTCGATCTTCTTGCCAAGGCTGGAGCGCAATGGCGCGATCTTGGTTCACTGCAACCTCCGCCTCCCAGGTTCAAGCGATTCTCCTGCCTCAGCCTCCCGAGTAGCTGGGATTACAGGCACCTGCCACCACACCCAGCTAATTTGTTGTATTTTTAGTAGAGACCGGGTTTCACCACGTTGGCCAGGTTGGTCTCTAATTCCTGACCTCAACTGATCTGCCTGCCTCAGCCTCCCAAAATGCTGGGATTACAGGCATGAGTCGCTGCACCCAGTCAGTTATCTTAAAAATCTACTCATGTGATCATTTTAATCTTATATGTAACTCTAAAACTTTTGTTAAGCCGATAGTCCAAAAAGAATTGTGATTTTAGGCCGGGCACGGTGGCTCACGCCTGTAATCCCAGCACTTTGGGAGGCCGAGGCGGGCGGATCACGAGGTCAGGAGATGGAGACCATCCTGGCTAACATGGTGAAACCCCGTCTCTACTAAAAAAATACAAAAAAATTAGCTGGGCGTGGTGGCGGGCGCCTGCAGTCGCAGCTACTCCGGAGGCTGAGGCAGGAGAATGGCGTGAACCCAGGAGGCGGAGCTTGCAGTGAGTGGAGATCAAACCACTGCACTCTAGCTTGGCCGACTGAGCGAGACTCTGTCTCAAAAAAAAAAAAAAAATTGTGATTTTAGAAAATTAAGCTGTAGGATTTTAGGGACTAGGAGTTTTCTAAAATGACACTAACATTATATACACATATCTTTCGATTGGGTTGGGGGGAAATTGATGTATGTTTAAGATAGTCTTCCCCAAAATTTGTACAAAAGAATTAGAGCTAGGTCTATATCCTCACATTGTTCTTATTTTCCTGAATGACAGAACAGTTTTTTACAGTCATATAATAAACTTTCAGTTTCTTTTTTCCTTTATTTTTTATTTTAAGTTTAGGGGTACATGTGCTGGTTTGTTACAAAGGTAAACTTGTATCATGGGGGTTTGTTGTACAGATTATTTCATCACTCAGATATTAAGCCTGGTGTAACCCATTCGTTACTTCTCCCAATTCTCTCCCTCTATTCACCCTCCACCCTCCAATAGGCCTCAGTGTGTTTTGTTGCCTTCTGTGTGTCCATGTGTTTTCATCATTTAGCTCCCACTTATTAGTGATAACATGTGGTGATTTCTCCTCCTGCGTTAGTTTGCTAAGGATAATGGCCTCCAGCTCAATGAATGTTCCTGCAAAGAACATCATCTTGTTCTTTTTTATGGCTGCTTAGTATTCCACGGTGTATATGTACCACATTTTCTTTATTTATTCTACCATTGCTGGGCATTTAGGTTGATTCCATGTCTTTGCTATTATGTTTTGTGCAGCAGTGAACATATTCATGCATGTGTCTTTATGATAGAGCAACTTATATTCTTTTGGGCACCCAGTAATGGAATTTCCGAGTCGAATGGTAGTTCTATTTTTAGGTTTTTGAGGAATTGCCACACTGTTTTACACAATGGATGAACAAATTTACACTTCCACCAGCAGTGTATAAGCATTCCTTCTTCTCTACAACCTCCACAGCATCTGTTAATTTTTGACTCTTTAATAATAGCCATTCTTACTTGTGTGAGATGGTACCTCATTGTGGTTTTGATTAGCATTTCTCTAACGATCCGTGGTGTTGGCCTTTTTTCCATATGCTTGTCGGCTGCCTGTATGTCTTCTTTTGAAAAGTGTCTGTTTATATCTGTGGCTCCCTTTTTAATGGGGCTCTTTGTTTTTTCTTATGAATTTGTTTAAGTTTCTTATAGATGTTGGATATTCGATCTTTGCCAGATGCATAGATTATTTTGCTGTAAAGATATTTAGTTTAATTAGATCCCATTTGTCAATTTTTGCTTTTGTTGCAATTGTTGTTGGCATCCTTGTCATTGAATCTTTGCTTATTCCTGTGACCAACATGGTATTGCTTAGGTTGTCTTCCAAGGTTTTCATAGTTTTGGGTTTTGCATCTAAATCTTCAATTAATCTTTGAGTTAATTATTGTATATGGTGTAAAGAAGAGGTCCAGTTTCAATCTTCTGCATATGGCTATCCAGTTATCCCAGCCCATTTATTGAATAGGAATTCCTATCCCCAAAGCAATCAGGCAAGAGAAAGAAATAAAGGGCATCCAAATAGAAAGAGAGGAAGCCAAACTATTCCTGTTTGCAGATGGCATGATCCCATATCTAGAAAACCCCATGGCCTCAGCCCAAAAACTCCTTAGCTGATAAACAACTTCAGCATTGTTTCAGGATACAAAATCCATGTACAAAAATTATCAGCATTCCTATATACCAACAATGGTCAAGCTGAGAGTCAAATTAGGAAGGCAATCCTACTCACAATTGCCACAACCAGAATAAAACACCTAGGAATACAGCTAACCAGGGAGGTGAAAGAGCTCTACAAGGATAACTACAAAACACTGCTCAAAGAAATCAGAGATGACACAAGCAACTGGAAAAAAACTTTTCATATTCATGGATAGGGAGAATGAATATCGTTAAAATGACCAGACTGCCCAAAGTAATTTATAGATTCAATGATATTTCTATTAAACTGCCAATGACATTCTTCACAGAACTAGGAAAAGATATTTTAAAATTCATATGGAACCAAAAAGGAGTCCGAATAGCCAGTGCAATCCTAAGCAAAACAACAAAGCTAGAGGCATCAGGTACGTAACTTCAAACTATACTACAGGGCTACAGTAACCATAATAGCATGGTACTAGTACATAAAAAGACATACAGACCGATGGAACAGAATGAAGAGCCCAGAAATTAGACTGCATACTTACAACTATCAGTTTGATTTTTAGTAGAATCAGAAACCAAGATCAAAACAGTCTCATTGGAAGTTTTTACTTCATTTGCTATTCCATATCAATGATCTTGGTTTACATTTATCTTTTCCTTCAAATGTTCATATTATCTTTCTAAAAATGATATGTAAGTCACGTTTGTACCTATATCTGTGTGTTCCTCCTCTTTCTTTTTCTTTTAACCAATGGATGGCTTTCTCATCAGATGCCTGTATTAAATGTGGTGATTGAGAGCATGAGCTCTTAGCTAGAAAGCTTGGGTTTAAATTTCTACTCTGACAATTACTAATTATGTAACTTTAGACAACATATTTAACCACTCTATGATTCAGCTTTCTCATAGCATTCTTCTACAGATTAAATTGCTCAATACATGTAGTGAGTCAAAGAGCACCTAGCACCAAGTAATCACTCTTATTACTATTATTATCCCTATTATTTTTACCATAGGCAAAAATAAATGTATATGTGGATGATCTATTGGGAAGCTTTCCATCTGTTCAATTTCCCAGGAGCATTATTTCAAGAAGCTAATGATTTCAGAGGTAACAAAGACAAATTCTAACGTGTAAGTCCTGATGTCTTGACTCCAAGAGTCTAAAGAGAGTTTATCTTCAAATAACTGTAAAAGACAGGAGCATTAGTGTGAAACAGAGTGGCCCTGGTTGACAGAGAGGGAGGGCTTAGCAGTTTGATGGTTGGCCAGAAGGATGGCAACTATCCTGATGCTAGAAGATGAATTGATACTGCTTTTGGAGAAAGATGGGGAGAATGGTACTGGCTTTAGAAACATTGTGCTCATGAGTGTGCATGCAGAATTCAGCATCTGGGAGTGACAGATTTCAAGGATTCAGTTGAGAAAGATGGGCTTTCATATACACAATGGGAAATCTGAGCCATGTGGCAACCCAGGTCTTCAGGAACTAGGAATAGAGGTAGAATCTCAGCCAAGAGGTATCTGCTCTCTGCCAAGAGAGAAGAGATAATCTCTGCCCCATACCAGTGACTACTGAAGGTCTGTAAGTGAATGGCAGCAAACACACTTGACTTTGATGTGAAGTACATCCAAGGTAGAGGCTCTTTATATGATTCAGGCTCTAAATTGTCACGGGGCTAAGGAGTGGTTTGTTTTGAAAGCCCAACTAGGACAAGCCGCTGACTCAAATATGGATTAAGGTGATAGGTTTTTTGCAAATGAGTGGAAGGTTAAGATCTTTCAATTAATTTTCTTTACTATACCCAGCATTTCTTGTGTTTGGTATTTGTTGGACCTTGAATTGCAGTATATACTCAATGGGCCCTACTTGTTCACAGACACCATATAACTGATTCTCTCCTACTGTTGGTATCGTCATGTATTCCTCTTTTCAGAGCAGATGGAGACCTCATGGCTGCATTCACCTGCCCAGTACCCTCCTCACACTTCCTTCAAAAGCCATGCATGCACACTCATCTCTCTTGTCTTTTGTGGAGTGGGCTCTGCCCTCTCCTGCTTCATGTGTCCTTCAGGATGGCTCTCTTCCTGTTCTGTCGGGATCCACCAGATGTCTTCAGTTAACCCCCCGCTGATTAACAAGAGAGATTGCTCCACAGGGCAGACATTTGCTTTATAGGCCAGGATGTTTCTCATTTTATGTAGCTTTAGAGAGTATGATGAGAGGTGGCATAAATTAAAACGTCAACCTCATTTTCCTTTCTTACACATTAAACAAGCTGAGTGAGAAAAAGAAAACACCCTGATTATTTTAGTTAGCAATAATTTAAGATTTAAAAAGTGAGCATTCTGTATGATTCAGAAAGTAAATAGATTTATGAGAATAGTAAACCTCAATCAAAACCTCGAAATTGTGAGACCCCATCTCTACAAAAAATTAAAAAATTAACTGGGCGTGGTGGTGCATACCTGTGGTCATGGCTACTCAGGAGGCTGAGGAGAGAGGATGGCCTGAGTCCAGGAGTTCGAGGCTACAGAGAGCTGTGATAGTGCCAATGCACTCCAGACTGAGTGACAAAGCAAGACTCCATCTTAAACAAACAAACAAATGAACACAAATCCCTCAAAAGTTTTTAATCACCACCCCCATATCTTGCTCTATACGGTATATGTAAATCCCCCAAAAGAGATGAAGCAAATTCCTGAAAAGTTGTTTTTACCACTAAAATGTTTGGATGGAGAGAGGATGCCCTTATTTATAAGTGGTTGTTTCAAGACCCATTTAATGGCTATTTGTATCCTTTTCCTAAAAAATAATTCACTGTTACTGTTTTTCTGTGAATTATGTACCTTGACTCCTTGACTCAAACAAAAAAAAAAAAAAAAAAACAAGCAAGAAAAAAAACCCAGAAAACTCAAATTTCCCCAAGTTTCCCCAGACAGCATACATTTAGTATGTCTGGAAGCCATTGCCTTCCAAACAGCTCTGTTCTTTCTGAAATGTTATTCAAAAACAAAGTCCTGATAAAAATATTCCTAGGATATAAATTATCTCTGCCACTTAGGCCTGACGTGGCAAAAATAAGGGAAAAAATATGTTTTACCTGTTTCCCAAAGGGACTATAGTCAGCTTTAAAATTTTGTCCTCTCTTAAAGAAATCGTAAATTACAAAATAAAAAAAATTAGCATTTCACTATGCTAGTGTAGCAGGATGAGCCGCAGACAAAACCCCTCAGACACCAAGTTAAAGAAGGAAGGGCTTTATTCAGCTGGGAGCATCGGCGGACTCTTGTCTCCAAAAACCGAGCTCCTCAAGTGAGCAATTCCTGTCCCTTTTAAGGGCTTACAACTCTAAGGGGGTCTGCGTGAGAGAGTCGTGATCGATTGAGCAAGCAGTGGGTACGTGACTGGGAGCTGCATGCACCGGTAATTAGAACGGAACAGAACAGGACAGGAATTTTCACAGCGCTTTTCTATACAATGTCTGGAATCTATAGGTAACATAACCAGTTAGGTCAGGGGTCAGTCTTCAACTACCAGGCCTGGAATGCAGCGCCGGGCTGTCTGACTACTGATTTCACTTGTGTCTTTTCTTTAACTCCTACTTTTCCTTTGAGGCAGAAATTGGTCATAAGACAATATGAGGGGTGGTCTCCTCCCTTACTAAAATTTTTCTCAAGATTATTACAGTTTTTGTCAATGTTCCAGTTGCAAAATTCCATAAATTTTAAGTGGTCTTCTACAATCTTATTTTTCCCTGTAAACTGTGATTTTGCTGAGCTGAGATTTTTCAGAAGTGCGTATATATAGCATTGAAACAGAAATGCCTTTTTTGTTTTTCTGAGCTGTGCATGCTTTCATTAAATGGAAGAGAAGCATTGAGGCTTGGGAGGGTTTTTCATACACCAAAGTGTAATATTAAATTTGAGTGGCACAATTTAATAATGTTTAGCTCTGCTCAGTGAAAGATTTACAGTGGCAACACGATAGCCAAATGGTTTTCATGTCAGTCAGTTATTTTCAAATTTAAAGCCATAGCCTTACTATAGAAATAATTCTGTTATAGTTCAAGTATTTTAATTGTTTTTGAGTTATTAACAGAGCGCTAGGATGGAAAACTAGGTCTCATCAATTAAATATTCCAGATTTTTTTCTTCTACCTTTTGCCTGAGTGTGAAATTTAAAATAATTCACTGTGTATAAAATCTGAGCATAAAATATGGTTGAGAAACAGGACTGATTCTGGTAAAACCAATCACATTACTTCATCTGAACACATTTTCTTAAGGAGTATGGACAAAAGAAGAAAATGAAGTTAGTACTTACTTCTTAAATCACGTTCCTGGTGACCTTGTGGAAATTCTCCTGTAATTCTGAGTAAAAAGCTATCTATTCTATGTCCCACAGTAAAGAGCAATAATTACAGAAGTAATTCTGGAAGAAGAAGCAAAAAAAAACGACCTCAAGTTGTTGAATCCAGGTGTTCTGAGTTGAATCAGAAATTGAGTACTCCAGACCTGTCCTAACAATAGCTTTAAAGTTAAATGGGGACTGATGATCCAGGGTACAGGCTTGCCAAGCAACGCTGAGATAATATATCATGGTACCTATCCAGTTCAAAAACACACACATTATAAGAAAACTAATACATTGTATTAAAAATCATAACCATGCAATATCATTTCTGTTAGTTTTTAACAACTATTGGTCTGCCTCACAGGTGGAGAATTCTTTTTTTCTTAAAGATAAGTTTAGGCATATCTGACATATTATATTTGTCCATAGGTTTATGCTTATCAGTTGAGGCAATGGTAATGCTGTGTTGCATGTGACTGGTGAGTCATGAAGCAGCCATCCTTCAGGAATCTGGGTAAATTCAGAAGTGTTAGAGTGTAGTAGTTGCATAAAAGGCCTGAAATTGGAGAAACTAGTTTGAATTTTGGTTATGTTGTTTATTAGTTGTGTGACCTTGTGCATGTAACCTCACTGAACTTCAATTTCTCAGTTATGACAAAGTAGAAAACCCATTATTGTGTTTGAAGCTGAATTTATTAATGTCAATAAAGCCACTACTGTTCAGTAAATTTTAGATCTGGTTAGTGATTGGAGTAATGTATTAACTGGAGTAGCTAGATAATCTATTGATAAGCTAAACCACATCTTGTTTTCACCACCATAGAGGCCTCCAAGATGGTAGCCACTCTTAATCCCACCCCCAGAAGGGTAAGTAGTTCATGTTCTTAAGAAGTGAACTTATCTTTCCTCAAGAGAATTGATTATCATTTTTATGTTTCTGGGTTGGAAAGGAGCCATTGACAGTCAGCATTGGTATTGACCTGAAGTCTTTCCTTAAACTTTTGTTTCAATGCTCATGAAGTCATTGAAGCTAAATTGTCTAAAGGGAGAAAGGAATGGATGGATTTTTGTTGTTGTTGTTGTTGTTGTTGTTATGAGCGTTAAGGGTTTGAACACCCAGAAGACACTGGAAGCAAGGAGAAAGTGGTGAGGCCCTTGTACAGGGGTTTGGATCCCAGAGCCACATTTTAAGAAAGGTTCTCTAGAGGGTATGCTACCCAGACAGTGGGTGAATGGGTGTAGAGAAAAACTCTCAGATACCTGGAAGCTTCCAAGGAATAGTGTTAGATCAGAGAGGCAACCTTAGCCCTTCCTGCCTGACAAAACTCCTTAGGGCAGTGGGAGAATTGATCTTTTCTTCCATTATTTAATCATAATTGAGAACACATTGGCTGAAATGAGAAACTTGATCTGTGACTTGCACATTCATGCAAGTGGGGAAAAGAAAAAAAAAAAACTACCACTTTGTCACCCTTTGGGTATTACATTATTGAACCACCCAGTAAGAATGCCTCACTGAATCTCCCATCTCCAACTTCAAAGCACGTTTGGACTCCTACAGGAGGAGAGGAGTTAAGAGAGGAATTTCTGTACCTCTGTCTCTTGAGAACAGTCTGGGGAAGGTGTTATGTGATCGCAAGCTGGGAAGAGAAGAGCGTGTGTACATTGTCATTATAATCACCTCAATATATTTTAAAATCGATATGACTTTTTGATCTTCTAAACACTGGAAAAGAAGAGTTTAATTAAAAGGTTTTCATATTTATATTATCAGAAAGAGTTCAGGTCTAGAATTTTTGAGGAAAAAACTGTTTTTTTACCCAAGGATAGTAAACATCTTTCAACCTTCATCTGAGGTATTTGGAGGCAACTATTATTAATTGTGCTGCTTCTTTTACACCCCGGGTTCCATTAGATAAGTGGTGGTGTCATTAAAAACCACCAAGTAAGGAGGCTCTGAAGGAGAGAAAAGAAAAACAGTTAAAACTAAAAAGATGGGAGAAGCCCTACGGCGAAGTTAGAGACAGATCACCAGCTTTTTCCTTCTCTTAAAATTTAAAATAATTTTTGTTTTCTTTCTCTCCTTTCAGGTACTTTGATTCTTTCCATAGCATCTTGCCTAGTTTATAAAGAGCTTTTGGAAATATCATTTTTATAGGTACTGTTATCACCTTGTAATTTAGCTTGACTAGAAGAATGACAAAGCTGGGGGAATTTAAGTTATGATTGCTTTAGAAATTTAGCAGCGCACTGCTCAGCTGTAGAAAGCAATGTCATTATTAGAAATAGGGGATCTTATTCTGTTCAATATTTTGGGAAGACTGGAGATCTGAAACAGAAACTTCCCAAGAAGTTGGACTTAAAATAAAGTTTCCAGGGACTTGTGCTAATTCTTTACTATATGCAGCGTTTTACATTCACTGTGAGAGTTACCACCTATGACTATCCTGGAAGGAAAATGTAAGTAAGTATTTCCATTTCTTGGATCAGTTACATTGTACCCAAAATGTGTGGATGAGAAATATGTTACCACATAGTCTATGTAATAATGTGTTGTACAAGCAAATAAGGCTTGTAATAATTTTAGTGATTTTCAGAATACTTCATTTTAAAGCAAAAAAAAAAAATAGTTTTCACAGAAAAGAGATTATGTGTGAAATGAAAGTAGATTTATTAAATCTAAGCCAATAAATAGATTTCAAATTTCCATGGTGATCTGTCTTTGTACAATTATTACGTCAGAACTTACATTGGAGATGTGCAAAGCATATTTAACAAATACTTAGAATATTTTTAAATAAATTAATGACACAACTAGGAGTTGAAAACTGTTTGTTTTGTTTTGTTTTGTTTTGTTTTTGAGACGGAGTTTCGTTCTTGTCACCCAGGCTGGAATGCAATGGTGCAAACTATGCTTGCCATAACCTCCGCATCCCAGGTTCAAGTGATTCTCCTGCGTCAGCCTCCTGAGTAGATGGGATTACAGGTGGCCACCATCACACCCAGCTAATTTTTTGTGTTTTTAGTAGAGTTGGGGTTTCATCATGTTCGCCAGGCTGGTCTTGAACTCCTGACCTCAGGCAATCCACCCTCCTTAGCCTCCCAAAGTGCTGGGATTACAGGTGTGAGCTACCACGCCTGGATGAAAACTGTATTTTTATTCCATCGTTATATCCTACTCAGATTTATTGGCTATTTAAATGAAAAGAAAAAAAAAAGGTTGCCTGCCATGTACATTTCCATACCTTATTTCCTTTTAATTTTCACTATGACCATCTGCAGTTTGTTTTATTAAAGACCAGAAAGGTTAACTGAATTGAAAAAAAATCACTCAGCTATTAAGGACCTGAGCCAGAATTAGAAACAAGCGCTATGTCTTTCTAAATATATAACAATTTTTACATGAAGAGACCTTTACTGCTTTACGGCTGACTTCTTTGTGGGATGGTATTTGCTCCACTCTGAAATGATAAGACTGTGTATAAAAACTTTACCTGGGATAGAGAGGGACCTTTCAAAGTTCAGAAAACTGACGGTGCAACTGGATGCCAGACTATGAAACAGAGGTAGATCTAATTATCAGAAAGCTACTAACAAGGCTGTAGAAGATAAAAGATCTGTGCAGTCTTAAAGGTGAGAGAGAAGAAAAATGTGCTTGCTACCACCACTTCTATTAAATATTTTTGTTACAAATCCTAACCGAGAAGAAGAAATAAAAGACATCAAATTTAAAGAGGAAAAAGTAAATATGTTATTATTTACAGATAATGTGATCATTATGTTGAATATAATGAACAAACAAATAACAACAACTACAAAAAACTCCATAAATAATAATGAAACTAATAAGAGAATCACAGTGGTCAAAGGCAGTAGTTTGCTAGACCTGCTGACATTGATTCTCAAGAACTAATTTTTAACAATAATGTCTTGTAATTTCAAAATGGCTAGAAGGGAGGATTTTGAATGTTCTCACCACAGAGAAGTGATAAGTATTTGAGGTTATGTATATGCTAATTACCTTGATTTGATTATTACACAATGCACACATGTATTGAAACATCACACTGTATCCATAAATATATACCAATATCATGTGCCAATCAAAAACAAAATAAAACTTAAAAAAAAAATTGACAAACTGAACCCATGAAAAAGTTAAATTTCCTGTTCATCAAAAGATACCATTAAGAAAATTACAAGGAAAACCATGAACTGGGATAAAATTGCAATCCATATATCCTTAGAAAAAGACTTATGTCTTGAGTATACAATAAACTCTTTCCAATGAACAATAAAGATAGACAATGTGATTTAACAATTGGCAGAAGACTTGAACAGACAGTTCACCAAAGAAGATACATGGATGGTCAATAATCTCATGACAAGGTGATCAGCATTATTGGCCATCAGGGTAATGCAAATGAAAACCCACCATGTAAGGTCATTTCAACAAATTAGAAGCTATAAAATAAAAAAAAGTGACAATGTAAAAGAATAGCAATAATGTCAACAAGTGAACCTGCCACATGGTGTTGATGTGAATACAAAACTGTGTAACTACTTTGGTGAATTGTGGCAATTTCTACTAAAGGTAAATGCATATCTGTTGTGCTTTCTATTACAATTTGATGGAAACTGGGAAGTCCAAGATCAAGGCACTGGCAGATCTGGTAAATCTGGTGAGGGTACTACTCCAGGTTTGCAGACAACTGTTTTATCCTGGTATCTTCTCAATGTGGGGAGAGAGAAATTAACTTTTTCATGTCTCTTATTGTGAGGGCACTAATCCTATTCATGAAATCCCCACCCTCATGAATCCATTCTCCCACAGTTGTCACCTCCAAATGTCAACATATTGGGAACTTAGGCTTTAACATACGCATTTTGAAAGGACATATTCAGTTCATAGCAGCTTCTGACTTGAAAGCTCTGCTAATATGACTTGCACATTACCTATTTTTTATGACTCTGGTTGCCACAGATCACATGTTGGATTTATTCAACTACTCAATTATATGTGACTATGTTTCTATGATAGAAGTGTCTCTAGTTTTCTTGCTCATATTCCAATGATATTGGTTGGCCCATTTTGAAGAGGAACATAATTTATCACCATGAGAATTTTGTGTTATAAAAATAAAAAATAAAAAGAAAATGCAAGATGAGTTCCACATAGGACAAGAGATGTTATTTGTATTGATATATATAAAGAGCCACAACTAAAACAAAGATTATCCCAAATATTAATATAAAAGAATGACAGTAGCAATCTATTACATTTGGATTCTCACATCAGTGGTATGTAGTAAATGGTCATTAAAAGTCTACATCTGAAAGTTAGCAATCAGTGGTCAATCTTAAATATTTTGTAGTATATATAATTCAAGAGATAAAATGATAATGATATTTCTCTTCTTTTTTTTTTCTTTTTTAATTAATTAATTTATTTATTTTTTGAGACGGAGTTTTGCTTTTGTCACCCAGGCTGGAGTGCAGTGGTGCGATCTCAGCTCACTGCAACTTCTGCCTCCTGGGTTCAAGTGATTCTCCTGCCTCAGCCTCTTGAGTAGCTGGGATTACAAGCCTTCGTCACCATGCCAGCTAATTTTTGTGTTTTTAGTACAGACGACTTTCACCATGTTGGCCAGTCTGATCTCGAGCTCCTGACCTCAGGCGATTGGCCTGCCTCACCTCTCAAAATGCTGAGATTACAGGGCGATATTTCTCTTCTAATGCAAAAAGTTACAAGTGCCTGTGAAGAAATGTTAGGCTTACGTTGTAGCTTTCACCTGGAATGACAAAGGAATTTCTGTTTGCATACCATCTCCCAGTTGCTTAGTGGTGGCTGCCTAGATTATCATGATAAAAAAAGTCCTTGGTTGGGCCTTATATAAGTGTCATTAAATGGACTGAGGATGGAAGAGTTGTAACTTTCATATAACATTTGTAATATTTCTTGACTATGGCCTTAGGAAATTTCCACTCTGAAAAGACAGCTTTAGGAGGGCAGCTCTCCCCTTCTATTTATTGTTTCTGTGCTCCCCCTACAGCAGCATATCACCAAGATCCAAACAATTGCATGTTGTGTGTTTTACATGTCCAAAAAATGAGAGGATATGTCAGGATAGACAGTATACGTAGATGTGTAGTGACAGATACAGTTAAATCAAGCCATGTTTAGTGTAGGTTAAGACATCCTTGGAATTCCCTTGTTTTAGCGACTGTGTCACACAGAGGTACTTTTATTTCATCACAGGCAAATCGCTTATTCACTATCCTCGACCCTTCTGTCAGCTCATCCTAGGAGCTTTCTTTAATTCTGTTTTAGCACTACTTTCTTTAATGTTAAAAACACTACCTTGGATTTATATATGATATTTTACAATTTACGTAACACTGGAAATTTTGTCCTTCTATATGATACATTAAATAATTTTGGGATGTCTGTAAATGTTACTCCAATTTTTTATTTAAGGGAGAAAAAAGAGCAAATGTACAAGTCATCAAAGAAACAATTTTCTTTTCTAAATTCAGAAATGATTCCAGAACTCAGCTACCTGACTTTCAAATCTTTAATACTTAGCCCCAAAGAGCAGACATAGTATATACAAACATACTGTATGCAAAACCACAGTAACAAAAATACCCAGGAAAAAGCTGGAATATAATGGTTGTTCTGATAGCTCTTATTACTACCTAGAATACAGGGAATCTTATGTCAGAACAACCAGTTCAAAGTGTAAAACTGCACTGAATATTAGAGAAAGATCTGAAAGATTTTTCTACTCCTGAACGAAACTTTTGTGCTGGTGTGATTTGCACAGCTCCAAAAAATGCTGCACTTCCTGCATTTAATCCTGGACTGTAGTTTCTCTTTTCTGTTTAAATAAGCCCTCTAATCTCCACATAGACTTGCTGAAATGTAGTGGCAATTTGAGGTAATAGTGTCAGTAGAAAAAAGGAAAATCAATTTTTTTTGTTATTTCCATTCAAGGTAAACCATTTTCCAATGCTAATATTTTTCAGAAGTGTTTGTGGGAATAAAAATGGATTCTCAACATGATTTGTTTCTAATCATCTTTTCTTTTTTTAAAAAAGTAGAAGATAAATAATCTGATATAGTTTTGTTATATAAATTGTTACTATCAAAGCTGTCAGGGTCCTGGATGATTTTTAGAAAATTGAAAATAATCAGGATTATGTGAAAAATTTATTTGTGGATGTTTGTATTTAATGCTTTGTATTTGAGTTGTGCTTTTTTGTATATTGGTTTTTCCCTTAGTAACATAAGTAGGGGTCATCATTCTCATTTTATAAAGAAACTAAAGGCCGATGACAAAGTATTTGAACTGGACTTTCAGGCTCAGAACCCAGTTTTCATGATTCCAGTTCTCTGCTCTTTACAGTATACTGGATATACACTCAAAATTACAGACACACAACTCTATTTGAATCTATGCTTTTTGTAATTTCAAAGACAGAGAAGAAAGCCTCAGTTATCTATAAGATCTCTATGTATAAATTCTAATGTTCTTTGTCATTATTTCCTTTCAGCCTTATTTGAATAATGTCTATTTGAATAATGGACTAACTAAGCAGAGTCAGCATTTAAACCCAGACATTCAATGCTCATCTGGGAGAAGTTTCTGGGTGAGAATCTGCCCTCTTCTGGAATGCAATCATAATATGGTGAATGGTCCAAAAGGACTTCACTTAGCAGCTATTTATTGAATTTGTACCTTGAATATTAATATATTGATATGGTTTGGCTGTGTCCCCACTCAAATCTCATCTTGAATTATAGCTCCCATAATTCCCATGTGTCATGGTGGGGACCCAGTGGGAGGTAATTGAATCATGGGGGCCAGTCTTTCCCATGCTGTCCTCATGAGAGTGAATAAGTCTCACAAGATCTGACGGTTTTATAAATGGGAGTTCCCCTGCCCATGCTCTCTTTGCCTTCTGCCGTGTAAGACATGACTTGGCTCCTCCTTTGCCTTCTGCCATGATTGTGAGGCCTCCCCAGCCACATAGAACTGTGAGTCAACTAAACCTCTTTCCTTTATAAGTTACCCAGTCTTGGATATGTCTTTATTAGGAGCATGAGAACAGACTAATACATATATTGAGTAAAGGGAGAAAAGTTACCTTGACTTTTCTAGCTTCCCATTTGAGAAGGGTCTTGAGCATGTAGAGAAATTATCGGATTTGTATCACAGAAAGTGAGTTATGCCTGCTCTTTAGAGCATAGACTGGTGCATGGCTTGATGTAAAGCTGAGTGCATGCCAGGATGATATTGTAACAATCCTGGTGATAGTAAAGAGTGATGAGGAGAGGAATGCGAATAGAGATAGGGGAAAGAGGGTAAATTTGTAGATATTTAAATGTTGTAATAAGAAGTCCTTAATGGATGTTGAGCTGTTTGATAAGGGGAATGACAGAAAGTTGAGGGAGGTGCTTGGATTTCTTACTTGAGTACCCAGGATGATGAGGATGATCTTATAAGGAATTCAGCGGAGAGCAAAGCTTTTTCTTTTGTCTTTTTGAGAAGATTATTACTCATTTTAATTATTTTTCTGAACGATAAAGTGGAAACTTTGAGAAGTTTTGTAGAAAGGCTTGAAGGTTTTTTTGTTTTTGTTTACTGGCCTTTTGGGCTAAAGCATGATGGTCAGTAGAGCTAATATAATACATAGAAGAGAAATTTTCTGCAGTTGAGGTCAGGTATAATCAATGTTCCAATGGGATAATTTTGTCCTGTCTCACTGATGGTGAAATTTCCATGCCTGTCATGTTGTGATGTGTCATAGAGCCAGTCAACTGGCAGCAGTTTGTTCTATTTACCAAGAGCATTTATAGCTTGAAATTGATTTGTTAACTTAATCCAGTGACTGCTAAGCATACTAAGAATAGGAGGTGAAGGGGATCTCAGTACCCTGGGAGGTGGGCTGACAACTTAGAACTCTTCCAGGCTGAACTCTATGTGGCTTTATACATGTTGCACCGCTTTTCCTTTTCCTGCTTTGAAATAAGGGCAGCTGCAGCAGTCCATTGCTGGGCTGTGGATATCCACTCCACAAGGGCAGGATGTCAGCAATGTTACAGTATCTTAACATTATGGAGCTAGAAGGCTTAAGTAAAAAATACACTCCAATTACACACATATTCCAGACAAAATTAACCCTTTCACTTAAATTACCTGTTTGAAATATGTTTTAATGTCTGATTTAAATATTTATTTTGTTATAGGAAAAAACATGAATAATGATTTTTTTTAGCTACATGCCTTTCTACTGTGAAGTTAATTTATTTATTTATTTGAGACAGAGTGTCGCTCTGCCACCCAGGCTGGAGTGCAGTGGCACAATCTCAGGTCAACGCAACCTTCACCTCCCAGGTTCAAGCGATCCTCCTGCCTCAGCCTCTCAAGTAGCTAGGATTACAGGCATGGGCCATCACGCCCGGCTATTTTTTTTGTATTTTAGTAGAGATGGGGTTTTGTCATGTTGGCCAGGCTGGTCTCAAACTCCTGGCCTCAAGCAATCCACCAGCCTTGGCCTCCCAAATTGCTGGGATTATAGGCATGAGCCACTGTGCCAGCCATTTATTTTTAATTCTCACTTCCACATTAAGATGTAAGGTAATGCTCATTTTAAAATATAAAAACATAAGAGTTTCAATGACTTCCCTAAGGTCATTTAATAGTTAGGAGCATAGATAGACCTGACCAAAGCATCAGTCTGATCATATGTGGTAATAAATAGAACCTGAGTGATTTTGCCTACTAGGGGACATTTGACAATGTCTAGGGACATTTGTCAAAGATTGAAAGTATGATGCAATTGGCATCCAGTTGGTAAGTGACAGTATGCTGCTAAACATCTTAAAATACACAGGGAAGCCCCTGCCCCCATCCCCAGCCCCCTCCACACACACACACGCACACACACACACCACAAAGCAGAATAATCCAACCCTAAAGGACTTTTGATCCAGGTAGCATACACCTGGATCAAAGTTTATAGGTAATTAAAAAATGTTAATCTTAGGGAGTTTCTACCTGTCCCAATATACTGCACCTTTTGCAATTTTGGGAGATTGGGCCCCTTGCCTTTTTAGGAAGTAGGAGAAGGTGAAGGTTGCTATTTCCACATTCAAGGGGAAATGTCTGAAGACTATTCTATTTTATAATTATTATATAACTTCTCACCTATTCTTCTGAGGATAATAAACCTTATTAGGGAATAAGAATAATACAACAAAGTCAAAATTATTTGTCTCCAGCAACACAAGTGTACCAGAATTTACATGTATACCCAATTGTAAACATGCATATGCATATATATATGCATGCATTCATTTCTAGACATACCTATACATGCATATATATGCACCCATATACATGCACAAATGTTTACATCCACATACACAGGTAATTTTAGTATGAACACATAGTGGACACAACTCTTTCTGCAAAGATTTAATGATTTATCTGAAGCTATTGCTTGAGACTTCTCCCTGTATGAAGCAAATTACAAATTTGCAATATCAAATTAATAAGAAGTTTATAATCTCTGAAATCACCCAAAGCAAAATTCACAACTTCAGATCTAGAAGTTATCCATGTCAAAATCAATTCTTCATGGAAAACATCAGGAACATCAGCCTATAAATTCTCATCGTAAACACTAAAACGCATGTCAGAATGAGAGTTTAAAAACCCAAACATAACCTCAAATGTGAACATCCCCAAATAAGTCTTTGCTATTACGTTGTAAACAGCAAAATAACCACATAGTTAGAGGAGAGATCCTTTTCCCCTATAATGCAGGTATTTTTAGAATTGGTATTCTTAGATTGAAGTAATTAATTTCATAATTCCATAGGATTTCAGCAAATCAAAATATGTGCATCACTGGAATTCTAATAATCATGAACAAAAGAAGCCTTGGAAGGTGCATAAAATAAGGAGAGTTGGAAATAGTCAATATGCAGCTGGAATAGTATTTTGGAGGGAGTTTGCCAAAAGACCATCAAGTATTCTATAGAGTGGAGGGTGGAAGATGAGACCAAGAGGGATCCATGAAAGATAACTGATATTGAGTACCTGTGGTAAGGCACCATGGGCTACAAGAACATATAAGACATCACTCTAACTAGAAAGGAAGCCTACACAAATTGAAAACAAGAAATATTAAACTGCACAAGATTATAATAAAGGTTAAATAATGCAAATTTTATATATATATATATGTATATAGATATATATATATATATATATTTTTTTTTTTTTTTTTTTTTTGAGCCAGAGTCTCACTCTGTCACCGGGCTGGAGTGCAGTGGTGTGATCTCGGCTCACTGCAACCTCCGCCTCCCAGGTTCAAGTGATTCTCCTGCCTCAGCCTCCCAAGTAGCTGGGACTACAGGTGCGTGCCACCACACCCCACTAATTTTTTGTATTTTTAGTGGAGACGGGGTTTCACCATGTTGACCAGGATGGTCTCGATCTCTTGACATTGTGATCTGCCCACCTGGGACTCCCAGAGTGCTAGGATTACAGGCGTAAGCCACCGTGCCCGGCCGACAAATTATTTGTCTTATAGTTAAAATGGAGAGTAGTTTCACAGATGTATTATTTGGCTCCTTAACTGAGCCTTAAAACTATAAGTTTACATTGAAATAGATGGTACAACAAAGAGAAAAAAAAGAAATTATGTGTTTGCGGTCTGTGATGTCTGTGTTGAGGTTCTAACTGTAATTTTTTTAAACCCACACATGACTTCCTGTTTATCCCCTGATTAAGTTCTTACCTACCGTCCTCTCCATAATCCTTTCCCCTGAGCATCCATCTCCTGCTTACCTTGTCACTGTCTTCAAAAGTTGACATTTATGGTGGGGCCACCATCTTTCCTGCTTTTTTATTCCTGGTTTATGAGAAACATGATACAGCGTAGGCAGTTTATAAAATTTGTTTGAAATAATAAAAATGAAAGCCCAGGGCAAGCTCTGGACGAGGCCAAAGATTTTCTTTACTCATCACAAGGAAAATTCTAGGTCCAGAGTGTACAGTGTATGCAGAAATATTCTGAGACTGAGCACAGAAACAGTGATGTTGATGCAATGTCCCTTTCAGGAAAACATTTCTGTCTTTTTAAGAGCACAGAGTGATTACATTTGAATACACTCATCCTCTCTTGCTCACCAAAATGCTCCTATTCTGAGAAGTGATGTACATAAACTGAGAGACTAAGAAATATTAATATGAGTAAAAATGCAACTATTTTTAGAAATTTTCTCTTTAAAGGTAACTTATTTATTTCTTGTTCTGAGTAAGTGTACCAGTTTGAGAATTCTACATTGGCAAAGGTTCGGTAGAGCTGTTTCCTCTTTAGGTAGAATTACCCTATGGAAATTCTTTTTTCTTCATTTTGCCCCTGTGAAAAACAACCTGAGCACATTTTTTACCCCCATAACCCCACACAGATAGAATCACCTGTTCTGCATCAAAGTTTACGGGAAATAGAGTTTGGCTTATAGAATTGCTATCTGCCCCATGTATGGTTAGCTAAGGTTGTGGGGCATTTCTCTGACCTTGAGACACCCTTTAGAACTATATGTTTAAATGATATTACAGTGCATCTTAAATGATCAATTTAAGACCTGGAAAAATCACTGGCACCCCAAGCTCTCGCAGCTCTTCATAGGCAGCTGAGACGAAGCTAAAACAATTAGAAGTGGCACAGGTTCTCTAAGAGCAGTGGTAACTGGAAGTCATTGACATTCATAATTGCCTTTACATGGTTCTAGCATCTGTAAATCCAAACTCAAATTCCCTTTAAGACAAAATCTGAAACTGGTAATGCAATCCCAAAATCAAAAACTGGGTAGAGTAAACAAGTACAGTGAGAAGGAGAACAAAAAGTACTCCCTATTGAGTATTAGTAACAATGATCCTTAGAAGGAAATCTGCATATGATTAAGCACAATATCTGACTTTACACGAGGGTTTACACCACACCGTTAGTTGTCTCTTAATATACATTTATTCTTTCTTCCTTGTTAATAGAATCTTTTCTTTTCAGTTTATTTAAATTATCTGTTCAAAAATTGTATTTACTTGTAAATTGACGTATAATAATTGTAGATATTTGTGGAGTAAGTAGCGATATTTCACCACATAATGTAAAGTGATCAGACCAGGGTAATTAGCCAATATTTATTATTTCTTTGTATTGGGGACATCTAATATCCTCCTTCTAGTTATTTGAAACTATATATCATAGCTAATTATAGTCATGCTAGAGTGGTATAGAACACTAGAGCTTATTCCTCCTATCTAGCTGTAGTTTTGTATCCTTTAACAGATTTCCTCCTTGGTTATATTCAGGGAAGCAATGTGCCTAAGATAAGAAGCCATTTTCCCAGCTTTCCTTGGTAGTAGGTGTGGCCATGAAACATAATTTCAACAATGAAACATGCTATGGTTTGAATGTGTCCCTCCAAATTCCTGTGCTGGAAGCTTAATCCCCAGTGCAACAGTGTTGAGAGGTGGAATCTTTAAGAAGTGGAGTTCATGAGCGCTCTGCCCTCATGAATATATTAATGCCATTATCATGGGAGTGGGTTAGTTATCATGGGAGCTGATTCCAGGTAAAGGATGAATTTGGCTCCCTTCCTCTCCCTCTTGCACATGCTCTTTTGCTCTTACACCTCCCTCCACGGAATGACACAGGAAGAAGACCCTTGCAAGCTGCCAGCACCTTGATATTGGACTTCTCAGCCTTCAGAACTGTGAGATATATATTTGTTTCCTTTATACATTGCCCACTCTGTAGTATTCTGTTATATCAACACAAAGCAGAGTAAAACAAAACATAAATGTAAATTTACAGCATTTTATTTCAAAAGCTTTTGCTTTCCTGAAAAAGAGGGACTTGCACAGCTGGTATAGCCTTTCTTCCTTCTTCCCTGTCCCTGCATTAAAAGCAGGCCTGGTGCCTGTGATTGAGCAGCCATCTGGTAATCCTAAGGAGACAAATGTGAGGGTGGTGGAGCAGAAAGCAGAATTGCCACAGGTCCAAATGATCTCGTGGAGCACCTGCTCCATGTCTAGCACCCGCCCAGCTCTGGACTTCAATGCATGTGAGTTAAATAAATCCCTAAACTGAATTCAAACTCGATTGAGTTGAATTTTCTGTTGCTAGCAGTTGAATTCAGTCCTAAATGACACAGCAGTCATCTTTCATTATGCAATAAGCACTAAATAATCTAATCATCTAACTCAATGTTTGGGTCAAAGGGAAACAGAGCAAAAATTCAGAACACAAAATACATAATAAGAAGTGATTTCTCTCCGGGATGTGAGGGTGGATTCAATGTTTAGGCAGGTTTTAGGTGACCGTTGAGACAGAAATGGGCTGCACATAAGTAAGGAGTGAAAGGATACATGTGAAAAGATGAAAGATCTGGGAATATATGTGCCAGCAAAAGAACACACTGAACTACTGAGGAGTTAGGAGTTAGACGTAATCATTACTTTGCCTTTAAATTGTTTTGTAGCTATAAGTATCTGGTCACTCACTAAAATAAAACCAGCTAATTTTTGGGAATTCTGTCAATAAGATGAGTTTGTAAAACTAGTAATTATCCCTTATAGTGGGCAAAGCCACTGTTTGGGGACAGTAAAATAACAAATATAAAATAATTTTAAAAAATACAAAGCATCCTTTGAATAAAAAATTACGTAATGAAATATATGGTTAATTAGACAGGAAAAGGTTTTAATCAGAATTGGGCCATTTATCTTAAAATAATGGAACCTTAAAGGTTTAATGTGTTTATCTGAATTATTTTTCCATGTTTTCTTTGTACATTTAAAACATATCTTCTGATATCAGAGATAGGCTTCTGATTATTCAGAAATGTGATTCCCTTAAGCATTATACAGACAAGCCTGCCAGCATGACTCTATTTATTGATATTGTGTAGTCAGCAGGCGGTATCTGTTAAGATACATATTTCTTATATGTGAGTTTAGATTTTCAAGAATTGCCTAAAAGTGAAAATCATTGTAATGCATAAGGAATAATTTCCAGTGAATTTTACAAGTTTATCTGACCCCTCTTTTATTTGGCACAATGATTCTGGTGGTAATGGTGGAAAGTGAGGCATAATGGGAATAGAAATAATGAAATAGATAATAGAAAGGTTAGGATTATATGATTTTATATTACAGAAATATGGCAATTTTAATGTAAGAAATACTGCATGTGAAATGTATATGAACATACATAAGTGAGACCTGAACCATGCAGGGGTTAAGGGTGCCAACTTCCTACAAAGTTGAAAATCTGCATAAAACTTTGACTTACCAAAAACTTGAACTACTAACAGTTTACTGTTGTCTGGAAGACTTACTGATAGCATAAAGTTAATTAACACATGTTTTGTATGTTATATGTACTATGTACTGTATTACAATATAGGAAGCTGAGAAAAGAAAATGTTAAGGATATTATAAGAAAGAAAAAATATATTTGCTCTTTATTAAATGGAAGTGAATCACTATAAAGGTTTTCATCCTAGGTGTCTTTACATTGAGTAGTCTGAAGAGGAAAAGGAGAATGGTAGAGGTTGAAGAGGTGAAGGAGGTGAAAGGGGAGGCAGGAGAGGCAGGCATACTCGGTGTAACTTTATGGAAATAAATCATAATTTCTGTCTGACTTTTTGGCCTTTTCATTTCTCTAAAAATATTTCTATATGGTACCAATGCTTTTTCCACCATTTGTTTTAGTTTCAGTTCGTGTATCATAAAGGGTTCATTTTGCAGTAGAGTCGAAAGCAGGCTTGAATAATCTGAGCCCTTCTGCCAGATTGTCTAATGCCGATTTGTTTTCTGTCACTGCTCCTTCCATGTCTTCTTCATCATCTGGCACTGGTTCAGAAGCACTCATCTCCATCAAGTCATCTTCTGTTCATTCCTGTGGTGTGGTGTCCGTTAACTCTTGAATTTCTCCAAGATCCATATCTTGAAACACTTCGTCCTCCTCTTTTTTTTTTTTTTTTTTTTTTTTTTTTTTGCCGTATCCGCAAATGCTTTCATGATTTCCCTGATTGATTCTGTCAGTGCTGTAAAGTCATGCACAATATCAGAACACAGATTTCTCCAGCAGGGTTTTTTTTTTGCTTTGTTTTTTGGTTTGATAACTTTCATGGCTTTTTCTGTAACTATAATGGCATTTTCAGCTGTGTAATCCTTCCATACTTTTATGATGTTCTTTCTGTAGTTCTCTTCTATATTATGATAATCCTTTTGATAATGTGTATGACAAGACTTTAAGACTCTTATGACCCCCTGATTAGAGACTGAGTTAGAGACGTTGTATTTGGAGGCAAGTGGACCACTTCGACACCTTTGGTATTAAAGTCCTGGGGTTCTGGATGGCATTGTCCAATATCAAAAGAACTTTAAAAGGCAGTCTCTTACTGGGAAGGTACTTATTGACTTCGGGGACAATGCATCAATGGAAGCAATCCAGAAAAGGGATTTCATTGTCCAGACCTTATTGTTGTACAACAGAAAAACTGGCAGCTGGTATTTACTTTGCCCCTTCAAGGCTTGAGCTTTATAGATAAGGGCAGCCCTGACCATAAACCCAACTGCATTTGCAAAAATACAGTAGAGTTAGCCTATCTCTTTCTGCCTTAAATACTGGTGTTGACTTCTCTTCCTTAGTAATAAATGTCCTTTGTGGCATTTTCTCCCAAAATCCAGTACTTTCATCTCCATTAAAAATCTGTTCAGGTAGGTATCCTTCCACCTCAATAATTTTCTTAACGGTTTTGGGAACTCTGCTGCCTTTTAGTAGGCAGAACCTCCTTCTCCAGTTGATATTTCAAAAGCCAAACCTCCTTCTAAAATTATCAAACTATCCCTTACTGATGTTAAATTCATAACTGAGGAATAGAAAAGCAAATATCATATGTTTGCACTTATAAGGAGGAGTTAAGCTATGAGGATGCAAAGAGATGAGAATGATATAATGGACTTTGGGGACTCAGAAAAGGGTGGAATGGGGTGAGGGAGAAAAAACTACACATTGGGTAGAGGGTACACTGCTCTGCTGTTGGGTTCACCAAAATCTCAGAAATCACCACTAAAGAACTTATCTATATAAACAAATTTACACGCTTCCCGAAATCTATTGAAATTAAAAACAAAATTCTACAGCTTTAGGTCCTTTACCTTCTTTTATCTTATGATTTTTTCATATCCTGATTTTGCTTTTTCTCAAATCATATTAGCCTACAGGTATGGCTTTCTCATAGCAATCCTGTACCAACATAAAAGCTGCATTTTCAGTACCAGTTAAAAAGGTATTTCTCAGGATATGGAGGCATTCAGTGAGGAGGGAGAAGACTCTCCTACATGAAGAAGCTGAGCACAGGCTCCCCTTACGTAAAGATCCACTCTACTGCCCCTCTGTACCCAGGACCAGCTGCCAAGTCAAGCTTATCTTCAGTGGTAGCAGACTTGTGCCTTACATGTCATGGCATTTTTCACAGTGGGTCCGTTTTATTAATCATGGTACAGTATCTGTTATTGGCCACTGATTGTATTGGCCATATCTTTAAAAATGAACACCAATTTTCAAATGAATCACAATTTATAAACATACTCCAAATGTTGACACAGATGACTTTATTGATCACAGGCTTAACAAACCCCATGCAAATGAGTGTATATGGCAGAGTCTCATGGAAATATCCCTGAGCATGAGTGGATATTCCAGGAACTTTACGCTAAAGTGCTCTTGTAGAAGAATAATTTTGTAATTTCTTATTTAGTATTTTGTTACCTAAACCCTGAATATCTTTACAGCTTCCATCAAGATATTCTATTACATGAAAAATGGGTATGTGACTACTGAGTAAAGAAAAGAAAAGAAAACACAGTCTATAGTAACATACAAACTTAGTTATTTGATTTATGCCTTCATTTAAGAGAATAAAAATTTATACTTGAATGGCCAGATGCTATTAGGGTTAATCCATATAGTCACATGACATTAGTTTTTATGAGGGTGGAATTTAGATACGATTCTTTTGCTAGCCAGGTCTCAAATAGAATAAACAAAACAAAATAAAACTATCTCTGAATGCCAACATCAGAATGTTTTTTATTACTAGGATATAAGTGGATATAATTTAAAAGAATCATAATATTATAGAGCTGTAATAGATCTTAGTTATCTTTTTCTTCAAATTCTACATTTAGAAAAAGTCAGTTTGGGGGTTAGAGATTATGTACATATATTCAAGAAAACAACTTATTATCACTCTAGTAATAAGTGAGTCAAGTCTCTGAGAATTCCTGGAAATGTATAGCCTTAATGGCTGTGAGTTATGCAAGTTTGTACTGAAGCTTCACAACTGTGTAAAGGACAAGGACATAAACAAGCTTATGTCACTAAAACCGATCTCTTGTTCAATTCCCTTTGTCTCTTTTTTTCCTTCAGTAAGATGCTGGGTCTCTTCATTTCCTGATGTGACAGACCCTTCTTTGTTCTGTTCCATAATGTCTTGGGACTGGCTTAGTCACAATGCTGAATATTCAGCTTCCTCTGCCAGAAACAGTATTACTTGTACCAAAATTAATCACTTGCAGAGACTCTGAGCTCTTTTTTCCAACTACTCTCTCTTAAATATGAAAAATAGTCTACCAGACACCTCTTTTTATTTATTTCTCAGTTGTAGCAAAGTATACGTTGGGCCTCAGATGGTCTCATGGGAACTAAAGAAGAACATAAAGTACCTGAATTTCTATTAATGCAGAATCAGAATCAGTAATAATAATAACATAGTTGCTATTCTGTAAACATTTGATACCTGCTGATTTCCATGTTAGTTTTTTATATGAATTATCTCTATCTCTATTCTTTAAAAAAAATATATAAATAACCTTTATTGTCTCTGCATTACAGATTAAGAAAAGGCAGTTAGTTCAGAAGAGTTAAATTAGTTACCACGTCAACACAACTAGCAAGTGTTTAGTTGAGGATTGTAATGTAGTCTGCCTTTCTCAAATATCGCTAGTCTTTTTACTGTAGCCTTTTCATTTCTTAGTGCTTTTATTGCCAATAGCAACAATAATGACAGTTATTATACGGTGAGTATGACTATGTGCCACACTTTGTGCTAAGCACTTTATCTGCATCTTTACAAATTTTATTTGTCCTATATGCAGATGTGTGATATAGATGATGCCACTGATTAGAATATGGGTCATATGTGGCATTTAGTATATCTGAGATTCAATTACCAATCATTATTGGCATCATTAAATCCCTGCATTCTAAATGATTGTCTCTTAGGCTCGTTATCCAAAACCATGAGCTCTCAAGCCTCCACCTAGATTCCAACATATTCCCATTGCCTTTGCACTTGGCTGCTTATATCGTCCCTAGATGGTCCATGTTTTCTAATGGGCTGTGTGCCTTCATTTCCCATATTTTCTTTGTCCAAAATGAACTTCCTAATCTCTTAAAATCCTCTTATCCTTTTTTACCCAAATATCTTATACTTAGTAAAGTTCCACCTGGTAACCCACTCTCAATATGAAACCATCTTTCCATTTTCTTTGTTCTCAAGAGGACTTTTATTACACTTGTCTAGTGGAACTGATGATTTTAAAATTATGTCGTTCCTGTGTATGTATGTGTATATACACACTTCTACATTTCCTACCTTCATTATACTGTAGGATAAGAAATATATGTTCTCTTTAAAATGGCAATGTTTATTTTCTTTTTATAAGGTAGCACATTTTCTATCAGAAAATTTTACAAATTTAGAAACGTGTAAAGAAGAAATTGTCATTCATAATTCTACCATTTACATAGAATTACTATTAATATATGATTTCTTTAGTTATTTTTTTAGTTTTTTTTTCTTTTTCTTCTTTTTTTTTTTTTTTTTTTTTTTTTTGATACAGGTTATCACTAGGTTGCCCAGGCTGGTCTTGAACTCTGAGCCTCAACCAATCCTCCCACCTCGGCCTCCCAAAGTGCTGGGATTATAGATGTAAGCCACCACACTCAGCCTATAAACCACATTTTTATCTAACTTTTTATGATGATAAAATAGATATTGAATTACTTGTGAGTAAACTTCACAGTTGTTAATCCAATGTTAAAATGCAGTTGTATAATTTCGATATTGCATGTATCCAAAATTATTAAGAGACAAATTTTTATTTGTCTTTTATTCACATTGCAAGAATTTGCACACATGACTAGTAAAGATCAAAATGCATGTACACTTTTGAAAACATTTTGTGGACAGGCACGGTGGCTCACACCTATAGTCCCAGCACTTTGGGAGGCCAATGCAGGCGGATCACGAGGTCAGGAGTTTGAGATCAGCCTGGCCAACATAGTGAAACCTCATTTCTACTAAAAATACAAAAAATTAGCTGGGCATGGTGGTGGGTGCCTGTAATCCCAGCTAATTGGGAGGCTGAGGCAGGAGAATTGCTTGAACCTGGGAGGCAGAGGTTGCAGTGAGCCAAGATCACGCCACTGCACTCCAGCCTGGGCGAGAGTGTGAGACTCCGTCTTATATTAAAAAAAAAAAAAAAAAAAAAAATTGCAGTACATTTCAAGGTACAAATAACATATGCCATCTGATGAAGTAATTGAACAGCTAGAAACCTTAAGAAAAGTAATCAATGTTGCAAAACATGATTTATATGTAAGAATTCACATTGCAATTATTTGTAACTGAAAAATTGTAAACAACTTAAATATAAAAGTATTATATAATAGCCACATATTTGAAACATAATAGTAATAACACATACTTAGCATGTGCTAGAACTTGCTTAGAATATTCCAGAATAGTTTTAGAGCTTTACACATATTATCTCATTAAGTTCTCAAAATAATCCTGTATGATAGTCAATTATAGTATGCCCATTTTCTGGATAAAGGAATAAGGCACAGTTCACATGAGTAGCCTAAGATTTTACAAATAGTATTGTCAAAGCCATAATTTGAATTCAGATTTCTAGCTCCAAGGCCTTTCTTACCACTATATTCTACTGCCACCGTATAGCATCATTCAAGATATTTTTAATATGAATGAAGATTATCCTTCAAATATCTTGAACTTTATCTTCTCACCTCCAATGATCTTGTTTCTCATCTACCTCATCCACACACTACCACTGTCATCCTCAAACCTTTGCTATAACCTTCAAATTTTCCATATCAAGCACTCACTTTCAGATGAACACCACCTATCTTTAAAATTTATTCTGTATTGTATCTTGACTCCAGCAATGTTTTGGCACCTTACTATTTTCGAACAATGTACACTAATGCCTTTTTACTTTTCCTAATTTTCTTCCTTTATTCCAGTTGGATTAGAACCCTGTCATTATCATTACTTCTTTGTAAACCTTCTCTACTTCCTTTTCTTTCTCTTCTTCCAATCTCCATCCAGGTTAAATGTACATCTCTACCTACTCTGAGCCTGACATTTGAGTAGTTGGAGGTGGCTTAGAATATGGAGAAAAACACAAAACCATGCTGAATCATCTCAGTTTTAATCATGAACACTAAACTTGAACACTAAACCAAAAAGACCCCATATAGCCAAGGCAGTCCTATGCAAAAGGAACAAAACTGGAGGCATCACAATACCTGACTTCAAACTATACTACAAGGTTACGATAACCAAAATAGCATGATACTGGTACAAAAAGACAGACACATAGACCAATGGAACCGAATAGAGAACTCAGAAACATAACCACACACCTACAACCATCTGATCTTCGACACATCTGACAAAAACAAACAATGGGGAAAGGAGTCCCTATTTAATAAATGGTGCTAGGAAAACTGGCTAGACATACGCAGAAAATTGCAGCTGGACCCCTTCCTTATACCTTATACAAAAATTAACTCAAAATGGATTTTTAAATACTTAAATGTAAAACCCAAAACTATAAAAACCCTAGAAGAAAATCTAGGCAATGACATTCAGGACAATAGGCATGGGCAAAGATTTCCTGACAAAAAACCAAAAGCAATTGCAACAAAAGCCAAAATTGACAAATGGGATTTAATTGAACTAAAGAGCTTCTGCACAGTGAAAGAAACTGTCATCAGAGTGAGCAGACAACTTACCTAATGGGAGAAAATGTTTGCAGTCTATCCATCTGATGAAGATCTAATATCCAGAGTCCACAAGGAACTTAAACAAATTTACAAGAAAAAAGCAAACAACTCCATTAAAAAGTGAGCAAAGGACACGAACAGACAATTTTCAAAAGAAGACATTCATGTGGCCAACAAGCATATGAAAAAAAGCTCATCATCACTGATTATTAGAGAAATACAAATCAAAACCATAATGAGATACCATCTCATGCAGTTCAGAGTGTCTATTACTAAAAAGTCAAGAAACAACAGTTGCTGGCGATGATGTGGAGAAAAAGGAATGCTTTTATACTGTTGGTGGGAATGTAAATTAGTTCAACCATTGTGGAAGACAGTGTGGAGATTCCTCAAGGATCGAGAAGCAGAAATACCATTTGACCCAGCAATCCCATTACTGGGTATATACCTAAAGAAATATAAATTATTCTGTTATAAAGATACATGCACACATATGTTCATTGGCAGCACTATTCACAATAGCAGAGACATGGAACCAACCCAAATGCCCATCAATGATAGACTGGATAAGGAAAATGTGGTACTCATATACCATGGAATACTATGCAGCTGTAAAAAGAACAAGATTATATCCTTTGCAGGGACATGGATGGAGCTGGAAGCCGTTGTCCTTAGCAAACTAACACAGGAACAGAAAACCAAGAGCTAGCATGTTCTCACTGAAAAGTGGTAGCTGAGGCCGGGCGCGGTGGCTCACGCCTGTAATCCCAGCACTTTGGGAGGCCGAGGCGGGTGGATCATGAGGTCAGGAGATCGAGACCATCCTGGCTAACACGGTGAAACCCCATCTCTACTAAAAAGACAAAAAAATTAGCCGGATGTTGTGGGGGGTGCCTGTAGTTCCAGCTACTCGGGAGGCTGAGGCAGGAGAATGGCGTGAACCTGGGAGGCGGAGTTTGCAGTGAGCTGAGATCACGCCACTGCACTCCAGCCTGAGCGATAGAGCGAGACTCCATCTAAAAAAAAAAAAAAAAAAAAAAAAGGGGTAGCTGAATGATGAGAACGCATGGACACACTGGGGGAAAAACACATACTGGAGCCTGTTGGAGGAAGGGGAGGGAGAGCATCAAGAAGAATAGCTAATGGATGCTGGGCTTAATACCTAGGTGATGGTGTGCAGCAAACAATCATGGCATATGTTTACCAGCGTAACAAACCTGCACATCCTGTGCATGCACCCCAGAACTTAAAATAAAAGTTGAAGAAAAAAAATTAATCTCTTAGTGCTGCCTGACATTACTGCTATTATTTACTCTCTCACTCTCCTAGATGATTATTTCACATAATCTACTTTTCCTCATACCTCCAAATTTTCTTTTTTTTTCTGTCAAATGCAGTTGATGAGCTTATATCTTATTTTATTGGGTAAATAGAATAACAAGAAATTTCCTGGTGCTTTTTATATAAACTTTAGCATAACACATGTACCTTGAGCATTTTTTCAATTATAATGAATTAAACTTTCCACATTCTCATGTAGAGCCAACCCCAATGCTACACACAAGATCATATACCTGCTCTTTATTCCAGAAACTCATACTTGCCTTGGCTTCTCCCTTTTCACCATGAGTAGCGCTCTCTCTCCTTTATAATTATATTATCATGCAAACATAAAATCATATTGCCTGTCTTTGAACAAACCCTTCTGATAAAAGCACATTTCCCACCAGGTAATGCCCAATCTGTCCAACCCCCCATTTTCAGAAAAGCTTCTCAAATTTTAGGCTATATTTTCTTTCCCCGTTTTCTCTAGCCTCACTCTATCTTAAACACACTCCAATCAGACATCCACCTTGCCAATCTACCAAAACCCTTCTCACAGTGACTATGCCCTTTAGAGGTCACTTCAGGGGTTATTACTTAGCTCTCCTATTAGTTGATCTGACAGCTGCATCTGAAACTCTTGATTGCCTCATTCGTCTTTAAACACCCTTAATTTTCTTCCTTTGGGATACCACTCTTTCTTCATATCTCAAAATTTTCCAGCCTCTTACTTTTGTTCCCTACCCTGCATCCTCCTTGGGTTCCTACACTCTACCTGTAGAATTATTCAGAGTGTGGGCATTGGCAATCCTCTCTCTCTTCATACAGTCCCTTGGATCCCCTCCAATATGAAAACACCATCCATTAACTGTTAACTCCCAAAGTTTTGTCTTTGGCCCAGATTACTTCGCTGAGGTCCAAATTCTCAAATTCTTGACATTTTGACTTGAATCTCAAGTACTTATCTAAAATTTAACAAGTTCAAAACCAAACTGCTGATTTCCAACCTGTTCCTCCTATCAAGGTAACTCCCTAGTTTTCATTGGTGCAAATAACATATTTGGCATCATGCTTGATTTCTCTTTCATGGACACCCCACAGTGGTCAGCCATAAAATCCTTTTAGCTCTACAAAAGATAATATGCAGAATTTGACTATTTCTCACTTCCGTAATCACAGTTGGTCAAGCCACTATAATTTCTTACCCAGGCCATACTTTCCTGGATGTTCTTCCTGTGGTCACTCTGGACTCTCTATGGTCTATCCTCCACAGAGCTGCCAAAGCCATCATTTCATAAAGCAACCAGGTCCCATCACTTTACATGACTGGCTGATCACTAATAATAAAAGTCGAAATCCAATATAGCCTTCAGAGCCCTACGTCACCTGGCCACTTTATCCTATTAAGGGTTTCTTTCTTCCACTTCTGCCTTATTCTTTTGTCATCCTTCAAATATTTCAAGCAAGGTTCTGCTTCAGCATTTGCAATAACTTTTCTGCCTAACAGGCATTTCCTTCAGATCCTCCCCTCAGTGGCTCCTTCACTTCTTTAGTTCTCTAATCAAATGTCACCCTTGGAAAGAAGTCTTCCTTGACCACTGTGTGTAATGCAGCCCTCACTCCAATTATTCTTTGTCCTCTTGCCCTGCATATCCTGCACCATTGCACTGCCACTTAACACATATGTACATGCTTTTGCATCTTTGTTTGTTGTCTATGAATTTTCAATAGAATGTAAACTTTAGCAGGATCTTTGTTTTGCATAAATAGTATGTGGTACCTTGTAAGTTCTCAATTAATATTTATTTAATGAATAAATAGGGGATTTAATAAATATGACTTACTTGTGTACACTTTTTAAAATTATTTGCATCCAAAACTTTTGATGAAAAGAGAAAATGTCTAAGATACAATGTTAAGTTGTTAAAACAATAGAAAACCCTGTTTGACAAAATCGGGCAAAACATTTTTTTAAAGCCCAATTCTTCATAATGTTTAATTACACGTAGATATATTAAATATTAATGAGTGCATCAAAATATTGACAGTGATTTTAGCTCAGTTTGAGACTAAAATGTCTAATTTACATTTTGTCTTCATATCATCAAATTTGTAAGCCAACATACATTAATTTTTAATATTTTAGAACCATGAAATGAAAGATTTATTTTAAAATAAATAAAACCAGTATTTATTAACTACATACTATCATACCTTCTTAACAGTTATATTCTTGACACTGTCCAACATAACATCATGCATATAGCAGATGTGTAATCAATTTGCATAAAATAAGTGTCTAAAATGCTATTTCAATGTGAAGGTCTTATGATCAGTTTTAACTTCCAGCAAAGTGCTTCAAAAGTACTTTTATTTATTCTCAGAATTCTATAAACATTTATTAAGCAGCAATTCTGTGCCAGGCAAGGTTCTAAGCACTAAGAATATAGGGTGGATATGACAGCTAATGTTGCTACCTTATGGAATTTACTTTCTACTACAGTTAGACATATTAAGCCCTGTAGATTTCTAAAATATTAAATAATAGTCTCCTCTTTTGTTAGGTTTTATAATAAAATGATGAAAATTTAAGGAAATTCTATTTGATTGGAAGCAGTATGAGATTCTTTCTAGAACATGTTTGAAATGTCCAATCGAATACATTTTATTGACCGATTTTCCCTCATATATATTGTGATAAAATATAATCATTGTTGATACTTATGCTTTATCATCCCTAAAGAAGTGTTTAAGACCTCAAAGATGAAAAACACTAAGAATATTAAAACCATCATAGATATGTGAGTATACATATATATATATATATATACACATACACACACATTTAATGTATATTTTGAAGCACAAACAATTCTTACTATTACATATAACAATATTTATAAGCTTATCTAATTCTGTTTGGGTGATAATAAAATGAAATCATATAAATTTTAGGTTATCAGATTCCAAAGCCATTAATTGTTTCACTACCAATTTAATTCTTCCTCTGATTTCAAGCTTGCCAAGTGTCATTCTGATTGCAATTTGTTTTTTGATGTAATTTATCTTCAGGGTTAAAAGATGGGTGTTGGTGAAGTTGCTGTGAGGACAGACTTGACAGTAATATTTCTTGATTAATGTAATTAAATTTTTATTAGGTTGCATATATCTATGCAAAACCAATGTGCAAATAAATGTTTTCCAGAGATAGTTCTATGACTGGTTACAACCACATCATATCTAATATGAGGAAAAAATACCAATGGTACTTTACCAATTACATGAATCATTAAATATTGATAAGTAATACCATTTTTCCTTCGACTATGAGAATGCCTTTTACAAAACAAGGTTTCTAGAAATATATGCTTAATTAAACTGAATTGAATAGCATAGTCTACAGCATAATACTTCTATTGGCATAAAGTTGTGAAATTAAGTTACTAAATAAGTTAAAATAGCTACAATATTTATACATTATTTACTTGATTCAAAAAAAAGAAAAATTCTAGCACTCTATTTACTTCTAAAGATGTTATCTGGGTGGAAAACATAGTCTCAAAAAAAAGATTACAAGCTCACATCTGAGAATGAACACTATGTGCAATTTTTTCAGACGAGAAAATGGTTTATCGTCAGGTGCTACATGTTATTTTAAATAAAGTTTTATTTCCAGAGGCATTTCTATTCTATAATAGCTAAGTGATATGTGTGTATGTGTGTGTGTGTGTTCTCCTAGATTAAAGTGAATAATTTCTGGTCTAGTTTTATTTTCTAGAAAGATAGCAATGCATAAATTAAAGTTGGTCTCTATTTCTCACTGTATTGTACATTTCTCAGTACCCTTATGTAAAAGAATTAAAAATGAAACACAAATAAGGTGAAAGATCATACTATCACAGGCAGAATGAAAGGTCATTATCTCTAACTTATCTTCAGAAACTTTTAGCTGAGATATTCAATAAGACCAAAAAAATTATAATAATTGCATCCTCTATTTCCTTTTCTACTCAATTTCTTCTGATAATAATTATGAATTTCATCTTGTCAAGCAGTTGAAATATAAAGAACATAGGCTTAAAATCAGACAAAAGAGGATGTGAATTTCACCTTTGTACTTACTCTGTGGCTTAACACAAATTATTTATCAGCACTTATTTTAATTTTCTTTATGTATAAAAATGTAAATAATAAGTTCTGCTTCATGACATTGCAAAGAGTTAATGAAATAACATGCAGAGTGCTGAATACACTGAATGTTGGTTGTCCAGTTTCCTCAATGATGAATCTTGTGGGGTAGGTGAATTTTTTTTAGATGGCTGCGGGTCACAGTTGAGAATTGTGAATTCTAAATTCACGATTAAATTCCAATTTCACTAGAATTAAAACTAGTACTCTGTGTATTTTCTAAAATAGAAAAATTTTAAAATTAAAGATAATAATTTCTATCAGAAGAAAGGCTACCCATAGAGCAGGCATAGCATTAGGCGAGCATTTCTGGTAGTCAGACAAACTCCACGAGTTAGGAACTTAATAAAAATAACTTAAAAATAAAAAAATATGAGGCTCGGTAATGTTGAATAGCCTCCTGTAATAAAGTGCATGCAATATATTAATATCTCAAATCATCCCTTGATTCTCAGTGTCTTTGTTATGCACATGGCCATTGCAATGAGGAAGACTTGCATTAACATTTACATTGAGGGTATATTGACACGGATAGGTTTAAGTTTATCATCTCACTAATTGTTTTCTATTGGTTTAGCTCTCCTTTTCTCCATGTTTCCTCTTTTTCTGACTTTTTGGGATTAATTACAAATTGGATATTTCATTTTCTTTGTTGACATTGATGTAAAAACTGGCGAAATCCAAATAAAATCTGGAGATTAGTTAATAGTAATGTACCAATTTTGATTTCTTATTTTTGATAAACATAGTGAGGCAATAGAAGATGTTAACATTATAGAAACTGGGTAAGGAGTAAGGGATATATGGAAACTCTCTGTATTACCTTTAAAACATTTTTATAAACTTATAAAGTTTTTCTAAAATTTAAGATATTTGAAAGGGTAAAGATATTGCCAGTGAAAACAAAAGCTGAACAAATTAATTGCCAGCATGCCTGCACCAATGGAAATGCTAAAGACCACTCTTTCAGCTGAGGGAAAATAATCTTATAGAGAACTGAAAGGTAGGAGGGACTGAAAAGTAAAGAAAAGGGTAAATGTATATGTAAGTCTAAATATTCACTGTATAAAACAAAATAATATTATGTGGATTTAAAATAAATGTAGAATATTAGATTCTAATAAGGAAAGGATACACACTCTGGGATGAACTGCATAATAAAAATATAAGACTTTTCATCTCACAAACTAAAAAAAGGGAAAATGAAATAATGTATTATTCATTTCAAAGTATAAATGAGACAAAAGGGAAACTAATGATTAGATAGTTAAGAAAAACTGAAATATAAAAATTATTGTAATGTGAGGGATATAATGATATACCTTTCTAAAAAGTCCTACACACAGGCAACAAGAGTAAAACTAGACAAATGGTTTGGCATCAAACTAAAAAGTGTCTCCACAGCATAGAAAACAAGAAAGTGAAAGGACCATCCATAGAATGCGAGAAAATATTTGCAAACTATACATCTGATAAGAGGTTAATTTCCAAAACATATGAGGAACTAAAACAACTTAATAGCAAGAAAACAAATAACCAGATTAAGATGGGCAAAGGACTAGAACAGACATTTCTCAAAAGAATACATACAAATGGCCAACGGGTACACAAAAAATGCTCAGCATCACTAATCATTAGGGAAAGGTAAAATAAAACCGCAATGCGACATCACCTCACACATGTTTGAATGGCTTTTATGAAAAAGATAAAAGATAAGAAGTTTGTAAAGGATGCAGATAAAAAGAAACTCTTGTATATTGCTGGTAGACATGTAAATTAGTACAGTCATCATAGAAAATGGTGTATAGATTCCCCCCAAAAACTAAAAATATAGCTACTATATGATCCAGTAATCCCACTTCTGGGTACAGATCCAAAGGAACTGAAATCAGCATGTTGTAGGAATACCTGCACTCCCATATTCATTGCAGCATTATTCACAATGTTCAAGGCATAGAACCTAAGTGCCTGTCAGTAGATGGATGAATGTTTAAAATGTGGTATATATAAATAATGGAATACTATTCAGCTTTTAAAAGAGGAGAAATCTTGACATTTTTGACAACAGAGATGACTCTGGTGGAAATCATGCTAGGTAAAATAAACCAGGCACAGAAGGACAAAAACCACATCATCTTACTTACATGTAGAATCTGAAAAAGTTGAATTCACAGAAGCAGAGGGTTGAATGATGACTACCTGAGGCTGGGAGGGTTGGAAGAGAGGGAATGGTGAGTTGACTAAAGGGTAGCAAGTTTAAGACAGAAGAAATAGGTATTGAAATTTATTGCGTAGCAGAGTAACTACAGTAAATAATAATGTATATTTTAAAATAATGAAAGGAGTAAATTTTAAATGTCTTATAAAATGATAGGTGATCAATATGTTAATTAGCTTGATTTAATAATTCCACACTGTAGGCATATACTGAAATATCACATTGCGTTCCATAAATGGTAAAATTATAATTTTTCAATCAACAAAAATAATAAATCCATATATATTAGACTAAGTATCAAGTATCCAATTAGAGAACAAAGGCTGTCAGACTGTATATATTTTTTGAAAACCTCACCATATGCTGTTTACAAAAGGAATATAATCCAGAATATTTGAAAGTAAAAGAATTGAAAAACATTTTGAAAATACTAAACAAAGTAAATACTGTATATCAAAGTAGTTTTTAAAACATTATTTGATAGAACCAAAGACATTTATACTTGAAAGATATCATTTTAAATCTATATGAATCCAAAAACTTAGCTTGAAAATATATTAATTAAAAGGTGAAGAACTTCAGGAAGAAATAAACAATTCCACAATATTAGTGGAAGATATTAACACATCTCCCTCAATTACTGATGGAAGAAATAGCAAGAATATAGGAGATTTGAACAACAGAAAAAATAAACATGACTTGATTGGCATATACACAACACTTAAATAGAGAAAAATGTAGTAAGAATCATTTTAACTGAAAACTAAAAATAAAAGTAAAATTATTTAATTTAATTAACCATATTTAGAAATTCCTATACCAAATATTATACTTCATGGTGAATTATGACAGCTTTCCACTGAAAATGGAATAAAAGAAAGTATGCTTGTGGTCAACATTTGTATTCAGGTCCTCAGTGCAAAAAAAAAAGCAACAACAAAAAGCCAGAAGAAATGAAAAGTAAGAAATAAAACTTAATTGTTATGAACAGCATAATTGTATACATAGAGAAAACAAAATATTCAGAGATAAAAGTTTAGAATTAATGGGTGATTTTTAGCATCCTGTTAAATATACAAAAAATTACAAAAATAATTTTGATATTCCATTTAATTCCATACATGGAACAAATCACCAGAAAGTATAAAGTGATACTATTTATATCAGTATTTAAAATATCAAGTAACCAATTGAATGTAAGGTGTTCAAGCATCTCAAAAATCTACAAACTATTACTAAGATAAATTATAAAAGACCTTTAATTAACTGAAGGATTATATGTTGTAATGGTTTGGAAAACTAAATATTGTAAAGATATCAACTTCCCCCAAATTAATCTCCAGTTTCAGTTTAAACCAGTCTTAGTATTATTTTTGTGGAATATAACAAGCTGATTTCCAAACTTTTCATATGAAAATACGAAGATCCAAAGCTAGCCAATATAATGTTGAAGAATAAGAATAATTTGAAGGAGTTTTACTACAATAAATTGAGACATTATAAAACCACAGTAACTAATAACAGTTTGCTATTGGCACAAAAATACATAAATAGGCTAAAGGGACCATATAGGAAGTCCAGAACACTTAACATATAACCATTTGATTTCTGACAATGATGTCATAAATGGAGTGCGGATTTTTTTAAAAACAATGTTAATTGTATATTCATAGGTGAGAAATAAATAGATTTTTTATTTCCTATGTGATATTATACGTAGAAATCAATTCCAGGCATTATGTAGGCCTAACTGTAAAAGGCAAAAATTGTCATCAATTGATACTATTAAGATAATGTGAAATCAAGCTAGACCATAGTTGTGATATAAAATTCCAATGATGGACATGAAATCAAAATATTAAAACTCTTACAAAACAATAAATGAAAAGGCCAGCGAAATTTAAACAACGGGCAAAAGACTTGAACAAGAACGTACCCCTTTCTTTTCATACAAAAATAGTACAATATGGAGGAAGCGCAGCTGTTAGGTAAATAAGCTTTCTTCCTCATGTTGGGTGTCATAGCTGTATGTCAATTAATACAATAGAATGAAGACCAGAAAAACCTGAACTCTCCTAAAGTAAGTGAATAAAGAATAAAATTATAATTTAAGTATGCTTTATGTTCTTATTTGATTACCCCAAATATTTTGGGGTATACTCAATTAAGGATGAAAGTAGAAAATTCAGTGAATTTGAATTGTTGAAAACCAAAACAATCTTGTTAGAGAAAAATTCATCCACTGATATTTGCATGTTTTATTTTGTTTCTTAAAGAATTTTGTGGCAGGTAATTATCAGGACACCAAATTGTGAGAATGAAAGAAAAGATGGAATAAAATAAAAAATATCCTTAGTTTAGGTAAGATATATTATTGGTAGCATGAAAAAAGCAAGTATTATTCTCACAGAATGGATAACCAAGTATTCAAAAACATCAATGTATAAATGAAAAAACACTTTTTATTCCCATTAAAACTTTCAATGTTTGAGCTTTCGTTTGCTGTTGGGAATTTATTTTGAGTAAAAATCTTAAGAGGACAGATACATGAGAAAAAAATCAACTAAAATTATTTTGGTGTATACAACTCACATGCATCTTAGCATTATGGACGAGAGAATTTTTAACATTAGAACTACCTGGAACATGCTTAAGTCAGTTATGATTTAAAAAATGAACAATGCATTACACATTGATTTTTTAACATTATAAGTACAAAGTGTTCTTGATATTTTATTTTATTTATTTTAAAGCAGCATGACATAATATAATTTTGCGGGTAGTTCATTCATTTTGTATTTCACTAATTAATGATTTTCTGGTATTCATTAATTCACGTTATATTTCCTGAAACTGTCTTTCTAAAAAAGGGACCACTTTTCTGAAGCTTAGAATATGACTAGAACTGGCCATATTTGACCAACCTTTCTACTTGGGTTTGGTATGACCAAAAGGCTGATTTATAAAAAATTTATTTCTCCCTCAATGAAATGTGCTTTTTTTCATTCCCCTTTATGTCTATTAGCCAGTATTCTGCCTTTACTACTTATAATTTCATAAGATGCCTTTTTTTTTTTTTCTTTTTTTTTGAGATGGAGTCTCGCTCTGTCGCCCAGGCTGGAGTGCGATGGCGCGATCTCGGCTCACAGCAAGCTCCACCTCCCGTGATCACGCCATTCTCCTGCCTCAGCCTCCTGAGTAGCTGGGACTACAGGCGCCCGTCATAACGCCCGGCTAATTTTTTGTATTTTTAGTAGAGACGGAGTTTCACTGTGTTAGCCAGGAAGGTCTCGATTCCCTGACCTCGTGATCCGCCCACCTCAGCCTCCCAAAGTGCTGGGATTACAGGCGTGAGCCACCGCGCCAGGCCCATAAGATGTCTTTTTAAAGTAATACAATTTTCTACAACAAAGTCCTTACCAGAAAACAAGTTTAGGAATGAGAAAGAAAATGTCATATTTAGAGGACATTGTAGAAAGATTTCAAATACTTTAATACATTTTAACATAGGTAAATATGTGTCTGTGCATCAGGTACCTTAATGTTTTATGGTAAATATGTGTCTGTGCATCAGGTATCTTAATGTTTTATCAGATTCGTCTAAGGGCTTTTTATATACTTTAAAATTTTACCTTAGTATATTTCTTTTATAACTCCTATTATGAGAAGATATTTGTAAGATAAGTTTTGTAAATAATTAGCATTATCATAGTCATAAATTTCATTAAATAAAGTAACAGCTCTCATGATGATCAAACAGATAAAATTTTCTTTACAATCAATAAGGACAACACTCTTCTCTTGAACCAGAGTATACATCATGGAGCTGACTTGGAATCTTGAACCAAATAAATGACAAGGAAGAAGGCCCTAATGAAAATTTTTCCTTATGTAGAGAGCCAGCCTTTTTTTCATCACTTCAATAATGGAGAAAGCTTTCCTTTACAGAGTATTTGTGCTTACCACACTCATTTCTTAAAGTAAACAAAACTCCAGTTTTAATTGTTGACCTTAGCTCCCTCTGATTTGTATAATTTCTGCCTTAAAATCCATTCTTGAGTGAGTAAAGCATTAACTTGTCTAATCATAAGGCACTGTGGAAAATTCTAGGTGTATTTCATCCAAGTTATAGCAAAAGTTTCATATAGTACAAAGAACCCTTGTGTTCATAGTCTGTTTCTGACAGTTTCTACTTGGAAAGTCTAGTCACAAGGTTTTAGTCTCAGTGTTCCAGTAATTTGGGACATAATATTACTACCTCATAAGAATAAGAGCATTAAATGACGTATGTGAAAACAGTCAACATGGCATCTACAACTTTGCTGACTCTTCATAAACATTACCTTTCTTCCTTGTAAAAAAGATAAAAGCTATCATGCTTATTCTAATGTCATTTCTCTCTCATGAGCAAAGGCTTAATTTGGACCATGCGTAGGTCTATTATTCTTGCTACTAGCAAGAATAAAGCAATATTCAGGTCAGTTTAATAATTTAGAATGGGATTATATTTAGACTCATTTTATGCCAAATGCAATTCACACTAATGTTCACATTAAAAAGCTTCACTGTATGTTTTTCACCCAAAGATTTTCAACAGTTTGTTTGGTGTCCTATGTTCATTCCTCTTTAAGAGGTTTAGAAACTGAAAGAATCTATCTACTTTTCTGAGATTACTTATAACAAGTAATAAATTCAAGTTTATAATCCAAGGTTAAAAACGTGCTTAGATTTATATAAGGTCACTTCAGAGAATGCATTTAATTCTCGATTTCAGATTTACTAGGGTGAATAAAATAAACTGCAAGAAAATGTCATTTGTCTTATGGTTTACACATGGCCATAACTGGAAAATATAGTATTTCAAAAGCTGCACCTGCATTTTTGTTTGAATCCTATTTTATTAGCAGAGTTTTATGAGAGAGAAATTGTCAACTAAAAGATAAATCCAAACTTAGGTGAGAAAAGGCTTTATTCAAAAAGATTATTGAAGTAGTGAAAAGAGGACCATTGCAATAGGAAGCATGCTCTAACCATAGTATCCACAAGCATGTCAAAGGTCAGACAGAAAATAAGTTTTCTTTCATAGGTGGGAGTAAACAAGGCTAGAAAGAACAGGTGTCAGATAATTGATAAGGGGATGTCTTTCTTTATGATCAGTAATTTTGAAGATTAATGAGAGGTTGTTTCTCATTCTGATAGCTCAGGCTGAAGGTGGTTCTCAAAGTTCTGAGTCCTGTGTAGAGAAAAGCTTAGCTAAAGCTTTAAGTCAAGTTAGCAAGGCTTTTATTTGGATTGATTGGTGGGGACAAACAGTTTATCTAATCTTTTATAAAGCAAATAATGCAAGTTGGTGGGTCTATGTCTGGCCTTATCCTAGGTGAACAGAGGGGCATCCCATGTCATATCTAAATCATATAGGATAGGGCAGTTCTTTGTGCACTTCAAGATCACAGGATTTTCAGAATCTAGTCAAATGTCTGGAATTTTCATTTTCAACCACTGGTAGACAAAAAAACAATAGAGAGCTATAGTGTTCTGATTCATAGTTGAATCAGAATTCACCCCATTTCATGTGGAAAGCTCATAAGCAATATTCAAAATCTAACATTGCTTCCAAATTCAGTAAATAAACTCTTAGATAAATAAGTGGTAGTGACTTCCTGCAGCTTCTAAAATGAGAGTCTGATCCATTCCTTTCAGTGTCCTGTAATTACAAAATATTGTCAGACACATGTAGGTATTATATTACATGCTAATTGAGTTGCAATAACTCACATTTACTTAACAATGATTAAAAAGTAATACTGTATTTAACAATTAGTTGATTGTATTCATATGCTGCTAATATGTTAGAGGTATTACCTACACAATCCTTAAATTTAAAGAAAAGGGCTTTAATATGTAAAAGGAATACATCCTCATTCCAACAAGGAACAGTGTGGTATGAAGGAACGAACAAGATTTTAAATCAAACAGACCTAGGTTCAACTTCTGCCTCTGTCAGAAGCTATTTGTGTGACCATGAGCAAATGACCTACCTGACTTTGCTTCAGGTTTTTTTTTTTTTTTTTCAGTAAAATACTACCTTGAAAAATCTTCAAAGGATTAGATATAATATAGAGAGTTGATCTTCATTATATGTGGATTCTGTATTTGCAAATTTGCCTACTCATTCATATGCATTTGTAACACCAAAATAAATATTGTGTTCCTTTCATGGTCATTCATGGATATGTACAAAGCAGCAAAATTTGGAGTCACCTAACATGCATGTTCCCAGCTGAGGCTGAACAAGGCTGTCTGTGCTCTGCCTTCTTGTTTGACTTTGCCTACTATAAGTAGTATGGTCTAGTCAGTCCCACAGAAACACACATAAGACAATTTTATATATCGATCAGTTTACAAAAATGTTCAGACCAAAGGCTTATAGGAACCTAACCTTGTGTGTCTAGTAGGAGCAGTGCTTAAGTATTCATTCATTCAGTGTTCACAGTGACTTCATGAATATGTGAATATTCATTAACAATGAGAAACAAGTGTGTATGTGTGTGTGTGTGTGTGTGTGTAAAGTTTAGTACTTGCTACAGTATCAGTATAGCGGGAAAGAAGCAGCCACTGACATCCAGGAGTCCAGGAGCTGGCCTGTCAGTTAGGTCTTGGTGTTCTCCTGCTGAGCATAAACAGTTTTACAGAAAAGGGATCTCTGTGACCCGGATGGATTATGACAAAAATAAGGCTATTCTGTAATGATGCCTGGGCACAGACAAAACATGAACATTGTCCAAGCCATGGAATACATACATAACACTCCCCTCACAAGTAATATAAATGACTGCTGATTCTTTACCCGTTTACCTGTTATTATAATACTTGCTCTTTTCTGCCCTCTCTATTGATACGATTTAGTAAGATATCCAGTTATAGGATGGCTCCACTCTCTGACAGCACCAAATCCACATCAAACTCTTACTTTTTTTGGACCCCTCTCCAAAATCACCAGACAGAGGACAAATGCTCTAATTAGTTCTTTTGAACACCCTCTTACTGAGACAAGTCAGTTACCTATGCCATGTATTCTCCCTCACTGCAGTGAGAAATAAAGCCATTTGTTTACACCCTGTGTGTGTTCCTGGTGGTCTTTGACTGGAGGGCATTAACAACAGATGTAATTAGCAGGTAATAGTGGTGGTGTTGACATTATAGATACATTTTTCCATCTGATAACCATCCCAAATGGAATAACAAAAGCAATTTGCAGGGTGTAGTTCCCTCATAGACAGTTAATTTTTTTGTCATGAGTGTGTTGCAGGTTCTTTATTGTTTTGCATAGTACTGCAAAGAGTTAAAATGTGGAAACTTTACTGTATTAATCGTGATATTTTATTTTCTGATGTTTTGACATGTTGAAGCCTTGCCGGCTCTAAAGGGATTGTCCCTGGAAGGGTTAGCTTATTCCTAGAAATAGCAAACAACTCCCTGTGTGTGTGCCATTCATTCAAACCAAGCAAGCCAGAGTCCATGCCCCCAGTGCTCTCTTTTTTCAGTCTCTCAGGCTCTGGGTCACAATTTCCCTGCCCTCATCACCCCAGGGCCAGTTACCAGCAATTATAAACAGCTCCTATGCCCCAGGTCCCACTGAAATTATTAAAACTAGCCAATCCTAGAACTGTGTGTATGCTGACTGTCTTGCTCCTTTCCATGGAAATCACAAAAATGGTACTTGCCCATAGTTCTCCGCACCCCCACCTTGTTTCCTCTGCCTCCTTCCTGACCCTAGTATTTCCCATCTGACTTGCCTGTAGCATGGTGTATCCCCTTCTCTTGAAGTCTGTGAGTATAACAAACTGTCATTTCACAATTTCGACTATCTCCTCATATGTTGGCCTTGCTATACCTAAATAATAATAAAACTTACATTTTAAAACTCTCAGCTATTCTCATAAATAAATTTTGACTGTAACTTTGGAGACCAGATAACTTACAAAAGAGAACAAAAACAAAGCAATCAAACACAATATGTAACTGCTGCCCAACCTACACAAAGGTAGTTGTAAGAATGATTGATAGGGTTGGCACCAAACACAAGAAGGCTGAATGGGCAATTAAAAACAGCAAAGCACGGAGGAAAGAGGCATGCTTCTCAGATGAGAGATGATTGAAGGTCTTTGTGCAGTACGTGATGAATGAAGCAGTGAATTTGGAAGTAGTTGGTTCCCCTGAAAAATTACTTCATTAATGTGAGGCATTATAATTTTCTGATTTTAATTAAAAAAAATACATTTGATCAGGTAATCGATTAAAAAAGGGTCTGAATGATGCTCATTCCCAAAAGCAAGCATCTTTCTGATGGGATATTTGAGATGCAGATGTGAACTTTGATTTTTATCTCAAAAATGACCTAGAGAAATATATGATGCTTATGAGCATATACCTCTGTATCCAGGCAACATCACTTTGAAGCAGGGGGCAGATTATTGACATTTTATAGCCAGGGTTCTAAGAATACAAAAAAAAAAAAAAAAAAAAAAAAGCCAGTTGTAGAAGCAGAAAGAGCCCACAGGCCAGGGATCCTGGAAAATTGGTATAATTACTGAAATCAATTCTAGCTTGCAAAGAACATAAAAGCTGAACACACACTGTTAAATTGCATTCAGCTCACCTGTGGTTTACTGTGCTTTTTGTTTTTACAAATGCTCAGATTTTTTAAAGGCCAAGTGGAATTTCTAACAGATCATTGATAAGAAGCACTCGTGGCAGTAACAGGAACACCAACTTATCACAGTTCTTAAAATATCTACACTTCCTATAATCTTAAAATTAATAAAATGGAATAAAAATTACTAAATTGCTTTCAGCAAATGCCATTTATGGATAACATGTATATGGAAATGCTTTTTAAATCTTTTAATACATATGATTCAATTTATGAAGTGGCTAATGCTACTTGGATTTGAGAAGTCATATCTATATGAATAATGCCATGAATCTCTAGTAATTATCAGTTTATTAATATACCCCATGTGATCCACACATAATTCAAGCATCATGTAGTGGGCTTTTCAGGATAAGAGATAATTGCTGTCACAAGTTCTGTGGTGTGAATGATTGCCTCAACATGAGGAAGGAATGATCCACAGGGTGTTGGCTTCGTGTCCAATGAACCACATTCATGTGATATTACTGACACAGAGAAGGAACAAATGCCTAAACCAAAAGAAGGGTATTAATATGGCTTCAAACCTATTTAGCCCATAGAAAATCCAGACATACTACTTCAGCACAATTCTGTGAAGGTCTCAGAAAATCAATTCTATAGTGTGTTCTTTAAGCTTATTGCTAGAATGTATCAAAAGTGATAGAGAAATTCATCTTTTGTTCTTGACTGAATATAAATCCTACTGATGCCACCTGAATGAACAATTGCAAATAACGTGTAAAGAGCAATTTTTTTTTTTTTTTTTGAGACAGAGTCTCTCTCTGTTGCCCAGTCTGGAGTGCAGTGGCACAATCTCGTCTCTCTGCAACCTCCGCCTCTCGGTTTCAAGCGATTCTTGTGCCTCAGCCTCCTGAATAGCTGTGATTACAGGCATGCATCATGACACCCAGCTAATTTTTGTACTTTTAGTAGAGATGGGGGTTTCACCATGTTGGCCAGGCTGGTGTTGAACTTCTGACCTCAAATGATCTGCCCATTTCAGCCTCTCAAAGTGCTGGGATTATAAGCGTGAGCCACCGCACCTGGCTGCCAAACATTTTTGAAACAGATGTACTTAGTTTTGAATCTCAATATTGTCTCTTCCTAGCAGAATAACTGAATATAAATTATTGAACCTCTTAGGGCCTCCATTTTGCTCATATTTGTAGTTTAACTACAACACATATCTTAAATACGTGATAATTAAATCAATTAATATGAAGAACAAGATTGGCACATAGTGGGCACTCAAAACATGAATCACTCTTCAAAGAACTGCAGTAATTCTAAAATAAATTGGGATCTTTAGAAGGAATAGCTTAAAGTCACTCTTGGTCTCCTGATCCTACTCAAAACTGGAAAGTGAGGGATTTAGCTTCATTACCGCTCAATTTCCCCTTCGGAACCACTTTATCTTTGTGTAGTGGCTCAGTGCTCCCCATCACTTCTGAAAAATGCTTCTTCTAAGAAGAAAATCTGTACTTTATTCACACTGAGCTGTATTACAAATTAACATACCTTTGCCAAGCATTTAAAGATTTTAAAGCAGAAAAATGAAAGAGGCCTTAGCTATTGGGTACATGTTTTGTGTGTGGAAGTGTGGAAGGCAAAGTAAGGGATGGTGGGAAAAAGAGAGTTTGGGCTGGGATGTTGACTTATGAAACTTAAACATAGTGGATTATAACCTGGAAAACAACTTTAATTTCTGAAGGAAAGCTTTGTGTACTCTTTTAAGCTACATTGTACTAGAAATTGTATTCAGAATGTTTTCCGTGAACAGATTTTTAATGCAAAGGGTTTTAAGAGGGTTTTTACTTAACAGAATGTTTAAATGGGTTTCCTATCCAAAAATGACTCATGCAAAGAAAAAATTAAAATTATAGAGATATATTAAGCTATATAAACCCAAGATCTTATAAGACTTAGAAAATTTTTCTTTGTCCTGTCCTAGGCATTTAGTTTTATTCACTTGCTTTTGTCATTTTCAGGGTAAATGCGCTTCCTTGCTGTTCACTCAGTGCTGACTATACTTATTACAAAGAAAAATACGACTGACTGGAAGTCAGGAGTCCTAGTAGCAGGAGCCTGAATTACTAACAATTTGATATGAAAGCATGACTAAGTTTTTTTCTTAATCTCTTTATTATCTTTTATAATATGTAAAAGTAAAGTTTTGTTTAATTCTGCTTGGAACACTTGCATAAGCATGGCTGGAAATCTTCCTGTATCAAAAGGCAAAAAGCAAGGCGTGAACAATTGAATTGGGGAGATAAATAAGTATAATTAATGACACAATACCGTATGCATCCTTTTTTATAGTCAATGAAGTTCCCCACATTCACAAAAGAGTTTCATATGCTTATGTGATTAGAATGTAGCCTATACCTCATGTAGCCTGAGGATTTTCTCCCCAGAATAAGTAATATGCCATCAAATCAAAATAATTTCATGTAGAGGAAAGCTACATTTGCAAGAATGTTAAATTGGGTAGATGCACCTGGAGGCTCAAAAAGAATCACATTATAAAATTTAAAAAATAATTTTACTTGAAGCTGTAATGTGGGGAATAGACACTGTTGATTATTTTACGTAGTTATTGGCGCTATTTGAAATGATTACTCTTCAGAGTCTTAATTTCTACCCCCTTTGATGGCAGAACTGATTGCACAAAAGTAAAGTTTAATCTTTTTCCAAGTCATATGTTTTACAAATGCAGTTTAACTTTGGGCAATAACATTGAAAATTAAAGGATTTAAGCTGAAAGGAAGTAGGTTTAGAGACAATGTGAATTCAGACCTTCCATTTCCTTAAGCAGCATCTAATCAAATGGATATGTAAAACCTACATACTCTGCGTTTTTCTCACATTTCTCTCCTCTCTCCTATTGAAACAAGGTCCTGACATAATAATGATCTTTGGACTTGCTTCCCGCATGCTGCCGTTAACAGTATCTCTCTGTTCTTTGGCTGAATTGCTGTCACTTTTAAAATAGATGCTTTGAAATCAGTGCAGATATTAGGAGTAACTTGTATTTTAACAGTGATATATACATACACCTTAAATGTGTATTTTTTATTTGTCAATCATACTTCAAAAATTCCGGAGGCAAAACAAAAAGAAAAATGAAATGAAAGATAGATGATAGATAGATAGATGATAGGTAGATAGATAGATAGATAGATAGACAGATAGATTAAATAGACAGGTAGGTAGATAGACAGAAAGAGGATAGATAAAAAGTGCCTTAAATGACTTCTGGCTGTAGTCCGCTGGAAAATGTTTAACAAGGAGACATCTCAGAGATAAAAAAAGTACCACTTGTTAATGTTTGTGGTGTAAATACTTCCACTTCTAGCTACTAATATGGTGTCATTGAATAAGGAGTTGGGAGGAGATGTAGAGTAGCACATCCAACAGAGCAGGGGTCCCCATCTTCAAGGCTGCGGACTGGGCGGCAGCATTACAGCCTGAGCCCCGCCTCCCTTCAGATGAGCCTCCACCATTAGATTCTCACAGAAGCCTGAACCCTATTATGAACTGCACATGCGAGGAATCTAGGTAGCGCACCTCTTATGAAACTCGAATGCCTGATGATCGGAGGTGAAACGGTTTCATCCCGAAACCATCCGCCCAGCTCCCTGGTCCGTGGAAAAATTGTGTTCCAAAAAATTGGTCCCCAGCGCCAAAAAGGTTGGTGATCGCTGCAATAGAGGATACGATGGATGTAAATCACTTCATGAGGATAAATGGTAAAACGTAGGCAGTAATATATTGCGAGTATATTAACTTGTTTTTAGTGTGAATTATTTAATTGTACATTAATATGATTTAATTTCAAATAATATTAACCTTAAACAACTAGCTCAAAAATTCCTGAAAATATAATAATTGGTTCTGATAGGCCAATACAAGGTAACTCCAACGTACCACTGGAAAATCTAAATAGAAGGAAGAGGCAGCAATTAAACTAAGGGTTTTGATGGGTGGACAAGACATAGTTTTAGTTTCAGAACGATTAGTATTTCTTAAATAGCAGTTGAAATAACTTCCTTTATCATTGGTCATGTTCATATATCACCTTAGCATTTGATAAATTGGGAAGATTTTTGCACTTACCCTAGGAGGCATGGTTTCAAGAAACCCACATTTTTGGAGTACAGTTAAATGTTTAATACATTAAAAAGGCAGTTATCCACCTGAGAGGCAGAAGAGGTCACTGCCTTGAAGTGCAGCATTCTCTGAAGGTCAACTACCAGCTTTTACATCTTGGCCTCTCCGGCTATTTTTTATTTTTTGCTTTAGGCAAGGTATTTAAGTTCTCTGTCTCTCTGTTTCTTTATCTGTAAAATATGCAGAATAATATTCCTTACTTACCAGGGTTCTGTAGTGTGGCTGGAAAGTATCAAGTGTTTAATAAAGTTTAGCTATCGATCTCATTTGACTTTTGTGAGATTTTCCCTTTTTGGAAAATGTTCTTCTTAGGCTCCTCGCATGCAACAATTTCCCTACTCGGCACAAAACAACTGTATGTATTGAGAGGTCATCATTAATTTACCACATACTGTATATCACTGTCTTTTATGACAGTTCCCTACTTGATGGGAACAAAGCTATGCTCCCTGACAGTAAACTAACATTAGAGAAGCATACTTTTTTCTTTTGGTCCCTCTGCAATCACTGATCCCTCTGCCTTTTACATAATCTCTCTCACATTGTTCGTGCCACGTTTCTAATTTCACGGACTATTTCAACCCAAGCCCTTAGATTCCTTTGTGTACCTATCTTAACTTTCCCTCTGTAAAGCTATTAGTGTTTCTTATGGATAAAAAAATGTACCTTATCATATCATTCTCTTTTCCAGAACCCCTGATTATTCTAATGATGATCAAAAACTTACTCCTTTCTTAAGGATGTTCCTAATGTTTCTATCTTCCTGAAAGAGAGAGCAGTTTTATATTATTTTAAACAATTTCATTGATTTGGCAGAGATTAGAGGGTGTTTAAAAACGAAAATCCCTTCTAATATGAATGTTCCAGGTTCCTAAAAAGCCCAATGATTTCATGGTAGCCATTATTTATTTATTTTTATTTTTAAATTTTTTTCGACAGAGTATTGCTCTGTCACCCAGGCTGAAGTGCAGTGGTGGGATCTCAGCTCACTGCAAACTCCACCTCCAAGTTAGCCCTCATTTTAATTATTGAATTTAAAATAACCAGAAACAAAGTGAAAGTTTATAAATTTGTTCAACTTTTTAAATTACTGATTTTAGTGTTAATTTTATGAATGTTGTATTTTATTAGTCATCCAGGGACATTTTTATTTAATTTTCAAACATAAATGTTTGAGAAGACATCCTTTTAGTTCGTCAAATGTCTACATTCTCCTTCCCCACTTGAACAAGGAATATCAGTAACAGCACTTTCTTTCTTTTTTTGTTTTTTTTTTTGAGACCGAGTCTTACTCTGTTGCCCAGGCTGGAGTGCAATGGCACAATCTCGGCTTACTGCAACCTCTGCCTCCTGGGTTCAAGTGATTCACCTGCCTCAGCCTCCTGAGTAGCTGGGATTACAGGCATGTGTCACCACTCCAAGCTAATTTTTGTATTTTTAGTAGAGACAGGGTTTCACCATGTTGGTCAGGCTGGTCTCGAACTCCTGATCTCAGGTGATCCTCCTGCCTTGGCCTCTCAAAGTGCTGGGATTACAGGTGTGAGCCACCGTGCCCGGCCAACAGCACTTTCTTTCAATTCTCTAGCTTATAGATAATAAGAAAGCATAGCTAGGTTTTGTTTTTTTTTTCTCATTTCCTTTATTGTCTTTTATGATTTTCTTGGGGGAACCGTTGTATTGAAGATCATCTCAGCTATCAATACCATGCACTCTCAGCATTCCTGTGTGTGTGTGTGCGTGTGTGTGTGTGTGTGTGTGTGTGTGTGTGTGTGTGTGTCTCTTCATGGGATTTTAAAAATACAAAGAACATGTCCGACTCTAATGCCACTCACATTATGTTGTAGCTAAGTAAGTTTTTAAGTATGACTAAAAAATATTTCACAAGAAGATCAAGTGCCCCTAACTGAATTTCAAGTACAAAAAGAGAATAAAACACACTATTTTTATTTCCTCCAAACAACAGGTTCCTATATAAGAAAATAATACATGGGCTTAGAATTCAAGAAATCAACACTCTTTCATGTCGTTTCTCTAAAACAGATAGTTCGTATTAGATTTTGAGAAAGTCAATATAGTCATTCTTTTATGTTCAGCTTTGGTACTAAATGACTAATATTTAGCAATTAACAATGATAGCACATTTTCCATATCTATGCATTACATTTTCTTGATTGGATGATGAAAAAGATATAGCTAAATATATCAATATCCATGTGCCTATATTACCTAATACAGCTAGTAATGTTTCTAGGAATGTTAAATTTGAATAGTTATACCCTTTTAACACTTATTTGATGGTCATTATGCACCTTTACTTTTCTTAAAAGCCTCTAGGATGGTCCCCAATGATTCCCACCTCTAATATCAATGACTTCTGTTGAGTGTGGGCTTTACTCGATGGTTGGCTTCTGAATAATAAAACCGGACATTAACGTGATGCCACTTTTGTAATTAAGCTACAAAAATACTGTTGCCTTTTTTTTAAAAAAAAACTCTTGGGCTGACTTCTGTCATTCTCTGACTCACTTGCTCTGTGAAAAGTCAGCTGCCATGTCATGAGCTTCCTCATGGAAAGAGCCACATGGCAAGGAACTAATGTTTCTAGGCAATAACCATTGAGGACCTGGGGCCTGCCAATAGACACGTGAGTGAGCTCTAGAGTGGATATGTCTAGGACTTACAGGTAGGCCTTAAAATGACTGTGGCCCTGGCCAACAACTTGGATATGGCATTGCGAAAAGTGTGAGCCAAAAGCACCCAGCTGAAGCCTAATCCCAGATCCACAGAGACTGAGATAGCAAATGCTTGTTGCTTTAAACCTCTATGTTTTGGGGTATTTGTTACTCTGTTATTATCTGTTGATAGTAATGCAGGCAGATTCTTTGTTTATTTAATAAGTCTCTCAACAATTTATCATTTGCACAAATTCTACTCTGTTCTGTCAATGATTTTATATAAACCAAAGATTTAGGGAAAAGACTCACTATCACATTGTTTTCTGGTAACCTTTTATTTCCTATTTATGTTCCAAATAATGTATTATTTAATTACATAGAAGATTAGAATGTCAGGTGATCCCTTCTCATTTCATCAAGCTATATTTTTCTTTAGAAATACTAGTTTCTCTCAATGGATAACAATCAAGTAAAAGAATATATTTCTTTTAGATGGATAGACCAGCATAGATATCTATGTAAACAATTACTTTAATTACAGAAAATAATCAATAATTAAGTCAATTAATTCAAATAATATTTGCGTCTCTTCATTTCAAGGAAAGACTTTTTAATGAAAAATCCCATCCAAGATGAAACAGTGCTCTTCATAGATAAATAAATAAGAAATTTATCTATGCTAAAAGAAATATTGAATAGGTTCGGAGTCATGCTGTGAAATCCTTTCCATAAGTAAAAAGTCTTTTGAAGAAGAGTTGACTGGATTTTTATTAGGATATGCAGTTTCCAGAACATTTTGGAAACTTGAAGGTACTCCATTCTGATCAACTGTCCTTAATTAGACCCCAGTAAGACGCGGTGGGAACTATCCGTAGCAGTGATTATATGTTCACAGTGGTCAGTTTTGAAATATATATGAAATAAACCAAACAAATTTGACCATTTTGTGGGAATATGCAGGATAAATATTTATCTATATTTATAGATTGTGTTTATCTAGTTATATGCATCATGGAATAATTACATTCACTGGTTCCATAGAATTTAGTTCTGAATTTAAAACCAAAGCATATAGGATCTAGTCACTATAAATTACTCTCAGAACATGGAGATCCCTGGGAAGGAAAATATTGTTATATGAAGTAGTTACCAGGTGAAATGCCCCCTCAGGAGTCCTGGGATGGATCTGTTCAATGTCTTCTTGGTTTCCAAAGTCTTAATTTAGAAGTTCCTCCTGTGAGTGCAGCTCTAATTGAAAAGACAGGAAAAGCACTCTGGTAAGTGATTACTGTTAATAAGGGAATGAGAAATAGAGAGAAGTTCAGAGGCTGTTAGACAGAAGTATATTTTCCTGACCAGCTATGTCCTTCAGAAAAGATTTCTTCAACGTCTTTTAAGAAGGCAGATAACATCATTCTTTTAAAGCAGGGCTTTTTGAAAACTCAATATGGTTTTGAGGGAGTTTCCCATTGTAAAAACAAAACAAAACTATTGGTGGAGAAAAGTGTTTATATACCTAGTATGAACAGGTCTTTTTATGACCAAGTATCTTTACCTACAAACTAATGCTATTTCCTCTCCTATTAAATTTGATTTTAAAAATGGTGCTCTTTGTTTTAAAGTTGTTTAAACATTTGGACTCATTCTAGGATATATGGATATACATTCATACATCATATAAAAGTCTATGCATATACACTATGTATATTAAGTGTGTATATATACATATATGCAGTATATATATATTTACAGTATACATGTACAGTATACATATACAGTATATACAGTGTATATCCATAAATTCACATATATTTGTTTGTGTGTGTGGATTTAAATGGCTTTTAATCTTGAAAATATAGACCCGACACTAAAGATGTTGATTTATTAATTTTATTAATCATTTTAACATTTTTCTAACATTCCCAAAGGACTTCTTTTTTATAACAATATGTTTAATAGTGTTTTCAAATATATGAAAAGTTCTCAAGAAAATTGACACTTTTAGAAAAAAAGAATTTTGGCAGAACCATTGTAATAAAAATAAAATTAATAACATATTCTCAGAATTTTCAGTGTATTCAAAACAATGTTTCTTTCAGACCTGAGGCATAGTTGAAATTGTAATTGCCCAGTGGGTTCACCTTGCCTACTACCTAGACAGAGCCAATTTATTAAGACATGGGAATTGCACTAGAGAAAGAGTAATTCATACAGAGCCAGTTGTGCGGGATTCCAGAGTTTTATTATTATTCAAATCAGTCTCCCCATAATTTGAGGATCAGAGTTTATTTTGTTAATTTTTTTATTTTTTATTTTTTATTTTACTTTAAGTTCTGGGATACATGTGCAGAACGTGCAAGTTTGTTACATAGGTGGTGGTTTGCTGCACCCATCAACCCATCATCTATATTAGGTATTTCTCCTAATGCTATCCCTCCTCTAGCCCCCCAGCCCCTGACAGGCCCCGGTGTGTGATGTTCTCCTCCCTGTGTCCATGTGTTCTCATTGTTCAACTCCCACTTATGAGTGAGAACATAAACACAACTTGGTGGCTAGGGGGAAGCCAGCTAGCCAGGAGTGCTGATTGGTTAGGTCAGAGATGAAATCAGAGGGAATCAAAGCTGTCTTCTTATGCTGGGTCAGTTCCTGGGTGGAGGCCACAAGACCAGATGAGCCAGCTTATCGATCTGAGTGGTGCCAGCTTGTCAGAGGCCTTAGAACCAGAGCAACTCCATTTTGAATAAGGGCTAGGAAAATGAGTCTGAGACTTGCTGGGCTGCATTCTCAGAAAATTAGGCATTCATAGCCTCTAGATGTTTACAGATAAGGAGACAAATTAATAATATTTACTAAATGGACCCAGACTTGGGAGTGTCCAGATATCCCGATATCTGGAGAACAAAGGCATTCCTTATTTTGCTTTAAAGATAATAGTATCGATTCTTGCAAAACACAGTCATTAAGAAAATTAATCCTTTATCACAAACCTTTATAGCAGAGCACATCTCCTCATATATAGGAGTAGTGTACCTGGGCTGGACACATTCCTTTTCTTACTTTCTGGAAAGTCGTACTCTGTCTATGGAGTTACGGTCCTTTCACTACTTTACTTCCTTAATAAACTTAATTTTGCATCTCTCTCGGGGTCTGGATGGGGGCATGTTTCCTGTAACAAGCTGATCCATCAAGTGCAGGGTTTGTAAAACATCTCAAGCACTGATCTTAGGAGCAGTTTAGCGAAGGTCAGAATCTTGTAGCCTCTAGCTGCATAACTCCTAAGCCATAATTTCTAGTCTTGTAACTAACTTTGTTAGTCCTACAAAGGCAGCCTAGTCCCCAGGGAGAAGGAGGTTTGTTTTGGTAAAGGGCTGTTATCATCTTTGTTTTAAACTATAAACTATACACTAAGTTCCTCCCAAAGCTAAATCCGCCTACAACCAGGACATGAACAAGGACAGTTTGGAAGTTAGAAGCAAGATGGAGTTGGTTAGGTCAGATCTCTGTCACTGTCTCAATGACAGTTTTGCAATGGTGGTTTCAAAATTTGTCTTGACGATGTAACATACAGACAAATTGCAAAATATGTATTTAAAATAATGGAAATAAAATAGTAGGAAATAAAGGTAAAATGAGAAAGAACACAAATTTTATCTGATTTACGGTTGCTTGTAGCCTGCCAACATTACCTTTTTAATAAAAATATCACGTTTCTAATTCAATACTATTGGCAAAGTTTGATTTTTTTACTTGAGGTTTAAATGTCAAAATGAATTTTCTTTAAATTGGTCTATTTTTCGAACCTGAGGCTATTTTTCTCCTGAATGAATTGTACTGATTGCAAATTCAATTGATACAAAAAAGTATAATACTTAGAAAAAATAAATAAAAAACAGCAATTATTTGATATATTGTGTTTAAAAGAAATAGTTACTCAGTAACTTGAAGGGAAGTATTTAATGGGTAATATATCTCAACAAAGACTAAAAGTACAATTTATAAGCTGAAAGAAAATTTGCAATTTGGGATATTGTGAAAGAAATAACATCATTGAGAAGAAACTTTTACCTAATCAAAGCTAACTTTCTCCACATTGTTGATTTCCACTTCTTCAGAGGAAATCTTGTTGTAATTTAACATAATGCTCTCACTTAGTTTTGAATTATAAGTTACTTCTATAGATCGGCTGATATAAAAGTTGTTTTGCAATATAAGATATGCAACTCAGTTTTGAAGAAAAGGCACCATTCTTTTGAGTAGGGTTATGCTATTTAAAAACTGTTTAAATAAAAAAAAGTATACAAGCTGTTTAATGTTTTTGTGAATATCAACAGCTTAATTGCACTAAAGTTATTAACATCTCATTGCTATACCCCAGATTATTTTTAGTAATGTTAGCCAGAAAATTAATCAATGATTTATGGTTTACCAAGCTCATGCACTGAAAGATTTCATCTAAATACGTGTTTTGATAGACCAGGCTCATGGGAGAATATCTTATTCTTTCCAATTCATTATCATTATAAATATTTGAAATTTCAAATCACATGTTTAAAACTCAGAAACAGTAATATAGTGCATGCCTTGGTAATAGCTATAATAATATAGAAGTAATGTAGAGAAGAAACTTCCAAAAAAAGGTTTGGCTGGTTAAAACATAAATTTTAAGTGGTATGATAGAAAAAAAGCTGTGGTATAGACTGAGGCAGTGGATTTGGGTAATTTGGGATGGAAGAAAGAAATAGAAAAAACATATACTGAGCATCTACATGTTTCAGGCGTTTTTAAAGATACCATCTATTCTTCATAATAGTGACAGGTTGATAGAATAAATATCATATTATTACAGTTGAGGAAACTGGACAAGTGATGTTCTTTCCCAAGACCACACAGCTAATATGTTAAAATACTTCTGTGAGGTTTACTTGGGAAATTCAGAGCACCTTGACATTGATACAAACTCATACATGTGACTCCAAAACCTATCCACTTCTTACTGTACCTGATACTATTGTATGAGCAAAGCCACAGTAAGATATGAAATATCATAATGTGTTGGGGTAATGGGACTGTGGCAGGAGTTTGGGTTATGAGGCCATAGCGGAGTTGGACTTACATAGCAGCCTGTAATTTGACTCTCCAATTTAAAGAAAACCATAAATATCAATATAGGAACTTACATTTTACACTGTACTCAGTGGGGAGCCAACAAAAATTTTAAACAGAAGAGTAACCAAATCAAAATTATGGTTTAGACTTGTGAATTCCTCAGCTTATTCTAGGAAGAACACATTCTCCAACACAGCATCATGTTTAAAAGTGGCTCAGCTAAGCTACATTACATTCTAATTGTGTTAGTTTAAAAATAAATTTAATTTAAATTTAAAATATGACAGTTTCATAACAATTGCAGTTTCCAATCAACTTTTTTACTGTTATTTTATTTTAAAACTAAATTTGAAAATGTCCGTTTAGTGATTACATGTAAAATCTTACCTACAATGAACAGTTATCAATCTCAAAAGGAGAAGAATTAGAAGAATGTAGGTGTATAATCTTTACAGAAAAGTTGAGGTTTTTGGCTAAAATGTATTAGACAACATATAATGGGAAAAGTTTTGAGGAGAAAGTAAACCTGGAGTTTTGTTTTTTTTTTTTTTTCAGTCATTCAGCAGGTACGTGTAAAATGCCTCCTAAGTGCCAGAAACACTTGTAGGTTCTAAGATTACATACAGCAGTGAAGATACTCCTTTTCTCCAGTGAATTTTATTTCATTAGGATGGAAACATTCAACAGACAAACAAATAAGGCAATAACAAAATTCTGATAAATGCAATAAAATGGGAAGAGGAAGGAGCAAGTTTGGAGTGGGGAGGTACATTGCAAACAGAATATTTGAGCAGAGATCTGAAAGGCATGAGAAACTGAGTAGAAAGCTTATCTGCAGGTTAGCATTTCAGGCAAAGGGAAGAGACGCTACAAATAAGTTAGCTGAAACTTTGCTGGAATGTTTGATCACCCCGAGTGTTCTTGGAGTGTGTGATGAAATGGAGTATGAGAGAGAAGGGAGTGACAACACACGAGTATTCAGGAGGTAGCTGGGGAGGCTAGAACATGGAGAGTCTTATAAGGCACTGTTTGGATTTTTGCATTTACTCAGAGATAGAAGGGAATTTATTAAAGTGTTTTTATATGAGTGTCTTTTTATTATTATTATTATTTTTTAACATTCTGAAAGGACCATTATGGGGGCAGATTGGGAGGTGAAGACAAAAATAGTGATACAAGTTATAAACCATTGAAATAATCCAAGCAAGAGGTATTTATTGTCTGAAGTTTGCTTGTAGCAGTAGATATTCTGAAGGTATTAAAATTCTAGGTCTATACTCAAGACAAGATAATTTACTGATAGAGTGGGTGTGGCATATGAAAGAAACAGGAAACAGAAGAATCTAAATGAGAAAGGGAGAATGAGGAAGAGAAAATGTTGAGAGAGTTAAGGAATGAAGAGATTAGTTTTATTAATATTAAATTTGAGATGAGTATTAAATATCCAAGAGTAAATATTGACTAACTAGTTGTGTATTAAAATCTGGAATTTAGAGGAATAGTCAGAGCTTAAGATATGAAATGAGGAAACTTAAATGTATAAACAATATTTGCAACTACAAGACTGGGTGAGATCTTCCAGGTAGTAATTCTGAATTAAAAAAGGAAGATGCCTTAGGCCAAAGATTTGGGGCATTCCAATATTTATAAGTTAGACGAAAAAGAAAAAAAAACACACACAAAGGAAGTAGCAGCAATGGATGTACGAGAATCTAGAGAGATTGATATCTTGAAAGCTAAGAGAAAAAAAAAAAAGTACAATGTAGTAAGTCATTAACTGTCTAAGACCACTGGATTTAGCAATGAATAGGTCACTGTTGGCCCTGGCAATACCTGTTTATTCAAGTTTTGAAAAAGAAGGTCTATTTATAGTAGGTTAAAAGGTCAGTGAAGGGGAGTAAGTGGAGGCAGTATTCTTAAGGAGTTTTATTGTGTAAAAGTGCAAATAAATGGAGCATTAACTGGAGCAGAATGTGGGCACCAATATATATTTTAAATATGGCATCTATTATGGCAGATTTTTTTTATTATTAAAAAGACCTAGCATGGATGGAAGAGTTGATGATGTAGCAAAGAAAGGGGAAATTTGAGTAGACAAGGGGAGAGTAAATGTGATCCATAGAAATATGGACATTTTGTCCATAGTAGCAGAGATATAGGTAAGTTGATGGATGTGATCTTAGAAATGTGTAAAAGCTATCTATTATTCCTTCTACTGGGGGTTTATATTATATATTTATTGTCCTTTAAAAAGATATTGAAATCTATAGATTTAATGGTTTTCTGAAAAAAATGTTATGATGTATATGTTAATAAGCAGCTTTCTGGTCTTTTTACTCTTAAGCCAGAGCCCTTTAAAAACTGTTTTAAACCATTAATATTTACAACTTCAGAGAAGGGTTAACAAATACAGAGAAATGTTTTAATACATCTCTCTTTTCTATATTTTTTGAATTTTGGTGAGTAGTATTCATTTTCTGATGTGATCTTGCTATTTGCCAACTGGAGCATGCTAACTTCTCTATAAATATTAGCTATTATAAGGAAAATAAATGGAGGAGTCTAATTTCTTGGTTGATATCACTTTATGACACTTGAGACTTCAGATATTCTTTATTTTTATACACAACAATTCTTTAAAATGTTATTTAACTGTGGAGCAAAACATCTTACTGTGCATAAAAACATCAGACAAGTTAGAGTTTCCCATTTAGTAAGTACAGATAGGGCCAGGTAATTTCCAGCTCAATAACACTATCAGAAAATTTATCACCAGAAATTTGAAGGCTAGGAGAGAATGGGATGGTATATACAAAGTGCTGAAGAAAAAACCCACCAACCAAGAATACTGAACTCAGAAAGCTATCCTTCAGAAATAACAGAAAATTAGACTTTCTCAGGTAAACAAATGCTAATGGGGCTTATCATACTAGACCTGCCTCAGAAAAAATACTAAAGATGTTCTTCGAGCTGAAATGAAAGATCACTAATTAGTAAAGTGAAAATAAATGAAAGTATAAAACTCACTGATAAAAGTATGTAGTCAAATTCAGAATATTTTAATACTTCAATGATTGTGTGTAAATCACTTATAACTCTAGTATATAGGTTAAAAGATGAAAGTATTAAAAATAACTAAAATAATTTGATAATAGATACATAAAATAAAAAGGTATAAATCATGACATAAAAACAAAATGTGGGGGGCATGGAATAAAAGTATAGAGTTTTTATATGCTATCAAAGTTAAGTTGTTGTTGGCTTAAAATAGACTGTCAAAATTTTTATTTGCAAGCCTCATGGTAACCACAAAACAAAAATCTATATTAGATATGCAAAAGATACAGAGAAAGGAATCAAAACATATCACTACAGAAAATCATCAAATCACAAAGGAAGACAGCAAGAGAGAAAAAAGAGAACAAAGAATCTATAAACAGCCCCAAAATATTTCACAAACTGGCAATAGGAAGTTCTTACCTATCAACAATTACTTTAAATGTAAATGAATTGAATTCTTCAATGAAAAGATGTAAAGTGGCTGAATGGAGTAAATAAAAAACAAGACCAAACTGTATGCTGTCTACAAGAGCCCAATATCAGCTTTAAAGACATATATAGACTTAAAGTAAAGGTTTTAGGAAAAAAATCTATGCAAATGTCAATCAAAAGAGAGCAAGGGTAGCACTACTTATATGAGACAAAATAGACTTTCAGTTAAAATCTGAAACAAGAAACAAAGAGGGGCATTATATAATGATAAAGGGTCAATTCATCAAGAGGATATAAGAGTTGTAAATATATATGGACTCAACATCAGAGCACTTAGATATATAAAACAAATGGTAACAGATCTGAAGGGAGAGATAGACTGTAATACAATAATAATACGAGAATTCAATACCCCTCTTTCAGCACTAGACAGAATATTCAATCAGAAAATCAATAAGAACACATCAGACTGGACTTAACCTTTTTAAAATTTGTATTTATTTATTTATTTTTAAAGAAGGGGGTCACACTATATTGCCCAGGCTGGACTCAAACTTCTGGGCCCAAGTGATCCTCCCACTTCAGCCCCCAAGTAGCTGGGACCACAGATGCATGTCACTGTGCCTGACTTTGGATTACACTTTAGAACAAATGGACCTAACAGACGTGTATAGAACATGCCATTCAATAGTAGCATAATACACATTCTTCTCAAGTGTATACAAAACATTCTTCAAGAAAGATGATATGTTTGGCCAAAAAAAGATTTTAACAAGTTTAAGAAGACTGATTATATCAAGCATTGTTTCTGACCATAATGGCATAAAACTACAAATGAGTAGCTGAAGGAAAATTAGAAAATTTAAAAATATGTGGAAATTAAACAGCACACTCTTGAACAATCTATAGGTCAAAGAAGAAATCAAGGCCGGGTGTGGTGGCTCACACCTATAATCCCAGCACGAGGTCAGGAGATCAAGACCATCCTGGCTAACACGGTGAAACCTGGTCTCTACTAAAAATAAAAAAAAAAAAAAAATTAGCCGGGCATGATGGCGGATGCCTGTAGTCCCAGCTACTCAGGAGGCTGAGGCAGGAAAATGGTGTGAACCCAGGAGGCAGAGCTTGCAGTGAGCCAAGATTGCGCCACTGCCCTCAAGCCTGGGTGAGAAAGCAAGACTCCATCTCAAAAAATAATAATAATAAATAAATAAAATTAAATTAAAAAAATAAAAAGTGTAGTCAAAATAACATTTTGTCTACGTTTAAAATGCTCTGTGTTACCTTTAAATAATTGCATTTTATCTTTAAATCATGCATTGTTTTATCTTTAGCTGGCAGGTGCCCTCATTCAGCCAATATAAATTTGAGAAGAATAAGGGTCAGTTTTTATATGCTCAACATAATGGAATGGAAAACTATGATACATGCCTTCACAGCCGAGATTTATGGAAAGGAAAAACTGATTGTTACTTCAAGTGATTGTGCCTCATTCTGATTTTTTTTTTCTTTTTGGTCACTCATTCAACACATTACCTTTTAGAATTCTACTTGAGAGAACTGCTTTCTATATAAGGGAGAAATGGTGATCTTCCTGTTTCTCTCTCTCTCTCTCTCTTTTTTTTTTTTTTTTTTTTTTTTGAGGTGGGGTCTTACTCTGTCCCCCAGGCTGGAGTGCATTGGCATGATTTCTGCTCACTGCAACCTCCGCTTCCTGGGTTCAAGCAATTCTCCTGCCTCAGCCTCCCAAGTAGCTGGGGCTACAGGCGCGTGCCACCACGCTTGGCTAATTTTTTTGTATTTTTATTAGAGACGGGGTTTCACCATATTGGCCAGGCTGGTCTCAAACTCCCGATCTTGTGATCCGCCTGCCTCCAGCCTCCCAAAGTGTTGGGATTATGGGTGTGAGCCACTGTGCCTGGCCACAATATTTTTTATTAAAACAGTTCATTTTATGTTCTTACAAGCAGGGAACTTAGAATTTTTAACACGAAGTGACTATCTGAAATAAGAGCACTCTTTCCTGAGACTCCATGTTGTAGAGACTGTAAAGATATTTTTTATAACTTCTACTATTTTTAGAAGAATTGTCACATATAGGTTGTGTAAATATAGTATATTGTACCTTATAGAACACTAAAGTTCTTTCCAACCGTATTCATTTTCATAGGTAAGGTCTAGAATCCTGAGTGTAGCCACATTTGTTATCAAGTATTTGTTTTATGAGCGATATTGGTCAAGGATGAAGAAACCCAAAACTATGGATTCTCTAAAAGATTTAAAATGAAACACAGATGAAAAATGTTTCACAAGAATAATAGCTAGCATATATTGAACATGTGTGTGGAACACTTTCTTATCACCTTTTAAAAATTACATGTGGTGGATACTTGTATTATTTATATTTTACAGATGAATAGACCAAAGCGTTGACAGGGTAGATAACTATCCATGATCTCACAGATACCAAATGGTGGAGCTGGAATTTAGATCCATGTATTTGGGTTGCAGAGTTCACATACTTAATGACTGTACTCTATTACCTCATCCAACTCAATGTTTGAAAGATAAAAGTTTTACCCATTTTACAGTGTCTCCCATGCCGAAGAAAGTGTCAAACTTTGTTACTGTAGAAACACAAAGCATGCCTTGAGAGCAGGTTGAGGAAACTTCTGAATTTCTAGTGAAGACTTTAAAAATTATTAATACTAGACTGAAGTCAAGGCACATCTTTAATGGTTAAATATATTTTACTTTTGATGACAAAAACCACAATTACTTTTGCACCAATCTAATAGCTGCAGGTTAAAATGAATAGGTGCCAAAATCTGTCTGCAGCATTTGAAAACAGAATATAAATCAAAAGGCTTTGCAAGAATGAGGACTTTGCTTATTAGGGACAACCTTCTGATCAATTTATTTATTATTTTTAATTAAAGATTGTTATGACTAAAAATTTAATAAACTATGTACTTTCTACAGTGATCTCCTGTGAAGCTGAATGGTACCTATTAAAAGTAGAAATGGTTGGAATATGTTTTTAAATATGCTTAAATTTAAGCATTACATCTCGATATTATTGAGAGGTCATATCTTTTATTTTTTATGTAGTTTCAATTTAAAAAAAAATTAGTGAGAGGTGTACTGTTCCTCATAGCCAGAAAAGCATTCTATTACTTGAAAAAAAAATTATATCCTGTTTAATAGAATTCAAATACCAGGAAGTGAACTACATGTAAAGAATTGAAAGCCAATGCTATAAATAATTTTGAACTGTAATATGCAGTGAACTTACAACAAATTCTAATTTTAAAAATTGGAGTGTAACATTTGTTGCCTTTCAATGCAGTAGAATTTTCTTTTCTGTTTTAACTGGGGGCAGGCAGAGTTTTTGTTGCCCAGGCTGGAGTGCAGTGCCATGATCACAATTCACCGCAGCTTCAACTTCCAAGGCTCAACCTCAGCCTCCATAGCAGCTAGGGACTACGGGCGTGCACCACCACACCCAGCTGATTTTGTAATTTTTTTACAGTAGGGGGTCAGACTATGTTGCCAGGGCTGATCTCAAACTCCTGGGCTCAGGTAATTCTCCTGCCTCAGCCTCCCAAAGTGCTGGGATTACAGGCGTAAGCAATTGTGCCTGGCTGGAAGTAGAATTTTCATTCAAAATGTTTCATTGTGGATTATTACTGACTAAGAGGGTAAAATATATAATTCCTTGATTTCAGAATGAGAGACTTCTCCTGGTTATTGGTAAATCCTCAATTCTCCTTCTCTGGAGTACTACCACGTACATGATCATCATAAAGTTGTATAAACCTACCTGGAAAACAGAGTCATCCAGACAGACTTAGATTTTCAATTAAAAGTAAAAAGTTTTATTTGAACATTCATTCAGAAATGTACTTTCCTGTTTTGCCCTGAGGCTTTCTGCTTTATTCATTTATCACCTTTAGATTAAAAAAGAAAGAAAGAAAGAAAAAGGGAATGAAAGAGAGAAAACTTATGCTTCTTCTTAAACTGGACGCTGAAAAAAAAGGCTTTTAGGTTTTATTTGTGGAGAATTTATAGGTTTCTGCCATTCAAGATGAAAGTTTTGAGTATTTACTAACTCAATTGCTATTATTGCTGAATTAATAATTCTGGCATGAAATTAATTAATCTCATTTTCCATTTGGCATAATAATAACGAAAAAGGACATGTTTTAGAAAGCTGTTTTATTCAGCAATTTAAAAAAATCTATGAATGAGTGAAAACTGCTGATAAGATTTTTTCACTTTACAGTTCATAGAACATATAGATTTTACATTCACCTTTTTTACAAAAGTAAAGAGAGACAATAGCCTTACATTGAACTAAAAATTGAACAAACATAAGTATATTTTTAACAAGGCAAATGTAGTTGTTTGTTGATCAGTTCCAGGACTCACCTCTTTACTGATTTCATGGAATCTAAGGTATTAAAATATTTCCATCACTATTCAAAGGTGGAGGAACACCAAAATGGACTTCAAAAATAGTTAATGGCCTAGCTGTGAATAAAATTAACTGCAAAGTAAGTGGTTTATTCTGCATATCATTTTATGGTTTAATTTATTAAATTTGAGTTTGAGGAGTTTTTACTTAAATACATGTTGGACAATCTCAATTTCGTATTATCTCAAATACCATATATAATACCAAAAGCATGTTGAAGACTACATACCTAATCTTAAAGTAGAAAAATGAAAACTAACTCAATCTGATAAACATTTAGCATGGTATCCAGTAGGTATGTATTTTAAATGAAGTAACTGGCCAGTACTAAATCGTTTATCAAATGTGGAGAGATTCTTAAGTCCTAATTTTGGTTGTTACCTAACTATAGGCAAAATTTAACACATACGTAGAGGCAGTGCTTGTTTTTGCACAGTTTCAACATTCATGAAATTCAGATATCATGATTTAGAGAATACCAGTCCCCATAAATACAGTTCAGACTTCAATTACCACAATTTATTAACTGTCAGTAATTGTATAAAGTAAAAAAAAATTACTATTAGCTCTTTATTCTACAAATCACTGCATAAATAACAGATTCCTATCATGATAAATGAATGAACGGTAGTGTCACTTATTTTAGATCTGTCCGTAAGTGGTCACTGCCCATCTGCTATTTAGTTCCTATTCTGACAGCAAACATGTAGAGGTGTTACCTCCCTATTTCCCAGTGATTAAACCACATGCCATTTTACATAACTTGATCTTTGGAATGAGGGAATTGGACAATAAAGATAAAAGTTCAACAAAGAAACTAAAAATGATAATGCTAGAAGTAAAATTCAAAACAAATATAAATGGATGTCTGAAGAAGTAAGTGACTATAGAAATGTTGACAGGGGTTATTTCAAAGACTGCAAATATACAAGCAGTGGAACTTAATACCTGCAAACTTACTGAAATAAATGAGGAAAGTGGTTGTGACAAAAAAAAAAAAAAGTAATGAAGATGTTCCGGAGCAAATGATGTCAATGAAACATCCCACATTAAAGAAACTCCCAAAGGTATTTTACAGCATAGAAAGAACAAAGACTAAAATGTTAGAAGCTGATCTAAATTTACAGAGAAGTATGACAATTCACTAAGGCATTGAAAAAATACTTGCTTCATATTGTTAGTTAATGCACAAAGCAAGCACTGTTCAAATTACCCTTAATTAGTTTTTTACTAAGAGATAAAATACATCAATTCTCAATGGTTTGAATATTGTAAACTGATGTGCTATGGTTTGAATTTTGTGTTCTTTCCAAAATTCATGTTGAAACTTAATTCGCAATGCAATATTATTAAGAGATAGATCCTTTAGGAGGTAATTTATTCATGCAGGCTCTTCCCTCATGATTGAGATTTAGGCCCTTGTAAATAGGCATCTGACAACATTCGGCCCTTTTTACCCTTCTGCCTTCTGCTGTGTTGAGGACACAGTAACATGGTGCCATCATGAAAGCAGGAAAACCGTCTTCACCAGACACAAATTTGCTGGTGTCTTGATCTTGAACTTCCAAGCCTCCAGAACTGTGAGAAATAAATTTATATTTTATATGAATTACCCAATCTGTCGTATGTTGTTATAGCAGCACAAAAAGAATAAGACACCATGCAATAAGTAATATTAGTTTCACTGTTTTTGCATTCTCCTATACATATATGACTGACAATAAGAAAACGTTGAATATTTTGACAAAAGTTTTAAATATGATGGAAAAATCATAATTTCTCTTATCTACTATTAAGGTGACTTTATACAGTTTCAAGTTTTAGTCTTTTTGCAGTCCTGAAAAGCCATACAAAATTACACATATATATGTCTCTGTGTGTATATATGTATACATGTATAAAAACATATATACATATATACATACATATATACACATATAGGCATGCATATACATATATACACATATGTATATATACATACATATATGTAATGAGGTTGCAATTTTAACCTCTCATTTGAAATAGATGTGTGTATCTTCATCTAAGAGTAATTTCACCATTGTAGACCTCAACTGATCAATAATAAAAAGAAAATATTTCTGATGAGAGATTTTTTTCATTCAACTGAGAAGAAAACTCTTCACCATTCTGATCCTAGTATGAATCCTGAGTAAAAAACTATGTCAAAAGGAAAGTGCTTCTTTAAGGACAGAATTGATGGAGGAAAAAGTCCCCCATGCCATCTGATGACTTAACAACATTAAAATGAAAGATTTTCGTGTACTTCTCTCTGTAAACTCAGCAATTAATGGTCATTTTTAACAACCTGCGAATCATGTGTCTTCAGGTCATCTGCCAATGAATCATCCATCAAAGGTAGAGTTTCTCAAATAATCTCAAATTAGAGTCTCAAGCTCTAGTGTTTTTAGATGTACAACAGAGATAAAATCATAGGGATTCAAACCATGCAGCAAAAAGAAAGGAACAATACACAACATCTCAAAATGATTATTCTTAGTGAAAGAAGTCAGATACAAAATGGGACACATGGAATGATTCTACTTATATGAAACTCTAGAAAGTGCAAACTGATCAATAGTCATAGAAAGCAGATCAACAGGTGTCTAGAACATGGTGTGAGGGAGGGATTGACCACGAAGGGACATGAGGAAACATTTACAGTTGATAGAAATGTTTTGTATTGTAATTGCGATGGTGGTTTCTCAGGTATATACATCATCAAAACTCATCAAAGTGTTTATAAATGAGTGCAGTTTTTTGGGTGTAAATTATATGATAGTAAAGTCATGAAAAAGTCATACAGTTCAAGATTTGAACAAGATCAGACTAGATTATGTCAAGCCCCAGAGGAGACAAAACGTATTCTTTGGATTTTATAGCTTTTCCACAATAATCTTTCACTTCTGTGTTTACAATCACAAAGAAAACCTAAAAAAGGCTAATGTAAGCATTATTCATGAATGACATCTTTTTCAATATGGAATGCCCATGAGCTGTGGGAACATGTGTTCATTTGTGTGTACACTTTTGCTGCTACATAGTACTGCCATGATATTGTAATCATTGTTATATGCTCAAAAATTAAGAAGTGGATGTTTTTATATATACATTATGGATTTCTATTAAGTGAATATAAATCTCTGTCAAGCAAAGATTTGAAAGCTCAGAGAAAAGAAAAGTCATCAAAGTCATTAAAGTTCTGCAAAGCAGGTATGTTGTTTACATCTCAACTCAAAAGTCCTTGCAATGTTCATACAGTGAGGGCAAAAACAGTTTTAAAGTTTTAATTTAATTTTACTTTTGGTTTTGTAGTCTTTCTTGAAAGTGTGTAATAGCTGTAGTTATAATGTCATATACATAGTTTATATGCATAGAAATTATAATGAAAATAGCTATAAGTCATTTTTCCTTTAAAATGAATTTTTAAAAATTATTACAGTTTGAGAACTATCTCCCAATATCACTTTGAAAACACTGATAATTTCGTTTTAACTCTACATCTGGTAATAATGTTTCTGTCAAAAATAGCATGACATTAAAATGCAATTCAGATTATTATTCTTTTGAAGTCATAATATTCCCTCCAGTTTTTTATTATAAATATATAATATTCTAACGATATTTTAAATTAAACAAGGTTTATTTGCTTGCTTGATAAATATCTATGAATTCAGAAACTGAAGAACTCATTTCTGTTTGTAAATAGCAACTTGTCAAATGCATTAGAATATAAGCATTTCACAAATGGGTATTACCGATATGTATGGCATGGTTTTTGAAGAGCTGGCAGCATCAATATACATTTTTTTAAACTAAATTTTTTAAAAATTCTGTGTTTTTTTTTTTGTTGGTTATGTTAAAAGCAAACTTGCTCTCCTTAGCAAGTAGGGCACTGAGAAAAATGAAGATTGAGAAAAATGCCAGGTTAGTCAATTTGTGATAGCCACTGCTACACCAGTATAAAGGAATGTCCTGATGATTTTTCATACCTTTTTATTCCAATAAACCTAAAAGATGTTGCTCATGCCTCCAGTGGAAGCAAGCCAGCCAGGTGGGATTCTTCCAATCTTAAAAAAATGGGAAAAATAACACCAACAAGAAAGCCCATTCTGACTTGTGTGAGATGGTATCTTATTGTGGTTTTGATTTGTATTTCTCTGATGATTAATAATGATGTATGTTTGTTGGCCTCTTGTATGATAAAAATGTTGTACATTTACACTATAGCATACTACGCAGCCATGAAAAGGAACGAAATCTTGTCTTTTCCAACATGGATACAGCTGGAGGTCATAATCCTAAGCTAATTAATGTAGAAACAGAAAACCAAATATAGCATGTTTTCACTTATATGTGGGAGGTAAATATTGAGTACACATGGGCATAAAGATGGGAACAATAGAGACTGCAGACTACTAGAGTGGGGAGAGAATAAGAGGGGTGTGGGGTGACAAATTACCTATCGGGTACTATGCTCACTACCTGAGTGATAGGATCCATATCCCAAACTTCAGCATCATGTAATATACCCAGGTAACAAACCTGCACATGCACCCTTGTAACTAAAATAAAAGTAGAAATTATATATAAAAAAGAATGCCCATTAGAGAAAGCTGAAACTTTAATTGAAAAAAATACGTAATAATATATGCTATGCCAGCTTCTGCTACCTTTTTGCCCCTACCCAACAACCAACTGAACACTAAGCCTTGAAATCTTGGAATACTTCTGCTATATAGCCACACAAGGATGGCATTCCTTTGTTTTAGAAGATAAAGTTTACAAAAGCAACACCTTATAATGATAGGCTCAGTGAAGAACAATTTTTTTAATGGGAAGCTAATCAAAACTATTTAAAACTTAAACTGGAAATATTCAATGACATCTTTGGAGTAGCCAGTTATTTTTACACACTGAAATCTACCTAAGATTCATTTTTAATGATTTTGGAGGAAAAGAACAGATAATGGGCTAATGTCCAAGCTTCATTCATGACTTAACAGTTTAAATTGTGTAGAAGCCAATACTATTCAGGGCAAGATAGCGTAATGATTCAGGACACCAGACTCATTTTTATTTTCATTGACTTGTGTGTTGACTTCTGCAAGTTATTTTCCCTCTTAGAATCTGTCTCATATCTTTCAATGAAGCAGATTGACTACGTGTGACATTTTCATATCAAAGCTTCCCTGTATATGCATCAGAGACCCCTAGGGACTGGACTGATCAGGTGTCTGTCTCCCCATCTCCCGTGCTCATTCAGCAGGAAAATACTGTAATTATTTATTTATATACTGGGTTTAGTGTTATTGTTGCTGTTGTTTTTAAGAGAAAAAAATGGACCTAGAGGTCCGTTTTTAAGTGCTTGCAACTATTAGAATGGATTATCTCTATGGTTCCATCCAACATCTATAATTAAGCCTAATAGCAATGGAAATTGGTGCTCAGAACTTGTTATTACTGTTAATAATGACACCAGCAGGCCGCTAAAAGACAGGCATTTGTAATACAATTTGCTCCCGATTTAAAACCAGAATTTGAGGCACAAATTTATTTGTAAGTTAGGTATTTGGGAGATGAAAAGCATTTTTCCAGAGAACCAGTTTTTAAGGCGAAGTGGTTAGAGTAGTCAAAAATAATAATAATTATTAATAATAACAAAACAAGCTAATTTAACTGCCACAGTAAAATCAGTCTGTTTTTAATAAATAGGAGTGAGAAAAAATACTCTCACAAAAGATGCAGTTAAAATTTAAGAAGAAAGCAGTATTATATTTTGAGGTTTTTAAACTTTAATGTTTGAAGACAAATGTTTTTAGAAACACAACACTTATTTTAATATCCTTTTGGTTTTAGAAGTTATCCAAAGTGACATGATTAGAGAGACAGCTCTTTCCTGATGTTGATATGGTGACTGAGATTTCAAAATTTAAATTAAATTAAAAAGTCAATGCCCACTTCAATTTATTCAGAATGAGAGGTTTGCTTAATCCCATTTAAATCTTTATATCCCTCTTCAAGCTAAACCTAAAGACCTTGTGTTAGTGGTAGAGGGGAAAAAAGCAGCACTAATAGCTTTTACCATCTATTTCTACCTTTGTTTAAATATACAGGTTTTTAATCAGAAGATGTTGATAGAGAGTTGCTCCACTAAAACTGATGGAATGTTTCTGTGTTTTCAAAATCTTCCCTCAGGTGCAAATCTTGTTAAAAAGATTAGTAAATGGATATCCAGAAAAATAAAACTTAAGAGAATCTAAATATCTAGGTAATATATTATTCTCAACAGGAATATAAATATCTAGATATTGTGAATGCAATTAATTCTACTTAAGCTATTTTTCGTTTTAAAGGGTTCCAGTACTTAATAGAAAAATCCATTTCACCTATGCTGGAATATTTTCAGGCTAAATATTGTAATGGGAAAGTATGGTTCAGAATACACAGTGCATTAATAAATTGTGCAATATAACCAGTAAATGAGACACCCATCAAAAGTGATCATAACAATTCATATAAAACTCTAGGTTCACCAATCTTAGTTCTTGGATGTTTATACATTTTGCAAGTATCATGTACTTTTTGACCTTCCAATACTAGAATAGTTGGGCATCACCCTAAAATTTTTGTTTCCGTGATTGTGGGAAATGAATATTCCATATTATTACATCCCAAGATTGTACTTATCATAGTCAAAGTTATATGATCATTCTGACCTAAAAGTTAGTACACAGTGGATACTCTGTATATATTTTAAAATGTTGTAATTGTGAAGAAAAATAATCTCTATTATTATCATTAAAATGAAAATTTTTTCTAGCCTTACGTTTTGAGCACTAGTATAGGACCTCTTTCATTATCACAAATACACGAAATTCCCTTTGCTTCTTTGTGATGGGGATGAGCAGTGTATACTCAAAATAACAGAAGAAAAATATCTTTCCAATTTCCCACTTCCCCTATGGCATCAGAGATTTTATAAACAAGAAATTTGAAGGTTGAATGAACATATACCATGAGATTTTAAACATGAGAAGAAGTCTGCTTCTTAGGTAATTATTTTTAGAAAGGTAGTATGTACTTCTCCAGGCAGAGGTTCCATTTTGACATGAACATGACATACATCTCACACAGTAATTCTGTGTCATTTGGGGTAGATTGGCATCACAAAAAATATACATATGCATTATGGCATATGAAAATTATAGCTTGATTTGATTTTTTTTTAAATTTCAAGTAACACTATAGCTTCTTGGAAACATAAATTTCATAAGGAAAGAAAAATGATTTCTCCTTCTGGGAAGATAAAACTGAGAGGTGAAGTCTTACTTTTCTTACCAAAATGTCAGCACAGTCTTTCAACAATGTCAGCATATGGTTGGATCTTGTCTTCCTTCTATATATTTTTTCTCCCTCTGTGAAAGCTGAAAGTGATTGAAGGGGAGGGAGAAATGTACTGTACATTATAGGGTTCTTCAGCAGAAATTCCACTCCCCTTGCTTTCTTGCTCATTATCTGCATCTCACATGTATGAAGAAATTACACACCTAGCCAGGAAAATTGTTTACTATAAAATAAATTTTAAAATGCCAAGATTCTTAAAAATTATACTTTTATAAAAATGTTTTATTAATTTTCTTCTTAAGGTTATAAGATATGCTATAGACTGTTTCTTAATTATTAGTCGTGGGTTTCCCAATCATTAAAATACTGGTTTCTAGAAACCCAAAGGCCACATAACAGGCTTTTGTAGCATATAGAAATTAATCCAGTTTTTAAATAGAGGGCTTTGAAAGAATTTTAAAATTCTGTTTCTGGAATCTTAACCAGAATCTCCATAACATTTTTTAGAACTGAACTGACGTGGAGTTTCGGTTAAATGCAAAAATTAAGAAATGTCAAGAAAGATATTTAAGTTAGGTAACAAAATATAAAAAAGGGAGCTTAAGTTAAAAGTAAAGTGAAAAATAAGAGACAGACAATATTCAGGACATGAATGAGAAACCAGAAATAAGATATAAAACATTTCAGGTAGTAGTTTAACTAAGTAGGTAGGTAACAAGAGAAGCTTAAACAAAACCAGGAACCTTTACACCAAGCTTGTCCAACCCATGGTCCATGGGCTGCATGAGGCCCTGGACAGCTTTGAATGTGGCTCAACAAATTCATAAACTTTCTTAAAACATTATGAAAATTTTTTGCCTGTTTTTCTTTTTTTTCTTTTTTCTTTTTTCTCTCTTTTTTTTTTTTTTTTAGCTCATCAGCTATCATTAGTGTTAGTGTATTTTATGTGTGATCCAAGATAATTTTTCTTCCAGCGTGGCCCAGGGAAGCCAAAAGATTGGACACTCCTGCTTTAGACAGGTATATACATCCACAAGCAGTTGTAAAATAGCAGATTTGTATCTACCTACATTTATATAACATTTTAAATATAACAATATAACAATACTAAATTTAACAATATTAAATTTAACAGTACTACAACATTTTAATATTTCTTTTAGGAAACTGTTTTATTAAAGTATGATATAGTAAAGTGCAGCTTAAGGAGCTTCTATATGTATACGCACGCTGATAACCACAAAATTAAGATATAAGACATTGCAAAATGTTCTCTCTTGCCCATCTCAGCGAATATCCTCCTCACCCATGGTAACCCTGATTCTCTCTTACCTATTACAGTCATTCTGCCATTTCTTGAACCTCATATATACAAAATTATACAGTATGTATTTTTGTGTACCCGTCTTCTTTTTCTTGTCTTTATATCTGTTATAAATATCACATCTTATTTATCCATGCTATTGAGTGTAACAGTAGTTCATTATTTATTTCTAAGTAGCGTGCTATTGTTTAGGTCCACCACAAATTACTTATATAAGCATGCTAATGGTAAGGGGCGGTGCAAACCTCTCATTCCCACTACACAGGTTATTCAAGCATGTCCTCCAGTCTCTTTTGCCACCTCTGATCTCCAAAGGACAAAAAACAGTGGTGAGACCAAAAGCAGAAGATTCCCAACTTTTATGCAGTAGAATATATTACCTCTTTTTTCTTCACATTTTTTCTTCACATTTCAATGACTTTTTTCTTCACATCCAATGATGAATAAATTAAACCAATGACCTCAGATATCAAAACCTACAGAGAACCACTCTTTTCCACCCTTAACGTAATAGCAGGATTCAACAACAGATATACATACATCACCTCTGACAGCTGTGGACAAAAGAATAGGAAGAGAGAAGGGACTCTCTGGTAATGGAGATATTTTAGCCATTCTTCAGGTGGCAGGACACATGCATTTGGGAACACGCAAGCAGGCAGTCACATATTGATGGATGTGACTTGAAAAGGATGTCTCTAAGGGTGTTATTTGATCTAAAAACATGTCCTTGGCTTTTCCAAACAGTTCAAGTGATTTCTCAGACTAAAACTATGTGAAGCATATTCTATGTAATTAGATCGTCACCGTTTATTTCCTATTATCTTAGTACCTCCAACTCTCTCTTTTGTTAAGGACCTGGATGACAGCCCTTTCACCTGATGTATGTTTTGCATCTCAGCAAATAAAATTATATACTATGCAAGACCAAGGTCGTTTTTGAAGTAATTTATGTTCTCTTTTCTACAGCAATTAAAGTTAATTTGATTATAGGCATGTTTTACAAAACGTGAAAACTTAGATAAAACGTATTCAAAATAAGTTTATTTTATTCTTTAAAACTTGTTTTTTTGTGTCCTTTTATAATTCTAAAATGGCAAGAAATTTTCTTCATGCAACATATTTATTTTTAATAAACGGACATTTTGAATGATGTGTCCCATTTTGCCTATTTGTTATTTATTGAATTATTCACTTTTATTTTGCTTGAACCACCCCTTAAAATTCAAACTACTCTCTTATTTGTAGCTCTAGAAAATCCTTGACATTTATGGATAAATTTATCATCAGTTTACACAAAAAAAAGTCAAACTGTATCTTATTAAAATTAATAAGGCATCTATGAATTATATATTATCACGCTTGAAGTTTTATAAATATTGTTTCACTATCTGTGATATTAAATTTAATAGTTAAAATATTTGATTTGATCAATTTGTAAGTGCTTCTTTCTTCAACATCATTTTTTATTCTAGTCATGCATCATTCAACAAGGAAAATAAGTTTCTGTTGAGAAATTCATAAAACTTTGGTTTTTTTTATAAATAATCCAATATCCCTATAATTATGTAGGAATTATATGTTGCGTTTTTTTTTTTAACAGAAAATAACTTCATTCTGCAATTGAAAGAATCACAGCAAGCTCTCATTGTATCAAGGTGGGTAAATTTTTCTTTCTTCTTAAAATGCATGTTTCCATGTCATAGAGGAGAAGGTGTGTTGCTTTAAAAACTAATTTCTGTAGATATTCTATTTTAAAAGACAATAAACTTTAGAGTATTCTACAATACTCACTTTTAAGCATGTAGTTCTTATGGATTAATGTATTGTTTGCATTGATGATTTCCTTTTAATGATTATCTCAAGCTGTCAATATTCTGGAATACCCAAAATTTTGAAAAGTTGGTAACTGTATGCTAATTGATTATAGTGTGTAAGTATAGTTTTGTCCAAACTAATGTTAGTTTCGGTGTTGACAGCCAAATTGTATGTTGCTGAAAATGTATGCTGTAAGCTCTAATTTCATTTAGGTGTTATAGTCTTTTATGGTACGTCTTATAAAACATTGGGGAGATATCCATTGTATGACACACCAGTGCACCTGACTGATAAACCCCCAAAGAATGTGGATTAATGGGTTCATGAAACCTGAAGGGAGGCCTCTTATGAAGCAGTGCAGAACTGTCCACATTTTTGCCAACACCTTTGAAGATGAGAGAGAAGTAATGGTTATTACATTTATAAATGACTGGAAACCCGAAGGTTAATTAATGTGAGGTATAAGATGCAAGATTGGGAGGCCGAGGCGGGTGGATCACTTGAGGTCAGGAGTTCGAGACCAATCTGACCAACATGGCAAAACCCCGTCTCTACTAAAAATAGAAAAATTAAACCAGGCATGGTAATGGATGCCTGTAATCCCAGCTACTAGGGAGTCTGAGGTACGAGAATCCCTTGAAGGGAGCTGGAAGTTGCAGTGAGCTGAGATTGGGCCATTGCATTCCAGCCTGAGTGACAGAGAGAAACTCTGTCTCAAAAAATGAATAAATAAATAAATAAGAGATGCAGGAAAATGTTGATGACTATGATAGGCTCAGGCTAACATGATTGAATTTGACAGGTGCAAATATAAAATTTTATAAAGTTTTCCTCACTAAAAGCGATATAAAAGTATCAGTGGAAACCAGTTTGATAACAAGTATATGTGTATATGTATATGTAGGTGTCAATGTGTAGGATGGTGGAAGACTTAGTGATTTCATTTATAAATAAATTTAGTGTTAACTCAAAATATCAAATGATACAGGCACCTAGAAGCTAGATTTGCATTGATAGAAAAATGTCTTGACTAAAGTCTTCGCACTCCAGTATATACTAGCTCCTTTGTTCTCTCTCAGGTTGTACTGCAATATTATATATGAGTTTGGGGACCACATTTGAAGATCATCAGTGACAAACTGTTTAACCTTTCCAGAAGTAAACCTTAATCCTTGAGAAATCACAGATAGTCTCCCATTTGGTAGTATATAAGAAGCTATAGATATTTACCCAGTAAAAATGCTTAATTACATACACATAAATTTTCTATATAATGTCAGGCATTCCTTGAAAGTCATCGATCAATTTCCTACATGTTTATGGACTTCAGCTTAAGAACCTCTGATCTAAGTCCAAATGGCAAGGTGGTATGGATTATTGATTCCCTAATATATAAAAATTGGAGATGTTTAGTCTGGAGTAAAGAGCACTAAGAATATAGGAACAAAATAGATGCCGTAAAATATGTGAAGAATTTTCATGTTCAAGAGTTATTACATTTGTTCTATGTATCTCCAATGAGACAAACAAAAACACCATAGGGACATATTTTGTGTAAGTAGAAATAGGATGAATGGTAGGAATTTAATTCTGCATTCAATCGGTGCTTTCCAAATGGTATGCTAGACTGGGAGTGTGAATGTAAATATCAGATGAATAAAACAGGGTCTCTTCAGGATGTTTAGAGAGGAAAGTTCCAGCTCAAAAAGCAAACTTCCCTTAAGGAAGTTTTTGAGTTAAGGGAAGTTGTGTGTATATATATATATATATATATTTTTTTTTAATTAAAACATATATATTTATTATAAGGCACTAAATGCATAAACTTATATTTAGTTAGTATGGGGTGGGACATAGTCAATTTGATAATGTCCATCCACCAAAGAATGATTATTCTATTATTATGTGAAGTTAGTTTTCATATTAAAACAATTGAGCATAGAAATACTATTCTAGGTGAGAAGGTTTTTTTATGGTGAATAAATGCATTCTATCTGTTAATTGATCTTATATATCAGCATCATTTTTAGACTTTAATTAAGAGAATAAGTTTGAGCATTATTGTCTTTTTCTCAGCTCCCATCACTACTGTAACATGTAATAGACAAGATTGAAAAGGAAAAGGCATATATCTACAAATTCAGGTATACTCTCTTTGGAAATAAATCACCTTTCCAGCAAATGTCATTTTTATTTCATTTGTGAATAATAATTCCAACAAATATCAGGAAGATCAGCATCTCAAGATTATAGTTCTTCTGGATTATGCTGACATGCTCAAACATTTTACTTAAAGCAGAACTGTTCCGTCAAAGTGGCTGGGTCAGACAGGTTTTTCGGAGTAAACATCAGGCTCATGTAGAACCAGCCCTCATCTAAGAACATGTAAACCCTAGTATGACTCTTCGGGATTTGTTTTATCTGGAAACCTTCACTTTTTGACAGAGGTTTTAACAGGGTGAATCTTTAGTGAGGCAGAAATCTGGATTACTTTTTCTCAAGATGTTCCTTATCCCTATGCAAAGGAACACGGATTTTTTTTATTATACTTTAAGTTCTGAGGTACATGTGCAGAATGTGCAGATTAGTTACATAGGTATACACGTGCTGTGGTGGTTTGCTGCACTCGTCAACCCGTCATCTACATTAGGTATTTTTTTCCTGATGCTATCCCTTCCCTAGACCCCCACCCACTGACAGGCCCTGGTGTGTGACGTTCCCCTCCCTGTGTCCATGTGTTCTCATTGTTCAACTCTCACTTATGAGTGAGAACATGCAGTGTTTGGTTTTCTGTTCTTGTGTTAGTTTTCTGAGAATGATGGTTTCCAGCTTCATCCACATCCCTGCAAAGGACATGAACTCATCCTTTTTTATGGCTGCATAGTATTCCATGGTATACCTGTGCCACATTTTCTTTATCCGTTCTATCATTATTGGGCATGTGGGTTGGTTCCAAGTCTTTGCTATTGTGAACAGTGCCGCAATAAACATACGTATGCATCTGTCTTTATAGTAGAATGATTTATAATCCTTTGGGTATGTACCCAGTAATGGGATTGCTGGGTCAAATGGTATTTCTAGTTCTAGATCCTTGAGGAATCACCACACTGTCTTCCACAATGGTTGAACTAATTTACACTCCCACCAACAGTGTAAAAACTTTCCTATTTCTCCACATCCTCTCCAGCATCTGTTGTTTCCTGACTTTTTAATGATCACCATTCTAACTGGCATGAGATGGTATTTGTGGTTTTGATTTGCATTTCTCTAAAAAAGTCAGATGATTTTAATGTGCTTTCAGGATTGAGAAACACCATCATAAAGCAGTGGTTCTCAAAGTGTAGTATGGCCACATTTGTATCTCCTGGAAACTTATTGGAACTGCAGGTTCTCTGGTCCAACCTTGACCTTCTGGATCAAATACTCTGGGGGAAGAGCCCCCAGTAATTTTTAGTAATATTCAAGTTTGTGAACAATGTCATAATGTCATATAAAGAGCTGTAATTCTTCTACTGATGAATATGAATCAGACTTGTTCGTTAATCAGTCGCAACCAAGAGGATGTCTTGGAGACAAGAACCATATTCTATGTTTCTCCTGTATTCACCTGAAATGTAGATAAATGTGTGAAACATACATTAAGTTATCAATAAATATATGCTGATTAATTTGCTCCTTTGTATTTAAAGATTTTTATGCCTAAAATGACAGAATACTGATTGCTGTGGACTGAACATTTGTTTTCCCCCCTCCAAATTCATATGTTGATATTTTAATCCCAAATGTGATGGCATTTAGAAATAATATTTTTGGGAGGTATCTGGATTTGGATAAAATTGATATTCTAATATGGAGATGAAGAGACCAGATCTCTCTCTCTCTCCCCCATGTGAGGGTAGAGCAAGGGTGTAGCCTTCTGCAGATCTGGAAGTTGGCCTTCACCAGACACTGAGTCTGCCAGCACCTTGAATTTGAATTTCTCAGCCTCCGTAACCATGAGAAATGCATGTTTTGTGTTAAAGCCACTCAATCTATGGTATTTGTAGCAGTAGTCCAAGTTGATGAAGACACTGTTTATGTTCATCCTGTACAGAGCCCTTTGTCTCTTATGTGTCGTGTTTTATGCAGCATCAGAAGTGAATAGACACAGATAAAACCTTGCCATTCATTTATTCAACAACTATTCACTAAGTGTGCAACTATGTGCCAGGTATAATAGATCCTGCGAATACCTCAGTGAACAAAATAGACAAGAATTTTTGCTCTAGAAGAGATAACTCCCTGGTGGAAGAGGCAGAAAATAAGCAACATACATAAAAGCAAAATACATGTATTATATTTGAGAGTTGTATGTATTATAGAAAACAAAGAGTAGGCAGGGTAAAGAGAATCAGGATTAGGGAGGATGGGAAAGGAAGTGGATGGGCCACTTGCAACACTAAATAGTGTTGATAGTATAAGCCTCAGCGTGAAGGTGAGATTTCAGCAGCAGCTAGAAGGAGGTGAGGGAGTGAGCCAAGAAGGTGACTGCATCAAGAACAAAGAAAGGGAACAAAGAAAATAAAGCCTATAAAGTAGGAGCATGTCATTAGTATTTGAAAACCATCATGGTGGCCAGTGCGGCTGTTGGATGGTGAGCAAGTGGAGGTGAGCAGAGAGGAGGTCTGGGAGAAAGCAAAGATTGGAGCAGGGAGGGCCTTGTGGCCATGTGTTGGATTTTTGTCCCTTCCTAGGAGTGGAATGGGAAGCCATTGGAGTGACATGATCAGGCTTACTTTTTAAATGAATTACTGTATTTGCTGGGTGCAACTGGAGTGTGGCAAGGGTAGTAGCAGGGGATAAATCAGAAGACTAGAAGACTTGACAATAATATGGAGAGAAAAATGACTGCTCAGATTAGGATGGCAGCAGACCATCTGGTGTGAATATTCTAGAAATATTTCGAAAATGGAACCAATATAATTTGTTTATGAATCAGAAGAGCAAAAAAGAGGAATTATGTATCATTCTAAGGATTTTGGCTCAAGCAACTGGAAGAATGCCAGACAAACAAATGGTTGGAAATGCAAAAAAAAAAATTATAATAGTAAAACTGTATACATTCAGAGATTATCTTTCTTCTTAAGCCCCAAACTGTCCACTCCTGATGCCAAACGAAAGAACACCAGCCCCTAAGTCACACTGTGTTTGTCTTCATGCCAATTGATTGCTGAGTTTAAGGATCATGGTATCTGTGTCCTTTTAAACTGCTCACAGTACTTTCCCTGAAGGGTGCATACCCAGTAGATTTTTATTCATTTATATACTTAACAAACATTAACCCAGCATCCATCCCCAGGCAATGGGAAGGCACTGGTGATAAATCGCTAACAAGATAAACATGGTGCTGCTAATATGAACCTTATAGTAGACTAGATAATCTGATCACATAGAACCTTTTGTTTCAACTTGAAAATTATTTTATCTCTCTACCTTTCCTGCACTGCCTGAGTAATACCTTAAAAAGGGCAATCTCCCTAATTTGGCTGCTATGGCATGGCTGACCTTAGGAAAGAATACCTGTACAGGCAACAGAAACAAAAATAGACAAATAGAACTATATTAAAATGAAAGGCTTCTGCACAGCAAAAAAATAAAAATAAAAATAAACAATCAACAGAGTGAAGAGATAGTCTCTTGAATGGGAGAAAATATTTGCAAACTACTTATCTGACAGGGGAATAAAACCTATAATACACAAGGTACTCAAACAACCTAGCAGTGAAAAAAAAAGAAAAAGAGAAAAAAGAAAAATCCCATTAAAAAGTGGGCAAAGGACTGAACAGACATTGCTCAAAAGAAGACATACAAACAGGCAACAGGTTTAATACTTAACATCACAAGTCATCAGAGAAATGCAAATCAAAACCGTAATGAGATATCATCTTACCCAAGTTATAAAGGCCATTTTTAAAAAGGCAAAAAATAACAGATGCTGATGAGGATGTGGAGAAAAGGGACCCCTTATATACTGTTGGTGGGAATGTAAATTTGGTTACCCACTATGAAAAACAGTATGGAGATTTTTCAAAAAACTAAAAATAGAACTACCATATGATCTAACAATACCACTATTGAGTGTTTATCCAAATGAAAATAAATGAATATATCAAAGAGATACATATACTCCTATGTTTACTGCAGCACTATTCACAATAGCCAAGATATGGAATCAAGCTAAGTGCCCATCAACCGATAAATCGATAAAGAAAATGTTGTGTGTCTCTGTGTGTGTATATACACAATGGAATATTAGTCAACCATCAAAAATGATGAAATCGTGTCATTTGCAGTGACATGGATGCAACTGGAAGTCATTATTTTCAGTAAAATAAGCCAGGCATAGAAAGGCAAACATTGCATGTTGTTATTCATATGTGGGAGTTTAAAAAGTAGATCACATGGAGGTAGAGAATGGAATGATGGATACTGGAGGTTTAGAAGGGTATATGAACTAGGGATGGGGGCGATGAAGACAGACAGGTTGATGGGTACAAACATACAGTTAAATAAAAGGAATGCATCCTAAGGTTTGATAGCAGAGTGGAGTAATTATTATTAACAAAAAGGTATTGTGTTCTTCCAGATAGCTAGAAGAGGTGACCAGAAGTATACCCAATGCATAGAAATGATAGTCAGGTGATGGGTACCCTAAATATGCTGATTTGATCATTGTCCATTCTATGCATGTAACAAAATTTCACATGTACCCTATAAATATGTACAAATATAATGTATCCAAAAACTAAAAAGTAAAAAATATCTGTAGAATTAACCTAAGCATAGGCAATACTATGTTTCTTTATATGAGACAGCATAGAAAAAGGTAACAAACATTCTGTGAATCCATTAAGAAAAATGAGTAACACAAATGTGTCTAAAACAAGTCAGGCCAATGACTTCACTCTTTTTGAAAAAGTACTATGCATATGAAGAACGTAAATATGTCTTACATGGATACAGTAATATAGAGACTTTACAAAAAGATTTGACCTACAAGCCTTTTCATTTTACGTTTTTTCTTTTTCTTTTTAAAACTAATGTCTTAGCCCCAAAAAAGGAAGACCATAAGTTACATTTAGGATAATGCACTGATTTATTAAAAAGATCATTTGTGCTTTCAATAAGGCTTTTTAATGAGTCCATGGATATTAGCAAAATTATTTTCATGAAAAGCCAAAGGAGTTTGCTGACAGATCTAAATTTCCTAGGTGACGGAAAGTGTTACATGGTTTAAAAGGCCAATGCCAAAAGGCTATCATTAAGAATTTTTATTTTTTACAGCTACAAATCTACTTTTTCCACATTAAGTTTTAATTGTGATTTCACCTACCCAAAATGGGTCATGAAATAATTTGATGAATTAGATATACTTTTTCCATCATTTGATGAGATTTTTCTATTCTTTAGCTCAGAGGGCCCTTTTGATGCAGAAAGAGAAAATTAAATTATTACATTTTGAACCTTCTTTTAGGGAAAAGTTATATGCCTAAGGGCCATACCCATAGAGAAATTATGAGTTCTCAGAATATTTTCACAAGACATATTCCCACGTCTTCATTTCTTCCCCACCCTCAGCAATAACAAAAACAAAACAATAAATCTTGCGGAAAAACACTGTCAGAAGCACAATTTAGCCAGTTCAAGTAGAATATATTTATGGCACTACAGACTTCCTTAGAAAAATTATTTTACAGTATCAGTTTAACAGTCATGCTTCTGCTCCAGGAAGAACTACCCAAGAAGCTCACTAGCTTGGAGTGCCAGCCGGTGGGTCAAAACCCTTGGTGACATGCCAAACATGTGCAGAACATCATGATTTTCACCACGGGACGTCAGGGGAAATGTGTGGTTTTGTGTGAATGTGCTTCCAGTGAATATAGAAAATTCAGGAAATTCAAATGCATTTGATAGAGAAGATATGTAGCAGAAGCGAAAGATTTTCTAGGAGAGATTACTACATGAAAGCAGGCCTAGGGTAATCTTTGAAATGAAAGAAGGTAAAATTGGTTCTGACTATTTTGGGAGATACTGACATGGTCCATAGCAATAACTTACACATTATTCATAATGCATGTAATTTTCAACCGGAGTTTTTAAAGGATACAGGCCATTGCTTTTATAACATGATGCAGGTATGTATGCATGTTTGTGTCTACATATGTGTGTAGTATATACCAACTGGAACAGATGTACAAGAGTTAACTGATAGAAGGATCCTGAAACTTTTTAGATGGAGAGATAAAGTTGGGGCTATTGTGGAAAGAAGAACACAAGTCTAATTTGCATGGTTTATGTCCTTCTAAAGCTGAAAATCCTCTCTGATTCCCTAAACTCACTTTCAAAGGACTCTCTCTGCTTTGCTAAGGCACATTATGCTTATCCCCAAATTACGCTATCTTCAAAGTTATTACTTGAGAGAAGAACAGATGCCAAACACACACACACACAAACACATACACACAAATTAACTTCCAAATAACCCATTTTCCTTCACAGATGAAGTACATTTTTTTAAAAAAAAGTTGAATTTTTGAATGGCATTCAATGTTCTACTCACGTATTAAGAGTTCTGAATATCTTGCCAAGCACATAAACCAAATTGTATTGGAACTGTAACACTTTAATAAGAAGTCTCAGATATTACCTCCCTCCACCCCCACATGACAGGACTCTCATTTATTGGAACTGTTACCAATCTGCCAACTCTCTCTTTTTCTAAATGTTTATAAACCTTCATCTTCTCAGTGACTCTCTTCTTGCGTTTGCATTTTATTCCTTAAGAATCCATTCTCTGGATCTTCCAATTTTTTTTTCTTTTTTGCTACCCTTTTCTTTTGCCATCCCGTACCCCCCACCTAATGTCACTTAAGAATCATCTACCTCTTCGAGACATTGCCAGTTTTATCACTAGGACAAGGGCCTTAGATGAAAAGATCATTTTCTTAATTCAAATGCAGTGTTATTACGTTAGAGTTACAGCCAACTATAGTGAACTTCTTTTCATACTGACCATCTTTTTTATTGTGTCTGTCCCCTTTCTCACTCTCTCAAAAAAAAAAAGTTAGTGTTTATAAGAAGTGGTGACAGGTTTGGAGAAGATGAATTTCATAGTATTGTGAAAAAGAACAATAAGAAAAGAAACATTGCAGTCTTTGTTTTTACTGACTCTCCAGAGAATACCTGAAATAAAATGAGGTATGTTTAAAAAGCACACTATGTCAATGGTTCTGTCTCGTTAGTTCAGAAAAACATTTATAAAGCAGAAAAAGTAATTTTTTCTTCTTAAGGCAGTACTATCTTAAGGAGTACTGTTTCTTCGCAAGAAATCAGAAGTATGGGCTCCATGAAAGGTGTCCTGACTTTTCTAGCCAAAATGGATTTAAGAGAAAGCTGGAGGCCTCTCATCCTACCCACAAGTCCCTCGGTCTCCCTCCAGGGAAGCTGTGAAGGACTTCATTAAAATTCCTGAGGGTTCTTAGAGCACAATTTGAGACAAGCAGTATTAAGGCATGCTAAACTCTGAAAGGTAACGTTTATGATGTGGGAATATCTCCCTATGATATATTCTTATTTGGCAATTGCTTAAAATTATTACTTGAACATCTCTGGTTCAAAAGTAGAAATATCTAAAGAAAAACATGGCATTATAAACAGATTTGCCTATCAGATTGTATGTTAATATTTCAGAGAGGCTTAGAAACTAAGTAAAAACTATATCTCATTTCCACATTGAGCTATAGCCTATTTAAATAGCAATGGTAAAATGCAGTTGGTTTCCAAAAGTATCAGTTCAACTGTGGTTCTCCTAGGACAAATGTACAAGGACACCACATGCTAAGCAGCAGATCCTCTTGCGGAAAGAAGTTTTGCACCTGGTTTTATTTTGGCGCCACATACCACTGGTAATTTCCATCATTCTTATAAATGTCATCTTCCTGGAGATCACCAGAGAGAATGAATGATGGGTCTACTTCTATGATTCAAATAGCACTAATTAAGTTTTAGTCTTTTTGTAGACAAGCTTTGTCTTTAAGTCAAAATTTCCTTCATTTAAGTTAGCTTCTTTCACTCTGACAGGAAAAATGTGGTTTTCTTATTAGGGTTTCAAAAAATTTAACACATTTTCTTCCTATCATTTGCTTTTTTCTATGTTTGTTTTAAGACAGGGTATCACTCTGTCACCCAAGCTGGAGTACACAGACAAGATCACGGCTCACTGTAGCCTCTACTTCCTGGGCTCTATTGATCCTCCTGCCTCAATCTCCTGTGTAGCTGGAACTACATGGGTATAGCTGCGCACCACCAAACCCAGCTAATTTTTTTTTTTTTTTTAGAGACAGGGTCTTGTTATGTTGTCCAGGTTGATCTTAAACTCCTGGCCTCAAGTGAGCCTCCTACCTTGACCTCCCAAAATGCTGGAATTATAGGCATAAACCACCATGCCTTGCCTTTTTGTATTTTTCTGAAGATCTATAGTTCTGGGTGCTGGATGAATCTTTGAATGGTTGCATGTTGTTCTCAGTATAAAATCAAAGGCCTCTAACTTTATTTCAACTAAGTTTGGACAAAAATACCTATACCATAAACAGATTATCTATTGTATTTGTAGTGCGAATATTTGCCTCGACAGTTTGGTGCACACCTGAGCCCAATATACTAGACTACACTTGTCCCTTCCTTATGGAGGTTCTAAATCAAATGCCTTCTCACATTTTATAAGCCATTTGAGAATCATGTTCTTATTAAACATTCTCTGTCTATCATGCTCACTCTGTTTTCCAGCCCTATAATATTCAGACAGTAGCTCTCATATGATGCATACCGTTCAGGGAAAGAGAGTCATGTCCTCACTTAAATATGTCAAAAGTTGCTGTTGATCAAGATTTAACAACACGAGTTTTCTGTGTGTAGAAAACCAATTTGGTAACTACGTAGTAAATCTTGACTAAGAACATCAGTGGAAATTATAGTTAAAGAAATGAGTTATTTATTTTAGTTTGTGTAAGACTTAACAAATTATTAGTTTATCCACTTTTGGAAAAGGGAATGGGAATTCCAAAGAAATATAATCTTTCCTGTGAGATAGTATTAAAAGAGCTGTGAAAATGGATTATGTAGGCAATGCTCATTTCTCACCATTTTTATGAGAATTTTGTATTAGTTTTAATAATTGATAGTTACAAATTAGAGGTAAGGGCATCTAAAATGCCAGGGAGATATTGAATTAACTAACTTTTGCCTTTCTATGTTCTCCAGGGACAACATATTTCAATATGAAACTAAATTAAATGTGAGTTCAAGAGTGGTTTAGATGTGTCAGGAAGATACAATTCTACAGAAAAAGTTGCAAAAATTTAAAAATTTATTAAAAAGATTACAAAAATTACAATGGTTACCTGACGATCTTAAAAAGCATATGGGCTTATTGTTTCACATTTTGTAACATAATCTATTACAAAATAAATTATTCTTCGAGAAAAATTATCTTGAAATGGTAATATTCATATTATAAATTAATAATACAACTGAGTTTGAATAACCATTCAAAACGACTGCAGAATAGCTTTTCTTTAAGTCTCAAAAACTTCATCTGTAAGTGAATCTCACATTCTAGTGCTGCAAAAGTGGTGAAAGATTTTATTTAATTATAGCAGTCTTTCTTTGCCAATCCATGATGGCTTAGCCTAAAAAAGAACTCCTAGGACATGGGTGTAATATTGAATCTAAATAAAGTGTCAAAAAAGCCATACATTGTTATTTAAATAGTGCTGCGATATAACTCTCTTCACAGTGTTTCCTCTTAAGGCAGGAATCACATCTCATACTTCTTGGGTTTCTTTTTTTTCCCTGGAGGCTTATGTGCTCTAAAGACTTCAATATATTGACCAGTATGTGAAATATGAGAACCATATATTAATAAAATGCTTGAACTGAGCTAAAAATGGAAATCGAGTACTAGTAATCTCTAGCTATCTTCCCAGTGTTCTATCTCAACACGCTCCATTCAACCTGCAAGAGGAATGATACGGTTTGGATCTGTGTTGCTGCCCAAATCTCATGTCGAATTGTAATCCCCAATGTTGGAGGAGGGGTTTGGGGGAAGGTGATTGGATCATGGGGACGAATTTCCCCCTTGCTGTTCTTGTGATAGTGAGTGACTTCTCTTGAGATCCGGTTGTTTAGAAGCATGTAGCACCTCCCCCTTCTCTCTCTTCCTCTTGCTCTGGTCACGTAAGATGTGTCAGCTTCCCCTTCCTCCATGATTCAGTTTCCTGAGGCTTCCCAACCGTGCTTCCTGTACAGCCTGCGGAACTGAGAGCCAGTTAAAGCTTTTTTTTTTTTTTTTTTTTAGATGGAGTCTCGCTCTCTGGTCAGGCTGGAGTGGCGCAATCTCAGCTCACTGCAACCTCCGTCCCAGGGTTCAAGTGATTCTTCTGCCTCAGCCTCCTGAGTAGCTGGGACTACAGGCCTCCACTACCACGCCTGGCTAATTTTTTTTGTTTTTAGTAGAGATGGGGTTTCACCATGTTGGTCAGGATGGTCTCGATCTCTTGACCTTGTGATCCACCTGCCTTGGCCTCCCAAAGTGCTGGGATTACAGGCATGAGCCACTGCGCCCGGCCAAAGCTCTTTTCTTTATAAATTACCAAGTCTCAGGTATTTCTTTATAGAGTATGAGAACAGACTAATACAAGGCAACGTGAACTGATTACAGTTCTTGTTTCAAATATTTATGCATTTATTACTCATTTGGCCTGAAAAACAAACAACTTTCTATCTCATTTTCTCTTGCTAAATGTCGAGTTAGCTAGAGCATAATTTCTAGAACCTTGCCAGAACCCTTCAGTTTTTAATAAAAAATGAAAACTTAGAGCTTCCATAGCACATCTGCATAGCTAATGCATCGCATATTATTAAAACCATGTTTGCATAGCTCTCTTCCTTGATTTTAAGCTACTGTGAATTTCAGCTGTTTGACTATAAAGTACCTAATTGTATTTTTTTTCTTTCTTTCTTTTCTTTTCTTTTTTTTCTTTTTTTTTAAGACAAGGTCTTTCTCTGTTACCCTGGCTAGAGTTCATTGTGATAACCCAGCTTACTGAAGCCTCTACCTCCTAGACTCAAGCAATCCTCCCACCTCAGCCTTCTGAGTAGCTGGGACTACAGTTGCGTGTCACCACACCTGGCTAATTTAAAAACATTTTGCTGTTGTTGAGACAGGATCTCGCTATGTTGCCCAGGTTGGTCTCAAGCTCGTGGGATCAAATAATGCTCCCATCTTGGTTTCCCAAAGTGCTTAGATTATAAGTGTGAGCCACCTGGCCCCTAGTTGTATTTTTCTCCATATTTATACTTTCTGGGGCTCATTGAACATCAAGAACTTCTAAATTTATATCATTCACCTAATTGTGAATTGTTTCAGTCATTACTTCCTCAAATAGTTTTTCTGGTCCATTTACTATCTTCTCTTCTTCAGGGCCTCCATTTACACATATATTTGGCATTTACATATTGTCCAACAAGTCCTTAACATCCTATACATTAAAACAAATTTTCTGTTTTTTTAAGATTGGAAATTTATTTTTCATTTTGTAAACTATGTTTATCGAGTCTGTCATCTATATTCTTCTAGTAAACCATTCAGTGAATTTTAAATAACACATATTGTATGATTTTATTTCTAGATTTTTTTATGTAGCTATTGTTAATAGATTCTAGTTCTCTATTGACATTTCTGATCTTTTTATTTATGATGTGTATGTTAGCTCTTACCACCCTGAAAGGGTTTAGACTAACTATTTAAAATCTAAAGCCTTTTTTGATCATTCCAACATCTGGGTCATCTCATAGTTGGCCTTTGTTGATTGCATTTCACCCTGAAAATGCGTTACCTTCTCCTGTTTTATATATGTCAAATAATTTTTATTTTTGTATCCTGCATTTTGCTAATGTAGTACCATAGAGACTTTGAATTAGTTTATATTATTCCAAAGTGCTGCTTTTTTTTTTTTGGTATTAGCATGCAATTAATTTTACTGGACTCCACATGTGAAATCTTATTTTGAATTTTTTTTCTCCTTTAGAAAGGTTGTTTGCTACCTGTCCCACACATGTACAGTCAGACCTCACTCAGTCAGAGACTTAAGTAGAAATATGCCCATAATTAGAGCTCCCCTTGCTGGTTACTCAAGATTCACAGTACTTAAGATTCAAACTGAAGAATCAATTCTCAGATGACTTAATTGACACTTTGGCAACACAAAACTTAAGTCTCTTTTAATATATTGAGATTTACTAGATCAAAATCAATTTTTATCAAAGTTGTCAAATATATAATTGAATAAAGCAAAAGACTGCATTTCCATTTTGGAGAAAAAATTCATCCATTCTTCTTATTCCCATAACCTTCTTTCATCTTTCATTCATCTTTCAGTCTCAAAAGTTGAGTCTACCTCCTCTTTCAATGCTGTTACATGTACCACTTATATGTCCTTTGTCTCTGTCCCTTATCTCAACATTTTTCTCTCTCTGTTCTTTCCCTTTAATCCTTTGTTTTCAACTTAGCAGAGTGGGTTCATACATAAGTGATCTCTACTAGCTGTTACCGTTTTATCTCCACTGACTTTGTCCTTAGCCTCTAAAATCTGACTTTCCTCCCCAGTAATTTTCTACTCAAAAGACCTAATTATTAAAGCCAAAAATATGTTGAAAAACAATGCTTCAACCCTTCTACTATGCCTTCTGGTCACATTCTTCACAGCTATTTACAGTACATGAATCATCTTTTTTATCCTTCTTACTCGACCCAACTCTCTCTGCAGCTCTCTGCAATTCTCTCATTGGTGATAATAACCCATAACCAATTAAATCAGTCTTTAAAATGTCAGTAGTTATGTCTGAAATATTCTATGAAATTCCAGATTTAAAAGAGGGAAGTCTAGGAGTTGAAGGCTATAGTGAGCCATAATCATGCCACTGGTTTCCTGCATAGGTGACAAAGCAAGACCCTATCTCTAAAAAATAAAAAAGGAAATTAAAGAGGAAAGTCAGATTTTTCAAGGAAATAACTAAGAAGCAATTAAATTTAAATAGGAAAGAAGGCAAATAAAGAAAAACTTGCTAGTTAAATCCAGAACCCTGTGTCAGCTTCCATTGCCCCACATGGGCACAATAAACTTGCCTGTGGTTTACCAGTCAAGGTGATTTTTCTAGAGCTTCATGTTCTTGTAGCCCGTGTTAAGAAAACTTCTTTAAAAAAGTTTTTATGTGCAGCACCACAGACTTCTGACAATTGTAATACTCCTTTCCTATACCCACAGTAGAGGAAGCACGTGAGTTTTAGAAAGGAAAATGATGATTTACAAGTCTTGTAGCCAAAGTTGAAATACTCATCCACAAAGTTCATAGAAATGTGGACTGGGTCGAAGCTCAATAAAACATGAGATGGAGACTTCAACATTGACAACACTGAGAGTCTTTGTTGAGAGTTGCATAATAAATGAGCTCTTCCAGTAAATTTTAGAACACCTACCCAACTCTTTTTAATTTTTTTCTTTGAAATAGAATCTCACTCTGTCACTCAAGTTGGACTGTAGTGGCACAGTCACAGCTTACTGCAGCCTCAACCTCCCTGGCTCAAGCAATCCTCCTAGCTCAGCCTCTGGAGTAGCTGGGATCACAGGTGTGTGCCACCATGCCCGGCTAGTTTTTTGTATTTTTTTTTTTTTTTTTTTTCAGAGAGAGAGTTTTGTCGTATTGCCAAGGCTGGTCTCAAACTCAAAGACTCAAACTATCCTCCTGTCTCGACCTCCCAAAGTGCTGGGATTACAGGCATGAGCCATTGGCCCTAGCTGCTTTTAATATTTTTATAACTGAGAGAATTGCTCTGAGAAACCCAGTGCGTATCACTACTCGATGGACAGGCCTCACAGACTTCCTTCAAAAAAAGGTATCACCAACCTGTAGGACGTGAGTCAATTAGATAGATCAAGTAGTCATGTTTACTTCAAACTTTTCTTAGTGAAAACAAGTTGCTATCATCTTTAGTAGGTCAATCTTATTGTTTCGTTCAAGTCTTATGTGTCCGTACAAACTTTTATCTGCTTCTTGAATGAATATTTGAGAATATTTTTTCTCTCTTACTGTGGATTTTAAATCTGTTTAGTTGTGTTAATATGTGCTTCATATATTATGAAACTGCTTTATTGTAAGTATTCAAGTACAGATTTTAAAGTCCTCCCGTTGAGTATTCATGTTATTATCATATAATGAACCTCCTTTATACTGCCTCTTCCTTTTGCCTTAATACATTTTATTATATCAACTTCATTTTTGATTGATTTTTTTCTAGTATATCTCTTTGTAACCCCTTATTTTCAACTTGGTCATAATTAGTTTATTTCTAATTTTTGAAATATCTATGACTCTTTTTGATTTCTAAAAGCTGTTAGGTTTCGCAATAGTTAATTTTACGTGCCAGGTTGGATAGGCCATGGTACCAGTCTTTGGTCAGACACCAGCCTTGATATTGCTGTGCAGCTATTTTTGAAAAGTAATTGACACTCAAATTAGTAGACTTTGAGTACAACGGGTTACTTTCCATAATGTGTGTGGGCCTCATCCTATCAGTTGAAGGTTTTAAGAACAACAACAATAAAAAACTAGTCCCCCAAGGAAGCTTCCAGACTGTTTTCTCACTCAAACTGCAACATTGACTCTTCCCTGGGTCTCCAGCCTGCCAGGCTGCCCTGCAAATTTCAGACTTGCCAGGCCCCACAATTGTGCAAAACAATATCTTATAGTAAACTTTCTCTCTCTCAATAGAAAGATTGATACTTTTAGCAGAGAGATCTAGATATATATAGAAATAGGTATATTGATATAGATAGATGTAATATTTATATCTATGTACATCTATAGCTATGTACACATACACATGCATTCTGTAGCTCATACACACACACAGACTTATATATAGAGAGAATATATGTACACAAATGTACACATGCACAACCATTTTATTGATTCTCTTTTCTGGAGAACCCTGACTAATACAGATTCTTTTCTCAAACTTTTCTTGGTCTTAATTTTTTTTTTAAAGAAAGTATATATTTTACTTTTTTGTTTATTCATTTCCATCTCATTTATTTACTCAAACATATTTATTTCATAACCAGTATTTAATTATTTTATTATTACATTTTTAAGAGCCTAAATGTTGTTTGTGGGCTTTTGTTTGTTTTTTTGCTTGTATATTCTCTCTCATTGTGCACTATCAAGTCAGCTTCATCCCTAATATATTTTTGTACTTTAGATTGAGAGCATACCTTTTATGGAAAATCTACAGGATCTGGGTTGGGAGAAGTCTCTCTGAAGAGGACTTGAAATGGCCCAGGAACTACCATAATGAGAACACTTGACATTCTTTCCTTGAGTCTGGGTTTCCTGTGCCATAAATGTAGAATAACCTTAAACCTCAAAACAACATAAGACAAGCCTGATGTTATAATATTTAGCAAAACCCTTATTTTTCACCTAAGCTCAGGCCAAAACCACATGTTTGTTTTGTAATCTTTTACAAAAGGGTTGTATGTATTTTTTTTTCAATTTTACATATTCATTAAAGGTGGAGACTTTTAATGGTTCTGGTTTTTATTTAGGGATTTCAATTCTAAATGCCCACCTTAGGAAAGTTAGCATCACTGTGTAGTCAAAGTGATGCCTTCTTTTTTTTTTTTTTCTAAGTGATGCCTTTAATGTGCCCTCCTCCTATTTTCTGAGCTGTCCAGTGCCCTCAGGTCTGTGAGACATTCAAATTTCCTCTGCGGTTATTAGCTTGTTCTTGATTTACTATCTCTGGGGTTTATTTTATAAAAGTTTTTAAATTTTTGTCTATAATGAGAAGCACGTATAATTTATTCAGCATTTCTACTTTGTTTATATCAAGGTGTTCACAGAACATGTAGCCCGAAATGAATTTTTTTCTTAAACAAATTAAAATTAATGTACTTATCAGAAGAAAGAAAATTTTAGTCTTAATTGTTAACCTTAGTGTTATGAAAATGAAAATTAATTTTAGAGTTTGTACATTCCTTTTTATATATGTGATTACCTTAAACATAAAAACAAAATAACAGTTTCTTCTCTTCACTGCTGCATGACTTACACCCTCTCTCGATTCCATTAACAGAAGAGTTTCTTTTTTCTTTTGTAGTTATTAGTAAACAATGGAGAATATCTGTAAAATTTAAACTTCTCATTTATTGCTTCAGAGTTCAAAATTTTAGTGAACACTCTTACAATTATCTTAAAAACTATCATTTTACAAATCATTTAAGAAAAATATATGAAGAATGTTTTAAATGATCATAATATTAATATCTACATGGAGGAATGAGAGTACAGAACATGATTTTTAAATTATTCTGTTGTGTTAATTTCTTTGTTGTGACAGTATTTCTGCTAATTTTGTCTTTCATTTTTTTATTTTGTCTCTCAGAGGTGTCAAGTAAGCAAAATAATGGTGAAACTCACTATTTTATTCTCATGATGAACATTTCTCTGAAGTTTAAGAGTATGTTTTTGAGTATGTGTGTAAGCAGACTTTTAAAGTAGCCTAAAAAATGGATATTTCTTAAAAAAATTCTACTTTGTAAGTTTCTGTGTGACACTTCCAAGAACAAAACTAAAAGTGAAGGTTGGAAATATACTACTTTTACACTGAAGTGACTAATGCCTCAATTTACATCTCTGAAACTGGGGTTTAATAATACAGAGTTTAAGATTTTACAAAGAGAGCAACTAGCCCAATGGTAGACACTCAACATTTTCTAATAACCTTTATTTTTTCATTTTAATTTTATTTCCTTTAGAACCTCAGGACATTTGCTACATACACGGGTCTATTCTCCATGCTGCTTAAAGGACTATAGTTCAAACAGTTTACTATCAGTGTTCAAAGGAATCTGAAGTAAGACATTGCCATTAATTGTAGTGACTTAATGATACAGTAGATATTATTTAAAATTCTTGACTCTTTTAAATGAATCTGGACATCTCAGCAAGCAAATAATAATGCCTTCTGATTGAAAAACTAAAAGGGAAACAACATCTGGTTAAAAGTATGTTTCCATTCCCCCTATTCATTTTTTGTGTCCAATATTCCAGGAGGATAATTATTTGAATGTAAAAGTTTGTTGACCTGTAAGATTTTTCTATTAGAATGCAAATGACTCAAAAGACAAACATCTTAAGTCTTAATTATCTTAACTATATTAAGCCATTTGTTAACAAAAAGCTATAAAATACGTCTCTTGGGAGTGTGATGGAGAATGGCAGAGGCAATGCCCATGCTACTCACAGTTTTATAGTCGCACAGACACATCCATACATACAATGTACATGCTGGCTAGAAAACTGATGAAGTCCCATTATCATGTCTATGTGTGTGCATACACTATATAAGAACACATCTAATGAATGTTAATCATCTGTGATGAAGACGAAGAAAGCATTTTCAATGGATTCATGCACTTTTTAATGCAAATCTTTGGAAGGCAAATTAAACTATCACTGAGAATAATTTATCTGGAATATATATTAAAGCAAAATAAAGAACAGATTATTTGCACATATATTTGTTTTCTTCCAAGGTAAAGACAGAATATCTTCATAGGGGAACACAGTGGAAGCAGAAAGACCTCTAATCATCTTGAAACATCTTTGTCTCTTCTTAGAATGTGAAATTTTCCTTGATAAGTGAGCAGTGATGTGTGCTTTTTTTTTTTTTTTTTTGAGTTGCAGTATTGCTCTGTGGCCCATGCTGGAGTGCAGTGGCATGATCTCGGCTCTCTGCAACCTCCGGATCTAGGGATTCTCCTGCCTCAGCCTCCTGAGTAGCTGGGACTTACAGGCACGTGCCACTACACCGCTAATTTTTTGTATATTTAGTAGAGACGGGGTTTCGCTGTTTTGGCCAGGCAGCTGTCAAACTCCAGACCTCACGTGATCCATCTGCCTCAGCCTCCCAAAGTGCTGGGATTACAGGCGTGAGACCCTGTGCCCGGCCGATGTGTTCATTCTAATTCTGTTTATATACTTACCCTATTAACATCCACACTCTTTTGCTCAGAAACCACTACCTACTTCACTGGAGATGTGAATAAATGTGATGGTAATATCCATACTAACATGATTCTGGGATGACCTTTCTGCATCATTTATTTTGGATTTGATTATTCTGATCATGCTGGTGAATGAAGTAACTGAGAAGTGGGAATTGAATTAAGTTCAGATTTCCAAACATAAAATCTCCCCAAAGGCATTTAACGTTTCATATTCATATGGAGACGTTTGGGAGGATGAAATGTAATTAGTTTCAGCAAGATATTTAAGACTTCACTATCATTCATATTCTGTGCTCAATGGAATAAAGTAAGTGTAGATACCATTGCAATCTGTTTCAGTAAAATAGGTGAGAAGCCATGCTTTACCCTTAGCAGTAATAAGGAAACAAGTAAAACAATCCAACCAGCAAAGCAAAACAAAACAAAGAGTAATTTCAGTAGCCTTACTAGAAAGCTGTTTAACAAGGAAAAAAATGTTTTTCTTTATATTCCAGTGAGAACAAGAACAAATTTCTTACTTTGATAACAAAGTTACCGAAAATCTATAACTCTCTCTTTAGTACAAAGCAATATTTTTAAAACGTTGTCTATATAGGTATTAAAAGAAGAGTATAAAATTTTCCGACTGTTTTTCAGATTTCTTTTTAAAAATTTTAGCACAGAATCACACTAATAAAATGAGCAAATATGAAGAAGTTTAATATATTAAAAGACATTCATACACACATGCACATACAACTCACAAATTACCCAAAAAACAAAACAAATAAAAATTGCTCTGGTTAAAGGAGGAGATAGAAAATCACGAAGGCTGAATGTAGACCTCTTCCTGTTTACTCTCTTTCCATCTTCCTTTTTCTCTCTTTTAGTTTGTCCATTGCAAGCTCCCAAACAGACCCAGGAGCACTGTCTAAAAAGCACTGGCAGAGTAAAACGATTCGTGAATTTAGAAGTGTCTTTTTAAAATCTTTGCAAACGTACCACTTATCTCCAAAGCTAGGACAGTGTATTTGGAAAACAAAAGCACATACTCCTGAATGGCAGAACTAGTTAGAAGAGATAATCAGGGATAAATTAGGAGCAAGCAATAACTCATAACCAATTTATATTTATTCCTAATAAACATTACATATGTATGGGATGGTAAATTATTAATAGGTAATAACAATTGTTCAAACATAAAGAAGCCTACGAGACATGAAGAAAATGAGAAACATAAGTATAATTACATCAAGGCACATCATAATCAAATTGCTTCAAACCAGTGATAAAGAGAAAATCTTAAAATTGGACAGAATAAAAAAATCGCATTGAGGAGCAGCGATAAGAATGGCAACAGATCTTTCATTAGAAAAAAATGAGGCCAAAATGCAGTGGAGTCATATCATTAAAGTACTGGGAGAAAAGTAAACTATCATGTTAGAATTCAATAGGTAAAAATATGTTGCACGAGCAAAAGCAAAATAAGAGTTTCTTAGACATACAAAAGCTAAAGAATACATTGACGGAAGATGTACATTATGATAAAGGTTAAAAAAATTCAGCTGGGTGTGGGTGGCTCGCACCTGTGATGCCAGCACTTTGGGAGATTGAGGTGGGTGGATCACCTGAGGTCAGGAGTTTGAGACCAGCCTGGCCAACATGGCAAAACCCTGTCTCTACTAAAAATACAAAAATTAGCTGGGTGTGGTGCTGCGTGCCTGTAATCCCAGCTAGTCTGGATACTGAGGTAGGAGAATCGCTTGAACCTGGGAGGCAGAGGTTGAAGTGAGCCAAGATCGCGCCACTGCACTCCTACCTGGGAGAGAGAGCAAGACTCCATCTCAAAAAAAAACAAAAAAAACAAAAAACATTCTCCAGGCAGAAGCAAAATCATAACAGATGGAAATTGAGACTTACGTACAACAATAAAGAGCATCAGAAATGATAAATATATTTGTATATAAAAAGACTTTTTCTAATGTTTGATGTCTTTAATAGATAATTGACTTATTAAAACAAAAATGATATAAATGTACTGTTGTGTTTAAAACATGTAGAAATACAATGTATGACAACAATGGCACACAGGCTGGGACAGTCAGAAATGCAAGTATCCTATTGTAAGTTTCTTTTACATTAAGTGTGATAGCATTACTTGAAGGTGGACTGTAATAAGTTAAATACAATTATATGAACACCATATATTATATATAGTATTATATATAGTATATATAATAAAATGAAACAAAGTATTGTAGCTAATAATTCAACAAGTGACATAAAATTAGTAATGAAACTTCTCAATAAAGTAAAGGCAGAAAAGAGAGAAACATAAAACAAAGAATAGATGGGAAAAATATAAATTAAATGGACAAATGGAAGATTTAATTCTGACCATTTCAAGAACCGCAATTAAATACAAGTGATCTAAATATACCAATTAAAAGACAAAGATTGTAAGTTCTAATAAAGAAAAGCATGACCCAACTAAACACTGCCTACAACACACACAAACACACACACACACACACACACACACACACACACACAAGTTGAAAGTAAAAGGATGCAAAAAGAAATCCATGTTTTTATTAGTCAGAAGAAAGCTGGAGTGGCTAAATCAACATCAGATAAAATTGATTACAGGGCTAGAATATCATCAGGAATAAAAAAAGTTCACTTATGATAAATAAAATGAATTCTTCAAGAGGATGCAAAAAATTTAAAGAATTTATCTTTAGTAGACCAGCACTAAAACAATTTTCAAAAAGTCTTTAGAAAAATGAAACAGATATATACAATTTTGGATCTGCTATAGTTTGAATGTGTCCTTTTCAAAATTCATGTGTTGAAACTTAATCCCCACTGTGATGGTATTAAGAACTGGGGTCTTTAAAATGTGATTAGCCAGAATGGGTTTGTCTTATAAAAGTGCTTGAGTGTTAATCTCCTTTCCTCTTCCACCACATGAGAACACAGCACTCATTCCTGTTTTGCTCTCCCACCCTTCACTATGTGAGGATGAGACGATGAGATGGCATCATCATTGAAACAGGTCCTCACCAGAGACCACACCTGCTGGCACTTTGATCCTGGAATTCCCCTTCTCCAGAATTCTGAGAAAATAATGTTTCATTTTTTATAAATTATGCAGTCTGTGATATCCTTTTACAGTAGCACAGATGGAAGAAGACAGTATTTATCTACACTAATTGTAAATGTGTACGTATGTAAAAATGCTTAATTTTAAAATATCGTCAAAGTTAATTGACATTAAATACAAATTACAACCTGTGGTGGGGTTTAAAACATGTTTAAAAATAAAATGTAGGAAAATAATACCACAAATGCTAGTAAGCAGACATGGAAGTTTACTGTCATAAGATTTATACGATTAAGAAGTGATATCGTACTGTTTGGAGGGACACTATAATAAATTAAATGTATATACCAGAAACCTCAAATAAGCATCTATAAAAACCAGAGTTTTAGCTAATAAGTCAATAAAAGAGATAAAATGAAATTGTAAAAAATATTCAATCCAAAAGATGGAATGATAAGAAGAGAAAAGAACAAAGAACAGAAAGAATAAACAGAAAATAAGTAGAAATATGGTCGATTTAAACCAAATCATATATATTGTCACAAGTAAAGTGGTTTAACACTGAAGTTAACATATTTTAGGTTTTCTATACTCTTACTTTTGTCCACTTGAAATCTGCTACACAGTGTTGTGTGAATGCTTACTATTATTAAACAGTTTATACTATTTTTATATGTAATACTTTTTATTTGTAATATATTAAATTTTTAATATTTTACTATTTTAAAATATCATATGAGTAAACATATGTATAAATACTATACTTTCATTCACAGGTGTGACTTTTAGCACTGACATTTTTATTCTGAATTCTGCTTTATTTGTTCATTATTTCCGAGGTATTTTTAAAAAATTTTTTTTTGTTATTACAAATGGTGGTTTCACTTCTACTACATCTTGTAAATAATGATATATATTTATATTTTATATAAGTTATATAGTGTATACTATATATAAATTACCTGTTATAAAATATGTCACACATTTTATACATTATATAAATGACTACATATAGAACCACTGCTTATTTCTTTATGCTAATTATATATCCTCCTGACTTAGCTTTATCAATGATTTTCTAGGATTTTCTAGATTTATTATTACATCATCCGTGAATAGAGATATATTTACTTCCTGTTTTTCCTAATTCTTCTCCCTGTGATTGTTTTATCTCCATTAAAAAATAGTGAAGATGGTGAGGATCCTTCACTTGCTTAGGATTTTAGTGGAAATATGTCTCATGCTTTCATATTTAAAAAGTTTCTAGCTTTCATAATGAGGTATGCATATTTATCATATAATGATATATTAAGGAGTATTTATCAGTTCATATTTATTGAGTCCTTTACATCAGAAATGGGAACCAAATTTTGTCAAATGCCCTTTTGGATTCTGAGAGTATAATGTTATACATCATGTTTTCTGCTCTATTAATATGACATATTATATCAATTGATTTGTAATGTTAAACTTAGCCTTGCATTTCTGAAATAAATACCATTTGATTATGGTGCATCATTTTCTTAATGTGGTGTTGAACTCTTCTAATTCTTATCCTTTACTTTTATAACAATATTTATTAATGAATATTTATGGACTATATTAAATATTAATGAATAGCTATTAATGGACCTGGTGCTTTTCAAAGAGTAGTTTCTTGATATCTTTCTCTATTTCATCAATGGAAATTATCCAGTAAGTTTTTTATTTCTACTGCTTTCAATTTTGGCAAACTCTATATTTTTATGAATTACCCATTTTACCTAGCTTTGAAAATGTAATTTTATAGAGACATGCAAAGAAATTCTTCATTATATACAAATGTTAAGTTTTGGTTTCATAGTCATTCCTCCTTTTCATTTTTTATTTGGAAATTCGTGCTTTCTTCCGAATTTTCTTGATTTTGTTGGTTGGTGGGTTGTCTAGTTTATTATATTTATATTTTGTCTGACGAACCAATGAACCGAGGTTTCTAGTCACTAATCAAAACTACTCTTTGTTGTTTTCTATTCCATTATTTTGTCATTGTTTTCTTGTTTTCCATTGTTCTTTGTCTAGCTTCTTCAAGGGAAATGTCATTTTTATGCATTCTTTTTTACTGATAAAAGTTGTTTAGGCTATGGATATAAAAAATTTTTTAAATTACTGTTAGTGCAGTGAGCTGAGATTGCACCACTGCACTCCAGTCTGGGTGACAGAGCAAGAGTCTTTTCAATAATAATAATAATAATAATACTGCTAGAAATATTTGACAATTTTCTGTCATGTAATGTTTTATTTTAGATTTTTCCTTTTGCCTTCTTCAAAGACTTAATTAACATAATAGCCGTATTATTTCTTTGTTTTTAAGTTTCCATGAGGGACAATCTTTTCAGTATGTATTTTTCTATTAGCTTCTAGTTGCTTTCATTGTGCCCAGATTATTCTGTGTCTTATTTCTTCTTAAAGAACTTATCAGTTGTTTCCCTGAAACCAAAGCGATGATCATTTTGTGATATTGCTATGTACAATTAAGAAGGTTTCTTTGATGTATATTCATAAGGCTAAATATTCACATATACTGTAACTTGCTTTGTATACTTGATATATCTTATTTTGAAATTAGTGTGTTAATATTTTCTATTATTACTGTGATTCCTCTTGCATTATCTGTTGTTCCTGCTTTGTAAACATAATGGTGGTGTTATTTGTTGTAGAAACCTTCTCAATTGTTATATCAGTATTTCGAATTGTGACTTCTAGGTTTTTGTCACATTTAATAGATCTTGGCCTGAATTGTATTTGATTTAACATCAAGATCACAGCCTCTGCTTTCATACCGTTTTCCTTTCCTATTCATTTCATTATATTTAGCCTTTCTTTCAGATGGTTGTCTTTTGAACACACAGGGATGGGTGTTGCCTTATGAGGCAATTTGGTATTTCAGTTGATAGGATAAGACCATTTAGTTTATTGATATAGGTATTGTTTAGTCTCAATGCTATCCATATTATCTTATCTTATAAATAATATATATATATATAATATCTACTGTGTTTCTTTTTACCTATATCATTTGGGGAAGCTTGGAATATTTGTATTTATATTATTTTAGTAATTATGTTTGTTTTATGCTTTTATAATGCCCTAGTACCACTTTTTAAAAAATTACCTTTTACTATCTAAGTTGTCAGTTTTAAATAGTATCCTGCCAACTATTTAGGTGATGGGTTGACTACCATCAACCAACTATTCAATAATAAAAGAATTATTTTGTCTTCCTTTTGTTGCCCCTGTCTTAGTCAAAGTAGTGTTATTTCTAATTTGTATTTTAATGGACCTGGTGCTTTTCAAGGAGTAGTTTCTTGGTCTCCTACTAATTTTTGTAGTATAGCTTCATCTCCAGTTTATTGATGTATATCTTTTTGCTTTTCTCTGAATGCAAAATTGACTAGATAATGCTCACTATAAATCTTTGGCCCAAATTTCCCCAATTTGGTTGGATGCAGTTTATCCTCCAGTAAATTCTTCAAGCATGGCACATGAGTACAGTACTTCCTGATTTCAAGTTTATATCCATGTTTAAAAATATTTTTCTGTATGAAAACTTTGGTTTGTACTTTCTTTCTTTGAGTTTCTGAAAAACGTGGTTCCATTCTTTTCTTGTGTTTATGTTGTTCTTCAGAAGCTTGGTATTAGCTTAATTTTTTTGCTCTTGCAAGTAATTTGGTCCTTCCACTTTCTTCTTATCCATGAAGATTTCTTTTATCTTTAAAGTAATAGTTTTGCTGGGCTACAACTTGATCATGGGTCAATTGGCTAGAGTATATCTTCATTTGGGGTTAATATTCTGAGGTACACAACTGACTATTATAGTATGTAGATTTTGGTAGATTTAGGTCTTCTTTTATTTTTGCAAAACTTTTATAGATTATACTACTATATTTTGTTCTCATTATTTTGTTTTTTGTTTTTGGATCACATGATAAAACATTATGATGAATCTTCTCTGCTTCCTCCTATTTCAACCACTATTGTTCTCTCTTTCTGTCACATTGTCAACAAAAAAGTATTCTAATGTACATTCTCTTAGTCCATATGAGTGAGTTTTTTTATGATAACTAATAAGAAATTTAGTGTCTGGTCCATGGACTATGATAATTTAAAATTTTACTACCTATTGTGACTTGCTATCCAAAATTACCATCTCAATTCACATTGCACTAACCATAAAAAAGGTTACCATGTCCCCTTACTCTTGCCCACATCTGCTATCAAACTTTTTCCCAGTACTGAGGAGTATAAAGTGATATTCAAATTTTGTATTAATTTGTATTATCTTAATTACCAATAATACCAATTGGTTTATTATATATTTATAGGCTGTTATTTCTTTTTCTGTGAATTTCTTGTTCATATGCCCATTTTTCTATTGTATTATCTTTTTAAATTATTGATTTATGGGAGCTCTTTATGTATTGTATCAGGGGAACGCGTCCCCAGTATTTCAACGTAGGTTCTATTTTCCATAAGTGTTGGCCGGCTGAGAAATAAAGAGAAAGAGTACAAAGAGAGGAATTTTACAGCTGGGCTGCTGGGGGTGACAACACATATCAGTAGGACCATGATGCCCACCTGAGCCGCAAAATCAGCACGTTTTTATTAAGGATTTCAAAAGGGGAGAGGGTGTATGAACAGGGAGTAGGTCACAAAGGTCACATGCTTCGAAGTGCAAAAAGAGAACAAAGATCACATGCTTCTGAGGAAACAGGACAAGGGCAAAATCAGAAACTCCTGATAAGGGTCCAACAAAGATCACAAGGCAGGCAAAAGCAAAGATCACAAGGCAAAGGGCGAAAGCAGAATTACTGATAAGGGTCTATGTTCAGTGGTCATGTATTGTCTTGATAAACATCTTAAACAACAGAAAACAGGGTTCGAGAGCAGAGAACCAGTCTGACCTCAAATTTACCAGGGCAGGTTTTTCCCCACCCTAGTAAGCCTGAGGGTACTGCAGGAGATCAGGGCGTATCTCAGTCCTTATTTCAACTGCATAGGACAGACATTCCCAGAGCAGCCATTTATAGACCTCCCCCCAGGAATGAATTCCTTTCCCAGAGTATTAATATCAATATTCCTTGTTAGGAAAAGAATTTAGCGATATCTTCCCTACTTGCACATCCATTTATAGGCTCTCTGCAAGAAGAAAAATATGGCTCTTTTTGCCCGACCCTGCAGGCAGTCAGACCTTATGTTGTCTTCCCTTATTCCCTAAAATTGCTGTTATTCTGTTCTTTTTCAAGGTGCACTGATTTCATATTGTTCAAACACACATGTTTTACAATCAATTTGTACAGTTAACACAAATATCACAGTGGTCCTGAGGTGATGTACATCCTCAGCTTACGAAGATAACAGGATTAAGAGATTAAAGTAAGACAGGCATAAGAAATCATAAGAGTATTATTTGGGAACTGATAAATGTCCATGAAATCTTCAAAATTTTTGTTCCTCTACCGCGGCTCCAGCCAGTCCCTCCATTCGGGGTCCCTGACTTCCCGCAACAGTATTGTCAACATTAATCCTTGTATTTTGCATATGAAATATAATCTGTTACATGCATGTATGAGTCAGTAAGTGTATGTATGTATGTATATGTATGTAATAATTGACTTTTTGACTTTTAAAGTTTAATTTCCTTCTGTGTTACATGTTTTTTAAAAGTGATGTTGTTATATTTATTCATCCTTTTGTTAATGGTTTTATTCTTTATCATTAAGAAGCCCTCTGTTTCCTATTGCCAAATCATAAACACATCTTCCTATATCTTCTGCTACTATTTTACAGAATTTTAAATATATATATATTTATCATATCAGCAATTTGTGAATTTGTTAAGAAGTAGAGTATTAACCTTTTTTTTCTTCAAGTAAACAGGCAAAAGTAAATAAAATTTTCATGAGGAAAACATTCTTTCAATCTAAGGAAGTCTTTTTCAATGGAATATTGTTTTATTTATCAGAAAAATAGAATGACAAAAGAAAAACATTAATCTTTTATCTGTAAATATTTTTCATAATTGGGGATTTTATAAATAAACCTACCTCATATGCAATTGTCTCCTAATCTTGTTACCCAGTCTCAGGTGGAGTTTACAGAGCTTTAGTGCTCAGATTGTGAGATATAATAATTCAACTACATTTCGCTGTAATACAACAGCAGGAGTTTGTGTTGATTTGCCATGACCCTATTTTTAGGAATAGCATTGGAGGAGAATATATATGGTGATGTGTTACATATGAATAGAGAAAACCTGGACTTTTAGCCTGAAGAAGGGAAATCTTAGAGAATTCATGATAGCAATGTTTAAATATTTAAAATAATGTCATATCTAAAGAAAATAGAAATGAAATTTAGTTTAATGACATAGAAAGCTATTTAATAGTAAAACTGACTAAGAATTGGGTAGATGGTCATGTGGGAAAGCAGATTCTGATGACCAGAGATCCTCACAGAGGCTGGGTGGCCAGATTTCAAACCATACAAAAGGGACTAGGATTGAACATTTGCAATAAGTTGAACTTAACTAACATCACTTTCACTTCTAAGATACTATTATTTAATTTGATGCTAATTCACTTGGAACTTTCATAGCCTCATGAAAATTAAATGCTGCTAATATGAGCAGAGGGATTTTCTAATGAAATGTGTGTAGAGTGAAGGACTGGGAAACAGTAAGGGTAATGTTTTGTAATTTATGTTAGATGCCATTAACATACTTCCTAACGTAGTTGAGTGAGGGAAAGTAAGTAGGAGGTGCAAAGTCCAGGAGGCTAAAAGCGGTAAGGAGGAGGGGAAGAAAGGCTGACATTTCTGGAGTCTAAAATATTCTGGGTACTCAAAACCCCCTAACGTTTGATGTTGATTTTTTTTTTTTTTTGAGATGGAGTCTCGCTCTGTTGCCCAGGCTGGAGTGCAGTAGTGTGATCTCAGCTCACTGCAACCTCTGCCTCCCAGGTTCCAACGATTCTCCTGCCTCAGCCTCCTGAATAACTGGGACTACAGGTGTGTGCCGCCATGCCTGGCTATTTTTTTGTGTTTTTAGTAGAGACGGGGTTTTACCAGCAATTAAAACAGTCACTGCAGTCACCAGGAGCTGTTGATCTTTATATTGGATCCTCAGCATGCTCCAAGACATCTAAGTCACTCATATCTAGATGTTGTTTTGGTCACTTTGATCTTTGCTTGCAGGTGTTTTTAAACTTCTCTCAACACAAATGTAGATACTTTAAACGAAGTGTTAGGAAGCAAAACATGCTTTGGGCCACATCATATCAATGGTTTTTCTAACTTACATGCAAACAAAACACAGTTGAGTATTCTTTCTAAAGAGTTTGTACAACAACAGGACTGGAACTTCAATTAGATAGTGGAAGTGGAAGCTCTGAGAAAGTGTGTTCATTCATCTGAAATACTGCACCTCATGCCAATTTATTTTATGACCATGGTATATGAATTTGCAGGATATTGCATTAGTATATTGGGAATTAAAATTTATATGGGGTTAACTATGGAACGTATTAATTATTTGCATTTATAACGTGGGAAGATAATAGCAGAATTGGGTAACTGGGATGGTATGAGGTGAGGCAAAGAGGAACAAAACCCAAACTAGACCTAGTGGGTGAACAAGGGCAAGGAGAGGTGTTTGTTGGAGGAGGCAACCCTTGTGACAAATCTTCACGATTAATATTATCATAGAAATATTTTATGAAGAAATGAAAAAAAAAAAAACAAAAACAAAAAGTCATTCACTCACTGGGAACATAACCCAGCTCTCTTAATATCCTGTATTATCTCTTCTCACATAACTCAGTCTGCCTGATTTAGAATATAGAACAAGGGAAACAAATAGCAGAAAGAAAACTGTTAAATTCTTCATTAAGGGTCTCTAAAGGTCAAATTATACAAGGGAGAGTTTTGACATTTTTGCAAAGGATTGTACAGCAGATACTCAAATAAAAAGCCACTTAGCCTTGATTAAAAGGAAAGGTGATGAAACGTCACCATACCTATTTCCTGAGTGACACGACTTGAAATATTCCTCCCTCCCCATTTTCCTTTCTCCATTCCTTTCTTCCTTCTTTCCATCCTATGTACCCTGTTATTTCTTTCCATAATTTGTTGACCTATTCACTTTAAAATAAAATATACCTTGCCTAAACTATACAATATAAAAATACTAAAATATAAATTTTGGACTTTAATTCAAACTGTGAGCGGGTCCTTTTTTCAGAAGAAAAAGTTGTGTTCTTTTTTCCCTCACTGTGGTTATTAGGACATTAGGCTGGTTCAAGGGCAATGTACTGAATGATGAAATAATCTCTGAGCATATCTTTTAACTAAATGCCCAGCATGATACTCTTTGTACTGAATGTTTTAATTGGATACTTTCTCCCTCTGGAGCCCAGAATAAAAATGTTAATCTTGTTTTCCAGACACTGTTAGCACTGTTTGCCATTTTCCTAATAAAGCCACAACGCTCTCAGCCTTTCATCATAGCTTTCCAGTAGGTTCCCCAAACATTCTACCCTAATTACTGTAGCCTGGAAATATCACCTTTCACCCCTTGTAAGTTTTACTGAGCAATCAGCAATTTGCTGAGAGGAACAATGACCATCTTTTATATCTCAGACTTCATGTAGCTATGCTTCTCTTAAATCAATTCAGTTTTATGTTCACTCTTTGAGGGATGATAGTGGGGTTGTTATTTCCAATTCTCAGAGAGCAATTGGTAGCAATAGGTAGAAATGCCTCCTATGAAGAAATAATTATCGTGTCTGTTAACCTTTGGATAAGAGTTGGGTGAGAAGCTAGGTGAGAAACTGCCATGCAGGATGAGCTGTTTTCTCTCCTGAAAGTGAGCCTGCTGAAATATGGTTACATTAGCATTGCTTTTCCTTATTTCTGTCTTAAACTTTATTGAAATGAAAAAGAAATGCCTCAGGAAAGTGAAGTCTCTGGTCACTGATAGCACTGACTATAAGTCAAGACACTGCTTCTTTGGTATTTTCCATCCACCTTTCCCCAACCAGTGGGGTGCAAGGGGCTCCTCATATTGAGGTTTCCTTTGAACCCCGAATGGTGGTATTCAAGCTAAATGAATCAGGGAGAACTAATTCTTTTCTTTTCTTCCTTTTTGTGAGGAAAGATTTATTATTAATGATGTCAATAAATAGAAGCAAGAGTGCAGAACAAATAGAAATTTGAGTATGACAAGTACACTTATGCACCAGAGGAGAAATCTGAAGTGCATACTCAAAATAGGAGGAAAGAGCAGCTCTTCTCACAATGAAGGGTGAGATACAGAGGGTAGAGTTTGCCTAAACACTGACCAAAGGCCAGCAATTAATTTCTGCAGGGAAAGTACAATAAAACACAATGAATATTCCCCTTCGGAATGTATGCTTGAAGAGGAGAGGAAGAATTAGAACTTAGTGAATATCTTGTGTCTTTGAGAAGTACTACGTACAACATCTCAGTTGCTTTTCATAGCACCTCTGGAAGATATTCTATTTGCATTTCATATACCTAGTAATGGAAAGATTAAGACAGCTCTCTCAAAGCACATAGCCAGAGGATGGAGGGATGAGATTTGTTGGGCTATGAACCCATTGCTCTGTCTACTATAGCACACTGTCTCTAACTGAGAAGAGGTTAAGTGTGGAGACAAAAACATGTTCAAATTGTTGCTATATAAATTATTTAAGCAGAGAGTTATAATCTTTGTTAAGTTGTTTAATCGTTAATGTAAGATATATTTATCAGATGTACTATGAGCATGGGGATGTAGTAATAAAAAGTAGACAAAGTATGGCATTTAAGAAACTCACAGTATAGAAGGAAAAATAGTAAACAAATAATCGTTAGTGTGATGAATGTTCTAAAAGAACATTCCTGGATGCTATAGAAGTAAAAATGCTCCATCTAGGTAAATTTATAGGCTTTTTAACAGGGGAAGGAGAGGATGATATTAACAAATCACCTAGAGGAATTCACCTATGTGAATAACCCAGAAGATGGTGGTAAGATCTATTCGATAAGATCATTCCATTAGAAAATGAGAGAAAACACAATTTAAACTGGTTTAGGATAAAAGGAAATTAATTGACTAATCATAGTGATCACACTTCAAGGTTATTTGTGTTCCAAACATGAATTGATTTAAGGCCTAAAATGTGTCACAAGGATTTATCTCTGAGTTCTACTTCCTCTGTTTTGGCTCCATTCTGACAACACGCAACTTGAGGCTCATATCATTATGAGCTGATCATTGAGAATGAAAGAGATTAAGACTTTTCCCAAGAATCACATAGCTAGAATAGAAGTTTGTCAAAGGAGACCTAAAACAAAAGTCACACAACTGATTCTCAACTGACATTAGTATACTCTCTTGGGTCATTAGACCACATACAATAAATCACTGTGTTTGGAGACAGAAGGTACTGATTGGCTTACCCTATTAGTTAAAAATGAAGATTAGATTATCCAGAGACCAACTGGTCTACATTTAACACTAGAGAGTTAGTGGGTACTGTGTGCCAAAAAAAAAAACCCTCCAAATCGGAATTAATAGATTAACATTTCACACTAATTATAACTCAATAATATTTGCAGAGAAACTTGTGTGTAAGCCATTAAGATCAGGCCTAAAAATGAGTCAAAATTATTTATGTTCTGGTCATCAAAGCCCTTACAGTCTAATAAAGCAGCCAAAATAATAGATACACAAATAAGAATTATATAAGGCAGGATAATTCAGCCATTATCATGAACAGGCAAGTTAGAACTTTTACTTTTTCTTCTGAAAATTATCCTAAAGCAACAAGGGAAGAAAAAACTTAAAGAAGAAAACCTCAACTTTCAGTAGACCTTGGAGGCATAAATAATCTGCAGACTCCAAAATCTCTTTAATTGTTGTGAAATGTGATAATCAGTTAGAAACCACATAGAAGGAAGTAAAGAGAAAATGTATGGAACACTGCAAGAATGCCAAATAGCGGCATCTTGGAAAACACCAGTAAATTATACTTCCTGAAAGTATTAGTTTTATTTTGCTTAATAGCAGATTGCCACAAATTTAATGAAGTAAAGCAACATATACTTCTATTATTTCACAGGAGTCTGGGCAGAGTTTAGCTGGGTGTTCTGCTCAGGGTACCACAAGGTTGCAGTGAAATTGTCAGCCAGGCTGCATTCTCATCTGGAGGCTCTAGGGGAAGAATCTGCTTTCCAGCTCATTCAGATTGAGGAGAATCCATATCCTTAGGGGGTCTGGACGAAAGCTGAAGAGTTATGTTTTGCTGGCTGTTGGCTGAATGTGAGCTTCAGGTCCTAGACTCTATTCACAATTTATAGAGGCTGTCCACGGTTCTTTGTTACTTGGACTTCCTCAACAAGGCTTCTTATTTCATCAATTCAACAAGAACACATCTCTCTTTCCAGTGTGCTAAGACTCAGTCTTACATAACACAACATAATCATGGGAGTGAACGTTACCTTTGTTATATTCAATTGAATTGTTTGGAAGGAAGTCACAGGTCTTACCTATATTTCAAGGGATAGGATTATTAAGACAGAATACTAGGAGTCAAGAATCACTGTAGGTCTTTTAATGTTTGTCTACTACCCTGAAGTATCCCAACCCCATATTCTGAAGTAATACTATAGCCTTTGTTTGTAATCACAGGTGGAGAAGCTGCAGTGAGCAAAAACATACTAGAACTGTTCTGGTTCAGATAAACAGAAGAATTAAGTATCAATAAAGAATTCTGCAAAGGGGAGTTAAAGAATGCATTTAGTGCTTGTAGTTGCATAAACAATAGCTTAAGAGTTCTGAAAGCTCTCTAGCATGTAAGACTACTTTTGCAGCCCACCCCGACAAAGGAACCTTATGCAAATAGCTCTTCCAGGAAAATCTAGACCAAAGTTGAGTGTTTAAGGCATTACTTACTGAATACCCATTTGCTCTTTCATTATTGTCATATTTTTCATTAAATATTCTTAAGACACAAGTCTTGCTATGTTGCCCAGGTTGGTCTGGAACACCTCAATCTCCTGAGTGGTCCTGACTACAGGCATGCACCACTATGCCTGGCTTCCATGTGCTCTATTATGTTTTCCAGTCTGCGTTACAGTTTGACTGGGGCAGTGTGACTTACTCTGCCCAGTGGGCTGTTCATAGAACTGATGTAAGCCATACCAGGCTAAGGCATTTATAAGCCAGCATGTCTTTTTGAAAACCATCAGACTCAAGTAATATCTTAAGAGAAGAAAACCTGGACTTTTGAGTCATTATAGATATAGCCAAGGAAAATAATGGAAAGAAATGACTTCTCAAATGGTGGATTCAGGGGCTGTAGAGAACAACGAACCAAGATGCTTCTTGTAGAGAGCCGAAACACAGCCTATAACTTCAATAATGTGTCAAAACAAATAATTGAAAATATAATTCCAGAAAATTTCCCTAAAATAAGAGTAAACAATGGATAAGAAAATTAATTCAGTTTGATCAAAACTAAGATATGTCATTGTTTAGTTATTGGATTTCAAAGACAAAGGAAAAATAGTTGGGCAGCCTATCAAAAATATCAAGTTATTTATATGGAAGAAAAATCAGGTCGGTCTCATTTATTCATAGCAACTTTCTGTGCCCAAACATGAGCATCTTAAATATTCACAAGAAGAAAGTTATGTCCAATAAATTTTATATTCTGCCAAGCTTTTCTTCATATTAATATCAAACAATTTTGAACAGTCAAGAACCCAAAGAAAATTGTTCCCTTGGGCCTTTTTTGAAGAAACTGCTGATCTCTATGCTTTTCAAGAGATAAGTGGAAAATTAAAAAACTGGAGAAAACAGTACATTTATTTAACAATAGAACTGAAAGAGGAAAATGTGGATTGAAACTGTATAGCAGAATGAAAACATTAAGTTTCTAAGAAGCTAGAAATTCAACAACTTACGCAAATTGGAAAGGAATTTTAGAAAGAAGGTATGTGTAATTACATTTGTTGGTTGTTTCATCTGTAAGATCTGGGAGGAACAGATATTATTTAAAATCAACCTCATACTTAAAAAATTAAAAAATATATTTAAAAGCATATTTAATGATATAAAAGTAAAAAACAAAGGTAGTGTTATTAACTAAAATATGACAGTGATGGGGGAAATGAGGTTCACAGACCAATTAAAAATATTATTCAGATGGTATTACACAGCAAGATACAACTTTATTCTATAAACCAAGAACAAACCTAAATTAAAGTGACACAGAAAAGTTAAAAATAAAAAGGATAAACACAGTTAGAGGAAGCAAATATAAACAAAAAGGAAACAGATATGCCAATTATGTTATCAGAAAAGGTAGGCCCAAACCATTACACTGGATACAGAAGTTTATACAGCTAAATCATGTAATTCACAAGGAAACTATAGTAATGGTTATTAAAGAACAAATAATATAGTGTCAATGTCTATAAAAACGAAACTTTGGTAGATTCGGAATTAGAATATACTTAAAGGAAAGTTTAATTAATATCTCCCAGTCCTTGAGAAAGTGAAACAAAAAGTATTGGTGCAGAGGAAAATCTAAATAACATACACACAATGTGATATTATACAGATTTATATATCAAACTTTATATTCTGAGTCTAGAGAATATGGCCTCTTTTCAATGCCCCAAAAATAGTTAAAGAAAATGACCATATCTTAGGCTAAAAAAAAAAAAAACCCTCAAAAATACAAATATGGCTGGAAACATTTCATCATAATGCAACACAACCAATTTTTTTTAAAAAAAGAAAAAAGCACCTTCCGTTTTTAAATTACAAAATTATCTAAAAAAAACTATTGAATATATTAAGAACTACAAACTGAGACTGTAGAATATATAATAAAAATTATAATGAAAATGTGACCTATCAGATCTAATGGAATAATTATAGCTAAAACAGTGCTCAAAAAATTAATAGCTTTAAAAACACTAAATCTATTTTAAAAATATACAGGCAGTGAATAAATCCAAGAGTTGAAGATTCACAAAACAAACTGATGAAAATGGAAAGTATTATGAAGGAAAAAAAACATTAATTAAAAATTAATGTAAAATTAAAAATTAATGTTTTAAAACAGAACAATTCTAGGGATCATAAAGGAATACAAAGGCTGATTCCTTGTAAAAACAAACAATTCAATAAAATACATAAATCCATACCTAAACTAAATTAAGAAAAAGGAAGAAAGTATTAATACCCAAGAAAAATTACACACACACGAACACACCAATGTATATAGACACACATACACATATATATAGGCACAAATACACATATGCATAGGAAAAATCATAAAATTTAAAAAAATAATAAAATATTAAAAAACCAATTTTCTCAACACTAAATAATTTAGAAAAATTACATGATATGGATATTATCTATGCAAATGTAAATGGAAAAACTAATTCCAGGACAGATAGAATTCTATACAGATTGATTTTCATAGGACAAAACTTAAAATTGTCAAAGAGTTTAATACTCCAATTAGAAAATGAATAATTAGAGCTGTATAATTTCTGAGGATTCAACCAAGTCTTTAGAAATAGATAATACAATAACTTCTAAAACTACTGGAAAAACAGAGAAAACTTCTAAAGTATTTCTTTTTTAAAGCAGCTATATCAATTAACTCCAAAACCTGACCAAGTTTGCATAATAATGAAATCTATAGACCAAACTTACTCATAAACATCAATGCAAAAAGCCAAAATAGGATATTAGTATATAAATTCAGTCACAAAATAAAAAACATGACATCATGAGCAGTGGATTTCATTCCAGGATGATAAGATATTACTAAATTTATTAGTATATTTCATTCCATTATTAGATTCATTAAAACAAAATCATTGACCATTGAGTCTGCAATAGATATATTCTTCACCAGAGATACATCAATAAATGAGAGACAAATTCTCTGCCATATGGATTTATAATCAAGTGGGGTGGTTGAATGAGAAGTAAATTTTTATAATAATAAGTAATTATAGAGTTTTCTATTTGGTGATACATGCTAAAGAAATCCTGATGCAGGGAAGGGGAATGGGGAATAGTGTGTACTGGAAATAGACGAGAAGAGTTGCAACGTTAAATGGAGTGCAAGGGAAGTTCTCAAAGGTTAGGTGACACATTTGAACCTTGTGGAAATCAGAATTCAGTGATATAGATATGATGAGATTTGTTCTGATTATCTCAAGGCAAATAGGGTGGCAAATGTGTGAATGTTAGGAGAGTGGGGGAAGGTTTCCAGGAGCACATACAGCTCTAGGGTCCATCTTTTTGCTCTTGCTGTTGGAGGTGAAGAAGCCAACCAAGGTCACTGCACACAGAGAGGGAGTAGCTCCTGGGCACCTGCTCTAGGCCAGAAGATGAAGGTGCAAAAGCCAGGAGAGATTCACTCTTCTCCAGAGCAGTGAGAACTATGGAGGAAATGTGTGATTATCTCCAACAATGCTGAAAAGTCTATTTTTTAAAAATCGACTGTTCTTAAGGAAATACTAGTAGCTGTACATTCCTCTATCATGATGACTGTATCTGTGTCAGCACTAATGTCAGTATGAGGCTTCACTAGGCCTCAGAGAAGGAAATCACATTGAACCAGAAACAAGATGGCTGTGCTCACTGTTGCAACTGTTGGGTTTGAAAATAATTACTGAATACGTTAGGCAATAAATTAGACATGAATTAGGAAAGGAAGAGATTAAACTGTCTCTCAGTAGCTTAAATGATTCCAAGACAGAAACTCATAATAGAAATCATTGAAAAAACACACAAATAATATGAAAATGTGATAAATTATTGGGGTATAAATCAATACCCTACAGAAATTAATAAAATTTTTATGTAAAATAGAAAACACTTAGAAGGTATAGGGCAAAGTTAAAATAACCACATTTACAATAGCGACAGAATGATAAAATAACTAGGAATATGCTTAACAAGAAAAGCAAGAGACCCATTTGAAGAAACATTTAAAATACCCTAGAAAAATAGAAAAAGGAGAGCTGAAACAAATAGAAACACAGATCATATTCTGATAGGAAGTCTCAAAAAGTAAAATGCCAGTTCTCTCTGTAAGTTTAGTTTTAACATGATCTCAATAAAATACTATTAATTACATTGTTCTTGCCTTTTTAAAAGATTGCAACTAATAAAAATGCTTCCACAGTGTTTTACCAACTGAGAAAATAACAGAAATACCTAGGAAATTATAAAAATGAAAATCAGAGAGATAGGCTTAGCCCTACCATTTATTAAAATAATTATAAAGCCTTAGTAAATAAGACTTTATGGTCATGTCTCATAAACAGACATGGAGACCAAAGGAATAGAAAAGAAATGCCAGAATTGGACTCAAGTACATCTAGGAATATAGGTTATGAAAGGCAATATATAGTATCAGTGAAGAAAATATAGGTAAGTCAATAAGTGATGTTAGGACAACCGGTTACTTAGTCAGACATAGTTAAATTCCTACTTTCCATTTGTTACCAAAGTAAGTTTCTAATGGATTAAAAGTACAAATGTAAAATATAAAAGTATAAAACAAGACCATAAAATAATACATCCCAAATCTTGGAGGAAAAATAATATGTCTAATTCTGACTAAACACTCCAGAGTCATTAAAATGGATCAATTCGATAGGAAAGAACATGTACAAACAAACACAACAAATGTAACATGAGAAAAATATATATGTAAATTATTATATTTCTAATTTATAGCACTATAAAAGGATAATTTTTCTTAGGTGATAGGAAATCTAGAAAGCTTTAAGAAAAATATCACAGTCACAATAGAAAAACAAATAATATAGAGAGTTCAAATAAAGGAAATAAAAATAAGTCCTAAAAACAATTCAGGTACTGGCAGTTTCATCTTTCTAGTTGTTAAGGCCAGAAAACTTGGAGTTACAATTTACTTCATTTATCTTATACCACATGTTCAATCCTTCATGAAGTCTTATTTGCTACATCTATAATCTGACAACCTACTTTTACTACTACCACCCTGGTCAAGCTGCCATCACCTCTTAATGGGATTGCGGCATCAGCCCTCTAACTGTCTTTCTTCTTTCACTCTTTCTTTGTATGGCCTAATCTTAACAGCAATTAGAGAAATCTTTTTAAAATATATGTCATATTATGTCCTTCTTTTGCTCAAATTACTCATTGGTTTTCCATTTCATTGAAAACAAAAGCCCGGTCCGGTGCAGTGGCTCATGCCTGTAATCCCACCACTTTGGGAGGCCAAAGCGGGTGAATTACTGGAGGTTAGGAGTTCAAGACCAGCCTGGCCAAACTGGGGAAACTGTCTCTACTAAAAATACAAAAATTAGCCAGGCGTGGTGGCAGACACCTGTAATCCCAGCTACTCAGGAGGCCGAGGCAGGAGAATAGCTTGAACCCAGGAGGCAGAGGTTGCAGTGAGCTGAGATCGTGCCACTGGACTCCAGCATGGGGGACAAAGCAAGACCCTGTCAAAAAAAGAAAAGAAAGAAAGAAAGAAGGAAGGAAGGAGGAAATGGAGGGAGGGAAGGAGGGAGAGAGGGAGGGAGGAAGGAAGGAAAAAAAAAGAAGAAGAAGAAAAGCAAAGCCAACCCAAAGCCCTTTAAGTTATCTACAAGGCCCTGTGCATTCTGGCTTCTTGTCATCTCTCTGACAACTTCTACCACTCTTCCCCTCTCCATTTCTGCTCTGACCACACTGAATTCCTTGGGATTATTCCAAGATGCTAGAAATTCTCCCATTTTGAGAATTTTGCACTAGTTGCTCTTTCTGCCTGGAACTCATTTCCTAAGATACCTGTTTAGCCCATTTCCTCATCTTCTTCAAGTTTTTGCCCAAATGTCATCATATCAAGAAGCCTACCTTGGTTATCATCTCCCCTCTACCTTAGTCTGTTTTATATTTCTTCTTAACAATCATCATAATCTAACATACTATAGAATTTACTGTACACATATCATTACATGTATAATTATATACGTATATATGATTTCTTTCTGTTTGGTTCATTTTTATATTCCTATCACCTATAATAATAATGGTACATAGAGGCACTTAATAAATATTTGTTCAATAAATAAATTTAGTTATATTCCCAGTCTTACAGAGAAAGGCAAATTAAAATTCCAATAAGATGCTAGTTTTCACTTAACTGGCAAAACCCAAAAGCTGGTAACACACTCTGGCTAAACATACTTTGCAAATTACTGATAAGAGTATAGTATGGTATGAGGCATATGGAAAGCAATTGTGCAACATCTGCTGAAATAATTGGTATGTGTCTTTTGGTTTAGCAAGTTTTTGTATTTATACATGGATGAAATAACTTATATTCAGGTTATACGTTGTTATCTTCTTGTTACAGTAAAGGAATAGAAAACAATGAAAAGTTAATTGGAAACTGGTTTAATAAATCATGGTACATTAACCCAGTGGAATACTATACAACTAGGAAAAATAATGAGTAGTTCTCTATGCAATGATGTGGAAAGCTTTCCAAAGTAACTTGTTAAATTTAAAAGGCAAGGCACAGAGCAGTGTGTACAGACATCTAGCATTTGTGTAAAGAGGGACACCAAGCAAATATATATTCATAAGACTTATATACATATATGGAAACACTGGAGGGATACAGAAAAAACCAATTGGTGTTTACAGAAGAGGGGAGTAGGAAAAGGAAAGGAGGAAAATAAAAGTAAGAGGAAGATATTTTTATCCATACTTTTAAAAAGATTTTTTAATCATGTTAAATATGACCTATTTAAAACATAAATAAACTGAATGTAAAACTATCACAAGGCAGTAAATAAAATTACCCACAAAAGGGGTACAGTTAAAAGAATTGAATTGCCAAACACACTCTGAAGAGTGATATAAGTGCACAAGTTTTCCTCAGAACTTAGACATTTGTTAAACTTTTGAGACTCGATTACGGAAAATCAATATGTAAATGGATGAAGTCAGCCATATGGAAAAACACCCACCTAAGTAATTATTTCTTAGAAATGGGTGGTCCCAATCAAGAGATGAGGGTGTATTTTCTATCAAAATATGACTACATTAGCATACTTAAATCATGACTAAGACAATGCTATTAATATATTAAAAGGGTACGTATAGCCACCGAAGGTACATGGTTTATCAGAAATATAGAAATGTTAGAGTCAAAAAGAGAAGCTGGCAGTTCATCCCTCAATATCCCACAGTGGGAGTCCTCCAGACAATGATCCTTAGCATTATGGTCTGCTTAACATACACACCCGCTGTGGAGACAGCTGCAACAAACCATTTAAGCTTGATCTCAAAATCCATTGAAACTATGTAACTCCATAACATTATTTTAATTATAAACAACTTTCTAATTATAATCATATACAGCTTTCTGAGAGAGAATAAAAGTATTAGGGCCATTTAAACATTTCATTCTACTTGATCATTATATTTTTCAATGGAAATTACCACATGTACATTTTGTTCCCTTGAGATTTTGATTAGTGTGAGTCTATATCCCTGACTCTGAGCATCTTAGGGATACTGAGAGATGCTACAAATCTGTGAAACTGAAGACTGTGTTGAGAGTTGAAACAGTATCACTGAAGTATTGTCAGGGGCATTGTCAGAATAACCAGGTAGCAACCTTCTTATATCACTTCCTATTACTCTAATGACAAACAAAGATAATTGGCTAGAGGAAAACAAGGTGGGAAGAAGGAGCTGACCTAGTTAACTCCCAATATATCCCAGTTTTTAAAATATATTAGGATGAAAATGTGAAAAAAAGTTGTTGGTAACTAGCCATAAAGGAATAATTTTAAAAAATTATGTATCATCTTTTATCGATCAATTCCATTAATACAGTACAATTATAAAATACGTTGTTAATAAAGTACCAAGTAGGACACTATTCATGTAAAAACTGAAGAATGTTGAATTCCTTGCTTTTCCATGCTATCTAAATGAAAATTGATAAGAACTTCTATGTCATTTTCTGTTAATGACCACTCAAGCAAAGAGAATATGTCATTAGACAAAAACAACACTTCCTGCAGAGTATCACATTTTTCAAAGTATGGCTATGGTGACTAATACATTTATTTTAAGTATGGAATTAAGAGGTAGAACCTTCATGAGAACATGGTGCCAAAGTTCCAAGTCCCCAGTTATACAAATGATTTTCTTTGAGTTTTAAATTTCATTTATCTTAAACCATTTTCTTTAAATGGAGTTTAAATCTATCGCTCAATATCGCTCAAGAGGTGTTTTTTGTTTTTTTTGTTTGTTTGTTTTTTTTGCCTGATATGTTGAAGTTTTAGGTGTATCAAGTATTTATTAAATACTGGGGCAAGGAGTATGGTAACATCCTGAAGGCAACACTGTTCTAGTTCCTCTTCTTTCCTTAAAGCTACTTGTCTTTCTGTGTCATTTGATCTCTCCTTCCTTCCAGACTGAAATCTTCTATTCCATATCTTTTGCTTTTTGTTTTCTTTTTGTCACTCTGATGCTACTTACTTGCAGGAAAAACCTGATATCTTTCCTAATTATGTGAGGAATTAAAGTAGATAATATTTGCAGATATAAGGAGGTGCTCATTTAAAAAATGTGCTAGGCACAGTGCTAAGCACTTCACAAATATTTCCTCATATAATATTCAAAATCACCCTGTTGTATTCTCATATTGCAGAGGAGAAAGCGAGCACTTATAGAAGTCACTTTATCTCACATCATTAGCAAGAAGCAAAGTCATGTTTAGAGCTCAAATTTTTGGAACTCCAAGAAATATATGACTTTAAGGAGCGGGCAAGATTGACTGACTCTCCTTTTCCCTGCTGATTTTCCACACACATCCCCTTCCTAGCCCTTCAGATACGGGTGCTCTGGGGATGATCCAGAATTCCTAAGTAGTAACCTTGTCCATGGATTGGGCCCTTCTGGATTCTCTTTGTAGCATTGACTGGGTCATCTGTAACATTCTTCTGACTCACTGTAGAACTGGAACTCAACCCTGATGTCTTCTCTTGGATTATTTGGGAAACATTGAGATTGAAGTTAGCATACAGAATGCTTATTGAGGGCTATTCTTTTTGATAATACCTGTTGAGGAGGGAGTGAGGAAAGCAAGATTGGATACAGGGAGAAACTGGACTGCGATGCACTTGCAACAGAGGCCTCAGCTCATTGCACCGTAAACTCTGGAATTTTTACTGACTTTTACTGCTTATGCTGATTAAACTGCTTATTTTGTTTTTATGCTTAAGGTAATTACATAATTACATATATTTTAGAAAGTAATATATTAACAATGTACAATATTTATTTATTTTTATTTTATTTATTTATTATTATTATTATACTTTAAGTTTTAGGGTACATGTGCACAATGTGCAGGTTAGTTACATACGTATACATGTACAATGCTGGTGCGCTGCACCCACTAACTCGTCATCTAGCATTGGGTATATCTCCCAATGCTAACCCTCCCCCCTCCCCCCACCCCACAACAGTCCCCAGAGTGTGATGTTCCCCTTCCTGTGTCCATGTGTTCTCATTGTTCAATTCCCACCTATGAGTGAGAATATGCGGTGTTTGGTTTTTTGTTCTTGCGATAGTTTACTGAGAATGATGATTTCCAATTTCATCCATGTCCCTACAAAGGACATGAACTCATCATTTTTTATGGCTGCATAGTATTCCATGGTGTATATGTCCCACATTTTCTTAATCCAGTCTATCATTGTTGGACATTTGGGTTGGTTCCAAGTCTTTGCTATTGTGAATAATGCCGCAATAAACATACGTGTGCATGTGTCTTTATAGCAGCATGATTTATAGTCCTTTGGGTATATACCCAGTAATGGGATGGCTGGGTCAAATGGCATTTCTAGTTCTAGATCCCTGAGGAATCGCCACACTGACAAATTTACAAGAAAAAGACAAACAACCCCATCAAAAAGTGGGCAAAGGACATGAACAGACACTTCTCAAAAGAAGACATTTATGCAGCCAAAAAACACATGAAAAAATGCTCATCATCACTGGCCATCAGAGAAATGCAAATCAAAACCACATTGAGATACCATCTCACACCAGTTAGAATGGCAGTCATTAAAAAGTCAGGAAACAACAGGTGCTGGAGAGGTTGTGGAGAAATAGGAACACTTTTACACTGTTGGTCGGACTGTAAACTAGTTCAACCATTGTGGAACAATGTACAATATTTAAAATTGATTTTCATATCTAAAACACTAAGGTTAACAATTAGGATTAAAGTTGCTTTTCTTCCACTAAGGACATTAACTTAAACCACTTGAGAAAAAATCATCTCGGGCTACATGTTCTGTAAAGCACTTTGATATAAACCAAGTAGAAATGCTAAATAAAATACATATGCTTCTCATTATAGCTGAAAATTTAAAAACACAACAGAAATCCCTCAGAGACAGTAATTGAATTACATTACTTGAAGAAATTAAATTTAGCAACATTTTTTACTAACCTAAAAAATACCATATTCATATACATTAGTGACAAGCATTCAAAATGTTATTTTAAAATAATATTGTATAAATGTAAACAAATACTATAAGGTACCAAAGACATTTTGAAAACAATGAATAGTAACTTTATAAAGTGATAAATTTTACTGAGAACAAAATAGATTAAAATAATACAACATATACCATGTTCATCCACAGAAATACCTGATAAAAATGGTAAATTCTCCTAAATTTAATTAAATTACAATAAAACATAAGTAAGTTTTTCATTAAAATTAGCACATTAATTCAAAAATTTAAAGAAAAAACTAATGGTTAAGAAAATCCAATAGAATTTTGAAAACCAAATGTAGCATAAGCTGTGAGATATTAGGCCTTATTATAATATCATAGCAATTTTGATATTGTTTTATTAACAGAGAAATAGATCAATACAAGCAAAAAGAGTGCCCAGAATGAGGTCTATGCATATGTGGAAATGTGAAAAATTTATATAGATTATAGAAATGTACTTATATGTCAGAGATAGAATTACACAATAGCTGGTAATGGCAGATCATTCAATAAATTATGCTGACACTATTTGTTATTCACATCTAGTTAATTAGATCTCTATCTATCTACGTATATCTATAAAGTGGGATGACTACCTCATATTATACACAACTCCAGATGGAGCAATGTCTTAACCGTGAGAAATAAAAAAACAAGATATTTAATGGGAAAAATGATATTTTAAGCATGTAACTTGTGAGTAAAGAGTATATAAAGAACTCCTAGAAATCAATAATGAAAACAATTCAATAAAATAATGCCCAAATAATATAAATGTAATCAACAGAAGAGTATATGGTAATGTCCAGTAACCATATGAAAATGTGAGCATCTTCATTAGGAATTAGAGAAACGCAAACTAAAATAAAGATATGAACTTTCATACAGAATTAAAAATATTTAAAAGTTTGATAATACTAAATTTTAGACAAGTGATCACAATTAAAGATAGTAAAACGGTAAATCTGTATAACTCAAGAATGGACTCACGGAGCTCCTATGACTGCAGACTAGAGGAACAGTTTGCACATATGCCCCGGGAGACAGACTGGGGACAATATACGATAGCATTATTTGCAGTAATAAGAGTAAAAGCATTATAATTTTTTATGCCAGTAGAGTGGATAATGTGATGTTTGGTATATAACCATACAGTAGAATATTTTTCATAGCAGTGAAAAAATGGTATAAATTTATATAGATATAGGTCACAAACATAATTTTGAAAGAATAAGCAAATTACCTAGTATAAATGATGTTTATAAACATTTTTAATATATGCAAAACTATACAAGTACTGCTGAAGAACACACACAGTAACAACTTAAAAATCAGAAAGTAGATGATAAATATTAAATTTATTATATGTATATTCTATGTTTGGGGATGGAGGTGGCAGGAAATGTAACATGATAAGAAAAATACATCAATTGACTTTAATGGGTTAACACAATGATTGTGTATACAGTAGGGTTAATTACTTTTAATAGCTTTTTAACATCTAAACTATTTAACATAGCACTGTATATAAATACACTTTCTAAAAACTCTCCAATTTCACTAAGTATTTGGAGAAATAGAAAATTGGTAGAAAGTTAGATAAGATTTGCTGGATAATTTTGACTTGTCATTCAGTGGCTGTGACTATTAACTACTTTCTGGTATTTTGTCCTTTGTCCCCAAATCCATGTTAGCAAAAACTATGTTGCCCGAAAGTTATTGCTGGGCTAACATGAATTATTTCTAAAATTTTTAAAAAATGAAGATTTCTTGTAGACAAAGGAAGCCATAGGGAAATAATATTCAACTGCACAGAAATTTCCAAGTGATTGTTTAGTAAGGTTGTAATATTTTCCAAAGAGAACATGTTTCAGATAATACTCCATTAGATTCAGAATCTAACTCCATTAGTTGTTACCTGAATTAACTTAGTAAAATGCCTTTGTTTCTCATAATAGCTGTCTGGAAATGGGTAGAGTAATGCCTCACAGAATTATTAATTTGGAGTATCACAATGAAAATTTTATGTTAAAGTGCCCTGCACATTAGAGGTATTCAGTGAGTTCTGCTGCTTTCCCTTTCTAACCAGTGAAGTCATGGTAGATTCCTTCATTTATTGCCCAAGTTTTTTATTTCTTTTTGGAACAAAAACTAATTTTGCTAATAGCAACCAATAATATCCCTCCTCTCCCTATTTTAAAGTTTCTTCTAAGGGATTTTAATTTCTAAAAGCTGTGTTGGTCTGGGCTACTTGGTTACATATGAACATAACATAGAAAACTTTCAAATCTTTCCTTTTTGTCCTTGATGTGAAGATTTTAACCTGCACTTTCTTGCTTGACTATGTAAGCTAATTAAGAGCTAAAATTATTTTGTTATCAAATTTAACACTGTTAGTAATCATTTCCAGTTTCTTCTATTATAAATACATCAATACAAGATCCACTTGGACTGTAACACCAAAATGCATAAAACATCAACACTTTGTAAATACCGGTTATTAACCATCTATAAGATTGTTTACCCCAAAGCTAAATGCTGATATGAATAGTTTAATGAGTGTTCTTCAGAGTATTTCTAGCAAATCATAGCCTATAGGACCTATTTTCAATCTAATAAGTTGGAAAGTGGAAGGAAGACGTCTGAGCTGAATGTTCTACTGTTTTCTACTTTGGGAATATAAATTGGCTCATTTGTTTGAGTACTATAAATTACACAGCTAAATCTCTCATTACACCACAGGAAGCTCTAGTCCTCTGAGTAATTACTTGATTATCTTTTATTCTGAAAGGTAAAAAGAGTAACCTCTCAATAGATAATGCATAATTAATAGAATTAAAATATTGAGCAGGGCTCAAAGCCCTGTAACACTCGTAGAGAGTGGCTTTTGCCACTGAAACTGGAAAAACATTCCATTCTTTTATGTTCTGTTTCTGAATAAGAGCAAAGGGACAGACGATTATCAGAGAAAAGATAGGAGCACAGGCCGTAAGGTGTAGCAGAGGATAATAGATTGGACAAATTTCTCATTTCTTGACAATAACCACTTCCGACCATATTTCTCCCTGTTCTGTGGTAGAATTCCCAGACTCCTCCAGTCTCCTGAAACTTCCACCCTCATCCCAACCTTCATCAGCCTATGATTCCCATTTGAGGACTTTGTTTCACCATAACGTTTTAATTTCCTAGGCAAGAAAGTAGATGTCAAAAAATATATATTTCACTAAAAATTGATTTGACAAACATATTTGATCACTGTTCAATATCTTGCTTGAGGTTGATAACTGGAAGCAAGGATCTGAATTTAAGGCATAAGAAGATGTCAAGTCTGCTTAAATCTCCTATTTGTTAACTACAAGGTGACAAGCCAAATTTTCAGCTTGGTGATTTAGGGAAGGTCAATAGAATTGGAAATCAGAATGTAAAACAAACTTTAGAAAACACAATTTTTCATGTGATTGTATAGAACAATTAACATGTTAAAAACAGAAGTTATTTAATAATAAGGATAAGAAATATGGGTAATCCTATTGAGTTTTAAAACAAAATTTCAGACGTTAATCTTCATATATATACATACAGATGTACCCATATATACACATAAGTATAGATATGTATAGCTGTATAAATATATATTATCCATGTATGTATATATGTAATAGGAAACAAGTAGAAAATTTGGCAGCATTCATAGAGCTAGGGATTCAACAGTTCAAGAAGTTTAGCAAGGCCAGATCTATACAGAGACTCCAATGTGAAGAAGAAAGTTCCTTTCTTACTTCCGGAGAAGACACAAAGAATGTAGAGGAAATGTATATTTGATTATAAAATTACTTTTTTCTTTAGTTTCTTAACTTCTTCACATGCTAAAGAACTTTTTGTGGTGTTATGGTTGTTAATAAGGCCAGTCTTAATACCAATGTTTTCTGGCATTTCTTTGGGAACAATGTTCATAATGCTGTTTTGTTCAACAACGCTTTCGTCTGCTTTTCCTGTCAAGTCATTTCTTACTTAAACATTCAAAATGAAGTGAGCTCTAAGGTTCAAAGCAAATTTCCCTTTTCTAAGGATTCCTTTTTTTTCTTTCACTTATATATTAAAGTTAATAACATTACTTATAATTAGTACTTTTCTCATTTCTCTCTCTCTACTGAATGTAATCCCCTCCTTAGTATTTATGTACCTGTATTATTTCCTGCCATTGAATCTTAGTTGACTCTTTGATTTGCTTTCACAAGAAGAGTATGGTGATACTGTGCCAGTTCTGGGCCTAGCAGAAGCATGGCAAGTTCTGTTTTTAAGCTACTGGGAGCTTGGGCCCATCATGTAAGAATTCTGCCTATGCTGCCATAGAGACCATGAGGAAAGACCTCATGAAGAGGGCACATAGAGAGAAAGAGGCCCAGTCATCCCATCACCCCAGGTAAGCCTTCCAGCTCTCCTTAACCTGATGTAAAACTTGATAGTAGCCACGTGAGAGTCCAAGCCAGATGATCAGAAAAGCCACCCAGCTGAATTCTATCACAGGAATCTGCCAGCAAACTTTTTCTATAAAGAGTCAGATAGGAAATATTTTTGGCCTTACAGGTCTATGGTCTTCCTAGCAACTACTCTTTTGTTGTAGTGCAAAAGCAGGCACAGTCAACACATAAACAAATGACTGTAACTGTGTTCCAATAAAACTTCATTTAAGGATATTGAAATTTTAATTGTATATAATTTTGCATATCACAAAATATTCTTCTTTTAAAATTTACTTTTCAAGTATTTAAAAATTAAATAAATCTATTCTCAGCTCTTAGGCAACACGAAAACATATGACAGAAGAGATTTGTTGCTTGGGTCATAGTTTGGTGACCCTACTCCGATCAACCCACAAAATTGTGAGAAATAATACAAAATAGCTTTTTTTAAGCCCTTAACTTCGGGCTTTTGTTACTGAGCAATAGATAACACAAACACTATTTTTCAGATTTTGTCTCAGGGAAGGAATAAAATCATCCAAACTCTAGGTATGGGATAAATGGAATATAGTGAAAAAGTGGGGTCAACTGGAATAAAGATGGATAATTAACCCAATCAGCCTGTGAAATATACTAGTGTCATCTTGTATTTAAAAACATGTAAGTACAGGAAAATCACAAGCAAGTGAGCCACAGATCTGAGAGAGATGAGGGGCTACCTATAAAGTACCTCAGATCAGGACGTAGGAAACAAGGACTGAGACCACAGTTATAGTGAAGGAAAAATCACTTCCCACATATTAACAGGAAAAAGTTGAAGGTGGCCAATGTAATCAAAAAGACAACATAGAAAAAATGATAATGATTACCTTTGAGTATATGAAGAGTGAAAATGAGTTTTTTCTGAACTGTATAAAGAAAAAAAAGGTAAACTGCAACCAAATGTTTAGTCCAAATATTAGGCTTAACTTTCTGATGGAAAATACCAAAGAAAGGCACCTTTAAAACTCAGCAGCTGGCTATCTTTAAGAATTACATGATTGGTTTTTTGCCTTAAAAGATTTAGGTAAAGCCTTATCTAATGGCAGGGGCTGGGATTAGACAACCTCTTTTCCTTCCAATTCTGATTCTGGTATGTGTGATTAGAAATCACAGCCTTTAATATGCAATTTGCAATTTCTACTGCTGAATCTAAACTGCCTCAGTTGGAAACTGATAGCTATTGTTGTATGTGAACTGTAGCAGAGAGTGCACTGGGAGGTTTTAATGGATAACGTAGAATCATCAAAGTAAGCATTTCCCCCCTCCTAGGTTTTAAGTACTTACTATTACTTTGATAGAACCCAAACTACATAAAATAAATGGATAAATGAGTATATAAATAAATGCATAAATATTCTGAGAATGAATTTTGTAGTCTTTTCTCCAAAGAGTAACACATCAAATGTGTTATAAAATTAATGTTTTTACACAAAAACACATGCCTACACATGCCTACTTTTCCTGGGCACTAAACCATAATATCATGACATCGAAAACTCCTCCTGTCACTGAACCCACAGTGGTCATAGCCATTTGCTTTTAATAAGATTCCCCCCCAAAATACACACTTTATACATGTGGACATGTGGGCACACATGCATGTGTGCACAGGCACACACACACACACACACACCAAAAACCCTGGTAGAAAGGAGAAATTGAAAAATAATAACTTGGAGAAATATTCCTTTCTTGAAATTACACCAATATGTAATGACACATTTTATACCCACTTCCACTTGATGTATCATGGAATTATTAGAAGCAGCAGGAATAGCATATGATTTTTACAAATGTCTGAATTGACAAATAAGACATGCTGGTTTTATTAAGTAATATACATGCTTGTTTTGTAAGGTGACTATACAAATCGTTTCTGCTATGGTCTGAATGTTTATGTCCATTCAAAGTCCACAGGTTGAAAACCTAAGCCCAAGGTGACAGTATTAGGAGGTGCAGCCCGTGGAAGGTGATTAGATCATGAGTATGGGGCCCTCACGATTAGGCTAATTGCCTTTATAAAAGAGACAATAGAGAGTGAGATAACCTCTTCAACCATATCAGAACACAGCTAGAAGTCCCCATCTATGTGAAATCAGGCCTTCACCAAACATCACATCTGCCAGTGACTTGATTGTGAACTTAGCCTCCAGATCTGTGGGATGTAAATTTCTGTTATTTATAAGCTACCCAGTTTATGGTATTTTGTTATAATAGCCAAAATGGAGTAAGACAGTGTCCAGATGAAATACATATGATGGGAAGTTTTAGAATTACAAGACTCTCAGACCCCTAAATGCTGATAATTAATGTAGAATTTAAGGAAAGACCTCCATAGTGCTAAAATGATACAAGTATAATTGATCACAAAGCATTGTAAATACGATCATAGTCATAGACATCAGGAGTCAAGCAGAAGAAAGTATAATCACTTCACACAGTTGACAACTTGTGCTCTTTTGAGCATTAGGTGTTAATGCCAATAGTTTCTTCTTTAATATTTAAAGTCACTGCTCATTGTTTTTAGAAAATAATGCCTGAAAATTCTTATTTAGCTCTTACTAAACCTATTTCTCAAAGGTTTAGCAAGAGTGGCTTTGCCTACTAAGTATATTAAATATAAAGCACATCTAACACTTCACCTGAAATGAACCAGTTCTGTTATATAATTAATCTAAAGTAATTCCTGATATAAATAGTGTAACATATATCTAGACATTTGTTTCACATTATTTTTGATGTATAAATGAGTTTGCTGAGGTAGTTCTCTGTGTGTGTGTATATATATATATATATATATTTGACATCACAATTTGAATATTTCATAGAAATACCAAAATTAAGATGACAAGAATTTACTTTTGACCCAATCAAGAGATGGCCAGGCACTCTCTTTATCATTTTTTGATAAGTTTGGAAATCATGACTATATCATTGGTTGCCTCATTTTTTTGTTTCACTTTTCCTGGTTCTTTATTATTTTAACCTGCTAAATATCTTTAAGATATGCTCACTTTTTTCTATCTTCATTGCTACTTCTTAGGTAATACCACCATCATCTCTCTCCTAGATGGGTAAAATAGTTCTTATACTGCTTTTCTGTTATTTCTCTGTGGCTTAGTCAGCCTAGGCTGCTATAACAAAACGCTGTAGGCTGATTGGCTGTATAAATTTGTCTCACAGTTCTATAAGTCCAAGATCAGAGTGTCAGGATGCTAGGATCTCATAAGGGCTCTCTTCCTTATCACACACTATAGCCCCCTTGTTGTATCCTTGCATGGCAAAAGAGAGCTAGTTACTTTCTTATTTCTTCTTATGGAGGGACTAATTCCATTCACGAGGGCTCTACCCTAATGAACTAATTACCTCTCAAAGGCCCCATCTCCAAATACCATTATATTGGAATTAATGTTTCAGCATATGGATTGTGGAGAGGCACAAACATTAAGACCATTGCACCCTCTAATCTATTTTTTACCTATCAGGCAGATAAGCCCTTTCAAAATATAAAGCCAACCTAATAAATCCTCTGAATTCAAGCATTTAGTAGACATACTAGTGTGCCTTAAAGAAAACATGCATTCTTTACCCTGGTGAACCATACTCTTTCTGATTTTGTTTTTGTCTACATCTCCAAATTCCATTCTTATCAGTTGCCTTTTCTGACTCTGTGCTTAAATAACTCCAGTTTTATTTCATTTCCTTAAACATAAGCTTATTTCTGCCTCCAAGATTTTGCTTATGCTATTCTCTCTGCTTGTCATATTTTGCCTGAACCACCATCTCCAGTTCCTGCCAACAACCCTAAGAATAGTTGGATGTTATACTTCAGCTTGCAAATTGACATTTTAGCAACACAATTCCTGGTGATTCTAAATAAGAAGATTAACCCTGTCTTGTTTATGATTGCAGTACTCTGTTGATTTCCTCATGGCATATAACACATTTTGTTTAATAGAAGTACAGAGTTTATTTAGGCCAAGTTTGAAAACTGTAACCTGAGAGACATATATTTCAGTTGCCCTGAATATATGCTCCCCATAACACATTTTAATATAGGTATTGCTTAATGAAAAAAACATTTACTAAGATCTACTGCATACTAATGTGCTACTACCTATGTTTGGTGCTAGGGGTCAAAGGTGAATAATACACCCCATCCCTGACCTTGAGGAAGCTTCTGTCCATCAGAAGAGACAAACACATAAACAGACACTTCAGTGCAGTCAAATAACTGCAGTAAGAAATGTGTGCAGAGGACAATGAGTACATAAAAGGACATCTAGAAAATTTTGAAGAGAACAAGGAAAACTCTGTGGAAGAAACAATGCTAAGGTCTGTCCAAAAGAAATAGAAAACAGACCTGGCAAAAGCTTAGTGGCGGGGATCTGAACAGAAGGGAAATTAGGGGATTAGTATTTGATATATTCCATATTGAGGAGATAAAAATAACAGAGTTACAGTATAAGAAAGAAACATAATGGTTGATGTAAGAAATTTTATACAGTTTGATTTTATTGGGACAAAATATATGTGAAAGGAAATGGTGAGACATGAGAATACAAAGTTAGCCAGGGGCTATATATTTTAAAAACTTTAATAACAGCAGTACTAAAAATAAAAATAATTGTAAGAACAATGGTACTAATTTATTATTACTACACAGTAAGCACTTTTAAAGTGTTTTTTTTTTGTTTGTTTTTTGTTTTTTTTTGACCCTGGACTCTGACTTTCTCAGGCATGAGAGGAGTACAGCAGTGGAAAATGCAGGCTGGATTCCAAATATTCAGCTACCATAGTGACAGGACTAGTTCACTTCATTCCAAGTTAACTGACAAGCAGAGTGAGCACCAAATGCAAATTGGTACAAGGAGACATAGCAAGAAAAAAGATCAATTTGGGATAGGGGTGTGGGTTGCATAGCTTCCTTCTTTGGAGGGTCTTGGACCTTCCAATTAAGGCCCAGTTGCAGCCTGGCTGCCAACAAACTTTCAGTCTCTCCTCGCCCCCTGCCTTGGAGTTTATCACCAACAGACAGGCCTTACAAGAAATGCTCAAGGGTGTCTTACATCTGGAAGTGATAAGAAAACAATCACTATCATAAAAGTATGTAAAACTATAAAAATCACTGGTAAAACCAATATACAAATTAAAAAGGAAAAGGAATCAAACCTTATCACTGCAGAAAATTGCCAAACCACAAAAAATAAACAATAAAAGAGGAAGTAAGATACAAAGGATTTACAAAACAACCAGAGAACCATCAAATAAATGACAAGAGTAAGTCCTCATTTATCAATAATAGTCCTAAATGTAAATGGATTAAATACCCCATTTAAAATATAAAGATTGGCTGAATGTAGAACAAAAACAACACCTTACTATATGCTGCCTACAAGAAACTTACCTGACCTGTAAATCCTTTCACATAGAATTAAAGTGAAGGATAAAAAGTATTCCATGCAAATGGAAACATTAAGCTAGTAAGAATAGCTATACTTCCAGCCAACAAAACAGATTTCAAGTCAAAAGCTGTAAAAAGAAACTATGAAGAACATTATATAATAATACAGGTATTAATTTAGTAAAAGAATGTAACAACTCTAAATGTATGTACAACCAACACCAGAAAACCCAGACATATAAGGGAAATATTATTAGATTTAAAGGGAAAAATGAACTCCAATACAATAAAAGTTGGAAACATCAACACCATACTTTCAGCATTGGACACATCATCTAGACAGAAAATCAACAAGGAAACATTGGGTTTAAACTGAACCATAGACAAAATGGACCTAACACATTGACAGAACATTTCACCCAACAGCTGCAGACTACACAATCTTTTCATTGGCACATGGAACACTGCATAATTGACCATATATTACGATACAAAGCCAGTGTCAAATTTTTTTAAAAAAATCAAAATTATACCAAGCATCTTATCGAAGCACAACAGAATAAAACTAGAAATCAATAACAAGTAGAACATTTGAAACTATACAAATGAATAGAAATCAAACAACATGCTCCTGGATGACAACTGAGAGAAAGAAGAAATTAGGAATAAAATTAAGAATTCCCTGAAACCAATGAAAATAAAAACACAATATATTCAAATGTATGAGGCACAGCAAAAGCAGTATTATAAGAGGAGTTCATAGCAATAAATGCCTACACCAAAAAACTAAAAAGATTTCAAATAACCTAGTGATGCATCTCAAGGAACTGGAAAGCAAAAACAAAACAAACCCAAAAATTAGTAGAAAGAGAAAAATAAAAATCAGAGCAGAAATAAATAAAATTGAGACTAAAAAAGTAATACAAAAGGACAAAGAAACAAAAAGTTCTTTTTTTGAAAAGATAAACAAAATAGACACACCGTTAGCTAGAATAAAAAAGAGAAAGGAACCAAATAAATAAAATCAGAAATGAAAAGGGAAACATTACAACAAATATCAAAGAAATAAAAAGGATAATTGGAGACTACTATGAACAACTATACACCAATAAATTCAAGACTTAGAGGAAATGGATACATTACTGAACATGTACAACTGACAAAGATTAGACTAAGAAGAAATAGAAAAGCTAAACAGACCAATAACCAGCAATGAGACTGAATCCATAATAAGAAGGCCTCCAAGAAAGAAACTCTAAGACTGAATGGCTTCTTTGCTGAATTCCACTGAACCTTTAAAGAATAACTAATACCAATTTTTCTCCAAGTATTAAAAAATGAAATGGAGGGAATTCTTCCTAAGTAACTTAGTGAGGTCAGAATAACCCTGAGACCAAAATCAGACAAGAATACAACAAAAAAGGAAAATGACAGACTAATATCCCCAATGAATTTAGTTGCAAAAATCCTCAAAAAATGCTACAATTCCTGGACACATAAAACTTAACCACAACAAAAAACAAATCCAAATTATAAATCCCACTGTAATCAAGTGGGATTTATCTCAGGAATGCAATGATCACTCAACATACACAAATTAATAAACATGATATATCATATCAACAGAATGAATGACAAAAACCATATAATTATCTCAATAGATGCAGAAAAACTTTTAATAAAATTCAATATCTCTTTATAATTAAAAACACTCTCAGTAAATTAAGTATAGAAGGACAGTACCTCAACCAGGAAAATCCATAGCTAACATTATATTATACCAAATGGGGAAGAGCTGAAATATTTTTCTGTAAGAATTGGAACAAGACAAAGATGCCCATGCTCAGCACTCTTATTCAATGTAGCACTGGAAGTCCTAGCCACATAAATTAAGCAAAAGAAAGAAATAAAGGGAATAAAAATTGGAAAGGATGAAGTCAAATTGTCCCTGTTTCCAGAAAACATGATTTTATCTATAGAAAAATCTGACGACTCTACCAAAAACTCTTAGAATAGATGCATGAAGTGAGTGAAGTTGCAGAATACAAAATCAACATAAAAAATTAGTAGTGTTTCTATACACAAACAACAAACTGGCAGAAAAAGAAATCAAGAAGGCAATTTTATTTACAGTAGCTACAAAAAAATGAAACATCTAGGAAAAAATTTAACCAAGGAGGTGAAAGGCCTCTACAAGTAAAACTATACAACACTGATGAAAGGAAAAATAGACAAATGGGACTTAGTTAAACTAAAAAAACTTCTGCACGACAAAAGAAAGAATCAACAAAGTGAACAGACAACCTGCAGAATGGGAGAAAATTTGCAAACTATTCCTCTGACAGGAGACTAATATCCAGAATTACGAGGAACTCAACTCAACAACTACAACAATAAAAGCCATAATTTCATTTAAAGTGGGCAAAGGACACAGATAGACATTTTTCAAAAGACACCTTAATGGATGACAAGCATATGAAAAAATGCTCAACATTACTACTAAAAGAAATGCAAATTAAAACCACAATGAAATGTAATCTTAAAGAGAAAAAAATAACAGTTTGTTTGTGAGGATGCAGAGAAAGTGGAATGCTTATGAACTGTTGTTGGGGGTGTAAATTATGACAACCTGTTTGAAAAACAGCATGGAGATCTCTCACAGAATTAAAAATAGTGATCCAGCAATCCCACTAGTGGGTATCTACCCAAAGGAAAAGAAATCAATATATAAAAAAATCACCTGCATTAATATGTTTATTATAGCATTATTCACAACACAAAAGATATGGAATAAACCAAAGTATCCACAAATAGATGAATGGACAAAAAATGTGACATATATACAGAATGGAATACTTTTCAACCATAAAATATGAAATCATGTTTTTTATATAGCAACAAGGATGGAATTGGAGGTCATGATCTTAAGTGAAATAAGCCAGACACAGAAAGATAAATACTGCATGTTCTTATTGACAAGTGGGTGCTAAAAAATGCTTGCACATGGAGGTAGATGGTAGAATGATAGACATTGAAGACTGGGAAAGGTAAGGGCATAGCAAGGTTGGTAGAGAATGAGAAATTACTTAATGGGTACAATGTATATTACTTGGGTGATGGATACCTTAAAACTTCTGACTTGACCGTTACGAAATACATACATGTAATGAAATCGCACTTATACCGTATAAATTTATAAAAAAATACAAGTACAAAATAGAAGGGAATACAAACAAACTGAAAGACATCCCATGTACATGAATCAAAATAATTAATATTGTTAAAATGATCATACTACCGAAAGCAAGCTACAGATCTGATGCAATCTCTATCTAAATACCAATGACATTCTTCACAGAATTATTTTAAAAACCCTAAAATTTGTTTGAACCACAAAAGACCCTGAATAGCTAAAGAAATTCTCAGCAAAAATAACAAAGTTGGAGGTATCACACTACCAGACTTCAAAATATACTACAAATCTGTAGTATAAATAGTACTGAAAAAACTGGATATCCATATGCAGAAGAATAAAACTAGACTCCTCCCCGTCAGTCTATACTAATATCAACTCAAAATAGATCAGAGACTTATGTAAGACCTGAAACAAAAACTACTCAAAGAAAACATAAAGGAAATGCTTTAGGATAGTGGTCTGGAAACAGATTTTATAAATAAGATCTCAAAAACATGGGCAACAAAGCAAAAATAAATAAATATGATTATATTAAACTAAAAAGTCTCTGCACAGCAAAATAATTAGTCAACAGAGTGAAAAGACAACATACAGAATGGGAGAAAATATTTACCAACTATTCATTCAACAAGGAACTAAACTTCTCTACAGCAAAAAAACAGTCAGATTAAATGTTTCCCAAAAGAAGAAATACAAATGGCCAACAAATATATGGAAAAATGTTCAACAACACTAATCATCAGAGAAATAAAAATTAAAGCTGCAGTGATGCATCATCTTAACCCAGTTAGGATGAATAATATCAAAAAAACAAAAACTAACAAATGTTGGCACGGATGCTGAAGAAAAAACAGAACTCTCACACACTGTTGGTGGGAATGTAAATTAGTAGGACCACTAGGAGAACAGTATAGAAGATCCTTTAAAACAAAAAACAAAAAAAAAACTCCAAATAAAACTACCATATGTTCCACCAATCCCACTACTGGGAGTTTATCCAAATGTAAGAAAATGGGTATATCAAAGAGAAATCTGTACCATGTTTATCACAGTCATTATTTTAACTAGTTGCATGGATTCAATGTAGGTATTCTACAACAGATGAATGAATAAAGAAAATGTGATATATATACACAATGGAATACTATTCAGCCATAAAAACGATAAAATCCTGTCATTGATGGAAACATGAATAGAACTGGAGGATGTTATATTAAGTGAAATAAGCCAAGAATAGAAAGTTAAACACCACATGTTTTCACTCATATGTGAAAGCTAAAAAACCAAAAGAAAACAAAACATCGATCTCTCAGAGAAGTAAAAAGTAGAACAGAGAATGCCGGCGGCTGGGAAGAGTAGGGGGATGGGGAAAATATGGTGAGATTTGTTACAAGATATAAAACTACAGCTAGAAACAAGAAATACATTCTTGTGTTCTATAGCACTGTAGGATGACTATAGTTAGCAAGAATATAGTATATAATTTCAATTAACTGTTTGAGATGGTGGATATAATTACCCTTATCTGATCACTATACATTACATGCATTGCAGCGTCACTTATATACCCCTTAAATATGTACAATTATGTGAAAATTAAAAAAAATTAAATAATTTTTTTCTTAATAAATGCATTTATCTTTTCTAAGTGCCCTATGAGTAATGAATTATTATGATATCCATTTTATAAACGAAGAGAGATACAGAAAGCTTAAGTGTCTTGACCGAAACTACATACCTGACATAAGAAGCTACTGAATGGTTGTAGTGGGTGCAGCGCACCAGCATGGTACATGTATACATATGTAACTAACCTGCACAATGTGCACATGTACCCTAAAACTTAAAGTATAATAATAAAAAAAAAGAAATTGTATGACTTTATTGGGAAAAAAAAAACATACTCAGAAAAGTGTATGAAATAAAAAGATGTACAGCCCAATAAATTGTTGCAAATAATACCCATGTAGCAATCACCCAGATGGAGAAAAAGAATGGCAAACACTTGAGAAGCCACCCTTAGCCACTTTCAGAATAACAGTATGAGGAGCTACATTAACATTCTCACCAGTGAAGCAAAAATAGATGGTGAAAACTATTAAAAAGCAACAATTAAAATCTCTGATAATTGTCCGAAGTGCATACAAAAAAATGAGAAAAAATTCAAATAATCTGCTAAATTTCCAGAGGAAAGATAGGATCTGTGGTATTTGAAGAATGACCATCCCCACCCTCTGCCATCTCAGTGTGACATAATCTCTGCTCCATATATGTACAGCAAAAACATAGAAGACCCTCTCCCATAAGCTCCAAGTTTAGGACCATGGTATTTCCCTGAAAGAGAAATGCAAGTCACCAGCATTTCTCATTACCCACCTTTTCCACGTAGGTCTATCATGTAAAAATTCTATTTCAGACAAAAGCAGCTGAGAGGTCTGGGACTCCCTTTATCCATCTGGCCTCCGGTTGAAAGGTAAAGCTCTAACCCCAGTACAACAGGCCAAGAATATTAGACCCCAATCACCCTTACTCATGCTCACTCATAGGAAAGATGCTCCAAACCAGGAGAGGCAAACTGAGAAAACTAGCACCTATTATAGCTACCCAGCATCTTGCTCATACAATGTAGATATCATACCACGTGAAGCAGTACACCATTCCCACCTGAGCTCCTGAGTAGTGTTCCAGAGGTTTTGCTCAGCAGGAGAGGCAGGCCATAAGAATAAAGAGCTATGCAGCTCTCTCCAAGGGAACTAATTTATTTGGAACAGAAGTTGGGGAAGTTTATCCCTAAAGGTACTATAGAAAAAAAAAAAGAAAAGAAAAGGAGACTTGGGGAATGAGCAACTAAAAGAGCCACAAGGTAAATAAGAGACCAGCTAGAAGTTTAACAGAGGAAATCAGGAAAAGGGACAGATAAATAGTCTAAATAGTCTTTATAGGGTACAAACAAGCTTGGAAGACTACTGCTGCAGGGAGGCCAAATTTAATTGAATCAGACTGTGAAGCCATTCATTTTCAAAGGTGATTTTGGAGACAATAATCAGATGGTCAATTAGCAGAGGCTAACAGCTGAGTGTGATATTAACCAAGGAACGTGGCTTAACAGAGATCAGGGAAAGCACACTTAAAGAGAGTTTTGCTAAATCTGCTGTCATCCAAATGTGACTGAGTCCCAAAATGTGCCCTCTAAGGAGCAACATTAGAAGCTGCACACTGTGGAGGAATTAAACTTCGTTGAAATAGTCTAACTAAGTTACTACAAAAATAAACAAGCAAACAATGTTAATAGCATAAACAGTAACAAGCATAGTACTAGGGGGATTAGTATTAAGAATTAGTATAGTATATAACCTAAAGTGTCCAGTTTTTAAAGTAATAGAATAAAACATTCAAAGAAATAAGAAAATGTGACACATACACAGGGAAAAAAACAGAAACAGACAAAAAAAACTGCCTTAAGGGGGCCCAGATATTGGACTTAGAGATAAATACTATTAAGCAGTTATTAAAACAGGCTCAAAGAATTAAAGGAAATAATTATTAAAGTAAGATAAGATGTTATGGAATAAATCATGTTTCTCTAAAATTTGTAAGTTGAAGTTCTTAAACCCAGTATCTCAGAATGATATTGTATTTTGATATAGGGTCTTTAAATTGGTATTTAAGTTTAAATGAGGTCATATGAATAGGCCCTACTCCAATTTGACTTGTGTCCTTATAAGAAGAGGAAATTTAGACACCCAGAGAGGCACCAGGAATATACATACAGAAGAAGGCATCCATCTGCAAGCTAAAACAAAAGACCTTGAAAGTAATCAGCCAGCTTGGCGTGGTGGCTCACGCCTGTAATCCCAGAACTTTGGGAAGCTGAGGTGGGTGGGTCATGAGGTCAGGAGATCAAGACCATCATGGCCAACATGGTGCAATCCACTCTACTAAAAGGAAAAAAGAAAAAAATTAGCCAGCCGTGGTGGCTTGCACCTGTAGTCCCAGCTACTTGGGAGGCGGAGGCAGGGGAATCACTTGAACCTGGGAGACAGAGGTTGCAGTGAGCCGAGATTGCGCCACTGCACTCCAGTCTGGCAACAGATCAAGATGATGTCTCAAAAAAAAAGAAAAGTAAAAAGCCCTGCAAAAACCTTAACCTTGGACTTCTAGACTTCAGTAGTTCAAGAAAATTAATTTCTGTTGTTTCCAAACTACAGTATTTGGTCAAGGCAGTCCTAGCAAACTAATACCTAATATCACAATGCCTCATCATGTAGTAACTATAAGTAAAGGTATAGAAATTTTCAAAAATAGAACCAGTGAAAACTTTGGAGTTGAAAAGTAGAATAACTAAGGTGAAATAGTCACTAGATTGGTGCAATTGTAGATTTAAGATGGCAGAATATGGAATAAGTGAATGTGAAAATAGGATAGTAAAGATTATGCAGTCAAAGGGACAGAAAATAAAAAGAATAAAGATAAATAAAAATAGAAATATGGACACCATTAAGTGTGTCAACAAATGTATACTGGGACTATCAGAAATAACTAAAAGGAAAGAAAAAAGTACATAAAGAAATTATGGCTAAATCTTTCCAAATTTCATTTAAAATCATTAATCAACAAACCAAAAGTATCAGTGAATTCCAAGTAGGGTAAACAGAGATCTCACTCCCAACAGATCATAGTAAAAATGTTAAAAGCTAAAGGCGAAGAAACAATTTGAAATAAACAAGAGGAAAATCACTCATTATACACAAGAGAAGCTCAGTAATATTAATAGCTGATTTCTTATCAGCAATACTAGAGGCCAGAGGCAGTGGGATGAGATATTCAAAAAGCCATGAGATAAAACATTGCCAGCCTGGCACGGTGGCTTATGCCTGCAATCCCAGCACTTTGGGAGGCCAAGGCGGGTCGATCACCTGAGGTCAGGAGTTCAAGACCAGGCTGGTCAACACGGCAAAACCCCGTCTTTGCTAAAAATACCAAAGTTAGCCGGGCATGGTGGTGGGCACCTGTAATCCCAGCTACATGGGAGGATGAGGCAGAAGAATCGCTTGAACCTGGGAGGTGGAGGTTGCAGTGAGATGAGATCATACCATTGCACTCCAGCCTGGGCAACAAGAGTGAAACTCCATCTTTAGGAAAAAAAAAGGAAAAGAAAAAGAAAAAAAACACTGCCAACCAAGAATCTGTGCCCAGCAAAACTGTTTTTCAAAAATGATGGTAAAATGAGAACTGACCTATATAAATTAAAACAAATATTTATTTTTTTTCTGGAAGTAGTGCCTGGTGAAATACTAACAGAAAGAATTAATTTAAATACTGATTTCCTTTCTTTTTTTTTATTTTATTTAGGTATATAGCCAGACATTACAAGAAAAAAACCTCTAAGGGTCAATATTTCTTATGAATGTAGATGCACAAATTCATAGGAAAATACCAGTAAATCAAATTCAAGATAGGATTAACATGATCAACTAAGGTTAATACCAAGAATGCAAGATTGGTGTAACATCAAAAACACAATTAATATAATTTGCCATATTTATAAAAAGGGGAAAAGCCTACATAATTACCTCAAAATATTCAGAAATAAGTATGAACTCTAGCATTCCTTTGTCATAAAATACTTAACAAATTAGGAATAGAGGGAAACTTCACCAACTTGTTAAACATTATCAATGAGAAATCTCTAATATCTCACTAACATACTTAATCATGAAAGACTGAATGCTTTCCCGTCTACAATCAGGAACAGGACAAGCATGCTATTACTACTTGTATTCAATATTGTACTGGAGGTTCTAACTAAGGCAGTTATAAAATACTAGGTAGATGGATACATTGGTTGATTGATTCAATTAAATTATGCAATTAATTTCCTATCAAATTCCTAACTTGCTTTTTTGCAGAAATTGGCAGGCTAATCTTTAAATTAATAGGAAAATGCAAATGATTTGATATAGACAAACCAATCATGAAAAAGAATAAAGTTGGAGAACTCACACTTTTCAATTTCAAAACTTATGACAATGCTACAGTAATCAAGACACTGTTACTCACTTAGGGATAAACATATAGGTCAATGGAATAGAATTAGAAGTCCCAAAGGAAACCTTAACATTTATGGTTAATTGATTTCCAATAAGGGTATCAAGGTAATTTAATGGGGAAATAATTCTCTATTCAACAAACGGTGCTGGGACAGTCAGACATCCATACGTAAAAAAAATTGAGTTAGGCCGGGCACGGGGGCTCACACCTGTAATCCCAGCACTTTGGGAAGCTGAGGCAGGTGTATCACAAGGTCAAGAGATCAAGACCATCCCAGCAACATGGTGAAACCACATCTCTACTAAAAAATACAAAAATTTTCTGGGCATGGTGGTGCACACCTGTAATCCCAGTTACTCAGGAGGCTGAGGCAGAAGAATCGCTTGAACCTGGGAGGTGGAGGTTGCAGTGAGCTGAGATCGCGCCTTTGCACTCCAGCCTGGCAAAAGAACGAGACTCTATCTCAAAAAAAAAAAAAAAAAAAAAAAAGAATTGAGTTGGACATATGCGTACACCACATACAAAAATTACCTTCGAATAGATCACAGTCATACATGTAAGAGCTAAAACCATAAACATAGAAGTAAATATTAATGACCGTGGGTTAAGCATAGCCTTGTCAGATACAACACTCAAAGCATAAGCAACAGCAACAACAACAAAAATAGGTAAATGTTTTTGTTGTTTCCAGAGACACCATCAAAAAAATGAGAAGGCAATCACTGATTGAGATAAAATATTTACAAATTATAAAGCCAATAAAACCAATAAAAGACTTCTATCCACTGACATTGTTACTGTTGAAAAGTCACTTGTCAATTTGTTTTGGTTTTGATTTTGTTAACGGAATATCTCATTTCTTAATATTTGAAATTTGTCTATATTTTTTCTTTTTTGCACTTTTACTGTGATGCTTCTTGGTATATATTTATTTTTATTTACCCTGTTTGGGTTTGCATTTGTTGAATCTATAGATTATTATCTTTCATTAGCACTGTAAAATTGTAAATCATTATTTCTTTAAAATATTATTTTTGTTCCATTCTCTGTCATAACAATTAAATATATGTTATATCTTTATTACTGCATCATTTATATTCCTTCATCTTCTAATTGCTATTCTTTTTCCACTCTGCTAAATTCTGCTTTTTTCTTTAAACCAATCTTAGAATACTAATTATCTCTTTATCAGTCTAATTATTTCTAATCTATCAATTGTGTTGTTAAATACTGCATTTATCATTTTTAAAAATTTCCACTATTTTTTACATTATTCAATTGTCTGCTAACTTTCCTAATTTTACATTTTATCTTCTGGCACATAGTAAATATAGCTATTTTGCAGTCTATGCCAGTAATCTCAAATCTTCGGTGGTTCTCTTTCTATAGTTTACAGTTTAGGGTGATTGGTGTCCATATTGTATTATTCCTTTGTGTTTTGTAGTTTATGATAGTGTGTCAAGCATTACATATGAAACATTTTTCAATTAATTTGAGGTCTGAAATGATATTATCTTCCATATAAGATTTAATTGATTTTGAAAGTCAGTGTTGGGCACAATCCCTTCCAGATCAACAAATCAAATGTCACAGTTTCAGCTGACAATAGCTGAGCTGTAGTCCATGAAGGGACCTATTCCAATTCACCATTATTCCTAGGACACAGCCCAAACCTAACATGAGGGGTTCACTTGAGTGCTTCTATTTTCTCGTATGATCTGGGGAGTATCATATTTCTTCTTAATCCTGAAGTGTTGAGAAAATCACCACTTAGCCTCCCTGCCTCTTAGCTTCCACCTCAGGGTTTGGCTTCCTCCACAATGAAAAAAAAATAAAAACAAGAAACCCAAATGTCAGGCTTAACTGCTTAGACAGAATTCCACTCTCTTCAACATTTTCCTAAGATTCTTTCTTATTTCTTTAGATTTCTTTAAATGTCTTCAGGCATTTAAAAAATAACTTGTAGAGCTTTTCTAATTGTCTGGGTAAAATATGATCAAAAGTAGACAATATAGGATTTACATATTAGATGAATTATTGCAATTATAAAGTATAAATTTGAAACTAATTATACATAAAGCGTGTAGAATATTTGGTGTACCATTTGGAGTCTAGAGGATTCAAAATTGTGATGGTTACTTATATGTGTCAGCTTGGCTGAGCCATGGTGCCCAGATATTTGGTCAAACATTATTCTGGATGTTTCTGTGAAGATTTATTTTTGCAGGAGATCAGCATTTAATAGGTGGACTTTGAGTAATGCACTCACAATGTGGGTGAGCTTTATCTAATCCGCTGAAGGCCTTAACAGAACAAAGACTGACTTCCCCCAATAAGAAGGAATTCTGTCAGCAGGCTGCAACTGTTCTCCGATTCTCCAGCCTGCCAGACTACCCCATCATAATTTGGATTTTCCAAGCCTGTGTAATACAATTACATAGCCATTTCCTTAAAATCTCTCTCTCTCTCTCTACATATATATATATATATATATATATATATATATATATACACACACACACACATATATATACACACAAATACATATATGTATATGTATGTATATATGTGTATATATACACACACACATATATATTTAATGTATGTGTGTATAGCACATATACATATTATATATATAACAGGTGTATATTACATATATATTACAAAGACACATCCTATTGCTTCTTTTTCTCTGAAGAACCACAACTACTGCAAAAATATAATTAAATCTTGAGAAGGCAGATTCAGATACAGATGGTGGACAGACATTAGCTAATTAAACATTTTTTCCCAATGATGAGAAAAAAATGGGGTCTCTTTAATTAATAAGATTGGTAAATGGATGAAGAGTAAAAAAAGCATAAGTCTAGAGCTACTCTTGCTTAGGGGCTACATTTCCAGGAATATATGGGCCACACTTATCTCTTTAAGCTGCTAATTAAGGAAATTCAGTAAATGAAGTTTTACGTTAGACTTTAATACTATTTCCAGTTCCCTAAAATGCTCCGTGATTTAATTCTACTCTCTAGGAAACAACTCTTTAAAAAATAAAACAGTAAAACTGCAATGACTGTTTTAAAGGCTCTCCTATTATTTTGGACTGTAAATAAATTTTAATATCTTTGTAGATCTTGATTGTGTACAAGATGAGAGACACAGCTTCTTTCATTGACAGAGTTTGTGTTCTTTAAAAAGCAAACACATAATTGACAATGGAAATTCTAAAAATGGCAAATGCAATATTTAACAACACAATTGATGGATTTAGAAATACTTAGACTTCGATGAAGAAAGAATGCCAGTCATTAGAAAATTGTTGCTTAAAAAAATAAATGTAAGCTGAATAAAGGAGAACATTTTGCTTTAATATCTTCAAGACATTTAGTAACTAAATTATGGTGCGTATTGTGTTATAAAGAACAATATGTTAGCACTGCATAGTTGATTAAACTTGGATGTTACTAGCCCTGTGGCCATTTTTTAAATGGTGTTAAACATTCTTCACTGTTTCACAGGGTAAGTGTAAAATGAGGGTAAGATGAAATGATATAGCTTTGAAAAACTAACGTGCATAACGGATGCTATCTTTATAAAATAATGGTAGTGAATGCTTAACAAATGAAAATATTTGATTTATTGTAAAAACATAATAAACAACTATGAGTAAGCTAAGAACTTTCCTCGGGTAGTTAGTGCCCTGTAGTGAATAGATGATAATTAGATTTGTTTTTAAAGCAGTTACATTTTGGGTCCCATGGCATACCTCCACAAAGCCACAGGAGAGAGAAATGGTGTATTTTACCTATGTCACATCCAGTCTCAGTGGCAGAGCAACAAAGATAACTAAGAACTATATTCATACCAGATAGGAGTACTACACGGTAAAAAATGTTGTTATTTGATTGTTTTCTGGTCAAGAAAAATGGCATTAAAATACTTGACCACTTTAAAACATAATTTATATGAAATGTATCATGCATTTAAATAAACTATATATGTATAAATATATGTGTAGATGTTTATAATGTACATATGTCAGATGGAGAATAATTTATGAACTTTGTACGCAACACCCAACTTACGAAACTGGCATTATTAGTACTCAAGATTTGCCATATCTTTACTTTTTGTTTTAGATTTGCCTTACATTTACAAATCTCCCCAGCATATAACATTCTATTTTTGTTTATTTTTTACTTTTTATGTAAGTAGAAAAAATACATATTCCTTTGTGAATGTACGTTTTACTTTTCCTGTGGACATTCACCCAGGTTGATAAGTGAAAGTGGAATTCATTCAGTGTAAATGTTGTATACTGTTATCTTATATGTCATTTTTACTTTTAATTATTTAAGACATTTGAGTTGATTCAGTTTTTTTTTCCGATTAAAGCCACACTGCTTTCGCGTTGTATGTATTTGTCACAGTGCATACATGTAAGAGTTTCTCCATGATATGTACCAAAGAGTAAAATTACTGAGATTAAATAATGGATTATTATCTTCAGCTTTACAAGACAACTCTAAATTGCTTTCTAATGTGATTTCCCAAGTATAGTCATACACTCCCATTAGTAGTGTATATAAGTAGTCCTAAATCTTTCAACATATAAAAGCACATCCTCATCAACACATGAAAGATTCAGATAGTTTAATTTTTACCAAGTTGGTGGGCATAATTTTTTTCTCCTTATGTTTTGAATTTCTATGCCTCCAATTACAATGTGACTCACATGTTGATTTACATAATAGCTTTTTCCTCCGTGGAGGTTCTGTTCCTGCATTTTTGTTTTTTTATTAGGTTGATTTTTTTCATCTCATTGGATACTATGAGTATTGTATGTTCTAGATACTAATCCTTTGCCAGTTATTTGTAGTACAAACATTATCTCCTGATTAATGTTTATATATAGTAATTTAGGCTTCTGCAAACTTTTAGATTTTTTTTTTGTTGAAATCGTTTCTTTATTTAGCATCTTTAGACATCTACACCCCCTTTGAAACTATAAAGATATTTTTATATTGCCTTTTAATAGCTTTGAATTTCTCTCTTTCATATCAACAACTTTCATCTCCCTGGAATTAATTTTTGTACTGTGTTACAGAAAAATTATTCAGCAATGCTTGTTAAAGCACAGTAAGGAAGACTGTATTCAAGACCACTGCAATAGGCATAGGGGCCACTGTGAGGGGGTCTTGCAGTATGGAAGAGAGATTGACCTCAACTGCAAATGCAGCCTAGGCAAGTGGGGATTTATAGACAAGGAGCAATGTGGGGGTCAGTGGTTGGAAAATTACTAAGGAGAAGCATCAGGGGTAAGGGAGATTACAGCTAAAACAACTAAACAGAATTCTTGCTTAAGACAGGCCTTGGTGATCAAACATCACCTAGGAAATGGTGGAGGATGAGGAACCTGATCAGATACTAAGAATGATCAGATATTGAGGATGAGGGTTTCTTGCTAAAGTGACTTAGCAGGATTCTTTGCTAAAACTAGATTTTATAAGATGTGCACAGATGGGCCTAATAGAAAGTTTAGAAGCCTGATTAAAGTTTGGCTAAGCAAATTATCTTGGTCAATTGTGAAATAATAGAACCGACTCTTTTTTTAATATATAAACACTGTCCCAATACAATTTGTCAAAACTTCATTAATTACCTTTGATATAGAGAATCATCTCTATATTAGTTTTTCAAAAATACATGTGATTTTGCTTTGTGGACTTCCTATTTTGTTCCATTTTTCTATTAATCTACCACGAGTCAATATTGTTTTAGTTATTATATTTTTTATCACGTTGACATTGTTTGAAAACAATCTTTTCACCTTGCTTTCTTTCTTCAGAATAACCTTGCCTATTATTAGCTCCTTTCCTTTTTCTGCTAATTTTAGAATCGTCCTATCATCTTCTATTTTTAAAATATATGTATTTTTGGTGTTTTAACTGGAAATACGTTGAATATTGAGATCATTTTGGAGAGAATGACATCTTTATATTAATGACTTCCTATCCATAAACATGTTAAGTTTCTCAAACTTTTTAGATATTTGTTTTTTTTTCAAAAACTGTATACTTTCCTACATAATGTTCTTACACATTTGTGTGTTTTAATCCTAATATGTTATATTTTGTTGCAAGAATAAATATTTTCTTTTAGAATTAAGTTTTTATAAATCTGTAGGTTTTATATGAAAATGTCACTAGATTTAATTATTGTAGTTGTGTCTAGGAATATTTCTAGACCCTCTTACTAGTTCTAATAATTTTTCTATACAGTCTGTTGATTTTTACATGTGTTGATATATGTAAAAATGTATATTAACTCTGGAGAACTAGGGTCTTTTTATTATCTTATTAATTTTCTTATTTTCTTCTTTTTTCTTCTTGACTTTCTGCACTAGGTAGGGTATTTCTACCTAAATGAAGTCCTCAGACTAGCACATTGTCATCACTGTGGAGGTCGCTAGAAATACAGAATCTCATGCACATTCAGGTGAACTGAATCAGAATGTGAAATTTGAAAATATCCCTAGGTGATCCATGTGCTTATTAAAGTATAGGAAGCACAAGAATATCCAGAATAATTTTGAATAGAAATGATCATGATAGGCACATGGATTTTATAAGGAATGTATTGATGTTTCATCGTAGAATATAACATTTCTTGTATGTTTTGCCTCCAGATAGTCTTATCCTTACAATAGGTAGTTAGACATGAGCAGCGCAGGAGAGCCCCCCACCTCCCCACCCCACCAGGAATGCCCCTGCCTCTGGTGCCTCTATTGCTACTCTGACTTCAACTTTTACTACTCTCTTCCTTACTTATGCCCCTTCAACTACAGTAGCCTCATTGGTGAACTAGCACCATATCAGAAATTCTCTGCCTCAGGGCCTTTGTATTTGTTCTCTCTTTCTTACTGCTGAAACTGGCATTTCCACAAGAATTTGAATGTCTCTTCTTCATCAATATTTGCTCTTTACTCCAATATTTTTATTTTCATGGATTTTCTTCCATATAAAATATGGTCTTTCTATTTAAAATTGCCCCATTACTCACCCAGGACCTTTCTATTACCCCTTCTATTTTAGTTTCCTATATATCACTTATTATCATCTGACATATAATGTTTTTTAACTTAAAGTATGTTTGTCTCCCTCTGTAAATGCTAAGTTGCACCAGTGCCCAGAGGAATGCTTAGCACATAGCAGGACCCCAATAAATTCTTGTTGACTGAATGAAAGAAGTCAATGGCACAATGAGGAAGGAGTAGTATATATGCGTGAGTCCATGCTGTTGAAGGGCTCAGGGCAGCCTTTCTTCATCCCTACTAAGACCATGTTATGAGTCTTTCCTACGGACTCTCACGGTACCCTTCAATTTGTCCTTAGCTAGAACTTGCCATTTGCTTTTTTTTTTTCTGCCTGTTTAATTTTAAGCTACTTGATGTAAAGGAACATGTCATGTTAATCTGTGTACCTGTAGAATCAGTTCTCAATAGGTATTTATTGAATGCATGGATCTACTAGATAATAGCAGATAAAATAAGAAAAGAAGGCAATTACTCTGCTGCTAATTAGGTTTAGGAAAATAGTTAAACATAAATGATCCTGCCTGGTTTCAAAGGAGTTTTTTAGCAACCCTCTCAATACTGACTTAGAAAATCATAGATAATAGATTAAACCATAAATCATAGATAATCTTACATAAACAGTAGAGTGTTCCTAGCATTTCCTGAGCCAGACATTTTGGGTTTAAATTTTCATTCCACTATGAACCAGCTGGTGTTCCTTGGTGAAGATACCGAAACTCTCTGTTCCTTAGTTTCCTCATTGTTACAATCGGGGTGATAATAGTAACTTATCTGTTAAAGTACTAAACAAATTACCAGATTTAAAGCACTTAGAATAGGGTCTTGGACATAGCAAACACTCAATAAATCCTGGCATTATTATTATTGTTGCTGTTATCAGTAGCACTTTTATTAATAGATCATGTATTTCCTTTTTGAGTAATTTAAAACACTTTGTCAAGTCCTATTCCAACCCCAGCACTACCTATAATAAAATATTCCTACCACATGGGGTGTAGGAAAAAGGCATACGAATAATAAAGAATGAAAGAAAAAGAAACCAAAGCAAAGTGGCTTGCCATGAAAAATAAGGGCTCATCCTGGAGCAGAATTATCCATTGAGCCTGAACCCAGGTTCTTCGGTCTATCAATAAATATTTCCTAATTCCAAGTCCCCAAGGTACAGGATTAACATTTTTGATCTTTCTTTAGGGCATAAATTAGTCCATAGAAATGTGTTTCCAGTCAAGTTAATATCTGACTCTTTATATGGGTTAAATTTGATTTTCTATCTTGGGAAGCTCTGGTTTCCAAATTAGATCTTCTCTCTTATTTTAGGCTGCTTAAAAGGTTAAAAATCAAATTAAAACTTGTTTAATTAATTTAAGTTGGTTTTAGTAGTCATATGTATATCAAAGTGAACAAGGGCAATCATATTAGTACTATTTATAATTCCAGGCCACTGCATGGCAGAAGACAAGATATAATTTAATCTAGCTCAATTTGGAGCAAACCAAACTCCTCTCTGGGCTTTTGTTCAAACCCCTAGGAAACTGATACAAAAATCCATCATTTAAAAATAAAGCTCAGTATGTAAGAATGTCAAAGATTTTGAATCATTAATTGTGAAACGTATCTGGGTGCTTACTTTTGTCCCCTTAATCCTCAGATTAAATGGCATTCTACAAATAATGACACAGAATACAATAAGATTAACAGGTCGTCTCTGGTGTTAACTGTCACAGATGTTTAAGACTAAAGGTTAAGGGTATGAATCCTCCTCACAGAATAGTAAGTGAGTCTGTGTGGTATGACAGAAAATTCAGAGCTAAGAATAAAAACCTGAATCTATGCACTGAGTCTGTCATGCTGCAAGCAAGCTATTTTATCTCTCCATGTTTGTTTTCCTTTTTGAATAATAGGACTAAATTATGCCTGCTTGTTTGGATTAAGTTACGGAATATGAGAAAAGACCTAGGATGATGCCAGACAAATGTATTAATTGGACTATTATTATTAACTAAACATAAATCTGATGCTCCCACTAACACTATCATACTACTCAAAAGATTTGCTGTGGTTTGAATGTGTTTTCTCCAAAACGCAGGTGTTGCCAATATGATGGATAAGAGGTGGGATCTTTAAGAGGTGATTAGGTCATGAGGTCTCATTCCTTGTGAATGGGATTAGGTGGCCTTATAAAGGGGTTTGATTGAAGGAGTTGTCTCCCTTTGTTGCCCTTCCACCTTCTACCATGGTAGAATATAGCATTTCTCCCCTGCAGAGTTTGCAGCGTCCTCAGTACCATCTTGGATGTAGACCGTACCGTAACCAGACATGGAACCTGCTGGTGCCTTGAACTATATCCCAGCTTCTGTAACTGTGAGAAATAAATTCCTATTCTTTATACTTTGCCAGTTTCAGATATTCTGTTAAAACAGCACAAAAAATGTACTAAGACAGAAATTGGTACTGAGTAGAATGGTGAGAGTGGATCCTGAGGGAAATCAGCGTTGTCTTTCTTGGCAGTTGCCTCAGGGGAGACCATTACCATTTTCTCAGGCAGTGCAGTATGAGGGCCAATATCACTGTGGGTAGGGGTGCCCCTGCCTCTGGGGTGAGGGAGACAAAAAAGACTCATCCAAATGTAGGAGTCCAATATCCTTAGCTTCAATAGGGTCTACCCACACATCTCCATCCCAATTTGCAAGATTCCATTATTTCCCAATCAATGTTGTCACTTCAGCAGTAGATACTTTGCAAGGCCGGAAGTTCAACTTTTATTGTAATTCAGTCAATTACATGATGAGGATTTGTGTTTGACTTTTTTCAGCAATTTTAGCCCTGTGGCTAGAGGAGGGAAAATTCTCCTTCAGGAAGTACTTAGAAGCTTTTAGGCTATTTATAAGTATGTGAAGACAGGAATTTGAATCTCTGAGATCATTCTCTAATTACTTTGTCCAATGACAATAGGAGCAACCAACCAACATCATATTTCTTAGTTGTCCAAAAATGTTTGAAAGTATCCCATATAGTTACTAAGTTTCTTGCCTCGTATAAGTGGTTAATTAGGAGTATCTAGTGCAGCTATTTTGCATATCTCTATAAACAGTTCATGCCATAGACTATCTGTGCTCTCTGTACTATTGGAAGTAGAATTCTTAGTATGTTTAAATCCAATCAGATTAAAGGACCAATTTGAGAAACCTGAAAAACAATTAAGGAAACTCATCCTGAAAATTCTGTTTCTCTGGAGCCACTCTCAGTACAAAAATCTATTTTAGTCAGTGTTCTCCGGAGAGGCACAAACAATAGGAGGTATATTATATATACCTGAGAATCCAGGGAATCACTGGTGTGAGTCCAACAGCGGGAGAACCTGGGGTTTCAAAGTCCAAAGGCAAAAGAAGGGCATCCCAGTTCTAGAAGCAGGAGAAAGAGAGAGAGAGAGCAGTAATTGGCTCTTTCTCCTTTTTGTTCCATCCAGGTCCCCAGCCAATTGCATGGTGCACATCCACCAAGAAAAGATTGAAAACAGAGTCTTCCCCACTCAGTCCAACAACTCACATACCAGTCTCCTCCAGAAACACTCTCACGGACACACCTGAAACAGCCCACTAATTCTAATCAGATGTCAAACCATCTTGTTTCCCTTTCAACAGAAGAGGGATATGCTCAGTGTCTACTGAAGCACTGAGAATAATACAATGATTGAGAATAATCCTTTACCAGCTATCTGGGTATCCCTTAATTCAGCCAAGTTGACGCCCAAAATCAACTATTACAAGATACCATTATAACTCTGTCCCAAACATTGAGTGTTAAGTCAGCAGCTAATGACTGAGGTATTATAATAGGAGAAGAAAAAAAATACTCTGATCTCCTATTTTAAAAATTATCTTTCACCTATAAGCAATGCATTCTCTTAAATATAATTATCATCTAGCGATTCTTAAAGCGCATACTGCAACACTAGTGCTGCTTCTGTAAAAGGAATAAACATAGAACCCACTTCAGACATTGGAACAAGATTCATAATGAAGATATATTTCATAATAGGATGATGCTGCTCATTAAAAAACACTCTATCAAGTTCTACTTCATTCTCAGAACTGCCTCCAATAATACTCAGATTATATTTACAATTCCAGGTGAAAATATCCCTTGCAAACTTAATGATTATCTAACAAATACTCTAACAACATGGATGATAGTTCATCATGGACAAAAGAAATCCATTCCAAGGCTAGACACCATAGGACTATCCAAAAGGAACAAATGAGAGAACTACTCATCGGTGAAGGATGACTGGAGGTGCCAGGAAGTAATCTTCAGTGATTAAATAGGAGAGCCTCTTCTAACACAGCAGGTAAGGCATAAATAGAGTCAGAGTAGACTGATGTTACAGATGAGGGTCAGTGATTATGGACCACACCTAAAAGAAACTGAGGACCTCTTCATATGTGCAGTATCTCCTATGCCCCTTTACCTTAAGACAGATTTAAAGCACCCTTCAATTGGATATTCAGTATAAAAATGATTAAATGATAGGAACTATACTTTGCATTTATCTTCAAAATACTAATCTCAAACTGAGAGGTTTCCTAGTCAGAATCTTTCAGAGTTCACACATTTTTTTTGCCTTTACACCTTTTAATGCAGCTGCTTCCAAATACAACTTTTAGACTAAAATATATTTACTCAATTCTGTATTTGTGAACATTTAGCTTATTTCCAGTTTTTAAATTTTATAAACAACCTTATCATGAACTACTAATTATATTATTGAAAAAAATGAAACCTCAATGTGTAACATTTTAACTTGCTTGTTCAACTCTCTCTGACTGCTATTACCTAGCCACCACTGATCTATTTACTGTCTCTATCACTTCACCTTTTCCAGAATGTCATAGTGTTGGAATCATACAGTTTGTATTCTTTTCAGATTGGCTTCTTTAATTTAGTAATATACATTGAGCTTCTTCCATATATTTTCATGGCTTGATAGCTCATTTATTTTTGATGCTGAATAGTCTGCCACTGTCTGGATATACCACAGATTATTTACTCACCTACAGAGGAACATCTTGATTGCTTCTAAGTTTGGCAATTATGAATAAAGCTGCTATATTTATTAAAACTTGTGAACATTTGGGTAAATATCAATGAGCACAAATGCTGGATTATATGGTAAGAGCATGTTAGTTTATAAAAAATTGTTAAACTGTCTTCCAAAGTGACTGTACCATTTTACATTCCTAGCAACAATGAATGAGAGCTTCTGTTACTCCGTATTCTTGCCAGCATTTGGTGTTGCCAGTGTTCTGAATTTTGGGTATTCTAATAGGTGTGCAGTATCATCTCATTGTCTTACTTTGCAGTTCTCTAATGACATAGTATGGGAAGCATCTATTAATATGCATATATGCCATGTATATATCTTCTTTGGTGAGGTGTTTCTTCAGATCTTTAGCTTATTTTTAATCAGGTTGTTAGTTTTCTTGTTGTTGAATTTTAAGAGTTCTTTGTATATTTTTGGATAACAATAATTTTTCAGATGTCTTTTACAACTATTTCTCCCCATCTGTGGCTTCTCTTTTTACACTCTTGATGTGTCTTTTGTAGAGAAGACGTTTCTAATTTCCATGAAGTCAGCTTCTCAATTATTTCTCTGATGGATCATGCCTTTGGTGTTATATTTTACATATCATTGTCATGCCCAAGGTCATCTATGTTTTCTCTGCTATTTTCTATGAATGTTGTAGTTTTTCATTTTACATTTAAATCTGTAATCTATTTTGAATTAATTTTTGTGAAGGGCATGAGATCTGTCTAGAGATTCACTTTCTTACATGTGCATATCCACTTGTTAAAGCAGAATTTCTGGAAAAGACTCTCCTCCATTGCATTGCCTCTGTAGACTTGTCGAAATCAGCTGATTATATTTATATGTATTTTTTTCTGGGCTCTTTATACTGTTCGATTGATCTATTTGTCTATTCTTTCTTAATACCATACTATCTTGATTACTATAGCTCTGTAGTCAATTTTCTATCCTTTCATTGTCACTTCACATTCTAGGACACCAAAAATTTAAATATCTATGGTGCCTCCTATGTCATGTAATCTTTACTCACTCTTTTTCACTGTTTTTTTATTATTATTTTTGTCTGACCATGTTACTTCAAAAGACCTATTTTCAACTTCTAAAATACTTTTTTTCTTCTTGACCTAGTCTATTATCAAAGTTATAAAATGCATTTTGTATTTCATTCAATGAATTCCTTCATTCCAGAATTTCTTTTGAGTTCTTTTTGATGATATCTATCTCTTTGGTAAGTTTCTCATTCATATCCTGAAATGTTTTTCTGTTTTTGTTTTGTTTTTTGTATTATTTATCTGAGTTTTCTTGTATCTCACTGAGATTCTTTAATATCATTATTTGAAATTTTATAAGATTTCATAACTTTTTTATTGGAATCTTGCTGGAGAATTATTGTGTTCCTTTGTAGGGATTATATTTCCTTGATTTTTCATGTTTCTTTTGTCTTTATGTTGATATCTGTGCATCTGGTGTAATAGTCACTTCTTTCAACTTCTTGGATTTGCTTTTATGTGGAAGGAATTTTTTCTGAGGAGTTATCTATGGTGTTGGTTGGGTAGGGCACTTTGGTTTTGATTCCAGGTGGGTGCAGTAGTCTACTCTCTGTGTGATTTATGGTTTTGATTCCAGGTGGGTGCAGTAGTCTACTCTCTGTGTGATTTATTGGGCTGTAAACAGCATGACTAGTGTCTGTGATTTCTTCAGTGGCTTAAGGTGGAGTTGTTAGTAGACACTGTGGTGATGCTTCTCTGGAGATGGGGACATCAGTTGCACCAGTCTTTGGGCCCCTGTGATGGTAGTGGTGGACTGAGCATGCCTATCCTTCACCTCCAGGGTGATATATGCTTGTTAGTGGGTCCAGGTGGGCCAATTCTGGGACCTCTGGGCAGCCTGCTCAGGTGCCAGCAGTGACAGCAGTGAGCCTGGTGGGTGCACAGGCTCTAAGGTTCTTCTGCAGTAGGTATGGCATGGGCAATAGAAATAGCAGTGGTAGGACAACCCTCTGGCTTCCAGGCATTCTGCGCTAATGTTAGCGGGGCTGTGATGGGTTGTACAGACCAGTTCCTAGGCCCACAGGTGGTACGTGTGGGTGGGTGCTAGCTGTGGTTTTAATGGCAGATTGCGTGGGTCTGGCCTCAGGCTCCCTGGTTGTGTGTGGGTGCTGGCTCAAAGAGGCAGTAGTAAGGTTTCTGGTGGAATGCTCAGGTAAGGACAGCAGTGGCTGCAGTGTGGCCCTGCAGCCGGGGAGGGCCAGTTTTCTTACAGTGGCAGCAGCTATAAGCAGGTGGCTTGGGAGGAAGCCCTTTGCCCAGGGTGGCTGCTGCAAGTGGAGTACTCTTTCCTCAAGGTGCTTGTAGGTGTGTGGTGGTCCCGATGCTGGGGGAAGAGGGGTTGCTACCAGTGCCCCATGTTTGTGGTAGCAGTCTGAAGCAACACCAAGCTGTGGGCAAGGGATGTCAGTGGGGATCTAGGGATGTGGACATTCAGGGACTTTGGGCCTCTGAGTAGTATGCAGTCTGGTGGGAGCTGTGTTCTCAAAATGGTGCCATGCTGGAACTACTTAAGACTCAGTAGTGTGTGAGACCCAGCGTGAGTTTCCTCTCTGAAGCAATGCCATTGTGCGGTCTCCAGGCAGCTCCCTATAATAGTCCCAGGGCCCCTGTGGGTTAAGGGGCTCTCCTGCGTCTAGGATTGCAGGAGTTTGCAGTGGGAATGTGGACCATTGGGAGTCACTCCCTTACCCTTTCCCTGCATTAGGGAGCTTTTGCAGGCTCCCAGTGGTCCCAGACCAACAGGCTGCCTCGCTTCACTCTCCTTCCTTGCCTTAGGTGTTTCCTGTTAATTCTCAGCTGAATTCTAGTGTTCTCTGTTAGGCAATCTAGTCAAAGTGTGATTATCTACTTGCTATTTTGGTTCTTCTTTGTTGGGGAGGTGAGTACCAGATGCCTCTAGTCAGCCATCTTGAAGCCCCACCCCTCTAGTCCCCCACAGAAACTCTAGAATTAGTTTGTCTTTATCCACCGAAAAAATGCATTTATAAATCATAGTCAATAGTAAGGTGATGTATGCACTAACAACCACTGGAAATTGACTACTGATGCACAATTTTCAGTGACTTAGTCATTCTTTATCTAATAAATGCAGCCACCATGCGCTCATGCTTTACCACTCCATCATTTATCAGGTGTCATCTGGTTTCTCTGTCAAATGTTCCTTCAGTTCTATACATTTTGTGATAAGTGAGAACAAATGTATTTGTATAAATATGAGTAAAGAAAGGTACAATGTAACTCTCAACTTTCAAACCTGATTTTGAAGTTGAATTATTTAAAAAGTGCACGTACCTTTTGTTGATGTATTCTCTAACCTCAAACTATAGCTATACCACAAAATAGCCTGTTTATCAGGATTAAAACCTGATATTCTACAAATGTATAACTTTGGTCTTACAATCAAATGTTTATGATTTCAAGCCTTCAGAGTTATACAATTATGGTTTGTGATTAACTGACCAGTAGTATGTGGTATAGATCCACAGGAAGAAAATCTCCAAGAGGGAAAGGTTTTTTGCTACTCCATTTCCCAAGAACCAAGAAGAGTATCTGACCTTCTGTAGTTTCTCACAAAAAAAAATGAAGGAGTGGCCTCCAGGGCTCTGTTGGAATGGTCTCTGGAAGTATCAAGCTAATGTTTGACTAAAAAATTGATACAGATGCTGGCAGTGATAGCAGTGGGCCTGGTGAGTAAAGAATTAATTCTTCAAACATATATTGCTTTATTCAATATGAAAATTACTTTTATTTAATTTTAATTGACAAGTTATTATTGTGTATATTTATGAGGTAAAATGTGATTTTTTAAAAAAGATATGGGGTCTTGCTCTATCACAAGGTTAGAGTGTAATGGCATATCAGAGCTGACTGCAGCCTCAAATTCCTTGACTCAAGTGATATTCCCATCTCAGTCTCCCAGGTAGCTGGGATTACAGACACAAGTTACTGTGCCTGGGTTATTAAAATAATCTTCATAGATTAAGAAAAGATACTCTCCAGTTGTTTTTGTTGCCCTCTCATTTCAAACTCCAATGTATTTTTGGTTTCTTCTCATACATAATACTCAAGCTAATAGTTATGATGAATTAATTTATCTGTAACATGTACTGTCTTTATTAATGTTTTATTGCCTAGCATGCATTCCAAACTTAGTATTATTAAGTTTATCTGCAAGTTTGAATAGCTCATCAAGATATGTTTTGAAATTTGGATAGACCATCAATTCCTTGGAATAGCCAACCTTGTTACTCTTCCTTTAGAATATACTCAAAATCCAACAATTTCTCTGTAATTTCACTGTCATGAACCAATCTTAGGACACCATCATCTCTCATATAGACTATGGTAAGTTTCCTAAGTGGCATCCTATTTCACCTTTATACCACCACGGCCATCTATCCTCTCACCTATACAGTTATACTCCATATAGCAGCTGTGGTGAATATTTTATCATTTACACCACATGTCATTACATCCAATAATTCCCTACCTCAATCAGAGAGAAGCCAATGTCTTTACAACAATCTGAAAGCCCCTAAATGGCCTGGCTACTTGCTACAGCTCTTACCTTCTGCTCTTACTATTTTTCCCTTGTTCATTCAGCTGCATCCATACTGGCCTTTGTGCTATTTCTTGAACATGCTAAGCACCCTTACTTCAGTGAATTTGTGCATTCTGCTTCCCCTAGTTGGAATATTCTTCATCCAAATATCTGTATGGTTCTCTCCGTTACTTCCTTCAGATCCCTATTGGCATCTTGTCCTTGAAGGAGCTATTACAAGACCTTGTTGTCTTTAATAAGGATCCCAGCCAAAGCTTGAAGGAGGGTAGGTAAATATCTTTGGAAATTTAAGGAAAGGGAATCTATGCTATGTAGCAGCACAAGTTTTTGGCAACATTGTTGCTTATAGTAACTGGGTGATCTAGCTTAGCATCCTCAACTTTTTGGCACTAATTGTTTCCCGGAAGACAAGTTTTCTACAGACAGAGTCGGGGGTGGGGGGGGATGGTTTGGGGAAGAAACTGATCACCTCAGATCATCAGGCATTAGATTTTTATAAGGAGTGCACAACCTAGATCTCTCTCATGTGCGGCTCACAAAAGGGTTCATGCTCCTATGAGAATCTAATGCCACCGCTGATCTGACAGGAGGCAGAGTTCAGGCAGTAACTCTGGCTCAACCAGCACTCACCCCCTGCTGTGCAGTCCAGTCTCTAAAAGGCAGTGGGACCCATACTGGTCCATGGCCCAGGGGTTGGGAACCCCTGATCTAGTTTAAGAGATTTCTAGACAAATGTAAAAAATATTGCCTGTTTGGCCGGGCGCAGTGGCTCATGCCTGTAATCCCAGCACTTTGGGAGGCCAAGGCAGGTGGATCACAAGGTCAGGAGAGCAAGACCATGCTGGCTAACACGGTGAAACCCTGTCTCTACTAAAAATACAAAAAATTAGCCAGGTGCGGTGGCGGGCCCCTGTAGTCCCAGCTACTCAGGAGGCTGAGGCAGGAGAATGGCGTGACCCCAGGAGGCAGAGCTTGCAGTGAGCTGAGATAGCGCCACTGCACTCCGGCCTGGGCCAAAGAGCGAAACTCCGTCACATAAAAAAAAAAAAAATTGCCTATTTTCTTCTTGCTGCTTAGAGTAAAATGTCTGGGTGACCAGACAAATAATTCCCTTCTTCATCTCCTGAGATTACAGAAATTAGTTATAACCTTCTTGATTTTTTAGCTATTGATGATTCTTTCTTTTTGAATACTACATTTGCAATGCTCATATGTTTATTTAATTTTTAGTTAAAGCCTGGAGCAGTATCAACAGCAATTGAGTTTAAAATGAGGCAGTATCATTCCACCTTTCTTGCTGAATGCCCTTCCTATGTATTGTTTACTTTACATTTCCATTGACCTTAGAATTTTCTGGCTTTCCAATGTCATGCAAATATGAGTTTTGTTGGAGCTGGGCAAAATGGACAAAGGGATTGTTTAACATTTTGAGGATATTATGTGGGAATTGCAGGCCTAGTTCTAGTGCCAGGAAATCCATGTCACAGAATTATTAGCCCCATTCTTTCTCAGCCTCATCAAGACACTCCACCGAATCCATCAAATTTTGTTCTTGTCTTATTATTTATTGATTAATTAAATGACATATTCGATATTCCACAGGGTATTAGACTAATATTCTTAAATATAAAGAAGGCACTTTAATGTTCTCCTGTTGAAAGCAATTTTGAACCACCAGTAATTTAATTCCAAATGTTTACTAATGTTTCCCTTACATTTTTCTCATTACTTCTCCATCTTTAATTTATCAAAATAATCTCCATAATCTGCTTCATATTGATCTTTTGCTGATACCAGGACATTAGTTTTTATTATACAAATCATTTTTTTTTCCAAAATGTGATTTATTTATAGTTCTCCAACATTTTGTTTAGTGGCATTCTTAGCTTAAGATACGTTCTAAATTGCCAATGCAAGCAGTAACAGTAAAAATGTATTTTTTTACTACATGTATTTTTCTATGTAGAAGACATTCAATTAATGTCTTCAAATGTATACTTAGTAGAAGATATAAGATATACTCATATGTACAAAGCTTTTACTATTTACTAGGAATTTTGTTAACTATCTTCAACTCCTGAAGTTGCCTAATAAGGACGCTTGTAAAATTCAATTGCAGAAATTAAAAAAAATTTTTTTTTTTTTTGAGACGGAGTCTCGCTCTGTCACCCGGGCTGGAGTGCAGTGGCGTGATCTCGGCTCACTGCAAGCTCCGCCTCCTGGGTTCACGCCATTCTCCTGCCTCAGCCTCCCGAGTAGCTGGGACTACAGGCGCCCAACACCATGCCCGGCTAATTTTTTGTATTTTTAGTAGAGGCGGGGTTTCACTGTGTTAGCCAGGATGGTCTGGATCTCCTGACCTCATGATCCGCCTGCCTCTGCCTCCCAAAGTGCTGGGATTACAGGCGTGAGCCACCGTGCCCGGCCGAAATTTAAAAATTTTTAACCTACAACACAGAAAGTGAAAATACAATTCAAGGTGCCATAGCTAAGTTTTGTGTTTAGATAAGTCTTTCTTTGGCTGTAGAAAGGATAGGTTTTAAAGAAATAAGTATGGCAAAAGAGCACTTAAAAAACTATTTTAGTAATCTTGACAAGAGATAATGAAAGCCTTGCTAGTATTGCGGATAACAGAAGGGAAGCATATATTAGGAAAAAATTTAGCAATAAAATTGTATTTGGTGCATCATCTGTTAACTAGGGAAAAAATAATGGGCATTTGGACAGGATTTTACTAGTAAATGCAATATTTTGCATCTTTTAGGTAAGAAAAACATTAGAAAAGAAAGCCTCAGGTCCTTTGCCTCTGAGAAAATGACTGTTAAAGGGAATTAGGGAAACATGTTGTTTAACTTTTATGTAAATGATAGAGGAAGACTCTTGAAAATACACATGTAATATTTGACAAACACATAATTATTTGTTATGAAGAAAAACAAAATGAACACATATGAATTCCCCACTGTACTTATAATTACATTACCGATACCTATTTATATGCTTCTCTCCTGTCTTCATGCCTGAGGTAGCTCTTATCCTGAAATTCTGTTTTATCTAAGAGGCTTTGAGGACTTTAATAAGGCTCACTAGCCCCCAGTTTGCTGTAATGGTAGTGGAAGTCCCTTTGGACTTGTCAGACTCAACTACATTTGTGTCACCTATGTAACTCATCATATGCTCATCTTTGAGGTGTTATAGATTCACTTCTGTTCTTTCTCATCCACATTCAATCATTTACCAGTATTGGCCCTACGACAGAAAAAGGTCATTTTCTTATATTTTTCTTTATCAGATGGTAATAAATTAACACCTGAATTGCAGAATGGGAAAACTGATATAATCTTATATAACCTTTAACTACTATATTAGCCTGTTCTCACACTGCTAAAGACATACCTGAGACTGGGTAATTTATAAATAAAAAGAGGCTTAATGGATTCATAGTTCCACATGGCTGGGGAGGCCTCACAACCATAGTGGAAGACAAAGGAATAGCAAAGGCACATCTTACATGATGGCAGGCAAGAGAGCATGAGGCAGGGGAACTGCCCTTTATAAAACCATCAGATCTCATGAGACTTATTCACTGTCACAAGAACAGCACGGGAAAAAAGGACCCCCATGATTCAATTACCTCCCACCGGGTCCCTCTCATGACATGTGGGGATTATGGGAGCTACAATTCAAGATGAGATTTGGGTGGGGACACAGCCAAACCACATCAACTATATAATCTTTAGCTATGTAACTTGATATAACTATATAACCTTTCTAACCTTGGGTAAAAAGCTGAAGGGTATGGTCCTACTTTCTTCTTAAAGAAAAAAAGAAGTCCTGTAGTTGAAGGTGTAGTGCTGCCTCTCTCTGAGAATATAGACAGATCATACCTTTTGGAAATAGTCAAGAAACACATCAGGCCACAAGGACAAATTCCCTGGGATTTCAAAAGGAGGAGAGAGAAGTTTTGTGTCTTTTACACTCCTTTGTCTTGAAAAAAGAAGATACATGTAAGTAGGAGGATGGGAATTGTATTTTTTACGCTTGTTAAAAAAATTGCTAAGAACACTACTTAGTTCTAGTAGAACTAATAAGAAAACAAATTTCTTGTTATGGTAAAAATGCATAACATTAAATTTACCATCATAGCCATTGGTAAATGGACAACTCAGTAGTGTTAAATATATTAATATTGTTGTGCAACAGAACACTAGAACATTTTCATCTTGCAAAACTGAAACTCTACACTCCATACTTGTTAAACACTAATTCCTCTTTCCGCCAGCCCTAGCCCCTGACAACCACCTTTACGTTTTATGATTTGAAGTACTTTAGATATTTCATGAATGGAATAACATAGTAAATGTCCTTTTGTGACTGATTTGTTTTGCTTAGCATAATATCCTCCAAATTTATGCATGTTGTAGCACGTGACAGTATTTCCTTCTTTTTTAGGGCTATACCATTTATCTATTCCACCGTCAATGGACATTTGGGTTGCTTCCACTTCTTGATTATTGTAAATAATGCAGTAACAAACATGGGTATGCAAATATCTCTTTAAATTCTCCTTTAAATTATTTTGGATATATACCCGGATGTGGGATTGCTGGGTCATATGGTAGTTCTAATTTTAATACTTTGAGAAACCTCCATATTGTTTTCTACAATGGCTACCCTATTTTACATTCTCACCAACAGTGCACAATGGTGCCAATTTCTCCACATTTTTGCCAACACATTATTTTTGATTCTTTTTATAGTGGCCATCCTAGTGGATATGAGGTGATATCTCCTTGCAGTTTTGATTTGCATTTATCTTATGATTAGTGATGTAGAACATATTTTCATATCTTTGCTGGCCATTTGTATTCTTCTTTAGAGAATTTTCAATTAAAGTCCTTTGCCCATTTTCAGTTGTGTTATTTGTTTTATTATCATTGAGTTGTAGAAGTTCTTTATATGTTCTGGATATTAATCCCTTATCAGATACATGATTTGCAAATATTTTCTCCCATTCTATGGGCTGCCTTTTCACTCTGTTCAAGTAGAATCTTTATTGGCTTAGTTGCATTTTAAATAGCACATGATTTGGCATTTCTGAGTCATAAGGGGTTCAGTCAGATAATTGTAGGAATCTTCACATCTTATTCAAATGTTGCTTACCCAACATATGACCTTGTCATGCAAATCTTTTGCTGCCCATTTCTGCTCTTCTTCTATTGCCCAAATAGATTAATACTTCCTCAATAATGTCCTATATTCTGAAATCTAGTTTTTGCTTCTTCCCAGTGAAATTAATCTCAGATTCTAAATTCAAAGATAAGCTAAACCCAAAATAACTTGGAAGAGTTTGTTTGAGTTGTAGTATTGAAAAGGAGCTGGAGAGCATATCTCAGCTCAGTGAGGGAGGAAGTTCCTGATCAATTATATCTGACAGAAGGATAAGGCAGGAGTAAGGCAGGCCTGGTACTATGCTTTGACTATCTATTTTATAAATGAAGACATGGTAATATCTTAGTCATTAACTAGTATTAGTACTCCAGTCAGCACACAAAAAATCTACTAACCAGAAGGGTGTTATTGATGACTAAGGTAACTATAACTTATTGAACTGTTACTATATACCAGGTTTCATGCTTTATCTTACCCCATGCTTGCAATAATCTTTGTGATAGGTATTTCCCTACTATGGAGATGGGAACACAAATTGACACAAAGAGGTTAAATATTGGCCCAGGTTTCATAATTCTAATTGGCAGATATGGCTTTCAAACTTAGAGCTGAGGGACTCAAAATATCTACTTTTCTGAATTAGAACATATGAGCACATCATCCACATATTTACCATACACTGTTGGTCATAGTATAACAGTAGTATATGATGTAAACAGGAGGAACAGTGAGATTTATTTATGATTATTGAGAGACAGACTGATGCACAATAAATTCAGGAACTGGAGAGAATTTACATTTTCATTTAAAAGAGATGAGAACACTGATTCGTGAGTGGGAGTGCTCAATAGAAGAATGGTTTAAAATGACATGAGGGTTCCTGTCATTATTTTATATAATGCATTTAGCAATGCAAAATACTTGGAAAAATTAGGGAACAGTATTACACAGCTTGTTGAGTCAGTGGAGAAGAATAATGTATGCAGTTGATGTTTCTGATCTGGAGCTGCCTAACAGTAACTTGTATAACTTCTATTTTAATCCTGGTATGATTTTACAAATATAAAAAGATGCATGGTCTTGATGACATTTGTGCCTGATATCTGATATGTGCTTGAGGAAGTTTTCATCTCCAACAGTCTCAGATAGGCCAATTCTCTTATTTTCTATGAAGTCTGCAGCACACTCAGTAAAGTGTGAAGTAAAGGACCAAAGCTTTGAACTATGAAGCAGTATTTCTAGCACATTGAGCTAAAATGGCAAAGAAACAAAATGGCTTTTTTTTTTCCCAGACACACTGATAAAATAGAATAAGAATGTAGAACAGGCTGTTTCCTTCCCTTTTTAAAAATAGTATTCTTTTAATTGGAGCATGTTCATTTAATGCTCTTAGAATTATTATCAATTTGAGGTGAGTTAATAGCAGTATCAGAATCACAAATTTAGTTCTTGCGAGAGGAAAAAAATATATTAGAATTGTATCCTGTCTTTCTTGGGGAAAGCCATGAGAACAATCAAGTGTGAAAGTTAGATTATACTGGTTACTTATACTTAATAACTTATTGAGATCACAAATCAAATCCCTGGTTCTCAAATTTTAATATGAGAAATGTAGTTTCTAAGATACATCTAAGGAGAGCCAAAAATAAACAAAATATTGTCTTTGTTACTGAACATTAACGCTATGTATTAAGAAGTGAAGTACACTGCATTCCACCTCATTTGGTATAATGATGGTAGAATCACATTGATGGATGTGGCTATTCAATATAAAGACATGATGTGCATACAGATGTTCTTTGTCATAAATATGCATATTATGTGCATTGTTGAAACATGTTTGATTCATAACACTGAGAATTGAACTTCAAGTCATAAGTTTCTTGAAGATCTAGACTGTTCCTTGACAATCATTCAAAGAAACATCATATACTGAGAATAAATCAAACCCATATATGTATTAAAAGCCAGTTTCTCCACCAACAAAGTATGAGAGAAATTTCATTTCTGAAACTTTGCTTTCGCCACAGTGTAATAGCAATAGCAGAGTCTATCTTATAGGTGCTGATCATATTCATGTGCTCTGGGAAGCTAGTACAGTACCTGGCCCTCATAATGTGCTTGGTTGCCATTTATTACCTTCCCTCCTTTGCTTTGAAACTCAAATCCTAGTACACAAATCTTAGTTTCATACATGGCAGGTAATCAATAATATTGTCTTTTATAAAAGAAATAGCTAGGCCAGGCACAGTGGCTCACACCTGTAATCCAAGCACTTTGGGAGGCTAAGGTGGGCAGATTGCCTGAGCCCAGGAGTTCGAGGTCAGCCTGGGCAACATGGTAATAGCCAGTCCCTACGAAAAGAAGAAAAATACAAAAATTAGCTGCACATGGTGGCATACAGGTTGAGAGGCTGAGATGGGAGGATCGTTTGAGTCCAGGAGGCAGAGGTTGCTGTGAGATGAGCTAGCACCACTGCACTCCAGGCTGGGTGACAAAACAAGATCCTGTATAAAAAAAAAAAAAAAGTAATAATAATAACAAAAAATAAAAATAATAAAAATAAAAAAACAGCAAAACCATTTTATCAAGGTGCATTTCACATGCCATAAAACCCACCCATTCTAAATGTATGATTCAGTGGTTCGTCTGTATAGAAAATTTCCCAAAATACACAGAATTTTCCTTCGGATAATTAAGGAGCTTATGAATTTTATCATATGTTAGTAAAGAAATGTAAACCTTATTTCTGTATGCTAGCAACCATCAAACATTTTAATTTATCAAATTTATAATAGCAACTAAATGTGATTTTTGTAATTTATAATAGCAACTAAAATAGGACTAGAAATAAAACATACAATAAAATGTATAGAGACCTTTATGAAAAAATTATCAAACATGATTGTAAAACATTATATCAATATCTTCAGCTTATCAGCTATTTCTCTAGTAATATATAGATTACAATGCTTTCCCATCAAAATTCCAATATATACTAATTATAGGACTTAATAATCAGATTCCAGAGTTTATAAGGAAGACCAAATGGCCAGAAATAACTATAGCATGACTGAAAATGACCAAGATATAAGCTTGTTCTACCTGATATACAGATTTATTATAAAGTTACAATTAATGCAGCGTGGCACAGGTATAAAGGTAGGTAAAATGAGGTATATATATATACACACACACACACACACACACACACATATATATTACATATATATTGCTTATATATGGCAGAAGTTATCTCAGATTAATGGGGAAATATGGACACCATTCAATAACTGGTATTTGTGACATAGATTTATACTGTACATAAAAAGTAAATCCAAATGGTTAAAGAATTGCATGTAAAAGACCAATCTTTAAAATTTTGGAAGGAAATAGGAAACAGACAAAAATATTTTTATCACCTTCTCATATGAAATGTTTTTTTAACTGAGACACAAAATATATGATTCACAAACCTAACAAATGAGGAATTATATTGGAATCTAAAAATTCCATTCATTAAAGGTATGGCAAAATAGGGTACAGAACTTCGAGAGTGTACTCATACATTTATTGTCAGCAAAGCTATAAATAAGGTTTATACTTTAGATAAAGAAAGCCTAAAATTTTATAAGGAAAATTCACATAACCAAATAGAATAATAGGCAAATGGTATTTAAAGAAATTTTAAAGAGAAGGAAATAAACTCATTTAAAAAGTTTCAATCCCATCAGGGAAATGCAATTTTAAAAAGATAGGAATTATCTCACAACTACCATACTGAATACAGAAAAATTGATTTCAATAGTTTTAGAGAGTAAATGGCTAATCAACTCCCGTATGCTCTTGGTGGGAATGCTTTTAGTTGGTAACATTGCATTGTAGTTCAATTTGGTGGTGTATTATTGGTCCCTACATAGCAATGAAAATGAGTGAACTACAGAAATACACACTAATATGTAGGGGTCTTAAATAATATGCTAAGAAAAACAAGCAAGCCATGAAAGAATATGGACGTTTTTATGCATTTTATATAAATTTCATAAAAAGTAAAATTATTGGGGATCCATTCATATGAGGTTATTTTAGTTTATTTGTGGTGCTATAACAACACCACAGAGTGGTCATTTATAAAGAACAGGAATTTCTCATGTTCTGGAGGCTGCAAGTTCAAGATCAAGGCACTGGTATTTGGAGTCTGGTGAGGGTTGCATCATCTGGACGGGAGGAACACTTTGTCCTCATATGGCCAAAGGCAGAAGGGCAAATGGGAGAGAACTCCCTCTGTTAAGCCCTTTTATAAGAGCACCTAATCCTATTCACAAGGGATGCACCTCCATGACCTGATCACCTCTTACAGGCCCTGCCTCAATACTATCACATTGGCAACACCTAAATTTTGGTGGGGATACATTAAGATCATAGCAGAAGTCCAAGTAAAATGGCAAGCAAAAAAAAAATGATAATATTCAGGATAGATATATTTGGGAGGGTGAGTGCAATTCAGGAGGAACAGAGGGGTTCAAACTTTTCAAAGAGATTAGAGGATAAGATAGAGCAATTTACTTGCCAAAGGAAAATTCTCTTTAGTTGCAGGTAGAGGAGAGTGGAAGTGCTCATATGTGAATAAATCTTTTCTACATCATAAAAAGCAAATACTTAAGTGACCCCTGACTTCTGTAGGATTTTCTATGTTGTATAACTAGCATACTTTCTTTTCTTCCTTTTCAATAATTTTATAGATTATCAGATAAAGTGTTGCTGTTATAAAGTGTGTTAGCTATCTACAAATCTCTCTCTCCATCACACCAAACTTACTGCTTCACTGATTCTTTCTTGCATGGATTCCATTGTGAGTTCATATTCTTACTCTAAATAAAGCTCTTCTTAAAGAATGTCTGCTATTGAATTTTAGGACTTTCTGCCAGTATGCATTTTCCAAGAATGACAATGGCATTTTAGTAAAGTGTTTCCCTAATAAAGTACTTGCTCAATATTTACTATGTTCAGATATCATTTTACTCAAATGAAACTACTGATAATTATTCTGCTGTAAATTGTGTAATATTTCCCTATTAGAGGATGTTGATTAGTCAATACTGAGTCATGATACTAAATGAATCCAAGAGTAGTAACAGTAGAAGACTTTCTGCAGGGAAAAAAAGTCATATAAGTAAAAAAACACATGATAAAAAAAGACAGATACAGTTTTAAATCCCTGCACCACAAATTAACATATGTGTGACAGTGGGCAAACTACCTAAACTCTCTAAGCTCCACATTTCTTGGTCGTCCAGAATCTGATTTGCTATTGGTAGTAGAGACACGTGAAACTCCCAGCATACTTACTAAATGAGAATAGACACACAATAAGCCATAACTATTAGCATTATTTTGAATATTGTTTTCTGCATGCTAAAAACTTTTGGAAATATATAGCTAATTGTAAAATATTTGACATTTTCCTGTCCAGAACCACTTGCATCCTGAAATTGCATCTGTATGTTAAAAATTAGGTTCACCTTTTTATGAGAAGTAAGAATACTAGTTTGAAGGCCAGCTTTTGTTTGAAGACTAGTTGCAAGATGTATAAATTTGGTAAGAACCATCACTTTTTTCAATGATATTAAAAAAAAATTAACTGATTTTTCAATCCAGCCAAGCCAATTTGCTGATGCTCAAACCTCTGTGAACAGCTCTGGCCAAGAGTTGAGGTAGAATTTATTTCTCTATAAATTTGATTTTCCTTCTGCTCACTGGTTCTATTAATTCAATCAGCCATTCGTTCATTCCTCTCTAATGTCTAATGAACATATAATATGTGTCCATCATTAGTTAAAGAGCACAATTCTATCTCTCTTCCCCTGGAAAATACTTAAAATACTTTAAGACAACTATGAAACTCTGACTTTACCTCTTAAGCATCATAATTACATTTTACTTTATCACTCTATAAACTTTTGTCTTTCTTCACCATCCTAATCCCAAAATATTTGTATCTCTAACAAGTCATGATTACAATTGAGTGAAAGTTCTTGCCTTTTGTTATTTAAATTATATCTTGCTATGACATTATCTTAAAACATATTTTATAATTCCACACTGAGAAATGTACTAAGTTGAGCTACTGGATTATTTTGTAATTGATCTTAACCTTTGATCCCCATGTTGTCCTAGAGATAAGAATCTCTTGGGGGGATGTTATTAGTAGAGTACAAATCACCAAATCTCACCTTTGAATATTTTCATTCAGTAGGTCTGGGTTGAACCTGGCAAACCTACTTGTGTTTTTATTTTGAAATAAATACTCAGGTAGTGTTTCTTTTCTTTAAAAAAGTTTGCAAAACATTGGTATAGTATATTATAAATACAATTATATTAATTATTAGTGATAATGATGCCATATGTTTAAATCCCTTCCCTGATTTTGGATATTAAAACATGAGATTTAAGTTAATGCTGAACCAAATATTTCAGAGTGGCCACATCTAACTCAGTAGGCGGTAGGGGCAAGATCCTTGGAGAACCAAAAGGTCCAGTCTGACTCTTTCATTGACTGGCTATGTAACCTTGGACCAGATACCGAATTTCTCTTAGCCTCACTTCAGTGATCTATAAAAAAAAAAAAAAAAAAAAAGCTTTTGTATACATTTCATAGAATTTTGGGGAGGGTAAAATGAAACAAGGTAGCTATATATGTGTAATGGGATAATAATCTGTAGAAAATCAAGCTTATTATAATTTTAAACTATCAATAACACTTCTACAGATTATCTAAGGCATAATGAATCGATTAAAATAAAGAGTTTTCTAGTTTATTCTCTTATTAGAAATGTTTGGCATTGTCATTTTATGCACATTCTTTTCTTAAGAAAGATTCTAGACCAACTGGTACCAAGAATGCTGATATTATTATGTACATCATCTCCTGCGTTAGAACTAGAGACAAACATACAACTAATTATTTGTAAAACGTCTGTCAGTTTTACTGAGTCCTCAGGGCAGAAGGAAACTGTTATTAAATCTAGGCCTTTGTATTGATGAGGGCAATCTATGGACCAACTTCACTTGACATTTAACAAAACTGTGGGTGGTCATTACATATTTTGAGCAAGTAAATAAGTAAAGGTCTTCTGTGTGCTCTAATACATAACCAACTCTGCAATTTTAATTTTATTTCAAAATCCTCAGTGGGCAAAAACCTACCAACACAGCCACAATTTTTTTCTAGAGCTTGTTTATCTTTCAATTTTTTTGCTCGTACATGCCCTCTTATCTCCTCCATTTTAAAGTATTATACATTTAAAATATTGTACCTGTTAAATAAGTGATGTGTGTTTTCCCTTTTCTAAATTTCTCAAGGAAGAGTATTCTCTCATATTTCTAGTTTATGTTGAGGCTGTACTGCCTCAAGAACCCTCTTGAATAGAGAGTCCCAATAATAATCAATGACATAATAATGTCTAAATTTTTCTTATTCATTCTAAAATAAGAATAAACAAAAATGCATATAGGCAATTACCCTATTACTTCACTGTCACCAAAGCATAGTAAGCCCTCATTTAAAATCATTGATAAGTATGTGGAAATTATGACTTTAAGCAACACACATATAATGAAACCAAATTTTTTCTCATCAACTAAGGATGTTATTTGAAGAGCTGTTACACATTGATTTACTTAAAGTCACAGTTTCCAAGAATCTATCAATAACATTAAGTAAGGACTTAGTATGTCTTACTGAGTTGTACTGTGGATATGTAGTTTTTGGCAATGTGTACTTTTATATATGATTTATGATGAACACCACATCTTGACTTTCATTGTGTTAAACTGCTAGAATGAAAATTACATTAGAAAGTCAGGGCATAGACTCTGAATTGTTTCAGGGTTTTATAAAGTAAGAAGATGCTTTCTGTCCTTAAAGTGTTTTAAATCTAAGAACAAAATAAGGCAAAGATACCTCTTTTAGTCATCCATTAAACCTATATTGAGCATCTTCAATCTGTATCCTTCAAAGAGTGGGCACTAGGAAACAATAATTACATATAAATGAGAGACAAAAAAGAAGGGGTAGCTATATGAGTAGTAGAGTGAGACAGAGGAAAGAAAATGGCCTTTAAAATCAGAGCAAGCATCTGGTACTTACCAAATCTAGCTATTGATTAAATCACTTACATTCTCTAAGCTTCAATTTCTTCACTCATGGCTACATCCTAAAATGTTATATAAAGGGAGTAAAAATTCACATATTGTCTTAATTAGGAGATAAAATAATTCTTAAAAGAAATTGGTGTACATTTTGAAGTCTTGGAGCAGAGGGAGGAACAGGAAAAGAAAATGTCTTTTATTTATGATAGATAGATAGACAGGAGATGAAAAGCAGCTATTTAGCAAAGTGCCCTTTCAGTAAACCGAGCTCCGACAGCTGTCAAATACCATCATAAGTTTGAAAAGATCTGTGTCAGTCAGTCCTGGTAAATTGTCTGTAGAAATTAGAGTTACAGTATCACCTGGCTGAAGCATCTGTCAAGAATCTGATTATCTCTTCACTGTTCGTCCATACTTGACTTATTTTTTAAACAGAAGCAAAGCATTATTTTGTAAATAAGAAATAAGTTTGCAATATAAATACTAATAGAAATAATATTGTATAAGTAAATGAAGACCACCTAAATGAGGGCAAGCAGAGGCGATTTATGCAAAGCTTGCAATAAGAAGGAAGGCAGCCACCATCAGTTGCATTTGGGAGAGATATACAGGCAAGTAGGAAAGTGTGAAAAGGTTAGAGTTTTCGTTTGTTTTTAATGGAAGGCTTCAGATATGCTCATAGTGGAGGTTGCTGGCATGGGGAAACTAGAGGCAGGCTGAAAGGAGTGGAGCATCCTCTGAGATTGTTTTGGGAGCATTTTTGGCTTTCTCTAGTTCATACTAAATTGGAAGCAGAAAGCTGGGGCAAAAATTAGGGAAGCTGGAAGTTTTTGATCAAGTCCTGACTATTCTGAGCCACACGCTGCAGAGGTTGTGGTTTGATTTCCCAAAGTGGTTGTTCTAGAGGTTGTTGGTCAGAGTTCTGTTTTCATGTTGAACTGGTCATTGTCCATTTGTTTATTCAGTCTCTCCATACATACAGATTTATTGCCAAAGTAAAATCTGTCAATTATTCAGCTAATATAAATTACTGATAACAGATTTTGGATCAAATTGATTAAATTACATGATTAATTGAGGTATCAAAAATGAGAAGGAGAAAAGGGAAAACAAGAGATGAAGTTTGGAGGAGATGCAGGATAATGCAGTAAAAAATAACGTCAAGTCAATGGCAGAACACATGAATGAACTGTGCCTAGCTGAATAATTATAACACAGCTTAGGGTCCATGGATAACAACAGCACACATATTCTATTAATACATATTTATTGATTTCGTATAATCAAAACTCTTTGCTGGAAATAGAGATATTAAGAAAAAATGTCATTGTCATTGTTCTCAGTTATTTTCAAGGTGTGGAATTTCTTTACGAACCCTCCAGAATTCACTGCCCTCAATTTCCTTCAGCAGAGTAGGCTGAAAACATTTTCTCAGTTATTAAGACAGGCATTTTCTCCTTCTTATTCACCTAATACCTGCCTAGTGATGAGAAAACTACTCTGGGACCTGAATTCCACTCTCAAGGAGGCCCTACACCAGTCCTCTGAGGCTTAAGACTGTGCCATTACCTTGTCTTCAGTCACAAAAGCCACAGACATGCATTTGGGGAGTCAGAATAGGGTCCAGCCTTCAGGCTTCACCCATATTTGTTTATTTTGTAGTCGCTATATTTGTAGTCACTATAATAATGGCTGTATCATTGTTTTACTTAAACCTTCAGGGGGTATGAGTATTTTCTGTGCATATCTTTTAATTAATGATTGATTTTTCAATAACTCTAAAGTTTGACTACAATTTGTAATTTTTAATGAACTATAAAAACATAAGAAGTTTCATAAGGAAATCAGTTGAGTACAAAATACCTGGTTCATTTGGTTTTAGTTCAGTGATGTCTTGTTAACAATTGAATTATAGAAAGGAATAAAAACAAAATTTGTCCTTGGGTGAAAACTCTTTACATAAAGAGTTTATTTTATTTTCCTGTTAATTCAAAACATTGCAGAGAATGTGATTAATATCCCTCTACTAAGCTTTGAATAATGTATAGGATAGCTCAGTATCACCAGGGGACAGAAGGAGTTTTAAAAATGAAAGCACCTTTAGCAGATGAGGTCATTACATACACTTAAACTGTATAAATATATTCTCAGTTGGAGTCCCGTCTATAATATGATTCAACATTTGCAGAAAGCTCTTACTTGTTTTCTTTTTTAAGAAGATTCATTTGTACTTTTGAAGGACATCTTTTTAAAGGAAGTGGAACTGTTCTAACGATCCACTTGATCTTCACTCCTCTTTTTATTTTCTCCTTACTGCCTTTCCTTCTTGTGTTGTTTTGCTAAATTGGCTTCCTTTTTCTTAACACGGCATGCTTTGAGTGAATTTATTTTTGCTTAGTGAATCTCCACACTCATGAAATGATTAGGCTTCCGCTTACACAAAGGCTTTTCAGAAGTAATTGAATATATAGTCATCACGAACATATTGCATTGTGGACAATTTTGTTATGCTTCTTTAAGGAGGGAAGGGAAAGAAAGACCTGAGGCTGGTGAACAACACAGCCTTGCCCTTTGTATATATAATATACTGTCTTTTGGGGGGACTTTTATCCAAGGAGTTACCACTTGTTAATTCACTAGGTCACTTGGATCATTTGCACATATACACACCAACTTGTTAAAAACAACGCTGAAAGCAGCAAACAATGAAGATTGGGTTGCTACTAGGATAAAACAGTTTGCTGCTATTTAATCTTGATGTTTCAGTTCCTAAATAGGCATTTATGTAACTTCAGAGGGCACTTTTAGGAATCTTTTTAAAATTGTGTTTTTTTAAACTTCTTCAGTGTATCATTACCTATGTGACTCACGTGTTTGATCAGACAGAACGGCACCTTTTATTTTCTTCTGAACAGCAAAAAGAAACAGTAATTGTTCTCCCATTCAATAACCAAGCACTCGTATTTTATACTGATTTTGAATCCCCTCAATACCCACATAAGTAAATTAGGTAGTTCAAGTAGTACTATTTAGGTCATTACAAAATTGTATTTTTGGAAGAAAAAGTTTACCTAAAAAATTAGATTTCTGTTTTTCTGCATATATCTTTTAATTAATAATTGATTTTTCCATAACTCTAAAGTTTGAGTGTAGTGTCTAATTTAGAATGCACCAGAAAATACAAGAATCTTTATAGGGAGACCAATTGAGTACAGAAAGCCTGGTTCATTTGGTTTTACTTCCATGGTGTCTTGTTAACAATTGAATTACAGAGAGGAATAAACACAAAATCTGTCCTTGGATGAAAACTTAAGATGAACTTCTTCAAGACAGTGTCAATACTATTTTATATCTGATTGTTTAGAAAATATTCATATATTCTGTATCTTGGATAAAGCACTAGAAATAGGATTATAGACTTATTAGAAGAGAAATATGATTAATATCACACCATTACGGTCCTTCTTTAAACAAAAACAAACAAAAAATCCACCCTGTCCCATGACACATAAAACAAAATAAAAGCTTACTGTGCTTTAACACTGTAATAGGTCATTTTCTGAGTTGTAGAGGGGTAGTAAGTGGTTCTAATGGCAGGGAATAGAGGAAATTTGGGAGGGATAGAGCTGAGACTCTTTTCAAGGAATTAGCTTATAGAAGGAAATAGAGTAGCTCTCAGTTACTATTTGAATTCCATTTCCCTTACATTATTTCCTGACGTCCAGGGAAGCCCCTTTAAATATACAATATTTGGTCTCAGTTTTTGTGTCCATGCTTTGGATATGGAGTGGGGAATAAGGCATTGCCAAAAACAGCACAGGTGACAGCAAAATTCCTTCACACAGGCCTGGGGTCAAGAGCAGCATCAGAAGGGAATGGAAGACTTCTCTGCAAGGTGGCAGTGTATTAGTCTGTTCTCATGCTGCTGATAAAGACATACCCAAGATTTATTTTACAAAGAAAAGAGGTTTAATGGACTCACAGTTCCACATGGCTGGGGAGGCCTCACCATCATGGCGGAAGGCAAAAGGCATGTTTTATATGGCAGCAGACAAGAGAGGATGAATGAACCAAATGAAAGGGGAGCTCCTTATAAAATGACCAGACCTCATGGGACTTATTCACTACCAGGAGAACAGTATGGGGAAAACCTCCCACATGATTCAGTTATCTCCTGCTTGATCCCTCCCATGACACAGGGGAATTGTGGGAGCTACAATTCAAGATGAGATTTGGGTGGGAGCACAGCCAAGCCATACCAGGCAACTTCATGGAGAAATATCTAGAAGAAAGTGAGATGGTAGCTAATATCAAAAAATGGGACAATGAGGCCTGAGCTATAATAATTTGATATAAAAAGCATTGTGACATAACTAGTAGTGATGAGCTGGTAAAATCTGAGATACATGGGATAGTAGGTGAGATTGTGGGTGAATTTTATTTTCTTCCCTTTAATACTTTTTCCATAATAATAATTTTTAATAATAATTATGAGAAAGAAACAATATTATGTTTATGTGATCATAGTGTCCAGATGGAAAAAGCTCAGGGCCTGAACTACGGTGATAACACTGGGAACAGGAAAGAAAAAACTGAAGCCATCTGAACAGACACCTCACCAAAGAAGTTATACAGATGGTAAAGAAGCATCTGAAAAGATGCATCATGTCGTATGTCATTAGGGAAATGCAAACTAAAACAGTTAGATACTACTACACAGCTATTAGAATGACCCAAACCCAGAACACTGACAACAAATGCTGACAAGAATATGAAGCAACAGAAACTCTCATTATTTGCTGATGGGAATGCTAAGTGGCATAGCTATTTTGGCCCCATTTTTTGTAAAACTAAAGATACTCTGACCATATGATCCAGAAAACATGCTCCTTTTAACGTTCTTTGGCATTTACCAAGGAGCATATGTTTACAAAAAAACAAAAACAAAACAAACAAACAAAAAAAACTGTACACAGATGTTTATCTTAGCTTTATTCATAATGGCCAGAATTTGGAAGCAATCCAGATGTTCTCCAGTAGGTGAATGAAAAACAAAACTATGATGCATCCAGAAAATTAAATATTATTCAATATCAAAAGAAATTAGCTGTTAAGCCATGAGAAGACATACAGTATGTTTCCAATTATATGATATTCTGGAAAAAGCAAAACTATGGATGCGGTAAAAATATAAGTAACTGCCAGGGGTTGAGACTGAAGAATGGATGAATAGATGAAGCACAGAGGATTTTTAGGGCAGTGAAAATATTCTATATGACACTATAATGGTGGCTATGTTGTTTTACATTTGTTAAAACTCATAGAATGTACAATACCAAGAGTGAACCTTAATGTAAACTATGGGCTTTGACTGGCAATGTGGCAACTTAGGTTCATCAGTTTTAACAAATGATCAACTCTTGTGCGGGATGTTGATAATGGGAGAGGCTATGTGGAGAGTCAGGGAAGAGAGGTTACCCTGCACTTTCTGCTCAATTTTGCTGTGAACATAAAACTGCTTTAAGAAACAAAGTCTATTTAAATAGGGAAAAATATACATGACATTAAATTAAAAACCAAAACCAAACAAACAAACAACAATGACAAACAAGAAACAGAAACCATCCTCAGAATGAATGAGCCATTTTCATTTCATTATTTTGATCCCAATGACAAGGCAGTGATGGCGATGAAACAGAAAGCAGGAAGGTACAGGTAGGTCATCTTCCTTGTGCATACCTGTCTTACATTCTTCCAGGATTCTTGGGGACATCATAATTCAACATAGAAAAATATGGTTTCAGAAGAAAAATGGACAGTAGAAATTACTGTCTCAATGAAATGCCCTGGAGCACTAAACAGATACCTGAGAAAGCTGAACTTCCTCCTTTTCAAATTGTATCAATTTTAAATCACCAGGAAAAACACAACAAATATTTGTTATATTCATTTAGGTTTTCGTGTTACTTCTCTGTACAGGTTTAGTAATAATAATAAAATTAATTGCATTAAATGATTCTTATTTCATAGTTTGCTTCAATGACTATTAAAAAATACAACTCTGGCCAGAACCTTCACAATAGTATATATGGTTGCAATGTGGGCAAGTGATTAGATGCTGTTAAAAGCAGTCAAGCACCTTAAATTCATAGAATATTTACGGAAAAAAATGAGGAAATAGGTAGAGGAAAAAAAACAGCAGATATGAGCGCTAAAGCTGTTCATAATTTAATAAAACTTACTTTGGTTCAAACAATATATCGAGTGAATACATGGTAGAGAATATGTCTCTTCTTTCTTACTGAAATAGCAGAGGACACTATTCAGCTATAATAATATAACCATTTCTAAAATGACTATTAATCAACATTCCAACATATAAACCAGATTTAAATTTTTATTTTAAAAATGTATCAAATGAAAATAAGTCATCTATGTGTATTTGTATAAGGAATTTATTTTTTAATGAGATTTATCCCCATATTCTTTTCTTTTTTCAAAAAACGTTATATTTTTAAAATATTGTACATTCTCCTTCTCCCAAAATCCTTTTATATGGCATATTTTCTGAAAGCGATGAGGAGCTAGACAGAATTACTTTATCTCCATGTCTGGAGTCTGCCACAAGAGAATATAAAGGAATGACGTAGCTTTTTGATCTTACACATTCATGCAAACTTAAATAAGTGACAAGTTTTGTAGAAAATAGAAAATACAAGGATGCTGGACAAATGACGGGATGAAGCATAGGTACACAGCCCACACACAAACAGATCACTAGAGATAATGAGCAAGCACATCGCCTGCTCCGGAATCCCACACGGTACTGAATGTACAATTAAATTACTGCTTGAGATCATGATGTAAATATTTCATTACAAAATTAAGCATAAATCATGGAGAAAGAAATGGATTCCAATATCCTTGGCACTCTTCACATAAAACTTTACATCTGGAGTTTTCTGGTCATTTTATTTTAATGCAATATAATGTTCTTTGTGGTTGGACTGTGAATAAGGTGAAAGTATGACATTTTACAGAATCCTATATCTTTCTTCTTTCACTAGAAAATGAGCGAGTAAATAGATGGCAAGTATTTTGTAAAACTGACTTGTAATGTAAGTACTTGCAACCCATTTTAAGGGGCACATATAATGGGTTAGGATCCATCTATCTTTGGGAAGAAGCTATGAGGTGAAATAAGAATGCAACTATTTTTTTGAGATCTGGAGTCTGACCCCATCTTTGCTGATAACATACTTAATAACTTTAAATCCTCTTCAACTCTTTGAGCAACAGAGATTAAATCAAATATTTTTCTCTAAAGTGCTTACTACAATGCCTTGCACACAGTAAGTGTTCAATAAACGACAGCTGCTGCTATCAGTTGCCTCAGTCATATAATGCCAGGTTTGGACTGTGTGATATCTAAGGTCACTTTTGATTCTACTATATTATTTTTCATACAGGAGGCAAAATATTTACCAGTTTTTAGGACATTGATTGCCTTTTCTTTGTCTCTGATGGATATTCTTGTATATAATGTCTTGTTTTTCAGACATTACTTGCATAGCTTTGATGAGATTGGTCATTGTTTCTGTGGCCCTGAAACATAATATTTTTCTTACTCAGGGGTAGGGATTCTGTAGCTATTGGCTTAAGAATCACCTTGGAGTGTGTAAAATGTGTTTTATAACCTACAAAAATTCTGATTCAATCGATGAGTGGTGAAGTCCAGATGATTCTGACGCCTGTGGTCTGAAGACAACAGTTTGAGAAACACTGCACTAAAGAACTAAAATTAATGGGGTGCCACTGTATTCGAGAATAGCAGGAACTGTAAGCAAGATGGGATGTTGTTGATGCTGCTAGTGTTTTTAAAAAATAAAAAACCCAAATTAAATTTTTTCTAGCAAAATAAGTACAAAATTAAAATTTAAGCCTAATTTCTGCATAAGACTGTGGCCTTACAAATGCTTGTACCATTTCTCATCTTGACATAACGAGACTTCCTGAGTGCACTGCAAAACATGGTGAAAATCTGCAGATTCCTGCAACTGCAGCACTTTCCACCAAGCAACTATGGCTATGCTTTGTTGCATTAATTGCAGAAGCAGGGAAGTGTAGCCAAAAAAAGCACATAGATTTTGTATGTGTTTTACAGCAGGAAAATATTAAAAGCTCTTCAAGTACCACTTCAGTAATCTAGCCATGTAAATCCTAAAGAATTTTATGCAGCATGAGCAAAGTTTTAGTTTTCAGCTGGACTGTTCTTAGTTGACAAAACCTGCAGAGAATAAAGAATAATCAGAAAACATGGAAAAATAAGCTGCTTAATGTGACGTTATTTTGGGGTGATCAGAATTTATGATGTGCTTATTTCACATTGCATGCCTTTATCAAAATATCTCATGTAGTCCATAAATATATACACCTACTATGTACCCACAAAATGTTTAAATACTCAAAAAATTTTAAAAGAAGAATTTATAACTTACTCCTCAGTTCACATTTGAGAGTGTCATTATGTAAAGATTCATTACAAAAGTCCCTGGAAACCTCTTGATTAACAAATAAGAGAGAATCTGAGAAAATATACACCTAAAGTGTAAGGCTGAGGTACCAACAGGATCCATGGGAAATGCTTATCTGATATTTAAAAAGGAGCTTTAACTAAAACTTACAGAGAGAGGAACAAGATAACTATTGTCAGCAAGAATATCTCCTTAAAATACGAAATGATTTTATTATTATTATTATTATACTTTAAGTTCTGGGATACACGTTCAGAACGTGCAGGTTTGTTACGTAAGTATACACATTTCATGGTGCACCCATCAACCCATCATCTGCATTAGAAAATACTAAACGACTTCTATTTTGTCATTCTATATGGATTTGTGCTGAAGTATGATTCCTTCAGATCAGTAATAAAATACTACGATATGAAATGCTTAAACAACTACTTTCTTTCTTTCTTTTTTTTTTTTTTTTGAGGCAGAATCTCACTCTGTCACCCAGGCTGGAGTGCAGTGGTGAGATCTCGGCTCACCGCAACCTCTGCCGCCCGGGTTCACGCCATTCTCCTGCCTCAGCCTCCTGAGTAGCTGGGACTACAGGCACCCGCTACCATGCCCAGCTAATTTTTTTTGTATTTTTTGATAGAAACGGGGTTTCACTGTGTTAGCCAGGATGGTCTCGATCTCCTGACCTCGTGATCAGCCCACCTCGGCCTCCCAAAGTGCTGGGATTACAGGCGTGAGCCACCGCGCCCAGCCTAAACGACTGCTTTCTAAAGCTACAAGATCAGCAAAGAATTTCTTCAAAGCACCTTGCCCAGACAAAGAGCCAAACAAAATTCTAAGATATCAAAACCTAAGTGAGACTTGGGTTGAATAGACCCTTCTAAGGCTTGGCCTCAGGAAACTGATTGTATCTTGGAATTGAACACTGTTGCTTCTGGCTAGCAAATCATGAATATAGCCAGTGGGATTGTGAGATCACTACTATAAGAAGGATTCTATCCTCTGAGACAGCAATAGGTTTTGCAGTGCTGAAAACTGGGGAACAGAAAGCAACAAACAAAGAGTACTCACACTATTCAAATGCCTAATAATCTAAAAACACCTATCAAAGCTGGGAGCTTGAGAGCTAGAGACATGAACATAAATGAAGGGTCTTGGGGATTTTTATACACCACCAGCAACATGCTGTGTAGATGAGATCATCTCTGGTTAACAGGCCAGGGAAAGGGAAAATGTCAGAAGAGGTCAGTAGGGCAGACTGGGATAAGGCCAGGTGGCTTGGCCATCATTTACCACTAAGAAAATCAACAAGGTTAGAGTCCCTTTCCTTATATTATAGGCATGATACAAGCCTCTGAGATCTTTCAGTTGACTTCCTGAAATAAGAAGGAATTTATATTACATTTACTAAACTTATCAAAGGAACATCGGAGTTATTTTTCGTTTTGTTCTCACTGTTTTTCAGGTTGGATTATTTACATCTATTTATGTATCTTCAAGTTCATTGACTCTTTTTCTATCGTCTCACTTCTACGGTTATGCTTATCAAGTGAATTTTTTTTATTTTGGTCATTGTGTTTATTGGTTCTAAAATTTTCATTTGGTCTTTCCTCTTATATTTATTTGATGAGATTTTTAATATATCTGTTGGCTTCAACAGTGTTCACATTTGCTTCCTGATGCATTTTTATAATACCTACTTTATAGTCTTTGTCAGAATATTTCAACATCTGTGCCACTTTGGTGCTGAAGTCTACTGATTGTCTCTTTGTCTTTACCCATATGAGTTGAGAGTTCCCTAATTATTTTGTATGCCAAGTGATTTTTGATCGTATCTGGACATTTTGAGTATCATGTTATGAGAATCTAGGTCTTCTTTACACCCAGTGAAGACTAGCTGATAGTCTGTCAATTCAGTCCTCAATGGCTTTGGTATAGTGAATAGGATCTGATTCATGCAGGAGCAGGTTGGGAATGTTCAGGAGTTCAAAAAATCTTTATGGGTTCATTTCCTTGCATTCCTCCCTCTCCATGATTTTCTTAGTACTTTTGAGTTCCCTGGAGTTCTTTTTGGTCCTCTGGTGGAAAAGTTGGGGTTTTAGTTATCCCACTCTGCTATAAACTTCTATAACAGAGTCAGTGCCTGAAGTTAAGGGTAGGAATACAAAGAAAGAAAAAACAATGGGATATGCCCAACTCTATTAGAATCAGAGATCAGCATGAGGGAGAGGAGGGTGGATCACCTGAGGTCAGGAGTTCGAGAACAGCCTGGCCAACATGGCGAAACCTCATCTCTAGTAAAAGTACAAAAATTAGCCAGGTGTGGTGGCGGGTGCCTGTAATCCCAGCTACTCAGGAGGCTGAGGCAGGAGAATCACTTCAACCGGGAGGTGGAGGTTGCAGTGAGCCGAGATCACGCCACAGAACTCCAGCCTAGGTAACAAGAGTGACTTTGTCTCAAAAAAAAAAAAAAAAAAAAAGAATATAATCAATATATCTTGCTATTGTTCATGTAATTTTCTTACAAAAACACACTCCTTAACATATTACATTCATGTTTCAGCAGGCAAAAATTGAGAGAGGTTTATCATGACTACATAAATCGCTAATGCTGTGACTCTTTTTCTCTTGGTTTATTAAGTGTATCAAATTAACAGAACACCTATAGGTAATGAAGAAAAGTAGTTTTCTTATATCTACTTAAGGCTACACTTCAGATTATTAAAAGTAATATATTTTTAACTTTTATGTTAAGTTCAGGCATACAAGTGCAGGTTTGTTACAGAGGTAAACTTGTGTCATGGGGGTTGGTTGTACAGATTAATTCATCACCCAGGTACTAAGCCTAGTACCCAGTAGCTGTTTTTCCTGGTTCTCTCCACCCTCCACCCTCCACCCTCCAAAAGGCCCCAGTGTGTGTTGTTCCCCTCTATGTGTCCAAGTGTTCTTATCATTTAGCTCCCACTTATAACTGAGCATATGCGGTATTTGGTTTTCTGTTCCTGTGCCAGTTTGCTAAGGATAATGGCCTTCAGCTTCATCCATGTCCCTGAAAATGACATGATCTTGCATTTTAAAGTTTAGTACTCATTAATGAAACCTCTTGACTTAGGAGAATTGCCTGCACTTTTCCCTCTGTTCATAATCAAAATATATTTGCAAGTTTTTAGAAAACCCATTCCTAGAGCTGACTGGAACAAACACAGGAGAACTGTTAGTCAGTAGATATTTTGAATTTAACGGAGTTACATATAGGGTAGTACATACAGGGTCTACTCCTGGGAGTTTTGAAAGAATACATTTAGATTTTAAAAACAGAAGATAAAAATTATCTTTTGTCTACTTTTTGTCTAATCAATTTATGGCAGGCATGTCAGCAGGCTGGTGGCCCCAGTGGCATCCTGAATCCATGTACTGAGGATGCAGTAATGGAGATCAGGGACACACCAAGCTTTCCTGAGCTGGGCTAACTTTGATGGTGTATTTTGGCCCAAGATGCTGTTATCCCATTTCTTCTCTTGGACAGTGTGTGGCTCCTAGTGCTGGGGAGCTCAGTTGAACTTTGCTGTAAATACAGTTGAGTTTTATGGAGAAAGAAAAGAGTTTAGATATGCCAGAGACCTTCTAACACTTCAGAAGAAGCCTTAAAGAAGTGTCCGAGGCTAAGGAATTAGAAATTAAGAGTAAGATGTTAGTCAAAATACGCTAGGACATTTTTTAAAAGATAAAAATTATCCTGAGCAAATGGAATGCACTTAGAAGTTAATGCAAATTATTTTGTAGGAGAATATGAACTTAGGGCTAATTTTCAGTGGGCAGCACTGGGATAATTTACTAACTATAGATGCAATTTCACATGCTGATTCATTCATTTGTTCAACTTGACTTGTTTATGCCTAGTGTTCCATTATTGGAACGCTAAGCTTGTGGCAGTTATTTATATCCTACTGTTCAAGGTCATCACCAAAGTCTGATTTTTCACAAATAAAATTTGCAACCTCCGGCATAAATGGATTAAAAGGACAGTGATTTATCAATATATTTATATAGGAAAACATAAACTATAGATGCAGGTTTAGTTCATGAACTGTGGGATCATACTGCCTATGTTTGAATCAAAGCTTCAGCATTTGATAGCCATAAGACATTGAGCTGATTACTTAACTTCTCTATGCCTCAGTTTCCTCATGTGTAAAAGGTGGCAATAACAGGGTTGCTATGAGAATTATATGAGTTGATATGTGCCAGTGAGCGTCTTGTATATCACAGAGTGTGTGCTCAAAAAAAGATACCTTTTATTAATTGTTACCTGACATGATCAGGGCCAGTAGTTGCTCTGCAAATAGAAAAAAATCATCAACTGAAGTTGGGTATCATAAAAAAAGTATATAACACATATACATATGTATATATATACACACATAGAATGAAAAATATATAATGTCACAATGCATTTTTATGTGAATGATGTAAATATATAATCACCTGCCAATTTAGTTGAAGTCATTTTCTATTTAAGTCCTCTAAATAGAGTCCTACATTATTTTCTGTCATAAACCACACTTGTCATGCATAATGTATGATATCTAGTTTTGGTTTCTTCAAAGTGGAGTGAAAAGTTAAAGGCATTTGTTAAGCAATCTGAATACAGAATCCTTATAAATTTTTATCATTTCCTATTATCTTTTTCAGGTGCCTTTAATCTACCCAATATGGTAGCAATGTTTATCACATTTATTTTATTTTAACTAACTCAGATGTATTGAGTTTTTCCCATATCCAAGATAACTTTCTAGAAAACAACTTAAGTGTATAGTCTATTGCACTAATATTTCATTAGTTTACATTTTATTTTATTAGTTTGTATTTATAATAACGGATATTACTAATCTAAAACTGTTTGAAAACAAATCCAGTTGGCACAGGTGAAGAACACAACTTGTCACTGGGGAAAGATGTGGACTGAGAGTTGGCATGTCAGTTTAGCTCCTTTCTTGTACTGTGGGCAACAGTCAATGTGGAAGGAATGAGAGTGAATCTGTCTGGTAGGAGTAAATTGAGTTTCTACAATAGCTCTCTTCATTCACCAGATGCTCTTCCCTTCATTTTACCTGCTTTATAGTCAGTCAGAAATTTGGCTTCTCAGATTTTTAAATAATAAGACTGAGTCAATGCCAGAGAAATATTCACACTATTTCAATGGATTCTGAATTTAGGACCAAGAAGGACAAATCATTTTGAAAACTCCCTTTGGATGCTAGTGGGGAATATCTGAGTTGAAATCCATTAAGGATTATCTAGTAGTCCTTGGAGGACATAGAAGTGATATGGAGGGAAAAAGAGAACAAAAGTATTGCTTCATAGAATGCAAAATTGAGCAAGGTTAGGCTTTTTTTTTTAATAACTTTTTTTTAATTACCAAGTCTGCTGGAATTTTTTTTATCACATAGTATTCCATCATTATATACCAAACCAAAAACTGTTTGGCATCTATTAACATATCCTCATATGGTAAGTAAAATTGAATTTAAAAATAAAATCTACTTTATGTCAAAAATAAAATGTAAATCTTTGGAAGATTCAGAATCTTAATTAGAATCAGAAATTTAATTATTTACTCTTAGAACTGTCATTTTGGTAACGTACTGGTAACTTTGCATAATGGAACTTCAATCACTATAAAATCTTGCCAGAGAGAACCTGCTAAATTGCCCAGAAACCTGAATAAATGCAATGATAACACTGGAATCTTCCTTCCTTGCTAGACTTCTCCATATTCCTATTCCTTTTTTCCTCTTGCATAAGATCCCAATTTGAGAGTGTACTAAAAAAAGTCTTTGACAGGCAGAGGCACACACAGGCCCCAGGAGGATTTAGTGAGAAGGAGAAATGACAGTGGTTGAGAGAGAAAACCAGCGAAAGAGAAACTTATGACAGTGACCCACAGAAAAGGAGTGATAATTCTCTAATGCCGAGGAAACTGCAGAATCCGTGCAATTGTCCTCTCATTCATGGGCCTCTTATCCTGAGTAGTCTAGATAGCTTTTTGGAAGGTCGTAACTGATCTAGTGCGAGAGAGCCAGTACCAGCAGGGACTGAAGAAAATCTCTTCTAGTATTTTAGATGTTCCAGGTGTAGGAGGACAGGAAGATACACCACCCAGTAATGGTCCATAAAATTCAGATGTCATATGAATTTTATCATATAAAATGGATACTATGTGAAATGAAACTCAAACAGCATTTCCCAAACCCACTGCTAGACCAGACATAGACTCAGAATATACCTTAATAGAGTTTGTATTTCCTTATTTGTTTTTAATGCTGTTTGACCCAGTCTTGAGTCTCTGGCCAGAGGCAGGTCAGTTTCCCTTCTTTATTAAGCCTACACTCCAACTAAATCCCTTCTCAAGTTCTCTCACTCTGGGGCTGCTATGCCCTAGGGCTAGGTACAGACAATTAAGGGATAGCCTCTGTGTCACTGGGGCCCACAAGATGATTCAATTTCACCTATCCACAGGAAGCCAGAAAAACCTAGCTAACCCCACCTGGCTTGCCATACTTAAGCTGCCTCTAGCTGTCTGTTACCTTGTCCCTGGGAGCAACCCCTTGTGTGACTCAGCCTTCTCTCATTTGCAATTGGAAGTAACAAGGAGTTCTGACTTTCATTTATCCAATATCTTTTGTGTCGTGACCTGCCATTCAAAGAAACTATAATTCTACCTAAAATCTTGTAATTATGAAACAATGTCAAATTCTATGAGATATTTATTAGCATAGCATTTGTCTGATCTTGGAGAATAGGAGAAGCTCCAATTGATAAATTAAGGCATTCCAGGCACGACAATGGCATAAACCACCTAACAATTGAGTGGGAAAAGCTCTGAGTATTTGAGGAAAAAAAGGCCAAAGCATACAGTTGAGAATAAAGAGTAGTAAAATTTATGGAAGCACATTGAACCTATGCTTAATTACCAGGATGAGGAACATGGTCTTTATTTCATGACCAAATAAAAGTCATTTGGGGACTGCTTAAAATAAAGTAATAAGGAATGCATAAGGAATAACACAATGAATATATATTTCCAAAAAAGGTACCGCATTACTCATATGTTTCTAAAAGAAAATCTCTTTCTAACTTCTTGAGCATCAGAGTAGCTAGATTTGAAGACACTCCCCCCAAGCTACATGCCACTGCCATCATCTCTATTATGAAGACATCAGAATGATTAAGAGTGCTGTGGGTTCTGAACAGAACTGTTAGAAACCCAGCCCCTATACTTGGACCTGTATCACTCAGGACATATCACTTAACCTATATAAACCTCTGTGATGATTAATTTTACATGTCAACTTGACTGGATTAAGGGATTCCAAGACAGCTGGTAAAACATTATTCCTGGCAATATCTGTGACAGCATTTTCAGAAGAGATTGGCATTTGAATCAGTAGACCAAAGAAGATTCATTCTTACCCAATGTGGGTGGGCATGATTCAATAAGCTGAGGGCCTGGATAAAACAAAAAGGTAGAGCAAAGGCAAATGTGCCCTCTCTCACTTTTCTGGAGTGGAGGCACCCGTCTTCTTCTACCCTTGGGCATCAGAACTCCAGGTTCTCCAGCCTTTGAGACTTGCACCAGTGTCCCTCAGGTTCCCAAGCCTGATTAAGACTTTCTCAGACTTTGAGTTATGCTATCAGCTTCCCAAATTCTCCAGCTTGCAAACAGCATATCCTGGGACTTCTTAGCCTCCATAATCATGTGAGCCAATGCCCCTCATAAATTTCCTCTCCTGTGTCTATATCCACATGTATATTTCTATCCTATTGGTTCTGTTTTTCTGGAGAACCTTGACTAATACAACTCAAATTACTTTCTACATATTAATAATAAGGCTGTCATGTGACATTAATAAGATAAATACCTTGAAGTACTGACACAATTCTTGAAATATTTTATTGTTGAGAGCCATGTGACATAGACCCATGTTTTGGTTCTTTCCTCTTAGGCAAACAAGAAATTCAGTTTCCTAGTTTTGTAAATAAACACAATAATGGCAGCACTTTATATGATTATCTGAGAATTAAACTAGATTATGAAACTCTATAAAGTATAGACTACCAACATGTTGCTATTACATAAGTTCCTTCCCCTGTTGTCTCAGAAGACAAAACTTAGATTATACATAGAACCCATTCAACTAATATTTCAGCATCTAATTTTTGCCAGACATTATGCTAAGAACTTTATTCCTCATTGAAACAGACAGGGAGAGAGCAATGAAACAAATTTTAATAAAGTGAAGGCAAGCTTTAAAAATAGCAGGATGTTTTCCAAAAAGTACATTATTTTAATTTTGCTTTTGAATAATAAATTTTAATGAGGGACAGTATTTTAAAATATTAAATTACAAAACAAATTTATAAAGTACAAGGATTTTTTTAAAAAAAGTTAAAAATAACCTTGAGAATAAACTTGGGAAGACTGACTTGTAAAATTTAAGTTTCTGAATTTGGTTATATGAGTATGAAGAAATCAAAAAATATTTCAGAACTCAATTCATATTAATGGAGACAAATTAGTTTTGTGAATGCCAATTTCTCCTTTTTTTGGTAACAGCTTTATTGAGATATAATTCACATACCCTACTATCTACCTATTTAAAGTGTACAATTCAATGGTTTTTATTATATTCACAGAGTTGTGCAAGCATCACCACATTTAATTTTGGCACATTTTTACCCCATCCGACTGAGCCCTGGCAACCATGACTCTACTTTCTGCCTCCACATATTTGCATGTTCTGGACATTTCATATAAATGGAATCATACAATATGTGTCCCTTTTGGTGTGACTTCATGAGAATGATATTAAGGTTCATTCATGTTGCAGCATGTATCAGTACTTCCTTCCTTTTTATTGCCAAATAATATGCCATTGTATGGCTATGTATTTTGTATATTCATTCATTGGTTGATGGATATTTTGTTTTTTTCCACTTGTTGGTTATTATGAATAATGCTGCTTATAAACATTCATGTTCAAGATTTTGTATGGACAAATGCTTTCATTTATCTTTGGTATACAACAAAGAGTAGAATTGCTGGTCATATGATAACTATGTTTAATCTTTTTTATTATTCTTTACGTTTTTATACTTTATTATAAATTATAATACTTTTAAGTTCTAGGGTACATGTGCACAACGTGTAGGTTTGTTACATAGGTATACGTGTGCCATGTTGATTTCCTGCATCCATCAACTCATCATTTACATTAGGTATTTCTCCTAATGCTGTTCCTTCCCCAGCTCCATCCATGAGCATGGAATGTCCCCACCCCCTGACAGGCCCCAGTGTGTGATGTTCCTCACCATATGTCCAAGTGTTCTCATTGTTTAATTCCCACCTATGAGTGAGAACATGAGGTGTTTCGTTTTCTGTCCTTGTGATAGTTTGCTGAGAATGATGGCTTCCAGCTTCATCCATGTCCCTGCAAAGGACATGAACTCATCCTTTTTTATGGCTGCATAGTATTCCATGGTGTATATGTGCCACATTTTCTTAATCTAGTCTATCATTGATGGACATTTGGGTTGGTTCCAAGTCTTTGCTATTGTGAATAGTGCCGCAGTAAACATATGTGTGCATGTATCTTTGTAGTAGCATGATTTATAATCTTTTGGGTATATACCCAGTAATGGGATCACTGGATCAAATGGTATTTCTAGTGCTAGATCCTTGAGGAATTGCAACACTGTCTTCCACAATGGTTGGACTAATTTACATTCCCACCAACAGTGTAAAAGTGTTCCTATTTCTCCACATCCTCTCCAACATCTGTTGTTTCCTGACTTTTTAGTGATCCCCATTCTAACTGGTGTGAGATGTTATCTCATTGTGGTTTCGATTTGCATTTCTCTGATGGCCAGTGATGACGAGCACTTTTCATGTGTCTGTTGGCTGCATAAATGTCTTCTTTTGAGAAGTATCTGTTCATATACTTTGCCCGCTTTTTGATGGGGTTGTTTGTTTTTTCTTGTAAATTTGTTTAAGTTCTTTGTAAATTCTGGATATTAGCCCTTTGTCAGATGGGTAGATTGCAAAAATTTTCTCCCATTCTGTAGGTTGCCTGTTCACTCTGATGGTAGTTTCTTATGCTGTGCAGAAGCTCTTTAGTTTAATTAGATGCCATTTGTCGATTTTGGCTTTTGTTGCCATTGCTTTTGGTGTTTTAGACATGAAGTCCTTGCCCATGCCTATGTCCTGCATGGTAATGCCTAGGTTTTCTTCTAGGGTTTTTAGGTCTAACATTAAAATCTTTCATCCATCTTGAATTAATTTTTGTATAAGGTGTAAGGAAGGGATCCAGTTTCAGCTTTCTACATATGGCTAGCCAGTTTTCCAAGCACCATTTATTAAATAGGGAATCCTTTCTCCATTTCTTGTTTTTGTCAGGTTTCTCAAAGATCAGATGGTTGTATATGTGTGGTGTTATTTCTGAGGCCTCTGTTCTGTTCCATTGGTCTATATCACTGTTTTGGTACCAGTACCATGCTGTTTTGGTTACTGTAGCCTTGTAGTATAGTTTGAAGTCAGGTAGTGTGATGACTCCAGCTTTGTTCCTTTTGCTTAGGATTGTCTTGGCAATGCGGACTCTTTTTTGCTTCCATATGAACTTTAAAGTATTTTTTTCCAATTCTGTGAAGAAAGTCATTGGTAGCTTGATGGGGATGGCATTGAATCTATAAATTACCTTGGGCAGTATGGCCATGTTCATGGTATTGATTCTTCCTATCCATGAGCAAGGAATGTTCTTCCATTTGCTTGTGTCCTCTTTTATTTCCTTGAGCAGTGGTTTGTAATTCTCCTTGAAGAGGTCCTTCATATCCCTTGTAAGTTGGATTCCTAGGTATTTTATTCTCTTTGAAGCAATTGTGAATGGGAGTTCACTCATGATTTGGCTCTCTGTTTGTCTGTTATTGGTGTATAGGAATGCTTGTGATTTTTGCATGTTGGTTTTTGTATCCTGAGACTTTGCTGAAGTTGCTTATCAACTTAAGGAGATGTTGGGCTGAGACGATGGGGTTTTCTAAATATAAAATCATGTTATCTGCAAACAGGGACAATTTGACTTCCTAATTTCCTAATTGAATACCTTTTATTTCTTTCTCTTGCCTGATTGCCTTGGCCAGAACTTCCAACATTATGTTGAATAGGAGTGGTGACACAGGGCATCCTTGTCTTATGCCGGTTTTCAAAGGGAATGCTTCCAGATTTTGCCCATTCAGTATGATATTGGCTGCAAGTTTTTCATAAACAGGTCTTATTATTTTGAGATACATTCCATCAATACCTAGTTTATTGAGAGTTTTTAGCATGAAGGGCTGTGGAATTTTATCAAAGGCCTTTTCTGCATCTATTGAGAGAATCGTGGTTTTTTTTTTTTGTCATTGGTTCTGTTTATGTGATGGATTACATTTATTGATTTGCATATGTTGAACCGGCCTTGCATCCCAGGGATGAAGCTGATTTAATCGTGGTGGATAAGCTTTTTGATGTGCTGGTGGATTCGGTTTGCCAGTATTTTATTGAGGATTTTTGCATCGATATTCATCAGGGATATTGGTCTAAAATTCTGTTTTTTGTTGTGTCTCTGCCAGGCTTTGGTGTCAGGATGATGCTGGCCTCATAAAATGAGTTAGGGAGGATTCCCTCTTTTTCTATTGATTGGAATACTTTCAGCTCCTCTTTGTACCTCCAGTAGAATTCAGCTGTGAATCTGTCTGGTCCTGGACTTTTTTTGGTTGGTAGGCTATTAATTATTGCCTCAATTTCAGAGCCTGTTATTGGTCTATTCAGAGATTCGGCTTCTTCCTGGTTTAGTCTTGGGATGGTGTATGTGTCCAGGAATTTGTCCATTTCTTCTAGATTTTCTAGTTTATTTGCATAGAGGTGTTTATAGTATTCTCTAATGGTAGTTTGTATTTCTGCAGGATCGGTGGTGATATCCCCTTTATCATTTTTTATTGTGTCTATTTGATTCTTCTCTCTTTTCTTCTTTATTAGTTTTGCTAGCAGTCTATCAATTTTGTTCAGAAAACCAGCTCCTAGATTCATTGATATTTTGAAGGGATTTTTGTCTCTATCTCTTCAGTTCTGCTCTGATCTTAGTTATTTATTGCCTTCTGCTAGCTATTGAATTTGTTTGCTCTTGCTCCTCTAGTTCTTTTCATTGTGATGTTAGGGTATTGATTTTAGATCTTTCCTGCTTTCTTTTGTGGGCATTTAATGCTATAAATTCCCCTCTACACACTGCTTTAAATGTGTCCCAGAGATTCTGGTACATTGTGTCTTTGTTCTCATTGGTTTCAAAGAACATCTTTATTTCTGCCTTCATTTCGTTATTTACCCATTAGTCGGTGAATGCCAATTTCTCATATTCTAACTCTACTCTGACCTTTTCTACATTGAAGTGTGGAATATTTTAGCCTTTGTTTTTTTCTTTTCTTTTGTATTCATTCATATATTGTTGATATTATGTCTGATTCTAGGATGCATAAATGGAAGGAATGGAAATTAAGTGTTTTATTTCTATTTATAAGAGTCAACTCTTGTGATTCTGAATTGTAGTTCTGATGTCCAAAGTTCAAATATAGAATCAGATGAGGAATCTCAAATGTTGATTGGTGAAGAAGCATTGCTGAAATTAATGGATGAGACAGAAAGTAAAAGTCAGAGCTCAGAGTCAGTCACATTTCCAGAATTACTTCTCTATATAATGCTTCTCTGCTTGGAATATGATGTGGCCTGTCACAGTGATGGAAGAGAGTTGAACTAGGAAGGGGCTGTTCAATGTAACGAAGGGAATAGCTTGTATGATCCTTATCAATGTTTATAGCAGAGAACTCACTTGGTGCACTGCCTGCTTACATCATCTCAACGGACATCATGAGATCAGTAAATTTCCCCAAGATAATCCAAGCTAAGTAGACTGGTATCTTCTTTGACCCCGCCTGGAGTTTGGGAAGCATACCTATCATAACATGATATGATGGGAAAAGGAGGAACCCTTTGCGAGGGAATCCTAGAAACAGGAATTGGCTACAATAGGGAAAAACTAGTGCAGAGATGCTGCGTAGATCATTGTTTTAATAGTTTAATAAAACGAGAGCTTCATGAGGCAGACCAAGAGAAGAATGTGGCTTTAGAAGACATTTCTGAGTGATAATCATCAGGAAACTTCCTCACACATAATGTGCGGAGATTGGATTAAATTTTCTCAAGGTTCACTAAAGTTCTAACATTCTCTGAGTCTGGGTGATATTTGCAAGTTAGTGGGTATCATGAAAGTACCAAGCATGGGGATTAGAAAGCATAGTAAAGGGACACAGGAAATCATTGAATATAGGATTTATCTGTTCCAATAATTTGACTAAATCTAATTTTTTAATGCTCAGAAGATAAAGACATAGACCCCCTGTTAGTCCAGAGTAGACATACATATCGTCCCCTTTCTTCAGACTCCAAATCTGGTCATCTAAGAGCCTTCATAGTGTTTCATGTTACCATCCGCACATTCAAGCTGCCAGCCCCACCTGACTTTTTAGAGATCACTTGATTTTCATTTACTCCAGTGAGAACAATATTTAATAACTAATAATCCTTATCTTCCTTCCATGTCAGGGGTTACTAATGTTGGGATAGTACAGAGGGCAGCACTAGAGCATCTTAAAATTAAAGTACTAGATGTTATTAAACAAATAAGAATATTCATGAAATAAATTATTGTGTAGGGTAGCTTTAATAAACTACTGTAAAACTGAAAGGGACTTTCAAAAATGACTTTTTATAAAATAAGGTTATATTGTTTGTATATATATGTGTGACTGGTTAGTAAAAATTTGATTGTTTCTTGTTTTTTTTTCCAATTTATGTTACTATAAATTGTATATTCTACACACACAAAGACACACACACACACACACACACACACACACACACACACACAGTTTTTAGTCCCTGAAGACCCTAAGGAACAAAGAGTTATGCTTGCATACTGACTTTAAGCTAATGAACAAGCAGTGGCTGACCTTTAGAAAGTTATTCATGACACCAAAGACAGCCAATCACCAACCAGTAGTGAATACAGGCTCACCATTCCTTTCACAGTAATGAAAGCTGATAGTTTTGAATGATAAATATCTGCAAAATGGTGCTGTGAAGCATATGCCACATCAGATTTAATTTCCCTAACAACTCTATCAGTTGTGATATTATAGCTACTTAAAAATTATTATTGCATTTCATAAGTGAGAAAATAGAAGTTTAGAAAGTTTCAGTAACAAATTCATAGTTATTCAGTTGGTGAGTGGAGGGCCTGTGATTAGAATCAGATGTCTCTCATATTAAACTCTCTGTAACCTTCACATTGGCTCTCTTAAGTGTGAGGTGAGTTGGAATGACAAGAAATGCTTCTGGGTGCATTTCTTGTTAGTTCCTCCTTGAGTCATCTGTGAAGTTAGTCAACTGTGAACAGAAAGTAATATTAGTGAGAATTTAGAAGTGCAGCATTGAAGATAGTAACAAGTCTATGTCAAAAATTTTAAATCATGAAATATATATAAAAAGTATTTTTATATGTGATTATAATAGGATATAAAAAGTAACCACATGTAGTGAAGTTAGTGCTATTATTGCTATAATATAAATAATTATAATATTTATATATTCTAAAATATCATTATAGAAATAATTTAATCTCCTATAAGGTGAATGTGACAGTTAATTTTAAGTGTCAACTGGATTGAAGTAGCACAGATAGCTGATAAGCATTATTTCTGGGTATGCCTGTGAGAATGATTCCTTAGAGAATGTCATTTGAATCAGTGGCCAGAGTAAGATAGCTCCACAATCAGTGTGGATGTGCACCATTCAATCTGCTAAGGTCTCAGATAGAACACAAAGGCAGAGGAAAGGCAAATTTACTTTATCTCTTCTGGATGTGGGAGACCCATTTTCTCCTGCCCTTGGACATGAGAACCCTAGCTTGCCTAGACTTTGGACACCAGGACCTGCACCACTGGACTGTCAGGTTCTCAGGCTTTTGGCTTCAGACATTACCATCAGCTTCCCTGGTTTTGAGGTTTTCAGATGGCTTGTCATGGGACTTCTCAGCCTCCATAATTGCATGAGCTAATTCCCTTAATAAATCTCCTTTCATGAGTATGTGTGTGTGTGAGTATGTGTGTGTGTATACATGTGTATACGTGTACATAGACTATTGGTTTTGGCTTTCTACAGAACTCTGAATGACACAGTGGGGCAGATTTCAAAATATTGTTCCAACAATCTTTCTAGACTAATATTCTACTTATTGCCATATTTTAATTTATTGAAGATAATTATCCTCAAAGCATATATTATCTCAACATAAATTTGTTATGAATTTTATGAATAAAATCAAATCCTTTTTTATTAAATAAGAACTGAGAACTCAGCAAACGGAGAGAGACAGGCCTAAGTAGGAAAGTAGGAAATATTGGGATTAAATAAACCCAGGGAGGATTTTTAAAACTTGGGAGAAGATGAATATTTGTGGGAAAACTGCTCATCTACAGAGCTTTCTGTAACCACTGAGACTGAGTTAAGAGTTCAGAGCACCTTATATGTACAATGATACTGCAGCATGTATGACATAATTGTCCTTTTACCTTTTTGACTTTCTCAGGAGATTTTTGAACTTGATGAGAACAGAGATAATTTCTTACTCAGTGATGAAACTCCAGTGTCTGATACATTACAAACATTCAATAGATATTTCTGCATAAATAAGTGAGTGGAGTATTACCTTTGCAATGCATGGCGAACAGTCTCATTAGTCAAATTAAGGACAGAGAATCTGCAGTAAGCTCAATTTGTTCACAATTATTTATTCCCTCCCATATTCTAATGGTTCCCCTATGGCAGGGTATACTTACCTACCTCTTCAGTAATAGGTTTGGCCTCTGAGATTTGTTTTGGAAAATAGAATAAGAAGGCTGGGTGTGGTGGCTCACACCTGTAATCCCAGCAATTTGCGAGGCTGAGGACTGCGGATCACTTGTTCAAAACCAGCCTGGAGTTCAAAACCAGCTTGGCCAACATGGCGAAACCGTGTCTGTACTAAAAATACAAAAATTGGCCAGACGTGGTGGCACACTCCTGTAATCCCAGCTACTTGGGAGGCTGAGACTTGAGAATCGCTTGAACCTAGGAGGTGGAAATTGCAGTGAACACCACTGCACTCCAGCCTGGGTGACAGAGTGAGACTCTATCTCAAAAAAAAAAAAAAAGAAAAAAAGAAAAAAAAAAGAAAAAGAAAAAAAGAAAATAGTATATGGGATGAAATGATAATGAGCTAGTTCTGAGATAAAGGCTTAAGAGACATCATGTGTTTTCACTCAGCCCTCTTGTGCTTGTGTCACTGAATAGGAGAGAAACATGGTTCCAGAAGGGGGAGAAATGATATGGAAAAGATGTGAACCCAAGCCACAGACTGAGTCAAGTCTGGTTAACCTTAGACACATCCACCAGAAGCATAATCTCCAGCAAACCAGTGACTGAGAAATAAATACTTGTTTTAAGAACCCACTAAATTTGGGGGTTGCTTGCTACACATTATTATTATGACAATAGCTGGATAAGGAAGCATCAGAAAGCCCTGGTAAGAGATAGGAAATATGTGTCAAATGTACTTGCTGAAAAATCACAATGGACTAGGCTATATGCAGAGATTCAAACAAGCTATAGATAATAGGTGTGAGAAAATTATCGTGACTCAAGATTCTCTTTAGTGATAATTCAAATGATATGTTTTATTACATTTTCACAGATTGGCATGTTAAATCATGATTGTAAACATTAAAGGAAAACTTTATTGGACAAACTACCTTTGAAACAGAGGAGGAGGATTTTATTGATCATGCTAGAATTTACCAGGAAATTCAGTAGTTTGCTATTTTTCTCAGCGTGGAAGCACAGACTATAGTAAATAAAAGAACCGGAAGAGAGATGTGTGTATTCATTAAGGGGGCAGAGTTTTCCTCAGTAATTTAGACTGAATAGATAGGAAGAAAGTTATACTTGAATCAAAAGAAGGAGTTTGATAAGCAGACATGGGAGGAAAATATTCCAGGCAGTGAAAATAATAAGTAAAAAGCCCACTAGTTATACATGAATATGGGAGGAATAGAAATCTTAGTTTTGAAGTCTAGAATTATTAGAATTATTAAAGGCCAGTGAGGGGGCAGGAGATCAATGTAGAGAAGTTGGCAGGAGCCATGCAGAGTTCGTTAGACCAATGCTTGAAGACCAATATTTGTCTTATACTTTAAAAACAATAAGAAGCCACTATAAGGTGTTAAGAATGAAGTCTTATTTCTGTGTTTAAAATACTGTGATATGAAGAATGGATGATAGTAGGGTGAGAGTTGAAAGAGGAAATCTTAGTATGCTTTTGGAATAGTGCAAGCAAGATATTTTGTCAAATTTTGTTGGTGTGGTAACTACCCCCACAAAAATTAACAGATGCCAGAAAATGGGCAAATTCAGAGTATATTTTAGTCTTGTTGATGGATTGTGGATGAATTAATTTATAGTGGAAATTAAAGATTATTTTTATTTCTGGGTAGCATCTGACCAGTGACTTCTTTTACTGAAATTGGAAAGCTTGATGGAAGCACAGATTTTTATAGAAAAATAAAAATATTTGCATTTACCTTGTTAAGGCTAAGATATATACAAACTTCTAAGAGTGTTTAGCAAGTAGGCAACTGGGTATATGAGTCTGGATCTTAGCTCTAAGAATGAGGGCTAGGGATATAAATCTGGGAATGGGTCAACAAATGAATGGCATTTAAAGCCATGAGCTGAATGAGATAGCATAATGAGAGAATGTACACTAATTAGTAATATATGGAATTGCATTTATAATATTATTATCACAGTGACCAGAAATGATTGTTTACTTCCCATCTCTCCTCCCCCTCAAATTCATCTCATGCATGTAACAGAAACTGATTATATCAACAATCTCTTTATATCTGTCAAAATTGATCATTATTCTATAATTCCCATCTTAAAAAAACTTTAAAAAATGAAATGTAATAGAAGTATGAAGATTAAGGCAATAAACTAGACTAAAATTTTATGTGCATTTAACACAAAGGACCACCCAACATTTTAAAATACTCTCTATATGTGATGGTAATTTCCCGCATTTGTGTTTCATCCTCACAAAATAAGAGCAGACAAAAAACCCTCTTATTTCCAGATTTACTTATCCTCAGCTGTTTTTTAGTTAAACATGACCTACGCAAGGTGGTGATCACATAGGGGAATTGATTATCTGGCAAGCATGATCATAAGGTATTTGACTGGACACAAGGGCAGTGGTGAAAGTCCTGGTGTCCAGTCCTGGATGCTATTAATGCCATGTGGAGGTGACAGGGGTATTTTTACTATGGCAGCCCCAATGAGTGGTTAAAAATAAAATCTTTGAGGCTGGCTGTTTGACCCACCCAAATATTATGTGACCCCTTATTAATTATTATCCTTTAATAAATTTATTTTCTGCTTTAAGCAAAATAATTTCAATATTTGCTATTAAGTCCTGATCAACTCAGAGATAAGTCACAAAGTTGTCTAATACTCTTTATAATATTTGTTCTTGAGACCTATGTCTTTGTTAAATTTTGTTGTTTGTTGTTGTTTTATAACATATATATATGTATATATATATGTGTGTGTGTATATATATATATATTTTTTTTTTTTTGAGAAAGGGTCTGGTTTTGTCACCCAGGCTGGAGTGCAGTGGTGCAATCATGGCTCACTGTAGCATTGACCTCCTGGGTTCAATAGATTCTTCCACCTCAGCTTCCTAAGTATTTGGGACTACATATGTATGCCACTGTGCCCACTTAACTTTTGTATTTTTTGTAGAGATGGGGTTTCACCATGTTGCCCAGGCTTGTCTCAAACTCTTGGGTTTAAGCAGTCCTCCTTCCACTTCGGTCTCCCCAAGTGTGAGCCACCATGCCCGGCCAACTTCAGCTTTTAATTCTTAGCAATCTGAGAATGCCAGGTTTAATTATATATAAAGTTATAACTAATATGTGCATTTATATCTGCTTCTACATGACTTTTCATTAAAATACAAGTTGAAGGATAAAATGGCAGAAAACTGCAAATAAAAGGTTGGATAAAGTAAAAGGGAAATCAGTCTACTACATTTCAAGATATTTACATAGCTACATTAATCAAGACTATGGTAACAGCAGAGGAATAAACTCATAGAGCAACACAATTAAGTAAAAAATTCAGAAATAGATGCATAAAAATATGCCAGACTGATTTTTGATAACATGACATAACTAATCGAATTCAATGGAGGAAAGATGGTCTTTTCAACAAACGATGAGGGAGCAATGAGCAAGGAAGCAAGCAAGCAAGAGAGAAAAGAACCTTCAGTTAAGTTACGTATCTTATACAGAAATTGATCTAAAATTAATTATGGACTTAAGTGTAAAACATAAAAGTATAAAATCTTTAGAAAAAAGCATAGGAGATATTTTTTAACCTAGGACTAGGCAGAGTTCTTAGACTTGATGCAGAATGTATAATCAATCAAAAGAAAAATTGATAAATTGGACTTTATTAGAACGTAAACTTTTGTATTATGAAAGGCTCTATTTAAAGCTACAGACTGGAAGAAAATATTTGCAAACCCCATATTTGATAAAAGGCTAGTATCTACAATATAGGAAGAACCTCAAAATTCAACAGTAAAAACTCAAACAGGTCAGATGCGGTGGCTCACACCTGTAATCCCAGCACTTTGGGAGGCCGAGGAGGGCAGATCACCTGAGTTTGTGACTTTGAGACCAGCCTGGCCAACATGGAGAAACCCCATCTCTACTAAAAATATAAAAATACAAAATTAGCTGGGTGTGGTGGCTCGTGCCTGTAATCCCAGCTACTCGGGAGGCTGAGGCACCAGAATCCCTAGAACTCGGGAGCTGGAGGTTGTGGTGAGCCGTGATCACCATGATCACGCCATTGCACTCCAGCCTGGGCAACAAGAGTGAAACTCTGTCTCAAAACAAAAACAAAAACAAAAAACAGTCTGTCCAATTAGAACCTGGCAAAAGAAGAAATATTTCACCAAAGATATATAGATGGTAAGTTAGTACATGAAAAGATGTTCAATATCACTATTAGTGAAATACAAATAATTCCCTCAATAAGATATTCTTACATATCTAGAATGGATGAAACATAAAATAGTGACCATAATAAAATTTGACAAAGACGCAGAACAACTGTACCACTCAGACTTTGCGGTGGGAATGAAAAATGATACAGCCACTCTGGAAAATAGTTCAATAGTGTATTTACTAAACATGCAATTGCCATAGGAGTCAGCTATCACACTCTTAATTGACATTTTTCCCATAGAAGTGAAGCTATGTTAACACAAAAACGTGTACTGAATATATATAGCAGCTTTATTCATAAGTGTCAAAAACTGGAAACAAACAAATTGAACTGCAATGGTTGAATGATTAAACAAACTGTGGTATCTCCCTACCATTGAATTATTCTCAGAAATGAAAAGGAACATAATCTTGAAACATGTAACAATCTGGATAAATCTACAGAGAATTAATGGGAAAAAAAGCCAATTCCAAAAGGTTGCATGCTTTATAATTCCATGCCTATAACATTCTTTAAATAACAAAATTAGAGAAATAAAGACTAGATTCATTGTTGACAAGAGCTAAGGGACAGGTGTGGGTGTGAGGAAAGTGGGTGTGGTAATAAAAGGGCAACACATGGGATGCTTGTGGTGCTGGAAATATTCTGTATCTTGAAGGTGTTGATGCCAATATCCTGGCTGTGATATTGACTAGAGTTTTGAAAGTTGTTACCATTGAGGGTAAGTCGGCAAAGGGCACAGGCTCTCTCTTTATTATTTTTACAACTGAATGTGAATTTATAAGTATCTCAAAATGAAGAGTTTAATTTTAAAAAGTCAAACATCTAAAATAATTATGGGACAAGTAAGCCAAATAAGACAAATACTATATGATCCCACTTATATCTAAAGTAGAATCTAAAATAGTCAAATTCATAGAAACATAAAGTAGAACAGTGGTTACCAATGGCTGGGAAGAGGGAAAAACTGGGGAAGTTGTTGTTGAATGGCTATAGAGTTTCAGTTTTGCATGATGAAACAGTTCTGGAGATCTGTTTCACAACAATGGAAATATACTTAACACTACCGAACCTTACATTTAAAAATGGCTGAGAAAGTAAACTGTGTTATATGCTTTTTTACCACAATAAAAAGTAATTACTGGGATTTACTCATTGGGAGATTTAAATCAGAGAGACACTGAATTAAGGCTCAGTGGTGCACTGATAAAGGAGAGACTCAGCTGGGAAGTTGTTTTCTCAACTCCAATTTTCTCACTCAGCATTTAGAGTACTATTGCCAACTGGGCTTAAGACATTGCGTTACCGGTGGAGGGTCTTGACTATGAGTCGTCCAGGTTCCTGGAGTTTTGAACAAAGAATTGGACATAATGCACAAACAAAGCAATGAAAATATGAAGCAACAAAAGCGGACATTTATTGAAATGAAAGTAGCCTCCACAGAGTGGGAATGAGCTCCAGGAAGTAGCTCACCAGCCCTGGTTACAGAATTTTCTGGTATTTAAACGCCCTCTACAGGTTTCCTGTTGGTTACTTGGTTTACACCTTATGCAAATGAAGGAGTGGCTCACTACCAGTCTGGTTGCGGAAGGTGACCCATGAGAGGCTGAAGTGAAGTTACAAAGTTATACTCCTGTGCAAATGAAGACTAGGCTCCTGACCAGTCTGATTGGTTGTGGGAGGTGACTAATCAGAGGTGCTTTCAATTTTTTATCTGCTATGCAGAAAAGGGGTCGGGGATTGCAAAGGGAGTAAACACTGGTCCTTTGGTTATGTGGGCGTGGAAAGTTGAGGTTTTCTTTTTGATTTAGTTCTAAGAAGTCCTAAGAAGTCAGCATGAATTGGCCTTAGGTTCCCTGCCTCCAGACCCTGTACTCCTGCCTTAATTAAACTATACATTGAATGGATTTTCCTCTGGAAAAATATCTGACATTAGAAAAAGACAAGCAGAAATTGATATTTGAGGAAATTTACCAATCCCTGTATGATCATTTCACTGTGAGTCCCGCTAATTGGTAAGTTCCTCTTGAGACATACCAACTTTCTAAAAGATATTTTAGTATATCGTTATTTTTATAATGTTTTGTGCATGGATATGAGTGTGAAAAGACACTAACTCTAAAGTAATATATGCAATAGATATGTAAAGTTTAAAGAACAATTTTATGTATAAACACCACCCAATCCAGGAAGTTCAATAGTAGCAAAATACGAAAACACCCTTGTGGCCTGCCCCTGTTTGATCCTCCCCTTTTCTCAGATTCTATAACTGCTTTGAATGTTGCCTTTTAACACTTTTGCTACATTTACGTGAATCCTTGGAATATTATATAATTTTATCTGTTTTTTAACATATAAATGGAGTCATATTATATCAATTATGATACCTTCTTTCATTCGGCATTAGGCTTTTCTCAATTTATGTCAGTGCATAACAGTGTTATTTATTTGGTCTTTTGTCTGTTTATTCTTTTGTTTAATTTTGTTTTGCTGTTGTAAGCAAGGTTTCATTTTATGCATTCTTGTCCATTTCTCTTAGTAAAGTGTGCAAGAGTTTCAGAATGGTGAAAAAATAGCATAATTCAACATATGAATGGTTAACTTTAGAAGATACCTTAAGGTCGGGCGCGGTGGCTCACGCCTGTAATCCCGGCACTTTAGGAGGCTGAGGCGGGCAGATCACCTGAAGTCAGGAGTTTGAGATTAGCCTGGCCAACATGGTGAAACCCAGTATCTACTAAAAAATACAAACAATTAGCTGGGCGTGCGACAGGTGCCTGTAATTCCAGCCACTCGGGAAGCAAAGGCAGGAAGATCGCTTGAACCTGGGAGGCGGAGGTTGCAGTGAGCCGAGGTCGCATCACTGCACTCCAGCCTGGGCAACAGAGTGAGACTCTGTCTCAAAAAAAAAAAAAAAAAAAAAAAAGTTAAATGTTAAATTGCTTTTCAATTAAACATACCAATTTAAATGTCCAAGAATATTTATCATGTTTTTCATACTCTATCAACAATTGGTAATAATTTAAAACTTTTAAACATAATGTTTTGTCTTTAGTAAAAAGCATCTAACTGTACTTTTATGGTTATTTACATAATTACAATAAGATTAAATATTTTTTGGCACATGCACTCTCTTTCCTGTAATATTTCCATTTTCTTTTTTTTTTTTTTTTTTTTTTTTTTTCTGAGACGGAGTCTCACTCTGTCGCTTAGGCTGGAGTGCAGTGGCGGGATCTCGGCTCACTGCAAGCTCCGCCTCCCAGGTTCACGCCATTCTTCTGCCTCAGCCTCCTGAGTAGCTGGGACTACAGGCGCCCACCACCACACCCGGCTAATTTTTTGTATTTTTAGTAGAGACGGGGTTTCACTGTGTTAGCCAGGATGTTCTCGATCTCCTGACCTCGTGATCCGCCCGCCTTGGCCTCCCAAAGTGCTGGGATTACAGGCATGAGCCACCGCGTCTGGCCTCATTGTTTGTTTTTATTGATTCATGTTTCTTTATATATTGTAGATAAAAAACATTATTTGTTATAGGCATGGAATATATAGTCTATTATGTTTGTAGCTTCCATTTTTGTTACCTTAATAACATTTTTGGTACACAAAATATTTTTTCATTTTAATGTACCCAAATTTATCAATATATACTTTTTTGGTTATGCTTTCTGTTTGAGTTCAATTCAGGAAATCTTTTCTTACCATGACATCCTAAAGATAGCATTCTATATTATATTCTAAAGTTTATATATCTGTATTCCACGTAGAAATGATGGTTTGAAAATGAGACAAAGGAAAATACAATTTCGATTTTTTAATATGAATGGCTAATTGGCTCAGCATCATTTATTTGAAAACTGCTTTTCTCATTAAATTTTCTAACTGTCATAAATTAAACTGCTGTGTATGGATACATCTAGGACTAAAATCTCTACTGTATTCTATTAGTTTCTTTAACTCTGTCCCCATTGTACAATGTCTTAATTATTTTAGCTTTATAATAATTCTTAATGCCTCTTAAGGTAATTTCTTCACCGAGAGTTTTGAGAGTGCCTTGCTTTTTAATAGATCTCTTATTCCCCGATGCTTTTAGAATTACTTTGTCAAGGAGGGAGGAAAAAAAAAAACTCTTGGCAATTACATTTGAATTATATTGAATATTCATATGTTCATATTCCTTTAAATTTTCCACTTGAAGTATACTGATGTGTCTATGGTATTGAATATTACAGTGAAGATACACAGTAAATCTTGCTATTTTGATTTTAAAAACTGGCAAGCATTTTACAATTGTCTCCCCAAGGTCTTTTCCTGTTCTTAGATTTATTTCTAAATACTTTAGAATTTTATGTTATAGTAAAAAGAATCTATTTTATTCCATTTAAAAGGTTTTTTTCCTGATATTTTGAAATGCAATTGAATTTTGTTCATTGATTTTTTTATCCAGAAATTTTGTATTCTAATAACATAGATACATACCTAAATACACACATAGATTGATTGAGTCAGTATGATTCTCTAGGTAGATAATCATATAATCCACAAATAATGAGTTTAATTTCTTACTTCCTAATCCTTTTATTTTATTTATGTGTATATTTATCTTTCCCGCATTAGTCATTTGGTTCTTCACTAATGGTGAATTAAAATGATTATAATAGGTACACATCTTTATTTCTAATCTTGGAGATATTACTTTCAATATCACAATATAGTTTTAATTTTAAAAATACTTTTGTAGCTTTACCAGGTTAAGGATGTCTCCTTAAACTGAAAAGAATCTTCTTTATTTTAATTTTTGAACCATAAACTGATGTTGAATTTTATCATATGCTCTTTGTGTATGTATTAATGTGATTATAACACTATTCTACTTTAATTATTAAAATGATAAATATATTGGACTTTTATGCAAAACAGCCTTGAACTTCCTAAATAAACTCAATGTAGGTAATGCTATAATTTTATACATTGCTTTCTCAGACTCATTAAGATTTTGGTAAGGGTATGTGCATTTATATCCATAAGTAAATTTGTCCTGTAATTTTTTATTTACTGTTCTTTTTGAATTTTGGTATCAAGGTTATGCTAGCATAATTAAATAAGTTTAAAAAAATCTTTTTTTCTACATTCTGAAATATAAGAGTGGAATTGATTAGTAAAACTCATCTTCAAAACTGTGTGGGAATGTATTTGTATTTATGTGACATTTTTAACTGTTAATCAGTGTTTATATTAGATTTGAGCTGTAGATTCTCTGTAATTTCTCAGGTTAGTTTTGATCAGTTATATTTTTCTGAATTTGTTTATTTCTCAAATATTTTTAGATTGAATCATATAAATTTATTCATATCAAAACCCAAGCAGATTTTTTGAGGAAAACTGATAAGCAGACATATTTTATGTTTATATAGAAGCATACAGAATACAGAATAGAATAGCTATTCTTAAGAATAATAATTGAAGGTTTTAAACTACTGCCTACCAAGATTTACCATGTAGCTACAGTTTTGAAGACAGGGTAATATAGGTCAATGTATGTGACCAATGAAACAGAATTGAATGTTATATACAGTCATCTGATATGCAACAAAGGCACGCCTATAAATCAGTGGGGAAAATAATTGTCTTTTTTGATAAGCTGTGCTGAATTAATTGGATATCTGAGGGAAACAAAAAGTGACCCTTGATTCCCTCTGTTACACCATACAAAAAATAAGTTTCAAGTGGTTATAAACCTAAATATGAAAGGGAAAACATAAAGACTAGAAAAATACATCTACATATGTTTTCATAATCTTGCCTTTGACAGTGATTTCTTTTTTATTTATGTATAATAGTTTTCTATATTTTGGGAGTTCATGTGATATTTTGATACCTGTATATAATGTGTAATGATCAAATTAGAGTATTTAGGATATCTATCACCTCAAAAATTTATCTTTTCTGCATATTAGAAAAAATTCCCAATTAGTACATAAAAATCCTGGTTATCAGAGAAAAATAAAATAGTTGAGTTTATTAAAACTAAAAGCTTCTGTTCATTTGAGTAGAGCAATAAAAGAATGAAAATGCAAACATATTGGAAGAATATTTTCAATCTATTTGCTGAATGACTTGTATTCAAGGAAGAGACAAGAAACTATAAAAAATCAGCATAAATAGTGAAGTATTTTAAAAAAATAGATTCCTAGATGCCAATGAACACATTAAAAGATAGATATTAGTCATAATAGATATGCAAATTAAATCCAAATCAAATAACACTACACAGCTACCAAAATTGTAATGAACAAGGTAGCAATTTTCAGGTGATCTTAAATAGGTTGAGCAACTATAAATACCATACTTGGAGGGAGTATAAATTTGTACAACTACTTCAGAAAATTGTATATTACTTACTAAAGTATATGCCCTATCCAACTTTTCTATGTACACATAGTAAGGGTACTATGTACACTCCTGCTATGTGTACATCCAAATAATGTGTGCATGACCACCAAAAGGCATATACAAAAATTTGCACGGAACCTTTACTTATAATAACTCAAAATTTCAAAACATCCAGTTTCCCTTCACGTAAGAATAGACATATAATTTTTGGTATATTTTTACCACATAATACCACCAAAGTAATTTAAAAAATTGCTGCTACATGCAACAACATAAATTAATCTAAAAAAATTCATGTGGAAAAAAATGTGCAAGTCCAGAAGTGAGTATTCTTTGTTTCTACTTATATGAATTTCAAAAACAGGCAAAATTAATTGATGATGATAGAAGTTTAGAGTAGTACTGATGCGTATCACCTGGGAAGGAGCCCAAGGCAAGCTTGAAATACACTATATCTTGATCTTGATGATGGTTACATATACAAAAATTCATTGAATATTTGAGATTTGGTCATTAAAAATGTAAATAAAAACATTAAAAGGAATAAAGATTACACACCAAAAGAGTTCACACCAACCATAAAATTCTAGATTGTGTGTCTACTAGGAAAAACAAAATATATGTCTGTGAATTATATGTCAAGTAAAATTCTTACAGAAAAAAATTCGGAGATGAAAATCAGGTGTGAATCTTTGAGAAGTGATTAGAAGAGGTTTGAGTTAAACACAAAAGGTTCCTGGGACATTCAAACATGATTCCATTATAATGAAAACTGATTTCCAGGAAAAAATCTAAGAAAAAATATAATTTCTTAATAGGACAAAAAAAGTCCTGACCATTAAAGAAAAAATGGTACAGTTGACTATTAAAATAAAAACTTCTATAGATACCAAAATAAAAGACAATGTAAGATACACACTGCATTTACTTATGTATTCAAGTTCTGAAATGAGTCTTTGTGTGTGACTATAAAGTGAAAATTTAAGCAAATCAAAAATAATACCTGAGTTGAGTGACAGGCTGCATTTCTAAGATGCATGTGGTAAGATGGCCCAGTAGATGGCCAGGTCTAGGCAGAGGGATGAGGGTGGGTGGGAGCTGAGGTGTCAAAAGGCTCAGGTCAATGACCTCTTCCTCAAGATTTGCTCTGGTTCAACCTTACCCTTCTCTGCTATCTTGGAGCTGACCTTGGAGCTGATCTTGGAGCTAATCTTGGATGACATACTGAAGACTTTGGAAGAGGAAGCATAGTTATATTAGGTGATGTGTTGAGGTGGTGATGTGGATTCAGTGGATTATGCTGCAAACTTTCACCATGAGGGGTCACACAAGATGATGTTGAGACCCACCAAGCCTATAAACACATGACTCACACCATGAGGAAAAAGAAGGGCTGCTTACCACTGAGTTGGAGCCCATGGGTGTGCAGGAAGAGGATGAAGTGGTAGTTTCAGCATGTGATTATGTATATATATACTCATACATATACATATGTAACTGTGTGTGTGTATATATATGAGAGAGAAAGGAAAGGGTGAGAAAAAATAAGAAAGAAAAGTTTAACTTAGTTGTAAGAAATGGCAACACCACACACAAACTTATATATGCGTGTACATATTTGTGTGGATGTATGTTTATAAATGTGTCAAAATTAAAATGGTTAAAATAATTTAATAAGGACAAAAGAAGAATTACTTCATTATGTATTTAGAAGGCATATGACAAGCTTTCATGGAGCCAGCTAGTATTTTGTTATCAACATCTAGTACTTAATAATTTTAATGATTTTTTGCATGGCTGGCTCATCTTGAAGCCAGTAATATTTATCATTTATTAGTTCTGGGGTTTGGTTTAATATTTTCCATAGTTCCAGCTACTTCCTCTTAATAATTATATAGCTGTTAAAAAGTAAGCAACTGCATTAGGTATTTATAATAAAAAAACACCACGTGAAAGAAGTAATCATCTATTCCTGGAAAGGATTCAGAAGTCTTGGGTTTAGATTCTGCCTCCTTTGTTGACTGTAGTTAACAAACACCACAGAACCATGCCTTTTTTCCCCATACTTATTCCTTTAGAAGTATTGATGAAATAAAAATAATTAAGAATTGTGCTGAATTATGCATGCAATAAACCATAATTCAATTTTATTTTTTAATAAGAATAGCTGTATAACTGAACGAAGCATATGTTTGAGTAACCACCACATGGCCAGAACTATTGTACTGAAATACAATAAAGAGTATAATAAATTAAATGATTATATACAAACAAGCAATTTATTTGGAAAATTTATCTACACACACACACGTATTTGCAGTAACAAGACTTGAATTATATATTAACACTCTTTTCCTTTCTTTTCTGTTCTAGGCAAACTGGCGGTCATACTCTTCTCTAAATGAGCCAACACTCCCTAGGAGACCTCAGTAGAACTCCCTCTTCTCTGCTGGAAAGGTTTTGCCTCCCCAGGACCCATCCCTCACCATCCATGCATGACATTCTGGCCTCAAGTATCCACTCCTCAAAGGTACTTCCTGACCACTTTGTTTAAAGCAATACATCTCAAACTTTAACATGTGTGTGAATCACCTGGGTTTTTATTTAATATGCAGTTTCTTTCAGTAAATCTGGGAAAAGTGGGGTCAAATTCCCAGGTGATGCCTATATTGATGGTCCCAGTGGCACACTTTGCCTGGCAAAGACTTAAAAGAGTCCTTCTCCCATTACTCTTGATCCTTTCATTCTGTTTTGTTTGTTTGTTTGTTCATTTGTTTTTTGAGACAGCCTCACTTTATCACCCAGGCTGGAGTGCAGTGGTGTGATCTTGACTCACTGAAACCTCCACCTCCCAGGTTCAAGGGATTCTTGTGCTTCAGCCTCCCGAGTAGCTGGGATTACAGGTGTGCACCACCATGCCTGGCTAATTTTTGTATTTTTAGTAGAGACGGGGTTTCACCATGTTGGCTAGGCTGGTCTCGAACTCCTGTCCTCAAGTGATCTGCCCACCTCAGCCTCCCAAAGTGCTGGGATTACAGACGTGAGCCATCCTCTGTTTTATTTTTCTCTACAGCACTTGCAATATCATAGCTTTACTACATTAGCAATCAGGTAGTAAGCTTATTTAGTTAGGTATGTGCTTGCTTATTGTCTGTCACCTCCAGGAGACTATATATCATGCAAGCTGGGACATCACATATGATATTCAACCGTGTTCTAAGTATTTAGAACTGTGGAACACACAGCTGGTGCTGAAAACTATTTGTGGAATAAATGGATGATATATCTGATGTCGCATGTAACAAATAGCAATTTTCAATATAACTTAGTTGGTTTATTTTTGTTGTTGTTGCTCTTTTTTGAGGGATGGAATTCAGGTACAAATAGTCCATTCTACATCTCAGTTCATAACACATTATCGCTGGAGTTTTTCTTCCTCACTTCTTTCAGATCCCCTTCTTCTTTCTTCTCCCATATACTTCTACTCTACTGTGTTAAATAGATGTCTCCTTAGATATTCGTACATCTTTGCAAAATACATGATATTATTTTATGAATATTTTTAAATTTAAGTGAATGCCATTTTGCCATCAATCTTAATCTGTTTTTATTTCCATTGGCAGTATTTTCAAGATTTATCCATATTGCTGAGAATACAATCAGTTAATTCTAATAACCGAATTGTATCCCACAGCACGCATCAATAATATTTTGCTTATCCATTCACTAGTGATAGGCTCCTACATGGCCTCCAGTTTTCTGCTATCACAAACAATTGAAAATCTACTAATACTCAGTAAGGACAATAAAAGTCTTGGCATATGAACTGCAATCCACTGCCTCCCTCCACCTTCTAAAGCAGAGTGACAAATTCCAGTCCAGGGGAGGGCAGTCAAGAACACAGGGCTTCCACTTCCTTCAGCTCCCAACTCAAAAAATCAGTAAAAAAAATTAAAATAAGTAAGACATCAGATTATGAAATAAATATTCACTTAATGCAAGAAAGCAATAAAGGAGATCGAGAAAGAAAATCTGACGGAAGTCATATAGAAACAAAAAGTAAAATTTCAGGCTTAAATCCAACTATATCCATAAAAACATTAAATTGCAATGGATAATAGCTTCTAATCAGAAGTCAGAGAGAATAAGATATAATTAAAAATAAAAGCTCCAACTATGTGCTGTCTACAATAGACACAGTTGAGATTCAAAAATGCAAATAGATTGAAAGCAAAAGAATTGAAAAAATGTGTCATGCAAATAACAATTATGAAACTAGAGTGGCTATATGAAATACCATAACATAGACATTAAAATATTATGGAAATAAAGAGCAACATTTATAATTAAACATTAATCAGGGAGATTCAAAATTATAGACTTACTTGCACCAAACAATAGAACATCAAATGCATGAAGAAAAATATGACAAAAATGGAGAAATGGGCAATTCAATAATAACAGTTAGATACTTTAAGGCCTCACTTGAAATATCGGATACATCAACTAAGCAGAAGATTAACAATAAGTAGAAGATTTAAATAACATTATAAGCCAACTAGACCTAACAGTCATTTATAGAACATCGCTCCAAAAACAGCAGAATGCACATTCTTTTCAAGTACATATGGAACATTCTCCACCATAGAACATATACTAGGTCATTTAAAAAATCTTAATACATGTATAGAATTGAAATAATACAAAATATGTTCTCTAAGCACAATGCAAGAAAATTAGAAATTTATATTGGAAAGAAATTTGAGAAACAAATCTGAAAAGTTAATCAACAAACTTTTAAATAATAAATGGCTCAAAAAAGCCATAAAAGGCAAATTACAAAATAGTTTGAGATGAATGCAAAATAAAATGCAACACACTAAAACTTATGGGAAGAAGCTAAAGCAGAGCTTAGAAAAAAAATTGCACATGTAGTTACCTATATTAACAAAGAAGAAAGAGCTCAAATAAATAACATAGCTTTCCATCTTAGGGCACTGAAATAAAGGAGAGTAAATCCAAAGCAACCAGAATGAAGAAAATAGTAGAAAATACAGTGGAAACAAATGAAAAAGAGAATAGAAAAGCAATAGAAAAAAAACGAAAAGAACCAAGTGTTAGTTCTTTCCAAATGTTAACAAAATTGACAAATCTTTAGACAGAGTGATCAAGGTGAAAAGAGAAAACTCAGATTACTAAAATTAGAAATAAAATAAACGACATAACTACTCACCTTACAAAAATAAAATTGATTGAAAAGAATACTGTTAATAATTGTATGCCAATAAATGATACAGCTTAGATGAAATGGACCATTTCTACAAGGACACAAACAACTGAAATTGACCTAAGAAGCCACAGAAAAATATAAATTGACCTTTAGGAAGGAAGGAAGGAGGGAAGAAGGGAAGGAAGGGAGGAAGGGAGGAAGGGAGGACAGATGGGAAGGAGGGAGGAAGGGAATTACATATCAAAAAACTCACAAAGAAAAACCCATACCTAGAAGTCTTCACAAATAAATTCTATAAAACACTTAAAAATAACCTATACCAATTCCTCACAAACTCTTTCAAAAAAGAGAAGGGGGGACTACTTCCCCACTCGTTCTATAGGTGAGTATTTCCTTGTAATCCAAACCAGACAAAAATGTTACCTGAAACACAGACCATTATTCCTTATAAGGAAGAACTAAAAATAGATGCAAAAATGCTGAACAAATTTTAACAAAGCTGCTGTTAAGCTCCTTAAGTGATTTCTTAATTACAGTTATTGTATTTTCCAATATAATATTTTCTCTTTGGTTACCTTTTGTAATATCTATCTCTTGAGCAATATCCTCCATTTGATGATATATCCTTCTTATACTTCCCTTCAATTCTTTAGACATAGTTTACCTACATTCTTTTATATAATAAAAGTTTAATAATGACTGAATTAAAATATTTTCCTAGTAAGTCCAACATCTGGCCCCCTCGGGGATAGTTTCCTTATACTACTTTTTTCTTGCATATTAGCCATACGTTCATGTTTCTTTTTGTGTTTTGCATTTTTAATTGAAAAGTAAATATACAAATTATTTAAGTTATTTATAAAATTAAAAATCAAGCAGTCATTAAAAGCCCTGAAGCAGGTTGATACATGCTAAAATAGAAAAATATTGAAGATATAATGCTAACTGCATTAAGAAAAGTATAGAATAGTATGTATGGTATGCTATCATTTGTGTTAAAAAATGAATATAAACAGATACACACCTATACAAATGTATAAGCATCAAAACATTTATTCTGAGGATACACAAGAAAGAAACTAGTAGCCTGGGCGACAAAGCAAGACCCTGTCTCTGCAGAAATGTAAAAAGTAACAATAAACAGGAGTGCTGTCATACTGCTGTAGTCCTAGCTACTCGTGAGGCTAAGGTGGCAGGACGGGTTGAACCCAGGAGTTCAAGATTGCAGTGAGCTATGATTGTGCCGCTGAACTAGAGCCTGGGTGACAAAGTGAGACTCAGTCTCAAAAAAAAAAGAGAAAGAAAGAGAGAGAGAGAGGAAGAGAGACAGAAAGAAAGAAGGAAAGAAAGAAGGAAAGAAAGAAAAAGAAAGAGAAAGAAACTAGTCACAAGATTAGCTTTGAGTAGAAGAAATTAATGGATGGAATTAAGGTAAATGATACATCTCATTTTTTACTATGTTACATTTTGTACTTCTTAAATTTCATACCCTGTGAATATTTGGTGCATTCAAAATATATTAATGTTATTTTAAAAATTGTCCTTTATTTCCACCTATGTCTCAGTCCATAACTCTTTCCATTCAAAATCAAGCTTCCTGGATGACTCGTCTAATCTAGTTTCTTATAATTCTCTCCAACTTCCTGTTTTCCATTAATAACTCAAAGCCCTACAATCTAATTTCTCCCCCATCATTCTACTTAAACTTTTTGCAGACATCGTTACTGATTTCCATAAGTGCAATTCTGTAATATCCAGTGATTGGTCTTCTGTATCTCAGTGTATGTTTGTCCCTTTTCTGTCACATCATTATATACACACATACTTTTTTTGTGACACTTCCATGTTAATATCGATCACAGCCTTGTTTATTTTGAGTTCTTTTTTTAATTTGTTTAAGATTCTCCTCATTCCTGGCTTTTCTCCTGCTCTTCCTACTTCTTTGGAAGTTATGCATCAATCTTCTTCCCAAGTTCTTATTATTCTCTTAAATATTGATGTACTGCAAGGATCAAGTCTTGGCAGAAAGCTCTTATTGCTCCTTACATAACCCTTAAGTTTTACCATTCACATCTAAAACTTCAGATTTTACTGAAATACTAATGACTTCCAAATCAATACTTTTGCGTAGCTATGCAGATGCTCCACGGATACATCTTATTCTATTATACAAGTAAAATATTGGATTCATTATTTATTACCTTTCCAGCTCAACCTCACCTCAACACCTAAGCCAAGAATCTGTAAATTGCCTTAGTCTCCTTTTTCATTTTACCCTTTATATCTACTGTTTTACAGTACTCTAGATTGTACTTTTTAAAAATGTCTCCAATTCATTCCATTTTTCGAATATAGTCTCTGTCTAAGTGCAAGTTATTAACACCTTTTGCATAAATTATGGTTATAAACTCCTTTCCGCAATGACTGTCTAACTGATCTTTCTGTCTCAAATTCCTGTTTTTCTAAATCATTCCCAAATAATATTTATAAAAGCACAACAATATGATATTAGGCTATTTTGAATTTTATTTTATCCTTTAGAATAAATATCATACCTTATTACTCAAAGCCATCTATGCTATGGCTGTTTCCAACCTCTTTTGCTTCATCTTTCCCCATTACCCACATGAACATTTGCTCCTTTCACATCAAATATCTACAAACTAATAAACTGATGTTTATGGCACAGCAGTTTTCCTCATCCTACTCTCTTCTCTTGGCCCATTCTTTTCCAGTTTTTCTTTTATCCAACCAACAGCATACTGCAAACGTCAGTTCAAGGATCATGTTTTCTCAGATTTCCCAAATCTCCTCCTATTTGAATTGGAGCCTTTACAGTTTTCTGGTGGTTTAGCATATACTGCATTGAGAATATCTCTGTAATTGTACTTATAGTACTTGACAGTTCTGTAATATCTGTCTGTCACTCATTAGAATGTAAGATTCGTAAAGGCAGAAGTCATGCATTATTCAACATTGTTTCTAACAGCACTCAGAAATATGTCTGACACACTGCCGCTTCTCAAAAAGGTTTGTAGATGACTAAATGGGGAAAAAAAAAGATTTGTGATGACTGTTCTTGCACATCTCCAGCTTGTTTATATTTACCACAGCCTGGGATAATAAACAGAAGAATTCAGGATAAGAGTGGGAAGAAATAGCGCATTACTTCAATTAATGATGAGGGGCATCTGAATATGACATGCATCCTGATACTTAAAGTGACTTTTGTAGATAAAATGGGCTTGAAGCACTATTGTTTATTAACTACTTTATTTCTGTGATTCATGTGCACGGGGGCATTTGTTGTATTTGGAATAATAAGGGACTTTTGTAGTAGTGCTTGTTATTGAGATTTAAATGCCCTAGGTGAACTCAATAGCCTATTGAAGGCATCTCTTTTTACCTTGCGCACATCTGCAATGGGTCATTGCTCTTCTGTTCTGGTACACTTTTCCACCATGCGATAATGTTAATAATAAAGCTATTCAATAGCACCTCTTGATTGAACCATATTTGACCTTATGAAACCAAGAGAATATTTCAGCAAGTCAGTTTATGTCAGTATGTATCGTAAATGTGAAAAAATGACATGTAATAGAATGCTATTTGTGAGCACTCTCTGACTCCAGAGCCATTGAGCTCTTCCTAACAAGGTTAAAAGGACACAGACAAAGCAAACCACAGAATGTTTACTGATCTGTACAGGATTACTTGGTTAAAAACCACTCTTTTTCTTGGTGACTTAAAGTTGTGAATATTGTCCTGAAAAGTTCAAACCCATATGGAAACCAGGATTGGCAACAGCTAAGGGATAGGATGGGACTTGTTCATGCTACAGAAGTGGCTGGCAATGGATGAGGCAGGTGATGGTTTCAGGGGAGCGCTAATTTCACTACCTATGAGAGCTTCCTTCAAAAACCTGGATGGAATCAGAAAGAAACTTGAAATATTAAGCAGCATTATAACAAAAGGCAATTGTAGATGGATAAAAAGGGTTCTAAGTACAGGAACCATTTTAATAGAAACTGGAATTTGAGGGCTATTATGAAATAGCAAGCATAGACCTCACTTGGTCACATGACCACAGACAGTATCTGAAAAGAGGAATTGGAGGCACATTCTACTTACCCATATGTGCTTGTCCATCAGCATATCTCTCCCTCATGTCTCAAATAATGTGTCTTCTGAGGGAAAGGGACCCTTTTAGGAGAGAGCCCACCACTTGCAAAAGCAACAGACAGAGGCTGCCTCTAGTGCTGCACTGGGACAGCCTCTGAAAAAGACAGTCTTTGTTGGGTGATGGATTATTCGCCAATAAGAAGACGTAAGAGAGAATGTTGGATAAAAGCACAGGTTGCTTTGTGACTAGCCAGGCTTGAGTCCCAATGACGGACATGTCACCTATGTTGTGTGACGTGAAAATGTTTATTTAAATCTCCCACACCTGTTTTCTTAGTTGTGCACCTGTCATAATACCAACAACTTCACAGTATTGTCTAGAAGCTTTCATGATGTACTATATATAAAGTGCTTAATATAGCACTGGAATTACAGTAAATGATTCAAAAATGATCTCTTAATAGCTAAGTTGAAGGAACAAAACTGATATGCCAGACCCCCATATTATATTGATAATATTTATGTTCCTTTTGAGTTTCTGTGGTAGCATCTTATAATATTTTAGGAAAGATTACAGCAGAATGATTCTGGAATAATTAAAAATAGGGAGCATACCTATTTTGAATAAGTATTTTGTGACAGCAAACATATTGAACACTGCACAAATATGTGGAGTGGCTTAATTCTCACTTTACTAATAACGACACTAAGTCTAATAAGCATTAAGTACCATTTTACAAAACCTGTGAGAGTCAGGTTGAAACCCAGGTTCTTCTGATTTTAGAGTAGCTATCTTCAGAAGGGCACAAAACATTTTTATCATGCCTTTCACTGGGCAACTAAGCAAAATATCCTCCTTTGTACATCATGTTAAGGGTAATTTACTGATGAAGGAGAATTACCAGAATGATAGTTTTCTGTTAACTTTTCACTGGCATCGACCAAATACTCTGGAAATATCTCTGCTCTACACATGGGAGCCTGCTTTGATATAGGCATCCTTACCTCTTCCTTAGAGTAGATTGAATGAAATTTTTAGAGCTGAAAGCTTAATGCTGGAAAACCAATAGGCTTCTAGCTTTTTCTGACCCACAGAATCTAGCCATAAGCTTTTAACTTTTGCTTTGCATATGTAGTTCTTTCACAAGTATTCATAGCATCTGTGTTGATTGTAGACAGCAAATGAGCAGTGAACCAATGAATGAGATTAAGTAATTGATATGAAAATAGTCCAGCCCCAAAGTAAAACACCAACTTAGCCTTTGCCTAGTAACTGTTATGGAAAAAAAAGTATTTGAAAATGGTTCCTTTTGACATAAATTATAACGTTATTATTTTATTTCTGAATAACACAAAGTCTAAATGAAATGCTATTTTTAAGATCCTGTATTTGGTCCTGGCAGTATAATAATATATGTTGTTCATTATGTTTTTGAAAACAAAACTTGTGATGTACTGAGCTAATTCTGATATACTATATAGGAAAGAAGAGACACAAAATAGCAATTGGATCAACAAGAGACTTTAAAAAGATGTGAATTCACACAAACAAAAGAGGCTATAAAGACACTTCACTGCAAAACAAGCAGGTTTAACTAGTTTTACAAATATAACTTTGGGGGACAATGTGACGTGGCTTTTGTAAAAGTAAAATAAAACGTAGTTCGGTCTGAGATCTCATTATCACTTGTCCTCTGCAGTTCTTCAAAGCATTCTCAGTACCCTAATATTAACCGGTCCTAACTATAGCAATCAGAAGGGCAAAATCCCCCTGCTTAGAAGGTCAGTAAATTCTCTTTATAGCCAGCCACTGTACTGATGATCAGAGAAAGATAGCTATGCACTTGAAGAGTTACACAAGGATTTTAACTATATCTTCAATGTTTCACTTGAAAAAAAAATCTGAGGCAAATGTTACAAAAAGTTAAGATTTGTTGTAGCAGTCTGGTAGCACTTTAATTTGTTTTATGTTCGAAGGCAGAAAAAAAAATCAGAAAGAAAACATCTGATAAAATCTAACAATCATTCATTTAAAAACAAAACTTTTAATCTAAGGAGTTTTTTTTATCTTAATAAAGATGTCTACCAAAGAGTTAAAGCAAATATCAAGTTAACAATTATCATAATCATAAAAAGCATCCCCATTAAAACTACTAGTAAATATCACTACTGATATCCTTGCTATTCTACATCGTACTGGAGATCCTAGACAAATGAATAATGCCATAAAAGTAAATGAAGGAAAAGCTTTCAAAAGGAAAGATTAGTGTATTATTTATTGGTATAATAATCTGTCTAAAATCATTCAAGAAACTAAAAATACTAAAACTATTAGAGAGTTTGGAATATGGGTGTAGAAGAGATCAACAATCAAAAATGAACAGAATTCTTATATAGCTAGTAGTTGACATCTACACTTTTTGCCTGCATGGCATCCATTTCTTCTACTTTTAGAATCCTTACCTCGATTTCCTTTTGCTGTTACTCCAGGCCTCTAGGCCTTTCACAGTAGCCTACCCCAGTCCCTGTGCTGGCAGTCATCAAGTCGAACCTGACCAATCACAGTGCTCTATCTACCTGCCCAGGTCTATCTACCTGCCCTACCTGCCTCTGGAGCATGCAAGCCTTTCTAGTTACTCTAGGACTGATGGGAAAGAGAAACTTCCCTTCAGCTGGTTTTCCTCTGCTGCTGAGATATTGCCCTGAAGCTACTGATGGGCATTTTATTATCTCAAGCATAGAGCCTGCTTGAAACAGATGACATAATGGAAAACTGATGCAAGCAATAGAAAGATTCTGAGTCCTGATGTCATTGTTTCAGTCCTGAATCCAATGTTTGCAAAGTAAACTAATACATTTCTTATTTTTGTTGAGGCCAATTTGAGAGTAGGTTCTGTCACTAACAAACAAAAGATCCTCATTACTGCACAACAGCATCTAATCAGTAAATATAAGGGAACATAAAAATAGCCTCATTCACATTGGAACCAAACTTTTAATACACCGAGTAATAAGCAATATATATGTTCTATAATTACACTTATAATTATAAATGTATGTGTAAGAATTTTATGGAGAAACCAAAAGTACTTTATTAAAATTTTAAAAGAAGACCAAAATAAAGAGATAGAACAGGTTTATGTCTGAGCATCAAGGTGCTAAAGATGTCCATTCTCACATACTTCCTTATTAATGATGTGGTTCAGTATTCACATGCAAAAAAACAGAATTTATAGCTACCGATTTAAGTAGAAAGGGGTTTATATTGGATATTAAATGACTCACAGTATAGTAGAACAGACTGTAGGATAGACTTGGCTAGACTGTGGCTAGATGAAAAAGACAACTCTGTCACAGTCCAGAGATTACCTTTCTAATTGGGAAAGTGCTTCGCTACCTGCTGGTCACCATACAAATGCATATAATAACCATGAAAAGCTATTACAAACCCATCGAAAGGCAAGAAATTAACAAATTGGACAACACCAAGTATTGGTAAAGATGTAGAGCAACAGAAACTTCCATATACAGCTTTTGGGAGTGTAAACTGATACTGCCATACTGGAGATCAAAACGGCAATATCCACCAATTTTGAGGATTGCACACAAACATCAATCCAGCCACTTCACCCAGAAGTATATACTCTAGGGAAATTTTTATTCATGCCATAAAGAAGCTAATATGAGAAAATTATTTTCAGCAGCATTTAAAATTGTAAACAAATTATATGATTTTATGGTAAAGGTTAAATAAATTAGAGTACAACCTTAAATCTGAATAATATGCCTAATTTAAGAGGAATAAACAATGTATATTTATTACAATGGAATACCTTCAAGACACAGCAGTAAAAAACGATAATTACAAAACAGTATAATAATGTCACTATTTTAAAATAATTTAAAATTAATGCATTTTTTTCCTGGGTAGAGACATATGTATGGAAAAGCGTAGAAAAAGTTCTGGGAAGAAATAGCAAATGATTATAGTGGTTACCACTGAAGAAGAAAATTAGGGATGGTGGTCAATGTAAAATTTAACTTTATTTGTTGTTTTACTTTTTTCAAGGTGAATATGTTCTTCTAATACTCAATTTGTGAGCTTCAATTTTTTTTTTTTTTTTTTTTTTGAGCCTGAGTCTCACTATTTTGCCTAGGCTGGAGTGCAGTGGCGTGATCTTGGCTCAATGCAACCTCCACCTCCTGGGTTCAAACGATTCCTCCTGCCTCAGCCTTTCAAGTAGCTGGGATTACAGGCGCCCACCAACATGCCTGGCTAATTTTTGTATTTTTAGTAGAGATGGGGTTTTGCCATGTTAGCCAGGCTGGTCTAGAACTCCTGACCTCAAGTGATCCACCCACCTCGCCCTCCCAAAGTGCTGGGATTACAGGCATAAGCCACCATGTCCAGCCTGTGAGCTACAAATTTTATAGTAAAAGTTGTAGCAGCAGCAGAACAACAAAATCAATGTGGTTTAATTGGGGTTGTCACCCATAAACAATGTTAGACATTAAAGGCTCTATCTCTTTCATTATGTATATGAAGAAAATGTTCTAGACATAAACGTTTGCATTCAAATTTTCTTTCTAGTTTAACTCACTCCACCTACAAGGCAAACCGCTATACTACAAATCATCTCCATTTTGTCAATAGCTGATTAAATTAAAGATGAACAGCTGACTCAAGGGAAACCAGTACACACAGAAGAATAAACTGTTTTTTCTCCTGTAATAATCTGAAGAAAGAGACACTGGCACTGTGGTCAGTCTGTACTGGGTGATGCAGTTGAAATGCTGTGAATGTATGGAGTAGTAAGGTATAATGGAGTGTACATGCCCATGATGAGTAAGCAAAGAAAAATAATCTGCAGGGAGGAACAGGAGGAAGAATGAGGCAAAAATGTAAAGGAAAGTAGAGGCGATAAAGACATCATAATAGCTCAGGATAAGATAAATTGTTGGACTTTCTGGCCTTCAACTTCCAGCCCCATATAAGGCTTGGTTATATACATTTCTTGCCCTGCAATGACTGAAATAATTTTTATATATGAATGTCAGCCAGGTAAATTGTAGCCACATCTTTAATATGAGATCAATGTGAAGTTATAGTAGTACCTACCATCCTTCAGAAAGGGAAGCATAATAGTTATTCCTTTGGGGTTGAACTAGTTTAGATGGATTTTTCTTCTTTACCACCTAAATTTCTTAATTAGAAGACAAATAAAAGCCAGAGATGTAAAGTGACCTAAATACAGTGTCATAGCTGGTCGTTGACAAAGCAGGGCACCCTCTGATTCTTAGTGTAGTGCTTTTTGCACCCCATCCTCCTGTTTCTTTTCCTTGTAAAATCCACCATTTGTTGAGCCCCTCCGAAGTGTCTCTTTTCCTACATTATCTCATGGTGTACTTTAACAGCAATTTCATATCAGTTTTGTAACTGAACAAACAGGCTTAGAAAAGTTAAGGGACTGGCTCAAGTTAAAAAAATATGAGCCCTAGTCCACCTGCCTTTGAAAGCTTTTTACCCTCATACTTCCACTTCCATTAGCCATCTTGTCAGAAGGAAATGAAGAGACTAATGAGAGACAAACCTCCATCATCTTTTCCTTTCTGCCAAAGAGTTGGGAGAAAGAAAAGCCTCTGTATAATGGCCACTTTTTGTTTTCTGATGCTTGATAGCCTGTTGTCATCTAAGGCAGTGCAGACCCAATATTTCTAAAGATGGTATGTGTTTACTAGATTTTAAGTTATTGATTCAACATTTAAATAGCAAGCTGTAAGTGTTTGTCATCTGGAGGAAACCTATCTCAGTGCAGGCCAGCAGCAAGGCTTTGTTTGGCAGCTGTATATCTCAAGCATTTTCGTTGCCAACATTCTCAGTGGCTACAAAAGCTGGAGAGTGCTCATAAGCATGTAGCAGCAAAGATGTACTTTATCATATCCCGAACGCACTGCAGCATACCCTATGGTTAAACGAAGTCAGATCATGAATTCATTAGTCATTGCCGTACAGCAGCAAGGGTCCCATTGCTTTCTAATTGGTTATTAGAGTCAGGATCCACTCTACAAGAAAAAATAGGTTCAGAAGCTCATATTGCATTAAGAAAAATGACCACAAATAACTACTATTAGGGGAAAGAATAATGCCCTATCTTTATTTCTCATGTTATAATGTAATTTGTTAAGTTTTGCAACTTGTGCTGCATCTTGGTGCAGTACTGGGGTTAGAATAAATTATTCCAGATACTCGAAATGCTAAACTTTTTCATATGACTTTCCCTTTTTGGGAAAACTTGAAGCCTTCTGCAGCATCTTGAGTTCTTCCTGATCTCCCATTTTTACTCCAAATTCTGGGCCCTATTAGGGTCAAGCCAAATCTACAGTAGGACATTCAAGTTTTCTGAGATGCCGTCACCAAAACAGGCTCTTGGAGGGCTATAATTTGACCTGAAAGATCTGGATGTCAGTAATGAGAAAATAAACAGAATAATTTCTAAATCTCACATTGTCTTTGGACTATTTGGAATTCCTTTGTTAGTTGAATTTTATGGTATTTTTTTAAACTATGAGGCAAATAGGATGTGACCGTTTTGCTTCTTATACAGGATGTGAATGAGGTCAACAAGAAAAAAAGTGAAGGAAATTTTGTGGTTTAGTAGAATGTCAGCCAGCCAGGTGAGCTATTATCAGATGGTATCAGAGAGGGAGGGTTTAATCTTCTGTTTAAGCAGCATCAAATATAGGGCTCAGATGCTGGCATTTTAGAATTCTTTGTTGCGATTCAGTGACTCCATGATATGTACTTGCTGGTCGTATTAGGAATTAGATAAGAATTTAATTTACATCTGAGATTATGTCCACCACACATGTTAATTTTAGCTCCTGGGAACATTCTCAATGACAAATAGTCATTATTAAAATGTAAACGTAATTCTTACCACAAGTCAAAGGCAAAACAATATCTTGTCGTTTATTTAAAGGTCATCGCAATCCCTGGAAAAAAGTGAAACATTGGTTATGGCAATGCTTCTCAAACTTAAAACATCCACAGACCAATTAATATTCCTTAAGAAAAGTCACAGAACAGCTACTTGGGAGGCTGAGGCAGGAGAATGACGTGAACCCGGAAGTAGAGCTTGCAGTGAGCCGAGATCGCGCCACTGCACTCCAGCCTGGGTGACAGAGCAAAAGACTCCGTCTCAAACAAACAAAAAGCCACAGAAGACGGATTTAGTTAACATTTTAAATGATTATAACAATATTTCTGAAAATAGCACTCTTCACATCAAAGAAAATAATAAAATTATTTGAAGTTTCTATAAAATTATTTGAAGAATCTTTATCTATGGTGTATATCTACCACATTTTCCTTATCCAGTCTACCTATGCAGCCATAAAAAAGAACCAGATCATGTCTTTTGCAGGAACATAAGTGGAGCTGGAGGCCATTATTATCCTTAGCAAACTAACACGGGGACAGAAAACCAAATACTGCATGTGCTCACTTATAAGTGGGAGCTAAATGATGAGAACACATGGGCACATCGAGGGGAACAAAACACACTGGGGCCTTTTGGAGGGTGTAAGGTGAGAGAAGGAAGAGGATGAAAACAAACAACTAATGAATACTAGGCTTAATATTATACCGGGCGATGAAATAATCTGTATAACACATACACATGACACAAGTTTACCTATGTAACAAACCTGCCCCTGAACTTAAAACCTAAAACAAAATAAAAAAAGAATCTATATCTAGATTCCTATAGCGAATCTATATCTAGAGTTTTAATAGATAGCTTGAGGTGTTGTGCAGGTTTCAGTTAATATTTCTTCTTGCATTTTATTTCTGCTAAATTAAAATATCCCAACTAATAATGTTAGGTCATTATTGAGAATAAACATCAAAGAAAAATTGTAAGGATATTTCCCAGAATTGAAGGACATAGTTCATATACAGAAAAGCCAATAAAGGCCAGAATAATCACACCAATGAATGATAAAACGCACAGAAAGCATAATATATTTTTCAATACAAGGAATAAAGGAAGATTCTGAAAGTTTCCAGCCCAGGAAAATAATAATGTATACCAGGTTAAAACCATAATTGAAAGTTTCAATCATATCATTGAAAACTGAAATACAATGAAGCAATTTGTCTCACAATTTTGAATAAGAATGGCACCAAACCTATAATTTTATTCTCAGCTAAACTGTCCATTAAATATTAGGATAAAATGAACCATTTTAAAAATATACAAATGTTTTTAAAATGTATCTTCCATGTATTCATTCTCAGCAATCTACCCAAGATTATGCTTCATCAAAACAGTGGAGGATGTGTCAAAACAGGAAAAGGTGGGGTCCAAGAATAATGTTTTCAAGGTTTATGTTGTAGCATGTAAAAGAAATTTTTTGGCTAAATAATATTTCATTTTATAGATATTCCATACCACGTTTTGTTAATCCATTCATCCGTTGATGAATATTTGGATTATTTCCACCTCCTGCCTATTATTAATAATCTTGCTAGGAACATTTGTGTATAAATCTTCGCTTACATGTATTTTCATTTCTTTTGGGTACATACCTAGGAGTAGAATTGCTGGGTCAAATGGTAACTCCATGTTTAAACTTTGAGGAACTGTCAGACTGTTTTCCAACGTGACTGTACCATTTTACATTTCCGTTAACAGTAAAAGAGGGTTCTAATGTTTCCATATCTCATCAATATTTGCTATAGTCTGCCTTTTTTATTATTGCCATTCCAGAGAATATGAAGTGGTATCTTGGTGTGATTTAGATGTGCGTATCCCTGATGACTAATGATGCTGAGTATATTTTCATGTGCTCATTGGCATTTATGTATCTGCTTCGAAGCATAATATTCTTTGTCAATTTAAAAAATTTTACTATTTGTCTTATTGAGTTGTAAGATGGTGTATATTAAAAACATCTCCCTTATCACATATATAATACACAATTATTTGTTGACATTCACTGGGTTGATTTTTCAGTTTACTTATGATGTCATTTGAAGTGAAAAACGTTTAAGTTTTGATGAAGTCTAATTTATCTATTTTTCTTTTTTGTCACATACTTCTGGTGTCATACCTAAGAAATTATTGCCATATCTGAGGTCATGAAAATTACCCCATTTTATTCTAGAGGTTTTGTAGTTTTGTCTTTTACTTTGAGTTTTGGACTGATTTTAGTTTTCAAATATGATGTTCTTATGCTTTTAATATGCTAGATCACATTTGGAGCACTGTCATAGGGTTTGGGAATTATTGATAACTTCATAGGAAAGGAAGGCAACAGAAAAAATAGGGTATTGTTAACTAGAATAGAAATTTAAAAGTTGCACATAATGAAGTGAACATCTAGTATGTCTCAACTGTGAAAACTTATTTATTTTAATACTCTTAATACTGAATATTTATTTAAATGTAAAAGTAAAATAACTATGTTGGAAGGAGAGGAGGGGAAAAGAGAGGGGGCATGTATAAGACAGCCGAATTCCCATATTCTGATCAGAAAGTCAGTTTATTACACCCACAACTGGAGAAACAAACGTAGGAAAAAACATTTTACACAAGCTATTTAGAAAATGAAAGTAAACTAAAGGAGTTAAGTTATTGCTTCTTTGGGGTATACATCTTGGCTGTAGAGGTAGAGAAGACTTGTGTTTTACATTATACATTTTGTTGCTTTATTTTTAAACTATATCTATGTATTGCTAAGTTAAACACATTTTTTTTAACTGACTTAAAAGTGAACTTGGGGAAACAGTTTGAGTGTTAATACTATCTGATTCCCACTAGAGGGAAAACCTCAGTGCCAGTGTAGCAGCTTGCCTGGAAGTCTCTCATAACACCCTACAGAGAGTTATATATGTTTATATCCAACCTGCACTTTGATATACAGCTATTTCTCAAAGAAGACTATACTCATATGCATTTCTCACACAAAAGCTGGATGGTACAATACAGTATTTTAACTTGGAAGGTAATGTCAAATTATTTCCCAGTCCTTCCTTGGTTTGGCATTTGGCTTTGCAAAATATTTCAACTCTCTCACCATATTTAAATGTGGTTTCTAAATGTGTCCTAAATATGCTGTCGATTTCTTTTGCAGTGAATTAAGACAAATATTAAATATTTAAAGGAGGTCAAGTTCACTGACTATGCTATTTTCACTGAAATTTAGTCTTAAGAAATCATAATGTTCTATGCTCAACATTTATGAAAGTGGTCAGCCCTTTGATCTAAGGATTTTAAATATATCTCTGTATATTTTTGCTAAACATATACATGTATATCAGTCAAAAATGCTTTATTAACAGACCATTTAAAAATTCAGTAGGCTCACATAAGCTATTTGCCACTGACTTCCACATGATAATAAGAATATATAGCATTCTACAAAATGTATTTTAAAATAGGTGCACCAATTATTTCCTCCACTTCATTAAATCAGATTGTAATCTGAATAACATATTCTTTAATTGGGTTCTACCATAGTAGTAACAAAAGTACTAACATCTGTATTAGATAAAATCACATGGACAGGGATGAAGGAAGCAAATATACTTCATTCATGTATTTGCACTGAGTTGCGTCCCTGAGGTTCTTGTATATCAGACGTTCAGTTACAGCTATGTAAGACAATTAGCTCCTTATTGCAATGATCCACCGAATACTCCAATAATTGAAGTTAGAAAATGCATCTAAGATCAGAAAAGCATTTATTTGTGTTTTCCAGCTTTCCTACTCAGGTTTTTTGTTGTTGTTTTAACATTCAGGAAACCACTATTCCATTAAACACTCTTTCATGATACCACTTTGTCTCTGGTCTTTCACTTGATACACATTCTCTCCAAGAGATGCTTTAGGAATCTTCTTCTGTGGGTACCTTGGGGACCACCCCTCAATATAAAGTGGTCTTAAGTCTGTGAAATGGTCACCATAGCTGTGCAGCATTTTGATCAGTCACAGGTTTGTTGCATACTGGCTGTGATACAGCAATACAGTACTGTCAGGAGCAGTATTAAATAATCCACTATTTTTGAAAAAATGCACGTTTATAGTACTAAATTCAGACTAAATATTATTAGTTTCTAAAATTATTAGGTTGGGAATAGCTATGGCTATTTCAAATCTACCCTGTTTTCAAAATACAATTAAAATGACTATGCAAAGATTAGCACTTGCTTTTCAAATATACACTTAAAAAGTAAAAATTAGTACTTTGCATGAGCAATTTTTATAAGCTGGATTTTAGATTTTACCTAGTAATCAGTCTTGATAGTGTTTAGGGGACCAATTATGTATAATCCTTTTTAATAAGCAAAAAGCAATTTTTCTTAGAAATATTCCTGGGGAGGTTGGGCACTTAAGAAAATACATAAGACTTATGGATTTGGAAACTGTACTTTTGCTAACCACAGTAGTCGATCCCATATGACATGGTGGCAATACCTCTAAAACCTAATTTGGGGCCAAATCTAATTGATTTAATACAAAAAACTTAAAAACTGAAGTAGTCATGGAGTCGTAGGAAATTGCAAAGATGATACCATAGTTTTCACTTACACTTTACCCAGTTTCCCCCAATCGTTATATCTTAACTATAGTACAATATCACAAGTTTGTATTTGACATTGGTATGATGTGTATGTTCTGGAATGAAATAGAATTTCTCCTTAATTTCTGAATTATATAGAATTCTAGGTTGGCAGTTCTCCTCCCTCCCTCCCTCCCATCCTCCCTCCCTCCCTCCCTCCCTCCCTCACTTCCTTCCTTCCTTCCTTCCTTTTTCCTTCCTTCCTTCCTTTCTTTTTCTTTCTCTTTCTTTCTTTCTTTCTTTCTTTCTTTCTTTATTTTTCTGTCTTTCTTTCTTTCTTCTTGCTTTTCTTTTCTAACAGTTGAAAGATATTGTACTACTTCCTTTTGGGTTCTATGGCATTTGTTTTGAAATATGCTGCCATTCCAATTGCTATTTCTTTATGGGTAATGGATCATTTCTCTCTGGCTCTTTTCAAAACTTTCTTTGGGTTTGGTGTTCAGAAGTTTGACAAGGATATGTTTTGTGGTGGATATAGTTGGGTATGTGTTATTTTGGGTTCATTCAACTTTGTTAATTTGTTGGCTTAAGTTTTCTGCAATAATCAGAAATTTTTCAATCACAATTTCTTCCAATACTTTTTCAATACAACCCTTTTATTTATCTTTTGGAATTCTGATGACACACATGTTAAGTTTTTGATATTGTCCCAGAAATGTTTTTATTTTTGCAGTTTATGTCTATCTGTTGTTCATATTGGGCAATTTATATTATTTAACTTGAGGTATATTCACACTTTTTTATGTCCTTTACATTCTGTTATTTAGTGTATATAGGTATTCTTTAAATAATTGGATAATCAATATATCTGTATTACGTGGTAGCAAGCAATTAGAGTTCATTTGATGCCAAACATAACAATAAAACCATGTTTTTCATGTTACACTGTTTAGTGTCCCCCAAAATCTTAGATTTACACAAAAGAAGCTTGTAATTAGGTATGTATTCAGTCATTTGCAGCCAGAGTCCTTCACACACCCATGCCCCCAAGTGGTCCCTTATGTGCCCTTAATTCCAGTTTAAAACTTTGCAAAATGTTAATTTTCAGAAACATGTAAACACTATAGGAGATGAACAATTCCTGTTTATGAAAAGTTTGTAATATCCCTGTAGCTGCCTTCAAGTGATTTCATTCAACCAGTTTCTCACGGGAATACCTTTCCCCAAAATTTAATCGATATTATGCTAGGGAGCAGTCATCGATATCTCCTAAGAATTTTCATTTTAATATAATTTCATGTGCTCTCTTAATTATTATCACTGAAATTATAAAGCATATCAAACACTTTGTCCTTTGTTAATATTTTCAAGATTTACTAAATGTTGATAGCATCTAAGACACACAATAAAAATACTAAACTTAGATAAGTTAAAAATAACTTGCATGATTTCTCCATTCATATTTGCTATAAATAGCATGTTCTTATCTAAACAAATAGGCAATGTATCCATGCAGTGAAGATTAAGCATGAAAGATAAATATATCTCAAACAAATCTACATCTGTTCAGATATTTAGTATATGTTTAAAATGTCCAAACTCTGTTCTGCAGTTTTTCTTATCAAAGTACTAATATTTCACCAGTATTTCAAGACCACTGCAGCTTAATGACTGAAGATTCCCAGTTTCCACTGCAACGCACATTAAGGGGCAAAAGCAGATAAACAGCAACATCCCTTGGAAGTAGCAATATAAGGTTAAAACCGAGATGAATGCATGGAGCAGGATGGAAACTAAGAGAGTCCAAGGAGGGCGAAAGGGGCAGGAGAGTGAGGCAATTTGAACTTAAGGCAAAAGGAACATACCTAAAGTACTTGTAAAAAGAAGGGAGATTTTTCCAATCGACATTCAATCCACCTAGATGTTCTCTTTCCCCCAGAGCTGCAGCTATTTATAATACCTGTTCTGCCACAGGAAGGTAGTTATGCAGTGGTAGCGTCTGACATATCTGCAAACTGCATTATCTGTCTATCTATCTATCTGTTTATCTAACCACTGGAAAAGTCTGTGTGTATATAATCCCCACATATATTGTGATTCATAGCTCAGTAGGGAAATGGATACATAGTGAAGCAACAGAAATGAAGCAGGTGTATTTATTTTAAGATGAAATATTAAACAATGGAGTAGTCTCTTAATTAGCAGTCAAAACCAATCCAAGAAAACAACTAGACAAATGTCAACTAATATAATGGAAAAAAACAAGAAAAACACAAACAACAACAGAGACCACAGGCAGAAACAAAATAGACACTTGCCTGACCCTGACTAATTTTTCACAACTGAGGTTTGAAGATTAAAATCCATTTTCTGCCTTTTTATCAATTGAAAACTGGTCTGTTAAAATAAGGTCTCAATTTTTTTAATCTATACCAGAACAGATAGGGGTGCCATGTATCCCAAGCTTTATATTCTCAAAAACCTCAAATTGAGACTTCTGAGACTTCTCCAACACAGTCACAGGGATATGCTGAGACGAGTGAAACAGGATAGGTGTATCCAACATTTTGAAACTTATTTGCATTCCCAATCTATGCTGCCTTTGGTACACCATCAATTATTTTATTTCTAAAATAAATTCTTTATTGTGTAAAAAGTACAATTATATTGCATTCATATATTTGCTAGAAAAAATATTCAGTGTAACAGCTTTAAAAGTGTCTTAATAACCTTCTTGGTGCATGGAGGTGGAAAACCAGTGTGTTTATTACCTTTCGCATCTAGCCAGGCATTGGGCCATCTAAATCGCTTCTGTCCACGTAAACATAGTATCGCTACCCCTAGTCCCTGTAGTCCCAATGATGTCATTCTTTCATTATTTTAACAATAACTGGTAGTGCAGGGTGGCTCCTGGAATAGAGTGAGTTCCCTTCTGGGAGTAAAATGAAAGTCCATTTTCTTCCCATAGAAAGGCAAGGTTGGGGCTATAATTTTGTCCTGAGATTTACCAAAATCTTTAGGAAAAAGGATTTGTAGTTAATGCTGACATTAGGCTGTATACATAGTATTGGTAAATGTAAATATTTAGTAAGAAAGGTGCTCAGTATATAGATACTTAATGATCATTTCTTTCTCCCCCATGGGTATTCGATTTACAAGTGCAATTTTCCTGCATATCAGCACATACAGATAAATTACTGTTTTGTTTAATGAACTCTATAAAGGCTGTAATGTAGATTTGTTCTTCTCAAATAAAATCAGTTTTCTCAGTGCAGTGTAGAGCACACACCTGTAGTCCCAGCTACTAGAGAGGCTCAGGCCAAAGGATTGCTTAAACCCAGTAGTTTGAGACCAGACCATGCAACATAGCAAGATGCCTGTCTCTAGAAATAAATAAATAAATATATATATTTATATTTAAATCAGTTGTCTTTATGAACTCTCAAATTATATTAATATAATGAGCTTCCGAAATGGTGGCCTAATTCAAAAATTATAGTGAAAATTTGTTGTGCAACTGGGTCGGAACTGGTAATAATCAACTTTCTAAAAATGGTGTCTGAGTAGACTGCATCACTTCCACCAGAGTGTCCTCAAGAATCAATCTGGTCTCAAGTATCTGTCACTTTTAAAACTAAAATTAATAATACCTGACACTTTAATTGTATTAGGAAGGGACTAAATCGATGCCAAATAAACCCTCAATGTTCATTCAGAAATAAATCAGGCCAACAAATGGGACGGCATCCAGAGGTACAGAGATAGAAACGGATATTTTTACATTTTAAATTATAGGCAAAATTCAAATTAAGAGAACCTAACATAACTCTATTCTTTCTCCAGAACATGATGTATCATAGCTGATTGTATGAGCGATGTGGTTTGTGTGCCACATGATTTTATAAGCTCCTCAACAACAGACATTTGTGAAGCAGCCTACCAATAAACTTCAGTTGCAGTCATAGCAACTGAGAATAATAGAAACACAAACTCCTGTCATTGTTTTTATTAGGAAGGCACATAAGGAGATGAATGCAAGCTCATTTCAACACAGAAAGCGGTTTCTTCAGGAAGCCCTTATTTTCAAAATTCTGTCACACCTGCCTTCAGTCATTAAATGTAGATTCCTGATGGTTAGGAAACCTAGGTTTGTCTTTTAAATATTTCTGAGTTTCATTTGCCAGAGAAATTTTAGCAGTTGAATGGGATATAAAATATTGGCATTTTAATAGAACTTTGCTCCATAGTCTCAGAGGTGGATATAGTTATAATTTGCAACAGCATAGCTATTAGCTAGACGATCATTCAATAAACAATAGTACAGACCAAATCACCTTCCAGAGACCATTACCAGACCTACATAGTGGGAGCTGACACTCCCAGAATATTGAATGAGGAAGTAGAAAGTGATATGGAGTTAGGGTGTTAACTGCTTATCCAAAGTCAAAATGCCTCCTGGTGACTGCCTAAGAAGAACATTAGTGGCTGTAAGTGTCTTCTGTATGTAAAAAATAATCACATCAAAATAATGTAGTAGGTGCTTTATGGATTTACAAGCAGGAATATCTGAACTATTTCATAGTATAGCTTTTAAATTTGTGTGTGGTCAACATTGGAACCATAATGAAAGCAATCCATTTTCATGATATTAGTCATTAATCAAAAGAGAACAAAAGTGACCTGGTGGCAGATTTTATATAATCCACATATAGAGGGTAAATGTGTGGTGTAGCATCCATTTCCAAGGACTTATATTAAGACAAGTAGAGTAATCATGTGAACCTGACTTAGGAAAACATTTTATAGAAAAAAAAAATGCAGAAATGCTATGTCATTCCATGAGACCATACCACATAGGTAAGAGAAGAAAGCCAAGTAGAATACTTAAAATCATATTTTCTACTTTGTCATTATATTAGGATGTTGTTATTTCTATGTCATGTTATTGAAAGTAATGGGAAAAACTGCAATTACTTTTGCGCCAAACTAATATTATGCCTTATACTTTTTATTCCATACGCCACTCAAAATCTACTGTAACATTTTGTACAGATTGATTGTCATTTACATTGATGCAAAAAGATCACAGGCCGTTAAGGTGAAGATTTAAATTTCAGGTCACTGATTTGGTACCTGACCGCTGACATATTTATAATGATCTGTTCCTCAATTTCTTTATATGTCAAACAAAGATTCTGGGAATTAAAAGATTAGTTACTCTCAATTTTAGTAATCTATGAGGTCAGAGAACTTAGAAGACTGTGTCCGACATCTCTGTTTCCTAATTAGGGAAGCCTAAGCTTTAGAGAGAAAAGTGGGCCCATATGAAGATTTAAGTTCCATATGGGTAACGTTCTGGGTTTGACAATGTGTTGGTAGAGGGGCTCCACTGGGAATCTGCCTCTTGGGATATGTTAGTTGCAATAGTTCATGAGTGCTGCTCATTGAACCAGCTTCACCTGAATCATCTAGGAACTTTTTAAAAGGCAGCTCAGTGCTCCACCCTTGTAATTATGATTTCCTGGATGCAGCCAGGAATGGGTGTTCTAAAAGCATCTTTCCAGGTGATTCAGATGCAGCCGGGTTTGGAAACCTCTAAATTCATATAAACTTCCTCAGTTGTACATCTGTAGAGGATAAATATTTTATGAAATGCTCCTTTATCTCTTCCATAAACACTGTCTGATTCTATTTGTTACTTACTCTCAAACACATATATTTCACAATTTGTTCAGACTTTAAAAAGATTAAATGGTGGTTCTCACCTCTTTTTCTAAGCTCCATTTAAAAATATTCATCTGGACCAGATCCATATGTTCAATCCAATTCCAATCACTCTTACAGATTGATGATGGGGTTTAAAGAGAGGGCAAGTGCCTGTAGAGCAAGTGATTATAAAGCCTTTTGTTTTTCTCCTTAAAATGTTTACATGATACATTCAAAAATGAATATTTACATGTTCATTACTGCCCCTTAAACAGTATAGCTTTTTCTAAATGAAGAGATTTCTTTTTCTTCACATCTAGAAAGGATGTTCTGTATTTTATTCTTCTCCAGCTCTTTTCTTTAATAATCAATAATCTTATATTTAATAATCAGCTTTCTTAGAACATAGCACAGGTTTTTGATCCCTTGAAAGTTTCCTCGAAACTTATATCTAATATCAAAAAGGTCTAGTATTTTTTTTCACCTACATAACTGCCTTATATTTTCTGAGGAGAATGTGTAGGTCTCGTACATTTTGTTTAGGGCAAGTCTAATTTTATTATTTTTATTATTTTATTATTAGATTATCTATTGCTACCTCTTTCCCAAGATAGTGTTAGTAATTTTGAGTGGTGGTTTACATACATTGTTTAACATCTACTTGGCATTTTTAGGAAGCTTCTGGTTTCTTGGAATAAGAAAGCTAAAGTTGTTTTAACACAGGATACACAAAGGCACAGGCATCAGCATCTTCTGTCTCAGGTTTATTTAGCATATGTACAAAACATTCACAGACTAAGAGATGAAACTTTTCAATGGTAGGGCAAAGGAGAGAAAGCACATGGGGTGCTGTTATGACCCAGTTCCTGCTCCCATGGAGCTTGAAATCAATTTCGTTATAGAACTACCCACATGTTTTGAAACTAGAAACCCACTGAAGTGCCATAGCAATGCAGAAGACAATTAAATGCTATAGGCAGAGAAGCAGTCAGCTTTTTATCGATTGTTATTGTTAACAAAGAGCTTACAGAGATGGTAAGATTTGAGATCAACTTCAAGCAATATTAGCACAGAGAACTAGACATAATGATTCATGGTATTTTCCTTTTCTTCTACAAGATTCCATCAGGTAGTCCTTCATTTACTAAATTAAGTCCTAAAAAATCATAAGATAATTATAAGTAAAATGTATTTACTTCTTGTATTATAACCCTAGTTTTTGCCTTTATTAACTTTATCTCAGATAATCAAAGCTATGACAGATGAATTTAGCTCTATTCTTAGTTCAAAGCTTCAGTAAAATGTTGTCTTCCAAACCCAAATTAGAAACACTTATATTGATGCTTGGTATTATCTAGCTTACCTCCCTTCTCCAGTCTAGTCCCTTAAATTAGGCCCTATGAATCAACACCTCCAAGAGAAGAAAGTGGTACTGATTGCAGCCTGTGTCCTTAAACATCTTTCTTAGGACCTGAATGACATGTAAATTCAAGGAAAATGTAAGTCTCTTTCCATGCAACTGAGATTGGGATTTCAAGTGACATGATTTTTTTTTTTTTTAATGAAGACATTTTTTTTTTTTTTAAGTGAGGCTGAGTCACTGATCTTTATTCTCTGTTCTTTGTTATGTCTATACTTATCCTGAAGATAACTAATGTTAAACATTCAATTTCTGTTCTCTGGCATTTTCAAGTATATCCCTGCCACCTGGCTTCTGCTACTGATAGTTCGTTTATCCTTCTCGGTCCTATTTTCCTTTCTGAATATTCTTGACATTTTAAGATTTATACCAAGTTCAACGCCTCTTTAAATCTCCCACACTAGGTTGGCCTGCACTGGTCTCTGTCTGTTCAGCAACCCTTAAACACTTTTAAACCATTCACTTTACCTATATACCCTGGGGTCTCTGTTTTTAGCTAGGTAAAAATTATTTTCCATATTATATATGGGCTCCTTCACTGCAGAGAGCATACATTACATATATTGTTGGTTTTTAAATTTTGTAGTACTTGACACAGAAGTGGGTATATAGTAGTTATTCAAGTAAATAGATTTGTATAACTAAAAATGATATTTAAAAATTACACATTCCTATATATATATATTTGTATCCCTATATATGTATATATATACATCCCTATATATATTTCCATACATATATATACCTGTATTTGCACTAATATTTTATCTGCATGCAAAGAGATAAAAATCATATTATTAGTGTTGGACATGAACTAAAGTTCTAATATTTGATTTTCAGACCCCAACTAGATCACCCTTAGTACTGACTTTGGAGATCACTGATTTAGCAGATCATGTCATAGAAGTCTCTGAGGAGTCCAGCAGTTTTTGCAAAGATGCCTAAGAGACTATTTAGCAGTTGAAAAAGGCAGTCAAAGAGGAGCTCTGAAATTTTCCACTTGCTACTCACCCACATTCATTTGCTTAAGGTAACCTCTAATATTATCTTTATAATATAATATCTCTAAAACACTAGAGGTTTATAAAAGACTGTTTTTGAGCAAATAGTTCAGTTGGAAAATCATGTTTTAAAATCAAGATATGAACAATTTTGAAGTAAATAACACAAATATGGAATGATTTATCAAGATCATGTCAATTTAAAGGCTAATAACACATTCTTGGCTGTTTGGCAATAGAGCACAACACATTCCATTTATTAAATAAATATAATCAAAGACCTGTTACGTAACAGCACAGACTCTTAGTTTGTTTCCTTTTTTTCCTATACCACTCTTTCACTAGACAGGAGAAAAAATAGGAAAGGCTACAGAATTGTTTTTAGGAAATTATTTTATAGTTTCAAAGTGAATTTATGTAGGACAAATTGGAAAAAAAACAACTCTGGAGAGTTATTTTTATAAACAAAATATGCAGCTCAGAAGTCTAAAAAAAGATAGGCAAATCTGAATATATAAGAATTTAAAATGTTAGCACCAAAAGACACCAGAAACAGTGTCAAAAGTTAAATAAGCAATAGGTGGGGAAAGTTTTGCAACATAATGAAAAAAATATGTATTTGTAACATGTAAAGGTCTTCCATAAATTAGTACTAATATGACTACTGTCCAAAATGAGGACAAAGACATGAATATGGATTTCCTAGAAGAATAAATACAATTAGTCCACAAATATATCAAAATAATCAAATGTAATTTAAAATATAAAAGATATCATTTTTCATGCCAATGGACACAAATTAAAATACTGATTATATTTATTATTCAAAAATATGAGAACATTATTACATTCCTACACTAATATTAGAAATATAATTTGAGAGAATTTTAAAAAGACGATTTGGAAGTGTCAATCAAAAATTAAAGTATGCATATCCTTTTACCCAAGAATTTCACTTCTATTAATTTACACTGCAGAAAATTACACATTTGCACAAAGCAATATTTTAAAGAACCCTTTATCAGTGAGAAACTGAAGAAATACACATATGTAGAGGCATATAAAATATATTATTAAATATCCATTTTTGTGGAATACTATAACAAGAACATTTCTCTATGTTCTCCGAAATAGAAATAATAATTATCCAGCGAAAAAAGCAAGACACAACAACTTAGGTTGTAGGATCTTATTCATATACCTCGCCACATTAAAACAACAGAAGATTATGAGGCTTTACTGTTGTGAATAGGAGTGTGTGTGTTTGTGTGTGTGTGCACATGCACCAAAATTGAACAACAGTGACCTCTGGAGAGGGAAGTGGAATGATTTGGGGCGAAGGGAAACTGTTGCTTTTTACTCTGTTTTTCTATTAGTTTGAACTGTTACAAAAAGCTTTCTTTTTGTAATGTAACAATCTGTTAGACGCACAAACATATACACTCGTATTCTTTTTCTTTGTTGCACATGCACACGCGGACACGCAAACACGCCATCTTAGTCCTAAAGATTGGCTCATGCCTGTAATCCCAGCACTTTGGGAGGCTGAGGCGGGCGGATCACGAGGTTGGGAGATTGAGACCATCCTGGCTAACACGGTGAAACTCCGTCTCTTCTAAAAATACAAAAAATTAGCCGGGCGTGGTGGCGGGCGCCTGTAGTCCCAGCTACTCGGGAGGCTGAGGCAGGAGAATGGCGTGAAGCTTGCAGTGAGTGGAGATCACACCACTGCACTCCAGCCTGGGCGGCAAAGCGAGACTCCGTCTCAGAAAAAAAAAAAAAAAAAAAAAAGATTGAGATTATAATAAAACAATTGGTTTGAAGTAAATATAAAAAGACTTAACTAATCATATTCATAATTGTAGTGGAGGATAACAAGGCCTTTTAAACTTGTCCTTCCTTGACAAAATCTTCCTTGTCTCATTATTTCTTCATGGCATATTAATCATATAAATGGATAAAGAGAGGCAAGAAGTTACATGAAATAAGTACTTACGTATCAAAAATATGTCAAACATTTTACCTATATAATCTCATTTAATTCTCATTCAGTCAAAGAAAGGAAAGTTTGACTATTTTTGTTTTCAGATGAAGCAGGTGACAAAGAGGCTAAGTAACTTACTCAAGGTTATTAAATCCTGGTAAATAATTGAAATGAACCCTGAAGCTAGTAAATCCTGAAGCCAGGATTCTAAGCGAGTTTTGCTCCGAAACCAGCTTTTAATGGTCAAAGCCTCAGTAGGAATAGAGTTTAAAGAATAATTTGTTTATTAAAAATGTGGATATGATGCAGAGAAACTACAAGTGATCATGCCTTTCCCAGGTCTGGTAACCTCCAAATCTGAAAAATCTGTGTGCGGGGGTGGTTATGGGATTCTGGAGGCCCATGGTCTCCTAAGAGAGGCCACTGATGGGAGATAAGACCTTCCGGGTAAAATATTACCTCTCCCAGGAAATATGAATCACCTAGAGAAATATAATTTCAGTGTTTTGAGGGATTCCTATCGTAGTTAAATTTGACTTGCCAGAGGCTTATTTTAGCACATCCCAATGAACTAGAAATAAAAAGTCTCAAGTAGCCATCCTAGGTTCCGCTGAAATTTTATAAGTATCACCATGTGAAGGTTTCATTCCCTCACACAAGATACTGCAATATTAGTTGAAAAATCCTGTCCTTTTATGAATTTCCATGGTGATATTGTCAAGGTACTGGTGGAGCCTGGTTTCCAGAATCATCCAGTAATTGGATTAGTTAAGAAATTTGTTCTGCCTCTTTCTTGTTCTGCTGCCTGATTTAGACTAGATCACTCTCTATTAGGATCTCTTCAGGAGGTGAAGTTCCGAAGAGAAATAATTAGAAATTCATTATTCGGCTCCCATTATAGTAAACACACAGGAACTTGCGAAAAGGAATCTTAAAAAGTAGAAAAAAAAAGTAAGAAGAAAATCTTTAAAAATAACTATAGTATTGTGTGAACAAAGGGTAAATTGAGCATTGGGATACATAGAAGTCATCTATGAGGGAAAAAAATCCTACACTAGCAAACAGAGTTTATGTGATAAAACAATGCTTTATTTAATGAGAGAATTTGTGGGTGAAAGATGGTGCTTTATATTCTGAAAGCTGCCTAAGAGGAAGTTGAAAGGTAAAAAATGAGGCTCTACTTTAGGGTAAATAGGAAAAAAAGAGAAATGCACAAAGGGCTAAAGTTTGGCAAGAACATATGACAACAAAAGCTTTAAAAATATTGAGCAATAAACCTTGAGATTAGAGAGGAGTTTCTCATTAGTATCCATTTCAAAAAATACAAAAACAGATCATAATATACTAAAATGACAATGGCCCTTTGTAAAAGTAGCATTATCTAAATACAGGTGAACTAAAAAACTGTTTAAAATGTTCTCATTTTTGAATTCCGAAACTATATCTGACTTAGTTAACTTGCAAAATGACTTTCAACCATATATAAATAGACTATAGAATATCAAACTACAGTATCAAATACCCCCCACAGCAGTTGGCATCCTTCACAGTAAGTGTACCTGCAATCTGGTATGCTTAGTTAGGATCTGAAAAATGTCCTCAGCTCTCCTGTAGACTTGTTATTCTCTACATAAATGGCAAAGTAAGCACTTCAATCTTTTTTGGGGTAGAGGGTAGCAGACATTTAAGCCCAATTCCGGTCATCAGAATTGGCTTTAATGCCGAATATAGAAGGTAGCAAGTGCAAGGTTGTGTTGACCTTTTTCATGTAATTCACCTCCAAAGGCAAGTAATACAGCATTATACATATAAGTTGGAATCTGATCTCCCACTTATCAGCTCTGCGACTGTGAGTAAGTTACATAAGCTCTTTACTTCTACTTTTCACGACTGTAACAATTGAAATAGTAGCTAACAATTACATAGCACTCTCCAAGGCTGCTGCACACAGCTGTACAGGCTGTACACTGTAGAACAACAGAGGGTACAACAGGGGAGCCCTGGCACTCATTATGTGCCAGGCACTGCTCTAGATACTTCATATATTAACTCACTGAATCCTTCCAGCAACCTGTAGAGTAGGGACTATTATCAATCCCAGTCCAGATGAGGAAATTGAGGCACAGAAATGATGACTTTATATATTGACTCTGACAAATCATCAAAGACTGAATATAGTTTGCCAAATTTATTGTAAATAACCTTCAAATACTGAAAAAAATGCAAAATAAAATTTAACATTTTAGTTATATATATGCTATTCACATCAGAATTTATCACACCTGTGGGCTGGGTACGGTGGATCACGCCTGTAATCCCAGCGTGATTACACTGGGAGGGAGAGGGAGGCAGATCTCTTGAGATCAGGGGTTGAAGACCAGCCTGGCCAACATGATGAAACCCTGTCTCTACTAAAAATGCAAAAATTAGCCAGGTGTGGTGGGGTGTGCCTGTAGTCCCCGCTACTCGGGAGGCAGAGGCAGGAGAATCACCTGAACCTGGGAGGTGGAGGTTGCAGTGAGGTGAGATCATGCCACTGCACTGCAACCTGGGCGACAGAGCAAGACTCCATCAAAAAAAAAAAAAAAAAGAATTTCTCATACCTGCAGATACAACATTATTCTGAATAGCTATTTTGATGCAGGAGAAGCTCTAACTAAGTTCCATTTTTATCGGTGGATGTACTATTTCATTTCTGAAGCCTACTGGATTGAGTATGTTATCTATAAAACATATTGGCAACTATTCATAACATACTGTATCCTTGTAGCTGATAGGCTAAGGACACCCCACTTTATGATTGCTATAATTTTAGTTGAATACTTTCTAACAGTCAGTTTTACTTATTCCTAAACCTATGTATTCTATTGTACATGATCCTATAATTGCATAATTCAACTAAACATCAAACAATCCAATACATTGTGAGTATGAAAAGAAATGAAATTGTTGCTTCCAGGTAAACAAATTATATGCTTTATTAACTCTTAACAAACTGAGTTAATTTTTAAAAAAATGATGAAGTTGGTGTGAATGAGCCAAATATAAAAGTCTGGTAATCAATGTATCTATAGTCAAAGAAAAAGGACAATTAATATACATTTAAATAATTTATGTGTCAGCATAATGCCCAGGTGTTAGTCATTTTATAACTTTCATATATAATTGACTTACTCAACAAAAATAGTAGGTTAAAAATTTAAAAATAATATAGGATTTTTCTGTATATACTAGGTTATTATCACCTGCCAACCTGAATTTTATCAGAAATTAGTGGTTCTCGGTTGTTTTTCAAAACTTGCATAGCAGAGCTGGTGTACCCAATTTCCAAATAATTAGTGCCCTTCAAGGGAGGCTTTTGCACAAGTTATAAATCTATCTATCTATCTATCTATCTATCTATCTATCTATCAATCATCTTCAAGGATATGTTGATTACTAAGAAAAGTTTTGTGAAGGATCTTTGAGATTTGTTTTGAAGACACAAAAATATATTTTATTACATTAAGGGCATTCTATGTTTTGTATATTAAAAACATGTATAAACATGGGAACCACATACCAACGCTATATTTTTCAAATACCCTATATTTTTTTTCAAAAAATCTAGATCACCATTAAATGATGATCTATCAAAGACCCTGGATAAAATTCCAAGAGGAGTTCATCAAAATTATGTTTGCGATGGAAACGTCTGTTTTCCTTGCATACAACCTGTCAAGGTAAATATTTCGCAGGGACAGCACTAGTTTGCTATGCTTGCTACATTAAAGTCAAATTCTCTTATGTTACTGCTTATTCAAGTAATGCATTTTCTTTTTTCCCCAAATGTCCATGAGTAAAGCATTTTCTTAGTGTTAAATATGTTCAAAATATCTTCTATCATAGCAAAAATATATTTTTCAAATGAACATTGAGATTTTTCCTTAAAGATGACTTCAGTTTGTGAGGACATTAACTTTTTGCTGTAGCAAACATATTCCTAATCATATTTGGGGCTTTTGCTGACACGTATTGAAGGGATTATCTTCCAGGCTAGCTGATTCTATTTATCTTTTAGTTATCAGTTTAAGGTCACAATACTGTCTCTGACTATTCAGCCACAAGGTTTCCATATAGAGAACACAGCAATCATGTGTCCTTGACTTTCTAGAGTAGTACCTACTTCAATATGAGTAAATATTACTTATATATTTTTTTGTCTTTGGAGAGCTTTGTTTTAAATATAAATTAATCATAGGAAGGAGTTTATTGAATTCCACAGCTTTGCCTTTTTGTTTGTTTCAGGAAAATGTTCTCACACAATCTATATTGTGTATCCAAATCTAGCTTATTATGAGAATCACCTGATGATTCTGGCTTGGTCTTCATTGTAAGCAACAAAATCCAATTTGGGCTTAAGCATAAATAATATGTGTTGAAAGAATATCAAGCAATTCATAAAGCATATTGGAGAATTACGCTCAGGAATAATAGGGGAGGGTAGGGAATGGGGTGTATGTTTAAGGTCACCACAAGGACAATCTGGTTATGATTCAACACCTGAACACCTGCTGCCACCTCTGGAATTTTAATTACGTCATTGATACTGGACTTGAAATGCAACCAACCCTGCAATGAGTAACTCTTTAATTCTCTATCTTTTTTTTTTGTACTTTCAGTGTTCCAGACAGAGGTTTTATTGAAAACACCTAGGTAATTGGTGTAACACCTAGGTAAAAATGACCCCCTTGGTCACTGTCTCACAACTAAATTAATTAAATGCAAGTTTCTTTTCAAATAAGAACAAGATATCTATGCTTAAAATAATAAAATTTCCAGGAACCAGACCCCGTCTCTTAGAGATGTTGGTACAGCAGGTCTAAGATTGAAGAGCATCAGTATATCATGGAAACTGTGAAATTTAATAGCCCTGAGTTCAAATCTGTCTCTTACTCTTACAAGGCAGTGTTCTCTGCCTTGGATTTCTAGCCAGGTACTGAGATGGCTGTTTATCAAGCCCTTCTGCAGTGGTTAGATGCGTTGATTTTGGAGTCAAACAAACCTGCCCATCCCTTACACTTGATAAATATGTGACCTACATAAACTTAGTTTAACTCTCTGAGCTTTGACTTGTTCATCTATCAAATGAGGATAGTTATAATACCTGCCATATTAGCAGTTATTCGGCTAATCAGTATTTGAGTTAATGCATGTAAAGTAAGTTCAACATTGACCCATTGTATATGCTCAGTAAGTGGTACTGTTATCATTATTTTAGAAAGTAATCCTCTCTATGCTACAGTTTCCTGTGAGAATGAGTCTATTATAGGCTCCAATAATCCCTGTACATTCTACTGAATGTGTCAAACTGCAGGATGTAACCATTCCTGACACTAAGCAGTTTCTGTAGATGGTTTCACAGGCAAATAAGTAGGCTAAGGTGACTGATCACAGCACAACTATCATTCAGCTGTTCATTCTCCATAGGAGAGAAAGTGGATTGTTTTCCGCTTGCTGAAATGTAGCTAAGCCTTTAGCCCTATGTTTCTTCTTTTTTTTGAGACGGAGTCTTGCTCTGTCGCCAGACTGGAGTGCAGTGGTGCGATCGCAGCTCACTGCAACCTCTGCCTCCCAGGTTCAAGGTTCAAGCAATTCTCCTGCCTCAGCCTCCCGAGTAGCTGGGACTACAGGCACACGCCACCACGCCCAGCTAATTTTTGTATTTACAGACGGGGTTTCATCATGTTGGCCAGGACGGTCTTGATCTCTTGACCTCATGATCCGTCCGCCTCTGCCTCCCAAAGTGCTGAGATTACAGGCGTGAGCCACTGCGCCCGGCCGTTTCTTAACTCCTTTATTTTATTTTTTTATTACACTTTTCATTTAGAGATAATTGCTGATTCACATGTGGTTGTATAAAATAATACAAAGCGATCCCATGTGTAATTTATCAAGTTTTCCTTAATGGCAAATTCTTTTTTTTAATTTATTTTATTTTATTATTATTATACTTTAAGTTTTAGGGTACATGTGCACAACGTGCAGGTTTGTTATATATGTATACATGTGCCATGTTGGTGTGCTGCACTCATTAACTCGTCATTTAGCATTAGGTATATCTCCTAATGCTATCCCTCCCCGCTCCCCCCACCCCACAACATGCCCCAGAGTGTGATGTTCCCCTTCCTGTGTCCATGTCTCTCATTGTTCAATTCCCACCTATGAGTGAGAACATGCGGTGTTTGGTTTTTTGTCCTTGCGATAGTTTGCTGAGAATGATGGTTTCCAGCTTCATCTATGTCCCTACAAAGGACATGAACTCATCATTTTTTATGGCTGCATGGTATTCCATGGTGTATATGTGCCACATTTTCTTAATCCAGTCTATCATTGTTGGACATTTAGGTTGGTTCCAAGTCTTTGCTATTGCGAATAGTGCCTCAATAAACATGTGTGCATGTGTCTTTATAGCAGCATGATTTATAATCCTTTGGGTATATACCTAGTAATGGGATGGCTGGGTCAAACGGTATTTCGAGTTCTAGATCCCTGAGGAATTGCCACACTGACTTCCACAGTGGTTGAACTAATTTACAGTCCCACCAACAGTATAAAAGTGTTCCTATTTCTCCACATCCTCTCCAGCACCTGTTGTTTCCTGACTTTTTAATTATCCCCATTCTAACTGTTGTGAGATGGTATCTCATTGTCGTTTTGTTTGCAGTCTACTTATCTGACAAAGGGCTAATATCCAGAATCTACAATGAACTCAAACAAATTTACAAGAAAAAAACAAACAACCCCATCAAAAAGTGGGTGAAGGATATGAACAGATACTTCTCAAAAGAAGACATTTATGCAGCCAAAAAACACATGAAAAAATGCTCCTCATCACTGGCCATCAGAGAAATGCAAATCAAAATCACAATGAGATACCATCTTAACTTTTTTAAAGGTCTGATATCTGTGACTTGGGGTGGGGGGAGGGGGCGGGGGGGGGCGGAATTGCTTAAGGGATTATGGTCATGGGAATCATGACCATGCAGCAGAGTTAGAAAGTAGTACAAAAACAAACAAAAAACAGTTTTAACCTGAGAATAGGTAGCAATATGAAAGCTGAAAATAATAGAATTGCCTGTTTTCCTGAAGCAAGAAATGCCCCCATGTGGAGCTATGAAGGGAGGAAGGAGAGAGTAAAGAAGACAAAAAGAAAAGGCCAGGGGGAATTAAAAAAAAAAAAAGGGAGGGCAAGGGGAGGTGGATGTAAGAAAGAAAGGAAAAAGGAGGAACAGGAAGAGAAGTACTTATCTTCATCATATGTAACATTATTTAAACTCATAAAACAATAAATTAGGACATGCTTAGAAATAATAGGGGAATGAATGCATGCAGTAATTAATCTATGTATTAATAAATGAATCACAGGTACAATTAGAAGTAAGATATCAAGTTAATTAATAAGTAACTATATTTTATTCATAAAAGAAGGTACTTCAAGATAGGTATTGAGAGAAAAAAATTTTTGAGGGTCTTTCTATAAGAGATGGGGCTTTCCAAAAAGATTCAACAAGCTACAAAAGAATAAAAATCATTAGAAAATTTGTTCATTCTTAAACTGAAAGAATATGTAGCATGAGTTAAAGATAATATCCTCACATTTACAGAATGTAGATACTGAAGAAAACTGCTCTTCTTTTGGGGGGGGGAGGATAAACTTTGGAGATATTCATAAATTCAGAAATTTTAATTTGCCTGTAAGAAGATAAGTTCTTAATTAACAACTAAACCAATTAGCAAGTTGAGATTTGCAACCATTGTTTGATTAAGCCCTCGATCAAACTCATCAAATACAAATCTTCAAGGTCTTAACAGAAAAAGATTACAATTAATTATCTGTTTATAAATTTATAAACCAAATGGTGGTAGAATAATGAAGGTTTTTCCCACAGACCTTTACTAATGACAAACCTCTGAAGTAACTGTTCACTGTGCTTTATCTAATTAATCTACACCATGCTCTGGAAAGTTAAATTGGGATAAGACTCTCATTTCAAGTGAGAAATTAAAGTACAAAAATTAATTAATAGTCTTATGTCATGAATTAGAGTTCAAAGCAAATACAAATCTTCCCAATAATTCCCCAGCGCTCGTCTCAGTTAAAGCAAGATAAGCAATTGCCCATTCCTGAGGTCTGAGGGGCTTTGGGAAAGCCTTTGAATATTTCCCATCCAAAACGTGAAAAATATCTGTGATGCATTTTTTGGATCAACACAGTTCTTGAAGACAAAATAACCTAGTGTAAATATCCCCAAGAGAATTAATGCACTACTATTAAAAGCTTTGTTAATTATAGCAAATAGATCTTCTTAACTACTTGATAATGTGGTGACACTGAAGAAATTGGTTTAAAAAATCTACTTTGATGTATTAGATAGATATGATGTGAAGAGCTCTTCAGTGAGACACTGGGATGACATAAGACTTTTAACCGTAATAAAAAATGAAGTAAAGAAGAATGGAAAGGTGGAAATGGCTTATTTAAATAAAGAAGTATGGTAATAGAAGACATTGTATTTACTGCTGAGATTTTCCAAGACTAATTCCTAATGAATACATAAAGTTTCAATGCACAGTATAAGGGTGTATATCCTAGATTGTGTGTGACTTTCTTATTGCAGTTTAAACATATGTCTTCTTCATCTTGTCAAAAGCTATCTAAAAATTCAACGCAAACCCCATCAGAATACGACCATCATTCTTCACAGAATTAGAAAAAAAATGTAAAATTAATATGGAACCAAAAAGAGCCCACATAGCCAAAGCAAGACTAAGCAAAAAGGATAAATCTGGAGGCATCACACTACCTGATTTCAACTATATTATAAGGCCATAGTCACCAAAACAGCATGGTACTGGTATAAAGGCACATAGACCAATGGAACAGAAGAGAGAACCCAGAAATAAACCCAAATATTTACAGTCAACTGATCTTCGACAAAGCAAACAAAAACATACTATGGGGAAAGGACACCCATTTTAACAAATGGTGCTGGGATAACTGGATAGTCACATGTAGGAGGATGAAACTGGAATCTCATCTCTCACCTCATACAAAAATCAACTTGAGATGGATTAAGGACTTAAACCTAAGACCTGAAAGTATAAAAATTCTAGAAGATAACTTTGGAAAAACCCTTCTAGACATTGGCTTAGGCAAGGACTTCATGAGCAAGAACCCGAAAGCAAATGCAATAAAAACAAAGATAAATAGCTGGGACCTAATTAAACTAAAGAGCTTCTGCACAGCAAAAGGAACAGTCAGCAGAGTAAACAGACAACATACAGAGTGGGAGAAAATCTTCACAATCTATACATCTGACAAAGGACTAATATCCAGAATATACAACGAACTCAAACAAATCAATAAGAAATAAAACAAACAATCCCATCAAAAAGTGGGCTAAGGACATGAATAAACAGTTCTCAAAAGAAGATACACAAATAGCCAACAAACATGAAAAAATGCTCAACATTACTAATGATAAGGGAAATGCAAATCAAAAGCACGATGTGACACCACCTTACTCCTGTAAGAATGGCTATAAAGAAAAAATTAAAAAACAGTAGATGTTGCCATGGATGTGGTGAACAGGGAACACTTCTCCACTGCTGGTGGGAGTGAAAACTAGCACAGCCACTATGGAAAACAGTGTGGAGACTCCTTAAATAACTAAAAGTAGAACTACCATTTGATCCAGCAGTCCCACTACTGGATGTCTACCCAGAGGAAAAGAAGTCATTATACGAAAAAGATACTTGCACATGCATGTTTATAGCAGCACAATTCACAATTGCAAAATCATGGAACTAACCCAAATGCTCATCAATCAACAGTGGATAAAGAAACTGTGATATATATATATATATATATATATATATATATATATATATATATATAATCGAGGCCTTTCCCCTTAGGTAACTTAATAACTACAGAGATATCTGTAATTTATTATTATACTTTCATTCTAAGTGGAATTATAGAAATGCCAGAATAATGCTAATTCTCCTGTTAAAAGTTGCTACATGTTTCATTATCTTGAGAAGAGGATAATGTTTGTACATTGCTTGATTCATGAAGTAATAAGATTAATTTGAAAAAATGTTCAGAGACCGTACCTAGAGTTACTATAGTAAATAAATGTCCAAGTATTAATTGGACAAAATTAAACATATCTAGTTATGTAGTTGATAGTTTCTCACTAGATGCTGTATACTGAAGGCCTAGAAAGCATCTATCACTATACACTTTTCTGGTTGATTAAATGAATTAATGAAAACAGTACTGCCTCTTTTATTAGTTATATGATCTCAAGAAAGAAATTTACTCTGAGTTTGTTTCTCATTTGTTGTAAGGGAAAAATCCTTGCCTTGCCCACTTCACAATGCTTTTGTTATAATCAAATGGCATATGGAATATTTAAACAGTGAAGTTAAAAATACAGACATACCTCAAAAATATTGCAGGCTACATTCCAGATCACTGTATTAAAGCAAATTATGGAATAAAGCATCACGTAAAGTTTTTGATTTCCCAAAATGTGCATATAAAAGTTATGTTTACCCTATATTGTAGTCTATTAAATGTGCAATCATTATGTCTAAAAAACAATGTATATACCTTAATTTATAAAAATATTTCATTGCAAAAAATCATGAGAACCTTTAAGCCTTCAATGAGTCATAATCTTTTTGTTGATGAAGGGTCTTGTCTCCGTGTTGATGGCTGCTCATGGATCAGGGTGGTGGTTGCAGAAGGTTGGAGAGGCTGTGGCAGATTTTTAAATCAGACAGCATGAAGTTTTCTGCATCAATGGACCCTTTCTTTCATGAGAGATTTCTCCACTCCATGAGATGCTGTTTGATATTAATAGCATTTTACCTACAGTAGAACTTCTTTCAATATTGGAGTCAATCCTCTCAAACGTTGCCACTGCTTTATCAACTAAGTTTATGTAATATTTTAAATCTTTGTTGTCATCTCAACAATGTTCACAGCATCTTCACCAGGAGTACACTTCATTTCAAAAACCACTTTATTTGCTCATCCATAAGAAGTAACTCCTCATCCATTCAAGTTGTATTATGGGAATGAAGCAGTTTAGTCACATTCGGGCTCCACTTTTAATTCTAGTTTGCTTGCTGTTTTTACCACATAGGCAATTACTTCTTCCACTGAAGTCTTGAACCTCTCAAAGTTATCCACAAGGGTTGGAATCAACTCCTTTCAAACTCCTGTTAATGTTGATATTTAACCTCCTCCCATGAATAACAATCAAAACAATTTAGGGATCCTTCCTCCACTCCTGCTCAGCTGCCAAGAGATTACGTTTCAGCCCTGAGTCATTCACTACCTTAGACTTTGTACAGCTGTGGAAAGCAAATCAGCAAATTCAATATCTTTTTCTGCCAACAGGAATATATCAAGGAAATTATTAAAAATAATCAGGTAATTGGTGACCTTCTGTTTCCTACCTGCAGACATCAAGAGTTGAAAAACATTATAGTAAACTGCCCAGTAAGCCTTTGAAGGCCATTTGAAACTGGGTTTTATGACAAAGGAATAAAAGATGGAAAAGAAAAACATACCCATGGCATTGGATGTTGTCATAAAAAGTGGGAAAAAAAGACAAAACATTAAAAGTAAGACATGAAAAAAAAAGCACTGTTTAGGTCATGGTATATAACACAGGAGCAAGAGATATAAATCAAGGAAAAGACTGGTAATTTGAATCCAATTAACATGAGTGACATGTTCACAAGAAAAGGTTTCATAGGAAAAGAAAAAAGAAAAGCCACAGTTGAATAAAATTATTTTAACACATATAAACTATAAAAGATTAGCAGCCAGCGAATACAAATACCTCATATAAATTAGTAAATATAACTTAAAATTATGTCCAATGTGAAAAGTAGGCAAAGGTTTTGAATTCATGTGTAGGAAATTCAAATGGCCAAGAAAAGATGCCCAACCTTACTGTTAAAAAAGCAAAATAAAGTCTAATTAATTAAAATTGTACCCTCAAATTTGCAAAACACATGTTAAACGTTAGCAATAGAAGTGAATAAACATCACCTCTTATTCACTGCTAGTATGAATGTAAATTGGTATGCCAACTTTGATAGCAATTTTGAAATATCAAGTAAATTAAATAATAACAGTGAAAAATGTAAAATAACCTAAACATTCATCGAGAAAGAGAAAGAACTTACACTGACATGTAATTACACAATTGAACATGTTACAATAGTTAAAATCAATGGACCACAGTCACAGGTGTTCATTTTAATAAATCTCCACAGTTAATATTGAGTAAAAACTATGTATTTAAATCTTGAAAGACACAAGTAAACTCTTGGCAAAACTAGTAAATCATTGAGGGATGGATACAAACCAACATCTGAATGGAATTATCTTGAGGGTGAAGAAAGTGATTAGTATCAGGAAAGGTGTTGGAAGAGGGCTTAAATTGTATTTAGAATTCTTTATGTCTTTACAAATATAACTGCAAGAGAAGGAGGTATGGAGTTATTGTTCAATGCATACAGAGTTTAGTTTGGGAAGACAAAAATGTTCTGTAAATGGATAGCAGCTATTGTGTACAACAGTGTGAATATACTTAATGCCGTGGAACTGTATACCTACAAATGGTTAAAATGGTAAATTTTATGAGATCTATATTTTATCACAGTAAAGATATATATCTGAAGAAAATATTGAAATGTATATAAATTTGTTTAAGCTGTGTGGGTTTTTTAAAGTGGTTTATATAAAAGGCAAAATATAAAACCAAGAATTCCATAAATATTTATGTAAATTATACTCATAAGGATAGAAGTTATATTGTGAAGGTAAAAAGGTGGTTTGCTCACTTAATATAAATATTACCAGAATTTTTATAATGAGAATGCTTTAATACATTGCATTCAAAAGTCAAAAATAAAAATAAAATCATATATATATCATACTATATATATATATATATACACACACATATATATATATATATTTGAAACCTAGACTCATACACACAGAAGCTAAATGGCTTAAATGTATATGTAGTTAATGCTAAAACATGACTTTCTGGCCAGTATAGTCATATGAAATTATTTTAAATTCCTTGTTCTTCTTCACATAATATCACTTTTAAATTGTTATACTCACACATAATAATAGTAATCCATGTTAAATCAAAGTGGCATAACTTGAAACTAAGGCTAGAATCATCCCTGTTTTCAACTATATACTTATGAACATAGCCTAAGATCATGTTAACTTTTATTGTAACTTCATTCCATAGTTCTCCAATAGTATGTTTAAATCAAACGAAATAAATGATCAATTTTCATAAATGATGTTGATGAGCTATGAACTCAGTCTGAATTCCATCTTTAGATTTACCATCTGCTTCATATTCAGCTATAATATGATGCACAGACCCTTAACATATAGATACTGCTTCTGGGTCTCCACTAATAAAGTAGACATCTTGATCACTTGACCCTCTATCTTTCCAGTAAACCCAGATATCTACTGTAGATTCATTCCATTCCAGAGATATTTAAGGTAGCCTGGGTTCAAAAAGATGGATATGCTCAGAGGTGAACATGTGACTTACACCATTCCATTTAAAATTACTTTCAGCTTATTTTCTGGTAATTCTGGGAGACAGGTGCTCTCTCCCTTTCTCATTCTAGACAATGTGGGGTGCGCCTGTCAGTGTGAGGCCTGGAGCTGTAGCCATTTTGTGATCATGAGGGAAACACAAGGAAGACAGCAGAGAATTAGACAGTGAACAAGACAGAGTTCAGAATTCTGGTCAAATTTTACCTAAAGCTTATCCTGAAATTTGACCTTTAAATATAATTTGTATAATCCTTTCATTATTTTAAAGAGTAGAGTAGGTTTTCTTTTCATTATAAATGAAAATATTCTCTCTAATAATAGAATGTGATTCAAGGAAGAGCAGTGTTATATCTTACAGATCCTAAATGTGGAATGGGTTGCAATTGGGAGGGAACAGTAAAGTGAGCATCCTGGAGTTTTCAAATGGGTAATCTTTGCCATTAAGTTAATTCTTTTTTTCTCAAATTGTATTTACAGTTCCTTGACTAGCCATTAATATGCTGAACGGCTACGGCATTAATATATTTGACAAGAGAATTTGAATGTGCTACATTGTGCTGGCTACTTGTTGTAGTCTTAATGAGATGCTGTTAGAATTAATGCTTGCATCAAAACTGGCCATTCTGAGACCATAAAGGGAAGAAAACGTTGCTTTGCTAGAAGCCTTTTCTGAATATTATCCATCATCCAACTTGATAGAGAATGTGATTATTTCTTATTCAGGATTAGAAAAGCTAGATTAACCTAACCTGTTAGGGCCAGCAGATATAAGGAGGAAATATATATAGTCGAATAAAGATTGGGGAGCAAGAATAGCAAGACCAGTTCCAAAGCACCTGTGTTAGATATTCTGTACCTGAAAAGAGTATCATGACTCGTTAAGAAGATGCAGCCAGATTTAACCTAAGGCAAAGGGGAGGTTATCTTTGTATTACTACCTATTCTACATTTTTACATTACTCAATAGAATGGATGTCAATCTGAGGCTAGATGTGAGGCAGTCCAAGTAAGGCCAGGCTGGCCATCAGTAGAAAATCTTTCCAAGGCTATATCCTAGGCTCAAACACTAGGGTAAGAAACATTTCTGGGTTTGGTTTTAATGCATGAAAACAAATAGACCAGAGGCCCACAGGCTTTTAAGAGAGTTGTCTATTAAAGTAGACCCAACCTGAGTTATCATCCCATTTTTGCCCAAATCATACAGGGCCGCCTTACTTTTTTAATTCATAACAAGAGGAAATGCATTCCAAAAGCAATCAACACCTAGATTTTCATATGAGTTTCTGTGCAATCAAGTCTCTCTTGTCAATTTCTGCTAAAGGATATAACTTGTCCAGGTCATTTTGATCTTCAGACTGTGACAAGTGTTTAAACATTTCCTTCTTGTTACATTTTTCTTATGGATTTGTTTCTGAAAAGTCAGTAAATTTCCATTACTTGATAACTATGAAATGGCAAACAAATTAGCAGCTCACATAATTCAATCCAGGCTGACCTTTTATTCAGTGATTTGTTCGGGGAAATACAGTATAAAGGATAATATATATTCTGCTCAAAGCAACAAGAAATGAGGGCAAATAATTTACTATATTAGTAGATTAACTATATGGAATATAACACAATAGAACAAGAGCATTCATTGTAGTATTTATGGAATATTATTCTCCGAGATGTTTAGTATTGGCAATTTTGAATATTTCAAGATAAAGCTGTATCTGTGCCTTGATTCACACATATTTTTGTCTTCTATAAGCCACATCTTTTGAATTCTTCATCTCTGATGGCTCATTTGTGAGAATTCATATAAATGAAACATTTTGCAAAGATAAAACCCTATATACAATGTCTATTGTTGTTGGAATAAAAAGAGAGCATCCAAAATAGCCTTAGTGACCTTATAGAGCAGAAAGGTAAATTAAACAAAGCATGTTTTATTTAGAAATAAAAATGCAGCCCTGAAAGATCCTATAATATAATGATATTCAATTAAAGTCATATATTGTCTTTGATTTTAACCCAGTGAATATCAATAAAAACAATTATTTAAATTGTAGCACGTTGCAACACAGCAGTATCTTTAATAAATTATTTAAAACATTGCAAAAAAACTACAATGGGCTCAGTGGCTACAATAAAATAAATTGTTGTTTCATTTTTGTTATCAGTGATACAATTTTTAAACTTTCCTTCATTTCTTCTTATTAAAATTTACTTGAGAGGTAGATTGACACAAGAAAACATCTGCTTTTTCAAATGGAGTGATAGCCTAAGCATAATTTTCCAAATAGCTCCACTGGCAGAGCCAGAACTTAGCTGCCAGTCTCCTGACTCTGGTTACAATGATTTTCCATTGACTATGCTAAATGTGATGACAGTTTACAACTCAGACCCACACTCACACATGCTGATTTAGGGGAGATTCTGCCCCTAAGACCACGTTAATCTGGTAAATTAGGAGAAGTGGCAAGTTGTCATATGGAAACCAGGTGTTTGTGCTTAGAAGAGCTATACCTCTCAGAGAATCTGTGTATGGTCCTCTGAATTTCTCTTTTAGCCATGAATTGCATACATTCATTAATCAAGGGAAAAGAGGATATTGGATTGTGGAGAACAGAGGACACAGCTCTGATGAAGATATAAAACTTCTGACTCGGAAAGGGATCTCAAAGCTGTAAGCTAATACAAGTCATGTTTGTAAGAATAAAGTCTCTGTGTTAAGTGGTATGACTTACCAGGCCAAAGGCAAGTATTTTCCACTTAAGTAGGCATGACCCTTCTGAGTTTATTGGTTGCAGGGAATCTGCAACAGATGAGCCTTTGGAATTTTTTAGGCTATTGGTTTCTTGGAAAAACATTAAGTACTTTTTAACATTAATTTTCCAAATTTTCTGGTAAACTCTATTTGAGAAGCTCAGAATATTGCAGGTGAGAAGTCATCCCCAGTTTGCAGAAAGGAAATCAGAGGCCCTGCCACATATATTGTGATGGTAAATTTTATGTGTCAAATTAACTGGGACACAAAGTGCCCAGATATTTGGTCAAATATTTTTAGGGTATTTTTATGAGGGTGTTTTTGATGAGACTTAGTATTCAAGTCTGTAGACTGAGTAAAGAAAATTGCCCTCCATAATGTAAGTGGTCCTCAACTAATCAATTAAATACCCGAACAGAACAGAAAGAGTAACACAAGAGTAAGACAACTCCCAAGAGTAAGACAGAGTTCTTTTTCCCTGACTGCTTTCAAACTGGGACATCAGCTTTTTCCTGTCTTCAGACTCAAATTGAAGTCCTGGGCCTTGATCCTGCCAGCCTCTGGGCTGGAACTATACCATTGGCTCACCTGTGTTACCAGTTTGCTGACTCATACTACAGATCTTGGGACCTTTCAGCCTCCATAATCTCATGAGCCAATTCTGTATAATAGTGCTTTTTTTTTTTTTCTGACTGCAACATTCTTATCATTATTATTATATAATATAGGTATTTGCTAATTCATGATACTAGAACAGGGATATTGAATGGGGCTATACTCAGTTGACAATGAAAACATATACACAATTACTAAACCTGCAATTATACCATGAATAGAAAGCTAATGAACCTACTCAGAAAGATTTTACACAAGTAAAATATGATTTTCTGATCCTGGTCCTACCCTCACTTGTCACTTAGGAAATATTTGAGGAATCCACCACTTTTAACTTTTAAACATTCCTTTGAGTAATCGTTGCAGAATAATTAAGAATTACAAAAAACTTAGAAAAAGACGTGGGTTTTTGTATTTTTTGTTGTTTTGTTTTTCATTTGTTTCTGAGAATACATAGAAGAAGCACATGAAGGAGAAGGAAGTGTATAATGAAAGAACAGACACTATGGAGAGCCAGTTAATACAACTGGCTTCCTGCAAATCAAAGAAAAAGAGTGAATAGGAAAGAATACAGTGCTAATGTCTAAGAAGCTACAAGAAAACCTGCACAAGATAGAGCTTGCTTACAAGAAAGGGACAATTTCAATACAAGATTGTTATACAGATTTATTCTACAATCTACATTTTCTCCCATTCTGTAGGTTGCCTGTTCACTCTGATGATGATTTCTTTTGCTATGCAGAAGCTTTTTAGTTTAATTAGATCCCATTTGTCAGTTTTGGCTTTTGTTGCCATTGCTTTTGGTGTTTTAGTCATGAAGTCTTTGCCCATGCCTATATCCTGAATGGTATTGCCTAGGTATTCTAGGGTTTTTATGGTTTTAGGTTCTGTGTTTAAGTCTTTAATGTATCTTGAATTAATTTTTGCGTAAGGTTTAAGGAAGGGGTCCAAATTCATACTATATCATTTCTATAATATCATCTTCAAATGGGTGGGAGAAGCTCAAGTCCAGCCATAAATGTCAACACTTGTATCTTTCTTAAAGTGTAAAGATTTATGGAGTACTATTTGTATAACATTTAACAATTAAATGCAGTTCAATAATTGAGATCTAGGTTATTACCACAATACTCCACAAGGGAAATTTCGTTGAAAACAAAGAAATGAGAGTACTAAGTCTGTAACTTCAATAGCTTTGATTTTTTTTTTATTGAATTAACTTTCAGTGACCGTTTCCAAATTAAAACAATTATTGTTTCTGACTGGGACATAAGTTTATTATCATATAAATGACTGGTACTTCTAGATAGTAACTTGAGACATGAAAATTACCTGGATGCAAACACATGGATTTTGTCTAACTTTAGGTTATTTCAGAGCAGACAATATATCTGTAATTCATCAAGCCATAGTTTCCTCTTCCTTATTTCTTACACTGCCTATAATTTAGAATGTACTTGAGTATCCATATTCCCATCAGTCCAGGGAATGACAAGGAAGGAATACAAGAATGCTGATGCGAAAGTATAATTGGGTATGTTTGCCTGTCTGAATAATGAAAGTGAAAGCAACTGGTGGAAGAATGTGGTAGATATTAGTAAAAATAAGGCTAAAAGTGGAAGTTCATATGTTTTCTATTATCCTTTCTTTTTTTATTTATTTATATTTATTTATTTATTTATTTATTTGTTTATTTATTTATTTATTTATTTTTTGAGACGGAGTCTCGCTCTGTCGCCCAGGGTGGAGTGCGGTGGCGCGATCTCCACTCACTGCAAGCTCCGCCTCCCAGGTTCACGCCATTCTCCTGTCTCAGCCTCCAGGGTAGCTGGGACTACAGGCGCCCGCCACCACGCCCGGCTACTTTTTTGTATTTTTAGTAGAGACAGGGTTTCACCGTGTTAGCCCGGATGGTCTGGATCTCCTGACCTCGTGATCCACCCACCTCGGCCTCCCAAAGTGCTAGGATTACAGGCGTGAGCCACCACGCCTGGCCTCTATTATCCTTTCTTAAGTAACCTTTAATAAAATAAGCAAATGCTCTACTTATTATCCCAGAGGTTAAACTGGATCATAAAAATGTTGTGTTTATCTGCTTCACATTGTAGGTTTAAATAAAGGGGAAAAAATTAAGGACGAGATGTTTGTATGAACACACTGAAAGATCATTTCTTTCAAAATTATATCAGAATATTCACAGCATAAAACCAGTAATTCCTTCTAGCAACAAAAAATGGAATTTATAACAAACTTTAAAAATGTCATTCATGATAGGTCCTAGTAAGAGCAAATAATTATAAAATAAGGCTTCTCTGAGTGTAACATTTCAGAATGTCAGATCCTAAGGGGAAATATAATTTATTTCAAATTTAAATAGAAATTAACCTCAAATATCCTTATATATTTGATCAATTCAAATTTTTGCTTGTTTTAACAAAATCACCTGTTTAGATTATCCTTTTATTATTTTCACTATTTTTGATGTTGATAAAATAACTTGCTGTAATGATCAATTTTTCATATTAATAGAGAGGTTAACTGTGATAAATATATGTAATTATTTCTGAAAGGGTATTTTTTACTCAAAGAAAATATTTTTTAGGCTTGGTAATAACATAATTACACTAACGTACTTTAGATACACTTCTTTTCATGATGCATTGAATTTTGACCAAATAAATTATTTTTACTTTTTTGGATCACTGTTCCCTCATAAACCTGATAATGCATATATATTTGTATATGTAAATATATATGTATATAAGATATATATCTGCCAGTAAGTGCACATCTGGCATATATACCATTGATAGAGGGGAGGTAAATGAAATAAACTGCTTAGACCTCAGATTTAGAGTTGATTTGAAGTCAAATCTGTTCTCTAATGTTAATTGTAAAATATAGTCACTGCCATTCTTATTTGATAGTTTATTTAGATGTACTCAATAGTCTATAACAACTTATTCAAAATGATTGAAGAGCTGATTATTAAATTGATAAATTTCCTAGAACAAAAATATAACAAAGATTTTCCAAGCCAAACTCTTATCAGAAAGATAGACATAAATAACATTTTACAATGATTAATATGAAAATGGTCCACTGGTGTATTTATATTATTTTGCTCTAGGAGTGTAACAAAATTCTTAAGTAAAGTAAATACATACTTGAGTCATTTTTACTTTCTTAAAATATAAAGCTTTTTCACTCATCTTGCAAAAGGGTGAAAATGTTTCCACACGAATGGAAAAAAAAAATCACCAATATAGATGTGGTTACAATTTAGAGTTTCATTAATTATTAGGTATTCTGGTCTCAAAAGGCTTGTATTATGAAGAGGCAAAGACCCACAAGCATTCAGGAATACATACACCATCACCCACACACAGGCACATACGAACACGCATGCATACACACGCACATACTTAAGTGCTTGGTTAGCTGATTTTTCTCTAATAGTTTATAATTACAACATTTACCATTGGTTTCAGAGTGATACATGCTAGAGTAAAATCCTGCTAGAATAAAATCTAATTACTAAATGGCAAGGTGCTCTTTCTCATCTGTTTCCTTCCCTGTAAAATAGCTTTCCTCACCTATCATAAGACTTTATGACTAACAGGACTTTTCTGAAGAATAAACAATTAGTCATTTTAAGTGTCTATTCCAGTGCCTGGAACATAGTAAGTATTCAAAATGTTAATTATGAATGTTGCTGTAACTATACTGTGATATTATTTTTATCACCATCATCACCGTCATCATTTAGTGGACTCTAAGTTATTCCAAAACTTTTCTGAGGAAATAGAAGAGAGTAAGACACAGATATACAGATGAAAGTAAGTACAGATCTATGTAAATATACAGGCACATACAGCACACAATTCTCAGAATTTGGTCCTGGGACATCTGGACATCTTGGGGCCTCCAAGATCCTCTCAGGGAGTTTGTAATGTCAAACTGTTTTTATCATAGTACTAAGATTTTTTTGCCTTTTTCACTCTTATTTTCTCACAGACGTAGAGTGAAATTTCTGAGGCCAGTAGGCAGAAGCAGATATGGGAATCCATGTGCCCTCTATTAAGAAAGACATTAAACAGATTTGCAAAATGCATAACAATGCCATTATTCTCACTAAATTGTTACTTGCTTTGGAAAATATAATTACTTTTATAAAAAATGTTACTAATGAAAATATGCAATGGCTTCTTGTTGTTTTAAATGATGTAAATATGTTAAATATTTCTCAGTTTTAATTTCAAATAACTATCACTAGATAAAATCCACAAAAACAAAATAACTTCAGTGCCCTACATGTAAACGTGTCTTGAACTAAGAAGATTAGGAAAGCCTGCTCTAAAGATTGTTTTGCAATTTGTTTTCCATTATTTAACCATCTACTAGGAACATTTATCCATGTAATGACAATATATCTGCATCTATAATTCCATTTCTATATGGCTGAGTAATATCCCATTTTTTAAATGTACCCAATTCATTTAACCTGAGAGGAGCTAATTCTTTAACAGGGAAGAAGACCAAATGCTAGAGTGTGTTTCCTTTGGGAAGGGAGGAGAGCTTGCTTAATTATAAGGCTAAGTTTTTCAACAGGACTTCTGTTAAATGTGCTGCTTGTTTGTTTTGTTTTCTTTTGTTTAAAATTTTATTACTGTGTCAATCTGCTGAGCATATTTGATAACTATAAAATCAGGCAAGGAAAATAGCAGACCAGTCATTAATGATACATGTTCTTATCAGCTCTAACAGAATGCCTATAATAATCATAGCTATGGGGAAATAAACCAGTAGGAAATACCAAACATAATTGCTCCCAAGTCCATGAGCACCTAATCACTGAACATTTAATCAGTAGCAAGGAGAGTTACTTTATGTTTCACTAAACTTACGAGATGAATGTAAACCAGTGAATCCAAATTACAGCTAGATTATGAGTGTTATTCAGTGATGCTGACTTTAATCTAGAGATCCCCAAGTCTTTTGAGATCTGTTTTTTCACACTAAAGGAATAACTAAAATATTAGGTCTGAGTGTGTTATCCAGATTTGGCTGAGATTAGGTCATGCTCAGAATATCAGGGTCTCAGTGTCAGTGATCAACACAATAACAGCCAAATGTTATGGAGAGAAAACAACTCTATGTCAGTAATTTAAATTCCAACTTGACTTTAAAGGTAATATCTTTATTATGTTTGCATTAGTTTGTTATTGCTGCCCTAACAAATTACCACAAACATAATGGCTTAAAATAACACCAAGTTAATCTGTTACAGTTCTAGAGTTTAATATTCTAAAATCGAGATGGTAGAATGGCTGTGTCACTTCTAGAGACTTCAGGGGATAAGGTTTTCTTGCCTTTCCTACTTTTCAGGGGCCACCAAATTATTTGACACTAGTTTGACACTTTTTCAGATAAGGACTTTTGTGATTTTTATTGCACCCATCTGATAATCCTGGATAATCTCCCCATTTGAAGACTTTTTACTTCACATCTGGAAAGTCCCTTTTACCATATTCATTTACTATTCCAAGTGACATATTCACTGGTCTGGTGATTAGAATGTGGATATCTTTGGGAGTAGTGAAGAAGCATGATTCTATCTACCACAGCACTTAATGCTTAATAGGTAATTTTTATGGAAAAAGGTTATCAATAATTAAGTATCTCAGTGTTTAAAATCCCTACCATGAATTCTCTTAAATAATTTTCCAAGTGATAGGGAGTGTCTCATACCTTTAATCCTAACGACTCGGAGGCCAAGGTGGGAGGATCACATCAGGCCAGGACTTTGAGACTAGCCTGGACAACATAGCAAGACGGTCATCTCTAAGAAAATGTTTTAAAAAAATCTTAGCTAGTTTCAGCTACTTGGGAGGCTGAAGCAGGAGAATTCCTTAAGCCCAGGAGTTCAAGGATGCAGTGAGGTATGATCACACCCCTGCACTCCAGCCTGGACAAGGGAGAAAGAACCCATCTCTAAAAAAAGAAAAAACAAATCCCAAACTACCTATGAATATCAAATTGTATTTTTTTAACTGAACTACAATAAAATGTGCTAGTTAATCAGGAATACTAGTTGATTTGCCAAAATATAGTTATCTGCAGCAAATTTTGTTTTTGAGTTTTGTCTGTTTTGTTGACATTTGCATTCATTTTTCAAACATGTATTTGTCAATCAGTTACCACAGGAAAATTACCATTACCAAAGAATGGTATAACACATATTCTTTTCACCAAAGAAAAGTACAGTGTTTTGTGAGGGAGAAGTTATCTATGTTTGGAGGCATGTACACAGATAAATACCATCATAAGCCATTATACAACAAGAAATTTAAAAGGAAGTGTCCAATAAATGAGGAATAAGCAGTACAGGAATTACATTCTGAAGTTCAGATAAGAGAGAAATCTGTTCCTGGGAAATTTTTATGAAAGTTCTGTGGCAGCAACTAGGGACTTGGTAACAATTGGGCATGGGAGCACAGAGGAGACCTGTGCTCCTCTGTGTTGATTTAACTGTTGAAGTTTAGGGCTAAGCATAGTGGAGTATCTTTTGGGTCTTAGCTATTGTGTGTTCAGAAGTATTAAAGCCACTTTCGTAGTTTATTTTATATCAGCTGGAGTTTTCTACAACTCAGGTGAATTTTAGCTTTATTGGGGGGGGGGGCAGTTTGGGAGCAGGAAGAATACATTCCAGGTGCAGGTAAACACAGAGAGGAAGAGGGATGTTTGTGAGATAATAGATCTCTTAACTGAGCTGGATGATTCAAAATAATGTTCAGAAATAAAGTTTAACCAATAAGTTTTGGCTAGATTAGAAAATATCTTGAATGACAGGTACAAGAGTTTGAATACTATGATTTAGACAAAGTCCTAACAATACAGATTTTAAAAAATTAAGTAATTGAAAAAGCAATAAAGTAATAGTTAGGCCCTTTGGTTTTTACTAGGTGAGTCTGTCTGGCTATGGCTTTTGTTCTTTTTTCTGTCTCAATATTTCTAATTAGAAAAACAAAGACAAAACAAAACAAAACAATTTGCCAATTTTATTTTCATATTGGTTTGAGAATGATATGAGATCATTCATGTAAAAATGTTTAACAATTGTAAAGCAGCATGGAATGAAAGGCCCCACTTAAGTATTAAGTTGCTTATGCCCTAACACAAGCAAATGCTTTATTTGTTCCAAAAACCATTGATAGAGATGCCTTTTAGTATAGAACAACCACCTTTCAGCCCTAAGGAAAACGTGAGTAAGTACATAATAATAAAAAGGAGGAGAAAGAGAGAGAGTACACATGCTCATTTATTTTTTTCTTTTTATAGTGCTGTGAAAACAATTTTATCTCTAAGTTTGAGAACAAAAACAGGATAAAGATATTCTAATGAACTAGACCTTTACAGTGAGTTCTCATGATTTGATTCAGGTCTCACGAATTTGGTATCATCATTGAAAATACTTTTAATGTCAAATATACATCCTTCAAATATCTTCAGATCTGTATTTTCTTGTCTTTTCTTTTCTCCGTTAGAAGGGATACTGAAGAATGGAATCTACTATATGCAAACATTAGTTGAGGTATTTCAACTAATTCACTAGTTTCAAGAGGTGACATTCTGAGTTCATGACTACTAAATTTGTAGTGCTGATCTTGTGAGAACCCTTGAGTGGAAATGTTTCTTCATTAAGAAAAAGAATGTGATCAGCGCAGTGGAATGTAAATTTCATAGGCTCAAGGGTTTCCTTGCAGTGTTTTAATAGAGCTTGACTTTATGGTTCTCTTAGTTTAAGAATTTATCAGGCATCAACAATAGTTCCAGGAATTTCTAATAAGCATATAAACAGATAAGAAAATATTAACAAGGTGCAAGAGACTGCCGTTAGTTTAGATTTTTGAAGCCATCTAAAGTGCAATAGTATTAAACTAGGCATGCTTGAAATTTCTGAGTAATAAAAAGGACCTCAAGATTGCTCTCTAATTTTATTTCTACTCCCGTCTCTAACCCATGACCAATCTTAGCCACCATTAGAACCACTTACACATATCATATCCACTGTGAGAACAGGATCCTTTCCTCTGGGAGCATTAGAAAATACCGTCTGCTATAGGGCACTTTTCCACTCCAAATTACATTGTTTCTCTGCTTCTTTGTTTGTTTTTCCAAAATAATAGACTGAATACTTTCCATGGTTTTCCCTAAAGGTATTTCCCAATCTTGATTCAAATTCTGCTCCTTAGTACTTTGATTCTAGCTGGGACATGAGACATTTAACATTATTGAGTGTATCAGACAAGATAAGGCATTTGAAAGTAATTTGAGAACTAATTGCCACTGTAAGTCATTTCAATTTGTAAAGATATTGGTAATAGTCTAGTGTGGAAAAGCATTTTATCCATTCTCAATATAAACACACACACACACACATGCACGAGAAAACAAGAGGGCAAGAAAGGGAGCAAGAAAAGGCGATAGAATAAAAAGCGCCCTTTATAATTAGTTTATTTTATTTCATTTTATTTTATTATACTTTAAGTTTTAGGGTACATGTGCACAATGTGCAGGTTAGTTACATATGTATGCATGTGCCATGCTGGTGTGCTGCACTCATTAACTCGTCATTTAGCATTAGGTATATCTCCTAAAGCTATCCCTCCCCACTCCCCGCACCCCACAACAGTCCCCAGAGTGTGATGTTCCCCTTCCTGTGTCCATGTGTTCTCATTGTTCAATTCCCACCTATGAGTGAGAATATGCGGTGTTTGCTTTTTTGTTCTTGCGATAGTTTACTGAGAATGATGATTTCCAATTTAATCCATGTCCCTACAAAGGACATGAACTCATCATTTTTTATGGCTGCATAGTATTCCATGGTGTATATGTGCCACATTTTCTTAATACAGTCTATCATTGTTAGACATTTGGATTGGTTCCAGGTCTTTGCTATTGTGAATAATGCCACAATAAACATATGTGTGCATGTGTCTTTATAGCAGCATGATTTATAATCCTTTGGGTATATACCCAGTAATGGGATGGCTGGGTCAAATGGTATTTCTAGTTCTAGATCCCCAAGGAATCGCCACACTGACTTCCACAATGGTTGAACTATTTATAGTCCCACCAACAGTGTAAAAGTGTTCCTATTTATCCACATCCTCTCCAGCACCTGTTGTTTCCTAACTTTTTAATGATTGCCATTCTAACTGGTGTGAGATGGTATCTCATTGTGGTTTTGATTTGCATTTCTCTGATAGCCAGTGATGGTGAGCATTTTTTCATGTGTTTTTTGGCTGCATAAATGTCTTCTTTTGAGAAGTGTCTGTTCATATCCTTCGCCCACTTTTTGATGGGGTTGTTTGTTTTTTTCTTGTAAATTTGTTTGAGTTCATTGTAGATTCTGGATATTAGCCCTTTGTCAGATGGGCAGATTGCAAAAATTTTCTCCCATTTTGCAGGTTGCCTGTTCACTCTGATGGCAGTTTCTTTTGCTGTGCAGAAGCTCTTTAGTTTAACTAGATCCCATTTGTCAATTTTGGCTTTTGTTGCCATTGCTTTTGGTGTTTTAGACATGAAGTCCTCGCCCATGCCTATGTCCTGAATGGTAATGCCTAGGTTTTCTTCTCGGGTTTTTCTGGTTTTAGGTCTAACATTTAAGTCTTTAATCCATCTTGAATTAATTTTTGTATAAGGTGTAAGGAAGGGATCCAGTTTCAGCTTTCTACATATGGCTAGCCAGTTTTCCCAGCACCATTTATTAAATAGGGAATCTTTCCCCATTGCTTGTTTTTCTCAGGTTTGTCAAAGATCTGATAGTTGTAGATACGCGGTGTTATTTCTGAGGCTCTGTTCTGTTCCATTGATCTATATCTCTGTTTTGGTACCATTACCATGCTGTTTTGGTTACTGTAGCCTTGTAGCATAGTTTGAAGTCAGGTAGCATGATGCCTCCAGCTTTGTTCTTTTGGCTTAGGATTGACTTGGCGATGCGGGCTCTTTTTTGCTTCCATATGAACTGTAAAATAGTTTTTTCCAATTCTGTGAAGAAAGTCATTGGTAGCTTGATGGGGATGGCATTGAATCTATAAATTACCTTGGGCAGCATGGCCATTTTCACGATATTGATTCTTCCTACCCATGAGCATGGAATGTTCTTCCATTTGTTTGTATCCTCTTTTATTTCCTTGAGCAGTGGTTTATAGTTCTCCTTGAAGAGGTCCTTCACGTCCCTTGTAAATTGGATTCCTAGGTATTTTATTCTCTTTGAAGCAATTGTGAATGGGAGTTCACTCGTGATTTGGTTCTCTGTTTGTCTGTTATTGGTGTATAAGAAAGCTTGTGATTTTTGTACATTGATTTTGTATCCTCAGACTTTGCTGAAGTTGCTTATCAGCTTAAGGAGATTTTGGGCTGAGAGGATGGGGCTTTCTAGATACACAATCATGTCATCTACAAAAAGGGACAATTTGATTTCCTCTTTTCCTAATTGAATACCCTTTATTTCCTTCTCCTGCCTGATTGCCCTGGCCAGAACTTCCAACACTATGTTGAATAGGAGTGGTGAGAGAGGGCATCCCTGTCTTGTGCCAGTTTTCAAAGGGAATGCTTCCAGTTTTTGCCCATTCAGTATGATATAATTAGTTCTTAAAAGTGCTTTGTTTACGTTGAAGTTTAAAAATCAAAAAGCAAAAGGTTCAAGTTCTGTGTCTTAGCTACCTCATCCATAAATTAAGGCGTAAAAGTTTTAAGAAATTGTCAAAATAATCAAGATAAAAATAATGAGATGATGCCTTAAGGTAAAATAATGCTATCTGTAATATACATCATTATCATTTGTTATTATTAAATATGTATTTTTGGTGAAAATATTCTTCATTAGAAGCCAACTTGACACAACAGACTAGTCACTGTGCATTCCATAAAGCATGATAACATAAAATTATTTGTCTAGTAGGTTGTATTTGTGATATTTTAGAATCTCTTCCCCTAAAGGATAGTAGAACAGGTGGAAACCTAGAAAATAATTTATCATTCCTCTCTGAAAGTGTCTATTCCAGTAAGTAACCCAAAAGGCTTTCCTTAATGTCCTAACATTTTTTAAATTTTAAAAAAATTAGTACAATTTTTATATATTTAATGTTAACAACATGAGACTATAGCCAAGCAAATTAACATATTTATCTCCTCACATGTTACGTGTGTGTGTGTTTATGTGTGTGTGTGTGTGTGTGTGTGTGTGTGAGGTGAGAACACGTGAAATCTATTCACTTAGCAAATTTCCAGTATATTATACGGTATTGTTAACGTTAACTATACTAATTATGCAGCACATGGGTTCCCTAGATTTATTCATCCTACTTAACTGTAACTTTGTACCCTTTGACCAACATCTCTTTTCTTCCATTTTCCCAACCCTGGTAACCACTGTTCTATTCTCTGCTTCTCTGTATATGACTTTTTAATATTTCACACATAAGTGAGGTCATGTAGTATTTTCCCTTCTATGTGTGACTTATTTCACTTAGCATATGTCATTCAGCCTCATCTGTGTTGTTTCAAGTCACAGGATCTCCCCTCTTTTCTATGGCTGAATAATACTCCATTGTATGCGTCTACCTCACGTATAGTTTGTCCATTCTAGCATCAAAAGTTACTTAGGTTGTTTCCATATCTTGACTATTGTAAATAATGCTGCAACAAACATGGGGGTGCAGATATCACTTTGAGGTATTGATCTCATCTTCTTTTTATATATACTCAAAAGAGGAAATGCTGGATCATATAGTAGTCCTTTTTTACGTTTTTTGTGGAACGTTCATACTGTTTTCCATACTGGCTGTACCAACTTACATTCCAATCACCTGTGTACAGGGGTTTCCTTCTCTCCGTATATCCACAAACACTTGTCATCTTTTTGTTAATAGCCAATCGTAGGTGTGAGGTGCTATCACTCACATTGTTGTTTCGATTTGTATTTCCCTGATGATTAGTGATGCTGAGCACGTTATCACATTCATGTTGGTTGCTTGTATACCTTCTTTGAATGCCTTCAATTATTTTCTTGTCTGATTGCTCTTACTAATGAATTATTAGCAAGAATTATGTTGAATAGAAGTGGTAACAGTGGGCATCTTTGCCTTGAACCAGAGAAAAGCTTTCAGCTTTTCTCCCACTGATTACAGTGTTAGCCTCATAGAATGACTTTGGAAGTGTTCTAACTACTTGTACATTTTGGAAGAGTTGAAGAAGAATTGGTATTAGTGCTTTGAATATTTGATATAATTGAGCTGTGAAGCCATCTGGTTCTGGGCTTCTGTTGTTGGGAGGTTTTTTATTTCTACTTCAATTTCCTTATTTGTTATTGGTCTGTTCAGGCTTTCTACGTCTTGATTAACTCTTAGCAAGTTGTATATTTCTAAGAATTTATTCAGTTTTTCTAGGTTACCCAATTTGTTGGCATATAATTGTTTCTATTAATCCCTCAATTTTCTTTTTTATTTTTGAGGCATCTCTTTAACATCTCCCTTTAATTTCTGTTTTTATTTTAGTGTTCTCTCTTATTTTCTTAGTTGGTCTACTAAGGGGTTGTTGATTTTGCATATTTTTTTTCAAAAAACCAATCAGTTTTATTGAATTCTTCTACCGTTTATTTGATTTATTTCTGCTGAGATCTTTATTATTTCCCTTCCGTCTGCTAGCTATATTTGTCTTCTTTTTCTAGTTCTTTGAGTTATAAAGTTCAGTAAGATCTTAATTCTTTTTTTAAAGTAGAAATGTTTTAATTTATTAATATAAACTTCCGCCTTAGTATTACTTTTGTTGCATCTGTAAGTTCTGATAAGTTGTGTTTTTGTTTTTGTTTTATCTTCGGGTTTTGTAAAATACCCTTTTGATTTTCTCTTTAACTCAGTTTGTGCAAGTGTGTTAGTTTTCATGTCTTTGTGAATTTTTCTCATTTTCTTGTAATTAATTTCTAATTTCATGTCATTGTAGCTGGAAAAGACACTTGGTATAATTGTTTAAAAAATTCAATTGATCCATTGTAATTTTACATATTAATGGATCATAATTTGATGTTTTGATACGTATGTTGTAAAGTGAGCAAATCGGAACATTTAGTATATATATCACCTCATGCATTTATCATTTCTTTGTAGTAAGAACATTGAAAAACCTTTCTTCTAGCTATCTTGTGATATATACTATCTTACTGTTAAACACTATCACTGCATTATGCAATAGAACATCAGAATTTATTTATTCTTTCTAATGTAATTTTTTACCCACTGACCAACCTCACCCCATTTTCTGCTCCCCCTGCGCATCTACCTACACTCTCTGCTATACGCTGTTCTACTCTCTTCTATCATATCTATTCTATTTTAGAAAAGATGTTCCATATTAGTGAGATCATGTGGCGTTGTCTTTCTGTTTCCGGTTAATTTCACTTAACATGATGTCCTCCAGGTTCATCCATCTTGTCACACATGACGGTGTGTGTGTGTGTGTGTGTGTGTGTGTGTGTGTGTGTGTGTGTGTACTACCATAAAGTGAAGAACAATGAAATAAGGTATGCCTGTGTAGTATACTTCTCTTTATGGTACTTCACACATATGCATTTTTTACAAATTGAATGTTTGTTGAGTAACTCTGTTAACAATATTTTTCCAGTAGCATGTGCTAACCTCATGTCTCTGTGTCAGCTTTTGGTGGTTCTTGCAATATTTCAAACTTTTTCATGATTATTATTACATCTGCTGTGATCTTTCATAAGTGATCTTTGACATTACTATTAAAATTGTTTACTGTCACCATGGATTGTGCCCATATAAAGCAACAAACTTAACCAATAAATGTTGTGTCTGTTATAACTGGTTGGTTATAACCAACCAGTTGTTGTCCTCTTTCTCCCTCTCTTTTGGCCTCCCTATTTCCTGAGATACAACAACATTTAAATCAGGGTAGGTAACAAACCTACAATTGCCTCTAAGTGTTCAAATGAAAGAAAGGGTCACATGACTCACTTTAAATCAAAAGCCAGAAATGATTAAGCTTTGTGAAGAAGGGATGTTAAAAGCCAAGACAAGCCTAAATCATTGCCTCTTGTATCAGTTAGACATGTTGTGAATGCAAAGAAAACATTATTGAAGGAAATTAAAAGTGCTATTCCGTTGAACACATGGATAATAAAACAAAACAGCCTATTGCTGCTGTGAAGTAAGTTTTAATGATCCAGATAATAATAGAAAAGCAAACCAGTCACAACATTCCCTTAAGCCAAAGCTTAATTTAGAGCAATGTCCTAAGTCTCTTCAATTCTATGAAGGCTGAAAGAGGTGAGAAAGCTGCAGAAGAAAAGTTTGAAGCTAGCAGAAGTTGGTTCATAAAGTTTAAGGAAAGACATCATCTCTATAATATAAACGTGCATGGTGAAGTAGCAAATGCTGATGTAGAAGCTGCAGGTTATCCAGATGATCTACCTAACATCATTGAAGAAGGTGGCTACACTAAACAGAATTTTAATGTAGACAAAACAAGATTACATTGAAAGAAGATGCTATCTAGGACTTTCATAACTAAAGAGGAGAAGTCAATGCCTGGCTTCAAAGGACAGGCTCACTCTCTTGTTGGGGTTAATGCAGCTGCTGACTTTAAGCTGAAGTCAATGTTTATTTACTATTCAGAAAATCTTTAAGAATTTTGCTGAATCTGCTCTCCCTGAATCTACTTGCCCTATTAATGGAATAACAAAGCCTGAATAACATCACATCTGTTTGCAGCATGGTTTACTGACTATTTCAAACCTACTATTGGGACCTACTGCTCAGTAAAATATATATACATTTTTTCTAAAATATTACTAGGTACAAATGTACCTAGTCACCCAAGACCTTTTCACCAGAGTTCTGACAAACTTGCACCACTTCATCAGAGTTCTGATGAAGATGTACAAGGAGATTAATGTGTTCATGCCTGCTAAGCCAACATTCATTCTGTAGCTTACGGATGAAGAAGTAATTTTAAATTTCGAGTCTTTTTGTAAGAAATTTTTTTAAGGCCATAGCTCCCATAAATAATGATTCCCCTGCTGAATCTAAGCAAAGTAAACTGAAAATTTTCTAGAAATAATTAACCATCTTAGACACCATTATGATTCTTGTGAGGAGGTCACAGTACCTAAACTGTGTTTTTGTCATTTGTGTAGTATATATTTTTCCATTTCTTCACTTTCAGCTTATATGTGTCCTTGAATCCACGGTGAATTTCTTATAGATAGTATGCAGTTGGATCTTGATTTTTTTGTTTATTTGTTTTTTTTCCAGTCTCTCTGTATATTGTTTTTATTGGAGAGTTCAGTTCATTTAAAGTAATTATTTGTAGGAAAAAATTTGCTATTGTCATTTTGTTAACAGTTTTCTGTTTGTCTTGTTCTTTAGTCTTTTTTTTTCTCTCTTGCCTTCTCATAATGTATTTTGATGGTTTTATGTATTGATAAATTTTGATTCCTTTCTCTTATTTTTTGTGTAACTTCTATACCTATTTTCATTCTGACTACCAAGGGACTTACCTAATTTTTTTTTTCATAATTACAACAGTCAATCTTAATATAATAACGACTTAATTTCCCTCGCATACAATAACTCTCTGCTTTTACCTTTTCTCCTACCCACATTGTATGCTACTGATGTCACAATTTATATCTATTTTATTATGTATCAATAAACATAATTTAGGTATAGTTGTTTGTAATACTTTTGCAATTTAACTTTTGTAGTAGCATTAAAATTGATTTTCCCACTATCATTATAGTAATAAAATATTATCTTTATTAAGAAAATAATAAAATATTATCTTAAAATGAAGATAATATTTACCTTTCCAGGCAAGTTTCATCCTTTCTTATATTCTGGTGTTGCTATTTAGCATCCTTTAATTTCATTAGAAATACTCCTTTTGGCCTTTCTTGTAAGGTAGGTCTAGTGGTGATAAACTCCCTCAGCTATTTTTTGTCTCAGAAAGTCATTATCTCCTCTCAATTTTTGAATCAAGATTTTTGAACAAGGTTGTCTGTGTATAGTATTCCTAACTGACATTTGCTTCCTTTTATTATTTTAAATATATCACTGTACTCCGTTCACGCCTTCAAGGTTTCTTCTGAAAAATTCTCTGGTACTCCTGTCTAGGATTCCCTTACATATAACAAGTTGCTTTTTCTTGCTGCTTTCAAAATTCTGTTCTTATTTTTGATAATTTGATTATAATGTATATCAGCGTGGGTCTCTTTGGATTTATTTTATTTGGTATTCCAGAGACTTCTGAGATCTGTATGTCTGTTTTTTCCCTAGAAATGGAAAAATTTCAGCTAGCATTTCTTTGAATTAGCTTTTAGGTAATTTCTCTTTTTATGCTCCTTACAGTAACCCCATACTTGCATATATTAGTTTGTTTGGCAGTGTTTCATAAGTTCCTTAAACTACCTTCACTGTTTTTACTGATTTTTTTTTTGTTCCTCTGATTGGTTTCCAGTGACATATCTTCAGTTTCACTCAGCCTTTGTTTTACTTGACCTAGTCTGCTGTTGAACCCACCTGTTGAACTTTTCTGTTCAGTTATTTTCTTCTTCTATTGTTAAAATTAAAACATCTGGAACCAGTCTGAGAACTTTTGTTTTTTTTTTTTTTTTTGGTCTTAGGTCCTACCCTTAATTATTTACAAATACTAAGTTATTGAGTGGGACTTATATTGTGAGTTGGGTCTAAATTATATTATGAGAAAATTATTACTTGGAATTATAATTTATGTATATGGCAGTTTATTTTTAGCACCTTGTACAGTGCCTGTACAATGTATGTTCTCAGCAAATAGTTGTTGAATAAATATATGTATTTTTTCCTTATAATATCACATTAGATCCTCAAAATAATTGAAAAAGGAAGAGAAAGAGATCTCGTTTTATACATAAAAAACTGAAAAAATATTTCTAAGTTGCCTAAGCGTTGCATAACTAGTGCAGTGAAGACAGCTTTACTTGAACTCAAGCCTGGAGTCCGACTCCAAGCTGTAGATTTTGTTTTCTTTTCTTTGTTTCAGCTGGGACCTGGTAGTATGGGGATGTTTCCTTTGTAGCAGAGCTTGGAGTTTAAAATTAAATATAATAAGTTAATACTTGCATTAAATATAATTTATATAAATTCAATTCATACAAAAAGTAGTATTCAGTTATATAATCAATTTCAGTTTTCTCTAATGAGGCACATGTAAATAATATCTGCTAATCACAATATCAGTTGTTTTTTGTTTAGTTTGTTTTGTTTTTTAAACATATTCTTCCAATCTTTTATTTTCAGTACTTATCAGTAAGTGATTATATGGTTTAAAATAATACATAAGATTAATACTCTCAGTGGATTTTTGAACCTTAGACCTAAGTTCCATATTTTCCAAAAAGTCAAACCAATGAACAGAGATGCCTTAACTTATTCACCTAAACAAAAGCAACATAAATGTCAGAGGAGAGTAATTACTTAGGGACTGAAATGTGAGAAAAGGTGATAATTTTTATGAAATTTTATTGTCTGCTTACTAGATGCAAGCCTTTATACTTTGTCTCATTTAAACCTGACAAAACTTTTATGAAGTAGGTATTTCATTTTCATCTTGCATCTGGTAAAAAGTGAAGCTTGGGGTGATATAGTGACTTGCCCGAGATGAATCAGCTATTAAATTGTAGGGCAATATTTCTCTGACATCAGAGTCTGAACTTTTAACAATATCTGTTATTGACTCTCGCTAGGCCTCTGTAAGTGTGAAATGTCAAAAAAAATCTTCTTAAAAAATTGCTAGAATTTTATGTAATCTCATTATAAACTATGTTTGTTTATTTTATAAAACAAATTGCATATTGATCCTTGAAGCTTAGAGATTGTTGACCCTGGGAGTTGTGCCATGGTAGAGAGTCTCTGTCTTCTCCCCAGTACACACCCAATATCCAGTTTGAAATTTACCTGTTTTCAACATTTCCTGTGAATATGACTTAGCTCAGCAGAAGTTTAGACAAGAGTCACACACAAAGAACACAGAATGCAAGAGAGAAGGAAAACAAAGGATCGGGTACTCTTGTGGCCTCCACGGTATGCACACCATTCACAAAATTCCTCCCATCTATTCTGTACTTGGTGGAGAGGACAAAGGGAAGAAAAGCAAAAAGAAAAAGAATGAGTGGGAAAAGAAACAGTAGGGTGTGCCTATCATCTGTCCCCAAATCAAAGACCACAAATAAAGCTTTCCTTTCCTCCCTGTATCCATATCCCTATAATATACCCTGCAACCCAAACTACGTGAAAATCATGTAGTTTTGCTTGCAGGGTATGTTGTAGAGATATGAACTACATGAAAATAATGTAGCTTGGGCTGCAGGGTATATTGGCTTACTGCATTCATTTGATTTATGATTCAGAATATAGACGAATCAAGAAACTATTCTTTTGTCTGACGTTTCTGTTGCTGCTTGAAAATTCACTTGGGACAAGCATGACTTTTGTCCATCTTTCGTGGTAGTGAATTTAGTGACATGTACAATGTAGTAAAAAGAGGATAAAAATAAGAGGAAAAACAGTTTGGTGTCTGGAGACCAAGTCCATCAGGCTCACAGTAAGAGAAGAAATCAAAAAGATTTTTGTTTTGTTTTGTTTAAAGAATTTGGCTTTGAAGATAGTAGCATTTTGCTATCAACACAGGATAAACTTCTTTGGGAAAAAAGTCTCTGTTGGTGAGCAGTTCTCAAGGTGACCTGGTAGGCTTAGAATTTAAACAAGAAATGTCAACAACACAAATGAGTGCTAAGGAGAATAATGTTGATGCTTTTTGAGAAGAGAGCACAGGGATTTAAAAATAAATAAAGTTGGAGCTTTTGATATTTGGCACAATTTTCTCAAAAAAAATTATGTGCAATTACACTTTAGACCCAAGCACTTCTCCATGGTGTGTAGGTGGATATTCAGCTCTCAAATCAGCAGCAGCAACCAAGTCAAATGGGTTTTTCCAATTCTTAGCCTGAGTAGGTGTCAGGGCTTGTTAAAGTTTCATGATGAGGGAAGGAGATTTCGTCTTTTGGCAAGAGTGTTGGGGAGAGGTTAGAAATATTAATAATCTATTGTTAAAATTAAAACAACTGAAACCAGTCTGTGAACATTTTTATAGTAATTTGCATGAGACATAAGATTCCTAAGTAACTGAGTTGTGTTTTCATCCAGCTATCTTTCAAGTAAGGTGCTGTCTCAGTTCTCATTTTACAAATAAGAAAACTGAGTCTTTAGAAGTTTGTTTTTTGTGTTTTTTTTTTTCCATGTCCAGGAATCGAACCTATATTGTTCAACACCAGATCCTAAGTTCATACCACTATAAGACATTGTCCAAAATCTGTGTTCTAAATATTTTTAATATATTAACATTGAACTATGTTTAGGAAACTCTGGATTAAGTAAAGTGCAAAATGGTTTCTTTTTTGTAAAACTTTTGCATTGTGAGTTTCCAAGAGTGTAGTATATGTTGTAGCATTACTCACATTGGTATAACTAGGGAAATATTAATTTGCTGTATGTATTATTCTGTTTTCACGCTGCTAATAAAGACATACCCAAGACTGGGTAATTTTTAAAAGAAAGAGGTTTAATTGGCTCACAGTTCCACAGGGCTGGGGAGGCCTCACAATCATGATGGAAGAGCAGGGAACATCTTACATGGCCACAAGCAAGAGAGAACTTGTGCAGGGGAATGACGCCTTATAAAACCATCAGATCCGGTGAGACTTATTCACTATCAGGAGAACAGCATGGGAAAGACCCACCCAGACCCATGATTCAGTTACCTCCCATCGGATCCCTCCCATGACAGGTGGGGATTATTACAATTCAAGGTGAGATTTGAGTGGGTACACAGAGCCAAACCATATCACTGTGTATTTTCAGGGACTGCAGTTTCTCAGAACAAATTTGGGAAATGACACAAGTGGTATTTAAGTGTCAACATTAGTTGCTTTTAGTGTCTGAAACCAAACATAAGGCAAAAGAATAGTTTCACATACAAGAGAAAGCTATAGGTTGATGCCAAAGTAATTGCAGTTTTTGCCATTACCTTTAATAGAAAAAAATCACAATTACTTTTTCACCAATATATTAAGGAATATATATATTTGGTGACCCTTCATAATCACCTTGAAATTTGCCAGATGAATTCATGAGATGGAATAGTGAATGATAAATAGCATTGACCTCAACAAGATTGCCTAGGTTCAACACTCAACTCTGCCATTTACAAGCTGTGTAATCACAGATAAATTACCAAACTTCTCTGTGCTTCCGTCAAACAGAGATGATAATAATAATATCTATGTCATAAAAGTGTTATGGAGATTATATGAGTGAATATTTCTAAAGTACAGAGAGCACTTAATAATACCTAGTAATCCCCATGTAGGAGTTTATTAATAAACTATATAAATCTAGCCTTAGTGTTCTACCATGGATTTAGAGTTTTTTAAAAAGGACCAAAAATTAATCCACTGGAAGCTTTATTTGAATAAATTAATGAATTATAACACCATGAGAAATTGATTTTCCATAGTTTTGATAGTAACTTCTCTGGACCTTTGCATAAATCTCTGGATTTGCATGCAAGCAAATGTCTAATTCTGAAAGACAGAAAGACTTGATTCTGTATCCGGTCTTTTAAGAAAGCTTGAGAAAATTACCATAACTTCTCCAAGTGATGGTTTTCTCACCTGTTAATCAGAAGAAATAATTCCTGTCTGGTCTTTAGCCATGCTTTTCAGGTAATGTATATAATGTGCTCGACCCATAGCAGCAATTTGCTGGCCTCTTGCAATACTGATAACTCAGTAATACATATTTTCCCCTAAGAAACTATACAACATAGATGTTGGTAAAAGTATACTCTAAAAACTGTAAGAATTAGGATACCAATACTAGGTGAGGTATTGAGGAAAATTAGTAAAGCTAATACTTTAATAAGTTCCTATGGAAATTTATTTATCTTTAATTATTATCTAGCTGACTATAACATTTGTGTATTGGTTTCAATTCTTCTTTTCTCTTTTGGTTAAATCTTCTGAATCTTGACCAAAGAACAAAGCTGAGACATCACACAAATTGACTGCAAAATATATTATGAAGCTATAGTAATCAAAACATTATGGTACTGGCATAAAAACAGACAGACACATTGACCAGTGGAATAGGATGGATAGCCTGGAAATAAACCCAGACATCAGAGTCAATTGATTTTTGACAAAGGTGCCAATAATATACAATGCACAGTGTCTTTAAAAATGGTGTTGGGAAAACCAGATATACATGTACAGAAGGAAAATGGATTAAATATTTAAATGCAATTCCTGAATCTATACTACAGATACTAGAAGAAAGCACAGGGGGAAATCTCCATGGTATTGGTCTGGACAATAATTTCTTGTGTGTAATCCCAAAAGCACAGGAAACAAAAGCATAAATAGACAAACATGATTCCATCAAACTAAAAAGCTTCTGCACAAAAGGACACAATTGTGTCAAGAGAAAATGCACAGATTAAGAAAAGTATAAAAATTATACATCAGATAATGGGCTCTTTTACAAAATATACAAGAAACTCAAACTAATCCAAAACAATCCTATTAAAAACGGGCAAAGAACTCAAATAGACATTTCTTAAAAGAAGACACACAAATTGCCAATAGTTATATGAAAATGTTCAACATCTCTAATCATCAGAGAAAGCAAATTAAAGTCACAAAGATATATCACCTCACACCTGTTAGTTTGGCAATTATCAAAAAGATGAAAGATGGCTAGTGTTGGTGATGATGCTGAGAAATGGGCACAGTTATGCCCTCTTGGTGGTATTGTAATTTAGTGCAGCCATTTTGGGAAACAGCATGAATCTTTATTAAATAACAAAAAATAGAATTACCATGTGATCCAACAATTCCGCTACAAAATATATACCCAAAAGAATTCAAATCAGTATGTTGAAGTGATGTCGATACTCCCAAGTTCATTGCAGCACTATTCACAATAGCCAATTCATGGCAACAACCTGTGTCTATCATTAGATAAAAATCAATGGATTTTTTTAAAAGTGGCAAGATATACATAATGGAATACTATTCAGCCTTAAAAGAAACAGGAAAATATGTCATTTGCACTTAACATTTATGTTAAGTGAAATAAGTCAAGCACAGAGAAACAAATACTGTATGATCTCACTTCTAAGTGGAGTCTAAAAAAGTCAAACTCTTGGAAATAGAAAATAGAATTGTGGTTACCAGAGGTTGTGGGGTAGGTAAGTGGATGGGGAAGGGGGAAATGGTCAATTGGTATAAAGTTTCAGTTAGAAGGAATAAATTCTGGTGTTTCATTGCACAGCATATTGACAATGTATCCACAACAATACATCAAAACATCACATATTGTCTCATAAAATTATTCAATTATTATTTGCCAATTAGAAATGAAACATAACTTAAAAATTCTCCCAAGGACAGTAATGATTATGTGCTATGAACCAAGGAAGAGAATTAACTCCATTTTCTGCACTTGGCATCCAGTATAAAAGGGAAAATAAATCCACTTGAATGTCTCCCTGGCATCTCAAAGAGAAATTTCAATTTAATTAGACTCCTTATCTTTCCACCCTTCATTTCTACTTAAGTTAATGTCTATACATGTTTTTCAAACTTTGCTGATGGTTTCTCACTGTAAGAAACACATATAAACATTACATGTACGTATGTACAACTGAACCAAATGTTTCTCAAAACACCTTGTCCCTTAGTATTTGTGATTTATTTTTCCTATTTTCTAGTCTTTTTCATTTTAAAATACTGGTTGTGACCCGTTGAATTGGTTTCCTATCCCATGGATGGGTAGCAACCTGAAATCTGAAACTCTCTGGGCTGCACTCTAAATAGCAGTCAACTTAGACAGGCTGCCTCAGGGGATCTTCAGGTGCTGCATGTAGCTGCCCTGAAATCCTCATTTCTGCCTCTGTAATATTTCCTAAACGCAGCCTACTCTCCAGCCCTCATCTCTCCTCTAGAAGATTTCAGTAATGGATAATAATTATAAAAGCAGACAGTGTTTTTTTAAAGCTCCCTTAGTTTTTGTCTGCTAACAGCTAGTAAAACTTTTAGCTGGATTATTGATATTTTAAAATAGCTGAACTAACAAAATTACTTAATTTTAAGAGTTGTTTAAGATAAGCAAATGCTAATTTTGAATGCTTTTGCACTGTCTCTAATTTTCTACTTAATTCAAATTAAATTTTAACTCTCTCTGAAGAAGATAACGTATTGTTAGCTTACTTCAAGTCCCATTATTGTGTGTTGCCCAATGTGATGAATTTTGTATGTGATGAAGTGGGGGTTCTTTGCACCATAGTGCCATGTCTTACTTGTCCACTGATTGCTCTCAACTCTAGAGGTCAGGATTCAGAATTACTCTAGAGTATCTCGATCATTAGGTAGCATGGTATATGCAAAGGAAATTGGCCTGCAAGTTCGAAGACTGGGCTCTGTTTTTGCCAGTTTAGTGCTTTTCTCTAGGTGGTAATTCTTCCTCTGCCAGGGAGGAAGCTGGGCTAAATGTCTGCAAGGTACCTTAGGTCAATTTAACACCTACTTTAATTTAAAAACTGAACTCTCCCTTCCTTTAAAGCCGGCCATGTTTTTAAGAAAGTGTTATAAAAATATTTTATCTTATTGAGAGACACTTTATTATTTCATAGCTAATTCCAAACACCTAAATGTGGGGAATTTTATTTTAGATAGTTACATGAGTTTGCTGTGTACCTCATTCGGGTGATCTAATGAGTAGGCTGGGAGACTCCGCAATAAAGGTAAATGTGCAAACTCAGATAATTTATAAGCGTTCCACATGTTAAACAAAATTCTGGCCAGATCACATTTGCAACAGATGGCCTCTAATTAACAACGTTTCTTTCCCCTGTTCACAAGTAGTTAGATCAATCAATTTCTCACAAGGTAACTTTATTTATTCTAATAACAAAAAAGCCATTACTTTGTTGAAACACACAAATGTGCTGTGGCTAGATTTTTGGAATTATATCCTAAGTTGCATATGTAGTCTATTAAGTTTATGAAATCAAAGTCTTATAAATACTAATCAATAATTTTATCTCGACAAATGTATATAACAGCCTCTTATTTTAAGATTTCTAACCCAGAGAGGATTTCTTGTGTGGCATATAATCACTAGTTAATGATTTGACTCTGATTCCTGATGATCTCAGAACTATAACTTCCAGCTCCATCGTGTTCTGTTTCAATCTCGAGACACTGTCTTGCTCCAACCACTCACTTGGTGAGAGAGTGCCTTTTCAGTTGGTCATGAGAGAAATGGATAAAGGGATAAAGATAAATGAAAACAAACTTATTATCTAGAAACAAATCTCTGCATATATTAAGCTCTAAGGTTCTGACATAAAATAGTAATTAAAATTATAGTTGAGTAGTTGCCAGTTAAACATACATATATCTAAATTATATGTATATATAACATTAAAAGTGATTATTTTCCTATCAACATTTAACTTTTATTACTAATATAAATTTATCGACTACAAATATTACTGATATACTTTCTGACACAATAATTATTTGTTCTCATCAATAAGTTGGTAGCCTAATCTCATACATAGGAATTAACGTTCTGTGTCACCAGTGTTTACCATATCACATGGAGGTTCTTCAGACATTTACTAAATGTATAGACATACACTAAGATGTTTTCAAACAGTGCTATGGGAACTCAGTGTTCCATTGAGGTGTTAGTCCTAATTGTTAACATAATAATCAAAATGTTTAAAACCCACTATCCTACATGTTTTGTACCTTTGTTTCCATCAACTAGTAAGCTACACGCTTCTCTTTTTCCTGTATTTTCATTTCCATATTCTCATTCACTAGTTAACCTACCCATGGAATCCTGATTTTTCTCAATTTTCCTCTTTCTCCAACAGTCACACTGGTTGCTCTCAGGTACCTTTGGCCATCTTTGGTAACTCATATTCTTACACTTACACACATACTCCTACACATATTTGTGAGTCTCCATTCTCTTGCATAATGCTGCCAGGTAGCATCCTCCTTTTTTGATATTTGTGTTGCAGGTTGCAACTGAGGCCAGTATTGTATGAGCAGTAAAATGAATTTACAAAGACAGTTGTAGGTAAAGAAAGGCAGTTTCATTAGAGACAGTATGAAAATACATTGCAAGGAAGCAATGGGCAAGTCAGCAAGAGAGGAGCTGACTGCAAGGACACAAAGGCTTGCTGGAGATTTTATAGGATGGTGCTTCTGCTTTGTGCTAAAGAGGGCTCTATGCAGTACTGATAACACCAAGGTTGCAGTGAGCTAACTTGCATTTTTCCATCAGCTGAGGGTCTTGTGATAACTGGGCACAAGAAGACTATGTGTTCTGGACTATGTAGAAAGGCAGACTTAAAACTTATCTGCTTTCTCATTTTGCTTTCCCTTTGTCCCACCAGCCCAACTACTTCTCCCTAATTTAGGACTTCACAATTTGTATTAGTCACTGAGACCTGCACTACATATATTAAAGCAGCTAATAATAATCAGTGGTGTCAGCAAGATCAATGAAGGGCAATTATGAATAAGACAAGAGAAAAGTAGTGGTGAGAAAAAATTACAACTAGAATGTTGGTTGACTAGTCCCTTTCATCCCTTGTACTTACTTTGACATGAAGATGCTTTCTCTGCTGAAATCTGCTCTATATCCATCTATGCACAGTGCCCCTATTTACATTAGCTCTTACATATTCCCTAAAAGACTTAAAGATTAAGAGAGTTTGGCTGCCTTTACAATTCTTACTTTGTTGCAATATCACTTAATTTTGTAGCATTTAAACTGCATTGAGTTACAGCAATAATAAAGTCTCCAACCATCCTATTCAGTCTGTGCTTTAAATGAGGTTAAATTTCTACTAGACCATCTTTGAAATATTACACCCATGTATAAAATGAGGCGTTTGTATTTTAAAACGTAATTCTGTTGGGAAATATTAAGACCCAATTTTTTTCAAAAACATTGTCAACTGCACCTAAGTTTTATACTTAAAAGAGTGGAGAAATTAAAAGGTCATAATTATTGATAATATAAGTAAGGACAAATCACATATTGCATATAGCAGATACTCCTAATCATTGGTGAAGCATTAGCACACATATTTAAATCATATTACACTTGAAAACTCAAATTATTTTGTAAACATATCAGGGAACCCAAAAGGTCAAGTGTTGTTTTTGCCTTATAACTATTATAATTCAAGGACTGAGAGGAATGATATATGTCATGTGATCTGGATGACACACAATCTCATCTTGACATCTTCAAAAGGACCACTAACCAAAAGAATATCCCTGTTACAGAACATTCATTAATACAAGTATATCATCTTTACACAAAACCTATGAGAACATTCATACTTACTCACTTATAAAATATCACTCTTTCACTACTAGGCCCCCACAGGCCCTTGGAAATTCAGTGGAAATCTGAGTTTCTTACATTTTTTTTCTCTTCTACAGCAAATTTTTATTTTATAAAAGCCTTTTCATTTTAAAGCCTGTTTTTATTTTACATTCAAAATACAATCAGATATGTGGGTGAAAAGAGATAAACGTGTTGATGGGAAGCTTTAGTGATAAAGATAGAAATGGCATTTTACATTTTTTGTTTGAAAACAGAATAACAAAGATTGTAAAACCTGTCAAGAAAGAAATGTAGAATGAAGCATGTTTGGTAAATAAGTTTGTATACATGATGACAAAATTAATATCTGGAAATTTGAAAACAGTTATTTTGTTGATTCTTCCACATTGTGGCAATAACAGGCTTGATATTCCCTTCTCTTTAAATAGATAATCCTTTTCTTGATTCCCCCAGGGAAATCAATATTAGGATAATACATTGAAATACAGATGTATATTTCAGTGATGAGATATGCTTGCAAAAATAATTGGTATTTATTATTAGTTATATATAAAATCTTAGTTCACTAGTATCCATTTCCTTGATTTAATGAAAAATATTTTGCTGTGGGCATTGTCTTCACAAAGGGACATGGTCTTGTCCATGGCCTAAGATTTTATCTGCCAAAGTTTGCATGTTGAGACTTCCTCATATGTTAGCCACATAGTAGGATACAGACTGTTTCTGGTATTTTCATCACCTTTTCCTTGTAGATTACCCCCCAAAATCAGCAACTTCAGCCATCCAGATCACGCACCTTCTGAAAAGAACCAAAGTTGCCCTAAAGTACAATTAATAAAGACATCTGGATTAGTATTTCCTTCTAGAGAGCTAAAATATTCCCATAGTACTTTTCCTGATTATTCCATGTGATATATATTTAGAATTTGCTCTTTGTGATGAAGAGATTTTTATGTTCCAAAATCAACTTTTCTCCAAGGTAGTTTGCTATTGTCCAATATAAACTTTTAAACACACACACACACACACACACGCACACACACAGACACCAATATCCATACTTAAAATATTGTTTAAAGTTTCTGTTACCTTTGCAAAGCAGATTTGGGATTATTTTTACCAGCTATTTCCAACCACCTATTAGAGTACCTAATATGGTTTGGCTGTGTCCCCAACCAAATCTCACCTTGAAGTGTAATAATCCCCACATGTCAAGAGCCGGGCCAGGTAGAGATAAGTGAGTTATGGGGGTAGTTTCCCCATACTGTTCTCGTGGTAGTGAATAAGTCTTACATGATCTGATGCGTTATAAATTAAAGTTCCCCCGCACAAGCTCTCTTGTAAGACATCCCTTGCTCTTCCACCATAATTGTGAGGCCATCCCTGCCATGTGGGACTGTGAATCAATTAGACCTCTTTCCTTTATAAATTACCTAGCCTTGGGTATGTCTTTATTAGCAGCGAGAGAACAGACCGATGCAGTGCCCATGTTAAATTTTCAGGTAAGAAATTTGCAACTGTGGGAAGGTTTCCCAGAATGGTAAAATTAGACACATAACCAGATCACTATTTCCTAACATGGTTACCTTTGGCTATATTTCCCTCAGAAAGGAATCTGTTGAGACCATTTGAGGACATTAAAAGAAGAGATTAAATTTTAGCCAGACACAAGTTTTCTCCAGGAGACATCAAGTTTTATATAGTCCCTTACTGATAATTTATGACAGTTTCCTCCATGATTTAATATCTCCATTCCATGAGACATGGCCTGGTTGCTGAAACCTAAACTACCTTCAATTATCAATGTGTTAGGCCTAGAAACTCCATATGTATATAAACACATGCCCACACACATATGTATATATGTGCATATGTATGCATCTGTTTCTGGAGTTGTAACGTGCTTTCTATATATGTAGTTAGTATATCAGTGATGATGAGATTTAATTTCTGGTTTATCTGAGACTTCATAATAACCAGTAATATTTTACTGACATTCAATTATGCCTTAAAGTGAACTCAGTAGAACTAGTATTTCGGTGAATAAGTCATAGAATCGGGCCCACTTTGAATCTTTACCGCTTACTAGCAGTATTGTAGAGTTAAGAATTTAAGTTACCACTTCAATATGGAGAGAAAATATATCTGCTTCACTTCTGTACCTCATTGACATATAGTAATGAATCAAATTTTAACTTTTTCTCTAATTATATCTTATCCTTTCATTTTTAAGTTTCTTTTGATTTCCAACAATTCCTATTCTGAAAGTATAATTGACAGTTTAAATTTCCAAGTCCTATTAAGGCTGTTTTACCCACACTTTTCCTTTTTAAGACGACATCTTGGAATAAGATGGCATGGATGTCACCATGAGATTGGGGTTAGTGGTTATCTTTGTCTCATGCTGGTCCTTGGGTGGCTCTCCACTGGCTGTGTGGAGGCTGGTATACCCTAAGATGAGGATAGTCTGTTCATATCCACAAGCATCCTACTAGTATGCATTAATGAGTTCTGTCCTCCTGGCCTAGCCACAATCCTATAGCTTTCCCTCGATGACTTATTCTCACTGAGGCCCAAGGAACTTTTCCTGAATCATGACTGCAGGATAAATGAACCTTCTCAGTAGCCCTTAATATTCAAGATCCTTTGCTCCCACAGTGATAGCTACTAGATGTTCAGCTACTTTTTTATACTCTCTTCTAGAAAATGTAGGAATCTGTGGGTTCCTGTAAGGGTATATGGCTACAGTACAGCTTAGGAATGCCTTCCCGTGTTCATTTATTCTTTCTCTGCTCTTTCTCTGTCATCTCCGTATTGGCACATGACAGTGTGCACGACCATTTCTTCCCAGGTGGCCAAATGGTGGACAAGGATAAACTATCCTTGATTTCAGCTTTCTCTCTAAACCTATTCAATAAGCTTTCCTACTCTAAGAACACAGTTTGGAAAGAGGCATTTCAGATACAGAGTCCCATATCTCTGATTTCTTTCATCTTATGTGCTTTGATGGACAGAAAGTGCAAGCTTCACATTTTCTCTTCCTGTCTAGTGTAATATTTACTTCTTTCTAAAGTTTCTTAAAGTATATAATGTCTTATGGGGCAATGAAAGAAACTAGATCTCTTGGGTTAAATTTCCAAGGAACCAGGATCTGATGTGGAAATATGTATGGAAGAGAGTTACTCGGGAGTCCTCTCAGGGAGAAAATTCAACATCTACTACTAACAACAAAAAAAGGAAAGAAGGACATCAAAATAGTAAGAGAAGGAAACTTCCTCAAACTCAAAAAATGCCATCCATAAAACTCAAAAATAAGAAGAGAAGGAAATCAAAATGAGAAGCAAACTTCCTTAAACTATAAAAGGGCATCCATAAATCATATATCTGGCATCATGCTTAATTTGGAAATAGTATGTTCCTCTGAGGTGATGAACAAGTCACGATATCAACTATCTCCAGTTCTAGTGCACAGTGTGCTGCAGATTTAAATTTGTAGGGTAAAACTAAATAAGTAAAATAAAATAAAATGCATCCAGATTAAAAAACAGAAGAAATAAAATGCAGATCCATGTTCCATGTACAGGAAGCACAAGATTTCAATATTGACCCTTACCTCACACCACATTCTATAATTAATTTGCAATGGATCATATAGTACCTGTAAAACATTAAAAATTTTCTAGAAGGAAATATTTGCAGCCTTGTATAGGCAAAGATTTCTAAGGGCACCTAAGAACAAAACATAAAAGAAACTTCGATAAAATGATTATTATCAAAATTAAAATTTTTTCTCCTATAAAAGTCATATTAACAAGTCTGCAATAGAATGGGAAAACTATTATATATATAAAAATATATAAAGCGTTATATCCAGAACATATAAAGAACTCTTACAACTCAATAGGAAAAAGTCTAGTAACTCAAGAACGTTACTATGTCTCACTAGGTCAAGCTCCTCATGACCACAGATTTAAGGAAATGTATAGTTGCTTAAATGTTTATAAGTAAATGTGTTATAGTAATCATTCCACTAATTCTATCTCTTTGCATAAAATTCACAGTTTACAAACCAAATAAAGTAAATTAAAGTTAGTTTTGCAATAACTGAATTATAGAGGATTAAGAATTGTCATTTTTCATTTGGAAGGGAAACTTCAGAATTTAATTTTTTTTTTACATGTCATATATGTGTGCTAGAACAAAAGGAGATCTGGGAGGTGGGAGGTTCTTACTATTTCCATGACTGTGCGTAGGTTAAAATTTAAACCTTTTAATTAAGGCCATGTCTCCTAATGGGCCAGAATTTTACAAGTGTAACAGTTTAAGGGATTTTGAGACAATTTTGCTGAATCCCAAGTAAGTACTGGCTCCATGAGTTTTCCTTCCTGCTCCTGCCATCCTCGACACTACAGGTTTACTGACTCCCCCTTTTTAGGGGAAATATTAATGTACTAAGCCGCTGGTAATTTCAGTGAAATAATACCTTTTTCACAACATATAATTTGGTTAGGCTGATTGAAGTCTTGAAACGCACTGAGTGGCATATGTGCTAAAAGACCAGGGGATGATATGTAGATTGTGATCTCTAGGCAGCTTGCCTTGAATAGCAATGAAAGGAACAGTAATGAGATTCCACGGGTACCTTGATCTGGATCTTGTCTTTTAATGATAGGCCACATTGGTTCTTCTTACTACTTAGCTTAGCCAATGCTAATCCAGTTTGTGGAGACAGTGGGGACAGAACATTTCAGATCTTCGTATGGGCTCTATTCTCTTATTTGTAACATTCTGGGTGGGGGAATATAACATGTAACCACTGGAGGACAGCAGAGAGCCAGGAGCAGATGCAGTGGTGCCTTGCATGGACACATTTGGAGTAGCAGTTGATGCAGTAGTCTGTAGCCAGTTATCACACCCCTGAACCAGGCTCCAACTTAATTGGAGAAAAGAAAAATACTTAAGTGCTATCCATAAAAGAGACTTAGAATGTAGTCCTCTAGCGTATCACGTCATTGGTATAAAATTTTGGATACTAAATGGAACAAGTAATACATAGAAATGGAAATGGTAAATGCTTCAGAATCAAACAAGTATTAATCTATTTAACACGTGTGTGTGTGTGTTTGTGTGTGTGTCTGTGAGATTTTAAACACCACTGCATTCAGACTAGCCAACAAACATTTCTTGAGTGGCTGCTATAAACCATGTACTCAGCTGGAATTTGTAAATAAGAAGATATAATGAAGTTCAGAAAAAGTTTTGAACAGAGAACTGCCATTATAAAAGGAATGTTTAAGGCAAATTCTCAAGGATGTAGAGACATGGCCTATAAATAACTTTAGCCCTAATTTAGACAGGAGTAGTAGAATGTGAAGATGTTATCACAATGCCAGTATTTAACAGAAAATAGGAGAGGTAAAGATAGACAATGAGACCTAATTGGAAAGGATTAAATGAATTGGAAGGTAAAGTATGAGAAGCATATCAAAATCAATACCATAAAATGCATCTAAGACATAAGGAGAGTGAGGCTAGGAAAACAAACAAACTAAAATTTTAAAATTCTGGACTTATTTCTAATGTTATTGGAATAATTAAATACTATTCCAGAAAAATTGAATCAGTAAATTCAAGAGGGCAAAACAAGGGTATATCACTTTTTAAACTAAGAGTGGGAGGAAAGAGAATAAAAGTAAAAGCTGACAACTACGGTTTCACAAGTTTGAAATTGAAAGAAGAGAAATAAGATTGCAAAGGGGGTAACATTTTTAGAAGAGAAAGAGAAAATGTATGAAACTTAGATCCAATCATTGATATGTGTCAAATACTTCAAAAAGTAAATTTTAATTTGTTTTAGAAATAGCAATAGCTAAAACTAAAACCAAAACAGAAACACAAATCATTTTCTGTTTGAAGCCATAAACAACACATTGGAAACTTGTGATAAAAAATCATCCATATAGATTCATATTATAATGAAGATCTTCTAGTACTTTCAATATCTCACTGGACAGAATCCAAAATGAGCCTACATTAAACGGAGTTTTGGGCTGTTACGGTTTACAGTAACAAGAAGAATTTCACTTCCTAATTGTGTTTGGTGAGTTGGATGTAGCCCAAGTAAGAAATGTGTTGGTGGAGTGCCTGTGTTCATTTCATTAGGCTGCTAGGAGATGTTATAAAAATGACATATTACATTTATATACAAGTGTTTTTTCCACAGAGCTCTAAGCACTGTATCTTTCTCTGAAAGTTCTGCATACTTATTAACAAGTACAATACTCTTGAGGGGAGAAGGTTATAGATATTATTTCTCTTTTTTGCTGGCAAGGGTACAAAGAAGCAATGTAATGTGTTCACAGAGACAGAGACAAAGACACAGCAAGACAGTACTTGATTAGCTTAACCTGTATTTATGAGACATAATTAGCGTGCCTAGTATCTGCAGGAAATGTGGCAACTAGATTGAAGAACTACCACATCCACCAATGTGAGCAAGCTATGGGAAGAAAAGATTATGTGCTCACAACTTCTGTAATACAAAACTTTATCAAAGGAAAAATCTTATGAGATCTATGCTGACCAAATAGAGTAAAAAACTGGAGTATTTAAGCAAGCATCATGATATACCAATTTCTATACACACACACGCATACATTATATATATATATAAAGTTCTGGGACACATGTGCAGAACGTGCAGGTTTGTTACATAGGTATACATGTGCCATGGTGGTTTGCTGCACCTATCAACTAGTCATCTACATTAGGTATTTCTCCTAATGCTACTACTCCTCCAGACCTCCATCCCCCAACAGGCATCAGTGTGTGATGTTCCCCTCCCTGTGTCTGTGTGTTCTCATTGGTTCAACTCCCACCTATGAGAACATGCAGTGTTTGGTTTTCTGTTCCTGGATACACCAATCTCTATGCATATCTTTTCCGGACTTTGTAACTAGAAAACATATAATGAAAGTCTAAGGAAGGGTTTGAAAAGGAAACTGGCATGAAAAGAAATAATTGAAGCAAATTCTCATGGATGTAAAGAAACAAACTGTTAATAATTTTAGTTTTAATTTGGACATGGTAGAAGGGTAGGCCTTCTTTGGGTTTAGGTTAACTAGTTTCAGTTATCAAATATGTTTTTAAAATGTATGTGTTGATTTTTTTCCCAGGAGCACAAAGAAGGTAGAAAAAGTTCATAAAATGATTGAATGGATTTGGAAACTCTTATATTCCCATTGTCTACACGTTTAATTATCAGGAAAAAAATATGTGTACAAATTCTGGATTATATTATAGATTTGGGAAAGAAAATCAAATACGAAAAGTAACATTTTATGCTTTTGGCAAACCAACTAGGTATTTAGTGTTTATTGTTTCAAGGTAGCTTCAATAGCGAGAAAGTCTCAGTGTCTTAATTCGCTGAAGTCCAGACATTCAGTAACTCCTTTGCCTAATCAAAATAAGTCAGGATTTATTTCAAGTAATATTTTTCATCAAGCTTTGATGTTCAAGAAAGGGATAGTCAACTTTAGAATAAAATCTACTTTATACTCAGTACTTAAATTTTGTATTACAATACTCAGTCTTTTCTTGGAAATTTCATTAACTTTTCTCTTAAAATCAACTTTCTATACTTTGATCATTCTGTGAGTATTATTCTAGATAAATCTATACCTATTTATTACAGTAACAGAGGCTATGATGATAAGATATGGAACCATCAAATTTTAAACAAAAGCAATGCTTGTGATGTAAAGAAGAGTCTTAAAAATCAAACAGTTAAATGAAACATGGTAACGTGCATGATAGGATATTACACAGCTATTTGGAAAATATGTCTCGCTACATTCTTTATGTAATGGAAGTGAATCTGATATAGTATTTAACAAAAAAGTAATATACATAATAGTGCCTACAATATGATCTAAATATTTATAGAAAAATGCACTAACAAGTTAACTTTTTAAACTGATTGATGAACTTATTGGTGATTTTTATATCTTCATTATAACGTGTGATGCATTTTCAAAAATTTCCAAATGAGCTTGTATTACTTTGTCAGGAAAATATGAAATAAAAGTTTCATATTTACATTAACAAAAAAATCAAACTGAGATATGCAAAAGAAAAATAATGCTGGCCTGGCATGCTGGCTCATGCCCAAAATGCCAGCACTCTGGGAGGCCAAGGCAGGTTGATCACTTTAGGTCAGGAGTTTGAGACAAGCCTGGCCAACATGCCAAAGCCCCATGTCTACTACAAGCACAAAAAATTAGCTGGGCATGGTGGTGCATACCTGTAATCCCAGCTACTCGGGAGGCTGAAGAATGGGGATCACTTGAGCCGAGATTGCACCACTGCAGTCCAGCATGGGTGACAGACTGAGAGAGGCAGGGAAGGAAGGAAGGAATGAAGGGAGGGAGGGAGGGAGGGAGTGGGGGAGGGAGGGAAGCAAGGAAGGAAAGAAAGGGAGGGAGGGGGAAGAAAGAGAGAGAAAGAAAGAAAGGAAAGAAAGAAAGAAAAAAGAAAGAAAGAAAGAAAGAAAGAAAGGAAAGAAAGAAAGAAAAAAGAAAGAAAGAAAAGGAGAAAAGAAAAAAGGAAAGGAAAGGAAAGGAAAGAAAGAGGGAGGAAGGGAGGAAGGAAGGAAGAAGAAAGAACAAGAAAGAAAAAAGAGACAGAGAGAGGGAGGGAGGAAGGAAATAAATCTGTGTTTGAGAACTATGATCTTTTTATCACTAATACCTTGGGATAAAACAAAGAATCATTTTGTGTGTTTCAGTGTTTGATAGTGTTGTGCTTCCAGCTTTAATATAATTCAGTTATGGCTTCCTTAATAGTATCAAACTGTTTTCTAAGTCACTAAAAAAAAAAAAAAAAAAAAAAACAAGTATTTAGTATAAAACGTTATTCAGGATCCAGACCTCCAATAAAACATTTTGAAGCATATATGGCAAATTATATCAATTGTGGCTATTGAAAGAGTGAAGTTGACTGTCATAGTGGCCAAAATCATTGACTCAATAGGCTAATAGTACTATCAAGATCTTCCAAAAAATTCTGCTGTTATAAGTCTCACTCTATTAATGTAGTTTATTTGCTTACTAAATGAATGTACAAATGGGTAAGCAAGATTTAATGCTGATTCTTTAGACCAAAAAAAAAAAAAAAGAGTTCAATTATTTTTCTGGAAGCAAAGCACACACAACCAAACAAATACCAAAAGTAGTCATTCAATTCTATCTTTGCATTAAAAAGGAGCTTTTGAATTTTATGCAATTTGGAAAAAAAAATGTCATATGTTCAGAAGAGAAATCCTCTGTATTCTCTGTTAATGAGAGACATTTTAATCGAAATGTTTTTCATAAAGTTCATCTAAATTAATAATCACAATATATTAAAGTATCCTTAAAGGTGGGAATTACATAGTTTTTAATATTTGATATTAATTAGTGATAACAGGCACTCTTACCTATGAAATCGTTACTGTGAATAAGAAACTACCAAGGGCTACGTGGCTTAATTGATATTCAGATACTCATCTACTTTTAAATGTTTTATAAAATTTCAAAATTTAAAATGTTTCAAAGTTCATCTTTTTGACCAAAAAGTTAAATTATAGAATTTCGTTTTGTGTAGAGATTAGGAAATATGCTATTTAGTCATCAGAAGAATACCATCGGTATGAAATACTTTGTAGTGTTAAGTACTATTTGTTATTAAATATACATTTTCAAAGACACATGTTGATTTATTCTCAGGTGCTCAGACAAGAAGGTAGAAAAAGATAATTTTTAAAATTTGAATGGATTTGGCAACTCCTATTTTTCCCATCAGTCTAAATGCTTACTTACCTTATTCATCCATAAACTGTCTTCATTCAGAAATCCCATGTTAAATACTGTGTTAAGTTCTCAAAATAGCTTCTCCCTGATTCTTCAGGATAAAAGGTATATTGCAGATGTCATCTCCATGGCAGATTTCCTGTCTATTAAACCCATCAAATGAAATCCAAGCAGTGATCACAGCCCTTTGCTCTGGCATAATCTTAAACTCCCCTTTGCAGGTGAAATGGTGGCCTGGAATGCAGTGAAACTGGGTAATAAGCATTGCATGGTCTTTTAGAGGGATATTGAAAGCTGCTCCTTCTATTTTGTATATTGAACTAGTGTTTAGAATTACTCAAATCAGTCTAACTTCTTGTACTTCAGTGTAATGCATACATTTATATAAGCAGCAACACTGGAATTGTCAGAATAATGTTGTCTATTGATCATCGTATTCAAAATGTTCTTCTCTAGGCTGAGAAGTCATTTCATTTTAATTACTATCAATTCAAATTACATCTTTCTTTTTTCCAAGCAACTTTGCTACTTTTATGTTCAGCCTACTTTGGAAAATAATCACTGCCTTTCCTTCTGTAACCTAAGTAAAGTAAACTTACGATTTTTAAATGTGGAAAGAAATGGAGTAGTCAAGTCCAATGATATAATTGGAAGTTCATATCCCTGCAAATAGAAGCATAAAATAAAATAAAACACTACCCTTTCTAGGCATATGATGAAATCTATTTACTGGAGATATATACACATACCATCTTTTCTTAAAATGTAAACTTATTTTATTCTTTCTTGCTCTTCAATATTTAATATTGGCCAGACTCCTCATTAATTCTTTGTTCATTCAACAGGTATTTACTAAATACCTACAAGGTGCCTGCAAGTGGTGTTACATGAATGAAAAAAAATACATTTCCCTGCTCTGATAGAGGTTTAATCTTAGCATAGGGAAAAAGAAAAAATATATTAAACAATTACATTATATCATATGTTTGGAGGTGCTAAGTGCTTAGGGAACAAAAGGGAATGGGGAAAACCTGGCTGGGGTGGGAATCACAGTTTTACATATGATGGTCAGGTACATGTTACAAAGGTGATAACTGAGTAAAGATTTGAAGGATGTGAGGGAATGACCCATGCAAACTTTTTTTTTTTTTTTTTTTCAGGGGAAACAGTCCCCAAGTACAGGAAACAGCCAGTGCAAATATTCTGAGGTAGGCTCATTCCAGCATGATGAATAATTTTCAGCCTATGAACACTTTCTAAGGAGTTTTTCATTCAGGCCATTGGTCCAAATACTACTATTTGACAAAACTGAGAATAAAAGTAAGTCTCTCTCAAGTTCTCAAATCTCTCCCAAGTTCCCAGGTATGAGGCTTAACGTGCCCTGCTTCAGAAATTTAGTTTTCACATTAGGAGGCCAAATTTATGAGCTAAGACCCTTCCTCAAAATTATGCTAAAATGTGAGTGTTGTATAATACTGCATTTGTCTTTTCTTAAATTGAGATATGCATAGAAGTAATCATGTTTAAAGTATGTGAGTCTTGCAATGTTTTTCTCAGTTTTTCAGGCTGTAGAATCCTCTGCATCTCAGATTAGCTTTTAGCAGTAAGATAGAGGCCTCAATCCTGTGTCTCTTCCTATGCAGTTTAATCCTAAACTAAAGATAAAGTCTTACAGACTTTAATGAATCTTACTGCAAGTCTAAATCATGTACAGAACCCTGGTTTTAGAGAGTATTAGAAATTTAGTTTATAGTTTTATTTTTCTAACTTCTGCTAACAATAAAAACTTCCTAAAAGTCAATAGGAATAAGTATTAGGCAAATTAGTCTCATTCATAGATCTGTCTAAAACAACAAAAAAAGAAAGCAGTTTGGTTCTGTGTCTTTTTTTTGTTTGTTTTGCAACAGTGCATTTCAGCAGGGTAAAATACATGAATAAAAGACATCAATTTTTTAGACTGTCTTTAAAGCTGCATGTGGCTAATGACTGAGATGTTGCCAATTCCTGGCCAATGGAATTTGTGAGAAAATGTTGGATATACTTTCAGAACAATTCGTTAAAAGGAATTGACCCAGATAGAAGGGCCACCTTGACCTTTTCTAAGTTTCTTCCTTTTACTGGTCCAAGTGTAAGTGGGATGACTGAGGCTCTAGACACCATCATGGGCCAGCAGGCGATCTTGCTGATGTATATGTGGCAGAGCAAAAATAACTGAGCCTAATCCTTGCCGACACCACTGACTCCTCATGCCAAGCCATGAACTTCTTACTACTGGACTTCCTTATTTTAAAGAAATAGTTTCATTTTGTTTAGTCTATTTTAATTTGGTAATTTTTTTTCTTTATGAGTTCTTATTCACTCCTTACTAGTACAATCATCTCATCCCATCTTTTAAAACATTCTTGAAATGATGGACATAGGTAAAAATATCTATTTTCACCACTCCAAATTAGAAGGCAATCGTGTGATTTTGAGTGAATTTTGTCAACTTTCTGAAAGGCTATCTTTCATTAGCTTGTGTCAGCTAGCCTTAGATACCTTAATTGGCTGAAACTACCCTCAACAGATTTCCCTATATTTCTGATTAGTTACCAGTGCTGATGTAAAATTTTCCCTTTAAAATGTCAATTATTTCAGTGAACTTCTAGTAGAACTGCTACCTTACACTGAATTTTCCAATGTGCTCATTCATATATGTATTCCCATGTATGCACATGGATGTATGTTCATGTGTGTATACATATATACAGAAAAATAATGCATACTTATGATGTTTGTAATTGCATAAAAAATTTGTTGAGCATCTATTATATGCTAGATATAGGAAATTTAAAATGTCTTCAGAGATCATAAATAGGTTTTACTTGGATCAATGTGGCTAAAATGTAGAGTGAAGAGAAGGTTTTGAAAATACAATGACTGGGAAACTTATGCTAAATAGAGAAATTCAAATTAGGTCTAATAGAATTTGATTCTAGAAAGATGACTACTCTTCTAAAATAAAACGAAAACAACAGACTGTTCTCTTTAAACTCAGAGCAATGAGAAAATCCTTTACATAATACAAAGTTCCTGTTCCAGTTCTTTGAGTAATCTCTCTGAGTCACATAAGTCAAAGCAAACTAAATATTGGAATAGAGTGAATTCAAATGAATTAAAAATTGGAACTTGAAACCAGTGGCTTCACTTTTTAATTTTTGTTACTTTCCTTTAACATCAAATAAGCAGTGAATTTTTATTCATACCATGAACAACATTACTTCCTAATGTGAGTGGAATATAACACAAAACACAAATAATCTGACCTTAATTCTGTTACCGATTAGCCTCAAGGAATGCTACGGTAATGTATTGTGTTCTGTCTGTACAAATCAATGAATTCTGAAGAATCAAAAAAGCAGATATTTGAAAACTATCCTTAATTGCATATTTTATGCTGATTTTAAGTAGCAGCATGCATCTCGTATATTCATATGCTGATTCATTACATAATGGAAAGGATACTGTATTTGGAATCAAAATCCTGGGTGAGAATTTTTGCTTTACCACTAATAATAAAACCTAAGGGAGTGATTGAACCAATTCAGCCTGTATTTCCTATCTGTAAGAGGGAAAAATAATGCCTTCCCTATGTTACTTTCACAGTTGTTGGGTAGATGTAACTTAGGGCCATGGAAGAGCCCTAACTCTAAATCAGAATATCTAAGTTCCATTCCTGACTCTATCACTGATGCCCTTCATAACCTTAATTACAACACTTTTCTGATCTTTTCCTCATTTGGCTTACTTCTAAATGAAAGGCTAAGTCACATGTGTCTTATTGATATTAGTACTTTCTAGTTAGATTCTAAAGTAATTTCAAACTTACAGAAATAATGTGAATAGCAAAAATAATTCCCGGCCGGGCGCGGTGGCTCACGCCTGTAATCCCAGCACTTTGGGAGGCCGAGGCGGGTGGATCATGAGGTCAGGAGATCGAGACCATCCTGGCTAACAAGGCGAAACCCCGTCTCTACTAAAAATACAAAAAAAAATTAGCCGGGCGCGGTGGCGGGCGCCTGTAGTCCCAGCTACTCGGGAGGCTGAGGCAGGAGAATGGCGTGAACCCGGGAAGCGGAGCTTGCAGTGAGCCGAGATTGCGCCACTGCAGTCCGCAGTCCCGCCGGGGTGACAGAGCGAGACTCCGTCTCAAAAAAAAAAAAAAAAAAAAAAAAAAAAAAAAATAATTCTCATACTTTATGCAGATTCACCATTTTTTAACATTTTGTCACAATTGTTTTATCATTCTTCCTTGCATATATATATACACACACATTGTGATATGTATATATGATTTACATAGAAATATATATTTGAGAACATTACATATATCATTTCCATTTATACTTCATTATGTATTTCCTAAGGTATAAAACTTACACTAACTTCACTGAAGTATTCAGGTTTTTAATATTTTAACTATAAGCAACACATGTGAATTATACTGTGAAATCTAAAGCACTACTAAAATTATAAATTGTTTTTCTTAAGAAACTAGCCCAAAAATATTTTATAAAAGAGCTAGCTATTTTTCAAATAAAAGATTGAACCTACATTTTTATAGATTTGGAAACATTGTACCTGGAATATACCTAGAAGAAAATGTAATGATTTCCAATTCTAATTTGTACAGGTAATAGAAATATATGTACAATTTCTGGCAGTCTAAAAATAATTTATATTACTCATAGGGAAAATATTTCATGTATCACATCATTTGAGTCAGGTTTAATTAATCAAATATAATAGTACTTTAATCACATAGGTAGACTATTAAAATAAACAATGGTCAGTCCTGAGAATGTATTTTTTTTCTACTCTAAAGGTTTAATGTTTTATGCATAGTCACTTTAGTACATCAAATGTGTAGAGTATATTTAATACAGCATTCTTTTCAATAGAATATTGTCAATTGCAAATCATGTTTAAATCAGCTAATGGAGAGATTTGTGCGTGCTACTCCTTCCCACACACCAGCCAGAAAACATGTAGCCATGTTTGAGATGACAGGAGAATGCTTATTTGAATTTAAATCATGTTTAAGGCAGAGCTATATTAAGCAATGGCTCCATAACTAATGAATTTCTTTGGAGAAATTGCTAAATATTATACCATCATACTCCAATTTTTTAAAAACATATCTAGCAAATTCATTTGAAAGAAAACAACAACTGAATTATCTCTTAGGACAGACCCACTCCAATGGAGAAAGAAAATACACCTACCACCTCTTCACTGCTTCCAGGATGCCAAATTTTGATGTCAACTATTGTTTTCTTTCTGTTACCATAGTGAATGATAGAATGGATTGCTAAAGTCCCTTGGAGAAAGATTTCTTTCTTTTTAAAACAAACGTTATTTTTTTTTCTTCTGAAGAACAATGCTATGCGCACAATGTAGTACTTTGAAGTCTTTAGGATTTTGATCATTATAATTTCCTGAAGCATACATACAAAGCTCTTTATCAAATACTTTTTCAAAGCTCTCTGGTAATTATATACTAGCTGATTTTATATTTTATTTAAAAATGCATTTCACAAGTTTTATTCCAAACTACACAACCATGTCCGTTTTTGTTCATCCCTCAAGCTCCATCCCAATGCCCCATCTTCCACAGAGTCACATCTGTTTTGAAAAATAATGCTTGAACATTTCAGCAACCACAAATCTTTATCTGCACCTCTAATACGGCTCCAAATGCTTTCTATATGATGGTATGTTAATTTGTGTGCAATCTTCATCTCTTCTTTCACAAAGGATTCTTGTCTTATTAATATTTGAATTATCCACAAGTTTTTAAAAAGTCTGAATTAATACTAAATTAAAAGTAACCCCTCTGAAATTCCAAAATATAAAAATCTTTTCATGCATTTTTAACTTATAAATATATCATATTTTCTTCCACATTTTTCTGTCTCCTAAACAAAATTGTACAAGTTTAAATAACATATTAAGACACTCTTTAATGAAGTTTAAATAATATATTAAGACACTGTTTAACACAACTTTCCATTTCTGAGATTTTCCCCATTACAGTTTATGGTAAAATCATAAAGGATGTACAAAATGGGAATTTAATGAATGAATATTATTTTCAATCTTCCCAACTCAGATACCAATATATTTTATTAACAGTATATTAATACTTGCTATATCTCATTAAATTATGCTTTTTATTTACGTAAACAGGGCCCAAAATAATTTACTTCTCAACTGCATAAATAAAGCCAAACTATTAGCGTAAATAAAATAAAGCATGGTGTATCTGGCATTATAAATGACAATGACCTGTTGAGTGATTTGATGCTGTGCTAAACTCTGGAGTCATGGAAATATTAAAGCTCATAGGAACAATGCAGTCAGAGTTCTGAAAGACCTTACAGTTGACTGGCGCTCAGATGTCTGATAAAATGCAATAGAAATAGTACAAATTTATAAGCAAGAACACATATATTAGAAACAAAGGGTGTATTTTTTTTTTTTTTTTTTTTTGAGACAGAGCCCTGCCCTGTCACCCAAGCTGGAGTGCTGTGGCGAGATTTTGGCTCGCTGCAACCTCCACCTTCCAGGTTCAAGCGATTCTCCTGCCTCAGCCTCCCGAGTAGCTGGGGTTACAGGTGCCCGCCACGGCGCCCAGCTAATTTTTGTGTTTTTAGTAGAGGCGGGGTTTCTTTCTTTCTTTTTTTTTTTTTTTTTCTTGAGACGGACTCGCGCTCTGTCGCCCAGGCTGGAGTGTAGGGGCGCGCGATCTCGGCTCACTGCAAGCTCAAGGCGGGATTTCACCATGTTGGCTAGGCTGGTCTTGAACTTTTGACCTCAGGTGATCCACCTGCCTCAGCCTCCCTAAGTGCTGGGATTACAGATGTGAGCCACCGCGCCCGGTCTAAAGTGTTTTTTGTTTTTTTTTTTGTTTTTTTAAGGGAGCCAGGTTTGTTTTCTGGAACACATATTCTGTATGCCTTCTATATTCTTTAGAAATATTGTTTACCCAGAAATTTTCTAGTTCAGCCTGAGTTTCTTAAGAATTGGAGAACATTTTTGAGTTTATAATTATTACCATTCCTGGTCAGAAAAAGAGAAATATATTTACTGTAATAACAGTCAAGATAATATGTAACAACTTTCCCATAAGGTTTTCCAAGTTCCTTAATATGACATTGCCTGTAAAAAGTATAGTGCTAGCTAGGTGTGTGTTTAACATTTAGAATGCTGTGCACTCCAAATAGATATTAATCCACAGCAACTGCGGTGAAAATTTAATATGTTACCTTAATAGAAATTTGTCTCAAAGAAAAAAAAAATCTTATTTCAGTTTATTAAATACCTCAACAGACCATTGTTTGGTAAACAGAATTGTGTATAAATAATCATCCATCAAATAGGAAAGCATAGTGTTGACAGAGAAAATGTACTTCATTTTAACCTGTCTTTAAGTTCTCCTTTCTTGAGAAATGATAATTTCATTATAAGAATTATAGGAAAATATGGATTTCACTACCAGAATTTCACTGTAAGATTGAATGACGAGCAAGTATTAATTATGTGTGTGTGTGTATACAAGAGAAAGAGTGAAAGACTGAGAAATGAATGAAGAGTAAGTGTCTTTTCTAATAAAACAGCAACATAAGCAATGTTAATATATTGGGCAATATGTGGGGCAGGAAGAGAGAGAGAGTGGAAGACTGTCGTGATAGGGTACAATGACATTAGTGACACTATCAGCTGTTGTAAGCTTGAATACGGTTCTGATAAGGGAGATGCAAATTGTGCCAGTCCAGAAAAAGACCAAGATGGATATGTAACTTTTTACCAGCAAAGTGGAGAATTTGTCAGCTTCTGCACATCTGTCAAAAGATTTTCTGAGTCATCAACTATACTTTGTCATAAACTTGTTCATGTCAAGCAGAGAGATGAAAAGTTCAGGGGAGCTCTCATCTCTACCATGAAGTTCACCTCTTCCTTAATTTCACTGGCAAGCATTGTAACTCTAAAATCTTGTCCTTATAAATTATTTATAAGTATATATGTAATTTAGAAAAATCCATAGATGGCAGTTTAATGCCTCTGAATAGCTTACCAAATGCAGAACTTCATTTTGTAGATATTCTTTCAGAATCTTTATGTAATAGAACTTTAATTTTTATTTTAAAACAAACATGTATTTATGGCCTGATAGAATTCCCTATTTTCTATATAATAAAGAAGATACTAACAGAGGTTTTGGTATTAGATAACATGTAGACAACGTAACCTGAAAATGCTCATGGCAGAAACTTAGAGGAACTCCAATAGTCTCCCTTCCTCCATAGAACTAGAACTCTAATTTTAGAATGCTGGCTGCTTAAATGCTACAATTCTCAGGAAGCTTCCAGGAAGTGTAGCCATATACCTAACATCTGACATATAAAGCGAGAAAGAATAATATATGCAACTTTGAGGATGTGTCTTTGAAAAGAAGGAAATGCCTTCTTTCTTCTCTACCTCCAATCTGCTCTGGAAAAATGAAAATGTTAAGTCCAATTTGGAAATTGTGTTACCGGTGGAGGGTCTTGACTGCAAATTGTCCAGGTTCTTGGCATTTTGAACAAAGAATTGGACAGAATGCACAGCAAAGCAATGAAAGAATGAAGCAATGAAAGCAAAGATTTATTGAAGATCAAAGTACACTCCACAGGGTGGGAGCTTGCAGAGCAGCTGTTCAACGACCCTGGTGACAGAATTTTCTGGGGTTTATATACCCTCAAGAGGTTTCCCATTGGTTCACTCGAGTGACCTGTGACTAGTCTGATTGGTTGAAGAGGAGGCCCACGACCAATCTGATTGGTTGCAGGAGGGGACCAATCAGAGGTACTTTCATTTTCCAACTGCCATGCAACAACTGCGAGGCAGCAAAAGGAGGGGTTACAACTGCCAGCAGCAACTGCCATGCAGAATAAAGGAGGGGTTGAAAAGGGAGTAGCCTCTGATATCGAGTCAGGCAGAATCAGCCTTAGGTTCCCTGCCTCCAAACCCTATTCTCCTTGCCTCGCTTGAGACCATGGCATATAGTATAGAAATTATGTAGAAGAAAGCTGAAATAAAGCTTACATTCTAGATAGATATGTAAACCTAAGCTACCTTCATCAGGACCTAGCTTTTCTCTTACATGAGAAAGAAAGAAACTCTTGTGGTTTAGCAAATTTTATTTTTATTTACTTTTTTAATGCTTTATTTTTAAGTAACTGAAGATTCACACACAGATGGGGAAATTAATATACAGAAATTCCATAAACTCTGCGGCCATTTTTCATCAGTTGTGACACCTTGTATAGCCATAGTATAAAATCACAACGAGGAAACTGGAATTTTGAGTCTTTCTTACAAACTTACTTAATAAAATAGTATTTATTTAGAATGTGCAACATTTGGATCTCTGTTTTAAACTTAAACCTAGCTGTTCCACTTTATGGTACAATTTACTTAGAAATACTGGATTTACTATTTTTAAGTCCTTTAAAAATTATAAGTGCTCTCACATAAAAGACTACCAGAGATTAAAAGCAAAGAGGAGACAAAAAAATTATAGCCATAACTAGAGTGCTTAGCTCTCAAACTGAAGCAAACCGGACAGATCTGGGGTGAAGGTGGAAAGGTTCCAGTCTTCTCATTGATGAAAGTGGGTTTTAGAGCAATATGGGAGCTGAAGATGTAGCCTACGGTCCTCGAAAAACTGGAGGGCAGCTCTACCAAAGTGAAAGAGTGGATTAAAACAAAATTAACTAATGCAGGATGGGTGGCCAGGACAGAAAAGAAATCCTCCCAAGCAAATTCACAATCAACTGCCTGGCCTACCCACAGTCTGGGGTTCACATTTGTATTATTTGGATCCATCAGGGTGCCTTGGTCCGTAAAAAATTAACATAAAAAGATTGGTCCAGGCTAGTGATACTCCTCAGGCTTCTGGAATAGTTACATATATGCTCTTTGAAAATGAACATATCTTCAAGTCAGGATCCACAATTCTCAAGGAAGACCTTGCAATCCAAGAGTACAAAGTGCCCACGAGCAAGAATAGACAGAAACAAACAAACTAACAGAGCAAGATTACATTCTGTATTTAATTCCCAAGGGCTGCTGTAACAAATTACCATTAAAGTTGTGGTTTAAAACAACAGAAATGTATTCTCTTACAGCTCTGGAGACCAGAGTTTGAAGGTGTAGCCAGGACTGGGCTCCCTCCAGAGGCTCTATGGAGATTCTGTTCCTTGCGTTTTTCAGTTTTGAAAACTGTCAGTGTTCCTTGTCTTTTGGCTGCAACACTCCAATCTCTGCCTCCCTCATCTACTGCTCTTTTAGTGTGTCTTCTGTGTGTCTTTTGTAAGGACACTAGTCATTGAGTTTAGGGCCTACCCGGATAATCTAGAATGATCCCTTCATCCCAAGATTTTTAATTCAATTACATCTGCACAGACCCTTTCTCCAATAAAATAATATTTGCAGGCTCTGGAGATTAGAATGCTGCATGCCAAAAAAGTTACATCCACATTCTAATCGCCACTCTCTAAAGAATTTCAGATAATAGAGCCAGCAAGGAGTCATTATATGTTTATTTAAAATAATTGCCTTCTTTATTAAAAAAGGCAATAATATGATGCTGTAGAAAAATGCTGGCCAGTTTTGCAAAAGCCCAGAACAGAACTTCAAAATATAAATAATGTAGGCATCAATATAAAATGAATAAATAGATGAATTTCACAGCAAATTAGGGCATTGGTAAGATTGTTAGTTATCTGAATTATATGTGTGTGTGTGTATATATATATATATATATATATATATATATATATATATATACACACAGAGATTGAAATGTTGTGATATAAAGGACTTAAATAAGTTTTATACATATATTTAATAGAAGTTTCAGAAAAAGATAACTGAGTTACTGACAGGTAACACATGCAAATATAAACTAAAAAATATAATTCAGTGTAAATTTTCAAGAATTATTGAAGTATATAAATCCTTACATTCAGGAATTATAATGAGTATTAAGTAGAATGAATAAATAGTAATCTACACTTAAGTAATATACAATGAAACTGCAGCACACCAAACACAAAAGGAGATACTAAGTGCAACCAGAGACCAATTTTATCTATAAATGAAGAACAATAAGTTGAAAGCAAACTTCTCAATAGAAATTACAAAAAAGAAAATCCAATAGAATAATTTTATACGTGCTGAGGATTGACTTTTTGCAACACTTATTCTTAACCTCCTTCCTTCATTGGGACTCAAATTATAAGATATCTCAGACTCTCTTGCAGAGTTATAGTTGTATTTTAGATTTCACCAGTTTAAATGGACACACAGCAGTTTTGTATTTAGAATCTCGTTCAATGAAGTAGAAGGTGTCAGAAAGAGAAGCACCCCTCTCCTTCTTCCAACAGCATAGCTTGAGTCAACAATTCCAGTGGCAGTTTCCTGATCCTTGCATGTAGCTAAGGTACCCTAGTCCTGGAAGCAAAAGTTGAGAAAGCAATCTCCTGCTTCCAGCAAAGGTAAAATTTTTCTTGATAGATTAGTTCTGAAGTGCTATTCTATGAATCGGTTTGAAGGCCCAGGCTGGAGCTTGCTCCTCTAGGATATCTAATGCTTTTATAAATGCATATTTCCCTATGTCAAATATTCTTCTGCTTAAAGTTGCTGGAGGGTTTAGTTATCTGAAATCAAGTCTTTATTGATAAAGTACTTGGTACCACCAGTGATTGTAGGCAATGGGAAAGTGATTGGTTCTCTGATATGGTTGGTTTAAAAGCGAGAAATATCTTATTTTCCCCACTATATAATGGCAGATTAATAGTTCATGGTGTTCAGTGTTAAGAGCTTTACCAAAATTTTCATCTGTAAGTGTAAAACTTTGGAAAATTAAATGGTAGCTTGAGAGACTATGAAACAGGCTTTTTCTAATAATACTGAAAAACAAAGAATAAAGCAATAGAACCAGGGCTTTAAACTCTTGGCTTAAGACACAATCAGAAAATCAGGAAATGTCTATGATCTGTCTAAATTATTTTCTTATATTATCTGGAGGGCTATTACAGTCAAAGATCAGACAAAATCGTACCTTTTGAGATGCTAAATTACAAAACAGGTTATATCCACAGACTCACTATGTTGCTTATGTGAAAGTTAATTATGAAAAAATAATATCCCCAAAGGTGGAATTTTTTATTCAAATAATTTTATAAGTGCAAGCATTCTAAATGCTCAAACCTCAAAAAGACTATTATAGCGATCTGCTTTATTGCAGAACTGAAATGACCTCACAGGTCAACTTGGAATAAAATACCAATTACCTTCTTGCTTTATTACTACTATCTAGTTTTTTCCACAACCATATTTAGAACAGATCCCAGGTTGCCAGAGAGGCCAGTTACAATGGCAAACCAAGGAAAAGAAGATTTCCATGCCAAAATATCTACAAGGTGATTGCATTTTTGTTTAAATACTTTTTGTGTCTGCTCCCATGGAAAATTAGCACATCTGTACCCCGACTGATGTAAGGTTTGGCCATGTGGCTTGATTTGGCAAATGGAATGTGAACAGAATTGATGTTTGCAACTTCCAAGAAGAAGCTCAAGAGCCAGTGTGTGGTCTGCCACCATGTTTCTCTTTCCCTGCCACAAAATCAACAATTTCCAGAAAGGTCCTACTCCTTTAGCTGGGCCCTGGGATAAAGACAACATAGAGCAAAACAAACTGCAGCCGTCTCAGAAATGAGACATAACATGGAAAAATATATATATAAATATGTATATATGTATGTGTATGTGTATATACATATCAAACATATATATTTTATGGCCACAGAATAATTTAGCTTAAGTTTAAGCTAATGAAAATATATATTTATATCAGCAAAACTTGATCACAGGAAGAATATGATTTTAAATTGGGTTTCATTAATTGATATAGTTAATCTTATCAGAAATTCCGACTCCATCTCCTAACTCAAACGTATAGGAGTCTAACTAATTGTTTATTCACTGAACTCATTGGTGATTTATGCTGAATAAGGTTGTGGTAGAAATTCCATCATATATATATATATATACATATGTCTTTATATATATATAAAGTCTTTATATATGTATATAAAGACTCAGAGACATATGGATATTAAAGCAGATTTTTCTTGTACCATCTGCTAGCTCAGTTCATAAGCACGACTCACAAGGTGACCCAGAAGACCTCTTTTCAGAAGACAGCACAAGCATCCTTGAAAAAAAAAATTGTGGTGACTGCAGATGAAAGTGAGAAATGCTGTAACTGAAATAACTTCACTTATTTCGTTATGGATGCCGATATCTGAGGATGGCAGGATCCTTGTAGCTATAGTTAACTGCCAGAGGAAGCATAGGCATGATTACAGTATTAGGTAACATAGCTGGAGTAGAAGTTGAGTAATTTGACCCACTGAGATCTTTGATAGTGGCTCATTACTCATGGAATTCTTAAAGTAAAATCAATAGGAAGGTTATTAACCTACCTCACCTGTTTAACAAACACATCCTGATGAACAGAGAACTACCTTGATTCACCATGATATTTATTAATAGGATGACCATATTGTTTATTATCCAAATTAAAATATATTTGAAAATGAAAGCTGGAATACCAGGCATGAAACAGAAAAAGCATTTTAATTCCATGATCCTGTGAAATGTCTAGACAAGATTACAGGCACTCTACAGTCTTATATGGCTGTAACTCTATAGTCTTATATGGTATGTCAAAAGCCAGTTGGGTATTGATGTTTATTGTCCTTTTTTGTCCATAAAATACAGATTTTGGTCAAATTTTATAGTTAACCCTGCATAATAGAACATGGTAATTTAAAACATTAACCAAAAATAGAAAACACTGTATCTCCATTTAAAGTGTTTCGGTATGTAAAAAACAACTAACTTTAGGGTTGAAAACATCTAAAGTACATAACCATTTTTAATTGCAAGGATCACATGGGTTATTTGTTCATTTATATTTGAAAATCTTAATTCAGGAAGGAAGATAACATAAATGAGTTCCAAAATTATCTCAGGAAGTATCCTAATATGTGTAATAATATCCTACAATAAAATTTTTTTTGATGATTTACATTTTAAGAAACTATGTTCTCCTTACAGGAAAGGGGTCAAATAGAATAGCTGATGTATTATTCCTGAAATATGAAGAATTTGATCTTAAACCTTAAGAATTCTATACATCTGTGTGTTACTGAACACAAACTCAGAAGTACAAACTTTTGAAGTTCTACTTTTGAATGTTCTACTGTGTCCTTCAAATGTATATACAGCTATTTCGGAGAGATGTTGGGGATGAATTACCAAAAAATATAGAGGGAATTACAAGTAGTCCCCTGGAGTCCCCCTTGTTTTGCTCTTCTTTTCTTTTGATCTCTAATAACCATTTCTTATGGAAAATAAGCTTGCTCCCAATGAGCTTTTCTAAGTCTTTTGAACACTTTATTTCGTAACTCCCACCCCTTTTCTGTCACATTGCCAAGTTCTGGCCTTGACATGTTCATTTTCCAGGATATAGCACTGACTGATAACATTATCATTATGATCAGGGCTAGCTTTGCAGAAAGTAGAGTGACTGAAACACTAGAAGACTCTCCAATCCCCCACATCATTATTCTTCATGCTTAAAGTTCAACATGTCATTTCATTTAATAATTGCCTTTTCTGTCCAGATTATCTTTTGAAATGCAAACTGTTTTAGAAAAAAATGAATATGCAAAAACCACGGTGTAAATAAATTTATCAGTCATTTTCTGTAGGTGAATAGAGAGAACTATTTAGTGTTAAGAAAGAAATTAAAAGAGACAAGAACCTAAAGTAGAGGCTGGAACACCAAAGATAATTATATTATTCCTTAGAGCCAGATGGGCTGATTATTATTTTTGATCGAGAACACACTGATCTTAGCCATTCCAATTCTGCTAAAAACTACCCTTTGATGACTGCTAATAATGAAAGTAATTTTTTTTTGCTTTCTCACATATATTCTCCTTCAGTATTATATTGTTATACAATAATACAATTATTATAATGATTGTGTTATTCCTTAGAGCCAAATGGATTATTGTTTTTGATTGAGAACACACTGATCATAGACATCCCAATTTTACTAAAACTACCCTTTGATGACTGTTAATAATGAAAGTAAATTTTTTTGCTTTCTCACATATATTCTCCTTCAGTGCAGTATTGCTAATAATCAGTGGCTAAATGTTAAAAAGACACCCTAATAAATCTGCATCCACTCATGAAAGACAGAAATGAGCACTCAAATACTATGACACTGTGATGTGTGCACACATGGTCTTGCCACTACTGTAGTCTTAAATGGCTAACTGGGTATTGATGTCAGGTACTCCACATGCTGTAGAAAATAGCCTGGCAGTGAGTGTTTTGGAAGGTCAAAGGTTTAGGGAAGAGGACAGATATTTCTTTCTTGAGAACCTTTAAATGGAATAGCAGTAGGAATTCCAAAGCAGAATGGTAAAAACACATATTACCCTCACCTTCTTTTTTGAAATTTACTCAAAACAACGTGAACCGAAATCAGAAATTCAGCACAAACTCTACCCATAATTAAGCCAGAAGAGAGCTGTTGACTCTAATCAAAATGTATCAAGATAGAAAATGGATGCAATACATGTAAATGACATATCAAAGAGAAGATTTAAATTAAGAGTAATGAGTCATGGTAGAGAAAAGTATCTTCAAAAGCACATGTATTGATTAGTTCTACAGACACTCAAAAGGCTCAAGAATTCACATAACTGGTCAACATAAGAGTGAGAAGAAGGAAGAGGACTGAAAATAGGGAACTTTTCAAAAGTATTTATAAAGAGAGGTGAGACCCCAAGGGTCTACATTAATCCATCTTTTCTCACTGCCCAGGGAAGGAAAGGTTTATCCTCTGTGGTGTCCTTTTTAACTCAGATTATGTCATCTTCTGGTGAAAGCACTCCAATAATTTCCTTTCACTTTTTCATGTTCTATTTCTGTTTCAGAAAAAAACGTAACTAAAATGTTATACTTTCTCTAAGGGTCTTTGATATACTTAATTTTTAAATAGGAGTAATTAAATTTAAAATTAATTTTTCCCACTTGAGTGGGAAGATTGCAGACTACTGACCAGTAGCTTTAATGACTGTCTGCATTCAAATCTACACTCAATAGTTATATGTCATTGACAAGTAAGTTACTTAACCTCTTTGTTCATCAGTTTCCTCATCTATAAAATGCTGGTGATAATAGCACAATTGACCTTTGAACAGGGCAGGGGCTATGGACCCCCTTTGCAGTCAGAAATCTGTGTGTTACTTGTCATTCACCCAAAACTTAACTACAAATGGCTTACTGTTGACTTAAGACCTTACTGATAACATAAACCATCAACTGGCACATATTTTGCCTGTTTTATGCATTGTATACTGTATTCGTACAAAAAGTATGCTAGAGAAAAGAAAATGTTATAGAGAAAATTATTAAAGGAAGAGAAAATATATTTATTATTTGTTAAGTGGAAGTGGATCATCATAAAGACCTTTATCCTCATAATCTTCACATTGAGTAGCTGAGGAAGAAGGGGAGGAGGGGCTGGTTTTGCTGTCTCAGGGGTGGCAGAGATAGAAGAAAAACTGCATATAAGTGGACCCACACAGTTCAAAACCATATTGTTCAAGGGACAACTATTTGTTGACTACATATCATGAAATTGTTTTGAAGATTAAATATGTAAACATTTACAAAATTAGCCTGGAATATAGAGTGCTATATTGGAGTTTCCTATTCTGTTATCTACGTTCTGCTATGATGACCACCTCCTAAAATCTGACAGCGAGAACTAGAAACATATAAAGATGTTTTAAATAATTATTATCATGAGAATAAATTGACTCAAAGTTAGAGACGGCTAGTTACTCATGTACTATCAATTATCTGCATCTTGTCACTGATATATTCTAATTTAATCTAGCGCAACAAAATAACTGAATGGAAGATTACATTTCCCAGTCTTTGCTTGCAGTGAGATACAAGCAGAAGCCATCAGGTAAGAATATCTAGGAAACCTATTGAAAGTGAGAGATTTGCTCTTTTAGTTTTTCCTACTTCCTCATTCTTCCTTCCTGGAATACAGATGTATTATCTGGAGCTACAGTTGTCTTCTTGTACGATAAGGTGACCACAAGCATAGAAAACGTCCTAAGGAAGGCAGAAAAGAAAGATTTTAAAAGACAGGATTCCTTAATGTCAGTAAAACAGCCGTACCAATTCTGGAATTCTTTTATGCACAATTTCTGTGAGACGAAATTAAGATTCAGTCATTTTAAAGCCTCTTTAATTTGAGTTTTGCATTATGTGCTGCTGAAGCCAATTCTAACTTATATAGATGCCTGTAGTGATTCCATTTGACCCAAATAAGATTATTTGTACTATTTTTACTCAATTAAAAATACAAAATTAAGCCTTTAAAATAATATAAATTCAGAATTAACTACAGACCCTGCAATGAGAAACATTTTTCAGTTAGTTTATTCTTTCCATAAGAAGTTTCTCCCTGTTTGTTTTATGATTATATCTCCTCTGTGTCATGGAACAGAGTGTCTTTTGTTTATTTCTTGTAAAGCAGATACAAAATTTGAGTGTTCATTTTACTGTTGGTTTTTCCAGCATTACGAACCCCAAGCTTTTGATCAAATTTTTGTTAGCCTTTTATGTCTGAGGACACTTTGCAGTAATGAATAGTGAACCATTACGATGCTCATAATGTTCACAGTCAATAAAAGGACCATTTTATGTGCATTTGTTGGCAAGGCATACATATGTGAGTTTTAGGACTGGGGAGAGTAAGCGAAAGTAGCTTTTTTTGTTGTTTAACTTAATTTCAAAGACTTCTTTTCCAAGTCTCATTGAAGTCTTCGGTGTTGAAAAAAACTATAAAGACCCTCCTGGCTTCCAGTGACTTGATTTTATCATCCATGTACCACATAGAGAACCACAATATAGTTCCTCGAATACTTGACATTTTTTACATAGACTTACGTAGGTTAGAAGACACTTTTTACTCTGTCTGCTTGCATAGTCCAATGCTGTTCTAGACAACATGATATGGCAGAGACACAGGGATGATGAGGAGTGGTTGGAGGGGCCATTACAAAGAGGAACAGAATACAGTAAATTGTTACTGTAAATTTACTATCTATACCTCTAATATGTACCTTTACTAAGTATACCTCTAATCATCACCTTATGAGACATTAGCAACTTTTATATTTCCAAACCAGCCATCAACACCAAGGGATCTGAACTTAACTGAACTTGTTTGGGTTCCTTCATCATGTCTACAAGAATAACAAAACCACATAGCCCCGACACATTCATCAGGATAAAGGAGAATGGCGGTGAATGTGATTATCACCAGGTATCTCTCTTAAAGAAAGAGGGAAATCCAAAATCACTTGCTTCCGAAATACAGAAAATACTCCCAATTTTTAGATGTCTATTTATCATTTTCACTGAAAAAACATTTTCCCAAGATGAAATAATAAAGAAGAAGGAAAGCAGGCCACAGCATCTTTAAATGTAAGTTATCTCAAGCCACTTTTATTTTTCAGTCTGTCTCAGCTTCATTTTGGCAGTTTTATTCTCCTTTGGAGAATGGAAAAAAAGAAATCAGGTCACCATCAAGCTTTTATTCTTTGGATTAGAAAAGGCAATGAAGGCTGCATGAGCAGCAGTATCAGTAGCAAGGACATTCCAAGGGCACAGCTGTCCCAGATGCATGTAAGGAAATTCCTAGGCTTCAGATTGTGATATTCAGGGTGTAAAATTTCACAATACCCCAAATTGCTATTTTGTAACAACAACCTTAAATTATGGTTATTGTCTTAGTTCATTTGGGCAGCTGTAACAAAGTACTATAGACTGGGTGGCTTATAAATAACAGAAATTTATTTCTTACAGTTCAGGAGACTGGGAAGTCCAACATCAAAGTGCCAGCAGATTCTGTGTCTGGTGAGCACCTGATTTCTGATAGAGAGCTATCTTATGACTCTAACGTCACATGGCAGAAGGAGTAAGGGGTTTCGCTGGGTCCTCTTTTATAAATGCACAAATTCTATTCATGTGGGCAGAGTCCTGATGCCCTAATCACTTCCCAGAGGCCCTATATCCTAATACTATCATCTTGGCAGTGAGAGTATCAACATATGAATTTGAGGAGGAAATCGACATTAAAATCATAGCAATCATATCTTTATTATTAAGTAAGTTATCAAACATTTCTATATGTTCACTTAGATATAAACCCTTTGAAGAGAATGATAAAAACGTTCTCAATGATCCTGGCCCAGTGGCTCCGTGGTTATACGTGGTAAATAAGTACCTTACTATCTCTTCCCCTAAGAGGGCTATTGAAATGCACAAAGCATGTAGAATGGGTAAAATGGTTGGTTTGTGAATCATAAATCTTTTGAACTCCTGTGCCTAGATTGCCATATTAAGCAATTTTTTCGAAAAAGGATTTCCATTTAAATTTGAATTTTAGATGAACAACTTTTTTTTTAGTCTAACTATGCCCCATGCAATATTTGAAACATACTAAAAAAAGTACTTGTTGTTATTTAAAATTCAAATTTACCTAGGTGGGCATCCTGTATTTTATCTGGCAAGCCTACCCCCACCTCATAATAGTACATTTAAAACATTCTTTTAAATATCGAATAAGGTAGATTCAGTCACTGAAGAGTAGACATGTATCTTGTTTCATGTGACACAGTTTAAACAAGTATGTTTTAAACAGTGTGATATAAAATATATTGTGAAGTTCAATTGTCGTTCCATCTAGTTTACATGATTTTTTCTTTCTCTTTAGCTGTCCATATTAAGTCCATAACACATCAGCTTATGGAATCTCAGAAACTCATGTAGAAGTGGGTTTTTTTTTTGTGTCTTATCACAGAAAGATACTCCTTTGCTTTGGAGATGGACTTCCAATCATGTTCTAAAACTAGATTATGAGACCTTTAACTGAAGCATTCCATGAGGTTCTGCAATTATTTTGCCTACCCTGAAGACTTAAAGAAAGTCAAATTCGACATTCCTGAGGTGGCACAACAAATATTTTCTGTATATTGTCATCTTTCTTGTTAGTTAAAATGGAAAATATATACATTCTTCATTCATTCGTAATATAGTGGTTAACATTATAAACCCTATAATTAGGCAGCCTGTTTTTTGTTTCTTATTCTAGCTTCATTGTGCCACAGTCCTTATATTCTCATGCTCCATTATATCATAAAACCTCATGATGTTTAGGGTTTTAAGAATTTGTAAAAAACATACAATATTACTTAATATTTTAGTATCAGCAGAGAAAATTATCCAGGTAGATGAAAACTAACCTCTTTAAATTCCTAAACATTTAATGATTAAATACTTAAATAATTGGGATAAATTATTTAAATATGTTATATGTTTCCACAACTTATAATAAGAAGTAGAACATAGAATATGCTTTTTGAAACTCTGGAGCATTTATTGGAATGCTAATTGTTCTCAAGCACAAACGAAGCAAAGCTCTGGAGAAACATGGCCCAGAAGAATCTTTTTTCAGGGGCAGAAATGTTGTGTGTCTGTGCTATCCAATATGTGGACACAAGCCACATGTGGCTACTAAGCACTTGAAATGCGGCAAGTAAAACTGACCTCCTACATTTTAGATTTAATTCTAATTAATTTAATTTAAATATTTGCATGATGCTTGTGGCTACTCTATTGGACAGTGCAGATCTAGAGAGTTGAGTTGTGAGGGTTTTAAGATCTTATGACTAATTTCTTTAGTTTTTTTTTTTTCTAATTCTGTCTCTTCAAGAAAATTCCATGTAGTTAATTGGTAGTACTTGTCTTTAGTGAACTTCGTAACTGCTTTCTATTTTTTGTTTCTAATAAGCTCAGAATAATTGTAAAAATACACTTTTTAGAAATACACTCATATTAAAAGCAGTCAATTTGAATGAAAACACAATTCTTTCTTAAGAGGAAGGAGTATGTGCTATTGTATAAAGATGCCTCCCTAAAAAGACATTAAAAATAAAGGTCTATGTTAGTTGTGAAAGTTTTTTTTTTGTTGGTCCCCAGCAAGTACCATAAAGTTGACTTATTGGCTAAAAGCTCTCTAAATTAAGGAGTATGCTGTATTTACAAGAATCCTTCACATTTTATTATAATTTTATATTTAATTGTAGTTGATATTAAAAATGCAGAAAATTAGATAGTTGTTTGTTATCAGTGCTATTAAATATGTTGGAGAAGATCCAAGAAAATAAGGAAGGTCTGAGATAGACCAGTTCTTGTCATCAGGAATCTAATTAAGGGATGTTAATCCTGTGGTCTTGAGAAACTAGGCTAAGAGAAAGATTGTAATTATGTGGGATTATGTAAACCACCAGCAAACCATAAAAAGGTATAGTTAATCAATAGTACTAAATAACCATCACAACTTGTAAAAATGTTGTTTTTTGGCCATTAGACAAACGATGCACAGCCTGGTATTTACTAATCCTGACGACTGAATGACATAAGTGATCCATTTGAAAATTACTGTTGATTCATTTATATTCATTTGGAAATAAGACATTCACCAAAATAGAGATAATGAGAATCTTTTACTGTATTATAAAAAAGAAAATGAAAACCTAAACACCCAGGATGCAAAGGATTAACTTTTTTGTTTTTTGGCACTTGTGTCAAAACCTCTAACTCACACCTTCTCCAGATAGTAATTACCATGTCAAAGAAAATGCATAAAACAGGCAGCAAAACAACAACATATCAATCAAAGGTGTTGATACAGACAGAGCACATAAACAACAAAAAAGAAAAGAAATAGAAAGTCATGGTTTCCAGGCATTGTACCTCAGACAATGCAGGACTGTAACTCTTGAAAGAAGAAAATCCATAGCACAGGGATAGAAGTATATGGCCGAACCTGGCAATGTCTCTGAGTTGAAGGGACCAACTGGGTGTCTAGGGAGATCAATGTGTGTAGAGTTTGCAAGACAGAATAACAGAGTCTGGAAATCTACCAGGAGTCTCCCTCTGATCTTCAACTGAGTACTGGTGAGCACATGCATATGATAAAAATACCTGAGGGCAAGGAAAGAAACAGAGGAAACAAAACAAACAAAGGAAACATTCCAGGGGTTGTATACAGGGCCAGCAATTGTTTATGTTCCTCCATCCACAGTAAAAATCCATGTAATTCAATTTAAGAATTACTCAGAATGAAACTTTCATAAAATCAACTGTTTTCCAAAACTTTCACTATGTTGCAGAACAAGGTCAAGAATATTTATAGGAAATATCAAACATGCAACAAGTTCACAATGTCTAATATCCAAGTGAGAATTGTCAGGTATGAGACAGCAAGAAAGTGCAACCATGATGAGTAGATGGTCAAAAAGATCCAAACCAAAGTTCCGAGTATGAAAAATAAAATGAGGTGACAACTATGCTAGTTTTTCAGCACTTTGGAAAACATTGACAATGCAATGCCCTCCAGATGATCCAATCATTCCATTTGTACTTACTCAACAGAAAACTTGCACTTAAATTGTCATAGAATATTGATTTTTAATACCCCCAAATTATAAATAACTCAAATGCCCATCAACAGATGAGTGAAAAAACAAATTATAGAATATCCATATGTGTCAGTCAGTTCAGGCTGCTATAACAAAATAGTTGGCTGGGAGGCTTAAACAACATACATTTAATTCTCACAGTTCTGGAGAATAGGAAGTCCAGAATCAAGGTGCCAGTAGATTTGGAGTCTGGTGACCGTCCTCTTCTTTTTTTGCTGATGGCCTTCTTTTCATTATGTCCTCACGTGGCCTCTCTTTGGTGTAAAAGAAAGAGCTCTTGTTTCTCCCTGTTTTAATGAGGGCATTAATACCATCATGAAAACCTCACCATCATTACCTAATTACCTCCCAAAAGCTTTAACATATAAGTTTGGTGATGGGGGACACAAACATTCAATCCATAGCAGCATACATATGGAAACATAGTATTCAACAATAAAAATAAATGTACTATTGATTATGCTGAATAAAAAAAAGCATTACCTGCCTCTGAAAAATTAAAAGAATATATTCTCTATAATCCCAATTATATAAAATTATTTCAAAAGCAGGGAAAACTGTAGCTGAAGAAAGCGTATCTGTGATTGCCTGAGGATGGCTAGGTGGGGGAGAGGCAAGAGGGAAAAATTATAAAGGAACATAGGAGAATTTTGGAATTTCTAGATATGTTTATTATCTTGATAGTGGTGATGGTTTTACATGTATTTATAGACACATACACATACATCAAATCTTACAGCTTATTTTTATTAAGGTTATGTTTTAAATTGAGATCAATATAGCTATAAAAACAATAAAAGACTTAAAGGACATGATATAAATATTTGAAAATAGACACATATAGTGCATATTTGGTGCTGGAAATTGTTCATAGAACATATAAGCATTGAGTATTGTGTTTGTAGTAGACAGTCAATACATATTACTCTACCATATGGTCTATGTAATATTTTTATTTGAAAATATGTGGCATAGAGCTCAAAGTTTATATCTAAATTACATCTCTAATCACAGTATCCCTCTGGACCTTTTTGGCTTAAACTCAAAAAAGTGAAACAAAAAAGGTTTTACTAAGCCCTGAACCCCAACAACAGTAACATTTAAACACACACACACACAGAAACACAGACACACACAGAAATACAGACACACATTATCTTTTTCAGTAAAATTAATAGCATTCCTATTTAAAGTTATGCATATGAGTTTCTAGAACTCTTTTTAGTGATACCTAGAAGTTTTTTAAATATAACTTATTAACTTATTAAACAGACTGGCACTTACTGGTGCTCAATAAATATATTTTTAATGAAACAATGAGCAGTTTTTTTATCATTTGCATGTTTTATAAGGGCCTGTCTATGAAGATAGCTTCCAATAATGTTTAAGTGATTTCATTATGAATTGGCAGCATTAAAATCACTGCTTTTTATAAAAAAAACAATTTCTTTGTATTCATATGTCCTAATTGATAATGTTAAATAACACTAATGAAATAATATTAGTAGTGTCTAATATTTAAATTTAAAAATAAAATAATTTTTGAAATATTTTTATAATGAAAATACTACATATTGTATCTTGTAAGTTACAGAGAAAGCAGTATTTAGCGGGAAATATATAGCCTTAAAGCTAATATTAAAAAGGTAGAAAATACTGAAGGGTGATTTAGCATATATTTACTTAAACACTTTGAAGAACAGTACAAAAAAATTAAAATAGAAATAAAAACATAAGGAATTTAAGAAAAAACCTTAGAAAAATATTAGAATACATTTACAAGGCCAAAATTTATTATTTGAAAAATTAATAAAATAGACAAGTTCTAATGACAGCAATCAAAGAGAATGAGAAGCAGCACAGTAAATATTAAGATATGAAAAGACTACATAACTACTAGTATACTAGTACCACTCCCCCCAAAAATAATAGAATACTTTGATGCTTTTTTTTTTTTTTTTTTTTTTTTTTTGAGACAGAGTCTTGCTTTGTTTCCCAGGCTGGAGTGCAGTGGCGCGATCTTGGCTCACTGCAAGCTCTGCCTCCCAGGTTCACACCATTCTCCTGCCTCAGCCTCCCTAGTAGCTGGGACTACAGGTGTCCGCCACCACGCCCAGCTCATTTTTGTATTTTTAGTAGAGACGGGGTTTCACTGTGTCAGCCGGGATGGTCTCGATCTCCAGACCTCATGATCCACCCACCTCGGCCTCCCAAAGTGCTGGGATTGATGCTTAGTTTTATGTGTCAACTTGGCTGGGCTATGGTGTCCACTTGTTTGGCCAAACACTAGTCTAGATGTTGCAGTGTAGATATTTTGTTGATGTGATTAACATCTACAGTCAAATGACTTCTAAGTAAAGAATGATGATGATGTGGGTGGGCCACATTCAATCAGTTGAAAGGCTTCAGAGCAAAAACCAAGGTTTCTCAGAAAAGAAAGTTTCCTTCATCAAGATTATATTCTAATAATATAATAATCTGTTATTTGAATAATAGAAATCCTGCCTGAATGTCTATCTGTTCGCTTGACCTATGGGTTTGGATTCAAGACTGTGACTCCAACTCCTGCCTGAGTTTCCAGCCACGTGGCCTTCCCTACAGATTTTGGACTTAACACTGTGATTGCATGAGGCTATTTCTTTAAATCTCTCTCTCTGAGGAACCCTAACTAGTACTAATATTACAATAATGTAATACCAATACATTTGAAATATGACAGCAAAATTGACTGAAAATGAAAATTTAAGCCTGCATACTTTTATGTTCATTAAAAAATTAATTTGATTGAAACCTTTACACAGAGAAATTACCAAGTTTATATAGTTCTATAGGTGAATTCTAATTTATCTCAAGAAGTTGATCATTAATTCTATGTTGTCCCTTCCAGACAATAGTAAAATAGGAAGCATTACTTGTCAGATTTTATGCTTTATTTAAAAACCAGACTATTATGCTCCAAGAAAAAAAAATTACACCCTAAAACATCACTCCCCCAAGAAATATATACAAAAGCTCCCAAAGAGTGTCTTAGCAAACTGAATTCAGCAATGGATAAAAAAGATGCATCGAGTTGTTTCTTTCCTAATAGATTCAAGAATGGCTAAACATTGTAAAATCTTACATTGTTATTCATTGAATTATCAGGTTAAGTAAGAAAAAATATAAATATTTCAATAGATTAGTAAAAAACTTTTAATAAAATTCAATGCCAACTTATGGTTTTAAATTAAAAAGGAAGGGAAGAAACATACTTTTCCTGAGAATGAGTAAATACCAACAATTGATAACACATATATAGGCCTACACTGTAGAGAATTCTCTTGCCCATGTAAACCAATACAAATCAAGAATAGCAAATGTCAATCAATTCTTTGTAATACATTCATATAGTGGAATACCTACATAGAAATGGAAATAGATAAATGAGGGTTGTATGTATCAATAGAGATGCATGTTAGAACATAGCATTGAATGAAGAAATAACAGAAGGTATTAAATTCTATTTTCATAAAACTCATCAAAGAGAAAAACTGGCATATGTATCTAAGAGAAAGACTTTCACAAACACACACACAAAGCAAGTTCCTAATAAATACAAATCAAATTAGTGTTTAGTTCTTCAGTAAGGACAGAGGGATATGGGTTAGGGAAGGAGCACATAGATATATGGGAAGAAATTGATAATGTTCTAGTCATTAAAGTCGATTGTGTATTGATTGTTCTATTATCAGGTTTCTTTATTACACACCTATCATATATGTAATGTGTATAATATATAATGTGTGTTTATATATCTGTATGTGTATATATGTGTGTATGTGTATTCTGTGAATCATGCTTGCATCACGTAGGCTAGATGGGGGCAAAGGAGCTATATCATCCCTGGAGTCAGTCCTATTTTATTGACTCTTTCACACACTCTTCCCAACTATTTCCCTATTTTCTTGCCTCATCCCCTTTACTTGACATTGTTGCTCAAATGTGTTTTAGTAACTCTTTCCTGATTGGAAGAGCAATACAACACATTTCTAAACAGCTGGCATAGTGGAAAAATTAAAGTGAAAATCACCCATAATTCTACCACATAGAGAAAATATCACTTATCTCATGTGTGCATGCACTATACATACACACAAACCCCAAAACAGGAATTTCTATATGTTCACCTTTGTCTACTGCCATAATGTATTATATAATAGGAAAATAAGTAGTAGTATATGTAACATTATGTATGATATAAGCAGTATAATATGCAACATTAAATATTAATGTGTAATATGTATGATATACTATTATACACTATTCTGTTATAATATTAATATAGAATATATCTTATATATTCTATAATATATTAATATTTACATGCTATAATAATATAGAAACTATATTCTATAATGTCATCACATAATTATATAATGTATACAGTTAAATAGTGCATATTTCTTATTTTACTATGTATTTTTTCAAGTCATTGTTTTTCATGACTGGAGCCTATAGGCAGAATTTTTGTTTTACTCTTCTACCAGGTCATCCTTTCTTTATCCAATGTCCAGTAGTTTTCTCTTGACTTGTATTTCCCAATTATTCCTTTCAATTTACAGGTACTTCTCAGGGCTTTTGAAATCTTTATGCAATAGCTAAAGTTTGTCATATACCTTATAATAATAATTAATATTATTTGTATTAAGATAAGTTAAAAAATACAATGCGTCCCTTTGATATTGGGGTATTTGAGATTCCTGTAAGGTCAGAGACTCAATTCTTATAAACATTTATTTTGTTAAATACAGCCTTGGGAACAAATCAACATCCAGTCAGCAAAATTATTGTTAGCCCTAGGTGTAATCAGAATAAAAATAAAATGTTTAAAAAGAAGCACAATGCATAAAGAAAGATGCTCTTTACTTTTCTGGCTCTTTGAGAGAGCAGTGTTGTCATATTTCCTTCCTGGTCCTAAGATATGATTGATACTCCTCTCTGCTCTACTCAGAGCACTCTGTCTGGAGGAAACACATGGGACAATAGCACCAATGGCTTCTGACTCCTACCTACAGTACCACTGCCTTTGTTATATTTGACCAGTCATTTTCTTTCTTTGCCTAGGATGGGAAGGTATGAGACTCAATAAAAAATACAACAAATTGATGAGTTTTAATAGAAAAGTGAAAAAATATATAATTTTAATTTATTGGAGCCTAGTCATTTTTCCAATATGGTGTCCCTTAGTCAATGTTTTTTTTTTAATCTATTTTAGCTCAACAGAATTGAAAAACTATGACTAACCTCACAATAGCAACAACAATAACAAAAATCTATTGATGCTCCCCATATTTTGAGAACTTTGAATAGGATATATTGTAAAGAAAGGTAAAGATCAAGAAATGTTTCACTGAAAAAAATACACTTATTTGGAATTTAAGTGTAACTTAGCCTGTATGGGCTATTGCAGTGACCTAGAATTTAAAAAAGACATCCAGTTGTAAGATAGTGTTCAAATCATTGTCAAGAATTGTTACCCAACATTAAGTTCATTTTCTCTGTGTTTGACTCTGCATCTGTAGCTCTCAGTAACATGAAAAGGTCATTTTATCTGCTTTCTATGGAAAATTGCTAAGGAAACCAAAAAACTTTGACTCTATCTGTGCCTTTATCTTTGATTTGATGAGAGTTTATATGGAAAATTAATAACAATTTTAAATAAAAATAATAACAAAGAGCAACAGTAGAAAAATACTTTTTAAAGAATTCATACCAAAATTTGTATTTGAAGCATTATGGACAAAATGCAGAAAGAGTTCCACCGTTGTCCTTTCTTGCTCCACGAAATTCTGAAAGTTTTGTTTGTAATTTATTTGGCCTAGGGATTAATGAAAGCAGCAGAGCTTTCTATTAATGCGGAAGCTTTTGGGTGCTTAGTGTGTATAAGCATCACCAGGGAAGCTTGATAAGCACACTCAGACCTACTTAAAAGATATGGGGTAAGACTCTGAGACATGCATTTTAACCAATGATATAGATGGCCAGTGACTACCCTTTTAAAACAGGGTCTTCAGTTGGTCACTCTTAGATTCTCCCTCTGAAACGGTTGTGCTATAAATTCTTTTAGGAAGTTGTATGTTGATTTTCAAACACTAAGACCCCAGCTACCTTAATACAGGTCTTTTTATACCTAGATATTGTGATTAGCTGGAGATTTCAGTTTCCAGTAGGAGCACCATGAAGGTGTAAATTGTGGGAAACCTGCCAACTGGTGAAACAAATAGAGTCTCTTGGGGTGATGGATTAAGTGCACCTGAATTCCAGCAAATTTTAAAGGGCAAACTAATTCCATTTCCTTATTTGTGTGGGTGTTTACAACAGCATGTTGAAAAACCAGTTCTATGTGATGTAATCATAAAAACAAATTAGTAATTATCTCCTACTGTTTCTTTAACACTGCTAATAGGAAAGTACAGATACAGGTTTTCCACAACCCAGGAAATCTCATGCCGTTTTTCGGCTACTCACAGGTAATAGGAAATTCTATATTCAATTAGAATTACTAAACATAATATAAATTCAGTAAATAGAATGTCCAGTACCATAAAATAATCAAAACTTTGAAGGTGAAGAGGTCAGCCTTTCCTCTTCTGCATCTGGGTCCTGCTGAGAGCTGGCTATTTGCAGTGAGAGGAGGCAATGCAGTAGTATTCACTTCTCTCAAATTCTACTTCTTCCCCCCTCCTGAAGCTGGCTAAAAGGAATTTCCACTCTGCTAGAATGGAAGAGAGAGAAGAAGGAGAGGCAGATAGGCATCTAAAAAATATTTTATATTACTGGTAAGATTGGAAAATGTCCATTATTCCTGGAGATAGGCAAATTTTTAAATTTTTAAAGCAGACTCTTTCTTAGGCAGCTTTGTTAGCTCTGTCCTGCTAGACTATCCTGCTATCCCTTATAACTGCACCTATATTGATAGGGAAAGCAATTTCTGTTTTCTTTTTCTTCTTTGAGCTCCAGGTTTTCCAAAGCCCATGCTTTCTCACTTTGTTTCACACCTTCTCTCTGTTGGTAGCTCTTCTCTCCCCTAGATAATTGTTTGAGCAAGATTTTAAATGACCCCAGGTAGACGTTGTTGCCACTAGACTGATCCCTGGATTTCATGCAGCTTTGCCCTACTGTCAGGGATTCAGGGAGTGTGGGTACTGCCAAGACACAGCTCTCAGATCTGTTGCCACAAGCTACGCTAGCCAACACTCTAGTATTTGACAGCCAGTAGAACTCTGCTTCTCAGTAAAAATGTTCAGTGGATCACCTAGTTACACAAACACCCACACACGTACAACTGCACTATTTACAGAAATAACTTAAGGGCACATAAATGTTTGGCATATGATTTATTTCCTATTTAAATATAAATAGACTCAACATGCTAATTTTGTGACAAAAGTGACTGCCCCAAAAAAATAAATAAAAGGCAGTCCCTTTTCATCTTTTCTATGTATTCTATGTATTACTCCTCTCAGAATTTAATGGAAAAATTTGCAGTATGTCTTAACACAACCTTTAAGAGAAATGTAACCTGGTTTCTCATTGCTACTTTTGCTTGCCTTCTTTCGAGAATTATTTATCTAATATGAATTATTTTTGAAATCATTTAGTACCTATTAAGTACAACGTGTCATCTGTGACATTAACATTTCCTTTATCTTTCATGGTTTTCATCCAGGATAGTATTATTTTTCTGTCTTTTTCTTTATAAGCTTTTGGAAAAATAAATATGAATTTAATATCTAAGAAAGTTTCAGTGTGACTTCCTTAAGTTATAAAGGAAGGAGATGTAAAATATCATGAAATACTATAGTTAAAAATTCGACTTTGTAAAACTCCTGAGAAAATGTAATTTTGATGACAACAAAGATAATCGTGATAATAACCATGATGACAATTATTGGAATAATAATGATGGTTAGACTAGACTAATAGAACCGTCTAATTCAGTGGTCCCCAACCTTTTTGGCACCAGGGACTGGTTTTGTGGAAGACAATTTTTCCACAGACCAGGAGTGGGGATGGTTTCAGGATGAAACTGTTTTACCTCAGATCATCAGGCTTTAGATTCTCATAAGGAACGTGCAATGTAGATCCCTCACATGTGCAGTTCACAACAGTGTTGGAACTCCTGTGAGAATCCAGTGCCGCCACTGATCTGACAGGAGGTGAAGCTCTCAGGCAGTAATTCTCGCTCACCTGCTGCTCACTTTCTGCTGTGGCACTGGGTTCCTAAGCGGCCACGGACTCATACCAGGGGTTGGGCACCCCTGCTCTAATTGATATTTTCATTAACATGACAGAAAAAATACCAGACAAAAAAGCAAGTGTGCGCATTTTAAAGTGTAGAAAATTGTTACAGAAACTTTGAAAGTGACCTTTATTTGTAATAGCAAATGGACTACCATTGTACTGTTTTTGCAAAATATCATTATACAAATGTAAATAAGTACCTTTGGTAGATAGAAAAGTAGTTGATGTGACAGATTCTGGTTGTCTAAAACCAAAGCACAGAAGGTAATATAATGGAAATAAACCTTGGTAATTGAGTTCAAGCTTGTTAGAGACCATTATTAAATCATTCCATAAAAAGCCAAGCGCATTCACATTTCTAATTGTTCTTTTAAAGTTGAATATGGAAAGAATGAATACAATGATTATGGACAGCACAATTGCTAATTATCTTTCAAAATACTATGTATAGTTGTAGTTAATTGATATTACAGCATTCATCCAGAATCCAATTCCTCAACTTTGACTCAAGGAAAACATTGGGAGGGGGAAGATATACAAAGAGAAAATACAAATTTTTTTCCAATTGTAGCATATTTTTCTGCTTAAAGTTTGCATAATATTCATTGTTTAAAAAAAAAAAAAAAAAGAAACCCTGGATGTTATTCAGAAAAATATGGGAGCCAAAATATCTTTGCTCAGTAATTTCTTTTGACAAAATTTTAAAAATAAACTTCATAAATGTAAAATAATATGAACAATTCAACTTGTACCAAAACATATAAAATGAGAATAAAGATTTCCTCTTCACATCTGACGTCATTACTCTCCCTAAAGTCATCTCAAGAAGCAAACACTAATAACATCTCTCTAGACATCTTTCTATGAATAATTACAAATTAAAGTATAATCAATAAATACATGAGTAGATGGGTAAATGGATAAATGAGTGTATAGGTAGGTAGATAAGTAGATATAAATATTGTTTCTAAAACTAAAAATATAATACATATAATTTCTTAAGATTTAGGACAAATCCAATTTTTTATCTCCTTGTATCTTCTCACAGTCACCCAACTTTAACCACTTGCTTAATTTAGAACTTCAGCTGAAGCTATTATTGCCTCATGTCCTGTTACACTAGCTGCCACAGCCTCCAGAATGGTGTTGAGAACCAGGGTTTATCTGGTCCTCCGTTATGCCTGAACAATCATTTATGTCCTGACTAGGCACATAGAAGTTCTATCTTCCCATTTAGCCAACAAGAAAGAATGTGGGGATGCCGCTGTCTCGTGACATTAGCGTGAAGGGCCCCAGTACACAAGGTCAGGTAAATGCCGCACCAATTCATTATAATGAAAGTGTTTCTTGAGGATCAGGCTCAAGCAAATGAAGAAGACAGAAGTAAATTACATAAACAGGTTGTCCAGACTCCCATGTCACCTACTTCTGTTATATCAACTCTTCTCCAGCTTACATCCAAGTGAGCCTCACTACAACCAATAGTCAAGGAAGGAAAGGACTGGAGCCCTACTTTGCAAATTGGTTGTCATGATATTGCAACATCTGCCACAACTCTGCTGCTGATTCATAACAGCCCAATTCAAAGATGGCCCCAAATGAAAGTATAAAGAGGAATCCTCCTCAGGGATGGAGGGGGATGCAAAGTTGTAAGCAGTATACTTGGTTGCCCACCTTGTATGGCAGAAGTGGCCCAAGGCGAAGGCATATTCTAAGTTCTGAAACTAGTAAGTGAATTGTGTCTTTAGGCAGAACCTGGTGCATGACTGAAAAATCAGAGACAAGGCAGTGTGAAGAAGAGGTATAATGCAGATGGATCTATGTGAGTGATCACTAAAAGTGCAGATGTTTTGGTCTCACACTAATGCACATTGGAGAAAATCCTCCACAGCCAAGTCTCTCAACAGTCAGTTGAACAAGATAACCCACCTTGTGGAATGTCTGCCAGACTTTCCTTTTGTTAATCTTGGTGGTTCTGAAGAGCCAGTGAGGAGAATAATTACGGTGGCAGGAATGGAGACAATGTATGGGTTCAATAACCTGGACTTTTTCTCAAGTCTGTTACAGTTACTGCCACTTCTGAATACCCAGCTCTGTCAGCAGCAAGCACAGGTGCTAAATCCTCCTTATGGCACAATTCAGGGAAACACAGTGGCTGAACTGTGTCAGTTACAGTAATGAGCCCCTTATACCTTGGAAGAGATGGTGGTTTACCCTTTCCAACAGGAATGTATACTCCCTATATTGGTGTGTCTTCTCTGTCTACCAGCTCATAGACCTATGTTGTTTGCTCAATGGAGAGTCTCTGCTGCCTCTTGCATTACTGTAGTTTCATCTTCTAACTTCACTGGTGGTGTCTGCCTTCCCCAGTGATTATGCCTGGCTTCAGCATAGCGTATGTCACACCCCTGAAGCATGAGTCACAACTATGCCAGTGTCCAGGTCTGAACCAGCTGAAACTTGGAGTCTTCAGATTCTAACAGAAAGAGGTTCATATAACCTGGATGTACAGGGAGATAAATGTCCCATGGGACAAACTTGACTAATGAGGGACAAGAGACAGGAAGGATCCAGCATATAATTTTCATACTTTTTCTTCCCTTGAACTATTTCAAGGCACAGTGTTCCAGTGACTTCTCAAGGATGTTCTGCACACTTATACAGTCAGTTTTATTTTCTTGAAGATTTGGGCTCAATATATTATATTTGTTTACTGTCTTTCCTTGCCTCACAGTTTTTCCTTCTTTCTTTCTTTCTTTCTTTCTTTTTCTTTCTTTCTTTCCTTCTCTCTCTCTCTTTCTTTCCTTCCTTCCTTCCTCCCTCCCTCTCTTCTTTCTTTCTTTCTTTCTTTCCTTCTTTTTCTTCTCCTCTCTCTCTCTCTTTCTTTCTTTCTTTTTTTTTACTTTTGGTGCCCTGAGTTTGCACTCCAAATACATTACTAATATGTAAACTTTGCCCCAGTATGTTTTCTAGGCACCTAGGCTAAGGCAATCTAATTATTTTATTTAATCTTATTTGTATTTGAGAAAAGAAACTAGACTGAAACTTAATTACCGAACTACTAATTGTCCATGACATACCTATTATTGGCTAACTGATCTATAGAAAAAAGAAAAATATATGCGTGTGTGTGTGTCTACTTATATGTGAACAAAATATCCAGAACTTATGTTTTTATAACAGAATGTTTCAGTTTTAAACATTATTGATCATGCCACCTCAATAAAATATAGTGAAAATTTACATTATGTCATGACTTTCCGTATCCCTTCCTTCACCTCATAATTATTAATAATTATTTTATCATTTTTAAATCGTTGAAGATTATATCATCTACTTTATAATTCCCCCAGATGTTACACTTACATATTTAAATGCTTTTAATGCTTCCCACTAAGACTTGCCAGTATTCCTTTTCCCTGAGACCCTAACTAAGCTCCCTTGACCTAATTAAGTTCCCTTAATTATTCTCCTTAACTGCATCAACAGTTTTATGAAGGCTTTGTTTTCTTCTTTACTGGTGCATTGCCTCATTTTGCAGAAGTATATCCTGAAATAGCTTTTTAGAAAAGGGTCTTGGAAAGATAAACTTTTTGGGTCTTTGTCTGAAAATGCCTTCTATCTAAAGTTATACTATGTAGTTTTCTATGCAGTTTAAGGATATAATTGTAGGTTGAGAATTAATCCCCTCAGAATGTTGAAAACACTGCTGTGCACCTTCTGAAACTTTGAGTATTGATTAAAAAATCTGTTACCAGTCTGATTTGCAGTCCTTTGTATGTGACCTGCTTTACTTTTCTTGAAAAATTCCCTTTAATTTTTGTTTTCTGAAATGCCATGAGGGTACATCTAGATACATGTTTTTGGTTCATTTATTCATGACTTCTCTCCATTTAAAAAGGATTATTACTTTGTTCCTCAGTTCTGGAAAATGTTACTGTATTTTTGTGAAATTATTGTTTTCTGTTTTTTTAATTCTCTCTGAAATCTTTATTAGTTAGATTTTGATCTCCACATTTTCTCCATATTTTCTTTTTTTTCTACTTTCTGGATCTTTCTTTAACTTTATCTCATGGCATTCCTATTAAAAAAACATATTCAGTTTATTTTGCCAGAATCAAATTTTATTTCACGTGGGGTCCTTTTTTGTTTTGTTTTTATTTGTTTGACATGCTTTTCATCACATGCTGGTCTTGAAATGATGAATGTCATCTGAAATCTCTATCAGAATGCTTAAAATGTCTTCCATATTATGTTCTATTAACAATCATAGTTTTTGTCAAAGAATAATTTTATGTTTAATTATTTGGTCTCTCATTTTTATGTTGCAATTTTTTCTTAAACATATGGTGCAATTGGTTATGCAATTTTATTTAAGAAAGAAGCAATGAAAAGCTATTGAAAGTTCTCTGTGTGTGAATAGGGATTATCTATTTGTGAAAGTTTAATGGAAGATAATTAGGCAGAAGACCAGCAGTTCTGTTAAGATGATCTCAGTATCTCAACAATGACCACTCAATTGTTGTGATCCTCCGTCATAAGTTGAGAGATGGAACATTTAATCCTTCTTCCCCCTCCTTCCAGCTCATCTCATGCGTTCCATTAATCATGTAGGATGTTTTTAGATCCTCTCTGAGTCTTTCCAGAGTTCTGAAAAGCAGAGCTGCAGTTCCTTTGTCAAGAGAATCTTACTATAAGAGTATTTTATATTGAAGCTTCTTCCTTTTTTGCTAAACCCATTATCACTCCTTCTTATGTTCCAATGATTTGTAGTAATCATCTTCTGATGTCCTCTCTGATGTGTTTATCTCGTTTGTATTTGTTCTCTAGTATTCTAATAGAGTATCAGAAGTGAAAATGATAAGTAAGTATGGAAGCCCCACTTAATAGACTTAATAGTTAAAAGTAAATTGCACATGATGAAATCAACTAGAGATACATGATTATTTAATGTTAACTTGTAGTTCAGATATTTCAATAACAAAATCTCTTTAAAGAGAAAAAGTATATTTCCATTTCTTGCCACCATTTTTTTCAAAAAAGACAGTCCCCAATTTGTTCTAATCCCACATTATTATTAATTTTTACCATCAAAATTGATATATTATCACAATTAATTGATTAGCTGGGAAGTACTCACAGTGAGACCATTATTTATAATGTTTCCTGTCATGAGGATTCAAAGATACATGGAATAATAAATGTTAAAGCGAAAATTGCACCAATACCAAGTTAAACAAGTAAAAAAGACCTTTAAGGCTATTGAAATAAGGGAGAGAGGTCAGAACTTAGTCTGAGCCCAACTCCCTGAAACAAAGGATGGGAGTTTTAAAGAGCTGGGCTGGGAGAAATCAAAGGCCATCTGGGTTTGCTGGCTGGCCTTGACCAAAGGAAAAGTGAAGTTTCTCCTATCTTTATGCCAGAAGATAGTGTTACAATTTGGAGAAAGGCGCCTAGAAGTTAGGCTGCTACCCTCACACAGAAAGATAGGGATACTATCTTTCTTGATGAATACATTTCAAAGGGATGGCTTGCAAGTCTTTGAGAAAGACATTCCTGGGTTGAAAATGTGTCAAAAAGCTTTAAAAGAGATATCTCAAAGGGGGCAGAGAAACAATCTACAATTAAAAGCTTTCTAAAGTAAATGGTCTAAAAAAAGATGATCAAGGCCTAGAGTTAGAAGAAAGCCTGTCTAAAGTTTAGTCCAGCTGAGAGGTAAGTTAAGATCTTCTTCGTCATAAAGCTGTAAGAAATTGTAGAGAATATTCTATACCCCTTTATTTGCAGGTAAGGGGACTGAGGCCTGGACAAGTTAAATAGTTTTCACAGGAAAGCATGTGTAGTTGTTGGTAGGACCAAGGCCAAGTTACTTCCTCAAACTGTAGAATGCATTGTAATACTAGTCACAACACCCAGACTGTGGGATGCAGTAAATGGGATAGGTCTGTTCCACTAAATAAACTAACAACTTCTCATTTCCTTTATATTTATTAGCTATTAAGACCATGTGTGTATAACTTGCCCACCTTTTCTTATAGAATGCTTTTACCTTTCTCTAATTTAATCACATTATGTCCTGATATTTGTACAACTCTGTCACGAAGAAACAAACTTCAACTATAATGTACTGTGTGTGTGTGCTGTGTTCCAGTACTGTTTGAGACTCCGTTAATACAAACTACTAAGACCTAAGTACTGAGTTTTGCTCTTAATCCCAGAGTGTTAACGTTTAAGAGAGAAAACTATTTGGTCTGTTCATTGCAGTATAGTTTAAAAGCACTGTCTTGAAAGATCAGAAGGAGAACACCTAACTCTTAGCTCAGCTAGATATCAGCCCCAATAACTTGATAAAATCACTTACCTTCTCAGTTTTCTTATTCGTAGCCTGAAAGACCATTAATATTTCTTTGAACTCTGAAATTCTGATTCCATAAGATGTAATTATTTCACATCCATTGAAGTGTAAAAAGTATAGACAGTTTTGTGCCCCTCTTAGGCACTGGTTAGTATTGTTCCACTTTTTCAAGCATGCAATTTTTTTCAAATGCTATTTCTTCCTGTCATCTACGTTATTCTGAGGGAACAGGAGAGAGAACAGTTTATACTTTGATTCAGATAGCACTGGCCCTCCATAAGAGAGTACACGTTGCCTGAGAAGAAGACAAGCACCATTGGGTTTTTTAATTTAATAGCCATTGTATTAGTCAGGGTTCTCCAGAGGGACAGAACTAATAGGATCTATGTATATATGAAAGGGAGCTTATAAGGAGAATTGACTTACACCATCACAAGGTAAAGTTCCATGATAGGCTGTCTGCTAGTTGAGGACCAAGGAAGCCAGTGGCAGATCAGTCTGAGTCCCAAAACCTCAAAAGTAGGGAAACTGACAGTGCAGCCTTCAGTCTGTGGCCAAAGGCCCGAGGGTCCCTGGCAAACCACTGGTGTAAGTCCAAGAGTCCAAAAGCTGAAGAGCTTGGAGTCTGATGTTCAAGGCAAAAAGCATTCAATACAGGAGAAAGGCTGGAAGACTCAGAAAGTCTGCTTAGTCATCTTCTTCTGTCTGCCTTTTCTAGCTCAGCTGGCAGCCCAGGGGATGGTGCTCATCCAGATTGAGGGTGGGTCTACCTCTCCCAGTTCACTGACTCATATGTTAACCTCCTTTGGCAACACCCCCACAGACACACCCAGGATGAATACTTTGCATCCTTCAATCCGGTCAAGTAGACACTCAATATTAACCGTCACAGCCATGACTTACATAGACTAGAGTAGTGATTGCTATGTAGAAAAAAATGAAGAAACACTGGTGGCCAAAGTGAAATCCAGAATAACTGGAGTGTTTTATAACAGGACATTATTTTTTCAGAAAGTATTAAAACAATCCAGCAGATGCCAAATACTATTGCTCAGTCCCTACTTATGAATATTTATGAATGTACATAAGTTTAATAAAAGAACTAAATGTGTATATACATGTGTACACAATTTAAAAAAAAACCTTTAATTTTTTTTAAATCTAAAATACTGGTGTAATTTTAGGAATTATATTGGAAATAGCACTTATATACTCTCAATTTAACAGGAGTATAATTTATATCTCAAGCCTGTATGTCTCCTCTAAACCTCAGACTTTGTAACCAAGTGCTTTCTTGATATTTCTAATCAAGGTGATAAATGCTAATAATATCTCAAATTTAATATGTCCAAAACTAAACCCCTACTATTCCATTCCATATGTGCTCCTCTCTCAGTCTTCTTTATCTCAGTCATGAAAAGCTTTTTCTTCCAATTTCTCATGCTAAAAACCTGCACTTATCTTGACTTATCTCTGCTTTTCACACCGTGTCTAACTCATCAGCAATTCCTGTAAGCTTTTCTTCCAAATACACCTACATCCTGACTACCTCTTAATGTTTCCATGATGATCAACTCTTTTCAAGACACCATCACCTCTTGCTTGGATTATTGCAGTAGCCTCAGAAATGGCCTCTGCTTCTGCCATTACCTCCCCGCCCTTATAGTCTACTCTTCACACAGATGCAGAGTAACCTGCTGAAAGATAATCCAGATGATCTTCTTCTTCCACTCTGAAAGCTCCAGTGGTCCCCAGTTGCACTTGGGCAAAAGCCATTGTTTTCTTGATGACCCAAATCTCTAAACAATCTAACCCTCTCCCCCACTTTCCTCTCTGAATTCATTTCCTACTACTTTTCTTTTGGATCATTCCCTTTCAACCACACTGGTCTTCCTTCTTCCTTAATGAAAGTCAAAAGTGCTTCCACTTCCACTGCAGGGCAGTTGCCCTATCTGACCACTTTTCCTGGAATTCCTCTTCACGTGAGCGACTGCATGGCTTACTTTATCTTCTGCAGGTCCTTGTTCAAACATTAGCTTCTCATGAGCTATTCTCTGCTCCCTCTACCTAAAATTACACCACCATTATTGACTATACCCATTATTAAATTTTTCTCACTAACATTTTCTTATCTTAGCACTTATTATCATCTAACATACATTACTTGTTCATCTTGTTATTTCTCTATTCAAATTAGAACACAGCTCTATGATGAAACGTATTGTTTTTTGTTCCATTTTCAAAGTTGAATCCCAGCTACTAAAACAGTGCCTTATATAGCAGACATGCCGTAAATATCAGCTGGAATAAAGAATAAAGCCCACAATATGCTTTTGTTTCTGATTCTTTAAATAAACTTATTTAATCTTATTTTTGTTCAAACTCTAAAACATTATATACCTCACTCCAAAGTAGAATCCTCTTTCACCCATGTTAAGAGTATAAAAGGGTGAGGAGGTTAATGGTGAACAAAGAATTTTTAGACAGAGAGAGATGTTGGGTGCTGTGAGTTTTAATCCAAAGTGGAAGGAGGAGTGTCTGCTCCTCACCTCAAGATTAGGGAAGAATCATTTCATGAAACACACAGATAGTTTGTTGTACACAGTACAGTGGTCTAATTTATGGCTTGGAAACTTAAAGGTTAAGAGGCTGGTTAAGGCATACTTTCACCCCAGAGGGAAGTCCAAGTCTGATACCAGTAGTCCTAATATTGAGCTGAAGGTGAATATTCCAGAGGTGGACTCTATGCACAAAAGAAAAATCCAACTGGAAAATTCTTTTTTTTAATTTATTTTATTTTATTTTATTATTATTATACTTCAAGTTTTAGGGTGTGGGGGGAGGGGGGAGAGATAGCTTTAGGAGATATACCTTATGCTAAATGATGAGTTAATGGGTGCAGCACACCAGCATGGCACATGTATACATATGCAACTGGAAACTTCTTAAAGGAAATTTGTCCAAAGGAGTCAAATGGAACTCAACAGAAAGATAGGAAAGTGCACCCCTAAGCAGATAACCAATGGAGAATGCACCGTCTGCATCGAGGGAACTGCAGTAGTGAACTCTTCTAAGAACACAGGAAATTGTTGTAGAAGATAATGTCAGTTTTACATATTTTCAAAACTCAGAGCAGTATAATTATTCACAATAAGTATTAATTACAATAATAATGATTGTAATAAGTAATTACATCATTCACACTTAAGTGAGAACTTTTCCTGCCCATTTTCTTCTCTCATTTCCTCTCTCTTATTGACTCTGGAAGGGCCAGAAATCACTGTTGGGAAGATGCAGGAGAAGAGCTAAATTATAAACTAGGAAAGAGAAAACCTGCCACCTGCATTTCTTTCTAATCAGTGGTGGGATCAGGTTGTAACATAAAAGAAACAAGAATTAAGCAGGTTAAAGTTTGATTATTATACTCATGGATATACTAATTACATAAACTGCTGTTAATTCTTGAAAATAACACAAAAATCATGAAACTCTATTGAATTTTATCAGGGGGTGGAGGGTATTAACCCTATAGGATAAACTTAAGCAAGAATGGGAATTGAAAATTAAGTTGTTTATAATTACATCCCATGAAACATATTTGTTCAATGTTATCGTTACATTATGTGGTGAGAATCAAAACATTATGTACTTAGTAGAATTATTTGTATGTGAAATAGTTAGCTGTTTGGCATATGAAACATTGTCTCATTAAAATTTTTCATGTTGAGACTCAATTATCTTCCTATTAACATTTGCTCAAATTCTACGTGTCAAAAAATTGTCACTGCTACCTGACTCTTCCTTTGACCAAGGAGAATAAATACCCATGCTTCAAATATATTTCTCCAATAAAGGAGAAAAGCAATTGTACTCAATATGTAGGTAGGTTATAACAACCACTAATTGACTTTGGTGAGCTGGAGAAATCAACCCACCTGTTCAGATTACTCTATAAGAATGCCACCAAGCTCAACAGAACACTGGCTTTCAATGCTGTGGGATAAATTATAACATGCTAGCAACGCAGCTAAGATTACTAATGCCAATCTAAGTTTAATAATAGAAATATACTCTTCATATTAAGGGAACTAGAACTATAGTTTATTCTGCGTTGTTCAGATCACATAAAGAATATTGAATTTTATTGTCAGTCCTGTATTATTATAAAGAAGGTGCCAGTCTAAAATACACATACATGAAGTGATCTTAAAAAATTATGTAATTTAATGAACATTAAAGAATTGAAGAGTAGATTATATATAAAAATGAAAGTTGCCCTCATTTAAAAATATTTTATATAGAATAAAAAAGAATATAACAAAAAATTAAAATAACAAATCAAAGCAAAAAATACTAAACTTCAATAATTACCACAGACATACAAATTAAAATTATTCTCATCATATTGGGTAGAAATTTCACATCTAGAGCTCCCGGGCAACATGGCTGAATAGGAACAGCTCCAGTCTGCAGCTCCCAGCTGGACCAATGCAGACGGCCGGTGATTTCTGCATTTCCAACTGAGGTACCTGGTTTATCTCAATGGGACTGGTTAGACAGTGGGTGCAGCCCACGGAGGGTGAGCAGAAGCAGGATGGGGTGTTGCCTCATCTGGGAAGTGCAAGGGGTTGGGGAACTCCCTCCCCTAGCCAAGGGAAGCCGTGAGGGACTATGCTTTGAGGGACCGTACTATCCGGACCCAGATACTATGCTTTTTCCATGGTCCTCGCAACCCAGAGACCAGGAGATTTCCTCTGGTACCTACACTATAAGGGCCCTAGGTTTCTAGCACAAAACTGGGTGGCCGTTTGGGCAGACACTGAGCTAGCTGCAGGAGTTTATTTGTTTTTTGTTTTTTGTTTTTTCTACCCCAGCAGTCCCTGGAACACCAGAGAGACAAAACAATTCATTCCCCTGGAAAGGGTGGTGAAGCCAGGGAGCCAAGTGGTCTTCCTCAGCAGATCCCACCCCTACAGAGCCCAGCAAGCTAAGATCCACTGGCTTGAAATTCTTGCTGCCAGCACAGCAGTCTGAAGTCGACCTGGGACACTCGAGCTTGGTGAGAGGAGGGGCATCCACCATTACTGAAGCTTCAGTAGGCAGTTTTCCCCTCACAGTGTAAACAAAGCCTCCAGGAATTTTGGGCTGGGCAGAGCCCAACACAGCGTCACAAAGCCACTGTAACCAGACTGCCTCTTTAGATTCCTCCTCTCTGGGCAGGGCATCTCTGAAAGAAAGGCAGCAGCCCCGGTCAGGGGCTTATAGATAAAAGTCCCATCTCCCTGGGACAGAGCATCTGGAGCATCTGGGGCAGCTGTGGGCGCAGCTTCAGCAGACTTAAACGTTCCTGCCTGCTGGCGGATCTCCCAGTGGATCTGCCTGCTGGGGGATCTCCCAGCTGGAGCTCTGCTAAGGGACAGACTGCCTCCTCAAGTGGGTCCCTGACCCCCATGCCTCCTGATGGGGAGTCACCTCCCAACAGGGTTGACAGACACCTCATACAGGAGAGCTCCAGCTGGCATCTGGCAGATGCCCCTCTGGTACAAAGCTTCCAGAGGAGGGAGCAAGCAGCAGTCTTTGCTGTTTTGCAGCCTCCACTGGTGATGCCCAGGAAAACAGGGTCTGGAGTGGACCCCCAGCAAACTCCAGCAGACTTGCAGCAGAGGGGCCTGACTGTTAGAAGGAAAACTAACAAACAGAAAGCAATAGCATCTACATCAACAAAAAGGGTGACCACAGAAAAACTCCATCCAAAGGTCACCAACTGCAAAGAACAAAGGTAGATAAATCCATGAAGATGAGGAAAAACTAGCGCAAAAAGGCTGAAAATTCCTAAAACCAGAATGTATCTTCTCCTCCCAAGGATCATAACTCCTCACCAGCAAGGGAAAAAAACTGGATGGAGAATGAGTTTGATGAATTGACAGAAGTAGGCTTCAGAAGGGGGTTAATTCAAACTCCTCCAAGCTAAAGGAGCATGTTCTAACCCAATGCAAGGAAGCTAAGAACTTTGATAAAGGGTTAGAGGAATTGCTTACTAGAATAACCAGTTTAGAGAAGAACATAAATGACCCGATGGAGGTGAAAAACACAGCACGAGAACTTCATGAAGCATACCAAGTATCAATAGCTGAATTGATCAAGCAGAAGAAAGGTTATCAGAGATTGAAGATCACCTTAATGAAAGAAAGTGTGAAGATAAGATTAGAGAAAAAAGAATGAAAAGGAATGAACAAAGCCTCCAAGAAATATGGGACTATGTGAAAAGACCAAACCTATGTTTGATTGGTGTACCTGACACTGACAGGGAGAATGGAATCAAGTTGGAAAACACACTTCAGGATATTATCCAGAACTTCCCCAACCTAGCAAGACAGGGCAGCATTCAAATTCAGGAAATACAGAGAACACCACAGAGATACTCCTCGAGAAGAGCAACCCAAGACACATAATCATCAGATTCACCAAGGTCAAAATGAAGGAAAAAATGGTAAGGACAGCCAGAGAGAAAGGTCGAGTCACCACAAAGGGATGTCCATCAGACTAACAGGGGATCTCTCTGCAGAAACCCTACAAGCTAGAAGACAGTGTGGGCCAATATTCACATTCTTAAATAAAATAATTTTTAATCCAGAGTTTCATATCCAGCCAAACTAAGCTTCAACAGTGAAAGAGAAATAAACAAGCAAATGCTGAGGGATTTTTGTCACCACCAGGCCTGCCTTACAAGAGCTCCTGAAGGAAGCAGTAAATATGGAAAGGAAAAACTGGTACCAGCCACTGCAAAAACAAACCAAAATGTAAAGACCATTGACACTATGAAGAAACTGCATCAACTAATGGGCAAAATAACCAGCTAGCATCATAATGACAGGATCAAATTCACACATAACAATATTAACCTTAAATGTAAACAGGCTAAATGCCCTAATTAAAAGACACACACTGGCAAATTAGATAAAGAGTCAAGACCCATTGATAAAATCAACCACATAATTGGAAGTAAAACACCCCTCAGCAAATGCAAAAGAATGTAAATTGTCTCTCAGATCACAGTGCATTCAAATTAGAACTCAGGATTAAGAAACTCACTCAAAACTGCACAACTACGTGGAACATGAACAGCCTGCTCCTGAATGACTGCTGGTTAAATAACTAAATGAAGGCAGAACTAGTTCTTTGAAACCAATGAGAACAAAGCCACAATGTACCAGAATCTCTCGGACACAGCAACAGCAGTGTTTACAGGGCAATTTATAGCACTAAATGCCCATAGGAGAAAGCAGGAAAGATCTAAAATTGACACCCTAATATCACAATTAAAAGAACTAGAGAAGCAAGAGCAAACAAATTCAAGAGTTTGCAGAAGACAAGAAATAACTAAGATCAGAGCAGGACTCAAGGAGATAGAGACACAAAAAACCCTTCAAAAATCAATGATTCCAAGAGCTGGTTTTTTGAAAAGATTAACAAAATAGGTAGACAGCTAGACAGACTAATAAAGAAGAAAAGAGAGAAGAATTAAATAGACATAATAAAAAATGATAGGCTGGGTGCGGTGGCTCACACCTGTAACCCCAGCATTTTGGGAGGCCGAGGCAGGTGGATCACGAGGTCAGGAGATCGAGAGCATCCTGGCTAACATGGTGAAACCCCATCTCTACTAAAAAAAATACAAAAAATTAGCCAGGCATAGTGGCGGGCACCTGTATTCCCAGCTACTCGGGAGGCTGAGGCAGGAGAATGGCGTGAACCCAGGAGGCGGAGCTTGCAATGAGGCGAGATTGTGCCACTGCACTCCAGCCTGGACAACAGAGCGAGACTCCATCTCAAAAAAAAAAACAAACAAACAAACAAAAAAAACTAATAAAGAGGAGATTACCACTGATCCCACAGAAATACATGCTACCATCAGAGAATACTATGAACATCTCTACGCAAATAAATTAGAAAATCTGGAAGAAATTGTTAAGTTCCTGGACATATATACGCTCCCAAGACTAAACCAGGAAGAAGTTGAATCCCTGAATAGACAAATAACAAGTTCTGAAATTGAAGCAGTAATTAATAGCCTACCAACCAAAAAAAGCCCAGTACCAGATGGATTCACAGCCGAATTCTACCAGAGGTACAAAGAGGAGCTGGTACCATGCCTTCTGAACTATTCCAAGCTATACAAAAAGAGGGTGTCCCGCTAACTCATGTTATATATGAGGCCAACATCATCCTGATAGCAAAACCTGGCAGGCAGGGACATAACAAAAGAAAAGAAAATTTTAGGCCAATATCACTGATAAACATCAATGCGAAAATCCTCAATAAGATACTGGCAACCCGAATCCAGCAGCACATCAAAAAGCTTATCCACCATGATCAAGTGTGCTTCATGCGTGGGTTGCAAGGGTGATTCAACATATGTAAATCAATAAATGTAATCCATCACATAAACAGAACCAATGACAAAAACCACATGATTATCTCAATAGATGCAGGAAAGGCCTTCAAAAAAATACAACACCCCTTCATGCTGAAAACACTCAATAAACTAGGTATTGATTGAACATCTCTCGACATAATAAGAGCTATTTATGACAAACCCACAGCCAATATCATACTGAATGGGCAAAAGCTGGAAGCATTCCCTTTGAAAACTGGCACAAGACAAGGATGCCCTCTCTCACCACTCCTGTTTAACATAGTATTGGAAGTTCTGGCCAGAGCAATCAGGCAAGAGAAAGAAATAAAGTGTATTTAAATAGGAAGAGAAGAAGTCAAATTGTCTCTGTTTGCAGATTGTATATTTAGAAAACCCAATGGTCTCAGTCCAAAATCTCCTTAAGCTGATGAACAATTTCAGCAAATCTCAGAATATAAAATCAATGTGCAAATTCACAAGCATTCCTATACACCAAGAATAGACAAACAGCCAAATCATAAGCAAAAAAAATGCTACAAGGCTATGGTCACCAAAACATCATGGTACTGGTACCAAAACAGATATATAGACCAATGGAACAGAATAGAGGATTCAGAAATAACACCATACGTCTACAATCATTTGATCTTTGAGAAACCTGACAAAAACAAGAAATGGGGAAATGATTCCCTATTAAATAAATAGTTGGGAAAACTGGCTAGTCATATGCAGAAAACTGAAACTGGACACCTTCCTTACACCTTATACAAAAATTAACTCAAGATGGATTAAAGATTCAAATGTAAGACCTAAGCCATAGAAACCCTAGAAGAAAACCTAGGCAATAGCATTCAGGACAGACATGGGCAAAGACTTCATGACGAAAACACTAAAAGCAATGGCAACAAAAGCCAAAATTGACAAATAGGATCTAATTAAACTAAAAAGCTTCTGCACAGCAACAGAAAATACCATCAGTGAACAGGCGACCAACAGAATGGGAGAAATTTTTTTCAAACTATACATTTGACAAAGGGCTAGTAACCAGAATGTACAAGGAACATTAAAAAAATCACAAGAAAAAACAAACAACCCCATCAAAAATTGGACAAAAGATATGAACAGACACTTCTCAAAACAAGACATTTATGCAGCCAACAAACATATGAAAAAAAGCTCATCATCACTGGTCATTAGAGAAATCAAAATCAAAATCACAATGAGATACCATCTCATGCCAGTTAAATTGGCGTCATTAAAAAGTCAGGAAACAATAGACACTGGAGAGGATGTGGAGAAATCGGAACACTTTTACACTGTTGATGGCAGTGTAAATTAGTTCATCCATTATGGAAGACAGTGTGGCGATTCCTCAAGGATCTAGAACGAGAAATACCATTTGATCCAGCAATCCCATTACTGAGTATATACCCAAAGGATTATAAATCATTCTACTATAAAGACACATGCACACGTATGTTTATTGCAGCACTGTTCACAATAGCAAAGACTTGGAGCTGACCCAAATGCCAATCAATGTTAGCCTGGATAAAGAAAATATGGCACATATACACCATGCAATAATATGCAGCCATAAAAAATGAGTTCATGTCCTTTGCAGGGACACGGATGAAGCCGGAAACCGTCATTCTCAGCAACTAACACAGGAACAGAAAACCAGACACTGCATGTTCTCACTCTTAAGTGGGAGTTGAGCAATGAGAACATACGGGCTCAGGGAGGGGAAAATCACACACTGGGAGCTATTGCAGGGTGGGAGCCAAGGGGAGGGATAGCATTAGAAGAAATACCTAATATAGAAGACAAGTTGATGGGTGCAGCAAATCACCATGGCACATGTATACTTATGTAACAAACCTGCACGTTCTCTACATGTATCCCAGAATTTAAAGTATACATATACATATATATATGAAATATAACAAAATCCAGCAAAAATATTGTTACAGTAATAAGTAAATAAATAATTAAAAAATAAAATGCAAAACAAAAATAAATTTTACATCTAATAGTACAAATGTTGGAGAGAATGTGGAGCAAAAGGAATTTTCACGTGCTGGTGGTGGGAGTATAGTTTGGAATAATTATTTTGGATAATATTGTGATATTATCTAGTAAAATTTAGGATGCATATATCCTATGCCAGAGAAATCACACTACTGAGTATGTATCCTTCAGAAACAAATATATCGAAATGTTCAGAACACATGTATAAGCGTGTTCACTGGCTTTAGGGATGAATATACATGATAGTATATTAATACAACAGCATACTAAAAAGCACTCAAAATAAACAGTACTATGGTACTACAAGACAACATGCTCAGTCTTACAACTAGAGTGGAAAAAGCAAGACACAAAATAATACAAATGAAATACTTCCATTAAAATGAAGTTCAAAAAACAGGTAAAACGATTGCATAATTTAGGAAGGCATACATACGTGGGAAAATAAATATAAGGAAATACAAATCTATTTTTATTTAAAAAATAAGGAAATTCTTACATACCTCATCAGGATAATAATTACCTCTAGAGGAGATGGACTGAGTGGTATGAGAAAGAACATATGTGCATCTCTTGGCTTCTGACAGTGTTTTGTTTATTGATTTGTGTGATGGTTACATATATATCCACATTAGAATCACTCGGTACATTTTTCCATATAAGAGTTATAGTTAATAGTGAAAACACGTTAGGGCCATATAGACAAAGCACTGGTTATTTCAGATGTTAGAAAGAAACATGAGAGAGCTATACTTTGATATCATAGTAAGGGTCAGAAACAGTATGCATGGGTACAAGTTAACAGTGATGCAAAGTTCATGTCAATGAAATAATGTACTTTCTAATACCTAGAGCTATCCATACATGAAATGAACTGCTTCTGATCTTCTAACCTCCCTATCACACAAGACCTCCATAAAGTCCTATATGATTATCACTCAGAAGTACTATGGAAAGAATACATAATTTGAGTGCAAATTGAATTTTGTAAATTCCAATTTTTGCATTCTATAATCTTGTACAAGGTTTCTGTTTTTACCATGCTTGACTGACCTGATATAACTACTCCTAAAAATTCTCCTGCTTGTCACATGAATATGAATATAGAACGTTTGCTGGGGACATGTTCCGCCTTATTTGGGATTCAAAGTCTTAGCTTGTTAGTTTTTCACCTCTGCTCTAAGGGTTACAAATTAGTACATTTTAAAAAGGCGAACCCAGTGAATGTTGCTGTCTAGTGAGTGCTCCTTCTATCTGGAGAGCAGAGCATACAATTTTAATCAATCCTCTCCAAAAAGCTCAGCTGCAAAAATATGGGAAGAAATGTCATTGATCACCTTATCCCTCTGAAATAAAATACTTAAAGCATAAAGACTAGCTTTTTCTTCTTATTTGGTCAAATGACCTTTAAATGTAAACTTGAAGTAATATCCCTGTCATTTGTAGTTCCTGTAAAATACATGAAGCTAACCTGAAACATGTAACATTGGAAATTGATTCCTGCAATAAATAAACTTAAGTAGATGAAACAAATGAGAAAAAAAAATGAGAAGAAACATAAATTATGAGACATTGACAGGAATAAGGCAATGCTAAGAGAACAAGGAAAGTTTAATAAAGATAAATTTTGCTTGAGGTGCTTTGACTACTCAGTGAAAACTAAATACTGCATGAAACAATTTTTCTCTGTTGAGCTTCAAGAAAGAGAAGGTGGAATAAGTATTTGAATCACATTTTGGTTGTTTTGCCATATGTGGTGTGTTTAGAAAGCAGCAACAATTCTCCTTGAATAAATCTGTTCTCAGATGTAAAAATGATCGAATCTTCTCACTTGATAATACAGTTAGCATATCTCAATAGTTTGGGAAAATAAGCAAGAAAATAGATGCAAAGCCTGTGTATCAATCAGATGGATTAGGTTGTTGTACACTTAGAAACAACTTCAAAATCTTAATTCCCTAAATTAATAAGGTTTATATTTCACTCATGCCACACATCCATTTTATGTTGGCTGGGGCCTATGCTCCATCTTTCTTCACTTGCAATGGAACTCAGTTTAAGATCTCAAATATTATCACGCTCTGTGTCTAAGGGAAAGAAATATGTGAAGGTTACTGAATGGAGAATAAATGCCCTCGCCTGCAAGCTGTACAGGCTTTCTGCAAATAGCTCTGATTAGAACTGCTCACAAAGACCTACCTAACTACCAGGGGGTCAAAAATTGTAGTCTTCATGTGGCTATGAATTCCTTGTCAATCCTCTACTTGACAGATTGTTTCTATAGTCTCACCCCTTGAATTTAGGCAGGCTTAGTAACTAGTTTTACCAAGAGAATAAAAGAAAATGATCAGCACTAATTTCCAGGCATCACTTTTAAGAGACTGGCAACCTCCACTTTCTACTCTTGGAATGCTCACATCAGAGCAGTTGCTATGTAAGATTTGTGACTTCCCCAGTACTGCCATGGTATGAGAAAGTCGAATGGAGACACATGGGGAAGATGCATGGAGAGGGTTGCCTAGCCAGCAGACATAACATGGAAAACTGAACAGTACATCCAACAGCCTGATCCAAGGCCTCAGAGATGTGGCTCCAGTCAACTCATCATATCTGTAACTGAACACTGAAGCCACCACAAGTGAGGAGGCACCAGTTATCACAGAGCCAACATGAGCCGTCCCCACTGTACTGCCTCATGTATGACCCACATAATAGAAAATATAATGAAATTTTTGTTGGTTTACTCAACTAACTTTTAAGGTGGTTCTCTATGCAGCAATGGAAAACCAGAACCTGCATTATGAGCCGGGAAAGTGAGGAGCAGGAAATATTTTGTACGTGTATAACTAACACTGTCTCTTTCAAAACCGCAGCACTCCTTTATAAACAGTATTGATGGTTTTCTAAATGCTTTCTCCATCTGATTTATTCTTCAGACTCTTCTTTCTTCAGTGACTGATAAATTTCCTCCTTAGAGATTTTAATCTGGGGATTTTGATTGCACTATATACATTTCACCTAAAAATCCAAAACTCATCTGTCCCTAGAGCTCTAAGATTTCAGAAGAATTTAGGGCAGGGGGATAAACTCTTATGCACACATGGAACAGAACAGAAAATAGTAGAAAAGTTGGATTATAGAAATGAAGTGAAAATAGCCTGGATGCTAGAAAATGTATTGTTCTTCCTTCTATTTTCCCTCATAGGAGTCAAGAGGGACGTGAGAAACTCTTTGTGCTCTGAGTAGAACATCTTCCTGGCCTCTGTATCTCTGGGCAGAGAGAAACTCTGCAACTTGCTGGCAAAATAGTTACCCTTTCCTTTCCCACAGCACTTCCATCCTGGCCTCTACCCTGCATTTGGAGGATATCTGGACTAATCTCAGGTTATTGTTCATTACCTGTTGTCTATTTCTCATTTGTTTCTAAGCACACTGGAGAAAATACCCATCTGTGCCTGGTATGAGACTCCTTTTTTCTCTCCCCTCCCGTAGTACTTATCACTCATGACATATTGTATTTTAACTTATTTGACCATTTTTATTCTATAGCCTTCACCCTAGAATATATGCTTCATGCAGGCATAGACATGTGTCTGTTTTGTTACTGGCTGTACCTCTAAGACTTAGAACAGCGCCTGGAACAGATTACATTTCCATTAAATTTTGAAAAATGTGTGTTTCCATGGACAGATAAACAAATGCAAAGGAAAAATAGATGAAAGTTTTTAGCCTTATAGATATGACCCCAAAATTGTAGTCATTGGAATTGTCCTGTAGACAAGATATATTCAACTCTTTGATTTGATTTAATTCCATAATCCCAATGAAGTTTATATAATGTTGCATTTTTAAAAGTATACAACCAACAACCATGAGAAATGCTAAAAATAAGTAATACAGGACATGGAGACCCACTTTAGTGAGGCAGAAACTGTGTTGGTGACTAGAGAAAAGGGAATCACTTTTTAATTACTGTCTTGATATACTTATAGGTGACTTTTTCACTTATTTCCCTTTTGGTCCTCTGTTTACAATCCGAATTAATCATTCACCAAGTGCATGGTGGTAATCACCCTGTTAGTGACTACATTTCTTCCAAAGATGTTAAAAATTTGAGAGATCAGAGCCATTCACACACCTCATCATATTATCCTTTAAATAAAATGTTTTGTTCAAAGTATTAAATGTAGCAACATTAAAATCAAAACTCTGTAATAAAATGTAATACACGTAAAAGAAACAAAAAGGAAGAAATATCTATGTTTCCATGAAATGTTAACTAATAAAAATTATAAGACATGACAGGTAGGAAAAGTCATGTACATCCAGTAGAATTGTGGAAGACAACAAAATGGATAAAAGCCAGAGAAATTGTATCCCAATGAGAAAAAGATAAAAACATGATGACTTCAGAATCATTTTTTAAAACACCTTCTGTATAAGGGAGAACATTTAAAGAAAAATACAGTCCCAATTTGCACTAAATTAATGTAAATATTAATATTATATAAATTATACCTAGGAAATTTCATGAATTTCGGTTAGTGTAAAGGTAATGCAGGTCAATTCTTACATTTATACATGTATAGCTTACCTGGTACATTACATTGGCAGGACTTTTCTTTCTTTCTTTTTTTTTTTATTTCAATAGGTTTTTGGGAAACAGGTGATGTTTGGTTACATGAATAAATTCTTTAGTGGTGGTTTCTGAGATTTTGGTGCACCCAACACGTGAGCAGTGTACACTGTACCCAGTGTGTATTCTTTTATCCTTCACCCTGCTTCCGTCCTTTCCCCTGAGTCCCCATAGTCCATTGTATCATTCTTATGCCTTTGCATCCTCATAGCTTAGCTCCTAGAGAGTGGTAGGACTTTTTTACTCTTCAATTAAACCTCCTAGTTCTCAGATTTTTCTTCATCTATTTTTCTCCATGCATTTAAAGCAGAAAAGGTAACTTGTGTCAATTAGAGAACCGTTAGTGAAAATTCTATTTTTGATAATATAACAAAAGTTATTCACTCCTTAATTACTTTAACTTTTCTGACTCTTATGTGAACTAAAATTTAAAATGTTTTTACCAGAAAATTTTACATGTCCCTGGTGTAGACAGAAATCTCAGTCAAAGGCAGATGTTATTTCCTAAAGGGTCTGTATTATCTTGAAGAAGAGGTATTCAACAAATACCTAACTTCTATAGGCCAACAAAGTTTAAAAACAGACTTAATATCATTTTACCTACATGAGTTAATGCTTTATTTTCTAACTCAAATTGCTGAGAAGCACACATACACCAAGAATTGTTCTTTTCTTTTTTTAATAATTGTGGTTGCCTTGATGGTTTTGTCCTGAGCCAGCAATGCATTTGTGAGCCACTTGAGATGTAATCAGAGGCATATATTTGAAAGAATTTTCAGGCCTTGGTGTGCAGTAATAAATGTGAGAACAAATTCACTCAACCAAACAAATCTATCTGTTTATAAAAAATTGGTCTTCAGACTCGGCTTACTGATATTTCTAGTTTACTTCATTGATCCCACTATCTCTCTCTTATACAAAATTGTGTACCCTCTAAGGGATCATTCATGGGCTCCACATCCATTCCAGTTACTGCCCTATAGATCTGCTCCTCTTTACAGCAAAACAAATCAAAAGAAATGTTTCTATGAAGTCTTCAGTGCCTCTCCTCCATTTCTCTTGCACTCATTCCAGTCAATGTTTTGCCCTCACACTTGAAGGAGTCCCTGTTTCTAATTGCTCAGATTGCCAAAGCCAATGGTCAGTTCCCAGCTTTTACTCAGTCTATCAAAAGCATTTCATGCAGTTGGTCATGTCATCTTTCTTGATATACTTTCTTTGATTAGCTTTATCTGTCTGTTTCTGTCACACACAGACACTGTCTCTTTTTGTTTTCTTTTTTCTTTTAATTTTTTTAGATAGAACCTCTCTCTGTCACCCCGGCTGGAGTACAGTGACACAGTCTTGGCTCACTGCAACCTCTGCTTCCCAGGTTCAAGCAATCCTCCTGCCTCAGCCTCCCAAGTAGATGAGATTACAAGCACAGGCCACCACGCCCAGCTAATTTTTGTATTTTTAGTAGAAACGGGGTTTTACCATATTGGCCAGGTTGGTCTGGAACTCCTGATCTCGTTATCTGCCCACCTTGGCCTCCGAAAGTGTTAGGATTACAGGCTTGAGCCACATCGCCTGGCTGACACTGTCTCTTTTTCTCTCTCTCCTCCTCCTCCTTCTCCTCCTCCTCCTGCCTCCTGATTTTCTCAGTGTTACCGGTTTCTTCTTATCTACTCGTTTTTTAAACCAGAATGCCCCAGGGTTCAGACCAGAGACTGCTTCTCTCTCTTCTCTCTCCTTACTCTGTGGGTGTTCTTACATAGTCTTATACCTTTAAATTCCACATAGTAAAGACTCATTTCCAAATTTATAAACTTAAAACTTGTATGTCCAACTTTCTGTTCACACTGTCAATTGAATGACTAAAGGGCATCTCAAATTTAACATACCCCTAATTGCTCTCTTAATTTCCACCAACTAGCCCATTTTTCCTAAAAGATTTTCATCCCACAGTCTTTCCCATCTCAGGAAATGGTAACTCCATGCTGTCAGTAACGGTGACACACAGCATAACCTAGGAGTCATTACTGACTGACTCTTCTCTTAAGTGATTCTAATAAATCATTAAACCATAAGTGACCTATCTTTAAAACATATCTGTACCACTATTACCAGATCTCAAAGACCATTATCTCTCTCAGAAATATCGCTGAAACATCCTAGGCTGATAATTTGTTCCCACCATTGCCCTCCCAAAATCTATTCTCAAAACAGCAGCCACAGTACTCTTTTCAAAAACATATGTCTGATCATGTCACTCCTCTGTTAACTACACTACGATGATTTTTCCGTCTCAATTAGCTGTTACCATGACTACTGTGATCTAGATCTTTGCTATCTCTCCACACTTGCTTATCTCTTATGACTTTCCCCAACCTCACCCCACCCCAGCTCATTCTATACTCACCAGACTTGTTTTTCTTGAAAAATCCATGCATGCTCTTTCGTGAATATTTGCACTTTCTAATTATTCTTCCTGGAGAAGTCTTCCCACATATAACTGTATTGTCTGTTCTGTCATTTTATTAAGGTCTCTATACAAACATCGTGTTATCAAAGAATTTCCTTTTATTCCTTGCACCTCATCCCACCACAGCAAATATGTCCTATTCACAGTGGCTTACATTTTTCTTAGTCAACTGTACATATCACTATCTGAAAATTTGTATATTTTTTAATATATTTGTTTCTTTTTTACCATCCAGCTTATAAATAAGCTCCATAAAGGTAAGGACTTTGTTTTGATCAATGCGGTATTTATAGCTCTGAGGATAGAACTTGGCACTTCACACATTTCCTCAGCATATTAGGGGTTTATAATCTGAAGACAAAGTATATCCTGTGTGACTCAGAAAGGATCCTGAGGAGCTGCATCTGGAAGTTTCTTGGGACTCCAATGTTTGCCTGTGCTTTCTTTCTCTATGCTACCATAACCTTTACTTTTATTAAAGCCTTAAATGAACACCTGCAAACGTCTTGTATTTTCAAACATCCAAACCTGTGTAATTGATGCAAAAGAATATCATTAAAGTGAAAAGAGAAACCCAAGAAGAAAAATAATTGTAATGCATGTATCCAATAAAACACTCATATTCAGAATATATAAATTAGTAAAAAATAATAAGCAGACACTTCAGAAGAAAAATGGGCAATGGACTTGAACAGAGATTTCACATGATTGATTTTACAGCAGCTAACAGAATTATTAAAAAGGTAATCAACTTCATTAGCCATCAGGGGAAATTCAAAATAAAACCAAATTCAATACTATTTCCTACTCACCAAAATCACTTAAAGATTCAGCTAATATCAAATGTATATCAAGGATATGGAACAACCAGGATTTTCAGTCACTGCTGCTGAGAATAACATTGGTACAAGTGCTTTGAAAAACTTTTGTCAATTGCTACAAAAGTTGCATCTTTTCATATCCTATGACTTAGCAATTTCATTTCTATTCATAAGTGCAATAACCAGAGGAATAGAACACATGCATATAGCTCATGAAAAAAAAAATTAAATAGATGAAAAACAAGTTCCTTACAGCATTATTTATAATAGCTTAAACTTAAAATGTCTTGAAAATCCTTCAATAGTAGAATGAATAAATAAGGTTTTGCATGTTCATATACTAGAAAACTACACAGCAATGATAATTGCGAAAGTAAATACATTAAACAATTTGGATTAAGTCTGCCAAACGTAATATTTAGCAAAACATCAGACACAAAAGAGGACATTCTGTATGATTGAAGTTAGAAAATCTTTAAAAAGCAGAAAAACCTAATCTATGCTATTAGAAGTGAGGGTAAATGGAGCATCTGGTGAGCTGATATTTCTTTATTGATTTACATATTGGTTACATGAGTGTTTTAATGATGCAAAAATTCTTTCAGTTGTGTCCTTATGTGTAATTTTATGTGCTTATATTTCAATAAAAGTTAAGAATTAAATCATGAGTAAATACCCATATAATCCAACAATCCTTAAAACTATTATGTTTATTTTCAAAACAGCACATAGTATTAGTGGAACAAAATATGTTTAACTAATAACTACATGTTAGACATTGTTTAAAATTTGTTATTTTTATAAATGCCATTGATATCTCCATGTAGCCTTCAATGTGGAGCTCTCTGGTTATTTTATAAAATTCTAGAAGTGGAAATGTTTAATAAAAAGTTAAGAACAATTTTTCAAGTCTTGGTATAAAGTGACAACTTGCCCTCTAGAGAGTTGACACTATGAAAAATTATTCTAATATCTCTAGCTTATCTTCATACAATAAGATAAAACCAAAGGAGATGGAACAAATATGGAATTGCCTCCTGCTGCCTCCACAGTCCTGAAAGGTTTTTATTTCCTTTAAAATATATTGCCTTTGGCATGAGATTTTTCCATCAAGGGTTTATTCAAGGCAACCAGTGCATGAAAATTTCCACATTATAATTTTCTAAATAGTCTTTCATGAACAGTACCACAATATGTTTCCATTCAAGGCAAGGAAAAATGCCTGCTTTGTCCAAGCCCTACCAATTTTTATATCATACTTTTCTTTCATTAACCTGTGACTCCATGCATTTGATTGTTTTCCTGTTCCTATTCCATGACATTTTACCCTCATTTTCATGATTTTATTAGTTTTGTTAAAATTTTCTGTCAAACCTCATCTCACTCATACCTTAAGTCTTCATTCAAGGTCTGTCACTTTCACAAACATTATTCTAAGTCTTGCCAAATCTGAGCCTCTTCTTTGCTGAATATCCAGAGCACTTGGGCCTAGACTGCTCATTTTTCTTTTTGGAAGCAATGACTTACTAAATGCCATCTTAAATTTTCCCCATAGGAAACAAATATTATGCATAGGATTTTCTTCATTGCTAGAATGGGTGTTTTTTTGTAGACATAGCTGTGTTATTTATCTGTGTATTTCAAACTCTCAACTAGAGAATGACACATCATAGGTGCTAAATAATTGTTTTGTAAAAATTAATGGTTTTTTGAAGACTAAACTTCTCACATCAGCTACTCACACTAAAGTATTTTACAGTAAAATAACAGAAAAAAAGTGCACCTTGGTTGAAAATTAACTATGTAATTTTAAGATTTAGTTTGGGTTATACACAAAAGACACAGTCTGTATAGTAAATACTCTAACTTTTCAGTACCCAATATGGCAGCAATTAGCCAAAAGTACCTACTGAGGACTGAAAATGTGAGTAACCTGAATTGATGTGTGCTGTGAGTGCAAAATACACATCAGTGCTAAAGATTTTGAAGAAAAGATAATGTAAAATATCTCAGTAATAATTTTATATATATTTGACATTGAAATAATATTTTGGACATTGTGATAAAACATTATTAAAATTAGTTTTGCCTTGATTTTAATGTGCTTTTGCCTTTTTAATATGTCTACTAGAAAATTTAAAATTAAAACTGTACATTTCTATTGAATAACAGTTTCATAAGTCCTTTTAGGATATAATATCTATTATTAAAATATAAAGATATGTTAGAAAATGCATAAGCTAAATTTATCCCTATCGTCAAGCAGAAATTGGAATGATTCATATATAAAAGTAAAGCTTGCTGAAGTATATCACAGTGAACCAGAGAGTTAAGATGTGAAAAAATATCACGCTAAAGTTTATGGAGGCTTAGACATTAATGTTCTAAAGACATTCTGAATATTTATGTTTGTTCTTCCTGAGATATTTGAAGTAAATAATTCCAAATTATTTTTCCTTCTCTAAAAGTGTCTGATACTTCTACAAAAAATTGTGGAAGGCGTCTGTTTGTATGTCTGAAATCAACAAGGATTGTTTTGTGTTTATTTGCTTAGGAAAAGAAATTGGAGAGATTCGCCTTGAAAATAAGCCTTCATATTAGTGACTTCCTTCTTTTAAAGGACATCGAACAAGTTTTGTGAGTCCCTTAATTTTTTACACAAGTATTTACTATTCTATTATATTATAATCTTCATTATTCTATATTTCTTTTCTTCATACTACTTGCATTCTTCACATTTCAGTTTGTCACATGTATAGAAAGAAAAATGAATTTTTATAAAAAGCAACAGTGTGTGTATGTGTGTGTGTCTGTCTGTCTGTGTGTGTGTGTGTGTGTGTGTGTGTGTGAGAGAGAGAGAGAGAGAGAGAGAGCAGAGAGAGAAGAGAGAGAAGCCCACATTCCTAGTTATTGACCTATCATATTTGTTGACACTGCCTCTAATCTTCCCTATCAGTGCCAATTCATAAAATTTTGGTTACCCCTTCACTTTCTCACTAAGTTCACCAATGACTTAAAATTTTTTTTCAGGATTCTCTTTATTTTTTAGGTATAAATAACAGTTTCCTTTATTCTGTGCATTATACGTAACCATTATTTTGCTTAGTGTTTTCTTTTTAACTTTTATTTTAAGTTCAAGGATACAAGTATAGATTTGTTACATAGGTAAATTTGTGTTATTGGGGGTTAACAGAGACAAGGTCTTGCTCTGTCACCCACATTGGAGTGCAGTGGTATGCTCATAGCTCAGTGCAGCCTTGAACTCCTGGGTCAAGTCATCCTCCCCTTTTAGTAAACAAAGTAACTAGAACTGCAGGTGTGTGCCACCACACTGGGCTAATTAATTTAATTTAATTTTTTTAGAGATGGGATCTCTCTATGTTGTCCAGGCTGGTCTCAAATTCTTGGGCTCAAGAGATCCTCGTGCCTCAGCCTCCCAAAGTGCTGAGATGGTTATACCAGGTGAGATGTGAGTCACCAAACCCAGCCACCAATGACTTTTAAATTGTAGACTTCAAAATAATTGTTCATCAACTTTGGTCATTTATAACAAGTACACACTTATTTCTTGAAATTCTCTCCACTGTTCACAACAGCAAAGACTTGGAACCAACCCAAATACCCATCAATGATAGACTGGATAAAGAAAATGTGGCACATATACACCATGGAATACTATGCAGCCATAAAAAAGGATGAGTTCGTGTCCTTTGCAGGGACATGGATGATTGAAGCTGGAAACCATCATTCTCAGCAAATACAAGAACAGAAATCCAAACATAACATGTTCTCACTCATAAGTGGGAGTTGAATAATGAGAACACGTGGACACAGGGAGCGGAACAGCATACACCGGGGCCTCTTGTGGGGTGGGAGGTGGGACAAGGGATAGCATTTGGAGAAATACCTAATGTAGATGACAGGTTGAGGGTTGCACCAAACCACTATGGCACATGTATACCTATGTAACAAACCTGCATGTTCTGTACATGTACCCCAGAACTTAAAGTATATTAAAAAAAATTCATACTCACAAAAACATAATTCCCTTCTCATAATTTCTTCTTGATCTTCTTAATGAGATCCAAGTGTTAAATATGTGTTGATAATTTTCAAATCAATGTCTTTGAACATCCTTCTCTCCTGAGATTCAGACGGATGAGTACAACTAACAGCCCAGGTGAAGTGGATCCTCATTTAGAAATGGGCATGCTTAAGTCTGAACTCATCTTTTTTCTGACAATACCTTCCATCCAATTTCCCAAATCAGATGCCGGCAAGCAATTGTATACTCCACCCTCTTTGCTACTTACTTACATAAATGCTGTTTCTAAGTCCTGTCATCTGATAATTATAGTTTTTAAATATTTTAAATACTTATTTACTACTCCTATTCATTTCCAATGCTGTCCTAGTAAGGCCCTCATTATCTCCCTCTTATACTAGTGCCATAACTTTCCTATTGAATCTATCATTCTGTCCCCAATACATCTTCTGTTCTTCTTCCAGCATTAATCTTTACAGTATGAAAATCCAATCACGCTTTGCTCTCATTAAATTTCTTTAATACTTTGCCATCATCTAGAACAGTATTTCTCAAAATGGTGCAGAACATTATCAGAAACACTAGAGTAGAAATACTGGGGATAGATGTGTAATCTTGTTTTTTAAAATTCCCCACGTATAATTCATAACACAGAATAGTTTGAGAAACACTCTCATAGGAGAGAAGCAGTTTATCCATTTGCAAAGCATACATTGTCATTTGTTATTTGATTGAAGTTTATTTTTCTGTGGCCTCTTCCCATTATTTGTTCCAGTACTATTGAACTGATTTGTAATCCTCTGAAGGTACTATTTTCTCTCATAAATTTATTCCATTGTACAAACTGATCCTTCAGCTTGAAATTCCTTTTCTTCTTTATTTCCTGGCAATTTTTTTTATTATACTTTAAGTTTTAGGGTACATGTGCACAACGTGCAGGTTTGTTACATATGTGCCATCTTGGTGTGCTGCACCCATTAACTCATCATTTACATTAGGTATATCTCCTAATTCTATCCCTCCCCTCTCCCCCGACCCCACAACAGGCTCTGGTGTGTGATGTTCCCCTTCCTGTGTCCATGTGTTCTCATTGTTCAATTCCCACCTATGAGTGAGACCATGCAGTGTTTGGCTTTTTGTCCTTGCGATAGTTTGCTGAGAATGATGGTTTCCAGTTTCATCCATGTCCCTATAAAGGACATGAACTCATCATTTTTTATGGCTGCATAGTATTCCATGGTGTATATGTGCCACATTTTCTTAATACAGTCTATCCTTGTTGGACATTTGGGTTCGTTCCAAGTCTTTACTATTGTGAATAGTGCCACAATAAACATACATGTGCATGTGTCTTTATAGCAGCATGATTTATAATCCTTTGGGTATATACCCAGTAATGGGATGGCTGGGTCAAATGGTATTTCTAGTTCTAGATCCCTGAGGAATCACCACACTGACTTCCACAATGGTTGAACTAGTTTACAGTCCCACCAACAGTGTAAAAGTGTTCCTATTTCTCCACATCCTCTCCAGCACCTGCTGTTTCCTGACTGTTTACTGATCCCCATTCTAACTGGTGTGAGATGGTATCTCATTGTGGTTTTGATTTGCATTTCTCTGATGGCTAGTGATGATGAGCATTTTTTCATGTGTCTTTTGGCTGCACAAATATCTTCTTTTGAGAAGTGTCTGTTCTTGTCCTTCGCCCACTTTTTGATGGGGTTGTTTGTTTTTTTCTTGTAAATTTGTTTGAGTTGTTTGTAGATTCTGGATATTAGCCCATTGTCAGACTGGTAGATTGCAAAAATTTTCTCCCATTGTGTAGGTTGCCTGTTCACTCCGATGGTAGTTTCTTTTGCTGTGCAGAAGCTCTTTAGTTTAATTAGATCTCATTTGTCTATTTTGGGTTTTGTTGCCATTGCTTTCAATGTTTTAGTCATGAAGTCCTTGCCCATGCCTATGTCCTGAGTATTGCCTAGGTTTTCTTCTAGGGTTTTTATGGTTTTAGGTCTAACATTTAAGTCTTTAATCCATCTTAGATTAGTTTTTGTATAAGGTGTGAGGAAGGGATCCAGTTTCAGCTTTCTACATATGGCTAGCCAGTTCTCCCAGCACCATTTATTAAATAGGGATTCCTTTCCCCATTTCTCGTTTTTGTCAGGTTTGTCAAAGATCAGATAGTTGTAGATATGCGGCATTATTTCTGAGGGCTCTGTTCTTTTCCATTGGTCTATATCTCTGTTTTGGTACCAGTATCATGGTGTTTTGGTTACTGCAGCCTTGTAGTATAGTTTGAAGTCAGGTAGCGTGATGCCTCCAGCTTTGTTCTTTTGGCTTAGGATTGACTTGGCAATGCAGGCTCTTTTTTGGTTCCGTATGAACTTTAAAGTAGTTTTTTTCCAATTCTGTGAAGAAAGTCATTGGTAGCTTGATGGGGATGGCATTGAATCTATAAATTACCTTGGGCAGTATGACTATTTTCATGATATTGATTCTTTCTACACATGAGCATGGAATGTTCTTCCATTTGTTTGTATCCTCTTTTGTTTCGTTGAGCAGTGGTTTGTAGTTCTCCTTGAAGAGGTCCTTCACATCCCTTGTAAGTTGGATTCCTAGGTATTTTATTCTCTTTGAAGCAATTGTGAATGGGAGTTCACTCATGATTTGGCTCTCTGTTTGTCTGTTATTGGTGTATAAGAATGCTTGTGATTTTTGCACATTGATTTTGTATCCTGAGACTTTGCTGAAGTTGCTTATCAGCTTAAGGAGATTTTGGGCTGAGATGATGGGGTTTTCTAGATATACAATCATGTCATCTGCAAACAGGGACAATTTGACTTCCTCTTTTCCTAATTGAATACCCTTTATTTCCTTCTCCTGCCTGATTGCCCTGGCCAGAACTTCCAACACTATGTTGAATAAGAGTGGTGAGAGAGGGCATCCCTGTCTTGTGCCAGTTTTCAAAAGGAATGCTTCCAGTTTTTGTCCATTCAGTATGATATTGGCTGTGGGTTTGTCCTAGATAGCTCTTATTATTTTGAGATACGTCCCATCAATCCCTAATTTATTGAGAGTTTTTAGCATGAGGGGTTGTTGAATTTTGTCAAAGGCCTTTTCTGCATCTATTGAGAGAATCATGTGGTTTTTGTCGTGGGTTCTGTTTACATGCTGGATTGCATTTATTGATTTGCGTATATTGAACCAGCCTTGCATCCCAGGGATGAAGCCCACTTGATCATGGTGGATAAGCTTTTTGACGTGCTGCTGGATTCAGTTTGCCAGTATTTTATTGAGGATTTTTGCATCGACGTTCATCAGGGATATTGGTCTAAAATTCTCTTTTTTTGTTGTCTCTCTGTCCTGGCAATTTTCCTTCAGCTTTCAAGTACAACTATTTGGTGTCAGGGAATTATTATGAATGTCTGTGTCCTCAGTGTCTAGCAAGCATCAAGCATCCAGCACAGTGCCTAGCACAAAGGCTACCCAAATTCACCACCTAACATGTGGAGACACAACCATGTCACTTGATTTATGTCCTCACTTTCTTATTTATGTTTGTTGTGAGTCTCTTTTCCTCCTTTCCATTAACTAGTGTTAACTCACTGAGTGCAGGGGTTTTGTTTTCTGCTACATTGCCTTTATGCTGAACAGTAGCTGACACATAAAAAGTTGTCTGACTTTCTCAACTGAGAACTTAATGTTAGAAATAAGTAGATTTTTTTAAACCCCTGTTTTCCATGATGTATGAGAAAACAACAAACTCTGGAGAAAGAACACCTGGATTCTGGTGAACTATGTTCTAGGCCCAGATATTTTTTGTTTTGTTTATTTTATTTATTTTCTTTTCTTTATTTTTTATGAGACAGAGTTTTACTCTTGTCACCCAGGCTGGAGTGCAGTGGCATGATCTCAGCTCACTGCAACCTCCAACTCCCAGTATTCTCCTGCTTCAGCCTGCCAAGTGAGTAGCTGGGATTACAGGGATGTGCCACCATACCTGGTAATTTTTTTTTTTTTTTTTTTTTTTAGTGGAAACTGGGTTTCACCATGTTGGCCAGGCTAGTCTCGAATTCCTGACCTCAGGTGATCTGCCCACCTCAGCCTCCTAAACTGCTGGGATTACAGGCTTGAGCCACCGAGGTGGGCCTAGTTTTACTTTAAATCAGCAATGTGAGCTCAACTCTTAATGACTCTATGAGGTTTCTCAGGAGGTAAACTAGAGGCTTTGGGTGGTTAAATGGCTTTTAACTCTGGCTGGACTTTATAATCCTATATGGGTTAAAATTCACTAACCCAATCTAGATGCGAGGCCTCAGCTCAGTAGGTCTGAAGTCCTCCCAGGTGATTTCCATAAGCAGCCAGATTGAGATCGCCTGTAGCAGAGGGGGGTTATTATGTGCCTTCGCTGTGACCTTCTGAATTTTCATGTGCAAAGAATGACGTTTATTAAGCTTTTTATCCACATGTGGAACAGCTAAGTGTTTTTCATATGACATTATTCTTTCTGGTTAAAAAAATGTCTTTTTGCTTTTGCTTTAACCAAAAATCAGATTGGAGGCATTTGAAGCTGGCAAAATATCACATCATTCACTTCTGGGAAGGGAAACAAAAGCAATGAGGTGAACTACACCGAATGCATTTTGTTTTGCTTTCTCTAAACACACATTTCTCTGCCTTTTACTATGCTGAGAACAGCATGTTCCTGGACCCCTTTCAGAATCTCTGTTCTTCTACCTTTCACTGGGCCAATGAGTTCCATTGACATGGTATTTATGAGATATCCAGAGAGGAGACAAACGGGCCTGACTCATTTGGACACCAAGAAAGCTAGTCGATATTTGTCTCTAACTTTGGCTCTGTACCCACAGACTAAGACTGTGAGCTAAAACAAGGGGAAAAGGAGAAACAATGCAAGAGGCATTGAAAAGAAAACATCAGCCTAAGTCAGTACTCTGCCATGCCGTTAGTAAGATGGCCCTGGAAAGAGCTTGAGTTATTCTGAATGAGTCGTTTTGGAAGCTTAATGAAAGCAAAAAGAGGTATCATATTTAGTCAATCAAAAGAAAAAGTCAACACTCCTACCAGATACTCAAAGTTTTCTATTTTTTGACCCTAGCCTCTTTTCTAACCTTTTAATCTTTCACTTGCATCCTAATACTTGGGCCAATTAAGCATACTTGTAAGTCCCTGAACCGCAAACATTATTTTGTTTTTACTCATGCTATGACCACTGTCTAGAATTTCCCTTTGTCCAGTGATGTAGGCTCACCTTTTAGCTTTACTTCACGGTCACTCTCAAATGCCTTCATCCATACACATAGACACCTTCAAACCCCACTCCAAATGGCAACTACCCCTTCTCTGCTCTTGAGTATCCATGGCTGTCTACTGGTGACTGTTTAAGCTTGTCCTCACACACTTGGCATGGCAGTTATATATGTACACATGCCTCTAACTGTACTCTGAGTTCTGTCAAGGTAGATTTCCAGTCTGATTCATATCTGTGGATACCTCAGTGCTTGACTCAGTATCTTAATTCTAGTTAGACTCTCAATAAATATTTATCTATATAAGGAAGGTTAAAATACATATTATTTTTTAAAGTGTATGTTCTCAAATGACCAACGGCACAATATGGGCACTTGGAACAGTATCAGCAGCCCCAGGAACTCTTATGTTGCCTACAGAATAAACTGATGATGTATAACACACATATATGCACACAAACATAGAGAAAATAACAGTTAGTTAATACTAATTATGCCCCAGCTTCTATTCAGGGTGCTTTACATATGCTATCTTTTCCAAACCTCACAGTAACCCCATGAGATAGGTACCATTCTTTCTATTGTAAACATAGAGAAATTGAAGTTCAGGAAGATTAATTGTCTAAAGTCACAGGCTATGATAATTGTCTTATTGAGCCCTAAACACTTACTCTTTTCACTATGTTCATTGTTTAGATAGATATACAATCTAAAGTGTTTATCGCAGCATTATACACAATAGCAAAGATACAGAATCAAACTAAGTGTCCATCAACCATGATTGGATAAAGGAAATGTGGTATATATACTCAATGGAATACTATTCAACCTTTTATAACAATGAAATCATGTCTTTTGCAACAACATGGATAGAATTAGAGGCCATTATCTTAAGTGAAACAACTCAAACACAGAAAGACAAATACTGCTTGTTCTCACAACTGTGAGCTAAATAACATGTGCACAGGGACATAAAGCGTGGAATAATAGACACTGGAGACTTCAAAGGGGATTAAGAGGAGGTGGGGGATGAGTAATAACTTAATGGGTACAGTGCATGTTATTCTGGTGATGGATACATTAAAAGCTCTGACTTCACCACTACCTTAACCACTATGCAATATATCCATGGAACAAGGTTACACTTATACCCTACAAAATTATACAAAATAAAAGATTCGCTTGAGATTGGTAACAAATTTCCTCAAATCCCTAAAGTCTTAAAGATTACTATCTCTACTTTGGGAACAAAATACATAAAACAGTCAGAGTTCCCTCTCTTATACAATGGTTAGTTTTCAGTATTTTAGTCTTGTTTCATTTTTAAGAATCATAATTATTACCACAGCTATTCTTGTGAATATGAGCATCTTTTTGAGAATTATAGTCAACATATTATCAAAGTGTTATTATTTCTTTTTAAATATATGTTCTGCATTTTGTTTGTATAATCTTATCACATTCAGAGATCAACATCTTTTCCTTTGTTGTTTTAAAATACAGCTAAATTTAAAAAATAATAATGGTTTAAAAGGTATGTGGTTTACAAAAACTCTTTTGGAATTCAGTAATTTCATTAAATAAGTGGGTCCTTTATTTTAAATGTTCAAGCCAGGTAATCACAGAATGCAAAAAAAAAAAAAAAAAAATCTTGCCTTAATCTGATAGCCCTTGTTCCATTTTAGTATCCTTGGTCAGTATTTTACTCATGTTAACTCAAGGGCATTCTAAGGTTGATTGGCACCCTGTAATTAGAATGATTTGATTTTTACTCAATTGAGTCTATCAAGGGATAATGTCAGTTATCCCTTTCTGCTGATCCAATCACCCCTGTGAAAGGAATATTTTTATATAAAGAAATAATAAAAATGACTGAGTAGAATATAATTCTGCAAGCTTTTAAAGTATCAGATTAGCCAAGAAGTTAAAACTTCTGAAAATTGAGGGTGATGATATTGTGTGAGGGGAGCAAATACCAAATCTCAACATAAAACTCAATTCAACACTTCTAAATTTCTCAGGATCTTAAAGAATCATTCGATTTTCAGGATTGGTAAGGATTGTGGTCAGACGGTGAGAAAATATATTCAGACATACTGCTTGGCTTTCCATTGCAAATCATCCAAAGGAGCAAGAAGAGAACAGATGGAAAGAAGCATAGACTATATAACAATTCATCAACATAAGCTTTTCAAGTAACTTTTAAAGCTTACATGTTTAATTATTAATTTGTTGGGTTAATAGCTACAAAATGAAAATAACTGACGAATGCAATCTAAACATAGGAGAATCAGGCCTGCGTTTAACAGACACATGCCCTTGAGGGGCCTCTGTAAAGATAAATAGCATCTCCAGAGTAGGTAAGCTCAGTGTGTTGATGCCAACATCTGTAACTTCTCTCAGCCAAGGACTCAGCACCAATATGCAACTGGCCCCACTGTGACATGCAGACTCTGTGAGTGGTGCCCTTTCAACCAGACATAAAAATTTACATCTACCTATTTTAGGAAACTATCTTTAATATGGTTAAAAAAAGGTCATCATCTCTCTAAGGTCTAGAAAAAGACAAGGGCAAAATATGTAAACTTCAGTGGAACAATGTGTTTTATTTATACCCCCGGGAAATCAAATTATAGGGTTTTAATTGGGCCCACTGTGTAAGCACATATATTCTTTAGTATTTTTCATATTTTCTATTACAAGAATTTTATTTCTTTAACAATTGGCAATCTGTGCTGTTAGTTTCATGCTTGCTTCAGCTGTCCTAAGAGAGAAAATAATGTGGTTTGAACTTACACAACGCTGCATTTGCAAGTATATTTAAGCAATTTCTCTTTGAATAGTCTTATCTCCCTCCACATAAAATATTCCAAATAAGCTTATGTAATTAAGTTAGATGTTAATAGCAAAATCCAGAAATGTTTCTTCTAATTCAATATTACCACTAGAAAGCTTAACGAGAATTGTTGTATTCTTCAAAAACATATATTTTTTTTTGTTTCATACATTTTTGCAGGCTTTTCACTCCTAAAGTATAGAAACTGAAGACGACTTCCTCCTTCCTTTGTTGTATAAATAACCAATAGTCAATCCCTAACTCAAGTGTAGCTAATTTAATAGCATATTAGTAAGAATCATTAATCAACAATTTTTAAAAAAATCGAGTTCACTGTGTGAGTTAGTCAAATGGGAATTTGAATAGCAGTAGTCAATTAGCTAATATTGAAATTGAATACATTCTTATGGCATGTTTTCTTGGCAGATGGGAAACCAGCTGATCCTCGTTTTTACCCATAATCACGTTGTCACACATTTTATTCAGAAAAGTTAATCCAAGTTTGTCTAGCTAATCGTTTATATTAGTCTCAAGATATAAGCTGTTTCATCAACTTTCTCACAGTGAATTTCTAAGGACAATTGTTTACCCAATTTAGCAGGCTAAACAAGGCTTTTCTGCATGTCTCAGAGATATGCCACAAAGAGATTTAGCAAGTCTTCAGGGCTTGCAACAAAGTCTAAAATTTATTTATAATAGATTGTTTATAAAAATGACTATAATAATTCTTTTTTTCTCTTCTTCGCCATGTAACTTCACAGATCCTCTTATCGATGAGTGGAACCTCTTTCTCCATAACTTGAATCTGCACTGGCCATCTGGCTTGCTTTGGCCTAAAGAATGTGGGCCATTTCTGAGTCCAGGCTTCAAGAGGACTTTGCATTTCCTTTTTCTCTCTTGACACACTGTTGAAGTATAATGTAAATGAGCCAGGGCACTCTTAGAAGGTGAGATACGTAGTTCAATGGTTCTCATTGCTCTAGGTGATATCCAGCTAACCCCCAGAAGCAGAGCAACTTGAACAAGTTGCGGCTGACCACTGATCCTCATGGAGTCAGCTTCAATTAGAAGAATTGCTCAACTGAGTGTGGTCTAAATGATCTATTTCTAAATTATGAACACAATAAATGCTTATTGTTTTAAGCCACTGAGAATTAAGGTGACTTGTTATGCAGTAACAGATAATTGATAGACTGTTCATGAGTTCTGTGTCTCTGAAGAGTTTATGTTGTTTGCCTTTGTAATACCTAACATGATGTGTTAAGAGTACTCACTCAATAATAAATTATTTAGTTAACTGAAATGTTTCCATAGCAATAAGAATAGGCAGTTGGTCATTTGATGATTTAGTATGATCCAAATAATCCCTATGAATAATCAATCCATTCTATACCATATTAAGTAATCTGAACATTTAATAGGAATATTGATATATAGAAAAGGCTGAATCTCAAGGTAGGATGGACTGTTTCCACAAAATTTTGATATTGGTTTGAACACCCATACTCTAATACCTGCAGTTATAACAGATGTTAATCATACAAGAAAAATTAGATTAAGTGTTTTCTCCCCATTTTAATGGTCTCTTTTAATGGTCCCAGCACAGCTTAAATTTCTGGAGTTCACTAGCATCTCTATAGTAGTCAAATGACAGAAATATGGCAGCCTTGTTCATCAAAAGTGTAGTCCTCAGACCAGAAAGAACAGTGTCACTTCTGAGCTTTATGGAAATACAAAATCTGATCTGGGGCTAGCTGAAGAATGAAGGAATTAGCCAGACTGAGGGAGAGTCCTTGGGAGGATTGATTCTAGTCTGCAGTCACTTTCTGTTCTTGTTGGAATGTACTATATGGCACAGAGATGGACATTATGGGCTATTGTGACCATGTGATCAAACAAGTTACAATTACAATGGAATCATTGGGCCCCTGCAGTTTCTGTATTTATAAAACCATGCCATTAAAGGGCCTTAAATGACATTTTTCTGAACTCATAGTTCAATGGAAGTCATTTTTTTCTGAAACATGCCTCTCATACCTGGTACACATCAACTTTAAAAAATCAAAAGGCGGGGAAATCTCCCTTATTCTCGTCTAGGGTGAAAATGATCTGTTCTTCCACTCTTCTCCTTAGGAAATGGCAACTTAATCCTTTTTCAGACAGCTATCTTCCCCTAGGAAGCTCTCTTTTTGTGCTCTCAGCTTCAATTACTTCGATTTGCATTTGCCATGTTGTTCTAGAGATGGGGGAAAATGCTTTCTGCAAATGTTAGAGTTTATTTTTACCAAGAGAGCATAAACCAGAGTTGGACTTGAAAATAAAAGGGAGTTTATCTTATGTACTCTCTGACAATAAAAGACTCAATAGAATTTTCTCTTTCAAAAATAAAAAAGAGCTTTATTTCATGTTTGTTGGTCGCATAAATGTGTTCTTTTAAGAAGTGTCTTTTCATATACTTTGCCCACTGTTTTTAGGGGGTTGTTTGTGCTTTTCTTGTAAATTTGTTTAAGTTCCTTGTAGGTTCTGGATATTAGCCCTTTGTCAGAGGGATAGATTGCAAAAATCTTCTCCTATTCTGTAGGTCATCTCTTCACTCTGATGATAGTTTCTTTTGCTGTGCAGAAGCCCTTTATTTAGATCCCATTTGTCAATTTTGACTTTTGTTGCCATTGCTTTTGGTGTTTTACTTACGAAGTTTTTGCCCATGCCTACATCCTGAATGGTATTGCCTAGGTTTTCTTCTAGGGTTTTTATGGTTTTAGGTCTTACGTTTAAGTGTTTAATCCATCTTGAGTTAATTTTTGTATAAGGTATAAGGAAGGGATCCAGTTTCAGTTGTCTGCACATGGCTAGTCAATTTTCCAACACCATTTATTAAATAAGGAATCATTTCCCCATTGTTTGTTTTTGTCAGGCTTGTCAAATATCAGATGGTTGTAGATGTGTGGCATTACTTCTGAGGCCTCCGTTCTGTTCCATTGGTCTATATATCTGTTTTGGTACCAGTACCATGTTGTTTTGGTTACTGTAGCCTTGTAGCATAGTTTGAAGTCAGGTGGCATGATGCCTCCAGCTTTGTTCTTTTTGCTTAGGATTGTCTTGGCTATACAGACTCTTTTTTGGTTCTATATGAAATTTAAAGTAGTTTTTTCTAATTCTGTGAAGAAAGTCATTGGTAGCTTGATGGATAGGCATTGAATCTATAAATTAATTTGGGCAGTATGGCCATTTTCACAATATTGATTCTTCCTATCCATGAGCATGGAATGTTTTTCCATTTGTTTGCATCTTAATTCCTTGATCAGTGGTTCATATTTCTCCTTGAAAAAGTCCTTCACATCCCCTGTAAATTGTATTCCTAGGTATTTTATTTTCTTTGTAGCAATTGTGAATGGAATTTCACTCATGATTTGGCTCTTTCTTTGTCTATTATTGGTGTATAGGAATGCTTGTGATTTTTGCACATTGATTTTGTATCCTGACACTTAGCTCAAGTTGCTTATCAGCTTATGGAGATTTTGGGCTGAGACGATGGGGTTTACTAAATATACAATCATGTCATCTGAAAACAAAGACAATATGACTTCCTCTCTTCCTATTTGAATATCTTTTATTTCTTTCTCTTGCCTCATTGCCCTGGCCAGAACTTCCAATACTATGTTGAATAGGAGTGGTGACACGGGACATCCTTGTCTTATGCCAGTTTTCAAAGAATGCTTCCAGCTTTTGCCTGTTCAGTATGATATTGGCTGTGGGTTTGTCGTAAATAAATGCCCTTATTACTTTGAAATAAGTCCCATCAAAACCTCGTTTATTGATAGTTTTTAGCATGATGGGGTGTTGAATTTTATCGATAGCCTTTTCTGCATCTATTGAGATAATCGTGTGGTTTTTGTCATCGTTTTATTTATGTGATGGATTATGTTTATTGATTTGTGTAAGTTGAACCAGCCTTGCATCCCAGGGATGAAGCTGACTTGATCGTGGCGGATAAGCTTTTTGATGTGCTGCTGGATTCGGGTTGCCAGTATTTTATTGAGAATTTTTGCGCTGATGTTCATCAGGGATATTGGCATGAAATTTTCTGTTTTTCTTGTGTCTCTCCCAGGCTTTACTGTCAGGATGATGCTGGCCTCATAAAATGAGTTAGGGAGGAGTCCCTCTTTTTCTATAGTCTGGAATAGTTTCAGAAGGCATGGTACCAGCTCCTCGTTGTACCTCTGGTAGAATTCGGCTGTGAATTTGTTTGGTCCTGGGCTTTTTTTCGGTTGGTAGGCTATTAATTACTGCCCCAATTTCAGGACTTGTTATTGGTCTATTCAGGGATTCGACTTCTTCCTGGTTTAGTCTTGGGAGGGTATATGTCTCCAGGAATTTATCCATTTCTTCTAGATTTTCTAGTTTATTTGCGTAGAGGTGTTTATAGTATTCTTTGATGGTAGTTTGTATTTCTGTGGTATCCGTGGTGATATCCCCTTTATCATTTTTATTGTGTCTATTTGATTCTCCTCTCTTTTCTCCTCTATTAGTCTGGCTAACATTCTACCTATTTTGTTAATCTTTTCAAAAAACCAGATCCTGGATTCATTGATTTTTTTGAAGGGTTTTTTGTGTCTCTATCTCTTTCAGTTTTGCTCTGATCTTAGTTATTTCTTGTCTACTGCAAACTCTTGAATTTGTTTGCTCTTACTTCTCTAGTTCTTTTAATTGTGATGTTAGGATGTCGATTTTAGATCTTTCCTGCATTCTCCTGTGGGCATTTAGTGCTGTAAATTTCCCTCTGAACACTGCTTTAGGTGTGTCCCATAGATTCTGGTACGTTGTGTCTTTGTTCTCATTAGTTTCAAACAACGTATTTATTTCTGCCTTAATTTCGTTATTTACCCAGTAGTCATTCGGGAGCAGGTTGTTCAGTTTTCATGTAGTTGTGCGGTTTTGAGTGAGTTTCTTAATCCTGAGTTCTAAATTGATTGCGCTGTGGTCTGAGAAACTGTTTGTTATGATTTCTGTTCTTTTGCATTTGCTGAGGAGTGTTTTACTTCTAATTTATGTGGGCTGTTTTAAAATAGCTGTGATGTGCTGAGAAAAATGTATATTCTGTTGATTTGGGGTAGAGAGTTCTGTAGATGTCTGTTAGGTCGGCTTGGTCCGGAGCTGAGTTCAAATCCTGAATATCGTTGTTAATTTTCTGCCTTGTTGATCTGTCTAATATTGACAGTGGAGTGTTAAAGTCTCCCACTATTATTGTGTGGGAGTCTAAGTATCTTTGTAGTCTCTAAGGACTTACTTTATGGATCTGGGTCGTCCTGAATTGGGTGCATATGTATTTAGGATAGTTAGCTCTTCTTGTTACATTGATCCCTTTACCATTAAGTAATGGCCTTTGTCTTTTTTACCTTTGTTGGGTTAAAGTCTGTTTTATCAGAGACTGGGATTGCAACCCCTGCTTATCATCAGTGGTCATCAAAGACATACAAATAATAACCACAACAAGATACCATCTCATGCCAGTTAGAATGGTGGTCATTAAAAACTCAGGAAACAACAGATGCTGGAGGGGATGTGAAGAAATAGGAAGGCTTTTACATCGCTGGTGGGAGTGTAAATTAGTTCAACCATTGTGGAAGACAGTGTGGTGATTCCTCAGGGATCTAGAACCAGAAATACCATTTGACACAGCAATCCCTTTACTGGGTATATTCCCAAAGGATTATAAATCATTCTACTGTAAAGACATGTGCACACATATGTTTATTGCAGCACTATTCACAATACCAGAAACTTTGAACCAACCCAAATGCCCATCAATGAGAGACTGAATAAAGAAGATGTGGCACATATACACCATGGAATACTATGCAGCCATAAAAGAACAATGAGTTCATGTTTTTTGCAGAGATGTGGATGAAGCTGGAAACCATCATTCTCAGCAAACTAACACAGGAATAGAAAAATCAAACACCACATGTTCTCACTCATAAGTGAGAGTAGAACAATGAGAACACATGGACACAGGGTGGGGAACATCACACACTGGGGCCTGTTGGGGTGTGGGGACCTAGGGGAGGGATAGTATTAGGAGAAATACCTAATGTAGATGACTGGTTGATGGGGGCAGCAAACCACTATGGTACATGTATACCTATGTAACAAACCTGCACGTTCTGCATGTGTATCCCAGAACTTAAAGTATAATAATAATTAAAAAATGAAGCTAGAAAGCATAAATTTTTTCAAATAAGTAAATAGTAAAAAAGAGGAAGCCCTAGTAACTTTGACTGATAAAGACATGTGATTTTATTTCTACTAGTAATTTGCTACTTCTAAAAAGCCAGAGAGGCTCCCATTATCGTATTTATAAATCAATATGAAAATCATTTCTAAAAAAATTTCTAAGAAATGATCCAAATATGGAGTTTATATGCATAAGTTTGCTTTGGTTTAGTTTTTTGTGGTATTAAAAACTTGAAAGCAACTGAGATAACCAACGGTATTGAAAGAGTGAAATGAATCATGGTACAATCTTTTTGTGAAGCATTATGAATCCAGAAGTGGAAATTTGCTTATACTGCAGTGAACACTAAATGTAATTGCAAAATATTATGACTGTCATGTTTGCTCTGTAGAAGTTTCATATGCAAAAGTGAAAGCAAAACTTTCCGAAGCTTAGCTAGTGAAATTTAATAAACAAAAAAGCAATAAGGCTGATAAATGCATCTCAAATTTGCACAGCATAGTGGTTTTAATGCTCAAATAAATTCATAACAGCTTTTGGGTACCTAACATGTAATGAAGTATGGGAGTCCTAATTTCAAAATAAAAATTACAGTAGAGTTTCATTTATTAAATTGCTTTTTATTTTCCACACTTTAAAAATATTATCAAAACTTTTATAATTTAAAGATGGATGAAAGCTACTGTTTATGGCAATGTTGTGGACTAGATAATATGAAAACCTTCTTGTTATCAAAATCCTGGAAAATGCTAGTAGCAACATATTAATATTAATTTGAAATTACATAGTTAATTTTGAAAATGAATCCCCAAAGGTCAAAATCAAAGAAGAAATTGGTAAACAGAGTCATTAGCTGAAACGGATGACTTGGTTGTTCTTAGGGTAACTTGTTATTCGAGAGGAATGTCCAAGAGGACTGGGATTTAATAATTATGCAAGGAGAAGAAATGTGGATTTGTGTTGACAATAGACAACGGGTGATAACTTCTTCATGAAGCCTGGGCAATTCAAGGCTGCAACTTAAATGAAAGTGTGGACAAGAGTGATCCACTCACATTCCTGGAGTGATAACAAAGCAACTTGTCTGCTTCATCTTGGAGGCTATGTAAGAAAAAATATCTCCTGGAAAATTCGTAATTTTAGATCTTCCTTCACATTGGGTCGAAGATGTTGTTTGCTGGTTTAATAATAGGGTATCTAGGGGAGGAGGAAAGTACTGATATCTAGCATCTGCTAATTTCTGTGGTGACAATAACATTACTATGGCTGATTTCAGGCTACCAATGTGATATCATGAACTAGGAATTGGGGAGAGATGTGGACCGTCAGCTGACACAAGCTAGTGTGAGCTAGCTTCATCCAGCACCCTACTGATTTAAAGAGTGAACTCATATTACTTGAATAATCCAGCAATAAAAAGATCATAGAAGGGTTATATATTCAGTAAAAAGGTGAACTAGAAAAAATAAACAACCCATTGGAACATTTAATATATTTATTGCCTATTTATAATTTGATTCTGCAACTTAAAATACAGAGGTCCTTTCTAAAAATGTTTACACAGGCACCTGGCCTCACCTAGTTTTCCAGGTCAGCTGTATGCCATTCTCAAAGTTCAGGAAACCCTAACAAGAATTGCTTTAGGACTTATCTCTGATGCATCTGACAAAGCAAATACAATATTGGTCTGAAGAAGAAACTCTCCAGCTAGTTTGCACAGAAAACATCCAGTGAAAAATAATAAGTTCATAATACAAAAATTAAAACATGCAATGAAACAAAATATATGTCAACATTAGCAGAAACAAAAATAAGCAGTATAAACCTTAAACAACTGTATAAATTTTGTGTGTGTGTTTGTCTCTATGTTTGTGTGTGGAGGCATATCTGTGTGATTCCATGTCTTTAATAATGGTAGAACCATTTGTGCTTTCAAAATCTTCTGAATGAGTTTAAGGCTATATTTTTGTCAAAGAAGTTCTGGATTTCACCCAGTTTTCAAATTTATTTTCACAGAACTTCCTGAAAACTTTCTTATTACTTCAGTTTTATTGTAGGTATAATTATGTTTTACTGTTCATTTCTGTGACTACTTATGTCTCACTCCTTTTTTTATCATATTTTCAATGCTCTTAGGATGTATCTATTTACTGAGACTTTTCAAAGAACATGTGTTTCATTTTATTACACTTAAATATTGTTTCTTAGAGTTCTAGTTTATTGAAATCTGTTTATATTCTTATTTCTTGGTAATTTCTTTCTTGGGTTTTCTTTGGAATTAAAATATTAGTCTTTACAAAGTATTCTTGTGTTGGGGGCTTAAGTCATTAACTCAATAAATTCCTTTTATTTCAAGTATGCATTTCTAAATCTATTACTCTTTATTGTCCCTATTGTTCCATTCTAAAAATTTGAACGTTTGCAGAGAATAGAATGCCAAATATTCCCTTGTTTTATAAAGCTAATATATGTTTGATTTAGACAAGATTAGCATGGAAAATAAATTCTATATACATGACATTTCACCTATGAGTATGGGTGCAAAAACAGAGTCAATAAAATGTTAGCAAACAAAATGTGATAATATATATTTTAATGCAATGTAAATATCTTGTGTTCATACTGCAAGAGCAACTGTGATTCTGAATATGTAAATATATTATGTCAGTTCCCACTACCATAAGTAGAAAATAATATGATTAGCTCATTAGTGCTATTGTGTCTGGAATGTATTCCTTCCGGTGGGTTCTTGGTCTTGCTGACTTCAAGAATGAAGCCACGGACACTCGCAGTGAATGTTACAGTTCTTAAAGGTGGCGCATCCAGAGTTGTTTGTTCCTCCCAGTGGGTTTGTGGTCTCGCTGACTTCAGGAGTGAAGCCGCAAACCTTCACAGTGAGTGTTACAGCTCATAAAGGTAGTGCAGACCCAAAGAGTGAGCAGCAGCAAGATTTATTGTGAAGAGTGAAGGAACGAAGTTTCCACAGTGTGGAAGGGGACCCAAGTGGGTTGCTGCTGCTGGCTCAGGTGGCCAGCTTTTATTCCCTTATTTGGCCCCGCTACATCCTGCTGATTGGTCCATTTTACAGAGTGCTGATTGGTTCATTTTTACAGAGTGCCGACTGGTGTGTTTACAAACCTTTAGCTAGACACAGAGTGCTGATTGGTGCGTTTTTACAGAGTGCTGATTGGTGCATTTACAATCCTCTAGCTAGACATAAAAGTTCTGCAAGTCCCCACTCAACCCAGGAAGTCCAACTGGCTTCACCTCTCAATCTCCCATCTAAACAGGACACCCCAACTGTTGTCGGGAATTGGGCGATGACCGCTTTAGCTACTTCCTGCTGGATAGTGGTGAATAAGGGCCCCTGCAGTTGTAGTGTCCTCCAGAGGGGAATTCTTTAGGCCAGTGAAAGGGCCAGCCCATTGGTCCAGGGGTACTTGGTAGAAGTTGTTAGTTGAGTTCATTTGGGGTTCCATTTGTAAGACCATCTGTAGCTTGATGGCCTCGATCCTAGAGGAAACAAATTTGACAAGGAGTTTAAAAATACAGGCCCAAAGGCAAGTAATAGCAAGATGGCTGTCACAGGACCTAGAAAGGGGTGAAGCCATGTCGCCCAACTCCGGAGGTTGGTATAAGAGTTTGAAAGGCGTCGTCTGTTTTCAGAAGCCTTTTCCTGTAAATGCCAGGCAGCATCTCATACTATCCCTGACTGGTTAGTGTAAAAAGAACACTCTTCCCCTAAGAAGGTGCATCATCCTCCTTTCTCAGCAGTGAAGAGGTCTAGGCCTTGACGGTTCTGGAGAGGCACTGATGCCAAAGAGTCTATTTGGGATTGTAGAGTAAGCATAGATTTCGTTACTTCTTGCAAACTGTCTGAGAAATCCTTTGAGAATGTGTGGTATTAGCATAATACATGTTACACTGTTAACTTTTAGCAAACTTTACTTTTGTTGAAAACCTTGTAAGTTTGGCATTTTAATTTTTCTTTGCTATTAATAAAACCTCGTTCAGTCCATATTAACTTAGAATTTGTGTCTACAATGATAACAAGGTGGTATTGGAGTGTTAGAGGGTTATGGAGAAGACCTTCAATTATCAATTATAGGTTTCAAATTTACCCTGGCTTTTAAAGAAATAGGGTGCACTGTTTTTTCTTTACTACTTCTATCTCTCTCTCTCTCTGTCGATTATCTGTCTCTTTCTCTCTCTTTCCTTCTCTCTGTCTTTCCTCTCTCTTTCTCTGACTTTCTGTCTCTCTGTCTTTTCCTCTCTCTCTCTCTGTCTCTCTTTGACTTTCTGCCTTTTTTTCTCTCTTCCTCTCTCTGTCTCCTTCTCTTTGACTTCCTGTCTTTCTCTCTCTTTCTTTCTCTCTTTTTCTCTCTGTCTCTTCCTCTCTCTCTCTGACTTTCTGTCTCTTTCTCTCTTTCATTTCTGCTGGTCTTTCCCTGCCTCTGCCAGCCACTTAAGCTGCTGTTCTCCCTTCTCCTTCCCCTTTTTGAAGGCTTTGGCAGCGTAAGACTGCCACCTCCTTGGATTTTTGCACTGCATGCAATAACTCCATGATTTCCTTCTGGTATTTAATAGGGGTTCCCCCAGAGGTTAGGAACTCCCTTTCTTTCCATATTGCAGCATGGGCATGTAGGATTAGATAAGCATACTTGCTATCTGTATACACATTTATTCTTCTTCCCTTTCCCAGTTCTAAGGCTTGGGTAAGTGCCACTAGTTCTGGTAACTGGGCAATGGTCCTTGGGGGAAGAGGCTTACTTTCAAGTACTGTTACATCACTAACTATGACATAACCTGCCCTTCATACCCCATTCTCCACAAATGAACTTCCATCGGTATATAGGTTAAGGTCAGGATTAGCTAAGGGGACTTCTAAAAGATCCTCTCGAGCAGCAGAAGTCTGGACTATAATTTGTTGGCAGTCATGCTCGATTGGTTCCCCATCCTTTGGGAGAAAAGTGGCAGGGTCGAGGGCTGCACACATGCATATTTGAAGCACAGGTCCCTCAAGGAGTAATGCCTGGTATCTAAGTAGGCAGTTGTCTGATAGCCATAAACTTCCTTTGGCACCTAGTATGCCATTTACATCATGAGTAGTCCAGACAGTGAGATCCTTTCCTTGTATTATTTTGATAGCCTCTGACACTACGACAGCCACCATCGCAACTACCCATAAACAGTGAGGCCAGCCTTTTGCTAGTATATAAATTTCCTTACTTAGGTATGCCACTGGTTGTGGGGTTGTCCCACGAGTCTGATTAAGGACCCCAAGAGCTATTCCTGCTCTTTCTGTGTCGTATAAAGACAAGTTTTGTCCTGTGAGAAGGCCTAAGGCTGGAGCTTGAGTTTGTTCCTTCCAATGCCCAGACTTCAGGGTTGCTTCCCTCCTCAAGCAGGGGACAATAAATGTGTAACTTGTTCCCCATATTCACGTAGATAATAGCTCCAGCTTTGGCTATTATATCCCTCCCTAATAAGGGTATGGGACTTTTAGGCATAACAAGAAAGGCATGTGAAAAGAGCAAAATCTCCCAATTACAACTGAGGAAGTGGGAGAAATACTTGGTTACAGGCTGTCCCAGGATTCCTCAGTTGGTAATGGACCTTGAGGACAGTTGTCTGGGACAGAAGATTAACACTGAGAAGGCCGCGCCAGTGTCCAGGAGGAAGTCAATTTCCTGGCCCTCAATGGTTAAACGTACCCAGGGCTCAGTGAGGGTGATGACATGAGCTGGTGCTTGCCCTGGGCACCCTCAGTCCTGTTGTTAGATCATCTGGCTGGGGGCTTCTGGCCCAGAGAACCTTTGTCCTCTGGGGCAGTGCACCTTCCAGTGATTTCCTTGGTATAGTGGACATGGGCGAGGGGGCAGCTTGTTTCTCATTGGACAATCTTTTGTAAAGTGTCCTTGCAAACCACACTGATAACAAGCCCCACCAGGTGATTGGCCTGCTCCATTTTCTGTCCTCTCTGAACCAGCAAGGTTTGTTTGTCTGAGGGCCATGACTAAGACTGCGGCCTTTCTCTGATCTCACTTTTCCTTTTTGGCCTGTTCCTCTTGGTCCCTATTATAGAACACCAAGGTTGCCAGGTTTAATAATGCCTCCAGATTTTGTTCAGGGCCCAGGGCTCACTTTTGGAGCTTTCTTCTGATATTCGTGGCTGATTGGGTAATAAACTTATCTTTTAGAATCAATTGACCCTCTAGTGAGTTGGGTAACAGGGGAGTATATTTTCTTAAGGCCTCCCATAGCCACTCGAGGAAGGCAGAAGGATTTTCTTCCTTTCCCTGAGTTACGGTGGACATCATTGAAGAATTCATGGGCTTTTTCCTAATTCTCCTTAGTCCTTCTAGAACACAGGTCAGCAGATGTTTATGACTCCAGTCCCCATGATCTGAGTCAAGGTCCCAGTGGGGATCCATACTGGGGATGGCTTGCTGACCAGTAGGGAATTTGTCCCTTTCTTAGGCTGTCATTCTATCATTTTCTTGACTAAGATACCAGGTATCTCCAAACTCTCGGGCTGCAGCTAAAGCTGTATTCTTTTCATTAAAGGCCAGGGTTTGATCTAACAATAGCATGACATCTCTCCAAGTGAGATAGAAGGTTTGCCCTAGACCCTGTGGGACATTTTTGTACCTATCAGGATCATCTGAAAACTTCCCCAGGTCTGCCTTGATCTGCTTTAAATCGGAGAGGGAAAAGGGGACATGTACCTAGGTTGGGCCAAATTCCCCTGCCATTACAGCTTGAAGGGAAGTGGACATAACCGATAGTCTGGGGGTTTTTGTGGTCCTTTGGAGATTTCTTTGCTTATTTCTGTCTGGGCAGGGGAGATTAGAGGAGGCTCATTATTAATAGGAAGGGGAGCTATAGGGAGGCTAGCATAGAGAGGTCCTCCTGTGGGATGTAAATTGCAAGCTTTGCATAGTTGTGTATTCTCCTTCAATGAAAAGAAAGCTTGGACATAATGTATTTCACTCCATTTGCCTTCCCTCTTACAGAAACGGTCCAAGCTTCAGGATAGTATTGTAATTTATACTTCCCTCAGGTGGCCATTTTTCCCCATCAGAGAGAGAATATTGGGGCCAGGCCGTAGTGCAGAAAAAAATGAGCCACCTCTTTTTCAGGGTTTGCAGGTCAAATTGGTCACAATGGCTTAGGTTGCATTTCAAGGGTGAGTCTGTTGATGCCTGAGTGTTTCCCATCTGAAAGACAAAACCACCCACAGTTTTGGTTTGTTTGTTTTCCCCCAACCCAAGAATCCACAACGGTCCCTGGACCCTGCTGATCATAATAGTTGCACTCACCGACGCAGCAGCAGAAACACCTCTTGCCCAAGAACATGCAATGGTCCCTGGACCCTGCTGATCAGAATAGTTGCACTCACTGACACAGCAGCAGAAATACCTCTTGCCCAAGAACCCGCAACAGTCCCTGGACCCTGCTGGTCAGAATAGTTACACTCACCGATGCAGCAGCAGAAACATAGTTTTCCTCCTGGACCACAAGGAGGACCAAGGAAGGTCAGATTTAGTGGCCCTTACCAATGCATTCTTGAAAACCTGCACCCTTGCCTGTCCTCCTAGACCACAAAGAGGACCCAGAAAAATCAGATTTAGTGGCCCTTACCAACACATTCTTGAAAACCTGTTAGAGTCCTAAGCATTCTCCTGTTAGTATTGGGACTTTACTCGTCTCCTATAAAGATGTTATGCCCCAAAAATGAAGTGGAGGGCCATACCCTGAGGGAGGGAAGGGATCTCCAGGGTTGGAAGAGTGACACCTTTTGTCCTCACTTGAATAGGAAGGATATCATTTCTGAAGCTCCCCATATCCTAGCTTCAGGAATAGCTTTTGTTAGGCCTGCTAGTCTGAGAAGGGATCCTAAAATTCCAGATAGTCCCCGACCCTGACGGGGCTTTGAGTAAAAATTATGTCTTTCTGATTGGTGAGCCCAGGTGCCTAAAGAAGGTAACAGAGTCCTGAAGTTTATACTAGAAATCATTCTTATAGGAGAAATTAGAAAAGCACCAGAGACAGGGAGTGGTTTTTAGAAGCAGGACTAGCCTTGGAGGAAAGAGGCGAGAGGAAGTTTGTCTGACAGGTGCTAGGACCCAAGGAGGCAAGGGTCAGGAAAGATAGGATAGACGGGCAAGTCTTGCTTGGGTGACATGACTTTGAGAGTTCCGCTCATGGCCGCAGGGTCAACCAACTTGTTGTCAGGACCCTGGAGCTGAATGGCTTTCCTCTCTGTCGACCCTCGGCTCAGCCCAGAAGTACAGGAAAAGCAGGAGCTGGTTCCAGGCAAACCAACACTCCCAAATCCGAAGAGTCGGAGGTTGTTAGAGAGCCCTTTCCCAGAAAGCCTGACACCCGTGTCTTTAGTGCAGCAGCCGTGTTAGTCACTTTTAACTGGCCAATAGGTGCCCAGTATTTAGCCCCCCGAATTCTAAGGAAAAATAGGACAGAATATTAAGCGAAAGGGGTCCGATGGTACTCACTGCTTGGTGATTGTCCCTTTGTTGTCACCAAAATGTGTCCGGAATTTATTGCTTCTAGTGGGTTCTTGGTCTCGCTGACTTCAAGAATGAAGCCACAGACCCTCACAGTGAGTGTTACAGTTCTTAAAGGTGGTTCGTCCGGAGTTGTTTGTTCCTCCTGATGGGTTCATGGTCGCGCTGACTTCAGGAGTGAAGCTGCAGAACTTTGCAGTGAGTGTTACAGCTCATAAAGGTAGTGCAGACCCAAAGAGTGAGCAGCAGCAAGATTTATTGTGAAGAGCAAAAGAACAAAGCTTCCACAGTGTGGAAGAAGACTCGAGCGGGTTGCTGCTGCTGGCTTGGGTGGCCAGCTTTTATTTCCTTATTTGGCCCCGCCTACATCCTGCTGATTGGTCCATTTTACAGAGTGCTGATTGGTGCGTTTTTACAGACTGCTGATTGGTGTGTTTACAAACCTTTAGCTAGACACAGAGTGCTGATTGGTGCATTTTTACAGAGTGCTGGTTGGTGCGTTTACAATCCTCTAGCTAGACATAAAAGTTCTCCAAGTCACCACTCCACCCAGGAAGTCCAGCTGGCTACACCTCTCACTATGAATGAGTAAGTAACCTATATTAGTTACTTGACTGGTCTTGTCTGTAGAAGAGAGACCTGTGAACTTTGATAATATAGATCCCATTGTGATATACCAAAGATTAATTTCAGTAATTGAGCAGCCTACACATTGTCTCTCCTTTAGGTGGAAAGAGGGAAATGGAAATATGGTAGAATCTCTTCTTAATTGAAATGAAATCTTAGCAATTTTACTTAGATGTATTAAATTCACAGCAAGAGAATAAACTGGAATTTGCTCACTATGAAAGATGATGGTAATTTTTAAGTAATATATATGTATACATTTATTTATTCAAATAAAAAATTAACAATCTCATAATGTGATATTAAAATCATTCATATCAGAGACATTCATTGTTGACAAAATATTTCTGTATGAAAATAATACTAATTCGGTATTTAGTAACATTTCTTCACTGGAAAATATTATCTCATATATTATGCATATAATACATAACTTCTTTTTATTATTTTAATTATTTACTGGTAATTAGTATAACTTAAGTGTATGTGCGTTAGAGGGTACATATGATGAATGTGTCTGTGTGTTTATATGAAGTATATATGTACTAGATCATATACTTGTTCAAGTTTCCCTTCAAATACACACAGAATTATTTGGACTACTTCTTATAAATTAATGATTCATTTACCTTATATATTAGTAAAGTGCATTTTATCTATATCTTTGGAACTGGAGAGAGTAAGTAATAATGAACAGAGGGAGAGGAGGATTTGTGCTGATTTCTCAGAAGAGGCAGTGAAAATATTTTCCTTATTTTCTTACTATCTTACACTTCCTTACTACAGAACTTTTCTTTACATGACTATCCCACTGAGAATTACAGAAGAATTTAAGCATTTTCCATGAAAGAGAGATCTGGTAAGTCAAACTTACTAATTTATCTCTTTTCTGCCTCATTTTTTGGGGGGATATTTAAAATACAGTATTAATTAATGCTGAAGAATCAGTGTTTATTCCTAGATACACAGAGACCTAGAATGTAGGACATATTTGGATGGAAATGTATAGTTCCTGTGCTTGGAATTCAGGTTTGCATTTGGTGCCAAAGATACAATCTAAGTAAGATACAGTCCGTGCTTTCAAGGAACTTGACAGATTTCTGAAGTAGACAATTAAGTTTACAATAAAAAGTGGCAACTACAGGCTACATGTAGAGAAAAGGCAGAAATAGAAAAATCTAAAAAATGAAAACCTTCTTTAACATGTATTAGATTATTAATTTGTATTGTATCTGAAGCCATCAAAATCCCTACTAGCAGAATAAGACACCAAAATATACCAAATTTTTGTAAGTTAAACTCCTATGAAATGTTATTATAAAATTTATTACATAGTGTTAGAGAAACCTGGAAGAGTGAATTGAACTCACTACATGGGAAGGTTTGATAGTAACTTAAGTCATTAAGTATATGTGCATTTCCTATATGTTCTTAGTCCAGCTACTTCTTAATTCTGTTTTTTTTATCTCAACGTGTAGAAACTATATTAATACATACGAGAATATTTGCAATACACACAGCCCATAAAATATAGTTCTTTTTATCATTAAGTCCATGTGTTTGTTAACTATTCAACTCCAATGTTTCACTTACGTGTTTTTTATTACTTCCTAACAGAATATACTTTAATATAAGACAGTCTTTCATATGGAAGGTTCTTATGCTGTAAAATTAAATGCAATTTCACCAATTGCATACAATAATTAATTTAAATAATTTAAATTAATTTAAAATAAATACGCTGTTGTATAATACTTTAAATTACCACTGAGTTGTGTATATTATATATTGAAAATGTTCTCCTCCATAGCTTGAAACGTTAGAGGGTATTTTCCCTCTTTCTTTTCTTTTGTCTTGCTTTACTCACCACTCCTAACCTCCCTGACGTATTACCATAGAAGAAAGTATAATCCAGGAATGAAGTTAATAAGGAGAACTATCCAAATTTAACTTTATTTCTGAAAATAGTTTGCCTGATTTCTTCATGGGTGCTATTTGATTAGAGTAACTCATTTCCAGACCAGGAATTATTATAGATCATGAAGATGAAAATGTCTCACATTCAAAGTAGAATAGAGGCCAAAGAAAATAAAATTAACTGCAGGGTCAATATGTTCCTTAAATGTAGAATAAAGCCAGAACCATTAACTAAAAAACTTTAAATAATAAAATAAGGAATCCTTCAAATTGCATTCTTCAACATCGGTTTTGTCAACATGATTATTCTGAATGATATAGCCTGACTAGGAATTAAATGCCACGTGTTAGAATACTACAGAATGGCAACTTGAGCTGGCAATAGCCTGACACTTATGATAATCGGCCACATTTGGGAAGTCATTATGATTAGCCTAGGGTCTTCAAAAATCGCTTCTCAGGGATTTCTTAACACCTCAAAGAAATGAGGCTGCATGCATTTTCTGTGGACATTTTCTTTGTCTGTTACCCTACTTTGGGAACTAGGTCAGTCCTGAATGTCTTGAAGCTTACCATGTGCTATAAGACTGATGGTATCTCTTTTCAGCTGTAATTTTAGATATGGCAGGAAGAGTTATTTCCACTCTCTTTATGTCCCCAGTTCTGCTTTGTGTTGAGGTGAAAACACTAACTTTTTTCTAATTTCTCCTTATTTTTCCTCTTCTCCTCTTCTCTTCATAAAACATGGGCAAATAAGCACTTAGGTTCCTTTTATTTCTCCAGTTTTTGCCCATGCAGTCTCTCTCTCTCTCTGTCCTCTCTCTCTCTCATTCTCTCTCTCTCTCTCCCTCTGTCTCTCTCTGTCACACACACACACACACACACACACACACACACACACATTCACACACACGATCTGGAAATCAGTAATTCTTGTACACACTCCTACTTTGACTTGCTTGCCTGCAAACCTCATAAGGCATCTCCAGGCTGGAGGTTCACCTTCAATAAACATAGAGCTGTCTATTTCACAGCTATCTTTTGGCCATGAAATAAAACCTTTTAGAAGAAAATACTTAAAATTGGCATGGTAGAATTTTAGTTTTCTCCTATTTACCTTTCAAGAGACAATGTAATGAAGACTTTCTATTTAACAAACAAAGCCTGCTATTTCAAATGAGGGTTTCTAGATTATTCTAGATAAAACTAGTTATCTGTGGAGAATCATCTCCAACTCTTACCACATTATCTGGTAACTAAGTGTTCTCTTGTGCTTTTCTCTGATATATATCAAATTTCAACCTTATTTTACTAAAATTGTTGAGTTGACCTCCCTTAGGAACTTCAGCATGCGTGTTGCGTAACACATTTCACAATTACTGTTGTCTCTGGGGAAGGAAGGGGCTCATAATTTATCTCTCAGATTCTGGGAGAGTCCTGCTGGCAACGTAATTGTGAAAGTTGCTAAGACAACACCAGCCTTTCCTGAGAGCTGAAGGCCACATAGAAAAAACACTCAAATGCTGCCTTTCAGCCTTGAGGGGTCAACAGAAAACTTCAGTTATAGATGTGGTCCAGGTGATGGGGATTCTGACCACAGCAACATTTAATTTTCTTTTCAATGAATTATTTCCACATCATCCTGAGATTCTTGTTTTTACTTTCTCTGTTCTTTTCCTTATTTTTCTACCTTTACCTAGACCTTCTTACTGCCTAGCTTACTCTTCTAGACCCTTCAAAAGAATATTTGAATGGTTTATAGAGATCATAAAAATAACACAAAACCACACACTCTCATTTTTATATCAAGACTTATCTTAAAATTGATCTTAAAATGGATAAGCCACCATAAACTAAAAATTCACTTTAGTAACAATAAAACATTTAAAGTTTACAGTGTAGAAGTAAAGGCCTCCACCCACCCAATGAGATAAAAATTCAAGTTAAATAAAAAACAAAGTTTGCTTTCTGATTCTATTAATGTAGTACTAACAAAAGTTCTCATTAAAAATAAAGTCCACTTAAAAAATTACAGCATCTCTCTAGTTCTGTCTATGATTATTACGGAACAATAATACTTTGCAGCATCAACATTACACTGATTGAATGATTTTATGTAGATTTTTTATGAGGAAAAGATATGAAAAAAATACAGGCTTTACAAATTTTTGTTTCATATAGTTTTTCTAAGCAACAAAGATTTAAGATCTTTAATGAAATTTGCTTACTTCATAGTGACCCATTTATAGAAAATAAAAGAAATAATAATAATAATTTTATTCTTTCAACTTGTTTTTATAATTCTCTATACAGTCAAGAAACATAAACGTGGTATAAGCTGTGCTTACTAGCTTTTAAATGTTCTCATAAAACACCAATAGCTGAATTTCTTCACCAATATGCTCCTCTAAATTAAAAGTAGTAGATCAGAGTGACTTTTATTCTGACTATAATTACATATTTTCCACACTAACCTACTTAGGTGTGCTATGTTTCTCTTACTTCAGTATATTCTGAATTTAAAGAAATGGGGGGGCGGATTACTTAATAGACCATAAACTTTTTCCCTACAGGGAAGACTGTACATACTTAATATAAGATAGAGTAAAACGCATGATGTACGTAGGTCAATGTAAGCATATAGTAGTCATAAAACCAAACTCTTGTCAAAACTGTGATACCTCAATCTATTTAATAGTCATCCATTAAGTAAAAAATATTCACATTTTATTTAAGTGATTTTTTTCCAGAATAATATCACTTTATAGCTCTGTAATTGTAACATTTAGGATAATATGTCATTATTTGATAAAGCCCAAATTGACGTCTTTTATTTTTCTTCTAAATGCGACACAATTTAATTTCAAATGCATTTTAAATTAATCATTTAGTGAATATCTTATTTTTTGATGATCTTACTTTTATAAATAGTATTTATTTTAAAAAATGGGTTATCTGATTACAAAAATTCTAAAAAATACTCTCTCTCTTTAACACACTGGTATGAATTATTTAGGAAAAAAACATGATTTTTGACTCAGGCACCTATAGAAAAGATAAACTATTTTACTTTACTATTTTTAAGATGCAATTTTACAAATTCACAAACACATTTTCTTAATAAATTTCCATTTTCTTATTTTTGGATATTGTTTGTTAAGCAGATTTCTAAAGTAAAAATGATAAACTCTTTGTGAACTTGAATCTAATTTCAAAGAATCAATCATTTTTACAAGGCCAGTAATTCACGAGATGAAGTGAGGCTTACACCAATGCTTTTTTCCTTTCTTGGTAATATGTTACTGTAGAAACATTCAAGAAATTCCTGGCCTTAAACAACATACCAAATGAGACAGAAATAAGTGTTCTCCCTGGCACTCCTCAACTTTTAAAATAGATTAATGGCCATCTAAATGTGCTCATTTTATTGCCACATAAAACATCAAGCAGTTTGCATCAGCACAAGCTTAATGGTAAGAAATAGCGAGGCTGAGGTTGTGAAGATGTAAGAAAACAAATTATAATTGTAAGTTCATCGTGGAAACAGCCCGGGGGAAACTATATCCTCATGGTTGCAAGGCAGGGCTCACACCATGTTTCATGAAGGACAACTAGGACACTGGTGCAGAAAGCCATTTTTTATCTTTAAAGGCAAGTTCTTGGAGTGATTACCAACAATGGGACTTTAGAGGTAACAGAAAGAGGCCTCTATTCTCCAAATTATCTCCATCTAGCTCGTATTTTAGAGCTGGAGTAGATTTTAAATCTCACCTCATATTTTATTATCTTTAAAAATACTAAAAAAAACTGTTTAAATTTTGCAAAAAGAGCAAAACATCCATTATTCCACATTATTTTTATTTTTCACATTGTTTTTACTGGTTATACATATTTACACCTAATGTGTATTTAAGCACGTTTATTCATTCCACAACTGTGTATCTTGTGCCTACATGTCCCATTTAGGGCAGTAAATCTGTCAGTCAAACAGACACAAACCCTTCCCCCAAAGAGGTCATGATTTAGTGACAAATATAGACATTAAGGAAGTGATTGCATATTTTATTAGTTTGATTATCAGTTAAGGTATCATGATCAGTTTTCCACATTCCTGTCCAATCTTTTAAAATATCATCTTTTCTATCTAGCTGTTTTTCCATTAAGTTAATGAAACCTAATATAATCATACCTCCAACCCACACCTTCTACTATGGACTCATTTTTTTCCAATAATGAGAACACTGAGACATTGGGAGTAACAAGTGTCAATTGAAGATGGACTTGCATGATATCTTCCTCCCTATTTGAATGTCAACATGCCAGAGTGTGGTGACCTCACTGTCAATGGCGCAATCCACCTGGATAGAGTAGGGATGGAGAAGAGGGATCCCCGTGTGTGCCTGAGAAGGAGGAAGAGGTTGAATTCCTGTGAGGGCAAGGAATTGTGAAATGCAGAGGGAAACTGAGACAAATTTCACCCACTTCACAACATTTTGGAGGCACAACTCTGCACCTTGGAAAGACTCATTCACATTCTGTAAGGCTACCTAGTAAGGTGCATTATCTTAGAGGGAATTGTACACAGTATTACTATTATGTCTAGATCTGTTACCGGAGAGCATGGGAGGTTGTGTGGAGGAATCTAATTTGTAAGTGATGAGCATCTATCATGGTCTCCCACTTTCCCTCATATGTTTTCTCATTTAATATCCACAATAAATGTTTGGGTTGAGCATACCTATCCTTAGTTTTTGGGAGCCTAAAAGGCTGAGACATCAAGAAAATTGTCCAAGATAATACAAAGTAACAATGTAAACCCTTGTGTATCTTATTCTACTGCACATAAGATAAAGACCAAAAAGGTATCAATAAGTACTTAAAACTTATCCGTAGAACAGTTGACAATCTGTTTATTTTTCTTTCCATAATAAGGCTGAACTTGTTTGAATTTCTAATCAGCAGATTCTAGACCTGTGTTAAATGCTGTGCCATTAAAGTAGTCATCAGATTATTGGAAAATCTATTTGCAATAACTTAATCCCCAATTTTTGTTTTAGCTGTTGCTACATCTAGGTTTATATGAAATGAAAGAGAAGCTACATCAAAATTTGCAATGTGCAAGTCATCACTGAAAAATAATAGATTTTTATTATGCTGATTATGGGACATAGTTCAATAAATCACAAGTAATAATAGTATCTTATTTGTGCTTTAACCTAAGTTAACGTATTTTAAAACTACTTGTAAATATAACTGGAGAGTATCTTAATATAAATTAACACAAAGAACCTCATGTTTTTCTGCCAACTTTGGCTTGCAAAAATGAGTATACAACCAAGAAAACAAGCTAATATTGAAAAACAAGAGCCATTAAGAATCTCTATACTCTTTGTCATAAGAGTTCAGTAAGTATCATTTCAAGATCTTCAAAGTTATATATTATGGTACAGATGAATATATAACAGGCACAGCAGCAGGACAGAATATAAAGTCCCCAATGATTGCAATAATACAAAGAGATTTAGAATTAAATCAACTTATTTAATATAAAAATAAAAAGGATCAATGTTCAAAATATTAATTGTCTAATCATTAAAGAAAGAAATGGGTTAGATTCTTATACAGTAAAATACATTCAGAGGTTTTTTTTAAAATGGTAAAAATAAAGCTATGAAAGTACCAAAGCATAACATGAATTATTATTTATATAATCTTCAGTTATATATTTTGTAAATATTTTATTAAAAGATAGATATCAGAAAGGATGATCTAGAACAGATCTGGGCTGGTTTGGATTCAGCTCAAGGTAAGCATGCATGGATGCAGCCCTGCTTGATCTCCCTTTGTTCCTGATGGTTTTAAACCTGCAGTTCATGAGCAATGATGCTGCCCCCAACTGTTAAAGGTCCCAGCTCAGAAGTGCAGAATCTCATATTATGAACTTCAATGTGAGCAGCATTGCAAGAACACATGGAAACTCAGGGTTCCATCCTACTACCTGTTGCCCTGCTGAAACATAGATCTACACACCCATATTTATTACTGTGTCATGGCCTTCTACAAAGGGAATGTTATAAATTGAAATAAATAGAAATTTTAAAGTTACGTATATCAAAAAACTTAAAAGGACAATATTTGGGGTTATTTTTAAAATCTCTATTCATATCACATTTCAAGAATAAAATCAGCCTCTCAATAATCAACAAAACTTTAAGTCATGCAATCTAGAAGCTCAAAATCCAAGAGATTTTTTCCTCCTTCAAACAAACATCATAACATTTTCAAAGATCTTCAATATGACACTTTTCTGTTTTTCTTTATAAATGCTGTCTTTCCTTTGTTTTCAAACATACTTCACCCTGTTTCAAAGACACCTCAACACCCTTTTAAAATACTTTTTTAAAATATGCTAATTTGTAATGTCCACCTTTTCCTTCTATGCTGAGTATCGTGATAGCTCATTGTCCCTACGTATTCTTATAAGACTTATCTTCCCTTGCTGAGCAAATCAGTTATAAGAGGAAGGTGGTAACCTTGATGTGTTAAAAACTAGAGTGCAATGGCTTCCAGCCACTGACTAGTACACCTTGCACTCTGACTTCTTACAGGGCTGTTCTTGTAAATGACAGAGTCTGATTTTAAATTGAGTTGCTTTTTTATTTTATTTTTTATAACCATAGCTCTCTTTGACTTTCTGTAAGTTTTAAATTATAATACCATTCACTGATGCCTCAAATCCCCCAAATTGGAGCCATTCTCAATCCTTCCAACTTCCACATGTAGATTTTCAGCAGATCCTATCAGCTCTACTTTTAAAGGATATCTAAAATAGAACGACTTTTTACCACCTCCACCACTTCCCCCCCTGGAATAAGGCATCATCTTCTCTTGCCTGGGCTAAAATAACTTCCCAGCTGATTTTTCTGTTTCTTGTACTGCTTCATTGCTGACTATTCTGCACATAAAAGTAAGAGTAATGTTTTTAACATGTCATTTCTCATTTCAAAAACCTCAAGTTTTCCCCTAAAAAGCTAAAGCTCACTGGTGTTTACATTTCCCTGAATGAACCAGCTTATCACCAAGATACAGTTATTCTCATTTCTTTAGAAACATCAAACCTTCTCCTTGCACATGATTATCTGATCATTCTCCCTGAGCAGGCCATTCCCTAGGTCTGTGGCTTTTAAGGCATGAACCCTGAGCAAGCAGCATGAGCACCACCTGGGAACTTGTTAGAAAAGCAAATTCTCAGGCTCCACCGCTGCACATCTACTGCATAAGAAACCCAGAAATCTGTGATTTATAAAGCCTTCCAGATAATTCTGAGGTATACTCAAGTTTCAGTCTCTGCTCCGAATATCCCTAACCCTACTGCCACAATTCATTCCGGTTCTTATTCCACCAGTCATAGAAGTCTTCTTCACCACCAACCTCAAATAACATCCCTCTTCCTCTCCACAAGTTATCTAGATTTACTTTTCTCCATAGCTCTTATCATTACTTGACATTATATTAAATATTTATTTTTAATCTGTTTTTGTCTTCCCCAGTATGGCAGCAGGAGGACGTTTTTTGTTCACTGCTTTATTGATTGCATCTAGAATATTGCATACACAAACAGGTGATTCATATATATGTGTGTGTGAGTGTATATATGTATACATATACACATACACATACATATGCACATATATGTTTCATATATATTAAAAGATATATATGAAATACCTATTTATTTGTTGAATAAATGAAGAATTGATAGATACGTTCTGTTATATTGGGCCAACGTAATAAAATCACATACGTCAAACTGAGAAAATTCTTGGGAGAACTGATCCTGAAGGAAAAACAAGGAATAACACATCTGATCTTCTAAAGCAAGTTCTAAGACAAATATAAATTGTTAGAATTACTAGGGGAGACCTCAAGTTTTAGAGTCCAAGAATTCTTAGTTTGAATCTCTAATGTTACTGTCTTAGACAATTTCATTAAGGTCTTTGAGCCACAGTTCTCTTACCTATAAAATAAGGAAAATAAAAGTGCTTAATTAATTAACAGTGAGAATTCAGATTAAAATTTATAAACATGCTTAGTACAATGACTGAGATATTAGTATTAGTAAAATAATTTTTGTATCCTATTTTTAAAATCCTATTATTTAGAAAAAATGCATGTAAGTCTCTCTCTCAAAAGAAGATATAGTAGTATCAGAATTATTAATGTTGCCTTTAAGAATGTTTTTCCTTTATTGTTGTTCTTCTTACATTCCTGAAAACCAAATAATAAGATGATAATTCTTCTAGTAGTAATGAAGTTGATGATTTATTTTCTTTATATGCATTAATACCTTTCATATGATACATTTGCTTCAAATATTCACAAAATAGTGACCTAAATCAGAAAACATAATAATAGCTAAGATAAATGCTTCCTACTATACTTTTCTTAAAGGCACATTGTTTCAAAATTATTATAATATTAAATTTGATTATGAGATTAAGAAAACATTTTTCTCATCCTTCCGTAAATATGTACACACAGAGATAGAAATTTTAAAAAGTGACTTTTGACATTTTTTCTGCAACCTAACCACACCCAATGCTGTTGTTTAGTGTGCCTGTATTTCCACAGTTGAAAACTTGTATGTGACATTATCTTCACTTTGATACCTAATGGGCATTTCACCTTTATTATGTCCAAAAGATAGTTTTATTTATCCCAAAATCTATTTCTTCCCTCACGCTTCCTATTTTGGAGAATGACACCATCACCCACACAATTCCTGCAGCCAAAAATATAGTATCCAACCTTTATCTCCCTCTTTTCTTCTCTTAACCCCTATCTAATTTGTAAGCAAGTTTTGTGGACTGTAGCTCATTGTAATTCGTTTCAATGTTTCATTGAAACTGTAACTCATGTAATTCATTTCAATGTTTCTCTCTTCACTATGCTTCCAAGCTACTATCATCTGGGATTGAGCTACTACAGCAGTTTGTTTGTTTTTTTTTTTTTAACTGGTCTGTTTGTGTCAAACTTTCCCATATAATTCATGCTCTACACAGCAGTCAGAATCATGTATTAAAATTTAGATTATATTTTATAGTAAATAATAATTGAGAGCTTATTTCATTAGAAATAATGTTACAATTCATTTCCTCTTTTTTTGTTTTGTTTTATTCTTTGTTTTTGAGACAGAGTCTCGCTGTGTTGCCAGGCTGGAGTGCAGTGGCATGATCTCGGCTCACTGTAACCGCCAACTCCCGGGCTCAAGCAATTCTGACGCCTCAACCTCCCAAGAAGCTGGGATTATAGGCGTGTGCCACCATGCCTGGCTAATGTTTGTATTTTTAGTAGAGACAGGGTTTCACCGTGTTGGCCAGGCTGGTCTCGAACTCCTGACCTCAGGTAATCCACTCCAAAGTGCTGGGATTACAGTCATGAGCCACCGCGCCAGGCCATTTCTTTTACCTTTTTTTACTTATTCCTCAAAACAACACTATCAAAAAGTCTAATTTTATTTGCATCAAGTCTGAACCACAAAAAGGTCAAGTAGTTGTCCAAATTAAACAGTCAGTATTTCAAACCCAGGCAATGTAACTCTGGGTCTCATATCATTAAGCAATATACCAACAACCTCTTGTCATATTATTTCTTTCTTAAAATTGGCCAATGAGTTTCATCTCACTTTTAAATATTACTAAATATTCTGTGAGTTGAAAGTCAGCACAAGTCATTTATTGAGCACTCAGGAATAAAGATCATGTGTAATAAAGACTGACATCCACATCCTTCAAGTTCCTTATGTTTTCTGGCATGATATGTATCTCTGTAATGGAAAGGGAGAAGTGAGAGTTATTTATGGTACAAGTGGAGATGATATATTTTTAAAGGGTCATGCAAAGCTTTTTCTAATACAAATTATCGGCTTTTGGAAGAGTGAAGAGAAGCCATAGCTACATATAAGGCAGGAGTGGGGGGTCAAGGATCTGGCACACATACAAATGTTTCATAATACAAATTTTTTCCAACAATAAAAAATAATTTAAATCAAATCATCTTTTTAAGTTAAAAAGGGACATACTAAAAATTTCTAGCAAGTAAGGGCTAAAATATATTTTATACTACTCATTTTTTTTCTATTTTATTTTAGATTCAGGAGGTAGATGTGAAGATTTGTTACCTGGGTATGTTGGGTGATGCTGAGGTTTGGGGTACAAATGATTCTGTCATCCAAGTACTGAGCATACTATCTGATAGTTAGTTTTTCAACCCTTTTGCCTCTCCCTGTCTCCCGCATCTAGTAGTCCCAGTTTCTACTGTTGCCAACATTATGTCCCTGAGTACCCAATGTTTAGCTCCTGCTTCCAAGTAAGAAATTGCAGTATTTGAGTTTCTGTTGCTGCATTAATTCGCTTAGGATAATGACCTTCAGCTGCATCCATGTTGCTGCAAAAGACATGATTTAATTATTTTGTATGGATGTGATACTACTCAGTTTTTATCTTTATATGTATGAGTTGCTGTTTAGTGTATGTGCTTTTTTATTGTTCTACTTAAGTAACACCCCCCCAAAACACACACACACACACACGCGCGTGCACACACACACACACACACACACACACACAGAGAGTCTTAAGGTTTAAATCGTTTTACTTGTATCCTGATTGCCTGCCTTCAGCTCTTTAACAGATTTTACACATAAATTCTTCAAACACAGATGGCCTCTGGAGCACCACCTGAAGTTTAAGAAAAGAGTCTGGGGTTTGTTATCTTTTTCAAGAGGCCCAGTAACTTCGTTATTTAGCTGGAATACCTTTAAGCATGCAGAGTCTAACTCCAGAAGGATGAAGCCAACCCAAATGCTTGCAGCCTGGAGCAAATGGACTGCAAACCACAGAGCTCTCCATGGTCCTGCTGGAGAGGCATAGCTCATGGATTCACTCATCTCAGACAATGAAAATTGACATTCTCATAGCCCCCTGAAGGTATTTTGAATCCTATTACCTTGATTAACAGTTACAACTACTCCTCCCAGTTGCCTTGAATTCCAATTTCATTAATCTGGTTAATAAGGTGTCTTCAAGTACCTCATCAGTCTACTCTCTTTTGTGTAATTTATCAAATAAATAATTTGTGAAGAATACTGTGCTAAAAGTATTGAGAGCATCCCTATAAAGAACACTAGACATCTACTCTGAATAAATATGTATTGTAGTATATATAATAACATATCCACACACATTGCTGTGTTTTAAGTGAGGATGGCACTAAGTTTTAAAAAAAAGGATGGAGCAATATGCAAACTTTGCTATGTATGGTCATGTATTAGGCCATTCTTATGTTGCTATAAAGAAATATGTAAGACTAGGTAATTTATAAAAAAAGAAGTTTAATTGGATCATGGTTCTGTAGGCTGTAGAGGAAGCATAGTGCTGGCATCTGCTTCTCCAGAAGCCTCAGGAAGTTTTAATCATGGTGGAATGCAAAGCAAGAGAAGGCAGTTTACTTGAGGAAAACAGGAACAATGCAGGGAGAGGGTAGGAAGGCGTCACACACTTTTAAACCACCAGATGTTCAGATTTCATGAGAAATCACCCTCTGTGGTGAGTATAGCACCAAGCCATGAAGTATCTGCCACCATGACACAAATACATCCCACCACCACCCACCTCCAACACTGGAGATGACAACTCAACATGAGATTTGGAGGGGACATCCAAACTACATCAGGGCATGTACAAGTATACATTTCTGGGAGAACAAAAATACCATGAGAAGGTGAAAACAGTTGAAAACTTTACACACAAAGGTACAGAGAATTACTCTTCGAAATTGACATTCCCTTATATTTTTATTTTTAACATATTTAACCATTTGTGACAAAGCCACAAATCCTTAAAAATCAAAAATAAATCATGTGAAATCTACATTAGACCCAATATGGAGAAAAGCTAAGAGAATTTTTAAAACATACTCATTACTTTTTCCTTGTGATTAAATCAGTGTTCTTAATTTATATTCCAAAGGCTTCAATTCTAGATCTTGTTCTGTCACTTATTGCCTGCATGCCTCTTTTGATCTCAGCTTTCTTCTTTAAATTGAAAAATTCGGACTTGAAAATCTATTAGTTCTATTTTTGTTTAGATGAGCCACAATGCTATGATTTATAATGTGTCCTATAAATACATCTGTTAAAAATATTTGCCAATTATATACTGTGATATCTGGCAGATCATCAGATACATGAAGTTCTTAAAGTTCTAATATATTTTAAACCTCTATTTCTAAAAGACACACCCAAATAATGGAATAAAATATTTACATGTGTACAAGTTAAAAATTTTGCAAAATATTTTTCTATGCGTTTCAAAAATTTTAGAAAATAGTAATATAACTCGTGATGTAGTGATAAGCAAACTTCGATTAAAATTGTAACTTTCTAACTCTATTGAGTTTAATATATTTATCATGTATCTGCCATTTCTAAAAGTACTAGAATATGTGACCCAAGTTACGGCAATTGAATATCTTCCTCCATGATTTTTAAAAACTGAAATTAAGTGGGTACAGCAATAAACATTGTCCCCATAGAAGTTTCTTCTAATCATTTCACCCAGAAGTTGTCAGTGTTATTGAAGTTCACCAGTGTACTGCTTGCTGGGACTGCCATACCAAAATATCACAAACAAGGTGGCTTAAAGAACAGAAATGTGTTTTCACAGATCTGGAAGCTAGAAGTCCAAGATGAATGTATAGCAGATTTGGATTTTCTGAGGCCGCATTCCTTGACTTGCGTATAGCCACCTTCTTTTTGTATTCTTACCTTGTCTTCCGTCTGTGCACAGACGTCCCTGGTGTCTCTTTGTGAGTCCCAATATCCCCTTCTCATAAGGACTCAAGTTGAGTTGAATTAGGGCCCACACTGATGGCTTCATTTTTAACTTAATCACCTCACTGAAGGCCCTTCAAATACAATCACATTCTGAGGTATTGAAGTTTAGGGCTTCAATGTATTAACTTTGGGGGGAAACAAGTAAGCTGTAAAAGCTGGTGAAGGGGTAAGAGGGGCCTCTGCATTCAGGGTGTAGATGTTCAGTTGATTCCCCAATGTTCAGTGTGTGTCTCTACCTTCGGTGTTTGTTGATCCCAGGAACAGTTCTCTTCACATTCTCCAGAAGCTAAACTTTGGGTTTCTGGTGCTGTGAGTTTCACTACCAAGTGTCGAAGATCATCTGGGGATTTCTTCTTAGCTTCATTTTAATCTATTCTTCAACTATTGCTTGATCAATTCTCCCTTTTTTAGTACCAGTTGTATTGTCATTTCCAAAGTGACAAGTGCTATCAACTTTTGTGTGTGTCATATAATGGTATGTGACAGATTGCATCTTAGCTTTCTCCTCTGCTTCATTAGAGATTATGTTTCTTAAGTGTGTTGAGTCAAGAACATTTTGGCCACTTACTTTTCTTCTTTTCTCTTTTTGAGGGGATGTTCACCTCTGTCACCTAGGCTGGAGTGCAGTGGCACAATCATAGCTCACTGCAGCCTTAAACTGCCAGGCTCTGAAATTTTGTGACTCTTGTATCCTCTCACATTCTCTTTATCTTTGATTATTTATTCATTTTGCAACAGATCTTCCCCTGTCTGACTTTTGAGAAGGGGTTCTTGAGAGAAAAAATAGTTGTGTTCAACCTGCCATCTTTAATCAGAGGTTATAAAATTTTTAAGTGAGAATATCTACTCAAAGTGGATGTTATTCATAAAATTCAGATTCCTTATAAAATGTATATTTGAAATTTTATAACTGAATTTGTTATTCAATGCACATTGTACAGTTTAATTCACAATTTAATCAGTTTAGCTCTTCCATTCTTTTCTGTAATTATTTTTGCTCAATTTCTACAGTTGTTAAAATTCAGTCCTAAGTGGGGAGCTTGGAAAGAGGGCATAAATTTAAATGTCAAGGAACTGGTTGCCATCTAGTGTAATTTTATACCTTCTCCTTTTTATATTATTGCTAAAGTTGCTAAGGGAGAATTTTTTTAAAGCAAGATGAAATTGATACTTTTTCATCTCAATACAGTATTCAATAAATGTTCATTGAGAGTATTAATGAGAGAGAGAAACATTTTCATGTTTCTTAGTATTTATCTGTGCTAGCAAATTTACTTTCACAGCTGGGAAAGTCAAAGTTCAAAAAATTTAGTAATCAACTGAAGGAGCAGTCACTATGTTATCTGCAGTCATATTATGTAATATAATGATCACATACATGAATGATTTGGTGATCTAGTGTTTGCTTGGATTTTTCCTAAAGTATTCCCTAGGATTATTTTCATAAATAAATATTTGAGGGTGATTTCCATCCAGGAATAAAACACAGCATAGTAAAACTTATTTAATCAACAAACTACATAGATTATGCCACTGAGTTTTACAACACAGTTTAGTCTTAGTTAAAAGCTGCCTTCTTTATAAGATACGTCATTCAACTTTAAATTTTACGTGCTTAGCCAGAAAACCAACAATTATGAAACCACGAGAATTATGTGTGTCAATAGAATCAGTCAAACTCTTCTAAAACTGCCATGGCAACTTAATTCTAAAAAGATGATTCATTTTCTGTAATAAAAATACTTGTAATATATGTAAAATATAGAATAATTAAAACAATTTTAAATATACCTGCATATAGTACATGCATTATACATGCATACACACACATATGCTGAGAAAACAAGAGACCGACAGAGATGTAGAGAAAAAATTATTAATGAAAATTATATCTTTCTTTGTGTCAGAAATCCGAGAGAAAAAAAGACAAATAAGAAAAAAGTGGTAATATAGTTACTCTCTTAAGCCCTGCTGCAAATCACCTTATTGGTATTACACAGAGGTATTAATGTGATGAAAGCTAAGAAATTATTGCATTCTTGTTTGGAAAATCACATTGAATGTTCCATATTATATTATTTTCAAGAAAAAAATACAATCACTTCCTTCTGAACTCTGAAAATATATTTTTCTAATCTCAGTTAAAGAATCATGATTTCAATCTTCAGTTTGAAGAATAAGTTACTTACATTTTCTAATGTAATAACCAAGATGAAAAAATTGTGATACATCTGCTCCCTCTTTATTTTCCGCCAAAAATTTGGCTACAGGGTTTTTAAATAATAATTTCCACATGAAATTGAGAGTGTTTATAGCATATTGGAACAATTTTGTTCACTTTTCTTTTCCGTCCAGATTGATTCAAGGAAATAGGTATTAGAATTTTAAAAATCATGCACACATTTAAATGATTTTTTATTGAACATGGGTTAAAGTCTGTCTAAGGAGAAAGACAATTTTGGCTCTAGCAATGAGTTCTGTAAAGCATCCAGGAAAATGTTCAGAAACAAATAAAGGGTGTGTTATAAAATTCCTCAGGATGGCACAGTTAATCACACATTATATAACTATATATTTTCACACCAACATTCCTGTGGCTGCATGAACGACAGAATGTTGACAGAGTAGAGAACTTTGGCATGTGGTAAAGCTGAAATTTCTATCACAAGAGTAATTTTCTGTGCAACACATTAAAATTTCCATAAAATTAGTTCATTTGATGAGCTCTTCAAAACCTTTTCAGGTTCCAAAATGATATTTCCTTTATTTAGAGATAATATTTGCATTTTTATATCAACAAATCATATTTATAGATAGTAATAGTATATACAATTTGGAAACAGGTGAGTAATAGGCATGAGCTATTTACGAGCAGGCAAATTTTTACATCTTGTTTAGTATATGTATTCTCCTTGTGAAGAAATGAAAGGTCAAAACAAATAAAACTGTTAGGAAGAATTCCACACTTGTTATGATTTCCTTTCCAAACCACCCATTGATAGAACCTCCTGCATTAAAACGTATACACATGATAAATATTTTTTAAAAGTTAATCATCTTGTACTCATCATCTATTAGTCAACATTCTTCACTGAATGTATTCACGCTTTGCTACCTCTTTGGAAAATTTGGAAAATGAGTCACTGAACTGATTTCCTATCTTGGGTAGTTTTGAATTCTACACTGCCAAGGTAGGCAGAGAAGACAGGAAAGGAAGACTTCAGTAGGAGAAAGCAAACAGATTTATGCTGAATTTCAAAGAAATATAACAGCGTGTTAGTGAGTATTAGAGAAGGGATATAAAAAATTATATATGATGATTTTTTAAGTTTGTGTGCATATTGAAAAAGAACTCAGAGGTCATGTTTATACCTGTTTTATTGGTACTGCTTATAATTAAGAAATTTTTAAAGGTTGATTTATTTGATTATATCAGTCCCTCATGCTTGAAAAGTAGTGGATATGATAGAGTATATATGAGCATCCTGAGATTTAAAAACTGAAATTAAAAATCTCAGTGATTTTTAAAAATACAGAGCCTATAGAGCACAGCTGTGATCTAAGGTCATTTAAAAGGCAACTGGATAATGATACCCAGGAGAAGAAGATACACGGCAAAGGAGAAAAAGGCTGAGAAACTACTAAAACTTACTTTCAAAGTTGCAAAATTAGTTCAAAATTTGAGAAAAGGTCTGTGGAGTTTTTAGTTTATTTTTGCACATGAAGGGAAGAAAAATGGTAAGCTACAAGGATGTAAGTTCATCATGCATAGCCTTTAAAGCTCTGTGTGTTTCCTGCTTCTCTGTTCTCCGCACTCTACAGCAATAAACGAACAATGGTCCTCAAAGCTGAAACTCACTAAATTATGCTTTCTGCTTAACTGGGGTAGAGTAGCTGGGCCTACCCAGGCACAATAAGATTGTGAGTGGGAAGTGCTTTATTTACAGAGAAATGTTTTATAAATACTATTATTATGAAACCTGTTATTAAAGCTGCACCCTGGATTTAGCTGATGCGTTTCTGGAGGCAGTGGGTGGCAACAACGTTCTTCACTGCTCTACCAGAAGTATGAGCATCCTCTTGACTTTCTCCATGCACCGAATCTAGGTTCTATTGTTTTCTGTTTCTTCACTTTCTCAAGGAACTCACCCTCCCTGCTTCTCACAGAAGGTCCATCCCCAGAAAGGGAGAAAATCATGCAGGAAATCTCACAAGAACAAGTCAAAGTAGCAATTTTAGTAAAAATAGCTGGATTTAGCCCATAATAAAATAGCTTTTTACAGAGTTGGCCTCGCACACACATTCATTACTGCACATGTCTCCCACACACTCTATTTGCCCAAGGGTGTCAGCTGACAAGGAGCTTAAATCATCCTTAGAGATCCTTACAATTCCTCCAGTTGCCTCTTAAGATGAGCACTTATCAATTGTGTCCTGTCTTAATTTATTAATATACAATTTGGTACATGTATGACTTCTACATATCCAAGGTAGCCCATCTTATAGAAACGTTTTTATATTCTTTTCTTTCTTCGCATAAGAGAAGCATTTGAAATTACATTTATGATGTCCAAAATTTTATGTCCTCTCACACATATTTAAATAGTAGCTTGCACGTAAAAATGTTCAGAATAATAGTTGAAGCATATATCGACATAGGAAATATATGCCAATAAGAGTTGGTTCTCACAACGAACTATGAAATGAGAAATCCCCTACAAAAGACATAAAACTGGTGTTGAGCTCTGCCATGTTTGTTAATAACACTGCAGCTTGCGGAACTAGGTATTTTCTAAATTTCAGAGACTTTGTGATGATTATTTCAAACAGCATCCAGAAATAATGAAATTAGTCTCCTATTCGTGGGAGTAAAACAGCATAGTTGAATAGTTCTCATATCAGCCTTTATATAATGAACTCTTATGTCCATGAGAACAGGATTATTAGGGCATCTGCCACATCCCTTTCAGTTTTCAGGTGAAGAAACTAATAACCAGAAAGATGAAGCTTCCTCTAAATGTTACACAATTTGTGAGAAAGTAAGTACCCAAATCAGGATTCTCTGATTTAGTGGATTTTCAGTTCAGTATTCCTTCAGTTACTATATTCTTTAGTTACACTGCTTTTGTGAAGTAGGACAATTCATAAATGAAAATGCAATATTTAATATTAAACCAAAACAATGATTTTTTTTTGAGACAGGGTCTCACTCTGTTGCCCAGGATAGAGTGCAGTGTCATGGTCACAGACCACTGCAGCCTCAACCTCCCAGTCTCACACAATCTTTCCACATCAGCCTCCTGAGTAGCTGGAAATACAGGCATGCACAATTATGCCTGGCTTTTTTTATATTAATATTTTGTAGAGACAGAGTCTTGCTGTGTTGCCCAGGCTGTTCTCAGTCTCCAATTCTTGACCTCAAGAGACCCTTCAGCCTCTGCCCCTCAAAGTGATGGAAGTACAGGCGTGAGCCACTGCACTCTACCTAAAACAACTAAATTTAATATTTGTTTTTAAAATTTGCAAACTCTAGAGTTCTTATATTTTAGATTTATATATATACTTTTTCAACTTTTATTTTGGGTTTGGAGGTATATGTGCAAGTTTTTTTTAGGGTAAGTTGCATGGTGCCGGGATTTGGTGTACAAATAATTTTGACACTCAGAGAGCATAGTTCTCGATAGGTAGTTTTCAACCCTCACCCTCCTTCCAAACTCCACACTAAAGCAGGTCCTGGTATCTATTGTTCCTCTCTTTGTATCCATGCGTACTCGATGTTTAGCTCCCACTTAGAAGTGATAACATACAGTATTTGGTTTGCTGCTCTGGTGTTAATTTGCTTAGGGATAATGACCTCCAGCTCTATCCACGTTTCTGCAAAAGACATGATCTCATTCTTTCTTATGGCTGCATAGCATTAAATGGTGTATTTGTACCATATTTACTTTATCCAGTCAACTGTTGATAGGCATCTTGGTTGATTTCATGCCTTCACTGTTGTGAATAGTACTGTGATAAACATACACATGCATGTGACTTTTTAGTAGAACAATTTGTATTCTTTTGGGTATATACCCACTGATGGGATTGCTGGGTTGAATGGTAGTCTCTTTTAAGTGCTTTGAGAAACCTCCAAACCATTTCCTACAGTGGCTAAATTAACATACATTCCCACCAGCCTTGTATAAGCATTCCATTTTCTCCATAATCTCTCCAACATCTATTATTTTCTGCCGTTTATATAATGGCCATTCTGATGTTATCTCATTGTAGTTTTGATTTGCATTTCTCTAATGATTAGTGACATAGAGCATGTTTTCATATGCTTGTTGGCCATGTGTATGTCATCATTTGAGAAGTGTTCATGTTCTTTGTCCATTTTTAATAGGTTTATTTGTTATTTGAGTCCTTATAGATTCTAGATATTAGATCTTTGTCAGATGCATAGTTTGCAAATAATTTCTTTCATTCTATAGATTGTCTTTTTACTCTGTTGATAGTTTCTTTTGCTATGCAGAAGCTTTTTAGTTTAATTAGGCTCCACTTGCCTACTCTTGATTTTGTTACAATTGCTGGTGGGAATTTGTATTTTATGTGAAACTACCAAAAAATAAAACAAAGTAAAAATCACCTCTCAGAGAGAACCTATCTTATTTTGATATAGTTCTTTACAATTTTCTCTCTCATTCTTCTATCATAATCATGTGTGAATATATTTATATAGATATTTATGTGTAAACATATAAATAATACTGAAGTGATATGGAAAAAATAATTTTATACATTTATTCTTTTGTTTTGGTTATGAGCATTTTCCCATAGATTTATACATTTTAAATACATTTTTGTTATATAGTTATTATTTATAATAATATAATACATAATATGTAATATAATACATAATATTATGTCCTATTGGCCCTAAATTTTAAATCATCTCCCACTCTAGCTATATTTTATTTTATATTTACTTTTTTTCTGTTTCCAGAAGAGAGATAACACTTGCTATAAAACAATATGCCAAGGAACTTTAAAATAAGTTAATTTGTATTTACAAAAAATCTAAAACTTCCAAACTTACTTTTATACTGTATTCTGATTGTTGTGATCATTTCTGTGTAAAAAGCCTTTAAATTAGGATTGAACTCAAGACAAAGAAATTGTTCTTCTCTTAGGAAGTGATATAAATGATATAAATGGAAGTGATATACATAGGACTCCTTTGTCCAATAGTAGAATAGAAGGAACATCTTATAAAATAAATTACAAAGAATTGGCTGTGGAATCTGGAGAGATAACTAAATGAGTGTATTTATACACCAGGAAAAAAAGCAATTTTAAGAAGTTTTTAAACAGATTTAGGTTCTGATTATGCAAATGAAGAAAATTATATTGACCAAGTTAACAAAAATGTCATTGCATGTGCAATGTGTAAGCATCATGTAAGATGGTAGGAACAAAAAGATATATGAAATATGACTCCAGCTCTCAAATAATTCACATCCTAATAGGACACACACACACACACACGCACACACACACACGCACACACACACACATGCACAGCAGTGACTAGTATAAAGTTTTCCAATCTAATAATTATAATGTGGATGTTGCAGAATGGCAGAGGAATGATCAATTCATTTTGACCTATGTTTGCAGAAGAATGTAGAAGACTTCTCAGAAGGAAACAGTTGAAAATTACTATCCTAGGGGTAAGAGATAGAATACTCCACAATTAAATAATTATGAATGAATAATAGGTTGTGTGCTGGAGGAATAACAGAAGATTCATTCTATCATTTATTCCACAAAAATTTATAGAATGCATACCACATATCAGGCACCATTTCAGACACTGAGAACAGAGCTCTGAAGCAGACAGCCAGAGCCCCTGCCTTCCAAAGAAGTGAAAATTTTGAGGAGAAGAAGGGAGGTATTGAATCTGGATCTCAAATTTAATTTGGGACCTAGGGATATAACTTTGAGCCATCAGCGTATAGATTTTTATTTGAAACCACAGTACTAGGTAAAATCATCTAGCAAGTGAGGGAAAGCAGACAGGGGAAGAAGGAGAAGATTTGAGTCTAGGAGCTCCACATTAGGTAAAAGTTAGAAAGAAATGGAGAGGTGCTAAAAGAGATGAGACCAAATAGCCGGTTAGTCCAGTAGATGATTAGGAAAACCATGACAGTGAGGTCTTGCTGAAGACAGATGGAAACTGTTTCCAGAAGGAGAGGGTAATCAACTGAGTCGGGTTATCAAGTGCAAGTATATTACGTGAGACAAGGACTAAGAATTTACCATTGGATTTAGCAATGATGAGGTAATTGGTAACCCAAATATTTATTCTGGTGGACTATATATATAATTTTAACTAAAATCATCTGCCAGATAAATCTTAATTTCTTGAAAAGGCCGAGATTGTATACCATCAAATGATTGTTGCAATTTTGGGTAAGATAAGAATTGGGTGTTTAATGTCAGATTTAATAAGTGGCTGTCATTGAAGACATTGGCAGGAGGGTTTTCACTAGTGTTGAGGAATAAAGCTGGATTAATTTAAGAGAAAATGGGAGATGAGACATGCAAAACAATAAACAGTGTGAAAAATGAATTCCTGAAATGTTTATATAAAGAGAAATAGAGTATAAAAGGATTAAAAGAAATGATAGAGTTCCCAATTTCCCTTGCTGTAACCCTTGCCCTCATGTTTTCTTTTGTTTGTTTTCCCTTTCCACCTTTTTTGGCTAACTCTCCCTTGGGCCTTATCTAATCAACAAACCCTGGGCTTATCAAAACAGCTTTTGATAAAAACTGTTCTAACAGTTACCTGGACGTCAGTGTGCCAACAATCCCAAGTAGGCGGAATGGAAAACTAAAAAGCATCCACCGTTCCAGTAGCAAGTTTTACATCAGTTTGAGATGAAAAGTGCTATGATAGCCCAACCACCTATCTCCCTCTCTTATCCATTCTCTATAAGATCCTGCATTGACTCAGAGAGTTCGCTGATCTTCAGAGGCTCCCCAATGTGCATTAGGTGAGCAGACCTTTAATCTCTACTTGAGTTACATAAACTATTTTTTCCCTTGACAAGAGAAATGGGACAGTACCTAGAGAGAGATTTGCCCTGCAAGGAGGCATATAATGATAAAACAAATTTTTGTTTGTTTCTAATAAAAATAATCCTGCAAAGAGGGAAAAATTATGATATGTATGTAAAAGGAATAGATAATTGCAGGAAAAAAAGGCTTGTGTATCCAAAAACTGCTGGGACTCCCTAAAAAAAAGTGATAAGTAGAAAGGAGGAAGGAGAGCTGTGTCCATTATTAGAGGAGGAAAATAGAGGATATTAATGCAGACCATTTCATAATGAGAAGAATGGGAAATTTTCTTCTAATGGCTTCTATCTGCTCAATGAATTGAATTATCATATAAAAATGAAGAGATAGGAGGTAAGTGTTAGCATTTTAAGGAGAAATGCAAAGGGAATATATAGTATCTTCTCTATTGGATTATAATCCTGGAGTTTGGGCTTGTGATTTGCCTGAGAAATGTGATAGGATTGAAGGGCAGTTCTGGGAGACCATTTGAGATGATATGCCGGGGAAACACAATTTAGATATAGATAGCAAAAGGTATAAAAATGTATTTGAATATTATTTTCCAACCAAAAATGATATATTTTTAAACAAATGCAGATAAGATTGGTTCTGCTGTAAACATTTTCTTTTATGATTATTCTGTGACAATCATTTGCTCTTGAAACACATTTATTCAAATTTCCCTGGAAAATATTATATTATTGCTGCACAGGTAAGAAAAATGTCATTCGTGTAAACCTATACCTAATGATTACTGCATTCAAGTTGGCTCCATAATAATTTGTAAGCCAAATGAACTTCTTTTGATTTATTAATTGCATATTATTTTCTCATATATTTCCTTGAATACCATTTGAAAATATAAAGATTTGGAAACAAATTAAGTTCTATCTTTCTCAAAAAATGTGTTTCAAAACCCCATACCTTTCTGATAACAAAAATGGTTCATATAATTTTTTTTAAATTTGGGAAATATGAAAATTTGCAATAAAGAAAATAAAAACAATCTATAATCTTAAGGCATAGATGTAATCATATTAATAATTATCGTAAAACTCACATAAATATGTTATCGTGTATTTAATTGGTTATATAGGTTATTTAGAGACACAAATTGTATTTGTAAAGGAAATTGCTACTGATAATTGGAGAAGTGGGAAGGGACTGAATAACTTCAGCCCAATAGCAGATACTTTTGAAAACCACAGCAAATGAGATAAGTAAAAAGATATAAAATTATGCCACCAGAATTTAAAGGTTTAAAAGATTTTATTATGGTCTCCCAGTGCATGGCTCATCCTCCTTCCTTCCTCTACTTTATCTTCTGCATCATGACCTGAACCCAAATCAGGAATAAGCCTTAGTTCTCTCTAAATCATGACCAAACATGTATTATATTACCTTAGGAAACCTCAGATCAAATAAAACCAGGTCAGCTTAACCATATGGCAGTGTTTTTTAAACTTGCTGTAAGTTCTTTTATCAATGCGGCTTATTATTATTGCAGGGCAGATTTTCTGAGTCAGAAAATATGCATGAACTGGGCCAAAGTTTTGATATTTTGAACAATTTTTCTAATTACAGTATTATATACAAAATGTAAGGAGCAAAAGTCGTTTCAAAAAGTAACATCTGAAACTACCTTCTTTCTTCAAAAAGTAATTACTGAATCCAAAGGATTTAAAAAAAAAAATAGATGTAGGGGAAAATAGATTCCTGTCAAAATCACTTATCCTCAAGGTAATATATCCATGTTTAAAATCTTAAGACAATTAAAAAAATTAAGTTTTTCTGTATTTTTGGCCTCCTAATGAAATCTGATATTATAATAAGAAAATCTATTTTGCTCGTGGGTTTTGTTCTCCTTCATTTGTCAGAATCACAGACCCATAGCATACGGAGATAGTAATATCAACATCTGCCTGGAAAAAAATAAGTTCAGAGAGGTTCGTTTGAGAGTAAAATAAAAATTTCCGGTTAATTTCATCTTGCTTAAATACCACAGTAAACTGAGGAGATTGATAGCTGAGAATGAAAAAGAAATAAGCATCTACAAAAAGGAACAGTTGAGAAGAAATATAATTTTCTTCCAGAAAGTATCCTCCTGGTATACATGATGGCCTCATACTCGGGCCTTATTGCAGGTTTGGCCCAATCAGAATGAAGTAGATCTACCTACGAGAAACCCAGTGATTGGTCAGCAATAGAAAGATAAAGTGCTTTGTCAAAAGATGTGGGAATGTCCAAAAATCAAGAAATAGGGAGAGTTTGGATTATAGTAGACTCTAAAAGAATGCTGGACTTTTGAACTAAGTCTTAACAGGAAAAAAGCAGAGTGATTTTCAGGAGCACAGAATAAGGAACAAGGCAGCATTTTATTCCTTAAACAAATCAAAGACGCAAGCTCAGTCTACAGTTTGTTTGCTTTTTTTCTCCGAGATGGAGTCTCGCTCTGTCGCCCAGGCTGCAGAGCAATGGCGCGATCTCGGCTCACTGCAACCTGCAACCTCCGCCTCCCAGGTTCAAGCAATTCACCTGCCTCAGCCTCCCGAGTAGCTGGGATTACAGGCACCTGCCACCATGCTCGAGTAATTTTTGTATTTTTAGTAGAGACGGGGTTTCACCATGTTGGCCAGGCTGGTCTCGAACTCCTGACCTCCTAATCCGCCTGCCTCGGCCTCCCAAAGTACTGGGATTACAAGTGTGAGCCACCGCGCCCGGCTCAGCCTGCAGTCCCGACAGGGTTCATATGATGGTAAGGGCTTCTGTAATCAAGACAGATACTCAGAGAAATGAAAGTTTTAGATGGAGATTAAATCTTGATGCAAGTGTAAAAATTAGAGATTTTGCAAAATGTATTATCTTCTCATAATTCAATAAATTCAAAATAAAAAATTAAAAACATTTTTAAGGGCTTAACTATTTGGAAATCAAGAAATATTTTGATAACTATTGAATTAAAAAGGAAATCAAATGTGAAATTTTAAAATTCTATAAAGCAATTTAAAAGAACAAATAATGATTAATACTTCCTATTAAAATCTATGGAGTAAATAGTTATCACCCTTTAGTATTAAAAAATAGAAAAATAATATTAAAAAGCCAAAATATATGAAGAAGATTGAATTGATGGATATGCACTGAAATAAAAAGAAAAAAGCAAGTGAGTTAAAAACTGCTTCTTTGAATATTTAAATTAAATATATAAGATATATGAACCTCTTAAAGATCTGATCAAGGAAAATAACAAAATAGGCAAACGTGTAAATACTTTTTGAAAGCATAACACGGATACTGGAAAAATTAATAGAACTGGAGCGGAACATGAAAATCTGAACGAAATAGTTGGTTTTCTAGCAAAAAATTATCAAAATTAATCCAAGAGGTGAAAAAACTTGAATATGACAATTTCCTTAAAAAATTTGGAAAGGTGATCAAGTTCTAAACATAGGAAAAGAGATGAGAACCAGGTATATTCACAACTGAACTTTATTAAAAACTTTTAAATAACAGGTCATCCCAAGGTTATTAAAGCTCTTCCAGTTAAAAGCAAATAAAAGCTCCCCAATTTATTTTATAAAGTCAACCTATACTCAGAACCAAAACCTTTTGGAAGTGTTTAAACAAATGCAGATAAGATTGCAGCTATACACTTATCTCTCTTACGAATATAAAAGCAGAATTTTTTTTAATGTAAATAAAATTCTGCAAAGTTTCCATAGATCACTACAATATAGTCAGGGAGAGTTAATTCCAAGAAGGTGACTGACTAAACCAGTAAATTGATTTGGTGGGTATGGTGGTTCATGCTCAGCACTTTGGGAAACCAAAATAGGATGATGGCTTAAGCCCAGGAGTTTGAGACCAGTTTGGGTAACATAGTGAGACCCCATCTCTATAGAAAAATGTTTTAAAAATTAGTTGGGTGAGGCAGTGTGCACCTGTGGTCCCAGCTATTTGGAAGGCTGAGATGGGAGGATCACTTAAGCCCAGGGGGTCAAGGTTGCAGTGAGCTGTGATCATGTCACTCCACTCCAGCATGGGTAATACAGCGAGACTTTATCTCCAAAAAAAATAATTGATTAATACAATTTATTAAATACATCATTCAAAATAAGAGGGAAATATGATTATCCAAATAAATGCTAAAAATAATTTGCCTAAATCTAGCAGTAATGCTTAATAAATTAAGAAAACTATATAAATATGACAAACTACTTATTAAAATATAGTAAGTACTACACTTAAATGATAAACCCTACAGTACTTTCATTTAAAATTCAGAATTAAACAGGAATAATTTCTGCTTATACCCATTATTATTTAACATTGCTTTAGATATTCTAGCAACAGTAAATGAATCAAGGAAAATAAAATAACTGTAATAACCCATAGAAAAGAAAAAAAAGCACAACTGTTTTTCTTAAAACATGTGCATATAGACACATACACATTTTTAAACAGAAAACCTATAACTCACTAGTATGAATACAAACCAATGTACAAAAATGCTAGAATTAATAAAAGAATATTTGACATTTTGGGGATAAATGAGACTCTTTTAACTCCTTTCCCATATCTGGTTCATTTAGAAGTTCAGCCTTTAAAGATGCCAGATATATAATGCTAGTTCTCAATTTAAATTATCCACTAAATTAAATTACAGGCATAAACTCATCAAATGTTAGAGTTGAAAGATTTTTGGAAGATTTTATATTCCAAACCTTAGCACACTACAGAAATACCTTTATAAACCATGGAGATGGCCACCAAACCCATGCTTAAAGCATGCCCAACTAGAGCAAGCTCGTGATTTCACAAAAAGTATGTTCTACGCTTAGCTGAAATATGCCTTCTCACAATTTCCTTCTATGAGCTCCAGCTCTCTCTCTTAAAACCCTCACAACATAGACTTAAAACAGCTGTCCTTTTTCCATCTTCCATTGACACTGATAATCAAACTATCTCTTATTTTCAGCAACTATCATAGTGTAAAAATAAAGAAGGCTACTGCTGTATTGTCAATTGTTTATAACATTCGTGAGAAAAACAGACATTGGTACAGAGCTCTGTATTTGTGGACCCACTATATAATACGTGACAAATGAAGTTATTGTCCATAGAGTCTTCCACACTGCTTCTTGAGTTTGCATTATCCCCTAGTGGTTTATAAGCATGACTGATTGAGGCAAATTTGAAAATGTTAGTCTATCTGATTCACTAAGACTTCACCATAAAGCTCAACATTAGGCACTCAAATTTTCTGTTCTTTCTGCTTTGGCCAATTTGAGATGGCATCAGGGAATCAAGTGTTTCAAATCACAATACAGAAAAATAGAACTCCAATTTAAGAAATACCCCAGTTGATGATGATAATTAGGAGGAGGATATATATTCTTCTCTTACAATAGCATCATTTTTAAAAGTGAGAAACTTTGGCTCAAAGGAAAAAGTTAACACAGTTTATGTAGATATATTAGCCTAGTAGTTTTAGAAAATATGTTTCCAGTTTATTTTACTGAGCTGCGTTAGGCAGTCTGCCAAATCAGGTTATGTGAGAACAGTAGAATGGTAACTCTGGACTCAATTACAATTGAATTACCAAATAAGCAATGCAAAGGACATAAAAGAGACAAAAAAAAAAGCAATCAAGCCAGTGCAGTGCTCTGTTGCTTCCTAGTTCTTCTTGGAAATGCACACACAATTATGATTCCCAGTGCTGCTGCTCCTTTGGGGTAAAGACAGTCTCCCAGATCAGAGGACCTCAGAACTGTGGGCTTCTTGTCCTCTCGTTATTTTATACCATTAGGTCAGAGGAGGAGTTACGTCAGCACTCCTCACCATTTAGGGAGATGGATTTTGGTGTCCTGAGGGATGTTTGCAGTTTATTTGTTCCTACTTCAAAGAAAATACTTCTATATTTCATTTAGCAGAAATAAAAAGTTACGTGATTCCAGAGTTTTGTACAGAAGGTTTGTCCATGACCTATCATATGTCAGTTCTGGACAATCATCTCTATACTTACATTTGAGTGCTTTTGAAACATTCGAAATGCAGATATTGAGAACTGGAATTTGTCATCCAAAAGAGGATGACTATGAAGGTAGAAACTGTTGTATAATAATAAATGTTTAAAGAAGTGGGTTGTTTACCCTCTGGAAAAGTGAACTGACTATGGTAAATACAATACGCTTAACAAGTATTTTGTGAGTGAGAGAAGTTGGTTTCAAATAATTTATTTAAGTGTATTTGACTGTTCCATTTCATTGAAAAGAAACGGTAGTAGAAAACAGATTTTAATTTAAATTAAGAAAAGAGCATTTTCAGTGTTAGAGAGGTTCGACAATAAAATCAGCTGTCTTATAATCAGCTTATAATCCCACAGATCAGCCCATTAAAAAGAGGCTGAATTATTTCTGCCAAGCAAAAAAAAAAAAAAAAAAAAATCAAGAAGTGGTCAACTGTGTCAAATATTGCAAATAGTTTAAGTTAGACAATGACAGGAAATGTTCTATTGTATTTAGCAAACTAGAGGTCATTGCACACTTTTTAAAGAGCCATTTCAGTGAAGAGGTTATGTAATTTTAATGAGAGTACTTAAACTAGACATCGGTCAGCCCCAAAACTAATTAACATATACATCTTCACTTCAAATAAACTTGTATAAAAGTTTGATCTGTAGCATAAGGAATGTGCTGGTAAGAGATATTAAATGATGCAGTTTACTATGTAAGAAACACTTCTAACATACCAATAGTCTGCAGTTCACACGACATTTATGCCATCAGTCAGGAGTTTGACTATAAGCAACTAAAAATCGTTGAAATGCTACCTTTCAATGTAGATAGCATAATATGCCATTTTAGAGATATAAAAATTAGGTGAGTCACTAAAGTCCAAATAATAGCCTACTAATATTAACAAATATATATAGCATTTTTACTCTATGCTAGACATCATTCTAAGTAATTTACATGTATCCATGTATTTAATCCTCATAAAAACTCTGATGGTATGAAGTCTTATTACACCATTTTACTGATGGAGCAAATGATGCACATGAAAATATGTGCCCAAGGTCATTTAACTGGTGAGATTGCAGAACTAGAATTAAAATCCAGTGAGACTGGCTTCAAAATCTAGATGCTTAAGCAGTCACTCCGCTGCCTCTCACAGTGATAGTAACTGAGTTGTGATTTAAATCCACATTTTGTACCCCCAGCAAACTTTTATTTCTACTACTTCTCAGGTGCTAGAAACCTCCCAGATTTGTAGTGGAGAAAGAGAAAACAGCTTAATTTATAATTATGTCAAAGAGGGGGAAAAGTGCTTATAATTTATAAAGGAGCCAGGGCAGGCAGAGTTTTGCCCAGAATTAGAGAACTAGTCTTAGAGAAGGAGAGAGAGAAAAAAACATTTGATTTATTTCCTTGATATCAACCTCATCAGCAATAGGTTGCATGAAACTTCACCAAGAATACTGCTTAAATATTAATGTAATATGACAGATAAAAGTAACATGACAAAACATTTATGACAAATATAAATTAGCTCTGCGGTTTTATATGAGCTTTGCTCTGTTCTAGTCTTTTGATTTAATCTTTTAATTTGAAAAATCCTTCCAAATTCAGAATAACTGGTGATGTGTTAGGAGTTTATCATTACATGCCATTCATTGTCTTCCTAAGAAATACAGTATTTTGCTAAATAAATTGTGATGCACATTAAAAATGGATACAAAGTCTAAAAGAGGTAAAGATGTTTCTTCCTAACTTATCAAGGAAAGGTTCCTAGATGAAAGAATATCAATAAATAAATTTAAAATCGGTGGCATAATGTATAGCCACGTAGAAAATTAGCTTTTACCCAAAACACATGTGGCTCAAATTTTAGCCCCACTGTGCTAAGATTAAAGGCCACCAGGGTAAATGTTCTTTTTTGCTTAAAATTACACTAAATTGTTGGTCTTCTCTGCTGGACTATACACTCCTCAAGGATAGCAACCATATCTTATTTACCTTTATGCACTTCTTATCAAAAGAGAAATAACTTAGGCCTGAATTGAGGAAACTATTTCTATGTCTATACCCATCAGATGTGGCTAAAGAAGAGACACAACTAGATGTTAGAAATGTTGCTACACATTTATTTAGGAAGGGTGAAAATCTCCAGTAATTTTAATTAGACAGACTACTGTCTATGTAAAAGCTTGACTGTTACCCAAAGGCAAAGAATGGCAACCCTTCACTTACTGAGTTTTTTTTTTTTCTACCTCTAAAACTATAACATCAAAAACTATAAGGAAGACAATGACCGTAACATTTCTTACAATGCTCTTATGTCATCATAATGTAACCAGCTCCCTTGAGAGTTCAGCACTCCAGCATTTTTAGTGGCTGAAATAATGAAAATTCTAATTAGGCTTTGCTTGCTTGCTGCACAAAAGCCAACATCCCTTGTTTCCACAGTATAAACTGCTGATGTACTGTTTCTTTGCCAAGCAGGAGGAGGTGACTTCAGGGTCATGAAAAAGATTTGCAGAAGGAATGGACATGGCGACCAGCTGCTGATACTCAAGGGTCTGGTTGCTCAAGATGTTTTCTGAGACTGAAGACACACAGACTTTTCCCCTCGCTTCCCTGAAACTCCCCCTCCCTTAACTCTCTAGCCACATAAAAATTCCCCGCTTCTTTTTGTTTAGAGGGATTTGAGAGATCTTGCCTTCTCATGTTGGCCAAATTGAAGAAAGCTTTTTCTCCAAGCAGTTGTTTGCCAGTGTTTGGTGTTAACTGCACATCAGGTACATAAGTCTAAATTTGGGGTTCTGTAACAATGACACTATATTAAAGAATTACAGAAATGTGTTTTCTGCCCTTTACAGGTTCATAATTTATGGTGGATAACTTATAAGCAAATAATTAAAGATCTACAAAAGTAAGTAATTACGCACACACGCTTGCATGCGCGCGCACACATACATTCATCAAACACCCCCTAAGCATTGTGTCCAAACAAACCTGAATCAACTGACTTCTGTTCTCAAGAGTTTTTAATCTAAGGGGAAAATAAAACATATACATTTAACTTATACTAAATTTTTAAATTCACTATGACACAACTACCCATGTAATCTCCCGGGTGCCTGATGATGTACCAGATAAATGGGGTTAATATATAAATTTTTTTTTATATAGATTCTAAGTATCTTCTGCAGTTGCAGGCACACAAGTTCTCTCTAGTGTTCCCTGGCTTAGGAGAGTTTGCTTATGATTTTTAAAAGACTTTTAAGTGATGCTAGAAAGCAATTTTGGGATGTGCGAAATGATACATTACTTTGGGTTTGAAGAATTTATCTTGTGGGAGGTCTGCTGTATGTAAATTAGATTGCCTTCTATAGAGGACGTGATACCTTAATGATTTCTAAGGTCTCCAAATTTAATCATCAATAGTTCTAAATAGAACATTTTCCAATAAGTTTGTCAATTTGTCTCATGTTTGATATCAACTAAAATTATTTTGTAAAATGTCTCCGTTCCAAACAAATTGTGCTTCATATGTCTAAATTTCCTTCCCAAGTACCATTTGAGCAATGCAGTCTGTCTTTGTGAATTTTTATTGCAGACTGGTATTGGGATAATACAAGACATATTGAGGAGAAATCAGAACATTAGTATGCATTCCTATAAAATATTTCCATTAGTGCCTCATTTATAATATTCTGGGACTCCAACAGCATTACAATCACGGAAAACAGAAAATAAATGAATATTATTTTTGTAACATACTTATGCTACTTTAAATGATCCCTATTCCCATTCTTATCTGAGTGAGAATAAGATATAATTAATTTTAAAGACTCAAAGATACATCAAATAACTCTTATTTATGTAAACATTGAAAAAATGAGTTTGCTGTCAGAAACCTCACTTTTTCCATACATCTGTTTATTTATTAAACATTTTCTTTTAATCTTAAGAATTAATCCTGAGACTTGGTAAAACAATTTTTTGGTAGTAAATAAAACTATTTTTTCCTGCAAACCTGTTTTTCCTTTTCCCATACATCTGGTTGTGATCTTTGTATGTCTGTACTCAGTCTTTAAACAATGATATGAATTTTATTGGAGGAAAGGGAAAGAAAGGGGTCAGGGATGCAGTAAATTACTGTTTCCTTTGTTTTATTTTAATTACAATTTATTTCCCACTTAAAAATATTTTTGTAGAATATGATGATTGCATCATTTGTTTTTTACCAAAAAAAAAAAAAAAAAGCTATGGAACTAAATAACACGGACATAGGAAATGATGATATGTGTTTCATGGAGCATTCTAAATACCAATTTGGATAATTTGAAGAATTTAAATATTTTCTCATTGAATAAAATTGACTATGTATTTATGGCTAGAGACATTTTATTTTAAACTGAAAGTTCTGCCTTGTTTATAGAAGTAATATGTGCTGGACTTCATTTCAATTTTCTTTAAATATCTATGGATATTTTGTATACATTGTAGGAGACTTTCTAAAATAAATGAAACTTGTGGAAATATAACAGGATAAACTTAGGAGTTCTCTTTATTCATCATAGCCATGGTAAAGGAAAAAAAAATATCCAGACAGAATAATAGGTAGAGCCAGAAAAGGAAGGAGAAAGAATGTGGACCAGTTCCTAGTGAGCTACAAATTCAATCAGATGGTTAATGGAAATTGAGGTTGATGGATTATGGCAGAAAACAGAGCCAGGTGGGGGAGAAGTTTTTCACAGAATCAGTAAAGGGTTCAATCAGTAGACGTAAATGGGGTCACCATGGAAAAGGGAGCTGGTTTCTAAATCTGGTACCTAGCTAACATCTTTCCAGTATGAAAATAGTTCTATAGGGGTAAATGTGTGTCTTGCAGGTTTCCCAGAAGACTGTCTTGAATGAACCCTATATTCAACTTTCATTTTTACATAACAAGTTACCACAACTTAAGCAGCTTAAGATGAAACCCATTTATTCACAATTCTGCAGGTCAGAATTCAGAGTGAGCTCGACTGGACTCCCTGCTTAGGGTTTTACAAGGCCAAAATCAAAGCTGTGGCCAGACTGGGCTCTTATCTGGAGGCTCGTTTCTAAGCTTATTTATTTCTAAGCTCATTCACAGTGTTGGGAGAATCCAGTTTCTGGTGACTGTTGGTCTTATGTCCCTTTATCTTTGCTGGCTGTTGGCTGGGAGCCATTCTTCATTCCTTGATGCCACGTGTGTTCTTTCTCATGTGGACCCTCCATCTTACAAACGTTTATTAATGAGCCATCAAGTCTTTTTCATGACTTGAATCTCTCCGACTTTCTCTTCTGCCATTAGTCACAGAAAACTTCCTGCTTTTTAAGGGTTCACCTAGTTAGGCCTGCATCTGATAACCTACATATTTTACAAAAACTGGGTCAATTGATTAGTAACCATAATACCACCTGCAAACTCCCTTTTGCCATGCTATGTAACTATGAAAGAGATGTCCCCTCAGATTACAGAGAAGAGAATTAAACAAGGTGAAGAGTTATTGAAGGTCATTTTCAGAAGTCTTTCTACCATGTGCCTTTTGGAATTTAGAAGAGTGGATATTATCAGATATTTACACTGAATGCCACAAAAGCAGATTTTTTAAAAGGGCACTCAACACATTGATGAATCCACATAATCAAGTAAAGCCAAATCATAGACTGTACCTCTAAATATATTTTTAGAAAGTAAAACCATAATTACTATAAATCAGCAGGTGTCAAGGAAGAATATATATTCATACTATAATCTTGGAAACATGATTATTAGGGAAAAACAATAACACAAAATTCCAGAGTTTACTAATCTTTGCCTATATCTCCTCTTAAAGAAAAAATAAATGCATGGTGGAAGTGAAGATACGTGCATATATATTTAAAATATTCACTAACATGTCTCCAGTTTGGAGTCCAGCTGAATGGCAGAATATGAAAAAAAGCTCAGGGAAAATATGCAGATAATTCATTTACTGCAGAAGCAGTTCTGGATCAATTTAGCAACTTACCAAAGTCAGAAAATTGCTATGTCTTACCGTTTGCTTTTTAGTGAGAAGCAAGCTAGAGGGAGAAGAGCTATTAATCCTAATTGCCCAGAGCTAATTATCTTCCTCAATTAAGAAAAAAAAAAGAAGCTAGTAAAAAGAAAGGGGGAAAAAAAGACCACACCCTCTAACAGATTGTGAGGTGGGTGGAGAACTATTAGCACAGCCAAGGGAATAGTTCTTCTCTACCACAGAAGAACAATGTCATGGCCAAAACCCTTGGGTTTATCTATCACTTCACTCATTCGACTGGGAAAAACTTAGAAATAGCTGCTGGGTAGAAGCAGGTAGAGTGGGAAAGTTGAACATCTGAAGACGGTTATCTCTGTCTGGAGAAAGTTTCATGCATTCCATCCTGAATTGGAAAGAATTACAAGAAGTCTGAAAGGATTATCCGTACAAGTACAACACACAGGTCTACTGAACACAAATGCAAGGTTTTATAAGCAATTTCAGAAGGAAAAGCAAAAACCAACCCCAGCAACCACTATTGGTCAGAGCCCTAGCCAAGATATCTAATTCCCCTCTTTGTACCCTCAGGCAATGGAACTGCATACAGACCAGTCTTCAAATTGAAGCTCTAGAAAAGTAAATTAATAAACAGATCTCTAAGATAGCGAAAAAGGAGTCAGGAAAATTAATCCTTAAAAACAATTCAAGATCTGGGAGCAGTTTTTATATTAATCACTAGTAGGATACAAATATATGATAGTGCAGCAATGTAAAATAAGAGTTTTATGTGGTTGTGGCTTAGCTAAACACAAAACAAATGCCCTGCTCCACCTAAGGTCTGTATACACACAACAGCCACCCTACCCCAGCAAGCTATGGATTTTGGAGGCATGAACAAATGCAGCTGATTGAATTCTGAAGCCACTATCGGATGCAAGGAACAGTGGTTATTCCACATAATTTCCTTATAATATTATCTGTGAAGAACATCCAGCAAGTACGTTATAAATGACCTCATATCCTTCTTAATACACTCTTGTTCTTCAACCCATGGTTACAATCTGTTGAACAAGTAATTTTACCTACACCATTATTTAGGTCCATCAATACATTCTAACCCACTGGCAAACTTAGATTAAAATCAGCAGGAACTCGAGAGGAAACACCAGAGCAGGGCATGCAAGAAACAAGGGGGTAAGGGTGGGTAAGAGACTCATAATAGTAAGATAAACAAGCTTTAATTTAAAGACGTGCATACAACTTTATAACAGAATACATTTTTCTGAAGTGCATGTGAAAAATTCGTAAAACTTTACATCAGACTTCGAAAAGATTCCAAATTCATATAAAAGCATTTTTATAATTATACCTGATTTGAAGAAATTTCTTTTTCATCCTGATTTAAAGGAAAAGAGATGAAAGTTCTATTTCTATATTTTAGTGGTGGTTTCATGGGTATTTGCTTTATAAATATTCTTTAGACTGTACATTGTATTTTACGCAATTTTCTGTACAACTAGTTTTTGTGTTATAATTCACAAATTAAAATAAGTATACAAATAAAATATATCACAGTCAGTCACAATTTTAGTCCAGATTAAAGTATATTAATGAAGTGATCTGAAAATAAAAAGATTTCTAAATCAATCTCTTAAGTGCTATAAGGGATAAATGAATGAATATTCATCCAAAAGCAGGTGAAGGTATGGTACAAACACAGAAAAACATAAACTAGGACCAATTAAAAATGAATAAAAGCCAGTTAGAAATTGTGAACTTAAAATATATTTTTAAAAATACTTCTAAATTTAGTAATAGACTAAGCTCAATTAAAGAGAGAATTAGTAATTAAAAGGCAGTTCTGAAGTAGTTACCTAAAACTCTGCAGAAAAACAAAGAAAAAAACTTAAAAGAGACTAAATTATAATTTGAATAGGATTTTGGAAAAATGGAAAGGTAGGCGTGTGTTGAAGTAATGTTTGAAGACAAAATAATTAGAAACAGTCCAGGACTAAGCTAAGAAATGGTGTTTAGATTTAAAAAATGCATCCAAAATACCAAGGATGGGTGCAATGGCTTAGGCCTGTAATCCCAGCACTTTGAGAGGCCAAGACAGGAGGACTGCTTGAGCCCAGGAGTTCAAGACCAGCTTGGGCAACAGTGTGAGACCCTGTTTCTACAAAAAGAAAAGAAAATAACTAGGTGTGGTGGTGCACGCCTGTAGTCCTGGCTACTCGGGAGACTGAAATGGGAGGATTGCTTGAGCCCTCGAGTTGAAACTGCAGTGAGTTGAGCTTGTTCCACTGCACTCAAGTCTGGGAAATGAGAAAAATACCTTGTCTCATTAAAAAATAAAATAAAATAAAAGTAAATCTTCACTGGATACATAGTAGTGAAGCTGCAGAACATCAGGTACAAAGAGAAATGTTAAAACAGAAAATAATGCAATTCACAGAACAGTGAGGATACATGGCCATAAAAATGTGGAAAATATGCCATTTTATTAGTAACTGGGAAATACAAATTAGAGTTATTCTTACTAATTTTTACATATTTGGTTCTTTTTAATGTAAAAGTTAAATAATACCAAGTGTTGGTGAAGCTGTGGAAAAAGAATCCTCTCATAATGCTGGAACCAAGATACACGATGAAGGTAAAGTTAGTGGGTAATTTGGTAGTGTGCAGGAAAACAAAACAAAACAAATGCATATCTATAACCCATGTACAAGAATATCTGTTGCAATGTTATTTATACTAGAAATAAAATTGCCTAAGACACAGCAATTCTTAAATGTGTTACAGTAAAATTACACTATCAGATGCTATTTATTACTTACAGAGAATAAAATCAGTTTATATGTTCCTACACAGAAAGGTCTGAAAAAGAGATGTTTTTCAGGGAAAAGTAGATGCTGCAAATATATATACAGAATGATACCATTCATTCCATAAAAAAGAATGGGGCAGTAAGAAAAAAATATCAAACAAGCAGTGCCTTTCTTTTGAGAGAAGACAGGATTCTGTGCCTAGCCAAAGGGGACTTCAGGTTTTTGCTTTTGTTTTGTGATGGATTCTCGCTCTGTTGCCCAGGTTGGAGTGCAGTGGTGTGATCTCAGCTCACTGCAGCCTCTGCCTCCTGGATTCAAGCAATTCTTCTGCCTTGGCCTGCAAAGTAGCTGGGACTACAGGTGTGCACCACCATGATCAGCTAATTTTTGTATTTTTTGTAGAGACGGAGTTTCACAATGTTGGCCAGGCTGGTCTCAAACTCCTGACCTCAAGCGATCCTCCTGCCTGGGCTCTGAAACTGCTGGGATTACAGGCATGAGCCACCATGCCTGGCAGGAATTTAGTTTTCTTTGCGATATTTAAGTACTTTTTATAGTCATGCAATTCAAAGTTTGTTTACAAAAATTAATAAGTGCAAAACTAAATATAATCAGGAACTGAGGGCTTACATTTTTTTGCTATCTCAAGGGGAAAAAGCAAAGAACAGCTGACAAGTGTGGTTAACCTCCTCACCAGTACTAAAGTATATAAAACCTTACGTGAATAGAATTTCATATATAAATTTATATATATAAATTTATATATAAATTCATATATAAATTTCATATATATATAAAATTATATATATAAATTTATATATATAAATATATATAAATTCATACATAAATTTCATATATAAATTTCATATATAAATATAAATTTCATATATATATATAATTCTACAATGCTTCTAGAAAGGTAATTCTAATAAGATACATTCTAGTTATTTCCTGATTTATATCTAATAGAAAATGATGTTTGGCTACAAATCACACAATTACACCAGGAAAAAACCAAGACTCAGAATACCATGATATTGAATGACTGTTTATTTGAATCTTTAAGGAGGCTTCTGACTGTTTTGTATTAGTACCTTCCTTTTTTGTGTGTGCTATTGAAGAATTTTAATTAATTCCCTTAAAAACCAATAAGTAGGTTTAGGAGAATGTTAGAACCAAACAGAGTATAAATGAGTTGCATTAATAATATTCTCAGCTTGAATCATTCACCTGTGTGTAAAGACTCTAATGTTGAATGTGAACTAATACCATTAAGATACATTTCCTTAGTAAGAGGAAGGAAAGTTAGGGAAGCAGGAATGAGTGATACTAATATCAGTTTTATTTTACATCATGCTACTTCTCTGAAAAGGACGACAGTCTTCCATCCCTCATATCCTTGGGGTATTGGTTCCAGGACCCTTGCAGTTATCAAAATCTGCAAATGCTCAAGTCTCTATGTAAAATGCCCTAGTATTTGCAAGTAACCTACACACATCTTCCTGTATACTTTAAATCATGTATAGATTACTTATAATACCTAGTACAACGTAAATGCTGTGTAAGTAGTTGTTACACTGTATTTTTTTAATTTGTTAGTTTTTATTGTTGTATTGATATTTATATTTTATTTATTCTGAATATTTTCTACCTATGTACTGTTTGTTGAATTTGTCGATGATGAACCCTCTATATAGAAGGTCAGCTGTATTTGCATTCATGGAAATATTTTTTTCAGTTTATTCTGTTTCCGATTTAGTTAGGGATTCATAGTTTATACTCATGCAGCAGAGGTAGTATATGAAGCACCAAGTCACTGCGATTTCTCAAACCTCAAATGTAGCAATATTAACATGATGCCAAATGATTCCAATTAGAAGTGAAAAATCCAGGTGCACATTTTGCAAAGTTTAGTCTAAGTCTGTAATCATTGGAATAATAATTCCAAAACTTCAATTTAGGGAAAGATTTGATATCAAGGAACAGTGTTTTCCTCTGAGCATATATATGGTATTTTTGTATTAATATTAAAAGTAAAAATTATCAATGCATGATTTAAATACTGAAGGCCAGCAACATACACAGTGTATTTCCTTTATTTATTTGAAGTAGCTTTTCTCGCTATTTGTGTCTCAGACAGATAATAGAGAAGAATGATAGTCACACACAAACCTGTTGTAAAATTAAATTATTTTGTAAAATAGCCCATGCATAATTTAGTGATGCTACCCAAAATGCTTTTTGAAAACTTAAAAAAACATAATGTCAAAGTTTTCTACTTATTGTTAATAGTGGGTTATATATAAGTTATGTATAGCACTGGCAAAGCACAGAGAGCCGACATAGCAAAATAAAATAAAATAAATTTCATATTATAATAAAAACATAAAGTACAGAAATGCATCGTGGCTGTCTAGTGATGAACTTCTAGTTCTGGGCTTGACTGTATAGAAAAATCTTAAGTCATCTCTTTGACTTCCTACCAATCAAAAAATTAACAGGAAAAAATTAAAATAGCTAGCTTGAATAAATGAATTCAAGATAGAAATACACTAATTTGTCATGAAAGTGCTGATGACAGATGACTTATTCATTTTCCTACCAGTTCCTTGGTCATAATTGGCATTGTTGATAAAAATAAAATATACAACTGCACTCCAGTCTGGGTGACAGAGTGAGACCCTGTCTCAAAAAAAGAATCAAATAAAATAGAATTAAAAAACATACAAAAACTTCATTACTGTATACACTGAAGGACAATGCCATTTTTCCCTATATGAGGGTGCAATGGAAACCATAACCAAAAGGTAGTTCACATAAGACCTTGATAGGTTTCCTGGGACATATAGGAAGAAATGTTGGATGTAATATGCCAAAAATAAGAAGTTGGCATCATTTTTATATTTGCAAAAATCTGAATATTCTGATGACTTTGCCATTTTTGTTTGCAAAAGAATTTGTCAGGAATGTTAGTAAAGGAGAATTAACATCTTAGCATTATCATGACTTTTTAAATTACTTTGAACTCTGATTCTTCTGATTTTTCTAGCTTCCAGGTTGTTGGAAATCTTTTTACGAAAATTCAACAACTCACACTTATATTTTTCTGTTTTGAAAAACCAAGGGGATTCTTTGGCAGGCTAGATAATCTTCAAGCAAAAACCAGTATTTTTAAATGCGTTCTCAGGAAACCTAAAAGCTTTATTTTTGGCAAAACGAGTCAAGATGCTGTCAGTTACCTCCTCCAAGATGCAATTACAGTCAGCACTAAATAATTTTGAGCTTCCGGCAAGATGTCATATTCAAAAAGGTTCTCAAAGACCTATAAGCAAATTTGTATCTTCTAAAATAACTAGCAAAGCAAAACTTCACTTAGGCTATTTTCTGGCAGTTAGAACATGGTGGAAAAGTTTGGTTAATGCCTGGTTTATATTATTGACTATTACCTTCATGAAGAAAAACATTAAGATTAGTTTTCCCTTTATCAATTGCCAAGAAATTCTTTGTCACCAGTTTTAAATTTTCTGAGAAGTGAAAGCAAGTTTAAAAGCCCCTGAAGTTTGTTGTAGCTTTTACCAGGAGTATCTGTCTTATTATTAGTATAAGACTTTGAATTGCACACCATCTACCTAGCTCCCAGATGCTTAAAGAATATTAATGTCAATTACCCGGGTGATAAAATTATCTGTACACTAAACCCCCGTGCAATTTACCCATGTAACAAACCTGCACGTGTACCTCCTGAACCTAAAATAAAAGTTGGAAAAAAATAAAGAATATTAACATGTGTATTCTCCAAACATCTCAAAAAAGTTATGAAATTACTAACATTATTTCCATAGTACATTTATGGACACTGAAATAAGAACATAGAAATGGATTCATCAAATATCTTGAAGAATTCCAGTGGTATAAAGTGATAATTCAAACGATGTTTTCTGCTAAATCTCCAAATGCAATTGTCATTGTCAAACTAGAAATAAAATGTACTGGGAGAAATTGTTTCAATAAATGTAAAAAAATGTATTTATGACTACAATTTCTATGCTAAGCCATATTAATGGGATTTCTTTTCTGGGTTATGGTCACACCAAATGATGCAGAAGCAACTTTATTCCATCAAATGATCGACTATAGGTAACATGCAGCTAACATATGAGAGTTTTAAAGATGAGCTTTAAAATATCCAAATACTACTTTGCATTGATTCACGCTACACAGAAGAAAAATTGAGGATATGTGAATTCGCTGCCCTGTAGATATGAATCTTGATGTGATGTCCTCGCATTATTCTTTCAATAAAATGATTTTACTGTCCAAGTAAGTAAAAATGTCTTTTCCCATTACTTGCTTACTCATTCTAAGCCCATCACATTAAGTCACTGCTCAGGGAAGTACCTTAAAAATACTGGAAAATAGAAAGTGCTATTTAAAGTCAAGTTCTTGTCTACTTCCAACTTAGGAAATATTCTACAATGCACATGATGGGGAGCCAGAAAAAAAGGCTGTGTGTTTTATTCACTGTTAAATAATCTATCCATATTCCTGAGCAAGGATATTTCATCAGGGTATCACATACTATGTAATATTAGCTCTTTTCTCTAAACACAGTGTTTACACAACTTGAAAAATACTGTCCTATTGATGAATATTATGTATGAATGTTTAATTTCATATATGTTTATGCTTTAATAGCTCTTCATGCTTTACATTAAGAGAATGAACTGATTTACTTAAAAATACTTATACCGAGCTACTACTGTATGTCAATCCTTGTGGGAATTCAGAGTTGATTAAGGTATGAGCAACTCAAGAAGCTTTTTTGCAAATAATGCACTTACTATAACCGAGTCATACCTCAACACTGTAAATTGAAGCTTAGATGTTCTGCTTAAAATTATAAACATATAAAGCTAAAAGTCCTTCAGTAATGGAAAAAACACAATATATTCAAATTTTGCATATTTTTGCAAAATCTGTAAAATTTTGTTTGCTTTATAATTTAGAAATTTGGGGTGGTATACCATTAAATTAGAACATATCATATAATCTAGAAGAACAGAGCTGATTTCATGTACAGAATATTACACAGAAGACTCAGAGGCAGTAAAAAATGAAGAAAAAACTTATGGCTTATTGGTAATCTGAGAAATACAAATTTCAACCATAATAAAATGACATTTTAGCCCATCATTTGGAAAAAAGAAAGGAAAGTCTGATAATACCACATGGGAGCTAGAATATGGACCCACTAGGACTTTCATATGGCTGACGAGAGAATAAATTAATACAATATCCTGAAAAAGAATTTAGCATTATCTTGTGAAGTTACATATGTGTAAATACAAGACTCAGAATCTATTTCTAGGTAAAAATCTTACAGAACTCTTAGGCATGTGTGCCTGGAGACCTGTATAAAATGTTTATGGAATTACTGGGCCCCAAATTACAAAAATGTAAAATGATTATAAACATGGGAATAGAGTGCTACAAACATCACTATTAATGACTATCAAAAACATGTCACTGGATGCCAGAAACAAGACAGAATTGTTTGGCGCATTTTTCTATTTATACAACTTTCAAAAATACACAAACTAAACAATAAGGGTATACAATACGTAGCAAAACTAAAATGAAAATTAAGAAAAAAACAATTTGAGTTATAATTGAGTTGGAGAGAGACAATGTTAATCTACGGAATGCCAAAATTAATAATACTCTATGTTTCTTCTTGTTGTTGAAAACCTGTTTATTCTATTCTTTTTACCTTCATGTATATGTTCTTTGTACTAACTGCATATATATGTGTGTGTGTGTGTGTGTATATATATATATATATAAATATATAAAATATGTATAACATCATCACAACGGCCCTCTATAGCTCTTATAATGCAGCTCTTATTTTACTTATGAGTAACTGAGGCACAAAGAGGTGAAGTAACTTTATCAAAGTCACACTGTTTATAAGATACAGAGCTGGGATTTGAACAGAGAGTTCAGAAACTGAAGGTGGCCTTATAACCATTAAACTCCACTAAGTATCTGCATTTCAACAATGTAAACAATAAAAGAAAGAGAAATAATCAATTATACTCTGGTGACCCTTCAAATAATAATGTAAGAAAAATGGTTAATGAAATAGAAACAATAATCCTTAAATAATCATGAAATAGTATATTAAAGTGGAATGTTGAAAAAATCTAGACTGTTAAATGTAAAATTGGTTTTCACTCTATGTGCCTGGCTTATTTCACTTAACATGTCTTCCAAGGTTACCAATGTTGTCTCAGGATTTTATTCTTTTTAGTGGCTGAATAGTATACCATTGTATATATATACCACATTTTTTTCATCTACTAATCTGTTGAGAGACTTAGGTTGATTCTATATCTTGGCTGTGAACAGTGTTACTATGAATATATGCACACGTGCTTTTTTGAGTATCTGTTTTCAAATCTTTGGGGTGTATGCCCAGGAATGGAATTGCAGGGTCATATGGTAATTTTGTTTAACTTTGGAGGTGTCACTAAACTGCTTTCCAAAACAGCTGAACAATTTTACATTCCATCAGAAGTATATGAGGGCTTCAATTTCTCCATATCCTAACACTTGTTACTTTTAAAAAATTATTAGTATCATATTATCTGAAATTTCATGCTCTTTAAAATGTAGTCACTGAAGTCCTAAATGATTCTATGGACAAAAAATAATAATAATAAAAATAAAAAACTATCAGAAAACAAATCAAAATAAAAGAAAACCCAAACCATATTTCCTGCACATTAAGAGAAATCTTTCAAAATCTGCTTCTATGACAGGATTTCAAAATTCTCATTTTTATGATAGGCAGACATAGGTAAAAACATGCAATATTAGAATACTTCTTTTTCTTTCTTAATGTTATGAGTGGAGTATTATACCTAATATAGGAAGGAACGTGAAGGCTTCAAAATAATATTTATGCACCCCGGTGAGATATCTGTGTGACAAAGATCAAGGAGGTTTAATTAGCAACTTCTTGACTAAATAAAGTTAAAGGCACTCTCTCAGTTAAAATGTGGATGTGGCATTTAATGAGTCAGAGATTACGCTCACAGAACCTAAATTGCACACATGATGATGAGTAACTTTCCCTTCATAGTAAACTCACTCAACAGGCTGTGTCTGTTCAAAACAGAAAGCTATAGAAAATAGAGAAAAAGGAGATAATTACCCAAGATTGCCAATGTAATAGAAAACCAGCCTTAATTATTTCTCTAAGAGTTCTATGTAAGTGTCAGTGAACACAATATTCCCTCATTTCAAAGACTTAAAGCAGGTAAATAAATTAAACACACACATAAAATAGTGAAAAATTCTTTAAATAAACTCAAATACAGAAAATTATAATTAAACCCTCCACTTTTGGTGGCCCTCAAATAGTAATAAAGAGTTTCATTACTTGTGCTTATTAGCTAAATGTCCACAGTATCTTATTAATTACACAGGTGTTCCATCTTTATTAAAGCACCCAAAAAGATTTTAGAGGATCTTCTAGTAGACTAAAAACTGCCTTAAAAGAGCAGGAAGGAAACATACATCAACATACTAGATAAAACACAGTGTATTCATATTCTCTGCTGATCACTATGCGAGGCATGTATATCCTCATACTAACCCTGTGACATAGACGGTATCATTATTCCAATTTTACAGTTGGAGGAAACAAACCTCAGTAGTTAAATAACTTGTACAGGATCACACATCTTGTAAGACATACATCAGATTTCAGATCCAGCCCATCTGACTCCAGCAGCTTCATCAATATCATCTGAGCAATTAAAAAAATTATACCCCCACTATTAGGACCATACATAAATGAAAGCTCTTCCCTGGCCCCTGGATACCCAGTACTTAATATGCATACCAAAATACATTAAAGCAATGCCTGTAGTAATATTATTTGCAATAGCCTCAACCTGGAAACTACTCATATGTCCATCTAAAGCAGAACTGATACATAAATTGTGGTATATGCATACACTGGAATATTTCATGGCAATAAAATGATGCACTACAACTACATATTTTATTTTTAAAACAAAGGAAATCATATTGTTTTTCCTGATTATAAAGCAATATTTTATCAGTATGAAAGAAATAAGATATAAAGAAAAAGGGAATAATAACCCATAATGCCATCACACAAAGATAACATTTTAGTATGTAGTCTGACATTATTTTTTCTAAAGATAAACACATACAAATTTAGATATAGATGTATAAAGAGCAATGAGGAGAAGGGAGAGAGAGAGAGCATGAGAGAGGTATCCTGGCACATATTAAGACCTGATATTACTAGCTTGTTTTTATTATAATCGTTATTATGGCTATATGTAGTTGTAGTGCATCATTTTTATTGCATAGAATATTCCAATGTGTGCATATACTACAATTTATTTATCATTTTTGCCTTAGATGGACATACGAGTTGTTTCCAGGTTGAGGCTATTGCAAATGATATTACTATAAGCATCACTTTAATGTATTTTGGCACACATATTAAATACTGGTTCTCCAGGGGCTGGGGAAGAGCCTTCATTTACAGTATTCTACAAAATTCTAAGGTAAATACTATCATTGTGACCAATTTCAAGCTACCATTAGTCCAAGAGTAGGATCAAAAACTTTCTGAAAATTTAACAGCTGGCTCTCAGAAGGCAGTACTAGCTGATTTGGGCACACCACAACTTGAGTATATATACTTTGAAATGAAATTGCTAATTTATAGAGTATGTACCTAATCAACTCAACTCTAGTGGATAATGTAAAATACTTTTCCAAGGTAATACTACCAATGTGCAGCCCTCCCCAGCAGTATATGAGAGTTCCCATTGCCTGTTAGACTGTTAAATTTCAGTCATTCTAGCAGGTATGTGGTAGTATCCCACTGTGGTTTTATTTTCCTGATTACTGGTGAGTTTGATCAACTTTTCATTATCCTTTTGATGAACTTTTGAGTCTTTTGATGAACAGTCTTATTATATATAGTCTAATTCATTCATCTGAACTTATTTATTAGTGTTTTTGTTTTGTTTGATAAATATTTTACCTATTTAGGTCATAAACATATTCTCCTGTATTGCCCTCCAGATATTTTATTGTTTTGTCTTTTATATTTTGATTTATTATCTGCATAAAATATTTTTTGAGTGACATGAGGCAGAAGCCAAATTTTATTTTTACTTTTATGGATATAAAATGTCCCAGCATGATTTATTGAAACATACTTCCCTTACCCAGCTTTGGAGTAGCACTCTTTTTATAAATAAACATGCCACATATGCTCAGGTCTTTTTCTGGGCTCTCTATTTTATTCCACTGCTCTATTTGTCTATCTTTACAGGAATATCACACTATCTTATTTAGAGTAACATTATAAAAAGTCTGGATGGAACAAGCCCACTCTATTCTTTTCTAAGCATAATATGGCTTCTTTAAAAAAATAGATGTATTGAGGTATAATGCAATTACAACACACTGCTTATATATAAAGTGTCGATTTCCTAAGGTTGACATATGTAAACACCTATAAAAACATAACAAATCAAGATAATAAATATGTCCATCACACAGGATAGATCCTTTTTGCCCATTTGTAATCCCTCTATCCCTTCCCTCCATGTACTCTCTATCCCCAGGCAATAAGTAATCTGTGTTGAATCAGTTTAAATTAATTTGCATTTGCTAGAATTTTATACAAATGAAATAATATACTATGCGTTATCTTTTGCCTGGCTTTGTTTAGTCAATATAATTATTCCAAGATTCATCTATGTGTATACGTTGCACATATAAATGGTCATTTTCTTTTATTGCTGAGTATTGTATTAATGTGTGAATATTTTACAATTTGCTATTCATTCATTTGTTGATGAACACTTTTGTGGTTTTGAATATTTGCCTGTTACAATTAAAGTTGCTATAAACATTCAAGTTATAAGTCTTGCATGGACATGTACTTCAATTTCTCTTGAGTAAATACCAAGTAATAAAATGAGGATATGTTTAACTATGTAAAAACTCTGTCAGATTTGTACCAAAATGGTTGTACCATTTTATATTCCCTTAAGAAATGGAAGAGTTCCATTTATTCCACATCACTAGTACAATTTGCTATGGTCAATCTTTTTTAGACATTTAAATTGATTGATATGTAGTGGTAACTCATTGTGGTTTTAGTTTGCATTTTTCAGCTGATTAATGATGTTACACATCTTTTCATTGGCTTTACAATTACCTTCATGAAGTGTCCATTCAAATCTTTTGCGTATTTCTTAAATTAAATTGCTTCTCTTCTTGAGATTTGAGATTTAAAAATATATATATTATTCATACAAATTCTCTATTAGATATATAAGTTACAATTGTAGTCTTCTGGCCTGCGGCTTGTCTTTTCATTTTCTAAGAGCAGAAATTCTTAATTTTGATGAAGTCTAATGTATCACTTTTTTCTTTAATGGATCATGCTTTTGGTGTCTTAAGAATTCTTTGCTTAACCCAAGGTCACAAATATTTTTTCCTATGTATTATTCAATGTGTTTTATAATTTTAGATTTTACATGTAGATCTGTTATTTATTTTAGTTAATTTTTATGTATACTACAAAATATGTGTAAGTGTTCACTTTTTTCTAGTCAGATTGTACTTTCTTCACCAATTGAATTTGCAATTTTATAAAAATCAATTAATGTTTTTTGATTCAGGATTCTTTCTCCACCTCAATTGATCTATTTGTCTATGTTGATTATAATAAGGATTTAAATCCGTAGGGTAAATCTTTCAAACTTTTCTTTAATTGTTTTATCTATCCTACATCCTTTGTATTTCCATACCAATTTTAGAATCAGTGTATTGACTCTTATTAAAATTGATTTGATTTGATTAGGATTGCACTGAATCTAGAAGTCATTTGGGGAGACTTCACAGCTTAAAAAATTAAATTTTCTGATCCATAAACATGCTATCTCTCTCCATATATTTAGGTCTTTCTTTGAATATCTGTAGATCTGTCATTATGTTACGTCTCTCATTTTTAATATTAATAACTTGTGTTTCTCTCTAGTTTTCCTCCTGATTAGTCTGATTAGAGGCTTATCAAGTTTACTGATCTTCTAAAAAAAAAAACCATTTGGCTTCACAGATATTCCTGTTTTTTGGGTTTATAGGTCATTACTTTGCATTATTATCTTTATTATATTATATCCTTTTTCTTTTATTTTATATTTAATTTGGCTTCTTTAGTTTCTTTAGGTGGAACATCAGGTAATTGACTAGAAATTTTTCTTGGTTTTTGACAGAAGTTTTACATGCTGTAAATTTCCTTTTAGCTACTGCTTTACCTGTATAGGAGAAATTTTGAATGTTAAGTTTTTATATCCAGTCCCAAATACTTTCTAATTTTAATTTTTATTTTCTCTTTAGTCTGTTGATTATTTATAAATATATTATTTGTTTCTAATATTTATAAATGTTTAGATGTATTTCTAACATACATTCCTAATATTATTCTGTTTTATTATTTAACAATTTTTGTATGTTATATTTTTACTGCTTAAATCATTTGGAAATGTACTTAGCTTTATTCTGTAGCTCAAAATATGGTCTATCATGGTACAAATTCTGTTGAAAATATACATAGTGTATATTATGCTCTTGTTCTATGGAGTGTGCTCTCAATGATCATTCCTATTATTTTACCCAAAGGCAACAGCTTTCAACATTTCATAATTTATTTATCATCTATTATTTTCTTCTGTACATTTGTATTAAATAATAATTTACTGAACTATAATTCCTGGTGTCTCCATTTAACAATAAAAGCATTTTCCAAGATAAGTACATACAAATTTTTATATAATTTCAAGATATACAGTATTTCTTATATATATGAGCTATGTTTAACTTAATTATTCATTTGCATTCAATGATTGAATTAGAATCATTCTAAACATGATATGGCAATAAATATTAAAAAATAAATATAACATCTAATTTTCATTTTATAGATTACATTCAAATATTTGCAATATAAAGTTATTATGGTTATCTTTGTGCAAGAAACTTTGACATAATTCCAGATTATTTCCTTAGTAAATGGATAAATATAAATGAATTTTCTGGATAAAAGGAAGTGTAGTATTTTAGATTTTTCACAGGTTATCAAATTGATTTCAGAAAGTATGTACCACTTTGCATTCCTACAGAGGTTTTATAAATACCTCTGTGTCACTATCCCTCATTAACAGTAAATATTGTTTTTGTCAATTCTATAAATAGGAAACATATGATTGTTGCAGACATTTATCCTGTTATTTGTCATCATGATACATTTTGTTATATGTTTTTGGGGTATTCTGCAAAGTGTTTTAACCCTTTCTTTCTCTTTTATTTCTATTAAGGTAAATTCATTGATTGATTGAATTGGGTTGTGCACAAAAAAGGAAAATAAAAGGTAACACTTTGAGAAAATATTAGCACTTACAAATCTATAAGACAAATATTAATGAAACTTCATGGTCCAAGATTGTTTGTACCTCTATTTGCCTGAAAGAGCACAGTGGAAAACGTTTAAGGTTCTTATTTTCTAAAGTTTTATATTTCTACAACATTGAGCCAGTTTTCTAGAGGAGAGAGACTGAAGAATGGCAGCCATGCAACCGGAAAATTCTGTTACTGTGATGCCTGTTCCCACTTAGATAGCTTTTTCTTATTTTGATATAAAACCTTTCCCCCCTTTATTTTGATTTTTTTAGTCTTAAATAATCATATTGCCTTGCTTTTATTATTCTATTTCTTAGAATTTAAGGGTGTTTTCCTGACTTTCCTGATGGATGACCTTGCTAAAAATTCCAGGTACTGCTAAAGGTTCTTACATAGTTCATAATACAGTTATATCATCTGCAAATAGTGTCTTTTAGGAAAAACATTACTTAACAGTTGTCTAATCAGTGGAGACCCACTGCACTTCCACCTGGAATGTACTACATTGGGAGTTGCTCCTTTAAGAAGCAATTTTCAAAAACAGAGCATCTGACTGTAAGACTTTCATTTGTGGCTCTTATTTAAAATCAATGACAATCTTTTCAGTACACAGTCTTAATGATATTGCATATCCTTTATGCAACACATATTTATGTACCATTATAAACCAGGTAATTTTATAGGCATTGTTGGGGGACAGTGAAAAAAAGAGACAACAACAACAAAAAAACCTTGCCTTAAGGAGTTTAGGTATACATCTCTGGATAAAGGGCATCCGGCAAGGCCTCACTTTCAACCATTCCAAAAGTAGGTATCACATGACCGAGGTATCTGGAGGACACCCACAGCTAACCTTTGTATAGTCCATGTGACCTGCATTTTTTTTCAAACAACCCTACATAGCCCCTTCTCATGGAATAACACATCAATAGGTCAAAATTTAATTTACATCTTTTGATGAAAGAAGGCTTAAGAATAGATCATTCTGGTGCTTTATTTGACAATTATTTATGCACATAGTTTTATTACATAGCCATGATGAAGTTACATATGTGAGGGAAAATGACATGAAATTTAACTGCTATTATATGAAATCAACAAATATTTATTGAGCACTTACCATGTATGCAGCATTTTTGTAACCCATTTGAAGAAAGCAAAACACAGATGTTTAAGTAACTTACCCAAGAAAACTGATAAAGCAGTGGACTAGAGGTGAGGAGGAACTAATATCAGGACCTACATTTTAATCATGATGCTATGAAGATTTTAGCTACTGGATTAAGAGTGTTCTAGGGTATGTTTTCAGATCAGTTTAAATTAAGCCAAAAATCACAAACCATTCATATCTAGTCTAATGTTAAAATAATTGCTCAGTGGAGTTCCAGGGCTATCAAGAAGAGATGACACTATGTGAAAAATATGAAAATAATGTGTGTTTTTGTGTAGTTCACCTAAAAAATTGTTTTGTTGTTTTATATAATGACCTTTTTTTAAGATTTCTGTAAATATCCTGACAAGGGCAGTGTTTTAGAAATGTCTTTAACTTAGACATCATATTCCTCATTGGAAAGACACTTGCCAGCAAGGCTACACGACAGTACATTTTTAGAGCCACCTATAACTACATGGGCCATTAGAGGTAAAAGCAGAAATGGGATATATGACCTTTAGTACTGGAGAATTGACTGTAAATATCACTTGTTCCATCCAGGCGACGCTGGTATCCAGAGAGGGTTCTGTGTGAAAAGAGATTCCATGAGACAAATGGAAGAACAAGGAGAGGCGAAAGGAACAATAGAGGTCTTTCAGAAGCAGGTCAACAAACATTGATGCAGCATTTTCTTTGTGCGTGTTGAAGGTAATAGGTTCTTGGTCCTCTAATATACTGCAAATTCACCTGGCTGCTACAGTTTTATTCTGCTACAACTCACTGTCTGTAATTTGATCCTTTATCCTTTTCTTTAGGTCTTCCTACAAATTAAAGTTTTGTCTGTTTGTTTTTAGTAACAATGAGCCTCAGAACTTCTAATAAGCAGCATAATTGCCATGTGGAGAAGGCTACATTATACAACACCAATTTCTCTCTGAAGATCCACCACCTCCGGATGAATGTTACTGATTCCTACTGTCTATTTCATAGATCTTCAACTCTTGTTCTTTTGTTTAAAGATATGAGTCTAAGCTTAGACATATATGATGCTTTCAATTCAAAAATGTTGTTTAGAAAAGGCGCTCATTTAAAGAATTTGCTGAAAGCTAAAGGATAACCAAAGCAAAAGGCACACACAGGGTAACATAAATCTAGAATATATGTTTTGCCATATGTATTTTTCTCATTTCCAATCTATTGTTAAATACATGGCATCCTCCTACCACACCCTTACTTCCACTAGGCAGAGCATCCATTTATTCTCTACCATGCACAAGTCTTTGGCTTCAAAGTCATAGGTTTCCATGGTTACAGTTCTTCATTGGTGTTCTTATTTTCCTCAGGTAACTGATATTAAACTGGACTTCCCTCTCTTGCTCAAACCTCTGAGGTCCTCATAGGCTAGATTATCATCAATATAATATGACAACCTTAAGATTCATATTAAACACAAACACTCTTGGTAATTGGAAGGGAGAAAGTGAGAGGGAGGAGTCTTGAAAGAGAATATTGTTTCATTACCTTTTCTTTCAATTTTTGGGTAGCTTTTATGGTCGTAAAGTAGCCTTTGGGAAAAAATATTGGAGACACTTGCAGTTTTAAGGCTTTATCAATGTCTGGTAATGTGATGTGGAGATGATAGAGCTTAAATGTGATGTGTTAAGCCACTGTTTCAGCACATTTAAGCCATGACTAAAAAGAGAATTATGAATATACCTGTAAAAAAGGATAGATGAGAAATAAAGAAGTGTTGAAGCATTCGGATGACTAGTGAAGGAAATCTCTTAGTCTAAATTGGTCTGATAGTCTTAAAATGTGGAATAGAACGTGGAGAAGAGTCCATAACTATCGAGCCATAAGAGTGTAATACATACTAGAAGGGTATTTGGGGGCTCAGGAGGAGGTGGGGATGGTTAGCAGGTACAAAATAAAATAGAGTGAATGAATAAGACCTACTATTTAACAGCACCATAGGGTGACTATAGTCAATAATAACTTAATTGTACAATAACTTCTACAATTTTAAAATAACTTAAAGGATGTAATTGGATTGTTTGGAATTTGAAGGATAAATGCTTGAGGGGATGAATAACCCATTCTCCTGAATGTGCTTATTTCACATTGCAAGCCTATATCAAAACATCTCATGTACTCCATAAATATATACACCTACTATGTACCCATAAAATTTAAAAAAATGATAACTCATTCTGCAATTAATGACAACCAAATATGTGGACTAAGAGAGAAATGAAGTAGCATAGCAAGGACTCCTGGAAATTCTTGAAAGCAAAATGCAAAAATCTTAACAAATTGAAAAAGCATCCCAAAAACAGTTACTGAAATTATAACACAGAGTTTATACAAATTTTAATTGGTCTTTATATAGAATTATGAACATCATAATTGGTGAGAAAGACAAGCAAGATTGAAATTTTCATAAGCATTTGAATAACTCTTAAATCTCAGACATTGACAGCAAATTGACTTCAGAGATATGACAAGAAACAGCTGGAGCTGAAGCAGCAGGGCTGAGGAGCTCCAAACAAAGAAAAAGGATAAAATGGAATTACTCTCAGAGCCCTTAGGGCAAGATCAAAGCTCCGCTTTAGTTCACTCCATCTAATAATCTTAGAATATAACAACATGAAAATGTGACTTGTGACTAGGAAACTGAGAACTGTAAATGATGTTAATAAAAATACAAGCTGATCTGTTTGGGGAGATAAGAGGGGGGTTGTAGATTTTATTTTTTGGTTGTGAAAATAGAAATAGGGTTTAAATATATTTTTGCCTTCTTCAAACAATACTGAAGAGTGAAAGAAGAGGTAGTCTTGTAAACCAGTGGTTAAAAACCATAGCTATTCTATCCTACGTCTTCACTATCATTCTAAGTGGATTGTATGAGAAATGAGGGGGGGGAAAAAGTACTATTTTCCAGTTAAGGCTCTCATTTGTGTAGTCACTCACAAAGCCCTGGTCCTATTTCCAAGTGGCCAATGACTTTTGAATCTTTCATCTTTACAGTTCAGTTTGATTTCTCCTTCATTCATCGAAACCACCTTACCTCAAATATGACCACCCTTGTTTAAATCCCTCCTTAAGGGTATGACATAGCATCACTATATCTGATTTTCTTGTAATTCTTAGAGAAAATTATAACTATCACAGGCCTTTTCCCCTAATTCTTACCCAACTCTCAAGACCTTAGGTCCAGAACTTAGAATATAATCTAGTGCCTTTGCCAAATGGTATAGATGTCCTTCTTCTCATTAGTTTTTTCAAAAACAATGGTGAAAATCTCAAAAAATATGCCCCTTCAATGAGAGGTAATTGTTTACTTTGAAGTAAATGGTCATTCATGATACATCTCTAAATTACCTTCAGAACGTGTTTCTCAGAACTAATGTTATATGTAGACATGTAGGCCAGGCATAGTAGCTCACACCTGTAATCCCAGCACTTTGGGATTCAGAGGCAGGTGGATCTCCTGAGATCACGAGTTCGAGACCAGCCTGGGTGACATGGCGAAACCCTGTCTCTACGAAAAATACAAAAATTAGCCACATGTAGTAGCCTCCCAAGTAGCCTGCTCCTGTAGTCTCAGCTACTTGGGAGGCTGAGGTAGGAGGACTGCTTGAGCCTGGGTAGTTGAGGTTGTACCACTGCACTCCAGCCTCAGTGACAAAGTGAGACCCTGTCTCATTAAAAAAAAAAAAAAAAAAAAAAAAAGAATCCAAATGTAGATATGTAATCAGCACCAAACTGCTGTAGCGTTGCCCTTCGATTTCCAATTTTCTGTGTTGTTGTGTGGACATTTATAAAATTTGTTTCTGTGACTAAAGAACACATAAAGGATTTGCAAAAATGGAATGTCTTTTATTGCACACAATTCATTGCTGCAATGATCTTTATTTATTTGAGAACATGGTAACAATAATAATATATTTCAACCAAATGGTGGAGTGATACAGGAAGTCTCTGTTTCATTTTCTGGTAGAATGAGACCACCTCATTCTCATCACACAGTCCAGGATCCCTTAAGGAACATTTTCTAGGCAGCTTTACTAGCCAACATTCTGGTCCAAACATGAAGTACATGAACCTGCCTTGGGAATAGTGGCTATCCAGCCCCCCAGACATTACACCATGTGATTTTGCGTCACCGCTGCCTTCAATGATTATAAGCCAGAGGATTTATATGGTCTTGTACTCTGACATAAGCAGCACATATTTATGAGATTTTGGAAATAACTGTGGTAACGTATTTAAAAATTGACTTTTGTCCCATGTTCATGTGTTCCTAAATGACTTTGTTGATGAGTAATACATTTTTGAAGATACTCAATTTTTTATAAATACTATGTATGTTAAAATGTAAGTATATGCAGTGTATGTACAAATTGAGTTCTTATGTGCTCAGCCCTGCACTGAGCAAATTGACATATATTATCTCATTTTATTTTCATAAAAATACTATGAGAAAAGGAGTCATTGATGCACAGATAGATTAAACAACTTGCCCAAAGTTACACAACTAGTTCAGAAGTCATGATGTTATATTAAATGTATCGGTAAAGATAGGTGCTCGCTAGTGGGTGTTTCAGCACAATTTCATCACCAAGCCTTATAACACTCAAATTAGCATTTGATATGGTTTGGATATTTAGCCCACCTCAGTCTCATGCTACAATGTAATCAATCCCCAATGTTGGAGGTGGGGCCTGATGGGAGATGTTTGGGTCTTGTGGGTGGATCCCTCATGCCTGGGAGCTGTTCTCAAGATCTCGAGATAGTGAGTGAGTTCTCAGGAGATCTAGTCGTTTGAAAGTGTATAGCATCTTCCCCTTCTCTCTTGCCTCCCTTCTGCCATGTAAAGTGCCTGCTCCCACTTTACCTTCCACCGTGATTAAAAGCTCCCTGAGGCCTCACCAGAAGCAGAGCAGATGCTGGCACAGTGCTTCCTGCACAGTGTGCAGAACCATGACAATTAAACCTCTTTTCTTTATAAATTATCCAGTTTCAGGTATTTATTTGTAGCAATATAAGAACCACCTAATACAGCAGTCAACATAAAATTGTTGTTGTCTCAGTATTATGTTCTGTTTGTGTTCCCACAAAATTAATATGCTGAAATCCTAACTCACAATGTGATGGTATTAGGAGGTAATATCTTTGGGAGGTGATTAGTTCATGAAGGTGGAGCTCTCATGAATGAGATTAATGTCCTTATAAGAAAAAGTATATGAGAGATGATATCCAGTCTTTCCCATGTGAGACTACAACTAGAAGGCCATCTGCAAAAAAAGGAGCTTTCACCAGACACCATCTGCCAGCACCTAGAACCTGGACTTCCTAGCCTCCGGAACTATGAGAAATAAATGTTTAAGTCATCCAGTCCATGGTATCTGTTACAACAACCCAAACTGATTAGGGCACTCAGCATCTACCCAGAGAGCATCCAGTAAATGGAATTCAGAGGTTCATGTCCTGGTGGAAGGTGGTATACTTAACTGTACTCCCCAGCTTTAAACAGAAGAAAGAGTCCCGTCCCCACTACCAGCGACGTCACTCAGCAAGAATTTAGTGTTCTAATTGGCAGTTACAAATAATTTTGACATTTCAGTGGATATATATTTCCCAATGTCATTTGTGTGCATTCATGTGAAATAAATATGCTAAACTGACTAAACAATTTTATCCTAACCAGTGTAATGCCAGAGTTAATTAGTTATAGTTCACATGTATGTGCTCTGCTTTGTTCTGAAAATGAGAGGAAATCTTTAAAAGTAGGATATAATAAAATATCTCAAAGATTTGAACTTTAATAAAAAGGAGATAAACACTAGCAAAGAAGAGATGCTTAAAGTCTCAGAGGAGATTTACAAAATAAGGACCATTTTCTAAGTACCCAGTTATCAGGTGTATAAACTGAGGCCAAGTTTTTTGGAAAATCTCCCCAAGGCAATAGAGGTAAATTTTGACATCCATCATCTCTGTTAAAAGCACTCTTTGCTGTGAATAAAGGAGTAGCAATCCTTAGAAGATAGTCTATTAGTAAGTGCTCTCTTGTCATTCAAACTGAAGATGTTAAAATAATTCAAAGTAGAGAAATATTAGTATAAAAATAGTGGAACTTGGGCAAGCTCCTGGAGATAGAAATAATTTTAACGGAGAGTGAAAAGGACATCCCAGGCATGCAAAGTCAACTGATCCAAGGTAAGTTGGAAGAACATCGACTTACTTTATTGGAGAGATAATTTGTGCTGGAAAAACAAGACTGAAGAGTTATATACAATGTGCCTCCTGGTATGACTGAGGATTTTGAAAGCCTAGTAATTGATCTCAGAAAATTATAAGAGAAAATAAATTGTTTATTTTTCCAGCATATATAAATGGCAATCAAATTTGCTGTCTAGTTTCACAGGTTTGTGATAAACAACTATTGTAGTCTTTTTTCTTCTGAATTGTTTTGCTTTGAAGCATCCCTTCTTTACCTCTTTACCTTACTAATCCTTTCTGGCTTTTTTCCTCTCCTTTATGGAGAGTTTTTAGTTTTAAGCATATGTTTATTTATTAAGTACCTGTAATTTTCATTTTTTAGAAAAAAAATCTAACTATCTTTAAGGTGAAAATTCTAAAACCAACTTAAATATTTATTTGGAAGAAGTTTCAGTACTAGTACCTTTTTGTTTTGCCCTAGGTTTAGTAGTGCCTCTCATCTAGGCTTGTTTTTTTAAATGTATCAACTTATGCACTTATACTTTCAATCATATCTTTGGCCAAGGGGAATTGCTTAGGACTAACTCTCAAAACAAGCTGAGTCTTATCCATTTGAAATCAATAGAAGAGAAAACAATTCTGCTTTGTTAAAAGAATGGAACAACAAACCTCAAAAGACAAATGACAGTTTAGAGCCATGCTGAAAACATTTAATAATTAATAGGCAGCAAATAAATTCATCAAATTCCTGATTGCTAGCAATCCCTACTTTGGATATTAGACTTTATTAAATATACATGTAAAATTTCTAGCCTAAACAATGAAAAAATAAAGTGTTACCTTTTCAAAGTAGTAGAGGGGATTATTTGAGTTAAATGGAAAAAAGTACAGCCAATCAAAAGAAGATAGGTAAAGAAAGAGAAAGAAGTCAAATAGTGGAAAGAATAAAGGAGAAAAATAAGATGATGAAAAAAAAGCTAGTATCATTAATCCAACAAATCATTGTAGCATACTCTTCAATAAAAAGAATAAATTGTTAAACTGGATTTTCCCTAAGATATATGTGTTTTATAAAATATTATTAAGTTGGCACAAAAGTAATTGTGGTTTTGTCATTACTTTTAATTGCAAAAATCGCTGTTACTTTTGCACCAACCTAATAAAAATATTTCAAAATACTAAGCAATAAAACATTAAATTGCAGTAGAAAATTTAAAATGTGACAGTATGACCAGAGATTTTATTAATTTTCTTTGTTTATAATAGACAAAGCAAATGGAAAAACAGAATATAATATATTTAAACTATATAGTTAACAAATATAATCTAATAGATACACATAAAACCTTGAACCAAACAGTTGAAAAATACGTATTTTTTCACACATACAAGTAAATGAACAAGAATTGGTTACATTCTGGATTATACCACTAGAAACACTAGTATCACACAAACATGTTCTCAGGTTTCCTTGTCTCATCTGTACCATGTTCTTTATGGGGAAGTTAGCCTAGATATCAACAGGGAAAATGTAAAAAAAGAAAACTATACATTTGAAAATTCACAAAAACACTTCAAATAACTGAGTGGCCAAAGAAGAACTCATAATAAAAATTAAAAATAACTTTAAATAATAATAAAATATATCTCAAAACTTATACATCTAAAGTTGTACAGAGAGGAAACTTAGAGACATTACAATACAGATCATATTAGAAAAGCTAAAAGGCTGAAGATTAATGAGCTAAGAATTTTAGGTTATCTAACATTACCACAAAAGTAACCACAAGAGTAACCACAAAAGTAGCAGAGATTAAGCATAAAAATGGAAGTTTATGAGTAGGCCAGGATCCGTGGCTCGTATCTGTAATCCCAGCACTTTGAGAGGCTGAGGCAGGAGGATTGCTTAAGCCCATGAGTCTTCTCACTTACTCTAAATTCCATTACTGGCCAGATAACAGAAGAAATGTTAATTATTTCCCCTGTTAATACATAAGGTCGATATGGCTTGGATGTTTGTTCACTCTAAATCTTATGATGAAAGGTAATCCCCAGGGTTGGAGGCGGGGCCTGGTGGGAGAGTTTGGGTCATGGGGGAAGATCCCTCCTGAATAGCTTAGTGCTACATCCTTGGTGATAAGTGAGTTCTCACTCTTATTTCATGAGAGAGCGGGTTGTTTAAAAGATCCCGGCACCTCCTCCTCTTTCTCTTGGTTGCTCTCACCATGTGATACACCAGCTCCACCTTTGCCTTCTGCTGTGACTGTAAGTTTCCTGAGGCCTCTCCAGAAGCAGATTCTAGCACCATGCTGCTCGCACAGCCTTCAAAACTGTGAGTCAAATAAATCTCTTTTATTTATAAATTACTCAGTCTCAGATACTTTTACAGCAGTGCAAATGGATGAACACAGAAAATTAGTATCAAGGAGTTGTGTATCACTATTAAGGTACCTGAAAATGAAGAAGCAGATTTGGAACTGGGTAACAAGCAGAGTTTGGAAGAATTTGGAGGGCTCAGAAGACAGGAAGATGAGGGAAAGTTTGGAACTTCTTAGAGACTTGTTAAATGGTTGTGACCAAAATTCTAATAGAAATATAGACAGTGAAGTCCAAGCTGATGCCGTCTCAGATGGAAATGAGGAATTTATTGGGAACTAGAGCAAAGGTCACCCATGTTATATCCCAGGAAAGAACTTTGTTGCATTGTGTCCATGCCATAGAGATCTGTGGAAGTTAGAACCAAGGAGTGATGATTTAGAATATCTGCTGCAAGAAATTTCCATGTAGAAAAGTACTCAAGATGTGACATGCCTGCTTCTAACAGCCTATATCAGATATGGAAGCAAAGAAATGACTAAAGTTGGAACTTGTAATCAAAAGGGAAGCAAAGTGAAAAGTTTGGAAAATTTGCAGCCTGGTTATGTGGTAGGAAAAGAAAAAGTGTTTTCAGGAGAGGAATTCAAGCAGCCCATGGAGTAATCACTTGCTAGAGAGATTCACATGATTAAAAGGGAACCAAGTGCTAATAGTTAAGACAATGGCAAAAGGCCTTGAAAGCATTTCAGAGATCTTCCAAGCAGTCCCTCCCATCACAGTCCCAGAGACCTAGGAGTAAAGAATGATTTTGGTGGCCATACCTAGGGTGTATTGCCCTGCACCACTTCAGGAGGCTGCTCCCCACATCCCAGCCACTCCAACTTCAACCTGGCTCAAAGCACACCAGGCACTGCTCTGGCCTCTGCTGCTTCAGAGGGCACAAGCTGTAAGCCTTGATGGCTTCCACGAGGTGTTAAGCCTGCAGGTGCACAGAATTGAAGAGTGAAGGAGGTTTGGCAGCTTCCAACTAGATTTCAGTCCCAGGTATCTTTAGGTTTTTTTGTTTTTTGAGATGGAGTTTTGCTCTTGTTGCCCGGGCTAGAGTGCAATGTCATGATCTTGGCTCACTGAAACCCCTGCTTCCTGATTTCAAGTGATTCTCCTGCCTCAGCCTCCTGAGTAGCTGGGATTACAGGTATGCACCACCACACCAGGCTAATTTTGTATTTTGAGTAGAGATGGCATTTCTCCATTTTCGTCAGGCTGGTCTTGAACTCCCAACCTCAGGTGATCTGTCCACCTTGGCCTCCCAAAGTGCTGGAATTAGAGGCATGAGTCACTGCTCCTGGCCGGGTATCTTTACAGCAATGCAAATTGACTAACACAAAGGTACTCAGAGGAAGTTCTGGGCATCCAGGACGGCTGAGAGAGTATGTAGGTCTGTTAGGAGGAAACACTGGGACATAAGTGCTCCAAATGCATTAGCAGAGGCCAGTGTAGCTGAGCATACCAGTCATGCATCCAGGCTTGAGATGAAGTACGGACACAAGCAAGAGAGGGTCTGGTAGCAAATGTCATGGGACCTACAGATGGAGGATGCCAGCAAGAGAAATATTCATGATATTGGGGGATGTTTAATATGAGTCATTGAGCTATTGAAATGCACTTTTGCTTAATAAGGAACGTTTTCAGTGTGCTAATTTTCTTTGCATTTAATGCAACTTTCTTCTGCTATACTGTGGATCAGGGGCTTGCAAGTAGAGAATTGGTATGAGCTGCCTGGATAATCCAGTGGAGGTGGTCCCTCCACTGTCCATGAGGGATTTGTGCTAAAAGAACTGGGACTGGGACGCCTGCAAACTGAATGTCACTTTGTGCCCAGTGCATGTCTGATCTCAGTTACATATAAAGGCAAAACAAACAAAAAAGTGCAGAATTCTTTGCTAGTTGAGAAATTATTGATTTCCATCATATCAGGGTTATGAGTATGACATAGCTATCACATAAATATTAAACATTGAAATGCCCTTTATCACTCAGGTTTTCTTTCAAGCCCATATATATTAACTTTTTTTCTTTTCTCCTTTACTGGGCTCATAAAAAATTCTTCAAGCAGTGAAATAGCTTTCCTTGATAAGGGCTCTTCCATTTGCCCTTTGAAAGGCTTCAAGCAATTTTATTTTTTTCTAGAAAAAGTATTTCTAATGCTATCTTCTTTTTACCTTCTTCTTTCAGAAATCTCTTATTGGACAATTCAGTTGAATTGTTGGCAAAGTTAGTGTGTGGGTGTGTGTGAGTGTGTAAAATGTATTAGTATTTGAATGTATGCCTATGAAGGTCTCTTTACCGTTGCATTTTTACCAAGGGTTTGAGAATCTTTTTGCACATTGCATAGTGTTTGGGACACATCTTATGGAGTAAAATGTTTCTTGTGTAATGTTTCCCCAGCCTTTTAGGATTCTCTGTTGTATTATTTCATGACCGTAAAATCTCAAGTATTTTGTCAGCTTACTGGCTGTTAGAAATTAAAAAAAAAAAAAACACCTACTGGTTTGGGTGGCAAAAGATGCAATACAATTATATAGAAAAGAAATAGAAACTAGTTGAAACCCTACTTTATGCATATATACATTCTCTCACTTTATACAATTTAATTCTCATATCAATCATATTTTTCTTAAATTTTCCTTTACAAAGAAAATGTACAACAAGCTCAGAGAAATAAAGTATCTTTTCTTAGTCAAATAACAAATAAATGCCAAATGTGGAATTCAACCCCACTTGCATCTAACCTCAAAATATCCCTATTATGACCAGTACACCCCACTGACTTTCAAAGTTCAGGCATGCTCTCTAGCCTCAGGAAACCACTTGGTGATTTTGGATTGTGTTGTACAGATATGAGAAAGTAAACCAAAGGTTTTTAAATATCAAGATAATTTTAAATTTCCCCTCATGGGGAACTGGGTAGGTGGCTACACTGTTAGTACAATTAAAGGGTGTTAATTGATATCCTGAGCCAATTATTTGATAATTTTTGCTTGGTCAGTGATGTTTGGCATGATATTAACAAAAGAAAAATGAGCATTTACTGAACACCTATAATTTCACACAACACACAACTAAACACTGTTACATCTTTGTTATTCAGCCCTCAAATCATTCTCCATGAAAGCAAACAAGCATTTAAATATAATATCTATGAAAGTCCAATTCTTAGTGTAGCCTGTTGTATAAATGGCTTCCAATGTTTGGTCTGTATAATAGTCAATTGTATAATAAAATATCCATTAAATCTAAAAATTTAATTCATGTGATTAAATAGTGCCTAGTGCATAGTATTTAGAGTCAAATTTGGGCTTGATTTACTGGGCTCCACCAGTAACTGTGTAACTTCAGAATACTGAATTTATGTTAGCCTCAGTTTCATTGTTTATATAACAGTAATAATAATCCCTATTCCACAGAGGTAATGATTAAATGAAGTGATGTATGCAAAATGTTAGCACAGATTCTGTAGAAGAAGGGGCAGGTGGGGATACTTGTATAAGTAGGAGGTCAGGAAATTGAAATCAGTTTCTCCTGCTTGGTAGGAAATGAGCTCATTTTCTGAGAAAGAATACCTGGAATACTGAAGAATTGTAGATTACTGAAAACGAACAAAAGTCTGAAGAGAACAGCAGTTTTTGCTCTGTTCCTTTCATGAAAATAATCAAAATTACCATAATAAACAGAAATAATTTATAAAATCCCTTTAAGGAACAAAATAGGAAAAAGCTGAAAGCCTATAATATGTCTCGAGATCTCAAACAGGGTGCTTATTTCTCTGAAAACATTGGTAGCATCCCGAGGAACCACCCAGTGATTCATTTCTTGGAATGGTGAAGGCTGGGGATGTGGGCTGGCCAGAGTAAGAGTGACGTGGAAATCTGGTTTTACACCATAGTGCTTCAGAGGAGTAGGGGAGAAAAAAGTGATGCCAAACATGTCTCATTTATGTCCCCAACCATGATTCATTTATGCCCCCAACCGTGATTCCTACCATGACAAATAATTTGTAAATGAGAAAAAATGGAGAGAAAAAGAAATCACCTTGCATTAGCTAGCTAAATTCAACTGAACAGACATAAATACTAAGTCACCCTGAGAAATCAAGATAAGACATGCACAACACATGTTGACCTGGCGTCTAGGGCATATGCTTCCTCTGGAGGAGACCGAGAGGGATGTGCCTCCAGGGCAGGGAACCTAGTCTACCTATTTGGAAGATGTTCTGAGAAAACAATCCCTATTAGAAGCTATTGAGTGTCTCTGTCCATTACATGTACAAAGAGCAGGCCAGAATAGGATGGCTTTCATTCACAAATGAAAAATGCACGTGAAAAATGCTCATATCAAAATGAATATGTACAGAGTTGATGTAAAGCAAACAAGAGAAAAAGAACATAGCAGGCAAAAGCCAACTGAAGGGACAGGGATCAGAAAAACATGGAAGGTAACAGTAAAATCATTACAGAAATGAACCAAAACACATGAGACATAGCAAGATAGGAAAAAGGAGAAAGAATAATTATGGTCAGTACTTCCAAAGAGTTTGATGTAAAATGGAACCAAAAGATGGGGTTGTAGCTAGAGGTAAAGAAAAAATAAAGAAGCAAAAACCCGATGATGTAGAAATAGGGGAGAATAACAAAACGATACGAATAACCCCAATGTCCTTTGGTAGACTAGATAAATAAATTATGGCACACCACAAAATGCACCTTAGGCCGAAAACTTTTGAATCTACTACTCAGTGAAATAAATAATGAATAAATAATATATTTCATACACTCCTACACATATAGTTTTCTATATGTATAAACTACAGACTGAATTGTTTTTCCTGAGAGGAAGTGTGTGATTAAGGACAGAGTAAGGAGAGGGGCTTACTTTTCATTCTGCGTACCTTTTTACTTAAACAAAAACATTTGTTTTACCATATACGTGTCTTATTTAAGAATATATTTAAAAATAAATGTGTCAAAACAACTTTCCAACAATACAGCAAATAGGAGAGGATGAAGAGGAAATAAAATAAGAACCACAAAGCAAAAGATAGAAGGCAAAATATGCATTCACATTAAAATATATCCTATGGCTTTTTGTATTGCCAACTTCCTTGGCATTAAATACCATCCATGATGGTGACTCTCAAGCTTATGCCTCTAACCTTACTCACTGAATAGCCCTCAACTCCATTTTTTTTTAAATAGCAAACTATCAACTAAACATGTGTGTTTCTGTTACTCAGAGACAGTTTCAAACATGCCAAAATGTGCCTCTCTCCCAATCTTTGTCACCCCCCTCAAATGCACAGTTTGCCCAAGCCAAGCATTGACTTACTTACCCAAGTCAAAATTGTCTAGGATTTACCATTAAAGCATTCTACTCCTTCCTTTACCTCACCATACCCCTGTGCTCTTTCCCTAAACCTGCTCAGTTCTATCTTGACAACTGCCATTTTACTCCAGACACCCATAATCTCCTTCTAACTTATCTCCTTACTTGCACTCTCACTCCTCCAACATTCACAGTGTTGGCATAACCTCCTAATTGATTTCTGCCTTTATGTACAATCTAAAATCACATTGTGACCAGAGTGATATTTTTTAAATGAAGATAAGATCATGTAATTTTTCTCCTTAAAACTCTCCAATGACTTCACATCACACTTAAAAATAAAATCCAATCTCTCCCAACCTCACCTAGAAAGCCTGAGAGATACCGACACCTTCTGTCAGCTCATTTGCATTAGCTACTCCATTGTCCCCAAATACTCTGTCCCCTGTTTTATGGGTCTTCCAGGTAACCATCTGAAATGCCATCTCTCAAAGAGAACTTCCTTGACTGCCTATCTAATAAAATACCATCACTTTCATCACTGCCACATTTTCTTGTTTCGTTTTTCCTATTGCCAGTATGTAACTGTCTTATATTTTCTTCTTCTTCTTCATTATCTACTTATTTCCAAGTGTAGGAACCACTTCTGCCTAGAAAGAGTAGACTCTTAGTATTTGTTGAGTAAATTAACAAAATTCATTTGTATTTTTTTAAAGTCAGTGTATCCAAATATGGCTCTTGAATAAGTCCAAAATTGGCTTAAGAAATAAAGAACAAAGATTGGTGATTTGCCCTGGGAAATTGTCCTGGCTAGAAAGCAAACTTGCACTTTTAAGGCATGTGCTTTGGAACTATGTTAATACTTAATTTTACTGCAGTTCGCAGTAAAAATTGCAGTATCTTTTCTTATTTAACAAACATATGTATAGTTTTAGAAGTACAGTCTGGTTCTAATAAAAAATATATAGAAATTGATTCAAAAAAGAAGAACAGAGCTGGGTTGGTTAAAGATAGATGGGCAGACAGCAATAAAATATTTGCTAAGGACCATACCTTTTAGTTATTCTGGCTCCATCTCTCTTCCCTTTGTGCTGTAAGCTTTAGATAAAATTAAGTTATCCTGCCACATTCACCATCTATTTAGAATCAGACACATACAAAGGTTGCATTTTAATAGTTAATCGTTTACTCAAAAATTTGATTAAACTGAATTACACCAAATGTTGCTGATATATACACATCTGATAAGAATATTTTTTAGAAGGTGAAATTTTGGATTTTTTAACAGACAGTGGAAGTTCCTATGAAATTGTAGGGAATGACATGGAGTGTTATAAGAAGTGCCATTTTGTGTCAACTGAGCAATATCTGAAATTGTATAAGAAACTGTTACATTTTAATGTGGTTTATTGATAATTGATTCTTCAAAATATAGCATGTTAAAATGCCAATGCAGTTCCACAGTAAAAAAGAGATGGAGAAAAAAATTGAATGTCATATAAGTAGTTAAGTGCTTTTAACAATTGTTACATTTATTTATTTTTAAAATTATTTTTATTTATCATTATTATTTTTTTGAGACATATCTCACTCTCTCACCCGGGCTGAAGTGCAATGGCACAATCTTGGCTCACTGCAACCTCCACCTCCCAGGTTCAAGCGATTCTCCTGCCTTGGCCTCCTGAGTAGCTGGGATTACAGGCACGTGCCACAATGCCCAGCTAATTTTTGTATTTTTAGTAGAGACAAGATTTCACGATGTTGGCCAGGCTGGTCTCGAACTGCTAACCTCAGGTGATCTGCCGGCCTCGGCCTCCCAAAGTGCTGGGATTATAGGCGTGAGCCACCGCACCCAGCCTACATTTATTTTTATATTGAACAATGTGGGTTACATGATTCAGAGATAAAAAACGTTATTTTCTTTCAAAGACATAATCTACAGGCTCTGGGAACCATCTTGGTCAAAATAAAATATCTGAAAAATACTCATACAGAGGAGGAATGGGCTTTTATCTGGATGACAACAAATAATAAAACTGTGTTACTGTTAGAACAAGTCATGCTTGTACAAAAAATTGAAAAAGATATTTATTTCTTAATTTATTTTACTTTTATTGGCCAGAAGAATTGTCACAATAAACATACATATCTATGATGTTTACAGTCAGAACAATGGCCCATTACTCTGTACCCTTCTGTAGTGTGCAACCTGGACATATAGTTCTAGTGTTTTAAGTTAGATCCATTTGGCAAAAGCTCACAAGAGACATCCAGCTCCAAATTAGGAAATAATTATTAACATAATTTTGAATGGTCACAATAAATTATTTCCAGTAAGTTCTAAGTTCTCCATCACTAAAGAGATTAAAAGCTTGGTTTGTATTATGTGGTAGTTATGGATAAGATTTTAAGTGCTGGGTGATAGATAATCTTTAAGCTTTTTTCCAATTCTATAATTTAATATTTTATTTCAAAATGATTTAGTGAAACTTTAATGCAATACATAAAATATATCTGCTCTTGTATATCCAGGAATGTATCCATCATAGCTTTAAGAGAGAAAATAAATCTAGTTCAATTTATTTCTTTAATTGAGCAAAGATTCCTTAATGTCTTATATTTCTAGATTACTGTCTTGGTCTATTTGGGCTTCTATAAGAAAATACTATAAACTAGGTGGCTTATGAAAAAACAGAAATTTATTTCCCATATTTCTCCAGACTGAGAAGTTCAAAATCATAACACTGGCAGGTTCGTGTCTGCTGAGGACCTGCTTTCTGATTCATAGACTGTGCCTTCTTGCTGTGTCCTCACATGGTGAAAGAGGAAAGGGTTCTCTGAGGCCTCTGTAAAAAGGGCACAAAGCACATTCATGAGGGCTCCACTTCAAGACCTAATCACCTCCGAGGAGCCTCACCTCAAAATACCCTCACATTGGGAATTAGGTTTGGGGGTACACAAACATTCAGATCATAGTAATTACATATGTTAACCTTCATGTACATGATATTATTTGTTTCTGAAAACAATAAAATAAAAAGGGCGGGTGTTGTTTCATTTCATATTGAGATGAGAACCCAGAGGTTTAACACAGAGATCTCACAAGTAAAACTGAAGATGTGAAAGTTAAACTCAGATCTTTTGATACCCAACCCTTTCTGTTTTTATGTCATTCTTCCTCTTGAAGGCCTTTAATTAATATAATTATGATATTACATAATATTGAATCATATAAATTTTAAATATAAATATGAAATAAAGTTACATATAAAATAAATAATACAATAAACCATGTAATTCTTACTACCTGATGAAAGGGAAGTTTGATAGAACATATCAAGTGAGATAAATATTTTTACTGCTCTTATTTATTTGTTCACTACTTGGTTGACTCTCTTTCCTACTGGATTGTAAGATTGATTAGAGGAAGGATTCTCCCTCTTTTGTTTCCTAGTTACCCACTGTCTAAGGAACATGTGCCACCTGGGTTTTCAAATATGTGTTGCTTAAATGGATAATAAATGAATAAGTGGTTTTAAACATTAATCAAATAGTTTTTTATATAATAAACCTTAGAGAATACACAAGACAAAGGATTCAACAACAGTTTTGTACATAAGCCCACATTAAATATATAATCAGAAAATAGGGGTTTATAAAATGTCACAAATAGCACAGCCTAAATATCAAGATTGAATTTGGGTAGACCAGGAAATGATGATTATCTGCATAATCCCCTTTTAATAGGCTGTGTGGACAGTGTGCAAACTTGGATTTTTGCATAGTCAAAACTGAATGTTAGCTCAAGATTTCCTGTTTATTATTATCTCCAGTAGGAGCCATTTATATTTTTTGTCATCTCATTTATATTTTCTGTTATTATGACTAACAGAAGAAGAGGGCTGTTAATACTGATTGACTTACGAAAAAGAAAAAGGGAAGGATTCCGATTATTTGAAAGTGTTAATACATATATGGGAAGGGAAATATGTGAAAATATATCTAAGGTATGAATTGTGAACTTATTGATTGTCAGGTGATAGGACATGCCGGGCAAAATGGGGAATCAAGAAGCTGCCCCCACACAATATGTTGTAGATGGATCCTGGCATTAATGCCATGGTAAAGATGGACCTAGTGCTTTGAGTAATTATTCTTCACATAGCTTCAAGCCCTCTTTCATTGGATACTTTGAAGACAATTTGTTCATTTTATTTGTTTCATAAATATCTGGAAGTGTTTCTGGCTTATAATTATGGTGACTTTAGAAATACAGATGCTGAATTAAAAGTCATACATTCAGTACTGTCTTGATTCGTGATGAAAAAAATCACTTGTTCTTTTCATGGACGTGTAGGGAGCTTTCAGTTCAGTTGCAGTCACTCCTTTAAAATTATAGGTTCACTCCTTTCACTCCGTATCTGTCTCTGCGATGCATATATATTACTTACCTTTCTTTTTCCTAACTGATGCCATTAAGTAAAGAGGATGTTCTTTTGAGAAGACAAATGACATTTAAAATGATGAAAATAAAATTAACATAAATTTTAGCAGTCAGATGGGAGGGGGAAAGCATGGCAAAAGAAGGTAAAATATCAATCACAGTAGGGTGTTAATTTTTTAATGAAAAAAAAAACAGAAAGAAGCTAGGCAAACATTATTTGGAAATAAATGGGTGTTACTCAGAAAGAGTTATTCTGTATTTCGGACACACAATTGTGGATATTCTGACCGAACTTTAACACAAATAATGTGTTATTTGATATATCAACAACTACGGAAGAAAGAATTCGATAGGTACTATAGATAGTAAGATAAGATTATCAAAGGGGGTAGTATGGGGGGCAGTCTGTACAGGACAGCAAAGAAGACAAAAACACAGGGGATGAATAGAGGAGAATCTAAAGAAACTCTACAACTTCTGAAAGAAGAAAATGGTTTAGTTGCAACAACTGTCACTGTTTGGCATTGTCGACACGGTTAATTTTGCTGATGTGAAGGAAAAGGCTCCTCCTCAGTCTCTGAGACCCCATGATGTCTCCACCTTAGAAGAGGGTATCCCTTCTTTCAGTACAGATACATTTTCTTTCTTTCCCTCTCAAGCCATTTTCTCGTCTCTTGGTTTTCTGTTGCTATCTTTAATCTTCTATACTGAAGAATATAAGAGGATTTCTACTTGAAATTTTTTGACATAAATAAACAGGGGATGTTAAGAACAAGAGACTGTTGATCTCTGGAACTAGCCATAACAGACAACTGGTTAATTTTTACTATATATGATGTTATGACACTTAAAATATGTTGCTACAAGGCAACCAATGTTATAGAAAGAAAGATGGGAAAATGAATGGAAAAATTGTTTATGGAGCTTCCAAAACTTTAGGAGAATCTTAATAATAGTTGTCTGAAACACTTGTACAACATTTAAAATGAGCCACATATTGTTTCAAATGCCTTATACATATCAACTCACTCAGCCCTCTCATGGTAGATACAATTATTTTCCCATTTTATAGATGAGGATAGTCTAACTATTATCTTATCCTAGAGACAATTAGACCCAGAGGGTAGAAAGGGTCTTGCTTTTAAGAAGGAAACAAACAGAATTGTTTGCAATGGTAGCCCTAGAACTCAAGGAAGAGTTTTGATGAAAAGGAAATAAAACTTTCGACAGCAGAAAGGAACATTTGAAAGTTAAAATAGGTACATTTTATTTCTTACATGCGAGTTGCTTAGTCTTATTTAGAAAAGTATATTAGCATATATTTTTATCTCATTTTAACATTTAACCTTTCCATATCTTACGCATCTTATAACCACCCCAAAACGTTTTTCCCTATTCCCTAGCATTTTTGTACCGTAATTAGGTTGTGTTTAATAGAAGTCTAAATGATAACTTTTGCTGTCACCATTGGGAGTTCAGCAACATTAACATGGTGTTTTGAATCATATGGATTTGAAACATTTCTGCTTTTCTATTGTACATGTTCCTATTAAAGGCAAACCTTTTTAGGAAATACATCATTTAGGGCTTTGAAGGTTGGGTTTGATGGAGATATAATTAAAAGATAATGTCAGTAGAATAGAACATTGTCCCACAGTAATGTTCAGCTCTCCTGCCAGAACATAAAGGAAGGGGGCAAAGCGGAAGCACTGATTTTCCAAGCAGGAGACATTTATTCAGTGACAATGTCTTATTACAATTAATTTACTTTTAGTATACAAATGACAAATACAAGAGTAATTGCAGCCACTGTGGATTAGAAAACATTGTTCTCCTGGTTCCTTTCTTCAAGACCAGTACAAGTCACAGTTGGCAGCTGCTTGTGGCAGAGCTTAATATTTCCTTCTGTCTGAAATTTATATCTCTCATTCTTTTCCTCGTTATGAGTTTTTGCAATATTTTTTCTTTTCTCTTTGCACCCTCTCTTCTCAGTTCCCCCATCCCCTTCCATCTTATTATTCTTCTACCAATTTTTAATTCAGTTATCTAAGAGATAAAGAAATGATTTTGAAACCTGAGTTTATATCAGAATCAGTGTAATATCATTAAAAATAACAACCTCTGAGCCCCACCCCAGGAGACGCTGATTCAGGGAGCCTTCACTAGGCCATAAAAATCAGCAGTTTTCAAATATGTATTTATAAAAAGTTTTCCAGATGATAATTGCAGTAAAATTTAAAGACCCTTCATATATATTCTCTGAATTACCTTAGCTAGCTTTCAATTGGTTATTCCAAATAAGAACTCCTAAAATGAAAAATTAGTGCATCAGCTACCTCAGAAGAAATGTTCCCACATAGTGTCCAAGAATCTACCTGTTCACTGAACCCGCAAACAGCATGTGGGCTCAGCACAGATTCCATGTTGCATGTTTTTCTGGTTTCTTACGGTTTTGATGAATGCAAGAAGAATCGCCATTGGGCCTCCTGCCCAGAGATGCAGTTTTGAGAAAAGTGGACTGTGATTGCAGAACCTCTACTTCAAGTCCAGTCATCTGAAAAAAAGTCCTTTCTAGATGAAGGTGCAGCCAGCCACTCTCTGAGATTCATCCCTCTTCAGCCTTAGCCTTCACACAGTTAAGAAGCTACCATTCCTCATAACCGCCCCTCTCATGCATTTTCCAAAGTTTGTGGCAACTGTCGGATGAGCACAAGGAGGCCGTTTTCTTTTGGTAGGTTGGTTTCTTCAGTAAGTACACGTGGAGCTCAAACATAGAAAGGCAACACAGGGGCTACCGACACTATGTGCAGGACTTGTAATCTCGAATTATCTCATGACTGAGCGCACTGGAACCATGACACCAACCCTTTACAATGCTGTCAGAGAATTTTATTATTATGATTCCTCATGAAAATTTATTATTTATTGGAAAATATAAAGATGATTTGGAACCTTAACTATGCCGTTTTCAGTACAGTAAAAATCAAAATTTTATATTATTTTTCTAGACGAAAGAAATACAAATACATATTCATACTACTCAAATGATACCCATTTATTTAAATTTTATGACTAAAAGCTGTCATAAATTTAGCTATAATAAAAATTGCCAGCACAGCCTTAAAATCCATGCGCTGTGTCAACATCGTTACTTGTATGTATTGATAGTCAGGATGTTAAATTATCTTGTATTCACTAGTTAGGTATGATAATAATAACAAAAATATATATTGAGAAGTCTGGTGTCTTGCCAGGTATTTATTGGATGGATATATATATATATATATATATTTATATGTGTGTGTCTGTGTGTATATATATATAGTTTCTAAATAGAAATACGTCAGCGTTTCTTTTGATTATAAAAATAATAGACAGTCATGCTCATTGTTTTTAAAAACAGACAATATAAAACAAATGAAGAAGAAAACTAACTCATCAAAATTTTATGACCCGGGGAAACTCACATCTTCCACAATCACATTTCATAAAAAACACTGCCAACTTATTGTGTTTTAATTTATTTCAGAATAGTTTGTTGCCGAGTTGTTGTTCTGCTGCCTTAAATAAACTGTGAAATTAAAAAAAGAAAAATGATATAAAACTGACAAATGATTAGATTTTAATTTCTGTATATATCCTCCTGATAGTTTTCTGTATACATGCGTATACATACACACCCACCCACTCACACACACAAGGGATTGAACTATTTCATAAACCTTTTTCATTTAACAACAACATGGGAAGTAACATGGAAATTTTGTCAGTAAATATGAATGTGCACAGTTATTCATAAATACAGAGCATTTCATTATGTTGACATACAATTTGTTTAACATGTCTTCTATTGAGCATTTAAAATATTAATAGTTCTCATTAGTTGCTGTAATAAACAATGCATCATTAACTTCATTATGCATATATCTTTGCATACCTAAGTGCTTATTTCCTTGAGACAAATTTCTAAAAAGAAAACTGCTGGGCAAAATTTTAATTTCGGAAACATACTTGCCCTACAGACAGACATCATGTCTAACCTGAAATGCACAATTTATCCCCGTGTAACACATGAAAACTGAGAAGAATTAGCCTGCTCAAGATCACATGGCTATTAAAAAGGTGGAAGTTTGGATTTAAAACAAGGATTAGTCAAGGTGGTTACTAATCTCATTGAACAGGTACATAAAATTTTTATTAAACACAAATTGACTGTTATCAGCTTTGTGGAGGCATAATTGATATACAAAGGACGCACATACTTAATTTCAAAGGTAATGAGTTTGGACATAAGCAGACACACATACTATCATCACCACAATCAACAAAATAGATATATCCAACACTTCCTAAAGTTTCCTTGTGCTCTTTCATTTTTGTTTTTGTTTTGGAGGTGTATGTATGTGTGTATGTATATACAGGTACATAGAACACTTGAAGTGAGATCTACCCTCCTAACATATTTTGAAGTGCACATATCCCATGAATTTTGACACAATCAAGAGGTGAACTCCAATTCCTCTAGCCCCTTGAGATAATTGTTTCCAAATAATAAATCCTGAGACCCCATGCCACATTTAGTGGGATGTCCAGAACCCTAACAACATTCCTGAGGCATATCAAGCAGACCGCATTCTTCTGATTAGCTCTTGTTCCTAATAGCTGACCTCTGCAGATTCTTGTTTCATTTTTGGCTATTGCTACTCTTTTGGGCACCTCTTCTCACCAGGACTGGATCCTCATTCCCATTCCCCAAAATCCCATCAGTCCAAGATGGGTACGTGTGACACAGTTCACCAAAGTAAGGACATTAGCACAGAGTAAGGATGAAATAACTAGAACAGAAATAATTCAAGTTTAAATATTATCAAGCTCCTATTTCCACTCTTGACATTATCTTACTATCCATCTTCCCCGTAAAACCCATCCTGGGACAGACATGGACACCTTCTCTCTAGTGATTCTCTCCTGGGCGAGAATTGGAGTCACTGAAAATGCTTTATAAAAATATTGTTATGCAAGACCACTCATATTAAATGAATGAGAATCTTTGGGAAGTGGAACCAAGAGGTATTCTTTTAAAGTTCCTCTTGTTAATTTCAATATGCAGTCAGGTTTAAAATTACCATTGTAGATCTTTCACCAAACCTTCCTCATTCTAATTCCTGAATCCTCCAGTCCTTTGGCCTGCCAGCCAAAACTTGCACACGATTTCCTCCTTTTGGTGAATAAAATCTTTCTTTCTTTAATTATTCTTTTTCTTCTTTTTTTTTCTGTGCATAATGCTCTAAGGCACAGCTTCTTCATACTTGAAAGGATGTTTTTCTAAATGAAGTTCTCTCCTAAGGGAAGATCTTCCATTCTTCGAAGGCAACTGGGTCAAACTCCAGCCACTCTCAAACGATGAAGGTTTTTCCTTTTCCCACTCCTCTTTATAATATATTTTTAGCAGATTGAGTAATGACTAGATATTTCTACCCTCAAGCAGATCTCATAATGTCTGTGGCAACAACAGGGGGAAAAAACTATTAAAGTTGAAAGAGTTCAAATAATGTCAGAGAAAACCTCTACCAAGGGTCATCAGAATGTGTTTCCTAACTTAATCACAGGGTTAGAGGAAAATTGATAAGAGCAAGGATGTGGTCATTAAATCAATGCATGCCATTTATCATAGCTTACATTATGCCAGCCATCTACATTTTGAATGCAAATCCCTCTACATCTATCTCTGGCAAGCGCCCACTGCAAACTCCCCTAAGTTGTGACACATCTCTCAACCTCATTTATTTACCTCTAAATCTATTAGTCTTCGAGGAACAAGGTACAAATATCAAATTATGCCACTTTCAAATAAATTAAAATTCATAGTTAACATGTTTCTTATTACAAACCACATCTGCCTAGAAGTCAAAGCAATGTCTCTGATTCATTCTAAACTAAATTTATACTACTATTCTACAATGCAAGGACACTACCCTTGGAAATGAATTCAATCAGCCACTTTATAAAATAGGGGTCTTTCATAGTGAAGATATGCCCTAGAACTTGGACATGAGCAGTCATCCCTGAAAGTTAGGTCCAGTGGATTTTTTCATTATTTTCATGGTGACATCAGTCCGTCTTGCCTGAGAGACAACAAAGCCCAATGGAGAAATAAAGGGGAAATTCAATACTGGTTCCTTTTCATTGATATATATATAGATATGGATCCTGTAATAGTGAATTATGTTATGAGTCAGCATGTGTACACACATATATGTGTACACACATGCACAAAGGTGCATGTATATATATATATGTGTGTGTATATATATGTGTGTATGTGTATATGCACCCACACACACAAACACACCTGTATGACTCTTCAAGGGCCTCAACCATGCAGAATTTACAACATCATAAAAAATCCATGTGTTTAAAAATTGGTCTAATTTAGAATGGGCTCTACGTAAATTTTAGTAGAAATACACACCACACACCAGCAATTCTTCTGTCTGACTTTTTCTTTTTCACCTTTTAGCTGCTGCCCCCACATCATAGAGGTACCTTCTTGAGAGTTTCTGGACTTTTCCACCAGAAAGTCACAGGATCTAGAGACTTCAACAAGTATGCTAGGCATATAGTTGTCATGGCTGTCAATAAAAGCAAAGTCCCTCTGTGTTACCCATATAGAGTAAATAATTCCTTTTGTATAAGATTTCCAAGGCTGTCTGCTTTTTCACATATTGTCTTCTGTTTATTTTGCAGTTGATTTCATTTTCCACAATTATATTTCAAAAATACATTACAGTGTCTTTATATTATAATTGTGAATGGTTCTGTTACAGAGTTGTTGTTTTGCTGCCATAAACAACCTATTACATTTCTAAATAAGTAAAAAAGTATAAAACTGACAAATAATTAATTGAAAATTTGGATAATAGAATAATAGAAGGACAAATTCATATCTAAAACATCTAAGCAGTAAGTCCTTCCTAATAAATCACTGATGGTTATTTGAGTTTATTAGATGCTTCTATTTTATATATTCATACACAAATGGAGTTTTGTCATGCCATTGAACAATTTGGGGAAAAAAGTGTTTCTTACACATGGCAGAAGTAAAAATGTACTTCTTTATATTATGCGTTCAATCCAGGAGAAAATGGTTTTTTTTAATGCTTATCTTTTCAAAGCTTTGTTTTATAAAATGCTGAAAGATATTTGTTCAGGAAAGAACAAATTTTTTTGAACAATTTTCTCTCATTTATGCTTCAAAATCTGGTGTTTACATTTTAGAAAATAAGATTTTGTTATGTTTCAGAAAAAAAATAGGAGAGAATATGCTCATAAGTTATTTGCAACAAGAGTCATTTTAAGCATTCAGCTTATCTTTTTCAGAGATTATTCCCATTATCCCTTTTTCCTTCTTAGGTTTGCATCATAAAATGGTGATGATGGCCTTTTCAGATAGAGAAAGACCATTCTTCTATTAAAAGTGTATATGAAGCCTATTTTTTAGAAAATTTTTCTCTTTATTAGGTCCCAAATTAACTAGAGACTTTTTTTTCCTTAGATAATGAAGGTGAAATTATCAGAACTCTAAAAGGTAGACTGACTCAAAAATTTTTTTCAGTAAAATTTATTTATTCCTACTCAATATAAAATCAAGAAATAAATTACTCTCTCGTGTTTCTTAGTGGTCTGTTAATGAGCTTATTCTCTTCCTTTATTTCTCTCTCTTTTTAACTCTTTCAATTGTATGACCAAAAGTGCAGATGCCTCCTGTTTTTAGGAAGCGCAAATAGAATAGTGTCTATAATTAAGGTCTATGAGCAGAGCTGTTCACAGTTCCTCTGCCTCAATTTGTCTTCCTTTTTTTGACACAAGACAGCAGACCGGAATGTCATAAAATTATACCCATTTTATTCGCATTTGAGCTGTAACAGATATCTAGTAGATATTATAATGGAGATACAATCTAAAGATTCTTATGTATGTATTTTATTGCCTCATGATAAATCACACGTTTTCTTATTGAATTGGAATGTTCTATACCTGTACTGCACTCTCTTAGCTACAGTCTTATCAAGCCTCTTCTAGGTGAATGAGGCCTCATCCTAGGACAGATGGCCTGGTATATCCCAGAGCTGCAGCTGCAGGATTGTCCAAGCATCTCCTTACCTTGGATGCGTCCCTGCTACATCTCCAGCCAGTTTCTAAAAGCAGTGGGAAGAGAAAAAAAAAGAATCAAAATGAACACCCTGTGTGGGCAATGAAGGGGATAAAAGAGTAAGCAGATGATGCTTAGGCAGGATTTCTTTAAAAGCATAATTTTATTTCTATTGAAGTAAAAGCTACAGAGGATAAGTAAGATCTGTAGACTCAATTGGAAAATTAGGTTATTTAAATATTACTTTTGTATATCTTTTAAAAATATATTTTAAATAATCATTGGTATTCATAAGTTGTTTAAAATTCCTTCCAGGAAAATTCAGATTAACCAAAACCAGTAAAACATTTTGGTTTTATTTCATTTTTAATACATTGTTTTCCTGAAAACTAATTTCAATAAAATCATTTCGAGAATATTTTAGACACAGATTTTCTTCCTCCACCACCTCTCCCTGTTTTTCTTCTCTTTATCTTTCTTTTCCACCACTCGTGTGCACACTCTCCTGACAAACACATGCTTCTAAGCTCCTTGCAGAGAACTTAGCAAGCACACAAAAGGGAATGGTAGGTATTGCCATAGCAACTTAAAGAAGGTCCTTGCAGATAGGAAAGGTTCACAGCTCTGACTAGAGACAAAAATCAAAATCAAGAAGTTATTCTCAATGTTCTCTTCCTGACATAACTGAGAACTACATGTAAAACTCTTTTTTATGAAAATGGGAAATATATTTTATCAGTTGTTGGAAAATGTTGTTTTTGTTATTTTGGCAGTAGTATTAATTTGCTCTTACCTGAAAAATTTGCCGATGTTTGTATGTGTAAAATCAAATTTAAGTGATTCCCAAAAAGCATTTTAAAGGAAGGATTCATTTTCCCAAACTGCAGCTTCTTGATGCTACAATGAGCAGAAATATAAATAGCCAACAGATAAAATGTGGCTGATAAAAAGAGAGTCCATGGAAAGTTCCTCTCATGTTTTTACTTCTCGTCCTTTAAAGGACTTGCTTTCTGTATTTAGATTAGGGAAATACGCCAAAGCATTAGGGTGATTACTCAGTTTGCTTTCATCAGTTCTTTTGATGTTGCCCCCTATTTCCCAGCTCCAAAAATATTATTGCAGCTGAAAGAAGCAATATATTTACTATTAATACTATAACAGCAGCATGAGAAGAAAACCAACAAACAATTAGAGAAATGATAGGTAGAGATATAAATATAGAGATATAAATATACATGTGGAGAAAGAGAGGCAGCTTCATATTCTAGGACACATTTTTCTAAGGGCCCCTGAATCTGATGTATTTTTACAGAGTCTCTGTGAATGTTACTAGTAATAGATAACAAGTACTGGGAATTTAAAACATAACAAACATCACACAAGTCCATGCCTAATACTTTTAGACTCTTTGCCCCTTCCTCACCTGGAAACCCTGAGAAGGACTTGCCAAGTTGCTCAGCTAATCTTCTCCTTCTACCGGCTTCAACCATCACATTTCTTAATTTGAGACCATACCCTTTACCTTATTCCGACCACAAATTATCTAGTTTATCTTTGTCCCTCCCCAGAAGGGGAGAATATTCTTCATCTTCTGTCATCAGTGTAGAATTCTTAATTAAGGTAGAAAAGAAGGGACAGATTTAAGAGGATCTTCTGAGTGAAAACGCTAACCATACTCGACCCTACAGCTGTGGGAGGTGAGAGAGAAGGAAATAAACAGTGAATCAAATATTTTGACTTGAATATCTAAGTGGTTTTGTGGAATTTTATAATATATGCATTTTGCTTTTTTTAAAAAATGGCTTCAGTCATTATTGGTGGATTGCAAAATTCCCTTAATGGCTAATAACTTATTTGTATACTTTAACTTAGAGAATGTTATTGGATTATTTGTAACTCAAAGGGTAAATGCTTGAGGGGATTGATACCCCATTCTCCATGATATGCTTATTTCACAATTCATGCCTGTATAAAAATATCTCATATATATCATTTGTATGTGTATATATATATATAATGTACCCAAAAATGTTTTAAAAATAATTTTAAAATTTTAAAAGTAATAATACGTTTGATATAGTCTAAAGAAACTATCATTAGATATTAATAGTATATGTAAAATTAAAGAAAGGTTGAGTAATGATTCAGATATCCAATATGTTTTTCTCCAACCTACCTATATTTCAGGCTTCATGTATTCAGATATGAGTAACAGACTTGTATGAGTTTGTTCTCATGTGCCAATAAAGAAATACCTGGGACTGGGTTATTTATAAAGGAAAGAGGCTTAACTGGCTCACAGTTCCACATGGCTGGTGAGTTCTACGGCTGGTGGAACTCACAGTTCCAAATGGCATGTATCACAATCTCTTATTATTTACTCACTTTGCCATTTAATATATTACAAAGCATTTTAATACATGTAAACTCATGTAAATTGCAAAATAACACCTTGAATTGGATGTTTGCTGAGGTAAAGAGGCTGAGGAGCCCTGACATAAAGGCTGGAGTTGTTTTCATTTCACATGATGCCATTTATTGTTACAGTGGCCAAAGTAATTTCAGTAATCAGAGGTCAACTTCAATAAGGATCCTGGCAGCAGAGATTTCTATTCGATGGTCTTTCTACTTACATTGTTATGCTTCTTATGAGATTATACATAATACAACTGAATTCTTGCTCTGAAAATGGATTCCACTATGTGACTTCAGTTGAGTTAATTCACTTTAATTTTTCCATTTGCAAAATGAGCGTAATAATATCATTTACCTAATAGAGATTTTATAGGAACTATGTAAGTTGATTTAACTCACTGACTGGCATATCCTAAGCTTTCAATAAAAGTCACCGTCACTATGATTACCCTTATTCTCTTGATTGATGATCACAGAGATACTTCTTAGTCCTCTATTAGACTATTGTCTTATGAGCTCATCATTATAAGAACGAGTATAAAGATAGAATAATGTATATTGCCCTGTGTTTACTGTCACCTGATATACTGCCTATTATTTTCTTGTATAGCACAAGCTTAGATCAATATAACTACCTCCCAATTATATTTAATGTTTCTGCTTTGAAAGGATATTCAGAGCAAAGACATGTATACCAGGATAGTGATTACAGGTTTGTTTATAATAAAGAAAAAGCTGCAATTTGCAAATGATCTCAATGATCATCAATAGAAAATTAAGGAAGCTATGGTTCATTCATACAATAGAACACAATATAATTTTTAAGGAAGATGGGGATGTTCTATATACTTTGACATAAAAAATAAAATGTTAAAACATTATAGAGAAAAACATGTATGTTATATTACTGTTGATATTTTAAGTTAAATATAATGAAAAGCTTCATATATAGTGTGAACATATATATATATGTATATGCCTGCATTATGTAAGGTTACCGTATCATGTAAAAATTATTTCTAGGTTGTGATATATAGAGTACTTTATCAATATTTTATGTCCTATTGTGTTATTTGTATTTGTATAATAAACCTTCATTCATTATTTTAAATCAACAAAATAAAGAGATTATATATAAAGAGAAAGAGGGAAAGTAAGAGATAGCTGGAAATGTTTTATTCATCAAAAGAGTATATTATTTTTAATTTTTCTTATTTTTAATTTTTGTGGGTACATACTAGGTAACTCATAAGTATACCCATGTCATGGGTAATTTCATGTAACCCAGATACGTGAGACATTTTCTTTTCCTTTTTTTTTTTTTTGAGACAGAGTCTCACTCTGTCGCCTAGCCTGGAGTGCAATGGCGCAATCTACATGAGATATTTTCATACTGACATGCAATAGGTACTAATCACATCAGGGAAAATGGGGTGTCCATCATCTCAAGCATTTCTCCTTTGTGTTTCAAACAATCCAATTGTACTCTTTTAGTTATTTTTAAATGAATAATTTAAATTATTTTTTCCTATAGTCACTCTGTTGTGCTAGCAAATACTGTCTTATTTATTCTTTCTAACTATTTTTTTTGTACCAGTTAATCAATCCCCCTACCACACCACCCTGAGACTACCTTTGCTAGTCTCTGATAATCATCCTTCTACTCTCTATCTCCACGAGTTCAATGGTCTCAAATTTTAGCTCCCACAGATGAGCGAGAACCTGTGATGTTTGTCTTTCTGTGCCTGGCTTATTTCACTTACGTCCTCTGGTTCCATCCATGTTGTTGCAAATGACAAGATCTCATTCTCTTTTATGTCTAAGTAGTACTCCGTTGTGTATATGGACCACGTTTTCTTTATTCATTCATCTGTTGATGGACACTTAGCTTGCCTCCAAATCTTGGCACTTGTGAACAGTGCTGCAATAAGCATGGGAGTGTGGATACCTCTTTGATACACTGATTTTCTTGCTTTTGGGTATATACCTAAGAATGGGATTGCTGGGTCATATGGTAGCTATATTTTTATTTTCCAAGGAGTCTCCAAATTTTTCTCCATAGTATTTGTACTAATTCACATTCCCACTAACAGTGGATGAAGGTTCCAAGAGAGTATGTTCTTTTAAAAATATATTTTAGGTAGTGGTCAATGCTTTAGGAGTTGTAGCATTTAAGAATCCTCCTTCTTAACTCCACATGTGTTAGAAAAAATAATTCTTCTGAATGTAAATCCCCCTCTTTTTTGGTCTTAAGATGACTCTGTTTATATTTAATTTCTTTTCTCCAAGTGGCTGACTAATCAAGTCCTCAAGGAAATAACAAATTTAATAGAAAAAAAAGCTATAAACAAAATTTTACAAGGGCAAATAAAAACTGATAATTATGACCAGAAAGATCCCTGAGCTGTGCAGATTTTTTTAAATTCCACATAGAAAAATAAAGCAAGTCAATCTGTACTGCACACCGCATGCCCATATGGGCAACTACTAAGCAAGCATCAAATACATACTTAGAATGTTTAGTGTCCTCTTGTTGATTTTTAAATTTTCATCCCTCTATATATCATTTCACTTTCATATTTTAAATGAAACTCAACTCTGCTGAACGGCTTCATGGATTAACTAAGTCCAACCAATCACATATATAGTCATTCTGAAAACTGTACATTTACTATTATTTTTACATTAATTTTTAAAATAAATGCATTTTATTGTTATTATATGGCAGTTCATAACTTTTGAAATTGTGATTAAAAGTGTAAAAATTTCAAGAAAAATATCTATTATTCTACCAATCAAAGATAGCCATTACAAATATTTTTCCTTACTTCCATCTAATATTTCTATATTTCATAGATGTGGAATTTTTATCAGTTTTACATTGTTGTCATCACAGTGAATACATATCTTTCTTTTATTATGATGGTTTATGTGCCCTGCATATTAAAATGTATTCTAACATAGTTCAGCAGCTCCGTTATATTCTGTCATGTTTATATAGCATGCTTATTTTATAATTTTACTAGCTGAACAGTTTAGCTTTTACATTTTTATGATTATAAATAAGTATATTATGAAAATCTTTTTTTAATCTATAAGAATGAGTCTTCCTCTGTCTGTATGCTGACTTTTAAGGGTCTCAGAAACTTTTAAAATCTCTCTCAGGACAAAAAACCTGTTTGAGTTTTGTGGTTTATGCCTGTAGTTCCAGCTACTAGGGAGGCTGAGGCAGGAGGATAGCTTGAACCCAGGAGTTCCAGGCTGCCATGAGCTATGATTGCACCACGGCACTCCAGCCTGTGGGACAGAGTGAGACCATGTCTCAAAAAAAAAGGAAAGAAAAGAAATGTAACTATTTAAGGTAAGTGTCGTGACTTTCCTGAATATTTGTATGTGTTGCTTTACACACAATAGTATTTTATTACTATTATAAATCATGACATGCAAATATCACAAACAATCTCCATTTATATGTGAGATATATATATATATTTCTAAGAAATTCGCAAAAGGAATATTACAGCTAATAAGGATTTTAGCTAATTTGCAATATACAAATTCCATATGCAAAAATCAAGTATATCAAAGAAATAATAAATGTTTGAGGTGATAGTTATGCTTATTACCCTGATTTCATCATTACACATTGTGTATATGTATCAAAATATCACACTGTACCCTATAAACATGAAGAATTAACATATATCAATTAAAAATAATAAGAGCAAAAGGTGCATATCTATTCACTAGTAATGAATGATCCTAATACGAAATTAAGAAAATAATTTTATTCACAATAGCATCAAAAATAATAAAATTATTAGAAAATATACAAAAACTATCATACTTGTACATTGAAAACCATGAAACATTATTGAAATGAATTAACAAAGCGCTAAATAAATGGAAAGGCATTCTGTGTTGAAACATTAGAACACTTTGTATTGTTATGATGTACTCCTCAAACTGATCTATAGATTCTATGCAATCTGTATGAAAATCGCAACTGGTTTTTGCAGAAATTGACAAGTCAATCCTGAAAGTCATATGAAAACTCAAAGGACCCATAAAAGTCAAAACAATCTTGAAAAAGAACAAAGTTGGAAGCTCACACTTCTTGATATTAAAACTTAGTACAAAGCTGCAGTAATTAAGACTCCAGGGTACTGGCATAAGAACAGACATATAAAACAACTGAATAGAATTGTAAGTCCAGAAGTAAAACTATATGTCCAATTCAAGACTCCATAGTACTGGCATAAGGATAGACGTATAAATCAACTGAATAGAATAGGAAGTCCACAAGTAAACCTATGCATATATGGCCAATTAAGTTTTGACAAGGGTGCCAAGACCATTCAGTGTGCAGGGAATAGTCTTTTCATCAAGTGTGGCTAGGACAAATGGCTACACAAATGCAGAATAATGAAGTTCATGTAATTTACAAAAATTAATTCAAAAAAATGGAAGATATGTTAAGAGCTAAAACTATAAAATCATTAGAAGAAAACAGGTAAAAATATTTGTGACCTTGAATAAGTTGATGGATTTTTAGACACTGCATTAAAATCACAAATAACCAAAGAAAAATAGATTAATTGGACCTTTTCCAAATTAAAAAGTATAGTCCTTAAAAGGATACTATTAATAAAGTGAAAAGACAACCCAGAGAATGGGATAAACTATTTACAAATATATCTGATAAGAGTCTAGTACTCAGAATATATTTTTAAAAAAACACAACTCAATAAAAACAAAAAAATTGAAAAATGGGCAAAAGATGGGAATAAACATTTCTCTGAAGAATATATGAAACTGTCAATAAGCACAAGATTCTTGACATCATTAATCATTAAGGAAATGCAACTTAAAACGGTTAGCTACCACTTCATACCCACTAGCATGGCTATAATGAAAAAGGTAGATAATAACAAGTATTAGTTATACAAGGAAATTAGAATCTTCACACATTGCTGATTGGAATGTACAGTGATGTGTTTGGAAAACTGTTTGGAAGTTATATAAAAAGTAAACATAGTTTTGCTATGTGACCCAACAGTTCCACATCTATGTATATACACAAGATACATTGAAAACATATGTTCACATATAAACTTTTACCAAAACTCATAGCAGCACTATTAAAATTGCTAAAGGAGTGGAAATAACCCACACTCATACCAAATGATGAAAGATAAAATGTTATATATATATATATATATATATATATATATATATATACACACACACAAACACACACATACTATAATGTCATTAAGCCATAAAATTAGAATTAAACATTAATTGATGCTCCAACATGGATGAATTTGGAAACATTATGCTAAGTGAAGGAAGCCAGACACAAAGGGCCACATATTGTATGACTCCATTTACATGAAATCAAAATAAGCAAATACATAGAAACATAAAGAAGATTAATGTTCACCAGGGATCGAGGGAGGGGTGTGAAGGGTGACTACTGATGGCTATGGGATTTTTTAGGGGGTGATAAAAATATTCCGGAATTAGTAGTGATGGTCACCTAACTTTGTGAATGTACCAAAATCCACTAACTGTATACTTAACAAGAGTAAATGTTACGGTGTGTGAATGATACCTTAATACGTGTATATATGCATACAATTTATTTATTTTTATTTATTACTCTTTCTTTTCTAACAGTTAGTAAAAAATAACATACTACAGGAAAAGGGAATTACAAAATTTGGAAGAAAAGTAGAATGTTCCCTATGGTGTTGGATTGGGATTTGTATGAACTCATACTGATGAGTCAGTACGAACACATAGTTATTACTTGATAAATATATAGGTATATATAATTATATCTATATATATAGACATGAGTGTGTGAGAGAGCATGCACACATGCATATATTTTCTAGCTCTGTCTGCTGAGTGGGCCTAGAGGAAATGACACATCAGTGACAATGAGTATACTTAGCCCTTAGACTTTGGTTTTTAAATACCATGCTGCACTAAAAGGAACCAGGACTCACTAAAGTAAAGACTAATATAAAGTTTAGAGTAGAGAAAATTCAACACTGGCCTGGAACATTTTTGTAACGTAAATTACAGAAATGCTCAATAAATCATGGGAATGAGTCGAAAAGATTGAAAAGGTTCCCACTGGCCAAATCTGGAGCATCTTGAGCATGAAAGTTATAAGAATATTGATAATAATTATGGCTCATTGAATAAAAAAGAAATTTGTGAGTCTGTATGAATATACATGAATAAATAAATTGATCGATATATAAACAGGGAAGACAATAAACCTCTGTCAATAGATTATTACATTAATAGAAGAAATGATAGGGTTAAAATCATTAATGTTTGCTAAAATTAATGAATGAAGGTTTTCTGAGGAATTTATATTATCTAAAAAGCATCTACCTACACATTATGGATTAATTATAAATGGAAAAGTAATCTACAGTGAAGAATCTTTTCAGATATCACCTGACCAGGTGATCAAAGCTCATGTTATGAAAGTGGGAACAAACTGACACGATGTGCCTTTTGGAATGATAAGTGACAAGGGCATGGCATAATTGCATAAGCTGAACCAAGTTCTGAGGAAACACCAGACAAACTCAGATTGAGAGAGGGACAATCTGCAAAATAATAGACCTGTTCTGTTAAGAGGTGTCAAGGTTGAGAAAGACAAAGGAAAGGTGGAGAACTTTATCAGATTGCCAGATAATAACTAGACAAGTAAATGCAATGTGTGATCTTGATTAGATACTGTACTGAGAAAAGAGTAACTATACAATGCATTACAGGGACAATTGACAAAATTTAAATATGAACTGTGGGTTAGATAATATATTGTAATGATGTTCAAGTGTTTGATTTTTATAGATATTTGGGAGTAAAGACATGATGCATTTAATTGGCTCTCAAGTGGTTCAGAAAAAAATAATGTCCTACATACGTGATAACAAATAGTTATGTATAAATAGCTAGATGAGTGTGAGTGTGTGTACATGCATGCATATGAAGAGAAAGAGAGTGAGAGTGACTTGGTAAATGGGGCAATATTTAACAGTTGATAAATTTGGACTCTAGTATCAGGGTATTTATGTATGCTTTTTGCAAATATTCTATAAATTTGAAATAATACTAAACATAAACAAAAATAATTTTCAGAGAAATGGAGAAGTAAATACAAGAAAATATTAATACTACTTGGTTCTTGTATTTGGAGTTTATTTTTTTACTTGCTTCCTTTTCTCTGATTTTACTTACATTCCATGTTAAAAGTAGGTTGTCAATAACCAACTGAAAAAGTAGTGGAGAGAGGAACACATATCTTCTTTCTAAGTTTTCTAAGGTATCATCATCCCTTCAACTTGACTCTGGCAGTAAAATATGGCATTGCCAGTTTTATATGAATTTTCCTCCTTTGTTCTTTGATTTACATCCTTTGACTGAAACATTTCAGAAACTCAGTCTTTGGCAGAAACTTCTTTGCTAATTTACGAGGAGCATGGATTATAGCTTTCTTTTCTTGAGGGAACAAAATCCTTAATTTATTTCAGAGATTGTTAGCAAAGGACGGAACATCATGTAGCAACAATGATTTCAGAGGCAAACAGTACCTGAACTGAGGCTCTCTGTTTCTCTATGTCAATTCACCTCTGGCTATACACTTTTTCCCCACTAAAATTAAATAAGGCTGTTCCTTGTGCTGTCACATGTGCAGGGTAAATAAATACACAACACTCCTTGGCCCCATCTAGAAAGACTTGCCCAATTCCAAGTCTCAGGGTTAAACAGATACTTACACTTCATGCTTAACTGTTTTGAATGTCTCAAGAAAAGGTAGTACATAAATGTGTCTTATCATCATTAAATGCCAACTTTATCTTCCTGTGTTTTGATCACTGACATGTAAATGGTCCTTAATTAGGATTTGCTTAAAATACCTCTGGCTACATTTCTACCAGAATATATTATGAAATGGGCAAATACTGACAAAACTTTTAGAAATATTTTGAAAATGTCCACGAAATGGAGAAAACATCCTTTGTAGCCATTTTTGACAATACAATTACTTTACTGATAACTTGATGGCATTAGACTGAAAGTCCCAGCTCAAACTGGGCCAGAATTGCTCAAAAAATCAAGAATCACTTACCATTCAAAAAGTCTGTATTTTAATTTTTTTTGGTCAAAGAAGCAATAACTGATACAATATGGCCAGTCCTAATTTCAGAATTAATTCCCTTGGGCAAAAGCTACAGGAGAGAAAAGCTAATCCTAAAGTAGAAATTGACATTTCCAATGTCATTAATAAAGTGATTTGCTTTGGCCGCAGTCTCCACTATCTAGATGGCATTTGATTTGCCTGTGGTGCATGGGAATTTATTAGCAGAAAACTCTTTACTGTGGTGGTAGTGGCAATGACTGCTATTTTTAAGACAATTAACATTTACTAGATTAATTCTACTCAATCTTCTTTAATTCCAGATGTTGTAAATGAGTGAAATTTCTGCAATTACTCTTATTTTGAAGAAAGTATTAATGTTTGCACCCATGTGTGTGTGGAGCACAGAAGCAAGACAGAAACTAGAATGATTTCATACTTCGTAACGGAGACCTTTGCAACTATGAAAGTTACGTCTCTGCTCCCTAAAAACTACTGCCTACTCTCCCCATTTCAAGAGAAAACTATAGGTACACATCACGTCTTAGAGTTACAGAAATTACAGATATTGATGCGAATTAATAAAAGAAAAAATGTGATTTATCACAGAGGACAGAGCCAACAATCTACTTTTTAAAATAGTGGCAATAGCAATAATATTTTCCTTTATGTCTGTTTGGTGTTTCTTCAGTTTTAAGTATGAATTGTGATGATTAGATCACAAAAATGAAATCTATCCAAATGGCACTGAGATATTTTGGCTGCCCATGCAGAGGAAAGGTGAAACAATTGTGGCTGGTAATGAGTATATTTTAATGGCTTCATACCAAGAAAATCATCTGGCACATAGAAGCCTACCTGGCTGAACTAATATCCTAAGAGAGGAATTATTTTGGAGGAATAGTAATAATATTTATATATTTAGTTTATGTAAAGCTTCTCAGATTTGGTTATCCATCTCTTTTTGGCATTTTGAAGTGTCCTTTGTCATTTTATCATGTAGTACCTATTTTAAATAATAAAAGTACTATTATGTATATCCAGAATTAACTAAGTGTCGGACCTGTATTTGTCATGAGACACACATAATCTCATTGTGGTAGGCAAAATAATGGCCCTGCAGAAATATTCACAACCCAATCCCCAGACCCTGTGAATATGTTACCTTACATGGTGATATGGTTTGGCTGTGTCCTCACCCATATCTCATCTTGGATTTTAACTCCCACAATTCTCATGTGTTGTGGGAGGTGATTGAATTGTGGGGACAAGTGTTTCCTGCACTGTCCTCATGATAGTGAATGAGATCTGATGGTTTTAAAAAATGGGAGTTTCCCTGCATAAGCTCTTTTTTTTTTTTTTTGCCTGCTGCCATCCATGTAAGATGTGACTTGCTCCTCCTTGCCTTCTGCATGATTGTGAGGCCTGCCCAGCCATGTGGAACTGTGAGTCCAGTTAAACTTCTTGCTTTTATAAATTGCCCAATTTCAGGTATGTCTTTATCAGCAGTGTGAAAACAGACTAATATATATGGCAAAGGGGACTTTGCAGATGTGATTAAGATTAAGGAACTTGAGATGGAATGATTATCCTATGTTATCTGGGTGGGGTCACTCTAACCACAAATCCTTTCAAGTAGAGAATCTTTTCTGGTGTTGTAAGAAATCCAGAGGAAGGAAAGTGTAAGGAGGCCTCTATCTACCCTTGCGGGCTTTGAAAATTAAGGATGGGCGGGCAATGATAATAAGCCAAGTAATGTGAGAAGTCTTGAAAACCAGAAAAGAGCAAGAAATCATATTTTACCCATAACCTGTATAAAAGAATGCACTATGCTCACATCTTGATTTTAACTTGGTAAGAGTCTTGTCAGAATACTCATCTATAATACTATAAAATAATAATACATTTGTATTGTTTAAGCCCCCAAGTTTGTGGTAACTTATTGTAGAATCAATGGAAGATCAAGATACTCATGAAATTCCTACAATTTCTTGGCAAGTGTTTAGCATTTTCTTAGTTTTACAGATATCAAAAATGAGGCAAAGAACAATTTATATAATTTGTCAAAGATGACATAAGTAGCCAGTTGCAAATCCAGACTTAGTATCTAGGGTGTTGGTGTTTGATGATTCTTTCAGAATGATGTGATTTTATGTGTGATGCAAAATTAAGTGATATACCATCCTTAAGTCAGAAGAATGGCTAAACTAATCAAGTAAATAATTCAAATATAAATATAATAAGGTTATATCATTTTTGCTGTTCAAACTAATAAAAACAGTTGAGAAAAAAGCTTTAATCACAAACAGTTATCTAGAATAGTCAATACTCATTACAAAAAAATGATATTCTAATGGGTTAATTGGATTTTTAAATTTAAGAATGAAGAATAGATACAATAAAAAGACATTATAGCTAGTATTGGCAAGGAATGGAGAAGTTGGAATCCTTATGCTTTGCTGATGGGAATACAAAATGATGCAGTGTTTTAGAAAACTCTGGGAGTTCCACAGAAGTTATTATAAACATACAATTATCATATGATCCAGCAATTCCACTGTAGACATATATCCAAGAGAATTGAAAGCATCCCATCTACACAAATGTTCACTGTTGCATTATTCATAACAGCCAAAAAGTGGAAACAACCCAAATGTTCAACTGACAAGTGCATAAACAAAATGTGATATATCCATAAAATGGAATATCACTCAACCATAAAAATAAATAAAGTGCTGATTCATGGTGCAACATGGATGAACCTTGACAAAATCATGCTAACTAAAAAAGTCAGACACAAAAGGCTACCTAATATGGGATCCCATGTATATAAAACGTCCAAAGTAAGAAAATACATAGAATATCAATCAGCATTAAATAGCTGCTAGGGGTTGGGGCAGAGAATAGTGTGGAGTGACTGCTCAAGGGTATGGAATTTCTTTTGAGGATGATGAAAATATTCTGGAATTAGTGATGATGGTTTCACAATATTATGAACATACTAAAAATCACTAAAAGATGAGTGTTGTGATATGTACATTGTATCTTAATTAAGAATAAAATAACTGAAGGGATATATTTGGAAATCCAAACAAAAAATACAGATACAGGGAGCTTAAAATTTGGTAATCAAGAGTTTATCACTGATACTTGCTACTGTAGTCTGAATAAATTGTAGTCATCATGTTCATATGTGATATCACATCACTGAGGATATAATAAAGGCCAGACAACCTGAATTCAATTTAGATCATTACAATGTCAATAGAAGAGTTTTAAAATATATTTATGATTTCTAAATATCAGGATATAATTACAAGAAAATTAGACACAAATTGATTTAAGCTACATTTATAAATGCAAATGCATTCACATTTAAGGTTAGTACTTTGTCCTTGTCTGAAACTGTCTTGTTTGACTTGAATATTCTATTGATTTGCTGTCTCAGGGTTTGCTAGCACGCTATATTAAGGCTTTAGTTTCTGAACATCGCTGTTTATCCTAGAAAATCTGCATGCACTATATCACATGAAAATTTAATTGAGGCATATGTTGTATAATAAACGACGTTAGCCTGGCATTATACCTAGCAAAATTTGTTCTATTTGCTTACAGAACAATATCTCTATTGACTATACTCATTCATTGTTAATGAGCTTCTTACTAAAGGATACTGGAATAGTTTCCATAATATTCTTAGCAAATAAAATAATGGAATATAAAGAAACTTAGGAGACTGAATTTTCTATCAAGTTCCCAGAAGTATTACTTCAGTATTTACATATAAAGTCACTCTATTTTTGGATGCTGGGTCCTCCCGTTAAAAACCAGAGGAATCATGCCAACATGCCCACCGCACATGCATCATCAGCAAGACTATCAGCAGAGGGAAGACCCACAAGAAATAACAGGGCAGTCCAGGCCAGGAACTGTGCAGACACTCAAGCTTTCTAGAGAACGGGTTTGAGGAATTGTCTTTTTTCTATAGACTGTTGAAACATATCAGAAACATCTGAGGAGTTTAAATGTAATCTATAGCAATCCCCCTCTCACCCTTAATAACTGCAAAGTTACCTTCAAATTTAGGGCTTTGACTACCTATAAAGGTTGCTTATTTTGGTTTTGAGGACACTGACAGTATTCCACAAGTTTACCTTATTCTGTAGCCCCCAAAGTATAAATTCCAGGTTTTTTGCTTGGTACCTGCTTGTCTTTCAGGAGCTTTCATTCAGTAATTCAATAAAAACCTTTCATTCTAGGTGTGAAGCAATTAGAAAAATATACCAAGGCCTGGAACTCTCTTATTTGACTTCTGGCCCTGACTCAAATTTAAAGGGACACTGAATTCAATTTTGAAAGATGAGTAGTCAGATATAGGGGTGGATCTGTGAAGACCATTCCTGAAGGAGAAGAAGTACAACAGGAAGGTTGAAAATCATTTGGATATATGGTGGCTTGAGGGATTATTTTCCTTGTACTACTCCACTTTCTTTATCTTCTCTGCTCTGCGCCCCAGAGCTACCTTTGGACTACCTAAAGGATTGTCTCAACCAGTCTTGTTGCCTTCTAGTTTCCAAATGGACTCTGCCAATGAGAAATATGATGGAGATTGAAAGAACAGAGAACAGTTGGGTCAGGCTACTTATTCTCTACTCCCCAACTCCCTCCCTGCTGAAACACGGGTTATAGCTGTGAACTTCTACTGAAAATCTCCAGTTGGCTATCCTCTTCTTCTTTGTCAGCTCCAACTATAACTTCTCCTGACAGACTGTGGAGAGAAAAGATAAAGAGTTTGACAAGGACCAGATCACAAAGGGACATAAATGTCATGGTAAGAAGTTGTTTTTCATATAATTTCATTTATGCATGAAATATCCTGTACTTCCTTCTTTCCCATTAATTAATTTGTCCCAGCACCAAACCCACACTGTTTTAATTCCTGCAGCATTACTTTATGCTTTGACATTTATTAATCATCATATGGGTTTTCAAATTTTCTGGGTTATTTTTATCCAAATTCTTTTGGAATCAACTTTAGAATTTGTTTATTCTATTTAAAAAGAAAAAAAGCCAGTTGGGAATTTGAACCTTCTTTTATATATTTTAGTAAGTTAAAAGAGTTTCCTTCTTATGACTTATCCAATTTAGGCAGGACTGTAATCAACTGCAATGACTATGGTCAGGGATCTGTCTTTCCATCTCTGATGTCTGGTTTCTTCTCACTGGGCTCCTTCCTGCTTCTCAGTCAGCATCTTCCTACACAGGATCAAGACGGCTATAAGCAGTTTGAAGATTCTGTTACAAACATGCAACTGTTCTGAAATGGGTGTATTCCTTTGTTCTAATAGTTTCCAAAATTTTCTGTAAGGGTTTCATTTGCCCTACATGAGTAACATACCCAACCCTGAGCTAATCTCGGTCACCAGTGAGATAGAATGTCTTGACTGGTCAAGCCCAAACCTGAGTCCACCACAGCAGGTTGAGTTATCTCTACCTGAATCATGGAAAATAGGGTCGTTCTGAAGATCAAATCCAGATGCTGTTATCAAAATCAGAATATATTGATTTAGGTAGTCAAAAACAGAAAATGTCCACTACATACACCACAATATCTTATTGTTCCTTATTTCTTTTATGTATCTCCTTTCTCATCTTAGATTAAACTTTATTTGTGACATATATATGTTTTCCTTTAGCAGTTTGACACTTTACATCGTATTTTCACCATTCCAGTGGATAGCCCTTCAAAATGGTCATTTAGTAACATTACTTGACTGACCAGAATCCGAACCCCCATCAAAGGGATTTTCACACTCTGTTAGTCTTCGTGGAATCCAAAAAGCTAAATGTTTGTTCTCTCTATTCCCTGGCACCTAGAAGCAGGCAAGTATCAGATTCAACCGATGATATACTTTTGCCTGAGACATTGAATAAGTGACAAGGAACAGTGATGTTAAGAATAGATTATAGTTCATTCTGTCAGTCGATTGTGGAATATGGCATCCAATGGCATCAGGAGCAAGAATGGCCTCCTATGTCTATTTATAGGATCAACAACAGCACGCTAAGTAGATAAGTTCTGTGGTACAACAGTGACTTTGTTTCTGGATAAACACCTTCTCTTCATTCCTGCCTATTTCCTGAGCCCTACCTAGTCTTCAGCCTTCTCCTGGAGATACGTAATATCCTTCAACTAAATCAATTTTTCTGCTGAATGTAGCAATCATCAATTTATGAGGCTTCAACCCCGGACCCCGCCTAATAAAACGTTAAAACTTTGTACACATTTTAAATATATTTTAATTGCATAGAATCACTGGATATAAATATGCAGATAAATATATGATTCATTTGAGTAAGTATCCAAGGGGTGCTGTAAGAAGAAGTAGGAATCTGTAGGTATTATGTTAATTTATATCTAGAAAGAAAAATTATAGAACCAATTCACTAACTTTTTTAAATTTAGAAAATTATTCACACAAAAAAGAATATATACTATACAGTGAAATAATTTTTAAAACTCAAAATATTCCAAAGAAGATCAGTGAAATCAGCACAATATATACAAATGCACATATAAAAAGGAGACAGTGTTTATTTTAATAAATGAGTATAGCTATTATAGCAGAAGTTAGTATAACAATCTAATGAAAAACCTTAGGTTTAATTAGGAAAAATAAATATAAATAATAAATATGAGAAATATTGATCCTAAATCCACTAAAATATAACAATATATTATGAACAACTTTATGCCTACACATTAAGGAAGTTAGATAAAATTTGTAAGGTACACCAGAAACATAACAAAATGACACAAGGAGAAACTGAAAAATTGAATAAACTCATAACTAATAATGAAATGTCATTACTAATTAAAGATTTTCTTCAATGAAAATTCGATGCCAATATAGCATTACCAGTAAATTACCTTAAATGTTTAAGGAAGAAATACTAATCTTACATGAATTCTTCCAGAAAAAAAGAAAAAATATTACCCAATTTATTTCATGTGGTCAAAATAATTTTGATGCCAAAAATTGAAAAAAGATATATAGACTAATGTCTCATGAAAATAAATGTAAAAAACATTAAAAATTTAAAAACTAAAAACTGTAACAAACTCTTATTAGAATATATTAAAAATAAAAATACATCATGATCAAGGTGGGTTTATACTTGGAATGCAAGGCTAGTTTAACAACCAAATCAATCAGTATAACCATTAAAAAAACATAAAAAAGAGAAAAATTATGTTAACATTTTAATATAGGTAAAAAAATAATTGATACAACTCAACTCTAATGCATGAAAGCTAGGATAAAGAAGAATGTCCAGATATCTTATAAAAGAAATTGAAAAAAATACTTGTAGCATATCAGCTTGAGCTACTATAACAAAATACCATAGACTGAGTGGCTTAAGCCATAAACATTTATTTCTCACAGTTCTGGAGTTTGCAAAGTCCAGGAACATGATGACAGCAGATTCAGTTTCTGGTAAGGGTCCTCTTCCAAGTTTGAAGATGACCTCCTTCTTACTGTATCTTCACATGGTAGGGAAAGAGAGAGCTCTGGTCTCTCTTCCTCTAGTAAGAACACTCATGTCATCTTGAGAATCCCACCTTCATGACCTCATCTGAGCATTACTTCCCCAAAACTCCATCTTCAAATATCATCATATTGTAACATTAGGGCTTTTATCTGTGAATTTGTGGGGTGTACATATATTCAATTAGTAACAGCACATCATGATTAATGGTACAAGATGGAATGTTGTTTGCCTGAAATTGGGAATGAAATATAAATGCCATTATTCCCACAGCAAATCAACAATATCCTGAAGGTTCTAGTCAGTAGAGTAAGACAAGAAAAAAAATTTAAATGGCATAAGGACTGGAGAGAAAGAGATAAAAGTGCAATTATGCACAGCCAATGTGCATATGAATAATGATAAACATAAAACATATTTAGATAACTAAAACATCTCAACTTAAAAGACAACATATTGTGAGAATGCTTTCAGGAACTTTGACAGAAATGCTACACCCTTAAATACAAAGAGTGCTAAAAATTGAGATGAAAGTCATCAAGAATTAATTTGGCAAAGGATGCAAGTAGACAACTTATATGGAAAAATAAACGTGTAGTAGGTTTAATACAGCAATTAATTAAAAAATTAAACAATGTAGCTTCTCTTTTTTTTCCTTTTCAGATTAATAAATATGTCTAGGTTGTTGAGAGCGAGGTAAAAATGTAACCTCACATATTAAATATAGGACTTTAAATCAGCTTAAGCTTTCTGGAAAAACACTTGATAATTTTGTCAAGAGTCTTCTAAATATTCATATATTTTGGCTAAGCTCTTTTTCTTGTAGGAATTTATCCTAAAGAAATTCTCAATCAGATATACTGATGTGTATTTATGTATGGAGACTTTTCATCAAAGTTTTTTTATAATGTCTCAATATTAGAAATAAATTCAACAATAATAAGAAAAGTATTAAGTAAACATGAAGATGTATGCACAGGCATAGCTCAGAAATACTGAATGTTTGATTCCAGACCACCACAATAAAACAATTTTACAAAAAAGTGAATCACACAAATTTTCTGGTTTTCCAGTGCATATAAAACTTATGTTTACACTATAATATAGTCTATTAAGTGTGCAACAGCATTATATCTAAAAACATATATGTACCTTAATTGAAAAAATACTTTATAGCTAAAAATGCTAATAATCATTTGAGCCTTCAGTGAGTCATAATCTTTTTGCTGGTGGAGGTTCTTGCCTTTACATTGATTGCCGCTGACTGATCAGGGTGGTGGTTGCTGAAGGTTGGCATAGCTGTGGAGATTTCTTGAAATCAGATGATAAAATTCTCTGCATTGATTAGCTCTTTTCTTCATGAAAAATTTGTCAGTAACATGGGATGTTATCTGATATTATTTTACCTATAGTAGAATTTCTTTCAAAATTGGAGTCAATCCTCTCAAAACCGCCATTGCTTTGTCTACTGTTGATGTAATATTCTAAATGCTTTGTTGTCATTTCAACAATGCTCATAGTCTCTTCACCAAGAGTAGATTCTACCTAAAAAACAAAAAAATACTTTCTTTGCTCATTCATAAGAAGCAAATCCTCCTCTGTCCAAGTTTTATCATGAGATTGCAGCAATTCAGTCACATCTTCAGGCTCCACTTCTAAATGTAGTCATCTTGCTATTTCTACATCTTCAGCTACTTCTTCAACTGAAGTCTTGAACCTCTCAGACATCCATGAAGGTTGGAATCAACTTTTTCCAAACTCCTGTTAATGTGGATGTTTTGACCACCTCCCATGAATTATGACTTCTCTTAATGGCATCTGAAATGATAAATCCTTACCAGAAGGTTCTCAATTTACTTTGCCCATATCCTTCAGAGGAATCACTGTATTTCTGAAATAATAAGACTCGAAAGTCAAAGTTACTCCTTGATCCATGGGGTGAAGAAAGGATGTTCTGTTAGCAGACCTAAAAACAACATGAATCTCATTGTACCTCTCCATCAGAGCTCTTGAGTGACCAGGTCCATTGTCAATGAGTAGTAATAATTTAAAAGGAATCTTTTTTCTGAGCATTAGGTCTCACCAATGGGCTTGAAATATTCAGTAAACCATGTTGTAAACAGATGTACTGTCATCAGGCTTTTTTTTTCCATTTATAGAGCACTATAGAGTAGAATTAGCATAATCTTTGGGGCCCTAGAACTTCTAGAATGGTAAATGAGCATTGGCTTCAGATTAGTTACCAGCTACATTAGCCCCTAACAAAAGAGTCAGCTTGTCATTTGAAGTTTGGAAGCCAGGAATTGACTTCTGTCTAACTGTAAAAGTCCCAGATGGCTCCAATATAGGACCATTTTATCTACATTGCAAATCTGTTGTTTAGGGTAGACACCTTCATCAATTATCTCAGCTAAATCTTCTGGATAACTTGCTGCAGCTTTTACATCGGCACTTGCTGCTTCATCTTGCATGCATGCTATACAGATGGCTTCTCTTCTTTAACCTCATGAACCAAGCTCTGCTGGTGTCAGACTCTTCTCTGCAGCTTCCTCACCTCTCTCAGCCTTCATGGAATTGAAGAGTTAAAGACTGGCTCTGGATTAGGCTTTGCTTTAAGGGAATGTTGTGGCTGGTTTGATCTATCCACTAAAACTTTCTCCCTATCAGCAATAAGTTTGTTTCCCTTTCTTATTATTTGTGTGTTCACTGGAATAGTAAATTCAATTTTTGTCAAGAACTTTTCCTTTGAATTATCAACATGACTGATCCAAGATGTCTAGCTTTCAGACTACTTCAACTTTTGACATGACTTCCTCACTAAGCTTAATGATTTCTAGCTTTGTATTTAAGTGAAAGACATGCAGCTCTTCCTTTCACTTGAATACTTAGAAGCCATTTTAGGGTTATTAATTGACCCAATTTTAATATTGTTGTTCTCAGGGAATGGAGAGGCCCAAAGAGAGGGAGAGAGACGAGACAGGAATGGCCAATTGGTAGAGCAGTCAGAATACACAAAACATTCATCAATTAAGTTCAGCCATCTTAGACAGGTGTTGTTTGTGGAGCCCCAAAACAAGTACAGTAGTGACATTAAAGATCACTGATCACCAATCACCATAACAGATATAATAATGAAAAGTTTGAAATACTGTAAGACTAACAAAAATGTGACACAGAGACATGAAGTTAGCGAATGCTGTTGGAAAAAAATGGCATCAATAGACTTGCTCAATGCAGGATTGCTACAATCTTTTAACTTGTAAAAAGTACACCTGCCAAATGAAATAAAGTAAAGCACAGTAAAACCAGGTATGCCTATATAACATTTGAAGCAACTGAAACAGTGCTTCCAAGAATATGTAATAACATATGAAAAAGCTCATATGTAATTAGCAGTGAAAATATCAACTTAATGTAACTGGGATAACATTCCAAAATATAGAAATCATATTTGCACAGCTTGATGGATTTTCTTAAATTGAATATACCCATAGACTCAGCATTGAGATTTTTAAAAAGTTGCAAATAACTATCCTGATTTCTGATACCACAGCTTTGTTTTCTCTGATTTGAATTTAATATAAATTTACTTACACAGTATATATTGTTCTTTGGCTACTTTTATTTGATACACTATTTGTTAGATTTAGCTCTTGCTTGTTCAGTTGTCCCATTGGCATCACAAGGGATTCATTCCAGGACCCCAGTGGATATCAAAATCCAGGGATGCTCAAGTCTCTAAATATTAGAACTTTAATATATCTGAAAGTTATGTTGCTATGTATAGCAAAGGAAAAATAAAGATTTTTTTCCAAAATAGCCAATTAATTAAATCCCACTATCTAAGTAACCTTTTTTCACTGTTTTTTTTTTTTGATGCAATGTTAACAATAGTCCATTCCTTACTAATAATAATTTGTATAATTCCCCTTATGACACAGCTGTCTGTCAATTACCTAAAACAATATTGTTTTTATTTATTAAGTCTTTATTTTATTTTATTTTAACATAAAATAAGATCAGCTTTACCCCATTAAATATTTTTTCCTAAGAGTATTTAATTGTTTTACTCATTAGATGAATTGTAGAATATTCTATGAAGTACTACCAAACATACAAGCAACCATCCAGATACCTACCAAATATCTTAAGCTATAAAAACTTATTATAACTTAGTGTAATAATCTATAATAACTTACTGAAATCTCAGATATCCAGTTATTTTGTTTTGTAATAAGGTGTGTTTATTATTATTTTCTTCTTTTGTAATCCTAAAAATGTTTGAGCAGTTTCTACTGTATACAACAAATACATATCTTTTTAAGGCCTCTCTAATTCAAATAATATTGATTTTTATTGTTACTAGAAATGTAGTATGTTTTTAAATACTTTTATTTTTCTAAAATTATATTACTGATAAATAGAAAGTTATGATACCTATATCAAAGAAATCAAAATAAAACATTTAGTGTTCGTGTTTTTTGTTGTGTTTTGTTATGTTTTTGTTTTTTTTTTTTTTTTGAGACGGAGTCTTGCTCTGTCACTAGGCTGGAGTGCAGTGGCGCCATCTCGGCTCACTGCAACCTCTGACTCCCTGGTTCAAGCGATTCTCCTGCCTCAGCCTCTCCAGTAGCTGGGATTACAGGCACACACCACCATGCCCAGCTAATTTTTTGTATTTTTAGTAGAGACAGGGTTTCACCCTATTGGCCAGGATGGTCTTGATCTTCTAACCTCGTGATCCACCCGCCTTGACCTCCCAAAGTGCTGGGATTACAGGCATGAGCCACTGTGCCCAGCCGTCTTAGTTTTTAAGCTTTGTTTAAAATAAACTCCCTTTTTAGGTAGGTAATCATATAAATTATAGGATATTTTTTAAAAAAATCATCCCTTTGGAAATAAATTTTTGTGCTATATTCAGAGGCACTTTTGAGCTTATAAATATTTTGTGCTTATCAAATATATCATGTTGGTGAAATTTGTGAATCTTGAATTAACCTTTATTTGAAAAGAACACTCTACCAGATGTTCATTTGAAAACCAGTTTAATTTGTTTTATAGATGTTTTATAGATTTTAGTTAGCAGTTAGATGTTCTATGCAAATACCATTCTATTTAGTAATGGAGAAAGAAAAACCAAGACTCTAAGCAAAAAAATAAATGATTACTCTGAATTGAGGTATCACAAGGAATAATTTTGCTAAGTGTTCCTTTTTACTACAAAGAGTAACCCACAATATTTTATTGAACTGTTACATGTATAAAGAAGACATATAACTTTCATAATCATATGCCTCTTTTCAGGAATAGTAACTATTGTCCAAAATCTCTATTATTCAAGCAATCCTTCTATAGGCAAAGACTACCAGGTACCATGTGTGAGTTGCTATTTTTAATTTTTTTGATAAGTGGTGCTTTAAAACAGTACTTAGAATATTTGCATTTTCTTATAGCACTGGACTTCTCTTTTATCATGATTATTTTGTTATAAAACCATTTTATCTGGCACATATGGAGAGAAAAGTATCAATTCCACTTATATTTTATTAAATAAAAGCCACCAGTATTTTGAAAACACTAACTTGTTGTTAAAACAAGTTGTAAAATTGTCAAATGATTTTTTCTATTTTCTACTTATAGTTTATTCATCTTTATTTAGCTTGCTTTTCTCTCTCTCTTTTTACCATACACATTGGGTTCACTGCTGAATTTCAGGAATTATAAATAAGTTATAAATTGGGATACCTAGGCAAAAATTTTGAAAGACAGTGATAGTAATGATAATAACAACTAGCATTCACTTAGTTGTTTATTTAATCCTCACAACCCTAGGAGGCATAAGTTGTTACCATCCTCATTTTACAGGTGGAAACTGAGGCACGGATAGTTTAAATGACTTTAAGTTCTCAAAAGTCACTTAAGTTCTTAAATGACTTTAAGTTCTCAAATGTGGTAAAAGGCAGAGCAGGATATTAGGCCCAGGAAACTGGGCTCCAAATGCTGCTTTTGAACCAGGACAATTTTGAGAGTAAAAGGATACATTAAAAAATAAAAATTGTCAACTGTTGACACATTTTTGACAGGAAATTAATTTCATTATATCAAAAGCCTTATAAAATGATATCGTCAACAACTATTTTCGTTTTTTTTTTTTTTTTTTTTGAGACGGAGTCTCACTCTGTTGCCCAGGCTGGAGTGCAATGGCACGATCTCGGCTCACTGAGACTTCCAGGTTCAAGTGATTCTCCTGCCTCAGCTTCCCGAGTAGCTGGGATTGCAGGCACACACCACCATGCCCAGCTAATTTTTGTATTTTTTCTTTTTTTAGTAGTGATGGAGTTTCACCATGTTGGTCAGGCTGATCTCAAACTCCTGACCTCGTGATCCGCCTGCCTCGGCCTCCCAAAGTGCTGGGATTACAGGCATGAGCCACTGGGCCCAGCAACTATTTTCAAGATAAAATTCCTTCTAAAAAACAGCACATAACAAAATACTATTTTTAATGATTAAAATATATAAGCAGAATAATTAATAATAGCACTTAATCACAATCCTTCTAAATCGATTCCTTATTTATACCTCTACTTCACCTGTAACATTGGGATATTTTCTGAAGAATGCATTTTTAAAAATATGGTTTTATTATTTATAATTTTTCATAAAATATACAATCCTCTTCCATGTTTTATTTTATAGTAACAAATATGAGATTGTTGGCATCTTCAGTTTTCTCCTCTCTAGAGAGCACATTAGTTCTTAATGTAAATCCTTTCACTGTAGGTGCTGAATACTTAGTAAGCTCAGAGCAAATTGTACTGAAAGAAGAATATTCTCAATTCAATCTTTAATTAAAATATGTAAATATTTTAGTCTAAATATTTTCACAGGTACTACCTTTTAACCTCCATGCCGAGTACTATTTTCTGACAAATATGATTAAATGTCAAAGCTCATCAAATGATTTTCACTTACTTTTGATTCATTTGAATACTTAGTCAAATGTAGTTACCACAATAGGAAAGCCCTCCTCAGAATATACATAAATCCAATCTATATCTATAAGCTCCATTTAAAGATTTGTTTTCCAACAAGTCAAAGTATAACCAAGCACAATTACATAATTATAATATTAAATCTTACATATGGTTTGCTCTTTGTGTTTAATTTGTTCCATTCCTCCTTGCTTTTGTAGGGATTTATTTCCATATCTTCCTGTTTGCTTTATTTTCAATGAGTAAAATTCACTAAAGCTTCAAAAGCTGAAAATTTGGCATATGCTCTTCATTGAATCCTTTGCTTAAATGTCGTCAATTAATTTCAAAACAATACAACCACAATTTATGTTTTGTTTTCAAAAATTAACAATTTTATCTAAAATAATTGTCAAATATTTCATCTTTTACTAAATTAACTTCCAAAGCATTACTATGATTTTATAAATTGGATTAAAAATTAAATTATTATTGGAATTAATTAATTTTCTATTTGGAATCGGATGACAGTGACAACATGTTGACATCATTTAACTCTACCAAGTTCTGCTAATGGAGTCGACATTCTAACACTTTTCATACATGCATAAGAAAACTTGAAATTAAAAATCAATGAAATTTATAAAGAACAATGTTTTTATATAAATAAAAAGTTGTATGCAATGGCATGAACATGCACTTTCTGCAGCCCCAAGTGTTAAATTACTATTATTTTCTAAAGTGTTCTGAAAATGATTATTAGCTTTTTTTTTTTTTTTTTTTTTTTTTTTTTTTTTTTTTTTTTTTTTGAGACGGAGTCTCGCTCTGTCGCCCAGGCTGGAGTGCAGTGGCGGGATCTCGGCTCACTGCAAGCTCCGCCTCCCGGGTTCACGCCATTCTCCTGCCTCAGCCTCCCAAGTAGCTGGGACTACAGGCGCCCGCCACTACGCCCGGCTAATTTTTTGTATTTTTAGTAGAGACGGGGTTTCACCGTTTTAGCCGGGATGGTCTCGATCTCCTGACCTCGTGATCCGCCCGCCTCGGCCTCCCAAAGTGCTGGGATTACAGGCTTGAGCCACCGCGCCCCGCCGATTATTAGCTTTTGAAATAGATGCAAATGCTTCTTAAACAGCTTTTTGTCTTCTATTTAACGTTTATGATGACATTACCACAACCCCCAAGAAAAATGATAAATGTTGACAAAGAGTTTATTCAATTTACAATCATTATCAATTTTCTTGAGAAATTGAAATGCAGTATTTATTTTTTATTGTACATGCACTTTCCTTTTTGAACTCATTGCTGCTTAAAAGGTATCTTACAAAAAGACAAGTAAATGTAGATTTATAGCAGAAAACTGTTATAATAAGAGATTTCAGACTTTTCTCTATAAACCGTATGGCAGAACTACCTAGCCTCTATTTCCTATACATATTTCAGATGTAAGTAATCTAGAATCTCCCACATTTTCCACTGACTTACTAACTGGCTGTCTGGAGGCTTCACGCTTTTGAAACCAGCAACGTAGGCCATGGCACAACTGGCTCTAGCACCAAGTGCCTGGCAGAAGCAGCAGAATTGCCCACTTTTTCCAATACAAACTAAAACCAGAAAGATATAGTACTCCCTAGCTTTCCCTGTCAATACACACTGTTTCATCAGCAAGTACCTGCTGACTAATACCTAAAAAAGAGATGTTTGTTCGATTCTGGGAAGGAGTGGGAGAGGAAAGTTGGGTTCATCATTCATTTTCTTTAAGATTTAATGAATTATATTCTATAGAGTCCTATAGAGTTTGAACTCTATTCACTGTATATGCACCTCAAACATGCTAGTAGATAAGACCATGACAGAAGCTAGGAGTACAAAATGCAAGAATAAATCCATTCTGATTTATTTTAATGTAACCAGTACTAACAATGTAGTTTTAGCTTTTTAAAATGTGATAAATACAAAATTAAACAGGATGCCAGGGGTAGGGAGGGCATGAACTAGAACTACCACGTGCAAAAGAGAATTTGTACAATTTGTAAAAATTTACATAATTTGTAAAGCAAAATTTTTAAAAAATGCTTCTCTCATCCATGGAAACCAATAAATACTCTCCAGTTCTTTGAAAATTTAGAAAAGTATCTGGAAACTTACACTGTCCTCTAGGTTGAAGTTTAAACATCTTTTATGTGGGTCTCATTACTTATTCCCAAGAATGGGTCAGATCATTCCATCTATGTGAGAGAAGGCAGTATTCTGATTTTACAAGAGTTGGTGGTCATTATTGCCTGTGCTTGAAGCCACTGTTCCAGGTACCAAGCTAACAAATATAAGGTGTAGTTCTTTAAAACAGTAGGAACAAAAAGTTGAGTGTCCTGAGTCATAGGGGTTAAGTGGTAAGATATTGGAGGGTCTCTGGTATCTTTTTCACTTAAGATATTAATATTTTTTATTTAAGAAGTTTTCTACCAAAAGCCTAGGAACCTAACAATAAAATTGCCCACTCCCCCTCCCCAATACCAACCCTCTTAGACATCAATCTTTCCTTCAGTTTCTCTTGTTATTTTATGCTCTCATCCCTCTTCTCATTGTAGAGTAATGGGATCCAAGTTTGAGCTTTGGAAGGAAATCTAAACCGGCCCTTGAGGCTGCTTTGCTTCTAGACCATTCAGAATGATTTGGCTTCGGTAATGGCATTCTCCATGGGGTCCAATGTAGCTCCTTGGAATGCTCCAGGGGAATTGGGTAAAAAATCCCATCTAGTCATTAAGGATGACTTTGTCTTCCTTTTCTTCCTTAAAGACCTCCTTAGGAGAGGTGATTGTTCAACATCAGAATACAAATATTCCTATGTCTCTTGGTTAAATATTTCTACTACCCATCAACATCCTCAATGCCTTAAAGAGAAAATATAATGCTGACATGCATCAGATGAATACGCTTTACATATTATCAAAACTTGATAGGATATAGTCTAAATTCCTTAATAGAATGTTCAAGCTCTTCATGGTCTGAATCTGCCCTGTACTGTCTAACACAGTGACCACTAACCTTATGTAGCTACTGAGCACTTAAAATTGAGATGTGCTGTAAATGTAGTATACATACTGAATTTTTGAAACTTAATATGAAAAAAGAAGATACAAATTCTTGTAAATATTATTTACATGAATTACATGTTGAAATGGTAATAGTTTAGATACATTGAGTTAAATAAAATATAAAAATTAATTTAATTTTTTTTTGCTTTTTTTAAACAAAGCTACTAGGAAATTTAAAGTTTCATATGTGGATAGCATTTTATTTCTATTGGACAGCACTGGTGTATGTTTTGCTCCTCAACTTGAAGTCATATTCTGCTTATTGCCTTGACAAGGTATTTATGCTTCAGTACTTTGCAAATAGTGTTCTGAATCATGTTTTACAATTGTTCTTCCTCTTTAACTTTCACCCCATTATACCCTATTGCACAAATTGATGACCATGACATGCAATAGATGAATAGCTAAAAAGCATAGTTCATATGTCGCTTCCTTTGCAAAGTCATCTCCGTTCCCTAAGACAGTTAATTGTGCTAATCCTAGCCTTATGTCTACACTTACTGTGAACTTGTGCACTATACTGTAATTATTATGTACATGTGTGTCTGTTTACTTACCTACAAGCCCCTTGAAGTCAGGGACCATGACATATATACTTAACGTAGTACATAGTTTTCAATGAATGCTTCCTAAATGGAATCAAATAGTATTCCTCTATATCCTCTGGTTAATCTGCATGAATATCAACACCTAGTCTATGAACATTACATCAACATAAAGTGGTATTGAGAAGTTATGATACTGCAGAAACTAAAACATCTACTTAAAAATAATTTATATTCCCCTTTCTGTGTCCAAGTGTTCTCATTGTTCAGTTCCCACCTATGAGTGAGAACATGCGGTGTTTGGTTTTTTGTCCTTGCGATAGTTTGCTGAGAGTGATGGTTTCCAGCTTCATCCATGTCCCTAGCGGGGGAGGGATAGCATTAGGAGATATACCTCATGTAAATGACGAGTTAATGGATGCAGCACACCAACATGGCACATATATGCGTACGTAACAAACCTGCACATTGTGCACATGTACCCTAGAACTTAAAGTTTAATAAAAAAAATTAAAAAATAATTTATAAATCAAAACTGAATATGGTCATCAATAATTATATAATCATCATGAACTGTAGCTGCATTTATATACAAAGCAAAATAACTATATAAAAGTAAACAAAAATAAATTTCTGAGAGTTAGTAATTCCTGAAAGTTATTGAGTACTCAATATGTGCATCTCACCACATGAAGAATATGCTGTCTCATACAATGTTCATAATGTATTTTTATCATTCCGGTGTTAGAATAAAATAGGGTAAATCTGACATTGAGCGAAGGTAGTCTGACTTTAGAACTCTTGAACTTCCAATCTTTTGGAAATAAATTATAATATGGGTTTCCCAATAGGTTCAAAGACCACCAAAAATGGAATACTTTGTCACATTCAGATAGACAGGTCTATTTTTCATTATCTGAGTCAGATTCTTTGTCCTTGGTTTGGCTAAGAGTTTTACGGGCATCACAAACATCACTGGGACAGTGCTTTGTAATAAAGATTAAAGGCAGAGAGAAAAATCCCAAAATACATTCTCTATCAGACTCTCAGGTCAGAATATAAACAGGAAACTGGAAGAAAGAAAAGAAGGATGCTACCTTTAAAAATAGCTGACAAAGCTCATGAGGTAGCTATCTGTTTTGTCTTGAATTGAAAATTTAAAATCACAGTTTAGAATTTTTATCTTTTCTACTTCGCTGTGCTATTTTTGGTTAGTATCTATTATGCTTGTATTATTGAATCCTTTTCTCACTGAGTTTTTCTTCCCTTTCCAAAGAAATCTGAAAAATATTGCCAGATTAGTATTTCTGAAAACTGCTTCACATAAACCAATTTTAGGCACAGGACAGCAAGTCCTATGTTGTGTCTAAAATGATCAGGCAAGCATTGGACTGGAATTGCTTCTGTAAAGCCCTTAGAGGTTCGGCACTATCTATAGAATAAAGTTCAATGTCCACCTTCAACAGCCGGACACTGCCTCTTTCCAATGTTCCAATACCCTGCTCTCTTCCCCTATATCTATGTACTTGAATCCTCTGCTCCAAGATTACTAACCGAAACAGCCTTCCAAACCTGTCATCCACATTCTTATTACCCCGTCCTTATTCATAGTATTCTTTCAACCTAAAATGTTATTCAGGACATTTATACAAAACTTATCTTTTCTTACTGAGACATTTCAAGTCTACTGCTTACCTGACCATTTCAGACACAACATAGAACTTTCCCACCCTGCACCTAAAAACTGAGCTGCCTTATTGTTATTGTTGACATCGCTTTGTGTTACGTTCCATACAAACAGACTTTCTTTTCTCAAATGAACAACTACTTTAGGCAAAGTCCATTGGCTATTCCCTTAATATGTTTTACGACACCAAATTCAGGTCTGTTAATATGGGCAGAACTTAGCACACCTTTATTCTGTTAATAAAACTCGTGATCTGAAATCAGTCCAGAATACTGTATTAGCCATCTTTTTCTATCCTGAGTACCTAGTAGGAAGGCATGCCATCAACTTCTCTCCAGAAAAGGAAGAATTTATTTTGGCATTTGGTCTCCCTTGGTCTATAATGTTAAAAGGTTAAATTAGTTATAATGAGGTAATATGGTTCAGATTGCTTTCAGTAGAGCTGTGATTTTCTGAACCAAAATGAAAGCTTTATAACTTCATCATTTAAAAGAAGGCAATGAAAAGCAGTGTTATATAACGAAGGAAATAAAACTTCTTAAAAGCCAAGAAATAAAAATGTTAAAATGAGCAAATTAAAATATTTTTATATTAGAAAAATCCAAATAATGATTTATTACAGTTTCACGTTCATTCAAATCTGTGTTTCAGGAAATGAGGGGAATTTTTTAATATGGAAAGGAGATAAAATAGTAAAATTGCTTTAAAATTGTTCTGAGTATACATAGAAGCAAATACATAAATACTGACACAATTGGAAGAAAAAACTGAAGTGGTTAAAAATATGGCACTGCAATTTAAAATACGTGGATCCAATTTCAATTTTCCCTTTCCAGACACTCTCCTTATATCCACCTCCGCCCACTCTCCCATGCATAACCAAACATACATTATAAAAACTGTAGGTATCTAATTCAAATCTCTCCATTTTATGAGTCTTCAAACAATTTCTATAACATAATAAAAGTAATTTTGTTTCCTTTTGTATTTTTCGGACCCTAAATGTTATTAATATATTTCTGAATGAAAGGATGTCTACACATAGAGCCATTCAGTTTTTCTCTTCATGTTTTCCTCTTAACAGTCAAGGCCTCCCTCTTCAAAGCCCTAGTGGGGCGAGAGGAAAGAGGAACCATGACAATTCCGTGGGCACCCACTTTGCTTTTCAGGGATGCATTTCTGTGTAACCATTGAGCTCCTATTTGCGAAAATGCAGAGCTATGTCTAAGAATCACAATCCCTATTTTCCCTTACTTCAAATGCTAACTTCCTGATATAGACATATTTTCATTTAAAATGTTTTCAGAGGAAAGATGGGAAGTGGGAGTGAAAAAGTGTAATTTATTTTATTTTATTTTGACTTTCATCCACAGTTATATCCTAGCTAACCAAGTTCTCTACCACCTTTACCTCAATGATTTACTCCCTGTGTTCAAGGCCTTACTATGACCTCTTAGACATCCAGAGCAGAAAACTCTGGGTAATACGGTGCGTTCAGCATCTCCCAAATGCTCTTACTTCCTATCTTAATCTACGGCTTCTACCTCCAATGTCAAGATTGGCATGCTCTGTTACAGCTTTCTCAATTTGTCTTCTGTGATTTGTGGTAATGAATTTCAGACCAACTATCATGTTAATCATTCCTAGAATATACATTATCTTACTTCTGTCACAAAGGTATGTTTGTGTTTGTTTGTTTTCAGAAATCAACCCAAGGAGGCACTAGTGAGGCAAACAGGCCTTTTGATACACTGAAAGACCCTTCGGAAAGATATTTCATCTTACGTCACTCAGAAGTAACAAATGTATTATTTTTCTTTTATCACATCAGTCAGTTGTGAAACATACAGTCGAATTTTTACAGTTACAGCCAAATCAAGGTTTTCATTTGACTAGCATAAGAAAAAATGGACCTTATTGGTAGTCCCTATGTCTGAAGAAGATTTAAGAAAATAGGACATATTAACTTAAATTTACATCATAAATATATACTTTAAGGATGTCTGTTCACAGTAAATAGTCTATATCCAGGGGTGAACGGATTGCACAAAACATAACAATGGTTCTCCATTCATTTATAACATAAAATATATGCTAATATATATAATGTTAAAGGTATGTTTACTTAAAAAAAATCAGACATACACAAAAGTAGAGAGAAGAATATAGAAACACCATAGATTCATCACCTAGATGTAATAATAATTATTTAGGTTTGCTACTCTTGCCCAATCTCTCTTTTTTTCAAATTTTTTTCTTTCTTCTTTGGCCTGAAATATTTTAAAATATCAGACATCATGTCATTTCACTCCTGTGTATTTCAGTATGTTTCTCTAAAATAGAGGAATATTTTCTTATATAATTACAGTGCCATTATCACAGTCAACAAACATTAGCAGTAATTCCTTGACACTGTTTCATTTCTAATGCATATTCAAATTTCCCTGTTTTTTTTGCAAAATGTCTTTTTGAAGCTGATTTCTTCAAATGAGGATCGAAATAAATTCTACATGTTATGTCTTTTGAATATCCTTTAATTGGGAATAGGGCCCCTCTGCCTTTTTTTTCCTGCCTTTAAACATTTGTTGAAAACAACTGATTTAGTTGTCTTTTAAAGGGACTCACATTAAAAGTTTTCTTTTTTCCTTATGGTATCTGATAATATGTTTCTCTATCTTCTGTATTTTTAATAAACTCAAATTTAAGTACTTTTGGATAGAACAATTTCTTAAATGGCACTATGGCTTATTTACATGGCCATCCTATGTAGCTGTGGATATCTAAACAGGTGTTTTTGTCCTCTGCAACTGAGAGCCACACATTTGTCAAATGTGCCTCAAATTTTCTTGCCGTTAGGAGTTTCAGGATCTCGCTTCTATCATTGTCTCCTTGAAGCTGTTTCTTCTCAAATTGCACCCTCAAGAAGTGATGTCTCTATTCTCCTGGGTGTCCTCTTTTCCTCTCTCTCTTTCTGCACATATTTTTGTGCTTTCTTTTTAATGTTTTATTTCTATATCCTTACATTGAACAGGAAGTATAATTTCTTCCCATATTCCCTATCCATTCATGCAAAACCCTTATTATCAAAGACAAGACCACTATGATTCATTTTGACTCAGGTTCCAAATAAACATTTAGCAAACATTTTTCAGTGATTATTGTGTGCCAGGCTCTCTGCTAGCTTTGAGAAAATAGAGATGAATAAATCAAAGACCATTCACTCTGGTGGCCTACGGGGGAAGATAGGCAGCCAAATACACCACACAATATGGCCTCAGTGGTACAATGTCGATGCCAATGCCAATTGAGTGCTGTGGAAACAAATGCTTCTAGCCTTTGTAAGGCCAATGAGTGGGTTTATGGCTCCTTACAACACAACGTTATAGACAGCACCTACCAATCATTTGATACAGATTTGCTAGAAAAAAGAGCCAGCACCACATTTTCTGCTCGGTTCCATCCTATGACCTTTTTTATTTGCATCTACCTTTGACCACACCCCTTTCTTTCTCCTTGTCACCACACGTTGAGTTAGATCTCCCGTCATATTGCCACACTTCATATTACACAACTGGTTTTTGCTTCTCTGTCTCTTCCCCCACTGCCCCAAGAGGAGCAGGCACGTGTTAAGAGATGAAGCTAGTTTCGTTTCTTTTTATTTCAATACAATAAGAAATAGGGAAAAGTGGAGATAGAAAATGGAATGTTTGTGTTTATAAATGAATAATTAATATTTATAATTTGTTAAAAAATTAATCAAAGAAAATTTATTTTGGACTTAGATTTCCTAGCCTTGTGCCCATCTACACATGCTCACGCTCACTTGCCGCCATTACCAAGGAAGAAAAAGGGAATCACCATGAGCAGTTTTTCCTCTCCCCCGTCTAGTATTAGTTTGACAACCATATGGATACTGAAGAAAAGTATTTTACTGGATATCCATATTAGATTATTGGGCCCTCATTTATAATGCTGCAAAAACCTCAAAGTTGTCCTGCATGGTCAAGGTCAATGTTCTATTGTAGAGACTACTGCATTCTATCAAGAGCCCTTCTATTTAGTAAAGATTTCCCAAATGCTCACCTGAAAGTTTATTTTAAATAGATGCAGTTGGTTCCCTGGAGAGAAATCCAGTGTCACTAGCTCTGGATAACAGTTATAGCTTCTAGTTTCATTTAGCTTCACAGGCCTTTTAACTGGAAAAAGAAATAAGAGCTAGAATGATACATAAGGAGGTGAGTGCAAAACTGCTTCTCCCTGGGAAGATTTAGAAAACTGACAGGCATGATGTTAAATCTGCCATGTGGACGATAACATCAACTGGAGGAAACATTGCAGATGTTGTTAATACCTGAAAAAAAATAAGACGGAGGAAAAAACCTTTTGTCAGAGAATATCTGTCCTACTAAAAACAGAATTTAAAGCTAGGACAGGATTTTCCACACAGGTCCTTGTAAAGGTCATGTGACCCTCTACCTTGCATTCTGTTTATAGATGAATTATATTTCTACTGTGATTTGTGCAATGATTGCTATTATCCTGTATAAGAACACATTTAAATACCATGCCAGCTCAAATTAAAATAGCTGGACTCTTTCCTACCACTGCTGTTAGAAGAAATAACTAGCATGCTATAAAAATTGCTGTTTGGCCCCGAATTTTGCATAAGGTATATAATGAGCTAAGTTGAAATCTATTATATAGTAGAGCTTAAAGATGACAAACAGCTTTTAAAGCTTGGTTATGTTAAAATAAGAGCATATATATGTATTTGTGTGTGTGTGTGTGTGTGTGTGTGTGTATTTGTGGGTGTAGGAGTGAGTACCAATGGATACACAAAAAGAATTTTATAGCACTTCTTTTCTACAGTTCATTCAGGTATGTGGCAAATCACTCGACCTCCAGTGAACTCATTTATAATGGGTTGAAAATATCCAAAGATGGGAAGACTGCCGGGAAGATAGCAGGAGATGCTGTAAGTGCAGCAGTACTTCCTGCTTCATTGTTCTTTGACCTTTTCTTCATTTAAAGTGATGTTGGTACCTGGAGCAAGGCTGCTAGATTAGCAACATAAGAACTATTCTCTTTTCATTCAGTGGAAATATACCTGGGAAAGTAATGTTAATTTGCTATTTGTACTAACACTGTCAGTAAAAACTAGGGGACATAATAATGTGGTATAGAACTTACCTAGGAGTATTCATCCTAAGATCCCAGTCACAGCTTATTTGTTTATTTGCTCTATTTTACATTTAATGAGAAGAGAATTGAAATCTGCTACTCTGCCTTCAATACTTGCTTGTTGCTGTCAGGGTACAGGATTAAAGGTGCTCACAGTGAGGGAAACACAAACTTCAGAATTCCTCTGGACCCAAGGGTCAGTTATAATAGTCCTGGTATTATTTTATTTAATCTGTCAATAAACCAGTGATACCTGGTGGCTTACCAATGGGGCGAAGCTGGGAAAAGACTCACTGCTACCCTCAATGTCCAAAAAAAAAAAAAAAAAATCACCATCATCCGTATGAGTGATCCTAGTGTGAGGCCGAGCAGTTAATGACAATGGGGCACTCCTTAGTCAGCAGACACAGTCAGGAACAGTCAGAGTTAGCTCTAGTTTAGTAATAGAATCTCCATTCAGAATTCCATTCATGTGAACAGTCTCCGTGAAGAGCAGACAAAAAGTATTCCCTAACAGAAAGAGAAAACGGCACCCAAGAAGAAACAACACAAGCATAACAGTTATGGCAGGTATACTTAGGGTCAGGGCAGATCTGGCGAACTCTCTAAGCAGACACTAGCTCATGGGAGTTTGTGGATAAATCCAGGGCACAGCAAATGACGCATTATTCTCTAGACTCTGCCAGTGCTTGAGGGTCCCCATCTGCTTGCTAATACTATAGAGGACAAAGGACAGCATCATCAACCATGGGCAAAGACAGAGCATGCAGGGCTGTGGCCCCATGGCATTCACCATAACGGGTCACTCTCCCCTTTCTCTCTGGTTCATTTGGCCATTCTGTCTAGAGAGCACCGCAGACACTGTGCACAACAGAGGCTTTAAGTAGCTACTTCTCCATATCCAGAGGTTTAGAGGATTGAGTAAGAATCTAACTTTACATGCTTTTAATACAGCTAATTACAAGCACATGTGTTGTTAGGGCCTCAGTTATTTAGTATATGGGATGTCTTTTTGATATATACTCCTCCAGGGCTTATCTTTCCTTTCCTACTGTTCCCACCAACTTAAGATCAGATTTATCTGAAAGGAATTTTGGCTTATGCATCTATAAATATGCCTATTAATATTTTTTCTGTAAATACAGAAACAACACGTTAGCCTTATCAGTGAAACCTTGGGCCTCTTTACTATCACATTTTCAGCTTGCATTAGGATCATAGTAAACTAGCTAAAGGAAGAAAAAATAAATAAACTGTCATTCTAAAGGTTAGCCTTCTTAATTAAATGAAAACTCACGCAGCAGCATTAGAAAATGAAGTGACTGTAGCCTGTGCTCTTTTTGAGGGGACCCTACAGAGCATCCAGCCCATCCTGCCAAAAGCATGGCAAGCTGAATTAACCCCGGATGGATAAGAGGCTGCTGCGTTACAGTGGTGGTTTTTCGTTTGCAAGCAAGTGGAATTGACTGTGTGTGTCTGTTCTTGAAACTGTTCCATTTCTAGCCCACCTCATTTTCACCTTCTCTTTGATTTACCACCACCACCACCTTGCTGTTCCCTGGAGCTTCCTGCTTTCCCTACCACTGTCTTTCAGCTGAAGCCAATGTGGAGAAAAAAATCAGTAACAAGGTTCTGGGTTAGGTACTTTCACATTTATAAGTTCATTACCACCTCTTTTTATAGAAAAGCAAACTGAAATTCAGAGTTGTTAATGATTTGACCTAAGATCACACAGCTAGTGAAGTATGAGAGTAGACTGATCTATCTCCAATGCCCATTCTCTTTCCATAAGAACAACTGTTTGTATTGCTCTCCTTGCATTCCCACTGCCTTCATTCATAAAACTTTTCTCATGGTCTCCAGGATCACACTGCACCCTCCCAGCACCATAACAGAGCTGACTCTGTCTAGACCTTCAGCCTAGCACTGTCCTACCTCTTCCTTGATTTTGTTATTTTTGGATAGGTTCTTGGCCCCTTCTAGTTGGCCAGGAGCTCTGTGAAGTCCTCACACGAGTAAGTAAAGCCAGAGGTTTTCCAAAGCAGTGAGAAAACTGCACGTTTTGAGATCGGCAGTTCATTCTACCCCCCTCATTTCATGGTTGTATCATTTCTATCATCCTCTAACAAAATAGCTATGAATAGTCACATCATGACATTGCCCTCCATTTCAAAAATTAAAATATTCTCACTCTGTGATTTTTTATTGGTTATACCTGTATTCAATCAAATATATTGATTATATCTTTTCTTGATAAATATAAAAACAATATGATAAAAACTTTTACATAATCCTAATAAGTTAGAAAATTTTTCCAGACTCTCATTTTTTTAGTATAAAGAAGGGCTTTACATTAATTATACTTATTCAAACTCTTGGATTTGAGGGTTTTCCAGAGGGTGAATGTGTTTAGGCACAGCTGCCACACTGTGCAACTCCATAGTGCACTATCTGCATTGAGCTCCAGGGGGAGCCATTGAGATTGTGATTGTGATGGTATCTTCCAAAGTGGAAGACAGTGAAGTGATAAGGTTTGAAAAGGTGGTTTGCGTGTCTGGCTGTAATTAGAATTATCAGGGGAGCTTTTAGGACTGAGTTTCACTCACGGCAATTAAGCCAAAATCTCTAGGTGGATCTAGGCATCAGTAACATTTCAAAACCGCTGGTGTAGAGCATGAGATCTTGGAGACGTGAAACCCAAAGTTGAATCCTAGTTTTGGAACTCTCCAAGCTTCATTTTCTTCATCTGTAATAAAATAAGGCTATGAATTGTTCTTACTTTATAGAACTGTAAATATAACCCTTAGCATTGTACTTCTAGTTAACATTTCAAGGTAATTAGTAATCACTACTGTTATTATTATGAAGAAACATATCACTACTGTTCTAATACCTCGATGTCTTTAAAAATAAAAAAGGATAATATACTACCAATTAAGCCACTTCTCAGAGATTCAAAGGGCATGTAAAATATAATTTATATTGGATGAGTCAGAAGATAATTCATTCAGTTGAACCTGTAGAAATCCTACTAAACTGCGAAAGTGGAGAATTCTACTAAAGATAGCACCTTCTACAATCTGACAATGAAAACCCTGCCATTGCACTTTTGCCTTTGGTTAATTTATATTTTCATTCTAACCACTCTGCACTTTGTCTAGTATATCAGTGTTACTTCAACTCTCTCTCAAACGCCAAGCATGAATTTATAGTGATTTGTTAATTACCCCTAGTGATTTCAGGTACTTCAAAGTTAACCTCCTAAGCAAACCCCTTCACAATTTAAGCCCAACCAATAGCAAGCCCTGTCAAATACATTTCATGAACATCTGGCAAGCATTAATCCTCTTCTCCATCTTCTCTCCAAGGCTAGGAACATCTCTTTTTTCGTACTCCTTTACCTGCTACTGATTCCTAATTAATCCTCATATGCTAAAAATAACTTCATAAAAAACAGATATTCACAAATCACTTCTGCTTTAAATTTCCTTTTACTGCCTTATTACCGACAGAATCAAGTCCAAAGTCCTTAGAGAATAAAAACCTTCAAGATCAGACTTTCATTAAACTTTTCAGAATCCTCCCTCCACCCACCGCTTCTTGATAAATGTCCTGATCTAACCACTCTGAATTCCACATGATCTCTGAATCTGCCAGTGTGTCTTTGCATACAGTCACCATTTTCTTTTCCTAGCTAACTGCTAATTATCTTTCAAAGCTGAAATCGTGTGTAATTTTGGGGGTGTTCTTTTATTACTCTTCTAAGCAGCATGTGTCTTTTCCTCTTCTGTGTTATTATGGCACTTACTGTGCTTTAATGAAATTGATCATTTATATCCTTCTCACTCAGTGGTCTGAAGGCTCCTTGAGAAGAGTCTAGGACTAACTTCGTGTTCTTAACTTTTACCTGACAGAAAGTCAAATGCATTTAGTTAAGGTTTATTTCATTAGAAATGAGACTTGCTGGACTGTGCTGAGGAACTAAAAATTCTAGTTGTAAAAAGAACTCAGAACAAAGATTAATAAATGAACTATTAGACACATGGATATTTCATTCAGTGTGGATTGGGAAAAATCCCTGTTGAAGCAGAAACATTCTACCCTCCCTTCTATAGCTCCACACGAGCTGGAAAAGCTGAGAAGCACCTAGAAATGATCTTGAGTTTACTGTGGAGCTAAAGGAAAGTGAAATTGTATACCGCTCAGCCAGTGGTATTGACACAAATACATACACTAAAGAAAGTAAGATCACACATTATTCTCTAGACTCTTTATTTTTAATCATCTGTAGTGCATAATGTTTGTGTGTGAGTTTTAAATTTATACATGTTAGATCACAAGGAAAACATGAAAACATTTACTGTACAATTTGTTCTCCAATATAACTTTGCTTTTGGACAATGGAGACTGAAGAAAGGCTTTTAAAATGATAAGACATCTCTTTCACAAAATTTTCTTCCCTGGAATTCCAGATCAATAATGTTTTTAGAAAGCTAAATTAATTAATAGGATATGGTCTTCACTGAGAATATTATAGGTGAACTATCCATAACAAAAAAGATAATGAATTAATGGTTATTGAAAAATAACCACTAAAATTTAACCAATTAATACTTTGCAAGTATTCCTCATGTATGACATTTAAATCAAAAGCTAAGTTACGCTGTGATCATCTAGAATAGCTGGGAATCATACAAATATCGAAGCCATTTGAAAAATGATTGTTGAACCAAAAATTAAAGTGAACATGGTAGAATCAGCTGGTATTACAATAGATGCCCATTAGCATTGGTTTTAGACTCTCTTTCTTATCCTCAAGCAAGTATATTTTCCCCAAAAAAAGAAAATGGAAAACACACACACACACACACACACACACACACGCACACACACACAAGAAACTGAGAAACCCAAATAAATAAATAAGATGGGAAATGAGAAAAAGGATAAAGAAAATGATGGAACAAGACAAGGAAAAAGCAAGAAACAGTCGTAGTAACTTGTCACCAAGCAATAAGAAGCCTGTACAGGACTTGGACCCTGAATCAGCTCTCATGTTACTCTTCTTACATTTCACTTATCATTGCAAGGGACACTGCAGGCTGGTGTGTCCACATTAGATCCCCTTCAGAAAACTGAGGGATTATGAATAGAGCCACCGTGAAAAAGAAGAAAGGGCATATTATCACTGACCCTGAAGTAGATGCACATAAAACTTCATGACCAAAAAAGCTTTCTTGGTAGGTTACCCAAGACCACTGATGTTACAAACCACTGTTTCTCAACTGTGGCCACAGGCTCAAATCACCTAGGGAGCATGAAAAAATATATAACCAGGCACCTCCCTCAGAGAGGGGTTTAATTGGTTTGAAATAGGATTTGCTGTTTTATTTCATTTTTTGAAATTTCTGAATGATTATAATGTGATGTGGGGCTCCATCTTTACAAAAGAAAAAAATTCAGAAAATATGTGCTGGCTTATTTATTGCTAAAACAACTAATTTGAACTATTATGAACTATGGAGTATTTATTTTCTTGAAATCCATGGGCATTTTCTGAATGCTTTGATCTCATTCACCTGACAACATAAAAACTATTTAATTGTTCTGAGCACATGTTCAAGGCATCCTGCTACCCTGGTCCCTACCACTGGTAGATTCTATGCTGTTTGTACTGAATGAAATAAGCCAATATTGATCTCATAGCAATCTCATCCTTTTCTCCTGAATTCACAGAAGAAAATTTTGCCTATTCTGACAGAAACATAACTACCTACTCCTACTATTCTTCTCATGTCTGCTATGGGGGAAGCTTCTGACAGTGTTAATCACTCTGCTTGTGAGAAGATACAGTGAGGGGATACGTATCTTTGCTAAAGTTTTACATCTTATTTTAATATATTAGCTGTTAACATTCTTAGTTGTCATCAAAGCAAAGCTTTAAGATTTCTCCTTTTTTCATAATCAAAGTACTTCATGAAACCCTTGCATGAATGACGGGAATTCCCAAAAACAAGTTCAGGCACTACCGATAATAGTCCCAGAATAGAGATGTTGGAATGAACTAATGGAAAGAATCCTGGAGCTGCATTTGGAAGATATAGGCTTTTAACTGGATTGGAATGTTTCCAAATTGCATGACCTTGAGCAAGTTATTTAACCCTTATGAGCCCCAATGTCTTTACCAAGGAGACTGTAAGTCCTGTACTAGCCAGCCCACAATGGGGTATAGTGAGTATATGTAAGAGGCCATCTTTACAAGGACATTTCGTACTTTTGCAAAGCACAATGAAAATTGATTTTTTTTCCTCTTCTGTCTCTTTTCTCCACTCCTTTCCATGAGGTACCTGGACTTCCCAAGCACAAACACCGCAGGCAGCTCTGTGGGAGCATAAGACCCCAAATAGCCAAGCAAGGCACCCAGCACAAACAGGCCGGGGCTGGAAGTAACCTGGGATAAAAGGACTGGAGAAGATAGTGGTATAGTGGGGTAAAATGATCAGAGGAAGTTAATGCATACCCTCTCTATGCTTTCTAGAATTTCTTTTGCAAAATACTAAAATTGTTTATTTCTCATAAGGACACATGTTTGATGATACCGAATTTTTCTTTATGGAGTAATCAATGGATTCCAGGGAAAAAAAGGGACAAGGCTATTTAAAAGGCTAAATGAAAGCTAATTTTAAAAGACTAAATTATATTGGGAGAAAAAAATCAACACTTGGTCCTCAAATTCTGTAAATATCTGGCCAATTCTGACCAACAATACAGGATCAGGAACAGAACTAAACTAAGGAAGACAGCGGTAAGAAGCCCAATGTGCTTATTGACATTTGTCTGACTAACTAAAGGAAAGAGCCTGAGGCAACATAAAATAAGTATGTTCCTCACGTGCAGTCATAAAACAGCATGAGCCCAGGGAATCTTCTTATTTGTAGCTTTATTCTGCATATTAAATTAATCATTAAATAGTGGTTATTGTCCACTAACCAATAACTATGGGGCAAGAGCTGTTCTACTGTTATCTCAAATAATCCACTATATCTCTCAAGGTGATCACTACCCTGCCCTTTCCCCACCAGCATCTGCATATTGGGAAACTTAGACTCAGAGAGGCAAAGCACTGAAGTGTGCTGAGTCTAATGAATTATGTGTTTGTTTATTATCCATTCTTCCTTTTGGAGTCAAAGATTTGCCTTTGCTTAGTAATTAACCATAGAGGGATACACTTTTTCTTTTAATAAGCTATATTCTTCACAAATAGTAAAATCATAGATTGCAAAAATTCTATATATATGATATGTAATTCTATATATATGATATATAATTCTATATATATGATATATAATTCTATATATCATATAAAATAGAAATATGTATATATTTATTTCTTCACAGATTTACTATAAACCAAGGAGATATATACATATCTCTATTCTAGTAAGTTAAAATTCGGGAAACTTTATTTTTTTATAGCCCAAACTCTTTTATTGTAGGTAATAAATTATAAAAATTAAATGTTTAATCCAACGAAGCAAATTTTAGATAAATGATGGAAATAGTTACTGTTATTAGTAAGGAAATATTTATTTATTTATTTATTAGGGAAAATGAAACAGCTGCATATTTAATCAATTAATATGTTAATATGTATGTTACAGAATTATTTTTCAATCCACATTTAGAGAAAGTATAATGCCTTTAACAAGAACACTTGTATTTTGCAATAAGTATAAAAATAAAAATGCAAAAAGGATGCTTATGTAATTTCTAATGCTAAAATAGCACTGAACTATATCATTGGTGGTATTTAAAACCCTAAGAAATCATTCAATGATAATATTAACAAATAGGGCATATCTTTCAGTCAGCTTGACACTACTCTAGACACAAGCATAACTGATATTCCTTTGGTAAAATGCAGGGCAGAGTCTATGAAGGAACATCTGATGTCTATAGTAAAATTAAGGTCAAGGACTTGGCAGAATATGTTACAGATTATAACAGATGTTCCCAAATTAGATCATATTTTTATTAAAATCTATAGAGATGTTCAGTCAGTAGAACCTAGAATCACAGAATTGTAGAACAAATGGTAATATTTAGAGGCTAGTCATCCCCATCATTTTAAAGGTGAAGAAACTGACACTCAAATAAGGTTAAGGGCTTAGCCCAAGGTCCCAGATTTGGTTAGCAGTATTTGAATCAGAACTGAAGTCATTTCTGCTATCACAGGTTGTCTCTCATTGGCAACAAATGAAGAAATATTTTCTTTACATTTCAAAAATTTAGAATATATTATATTATGTGGTAGTATTAGACTAAGGAATAATAACAAAATGAACCACTGCATTATTTGGATCTTTTCTGATTCCTGCTCCTGAAAATTGCCCAGTTGTTATATTTTCTATTAAAGTCCAAATGGCAAGGAATGTTACCATTCACCAGACATTGAACAGATATCAAACTAATATTAAATCTGCAATGCACATAAAAAAATTCAGTAGTACCAAATATCAGCAAATATTAGCACCATGCTAGCATGTGGGTGGTACCTTTTAAAATTCAGTTAATAAGTAAACACTTTCACAGTTGAGACTTTCACAAGATTTAACATTATCCAGAGTTTGGATGCAATGCTAAACTTCCATGAATCACAATAGATTTGGCAACAAATGGGCATATATTACCCTAGCAAACTCAAAAACACCACAGTGAATTTCACATGTGTTCTTTTATGGATACATCAAGTTGACAATACGGCAATAATGCATGTAGAAATATATGTATGTATATATATACACACAAACACACACAACACACATATAAATATATACACATATTTATTCTAAATATATATACATAGATATTCTAAACATATATAGATATTCTAAATATCGATATATATTCTAAAATGTCATAAATTTTTCACTTGTGATTTTTAAGACCTTATCATAGATACACTGGGAATTAGAATATCCAAGTTCTTTTATAATCTGTTACATATCATGTCAGGAGGAATTCTGGCTTTAACTTTTCTTTTTTTGAGACCGAGTCTTGCTCTGTCGCCCAGGCTGGAGTGCAGTGGCGAGATCTCAGCTCACTGCAAGCTCCACATCCCAGGTTCACGCCATTCTCCTGCCTCAGCCTCCCGAGTAACTGGGACTACAGGCGCCCATCGCCACGCCAGGCTAATTTTTTGTATTTTTAGTAGAGACAGGGCTTCACCATGTTAGCCAGGATAGTCTTGATCTCCTGACCTCGTGATCCGCCCGCCTCAGCCTCCCAAAGTGCTGGGATTACAGGCATAAGCCGCCGCACCCGGCCTGACTTTAACTTTCAGTGGCAAACTGAGATAGATTTTGCAGAGTCCAGACACCAAAATCTGGGGAGAATACAAGTGAGTTTCATGCCAGTCATAAAGCTGTAGGGCTAGTTATACCTCCCCACATTAGCTAATATACCTGATAGTTAAAATGTACCCCTCTGTTGTGCTCTTCTAATTTTTATTATTGAGCCAGATCAAGAGTATATCTCACTGCCTTACTTTACTTCAGGGGTCCTCAAACTTGTATGGGTTTCAGAACTTCTCGAGGAACTTGATAAAAATAAAAAGGCTCAGGATCTATCCTACTTCGAGAAGGCTGGGCCTCTGTGGGCTTTATGACCTCAACCAATGATTATGATAGGCACCAAATTTGAGAAGCACTACTTTAGTGTATGCTCTTAATGTTGACTTCCAGATCATTTCAGTTTCTTTTCATTGGTCTGTCTGATTACAGTTTCTTTCTGCATCAACTTATTCTTCATCCAGTCAACAAATCTGAACAAGTCCAAGTTTGTTAAAAGTAATAACAATGATAATGATAATGACTGTTTATCACAACGGACAAAAGTCTAAATTTCCTATGGTGCATTTAAGGCCCTTTCAAGACTTGCCCTTTGCAGTCTTCTCCCGTCAGTTTCATCACTCCGAATGACTTGCACTTTCCCCTAATGCAAAATGATTTCTCAGAGTCTGAGTTTTCTTATATTCACATATTCTTTCAAAAATTATTTACTGAGCTCTTACTGCCTGTACAGCACTGGATCTAACACTGAGGCTAAAGTAGTGAAGAGACGGAAATCATGCCAGTTCTCAAAAAGTGAAAAACATAAGAACAACAAACACATTTAACTTAATTAGAATTGAGATAAATACTGTAAAGAGTAACTGTCGGGTGTCGTGACAGCATATAACAGGGACCTCGTTTGGTCTAGGAATTTTCATGGGCAGCTTTCTCAAGGAAGTAATTGTTGAGCTAATGCTTGAAGTATGGATATAAATCATCAACATAAATGACAGGCGGTTCAGAGGAATATTAAAGACAGGGAATAGAACGTGCAAAGGTCTTGGAGTCAAAGAAGAATAACTTTTCAAGGAACTAAAAGTAGATTATATAAGTTAACATAAAAAAAGAGAAGTTCATTAGCTAGAGACAAAGTTCATGAAACGGGCAGTCTATGTAAGAACTTGTTAGCCATGTTTTTTTTTTTACCCTAGGGAAAATCGAGAGTGAAAAAATAGTTGTAAGCAGAGAATTGTCTCAGATTTGCATTTTAATGATCATTCTGACCCCAGTGTAGAGAATGGATTAGATGATGAAAAGCACAGATGATATACTACTTTACAGGAGGTTATTGCAAGCAGCCTGGAAGAAAACAGTTAGTGATTGGATTAGACTTTACACATTAGAGTGGTAGTAAGAAAAATGATGAGGGAGGACAGATTGAACATATGCTTTTCATTCTACTCAGATAATCATGGTTTTCCCCATCTCTCTCTTGGTTTCATCCACAATGCCTAGATTAAATTCAGGGTTCCTTTAGCATTGAGTATTTACTATTGCTACATTTTAAATATCGGTTATACACCTTTCTCCTTATACTAGAATATATGTGTGTGTGTGTGTGTGTGTGTGTGTGTGTGTGTGTGTGTATGTATATAGACTTTTTTTTTTTGAGATGGAGTTTCAGTCTTGTTGCCCAGGCTGGGTGCGATGGTGCAATCTCGGCTCACTGCAACCTCCACCTACTGGGTTCAAGCAATTCACCTGCCTCAGCCTCCTGAGTAGCTGGGATTACAGGCATGCACCACCAAGCCCAGCTAATTTTGTATTTTTAGTAGAGATGGGGTTTCTCCATGTTTGTGAGGCTGGTCTTGAACTCCCGACCTCAGGTGATCCACCCACCTTGGCCTCACAAAGTGCTGGGATTACAGGCGTGAGCCACCACGCCTGCCTAGAATATAAATTATTAAGGGTACATGTGTGTTTTATTTATCTATTACATCCACTGCCTGACTGATTCTATGTTTTAATATTTTAATGAATCGACCATGAGTTGACCAACCATGTGATCTTAGGCAGGTTAACCACTGTGATCTCCATTTTATCACTTAATAAGTAATCTCATCCCCTCACCCACTGTGAGCCCTTTGAGCCAAATCCTGGCAAGAAACTATCACTTTCTTGGCACGAAAAGTATGCTAAAGTCGAATTGGACAGATCCCAGCACGAAAGATTCAACTGAAAATTATTTAATGAAGGAACTTTTTATTGATGTTGGGGCAAGGTTCAGGGACCAACAAGAATATATGAGGCACTCAGGAACTCTGATGTCAGGAAACCTTTATCACCCCTACCCAGAAAGAGATAAGGGTGAGGGACAGTGTTAATGAAGCCTAGTTGAAGGATGGAGTTGTGGATGTTGGCCTGTCCAAGAGTAGTTGTGGCCATAATAAGAACAGCCACTGCTAGGACCATGGCAGGTAATGAGATGGGAGTGGAAGGGATCTTGTACACAAATCTTCCTCTTTTCCCAGCTGTCAATTTCTTTCCAGCCTGTCATTGGCTGAGCACATTTGAAAGCCAAATGGCAAGGAAATCCAGGTGATTTTGCTTTTGAGGTCAATCTTCCAGGCCGCTGAGCAAAGTATAGGAAAAGGAAGGATGGATCTAGGGAGGCAAATGGGGAATAATGAGAAAGAGAGAAAAGATTTACACAACTAACTCTTCAAGAAAACCATGAGATATTGAATTTAGTGGACCAAAGAAGTGACTCTAATGAATAATAATGTGGGCCAGATATGAACAAAAATAATTCAGAATGTGGAGTACTGAGACAGGGGATTACAGAACCATGGAAATAATGGCAAGAAAGGATGAAGGAATTGAGCAAAGGGAAACACAATCTAGCCAGAGGCTCAGGCCTGAATCTTTTGCCATCTTTCACATTTATGTCCACATCTGTATTTGAAGAGCAATAAGACCCTTTCCAGTCAAAAAATTAAGTGACCTCAATATTAAGACAAGTTTACGTAATGCTATTATAACTGTAATAAGATACCTCTCTACCACTACAACTCAGAGACTCAGGTCTCATATACTCTATTTATTGAAAATGAAACCACCTGTGCAAAATTATAACTGAGGAAATTATGACCGAAAGAAATCAGACCTAACTGACTCTGTCTTGCTTCTAACTTTTAAGCTGTCCTTGCTCATTCCTGGGCATAGGTCGAACTAACTTTGGGAAGGAATTCCGTTCATTGTTTGACTCTGAAACAAAATTGATAAAAGCCCTTTGCCAAAAAGACTCCCTTCTTATCTGGGGTCAAGTCTGCCTTTTCAGGACTAACAAATTAGCTACAAGATCAGAAATTACAATTTAGGGGTCATGCAACCTCTGGCTCCAAGAGTCTGAACCTCCTTAAATTGCTCTTGGAGATAACATCACTATTGTAAAACCTAAGATGAGTGCTTGAAATATTTTGCAGACCCTGCACTCCATGGATCAGCTCACACCACCCAGACCAGTAATCTGACCCAAGAACAGAAGACATTAAGAAAACCTAATTTCAACCCCCTATGATTCCATCTCCAACCTGACCAGCCAGCATTCCCCACTTCCCAAGCCCCTACCCACCAAATTATCTTTTAAAACTCTGATCCCAAATGCTCAGGGAGACTGATTTGAGTAACAATAAAACTCCGGTGTCCCACACAGTTGGCTCTGCGTGAATTACTCTTTCTCCGTTGCAATTCCCCTGCCTTGGATAAATCAGTTCTGTCTAGGCAGCAGGCAAGGTGACCCCTTCAGGCAGTTACAAAAACTCTATGATCTAGGAGTATGAAACCAAATGAAATTTGGTATATCCAATATCAATTGAAAGATTCTTCATATTGATACACATAATTACTATTGATCTACTATCTAGGAGAATTTACTCTTTGTTAGGGGAGATTAGAGGCTTTATAGATCTCACTGTCTCATACTATAAAAACAACACATAGATGATATTGTAATGCACAACTTTCTGGAAGAGCGCCTGTGGCCTAAAGAGAAACGTTAACACAAGTAACACACCCTACATGGCACAGATAGAAAGTGGAAAAGCCAGGGTTCACATTCAAGTCTCTGACTCGGCAGCCCTTAGTCTTTCTTCTATATATTATAGTCTAATGAAGCAATGGAGCTGCCTATATATTAAGGAGTAATATTGATGAATTCTATGTTTAGCTATAAGAACACTAATGGAATTTTCTAATTACTTGGGAAAAATATCAGAAGAGATGGAAATGTTGAGCTAATTGGTTTATGGAAATGAGATAGCTTGGTTAGGCAAGAATTCGTGATATCCAATGGGTGTTTATTACGGAGGGAGATAAGCCTCACCTAGAGTACTTGGGAGAGCAGGCTGGACCTGAAAAGTGTGGTTTCCACAGAATGGAAAGATTGGTGGTGAGATTGTAAAAGGAGCTATTTAGCCATGAGCAATTGTTCTTAAGAAGGTGTGCTTTGTAAGTCTGCCTTCCCAGCAAACCTCAGATATTTCCTTGCATCATTTACCTACTTGTTTTATTGACTCATACAATTCTTTATTTAATTTAAAAAGCATTTTCTACATCCCATGCCCACTTCTAGGTTCTGGAGGATATACAGTCAAAATGACACGCTCCTTCACCTTCACAGAGTGTTCATATTTGGTGAGAGACACAGAGTCATGCCCCAGCAAATGTAATCCTGTATGACAGGTGCTAGGATATTTGCTGAGGATGCTTTGGAAGTACAGATAAAAAAATATATCTTTATCATTAAAAGGTTGGGAACATTCCTTTTAAACATCTTGAAGGATGAAAATTAACTGGGTAGAGAAAAAAAAGTAAGATTTTAAGTAGAAAGAATGACACCTATGGAGGCCATGAGGACAGAGGCAATTTTTTTTTCTTTTTGAAATCACTTTGCTTTATTGCAGAAACATCAAAGACTTTTACTGAATAGCTAACAGAAGGCTATGGTATGTATACAACAGAGTCCTCTTTTCAAAGAATAGCAATCAGTTTCTATTTTCTGTTCATTCAAATAAAAGCTGATGTTCCTGATGGTTTTGAAAGAACATCAGTACTTTTCTGTGTGAGCTACTTTATGTGAATGAGTATATTTAAAAAGTTTAGGCCAGGTGCGGTGGCTCATGCCTGCAATCCCAACACTTTGGGAGTCCGAGGCAGGTGGGTCACTTGAGTTCAGGAGCTTAAGACCAGCTTGGGCAACATGGTGAAAATTGAAAATATGTCTCCACCAAAAATACAAAAATATCAGCAAGATGTGGTGGCACGCACCTGTAGTCCCAGCTACTTGGAAGGCTGAGGTGGGAGGATTGCCCGAGACTGGGAGGCGGAGGTTGCAGTGAGCCGAGGTCACACCACTGTACTCCAGCCTGGGCGACAGAGTGAGACCTCATCTCAAATAATAAAATAAAATAAAATTTAAATTAAAAAAAGTTTAAATGACAAGACAAAACAGATAGCTGTCTTGTATGCGATAGACCTTACAATGTGAGATGGGGCATTCTGTTTTGTTTTTTTTTGGTTTTTTTTTTGTTTTTTTTTTTTTTTTTTTTTTTTGAGACAGTCTCACACTGTTATCCAGGCTGTAGTGCAGCGGTGCGATTTCCACTCACTGCAACCTCTGCCTCCCGGGTTCAAGCAATGCTCCTGCCTCAGCCTCCAGAGTAGCTGGGATTACAAGCACCCACCACCATGCATGGCTAGTTTTTTGTATTTTTACCAGTGATGGGGTTTCACTATGTTGGCCAGGCTGGTCTTGAACTCTTGACCTCATGATCCACCGGCCTCAGTTTCCCAAAGTGTTGGGATTACAGGCGTGAGCTACCACACCCAGCCCGGGGCATTCTTTTTTTTTTTTTTTTTTTTGAGACAGGTTCTCTCTCTGTCTCCCATGCTGAAATGCAATGGCATGATCATAGCTCACTGGAGCCTCAACCTCCTAGCTCAAGCAATCCTCCCACCTCAGCCTTCCGATCCTCCTACCTCAGCCTTCTGGGCAGCAGGGGCTACAGGCGCACACCACCATGCCCCACTAAATTTTTTTTTGTTTGTTTTTTAACGTATAAGTGGGATCTTGCTATATTTCCTCGGCTGGTTTTGAAGTCCTGGTCTCAAGCCATCCTCCCACCTCAGCCTCCCAAAGTGCTGGAATTACATGCATGGGCCACCATGCCCAGCCAACAAGATTTTCTTTATGTTATGTGAAGTCTAGTTTTGCAAGATTTTAATAAGTATTCCATGAAGAAAAAGAAATGCAGTCAAATAAATTTGAGAAATACTGGTTTAAACACCTGAGGTCAAGAGTTCCCTGGCCAAACCCCGTTTCTACGAAAAATGCAAAAGTAGCCAGGCATGGTGGCATGCCCCTGTAATCCCAGCTATTCAGGAGGCTGAGGTGGGAGAATTGCTTGAACCCGGTAGGCAGAGGCTGCAGTGAGCCAAGATCGCACCATTGCTCTCCAACCTGGGTGACAGAGTGAGATCCCATCTTAAAAAAAAATAAAAATAAAAATAAATAAAGAATGAAAGACACTTAATGGCATGATACACATTACAATGTATACCATACTATGTTAAGTGCCATTTACCTAAGTGTGTTTCTCAGAACATTAGTTCTACATAACATCTACTGTAAAATGTTCCAAAGTTAAATATATTTGAGGAATGTTACACCCTTACCCTTCTTTCAGAAATGTATGATAATATTAGAACACTAAAGGCTCCAACAAGTTCTGGAAGAGGCAAACATTTTGATATGAGTGGAGAGGAAGGTGCTTATGGCACAAGGATGGAAGATAAACCCAGAGAAGCAGGCAATGCCAAATCTTGAAGGCGATTGTATACCTTGCTCAGGAATCTGACCATAACCATGAATCTTTGGGAAGCAGCTGAATGATTTAAATCAGCAGAAAGATAAAATCAGATCCAAACTTAGTAAAGACCACATTGGATACAATGTGAAAAGGAGCAAGGAGGACCTCCAGGCAGAAGGCCCAGAGACCAGTTGGATAGGTTGGTTCCAAACCTGAGTGATTGTGTAAGTGGTTATGATAATAACTGATATGGGAGTAGAGGAAGAGGAGCAGGCTGAATTAGATAAAATAAGGACATTTCAACTTAATTATTTTTCCGTAAGTTCTCATCTTCTTTCCTTTAACATGTTAAGAAATAAAAAAAGGTTATATATATATATATATATGTATATATATATATATAATTAATAAAGAGTATATACAATTGTGGCATATTAATTTTTTGGCCCTGAACTAACATAGGCTCCCAGGGAACTGTGTTTATTTACATGCACAGAAGAGGCAGAGATGAACCAGTCTAGCCCTTAGCGACAAGAGTGGTGATAGTCACCCATTCTCACCTCTTGCTCACTAATCCCACTCCCCATGATTTCCAAAAATAAGAAGGCACCTCTTCACACTCACTCAGTGACAATATTTGCAGGAAAAGAGACCTAAGTCTTTATTAGGAATGAATGAACTCACCAAGAATATGGTTTTTACTTTGGTACACTTACCTTTTGCCAAGTAGTGTCTGTTATGCCAAGATCCACACTAGCAGGCAGCATGCAGGAGGAAAAAGCAGCTTCTCTGCCACTTCGGAATGGCTTTCTTTCCTACCTCACTGAAGATAAGAGACATTATTGATTTTATTAGGGTAGTTCAATTAGCAGAGCAAACAGATTTCTAGACTGGAGAAAAGGCTAAGTGACTTTTGTCCTTGATCTAGAGAAATTACCTGGCAACCCGCACTTCACTTTCTGTCATAAATAAGCCTGGTGGTGAGTGATGTGTTATTTAAATGAGTGAGTCCCAAACCTAGGTGAGTCTGATGTGGTTTGCGAACCACTGGTACAAATACAGATCATAGGAAGCTTTTTAAGTGCATGTAATTCATTTGGCCAAAAAAGGGGGGATAAACACAGCCCAGGAAAAATACGTGAAATCAAGCAAAATGTATAATATCTCAGTAAACAATGTATAGCAATTTGAAGAAAATATAATAGTGTTGTAATAAACAATGCTTGACTCAAATGGGGTAACAGTACCAACCAATTATAACACTTTTTTTTTTTTTTTTTTTTTTTTTACTCTTCTGTAGCAAGCAGTGTTCTTTGGCTGCAGTGTCAGAAGCAGACTCTAAGCAGAAAATAAAAATTGTGGAAAGTCATAGGGTGGTTTATAGGAATAAAGGGTAAGACAATGAGGAAGCTGAGTAGAGACATGAAACATTTAGCTTTAGAGATCTGGGCAGTGGTACCAGACAGAAGTTTCTCATAGGACGGCAGTGACAAAAACGAGCTTCTTTTTAAGTCAAGTGACAGCTTTTATCAATGATATTCAAAGAGGAAAGAGCCTGCATGATGAAGAATGGTATTTAAGAAAGGGAAAACATGTACTTTAGAACTCCTGTAGCAGAGTTGATCAACATGCTTGCACTTTAGAACTGATTCCTTAATAAACTATACTTATTTAAAATTGGAAACAGCCCAGTGAGTATTCTATACAGAGAATATACCAGCCGGCCATGGTGGCTCATTCTTGTACTCCCAGCACTTTGGGAAGCCAAGGGAGGGGATCACTTTTAAGCCAGGACTTTGAAACAAGCCTGGACAACATAGTGAGACCCCGTCTCTACTAAAAAGTTAAAGCCAAGCCCGGTGCTCTGGCTCACGCCTGTAATCCCAGCACTTTGGGAGGCCGAGGTGGGCAGATCACAAAGTCAGGAGATCGAGACCATCCTGGCTAACACGGTGAAACCCTATCTCTACTAAAAAAATACAAAAAAAAAAAAATTAGCCGGGCATGGTGGTGGGTGCCTGTAGTCCCAGCTACTTGGGAGGCTGAGGCAGGAGAATGGTGTGAACCCAGGAGGCAGAGCTTACAGTGAGCTGAGATCATGCCACTGCACTCCAGCCTGGGTGACAGAGCGAGACTCTGTCTGAAAAAAAAAAAAAAATTAAAAATTAGCTGGGCATGGTGGCACATGCCTGTGGTCCTAGTTACTCGAGAGGCTGAGGTGGGAGAATTGTTTGGGCCCAGGATTTCAAGGCTGCAGTGAGCTATGATCACATCACTGCACTCCAGCCTAGGCAACAGGGCAACACCCTAACTCCGATTAAAGTATATATATATATATATCTTAAAAGAAGGCAGCAAGAGAAGTAATAATAATATTTTTTAAAAAACCTGGATATGCTACCTTTACATTAATCAAAGTAATGCAAAAAGGCAGGTAGAGTGCAATGATAAGCTTACTAAGGCTGGTAAGCTACAAGAGGTGATTGGAGGAAAAATAAAAGAAGGAAACTTAGCTTTTAAGTGGAAAAATAAAACTTGCTTTGGTCAGAATTTAAAATAAACTCAAAATTAATTCTTTTTGATGCGTATGAAATCTTATTAAAATGAATACCCTTTACTGGATCATGACGATACTCAACCCTAGTCAATGGATCATTTTACTTAACTATTTAGTTCAACAGAAATTTCAGACAGTAATTTGGATGATGCTTTGGTGTTGTCATAGAATTAAATCCAAAAGCCTTTATGATACAATGATAGAGTTTATAAGAGTAATTGCATGAGTAGTATGTCATTTTCCTAATACCACAGTAGGGAGAGTATTTTCATTGTGGGGCCTAGTATTCAATTATATACTTATTATCTATTTGGCTTTAAGCAGGCATTTTAGCCTTTTTGATCCTTAATCTCCTCATACACATGGAGACTAGTAAGTAATTACTAGCCCTGCCTATCTCACAGGGTTGTGAAGTAAGTCAGGCAAAATTATTGGTGGTAAAATCACTTTGCAAACTATACAGCATCCTACAAATGTAAGGGCCAATTATATTTATGTTGACATATGATTTAATAATGAACATTAGGAGAGATGTAATGCTTTGAATTTCCTTACTAGAGATGATAAAAGCTGTATTAATACAATTCAAGTTGATAACAATAATTTGGAGTAATGCTTCACAAACCAAAACAACTTTTTTAAAGTTACCTTCAATGTATGAAGTATATATTGTATGTTGTTAAAAAGTAATTTGAGTCTGTGATACATGAATCTTCACAAGTAATTTCTTTCTTAAGACCATGTGAAAAAACAATTTTTACAAAAGCTGCAAGCCTGGGCAACCTAGCGACACCCTGTCTTTACAATTTTTTTTTTTTTTAAATTAACCAGGCATTGTGGCATGTGCCTGTAGCCCCAGCTACTGGGAGATTGAGGTGAGAGAATCGCATAAGCCTGGCAGGTTGAGGCTGCTGTGATCTTGCCACTGTACTCCATCCTGGGCAACAGAGAAAAACCCTGTCTCAAAAGAAAAAAAAATAACTGCAGTTGCAACAACACCATTGACATGACAGAGCATGAGCATAATTAATACTGCATACAAATATAATCTCAAAATATTAGAAGGGGGTTCACTGCTCAATTGTTCAGAAAATGATAGGGTATGTTTCTTTTGGGTCAAATTACTGAGAATTTTTAAAAATTGCCCTCAAATAGAAACTGCACCGTATTTTTATCTGGAGAAAACCATCTGTGGGAACCACCTTCTGCCTCCCATGTCTTGGCAGCGGGAACTAGTGCCTCAGATTAGGACTATTTATTTACTGACCCCTGTGGCAACAATGTGCCTTATCTTGCATAAATCCTAATATCATAAGAACTCCATTGTACTTTTTATGGTATATCATCCCTAAAACAAAAATCTTGATGTGAAATATAAATGCTTCAATAGAATATTGTTAAATAAAATATTTCTATAATGCCAGAGAGTCTTATGCAGTCTCTTCACCAGATGTTACTTTGGAATAAACCCTCTGCCATTTCTGAGTAAAAGTCACTGGACCTTTCAACGAAGTGATTGAGTTAAAGTCATCCCCTTTAATCTGTTACTGAGAGCATTCAATAGTGTATAGAAATGGCAGGGCTGGGGCTTTTAATGGTGTCCCTAGACACATGTAGCAACACTTCGTGGAGACACTGCTCAGGTGCCTCATTTCTGTAGGTTTAGGGACCATTTCCCTGTTGTTTTTCAGGCTCACAATAAGAAATTGAAATGCGTCAAATGGCTAAAAACTTCACCTACAGTGAGACCTGATCACTTTCCAGGTTTCTTGGTTTGTTAAAGCACACTGGCTAAGATTCCAAATGTCTACACATGAAGACTAAGTTAGACCCATAAATTGCTTCGGGGTTCTGAAAAGAAAAATGCTGTATGAATACCAAGCAGTGATATTATCAGTTTATCTTATGGCAATATCTGACACTTTTCAAGCCTACAGGATTACACACATTTTAATAAAAGTAGTGTTCTATAGAACTTACTTTCATACAACTACATTATATTTTTATGTTTGAGAGAATGTAGGTGGTAGTAAAGATATTCCATTTTCTTTTGACGTCTTCCTCCAATGTTTCAAATGCATTAATACTCAGCAGGTGAAACTGAAATACATTTTATTCTTCAGAATCATTCCCTTGTAAGAGCTCAAATGATTGTTAAATCAGAGTTGAGTGAGCTGCAACTGGATATGTCATTCATTGATTTTTTTTTTTTTTAGTAGTGATTTGACATTTCCATGCATGTTAACACCCTCTTTTGGTAATAAAACACTCGAGGCCAACTCTTTCTCTGTTCTCTCTTAAAGACCTGCTGTTCTTTCTCATTTTTCAAGTGCTTCATGAACAAATAAAGTAACGTGACATTGTTGTTAAGAGGAGTGTTTCAATACTCTGGACTCACTGATTGTGCTCTGAATAATTTGCTCGCTTTTTACATTATAAAAGCAACCAGATGAAAAAGAGCCTTACATCTAAGCATAGAAGAGTTCTAACAAGTGTAAAGGCTTCCCAGGCTCCAGCTTGCCTCCCAAGGTTCTAAAATAAGTGCTTAAAAAATGGCATTGTCTAGTGAGACTGCTAGTTGGGGAGGATTGCGTGAAGAAAATAAGTGGATGTTAATCTCCCAGAGGTCAAGAACTTCATCTTATTTACAGTTGTACTCCATGTTGTGATGGGCCTCATCAGTGTCTTACATAGTTATAGGAACCGAAACAGAAAAAGAAAAAAAAAAAACTATTTCTGAATCATCAAGAGGTCTTTTTTGTAACATAAAGAGGAGGGAAGGTTTTCCAAATGAAAATTATACTGGTAAGAAATCCTAAATGAAGCACAAAATATGAGTTTGGGGAATACTGCTTATGTAGTTATTTGTCTGTCTGTCTTTCTGTGTCTATGATATTTGTGTGTGACATATGAGGTATGACTATAAGGAGACTTAAAAAGCACACATTTTCAACAGTTCATTTTGTGACAGTGTGGTTTAACTTAATAAGGTATGCTAAAGTGCTTTGCAAACTGTAAAGTATTATCCAAATATGACACATTGCAATTATAGTTTGTCCTACAACAAATATTTATTGAGTAGTTCCTAATGTCTATATCAATAAAATAACTACATTGGTAGGGACCAGGAAGAATACAATGACTTTACCCATAACCACACAACTACAGAAAAGAGAAAACAACGAATATAAACATTGACGACTGACCATAGAGGAAATGTGTATTAAACAATAATCAGGAGGTATGCTTATCTGTCCAATATACAAGTTGACTTTGTAATATATTGAATCTTTTATTCTCAATTGTAATATATTGAATCTTTTATTCTCAGAGCGCCACTTTATCGTTGTAATTTCAAAGCATAATAGCTCAGAAGTTTTTATTAAGAACAAGAATAAGAATAAACAGAAGGACTTTTTCTCTCCTTCATAAACAGTATCGCAATCTGTGGATGCAGTGTAAACGTGGCTGCAAAAAGAGAAGAGACATGAAACTTTCAAGACAGCTCTCAATAACTGCATACCTGGAGTGACTATTGATTGTGTTTCCATTTATTCTCAGCTTCAATCACTCCGTCTCGCAGTTGGACAACACCTCTCATTCAAAATAAACCTTCAGTTGTTGATTGTTCCATATCAGGTAGCTGCCATTTCCTGCCATTTCTTGATCAGAATACATTGCTTTGAGTTTTTCCTCTTTAAATCCTTGATACAAATGCATAAGCACAGGGATGACACACTTTGGAACACTATGAAGCACCTTCCAGAACTTACCAGTGTTATTTCACTCTGTAACCAGTTAAAAACAAATCACAATGACTAATGCTGTCACTGACGAGCTGTAGTTGCCATTTACCTCTATCTGTGGATAAGACATTTGTTGAGTATTTTGGCCCAGAGATTCACTTCCTCTGTCAGATGTGGTTAAAATTTTACATGCAGGACGAAAAGACCAAAGAAAAGCAGAGTGATTTACTGAGCTTGCTTTCCCTCAGAAAACAGCCTCATTAGAGTAGTTTGTCGACAGTTCTTAACTCTCTCAAGATAAGCACTGGTTTGGAAAAATATATGTCTCCATGTAATGTCTGTGCATTAAAAAAAAAAGTGTACCTTTTTCCTGTGTTAATAAATAGCATAGATGTCATGTTTAATAGTTTATGGGCTTAGGTGGCTGTGATGAGTCTTCAGACATCCTAAAACATATTTAATAACATGGCATTTTTGCAGCCTTTGATTTTCCTTTGGTACCAATGGCTGAGTGAGTACTGAGAGCCACCCTGCCTTATCAGGCTCACCATTGCTACTCAACTATCCCAAATTAGTACCAGACTAACCTATCTTATTCAGTCTAGCTTTAACTAGCTTAACAGGATGCCTTCTTATTTATCAGTGTCTTTAAATCACCCTCAGAACAAAATGTTCCCTGGGGTTCAACTAGGCCACTGAGAGAGAATGCTCAGGTATTCCAACATTTTTCTCTCCACTCACTTACCCAGCAATTCCAATCAAAATATCTTTGAATTGCCTACCTTTATTTTAGCTCATCTCTTCAAGCTCTTTCTGTTACAATTCAATGAAACAAAGTGCAAAACAAAGAACTAACATGCAAAAAAAATTACTTTTCTTCATTGTACTTTATTTAGCATTAATGTCTCTGCCTGTTCTATAGAGATAGGCCCATGGACATAATCAGACCTAACTAGGCTGTCTGCATAGGAAGCTAGAATAAACATTAAATGATACATTAGTATAAATAATTAGTAAAGGCTTTCAACACTGATTTTATAGTCAATATCCAATGACAAATAATCTCATTAACTGCACAATAAGAATGAATTAAGGGAAATATCATTTCACAAATATTTACTTAGGAACTTATTTAAGAATAAGAATACTATGTTAGGTATATAAACAGATTATAAATTTCATAATAGCTGCAGTTCCTGAGGTCAGGAATATGCTAATTCAGTTAAAAAGGAGGATCTCCAGTTCCAATAGAAAGCAGAAATAATTGAATGCTGGGGTTTTTCTGTTTTGTTTGCTTTGTTTTGATTTTTTAAAATGAGTTATAGACTTAAATTATTTTTGTCTTCTCCTAGAGGGAGGTCCCTTTGTACCACACAAAGGCAAAAGAGTCTCAGTGGGGCTGTCTATTCTATTGTTCAGGGGCTCATAAATAGAAGCTTGAGCAGTATCCTTGCAAATAAAGAGAAAACATTCCTTGCAGATCATGGGACATGAGTTTGGAATGAAGTGGAGGCAAGAGAGCCTCTCATTTACCATGACACAAAAGGGCAAAATTAAACTCTGTGAGGCATTTTAAAAATTAGGTGAGTTTACCAAGATCATCTCCATGGTTTCTGCCAGGTCATTTAGATCCAAATTCACAATAATGACTTGATTATTTAATCTGAAATACAAAAATACATAATGCATATTATCAAATGTTTTAACAGTACCAACAATACATGAATTAAATGTTCCTATTATTTAAGGCTATTAGAATTTTTTAGGAGACTCCTGGATGCTATGTCTTGTGGTAACTACAAGGAATCTGGTTTCCGATGCTTTGGGCAGAATTTAAAATGCAAGTTATCATATAAGCACCACTAGCTGAAACCTGAGCACTTCATTCTGACCAGTGATTACACACCACTATATCTCTCTTCCTCCTCCTCCTCCTCTAAATATGTTTCATATTAGATTGAGTAGCTAACTTGGAAAGTAAGACATCCCTTTAGGAAAAACAAAAATGTTAGGTATGTTCTTCCAGAGAGTGCTAAGTGAGAACTCAATAGACTACTTGTCTCTGCAAACATGTGACTTTATGATTACTCCAGTATTCTATCATCATCAAATCTCATCAACCAGGAATATTAAATCTTATAGAAAACAGAAATCTTGATAATGTCATAACCCCTTCATTTAACACACCCAAAGTCAAAGTGCTGAGCTTGCTACATGGGCACTTTGGTTTTCTACCACTCCCTCCCATTACCCTAGGCTTCAGCGAAAGTAAACTCTTCACAGTTGCCAAACAGATTCTGTACCATGTTGCTTCTTGGGTATTACTCAAACTCTTCTGTCCACCTGGAATTTCTGCATTCGCTTTTACCATTCATTCACTCAGGAATTCAGGGCATGTGTATTTGTTACTTGACCCGTACCTGTCTAAATCCTACCCCTGCTTCAAGACCTAGAAGTCTTATTCAAAACAACGAAATTACCCCATGAAATCTTCATTTATCCTTCTGATCAGAACTGGTTTATTCATCCATCCATTCACTCACTTAAATAAATATTATATTAAAAACCTACTGTTGACTGGGCTTCGTGGCTTATGCCTGTAATCCCAGCACTTTGGGAGACCAAGGTGGGTGGATCACGAAGTCAGGAGTTCGAGACCAGCCTGGCCAACGTGGTAAAACCCTGTCTCTACTAAAAATACAAAAAATTAGCTGGGCATGGTGGTGCATGCCTTGTAATCCCAGATCCTCCAGAGGCTGAGCCAGGAGAATCGCTTGAACCCAGGAGGTGGAGGTTGCAGTGAGCTGAGATCCTACTGTGTACTCAGTCCTAGTCATACAAGCGATTGTATTGTATTGCATTGTATTGTATTATCTATCCAGATGCTTACTGAAACTAGAAATCCATGGGGCAAGCATAGAACCACCCTCTCTCAATCTCTTACATTTAATGCATCAACTCTCAAATTTCTTTATTAAATATATCTAGGATCCATGGACTTCTTTTTACCTCTGCTGCCATGATCTTAAGCCATAATCAACCAAGATATCTTCAGAATTGTTCAATAAAATGCTAACCTTTCTCCTGTATCTTTCATTAAGACAAAAGCATGAATGATCCTCTCAAAATGTAAATCTCATCATATTGTGCCTTTGCTTAAAATGCTTCATTGACACAGTCCTAAACAAAGTAATCTAAGAAGGTTCTTCTGAGAACTTTATGTCTAAAATGAGACCCACAAGATTTACAAATGCTAGCTATTCAAAGAACTAGGGAAAAATCAGTGACATCATCAACAGAGTGAAAAAGCAAACCACAGAATTGGAGAATGTATTTATATCATTGGGCTTATTACAGAATTAAAATAATAATAAAAGGCACAATTGTCAGCTCCTCCACAACAGAGAGTTGAAGAATAACAAGTAACAAGGAACATAGCAAGATCCCAGTTTAAAGGATGCCCAATCTAAATAGAAGGATAGGATGCAGAAAAAACATAATGCCCAGTGTTAGGAAATAGGACTGGATCTCGCCAAGGACTGGTGATCCAAGCAGCACCAATCAGTGGACTGAGAAGCTCAGTGTTTTAAATGTGTAAAGCTTCCATCTAAGAATGCCAGCAAAGTTGAAGGGTTCCACTTCATCCAGACACTTCGGTGCTTAATCATAGAGTAGAAGAAAATGACTTCAGAGTTTACTAGCTAGTACGCCACTGGGATAAAATAAAACTTGTTTTCTTAAAAATGAGTGCAGGTATTGGAAGATGATATATGTTGTTAGAATCAAGGCACGCAGTCATGGAAGATGAGATCACAATCTCACATATTACAAAGAAGCTACATTTTAGACCCACTCATGTTAATATATAAATGAAATGATGCTTCATTTGCCATTTTGTGCCTTGTCCCTAGCTCCATGCCTGCAATCTTTAATGACTGTTTTCAAGTACCCTTGCTTTTGGGTTGTCTATAAGAGCAGGATATAGATGAGGGTGTTTGTGTAGCCCTGCAAAATTAGGGCTATGGTTATGTAGCCATCAATCTGTGGAGACCTCGCAGAAAAGAGAAAGATGTGATTAAATGTCATTCAGTCAGTCTGAAGGAGAAAGGCCAGATAGAAAAGCACATAGGTTGACATGAGGGAAAATCGAAAGTCAGAAGAAGAATCAAAGAAAAGTTTGGAAGTTTATCTCCATAAATATTCACTGTAGACAACAGAGGCAGGAGAAGCCTACTCTCTACAACATGCTTAGATTTGTAAGAGAATGAGCCAAGTCAGGAAAGTACCAGCCTTGGAACTATATTAAATTCATACAGCTTTGTCAATAGAGCTATCTCTCTCGTGAAATTTAAAAAATGGTATATTATCTACGGTCTCTGGCTGAGGAAATTTAGCAGTAAAACATGCACTGAAAATTATGTCTTAAAAAGGTTAATTGAGTTTTGGTGTTAAGGTTTAGAGGTAAAATTAATCTAATTAAAAGGGACCAAAAAGGCAATGGCTCTCAACCCTGGTGGCACAAAGAAAAATTTTGAATGCCTTGACCATTTCTCCAAAATTCTGATTTAATTGACCTAGGGAGGGTGTCTGAACATAGTCCTACTCCTCCCTTCCTTCATTTTTTACTTCCTTTCTTCTTCTCTCTCTTTCTGCAGCTATTTGGATGTGAGGTGATAAGGGCCTGAAATAGAATAGTAGCAATCAAAATGGAGAATAAATTTACATAAAGAGACATTGTTAAGGGAAAAAAATGACAGCTATCTTGACTAATAAAACCTAGCTGAACTTAGGAAAAAAATCTTTCACACATCAATGAAAACTACCGTCTTACAAGGCTAGCGGTCTATTTTTCTGTTAGAGAAAAGAGAGACAATGATGGTTAACAGTAAATTAACCAAAATATTTACTAAATCACAAATTAGTATCAATAACAACAGAAAGCCCCCTCCTACCTCAAATTTCTCACTTACTTGTTTGAAAAAACCTTCTGGCTCCCCATTGGCTCTGGTAAATTCTAATCCCCTTAAGCTGTCATGTAGAGCTTTTCTTTTATTTTTTTATTATACTTTAAGTTCTGAGATACATATGCAGAACCTGCAGGTTTGTTATATAGGTATACATGTGCCATGGTGATTTGCTGCACCCATCAACCCCTCATCTACATTAGGTATTTCTCCTAATGAAATCCCTTCCCTTACCCCCTACCCCCCAACAGGCCCCAGTGTGTGATGTTCCACTCCCTGTATCCATGTGTTCTCATTGTTCAACTCCCACTTATGAGTGACAACATGTTGTGTTTGGTTTTCTGTTCCTGTGTTAGTTTGCTGAGAACGATGGTTTCCAGCTTCATCCATGTCCCTGCCAAGGGCATGAACTAATCCTTTTTTATGGCTGCATAGTATTCCATTGTGTTTATGTGCCACATTTTCTTTGTCCAGTCTATCATTGTTGGGCATTTAGGTTGGTTCCAAATCTTTGCTATCATCAGAGTGAACAGGCAACCTACAGAATGGGAGAAAATGTTTGCAATCTATCCATCTGACAAAGGACTAATATCCAGAATCTACAAGGAATTTAAACAAATTTATAAGAAAAAAACAAACAACCCCATCAAAAAGTGGGCAAAGAATATGAACAGACAATTCTCAAAAGAAGACATTTTTGTGGCCAACAAACATATGAAAAAAAGCTCATCATCACTGGTCATTACACAAATATAAGTCAAAACCATGATGAGATAGCATCTCACACCAGTCAGAATGGCAGTCATTAAAAAGTCAGGAAACAACAGATGCTGGAGAGGATGTGGAGAAATTGGAACACTTTTACACCGTTGGTGGAAGTGTAAATTAGTTCAGCCGTTGTGGAAGATGGTGTGGTGGTTCCTCAAGGATCTAGAACCAGAAATGCCATTTGACTCCAGCAATCCAATTACTGGTATATACCCAAAGGATTATAAATCATTCTACTATAAAGACACATAACTGGATGGAATATCAACGCAGAGGAAATTTAACCTTGATCGAAATGTTTTTAGCCGAACAATAAATGTGGAGATTTACTATTGTTGATGATGATGTCATTATGAATTCATACATTAGAAATGTAACTCAAGTGAAAAGTGAACTTATATAGGATTCATTTGGAATGAATAGGAAAATATATTGAGATGAATGGGAAAATAAGCCTATATCGGATTCATTTGGAATACATTGGAAAAATCAGAGCAGAAACTCTTTCCAAGAAAGAGACAATGGACATCATGGGAACAGTGTTGTGAGAAAAAAAAATTCTACTGGATTCAAGAGATATTTGTAATGAGCTTACGGAATTTGTGGTGACTTAAATACTTGGTGGGTAGAGAAGGAATGAATGTCACTGAACTTTCCAGTTTGAGAGACTGAAAGAGTGGCACCACCATTTATAATGAATGAATCAATGAGACAATGAGAAATGGTTTGATTGGGAGAGAGTTAGGAAGTTTAGATTAGGATTTGTTTTACTTGAGGTCACTGCAGTAGTTCCTGGAGAAAAGGTCAAATACAGTGAGAAATGTAGAGTACAGAAGGAAGAGTGTTGTAAAGAGAAACAAAGATTTAAAACTTCAAAGCTTATTCATCGTAGTTGTGATCATGAAAATTAATGAAATAAGGGCAGAGAAAGAAATAGAAAAGAAGCTAGAATAGATGTTGAGTTTTGTACCTGACACCTAGTTGATCTTCGAGTCAGATATTAAAATTGAAAGCACAGGCCTATATTTTTAGAAGAAAGCCATAAGAAAGCTTGTGGACCTGTAATTTGTAGATTAACTGTATTTTTAAATAATGACATAGATTTTGCCACATTTAACAAAAAATGTTATCTAAGGAGTTAATTGAAGTAAACTGACAATTCTTAACTTTCTGTGGAATTCAGCCTTGAATGTTAGCATCCAAAAATGTGAGGATTAAAACATTTTATTGAAACTCTAATTAGTTTGAGGTAATTAATAAAATTTTAAGGTAATTAATAAAAATAATAAATATAATAGTTAATAATAAATTTTAAGGTAATGACTAAAATCATTCCAGTGGAAATGATTACCAAATCCCAAGGTCTATTAAATTTTAAGTATGATAGGGTTGGTTATAATATTGATGCTTTCACAATCTTTCTGACTTGACACAAAATCCACAGCTATGTCCAGGAATTCTCATATTTTTAATTTATTTTTATTTATTTTTTTGAGACAAGGCCTCACTATATTGCCAAGTCTGGTCTCCAGTACCTAGGTTCAAGTGATCCTCCTACCTCAGCCTCCTGAGTAACTGGGACTACAGGTGCATGCCACAGTGCCAGACTTCTCAATTTTTTTTAATCCCTGGATTGAAAATCGAAACATAGTACAACATAATGCTAAAAAGCTAAAAAGCTTGTAAATATTTTTTTTTTGAGACAGAGTCTTGCTCTGTTGCCCAGGCTGGAGTGCGATGGCACAATCTCGGCTAACTGCAACCTCTGCCTCCCAGGTTCAAGCAATTCTTCTGCCTCAGCCTCCTGAGTAGCTGGGATTACAGGCGTGCACCACCACGCCCAGCTAATTTTTTATTTTTTTGGTTTTTTTAATTTTTTTAGTAGAGACAGAGTTTCACCATGTTGGTCAGGCTGGTCTCGAACTCCTGACCTCATGTTCCACCCACCTAGGCCTCCCAAAGTTCTGGGATTACAGGTGTGAGCCACCGTGCCTGGCCAATAATTTTTAACTTAAACTTCTGAATAGCTCCTATTATGCTCAAATTTATATATCATCCTTTAAAGTTGCAATCCATTTTGTTTGTTTGTTTGTTTTGTTTATATTTTCTCATTTGTCTTCTTCCTGGGAATACTTATCAAATCTAATGCTAACTAAAGGGATGAGGCATTTGATTCCCCCAGCCATAGGGCAAACACAACTAGTTTTACGTGTACTTTGTGGTAGAAAAATGAGTAAGTACTTCTGAAGACATAGTTGGTTGAAACTTCTCCTTCCAAAAAGATGGAATAGACATACGTTTCCCTATTTCTCACACTAAGTACAACTAAAAACCCAAGACACTATACAAAAATGAACATAAAACTCTGAGAAGTAGAGAGAAGAAAGCGGGCTAGTAAGGGGGTCTTAAAACCCATAAATGACATGATAATGAGTTCCCTTTCATCCTCTTTATATCATATATCCCAGACTTAAAGCCAGAGATAAGAAGAAAAAAAAAGAAAAAGCCCAAACACAAGTCTGCTGTCTTTGGCCAAAGGACAAATAAAGGAGTTGAATGGAAAGACAGAGAAATTTTAGACAATAACTTCTTACTTCAGCTGACTAGCACCTCAACAAATGCCAACAAAGGCCAAGTAGAACACTTAGACTTCCATCGTCCCCAGTCTGTCATGAGGGTCCCATAACATCTGCCAAGGTGCTGCCAGAGAAGACTGAGTAAGGAGTTGGGACCTTCATAGTCACCACCTACAACCATCTCATGCCCCAGTGAGGGTCAATGGAGAGAGACCACTTGGAGAGCCTGGATTTCCACACCCATCAAGTAGTATGAGCCATCCCTACTTCTCCTCACTAGGGTGATTGTGGAGGCATAGAGAGAGGCAGAACTTTCACCATTGTCCAATGGTAATGGTGTTACTTCTCCCTCTTGGTGTCATGGATACCATAGGGGAAGCATTTAGTACAATGAGTCACTATAACTTCTCCCACTAGGGAGTATCAGTGGAGGCCTAGTGGAGAGCCAACTCTCTTACCTACAATCAGCGATAATGAAGACCCATTCCTCTGGTGTCAATGGAGGTCTAGTAGAGAACCTTGTCATTAACTCCCACTTGGTAATAATTAGCCAGCAATTCCCCATCCCCACCAGCATCGTGTCAGAGGAATCAAGTTAATACAGAGATTTATGTGAGATTCAGTGTTATAATATAAAGCTCAAACTGTACATATTTCTGTCAAAAATTACTTATCATATCAAGAACTAGGAAGATCTCTGAATAAGTGAAGAAAAGACAATCCAAGATGCAAGCTATGAGAAGACAAATATATTAGGATAATCGACCAAATATCTAATGCAACCATTATGAAAACATTTCAATGAGCAATTACAAACATGCTTGAAACAAATGAAACCATGCAAAGTCTCAGCAAAAATATAAAAGATATAAAGAAGAAAAATGAAAAGTTTAGAGTTGAAAAATATTATAATGTAAGAAGCTTAATGGATGAGCTTAACAGCAGAATGGAGGAGGCAAAGGGAAAATTAGTAAATTAGAAGGTAATTAGAAGAAAAATATAAAAATTACCAAATTTACACAACAAAGAGAAAACAGGCTGGAAAACAGTATACCCTTATGGATATGTGGAACTATAATCTGACTTTGGGTCATTGACGACTCAGAAGGAGAGGAGAAAAAGGATGATGCTGAGAAATTAGAAATAGAAGAAATAATGGCTGAAAACTGCCCAAATTTGACAAAAGATGTAAATCTACAGTTCAAGAAGCTGAATGAATCCCAAACAGGATAATCTCTCACACATACACAAAAAAAGCTACATAGTGAAACTTCTGAAAACTAAAGGAAAAGAAAAAAATCTCAACAGTTGTGAGAAAGAAATAATACTTTTCTTTCTAAGGAAAAAACAACTTGAATGACAGTGGATTTCTCACCAGAAACTATGGAAGACAGAAAGAAGTGGCAGATAATTTTTAAAGTGATATAGAAAATAATCTCTTAAGCCAGGATTCTATACCTAGTGAAAATATCTTTCAGAAATGAACAGGAAATTAATATATGTGTAGACTAAAACAAACAAACAAACAAAAAAAAACAGAGGCAATGCTTGCTGGTAGACGTCTCCTAAAAGAACAGCTAAATGATGTTCTTTAAACAGAAAGGAAATAGTTTTGTTTTTTTTTTTAAAAAAAAGGAATGTTCAAATATCAGGAAAGAGGGAAGAACATGGTAAACAAAACTACAAGTAAATTCAATACAATTTTATTCTCCTCTTCTGTTTTCTAAATTATGTTTTATAATTGAAGTAAAAATTATAAAACTACCTGGTATTATTTTAAATCTATGTAGAAAAAAATACTTAAGATAATTGTAATATAAATGTGGGAGTGTAAAAAGATATAAAGAAAGGTAGAGCTTCCAAATTTCACTCAAACAAACAAAATGATGACACTGGTAGACTGTTATAAGTTATCTATACATAATATATAGTAACACCTAAAATAATCATGAAGACAACAATACAAAGAGATATATTCAAAACATTAAAGATAAATAAAAATTGAATTTTTAGAAAGTTTCATAAATGTAAAGGAAAGCAGAAAAAACAGTAAATGAAAAACAAAGAAAACAAATGGAAAACAACAAAAAAAGAGAAACTCAACTCTAGCATATTAATACTTGCATTAATGGCGTAAATGTTCTAAATACATCAATTAAAAGCCAGAGATTGGCAGAGGTGATTAAAAGACATGATCCTGTCTACAAGAAACTCACTTCAAATGCAACAATATAGGAAAGTTAAAAGAAATGAGGGGAAAATACACATCATGCAAGCATTACTCAAAAAAAGCAAGTGTGGCTATAATTATTGCAGATGCAGTAGGCTTCAAAGCAAAGCAAAGCAGCAGAGACAGAGAATGACAAGGGTCAATCAACCAAGAAAATATTGCAATCCTAAATGTGTATCTTAGAATTGAAACAAGAAATAGACAAATCAAGAACTACAGTTAGAGACTTCAACACTCGTCTCAAAAACTGATGGAATAACTGGATATATTATCAGCAAAGAGATAGGACTTAAAAATACCACCAAGAAAGAGAATCAATTCCTTGAAAAACACAAATTACCACAATTTATCTGATACAAAACAGATCACTTGAATAACTCTCTAACTACTAATAAAGTTGAATATGTAGTTTTAAAATTCCTCCCCCAAACCATCTCCAGGCACAGATGGTTTCACTGGAAAATTCAACAAAATGTTTAAAGAAAAATTCACACCGATTCTATACAATGTCTGCCATAAAATAGAAGAAGATGAACGCTTCCAATTAATATTTTGAAGCTAATTCACCTTAAGTCTCACAACTTCTGCAAAAATTAACTCAAAATAGACCATAAACTTAAATGTAAAACATAACAATATAAAAGTTTTAGAAAAAAATACGAACAATCTTCAGGGTTTAGAGCGAGGCAAAGGTTTTTCTTAATTAAGCACCAAAAATAATCCATAAATGATAAAATTGGTGAATTTTTATAAAAATTTAAAACTAATCCTCTGTGAAAGTCTCTTAAATAAATAAAAAGGTAATCTATAGACAGGAGAAAATATTTACAAGTAATATACCTTTCAAAGGACTAATATCTGAAAACTCAAAATCAACAGTTTGAAAAATCTAATTAAAATATGGGCGAAAAAATTGACATTTGATCAAAGAGCATATGGCAAATAAGCACATAAAAAGTTGATCAAGTATTAGCCACTGGAGGAATGCACATTAAAACCACAATGAGAGATATACTAACCAGAATAGCTTGTAACCAAATGATTACAAGGTTATAGGAAAACTGGATCAATCATATGTTGCTGCTTGGAATGTAAAATTATATAGGCACTCTAGAAGACAGGAAGTTTCTTAAAATATTAAACATGCTGCCACCATATGACCCAGCAGCTATAATCCTGGACATTTATCCTAGAGAAATGAAAAGTTTATGTTTACATAAAAACCTTACACAGATGTCCACAGTAGTTTTATGTGTGATAGCTAGACAGTGAAAACAACTCAGATGTTCTTCAACAGGTGAATGGTTAAACAAACTATGGCATATCCCATGTAATGGAATACTACCAACAACAACGTGGAAATTTCCAAAAATAAGAATTACAGCAAAAATTGAGAAGACAATGTAACCCTATAATCTGGACGCTGAAGGTGCTTGATAAAAGCATGTCTATGGAAGCTTAAACTGGCAGAGATGTGTACTATATCCTGGAAATAGGATAATTCTTAAAATTAGTTGTCCATTGTAAAAGTGGAGGCTGATGTGATAATTGCCGCATTATTTCCCCAGGTGATCCCGAAAACAGCTCTGGGGTCTGACCACGTGTGCCTTTTTTAGTTGTTTTGTTTTTTGTTTGTTTGCTTCCTTTTTCCTTTTTTTTTTTTTTTTTAATTTGTACAAATTTAAGGAGTACATGTGCAGTTTTCTTACATGAATAAATCACATAGTAGTGAAGCCTGGGCTTTTAGTGCATTAATCACCCGAATAATGCACATTGTACCCATCAAGTAATTTCTCATCTCCCACCCCTTCCCACCCTCCCGCCCTCCCAAATCTCCAATGTCTATCATTCCCCATTCTATGTTCATGTGTACACATTTTAAGCTCTCACTTATAAGTGAGAATACGCGGCATTTGAATTCTTGTTTCTGCATTGATTGTTTTGCTGAAAATAGTGGCCTCCAGTTTGATTCATCCTTTCACTTCACTTGTAAAGTAGACAAATGGTAAGTTTTGGCCAAAATAAATCCTTACTTAGATTGGCCTTGTCAGCTAATACTTTCATCATTTTCTCTGGATTGAGCGGGATTCCTGGTTGTAACTTCCTTTAGTTAGATTATCCAAGCTTTTTTGGAACAATATAGACAAGTAAAATTTGTAGAAATACGTTAGTGAACAGAGAAAAGATATGCTTAGCTTAGCAAACTCTTTAATGAAAAGCTTCTTGCTTCCAGTTTTAGGGATCTACAGCTTTCACCTGTGCACCAGATGTGTTGACAGCCTTATAAAACATCTCTTCCTTATAATTTTTGGACTGGGGAAGATCAAATTTCAGGCCTTGATACTTACAGCAAGTACTAATATTTCTGCTGTTTATGAAACAGATTTCTCTAACTCATGACTTATCTTAAAGATAAATGGGGAAAAAGGAAAAGTTAACAGCTATGGGAAAAAATGAGTATGCTGTCTTTTGAAAAATTCACTGGCTTACCATATATTCATAGGTAAATCATTTTACTTCTCTGACTCTGTATTCTAATTTGTAAATGAAAATAAGATTTGGTGAAAAAATTAAACAGCAAAAATGCAACCACTCTGAAGACTTCAAAACGTAAAAATAAGGACATGTTTATGCTTTATTTAAATATAACTCAGCAAAATTTAATTGATTAGCTAAAGCATACCAAGGAATATCCTAAGCATTAAGATCTAATACATTTTTTATGCCTTGAGATCACACCATATGTAAAACCTGCTATGGGTTATAAAAGAAATTCAGGCTAAAGACCAACTTCTGGCATGACAATATCTGGAGCTCCACTGACTCCAATGAAACTGATAAAAAATATGTTTTTAAAGTCCTCTTGAAAATTGTGCTAAAGGCAGACAGCAAATGAAGAAACATCAATTCAAAGAAATTTCTAAAAATTCAGTAAGAAAGGCGAGTCCGTGATACTTGAACACAGAAAGTCCCATCTCTCCCCCTACCCAGCTCAGCAGGGTAGAGCCTCCCCATTCCAGACTTCTGGAGCCAAGAATACAGGGATTCTACCATTCCCACTCTCCACCTAGAGGGATTTATTCTTAGGAGGAGCGGTACTTCAGTGTTTCTCATCCTACCTCCAAGTGCCTATTGCTGAGGCTAAGACCTGGGTAAATACGGTCAAGAATAGCAGTTCCCTTTCTCTGCTCAATCCCCACTCATGGAATATACAGTCCACCTGTTGAGAATACTGAGATCCTTATAGCCCCTGCCCCAGAACTTGAAGTGATAATTGTTCTACAACTGGAGAGCTAAACTAAGTGACCTCAGGCTGCGCAGATCTCCCTCCCTGCATCAAGTTCTCAGTTGCTGAAACAAGAATGTCACTCAAAGAGAATCTTGTCAATGTCCCAACTCTTAGCTCTAGGGCCTTAACCCAGAGATTTTGCCTGGTAGGAGAAACAGGACACAAAATGATGACTCTAAATTCTTCCCAAAGGATCTGACTTTATTTTCAACGAAACATGAAGAAGCTGAAGCCAAAGGACAATCTCAAGAACAGGGAAGGTTACAGTGAAAAAATATTAGGAAGAGTTTTAGGATCTGATAAAGATACAGCCTAGTTTGTAGGCCAACTAGTTTGCAGGAGAAAACCGGGCAATCTGACAACTTGAAGGAATGCTCCTGAGGTCAAAAGAAATACTAAACAAATCATTAAAAAGAGCCAAATGAAAATTCTGGAGCAGAAAACTATAATAACTGAAATAAAACATTTATTAGAATTAATCTTAGATTTGAACTGGAGGAAGAAAGAATTAGTGAACTTAAAAATAGACTGATAGAAGTTAGGCAAGCTGAAGAACAGACAGAAAAAAGAATGAGGAAAAATGAATAGATACTCAGAGAAATATGGAATACCATTAAGTGCATCAATATACATATAATGGGATTATCAGAATAAAAGAGAGAAAGGAAAAAAAACATATTTAAAGATATAGTGGCTGAAACTTCTTACATTTATTGACAATAATTACAACGAACTTCAAGTAGGGTAAACACAAACAGACTCACAGACACATGATGTAAAAATGCTAAAAGTGAAAGATGATGGTAACTCTTCAAAGTCATAAGAGAAAAACAGTGTGCTACTTTTTAAAAATAAGGCAAAATAAAGACTTTAACAGATAAACAGAAGGTGAGGAAATGTGTTTCTAGCAAACTCACCTGGTAAGTAATACTGTAAGAAATTCTTCAGCCTAAAAGCAATTGACACCAGATTGCCATGTGGAGTCACACAAACAAACAAAGAGAATCAGCAAAAGTCATTATGCAAGTATAAAAGACACTATAAATGAATATTTTTCCTTTCTTCTCCTGATGGATTTAAAGAGAAATTGTAAAAACTTTCATATATTTTTTATATATAATGTGCTATTTGTAATATATGCGTAATATATTTGCTGATAATAGCACAAAGGCGGTAGGGAGAGTAAAGCTGTAATGGGCTAAGAAAATGACTACATATGGTAGAATAATAATTATAGAAATGTATTTTGAGGTTTATAATGTTAATAGATGTAATACATAGAACACCACCACAAAAAAGAGGAAAATGAAATAAAGCTATATATCACTGGAATTAGGCTAGTTTAAATCTAAGGCTAATTTTGATCAGTTAAGATGTATATAGTATATTCTAGAGTAACCACTACAAATTAAGTCAAAAATATAGTGAAAAAATTATTAAAGAAATTAATATGCAACATTAGAAAATGTTCACTTAAAGCAAAAGAAATCCATAGAGAGGAATTGAGACTCAAAAAAGACAACAGACATATAGAAAACAAAAGTAAAATGTAAGATGTAAATTCAAATATATAAATAAAAACATTAAACGTCTGTGAATTAATTCAATCAGAAGGCACAGAGTGTCAGATTGGAGTTTTTTTAATAAAGAAAACATTATCCATGTGTAAGTTTAGAAAAGAAGATATACTTAAAGTATAATAATTTAAAAAAGAAGATATACTTTAGATTCAAAGACACAAATAGGCTACAAGTAAAATGATGGAAATGACATATCTTGCAAACAACAACTGTAGGAAAGCTGGAGTGGTTTTAAAAACTTAGACCAAATAGACTAAACCAGAAAATGTTACTAGAGATAAAGAAAGGCATTTTATAATTATAATGGAGGAGATATCATGACTAAAGCGTACATTGATAAATGCTTAGCTAGACTGACTAAGACAAAAAGAGAGGACTCAAATTGCAAGACTGAGAAATGAAAGAGGGGACATTATTACAGACCTTACAGAAATAAAAAGAATTAAAACAAATACTGTAAACAATTATATGCAAACAAATTAGTTAATTTATATGAAATGGACAGATTCCTAGAAAGATACAAAGAACCTAAACTGACTCAAGAAGAAATAAACAACGTGAATAAACCTATAACAAATTAAAATATTAATTTAGTATTCAAAACCTACCCATTAAGAAAGAGCCAAGGTCCATATTGCTTCACAGATGAATTTATCAATCATTTAAAAAAGAATCAATAGAAATTATTTACAAACTATTACAATAAATATACTGAGAGAGAAGACTTCCCAATGTATTTCATGAAGCCTGTTTTACCTTGATACAAAACGGACAACAAAATCACAAGAAAACTATAGACCAATATGTTTATGAATATGGACAGAAAAACCCTCAATAAGACATTGGCAAACTGAACCCAGAAATATATAAAGATAATTATACAACATGACCAAGTGGGATATATCCCAGAAATGCAAGTTTGGTTTAACATCTTAAAATCAATTAATATATTCTACCATATCAAAAAAAACCCCACATGTTCATCCCAATAGATGCTAAAACAGCATTTGACAAAATTCAACACATTTTTATGATTTAAAAAAGAAGACAAAAAATCTAAACAAACCAGGAATAAAAGGAAATGTCCTCAAAATAATAATGACATATAAGAAAACCTCACAGCTAATTTTATACTTACTGGTGAAAAACTGGATGCTTTCTCCCTAAGTTCAGGAACAAAATAAGGATGTCTGTTTCACCACTTGTATTCAAAATTGCACTACATAGGCCGATTAGCACAAAAAAAGAAATAAAAGAGATCAAGATTGGATAGGAAGAAGTAGCGTTAGGACTATTTGCAGATGGCATGATTTTATGTATAGAAAATTCTAAGAAATCCACCTAAAACTGTTAGTACTAATAAATGAATTTATTAAAGTTGCAGAATACAAAACCAATACACAAAAATCAGTTTTTATTTCTTTACACTTGCAGTGAACAATCTAAACATGAAACAAAGAAAATAATTCCATTCATAACTACATCAAAAAGAATAAAATACCTGGGAATAAATTTAATAAAAGAAGTACGAAACTTATATTCTAAAAAATACAATATATTAAGAAATTAAAGAAGATCTAAATAATGGGAAAAGACCCCATGTTCATAGATCAGAAGACTTAACATTGTTAAGATTATTCCCTAAAATCATCTACAGATTCAACATAATTTCTATCAAAATCCTCGCTGATACTATTTAGAAGTTGACAACCTGGTTCTAAAACTCATATTAAATTTCAAATAACCCCAGATAGCCAACAAATATTGAAACAGAACCAAGTTGAAGGACTCATAGTTCCTGATTTCAAAATTTACTACAAAGCCACGGTAATCAAAACAAATGATACTGGCATAAGGATAGACCTGCAGATCAAAGGAATAGACGTCCATTCAGAATTCCATTCCAGAAATAAACATCCAGAAATAAATTCAACATCTAGAAATAAGCCCATACATCTGTGTTCAATTGATTTTCAACAAGGATAGCAAGTTTATTAAATGCAGAAACGAATAGTCTTCAACTAATGGCATTGGGACAACTAGATATTCATGTGCAGAAGAATGAAGTTGGATTCCTATCTCATATCATACACAAAAACTAACCCCAAATGGATTAGAGACCTAATTGTAAGAGCTAAAATCACAAAACTCTTAGAAGAAAACATAGGAGTAAATATTCATGACCTTCCTTAGCTTTGGCAACAGATTATTGGATAATAATCTGTTGGATTATAATTATTGGATAAGCATGAGCAAAAGAAATAAATAATAGATAAATTGGATTTCACCAAAATTGCAATGGCTACAAGAAAAATAAAAATAAAAACTTTTGTTCTTCAAAGACCAGCATCAGGAAAGTGAAAAAATAATCCACAGAGTGGAAAAAAGTATTTGTAAATCACATATCTGATAAGGGTCTTGTATCAAGACTATATAAAGACATGACTCAATCATAAAAGACAAATAACCTGATTAAAAATCAGCTAAGGATCTTAATAGCCACTTCACTAAGAAAGACGTACACATGGCCAATGAGCCATAAAAAAAAGCTACTTAACATTATTAGTCATTAAAGAAATGCAAATCAAAACCACAATCAGATGCCACTTCAAAGGCACTAGGATAGCAAGTATCAAAAAGATAACAAAGTGTTGGTGAGTATGTGGAGAAATTGAACCCTCCTACACTGCTGATGTGAGTATAAAATGGTGCAGCTGCTTTGGAAAATAATCTGACAGTTTCTCAAATGATTAAACATAGAGTTTCCATATAACTCAACATTTCCACTCCTAGGTATATACCCAAAGAAATAAAAATATATGTCCACACAAAAACTTGTACATGGATGTTTTTAACAGCACTAGTCATAGCAGTCAATAGGCAGAAGCTACTCAGATATTCATTAACAGATGAATGGACAAACAATACAAGGTACATCTGTACAACGAGATTTTATATTCAGCCACAAAGAGGAATGAAGTACTGATGCATGATACAAATGAATGAACTTTGAAAACACTATGCTAAGTGATAGAATCCAGAGATGAAGTGGAAGCCTTGTTTAATCTCTTTTTTTCATTTCTAGTCTTTATATGTTCTCTTTCTGCCCTGAAAGAGAGCCCTGATGATAGATTACCTTTATCCTGGATTCAGCCTCTGAGTCATAATATTAGTAGAAATTAAATTAAAAAAGAAAAATATGCATGGAATTTTTTTACCTGAATTTTTTTCCTTATTGGTTAAATACAATTGTTTTTAATGTTAAAAGAGGGAATAGATATTTCATTACTTATTCACCTTCAAATTCTTTCAAAACTTGCCATATGCCTCAACAAGTCTTTCATCAAAGATTCCCCTCGTATTCTTAGACAAAGGAAGACAAATATTAAATTGCCAAGGATTGAATATTTGTAATCTTTTAAAAGAGTACAATACTTGCCCCTCTCTTTCATACTAAAAATCTGAGTCTGATATCCACTGTAAATGATCTGTCCTAATATAATGGTCCTCTGCCTTGGATAACTGGAAACCTTAGATAATCTGCTCAGTTAAATTGGAATGATATTAATATTTTGTCACACTCTGTTTTCTGTCTCCTTTTAGTTGACAGTTTTTACCCACAGGGCAGTGGGGTACTTGAGATTCTTAAGCCTTATGCAACAGGGAAAGCTGCCAGGCTAATGGTCACTAGTTGAGAGATACAACCAGTTACCCATTTTTCAATCACATTTTTCAATCACTTAGCAATGAATTTAGTTCTTCAACAGTCTTATGTTAAGGTTTGTTTTCTATAGGACAGACACTATAATGGATGCTGATGATACAAAAGCAAATAATACAGAGCCCCTGTCCTTTGGCACTCACAGTCTAATGGCCAAATGCAAAGAGGAGACGGGGTGAATGTACAACAATATGCTGTATATACTTCAGAATACATGATGGTGAGGTCAGTAAAGATTTCAGGAAAGAAGAGACACTGAGCTGAATCTTAAAAGACTGAGGATATGTTCTTCCAGCAGGCAAAGGTGGATTGCATGTACAGTGGTGTACATACTTCTAGGAGGAGGTGGAGTCTATTTCATTGAAAGAATCATCCTCTAAGCCACGGCAAAATAGAATGCCAAGATGACTACATCCTTCCCCACAGAGTTAAGCAAATCAATGTCAATACATTAAATCCTGACTTCCACATTTACGAAGCTCACAGAAAATCATTTAACCTCTTTCTTTGGAGATATGATAGGTCTTTAACCTCTTTATCAGGAGATCTCTTCCTGCTCATGAACCCCACAGCATCCTCCAGAGTTGGGAATGAGTGTCCTGAGCCTTCCTGGTGGTGATGGTGGTATAGTAGTTAGCATGGCTGCTTTCCTGAGCCTTTCATTTTTCTAGGAAAAAGGAAAGCCTAGCCTAGGTGAAGCAGGAAACTGGCCCACTTCCACTGTATACCTCACCAAGAACATGCCAACTCAATCTGACTGACCCAACATGGGCAAATACATTTTGGAATACACAAACACAAACGTCCTCTACCTTGGAAGTTCCTAACTTCAGAACAGAATTCCCAAGAAGTCTGAAATTAAGCCAGTCAAAGTAAGTGTCTGCAAATTCTTCTTTGAACGGAAAGCAGACTCCTGGGCACTGTTATATTTAACTGTGGAGTCACTGCGTGTCCTATGTATCAACCACCTGGCATGTTAAATAAGCAACATCTTCCATTGATGTACTCTCTTACCATGTATGAAGATATATAACATGCATTATTTCATAGGATAACTCTAGGCTAAAGAAGTCAAGTGTTCTCTTGAGTAACAGAGGAGGGAATAGAACTCTATGACATGATCAATGTCACTCAGGTAGTAAGTAACAGAGTCAGATCCAGAGCAGAGCTTTTTGGTTTCTGGGTTCATAATGTAGAATCTACTTTTTGTATTAATTATCGTTTTATTTTTCTCACATGACACAAAGTTTAGAGGGACAATTTACTGTTGCTGTAGTGACTCAATAATACTGGCAAGAACTGCAGTTCTTTCCATCTGCTCCATTTACCTTACCTTGTAGGCCTTTGTCCTTCTGTTTGCCCACTCCTGGTCACCAAATGAGTGCTGCAATTTCAGGCTTCAAGTTTACTCTCTGGGAAGGAAAAAGGTGGAAGGGGTGCAGGAACAAGAGGGGCAAAAGCTGAGCCTGTCCTTTTTTTTTTTTTTAACAAATATGAGCTTTCCTGAAGTCCCACCCAGGGAACTCCTATTGACATCTGTTTGGACAATATTATGTTGCCTTGTCATCTCCAGGTGTGAGGGACAATAGGAAAAAAGGTTTTGCTTTTGAACTTCTAAAGTAGAAAAAGTAAGGGAAGAGAGGGTATTGAATGGCTCCTGGGTAAGCACCCATCTACCATGTCTAGCACTGAGCTGCATTAGGTTGGCTTTTTAAATATCATATCTTAATTTTCATTAGATACAAATTATTATTACATAGAATAATTGGAGGTTCCAAGGAGGAGGTTGGAATATCAGAATATTTTGAATTAAAAAACACAGTCTCATCCCTTCTTGTTCTGACCTAAATGCTTTGGCAGGAAAATTACTCAAATCTAGGAATACTCACATTTGCCATTAATACATCCGTTTTGTACTTCGTGTCTTTTTTTCACACATCTGTTTGTTGTTCTCTTTTCTCTCTTTTCCTTCAATTTTTAATACAAATTTTAAACACACACCGATAAATAGGATAATATAATGAACCCCTATGTACCTATCAACCACCTGCAACAATGAACATTTTACCAGCCTGGTTTTGACTATTCCCTCCTTTTATCCCTCCTGAATATTTTAACAAAACTCATTTCATTTCTGCCACACCAAAATGAGTTATGTCTGTATCTATGCCTCTAATTTATTTTTGCTTCTTCAAACAGAATAACTTACAAGGGTTTTAACATGATTTCGAAAAAAAATCAATGGAAAATTATTATTTTGAAATCCTCTCTTCTCTTTCTCTCTATATTTTGACCTCTTGTTGCACAAGATTAACAAGTTGGAAAAAATGAGAGAAATAAATGTTAAAAATGAGAAGTGAAGTTTCTAAAGAACTGGGGTGTTAAGCAGAGCTTCAGCAACCCCCTAAGGGAGTACTTCTCCACCACGCAGAGCAGAATTTATCCCCCATCTAACATTTAGGTCACAGATATCTGTCATTTAAACTATCCTTGACAATTAACAAATGTAAAAATTAGTATTCTATTCATATTTACATTCTTTAATTTTTTTAAAAAAATTACAAATCTTAAACTATGTTCTAGAAAGTAGTTTAATGGGAACTGCCACAATACGCTATATGAGAAGCTGTTTAAAATAACAGCTTCTTCTCTCTTAGAGATATTGATAACTTTTACCCTCTGCTATCTTTTCCTTGAAGACAAATAATCCAAAATGTTAACCACTATTCCCAGTTAAGTAAATATGTAAAGTACGTAGTTTTTCATTCACATACAGTGTTATTCATCTGTTCAGCCATTCGTTTATAAATTCATTCATTCATTAAACATTTCACAGGTCCCATATACATGCTGTCACTAGAATCTTTAAGGATGAAGACTCTAGTAAGGAACCATAATTGTCTCTCTGTTTTCATAAAGCTAGGCGAACCCACACCCTAAAAGCTTTATGTGGGAATCAGGTAAAAATTGGTTATGATCTAAATATTTGGAGAGTAGAAATGCCAATCTCAAAAGTGTTTTGGAAAAAAAAAAAAAAAAAAAAGCATAGTGACAGGATCATGTGGTGGGAAATGGGCCTGGCTGGAAGAATCGCTATATGTGTATTTTTATCATCCATGTGTTGGATGAAGCAGAGAGCTGCCAGATAGCTTCTTTTCGACAGCTTGGAGTTACTGTTGGGAACAGATCCATGTATGGAAGCGAAAGCCGAAAGGCACAGATAAGCTGAGATCCAGCTATGCAAACCATGTTTAGAGACACTTAAAGGACAAGCATCCCAGGTCCTTTCTTTCTGGTAAATTTAGAGAAGGCATCATACTGGGATCTTTTTTCACATCCAGCCCATGCGGACTGAGCAGCCAAAGCTTGACAGAGGTAGGTGCCGGGCTTTTGTGATGGAACTTCTATAAAGGATCATTTGCAAATATTTCCTCCAGAGCCCTTGATGTCCTTTAAGGGAAGGTGCCAGATAATATTTTGAAAAGAAAAACAAACAAACAAAAAAATAGGTTGGAGCTAGTGACTAAGAGGTATTTAACAGCTCTGCCTCCACAAGACAGGGAAGCTTTGCAACGGAAGGAAAGTGGCAACACAGATTTGCTGCCAAATAAAATCCCTCTGTCCTGGGTCACTTACCATTTGGAATTTTGTGGATACAAGTCTTCCTCGATATTGCCAGCACCTTTAGAAATGAGCCACAGCTTCCGCGGGGTTCTGAGACTCACTGTGTATTTTAGGCTAGGGTAGGTGGGATTTGTCTTTTTCCTTGCTTGTTCTCAAGCCAGCAAAAACTCGCATGTGTGACTAGTTCTTCCTTAGACATAGGAAGAGCTGCTTGTAAACGACATTATTTTTGGCAGCTGAAGTCATTTTTGCAATATTTCTCAGCAGTTCGGAGGTTGATTACATCCTGTTCAAAGATTCTTGGGTTGTTTTCACAAACACGGGGTCTTACGCAAGTTGAAGTTGCTGAAACCAGCTGTGAGCCCTGGGCTTTTCTCAGCACCTTTAAAATTTTGTCTTCTTTCTTTTTTTTCTACTGACTGAAAACTTTGGAACTTGAGAGGAAATGTTTCCAAAGATTATTATCGTTTTGTCATCAGTGATGTTTTGGGAATAGATTGTGGCAGAATATCAAAAATTCTGTGTCTCAGGAATGATGCAAGGTAAAAGTGTGAATATGAACAGAGTAACAACACCAGTATCTATACGACTGTCCTGTATTTTCTAGAATACAGATAAATCCAGCCAAATCATATCAATTGCATTTTGAAATGCGACTCCAGCTAATTACCAAATTGTAGTTATTAAATTAAAGCATATCTGTTAAAATTGTTAGCAAAGTCTGTGAACTCCTGCCAAACACAAAAGTCAAGAGAAAAAATTATAGGTCATATCTTTAAAATATGCATGTTTTGCCAAGATTGAATTAAAAAAATTTACACAAGATAATGGGATTTAAACTCAAGATTTATTTTACTGAGAATAATGTGTCCATAATTCAAATAAGATTTGAACCAATTGTTTTTACTTAGCTAAGTTTTCAATCTAGAGTATGAGTGGGAAAAAAGAAAAGAGAAATGGAGAAATATTGAATGTGACCTTCCTTCTCTGATGACAGACATGACATGGAAAATTATTAATAAGCAAGTGTAAGAAAATAAAAACAATTTGTAATACTGACCAAGGAGATGTTCTCTGGATAAATTAGATGTCTGGGAAAAGCAATTCATTTAACAGATACAGATGAAATGACTACTTATGTGGTGGTTTCTTTCAAGCTCTGAATGTCCCATTACACCAAAAAAGTGGCAGAGAAAGAGGAAATGTGTTTTTATTTCAATAGTGCACTATAATTATTAAAATAATTACAATACTAAGGGATTGTTTCCATCAAATTATTCTTTTATATGCCTATTTACATTGAGAGCACATTAAAATAACATATTTCTATATTTCTAAAATAGGCTATTTTACTTAAAAATACTAATATTCTATATTTGTGAGAGAGTTAGAAAGAGAGAGAGAGAATAAACTATGCCTTCTTTTTTTAAACTAACAGAGACAAGCTGTCATAACTTTTGCTAAAGTGGAACAGGCCTACGAAAAGATGGCTTTAAAATACTTAATTAAACACTATATACCAGCCGGCTTCTCAAAAGAAACAGCACAGCAGGAGTCTTTGCAATTTTCAATATGTAAAAGGTTGACATAAATGATGCCACTAGTGTTTGTGAACAGATGCAATGCATATATGATATCAGCTACTATCTTCTCGTTTGCCTACTGCCAAGTGCATTTCAAGTGTGCACTCCTCATGAGAAATGTCTGCTCCTGTTTTTTCTCTTGAAAACTAATCCAAGAAGCATAATATAAGTAATAGACAATGACTTACTGCTAATTTTGTATATACTATGTCAACATTTGTGGAAGAAAATTCATGACAGTCAAGCTACTTGCCCTTTTATTTCATGACTTCTTAAGCATTTAGTGATGACTATACATCTAGAAAATCTTAAAGAAATCATATTTTGAGAGGAAAATTGAAGGTGTTGGCAGTCTTACGTAAAAAAATAATAAATAAATAAACAAAATGGCGGCCGGGCACGGTGGCTCACGCCTGTAATCCCAGCACTTTGGGAGGCTGAGGAGGGCAGACCATGAGGTCAAGAGATCGAGACCCTCCTGGCCAACATAGTGAAACCCGGTCTCTACTAAAAATACAAAAATTAGCCAGGTGTGGCGGTGCATGCCTGTAATCCCAGCTACTCGGGAGGCTGAGGCAGGAGAATCGCTTGAACCTGGGAGGCGGAGATTGCTGGGAGGCAGAGATTGCTTTGAGCCGAGATCATGCCACTGCACTCCAGCCTGGACGACAGAGTGAGACTGCACCGGAAAAAAAACAAAAAAAAGGCTGTTAATGATCTTGTTATAGTTAGCTGAGGTATGAAGCAAATTCATGGTGGTTAAGTATGATGAAAAAATTTGAAATAATTCCAAATAGCATGGAGCACAGGTTGGAGGCTTCTGTCTACATCATGAGACCTGTCTGGATAGCTGTGGGCCTGGTCTATGGTGTGACAATAACAAGAGGAGGAAGCACTTTTTAGAGGATTCGATGGGGAAGAGTATTTCTGAATGTTGGGAGAGAGTTTGTATGAAAGTAAGAGTAGGAATGTACACTTCCAGAAGCCTGGAAAATTTTGGCCCACAGAAAAGGTCATTATGTTTCAAGGGAAAAGATATCATTGGCAATTCTTAAAAAAAAAAAAAAAAAAAAAAAAAATTCCAAATCCCCTTGATCAGGTGATTAAAAGCTGGGAGACACTGAGTGGTCCCTGACAGAATAGTAAAGATTTTAAGAACGTTAAAAATGACACAAAAGGCCTGAGACTAGGCAAAGGTGCTGGTAAGGAATCTGAAAGCCAGAAAGGCTATAGGATTTCTCCACCTTCAATCATTGGAAGGTGAAGGTTTCCTAGGATCCAGTTCACCTGGTATTCTGATCAGACATGATCTGCCTATGAAGAACCGCTTTCAATTTTTTATCTTAAAGTTACATGACGTTTTCAAGTCTCATGACAAGGTATTGGAAGAAAATTGTATGCCAGAGAATTTTCAATGTAGTTTTAAGGTCTGTGAAGTAATACAAGGGAAACAAATTCAAGAGGCACTTGGTACTGTTGAGGAGAAAATGGCCTCCCTTATCCCATTGATTTATTTCCCTGATATGAGCCGTGGTTATCAACTCTGATTGCACATGAAAATCACGTAGGGTAGGTGATGCCCACATTGTACCCCTGAGGAATTAAATGTTAGTGGGGTCCAGACAAGGGTAATTTAAGTCCATCCCATGAAGTTCTAATGTGAAACCAAGATTAAGAATCATTTCCTTTATGCAATTAAAGAAAAGTGGTTGCCAGTCTAATTTATTTCAGAAGAGGAGTTAACAAAACCACAGCTGAAGATTAGGAAAAAAATGTACTTTCTCCCAGGATAATTTCTTTGGAAGTTTTATCGACGGCATATTCTTTGCTAACAGAATCCTTATTTTAAAAGTTTCAGCATGTTTAAAAGGAAGTTTTCTCTATAATAAAGGATTGATATGTGTCTATTTGATATCTATCATAGTCCTTAGCTTGAATCCATGTGAATGCTACCCACAATTATTGAAAGCTATAAAATATATATATGTGACATTATGGTTCTTAACTACAGATACTAAATGAAATTTTATATTGTTTTAGAAAATCATCAAACAGACATATTGAAAGAGCATGTTAGTTAATTTTGGATAGCAACAATTTTCTAAAACATTGGCAAATTTATTCTAAAAAAGGAAAATCTTTTTTTTAGATTTTTTTTTTTTTTACTTTTACCTTTCTAGGAAGTGTCGAGAACTTCCTAAACTTTTAAAAATGAAATCATACCTTAACAGAAATGATGAGGACGAGGAAATGTCTTGAATCATTTTCTGAACCAGGTGTTTTAGGCAAATGAGAAAGAAGACTCCATTGAATATGTACTCTATTCTGAGCAATGTGTTAGATTCCAATAAATAATAATACACAATAATCATTAGAACTCTAGTTCCTTAATCTGCCCAGCAGCTTGCCTTCTGAGAGACAAAGTGCAATTATATATGAAATGATTCTAAGAACCATTGCCAATTGCAAGCTATTGTTGAATTTAATGCAAAGAAACACAATTCTAACAAACTACTTTTAAATCTTTACTACTTTTATTGCTTCACTTATATAGATAAAATACATTCTATGAAATAAAAACTATTTTTGTTGTTGCAGTTAAAATCCTGAGTTCTAGATTCAGACAAATCTATGTTCAAATCCCAACTATGTTACTTTCTGCCATGCTGGGCAAGTCACCTAAAAACTATCTTGATATGTATGAAGGTTTTACTATTTTCCAAGCACACTTCTAAGCAAATTACAGGTATTAATTTATTAATTCTGACAATTAGCCCTATGAGATAGTCACCCATTTTACAGATGGAAACACTGACACACAGAAAAGTTAAATAATATGCCTAAGATCACACAACTAGTAAAAAGAGGAAGTAGGATTTGAAGGCTGCATTTAAGCTCTGTTCTACACTGCTCCACAGTCATTTCCGTGCCTTTTAAAAATGAAAGCAAATAATAAAATTAATGTGTGAAAGATATTCAGTAGTGTTATGGCAAGGAGTAAGAGCAAAATAATATTATTATTCTCAGATTACAGTCCACTTAGTTTAATAAATAATCACTTGAAAAAGTTTTTGTGAATACCAACTCTATAAAAAATAACATTAAATGCTCTTTATGAACTAACATTTCCAAAGTGTTGAGTAGACATTTTTTGAATGTCAGAGTTAAATTATTATTTTGTGGCCATATTTCATCCTTGTAGTCTCCCTGCCTATCATATTAATCATGTTTCGATCAACGTATGTTGAAATGTTTAACACCCTTCCCTTCACTCTGCAACATTATGTAAGTAAAGACGATTGGAAAATGAGATAAGAATCATTTAAAGGAAAGTTAGTATTATATTGAGGGACCTATCACCCATACGTGCTAAATTTCATTTAATTTTACATTCATTAATCTAAAATGAACAATAAGAAATCCACTCGACAATTAACTTACATTTGCTTATGAGCATATGACCTTTGGAAATTCAACATACAATTTTTACCAATTTTGTGAGTTGTGCATTTAGTTTTGTAAAAGTTATAAAGCAATAATTTTACATATAAGGTGTAGGGAAATTGCTCAGTTGTACTTTTGTAAAAGGGAATGAAATGAAAGCTTACCTCTTTCTTCCTCACATTCTACCAGACATGTGCGGAGGAATAGAGGTCATGTCCACCTTCTAACCCTATTTTCACTCTACCACACATTTAAGAACACTTATTATATCATTTTCCCAGAGATGATTTTGCTATCATTAATATTTAAATATTCTTTTGCTTAAAAAGATAAATATCTACTGCCCTACTACAGGCAGGGGAAAGGAAAAACAACTAATGAGATTAGAGATTTAAACACAAAATTGAATTCCTTCAGGTCCCATAAATCTATAGACCCTGATAGATTACATTTTTTAAAATTATCAACAACCATGTCAACAATAAACTAGAGTAATTTATACAATTATACCTTCCTGAGGAATGTAAAGATTTGGAAGACAAAATAAGAACCCAATATGCTAAAAACCAAATCCCAAAGTTTTGTTATAAAGAAACTAAATTTACATAACATTTATGAATTTAGCTTATGTTCAACAAATGTGTCCCTGAGCCAAGGTAAAAGTCCATGCTCTTTTGGGGAACACAGACTAAATAGATAACCATTCTAAAAAGTATATGCCCCCAAAACTTGTTTTTTCTTCTCAATAATCCATTTGGGTTACCATGCCCAAATTACTGGATAATTGTATCTACTTTTTGAGGAAAGATACAGTAAATATTCATTAAACAGGTGAGAAACAGACCTCCAAAAATTCACCAACGTTGTAAACTTCTAAATCACAGTTTTCAAAATTTGGTTGGAAAAGAATTGTCTTTTCATATCTTTGGTGAAGTAAAGCTTTCCATGGTCAAAAAAAAAAAAAAAAAGGATCTATGAAATATTGCATAAAATGTGTCTCCATCTCAGGTGCCAGAAGGCACACTAACACATGACTAGCTCTGAGAAATTCTGCAGAAGGTAATCTGAGCGCAAGCTTGTTATGTTCAACGATGGTTTAGAAACCAGACAAAGAGTAATTGATTTGGTGTGCTCCCTAACCTCTCAGTACTGAAATTAGGCTAACTCAAGATTAGTCATTTATCTAAGGGAATTAATTTGACATGGACCTATGGTTTTAACATCTGGGACAAGTGATTTAACAAGTCTACATGTGAAAAGAGTGGGATGCCTAACTTACAGAATGCCTATTTAAGCTCCGTTGACATCTTTAACACCAGTACTCCAAATATGTATGCATAGTGATTCTAAAAGTACAGATAAGTCTTCTGAATATTGTTATTGTTGTTTTTGTTGGGGAGTGACAATTGCACAAATCAACTGCTCCCCTTTGACTTATATTCAGCCTACTATAGATGTTTGAGTATTTGTAGGTGTGTATGCATGCACACATTTATTGTGTTTCCGTAGCACCTAGAATTGAGCTCTATGAGCATTTTCCACCAATGTGACTTTTTTATTTTTTTCTATTTTAGTAATTTTTAAAAATGTTTTGTGGGTACATAGTATATATATTTATGGGGTACATGAGATGTTTGGATACAGGCATGCAATGTGAAATAAGCACATCATGGGGAATGGGATATCCATCGCCTCAAGCATCTATCCTTTGAGTTATAAACAATCCCATTAGACTCTTTACAATACTTTAAAATGTACAATTAAATTGTTATTGACTACAGTCACCCTGATGTGCTAGCAAATAGTAGATCTTATTCATTCTTTCTAACTATTTTTGTACCCATTAGCCTTCCCCACATCCCCTAACTACCCTTGCCAGCCTCTGGTAACCATCCTTCTATTCTCTATGTCCATGAGTTCAATTCTTTTGATGTTTAGAAACATCAGAACTAAATAGTACACCATTGTGTATATGTGCCACATTTTCTTTATCCATTCATTTGTTGATAGATGCTTAGGGAGCTTCCAAATCTTAGGTATTATAAGCAGTGCTGCAACAAACATAGGAGTACAGATATCACTTCCATATATTGATATCCTTTTTTGCAGGGTATATAACCAGCAGTGGAATTACTGGATTAAATGTAGCTCAATTCTTAGTTTTTGAGGAACCTCCAAACTGTTCTCCATAGTGGTTGTACTAATTTACATTCCCACCAAGAGTGTACAAAGGGTTCCTTTACACCACATCCTCACCAGCATTTGTTATTGCCTGTCTGTTGTGTAAAAGCCATTTTACCTGGGGTGAGATATCACATTTAGTTTTGATTTGCATTTCTCTGATGATCAGTGGTGTTGAGCACATTTTCATATGCTTGTTTACCATTTGTATGTCTTCTTTTGAGAACTGTCTATTCAAATCTGCTGCCATTTTTAAAAATCTGATTATTAGAATGTATCTCATAGAGTTGTTTGAGCTCCTTATATATTCTGGTTATTAATTCCTTGTCAGATGGGTAATTTGCAAATATTTTTCTCTCATTCTGTGTGTTGCCTCTTCACTTTGTTGATTGTATTATTTGCTGTACAGAAGCTTTTTAAATTGATGTGATCCCATTTATCCATTTTTGCTTTGGTTGCCTGTGCTTGTGGGGTATTGCTCAAGAAATCTTTGCCCAGACCAATGTGCTGGAGATGTTCTTCAAGGTTTTCTTGTAGTAGTTTCATGGTTTGAGGTCTTAGATTTAAGTCTCTAATCCATTTTTATTTGATTGTTGTATTTAGCGAGAGACAGAGGTCCAGTTTCATTCTTCTACATATGGATATTCAGTTTTCCTAGGCCTATTTACTGAAGAGACTGTCTTTTTCCCAGTGTATGTTCTTGGCAACTTTGTAAAACTGAGTTCACTATCTATAGGTGTGTGGATTTGTTTCTGGGTTCTCTATTCTGTTCCATTGGTCTATGTGTCTGTTTTTATGCCAGTAACCTGCTGTTTTATTTACTCTAGCTCTGCATTATAATTTGAAGCCAGGTAATGTGATTCCTCCAGTTTTGTTCTTTTGCTTAGGATAGCTTCAGCTATTCTGGGTCTTTTGTAGTCTCACATAAATTTTAGGACTATTTTTTCTATTTCAGTGAAGAATGTCATCGGCATTTTGATAGGAATTGCATTGACTCTATAGATTGCTTTGGGTAATACAGATATTTTAACAATATTGGTTCTTCCAATCCATGATTATGGATTAATTTTCCATTTTTTGTTGTCCTCTTCAATTCCTTTCATCAATGTTTTATCGTTTTCATTGTAGTAATCTTTCACTTCTTTGGTTAAGTTAATTCCTAGGTATTTAATTTTATGTGTGGCTAATATAAATGGGATTACTTTTTATTTCTTTTTTATATTGTTTCACTGTTGGCATATGGAAATGCTACTAAATTCTGTGTGTTGATTTTGTGTCTTGCAACTTTACTAAATTTGTTTATCAGTTGAATAGCTTTCATGTGGAGTCTTTTGGTTTTTCCAAAACCAGATTGTATCATCGGCAAACAAGGACAGTTTGACTCCTTCCTGTCAAATATGGATGCCCTTTATATCCTTCTGTTGTCTGATTGCTCTAGATAGGACTTCTAGCACTATGTTGAATAAAAAGTACACCAGTGTAATTGTGTGACTATCTCACTATACCAAGTTCATTTAGTAGCTGGAGACATGGTTCTGAAGAACTTAGAGTATGCAAAAACAGGCCGTTGCAAAGCAGCTCGGTGAGAACTATGAGACAGAGTTAATGGCACAGACCAGTAGAGATGTGGGTTGAGGGAGCAGCATATGCAAAGTCTAGAGAAAAGGGAAAATTAAGACAAATTATGGATGGGAAACTAGAAATAGTTCATTATTACAAAAGGTGCTTTGTTGTTTTCTTTTGTTTACTCTTTATTGAGGTATATCATACCTACAGAAACATGTGATTATGCAGCTCAAGGAATTTTCATAAATGGAATTGACCCATATACCCATCAAATAGATCAAGAAACAGAACCATTCTCAGTACTTCAGAAGGCCCCTTTATCCCTCTTTCCAGACCATTTTCCCCTCAAGGATAACCACTAGCCTAATCTCTATTAGGGTTTTGCTATTGCTCGAGCTTTTAGGTATGAGATAGTCAGGAATAAGATTGAAGAGGCGATGATGAGAATCCTGTATATTGCTAATAAGTTGGAACTTTGTTCTGAAATCAGTGGCTGGAGAGTAGGAGGTAAGGGTTCTAACCAGGAATGTGACCAGATCTGTGACATCTTCCTTATATTGCATATGGACTGCTATTTCCTGACCCAAAGTAGATAATTAATGTTTGATGAATAATTAAGTGAATAAATGAGTATTCTTTACTTAATCTGAGTAATGTGTTTATTATTCAAAGTCACATGAAAGTATTTGAATGCTCTAATAAATCTTCACAACTGTACTAAAGGAATAAAAATATTTTTAAAATGCAATTATATTCTTATTGTAAGAACCAATGAGATAAAGTATATGTTTAGTTTTTGTCACCTAGTAATTACTCAATAAATATTAGTTATTATTAGTCACTCAACAAGCATTTATTGCACATCTACTATCTTTCAAACACTATATTTTGGTGTACAAAATGATGACTAAGACACAGCCCTTACCCTCAAATAATTTATTAATGAAATTTGAGAATCTAAAGAAAAGAAAATTGCAGAGGTTGAAAACCAGACCATAGTCCGCAAACCTGAGAGGGAAGATGGAAGTCTGGCTAAATGATTGTGCCTTCTTCAGTGGGTTAGATGAATGACATGAGGAAAGGGAAGCTAAATTGGGAAAATAAACCATGTAGCAATGAGTACAAATTTTTCTAAAGAAAGTTTTGTAGTGACTATAAGTTCAATAGTATTTAGATCCATTTCTAGGATTATATTCACTTTGTTTGCTTTTCTGTCTATATCCATTGGCCTAGAAAGAACCAAATGGAACATATCAGAATCCTGTTGGAGGATTGCTATGGATGCTGGGCAAGGGGAGATTTAAATTCTTGTGAGGATGATGTTAAGACGTCTAGAGATGATGAAAACAGTCTTTGATGCTTCATGGTAAGATCTTGATTGAGGGTGCAGAGTACATCTGAGTAGAGAGATAGAAAGAAAAGTTCCTTTGACACTTTGATTCCCTGGTTATAAGATAATCTGAGACCTGGGACACTCTGCATCCACAGGGAGATGACATATTCTTGTTGTAAAGCTTTTGTCAGGTCCCACATAAGTGGCAAATGAGATGAGGCCTTGGATTGAGATCCCTACTACGTGGGCAAGGGGCAACTCCCAAAAGGACATGATGAAGCACAAACCAAAATAGATGTCCATCCACACATTGAAGTACATGAAAGAAACATTTATCTTCCTTAGTATATTTCCCTATCCGACCAGGAGAATGTACTGGGTGATTTCTAGAAAGCTCCTTTCCTCTAAGTTACTGATTTAGTTACAGATACATTTCCCAAAGAAAGGTAGATTGCATCCATATTCATCAAAAGAAGCATACAGGTCAAAAGAGAGTGCTTGTGAATCAAAATATCCAGAAATAAGGGAGATAAATGAAACTTGACAACATTATTTAAAATGTCAGTCTTTTAAAGTGAGCAAATGTATGCAATTATTTCCTAACTATTTTGCTAATTTACTTGAAGAACTGAAAATAGCAGAAATGTTTTACAAAGAGTACATAAATACAACTTAATGAAGTTTCCAGGGTGTTAATGTCACTGGGGTGTTTGATATATAACTCAAACAATACAGAAAACAAATACAAAGTAAAGAAGGATAAAGAGATAGAGAAGGATAGAGAAAAGAAAGCAGTTTTAGATAAGGTGATCACAGGAAATAAAATTTGAGCAGAAAACTCAATGAAGTAAGGAAACAAGTCATGTGAATAACCGGGGAGATTTCCAGACAGAAAAATGCAGCAAAGGAAAGGCCTTGAAGTAGGAACAACTTGATATGTTTAGGGACAGTAAGCAGCCCCGTGAGAACAGGTAGGAGAGTTTTTCGAACATTACATCAGAGATATAGCCAGCAGCTAAATCACTAGGTCTTTGAGAGCTATAGATTTGGCTGAGGGTCCTAGAAGCCACTGGAGGATTATGAGCTGAGAAATAAATGATCTAGTTTACCTTTGTAAAAGTTCTTCCTGGCTGCAGTAGGCAGGATAGACACTAGAGAGGCAAAAGCCAAAAAAAAAAAAAAAAAAAAAAAAAAAAAGTCAGATGATAATACCTTACCTTATAGGTTCAGTGTCTATGTAATTGATTATCAGAACAATTATATTTTTCAGAGAGAAAGAGGGAGCTATTAATAATGACACTGGATCAACATCAATGAACTGGGAATGTCCCAAGAAAATGGAGACATATGTTTTCCCTAATTAAAAGCCTCTTTTCAAGAATAAATGAATACTTAGTTCAAATAATGGCTGCTAAAATTAATAGTTCCATTTTTTCCCCAAATATTAGATTTATAAGATATTGATGGACCACAGGCTAAAAATAACTTTATGAATGAACAAACTAGCAACTACGGGTTAAACTCAGATAAATTTACTCTAGGGGAATTTATTCTGGAGGAATTATTGGGGCTTTTAATAAGTTAATCTGTCTTGGGAATATTGAAGCCACGGTTATAGTAATGCAGTGTTTCTCAAGGCCATTTGTCCATGGATTTCATTGTTTTAAGAAACAATGAAACACAATATGAGTGGAACTCAATATGAGAAAGGTATGGTCCATAGATAGAGTGGAAAGGATGATGAACATGATTCAAAGATCTGACCCAGAAATTTTAATTAGATTGCTGGGTAGGTAACTCAGAAGTATGAGATACTCCAAATCCTGGGGGTTTTGTTGTTGTTGTTTGTTTGTTTGTTTGTTTTTTAAAAAGTTGGCCAATAAAGATGGTATATATTTAATGTGTACAAGATGATGAATTGTTACATGTGTACACAAACCACAGTCTAGAAACAACAACACACTAATGTAGCTGCTAGTAAAATCTCAAGGTTGTTCTGATCTCGAGATAGAAAGAAGCCTTTTCCCACTTTCTATAAAACATCAAATATTTGCTTTGTGCTTGTGGCTCCATGGACTTCAGTTTATACCCGAGAATATTTTAAATAAAGGCTTATTGCTTCACTGCCCTTATCCTCCAGCAAGGACTTGGGATGAGAGGCAAAGACTGTGTTCCAGAAAAACAGATTCTGACTCGGTTATTGACACAGAAGTCAGAGACATGTATGGAAAATTAAAGTATGAAGACTAGAAGATGAGTTTGGCAATGACAGGAGTGCCTGAGCTGGTCCGATAACCAACCAGAAGATTGTCCTAGGTCCTGGGATGAACACTGTTGCCTGCAGTTGGCTCCCCCCATAAACTCTGATGGGAAGTGTGTGGGCAGACAGCCTCTAGGACAGTTGGGAACTGTCACCAACTCACAGACCCTGGCTTACAAATGACCAATACTTTTTTAAAAGCTTCTTGAAGAATATCTCTCTAATTCTCTTGTTCCTTGGGGAACAACTCACCTTTTGCTCCTGGTAACAGTGGAAGTTGGCACAAAAGCAATTCCTATGTGCCAGACACTTTTCTCAGTGATTTACCTATATTAACTCACTAAATCCTAACAATAACCTTATGAGCTGGATCCTATTATCATCCTCATTTTTAGATGAGGAAAATGAGACAGAAAAATGCTAAAGAAATCTGTCCAAGGTTACACAGCTAATTACAGTAGAGCTAGAAAAGTCTGACTCTAAAGTCAATGTTATCCTCTACTCCACTGTGAGCAAACGCAGCACAGAGATGAACTGAAAAAAGTATCTTCTTTTTGTCCGATACCACTAGTTCCAGTCCTTACGATTATATATAACATGATTCTTCTTCCATGTGACACTCTTTGAAGTCTCCACAGATCAACAATTATTTGTGTTTCTCTCGAATTTTCTCTGTGGCTCCAGTTTCTTTAGTCTATTCTCTTATCATGTAACTGGATTCTGGCTTATATCAGTGCCTGAAGGTTTTTCTTTGAATGTGCTCTTATTTCTATTTTATTATTAATTTAGTTTGTATGTTGAGCGAGTTGACAGCCCCAACTCAGCCAAGAAATAGTTTTTAGGTAATTCTGAGAGCTCAGGTGCAGGATCTTCAGATCCACCCCTATTAAATTTCCTCTATTAAGATTTTTATGGATTCTAAATGTCATCTAGCCTGCTTTCAGTCTTCAACTTTGATATCCATTGAAAATGTAGTGAAAATGGATTTTATATCTTCATCCAATAGTTTGACAAAGTATTTGGACAAAACCAAGGACAGAGCCTTGCAGCACATCACCCACTCACTATTCATCTAGAGTTGGCAATTTTTGAGCACAGTTGTTAGGAAGGATTACATTAAATTGTATTGTTCAGTCCATATTTCTCTATTTGGCCTTAAGTAATTTTATGTAGTTATGTTAAAAATCCCAGTGAAGGTCAGAAACCAACAGCATTTATCTGTCTGATAGGTTTTAGATCCCTAAAGCTTATGAAGTTAGAATGACTTTAATTTGAACATTGAAATTATACTTGCAATCTTGTGGTTCCTATTTCAACCTCTAGAGTCCCTTAAAGACTACTGATTGGTTCAATGTTCTCTTTTAAAAAGCTTTAATACATTGGCATATAATTTACTTTTGCAAAATGTCTGAACAAATTTGGAGCAGCCAGGTACTGTTTTACCATCATGTTTATATTTGACTTTAGTTTCACTTTATTAATGTTTATTGTTCACCGTCCAACCAATATATGCAACTGTCTATTCAGCCCATTTCTGCGGAGTCTAAAGACTCAAATTTAACATGTTGTGATTTAAACTGATCATCTTTACTATCCACCTGACTGACCTTTCTGATTTATCTAACTCTTTGGTTAACTGTAAACTGAAAATCAGCTTAGATCCCCTTTTTTACTTAAGTGTCCACAACACACCAAATCAGTCCCAAAATCCAATAGTTCATACCTCCTGAATGTCTCTCATATCCATTACCATCTGCCTCTTATATTACATAAGTTATTGCAATAGCATGCTAAGAGATATCCTACCTCCACCCTGGCTGCTCCCTACTATTCCCCACGTTGTTGCCAAAGTGATTTGCTAAAACACAAGTTTTATCAAGCACACCCACAGGTAAAAATCTTTCAATAAATCCCTATAACTCTCAGGATAAAATTCAAATTCATTAACTTAATACCAAAGACCCTTGAAATTGTAGTTCTGCCAGTTATTATCAATTGCTAGTAGCCCTAAGTTTGTCTCTCACTGTCTCCCCATAAGCACCCTTTGTCCCAGTTATTCCAAACTACTTATGATTCACTGAACTAGTCAGAGTGGCTCAGATCTCCATTTCCTAACATATTTAATACCTTCTTTCTTGAGTGCTTTTTTCCCTCCTTTTTCACTTGATGAACCCTCAATAGAGCTTTAAAGAACCATTCTTTCTGTGAGGCTCAACTCCCCCTTACCCAATACTGATTTATATTTTCCCTTTCTGCTCCCACTGCCCCCTGTGGATATCTCTGTAATGGTACTTAATATTGTCAACATGTATTTTTCTATCTCCTCATTAGACTCTAAGTGCCTTGAGGGTGTATATCAATCTTACTTATCTTGATATACTCAGGACTTGACACAGTGTCTGACACACAGTGGGTATGCTTGATAAATCTTTATTGAATACCAAAGCTAATAAGTCAAAATAATCTCATTGGATGAGAAACTAGAAGAAAATGGATGCTTAGAAGTTAATTTTTTCTTTTGTATTTCACATGCCCCAAGCAGGAGGTCTTTCCCTTCTTTATTTAACTCCATGCTGTTAAACTAATTTTAATAATCCTATTTTTTCTTTGCATTCTAAAGTCCACCTGACTACTAAATTCTAAACAGATTTTTTTTTTATTGTACTTTAAGTTTTAGGGTACATGTGCACATTGTGCAGGTTAGTTACATATGTATACATGTGCCATGCTGGTGCGCTGCACCCACTAACTCGTCATCTAGCATTAGGTATATCTCCCAATGCTATCCCTCCCCCCTCCCCCCACCCCACCACAGTCCCCAGAGTGTGATATTCCCCTTCCTGTGTCCATGTGATCTCATTGTTCAATTCCCACCTATGAGTGAGAATATGCGGTGTTTGGTTTTTTGTTCTTGCGGTAGTTTACTGAGAATGATGAAATTGGAAATCATCTAAACAGATTTTTTAACATTACTCATGCACATTTTGAAGGATATGTAGGCTGTGGGTGAGTAACTGCAAAATATGCAGTCTATTTATTGTAAGGACTATACAAACTCATCAATCTCAAAAACTGTCAATTTTACCAGGCTCAAAGTGAGGGGACATTCACAGACGAGAAAGTAATTCGGATCTTTCTCTTTTAATTGAATACCCTGCTTGTAATGATTTCATCTTCTAATATGCACAAATATCCTCAGAATAACCTTTTAAAAGTCAAGCTCTGGTTTATCTGGTTATCAAGGGCAAAATCCACACATGGTGCCACTGAGAAGCTTCCATTAGCATTTTTAGCAACATTATTCAGATCTTGATCCAACTGTTTGAAATACGTGCCATACAGCCATGCTGTCTTTTCAGATAGTTCTGAAATCCTTTTGAATAATACTTTTCCAAATGAATTTTAATCAGATAACCTCAGGCACTGCTTGATTCCTCCACCCATTTGGATCTGGAAACTTGTCCCAGTTTTCCAGTGTGCACGGGCAGACATGCCAAGTAAATCTAGCCAAGTAATCTGTTTATTTAGAGCAGTGTGAACATCCCAAAGGTACCAGAGTCATATGCTCAGATGGCATCTGAAGTTTGATTTGGGCTTTGTATTCTTGCATTTATTAGAGTCAAAATGTTTCCTGACAGTGAGCAGGCAATGATAATGAGTGGGCACCTCATAACTGCTGAAAGAGTTTTCCAAAGAACACTTCAAATGGAGCCCCTGAATGAGTCTGTTTTATTTATCTAAATAGATTAGACCGATAGATAAATGATTGATAGACAGATAGATAATTTTTTGTTGCCTGAGAATCACATAATTTCTGGCATCTACCAACTGAATCATTGACAGTTCTTTATGACGAAGCCTAATCCTATCAATAAAGAAGGTAATTCTTTAAATGGGGGTCACTTTCAGTGCCTGGAGACTGCAAGCAAAACTACAGTACTCAGAATCCTGAGTCCTGGCTACAAGTTCCAATCCTGTCACAAGACATGTAAATTCAGTCATTGATCTTCTCCATACCTCTGTTTTTCCTGTAGAATGAGGAGACTGGGCTTTATAACCACTGGAATGACCTCTTATTATAAAGTTCACTATCAACAGTTGTGCAAGATAATAGATTGGTAGATTTTGTCACGAAGTTCTCATTGTTCGTGTTGATTTTTAACTCACCAACAGATACATCTGTGACTTGCTCCTACACACATTTTTCCCTGATATTCCTTATCAATTTTACTTAAATTGTCCTAGTCATTCTCATCTGATGAAAACATAAGGAGGCATAATTGAAGAAGAAGAAAAAAACACTCTAAGAGTTTGTCCTGAACTCGGATCCTTCGCTTTCCTCCTACATTTTTAATATGGTATACACTTTCCTCATAAAACACTTTTGCTTTCAGGCATAGAGAGATTAATAACAACAATAATTAGTATGACTCCATTTGTTGACCTACTACATTATAAGCAAAATAGCCAGAATTTAAATGTATCCCCTGACACTAAAATCTACACTCATTCCATGATGTCTTGTGACTCAGATAATCATATATTCATAATGATTTTTGTTATCATGAACACAAGAAATCATGCATCAACTGAGACATCTTTTAACTTTTATTTACCTGTAGGGCTTATGTTAAAAGTACACAGACTACAAAGTTGACAAACCCAGTACCAAACCTCACCTCCCAGCAGTATGATTTTTTTGGGTACCAAACCTTACCTCCCAGAAGCATGATTTTTTTTACTTCAATCTTTGCTTCAGTTTTTTCATTTGTAAATTTATGATAATAATAAAAATATCACTAGGTTTAGGGTTATAGGGGCAAATAAGAGAGTAGATGAGAAAGCATATAAACACGGTACATGATAAAGTGTTGTTCCTCAGTTCCTTAGAAATATAACTAAGATCATCCAACAGGTAGAAGCACTTGCTTCAAATGCCAGCTCTGCCAATAGCTGACAGAAATTACATCCATTAATGAATGATATAAATATTTCTGAGCATGAGCAAAAGAAAAAATGGAACAAAACAATATCTAGCTTCCATTTGGATATATATATATATATATATATATATATATATATATATATATATTATACTTTAAGTTCTAGGGTACATGTACACAACGTGCAGGTTTGTTACATATGTATATGTGTGTGACCATTCCTCAGGGATCTAGAACTAGAAATACCATTTGAACCAGCCATCCCATTACTGGGTATATACCCAAAGGAATATAAATCATCCTGCTATAAAGACACATGCACACGTATGTTTATTGCGGCACTACTCACAATAGCAAAGACTTGGAACCAACCCAAATGTCCAACAATGATAGACTGGATTAAGAAAATGTGGCACATATACACCATTTGGTTTTAAATGTTTATCATTTATTTAATCTCAAGAGCAATCTCTCATGTTTGTGTTTCCTCTTTGGAAGCCAGAGTTTATTTTTAATGATTGCACTAAACAGGGTTTTCTTAAAAGCTATTGGATTGAGGAGAAAATAATGTCCAGGTAGCTGAAAGCAATTACAAGAGTGATAGGGGAGTCACCACATGGAAGTGGGACAGCCAGACCTGTCAGAGTTTATTATTATGATTATTATTATTATTACAAAATGCAGGTCAAATGATTCAAATATTTTATTGTAGTGATTGCAGAGGCCTGTAAAGGAGAGAAAGCACACACTTTCAGGTAGATAAGGAAAAAAAAAAGTTTATCCAAGTTGTATTAATATTTGAAGAAGGAAATGATGTCAAGTGAAGGAGAATGAAAGAAGAAAAGATAAAAAGGAAGGAAGGAAAGGAAAAAAGAGGAGAGGAGAGGAAAGGAAAGGAATGTTGGGGAGAGAAAAAGAAAGAGGAAAACCCATTACAAAGATGGAACATAGCTACTGACTGGTTGTCAATAGACATAGATGGTGGCACACGCCTCTAATCCCAGCTACTCAGGAGGCTGAGGCAGGAGAATTGCTTGAATCTGGGAGGCAGAGGTTGCAGTGAGTTGAGATCGTGCCACTGCACTCCAGCCTGGGAAACAGAGCAAGACTCTGTCGTGGAAAAAAAAAAAAAAAAAAAATACTGAGGAAAGATTTCCGGATTGTAATAGAGGGAGAAGTGTGGTTTAGGCTTGGTTTCCCAACTCCCAAGTTTTGTGATCTTTGTAAATTTATTTACACTTTCTGAACCTAAGCTTCTTTTTTTTTAAATTTTATTTTATTTTATTTTATTTTATTATACTTTAAGTTTTAGGGTACATGTGCACAATGTGCAGGTTAGTTACATATGTATAAGTGTGCCATGCTGGTGTGCTGCACACACTAACTCGTCATTTAGCACTAGGTATATCTCCTAAAGCTATCCCTCCCCCCTCCCCCCCACCCCACAACAGTCCCCAGAGAGTGATGTTCCCCTTCCTGTGTCCATGTGTTCTCATTGTTCAATTCCCACCTATGAGTGAGAATATGCGGTGTTTGGTTTTTTGTTCTTCCAATAGTTTACTGAGAATGATGATTTCCAATTCCATCCATGTCCCTACGAAGGACAGGAACTCATCATTTTTTACAGCTGCATAGTATTCCATGGTGTTTATGTGCCACATTTTCTTAATTCAGTCTATTATTGTTGGACATTTGGATTGGTTCCAAGTCTTTGCTATTGTGAATAGTGCCACAATAAACATGAGTGTTCATGTGTCTTTATAGCAGCATGATTTATAGTCCTTTGGGTATATACCCAGTAATGGGATGGCTGGACCAAATGGTATTTCTAGTTCTAGATCCCTGAGGAATGGCCACACTGACTTCCACAATGGTTGAACTAGTTTACAGTCCCACCAAGAGTGTAAAAGTGTTCCTATTTCTCCACATCTTCTCCAGCACCTGTTGTTTCCTGACTTTTTAATGATTGCCATTCTAACTGGTGTGAGATGGTATCTCATTGTGGTTTTGATTTGCATTTCTCTGATGGCCAGTGATGGTGAGCATTTTTTCATGTGTTTTTTGGCTGCATAAATGTCTTCTTTTGAGAAGTGTCTGTTCATGTCCTTTGCCCACTTTTTGATTGGGTTGTTTGTTTTTTTCTTGTAAATTTGTTTGAGTTCATTGTAGATTCTGGATATTAGCCCTTTGTCAGATGAGTAGGTTGCGAAAATTTTCTCCAATTTTGTAGGTTGCCTGTTCACTCTGATGGTAGTTTCTTTTGCTGTGCAGAAGCTCTTTAGTTTAATTAGATCCCATTTGTCAATTTTGGCTTTTGTTGCCATTGCTTTTGGTGTTTTTGACATGAAGTTCTTGCCCGTGCCTATGTCCTGAATGGTAATGCCTAGGTTTTCTTCTAGGGTTTTTATGGTTTTAGGTCTAACATTTAAGTCTTTAATCCATCTTGAGTTAATTTTTGTATAAGGTGTCAGGAAGGGATCCAGTTTCAGCTTTCTAGATATGGCTAGCCAGTTTTCCCAGCACGATTTATAAAATAGGGAATCCTTTCCCCATTGCTTGTTTTTCTCAGGTTTGTCAAAGATCAGATAGTTGTAGATATGTGGCGTTATTTCTGAGGGCTCTGTTCTGTTCCATTGATCTATATCTCTGTTTTGGTACCAGTACCATGCTGTTTTGGTTACTGTAGCCTTGTAGTATAGTTTGAAGTCAGGTAGTGTGATGCCTGCAGCTTTGTTCTTTTGGCTTAGGATTGACTTGGCGATGCGGGCTCTTTTTTGGTTCCATATGAACTTTAAAGTAGTTTTTTCCAATTCTGTGAAGAAAGTCATTGGTAGCTTGATGGGGATGGCATTGAATCTATAAATTACCTTGGCAGTATGGCCATTTTCATGATATTGATTCTTCCTACCCATGAGCATGGAATGTTCTTCCATTTGTTTGTATCCTCTTTTATTTCACTGAGCAGTGGTCTGGGATGCAAGGCTGGTTCAATATATGCAAATCAATAAATGTAATCCAGCATATAAACAGAACCAAAGACAAAAACCACATGGTTCTCTCAATAGATGCAGAAAAGGCCTTTGACAAAATTCAACAACTCTTCATGCTAAAAACTCTCAATAAATTAGGTATTGATGGGACGTATCTCAGTAAGAGCTATCTATTGCAAACCCACAGCCAATATCATACTGAATAGGCAAAAACTGGAAGCATTCCCTTTGAAAACTGGCACAAGACAGGGATGCCTTCTCTCACCACTCCTATTCAACATAGTGTTGGAAGTTCTGGCCAGGGCAATTAGGCAGGAGAAGGAAATAAAGGGTATTCAATTAGGAAAAGAGGAAGTCAAACTGTCCCTGTTTGCAGATGACATGATTGTATATCTAGAAAACCCCATTGTCTCAGCCCAAAATCTCCTTAAGCTGATAAGCAACTTCAGCAAAGTCTCAGGATACAAAATCAATGTACAAAAATCACAAGCATTCTTATACACCAATAACAGACAAACAGAGAACCAAATCATGAGTGAACTCCCATTCACAATTGCTTCAAAGAGAATAAAATACCTAGGAATCCAACTTACAAGGGACGTGAAGGACCTTTTCAAGGAGAACTACAAACCTAAGCTTCTTTGACTATAAAATAAGAGCTTGAATTAGATGACTTCCTAAGGCTTTCACAACTGTTAAATTGTAGATGTAGGAGAGAAACAAGTAATGTTTTCAAATATTGGCCTTTTTATAGAGAGAGAGACACTTTCGTGTTGGTTTTAACATTCTTACGTTAAAGGAATATAAATTCCATAGAAGGTATAGTGAATGGCCGGGTTTTTAAGTTGAGATTTCAGAAAATATTGCTTGTCAATTCTTCATTATTCCTGATTTGCGGATCTTTTTATTTTGTATCTCAGTACGATGCATATGATTCTCTATAATATAATCAGCATCTTTTCCCGTATGTTCCAACTGGATTTCAGTCATTATAAAACTTCACTGCACTTTATAATTTTTGATTCTTTTCACTAGTGTTATTAATACCTTGTGTTCAATATATTTGCCAAGTTGACGTTAGAAGTCTTTCATTTTGAGTTTTATTCTTGGACACCCCTGGTTATCCAAATAGATAGTTGTGAATCCACTACTCCTACCCATCCCCACAAATCATCTAAAAACATTATGATGTTATAGTCAACTTTGTGTCTTCAGCATATATGTAAAATTTTAAATGTATATAAGATTCATTTAGTACCTAAAGGACACTCACTTTTGTTTCCTCGAAACTTATTGAAATACTGGGTTCTTATCAGTCTTAAGTTAATATATTTATACTTATACAAACAAACATAGTTTATGCATTCCATATATTAGTGGAAAAGTTGGAGAAACAATTATAGCCTGTGAAATGAGGACTAAGTGATCTGAAAGCTATATGACAAAATTATTCTGTGCTTATTTCCTTTTGAAATACTAAAGTGTCTGTTTAAAATCCACATCAAAAATCAAAAGTTAAAACAGTAACAAGAAACTTATCTTGCCATGCTTTTTAATGAGTGACATGCTTCAAAGTCAAGTACATTGTATCTGCCCTTATAAATACGTGATTGTATATTCCAAATGATTGATGTTTAGATGATGCATAGCTTCCTTGAAAATAAGTAAGATATCCACGCAATTTCACTAGTTTCATGGTGGAAGAAAATCTTACATATGCTTAATGTCATTGAAATTGTCAGGAGTGTTTTTTGATCGGAGAGGGAAAAGATAGTTTTTGGTGCTTGTTTAACACAGATTTAGTGACACAATGTAAAAATGTTAGCAGTGTATCATCAAGTGAATGTAAGGGGGCTGCCTGTCTTCATATCAGGTTGTAAAATCTGACTAATGGCTTCTTAATAAGGGGACACTGTTTTGGCTTGGGGGGATTTAGAAAAGTGTTTTATTGGCTAAAGTTTGGGGATTGTTCCTGTGGCAGCAAACCTTCTGATCCTTTCCCATGCTCAGAGACTAACCCCAGGGAATGTGGTCAAGAAGCCACTTAATGGTTCTCGATGGAGCTGAAGCCTCAAGGTTAAGTACCAAATCTCTATCAAGGGAGAGAGCTGAGTGGGCCTGTTCTTTTGTCTTCAAGCTTTCTGCTATCTTCTCTCCTTCTCCAACTAAAGTGTTCTAATCCCAAAGTGAAAGTGAAACTCTACTCTACTCCCCTTCTAATAGTATGTCACAGTCCCGTTACACCAGCTGGGAAGAACTGCGTTGGTATCTCTAGTGAGTAACATTGAATGTCAGAAAAGTGAGAACAGACTTTTCGGTGGGTGAAAAGGCACAGACCGTGACCATGGGAAGAAAAGTTCCTTTCTCTTTTTTCTGCCTTGCACCCTGCTTTGTGTGGAGTCTATTTTTGATATTGTACCTCGTCTATATGGCATGTTCACCTTAATACATGTGTTTGCACGTATGCTTTTTGGTTTACGGGGCTCGTGTAATCCCATTTAAGCCTGGCAAAATTTGAGGTAGATTATACCTTTGTTTTACAGATTGTGAAATGGAGCAGACAGACTTGATTATTAATTATGTTTCTCTTATAAATTGCTAGCGATGTGTCACCTTAGGCAGGTTTCTCTTGTTCTGTAAGCTTCACTGTGCTATCTGTAAAACAGAAACTCAGACAGCCTCCTTGGGTTGATGCAACAGTTACATGACAGAATGTTGGTAAAGTAGTTAATGCTGTTCCCGACACAGAATAAGCACTCAATCAATGACAGTTCTTATCGTTAGAGTATGATTGTTGCTATAGTTAGGATTATCTTGTGGGACTCTGAAACAGATATTCTACTTCCAAATCCAACATAATTTCCTCTGTCCCAGGTATGTAGTTTCATGTAGCAGTGTAAGTCTCTCTCTCTGAAGATGGACATCAGTCACAGAGCATTTCATATGCTCTCTTCACTCCTACTGAACTATTTCAATAAAGATATTAAGAATTATAAGACATAAACACAGTCCTGAAAAATCTCAGACAAGCAAAGAAATCAAATTGCATATAATATTAACACGGCACAAAGAAAGAACTCATGTGAATTTAAATAACCTTTAAAATCCAAGACGATTTCAGGTGGGAAGAATTAGGAGATTCGTGGCTTAGTACAAAAATGTCTGTTTTTCTTTTTCTCCCCCCAACTCTTTGGTCACTTAAACACACATGGAGTTGGTTTTGCTCAAAAGCACACTGTCATATGAGACTTCCCTTTTAACAGTTAAAAGGGAACATGTTCATTTTCTCCACGTGCTAAATGGGCTTAAAATACACACATGCGTGCACACACACACACACACACACAAACTAGAAAGTGGGTAGCTTGGGAATCATGTTTCAAGAGGGTCTGCCTGCACATCTGTGAAATAAGATGAGAGAATACGAATGGGCCTGAATCTCCCAAATTCTATGGCACGGTAATTCCCTGTCATTTATAGTCTTTCACTAGCTTCCTTGGTGAGCTAGCAGGAGGGGAGAGGAGGATTATTCATTAAAATCCTTTACTTTTGTTTCAGTCTTTTTTTTTTTTTTCTGTCTACAGAAGGTGTCCCCCTTGTGGTTATAGAAAAAGCTGGACTGGCAGTTTATCTCATCTTGTGAAATTTCACACATGGACAAAGACTTTTAGTATTCTGTCTATCCACCTTTTAGTAGCTCTTGCTTCTAAAAGGGTAAACTTTTACTCAGATACTCATTTCTATCTGAAAGTTAATGCTAAACTCAAAGCCAGATATTCAGTCAGCTGGCTTTAAACTTTTTAACCCCACTTATGATTATTTTTAAAATTCTCTTTCCCTGTGGCTGGTAGTATCGTTTTTCCATGAAGTGGTATCAGAGATTAAATGGTGTTATCTGTCCATGAACAATTTACTTACTGGAGCATGAAAAAGTGATTAAGCATGTGTCTGTTTCAATGCCATGACTGACCATTAAGTTCTCTCAAGTATGCAACCCAGCTTGGCCTTTTCAGCAGCAGTGAGAAAACCAGTCTGAGTGAGCAGGTTCCGCAATGGGCTTCTTTCACTCCTGTTCCCCTCTCTTGGAGTCACAGTGAACACTAAAGTAGTGGGAGTAGACAGTTTTGGTTATTCTTAAGGAAGTATCTTGGTAGAGCTGCTGTTTCTCTGTTGAGTAGGAATTCACTATTTTTCCCCCGACTACTGTGTTAATATATCCAAATATCTTTTCCAAAACTATAGGATTAGTAAAGGTTTTATATGCCACTTTGATAAAATTGCTTTCACAAAAGCAGTTTTTAAGAAGACAGTTAAGAGCTCTGAGACAGTGGTTTCATAAAGGAAATCCAATTAGACTCTGTCTTAATTGTAGAATTTTTAAAAAAGAGAACAAGAGATGTGAAATATTCCTCTCAATCATCTGTCTTCTGTAACATACAATTCTAGAATTGTTAGGAAAAATGCACATTAGATACCAAAAGTGTTAAAATGTCAAATATTAAGGAGAAAAATCTAAGTAATAGTAAATCAGCAAAGTATGGATTTCTACATCTTACCGATTTTACCTCACATGCTACCTCCTCAGGAAGGCCTAACAGTATGATTTTCACCACTGCTGACTTGGTAATCAGGCACATTTCCTATACATACATATTATAGACTGAATAATTGAAAAATGAAGTGGACATTTAAACAATACCAACTTCTGCTCAAAAGGGATTCGATGCAACTTTATTAAAGGCAGTATTACATAAAAACATATTAAGCCCCGGTGTGTGATGTTCCCCGCCCTGTGCCCAAGTGTTCTCATTGTTCAGTTCCCACCTATGAGTGAGACCATGCAGTGTTTGATTTTCTGTCCTTGCAATAGTTTGCTCAGAGTGATGGTTTCCAGCTTCATCCATGTCTCTACAAAGGGGTGGGGGGAGGGGGGAGGGATAGCATTAGGAGATATACCTAATGTAAATGACGAGTTAACAGGTGCAGCACACCAACATGGCACATGTATGCATATGTAACAAACCTGCACATTGTGCACATGTACCCTAGAACTTAAAGTATAATAATAAAAAAAAAAAGAAATTAAAAAAAACATATTAAGATACTACTAATAGGAAACCTCATTAACATGGTGTGGTTAGACATATTTTCCCTTTTTCTACCCATTCTTTCTAACTTGTATTCATTGATATATTATCTGTGTGTTTTAAAAAATGTAACAATTTTAAAAATCAAATACAGAGTGTCATGTTTATAAAACACACTATGGAGTATGAAAATTATTTGTTAGAAAGAGGAATATATCTTATTGCCTAATGGCAGAATTGTGTTTCAGGGTACTTGATCTGATTAAGCATCCAGATCCAAGGGCATGCTGAAATAAGTTCTACTGTGTTTGATATTCATACTGAAGCAGAGGATATCAGTACTCTCTTTCACAGCATATTATTTCTTTTGTATCATAAGTGTATTTTTTCAGAAGACATTAATCATGTATTAGTCTGTTCTCATGCTGCTAATAAAGACATATCAGAGACTAGGTAATTTATAAAGGGAAGAGGTACAGCATAGCTGGGGAGACCTCAGGAAATTTACAATCATGGCAGAAGGCAAAAGGGAAGCAAGGCACCTTTTTCACAAGGCGGCAGGCAGGAGAACTGCTGAGCAAAGGGGGGAAAGCCCCTTATAAAACCATCAGTTCTCATGAGAACTCACTCACTATCACGAGAACAGCATGAAGGTAACTGCTCCCATGTTTCAATTAACTCCCACTGTGTCCTTCCCACAACATGCGGCCATTATGAGAACTACAATTCAAGATGACATTTGAGTGGGGACAAACCAAACCATATCACATCATTTTAATAAGTTTGTATAAGGGCAATTTATGTATCAATTTATTCTTTAAACAAATATTGAGTGTCCAATTTGACCAAATCATATATGGAATTTTCTACACAGTATTTTTTGAGCACTGCCAAAAAAAATGCTACATATAAAATGCCCTCTCTCTTTTGCTAGAAATTCCATGATTGGTGAAGTTTCTTGTTACTAAAGTTGTCTTCTTGAGGATTTCTTTGAAGTGGTAATTACTCTAGAAGGCAAGAGTTTTATCAATGAATAAAATATTTAAGAGTATTCCATTTTTAGTGTGTGTTTTCATCTGATGGGAGAAATCAGAGCAAAATGACCACAATGATTGTTGAAATAAAGATGAATTACAGAAAAGAGGGAAATAACCAGAGTGAGGAAGAACATATCACCTGGCTCATTGCTTAACATCCCCAGACGTTTAAAAGTAACTGGCAGTTGAGCAAGCAAGAGACATAGGGAATAGTCTTAAAAGAATAGCGGAAGGAAAAAGCATGTTGCTTTTATGATTATTTCCATGAGTCCTGCTTGTTCAAATCAGTTATTTTTAAATGCCCACTATTCTTTTACCTAGATATAAACCTGGCCAATAAGTAGGAAAATGTTGTTGTTAGGAGAAGTTCTACAATCGCCTAAGACATTGATGTAGTTCCAATTTAGAAAGCAGAATGTCCGGTTCCATATAATAATCACATTAATTTGATATATAGTTAAACCCTTTTCCCTTGACCCTGTTGAGGTTGTCTGCGGCGTGAAGGTGGAGGGGATGGTTGTTCTCTCCTTGCCTGCCTGCTTCTACTCCTCCTCCTCTATTTTTGCTAATCCAAGCAGATTGAATGTGGCTGGGGAAGGGAAAGAAGCAATAGAAATAAGAAAAGGCCAGCAAGCTCTTATTCTTTAGTATGATGACTTCTTTGAATTTAGCAGATGTCAAACACTTTCTTTTATAAAAATTTTCTTGAATTCTTCAGAGACTTCATCACGTAACATTAAATTAAAAATATAGGATGCAAGCAATGCATATCTCTCTGGCTTCCCCTTCCACCTCCAGCATCCTTCTGCTGAGATTTCATTACACATCAAGTGACCCTCATGTATAGAACCTAACATGACCCTCCACCAGCTCCTCTGTGTTAGTGGTCCACATCTAGTCCAAAAGAAGCACTTATCGCATCCTTGGAATGTGCCTGCAGTTGCTCACTTTAGTCCTAAATGCTGGCCTCAGCCCTCCTTTCCTTATTCCTTGCTAACTCAGCTGATAGTACCAACCCTCACGTTTAACGTTTCCGAAGGTAGGTCAAACACTGTTCCCCATATTCCAGAAGACACATTTCAGCCTCTCAAATTTCAAAGCCCCTCGCGTTAGATTCGGGTGATAGCAACAGGGAGTGCTAAGGGGTGCTATTTATGCGGAATCATCAGGAAAGGCCTCCCTGAAAAGGATACATAAACATAATCTATTGTAAAGATACGAGAAAGCTCACAGCATCCCTGAGAAGAGTGGAGCAGCAGGCTTGGAGCATGGGTAGAAACAAGGACAGGCAGTCAGATCACATCCATCACAGATCCCTGGGTGCTAAAGCTTGCACCACAGTTCCTCTGGCATTGGATAATGCCAGTCCTTCCAAATGGCACTATCATCACTGCAGTTAGCTGGAAATTGGATGTTGCTGCTGCTCCCACTACCACTGTCAACACAGTCTCAAAGGAAAAGCTGTAATACTCATCTGACTAATGATAGTGTGATTGGAATAATATTTTCTCCCAAAGGGACAGCCTGTGAGGGATAATTTCATTTGGATTCATTTTAACACATTTGTTTTAAAATATATAGTCATGTTATATTAGTCACAGTTATACCCTCTCTATGCATTGGAACCTTTTTAACAGAATGATGGTTGAGGTCAGCATTCTCAATAAAGATTTGTATCCATTAGGACTAAGTTCAGCTGCAAATGACAGAAACTCACAATAAATGCTTTCTAAACTAGATAGTGTTCTGTCTCTCTCTGATGATCACAATCTGGAGATAAGCAATTCAGGGCTGATACAGTGGCTTATAATCACCAGGATTTCTTTTATCTTGATATTTTGTCATTCTTAGTGTACTGTCTCGTGGACCATGATGGCTGCTCAAGTTCCAGCCATCAGCCTGAATTCCATCCAGCAGAAAAGACAAAGAGGGAAGAGAAATAAGCAAAGGAAGTACGTCAGCCATCTTTTAAGAAGGTTTTCTGAAAATTGCCACATGAGACTTCTGTTTATTTACCAGGCAGAACCTAGTCATGTGGCCTCACTTTACCGTAATATAATCCTTATTCTGAGCAGATAAAATTGAGGGATCTGTTACCAACAAAATACTGGACTAGAGAATTAGCAGTCTCTGTTAGTTTTTTCTTCTGTTTTGGCTTTGTTGACTGTAGCTATTCTCTTGCGGAGGTTAGGATTGTGCTTTCTCTCCTCTCCAAGTGCTGAAGCTTTCAAATACTTCCTCATGCTGTTTGTAACTTTATACCTATCTCACCCACCCTCTCCCTCTACTCACACCCTTGGTGTATTAGATTATAAGCTTCTGGGGGCCAGATGTGTATCTTCTTTATCTTTTAATCACCTAGAGACTTCATCAATTATTTATCATATATATATATATTTTTTAACATATATATTTTCAGTGATTGTGAATTTTAAATTTAGATTTTAAAATATAAAATACATAAATACATAGGGTAATTTAATAACTAATACATAAATGTTCAGCTAATTATTGTATATTTTTATTTATTGTCTTCAGCACTTTAGTTCATTCATTAAGAGTGCTAACTGTGGGCCGGGCACGATGGCTTATGCCTGTAATCCCAGCCCTTTGGGAGCCCGAGGCGGGCGGATCACGAGGTGAGGAGATTGAGACCATCCTGGCTAACACGGTGAAACCCCGTCTCTACTAAAAATGCAAAAAAGAAAAAAAAAAAAAAAAGCCGGGCGTGGTGGCGGGCGCCTGTAGTCCCAGCTACTCGGGAGGCTGAGGCGGGAGAATGGCGTGAACCCGGGAGGCGGAGCTTGCAGTGAGCCGAGATCGCGCCACTGCACTCCAACCTGGGCTACAGAGCGAGATTCCGTCTCAAAAAAAAAAAAAAAAAAAGTGCTAACTGTGGCTTCTGTCATAGAAATAAGGAAAAACATTGTCTCTCTGGGTTTCAGAAAACAGGAAGTGTCTATAAGTGGCATTACGTTGTCATGGCACAAAGAGCAAAGACTGGAGACAGGCTGTCTGGATTCAAATCCCCACTCTGCCACTTACCAGCTGTGTGACCACAGGCAAGTTGCTTAAAGTCTCCATTCCTTCGTTTCTTCATCCCATAAAATAGAAATAATAACAGGGATGAATTGTCATCGGTGGTACTCAGCAGTGCATATAATATGAAGCTTATGCTTCAGGGACCCTAAAGACATGAGTTCCTTCTCAGGCCCTCAGAGAAGCCCTAGCAGTACATTCACATGGCCATATGCTTGGCAAAATTTACAAATACAAGATTTTTAAACTTTGTTTTCTTAATGTAGGCCCCATATTGTATAAGCTTCAACCCTTACAAAACCCAAAGCCTCCCCTGGCAGTTCTGCACTGAGTCAGAGGCTATAAATGACCCTGCAATGTGTGAAAAGTTAATTAGAAAGACTTTAAGGCAGTAGTGCTCCCTCTGGAGAGAGTGGCCCAACTAAACCAAAGACATCTGGGACATTCGTTTTTAAAATGTAGAAACTTGGTGTAGCTATAGTCAACAATATCTTATTGCACGCTTAAAAGTTTGTTAAGAGGATCAATTTCATATTAAGCATTCTTACCACAATAAAATATGTATTTTAAAAAAATGCAGGAGCTTGGGACCTTTACCTCCAGAAAGAGAATCTTTTGGGACAGGTTCTACAAATCTCTGTTTTTATCAAGCCTCTCAAATGATTGTAATGTGCCTTAAAACTTGAACTATTCTCTAATATCTCTTCCATCTCTGAAATTCAAATTTTGATCTATATAATCCTGACTCAAAAATTACCAACTAAAAGGGTATAGAAGAATTGGAAACCTAACTTCATTTTGCAGAATTTGTCCAGGGAAAGGAATGTTCTGAACTGTTAAAGAGACAGAAACGATGGAGACATGAAGAACTGGCATCTCACTTTTCAGCATGTAAAAACAGCTTGTCTGAAAGAGTTAAGACTTAGAAATCATTACTTTTCCGTTGGTGTATTTTCAGGAATAAAAAATTATGATTCCACTTTCTCCCCCTACTCACAAGCCTAGTGGTAGAGATTATGATAATTCTATTCAGTATAAGACTGTATTAGCCAGATCGAACTATGGTTCTTACAGAGAAAGAAGAAGGATCTAACAGTTATCAGACATCCTACTAGAAGCTAAAAAATCTGGTTGCATTCTTACAACAGTTCTGTAAGAAAAGTGACACTCTTATTTTTATAAACAAGAAAACTAAAGATCAAGCAGACTAAATAATTTTGCATAAAATCACACAGCTAACATGTGACAGGAATTTAAAGCCAGGTATGGCTGAATTCAATGTCTCTTTTGTCTTCTTTAACACTGTGCTGCTTTCAAATAAATATGGCATTAATTTGTGTGTGAGGTGATATAAAAAGCGTGAACCTTAGAAAGCTATAGTAAGATATGCCACAGAACTAATTAATCACCTTTTTTATATCCATTCCTCCCTATGGTAAACTATGTTCTTTAAAATACTATGGTGTATGAGCAAGTGTGCACATGGATGCACAAACATACACACACACACTCTTACACATAAACACACACAAGAAAATATGCTTTCTTTTGTAAAATGACTTTGCGACTGATGCCCTGTTTTTCCATACAGTTACATCTAAGGTCAAATAATATACTCCTCTCTTCTTCTCCCACATTAAAGGATATCATTATAATTAAAAGGTTGTGGTTATGATCTTTTATATTCTTAAGTATTTGTGTTTAAACAGCAGTGCGATTTTTGGCTACTACGAATCTCTTCAAAAAATAAGTTGGGTTGTGTTTGTAAGTCAGTGGCTGCTGGTCTCAACTGATGCAGTGACTCAGAATTAGCCTGTATAACGTCGTGGTCTTCATCTTGTAGCAGATTAGTGAGCTCATTCATTCTCGACAATATGTGGACTGGGAGGAGACTCATGAAATTTCTAGAGCACTTGACATGCCCAGCACAACTTGTTAAATTATGTCCTTGAGTCCTTTCCACTCCAACAAGAAATTTTGGTCAGGATTCAGCTGATACACTCAACCTCCTTAATCTAAGCAAAGTTAGGGCAGTGTCTTAGTCCATTTAAGATGTTATAACAAAAATCCCATAAACTGGCTGCCTTATCAACAATCAAAACTTATTCCTCACAGTTCTAAAGGCTGGAAATCCAATATCAAAATGCCAGCAAACTCCGTATCTGATGAGAACCTGCTTTCTGGTTTGTAGAGGGTGCCTTCTTTCTGTGTCCACACATGATGCAAGGGGTGAGAGTCTCTCTGGGACTTTTTTTCATAAGGACACTAATCCCTTTAATGAAGACAGAGCCCTCATGATCTCCCAAAGTCACACCTCCTCATACATCACCATGGGGGTTAAGATTTCAACATATGAATTTTAGAGGGAACAAATATTCAGACCATAGTAGACAGCTTAATCTTTGATGCAATAAGTAGTTCACATTTGGGGAAGAGAGCAACTTTTGCCTTCCTCTTTCAATGTTTCATGAGGTTTTGGGGTTTAGTTCTGAAGATTAAATGTTTCTGGCCTCTCTACTGGCACCAGAAAAAATCAGTATCTAATTTTTAAAAAAAAACAATAAACGTGCACTGTTTCCAGTTTTACAGTTTTTTCTTGACCTGTGTTAGTCCCATCCTGCAGTAAAATCAAGTCACTGTGGAAACCTTATCATAGGTCCTCAGTTAGTTTTCATAACTATATCAACAGACTGTGGCGTCAGGAAGAAATTACCCTGGTACATTAATTACTGGCCCATGGAATGGGAGCTGAGGGTAGGCAACTGCACAGCTAGTAAGTGGATCACTATGAAGGGACAAACAATGCAAGGGATACTAACTGGGCTTATATTTTTCTCCCAATATTAATGGTTTTTTAATTGTTTTTCACAAATCCAGGAATGTTAAGATGCCAAAGTACCTTGTTGCCGAAGCTGAGATGGAAACACTCATTGTCAATACTTTGGTACTTACCTTCCCCAGTTAGAGATAAAACCGGTATTTTAACAGATAGGAGCATGAAAAGCTCACTTACCACCCCTGAAATATTTTCTCTTTCTAATCAAGATAAGAAACTTCTGTGTTTCCTCATCTATAGAATATATAAATACCTACTACTATTATGTCCAAATGAGAATATCTTGAGAGAGAAAGTAATATCCAACCAGATGACCAAGATATAAATTGTTATGAGCTTAAAAAAATGTTTATTTTTTGCCCAAACCAGAGAAAATGCATGATCAGAAAATGAACTGCAAATGAAGAATGTGGGTTCAAGCTCTAGTAGAACAATTAATTAACTGTGACTATGCTAAAATATAAAATAATTAGACAAAGACAGTAATTTTAAATTTAGAAGTTGAAGTTACATACAAAAGATACAAATTTTGACAGCTCTTAAATATTTATTTGAAAAAGATACTAATTTAAAATTGAATTTCCACCAAAAAGCTCCAACATTCAGTCAAAAATATGTTAACTGTTTATTCGACAACAGTCACATGTCTAAATCTTTGTACATTCTGAATTAATGGTGTGAATTGGTGAAATTTATACGTTCTCCTGAAGTTTAAAATTAGGTGGTTGAGGCCGGGCGTGGTGGCTCACGCCTGTAATCCCAGCACTTTGGGAGGTCGAGGCAGGCGGATCACCTGCGATCAGGAGTTTGAGACTATCCTGGCCAACATGGTGAAACCCCGTCTCTACTAAAAATACAAAAATTAGCTGGGCGTGGTGGCGGGCGCCTATAATCCTAGCTACTTGGGAGGCTGAGGCATGAGAATTGCTTGAACCCAGGAGGCGGAGGTTGCAGTGAGCTGGGACTGCGCCATTGCACTCCAGCCTGGGCAACAAGAGCGAAACTCTGTCTAAAAAAAAAAAAAAACAAACAAATTAGGTGGTTGAAAATGAAATGTAACATCCAGGGAAATTGATATAAATTTCCTTCAGAAAGTCTATCAAAGTATAAAAGTCAAATTAAAAACTTAGGTCTATGAGAGATTTTGGAACTCATCAGATATTGATTTTTCAGAAGGGAGAGAGAAATACACTCATATTTATAGAATATTTTACTGAAAAAAACTCAGTGAAAAAACTACCTGAGCTTTTTACCAAAGAAAATCATAGACTTTTAAATGGACAGCACATTTGACTAGCTAACTCATGTTGCTTTAAATAGTTATTTTTTAAATATTTGGGTTTGTAGATACAAAAATGATTGCATATTGCAATTTGTTAGGACCTTTAGATCTGTAAAGGTCATATTGAGTTTAACCTGCAAACAGGACACAAAAGACACATGGTTCAGCCCAATACTCTGCTAATTAAGGCTCAAATAACAGTTGTCTCACCATGACAGGTAGAACTGCCTTAAACAAGTAACTTGTTTGGTTTTTCAGAAAAATGGTAATGGACTCTGATTGTGTGTGAGGGCGGGTGGGTGTATCAGCTTGTGTGGAGATATCAATCAGGAAAACTGGGTGAACAAGGGTTTTATCATCCCCAGCCAAGGCATAGCTGAGTATTTTCAGAAAACAGAATAGAGATATTAGAGAACAGGAAGAAAAAGAAAAAAAGAAAGTAAAACAGCTCTTCAGAAACTGTATTACTGACTTTCACAGTTTGATGTCAAAACCTATAGCCAAAGGAGGCAGACTAGAATAATAAAAGTGCCATTTATTTATACAGTACCTTTTTCTGAGAAGTTCTTGATACATTATGGTCATCTGGTTATTCCCTGAGCTTCAGTCCAAATAGCTCCTAAAAAGTACCAAGTCACAACTATTCTGGAAAGTAAGCCACATCAAGCTATGCTAACTAAGAGGTGGCTGGAAACTTGGTTATTCAATGTCTTTGCATTCATTCCCCATGTTGGTCAAATCTCCCCCTACACACACGTGCACACACACATACACACTACGCACAGGCACACACACTCATATAACTCACACAAAAACACACTCATCTTTATTTAAATTCAGTAGTTCAACTTAAAGGAAAATTACTCATGTGGCTTACGTGTACAAAGTGGAGAAAAATGCTGTGAAGTTCATCTTCAGCCAGAGGAAGGAAAACTTTCTAAGCCAAACCTCTGATTGTCTTCCTTCCGCAAAACATCAAGAGTCTTTGGCATTTGGGTGGTGCTTGAAAAGTTGAGGGTTCGTATCTAAGACATTGTTTAAGTGACAATAAATTATCTTCTTTTCAACCGTGTAGGACAAAGAAATAGGGAGGGGGCTGGGAGAAGGAGTAGGTGGATCATTTTACAGACAAATAACCAGAAGCACATAGGATTGAACTGATTTACTCACATGTGTTCAGAAGGTTCTAGAAATAGGGAGCTGCAACACTTCAGCTCTCAATCCATGACTACAACACAAGGTTTTCTCTCTTGTAAGAGAAACAGTGTTTTCTTCAGATATCAGATACCATGGTAGTTCAGACTACTAAAAATAAACTGAAAAAGATCACGTTGCCCAGGAAATTTATTATTTAATGGACTTTCTGTTTCTGTTTTCAGAAAATAGTATTAAATGTTTTTAAACATTTAACTTGACAAATAATGCATGACATTGTCGTGGACAGTATTATGTTTGCTATAGGAAAAATGCACCCACAAAACAATAATTCCTGTATTTTCCAGAACATCCTCCCAAAAAAAATTAGAGAAAATCCAATAACTCTTATTCATTGATTTACTGATTCACTCACTGCTTCAAAAATATGCAGTAGGCATTAAATTTGATGCCATAAATAAAGGAAAGAACAAGACTCACTATTGAAAGTTGATTGTATCAGAAAAATCTGAAAGGATGATCACTCCTCCTAGATACTCTGCCAATGGCTTTTTGCACTCTCATAAAATTGGAATGACTTCCTATGGTGTTCAAGGCCCTATATGATCTATCCCTGAGCTATGCCACCCTCCTTTACTTCTAAATCTCTACCATGTATTTGGCACTAACCACACTTGCTCCCACTATTTCCTCTAAAGCAAATAGGTCAAGTTTCTTCTGACCTCAGGAAATTACTATTTTCCATGACCTCTGCCCAGACTAATCTTGTCCCATAATGGACTCTCCCTTACTTTATTAAGGTCTCTGGTCAAATGTGATCTGCTCAATGACGCCTTCACTAAGCACCTTACCTAAACATCCTCTCAGTCATTCTATTTCCCCAAAGCTTGCTTTTCTTTTTTATATGCTTTATTAGTATCTAACATTAGAAATATATCTTTGTTTATTTTCAGTCTTTCCCAGCTGAAGGCTAAGACTTTATTTCTCTCTCCCTAAATGAATGAATTGCCTCCAGCAGGTATCAAGAATGCCTGATATCCAGCAGGTATGAAGAAGGGATAAAGGTCCGAGGCATCCCTGGGAAACTGAAACAGCATTGCTTTAGTCCTTGGGTCCAGAGTTTCTATAGGCTCCCCTTTGAGAAAGACAAGTGAAAATTGGTTGTTGCAAATTAGATAATATGAGGAATATATGAATAGAAAAGAGTCACAGTTCTGTAATAGACTTTTACACTTGCATAGAAAAATCAAGAAGTTCCACAACTAACCTCAAAATGCTTTAATCGAATTGAAAAATGATGCTATTTGTCATCATTTATTTATTTTCATGCTTTGTGCCAAAACAATACCTCTCAAAGAAAAAAATGAGTTTGGGAATTTGTTAAGGTTATTATCTTTTGAACAGAAAACTACTCAGAGGAGACAAATTCTCCCAAAATCCTTTTCTATGATGTGATGCATCATAGAAAGTTATGTTTTTTGGGGGAAAATAGTACTGAAAATAGGAGAATCTAGGGCTTAGGTAATGATCTAAGAGAATGCCCTAGGGTTTATTTCATTTTTTTTCCTAGCCAGTCATTCTAAGATGGAAGTTCTCAAAAGTGTGATTTTGAGATCCTTCAGCAACTAAAGAGCTTTATTTTGGCAAATGTAGTTATTTTTGTAAAAAATATGTATTTATGTATTTATATATTTACATAAACATGTACATGTATGCATGTGTACATGTATGTGTACATGTATGTATATGTACATGTACATATGTCATGTACATATGTATTTATGTTAATGCATAATGGGTATATTATTATTTAAAAATGAATTAAAAACTAAATATTTAATAAATCCTCAGTTTTAACTTCAAATACAATAAATACCTACAGATATTATCTATATAAGCAAAAGTTTTTTGGGTCCTCAATAATTTTTATAGGCCGGGCACGGTGGCTCATGCCTGTAATCCCAGCACTTTAGGAGGCAGAGGCGGGTGGATCACGAGGTCAGGAGATCGAGACCATCCTGGCTAACACGGTGAAACCCCATTTCTACTAAAAATGCAAAAAATTAGCCGGGCGAGGTGGCGGGCACCTGTAGTCCCAGCTACGTGGGAGGCTGAGGCAGGAGAATGGCGTGAACCCGGGAGACGGAGCTTGCAGTGAGCAGAGATCACGCTACTGCACTCCAGCCTGGGCGACAGAGCGAGACTCCGTCTCAAAAAATAAATAAATAAATAAATAAATAATTTTTATAGCAGAAAGAAGTTCACAAGTTTTGAGAACTGCTGCTCCAAGACATTGAGATTACAACAAATCGATTCCTAAATAATTTTTTTATAAGTTAAACTTAAAACAATGAAGACATATTAGTAACCTCGATCACTTTAGTTATATATCTTTACCAGGACTCCAAACAAATAATGATTTATTTTTACATTTGTTATGTCTTATTCTTTCAGCAAAAGTTTTTAATGTAGACTTAGATGATTACTCCAAACTATTTGCATATACAGTTAAATAAAGCCTTACAAACATGAATTTATGGAAACCAATGAAAAGTTTCATGATCTAACATTATAGCCATGAGCACAAGCTCCCAAACCAAACTGCCTGGATTTACTCAATATTTCTGTACTTCAGTTTCTTTAAGTATAAAATATGAATAATATTAGAACCTAAATCAAAGGGCTTGTAAGATTAAGTAACTTCATACTTAAGAAGTATTCAGAACAGTACTAGGAACATTAATATTTGTTAGTAACTGTCATAGCCAATTTAGTATTGTTAGCTACTGTTACCACCATTTCTGAGAATAGTACCAAAATACTAGCAGGAACTCTGGAAGAAAACGGGGAAGCTGACATTAAAAGGGGAAGCTGACATTAAAACCTTAGGAAGTAGTGAGGTGTCAAAAAAATTAGAAATTGAATGGTAAAGTTAATCTGGCCATTTAAGGTTTCTTTTCTGAGAAACCATTTATGTTTTTGTCCAAGAGTAAACTTCTTTTTCTGGTACTTTAACCAGTAATCATGTGATAAGGCTACATTATGCAGATTAAATACATGTCCCAAAGAATACAACAAAGACTGAACTTATGAAAATTAGTATTCACAGGGAAGACAATCTGTTAATTCCTAAGTATATAATCTCCTGATGTTTCCCAAGCCAGGATGCCATATATTTAAAATCATATTCCTAGAGAACAATTGTTCTGACACAGTGTCATGAGAGTCAATGAAAGCCAGTCTTGTAAGGAGATAGTCTATTGAGAGAGGCAGTTCTCAACATTTGCACTACAGAAAGGACAGCAGAAGGAATAATCTTAGCTGGAATGTTCTAGATCATGTAACTTATTTTTCTATTTGCACTATGACTACGATTTGTGGAAGTTACATTTTTGGCAAGTTTTCGATACTAAATGAGATTATGCCTATATTTATATTGAATATCAAATCATATTAAAATTAGGATCACTAAATCTATTTTTCAAAGTGGAAGAATTTGGTTCAACCTAACAATAAACTTCAAAATAGAGTTATCTACCCAAGTTGCTTGAGGAAATGAGTTCCCCACCACTGGGTGTGTAAAAGGAAAAGTCTATATATTTCTATCAGAAAAAAATATAAGTCCATTTAATTCTGTTTCTTACCCATCTCATTAATACTGTAATAAACAAGCCCACTATCCTTTGTCTTCGACAGCAAGACTGCTCTGTGTGGCAACCCATTTCATATTCTGAACAACTTTCACTCATTTGTTCAACAAATATTTATGGGCCAGACACACTTCTAGGAAGTTGAAATATAGCAATCAACAAAACATGTAAAATGTTTGTCTTTACAAGACATATTATTTGGGGAAAAAGCAGATTAATAATAAATAAGTTAACATTATGTATGTCAGAAACTGTTATGTGCTATGGAGAAAAATCAAGTAGGGGAGAGGGAAAAGGAATGTTGAGATGGAGAGGAGGAGATGTTAGCTGGTTAAATAGTGAGGGATGGATATTCCCAGAAGCAATTGAAGAGGCAGGAGTGGGGATTTTAGGAAAATTTTACTTGGCCATAGATTGAAATTTGCTTTCTGGAATCATACCAAATAAGTTTAATTTATTTATAATTAGGTATTTTTCTATGTCTTTCATTTTCCAGGTGGAATATCTTCAGTTCTTTCTTCATTTTCCATGTGCTGTGATTCTTAGGTCCTCTGTATCTCAGGTCTTTTTCCCCTGGACATACCCCAGCCAGGGAACACTATACTCGGGAAACAGAGTAGAATGTGAAAATTGCAACCCTCCCGCCCCCTCCCGCCATTCTGACTTCTAACGTGAGCAGCGCTGCTCTCAGGTTACCCTCCTGACTTCCAAATCTGAGTTATCTGCCTCCTGTATGTATTATCTGTGCTGTATTATGCTGTATTGTAACTCACCTTAAACTTGACAGTCTCTAGAGAGCATTCTAAGCCATGAGCTCCACAATAACAGTCAGTATATTCTACTTCATCATTGTTCTTGACACATAGTGTGCTTCTAGTAGACTTAGTTGCATGAATTATCTCTCACAAATCTAGTAATCCGTAAGTTTAGATTCCACTGATTGGTTATGTTAACTCCATGAGGACAGAAAGTTTTATTATGTTTATTAATATATTGGCAGCACCTAGAATGGGTATGGGCCATGGTAGGTGTTGAAAACACATTTGGGCTGGGCATGGTAGTTCCCACCAATAATCCCAATACTTTGGGAAGCCAAAGCAAAAGGACTACTTCAAGCAAGGAGTGAGTTTGAGACCAGCCTGGGCACATAGTAAGCCCTTGTCTCTAAAAAAAAATATTTTTTAACCAAAGATCTTACATTGGTTGAAACATCTTTGTTTCATCTATGAAACAGCTAGATGAGTGTGCAGTGACAACAGATAGGGTTGTGATAATTGGCAAACAATTCTAAAAATTCAGACATGTTAATATAGTGCTTTTATATTTGATCAAGTGTTTGTCATGTGTGTTCTCATGTCATCTCCAACTCCCTGGAGTAAGGAAGATGGAATGTTTCATTTCCATCTTATAAAAGGGGCAATTTTACGAAGCTCACAGAGATTAAAGGAATAATTTGAGACATAGAAGTTGTTAGGCTTAAATCCACATCTTCCAATTCAAGTTTTTTTCTTTACTCCACAATATGCGTGTGTAAGTTTACTGCAAGGTTGTCATATAAAGTGGACATTTTCTTATATGAAAGTCAGAAGGTCACCTTTGGCAGCACTTGGCCTTCCATACCACTTTGATTCCTCCACTTCCATGCCCCATGTTTACAATTCCCCCGGTTCAGACATAGGTCATGTTTGTTCATAGTCAACCGCAGTCTCCTCCTCTCCTCCTTTCACAAGCAGGAAGAGTTCTCTATCCTAATGTGATTGATGCCCTGCCTTTTACATCTATTAGATGATGCATTGTAGCTGGATGAACATATTTTAAATTTCTTACTTCTTTAAGATTTGCCAGCATGATATAGAAATATATGTTTTGAAGTTTTGTCTTAGAAAGTTTTTATTAAAAAATGGACCTTGTCCTATCTTGCCAAAGGTAGCTGACGTTTTTACTATTTGTAATTTCAAAAAATTTGTTTCCATTTATTGCAATTGCATTAATCATTTCAGATTTCCTGTCAACTTTATTTCCTTGGGTTACATGAATAGGGTATTTCCAGACAGATGCCTGAGGTCAGTAACTTCTTATTTTAATGAGGGGTGTGCTTCCTCTATATGACTGATGGAGAAACATTATTTTTAGGCAGCAAAAGCAAGTCAGTGTGCTTAGCTTACGGTTTATTACTGTCTCACTCCATAGGATCAGGGGTGGGAGGTAGTACGCCCCTATTTCACAGGGACTGAAAGTGTGCTAATGCCATGAGAGTTTAGACATTGATGGATGAGGTCATCTATTCCAGCCTCATATGGTGATAGAGAATTAAGTAAGATGTTTTCTGTGTGATTGTCACACAGGCTTGTCAGGTAGGACTTTCAAGGTAGAAAAGAAGGAAATGCAGCTGAGGTGGAAAAGCAGTGGTCAAGCAGGTAAAGAACGGACACTGCAGTAAAAAAACCCTGGGTCCACGGCCCTGCTTAGGAGCTGAATGACATGAAGTTTTTTCTTCCCTATAAAATAAAGTTATCAATACTTATGTCAGAGGGTGGTTCTAAAGATTAAATTGCTTCATATGTAGTCTCCATTAGCAGTGGCAGAGGTTTGCTGTTTCAGAAACCAAGCCTTCAGTGAAAAGCTTCCAGCAGCCACTTCAGTGTAAAATCAGCAATTTCACAGATGATAAAAAGCAGCAAGTCTTCCCATTTTAAAAGCTGGGTTGTAGAGCTCATAGTAATAGCAAAACCACTTATGTGTTTGTAATCTGTACCATGAGATTTAAGAGAAGAAGATACAGTGGTATGTGTTACATTTAAGTGACAAGGATCTTTTTTTATTTCCACATTGAAAATTGATAGTTTAATTTGGCAATTAAACAATTGTTGATTGAAAACACTTCCCTAATTATAAAAGATAAAATTTTAATTTTATTTTTATTGTTAATTGTGAAAAAATTAAGTCTTAATGAAAGTAAATAAAGTAGAAAGAAAAGATTATTCAAAAGCCACCATCCAGAAGTTGACAAACACACATATCAGTTGAGGGATAGTCTTTTATTTTTTTCTATACATATATCTATAGCTATACATATAAAATTATTCTTTTTATAAATATAGGATCTTATTATATGTAATGTTTTATAACTTGCTCTTAACACAATATGTGTTTATGTTAATATAGGTCTATATTAATCAATACTTCATTCTGTTCATGTCAATATACATTTACAATCCCATTTTTAATGGGTTTCCATGGTTATAATAATGTCTTAGCCTAGTGTTGGACATTTATATTGTTTTCAGTAATTTTTGCTATAATAAATAATGCCATTTTGAACTTCTTTGCCTTTATATTTGTGCATACTTTTCAATTATTTTCTTAGGATAATTTACTTCTAGTATAATTATTCTAAGGCTATGCTTATTAAAAATTTTATAAAGTTTGCTAGATTGCCCTACAGAAAAACTATTTTGATTTAAACACAATGGGAAATTTTTAAGTTTTCCCAAAGTGTAGAGCTTTAATTGAAAGAAACTGAGTTTTAATGCTGTTATCCAAAGGGAAAAAGATACATTAAAATGTGGATTAGTTCCAGAGAAAATAAGAAGAGTATGCAGAAAAATAGGGAAAGAGTGTGCGTAAGTAGAATTCAGTGAAAGTACTAAAACAATGTTGAAACTGAACTTTAGGGAAACCAAATAGTCGATGAGAGAAAGTTATTTTAAAAATCCCAGTTAATAATGATAAAGTAATTATAGTTTTAGGATACAAACGTTTTGAAATCACCAAGGAAATAAAGGATTAGGCAATAATTAGCAATGGTTGCTGAAAACATTCAATGGGAAGGTTTATAATAAACGAATCAAGTTGACGATACCTGAACACATTGACAATTTTAGCAACACTGAGTGTAAGCAGACATTATTTTCCTTTTGATATGACAAAATAAAAGATATATACACAACAAAATCCATAATACATTCAATAGCTTATAAACATATATAGGAAAGACAGGGGACAGAGAAATCCATGAAAAGAAAACACAGAAATGCAATCAGCAAATTCCAGAATGTGTGAAACTTGATGGAACAAAAACTTGATTTCCTCAAACATTAAATTGCAAAAAAAATAAAAATAAAAAGGATGAGGGAGTGGTATTTATAAACATTGTTTTGTGTATTATTCTGTTTTCACATTGCTATTAGGAACTACCTAAAACTGAGTAATTTATGAAGAAAACAGGTTTAATTGACTTGCAGTTCTTCAGACTTAACAGAAAGCATGACTGGGAGGCCTCAGGAAACATACAGTCATGATGGAAGGCAAAGCAAGGACCTTCTTCACATGGTGGCATGGGAGAGAAAGTGAGGAGGGAAGTGCCACACACTTTTTAACCATCAGAACTCACTATCATGACAGCAGTATGGGGAAATTCACCCCATAATCCAATCACCTCCCACCAGGCCTCTCCTCCAACATGTAGGTATTACAATTCCATATGAAATTCGGCTAGGGACACAGAGTCAAACCATATCATCATGTATGTTTAAAAAGCATTGCAAACATAGTTAATGCTTTAATGCTACTTGAATCATTATTCTTTCAAACCAACTGCACACACACTGTTAATGAGACCATCAGGGATCTTTGATGAGATTATGGAATTATTATTAACTTTTCAAGTGTGGTAATATTTTTGCACTTATGAAATACAGACTTCTTTTAGAAGCATATATTGAAATATTTACTGATGAAATAATATTATATCCAGGATTGGCTTTACTTTGATTTTTGATTTTCTTTATTTATTTTAAATATAGAGATGGGATCTTGCTATATTGCCCAGGCTGGTATAAAACTCCTATGATTAAACAACCCTCCCACCTCAGCCTCCCTAATAGCTGGGATTATAGTCGTGAGCCACCACACCCAGCCCAGGAAAGGCTTTAAAGTCATCGAAGGTGAAGGGTGAAGAAGAGACCTAGATGCAACAAAAGTGAGCACCAGTTGACAACTGGTGAAGCTAAAGATGGGTATATGGGGTTTGTTCCACTATTCCTTCTGCTTTGCATATGTTTGAAATTTACTATGATAAAAAAGGAGGAAAAAAGTATTTAAACATAGATTACTATATAATTAAGATTTATGCACACTGGGAATACACAAAATACAGAAAAGAAAAGTAACTTTTAATTAAGCAGAAATTAAAAATAGAGAATTGTAATAATCTAAAAATTATTCGTGTTTCAGAAGGCGCTTATTTAAACTTAATGAGCCGTGCTAAGAATTATGTAGAAAGACATAAAAAGTCTTCATAATTAAAATAAACTAAGTAATTGTCAATTAGAAGAAACTGTTTAAATGGACAAAGTCTGTATTTCTGTCAAGGCCAATAATAGTAATATGTAGAATATACATAAACACCACTAAACGCCACTTATTTTTAAATACGTAAATGCTTACTAAAGTTAGTAATATCTCAAAATTATTTTTCCAGAGAAAAATGAATGAGTATACTTTGTACATGATAAAATAATTGTCAGTAGTGGAGGGAAATAATAACATTTCCATGTCATCTTGTGTGTAAGGTATAATGTAGATCAAATTAAAATAAATGGGTATATTATGTGTAGGAAGCATTGAAACCAAAAGATTAAACACAGATTTTATATCATAATATCTCAATGTTTAAATGGGTAAAAGAGACTGAAATCAGTTCAACATTCTCATGTTATAGACAACCAAACTGAGATCTAGGAAGCTGAAGTGATTTGCTTAAAGTTATACCCATATTTAATAGTGAATACATTTGGCTTATTTATATGCAGTCTTATGATCATGCATGATACAATTCTTTACTCCAACTTTGTTGTCAAAAATCACTTTGTGAAGATTGCAAAGGTGGTAACCATAAAATTTAATATCATTAATGTAATAGATAAGGATGGTGAACATACTAGTGAATGCAAAAGTGTTACAGAAAACCACCATTGTTTTCTTTGGGAAAAGAGGAAATTAATTGGGATTTAATTAAAGTGGACAGCGTTCTGACAGGAATAACAAGACCGACACTATGCAGTTATTTATGCGAATGTCAAATAGAAAGACATACTATATGACCTTTAATTAAGAAAGAAATTGTCTCTAAAAGGAACAAAAAGGCAGCAAATCATTATTCTGTAGAAGGAACATAAAAGGAGACAACAATAGCAGCTGCCAATGTTTTTAATTGAGAGAAAGATAATTTAGAGGAGTGAATAAAATTGTTTTGACTTTTGTCCTCTCTCCATCTGTACTGAATAGCAGTTAATAGCACTTTCACCCCCACCCCCATCAGAAGTAGCTCTATAGGGTAGTGCTTTATGGGGCAAATCATTTCCCTGTGAGATGCTCCTTTAGTAACAAAATTGAGTTCATATACATCAGTGCTCCAACACACTCTCAGCTGTATGCAAAAGGACAGCATTTTCAGATAGGCAGCTTGGGGTTAATAGTGGAGTCTTTGGACACGTAAAAATTGAAGCTGAGCAACCCTTCTGGGAGTCAGATCCATATGCTAAGTGGCATCATAAGCACTGTGCTCTAACCAGCTTAGCCTCCAGCCAGCCTTGGGGATCCTCTCTGGTCCTTTCTACAGAGGCTTTAATTAACTGTCCCCCTGGTGTGCACCAGGTGGGATTTCACTCTCAAATTAATCCATCTTTTAAAGCTCTATGTCACTTCTCTTCCGTTCTCTGCACATTTTTTTTTTTTTTTAGATAACTCATTCCTGTAAGGTATTTAATTTACTAATCTCAATATCTGGGCACTTTTATATTTAATGCTCTCTTGGCTATTTCTAATGAGTTGATGTCAAGTAATCATATATAGTTTTTCAGGTGCATAAATATGTGAATGAAAAAATTAAGCAGCATGTATTGGAAATACAGAGTCCAAGTTGCAATTTTCAGCCTCTATGCTCCTTAGGGAGAAAAAAGACACATTCAACAAACCAACATGAATTATTAGGTATTATAATATGCACAGCATGGGCCTGGGTACTGTGTAATGCAAGAGGGTAAAGAATCATATTTCCTGTCATTACAGAGCACTTTATCCTTATTGCACTACAAGATCCTCGTAATATAGAAAGAAGCAGATTAGCACCCTCAGTTTGCAAGGGAAGCAAGGCTCAGAGCAGTTGTGGATTTACCAGCACCTAATTAGTAGCAGAACTGAAACTACATATTTTCTTTTCATACACCTCAGACTTATGGCAGGCAGCTGACCATCTTATTGGATGTAAAAGCTGTAGAGGACCTTTAAGACATGTTTTAATAATATGCTTGAGTGTAGCCCCTGTGAAGCTTCTTTGCTGCCCCAGCTTCCTGACGGGTATATCGTTCCACAAAATTTTCCATCGCTTTTGATTGAAAGAGCCTCATTTTTGAAATTGACTTAGTCCTATTTATTGTTAAATGTCAATGTCATAATCAATTCAAATTTCTTTCCCAACCCCTGCCCTTGCCACAGTGGACTATATTTCTTTAACTCTAGAGAGTTATAAATGTGAGGGTATCAATTCCTTCGGACTCAATTTCCCCCTTGTTTTAGTCCATTTTGTGCTGTTATGAAAAAATACCTGATACTGGGTAACTTATAGAGAACAGACATTTATTTTCTGATAGTTATGGAGGATGGAAAGTCCACAATCAAGGTGCTGGCATCTTGTCAGGGCCTTCTTGCTGTGTCCTCACATAGCAGAAGCCAGGAGGGCAAGAGAAGACAAATACTGTGTCCTCACATGGCAGAAGGGCAGAAGAGAGAAAATCCACTCCCCAAAAGACCGTTCTATATTGGTGTTAATCCATTCATGAGGGCAGGGTTCTCATGACCTAAACACTTCCAATGCAGCCCCACCTCCCAATGCTGTTGCATTGAAGATAAGTTTTCCAACACATTTTATTTTAAAAATAAATTTTAGGGGACACATTCAGACCATAGTACTCCTTGTATAAAAAAATACGCTATCGCACCTTATTCTGAAATAAAATTACGAATATAACATATTCCATGTATATATATTAAAATTCTTTATAATGACCTAACTATAATATACAAGGGAAATAAATGGTAACATTTTATAATAAATTAATACGTTACTTAATGTATAAACACTCAGATAGAACCACATTAAAAGAGATGATGTAGTAATCAGATGCTTGTTCCATTATGTAGAACTACCCCAAAGGCAACAGCTATAAATGCTTGCTAACAGGCAACATTGCCATCAGTGAAGTGATTTTTATCAAAATGGTGAAAAACTTTTGTTAAATTCCAAGTAAAACAGTACACTTTTTCTTCAATATACACAGTAGTTATATTCCTGGAAAAATCAGTGTAAATGTAAGCATGCCAAAAATACTATATATATATGTAATAGGTTCCTCACCTACATGAATGCCCTGTAAAACACTTGAAAGCTATAAGGCATGAAGGACAATTGTCTATGGTAGGAGACTGTCCCATACATTGCAAGATGTGTTGTATCCCTGGCTCTAGTCAAATAAATATCCATAACAACTTTCGTATTATCATGACAACCATAAAATACCCCATGAATTTTAAAATTGCCCCCGAGGGAGTGGTACAACCCTAGTTGACAACTTCTTCTCTAGAGATTTGCAAAGAAGAGAGATATTATCTACCCTCTCACCCGCCCTTTTTCCTCTGTGCTTCTATAGTGTTCTGGCACAGCTGGGGGTGGGAGAGGAGTAAGGAGAGAACACCTCTTGTGGCAAGGTTGCAGCTCCTTCATATTGGCACCTGCTTCTGATCAATCTCATTTATTATCTAATCAGTGTGGTTGGATCAAATACTCAACTGTCCCCACTGAGATGGACTCTTTACTCAGCATCTCCTCCAGGCACTGGGGGAACTTACATGTGACCAGATTATTCTTATAGGTTGACTCCCACCAACTGGTGGCCTCACTCAAAATACATCCTGTGTCCTATGGTAGAGTCCTTGGCAGGTCTGCAGTTCCAATGTCATGCCCCCACCACATCCCCACTTCTCAGACTGTTTTAAATACCTCTCCAGTGACAAACCCCACACCACTCCATTCCTCCTCTGTAGTCTTTCACCAACTCTAGGGGTATATGATACAGAAGAAAGCTGGAAGCTAAGATTGGGAAACAGATGCCAGTCTCCCCTTCTTACAATCTTTAAAGCAATTCTTTTGGAACCTCTTCCCTTTACCTCAAAGAGGAGAAACAAATGGGTCCTCTCCTTCACAACTCCTAATAGAGTGCACAGTAGACTGGGTCTAATTGTTGTTTTGCTCATATGCCACAATGGAGAAAACTTAACTGCAAACAAAGAGGTAGAAATGAAGGAATCTTTTAAAGTTATGAAATGCGTTGTCTCTATGCTAGAATTCAGCCAGTGCTGTTTTTGTTTACATTGGCTACCAATATTTCTTCTTTAGGGAATCTCTCTGAACCTATCTGGTTCAGGGAACTGCCCGAAATATATTTGTATGTATCCTCTTTTGGCCAGGTGTGGTGGCTTAAGCCTGTAATCCCAGCACTTTGGGGGGCCGAGGTGAATGGATCACCTGAAGTCAGGAGTTCAAGACCAGCCTAGTCAATATGGTGAAACCCCGTCTCTACTAAAAATACAATAACTAGCCTGGCGTGGTGGCATGCACCTGTAATCCCAGCTACTCAGGAGGCTGAGACAGGAGAATTGCTAGAACCTGGGAGGTGGAGGTTGCAGTGAGCCAATATCACGTCACTTCATTCTAGCCTGGGAAACAGAGCGAGACACCATCAATCTGTCTCTCTCTCTATATATATATGTGTGTGTGTGTGTGTGTGTGTGTGTGTGTGTGTGTGTGTGTGTGTGTATGTGTGTGTGTGTATGTATATATCCTCTTTAATCCTCCTCCCTTGTCTGTAAGTCTGAGAGTAATTTAGAATAGCATATCAAGAAGGGATATGGGCAAAAAAAGAACAAGATTCCACCAAGCAATCTGAAAAGCAATCTGGTGGATAATTCTGGTCATTGTGGCAATTACTAATAATCACACAGGAGACCCCAGACAAGGGATAGCAATGAAAGTAAAACCATGCATAGAAAATATGAGTTAATTTGTTTTTAATCTTCCAGTTGTCAATTCTCCCCTTAATAATTAAGTTAGAAGGAATTCTGCTAAATTTTGTATGAGAGAGAGAAGTGAAAAAGGGCAGAAAATTTAGTAACTGTAAGGCTAATTGTTCTATAGTGGAACTAAGGCGATTCTTTAGAATGAAGCAGATATCACCTTGATCTTAGGAAAAACAAAAGCAAAAAATTAATTCCGACAAGTTCAACACGTACTATGCTTATCTTGCAGCCGCCGCTGACACCCCTTTCTCCCTCACTGGCTGCGTGCATTAGAACCTCTGACCTTTCAGTTCCTCAACTGCATCTCATCTCAGGGCCTTTGTGTCCGAAGCTGCTTTTGTCCAGGGCTCTACTGAACTCACTTCACTCCCTCCTTTCCTAGCCAATGCTTATTTACCTTTTGGAGCTTTACAGAGTCTACTAAAAAAGGTTAGCTCTCTCTCTTAGAAAACGTCTAAGCCCACTCTCTGTGTCTTCTTGCTGCCACTTACCACAATGTTAATTAAAAACTAAATTGTGTAATTTGGTTAGTTTTCTTCCCCACGATGAAAGCCCCATTTTTTTTTTCACTGATAATTCCATTGTGTCTAACACAGGACCTTGCTTAGTGGTCACTCAAAAACTACTCAATAAACAAATGAGTGAATGAACGAATAATTTTTATCTATCATAACACAGCTAGCAGGCAACTACCAAAATTCAAGTTTATTCCCACAAAACTCAAGCTCATTCCTGCTGTTTTATTTTATTTTATTTTATTTTATATTTTATTTTAGACTGAGTCTCACTCTATCACCCAGGCTAAGGGCAGTGGCGTAATCTGGGCTCACTGCAGCTTCAAACTCCTGGGCTAAAGCAATCCTCCCACCTCAGCCTCTCAAGTAGCTAGAAATACAGGCATGCACCACCACATCTGACTAATTTTTGACTTTTTTATTGAGATGAGTTCTCACTAGGTTGCTCAGGCTGGTCTCGAACTCCTGGGCTAAGCGATCCTCCCACCCAGGCTTCCCAAGGTGCTGGGATTACAGGCATGAACCACCATGCCCCGCCTGCTCTGATCTTCTCTAATATGAGATACTGCCTCTCAAAGAAAAAAAAAAAAGAAAAGATTCCCAACTTGTCAGGAAATTCATTAGGTATTTTTCTAACACTAGGATTCATATATAAATAGAATGTTATTTATTTAAATAAGTTTACTTAAATTTATTTAGTTATAGTTGATTAAGAATTAAAAAGTATTAGATTTATTTAATTAAATGTAGGATTTTATGGCTGGGCACAATGACTCACGCCTGTAATACTAGCATTTTGGGAGGCCGAGGTGGGTGAATCACCTGAGGTTAGGAGTTTGAGACCAGCCTGGCAAACATGGTGAAACCCCATCTCTACTAAAAATACAAAAATTAGCCAGGTGTGGTGGTGCATGCCTGTAATCCCAGCTTTTTGGGAGGCTCAGGCAGGAGAATTGCTCGAACCCAGGAGCTGGAGCTTGCAGTGAGCCAAGATTGTGCCACTGCACTCCAGCCTGGGCGACAGAGTGAGACTCCACCTCAAAAAAAAAAAAAAAAAAAAAAAGGAGGATTTTACTTTAAAATGAGAGGATAAACATCGAAAAATCTAGCATATTCTTTCCATTTTATAAATATATCTTATAATGTCAAGTACTGTTAAATCAACACTAGATTTCTTATAACGATGAATGTATAGTGTTTTAGTTTGTGTCAGATTAACAGTGTCAGAAAGATGTCAAAAATACACATGAAAAATCAAACAATTTATTTTATCTTTGGACTTGTTATCTAACAAATAAGACTGCCTTTAACAAAACAATGTTCTTCTGAATATATATGATCAAAAGACAAAAAGACTTGATTAAATGTTACAAATATATTAGATTTCCTTCACTGGTCTTGTATATTTCTGAAATAATAGTAAAATCAGTGGTAGTTAAGGGAAGTAAGAGGCTCTTTATAAAATCCATCCTTTGTCAGACTTAGCTTTCACTCACAGTAAATTTAAATGTCTGGTGGTTGTGCAGGGGCGCGGAGTGGGCAAGGGTTTTTTCACCTCCTCCTTACTTGCAAGTCAGTTCTATGTCATAGAAAGAAGACCGGATATTCTCAGATTACTATAATCTGTTTTAGAAACACCAGCACACCAAGGGGGACAGGCAGTGGGAGCAGTAAATCCACGTTGCAAAGGATCAGGGGGTGCATTGTCTGTAGAGAAGTTAGGCACAATAATAAAACCAACGAAGGGTCTGTCTGCTTTTTATTGCTACCATTCATCATCTCAGTGGTGAAATATCCTCTCTGCCTGGTACAGCAGACTAGCACCCTCCATCCGCACCTTGATATGCCAGTCTTAAAAATGATTTTTTTCCTATAATAGTATCGACTTTATAGAAATTATATGTGTTGCACTTGAAACCATCCAGAGTGATTCCTCTCAAAATGAAAACTCAGTACTTTTTTAAAAGATTAAGCTGAGCGGTAATAGGATTCTGCTAAGAATTGGGCCAAAGAAAAAAATGGCTATATTCTTCCTTTTCGCCCTCAGTAGTTGTTTAGAGTCCTTTTATGTGAGTCTCTGGTCTCTTTATCCTTGGTCATGCCCACTTAAACACATCTCAGACACACTGTCAAGATTTACCTTCATAAAGTACATATCCGGCCATAGCACTTACTTCTTGAAAAATCCTTATAGTCAGGTGCGGTGGCTCACGCCTGTAATCCCAGCACTTAGGGAGGCTGAGGTGGGCAGATCACCTGAGGTCAGGAGTTCAAGACCAGTCTGGCCAACATGGTAAAACCCCATCTCTACAAAAGATATAAAAAATCAGCTGGGCATGGCGGTGCCTGCCTGTAATCCCAGCTACTCGGGGAGGCTGGGGCAGGAGAATCACTTGAACCCAGGAGGCGGAGGTTGCAGATCATGCCACTGCATTCCAGCCTGGGCAACAGGGCGAGACTCTGTCTCAAAAAAAAAAAAAAAATTAAAAAATACTTACAGTCTGATTTTACCTATAAGTCTAAATTCCTAGAGGCCATGGAGAGTGTCTAATTCATTTTTTTAATCACCACAGAACTTAGTTCATGGCTCTGAATGGAGTAGTCACTCCCTATTTGCAGCTGGAATGACTTAAAAATTAAACCAGTAATCTGCTACAAAATATAAATGATTACCCTATAAAGTAGCATGTTCCATTAAATTGCATCATTTATTCAACAGATATTTATTGATCTATCTGTTACAAGTGAAGTATGCACTTTGCTGTGTGGAATAATTTTCTATCCAAGCTCTGCTTTTCCTTGAGCAACATTCAGAGATTTTTATTTTTCTTTTTACAAAAGAAACAATAAGAGAAAAATTAAATCCTTTCTTAAGATCCATGAGATACATAATTCATATATCTATTTTAGGCTTCAAATCTGATATCATTCATTTCAAAAAAGCACAGTATATGAGTTGTAATCTGCTTTAGGCCCTGAGTCTCCAAGTAGACGTGAAAAGAAGTATACAAGACTCTGCAAATAAAACACCATTGACACCATTGACGTTAAATAACATTTACAAAAACAAGAGGTCAGCTATGATTTTCATGGGTATTTGCAAATTTGCAATTGGTGATTTTTCAATAATTAAATATTTGGCCATATTTACAAGCCATGTATGCGAATGAGTATGTGAGTTTGTGGAAGAGTGTGTGTGTGTTGTGTATAGTATAATTTCAGGTAACAATTCAGGAAAAAGGAAAAGGAGGTATGATGGACCCATAGAAAGCAGCACTGGGACCACCATTAAGTTACACATGCATGATTCCCATGGCCTCCCCCAACACTGCCCACCAATGCTGTTGACTTTGTGGCAAGAGGTTCACCCACCAGAGCTTACTTATAAAGTTGGTCATCCAGGTGCACTAATAAGATGCTATAATATAAACCAAAGAGGCACTCAGAATTCTTGTGTCAACTGTGCCTTAGAAGGAATGGTTATTTTTATGTGCAACCCCTGGTGGCAGTCTGTCTTTTTGAAACAACTCTTGGATGTATTTAATATGAATATGCTCCAAAACGCAGTGGTACAAGTCATATGGCCATGCCTCTGCTGCTGACCCTGATAAAGTCCGATGGCTTTGAGGCAGGAATTCCTAAAAACAAAATAAAACTCAGTACAGGGCAGAAACAAATTTTCAAAACAAAAAAAAATATACTGTCCTATATCATTTTATCTGTTTGGGACTCTCAAAAAAGGTTTGGTGGTGTCAACAGGAAATCTTAATTCAAGTCTCTGCAGAACTGACCACCTAAACTAGTACTTTCCCTAAACCTTTCTATTCCATTTTTCCTGCTTTATGAGCTTCATAGCAGTTTCTCCATATGACACCCTACAATGTGTTAATTTGTTTATTTTGCTTGTTGCCTGTCATTTTTTCACTAGAATGTGAGTCCCAGGAGAGTAGAAACTTCTACTGATGTTTTCACTGCTGTCTCTCCAGTGTCTGAGACAGTGCCTGGTCCGGAGTCCATCCTTATAAATATTTGTTGAAAAAATCCATAAAGAAATGAGTGAACAAATGAATTCATGGCTACTCTCAGCTGTGTTTTATTTTTCTCTGTTCTACCCAGCTTTTTTTCCTTTAATAAGAGTTGCTTGATGACCAACGATTGACATAATCAGGAAACTTACATATTCCTTGAATCTTGAAAAATAATAAATAAGAATACAAGAATAATGCTTATAAACCCCATGCCTAGTGAACCCTTCTTAATAGAGGAGATAAGAGATTCTCTGACTTAGTCACAAATTGGTCCAAATAAGAGCTTAGAAGTAATTCCTGAGATAACTGACAAAGGGTTAGTTTACAAACTCAAGCCTGAGGCTCGGTCAGATTGCTGTCTCTGTGTGGTTCCTCGTCCTGCAGTGTCACAGACAATCTGTCTGTCATCGCAGAGCAGGTGGCCAGGCAGAACACCGGTGTAGATATGGTGACTGTGTCAGCTAACCAGAGCCTGAACTGCAGCCACAAAGAGATGATTGCTATTAAGTTGCAATTTGCACTGGAGAGAGGCCAAAGAGTTTACCCTATCACCGGAATCCTTCTTTCCATCTACACCAGTCCCCTTACAGGGGACGATACATGTTCTACTAATTCATGTCCCATGCACCAAAAACTGCTCTAGATGCTGAGGAATAAATGTTCAAGTAGAAGGGGGCCCCATAGTAATGGACTGGACTTTCTAGATCATATCCTCCAATCTGCTTATGTCAGGTGAATTACATTACCTGCCCCTTAGGGACTCAAAAAGGCACTTAAACGTTTGTAAGTCCTCTTAAATTTCCCAGAAAAGTCCTCATTTTTATATTCTATTAATAGTGAAATTTGATAGAGCAGCAGAAAAGAAACTGAGTTGTGCCAGACGTAAAAGAGCTTTATCACTCGTCTTTGCCACAAATTAGCTATTTGACCTTAGGTCAGTGGTTTTCAGCCCTGGCTGAATCATAGAACCATCCCAAAAAACTTGAAAACAAAACAAAACAGTGCCCAGACTCGACTTCTGACCAATAGAGGCAGAATGTCTAAGGGTAGGACCCAGCTTTCAGTATTTTTTTAAATAACCCAGCTGATACATGCGTACAGCCAGGATTCGGCAAATCCCTTTGTACTTTCTTTCTCAGTCTGTAAAATGAGAGTAACCATAGCAGCCCCAACTAGTTCACAAGGATTTCTTACATAAAAATTAAATTGGAGGTGGCAAAAAATGTTAATGTCTATACAAACAATTTATCCTTTGTTTTGATAAAGACATTCTTAGGAATGCTGAAACAAACCCAAAGGTGACTTTTGTGTGACTGGATAATACTTTTAAAAGAATGGGAAAATAGAATGCAGTTTCTAAGTATTACTTGTTTGTGATTACTAAGGATTCTTTAGGTCACACTGTATGAGTCTACATTTTTAAAGAGACGAGAGCATACAGTTTCATTATTTCCAGACACTTCCAGTAGTAGCAGAATCAGCATCATTAAAATCATGGATTACAACACCCATAAGTTTAGTCAATTTTCCCCTTAGGTTTCATCTTCAAGGGCTACTGTCTGGGCATTGTGGTAAGCACTAAAACAGTGGCAGCTCTCAGAAGAGTCTAATCAGTGACCAGCAATTGAAGATACAGCGAGGGAGATATATATCATAAACGGTGCCTTGGAAAAGAGATTTATGAAAAAGGCTGAAGTGTAATCTCGCAGGGACATTGCTTCTGAACTGGATTGTAGGGAACAACTGCCTGGTACAAAGCACCCCAGGGAGCTTATCTTGAGCCCCTATTTGATGAAGAGTCCTTGAATCAATGTTGAGGAAAGTGTGTTGTGTAAACTTAGTGAAGAAGTTTACGCCCTACAGAAAAAGTTCCCAGTTAATAAAATTAATGTAATGTGACAATCAAAATTTTAGTTGTAGCAGGATTTGCGTAAAATGACTGTCTTTGAAATTCTACCCTCAGTTTATAATAGAGATAAGATCAAATTGATACCCAGACATAAGGGAACAGAATTATTGTGAAGGAGAGAAGAATTCATTGCCCCTTTTAATCAATCACTAACCACACTATGTACTTACAAAATCAGAAAGTTCACAAGCAGCTTTTTTCATTACAGAGAGGAAAAGTACTCTCTTGATGTAGAAATGTATATTTTTCTGGATTATTCATTGCATAGAACTCTGTATAACAAAAACAACAGCATAATCAATATCAATAATTGGATGACCTGATTATGTAGAATCTAATTATATAGAAATTTTAAAATTTACATTGACATCATGTTTATGAAACTTTACCAGTAATAATAACAGCAATATCGTTTGCTGAGCAATTACTATGATCAGGAACTATGCCAAGCATCCTATATACATTTTATCCTTCCCACAGCACCTTGAGGGAGAGTTTATGATCCATGTTTTCCAAACAAAGATATTGAGATTTAAGAGGTTAAAAAGCTTCCCCAAGGTCACACAGCTGGATCTGAAAAATCTAACACAGATATTCTGACTCTAAAGCCTTGGCTCTTAACCAATCTGCTATTATTTTCTGACCTCTAAATTAATAGCTCTAGATAATGATTCTGCCATTGAGTTACCATTGATAAAGTTGCAGGACAGAGACTAGATATTTCCTTAATTTAATAAGGGGCAGAAATGAAAAACAGAAGTCTCAGAATTTTGTACAAACCCAATTCTTTTTTTTTTTTTTTTTTTTTTTTGAGACGGAGTCTCGCTCTGTCCACCCAGGCTGGAGTGCAGTGGTGTGATCTCTGCTCACTGCAAGCTCCGCCTCCTGGGTTCACGCCATTCTCCTGCCTCAGCCTCCCAAGTAGCTGGGACTACAGGTGCCCGCCACCACGCCCGGCTAATTTTTTGTATTTTTAGTAGAGACGGGATTTCACCATGTTAGCCAGGATGGTCTCGATCTCCTGACCTCGTGATCCACCCGCCTCAACCTCCCAAAGTGCTGGGATTACAGGCGTGAGCCACCGCGCCCAGCCCAAACCCAATTCTTTAATATCAGTTGCTCAAATGTAGAATTGCAGGTCCCTGATGTCCAAAGACTGTGACAAATTCATTGGCGACTCAGAGGAAGTGGTTGACCCCACGGTAATGCAGAGAGGAGGAGAGTTGTGACTGTGAGTCTGCCAGGAAGGCTGCCCCAGTCTGTGGACTGTTGTGCAGTAGCAGGGTTTACAACTGGGTGAGGTACAAGAGTGGTGTTCAGTTGGTCAAAACAAAACAGAGAAGTAAAAGTTTAACTGCAGGAACAAGTCTCCAGGGAAGAGGAACAACAGCACTTAGAAGTCAACAAAGAATTCTCAAAGTCATCCCCAAAGCAAAGAACCCTGGATCTACTCATCAGCAAAGAAAACCTAAAGAACAAAACTGGGAACCCAATGGTTCACCTGAGATTCTTAGGTATGGAAAAATGGCTAATTCTAAGCTCCACTCACTGGCCAGGCTAGGGGCTATTATGTAATAACATTTTCTTATGTAGAAATCACTATGAAACTGAGCCTGTGACTGAACAGATAGGTGATTAGTGAAGGCTGGCAGAGTAAGAAATGAGGTGAGGGACGACTAAGACTGTATTAACATATTTCAGAAGCCCGAAGCAATGGAAGAGACAATAGAGGTACCTCTGATTTATGTAATTCAAAGTAAAAATGAAAGGAATTTAAACAGAGTATTGTGCTTGTTTTCCCTATGATGAAAACATATTGAGTGCTTTAGTAAAGTATTAAATATTTTTAAAAATCTTGGTAACCTGATCACATGTCTAAATTTTCTATAGACTAGATAAAAAGTAGGGCCTAATTCACAATATTTACACTTGGTCTGAAAATGAGTTTGCTAACAGATCCCCTGAAGGTTTCCTAGGAAATAGTTTGTGAACATCAGAACATCTTTCGAATATATCAAATCTTAGTGATATCCCTGTGGAGTCCCCTGAATGGTTGTGTCGTATTGCTTTGGTTAGATAACAGTGGAGACCCGGTGACTCTTAATTCCAAGTCCAGAGGAAAGAATGGCAATCAATATGGAAGACTGCAATTAAGAAACATTACTGCTATTAGAATGTAAATTACCACCTTCCTCCATTCAACATGTCTTCTTTCCAAAGCCACAGACTGCAGCAGCCTCACTTTTTCCTTTCTTAGAGCCATAGTCTTCCTCAGCCTTGTGCCTGTGATGCAGCCTTTGATAATTCTCGCAATAAAAACTCACTCATGTATGACATTTAGGAGGGAGCAAAAGGTTTGATTTGCCTTGGGGCCCTGGAACCATTATAAAAATGCCTTTAAAGAGAAATGAAAGGCAAAGAAAATTAGGGGCTCAGAAACTGACTGAACCAAAAAGGATGCCAAATCACTAGGCACTAGGCTGCCTCTCCAATAGTTCTAGATAAACAGAAGACCATTTAATATTGTTTTTTTCCCAAGAATCCAAATCAGTCTAAAAGCAGTTTCGATTGGAAAAGAGGAAGAATCAAGTGGCCAAGATGTAGCCTTTCAGTTTCAATGGTCAAAGCAAAAAAAAAAAAAAAAAAAGTCTTAAGACAGACTTTGGGCATCACTGGAGTATAAACATTTAAAGAACAGGGTTCTTGTCACTCCATGTCACAAACATGCCTAAAATTTCAAGAAAATCTCAGCTTTCACTAAGCGGCCCGTCATAGCAATAAGAGGCTACACTCTTTCCACAAAATCTATTCCAGTGAAATATGGCCCACTCACATTTTCATTTAGCTTTCTCTTGGTTCCTTCATTTGGCTGTGTTCTATTTCCTATTGAGTGGAGTCTTTAGTTATAAGCTTTCCTTAGTGTTATTTAGAAGGCAGCCACTTTTCTCTCCAAGCCCCTTTCATTGAGTGTGAGCCAAATATCTGCTACTCACACTGCCTTAAATTCAGGGACTCTAAGTAATTTTTGGTAGAGGACATATTCTAAAAGAGACAGTGACCTTCTGTCTCTCCCCACAGGTCATTCTGTTTATATCCACTAGTAAGTGTAGTCTAACCAAGTTGGTGTGGAAAGTAGCTTCCAAGAAAATTTAACTTATAGCAAGGAAAGAAAAATGTTCTTAGGCAAGAACGATTCCTGCAAATTTTATAAGACGTGAAGCAGCTTAGAGTGTCCTCTACAAAGCCAGTATCCAAGACTGCTGGCAACAGACCCGACTAATTAAAGTGAGGTCCTCATTCAGACGGCCTCAGCATCACTTCAACACTTGCCTACCCCAGGCCTGCTCCAGGTCTATTGAAAAAGAATCTGCAATCCCCATGTGATTCATACTCACATTCATGTTTGAGGAGTATTGGCCTAGAGCAGTGGTTCTCAACCTTCATTGCACATAGGAATCAACCAGGCATCTTAAAAACAAATTAAGGCTGTCTGGGGCCCACCTGCAGAGAGTCAAAGTTAATCAGTTTGGGGGTGTGGCCTAAGCACTGGGATTTTTAAAAACGGCCCAGGAGATTCTGAGGTGCAAGGAGGGTTGAGAGCCACTGGCACAGGGGCAGAAGAGGCTATTTCTTCCATTCCGCCCCCTCTTTGTTGCGGAGGCAAACTGAGGTTCCTGGAGTCAGAATCTATCAGTCGTGGTGACTGCCCTGGTTGCACTGTAAGTATGGGGGGACGTCTCCACGAAAAAAAACTAACTTTCTGCCTTGTGCTCTGCAGGTCCCTCCTTCTCCCACCTTCCCCAAGTAGCTGCTCCTGACCCCCCCACACACCTTGGCAAACGACACCAGTGGCCGATAGCAACTGGTGTTTTAAAAATACTAATTTGGAGCCCCATTTGAGACCTACAACGGGAGAGTCTGCATCAGATTCGGCCTCAGATTCTACAGCATCTGACTACATTCCCAGGTGTGTGTGATGCGCAGCCAGGTTTGGAAGCTAGTGAACTCCACAGTAGGTCTAGCCTTTCACCACGTGAAGTCATTAAGGGTTTGTAAGAATGAATGAGCTGTCAAGAGAGGAAAGGCCTGGTGCAGTGTTCCTTTATTAATTATGAGGAAAGTGATTTATTGGCAATGATAATGCTTCTCTTGGAAAGGGCAAAGAATGGTTCGTCGATTGCTGCATTAGGTTTTTTCCCACTCAACCTTAATGCTCGGCTTTTACTCCTCACTGTAGTTTAAAACCAGCACGCCTTTCACACGAAACAGACTCTGGGTCTTTATTCCCAGGTGAAACGCATCTTTGAGGGAAATACCAACACAGAGACTCTGTCCCAGTTCTTGGCCGGGGGACACCCTCCCCCGAATATCTCTGTTTGCTTGTGTCAGCATCTAGTAGCCAACGTATAGTTGTGCATATCTGATACGTAGAAAAACACAGGGTGAGGATTAAAAAAAAAATCATTGATATATGCCCAGATCCTTTTGCTAAAAGAAAGCTTCCTTTAGCAGAAGGGCAGGAAGTGAGGGAAGAAAGATAGTTGGATTAACAAAGTCAGAGGTGAGAAACGGGTAGGCGAATTGGGGGTCAGGGTTCTGTCTGCGGAAGAGAAGAAGAGGGTTCAAAAGAAAAGTTGCAGCGCCTGTGTGCGCGTGTCATCGATGGGCTGGGTGCGAGAGACAGCGCTAGCGCGCGGCCACAACGCACTGCGGGGCCGAGAGCCGGCAGGAAATCGAAAAAGCTGCTCGCCGGCAGAGGCTGGGAGGCTGGAAGGGCTCCCCACCCGCTCGGTGCTCCAGAAACGCGCCGGCTTTGCCCCGACGCGATCGCCTGGGGAGCCCAAGGGGCGCGCAGGGGGCCCCGGGGCGCCCGGCAGCCGCGGGGCCGAGCGCGCGTGTGAGCGAGTGCGAGGCTGCGGGCGGCGGGCGGGCGAGTGTGCGCGGGAGGGAGGGGGAGCGCGCGCGCGCCCGGGCCCCGGCCCTCCCAGCCTCCCGGCCTCCGCGCCTGCCTCCCGCCCGCGCGCACCGCTGCCCGCTGCCGCGGCTCCCGCTCGCGCCGGCGCTGCACGGTAGTCAGCCCGCCGCCGCCGCCTGCTTTGTGCTTCCCACAGAAGATGGGAGCGACCTCTTCCTGATCGGGAGCTGTTTAAAAGGAGGGAGTGCGCCGTATTTTCTACTAGCGTGGAGGAACGGAGGAAGAATCCATTCACACTCCCCAAACCAGGTAGGATCTTATGATGGACAGGCAGAAGGCATTTAGTCAGAGACCAAGAACTATTTTCCATTTGCTGCTCATAAGGCTACACTTCCCTCTGCTTTGGCAAACGAGCGGCTTCTAAATTTGTGTGTGTGTGTGTGTGTGTGTGTGTGTGTGTGTGTGTGTGTGTGTGATGTGGTGTGTGCGCGCCTGCACATTTTTCTGGGTGTCCGCGCTTCCCAGAGTGAAATTGCTCGGGCTGGTGCGTCTGGGCGTGAGGGTGCCTGCCTGCCTGCCAGTGCAGGCTGCCGGAGGAAGAAAGGGCTGCTAAGGAGAGATGCTGCACCCTGCACCGCGCTGGGCTCTGAGGATTCAGGGCGCGAAGAGCTAAGTCCACCCCGAATGCAGAGCTGCTGGGGATCCAGGCGTCCCCACCCACTGGACTCTTCTCCGCGGACATCCCTCCTTCCGGTAATCCCTGGGGTCTTTCCCCAAGGCCACATTTCCGAGCCCCCTGTTTTCCAGCGGGCGTTGGGTGCTCATTCACCACGGACTGCGGAGAGGAGGGAGGTGTGGCGGGGCAGAGACAGACGAGGAAGAAATGTAGGGGGTAGCAGGGAGTGGGCTGCGGGGTCCACGTCTCTGGGCACTGTGCCGTGGTGTGCTTTGGGGATTCTGCACACACAGGCATCTTTCCCCAAGAGATTGGAAGGGAACTTTGCAGCTGCATTCTCTGCCTCTGGAGCTTTGCTGGCTCTTGGGGGAAATGGTCTGTGTTCTGAGATGTGAAGATATCCTTTTTGGCTCCTCCTTAATGAAGAAGAGGGCGGTCTTATAGCTGGACAGCCGGCCAAAGAAACCAAATCCGCCCAGGCGATGCTCTTGAAAATACAGTACGTGTGCATCCTTGATTCTTTAAATCCACCCCCTGCATCACCCCCGCCTCTTCTCTATCCCCCCCACCACCCCGTGGATTCTGTTGCTGTTTGATGAATGGCTTGGGCTGGCAATTTGTATTTCCCTCTCCAAAGTGGTAGTGGTTGAGTTGAGAACAGGGGTGATGAAATTTAACAAAGCATTTTTAGAAGAGAGCAATGTGCATGTTGTACGCAGTCATTGGAAAGTCATGCTTTGCGCTAGGTATCCTTTTGAAGCCCCCGAACCTGGCTCTCCTGAAGCCGCTCTCTCTCTCTCCTGCTAGTCAGCTACTAGTGGTTGTGAATATAACAATACAAACTTTGTCCTGCTGGAGGTGTAAAGACTAAAAAGAGAAAAAAAGGATATCAGTGGGAGGTGTAGTGGAAGAAGCTTTTTAAAAAATGACAGATGTGGTGAAGACAGTACAAGCGTCCTGATCATGGAGGAGCCTCTAGCTGAGTAGGTGGAGATTTCTGATCAGATCTGGTTAAAGGCATTGCTGGAGTATCTCCAGATATGAGCAGTTGAACATGCACAATCTGAGACTTGTGCGAAGATTTCCCAAGGGAAAGAGGGAGCCACCAGGAGAGAATTCTGAAAGTATACCTCTCTTTCCCATGCCCCCACCAGCGCGCGCGCGTGCACACACACACACACACACTCACATGCTTTCTCTTTCTCTCTCAAAGCTACTCCTGCAGCGAGTCAGAAAAAAAAAGGAAAATGAATCTAGATGTTTCATTCATTTCAAATAAGAAGACAAAGCCGGAAGAGGGATGATTGGTTTTAGGTTCCTCTTTCAAATCCTGTGTTACTTGGATTGAGCTCCCTGGGTTTGCTAAACTTGCTTAATTGGGAGGTTAGGCGGGTGTGAAAGCAGGAGGAAGGAAGGGAAAACTAGCTCCATCTTTGGGGCCTTGTGAGTGAGAAGGTGGGGGAGGACCAACTTATTTCATCAAGAGGCAAGATGTGTGCTCTTAAATGGTTTTCGTTTTACAAATTCTGCCTGCTTGAAGAATTCCATTTGGATCTCACGGCTCTTTAGCTAAGATTTCTCACACCTGCTATAAAAGAAGCCCTGATTTTGTCCCCTTAAAATGGTTGTTGTCTTTTTTTAAAAAAATGATTAATTCCTAGAAAAACAACAGCAACAAAAAGGACTGAACAGAGATAAACCATTATTTATTGTTGAGCTGTATAGGGCTACAAAGGATGTAAGAGTGTCATGATAATCAGACTTTACTGTCTTGAAAGCTTAACAGGGCTGAAGGAGGAGAGTAATGAACTAAAATATGAAGGCTTATTTTCTATGTATCTATCTACCTATGTCTTTACTTTAATATTATTATATAGTGGTTCCTACTGTAACGTTTCAGATTAAGCACATAGCCCTTTTGTTGACCAGGGGAAGAAAAGAGCATGGGAGTAACAGTGCTTTGACTCCCAATAAAATTACAAATGGAAAGTGAGGTATAGTCAGTAACATCTATAGGACTATTTGCAGGAATTATGTTAATTGCTCTGTTAAGCTTTCTGTGTTTTGAAAAAATAAAATATATTCCAAGAGAACTTCAGCATCTGTTAAAAAGCTATGTTTAACATGCTTTTGCCAGGCAAATATAGACTTTTATTTACTTGCAAAATAAACACATGATTCCTCTTAGTATTCAATCTATTTCTTTGACAAAATAAATGATGAGAAAAGCTGTGCAGATCCAAGGAAGTTGCAATTCCCCTTTAAAAAGCCAGCCAAGGCATTCATTTAGCTCATAGATGTGGTTGTCTCAAAGTAAGTGCATTTTGGGACATTAATGTCTGTGTGTTTTTTTTTGTTGTTGTTTTTTGTTTTTTGTTTTTTTTTTTTAATGTTGCAATTCAGTGAGACAAGTTCTTTCTTTGTGATGCCTTTTAGGTACAGGGAGGATAGTATATAGATAAGAAGGAGACTGCCCTAAAAATATGGCAATAAACAAAATTCAAACTGAAATATAAATTAGATCTGGAAAAAGAAATGCAGCCTCTAGAAGAGGCTGTTAGAGCACATATGTTGCATGTTTTATATTTTCGTAGTATGTTGCTTTCAAGTAAACATTAAATTGTCACTTTATATTTGCTAAGAATTTAGGAATCAACATGCTATTATCTCTCTACTCTTCCTGGTCCCTTTATCTTTTTGTTTTTGCCCCCAAGGATAAATGTGTTTTGCTAAAATATTATCCAAATATCACCCATACTTGTAGTTAAATCCTTCATCATAACCTCCCATACCTCATACACCCCTCATCATAACCCCTACCAAATGGTCTCCCATCTGACCAAATTCTACTGCTCCCTCTTGTGGCAAACGTTCTGCCTGACTTTCTCTGGGTTCCAGAATCCTATCTGACATCACTTATGGTTCCCTTAGCTGTCTATCACTTTGGCTCTAATTCTTGGTAGTAAAGGTGGCTAACAAAACCAGTGGATTTCTGTACTAGCTGTTTCCACTTTTCTTTTTAAACGAAGGTATTTCTGTTCCCTAGAGATATAGCTGAGATTTAGTGGAAATAAATATCAGGTGTTTTCTGACCCATTGGGATGGACTAGATTCTGAGAATGTGAGCTTTCAGCGTCTGCCTTTGAGATTCAGATTTGGATTCAGGACTAGTCCAATGGGGCCTCATTAAGTGCAGCGGGATTACTTTCGGTTTTCTTTCTTCCTCTTCCAAAATCTCTTTTTCTCTCTTTCTCTCCCTGGCCTCCCCACTCTGTCACCTTCCATCCCCAGTCCTCCATGCACACATATACATTACAAAATACGTTTTACACAATATATATTTTGAAGACCTAATCAATGACTAGGTTCTCAGTAGTACTTATTAATCAAACAGTCCATTTTCTGATGTATTTTCCAGTGCATTGACTTATAAGACAGTTGCTCGTAGTCCTTGCTGCCTCAAGTGATTTTTGTAAGTTCTCTTTGCAGAGACTATATTGAACAGTAGGTGTTTTAAATTTACATTTGTGATTGTCCTTTGATCTGCCCAGCCAAGAGTGTAGACAGTAACAAGACAAAAGTTTAAGTGAATCACATTTCCACCTTACCTGAAACTTCCTAGTGAGTTTCAGTAGAAGGAGGGGAACATGTGGAAGAGGAAAAGCTCTGGCAGCTGAAGCAAAGAAAATGCTTTTGTGATCAAGGGCAAGTGCATTGCAGGCAGCAGTCTATACAGTGATTTGAGGGTGGGCAAAGCATTCCCAGGTTCAAAGCATTTATTTCTTGGGCAAAATAGTATCTGAAACTTTCACAATTAGAACCATTCATTTGAATAAAGGAATTCTATCTAATAGACCCTAATAAAATGAAATATTATCCGAGAAGGAGCTACCATTAATTCTCACAAATCATTAGCATATGTTCTTTCTTTTTTTTTTTTTTTTTTTTAACTTGGATTGGTTTATCAGGTCAACTGGCAGACAAAGTCCTGGGGGCCTGGAACACAGGAAAATACAGAGAATGTGAAAGAGGTTTAAAACTAGGTTGCTGCCCAGTTAGTGCACTCAGGGCCATTTTGGTGGGGAAGTTTGGGGCGATGTGAGTGCCCAGGAATGGGGCTGTTGATGGGGAGGGATAGAGAGTAGCCAGACAAAGGCAAAGATAAACTCTCCAAAATTTGGCTTCTAGAGCAACAAGGGTAATACAAATTTGATACTTTCTTGAAGATTTAGCCATTTAAGTCCTCTGAGGAGTGGGCAAAATATTTTCCCTAGAGTGAAATTATATCCTTAAAATCTTGAATAGATTCGACTGTATCATTCTGCAATATGTATTAATGCCCGTAACCTAGAAAATGCTAGTGTGATACCAATTCAGACAAATGGTTTCTTGTACATGTAATAGATCTAGGAAACTAGATGTAAATATTAAAGATCATCTTAATTTTTTTAAAAAGACAGATTAATTACTTTGTTGATATCATTGCATGGTAAGTGAGAACAATTAATAATTTCCTGGTTGGATCCAATGTGAGAGCAAGTCAAACAAGGTAGTGATTCAGCAATTTACTTCAACCAAATTATGATATTTATGGAGCATTCAGTGTATACAAGGCCCTGTGCTTGGCTTTTCAAAGAATGCAGATGATGAAGAAAAGTTAGTGACATTTGTTGAGCACTTTTTATGTGCCAGGGACTAGTCTGAATGCTTTACACACGTTTTCTCATTGGATGCTTATGAGTATTCTGCAGGACAAGGAAGCATCATTTTTCTGACTTAAGGATGAAGACTATGGTTCAGTGAAATAACTTGGGCCAAGGGCTAACAAGTAATGGTTAATAAGGAAGGCTCTCCAAAAGCCATGCTCTACACTGTTCTCTGTTCCCAGGGATGTCATGGTCTAGAACACCTATGCTGAAGTACAAGGCTGAGCAAGAAAGATCACTCCACTGCAACTGAGCAAAGTGCTGAAGGAGTTGAAAGGAAGAAGAGAACATTGGACGTGGTTTCACGGAGGAGGAAGCATTTTAATTTATTCAGAAAGAGTGAAAAGGATTTTGAAAGCAAATAAGGCTAGCCACTTTTGAAACATGTCAAAGAGCCCCAGCTTATTTACGACAAGGTAACCGTGGAGAAATGTTAGGGCAGTTTCTAGACCCTTTCATTCCGTTCTGTGTCCCAGTCAGGACCATGCCACAGAAACAGGATCTGAAACAAATAACAACATAAGCCATTGTACAAATGCATTTTATACTTGAAACCAAAATGTAGGATGAACTTCCAGCATGGCCTTGGAGGAGAGAGGCTATACCAGTCAGAGGTGAGGCAAGAGACAGACCACTTGCTAACTTGTTCCTTTATTAAAGGTGATGATTCTGTTTCCTCTACTAGGGTAGGTGGTTTTTATTTATCTCTTTAGCACCAAATGGTTATGCTGGTGCTTTTACAGTTGAGCTTCTGGAACTTCTCTAGCTTCCCATTTCTTCAGCTTTCCCTTAAAGCTCAGGACCCAGGGCCACCCTTTGGTTCTCTGCTGTGCTCCATGAATAGCATCCCATCCTGGTAGCAGGTTGAGAGAATGAGACTGCTTACTCTACATCCAAGCTTTAACTTCCTCTGGGGGCCGTGTTAGAGACCCAACTGTGGGTGGCATCAGACAGTTTGGAGAGGTACCCATCAAATGTCTCTCAGAAGTTTCAAGTCACTCTTCCAAAATGATCTTTCAAATGTTGGGGGATATGGACCCTTCAAAGCTGAAATTTGTGAATCAGTGTTGGGCAGTCAGTGCTTCTTTTCCCCTGACTCCTCCCTGTCTGCCTTTCTTCCCCTGGACATGCAGCTAGCTGTCAGAAGTTCTTTTTAAGAGCTTCTCTTTATCAGTCCTTCTGTTGCTTCATACCATGGCTAGCACTGGAAGAGACATCTGATATCACCTAGTTTTGCTTTGTGTTTATATTTTACAAATAAGCAAATGGAGGCCATGTAAAATTAAATGATTTTATAAGACTGAAATAGGAGATAGTAGAATCCAGTTCTATGACTCTGAAATCATTTCATCCAAGTTACCTCTTTTTCTTTTTCTTTTTCTTTCCCTGTGTAGAAAGCCTCCAGAAATTTGCCTGTGTTTTCTGGGCCTCAGGAATTCCTGAATGTCTAATAAGGATTCTTCAGGGTGGAAAGGGAACTACGACTTTTCATCTAGTTTGAGAATACTGACTAACAAAATGAACCAACCTAGGGTCCTCAGACTAAAGGTCTCTGAGGTCAGCAGACATATTCATGATAGTTATAACATTCGTTTGAATTCAAAAGATGGCATATTTGACATTGTGCTAATTACTTAGCCTTTTCCGTGTTTACTTTCTTCATCTATTAAATGGGAATAAAAATATTAAAAAGGCTTGTGGTTTTGTGTGAGGAGTAATAAATTAATATTAGTAAAATATTTGGAACAGTTTCTGACACATGGGTGCTCAGCAACTGTTAGCTCATTACTGAAGATATAAATGGTGAGAGAGAGCCTTGTTCCTGCCTGTGTGCCCCCAGGTGAATACACTGATTGGTGTGGTGAAGGGGTTGCCACAGGAAGGTAAAGGAAGATAAGTACACGCAAAATGGCATATACCGAAGATCAGAGAGCTGATTTTTTAAATGCCCAGATAGTCAGTATTTCTGGCTTTGTGAACTATAGGATCTGTCATAATTTATCAACTCTGGTGTTATAGCAAGAAAGCAATCATAGATGATATATAAATGAATGGGCACGGCTGTGTTCCATAAAATGTTACTTGTGGACACTGAAATTTGAATATCACATAATTTTCACATCATGCAATATTCTTTTTTTTCCAGTAATTTTAAAAGGTAAGAAACATTTTAATTTTGTGCGCCTTACGAGAACAGGTAGGAGGTTGACTATGTCCCATTAACCATAGTTTGCCAACTCTTGACACACACAGTATAGATTATGAGAGACGCAAATGAAACATTGATGGGCTTGGGGAATCCTAGCAATTGGTGTTGGTGTAGTGTGAAGAGAAATGGCCTAGAAATTCACAGAATTTGTTTTAGAGCCCAGCTCCATCACTTCTGAGATATTTGGGTTTGAAATGTCTCTTTCAGTTATCAGGCCCCAAGTTTTCTTACTGGGAAAGGTGGGGGCTAGGGAGACAGATGACTTTTTAATTTTACTTTTCTTTAAACAGGGTCTCACTCTGTCACCCAGGCTGGGGTGCAGTGGCATGATCATGGCTCACTGCTGTCTCTACCTCCTAGGCCCAAGTAATCCTCCTGGCTCAGCCTCCTGAGTAGCTGGGACCACAGACATATGTCACTGTGCCTGGCTAATTTTTTAATTTTATTTTTGTAGAGACAGGGGTCTTGCTATGTTGCCCAGACTGGTCTTGAACTCCTGGGCTCAAGCAGTTCTTCCTCAGCCTCCCAAAGTGCTGGGATTATAGTCATGAGCTACTGTACCTGGCCTAGATGACGTTTAAGGGCCTTCCTAGCAATCAAAGTAGTTTTATAAGGGAAATTTGACATTTGAGATGGGTCATGGAAGATAACCATCAAAGCATTAGAAAAGATGATGTGGTACATATTTGGGTAATTTTCATTTAGTAGCTCAGCTGACTACTAGCTGATATATTGACTAACAGTAAACCTGCACAGATGGACAGGTGTTATATTATAGATGGCACTGAATGCCAAAGTGTAGGATTCGAATATCACAGCTGCAGATTGTTAGCAGAATTTCCCAGTTTTACAGATGATACTAAGAGAGGGAAAATGACTTCTCCAAGGACATATGACTGGTCAGTAGAGCTGAGACCAGCACTCATTTCTTTTAGTCCCTAGACCAGTGAACCTTCCATCTACCACATTGACCCTATAAGTGTGGTAGAATGCAATTAAATGCAGTTGCATGGCTCTGACCTCAGAGAGAAAAAGTCTTGTATAAATTATAGAAGCTACTTTTTGTCCCTTCCAAACATGATCTCATACCCCAGCATATCTAAGAAGGTACGTCTGTGAATAATCCTGTTACAGAGAAGGGTAATTACAAAAGTGTCCACCTAAGACCTTACAATTCAACAACCTTTTGGCTGGTTTCCTGCAGAATGTCTTTTAAATCTCAGCTTAGATGTTATTTTTCAGCTGAACTTTTTCTAATACTCTGGTAGGTGAAGTCCTCTGTTACTTAGTTTTATAGTCACATTTTTACTTCCATAGCCATTTATTCGAGTTAATAATTATGGATTTCTTTTTTTACTTTAAGTTCTGGGATATATGTGCAGAGTGTTCAGGTTTGTTACATAGGTATAGATGTGCCATGGTGGTATGCTGCACCTATCAACCTGTCATCTAGGTTTTAAGCTCTGCATGCGTTAGGTATTTGTCCTAATGTTCTCCCTCCCCTTGCCCCCAACCCCTCAGAAAGCCCCAGTGTGTGTTGTTCCCCTCCCTGTGTCCATGTGTTCTCATTGTTCAACTCCTACTTATGAGTGAGAACGTGTGGTGTTTGGTTTTCTGTTCCTATGTTAGTTTGCTGAGGATGATGGCTTCCAGCTTCGTCCATGTCCCTGCAGAGGACATGATCTCACTCCTTGTTATGGCTGCATAGTATTCCATGGTGTCTATGTACCAAATTTTCTTTATCCAGCCTCTCGTTGATGGGCATTTGGGTTGGTTCCAAGTCTTTGCTATTGTAAATATTGCTGCAATACACGTATGTGTACATGTGTCTTTATAGTAGAATGATTTCTGTTCCTTTGGGTATTTACTCAGTAATGGGATTGCTAGGTCAAATGGTATTTCTGGTTCTGGATCCTTGAGGAATTGCCACACTGTATTCCCCAATGGTTGAACTAATTTATAATCCCATCAACAGTATAAAAGCATTTCTGTTTGTCCACAGCCTCACCAGCATCTATTGTTTCCTGACTTTTTAATAATTGCCATTTTGACTGGTGTGAGATGGTATCTCATTGTGGTTTTGATTTGCATTTCTCTAATGATCAGTGATGATGAGCTTTTCTTGATATGTTTGTTGGCTGCATAAATGACTTCTTTTGATAAGCGTCTGTTCATATCATATCCTTTGTCCACTTTTTGATGTTTTTTCTTTTTTTTTTTTTTTGTAAATTTAAGTTCCTTGTAGATTCCAGATATTAGACCTTTGTCAGATTGGGTAGATTGCAAAGTTTTTCTCCCATTCTGTAGGTTGCTTGTTCACTCTGATGCTAGTTTCTTTTTCTTTTTTCTTTTTTTTTTGAATTATCACTTTTAGTAAAAAGATTTATACATTTGTTTGTTTTTTTAATTTTATTTTATTATTATTATACTTTAAGTTTTAGGGTACATGTGCACAATGTGCAGGTTAGTTACATATGTATACATGTGCCATGCTGGTGTGCTGCACGCATTAACTCGTCATTTAGCATTAGGTATATCTCCTAATGCTATCCCTCCCCCCTCCCCCCACCCCACCACTATTGCGGCACTATTCACAATAGCAAAGACTTGGAACCAACCCAAATGTCCAACAATGATAGACTGGATTAAGAAAACGATGCTAGTTTCTTTTGCTATGCAGAAGCTCTTTGGTTTAATTACATCCCATTTGTCAATTTTGGCTTTTGTTGGAATTGCTTTTGGTGATGTAGTCATGAAGTCTTTGCCCATACCCATGCCCTGAATGGTATTGCCTAGGTTTTCTTCTAGGGTTTTTATGGTTTTAAGTTTTACATTTAAGTCTTCAGTCCATCTTGAGTTAATTTTTGTATAAGGTGTAGGGAAGGGGTCCAGTTTCAGTTTTCTGCATATGGCTAGCTTGCTTTCCCAGCACCATTTATTAAGTAGGGAATCCTTTCCCCATTGCTGGTTTTTGTCAGGTTTGTAGAAGATCAGATGGTTGTAGATGTGTAGTGTTATTTATGAGGTCTCTGTTCTGTTCTATTGGTCTATAATGTCTGTTTTGGTACCCGTACCGTACTGTTTTGATTACTGTAGTCTTGTAGTAGTATAGTTTGAAGTCAGGTAGTGTGATGCCCCCAGCTTTGTTCTTTTTGCTTAGGATTGTCTTGGCTGTACAGGCTCTTTTTTTGTTCGATATGAAACTTAAAGTAGTTTTTTTTTTTTTCTAATTCTATGAAGAAAGTCAATGGTAGTTTGATGGGAATAGCATTGTATCTATAAATTGCTTTCACAATATTGATTGTTCCTATCCATGAACATGGAATGTTTTTCCATTTCTGTCCTCCCTTATTTCCTTGAGCAGTGGTTTGTAGTTCTCCTTGAAGAGGTCCCTCACGTCCCTTGTAAGCTATGTTCCCAAATATTTTATTCTTTTTATAGCAATTGTGAATGGAAATTCATTCATGATTTGGCTTTCTGCTTTTCTATTTTTGGTGTATAGGAATGCTTGGGATATTTGCACATCCATTTTGTTTCCTGAGACTGCTGAAGTTGCTTGTCAGCTTAAGGAGTTTTTGGGCTGAGACACTGGGGTTTTCTAAATATAGAATTATGTCATCTGCAAACAGAGACAATCTGACTTCCTCTTTTCCTGTTTGAACACCCTTTTTTTCTTTCTCTTGCCTGAATGCCCTGGCCAGAACTTCCAATACAATGTTGAACAGCAGTGGTGAGAGAGGGCATCCTTGTCTTGTGCCAGTTTTCAAAGGGAATGCTTCCAGCTTTTGCCCATTCAGTATGATATTGGCTATTGGCTTGCCATAAGTAGCTCTTATTATTTTGAGATGTCCCATCAATCCCTAGTTTATTGAGAGTTTTTAACATGAAGCGATGTTGAATTTTATCAAATGCCTTTTCTGCGTCTATTGAGATAATCATGTGGTTTTTGTCATTGGTTCTGTTTATGTGATGGACATAATTATGGATTTTGGGTAGTAATTTAAATGAACATCTGTCATCTGTCTTCCCAGCTAGGTAATAAGTTCCTTAAGGAGAGAGATTACGTCTGTCTATCTCATGGTTCTAGCCCCAGTGCCTCGCACTTTGCTATATACATAAAAGACGTTTGATTTTTTTTAATGAATGAATGTTCTCCTATTAATCATTGATATTGATGAAAATAATTGTTGCATTAGCAAAGGCTTCATAGATAGAAATTATCTTCAATTGCTAATTAAATTATTAAATAGAATTTCTTCCTCCAGTGACTTTTTTCTCTACCTTTTTCAATGGCTCCTTTTAGGACCACCTTTGTGATAGATAAATTCACATCTATTATAATCCTCATCTGTCACCAAAAGACAATAATCTAGCAGTGTCAGCATAGTTACTAACGTTAAAACCATACCACTTAAGCCAATTTTAATAATTTTTCAAACACAGGTATATAAGATTGGTTTAAAGAACATATTCACTAGATGCCCTAGCTAGTAGAGAAAAACCATGTATTTCTCTACTAGATTTCTGTAAGAATGTTGTGTTTTCCCATGTCACCAACACTCCCTTTGGTCCTCTAAATAATAAGATTTGACTAGTTTCTTTCTAAGGTGAGTTTCATTTTTAAAGTGTATTGTAATAGGTAATATATACTATACAATATTGTAATATGTAAATAGACACTTGGTGTTAGAACTTTGTCACTGAGTATATTGTCAGGAACTTTAGAAAATTGTAGCATACAACACTGATGGAGAGTCACCCTTATGTGAGCACCCATCACCTTGACTTTTTAAAATATGTTTCTTTTTACTTCCTACTTCCACTCTTTTCAAGAAGAGCTTATTCTTTCAAGGACTGTAATTTGAAACTATGCAGGAAAATCTAAGACTTAAAAACCTCAAGTTGATAGGATTCTGTCTTCTGAAATGCTATCTACTTGAAGATGAATCTTAATGACTCACTGAAAAAGCTGATGAAATTCACCAGCCTCTGCTCACACAACCAGCATTTACCTTGTTAAAAAAGATTAAAAAATAAAAAAGAAAAAAATCTTGCTGGATTGACTGTCATTCAACTTGAGATTGGTTTCTGTATTAAACATCCCCAGTTCCAAGAGGCAGACTAGAAAGAAGAAAGAGTGACCACAGGGATTCGTTCTTGAGTTGAAATGAAGAAAAAGAGTAGGGGCTGCCCCCTAAAGAACTTGTCATTTGAAGAGCACAGCTTTCCTTACCACCCAGTACTTCATTTTGGGGTTCATGTTTCTGCATGTTTTCTACCTCTACTTAGGGTTTGGATATAGAAACTGAATAGGTCTCTGAAGATGTCCCTTTATCCTAAGTCTTTGTCACCTGCCAATGTAGTGACCTAGTAATCCTTGCTTGTTTCTTCTTAGAGAAGACAAAACACCTGCAGCAACATCATGAAGTAGGAACTTTATATTACCTCCAGTGCTTTAATCTCCCTTTTGGGGCCCCTCTTTTCTCCTATTAAGATCTGTCCTCCTCTGCCCTCTAGTCCCCCACCTCCTGGACACATATTCACTACGGGGCTTCATATTTTGATCCTGCCTGGAGACCCAGTCTGTGAGAGGGAAAGCACAGCTGACATATTACTTAACATCAACATCTTACTGATATTAGAACAAACACTGTTTTCTGATTTTCAGACACGCACTTCCAGTCTGTTTGCTAAACAAGCCCCATGCCCTGTGTGCTGTTCCTGTGCTTCTACTCAGTTCTGCTCTTTCTGCCTTACACTTCACAAAGGGTGGTCCAAGACCACCTACATGACAATCACCTGGGATTGTTGTTAAAATTCAAATTTGGAGATTCCTCAACTGTATCTGATTATAGGGCCCTGTTAACTGCATTTTAATTAGTTTGCCAGGTGATTCTTAGGTGAACTGAAGTTGGAGAATCATTGCTCTATGCCTTTGTCCATATCATTTCTTCCTTTTAGAATGTGCTGTCACATTCTCTAGCCGTTGTCATCCTTCCCATCCCTTCCTTTTATGACATTTTGTCAATTCTTCCTAGTATTAATGGTCATTGGAGTAACTGTCGCTTGCAGACTGTAAATTTAGTAAGTACAGGGACCACGTGTCAATCATATTTGCAATCCCTGTAGTGTCTGTTATGGTGCTTTGCACATAGAAGCTACTCCATAGAGGCTTGATGAATAAATGAAGGGTTCATTGCCTCTAGAACTAGAAACATAGGAAGGGCTCACTATATATACAGATTTTTAAGATTAAATGTCAACCAGCTATTGGGGAAATATTTTTAGGTAGAAAATCCTTTTTGGTGACCTAGATATAAAAGCATGTATATGACCTCATTCTTTTTCAGTGTTTAAGGTCAAACATCAAAGAAAGGCTGCTGTTTCTCTTCAGGGTTAGTGGTGAACAATTATTATGTGAAAGAATTACCATTGTCTATCAGGAGGCTTTTGAAAGATGTACAGAGTCCAAGGCTCTGCCTCTGGGAGCTCATTATAATTGAAATCTCTAGCTTGCAGGACCACAGTCTGAGCAGTCCGAGATTTCTAGAATGCTGGGTTTATTAACTCAAGACTCAAGGTACGTTAACCTGGGGACTAGGTAGTCCACTTCAGTGCTCAGTGTCAATGTTCAAATGCCAGGAAAGTCTCTTCTCTTCAGTGAATCTCTAGTAATGGAAGGGTCCTGGTTTCCACAGAAGGGACTCACTCCTTGATTCTGCCAGTGCCCCACTAGAATACAAGCTCCTTTGGAGATATGTTTTATTTATCTTTGAAACACAGTGTCTGGCATATATGAGTGGCTAAGAAAAGCTTGGCAGATAAAACCATAAACGAATGTGTTGTTTTTGCATTTCTTTGGATTACTTATTGGCTTAAATTTAAGATGTTAAGAAAAATGACCCCCAAGACAGTAAATTTTTGAGCTGCAATGAAATTCTATTTTAAAAAATACTGAATTATTGTTATTAGAGCAAAGTGTTAACCTACTTGTTATAGCAACATTCTGTATCATTCTCCCTGGCTCCCGTTCATTATCCGTTCCCCTCTTTTATTTTAGTTTTGCTTGCTTACTGCTAGGGATTCTTTCTTCATTTGCTTTTCTCCTGACCAAATGGAAAAACCTTGAGTTTACTACATGAGTTTGGAGTGATTTCAGACCTCTGTCTTCAGCTGATGATCCTTCACATGGATCATCTTTCCCTTGCTATGTGACGAATAGAAGTGCTTACAATACTTACTTGGGGAGTGGGAAGGCATCAGGCAGGAGTGGAAACATGTGAGGCTCCTTGATGAGCTAATGCAACCTACACACATTTATTCAGGTGGGAAGAAGGGGCAGCATGGCAGGTTAAGTACCTAAATCTTGAGCTCTCTGTCCCCAGAAAACATTGTTAACTTATTGTCGTGAAAATAAAATGTGTCTGCCATTTTGGAAATCGTTATAGTTTAATGCAAAATGCCTGAATTAAAATTCTAGTTCTGTCACTTAAGTATATATGACTCTAGCCAGCTTACTTTCATGAACCATTTATTTTTCTCATTTGTAAAATGCGAATGATAATATCTCCTTGTAGTATCGTCAGAAAAGTCAGGGACAGTGAATACAAAGTAATTAGCACAGTACCTGGGACAAGTAGATGCTCAGTCCATGATTTCAGTCATTATTGCCATCAGTGCCCTGAGTAGGGCCCTTAAACCCTGCTCTGTGGTTCTGGCATAATGAATTAGAGGACAAACCTGGCTAACTTCACATGGAGCCCAAGATTATCAGAGCATCTTCCTTCTACATTCTTTTTTATTTATTTTCTATTGAAAGACTCTCTCTTCTCCAGCTTTCTTTTTTCTACCCATATTTCCGTGTTAGCATGCAGATTAATATTTAAATTTAAATGCTTGGTGTTCTTTCCCTTGTGTAGGGCCTCTACAATGAAGGTGATTTTTGTTGTGCTTGAATATGTGTCTTTTAATTGTATTGGAAGGATGGGAAGATGTACTTCCTTGAGTATGTCCAAAGTGTTAGGGCCCTCTTAACAGAGCATATAAAATAAGCAAGCCAGGGCTGATGCTGGAAGACACACACCCAGGTTGTGGGGAAAATGTCAGGGCCCAGGTGCTCTCGTTATGCTGGAGATCAGTCTTTCCAGCCCAAGAGTCTTTGCTCATGAGTCTGAATCATGTGTTTCCTCTCTTCCTAACACTGACATTGACTTTACAATCTGATTTTGAACTCTGCTCATGTTAGGGTGCAACCATTTCACACAGACAACATTTTTTAACTGCAAATGCTTAGGCCCATTTCCCAGATTCTGGTTTACCACTGGAGATTTGGTGAATCAGCACGTGACCCTGTGAGCATTACTTTACTCATTCAATAAGCAGATGTTGTGCATCTTCTAAGTGCCAGGCTGTGCTCTAGGAACTGGGAATACCTCAATGAAAAAAAAGAAATGAAAATCCCTGCCCTTAGAGAGTTGCATCTTTTGAAGAGAGAAAGACAATAAATAGAACCATTGAATAAAATAGATAGCATGTAAGAAGTAATAAGAGCTGGCCAGACGTGGTGGTTCATGCCTGTAATCCCAGCACTTAGGGCTGAGGCAGGCAGATTACCTAAGGTCAGGAGTTCAACATGGTGAAACCCTGTCTCTACTAAAAATACAAAAAAAAAAAAAAAAATAGCCGAGCATGGTTGGCAGGCACCTATAATCCCAGCTACTTGGCAGGCTGAGGCAGAAGAATTGCTTGAATCCAGAAGGCACAGGCTGCAGTGAGCCGAGTTCATACCACTGCACTCCAGCCTGGGCGACAGGAGCAAGACTATGTCTCAAAAACAAAAACAAAAAAGTAATAAGTGCTATCTCGAAAAATAAAGTAGGGGAAAGGGCCAACAGTGCATCTCATGAGTTTTCAACAACTTCGTTATTTTATATCCTAAGTCTATCTTTCCTTTTGTGACCACATTGCCTACCTTCACCCTAGTTTCTTCATTTCCTGGACAATTTCAGCGGGTATTTTTGGTCATAAGGCAGGGGCCTGACTTCTGTTTTGTGAGTTTAAGAGAAAGGCTTGAGCCTATGATGTGACCGCTCATAGCCCATCCCCTTCGGCACCTGTCCCAAAGTATTAAACAGCAGAGAGGAAACTTTCTTTGGAAGGGAAAATTAGGTATTAGTAGAGGGTCTCTGTGTAAATGAGGTTTTTTTTTTCCTGAAATCTGGCCATGGTCTGATAGCCTGAGGCTGGAGCCAGGGCAGTAATTTTCACTTTAGGTGAGATGGTCAGATGAGAAAAGCCTTCATCCTCTGGCATCATCTCTTTGTCTAGAAACATTTGGAAGTGCTTGCCTTGGTAGTGGATAAGGATTTATGGTTGCTTTAATGTTGCCTTAGAAACAGATTAATTGCTTAGCTTTGAGTCTTTCAGTCAGCAAGAATTACATAGAAGGGAATTCCAAGTACTGATGAAGGCCATCAAGGAGTTCCTTGGAATAACCCCAGCTGCCAATCAAGAGGATGCCATTAGGATGACTGTCCAATATATTGGGCTGTTAGGAATGCCAGCATATGCCTTTGCTCTGAGTCACGTCCTCCTTGGTAGTCAAAACTGGCTATAGCTTCCAGCAGGGAATGGTCACCGTGCTGCCAACCACTCTTCAGGCCTCTGCTCCAAAAGCTCTCCCTCTTCCTTTACAAAGCAGTTGGATCTATCTCTTGTAGATGTGGGTTTCTATTCCTTGTAGCTGTGACCTCTTCCTCCGACACAACTGGCTGGACTACTCACAGCTGGATATCTTTTTACCATCCTTTGTCAGTGTCATTTGGGTCTGTAATCTGTGGGTGATGGGTTGTGTGTTGTTTTAAAATAAATAGTGATCAGAAGATAATTTGGGTATTCTTGATACTGTGCTAAAGTCTCATTTCATGATGTAATGGATATTTTAAGTTAGTACTGCTCACAGTTGTACGAGTTGATCTGAATCCACCATAAAAATCAGCCTATACTTTGTATTGGTAAATTAAGGCAGAATATAAGAAAGCCAGGCAGCAAATCAACATATCCACAGTCTCTATTCTTATCTTTCTGCTTAATTTGTATGGAAATGTATATTTGAGGGAAAATGGGGAGAGTTTAGTAGAACTACTTTGAATCTGATGATAGAGGAAAGACCCCGAAAGAAAGAAAACAAAAGGATGAAGAAGGAACTCACATTTAGATAACATCTATTCCACATCTTCGTGGGCATTTGAATTTGGTATTAATTTAATAAGAAAAAGAAATTTAAGTCCAGAGAGTTCTTTCCAATTGCTTCATTGCCAATAAGCTACATCAGTGTGCTGTGTCCACTGTTCACAAATTATAATACTGCTCTCTTTTGAATATAATTGTAATGTTTTTAGTTAACACCGGAAGCCCCCTTCCTTTTTCTCTGATAATGATGATGGATTTTTACTGACCTGTCTACCTTTAGACATCTGGTGACCTTTTGGCTAAGAACATATTGTGGGATGTGGGCTAGGGAAGGGATAAAGGGCAGGGCTTTTTCTTGGCTGGCCCAGGAGATTGCCCTGACAGTGCATGCAGGAAGAGGTTGCCAGGCAATTGCTAAAAGACCAGATTGAAGGGCAGCTGTCTCTAGGAACATGCTAGCCCTCATGTTACATCACAGTTATTGATGCTTGTCTGTTTGAGTCTAATGCATAAGATAAAAGCCAGGCTATTGGAAACCTTCCACAAGACTTTTGCTAACTAGGCCCTCCTGACCCTGCATGGAAGCCAAGAGGCTTTCCAACGGGCTAGTCCAAGCCAACCCCAATAGTTCTCAAAGATTACTTCACACACTATCAGGGATGATATAATGGAGCAGTTAGTTATATCAGTCTTGGAAAAAGACCAGGGGTTGGGTCTTAGTTGAGGAGTTTACTGTCTGTATGACTTTCAGCAAGTACTTAACCTATCTAAGCCTCAGTTATCCAACCTCCAAATGGGCTAATAGTACCTACTATTTAGGATTATTGTTAGGGTACTGTGCATTGCACATCTCCAGGGGTGCTGTTCTCATGGACTATAATGGAAATAGCAACACTAGGCATTTTATAACAGCAATGCTGGCTAATGGAAATATTAAATATAATTGATATGTATAGAGACAATTTAGCATGGTATCTGTGACTGTTTAAGAATGGAATCTAGTATTCTCTCAGGAAATTGGTTATAATTTGGTGTTCAGCTCTTTTGAAACTTGCTTCTAAGAAGGAAAAAGCAAAATAGTTTTGGACACAGAATAATCTGCAAAGACTTGGATGTAAGAAATTGTTACCTTGTTCAGGGAATGGGAATAATTTCCATATTCTGGAGCTCAGATGCCAGATCATAAAAGGTCTTAGAAAGCCTGTTGAGGGGTTTGAGCTTTGTCCTCAGGGAAGTGGGAAACCAATGAAGAGTTTTAAGGGACGTGAAGAGTGTCAGATCTGCACTTTAGGAATTTCATTTTGGCTGAAACGTGAAGAATGGAATGATGCGATTTGGCAGTAATTTGAAGGGAGTGGTTAGTTATATCAGTCTTGGAGACAGACACAGGTTTGAATCTCCCTTCAGTGTTTATGTTCAGTACTACTATTTATCACAAATATTTCACCTTTCTGATTCTTTCAGGTCCCCAAGACATTTCTTTCACCATTTTAAATGTTAAATATCTTCTGTACCATTTTGTATACCTGCCAAGTATTGGGATCACTTATAAATTAGATTTTATATAGTAGGCAAAATCTGGTCTCCTTGTTTCCACCCTTGCCCCTTCAGTCTTTTCTGCACTGAACCAGCAGAGAGATCCTTCTAAAAGAAAAATCAGATCATATCACCCTCTGATTAGAACCTCCCAGTGATTCTCATCTTCTACCCCATCAAAGCCCATGCCTTATGGCAATTCAGTGTTCTCTGATCCATTCCCACTCCTGAGCCCTGCCCCCTTGGTCCATTACCCTCTTGCTACATTGGTTTTCTGTGTTTTTAGACTGTGCCAAGCATGATTCCCATTAGGACCTTTGCACTTGCTGGAATTCTTTTCCTACAGATATCCACAAAACTTGATCTTTCGTGTCCTTCAGGACTTTGCTCAAGTGTTACCTTATCAGAGAGGCCTTCCTTAACCATCTAGTATGAAATCATGCATCCCACGTGTATACACACTGACACATACACACACACACACACACACACAATCTCACACTCTCCTTGTCCTCTATAGATTGTTCTGCACACACATGTACCATAGGAGTTTTTAACCTTCTGATATTTATATTTGTTTGTTTCCTCCACCATTAGAATATAAGCTCTGTGAGGACAGAGACTTTGTTTTATCACTGGTGAATTCTCAGGATCTAGAAGACAGACTAGTAAGTCTTTCTAAAATACATATTAAGCATGCATAAATATTGTGGATGAAATGGATACACAAGGGAGTTGGAACTAGATCTTCCAACATTCTTGCAGGATGGTTAAATTTCACCTTGTTTCAAGCAGAAATCTCAAAGCCTTTCAAAGACTGAACAAGCAGACATACTGACCAGAACTTTTGCATATTTTGAAAATATGCTACCTCTATTTTTCAGCCTTTTACTTAGTTTTGAATTCTACTGCTATAACCCTCCTCTGATTTTCTTTAGTATGGGAAAAATGTCAAAGAAGCTTATCTCCCTGTAGTGATGAGCTATAAAGGGCTTTAGTCTATGGTGGGATCTCTCAGGGTCTGCCAGAATGTCCTAGGCAGCGGTGTTCTCCTGGGCACTGGTGCAGTTTGCAGTATAAGCCATCAGCAGCAAACATGAGCCAGAGAGTGTAGGCGAATGTGGGGTGGCTCTCAGCCAGCCCGAAGCTATGAAAGCCTGTAATCCAGTTCCTCTTTTAACTTTTTCCAGGACATAAGGGTATGTTCTGACTCAGGGCTTCTTCCTATTGCTGCTTTATCTGATGTCATAACTAGTCCATCCTGCAAGGCCTGGGAGACAGTCACCTTGACTTGGAGCAGACCTTCCTCTACTTCAGTTTCCCCTCACCTCCATCCCAGGTTCTGGAAGCAGAAGGGATGTAAGGTCTGAGTAGAGTTTTGCTTGAGCTGGTGGGTGGACTTAAGGCCATGGTGGTTGAGTCCACTGCTATGCCTACCAAGCTTTGTGTGCTGCTCACTGACTCTGTTGCCATGGCCCTCCTTGCCTACAGTCCTTCATCATGTGTATATTTTGTGGTCACTCTTGTCATGCCACATGAGCTAATTTAAATGGAATTATTGGTCCTGCATTTTTTGGTCACTTGAACCCTCGACAGAACTAATATGTATTTTAGAATGACCATGGAAAATATGACCGACACCGAGAAGGAACATTTTAAGGTTGGTGACGCTGATTCCACAGCCTGCCAGGCGCTTACCCACAACTAGGCCTTGGCCTGTTTATCTCCCTTTCCAGCCTGCAGAAAAACAGGCTCTGTACACAGATGTGAAGAGCTGTGCTTGAAGAACCAGATGCCCAGCTGCTAATGTATCAGCAGACCTGGGCTGGCTGAAAATTAGAAAGAAATGTGCTCTCATCAAAACATGCTTTTAAAAACTGTACTTAATGTGTGGAAATATTGCATTATAGCAGAATTTTTTTCTCCTCAAGAACAAATGCCATTGAGCTTTGATTTCAGGCAAGCTTGAAGTTTTGTTTCCAAGTAAGTGTGGAGCAATAGGACATGATTTCATGAAATACAGTGTAAGATGCTCTCTGGCGTTTAAGATAATCACCAGGCCTTGTGTTGGTGGGATTTTTTCGGAGTCTGATTTTCAAAGCATCAATTGTAATAAGGTGCTTTTGGCATTGAAACCGTTTTTGGAAGATGATGTACTAACACAAATTTAGAAGAAAATCTGCTTTAGTAAAAAGGAGGAAATTGTTTAATGCTTCAAAAGTCCTGTGATTTTGGCTATTAGCATGCATAAATGTGTGTTTAATAAGGCAAGGCTATATAAATTGAACTTTTCCTTTCCAGTAAGTCAATTGTGTATCTTGCTCAGTGAATGGGTACTACATGTAGTAAATTCACAGAAAGATTGAGTTGTAAACTTTACAAAGGATTGCTTAGTCACTGATGGAGTCTTAGAACAATCATTCACCATAGATTTTGTGATGGTCAAATATAAACAAATTTCGGTTTTGTGATGGTCAAATATAAACAAATTTTGGTAAGAGTAATAAAAATAAGTAATTAGTAATGCTTTGGCTGCAGCTCTAATGACATGACTTTTTTTCTGCCCTCTCCCCCATCTTATTTTTACCAGTAGGTTGTGACAGTTGGAAGTGTCATGTACAACATGCGGCGATTAAGTCTTTCACCCACCTTTTCAATGGGATTTCATCTGTTAGTTACTGTGAGTCTCTTATTTTCCCATGTGGACCATGTAATTGCTGAGACAGAAATGGAAGGAGAAGGAAATGAAACTGGTGAATGTACTGGATCATATTACTGTAAGAAAGGGGTGATTTTGCCCATTTGGGAACCCCAAGACCCTTCTTTTGGGGACAAAATTGCTAGAGCTACTGTGTATTTTGTGGCCATGGTCTACATGTTTCTTGGAGTCTCTATCATAGCTGATCGGTTCATGTCCTCTATAGAAGTCATCACATCTCAAGAAAAAGAAATAACCATAAAGAAACCCAATGGAGAGACCACCAAGACAACTGTGAGGATCTGGAATGAAACAGTTTCTAACCTGACCTTGATGGCCCTGGGATCTTCTGCTCCTGAGATTCTCCTTTCAGTAATTGAAGTGTGTGGCCATAACTTCACTGCAGGAGACCTCGGTCCTAGCACCATCGTGGGAAGTGCTGCATTCAATATGTTCATCATTATTGCACTCTGTGTTTATGTGGTGCCTGACGGAGAGACAAGGAAGATTAAGCATTTGCGTGTCTTCTTTGTGACAGCAGCCTGGAGCATCTTTGCCTACACCTGGCTTTACATTATTTTGTCTGTCATATCTCCTGGTGTTGTGGAGGTCTGGGAAGGTTTGCTTACTTTCTTCTTCTTTCCCATCTGTGTTGTGTTCGCTTGGGTAGCGGATAGGAGACTTCTGTTTTACAAGTATGTCTACAAGAGGTATCGAGCTGGCAAGCAGAGGGGGATGATTATTGAACATGAAGGAGACAGGCCATCTTCTAAGACTGAAATTGAAATGGACGGGAAAGTGGTCAATTCTCATGTTGAAAATTTCTTAGATGGTGCTCTGGTTCTGGAGGTGGATGAGAGGGACCAAGATGATGAAGAAGCTAGGCGAGAAATGGCTAGGATTCTGAAGGAACTTAAGCAGAAGCATCCAGATAAAGAAATAGAGCAATTAATAGAATTAGCTAACTACCAAGTCCTAAGTCAGCAGCAAAAAAGTAGAGCATTTTATCGCATTCAAGCTACTCGCCTCATGACTGGAGCTGGCAACATTTTAAAGAGGCATGCAGCTGACCAAGCAAGGAAGGCTGTCAGCATGCACGAGGTCAACACTGAAGTGACTGAAAATGACCCTGTTAGTAAGATCTTCTTTGAACAAGGGACATATCAGTGTCTGGAGAACTGTGGTACTGTGGCCCTTACCATTATCCGCAGAGGTGGTGATTTGACTAACACTGTGTTTGTTGACTTCAGAACAGAGGATGGCACAGCAAATGCTGGGTCTGATTATGAATTTACTGAAGGAACTGTGGTGTTTAAGCCTGGTGATACCCAGAAGGAAATCAGAGTGGGTATCATAGATGATGATATCTTTGAGGAGGATGAAAATTTCCTTGTGCATCTCAGCAATGTCAAAGTATCTTCTGAAGCTTCAGAAGATGGCATACTGGAAGCCAATCATGTTTCTACACTTGCTTGCCTCGGATCTCCCTCCACTGCCACTGTAACTATTTTTGATGATGACCACGCAGGCATTTTTACTTTTGAGGAACCTGTGACTCATGTGAGTGAGAGCATTGGCATCATGGAGGTGAAAGTATTGAGAACATCTGGAGCTCGAGGAAATGTTATCGTTCCATATAAAACCATCGAAGGGACTGCCAGAGGTGGAGGGGAGGATTTTGAGGACACTTGTGGAGAGCTCGAATTCCAGAATGATGAAATTGTGTAAGTTCTATATTATATATGTGTGTGTGTGTGTGTGTGTGTGTGTGTGGTTCAGTGTGTTTATGAATGTGAGTCTGTGCATCATTTTTTAAATTAAATAGCATGCAAGGAATGGAATAGCTTTTATACAAGATCCCTTTCAAGATATCAGTCTTTGCTTGGGTGCCAGTTATCAATATGCTCTGCACACAGAGATCTTAAATTTATTTACATCAGAATTTTATTTTTACTTTTATACATTTACACATTTTAACTACATTGTGACTATGATAAAATGAGTGATGGGACACAGTTTATCAGATGACTTAAGACAGGCTGAGAAATTGGTCTTCTATTTTGAATCACATGGTATATACTCAGAAAAGGAATATTTAAAACATCACAATAGGTCTCTAACTTCGTTTCTGAGTACAAATTGGGAAAACCCAAAAAGGAAACACCCTGAAAATAATTTCTTGGCTACCAGGGCTGGCTGAAAATATTTTTGTGGCTTTTATGTGACATTGTGTTTTGTGACAATATAAGTTAATGTTTCTGCTTAAATGCCAATGCTAAATTATGACTTCATAACCAATCCTGCTTCTTCAGTGTTATGCCAACATGGGAAAGGCCATCCAGCCCTTTTGTAGTTCAAGTCCGGTTTTATTTTACATCCTTATTAAACAAACCCTGTACCCCACTGATACAGTGATGGAGAGAGAAATAAGGTTCTGTCCACGTGTCTAGTTGTCAGGGAGCAGGTCAGAGAAAAGAAGGAAAAATTTATTCTTCCTCGTGGTACTTTACAGTGGCACTGTGCTCATGTAGTAATATGAAGTACCCAGTTGTTAAGTGATTCTTCGACTGAGAGTTGATATTTAGAGGGCTGTTCCCCCTTTGCCTAGGAAAGTGTGTTGCACTCAACTCACCAAAAGCAAACCAGAAAATTTGACTCTATGAACAATTTCTGGGGGGAAAGGAGGGAGGGAGAGAGGGAGGGAGGCTGACTATAATATCTTCAGTACAACAAACGACGTTAAAATGAATGATTATGTTGGTTGAAGCACTGGACATTTAGAAATTTCAGGGAAGAAAAATAAATATATAAATACAGTTCGAAAATAGTTAACTCTTACGATAATGGCATATGATATGCCAAATGGTGAATGCATGCTCTTTAAATATGAAATTTCTCCTACTGAAAGTGAGAGAAAACAAACCAAAAAGGGGGAGGGGATGGGCAGAGAGAACAGATTTTCCTGAGAGAGCCTTCCAGTGTCTTTACATCTCTTTGTTGTTATACTATAGTGATAAGTAGTGTCGAGTACAATATCACAATGAAATCAAGCAAAGCAGGGATTATAATATCCATCTTCTGATGTTTGTAGGGAGCAAAGTGTTTTGATTAATATCTATTTTATGTTAATTCTAATGTTGTTAGTGTTACACTTATTGAGATGTGTTTTGTTGGGATACTTATTTTACTGAAAGATAGTGATCTAGTAGCAAATTAATATCCTTCATATCCAAGAAAGAATTTTTTCAGTGGTCTTGCATTGGAAAGTTCATGTGTGCCCAGGTTAACACAAATGAACTTTATTCCTTTGCTAGGAATTCTTTCCCTATTGATTATATTTTCCCTAATGATTATGTTTTCTAATCATTTCAATTATTGAACCCTTCTGTAGTAGATAGCACTTGTAATCCATCTAAAAGTGTACTGCGTGTTGTTAAAGGTATATTTCATGTCGTTAAATGAACTCATAAGGGTAGCCCTTAAAACAACTTAAATCTGTGTTTTGTTTTGTTTGTTTGACTAAGCATATTTTCTTTTGAAAATTTAATCTTACCTTTTCTTAAGAATAAGGACTCTATACTGGTTTATCTGAAAAGCAGTCTTTCCCTATCTATTCTGCAGTTCAGGACTTTTACCAAACCATAAATAACCTTCTTTTGGGTGGTACGATGCAGAAGAATAAGGAAAAGGATTTTTAAAAAGGATTGACATTGATTTGATAGAATAACTTATTCTGCCAAGTTCCATTTAAAACATTCATCCTATGCAATTAAATTGGAAGGAATATTGCCACATTCCATCTTTAGAAATTTAGATTTCTTGTGAGAATTGGTAAACATTGGTGGAGTTGGTGAAAATTGGCTAATAATTCATGCCATCTCTATATATATGTTCTTAGGAGTATTGAAGATCAATCGCAAGTTTCTTGCTCTATAAAATTGTTACTATACTTCATTTGCTTAATTGAAATGTGAAATTTTAGAAATGGCAAAGCATTTAACTTATAAGTGGAATGAAATTACAGCCCTACATTTTTCTTTTTTCTAGATTTTTAATTTTGAAGAGATTTCATCTTGACTTCGTAGAGTTGTATTACTGACAAGCTTTGTAGATGCTAAATAGGTCTGTTGATTGTACAGATTTGTTTGGCTGGGACTTAACCTTAAATTAAGCACCAAGATTCAAACACAAGGTTTCTAGAAAAACATATTATCAAAGATATGTTGATTCCATGTCTTTGCTATTGGGAATAGTGCTGCAATGAACATACAAATGCATGTGTCTTTATAACAGAATGATTTATATTTCTTTGGGTATATACCCAGTAATGGGATTGCTGGGTCAAATGGAGTTGTGCTGCCCTCTTAGCAGCTTAGAAAACATTATTTTTTTATGGATTATTTTTCCTTTGGCAGTTGTCTTATTTCCATACAGTCAGATCCAAGTGAAAGAGTTTGTCATCGTGCAATGGAGTCAGACTATGTAGATTAAACCCAACTTATCTTTAAGAATGAATTTATATCTCATCAAATTACATAGTTAATCTTGAAAGATGTCCTCCTTCAAAACCTACAGTACTTAAACATGGCTGATGGCGCCACCAAGCTTTATTAAGTACTTTGAAAAAAAAATGTTTGTTTAATGTTGTGCACAAAGCCAGACTTTATTATTCTTTCCAGAGCACCATAAAGAGATTCCTGGAAAAGCCTAAATTTAAAGGCTAATTTTAAGAAGTCCCTAACAAAGGTAGAAATAAGGTCCAATCTGATCAAGGATGGAGAATAAGAGGCACTACAGCTTTAATGATTGTTGGATTCCAAAAACAAGATAGATTCCTAATCTTTGATCTTATTTTTAGTGTAGAAATAGTCATTTAAATTTATAATATAAAAATGTCTATAAATATTTATTCATATTCTCACATAAATGAGTTGATTTATTTCAATTTGATAAGTGATAAGTGATGCTTGTAATTTCTAATAAAATATATTCTCAGCAAAACATTTTAAAATTACAAAGCAAAATCCCATTAAATAGATATAATTAACAGCTAGCACATGCTTTTTTATAAACTCAATCAATGACACATACTAAACCAATGCCAACTAATTTTGACTTACAACAGGGAATTCTGTCTAATGTTAACAGCTAATAAAAAATAAATTAAGAATATGCTAATTTGATTTGTGGTTTGGTAGGTAATATCTACACATTTGAAGTGCTGTTAATGATTGTTCTTTAATGGTTCTAGTTTAATGGTAATAATTATTACAAAATATTGTTTGGTATTTCAAGGTCTAACATTAGCTTAACTGTTTTGGAAAAATGATAAGGCTAATTAACTAATGTAGATACAAATCAAATTTAATTAGTTATAGCCCAGCAATAGTATTATTTTTGGAAGACAATTTAAAAGATTATGAGCGTTTAGTATTATATATTTAAAGTACAGAGTTGAAAAATCAGAGTATGCAAGTTAGATTATTTACTTAATATACTCCTTAGAATATCAGCTTACCAGAGGTTCCTAGTCATAGTATAACATATTAAACAACGGGCCTACCCAAACTTAATTTTGTTTTAACAACTATTATATTTTTCAGTGTAGTTGTAACTTCATTAACTTTAGGAAATAGTATGTGTAAGACATCTTAACCAATATAGCTGTCTGATGCTCAATATTTATATCACATTTTACTCTTTTTGGAAAAAAGACTAGAAAGGAAAAAAAATTTCAGTAGTATATGGGTTCTATGGAATTATTATTATATTCCAGGGAAAATAAATATTTTGTTTTTGCTATTTATGGGACCTGTGTTCTTTTCTTGTTCTAGAGAATTCTATAGAATTCTCTATAGACTTAGCTATGTGAGATGGCAATTCAATTCTGAGAGTAGAACAAAATACAATAAGACAGCCAGATGTAAACAAGGTGAAATGAAGATATTAAGAAAATTTGAAGTGATCAGAACAGAAGGATAATTGTGTGGAGAAATCAGAAATGATGAAAAATATTAGAAAAAATATCACAAGACAAGAAAGGCTGTTAGCACATACTAATTTCTGCACACAATTTAATAACTCCAACATATTCAAGCTTTACTTTATAGCAGTAGAATTTTATCTGCTACCTTTAAAGCATACGATGGAGGTATGATATTTTATACTGACATATAATTTTCCTAGGTAATGTATTAATGTAAGAAATTTGTATGGAATAACTAGCATTTGAATGGATTTCTGCTTTAGTGGATTATCTTTTCAGAACAGAATATTTATGTCTTTTTAGAGCCAAATCACATATAATATCATCTGCAAACCTAAATTATAACTAAAAGATGTTTTTATAAATGCATGTTTTCTGAATGCATAGCTATTATAAAAATAAGATAGGATAAGAGCCAAAAAACATTTATGAGTCTGAATTTAGTACTGCCAGGAGCTTAAATTGATTGTGTGCAGAAAGGTTGTTTATGGTGTCAACCAGATTGCCATATTTGCTATTATAATCTTATTTTTCCAGCACTAATTAAAGCTTGGGGTTATAATATCATTATGTAAAGGAATTTTGTCTTAGCAATTGAGATTTCATAGTTCAGCCACATTGAAGTGTTTAAATTACGGGCTCTTTTCTTAGTCATCATTCAAGGCCATTACATAGAAGGCTGATTGCTTTACTGGGTTAGGGGCAGAGGAGAATTTATATATCAGTTAATCTGCACATACTTAATAAGCTACAGATTTGTGGCCATCAGTGGGCTAAGAATTATAACAGAAATAGAAAAAATATGCTCCTTATACTCTAAAATGGGAGATAATGAGATGGTGTATATTCTGATAAGTACAAATTTCATTTTAAAGACATTTTGTAAACTATAGGAAGCCTTGATTTTAGATAAAATATTTTCATTTGCTTTTGGAGGACAAAAGCATAATTTAAAAGGAAAATGGGATGTGCATTGTAAGATGGACTCATACCTTGGTAAATCTAAGAGTATGGGCAGTTTCAATAGACAGGACCATTATCAAAATTAATGAAAGGCTAAGTAAAAGTACATTTTGTATAATGGGATTTTAAATCATTATAAGGGTACTTAAACCAACCTGAATACATCCTTTAAAGGATTGCTATTTGTAGAACCCTTTTTGTTTGTGGAATGTGTAGAAACAAAATTTGGAAGACTAATGGTATTATCGTATTGTTTTCCCGTTCTCAAATGCTTTTCATACATGTGATATTATAATAGCCCAATGAAGTAAGTGACCTTGCAGATGAAAAAACTGAAACTTAGAGAGATTAATTTTTTTCAAAGTGCTAATAAATTATGGATCTAGGATTTGAACCCTTTTCTATTTGAAATAAAAGGTTATGTGCTTGTTCTTCCATACTACTTTGCCTCTTGAAGGTCCTAAAGAGAATTTAACAGATTTGTAGTAAAATATTGTTAGTACTTTATTTTTCTCTTTGTTAACTAGTCCTTGGGTCTCTAGGAATGGTTCTGCTTTACTTTAATCCTATGGATATTGAGCAGCTTTTGAGGAGTCCTTAGCCATTGACAATTAGCTATTGTCACATCATTTTCTCAAGAGTTATTGCTCTGTCACCATCTTGTAAAATCTGAATGGATTTTACACTAAGTTGTGAAATGGGAAGAGGTTTTCTTTGCTTTCTTTCCTTAGGACACCATTAACCAAGGGAAGGAGATTTAAGTATACTTAATTCTTTTGAGTAGAGCAACCTTGAGGGTCTAAGACATACAAGGGGTTATTTGCTGTTATTTTGCTTCTCTGTCAGCTAACAAAGCTGAGATGTGGAAAATTGCCTATAGGCAACATTGTAATATCATGGGAACTATTGAGGTTTTCCTATAAAATATCTTCATCATATTTCCTCCATGGCTGAAATCTGACCATTGGAGATTTACTGTTTGGGGTAGAACATCGATTAGTCCCTTATTACAGTATAAATGCCATGAAACTCAGAAGTTTAGCCTTGCAACAGTAGAGTTAAATGGCTCTGGGCCAGGTGGCAGGAAAGGGTGAGAAGATAGCTGAATGTACTGTGGGTAAGTGGCATATGAGATAATCTTCGTAACTGCCTTGGGTGAGCCCGCTGAGGGTCCCAGTGGAAGGTGCTGAGTGGGCAGGCAGGACTCAAGCTGCTGTCTTCCCATAGTGCCTTGCAGTTCCTGCCCTGGATTTCTGGTGGGAAGTCCAGAAGGCCCTGGGAGGGAAAGCAGCAATTAACAATATGGGAAGCATTAGAGGAAATCTCCTCCATTGCCTCCTCTCCTGGCTCGACATGCTGCCTACATAATACCCATGTATTTGCCAAAGGTTGAGCCAAGCCAGGGCCCTTTCTTTTCACAGACTTATACAGCTGTTTCACTATAGAGCCAGGCTAAATAAACAATTCTTTTTCATTTCCTGCCTTTCTCCTGAGGACTTGGTGCTGTAGATGACAGTTTCTTTCTTTCCTATAGTGTCTTCACAGGGCTAAATATGGGAATAGGCATTGTGTTCTTTGGTGACAGTTGAAGATATGAAGGTAAGAACGAAAAGCAGAACCTGAGTCCCTCACCTTTCAGGCTGGTGCTCATGATAACAGGGCAACCAGGTGTTGCAGTATACTTAGCAATTCACATATTAATAAAATACCCTAAGATATTTTCCAGATATAGTTTTTTGATTTTATTTTTGCTTTTCTATGCTTACATATGAGATATCTGGGGTCCTAGGTATTCTGAAGCCTTGTGGTGACCCTTGAAACCAAGGCCACACCATTTTTCCATGACAAATTTCCTGAGATAAAGATGGGCTTAGGAGGATCGCTAAACTTGGAAATTTGAGCTCTCTGTCCCCTACCAGCTTTGTGCCTTTCAGCCAGTTACTGAGGTTCTGAGTCAACTTTCTCACCTGTAAAATGAGGAAGATGGTCATGGTGCTGTTGGTGATGGTGATTTTGGATATATTGGTAATGGTGGTAGTGATGGTTGTGGTTGGAATGGTGGTGGTTCTAGATATGTTGGAGGTGGTAGTGATGGTGATGCTGATGGTGTTGGTGGTGATAGTGTTGGAGATGATGGCGGTAGTGGTGATTATTTTTGGTGTTGGTGGTGGTGGTGGTGATGATGGTGATGGCACTAAGATTTATTAAACAACAAGTTTCATGCTATTCTTAAAGTATCCGTATGACTTAATCTTTGCAACTATATCAAGTAGCTACTCTTATTAGACTCATTTTACAGATGAAGAAGTTGAAGCTTAGAGATTTAACTTTCTCTGGGTCACACAGCTAATAAAGGGTGGATCCAGAATTCAGCAGCACTGCTTGACTGTAATTCCCATAGAGTCTTATTCAGGGCTGTTTCTTCCTTTGAATGGCTTTCATACACAAGGAGGAATATGTATCAGGCTGTGGTGCAGTGACAGTAACCTCAACACATGCTCAAGCTGCTCAGAAGATGAGAAACTAGAGCAGTCATTTATCTTTTCTGGGATTCTAGAACGTGTATTAACCACATTGCACCCCGTGCCCCACTCTCCATTAACCTAGAAGGCCATGAATAGCTGAGTTTGAGAGGCAAGGGAATGCTTAATGTTTTAGTCCCTCCGTGTAGCTGACCTACCTAGTTATTGTTGGTTTTGGCTTTTTTCTCTCACACAATATTTATTTCCCTATGTTCCTAGTTTTTAAAAAGAAACTTCTTTATTCCTAGTTTTCTGTCATTGCCTGCTTTGGCGCTGTAGCATTTAACTTCCTTATATGGCTGAATAATGAATGCAGCTTTTCTTCGTACTTGAAATAGCAGTTTCTTGGTCTGTTTTTTTTTTTTAATGTGTTACCAGACAATCCAAATTAATGACAGCAAAGAATTAGTATCAGGGGATGCTATTACCTTGTGTCAGCACTAAAAAGAGGTTAAAACATATTCTGTGACCCTGGAGGTGGTTAATAGTAAGAATTATTTATTAGGAGACTTTCCTAGAATAAGTGACCTGCATGGCAGTTCATCTTATAAAAAACTTAGAATTCCAACCTCCGCAGCACATAGAATTTTTAGATATATTTTTTAAATGCCCAATTCCAAGTCATTCTTATTTCTGAATCCTCTCTGGAGGACAAGAACAAACAAAAAATTCTACCTAAAATCACATGAATGTCCAGTTACATCTTGCATATACTTTATACAAAACCAATGTTCAGGTGTTTCTATAACAAATTTGTTTTCGAACAAGGTGGTTTTATTAAATTTTTTACCTTTTGCCGGCAAATTATTGGTCTATTTGGTGTAAACCTGATAGCAATGTGTTTATAAATATAATTATAACCTTTAAAAGAAGCCTGCAACTGTTAGCTTTCAACAAAGAACATTTGTCTTACACACACACATATACACACAATTATTAAAGGAAAAAGTGGGAACGCAAAATTAAGTCCTATTTGCATAGGGTTTAATTCTTAGGGCGCAATTAAAGAAAAAGAAAAATCCTAATGTTACAAGGATAAGTTTCCTTCTTGCACACTAACCATTACAATCTTGACACAGTTTTGAAAAATGAGCTATTCAGTTCAGTGTGTATATCTGTGTTCCTGGGATTTGTATATCACCTGACAGAGAGAGAAAAAGAGACAGGGGCAAAGATGGAGGGAGGCAGAGAAGGAGGTGGAGGCAGGGTGAGTAAGAAGGAGAGGTAGGCAGAGAAAGAAGGAGGGGGAGAGAAAGGAGACAGACAGAGGGACAGAGACAGAATATACAGCCCTGATTAGATTTCTGCTGTGACTAAAATGAACTGAAGCCTGGAATTAGTCCATACTCTTGCTCACGCAAACAGAAGACAGTATGAGAGTAAGGAAATAGAAATGGGATTCACTCAAGCTGCTTCTTTATTAAAAATAGACAGCAACTTTGTCCTTGAAATCAAGTGTACGTGCCTGAGTGTGTTTGAGAAGCCAGAAGTAGCCGGTGGAATCCAGAAGGGCTGGGCCCTATTCATTGATTCCTGCTTCCAGCAAATATTCTATGAGCATCAATCCCATGCCAAGCCCCTTGCAAGATGCTGTGACAACACTGGTACCTAAGACATAGCCTCTGCCATAGAAAACCTCAAGCTTTACTAGAGGAGATGGATGTACGAATGTTCAGTCCTACAACAGTGTGTATGTTTAGTCACCCCTAAAGCCTCTCTGTGCCTTCTTTGGCCTCCTTCTCTCAGTGCCACCTGATGGGGCTCTTGCCACTGGTGTTTAGGCTGAGAATAAATGATGATGAGCTGTCAGTGTTGCTGTCCACTCTAGGAGCAACCTACCCCCTGTGCCTGCTTTTCCCCAGAAGAAAACTACAGGGCTCTCTCTCCTCTCCTGTCCCCATCCCAGATGGCTCCTGTCACAGTTTGGCTGCCCTCTCTGATGGAGACCAGAAGAGCAGAGATTAGGAACAACTCAAATCTGATTCGTTTTTCATGGCAATAATGAACTCAGAAGAATGTGAAATAGGGAGAGAGTTTTGTCTTCTACTTCGCTTCTTAATGCTGTGCATTACTAGGGGAAGCATGTGTTACTCACACTTGAGTCCTTTCTCTAAATGGTATGAGCTTATTAAGCATGAGCAAATGAGGCTACTACAGACATTGAAAGTACTTAGCCAGGAATCTGATGAGCTGAGGCTCAGTGCTTTTGAGGTCTTAGGCTCAGGTGGCCTAGTACCTCAGAATATCCTGACATGTTGTTGAAGTAGGCCAGACGGATTACTGAGAAAAGACAAAAGATCAGATATGGGAGTCTTTCTGAGCTGTTGTATTATGCAAAGAAGAACCCTTTGTGGGTTGTTTCTGGGATGCTATAAGCTGATATATTCTAGGAAGTAATTTATCTGACCTACACATGGTCTAGTAAAATGGAATAATATTAATATAATGTAATGTAATAAACAGTAAATATGAATATATAAGTGTAGAAGTAAACATAAAACAAATAAAATAATGTAAAGAATATTAAGTCCAGATATTTATCTGACAATATCTAGAGCTAAACTATCTTGCGGTTGTTATTTGTTTGGATAATTTAAGTGTCCTCTATAGGTTTGAATTATTTTAGGGAAGGAACATCTTTCTCAATATTTCATGACTTCTATAGCTATTGTAAACTATATTCTTTTAAATCGACCTGGTTTTGATTATTTGGTTATTAATTCTATGATCAATTCTTATATATGAAGCACTTGAAACATTTTGAAGTAGATCTGGGTCTTTGACCCTAAAGTTTTCCAGCTTACTGTTTTATGACTCTGTGCGTTTACCTTGTGTGTGTGTGTGTGTGTGTGTGTATCCATCCAAGCTATCAGTGTGCCTGACTCCAGCTATCTTCATTTTAAACATATTGCTTCCTAAACATGAACATGGAATAAAAGTGAATGGTAGATGTTCATTGTGGACACTGTGCCATCCAAAGGCCATTTCTGCTGGTAACATAAAGACTAAAGGCCCACGCTTTGGGGCCATACTAGCCTGGGTTTAAATCCTCATTTTATCCCTGTGGCTTAAGCCTGTGGTCTCAGCTACTAAGGAGGCTGAGGTGGGAAGATCACTTGAGCCGGAGAGGTCTAGGTTGCAGTGAGCTGTGATCACACCACTGCACTCCAGCCTGGGTGACAGAGCGAGACCTTGTCTCAGAAAAACAAAAACAAAACAAAAGAAACAAACAAAATTGTCAAATTCTTCAGCAAAACTAATCCTAACACTTGCTTTGAGAGCCAATAAAATGTTGTAATAAATTGAATATTAAGAAACATGTCTTGATTATGTTTTTCTTGTTTGGTTTACAATTCCCAATGATGTCTCCTGGGCCAACCTTCCCAAAGTTGTTGCTCTTCTTTGATATTAGGGAGAGGATCAGAAAAAAAATATCTATTTGGTACTATGCATATTACCTGGGTGACAAAATAATCTGTACACCAAACCCCCATGACATGCAGTTTACCTATATAACAAACCTGCATATGTACCCCAAACCTAAAAGAAAAGTTACATAAAAAAATAAGTAAAAATAACAATTGGTCATACTGAAGACAATCACAAGACTGAGAGATAGGAGAACTCTGCATAATCTTCAAAAAGCAATCAAATATCAATAACCTAAGACATTTTAAAATGCTCCTTTGCAGAGACCTCTGTACTTTGCCTCCTGAGAGAGAGGTTGGTAAATTATCATTTTTATTTTTGGTCCTTTGCTTTTTTATCTACCCTTTTCCAGTGGGAAAATGTGATGCTTAGGGCAAAGCTAGGTTTTGATGAAGTTCTTCCTGATAGGAGGCTTCTATTAGGTTGGTGCAAAAGTAGTTGCTGGTTTTGTTACTACTTTTAAATTAAAACCAGCAGTTACTTTTGCACCAACCTAATAAAATAGAGAATATAATCCAGGAGACAGAATGGAATGCAGAAGGAAACAAGTATTTAGGAGTCAGGAGTTCCAGAACCAACTTGGCTCATTAGGCTACTGGTCTGGTTAGTTGGTCGCTACCTAGACCAGACCAGCAGCTTTGGGTGAGTCATTTCATTTCTCTGAACTTCAGTGTTCTTGATAGTAACATTAAGGCATTGAAGTAAATAATCTATGGGTTTTCTTCCATCTCAAAAATGTTTGCTGTCCTAAGAGAAAGCAAAAATTTTTTTAAAAAATGACATAACACTGAATAAGATTTAGAGTAAAGTGTGAGGAAATGATATTTTTTTGTTTTCTAAATTAGTCTATGCCTTACTTTTTAAAGTAAAGTTATTTGCCAAAAAGAAACATTTTGAAAGACAACAAATATATAAAAATAGCTTAAATCTTTGTTTCTTAGTGAGTCTTGATAAGTTATGAACTTGTAGAATTATATATGTTAAATGGATGATCTACTAAAATGAATTTTGTCAAATTTGTTTTAGTGTCTTATATAAGTTGACCTTCCTGTCACAATGTATTTAGGATAACAATATAACTTATTGTCCAAATCAGAGCACTTTTGTGAGTAAAAGAGGGCACTATTAATAATTATGCAGATACATAATTAAGAAGTATGGCATAGTCAACCTAATTTGAACATCTCTGTGCTTGCTGTCTCAGAAAAGTGGAGAGGTTGCTTTTTTTTTTTTTTTTTTTTTAAAACAGAGCCTCGCTCAATCTGTCACCCAGGCTTAAGTGCAGTGGCGTGATCTCAGCTCCGCCTCCCGGGTTCAAGCAATTCTCCTGCCTCAGCCTCCTAAGTAGCTGGGATTATAGACACCTGCCACCACGCCCAGCTAATGTGTGTGTGTGTGTGTGTGTGTGTGTGTGTGTGTGTGTGTGTGTGTGTGTGTATACTTTTAGTAGAGATGGGGTTTCACCATGTTGGCCACCCTGGTCTTGAACTCCGGACCTCAGGTGTGACCCACCCCTGGTCTCTAACTCTGACCTCAGGTGACCCACCCACCTCGGCCTCCCAAAGTGCTGGGATAACAGGCCACACCTGGTTGAGATTGCTTTTCTTTGGAGACAAGTGGAATAAGAGAGCATTAGTCCTTTGAAATGAAAGACTTTGCATTTGATGTTGCCGTTTGTTTGCTTTACCTACCCACATCCTATCCTTTTTTGTAATACAGCTTGGCTACTAAACATGCCTGCTGGAATGGAGACAGATAGGGGAAAGTAATTAGATTAGTGGCAATGGAAGAAGTAATCCTTTATGCTTAAGCCACAACTCCAGTGGTTTGCTAGTCAAACCACATTGGCAGTTTTCTTTTTTTTTTTTTTCCATATGGATTAGAACAATTGATTTTTCTTCTATGTCTTCAGGAAAATTGTAGTTACAGGTGAAGTAGATCTGTAGGATTGTGAGCAAAGTGTTGCCTCTGCAGCAGTCAAAACCGTTACCAATTATGTCTTTAATTTTTCTTCTTAAATGAGAGACTCTTGGAAGTCCCCTCCAGCTTTAAAAAGCAATTATTCAGCAACATCACCACCTCTCCAGCCCTGAGACTTCCTGACCTTGTCTTACCTTATCTTACTCTTAGACTTGGTTGTTCAAGTCTGGAGAAATAGTTGGTGCACTTCTACTATACTACTATACTGTGCCTTATAGGCTATCCTTATCAGTCTTCTTCATGCATTCCATGAATAGTCCTCAGAGTCCTGTCCTTAAATACGAGTCCATTCCCTTTTACAACAAATTTCTGAGCCATGTATTTCATTCTCTTTGATATCTAGATGACATAAATCTGTCTGTGGCCTTCTTTCCCAATATTGCCAACTGCAAAGAGTTTTCTCTGGTTGATACCTATTGTCTTATAAATATACATCATTGTCTTCTTTATTTAACCAATAGTATTTTTTTCAAGGTGATTTTGTAGGAGTAGAACAATATTGATCTGTAGGCATAAACCAATTTAATTCAAATCAAGTTAGCTATATGTTTCCATAATAAATATATTGACCTATCATAAATGTATGGCAAATTAATCATATTTATTGATTTTAAACAAGAGAAGAGTTATTGAAAAAGTACCTAAGCAATGAATAAACCTCCAAGAGACTAAAACAAGTCCTCATTTAAACATGACTTAATTAAAGAATTTAATATTTTAGTTAAGTGATAGATAATGAAAGATCAATCAAGGCAAGAACATTGAAGAATTTAGCACAAGGAATAATAAATCATGCAAGTACAAGATCAGAATTAAGCTTGAAAACATTAAGTAAAATAATTACTGAGGGCTTTAGTTACCCACACACTCAATGTTACTCAGCAGATGTACAAATAACACTGTGTACTGGTCCCAATGTGCTGGGGACACATCAGACACACTGTCACATTAAAACACACCTTGTTGCTAAGTCTCATGAGGGACCTCATATATGGCTGCAGATGTGTACAGATGTTTGCTTCCCCACGGTCTAGCTGTCTTTGTGGCCAGAATCTCAACAGTTCCCAGAGTTTTGGTCTTAAGATACTGTTTTCCAACAAAATCAACACTGAAAATGAGAGACAGCAAATAATACAATTTCACTCATTAGCTCTGTAATGACTTTGATTCATGTTTCATTTCATAAAATGCTTGAAGAGCATGAGCAACACATTTATATTAGAGAAACCAAGGTATTGACTTTCTGTTTCTAAATTGTTCATGCCATTATGGTGCCATTTAATGTTAGGTTATTCTCTTACATAATTCTTACAAATTTTCTTTTTTAATTAGTATAAAATATGATGCTCAACAAATTAATTTTCTTAACTGTTGGTTGGCAAATCAATCTGTTTTACTACATGCACACCTAGTGAGACGCATCATCATGTGCTTGCAATGGGTCAACCTATAGTTTAAGAAAACATAATGCTTCTTTTTCTATGTATTTATGTTATATTTATCCAAGGATTAGTAAATATAAAAATTTGCCTTATGAACAAAGGAAATTTAAATGAAACTTCTTGGCATGTCTTATACTTCTGTATGCCTTTGAGCTCCCTCTTAAAGACGTTAATTTGTATCATGCTGTGCAGTGATATTATATGTAGTAAGGTCTCAAGCTACAGGACATGAATGTTTTCACTTGCATTTGAAATAAGACTTTCATATAATTTGGAGGGAAAACAAGTATAGGATGTAAAGCAGACCAATGTTATTAACTTCTGAATTCCTCCTTTATTAAGAAAAAAGGGCTCTGCTTATAAAGATTCTTAAATAGATCATTTTAAAAATCAGCAATGGTTTCCAGCTTCATCCATGTCCCTACAAAGGACATGAACTCATCATTTTTTTATGGCTGCATAGTATTCCATGGTGTATATGTGCCACATTTTTTTAATCCAGTCTATCATTGTTGGACATTTGGGTTAGTTCCAAGTCTTTGCTATTGTGAATAGTGCCGCAATAAACATATGTGTGCATGTGTCTTTATAGCAGCATGATTTATAAACCTTTGGGTATATACCCAGTAATGGGATGGCTGGGCCAAATGGTATTTCTAGTTCTAGATCCCTGAGGAATCGCCACACCGACTTCCACAATGGTTGAACTAGTTTACAGTCCCACCAACAGTGTAAAAATGTTCCTATTTCTCCACATCCTCTCCAGCACCTGTTGTTTCCTGACTTTTTAATGATCGCCATTCTAACTGGTGTGAGGTGAGAGGGAGGAGGGGTAGCATTAGGTGATATACCTGATGCTAAATGACAAGTTAATGGGTGCAGCACACCAACATGGCACATGTATACATATGTAACAAACCTGCACGTTGTGCACATGTACCCTAAAACTTAAAGTATAATAAAAAAAAATCAGCAATGATAACCAGAAAAAATACCTAGATTACACTCTAGCATTTCAGAGGATATTTAGATGGAATCAATAATACCAAAAATATCCATCAATAGTTTTCATCCATAGTAAAATGAGGTTGGTGTCTTCCTAGTTGAGCTTATCATGATAATACTCTAAATTATTGTCATGACTGACTCATGCCTTTGCAATTTTAGCAGCTGTGGTTTTGTGGACATAATATTAGCCAGTGAATATAGCAGGAATTTCTGAAGTCAATAACATTACCTGTGCTGTCTTTGATCTATACAGTCAGTAGTGCCTCAGAAGCATGTTCTAGCAAGGAAACAATCTGAATCTCTTTGCTCTTAAGGTAGTGCCTCCATTCCCATGGTCAAGAATCTGTTTCAGTTAAAACCGTATGCCCACTCCAAGGTAGTGTTAAATTTATGGCAATGAATGCTATAACTTGCTAGTTATTTCCAGCTTTTAATCCAGTGCCTAATATACCATAAATGGTTGTAAATATATGATTACAAAATAGATGTAATATCCCTCTATGTAAAACAGCTTTTGTATTCTCGGGAAGGAGAAGTAACACATTCATGAAAACTAGTTATATGTGAGGTAAGCTAAGTACACTTAATACACCATCAGTCCATCTCACCAAAAAGGTTATAACATTTTATAGACATGGTCGCAGTTGCATGAGATCACTTTCTCCTTGACATTAATATATTCTGACATATCGCTAAGCAGCCTGTGTAACATGAAGAGTATAGCAACGCCATGAAGAACATGAGTTCTGGAATCAGACCATTTGGTTCAAGACCCAGGTCAAATATTTATTTGGAAAGTAATATTGGGCTAGTTATTTAATATCTCTCTGCCTGTTTCCACGTATAAAAACAAAGTAAATTTTTCTATATCAATGGTATTTATGAAAAGTAAATTATATAGTATGTACAAAAAGGTTAGAACTATGCCTGACACATGCTAAAAATTCAATTTTGACTGTTGAGTTATTGATTATAAAATAACTTAGATGTCTGTATAAAAACAGGATACCCAATATAAGAAATTTTTAAAAGACAAGGAGAAAATTGTAATTTCACAAACCAGAGATGGCTACTTTTTACATTTTAGTGTGTACAGGTATAATCTTTGTTTTACTCTTGCTTTTTTGTGAAGGTTTGCGTTAGAAGTTTTCATTATATGAATAAAATTCTTTAAAGTCTTAATATCTAAGTATTATTTCATTAAATGAATACAATTTATTTAATGAGGCCCCTATTGTTTGTTTTTGTTTTGACATTGTTTTTGTTTTTTCAGGTTTTTTTAAAGACAACGTTTATACATAAATAATATCATAGTAAACATTTTTGAGAAAGCAAAAAAATCATGGCTCACATTTTAGATTAGTTCTTTAGGCTAAATTCTCAAATTGGAATAAATAGACCAAAATTTATAGACATGGTAAGGCTTATAATAACTTTCACAAAGCTATTTTAAGAGAATCTGCCTGAATTTACATTCCTAATGGGCATGTGTAATTTTCTGATGAGACTGGTTGTTAGAAAACCTTACCAGTGCTTATATATGGAAGTACTTTAAGGGTTTTTGCTAATATTTGCTGAGTGTATGCTGTGTGCAAAGTGTTATGCTAGCTATTATTAACTTTAAATCAGTTACCTTTGAAATGTGCGTAGATTTGAATAGTAACTATTAGTGTTCAAAACTCTTCTTAAAATGCCCTTTGAAATTATCTTCAGAGCCATAGATAATACCTGTTTTTCAAAGTTCCTAATGGCATTATCTTACCTAATCATTTATTTCGTATGAAAGTCTTAGTGCCATACAACTTTAGGCTGGCCCCAAAATCAAATCCAATCTAAAAAAACTTAATTATTTTTCAAAATCATTTATCAAGCCTGCAGCTGTATTGCAGTACTATAGAAAGGGCACATTCTTGGGGTCAAAAAATCCCATTTTGAATCCCATTTGCTGGTATTATGTGCATGGCTAATTTAGTTATATACTCCTGAACTTAGTTTTCTTTTCTGATAAATGGCAAAAATAATTCTCAAAGTGCTATGGTAAGTATCACAAGATAAGGTATGTGAAAATGCTTTTTTAATAAGAAAATGACATGCAATGTATTATCAGATTTTGAAGATAACTTATAGGTGAGCTCACAGAGTGGGAAGATATGTTTAAATAGCATGTCACCACAAAAAATGATAACTGTGAAGTAATGCATACGTTAATTAGCTGGATTTAACTATAGTGTACATATACTTCAAAATATCATGTTATACATGTAAAACATTTTTTCTAATTTTTAAAAAATAAAAGAATACATTTTAAAAATAATTATAATTACTATATTTTCATCATAGGAAAATCTCACAATTTTGTTTTTCCCCGGAAATATTTGCAAATAGATTATCTCTAAAGTTTTCTTCTTTCCTGTAGTACTCATATACATTAAACTATAGATAGAATATATGGGCTTCTTTTACCAGTCACTATCTGGAAAGCTTTTAATGAAAATCAAATGAAATTATTTTCAATGTGATCCCTAGCGCTGGATGTTATTTTCCTCCTAATTTGGCCAGTAACAGGTCATATTGAAAGATTTTGCTGGTATTTCTGGTAAGTCAGGATAATTTATTGTTCTGATGGCCTGATTTTTTTCATTACATCCTTTCATTGCCCTCGGAGGGGTACTATAATAATCGAACAACCCATTTCCAAGATTTATTGTCTAAAACTTCAAAGAGTCATGTGTTCTATCCCTTGCCCCATGATTTATTAAAAAGTTAAAACATAAAGTTTTTATTTCATGTTTTCTTTAGTATTTGCTTCCAGAAGTTGCCCCCTTTTTTCCCTGTATTCCTTCTCCCCTCCCCCTTTTTTTCCCTTCTCACTCTTAGTCCGTGGTTGCTCCTATTCACTAGGTTATTTTAAACTCGCTCACAGAACTCCAGTTTTGTTGGGGCAGGGATGCCAGATATGCAGTAGCACCACTGATAAGTTTTCAGATTAATTGGTTGGTTGGCAGACAGTAATGAAATTGAAGGCAAAGCAGGATCAAGGGGACCACACATGAATGACTACATTCTCACTGCCTTTTCTGTGTTTTAGATGGATAATGGTGGATGATGTGGCACTGGAATGCATAAATCCCACTATATTTTGAGCAAGATGATTTCTACTGTAATCAACTCCAAAACCTTGAGCATGCTATTGCTCTTATTCCTTTCCACTCTCCAGCCTCATTATATGCCACCACCTCCAACACTTTTTCTATTCAGCAAGCTATACAGTAGATGCAGTTTGGGCTGTAAGAATTAGAGTATTCTCAAGGAATGACTGCATACCTGCTCTTGATAAATGGAAGCTCTGATGTGGTGTTATGTGTGAATGTTTCTGATTATTTGTGAATTTAAGAATCTTTGGGGGTTCAAATTTATTTCTGTCCAGAAGCTTGCTCTGGACAATTGTAAAGTAGGAAGTTTTTGACAAAGAGCCTAAGAATCCATTATCTTTTGGCCATAATGCAGGGCAGAAATCCTGATTTTTCTCTTTACTCCAACTATATTCCTGAAGCCTGAATGTACAGATTTGTTTTTTCCCGTAGGAAAAAAATTAGAATATACCCTAGTAACAAAATATGATTGGGAACTTACAGGGGTATTTTAGTCAACTAATAGGTTCTTTTACATGAATACCAGAAGCTGTACCGATGTGACTATTGCAGGGAAATTTGTTCTGAGAAAAGGACCTTGTATTCTTGTCTCATTGTCTCAAAATGTAAATGACTACAGAAAAAGCAGCACTTTACAGGTCTGTCTTGAATTGGTATATTTGTAATGTCAAAAACAATATTTACATATAATCATTGACTACTGTTTAAAACGCTGTATAGTTACAACTTTTTTCATTCCTATGTAGTTACAGTTACCGAGAAAATTTTGTTTTTTTCTCTTATCTTTCTTTTGTTCCATTTTTCTATGGTTCTTATGGCTATATTTTTTTTCTATTTCAGTGTCTTTGGATTCAATACTTAAGTTGAAATGTGCTCAAATGCTCTATCTTTCAGCATAACAGAATTAGTCAAGTGCAAGGGATAATAAATTTGTATGACTAAATCTTGACCATACTCGTGAGTTTTAAATATCTAACTGGTGCCCCTTCGAAATACAGGTCTTTCGTGCTGTTTTACCACTGTTGTGTGTGTGAAGGCATGCTTCTCTGTGTAGAAACTTGTTCATTAGAAGCTGTTATTGTAGTTTCAATTCCCACAGTTGGGCCACCTACTTGTTACTCTCTTATTTTTCCAAAGCTGTCCTAATTGCTGTCTCCCTTCACCCAGATTCAAGCAGTTGAATTATGTTTTACTGTGTCCCTTGTGTAAAAGGAATGTCCAAAGTGCCAAAATTTCCTGTGGTTTTAGGAGGAGAATGGAGAAAATGAAACAGGAGAGAATCTCTTCACTTAGTGCTTCCAAATTGGCCTTTGTTTGTGTGAATCTGCAGAGGTGTGCTGCAGTGAGGATATCCACAGTCTAAGCTAATTTATCAAACTGTTGATAAGTTAAGCCTGGGAGGATTATTTGAGTAACTGTGTATCTCACAGAGAACAACATAAAGACTTTTGAAGGTATAAGTTTAGATCAGGCGTATCTGGTTCAATTCCGAAGAAACTTTTGGCATAAAAATGTATTGAACTATATTTGATGCCCCAAACTACATTAGGAGTTGTGTGATAGGGAAGAAAGGGTAGAAAAGAAACTAGAGATTGTAGAAGAATATATAGGGCTGTTTCTGTGGCTAAACTGACATTCTGGCATGCTGGAAGATTATTAACTTGTTATGGGGGTAACATATTTGTGACTTTATCACTTATGGGATATGCTCTGTGATGCCTAACACGGTTATATGTGTGTCCCTGCATTTGTGAGTGAATAAATGCAAACTGGTTAGTAGTTACAGTCACCAGTGAAGATCCACAGGATAGAAAAGTCACCTCAGAAGAGACTGAACAGGAGGCTGGCTCCTTGTAAAGAGAGTTGGCCAGAAAAGCAAATGCAACTCCTCTTGACCATCTCCTTTACCTGAAGGGTCCTTCCAAGAAAAGGTTAGGAAGGTCAAGTATTTAAAATATATTCACTGAATATTCACAAAGTGCCAGGAAGTTGGGGACATAAGGGTAAACAAGATAGAGGATGTCTTTTTGGAAAGAAATTGACAGTTTATGCAGCACAGCAATCAAAATGCAGTGCACCAAGAGCTGTGGGAGCTCCAATATAGAGCTGTGATATTCTTTCAGGACAGAGGACCTGTTGGTGTGGAAGGAAAGGCTGTTCACTGAGGTGGAGGATTAAAAATTCATAAAATGAAAATGGAAAAATGGACACAGGCAAAAGGCAGGAAGACAGAAAACTACCAATAAAAAAGAAACCACTGACGTTTGAAGAAGTGAAGGAAGTATAGATAGCATCTAATAAATCATCTCATTTTTACAGACAAGGAACCAGTCCATGAGGAATCTGGTGGGTCAGGTGTGGTGGCTTATGCCTGTAGTCCCAGCACTGTGGGAGGCCGAGGCGGGCAGATCACTGGAGGTCAGGAGTTCCAGACCAGCCTGGCCAACATGGTGAAACCCTGTCTCTACTAAAAATAGAAAAATTAGCCATGCCCGGTGGTGGGCACCTGTAATCCCAGATACTCAGGAGGCTGAGCAGGAGAATCTGTTGAACCTAGGAGGCAGAGGTTGCAGTGAGCTGGGATCGCACCACTGTACTCCAGCCTGGATGACAGAGTGAGACTCCCTCTCACACACACCCACACACAAATCTGCTGAGTGACATACTAAGATCACACAGTTAGAAAGGGGCAGATCTGGGCCTAGAACCTGGTAAGCCTAGTCCTCAGTCCACTCTTTGCATTGTCATCATGAAGTAAAAAAAACTGTGGAGAAGGAATTGAGAACACAACACAGAGGATTGCCTTGTTACTGTGCTATGTATATGCATGTGACGTAGATAGGGGGAATGCATATCATATACGGTTTCAATCCAAAGTGGCAAGTTTGAGAAGTTAGGTCCCTCTGCAGATGTCTCTGAGCATTGCTTTTACGTGAAACAAATGGGGTGAGCTGACAATGGTTAGATTGTAGGCTTAGATCGAAATGCAGGACCATGTTGCTTCCTCCATGGCTGACCTCTCAGCACTGCACACACAGCCTTGAGTAACAGAGGGCCTTGGGTTCCCACAGCTCTGCCACACTGATCTTATCAGTCCACCTGGGAAGATATTCCCCTCTTCTAGCTTACTAATATACCGTCTGCCCTTAGCCTTCACCTTAGATCGTGTGATGGCCCATTTTCCTACCCTCACTTGTCTGATAGTGAAAAGCTGCAGACTTTGATAGCTCAATAACCCATTTAGAAGTTTTGAAATTTTCTGACGTTTATTTATTATACATCCATTATACAATAAATAAGTAATCATGTTTATTATATATTTAATAATAGAACTATTAAAATGGCCTGGGGAATCTTCTAGCATCTTGGAAAAATAACTCTGCATTCATGAAGAATTACAAAGTCTAGGAATCCACAAAGCTCCAAGAACAGTGATACATTCTATTATTTTTACACTGCCTAACAAAAAGAAAATGTTCTATAGGGAGATCATATTTTGCATAATCTTTGGCATATATGTTTAAATTTTTGAGAAAATGCGGAATTTAAAACGCGGAGCCTGTGTCCATGTGCATTTGAATGTGTGTATATTTTATAAAGGTGACTGACAACAAATGAATCCAATATTAACTGCATTTTTCCACTAGTGGAAACAATTTGGGAGTTCAGTGCTATAGAAAGAGGATGTTGTATGTATAGAATACAGTGATGGAAGACATATTACATAAAATGATTTTGTGAAGATTATAGTAGTCTTTGAAGATTCAGCTAACAGATTTTTCAAAGTCATGCTAATCATTTTCAAAACAGCAAATTTATGGAAATGTAAGTTAGATTTCAGTTAGTTACTAACCTGATTTCAGGTCAAAGCTTATTCATACCATCAGAATAATTTACAGCTGGAGTGTTGCATGGATTGCCCGGAATAGGAGGACAAGGGAAGAAAGAATAGCCAAGGAAAAAAATAAGGCACCTGTTAGCTCAAGCATAAACACTGGAACTCATTAAAATCATTAAAGACTGAGTCAGTTGAAGAATTACCTCATTTTTCCCATTCTAACATTTCTAAAAAAGAAACACACACAAACCAACCATAAACCACCATGCAAGTAAGTGCTGGAATGCAAAAGTAAAAATGTGAAGTGCATTGTCTTTGTTAGAAATTGGAAAATGAATTGTGGCATGGGATCTCCCAAGAATTCTAGTTAGTCGGATGTGCTGGAAAAGCGGACAACTGTTAGATCATGACACATCCATTGTATTTTAAAGGCAAGCTCTTTTAAAATACCATATTTGAGGTATGGAAACATTCATGCACTTTTCTTGAGCACTATATATTTAAGACCTTCCTTGGATTTGATCCATAATGTTTCCCATATTTATTTAAATTTTTCTTGCAGAAATTGCTTTAGCAATTGTAGGTGTATGTCTCCTTCTAACTCTAAGCCACTATTCTTGCCCTAGCATCTTCTCCACTCGGTAATAAGAATGGGATTCATTTATGTTCTGAAATTTGGCACTCTGTCCAGTAATTGGGGTATTTCTTATGGGAATTAAGAAGTATGTTCCCCTGACACTTTTCCCCTTCTGCCTTGTGAGGACTGCTTCATTTACATCATTGTCTCCAATCCTCTGTTGAAATGAATTACATCCTATGGGGCTGGGGAGGGGGAGTAGCATGGACCTGCTCAGTGGTTCAGTAAATTACAGAATTTTCGTGGGATTATAAATCCACTTCTGGATACAAGTATTTGACAAATAGAAATAATTGCTATTACCCACAAGCTTTCATGGGCTTTGAAAAGAAAGGAAAATTAGTCTTTGTCAATTGCTTGTATGTAGCTTGTCTATAAAACAAAAAAATCACTGTGGCACCCTACTTTTCAGCATTCATTTGAACAGCAATGGGGGCCTTTTTGGACAGCCTGTTTAACTGCTCAACAACTAGCTTTCTGGTTAATTATGCATTTCAAGCTAGGAAGCAACGCACTCGTGCCAACTTGAAACTGCCGAAATGCTCTAGTTTTACTTTCAGATCATGAAAATGCGAGAAATGGCACCCTAAGTCAGACCAATGGTCTTTAGAGCCCATATTCTCTCTCTTAATAAATACAGCACATGGAAGACCAGTGAGAAAATGATGATTCATTAGTTTAATTAAATATTTCTTGGATTTCTTTCCTCAACATGCACAAACTCTTGGGATATTGAATTTTACATATTTGATAGCTGTTGCATAAAACCATATATTTAAATGTGTTCTTTTCAAATTACCATATCTATTGCAAAAAATGTATTGTCATAATTACTGAAGGCATCAGCAAAATTGTTGCATTACAGAGGAAATGTAGAATGGTTCTTAGTGTTTGCAACTGAGAATAAAAATGTTAATAGTCCAAAGTTTGACCATCATAGGCATACACAACTAAAGAAAAAAAGATATGTTGTCAGATTTGTGTACAAAGAAGCCTTTCTTCCATTAAAGTTGGACAAGTGTAAAAGCTATAGAGAATTATGCTAGGCTGGGTGCAGTGGCTGAAGCCTGTAATCCTCAGTACTTTGGAGGCTGAGGTAGAGGATCACTTGAGCCCAGAATCTCAAAACCAACCTGGTCAACATAGTGAGACCATATGTCTTAAAAAAAAATGCTGAAATTCATGGATTTGCTTTATCTTGATAGTCTAAGGTTAATATTCTCTATTAGATACCAGTGTATCTGCAAATCCATGATAAACCTAAGTTAATGAAAAGTTACATTTTGAAATAATCAAATGAAATAGTGACAACTAATATTCAGAAAAAAAGCTTTTTACTTATTTCCTTTAGGGTACATATGGCACTGTCAGGAGTTTATTTTTGCTTCATAGCTGTATTTTTGTGCTCTTGCCTTCGGAGACAATGCTATTATTATTCATTATTAGTTACACATATTTTGGATGCCAAAATGCTTTCTATGAATAGGTTCTGTACCTTATGAATCTTGCACAATAAATGTTCTTCAGCTAGTCTAAAGCTCATGTTGAAATTCAAGTTAGCTGAGTATTAATAGAGGAATGACAGAGGGAAGAAATTATAACTGCAAGGTCTTCCAGACTACTGACAAGGCTGCCTGGAATATTTAATGAGTCAGATGGTCCATGACTTGACTGTTTCAGAATTATAGGGTTCTACTGAATTTACTCCTGCAGGGAAAGTGTGGGCAAATACCTAAGCTCTCCCATTGTGGTCAGTAGTGTCTTTTTTGGTACGCATAAAGACATTAGCTCCTGTTGTGTAGAAAGAGGGTGGCGGATGGGGAATGGGGAATAGAGGCTGGGACTCTTGAAACAGGAGCCATTGAGAAAGCTCCCTGGATTGTTTACATTGATAACCTGCTAACCATGAAACGAGAGCATTTCCTCCTTAAGTAATTAAGAGTTTATTTCTTCTTAATGCCTGGGTTTAATGGGAGAATTTTTGCTTTGCAAAAGGTTTGCTTTTGAATAAGGTGAATTGACATGCTGTACTGAATAATGCCAAATTGCTTGGTATTTTTAAGCTTGCCTTTTTAATGTTTCATATTCAATGAGGATTAACTTTAAATACCAATTTAATCTAAATTTAAATTCCAAAATTGTTTCATGTGGTGTTCGTTATGTGTATTGTGCATATAGCCTACATCTTATACATTTGAGTGTCATTTGTATGTAAGTGTCATTATGGAAGGCACAAATGTCTAATTAGGGGAAAAATTTGTGGCTTTAATTTTCGTTAACTGTGGATCAGCTCTGGAACAGTAAGTCACAAATAAAAAATCAAATGGCACAATTGTGTTGGTAGCTAATAGCAATGACTTTCATCTGAGAGAGACAGTTTACTGAGCACAAAGTTAAAGGAGTAGGTGATGATGGTCTAGTCAAGTTGAGTAGTTGAATGATGACTACAGACACTTGCAAGCTTTCCTTTTACTTTCCTGTGATGGAAAACAAGATTGGGTGGAAACTCTGCAGAAAGACGTGGTGAAGAGTTTTTCTTTTGCACTGGAAAAGATGATGGCCATAATTAGGGAAAATGTGGCGATTAATCCAGGCCATGACAGAAAATCAAAGGAAATTTGAAGTTCTGTTTATCACCTATGTTTCAATCAATAAAAGCCTACAGTTGTGTTACTGGAAAGGGGTCCTAATCCAGACCCCAAGAGAGGGTTCTTGGACCTTGTGCAAGAAAGAATTCGGGGCAAATACATAAAGTGAAAGCAAGTTTATTAAGAAAGTAAAGGAATAAAAGAATGGCTACTCTCTACTCAGAGCAGCAGCATGGGCTGCTCAACTGATTATACTTACAGTTACTTCTTAATCATATGCCAAGGGGTGAATTATTCCTGAGTTTTTGGCAAAGGGGTGGGCAATTCTTGGAACTGAGGGTTCTCCCTGTTTAGACCATACATGTTAACTTCCTGATGTTGCCATGGCATTTGTAAACTGTCATGGTGCTGGTGGGAGTGTCTTTTAGCATGCCAATACATTATAATTAGCATATAATCAGCAGTGAGGAAGACCAGAAGTCACTTTCGCCACCATCTTGGTTTTGGTGGGTTTTGACCAGCTTCTTTACCACATCCTTTCACCAGCAAGGCCTTTGACCTGTATCGCGTCCTGTGACTAAGAATGCCTCACCACTTGAGAATGCAGCTCTGTAGGTCTCAGCCTTACTTTACCCAGCCCTTATTCATGGATGGAGTTGCTCTGCTTCAAATGCCTCTGACAATTATACACTTAAAGTTAGAAAATTAGATATGGGGCAATCTGTATATGTATTTTTTAGTACCCAATTACAGTTTTTTATGTGTACTAACTTCTGTACTTAGACACATGACCCATAAAGTCAAGAAAGAATCATTAAGAGCCTTTACTCATTTTAATGAATTAACCTCATAACCACACACCCAAAATGTAAGATCAATATATAAAAGTAAGTATAGATAGTTCCCCATAAACTTGGGATATAGTATTCAGTTAGCAAAATCTTACACTAAATGTAAATAGAATCTGCTTTGGTTTCATGACTTTGGGGAACTTTTTTTTTTTTTTCACTTAATGTGACAAAAAATACATATTAAGAACTCACAAAGCTTTCTTTTCTTTCTTTTTTTTTTTTTTTTTTTTTTTGACTGGCCTATTAATTCAAAACTAGTTTCCTTACTATGCAAGGAGCTTTACTAGGCAGTAAAATGAATACAAAGTTAAATTTAGTATGGGAGAAGAAATGTTTGTAAATATCTGTAATACAAAGAATCATGTTAAAAAAAATAGCATAGAAGAAAAACAGGTAACATGGAGATTTAGACCTTGAAAGGTTTGGGCAACATTCTAACAGTCCAAGTTGGGTAAAGAAGTTTAAGGGGAAGAAATAGTATGAACAAATACATAGAGGCAGGAAAACTTGTAGCGTGTTTGAAGAATGGTACAAGTACAGTTTCTCCGAAGTGTAGGGTTCTGAAAGTAGATGGTGTTTGGAAGATAACACTGCAAAGTGCAGGCATGCCACAGAGAAATGTCTTAGATGTAGTAGAAAGAACAGACCCATATAAGAAGACTTGCAATCAGGTTTTTCCCTTATTTCTGGGTGATGATTTCTGCAACTGGAAAATAGTAATAAATGTGCCCACCTCACAGTGACCTATGATGGTGTCTGTGTTTTCTAAACTGTAAAACACCATGCAAATACAAGATACAGATGTCCTCCTCCTCGTGGCACCAAAATTCTGTGTGGCTTCCTTTTTCTCCTCCTCTCTCCCAAGTTTTTCAAATGTGGCTTTTCCCACTGAGTTTACTGCTCCCTGCCCATTTCCTGCCTTTGCTTATTACACGGAGAACTGGCTCTCTGGGCAGTGCTCCCTATGCCAGTTGGCAGACAAAGTCCTTAGAAGGCAGATGCTCCAATTCTGACATCATCACCAAAATCTCTTCTAGTTTTCTGAGAAGAGCCCTCTCCTACCCCCATCTTGCAAGGGAACTGGTACCTTTCTTTCCGTGGCTCTCTGTCCCTCCCACCTCATTTTCCCTCTGAAGGAGGTAGTTCATTCCCCACTGAGTTTGCCAGCAGGAACACCCTCTCATTTCCTCCCTGTCTGCCTGCTTCTCCTTCTCCCCTTTCCTCCTCATGTGATCCATGAAAGTTTTACAAAGGACTTTGACTCAGGCCAAGAGAAAACAAAAGATTAGAAAAGAAGAGTCTAGTGAATGCATGGTTTGATTTGAAATACATTTGCCACGTTGCCAGGAACATTTTGACTACACAGCTTCTAGTTCCTTTGTGAATTCTCAGATAGCCCAGTCTGACTCCTTTTCTTTTTCTTTCCTGGGTGAGTCTTCCCTTCAATTATGTACCCTCATCTTTCGGTTCTAGGATCTTTTGGTTCTAGGATAGGTTAATGGAAATAAATGTAGTGATGAATGATACAAGTTGTTACGTAGCAGGACAAGCCGCAGACAAAACTCCTCAGACACCAAGTTAAAGAAGGAAGGGGTTTATTCGGCCGGGGGCATCGGCAAGACTCCTGTCTCAAGAGCCGAGCTCACCGAGTGAGCAATTCCTGTCCCTTTTAAGGGCTCACAACTCTAAGGGGGTGCACGCGAGAGGGTCGTGATCGATTGAGCAAGCAGCGGGTACGTGACTGGGGGCTGCATGCACTGTTAATTAGATCAGAACAAAACAGGATAGGGATTTTCACAGTGCTTTTCTATACAATGTCTGTAATCTATAGGTAAAATAACCGATTAGGTCAGGGGTCGATCTTTAACGACCAGGCCCAGGGTGTGGCGCCGGGCGGTCTGCTTGTGGATTTCATTTCTGCCTTTTAGTTTTTACTTTTTCTTTCTTTGGAGGCAGGAATTGGGCATAAGGCAATATGAGGGGTGGTCCCCTCCCTTAGTTAATTGGCTAAGGAATTTAGAAAGATGGTGGTTTTCATTATGTCAGTTTCAGCAACTTAAGATGGTTTCACTTATTCATCAGTGACTTTTTTTCCCCCAAATGTCCTTGGTAAAAATGACAGGGGCTATTTACTTAATATTAGTATTTCCCACAGCATAGCATTTTTGGTAACATAACAATTTAAGGCCCCTAGGGAGCATTTAGATGGTTTTTCATTCTGGTAAGAGTTAGATTAAAAATTGCAGTCTTTTTATTTTTTGGATCTAGACCTCTAGAGACGAGACCATTCCAGACCTGCATAAAATTCCTTCAGCCAACTTCTCCTTCAAGGATTTTGAGAAGGTCATCCTAAGAGCCTAGCCTAAGCTGCAGCAAGGTTGCAGTGGCCATAATCTACCTGGCGTGTTGTTTCTGTTGATTTTTCCCCAAACTTCTCTGATCCTAGTGTGGGGTATGTGAAAAAGGGGAGACGAGGGGTAGGGGAGACGAGGGGTAGAGGAGGCCCTCACAAAACAGTGTCAGTGAATCTCGTATTTGGTTTTCCGAAGGCATGTTGCTAGCTGCAGATTGCTGTCTAGATTTCTTGCTGGGAAGCTTAATCTAATAAAAAATCTTTCAACATTTCTGCAGTTCTGTTCTAAATCAGTGGGAATCAGGTGATACTTTGGCTGTTTTACCTGTTCTTTCCTCTTATATGACCATGAAAATGTTAAAATAATAGGTACTCCTGACTGATGAATCTCTGACAGATGCTTTCTCATTTGGGTCCCTGGGCTGTTTGTGACTTTACATTCCTTATTTCATTTTTAAAAGTCATTTTTCAAAATGTTTTGTCAAATATATAGATGATAGATAAATAGAGAGATAGAGTCTGTTTCTTGATAAGCCACACTGACAAATTTTGCAAACATCAGAATCTGTTGCTTCTTCCTAGGCCAAGGGAAGTGTGTCATTTATCAATCAAACTGGGTAGTAGCAGTTGAAGAAGAGCTGTAACTGTCATCCTAGCATAGTTTATAACAGCAGAAGATTCAAAACAAGCTAAATATCAATATGGGGATGGTTATGAAAATCACAAGGAAATACTATACAGCCATTTTAAAAGAATGTTTCAAATGAATAATTATTTACAAAAAGATGTTCACATATTTTATTTCATAAAAGGGACTTTTAAAAATCATATTGACTATTCTATGATTGCATTTTTATAAAAATAAAATATGTACGTAGGAAATTTATTTGAAAATTGTGTTAGTGGGTCACCTTAATGGTATGATAGTGGATATTATTTTCTTCTTTCTGTTTATCCACATATTCTGCTTTTTATAATGAAATTGTATTGCTATTGTAATTCTTTAAGTTACTTAAAATTTAACTACATACAGTAGAAAAACAAATATACCACCAATAACCAGGAACAAGACAGTACCATGACATATGGTGAGGAGTGGATCTAGATATGATACACGCGTTAGTAACATAGGTCAAAAGACTCTGCTGGTAGTGCTGAGAGACTCCTCTAAAAAGCCAGCCAAACTGGAGGCCAGATCAGCAAGAGGAATTGAAGAAGCTGACCAAGACTAGGGAGAAGGGACCAAGGCACGTTGTACTTCTCTTGAGCCTGGAATCAGGTTTGCATTGGAAATAAGCTGGAAAAGAAAAAGTGGCTCCATATTTTAAGAGCTAAAAGACTGTGGGTACTTCTGGGTTACTTTCTTTCAATAACTGCAGAAGAAATGCTGTTTCTCCAAGCTGGCACTGGTGTCAAATGAACAGAGGGTCTCCCCATTCTGTTATTTTCCTGGCAGTTGAAACATCCGTTGGCTCAGCTGTTTAATGTGTAAGTTCAGTGTCCCACAGGCCATTCTCCATAAGGCAGCAGCTACCCAACCATGATAAATTTAGTGTCAGGTCTGCATTCAGAGCACACTGTGTCCCACTTTAAGAAATTGCCCTGGGTCATGTAGCTAGTTGTAGAAGTCTGTGCAAATGCTGGTGATTCCCAGGGAAGAAAGATAATATTTTTCTTTGACCTGGATCTCTGTTTCTATTGATTCTCAGAGTGGTTCTCCTGGTGAGAATCCTTTCCACTTCTGAATGCTTTGTGCCACTTGTCTCAGGGTAGGGCCTGAGTATTGTCACATTTATGAAACTATACATATGTGGTTCTGATATGCAGCTAGCATTCAGAAGACTGATCTGGAACGGTCAGGCTCGGCAAATGTATGTGGATACATAGTAATGATAACATGAAAACTTTCAAGTGCGTAGATGGTTTCACACCCACAATCAGTTGACAGTGCTTCTTGTGTTGATTACCCACCTGTGAAAATGGATTTGCAGCAATTCCTCTTCCCTAGTCCTCACTGTGAGCAATGGAAAACTTAGTTGAGATGAGCTTTGACTATGGAATGAGACAAGCCAATTATTCCATGTTGGAACTGCCTCTGAATTTTATTATCTATAATGCTTGTTTTTATCAACTTAGAAAACTGACCTGAAAGTCATAAGCTAAACCATCAATGGGCACATTAGCTCATGACATGTATACACTAGCAGCTGACAGTGGAATACAATTCAGAAAGAGAGAAAAGGAAGGGGTGGAGTCAGACACCTTCTTGGATATCTACTATGTGCCAGGAATTACTTTAAACACTGTGTATCTGTTCTCATTCAATCCCTACAACAATACTTCACCTTTTTTCTGTTCAATAAAATTAACTGATCCACGGATCCACTCTTTGCACAGAGCACTGAAATATTCTCATCAGCAACTTTCAGTTAAGCAATATTTAGACATTACTTTTCCAGGGCCATGGAAATTGCAGATTTAAACCCTGAAACCTGTCAAACCTTGTGCAAAATGACAAAGCCCACCTCCCCTAACACCGTCCTGAACAGTGGATCCCTGTGGACTAGCTAGAAGACCAACCCAAAAAGTCAGGTCATTATCACTGGAATAATTGTCATTGATACAGCAACTACAGTTTCTCTTGCTGGTTTGCTTCTTTAACTTCTCTTGTTTTTTTTTTTTTTTTTTTTTTTTTTTTTAGTTATTAGAGATGATGGAGGTTAAAAGGATGCTGCTTAACAAAGATAAAAGCTCACTTAGACTAGTAATCTTTTTTTCTTTTTAAAGAAACATAGGATTACAGAAATATTTAATGAATTAATAAGGTACTTCTCAACACATTTTTTTCATTGCCAACTAGTTTTTCCAGGTTATGTACATAATTGAAAAAGTGTTGTGTTGCGTGTTATGCTTTGATGCAGTCTTGTTTTGTAATCCATTGCTTTCAAATTTCTATCATCATCTTCTAATTATCTTAAATTTGCACTGTGCTACTAGAATAGAATGATGGTATTATTACTATTATTACTGGCAGCAGAATTGAAACCTGGAGTATAAGTGGTTTGCAGACCATTCATAGATTCATGTAACCGTAGAGATTCATGGTTGAGTAGTTGAGCACCTGACTTCTATGGGAAAAGCAGCGCTCTTCAAGTTACTGCCTAATTAACAAACACACTTCATGGATTGAGGATTTAAAGGGGAAGAATGGTCATGCTTAGTACAATTGAATGCATATTTGCTACTAATTACATATACCTCACATTTTCTCTTAGAGACCAACTGCTTTAAAAATATTTTATTAAATGTTTTTGTTACCCTGACAGAGATACATTCCTTTAAGGGTGTTTTCAGCAAAACATTCAAGTTTTCAGGAAGTATTATCTTTCTTTCCTTTTACCCCTTTCCCATTTCCATGAAATTAAAAGGAAATGCATAGCCAAGTGTTTTTTCCCAGAAGAAAATAATAAGAAATATGCTGATTTTACAGAACAGTATGAACAGTTATAAGGGTCTATGTAAAAGGCAGCGTGTGTTCATTCTCCATGCATACTATTAGTAAAAATGAATGGACTTTCTCCTCATCTGTTTTTATTTAGAGCAGGACCTTCTTGCATTGAATTTCCTGTGTCAGCTGTGTTCTAATTCTGTAAAGCCTTTGGTTAAGGAACAGCTCTGACTCTATATCCCTATCTTTTCCTTTCCCATGTCTTAATTTTGAGTTCTTATCACTCTGATAATAAGCAGACATTTCTGAAAATCAGAAATCCTGCAGTTCCACTTTAGTTTTTCTTTCTCTTCCACTACCTTTCCTCTCTTAGAACAGTAAATATGTCAGATGGGAACCTAAAGTCAACCTCTGTGCTGTCTTGCTCTGACTTAAATGCTCTCATCCAAGTAGGTGGCATTTCTCATGAGGGGCCAGACAGAGTTATGGAACACCACAAGCAGGGTAGCCTTCGGATTTGACTTGAGAAATTAGGAAGAATCTGGTGGTCCTGACTAAGAGTGCCAGTGATAAAAATCCAGGTGAGCACAGACCATTGTCATAAGAGGGGCCTGCACACAGTTCTAGATAGGTATGTTTACAGGAATTCGTGGTCTGAATAGCAGGGCTAGATCAGATTTGAGATCTGATTTACCTAATACTAGAAAGAATGTAGTCAGTCAGGAGACTCAGGCCGGACTTTTTATTTGATAAAGAAATGAAACTGTTGATGTTGGTTTCTTCAGTAGGATTTCTCTACTTCTTTTAGACTTCTCAAAAGGTTTTTGTTTCTTTAGTTGTTGCTTTTGTTGTTGTTCCCCTACCCTCAGAAGTAAGTAGATTAAGGTAAACTTTTGTCTTAAAGAGCACTGTCTAGTTAGTCCCTGTTTTCTGGACATCAGTGGTCTGTTAAATCTATAATCAGTAGGTGAATTTGTTTACACAGACATGAGCATTTGTGCACATCTTTTGTGGGACTTTGCAGAAAAGAAGAGAGATGTTACCTCCTCAGCTCCAGAATCTTTTACTTCAGTGTCTCATTTCCTCTCTGGGATTGGGGTAGAGTTCTTGGCACAGAAGATGCTAACAACTGACTTTCTGGGAGTCTTTGCACAAATGACAACTTCTGTGGCCTTCAACTTCCCCAAGCTAGCATGATGGGTAGATTAATATGTTCCTTTTTGGCAGGAATGGGAACTAATTTTTTTTTAAAGAAGGAGGAAAAAACACGTTGTGCTAAATCAGTGATTACTATGGCAACAGGCACTCTATACATGTTAGAAAAAAAGAAGAAAAATGCAATCACAGTTCTCTAAAGAGGAAGATAGCAGAAATAGGTTCACAAACTTTATTTTCAAAAATCAATAAATATGTAGTAGGCATCCACTATATGCTCTGTATAATCTTATCGAAATGTCTAACAGAAACTTGATGATAAAACCAAATCTGCCATTTGCTTGCTACCGCTCTGTTTCAGAAATTCACTCACACACCACACACACACGCACACACACACACTAACAGAAAAACCACAAAGAAATAGTATATACCATATTTTAAATAAAATAGTTAAATTTCAGTGCCCTGATGAATCCACGTTAGAAAAAGCAAATATCTTACTAGCTTATTGGGCAGAAATACCCAAGTTAGAACAAATTACTCTCCCTAGAATGGCTGTATTCACCCCCCACCCCACAAAATGCAGGTGTTTGCGTAACATGTTGCAACCGTGTTGGACACATAGTTCTTAATGTTAGTGCAGGGTTTCTCAACTTAAGCTCACTTAGACTAGTAACCTTTTTTTAAGCTCCGTTGACATTTTAGCCCAGGTCATTCTTCTTTGTGGGGGGCTGTCCTGTGCACTACTGTAGGATGTTTAGCAGCATTCCTGAGCCCTACACAAAATGTCAGTAGCATCCCCCAGACTGCCACAAGCAAAACTGTCTTCAGTCATTGACACATGTCACCTAAGGGGCAAGTCACCACTGGTTTAGAGCTACTGGTTTCAAGTAACCCAGCTGTGTTCTCAGGGCTTGTGGTGGGGTATTTGAAATAACCCATTGCCATGAAAAGGGTAATAGGCATAAAAATAAAAGCTGAACTTTATAATATTTTGGTTGATTGGGTGATTTAGGTTATGACTATTAGTGATTTTGCCAGTTTGGCTCTTTTATGACAGATCCTGTTATATAAATAAAATCACTAATTTTCCAACTGTAGTATCTAATTGTTACAAGCTGAATTTTGGCAAATCAAATGACACAAGGATAATATTCCAATTCTTTATTTTTTCACATTACACAGTTATCCCCCTAATTAGTTTTGCTGGGAGCACCCTCATATGGGTTTATATGGAATTGGAAACAATGTTGGTAAATTAGAGAGTACATTCAAAATTATGACTACACAGTGGAAATAAGAATGTAATAATCTTTTACAGCAAAGGCTGTACAGATTGTTTTAAAGGATTAAAGAAACAGTGAACTAAGGGATGACAGAAAATCATTTGGAACATAGCAATTCCACCCTTGAACCTGTAAATATCACATTATAAATTTTATATGTGAGATTTTCATTGTATTATACTACCAGATAAAGCAACCATAAACATAGATTGCTAAGTTTCTTAATGCACATGCTTTGAGAAATGACCTCAAAGCACAACTGGATAGCTGTTGGGATTTTTTTCCTAAGTAATACAGAGCTGTGAGGTTTGAAGTGTGTTCTAATCATTGTACTTTCGGAATTTTCAGAAAAAAATAGAGGTGATGCTAACTTGTATGTTTTGGATTTTGTAACTTTGTTCTTGACATGTTATAACTCTGTAAAACGGAGCTATAAAATAGATTAGACAGTTTACATATTTTTTAAAATCTGAATGAGTTCATATAGTTCAGCTAAAGATGAAACACTGATAAAATTCAGTCAGTATCACTATTGATTTGACAACATTTCTCCTGCTCCTCTTTTGTCTGCTGACTCCTGCCAGCAAAATAAAGTAGATTTACTAGTACACTATAATCTTTAGAGTTCTTACAAGGCACAAACAGTAAGTATTTAACTCTATGCAGGGTAAGAAGAAGTGAAGTGAGTAAAAAGTAGTGTAATCTGTCCCACTTTAACGTAAACATTAATGTAAATATTAATGCTGAAAGCCCTCCTTTGCTCCACAAATCATAACCATGATTTTTTATTGTCCTCTTCTCCGTTTTCTTTTTTCCGGTACTGTGATCATTGGCATTTCATTACTAACAAACAAGAGGGAATGTGAAGAAGGCAATTTAAAGGTTATATCAAGGAATACAAAATCTTGGAAGGCTGTGGAACTTTCAAAGATATTTTTAGTAAAAGCACACAGCAAATTGGTAGATCTTCAGCAATTAGCACTTACCCATGACAATTGATACCAGCCTGTTATGTCAAGCTGCTTGTGATACCACATAGTATTACTAAGATGCATAGGATGATTTCATTTTGCCCACTTTCATCAATAAATGAGCCTAAATATTTATGTTTCCTAAACTTCCCAAGATATTTCTCTTCCTTTCTTGAAAATCTTTAGGAATAGAGGAAGTTCCTAGCTATTGGTTCTCTGTTGAGTAATGCCTAGTGGGAACGGGTAGATAAGATGGCCTCTTGAGATTTACTCTTATTTAAATGTGATGATAAAGATCTTTAGGTTTTCTTGCTTGCTTGCTTGCTTGCTTGCTTGCTTCCTTTCTCTTTCTTTTTCTTTCTCTTTTCTTTTTCTTTTTCTTTTCTTTCTTTTTTCTTTTCTTTCTTCCTCTCTTCCTTTCTTTTTTCTTTCTTTTATTTTTCATTCTTCCGTTGGTTCATTTGTTCACTCTTTGTTCATTCTCGCTTTCTTTTTTATTTTTCTCCTTCCTTCCTTCTCCTTCCTTCTTATTTTGTTTGTTTGTTTGTTTTTTTAAGAGAAGGCAACCAGCATTTTGCTGTTTCCACTTAAGGACTGAATGAGAAGAAATAAGTCAAATTTGATCATCGATACTTTGTATTTATGCAGAACTAAACAATTCTAGTGACAAAGGACATTTAGTCAGTGGGGCGATATTGGTAGAAATGAAGCCTAGTGACATGAGGCTGAGGGCTCTGCCTGAAAATGTGGAACTTTGGGTTTTGGTCTTTGCGTGATGTGGTTAACACTTTTTGTCTACCTGATTTATTTTGTCATCTGACACGTGAAGGTATTTGGTTTCAGTGCCCCCTAAATTTTCCCTCAGGTTCTATAATTTGAGGGTCTGGGACTAAGAGTTCCAAGTTGTGGATATGGAAGCAGAATGATTGCTCCAGGGGCTCTTCTAGTCTCAGAAGACTTTGAAGTAAAGACTCTAGGAAAGAAAGAGCATGAAAGTCATAATGCTCTTATAAATTTTTAGGGATTTACAGGAGAAGTATTTATGGTTCCTGTCAAATTCCTTATGGCTCTATGATTACTTCACATTGAATGGAGGGAGAGAAATTCAGCTGTAATCTCCTAGTTTGCCACCAGCCAGAACAATTGGATTTTCTTCAAATAGGAGATTAGAGCTTCCAGAAAGTATTTCTAGTTCCATATGCTGCTTTCTTTTAAAAGGACACTTATTCCTATTTATTCAAATCCCTTTATGTCCCACGAACATCACTTTCCCTTTCTGAGTAGCAAATAAACTGCTTTTCTTCAAAGTCTTTCTCCCAGAATGGAATTACTTAATTATTTGTGAGTGTGCATATGTACACACACACATACACACAGACATATGTGTGTGTGTAATATATATACACACACGCATCTACATATATATTTATATATATATATATTTTAAGGAGAATAGAATGCTCAACAGGAAGGATTAGTAGAGAAGCATACTTTAAGAGCAATATTTTTCAAGTTAGAAAAAATCCAAAGGTAATAAAAGCAACTTTCATAAAATGGTTGATCTTGTCAGTAATCTTTCTAGAAACATCTCCACAGCATGTTAAACTGCCTCCAAATATATCCACAAAGAGCCATGCGGTAGCTCCCATATTTATTGTTTGCCCTTTCAGGCAATTTGCTACCTGAGAATAGAAATGCCAAAATAAGATAAAATGTCTATCAAATTGGGTACACAGATCTTTTAAAAAAATTTACTCTACATTTTCTTAAGCTCACTTGGAGTGATTGGACAAAAGTGTTCAGATTGAAATGGATGCAGTCCCCTGATGTTAAAATGTTGCTGGGACAAAAGTTACATATCGGGTTGTTAAAAAAAACATGGCAGAAGCCTCTGTGGACTATGTGTATGTGAAAATGGCACATTTCAACAGCATGATCTGTCTATAGGATAAGATGGTGGTTCCTCAAGTTGAGGGGGCATCAGAATAACCTGGAGGTTTGTTAAAATACAGATTGCTGAACTTCATCCTCAGAGTTTATGACTTAGTAGACCTAGATGGTATGCAAGAATTGACATTCTAGTAAATTCTCAGGTATTTCTGAAATTGGTGGTCCAGGGACTCTACTTGGAGAACCACTTGAATCACAATTATGTTTCTGTAACTATTTAGAATAATTAGCAGGAAGCAGGTGAGAAATTGCCACAGACTTTGGAGCTGAGGTGAATCAGCCTCATTTAATAAACATTTTATCCACAATTGAAAGTTAAAAAAAAAGTGGTAAATAATTATATGATTCCAAGCCAAGTGACAATTGCAAGCTGAACAGAATCTGCTCCTTAAGGAATGTCGGTGAAGAGTACGGGAAACGATAGGTGAATCTGTCACTTCTAAAAGCTTCTAAAACAATTACAGTTTCTACTAATGCTCTTACTTTACTACAGTGACTAGGTTGTGTAATCCAGATTTTCTAGTAAAATGTTTCTTCCATTACAATTGCCTAATAATACATTACAACATATCTATATTATGGAATATTATACAGCCATTAGAAAAAGGAAGATTGAGGAACTTTCAATGAGGAGGGAAAATGTTTATAACATGTTAGTTGGTAGAATACCAGATTCACTGTGTGTGTATGTGTGTGTGTGTGTGTCTATAAATTGGAAGAAAATATTTTATTAGCTTTGGTGATTTGGGGAGACTGGCTGATTATAACATTGATTTTCTTTGATATATATGATATATATATCATATATATCATATATCATATATATATTTCCCCAAATTTTTAAGTGTCCATCATAAAAAAAAGTATCTGAAAACAATTTCTCATAATTTAAACTTTCTTTTGCTTCCCCACACCTAGGTATGAGACCCACAACTGACATGGGAATTGGAAAGGGAGTGACATGGGAATTGGAAAGGCAGTAACATGGGAATGGGGGTAATTTTCGTGGCTCATTCAGTTGGATGGTCTGGGGTTATAGTTTTTATTGGTGGGACATAAAAGTAGTCTAAGTGGTAGACTTGGGATTTTTGGTAACTGACACAATGATTTTTGTAACCACATTTTGTCTCAGTGTAGCAATTTTATTTGCTAAAACTTAGAATTAATGATACATATTTTAAAATGTCTGTTTTATCTTTCAGAGTGAGGAAAATCCTGGAAGCTTAGATTAGATTGTAAATATGAAATATTGCAAACTGATAGCTTAAGGCTGGCACCAAAGGGTTTAAGAATTGAATGTTCATATCACCCTCTACTAAATATGTAGGACACTTACCGTGAGACTGGGGATTAGGGATTCACAACATTATAAAGGGTAAAAAAAAAATCCTTTCTATACAGCCAACTATTGATCTCTACAAATTGTCCGTATAGCCTCTCTGTTAAATACGCCTATAAATAGGATCAACTTTGAAATAGAAATATTTTAGGTTAAGCTTCAGGCCATCCCTGTGAACTTTATTTACACACACACACTCAAATATATGTATAAAAACCTGCAAAAAATATATAGCCACATTTGTGTAAATATGTATACACACATATATACGTATGTATTTATATACACATTTCTAAGACAGTGTGATAGGTGAACACTTACGTTTCCTAAACTTTAGCTTCATTATGTTATCCTTTGTTCCCTAGATTCACTAAATATTTCACAGCAGGCTCAAGGTCTTAAGCAATTTTCTTATCTGATTTTATTCCTATTTAATAGTTTTATCTAACACACCCGTTATTTGGGTATTTGGATTCTACTTGCTTTTTGATTTATTTACTTTTTTCTAAGTCATGTTGTTTATTAAAATTAACAGAATGTTTTAGAGTTCTCTTTGTTTTGCACATCACCAAAAGAGCATTGTTCACTTTGCGTTATTTGATTTGGTCCAAGCTTCTGAATAAAAGAGGAAATTTATAAACAGAAAATTTCCAACAAAATTGTCAAAAACCAGTGTGTTTAACAAGAACGTTTACCCAAAGGACATAAATTAGTGATGACACTACATACTGTTGCTTAGATGCATAGAGTGATTTTCTTTGGTCCACTCTCATCAGTAAATGAGCCTAACGTTTTAAATGGGTCCTTCTCATGGTTTAGAAGCTTGAAGTTAGTATCAAAGGAGATGCTCTTCAGTATTTTCTCTATCATTAGTCACTTTTTGCAATGCTGTAGAATGAAAAGTAAGATACTGCTCAGATGAACGTCATCTTCTAGGAAGCGTGCTGTCAGAACTCATTATGCAACAACAACTATATATCTTATGTTTCACGGGGACACACACACATTAATGTGATCCATAAAACATTTCCAAATGGTTTCTATATTTTGTAGCAATTCAAGTTTAAGCACTTTTATGCATTTAATTATACTCTCAAATGTTCTGCCCTAATCCCTAAAGCGGGTTTTGATGATTTCTAAGGGGCACTACTCATCAGTGGCATAAACATTTGTTTATTTGGCTTAAGTGGGAACATTTTTCACCATGACTTGCTTTGAAAAGGGATTATATACTTTTCAGTCACAATTTAGAGATGCCAATTTGAGATACAAAGTAGCTAAATTGATTAACTGGTATGAGAGATTTCCTTAGTAGCCCATCAGTCTCAACTAATTCTTTTTTTTTTTTTTTTTTTTTTTGAGGCAGTCTCTCTTTCTGTAGCCCAGACTGGAGTGCAGTGGCATGATTTCGGCTCACTGCAGCCTCCACCTCCCAGGTTCAAACAATTCTCATGTCTCAGGCTCCAAAGTAGCTGGGATTACAGGCACATGCCACCACACCCGCTAATTTTTGTGTTTTTAGTAGAGACAGGGTTTCACCATGTTGGCCAGGCTGGTCTCAAACTCCTGACCTCAAGTGATCCACCCCGCTAGGCTTCTCAATGTTTTGGGATTACAGGCATGAGCCACCACAACTAATTCTTAAGTACCCCAAGTTAATATCCTCCTGATAAGTCTAGTTCAACATAATTAGCATAGATAGTTTATTATGAAAATATAGCTATAACGTCTAGGATGCCCCTTTCTTCAGATAAATAACAGTGAGAACAATGCAGAAGGAATAATCAAGGTACTCTTAGGTAGTTTGTCTGCGATGTTTTGTATCTGGTTTCAATTAGCTTTGCAAAAATTATGGAAAAAAAAAGTTTGAGTTTTGGAAACTTTAGCCAGTTCATTAAAAGCTTGTATCTTCCCATCCTACCCCTGTGTGAATAGAATATATCAATTTCTTTGTTATCTCCTTTGCTTCTCTTCTACATGCCACAGTAATGGGAAGCTAAAATAAGGTGGTGATCTATACTTGCAGCATTTCTCTAGAGAGAAGGCACACAAAGAGGAACAAAATATCCAAGTAAAGATGTAGACCCTGGAAATACCATTACTACAGAATAAACCTAAATAAAATACAAGGAAAGAAAGACAGAGATGGAGGTTGAATTCTGAGGTCCAATGCTCTGTGAGGTCAGCCTTTGGAACATACTTGTTTCCAATGAATCATTCATTCTTTGGATCTTCATAAAGGTTGTTATGCTCATGTACAATTTGATCTCTGTGAATTTTAGGATCCAAGTTACTTAAGATATTCTAGTTTCTCTTTATTCAAGTGTACACCATTGGAGAGTTTAAAGATAATATTTGGGTTGAAGTGATCTGCTATAGTAGAACCACCACATACTGAAGATAGACAAGGAAGACAAAATGGTAGTTTGTTGTCATTCATGGTATTTTAGGGATACATTATTTATGTCAAGGGGCAAAACTCACAAAGCCACAAAAGAAGAAAACTGGCCTGTTTGCTTATAAAACCTCCAGCAATGAGGAGTAACCAATGCTCATCCATCATGGGTTCTGTTTCCGTACATGAATATATGGACTTACTGACTTTTCCTACAATTATTTATTAATAATATACTTGGAAACTTAACTGCATTGTTTTCCCTTTATTTTTTTTTTTGATTTTTAAATTTCATCAAGTAATTAGACCCAATACCTTGCTTTGTATATCATAAAAGGGTAGTCCCATTATTCATTATCTCTTTTTTCATTTACTTGATGTTAAATAAAAATCCTGATCTAAAATAGCTTTAGGCTTTATTTTTCATGCATTCATTCTTTGGTGAGATTAAATAATGTAAAAGCCTCATATTATTTCTCAGACCTTTGTCCCAAGGTCTGAGAGGAAGCCTCAGGTTTGAGCCAAGGAAAGGAATTCCGCTACATTGACTTCTATTGCTCTGTTATATACACACACACATTTACCATTTGAAAGTAAAATAGACTCATTATAAAATTCTGGAAAATATCTAAACTAAAATAAAATAATATAAATTATCTCCAGCTGTATTAATAACAGGTAGTCATTTAAGATTTCCACGTATTTCCTAACAGTCCTTTTTGTTTTTGTCCGTGGGCATATGTAAACTTATATTTCAAAATTAAAATTATACTTTATATCTTGATTGTATTGTAAGCATACTCCATGCTATCAGATATTCTTTTAAAACACATAGTAGCATTTATTTGGAGCTCAAAAGCAATACCAGTTCAATAAAGAAAACTCGGAGAATTTAAAAATTTATAAAGATAAAAATGAAAATCACCTATTATAATTCAGAAGGTTTACATTTTTGTGAATGTTCTTTCTACCTCTCAAATCTTTGTAGTGGTGGAATAATATTCTATCATCAAGTGGATTATCATTTTGTGTACTTTTTTTTATTTGGACATTTTATAATTTCCAGGACTATTTTAATTTTAAAAACCATTGTCATTACATATTTTACACTTATATTTGCCAAGCTTCTGTTTTAAAATAGATTCCTTTAAGGGGATTTACTGAATCAAAAAGCATGAAGTTTAAAACTTTTTTTAGTACACTTTAGCAAACTGCTCTCCAGAAAGACATTTGAAAGATGGTATATTAAGTGTTCAAAAGTTTCCTTGGCTTCAGCCTGCCAAAGTTTAAACTTTGTTTTATGTTGCTCCTCATGGTACATTTTTTTCCTTGTTGATATGATAACTTTTACATTATATTGATGTTATTATTATCATTATCCCGTGTTTATTATAAATCTCCTCACCTATATTTATACTTCTGTCTTTTCGTAGCAATTGATACAGTTTCCAAAAAACAGATACTTTGAAAAATGGTGATTTGAGAGAGATTAAAAGAGAAAGGTAGGAAAAAATAAATGAATGTTTTAAATCCAGTATTCAAGACAACTTTCTTTAAGTGTGGCTGATCACTGAAGGAGAAGGAGAAAAGCCCAGAGTTACAGTAGTATGTCTCAAAAACTGTTCCTTATAAAACTTGATTAGAAAAAAGGAGTTTCCTCCTCGAGACTAGGATTATTCCTATTGCATCTTCTATTTGCAGAAACAGTTAAGAACATACTCGCTCTTAAAAAGGTGATAGCAATTAATGACCGTACTATTTGCAATTAACTTTTCATCACTACAGGATCAAAAGTACTATAAGAGTTGAATTTTTGAGTACTATAGGAATTGAATAGTGGCATGTCATTTATGATTATTTTAGAAATGTATTTTATAAGAAAGTACTATATCACTTAGATTTAGAAGAACTCTATATACTTAAGGAGAAGTGGTGGCAGGCATTAGGAAAGAGATTTGACCTTGATTATGCAATCCTTGTGAAATTACAAGTGCTATTATAAGTAACAGTTGTTAATCTACACAAGTAAAGCCTTGACTCATCTGACCACAGAAAAGACAATAATTGCAATAGAAGATAAAATGCCGGGAAAAAATTGTAAAAGCTAATACATTTTTAAATGCCCAAATGTGAAAGTAATGAGAAATTAGGTTTTTAAATATTTTTTGGTTTCGAAAGGCTTTCATCCAGTCCTTGAAATTTTTTAACAAAACCTCCCTGATACATAAATAAAAAATATAAAATATTCCACCAAAGATCATGACAAAATACAACTATAATATCTTGAAGAAATGAGCATAGTAGAAACCAATAGGTGGTGCAATGATGGCCAAGTGAGTCCATTTCTTATTTATAGAAGAATTTAGTTCTGTCTTCTATGTTCTTTTTGAATGATGATGATGTTGATGTATAGTGTACCTTCTTTCAAAGATAATTAGAGAATGTTGCCTTCTATACCCATGATTCATGATGCAAGGTTCTGTTCTGCTTGAGACTGTCTCATTGTGTTTTCATCAAATTTCAACAATCTACAAAAGACTGTGCTCAATAACATACAGAGTGAATCAAGAAAGTTTCTAGTTAATACAATAAATAACAGTTTAATAATTCTTAACATTTTTTAAAATGTTATTTATTTATTTTAGAGACAGGGTCTTGCTCGGTCTCCCAGACTAAAGTGCAGTGGCACATTCTTAGCTCACTGCAGTCTCCAACTCCTGGGATTCATGTGATCTTCATGTGTCAGCCTCCTGAGTAGCTGGGACTACAGGCCCACCATGTCTAACTGTTAAAAAAAAAAACTGTAGAGATGGGCTCTTGCTGTGTTGTCTTGGCTGGTGTAAAACTCCTGGCCTCAAGCAATCTTCCCATTTCAACCTCCCAAAATGTTGAGATTGCAGGTGTGAGTCACTGCACCTGGCCAGTGCTTACCATTTATTACTTTATAGTGAATTGTAAAGTTCGCAGATGCCCTGTTACCAGATCTGTGAATGACTGAAGGTTCACTCTTGGATATAGGACTACATTGTATCTCTAAAATTTCTGTTAAGGATAATGTTTACAGATGCTATTAATTATGACAATTTCCCTATCACACGTATGCATCTCATATACCACAGTCTGTGACTTCTGTGGATCTGTACCTTTGTTAAATAGTGTCTTGCCAAATAAATTGACAAAATCCATCAAATGGATTTAAGTGACAACTACTTAATATTTAATACTTGTTTATGTATTAAGTATTACTTAATTAGTTGGTGTGACCTTGAGCAAATTTTTTTATCTAAGATTTAATTTTTTTCTCTGTTAGTACCTACTTCTCTAGTGAGTACTATCATAGTTGTAAATCTAGAAAGAGATAATTTATATAATTATTTAACACAGGTCTGTCACATGGCAAATATGCTCATTGTTATTATTTTTATTACTAAACTTGAGTGATGCTCTCTACCAAAATATGAAGCGAATGACAGTCACCAAATGTCTTTGGGATGGTTCCTGTGTCAAATGTTTCTTATAAACATGGCGAAGGATAAGAGCAATTCTAAAATATAATGTTTGTTATTTTGTTGTCCAACTAAGGACAAAAAACATATATCAAATTTGTTCCGGTATGTAAAAGTTACTAAGTGACAAGTGAGATATACAAACAATAGCCTCTCCAAATTTCAAAAAAATGTGAAAAATTCATGAAACTTTGCTCCATGATTTATGTTTATTATCTACAACGTGTCTGTAATCTTTAATTTGCCAATTTTGAATACAAGGATGTGTCAAAACAGAACGTATCATTAAAAAACAAAATCAAAGCAGGGATAATAGGTCCAGATTCATTTAGTGTTTTATCATTGGGTACCTAATTTGCCAAGCACTATGTGCCACATTTATATGTCAACAATAAATGCCATAAGACAGGTTGTGTATTAAATAGTATAAAAGCAAATATAGTATTCATCAAGTGTTTATTCAGATGAATTAATGAATGAATCAACCAAGAAAGACATAATTATAATAGAATCCCTCTTATATTCCTGGTAGTTAATCAAAATGTCAAAGTAGGAATTTTAAATAATTTTAAAATAGACATTCTATTTTAACTAAAACATATAAATGTACATTTACTCACTTCTATTTTAGTAGAACAATTAAAGCTTTTCTTTAAGCAAAGGTCCACCAGTTGTAAATTTGTGTTTTCTTATTTGCTCAAACCATACCTATAATATACGATTTTCAGTTTAGATGGTTGCAAGGCAATCTAATTGCAGAGTTCATACATATTTTGCCCAGTCTTTTATAATTGTCTTCTTTACATCAAATCAGGCAGTCAAAAGAAAATAATACTAGTCTTTACGGAGTGTTTATTAGTACTTACAAGGCATTCTGCTTGTTTCTTATAGGGATAACTGTTTTAAAACACTCATATTTTATTGATTTGAATAATATTTAATCAAATTATGGAAATTACGGTAACAAAAGTGATGTAAACAGGTTACGGAATAAAAATACTAACCCTTGGCAAATGTGCAGTTCTACCATCTGGATGTACCTGAAGACCGCCTACTAGGTGTATGTACTCACTGTGCTACAGAGAATGTTCAGTTCACCAATAAGTCATCATTAAGTAGAGATTGGTTAGGAGAACTTCTACTGTTATGCCTTTCTGAGCTATAATATGCTAGACTCTGTGGCAGGTCATTAAGCTTGGCCTCTTTGGATGAATTCACAGTCTAGTGAAGAAGATATGTAAAGTAATAATTAAACTAATTACAATATTAGTGCTACAGTAGAGAAATGTGTGTTACTGAAATGCCAGGGGTTCTGGTTAGGTCCTACTGCTTGCTGCACAGAAAATCAATCACTGAAACAATGATTATTGTCAGGGAAGAAGGCTTTATTGGGTGCTGCAGCCGAGGAGATAGGAGATCAGTCTCAAATCCATCCTCCTGACTGACTAAAATCGGGTTTGTAGAGCAGGGAAGAAATGTAAGTACATGAGGAGAACAGGAATTAGGGAGAGGTATGGAAGAGGAGTTGGTGAACAGGAAGCAGGTGGTCAGTTAGGCAGTCATGATAGGTGAGGGGTGTGGCTTCTCTTTGTCCAGATGGTGATCTGGAAAGTTTCAGTTCCTTGATACTATCTAGGAGGCCCAATGGTTGGTTTCCTGAAAAAGGAACTCAGATAAGACAAATGTAACTTTCTCAAGTTTTAAGACTGGGAGAGTCAACTTCTATGTTTATTTAAAAGAAACCATAAACATCTGTTCTATAGGACAGCTGGGTCCATTTCATAGTTATCAGAGATCATGAAGGAAGTTTTGACTAACTTTATGGAGATGGGAAGAATGGGGCCAGGTAAAAGACATTTGACCTGAATTCTGTGAGATGAATAAAATTTTGACGAAGTGAAGAGAAAGAAACCTGTTCTGGAGATATGAATTGAAGGTTCATAAACTCATGGAGAGATGTGAGAAGAGAAAGGAGTTGTGAAGTTTGTCCCACAGGAATCTCTAAGATACTAGGAATCTTGTTATACTTACTTTAAGAGAAGTATATAAGGAGTGTTGTGGAAGGACAGGGAAATGGAAAAGTTAATTTCAGCCAAGCATGTGGGTGGGTGGGTGGAGCATGTAGTGGATTGGGAAAGGCTCCCTGGAAGAGGTGACAGTTCAGCATTCATCATGCAGTAAACCATTTCAAGCAGGGCTGGTGGTATTGCCGAGTGCAGCCAACCCCCGATTTTGATGTTTGGAGCAACCAGCTGAGGTTGTTGTTGTGGATATACAATCTAGAAAATTTGGCTTGCCTGGTTGGTGGAAATTTTTCTTTAATCACATTCTGCTATAGGAAATGAAGAGGTTTGGGGAATTGACCAATCCTAAGTTTCTTCAGTCTAAGAAAAACTTCAAACTCGGACACTGAAAGGTGTGGAAAATCAGTGAGTCAGAGAGAGGAGAAGAATCTGGCATGTCACAGAAAGCCAGACATTTTTACTGCCCTACTTTGGATCCCATACGCAGGGTGATTTGTTGAAAAGTAGCACATTCCCTGAAGAAGTAGGACACCTGGTAACCCTCATTTTAGTAGGGAGGCCAGATCTAGCTGTAGCCAGGTTAGTAAGTATTTTCTCCTTTTCCTTTGTGAAAAGCCCCCTCAGATCCAGTGTGGACCATCATTGCTCAGGAAATTCTATTAAGTTTAATCTTTGAAATCGCAGTAAGTGTAGCAATAACATAATTAAGGCACTCATCACTTGCCGTAAGCTACTTTATTTTGCTTTAGGATGTTGAAGTGTTCTTCAAGTGCAGCTGGTGGAACCCACTTGTGCCGAATAATTAGTAATGATTTCAGTCAATCCTCAACCAACAAATCAAAAATGATTTTGCATCTGTCTCATAGTCCTTGGTGTTAAAAAAAAATGAGATAAAACAGATAAGTTTGTCTTTTTTTCTAGTGAAAGTTCCTTGTGAAGACTATAGAGATTCATGAAGAAATTGAATAGGCTGTACATCCATTGCACATTAATGCCTATGCTAAAGGCATTTCATAGCAATTCTTAGGATTGATTTATTATTCTTCCAGGCTGTTTTGTAAATAGACTGTGAAGGCAAGGGCCTTGCATGCTTGGCATATATATGAGTGTGACTCTTGCTGTCTATCAGCATGGCCTGGGGTCAAGCCCTTGACCTCTTCAAGCATCAGCTTTATCATATGGAAAATGAGTACAAGGATACTTGTTCGGTTTACCTCTTGGCATTGCTATTGAGATAGAACAACAAACAGTGCTTTGTAAACTACAAAGCACTGATCAAGCTAAATGTAGTAAGCCAAAATTTTCCATGATTTTCATTGTAGACATTATGATATAATGTCAGAAAATGTGCTGACATGTGGTATCAAGTGACATAAATAAGACTTAAAGTATTTTATTAATTTTCACATCTCTAACAGTATGAGACCTACTAGAGCTCTTTCCTAATGGCTCCATATTGGCAAAATATTTGAGTGAGCCATTAAGTTTTTACTGTGAGTATATGTTTTACATTAAGTTTAGCCTGAGAACTTTAATAGATATTTAGAAAGACTTCAGGAGACTTCAGTGGCAAGTTTTGAAGATGCTGCCCCAAGGAAAATGTGGCTCTGGGAAAATGAGCAAAGAAGAAGCCTCTTAGAGCACCAGTGCTGACATAAAGGCACAGGGTCCCAAAGGTGATGGTGATGCGGTAAACAGACACATTCTCTGCAGGGAAAAAAAAAAAGGCAAAATCATGAAGGCTATGGAAACATTAGTCTGGAATGAGATTCAGTGAAATGGCTGCACAACATAGTCAAGCTAAGGACAGGCAAGGGGGCGACTTCGGTTAGGTGACCAGAGGGTTCATGGGGGACACTTTTGAGAAGCACCATTTGCCATGCTTATAAGTGGGATGGATAAGCCTGTATTTATAGATCTCCTGGTTAAGACAAAATTTAAGTATCATCTTATTATGGTTGAAGGAAGAAAACAAAAATCATATGAAAAATTGAAGAAAAAAGAATTCAAGTCATCTACATTAGCTAAAACTTCTTAATTGTAACAGAAACTAGCGAGGTATAGAACAGTAGTTTTCAAAGTGTGGTCCATGGATCAGTAGCAAGGACATGACCTGGAAGCTTAGAGATTCAAATGATTAAGCACCACCTCAAAACGGAATCAGAAATTCTCAAGAGAGGGTCCAGTAATTCATGTTTTAACAAGCTTTCCAAGTGGAGTAAATAACCATGGGGATTTTAGGTATTTGCATTTATTCACTAAAAAATTATTAAAATGGCATCTATTATGAGCCAGATGCTATTCTGGAAACTGGCGGTAAAACAGTGACAAAGATGGACAAAGAGCCTGCCCTCATGGGGTGAACATTCCAGTCTGGGAACAAAACAGTGAACAAATAAATAGTGCATTGTAAAGTGGTGATAAATGCCTAGCATGAATACAACTTAGGCAGGAGAAGGAGATAGAGTGTTTGATACTGCTACTTTAGAATATGGTCAAAGAAGACCTCTCTAGGAGGTGGCATTGAGCTCAACCTCAGCAAAATGAGGGGCAAGGCCATTTTAAAGAGAGAAGTGAGTTCGCTGGGCCAAAATAGGAATTTAACAGGAACAGGAGCATGTGTGTGATACCTGGCTGAATTCTTTCTGGCTTCTGACCTCTACTTCTCTCCATGTGTCTGACTCATTCCTCTTTCTCTGCAGATGACGGGCAGCTTTCTCTTCCACAGGAAAGGTACAAACTGTTATCAGCTATATGAACACTCTGACTTGGTTCTAGTTTGAAACTCCCAAGAAATAATGCTGATTTTCCCAGACACTCCTCTGCTCAAAACTCTCCACTAGCTTCGCACTTCACTGAGAGTAAAAACTCCACAAAGCCTGGCCTCCTGTTACCTGTCAGACCCATTCTCCCCATCACATACTCTACTTCAGCCATCTGGGCTTCCTTCAGTTTTTCTAGGTCTTGTACTCCAAGGTTTCTACTCACACATAACCTTTGCATTTCTTCATCCTTCTGCCTGGAACAATTTTCTTCCACATACCTGCTTAACTCACTCCCTTCTTGTCTTCAGGCTGTTACTCAGATGGCACTTTTCTGCAAGAGATCTTCCTGAAATCCAGGAAATTGCAGCTCCCATGTCCTTCCATATACTGTTTCCCCCTGAGCACTTATCAATATGAAATATACTAGGCATTTCAGTGGTTTTTCTTATTTCTTATTTCCCTTTCACCAGAATTTAAACTCTATAAAGGCATAGATTTTTATCTGTTCTGTTCACTGATTTATCACCAGCTCCTAGAACAACGCATTGCATACAGCAGGTTATTAATACATATTTGATGAATGAATGAATGGATGACAAAGAGTACAGGATAATTTTCTTTAAAACCTGTGAAATGAAGTTGGAGTTTGTGGTAGAAATTATAAGACAATAAGAAGACTTCATTACAACAGGGTGAAATAAAAACATTTTGAATTGATGACCATAGGACACAAGATTTCAGTCTTATTCTGCAACTGAATGGCCTTGAGGAAGCCACAGAAACTTTGTAGGGCTCTACTTTGTCATCTATAACAGGGAGAAGGTAGTAGAAGTAGACCTGATTGGAGAGGCAGGAGAAGACTAAACAATATCTGCAGTGCTTCCAGCTCCCACTCATACTCGGTGATGTCGTATCTAGAGACTAAGACCAGGTATGTGGACCAGAGTTTTTTATTATCTATGGTGGAAATCTATTTTAAATTACTTGAGAAAAAAACAGGTGGTGCATGTGTGTGTAGATTCACTTTGAGCTCTGCTCTAGGGCTGTGAGTTGGCATCTGAAGCACACAATTCAGAAGTGAGACTTCAAGCACTTCAAATATTTTTATATTAGCTTTTTGTTGGTGCATGGCAAATTACCAGAAATATAGTGGCTTAAAACAACATACGTTTGTTATCTCAGTTTCCATGGATTAGAAGACCATGCAGTGTTTAACTGGGCTCCCTGCTCAGGGTCTCACAAGCCTGCACTCAAGGTATTGGCCAAGGCTGGGGTCTTATGTGATGCTTGGGGTCCTCTTCAAAACTCATGTGGTTTTTGGCAAAATTCACTTTCTCGAATCCATAGACTTCATGGTGGCTTGCTTATTCAAAGCCAACTGGAGAATGTCTTTGAGTTTCTTCTTTCAGTGAAGCCCTGGACCCTCTTCTTAATGGGTTACCTGATTAGGCTAGGCTCACTCGGGATAAACTCTTCCTTGAGTAACTTAAAGTCAAATAATTAAGGACCTTAATTACATATGCACACTTTCTTCACTTTTGCCATACAAAATAGCCCAGTCTTAGGAGTGACATCCCCTCACCTTTGCCATATTCTATTCATAAGAAGCAAGTTGTATGTATTGTTCCCACTCAAGAGAAGAGAATTATATACCTGGTCATGGTTCATGGGGGTCATCTTAGAATTCTACCTATTGCATAATAGAGGGCATGGTAATTATAATAGACATATGGAATAAGTTTCCATTTTGGAAATTACAAGTATTCAGATTATTTAGTTGACAGGAGAGATTTTATAAGCCCTACTCCTCCTGCATTAAGGACATATAGAATCTGCTAGCCCAGCTGCTCAATACTTTTGAGGCAGTTAGTACACAGAGTCAAAGCATCATCGGTCCTTGTCTCCCATTTCACTGGGGCCTCCACTGGCTAAGTGACTCCATGGTTGCCTGGTCCTGTTGTTTGTTGGTTGCATCTGCCACAGCGTGAACTTTCCTTTCCTTTTCCTTTTCCCTTTCCCTTTTCCTTTCTTTTCCTTTCGCCACTTTTGAACTTGACTGAAATGCATGAACATTGCTTATGAGGTAAATGTCAGAGTGACTGACAACAGAGAGTGAGACCTCCTCAGATTTACAATGTCTATTTTGTGCCTGTTTGTAAACAAATGTGGAAGGTTCAGCAGAATTTAGTCTGAGACTTGCTTTTATAGAACAGAACGTTTGATAGTGAAATTGTAGGCGAACAAACCATAGCTACTGTCTATCTCTAATCCCAGGTGACCATGATTATTTACCAAAATATTGACAAGCAAAATTGGCTTAGGTTAGCTTATCTGAGACAGAAACCGTTGAGGTACAATGTAAATTGTACATTGTTAGATGCTTAAGGTTGGCCACAAATACTAGACTGATAGGTTAACAGTTAAGTCACAAACTTATATTGCAATCAGTGAAACTTAAGAGGAATGACAAAGATGTTGGAAAAAAATATATTCTAGAAGAAAATTTTAGGTTTGAGAGTCTACCTCTTCATTCAGCATTCTAAATATACTGTTGAAAAAGTCAACCTACAAATTACAACTTTTTATTTATTTATTTATTTATTTTGAGACAGGGTCTTGCTCTGTCACCCAAGCTGGAGTGTAGTGGTGCTGTCTCAGCTCACTGTAGCCTCTGCCTCCTAAGCTCAAGCGACTCTCCCATGTCAGCCTCTGAGTAGCTGAAACTACAGGTGTGCACCACTGCGCCCAGCTAATTTTTGTATTTTTATAGAGGCAGGGTTTCCCTGTGTTGCCTGGGCTGGTCTTCAACTTTCGAGCTCAAGCAATCTGCCTGCCTTGACCTTCCAAAGTGCTGGGATTACAGGTGTGAGCCACCACTCCCAGCCTAAGCATATAACTTGATATAGTTGTCAAGTGATTAACTTGTTTCAGTTTCTTTGGGAGTGGGTCTTAACTCATCTGAAATCCTTAATATCTTTTAGGAGAATAATTGACTAGACCACTCTTAGCCAACTTTACTTAATTCTATCTGTGGTAATGATCCTGGAGTCATATACATGAAAGTTTAATGAGGACTTTATGGTATTTGATACCATGTTGAAAAGGAAACATAAAATTCTTCTAATAAAACTATCCAATTAAAATGCTTATTTTTTAAAATGAGCTGCACTTTACTAATTGGATATATTGTAAGTAAGTTTGTTAGGAAAATTCACCCTGCTCCAGAATCCACTGGCTTAAAATTCCCTAATTGGATTGGAAAATAAACCAAACAAACCAACAGGAAGATAAATATTACCAATATTTTGAGTCAATTCTGTCTTGAATTCATCAAAGCCAAAGGTACTAATATCTGTGTTTATGCTGTTCTTAGGGTTTCTATTTTTTGTTTGTTGTGTTTTGTGGTTGTTAATTAACTGAGCATTCCTTCAATCTCTAAATTTCTTAAAAATATCAAGTGTGTCTTGTGACCACCATCAGCTGCAAACACAGCATCAACTTACCAAAACAGTCTTTGGTGATTAATCCATAATGACAGGGCTGTTCTCCCGACTGATTAAATTCATTATCAAGCAGCCAGAGGTAGAGAGCTCTCCATGGAAGATTTATTACTCTGGAATTACCTTTCTAGTTTATACTGATGAAGCTAGCTTTGGTAAATAAGGAAGATGAAAATATAAGGGGCTCCTTTTTAGTGGATATTGACGAGTACTTTTAAAAATGGCTAGTCTGTATTTTCAGTGTCTCAATTCTTAAAAAAAGTCCTTAAACATATGTCATCTTTGGTCATTCACAAAGCAGTTGAAATGGTTTATTATCACCATGTGGGATCAGCCTCTAGAATAATCTTTTAGAGGCTGTATCAGGCCAGGCTGATACAGCCTGTGTGTGTATCAGGCCTGAATGTGTGTCAGGCCAGGCTGGGAAAGTTATTGTTCTTATTCTGTCTGCCACCATCACCTTGGTTCACTTTATCACCAACAAAGCTGGATTTGGGTAATAACTTACTAAATGGTTTCTTTACCTAGTTCTTTCCTTTACAGGCCTATTCAGGGGCAGGTTAATTTCCCTTGCTGTAATCAAGTCACCCCTATGCAAAATGTACAGTTTATAATTCCAAATACATACATATATATATACACACACACCTGAATAGCCTTAAGTCCTTTCCATATATAAATTATTTTTATTCATTTCATCTTTTCTTTTTTAAATTTTGTTTTTGTTTTTGTTTTTAATATAAATATATATATAAATACAGAGACAGGGTCTCCCCATATTTCCCGGGCTGGTCTGGAACTCCTGGGCTCAAGGAACCCACCTGCCTTGGCCTTCCAAAGTGCTGTGATTACAGAGATGAGCCGCTGTGCCTGGCCTTATTCCATCTTTTCTTTAAAGTTTTCCTGTTCACCTGAGCACAAAGTGACTTCTCTCTTCTCATGAGCTGTATGACTTTTGGCTTTAAAGAGCTCTTTCTGTAACTTAACATTTTTTCCTGGTTGTGTGGTTTTAATCCTCAGTGGATTTGTGTGTGCTCTGAGGATGGAAAAGTCCAAACTTTACCTCACTGCGTCCTGTGTTTCACACTGGGTCAGGCAAGGAGTGTATCTGATACCTCTTCTCAGATTTCTTGAGAAGAGCACGTGAATTTATTTGCTCTATCAAGTTGCCTTCTAGTCCATTTTATGCACACTTGTTTGGAAGATATCTGAAAGAGAATACCTAAACCTATTGTTTTTGGTGCACTGTCAGGGAATATGGAGCACAAATGGCAAAAGATGGGGGAATGGAGGGTGCAGATACATACAATGAAATTCAGTACTCTCATGCCACCTGCCATTAAGCCTTACATGAATATTTTGTTTATCTACTGTTTGTTTGTAGGAAGGAAAAAGTGGGAATTCTGAGCCTCGGATCCAACTGTACTATTTGGCTAAGTTACTCAAGTTCTCTCAGCCTTCATTTCCTTATGTGTAAATTAGATAAATTAGTACTATTCCACTGGATTGTTCGGCAGGCTAAATAGGGTTATGTAAGTAAAAAAACTTGAAAAATGCCTAGCTTAAAATAGATACTCAAGAGCTCTTAGTCCCCACCTCCCACAACTGTAAATTAGTCTTGGGGTCATTTTAGGGGGAAGGGGAAAGAGGGTGACTGTAACTTTTTATTTAAGTCATTATTCATATCGGCATTGAATTATAGGCTGTAAATTTTGAACATGGGAGATTTAATCACAACTGTGATGATCTATTTTTGAAGAGTCATGTTTCTGCTGAGATTGACCCTGGCAGAGGACCTGTGGGTGGAAAGTAGGTGTAAATCATTCAAGACAGCTTTGTATATTAGTAAAGAGATAGAATCACATACCCAGAGATAAATTTAATTTTGCAATTGACATTCACTCTTTTGTAAGCCACTTTTAATATTACAACACAAAACCTGGTAAGAATAGCCTTTTAAAGAGACATCCTTCAAGGCAAAAAATACTAATTTTGATGATTATAAACATTTTTAACATTTCTGGACTTCTTTCTTCAATTTATGGCTAGGACATAGTTTGAATTTTTTTTTCCCCCTTAAGTTGGTTGGGTACATTTTGACGGGGATTGCAAGGCTGCTGTTGGTATTTTGTAAGAATTTATTTTTTTCCTTTGTGTTCCCATAATACCTCTCTTGATAAACCATCAAGGATTTCTCTTCTATTCATTCACTAGTAGAGTGAGGCAATTTGCTATCCCTCCCTATGTTAACACCAAAGCCAGAGATAATGACTTTCCACTGTTACACTGGAGACGTGAGTCAAACAACAAAATACCGTGGTATAAGCGATGGCTTATTAACTACAGGGGAGGAAGTATCTTCTGCAAGATTCCCTAGAACCCAAACTTAGTCTGGAAGTGTCTTCAACATAGAAAGAATGCAGGAAAATGTTGCAATTTCCAAGAATAGTTGAATACTTTCAAGAAACAGTCTTTCTAGCCTAAAGGCCAAAAGAAGTAGAGAAAGGAGAAAAAAAGAAAAGAAGTCAACCACAAGAAAAGTTAATATTGCTTGCCTTCATGGGGCGGTCAAGCCCACAGAATATGGAATCCAGTTGTTTTTGATGTTTGCCATGGTAGTATTATCTATGAAGAAAAATCCTCAGCATGACAGTGAGATTTCCCAAAGGGAGAGGAGTTTGTGGCTTCCACTTAAAAAGGAAAGTGTCACGTGTACTTGTGTAAAGTTGATTAATGCTTCTTACTTGTAAATTTTGCCAAGGTTAACAGATCTCTGTGGTAGAACACACATACACCAATTTAAGAGACACAGCAACTGGGTGTTTATTTTTTCTCCCCCTCTTCTTTTCTTTTTCTTCCCCTTAGGATTTCTGTGACCATATATAGCCATGGCATCAGTTTACATTCTGGAGGATTAAAGTTTTCTGTTTAGATTCTTAGAGGAAAGTCTAGGGTTGAATGTGATTATTATAAATATTTCTTGATTTCTGGTAGCAAGCTATCTAATCTTTCCTGCATTAAGAGGGGTTTATCATAATTTTCTTCTTTTCAAATCCTTGGCCTTTGCAGCTGTCCCTTGGAAAAGCATTTCATTTGCTCCAAAGAGAATAAACAATGCTTATAAATTAAGTCATGGGTAGGATGTTACATCCCAGTTCCATGTACGAATATAGTCCTGGTTTTTTGTCTCAGTGCCTGGCCCAGGAGACCAACTGGGGACCTGGTTCTGTTGTAAAACCGTATTGTCTGGCTGCAGGGCTGCTGCCACAGCAACAAGAATCAGTGATGTCACAGCCTCAGAATCTGCCTGCCAGAGATCGGGTTTCCAGAGGATATGATCAACTCTTTCTGCTGGGAGACAATTTTGCACATCCCATCTCAAAGACAGTTTAAACCTTTGTTCTCTCTTGTTTCCTCTTTAAACATATGTGTCTCTGTTCTATCTCCAAAATCAGATAAAATCTCATAATAGCAAGAGCTAGGATTTATTGAGCATTCACTATGTGCAAGTTGACTATGTATTGTGCTTTACCTTCATTAGCCTATTCGGTCCTCACAAAAACCCTAAGAGGTAGAAGACACTAACATCTTCTGTGTTTTAAGAGTGAGGTCCCTGAGCCTTGGTAACATTGTAGTCAAGCTTTGCTAGACATCAAAGCCTATGTTCACAATGAGAAACTACTGATTTTCCCTGTCAGATCCATGAGAGTCAACAGGACTGCCCCTGGCCTCTGCCTAACACCATTTTCTCCCCCTTCTTACCTAAAGTCCACCCTATTTCTGAAGCTGTAATGTATATTTGAAAGGCAACAATGAAGGGATTTAACTTGAGCAATTTGCTTCTACTTTATCAAAATCTTAACCCCTACACTGAAAGGAAAATGTGAGCCTGTACTAAATCTAGACTTTCCTGTGAACACCTGAAATGAATGCACACAGGGATCATTCCAGGGGCTGGGCCAGGGACCACCAATATCATACTAAGAAATCCTTGAACCTTAGGCATTATTTTGCTAGAAAAGATCCCTTCTAGTTTTTGTCCCCATGTAGCAAAACCTTTCTGAAAGTAAGAGAGACAGCCTCTTAGGTACCCCGAGTCAGAAAATGAAATGTAGGTGGTCTTTATAGAAATGAATGTCTAGGGGTACCTTCAAATAGCAACTAGTGTACTAAGTCATGCTAAATAAAATGCACTGACCTTGGCTTCATGAGCTTTGGGGTTTACTTTCTCAGTGTCTCCAGTTACTTCAATAAACCTTCAATTTCCTTATTTGTAAAATGGAAATGATAATAGTAATACAGTATTAGTAATGCTGATAAGTAAGAATACAGGTATGAAAGTGCTTTGTAAATTGTAAAATACTGGAGTTGGTATTAGTTTCATGAGATACTGACTCAAGAATACAGTAGAGGCTTTCTTTGCTTTTTTGTAATATATTTATTGAATTAGTGTCATTTGTCAATTTAACATATTTTATAATTCATTATTCAAGTTAAATGTAGTTTTGGCAGAAAGCTCAAGTCATTCTGATAAGAATAAGATATCTAAGAAATGCAGTTTTTTCCAGGATGTTTTGTTAGACGCAAGGATAGTTTAGCCTGTCAATTACATGAGAAAAAGCAAAGTCACTTTAAAACAACACTAGGAAAGTGAGGCCAACACACAAGTCTGAGGCAAGATGAAGGGGAAAAGAGAAAAGAGGCACCAGAGAGCCTTTGCTATATAAGAAGTTGGGGAGAAGGTGGTGTGGGTGCTGGAAGAAAAGTTGGAAATGTAAATTGATTCCCTAGGGTTCTGGTGTCCTGTACCCTGTTTAGTTTCTAGAAAAATGTCTGAGCTCTCAGAACTCACCAACTGAGGTTATGGTTCTAGAAGAAATTCTGTAAGGGTGATCACTCCTGCCCACGCAATGAATGACTCACCAACAAGCGTACAGAAATGAGACCTTTTTCCTTAATTTTAACTGGTATTGTGTGTTGAATCTGTTGCCTAGATCATCTAGAATTTACACATGTGAAGCTATTAAAATGCCATGTCTCCCTGTATTGTGTTTGCTAAGACTAACAGCAACAGATAAGATTTTACAGTTATCTCAACTTCTCTCCATCTTCTGTGGTCTTTATTTTATAGATCTTTATCTTTACAGAAATATTACAAAGATATTAAAAACAAAGAATAAATTTTGAATTATGTCTTCAGTGTATTTAAGCAGTTTTTTTATTTTTTTGGTTTTTTTTCTTTTCTACACCAGCAGTGGTCATAGGAAATTCTTTTTCATGGTGTTCTGCTCTCAGAATTGGCTGTCAGGCCCAACCACAGATGATTCCTCAATTGGCTCTGGCCAATGGCTCAACAATTTAACTGGAAAGACATTTACAAGATCTGCTAAAGAAAATCCAGTTTACTTGCCAGAATGTTGCTCCCTGCGTACTCCATGGTATTGGTACTAACAAGTATTGAAATGGCTGATAGACATAGATGGACAGGACATTAGAGCTGGCTAATCCACAACCCAATAAGCATTATTTAAACAACTAAGATTTGACTGGAGTACAGTAAAACATCCACAGACAACTGGTGGATGAAAAACAGACAGAACTCTTAACATTAGCAATGCTAAATCTATTCATTTTCTCTTAGAGTGGAATTCTTGAAGTTCATGCATGTTAACAAGAGAGATTCTGTGCTGATACTTGTTTCCAACTTAATGCTTTATGTATTCCGCTAATGGTTTTCATATCCCTGAACACTGAGGTTGCAGACACACTAGAAACAACCAGCTCAGATGATGACGAGGTGAAAGTGGTAAGAAATGCAATAATAGTTTGCAAAAATTTTCTCCTATTCTGTAGGTTGTCTCTTTACTCTGTTGACAGTTTCTTTTGCCTTGCAGAAGCTCTTTAGTTTAATTAGATCCCATTTGTCAATTTTTGCTTTTGTTGCAATTCTTTTGGCATCTTTGTCATTATATCTTTGCCCCAGCCTGTGTCCTTAATGTTATTGCCTAGGTCGTCTCCTAAAGTTTTTATAGTTTGGGGTTTTACATTTAAGTCTTTAATCCATCTTGAGTTAGTTTCTTTGTATGGTGAAAGAAAGGGGTCCAGTTTCAATCTCCTGCATACAGCTAGCCAGTTATCCCAGCACAATTGATTGAGTAAGGAATTATTTTCTCACTGCTGTTTTTGTCAGGTTTGTCAAAGGGCAGATGGTTGTGGGTGTGTGGTCTTATTTCTGGGTTCTCTATTCTGTTTTATTGGTCTTTATGTCTATTTTTGTACCAGTACCATGTTGTTTTGGTTACTGTCACCCTGTAGTATGGTTTGAAGTCAGGCACATAGAGGGGAACAACACATATTGGGCGGGAGGAAAGAGAGGATCAGAAAAAAATGACTAACGGGTACTAGGCTTAACCTGGGTTTTCAAATAATCTGTACAACAAACCCCCATGACACAAGTTTACCTGTGTAACAAACCTACACTTGTACCACTTGAACTTAAAAGTTTTTAAAAAACACAGTAATTGAAAATATTTATCAATTTTAATAAGAGGAAGATAATTCTGTTTTTTTAAATAAAATCAGTAAATCCCAATTCTTGTAAATAAAAAGTGGTAAATCCCAGTTCCTCCCAATAAAATTTACATACAAAACATTAAACAGATAACTGAAAGACTTAGGGGTTCAGAAGAAACTAAAATAGGTTCATTAAAACTCCATGTTGAAATGAATTTATTTTTATTTTTGGTAGGGTTACTAAAGAAATAACTTTGTTTAAAAATTTAATTTTTGCAAAAGCGTTGGGAAAATCTTTTATGATATTATTGTAAATAAAAAGGGAGCCTATGGCCTAGATGTTGAAATGAATTTTCTGTAGTTAGACATCCACAAAAAGTTTTGATAACTGGTTCACCATCAAACCATGAGTGGTCCTTAGAAAAAGTGTTAGGGATTTATCCTTAGTATCTTTAACGTTTTTATCAATGATTAAAAGAAGCAACAAGATAACTGCTTAATCAGAGCTACAGATCACAAAAAGTTGGGAGGAATATGTAAATGTGCATGATAGATTAAAAATTCAACATGTTGTTAACAGGCTGAAACACTTGACCTAAACCAAAGGTTTAAGATTCAGTGGGGAGAAATATGAAGGACTGAATTTAAGTTTTTGAAAAATACCAAGTGTCCTGTAAAGATATGGAAGACCTGGCATGCTACCAGTTTTTGTGAACAAGATGTGGGGGGTTGTGTTGTCTTCAGTCTTCATGTGAGTCAGTGGTGTTACGTGGCTGTGAACAAAGCTAGTGTAATCCTAGGCTGCATTTTAACAGAAGGGGTGTATTCAGATCCTGAGATATTATTGTCTCGCTACATGTTGTACTGGATAGGCCACAGCTTGAGTATTAGATTCCATTTTGGACCCACATGTTCAGATTTCATTGACAGTCTGGAGGCATCTAGATGAGATGGCGAACAATTATGGCGGAGCAGCACACACTGATGACACATGTACGTTTGTCTCACTTGAGAGTGGGTTGTCGGTTTTCAATAGGGCAAGGAAAATACTTACTGTATAGTTTGGTACATTGTGTTTCTATTGGAAGAAACAGTTTACCAATACTTATTATAAAAGAGCAGAGGAGGAACAAATATAGGTAACTCAGTCGGGGAAAAAAGGGATGTGTGTAGCGATACCATGGATGCAGAGGGTGCAGCAAAGATCAGCGAAGTGTTAGAATATTATAGCACAATGGATGTAAAGGTGTCAGTCAGTCAGTGTCAGGGAATTCCAGGTTGACTAGGGAACACAGGCAGAAGAAGATTCTGAACTATAGACTCAGTATTTGATGTCTAGGAGACAAATGGAAGCAGAGACTAGGAGGCAGAACAAGGATGCCATCTGCCTGATTAAGCAAGAGTTAGTATGAATCCTTTGCAAAGTGACAGCTTGTCTTTGGGGATCAGCACACTGGCAGGTTGGGGGCTGGCCTCTCTAGGAAGATCTTATGACTCTTTGGTTTTTATGAAAAATCCCTATGAAATCACCCAGAACCTCAGTAATTCATTTTTTTGACAACCACACCCTCAAAACTTTAAAAATCAGATGCTGAAGGTTAATCTCAGGTGGAATTTTAAGATGCTTGCTTTTAATATACCGAACCTAAAACTAAAGATGAAATCCTGTTCAGAGGATGTTGGATTGATTCAACTTGTTAGTTGCTGCCATGGGATTGCTGCCACATTCTCTTTTTTAAATTTCTTGGCGATGGCAAAATATCCATAAAATGTAAAGTATATTTTCATCAACATTTTCAAATGGCATTTGTGAAAAAAAAAAGCATAAGAATACTCAGAAATAACATTGTAGGGAGATCATATCTCTGTATGGAACAGAGATAGTAAAGAAGGTACTGGAGTTAAAGGGCCAGAAAAAGACCAAATTTTTGATCTGTGTTTTCCTCCAAACCATCTAAATGACCTTGAGCGAGTTATATAATCCTCTTTAAGCCTGTTGCCTCCTCTATAAAATGAGGATAATTGCATCTACAGAACAGCCTATTTGTGAGGATAAAGTTAGAGAACAAACATGGTAATTAGCATTTATTTCACACCTTATAATTTATAAAGCATTTCTGACATATTATTCCATTTGTTCCTCACGATAGCCTTGTCAGGCAGCTGTCATTATTGTGGGTTTTATATTCTTATTTTTCTGGTGAAGTAACTTCTTCCAAGATCACACATTGGCAAAACTGAGATTCATTTAACATATACCACAATAACACTTATTTTGTGACTACCATGTGTCAGCACTATTTTAGCAAGCACTAGCAACTGTAACATAATAAAACTTAATAATGTTAAAAAGTTAACATTGTTGAGTGCATACTATATGTTGTTCTAAGTACTCATGTGTATTAGCCCATTTGACAGTGCCCTTATGAGGTGGGTGCTCTTATTATCCCCATTTTACAAATAGAGAATGTAGAGATAAAGGAAGCATATTCATCACCAGTTTTCAGGTAGCTCATAATGTACAGAAGAAGAATGAAGTCCTAGTTCTCTGGATCCAAATTTTTTTATTCTTAATCTTAAAAATGATTTTTTTTTTTCAGACAGGGTCTTATTTTGTCACACAGGTTAGAGTGCAGTGGTGCCATTATAGCTCATTGAAGCTTTGAACTCCTGGGCTTAATCAGTCCTGCCTCAGCCTCCCTAGTGGCTGGGACTACAGGCATGCACCATCATGCATATATATATTTAATTTTTTGTAGAGGTGAGATCTTACCGTATTGCCCAGTTTGGTCTTGAACTCCTGGCCTCAAGCAATCCTCCTACTTCAGTTTCCCAAAGTGCTTAGATTATAGGTGCTCGCTACTGCACCTGGCCAAATAAGCAAGTTTTAGACTGACAAGTTAAATGCAAATGAATGACATGTTTGTGTGTGTAAATGTAGGTATAGACAGGTCATCAACCAAACAGAAAACCTGACCCATGACTTCTGCACAAGAAGCAATATTTCTGAAGAAAGCTTCCAAATGGGATTCAGAGCCCCTCACCTTGCCCCCAACCGTAGTGATTCTTGAGCAGTGCTGTTACTTCTAAGAGTACAGAAGGTATAGATTGTTAGGTGAAAAGTGAAATGGGCAGTTAATTATTTCTCTGTTATATATGAATACCAAATATTCGGATAATTGTAAACACATAAATCACTGATTTTATTTTCTACAGGTTATTTAGATGTTTGGATGTGTAAAGATATAGCCCTGAAGCAAATGCACAATAAATTAAGTATAAAAATATGATATGTCAATGTATAGCTGATAGAAGGACCACCAAATTCTATGGTAGAAAGTCTGAATTCTTGTCCCGCTTTCATTTTTTTTTTTGGTTTAGTCATATGTAAAATGTGGGTATAATATCTTTCCTGCCTACCCTGTGGTTTTCAGAGGTTCAAATAAGGTAAAGCATTTATATACACTCTAAAAATGGTAAAGTACCATAAATAACTCATGGAGAACATGGCCAGTGTGGGCCAGTCCCAGAGAGGCATCAGGGTTGAAAGAATACATGCCATGCAATACAATAATACCATAAAATAACTCAGTTCTTTACTTGATTTCTTGATTAGAGAGACATGTGCCCCAGCAACAAATCTTAAAATCCCTCTTTTTGTCTTCCATCTGTTACCTGCACACACTCCAAAGCTGTTCCCTGTCATTTCTCAAGAAAAAAAATTAAAAGAAAAAAAAATTGCAGCACTTTCACTTTCTTATCCTCATCACTGTATTATTTTCTCCTAACTTTCTGTTTAAAAATAATTCAAGAACTGGGCTGACAAGTAAGGGCTTTCCAGGAGGGCAGGCTTCTCTTTAATGAGCAGAGGGAAAGAAAGGCTGAAAATGGAGTTAAATTTTTTCTCATTAAATATTAGTAAATGGATGGATATAGTAGTACTAACAGCTGGTACGTTTCTCATCTGCCGAACAAAAGGAATCTGTTTATCTGAGGGTGGAAAAATAAAATTGAAAGTATTTTGTGAAGACATGTGAACAGAGCAAAATAATTGCCTGGGGAGAGAACAACAACAAAAAAAAAGGATTCAATTTTATTAGATTGTAAAGTTTTCATAGAAATCTTCTAATTGTTTTTTTTTTGTTTTACTTGCCATACTTTCCAGCTTACTGTACTTACATTTTTAATGAATCAATAAAGTGTATTACCCTAAACATACACACACACACAAACACACACACAAACTCGTAGTGATTGCACAATTCCAGTGAGTTTGAAATGTTTGAAACTTGATGGCTTAAGAGCTATTTTTCTTCTAAATTGTTTTGTTTCTCTATATTCCCATCAGTTAATTCATATACTGAGCATTGAGAAAATAATATCAGCTGATATGTTTTTATATGTTTTGTTTTAATTATCTGATACTTCTTTAAAAATATCTGAAAAGTGTGCTATACTAAGAGCAAATACTTATCAGGCAGTTGCACATTTTTACTATCCTATTGAAAGAAAATAAAAGCTTTTTAATTAAAAATTGGCTATAGTGATATGAGTACAGAGGTAACATGGTGAAAAAACATCCAGGGTTATTCTGATTAGCCCTTTTTTTAGACTACTTACATTGTGCTTTCATTTTTTTCTCCCCGAAGTCAGAGGCACACATGTAAATGCCACTAAATAAATAAATAAATAAACCTCCCTTGGAAAAACGTCTTGCGTAAACTCAACAAGCAAATAATGTGACTGTTCAGAGTCAATCAGCCTTAAAGAAATGAATGTTATAACTCAGGGCCCAAATACAATGCTGTATTTGCGTCAGTAGGCACAGTCCTCATAACAACTGGTTATTAATCATCCAAGCGAGGCGATGTCATTATTACCTGCCACAAAGGGGCAAATTTAAAGGAAGTCTTTTGCTCTGATGGGCTTATTTGCATGCATATTTTAAGAAACATATTGTCTGTGGTATAAATAAATAACTACTGAACAACTGACATAATGGTAAGGCACGGTTTTTTGAGTTACTGCTTCAGGGTAGCTTGGGATTTAATAATAATGATAGCTTTTGTTTTTAATCATTTACCATGTGCCAGTTTATTTCTCATTGATCATCTCTAATCTTCACAAGTGCTCCACAAGTGAGTTTGGAGGTCTGTTTTGTAGCTTTCTTGCATTTACAGCACATAGTTTAGTAGTGACACAAAATAACTGTTTAAGTAAATGTTAGTGCTATCATCATCATCATCATCATCATCCCTGCAGTGGTTCTTTTAGAAACCACTTCAGAAAAAGGGAGAGGAGGCACTTTTTATTATCAGTTGTTTCTTAGTCTTTTGTCAATGAGCTTTAACTTTAAATTAAAAAAATAAAGCATGTTGAATGAATCTTATCTCTGAGCTTAACTTATATGGTGAAAAATGATTATAAGACTCATCTAATACCAACCTTCAGTAGTAAAACCTTTTTCATTCCTCTAGATCAGATGTACAAATTTGATACAAAAGAGTTGTAAGCTGTAGTCCTGAATGAAAGCAGTACCTTCTAGGGGTGGTGGGGAAATGATTATGGATATTTATGGGGACATGTTATGGTCATACTAGGGACTGAGGAGGAACAGAAAGGACATTTAGTCAGAACTAAGGGGCTAGATAAACTGTATTGCATGGGGTAGTCTCAAATAACAAAAAATTTCTTTGAGTTCTAGGTCACTCTGAGCATTCCCAAGAAATCCACAGAAGTACAAGTTCAGTTTATAATTATGAGAACACAGAATTTAACTTGTACAAAAAGATGTAGTTTTTACAATGTTTTAATTTGTACTAAATGTTTGAGGGATGCAACTATGATGTAAATTGAGGAAAGATTATACTTTATTTGGTTTATAAACTTACCAAAATTTATTCCCAATTTTGGAATATTATACCCACCCAAGGCAACAACATTTTGTGATATTTGAGTCACCAAGACAACACCTCTGTATTGATTTGCAACTGTAATTGTCACATGAAGATATATCATTTTTATTAACATAGTGTATTATTAATGATTAAATGGTAAGTGGTGTAGCATTTTAAAATATTTTGAATTTGCTACCCTATATATTAAAAAATAGTAGCACAATGATGCATTCTTTCTTCCTTTCTTTATTTTGGTAGTTGGTAATTTGTCTTGCAAGTGTTATTCCTACTTTAAATTGAGATTATTTACCTGTATACCTTTTTAAGTACAAATAAATCTGGGCTGTCATTATTTATGCTAACACTGGTTTTGTGTCCCTGGAATCTATCTATCTAAGTTTTTTTTTCTTTTTTTCTTTTTCCATTTTCCAGTACCTATTAGACAGAATGGCTTTCAATTTTTTCTCTTACTTCCAAACTTAGTCATTATAAGAAGATGTAGGCCAGGCGCAGTGGCTCATTACTGTAATCCCAGCACTATGGGAGGCTGAGGCAAGTGGATTACTTGAGTCCAGGAGTTCGAGACCAGCCTGGCCAACATGGTGAAACCCCATCTCTACTAAAAATACAGAGATTAGCAGGGCATGGTGGTGCATGCCTGTAATCCCAGCTACTCAGGAGGTTGAGTCAGGAGAATCACTTGAACCCGGAGGCAGAGGTTGCAGGCAGATTGTGCCACTGCACTCCTGCCTGGGAAACAGAGCAAGACTCTGTCTCCAAAAAAAAAAAAAAAAAAAAAAAAAAAAAAGGAAAGAAAAGATATAAACATCTGACTATCTAGCATAATTATTATTGAAAAATTATGCATTTCAGTGCATAATATTCTCTTGTAAATGAATTTATTTCTCATTTATATTAGAATTTGGGCAGAGGCAATCCTTCCTACCCGATACGTGTGGCCACTTACCATATAGGGCATTTGGTCTACCTCCGTGTGTTCCCAGTGACTGCAGATGACATCATTCAGTAGAGAAGCATCGTGCTGCTCTTAGTTTATAGGCAGTGAGGTACCCTACAGATTAGACCACCTCATAATGAGTTCTTGATTGCACTTCAGATTGTCTTGATGGGGCACCAGATGAGGTCCCTTTGTATGAAATGGCCAGATACTGAACATGTTCTCAAGTGTTTACAGTAATATTAAGACTATTCCAAAACAAAAAAAAAAAAAGGCTCCTTCAGGAGCTCTACTAATGTGCATAACAATTTTAAAGTATTGGAAGAAGTGAAGTGTTCATATATAGACCCACATGTGCCCAACTGATCTTCCAAATCATAGCAATAAGCCCTCTTACATATCACAATTGAAAACTTGTAAGTAATTTGACACTTGAAGTAACCGGCACACATCAAATGCCTGGATGTCTGGTTGTAACCATCCTGTTCATTATGTGAACTCCTAGCAAGCACTGATTGCCTAGTGTGCTTAGAGAGTATCTTAGCCATTAAACTCCATTCATGAACAAGGGTCTCTTGAATTCACTGTTAACACCCGAATGCCATGGTTTCTGCTGTTGGGAAATCTTCAACTTACTAAGTCCCTTTCTTCACCTCTTTTCTCTACTCTATCTGATGTCACCATAGACAAATGATAGCTTCCTGCTAGTGGACATTTAAAGACTCAGGGTAAGTTTGCTCTTTTCATGGAATGAGATCCACACGAGATCTACAGGCTCTTTTTGTGCTCATTTTATTCTGACTCTCCAAATGTCTGACTCACAATTTATCCTTGAATGATTTTCTAGATTTACAAGGAGGTGCCCTGATAAACCACAACACTGTGTGGCCCCAGCAGAGGGTGCTGGACCAATGGCAAGAGGGCAGACCTTGCCCTAATGCTAGAGAGATCTTTGTAAGAACTAGAGTCTCATGGAGTAGTGGGCTCTGTCTCATAGGGGTTGAGAGTGTGATGCAGATTCTAAAATTAGGTTCCTTGGGTTTGTTGCCTTTACAGCTATGTGACCTTGGGCAAGTGACTCAACCTCTGTATGCCTCAGCTCTGTGTACCTCAGTTTCCCAGTGTCTAAAGTGAGAGAAATCATAGTATCTATCCTGTAGGGTTGCTGAGAATGAGGCATAAATAATACAAGCAAAGTGCTTAGAACAGGCTGGCACACAGTACATTCTCAGGAAGTGTTAACTGTTCTTGTTATTCAATAAGGTAGAGGATAACCACCTGTCACAGATAAAGGGCTCTTATATAAATACCTGTTAGCCTAACCACATATAAATATATAAACTATGCCTAATTCTATTTTTAAAAAGCTTTAACTTAAATGTACTTGCTATCCAATATATTAAAAAAACAAATGGTAGCATGATGATCCCAAATTTAGATAAGCAAGGTTGGCACTTGGCTCTACCTCTTGGGAGCTGTTTTAACCTTTATTTACGGAGTGCCTAGCATATGCTGGACAGTGTGCTGGGCATTAGGAATAGAGTGGAGGGGCAAAATAAAAATGGTTTCTGTCTTCGTGGAACTTCAATCAATTTTGAGCCTCATTTTACTTACCTCTAAAATGGGGATAGTAACATGACCTTGTAAGGTTTTTGGGATGATTAAATAAATTAAACACTTAAAACTTCTGGCACATGCCAGTGGGCACTAAAGAAACATTCTCTTTCTTTTCCATTTCAAGAGCAGCCCTACCACAGACTCTTGCACAGCCGTTACTCATTATGTATCTGTTTTTTTTTTTTTTTTAAGTTAAACTCTGGGTAAAAGATATTTAAAACCAGAATGCATATTTTTGATGAGATGTTGATTTTTAATGAAGCCTACCTGAAAAGCTGCAGCAGCAATATTTTATCCTATGTAAAGCACACACTTGCTTCTTACTTTGTACCCCTACTGCAATGAATCCATGCCTCTATTATAGGACTTAAATTGTATATTTCCATATACTCTGTATCTTTGTTTTCCCAACATGATTTCTGCCCTTTGGGGTTTCTCAGTAACATACTCAATTCATTACTAGAGCCTGTTGATGTGTTTCTTCCTAAATATCTCTCAAATCCTTCCACTCCTCTTATCTCTACTTCTTGACCCTAAACCAAACTGTTATAATGCAGTACACAGATCATTTTTCTCCATTGCCTCCAGGTGCCTTTTGATCTCTTTTCTACCCAGAAGCTGCGAAGATCCCATTGTCTCTCTTCGTAAAGCCTCCCAATGCTTCTCATTGCGCTCAGGACAAAAACCCTTTTTCACACTTAAAAGGCTATGCATGTACTTACTACCAGCACTGTCCAAGAAAAATATGAGTCATGTATGTACCTTTACATTTTCTAGGAGTCGTCTTAAAAAAGTAAAAATAAATAGGTGAAATTAATTTTAATAATGTATTTTATCAAACCCAAAATGTCCAAAATGTCATTTCAGTATGTAATCGATGTATGAAATTGAGAGAGTTTCATTTTTTCACAGTCTTCAAAATAAAGTGTGTATTTTACATTTACAGCCCATATATTTTGAACTAGCCCCATTTCAAGTGCTCAATAGCTGCGTACGTGCTAGATACCCCTTCCCCACCTTCAGCTTCACTTTCACTTCTTTTCTGCCCAGCTTTGTATGTTGACCTTCTTTCCATTCCTCCAATCACCGTGTTGTCTCCTGTTCTGAGGTTTTTGCACAAGCCGTTCCACCCCCATCCACCCCCGCACCTTCTCCCAGTAAGCTCTCGTTTTCCTCTCAGGTACAAAGCGTCTCCTGCTCAGTAAAGTCCTTCCTACATCCCTGTTTTTGTGTGGTTCTTTGCCTTCAGTCTTGTAGAAGCATATCCCTCCTTCAGAGTGCACGCTTCAGTGTGTCATTGTAAATTCATTAGTGTTGTTGTTTATCAGCCCCTGGCTGTTTAATAGACAAAAAACCTTATGAGAGTAGGAGTCTTGCCTGTTTCTTCTCAAACTTAGAATCCTAGCAGCACCTTGGACTGTACCTAGGCCATTGTACAGATTGTTGAATGAGTGAATTAATGAATCAATCAATTGAATGGGTGAATGACTACATGCAAGAACCAAATGGTTATGCATGCATTAATTTAATTGATCCTCAGTTCAGCTCCACAAAATAAAGAGAATAAATAGGATTAGACTGGATTAGGTTTTAAAATTAAGATGTTCTTACTCCAAATCCCTTATTCTTTCCTTGATGCTTCAATGAACTAAAAAACAAAATTTGAGAGATTTCTGATATATTCACTGCCTTTTATGTTCCTAAGTACCTGAAACGATAGTACTGTTCTTTTGCTGTCAAGATGTCTATGAAAATGTCTATGTGGGCTGCAGATGTTTCTACAAGGACATTTTTTAGAACATATTTAAACATAGGGCACAATGTGGTGGGTCTTTTTTTTTTTTGTCTTAATCTGCCCAGATTTTAATTTTAAAAATTATCTGCATTTGAGAAATTATCTAAAAACCTTAAATAGCTACTGAATTTTTTTCTTGAATGAATAATGAATGAATGGGTGGATGAGTGGATGGATAAATGCTTTTCTTAACCTTTCTTCAGTTTCCCATTCATAACAGGAATGAGGGCTAGGTCACCACCAGCACCGCCACCTTTTTTTTTTTTTTTTTTTTTTTCCTTCAGTTGCATGTATTGTTTGGCATTCACTGAGCAACAATAATTTTGTGATGGATTTCCCTTTATCCCTTTTTATACAAACACATCAGGATAAAATATCTGGCAGCACAGAGGAACCATGCAACTCAAAAACAATGATCTGTCTTCCTAGCAGCTTACGTCTCCCTAAAGTTAGGAAACAGGAAAGATGAAAAGGGGGAGAGAGAAGCCATCAACTGTACTCTCCTTAAAGAGGATGATGTGCACTAAAGGAATGTCGTATAAGCTAGGGCTTTTAATCCATTTGATTAGCATCCAGTGATGTAGCTCAGCATTCTATATGCTGGTTATTAATGAGAGGAGGTTCCTTTTTTTAAAATTATACTTTAAGTTCTCGGATACATGTGCAGAACGTGCAGGTTTGTTACATAGGTTTGTTACACACGCCATAGTGGTTTACTGCTCCCTTCAACCTGTCGTCTACATTAGGTATTTCTGTGAGAAGATTACTTCTACACTGAGCACAGAAATATTACTGTTTACATCTTGTGTTTTTTTTTTTTTTTTTTTTAAAGACAGGGTCTGGCTCTGTTGCCCAGGCCGGCATGCAGTGGCATGATCATAGCACACTGCAGCCTTGACCTCCTGGGCTCAAGCAATCCTCCCACCTCTGCCTCCTAAGTAGTCGGGACTGCAGGCACCCACCACCACATTTGGCTAATTAAAAAAAAAAATGTTTTGTAGAGACAGGGTCTCACTATGTTGCCCAGTCTGGTCTCAAACTCCTGGGCTCAAGGGATCCTCCTGCTTCGGCCTCCCAAAGTGCTGAGATTAGAGGTACGAGCCAGCTGACCTGTTTACATTCTTTAAGGAAAAATAAATATATTTTTGAATGTTTTTTCCATGGTATGTGACTATTATCAAAATACACTCTGCAGGTTATTTGCTCTGATGAAGCTGGAACTCTCTTTCATGTGCCTCCTACCCTACTATATCTACATTCGTAAAAGTTCTTCTTGCTGTGTTCTGCAGATGTAACTGGCAGACTGAGAGCAGTTTATTAGAATTATACTCTGAATACTCATGGAGTGTTCTTGTTTATAATAGGGCAAGATGGTTGGTGACAAGAAGCAGAGAAAACATGGCATGTGCCTTGTCATTTTTTTTTATAATTGAGGCTTAAGGAGATGTAAGGTTTGCATTTCTGTAATTAAACTGGAAATATGACTGCTATTGTCTCACATTGGTTTCTCCTCACATTAACAAGGCATGTGGAAGCTGCAGAGTTGGGAGAGTTGACAGCCTGAAAAAGCAGGCCGATTTAAGTAGACATAAGTGCTTGTCTCCCTTAGCTGTGTTTTAGTCTTTCTTACATCTGGACCCTTCTCTGCATGGGGCCATACGTGATTTTGAAACCAACATCTTAACATTATCCAATACATTTGACAGGCAGTTTTTTTTTTTCTTGGTATCTTGGACCATACGTGATTTTGAAACCAACATTTTAACATTATCCAATATCTTTGAAAGGCAGTTTTTTTTTTCTTGGTATCTTCTAATGAAAGGCAAATTTGAAAATGTGTTTATAATTCAAAAATATTTGGAAGTATTCACGCGATTTTTATTTAAAGCATCATAAATGCATTATAAATTGTTTTAAAGTCATGTAGAAAAGTTGAACTAGATTCTCTGTGGTCTTTGAGAGCAGGAATTGGTTTTTCATACCTTGATTCAGTCAGTCAGTCAGTCATAAATCTGAGTACTTCCTATGTGGCAGTCACTACAATTGATGCTGAGGAAATGAAGATTAAGGAATTAGTCTTCACACTTAAGGAGCAGAGATACCCTCAAGGAGGGAGGCAGGCATGTAGGAATATAAGGGTAATGTTTGATATCTGTGGAAGGAACTGTTTAACTGGGGGTGGGTAGGACACATAATCCAGACTGAGAGGAGGTGAAGCTCAGTAAGGCTTCCTGGAGGAAGAGGCATCTCAGCTCCATTTTGTGGAGAGTGTGGCAGAGCATTCAGAAAGAACAGCATGTGCGTAACCATCAGTGACTCTACCTCTAGCTCTCGGTAGGTGCTTGGCATGTCGTAGGTTCAATCCATGTTTGTGCCTGAAGGGGCCAAGGGGCAAAGCAGAGCATCAACCTTTCCAGCAAATCCCACTTAATGGGGTTTGTAGAACACCCCAGGAAATGTTAATAATTGAGTGACATTGACAGATCAGGATTTCTGTTGTTGTAAAATGGCACATAATACCAGAGAAAGCAAATGCCAAAGAAACAGAACTCTTGGGACCACTGGTGAGTTTATACTGACATTCGAATGATGACCTGGAGCAGTGGACCAGTGTTTGTTACGTGCATGGACTACAAATTAAAGCGAGCTGGATTTTGACTGGCTTAGTGACCTGGCCTCAGGGTAAACCACTCCCTAGATGGGTCAGTGTGTGGTAATCAGTAAGAGTGTGGGCTCAACATCTGTACACAGAATGAGGATTCATGTCAAGGTCTCTATTATATTTTATAATAGAAAACCCCTGATCTTTCTCAGGATATTTAGCTTGGCATGATAGAAGTGCTGTCTCTCCCACCCCTCCAACAGTGCCCTTGAAATGGACCAAGAAAGCCACTGGCTGAGCTAACAGGAAGACCTGTCTTCTGCAGGGCATCCCTCCTTATAGGTCAAAGTAAAAATGGAAAGTGACCTTTTAGAGTACCCCACTTTACAGATGAGTGACCTGAGCACTGAGAGGCTTTGTGACTGAGAATATCATGCATGTTGTTGTCAGAATCAAAAAATCATCGGAATCACCTTGTTAGATGTTTTTCCCTCTGCATCAGCATTTTCCAGCATTATCACAGTATCAGACTCTTGATTGCTTTTGGGGGAGAAGGGGTTTCTGCAGCCAAATTATAGTGGGGGACACTGATTACTTTAACTCCTCCCCATAGTAAAGGCTTTTTCAGTTCTTGCAATACAAGAGCTTGCTTATCTTTATTTCATCCGGCATTTCCCATACGTATTTGAGAACAGAACAATTTTTAAAGTGCTTATTAACAGTTAATAGAAATTTTATGTCAAACACTCTTCAAAAAGCATTTCTCTATGCCTGTTCTTTATGCCACAATTGCCTCATCTTAAAGTTTTCCAGGGATATTTCTAGAGGTAATCTGAAAGGGAGGGGTGCATTGTCAAGATCCTTATTATTACACATTTGTAAAAAAATAAACACTGCCACTTTGATGTAATAAGATGTGCCTAGAAATAGTTCTATAAATCACATTGTCAAATGTGAGAACTTTTTCCTAGCATTTCCCTTTCTTTTCTCCCTTTTTCTTTTCTTAAGATTTATACAACTTAAAACACTCTGAATATTATATGTTAGAGGAGAAGACAAGTCATCCAGGCAATATCCCAAAATAGCATGAGATGTAAACTTACAGAAGAAGCAACCCCTCCTTACTACTGTGCTCTGTAGAGTCACCTTCACACACTTCATTCAGCTTCTGCCAAGCCATCAACTAAAGACTGACTGTGTGAATTATGATGCCTTCTAGGTCCTTTGCTCCATTGACACAAATGCCACAACCACCCCCATTTAGTCCCAAAACACGTGTAAGCAGCATTGACCTCTTACATAGGTCAGCAGATGGGTGGGCTGTGCACGGAGTGTGACTTGAAGGTAAAGAAATAGCTCTTTGGATTACAAAATGCCTTCTGCCAAATGCAGAAATTTAAGGGAGAATACAGATGGCCCTTAAACATATGATCACCTCAGTTATAATAATGCAAATTCAAATCACACTAAGAAACAATTTCTCTTTCATGAGATTAAAACAATCCAGCAGCTTAAAATCATACTTCATTGCAAAGTTGGGAGAAAACAAAGGCACTCATATATTTCTAGGGAGAATGCAAAGTGGTATAGCGCATATGGAGGGAGATCTGAAAATATTTAACCTAATTACATGTGGATTTATTATTTGACTTGCAACCCCATTTCTGGGGCTCTTTCCTATAAAAACATCTGCACAAGAATAAAATGACTTGTGTATAATGTTCAACCTGGCATTGTGTTGATTGGATCAACCACTTACTGTGTGCCTTGTAGGTAAAATGGTACGCTTATTCAATATCTACTTCCCTTTTCCTTTTCCAAGGAAGACAGACCGGGCAGTGAGGAAGTAGATTCTAATCTGGTGCCTCCCTCTCCTTAAGAGGTTTACCTCTACTGAAGGGTGTGCAGGTAGAAGGATGGTAGAGCGCTTCGCTGCCATTGTGGATGGATTGGGAAAATGAAAATGGGACACAAGTTTCTAAAAGGATATGCAGAAGATGACTTTGGGAGAAAGAGTACAAAGGCAGGTAGGCAGCATAAAGAAGGGGGCATCTGTGGATTACATTTCTTTTGTTATCTCTTAGTTTTCAGGCCTAGAATTATAACATGCTTAAAATTTACCACAGTCGACAGTTCTCACAGTTCACAGTCTCAGATCATTTTTTTTTTCCACTTGTAATATTAGAATGTTGGACTTGATGTTAGCGATGTTGTAATGAGGCATGAGAGGAGGGAGGTTAAGGTGGAAATTGCTTAATAATGGGTCAGAGCCATTTTCCATAATGAAAAATCTACAGGCCTTGGAGAGCCTGCGGAGAACAGGAGAGGGTCACAGATGAGGCCAAGTTTTTGAGGTTGAACGATGGAGAAGGGTGGGGCCCCCAGCAGCGAGGGCTGTAGGAAGATTGCTCTCTTTGCTCCATTTTTTTCTTTAGCTGTCAAGAGTTGGCTCCTAAGGAGGCTCAGAGACATGGTTATGACAGCAAGCACATATTTGAGGAACAAAATTTGAGCAGGCAGGAGAATGCTTCCAGAAAAAGTTCTCATTCTCAAAAATTTCTTTATCCAGTGCTGAAAACAATTTACCCCTTTGATTCCCAAGTAATTTCAGTTGACAATAGAAAGTTATAGGTGCACAAGGAGTAAGTCAGAAGTTGAACACAAAAGCAAGGCTGTGAGAGCTCCACCCCTTCAGGAAATCAAAGATAAGGCCTTAAAAATAAGGCTGGGGTGTGGACCTTCCGTAAGTGAGAGTTATGCCCTGCCAGCTTTTAAAACCCTCCCTGGTTTCTCGTAGATGTATTAGATAAGCCACAAAGAGTTGGAAAGCTCTTACTGGATACAGACGTGACTGGAGAACAGGGAGTAGCCCACCTGGATGCAACAGACATATCGAGGCCTCTCCTTAGTAACGTGGAATCCTGGTGTTAACTTAAAGCCACGTCCTACTTCTGAAAGCAGTCAACTTGTTCGGAAAAAAATCATTTTACTGACTAAAATGTGACTGCCTCAGTAATACTTTTCAAAAGAGGCTGAGTAGGCCGACTCTTGGAGGCTAAATCCTAAGTACACATAGAAATCCTCTTCAAAGGTCACTTAAGCCACTCTTTGCCTATAGCCAAAATTACATCCAGAGTTTTACAGACCAAAGATATGTGCTATATTTTTCCTAATCTCTAGGAAATTAAATTTCACACTCAGTTTTGGAAATGAGTTTTGATGACTCACAGGCTTCTTTGAATTCCTGAGGATTATAGAAAGAGAACTCAACAAGCCTTTGGACAATGAATAGAACATCCATTTCCCAATAAAATGAATAACACGGGAAGCATAAGGTAACCATTTGAGACATTGGTTGAAATCAAACACTTCTCAATAAACATAATGGCATATTTTTAGCTTTGGAAAATGTTATTTCAGAGATAATGTTCTTAATTTTCTGGGTTAAATTTAACTTCTGCTTTTTTAATTCCCTAAATGAGTATATTCCTAAATTGAATTGTTCACATGACACACTGGCTCAAAATTGCAATACAACTGCAAGTTCCTTCTCTATGAACGCCTATGAATGAATTTTAAAAGAAGAAAACTGGATAAATACGAAGCATTAATCTATTTATTTCCATAGGAAATAGCTTGTTACAATTTCTAGGCATAATTATTCTCTAGATTGACTTAAGCAACGTCCATTGGTTTTAAAAACCTTTTCATGTTTCCTTATTTTAGCTTTTTGCTTCTTTTGGATAAGATTTGGATTCTTTATGAATGCACATATACCCTGTTTTAAATAACATAGGAGTGGTCTGCTCAGAAAACCATTTAATTTGAAATTGTCGTACATCACCTTAGGATCAGTACTGCTTATTAGTCTAGGTCATGGGGAGTCCCTTCAATTTGTTGGTTTGAATCTTTCATTCCTACCATCTCTACAACCTCAAATACTTAGGCAAGCTATTGTCTGTAATACATAGAGCTCTTTACTGTCTTTGTCAAAGCTCTTTCCCCTATCACTGCCTTTCTTCAATTTATTTAGAAAGGGGCAGATTTTAGTGCATGCCAAAAGTTGTTTGTGAGTTCTTGGTCTGTCTTGGTTGGAAACTGAACTAGAATATGAGTTTTCCAACTTTTTTTTTTTTTTGGATGCAACATTCAGTATGCCAATCTACTTGACTCTAGTACATTGATAAGGACAGATGTTAGATTTGGAGATTAGAATACTGGCGGCATCACAGGAGGGGCAGACAAGGAAGTCTCTGTGGAAAAAGTAGTAGTATGATGAAGCCCTAGTGATTGGTATGGTCTCCCTTTTTCAGGATTTCTCACTGCAAACACTGTCTCCACATTCTCCATCCCTTGAACTCACTCTTAACCAGGGAGATGGGAAAGTAGGTGAGGAGTGGAAGAGGTGAGGTGTCAGGAATCATGTATCATCCATGGCATGTTTCAAATCTGTAGTATTTGTTCATTTATTCAGTGAGAGTTTAGATGTCTACTCTGCACAGAAATAAAATTCACACTCAGTCGCTGCCTTAGGTAAGATATGGTTCTTAATATAAATAACTGACATACAAATGTTATAAAATATGATACAAAGTATGATGGGTGATCCCATTCCCAGATAAAATCCACTTATAATGCTTTACCTGAGATTGTCTAAAGTTTATTAGATATTACTTAGAATAATAATTTAATATTGCATTATAGGCAATGGGATAAGGATGAGAATGTGAAGTTTAGACAGAGCTGCCGTCATTTCTCAGCTCTGCCATATACTAGCCTCATGCCCTTTGACAAGTCACATAACCTCTTAAAGCCCCAATTTTCTTACCTATGAAATGGCAATATTAATAATATTTTCTTTACATGATTATTTTGAGAATTATAGATAATTTATATAGAGTGCCTACTACACATTCTGGCTCATTCTAGGCACTCAAAAAATGGCAGCTTATACTCCATAGATTAGTGACGTGCCAGGCAGTTTTTGTGCTTTTATAATTTATAACATCTTTTAGCTTTTACAATAAAAGATATACTTATATAAGGCTAATGTTAAGACAAATTTACACATAGAGTAATAATTCAGCCATACATGGAAATGCCTTTTTTTTTTTTTTTTTTTTTTTTTTTTTTTTTGCTTGTCTGGGTGCGTGAGAAGTAATGCTTGCTTGGGGCTATTTTAAATGCACAAAAAATTATTTGTAATTTGATAAATGCCATTTGATAAATGACATTTTTTTAGGGGGACAGAGTTTAACTCTGTCACCCAGGCTGGACCGCAGTGGCACGATCACAGTTCATTGCAGCGTCAACCTTCTGTGCTCAAGTGATCCTCCCACCTCAGCCTCCTGAGTAGCTGGGACTACAGGCCTACACCAACACAGTCAGCTAATATTTAAATTTTTGTAGAGACAGAGTCTCCATTTGCTGCCCAGGTTGGTCTTGAACTCCTGGGCTCAAGCTATCCTTCCCACTCAACCTCCCAAAGTGCTGGGATTGTAGGCATGAGCCACCATACCCAGCTGATAAATGGCGTCGTTGATAGTTTTAAGAGAATTCTGAGTTGTTTAGATCAAATGGATTTTAAAACATCATATAAATATGACATGCAACACATAAACACAAACATCCAAGTAAGGAAAACAACAAAAAATTAATAAAAGGGTGGCTAAGCTGTGAGTTTAGGAAAATGCATAGTCTACAGCAAAGCTCAGAAATTCTAATCTCTGATTTTTAGTCATCTCTGGAAATGAATACTTTCCATTAATTTGGAGCTCCATTTTAATATTAATATTACTGCTTATATTCCCCTCTTAGGGAAATAGAAACAATGTTATATTTATGGATAAATACCATATTTCTTTTTTTGTCTTTCTTCAAGCTTTTTTGATTTGTGAATTAATCTTAAGTTTTTCAGAATTATGTATAATTCTAATATTAAAAGGATGATATTTTTTCTAAATTGGTTTAGTTTTCACATCCTTTTTAAGGCTGGCACTTTTGCAGATAGTACCATCTTAAGTAGGCCACAGCTTTGATTCTTGATAAATACCTCACTTACTGAACACTTCTTACATGCCAGGCACTGTGCTAAATGCTTTTCAGCTATTAGCTCCTTCCAGCCTCACAATAACCCTGTGAGGTAGATACTCTTATTAACCCCATTTCACAGAGAAAACAGCTGAGGTGCAGAGAGGAACTTACCCAAGGTCATTTAGCTGCTATGAGGAAGGAGCAGGATTCATATTTGTGTCTCTCTGACTTCACTGGTAACTAGAAAGTCTTTTATTCTGCTTCCCTTTAACCTCAGAAGTATTTTTTTGAAATAACATTTTCCACAGAAATCCTTAAATCATTCCTTTTCCTTGCCTCTTTCTCTTCCTGCCCACTCTGTCTTTTCTCAATGACCATGATTCAAAGTGTCGACTGTAACCAATGAGCAGGGCACCATGCTGATGAGACTACAAATTTGATTAAGACATGTCTTCGGTTTTTTTCAGACTTGACATATTTGATGGAAAAACAGGCTTATACCACATTTGTGATGTGCTCAAATTGTGTCTGTTTTCATAAACTCTTAATTTTCCTTCATTTAGATGAAGGATTCTTTCCCTGTTAGCCCCTGAAGAATGAGAATGGGCATGAAGGAGTCTAGGAAGCCCTTGAAGCTGTGTGCACAATTTTGTGCTTATGTGTATTTTGTGGGAGAAGAAGAGCCACATTCCTCAGATTCTCAAAAAAGCCCATGGCACCACGAAATTAAGAAATCATTTATTAGTGGGAAGATTCATTTATTCTGAGTCATTTTTCTCTTCATTAGGTCAAAGTGTAACAACAACATGAAGGCCCATTCCTGACAGATGAAAGCATAAGAGGACTGTGATGCATGTGTTACGACTGTGGGGAGACTGACCCACTTCTTTCCTCCAGACTGAATACCGCTTCCCTCTGTCTTTCTGGTGAAACCACCAAGAGTCATTAAGGGCAAGACATGGCACTCTTCATGTCCTCACTCTTTCTGGTCACGTTTCAGCACTAGCTGCCCTGAGACCCCGGAGTGCAGAGGTTCTGCAAGACCCATCCCCGTACTTCTGAGAACACAGCCAACCCTGGCTCAGCCTAAATCTCTAATAAACGTGACCACTAGGGATGGAACATATGCTGATAAAATGCATTATATTTGTGTCATATGTTTCTTGCGCAGATTTATCTTTTTCTTGAAGTTATACATTTTAAAAACCAGAGTTCAGAAAAAAAGCTTTTTTATTAGATGTATGGGTTTGGCATTTAAAATGTCTGAAACGGTAGATAGGTTCTTTGATGGGATAGGAGATCTGATCTTCTCTTTTTGGAGTCACTGTGATCTTCCCTAACAATTCTCAAGACCAGCAAAATATAAAGCTGGAAGGAGCCTATGCAGTTAGCTAAGCCAACCCCTCATTTTGAGAGGAGGCGGTTATGTCTTCAGAGCAATTAAATGACTTGCCCTGTGGATTCCAGCTGGTGGGAACTGCAGTTTGAACTCAGATTTCTTCATGTACAGTTCAATCTTCTCTCTGCACACCACGTTGTCTTCCTGTCACCACGCCGTCTTCCAGCCCTTGAAAACATTTCAGCCCATGTAAAAATTAAGAAGGAAACACACTTCAGCTTCTCTATGACTCCCAAATTACTGACCTCCTTCCTTCAGTAAATAAAGAAGCACTGGAGCAAATACAGCTGATTTTTTAAAACCTGAGAATATGCTTTTAAAATTCTAATTTAAATTGCTTATAATTTCAAGTGGGCCATCTTAGACAGAAAAGAATGTGTAGACCGTAAGCCATTGTTTTATTTTATCTCCTTATCTTTGTTATTAATTATATGGTTGATTTCAAGATGAAAATGTATGGACTTTGAAATTAGAGAAATCTTGCTTTAAATTCAGGATTAATCACTAAAGATCTCTTTTGTTGGTCATTAAAACTTGGAGTTTGTTTCAAGAGTCATAAACTAAATTAATACACAATATTTCGAAAGTATTTCATTAGTTTTATTTTAAAATTGTTAGTATAACATTCGATTAAAGCCAATAGATGTTATAGACAATTAGAAGTCTTAGTACCACTAAAGGTAAATCATGGATTTTCTCATGGAATATTCCCAACACCTCTGTAAAATGGGTATTATGCTTATTTTGCATATATGGGAACTGAGAGTCAGAGAGGATAACTCAGTAACTTGTATGTCATATACACAGCAAGGCTGAAGCCAGGCATTGAGCTCAAGCTGTCTGGCTCTGAAGCCTGGATTCTCTTCTTTCTCTGCTGACTTCTACGATAGTACATTCAAAGGCCCTGTGATGGGAAGAAGCATGGCATATGAGGTTCTCAAAGGGATTCTGCCTTTTACATGGTTAGGTTGATAGTTTAGAAGAAGCAAGGGGCCCAGGTTGGTGTTTCACCCTTGTAATCCTAGCACTTTGGGAGGCCAAGGTTGGAACGATCGTTTGAGGCCAGTGGTTTGGGGCTGCAGTGAGCTATGATTGCACCACTGCAGTCTAGCCTGGGCGATAGGCTACAGAGAGTAAGTTACCACATTTCAAATAGCCAGTATGTAGCAAAGCCAAAATTTGAACCTAGGCACAGAAGACACACCAACCTTCTATACAAAGTGCTATCTATTGCCTTGGTGCTATGGAAGCATTTCTGTCACATGCTGTGCTTTGATGTATGTACAAAAGGAGATGTGGGAAACAGAAAATGAAATAAGCAGGGTTTATTTTATTTTATTTTTTTCATTCCTAACCTGCTTGTGTGTGGGCTGATTACCCAGGGGAGTAAAAGTCAGACTGAAACTAAGTGGAACACAGACAGATGCTGGCTGAAAATATGCTCAGATTATTGCTCAATTTAAAATTATTCCAAACTAGAAAGATCATTGAGCTACAAGACTTTTTTCCCTTTCCTTTAGTTTATTCTCTGTAAATTTTGGTGCCTTTAGACAGGATGCAGACAAAACAATTTAGCCATAGAGGTCATTCTTCTCTGTTTGGCACTCAGACTTTTTCCCCTCTCTGCCTTCCTGTGTCTTGCATTCCATTTTTGGGACTGTACTTGAAAGGCCAGACTTGTAAATTCCATTAGAGAACAAGCTCTTGTGGAATAGAGTAAAACCTTGACTTAGGCTTGCTGTCTTCCCAGAGAGGGTCAAAATAACTCTGACGGCGGCATGGTCCTAGGAGGAATACTGCTGTAGCCATAAAGCAGTGCTGGTCACAACACTGAATGTTGAGTCCTCTGCCCAGAGATGCTAATTTCACTAAGTATGAGGTAAACGCCCTAGCATATATATTTCTAACAAGTCCCAGGGATGCCAGTCCGCTTTGAGTAGCATGGATTCAAGTCCGTTTTCTCATTATGTGGTAAGAAATTGCCCATTACAACTCTACAAAGGCAAGAAAAGCTTAGGAAAGGGGAGTCTCAGCCATCTCGTCACTCCTCCCATCAACTTCTCACTGTGTGCAATAAAAGAAATCAACCCTAAATATAGAGATGTACAGCCAGGCTTTCTAAGAAATGAATCCATTCAAAGTCTTAAACTCTTTCTGGTTCTGAGCAGTGTGGTGAGGGGACCACAGGAAACTTGAGGGTTTTCTTTTTCTTTCTTTCTTTTTTTTTTTTTTTTTTTTTTTTTTACTGTTAATGTTGATGAGTGTGTTTATTTATTTTAATTTTACTTTAAGTTCTGGGGATACACGTGCAGTATGTGCAGGTTTGTTTCATAGGTATACATGTGCCATGGTGGTTTGCTGCACCTGTCAACCTGTAATTTAGGTTTTAAGCTCCGCGTGCATTAGGTATTTGTCCTAATGCTCTCCCTCCCCTTGCCCTCCACCGCCCGACAGGGCCCAGTGTGTGATGTTCCCCTCCCTGTGTCCATGTGTTCTCATTGTTCAACTCCCACTTATGACTGAGAACATGCAGTGTTTGGTTTTCTGTTCCTGTGTTAGTTGGCTGAGAATGATGGTTTCCAGCTTCATCCATGTCCCTGCAAATGGCATGAACTTATTCTTTTCTATGGCTGCATAGAGGGTTTTCAAAATGCAGATTTTCTGGTCATTACAAAGTATATTGGCTCATAGTCAGGGATACTTTACCACAAATTTGCTGTTTCTTTTTTTTATTCATTTATTAACAACTCTGGGAATAAATCAGTGGCCCTGTCCATCTCAGAGCTGAAAGGTAGAGTCTTTCATGTTCTTAATGGTATGATTTTTTTTGTTCTGACAATCTTCTTGAGCTTTGTTGCTCACATGAATCTTCTGACTGCTTCCCTACATGTGGTATAAAACATGTTTTCTACCCTATCACACTTCAATTTTCTTTGCAAATAAATGGAAATATAATTTATGAAGCACGTTAACATTTTCCTAGCATGTTTATTACTAAATACAGATGTTGTTATTGATGAGGTAGGAGTGTAGTGAGAGGAGCAGCAGGGCCCCTAGTGAAATTTCTTGCTATGCTTTGATTGTGGCCACAGGAGACGGAGTGTCAAAACATCTACCCTTCACTCCTATCATAAGCAACCACCGTGTGCAGAGTTTCTTGACTCTGGAGTAGTAAACAGGACTGGAAAAATGAGAATGAAGACTCTTGGCATTCCAAGCTTGGACTTAACCAGTTATAAAATTAGAAAATCCATGGCTTATAGCCTCTTGTCACTTTTTGAAAACAAACAGACAAACAAAATACGGAAGATGATTCCCAGAGTCCTCTAGAATTTGTCCATCCTGACCTGTGCAATATGTTCCTAATGTGGGTGTGAGAGGAAGAGAGATTGGGTGGGGAAGTATATGTACCCTGAGATCTCATGTGATTACCATGCTGAATGTTCAGTTTTGAGTATCAGGTCCATGAATTCTTAAGATTAGTCTGGGAATTCAGATGCTGCTAGGTACAGGACCTAATGTCAATTCTGAGTGAGACTTTCCTAGGAGGGCTGTCCTCAACATTTTAAACTTGTGTACATAGGAATAGACTGATGAAGACTAAGGGCAATGGGAGACCTGAAGCTCTGTGAATTTTTTTTCACAGCATTTAAATATTACTTCATAGGACTGGTTATTCTCAACAGATGCTTTTTGAGTACATTTCTCCCAGACATTTTTCTCTCTAATAGTTTACATTAAAATAAACAGTGAGTCTGGGTGTCTTACTCAAAGATGAACTTTCCCAGAACCAAAGCCACTATTGTATGTTTGTAGTACACACCTGGGGTAATCTGGTTTCTTGTCCCTTTCTTTTTGTGTCTATACGGACAGTGAGTGGGTTGGATAGAAGTCCTTTAAAAGTTTAGGCTAAATCTCTCCCTCCAAAGCATGTTCCTTCATCTACATTGTCATAGACCCAGTGCTTGACACCTTAAAAGAATCATGCAAAAAAATCCCAGGCAAATAGTGCATGAAATCAGCAGAGCCTCCTCCTTTGCATTGTCTCAGGAGAAAGGAGTTAACTTAGATACTTTGCTGTTGACATCTTGATATTTTAAATAGTTCTAGTGGAATATGTTTTTCATGCCATGCCCTCAGCTGACCTCCTTATTACTCTAAAAAATGACTTCTCTATGGCCTCACTTATTTTCCCTGGAAGCTTTCCTTGACCATCTCTCCTGTCATCTGGCTGCCATACTGCTGATTCATTATATTGCCATCGTACACACTCTCTTGCTCATAAAGCTGTGAACTTTCTGAGACCTCTATCCCTGTACCTGATGCGGGTACTGGCATGTAGTTTGACCTTCAATTGATTATTGAATGGATTTGTACATTATAGTCACTTAAAAATTCTATTATAAAAAATGGAAAAGGGTATTTGTAAGACTCATCCAATCATTAGCAGAAGTTGGGAGTTAGCCTTTGATTCAAAATTACAAGTACAGTAGTTTGAAAATAAATACATTTCCCAATGTAATTTTCAAACTATATTTCCCATTCATATTTTTCTCAGTCTGTCATGAACATCTTTTTCCTTTACACTACAGAACTTATGATATGTCTATATTTAATTTATAATAATCTGTGCTTTAAAAAAATTGTAGCCACATTTGCATAATTACCAGGAACAATTTTGTATGGCACAGATATTTAATCTTACAGATCCTAATACATACAAGGCTGACATTTATGAGCTCCAGCACTGTCACCTGATCTCAATAGGTTGGCACTTTTAAGTGAATAGAACAGTGCCTTACAAATAGTAAGTGCTAAGTAAATTTAGGGTAATTTGTGATGTTAGCCAAGTGATAATAGGATGTTAGAATTCCAAGTGACTTCTTAGAATTCCAAGTGACTTCAGAGATGATTAATCCAGAAGTTCCCAAAGAGTTACTGACAACTTGAGTTTTAAGTTCATGGTGATGTTCATAGACATGTTTATAGGTGATGGGCAAGAAAAGACGAGGTGGAAGTGAGTTATCCTATGGCCAAATAAGATTGAGAAAATGCATAATTAAACAGAGTTTAAAAGAGGTATTCACAGCAAAAACTCTTAGAGGCTGTACTATATGTTACTCTGCTTCCCTTTTTAAGTAATTTTTGCCCAAGTTTTACATTGAATCATATATCTTTTGTCTTCCTTTTTTTAATAGAATATCACCCGAGAAAGAAAAAAATAATTTATTCCAATATCCTCATTTTACTCATAATTAAAATGAGATTCTGAAAGTTTAAGTTTAAGCTTATGCAACAATTTCAGATTATGACTGGAATCGTGGTTACCATCTCTTATTGTACACTGTGAGGGACCTCTGTGCAGACACATTTTACCCAGTTATAAATCTTAAAGTGATCAGTACGTTTAACACAGTATCAAGAACCCCGAATACTCTATTTTAGTTCACGTTTGTTCATATTTGCAGTGAGTGATCTGTTTAGTAACAACCAAGATTCTCTGGGTCTCCGTCATCTGAGATATAAAGTGTAAGTAAATGGCACTGCACCTTGAAGTTTATTGTGTGAGACTTTAGTATCGTTGAATACAATTGCAATAGTGTATATTCCAATTATTAGAAGGATCCACTTTTTAAATAAGTTCCCTAAATTCCTTGTCATCATAAACTATCTAACAGCATGTTGGCCCCCTGGGGGAAATAGAAAGAAAGCAAATTTTAACACTGTTAATTTAAAATTTCCAGAAACTCTTTGTTTCTAACTACTTACTCGTCCATCTTTCTTCCCATTTACTTTTTACTACTATTCTTTTCAATATCAGAATATATTCTACCATCTAACAAATCCCACTCTAATTATCTCTACAACAACAAAATTTCTGTATCACTGTTAATATAGTTTTTAAAACATTAAAAATATGATTTGCCTACATCAAATGAGCACATGTCAAATAGCTTATTCATTTATTAATTAGAGATCCAGTAAGATGGTAAGGCCAGTTTAAAGAGCATTTGCAGAGCTAAGTATATATAGGCCATTTAATAAATCTTAGAATAAGATTGCAGTGTTAGATACGAGTAGTTAATATCTATAGGGCCATAAACTAAAACCCTTGGGGTTATCTTTTCAACTAGACAAAAATTATTTGTATCTCTACCAGGCAAATTTCACTAGGTTAACAAGAAACTTTACTAACTCTTGGACCTGTATCAGTAATAAAGTGAATCAAACAAAATACACCTTCTCTAAGTAACTAAATAACCTTTGATTAGGTCTATAGCTCCCATATGATGCTGAAAGGTCATGCTACCTACTTTTTAATAAGATTTTAAATACTTTCTCTTAATATCCTAAGCAGGATCCACACTCCAGGCAGATAGAATACATAATTTTGGAAGGATTTGCTTAAAGGTAAATCTACTTCAAGTACAAGAATTAATGTCCTTCCTTGATGGTCCATGCAATGGAATTTGACCCATTATCACTATCATCCTGTGAATGTTAGAAGTCCAGCAAAAAACCAGTGTAACTAATAATAGCTTTTGTAGAACCCCAGAGTTTAAAAGCATGCATTCATACACATTTATATAATCTTGAAAACAGCCTTGAGAAGCAGGTACATTAACTGCAATTTTTACGTTGGAAGAAGTGAGGCTTAGGGTAATTAAGAAACTTTCCAAAAAGCATCATTTGTTTCATATTTTGAAAACAATAAAACTTTTTTGCTAACAAAAAGATCCTTAATGCATAGAAGATAGGCCAAGGAAAGACCTTGCAAAATCAACAAAGCCACAGAAGGAACTCTTTCATTTTATAGAGTAACCTGCAAAGATGCCCAGAACTACTATCTCATTTACTTGATTTAGACTCCACAATAGTTTCAATGAGTCATGGTGTTATGATTCTAACTAGAAGTTAGTCAGGGCCAAGTTAGAAGACAGCTGTTTTTAGCCACTACCATTTGCTTTATTTATTTACTTATTTACTTACTTATCCAAATTTGAGACATATATTTGAAAATACTCATTAGTGCTCTTTGAGATTTTTTTCTGAAGATGAATTGACTTGTTTCACGAAGCCAACTAATTTTCAGTCTCACACTCCCGTATGTAAAAAAATAAGGCAAAGAGAGCCAGGGAGTACACAAAGCAAAGCTAGTACACACCAAACAAGGCAATAGGGTGAGTTACTTTCTGGTTGGGAAACAAAACCCCTCTTCTCTCTACTACTCCATTCCTTTCTACTCTTAAGCATCCGTTCCTTCAAATGCTTTCTCCACTATGGATCTCATAAAGCAGTTCATAGTAGGATATGAAATGATCAATAAAAGCTCAAAGTTTAACTCTCTCATGGGAATGTATATTTGTGTAGGAATCAAAGCCTTTAGTACAAGTCTCCAGTGTATTTGGGTAGAGAGAGGGGTGCGTGCTATCTCATTGTCTCTGAAATAACTCCTTCAAACTTTTTCTTACCCTCAGGCCTCTAAGGCTTACCTGCATGATGAATTTCCGTTTTCCTTACTCTCACACCCAGCTTTCAATTTAGCAAGAAACAGATTCGCCCAGGCCAGTCTCAAGAATTAAACTCTGAAAATCCTGAGCCTTGTGGAGCTCTCCTTCTGATAAGAGAGTTCTGTATCAAAAATCCTAACCCTAAACCTGGGAAGGGCATGGGTAACTGTGTTTGATGTGCCTAGTCCCCCAACTCCCTTTCTCCCTTCTTCTTCTTTTTAAGAAGGAGTCTCACTCTGTTGGCCAGGCTGGAGTGCAGTCGCACGATCTCAGCTCACTGCAAGCTCCACCTCCCAGGTTCAAGTGATTCTCCTGCCTCAGCCTCCTGAGTAGCTGGGATTACAGGTGCCTGCCACCATGCCCAGCTAATTTTTGTATTTTTAGTAGGGATGAGAGTTCACCATGTCGGCCAGGCTGGTCTCAAACTCCTGACCTCAAGTGATCCACCTGCCTCGGCCTCCCAAAGTGCTGGAATTACAGGCATGAGCCACCGCACCTGGCCTTGACTCCCTTCTTGACGAGCTTACCAAATCAACTCACAGAAATAGGACCAGAAGTTTGAAATAGACATGTTTCTTATAGTTTTCAGAGGTTCCATGGTGATCAGAATCACAAACCACCATTTTTGATCTCCAAAGAGCATGCAATATATCTTGACTTAAAAGAAAGAGTCAAATTTTAATGAGGATATGAGCTACAATGACCGTTGGAAGTTTTTGGTTTTTTTGCATATGAACATTTGTATTCTGCCTCATATGACTACTTATAGTCAGTGGACATCCACAGTACACATTAAAAGCTCTGAAAAGTCATGCAGTGATGAAATATATTGTGTTTGATTGACCTAGCTTTGTCACCTGAATTTGTGAAAGTATACACAATAGGTATGCAATAGGATACATTGCATTTTGAATATTTGTTTTCTGCATAATGATATATGTTCATGATTTTTATAGTTACAAAGTAACTTCTGTCTGTCTTTCTATCCATCCATCTATTTAGATACGTCTTAGAAATTGAAAGTATTTCACAATGCCCAACTCATACTCCCTTACCTCAATTCATCAGTAAGAGCTGGGAACTTAATCAAATTTTCCTATGCATGTGTGAGACATTCATTGGTGATATTGACAATGGAATCATAAATTGCATTCTATTTCATAACCTATATTAGTTAATATTTACTGAGCAGTTTTTCATACATGTATATACTTATTTACTTTGTACTTCAGTTACTATCTTTTCACAATCTGGTACAGTGAAAATGGTAGAATATATGTTTCTAGAACAAGTTCTAAAACCAAGTGTACATAAAAATGGTAAAGTGAATTCTGGCACTGCCTCACTTTAGAGAGCCCTCAACTTCTCTGTAACTGGATTGCCACTGCTCATCAGAGAGGCTCACAGTGCTGCTGCCTTCTGATATCCTTTCCTCCTGCCGCTATCTAGATGAGAGGTAATGAGAGAATGCACATTACCTTTATCTAATCACTGGTCATCTTTAAACAGAATACTCTGATCTGACATGAAGCATATGCAGGCTGCAAGACAGTGGTTGCTACAGATAATGACATCTTAGGAATGAATAACCTATCATTTCAATGCTTACTAAGAACTAAAAGAAACATGAGAGAAGAAGCCAGAGGCGCGTAGTGGGTATTTGTTTAGTAATATCAATCATCTTGGTTCTTGAAAATCAGACAGATCCTAGGTTTATGTGATCTGAGTTGTGGGTTGTCTTATTTTTATTGACACAATAGCACAGAGCAGCCCATCATCTGAGGCCAACACTTCGCTTTCCAGGGAAGTTCACTGTCTGTGGCTTGGAGAGACTCTGGTAGATTATATGCTAATTTGTAACTTAAATTTTAATTTCTGATTTTTAGTTTAGTTGTTCTCATATAAGATACAGCACGCTGTTTTCAAATATTTCAAGTCACAGCTATGTGTAATTAACGTAGCATTTTACTGAATTCCTGTAATACATATGATACCTTTCAGGATCTATTAGGAAATTTCTAAAAGAAGAAAATCCAATTATGGAAGATAATTGCCATCTAATTTCAAAGGAAGAATCATCCCTAGTGACTTCTTTATGACACAACTTGTTTTGTTGTCACTTATGGATGAAAAACATACCTATAGTCTTGTTGATTTTGCTTAGTCTCAGTAATCATTGACTTGTATTTGTTGAATGATTTCAGTAGGGTCAGATGCCATATGAGGATGTTTACAGAGCAGAAATAAAATCAAAGACCATGGTTTGTGGGCCAGGAGGGTTGACTTGTGCTGCATTTTATCTCAGAGTAATCTTCAATCAGCAGGCTCAGAGTTCTCAGAATAGCTGGTATTCATTCCCTATTACCCAGTTATAGAAAAGAAGCTTTAAGGCATACACACACAGTCATACACATGTATGTATACATGCAGACATATATACACACACACACTGTTGTTTGTTTTTGTTTACAGATTAGTAAAACCAGGTGCCAAATTTATTTTGATATATGTCAAGACTTGTCTTACAGGCAGGATGTCCAGGCTTCTCTTGCTATGAATCCTTGAAGATCTCTGTCTTCTGAAAAAGATGCATGATGCTACCCCACTACGATTATCTACTGGCTGAATTGTAGCCTTATTGGATAAAGGGAGAGAGAGAGGGAGAGGGAGAAGAGGGAGATGGGAGGGAGAGAGAGAGAGATAGAGAGAAACTTAAGACAGAGCACTTTCAGACCCTCATTATTTCCTAAGTTCAGATGCTGCCTTTGCTTCCTGAGCTGGGTGATGTTGTCCATATTGCTGTCTCTCTCTCTGCCTCAACACCCTTTCCTCTATATTCACACCTCAAAATGACTTTTTGAACTAAATACTAGTAAGACATCTAACTTACATGATTTAGTATTATTAAATAGTAGGTAGAACTGACAGTGAAAAAGAAGAATCAAGGAATGTAATGTTTATCCTGTACTTCGGAAGATGTACAATAACTGAAATAAGAAAACTTCATAGAATCATCAGGATAGTATATTTCTCCATGAATAGAAGGAATTATTTTGCATTTTCCTAGGGACATAAGTAGGAATATAGGAGTGTAACTCACAAGAAAATAAATGGAATGGAAACCTAGGGGGAAAGGTTTAGGAGATTGTGGTTAAAGTATACAGAGAAAAGCAAAACAGAAAATAAGGAGATGAATCCATACCAAGTAATACCATTGAGTGCCACTGAGTAGCTGGTAATTGGATCTGCTAACTACCATTGCATTGCTGAGTGCGCTATGGAGGTGAGTGGTTTGTTGTTTTTCTTGCTTTTCCTTTTTTTACCTGACTTCCTTCATGGGTTCCCTGTAGAATCAGGTACTTTCTTAAAGTTTATAGAATTTAGGGTCCTCGGGTGAGAAAATAAAACTACTCTGTACGACTGAGCTGTCTTGAGTAGTAGTATGATATTTACAAAACAATATCACTGTTTATGATGATGCATAAACATACTAAAATTTTATACCTAAGAAAATACTACATTTGATGTATAAATATCAAAATACCATTTCAAAACAGTGAATGTATTTACTTCCCCCATTCTTAAAAAATGTGTTTGACATTTTTGAACTTACACAGCACTGTAAACTATGGTCAGCACATTAGTTAAAACGCTTACACAATTATCATGCTTATATGTAAAAAGAAGCAACATTTGCCTTGTTTCCAACCATGTTGAGAAAAATTGGTTGGCTTCTAGAAGTGCATTACAAAGAGGTTCATATCTTCTTAGGCATCTTTAAGGATGCTAGTTACTGAATATCAATTTGGTACATTATGCCAGGTGCATCTTATTTTATATTCACCACCTCTATAAAGTAAGCATTATTATCCCCATTTTCCAGGTTAGGAAACTGTGGCTCAGGGAGTTAATTCACCCAGAGTTAAACAGAAAGTGGCAGAGTCAAGATTCCATGTGACATCTCTGACACCACAGTCTATAATATTACCATGGACTTTATTATTTTTTTCATGAAAAAAGAAAACATGAATAAAAATATTAAGGCATCCTAAAGCGGAACATGCTGGCAGTACACAGAGGTTCATGCCTGTATTTTTGTGAACGAAAGTGAACTTAACAGTCTATATCTATGATAGCCTATCATAGCATCTTCAGAAATGAAGCCTAGACCAATGACTGGAGGATTCCCAGGGGAAAAGGTCAGTTTAGATAACTTCCCTAAGGGATGTGACACTATTTTTTCAGAAAAGAGCCTTATGGTTAAATAAGATTTATCTGGAACTCTTGAGGAGCCCTCTGTACTAGTTTAGGCCTCTCAGGAGTACCGAGGCCTGACCATGTATAAAATGGATATTCTGAGATTTTTAGTGGACATTATGATGAATTGCAGACAAGAGAGGCCCCTGCAAGGCCTTTGTTGTCTTGGTTAAATCCTTATTCATTCATTAATTTGTTTACTCATTTGAGTGTATAAGATATACTGGACATTGGTACAGTGTGATATAAATATGTTTCCCACCTTCAAGTGAAGGACAGGCAATTACAATGCAATATGATAGTTGCTGTACCAGTGATGCTCAGATGTCTTTAAGGTACCACATAAAGTGGAATTAGGATGGCCAAATTCATCCTTGAGATTAGAGGGGAATGGAGCATTGTAGAGAACAGCCATTTGCTCTTCACCACTGGCAGGGATTTCGTTTTTAAGTCATGGCATGACATCATAAGGAACTATGCCACCCTATCTTGTCTGCCTTGTAAATACCAACTTGTTTGAGGTGTAGCTCTAGCATTACCCACTTCATGGACTTTTCCTTTCTCCCCACTGACTTTCTAGTACTTGGTTCATATACCAACTAGCAGTGTAGTGCTTTCTAAACTTAATTCACTTATCTCTTTCTTGAATTTCTCTGATAGGCTCATTCCACTGATATAAATTGGATCAGGTTCCCAAAGAGCCTGTATTCACATAGAGCCAGATAATCATGACAAAGGCAGAGCCTCAAAACACATTCATTTCCTGTTAATAAAAGGATTACCTTATTTCAATCACTTGTCAGTTTCATGATCTATGTAGTTTGTAGCAAAGGGCTGTTCCTAGACTGGCCCTGTGGGCCATGGAAAACACCCATTTCTGTTCTTTTAGGGCTGTCATATTGTAGCATAGATATTTTTGTATTATTCACATGATTTTTAAAAATACAATTAAGGGAAAGGAAGCTATGTTCATTGTATTTCTTAAAAGAAGTTAGTTTATTAAGTCAGTCATTCCCATCCAGTTTTCCTGGTTGTACACAGTATTCACAGTTTTAACTTGACAACACAATATAAATTTAATTATGGTTATAGACTAACCACTTTTGCTTAATTACAGGGAGTGTGCTTTCCAGATGAAGCCATATCTGAATTTGAAATACATCAATATATGGTAGATGTTTCTTCTTTCAGTGCTTCTTCATATTTTGATATTCTAGGAAATTAGAAAAATATATGAGCACATTGCTAAACTTTATGGGCATACATCTATTTGCTTTGTCTTTACATTATTTAAATTTCTAAAATGATAGAAAAGAAAGCCAGTTGTAGTATGATAATTGTAGGAAAATAATATACGGATATTGTATATCTATATCATATCCATATCCAAAACTATTTCCCTATATCTATTTATCTTAGCAGGAAATTCATTTGGGATTCACAATATGACTGTTTACAAAATGGGAGCACTAATGACCTCTTTGGAGAATGAGATCCATGAGTTGATATCAGTAGAGTTTTTGGCTTTTTGGCTAAAGCAGGGATGACCGAATTTACTGAAGGCCTTGGTACAGGTTAGGGGGAAGACAAGGACAGTGGTAGGTGACATGAAGCCTACTGCTGCCCCCTCACCCCCTAAAGGCTGAGGGACTAGTTTTAGGCTGAGAATGAGAGCAGTATGGCCGAGGGACTGGCTCAACAGTTCTTCTTTAATATATTTATTTTAAATGTCCCAGATGCAAATTAGATTTCTCTTTGCTTTGCTATTATGGTATTGCCTGCCTGAAAATAGCACGTCATTTGATCAATGATCTGATAATTTTGCCATTAGTGCGTAACCCTCAACTTTGGTTATTCATATTTATGGCTGAAAAAAATGTTTTCAGGACATTTTAAGGGCATGATTCCTGCCCTTTTAGTGCATTGCAGGACATACCCTTCTTCCTTCTCCAGGGTAGAATCACAGATAATGATTTTATTACTGGTACCAATAAAATAAGCTTTTAAGAATTTTAATGCACATATATATTATCCAAATTGTATTAATACATTTCATTTTCTAGTGTGATTTCAAAAATATGCATTGGCTGTAAAAAATATTGTCATTGTCCAGATATATGGCCTTAAACTACACTTAAGTCATGTCTATATAAAACTGAAATGGTTATGCCTTTGGTATTAAATCGTTGAGTATTTGACTGGGCTAAAAGTCATCAAAAGCCTAATACAATATTCAGTACATGGTACTTTTTCTTTCCTCCATTGATAACATCACATTGGACTGGAATGCAGAGAAAATCACTAACTTCTCTAAACCTCATTTTATTTACTTCAGAAACAAGGCAGGTGGATAGTCTCTAAGGCTCCTTTTAGCTAATTCTAACACTTATGTTTCTATAGATATGTTGATGATGTTGCAACAAAATGGATATACATGATAATGCATATTGATTGTTTTTTTGTTGTTGTTGTTTTTGAGATGGAGTTTCTCTCTTGTTGCCCAGGCTGAATGCAATGGTGCCATCTCGGCTCACTGCAACCTCTGTCACCCAGGTTCAAGTGATTCGCCTGCCTCAGCCTCCCAAGTAGCTGAGATTACAGGTGTGCACCACCATGTCCGGCTAATTTTGTATTTTTAGTACAAACAGGGTTTCACCATGTTGGTCCGGCTGGTCTCAAACCCCTGACCTCAAGAGATCCACCCGCCTTAGCTCCCAAAGTGCTGGGATTACTGGCGTGAGCTACTGCGCCCAGCCCATATTGATATTTTTTGTGTGATGATTACTGACTCCAAACTAATAGGGGACAAGTGATGGTATGCTACAATAATGATAAGGAGACTCTTAAAATTGAAATTGTTTTATTTATTCTTGTTTATACTATTAAGAAGATATGAGAGTTAGAAAAATATATATATTTTCTACCACAAAGTAGAATAAGCTCAATGGGATACCTAGGTCTTGAATAAAATGAATAGAATTCAGATTTTTCCCCAATAACATTGGTTACCTCAACATTCTTATGCTAGCTTGGGAATAAAAGACACTTTTTTCTTTTTTTTTTTCTTTTCTTTTTTTTTTTTTTTTGAGACGGAGTCTCGCTCTCTTGCCCAGGCTGGAGTGCAGTGGTGCGATCTCGGCCCACTGCAACCTCCACCTCCCGGGTTCAAGGGATTCTCCTGCCTCAACCTCCCGAGTAACTGGGACTACAGGCACATGCCACCACACCTGGCAAATTTTTCGTATTTTTAGTAGAGACGAAGTTTCACCGTGTTAGCCAGGATGGTCTCGATCTCCTGACGTCGTGATCCGCCCGCCTTGGCCTCCCAAAGTGCTGGGATTATAGGCGTGAGCCACCGCACCCGGCCTAAAAGACAGTTTTAACTGAGTGCAACAAGTATTTTCGTTAAGAGATTTTTTTTCGTAATTTACCATTCTGCTGAATCAATTTTTAATCCAGTTGGAAGCTCTAAAATTCTAACATAATTCAGAAGCATTAAAAAAGAAGACTAAGGAAGAGAAAGCTACATTTTTATTTCAGCTTGTATTGCATTGTGCAGAAAGGAAAATAGTCTAGCTAATTTACTTTTCCTATGAAAAACCTTAGGAGGTCCAGAGGGCATCTTTTAAGCATTTTGTGCTCCACCATGCCATTTGGGTCAAAAGGATTTATTTAAAATATATTGGTTTGTTTATCTGATAACACATAACTCTGGAAAAGCTAATCAATCTACTTTATTCACGGAAATATTAAAATGATTCAGCTGGATGGTTAATTTTGGTAGTCAGGGATTATAAACTCACTTCACAGGATTTTTAAACAGGTTTGACATTCCTTTCCCATAAGAAAGCCTGTATATATTTGACCTTTGGATTTCAGCCAACCCTGTCATTTATTTTCTGCAGCTTGGTAGAGAATTATGTTCCTAAGCCATTTTTGGCTCACCAGCCTTTTTTCTCCCTGGCGTCACTACTTAGTACTAGAGCACAAGGTCAGAATAAGGAAGTTGAGGGAAGACTGGAGTTCTTTCATTAAAATGAACTCACGGGATAAAGATACATAAGTAAGGGGAAACACCGCCCCCCGCCCCCGTCCTCCCCCCACACACATGTTGCAGAAAGAGGATATCATTTGACTGTTTGAATTGAATTATGTAGTGAAGTAAAGGGTAAATCCAGAGTCAGGACTTGCAGTCTCAAAGTTCAAAGCCACTTAATGAAAAACAGAGCTCTTCACCATCCTCAAAAAGCATTTTCTAAACAGCCAATTGCATGTGGTGCTGTAAAGGGAATTACGTAGACCTAGCCTGTGACATTTAGAAAGGCATTCAAAGTTTAGAAATAAAATACTTACGGTGTTGCCAAGTCACTACACAAGCCTTTTAGTAAATCTCTGTTTAGAAAACTCACTGCCAGGCACTATGGCTGATGCCTATAGTCCCAACACTTAGGGAGGCTGAGGTGGGAGGATCACTTGAGCCAAGGAGTTTGAGGTTACAGTGAACTGTGATCACACCACTGCACTCCAGACAGTGCGATCATAGCTCACTGTAACCTCAAACTGTCTGAAAATAAATAAATACATGGAGAGAAAAATTATCATAGACGAAAATATTTAGAAAAGCCATCCTAGGCCGGTCACGGTGGCTCACGCCTGTAATCCCAGCACTTTGGGAGGCCAAGGCTGATGGATCACCTGAGGTCAGGAGTTCAAAACCAGCCTGGCCAACTGGCAAAACCCTGTCTCTACTAAAAATACAAAAATTAGATGGGCACAGTGGTGGCCGCCTGTAATCCCAGCTACTCGGTAGGCTAAGGCAGGAGAATCGCTTGAACCCGGGAGGCAGAGGTTGCAGTGAGCCGAGATCGCACCATTGCACCCTAGCCTGGGCGACAGAGCGAGACTCCGTCTCAAAAAAAAAATAAACATAAAATAAAATAAATAAATAAAAAGCCACCCTAATGAAAAATAATTGATGAGTTTTAGTACAAAACTCATCCTATTTTATGCAGTTAACTCACATAAAATTTTGCTAATATAAAGGGCACTTTTTTATTCTCCCGGGAGTGTTCTTTACTGTAGGGTTGCATATACATTAAAGTGGGTCATAGAAGTGAATACAGACAAGTACCAAATATAGTAGGCATTATGTGTGTGTGTTTTATGATTCTATGAATATTCTATGAATATTCTGTAGAAAATGAAGTTAAAAGCATTGGTTAGACTTTTCACTTTCTAGCCTCTCACTAGTGGTAATAAATAATGACAATAGTAATGATAAGACACATTTATTGATAATGTATTATGTGCCAGACACTAAGCTTAGCACACTATATGGCAATTACTGAATTATCTCAATAAATTCTTATAACAATCTCATACCATAGATAATATCACCCTCATTTTCCTAGGTAGGAATCAGAGGCTTAGAGCCAAGATTTGAACCCTTGTCTGCAGGCCTGCAAAGCTGATGCTCCTAGCATCTACGTGTACTCCTCAAAACCTATCATAAGATTTTATTTCATTTGGAAGAAAGAAAGTATTTATTGTCTTTTGAGACGTTTTTATTCATTCAATTTTGTATGTGGCTCTGGTTTGCAGGTAACTCGATTGTATTAGATTAGATATTTATCTGTAGTTACAAGCAAGTTATATTTAGCAAATGCCGTAGATTCCAGAGGCAGTAAATCTTGCCATTTGTCATTTTTCCAGAATGCCTCAATTTACTTGATTAATCATGATCAGTCAATTATTTAGCAGTCTGTGCAAAAAGAGAATATATTTTAACTTTATTTTTCCTTTATGAGCTGGTAATTGGTAAAATGAAGAGAATTTCCACATTTACCTTTGCAACTATAAGCAACTAGTAGTATATTTATTTTGTATATAGACAATTACCTCTCTTTATAATAGTAATTTATTGATGGGTGTGTGTGTGTCCCTGCTTGGAATAATGGACTGATGTGTAAATTCAGGGAAAACATCAGAAATGACTAATTAGAAAACATAAAGGAATACTACTCTTGTATTTCCAGTTTTCTACTTTATTTTAATATACCAAATGTAGTCAGCCTTAGACATTGCCTTTATTATTCACTGGTTGGTTTTGTTCTTTTCTTACGTTTAGTCCAACAACACACATAGTTTTCAAAGAGGTAAAACTAAATTTTATGGGAATTCAGCTTAAAGAATGGCAGGAAGGACTGGCCTTGATGACACATGACCATTTATCCTCATCATTTTAATGTGTTTCCTTTAATAGTCTCACTTCAGACAAAAACATATACTATCATCCTGCCTCTACTATGCAAATGGAAAAATATGGTACCTTCTAATGATCAGAAGTTAGAACGGGTCTTGGGAATAACCATTAGTCCTAATAAATAGCGTAGGATAGTCCATTCAAAAATATTATTTAAAATTCATTTTTATTAAGATATGCATCTAGCATCTACTTTTTGAAAAGTTTTAAGCTCCACACCCGTTTTTAGTTAGAAACATTAGTTTATGCTTCTGAAGTTTCAGCTCCTGCTCTTTAAATAGCTTGGCTGTCTTGTTTTTCCCCCCCTTTTTATTACATAGTACTTTCCCAGGGTAAGTGATAAATAAAGCTGGAGGGTTGGTCATAAATTCCCTTCCTCTCTTTCCCCTCTATCCTACCTCAGGTTATTTTTATGCTAGGATCTGTGACAGCGTGCCAGGACTCCAGTCAGCATCACATGCAGTGGGATGGGATTGAGGAATACTTGCAACCTGGGAGTCTTCCCTGCTTAAAGCTCTCACTTTAAACCTAAGCAAGGGCCTGGGATGGGAGCAAGAGCCTAAAACAAGAACTTGAATGTGCAGCACCCTATCCTTGCTAAGGGACTCGTCATGACAAGTGATGAGAATTCTTGGCCTGGTTTTGAAGATACGTCATAGGGCTGATTGGAAAGAAAAATCATTAGTAACTTAAATCCTTTTCTCTTTCCATCTCTTATTCTTCCTCACATCTGTGAATGAGGATTCTGTTGAACATCTTAAATACTTTCAGGTTTAGCAAGAGATCTTCCAATAGCCATTTAACAAACAGCAAGAGGAAGTTCAGCCCTTGGCCAAAGAGATTAAAAAATTTAAACACACTTGGATGTATTGAATTTATTAACTTGGCCTCCAGAAAGGGAACATTGTAGTTGCACAGGCAGCAAGAAAATTAACCATTCAGTGCTGTAAAATACAGGAAGTTAATAGTACTTCAGATTGTGGAGACAGAGGTCTGGGAAGGATTGTTGGAACTGATAACATTTGGTTGGACCTAACGGTTGCGTAAGGTTTCAATGGGCCAGAGAATATGAGAGTATTCATTCAAGGGAAACTGCAGGAATAAAGGTTTGGCCGAGTGAAAGTTTGTCTGTTTTCAGTGAATTTTAAATAGTCCAGTGCGTGTGTGTGTGTGTGTGTGTGTGTGTGTGTGTGTGTGTGTGAGGTTGTAGTGTGAGGAGATGAAAATAGAGAAGTAGTGTGAGTTGAAACCATAAGGGACCAGGAGGGATACATTAATGTGTCTGGATTGGGCTTTGCTGGTTTTCTAGAGTTGCTGGAAGTCCTTGGGCAGACAAGTGACATAATCTACTCTGTGCTCTTAAAAGGCAACTGGTAATGGTGTAGACCACAGATTGAAGGGGCTGAAGCTGGAGGCAAGCAGATCAGATGGGGGAGCCCTTGCAATAGTCCAGGTGGGAGATTTTGATCACCTACAATAGGAGGAAATTGGAAGTCACTGGGAAGCTGGGACCAAATTTGGAAACTGATTCAGTGTGAGCTATGAAGATGAAAGAGACCTGAAAGATGACACGCTTGCGAACTGTGGTGCTTTCAGATTATCTAGAGACCACAGAAAGAGTTCAGTTTGGGATATCTAGTTTAAACTGCTGTAAGAGGCAGTGGAAAATGTATGTATGCGAACAAAAATGAGAATTGAGAGCTGAAAATAGAGATTGGGGGATTCGCAGCAAGAAGTAATGACAAGAGCTAAGTCATCAGGTGACATTACCTACAGAAATATATAAAGAAGGAGAAAACTGCAGGAGAACTTTGAGAAATGTTCTCATGGTGGTGGTTGGAGGAAGATGAATTTAAAAGAAAGAAGTTAAGGACTGATTAGAGGCAGAGGAGATAAACCTCCACAGTATCACATCAAATGGAACGGGGGAAGTCGATGTTTCAAGGACAAAGGTGAAAGAATAACTATTACTAATAATGGAAAGATCCTTGGGGAGTCTATGTGGACCAGGATAATACATTAAATTTAATCACATAGTGCTTTTAAGTCACAGAAAATTCCTTGGAATGGTTAATTTCTTTTCTTTTTACTCTATTTATCGACCTGAATAGTTTCTACCTCAACTCATCCAAACCTCAGAATATCCCAAAAGTCTAACTCTTTACCCTCTTCTGCTAAATATGCTCTTTTTCTTTCTTCTCTGAATTCCTGTGGTTGGTATTGTTAGTTCTCTTTTCACATGTGTATGTCTTATTTCCCCAACTGTATTATATGATTTTCAGGGCAAATACTGTATTTTTTTTTCAGTTTTATTTCTGCATGTATTTATTTACTTATTTATTAAATAATTTCAGCTTTTATTTTAGATTCATGGGGTACATGTGCAGGTTTGTTACATGGGTATATTGCATGATGCTAAGGTTTGGGGTATGACTGATCCCATCACCCAGGTAGGGACCATAGTATCCAATAGGTAGTTGTTCAGCCCTTTTCTCCCTCCCTCCTTTTGGAGTCCCCAGTGTCGTATTATTCTCATCTTTATGTCCATGTGTACCCAATGTTTAGCTCCTAGTTATATGTGATAACATGCAGTATTTGATTTTCTGTTCCTGCATTAATTCACTGAAGATAATGACCTCCAGCTGCATCCATGTTGCTGCAAAGAACATGTTTTTTTTTATGGTTGCATAGTATTCCACGGTGAAGCACTGTATTTTAAACTCATTCATTTGTGCCTCACAGTCTAGCAAAGTGATTTGCAGAAAGAACATGCTCACAACGTTTTTTAAAAAGCTATGCTGCGAAATTTGGCAACATGTATTAAGTGTCATGAAACAGTTATTTCCTTTGACACATAATGCCTCTTTTGGGACTTTATTCTAGGGGAATAATGTGAAATGTTAAAATGTCATATGCACAAACATACTTCACAGAGTTCTTTCAAAACAATTCAAAGGTCCAGTATTGTAACAGTGGAATGTTCATGTGAATTGTATGTCATTCAATGGAATCATGCAACTTTTAAAAACTATGAAGACTATCAAATTAGAAATGTAATTATCATTTAAGAAGGAGCAGGGCATACAATTATTTGTGCATTATAGGTTTCAAATGTATAACATGCATATGAGAAAGATTGAAAGGGAATAAATTAAAATTATATAATTTAAGACAGTAGTAGAATTGTAAGTAGTTTCTTTTCTTTTTAAAATAGGTATATTGTATTACTATTGTTGTTACAAGTTGTTTTACACAAAAGTAATGTTTTGTTTCCTATGGAGGACCTAATATTGTACAGTGAGCTTGGAAGATTACTTGGACCATTAGCAATTTCTACTAATGAGCCCTGACCTTGGGATCAATACCTCTGCAGTCTGGTTAGGATCCTTCTCTTGTTTCCACACAATCATCTTTAAATTTACATCGTCAATTTAAATGGATCAAACAGATTAGATTAAGAGAATACTTAAAACACAGGCCCTCCTGGAAGTGACTGAAAGGAGTCCTCTTTAAATATGCAAGTCATTACTAGGCTGTCAAGAACCATTAGTAGCCCATAGTAGTGATGACCATAACCATTGATCAGTACCAGAAATTTGTTTCATCTCTTCATTTTGGACAAGGGGACCACCTTTTCCTTTAACTCTTGGCAGTTCGAAAGTTAGAAAGAGAAAGAGAGGAAGAGGATAGTTAAGAAGGAAGGTGGGGAAGCAAAATGAGTGGGCTGTGACAAGAAAAGACCAAGGCAGAGAAGAAAGGTTTTTAACAGTAAGATAACTCTCTGATGTTCCCTTTCTTCACCATTTTTTTTTTTATCTCTTCCCTGCTGCTTATTGGAGCCTTTCAAATAGAAGCACTGTGGTTTCAAAAGCTATGACTATTTTTGATCTTTCCTCTAATCTATATTATGAGGTGGTCTTGGCCAGGAGATCTGTTCTCTTGATTTACATAGTGCACTGTACCAAAAGTAGGAGGTTTAGCAGCACAGGCAAAGACAAGTACAAAATAAGGGGTAAACAGAAAACAGAGAGTATGGGCAGGCACCCCAGTAGCCTTTTCCACGCTGCGGTCCCTAGCTCTGAGTTCGAAGAGGCTGGTGCAAATGAGTGAGTCCTATAGTTTTGCTACCTAGGCCTGTCTGAAAAATCCAGACAAGATATCCTCAGTTTCACCACTGTACAGATTGCACAGCTGCTGATAGAAGGTGCAGTAGATCTGCTTGTCAGTCAGCTCAGGACAGGTGAGTTGCTGACTTTCCCTGTGGGCGTGTGAAGAAGGCAGCTCATGCTTCTTGACATTATGGAGGCCCAGCAGTGAACTCTCATGTGTACATTAATGTGCATTTTACCTTTTTACCCATTCTAGGTAACCTATAAAGGATAGTGAAACTTAAAGAAATATCGAATATCAGTCCCAAGTAGCTGGGACTACAGGCACCTGCCACCACGCTCAGCTACTTTTTTTTTTTTTTTTTTTTTTTTTTTGTATTTTTAGTAGAGACAGGGTTTCACCATGTTAGCCGGCATGGTCTCCATCTCCTGACCTTGTGATCCACCCGTCTTGGCCTCCCAAAGTGCTGAGATTACAGGCGTGCGCCCGGCCCAAGAGATGCTTATTTTTTATGACTGAAATCAAACACCTATTATATTGATTCAGGTTTTAAGACTGGATCTGAAAGAAACTGACCCAATTTTTTAATGGTATTATAATATAACATGTAATATAACAATGAGATACAAAATATGAAAAGGTGCAGCCTTCTTATATGCTTAGGTTGCTCATAAATTGAATAATGAGTTTCTAGAAAATGTAGTCATTATGCCTAGCCTTTCTCAGGGATATCATTAGCCCAGTTATTTATCTGCTCCACTGGTTTGCAAGGGAAAAGCAGCTCCCTGGGCCAGGCTGGGACTTTTTCCTGGTTTCAGGGGCCTGGCAGCCCTCTCAAGAAACATTCTCTTCCTGCCCTACCTCAAAAGGTCAAGTATTTTCATGGCACTTACTAGGGCTGGCAGAGTTATGCTCTTTCTACATCATTGAGCATCAATCTGAAGCCTCACAAGGAAAACTGTCTGCTATTTTTCTGGTCATAAAAGAGAAAATACAAGTTGTTTTCCCTATAAGGAATTAATTGTAGTTTTTTTTTTTCTCTACAGACTCTGTCTGTGGGGAGGAAGTGGGCCTTCACATAAATAAATTGGATCATTATTAAGGAAAGAGTGAGAAGGGATGTGGTGGGGATTCCTTGGAGAAGAGAGTGTGGAAGTGCTGTTAGGATACAGAAGGGCACATGGAGAGGAGAGATCCAGGGCCATATCTCAGCCACATCATCTTTGCAGTCATTTGGTTGTTGCACTGCAAGGAGGTCATCTGGAAACAGCTGCACCATCAGAGGATGTTCTTTTCCTCCAGGTGTGCTTTAATAGCAAAACATGCTACTGCGACATTTCTAGTTCAACCAAGAACTTGTCAAGATGCAACCTTTGTGGGGAATCAAAAGTAGTATGTTCCTGATAAACTTAAGATTTGAGACATTGATGCCTCTGAATAAAAGAGAGAGAGAAAGACAGGGAGGGAAGAAGGAAGGGAAGGGAAAGGAAGGGAGAGAGGGAGAGAAACTAATAACTTAATTCTCCCCAGTGGATGAACAAAATTGCCACTTTGTGGAGACTAAAACCCTACATTTTTAATAAACAAATGAGCTACTTCACTTTGAATCATATTTAGAGCAGGAATCTATGACATTTCCCTTCGTAGTGATAACAAGGGGAAGAATACTTCTGAGTTAGGAAAGAAATGGAATGTTTGATCCTGTTTAAGTGTACAACAGGAAATTTAAATAATCTTGCCATGTTGGTTTAGGAAGTGCCTCTGAAATAGCCCCATCTTTATTTGAACCCCATTTTATAGTTGTCTGTTCAAAACCAGGTATAATTCCCACTCCTTGACTTTTGTGAGCGTTTCCCCTCTTTAAAAATGTAAGCCCTTCTTACCTTCTCACTTAGAGTATCAATTCATGCTACCTCTACTTTTAACCCAGTATCGATCTAAAAGTTAAAAGCTCTTCACTAATTCCTTTTACCTCATCATATTTCAATCTCGTGGATTTCTGTTTAGAATATCTCCATCACCTTTTTACATAAATTTATTTATAAGTAGGGTGACTATATGCCGCATTTTTCATGAGACAATCTTGGTTTACACATACTGTAATTGTTAACAGCCCCCCCCCCACCTTTAACTTGCTAAGCATTGCAATTTGGAATATAAATGGCATAGTAACTCTATTTATAAGTTAAGTATGCACGGAAATAAGCAAAATTTTGTACAGACTTTAAAAAATTCTTATAATTTTTTTACAATTAAACTCCTGAAACACCTTTCTCATACTAGTTTCCTATCTATTCATAAGTGAAATAGATACCTTGATAAGAGACTGAGTTTTCTGGCATCACTTCATATCCCTTAAACATTTAAAAATATTTCTAAATCTCAGCAATGGATTTAGGATCTAGTTAAACACTCTCGGAAGCCGTTTGGGTAGGAGGGTTTGTTTTTGTTGTATTTCCCCCCTTAGGAACTGGGCATTGGGACAGATAATCATTGAGTTGCAGCTGTTTGGGTCATATGCTTCTTTATAGTGCTACTCTGTTAATTTTGCATTATGCTGTTTCCTGGTACTTGAATTTTGCCAGACAAATATTTACGGAATGAGTGTTAATAGAAATTTAAATTGGGGATTGAAAAAAGAAGTTAGGATGGGCAAGTAAGTCAGAATCCAGATTTGTTTTATGTTGAATAGATTAATCACTCAGTTATTTTTAGCTAAGGAAATTGACCTTTTTTAAAAACCAGGTGAAGAAATAATTTGAGATTCAGACATGACAATTCTATTTGCAAGACCTGTGAGCTTTTTATGGACAGTAATAGTGTCTTAAAGTCTTAAGTTACATCCATTTGTATATCAAATTATGAAAGGGAAATATTGACAGAATCCAGGATGATTATTTATCAAGGAAACACTGCAATGGATGTCAGTCTTCACAGCCATTTAAGAAAAATTATTATCAATCTTGTAATTTTTCTATGATAAAGACACTGGAAGCTCGAGAACAAAAGCATTATAGTTGCCTATGTGATGTTGCTTTACAAATAAGAATATTTCTGTAAATGCTCCTACCTTCTGTCAGTAATCTCTGTCCATCATTAGTTTAAGTGTTATATAATCCTTCAATTTTAAATTATAAAAATTATTGAACTAAAATTTTAGCAAAAATGAAATGGAATATGCCTCTTCTTTTCTGAACAACGCTAAATATGTCTCTATTTATCTTTAAATATGAATTATAAAACCTACCAGAGAGAGTTGCTCTAAGGATTAAATGAGATTCTGTGTGTGGGGTGTGTGTGGTGTGTGTGTGTGTGTGTGTGTGTGTGTGTTACCCAATAAATGGTGGTAGGCACTATATAAGTGGCATTTATTATAATCATCTTATTTCTTATTAAATTGGTAGTGTTCAAACTTGGTTTTATAGATACTTGTGAAGGCATTATTATTTTTGTTATTATCATTATCATTATTTTTAGAGATAGGGTCTTGGTCTGTCACCCAGGCTGAAATGCAGTGATGTCATCACAGCTCCCTGCAGCATCAGACTCCTGAGCTCAAGTGACCCTCCTGCCTCGGACTCCTGACTTGCTGGTACTAAAGGTGTGCACCACCATGCCCATCTAATTTTTTTTTTTTTTTTTTTTTTTTTAACCTTTTGTAGAGATGAGGTCTCTCTATGTAGCCCAGCTGGCCTTGAACTCCTGGCCTCAAGCAATCCTCCTACCATGGCCTCCCAAAGCACTGGGATTACAGGTGTGAACCACACTGCCCAGCTTGTGAAGGCATTAAATGTGAGAAAATTATGGTGTCCTTTTCCTTCAAAAATTATATATGGATTACCTACTGAGTTGAAGATATTGGGGTGGTTCCATGGAATGAAAAAAAGAAAGGTTAATAAATTAGTTTTCTGATTCAAGAAGTTTAGCTGATGAACCCAGGGATACCTGGAAAACTCGTTTCTTACTATGCAAAACCACACAGCAGCCTTCCTAAAATTATTACTGATATAATCTTTTCTTAAGCTCATCCAGTGCAGTATAATATGGGTAAAAAAGGTCAAAGAAACTGACTTACTGCTAAAAATATGTGAACTTTGTGAATAATTGCTATGTCAATTCTAGTGAGAGTCATCATAGGCCTTTCCATTTGCTTAGAGATTCACCAGCATACCCTAAGTTGACTAATGAGTGACAGCAGAATTTCTTAGTTGAATCAGACAGTAGAGGTTTAATAAATGCTTGTGAATTGATTAAATGAGTGGAAAATACTTTACATACTAGTATCTCAGGTGATTTGTTACATGGATGGTGATACGGCTTGGTTGTGTTCCCACCCAAATCTTATCTTGAATTGTAGTTCCCATAGTCCCCACGTGTCATGGGAGGGACTCAGTGGGAGGTAATTGAATCATGGGGGTGGCTACCTCCATGCTGTTCTTGTGATAGTGAGTTCTCACAAGATCTGATGGTTTTATAAGGGGCTTTTCCCGCTTTTACTCGGCACTTCTCCTTTATGCCACCATGTGAAGAAGGATGTATTTGCGTCCCTTTCTGCCATGATTATAAGTTTCCTAAGGCCTCCACAGCCCTGCAGAACTGTGAGTCAATTAAACCTCTTTTCTTTGTAAATTACCCAGTCTCGGGTATGTCTTTATTAGTAGCATGAGAACAGACTAATACAGATAGTAAGGACCCACAGACCCCATGCGTTACTGAGAGCCTTCGGGTCTGTTTATAGATCACTGTCTGCCTTAGCATGCAAATCTTGAGGTTTAGTTTCTTTTCTGAAAAATATAATCCCAGTTAGAAATGATATACATGGTTATACTGGTTATAAATGTCTTAATTTACTTGTGCAAACCATACACCGAGATTTCAGAAAAAACAATTACATTCCTTAACAGATGTTTGTCCATGAGATGCTAAAGTCATTATGTGAAAAGGAAAATATACAGCTGTTGGATTTGTACGACAGAAAGACTTTGCAAATAAAGATGTCTCATATCCCCTTTAATTTGTAGATGAGGAAATTGATTCATTGGCATCATAAGTAGATGTATGATCTTGAAAAATATACAGAGCCAAATCGAACAAAGGGTTTTTAGCTCCCAATTCAGGGAGTTTACAGCCTCTTCCCTGTGGCTTGCATGGCTCCTTCTCACACACAATCCCCCGCCTGCATGGTTAGAGTGGGCAGTCCAGGGATCCAGGCTATTGGAGTGAAGGGATAAAAACTGTGGGTAACTCACAGCCAAATTGGCTAATTTGTTCTGAGTAGTGACTGATAGAGTGTTCTGAGGCTACAAGGAAAGAAGAGGTCGGCCACATTTTATTTTAATGCATTTCCATTAAAGAGTTCATAAATTGTTCTTTTGAGAAGACTCTTAAGAGATTAAGTTTAGGAAATATTGAAAATGGAGGAAAACCTCCCTTTTAAATATGATCTCCTGTGTTCCATGATCCATTTAACATCAAACCATTCTTCACTTGTCTTAACACTTTTCTTAACAGTGAGACACGCATCAAAGTGAATTCAAAACAATGTTAAGAGTTTTAAGATACCTAATATAGCTGAAAGCTATTTCCTTGTTATTTAATAAACGTCTGATTTTAGGCAAATCCCATTCTTCCTTATTTTTGGACATCAAATTGTAGTTTTACATTTATTTGTTTAGGGTTATCCACAACATGAAACACACACAACTCATTAAAAGTAAATTATATTTTCAGAAGTCCATCAGCTAATGCCAGGTAAACTGTACCAGCAACTAAGGGCAGTGGACATAATGGTTTGGAGAATAATGTCATGTTGGAGGACAAGGTTGACCCCTGTTCCCTGGCTAATATTTAATCTATATTTTAATGAAAACATCGGATGTTTATTTTTGCATTGAAAAAAAAGAATAAGTATTGAAATTTTTCTGAAAGGGAAAAACAATGTATGTGTATTTACAAATGTAGTATGTGGCACTTACATTAAATAAAAAACACCTGCAACTATACAGGCTGTGAGAGACTTAGGTAATATGAAGATGATGGTGATGGTAATGATGATAATGATGACATGAGACAAATACCAATATTTATTGAGTCCCATCTCTTAAATTGTTGTGCCCTTGGCATTTGACCATCATTCTATTTCCATGTAACAGCTTTAAAAGGGAGGTGCCATAATCCCCATTTAAGATGCAGAACCATCCACTTGTTCACATCAGCAATATTGTGTTCAGTTTTTAGTGCCACTTTTTAATAACGACATTGGTAAGCTCTCTCCACAGAAGGAGGAGCAAAATTGTGATATATCTAGAGGTCATATTATTTAAGAAATTGATAAGAAAGTGGAAGAATAATTAGGACTTGGGAGTTCATAATAACTTCTTTCAGCTACTAAAATGGTTGTCCTGGGGAAGAATTGTTTGCAGAGCTCTCCAAAGGCAGAATGATGGCTAATGGAGGAAAGTCAAATGAAGACTTCGTGTTACTGTCATGCCTAACATAAGGAGGAGCTTTGTGACAGGCGGAACTGCTCATATATAATATATGGGAGTATGAGATGTGCTGCTTAGTGAGGCATCTACTCTTTCATTCACTTAATCATTTGTTCAGAAAACGTGTTTTGAACGTCTCTGATAAAGAACACATGGTCTAGAGAGAAATTCAGTGCTACCAAAGCTGGATCAACCAGGTGACAAAGGAAGCTCCAAGAATTAATTGACTAGGAACTGCAAAAATCCATGCTTCAGAAAACCAGTGAGAAGACTAAAAACCCTGATGATATTAAGTGAGGCATAGTGGGTTCCTTAGTCCTGTACCTCCAAGAATAGTGAAAGAAAGCAAAATTAAAGAGAGTCAGTGTTGAGCTATGTGTGCTGCATTTAAAATGGTGTGACCTGCTGGAAGCTTCACGAACACTTGTTAAGTGTTCTATTTAGGAAACTGGAAATTCTCATTGTGATCACACGCATCTCATAAAACAATCCATCGCTTGGATTTCTCTCAGAGGTGAAATAAAGCCATTCCCACACTGCCTGTTAACAGAAATATGCCAGGAATTAAGGCTTTCTCATTGTGTCTACCTAAATTACCTTCTCAGCTGGGTATTCCTGTCTCACTTTCCAAATCCTGTTTCCTGGGAGTTGAAAGCTTTCCAGTTGGTGTATTTATAGCAGTGGCAAATCCATAGAATCATTGTTCACATTCTAGTAACAGTAACATCTGCAGAAATTCTTTGCCCCAGATAGCAATTTTACCCTCAAACATTGTATTGAAAAGTTGAGGGAAAAAAAAGAACAACTTCCAGAGAATAACTTTCCTAAGCGTTGCACACAGTAGGCACTTGATATAGCTGGTAGGCTTTCGTCTGATAGAGCCTTGTGTAACTTCCGGAGTCCTAAAGACTGAATTTCAATGCATATACTTTCCTCATCAATTGCAGTTAGTAAATAAAAATAGTAGCACTATTTTGGGACTGAATTTTGTAAAATATCTCTAGGTTCTACTTAGACAGCAACGGTCTACATTTATAGGGGGCACTATACTCCATATGGTTGGAGGCAGTTTGTATAAGAGTTAAGTGTGTGATTTGAAGTCAGGTGATTCTGGTTTCATCACTTACTGGTCACATGGCTTTGGAAATGTTATAAAGTTTTTTTTTCTTTTCTGTAAAATAGATATAAAAATAATACCAAAATCCTAGAATTGTAGGATCATTAGTTAATGTAGTACATTGAAGTGATTTAGTATGATCCTTGGTACATAGTAAGTGTGAGTCAAAACTAACAGCTCTTGAATAGTGTTAAGTAGAACAATATCCTGGAATGAGGTTTTTAAAAGACAGATGCCCAGCCTCTTTCAGGAGAGGCTCTAATTAGGTAGTTTTGAGATGAGGCTCAGATAATCATATTTTGAACCATTCCTCTAGGAAATTCTGACGCACACCAGAATTTTAAAAATCACTGGATGATTATGACTTTTTGTTTTTACCACTCCCAAACTTAGCCCAGTTCCAGCAAGTTGACTTTGCCTGCTTAAGATGTAAAGAGAGAAAGAAAAATAATTAAGTGTTCCATGTGATAGTACTTGTTGCCGTGAATCCATATTTAGTGCCTTCTTTCAAATCAAAGCTTGCACTGGTCTCTTGTTATACACTTCAGTGTTGCTCTCCAATCCTCTCAGCCCTGACCCACCAGGAAATCTGCACTGTTAGTGCATGCTGAATATCCACAGCAATGACCTCACAGAACTCTACATACCACCTCGAGGAGTGAAGCCAAGGTCAGCATCAGGTTTTCAGTATGATGAAAATAAAATGTAAATTTCAAAAATTGGGGACATAACACAAATTTACTGTTTTCTTTAAACATTTTAAACATTGCCATAATTTTCAGATAAGAATAAATTTTTTAAGTAAGGGCAACTTAAGGTAATAGACTTACAGAGTTTGAGGAATTGTGTGTCCTAATTACAAATTGAGCTTGCTTCATTTTTAAATAGCTTTTATCTTTAAAAAAAAGCACAATGCAGTATAACATTTTAAATAAATATTCCTATTTTTCTAGTTATATATCCTGTTCTTTAGTTGTTGACATACAGTCATGTCTTTAAAAGTATTTTCATTTTAAAGAAGACCAAGTGAGCCTATAATTAATCAATGTTTGTGTAGAGTTGTTGCAAGTTTTCTCTAATAAAACTTGCTTTAAGCTTTTTATTTTTATCAGTGCTTGCCTTGTCAGTGATTTGTTGACATGAGTCAGAATTTTTCTCCAGCTTAAACCAAAACAACTATTTTCCCTAATTCAGAAAAATATGATTCATAAAACCAATATGATTACATGATGTATGTAGCTTATTTTATTACCACTGCCTTGCATCAATCTGAGAAGTGATGGATACTGTCTGTCTCCAGTAATAAATAACAGAGAGGAGTTAGTCGAACAAGAGAATTGAGAAAACAGTATCTCTGCTTGAGTCAGGGAGAACTAACCTTGTCTCTGCCAAGGATACCTTCAAAGAAGCCGAACTATTCAGTAACATATTATGCAATCTTAATTCTAGGAGATGTATTTTTAATGCAACTAATCCTACTAAAACTGAATGCTATTAGTTTAACACAATTTTTGAGCACTTACTCCGTATGAGTGAACAAAGTAGAAAAATTCCCCACCCTTCAGGAGTGTTATTTGAGTGGAGGGCTATTTATAAATAAATAAATGAGCCAGATGATGACATAAAGCATGGTAAGACAGGGAGAGGGACTTTCAGGGATGATGAATGCCCTGAGGTATGGTTGCTTTCCTTTATCCCTATGAGACTAAGATTACATGTTGGGCACTCTGAGATGCTGGGCCACCACTGGGTAATGTATTGAGATAAAACACAAATTGGGGGAGGGAGGTATTTTGGACAGCCACGTTAGGGCCCTGATATAAATCAAGATTTGCATTAGGAAATAAGCTCAGAGAAGATCTGAGAAAAAGCAGGAGTGATGAGGTTTGTATGAAAATACTATCAGGCAAAATCTGCAGGAGGGCAGTAGACCCTGACCTAATACATTATTGTGTTGTGAAAAGTTGTTTTATGAAAACTCATGATCTCAGCTAAAGCTTTATCAGGCTTAAACAAAGAACACATGTTCCTAATTTTAATATTTATAATGAACCAAGTGGACTTTTTAATACCAAACTTATCTATCAAATATTTAACCAAATTTTGTGTTCCTATACGACGTTCAAATTAATAGGAAAAAATCCTCCAGTAAGCTTTTTGAGTGTATTTAGGTCTTTTCCAGTAGAGAGAACATACTGCTTTTTGGAGGTAGTAAAAGTTATTCAAGTGGTGTTCCTTTCAATAAATTTCTTTTCAACATCCAAGTTGCAAGCCTTCTCTTCAGTTTTCTTATGTCCTTGAACCACAAAGGACAGTTGAGTCCAGAATGATATCAGTGTGATTGGATCCAGGCTTATAAACCAAATAGGTTTTTACTGATCATGATCACAACCAATTGACACTTTCTTTTTCACCATGTATACTATGTCAGTGAGGTACCCACAGAGGTTGTCTTGTCGACAGACAGACATTCAGGTCCTTCTTGGGGAACAAAAGACTTTCATATCACGTTTTTTTGCATGTGATGCTTGTATGCAGAACCTATGGACTATTTTCTACATAGAAGGTCTATAGCACACAATTTAAATTGGCCTGAGACCAGTGTAATTACTTAACTTGGTTGCATGCCCAGGTCCGTTTCATGACACATACCAGTGACAAATGTTCTCATTGCAAGAAGCTTTTGAGTATTTTCCCCCTTTTGTTTCTTAATACATTATCACCATGTGCCAAAGGCTATAAAGAACTTAGATAACATTTAGATAAATTTCTATCTCTGGGACATGTTACTGGAAAATAAGTCTCCAAGATGATTGCACTTTAGCTACATGAAAAGACTTCAGATAAATATTCCTGAAGGTTTGATTTCAGACAAGACAGTGACATTAAAGAGCATGTGATCCATTTTTATTTATTTTGACCAATTCTTCAAGCAGGGATCATGATTTGGGGTCACATTTTAAGTTACATACCAACTTTAAAATTCACTGTTCTTTTTCCCTTTTTAAACGCTAGTTCAATACTAACCCAGTTGGATGTAGCAAATATAGATACAAAAGCAGTTGTAACAGGGATAGCCAACTGAAATTCCAAAAAAAAAAAAAAAAATTCTTAGGAAAGAAAATGGTTATTTACCTTACTCACTCTAATCTAGTATCATTGAGGCACAACTGTGACTAACCTTCCATTTTTCTAGAAATTACGTTTTGCAATTCAGCATTAATAATAATAAAATGTTAACCATATTACTGTATTGATAACCACCATACTGACGAACTAGAAAAGGGAAAACATATGATCATCTCAATAGATATTGAAAAGGCAATCAACTAAACCCAACATCTGTCCCTGATGTTAAGAACCCTCAGAAATATTAGGAATAGTGGGAACTTCTTCAACCTAATAAAGGACATACATGAAAAAACTAAAATTAACATCATACTTAACAATGAAAGACTGAATGCTTCTCTCCTAATATTGGGAATAAAGCAAGGATGTCTTGGCTCTCACCACTTTTATTCAACGTTGTACTGGAGGTGCTAGCCAGTGCAATAAAGCAAGAAAAAAAATTACATCCAGATTGGAAAGACAGAAATGAACCTCTGTATTCGTAGACAACATGATTATTTATATAAAAATCTGATAAAAATCTGTAAAACCACTAAAACTAGTAAGGGAGTTTAACAAGTTTGCAGGGTACAAGATTAATATGCAGAAATTAATTGTATTTCTAAATACGAGAAACAAATGCAAACTGATATTAGAAAAACAGTACCATTTACAATGTCATCAAAAATATAAAATACTTGGGGATAAATCTGACCAAAAGATGGGCAAGACTTGTACACTGAAAATTAAAAACATTCCTGAGAGTAATTAAAGAAAACCTAAATAAATAGACAGATATGCCTTTCACAGGTCAGAAAACATCATATTTTTAAGATAATCGTTCTTCCCAAATTGATCTAGAGATTCAATGTAATTCCAGTGAAAATCCCAATAAGCATTTTTTTTTTGGTGTAAATTTTTCAAGCTTTTTCTAAAGTTCATGTATAAATACAGAGGACCTAAAATAGCTAAAATACCACTGGAAAAAAAGAACAAAAGGATAACACTACTTGATTTCAAGATTTATTTTATTGTTTCAGGTACCAAGCTAGTGTGGTAGTGGCATAAAAATAGAAATAAGTGATTAGAATGGAATAAACTATGGAAATAGATCCACACATATATGAATAAACTGGTTTTGGATTTTGTTGTTGTTGTTATTCTAACAAAAATACAAGGCAATTCTGTGCAGAACAAATGCTTCCCGAAATATTGTATATGCAGCAAATAAAAAATGAATTTTGATCTATTACTTCACACTATATGCACAAATTCCAAATGTATCTGAAACCTAATAAAAAACCTCAATTATATTTTTTTCAAAAAACGGTGAAGAAAGTCTTTGAGAACTTAGGTTAGGCAAAGATTTCCTAGATTCTTTATCCAAAACATTATCTATTTTTAAAAATTGATAACATTTAAACCTTTTACTCTGAAATATGTTGTTCAGTGAAGGAAAAGACAGGCTAGACTGAAAGAAAATACTGGCAAATAGTATATCTAACAAAATATTTATATCAGAATATTTAATTAATGCTCAAAATTTAACAATTAAGAAAACACAGCAAAAAATTGGTCAAATATTTGAGCAGATATTTCACTAAAGAAAATATATGTTAACAAATAAGCACATGGAAATATGCTCAACATCATTTACTCACTAGGGAAATGTAAATTAACCCCAATGAAATAGTAATGCACACTGAATAGAGTAGCTACAATTAAAAATTGACCATATCCAGGTACTGTGACTCACGCCTGTAATCCCAACATTTTGGGAGGCCGAGGTGGGAGGTTCGCTTGAACCCAGCAGTTCAAGACCAGTCTGGGCAATATAGGAAGAACCTGTCTCATTAAAAAAAAATTGACCACACCAAATATTTATAAATACATGGAGGAACCCAAACTCAACTACACTGCTGGTTGGAATGTAAAATGGTACGACTACCTTAGGAGACCGTTTTTTTAAAAGTTAAACATACACTTATCATATAATCCAGCCATTCTACACCTTGGTATCTACCCAACAGAAAAGAAAGCATATAGCTATACAAAGACTTGTACAACTCAAAACAACCTAGATATCTATTAGCAAGTGAATAAGTAATCAAATTATACCATTTCCATACACAGCAATACTACTCAGCAATAAAAAGGAATGAACTATTTATATATCACACAACATGGATGACTCTTAAAATAATTAGGCTGAGTGAAAGCCTGACTCTCCTCCTTCCCCTCCCCAAAGTACATAATGGATTATTCTATTTGTGTAAAATTATTGGAGATTCATACTAATCCACAGTGACAATAAAATTATTGATTACTTGGAGAGGGAATAGCTAGAGAAGAGAACTTTGGGGGGTAATGGATACGTTTATTACCTTGATTATGGCAAAGGTACATATATATGTGTGTGTGTGTATATACGTAGTATATGCAGCATATGTATACATATATTTTATACACACATATACATATGTGTGTATGTATTTCAAAACCCATTAGATTTATCGCATTGAACACTTTATGTTCAGTTTATTATATGTCAGTGATACATCAAATAAAGCTGTTAAAAAACTGGAACAATCGATCTCTAGAACATGGGAGTAACTGTGAAAAGAATATACAATTTAAAACTAATCTATAGTTTTCTACAGTTGATAAAGTTTGGCATTATATCTGGCACACCATGGTTCCAAATCTAAAAGTAGGAACTTCTGCTTCTATTTATGTGATTAACTTGGTATGCAATCTTATCTTGTATTTTCCAATGTATGTGACCCATTGGTTTAGAATCAGAAGTCCATCCTTATAGAAACTTATGAAATATACAGGATATATAGAAAAATTTGCTTCCATATACATATTTATACCTGTATATTTTATTTATATTTATACTTGTACTTATCTAAAACCCTTTATACTTTTATAATTTGTGGAGAAAATGCCCTTCAGAGTCAAATACTGAATAGAAAAGCAGAATTTGATTAAAATGTTACAGGATGAAGTTTCCTGGACCACTGTTAGCAGATGTGTGATGAGCAAAGTGGCACCATTAATATAACCTATGATGAAAATAGTACCCCTCACAGTTGCGCATCACGATGACCCTGGTAGTTTGTTTTATTGGAAAATAATCATGATCTATTGTAGCTTTCAACTTCATGAATAAACAAAGAAGGTGATTCAAAGTCCATTACTAGTAGGGCTTTCCTATGAGGTAAAGGTGGATAACAATAAGCTCAGCAAGTGTGCTTATTGAGGTGATGTTCCTGTAAACTTTGCAACAAGACAGAGATGACTTGCTTGTTTCAAATACAATGTAGTCAGCCTGAAGCTTGAGGGTAAATCCTAACCATGAATTTTTTGTCTAGCCTAGGGAGAAGATGGTGATTTAATAAATCAAAAGGAGTGAGAATGAGCTGTACCTCTTTGAGACGCAAGGGAGGAGGGAAGGGGAGTAGGTCAAGTCCCCAAACATTTGTTTCCTTTCACAAGTGCCTCTTTGTACTGGTTTATATTTGATGTAGAACTATTTTCTGAGTTTGTGGAGATGATAAGGACAACTTGCTTTTATTTTTGTTATCGATTCTAAAATGATATTTGTTGTAGAAACTGATAATGAACCAGTCTTGCAAACACAATATTCAAAACAAAGTCTATTTTTAATATTTTAATTATGCAAGTAATCCATGTTCATTCCAGAAAAAAAAATAGAAGATAAAGAGAACAAAACAACAAAAAATTATAGAAACTAAATCCTTATATAATTCCACTACTTGGGGATACAATTGTCAATACTTTATGGATGTCCTTCCAGATATATTCTTTGTATATACACACAAATATAAATAAACACACTTGTAAGATATATAAAGACATCAAATTTTAAATGTTCTTCTATAGTTTTTATTTCACTCAACATGTTACTAAACTTTTGAGTTCAGTAGACATACATCATACCGCCATATTAATGCCTTCGATTTTCTCATATGAATGCATCAAAATTTTTTGACTAATCTGAAGGCTATTTTTAAAATTTATTTATTTTTAATTTTTTTTCTGAAGAAAAAATGATTTTTTTCTATACAATGATGCTAGAAGAAACTGATTTAAAAGTTACAGCTTTGAATGTTAAATGATGAAGGGTTTTGGAGTCATTCCTTTTGACCTACTAATTTTACAATTCTGTTGAACACCAAGTGTTTTTTAGTGGTCATCACGTGATATTTATGTGCATATTTTGGGCATCACTGTTCTAATTCCCATTGACTGACGTGTTGGGGACCTCATTCATTTCTTTCAGTTCTTAAACCTATAGATTGATACTAATCTATTAATGTACTTAAAATGTAAAGGAACCCCAGGTGTTTAGACAATTAACCAATAAAAATTATTTCTCTCAGTTTCTAAACCTATAGATTGATACTATTAAATTTATTTAAAATGTAAAGGAACTCCAGGTATTTAGACAATTAAACCAATAAAAATTAGGTCAAAGAACATCAAACTTTTCTTTTAAGCTAATATAAAAATATCTAAGACCTTCTGCTGATTGTCACATAGTATAAGGGTATGTGAGTAAATGGTTGCTAAACTGCATTTTGGCACTAACATATGACCAGATCCATCTGTTGGGATCCCATGCCGTGGTCCCATGGCAGTGAGCTATTGTGGAAAATGTATTCTACTGAGTGGAGGGAGATGAAGGAAGTGATCACTAAGGTTGGTGAGCTTGAGGGGAGGTCTCTTAGCCCCTCTAGAGCTCAGATTGTTCATCTTCAAAACCATGGTGCTAAAGAATATAGCTCTAAATTTTTCTCCAGTGCAAATATTCTATGCTTCTGTGACAGAGAACTCTGAAGTCACATGGCCTGAGTCAGGGCAGCTGCTACAGACCCGAGTACTACAGATCCTTGGCTGCTTGGTGTACATCCCTGGCCACTGACCTCTTCTCACCCACTGTTCTTTCTCTCTTAATTGATTCTGTCCTGACCCAGGACTCAGATCTTAACTGTGTATCTGAACACCTTTGTCTTGCACTTTCTTTCCTCAATTCTCAATTATGACCTGTTTCTTGCTTGTGTTCTGGGCAGTTTTTCATGTCTCACTGGGTTAACCCAACTACTTGGGTTTCCCATAACCCTTAGGGCTACACCGTAAATGTGCTGCCTGTGACCATGGCATCCAAGGCTCGTCATAAGACTGGACTGGGTCTGCACCAACTCCATACATCTGGAAGAAAAGAAAAGCTTCAACACCTCATTACCTTGGACACAGTAATTACTTGGAAGATGTTAGTACAGATACATGTATGACATGAATAAACTTGAAAACATTCTGCTGGGTGAAAGAAGCCAAACACAAAAGGTGACATATTGTATGATTCCATTTATATGAAATAATCAGAAATAAAAAGTAGGCTAGTGATTGCCAGGGGCTGAGGGGAAGGGAAAGCAGGAGTGAATGGTTATTGGTACAGGGTTTCTTTTGGGGCTGAATACAATGTTCTGGAATTAGAGAATGGTGATGGTTGCACAACCTTATGAATATACTAAAAACCACTGAATTATACACTTTAAACATGTTGGATTTTATTATATGTAAATTATATATCAATAAAAAATGGTTAGGATGGGAACGATAGCTCACGCCTGTAATCCCAGCACTTTGGGAGGCCAAGGCGGGCGGATCATGAGGTCAGGAGTTTGAGACCAGCCTGGCCAACATAGTGAAACCCTGTCTCTACTGAAAATACAAAAATTAGCTGGGCATGGTGGCACACACCTGTAGTCCCAGCTACTTGGGAGGGTGAGGCAGGAGAATCTCTTGAACCTGGGAGCAGAAATTATGGTCAGCCAAGATTGCACCATTGCACTCCAGCCTGGGCAACAGAGCGAGACTCCGTCTCACAAAAAAAAAAAAAAAAAAAAGTAAAATATTCAGGAGATCATTCATTTACACAATATGACCTGCTTAGACATTTGAGAATATTTCAGTAACCAATTTTAGGGAGATCATAGAATCAGGTAGCTCCAGCCAAAAACACGTATCCTTTTTATCTGTGCGCCTTCCAAAGCCTGAAGCACTCTTTCCCTAGGGAAGAAGCTATGATGATTACTGTAGAGATAGCAGCAACAGGAAGCTGCAATAAATATCTACAAACTTTATTCCTGTGTTGAAAATGCAGCTCCTGCCTAAAATATTAGAAATACCTCTTGAATAAGAAGATAAATAAGGAATAAACAAAATTTACCTAAAGCACTGTCACCTTGGTATGTGTCCCCTCAAAAGCTAAATGCAGTAAAAATAATGAAACATCAACAATAACAAAACAGGTTGGATTTCACTGGTGAAGCTTTTTTTTTCACTGCAAAATAATTGGTTCAACTAGTTATTTCACCATGTCTAAGCATTTTAGGTTGCATGAATGCAATTTCAACATCTCCAGTTAACTATGGAGACCAACTGTCCACAGGACCCAGTCCCCCAAATATTTTGCAAGGTTATTTCTTCCACTCCTCCCCAGGAAGATTTATGCTCTGTCTTCTCTAAATGCTGAGAGCAAGTCCTATTTTTAAAAGCCTCCAGAGAAGATGCTTCTACAAAGAGATGGGATGACAAAGTTTTGCCCTTTGCAGCGTTCTCAGTGGAGCTAATCAGCCAGGTGTCTGATCTCCATGGCGTCTACCTGACTCCCTTTCCCCCATAGGACTGAGCCCCTATTGGAAATAACTGCGAGCCCAATACACCTTTAGAGGTTTGTTTTTATTTTGTTTGATTTTTTTTTCCAACAGAGAAATTCCTTCTGCTTACTGAGTAAAGTATAGCACTATGATATTGGTGGTGATTCCCAGAAGTCTTGGTAGCTCAGAGCCTTAAACATCACTTAAGAGAAAACCTTCCAAGCTTCTTCCTGTCATTTACTGCCTAGCAGAAATGGCCCAGGTTCCCTCAAACCACGAAGTCTTTGGTTACTTTCTGTAGCATGTTGTATCAGCATATCCAGTGACCTTTCTACTCCACCTTTGCTGTCCCTCGAATCAGATCTGAAAAGTGTCTACCTTTGCAGAAAAAACAAATGAAGTACAGTTTTGCCCAGGATAACCCAGTAAAGTAGTGATTGGCTGAGAATGCAGATCTGAAGGCTCTATCCTATTAAGTTTATATCACTCCAATTTGATTCAAGGTTTTTTATTCATAATAGGAAAGATAATGTCACTGCCACGAATCATGAGGCACCTTCTCCTCAGAAATTAGCAAAAAGCAGATGCCACACTAAGCACTTGGTGCTTTAAGGACAAGAAATTCTCTAGTAGTCTGTATATTGGGCCAAAATGGGGTTTCTTAGGCTTGAGAAACAAAACTTGCTTGAAAAGTGTTTGTTTACTTTTATTTATATTATTTTATTTCATTCCATTTCATATTATCTCAGTATTTCATTTATTTATTTATTTTTCTGACTCTTTTAGCAGGTCTTCTTCTCCTGCTCTTCATGATGCAGAACTGGCAATTATTTTCATTTGTGGCTATTTAGAATGTTACATGATCAAAAATCAGTGCTTCCTGTATAGGGCAGCCTACATAGAATTAAGTACTAACTATCCATTTCCCCCTGGAAGGTTATGATGCCTTTGCTGCTATCCTATGCCATTGAAAGGCACAAACTAGATAGAATGGGGGACACTTGCACTCTTGGTTCCTGTCTGTGAACAAAGTGTGTTACTGACCAGACACACCTCTGGTAACCAGGAGCTTGGCTACTTATGTAAAGAAGTCTCATCAGAGACTGTACCCCTTTAGCCAAATTCTAATGCTAAAACCAAAATGGGATGTTATTTTGAGGCTTTTGTTTCCTTTCGCTGAATTATTTATATCTTTTTAAAAACTTCATTGTAGTAAAAAATATAAAATTTACTATCCTGACCATCTTAAGTGTACAGTTCAATAGTGTTAAGTATATTCACATCATTGCGGAACAGATCTCCAGAACTTTTTTGTCTTACAAAATTAAAACACTGTACCCATTAAACAACTCCCCTTTTCCCCTTCTCCCAGCCCCTGATAACTACCATTTTGCTTTCTATTAATTTTACTACTTCAGATACTTCATATCATGCAATCATACTTGCCTTTATGTGACTACTATGTTTCACTTAGCACAATGTCTCCAAAGTTCAACCGTGTACCATGTGACAGGGATTTCTTCCTTTTTTAAGGCTGAATAACATTCTGTTATATTGGTGTGTGTGTGTGTATGTGTTTGTGTGTGTGTGTGTGTGTGTGTGTATATCACATTTTCTTTAGCCAGTCATCTGTTTATCTGTTTACTGACACTTGTTTGCTTTCACCTCTTGGCTATTGTGGACAGTGCTGCTATGAACATGGATGAGCAAATATTTCTTGAAGACCTTTCTTGTGAATATTTTGGATATATGAATGCTATATATTGATTTTTTTCAACTTATGGACTAAAACAGAACAAGCCTTTACTATAGTAAATGCAGTGATACTCTTCATTAAGCAAACAAAAAAAATCAGAGATTTATTCTCTGACTCATCACAATATTCCTTCAGCATAGATTGGTGGAAAGTATTACCTTCCCCATTCCCTGGATAGGAAAATTGGAGCACAAATGTTACTTCACCTGGCCAACCAGCCGTGGAGCCTGGCCTTGACTTCAGATCTGCTGATTTCTACTTACGTGCAGTAATTGACATTGGGGCTTAATTAAGAAACTGTGTTCCAAACGAAAAGATTTGCCATTATTTGGGCAAAGGCTTGTTGACTTTGGCACGAGAACCAAGTGTCACACTTTCCTTTGGCAACTGTGAATATTCTTGTCCAGTTGGTATATATTTCCAAGAATGTTTCCCATTGGCCTATTTTGGATTCCATTTATAAAATGTTAAGGGATAATAACATTTACCAAGTACATGTCTGAAAGTTTGCACTGAAATATTCCACGCTATGCCCCCCCCCACAACCATTCCTTTTTTTATTTATCCTTAAATGCCCTTACACCTTCAGTATTCTCACAGCCCTTTTGTTCTGCCTCAAAGTCAGACCCTTCTCAATTCCTGCCTCTATATTAAGATAAATAACCAAAAAATCTTCAACTTGCCATCTTGTTATGTAAGTCCAATGCTGACATTATTTCTTTTCTCAGCTCTGCCATTTGGGGCTGAGATTTAGAGCTGCTGCTCGACATGAGCATTCCTCATCTCCTTTCCATTTCATAAATGTGGATGCTCACTGGTTTTCCTCTTATTTGGGTTCCCCAAGCTTATCTGCTTACTGGTTTGCCTTTCTATGTATGCATGGTGAGATGTCAAATGCATCTGTATAAGAGCATGAGCATCCCAGAATAGACAGTTCCTTGGAAATACATTCATCCTCCCAAAACCTGTAAGGGAAAAGAAACAGCTGCTTAGGAGCATGCATTTAAGATGTGCCAAGCAACAAAATGCACCATCCTGCTTGAATTCATTTACCAAGTAATATGTACAATGCTCCTCTTAGTTGTTGTCTGATAGGAATGTGCATATAATGTCAAAAAAGCAGTACAAACGGTCTGTTTCACAAAATATATTTATTTTAAGTGTCTTATTTTCTTACAAATGTCTATACTCTATCTTCATTATCCTAAAAAATAAGGAGGCTTCTTTCTCTTGTAATACACTTGGCAAACATGTCCATGAAAGTGAATTATGTCAGTGAAGTAGATGCTAATCTTTGGAATGTAAAACTGTCTTTTCTATTAGACAGTCAGAAAGGTAAACTGTTATAGGAAGTGTGGGGACATCACAGTGCATTTGTGTATCTAACAAACTTATTGAGCACACACTGTGTCAAATGCTTATCACAGCCTCTGAAATATTAATAATCCCTTTTCCTGAATAGTGTATACATAGCTTCTATAACTTGATCCATCCTCTCAGTTATTAATTTATATATTTGTCTCCCTCCCTATACCGGTGATTCTTAACTATCTGGCAATGTCTAGAGACACTTTTGATTGTCAAAACTGGGAAGATGCTATTGATACCTAGTGGGTAGAGGTTAGGGATGCTGCTAAATAACCTACATTTCACCTGACTTCCCTCACAACTAAATATTATCAGCCCTCAACATCCAGTGCTGAACTCGAAAACTGCTCCAGGCTATGAACCCTGGGGAGCAGGGACTGTGTCATGGTCATCCTTCTGTCTTCACTGCTTCACACCACTAGAAGGGGCTTCCCAAGTGGTGGCAGTGAAACTGCTGTGGAAATTGCAGGCCAGCAAAGATGAATAGGACAAGGCTGTTTCCTAGAGCCTTGCTACTCAAATGCAATCCATGGACCAGCAGAATGGCTATCACCTGGGAAGTTGTTAGAAATGCAGAATTTGAAGCCCCACACCAGACCTACTGAGTCAGAATCCTCATTTTAACAAAATTCTTAAGTGATGCAGATGCACTCTAAAGTTTAGAAGCACTGACCTAAACATGTTAGTGTCAAATGGATGGGGTGGGTAGGTGGAAGATTCTCAAAAGCGGAAGTCCATGTTCACCTGACAAAAATAGGCAAAGGGATTCCACCTGGGTTCATCTCTGGCGGGCGCATGAGGTCTAGGTGAGCATCGCTGAGCCCAGAAAACAGCTAGCGTTGGGGATCTCAGAGCCCCAGTTGCAAACCCAGGTAAAACAATGCAGTACCAACAGATTAGAAGACAGTGGAGGTGATCAGTGAGCAGACACGGCAGCACATGAGGCAGTGGCTGGGTCAAGAAAAGGGGCACGACGAGACTCTAGGCAGTTCATGTTGAAGAGGATGCCAAACCGCGCTGAAAAGGAGGCTGACAATGGGAAAGGACAGGCCATGTGCCAAACCCAGGAGAGGCCAAAGCTCTGAGACTGCGGGGGTGAGAGGCAGCAGCCCAGACTGGCTACAGGCTGTTCATTCCATCGTCTGGGTGGCTCAGGTTCATTAGGAGAATCAAGTTACTCAGAATCCTTATGCGACAGTCCTTCCAGGACTTGATAATGTGGTAATTAACATAGGGATTCCAGAAATGCCTTGGATTTGAGTTCTGTCTATAACAGGGTGATGTGTCTGGAATCTGGATATTGAAAATTGCTATTCCAACAGCCTCCTTATTTCCTTCAAGAAGGAACAAGTGGACTAAAACTCTAATTAAAAGGGCAAATATGGACTAGCTGGAAGGACATCTCTGAAGGGCCAGTTATGACAGCATTTGTCAGATTTTCCAGGGGCTCTTCTGTAGTTACCATTAAAACACTACCATGTGTTTGAATATTATCACATTATTAAAGTTTATGAGATATACTAAAGGACTCAAATATTGTGCATCTGTTATTTTGCATTTATGCAACAGCTCCTGGAGCCCTTTCATAAGGAGATGTTGACCTCCAGCTTATCTTGGTAAATGACGTCTTGTTGATCCGGGTGCCTGTCACAACCTAAACATGACCTAGAACATTTTACTTGCTCTGAAAGAAAAAGGAGAATTGTCTGCTGCCCAGACTGTGGTGGTTAGAGGAAAACACAAGCTCCTTTAATAGAGCAACTGGCCTTCCTTTTCCTGCTTCACGTTACCTTCAGCAATTGTGTATGTCTCAGGCTTATCTCAGACCTGAAGAAAGTGAGGTCTGGAAAACCCAGAATCCCCCTCGTATTGAAAGGAGGACAGTGGCTCAGTCTTGTGGGAAATCACCAAGGATTCCTCCGAGTCCATTTTTATAGCAAATTATACATCTGGATTGTACCTAAAACTTTATTTCGGCTTATAACTAGGCCTTGCAAGTCAACTGATTGCCATGTGTTTTTCTCTTCCCCTGGCACCTTTAGGAGCACACAGGAACATATGCAATCAGATACCTAGAGGTTCCCCAAATTTGAGATGGTCCAAGAAAGACAAAGTCAAGTTAGTGGAGTATTTTGTCTTTAACATGGGCTGTACTTGCCAGAACTCAGTGTGTTGTGCCCGGGTAGTGCATTTTGTAGCAAAGCTATCAATGGGTGCCTAAAATATATCTCTTCCTTCCACTTTCCCCAGCCAGTGCTGGCCCCCTGAGAACTCTAGCCACCAATCAGGCTCAGAATGTGATGAATGTGTGTGCAACTAAGCGGGTAATAACTCTTGAAGTAAAATCTCCTCCTCTTTGGGAAAGCTTCTTTCCTGCTACAGGGGTGTGGCAAGGCAGGGTGAGGGACTTCAAAACCTAGAATGGCTCAAGGTTTTTAAATTGAATGAACATAGCAGCGTATGGTCAGCTGAGAATTGTACTTCTGGAAATCATCACTTATCCAAAATGAATCAGATTTTGGCAGTGTGTAGTAACTGTATACAGATTCAATTCATTTTGCTAGTGCTTACAGTCTACAAGAAAGGAAGAATTGAAAATGTCTCATTGGTTTTCCCTCTTCTAAATGTTTAGATCTCCATGGGCTCCCAGGGCTTGCTTGACAGACTTACAAGATCCTGTGGCCTAGTTTTAGAATGTTATGGATAAGGCCATTCTTGCAGGAGTAAGGTGGTATCACATTGTGGTTTGGAAGGGAACACTTCTTCACTGCTGGGGGGAATGTATGAGTACAACCACTGTGGAAAACAGTGTGGAGATTCCTTAAATAACTAAAAGTGGAACTACCATTTGATCCAGTAATTCCACTCCTGGGTATTTTCCCAGAGGAAAAGAAGTCATTACAGAAAAAAGATACTTGCACATGCATGTTTATAGCAGCACAATTTGCAACTGCAAAAACATAGAATCAGCCCAAATGCCCTCAGTCAACAAGTGCATAAAGAAATTGTTTTATATATATATATATCATACATATGTATATATATGATATATATGTTATACAGATATATATACATATATATGATATGTGTGTAAATATATATGTTATATATGTATACACACACATATATGATATATATGTATCATATATATGTGTGTATACACACACACACACACACACACACACACAATGGAATACTACCCAGCCATAAAAAGGAATGAATTAATGGCATTTGCAGCAACCTGGAGGGAACTGGAGACTATTATTCTAAGGGAAGTAACTCAGGAATAGAAAACCAAAGATCATATGTTCTCACTCATAAATGGGAGCTAAGCTATGAGGATGCAAAGGCATAAAAATGATACAATGGATTTTAGGGACTTGGAGGGAAGGGTAGGAGGGAAGTGAGGGATAAAAGACTACAAATTGGGGCTGGGTGCAGTGGCTCACACCTGTAATCCCAGCACACTGGGAGGCTAAGGCAGGTGGATCACTTGAGATCAGGAGTTCAAGACTAGCCTGGCCATCACGGCGAAACCCCTTCTCTACTAAACACACACACACACACACACACACACACACACACACACACACAGATTAGCCCGGTGTGGTGGCAGGTGCCTGTAATACCAGCTACTTTGCAGGCTGAGGCAGGAGAATTGCTTGAACCCAGGAGTCAGAGGTTGCAGTGAGCTGCGATTGTGCCACTGCACTCCAGCGTGGGCAATAGAGCAAGACTCCATCTCAAAAAAAAATTGGGGTTCAGTATATATACTGCTTGGGTGATGGGCACACCAAAATCTCACAAATCACCACTAAAGAACTTACTCATGAAACCAAGTACCACCTGTTTTCCCCAAAACCTATGGAAATGAAAAATTTAAAAAAGAATTTTATGGATAAGGAACTTTCCATATCTGGACCTCAAGTGATCCACCTGCCTTAGCCTCCCAATGTGCTGGGATTATAGGCGTAAGCCACCGCACCCAGCCCCAATTTGTAGTCTTTTATCCCTCACTTCCCTCCCACCCTTCCCTCCAAGTCCCCAAAATCCATTGTATCATTTTTATGCCTTTGCATCCTCATAGCTTAGCTCCCATTTATGAGTGAGAACATATGATCTTTGGTTTTCTATTCCTGAGTTACTTCCCTTAGAATAATAGTCTCCAGTTCCCTCCAGGCTTTTCCAAACCTGAAACTTTGAAGACAGTTATAGCCTGAAGGTAATCAGTTCAGATTCAGTTGGGATAAGTTTTGGATTCATATTTATGTTCTAATACTAACTTAGCCACTAACAGCTTTGTGGCCTTGGACAAGTTATCACAACTTCAACTTCAGTTTCTTTATGTCTAAGATGGGACTTATAACATCCAGTTTATAGTGTTGTTTTAAATCTTAAAGGAAATAATACATATAGAGCACTTAGCAAATTCTCAGCACATAGAATTCAGTGAATGAAGGTTATTATCACTATTTTTATCATTGTTTTTATCCCAGGTCATGGAGCTAGTTAGTGCAAAAATCAAGATGCAAAGCTGAAGACCACCTATCTTCAGCCCTCTGAACTTCCTTGAACGTTTTTCTTCCTCTATATCCAAAAAATTGTAGGGATCAACCACATTTTCTTACCTCTTTTCACCTTGAAATATCCCTATCCTCATAAAAAGGACAATTACGTATAGATTATTACTAAATATCAAGTAAATCATCTTAACCTACTAGTGTGAGAAATGTGTTGGTAACTCATCACAGTTCTTTGCTCTACATATTTGGTTAAATACTTTGTCCTGGATTTTTAAGATCATTCTGCCAAAAAAGATACCCTATAAAGCAAAATGACTGCTGCAGCTCGATTAATTTCTCAACGGCTGCTGGTGTCTTCAGCCTTTTCCTGACTTTGCTCCTGGAGAGGCTTGTCATTCTTAGGGCCAGAAGGGCTAGGTTTCTGGTCTCCAAAATCTGAGCTCAAGTTCTAGTCTGTGGTGAAATTGAAGCCTCAGAGCATGAGTCTGAGGTTTGAACTGTGGAGAATTCCTGGGGTCAGAAGGGCACAGTGGGGCTCAAGAAACTAGTTTACCATGCATGTCTTGTTTCAGACTTACGCTGAGGCACGAAACAATACTTTGTTTTTGTGGGCCAGCCTACGAAACAAATAAGAAATGTAGAATGTCTTTTTTTTTATGGAATGGAACATTCTGGATTTTAAACACTCGAACTTCTAAAGCAGTGAAGCACATCCTGGCTCCACAGTTTGCTAGTCACATGACCTTGTATTAGGTATGTGACCTGTCTAGATCTGCTTTCTCATCTGTCAGATGGGTGTGATAACAAGAATGACTTTATAGGATTGCAGTAAGAATGGAACAAGATAATACTTAGCATTGTACTTAACATATACTTAGTATATACTTGGCATATATTTAATATGGGGAATCAAGCCCCAACTGTTGTTTTTTATTTTTATTTTTGTCACCAAAGCAAGCAGCATAGATCTTCATGGGCCCTCAGGGCTGGGTTGGCAGACTTAGAAGATCCTGTGGCCCAGTTTCAGAATTTTATGGATAAGGAACCTGAAACTTTGAGGACAGTGATAGCCTGAAGGTCTAAATACTTTGGAAGTATTGGTGCTGTATGCGCAATTCCTTTCCCAAAAGCCAGGAATGTGATAGAGATATCTATGCATGCATGGGATGCAGGAGTTTGGGAGGCTCAGGGAGGCTCATAGGGAGATTCTTCTGGAGATTTTGCCACTATTTTGTCAACACAACTCTAAACCGATTAGTAGGGAGAGAGGTCTGCTCCTTGGCAATTCACTTTGTTTCTGTCCTAAGTATAGAAAAAGGCCCAGGGATTATTATGCTGAAACTCTCTTTCACCGAACTGCATTTCCACTTTGGAGGCTATTTGGGCAGAGGCAGATGGGAAGCTGTTGCAGGTGTAGCATAGAGCAATGGCATTGAAGGTGGGGGAGGATTTAGGCAAAGAACCCAGTCCCCAGATTCCTGGATCATCACCCTTACAAGTCCAAATGTTTGCACATCACCTCTGCAGCACCTCTTCCTGAGAATTGAGCCAGCAATTTGTCACTTTAAATCTCCTTTGCCTTCCTAACGTCACATCCAGTTTCAGAACAGATCTTCCAGGGCTCCTTCAACTCAAGACAAATAATCCAAGTAGGAGATGAGTTCAGCCACAATTCTATTAGAGCATGAGGGAAAGAAAAGTCAAGAAAGGAGGAGAGTCTGACTGCTGACAGTGCAATCTTGTGACTAAACCTATCTTTAATAAGTTTTTCTCCACTCTGTAGAATGCAGGCAGATCACTTAGGCAATCAACTCCCTTTATGGATAATGAGTGTGGACATCTTTCCTGGATCCTGATGCCAGGAGATGTAGAAACAAATGGTTTGTGACACAGAGTCACAGAGCCATTAGCTGGTAGGTGCAGCCCAACAGCCTCACATGGCTCTGCCACCCAGAAAGGTGGGGTGTGCGACACTTGCCAACCTCAAATCCAGGTCACTTGGTGAGAAATACCCCAAGTAACTGTGTTGCTTGAGAATCAGGAGCCTGGAACATTGTGTTTTTCTTACTCTTTGAATAGCCGAGGCCTCCTCCCCAAGTAGATCCAGGTTCATTGCCACTCTCTTTACTCCCAGTATGTGGCCACTTTTGGGGGGAGTTAGATTAAAGGGGTGGGGTCAGCAAGGAGGGGAAGGCGAATTGATAAGGCCAAGGCCAGAGTGTGAACATCTAAATTGTTTATTCTATGTAGTCTTCAGAAACATCCATAAGTTCTAAATCAAGGAACATCTATTTTATTTCACCATCATTAGTTACTGTACAATTATATTTAAAATCCTATAAGCTTTTACAGTTTTCTGCATGCTTTCCTTTACCATCTCTTATGTCATCCTTACAGCACGTATGTTACCATTTTACAAGTTAGCGAAAACTTGAACATAGTGTTAAAACCATAGCCTTCTAATTTCTTTCAAAATAGATTAAATGGTAGGATTTATCTGGAACTAATCGAGAAGATTAATTCATCAGCTTGAGGGACAGCAGAATATTTGTGAATATTTTGTTACGTATTATTTTTCCTGAAATGAGTACTCCCCTGTGTGCCTCATTCTCCTACCCCCAAAATCCCTTAACTAATTACCTTTTTTATAGGAAAATATAAAGACTGTCTTCATAAAACCCATTACATTTAATCTGTTGAAAACAAAGTATACCCGGTTTTCCAATTCTATAACCAAATCCATTTAGGGAAAGAAAAGAGCCAAGTAGTCATTGTAATGTGATTGCTAGCCGGAGTTTTGGTGGAAGCAGTTTGCTGGACAAAGTAGCCAATTTGTGTTTGATATGTGTGCCCAATTTTTATCACCCACACTAATTAGCCTCAGTCAGCAGAAAGAACACTGGGGTTTTTTAGGATGTACAGACCAGGCATGGTGGCTCACACCTGTAATCCCAACACTTTGGGAGGCTGAGGTGGGTGAATCATCTGAGTTCAGGAGTTCGAGACCAGCCTGGCCAAGATGGTGAAATTCTGTCTCTACTAAAATCACAAAAAAAATTGCCAGGAGTGGTGGTGCACACCTGTAATCCTAGCTACTCAGGAGTCTGAGGCAGAAGAACGGTTTGAACGCAGGAGATGGAGGTTGCAGTGAGCCGAGATCGCACCACTGCACTCCAGCCTGGGCGACACAGTGAGACTTTATTTCAAAAAAACAAAAAACAGATTGTTAAATCATGTAACTTCATCTCAGTTGTGTTTGGAATTTTTCAGCTTAACATTTTATAATAGTAGCCCCTCCTCTTGAATTGAAGATGAGTCATTAAAGCTTCATTCATTTCTTGAGACTGTTACTCTACCAATGCTAAAATCACTGCACTTTCAATAAGGCATTTTAGGATTTCTAAGTTATGTATGGTAAACAGCTGGATGAAAAATTCAATTGCATTGTTTTTCCAAACTTACAGATGATTGGTATAAAGAAGGTTAAGTCTTTAGATAAGTAATGAAAATGTTTGCTTTACACAAAGTAGAGACTATACAATGTTTTATCTCAAGATGTATTGATGTACTGAAAAAATGCATTTTAAATTTTTTCCAGAAAACTACTGAGTTACAAAAAATGGGTCATCGTCCCACTTTGTTACACAGTGGAAATGATAAATCTAGGTAGGATTTTATGCCTGAAAGAGAATCTTAAAATGTGTCAGTACATTTTTGTTTCAGATTTAGAACTCAGGTTCTTGGAGACTATGAAATGTGTCCAGAGTCACAGAGCAAGAAAGTGGCATAGCTAGGACTACAAAACAACTTTTTCAAAATCCTGAGACTCTCCCAATAGTTTATGAACATGTATTTATGTATTACATATTTATTATTGAACATGTATTTCTGTGTCTTGCAGTCACTGGTTTTGAAACAGAATTAAGGGATGAATAGGATATAATGTCTGCTCTCAAGGAACCCAGTTTCAATTTCTATGTCTTTTGACACAGTGCCTAGTGGTAAGATCAGGAGAATACCATGAGTATCATGTGCCTTCAGTTCACCAAGACATGTAAGAAAAAAAAAATTAATTATAGTCACATGACCCAGATGTAGAAATATGAGGTCAAGGAGGGCTGGATTATGTAGCTCATTACCATTATCATTAATGTGTATGGCTTGACATCAGCCTGGTCTAGAGGGAGTTTCTAGTGGAGAGCCATAGAACAGTCCTTGGCTAGGTGCATCCAATGCTTTGTCAACTACCTGGGTGAAAATATAGGTTAATTGGTGAACTTGATGATGACATAAGTAAAGGAAATAGAGCAAAGATAGCTCATGGCAATTTCAGCATCAACAAACGTTTCCCACAGGATGGGGGATTAGTCAAACATAAAATAAATAAAACATAACAAGAGTAAACATAAAATATAGCATGACAACTAATATAATTTATTAAATGATTTAATTTTTATTTACATTGAAAATTTTAGCAGAGTTCTGTCTTTAACTTTGTTTTATTTGGTATAAAGAAAAATTTAAAAATAATCAGAAGTAGGATTTAGGAAAATTGTACCACAAATTGGATTACAAATAAAAAAGGGAAAATTTTGGCTTTGGGAACTTCAATTATGCCCAGTTCCCTATGACTTACTTTATTTCTTAAAAGTGTTTTTAGCCTTCTATATAGAGGCAAATTTTGACTTTTTTCTGTTTGCCCTAAAGCAGCAGCCTGAATTTTGTACATTAAATAATGAATCCCTTATATTCCATTGGTCTGTAGCACCTTCAAGTTGCTCAGAAGAAGGAAATGTCATTCCTAGAAATTTTGAGACCTAGTCATTTCCCTCTTGGGGTCTCCTAGTTAAGGAAAAAGTAACCGAAGCACTTTCTAGCATGTATTTTTTCTAGAGTCATTTTTAATATGTTTCAGTTGCTACAGAAGGAGTACTAACATACATTGCAAATCAGATCCAACTAAATGAATTAAGGAGAGTGAATTGAGGCCCATTTCTTATTTCCTTGCAAAACTGAGTAAATTATTAGGTTTTGTAGCCAAAAACCCAAGAGCAATAACAAGCTCTATAGACAATAAACACAATTCTCAAATTCTCATTGTGGTGCCTGGGCGCTAGAAATGCCTTTCTCTCTATACCACCAACACCCTCCTTTCCTTGGGTACACTGTCTCTCTTCCCTTCTCCTCCTGCTCACAAAGGCAAGCTCTTTCAGAAGTACGCAGAAAGGGCGATTTTGGCCTTCAGTTTTAATGATAGCTGTCTTTAGACATAATGAATTCTAATTGTAGATTATTTGTGGATGGTCTGAGAGTCAAGAGTTGGTGTTAGTAGGGACTTGTTAAATATATTTCCTTTATAGGATTCATAATCTTTCAATCACATTATCACTATATAGGAGTTAATAAAATCCAGCGTCAATACTTCATGATTCACAGGTGTTTCTTGTGCCTCATTTCATTCTTATGATCAATATCTGCTGGATCGTAATCCTCCCTTTTAGCATCTGGCACATAAATGACTTTCTGTATGATGCTAATTAAGTAAAATGAATTTCAGGACAAAAAAATTTCCCACTTCTTTACTAATGTTTATAGATAGATATTTAGAAGGAAATGCACAAATTATTTTAGAATGACATAGTATACACCAAATCATTATAACTTTTATTATGATTTTTACATTCAATATGTTACTTTTTTGGCAGGGCATGGTGGCTCACTCCTATAATCTCAACACTGTGGGAGGCTGAGGCGGAAGGATCTGTTGAGCCCAGGAGTTTGAAACTAGCCTGGGAAACATAGCAAGACCCAGGCTCTACAAAATAATTTTTTAAAATTAGCTGGGCATGGTGGCTTATGCCTGTAGTCCCAGCTACTCCAGAGGCTGAGGCTGGAGGATCACTTGAGCCCAAGAGTTTGAGACTGCAGTGAGCCATGATTGCACCACTGCACTCTAGCCTGAGTGACAGAGTGAGACCTTGCATCAAAAAAAAAAAATAATAATTGTTTCTTAAATAACTTTTCAATCCATTCTTTATTAAACAACTTTATGGATTATCTGTAGTTATCATTTTTCTCATGTATTATGCTGTGTGTCTAAAGATATTTGGGTAAAGTTCTGAACTTAACATAGTATAACTTTTTTCTGTTCCTTTTGTCACCCCGGTGGAAGCCATCTATTCAGAACTTTATATGTGCTACATACAGATTATACGTACATGTGACTATAGACCATATTAAATTGAATTCCTTAATAACATGTTTTAATTGTTAGGAAACAAAATTATGAACAGTAAGCGCTATACCTTTTTAGTTATTGTTTTTAAAGTGGGGGTGAAATTGCATTTAACTTTATTTTATAAAACCAGGCATACATAACTTTTTAACATTTAAGGATATAAAATTAAAATGATTGAGATGTTTTTTAAAGAGTAAAAGGGGAAAGTTCTCTTCAAGCATCTGCTTATAAGCAAGAGGTGACTACGCTTGGTTGAACAGATTCTTCTAGACCTTTGTAAGGAATGTATCCCTCTCTCTCTCCCTCTCTCTCCCCATATATATATATGCAACTTGCTTTTTTATTCAACCTAAAAATATGCCCTAGGTGTTTTATCAGTAAGTTTGGGTCTACTTCATTTTTTAATGGCTGTCTGAATTCAAACCCTAGCTTAGCCACTAAATACCTCTGTGGTCCCCTACAACTTACTTTACCTTATCTTTAAAGTAGGGAAAGTAACTGAAGATTGTTGTTGTTTTGAAGACAAATTGAGTTATTATGTGAAAAGTGCTTTAGAACAGTTCCTGGCAGATAGCAAATAATCAATATGATAGGAAAAAAGGAACCTCAAATGATGGACATTAAGTTGTTTCCAACTTAAAAAAATGATGCTGCATTAAAAATCTTTATGCACTTGTGAAACTTTATCTGTAAGATAAACTCTTAGAAGTAGCATTGCTGCATCAAAGAATACACATAATAGTCTCCTTGTCCATTTTGAGCATAAAGATATCTCAGTGCAGTTTGAGGTGAATGAGCAGCAAATTCTAGTTGGTTTCCCTCTTACCATTCATAGCTTTATTGAAAACTTTAAACTGATTGCTATGGATTCTGTTGATCCCAACACTTTCTATACTCCAAACTCACTAAAGCTGCCATATACACCTTGATCTTTGCGCCCAATCAATGCTGTTTCTAAAATAACATCTGGATACTCTGTTTTACGACTGACTCAGTAATGTTACAAGTTTGATTTTTTTTGTTTTTTATGACATAAAATTATGTAAATGAATATACCATAGATAAGTCTACATACCCTATTCCATCTATATGCCTCTGCACTGATAGCAGTAGAATAGTCACTAGCAAATTGCACCTAATCGAGGACTTTTCAATTGCCTTGAAGTAACCAGAGAGAAACTAGGTCAAAAGCTTAATAGAGTTGCTTTCTCTGCCCTTCACTTAGCATCAATAGAGTGATTTTCCTTGCTCTTAAAAAGCCCTGTAAAGCTAGATATTAAGTCCCTCATATTAAGGGAAGAGAGCAATGTTTAAATTTTACCTAAAGGATATGCTCCTATTGAGAAAAATGTGATTTAAAACATGAATGATTGAAACTTCCAGTGACTAGTATACAAACTCTAAAGCTCCAAGTTTAGATTAAGGTTTATTTAACTGGACACAGCAGCATCAATATACAACTTTATTTACAATCCAGAGTTATGGCTGTCAATTTTTTGCAGTCTTCATTTATTTACTTTTATTTTTTAAAATTCTTTAATATGACAAATATTTATGTAACTCCTACTTCATGTTAGCATCCATGTTCCCTGCCTTTGTGAGGCTTTCATGCCTTTGTGAGACTTTTAGATGAACCAAAAGTACAAATGCAGATTGTGAGAAAATGCTATAAAAATTAACGAGGTCAATAGACATTGAATAGGAGGATCCTGAGTTAACTTAGGTGTTCAGGCAAATGAACAGTGGAGGAAAAGCATTCCAAGGAAGAAGAAACAGCATGTGTAAAGATTTTCTGGCAGAAAACAACAACAACAAAATAAGATCTACTCTAAGAAGGGAAAGAAGGCCTCTGAAATGAGGAGCAGAGTGATCCAGAGTTAAGATGGAAAGGCACACAGGTCCTCTTTTCCCATGATCTATGGTTTCTCAAAGGCAGTTGAGATCAATTTCCAAATGCGTATTCTCTATGCCCTACCTGACAGTTCACTAGATGAAGGAATAGATGTTGTTATTACAGAGTTTGGTAAGAGAATAGGCAGCGTAATTTAACTTTCCTTTTCTATTCTGTTAGCACTATTCAAAGTCTTAAATCTCCCAGTCCAGCAGCCTTTTCCTCAGGATGACTTAACAAAAGACAAATAAAAAAGTACAGTGGTGTGTTGAGAGGGGAACCATTATTTTCTGAAGTCAGTTGACAGAAGGCTTCCAAGGTCTTACTGATTTAATAGATCACAGTCACTCCTGTGGGTGCACTTCTCTCCATTAGGTCTTCAATCCACACTGTATTATATTCTGAAATGAGCCTTCCTGGGATAGATTTGTCCCCATGATGGATAATCATGTAAATCCTGGCAGGTGACCAAGTATGTCTCTAGAGGGGTGACTCTGGAAGCAGCTGTTCCACAGCAGCATAACCCAAAAATCTAGCTTAGACACTGGAGACAAAGCCCAAAGCTCTATGTGAGAGTCCCTGTTTGTTTGGCAGTTTCATTGTCCACGCCTCCAAAAGGCCATCAAATTATGAGGCAGGGGAAATCATGAGAGACAGGATGGATCAATAGTCTGACTTGTCAGCAGTAGGCTTTTGATGGCTTCTCTTGTGTACATTAGCATCAGGGGTACAAAAGTTCTGAAAAATATATTTTCTTTTGTCAATGCCCTAATGAGAGCACATATGTCATAGAAAGAGAAGAACCCTGTATATTGGTCTCATGGTTTAGTTTTTCCTCCCTCTTTTTAAAATTTCTTTCCACTGTACCACTTGTAATACTCTTTATGTGGTTTCTATTTAACTGACCATGTACTTGTAAAGACTAGAAATAAAATAATAATTAGCTACCTGCATGTGCTAGAAGTTAATATGATGTTAGATCTCTGACATACGTTGATTATAAAGGTGCTTTTAATGGTTTGTATCTTGGAAGGATTTAGAGCTCGTGGTGTTAAAAAAAAAAAAAAAAAGTAAAGATGTCTTGTCCAGCACTCAGGGTGTTGTGACTGAATATGACTTCAACCTCGCAGTGAAATTTAAGAGTACATCCATTTTAGCTCATCTAATGAAAATATGATAAAAATGTTTATATTAACTGAAAAATCCAATGGATAAATGCACTAACATAAAATAACAAAAGGTGCATTGAGAGACATTGGAAGTTATTCTTTAAATATTTGAGATCATGTGGTTCTTTCAGAGGTGATTTTAGCAGTACTTCTCTGGACTGGCAGGTGGGCAAGTTTGCTCATGTGGCATTTTCAAAATGCACATTCAAATTATGCCATTTATAGAGGTCCACTCCTCTTTCCACAAACCCCTGCCTCTTTGAGTAAAACTGTCCTAGTGACTCATCTAAAAATGGGAGCGGATCACATCATGCTGTTGGCGCCCTGGGCTTTTTCAAGGAACTCCCAGCTTGAAACCTAGGAAACTTTCGGAATATGAGCAGGGGAACTTATCTTTCTATTGTTGATGCAAAGCATTGATTTACTTTTTAAATTGTTTATTTTATGAACACAGTGAGAAACTCAGCTATAAAGCTGTGTCATCATACCAGTGACTTCCATAAACTCAAAATCACTGATTGAACACTTTGGACAAGCCTTCTCAATATTCATCTGTGGCTTGACATTTTAGACTGGAAAGTTTGTTTGAGAAAATACTCCTAATAATCAACAGCACAAAGCTTCTTCATGACTGAAAAGAAGGGTCTTCTTAGAAAGATTGTGATAAGAAGACTGAAAGAAGTCGCCTACATCCAGTTCCCTTATAAATAAAACTATAGTTTGTACTATGATCACTAGACACCTACCAGAAATTCCAATCCTGATGTTCAATTGACATAAAATTTACCTGCTGTAGATTACATTGAATTTTTATGTCTAGAAAGTTTGCCCACTGATGGGACTTTTCTGTCATAGGCATAAACCTTTTCATCAAAGTTGCCAGAGGAATCCATTAGAGTTTAACCAATTTGCTTGAAACTTTCTGTTCAGTTTTTTAACTGGTATGTATCAAAAGGGAAGACAGGGATATACCTATATAGACTGAAATATCCATATGGGATATGCATATAGGACTTCCAAACATCTAAGAAATAAAGAGAAGAAAGTTGTTATTACTCATTATTATAGCTGTAGTAATGGGTATTTTAGGATCCTTCAAATCCTGTTGACTAACACATAAAATTACCTCTGGCAAATAAAATACTTTTTGTTTTCTGGATCCAAAAAAAGATACCACTGTTTTTAAAATATCCATTTTTCTTCACTGTAATTCTCTTTTTGAGTATTTAACATGGACTTATGGATAGTTAACCAGGCAAATGTGACAGCAGCAAGATCTCCCAGGACGCACATTATGGTAAATCTGGCCCAGACTCTGCTGCCGTCTTTTTCTTTGAGACAATGCACCTGCTTCTCTAGAAGCATATATTCTATAGAAGGGGATGAATAAATTGTTGTGCAAAGAAAATGAAGTTTAAAATCTAATGCTATCTCCGAACTTTGTGAGAATCAGTGCTATATATGGGTCAACTAGAAGATACAGAATTTGCCTGAAACTACTAAACCAAGATAAAAACAAAGAAACAAAGAAACCTTTTTTTTTTTTCAGCTGCAGTTATTTGCCTTTCGTACTGCGTTTCCCATTCTTTCACTTTCATTTCATCCAGGCACCTTGCAAGGCACAGTAATGAAGAGGATATGGGGTCTCCTTGACTTAATGGAACCAACAGTTTAGGTGGCAGTCCAACCTGAGACTAAATAATAAGCAAAAACTCCTCCTCCTTCCTTTCCCTGCCAAATTGACTTATGTCATTTTAAGTTCACTATTACAGGCCTTTTAATTATCCAATGAAACACTTGCTCAAGACTTCTCCTAGCACCAACTACCTAAAAAATATGTTTGTCTTCTAATCTACTTCCTCATCTCCCATTCCTGTCTGCTAATCTCATCATTTTTTCCTCCTTATTTTTTAATTTAATTTAATTTAATTTAATTTAATTTTTGAGACTGAGTCTCGCTCTGTCGCCTAAGCTGGAATGCAGTGGCACGATCTCGGCTCACTGCAACCTCCACCTCCTAAGTTCAAGCAATTCTCCCTTCCTCCCCTCCTGAGTAGCTGGGATTACAGGCATGCACCACCAAGCACCACCAAGCCCCTCTAATTTTTATAATTTTAGTAGAGACAGGGTTTCACCATGTTGGCCAGGCTGGTCTCCAACTCCTGACCTCAAGTGATCTGCCCGCCTCAGCCTCCCAAAGTGTTGGGATTACAGCCATGAGCCACTGCACTGGGCTGTTTCCTCTTTTTTTAATAACTTTTTTTTGTTACCTTTCTAGGGAACCAATATATATTTAATGGGATTGTCTGGAGACAGTAGCTCAATTCCAATGGCTGGCTACAAAATAAGGCATTTAGGGATTCAAAGCAATCTGGCAAGAAAGTTGTTAAGGTTTCTTTTCGTTTCTCTCACAACTCCCAAATGTGAAATCACATTTGTAACCTGAATAGAGAAGTTGGATTTTTTCCCTTTGCATTGTACTATAAACTAATAAATTTTCTAACCAGACCAGAAATATTATTACAAATAGTTTAACAATATTTTTCAGCAGACTCTGTCAAAGTAACTTATTTTTTAAAAAAAACAGGATTTGGTTAATCTACCTACTTTTTTATTCTTTTGTAGCTTATATCCCTCTACTTTCCCCAAAGGGGGAAAATGATATTGCGTAAAAGTTTTATAATACATTTGACTGAAAAAAAAAAGAATCAGTCATCGTATTTTAGCATTACATTTAGTTCTGAAACTAATATGGTTTATAGAACATAGGATAATATTGTCCAGTCAAAAGATATGGTCATTTTGGCCCAGTGGCTCACGCCTAATCCCAACATACTGACATTTTGGGAGGCCAAGTTGGGAGGATCACTTGAGGCTAGGAGATTGAGACCAGCCCAGGCAACATTATGAGATCCCATCTCTACCAAAAAAAAAAAAAAATCATATATATACATATATATATATATATATGATTACTTAGTAGAGACATTTTCGAAGTAAAGTATTTTTTAAGATTCTGTGGGATCAAAAAAGTATTTGTTCACTTTTACCCACTGGTGTGCTGGTAAACTAGCTCCAAACATCCATCCCCAAGGAAAAGTCCTGATTTGTAGCACTTGCCTATACCCATGATGTAAATACTATGCGGATGATTTCTAGCCACCAACATGAAGTCACTAAACACAGAACTGGGGAGAGGTATACATAACTGACTCCCAGGATGAACTGGCTGCAGCACAACACAGGGGTTATTCTCCCTGTGAAGTTTTCCTCAACTTGGGTGTTTCAGCTGAGGTAGAAGTGGAGGGGAGAGGAGTAGGGGCTGGGGAGAATATTAGCCAAGCCATGACCAGCAAGAATATCTCACACTGATGAGGTTGCACTGAAGCCAGATCATCCCTGGTGGAACTCCTGCCATTTCTCTTTTCCTTTAGTTGAGCAAGTATTCCCTCTGAAGCCTATTGTAAAACCTTATCTCTATTTCAGATTTTTAAATAGCAAATGATTAGCTTTCCTAAAATGTGATTCTGCTAAATAAAAACAGCAGGTGAAAAGTTGATTTTAAAGTTTCAGGTCATATGTGTGAAATCCTAGGAACAATTCTTGAGGGGGTCTATTATTTGTTTTTAGATGAAAATTCATGAAAACACTATCATGAATGCAAACCCCAAGGCACTTGTATTACCAGAACAGACCCTCTTGCCTGAAGCAGTATGCAAGGTTTGCAGAGTCTGCAGGGAAGCAGTGAGGATCAGGACAGCAGAAGGGGAAAGCAGAAGTGGTTTCCAAGCCAAAGGACCAGGAGCTGCTTTCACACTAAAATTTACTTCTTTTTATTTTCCTGGTTGCTTCAGGACAATACCCATCAAAGTCTCATAACGTGCGTGTTCTTCCTCTTTCCAGAATCCCTGCAGGAGCCCTGATCAGAGCTGGGGTTTGGTGAGGCAGGGTGTTGTGAGTGACAAGCAGCAGAGCAAAGGGAAAAATGCCTTCAGTTCCCACGCTTCCTCTCTGCCCTCTAGGACCAGGATGTCTCTTCATTATCACTGCTTGCAGAGCCCCATGCCAGTTTCCCATCCCTGAGTCCCTATCCCTCATCCTCCCCTGTTCCTCACTCCAGCCTTCATGGCCCTGTCCTCCCAGTATGGTAAGCTTGAGCTAAGATGCCCCCTTGTCCCTGCATGCACACACACACACACACACACACACACACACACACACATCATTCCTCTGCCAAGTCCGCTGAAAGAATGAGGAATTGGATTGCCTTCTGCAGGGAGCTTTGGGCAGGTGTATGTCTGGCATCCCAGATATTATTCTTATTGGAACAATAGAACATCATGAGTTTGCATGCTGAAGTCTATGATTCAGGGTCATTATGGATAATGTCAGCTTCTGTGAGTGCCTGACTCCTATTACATCACTGAGAACACGTATAGACTGCTGCCAACATATTTTGGAAACACAGCTGTTTTCTAAGCTGTTGATTCACTGACATCTCAACCAGCCACTGAATTCTACACCTAAACTTGCTTGTATTGTTCTCTAATTATTATATTTGTGTTTGTCTTTTCTACTAATTTAGACATCAAATGCTGAATATTATACTTTTGTCTCAAGGTGGTAAATATTTACTGACAGACTGGTAACATGATGAGTCTTACATATTTTTTTAGTGTTCTCTGCCAGACAGACAAGCTGAGTGTAACATTGCTTACTGAGTTCCAAATTGTTTTAAATTCCTTTCATGGGAGGTAGGTGACCTGTTACTCCTGTGAAAGAGGGTGGATATTACTTGAGAACCCTCAAAGTCATTCTTAAAGCCTAACTCCATGTCTCAAATTGCACTCAGATGGCCCAAAGGCCTGATTCCAGCCTGTCGTGGTTGCATCATCTTTCACTTGAACGTGCAAGGACGAATACAGGTGCAGAGCTGGTTCAATCATAACTTTGATCAGACCAATCAAGCACATGTGATGTATAAGACAACATGATCCATAGAGCACTGGTATTATCAATTGCTCCATGTGTCACACAGTAGGTCCCTGGTTGTTTGGTTGCAGCTGAAAATTACTTTCAGAATGGTTGTGAAGAGTGTGTGTGAATATAGCTGTCCATCAGCTCCGGACCATGGAGAAAGTCATCAGTGGAACAGAAACACCAGTGTAAGGGGTTTGCTTTGTTTCTTAAGCTGGCCTTTAGTCCAGTTGCCTTAGAACTTAAACTTCCTATCTTACAGACCAGTCGTTAAGGTGAAGCCAAGTCTTTTCTCTTTGTCCATCAAAGGCTGATCCACGGAGTTCACTGGTCACAAAACTGTCTTCTACAATCAGGGATTGCATTTTAAATAAAATTCATGTAGTAGTCTTAACATAAGCATGTCTCAAGCATGGTTACCTCTCAAAATAAATGGTCTTAAGGCAATGGCAACCTAGAGGAGGTGCCCTCTGTCTTTCATATCCTGGTCTGATTTGTTGTATAGATGACAGTATGGAAGCTTGAATAAGGAACAGCTGAACAGAAGATGCCTTCCTGTGAACCTGGGGTTATCCCTATAGTGAAGCCTCTTCTCTTGAAGATAAAATGGAGTAAAAATAGTTTGAATGAAAGAGTCCACCTCTGGAAGCTGCAGCAGGCACCAGAGTAGGGAATTATATTCATTGACTGGACAGACATCTATTAGCTACTACTGTCTGTCGTGTACTAGACACTATTCTAGGCACTGGGTACTGAGCAGTAACTAGCACAGAGAACCAGCCCAGAGTTCTGAACTCTGGCTCCTAGGGAGCACTTGCCCTGGTCCTAACATTTTCCTCTTAAGAGTTTTCTGCCATACTACTTGCATTTCAAACATCATTTTGGCAGTTATTCTCTAATCAGAAGATCATATAAGGAACTTCAGGCAAAATACTCTGTTATTAAACAACATGAAAGAAAGAAATGGCAAGCACAAAGTTCTATCTATAATATATATTTTTTATGCACAGGGACCAGTGTGATTTTCATTTCTATCTCAGTTAACTAATTATTTTGTTGTTAAAAACCACATTATGAATGACTAGTGAAGAGAAATGAACAAAACCAAAAGCACTGCAAGTTTCCCTACCTTATATGAGCAAAATACCTTGTTTCACCAAGAGAGTAATTAACTTGGCACACAAGGCTTAGCAGAAAAGCCAAATTATCTCATGTGTAAACACTGCTATCTTCTTCTTGTCTGTCTGTGGTAATGGGCCACTCTACCATTGTTATAGACTTGGATGAATCACACTCAGCATTTGTGGGGTGACATAGATAAAGCTTAATATTTAGACCAATTGTTGCTATACTATGGGAGAAAGAGAGAGAGAATGTGAAAGAACCAGACAAACAACAAAAAAAGAAAACACTAGAAATTGGCTGCCTAAATCAGCCCCATAGTTTATGATGCTCTTGTCTTTTACACAGTGTTTACTACTGAAAGCATGGGTCTGTCCTTACAAAGAACCCTTATCTTATAGTCTTGAAAGGGTTAAAGAGAACGTCTGTCAGATGTATATTGTAGTGATCAAAAAATAAAGGCTTTGGAATCAGCCCTAGGTTAAAAATCCCACTTTGTCTGTCTCTAACTGCGATCTTCTCAGGTTTCTATTTCCTCATCTGTAAAATGAGGACAATAATACCCAATTCACAGAGTTGCTACCAGAAGCTTAATAAATGTCTCTTGAAGGAAGCAATGCTGCCATCTCTCTGTTCCTGGAGTCCAGCTGACCATTTTTCAAAGATGATTGTGTGAGAGGCTGTATTCTATGACTTATAAGGCTTATAATCATGTTATTGACTCTGACATTCTCTGGTTATAAAACTAGAGTATCAAAATGCATGAGAGTGCCTGCTCAGATAACCATCAGATGAATATGAAGCTTGCTCATCCCTGGGAGTGCAGAAATCAGCTCCTTTTACCTCTTGAAGAAGTGGATACAGCATCCTCTACTGCTCAATTGCATAAACCAGCACTTGTCCTTGGTGAGCCGTTGTTTGCACGGATGACATTTCTAAGACAAACTTCATGGGAAAAGAGATTAGAGTGGCAGACTACACTTAGGAATTTAGAATAAGACCAAGCAACAAAAAATGAGAAATTGTGTGTGTGTATATATATATTTATATTTATATTTATATATGTTTTTCCCCAAAAGCTTTCAATTTAATTTATATATATAATGTAATAACAAAATATCTATATATAGATATATAACAATATATATAACAACATATATATAAATAGAGATGTTATAGATATTGTTGTCTATATATATTGTTGGCTAGATATGTATGTATACATACATATCTATAGATATATATCTATAGATATACATTTATATATAGATATATAGATATATAGATCTCTCTATATAAATATATGTGTATGTATATATCATATATCATACATAAATATATGTATATATCTATATATATTTATATAGAGAGATCTATATATATGTCAATATCTATAACATTTCTCTAAATATATAGCGAGATCAGAGATGTCTCTATATATTTATATATAGAGAGAAATATGTTATAGATATTGGCATATAGATATAAACAACTTATAGAGATATATTGGTATAGATAGCTATATCTATAGATACAGATATCTAGAGAGAGAGAAAGCACACTTTTGGAGAAAATGGAAACAATGTAATTCGTGTGCAAGACTTTATACAGATAAGAAATAGGTTTTTTAAATTAACCTCCTTAGGGTCTGAGCTATATTTGCAGAGTCATTCCATAATACGGCCAAGCCCACTGCTTCTCCTAAACCACTAGAACTACATTAACAATTACAAGCCTAGTTTTTCTGGACTCTGCCAAAATACAGCTTTGCTTTTCAGAAAAATAAAAGGTGGGGGGTAGTAGATATGCCAGACCACTGACTGTTCCAGTTTTTATTTTTCTTCTGCCTGATCACAATTCTCTATTCTCCAGCCTTTCTTGTCAATGAAAGTCTAACCGTGTTCTATCTTCGGCGTCTATTGTTAGGAACGCTGTCAAGGATATAGTGGGCATTCAGATTCTTCTAGAGAATGAGTTGTTTTGCTTTTGGCAGAAAGGACAGCTGCAGTGAGCTGAGATAAAGAGCATGGAGCTCTGACTTTGATGCGTTTCAAGCACTGGGTGCAAGAAAAAATTAAGCAATGTTCATTTTTCCTCTTTGTGCTTTGCCTTTGTTTTTGTTTTCTTTCGTAATTTTGGAAAGGGTTGTCACAAAAACAGTGCTGGGTATGTGAAAATCTTCTCAGTGCTATTGGCAGCTGATGACTCTTGTGTAGGTGTCTTTGAGAGGGAGGATCTAACAAACACCTTTAAAGTGATCCCTGATGAACCATCTGGGTCTTAATACTCTCCAAATAACTGTTCGTTATTCTCTTTTATAAGCCATTGTCTGTCAAAGATCCAGATGTTTTACCATTTGTTGAACTTGTTTTTCAGGTTTATCAAATAATCAGAGATAATAATAGCATCAGGCTCTTACTATGACACCAGCATAGCTGGAAGAGAAGTCATGAAATCATTGGAAACACTAGCCTTACTGTATCTTCACTTTCACATCCTCTACCTCTCATTAGAGAACAAAAAGGAAAACATTTAATGTTTTTGGATTTTATTTTATTTTAACAGAGTGGACTAGTTGTTCTCTTATCCTGTTACAACCTCAATAGCTTCTAAATCGTCTTGGAATCTAGTAGAATAGTTAATTAAGTAAAATTTGTGGCTTGATAAAGAATAAATGCTTTTTTGAGAATAAGTTGTGGTGAACTAATAAAAATCATGTCTTTTCAGGAAGAACCTTTAATAAGTCAGGATCATTTGGGCATTAGCACAGGCCATCACTATACAGACGAATAAATGATAAGGCTAACCCCAGGGTCTTCAAGATTCACTGGGAGTCCGGGGTATGGGATGGGAAGAATGTCTGCATCTGATTGGGTTTATAGTGGTTCAGAGTTCAACTTCTCCTTGCAGCCAGCATTTGGATACTTTTAATAGCTGTTCTCTGTTACTGGGCAGGACTGGACACAGAGAAAATGATGACACTCTTTAAAATTCCTGGCAATTATTTCCTGCAAGAATGAGATTCCTCCCCGGCCCCAAAAGCTACGTCATGTTTTTATTTCGGTACTAAACGGAGCAAAGGAGCGTGCAAAAATGAAACTGATGCATCTCACTTAGCATTGCAGTTAACGGAAAGGAAATCTCTTGAGAGCAAGGTCTATTTTTTATTTTTAATCTTGGGTAATAATAAAGTTGGCAGTCTGTATATGCCTGAGTGCGTAAACAAATGTACATAGGCAAACTTTCAAACTAGACATCCTTTGTATCAGTAAGATGGATGCTCAATGTCTTGGGTAATACAGAGATACAGAAGAGACAGTCTTTACCCTTGCTGAGTGTGAAAAGATCCTTCGTTTAGTAACTGTAACAACCATTCTTTTTATTGTGTTTTGTGTCTGGGGTGAGCAAGCTGAATTCTGGATTTTATTCCAGATCAGAAATTACTCCTTATTACTAATCCAGTCTTAAGGATTTACAGAATGTTTTTCTTTCAGATTTAGTTAAATTTCCCAGCATGCCTCTGAATGAGGTAAGAAACATACATGTCCTAGAAGAAAAAAAAAGTCAGAAAAAGTGGCATTTTACTGTATTTCATTATTTTGTTATTAGAAGGAGAGGACACAATTTGATACACCAGCATCAGTCATTAAAGGTACGCTCTTGTGTGGGGGAGCTGTGCTGAAGGGATAGAAGCCAGTAGCTAATCCACTGTTATACTTTTCTAGAAGAATAAACAGACTCCTGTGAACTACCAACTTTGAGTATTAGATTAGGATAAATCCAGGAGGGCTTTATTCCACCCAAAATTCAAGTGAAGACAGAGTCTTCAAAAAGCCCCAGGATGAAGAATCACTTCCTGAGAATCAGGGAACATTTACCTTTATTAACCATCATTAGCTGATTCCGGCTTACAGAAATTCCCCTGAGAATGGGTGTTGAAGTAATCACTGCTCTCTGCTCTACTTCCTTAAAAAGAAATCAGTTTTAAATGATGGGTCTTCACTCTTTCCAGACATTCCCAGCTCCACAGACTTAACAGCTTTTCTTTGTAAGTTGCCTGAAGGGAGCAGGGCTTGAAATCAAACTCATTCTCCATTAGACTTGCCAAGGCCCCAGGCAGTGCTGGGGAAAGGTAGCTCCCTTTGCAGCATAACTTTCACGAGTGCAAGTTGGGACTCAAGTCCTGAGACAGCTCACAAGCCCTGGCTGATTTAACTTGCCACTTTGTAGCTATTCTTGGCACATAGCCTGCATAGAGTTGGCCTATGAGACTTTTCTCTGTTTATAGCACCTTTCAACTCAGGCACTGAGAATGCTGACCAACAGTGTTGCTTTTTTTGTTCTTATTGCCCTTTCCAGAAACTATGTAAAATGGAAAACAGTTCCCATTTCTCTCATTCCAGCTGTGCCATCTGAGAGCACATTTCTCAGAGCACCCCCCCAACCCTTTTTTTTTAAATACATGACCACAAAAATGTCTCAGGAATGAAATTCTTTGAAAAGCTAAGACTTTCTTCTGCCCCATCCCTGGTAAACTCCGTTTGTTAATAAGTGCTACCATGGGTGCTTTGGTGAAGTATGTTTCACAGGTGACTCTTGTGAAATCTTACTGTCATTCATTGGCTCATTCCATCAAAACTAAGCAGGCAAGTTATAAGTGCAAGACAAATGGGAGGTACAAAGATGTATCAGCCTGCTTCTAGTAGGCTACAGTCCACCAGGAAAGATAAGCAATAAAAATTCATTCTATTCATGCTAACAGAAGTACAGACAACGTGCTGAGTTACTGTATAAAGAGATTGATTAATTCTATTTGAGAGAACTGAAGTCATGTTTTACCCACCTCTGCTTTTGCACAAAACATTCTTCCTGCCTAGAGCACCTTTGCCTGGCTATTGTTACAGGGTCTTCAAAGACTCCATTCAGATGTCACCTCTTCTTAGGAGCCTTTCTTGAAACTTTTGGTCTGGATTCATTGTCTCTTTTTACTTCATTTCTGTATTTATATCTGTGACATCATATATTAATTATTGATGTGTGACCTCTTTGCTGAAGTGTAAGACCCCAGAAGGCAGGGATTCAATCTTTTATTTCAGCATTCCCAGTGCCTGAATGTCACTCTGCTTTCAAAGAAAATGATTAATAAATGAATTAGTTAATTTAGCATGATGGTATTGCAATTTGTGTGCTTATCAGAGTTTTATGATTGAAGGCAAATGTGATATTTGTATATTTTGACCACCAGTGTTTTACATCAAGAAAGAATAGTTATCCAAAAATGGAATAGATATTTCCATGTACTCATGTGAAAAATTATCTGTGGGGCTTTTCAGAAAATGGGTTTTTGTTACTTTTCCATTAGGACAGATGTTTTATCCTGTGACAGAATGGTAAAATTAAATTTCAGGACTTTTAAGGAAGAGAAAACAACCTTTTTTTTTTTTTTTTTTTTTTAGTGTTTATTTCCTCAGGTTTTATCATTAGATTCTTTTATAATGGCAGACATTCATATTTTAGAGTCATATTTTAGTCAGGTTTACACTATCAATATTCATGTCTGTTTTTGCAATCCAGAGATAATCTTTAAAAGCAGAAATCTATCTAAAAGGCTAGGGTTTAAAGTTCTTTTCATTTTCACTAACTCCTTAATATGGTATTCAGTGTACTCCATAGCTTGCAATTTACAAATGCTGTATCTACATGGTCTGCCAATACAGATGCAATTGTATATTAATCAGAATTTTTAAAATCAGAATGGAAAAGAGGCAGGGAACAATTTTTAAAAGTTTAATAGATAAAGAAACAAAGAAAATGTAGGAGAGCTGAAGACTAAATAACAAATGCATACAATAGGAGATTGGTGAGCTACAGATTTTTAGTGAACTGTGCATGTTGGGGGCACGTGAGAGCTCACCTCCCCTCAAAAAAACAGAATGTACCAACTTTTCACCCTAGTAACAGATTTTACTTTGCATGCCAGTGTACTTTACAAGGCTGATGTAATGACTTCTTCCCCTAAAAGAAGGACTGAAATAGGATTTCCAGAGCACACTTGGGAAGAGATATGCCAGACCCTATCAAACATGGAATCAAATATAGCATCTCCGAAATTATGTCCCTGTGCAATGAAAGTTGGTTGGTTTGCCTTAATAGGTCTTGCTTTCTTCCTCAATAACAATTAGGAATTGTTCCATTATGTTTCAGATGTCACAGTGCCCCAAATTGATATTATTCTAATCACTTCTCCTTATACTAAAGATCCTAGTTTAAGGAATTTTTTCTCAGTTTCTGGCACCCACTTTGGTATTCAAGAGCCACTTTCTGTTTTAGCAGCATTTGAACAAATCGCTTCTTTCAAAAATCTGTATTATAGATTATTGCTAAATTGTCCAAGTGCCCTGTGCCTGCTTGAATGCTGTGAGGCTACAATGTAGTATAAGGGAGCCAGAAAATTGCTAGTTGAAGGCAAAGCTGTCTAAAGTGAAAGTGATATTAATAGCAGTCCCAGGAGGATCAGATCGGCTCCTGGATTCTCCATGGTCTTGGGCACAAAGAGACAACAGCTGTAAACTACTCATAAATAGCTATGGACCACACATTTCAAAATGTCTTCATCAATGGGAAAACAGTTTTGATTCTTAAAATTGCAGGCTTGAATCAGGGTTTTGGCCTTGTAAAATAATCAAGCTGTCACATCTTAAAAATCTGAGATCAAATTTAAAATTCCATGGCTCTGGAATAACCATTAAGACCCAAAGTAAGCAATATTTAAGCATCTGGGCTTTGAAGAGAAGTCAAAAAATTTTAGGGTAAATCATTACCAAATAATAATTTAAAAAAAACCTTTTAATAAATAATACTGATTTAAATTTTACATGTTTTTAAAGAGTTTAGATGTCAAGTGGGGGTTTCTGTTTTTTTCATTGTGGCATTAGTAGAAGACTAAGAGCAAGGTATGCAGAAAGAAAAGCGAGATGAAGTGCCATCTTGTCCTAAGTCCACGTACCCCATCAGTGTGCCTCATAAGAGAAAATGAAGGAGAGACCACAATGCCCTTAGCCTCCAGCACTTACTCTCTCACACTGAGGTATGTCGCTTTGCCCACATTTGGCATTAGATCCTTTTATTTGCACATGTGAATGAATAATATGCAAAGTTACTCTACTCTCCCCTTATCATTTTGTGATGGCTTTTCTTTCTTTTTGTTTTGTTTTGTTTTGTTTTGTTTTGTTTTGTTTGAGACAGAGTCTCGCTCTGTCGCCAGGCTGGAGTGCAGTGGCGCGATCTTGGCTCACTGCCACCTCCGCTTCCCAGGTTCAAGCAATTCTTCCTCCTCAGCCTCCCAAGTAGCTGGGATTACAGGTGCGCACCACCATGCCCAGCTAATTTTTGTATTTTTAGTAGAGATGGGGTTCCACCATGTTGGCCAGGATGGTCTCTATCTCTTGACCTCATGATCCACACGCCTCGGCCTCCCAAAGTGCTGGGATTACAGGTGTGAGCCCCTGCACCCAGCCTGTGATGCCCTTTTTTAGAGATACAGGTAAATAAATTATAGAGTTAATGTCTACAAAAATAACCATTGTATATTAAAAGTGTAAAAACCAGTGATGTGATAAACAAGGTTATAAAAACAAAAAAATTATTCAGTCACTTCAGGAAATACTGAGATACCTACAGATAACCTGGTCAAATCCTAGTTCTATCATGTAGACTTACATAAGTTACTTTGCCTTGGTTTCTCTGTATGTAAAATGGGGATAACAACATATTTATGTTATGATGTTGGTGTTAAAATTAAATACATTTTAGATGTAAAGCTTTTATATCCTTAGGACAGTGCCCTGCACATAGTAAGCAACCATATGTTACAAATATATATATATATATATATATATATATATATATATACACACATATATATATATTTATACATATGTTTATATGTACGTATATTGCTTTTGTTCCTAGTTTTTGGTTTATTTATGTAGTCAAATGATAAGTATTATTGATTTTATTACAGCCATTATTTGTTGACTGTTTATGACATTTCAGATGCTGGGCTAAGGTCTTTGCAGTGATTATTCCACCTAATTTTTATGAAAACCTTATAAGGTAGCTACTTTTGCTATTATTTTATTATTATCTGTTTTGGTTTTTTTTCTTGAGACAGAGTCTCACTCTGTTGCCCAGGCTGGAGGGCAGTGGTCGTATCTCAGCTCACTGCAACCTCTGCCTCCGAGGTTCAAGTGATTCTCCTGCCTCAGCCTCCTGAATAGCTGGGATTACAGGCACCCACCACCACGCCTGGCTAATTTTTGTGTTTTTAGTGGAGACGGTTTTTCACCAGGTTGGCCAGGCTGGTCTCAAACTCCTGGCCTCAAGTGATCGCCCGCCTTGGCCTCCCAAAGTGCTGGGATTATAGGCGTGAGCTACCGTGCCCAGCACTATCTCTGTTTTAAAAATAAAAAAAAAACAGGCATAGAGAGGGCAAGTAACTTGTCAGAGTGACAAACTGACAAAGCAAGTGTTATAACCATACCATGTAAATATGTGTTATTATAAGTATAAACCATATATTATGGTTTTTATTATAGTAACTTTCTCTTCCTCTATTCTTGCACCTTGAACTGTGATATTCATGCAGCAGGATTCCATCATTGTTTTTAATTTACATATGGCATATTTTTCAGATGAATATCTTTAGGCTGATACATAGAATCTCATTGTCCTTCTGTTTAGACTTTCTAACCTTGGTCATTCGACTCAAGCCTTTCTAAGTTGAACCATCACAAAAGGTGAAGTTTTTTCCACAAAATTCTCATAGAATGTAAGTTGGGCCTTGTCAGCGTCCACAACAAATGTAAATCATTTTGGCCATGGATAATGTCAAGTATAGATTTTTAAAAGCAGAGAAATAAAGAATTCTTGCAACCTAAAATAAAAATGTCCAATAAAAAGAATGGCCTCTTTAAAAATGTATTTTGAAAGATTAAAGAGGTGATAGTTTCCTGAAACCATAAACACACCAAATAAGTCAAGGAAAGAAGAGTACTGCCCTTGACTGCAACCTCCCTTAATATTTCTATCATCTACTTTGCTGGCCTTGATTTAAGTAGAAGTCACTCAGTTGCTTTGATAGATGAGAGTCTCTGTCCTTTAAACCTGTAGTTTCCATGAAGAAGGAATAAGCTGGGCACTTTTCTTCTGTTGGCTAGAGAATAATGCATTAGGAATAGACATTCTCTGAAATGAGGAAAATATACCAAATCTATTTAACACCCTTTGGGGCTTGCTTGTTGTTCTCATTAAGCCTGTGAGATATGAATGCTAACAATCTCACTGCTTGTTTTCTCAGTCCGTCACCACATACTTCAACAATACCTCCCTTATAAAGACACTCAGTTAAGGAACATGTGGTCACCAAAAGAAGCCAGTGGAGATCAGGCAGCACATCAGAAGGTCCTCTGTCTTGTCTTCTTGCCCTGGCTTTGTAACAGGGGAAAGAAGAAGGCAAAGCAGCTGATCATTAGATCTCAAATTCCAGTTTTCCCAAATGATTGCCCAATTTCCCAGTCTTCTCAAAAGCTTGCCAAATATGCCAATCAAACTGGCAAAATTTAGATAGACAAGTAGATTTCACATGTTTCATTTTTACAAGTAGCTGCATACCACTTTTTGAAAGTTAGAATATAAACATCTTTGGTGTTTAGTCAACTCTACTGATGGAGTACTCAGGAGCTGTGGCAAATGAATCCTTCAAGGAGACTAAGTGAAGTCTGTGGGTACGGGGGTCCCACTTGCAGGAGAGTCAGCCCTCAAGCCTGGAATAGGAAACCACCATGCCCCACTTCACCAACAACATCCATCCAGCCTGACCTCCAGCAGAGCATTCAGCCTCAAGAGTCAGTGCTGCCTTGTGCCCTGCCTCATTATAGTATTTTTCAGTTTACAAAGCACCTTTCACATAATTATCCCATGTGATGTTCACAACAGCTCTGCCAGGTAGACAGGACGAGGATCATTTTTAAATGACCTTCATTTTAAAGCCAGGGAAACTCAGACTACAGAGAGGCCTGTGGGTTACTCAAGCTCATGTAAAACCCACGTAAAGAAAAAAACATCATCAGACCCAGCCCTTTCAGCTTTCAACCCAGCGTTCCTCCCGGACAACCTGCTAATGTGATGAGCGCAGGCTCTACCCTAAGGACCACACAATATGTTGCTCTTTGCTTTTGGAGATAAACCTCAGAGTTGTTCTTCATAGGTAGAGCAGTTTGTTTGAAAAAAGTAATATACTCATTTAAGGTTCAAGTGACACTTGTAGTTAACAGCTAACTCTTTGGATCCTTAACATAAGTTAAGGATAAGTTAAGAACATAAGTTCTCTCCTTTGGTCAGATAATAACAAAAATTTGAGTCTTATGGCCTCTCTGTCCTGTAGGTGCCTCATGGTCATAATTAGTTACTTACCTGCAAAGGTATATACAGATTACTCAGTCATCTGTCTATACTTCTGTTGCTTGTTCCATAATAATAAAAACTGCAATACAACAGCTTCAACTCAATTATAAAATGTGAGCATACAATTCTATTCACTTCAAATTGAATAGGAAAATTTAACCATTTGTCAATTGTTTTAATACTAATTTGATTAGCTTTGCATTTTAGCTAAAAATGCTTCAACTTTGATGCACTTTTGCAGTAAATTACTTATATTTTCCTAGTCAACCTACTGCTGGTAGGAAATGGGCAGTCTGTGCCATTATAATTTTGTATCTATATATAGCTTCCATTTAATATAAAGGATAAACAACATGAGTGATACACGACACAGCTTCAATCCTTATCCATTTACAGAGAGAGACCTTCTGACAAGCCGCCTCCACTTGTAACAACCAGATTATATGTAGGAGCACTTGGAAATTTTAGAAATGTTTACTGTTCTTTCTCTAGGGGAGATATATAACTTCTTGTCACTTATATTTACAGAAGTGGCAATGTAGAATTTTGATTTACTATCAGCAGTTAAATGAATTTTCTAAAGAAAATAACAACAATCCTCATTTCTGGGTTCCCTACAGTAAAAACGGAAGCCTGTTGATATGCTTGTATCATCATCTGATCTTTTGCAAAATGTCTGTTAATGAGCATTTAGAGCAAATGATCAAAAGAGTTGCATAAGTGTACACAGGCAGATCCCCATCCTACACACAAGCGTTAAACGGTTTCTCTGGCATGCTCATTTTCCAGAGACAGCCCCATTCCATGGCTTTTCATCTGATACTGCTGGAAAATTTTAGAGCACAACTTCCATTGCCCTTCAGTGTGGGGCTGGACAGCCTAGTTTTGCTGTTATTAGATTATTTTTAATCCCAGAAATTATGTGTTTATTTACAAAATAAGCAAGTTCGGATTACTCAATACATTTATGTGGGGCTACAAATATGATAAGATGCTGTACCCAGGTTTCCTTGGTAGAAATCTAGTATGCAAATGTGATCATGGAGAACAAACAGCTAGAAAGCAACAGTGCCCAGTCTATTCCATCCACAAGGGCTGTTCCACATCTTCTGAGGGCCCTCTGACTCCAGACTCTTCAGCCAAGGAAATGAGCAAATATGATGAAATGATCTAAAAGCAGTGCTCGATGCCTTTTTTATAAGGCGACAGACAGGCTGCAGCTGGGGCTGTGGAGAGAGGGGCACAGTCCCTTGCATAAACACCGACATGCCGCAGCCTTGGGGGACAGAGCCCCCTGGTGAAGTAGAAGCACCTCTCCCTGGTCAAGAGAGAGGCTGACAGCACATCTCAACTAAAATGGAAAAAAAAAAAAAAAAAGGACTTGGCATATTAACTATGTTTTCCTCGTTCCTGCTTCTCCTCTTTATTGTGCAAGTGCCCCTTAGTGAGTGCCTTATCGGGAGTTTCACTCTATCTGAGGCATTAAGCCAGAAAGAGGATAAAATCAGACTGACCTAGAATTACTGTAGTGTCATTTAACAACCTTATTTTAGTTAATTGCTGATTAATGGGCCACACTTTTAAAACGTGGAGAGGTATGAGTTTGTTTTAAAAAAGCCCTATTATACCTAATAAATAGCATCTAATCTTGGACATCCTATAAAGTACCTTGGGGCTTTCCATACTGGTTGTCCTTCAAATCAAGCTCCTCACATCAAGCTTTTTTCTCCCAAATTAATGAGCAGCACTAGGATATGTGAACTTTGTGTAGCTTTTTCTTGACTCATCCATTCGTAGGAAGCTTCATCTTAGACTTCTTAGTTTATTAAAGTTTATTAAGAGTATTTGGGGCTGGGCATGGTGGCTAGTGCCTGTAATCCCAGCGCTTTGGGAAGCCGAGGCGGGTGGATCACCTAAGGTCAGGAGTTGGAGACCAGCCTGACCAACATGAAGAAACCCCGTCTCTACTAAAAATACAAAAAAAAAAAAGAGTATTTGGAGGGCCAGGCATGGTGGTTCATGCCTGTAATCCCAGCACTTTGGGAGGCCAAGACAGGCGGATCATGAGGTCAGGAGTTCGAGACCAGCCTGACCAACATGGTGAAACCCCGTCTCTACTAAAAATCCAAAAATTAGCCGGACTTGGTGGCGCGCGCCTGTAATCCCAGCTACTCAGGAGGCTGAGGCAGGAGAATCACTTGAACCTGGGAGGTGGAGGTTGCAGTGAGCCTAGATCCTGCCAATGCACTCCAGCCTGGGTGACAGAGTGAGACTCCATCTCAAAAACAAAACAAAAGAATATTTGGAGTGTGTGCATGTCCCTACATATAGCCCAAACTAACTTTGCATAAGACATCTTGTCATGTACACAGGCCATGTGTCAGTGCTCCAAATCGTACTTGCCAGAGTCTGTGGCAGCAGAGTGAGCTCAAGGCTGAAATTAGCTCAGGCTAATTTAGAACCATTTATTTAGCATATCTTCTTTAAGTAAAACATAGAATTGCAAGAACAGCGGTGAACAAGAAGTGAAAAATGTTAAAAGGGCATTGCCTGATGCACTGCCAGCTCAGCCTGCCTGGGAACTCGAACTGTGTGCTTGTTGTGACTTGGTTAGTGGTGAGCTCATGCGAGCTTCTCAACAGATAAGGCAGGCTCTGCACAGGTGCAGGGACCTGACCCAGTCCTCAGAGCACAGGCTCTGCAGTGTTAGCCCCCTATGGACTCCTAGATTACTGAAATATTTTGTTTACCTAAGGAGCTTCTGTTATTACTCTAAGGGGCTTTCATCCTTGTCTGCAAATGAATTCAGATGGAAAAAAGAGGAGGTCTGTAGGGTAGGAGGGAGAGAGTAGTGGGAGTGTGGGTAGAACCTTTCTCCCTCCTTATCTCCCTTCACATAATGGCCATCAGGAAAAGAACCCTCCCAAACTGATCATGTTCTTGTTTTAGGGACTGCGATCTATTATGGACCTAGCTTAAGTTCTCAATAAGCATGTGTTGAATGGATTAATGAATAAATGAATAAGAACAAAGGAGAGACATGAGATGGAATTGGGAATTAAAAAATAAGTTTTGGCCAGGTGCAGTGGCTCATGTTGTAATCTCAGCACTTTGGGAGGCTGAGGTGGGAGGAGCATTTGCGACCAGGCGTTCCGGGCCAGCCAGGGCAATACAGTGAGACCCCATCTCTATAAATAATACCAAAAAAATAGCCAGGCATGGTGGTACATGCCTGTAGTCCCAGCTACTCAGCAGGCTAAGGTGGGAGGATTGCTTGAGCCCAAGACATCGAGGCTGCAGTGAGCTATGACGGTTCCACTGCATTCCAGCCCGGGCAACAGAGTGAGACCCTGACTCTAAAAAAAAATAAATAAATAAAATAATAAAAATAAACTTTGGTCATCAGTAAAAGTTGACTCCGGAAAGAAAATGAGTCAATCCGTGGGACACTGGGGAAAGAAGGGTAGACCATGTCTGTCTTTTCACTGTTTATATCACGGTGTCTTTCACTTAAAAGGGCTCATCAAATATACATTGAATTTATTCATTCAACAGTTATTTGAATACCTCCAATGTGCAAGTCACTGTTCTTGGCTCCCAGGGAGTTCCTTGCCCTAAAGAAACTTTTTCTTCTGCATTCTAGTGGCAGAGACAAATAATCAACGTGGAAAATAGGCAAACAAATCAATGTATAATGTAATGTCAGGTCGTGGTAAGGACTGTGAAAAATAGGTTCAGTGAGGGGGTAGAGAGTGAAAGAAAGGGTTGGTATTTTAGTGAGCGTGGTCAGAGAAATTCTCTGAGGAGGTGGTATTTCATCTGGGCCTGAAAAGAAGGGAAGAAATTAACCATGCAAAGATCCGGGGTCAACCCTTCCATGCAGAGGGAGAAACAGGAGCCGAGACACAAGCTGGTTTGGAGAGTTTGAGAAACAGCAAGGGGGCCATGTGGCTGGAGCCTGATAACACCTGGGAGAGGAGTGGGAGGGGAGGTGGGAGAGGAGTGGGAGGGGACGTGAGAGAGGAGTAGTGAGCCAGATCATGTCACGCTCTGTCAGCCATATGAGGGGGGCTTGGGGGTCTTGTTCTAAGTGACAGAAAGCCATTAGAGAGTTTTGAATACGGGAGTGGCATACTGTGATTGTGTTTTTAAGGATAACTCTGGCTACTGTGTGGAAAATAGCCTGAGGAGAAGCAGTTTAGTACATGAGACCACAGTGGACCAGTGAGGAAGATTAGGGTATACCTCAGGAGAGAGGGCATAGGCCAGGATGACGATGGTGGCAGTGAAGGTGATAAAATGAAAGAGGGCGTTAGGAAAACCAGCCGGAACTCCCTCAAGGGTCCTGGAAAGACAGCTCTAGCCTGAAGCCTCACTCCCTCCTGCTGCCAGCTTCTTATCTTAGATCTTTTCAGTCTCTGGAAACCTCCCTCCTCACCACCTCTTACCACCTGTGGTAAGTGGAATAATGTAATGCTCCCACCCAAGATGTCCATGTTCTAATTCCCAGAACCTGTGTATCTGTCACCTGACTTGGCGAAGGGGACTTTTAAGGTGTGATTAAGTCCTTGAGATGAGGAGATTGTTCTGGATTTTTCAGTGGTTCCAATCTAATCACATGGGTCCTTAAAAGCAGAATGCTTTTCCTGGGTAGAGTCAGAGGGAAATGCAACTATGGAAGGACAGTCAGAGAGATGCAATGTTGCTGACTGTGAAGATAGAGGAAAGGGCCAAAGGCCAGGGAATGCAGGTGATCTGTAGAAGGTGGAAAAGGCAAGGAAACAGATTCTCCTCTAGATTGTCCGAAAAGGAACACAGCCCTGCTGGCACCTCAATGTTAGCCTAGTAAGACCTGTGTCAGACTTCTGACATACAAACTAGAAGATGATAAATTTGCATTGTTTTGCACCAATTGTGAAAATTTGTTACAGCAGCATTAGAAAAGGAATATACCTTCCTACACCATCCTCCTTGGTAGTGCTTCTGGCACCACTGTGGATCTGAAGCTAGGGCTGGAAGGTCCCTGATCCTATGATGGAGAAATTGAAAGTATCCTGGCATAAAAAACTGGACTTTTGAATTGTCTCATAGACACAGTGGTAGTCATTCTGGGGCTTTATGCCCTTCCTTATGCCTCAGGGATAGCATAGCTTACATGAGAGCTAGCTTGAAGACCTACTGACCATTTATTGTAAGAATTTTGTACAGTTGCCCACTCTAGACTAGGGATTTTGATTATCTTAATTAAGGAGCTATCAGGATCTCAGACATACCAAAAAGCAAATAGTGTAAAATATGCCATTCACCCTGCATGCCATATGCCCTTGAAGACTTTAGTTCTCCACCTTTCTATATCTCTGCTTACTTTGTGCTATATACATATGTAACTAACCTGCACATTGTGCACGTGTACCCTAAAACTTAAAGTATAATAATAATAAAATAGAAAAAAAAAACAGCAACAGTCACAGTGATCCATGAGAAAGGCAACACAGCGGTGGGGAGTAACAAGGTGAAATGCTGCTGAGCACAGTGACCACCTCTGTGTGGTCACTTCATGCTCCCTTACAATCAGTGGCTTCCTCCTCCAAGACGTGACCAAGGTTCAAATCCAGATTAACCCAAATATATCCTCTTCTTGCTTTAAGATTCATCATGTAATGTTCCATCCTATGTAATCTTCAGGTCATGAACCTATGGGAAATAAAGGGTTCTGCTAAACTAATGGATCTTTCTGATCAGTTTTATTGTCTGCCCACCTCTACTAACTTTTTCGCTACCTTTCCATTGACCTTTGCTCAGAGAATTTTTAATTTTTTTCTAAGTCAAAGAGCAACAGAAAAATCCATTTTCTTCGAAGTGGAAGGTACATTCACACGGTGTTTTATTTCTAATAAGCAGTGTACTGTAAGATAGTACAAAAGCATTGGCCTTAATACCATAAGACCTGAGTTTGAATGCTAGATCTTAATAGTTGTTCATCTTTGGAAAGTTAGAATAAGCTATGTTATTATAAAGTTAAAATAAGCTAACAGTCCTATAATTTCTATAATAAAGACAAAAACCTGGATTGATTGACGAAGTAAAGTTCTTAGTCTATAATAGAGTTGAGTTCTGGAAGCCTTATGAACACTCACTACTTTTTAACACCAGATTATCTGACTCTCTCAGGTCTCATAGACCCATCATCTTCGTGGTTTTCATAGGAGCATGAGTGCCTGTAAAACCCTTGGACATCATGAGTTCATATTTGGAGTCCTTATGTTCTCTGAATTGTGTTCCTTAATTTCATGCTGCTCTCCAAGCTGCAACTGAGGTTACTCTGGAGTAGAAATGTGTTATTTTGAGAGGTTAATAGCTTTTAACAAGTTTATTCCACACTTTGTCCTTTGGGGATAATTTGTTTTATGTGTTTTATTGTGATTGGAACTTTTTTTCCTTAAGTGTTGGACTTTCTCTGACCTCTCTTAGTTCTTGGGCTGTCACTCACTGAGAGCCAGGAGAGCAGGAGCCCTTTGAGGACTTTGGAGTTTGCTGATACAATGGAATAATTCCCAGAAAGTAGCCTACCAACTGTGACCTATTTTCTGCCCTTATACACGTACATAGGATTTCAGATGGTTTGATTAAATATAGCCTCTCCTGGTCCTAAAGGGAACACTTTTCAGCGTGGAATATAGAGAATTATCCACATGATTCCTATTAACATTAATGGGGGGTACCAAGGCATTCCCCATATCCTGAGCTGCAAATGCACCACCAGTGCTTGGTACAGGGTGATTTCTTCCATTTGTAGACCTTCTGGCTCCTAGTATTATCCAAGTGCATGAAAAATGTTAGAGGCAACTCTACCTAGTTCAATGTTTCTCAAACTTTACTTTGCATTAGACCCACTTAGTGAATTGTTGAAAATGGAGATTCCTAGAGCCATTTTCAGGAATTTCACTTTAGTGAGTATGGTGTAGGGACCAGGAATCACCTGGTCCCTGCCATTATCAAGCATTCTAAGTTTTTAATGGTACTACACTCAAAGGACACTGGAGGGGAAAGAAACACACAAACACACACACAATGGAGTGGAATTGGAATTCTGGCTCTTCACTGTGGAGAAAGTCACTTTATATCTCCTAACTTTTGATTACTCATTTTATTAAAAGAATTGTGTCAGCATGAGAGATTTCTTTTCAGGATTAAATGTGATAAAATGTGTAAAATGCCCATCGTAATTCAACAATTGTGTTTTCCTTCTTCTTCTCATCCCACTGTCCGAGAGATAAGTGCTCAACAGAAAAGGGTGGCTGTCAGCAAATCTCCCTCATGTCATCCTGCATACCCAGTGAGGGAGCTACTCAAGGAAATATGTGGGAGGGGCCCTGACTGTCACAGAGAAGGGACTCTCTGCAAAACAGTTCCTTGTGTGCTCGATGCACACCTGAAACTCACTGAAGCTCTTTATTCTCCTATAATATCAGGAAAATAATATCTACCTTGTAGAATTATGAGGATTCAAAAATACGGTTAGTGAAACACGTAGCACAACACTCAACCTGTCATACTCTGTAGTAGGGGATTAATAAATGACAGAATCTATAATTTTTTCCCATTCATTCATTCATTCCACAAATAGTTACTGCATACCAGGCATGGCAATTATTGCTGGGATAGACAGTCAATACACATATTTCCTGCTTTCACAAAGCTTACAACTGAGTTGAGGCAAACAAGCAATTAAATACTCTGTTGAGTAATTAGCATCTTTCCCAGGACTGTCATTCTTAGAGGCAACTACAGGACTCAAGAAGAAAAGCATAGTACACAGAATGGTGGCATGACAGGAAAATATTAATGAAAACATTGGTCACTCGTATGTGTTACAAGCTTACTCACTAAGTATATGTTACTAACTTTCTAGGATATTGGTCCATATTTTCCCAGCACAGGTCCCTGTGTTACTTATAAATGATAAGGGTTATGACTGAAGTTACCCAGAGACAAAAGACTCATCCAGATAACTCAGGCAAGTAAAGATCCAGGATCCTGCTAATACATCAACAAACTCCTTGTTACTTTGTTTTCTTGTTTATACTCTAGTTAATGAAATTGCCTCACCATTATTGTGGTACCAGCCCTCTTTTATTCCTACTCTATTTAGAACAGCTTTGCCTACTCTTTTGCCCAAGAAACTTAATAAACTGGGCTTCATAAGTTTGCTGATGAACCCCACATACAAACTACAAACAGGAGGGAAAGCCCTCACCCCCTCATTTACCTGTACATCCAGTTCTATGGGACCTAACAAATAACCTGTATTGACAAGATGTTTCATCCTCAGTCATACCAGTTCAAGCTATTTCCTAATAAGCCAGTCATGCCTGTTAAATAATCCAACTTGGGGTGGAAGCAGAGTGCCAATTTTATTCACAACCCACTTGAAGGGATATGGCCATGTTTAATGATACAGAAAATAGTGGTCCATAGTCATCAGCCTACAGTTTAACCAATACCATTAGCCCAATAAAGAGAAAGTGAGCAATGATCCATGGAGAAGGATGAGGTACACAATGTGCATATGAGTGGTCTCCAGTATGGAGTGCGTAACTGACTAGTCTGGCTCTCTTAACTGTTTCCTTGGGAAAATCTGTCCTAGAAAATGATAGGAGAGAAAACAGCAGGCATCATTACGCATCATTCTCCACAGCCCTCTAACATTCTAGTGTCCAGAAGCAATGGGCAGAGCTCATTCCAATGGTCTAAGAATAGTCTCTACTCTATCTCCTTGATATCCAAGGTCTTTACCCCAACCTTAATGATCACAAGATGCAAGGGACATGGAAATTTACCTGTCCTTATCAAATTATTGTGGGCCCTAAACTAGGGGCTTCAGAGTGATATAGCTAGTCATAAAAATGTGAACTTTACCCTAGGTGAAACTGTTCCTTAGATGTGATTGGACCTGTTAGGCTCAGGCTGGCAAGATGGAGAATAGGAGACCTGAGAATATGGTACTTCTGTAGTTTTAAAAGAAAGGAATGTCTACATATGGTGGCCCAGAAAAGGCATCCTTATAGCAATTTTTAAAAATGCACACATATTTCAACTTAAGTTGAAGTAAGCTATGTGCACCAATTTCTAGAAAATTTTTAAACTCAGTCTTCTGGGGGAACAAAAACCTAAGAATTCTGAATTCTTCATTCTCCCATTGTTGAAGTTAGGAGTTAGTATGATTTGATAGAAGAGTGGCTCCCCTTGGGAAATTAATGTGGCTTTTTTATGTTAAGTGGGTCAAACTGAATAGATTGGAAGCATTTGGCCTTGGAAGGTTTTCACAGTGGTTACTTCAGTGCATGTCCAGATATCCTTGGCTGCTAGTAGATTTTTTTTTTCTTTATGCCTGGAACTTCCTTCAGCAAATAATTGCATGCTATAGAAGTGTTGCACTCTCAAATCTTGTTTCCAGTAATATATGAAGGGAGCCATGCTGTAAATAAAGATTAATCATTTTTCAACATCTAAGCAGCAGCTCCAAGTACCACATGGGAAATGAATTACTGCTCTTTTGGTCCTGAAAAACATCACATAAATCATTTAAAAATTGATTTTGTTAGCCACAGAATTGCAGGCTTATGATAAGGGCCTCCCTCCATCCTATGTAATCTTCAGGTCATGAACCTATGGGAAATAAAGGGTTCTGCTAAACTAATGGATCTTTCTCATCAGTTTTATTATCTGCCCACCTCTACCAACTTTTTCGCTACCTTTCCATTGACCTTTGCTCAGAGAATTTTTAATTTTTTTTAAGTCAAAGAGCAACAGAAAAGTCCATTTTCTTCGAAGTGGAAGGTACATTCACAGGGTGTTTTATTTCTAATAAGCAGTGTACTGTAAGGTAGTACAAAAGCATTGGCCTTAATACCATAAGACCTGAGTTTGAATGCTAGATCTTAATAGTTTCTCATCTTTGGAAAGTTAGAATAAGCTATGTTATCCTGCTGTAATGGACAACTGTAAACATTGCAGTGACCTAAAATAATAAAGATCTATTTCTTACTCATGCTGCATGCCCATCGTCTACTCTACATTGTCCTTAATTCAGGATACAGGATCCTGGACAATCCGCCTTCTGAAACATAATTCATTGTGGCACAGTGAAGAGAAGATGACTTGAAGATTTTCACCAAGAAGCAACACATTCCTCTGTCATTTACATTTCATTAGCCAAAGCAAGTCATGGCAACATAATAACTTCAAGAGAAAGGTGAAGTGTATCTTCCCCTGTGCTCATAAACACCCTCTAAGCCTCAGTTTTCTTACCTGCAAAATGATACAGTACTGCTGTCCTCTGGGTGTTGCTATAATTAATGGTCATTAATGACATGTGTGCTCTATTTTTTTTTTATACTTTAAGTTTTAGGGTACATGTGCACAACGTGCAGGTTTGTTACATATGTATACATGTGCCATGTTGGTGTGCTGCACCCATTAACTCGTCATTTAACATTAGGTATATCTCCTAATGCTATCCCTCTCCCTCACCCCACCCCACAACAGTCCTCAGAGTGTGATGTTCCCCTTCCTGTGTCCGTGTGTTCTCATTGTTCAATTCCCACCTATGAGTGAGAACACGCGGTGTTTGGTTTTTTGTCCTTGTGATAGTTTGCTGAGAATGATGGTTTCCAGCTTCATCCGTGTCCCTACAAAGGACATGAACTCATCATTTTTTATGGCTGCATAGTATTCCATGGTGTATATGTGCCACATCTTCTTAATCCAGTCTATCATTGTTGGACATTTGGGTTGGTTCCAAGTCTTTGCTATTGTGAATAGTGCCGCAATAAACATACGTGTGCATGTGTCTTTATAGCAGCATGATTTATAATCCTTTGGGTATATACCCAGTAACGGGATGGCTGGGTCAAATGGTATTTCTAGTTCTAGATCCCTGAGGAATGGCCACACTGACTTCCACAATGGTTGAACTAGTTTACAGTCCCACCAACAGTGTAAAAGTGTTCCTATTTCTCCACATCCTCTCCAGCACCTGTTGTTTCCTGACTTTTTAATGATTGCCATTCTAACTGGTGTGAGATGGTATCTCATTGTGGTTTTGATTTGCATTTCTCTGATGGCCAGTGATGATGAGCATTTTTTCATGTGTCTTCTGGCTGCATAAATGTCTTCTTGCAAGAAGTGTCTGTTGATGTCCTTCACCTACTTTTTGATGGGGTTGTTTGTTTTTTTCTTGTAAATTTGTTTGAGTTCATTGTAGATTCTGGATATTAGCCCTTTGTCAGATGAGTAGGTTGTGAAAATTTTCTGCCATTCTGTAGGTTGCCTGTTCACTCTGATGGTAGTTTCTTTTGCTGTGCACAAGCTCTTTAGTTTAATTAGATCCCATTTGTCAATTTTGGCTTTTGTTATCATTGCTTTTTGTGTTTTAGACATGAAGTCCTTGCCCATGCCTATGTCCTGAATGGTATTGCCTAGGTTTTCTCCTAGGGTTTTTATGGTTTTAGGTCTTTAATCCATCTTGAATTAATTTTTGTATAAGGTGTCAGGAAGGGATCCAGTTTCAGCTTTCTACATATGGCTAGCCAGTTTTCCATAAATGGCTAGCACCATTTATGAAACAGGGAGTCCTTTCCCCTTTTCTTGTTTTTGTCAGGTTTGTCAAAGATCAGATGGTTGTAGATCTGTGGCATTATTTCTGAGGGCTCTGTTCTGTTCCATTGGTCTATATCTCTGTTTTGGTACCAGTACCATGCTGTTTTGGTTGCTGTAGCCTTGTAGCATAGTTTGAAGTCATGTAGCGTGATGCCTCCAGCTTTGTTCTTTTGGCTTGGGGTTGACTTGGCAATGTGGGCTCTTTTTTGGTTCCATATGAACTTTAAAGTAGTTTTTTCCAATTGAATTACAGCTAGCACTGTGTTGCTATTATATGTTATGTATCATGCTAAAAATGCACTGCATTATTTTTGTATTCACAACAACTCTACAAGTTGGCCATTATTATTGCCATTCTGCAGGTGAAGCTGAGGCTTGGAAAGGTTAAGTGACTTCCTCTTGAATCAACCAGCAAATGGTGGAGCATGGCTTCAGTCATCCTCATCAGCTGACTGCTCAGCCCATGCTTTTCACTCTGCTCTGTAGGTTTTTCAAAATGTAAGTCATTCGCTGAAGGACTGTTTACATGATGAAACCATTTTAGAGTTGGCATAGCCATGTCATGAAGTTATTTCAATGCTAAAATATTTTACCTTCTTAGGAATTACGGGAGGGCCATTTGCTAAGGACATTGTTACTGTACTGATTCTTGGGTACCTCTGTGGCCACTTCATCCTATGTTCCCACATTTCTCCCTAAACTTAGTAAGTGTTTGAAAGAGGTGGGAGGAGAGCTAAATATGATCCAAATTTTAGCAACTCTCTCATATAATATCTGTATCATTTGTTTAGGGCAAGCTGGCCTAGAATTGCTATTTTGGACTCCGTGCCCACCAGTTCCAACCATATATGCATTACTCGAGCAAAATCTCCATGAACAACCTGTCTGTCACATTCTATCATGAATCAAGAACAGTTCCTAGTGCAATTAGGGACTCAAGAAATGTTTCTTGAATGAATAAATGCATACCCTTATGTTTTATTTTTATAAAAATACAGAGTTAGTGTTTCTATATCATGGCTTCAAGATGGTTTACAAACCAATAGATCAAATATACTAGAAATGTTAGAATTTCGCTCATTTGTTGTTTAAGTTAGATATTGCTGGATTTTCCAGTGGATCAAAGACTATATTTACCAGCTGATCTTATTCAGTCCACCACTGGGTTTAGTTATGATAAAGCCTCATAAAAATCTATACCAACCTCTCACCTGGAGAAGAATGGAAAGCATTGGTTTAAAGAGACAAACTACTTACTCATTGTTTCTTGCAGTAAACCAAAAGCTATCATAAATATTGGCAATATAATAGTGAAGAGAGGGCCGGGTGCGGTGGCTCATGCCTGTAATCCCAGCACTTTGGGAGGCTGAGGTGGGCGGATCACAAGGTCAGGAGATCGAGACCATCCTGGCCAACATGGTGAAACCCCGTCTCTACTAAAAACACAAAAATTAGCTGGGCGTGATGGCGCGTGCCTGTAGTCCCAGCTACTAAGGAGGCTGAGACAGGAGAATTGCTTGAACCCAGGAGGCAGTGGCTGCAGTGAGCCAAGATCACACCACTGCACTCCGGCCTGGCCACAGAGTGAGATTCTGTCTCAAAAAAAAAAAAAAAGTGAAAAGACACATTTCATGTCTTCAAGGAGCTTACAATTGTGGAGCAAATATTACACAGGTACTACACAAAGGAAGACAAAATAGTAAATTTTGATAAGAATAGTAGAAAAGTAATCTTGTCTTACCCAAAATCCTTCCCATCATCATTTTCTCTTTCTCTTAAAAAGACATGCGAAGGAAAATGTTCACACTTACTGAAAAGCACAGTGCAACGACTGTGGCACTTACGCAGTACCCACTCGCACATTTTTCTCTTTAAATAATTCATTCACACCTGTATGCAAATAAAGGCATAGTATTTTGTCATACAGAGTAGCATGGGCTCTTTCTCCACTGAATGGCTGACATAGAGCTACCTCATTTTTAGGATCTACCAGACCTCCCATCTGAAACTAACATTGCCTAAATCTCTGAAAGAAGGAACTCAAATCAGCCAAGAAAGACCTTGGGATTGAAGTCACCCAAAACAGCCTAAAATTTTCATCACATATTGTTTGAGATTTTCAACCTCAGTAGAACTCCAGCAAAATCCCAATCGAGCAGTTTCTAATAAATTCTGTTAGATTGGTGCCCCTGCTTGGTACAAAAGAGAAACCCTTTTAGCCAAGATGGAAAAATAACCAAGAAAGAGAATCTGAAAAGAGCTGAAAAATGATTGCCTCTGCAAGCACAAGCTGTTAGTGTGTGTGCAGAATACTGATGGCCTGGGCTTCCCCAGTTTCTTATGGAAGAGACTCCACAGGGACTTGTGGGTAATTGATCTCCACACATCCAGCAAGCACGCCCCAGACTGGCCTTCCAGTTGGTGTGATAGAATGACCTGCCTTTCTACTACAGAAGATTCTCATAGTCAGGATTTTTCACAACACAGCAAGTGCCATTTTGACCTGGCTCCATTGCTTCCATCATGCATTTAACATATTTAGATTGTAAAGAAAAACTGTAGGAGTCCTTCTGTCTCTCTCCCTTCCTGTTCTTCACTAAACTGTATTCCTAGCTATGGCTACATTGAGTAATTCCATCCCTTTTAATTTGTGGATGGAAATAAGATGAAAAGTTCTTGAAGGAAACTTAGAATTCTACAAAGTTTGCCACACACTCTTAGGTCGGACTATGAGGAAGGGAAAATTGCATGCCTCACTTTCTTCAGATATGTAAAATAAGCCACCTTGTTTTAGAGATTTTAGTTACACGTAGGAAGTCTAAATTAAAAAAAAAAAAAACCACATACACATTTTCTTATCTTTGAAAGGAAAGGTCAATAATTCAGCAGACTATATCACAACTAGAGTTGAAAGACACCTCTTTTTCTTTCTCATTTCCTCTTTTTCTTTACTGGAAGCTTGAATTCCTATTACCTCTCCTCCAGTGACTGTGGGTATAACTGACATTAATTTAAATGTCTTTGAACTTATTTAGTCATCAGCTTTGGCAAGAAGGAAGACTTATAAAACAAAGTTCACTTATTTTAGACGTTACTGTTAAAGTTTTGTTTCTGATCAGCCTAAGTCAATCAGAGTAGGTTGGAAGCCTATGGGAAAAAAAGGTATTAAAAGTCGATTTGGTGAGGTTGGTAAAGAAGCTGTTATTTATATTCCAAGTTGAGACCACAGACCTATCTTCTATGGGCTAAGGACCTCTGTAGCTGATCTGGATTTTCAGTGAGCTCTGAACAGCCCTTCCCTGGTTCCCTTTTGTGGTTTGTCCTTGAGGAATAGCTTGACAGAGTTAAATGAACAGGTTGTGAAGATAATTCACATTTGTCTATTATAAGGAATGAAAGAGAGAGAAAAAAGGAGGGGAGGGTGTTGGGAGAGAGAATCAAGCCTGTGTTCACTTTCTTGGACTAAGGAAATGAGTCATTGTTGATATGTAAATGTGTTTGTTAGGTTGCAATATATTTAAAGTGTTCAGGTATAAGTTGTTCACACTGTACTTGTAATCAGCCAATTGAGTTCACTATCAACTTTCTTAGGGATGAGACATAGAACACATACAATTTTGGTCAGAAAGATGGTTGAAAAATATCCTAAGTGCCATCTAGTGAGAGGTGCCTGTGCAGCGAGCAGTAAACATGGAAGCACTGAGGGTCTTATGCAGAAACTAATAGAAGATACATGGCCAAGAGAAAATTAAAGCTTATTTACTTGGTATACTAGCCCAAACTCTTTGCCAAAGTTTGAGTAAAAAGACTATTGTTTTAAAAAATCAAAATAAACCTAAGGAAAATAAAGATTTGCTATATTGGCAATAGTAAATCAACCTCCAAACCCTAAGAAAAGAGGCTTCTAAGAAAAGGTTCTCTTATGGGTATAAAGATTGAGATGGGGTTAGCAGGGCATGGTGGCACATGCTTGTAGTCCTAGCTGAGGCCAGAGGATTATTCGAGCCCAAGAGCTCAAGGTTGTGGTGAGCTTGGTTGCATCACTGTGCTCCAGCCTGGGCACAGAATGAGACCCTATTTTTAAAAATTAAAAAAGAAAAAAGATTGTGAAGAAAGTGAAGAAAGCAATGGGAAAGAGCTCTGGCAATGGGATAGAAAGAAATGGGATTAAAAGATATTACCTTTTCAAATAAGGCAATATCTAGAGGGTAGGACTTCTGTTAAGTGGATCTCTATGTTGGACAGGTGTGGAAGGAGCTGTTGAAAACAGTGAAGACTCAAATGTTTAGGTCTTTCAGCAGCCAAGTATTTGTAATGGAAGGCTTCTATTATCTCCATCCTTGGAAGTGGTCCAGCTCAGAACATCAGCTAGGAATATCACAGACAGAATTTCTCTCATTACTTGAAAAGATTGATTCTATTACCTCTAGGGTCCATTTCAACTCTGAGCCATCCAGAAATCTACGTTGGAGACTGCCTATGGACTTTCTCCAAAGTACTAATAGTAACACCTCACACCCTCACACCTGTCTCACTGGCTCAGCATCTCTGAGGTCTCTTTATGTCTCACAATTTATAGTAATTAATCTATAGAACTGTGCTAAACTCTAAAGAAACTGGATGAGAAAAGTATTTCCTTTTTTTTTTTTTATTTTCTTTCTGGTTCAATTACAACCATTGGGGGATATCATCAGGAAGATTGGGTTTTTTGTTGTTTTTTGTTTGTTTTTTGTTTTTTTGAGATGGAGTCTCACTCTGTTGCCCAGGCTGGTGTGCAGTGGCGCAATGTTGCCTCACTGCAACCTCTGCCTCCAGGGTTCAAGTGATTCTCCTGCGTCATCCTTTCATGTAGCTAGGGTTACAGGTGCCTGCCGCCACACCTGGCTAATTTTTGTATTTTTAGTAGAGACGGGGGTTTCACCATGTTGGCCAGGCTGGTCTCAAACTCCTGGCTTCAAGTGATCCACTGTCTTCAGCCTCCCAAAATGCTGGGATTGCAGGTGTGAGCCACCAGTGCCCGGCCAGTAAAGACTGAGTTTATACCAACAAGATCAAAGCCCTTACACTTTAGCCAAGTCCAGAACCCCAAGCAGGGTTTTGGGTGGAGAGGGAGGAAGAAATGACAGGTAGGAGCCTTGGTGCAGGAGATCATATTTCAAGCTTTAGGACCAATCTGAGAAGGAAATACGAATGTCAGTTACTTTCTTTCATTTTGACGTCTGAAGGTAAGTGGCTTCCCACACGTTGGGAAGTACTTTGTTCTTGCTCTTGGCATGCCAGCACTCACAGTGGCTAGAACCCATCCCAGAGACATGCTCACTTAATGAAGGAACAAATTGCTGAGCACTACATCCGACCTTGGAGATGTCAGTCTGTAGGCAGTCAGGGAAGCCAAGGGTTGTAATTTGAACAAAATGTCACTGTTTAGAGATTTTTCTTTATGTGCTTTTTCTGTGATGATAAATTACAGGCCTGTGCAGGGGATAATAACACAAAATGTTTGACAGCTTTTCTTACAATTGTTTGGCATTCTGTTTGCTTAATTATTGTCAGCATCACCCACGCTGGTATATTGTTGAAGGGAACTGTAGTGCCTGTCAGAGCAGGCACCCGCCATTCTCCTTTCCTCCTCACTCTACTCCTGTCGTTGTGATTACAGTTTAGGCATTATCTATCTTTGCTGCGGGAAATGCTTTATTAATCTTGCAGTCCTGTGTCCATGTGGAGATGTGGTTCTGCCATCCAACCAGATAGGAAGACAGAGCAGAAAAAGTTACTGGAGAATTTCATGAAGGTCAAATTTAGAAAAAGGACAATTTGGTTCAGTTAGGTGCTTTGCACACTGAGGAACATGCAGAGAAATCACTTGCTTTATGGGTTTGGATTGGGAAATTATCTATTTATGTAATCACACTGCTTTGAAAGGGAAGGGAATTAATTGCTTTAATTAACTCCAGTAAAGACTAGATTGTCACAGGGGGAGTGTTGATAAAATGTGCTTTGAGTGATCTGATACGCTCTTGGATATAGTGGCTGGAAATAATAGCTATCTCTGTAATCAGTCATTTTCCTTTCTCTGGGACCTCACTGATGATGTTCCTTCCATAAACTAGGCTGCCTAGAGGGTCAAAAAAAGGAAAGGTCAAAAAAAAAAAAGGTGGTAAACAGCTAATTTCCATAATCGTCATTGATTTTTTCAGGAGTTTCATTATCATGTCTTCGGTTTCCTCTGATTTGGGACCATCTAATTTTCCACCAGTAGCTGATTGCAAGTGAATGGGACATGGGAAGTATGCTTGCGTGTTAGGAAGGCACTAGAGTACGACAGTGAGCTAAGATCTTTTTATTTATTTATTTTTTATCTTTACTTTTTTCCAATGAGCTAAGATCTGAAAATGATTTTCATCATGCATTTAGCTAAAGCCCAATTAAAAAGATTGTAGTAGACCGTATATTTAGATTCAGGCTGAGAATTATGATAAGATGTAATAAATACACAGATATGTATATTTGTTATGATTCATTTTATTCATTTATTTATTTATTTATTTATTTATTTATTTACTTACTTGATAGGCTCAATCTTATAATTTGTCAGATGAGACTGCAGAGACTTTTGGGGCTGAGTTGCTGATGGGCTCACCTACTGTTCTAAAGGGAAGCAACATTCTCCCCTCTCAAGTTTCAGAAAAGGGAAGGCAGCCAGAGAGTAATGCAAAAGGCTGTCCCAGGTGGCAGAATAGAGGGATTGCACTCAGCATCCCCAACCCTGTGGATGCAGGAAGTACCCTTGGCCTCAGGCATCCTGCAGGCCTAAAGTGTGTTCTGGGGAAAGCCCAGCTCAAAATCTGGTGATAGGCCTACAGCCTTCTCTAAAGACATTTTTTTTTCCTGCCCTCCATTGCCTGGCTTAGCATTAGGAAAGGTTGGGTGATTTAAAAAACAACAACAACAAAATGAAGCTACTTAGCATTATTATGGAGCAATAATGTGTCCAAAAGGGAACGAATAATTTAAGACAGAGGAAACAAGAACATTAAATGCGTCCAGTAGAACACTTTAGACGTAAAGATAGAATCACTCCCATTATGCACCCTTTGAAAAGAGGACTGTCTGTCTTTTACATGCCTTCTGGCATTTTTTTTGTCATGTAAATGCATATATGTGTATATGTATACATCATAATGATCATACATTCTTGAATTCATGAAAGTATATCTTGGCCAGTGAGCCTTGGTCTTAAAACACATTAGAGTAACCCCATTAGAATCCAGGCAGCCGTCTCAAAAAAGGAATTTTATATTCCACACCTCTCCTACCCTCTTCCACAGAGTGTGTGATGTGTCCTTAAGAGTGTGTTGACGTCATTTGGTTAGGAGTGGGAAGGTCCAATATCACCGGATGTTCATTTTAGGACTCAAGTAAAAATGCCGTGTGTCTTATGGTTTTAGAAATTTCTTGCAAGATTATGCAGATATTGCCAGGTCACAGTCTCATTGTCGTTACCCATCCTGTGGCTTCGGTTAGATTTCTGAGTTCCCATACAGCACTAGGAACAGTCCCAGGGCCTGTCAGCATTGCTCTTCTAGTTTGCAGACTGACACCTCTGTACCATGGCCCTAAATTCAGTTATTCACTTCTAAATACATGTGGACTCAAGGATGGTGCCAGAGAACACCAGACGTAGTCTTTCCTTCCATCTTTTTAGTGGAAGTTTCTTGGGCTCAGGGTAATCACATTTTCTTGACTAATTGATGTGACAAGTATATCATTTTGCTTCCTTTTCTGCCACAAGCCTTGCCTCATAGATATGTTTGAAGGATACCGTGATAGTCTACCCTTAACATAGTTTGTCAATTAAGGCAGAGGAGATACCCTCAAACTCTTTTCATTATTCTCTTAATTCTGCACGTATTTATTTTCCACAACAAAATTATGAGATGCTAAAGCTGGAGGCCTTCACTATACAAATAAGAAAAATAAACTCCAGAGAGGTGAAGTAACAGAACCAGTCTCATAATTGCAAGAGAACCTGAAGCACTGAGGTTTCCTGACACTTAGTCCAGAACACTTTCTCCCTACTACACATCAGCCTCTTTTTGATGATAGTGGAGATGTTCTCTGTACAAAATAGTTTAGAAGAAATGTTGTACATTTTCCCTTTGAATATACATGATGAGAGATGATAGTCCAATAGCTGGGTGGCATTGTGAGCTTCTAGGACCTCCCAGAAGCTGAGGATCTGTATCCCTGCCATGGGCTGCATCTCCAGCTGGTTTTCTGCCCACTCACAGCCTGCAAGTGTGCAGATGGTAAGGATATCATCATTTCCACCATGGGGGGTGGGGGAGAGTAGGGGGAGAAAAGACACTGTTTCATTTAAGTTTATTTCAAATTCCTTGTTGTTTGTCATGTTAACATGCTCTCACATTTGCAGACATTAACCAACAACTAGGAGGAAAAAAATTCTTGTCTTAAGCGCAGACATAGAGAAATGGCATCTAAGAAAAGGTCTGTCATTTAAGGAGAAAGAAATAAAAAGCAAAGAATGAAGACAGTCAAGGAAGAAATGAAGAAATAGAGAAATAAATTAGAAACAGGCGAGATAGAAGGAATGGAAGACTCAGTGACAGGGCTCAATCCTATACTGTTTTTATAATTAAATAGTGCCTTGCACATCAGCCCAGTGTTCACTCTTTGATGTAATTGCCTGCTCATCAACATATGCAAAATTACAATTGCACAGTGTGAGTGCTCAAAGGAAGATGTTAATATTGCTGTAATGAGCCTGTCAATCTTGTGAAAATGAACAGAAACCAATATGCTGGCAGAAGTTAATCTCCAGAGAGACAGTTTGGTGGATCTGATAATTGACCAGTTAGTTATTCAGATCAACTAGACAGCATTAGAGTGGCATTACCTTGGAGTGTATGTGTTGTAGGTTAAAACTCACAATTTTCTGAAGGAAAATTAGAAATAATAAAAAAGAAATTTTTAAACCATTTCTATAAGAAAATGATATTTTCAAGAGTTCAAGAGACTAATTCTTTACTGCATTTAGCTTCATGTTTTTGATATTTTCAAGAGTTCAAGAGAGTAATTCTTTACTGCATTTAGCTTCATGTTTTCTGATGACCTGTCTGATGCAGGATCTAAATAGCCTGAAAAAAAAAAAACAAAAAAGCATGATTTACAACTTAAGAGCATTTTGATAGAAAAAGGATATGTTATTAATTCAATATGCCAGCTCTGAAACTGAGTTTTGCATGCTGTCTCACAAGGTGTGGCATTCATTTTGACCGTTAATGTAAGGAAATTACTTAAGACCCCAATCTCATTTCTATTTTTAATTTATCAATGACTTAGCAGTTGGAATTAGCTTTTATTTTCTTTTTTTATATTAATTTTTTGTTGACATAATGATTATAAATATTTCTAGAGTAGAGTATGTGTGATGCTTTGATACATGCATAAAATGTGTAATGATCAAATCAGGGTAATTAGAATATCCGTCATCTCAAACAAACATTTACCATTTCTTTGTGTTGGGAATATGCAGAAGTTTTCTTCTAGCTATTTTGAAATATAAAATCAGTTATTATTAACTGTAGTCACCCTGTTGTGCTATCAAACACTGGAACTTATTCTTTTTAGCTAACTGTATTCTTGTACCATAAACCAACGTTTGTTTCTTTATCCCCCACTCCTGCTGTCCTTCCTAGCCTTTTTTTTTTTTTTTTTTTTTTTTTGGAGACAGACAGAGTTTGGCTCTGTTGCACAGGCTGGAGTGCAATGGCATGATCTCGGCTCACTGCAACCTCCACCTCCTGGGTTTAAGTGATTCTCCTGCCTCAGCCTCCCGAGTAGCTGGGATTACAAGTGCCCACCACCATGCCTGGCTACTTTTTGTATTTTTTAGTAGAGATAGGGTTTCACCATGTTGGTCAGGCTGGCCTCGAACTCCTGACCTCAGGTGATCCGCCTGCCTCGGCCTCCCAAAATGCTGGGATTACAGGCATGAGCCACCGCGCCAGGCCCTTTAGCCTCTTTTAAGTACCATTCTACTGTACCTCCATGAAATCCACTTTTTTATCTCCCACATATGAGTGAGAACATATAATACTTGTCTTTCTGTGCCTTGCTTATTTCAAATTAGCATATGTCCTCCAGTTCCATCCATGTTGCTGCAAATGACAGGATTTTATTTTCTATGGCTGGACAATATTCCATTGTGTGTGTATATATATACACATATATGTGTGTGTATATATGTGTATATATGTGTATATACACATATATACGTCATATGTACATGTATATATGTATACATATGTGTATATACGCACATGTATGTATATGTAAATATGTATAGATGTGTATACATATACGTGTATATATGTATATTTGTGTGTATATACATATATATGTATGTATATACATATACATATATACGTGTATATATGTATACACGTATATATGTATATATACTATATACATTTATACACATATATAGTATATACATGTACATATATACATATACTGATACATATGTATATACATATATACAGATACATATATATGTATATACATATATACAGATACATATATGTACATACATATACACACATATGTATATATGTACATACATATACATGTATGTATATATACACATATACATACATATAAAATTTGGCTCAAAATATATATTATTGGAATCAAATGTGTATATATACATATATGTATACACATGTATATACATATATATGTATATGTACATATATACACACACATATATATATGTGCTAACATTCACCTTCTGATTAAATTGAAACTCTCCAATAAAAGAAGAGCTGGTTTGCATCTTATTTTATCCCCCTTCTAAGCAAGCAACTTTTATGATGACAGGTCTGGAGAGAAACATTTAAAAATGCACTATCTTGGCCGGGCGTGATTGCTCACACCTGTGCACCTGTCATCCCAGCACTTTGGGAGGCCAAGGCAGGTGGATCACTTGAGGTCAGGAGTTTGAGTCCCTCCTGGCCAACATGGTGAAACCCTGTCTCTACTAAAGGCACAAAAAATTAGTTGGGCTTGGTGGCGGGCGCCTGTCATCCCAGTTACTTGGGAGGCTGGGGCAGGAGAATCAGTTGAACTCAGTAGGCAGAGGTTGCAGTGAGCCGAGATCATGCCACTGCACTCCAGCCTGGGTGACAGAGCAAGACTCCATCTCAATCAATCAATCAAAATACAAATGTACTATCTAAAAAAAAAAACTGCACACATATTTGCAAATGCAGAAAGAGCTGCTTTATATTTTGTCAGACTTCACTGGCTTATCTCAAACTCTGTAAAAGAATAAACCGCGAAGTCCAACATCTGAACCCAGATTCACTTCAGCCACCTGTAAATTCTCTCTATATGAATAAATTCATACAACCACATTATAGAAAATTTGGAGATGAAAATTAAAAGAGGGAAAATAATTCATAGTTTGCTCATCCATCAACACTGATTAACCATTTATTGTTTGCTCAACAATTTAGCAGATTTGTAATCATATTGCATATATGGTTATATAAAAACAAACTTTTTTCTCACTAAACTTTATAATAGCATTTTTTGGTATTATACACTCTAAACATTTTGGGGAACTGAGACTACTTGTATCTACACGGACTTTATTCATAATACCCGATGTATATTGAATGAATGAAAATATTGAAGGAGAAATAATTGCATTTGTATATATGGTTGGATTAGACCAACTTCTAAAAGAATAGAGAGACGAAAGTCATATGAGGCTTACCGTGCATGTATTTACTTATTAAATGGTGGCCTCCATCAGGCTGAGATTCAGCTGTTGACCCTCTCTCCCAGCTTCCAGTCACTGCCCTTGCCTGAGAAGCACAAAACAAACAAGTTGAGCGTCTCAATGAAAAGATCCCCTGTAAGACTACCTTGCACAGCGTATCAAATTGCAAGGGTTAAAGTATTATTAATAAAATAATCATGAGACAATGCACAGGCCTTACAAGCTTTATTTACAGGTGATTTACTAAGATGTGAGCCCTGGTCTGCCAGGTTTATCTCTCAGGGTCACAGATGGCCCTTTTTGGAAGAACGACTCTTCCATTCTTGTTATTTCTCCCTCTCTGCCTGCCACCTTTTCCTGCTCTTCTGAGATGAAGCATGCCACACAACAATGAAGAGATTTTCCACATTAGCAGTATTGCCAGCCAGCCACTTCTCTTTGTGTAAGTCTGTTTACACAGTCTCCTTGGCAACATAACGTAGAGGTTGATTTTTCTCTTTTTTATATCTATCTCTGACTAGCAGGTTTGGTTTTTCCCTTTGTCTGAAGCTTATCTACCTCACACACTGAATTATTTCTATTGATTTTTTTTTTAATTCAAAAAAGAGAATCATTTTCACACCTTAGTATTTTAGTATTTTCGCAATATCCCCTGCAGAAATCCAGTATTTTCAGGGGCTCTTAAAAAAATTCTTCAAAGTAATTACTGAATAAAACATTTCTTCTTGATTGGAACTTGCTACTCTTTAACTCTCCCGAGTTCTGTAGACTGTATATATTCTCCCCCGACGCCTTCATTTGATAGCTGGTGGGAGTTTGGGGCCACCCAAAAAGCCAGAATAATCATCAAATTCTGACCCTCCTTAGTATTGTGATCCAATCAATCATTGGAACTACAGAACAGTTACAGGTACTTTTTTTGCATATACATGTATGATTTCACCTATATTGTGCTAAAGTACACTGGGAAAACATCCCATTTGCCTTTCCCCAAACCCCAAATTCTAAACCAGTGGAACACAAGGCACATTTAACATAACTCATGGGTAAATGTGGGTTATTGAGAGACTCACATCCTTGGCTAGGAGAAAGTTAGGCGAAAGTTTCTTTAGTAGCAGATCACTACAATATGACCAAATTATGTTCCATAAGTACATCTATTGAAAAGAATAACTCGAAGAGTCACTCTTCAGAGAGATAGGCATCAGAATTATAAACACACGAGTCTCCTGACACCGCCCCCCCACGCTTGCACTTACATTTTCCTGTCATGGTATCAGAGCATGTATATGTTGAAAATTTATTCAGATCATTTCTGTTGTAAAGTGCCAGCTAATGATCACTAATTTTAATAATATTGGAATTAAGTTGGATAATCTATTATTTGCCAAGGTCTCAGATTGTTTTCTCCAGTTAGTACTTGTAATCTCTTCGTAATGCATATATTATTCCCAACTTGTAGATAAAAAACTGAAATTCAAACATGTTAAGTAATTTGTCTGTTGTCCAGAGCAAGAATTTTAACTCAGCTTAATTCCAAAATCCTGTTCTCTTTACCCTGTATTGAATTTCTTTCCCCCAAATTATAAAATAGTATTTACTTATTTCCAGACAACTTTTATTCTGCTAACACGTTTTATTTATTTGTCATCACAATGTCCCCTTTAACAATTTAAGCTAAGGAATTGTTCTGTAGCTTGTTAAGTCAGGTTACAGAACAATGGCTTGGTTAGAATTACTTTAAAATATCTCACACATACATACACCCGGAAGGTTTTGAGTATAGACCTAGACCAATAGATTTGGATGTTTACTTTTTAATATAACGGTATCTTCCTTTGAAACAAGTACTGCTACTTATCAAAATATATTTTTTTCAATTAAAATCTGCAAATTGAACATCAATTAGTCATTTCAGTGAAGTCTACACCCTTCCTGTGTTAAGTAAGATCTAGGCAGATAATACAGAGTAGAGACATATTTTGAGCCAAGTAATAAATTATAGCTTGTCAGTCCTCTCAGTATTTAAGTGATTCGTTGGCAATTTTTACTACCTGCAACATGAGAAATACATTGCACTTATTCAAATTGATGGTAATAGTCACACTGACTTTAAGTACAATTTACAAAAAACAAAGCCAAGATCCTAAAAGCTTGAATATTTTTAGAGGAATCATCTAGAATAGTGCTTCTAAATATGGTGTGAATTGGGAGAAGAGAAACACCTCCTCTCCCTTGACACCTTGTTGGAGACTGTGGCACAGGCCTCTCCACCCATTTAAGCACTAAGGGTTATGAAAATATTACAGAAAGTGGAAAATTATGCAAATGAAAGTACAGAGACTAAATTTTGAAAAATGCTGATGTAATGGGACACATTGCTTTGTTTCTATCCTTTTTTTAAAGTAAAAATACTTAAAAGTTTTGCAACCACTGTTCTCTTTATTTCAAAAGGTTTTGAAAGTATATACCTCAAAAACGGATAGGCATTTCTAGATCAAAACCCTATTTTTTTACTTGATTGATAGACATCATAACAGAGACTCTTTAATCAGTTAATTTCAGCTCTGAGAGATATAACATCAAACATTTTTTGTTCTATTTAAGATTTCGACAAAGTAGTGCAGATCTTAGCTTAATCAATGAACTTGATGAACTTCAAACGTCATTGTGTTTGTTTCCTAGAAGATATTGCAGCAGGACACAAAGGACCCAGGGACAGTTGGCAAGCTGATCACATCTGAAACTCAGCACGTCATCCTGTTCTCAATGAATGTCCCTAGAAATAAAACTTATTCTGCCCCTGGTGATGTGGAATCAAATTAAAAGACATCACGAGGTGAAGACTTTTTGTTTGTTCTGAAATTATGATCACAAGGTTACTTCACTATGCATAGATAAATAATACAACTCCGTCCAACCAGAAACGAACCTAAATCCCTAAAGATCAGAATTAGATCTTGGCTATCAACAGCCAGTAGTCCCACCTTCAATCTTTCTCCTGGCTACCATCATCTTAATTTGGATACACATGACAGTCTATTTATGCCCATACTATAGATCACGGAAAGGGGAATTGAATATAGGTTGTTAAACCTAGAAAAAAATGACATATTTTATTACCTCCCCCAATAAAGCCTCAATAGATATCTTAGTTCATTTGGACTGCTATAACAAAGAACCATAGACTAGGTGGCTTATAACAACAGAAATGTATTTCCCACAGTTCCAGAGGCTAGAAAGTCCAAGGTCTAGGCTCTGGCAGAGTCAGTGTCTGGTGAAGTACAATTTCCTGATTCATAGACAGCCATCTTTTCGCTGTGCCTGCAGGTGGTGTGATGGTAGGGCAAGGGAGATGTCCAGGGCCTCTTTTATAAGGGCACTAACCTCACTCTTAAGAGTGACCTAATCACTTCCCAAAGGTACCCACCTTCTCATCCCATCACCCTGGGAGTTAGGATTTCAACCTCTGAGTTTGGAGTTGGGAAAACATAAACATTCAGCCATTAGCAATAGGGAAACTTAGAAATCAATTTCAAATCACTGTAGAAAACTGACCCAACTAATTGGTACTTTATTTTTAATCCATAGTTGAGAACATTCAGGCCTCTTAACATATCTTAATGTCATCAAAAGTGTAGAAATTGGTACTTACTCCATGGAGTGCAGTTTTTAAAAAATCCATAAACAATTTTTGGTGTAATAGAGAACATACCTTAAATAAATCAAGCAATCTGTTTTAAGGGACTCAGAATCACTACCTAACATCACATTTGAGTTCACGGAACACACGCTTATAAAATATTGCTCTGCCACTTTACTGAGCATTGAGTATAGCTGACATAAGTTTATTTTTGCCTCCAAGTCTATTTCAGGTAATAGTGAACATAGCATTGAACGTGGAGTCCTGTTCTATAATTAATTACCTGCAAGACCTTTCAGAAAGTCACTTAACTTCTGTGCATATTGGGTTTCTACTGGGTCTCACCTTTGAAATGAGGGCTTCCAGGGATAATCCCTAAGTCCCTTTCCTCTTGTAAGTTATTTATGCATTTTTATTAGAATTCTATGTATACGTAAGCAGTTACTGTTAATGTATTAACAAAAAATTTAAAATAGAGTTATAAACTGCAGTGATTAAAATGTTTATTATTTGAACATAGGCCAATACAGCTAATGTGACACGTGACTTATATGCCCTGAGCCTTTTTTCCTCATTTTTGTAACACCATCTGGTGCTCTAGCATAAGGAAGGGTTTATTTAAATAATAACATTAGTAAAACCCATGCCTCAGATCTGTCTCTCTCTCTCCACACACACACACACACACACATATATATGCTGTTTTCTAAAGTTGCTTTGCTAAGGCTTCTGCCATATTCTGAGATTAATCCTTCTCAAACACGTGGCAAGTGAAATAAAACAAGATACTTCTGGATTTGGCTTAACCTAGAGCCTGGCTGTTCAGGACCATGGTAGAACTAAGCCAAGCTGAGCACTGCCTGCACCCATGACAGCTCTCTGGGGATAGTGATCGCTCCATTCCAGGCTGCAGAAAGCTAATGCCCTGTGGTTGGAAAACTCACCAAGGCTCAAAGCCTTCAGATGGCTAAGAGTTGATTCCAAGGTGCCAACTCCTTGCTTCTGCCCAGGAAAATGGCCAAACTCTCCTATAATACTAATCTATAAGAAATATGCTGGCCTTTCCACCCCAGCATGATTTCACACTAAAATGGCTATTTCTCACTCTTCAGATATTAAGTTTCTTAACATGTAAGAAAAGATGAAAGAATCCAAGGCAATAATGGAAAATATTCTTTTTTTTTTTAGCAGAAATATGTTAGAGTACAAACTTTGCCAGGCACTGGTAGCTACTGTGTTTTCACAGCCCTAGTCACATCTAACCATTTTCCTTTAAAATGACAGACTTAAATAAAAAAAATTCCTCTGAGGTGTCATAATAGAATCCTATGAAAAAGTAGCCAGAATTTAAAAACTTTTCTGTTTCAGAGAGTTCTAGCTTCCCATGAACAGCCTGAGTCTGAAAGCATATCAAAGCAATATGACTTCACCATCCATCTTCTGGAATTAATGAAGTAGCAGTGACTTTTCCTTATGAAAGGTCTGTTTGGAGGGCAATGTTGGAAACACAGTGCATTCAGCTGGCAGACCTTGAAGGCAAGATGTGCAGAAGAACTGACTGCACAGGAATCAGTCCTGAGCAGAGTGATTACCCCACAGTGTTTGGCTAAGCTGCTGTTATCCAAGGTTCTGCTGAATAAAACTCATAGAAGAACAAATGAACAAAGTCTGTCTTTAGGACTAGTTGGAAGCATTTACAGTGAACCATACCAAGTAAAACTCAAGAAAAAAATTTAGTTGCCCTATTTGACTCTGGCCAAAAGTTGCATGATTGCAGGGTAAACCCAATAAAAGCAGACGTTTTGAAGTGGAATCAGGACCACAGTTTGCGTATTTCAAGTTTCCCCTGTTGAGAATGTATTTCTAAAGTAAAAATGAGATAGATGTGTACCACATGCTTGTAGTGTATGTGTAACCAACCATATCCAAGATGTGCAACTATAAAACCTACATCTGGAATACATTTTTCCATTTCATCTTCTATGTGCACAGTTTAAAAATTAAGTATTGCCTAAGCAGAAAAAAAAGGAATTAAAACCTATGAACACTTTTAAAAGAAGAGAGGTTAATTGAGAAGCTATTTCTTAAACTAGTCTAAGACAGGTCATATGGCATAATGATTAACATCATAGGTCTCTGAGATGGACCTGTAGGGTCCTAGCTCAGCTTCTTATAACTATGTAACCTTGGTCAAGTTCCTTGACTTATGTAAACATCAGTTTCCTCATCCATGAAATGAGTCTCGAATGAAAGTAATGTATATAAAGCAGTCAACAGTCTGATATAAACCTCTTACCATTCTACGAGATTTAATTGTAGCTTAGAAACTGAACATGATGTCTATCTTGAGATATCTGTCTTGGTTTTAAAATGTGTTTTTCACAATATACATCACAGGAGAGCAGCAGATAGTCAAGAGAAGGAATGATTAAAAAAAAAAAAGTTTGACTTTTTAAGTAATATAAAACAAAATGACAATATTAATGCAAAGACGTCTGGTTTGGCCTGATTTTGCTAAATTCAGTGGTTCAAGTGGATCTTGTATATTACTAGTTATTTTCAAAGCAGAAGCAAACAGGTACATACAGCACAGAGTCAGAGTGTCCAAAAGTTTTACCCTGTCAACTTCCAGGATTGCTATGTTGTCCTCCCATGCACTCTGTCCTGAGAAAATGCCACTAACCCACTTTAGATTTGCACCTTATTCTTCTGGTGGACACGTGGCCTTTCACTGTGAATTTTGTCATAAGGAAAATAACGACTTGAATGTATTTAACGGACAATCAGTGTGACTACGTAGTATATGTTTAGAGCTGGAGAGGGATATCAGAGAGATCCGGTATAGGCTCCCAAACTAAAGAGCTGAGTTTCACTAGGGAGAGAGAGACCTGTACATGAACAGCACAAATCACAGAATCCCAAGTTTCTCCTATGTGCCACTTCCATAAGACTGAGTCCACTGGAGTGGGAATGATTCCTAATTTATACTGAATTATTCTTTTGATTATTTTCATGGCTATCACATATGGTACATATCCTAGGCCATTTAAGGTTGCTCAATTATATTGGCTGCCTATTTTTAACATAGCCATTTATGTAACTCAAGAGTCAGGAAGCTACCTTTGAACACTGTAAATTGTCAAATGGTTTTTGATTTCCTAGGTTCCTTATCACTTGGCAAATATGTACAGCAGACCTTTTCCAGAGAATGAGTGCACTGGGACTTATCCCCCAGACATTCCTTCTCTTTGTTAAACCCACAGTCTCAGGCAGGGACTCCAGCAACCCTTTCCTCGGGAGGAAGAAGCCTCTAGATTTCAGGAGTGCCCTCCAGTGGCTGCTCTGCTAACTAATCCTCTACTGATCTCCCCAAGGCTGACTGGGGCAGCACTTCTTGCAGAGCTAAAGCCCAGCTGAAAACTGAGGTAGGATCTTCTCACTTAGAAATATCCAGCAGTAGGAAAAGGCCTCGATCATTGCATAGACAGGCTAAAATTGACGAGTGCTTTCTGTCAGAAAGTTTGTGGGGTTTGGTGCATTTTTTTTTTTTTTTTTTTTTTGGTTTTTCATATCATGCACACCACTTGCCTACTCAGCTCCAAAAACAACATTCTCTCACAGCAACTGCCAGGGAAAAACATGAGGTGGAAAAATCAGAGTAACGTCTTCCCCTGGGGTGACATTATACAGGAAAAGTCATCGGACAACTCCCAGCCTGGCCTTCATAGGTCAGCAGGAAAGGCTGTCATTACCTTAGTGTTGTTGGGAAATTTAAAGAGATAATAGATGTGGAAACGCTCAGAAGGAGACTCACGTAGTAGATGCTCAGTAAATGATGGCTGTTAGCCTGTGGGTCTCTTCATGTGCACTGACGCTTTCCTAATGTATCTCCCACCACTAAACCAAGAGTGCAGTGTATTTACTTACTTCCTAACCCCCTAGTGAGGAGATACCAGGAAAGCTTCAAAATTTCTACATAGGAAAGCTTAGAGGAGGTGATCTGGTAAGAATGTAAGGCTTGCAGCTGTGTTTTCACAGCACTTTCCATTAAATTGCTCAGATGTTCATTTTTTTTAATAACAAAAGGGCTGCTGATGGGAGCGTTGTCCCCCAGACCCTAGACCCCTCAGTAATTACTCAGAAATGTCACAGTCTCCCTAGAAGCTATCCATTCTGCCCACTTTTCCTCTTACGTTGCTCCAGTTTCAAGTATTCCCCTTGAGGTTTTAGAAATAATGTTTGTTTATCTAGCACTTAGACTCATCAGAGGGAAGGAGGCACTAGAGCATTCACATGGAATTCCTCCCCCACTTGAATATTTGTCAGGAAAAAAAATAGATTCAACTATAAATGTGCAGCAGAGTTGGTGCCTTCCCACTGTGAATGTATTTTCAAGTGCACGGACCAATCCACCACAAAGGAAAAATGCAATACCCTTCCAAAAATACACAGTGCTGATGTGATGTTGCATTCCTTTGTTCATTTTCCCAGAGCCAGGTTACAGGGCCATAGGCTCCATTTGAATAGACTTCTTAGTCTAAAACAGAGGTAAAATCAAGCTCAAAGCCATGATGTTACTTTTTATTTTTTCTTAAATACTGAACTTAGACTTGAGAAATCTTTCTTTTCTTTTTCTCTTTTTTGAGACAGGGTCTCACTTTGTCACCAAGGTTGGAGTACAGTGGGGTGATCTTGGTCACTATAACATCTACCTCCTAGGCTCAAGTGATCCTCCCATCTCAGCTCTCAAGTAGGTGGGACCGCAGACACTACCATGCCCAGTTTATTTATTTATTTGTATTTTTGGTAGAGGCAGGGTTTTATCATGTTGCCCAGGCTGGTCTTGAACTCCTGAGGCTCAAGCAATCCACCCACTTTGGCCTCCCAGAGTGCTGGGATTACACGCCTGGCCTTTATTTTCATGAATTGAAAATAGCTCTGGTAAGTTGTGAATTAACTCAGTTAAAGATTTAGGGGTTTCCTTAATATTCCATGCATCACAGCTATGATATGTAGAAACTAAGGGCAATGAAATGAGCCTTCAATGTCTGTATTCCTGCTTTTACTGGACATTCAGTAGACACTCGTATCCACGTTTGGTGAAGGAATGAATGAATGATTTGGCAGAACTACCTTGTATATCTCTGCAATGATCTCAGATTTAGGAAAATAATCTTAATAACTATGGAATAAAGATCAAAGCCTCATTAACTTTGCTTTTATAAAAATGGAGACAGCAAAAAGTATACCTTGCATGTGAAGTTTGTCTTTCTCGTCTGACTAACTTTGCCCAGAGACAAAAATTTAGTCTCTTTTTTTCTAAGCAAGTCTAGAAAGTCTTGAAACACAAGGCATGGTTGTATTTGTATTCCTCTTTGGTTTCTTGTTGTTTCTTGTAATTATAGATACCATATTTTAAAATCTCTGGATTTTGGTTTGCTTCTGCCTAGATGGGTAAGGCAATACCATGAGTAAATGTTGAAAGAGATGCCTAATGCAAAGAAGTGGTGGCAGCTGTTTCTATGACATTTGTAGACCTTTGACATTCAAGACGGTATCCCTGTAGAGCTTCACAAAGGGAGAGTCGAGTTGCTGGATGCAACCATTGTTCTTGTTAGTGGATGGAGATTTATAATTATACCCTTGTCTGCTCAGAGCACATGCCATAGGGAGAAGCAACATAAACACAGGCAGCATGGCAGGCAATCCAGGACAACAATGAGGTTACAAATTACACAAAGCGATTTCACCATTCATGAAATAAGCCTTATTTGCAAATATGAAAGGAAATGTGGACCTTTTATCTTTATGTTTTAGTTTGTTTTCCAAAATTACATTCACAAAGAACTAAACAGGCTTTACTTAAACATCTTTGATGTTTTCAGTCTGGCTTGTGGTAAAATTCTAATGGACACATTTCTCCAAAGTATTGTCATATTCATATTCATATTCTCTGTCTCTCTCTCACACACACACACGCACACACACACACATCCTTCTCACACTTAAATTGTAAGGCGTTACCACTTTATATAACAATATATTTAGTCAAAATGGAGACATCATAGCCCCATCAATATTTATTTTCTGGAGATCTGCCCCGAAGTTAGTAGCAAACTATAGGAAATAGATCAAATTATTGAGTGGAACACTGCTTGGATTAGGAATTATGAATAATTAATATTTTCTATATTTTATCCCAGTATTCAACAACATAAACATATTGTTTTTAGAATAAGAAAAAAACTGATATCTATTTTTCTGTCTGTTGATAAATCTGATCTTACTAGATTGGAACAAATAGGCAATGCTTATGGTGAAAAAGCTCATAGTCCTTAGGGGCTATGACAAGTGACAGGTCACTCTCAAAGCCTGTGGAGTTCTTTTCTAAAGTAGAGGATTCAGTATGGGTGTCTGTCCCAGGCTCTGAATTGGGATTAGATGGACCACCTTCACACTCTTCTTTCCCTACTCTGTTGTGGTCTTCAGAATTTGAAAAGGCAGGAAGGTTAATCACACCTCAAGGTTAGGGGAGGGCAAAGAAGAGGTCAAAGGGGGACAGGTATTTATGGTCACATATCAGGTACTTTACTCACATTGTGCTTTTTAATACCTGTGAGGAAGGAATTTATTATTTAAATTTCAACTTTTATTTTTGACGGAGGGGGTACATGTGCGGGTTTATTGTGTGATGCTGAAGTTTGGGGTGTGGATCTCGTCATTCAGGTACTGAGTACAGTACTGATAAAGTAGTTTTTCAACCCATGCCCCCTATTCCAGGTAGTCCAGAGTGTCTATTATACCCACGTTTATGTCCGTGTATGCTCAGTGATTATCTCCCATTTGTAAGTGAGAACACGTGGTATTTGGTTTTCTGTTGCTGTGTTAATTCGCTGAGGATTATGGCCTCCACTTGCATCCATATCACTGCAAAAACCATGATTTTGTTCTTTTTTATGGCTGTGTAATATTCCATGGTGTATATATACCGTATTAGCTTTATCCAATCCACTGTTGATGGGCACCTGACTTGATTCCATGCCTTTGCTATTGTGAATGGCATAGTGATGAACGTGCAAGTCCATGTGCCTTTTTGGTAGAATGATTTATTTTCCTTTGGGTATATACCCAATAATGGGATTGCTGGGTTGAATAGTACCTCTGTTTTAAGTTCTTTAAAAATCACGGAAGAAATTTATTGTCTCTATTTTAAAAGTGACAAATACACATGTGGGTCACTTTTTTTTGAGTCGGGGTATCATTCTGTCATCCAGGCAGTAGTGCAATGGCAATGATCATGGTTCACTGCAGCCTTGAACTCCTAGGTTCATGCAATCCTCCTGCCTCAGTCTCCTAAGTAGCTGGGAGTACAGGCAGGAGCTGCCATGCCCGACTTCACTTTTAAACTAGAAAAATGTGCTTGGTATGTAGTGAATGCTCAAGAAATATTTATGGAATGAATTATTCTAGTAGTACAGATTTATATGGCTTTGCATAGCTTATATATCTGTGTATTTATACAAAAAAGTGTTCATAAATGCACATTCATGTCCAAACATGTGAACAATAGAGAGACAGCCTCTCTGGGACTTGTTGGATATAGCAGGAATTTTTTTATTTCTCTAATACTACAGTGGGGTTTGCTTCAAAAACTCCTCTTAACCAATCCAAATAATGTCATTTCCCAGCTGTGGTGTTGCATTGGGTCCAGTTCAAGTGCCAAAAGCTCAGCCGAGAGGAAGCCAAAACAATCACATCCTGAATGGTTAGAGTATTTTCTACCCCTCATCACTGTATGACACACTGTCTCAGGGGCCTTCTAGAGCCTGGGGAGTCCTCCGCTCCGTCGGAGACTTGACTTGGCACAGAGCCTGCCATGTCGTCAGCCCTTAACAACAGTTACATAATAAGTACTCTCTGTATCTAGGGATAATCATTTCCCACTCATATTTTATAACTGTGAAGGCTTCCTTTCCCCCAAATATTATGCCATAACTGTGTGCACAAAATGATATACTGGAGTCCCAATTCATCATCAGATAGTTTTAAGCTAAGCTCCATAGATGTTTCCCAGGCTCTTGACTTGGAGGTAAGCGCTGGTTTCACAGTTGGCTTCATTATGAGCCTGGGACATTTCATTCACATGACTTCGGATTACAGAAGAGGTGAAGCAGTGGTTACAAATTGAGAAAACTACTCTTCTTACATTAAGATATTCGTTCGGTTTCCATGGGTAAAAGAAGTAATCTACATGCAATCAACATATTTAGTGAGGAGATACATACACTAAGGAGGATACTGAAATTTTATTTCATTAAGCAAATTGTACTTCACTCCTGTAACAATGTAAGTGGGGAATGAAAATTCAGGTATTCACATTCAGAATTTGATTTCTTTCCTTTATGAAAGAATGCACCAGTTTTTTTGTTTTTGTTTTTGTTTTTTTGAGACAGAGTCTTGCTCTGTTGCCCAGGCTGGAGTAGAATGCACCAGTTGTAACTGGCAGCAGAGAGGGCTGTATTTCACGAGGCAGCACAGTGACTGTGCATGGGAGGAGGAGAGTCAGAAACCCAACCCCTAATGCAGCCCTGCCACATTTACTTGTGTACCTCAGACAAATCACCTAACTTTTTTAGGCATTGGTTCCCTAATCTGTAATGCAATGGGTTGAAATAGAGGTCCTTTAGGTCTCTCAGCATTTAAAACATTCTAGCCCTAAATCTATTCACCTCATGTCAATAGAAAGCCCAAAGATGACAGAAACTAGGAAAAAAATCCAGATAACTCAGTGATCTTGGTGTGTGCCACTCAGACAGCTAATGGTCAAATATACTTCCATCAACAATAGGAGTAGTGATTGGGCAATATTAAAGATAGACACTAAAAAGCTAGAATTGGGGTACTGTGTTCACTTTTTAAATAAACCTACTTTATGCCCCTTTTTGCATGATTGACATTTGCTGACTGTTGTTTCCTTTTTAGGTGAAGATTACTATGGTATGATGTAGTCAGATTCTAGTTGGCAAACTTTACTAAATAATTTAGAAGCCTCCATAAAATTCTTTTTTTTTTTTCTGCTGCAATTTCATTAAAATTCATTTGGGGAACTATACTGCCTCAATAATAGAATTGTATCTTATGTTTTGGAACTGTTTCCATGACAACAATAACAGGTGCAAGTTCACATATATACATATGTTCATTTAAAAGGTTACTGCAGTTATCCCTGTAAAGGTAAATTTCACTGCAAATAACATCAAAGTACCTACATTGTTACTTTCAGGAGAAAATGGCTTCTATATATAATGATATACATTAATTTCCTCCAGATGAAAAAAAATTTATATAAGTAAAATCTCTGAACAATACTTGAGTTAATTTATATAATAGAAACTCATACTTAACTTTACAATAGACTATACAGATTTAAGGAATATAGAAGACTGATTGCATAGCTCTAGCTTGGGGAATATTGCCAGTAAGAAACAGAAGACGATCGAGGAGCCAAGATGGCCGAATAGGAACAGCTCCGGTCTACAGCTCCCAGCGTGAGCGACGCAGAAGACGGGCGATTTCTGCATTTCCATCTGAGGTACTGGGTTCATCTCACTAGGGAGTGCCAGACAGTGGGCACAGGTCAGTGGGTGCGCGCACCGTGTGCGAGCCGAAGCAGGGCGAGCATTGCCTCACTTGGGAAGTGCAAGGGGTCAGGGAGTTTCCCTTCCGAGTCAAAGAAAGGGGTGACGGACAGCACCTGGAAAATCGGGTCACTCCCACCCGAATACTGCGCTTTTCCAACGGGCTTAAAAAACGGCCCACCACGAGATTATATCCCGCACCTGGCTGGGAGGGTCCTACGCCCACGGAGTCTCACTGATTGCTAGCACAGCAGTCTGAGATCAAACTGCAAGGCGGCAGCGAGGCTGGGGGAGGGGCGCCCGCCATTGCCCAGGCTTGATTAGGTAAACAAAGCAGCCGGGAAGCTCGAACTGGGTGGAGTCCACCACAGCTCAAGGAGGCCTGCCTGCCTCTGTAGGCTCCACCTCTGGGGGCAGGGCACAGACAAACAAAAAGACAGCAGTAACTTTTGCAGACTTAAATGTCCCTGTCTGACAGCTTTGAAGAGAGCAGTGGTTCTCCCAGCACGCAGCTGGAGATCTGAGAACGGGCAGACTGCCTCCCCAAGTGGGTCCCTGACCCCTGACCCCCGAGCAGCCTAACTGGGAGGCACCCCCCAGCAGGGGCACACTGACACCTCCCATGGCAGGGTATTCCAACAGACCTGCAGCTGAGGGTCCTGTCTGTTAGAAGGAAAACTAACAAACAGAAAGGACGTCCACACCAAAAACCCATCTGTACATCACCATCATCAAAGACCAAAAGTAGATAAAACCACAAAGATGGGGAAAAAACAGAACAGAAAAACTGGAAACTCTAAAAAGCAGAGCGCCTCTCCTCCTCCAAAGGAACACAGTTCCTCACCAGCAACGGAACAAAGCTGGATGGAGAATGACTTTGATGAGCTGAGAGAAGAAGGCTTCAGACGATCAAATTACTCTGAGCTACGGGAGGACATTCAAACCAAAGGCAAAGAAGTTGAAAACTTTGAAAAAAATTTAGAAGAATGTATAACTAGAATAACCAATACAGAGAAATGCTTAAAGTAGCTGATGGAGCTGAAAACCAAGGCTCAAGAACTACGTGAAGAATGCAGAAGCCTCAGGAGCTGATGCAATCAACTGGAAGAAAGGGTGTCAGCAATGGAAGATGAAATGAATGAAATGAAGTGAGAAGGGAAGTTTAGAGAAAAAAGAATAAAAAGAAATGAGCAAAGCCTCCAAGAAATATGGGACTATGTGAAAAGACCAAATCTACGTCTGATTGGTGTACCTGAAAGCGATGGGGACAATGGAACCAAGTTGGAAAACAAGCTGCAGGATATTATCCAGGAGAACTTCCCCAATCTAGCAAGGCAGGCCAACGTTCAGATTCAGGAAATACAGAGAACGCCACAAAGATACTCCTCGAGAAGAGCAACTCCAAGACACATAATTGTCAGATTCACCAAAGTTGAAATGAAGGAAAAAAAAAATGTTAAGGGCAACCAGAGAGAAAGGTCGGGTTACCCTCAAAGGGAAGCCCATCAGACTAACAGCGGATCTCTCGGCAGAAACCCTACAAGCCAGAAGAGAGTGGGGGCCAATGTTCAACATTCTTAAAGAAAAGAATTTTCAACCCAGAATTTCATATCCAGCCAAACTAAGCTTCATAAGCGAAGGAGAAATAAAATACTTTACAGACAAGCAAATGCTGAGAGATTTTGTCACCACCAGGCCTGCCCTAAAAGAGCTCCTGAAGGAAGCACTAAACATGGGAAGGAACAACCAGTACCAGCGGCTGCAAAATCATGCCAAATTGTAAAGACCATTGAGACTAGGAAGAAACTGCATCAACTAACGAGCAAAATAACCAGCTAACATCATAATGACAGGATCAAATTCACACATAACAATATTAACTTTAAATGTAAATGGACTAAATGCTCCAATTAAAAGACACAGACTGGCAAATTGGATAAAGAGTCAAGACCCATCAGTGTGCTGTATTCAGGAAACCCATCTCACGTGCAGAGACACACATAGGCTCAAAATAAAAGGATGGAGGAAGATCTGCCAAACAAATGGAAAACAAAAAAAGGCAGGGTTTGCAATCCTAGTCTCTGATAAAACAGACCTTAAACCAACAAAGATCAAAAGAGACAAAGAAGGCCATTACATAATGGTAAAGAGATCAATTCAACAAGAAGAGCTAACTATCCTAAATATATATGCACCCAATACAGGAGCACCCAGATTCATAAAGCAAGTCCTGAGTGACCTTCAAAGAGACTTAGACTCCCACACATTAATAATGGGAGACTTTAACACCCCACTGTCAACATTAGACAGATCAACAAGACAGAAAGTCAACAAGGATACCCAGGAATTGAACTCAGCTCTGCACCAAGCGGACCTAATAGACATCTACAGAACTGTCCACCCCAAATCAACAGAATATACATTTTTTTCAGCACCACACCACACCTCTTCCAAAATTGACCACATACTTGGAAGTAAAGCTCTCCTCAGCAAATGTAAAAGAACAGAAATTATAACAAACTATCTCTCAGACCACAGTGCAATCAAACTAGAACTCAGGATTAAGAATCTCACTCAAAACCCCTCAACTACATGGAAACTGAACAACCTGCTCCTGAATGACTACTGGGTACATAACGAAATGAAGGCAGAAATAAAGATGTTCTTTGAAACCAACGAGAACAAAGACACAACATACCAGAATCTCTGGGATGCATTCAAAGCAGTGTGTAGAGGGAAATTTATAGCACTAAATGCCCACAAGAGAAAGCAGGAAAGATCCAAAATTGACACCCTAACATCACCATTAAAAGAACTAGAAAAGCAAGAGCAAACACATTCAAAAGCTAGCAGAAGGCAAGAAATAACTAAAATCAGAGCAGAACTGAAGGAAATAGAGACACCAAAAACCCTTCAAAAAATTAATGAATCCAGGAGCTGGTTTTTTGAAAGGATCAACAAAATTGATAGACCACTAGCAAGACTAATAAAGAAAAAAAGAGAGAAGACTCAAATAGACGCAATAAAAAATGATAAAGGGGATATCACCACCGATCCCACAGAAATACAAACTACCATCAGAGAATACTACAAACACCTCTACACAAATAAACTAGAAAATCTAGAAGAAATGGATAAATTCCTCGACACATACACTCTCCCAAGACTAAACCAGGAAGAAGTTGAATCTCTGAATAGACCAACAACAGGATCTGAAATTGTGGCAATAATTAATAGCTTACCAACCAAAAAGAGTCCAGGACCAGATGGATTCACAGCCAAATTCTACCAGAGGTACAAGGAGGAACTGGTACCATTCCTTCTGAAACTATTCCAATCAATAGAAAAAGAGGGAATCCTCCCTAACTCATTTTATGAAGCCAGCATCATTCTGATACCAAAGCCAAGCAGAGACACAACCAAAAAAGAGAATTTTAGACCAATATCCTTGATGAACATTGATGAAAAATCCTCAATAAAATACTGGCAAAACGAATCCAGCAGCACATCAAAAAGCTTATCCACCATGATCAAGTGGGCTTCATCCCTGGGATGCAAGGCTGGTTCAATATACGCAAATCAATAAATATAATCCAGCATATAAACAGAGCCAAAGACAAAAACCACATGATTATCTCAATAGATGCAGAAAAAGCCTTTGACAAAATTCAACAACCCTTCATGCTAAGAACTCTCAATAAATTAGGTATTGATGGGACGTATTTCAAAATAATAAGAGCTATCTATGACAAACCCACAGCCACTATCATACTGAATGGGCAAAAACTGGAAGCATTCCCTTTGAAAACTGGCACAAGACAGGGATGCCCTCTCTCACCACTCCTATTCAACATATTGTTGGAAGTTCTGGCCAGGGCAATTAGGCAGGAGAAGGAAATAAAGGGTATTCAATTAGGAAAAGAGGAAGTCAAATTGTCCCTTTTTGCAGAAGACATGATTGTATATCTAGAAAACCCCATTGTCTCAGCCCAAAATCTCCTTAAGCTGATAAGCAACTTCAGCAAAGTCTCAGGATACAAAATCAATGTACCAAAATCACAAGCATTCTTACACACCAACAACAGACAAACAGAGAGCCAAATCATGAGTGAACTCCCATTCACAATTGCTTCAAAGAGAATAAAATACCTAGGAATCCAACTTACAAGGGATGTGAAGGACCTCTTCAAGGAGAACTACAAACCACTGCTCAAGGAAATAAAAGAGGAAACAAACAAATGGAAGAACATTCCATGCTCATGGGTAGGAAGAATCAATATCATGAAAATGGCCATACTGCCCAAGGTAATTTACAGATTCAATGCCATCCCCATCAAGCCACCAATGCCTCTCTTCACAGAATTGGAAAAAAGTACTTTAAAGTTCATATGGAACCAAAAAAGAGCCTGCATCACCAAGTCAGTCCTAAGCCAAAAGAACAAAGCTGGAGGCATCACGCTACCTGACTTCAAACTATATACTACAAGGCTACAGTAACCAAAACAGCATGGTACTGATACCAAAACAGAGATATAGATCAATGGAACAGAACAGAGCCCTCAGAAATAATGCCGCATATCTACAACTATCTGATCTTTGACAAACCTGAGAAAAACAAGCAATGGGGAAAGGATTCCCTATTTAATAAATGGTGCTGGGAAAACTGGCTAGCCATATGTAGAAAGCTGAAACTGGATCCCTTCCTGACACCTTATACAAAAATCAGTTCAAGATGGATTAAAGACTTAAACGTTAGACCTAAAACCATAAAAACCCTAGAAGAAAACCTAGGCATTACCATTCAGGACATAGGCATGGGCAAAGACTTCATGTCTAAAACACCAAAAGCAATGACAACAAAAGCCAAAATTGACAAATGGGAACTAATTAAAATAAAGAGCTTCTGCACAGGAAAAGAAACTACCGTCAGAGAGAACAGGCAACCTACAGAATGGGAGAAAATTTTCGCAACCTACTCATCTGACAAAGGGCTAATATCCAGAATCTACAATGAACTCAAACAAATTTACAAGAAAAAAACAAACAACCCCATCAAAAAGTGGGCAAAGGACATGAACAGACACTTCTCAAAAGAAGACATTTATGCAGCCAAAAAACACATGAAAAAATGCTCATCATCACTGGCCATCAGAGAAATGCAAATCAAAACCATGAGATACCATCTCACACCAGTTAGAATGGTGATCATTAAAAAGTCAGGAAACAACAGGAGCTGGAGAGGATGTGGAGAAATAGGAACACTTTTACACTGTTGGTGGGACTGTAAACTAGTTCAACCATTGTGGAAGTCAGTGTGGCCATTCCTCAGGGATCTAGAACTGGAAACACCATTTGACCCAGCCATCCCATTACTGGGTATATACCCAAAGGACTATAAATCATGCTGCTATAAAGACACATGCACACGTATGTTTACTGCAGCATTATTCACGATAGCAAAGACTTGGAACCAACCCAAATGTCCAACAATGATAGACTGGATTAAGAAAATGTGGCACATATACACCATGGAATACTATGCAGCCATAAAAAAGGATGAGTTCATGTCCTTTGTAGGGACATGGATGAAATTGGAAACCATCATTCTCAGTAAACTATCGCAAGAACAAAAAACCAAACACCGCATATTCTCACTCATAGGTGGGAATTGAACAATGAGATCACATGGACACAGGAAGGGGAATATCACACTCTGGGGACTGTTGTGGGGTGGCGGGGGGGGAGGGATAGCACTGGGAGATATACCTAATGCTAGATGACGAGTTAGTGGGTGCAGCACACCAGCATGGCACATGTATACGTATGTAACTAACCTGCACAATGTGCACATGTACCCTAAAACTTAAAGTATATAAAAAAAAAAAAAAACAGAATACAAAGTTGGACAGTAATGGAAAATTATTAGGACTGCTTCCACAAAGGCCATTCAATGTGAGGATGTAAGGTTAAATTCCCTTCCCTATCCTCCCCTAATCCCCAATCTCTTTGTGTAAATAGAGGCCATTCGAAAGGCACACCACTCTATATAAACCTTGCTATCCCTTGAAAAAAAAACTGAAGACAAAAAAAAAATAACTTGCACCATATTCACATGCCCCATCTCTCTTAAAATAATACAATCTGTCTGTAATCAGAACATCTATGTGCCAACCAAAAGATGACACACCTACCTGTATGCCCCTGATTTCTTCTGCCTTCTGTTACATCTCTACAGTGTAGGTGCCCAGAGTTAAGAGTTTGAAAGAAGGTAGAGCACAAATGTCTTTTTGAAATGTTCAGGGTCTCCTAAGGTTTTCCGTTTCCAAAGCCCGTTTACTAGATCCTGATCCTTTGTGCTTTGACCTTCAGTGATCTACCACCTCTCCCAAGCCTTGCTTGATTTTTTGAACTGGACCCATTTCCTGCTAAAATCTTCCTGGCCTGCTTCATCTTAGGACACAGCCCCATTCTATTGGATTTTATTAGATTCTTCATCTCAGAAACTGTATCTTATTCCTATTTGCTCTCACACCTCCAGTTCCTCGTCGAGTCCCTCCTATATTATAGGTATCCCAGGCCAGTCCAGGGACAGCCAAGTTTGGTTCCAGTGTCCCTAACCTAGGCTAGATTGATTCAAATGAGAATGCTGAAATAAGGAAATAGGTTCCCAAAGTAAGTTGCTTATATAGGTGATGGTAAAGGTGGATGCTATTGATGTGGGTGTTGCTAGTTCTTGATGAAAAATACACACACCAGATGGCAGCTTAACCTGAGGAGTTTGTCTTCCAAGTGCGATTTATGTGAAAGAGATGAGAGAATATAATTGTCCAAAGCTCAGGGGAGGAGATCAGTGTGAGGGGATCTGCAGAAGAATTAATTGTAAGACAAAGGTGAGAACACTAGACTCATGATAGATGGAAAACCCATTTGAAGTGAGTTCTGGAAGACAAGAATGAATAGTTCAACTGAGACTCAAAGAAAATAAAAAAAAGAGTGTGAAAAGTGGGGGACTAGATATAGCCATTTAGAGAGAAATGGGCAGCCACCCTCCAAAGTATCACCTATAAAGATTAAATGGGAAGATTTGAAATCCTGAGCAACCCTAAAGACCTGTAGATGTGGATCAGGTATATCCCCAATTAGATGTGAATGCCATAAGTCCAATGAACATTTTCCATTTCTTACATATGCACATTTCCCGTGTCTAATATATGTGCATACATATATTACACTCTTCAGAATTTAACTCCATTGTAGTTCTGTACATGTCATGGCACTTTTTTTCAGCTCAGAAAGCAACTGTGCCAAGAACCAGCACCTCTCTTGTAGAAGTGGCATTTCTCAGTCTTCTGGAAACTGAGCATTCCTTATCTTATGCCCTAAGGCAAAGCAGGCCAGGGAGAATGTAGAAGCTATGAGTCCCGTTCAGAGAATCAAGCAAGGCCTAGGAGAGGTGGCAGGTCACTAAAAATTGGGCTTCATTTCCAACTTACCACTCGGTTTGATGATAAAGTCTGGACACTTGAGTATTTGTGCATCACACAAAAGAGACTTGTTTCAAACCACACCCACTATTTCTGCTTTCCACATAGATGGCAGCAGACATCTGCATGTGGAGAACTCCCTCCCATATGAGGCAAGTTTTCAAAAAATGACAAAGTGGCTGTTTTAAATGTAGAGTGAACAGAACCATCATAGTAATCTGTTTATGAAAGTACATTTATTTTTTGTTCTTGTAAGCTGTAAGTAAATATGGTATAGAGCAGAACTGGATTTGCTTACAACATTTTGCATTAAATTTTACATGAATATCCATATATGTTCATTAATTCTAAATGATAATTAATTATAATTTTAAAGAAAAACTGATCACATAGTAGCATTTTTATTCTTTGAACCATTTCTAATTTGCACACGCCTATCATGTGTATCCTTTATAGTGATTAAGAGTTGATGTAGAATGAAGATTGTGAAACAGGTGAAGGCAACTGTTTATTTTGTTTTACCTTGTGGATCTAAGCAGCATTTCTCACTTGAGCCAAGGTGCAATGTGTGGCTGTTATAATGAAAGCCATCCTGTGGGCTGCTTATAAAGAAGCACTGATGGAATTAGAATGAGGTAGTGAAGGTAACAGCATTCCAGGAAGTGTTAAAGGGATGAAAAAAGTGATAACAGCAAGAAGCTTATGTGTCACAGGCTTTATTTGGAGCCAAGGATTTCTATAAACAAAAGTAGGGGAAGACAAGACACATCTAGCAAAACTAGAATCTTTAGAGTAACCTGTAATGTTTCTGGACTAGCGAGACCTTCCTATAATTCAGTACTTATCATAGGATGGCTTGTCTTTCAGCGTGGAGCCTAAGAAAAAGCTCCCAAGTGGGGATCTAGAGATGGATTGCAGCCCTAGCTCTGATGATGCCAGCTCTGGAACTTGTAACCAATCAGTTCTTCTTTCTGGACTACAGTTTCAAATTTGAATAATAAGAGTTTTGGTTTAGTTGATCTCTAAGATTTTTCATAGAACAATAACAACATAAAAGATATGTGATTCCATCAAAAAAGATATGAACTTATTTATCTTTTGCTATTGCTATAATCATCAGTAACTAGACTTAGGTGTACATATCTTTAACCTGCATACTTTTGCCTAATACTTTTTTTACATGTGCATAACTGTTTTTTAAAGAACCAAGCACACAATACAGGAAGGCAAAAAGTAAGATATAAGATACAGCACACGAATTTTGCCTGGCTAGTTCCAGAAGCACTCTAGAAAAGTATAGTTGTTAGGTTATGTTTGGAGGATCATAATGAACCTTTCCAGGAAAGGATGGAACGTGGAGATGATGCACATTAATGACACTGATGTGGTGTTGTGAAAATATGAAGAGCTGTAAGGACTTATTTAGGAGATTTGCCATTGGAGAGTCTTGCAAACAATATCAACTTTTGACTGACTGAATGAATAAAGTTTTGCAGCTGCACAGATAACACAGAAGAGAGTTTAATGCAAGGACAAGTTCTATTCAGCTTTGAAAAAAATTAAGGAGATTCTCTAACAACAGATTTTTTTTAAGTGTTTTCTCTGTTTAATTAATGCCCAAGTTGTGATTGGTATCTGTAATTACAAATATATTTATTTATAGGAAAATATATTTCTGTTGAACAGTGGCATTTTCATTTTTTTATTTTTTATCATTACAATTGTGAAAATAGTATTCTTGCAACTTAGTAGGGTCATGAGCCATTCAGTTTCTCTAATTGATACCTCTTCCACTCAATTTTCATCCCTTTGTTAAGGAACCAATTCAGTTTACATGTGATCAGCAGCCAGGTAAACAGCTTTTAGGGACATGGTCAAAATGAAAGCTAGAAATCATTTCAGCTTTATGGTTATGGTTATTAGATTATGTATAAAATAAAAATAATTTGCTAGCATGTGAACATTTTGGCACTGCATGTAAACCATTATGAAATTAACCATAATGATGGCTTGAGTATATGAAAAGATTATGCTTGCTTTTCCTTTCTTATGGTTAATAAAAGGAGACAATTTAGTAAAATATGTAATTTGCAAAAGGAACTGTAAAGTGAATAACTTCCATATAATCAAAACATTCTGCAAATTTCTCTAACAATAGGTATAGCTTTTTTCCACCCTCCTCCACCCCTGACACCTCACCTTGGATTGGTGATCAAGTCTAGTTACTTGACTATTTATGCATCAAAACAGGTGGATTTTAAACTGCTTTGAGGCTCGCCTACCATTTCTGCGTTCAACATAGATGGCAGCAGATATCTGCATAGAAAAGCTCCCTGCCACCCAAACCTTTAATGAGGACTAGAATATGGCAGTAATGGAGTTGGCCCACAGTGAAGACCTGGGGGTCTTTCATTAAATGAAGTTCAGTGATGCCAACACATGACTGCCAATGCCAGGTCCCACAGCAGGGCTTTTTCCACTGTGGGATTTTGGCTGCAGCCGTTGGCTTCTACTGTTGAATTCCCCAGATTTGTTTCGTAGACAGCTGCAGCTGCCTCCAGTTGGCTTTAATTCCAATGTCATGCCAATGTAGACAGCAGCATTTCCGCAGCCTTTTCCACATCATGTAGCCATAAACATGAAGACTAAATCTATCTATACTGCTTTAAGTATAAGAATTCTTACATAAGCATATTTGATTCTTGTGGTGTGTATGTGATCTTTGCATAGGCATACTTACAGCTAATGTCTGCTGCAGGCAGGGAAAAATATTATGTATATGATGTCAAAGCTTGGGTAACCTTTACACTGCAATGAAAATATATGGGATGACTGACTTTCATCATTCTGTATTCCATAGCAGTGAACAGGAATTTGTCAACACTTGCACTGATGAAAGGCAGTCCTCAAGACAAATGGTTTTTTAATTAAATAAATAATTGCATTAGAAAAGAGAAAAGTAAATTTAAGCCCACGTTATGAATATTCTCATTACATTTCCACTTGTGGGTATTCATTCATCAGCATGATCTGAATTTTACGTATGTAAAACATGGGTAATAACCATTTCTAGACTTGAAGCCCTTTGAAGACAGGGAGTAGCTCATTATTCTCTGAGTTTCTCCTAAGATACAGGAACAAACTGAATCTAAACAACACAACTAACTTGTTGGTCATATATAGCACCGTGCTGTCATTGTTCAGTGCCTTAGTCCTGGGCATATGACTAGAGACAAAAAGGCAGAACCCCTAATTCCAAAGAACCTCATCAAGGAGATTTATTATTATTATTATTAAACTTTTAAGTTTAGGGGTACAAATGCAGGTTTGTTACATAGATAAACTTGTGTCATGGGGGTTTGTTGTACAGATTATTTCATCACCTAGGTATTAAGCCTAGTATCAATTTTTTTCCTGATGCTCTCCCTCTTCCCACCCTCCAAAAGACCCCAGTATGTGTTGTTTCCCTCTGTGTTCATGTGTTCTCATCATTTAGCTCCCACTTGTAAGTCAGAACACGTCGTATTTGGTTTTCGGTTCCTGTGTCAGTTTGCTAAGGATAATGGCCTCCAGCTATCCCGTGTCCCTGCAAAGGATGTGGTTATTTGCATATGCTATGACTAGGGTATAAAGAAAGGAAAACAGAACACTCTGTGAGATCACAGAGTGTGGTACTCATTCAATCTCAAGCTGGAGTGGTGAGAAAGAAAAACAGTAGGGAAGATATTCTATTACAGATAGATAGGTCCCCTGTTTTCAGGTTGGAAATAATTTTGCTGTGGAGACTATATTAACTCACAAAACAAAGAACCATAAAGAAGTACAAACTTAAATGTTGAATTTTAAATATTAGTTCCTTGTTATATAAAGAGTTCTAAGAAAAGATCAGAACTTTTGATACCCAGCCAGAATAATCAAGAAAATCCCCTGGGGAAAGAGGGTCTGGAAGTATTACTGTCCACTACCCCATTTAAAACTTGATGGTGAGTCCCATCAAGTAATGTCCCTGTTGTTAAAATGTCTCTTAGTTGTGATCATTTTCTAGCTCTGTGTTTTTCAAGAGAGCTATTTTAACATAGAACAGTATTAGATGTGTTTTGTTCACATGTTTTATTATAGCTCCAGGCCATTACATTAGCAGTGTTACTACACTTGCCTTCTATTAATAGATGCTCATTAGTGGCACTTCCATTAACTAATTTCAGGATTATACTAAAAGCTACCAAGTAATCTTTTAGATCATTCATTAGCAGTTGGATGCCTGCATTTGCTTCTCTTATGGACATTCAAGTGTGTACACATTAGTCAAAGATGCTTCCACTTCATCTCTGAAGGAAACAAAATGTAAGTCTGTCTTAATACCTACACTGTTGGCTCTTCTCTTCTGCCTCTAGAGTGGAGGGAAGCAAGGTGGAAGAATCTAGACCCTTTCCAGAATCCTGAGTGACTGTAGTTGACTCCTTTGTAGAGCAAGGATTTAGAGGCAAGATCTGTGTACAGAAACCAGATTATTCTCAAGTGCCTTGGCATTCTAGACTTTCCCTGTGCCTTGGCAGATGCATGATTCCTGCATGCAGTCTATACATTTCCAAGCCTTCATTATAATTTCTTACGGACCACAATGCCTACCCTAGAAGTCATGGAAGTTTGCAGCACAATGAATATACATGCCATGCAATGCATCCAAACCTCCAGCCTCTCTTGAGCCTTGGATCATTATGTAATTACAGAGAAGTTGCACAAATCCAGCAAGGCTAAGTTTGAGTAATTACATTGCAATAATGGAACCAGACCAATTTGCCATCCTTTGCCCTTCCCATTGCCCAGCAGGCTCCCCTGTGCTTGTGAAGTAGCTGTCACAGCAAGGCCCGACTTTTAGGGGAAAAGCAATAAAACCAACTGTCATCTCATGTAATGTAAAATATGTAAGTTATCCAGACTAATTGCAAGCAAAGCTGGCTTGAGAATTCATCACAAGCCTGTGCAGAAAAAAGAGTATTGTTTACCATCTTATTTACTTGCCTGCTAAGCTAGTGGAGCTCACCAATTATGTAAAAGCATCAGGATTGTCTGCAAAGCAGTGTATAAATAGAGCAACTCTAACGCTGAAGCTTGCCATTCAAGTGATAAACATACTTGTCTGTGTCTGGCAGCTCACAAAATTACACCAGAGGAATCTGTTTATCCAAGTGAGGCCAAGGTAAAGTGTGATGCTTAAGTTGTGGTGTCACCAAAAGGCAACTTTGGGAGGGGCTTTCACCTCCCCATCTGTCTCCATCAGCCACCCCAACTCCCACTGGAACACTGTCTAAGAAAAAATAAAGGATTTAACAGACATAGGCAAGCGCGGCTTTAAGATTAAGTTCCTTGTTTTAACCTGATTTCCATCGTGAGCCCTTTACACAGAAATTAGGCACCTTTTACTGGGTGCAAGAGAGATTCTGCAAGATTCATTATAGTCTTTAACTCCGTCCCACCTCTAGTGCCTTCTCTCCAGTCACCACATTCTTTTGTTTAAAGAAAAAAAGAAGAGAATAGGACAAATGCCATTGTCTAGCCAAGAGAAAACTATTAGTAGCCATTAATATGGTAACAAGAACTAGCACATAGATGGGTACCCACTGTGTGCCAAATACTATTTTAAATACCTTATGTATACTTCCTTATTGAATATTCAAATTAAATTTGAGATACTGTTTATCATTTTATCATTTCCACTATACAAATAGGGAAATGAAAGCTTAGCAAGGTCGTATGCCCACAGTCACACAACTAGCCATAATTAAAGCCACTGGTATGTGAATTCCTATGCTGTTTTCTGTATATCCTGCTGACAGTAAGTAGATTCCTTGTTTTCTTTTGGACCAATCACTCAGAGGATAAAGTGGGATACAGTTGGAAGTCCTATAGTTACCTACTCAAAACCTAAGACTTCAAACCTTCAGGGAAGCTGTTGTCTTAAATGGAAAAACCAAGAAACCAGAAATGATAGGCCCAGGTTCTAGCTCTCCATCAGTCAAACATGAACTTTACTCTCGCCTTCTGCAGAAGATGAGTCAGTATTCCTACTTCAGGAGTTGTAAAAATTAAGCACATCTCAAGCCTGGTAATAAGTTTCTGTTCATATCCTTCACTCACTTTTTGATGGGGTTGTTTTTTCCTTGTAAATTTGTTTAAGTTGTTTGTAGATTCTGGATATTAGACCTTTGTCAGATGGATAGATTGCAACTCATCTTCTGCAGAAGATGAGGCAATATTCCTGTTTGAGGAGTTGTAAAAAATAAGCAAATTTTATGCCTGATAATAATTCAGAATCACTTGTGCAGCTTTAAAAATATCACTTGCCTAGCTCTAACTCAAAGCCTAAGCAATCAGTTTGTCTAGTGGGTGATGGGTTGAAACAGGTAGGCAATTATGTATTTTTTTCATTTCCGTGGATGATGGAGCTGCACAGCCATGGTAACCATGGATCAGATGAGGTGTGTGAACCTCAAGCCACTTAGCACAGTGCCAAGAACACATTAAATCATTCTTATTCTCCAGCTATGACGTCTGTGTTATCTCCCTCGTATTCTGCCTCTTTTCTCACAAAATGATGGAAATGTATCTCTTGGGAACCTCCAGTTCTAAATAGGGGCTTTTAGCGTTGAGCAGATTCCAAGCAAATCTTATGAGAGACAAAGTACACTGTTGGCCTCTCTGACTCTGCCTCCTGAAGCCTTTTAATCGGGCCTCTGTCTTTTCAGACCTCCCCAGGATGCCAACCCATACTAGACAGCCTCATCTCATCCCAAGCCTATACGTTTGCTATTCAATTAAAAGAGTATGGTGCTAAGTGATTGGCTACAGTAATCCACCGCACTAGACAATTAGCTATCATTTCACTGCCGAGCAACATCATGTATGAGTCCCTACGAAGCGAACATTCCAGGCCTTTTAATACAGTTGTGGTGGATGTATTTATGGCTATACCATGCTGGGCCCACATCACTTAAATAGCTACTTATGTCATTTTAGGGCAAGGTCTGCTCTAATTTTTGGAGGCTCCTCCTGCTTTGTCTCTGATGGTTACAGAAATGGGGCAAACCTCTTGCTCATCCTCTCCAACTTCTCCTATTATAAATTAGAACATGCTCACTTCTAATACACTGACAATCCAACAGATTCGGGAAAAAGCAGTTCTTGTGATTAAAAAAAAATAGTTACTTAATTGAAGTGAATCAGATATTTGTCATTTATATGTGTAACTTACTGCTTTCTGTTTGCTGTCTTGAGCCCAGCATCTAGTATTGTGATATTGTGACATAGTTTTCAACAGAGCATGAGAGCCTAGTTGCAAATTGGTCTTTTTTACCCACTAGTGATTTCCAAAACCTAGGGAGAAAGAAAAGGAATAGAGAGGTACAAGACAGTTTTAATATTTTCCCTGGAAAAGAAACCATCCAAATAGCAATGACTAATACTTAAGACACTCAGACTTTTTTTTAATATATACTTTAAGTTCTGGGATACATGTGCAGAAAGTGCAAGTTCATTACATAGGAATACACGTGCCATGACGGTTTGCTGTACCCATCAACCCGTCATCTGCATTAGGTATGCCTCCTACTGCTATCCCTCCTTTAGCTCCCCACCCCCTGACAGGCCCTGGTGTGTGATGTTCCCCTCCCTGTGTCCATGTGTTCTCATTGTTCAACTCCCACTTATGAGTGAGAACATGTGGTGTTTGGTTTTCTGTTCCTGTGTTAGTTTGCTGAGAATGGTGGTTTCCAACTTCATCCATGTCCCTGCAAAGAACATGAACTCATCCTTTTTTATGGCTGCATAGTATTCCATGGTGTATATGTGCCACATTTTCTTTATCCAGTCTATCATTGATGGGCATTTGGGTTCGTTCCAACTCTGCTGTTGTGAATACTGCTGCAATAAACATACATGTACATGTGTCTTTCTAGTAGCATGATTTATAATCCTTTGGATATATAACCAGTAATGGGATTGCTAGGTCAAATGACATTTCTAGTTCTAGATCCTTGAGGAATCGCCACACTTTTTTCCACAATGGTTGAACTAATTTATACTCCCAACAAAAGTGTAAAAGGGTTCCTATTTCTTCACATCCTCTCTAGCATCTGTTGTTCCCTGACTTTTTAATGATCACCATTCTAACTGGCATGAGATGGTATCTCATTGTGGCTTTGATTTGCATTTCTCTAATGACAAGTGATGATGAGCTTTTTTTCATATGTTTATTGGCCACATAAATGTTTTCTTTAAGAGGTGTCTGTTCATATCCTTTGCCCACTTTTTGATGGGGCTGTTTTTTTCTTGTAAATTTGTTAAAGTTCTTTGTAGATTCTGGATATTAGCCCTTTGTCAGATGGATAGATTGCAGTTATTTTTCCCATTCTCTAGGTTGCCTGTTCACTCTGATAGTTTCTTTTGCTGTGCAGAAGCTTTTCAGTTTAATCAGATCCCATTTGTCAATTTTGGCTTTTGTTGCCATTGCTTTTAGTGTTTTAGTCATGAAGTCTTTGCCCATGCCTATGTCCTGAATGGTATTGCCTAGGTTTTCTTCTAGGGTTTTTATGGTTTTAGGTCTTATGCTGAAGTCTTTAATCCATCTTGAGTTAATTTTTGTATAAGGTATAAGGAAGTGGTCCAGTTTCAGTTTTCTGCGTATGGCTAGCCAGTTTTCCCAACACCATTTATTAAGTAGGGAGTCGTTTCCCCATTGCTTGTTTTGGTCAGGTTTGTCAAAGATCAGATGGTTGTAGATATGTGGTATTATTTCTGAGGCCTCTGTTCTGTTCCACTGGTATATATATATATATCTAATTTGGTACCAGTACCATGCTGTTTTTGTTACTGTAGCCTTGTACTATAGTTTGAAATCAGGTAGTGTGATGCCTCCAGCTTTGTTCTTTCTGCTTAGGATTGTCTTGGCTACACAGGCTCTTTTTTAGTTCCATATGAAATTTACAGTAGCTTTTTCTAATTCTGTGATGAAAGTCAATGGTAGCTTGATGGGGATAGCATTGAATCTATAAATTACTTTGGGCAGTATGGCCATTTAAATGATATTGATTCTTCCTATCCATGAGCATGGAATGCTTTTCCATTTGTTTGTGTCCTCTCTTATTTCCTTGAGCAGTGGAGTTCTCCTTGAAGAGGTCCTTCACATCCCTTGTAAGCTGTATTTCTAGGTATTTTATTCTCTTTGTAGCAATTGTGAATGGGAGTTCACTCATGATTTGGCTCTCTGATTGTCTATTATTGCTGTATAGGAAGACTTGTGATTTTTGCACATTGATTTTGTATCCAGAGACTTTGCTGAAGTTGCTTATCAGCTTAAGGAGATGAAACGTTGGGGTTTTCTAAATATACAATCATGTCATCTGCAAACAGAGACAAATTGACTTCCTCTCTTCCTATTCAAATACCCTTTATTTCTTTCTCTTGCCTGACTGCCCTGGCCAGAACTTCCAATACTATGTTGAATAGGAGTGGTGAGAGAGGGCATCCTTGTCTTGTGCCAGTTTTCAAAGGGAATGCTTCCAGGTTTTGCCCATTCAGTATGATAGTGGCTGTGGGTTTGTCATAGATAGCTCTTATTATTTTGAAATACGTTCTATCAATACCTAGTTTATTGAGAGGTTTTAGCATGAAGGGGTGTTGAATTTTACTGAAGGCCTTTTCTGCATCTATTGAGATAATCATGTGGTTTTTGCCATTGGTTCTGTTTATGTGTTGTATTATGTTTATTGATTTGCATATGTTGAACCACCCTTGCATCCCAGGGATGAAGCTCACTTGATCATGGTGGATAAGGTTTTTGATGTGCTGCTGGATTCAGGTTGCCAGTATTTTATTGAGGATTTTCACATCGATGTTCATCAGGGATATTGGCCTGAAATTTTCTTTTTTGTTGTTGTTGTGTCTCTGCCAGGTTTTGGTATCAGGATGATGCTGGCCTCATAAAATGAGTTAGGGAGAAGTCCCTCTTTTTCTGTTGTTTGGAAGAGTTTCAGAAGTGATGGTACCAGCTCCTCTTTGTACCTCTGGCAGAATTTGGCTATGAATCTGTCTGGTCCTGAGCTTTTTTTTGGTTGATAGGACTTTTTTTTTGAAGAAAAAAAAATTCAACTATTAAGAAGTGGGCTTTTACTAAGCTCTTTCTCTTCCTCATCTAGTCTGAATCTGTTACAATCTTGCATCATTCTGTAAGCATCAAGCAGCCTGTCAGGAAAAGGATGAACAAAAAAGAACTAGAAAGAGCGAGACAAATAGAGAGAGCTCCAAGCCAAGAAGACTTTTCACCACCCCCACATCCATGCCCTAAAATAGACATAAAACTGCACATTCTTATAATTCATTGACCAGGTTAGGAGTTAGCAGAAATTAATAGCTGAGTGCTTTTTTCTTAATGGAACGACTGCTTTGTCAGGAAAATAAAACAGAAAAACTGCAAAATTCAACTAGTCTCCAGATCAGCTAGCCAGCAAGTGGCAAACAAAGTGCACAGAGATCTGTGCCCAAAGGCCGCTCAATTTAGGACCTTCCCAACAAGCACCCAAATGGCGATGATGGCTAAGCATTGAGCTTAAACATGACTCACTAATGACCTCCTTTAAAAATAGTGCTGTTCTTCCCTTGCACAAGAGGTGAAAGAGCCAAGTCAGAGATGTCTCAGCTGTCAGAGTTGGCACTCCCATGGAAGCCCAGATAGCTGTAATTTATTTTTTCTCTTTTTTCTTCTTCTCTCCACTGTTTTCCTCCTGCTTCTTCCTCTCTTGTCTTTCTCCTTTTCCTTTGTCTCTTTCTCTTTCTTCTTTTTCCTCAAAAAAAAAAAAAAGCCTATTTTGTTTCAGCAACAATTATTCTCCTTTTCATGCCCATTGCTAGCCAGTTGAAAGGTCACAGGTTCAAAGATATAACAAGAGCCAAGAAACTTTGGGCTCATTGGCCTGAGATAAAAAATTATACATAAGAAATAGAGATGTATCAATCTCAGATAAGAAAAAAATCTTATTTATTTGGCACAATTTTAGTCAAATTTTGCCCTAACCAAATTTTGACAGAAAGATGTATTGATTTTCTAAAAAAAAAAAAAAAAAAAAAAAAAAAATCCTATAGTAGGGAGGCTCTGTTGGAGCTAAATCACATTTTTCAAGCAATCTCATGCATAGCAAACAAAGCACATCTCTCTCATCAACTAGGTTTTGCTAATTAAGATACTGATTTGATTCTTTTCTATTTCTCAAACTTAAAAATCATTATTGCTATAAACTGAAGTATTTTAAAACACCTTTGCTTGTTTGATTGGCTAACAACTTATTAGAATAAAAGTCTGAAGAGAAGAAAAAAACTTATAATTGTAATGCCTGAGGCCTCTTAAAAAATGTTTGTAAGTTTTCTTATATACCAGATAGTATCGCTGAAGGAAACTACATGGGTATATTTCAACTTCATTTCTATTTCTCTTGCCCTGAAATTCTCTGCAACATTGAGTTGGGCACAAAATATCTAATGTCTTCAATGAGCTCTTAAAGGTTGATGAGAAATTGAAGAAAATCTTGACAATATTTTGAACTGTTTTGAAAGAACTCCCTGCAATTCTGTCCATAGCAAACTTTGCCATGTGCTGACAGTAGGGATGAGGCAATTGCCACAATTACTCCTTGTAACCTCAGCCAGTTTCTGAATTTTAATTCCATGTAAAAAGCCTCCAAGGTCAAACAAGAGCTGTGCTTCTCCACTTTTCCTTTTTCCTTGTTCTCAATGGTTTCTCCTCTATGAACACACACCTCTAAAGATTAATCTCCATGACCCAACTCCGCTCCAGCATCCCAATTGAAAGGGGCACAAAACTTGGGTTCCCCAAGATTAGGAGAATCCTACATGTAGTCTTCCCTGCTTAACTTCTCCAACAAAGATCTTTATGATTATGGAGATTATATCAGACCAAGAAATAGGATTTGACTTTGAGTGTTACAGAGGGAAAGCCCAGTTTCCTGTGAAGCACTAGCTAATATTGCTTTCTAAGTCAAAACTTTAGTGTAAGTTAAAAAAAGCACTCAGGGGTAACTCCCTGCCACAAACGTTGGGCACACAGCCAGGGCACTGTGCTATTAGCCTCGGGGTGAGCCCAGATTCCCAGAACATGCAAGTCAGCATTTTTCATCCAACGATAGAGGTGTCCTGCTGAAATCTAAAATAGAAGAAACAGGTCTACCAATCTCTGCAAGCAAGGATGTTAATTAGTTTTTTTTTTTTCCCCCAGAAGAATGTTTTCATCTTTCATAAAGCATTATGGTCACTAGATAAATGTAATCATTTATAATCATAAAGTACATAAGCTAAGGTCTATATGCCTCCTTTTTTTTCCCTTTGCTTTATATACAGAAAATTCCATATACGATAATATTAGGTTGGTGCAAAATTAATTGCAGATTTTGCCATTAAAAATGGGCCATATTAAAAGTAATGGCAAAATAGTAAAAGTAGCGGCAAAATGTTAAAAAGTAATTGTAAAAACCACAATTAATTTTGTACCAATCAAATATGTAATGGTAATTTTAACCTACTTGGTCATATCAAATTTTTTGTTATTTAGAAACAGTCTTTCTAGCTGCCTAGTTTTATTCAAAAATTCTGTGCCTAATTTATTGCCACTCCCTTCTTCACAATACAGTAATTACATGCAATTTGTAATGAGTTTATCAAAGGAAAGCACAGCTAGCAACAGGAAATGGGACATTTTTATGTAAGCCTAGCAGTTCAGGTGCCCTTAATAGGTAGCAGGAAGAATAAATACTGATAAAGTGTAACTTAGATCTAATTCATTCTTAGCTGAAACTTTCATTAATAACAATGCCAGTCTTACAGTTAGATTTACAAACTAACTGTAAGAAGTTGAAATATAACCTCCCATAGTACTCTGAAGGCTGTGTCTCTTTACTACCCCACTGAGACAAATTAATTGTTCCCTTTCTCTTAATATTGGTCCTGTAGGCCTGGATGCAAATGCATGCCTTCACACAATCTGTTTACCACAGCTATTTTATCTCAGAATACAGAAATGTCTGCTGCCAGATCAAATCTAAGAGAAGTATATGGTTACTTAACAATATTTTTCACTTTCTAACCCTAGTTCTGTTGCCATGCAGGTATGATTTAGATTGACTTATCAATTAAGTTATGTAACTGCTTGAAATTAACATTATGTGTGTCAATGTTGTGATTACAATCTTCAAACTACTGGTTTCACAGACTGACAGATGGGATAATTTTAGCAAAGCCTCACCTTCTTATTCTATTGAATATGGTTCCTACTCATTGTCTAGGGTAGAGGTTGACATTACAGTTCACTCTAAAGTAGGAATCCTCTGAGCTCACAAGAACACCAAAAGCAGCATTAGGAAGCCTCCCAAAAGATGACATCTATTGTGTTGCCTACACAACAACAACAGAAAGAAAACCTTGAGTGTAGAGAAGAGAAGCATCCAAGAAACTATACAGGACAAAGGAAAAGCCTAATAAAAACTGAAGCCCAAAGGAAAGATTCAGGTCAAGAAATAACATGCACCTGACTTCAAATTATACTACAAGCCTACAGTAATCAAAACAGCATGGTACTGGTACCAAAACAGATATATAAACCAATGGAACAAAACAGAGACCTCAGAAATAACACCACACATCTACAACCATCAGATCTTTGACAAACCTGACAGAAACAAGCAATGGGGAAATGATATCCTATTCAATAAATGGTGGTAGAAAAACTGGTTAGCCATATGCAGAAAACTGAAACTGGACCACTTCCTTACACCTTATACAAAAATCAACTCAAGATGGATTCAAGACTTTAATGTAAAACCCCAAACCATAAAAACCCTAAAAGAAAACCTAGGCAATATCTAGGCATGGGCAAAGACTTCATGACGAAAACACCAAAAGCAATGGCAACAAAAGTCAAAATTGAGAAATGGGATCCAATTAAACTAAAAAGCTTCGGCATAGCAAAAGAAACTATCCTCAGAGTGAACAGGCAACCTACAGAATGGGAGAAAATTTTTGCGATCCATCCATCTGACAAAGATCTAATATCCAGAATCTACAAAGATTGTAAACAAATTTACAAGAAAAAAATAACCCCATCAAAAAGTGGGCGAAGGATCTGAACAGACACTTCCTAAAGAAGACATTCATGCAGCCAACAAAAATATGAAAAGAAGCCCAACATCACTGGTCATTAGAGAAATGCAAATCAAAACCACAGTGAGATTCCATCTCATGCCATTCAGAGTGGCAATTATTAAAAAGTCAAGAAACAATAGAGACTGGCGACACAATGGAGAAATAGGAATGCATTTACACTGTTGATGGGAATTTAAATTAGTTCAGCCATTGTGGAAGACAGTGTGGCGATTCCTCAAGGATCTAGAATCAGAAATACCATTTGATCAAGCAATCCCATTACAGGGTATACACTCAAAGGAATATAAATCATTCTACTATAAAGACACATGCACATGTATGTTTATTGAAGTACTATTTCCAATAGCAGTCATGGAGCCAATACAAATGCCCATCAATGATAGACTAGATAAAGAAAATGTGGTACATATACACCATGGAATACTCTGCAACCATGAAAAGAATGAGATCATGTCCTTTGCAAGGACATGGATGAAGCTGGAAGCCATCATCTTCAGCAAACTAACTCAGGAACAGAAAACCAAACACCACATGTTCTCACTCATAAGGGGGAGTTGAACATTGAGAACACATGGACACAGGGAGGGGGAACACCACACACCAGGGCCTGTCGGTGGGTGGGTGTTGAGGGGAGGAAACTTAGAGGATGGGTCAACAGGTGCAGCAAACCACCATGGCACACGTATACCTATGTAACAAACTTGCACGTTCTGCACATGTATCCCAGAGTTTAAAGTAAAATTTTTAAAAAATTGTAAAAAAAAAAAAGCATACACTGGGAAGGCTTATATGTCAACCCATGATCACCCATTGGCAATTAATTCTGGGTATTTTGTCAGATATGACACCAGTGCAGAGGAGTTTGGTAGGATTATGAAAAAACAAATCTCCACTGGTTTTGGAGCTGAGAACTATGGAATGATTGGAATAGATTTTCAGGTAGATGGCTTTAGCAATTATAAGGTAATAATAATAATAGTAGCTAACATAGGCCAAGCACAGTGGCTCAGACCTGTAATGCCAACACTACATTGATACAGGAGGATTGCTTGAAGCCAGGAGTTCAAGACCAGCCTGGGCAACAAAGCAAGACCTTGTCTTTACATAACTTTTTTTTTTTTTTTTTTTTTTTTTTTTGAGACGGAGTCTCGCTTTGTCGCCCAGGCCGGACTGCGGACTGCAGTGGCACAATCTCGGCTCACTGCAAGCTCCGCTTCCCGGGTTCACGCCATTCTCCTGCCTCAGCCTCCCGAGTAGCTGGGACTACAGGCGCCCGCCACCGTGCCCGGCTAATTTTTTGTATTTTTAGTAGAGACGGGGTTTCACCTTGTTAGCCAGGATGGTCTCGATCTCCTGACCTCATGATCCACCCGCCTCGGCCTCCCAAAGTGCTGGGATTACAGGCGTGAGCCACTGCGCCCGGCCTCTACATAACATTTTTTAAAAAATTAGTTGGGCATAGCAGTGTGTACCTTTAGACCCGGCTACTAGGAAAGCTGAAGCAGGAAGATAGCTTGAGTCCAGGAGTTCAAGGTTGCAGTGAGCCATGAACACACCACTTCACCCCAGCCTGAGACAGAGTAAGATCCTATCTCTAAAGATAATAATATTAATAATAATAATTAGCATATATTGAGCTCTTTCTCTGTGCTACAACTCATAAATACTTTAGCAGAGAAAAGAATTGAAACTATTAAATTACACATATAATAAATACATAGCACAAAAAGAACTAGCAAATATAAAACTCATAAGGTTCTGTTTGACTTTACAGTGTTCCTGAAATTGAAAGTAGGGACCATCCCAAACTAGTCCACTGCTCCATGAGAATTGATCCGGTAAAATCATTGACATATCCATAGAAAGGAAAATCCAGAGTAAAAAACTAAGGTAGTTTGGGATGAGACAGCCCTCAAATATCCCTTCCTTTATCCATTAATTGCTTAAAATGCCTACCATATGTTATTCTTCTGAATGTTGGCCTGGAAATTCTCAAAAAAATACTGATCCATTATATGAGTTAAGATAATATACAAACAAACAGGCCGGATGCAGTGGCTCACGCCTGTAATCCCAGCACTTTGGGAGGCCAAGGCAGGCGGATCAGGAAGTCAGGAGTTCGAGACCAGCCTGGCGAAACCCCGTGTCTACTAAAAATACAAAAAAAAAAAATTAGCCAGGTGTGGTGTTGGGCACCTGTAATCCCAGCTACTCGGGAGGCGGAGGCAGGAGAATACTTGAACCTAGGAGGCGGAGGTTGCAGTGAGCCAAGATTGCGCCATTGCACTCCAGCCCAGGAGACAGTGTAAGACTCCATCTCAGAAAAGAGGAAAAAAAAAAAAAAAGATAGTGTACAAAGAAATGATCTGCTAAACAACTTCTGAACACGGGGCCTGGAAAGCATAAAAGACAGCAGATATATTTGGGGAGAGTTGCGGGGTTGAGGGCAACTCTCCAGCATGGCTTACTGACCTGGGAAGGAAGTCTGCTTTTCTGTGGGCAAAGCAGACTCCAGAGACTGTGAGGAAAACTTCACCTGATTCATAGCTGAAGAGGCTATAATTCCTTTTGTTAATATCCAGCAATATGTTTTGGTCTTGAACATGTGAGGCTTCACATGTGCATGTGTGTGCATATTCATACATGGAAAATGTATGGGGAGAAACAAATGTGGAGGCAGACGCAGATGCCAGATTCCTAGCCCTCATCAAATGGGACTTCTTCAGCCACACAGTCATCATTTCTACCACTGGCTACACACTTAGGTTTTCTGAGGATTTCTGAATATCTGTGATCATCTGTGGCTATTCATTTTCCATGACCCATTTAATTGAAAGGTGGTGTGGTTACTGTTTTTCTTTTAGGAAAGCAGAGATTATTGCCCTGAAGTCTCTGGAAATTAGCCACAGCTTGCAAATTTGGAACACCCAAAGCAAGCTTGATGAATTATCCCCAGTGTAATATCCCCAGCGCTTCTGCCAGAAGAAAGGCTTGGCAGTGTGAGAGAATTGATGCAGCTCTAGTTTCTGTTGTACCAGCTGCAAAGTGGACTTCGCCCCTTCTACCAAAACACAGAGTAAAATGATCACTTTTGAAAAAATATTTGAGATGACGGGGGAAAAAATGTCCTTGGGATTGTTTGTCAGATGCTGGGCTGGTTGGTGTTAAGCATAATTGTGAAGAAATGAAGGGACTTTGGTTAAGTACCCCAAGTTTCCTCAGTATCTTAGTACTTTGCTACTGCTGGTGCCCCTTTCGGTTATTCATTCATCCATGAGCAACTGTCACACATGACATTCACCTGCCGAAGATGCACCTTAAGCTCAAGATTTAGTTGCTGGTGATGGCATTGTCCCTTTTTGATAGAATATTGAAAGACAACAGCATTGATCAGCAGGTTCTGGGTGGTTAGTTGGTGGTTCTGGGATCCACTTACTCCATCTACTGGTCAAATATATCCAGTCTAGAAAAGGCTATTTCCCTTGGCTGTGGACAGTGGATACAGCTCTAAATAAACATCTTCAATGGTAGGTTTCATTCCTGGGTCACTCGGTGATCTTACCAGTGAATTATCTGTGGGTACTCATATCACTGGGAACAGGAATTTGAGGCCTGGAAATTTGACATGAAATGTGTGATCATTTCTGAAGTCATCTAACTCAAAGTAGAGACCTACAGAGAAGAGACAACTTAGTCATCTTTAAATTATGAAGACTTAAAGCTATGGCATAGTACCTTAAATTCTGGTCAGTATTGATCTGCAGCTAATGATGATGTCACCTCCACAAATCAGACATGGGTGCTTTACAGAGCTACTTACAGGCAACTTCTGGCCCTGACTTAGCCTTAGCTCTCTTGCCCAACCCCCCTACACACACATGCTTTGTTGCCCTAAATTTATGAATCTACACATAGGACTCCTCAACTAAGTCTACATGTGGCTGATAGCAGAAGGCAGCACTGTTGCACAAACAGGAACTCTGAGTTCAAGCAATACTCTGCCCAAGAATTTGAAATTGTTGATGCAGAAAGAGAAAAGAGCAAGCAAGAAGAAAGAAAAGAAAAGAAGAAGAGTCTTCACTTGTTAATGCTCCATCTTGCTTTCTTTGAGGTGCTCCTAATGCCTTCAGAAGGCAGCAGATTTATAGATCTGAAGAGAAACAACAGGATCCCTGATGCCTTCAAGATATTGCATCTCGGCCAGGCATGGTGGCTCACATCTGTAATCCCAGGAGTTTGGGAGGACCACACAGACACGTTGCAAGGTCAGGAGATACAGACCATCCTGGCCAACATGGCGAAGCCCCGTCTCTACTAAAAATACAAAAATTAGCTGGGTATGGTGGCATACACCTGTAGTCCCAGCTACATGGGAGGCTGAGGCAGGAGAATCGCTTGAACCCGGGAGGCAGAGGTTGCAGTGAGCCAAGATCGCACCACTGCATTCCAGCCTGTCGACAAAGCGAGACTTGTCTCAGGAAAAAAAAAAAAAAAAAAGATATTGCATCTCTTCTGTTTAGCACCTGGAAATAAGTAACAGATAAGTCGCCAGAATGAGGAACTATGACTTAAAAGTCTTCCCTTAGATTAACTGGGATTTATGTCTCTTTCTCTGTCTCTCTCTCTGGGCCATATTGAAATCCTTTTCCTCCTCTTCCTCTCTTCATTGCTTATTTAAATTACATAAAATCTTTATGGATTTTTCAAACCAAGACAAATACAGTGCATTGGAGAATATATTATGAACAATTGAAAATGTTTTATTTATGCTCTAAATATATTTTGTTCATCAAATTTGGATTAGGTATAGAATTATGATATTATGTGGGCATTAACTAGTGATGCTGTTCCCTATTTTATTCATGCATCATCTTTTATGTTTTTAGTGTGTGACAGACACATCACTTCACTGTTCACATCTTCAGAAAAATTATTTTGCTTTATTTCTAAAGTGATCCGGATTCTGTATCACTCCCATGAAATAAAAGAGGACCCTAGAACCTGGGTTTTTCATCTACCTCTTTGCTGAATCCAGCCCCTTAAGGATGACTGATTTTGTCCAAGTCCAGATTTCCAGAAGTTCTTTTTTGGCCCTGATAGTCCAAACCATTTGAAATACCTTCAGGATCCATTCATTTCACTTCCATAACTTCACAGGGTCTGCTGCTCTGCTTTTCTCATTGTCCCTGAGGGATTCTTTTCTGGCTTGTGTTTCTCTTCCCACCACCTAAACATGAAAATCTTCCAAGATGCCTTTTTCAACCACTTAGCATGCCTCCAAGTATCTTTCCTTTGCTAAATTTCCACATAATGACTATCACTTCAGCATTGATGACTTTCCCATCTATACCTTTAGCTCTAATCATTTTTGTAAACTTCAGGTCTACATTTTTAGCTGTCTATTGGAAAAGCCCAACATTTTGAAGTCCTACTGGCTTCTCAAAAAGACAAATAAAATGTCAAAAACTAAACTGAATTTAAAAGTTCCACTATCATTAGAAAACTTTATAGGAAGAACTAGTGTAGTTATGTTAAAGGTGCCAACGTACATGAGTTTCAGATCTCATGAGTATGCACAGTAAAATAATTAAAAGGAAGAGATGAGCAAGGTTGTTGTGAGATGACTGGAGAGATGCCCACTAGCTCCATGCCCCACAGTGGGTCCTCAGCCAATGGCAGCCATTCATTTTATCACTGAACTTGACATAACAATTATTTCTAGACTGGAAAGACAAAGACCTACTTCAGAATGGCCTGGCTTTTCCAAAGGTGATATACCACTAGAAAATGAGGGTCTTGATAAAATCTAGCAAGGACTATGTCCTGTGTAAGTTATCCCTCATCTTCTTTTATAATTGCATGTAGCCTTATGATGTTAATGATACCTTATATACATAACCATTCTGTATTCTGTACATGACAAAAAGGTAAAGGTCAACAGGCCTTCCAAGAAGTAAACTGAGTGGGAGTGAGAATAAAGAGAGAGCTGATGAGAAGCAATTCAGAAGAGTAGGGAATCTAAAGGTCAGAAACCATTTCCCAGTGTGGGTGCAGAAATGACAATAAGTGCTTCAATTACTCAGCATTCATTAGATAATACTGAATTTCTGGTGAAACAGGAAATTCATTTGCATTTCAGATTTACCCCTTCTCCACCTTTCATTTTACAGCAAGAGCCCTTTTAAGATGACTTAATGGGCCTTTCTCCCCCCTTAAAATTCCGAAGAAAGCATATACACTACATTCAGTAGTGACTAACACTTTCTTAATTATCCCTTCAATTTCTTGAAATCAAATGTGATTTGGTTGGGTCCTGTTTAAAAGTCATGCCAGTCTATTCAAAAGACAAGCACTGGATGATCCCCTTGAAACCTTTAGAAACTGAAGTCACTACTTGTAGAAGATTAAGACCTTGAGCCCAAATGCAAAGAGCTATGAGTTCAGTGAAAATCCAGCCAGCAGGTATCTTCTTCCTGCTGTGTTAATAAAGCTCTTGTTTCAGGCACTCATCTGCAGCTCTTCATACCCTTCTCTTATAGCATCAATTCCCAAGAGCATTAGTTGTCAGGCCCTCTTGCTACATGATATTTAAATAGGTACTGTATATGTTTTCCTTACTGGAGCCATAGCTGATTGGTAATTCATAATTTAAACCCTCCCCAAAGATAGATAGATGTTTAAAAGGCACTGTCTAGGCCTCAGTTTACTAAAGCAGAATTAGATTAGATTAGAACTAGCAAATATACATTCTCTCACCTGCCAACTCATCTGCCAACTCAGATCAATCAATAGAGGCTGCCTGGAGATTTGAGAGCTGTGGATACAGAGGCAATATTAAGTAGTAGGCACTTGATGATGTCATAAGTCAATCTGTATTTCCCTAGTCCATTTCCTCTGCCACTGTCTTAGCTACTTCAGTCAAGCCTTCTTCTCCCCATTCAGATGTCCAGTGCCTCCCCTCCTGTGTCTTACTGTCAGCTGATGATCTTGCTTTGCTTCCTGTCTCCCTGAGAAAATAGAAGCAATCAGAAGAGACTCTCCGCAGACTCCCATGACCACATCTACCCATGGGCCAGCGTCTATCACTCTATACTCTGTCTTCCTAAGTGTTACTATCCTGTCCTGAGGCACCATCATCCTTTGCCGGGAACCACAGTAGCCTCCCTGGTAGCACCCTTATCTCTACAATCTGTTCTCCACAGAGTAGCTAGAGTGATCCTGTAAAGTATAAGTCAAGTTATATCCCTTCTCTGCTCAAAATCCTCCAGTGGCTCCCTATTTCCCTCAGAAGTCCTTTCAAGAGTCTACATGGCCCATGTGATCTGGCCCCACCAACCACTTCCCCTCACTCTACTCTTAACTCTCACCTTTCCTCCAGGATCATTTTTCTCCAGCCATAGAAATGTCCTTAAACCTTACACAGGTGAGGCGCTCCTGTCTTAGCACATATGTGTACTGTCTGGACTGTCTTTGCCCCTGCCTCCCCTTCAAATAATCCAGATGGCTAACTTGCTCATTTCCTCACACTCTTTTCTCAAATGTCACATTCTCAGAAAGGCCTACCTTGATGATCCTATTTCAGATTTCAACTGCCATCTCTCACCTCATTACTCCTCATCTCCCTAGCTTTCCTGTACTCTTTCCATAGCACATCTAGCATACTAAATACTTTAATTATTATATATTACATGCACCTGTCTCATCTCAAGGACAGGACAAGGATTTTTTTTTTCTTCTTTTGTTTCACTGATCTGTAGCTAGTTCTCAGAACAGTGTCTGGCATATAATTGGTATTTGTAAATAATTACTGAATTTGTAAATAATTACTAAATGAATGATGTCTGACATCTGGACTAAACCATCTCAAAGGCCTCCAAATTTGACATTCTTGGATTCTTTTCCCTTGAAAAGTAAGCATTTATTGGTGCTCAGTGTTCTGAATTCTTTAAAGTGCATTAAAGCCTAAATGGATACATGAGAGGAGAAGGAAAAAAAGGACACTAATTGCCCTCTGGTTTCTCATTTCAACTCTTGTTTGCTTTGCATTGTGGTAAGAAGAGGAGACTGCTGAGAGCCCCAAGGATTCCTCTGGTGCCCAAATTTGGCAACTCTTTCCTGTTTATAGGATCATAGAGCAGAGTTGATTGATGTGCCAAAGAGAAAACCATTACCCTCTATATAATTTTACCTCCAAGTATTGTAACCAAAATCTCTGGACGATGCCTAGAAAAAAGGGAGTTCCTGTTGGATTCTCAGACAAGCTGCCCTCCCTCTTACACACATGGCCCAGAATCTCTCTCCATTCCCTCCCCTTCCTGCCCAGTGATACCTGAAAGACTAATATTCAGGGAGTATGCATCTGACTTCAGATTGACTCTCCAGTGATTTAGAAGTACCTAGTGATTCCTAAGAGAAATTCAAGCAGTTATCTGTCATGTGTATATCTGAGATTTTAGATCTGTTTTTGCAAAAAGCATTTGATGAGGAGAGGAGGTGGGCCTTTGGAACCTTGACTATGGAAAGAGAGCTGGAACTAGAAAGCAAGAGGCCCAGAGAGAAACTTGAGGAATTTTCTTCAGTGCTCACTGGACTGAGGCATAATTTGAGTTCTTTCTACAAGCTGGACACTACTAACACCCTTTATTTTTCCTGCGCCTAACTTCTTCCTTCATGTTCTCATCTCATTCCTTGGCTGTAGGTGTCAGAGGTGAATATACATGTATGTAACAGTTATCTTTGATAGCTTGGTTTACAAGAAGAGAGGAAGCTCTTGCAGTGCTGTGGCTGTGAAGGAGGTCTGGTTCACGGACCCTAAGGTTACTTCAATCTGCCCAACTTCCCAGAGCTGCAGCATACTTTGAATATGTGCAGCCCTAGCACATATTTTGGTGCCTTATTTTAGAAAACACTCTAAGTAAAACAGGTTCCAAACTGGTGGGAGCCCCAAAGGGTAACACTCTAGAAATACTAAAAAAAGGGAAAGGGTAGTTGTTTCACCAACTTAACACATTTTCTAGCCCTGGCACTACACACCGTTAAACCAAATATTCCAGAAGACATGATTCCCATTATATGACTTAGAAACTTGGAGCCAGAATCTGTAATATGGGGACATTATGCCCATATTTTTTAAGCAATCATTTTATATTATTTTCATCTTCTTAATGTGGATTTGTTTAATATAAAAATATATTTTGTGTAGCATTTAAAGTCATTTCGAGTAGTTATATTGAAAACCCAAGGTTAAAAAAATATTTTATTATACCTTGGATCACTTTTTTTTTATGAAACTGTAATCATGAGTTCTGTAGAACTTATTCAAGAAATAGAACCCAACATTTGTATAGGAAAAATGAGAAAGTTATAGATAAGACCATCCAATATATTGCCATTCAGAAAGCCAGTATCTTTGTCATTCTCCCTAAGGGCATTGTTCATGTAAAAGGATAAAATCACACTGCTTCGGGGATAATGGGAAGGTGTCTGGCCAGCTGAAAATTGCTCCCAGTGGATGGAACATATCACTTGGAAAAAAAGGCCCTAGGAAATAAAGTAGATGTAGGAGTCACATCATCTTTAATTGAACCTAAGACAGCATTGATTGTATATACCATTATTTTATGTATCACTAACCAAGAAAAAATGCCCATAAGTAACCATGACACAATGCTTTCTTACCACGTACAAATTTTATTTTAAACCTACAGAGATGTTTTTGGTCTTAATTAAATAGATTTTTATCTTATCATTCTTTTTCATACATCATAAGGAAAATACTTTGAAGTAAATTAGTTAAGACTTCTTCCCTTCAGAATCCAGCTTTTCTGTATTCAGAATCATTAATGCCTGTTTTTTCCACATGAATTCACATTTTGTGCCATTATGATCATTTACAATGTGGCACCTCTTAAAAGAATCTAAGAAGAAAATGAAAACCATTTTCGCCGAGCTCTTAAGAAGATATTGCAATTATAAAACTTGTTTTTGAGTCCTGGTTCAGAAACATATCTGATTCTTCACTTCCTTCAAACCCCCTCAACCATGTAGATCGTAGGGGTGAAAATAGTATACCAATTTTATCTCTGACATTTTGTTCCCAGGCCTAAAGCTCATTCTGCTGGTTCTGATTCTTGTGTTTTAAGATAAGCAAAGGAAGTGTTTGGATCATTTGATGGGTCTTGTTTTTAATTTTTATTAAAACCTTCAGGCCTTCCCTGAATTTCTGCAGCCTAGATATGTTGTTATGATAAACTACAGTATACAATTCCTAAAATTAAAAAGAAGGAAGAATCCTTAAGGTTATCCTTCATTTTGGCTGCCTGAAAACTTTCATTTAATAAGCACTGAAATCAAGAAATGAGTAAGGAGTGAATAATGCAATCACTCTTTGAGTTAATAGGATTTTGTGACAATAGCTTGATCAAATAATTACATTCAGGACAGATTAAAATAAATGTTCCAAGATGATGAAGTGACATCTTTTGATTCTAGAAGTTGAGGAAAGTACCCTGATTTTAAGACTAAAATTCAATAATTGTCCACAGTTCTGATATTTGTCATGGCACAGGCTTATTCACACTAGCATTCCAGAAATTAGGTAAGGACACAACCTAATTGGTTCTTCATAGCTTCTATCCATTTGTTGATTCAATTATAATTGTGAAGTAGAACTTTAGTGTTTATTCACCCTAAGTTTGTTGAATTCTCTGAAAACAACCTAGTTTTCTGTAACTTTACTTTTTCCAATCAAATCTTTTCATTAAATATATTTTATTTTCATGCCCCAATGAGAATTTTTGTGTCACCAAATCATACAAGGACAAATAATTCCTTTGTAAGATCATGTTTCCCTTTCTAGGTAGGAAAACGTGATCCCTGCACCCATGGGCCAGTTATACACAGCTCAACTGAAATAGAATGTTGCCTAAATTTAGGAGAAGACTTTTTCTTTTTTTTTTTTTTTTCAAGATATTTTTTCAACTTCTAAGTTCAGATGTACAAGCGCAGGTTTGCTACATAGGTAAACTTGTGTCATGGAGATTTATTGTACAGATTATCTCATCATCCAGTTATTAAGCCTAGTACCCATTAGTTATTTTTCCTCATCCTCTCTCTCCTCCCACCTTCCACCATTTGAAAGGCCCCAGTGTGTGTTGTTCCCCTCTGTGTGTCCATGTGTTCTCATCAATTAGCTCCCTCTTGTAAGTGAGAACCTGCGGTGTTTGGTTTTCTGTTCCTTTGTTAGTCCGCTATGGATAATGGCCTCCAGCTCCATCCATGTCCCTGCAAAGTCAGTGATAGACTGGATAAAGAAAATGTGGTACATATACACCATGGAATACTATGCAGTCATAAAAAAGAACGAGAGAAGACTTTCAAACTCAAGCTGTCACATCATACCTTAAGTTCCTTGAAGCATTCCACAGCTGTAATCATTTACTTCAAAATGGGTCAATAGGCTAGAGAGAGGGCCTTATTTTGCCCCTAGCACTTTTTAGACTTATAAACGATGTTTTTATTTATTTTTAAATTGATGAAAACTATATATTTATGATGTACAACATGTTTTCAAATAGGTATACCTTATGGAAAGGCTAAATTGAGCTATTAATAATTATACATTACCTCACATACTTATGCATGTTGTATTTTTAACTAGAGACAGTTTTTCTTAAAAGGAAATAAGTTGGCCACTGTTCTTTCATCTTCAGGTTAATTCAGAATTTAAAATGACTATATGCCCAGCTGATATGCACGTATGAAAAGTGAAGCACTGTACTCCTGAAATAGATTATGAGTGTGAACAATGGAAAGAAGATGGAATGGCACATCTCACCACTCAATCCTGTACCATTCAATATGGTAGCCACTAGTCATACGTAGCTATTAAATCACTGACATGTGGCTAACCCACATTAAGAAGTGCAGTAACCATAAATACCAGATTTCAAAGATTTAGTATGAAAAAAAGAATATAAAAATCTTAAAATTTATATTAATTATATGTTAAGATTATGATATGTTGGATATATTGAGTAAATAAAAGTTATTATTAAATTTTCACCTTTATCTTTTTGCATATATATGTGACTTGCATTGTATTTCTGTTGGACTAACCTGTCTGACCTATTCAAAGTAAGTCAAGTTTCTCTAGTCTGCTCTGAAACAAGACAACATTAGCTCCGCCAAAGGGATAGAGTCATTAGAATGGGGCTAATCCATGTTCTCTTACTGGTTGGGCTTTGTAAATTTAATTAGCTAATGGAGCGCTGGCTAAGAACAAGGTCCATATGGTTGTTTTTCTTTCAGCTAAGGGCAGAAATGTGTAGTCATTTCTGCTGCAAATTGCAGTACATAGTTGTCATTGTGGTTACTCTCAACTGGGGTGGAAACATAATCTGAAAACCCGTAGCGGATTTTCTTAAAGGATCATAGGAAAAATGCTACAATTAAAATGCTCTTAAGGGGCTTACAGGAATTTTCTGAACTTTGAATTTTTTATAAACATACACCTAGAGTAATCTCACAATTCTTTTAAAGTAAGTAGCAGTCTAAAGCAATCTTAAAAGACAGAACAATGTATCCCAAATTTAAGATGTTTTCTGAACAGACATTTAAGCATACCTCCTGAAGAGTAAGTGCAACAAATGGCTTTTAAAAGCATGTGTGCATTTTTCAAATGTCATCTAAAGAACACAGGGATCTTTCTACATGTTTTTCTTCCTCACTTAAATGTGGTTTGTAAAATTGTTTTCAACCTTCACCAGCTGGGCACGGTGGCTCACACCTATAATCCCAGCACTTTGGGAGGCCAAGGCTAGAGGATCACTTGAGCCCAAGAGTTTGAGACCAGCTTGAGTAACATAGTGAAACCTCATCTCTACAAAAAAAAAATTTTTAATTAAAAAATTAGCCAGGTGTGGTAGTTCATGCATGTAGTCCCAGCTACTCCAGAGGATGAGGTAGAGGATCATTTGAGCCCAGAAGGTTGAGGCTGCAGTGAGCCATGGTCATGTCACTGCACTCTAGCATGGGTGACAAAACAAGACCCTGTCTCAAAATAAAATAACCCTCACCATATTAGAATGCAGGCATTTGATTAAAGTAATCCCCCCAACCTTTAGCAGCACTTTAACAGTTAATCTTTTGTAAATTATTGCATTGGTTTTCTCCATATGTCAGAATTATATATTTTTGGCTAAGACTCCTCTAAGCTATTCTTGCATTTCTCTTGAGCAACTAATGGAAGTGTTAGCAGTAGGCATATTACAGAATGGCATTTTTTCAGACCAATGATTTGGGAGTAGTTTATGGATGTAAAACATTTCTGTTTAGGTTTTGCTGGCAATCAAATCCAGTAAATGGAAAGCACCAATATTAGCACAATGTTATTGGGGAACAGAATGCCTGCTTTCTAAATATATCACAACAAAGTTCTTTAGCTGTTTGCTCCAATCTTCCATGCTCTTTAATTTGTTTGTCTCTGGATATACTCTGAGTCACTACCCATTAGCTGATGAAAGCTGTGTCTCCAGGATTATTACCTCCAGAATCAGGAATGCAGTTTCTAGTAAGTGACATTTGGAAGGAATTGCAAGTAAACATGCTTAAGGAGGCCTGAGCAAAGCAGCACTAGCATTAGCCAGTTGGTGAGAATAGGGAAAGTCTGTCAAAAGTTTAATCCTTTTGTTTTATCGACTGTGAGCAATTGGCTTAAAAACAACAATCCCATGTTGTTGTCTGAGTGGGCTCCAAGCCTAGCATGGCTGTAGAGTCACTGAGTTCCTCAACATAGTCTGTCATTTCTTGTGGCTTATCACAGGGACACTTTTTAAAGCATGCCTCAAGTTGGTTATGTAGGTGCCATTCTATTTGGCATTAGGTTCCCCTGGAAAAGCCAGCAATATATTCTACCTGGGCATAGAGAAAATTTCTTAGCTATGAACACATGCTTGCAGGCCAGAGGGTAATTGCAATTCATGAACAGTGACTTTTAAATTAAATGACATATTGGCTCTTTAGAGCTGTAATTTCATTGACACCAGGAAGTAGGTCTCTCCCTGTTTGTGTGGGTATCCACAGTTTAGCTCTTGTGTACTTTTAAACTTTGCTAATGTTATGCTGTCACATCACCCTTGGTGATTTCTGCATATGCCTTTTAAGAGTGGGAGAAATGCTATTAGCTTAGAAAAAAAGGATAAAATATATGGCCACCATTATATATTTTGATTCAGTAAATATTTCTTGATTGTTTCCCCTTCTATTCAGAAATGCAAAGTTGAAGCAGACAGGGATTTTGTTCTGAAGATGTTTATAGTTCACTATTAACAATCAGGTAGAAACATAATCACCATACAAGTCAGGAAGTGATCTATACCATGTGAATTTACAGAAAAAAATCTGATGGTAAATTCAGAAAAGAGGTAATTCTGAGTGATAAATCACAGATAGCTTTGTGAAGGGGTGTCCTAACAGCTATATCTAAAAGGATTGAGCAAGATTTGGACGTGCAAGGATGTGGAAGTAGGACATTTGAGGTGGAGAGGATAGCATAAAAAATTGTTCATAGATCCCAATGAGAATTTTAAACATTTTGACCTACTCTTCTTACTGTATAAAGCTGTTAACACTGGATTAATTTTCATTCCTTGCACTTTGCTCCATGGTGCTGATCTAATCTTTGGAAACACATCCTCTAAGGATAGTATAGCAAAAAAGGTCTAGGGTGCACACACCTCCACGTGTACACACACCAGCATGTGTACACACACCAGCATGCATGCATATACACATGCTTTTATATATCTAATGTTCAAATGTTCAGTGTTGAAATCCTCCATGTGCTGCAAAGAGGCACATAGATATGTAGGTTGTAAGCCAGCTAGAGAATGCTCTGAGAAAATCTTAACTCCTCCAATAGTTTGTGTTATGACCTCCTGACCCCCTTATCATTGCTGCTTTCCCATTGACTTTATTACCTCTGTGGCCTTGATGGTAAGTTTGGGGACCAAGAACTCATGCAAATGCTAACAAGAAGTCTTCTTCAGGGTACTCTACTGGTAAGGTGTTTCTATGACCATACAGCCTTCCATGTTTCCAGTTTTGTGACTCTCTGCCATGGTTTACATGACTCATTTCAGCATAAGTTCTTCAAGCCAGAATAGTCAAGAACCCTTCTGTGTGTACTTACAAAGGCAAAGCTTAGTAAAATACCATGTAGTCATTCAGGGAAAGTGGAGACATACTATACCTTCAATTTAGACTGGTGTTTCCTAACTGGAGATAATTTTGCTGTGGTTGATCATCAAGATCAAGCTTAATTCTCATTTCTCCTCAAAACAAACATTAGCATTAAAATCTCTGGTTTGGAGTAATAGACAATCTAAAATTTACCACAAAAATAATATATTTGTAAATTGAATTTTGTTTTGGTTTTAGAGCCAAATAGTGTTGAATGAGTAGAAAAATATTGATTAGAACCCAACCAGTCATACCTTTGACAAGTCACAAGAAATTGAAAACATAAGAAATTGAAAAACAGAAAATCATAAGACTTCTTAGATTAAGTAGCATGAGGAGAAAATGGTGGCATTTATCTTACATAACCTAGTAATCTTGAAGGAGAAGTACATTATTTATGGATAACTTTTTTCTTTTCTTTTTTTTTTGAGGGAGTGGGGGTCTCCGTTCAAGATTTGAATGATATTCCTGAGTATTTTGGCATTATAATTCTCGCCCTTACTTTGAGTCTTTTTTATTTTGCTTAAAGGCAAAAAGAGAAGAGAATAAAAGAAGAGAAGAGAGTGTTGTGTGGAAATAAAGAAATGTTAGCATTCTTTGTAATATTAAATATATTAACTTGTTTTATAATCTCACTCATACTCACCAGTTTTATCATATATAAATATTTAAGTGGGTTGTTTTCTACAATATAAACCGACTATATAAAAATGAATATTGTGAGTAATAAGAAGCATGAAGTCAATTAAGGACAAAGTCTCTAAAGCTAAAAGAAAAAAATTCCTTCTTCTGGCTCACGGCAATAGTTTAAGAGTTATGGTGACTTGGTCAGCAAGGAATGTCTTCATTTGGCCTTTTACTATTAGAATCCCCTGAAGATGACTGCTTGTTGGCATTTTCAGGAGTTCTCAGTTCCCAAACTTGCCATCAAGGCCACAGAGGTGATATAGTAAGTGGGAATGCAGCAATGATAAGGGGGCTAAGAGGGACTAAGCTTCCAAAATTATGGTTTACATGTGCTGAGCCCATATGGATTCTGGCCCTTGATTTGGAATTTTTACCTTCCAAGTTCCAGATGTTACATGGGAAAAATAGCACACATAAAACTCTTAAGCATTGGAATCATAATTTAAGGTCACCATGACCTGAGAGGAAAGGACAAAGAAAATAAGCAACAAAAAAGCTCTAGCCAATGAAATCGCTAGCTCTCAACCTACCTGAAGAACAAGTACCTGTAATTTCTTCTAAGTATCAGAAATTACTAAAAGAGGTTATATATATATATATATATATATATATATTTATATATATATATAAAAAAATATATATATATTTATATATATATATAAATATATATATATATATATCAATGACTTGAAATCCTCTATGTGCTGCAGAGACACATAGATATGTAGATTGTAAGCCAGCTAGTGAATGCCTTGAGAAAATCTTAACTCTTCTTATAGTTTGTGCTTGGCAAGTCCTCTGGAAAGATCTAACTCACCCTCCTCATAACAGTATACAAAGGAGCATTAGTGTGATCTCTTGAAGAGTAATATAAGCTGACTTTGTTATGAAAACAATGTAATTTTAACATTGGAATAACATCTGGTCTGTGTCAATCTCTATCAGGATGAATGAATTGGGGGAAGAGAGTCTTGCCTTTGCCAAATATGGCCACTGATGAGCAATCTTTCTTTCTTTCCTGGTTCCCCTGTTAAAACTAAAACTAAGAACAAGAGCCTAATGTAAGTCCTGTCAGTTTTGAAGTGATCAATTATCATGTAGAATCAGCAACATGTCAAACTGCAAACTCTATGGCTGAGTTTTTGTAATTGTGTTTTTCTAAATGAGGAGAGGAATTTTGAGGACATAGATTCCTGGCAAATAGTATAGCAGAACTTGTTCTGCTTGCTTCCGAATCTTAATACCTATAGTCCTACACATACAAAGAGGGATCTTTGCCACAAACACTTCTGTGTAATTTTTAAAGCCTTCCTTTTTGATCTAGTATTGTTTTGGAGTAGTATCTGTCCTCTAGAAAATAAATCCTATTGGTTGCCAGAGTTTTGATCACCTGCAGTACAGTACAGACAAACAATATTTATGGTCCTTATGGGGGTCTATTCTCTGTAGTATGATTATGATGGAATAAGAGTATCATGTGTTGGTCTAGAGGAGTGCCACTTCAGGAAGACCACGCCTGCCAAGCTTCATCCATTGCAAGCCAGTGATCCAACATTGATTCATTCAAGGCTCACAAGGTGAGCAGTGTCCATTTCCACCACTATGATAGATCTGAGTAATGCAAATTTTATTATTTAATTCCTCTGTCTACTAGGATTCCAAGTAGGCCCCATCACATACTCTAAATTCCACAACTAAAAACATGGACATCTTTTTAGCTTCACTTTGAAATGGGATCAGATTAATTTTTGGAGTCTTGAACAATTTTCTATTATATCAGCTGGCATTTTCTGTATTTATTAATTGTATTACTATAGGATTTTAAAATATAATGCCTTCCATCAAGAAGCTTACAATAGAACATTCATGTTATGGTCCCTAGAGCAAATCCTAGTTCAACTTCTTTTTTTTTTTTTCCTTAAATTAGCTTTCCATTAAGCTGCAAAATCTCTCTGAAAGCTCAAAGAATTGATCACCAAGCCAACCCTTCAACCCTGTATCAGCAGGGAAAGGGTCTGACAATTGAGTTAATGTGAAATTTGTCATAGTAATGAGGAGTGGGAAACCACATTTTGGAGTCACTCTCCAGAGTAGTTAGTGCCTTAAAGAGGGAACCTACCCAGTATCATGCCAGTGTTCTCATGAGCATGCTCAAACCATGCATTCCAAACAACTGAAGATAATCAAATATCAAGGTCTCTGACTTTGGGTTTTATTCTCCTTGTTATCTGTATTACTGTGGAATTCATTTCTCACTGCAGGTTTCATTCTGTATTTATACTCTGGGTCAGTTTTACCAACTGCAGTCTTTTTTAAAAAAGAAATCAATAAATATTTTTCTTATAGCAACTGAAATTAAATACCTGAAATATTTTATAGAAGTGATATGAATTAATTAAATATGTCACCAAGTGTTTTGGGCATCTCAGAGAGCACACTAAATAAATATATAATGGTGATAATTATATATCATCTTTCTAGGCTTGGGAAATGCAAACAAGAACTCTGGTTAGTAGCATTCCATGTAAGAATGTCCAGTCAATTAGGCCAGTGTGTATGTGATTTCAAACACAATTGTTTTGAGGTTTTTTGCTACCGTTATCTTCCAAAACACTAATCCCTCCTTTACTTCTAATCCCTATATTTTACCAATGTTCACATGTTCCCTTCCTATATCTTTCATTTAATCTAACACACATTCATTTTAGAAAAATAAGATATTCATATAATGACTTTTTCAACTGACCAGAGTTGGCAAGTCCTTCTAGAAGTTTGGAGCTGCCCTGAATCTTATGTTCCTCTGCTGTTCCTCATCTGGTCCATTCTGATATGCACTCCTGTCCTTCTGATCTATATTCACTTTGTCGCTATAGGGAGCTGCCAGAACTAAAGATGTGGGGTGGAGGCACTGCTTTCTTTCCACAAAAGCTATTCCCAAGGAGCATTTCTGGACAGTCATTCTTCCCTGGAGCTTTGTCAATAGATCCTGTCTTGAACCTCACAGATACTACCACTCTGGAGCTTTGTCAATAGATCCTATCTTGAACCTCACAGATACTACCACTCTCTTGGTTCCATAGAAAGTGGAGAAAAGGTGTAGCAAGCTGGGGAAAATTTCAACAGGAAAATGTCTGGGAGACAAGCAGTTTCACTTGGAATAACCAGTCAGTTTCCTCTCATTCTAAGAATACTGAATTTCCTTTAGAGTCCTTATAAGAGTTTGGAAAATGGAAGCAGACCTACCAGAGAGTGAGGATGCAAGCCAGAAGTGGGTATGAAAGAGAGATCTTTTGCTAAAGGGGGAAAGCACCTAATTTTATCGTAACTGTCTGCTTAATTAAATTAATTTCCTAGGCTGTTTTATTCATACAAGTCAGTGTGTATGTTAGGGACTAATTAATTGCTCAGAAATTGGCAAGTACTTCCTAAGGAACATTTTCCTTTATGATGTGTTTGGCATTTGTGGTTTGCTAGTTGCATTTCCAGCCGTAGACACTGCACCATAAAATTATAGCTCCATCCCGAGGCACCAGCTGTCACTTCTGCCAACGATCTCTGAGCTCAGGGAAAATAGCAGTTACATGCATGCGTAGAAAGTGGATCCCTCAGTAAATGCTAAATTTATCAGGAGGGATATCACTATCGAAATGCACTCAAAATAATTTCATCTGGCCCCCAAATGGGAACTGGGGCAAATGGCTTGGCATGGAATAGTATCAGACAAACCTGGTCCAATTCTACAGTAACAAGTAACAGGCTTCATTTGATTTGCAGCCACTGATGTGTGGGATATGAACAGGAGCACTTCCATGACATCTTCTAATGGAAAATTATACAAGTTACAGAACAAATCGATCTACCATAAAGAACACCCCCTCTGCAGAATATGCTACAGACTTAGTAATTCTGTGAGATAATAAATGGACTTTTACCACTAATCAATGCACTGAGAGTAGACTTGATAGAAAATTTCTCTCTTAAAATACAGTGTGAAGAATCCACAAGAGCCACAAAGAACTACCTTTTGCTTTCATCCCCTGAATATGACACCTGATCAATCTAAGAAAGCGTCATGGAAAAGTGTAAATTTCATGAGCGGTTTAAATGTGGGGAGTGAGACAGATAATGAAAGAAAAGGGTTATTTTTTAAGGCCCTTAATGATATTTGCTGTTAAGCCTCTTAACCTGGGAGTAGGTGCAGGTCTAGTAGAATATTTCCCTAACACCAATTGATGGATCATTGCATTAGATATATTAGGGGAGCTTTTCAGCACTATAGATTCCCCATGCTCACCTTTCATCTACGCATGCAGAGGCTCTGATTTGATGATAACGACAAGGAATCTTCGTTTCTAAAGCTTCACAGGAAATGCAAGTAGCCAGCTGGATCTCAGGACCCACTGGTCTAATATTATGTTCCTTCCATAAAACTGAGGACCTCACAAGGTCAGAGGCTCATTTCTCAAGGTGAAATGAGCCTTGTATTTACTGAGAATTCACTTCTTAAGTTTTAATGCATGCTTGAGTTTTCTCAGGACAACTTCTCTGGAAAGTCACCACTCACTACAACTGCCCCTACCATGTGTCATTTCATTCAACTCCTCTTTTGTATTAAAACTCTTTGAGCGTACCACCACCAACATTACAACTTGAAAATTTTTCCTTGTCCTTCCTCAAATCACAACACAAGTCAGCTATTTGGTTTTATTTTTAATAGCCTCCTCTCAGCCCAAACTGTGACCCTTCCCCCCACCCCCATAAAGTTGTTAGTCTCCTGATTTTTAAATATTAGCACTTCCTCCTTCAAGTTGAAAGACATCCTACCCTAAGCTTCAAGGACCCTAGCATTTCTCAGCCTTCCTGTAACTCACCCCTCTCGGTCTCCCTTTCTCCCCGCCTCCCTTTACTCTTTTACACTCTTACCAGTGATATTATTACAATATTGGATTTCACATTTCTTTGATTTTTCTTTTAAGGTCACTCCTTTGGAAAAAAGTCTATTAGCTCACATCAGTGCCTTCAATTACCACTTCAGAATGCATGACAAATATACAGAGAGTCTTGCCATCCAGATACTTCGTCTTCACTCCAGATCTGTTATGTACAAATACGCTGTTAATATACATTCTATAAGACATTTCCCATCATGACTTGGATTAAATATATCAAGATAAGAATTTATTATCTTCTCCCCACAAGATTCCTTAACCTCCCATATTATTATCTTTCTCCCATGTTCGGACCCTTGCAAACACTATTTACTTAAATAATTAATAGAAGTTATAGATAATCATAAAGATATAGTCATACAGAAGAGATTTGAGAGGAAGCAGGTAGAAAGTTTCAATTTTTCTCCAAATTCTTTCTCAGCTTCATTCCTTTCCTCCAGTTCTCCACAAGTCTGGACTGATCCCAACCAATTTTCTCAGCCCCACTCCACCGTGACCTTAAGCAGGAGGAACTTCACAAGCCTGAGCCTAGCTCTCCTCTGAGCCTCAGCATCCCAATAAGCTTGTTGATCATCGGTCTCTGAACTATTCTCCAGTTCCAAAAGTCCAGTCTTTCATTTACCAGATACTTTACTATCAAATTTCTGCATATCACATGTGTTCTTCCAGATACTCAGAAACAAAAGCAGTAAACTACTAGATTCCTGAAATCTGCCTGAAAGTCATATTTGACTTTCTAACTGGTTTTTGCTTCCCTGTGTTGATTTCAAGACTTCAGTTCATCCTAAATGAAGGCACATTCTTCTTGTGATCAGTCCCTTTGGAGAACAGATAATGACAGAACTCTGCTACATGATGCTATGAGCAGCCATCTGTCCTGTTTTATCCTCCATTCTACATCACTCAGCTCCATGCTTTCTTGCCCATCTCACCCAGTGGTTTACCTGGCTTCTGTATAATCTAGATTTCCATATTTTCTGGGTTCTGTGTTTTGTTTCTTCGGAATGGACCTTCCATCTTTGGTGGCTTTGTACAGACTCCCTGATATCCTACTACCTGCACTACTCCAGTGGGCGGGTTGAGTTCCAGTCTTGGCCTCTTCCAGTCTGTCTCATCCCATTGTGTGGTCCTAGGCCCTGGCCCTAGGATATGACATAATTGCTGCTACCAAACCCTTGCTATCACCTTGGCCTTCAACCTCTCACTGCTCCTATCTGCTTAACACAAAGAAGGGCGAGGAACTGGTGTTATTAATTTTATTAATGCCTCCAATCTTTTTAGACCTCATTTGCCTCCAATATTAAGTGGCTATTTCTTATCATAAAACTCAAGACATTTTATTCTATCTCTGTCTTTAAATTTCTCTTTCCTTCTCCCTCTCGTTTTCTTTGCGCGCGCACACACACACACACACACACACACACACACACACACATTGCTTACTGAGTAACCTGAGTCATTTTTCTTAGTGATCGCTCAGTGTTATCCTTTTACCCTTTCCCACACCTCAACTTGTAAATTTTCATTTCATTATATCATCTTGGTTGTAATTCTCTCACCAGTTCTCCTGCAAATACTGTAGAAGATAATGTAATGTGATAGCAATTTTCCATGTAAATCATTAACCTGAGACCTTAGTTTTTGATAATTTCCTTTAAAAACTTAACATATATGCCCAGATATCATTTTGTCATAAGGCTTGCCAAACCTACTCACGGTTGATAAAAATAAAATGAAATATGTGCTCAGATCTGAATTTATGGTAGATAGATTTTCTTTTCATGAAAATCAGGTCAGTTTTACAATCTCATGATGTTTTCTCTAGCAGAATTCGTATTTTACTACCTCCATCGTGCTACAAGAAATTGATCTTGGCAGAGGAACTCAGAGAAAGCATTTCATGCAATTTCAACTTGTTTTCTCTAACCCACAGACAAGTTTTCAGGAAGGAGAAATTTCAGAAAAGTAATTAAAGCAACTTTTCTTTATTTATTCAGCTTTGACAGATCTAGACTGGAGATAGGGGGCCAGACACTTCTTTAAAGTATGCTGCTGGAGGGGTACCTGGCTAATTATTCAGGCAGGGACTTTAGGCTCTGCCAGTCCAGGAGATAATATCTTCTCCACATCTGCTTCCCTGCCCCCTCTCCTTCACTACAATACAAGCTTTATTCTAGAGTTAGTGATTGTACTAAAAGTTAAATTGGATAATAGCAGTCCATAATCAAAAAGGCCCATTGGCTCCTTCTTGCAAAATTATGCCCACATGATTTAGCATTTCTCCTGTCTCCAAGCTCTCTTTCTTGACTCACCTCCCATCAACCCTCTACCACTTACATGTGCACACCATAAACATAAGTCAGATAGAACCTGATGCTTCTTAAACATGCCATGCCTTTCCAAGTCTCTGTTTATTTCCCCACCCACTGTGCTCACACAGCACAGAGCCCATATTTACAATTAACACACATAGAGGTGCATAATCTTTGGTTTACATGCCTATCCCTTCTCTAAGCTGTGAATTCGTACTCCTCTTTTTATCCCCAATGCCTAATGTGGGCCAGTCACAAAAATTGGATACTCAGTAAAGGTTTGTGGAATGGCTGAATGGAATAACATATTGCAGGAATCTAAAACGTGGCTGATAAATTCATCTTGCCCTTCCTCATGATGTCCAGGTCATGAGCTTGAATCACCTACACACCATTCATTTTGCTTACTGTCATGGTGAGATCAACATTAAGAACCCTATCTTTTTATCTAAAACATATGTAAGCTGCCTTTTACTAAGAAATGTAAGATACCTTGATTGATTGGCACAAACTCAAGTACAGACAGTGAGTCAACCAAAACCATTTATTACGCAAACACTATGTGCCAGCACTGTGCTCACTGTCACGGGGAATGCACACATACTTAATGCTGTCCTATCCCGTGGCGGATGGTTACTGTTGAATACAGACAGTACTGCCTGAAGAGCTGACATTCTTAGGGGGTCTGAAGACCCAGGATTGTATTTCCATGGATTCTCTTCTGTTCCATTACCAGTCTCACCAAACTTTGAATCTCTATCTCAGGAAGTCTAACTTTGTGAAAGCAATTTAATTAAATCTATTAAGAGGATTTTGATGATTCTACAAACTCAAAGATAACTCAATAAAAAAAAGTATTCAGGACCAACAAATATTACACCAAGACAGCAAGTTAATATGTAGGGGAAAATCCATAATAATCTTCTAAGAGTTTCCTGGCCTAAATAATACAAAAAGTAAAACTGTATATTTTATTGAATAGGATTTATTCATTATACATAGACCCACCCTTGAGATGCCCTGCAAAGCTTTCCCGTATTTCTCCATTTGCGTTAGTATTCTATGTAAGTTAAACTTAATTGTACCATGATTAAAGTTAATATAAATGTTAAAATTCAATAAGAAATTGTCATAAATATTTAATAAAGTATTTGCTCATGTTCTAGCAGTCAATTGTATCTGCTGCTACAATTTTGAAAGGCTTTAGTTATATAAATGTAAAAAAAACTCTAAAAGGAGATCCATGGATAGGTGTCAGAAATCATTGCTTTTTCATTCACACAGAAAACTCTTATTTTCCAAAATGAATATTATAATATTCATATTAATGCCCCATATATATTTTTGAATTACAGCTGAGGAAGCTTTAGCTTACTAGAAAGATTGTTGGAATCAAGAAATCTAAGTTTGCTCAGTTGCAAGAATGCGATTAAGTTAGATAATAATAATGAAAGCACATGTGAAAATGCTTAAAGTGTGAAAAAAATCTCTTATATAAATTATTTTATTTGTTTTCCATATTAACCTTGTGGGTTACATATAATTTGTCTTATTGTATATTTAAATTGAAATGTTAAGTGACTAAATAATGCTGCTAAAAGCTGTAACTCTATTGCAAATGCAAATCTAGATCCCGTAGGTCCTCTCTACCTACATGATTCTCTGAACAAAAGCACAGACTTCCTACAAAATTTACAAACTAATAAAAATCCTCAAAACAACGTTTCCCTATAAGATTATGTCTGGGTCAAAAGCTGAAATAGGGGTGAAGATTCGCTTTTTTGAGCCCTAACTGAACTACACATGATCCATAATAAAATTTAAAAAAATTTTCAAAGCTTACTTACAGATTTTCGTCTACAATCAATGGGCACATTAAATGTAGCTCATCAGAATCCTGTAATTAACCCAGGAATTGCTCAGCAAGTACTTTCTCACTGTTTGGTCCAGTGGTTCAATTTTGTTAAACAGTGTCATTATTTGCATTTTGCAAACCTGCTCTGGTTCTATAAAGTCTAGCTGGGGAAACTTCCATCATAAACAAGAAACAAAAAAGGGAAAGAAAGCAAAACACATTTTTAGTTTAAACCCAATAAAGTCTGTTCTGGTTTTGGTTAATTTTGATTTTAAGCTTTAAATTGCAAGTACCAGTAAATAGCTAAATTGTCTTGCTGATTTTATCTTGTGATGCTTACCTATAAAGTGTTTGGATCCCTTCTATCAAGAATATGAACTCCAAAATGATAACTGATGTTTTTTTAAGCTAAATGGAATACCCAGAAAAGATTTAAACATTCAAGTAAGTGCTATAGTGAAAAGTTCGGTGAGAGTCCACAGTTAGTGGGTACATCACTGGACCTTGCAAGGAGTAGAAAGTAGCAGCAGAAAGCAGAAAACAGGAGGCATATTGATGCCCTTGATATTTTGTCGGTAGTGACTTTTACTTTGTAGTTTATACTATATTTAATTACTTGTTTGGGATTAGACATTCAAGGAGTATTTCACCATATAGAGGCACACTACTCAACTATGCCTACAAGCTTACCACATTGTTGTAAAGCCAGTTCTTTTCACAATTACCCCCTTTTGAATTAGAAAATGAATATTCCTTTAAAAGTGCAAATAGATTTTCTAAGGGGAAAACACACACACACACCCACACACACAGTTATTGACCACGTCTAGTGGTAGAGAGGGGCTGCATACCATGACTATGTTTGAAGAAGGAAGAAAAAGTGGAGAGACAGGCAACTGCTAAGTGGGATGCCCAGAAGACTTGAGAATAATAATAAGACTAGGGGTTGATTTTTATTGACTATTATTTTACCTGTACACTTTATGTAGCGTTTCTGTGGATGTTGTAGTTTTGTTTCAGGTCAAAGATCTTTCAGGCCAAGATTCAACACAGCCATCCTTACTAAAGGAAGTATTTGTTTGCATTGCATGAGCCATTGAATTTATAAGGCATCCCTCAGCGTGACGGACAATGATGAAATGGTACTGAGTTACCAAAGAAAATCATGCATTTCTTTCTGTTATCAGCATCGGTTTTTACTTAATTAAAAAGAGAGGAGAAAAAGAAAAGTTTTCTATGAAGAGTGGTGAATTAGATTTTAGCAGCATCGAGAAGAAAAACACTAGGATAATGGCAGAATAAACAAATAACAGATGTGGATTCGGAGTCTGAAGATGAGTTTTAATCCTAATTCTGGCATCCACTAGCTTTGAGGCATTGGTTAATTTCACTGAGTCTCAGTTTGCGTATGTGTATAATGAGAAGTGAACAGGGAGATTTCTGTGATTAAGGATTGAGAGATTGTGCTTCTAGAATGAAAAGTGGAGGGCTTGGGAAGATGAGGGCTGAAGTTGAGTGGAAAATAACTAATGCTATTTTGATGACAAACTTGGGAATGGGTGATTAGCAGAAGGGCGCTAAGCAGCATGGCATTTGCGAGTGATTTAGCATGAAGAATTTTTTGTTACAGAACAAATAAGATGCTTAGCGAGGTAGCCAGGATGGCCTTCTAGGGAAACAACATTGGCAGATGAATCCTGAAAACTTTTCCAGCAAAACCAGCCAAAAGGTTAGTAATGACCGAGGAGAGAATTTCTCCTTTTAAAAATGTATGTGAACATTTTCCATATGGCAGAATTCAGACAAGAACTTCCATACAAGCCAATAGAAAGAGAAGATGGGGAACGTTACCTTCTACATTAAGAGTCCAGAGTGGGGCCCAAGCATGTGAGGAGGATTGTCGGGAAAATAAACTTTGGCCTCTAAAAGAGCTAAGCCCAAGTAGCTCATCCATAGAAGAACATCAAAAATTCATAATATTCTTGGCAACTTCATTAAAAGCTAAAACAAAACATTTTAAAATGTTAATTTCTAGTGATAGGATTATGGGTGACTTTTTCTTCATTTCTGCATTTCTCAAATTTGCAATAATTAGCAAGTATTACTTTAATATGCAGGAAAATGGGCCAGGCACAGGGGCTCATGCCTGTAATCCCAGCACTTTGGGAGGCTGGGGTGGGTGGTATTACCTGAGTTCGAGACCAGCCTGGCCAACACGGTGAAACCCTGTCTCTACTAAAAATACAAAAATTATTCGGGCGCGGTGGCATGCTTCTGTAGTCCCAGCTACTCAGGAGGTTGAGGCAGGAGAATCACTTGAACCTGAGAGGCAGAGGTTACAGTGAGCCGAGATTGCACCACTGCACTACAGACTGGGCGACAGAGCGAGACTCCGTCTCGATAATAAACATAATAATATGCAGGAAGATGCTTTAAAAGAATATACATTATCCTAAAGCAATCCACATTGTATTTAGTGAGAAAGAACCCATGGAATATAAACTGGCTAATACGGACTATTATTCCTTCTGGCAATTTATGATGTTTCATATAGACAAGGACAGAACTCTGTTTAGAATCAAGTTTAGTTTTATCCAGGTTATCAGGAAAAGCAACAGCCAAAGGGATACATCAAAAATTTTATTTAAAAAAAGAAATCTGGTATTGATTTCTACTAGTCTACCCCTTGATATTAGTAAATTAGCTTTACTAATACCTAAGGTCCTATTCTCTTGTCTCCTAATCTAATGTGAAATACCAATAAAATATTAGACATAAAATTAAAATGTGAAATTTAAAAATCAGCACCAATTCACTAATTATTGGTTTCTTTTAGCCATGTTCAAGAAAATATCTGGCATCCATCTTTAAGAATGTTTTACAAGAGTACATGCAGACAGAGATTGATTTGCCACTGTGCATTTTGTGGCCAGGGACACAGAGAGGGAAGGAGGGAAAACAGAGAAAGAGAATATGAATTTTAAGACTTAAGAAAGCCCAGCTCATTTCCTGGTGTTCTTATTTTAAAGCTGACCTCTTTCTGACAGAGATGCTTTCAGCATATTCTAGCTGCTGTCCTATAACATGCCAGGAGTGAAGTCCTTCCAGAGTTTTCCTTGACACTTTTTACTTTGAAAAAAGAAACGTAACATAGGAAGAAAGACCAAAGGTAGAAATAATCTCTGGAACGAGTCTGATGACCTTCCAGGAATGTTTAAAATGTTCAGGACGAAGAGAGCTTTTGAAAAGGTTGGGCAACCAGCAGTCTGAAATCCAGCAGCATCAATTTCATTGTCATTCTAAATTCTCGTAATAGGCAGTGGCAAATGGAGAACTGATCTTTCTAAAACTGAACCAGACAAAGATGTTGATGTGTTTCATTTCTAGAAAAGATGCTCTTTGCCACAAATCATTTTAAACGTTACCTTAAACTTTGAACATTTTGTTAAAATATTATTTTCTAGAGAATCTGCATTTAAGGAGTACAGTTAAGATCTCAGATTATAGAAAAATAGGTAGTCTTATAAGAATGTTAACTAATAAGTTTGACGATGCCAAGAATCTGCCATCGTTTTGTTAAATGTGACCCTCTCATAGAATTTGCAAAATGCCAGTATTTTTAAGCAATAAAAAATCAATTTGCATCTATTTTGCCATATTTCAACATGGTACCCTATGCTTGATCCACTTTAATTTTCACTGAGCAGAGAAATGGTCTCAGCAGGCATGTGTAGGTAACAGACCCCAGGTCCTTATTGCTTTACCCTCCTTAAGGCTGAAGTTTATCAACTGCAGAAGAGTGAGGCAATGGTAAGGTATACATTTTATATATCACAAAATTATGGTCAATTTTTAATACACCCATGTAATTTTGTCTTAGCAAACTTACTCACCTGATCTTCTCTGAAACCTACCATAATAGCATAGAACATTGTGGGGATACTAGACAGACTAGCCTATTATTTATTAAAAACAATAACTATGGATCCCTGTAGTATCTCTTTCGAGTAGTCAACCAGAATGTCTTCTAGGGACAGAAAAGTAGCTCATATATTTGTTTTTTGGACACTGACACTGACAATTGATTGCTAAAATCATAGACTAAAGAACTAAATTTATTCTTATTTTGCATTTGACAAAATGAACTGGTTGCCATTAAGTTTCCATAGTTGGCAGAGGAAAGTAAAATAGGGCAAGGTTATGTTAGAAAACCCCAACTCCAGAACTCTCTAAAGCTCCCTTGGTCTCCCTGGGAACAGCAGGATTTTAGCTGTCGCTGTCTCTTGCTCTGCTTGAAGCAATGATTTCAATAACCATTTGACAATACCAAAAGATCAGGGCACGGACAACAAGGCCTCCTGGAGAATTACTTTGGTTTAGCTACTTTAGCAACTCTTGTCCTTGGAGTCTATTTAAATTACAGAATAGCACCACCACCGTTTGTCAGGCTAGGCTTCATAGCAGGAGCTCCAGGAAAAGCATGACTTCAGATCCCTGTGCGTATCCTGCTAGTGGTGAATGAGAACCTGGCAGAGCTGTGCTCCCTGCGTTCTTGAGTTTCGGATTCTGGACTTGGATGCCCCATTATATGGGATTTGATCCAAAGTTATATATGAGAGTGGATTTGAGGGTATTGCTTATTACTCCATTGAATATTTCCTGACCCACAACTCTACCATCTGCCAATTTGCTCCTTTTAGTAACTGGGTAAACAGGCAGGCAAGAACTGCAAAACAAACCACTCCTTTTCAACTAATAAGAATAATAGTACCTAACATTTCATTAGCTCTTTACAAAATAATTTTTGCATGCAATATATTATTTAATCTTTGCAATAACCTGCGAATTTCATTATCCATATTTGATAAATGATGATAACCATTATTTGATCATCACAACACTGTGAACATCATAATCACTGTGAAGTAAGTTCTATTATCTTCATTTGATAGATTTACAACATTGATGTTTAGAAGGATGCCAGAAGTGACCCAAATACCTTGGCTAGAAAGTAGCAGAGCCAAGTTACAAACCTGGGTAATGTTGACTTCTGGATTAATTCTCTCAAGATTTCGAGAAAGGAAACAATAGATTTAAGTCATGATTCAGTCCTGTTTTTATGACTATCCCCCCAAATGAATCCATGCCCAAAATATCTCACCAGTAATCTAAAAATGATGTAAAAATATTAGTAGAAATAATATGAATAGCAACCTGTCCTTATTCCACTTGAAATGTTTACTAGATGGAGGAGTTGGTTTGGGTCACTTACAGAAAATGATAATATATGCATGGATCTTCTCTGACTGCTCCTCCCTTTCCCTAACCCCAAATCAGTAAGCAACTCACCAATCAACTTTTGAAAGGAAAAAAAGGCTTAAAAATGCACCAGGAATTTAAACCAAGTGATACAAAGGCAACCCATGGCAAGCTCATCATCTCCTGTAGGTAGTAAGAAATAAATGCCAACAAAAGAACTAGAGAATGCCCAAGGTGATATGAACAGAGCTACTGACTTTGCAAAGGCAGCAGGCCTCCTTATGATTATAATCATTTCCTTTGCTTTTATAGTAAACACAATGCAAGAAAAGCTGCTTCTGACATTTTCATAATACCTTATATTTTGGGGAAAAGAAAGGAGTCAAGGAAGCCAGCCTGAGGTAACAGCCACCAGAACTGCTTAGTGTGTCAAAGTACAACTTAGTCCTTGATCCTGGAGGGGGCAACCAGCATTCTATGCAAAATCCTGAGGAAAGGAGTAGGGTACAGACAGACACAGCAGTGGCGCTTAGCTTTCATGTAAATGAAAACTGTGGAAATCACAGTTTTCTATTTGGCTGTACTAGCAAAATTTGAAACTCCTTACTGAAAACTCCAAACATTCTGACAACCTTTTCTCACCCAAGGAAACAGCCTTTTCTAAAGACTAGAATTTAGCCTAAAGCTTATTTTTTTAAATGCTAGCTTTATTAAGACATAATTTACATAACATAGGATTCAACCATTTAAAATATACAATTAGTTGGGTTTTTATATGTCCTCAGAATTGTGCAACCATCACTACAATCAATTTTAGAACATTTTCATTATTCCAAATACCCATCAGCAGTCACCAACTCCCTCCACCCCACCCGGCCTTTTATCTCTAAGTCCCCAGCTTGAGGCAATCACTAATCTGCTTTCTGTCTCTGGATTTGCCTATTCTGGACTTTTCCTATAACATGTAATCACACAACATGTAGCCATTTGTGTCTGGGTTCTTTCACTTAGAATGATGTTCTCAGGGTTCATCCATGTTGTAGCATGTATCACTACATCATTCCTTTTTATTGCAAAATAATATTCCCCTGTGTGGATACACCACATATTATTTATCCATTTATCAGCCGATGAACCTAAGTTGTTTCCACTTCTTGGCTATTATGAATAATGCTGCGATGAAAATTCATGCACAAGTTTTTGTGTGAATACATGTTTTTAATTCTCTTTGGCATATAGTGGAATTGCTGGTTCACATGGTAATTCTACTTTTAAACTTTTGAGGGCTTCTCCAAAGTGGCTGCATTATTTTACATTCCTATTAGCAGCATATGAGGGTTCCAATTTCTCTACATTGTCACCAAGACTTGTTATTGTCTGTCTTTTTTATCGTAGTCTTCCTAGTGGGTGTGACATGGTATCTCCCAGATGCTTTGATTTCCATTTCCCTGATAGCTAATTATGTGGACCATGTTTTTATGTACTTATTGGCCATTTGTTTATCTTCTGTGGAGAAATGCCATTCAGATCCTTTGCCCATCTTTTTTTCTTTCTTTTCCTTTTTTTTTTTTTTTTTTTTTGTTTTTGGTTAGTTTGTCTTTGTAAGCTGTAAGAGGAGTTTATCCTGAAGCTTTTAACATCAAGTGTACTGTGGATTAAATTTCAAACTCCTTGTGGTCAGAGAACTTGCCAGGTTCATGCGTGGTCAGTCCTGGGTCAGGTCTTTCTGGAGTCTGGGATTGTGATGGCTTACATGTGGGAAAGTTCCAGTTCCCGACATGGCCCTTCATTGACATGGCTCAGAGGCTCTGTGGCAGGGACATGAGGCATTACTGTCTTCTGCGGCAACTGAAATGCTTAGTTTGTCTACTTTCCAGATATAATCACTGTTGTGTAAAAACGTATCGCCAGAGCTCCCATCACTTTCTTGAGAAGGAAATCACTGTGCATGAGTGTAAACGCTGATGCCTGAATACTAAAGGTGTTTTCTCACCTATACTATTAAGGTTGCCTGCAGAGACCGTCATTTCTTGAGAGGGGAAAACAACTTTAAGTACATTTTATAATCCAGAAAAGAGCAGGAGTAAAAGACAAAACAAAATGATCTTCCCATGTTTCCACCTACCTTGCTAATTAGATCTAAAATTTAGTTTGGACTATTACTGTCTCACAATTCTATATATTCTTTATTTTATGTATATTATTATTTAATGTATCCTTTTAAAGCAAGCCCTGGCTGCATATTAGAAGCACCTAAAAAACTTTTAATGTTTAAACATTTTTATTGGTTGATTGATTGATTGAGACAGTGTCTCACTCTGTCTCGCAGTTCTGGAGTGCAGTGGCATGATCACATCTCACTGCAGCCTCAACTTCCTGGGCTCAAGCCATCCTCCCACCTCAGCCTCGCATGTAGCTGGGGTGCAGGCAAGCACTACCACACCCATCTGGTTTTTTTTGCATGTGTGTTGTTTTTTTGATTTTTCGTAGAAACAGGGTCTCACTTTGTTGCCCAGGCTGCTCTAAAACTCCTGGACTCAAGCTATCCTCCCACCTCGATCTCTCAAAGTGCTAGGATTACAGGCATGAGCCACTGCACTTATCCAGAAACTTTTTAAATATATTCATGCTGGGCTCCCACAAGCAGAATTTGATTTAACTGATCTGGAGTGGGTTTAGGTATTTCTAGTTTGCAAAATCCCACAGGTGATTCTAATATGCAGCTGGGTCCAAAACACAAGCCCAACTACTACCAGCCTATTGGTTTATCATCCAACTTAATAACAAGAACCCATTGTCCACTCTAGATTGGTGCCTCTCAGACTTCAGCATACATAAGAGTCATCTGGGGATCTTGTTAAAATGCAGATTCTGTGGGCCTGGATGGAGCCTATGATTCTGCAATTCTAACAAGTCCCCCACTTTAGGTGAGGCTGATGCTGAGACAGCTGGTTAAAACTATTCAGAGTCCTCAGAGTTGGTGAGCCATTGCATGCTCATCGCTCTTTTTAATTAAACCTTTATCTCCTCAATGATTTAACTTTTTAAAGCAGCCATCATGGAATATAACGTGTGCTGCAGTCCTTTTAAAAACAGAATTGAAATTCTATCATTGTTCATACAGTCATTCTTTGTTAATGTAAATACGAAACAATAAAACTCGTTATTAATGATCCAGATCCTTTAAAGTGGCCATAAAAATACTGCACAGTTGAATGAATAAGGGACCTAGTGGCTAATTTTGAGTCATATGATTGAAAGGTTTTGGTTCCTGAAGCCAGTCACAGGAGACTCACTTTGTGACCTTGGAAGTTACCAACTTCTCTGAGAGTCATTGTTTTCCCTGTCAATCGCAGGTAGTAGGAATTACTTCTAGGGCTGTTATGAAGATCTGTGAATTAAGAAATGCAAAGAGCCTATCATTCCACTGGCCTCTGAGAATATCTAAGGAGAGGGTAAACCTTAAAAGACAAAAAGCAACTGTAAGCATCTAAATATGTGAAATCCTCACTAAAATCTTTTGTGTAAGGATCTAAAATGGAGGAGTCTCTTCTCTTTAATCCTCCATTTCATCCTTTCCTGATCTTCTCCCAACATCAAGGGCAGACTTAAAGAAAAGAAACCATAGAAGGACAAATTGAGGCTTAAGTTGAAAAAGAGACTGTGGTACCACTTTGGCTTAACAATGAGAAACTAAAATATATTTTGAAGAGACTTTCTTTTTCAACCCTCATTAATAAAGCCACATCTTTCTTTCTTTTCTGACTGTCTGCCTGAGTCAAAACCAGATATAAGAACTCCTTGGTAGTCTGTTTGAAGATGTTCAGGTCCTTTGAGACACCTAAGATAAGAGAGAGACTGGGAAGTAAAGTATAGATGTTGGTTTGGTATCATCAAATAAAAGGCACTGCCAACTTCAAAAGGAATGATCTGTATTTTTCCACTGAATAAATTGATCTTTCTTAACCGAATGTTTTTTTCTTTTTCTTTTTTTTAGAAATAGAACCAAAATGTACTTCCATAAAAATTTTGGCCATATTAAGAAATATTTCAATGCTATCGTAAGATTTGTAACTGCTTTGCTAGTTTCCAGAAACCACAGTTTTTATAGTATACTGCTCAAATTTGAAAAGCTGTAAAAAAGAAGTGAGTTTTCCTGTCTTTATAATAATTATAATAGTTGAAAGTTGCATGATACCAGTTTTTCTATTTGTTCTTTATCAGTGCAGTAAAAATGCAAGAATTATATTTGGATGAAGGACTGTGTCTACCCAACAGTTCCAGTCTTGATTTTGTTAACCTGTCTATTTAAAGAAAAGAAGTAGCAACAGCTATGTTTCCCGTTGGTAAACAGAACAGAACAGCCAAAATGGATGTAGGTTCTCAGGGAGCTGGAGTCCTTGTGACAGTGCAAAAGTCCTGTGGACATGGGATTGGTGTGGCAATGGGGCCAACTGGAGGACATTCAAGGTTCCGTCAGTCCTTGAGATTCTTTCTACTGCAGAACTGTGAGGAACATGCTTCTGCTGATTATCAAGCCAAAATAACGACATCTTCACCAAACCAACCCCATACTATCCCCTGTGAAGGAAGAAGTGGTAGCAGTATCTTTCATGCATTAGGCTCTGGAAGGTGAAAAGGAGACATCCTAAGGATGTGTTCCTTTAAAAATTACATTGGTTTATTTCACCTCAGCTACCTTTGCTAAGGGGAGAAATTGTTCTGTTCTGAAGCAAAAGGTGAACATTACCAGTGCCTTCTGATTTTTGCCTCTGTTGATTTAAAGGGCTAATTCATAAGGACTGACTTCATCCTGCCACTTTAGATCCACTGAAATGTCCTTTAATAATCAAGTTTCCTATTAATAGCTTTACTGTGCAAGAGGAGTGAAATCAATATATAATTTAGTGGCTCTTCCTGTCAGGAGCATTATTGATTCCATTACTAATGATTTTGAAATGATATGCCATTATGCAAATTCCATCTGTTTTAGATGTCTTTGCCAGGCACCTACAAAAGTACTTTTTTCTTTTTCTTCATCTTTGATTTTTCCAGTATCATAGTTATCAAGTACTTCAAAATTTTCTAAGAATTGTGATCCTATGACTAGGGATATGCTAGTGATAAATCATAAATGCTTATTTTATATGCAAACAAATTGTGTGGAGCTATATAACTGTGTTTCCCACACCCATCAGCTACTTAGAGTATAGAAAATAGGCCAGGTGTGGTGGCTCACCCCTGTAATCCCAGCACTTTGGGAGGCCAAGGCGGGTGGATCGCCTGAGGTCAGGAGTTCCAGACCAGCCTGGCCAACATGGTGAAACCCTGTCTCTACTAAAAATGCAAAAATTAGCTGGGCATGGTGATGGGCATCTGTAATCCCAGCTACTCAGGAGGCTGAGGCAGGGGAATCGCTTGAACCTGGGAGGCGGAGGTTGCAGTAAGCCGAGATCACACCACTGCACTCCAGCCTGGGCAATAAGAGTGAGACTCCATCTCAACAAAAAAAAAGAAAGAAAATAAAGCTATTAAAAGATTTAAATATTTATGATATTCACCAAGGATTAGAAACAATATGTTGTTTGGTGATTTATTTATTTGTGAATAAGTTGCTTTGTGAACATGAAACAGGTACCTTTTCTACACAAACATTCACCCTATTAGCAAGGCTACTTCTACCATCCCCACTGTGCTTTACTTCTATAATCCAATAAAATATGTGATGAGATGCAGGGTGGGTTGCAAATACAAGATGGAGAAATATAACGTCAGATGTTTTTAAGTAATGCTAACAAGAATATTGCAACGTGACTCTCACAATGAGGGGTTTCAGTTTGATGTACCCTACAATGAAGCATCTTGATAATGGATGTTGGGCCATCAAGTGCAGAGAACAGTAGCGTGGCCCTATTATTGTCCATCAACACTTTCCTACCCTTGGTCTCACCATGCTGTTTGTTTTTGTAGAAATGTACCACTAAAGTTTAAGATTGCAAGACTGTGAGATGGAAATTAATACCCAAAATGCGTAAGTTTTGTTGACAAAGAGGACAGACATTTGGCAGTTTTGTGTAGAGCAAATTTGATCTATTTTACAACATCAAATTCAGTTCTAATTATCAAATAATCAATCATTCCTTACATCCATCCTCCTGTGCCTTCTCTAATATTTTATAATTTTTGGATATTAGGGAAAAATTAAATATTCTAGTTTAGTCACAGCAGAATAATTTTTTATACTAAAGATGCAAATTTAAAAAATAATTCTAAAAGTCAGGAAGGAGCTGTTTACAGTATACATGTAACTGGACATTATCATACTGTTGGTAGTTTTGTAAATATCTAACCACTCTTTAAAAGATGATTGTGGCTTTAGTCACTTATAGCTGTTCATCTAGTGTGTTCATATTTCAGTATTTGAGGACAGAAATGAGATAGAAAGGAGTTTCATGAGCTGCAGCTTTTTAGGAGTGAGAAATTGGAATGTGAGTATCATTCAAGAATGTTCTTTAGCTGAGGAACAGAGAGTACGTTATTGGGTTTCAGGGAACCAGAACCAATCATTTGGTCTCAGGTCTACAATGCTAAGCCAAAAAGCAAGACTTAAGCATTTGGCATTAGGCGCTGGGAAATTCAGAGAATTAAAAGCATCTTCTACCTATGACTCCTTCATATTAGGAAAGAAGACTGATATTCTTTAGTATGCATAGATCTAATGAAACTTAATGGCTCAGATAAATAAAATAAAAACAAGATCATAAGCCAATTTCCTTCCAGAAGACCTAAAAAACTCCACCAAAATTAAAGAATGGCCATGCTGTTAAAATTCCGTTGTCTACAAACACTCATTGTTTCAAAAACATTGATCAGAATTGTACTTGGCCAATGTTACTGGAAACATTTTTTCAAGACAAATCAGGGTTTAAGAGGCTTCTAATAAGTTAGTTGTAGTATATGAATTGTTTAAGCCCTTATTAATTATAAGGTAACATTAGGTTGGTTTATTTTCAGAGTCATCAAGAATGCTTATGGAAAGTTGAGATTTGCATAATATTTGCATTTGTCCTACCTGCCTGTCAGTCACTCATAGCCATAGCGCCATAAGGCAAGAACTGTTAAAGGTTGGATTACAGGAAGAATTCTAATCAAAACACCTTGGTGTATCGGTGATGTTTGAAAGTAGTGTAAATGGCATGTTTCATAGAAAGTTAAAACTCAACTTTGGAAGAATGAAAATAACTACAACATCATGACTCGCACCTGCTGCCACCCCACTTTCACAACAGCTGTTGTGAGGCCACAGCTTCCATCTTTAGAAAGACAAACAAAACGTGAACAACTTCCTGCTGTGGTCTAGCTGGAGAATCTGACTAACCTGAATAAGAGTTTGATTCTAAGACATTGGGTGGGGTGAAATAACTTGACTATATTTTCTTTGTGATATTTTTATTCATTTATTATTTTAATAACAATTTATGATAAAAATACTATATTTGGAACTATAATAAAGCACAGTGAAGGAAAAAAAATGACCTGTAAGCCAATTGCTCAGAGATAACTTCTATTAATATCTTGATGGGATTTTTTGACTTGTTCTAAAGGAGTGAGTTCCAGGGCATAGCTTAGACAATCCAATGGTTAAGGCATTTACTAAATTAATGTGTTTTTCTTTTCTTATTATTGTGATCTGTGTTTTTCTGCTTTTCCTCCTTATGATGATGACAAACCTATTAATACTGAATGCTATATTTTGCCTAAAATAATTCTGTGGCCCTGCTCAGGGGAGCTATGCATTGGGTGAAATCTCTGATCTTTCATACCTATCTGATACCCATTCTTGAAGAAAAAACTCACAGTACAGAAGTTTCTCGATTACTGTTTGTCTGAAAGTGCAGCTGGTTAACCTTGCTTTCCTCTTCTCTATGTTCCTTCTCTTCTCTTTCCTCTTCCCCTTGTTCGTCAATTTCTATTCTCTGTTTCAGCAAAACAATATCAGTCAAGGTAATTGATGATGAGGAGTATGAGAAAAACAAGACCTTCTTCCTTGAGATTGGAGAGCCCCGCCTGGTGGAGATGAGTGAGAAGAAAGGTGGGGGAGCTGCTCCAGGGCTGAGCCCAACAGCTTCTGCTGGCCTGTGCCACCCCTGGATGCCTGCACTCTTCAGAACATGACTTACAATGCACACATCCCTCCACCTATGTAACAGGGCACAGATCTCATGCTGAGCCACAGTAGGCAGGCCTGTAGCTACATCAGCCAGCGTTAGGTGCGCTGCACATTAACGTCTGAGAGATTAATTTTCAGGGCAGTCAATCAAGCATCCATTTCTGGGAAAGTTGCTGCAGATGCCATGCAATGCCATGCCAAAATACCCCAAAATGGGGTACCTACTGACTGCTAACTGAAGCGGGAATAATTCGTGAAAGTGATAAATTAGCAAAGAAAACTTAATGGGGGCCAGCCAAGAGTACCCAAGATGCCCTTTTACATACTTCAGGAGGCCCATGTGCTGCCAGTTCTCCCTCCATAACATCACAGTAACATTCAGCTTGGTGGACACCAAGAGCATGAGCGTGTGACTCCAACCATTTGTTTTGCCTTTGTCTTGTGTTCCCACAGGAAGATCATTACCATTAGAATATTTGACCGTGAGGAATATGAGAAAGAGTGCAGTTTCTCCCTTGTGCTTGAGGAACCAAAATGGATAAGAAGAGGAATGAAAGGTGTGAGAGTAAACAAAGACATACCAGCGAGAAATTGTACTCTTCTCTCTCCGTGTCTCCCTACTCTCACACTTAACTCTCTCCTCTTCCTCGGCTTCCAAGTACTATACTTCATTGCCTTTGAAGCTTTAGCAATTTCATTTCCCTTCCCTAATTCACAAGTGCAACAGGCAACGCCCACTTTCTTCAGGAAATGCCAACTAACCTTGATTGCAACCAGATTTAATAACACTGAAAGGGATTTCTGTAATTCAGAAATGATTACATAAAAGAATGTGTTTAGTTTTTCACTACTCACGGTTTATTCTAAAATGTCACTCCAATTATTAAATCTTCCCTAAAATTTTAGTGATAAAGACGACTTAATACCTCATCAATCATACCTCAATAAAGCTGGAAAAAAGAAACTGCTTAATACCTATTAGTATTAGTAGATGACCCTAATGGCAACTAACAGGAAACTTCAGAATTCAAATAATTAGGCTTCTTTGGAGAACACAGTTTAAAAATATTTAATAAGAACAAAGATCCTTAAAGAGTAGTATTTTCAATATTCTAGTGCTCATTTTAGCATATTTTTATATCATCAAATACAACATTTAAAAGGCACCATATCTATGAAACCAAAGCCTACCTAGCTTTATGCTCCAAAATCTCTTGATAATTACAGAATTAGTAAATTATTAACACATATAAAAAAAAGAAAAAATAAAAGTAGTGTCCTTTATAACTAGATTATGCCGATTTTGCTGATTATTAATATATGGCATATATTTCATAGGAAAGACAGCAATCTTGTATCAGCTTTACAGAGGATTTTTTATTCTGAATTGTTCATAGGGCTTCATATAATTATCCTCTAATGGTGGCCATTTTAAAAGGAATTCTGGTGATTTACTTATTGTGTAAAATGAGCAGACCACATATTAATAGCTCTTATTAGTTGCATACAAACAATTGGTGAGAGCAGTATGATATAATGAGATGGGCCACTTTGTAAGAAATTTATGCTTTTACAAGTAGAGGGAAAAATAAAATATATAGGACTAATTGCTATGTAGACACATAGGAAAATTTATCCCACGTTCATCCCATGTTTGTGGCCTCACAGTCCGCTGGTGGGGAAAAAACACGTATGTTTCTGTGTTAATCAAGTTCAAGATGGAGTATTTGGAGTATTTGGAGTGATGGGAAAAGGAGCACTCAAGGCCTATTTTAATGAAGCCTATTTAATATGCTCCATAGATGGTAGACAGAAGAAAAAGAGACCAGAAAATTATGCTGATTTCTTAAAAGATGGGATCCAAAATGCCTCATTAACATACAGGAGAAAGCACTTTCTTCTCAATGTATTCCTCCAAAGAACTTTATCTCAAGGAGGAGCATCTTGGATTCTGCTCTTACAATTGCCGTTTTAGTAAAATATGCTCTCATGTAACAGCAAATTAAAATTCCTTAATAGCACTATCCAGTTTCACACCCGCCAAGTGGATTCTTGTCACTATTAATAAATTACTGACTTTTTTTAGAAAGTATCCTCTAATGCCACCATCATTAGAGAGAAAACTGGGCCCAAAAAAGTAACTGTAACATTCCCGTCTTCAACTCAGGAAATAATTTGATATATTTAGCAAGGTTGCTTTTACTAAAATAAAGTGCTACAGTACATTCTGGGCTTAAAGCACATAAGCTGAAAGACAAATTATACGTCCCCCTCCCCCCAACCCAATGCCCTGTCAGTTTCCTGGGATGATATGTCCACTAGAAGGATTCTGGTTATCTAATAATGTACAGAAGTCACAGATAAGGACACAAGTAGGTGTTAATTCCTGGGACTATTAAGCTTTAAGGATTTTAAAACATAAGCAATTCTTGGTGGACAAAATATCATCCAAATAGAACATCCCAAGATAGTGCTTTACCTTGGGCTAAACTTTCTTTCCAGGCAGGGAACCCAAAATGGAATGTCCCAGGATGTTTCACCTGTACTTACTGAATAAAAGGTGTGATACCTGAGTTCCTGGGTGATTTAAGACTTCCATATGTTGGATTGACCAAATCCGAGGCAATATTTAATGAGGAAGCCTCACTCATATCAAGTTAAGAATGAATTTCATACAATGTTTCCACTGTATTTGGTAAACTAGATTTACATACTAGGTATAAACATATATACTAGCAATGTCTTATTAAATGTAAAGAAATTATATATAAGGTGAAATACATATACACACACACACACACATATACGTATGTATTCAATCACACACATTTTCAGAAATTTCAGTTGGGATTGTTTATTCAGAAATATTCCCATCACTATATTTCTTTGGGGTATACCCATTTTTAGCAGTGGCTCCCTACCACTGTAATCAGATCTGCCTGGATTTCTTTCTGCTGATATTCCTCTTACTTTCATTATTCATCTGGTCTCTTATTCTGTGTTTGTCTTTGTCTGTTTCCTTCACAGCCCTGTTATTGAATGAGCTTGGTAAGCATTTCATTTCTTGCATTTCCTTTCCATTTTTCTAGATTATTTTCCATTTCCGTCAGGTGATACAGTAGCTCTGTGACTTTTATTTCTCTTGACTTGCTAGCAAGATTGTTGTTTAGGGCCATTGACCTCATTTTGTCAAGGTCAAATAGTTTATATTGCATTTTTAATTTAGTACAACCTTTTGAAAAATCGGTGATTTCTTAGGTATGCACAAGAATTAAATTTGTGCATTAAATCTCATAATCTTAAAAGAACGATTAGTGATTCAGTCATGAACATTTTCCTAGTCTTCTTAATTGTAAATATAATTTGGCAAGTACCTTGGGTGGGTTGTCAGGCAGTCTGATGTCACTGGTATTTGTTATGTAGAGTGTCAAATTATAACATTTGTTGTTGTTTTTTTCTTTTTTAGGTGGCTTCACAATAACAGGTATGAATTTTTCAAGTCTAATGCTATCTAACTTTTACTGTCTGTTCTCACCAGATGTTATTACATTAAAAAAAATTTCTCATTTTTATTTGCTTTTAATGAAGGAAAATACCTGTTTGGTAAGACTTATTTTTTTAATGTTCCTTATTTTTCCCCAAATACCCTTAACCATCAATCCAAACCTACATCTTATGTAACTTGCATTAATATTTAACTGTGGCACATGGTGTGCTCTTGCTGGTTTTACACATTTAACGTTTTACAAATTAATAATGTGTGTGTGTTGTGTTTATAAGCTGTTCATATGGAAAAACTGTAACTGTTCATATTTTGACACTGACCAATTTACAAATGTTCACATAGTGCTAATGATGTACAGTTCCCTGATAGAGGCTCCAAAGAGCTCTAGAATAAGGTGACACAATTGCTAGCCTCAGAGAAACATAGAAGCTGACATCCAAGATGGATCCGTGGTCCAAGCTCAGGATCCTAATAACACATAAATGCCATATTGAGAAAATACATAAAAATACATGTTGAGAAAATACGTAAAAATACATCACTTTAACACATAAATTTTAATTCATAAATTATGTATGTAAATATATAATTTATAATACATAATATAATATCATGTTGAGCAGAGCCTTCCCCTCATCCCACCACACCAATCTGAGGGTTTCTCTGGGGACTTAGGTTTTAGTATTAATAACATGGTAATGAGTAATATTTCTGCCACTTGAAGCATATTACAAAGTATTCTATAAAAACTCAAAATGTCAAAATTAAAAAGTTTCAAACATTTAAATTTAGAATGGTACTCAGCCTGTGTTGATTGCATTATTTAGCACAACTCTAAAACTATATTCTTGTGTACAAAACAAAGATATTTCCTTACAGCATCCTCTGTTGTCTCTAAATATCTTCTCACCCTTTTAGAGTCATCTGTGCACATTTAGAGAGATAAATATTTAAACAGTAGGTCTGTCTGAAGCTGTAGGTTGAAGATATCTTTAATGGCCTACATTCTATATCAGTATGTGACATCTTCCAATATATTGTGCCAATATCAAAATTTTCCAATATATTGTGCAGATATCAAAATTTTGAAATCAGAGATCTGAACAAAAATATTTAGAAGAAAATATACTTCAAATTTCTGATCATGAAAATACTATGTTGGGAATTGGGATGAACTTAATCCACTGTTAGTGTAAACTCATGAACAAGCAATTCCAATGTGATTCTGTCCGAAGTAGAATTTTCTAAATATGTGCAGTTTCATGTGGGCCGTTTCACATGGGCTGTTGCTCTCCACTGCTTCTCTCTAGACATGGCATTTAATGACAAAATGATTCATAGACTCTGAGACACACAGAAGTTGAAAGGGATAAGAATGTTAAACAGGACAAGTCTTTGTGTTGGATTTCTTAAATCTGATTCATCTGAAGCTCTTCTGGGTCAGATGTCCCCAACTGTGCACTACTAAAGGTTATTTTTTAAATCAAGTGCAGGAATTTATACTCCTTTTTTTAAACTTTTATCTCCTTTTTCTCATTCCATCATTTTAACTGCTTGAAGTCCCCTTGTAAACACTCTAATTCTATCACCCAAGGATAAATGAGTTATCCCTGGGAGATTTGAAGAAGGTATAAATTTGGCAAGCCAGTCTTCATGACTGAATTGAAGTAATAATGTTTTTAAGTCAACCATTATAGAAATAGTGTACTATCCAACAGCACCTTCCATCCTGTGAAATCTGATAAAGAGACCCTAACTAAAAACTTGTGGCTACTAGGATGCTCTGTAGCCACACGTCAAAAACACATTGACGTGTTTGAATATCTTTCTGTTTTATTACTGAATGTGTCAGGACTTTTTTTTGAGATGGAGTCTCACTCTGTTGCCAGGCTGGAGTACAGTGGCGCGATCTCGGCTCACTGCAACCTCCACCTCCAGGGTTCAAGCGATTCTCCTGCCTCAGCCTCCCGAGTGTCTGGGACTACAGGCACGTGCCACCACGCCTAGCTAATTTTTTGTATTTTTAGTAGAGACAAGGTTTCACCATGTTGGCCAGGAGAGTCTCAATCTCCTGACCTCGTGATCCACCCACCTCGGCCTCCCAAAGTGCTGGGATTACAGGCGTGAGCCACCGCACCTGGCCCAAATTTTGTTTTAAGGGCCTTCCTTCTATGTCATTTGAACTGTCCTCCCTTTTAATATCTCAGGTAATGGGATCCTAGTTTTCTTTTCTCAGAACTTCTTTACATCAAATTCTATAATATCTGTCTGATAATATCCAACTTTTCCTGCCTCGGCCACAACTGGCATCCAAGATGACAGAATCACCTCCTACAAAGGTTTCTATCATTTCATGTAGTTAGTTCATTAAGTTCTTCCTATGGCTGAAACTGTAATCTGAAATGGCAGTTTCCTATTACCATCACCTCTTCCTAAGACTTGAAATTAATGCAGTTAGAACAAGAGAATGTTCCAAAACTTGGGAATTTCTACACTGGCCTGTCCATTCCTACTTTCTAAGAAATCGTCTCACTTTACATGACCCTTCTTTTCCTAAATCAAACCAGAATGCCTAGGAGCCACTCTCTACTGATGCTCCTGAGGACAGTTCTAAAACTTAGGTCTACAGCGAAAAGCAGCTTCAAGCCCTAAAGAACTTTTTTTCTTGGAAGTCAGTTGGAGGCTTTAAAGTCAAGGCTTTGAGATGCAGGGGCAGTAAGAAGAATTAATCTAGCCCTGGGACTTTGCCTGCAGCTTTTACATGGACTTGCGCAGCTGAGTGTGAAAATCTAAATTTGAAGCAGAATATATGGAAATTGAAAAAATCGTCTGATCCACAGCCTAATACCAATATTTCAGAGATCTCATTAGTGATGGACATTAAGTGTTGGAGGTGCTTTTGGAATCTGCAGATCTTTACCTATTGTTCCCAGACCTTGCCTCATTGAAAGGCCCTTGTTTGGGCCTATGATCTCATTCCCCCTTGACCTTCCAGTCATACGACAAGGTAACACTCTAAATATTATAACTCATTAGAGTTTGTAAATATTTCTTTTTCATCATATCACTTTATCACCAATCTTATAGAGTAAGACATTGTTCTCACACATAGGGGAGGAAATGAAGGTTTGAAGAAATTAATGATGACTGTTCTAATCCCAGCACTGTCCTGTTTCCTCTCCTCTAGCTTATTTCTACCTGCATCTTGAAATTATACATTGAACCCCTTTTCTACTCAAAACCCACATGTATCTAATAAATTCCATCATTATGACTTCCAGTTAAGTGAAAAGTGAGAAGTACCCCAGAATGGGGAAACTGGACCATATAAACATGAATAATTTAATAAATTAAGTATTCTGGCTCACTATGGAGAGAAGAATGTAAGTTTGATCCCCAAAACTTCTAAGATATAGAGTTCTCTAATTAAAAATCAGTCAGTATACCTATTTAATATTACTCCTCTAATCCTATTATGCTCAGCACATAATAGACTTAATAAGACACAAGACTTTTTAAGGAAGCCAAACTATGAAAATTCTGACAGTTGAAAATGTTTTCATCACTTCAGTCTGTAGGCTGGAGGAACAAAGCCTGTTCAAATTCAGCTTCACTTTATAACTGAGAAGCCTGAGAGTCAGAGAGGAGAAAGACCTTGCCCAAGTTTAGATGACAAGCATATGGCAGAGGTGGCACTGAATCCCAAATCTCATGACTCCCAGGTCAGTTATGGGTAGCTCTTGGTAGAGGCAAATAGCAAGTGAATCTGGAAGTCAGCTGAACCAGGAGTTCAATGAGAACCCCCTAGGCCTAGGTTAACCCTAGGTTATCCAAACAGTTGCTGTGACGATGGCCTACCTCTGCAAAACCTACAGGCGTACATAACATTCTGCCTGTCTTAGACAGAGCAGGTACTATTATCACCATTTTACATGGGGAGAAACTGGAGAAATGGCCTACACAAGGCTATATTGTTGGCACTAATAGGCTTCCCAATCACTAGTACACTATTTCTATAATGGTTGACTTAAAAACATTATTACTTCAATTCAGTCATGAAGACTGGCTTGCCAACCACGACACCTGCCACTATACCTTTTGTTGTTCCATGATGCTTCTGCAAGCGGTACCTTGAAGGACCTTGACACATCATTTAAGATACCTGTAGGAATCTGGCTGTACTCACTACCATGGGGCTTGTGGTTTGTTGACACAGTCTTGTTTGGCTCATGAAATACTCGCTCATCTCTGAGCAGTGATCTCCATCAGTAACTTCCACCAGAGCTCCCTTCTGTGACCTACCTAGGGGTGACCTATGATCATTGAATCCCCAAACTAACGTTGCTTGTGATGTGTGCATCTGGGTGTGATGTTTAGCTTACTAATTCCACAAAGCTCTGATAGCAAATCAATGCAATCCATTCTGCTGATTTTTCTGCCTGTCCTTTTGCTAGGCCAACCTGTCTTCAGGAAGGTTCATGCTAGAGAACATCCGATTCTCTCTACTGTAATCACCATTGCAGGTACTCATTTCATCATGATCCTTGAAAACCACAGCCTCCCAGAGTTCTTTAATGTTAGAGACATTACAGTCATGCATTTTAGCCCCTCTCCTCTGTAAAACATTGCTAAATAATGCTGCAGCTTCTCTGGCAGCCAGTGGTACGGTGGATTACAACAAAACACAAGCACGTGAGGGCAGAAAAGGAGCACTGAGTAGGGACCAGCCCAGCCTGCAGAGAAGACTGATCCCATGGCCTCTCTTTCCTGAGTTTTAATGTATTCCAGATTTCTTGGAAATATTTCTTCTCGCACATCAGTTTTTATCCCAAGTGTAATGAAGTTTCTTTATTTTATTTGAGATGGGGATTCTCTCTGTCACTCAAGCTGGAGTGCAGTGGTGGAATCAATCACAGCTCACTGCAGCTTCAACCTCCTGAGCCCAAGGGATCCTCACACCTCAGCCTCCTGAGTAGCTAGGACTATAGGTGTGTACCACCATGCCCAGCTACTTTTTGTACTTTTTGTAGAGACGGGGTCTCACCATGTGGCCCAGGCTGGTCTGGAACTCCTGGGCTCAAGCAGTCCACCCGCCTCTGCCTCACCAAGTGTTAGGATTACCAGAATGAGTCATGGTGCCCAACCATGAAGTTTCTTTTAAAGCTGAGCTGTATTTCTTCCCAGAGCCTGCCCTTGCTGCCCCCAGGCAACATGATGTTAGCCAGATATGCCCAGATGATAGTACATCTGTGGGGTTTCTCCACAGGGGAAATAAATGACATTGACAGGGTGACTAGAGGATTACACAGCTATCCCAGATCTAATACAGGTTTAGAGCCCAAATATCATCTCTAATGATATTTGGGTCTGTATCAGTCACTTTAGCCTCCAATCAAAGAGGCCAGCCACATGCTAAAAATTGTCAGGAGAGACCTCTGCTTTCTGACTTGTCAGCATAGTTCTGAGTGGAGGATCAAAATGATCTGGAGCAAATTGTCCCACCACTGGCCTTGTCCGCCTCTCCAAATTCTACGTTGTTTGTACAGTTTTAAAATGTGACTACATTGAAGACTCTCAACAGTGTCCCCTGAGGTAGAGATCTTGATAATGAGATGGACCTTATGGGTTGTGTTGTTTTCCCACTCTCAGCACTTCACCTCTTACACTGACTCTGCTTCAAAATACAGCTTGAACCAGAGAGCGTTAGAAACAGCTTTCTCAAAATGCTGCTTTCCCCAGATGCCAGGTACCTATTAGCTTTTATTATTTGCTATTGCTTGCAAAATCAATTACTCAGGAGAAGGGAGATCCCCCACTGGTGATTCTATTCCAGGACTGTTTTATGTCCTGTCAATATTGATTTTAGCAGTGGCTGTTAATTATGCATTTGATCTTTAAGTTGTTTGGATTGGTTAAGACTATGATGTTATGTAATTTATTCCCAACTTCTCAATAAAATATGGTGAATTTTAAAAGTGTGCATGTGCACTCAGGAGGAGAAAGAGTATATTTTCCATCTGAGAAAACTAAAACCACAGCATATTATCTCACTCTGCAGAAGTAAAGAAATGAAACTGACCTCAACCATAGTAAAATGATCTGCTTTTGATCCAATGCTCCAAGAGAAAAGGAAACAAAATAGATGATTAAAATTTTAAAAATGCTGTTAAACCATTTCCGTATTCAACAGAAAGTATCTAAAGACAGAAAACAGTTTTGTTAAAAATTAGACTTGGCTCTCATTTTTGCCAGTCAAAAATCTAGACCATAAATGTGAATTTATCAGTATAACTGTAGAGCAATAATAGAATCTATACAGCTGCCATTTCTCAGTTACATATAAATAAAAGTTTATGATACTTAAGTCAAAACTGCCCTGACCCTTCCATGACCCTGTACCATTGTACTTTGATTTCTCTCTGCCTGGAATGAACTTCCGCATTCCACCACCTCCTATCTATCCTTACCATCACCTTCACCGGGCGGCAATCTTCTATATGTGCTTCAAGGCCAACTTCAAATAGCTCCTCTTTCCTGAAGCTTCCTTCAGGAAAGGAAGGCTTCCTTCCCTGACTCCCTTTAGGCCAACTGAGTTGTTCCCCAACCCTGGTCCCCTAGTCCTTATCATGCCTAGAAGTTGCCCATTGTCTATTCCTGTCCCCATTACATCATAAGTTCCTGGAAAGTAGAGGAGGAAGTGCTGACATGGTATGGAGTACAATGAGATGTGCTCAATGAAAAAATGATCCGTTTTGTATGGGTTGAGCAACTAAGAGGCTTTATTAACAGTGAGTTGGAGAGTCACACAGCAAATGCTTATTGAGCACCTACTATATTCCATATATTGTAATAGGTGCCAGAGGATACAAGGATGGTTCAAAGCACAATGAAACTTATTGTTCTATCTCAGTGAGTTTATGTGCTGGATATTTATATGTAAAGATAATTAAAAAATTTAAAAACAGTCTATGAAAATGTCCATGGTCTATACACACAACGAATATTAAGGAATTAATATAAGGTTAGAGTGGTAGTTCATAAACCTTCTCACTCATCAATAGGGAGTTATTTCCTGCCAGAAGAGGTGGGGTTTTGAAAGATAAGATTTAACAAAATGAAAATTGTGAAGCTTGTCCAGGTGAATACATAAAGGGATAAAAGTGTGGAATTAAGAAATCTAAGTCCCTTTGAAGCAAGAGTGTAGCAAATGATAGAAACAGTGTGCCTTACTGTTTTTTAGGTTAGTATGAAATAAGTTAACACTATATTTCTTAATTTTTGTCATTCCCATACTGCTTTGGTTGCATACCAACTATACTATTTACTTAATGTAATTTTTAAAATTGCCTCATGTTTATACTTTATTAAGTTTGTTTTTAAAAGAAAACTTTAAGTCACTAACACAGGAAAACTAGTATCGTTTGCCACAAATAGAAAGTAAAATTAAAAAATTTTTACAATGGAAAAAAGTTATTAAATTCTAGCTAGATGATGGCAAGTGCTCTACACCTGAGAACTATTTTGACTACCTATCTTAAAAGGTACAAAAGTCGAGATACTAGGAACTAGTTACAGACCTAACAGCACCGAATTAAGCATTTCTTCCTGATCAGAAGGACTGAAGGATTTTTGGAAAAGAAAGAACCTTTTCACTCATTGTATGATTTGACTTCATTTGCTTATTCCATGTCCAGTTATTTAATACCATGATCAAAACCAGTTTAATTTCATGAAATGCTGCACTTAACAATGCTACCACATCAGCTTTGTTTTGTAATTTCTCTATTTTTTCTAGGTAGATTGCCTTGAGTCCCATTAAAAGCAGCTTGTCATTTATAAGTAAACTACAAAAAGAAGGCCATAATAAATATTCTCCCCCAATAGCTTCACAGTTTAAATAGATGTCCAAGTTGTAATATTCCTTCTTCTGAGAAAACCATTCTTGTTCTGTGTAAGTCTTCAACTCATCCATGTTCAGCCAAAGTTTCAAACAAAGATGCTAGCATAAACTACTGCTATGAAAACTACTAATAACATTATCCTGGGTTCAAGGATCACAAAGCAGTGGTAATCAACATTATTAATTTCAGTGCTGGATAAATTGCACTTCATGTATCTCAGCCACCTCTCTTGACTAGACATACATAATTTTGCAAGGACAAATCTTGGAGAACCAGAACTCTTTGCCTTCCCTTGGGTCATAACTTCCCAATCCTACTATAAAAAATATTGCCACTTTTATAGTTAAAATTAATCTCCTTGCCCCTCTCCTTTGCCTCTGCTAACATTCAGCAGCTTCTGGCCAGTCCAAAATCATTTATTTTTAGTCTGCAACTAATTTATTTGGTGCCCTGTAATCTCTGAGGCTAGGAAAGCAGATTTTAAAATGGGCTTTTAGGATGACACTATAAAATGTATACTAAAGAATTAATCAATATGCTACATTCTGCTTTTGCCTTTTGTTGGTTTTGACCCTTGAAATATTAAATGCTGGCACTGCCTCTAGCTCATTCACTCCCTGCCCTCACAACGAGCAGCTAGCCTAGGAACCATTCATTCCCTGCAACAGCTGCCAAAGCAACAATGGAGCCACCATAGCGTGGTCCCTCAGCAGGGGGGAGGCCATGGGTCTTTGGAGGTAATGGGAGGTATGGACTTCTACAGAAGCTAATATTTAAATGCACCAGGCAGGAAGCCAGGACCAAACATCCCTTTTATTGCATGTCTTTTTAGTCAACAGCCCCCTGTTGGAGGCACTTTGTCCAGAGGTCCTAGAAATGAGGCCATCAGGGCTGAGGTCTTTCCATATCAGATAATGTTTCATTGGAGACAATGTTCATTCCACTTAAATCTGAGAAGAAGTAGCTTGTCTTGTTTCAGCATTCTGGGCCTAAAGGATAAGGGTAATTATAGGACCAGTGTTTGCCCTTCTTATATGCATGGCCTTTTCAGTCTGGGATTTATCCTAATGACCTTCACAAAGAGAGAGCCAACTGTGAGCTTCCCCTCATTAATGGGCTCTTGGATCCATTAACATTTCCTCAGCACCCACCGTCCTCTCCTGGACTGTAAGCTACATGGTAGTTCTGGAAATAATTGTGCTCACATGGTGAGTGAGTATTTTAACTCCCGAAAGGCCTCACCCTCGCCCTCCCTGTTTACTTTAAGATTAACATGGCCAAGGTTTTCCTAACAAATTTTGGCTTTGCACCAGACTGAAGCAGCACTGGAGCCCAAGCGTCTCACAGAAATATGGAATGGATGTTTTGCTGTTTAACTTGCAATAGGGTCTCTTGGCAAGAGAGAGGCTAAAGTCAGAATTTCCTGTTCCCCATCTCTTTGGGCCTCAGGCATTTTCTGTTGCCCCTAGAAAGTGAAGAGGAAGAGGCCAGACTCCGCCATCTCTGAGGGTCACTCTAGCACTTTCAATTGTGTTTCCCTTTGGTCACGTGCTGAAAGAATGTGTACAAACAGCCAACTGAGCCAGCGTCACAGGGAATAGCTGCGTGACTCCCTTACCATAGACAATGTACAGGCAGAGTCTTTTCTCAGTGATATGCCCCATACATTACTTTTCCTCAACTGAACTTTTGCATGAGCTTAGATTGTGAGATGTTATAATCACTTGCTCTCACAGTGATATGCTGCCTTACATGCCAAGTGTCTGTCTGGCTCTTCCCTCCAGCATCGTGATCTCACCCAGGGGGCTTTAGTAGGTCATTAGGGCTTCCTTCCTCCTTGGCTTTCTTATGGCAGGATCCAGGGATTTCCAAATTAAACAGAACACAGTGCTCACTCTCTGATACTTCCGTTTCACAGACGAATATGATGACAAGCAGCCACTGACCAGCAAAGAGGAAGAGGAGAGGCGCATTGCAGAAATGGGGCGCCCCATCCTGGGAGAGCACACCAAGTTGGAAGTGATCATTGAAGAATCCTATGAATTCAAGGTATGCTCACCAACACTGCCCACCAGGAGCCAGTCTCACCTTGGGACAGAAACTGTTCATAGGGTTGGCCAAAGCTTAAGATCCACCTGGAAAGAGTAGTAGATGTAATTTCAGGAACTGGCTTGTGAATTGAGAGCCTTTGGGGCCAAATTGGAATTATAGAGTTAATCAGGAACCAAGGAGTCCTGTAAACCAAACAGCATCCGAACCAGGGCCCAGCAGGAGACATCTATGACTGCACAAGGTCAGAGGTGCCCCAAAGGGAAGGTTTAATCTGAGGGGCAGCAAGGAACATGCAAAGGTGAATCCTAAGAGATTGTTATGTGTGGAAGAAACCAAGTTCTATTTGAAAATGCTAATAAATCTGTCAGAGCAAGGCATTCACACTGCTGAAAATTAGGAGGCTTTTGTTTTGCAGGGGGATAGTAATATCTCCCTATGGAACATCCCATTGACAAGCTCTCATTTATATTTAATCATCCTCTTCAGATCCAAGGACATTTTAGTACAGTCAATATACCGAATGCAGAGTGCCTGCAACCGGAGTTTACAGTTGAGCTGATAAAATTGGATTCTCAGTTCTCTAGATGATAAAAGTCATTTTTGCAGAAGTTGAATGTGTGGGCCTGGGGATGGAGCTTAAGACTTTGAAGTGAAATTTCCTGTTGATCCTTAGCTGCTCCCTCTGTCCCCTCCCATCCCTTCTACCCTACATGGTTCTAGCATCTGGGAAGACCACAGGGGAAGAAACAGTTCAGTTCTGCAGTGGGATATGAAATGTGCATCCCCTCTCTTGCTTTCCAGAATTACAAACCCAGAGCACAGCAGTATTTTACCTGCTTACTTTTCAAAAGCAGACACTGTTCCTGTTTGAAACACCAGAATGAAGGTTTCAAAAGAGAGAATCAGACCACCAATTTAGAAGTTTCAGATTTTATCTGGACTTCTCATAATAGTCCCCTCTTTTCCTTTAGCTGGATCCATTAATTATTTTTTAATTTACTTCACAAATGGAGGTGCCTGATAGGAGACAGGTGGAAAACAAAATGTCTTTGAAATTAAAGTGGAATATTTTAAGATAAAAATGCAATTAATCTTTTTCCTTTAGGCCACTGAGAATCTGTCTGTTAACTCTTCTTTCACACATTTCCATAGGAGGAGGGGGTCCGGGGGTAAACAGTGGAACCAATGCTTTCTAGGCAGACCCCGATCATTAGACCCCCATTGTATGACACAGAACTTGGCTTGTTGCACAACCATGCCTGGAATGTGCACAAGTTCCCTGTAATTCCAGAAGTCGGGGAATCTCAGACTGTCCATTTCTGGTGACCCATCTACTCATCTTTTCTCCATGTGTGTTCAACCTCCCTCTTCCTCATTCACCCTCTTTTCATTTGGAATCAGAGAGCTGAGTGCCATTTTCTGTAGCAGAGAGTCTATGGGTTGGTATTCCTGAAGCAAGCTTGCCCCTGCCCTTTGCCTGGGTTCTCCTGGGGAATTGTGTGTTCTCTCCCTTATGGGATGATCTCAGACCTTCCCCTTCCATGCACCCATGACAGGAAGAGCAATCATAGTAACTTCCCATAAGAAGCATTAAGTTAAGCAAGGCCGGGCACAGTCTTCCAGGCAGCAAAGCCTTCTTGGGTCCAAAGCCCTTTCTGGTAACCACTATAATGATCTGACCATTTGAAAGTGCCCCAAGTCTCTACATGAAACCAGTTGTTTGGGGTACTTATCTTTGTAGGATAGCTTCCATAGATTATTTCCAGTCATCTCTTCAAAGTTCATCAGTATAGTTACCATTAATACCTACAAGGCACGTTAGGGGCATGTTTTAGAACTGCCCTTACGTATCAGCCTAGATTTTATATTATTTAAGAAATCTCTTTTACTAGAACATAGGTATTTTAAAGAACTTACTCAGAGCTCCCAGAACTGTACCAGAGACCCAAATCTGGGTGGTACCTTTCAATGGCCCACTCTGCTTTACCCACTGAGTTCTTATTTACTATGGTGTGACTGAGGACCTGGTTTTACTAACACCCATTGCTGAGGGTGAGGTTTTCACAAGCCTTTGAAAATCTAGTGCAGTGAAAAACTGATCACAAGCATTTAGGAACCTCCTAGGTAAATACAGACAACAGTGTCCAAGTTCAGGTGTCTGAACTATATCTTTATTCACTCCCATTTTTCCCATAGGTCAAGGAAGGATACATATGAAAATTAAGTCCTAGGAAGAACCCTGGCTATACTATAATCCCCCAGGATTAACATGAACTACAGTTTAAAATCTACCCTGAGTTTTACACACAGAAGTTTAGTTTATCTTAAACATTTGTTCTTTAGCAGCTATTTCTTGAGGAAAGTCTGTGCTCAATGTTAGAGAAGTTTATCTGTTCAATTGTTTATTTCCCAGGTGATGGGATACTCCGTCATGGATTCAGCACAGAGTGCCTCTTTGGAGAGAACTGTCCCAAGTTTCCACTACATTAGGAAAAATCGAGGTCATTTCTTATTACATTCTACAAGGCACTTTGAATTTGTAGCAGTGAGGATGGTCAGAGTACTTGATGAGATGTGGCTGAGTTGAGAAAAGAAAGATGGATGCTGGTCAAGTGCTTCAAGTTATGGTGGCCAAGAGCAGTGATGGTTACAGCTGTTATCAGGGGCACCAGCAGTTCTAGACACAAAGCTGGAAGCTGAAAGGTCATCACCCTAAGGACATACAATTCTTTCAAGAATAATGTCATGAATACAGAGTGAGCCAGTTGGAGATGGGCCCTTTCATGCTTATTATCTTCTCAATGTTTCAAGTCTGTTCCAATGACTCTTCTTGAGCAAACATGCTTGATATTATGATTTGGTTTTGGCCTTTAATACAAGCCCTTTAGATAGCATTTTGCTTACTCCCAGTTAGTTGGAAATGTGCTCTCTTAAACCATAGTCCACTCAAGTACATTGCATAAAACATATACAGATTTCGACCTATGACAAATAATGTGTTTTCTGCCTCTTTGCAATTAGTGGAAATTCAAGGATGCTCTGACAGTAAGTGTGGATGTTTCGTAGACTAGTCACTGTGGTAGTTTCTTGGGATGAGCAGCCTTAGTGTCTTGGAAATGACTTTTCTCCCTGTAGTTGCCATGACTTGCAGTAGTGCTTTCAGTCCATCTGCTTACTTAGTTTTCTCGTGAATGTTTGGCTGCTCTTGTTGTTACATTAACTGAATTTAGAAAGCTAGAGAGTACTGATTGTACAAAACAAGGTGCTTAAAAAGTTCCAAAGAAAAATAAGGGGTATGCAGCACAGTGCCAGTAAAGCAGGGGAGATTTAGGGCAAGGTAAACTGCAACGTGCCCTAAACCATAAGAACTGAACTTTTCTTGTATTTTTGTGTATTCTTGTTTGCAATAGGAATAGGGTGAGCATGAGATTCTCTAAGAGGCAAGAGGCTGACAAAATAGTACCCAGAGACAAATCCATTTATTGATGACCATGCAGCAGGCAACCTGGAGACTCCATTATCTGGCTACATTTCATTGATAAACAAAATACAATAGCAATATTTTTTGGTTCCATAATCTGTCACTTCCGGCTATTCGCAGATATGTAGTGCTGAATAGGGCATATGTTAATTCACTTGCAGACGAAACACTACAGATGAAACCAGCAGAGAAGCAAGTTGGCAAAGCATTCAGGGGGATGGATGGGCTTTTGCAGCATCTGCTATTCTAAACACTGAGGCTATTCTTCATTAGTCAGTGAAGGAGACTTGTATTTGCTACAAAGAAGTTTCCATTTCAGAATGTTTCCAACTAAGGACCATGCTTGTTTGCATAATCATAACAGTGTTTGATGTCAATACTGTTGTTTTGAGCCTAACATCTGCTACCCTTTATATAACTCTGGAGTTTCAAAATCAACAAGGTCTTGGATTTCCTGAGGCCTTAGCGAACCCAGCATTTATATTTTTCTTTTCAACATTTCTAGAGTACTGTGGACAAACTCATTAAGAAGACAAACCTGGCCCTTGTGGTTGGGACTAACAGCTGGAGAGAACAGTTCATTGAAGCTATCACTGTCAGTGCTGGTGAGTGCCTTTCTCTGCATATTATAAATTAAAATTGCCCAATCTGAGCTGAGTTTTCCTACTGTGGCTACTTGGTCTATGGCAAAGCACCAAAGGGCTTCCATGGCAAAATTAAGGGAGAAATAAGTTTATTTGTTAATGTATGCACATTTTAAAGACTAAATTGACTATCTAGATGAAGCAAATGTCTTCACACATGACATTTTCCTCCATCTATATTGCATCTTTCTGGAAATAGACAAGATAAATTTAAAGCGTTTTGTGTCTCTAATTCACGAATAGCCAATCACTAGGCTTTGTCTGGAAAATTCCCTGTAAGCAGCACAAAGGTGGCCAAGTCAAGGTCAAGAAAAAAAGCAGCAAAATCCTAGGTGGAAAGGGAAGACACTAAGACACTTGACCACAACCATCTGCATCATTTTACACTCTCTTCAACAACATGCAACAAATACGTGTTTGCACTGGCTCTAGAAATAGAAATAGAATTACATTCTGTTTCTTCTTGCACAAGCAAAGTACAGAGTTTTATTTAGGAAGTTCCTACAAAATGAAGTGTTTTTCAAACTCACGGAGTCAGAAACATGAGGGAATTAAATAGAGAGAGAGGTGTGCTCTTCCTGTATTGTCAAACCCTGTCCACTCTTTGTGTGATTGTATAACGATACAGGAAAGTCCCTCTTAAAGATTCATGAAAGCAACCCCGTCCTTGGATTTTTTTTCCTGTTCTTCTGCTCCATCTACACTGGCTCTCTTTAAAGATCCCTCCAGGCTCATCTTCTACAGTTGCAACGAATTAACAAAGGTAGAGTTTCCTAAATACGTAGTGATTCCCAAGCTGTAAAATTTGGAAACTGCGTCACTAGCAGTTGGGCCATGATTTCTACCCCAAATCCCTTTTTCCAGTCTGCCACAGGGTAATTTGACACATCTCCCAAGTGCTGTGAGAAGAGAGGGTAGTAAAAATTTTATGCCTGTTTATTATTAGTGTGTTTATAATCTTGCTTTGGTTTTTTGCAATTGAATATATAGTGGGAATTTATGAACATTAAATGGTGGGTAACTGCTCAGGAGAGTGGATTTGGAATTTGCATATAAGCTCTAATAGAAGGAGGGGTAAACTCTCTTTTATTTCTTATGTTTTTCTATAAATCTAAGCTTAATATATGAGGCATGAGCTATACTCCCTCTTCACAGACACAACTAAGCAGACAAAAATTTCTAGAATAAGAAACTGCTGACGAAGCCAATAGTAGAAAATATTAAAAATGAACAAACTCTTTTATGGGCCTTGACATATTAGAATTAAAACATTAAAAGCATCCTAAGCCTTATACTGAACCATTTCTAATCATTTCTGTTTTCTTAGCTGCAGGTATATGAGCATTTGTATAACAACCATAAGCTGGCCATCATTCCTTCGTTTTTCTATGTCAATTATTGTTCTTGGTGCAAGGCACATGACAGCGAATGCAACAAATACCCCTGCCCAAGTGGAGCTTACAGTCTAATGGAGGATACAGTAAATCAGACAGATACATTAAAGTAAAGTATATTTATGATGATAAGTTTGTCATAGAGGAAAGCAAAGCTGTGGAAGGGAACAGGAAATACGTATAGAGTCTGCAATTTCAGAGAGATGGCCGAGATGACCCCATCAATAGACCTATTAAGGCCAAATTTGCTTTTCTAGCAGAGGAGTGGTTTACGTTGGTTCATTCACATAGTTTTATGACTCTCAAGAACAAGGAAACATTTTATGACCAGTCTATAGCAATAGAAAAGGGCAGCTTTAAACAGTGAATGGGATTATGCTGCCAACAAGGCCAGTGTCATGTGTTTGATTCTGGTGAGAATAGGTATACAGAGAAACAACTATAAAGATGTTAATACTGCCTTACTTAAAAGAGGTGGATTTTGACTTGCAAACACTTTCATATGTTGTGTTTAATATTATAATTATCGTTATCTTACGATAATTAAGGAAGAATCTGAGTCTGAGAGAGGCAACATGTCTTTAGAACAGACCTTAGATCCTATATCTAATGAAGACTGGTCCAGTGTGCTATCTACTGCCCTTTAGAAGAAGGAAATTTCAAAATGAGGAAAATTGCTCCCTACTCTCACAGAGAGACTGGCCGCGTCACATTACCTGCGGCCATGGTGTCATCATTTCATGATGGAACTAACTCCTGCCTAGAGCTTTTGAAGAATTGTTAATAACTGAGATATGAAACCTCTCAAGTCTTCTTGTCATACAATATATTGTGCTTTATGTTTCTAAATGACCGCTTGGAAATAAGGCACAATTGCTTAGAAATTCGCAGGCTGCTGGGTAAATCGACCTTATTTACAATTTTGAGAAACAACATATCAGAAAGTCAAACCCATGTTTTAAAAGCACCAAATTATACGCAATTACATGAAGGGCAGTTTCAAAAGTTGAGTATTTGTCTTTATGATTAAATTTAACTGTCTAAAGAATGTCAGTATTCTTAGGCTGTTACACAGGCAATAAAATTTGTAAAGCAGCATTTATTGAAGTCAGACTTTCATTGGATTTTAAAATTTCATGGCTAAATAGTTGAGAGTCAGTACAATTTGCCTTATTACAAATATTAAATTGCTTTTAAAGGGCTCTACTGAGAGGTTTCTTTGCTATGCAATTTTCTGTGCAAAATTAACTCAATATATCTCGCTAAACAAAAATAATAATTTTGTAAATAGGGATTTGCTTTTCTTTCTCAGTAACTGTATTCAAACTGGTTTCAAAGTCAACCCTGTGGCAATCTTCTTGTCCCTCTGCTTTTTCTGAATTTCATAGCTCAGTACTTGGGCCTCCTGTGACCATAATGATTCTGCCAACCCAGTTCTTTTAATTCCATATTTGAAGAGTTAAAGGATTTATGAGAATCCAGAGATTAGGAAGCGATTAAGCAGTTACATCCTGGCAGTTCTCCTTCTGTTTCTTCCTGGGTTGAACACTAGGAACAGTGGGTTCTGCAGTTCAATGGCTGTCAAAACTTGCAAGGCAAGTCCAGTACCACGAGGTGCTGTTAAAGTGTGCCAGCATATGCCCTTCTCCATGAAGCCAGCATTCCCTGTCCAGTTTGAGTTTTTCCCAAATCTCTCTCCTTCTACCAGGGCAGAATGGTGAGTCGACTCTAAAAAATCGTGTGCCAGCTGAGGTATCAAGGGAAACAAGTGTGTCAGAGAAGAGGGCAAACATTAGCTGGATAAAGGGAACCAGGATGCCAGTGCCAGTTCCACAACCACCATATTGTTCTTCACAACAGCTTTGGGCAGAGGTGAGGCAAAGGAGAGAATGATTGCAAGGCTGGCTTTGGAGACAGGTGTGGGTTTGTGTCCCTGCCTTCCAAAACCTCCCTGGATGACTCCAGGAAGATTACTACACCTCAAGATCTCAGTTCGCTCACACCTCAGAATCTCAGTTTGCTCATATGTAAAGTAGAGATAACTGCTTTATTCATAGAGCTGCCATAAGAATTAATTTAAACCGTATGCATTTTCACAAAGGCCATCTGTACATGGAAACGCCAAAGTTGGTTGTTTGGGAGGCAATTCTATTATAGAACCTATAATAAAATATGATCAAATTTTGTGCAAATGCAGTTAATTCAATTTAATTAATAAAATAGCTATGGGACTAAAAACACACTGGTTAACTTCTTTCTTTCATGGTATCATGCATACCATTTTATAAATAAGAACACTGAGGTTTGGAAAAACAATGTAACTACTTGCTCAAGAAGCAAAACTGTTAAGGGGCAGTACCAGGCAACAAATCAGCCCAACAGTCTCTCCAGCATGAAGGGTGCACTTGCTTGCTGTGCATGAGGCCTGAGTGAACACACATGTAGAACACACGTATACACAGGTACGCAGAGACATGCATGCATTGTGCGAACACAGACACACACATACAAATCAGGTATGCACGTACACAGAGGCATACACACATACAAAGACAAAGATACACAAAACATGCATACATAGACATGCACATTATATAGTAGATATTTGTTTGGATATTGGAGCCGCAGCTTGAAATAGAAATGTTTTTTTTTTTTCCTTAATATTTGTTAGGTCTCCTTATAGTCCAGTGCACAAGTTCCTTGGGGAGGATGCCAGTCAATTCCCTGAAGAACAAAGGGAAGAATTTGTTTTCCTAGGTGCACCCATAGGCTTATCCTGCCTAGTAATTTGTGACATTCTTTGAAGTCAACACACTCCTCCCTCTTTCTTTTACCTAATGTTAAATATCCAGCATTAAAGAGTTTCCTGAAATTGTTTTACTTTTGACATATCCATTTGCATATCAGACATAGTATGTATTGGCATCTTTATAACGAAAGAATACTCAAAAGTGACTCAAAAAAAAAAAAACTCCAGCAGTTTTGGTTCTGTCTCTTACCAACTGTATAATCTTGGCAAAGAATTTAACACTTCTGATTTTTGGTTTCATCATCAGGAAAAGGAGAGAGTTGGACTAGGCTAGCTCTAAGATACCATCCAATACTGAAACATGGGAGCTCTGTCGATGGCCATTATAGTCCTACAGTAGCCCTGATGGGGATTTTGCTTCATGGCCCGTTGGATTTTGACAATGGAAAAGCATATCTTGCCCATCCTCTGGCTTGCCTAAACTAAATATTCAGCACAATAGCAGCATACACTTCACTTCTGTTCTTCTAGAAGGAAGGGGATTAGAGGAGAGTTGAAGTTTAGCCTCAAAGAAAGCCAAGTGAGATGATGATTCAGAAGTGCCTATCTTCCTGTTACATAATTGGATCTCGGGAATGCCAGTGGAATCTTCTACAGTACAAGGGAAGACATTCTACATGAGGCCCAGCTGGTGCATGCTGCTGACCTGTCCACACTCACTACATTTCACAGCAAATTAAAGTGACCCAGTTCCAGCTAAATAAATAAGTAGAGGGCATGTCACCTTAGCCCACCAGTCCAATATGGATACTAGTTCAGTTTAAAGGACGCTTCTGTCATCAGTCCATCCATGCATGCTTTGTGGATTAATATCCTCAATTATTTAATATAAAATACTGTCAACTCAGTGGTCCCCTGGACAATAATTCACTTGACTATCAGCCTGAAGGCTAATCTACTCTAAAAGTCTTAATAAAAATGGTACCTCAAATGAGTTTCAAGGGATTGCCGTGAAATCTGGTCTAAGCAGGAGACTTTTCAGCATCTCGTCTGTTATTGAACATCATTACTATGGGGAAATTGTCATTACTTAATCCTTGTGGTAGCCTTAGGTCATCTGAAAATCCAATTTAAGCAGTTAAAAATTCTGCTAGGGCCAGGCACGGTGGCTCATGCCTGTAATCCCAGCACTTTGGGAGGCCGAGGCAGGTGGATCACGAGGTCAGGAGATGGAGACCATCCTGGCTAACACGGTGAAACCACCTCTCTACTTAAAATACAAAAAATTAGCCAGGCGTGGTGGCGGGTGCCTGTAGTCCCAGCTACTAGGAAGGCTGAGGCAGGAGAATGGCGTGAACCCGGGAGGCAGAGCTTGCAGTGAGCAGAGATCTTACCACTGCACTCCAGCCTGGGTGACAGAGCGAGACTCCATCTCAAAAAATAATAATAATAATAATAATTCTGCTGTGTCAGATTTGACATAGCCTCAGTGTGTCTAGAAGACAACCAAAAAAAGGAGGAGGGTGTTACCAATGGGATTTCTCATTTTGCCCTTTTTCTTATGTGATATCAACATTCATAATTTTCCTTTGTCTAAAATCATATGTTGACTGAGGTTCATGAAGAAGGATGCTAGTCTCATGAGCAAAAGTAGGTAGAACTGTCCTAAGAAAGTTTCTCACTTGAGCCAAGGAGTTCAAAACCAGCCTATGCAACATAGTGAAACCCCATCTCTACAAAAAAATAAAAAATTAGCCGGGTGTGATAGTGCATGCCTGTAGTCTCAGCTACTCAGGAGGCTGAGGCAGTAGGATCACCTGAGCCCAGGAGTTCAAGGCTGCAGTGAGCTGTGATTGCACCACTAGACTGCCTAGGCTACAGAGTAAGACCCTAACTCCAAAAACAAAAAAGAAAACTTTGTCAAAGACATATGAGTGTGAAATTGTGGCCCACTTTGGCTGGGCGCAGTGGCTCACACCTGTAATCCCAATACTTTGGGAGTCTGAGGCAGGCGGATCATGAGGTCAGAAGATCGAGACCATCCTGGCTAACACGGTGAAACCCCATCTCTACTAAAAATACAAAAAAAAAAAAAAAAGAAAAGAAAAAAAATTAGCCGGGCATGGTGGCAGGTGCCTGTAATCCCAGCTACTCGGGAAGCTGAGGCGGGAGAATGCCATGAACCCGGGAGGCAGAGCTTGCAGTGAGCCGAGATCTCAACACTGCACTCCAGCCTGGGTGACAGAGCAAGACTCCGTCTCAAAAAAAAAAAAAAAAAAAAAAGAATAAATAAAAATAAATTAAAAATTGTGGCCCACTTTTTGTTTAATGTTACCATTTGGCTTCTATGACATGGCTGGTACTTTGTAGGCATTATTTCTGTTCTTCACCTATATTCTGAGCTATGTCATTTTTCCCAAAGTTAACAACTATGGATCCTGAGGCCCAGAGTGGTTACGTAACTTGTGTAGGGTCACACAACTAGCAAGTGATTAGCTGGAATATGAAACCCCATCATCGTGAGTCTAATTCCAGTAGGCTTTCAGCTCAATCCTAGGTGTTCCTCCTACAACTTTAGTTTAGGTTTCAAGTGCTCACATTTCAGATGAGTTAATTCAGGACAAAAGGGATGAAGTTAACAAGTCTTTTAATCTCAGTTACACATGGGGAAGGTAAGGGTTTGGAAATGAGTGTGCAAGCCTGGGACAGAAGTGCAGAAGGACCAGGAAGAATAGAATCAGTCCTAGAAAGTAGGCAGGATCAGTTACTGGATTTCCTAGAAAGTCCAGACTAAATCCCATCATAAGGAATGTTTTTGTGGTGTAGGAATTGTATTTATATCTGGAGCTAGAAATTGTGTCAGGTCTTATGAAACAAAATGGAATCAATGCCCAGCCTTTTCTCCAAGCTCCTGCTCTTTCTCTGTGATATTATTAGTTATCTAGGTAGGTAGGTTGTTTCAGGCTTGGAATCACTGGCATGCTTGAAAAAGGTAGGAACAAAGGTCAAATAGTAGTTATTTGAAACCAACAGGAGATATGAGCAACACTGCTGCCATCCAACTTAGCTCTTATTCCTTGTTTCAGTGTAGAGTTAAAAGATTCCCATTCTCTGTGATACAGAGTACATATAACATGGATGACAAATAAAGTGTTTAAATTCTTTATTTGTTGGAATCTTTGGCTTCTCTAGATACTTGAGTTCAATGAATTCTGGTGCAGCCACCAATTAGTTATGGGGCTCTGGACAAGACCTCTAACCTCCCCTGTGAGTTAATAGCATTAGAAGAGATGACCTTGTGAGTTGTCTTTAGGACATGGAAATACTAAAGGGTCTCTTAAAGACCCTTCATTCTCATAAATAAAATGCCAACTTGCTTTCCGTGTAACTGCTATTTGAAATTTAGAGTTCTAAATTATCACACAAATTACTACTAATTTTACTTCACAGGTATCTTTAAATTATCCAATCCATCCTTGTAAGTGATATTTTTTTAAAATGTAAGCTAGTTCATTACATTTAGGACATTTTCTCGGTTTGAAATGTACTGACAAAATTGAATTTGGAAATTTGAAATCTCAGTTATAGTCTCTCTTCTATTTTTTTAAAAAAGATGGGGTCTCCTCCATTGCCCAGGCTGGACTGCAGTGGCACATCATAGTGGCATGTCATAGCTCACTGTACCCTTGAACTCCTGGGCTCAAGTGATCCTCCAGTGTCACCCTCCTGAGTAGCTGGGACTACAGGCAGGCACCACCATGCCTGGCTTCTGTGTAATTATTACACATCCAGGTCTTGCTGAGTGTCCCACCCAAGCTGCCACCCTGCTTTTCTTGGTAGACCCATCTTATTCAAAACTGCAGAGGAGGTCAGGTGCAGTGGCTCACACTTGTAATCCCAGCACTTTGGGAGGCTGAGGCTGGTGGATCACTTGAGGCCAGGAGTTTGAGACCAGCCTGGTCTACACGGCGAAACTCTGTCTCTACTAAAAATACAAAAAAAAAAAAAAAATTAGCTAGGCGTAGTGGTGCACACCTGAAATCCCAGCCGCTAGGGAGGCTGAAGCACAAGAATCACTTGAACCTGGAAGGCAGAGGCTGCAGTGAGCCGAAATCATGCCACTGCACTCCAGCCTGGGCAACGGAGCAAGACTGTGTCTCAAAACAAAAAACTGCAGAGGTAGTATCCAAACTACAAGTCTCACGCCTGTTCTTCTGCCTCACATTAACTCTATTTATCTGTTGTTTTACTATGTTGGAGGTTTTTCTAACCTGTATTCATTGCACATAAACAACTATATATTGGAAGGTTGTTTGCTGCACCAGAATTTATGTAAGAGAGTGATACAAAAGATTCAAGTACCTTTCAAGAAATACATACTTTCTGTGCATGTCATGCCCCCAATAAAGAATTTCCTTTTTATTAATAAAAAGAAAGAAATTTAGGACTCTAACTTTAATCAAGATGCAATACCTACCTTAGAATACATGTTAAAGTGTGTAATTACACTGACTTCACAATATGTCACTTAAGACATTTGGTGCTTAAAATACACTGTTTAATGGTCACATTAAGTGAATTCAATAGCCATTCATCCTTGATGAGAATTGGATATCACAAAGTAAATCTTAAAGTTCTTATCAGAGCCTCTTTTAAAACTGCCCTCATTGGAGTTTAACTTATCTGTAATTTTAATTTTTATCTTTAATGTATGACATTTGAAAACTAGTACTTTATCTTTTATAAAACCTCACAATGCCACTCACTAAACTTTAAAGAAAACATGATAAATTCCTAAAGAGAAGCTTTTTTCCCTAGAAAATTAATTTTTGTCACCTTGCAACTGGAAGATCATAACTATATAATTCAATGGTTTCTAAATTGCTTTGGCCATTGGAAAGCACAGTCTTTTTTTAATCTACGTGTTCAAAATTCAGTCAACTCAGGTGACTAAAAGCATCCTTTATTTCTGCTTCAGACATTTTTTGTCCTATTTTTGTCTTAAAATATCTTATGCTCTATTAATAGGAACAGATCTGCTCAAGTCCTCTTAGAAGTAGGAAGAATCTAAATAAAAAAAAACAACAACAACCGCAAATCTGCCCTGTTCATCGCTATTTCTCTAACACCTAAGACAGTGCTTGGCACTAAGACAGCGCTTGGCAATGCTAAGTCTTTGTTTTATAAAGAATGAATACATTTATTTGTGAATTAAAGTTTTCCAATCCGTATATAACTGGATTAAAAGACATCATCATACTGTGTCTGATCTAGAAAACAATCTATATAAATACATACACACACACACACACACGCACCATACACACGCCATGTTTCAAAAGGAGTTTGAGACATTTGTTTTCTCTATGTCAAACTTCATATCACTTGACATGGAGATGTGAACTTTCACATATTTGTACACATAAGATATATTTATCTGTGTATTTGCAAATTGGACATGCAAATATAAAATGACATTTTCTCTCAGTGTTCTTAAGTATTCTTAGTAAAATTTCACTGTTATGTAGCTGATAATGATGATCCTAAGAGGAAAAGCGGAGGACATGACTAAGAAGAAAGACAGAGTAAGTTCCAGATATAAACTATTTATGGGAGATATTCTAGGGACATACTAGTAGGTGAGCAAAGCAAATTTAGGATATCTGTCGATCTAAAAATGCAGCAGTAGCAGGAGAAAATGTTGAATCAGGTAGCTACAGTTTCCACTTCCAGAACAAGGCAGGCCAGAAACAAAGGTGGAAGTACGAGAGGGTGGGAGAAAAAAAGCAATTATTTTCTGGCCTCTGGATATGCTTTAGCTGATGTTTCTGAAAAGAATATTGGCTCATTGGTCTGTTCTTCTCTTAAATTGCGTATTATAAAATCTTGAGGAAAACACCGTATTGAAGGGCTCTAGAATGATTCAGCACTCTTATTTGTATGCCCGAAGTCGTGTCTCTAACGCAGTTTTGTCTGGGGTGGCAGCAGCTCTGCTCTGCAAACAATGTGCCATCACTGGGTCCAAGAGCTCTTTTGTTGGCATGGGCTGCTGCAATGTGAATACAGTTTTAGTTGTTGCTTGCAAATCAAGGTGTGAGGCATGAGGGGACTTTTCATCCCCAGTCGGGAGCCTTTGTATGCTGTTTTCAGTAGGGGAAACATTGCAGCCTAACCCAAAGAAGTGGAAGGAAGAGAAACCATAGCCACCCTCCACCACACACAAACACTCTCCATAGGCAGAGAGGAGCCACATAAAAGTGACTGGCAGCATTACTTCTTGCTGTTCACAGCCTGCTCTCTTGATAAAGACCTTGTCTTTCCAACTCCTGCAATGAAAAGCCACTCGCGTGAACCAACCTTGGCACATACATCCCACCGCATGCTTCTCCCTTGCCTTGCCTTTGCCTGGTCAGGTCTGGCTGGGTGTTGTGTCTTATGGCCTGTTAGATAGAGCATCTTAGAATCCTGGCCCCGAGCTGGAAAGGAGCAGTGATTCTAACCTCCCCTTGCCTTTTTTTTTTTTTTTTTTTTAACAAATAAGAACCTGAGAACAGAGAGAGGGAGTCTCCTCCAAGATCACAGAGAGACTGTTTTAGAACCCAAGGCTCCTGCTGCACCATAAAGCATTGCTCATTTTTCTTCTGGAGTTGTAGAACCAACGCCTTAACCATCAGATACTCCATGTCTGCCCTCTGATGTTACCTACTGACCAATGGGCTTCTTGGTGATGTGATGCCTTAGGATTAGACAAAGCAAAGATTGAAGCTTTCCTGACCAACACCTTAGCAGCACTGAGTGACCAAATGGTCTCCCAATTGGTGAATAGTTGTTTTATATCCACATAAGCCCCACAGCAGCCTCGTGCAGTAGCTACTCATGAACCCATTTACAAGAAATGGAGAAATTGAAGTTGGGATTCCCACCCTGACCCACAAGTTCTGATTCCCAAGTCAATCCTCTTTCCATCTTGTCACACTTGCCTCCCAAAGCTTAATGCCAGTAGGACACAGGCATATTTCTGTTCTCTACACAGTTGTGCATGAGATATTTTCTCTGCATGGAATACTTTCCCTCCATATCCGATTATTTCTCCTCACTAAAGTCTTAGCTCACATGTCAACTGCTCAGAGGGGTTTCTCGGCCTCCCAGTCACCAGACTTCATTATATTCATAACTCATATCAGTATCTGAAATTATTACATATTATATTTGTTATTTGTTTACTTTGATTACTATCTCCCCTTGCCAGAATGGAAATTCTATGAGATCAGGGATCTTATTTTTCTGCATTTGCAATGCCTAGAACTGTGCCTGATACATAAGTTGACAATAAATACTTACTAAAGAAATGAGTGGCACTAATAAAGTCAGTCTTCCAACCATCCCATTCCCTTTGAAGATTTCCTAGAGGTCCAGGTTAGGGGTTCAGCCTGGGCTTGAGGTGCAAAACAGTGACCCAAAATATTTTAGAGTTCAAACCTACAGACTTAATAGAATATGCACCAGGCCTTGACCAAATAAAAAAGATAGGCCACTGACTTATTGACAATAGGAGGGAAAGAGAGATTTTCCAGATGGCTGATATTGAAGAAAAACATCACAACATCGTGATGCATGGTTACTATTTATGAGAGACAAGAAAGCCATGGCAGACAGACAAACAAGATTGTCAGCACCCACCTTAGCCTACTTACCCTCTAATAGAAGTGTTCAGGAGCAGTGAGGGAAGGAGATGCTCCATCTGAATTCCACCAATCAGCTAATTTCCCTCAAGCCAAAACTAAGTTTACTATATGTAAGCATATAACTTCTCTTAAAAATCTTGTTTATACCTTTCCAATAGCACAAAAGAGAAAGTTGGTTTTGACTATGCCCATTTTCCAGAAGGAGAAACTGAGGCACACAGGATCTGTGAGGTGGCCAAGAGCAAGTAAATCATGGGACCTTACGGTCAGTGGAGGGCCGTGTTTACTGAGATCTCGTTAAAAAATCACAACAGAAAGAAGGAAAGAGGAACAGGCAGATGAGGGGTGCCTTGAGCAACTGCCATCACTTTGTATTGTGCAAACCGAGGCCATCATTAGACTGTTACTCAATTTGCATCACCACTTTGCTCAAACGTCAACTTTCAAACCCTATGTTCAGAACAGAGTCCATTCAGGAGATCCTGAGATCAGGAAAAGAGTTATGAGAGTGTTATTGTCATTGCTGTAGAGCCAGCGTCCTTTCCATTTGCTGCCCAGAGAGACAGATGTTTGCCACCAAAATGAGGAGAATCCCACTTCCCAATGAGGCTGAAATAAATCACGAATAGAGGATTTGCATAAAGATGCATTTTTTTAAATAAAATTCCAGGAAGAATAAAATTGAGCCAGCCATTCATTCTCTGAAAGAACAATATAGTATTTTGTGTATTATATCATATCCAGAGAGTTAATTTAAGGAGGAGAGACATTTCCCAATTACACTTTTCATAAAACAATGCTAAGTGAGCTTACATTTTATCAGAATGAATTTTTGCTGTACAAACCACAGAGATTTTTCTCTATGGAAACCATGGGTCATGTAATTGTAGCGAGGTGACAGAGTTTTAGATCTCATAAGCAAGTCATTTAAATGGTGTGAGCCTCAGATTCTTCATCTCTAAAACAGAGAAAATAATACCTACTGCAGCAGGCTCCTGGGAGGATGAAGACTAAGTGGGATGTACACTTTTACCTACATGCATAAAAGTAACACTCAGTAAGTGAACCTGCATTCATAGATGAATCATAGCAGCATCTTAAGAGGCTCTGGGCAGCATTTATGCCCCTCTGCATGTGGAGCAGACTTGGGTATACATTTACCCTTTATATACATGTTAACATTCTCTAGGACATAACATTGATATGTCTGTTAAAAATTATAGGGTTATCACTGCCCAAACAGTTGCTTCACGACTCAGCTTCCCACACTACAGGAGGCTAATTTAGACACAGCTGGTGATATTTACAAAGTGTTATCAGAGTCCTCAGGCCAGTCTTAGAACCTGGTGTGCCCACATACTTCCCACTGTAACTAAACCATCTACACTAGCAGGAGGTATCTACACTTGCTGAGTACCAATTCTACTTGACAAAGCCTTATTTCTTAGGTATTCAAGTCTACAGGGAATGTTTCCCTATTTCGGGAGCTTGGAATTCTGTCAGTCCTACAATTAGTTAAGGGTAAGAGAACACTCTGAATTTCAAGATTCTTACCCTAACTTGGAGTTATTTTATAAACAACCAAGCTTGGGGCAAAAACACACATGACTAATTACATTAAACTGTAATTTAGGAACACCCAATTCATATAGCGGATTTTTTTTTAGGAACAAGAGACACTAAAGCCATCAATTTTCAGCTTTAAACAGATTTGTTTTGGTAATAATCGAACTTGCATGGAGCTAGAACTCCTTAGTGAATCCGTTTTTCATTTGGACAGTGGCTACATTTGCTGAGAAATATTTCTGTCACGTTAAATATTTCTTGTGCTATGTTAACCACCCCAACAAAGACCATAATGGCTTAAGCTTGTAAGCATTCTGTTTTTTGTGGATGATTTCATCTAGATGTTCATTCATTTCAGCCAGGTTTGAAAGTTATTAACAGAGAGTGAGTTGCCTTCTTGACGCCCTTTACAATACTGTCACACATCACCTGGCCCAAACCCCTTAAGAAGTAGCACTAGTCCCGTGGGACAGTATGGCCCACAGATTAGCTGTGGCTTGGAAGAAGCGGGTAGGGATGGCTAATGGGGCCTGTATAGTGTCTTCTCCATCCAAGAACAGTCCAGTAGTCCAAGTTACAAATATATAGCAAACTTGAACTCAAATTTTATGTACAATAGTATTAATATCCAATGTGATGGATCTAGGTTGTGCATTCCTTATGAGACTCTAATGCCTGACGATCTTTCACTGCCTCCCATCCCCCAAAGATGGGACCATCTAGTTGCAAGAAAATAAGCTCAGGGTTCCCACTGATTCCACATTATGGTGAGTACATAACAATAATAGAAATAAAGTGCAAAATACATGTAATGTGCTTGAATCATCCCAAAACCATCAAAATTGTCTTCCAGAAAACCAGTCACTGGTGCCAAAAAGTTTGGAGACCACTGGCCTAGGGGATGGGGCCTGGACAAATGAGTAGAACCTAACAGCCTGAGCTGACTGCCAGAGACTCTAAACCTGGATTGTGAGATTATGAGTTCCCCAATAGCTGAAACTCTCAGAAGTGGCACAAGTAACCATTCGGCAGAGAAATTTTAAAGAAATTCACATTAAGCCGGGGTTGAACTTGGCACACTGCAAAACCCTCCTAAAGCTTTAAGCTCAGGTATTTTCTAAGACCCACGTTTCAGTTGGTAGAAGAAAATGCCTACATTTTCTTCTGTGCACTGGCAACTCATAGATCTAGGAATTCGAACCTATTGTTTTCTGAGCTATCGTTGATAGGAAGTGTCTTCCAATATACTTAGAAGAAAAGTTGTTGACATCATCTACTTTGCATCAGAGAATATGTTAAGTACTTCCCACCAATTAAGGTATAGAGAAATGTTTATTGCACATCTCCAAAATACAAAAAAAAGAGAGATCAACTCTTGTTTGGGAATAAATCTTTGGGTTACTGAATTTAGTGGCAGAGGCCATTAAGAGTGGGAAGAGATAAGGTGTCACTAGACATAAGGTAAAAGCATGTAAAAGGGAAAAGAAAGAAAAGAAGTTTCAGATCATTTTATGAGCAAGACAGTAAAAACTGCTGGCCCTTATGGCGTCACATACACATGCATACACACTTTCTCACACATACACAAACAGATATATACAGATGCAAACTAGGGAACAAAAATGTATCAATTGAATCACCATTCTGTTTTATTTTTCTTAGCTGATCGCTAAGGTCTTTCATCTTTTATTCTTTACGATTCTCTCAGAACCTTTAAAGAAAAGAGAAACAGAAATATGTAACAGGAGAGTAGAATTTGATTTGTAATTACTGTATGTCAGGTTGCAAAAAAGTCATAATTCTGGAGGAGAAAGCCTACTGAGTGCCTGGAAAGAATCGAAAGTCAGACACATCCGCAGATGAACAGCAGCATACATTTTCCAGACCGCTTTACATACAGACTTGTGATGATTCAGGCCACTTTCCCAAATTCAAGGGTGATGAGCTAGAGGCAAACCAAGATGTTTGATTCAGAACTGGATGGTTGACCTTTGGCAACCAGAAATGGAAATAAGAACTTGTCACACTCTAAAGGAGAGATTCCTTATGATTCAACCTTAAGAAAGGAGATTCTGCCACTTGCCACAACATGGATGGGCCTGGAAGACATTATGCTAAGTGAAAGAAGCCAGACAGAGAAAGAAAAATATTGCATGGTCTCACTTATATGTGGAAAATATATATGTTTGAAAAGAGCTCAAATACACCAAGATAGGAATGAAGCAGTGGTTACCATCTTACTATGGGCAGGGGTTGGGGCAGGCAATGAGAGACATAGGTCAAAGGATACAAAATAGCAGATAGGAAGGATGCACATGTTTAGAGATCGAATGGGCCACATGGGGACTAAAGCTAATGAAATTGTATTAGAAATGTTTGTTAAATAAGTAGACTTCAACTGCTCTTGTCACAGGAAAAAGTAACTAGATGAGATGATAGATGTTAATTTGCCTCCCTATAATAATTTTACTATCTAAATATATCTTATAACATGACATTGCTAATCTCAAATGCATATGATAAAATTTTAAACAAATGTTTAAATAGAAAAAAATAGAGGTTCCAAAACAGTCACACCATGATCCCCTGCTTTTACCTGATTGTTTTATTTCCCATGTTTTCTTGGTCCCCACGGGTCTGAGAAAGAGCTTATGGCTGGCTCTGCCAAAGAAATAAACAACCCAAAAATCGTATCTAGAAAGTATTAGAATACAAATATTAATTATGGCACCTCAATATTTTCACATTCCTAAAAAAAAAAAGGTACCACTGTATCTATATAACACTAGGCATTAAAAAAATTCCGACTCAAACTTCGAATCAATATGTGATACTGAACTCCTCTACTTTCTTCCATAAGGCATTTTCTATAGTAAAATGTTCCCTGGACTGTTAGATCAAATCCCAACTCAGTCACTTAAATTCTGTGTGAGATTATTTTAGCAAGTCACTTAAATTCTCTGAACTTCAGGATCTTCATATGTATAATGGGATTAATAATGCCCACTTTGCAGTGTTATTTTAAGGATGAAATAAGATCAGGTATGTGAAAGAATTTAGCTTAGTGCCTGTCATTTAAGAGACACCCCACCAGGTTCCCTTCCTGTTTCTTTCTTTTCTTAAAAGCAAGCAGCTTGGGGAAATGAATGATAATGGCTCATTCAAACAGAATATATACTCAGTGAAATCAGGATACTCACATTGTATTGATATACTGCCTTCCTTCAGACAAGTAACAATAATGGAATATGGCACATTTGTCTATAAAGATGCATATAGTTTTATAAAGGACTTGAGCATTTCTTCTTCCAATCCCCACAACAGCTCTGAGAGATGGGAGTTAGGAAACTCATTTGACAGGTGAGCAACTGAGGCTTGGGAAATTTAAGTGTCTTGCCCCAAAACAAGCTGTCAGAACTATAAAGTGGCTTAAGTCTTCTGACCCACGTGTCCATTACCTTCCAGCAGTCTCTTTTTCTGGTTATCAGAGCTCTCCCTGAATTCAAGCCCTGAGCAGGTAGAGAGACACGTAAAGAAACACCTGTTTACTTTAAAAGAAAGATATATGCAAAGCCCAGGGGGTTGTCTTTCACCGTCAGTCATGCTGATGATGCTCTTGCTCTCATGTTTCCGAGCAGGAACGGTCCAAGTACTGTTACATCAATAGCTGAACTGACACCCTGTGCACTATCTGCATTTTTAATGATTTGGTTACTTTTGTAGTTATATTTAAGAAGTCCAGTGTGTATCAGGGAAGCCATTTAAAAGGCAATAGGAAGGGTTAATCAAATACAGGTTATTTTCCATTAGCTGAAAAGAATGATTCTGAGATAAGAGGAATTTACTTGGGATTCTATAAAAGCAAACCCACCAACCTGTCTTTCTTTTCTAACACAGAGAAGGGACTTGAAAGAATTATGTAGCCTCCAGGAACCCTAGGCTGGTGAACATACAGAACCACAGAACAGGCATCCTACCATCATTTTTGCTGTCACATAAAAGATGCTCCTAGGATTTTTTAATGTTTCACTACTCTTCACAAAGAAAGAACAGACTTTTAAGTGTAGTCCAGATGGTGATGGATGAACATGATATTTCTTTGTCCTTTCCCAAGACAGGGTAATTGTGCATCATGCATGGCAGTCCGTGGTCATTTTTAATATTTAAGTGATGTCTGAGTTGGAGATTAAAATTTATAAAGAGCAGTGAGATCCCAGAGAAAAGGATGGGAGGCCACTTTCCTTTCAAATGTTATAAAAGCAGATGGGCCTCCCATTCCAGACTTATGCATTAAAACATTTAAGATTCTTTGTGATATTGGAAGCCTACAGAAAGAACACACGTTCTCTCTCTCTCTCTCGCTCTCACACACACACACACACACACTCACACACACATTTTGCATTAATTGATCATGAAGGTAATTTCAGAGGGCAAAATTAATTTTTGTTTTTAAAAACCTATAATGTAACCTTAGGACCTAGCATGTTGACTAAACAAATAATGATGGAGAAACACAGTAACAATCTTAAATGGAGGGAAATAATGATAACTACCATGATAATCATTACCTTGAAATATTCTCAGACACTTTACAAACATGATCTAATTATTCCTGTGTACATCTCTCACGGGAAAGGTGTTATTTCCATCTTGAAGACAAATATAATGTCTACTCTCAATTTATAAATGGCATTTCTTCTGAGAAGCTTCATTATTTGTTCTCTTGTTCGTCTTCAAAATAAGAGATTTAGATGCCCCAAATTAAGTAATTTTGTAGAGAAAAGGCAGCATAGTTCATGTTTCTGTGAATGATTGATTAAAATGCTTTCCAAAGCATTTTATTCATATGCCCTGTGAAATTATAAAATGTTCACAAATATAGAAATTAAAAAGGATAGGATCCAAAATAAATATAACTAGAAAACCTAGTGCTTTTTCTCAACTTTTCTGAGTATATGCACCCTTCTCAGCCCCGGCTGGAATGGGGAGTGGGTAAGAGGAGAGCCTGGGAATGGGAATGTATTAATGTGACTTTCTTCTTCCTTCCTCCTTCAAATAAACCCTGAGAATTGCATCTCTAACATGGAGTTCTACCTGGAGCTAAAGTGTAGGGTAAAAGAGAAGTGGTAAGGAAAGTAAAAGAAAGAAAAAAGAAGAAATGTATAAGGAAACAAACAAAAAAGAGTAGGTAATAGAAACACTGAGTAATTGTTCCTACATTTCCACGTCATGATATAGAGAGGCTTCTGAAGGGCTGCTGTAGTTTGCTAGGGCTGCTGTAATAAATACCACAGACTGGGTGGTTTGAATAACAGAAATTTCTTTTCTGGCAGTTCTGGGAACTGAAAATCTGAGATCAAGGTGTTGGCAGGTTCGATTTCTCCTGAGGCCAATCTCCTTGGCTTGTAAATGTCTGTCTTCTCACTGGACACTCACATGGTCTTTCCTCTGTGCACGCACATCCCTGGTATCTCCCTGTGCATCCCAATTTCCTATTATAAGGACACCAGTCATATTGGGTTAGAACTCACCCTAATGGCTCTGTTTTCACTTAATTACATTTTTAAAGGCCCTATTTCCAAATAAGGTCACACTCTGAGGTGATGACAGAGCTTTATCATATGAATTTTGGGGAGACACAGTGCAGCCCATACCAGGTGTTTTTATTAAAAAGTATCTTCTGCTTCCAGGTAAAGTTGATATAATAAATACTGCATGAACAGCAGAGCAAACGGTCAGCAATGCTTTTTCACTCACAAACATTCTGATGAGCTGACCTGACTCAAGCTCCTCACTGGGGAGTTCTCCAAAGGCTATTCCACTCATCTGCAATGGCTTCTCCCAGCAGTTTATCCAAAGCCTCAAAGATGAGGCTGCTTTCTTCACAGACGCCCAAAGTGTATTCATATAATTCCAACCATGTGCTCATGAAAGAGCAGGCCATTGCCTCTTCTCTTTTCCTGTAAAATGACAGAGGACAAATCCAGACATTCCTCTTTAGATGTTTTCTGAGAGGGGTTTTTCCCTCAAATCTCTTGTGCTTTCAGAGGGTCTTCTCAATCATCATCTGCACCCAATGGCTTGCCTACCACAGAGTGTCTCACGAAGACCATACATGTGTGCTCCATGCTGGCCATCTCAGGTCACGTGGTTCAGGTGGAAAATTGCAGCCCCACCTACTGCCGGCTGCACTAGTGGGACCAAGTAAAGTAGCACCCTGATGACAAGGTTGGAATGGGTCAACAAAGACTTCAAGGAGATGTTCTTCTTTCCAAAATGGCCACATAACACATGTATTTGCCACCACTTCAAGAAAAGTTGACATTCAATATCCTCATTTTAAAACATGTCAATGGGCATTATTTTCACATAAGTGAAATCTCCATTTTAGATTACTATTATTGATTTCCTGGTTCCTTTAAATAGCATGCTTTGTGCATTTCTTTGTACACTGATAATATGACTTAATTGGCAAAATTGTGATATATATATATCAGGTAATTGCATAGTTATATAAAGTCAATAGAAATTTCTGCATGCACTCCTTCATTTAATACATACTTAACCACCTTTGTTCACATGCTGGAGATGGTATCAAACAGCAGGGACACAAAGATGCATGAATTCCTGCCCTGGAAGGGTTCTCAGTCAACTGGAGAAGAGAACATGAACATGTACAATTTAGAAAAGCGGTTCTCAAACTTGACCATGCATCAGTATTACATGGAGGGCTTGTTCAAGCCCAGCTTGCTGTCCACCCCCTCCCCAATTTCTGATTCAGTGGGACTGATCATTTGAATTTCTAATAAGTTCTCTGTGCCACCTGCTCAGGAAGCACATTGTGAGAACCACTGATCCAGAGTTACAAGTGTTGGGAAGCTCCTCTGAGAAGGAGTTCCCAGCATGGGTTTGGGGGGAGGTCAGAGAGTGCATCACAGAGGAAGCGAGTCTTAAAGGATGGGTGAGGAAGGATAAGGGTGGAGCGATTAGGATATGCCAAGCACATTTAGTTCTAAAGAACAAAAGTAGGAGAAAGTGTATCTGGTTTGGAAAAATGCAAATAAATTTCATTTTTTGGCATATAATTATTTGGCAAGTAATTCCAAGGCTTGAGTTTGAAATAGTTGCAGGAGATGACGCTGGAGAAATATGCAAGGCTCAGAGCCATGATTAACGGCCCTGTGTGAACATTATCCTGTAGGTGATTATATAACCCAGAGTTGGACTTCAAGTTGCAAGAAAAGAACCCTAGTAGAACTCCATCTATAGTTTTCTTTCTTCAAAAGAGGGTTATTTCTCAGGCTGACACAGGGCTTGCCAGCCTTTTGGAATAAATCATTTTCATTTCTCTGAAGTGACAAGTCTTACCAGATGTGAAAGTAGAAAGGGTGTGTTGATTGCATGGATGCAGAACTGGGTAGGGGTTAAGTTTTTGCCATTGACCAATGAGCCACAGGTAAGAGGCATTTCAGTGTCTTGATAACTAATTCATTAGTTATGATTAACTCTTGGAAAACCCTAAACTTCACCCACCTCTCATGGCCTCCTGTCACAGAGTGGAGGGATGACCGACCTAGATAGGAGAGATTGAGAGAGAGGAAGACCCGGCAACACAGGTTGTGATGAAATGTGCTTCCTTCCATTCTCTCTAGGGGAAGATGATGACGACGATGAATGTGGGGAAGAGAAGCTGCCCTCCTGTTTCGATTACGTGATGCACTTTCTGACTGTGTTCTGGAAGGTCCTGTTTGCCTTCGTCCCCCCTACTGAATACTGGAATGGCTGGGCGTGTTTCATTGTCTCCATCCTCATGATTGGCCTACTGACAGCTTTCATTGGAGACCTGGCTTCCCACTTTGGCTGCACCATTGGCCTGAAAGATTCTGTGACTGCAGTCGTGTTCGTCGCACTTGGAACATCAGTGCCAGGTACAAATTACATTCATGTATAATTCCCCCAGTAGCAGAAGTTCATTTGCCTTCTTGACACTTTCTTTCCTACAATTTCAAGGGCTGTGATAACAAACCAAGACCTATGAAAGACGAGAGCCCTGAGGTATAAATAAATGTTACTGCCGGAACATTGTCATGGCCCTTCTCAAGGTTCAAAAGCCGGTCAGTGTCATTGCAATGACAGGAAAGCATCCCAGATCCCCAGAGGGTCTCCACGGCCTGTAAGAGACCAGATTGGTTTGATGGATAGATTTTCAGATCAGCTTCCCATTGCAATGAGCACTTTTGAAAAGACAAAACAAAAATATAGAGTCAGCTTTAAGAACCAAATTTCTGTCTTTTATATACTTGGTACATTTTAATGATCTCTATGAAACTGTATTCATTTAGGTAACTAGGAAAACGTACTTACTGGAGACCTGATAAAATATTCTCTTGACCCAAATATTAATGAGACAAAAGAGAAAGTAGGCATTGATCAAGACAGGAAAAAAGTAATCCTGACAAAAGTGGACAGGCCAAATGTATATTTCATGAACATCCCTTCATGCATTCCTTACAAGCTGAATTTTTTGTCTGACCTGCAACTATACTTTATTATGTTTACTCATATTTCTGAGTAAGACATCATCTTCCCAAACAACATTGATAGCAATAATTTTCAAACTTTGGTGGGGATCAGAATTACCTGAGAGCTTGTTAAGAAATACAAATCCCTAAGAACCATCAACAACCTCTGGAAGATCTAGGAGTGACAGGGCCCAGGAATGTGGGTTGTAAAGCTCACAAGTGACTCTGGTACACACCAGAGCTTATTGTAACTGAAACTCTGGATCTAGTCTCCAGCACTAATTAGCATCTTGACAGATATATAGCCTTTACTTTGAGCAACAATACCCACGTTCTTAACCAAATACCAAGCCAAGGACAAGCATTACAGTAGACTTGGGAAAAGGCAGGACTAGAAGCAAATACAGCTGTGCTAATGGTGCTATTCACTGTCCACTTTCCATATTTCCCACAGTCCTGAGATAGTCACTTTGTTTTCTACTAAAGTTTGCCATAGTTGTCAAGCCTGACTTTTGGTTTGAGTCTGAAAACAACTACAGTTTAAATCATGTATTTCTTTCTACTCAAATTCACCAGTTATTCTTCTTCAGGAAGCTATTTATCGTCCAGTGACTGTGGCCAAGTTACTTCACCTCTCTGAGCCTCAGTTTCTTCATTTAAAAAATAGGGATAATCATACTTAACATGCAGAATTATGGTCAAGATTGGAAAAAAATACCTGCAAATTATGCATCTAGTAAAGCACCTGGGACATAGAAAAAATTTAATAAAATTGTATTTCTGGTGATTTTTATATTGAATAAGTTAGGATGATCTGAACAGTATAAATCTGGACACTTCATTCATTAACCATGGATGAAGTATCCAGATTTATACTGGTCAGCCATAAGGCATGGTGTTATGCAACTGACTGCCTGCCTGGGGGTTCTGATTAAAGACTCCACATGCTTCTGGTAACCAATTAAGGGAATGGAGGAGCTAGGAGACCTAGAGGGTTCTCTTACTTTCACCTTAGCAAGCAGGGCTGTTTGAAGTCGTTCAGTTGACCATCGATCCTTACAGAAGAGCAGACTCCCTCTCAATCCCAACTACGTTCCAGCAGTTCCATATTGGTCCTTTTCTTTGCATCTTTTTCCAGAGTTACCAGAAATTTACCAAGCAGAAGGAAAAACTTAAAATATTCTTAAGGTGTTTTGATTAGAGACTATATATAAAACCAAAGGAATCAACATTGTGGTTGTCCGTTGCTTCTATCTGAGGTAATTATAGGAAAATATGTTGGAGTCCACTTTTCCTATGGTTTAAGTCACTGAATCACATTGTGTCCAAGTTAGCACACGCTGTTGGTCATGGGTTTAGTCTCTGAGGAGAATATGTGCAAATAATGATCATAAAGGCAAAAATTAGGTCTCTTATAACAATTGTCCAAAATCAGCAGTTTATCCAACCAAATACATCTCTTGTTTTCAAAAGGATTTAAAAAATGCTTTTCCTATCTGAAATCCTTGTTCCTGAAAGTGTTTTTACTCCCCAATACCTCTTATCCAATATACCCTCAAGCTGGCTTTTTCTAAATGTCAGTCTTCCAAAAGGCCTCTGTGTGTCTCTTGTTTTAAGAAACTCTTGAAAATTGTGGCAGCCTTATAATTAAAATTTTTCCCTATAATATGAATTATGGATTACAGCAAACCTTCATGTTTAGAGGAGTCACTTGTTCTGCCACTTAAAACTAACTCAGAAGCCAGGTGGAGACATCAAGAGGTAAGAAAATCTGTTTGGGGAAAATACAACAGAATCATTTGTTGTTGAAACAGTTTCCCTACACTGCCATAAATGCTTTCCATCGGGACGCAGATTTCTTTGTGCTGTTATTGAGAGAATTCCATAATTTGCTGCAATATTAACTGTGCAGCAAGCTCCCCAAACAATATATTCAGAGGTAATCTCAGACAATCATATCTATATAAAGACATTTTTTCCAAAAACTGAAAATTGAACAGGCTGTTGGATGAACATCACATTTCTGACTTTATTTTTTGACCCTGCTGATTCAGAGCAATGTTTTATTATATATCCTGACTCCTAAGAAAAATGATGCTATTGTTTCTAGGTGACAAAGCCCAGTTGCTACAGGCAGAAGAATAAAGAAAAATAATTCCCTTCATTTATAGCCTACTATTTAGTCAGCAGCAGTCCTGGGGCCCAGCGTTTTCTCTAGGCCCATGTTTTGGCACTTTTCCTGAAACAGAAGGGCTCTTTCCTAGTGTCTGATATTCTGCTGCTTCTTTCTAGGTTAGACTTTGGGATTCTTAGATTCTAAAGGCCAGACGGACATTGAAAACTTTCCCGTTAGTCCTCCTGCCTCAAGGAAGGAATTAATATCTATATATCTCATCAAAAGTGTTTTTACCATACTATTCAAAATGTATGGGGAAAAGCTTATACATTTTCAAGTGAGACAAAGCTTCTTCCTTGCACCAGCTGGTAGCAAATGCTCATACTCTACTGGCAGAGAAGGATTCATAAAGGTCTTCACTTACCCTCAATGTTAGGTGTTTTGGCAAGAGCTTGAAGACCCGTGCCTGTGAATAGAGAAAGGGCCTCCTCTTCCCAAATCACCATTTTTCAGACTTACTTCTCTGGAGAAAGAGGCTTCCCAAGTAGCCTCTTCCCACCTTTAAATGTTGGAGTAAGCCCAAGACTGGTCTCCATCCTTCTTCTCATCTTGGTCCATGCTTACTTCCTGGACATCAGTCTCCATGGTGTAAATGACATCTATATGCCAATGACTGCTAAATGTATATCCCCAGCCTCAATTTTCCTCTAAGTGAAAGATTTATGTACTAGCTGTCTTCCCTATATTGATGCCAGACATGTAATTTGCAGCTCAGAATTACTGTATCTAAAACAGAACTGTTGATTTCTACTGCCCAATGGCCTTATCCTTTAACCAAACCTACTCTTTCCACATCTTGCCTTTCTCAGGAGAACAAGTCATATTCCGTCCAGGTATCCTTGATTCCTTTTTCTCCTCCCCATGGTCAAAGGTCCTACAGATCTTTATTTTTTAATTGTATTTATGTTTTTTTAAGATGGAGACTCGCTCTGTCGCCCAGGCTGGAGTGCAGTGGCACGATCTTGGCTCACTGCAACCTCCGCCTCTCGGGTTCAAGCAAGTCTCCTGCCTCAGCCTCCCGAGTAGCTGGGACTACAGGCACATACCACCATGCCTAGCTAATTTTTGTATTTTTAGTAGAGAGAGGATTTCACCGTATTGGTCAGGCTGGTCTCAAGCTCTTGACCTTAGGTGATCCCCCTGCCACCCCTCCCCTGCCGCCCCCAAAGTGCTGGAATTATAGGAGTGAGCCACTGCACCTGGCTGACCTTTCCTATAAAGTGTGTCTTGTTTGAGCCCATCTAGCTATCTCTCCACCACCACCATCCTAGTCTACACAGCTGTCCTCTCTCACCCATATCTCTGCAGTAGCCTCCTATCTGTCTCCCTGCTTCTGCTAGAGATCATCTTAAGCGGTAAATCAGGCCAGACTACAGCTTATAGTCTTCCAGTAACTTCTTATTTAACTTAGGATAAACTCTGAAAAGCATCACTCTGTCTTACCAAGACCAATGTGATTTGGCCCCTGCCTATCTTTCCAGTCTGTTCTCTTCCTTGCCTGCTGTTCTTTGGGCCCATGGGCCTTTTTTTCTATCCACACACCAAGCTCATTCCTTTCTTTGGATTGCACTAGCTGTCTCATATCCCCTTCATTTACACAAGACTGGCTGTTTGTCTTCAATTACATCTCATCTTAAATGATATCTTTAAAGAGTCCTTTCATAATCACCAACTGTGAAGTAGTCAACCAGTTCTTATGTATTATTTCACTCTATTTTCTATATTTATTACATTCTGGATTTTTTTAGTTTACTTATTTTTGAATGTTATTATTTTCTAACTCTGTCCACTAATCTAGTGCCTAGAATGGTGCCTAGCTAACACAGAAGTAATGCAATTGTGTATCTGTGTGTTTGTCTTTGGGTTGTATATGTAAATACATGTACAAATCAGTCATTTACACATTAGTACAAGTTGGTTCAATCAGATTGCTTTCTTCCTAATAACTTCTAGCGACAGTTAAGAATTGAAATTATTGAGGGAGGTAAGTAGATGATTTTTAGTGTTGCTTATTCTTGAATAGGACATATCTGAGACGGTTATTGTAGTAAGAAGGGACAAAAGTTAAAAGCACTGAGGACCTCAGAACAAACATTTTTCCTCTTTCATAATTTTGGCTATGGTGGGAACTGTGATGAGGAGCAAGGTATTTTTTTGGTATTTTCTTCATTCTTTTCTCTTCTATGATCCCTTCTCGCAAGACCCAGACCTCAGGCCAGTACTTTTAAAACTTTAGGTAGACCAGGTGCGGTAGCTCACACCTGTAATCCCAGCACTTTGGGAGGCTGAGGCAGGCAGATCACTTGAGGTCAGGAGTTCAAGACCAACCTGGCCAACATGCTGAAACCCTGTCTCTACTAAAAATACAAAAATTAGCTGGGCGTGGTGGTGGGCACCTGTAATCCCAGCTGTTCGGGAGGCTGAGACAGGAGAATGGCTTGAACCCGGGAGGCGGAGGTTGCAGTGAGCCGAGATTGCACCACTGCACTCCAGCCTGGGCAACAGAGCAAGATTCCATCTCAAAAAAAAAAAACACAAACAAACAAACAAACAAAAACTTTAGGTATACTCTGGAGTGCTGAATTTTGCAGTAGCCTAACACAAGTGTATCACTATGTTATGTATCACATTATTTCTATGGAAAAACAGGTTCAAAATAAAGGGAAAAAATTAAGAAGGAGCATTTGGAGCCCAGCCTTTTTTTGGACTAAGGGCCACCTAGTCATTGGACATTCTTTTAGCTTACAGTTATTTACTTGGATAAGCCTTGGGTATATTGGGCCAGGACATTCCAGCTTATATCCCAGATTCAAAATATGGACTTTCCTTTCATGTCTTGTTCCTATTGGATTCAAATAAATAGAAGTAAGCATCCTCCTTTAACTGCAGGGAGAACTCTGAGATACTGATGAGTCGGTGGGGGGGGGGGATTTTTGCCCCATTAAGTCTTGCCTTCATCTTTCTCTGCGCGTCTTGGTGGGGGTTGTGCCTGATGCTTGCTGACTTCTCCCACTAGTTCCTGCTACCAGCTGGTTGCTACTGGGCCAGAAAAGCTTAAAAATTGGGTATGATAGGCTGTCCTTTAGTTTCTGGCATTGTATGATTTTCTGTGTCCTTCCTATGTTTCGAATATTCTTTTATCCCTTGGATTCTGTCAAACATGAATTATTTCCCTCTAAGGATTTTAAGGCTGAAGGAGAAGGAAATAGATGGTTTTGGTTTCCACCCCCCCCCCCCCCAATTTTGTATATAGAACCTTTTTAATAAAATAAAACCTTATGTTGGGGAAAATTTATGTCATTTTTAAATTGCAACACTTTTCGACTTCTGAATTCCATAGAAAGAACTTGATATATAAAACTGGTTACCCTGGTTGTTCACCATGTTCTCTTAGCGTGGTGTTAACGACTGTGCACCAAGAGGGTAGAGGGACAAGAGCTTTAGAGCTGAATTCAGGAACCTGGACTTCTAACCCTTACTTACTGCATGGCTTTAACCAATTTCTTGACTCTCTGGGCCTGTAAAATCAGCCTAATGATACATGGCAATTCAAACAAACTTTTCAAGAAGATTAAGTAACAGCATGGATCTCAGAGAATGTATCAACTGAAAATTGGTATAAAATACAGGAAACTATTATCATTATTTACACTGAGATCAACTCTAAAAAAATGTCAAAAGGAATAGAAAACACCAGAAAATGAGAATAAATGGGAAAAGTTTTGAGCAGAGAAGGAACATTTTTAAAATTTACCACAAAGCTCCACTATATCTAGGCATAAGCACTGTATATACTTTATCTATTATCTTACTTAGGTTATGTCATTAAGTGATGTGAACTGATTTTGCCTCCTTTCAACCTTTATTTTTTTTGACGCTTAGATCCTTCCCCTGAAAATGATATTTTTTTCTGTTTGTTCAGCACTGTGCTACAAAACATTATATTATTTTTAGTAACTGAGAAAAACAGTTAGCTATTGATAGCTTATGTTTTTCAGTTTTTAATTTTCTGGCTTCTAATAACTCTCAAAACTAAGATATTCTGTAGAATACTTAAACAGCAAGTACTTTACAATTTACTGGGTCCTGTCGCTTTACTTCTCGGTGGACCATCAAGTAACTTGTATGGTTGTGCAGGTTGTATGCTACATACTCCAAGAGGCCCCATAATCTGAGTGACCCTCCTGGAGCTGTATAGGGTACAATATGCCTGGATGTAACTCCAGTGGCCCTGTCTAAAATCACTTAATAGCTTATAGGAGAGTGAATACAAGTATCCTCATGTTACATGAAGAAACTAAAACTCATAGAGAATAAATGACTTGTCCATATTTAGCCAAAGTTTGTAGGGATGGTAAACTGTGGAATCCATGTTATCTCTCGTTTTTATAATCTGGTACTTAGCTACTCTATCGTGCCATCTTGGACTTATTTTTAAAGTATTGCATATGCTCTTTTCCATATGCCTCACAAACGTTTTAAGAAATTTTTAAATTTCTCTCTTTACCTCAATTTTATTATTTTTTACTTTTAAGGCATGCAACAGTAAGATTACATTTAAACTCTTCAAGGTCAGGAACTATTATTCTGTTTGGCATGAAAAACACCTAATGGAGTCCATGCTTTCAAAAAAATTCAGAAATGAATCAAGATCCAGTTCTATACCTGTAAACTATTAGCATTTCCTGTATGTAAAAATTTAATCACTAAGACAACTGAAAGATGTTCAGTTCTGACCCAGCTGGCAAAAAAAAAAAAAAAAAAAAAAAAAATAGAATACCAAGATAATCCTCATCAGCACAGCCATGTGCCACTAATGAATCTGAACACAAAGAGAGATTTGGTCTTCCCGAGCTAGACCAAACACAGCTGTGATACACAGCTACCCAGGTGCCGGTCAGTGGGGCCCAGGAAGGGCATGTTGAGGACACCCTCCTAGCAGTCATGTTCTGCCCAGGCTTACTGGCAGCTTTGGAAATTACATTCCAGTGTTCTAGATCTCTGAGCAGAAGTAGGAGTGGGAACCATAGAGGTTAATATTCCAAGGTCTCACCAACCAGTAAACACACTCAGTCTACTCTTAACAGCAGAGAGGTGGTCAGGAGCGAACACAAAAATGCCCACTCATCACAAACATGTTCCCCTTGGGAAACTGTACCCAGTCATTCTGAATTCTGAGCTCCCTTGAAGGACAGCAGGGAATCAGATTAATTCCATCATTTCTTCTCATCCCATCCTACTTCAAATAGATGTGTTGTTCTCAGTGCAAAGCTCACAGATAGATTGACAGTTAACAGCCTCTGTCTCAGAGAAGTTATGCAAAGTCTTAGCACAATGACTACGTGCTGAGGGGTTATAAAAGAACATGAGCTTTAGAGAGGCAGGTAGACCTGTGTTCAAACCCAACCCTCCCTCCGCTACTTACTAGATGTATGACATCCCCAGAGGCAAATTGCTTAACTCCTCTAAGCCAGAATAATAGGAACATGAAAATCCATCTCACAGAGTTGTAGTGAGGATTACATGAGAGAGAATTTATAAAGTACCCAACACAGAGCCTCGCATATAGTAGACCCTTAAAAATGTTGGATCTCCCTTACTTTCTATTTCAATGCACTGATAAACAAGTTAGGCCTCCTGGGTTATTTACCTTAGCTACATTGCAGCAATTGAAAACTGAAAAACTAAGTAAATTTTCAGCCTATCTTCATTTTTCCCTATGGTAGGAATTCTAGTGAGGTGGACATATCCAAATGTGCTTCTGTTTCCTGCAGTTTCACTGACCATGAGCTTTCTCCTCTCAACATTGACATTTCAAGTCAGATAGCCAGTGTCAAGAGGTGCCATTGTGACAGTGTGCATACATATTTAATTGGATGGCTACATTTCACATCAGCTTAAATGGAAAAGAAAACAGAGTGACTTTACCCTAAGCCAGTATTTCCCAGTGGCTATGGTGTCAGTTTCCCCAAGAGGCTACTAAAGGGCAAGTATATTTTGTTTTCACATACTCTAATAAGCAACACGTTTCTTTACTACCAAAAAAGTTCAGTACTGCTGAATGGACCCTCAGATCTGCAGTCAGGCCAAGAGGCAAAGCTAACCAGGGACACTGCCAGACGGGCAGCACGGGACAGCCCTAATCACTCAAATGGCTTTCCACAGGACCTTATCTTAACCTCACTTTAGCAAGCAGCAGTCTGGAGTTTAAATGCTTTGTACTTTCCAGCACACTTTCCCATGAATAGATGATGTCATTAGAGTTAAAGGAAGCCTGCAAAGGCAAACATTTTTGAGGAGAGAATGAAACAAAAGAAGGCTAGCAACCAGAATTTACAAGATTTTCTCTATAAATGGCACCATAACTGCCTGTTATCGTATACTAAGAAACAGTGGGGAATAGGCCGCATGCAGCCGACCCAAAGATTCTGTAAAAACCTGGGAAAGATCCATTTCAAAGCTCTTTGCATCTTTTATTCTTTCTCCTCAAAGGAAGAGTTTTTTTATTAAATACTTTTAAGGGTTTTTTGTTGGTAGTCATACTCCTTATTTCTCTCAAAGGGCAGTACTGCATGGGCACCTGGCATTGAGTACAAAGCTGGAGGGGAATCAGGATGATAACAATGATGTCATTTACCAGGAGGTGGTCCAGGGAGCAGGGATGCTCAGCATGTGTCCTGCCCAATCTGAAGTCCTGCAGAGCCTTTGGATTAGTGCCCCAACCCCATACCAGCCAACTTTACTCAGTCCCATAAAAGTCACAGTGTAAGAGAAGAGAGCTAAAAATATTTTATTCTATTCTATCTAGGCCTTCTTACATACTCTAGGTTGGCCAGAGCAAGGGCACTTGGTAGAAACATCATGCTGTACAGGTGTGCGTTCATGTGTTTTGTGTTTGGAGGGTTGGTGTTATGCATGTGTTATGTGAATGAGTGTAAATTTCCCTTTCTTTTGAGGCTCAGGGTGTATTGCAAAGGGAATGAGCATCGAGTGTAGCAGAAGCATTCACAAGAGTGTCAGTCTCTAAGGAATGATTTGTAAATAATGTTGAGTTGATGACTTTTATTTCTCCCTTTTCACATTTGAAATGAAGGTGGCCAGGTGTGCTGGCTCACGTCTGTAATCCCCACACTTTGGGAGGCCAAGGCAGGAGGATCGCTTTAGTCCAGGAGTTCGAGATGAGCCTGGGCAACATAGAGAGACCCTGTGTCTACAAAAAAAAAAAGTTTTAAATTAGCTGGGCATGGTGGTATGCACCTGTTGTCCCAGCTACTCAGGAGGCTGAGATGGGAGGATCACTTGAGCCCAGGAGGCCAAGGCTGCAGTGAGCCATGATCATGCCATCACACTCAGCCTCAGTGACAGAGTGTGACACTGTCTCAAAAAAAAAAAAAAATGAAACATCTCAAGGACCACTGTTTTCTGGTGGGTTGTTTTTATTTTAATGCTGTCTCAGTCTGCATCTTTTAACAGCTTTATGGTGGTATCACTTACATACCATAAAATGCATCCATTTGTAGTACATACAATTTCATGATTTTTAGTAAATTCACTGAGTCTTGCTACCATTACCCTAATCCAGTTTTAGAACATTTCATCACCCCAGTAAGATGCCTCACGGCCATTTACAGATAATCCTCATCTCCACCCTCTGCCCCAGGCAACCACTGATGTACTTTCTGACTCAATAGGTTTGACTTTTCTCTATTTTTCACAAGGACTAATTCTAATATAAAAATGTCATGGATTCTCTACATGATAGTGTCAGAATTTACCATGGATTCTGTAAGATTTTGAAATTATTTTGTTTTATTCATCACAGAATCTCTCTCTATATATTTGTAAATTACATGAGATATTTTTTGTTCTTCATTGTTTTGTGTATATATGGATTTGTCCACCTTTTTAAAACAATTCCACTACCCTGCCCCCAACAGTAATCTTGGTTCATACACTGCAAATTGCTGGGGGTGGGGATCACACAATGGCGCTTAGAATTAGCACTGTGACTCTTAGGGCAGTACCTGATGTTTAATGATAGACAAATGCCAAATGTCGGTGACCAGTTCAGTCAGTTGATCACAACACAGTGCTAAGGAGGCAACTCTCACAAATGGAGCTTCTTACTCTCATTCATGGCCCCAGCACGTCATACTGTAGGTGCTGACTGCTGGCTCCTAAATCAATTCAAATCCATTACAACCATTAGGAAGAGAGTACAGAGACCAAGGCCTATTGGTAAGAGGCTCTGTGCATGATCTCCCTGCACAAAGAATGACACATTGTTGCTAAATGCAAGAGAAGAAAATAGGGGCTATAAGAAAGCAAAACTTCATTGCCATGTCTGGTCCCTGCATGAGAAACAAATGAATTTAAGCCCACTGGTATTTTTAGAAAAGAGAACAAATAAAATGCTAACTCAATTTAAAAGGCAAAGCTTACATGTGGCCATAAAAAATTTTAATATCTGTTTGGGGTAGTGCATATTATAGATATGAAATCATGGTGCTTGGCATTTATGCACAGCGCCAGCTGGAATCCCATCACTGCTCCTCGGCACACAGACCTCACATCCTGCCTTTTCTCAGGAATGAAACATAAGCTGTGTATTACTTGTTTATACTCTGATTCATTCCAGAAAAGGATTTCAATCCATCAGATGCTTTGCATTGTTCACCCATCTTTTCTAGCACATGATCTAAAAACACTAACTCCGTTAGTGCCCGTATTTTATAACCTTTGTTCAGCTCAGCATCTATAAATCCTGTATTTTGTACTCAAGGAGAAAACAGCTTATTTTGGTTGTATTAGTTACATTCAAGAAATTATGTGTTGTATTTGTTTTCTCTCCCTCGATTGCTCCCCACCCCATCCTGCCTCTCTGGAGCCCAGGGGACTTTTTGGCATAGTCCTCCATAAATTATAAGCTATTATTAGGTCATCATTGTAAAAAATCCTGGGTCAAGATAACAAGAAAGGCTTGCTGTAGCTCCAGACTAAAATGACCCCCACTGGGGTCCACAGATAGGCCCACCAGAGGATTAATCATAGCCTGTGATTCCTGAGTTATAGTCGCAAAAAAGCAGGTAACCACAACTATGCCAAGTGATCATGAAAATGTCCTTCTGTGAAGGATTCTGTGTATGATGAGCCTTCAGATGGGTGAAATATGGCAAATCAGAACCCCAAAACTAACCCAGTTATCACATTAGAAGACTGCAGTTCTGGTTGCTCAAGGGGAACCAGCACTTGGTTTGAGGCTGCGCTGGAAGTGGTTGGACGTGCTTCCTGCCGTTTAGTCTGTGCTTTGGGGAGAAATGGGGTAAACCACATAGAAGAACCTGACAATAACTTTCTGCTATGTCAAGTATTCTTATCCTGAGAGTAAAGATTAAGCTCTCTCATCTATAGCTTCTATAACTGAACTGAGTCTACAGTGGAATACTAATGACAAGAAATATTCACAATGAAACACTGTATTTTGACAATGCCAATAGCTAACTAGGAAGCCCAAACTGAGTCTCTGAAGCAATGTGGCATTCTTGATCCTCAAATTTTCAAGTGGTTTTTCCTCCACACCATTCATAAAGTCATTAAAAAAGAGATAAATACCATTTAAAAAATTAAAACAAAGGAAGCAATATGACCCAGTGGCAAAGCATAGGCTTTCAAGCCATTCTGCATTTCTTTTCGTTCATTCTCAGATACTTAAGGAGCCCCCACTATGTACTGGCCAGTGTTGGGCATGGCGGAGGTGGGGGATAAACAAGACAGATGATATGTCTACTCCCGTGGAGTAAGACTGGTACTTATAAACAGATGATAAACTTTCAGGTAGCACAGAGGATGAACACTGCTGAGAAGAAAATTAAACGAGATCATGGAGCCATAGAATGGAGAGTGTTTATGTGGGGGAGGGGGTATTTTAATAGGAAACTTTGACTTTGTACACTACTAATCTCTAACAAATCACACTTCAAACCTCTAATCTGTGTCCTCCCCCACCCCACCCCTAGATTTACTCAGGCAGGTCTAGTCCCAGAAACTGAAAAGTTATTTTCTTTCCACTTCAAATAATGGCTTTGAATTATTTTTCCTTCTCACTCCAGCACTTGATACTCTCATATGAGCTCCCCTACCACCTCTGTTCTCAGCAGATGGTATCCCACTGCCCTGGATTCTTCTCCCACAGACCCTCCATTCTAAATATTCTGGATTAGTTAGGACTTTGGAATATCCAACAAATGATCACAGTAAGATCCCAGTGGTTAATGATGGTTTCAGGAAGATAGACCCCTTGCATTTAACACACACACATAAAAAATGCTTTCATAGTAACTACATTTATATAGCTTCATCATTTTAAAAGTATGTTTTTATAATTCATCTCTTTGATACCCACAGCAGCCCTGAGAGTTAGTCAGCGTAGATGTGTTATCATGTTCAGAGCATGGAGTTGTTATCTGGCAAACTGATGAAGGATCCTGGAAATGTACTGGCAGCATGAGGACCTGAACACCAGAAATTACAGGATGTGGATTCTAATCCCACCTCGTGCCCTCACATTCATCTGACCCCTAAGGAGCTTCCGTTTCCTCACCCTGACAAAATGAAACTAAGGGTAACTGCTCCCACCCATCTTCCTCCTCAGAATTGTCAGGCACAGCAGATAGTATAACATTCATGGACGTGCTCTGAAAATTACAAGAATCTATAAAAATAAGAGATATTTAACAAAAGCTGTTTGTTAAGTATCCACAAGAAACTGTCCTACGTCCCTGGGAGAGAGAAAAAGGAGAACATTTTGAGAGATCAGGCTCATGGCATATTCTTAGCAGCTTAGGTAGAGCTCTATGCCTTTTTTTCTTTTCTTTTCTTTTTTTCATTATAAGTTACGTATCTAGTAAGAGCCCAAGAAAGATGGGCATTACAATCCCTTCCCAAACATCTCAAGGACATGAATCTCTTAACAAGCCTGTAAAAAGTATTTGTCAGGTTAAGTGAATATGCAAAGCAATTTTGTGGGTTGAAGTCACTAAAACATACTGTTAGTAAATAAAATAGAAGGTATTTGTAGCACAAAATATAAAATTAAGAGAGAAGATTTTGGTGCTGCTCTGCAGTTCTTCAATGCTTAACACGAGTAGGTGGGGGAAAATGAAGACACAAACACATCTTCCCTTCACAGCTGGTCCTGGGCAAACTTTCATAGTGGGTGAAGTTGCTTTTTACGATTCTTGTTCCATATTGTGGACTGTCCTAGGCACCCTCGGGACACTGGATCCCAGGCCAGATCCTGATGTCAAGGCTATCTCCTCTTCTTCTATTCCACTCCTTCCTCCTCCCCGCTACACCCTTCGAGATGCACCTGCTCTGTGTGTAGTATATAGGATGCTTTTCATCCAAGGATTTGTCTAACATAATTATGAATGCTGAATTAACCAAAAGGACCAGGAAAAAGCTGAAATTCAGCCGTTCACTCCTTCCCAGAGAGACTCTATTTAAATGTCTATTTTTAACCTATATTTATTAGTTTTTAGTAGCACAAGCAATAAACAATACATGCTCTTTGTAAATAGAAAATGTTAATAAGCAAGCAACAAAAAGAAATCCTGCCATCTCACCACCATCTACATTCAGCCATTTGCACCTTTAAAATTGTGAAATCCTGGGACATTTAAGTAAATTGCACAAAAAATGTGTATACAGATATATAGCAAATATTTACCCATACTTTTTTATGGACTAATAGTAGGCATAGTTACATAACCTGCTTTCTCACAAAGCAGTGTGTCATGAATGTTTTTCTTAGTGTACTTTAACAGTTGCACAGTATCATGTTATATGAAGTTGCAATTTATTTTTTCTAAAATGATAGACAATTGTTTCTAATTTTTCTCTAACATAGAAACTCTGCTCCAATCCCTGATATAAATTTGTGTGTTTGTAAAATTGCCTCTAGAGCCTCAGAAGTAGAGAATTGCTGGGCCAAATAGTTAGTAGACTTTTCAGGCTTTTGATAGGCACATATGCTTTTTTGTATCCTATGACTAATCTGTAGGAATGAGTTAATGGAGGAAATTTTACACCAAATCACAGCAAGGTGGAAGGCAAAATAGGTGAATTATTGGAAACTTTCAGAACCCATTCAAGTCTCACGTGTCCTCAAGTGTCACCTGCTGCCTCCTGTGCTGGATTGAGGTTGCATGCAGTGGCCTACTTTTAATAGTGTTCATATTTTTGTGAACTGATAATACACAAAGCAGCCCCTTCAAAAAAGTGTCTCTGGAGTGAGTAACTAACTAGGTAGATATCCATTGGGGAAAGGCACATTTTGGGCATCTTCGGTGTATTGTCTAGATCCATACACTTAGAATCACACCAGTATAATCCAGCTGACAACGAAGTTTCCTTATAACCCATTAAGGCTACCTGCAGGTGAGAATGAAGGTTTCTGTTTTCTTTTTATTTCTCTTCAAGTTAGAGTACAGTTTCTCTATCTGATCCTTCTCAGCTAGCTCTAGCAAGACAGGCGAACCTATGTCTTTACTATCTCTAAAATAGGAGAGAAGAGAATTTGAGGAGATTTGGATAGGAGATGGATGTTCCAGAAATAGAACAAAGCATAGAAGAAAGAACTAGGCTTCAAATGCAAAGAGGATTAACTGAAAGAGGGAGATTATTGGGAAGGGAGGAGAAGCGAGTCAGAGGACACCGATCTGTGCAGGGCAGCCCTAGATTGTGTTTAAGCAGGAAGTTAGTTTCAGTTATATCTATATAATAACAAACCATCTGGCTTGGGAAAATGACAATTAATTCAGCTATTTGTTTTTAGCTTCAAATTTGCCCTTGCTTTTTTCCTTTTCAAAATTAGCCAAATGTTGCTTAACTAAATCTTATGATTCTTTTTGCCCTCACGGACTTTGCATTATTAAAATAAGAGTTATTATGAAAGTAACAGAATCATGGCTTAAAACTGAAAATATCAAAAACTTGATGCTATTTTAAAAGCAAGTTCATTCCAGCCCATTTTAAAGTACTATAAAGACAGCCCAAATGTAATGCCAGGAGAAGCCAAGAATTTAAGGAATCAAAAAAAAATTGTTCATCATTTGGAAGCCAAATGAGGATTCTTTTTACATGAACCAGTGAAGTGAGTGTGTGTATGTGAGTGGCAGAGTGTAATTTTCCTTATCAGAGAATTATCTCCATTAATGGTATTAAAGAATAAGGAGTCTTTCATGAAAATAGCTCCTTCTTAATCTGTTTCTTATCCATGTTTGCTAAAGGAGTCAGCCTGATGTTTCTATATGGAATAATTGTATTTATTTTCTTTCAAACGATCAGCTGCTTTACCATTGTGTAGTCACAGTCGGAGTTGAACATGATGAAGCTTCTTGATATTTTCCTTGGACACTCTGTCCGTTGTCAAATGTATCAGTTATCTAGACCTTGTCAGCACCCCTTGGATTCTCTCTTGGACACCTGTGAACATCACACTGAAAAATAATCCTATTCTAGGTGTGTGTAGTGGAGTCTTATCATTTCCTTTTGAGAACATGACTCCAATTACAGTTTGGAAAGCAGATCAAATAGTGCTGCGCTGCTGGTTTGTATCCTTTCACTTCACTGTTTTGTGTTCCCTGAAAAATAAACCTCCATTTTTTTCTCTCCTTTAATTAGAATAAATTTCTTTCTTTGAACTTAAAATACAGCAGGATATCAGATACAAAGTAGGAAAACTAAGCCCGGGGCACCTCCATAAAGTGCAAACATTCAAGTTAACATGCAAAAATGAAAAATAGCTAATTTTTCAATAACAAAAATGGTTACTCTAAAAACAAATCTATGTGTCACTCATTCCATACATCATTACCTCAGTTAATCTAAGGGAGGCATCATTGTCCTCCTTACAGGGACAAAGAAACCAGGGCTGTGAGTGGTCAGTTAGTGGAGCTCAATCTGCTTGGGGAAGCTTTGATAAATACCAATGCTCCAGCCACATCTCAGGCCGATTAAGCAGAAACTCAAGGTGGGGCTAGCAAGTTCATGTTTTCAAAAGTTGTCCTGCTGACTCTCATTTGTAGCTGGGGACAAAAGTGACTAGAAGCAGGTGCCCTGATCCTGCCAATATAGGTCCTCTTGAACTTTTTACTTATCGCTGCTTCCTTCTCTTCTAAAAGTAGGTCATGTCACTGTCTCCATTTCTTCTTTACCCTCTTCAGGGACAACTTTTATGGGCAGAAATTTTCAGTGTGTTTCCTTTTTTCAACTCCTCATCTACCTGGTTATTAATCAGTCAAACATCAGCAATTCTGTTACCTCTTGAACTTCACTTGGAAGCCAAATGATGATTCTTTTCACATGAACCAGTGAAGTGTGTGTGTGTGTGTGCGCGCGCACACGTGTGTGTGTGTGTGTGTGCGCGCGCGCATGCACTTGTGAGAGAGAAAGAGAGGTTTTCTATTTACTTGGGTAAATAAATATCGCAACCAAAGACAAATGCTTGTTTAAGGTCTTCAGTGACAGCAGAAGAACAAGTACATAAGTAAACACTATTTCTCTTTTAATTCTAAAAGAGCAAGACAGATGAGGGTATAGAAGGCAAAAAAGAAAAAAGAGAGGAATATATACACTGTTTAAGTAAAGATATCTACCTTACAGCCATTAGTAAGATTTGGGCTCTAAACCAAAAGAGCTCTAATGTCTTTTAATGACTTTGGTTGTATGAAATTTTCAAAGTAAAATAATTAAGAATTTTAAGCTCTATCACACTTTTAAATGCAAAGGATTGTCAAATTAATAATTTTTAAAGGGTGTTATAACTCCTTAAAAGTATAGAATCATTGGCAATAGTCAGAATTCCCTACCATGTATGGATTCTCTGGGGATCTGGCTCTGTTGTATTATAAAAATAGCTAATAATACTGAACACCCATTAAGTGCCAGGCCCTATTCTATTCATGTTAACTCATTTCCTTCAAAACCCTATGAAGTAGGTAAGCTTCCAACCTGGCAAACAGAGCAGCACAATTCAATCAATTTAGGTAATTCCCCCTCATTTGGCCTTTTAGGGTAGCTGGAATAGGGTTTAAAAAAATAGGAGAATAACCATATTGTGAGTGGAAGAAGCTACAATTAAGCAGCCCCCAGCATCTCCGTGACGCCTACCCACATTTTATCAGCAAAATAACCACTATAGCTAAGGGCATCCATGTTTCTAAGAGAAACCAGCTTCTTACTTCTTTCCGATTAGCTGCTTCCCTGAAACTCAAACATCTATTACTCGCAGGAAGGCCCCCAAAACTGTGGGCACTTCGAGTAGTATCTCCCCTTCCCATGTCTTACAACTGTGGTTCTCAAGCCTTGGTATAAATAAGAACAACCTAGGCCGCTTGTTAAAAGGTGTATTTCTGTATCCCGTCCTCAGAGAGTCTGATTAAGTGGATCTAGCAGGGATGCCCAAGAGAGAGAATACAGTCATGGCTTCTTAGTTTCTGTTTCTGTCTGGGCCAGTAAAGCCCCTTCGACATCCCTCCTGTCTGCTTATCACTAGAGACAGAAACTAAAAACCATGGCTTCAGGCTGTCAAAAGCCTAAAACAAAATAAAACAGAACAACAACAACAAAATAAGGCAGGCTGGACAAGCTTGGGGGTGAAGCCCCAAACCTACATTTTTTAAGCAAAGCTCTCCAGGTACTTCTAACACTATTAACACTAGACACAGCCTTTGAAACATGGTCATCTGTCTGCCACCTTGGCTTCACTCGTATCAATGAATGGCCAGTCAGAGTGATTTGAAGTTGATAATTTTGCCAACATTTCTTACCTAATTTTAAAAGGTAAATGACTGTGCCATGTAGTTTAATTCCATAAATATTGTCACAGTTTGATCAAAGGTAGTATCTTCAGGTCTTGAGATTTTCCTAGGATTTTCAAATATTTAAGTCATTTCTTCTTCACAATGATAAAATAGTTATAATCATCAGTTAATTATTGTGAAGAGTGGTTATGTACAAACTCCTATCAAAAAAACCAGCAAAATCAAACATTGCATATAAATTTAGTATTTTAATGTATTCTGTGCACCACCCAAACAGTAAAGTTAGAAAGAGTCTTAGAGATACTCTAATTAAATGAGGAAACTGCAATCTAAAAAAGTGAAGTGACTTGCCGAGAGCATACAGACAGTTGGAAGAGCCGAGAGTCTCTTTGATGAGGCTTCTTCCACTACTACACCATGAAGATCTGTACACCTTGGCTGCCTCTTTCATTGTCAGTGAACGAATACGTCAAGGTCTGGTTGCTGGGAGAAGCAAGCAGACCTTCATAGCCAGGATGGACTCCAATTAAAACCACTGCCAGTGTCAGTTCCTGGGCATGAAGCATTGGAGAGCTGAACAGCTGGTCCCCAAAGAACACTAAGAGCCAAGAATAAGATGAACCATCTGGGGCGAAACCCTTGCTCCAGATAATACATTATCCCTGCATCCATCCTGCAAGACTGTGAGAATGACCTTTTTTTGCAGAAGAGATGTTTAAGGCTTAGCCTATAAGTAGCAATAAAGTTTGAGAAATTTAGGTAAAGAATAATTGCTGAAGGAAAGGGAGAGTATTGGCCTATTTTTGCATGTTGACCAGATGACTTGGGCAAGGTAATATACCATGAACTTGAGGCAGGTCTGCAAAGAACAATTACGTCCTGACTTTGTGATGTGTAGTTTAATTCCAGCCATGCTGTCTCCTCAACAGTCTTCCTTCTTATTGATTTATAGTCATATGTATCAAGGAGCCAGGACTAAAAGTCTAAAACTGTATGACTGATCTAAAATTAATTAGAATTCAAGGTGGGAGTTAATAGCAAAAACTATTAAAAACCTAGCCAGGGACATAGATGAAGGAAAAAATACATGTGTTATTATCAACATATTTTGTGTCAATCGCATTGGAAATCTGATCCATATATAAAAGTTTTTATCTAATGGGCCAACCTCTGAATATTATTATATCCCCTTCAAACCCAAGGCAGTAGTTATTTCTTGGATTTTATTTTAGGATATGGCATTTGCCTGGTTTAACCATAGGCAGGTTACAGGCTTAGTGTTCAAAGTAGGGCTTGGCAGCACCTAACATATGGTATGTGATGTATTGCCCTATGTGCTGAGCAGCAAAGCGGCAATAAAAGGTAATTTGGGGAGAATCCATCGCACTTCATTTGGAAAACAGAGTTCTCTCTGTTGGAGCTAAGGTTAGTGGTTTGGATTTGCGTGTGTTCCTGCAATTTTTTTTTTTTTTACATTGCTTTTGAATTGAAAATAAAAACAGACAAAAGGCCTGATGTCTAACCCAAGTAAATAAAACCTATGAGACACAAAGTAGCCAAAAACATGTTTTACTTATGTGACAAGCTAGTCACTTTGGCTATTAACTCTTAGGAAATTCAAAGAAAGACATTTGAAAATAGGAACCTATTATTATTACAAGTAAGAATCCTTATGCAACATTCACATTAATAGGCTACTGATACATGGCTTGAGGGAGAGGAAATCACTGCATACCCAGGTGTGCCCTCCATGTCAGCCTAAAGGACTGGTTTGGGTGCTTTGAGTCCCCAGACCCAGGAGTCTTTGATTTTAAACTTCCTTTCCTTCTGGTGCGGCAGCAAAGGTGCCATCTAGAAAGCCCAGAGTTTCTGAGTACACATGGGATACCCAGGAAGTCCAGTGTGCAATGTATCAGGTGCCAGGGGAGGTAAGCAGGTGTGTTCTATGGAACAGCACCAGGTCACCTGTCCCTGTAGCATACAGAGGGAATTACCACCCCCGCAACTGCCCCACCTAACGTGGCCATCTGTTCACCACCAGCCAGTGCTACCAGCCATTTCAGCTTAGAATAACATCTCAGGTGTTTCTCAGCTGTACCTGAGCTGGAAGCTGCTTTCTCCTGCCTCAGACTTTTGTTCCTTTACTTTCCATGTTCCACTGCCTGACCTTAAAAAAAAAAAAAAAAAAAAAAAAAAAAACTTCCTTTTTTTTCTTTTTGAGGCTGCTGCCCTGTTTCTATTAACTTTTAATAATGAAGTACAAGAAACCATTAAGATTTGTCTCGCTTTGCTTTTACTCACCAGTCTCTGTGATAGTTGATTGGGCTGTGTGAATGTGTGATCATGAATGCACAAAGCAGCACAAATCCAGGAGTCTGGATTCACAAACTGCCCATACCTTCTTCAATCTTTGTTCTCCTGATACAGTAAAGAGCATTTGGTAAGAACCTGCTTCAAAGTTTCTGAGTGAAAGGAACAGGGCCACCTGAAATGAACTAAGAGGAAAGACAAACTTCAGGCTTCCTGGAAGGGGCAATGTGGTGTGGACTGAGACTGGGCTCTGAAATCAGACTTTGGTTTAAAAATTCACATTTGCTAAGACCCTATCCAAGAGGCATAATATCACAACGTCACAGTTTCTCATATCATGAAAGAGGAGTAATGACATCTAGCCCATAATGCTTGTGAGAGGGGTGAATGAGAATACACACGTTGCCTGTGTAGCATAGTGCCTAGCATGGAATAAGCAGTGTTTGTCTACTTCTTTAATTATGAAATAATAATCAGATCTGCTTTTCATCACAGGCAGAGGGCAGAATTGATGATAGGCCTTCAGAATTGACCAACTCCCTTTCAGGAAGAATGTCATACTGCAGATGCAGTAGCCTTTTAGTAGCCTAAAAAGCCTTCTTATCCATTGTAAAGCAGGAGAATCCATGGGCTGATCTATATTTACATGCTGTACATATCTTCCCCACTGGAAGTTTACGGAGGAAGGATGGTGGCAATAGCATAACAACAGAGGGGAGAGACTAGTACAGGTATCGTACAACTACATACATGCTCAGAGCATGCCCAGGACCTCAGGAGGACCAGAGCAGATAACACAACACCTTGCAGTCATTTAATGCTTGCTGTTACTGGCTTTGGAAATAAGTTCAATTTGACAGTTATTAATATCTGCTATAATCCTACTGTGCAAGGTAGCTGAAAGGACTTTATTTGATTTTTTTTTTTTTTTTGAGATGGAGTCTCACTCTGTTGCCCAGGCTGGAGTGCAGTGGCATGGTCACGGGTCATTGCAACCTCCACCTCCCGGGTTCAAGCAATTCTCATGCTTCAGCCTCCCAAGTAGCTGGGATTACAGGTGTGTACCACCACGCCTGGCTTTTTTTTTTTTTTTTTTTTTTTTTTGTATTTTTAGTATATAGACAGGGTTTCACCATGTTGGCCAAACTGGTCTCGAACTCCTAACCTCAAGTGATCCGCCCATCTCGGCCTCCCAAAGTACTGGGATTATAGGCATGAGCTACCGTGCCCAGCCAGGACTTTGATGTAAGTAGGCATAATGTGGACAAGAAATTTAGTATCTTGCAAGTTCTGTTCACATGCTTAATACAGGAAGCTATTTCAGATCCTACCTCAACTTTTAAACCGATCTAGCCTGCTCGGTTTATATTGTGTTTCCAAAACAACAAAAACAGCCTCTCCTACTACTTTGTGCCAAAAAGCATCAAAAGCATTTTATTTACATGTAGTATTTCACCTTACCAACAGCACTCTGAAGTGAGCAGTACCATCCCCATTTAACAGATTAGGAAATTGAGGCCCAGAGAAGTTAAGTAATCTTCCAGAGTCACACAGTCAGCTGCGAAGGCAGGATTTGAAGTCCCCCAGCTCAAATGTGCTCTAAACCCCTGTGTTCTACCCATCAAGAAGTTTAAGTCACTGTTGTTCAACCTTCTGTAGTGGACCAAGATTTTCCTATCATCACAAAAAGATACAGTCAGGATTATGAGTAAATAAAGGGCTTTGAAAATGATCATTGGTGCCCACAGCACAGTGAAAGGTAGAAAAGCACCATGAGAAAGCATTCGTTTTGAAGACATGAGGCAGGAGCTGTAGCCCTAACATGTTTTTTTCCTAGTTGTGATATTGCATCCACTACTTGTCATCTCTAAGCCTCGTTCCCTCACCTCATAACCATCATTCTCAGTAAACTATCGCAAGAACAAAAAACCAAACACCGCATATTCTCACTCATAGGTGGGAATTGAACAGTGAGATCACATGGACACAGGAAGGGGAACATCACACTCTGGGGACTGCTGTGGGGTGGGGGTTGGGGGAGGGATAGCACTGGGAGATATACCTAATGCTAGATGACGAGTTAGTGGGTGCAGCACACCAGCATGGCACATGTATACATATGTAACTAACCTGCACAATGTGCACATGTACCCTAAAACTTAAAGTATAATAATAAAAAATAATAATAAAAAAGTACCATCACAATCAATGCAGTAATATAGCTGAATCTGCTTTTTTATTCTTAAGGCTCTAAGCAAATGTCAGCTACTCTATTATAGTTCAATTGTTTTCAATTCCACTATTGGCTTGCTCTTGAATCTTGAAAAATCTCTCCCGACATCTTAACTTTCTCATCTATAAACTAGAGCTGCTGATACAGCATCTTTTAGTAATACCCTCCAGCAGCTGTTCCGAAACTTTAGTGACCTAGAATCTTTTAGGATACTGTTAAAATAGATTCCTGGGCCGCTGTCATTATGACCAGCACAGCCGCATGGCACCTTGCAATACTCACTCTTTGAAAGGACCCCACTTGATTCTGATGTAGGTGAGCTGTGACTACTTTCTGAAAAAATGCTGCCCTGCAAGGTCAATATTACAAAGAACTGCAGTATCTGTGGATACAAAACTTGACCAAGATCACTTGCTCAGTCCATTACACAGCCAGCACTGAACCCTTAACTCCCAATATCTAGATCCTGTTCTTTTCACCCCATGAGTCTGACTCAGAGGAACATCAAAGCCATTTCTTGGTCACTGGGTTTATATTAAGGGTTGGGTCCTAGAGTACACAGCTGAAGCTTGCAGCACTCCAAAGACATCTCTAAAAGATTGAGTGTCATTGACTTTCTCTTCTTCCTCTGCAGACACATTTGCCAGCAAAGTGGCAGCCACCCAGGACCAGTATGCAGACGCCTCCATAGGTAACGTCACGGGCAGCAACGCGGTGAATGTCTTCCTGGGAATCGGTGTGGCCTGGTCCATCGCTGCCATCTACCACGCAGCCAATGGGGAACAGTTCAAAGTGTCCCCTGGCACACTAGCTTTCTCTGTCACTCTCTTCACCATTTTTGCTTTCATCAATGTGGGGGTGCTGCTGTATCGGCGGAGGCCAGAAATCGGAGGTGAGCTGGGTGGGCCCCGGACTGCCAAGCTCCTCACATCCTGCCTCTTTGTGCTCCTATGGCTCTTGTACATTTTCTTCTCCTCCCTGGAGGCCTACTGCCACATAAAAGGCTTCTAAAGGAACTATCAGATATAGTAAATTTATATATATACATATATATACATAAAAATTATGTATAATGGACAGAGGAAACTGACATTTGTCATGTTCACTTACCTGCTGATGGAATCCAGCTTCAAGAGCATACTCTGTACTAGGGCCGAAGTAAAAAACCATCACCTCCCATTCCCAGGGGCATCATCATGTTCAACAAGGCATGGAGGCAGGGCCATCTTTGCAGCTCAGTCTAGAAGGGCTGCACTCTCTCCAGGTTGATAAATCCTTAAGGCTTTGATTTGTTTTGTTTTTGGTTTTGTTTTCAGTGGAGCTGGGGAGGTAGTTAATGTTTGGCTTTATTTTTGTTATTTTGTTTTGTTTTGTTTTTTTGGGAGAGTCAGGGTTGTTGCTTTTCTTTGTGGAAAGTGAAACCATCCAAATGTAAATGGGTTTTGGTAAAAATTTAAATCATTAGTATTCCCCCTCACCTCCCCCAATCACTTTAAAACTTATTTTGGATTAAGAAAAAATCTGGGCATGGAAGAAGAAAGAAGCATGTCTTCATCGTATTACCAAAGTTCATGCTTATCTCCGGAATGTGAGTGGAGGTGAAGCTGCCTCCAAGAAGAAGCATAAAAGTGGAATGGAGCCAGGAAATCCGATGGTTCTAGAAATAGTCTGATATTTAAACATGTGATACCTGGCAGTCTCGTTTAACAGGTACAAGGAAAACGTGCCTAGATTCCCAGGAACGTGCAAAATCCTTTCTTTCTTATCTCTTTAGCTCTGGACTGTGATTGGCAAGGTCCTTCTTCCAGCATTCAGCCCAGCTAAGCCCCCAGGTGCCCCATCCCAACCCTGTTCCTCCTGTCCACCTGCCATCCCCTATGCAAACAGTAAGAATAACCCCATTCAAAAAGCACATCATCGTTTTCCATTTGCATTAACATGTGTCTCAGTCCCATGTTGCCGTTGCTTGGGATTGTCTGTCAGTTTTATTTTCAAAGGCATCCATGGCTTGCACAATCCTGTTCCAGTCATGACTGAACATTTGCTCCTTCTTCATGTGCCGTTCGGAAATGTTGTTGTGATACCTGTTACACAGTGCATGGTGAAAAACAAATAAAACAAAACAAAGAGTATCTGTATATAGTAGAGTATAGTACATACTGTTCTCCCATTTGGCAATGTTGATTGGACATTGAAGACATAAGTGAGTTTTCTTTTCACCTGAGTTGTTACTTTTGTGCTGTTATTGAGTTTGATTAATTACTAGGGATAAAAGGAGAAAATGGATTATTGTTCACGGTTCTGCACATTCATTTCTAAGAAGCAATAACTGTCATGTGGGGAGAAGTTAAAGCTATTGAGAGGATAGCAGGCAAACTACAAAGATCTTCATGGAAAATTAGCCATGTGGAACACATCAGAGGCCTCTAAAAATCACCCATTAATTCAGGAAGGCCAAGGAGAAAGGCCTTATAGAGACGTTGATATGTTGGATGTGCCTAGGCTTTCAGAGCCACCCTTTCCACAACACCCCTCCCTGCAAAGTATTTATTTCACATCTGCACTGTCTGGCACAGATGGTAGATAGTGCTGGTTTGTTCATTTTATTTTTTTACTTAAAAGGCTATTTTGAGCCCTGTTTCTTTCACTGTCCAGTCTAGTCCTCTTTGATTATATCAGTAGTTGCTGAGTAAGAAAGAAGCCAGGGTGACCAACGGGCCTTTAAAAGTGTTGTCTCCTCTACTTATGCTGAAAGAGAAGGCAATTAAATAAGACTAGTACCTCCCAGGAGGATTGGACTGGGATATTTTTAACCCTTTAAAAAGAATAGCTGTTTCTATGTTAAAATACCAAAGAACATGGATAAACCCAACATTCCAAAGTAGTGAGTCCACTAATGAGAAAAATAATAGAATGACTTTGGTCACCTCTCGGAGACTTCTGTGTCTATAAGGAATCCCAGGCTGGAGACATTCCTAGCCCTCTGTATTGATTCAAAAATACTTAATAAATTAAAGCTGTTGAGACTTATTTTTTCTTCTGTCACTCAGTAACCATGATCCTTCCTCATTTAATAAACATTTGGTGACTGAATGAGTAATTAAATGCTGGTTACCCACTTAATGTGCCAGGTAGTATGATACTTTCTGGGGACTAAGCCATGAACAAAACAGTCTAGATCCCTGCCCTCAGAAGGGTTACAGTTTATGTGATTACTATTTTCATGAGTAAAAGTGAAGAAAGCCATATGGAAAGATTTTTATCTTGCAAGAAAAAACAATTATGAAACTCTTTTAACATAAACACACTGAAACTGTATCAAAGCAATTGTCCAAATTGTATTTATACCCAAGAATTTCTTTAACTAAGAGAGCATAAGGCATATGTTTGGAAAACCACCCTCTTTATCTTTGACCGACTTGCAGATAAATATATCTCTCCATTTTAAACCAAGAAGGGCAATCATGTTGGTGATCCAGATCACTGAGAAAGCCCAGTGTATCCCATCTTTTATCTTTGTTGGCAATGGAACTTTTCTATGGCCCACACTTTACAATTCTTTGTCATTCTAACCCATCCTTCCCATCCTTATTTTTTTTTTTTTTGAGAATTGCTAAATGGAAAGCTAGCCTAGAAGCACCAAGTAAATATATTCAAGGAATATAAGTTGTTTAAACATTAGAAAAATTTTTGCACTCATTTTTTAGCTGTATTAGGAATGTCAATAATCCTGTAGCAAATTTTCACAGAGAACTTTAAGAAATTCTTGCATTGGTCGATTTCAATTTGAAAGCTTTTTGGTTTGTTTGCTTTTTAAATTTTCATGTTCTAGGAAACTATGATTCTGGTTGTTCAGGATTGTTATTATTATAGTTGTGTAAAATTATTTTATTTTGTGTGTATTGTGCACAGCTTGGGGGGGGGGCGGGAAATGCACTAATTGTGCTCTTCCTTATAAATGGTACATATTACTGACACAGACAAATAAAGTTTCTAATTGTTTCTGATTTAATCACTAGTGATACAGCATATTCTGTATGAAATGTTTTCTCCTTTCTCATTGTCATCTACTTCATTTTTTGTTTTCATGTTTTGAAGAAATAAAAACCAAAATGGTATTATTGTGCAACTGGTATCATCATCCAAAGAAAAAAACAGACACCAAGTATTCAAACTCTTGCAAACGTCAACCCTTCGGTCATGCAATGTTCTCTTTTTAATGTCCCAGGAGAACACAGTGTCAGAATATTTGTCTGTCCTACAGTGCTGAGATATATGTTGGACATTCCTCCATTTCACTGATTTTTTTTACGTTGCTTAGTATGACTCTATCTACATCCTTTCCTGCATCCAGGATCATAAGCCCATAAACAGTTACATGTCAGACAACTTTTTAGCATGCAGAGTATTACATCAAATCAGTCGATCCCAAAAAATTCCAATCCCAAAATTGATGGTAGTACAGTTTCTTCCCAAGGGGATGTTTAAGTAAATTTCTCTTTTAGTTTCATATGTTATATTCCTCTTGTAGAACTTCTGCCTCGCATTAACGATTTCTGTCTATATCTTATTAACTTCATATATCATATAGTCAAAACAGTATAGAAGGAAGTGATGTCAGAAATGGAATAAGCATTTGTGGGGAAAAAATGTGACCTCTAAGGTTTGTGTACTTATTTGAAGTTGACATATTAGTGGACTTAGTTCTTACTATAATAGAATCTGTCCACATGTACAAGTAAATGCTACTTTATTGATCCGATCATCTTTAAAATTTTCTTTAGTATTCCTCATTATATTCTTTATATGGTCATATGTGGTATACTTTCATGTATGAATGAAGGAATTATTTAAATATTTTATAGTATCAAACTGTCAATATGTCTCTTGAGTACCAGCCTTTGGTTTAACACAAAATGAGCAGCCAACCTCTATTTCTTTATATAGCAAAAAGATTAATTCAATGACCAGAGCTCCTTGACCGTCTAACAACCTTTCAGAAAAATTCTGTGACCTGATAATTATCAGTTTCTTACAAGCAAATTTTAATGGGTTCAAATTTCCTGATTCCATCCTTCAACCAGTGAGTGTTTTATAAAATTTTGCTTTTTGTAGTTCATAGCCTAATAGCACTAATTTTTTGTTGCTTTTCAAACATAAAATTTTTACAAAATATTGTTTTAGAAACCCTGCAAAAATTCTGATGCATGCCTTTCCCCTGTGGCCTCACTATTAATGAAAGCTCACCACTCACATTGCATTTTCCACAGGGGTCTTGATTCATTGGTGATTCCACAGCAAAAGGTCCCTGATCCTAAACTGTCAAAATAAAGTAGCGAGACTGATATACATCTGATAACTTTGTGGAAGCAATTAGAAAATTTTCTCTGGTAGATGATGATGCCCTCCATCCTCTAATAGTGGCAGAACTTTGCCTTCTCAAGAGAATAAATCAGCCCCTTTAAGACTTCTTTTAATATTTTTGGGCTGGGGATATGGAGTCTCTCTGTTGATTCTGACTTTCTGACTATGATTTTGGGCAGTTGCATGCAGAGCAAGTTCTGAGTGTAGTTTCATAATCTCAAGAACGTTTGGCCATTTTATGATTGACAGCATGTAATATTGGATCTCACCTGACCTACAACTGGCATTCAGCTTTTATCATTGTAATCACTTCACTTGGCCAAGGCAGTTGGTAAAACTGAGCAAAGTTAAATATAAATTCCAATCATTAAATTGGTGAGTGCATTATGCAGAAGATACAGAATCCTATTTCAGAAAAAGAAACATGCTATTATAAGTGGATTCCTTAGATTTTGTTCAGCTCTACCTACGGAGTTTTGCTAATAGAATGTAGTTCTGCTATTCTTTTTTACCATTATGTACTCACCACTTCTAACCATCTTGTTGTCTTCCCATCACGCAGTACATTTCAAAATGCTGGGCGGTCCCGATGGTATTACACCCACAAGGACAGCATAGGAAGGGTAAACAATTGAAATAGATATTTCATGTTGGGAGCTTAATTAGGCCATGATTAATCGTCTCTCAAAGCAGAGACTGTCTTATCTATAAAAGGAGCAACCACTGAGAGGTGGAACTCCCAAAGGAAAGCACTGCAGGTTTCCAGCCCACAAGAAATGGTACGTATTTCACTTTCTTTGACTTTTTCCCTGCCTGTCAAGATGTCCAAATGTACTCAGAGGCTGTCCACATTTTCAGTTTTGTCAAAGGTTCTCTGATTCAATTTTGTAAGAAACATTTAAATCAGTGGTTATGTAAATTATTGTTTATTTTGTTTTACTTTTAGGAAAGAGCATTACTGTATAACTTCAAAAAGCAATATGACTTAGTAGTTAAAATTATGACCCATATTTTTTCAGGAAGACTTGCTTGCCCAAAATTGTCTTGTCTATCTGTTATCAATGTAGTCATTCATAGCTGCCTCAGTGGTTCACATTTTTTAGAATTATGCTTCCCTAGCATTTTTTCAAAGAGTTGGAGAGTTTTCCCCATGGGAATAAACAGTCTTAATATTTCCTTTCCCTAATTTCAGCCTTTGCAGTTCTTCGGTGACTACTCCCATTATATCCAACTACCCTTAGTGATGCTCACTATTACCTCCCGGCAATAGGGAAAGAGCTTATGCTATAAAGTGATTGCTCAAGACATGTTTTTCTGAAAGTGAACTTATCATAGGAGAAATCAAATATAATGACATTCCACCTAGATAAGAGTCACTAGGACATAGTATGGAATCTTTGTAAATGAGCGGGACAGATCATACCTACAGTTACACATATAATAGTGTTGTTTATTTTATACCTCTTGAATCATATTTATTATGCTTCAGTGCTGCCCATCGACCTAGCCTTTTATTCTATCAATATGTAGGTGTGGATTGGGAATGAGAACCGACATTCACATCCCTGATGCTCATGAGGGTTTCTACAAAGGTGGAGTATGTAAACATAGAAAAACGTAACAGATAGCTTCCATGCCTCTAAGAAATATGAGTGGGTCAAATGCTTCTCTGTGGGTACTATTTTTCTGCTATGCAAATGGTAGAAAAGTTCACATTAATAGCCAAACAGACCAAGAGAGAAATTAGCTAACTTCACTGTTAATCTGTCTACTTTGACAGTTAAGATATAGCCCAGCCCTCCTAATTTGTTGACTGCAAAGACAGATACGCCTAGTTAAATCCAAGAATGCACTGGGGGACGGGGGGATAAAGTTACTAGAATAATTATACAACCCTCCGTACTAAGATTGCTTATTCGCCAAGAAGAATCCTGCCCAGAGATTTTCAGAGACATTTCCTTACATTCCCAACCTTCTTTTAATTTACACAACTTTTTAATTAGACCCCTTGAAGCCACATAGTAAAACAAGAGATGAATTATCTAAGGAGAACTTTTGGCCCTCCCTCTAATGTGAAGATCACATACTTGACTGTATTTCCCATTCTTTCCAAATGGAAAGAACAGTCCAATTAAGTAACCAACTATGTAACCACTTTTTGACGTAATTCCACCTAAAAAACAAAGAGTGAACTAAATTGTACAAACATTAAACCTAACAGTGATATGACCAGATGGCTAGTTTTGAGAAAAATAATATTTTCTGTAGATACCTTGCTCTCCCTTCCTGTACTCATCCTAATGCTCAAGTTTGAGAAATACTCCAAGGAAGAAATCTTGAAAGATTGTACATTCAAATAATGCTCATGTAATTGAGTAATATGGCATTTGGGATGAGAATAAGAGCGTATTTAAAAATAAGAGAATTGGCACAAAAATGTGTTAACTAGGATTTTATTACAAATTGCCCTAAGATATTTGCAAGTTATTATATTTAAGTGAAATAAATCCCAGTTTCCAGAAACAACAGTACAATTTATATTCGCAGGTTTTATATGAAAATCAAAGTTGGGCATACATACTTTTTGGCTTTGGCAACCAAAGAAAAGCATGTTTTTGGCACACGTTTCCAAATTATTGAGTTATTTGTAGAATACATTGGACCTGTACAGGTATCTCATTAAAATTACCTTCAATAATTTCCCTTTCTTCCTTTAAGCCATCAAGTTTCTAAATTTTACAACTTCACAGTTTAGCAATTTCATTTATGAAAGGCTGATTCCATTTTGATGTTGATTTTTACATTTCAGAATTTTTCATATATAAATATTTGATGCATTAGATGGGATACTGAGCTTGAGTCTGGCCCAAATGAACCACAAGGCCCAGACTGATCTATCAGTAGTTAGAAGGCTTCTAATACACTGGCTTTCTAATGTACAGTAAATACTAGCGTTGTTTTCAATATTCTTTCTTTTGACTAAAAGTTTCCATTCCAACTGGTGAAAAATTTTTAAAAAATATTTATAATGATAGTTAGAGAACTGTTTATATGAGGATCAGACATTGTTTCAGCACTGGATCTCCTCTGTCCCCTCTCTTGCTACAGCATACAGCCCAGAGACACACATGTAAAAGTAGGTGATCTCTGTAAACTTCAGCTGCATTTCTGTATGTCTAGGATTGTCCTAGTATCAGATATCCTTTGAGAAAGAGTTGGAGAGGCATGGAAGGAAGCATATTCCTGACCTCCCCCCTTTTTAGCTAAAGATACAAATTCAGAGCTGTTTGAAAAGGGCTTAGAATAATATTAATTAAACATATTCTATAATACAAAGAGAAGTACTTTTTTAAAATACATTTATTTTTCTTTCTTTTTTAGCAGGCATTTCTGACAGAAAATCTTTAGGGCCAATTAGAGTTTCTTTCTGACTTTTAATTGCCCTCTGCCTTTTGGGAAAGTGTTGAAAAAAGCTCTGGAAAAAAATATGCTGGTCAAGGTCGAACCCTGGGGAATTAAAAACATGAGATTTTTATATTTTCCCTCCAAACATAGCACTGAGCAGGCAGGTTCCCATGCCTGTTGTTAATCGGCATTTTCTTTTTTTTTTTTTTTTTTTTGAGACGGAGTCTCGCTCTGTCGCCCAGGCTGGAGTGCAGTGGCGGGATCTCGGCTCACTGCAAGCTCCACCTCCCGGGTTCACGAATCGGCATTTTCTAAACACGTGTTTTGGTGTGCTGGGAGCAGAGGAGTAGGAGGCCCACCCAGTCCCACCACACATACCGGGACATCTTTGACCACATGGGTCCTCTGCCGTTCGTATTTTAGCTTAGATGTTCTTAACTGAACTAACTTCCAATTTTCATATACACTGATCATCTTGTCCCTAGCATTTTCCCTCCAAGATCCTGCTAACAGGCAAACTAGCCCTTTCAAACAGTTGGTACCTGAGATTTCTCAGAGCTCTCTTATCAAGAGTAAGGAGTGAGATTGCAGAAGGGGCAGTAATGTCAATACCAAGTTATTGGAAACTACTTAACCAGCCACTGCATTACATACTGGAGCCCGTCTAGGACACTTGCCCTTGGAAATGGTGGAAAGACTTTGTTTTATTTCTATTTCATCAACAGAACTTTTGTAGCATTGAATCTAAGCAAAGGATAACATCATATTATAATGGAAAGTTATTTTTAACTACAACTGTTATTGTTAAATTTAGAAGAAAATATTGTCTTTGAAGTTTCAGTCCAAAACTCTAAGGAGAACAAGGTTTTTACTGCCATCGGTAATCCTGTGAGAAATTTGACACTCCAGATCTTATTTGAGACAGATAAGTCTATGATAAATATATGTATGAGACTTAAAATATTCTTGATATTCTCAGGTTGTTCTCACAAATTCTGCATAGATTTAGTTGTTTTTTTTTTTATGAGAACCTTTCTTATCAAAAAGGATTGAAAATTTTTCCAACAACTGGTTGTTAAATGAGTCTAGCACCCAAAGAAGCTGTGAGCAGTTGGTTCTACCAGTGACTCTTCTAGGAGCTCTTTCCAGGTTGGTCTCGAACTCCTGACCTCAGGTGATCCGCCTGCCCTGGCTTCCCAAAGTGCTGGTATTACAGGCATGAGCCACTTTGCCCAGCCTGATAGTTCTGACTCAATCCCTAGACACATTCTTCAGAAACAACTGTACATGGTGAGAGAAAAGTGAAAAGGAAAAAAGTTTTCCTTCCTTCAAAATACACTAAATTTGCTTATCACCTTTAAAATTTGGACTGAATGTTTAAACTTTAAACACAAAGCAAAGGGAGATGCTCTTAAATGTGAAATCTGAAGCAAAGATTGCATTTTTGCAAAGCTATCCAGAAGATGTGTTAATTATTGAGACATGGGATTCATTAACACATCAGCGCCCAACCACTGCCTCTCCTGCCCCCATTCACACATTATCCACAATCAAATAAGCAGCTAAGCAGGGGAAACCTATCACTGTTAATGTCATAATCACATCACCACTGAATTACCAGATGTGGTCAGGAACTAGGCAAAGTAGGTGGGACCAATCCTAGGACTGGGGCCATACCACAACCTCAGCTCAGCCCCTTGTCGGATACGGTTTCTGAATTTAGTACAATGCCAGAAGTATTTTTTTTCTTTCAGCTGTGAACCAGCCTGTTTTGTTTGACAAGCCTTTCCAGATTCATGCAGCTCAATCACGTGCTTGTTGCCAGTTTGAGAGTGAACCTATTATTTCAAACTTGTTGCCGTGACCAATTTTTACAAAACTGAAAGTAGCACTGTGAGGTGGATTGGACCTAGTGATGAGGTGTCTACACTTGCATCCTTTTCTTCCAAGAGAATATTCTGACACTCCAACTCTAGAAGTCATGTCATTAGTAAAATGAAAATAATAATTGCTTAATCACTGTTTAGAATTAGTTCATACTTCTTCAGAGCTTGAAGCCTCCACGACTCAACATCAGATCCATGGATAGTATTACTATACCTTTACCCAAAGACTGGATTTATTTTGTAAAAATATCAGAATGGGTCTGGGTCCCTTTAAAGCAACTGACAAGGTATTTAACAACATTTTAAAACAATGAAGAAAGGATGATTCTGCAGAGGCTGCTGGGTTACAGAGGAGGGCAGAGCTTTTGTCAGACTCTCTTGATGTTTTGCTCTTCCTGGTAAGTTTTTATCTATCATGGTTCCCAGTGGAATATTCTCCATACACATTCTGTGGGAGGATATTGACATGGCTCTAGACTCTGCCTTTTATTTTCTAATTCTCCTTGGAGAATTAGAACAGGCATTCCAGAACTTGTAATATAGAGGGGAAGAAAGAAAAAATGGCAGATGCCTCATTGATGGATCCACAAGTTTTGTACAAAAGCACACACCATTCTGATTGTCTCTATATTAACATTGTACTCACCAAACAGCTTTCTAAAGGTGACTGGAACAAGATAAATATCAACTGGATAATTACCTAAGGAAAAAGAATAAAAAAGAAATCAAACCAAAAAAAAAGCAAAAAATTGGTCAGTTTAGCAAGCGTGTTTTCCAGGATCATAGGCTCATAAACTATACAGTCAAGAGAGTGAAACAATTTTAAAATCAAAAGTTAGAGCCTTTTATATTTCTTCAGATGTACAATTTCATAAATCAAGCATTTATTTTGTGCAAAGTATTATATTAGGTACCCTAAATGGTATATAAAGAATTCAAAACAGAGTAATTTAAGAAAATTAACACTAGTCTTTGATTTAGTCAGGAAGAGTCCACTTATGGCATTCTAATTAAATTAACCTTCCATTTTGGTCTACATTTTATCAATTTGAGATTGCTTAATGGGGCCATTTTGAAACCTATCAAGAAACTTTCCTCTAACAGAAATAGAAATATTAATTTTCTTAATTTCACATTCTGTCTTCCACTAATAAGATAAATGGATTCAGACCCAACACACACATCCAGAGATTACCATGAGCCAAGACCTGTGTAAGTTTGATATAGGGTCTTTTATTCAACATTTCAAGTTGGGAAAATCTTATTACAAAGATCATTTGCCTCACCATTGCTGAATTCTTTTACTAGGTGTTGATGCTAATTCATCACTGGATTTTCTTAACTCTGCCTGTTGCTCTTTTGGACTTTGAGGCATGTGGTTCTATTTCAGTGAGTTACAACTCCAGCTCTCATCTTTTAACAGCAAACTAGAGAACATCTCACTCTTCATCTCTGAGGACACAGTGTTCTCTTCATTTTAACATCAAAAAGTCACCAGAGAGAAGACCCAAAGGCTTTTCTCTTTGGAAAAGGAATCTTTAATTGTTTCAGAGGGTGAGGAATCTTCAGCTCTCTCTGGACTTGATTGTCCTCATCATTAAATGGGAAGACTTTACCTTTAGCTTGATTTTCCAGAACACATCAAGCCCCGTATGGTCAGTGTTTCCCTGTTATCATCCACTTATGTGTATGGGTTGAAGGTACTTTAAGTTGTGAGCCAGCTGCTGCCCATATTGGGTCACCAATGCACTTGTCAAGCCCATGTAACCACATGAAGTTTGATAGAAATATAAACATTTATTTTGAAATAATTCCATGTGCACGGTTGGAAAAACAGTCTCCCTTCCCTGAGAGGAATGAGTAATTTCTCCCTTTTCAAGAAGTGTACAGTAGAAAATGTAATGAGATTGGAATGGATTCCAAATCAGTGACCTTTTTAAGGCTGAAACCACTATTTTAAATGAAAACTTTAAGTTCATACAGTTTCTTATAGTAATTCTACTTTTATTTTTTAGTCAGTGTGCTTAATCTTTTAGGAAAAAAAACTAACCAGTTATTTTTTACTAAAGTATGTGAATTACAAACAGGATGTGCAATGACCAGGCAGAAAGATATTTAAAGGTGTAATTATTCTAAAGGAAGATGAGAAAAAATTCATCTGCTACAGATTCAACTGTCTTTTAAATGCCTCCCTTGTCATGGAGTAAATGACTACTCAAAAGGATTTCACAAAAGACTTAAATCTCACCCTTAGCAATCAACCGGTCGGCCACAGCTCAGATGCCTCATTAGCAAAATGAAATTGCACAACAGACGAAACATAGCAAAAGAATGTAGACATTTCCATGGGGTGGAAGAAAAGAAGAAAGAAAAAGCAACCATAGTGAACTCTGCTTGCATAAACAAAGAATGTTTTAGTGGAATAAATGTAAGCTTTCTCTTGAAGGAATCCCAGTTAGAATGTCATTGGAAACGGCAAAACTATTTCAGCTTCATAGCAGTAATATATTCCAACTTTATTACCACTGAGGCACAAAGCTAAATTTGTCAGGGGGAAAGGTAAGCAAAAATTACTGACATTGCAACCGATAAAATGATCTTGTGAGACTCAATATTGAGAAAGAAAATTAAAATAGCTAATATTTCTGTTATAATTCCAGTGATTACTAAGACTTCTGCCAAGGGATAAAATTACTTTTCCTTCTCTCATTATAAATTTCTATATAGAGCTATTTTAATGCAGTAAGGACTGTATTTTCATATTTTAATAAATCCCTCACGTTGAATTTGCCCCCCATTTCAGATTTGATTAGGAAATACTAAATTGAGAAGGCAGGTTTTTCCATCTTTTTAAAAACAAGTATGCACCATAAGCATTTTCAGCGGATGTCTGCCTTAAGCAATCTTGGTAGAGCTGTCAATCAGTGGCAGGTGCTTGTTTAAGGAAGAGAACCTGTGAATAGATTTAGCCTTTCTTCCTCACAGACAGCTGCTCATTCACACACGCTCATCTCGTCTTCCTCAACTTCTTGCACCAATCCCGCCTCTTGGATTGACCCACATCCACCTAGCAGTTGAACAAACTGCAGATTCTAATTACATGTCCCGACAGTTGCTCAACTTAATTTTTCACCAACTGAATTTCATGCATTGCCCCTTGATGTTCCTTCCCTCTGTTCACTCTTTTCTATAAGTCCTTGCATTTGATATACTTTAAAATGGATTTGACTAGGAAAAAAAAAAAAACCAAGTCAGCAAACCCTTGTGTTCATTCAAGAAATTGTGAACAAATTTAGCTGTTATGGTAATAATCCTGAGGTGAGAGAGAAAATATCACCTAGGTGACAAGAGATCATTTTAACGCTATTACTAAAATAGTATTCTATGAATAGAGGCCATAGAATTTTCTACAAATAGACTTGTAGGGACTCACATTTTGAATCATATTTTACTTATAGGTTTGCTGTATATACTGATTAAACTTCTGAACCTAAAGATTCTCTATAATTAAACTAGCACAAATATAATCTGTCCCTTACCCACATTGTAAGAATGTCTGGTGGGGGAAATCCAATATTGACCTTCACATTCCACATGGAAAATCTTTGTCCCCAGAGTGCAATTAGGGTGATTAAAAATAAGCCGCTTTTGTGAGTCTCAAGTTTGTTCCCCAAACAAGCAGCATCAGCAACTGGAAATTTGTTAGACATGCAAATTATCCAGTCCCACCTGAGACTTCAGCCCAGATCTATGAATCAAAAATTTTGGAGTGACCCTGGCAATATGGACTTTAATAAGCCCCTAGGATGGTTCTGATGCATGCTCAAATTTGAGAATCATTGATCTATGACACAGCATTCTGAGTGGCCAAGAATGAACAATGTCACCCACTGCTTAATTATGCTTTCCCTTAAGAAAAGGTTTAAATGCTTAAAAGGTAGGTTCTTTATAAAGATAATGCATTCAGATATATGGGAGATATGTCCACCATTCAGACTTAAAATATAATTTTAAGGGACATTAATCCTTATGTCTTTTTCTGGCATAACTGAGTCTGAGGCAGCCTCTCCAGTCAGAGATTTCTAATCAGCTTATCTAGTTCTTTTAAAACCCCACAGCTGATCTACTTTGCCTGACTTCCCCGGGGCCTAGAAAATGACCCTGGACACCTTTCTCTAACTGATTAGCTCTGGCTGATTTGTCTTAATGCTAAACCACTGTGTAACAGTACTAAATTATACTTAATGACACAGTCTACTGTTTTGAAGAGTGCTGTGTATGACTGACTGAGCTAAAAGGATTGCTGGCTATGAGTGAGTTTTAGTTTTAGAATTCATTTTCAAAGACTCACAAGGCTCAAGAAGCTTGAAAACCACAGATGATGTATACAGTAGCTGGAGTTCCCTGGAGGCTCCTTTCTAGGGTCTCTCATTTGAATTGGTGCAGAACTGAAAGCAGAGAGTCAGAAAGTAACTCTGCTTGTAAAAATGGCTTAGGAAAAGGAACTTAAGATTGTGGGTTATATGTGTGTATGTGTGCACACACATGTATGTTTCCTGAATTCTAACCTGAAAATATCACATTTGTGGATACTTAAAATACTCATATGCATTTTGATACACAAAAGCAATTCAAAGTATGTAAAAGGAGGCTGGAAATGTAAGCTTAACAGTGATATTCTGGAGAAAAATGTTGTAACTGTCACTCCAGGCCTCCCTTAGGAGAAACCAAACTTGTCAGATATTTTGGAATGGTAGCTCTTTTTCAGGAATTAGAATAACTGAAGTATGATACTGTGTTCCGTGTGCTTTAAAATCTGTGACCCTCCCCTGTTGCTGGTCATAGCTTCAGCATTTGAGTGTCCATTGTCTGTCGCTGAGGACATTTTCTCATCGGCTCTTTTCCCCATTGTCCCATTCCTCTCACTCACACCTGATTACCAAATAGCTCTAACGAAATCACAGTCACTCCTTCCTGTGTTTCCACCATTGTGTACATCTTCATTTGCACACCCTATTTTTTAATCAAAGTTAAAGCCTCACCAACAAGGTACTTAGAACAATCACCCACTTCTGGCCACTTCGTGACGGGAAATACATCTTTGCAGGGGAAGGAGCTGGATCAGACTGACAGGGTTTCACTCAGACTATTTCAAACAATGAGGAGCCTTGACCTCATTCCCAACTTTTGCCGTCCATAGTGGTTGATTTCTTGTTTTCTCTTTCTCTCTTTTTTTAACAGAAACTCTTAAGCTCAAGGCTAAATTACAGTGGGGACTTGCCTTTGTCTACAGTCCATGGTTTCTGTATTGGCTCAAGCCTTGAAATCTTGAAACAAGCCTAAATTAAAATTTTCTCTTAGCTTAAGAAAAAAAGTTACATATTGTCAAGACCCTTATGTGTGTGGTCCATTAAAAAGGTCTTGATATTAGAAGATAACAGCAAATTGTTTCTTATCCCACAACAGCTTTGCCTTTCAGTGTCCTTTGTGGTGGTTTTCGTAGGTCAGTGGTACAATTCAACACTCTTCCAATAAGCCATAATAATAATTGTTGGCACAACTGTTATTACAACAGGACTTGCCTGGGTTCCATCTATTAATTTTTACAGACAGTAGGAAGCTCACACCGAGGAGACATTGGTAACTTCCTGGACAAGGGCAAAGAAAGGAACTAGCATATTGTACATACTGTGTACGTGCACAGAACACTGGTCTGTGCCTTTGGAGTGTTCTCAGAGGGGCAGGCCAGAAGGGAGGATTCAGGTAGGAAATGAATCTAGGACTTCTCTTGCCTTTGATGGTTACTGATGGCAATTGTGTTTCCCACTGAATAACTTGGTGGACAATTTTGATAGTAAACTGAACTCATACCGAGCAAGCACAATAGTCAATCCATAAAGAAAAGGGTGGCATATCATAATGCCAGAAACCTTGTCTCCCTAAGAGGTGATCATGAATTTCCTATACAGGGCAAAAAAGGGAAGAATAGCCTATTCATATTCTGTATTCACAGTTTGAAGGACCCATCACAAATGACCTTCAAAGACTGACAGGGGGCAGGTAGAAGGGAGGCAAAAATGCAGAGAAAAAGATGTTACCTTGAAAAATGAAGTAAGAAATCCTAATATTCCCGTAGTTGATCCTAAAGTTTGTTCCCATGTCTACGGTTATTTCTAAATAACTTCACTACACTTTGAAATTCCTTAGTGGTGGTTTATCAGTAATACTTAACTGAATTTTTCCGTTTCTATTCTTTGCTGCCAATGAATGTAATCTCCACGACTTGCCGTTCGAGTGCACGCACAGACACACACACATAATGGTATATGCATCATATATTACTCATTTTGTGGGAAACACAATGTATTATAATGAAAAAGATTCCAGCACATTCTTTCAGTGTGTTTCAGTGATAAAATTTTGTGGGGGAATAGAGGTATACATACTCTCTTTGCTGACCATATTGTTGAAATTATGATCTTAAGCAACACTGTTAGAAATGCTTGCATAAAGTATCTTCTCTAGTATTAATGAGTTGATTCACTCTGAATTGAAGGTTCAAAAAAATGCACTAAACAAATATTTTTATATCTGTGGTATTTTCCTATTAACTACTCTTAGTGAACACGTGACCATATACCTGATATCATTAAAAAGGAAAATGGCCTAAACGAAACGTTAAAAGTGGAGGTATTTATAAAGTCTTCTGCCAAAGACCATTGTTTAATGATCTGTAAAATGTAGATTATCTTCTTTTATTATGAATGTGATTGTAAGAAACACCCTAACATTCTCTAACTTTTGAAAATGAATATTTTGTATTTCTAAGGACCAAGGAAAATATTTTTTAAGCCAATGTAGTACACAGAAGCCTTGTAAATGAGAGGTACAATGACTTGGATCAACTGCATAATGCTAGATTAGAATTCCAGCATTTGATGATAAATTTATCAATCTTTCCTATAATTCTTATACTGCACTAAATTACATTTTGGAAATTTTAGCTAATCTTTTCAAATTAAAGGCACCAACATTAATGACAGATCTTCTCTAATATGAAAAGCATCAAAACATTCCCTTTCAAGCACTTTGAATGGATGAAAATTGCCATATAATTTTCCCACCTACCTAACCATTCCATGTAAGTTAACTGAGCAGTCTAACAATGTTGTACAGAAGGTTGACAGACTATGTGCACCAAGAATATTTAAGTTGTGCAGTTAGCAAGAACTAGCCATTTCAAATATACTCAAATGTTTTGTAAATAAAAATTTTGACTCCTATAATTTTGTTCAAACTGATGTCTTTTAAAATAATTAGATTTTATTTGAATTTTAAAAGTAATCTGTTGTAAATTAGATGTTACTTTGTTGACTCTGTGATTCAATGTACACTCAGCCATATTCCTGTGGGGAAATATCAATCTTACTGACTTTCATGGCATGAGCCAGAGATTCATAGTTTCCTTTAGGACTATAAGTATGAAGACAAAACACACCAAAATAAAATGCTAGTGAAGAAATTAGAAACCTATTGTATAAAATGTATTTTTAAAATCTTAAGATATATGTGATTTACACTGCCTGTTAATCTAGTCTCTTTGTGATTAAAAAAAAACATAATATTTGTTAAGACTCAGACACCAAATATTTGTGATGTTTGTATAGCACCATCGTTATATGTGATTTCAAAGGGTAAGCATCTCTGTCGTAATCATGTAAGCCCACAGAAGAATAAATTCCTGAGGTTATGTACAACCAACTCTCAGAATTCAGACTTCCTGCAGCTGCCATATCACCAATAAATGAGAATTGTGAAAAACAATTTTTAAAGAATTGAGTTTATGATCACTGTGCATTTTGTTAATGAATGATTTCAGAGTTTTATTTTTACCAGAAATGCTCTCAGCCAGTAAACACAACTGCTGATTTCAACCATACTATCATTTCAATGGTTTCTATATTCTTGATCTAACTACCAAAAACTGGAAGCTTGTTGCAAGGTGTGTCCTAACAAACATACAATAAATGACTCTTCCTGCATGCTGCCTGAGATATGTTGTAATTTGAAATGTCTTATCAAAAAATTATACATGTTATAACCCAAAGTTGAACTGGCAATATTTTTCATGTGTAAAATTGATGGTATGTTAATATCAAAAGCAGAAGCATTGTTTGTCATACATGTATGTTATATGTGATGTTTAATCGTGTTAAACTGTAATCTGTGAAGTTTTCATTGCCTGAACTAGTCAATTCTGTATAAATCATTGTCTTAATTGTTTTCCTAATCTTACCATATTTCCTAACACTGAAATATAAATGTTTGTCAATTAGCCATTCATATTGTATTGATCTTTATAAACTTTAGTGTGACTCCATTAAACTAACCTAAACAAAGGAAAATCAAAGCTTTCCCTGTCATAGGCTCAGGGACATTTTACTTACAGCCAAAATCATTTATTCATTGAATCAACAAGTATTTATTGAGTATCTACTGTGAATCAGGCTCTATACCAAATTTTGGGAGAATGCTTAAGAACGAGAGAAATCCAAACCCTATATTCCCCAGTGAGAATTTTTGAACTCTACCTAAAGTATTCTTCTGTAACTTCCACTGAGTTAAGAAATTATTTTGTTTCTCCTATGTTATAACAAAGATTAAAGTTATCCACAAAAGAGTCTTAAATTAAAATATGGCACATTCAGTCCAGGGAAATGCCACTATCACTCACCAAAGCATTGAGTCTCAAAGTCCAGCTTTAAAATAAGTTAAAATAAAACTCGATTTAAGAGATTTGACCGTAACTCTGGAAATAACACTTCAAAGTCCCTCTCTTGAAAACTGCACATTGTGTCTATTTCAAATCATTATTCTAAGGTTCTTTGCTGCACATAAAATGCAGCACCAGACCACACTTTTTCAAATGGTGCCCCAGGAGGTGATCAAGGATATCTGTAAAAGAAGAGGAAAATGGCTGAAAGGATAAATATGTATCCACAGAATACCATAGAGGGAAGAGGGAAAAACATCCAGGATGTTTTCTCAATGACTCATATACTTACATGTGCCAAACCTGTTATCACTGTTTAAAAGTGCTTGTGCACACACACACTCACAGCCAGACTCACATCTCCAAGCACATTTCCATTTCTCTTATTCAAGGAGATGCCCCCATTGTCTTTCAAGGTGAATTGTGGCCATAACAAAGATAAATGAGTCTCAGATTCATACAAGTCAAAAGCAGATGACCAGCACCTGGAAATACTAAAGCCCTGAGCTCCAAGGCAATTCGATAATTTGAAAGAAGCATGAAACCTTGTAGTTTCTGCCATTATGGTACTCGGGGTAATGAGATTGAAAAGTGGTCTATGCCTTGATCTTGGTATTTTAAGTTAATTTTTGCAGCACTTAAATATTCCTCTGAACCTATTGAAAGCTATTGTAACTTGCCATTCTTACAAGTATTCATTAATTCATTCACTGTAAATATTTGCTAAACATTGAAGGTGAGATTACATCTATCCATACAACCATATGTGTGCAAGACAGAACAGTGTACATCAATGCTGGTTAATAAAATCAGAAAACTCTGGATTTAAATTCTAGCTTTGTCAGTCTACCTGGGTAGTCTACCTGGGTAGCTCTTTCACCATTCTGAACCTCAATTTCCCTGTTTGTAAAATAAGACTGATAGTACCTGCTCTTTCGTGTTGTTGAAAGCATGGAATACAACAATTAACATTTGCTAAGTGTTTGATACAGTGCCTGATATTCATAAGGTACTCAATAAATGTTAGTCGGTGTTTATGTCCTATATGGTATATATGTCCCTTATGCCAGTGACAAAGACTCTCTACTTGACCAAACTTGAGTCAGGCCCCTCTGAGCCCTCTTCTCTCTACCAGGCCTTGAACTTGGGCTCCTTGTCAACTTAGCCTAGTTTTAGCAAGAATCCTTCTGGGTCAGTTTAGCAAAAATCTCCCATTCTTGATAGCTAATCAAATTCTTCATTCCCCACCTTTTCTATCTTATCACCCTGGCCTTTATTCAGCAAGAATACAGTTGAGTCAGTCTAGCAAGAATCCCCGTATAGACTTGCTGTTTCCTCTTAATAATTTTCTATCCACTGATCCCCACTCTCCTCCTTGGTGATAAATTTCCACTTGTCCTTTCTCTATTCAGAGTTGAGCTGAGTATCTTCTCCCTACTGCAAAATCCCACTGCAGTCAGTAATCTCCTTGTTGAATAAAATCTTCATACTGTCTTTAAGCAAATGTCTTTAGCAAACGAATAAATTTTTCGTTAACACCAGCACCATCTTTCATGCTGAAAGATGAAAAGACCAGATAAGCTGAGTTCTAACTCTCTTCATTACAGTCACTTCAGCCAACATTTATTGAATCCTTGCCAACAAACAGGCAATGACTAAGCCCTTTACTTGGGTTAGATCCTCGATCCTAATAAAACCCTTCTAAAAGAAGTATAATTTCTACTTCATTTTACATGTAAGAACTTGAATCTTAGAGAACTTAAGTACTTGCCAAAAATCACACTAAGAGGCAGAACCAGAGTTTGAATTCAAGTCTATCTGACTCCAAAGCTCAAGCTTATAATCATTTTGCAATTCTGTCTTCATAAAACTTGAAAACATCTGCTCGGTTTAAGTAAACTCCCAAAGTGACATGAAGTGATAAAATGATAGCAAATATCCTCCAATAGACACAACCTAGACAATCACAATGTACACCAGGTCAGTCAAAAAAATTCCATCTAGATTTGATGTACCACTCCACAGTAACAATCACCCTATATATCATCATAGAACTTATTATTTGTGATAATAGATTATGCAGAATATCATATCAGTAGAGAGACTTTAAATAGTATCCCCCAGTTCAAGGAAAGCACTCCAAAAAGTGTTTCATGCTTCATCAAGTCACCTTGGAAACAGTTCATCCAACGTCACTTTCAATATTTTCAGATAACCATGGAGAATGGATATATTTATTTCTTGCTGTTTTGGTCTGTCTCATCTATAGACATCTGATTTGGGAACAAAAATAAATCTGATTTCACTCACAAATTTACAATATAATTCTTTTCTTTTAACAAAGCAAGTTACAAGATTATCCAGAACAACAGCAACAACAAAAAGGACGTTGGCTGTGGTAGATAATCTAAGAGTGGCAACAATTACCAGTCCAAAAATGGGATTGAGCACACAAGGAATTTTCTCTTATTCCAAATGACCATTCTGTTTTAAGATTTCCCATGACATTAGCTATGTTGCAGCACTATTTTTATCATCTGTCAACAGCGGTGATTCTCCAATCATGCCTAGTCTCCATGCTTAATGGCTACAGGAAAAGATAATACAATAAAATTGAGAGATTCCCAGTAAATTCTTGATTTTTATTTAGATACTAATAATGAACATATTTAAATGTAGGCTCCCAGGATCCAACAACTTTACATGCTTATTCATGTGGAACCATAAGGAGCTCTTCCTAGAATCTATGCCCAGCCATTCAGTGGCAGGTGAAACTTCATTTCAAGAAATAATGGTGAACACACTGCAAATATACAACTAGTAAAATTTTACATTTGACCACTGGTACCTAAGCCAGATCCTTTTTAAGTGACTGACTCCATATCTCATCTGACTGAAAATATAATGCAACTAAATATTTTCAGAAACTGAGATGATAAATCTGTAGCATGTGAAGGTAACCTAAATGGTCCCAGGCATGTTTTATCTTTGTGAGCCATATATAACATTGGCTTTCATTACCAAGGATCTTATATTGTAGGAATATCTTTATTATCTGATAGCAATGCCACATTACTAAATAGGCTACATGCAAAAAAAATGCCCTTTAGGTTCTTTTTCTTACTACGTGTCACTAAAAACAAGGTTCAATGTAATAAGAGCTCATCAACAGAAAACAGAAAAATACAGCAAAAGGTCAAGCCTTTATCAAACAGCTGCAACTGTCTGACAGCTCTGCTGATTTTACTTGGTGAGAAAAAAGTGTTAACAACCTTCTTTGGTTACCATGAGAACTAGAAGACAAACAATCAAGCAAGTTTCTAAGAGAGAGAGAGAAAAAAAAAAAGCATGTGACCGTCTGTTTTAAAACTCTAGCCAACAAATTCCAAGTGTATATAAGCCCCAGCCCAAAAGAAGCCAGGACCTAAAGACGCAAATGAAAAAATCTTGTTCTTAATTAATGAGGGCACTCTGTTTGGGTACAATGTGAAAAGAAATTAGGCAAAAATCATGCTTCCTGCGGTTAGTGATTACAGAAAATCGGTACGTTTGTGAATGAGGCTACCACATGCTTCATTCCTTACACTTTGGTGGGGGTTCCACTAAGCCAGGGTTCCATAAGTTCCAGAAGAATGAACTCAAAATTCCTAACTCATCTCCTGTGGACAAACCAGAACGTAGACATTTCTCACAAACATCCTTTCCCAAAGGTTTTTCAATTCAATAAGAGCAGATTACCAGAGTGCCTGTGTCTTTCTGAAGATGATTTAAAGCCAAGTACAGACATTGGTTCTGTTCATCAAGAAACTCACCAGCATCAAAATGATTTTTTAAAAACTACACACACACAACATGGCTAATAAGAACAAAGACAATATGAGGGCCTTCTAGAATTGATGAAGGATGCAACAGAACAAAACCATAGGCAAAATGTCAGACCCTTTCAGGTCAGTTGACCAGGGCTCTCCATTTTACTGGAGACAAACGAAACCTGGGATACAGAAACTTTTTTTTTTTAAGTTCAGGGGTATGTGTGCAAGTTTAAGTTCAGGTAAACTTGTATCATGGGGGTTTGTTGTACAAAATATTTCATCACCCAAATATTAAACCTAATACTCATTTGTTATTTTTCCTGATTCTCTCTCTCCTCCCACCCTCCAGCCTCTGAAAGGGTCCAGTGCGTGTTGTTCCCCTCTATGTGACCATGTGTCCTCATCATTTAACTCTCACTTATAAATGAGAATATGCAGTGTTTTTCTGTTCCTGTGTTAGTTTGCTAAGGATAATGGCCTCCAGCTCCATCCATGTTCCTGCAACATGTTTTATAGTCATAGGAAGCACGGATGCTCAACCTGCTGTGACCTTTGAAAAATCATGATGCCTGAGTTTTCACTCTGTAGGGTGAATCCTATGAGTCTAAGCATCACTGTATTGCAGTTTTCTAACTCCTAATATTTCTCCAAAGGGGCAGTATACAGTAATGGTTAAGGGCATATATTCTGGAGCCAGACTACTTTAGTTCACATCCTGCCTCTGCTATGCTGTGTGATCATGATCAAATTATTTACTTTCTCTGTGCCTCAGTTTTCTAATCAGTAAAATGGGGAGAATTATAGCACCTATCTCATGGTGTTCCTGCAAAGATGAAATGGGTTAATATGCCCAGATCCCTTAGGAAAGTGCCTGGCATGTAGTGAACGTTATATAAGTGCTGCATACTATCAACGCTGACTGGAAGATCAGAGCTGTGATAGTGAAGTATGACTTCTTACTGTATGTTTAAGAAAACAGAGAAAAACCACGATAAACAGAAGCCACTGAGATGCAACTGGGAGGATACAAAAGTAAAACAAAGTGGTGACATGGAAATGGTCACTGAAGGGGTTCATTTTTATATAGAAAAAGAAAAGAATTAAGACTTTTCTTAAGGGAGGGAGTACATAAGGAAATTTGATGGGTTAAATTACTGATATAAACAATTAGTAATTTATGCTAAGGTACTCCAGTAACTTTTGCTTTATTACTGTATCATAAACAATACTGATATCAATAGTTCACCTTAATTCAGTACTAGCCACTGCTAGACACGTGACACACATTAACTCCTTCAACTCTCATTAAAAAAAAATAAAAATTAAAAATAAAATTAAAAAAAACCATGGCCGGGCACGGTGGCTCATGCCTGTAATCGCAGCACTTTGGGAGACCGAGGCAGGCAGATCACAAGGTCAGGAGTTCGAGACCAGCCTGACCAACATAGTGAAACCCCATCTCTACTAAAAATACAAAAATTAGCCGGGTGTGGTGGTGGTCGTCTGTAGTCCCAGCTACTCAGGAGTCTGAGGCGGGAGAATTGCTGGAACCCAGGAGGCGGAGGTTGCAGTGAGCCGAGACCATGCCATTGCACTCCAACCTGGGTGACAAAGTGAGACTCCGTCTCAAAAACAAACAAACAACAACAACAACAACAACAAAAAACCACCATGAGTCAGATATTATTATCCCTATATTTCAAATGGAAAAACTTGAGAAATAAAGAGGGTCCCTACTTTGTGAGGCTTATGTGGCCAGTCAGTGCAGAGCCAGCGGGAGGACCTAACTGACCCTAGAGGCTGCACACCACCCACTGAGCTCAACCACTCCCATGCAGGTATCAGGACACAGGTGCAATTCTGAAAACATCCAAGAGTTGAACTGATGAAAATAGTAACAGCTATAAAGAGAACTGCTCCTGAAATTTTCTCTTGTGTTCTTCTCCTTGCAGATTTTTGTGTGTGTTATAGTGATAATTTTATATTGTATAACTCCACCACTAGCAACAACCTCTAACTCTATGATAGTCTTAATGAATCTCTGGATTTGTTATTATTGCTATTGCATTTATGCAAAAAACTAGTATACTATTTCAGAAAGCTGCATAATTGCAGGACTAGTGTTCTGGCATAAATAGAATAAAAGTCATCCTCACATTATGGGTCTATTTTTTTTAAAAAGTTCCACCTGTCAAAATATTATAAATCAAGTCTAATTTTCCCAAATGGGGCAATATGTGAAAAATGAAAGATTAGGTTCATAACCACAAACTTTTTAAATTTTTAGTTTTTGTGAGTACACAGTAGGTGTGCATATATTTATAAACTCATATGTGATAAACTATTATGTTCTGAAATGTATCAAGTTTTCTAAGCTGAAATGCATAAAGCCTTCTAAAATGCATATAAATCTTTTCCAAAAGGCGACCAACTAATTGCAGGAAATTATATTGAAGTTGACATTGCGTTATAGAATACTTGACAAAGTTCTTAAGAATTCTTTTACAGTCCCTTCAGTATTTTTACTGCAAGAGATTAGAAAGTGAAAGAACATGCTTATTGTGATCATAAAATTTACAAATTATTGTTTTTGGGAAAATTTTACATAAACCTGCGAAGAGTCCCTCGGAAAGATGCAGAGTTGCTTAAGCATCCAAGCAAAATTGTATGTTGTCATCTGCATTCCACTGTAATAACACTGTAGCACTATATCTATGGTAGGCACAAGAGAGCCAGTCATTATTCAAGGTTGCGATTAATTTCTTCCCACTGGCAAGATGACAAATGACCACTTACACACTGCATAGGAGAATCTCTTATAAATAACATGTGTCTAATTGGCAAAGTGCTTTAAGGGTAATTACTTTGCATCAAAGACTGCCCATAGGAATTTAAGACTAAATCTACTATGACCAAGATAGAGCATTTCCATCTGATTTACTTATAATTGGAAACATTTAATAAGCTATTGTCTTTAAGTAATTAATTAAATGGAATTAAAAATGAGTTGGAAGGTTGTAGAACCTATAGAAGTCATGATTGTTTTTTTCTCCTCTGCCAAAATGCAGAAGTTTTTCTTCACTTCTGGGGAGGGTTAATTTTACTAAACTGCTATATTATTTCATATAGAATATGTGCAGAAAATTAACCCAAAGCCTCAAAAGCCATATACCTGACTTAGGGCTGGCACTAATGTATTTAATGAATGGATGGATGAATAGATAAATAGCCAGGAATAGTCAGGATCTAGAGTGGATGGGACCACTGTGGTGAATCTGGTATGTGGGATATATTTCAGTCCAATTAGAGCAATTAGAGCAGTGGTTTCAATCCTGGCCACACATTAATAGTGCATAGGGAGTGTTTAATATAAATTCTTGGCTCAGGACCCACCATAGGCAAATCAAATAAAAAATCTTTGCACATGACAGTAGGTGGTGGAGCTTAAGAATGGGTCTTTTTCAAATGTTTCCCAAGTAGAGTTGCTAGATTCTATAAAGAAAAATACAAAATGTCCAATTAAATCTGAATTTCAGATAAACAACAAATTTTTTAGTATGTCCCAAATATTGCATGAGACATACTAAAAAAATTATTTGTTGCTTTTCTGAAATTTAAACTTAACTGGGAGATCTTACTCTATCTGGAAACTCTGCCTCTCCAGTTATTTTACTGTATAGTATTGAGAACAATTGCATTTCACTAAGATGAGATAAGTGGGTGAGGCATGACATTAAGAAAATATAGTAGCAGCAAACTAGGATCTCAAAGACACCCAGCACGTGGCAACCAATGGTGGAGACATAGATTCAGAAACAGTAATGGATTCTGGAAAAACTAATGGACTTAAAGTGAACCCCCAGTTTTAGAGAAACTGGGCCACGAAATAAGAGCCTGGGCAGAAACTCAACTTTAAGGAAACAAAGTCAGAGACTTAATGGTTTAATACGATATACTATGGGTTTTGATGGACAGAGCACTGTTCTGTGGACTGAGTTAAAAGGTGAGAATGGAATTAACAAATAGGCAAGATTCTCCACTCTGGCACCAAATTATGCATCCAGAAGGCCTTAATACTATCTTCACTAAGGAATGAACTCATTCCAGGGCAGAGGCTATATAATTTCAAAAGAGTTCTGAAATGGCCTTAGTTTTGTGATTAGAAGCCTTTTGAGGTAAAGAGCCAGACATTTCATTACAGCATAATCAGCTAACAAGCCAACATTGACATTGATAACTCTTTAAAGTATCTCTATTGACCAGCACTTATGTCAAGGTAACAGGCCAAGAGAACAGTGTTAAGAGGTTAATCCTTAAACAAGATAAATGTCAGTCACTACCTGTAAGAGTTTTCTTTTGTGAACTGAAAATGGCAAAATAAAAGTAGATTTTGACATTAATGGAACAATCAAAGAAAGAAAGATTTGAGGAGTTTTTATCTTCCTGTAAAAATCCAAAGGTATCCCAGTAAAAACCATTAGAAAATATAATGGTAGACTATATCTCACTTGAAATGGCAATGAAAAAATATAGGAGCTTCCTCATTCGAAGGGAGGCAGGGCAAGATAGCAGAATAGAAAGCTCCACCAATCGTCCTCCCGGAAGTAACCAAATTAAACAACAATTAAACAAAGAACTAAAAATCAGATGAGAGATCACAGTACCTGGTTTTAACTTCTTATCACTGAAAGAGACACTAAAGAGAGTAGGAAAGAGTCTTGAATTGCCAACACCACTCCTCCCTCATCCCCCCAGCAGTGGAACCGTGGCATGGGAAGAGAATCTATGCACTTGCGGGAAGGAAAGTGCAGTGACTGTGGGACTTTGCGTTGGAACTCAGTGCTGCCCTATCACAGCAGAAAGCAACACTGGGCGGAGCTCGGCTGATGCACATGGAGGAAGCTTTTAGACCATTCCCAGCCACAGAGGAATTGCACTTCCCAGTCTGGCAAGGCTAATCTTGTGGGCTAACATGCCCAGGGTTCTAAATAAACTTGAAAGGCAACCTAGGCCACAAGGACTTCAACTACTGGGCAAGTCCCGGCGCTGAGCTGGACTCAAAGCCAGTGGACTTGAGAGGCACACAACCTACTGAGACACCAGCCAGGGCAGCCAAGGTAATGCTTGCACCAGCCCTCCCCTCAATCCCAGGCAGCACAGCTCACAGCTCGAGGACAGATTTCTTCCCTCTGCTTGAGGAGAAGAGATGAAAGGCTAACGAAGAGTTGGTTACCAGCTCAGCCACAGTACGATAGGGCACCCGGCAGAGTCCTAAGTCCTCTATTTCAGCCTCTGGTAGCCAGATGACATTGCTAGACAACATCCTTGGCCAGAGGAAAGCTGCTGACGTGAATGGAAAGACCCAGTCTTGGCAGAATTCATCATCTGCTGACTAAAGAGCCCTTGGGCCCTGAATAAACAACAGTAGTAGCCAGGCCTCTCACTGTGGGCCTTAGATGAGACTCAGAGCTGTGCTGACTTCAGGTATGATCCAGCACACTCCCACCTGTCGTGGCTATGGGGTGAGAACCCTCCTGCTTGAGGAAAGGAGAGGAAAGAGTAAAGGGAACTTTGTCTTTCACCTTTAAGCACTACCTTGGTAACAGTGGAGTAGAGCACCAAGTGGGCTTTTAGGGTCACCAATTTCAGGCATTGGCTCTTGGACAGCATTTCTGGACCTGCCCTGGACCATAGGTGAGCCCACTACCCTGAAGGGAGGGTCCTGGGTCTGGCAGCATTCACAACAAGCTGAAAGAGCCCTTGGGCCTTGAGTCAACATTGTCAGTACCCAGACAGTATTCCTGCAGGCCTGAGACAGTGGTGGTCACAAGGAGAGACTGCCTCTGCTTGTGGAAAGGGGAAGGGAGGGAAGGACTTTGTCTTGTGGGTTGGATGCCAGATCAGCCAGAGTAAAACACAGCACCAGGTAGATTCCTAACGTTTCTGACTCCAGGCCCTGGCTCTCGGACAGCATCTCTAGACACACCTGGGGTGGGGGGAACTAACTCACCACCATGAAGGGAAGGACACAAGTCAGGCTGGCTTCACCACCTGATGATTCTAGAACCCTAGAGCTTTGAGCAAATATAGGCAGTAGCCAGGCTATGGTTACCACAGGCCTTGGGTGAGACCCAGTACCATGCTGACTTCAGGTCTGACCAAGCACAGCCCCATTGGTGGTGGACACAGGGGTGTTTGTTTCATCCCCCCAACTCCCCGCCACCCCCACCCAGATCCAGGCAGCTTAGCACAGAGAAAAACTCTGTTTGGGAGAGAGTAAGAGAACAAGAATCTCTGCCTGGTAACCCAGAGAATTTATCCAGATCTTATCCAAGACCACCAAGTTCGTACCTCTATGAGTCTGCAAGAGACACAGTGTACCACAGTATTACTGGGCTTGAGGTGTCCCCTAATGCAGATACAGTTTCAGTGTCCAAATCTTAGATCACAACACCCAAGTCCCTTTGAATGCCTTCATAAGAAGGATGGGTACAAAAAAGCCCAGACTGCAAAGACTACAATATATACTTAACTCTTCAATACCCAAACACTAATGAACATTAAGACAATCCGGGAAAGCATGATCTCACCAAATGAGCTAAATAAGGCACCAGGGACCAATCCTGGGGAGAGAGAGAAATGACCTTTGAGGCAGAGAATTCAAAATAGCTATTTTTAGGAAACTCAGTGAAGTTCAAGATAACACAGAGAAGGAATTCAGAATCCTATCAGATAAATTTAACAGTGAGATTAAAATAATTTAAAAAAATCAAGCAGAAATTGTGAAGTTGAAAAATGCAACTGACACACTGAAGAATGCAGCAGAGTCTCCTACCAGTAGAATTAATGAAGCAGAAGAAAGAATTAGTGAGCTTAAAGACAGGCTGTTTGGAAATACACAGAAGAAACAAACAAATAAAAGAATAAAAAAGGGTGGGGGCAGTGGCTCATGCCTATAATCCAGCACTTTGGGAGGCCAATCTGGGTGGATTTCTTGAGTCCAAGAGTTCAAGACCAGCCTGGGTGGCATGGGGAAACCCCATCTCTACAAAAAGTATAAATATTAGCCTGGCATGGTGGTGCATGCCCATAGTCCTAGCTACTTGGGAGGCTGAGGTGAGAAGTTCAAGTGAGCCTGGGAGGCAGAGGTTGCAGTGAGCCAAGATCGTGCCACTGCATTCCAGCCTAAGTGACAGTGAGACGCCATCTAAAACATAAAATAAAAGAATAAAAAAGAATGAAGCTCACATATAAGATCTAGAAAATAGCCTTAAGAAGGGAAACCTAAGAGTTTAATCCAAGGCCTTAAAGCGATGGGAGAGAGAGATATAGGGTAGAAAAGTTTATTCAAAGGGATAATAAAAGGGAATTCCCCAAACCTAGAGAAAGTATCAATATTAAAGTACAAGAAGGTTATAGAATGCCAAGCAGATTTAACCCAAATAAGACTACCTCAAGACATTTAAGAATCAAACTCCCAAAGGTCAAAGATAAAGGACCCTAAAAGTAGCAAGAGAAAATAAACAAAATATAATAGAGCCCCACTATGCCTGGCAGCCAACATTTGAGTGGAAACCTTACAAGCCAGGAAAAAGTGAAATGACATATTTACAGTGCTGAAGGAAAAAAAAATTCTAGAACAGTATATCCAGTGAAAACATCATTCAGACATCAAGGAGAAATAAAGACTTCTCCAGACAAACAAAAGCTGAGGGATTTCAACACTAAGCTTATCCTAGAAGAAATGCTAAAGGGAATTCTTCAGTCTTAAAAGAGGACTAAGATCATCTGACAATACAAAACTCATCAGTAATAGTAAATACACACACAAAAAAACGCACAGAATATTATAACACTGAAATTGTGGTGTGTAAACTACTCATATCTTGAGTAGAAAGACTAAGAGATGATCCAATCAAAAATAATAACTACAACAACTTTTCAAGACATACACAGTACAATAAGATATAGAGACAATAAAAAGTTAAAAAGCTCAGGCATGAAATTAAAGCGTAGAATTTTATTAGTTTTCTCTTCGTTGTTTATTAGTTTGTTTATGCAATCACTTTTAAGTAGTCTTCAGCATAAAATATATTATTTGCAAGCCTCATGGTAACCACAAATCAAAAAACATACAACAGATACACAATAAATAAAAAGTAAGAAACTAAAACATACCACCAGAGAAAATCACCTTCACTAAAAGGAATACAGAAAGAAAGGAAAACACGACCACAAAACAACCGGTAAACAAATAACAAAATGACAGGAGTAAGTTCCTACTTATCAATAATAATGTTGAATGTAAATGGACTAAACTCTCCAACCAAAAGATGCAGAGTGGCTGAATGGATTGAAAAAAAAAAAAGACCCAGTAATCTGTTGCCTACAGGAAACACATTTCATTTATAAAGGCACACACAGACTGTAAATAAAGGGGTGGGAAAAGATATTCCATGCAAACAAAAGCCAAAAAATAACAGGAGTAATTATATCAGACAAAATAGATTTCAGGATGACAAAAACTACAAAAGGGACAAAGAAGGTCATTATATAATGACAAAAGGGTCAATTCAGCTAAAGAATATAACAATTGTAAATATATATACAGCCAATACTGTAGCACTCAGATATATAAATCACATGTTATTAGAGCTAAAGAGAGAGGTAGACCCCAATACAGTAACAGCTGAAAACACCAGCATCTCATTTTCAGCATTGGAGAGATCATCCAAGTGGAAAAATCAACAAAGAAACATCAGAATTAATCTGCACTACAGATTAAATGGATCTATTAGATATTTACAGAACATTTCATCCAATGTCTGCAGAATACACATTCTTTTCCTCAGCGTATGGATCATTCTCATAGGTAGACCATATGTTAGGCCAAAAAATAAGTCTTAAAATTTTTTTAAATTGAAATTATATCAATATCTTCTCTGACCACAATGGAATAAAACTAGAAATCAATAACAGGAATTTTAGAAACTATACAAACACATGGAAATACAAACAGTATGCTCCTGAATGATGAGTGGGTCAATAAGGAAATTAGGAAGGAAATTGAAAAGTGTCTTGAAACATGATAATGGGAATGCAACATGCCAAAACCAATGGGATACAGTGAATGCAGTACTAAGAGGGAAGTTCATAGCTTTAAGTGCCTATAGCAGAAAAGAAAAATTTCAAACAACAAACCAAACAGTAAAATCCTTAAAGAATTAGAAAAGCAAGAGCAAACCAAATTCAAAATTAGAAGAAAAGAAATAATAAAAATCAGAGCAGAAATAAATGAAAAGGAAGAAAGCAGTACAAAAGATCAACAAAATGAAAAGTTGGCTTTTTGAAAAGATAAAATCAAAGAACCTTAGCCAGACCAAAAAAAAAAAAAAAAGACAGAGGGGACCCAAATAAGTAAAATCAGAGATGAAAAAGAAGGCATTACAAGTGATACTGCAGAAATTAAAAGGATCATTAGAGGCTACTATGGGGAAGTATATACCAATAAATTGGAAGATCCAGAAGAAATGGATAAATTCCTAGACACATACTACCTATCAAGATTAAACTGTGAAGAAATCTAAAACTGAAACAAACTAATAGTAAGTAAAAGATTGAAGTGATAAAAAAAGTCTTCCAGAAAAAAAAAAAAAAAAAAAGCCAGGGACCTGATGGCTTCATTGCTGAATTCTGTCAAACATTTAAAGAATTAATGCCAATCCCACTCAAACTATTCCAAAAAATAGAGGAGGGGAAAATACTTTCAAACTATTTTTATGAGGCCAGCATTATCCTGATAACAAAATCAGACAAAGACACATCAAAAAGGGAAATACAGACCAATATCTCTGATGAGCATTGAAGCAAAAATCCTCAACAAAATACTAGTGGATCAAATTCAACAACACATGAAGATCATTCATCACAGCCAAGTGGGAACTATCCTTGGGATGCATAAATGGTCCAACATATGCAAATCAATTATTGTGATAAATCATACCAACAGAATGAAGGAAAAAAAACTATATGATCATTTCAATTGATGCTAAAAAAGCATTTGATAAAATATAACATCCTTTCATGATAAATACCCTCAAAAAACTGGGGATAGGAGGAACATACTTCCACAGAATAAGAGACATGTATGACAGATGCACAGCTAGAATACTACCATAAGAAAAATTGAAAGCCTTTCATCGAAGACATGAAACACAACAAGGATGCCCACTTTCACCACTGTTATTCAACATAATACTGATATCCTAGCTGGAGCAATCAGTCATGAGAAAGAAATAAAGGGCATTCAAATTGGAAAGGAAAAAGTCAACTTATTGTTATCTACAGATGATATGATCTTATATTTAGGAAAAAACCTAAACACTCCACCATAAAACTATTTGAACTAATAAATAAATTCAGCAAAGTTTCAGGATACAAATCAACATACAAAAATAGTAGCATTTTTATATGCCAACAGTGAACAGTCTGAAAAAAGAAATCAGGAAAGTACTTCCATTTACAATAGCTACGAATAAAATGAAATACCTAGGAATTATCTTAACCATAGAGGTGAAAGACCTCTACAATGAAAACTATAAAATATTGATGAAAGAAACTGAAGAGGACACAAAAAATGAAAAGATATTCCATGTTCATGGATTGGTAGAATCAATCTTTTTTTAATGTCCATACAACCCAAAGCAATATACATATTTAATGCAATCACTATCAAAATACCAATGACATTATCCACAGAAGTATAAAAAAATCCTAAAGTTTATGTGAAAAAAAGACCCAGCATAGCCAAAGCTATCCTAAGCAAAAGAAACAAACCTGGAAGAACCACATTACCTAACTTTAGCTCACACTACAAAACTATAATAACCAAAACATCATGATACTGGCATGAAAAAAGACATATAACCAATGACATAGAATAAAGAACCCAGAAACAATTCCATACATCTACAGTGAATGCATTTTCAACAACAGTGACAATAACATACATTGGGAAAAGAAGTCTCTTCAATAAATAGTGCTGGTAAAACTAGATATCCCTATGTGGAAGGATGAAACTAGACTCCTATCTCTCACCAAATACAAAAATCAAATCAAAATGGAATAAAGACTTCAATCTAAGACCTCAAACTATGAAACTACTACAAGAAAACTTTGAGGAAACTCTCCAGGACATTGCACTTGGTAAAGATTTCTTGAGTAACACCCCATAATCACAGGCAACCAAACTAAAAATGGACAAATGGGATCACATCAATCAATTTAAAAACCTCTGCACCGCAAAGTGAATCCACATAGTGAAAACACAGCTTACAGAATGGAAGAAAGTATTTGCAAACTATCCAGCTGACAAGGGTTTAATAACCAGAATACATAAAGAGCTCAAACACCTCTATAAGAAAAAATCTAATATCTGATGAAAAAGTGGGCAAAAGATCTAAAAAGACATTTCTTAAGACATACAAATGGCAAACAAGTGTCTGTATAAGGGTGTTTAACATCATTGATCATCAGAGAAATACAAATCAAAACTACAATGAGATACTATCTCACCCCAGTTAAAATGGCTTTTATTCAAAAGACAGGCAAGAACAAATGCTGGGGAGAATGTGGAGACTCGTGGGAATGTAAATTAGTACAACCACTACGGAAAACAGCTTGGAGGTTCCCCGAAAAAAACTAAAAATAGAGCCACCATATGATCTAACAATCCCGCTGCTAGGTATATACCCAAAAGAAAGGAAATTAGTATATTGAAGAGATAATCTGCACTGTCGTGTTTATTGCAGCACTATTCATAATAGCAAAGGTTTAGAAGCAACCTAAGTGTCCATCAATGAATGAATTGTTAAAGAAAATGGGGTGCATATATACAGCGGAGTACTATTCAGCCATAAAAAAGAATGAAATTCTGTCATTTGCTGCAACATGGAAGGAAGTGGAGTCATTATGTTCAGTGAAATAAGCCAGGTATACAAAGATGAACATTGCCTAAAATGAGTAATTTTTTTTTATTACTGGGACAGAGTCTCACTCTGTTGCCCAGGCTGGAGTGCAGTGGTGTAATCTCAGCTCACTGCAACTCCACCTCCTGGGTTCAAGTGATTCTCCTGCCTCAGCCTTCCTAGTAGCTGGGATTACAGGCACCCACCATCACACCTGGCTCATTTTTGTAGATTTAGTAGAGACAGCGTTTCACCAGGTTGGCCAGGCTGGTCTCAAACTCCTGACTGCAAGTGATTTACCCACCTCGGCCTCCCAAAGTGTTAGGATTACAGGCGTGAGCCACTACACCGGCCAGCACTGACTTTTTGATAGAGCATTTATATTGCTAGATTTTTTTTTCTGCAAGAGGTATGTCCACTTATTCACATAGACTTATAAAACATATTTCATTCAGCATTGTTACGGAATAACAGTTCATCAATAATTATGTCAGATCTACTTAATGAAAGACTACGTATCCTCTAAAAAGAAAAAAATTATGAAAAAATATATACAGGCAGGAGGAATAAACAACAATGTGCATGGATATGTACAGAGTTTCTTCAGAAGCATTCACAAGAAAGTGTTTTGAGAATTACCTTCTGGGACTGGAACTGAAAGATAAATGGTCAGGAGCACGTAAAACAAAACTATATTTTTAAATATAACATTTGTACTATTTGAAATTTGTTCCACATTTATATCTGACTAAACCAACAACAGCAACATAATGCATTGACTTTAAATGCATTGACTTTTTGATACAGCATTTACACTGCTAGATAATAACCCTCTTGCCTGCAAAACAATCCCCTTGTTTCTGAATCTCGTTGAGTTTTACAATGTCGCCATTTTCTCACAAAGCAGAATACAAATTCTTCCTAGCAGCTAGACTACCTTGACTCTGCTAAGCAAAACGGTAAGAAAAATGACGTGGTTCTTATTTGGATGCCATGTCATGTAATTGTATTAGAACCCTCAGCTTCAGAGGGAGTATCATCAGGGAAGTCAAGCATCCTTTGAGCTCTTTTCACTGAGGTAGATTCAAGCACTTAACCACTCCATACCTCTGTTCTGTGTTCATCTGAAAAAAATAAGAATTACGGTAATGCCTGCCTACTTCACAGGTTTGTATTATCAAATGAAATCATGTTCGTGAAAGTGTTTCATCAATAAATATTATTATCAGGTATATTATTCATTTTGGTCCCTGAAAAACACTTGTCAAAAACATTAGTTCAGTTTTACATATTAGTAATGTTGTTTTCTGATAGAGGAGTCACTGAACTATTTTCTTTTCTTGTGGAAATAAACCAAGAAAAGTACAGCTCATCACTCTCTTATTTTATGTTAAATATGACATGAGTTTTAACAGTCTTAACTTTCAGACATAGCAGGCATTTGAGGATGATTATATCTCACCCCGTCTCTGCCCACTGAGCAATTTTATATAGCCTCTCAGAAAATAAAGTTGATTATTCAACATATTACTTATATTCACTATTCATCTGCCTCTGAGTTTTTCCCCGTGATAGTTATAACCGTTTTTAGATCATTTCAGATTTGAAATATGACAGTTTATGAATAGCAAGGTGTCCGAGAGAAAGGACTTGTAACATGTTAGTACTGAAGCTAACTGAGGTGCAACAGGTGATTTGTTTATCGTTTTGCTTTCACTCTATGCAGAGATATCCTTCTAAAACACACCCTGCCTTCCTTTTCCTTTAATTCATGCCCAGAACTATCTTTTCCAGATGCCAGTGGTCCCTCCTAGGCTTCTTCTGGCTCAATATAAACCATGCCTGCTTTTGTACTAGAGCCTCAGGCAGGACACCCATGGCTAATTCTCTACTGTAATTACCACCACCAACCCCACCACATCTCTGCCTCTCCTCTACTGTGTGTAGTTTAAAAAGTTGGCTTTAATCAGCTGTTCCTCTTGCCTCTCTAGCCATCATAAATATTAAGGTGAAGGTTTTACCCCCAAAATTATCCCTCAGTAAAGAAGGAATCACATTTATCCACATCCTTACAAAACCTTTTTAAAGAAATGAGTGCAATCTATACAACTATATTTGGAACAAGAAAGTATCTTTTGAGTTAGACCCCTTAGCCTGAAATGCCCACAGTCAATGTTCATTTGGATGTTTATATAGGTCACATGATGAATTAGTCTGTGGACTACAAGAAAACGAGAAATCTAATAAAGGTGTAGTAGTTATTCCTAGGGTATGACCTCATCTCAGTGAGCGCCGGATATCATCATAGAGAAGCCTTTGAAAGATCATTTGAAAAATAAACATAATAAGTTATGTTGTGGTTATCACAAACACACACTCCCAAAATGAATAAAAATCAAGCATACTCATGTTTCTTAAGGATATTTGTGACTAGGGATAATAAATGCCAGTAAAGGCATCTGTATCATATACAGATTCCAAAGGACTATCGCTCAAAAAACCTTAGATGGAAATGAAAATGACATTCTCTGGAAAACTGTTAGATGATTCAAAAGCAGCTTTATTACTGAGGATGTTAATGCAGAATATTTATGTGTTTAAAACATTATGAAATATGAGAGTAGAAAATACTATATTACTAATTCTTTCTGAAATATGCTATTTTAATATGTCTGTATAAATAAAAAATGAATATATTTTTTATCTTTTTGGATGCTTAAAAGTTAACATATTATATCAAGTGAATCTGTTTTGTGTGTCTGTTTACTTTCTATTGGGGAAAATGGAAGATACCTTATGTGGAGTCTCCTTGCTCAGGTCTTGTGTATTAGTCATTGGAGTCCTTTCCGATCTTATGTATTTATACAATAAAGATAACAGAAACCCAGAAATAATGTTACATTTACAACTCACACAAAGTGGTTAATGGCAGAGATTGGACTAGAACCCATCTGTGTACTTAGGTCCATGTTCAGAAAGGAGGAAGCCATTTCAACCAGAGAGGGAATCCCAACAACACTACAGAGTCAGAGGTAAGTGTTGTGGGAGTAGAAAGTAATGAGGATAGTAAAGTGAGAGGCTCTATGCATTGGTGAGAAGAGACCAGGAAAGTCGGAAGACTATTTTCTTCCTAAAATAACTATATTCTATTCTACTGCAAAAATAATAAATGTCATGGTAGAAACGTGGTTTGGTTTCCTTTCTTCTGTGGACTAATTCTTCCTCCACTCCACAAAGTATTCCCAGGGGTGTCGAACATAGAGTTATGTGTGGTTGCATCTGTGAGGGTCCCTCTCTCCTGAACAAAGTTATGCATCTACATAGGTCATGTGATTCAAAGGAGCCAATTAGATTCATACTGGAGAAATTCTTTCTCCTGGGGTTATGAAGTAAAAATGATAACTAGTGTCATTGGCCACGTTTTCTGGCCACATGAAAGAAAATCATCATCTGTGAGGGAGAATGAAGTCAACATTCAGAGAAATGCAGTCAAGAAACCTAATGAAGAAGAGCATCCTGCTTTGAGCCTGCTGCTCTGGCTGTTCCTGAACACTTTCCCTAGACTTCCCAGTCATACACCACAAAACTTCCCTTTTTATTCAAAGCAACCAACAACGTTCTAAGCATATTGAGGAAAATATAGACAATCAGAAAGAAGAAAATAGAAATCAACCACAGTCACTACTCAAGAATAAACACACACACACAATTGTATGTGTAAATATGCTGCTTAATAAAATCATCTTTACTAACAATATAATGCAAATATATTTTCACAGATTTTACTGCCTATGTCGACTCTAATATTAACCAGCTATGTGAGAGTAACTCATCTTTTAAAATCTCTGTTTATCAGTTTTTATACCTGTCAAGCAAAGTTTGAAATTTGATCATTAGGATACCACAGCCAACATCATACTGAATGGTCAAAAGTTGGAAGCATTTCCCTTGAGAACTGAAATAAGACAAGGCCTTCTCATCACTCCTATACAAGATAGTACTAAAAGTCCTAGTCAGACAACCAGGCAAGAAAAATAAAAGCCATCCAGATAGAAAAAGAAGAATTGCTGGAAAACCCTAAAGGCTCTCTCAAAGGTTTCCCAGATCTGACAAACAACTTCAGTAAAGTTACAGAATACAAAATCAATGTACAAAAGTCAGTAGCATTTCTAGCACTAATAACATTTAAGTTGAGAGCCAAATCAAGAACACAATCCCATTTACAATAGCCACCCCCCACCAAAAAAAAAAAAAAAAAACTAGGAATACATCTAACCAAGATCGAACTCTACAAGGAGAACTACAAAACACTGCGAGAAGAAATAATCCATGTGAATATCCTCAATATAATACTGGCAAACCGAATCCAGCAGCACATCAAAAAGCTTATCCACCACAATCAAGTCGGCTTCATCACTGAGATGCAAGCCTTGTTCAACATATGCAAATCAATAAACGTAATCCAACACATAAACAGAACCAATGACAAAAACCACATGACTATCTCAATAGATGCAGAAAAGGCCTTCAATAAAATTCAACACCCCTTCATGCTAAAAACTCTCAATAAACTAGGTATTGATGGAATGTATCTCAAAATAATAAGAGTTATTTATGATAAACCCACAGCCAGTATCACACTGAAGGCACAAAACCTGGAAGCATTCCCTTTGAAAACCGGCACAAGACAAGGATGCCCTCTCTCACCACTCCTATTCAACATAGTATTGGAAGCTCTGGCCAGGGCAATCAGGCAAGAGGAAGAAATAAAAGGGTATTCAAATGGAAAAGAGGAAGTCTCTCTGTTTGCAGATGACATGACTGTATGTTTAGAAAACCCCACCGTTTCAGTCTTAAATCTCCTTAAGCTGATAAGCAACTTAAGCAAAGTCTCAGGATACAAAATCAATGTGCAAAAATCACAAACATTCCTATACACCAATAATAGACAAACAGAGAGCCAAATCATGAGTGAACTCCCATTTACCATTGCTACAAAGAGAATAAAATACCTAGGAATACAACTTACAAGGGATGTGAAGGACCACTTCAAGGAGAACTACAAACCACTGCTCAAGGAAATAAGACAGGACAAAAACAAGTGGGAAAACATTCCATGCTCATGGATAAGAAGAATCAATATTATGAAAATGGCCATACTGCCCAAGGTAATTTAAAGATTCAGTGCTATCCTTATCAAGCTTCCATTGACTTTCTCCACAGAATTAGAAAAAACTGCTTTAAATTTCATATGGAACCAAAAAATAGCCCATATAGCTAAGACAATCCTAAGCAAAAAGAACGAAGCTGGAGTCATCATGCTGACTTCAAACTATACTACGAGGCTACAGTAACCATAACAGCATGAACCTGGTACCAAAACAGATATATAGACCAATGGAACAGAACAGGGGCCTCAGAAATAACACCACACATCTACAACCATCTGATCTTTGACAAACCTGACACAAACAAGCAATGGGGAAAGGATTCCCTATTTAATAAATGGAGTTGGGAAAACTGGCTAGCCATATGCAGAAAACTGAAACTGCACCCCTTCCTTACACCTTATACAAATATTAACTCAAGATGGATTAAAGACTTTAAAGTAAGACCTAAAACCATAATATCCCTAGAAGAAAACCTAGGCAATAACATTCAGGACATAGGCATGGGCAAAGACTTCATGACGAAAACACCAAAAGCAATGGCAACAAAAGGCAAAATTGACAAATGGGATCTAATTAAAATAAAGAGCTTCTGCACAACAAAAGAAACTATCATCAGAGTGAACAGGCAACCTACAGAATGGGAGAAATTTTTTGCCATCTATCCATCTGACAAAGGGCTAATATCCAGCAAGTATAAGGAACTTGAATTTACAAGAAAAAAACTAACAACCCCAACAAAAAGTGGGCAAAGGATATGAAAAGACACTTCTCAAAAGAAGACACTTATGTGGCCAAAAAACACATGAAGAAAAGCTTATCATCACCGATCATTAGAGAAATGCACATCAAAATCACAATGAGATACCATCTCATGCCAGTTAGAATGGCGGTCATTAAAAAGTCAGGAAACAAGAGATTCTGGAGAGAATAGGAATACCTGTAGGTATAGGTATATGGACCTAACACAGGAACGGAAAACCAAATACGACACGTTCTCACTCATAAGTGGGAGTTGAACAATGAGAACACATGGACACAGGAAGGGGAACATCACACACCAGGGCCTATGGGGGGTGTGGGGCTAGGGGAGGGATAGCATTAGGAGAAATACCTAATGTAGATGACAGGTTGATGGGTGCAGCAAACCACCATGGCACGTGTATACCTAGGTAACAAACCTGCACAATCTGCACATGTACCCCAGAACTTAAAGTATAAAAAAAAAGATATAGTAAAAAAATTAAAAAATAAATAAATAAATAAATAAATAAATAATTTATCCTCTGAACCAGGACAAGCATGCTATGGAAGAGCTCATCCTTTATGTTATTGTTGTAATTATTTCCATCTGTAACATAATAAACAATTTATAGCATTCTAAAAAAAAAGAAAAAGAAAAAGAGAAAAAAATCATAGATGACACAAACAAATGGAAAAACATTCCATGCTCATAAATTGGAAGAATCAATATTGTTAAAATGGCCATTCTGCCCAAAGCAATCTACAGATTCAACACTATTTCTACCAAGCTACCAATGTCACTTTTCACAGAATTAGAAAAAACTGTTCTAAAATTCTTATGGCATTATAAAAGAGTTCGAAGGGCTAAAACAATCTTAAGCACAAGAAACAAAGCCAGAGACATCACATTATCCAACTTCAAACTATATTACAAGGCTACAGTAACCAAAGCTGCATGATACTGGCATGAAAACAGATACACAGATCAACGGAAAATAATAGAGATCCCAGAAATAAAGTGGCACAGCTACAGCCATCTGATCTTTGACAAAGTTGACAAAAATAAACGATAGGGAAAGGTCTCTGTCTTCAATAAATGGTGCAGATAGTTAGCTAGCTATATGCAGAAGTATGAAGCTGGACCCTTACCTTTCTGTATATACAGAAATTAACTCATGATGGATTCAAGATTTAAATGTAGGACCTGAAAACTATAAACATCTTAGGGGGAAAAAAAAAAAAACTAGGAGATACCCTTCTGGGTATTAGCCTTGGCAAAGAATTTGTGATTAAGTTCTCAAAAACAATTGCAACAAAAATAAAAAAGTAAACAGACAACCTAAAGGATGGCAGAAAATATTCACAAACTATGCATCAGACAAAGGTCTAATGTTCAGAATCTATAAGAAACTTAATTCAAAAAACAAAAAACAAATAACCCTATTAAAAAGTGGACAAAGGACATGAACAGACACTTCTCAAAAGAAAACATACAAGTGGCCAATAAACATATGAAAAAATGCTCAGTGTCACCAATCATCAGAGAAATGCATGTTAAAACCACAATGAGATTCCATTCTACACTAGTCTGAATGAATATTATTAAAAAGTCAAAACATAACATACTGATGAGGCTATGGAGAAAAGGGAATGCTTATACACTGTTGGTGGGAATGTTAATTAGTTCAGCCACTGTAGAAAGCAGGTTGGAGATTTTTCAGAGAACTAAAAATAGAACTACCATTCTTCCCATCAATACCATTACTGGGTATATACCCATAGGAAAAAAAAAAAACCATTCTACCAAAAAGACACATGGGCCCATATGTTTATCACAGCACTGTTTACAATAGCAAAGACATGGAATCAACCTAGGTACCCATCAGTGGTTTACTGGATAAATAAAATATGATACATACACACATGGAATACTATGTTGCCATAAAAAAGAATGAAATCATGTCAGAGGGGCCAAGATAGCTGACTAGAAGCAACTACAGTGTGTGGCTATCCTGGAGAGAAATTAAAGGGGTGAGTAAACACAGCACCTTCAACTGAAACATCCAAGTACTCGCATTGGGGCTGATCAGGGAAACAGCTCCACCCACAGAGAATGAAGAAAAGCAGATCAGGGCGACGACTCACCCAGGAGAAACACAGAGCTAACGGAACCTCCTCTACCAAGGAAAGCAGTGAGTGAATGTGTGACTCCAGGAAGCCATGCTTCTCCCGTGGATCTTTGCAATCCTCTGGTCAGGAGATCCCCTCATGAATACACTACACCAGCGCCTTCAGTCTGACAAACAGAGCTGTATGGAATCTTGGCAGAGTAGCCACTCGGGCATGTGCAGAGACCCAGGAGCTTTATGCTCTGGGCTTCATGGCAAAAGTGACTGTAACTCTGGCAAGGCAGGAGGTTGGACCTCCATACATACCCTTAGGAAGGGGGCTGAATCCAGGGCGCTGAGCAGTGACGGTCTGTGGGCCCCACTTCTACAGCACCTCACAGGATAAGACCCACTGGCTTGGAATTCCGGCCAGCCACCAGCAACAGTGTTGAACCTACCTAGGGTGGAGTTCCTGCGGGGAGGGTTGGGCTGCCATCTTTGCTGTTCGCTTGATTCAGCCACTCCAGTCTGTGGGCTTTAGAGAGTCCAAACTGACTGGGGGCAGAAGGGATCCACCAGCACAGTACAGCTGCTCTATGAAAGCATGGCCAGACTGCTTTTTTAAGCATGTCCCTGATTCTGTTCCTCTTGACTGGGTGAGAGCTCCCAGCTAGGGTCTCCAGCCATCTCCTACAGGTGTGTTCAAATCAGCAGCAGGTACCTGCCTCCCTGGGATAGAGCTCCCAGAGAAAGGGGCAGGCTGCCATCTTTGCTGTTTCACAACCTTCACTGGTGATACCTCCAAGTACTGGGAAATCCGAGGCAACTAGAGACTGCAGTGGACCCCCAGCAAATCGCAACAGCCCTACAGAAAAGTGGTCAGACTATTAAAAAGAGAAAGAAAAAAAAATCTAAAGGTCAGCAACCTCAAAGATTAAAGGTAGATAAACCCACAAACATAACAAAGAATCCATGCAAGAATGCTGTAAACTCAAAAAGCCAAAGTGCCCTCTTTCCTCCAAATCACCACATCAGCTCTCCAGGAAGGGTTCAGAACTGGGCTGAGTCTGGTATCCCTGAGATGACAGAAGGAGAATTCAGAATGTGGATAAAAACGACCTTCGCTGAGCTAAAGGGGCATATTGTAACCCAATGAAAGGAAGATAAAAATCATGATAAAACACTGTAGGAGCTGACAGACAAAATAGCCAGTATAGTGAAGAACGTAACTGATCTGATAGAGCTGGAAAGCACACTATAAAAATTTCATAACGCTATCACAAGTATTAATAGCAGAATAGACTAAGTGAAGAAAAGAACCTCAGAGCTTGAAGACTTTCTCAAATAAGATAGGCATAAAGAATAGAGAATAAAGAATGAAAAGAAATGAGCAAAACCTCCAAGAAATATGGAAGTATGTAAAGAGACTGAATCTATTATTGATTGGTGTACCTGAAAAAGATAGGTGAACGGAACCAATTTATAAAATATATTTTAGGATATCATCCATGAGAACTTCCCCAACCTAGCTAGATAGGCCAACATTCAAATTCACAAAATGCAGAGAACACCAGTAAGATACTCCACAAGAAGATCATGCCCAAGATACGTAATCATTAAATTCTCCAAAGTCAAAATGAAGGAAAAAATGTTAAGGACAGCTGGAGAGAAAGGCCAGGTTACTTACAAAGGGAAGTCCATGAAACTAACAGCAGACCTCTCTGTGGAAACCCTACAAGAGGTTGGGGGCCAATATTAAACATTCTTTTTGGGCTTTTTTTGATACAGAGTCTCACTTTTTTGTTCTGTTGTCCAGGCTGGAGTGCAGTGGCATGATCTCAGCTCACTGCAACCTCTGCCTCCTGGGTTCAAGTGATTCTCCTGCCTCAGCCTTCCTAGTAGCTGGGATTACAGGTGCCCAACACCATGTCCTGCTAATTTTTACATTTTTAGTAGAGATGGGGTTTTGCCATGTTGGCCAGGCTGGTCTTGAATTCCTGACTTCAGGTGATCCACCTGCCTCAGCCTCCCAAAGTGTTGTGATTACAGGTGTGAGCCACCGCACCCAGCCCAATATTCAACCTTCTTAAAGAAAAGAATTTCCAACCCAGAATTTCATATCTGGCCAAACTAAGCTTCATAAGCAAAGGAGAAATAAAAGCTTTTTCAGACAAGCAAATGCTGAGGGAATTCATTACCACCAGACCTGCCTTACAAAAGCTTCTGAAGGAAGCACTAAATATGCCAGTGAAAAACCATTATCAGCCACTAAAAAAACACACTGAAGTACACAAACCAGTGACACTATAAAGCAATCACACAAACAAGTCTATAAAATAACCAGCTAACATCATGATGACAGGATCAAATCCATACACATCAATACTAACCTTAATTAGTAAATCATCTAAATGCCTCTACTAAGAGACACAGAGTGGCAAGCTGGATAAAAAACCAAGACCCATTGGTATACTGTCTTCAAAATGTCCCCCATCCCACATGCAATGACACACGTGGTCTCAAAATAAAGGGATAGAGGAAAATCTACCAAGCAAATAGAAAACAGAAAAAAGGAGAGGTTGAAATCCTAGTTTCTGGCAAACACACTTTAAACCAACCAAGATCAAAGGAGACAAATATGGGCAGTACATAATGGTGAAGGGTTCAATTCAACGAGAAGAGCTAACTATCCTAAATATATATGCACCCAACACAGGGGGACCCAGTTTCATAAAGCAAGTTCTTAGAAACCTTTAAAGAGACTTAGACACCCACAGAATAATAGTGGGAGACTTTAATACCCCACTGACAACATTAGACAGATCATTGAGACAGAAAATTAACAAAGTTATTCAGGATCTGAATTCAGCTCTGGATTAAATAGACCTGATAGATATCTGCAGACCTCTCCACACAAACACAACAGAATATACATTCTTCTCATTGCCACATGGCACTTACTCTAAAATTCATCACATAATCAGAAGTAAAGCACTCCTCAACAAATGCAAAAGAACTGAAATCATAACAAACAGTCTCTTAGACCACAGAACAATCAAATTAGAACTGAAGACTAAGAAATTCACTCAAAACAATACAATTACGTGGAAATCAAATAACCTGCTCCTGAATGACTTCTGGCTAAATAATAAAATTAAGGCAGAAATCAAGAAGTTCTTTGAAACTAATGAGAACAAAGATACAACACACCGGAATCTAGGGCACAGCTAAGGCAGTGTTAAGAGGGAAATTTATAGCACTAAATGTCTACATCAAAAAGTTAGAAAGATCTCAAGTTAACAACCTAACATCACAACTATAAGAACTAAAGAACCAAGGACAAACAAATCTCAAAGCTAGCAGAAGACAAGAAATAACCCAAATTAGAGCTGAACTGATGGAGGTAGAGACACAATAACCATTTCAAAAGATCAACGAATCCAGGAGCTGTTTTTTTGAAAAAATAAAATAAAATAGATCACTAGCTAGACGAACAAAGAAGAAAAAAGATTCTAATACACGCATTTAGAATAAGGGGGGATATTACCACTGACCCCACAGAAATATGAACAACCATCAGAAAATATTATAAACACCTCTATGCACATAAGCTAGAAAATGTAAAAGAAATGAATAAATTCATGGACACATACACCCTCCCAAGACTGAACCAGGAAGAAACTGAATCCCTGAACAGACCAATAACAAGTTCTGAAATTGAGACAGTAATAAATAGCCTACCAACCAAAATGGGCCCAGAACCAGATGGATTCACAGCTGAATTCTACCAGATGTACAAAGAAGAGCCGGTACCATTCCTACTGAAAACATTCTAAGAAATTGAAAAGGAGGGAATCCTCCCTAACTCATTCTATGATGCCAGCATCATCCTGATACTAAAATCTGGCAGAGATTTAAAAAAAAAAAAAAAGAAGAGAAAGAAAAAAAGAAAAGAAAAAAATATCTTTCATGAACATCAATGCAAAAATCCTTAACAAAATACTGGCAAACTGAATCCAGCAGCACATCAGAATGCTTATCCACCAAAATCAAGTAGGCTTCACCTCCGGGATGCAAGGTTAGTTCAACATATGCAAATCAATAAATGTGACTCATCACATAAACAGAACCAAAGGCAAAAACCACATAATAATCTCAACAGATGCAGAAAAGGCTTTCAATAAAATTCAACATCCTTCATGTTGAAAACTCTCAATAAACTAGGTATTGAAGGAACATATCTCAAAATAATAGGAGCCATCTATGACAAACCCACAGCCAACATCATACTGAATGGGCAAAAGCTGAAGGCATTCCTTTTGAAAACTGTCCCAATGAAAGGATGTCCTCTCTCACCACTCCTTTTCAACATAATATTGGAAGTTCTGACCAGGGAAATCAGACAAGAGAAATAAATAAAGGCATTCAAATAGGAAGAGAGGAAGTCAAACTATCCTTGTTTGTAGATGACAATTTTATATTGAGAAAACCCCATTTTCTCAGCCCAAAAGCTTCTTCAGCTGATAAGCAATTTCAGCAAAGTTTCAGGAGACAAAATCAATGTGCAAAAATTGTTAGCATTCCTATACACCAACAATAGTTAAGCCAAGAGCCAAATCACGAACAAACTCCCTTTCAAAATTGCCACAAGAAAGAATAAAATACCTAGGAATACAGCTAACTAGGGAGGTGAAAGATCTCTACAAGGAGAACTACAAAATGTTGCTCAAAGAAACCAGAGAGGAAGAAATGGAAAAACATTTCATGTTCATGGATAGGAAAAATCAGTATCATGAAAATGGCCATACTGCCCAAAGCAATTTATTGATTCAATGCTCTTCCTATTAAACTACCACTGACATTCATCACAGAACTAGGAAAAAAAACTATTTTAAAATTCACATGGAACCAAAAGGAGCCTGAATAGTCAAGACAATCCTAACCAAAAAGAACAAAGCTGGAAGCATCACGCTACCCAATTTCAAACTATACTACAGGGCTGCAGTAGCCAAAACAGCAAGATACTGGTTCAAAAGTGCACACATAGACAAACGGGACAGAATAGGGAACCCAGAAATAAGACTGCATACCTGCAACTATCTGATCTTTGACAAACCTGACAAAAATGAGCAAGGAGGAAAGAATTCCATATTCAGTAATTGGTGCTCCGATAACTGGCTAGCCATATGCAGAAGATTGAAACTTGACCCCTTCCTTACAACTTATACAAAAATTAACTCAAGATAGATTAAAGACTTAAATGTAAAACTCAAAACTATAAAAACCCTGGAAGACAACCTGGGCAAAACAATTCAAAACATAGGCATGAGCAAAGATTTCATGATGAAGACATGAAAAGCAATTGCAACAAAAGCAAAAATTAACAAATGGGATCTAATTAAACTAAAGAGCTTCTGCACAGCAAAAGAAATTATCAACAAAATAAACAGACAACCAACAGAATGGGAGAAAACTTTTGGGAACTATGCATCTGACAAAGTTCTAATATCTAGCATCTGTAAGGAACTTAAATAAGTTTGCAAGAATCAAACAAGCAATCCCATTAAAAAGTGGTCAAATAACATGAATAGTTGCTTCTCAAAAGAAGGCATACATGTGGTCAGCAATCATCTGAAAAAAAGCTCAACGCTACTGATTATTAGAGAAATGCAAATAAAAACCACAATGAAATACCATTTCACACCACTCACAATGGCTATATTAACAAGTCAAAAATAACAGATACAGTTGAGTTTGTTAAGAAAAAGAAATGCTATACACTGTTCATTGGAGTGTAAATTAGCTCAACCATTGTCAAAGACAGTGTGGCAATTCATCAAAGACCTAAAGACAGACATACCTTTCAACCCAGCTATCCCATTACTGGCTATATACCCAAAGGAATATAAATTATTCTATTATGAAGACACATGCACACGTATGTTCATTGCAGCACTAATCACAATAGCAACGACATGGAAGCAACCAAAATGCCCATTAATGATAGACTGGATAAAGAAAATGTGGTACACAAATGCCATGAAATATTATGCAGTCATAAAAAAGAACAAGATCATGTCCTTTGCAGGGGCACAGATGGTGTTGGAGGCCATTATCCTTAGAAAATTAATGCAGTAACAGAAAACCAAATACCACATATTCTCATTTATAAGTGGGAGCTAAAAGGTTAGAATATGTGGACACACAGAGGGGAACAACACACACCAGGGCCAATCAGAAGGTGAAGGGTGGGAGTTGGGAGAGGACCAGGAAAAATAATAAATGGGTACTAGGCTTATGACATGGTTTAGCTGTGTCCCCACCCAAATCTTATCTTGAACTGTAGTTCCCATAAACCCCACATTCGGTGGGAGGGACCCAGTGGGAGGTAATTGAATCATGGGGGTAGTTACCTCCATGCTGTTCTCATGATAGTGAGTTCTCACAAGATCTGATGGTTTCATAAGGGGCTTTGCCCCCACTTCACTCCACACTTCTTGCTGCCACCATGTGAAGGACATGTTTGCTTCCCCTTCTGCCATGATTGTAAATTTCCTGAGGCCTCCCCACCCATGCTGAACTGTGAGTCAATTAAACCCCTTTCCTTTACAAATTGCTCAGTCTCGGATATGTCTTTATGAGCAGCATGAGAACAGACTAATACAGCGTAATACCTGGGTGATGAAATAATCTGTACAACAAATCCTCATGACAAAAATGTGCCTATGTAACAAACCTGCACATGTACCCTGAACTTAAAAGTTTAAAAAAATAAATAAATCATACTTTTTGCGGCAACATGGATGCAGCTAGAAGCTATTATCTTAAGCAAATTAACATAGAAAACCAAATACAACATGTTCTCACTTATGATGAATGGGAGCTAAACATTGCATACACGTGGACATAAAGATCCAAACAATAGACACTGGGGAACCCTGGAGGGAGAAGAGAGGGAGAAGGGAGGGAGAAGTGAGGGAGAAGGGAGGGAGGGGGGAAAGGGCTGAAAAACTACCTATTGGGCACTATGCTTACTACCTGGATAACGGGTTCTATTGTACCCTAAACCTCAGCATCACACAATATACCCATGTAACGAACCTGCACATGTACTCCTTGAATCTAAAATAAAAGTTAGAATAAAATTAAAAATCCAGCAAAGTTGGATAGGTAAAACGAGACCTGCGAATGGAAGATTTTAAATGCCTGGTAGAGAAGTTTGGGCAGCAGTAAACGATGGATGCCTCCTAAGCCAGAGAGTCTTCACAATTTCATTATTCTATATTCTTCTATTTTTTTCCTCTTATGGCACTATTGAAACTTTAAGATAGTCCCTCAAACACAATTAACCTTATTTTTTTCTTAGTTTCCTAAACTTTCCTGAAAATAAATTTTCATTTCTCTTATTATGTAAAATCACCTTTGTTATATACATAAGCCATGGTTGAGGTCTTGCCTCTGAAAATTAGAAGTTTTGAAAGCTCACTATTCCTCCCACTCTCATGGCCTTAGGTTCATGCTCTTATTTAAAATCCTCTCCTTAATCTAAGTATAATTGGTAGTACCTCAGCAGCTGATATAGCCTAGCTTCACCTCTCATCTATTAATAGCCTATATCTGGATTTCCTTTCAGATATTTCTAAATTTGATTCTCCTTCCTTTCAGCCAGCAAGCAACCCCAGAGTGAAGTCAAAGTAGGATATAGACTTTCATGACTCCTGGGAATTCTAGAAGACTGAGAAGGGATTCTCTCCAGAAAGGACCCTTCACTACAAAAGATCTCACCGCAGGGAGATGAGTAGAACCATTCATCTGCTGTGTGACCTGTGCCCCTTCTTACGGTAAATTCCTGTAGGGACAGGATTTCTAACAGCTCTTCCTGGAATTGGTGGATGCTGTAATGTATAATACACAACCTGAGAAGAATGATGCCGGACACAAAGCCCAGGTCTGCAGACAGAGGAGACCTCTTATTCCCTCGTCACCATCTCCCCTCCCACGCTGTGTGGCATCGTTTTACTTTGTCAGACACCCCATTTCCCAACACAAGGGGTTTCAACTGAGTTAACCTTTAATGTTTCACCCCCTTCAGTGATAGCTGGTCATTACCCTCAGACTAGTGGCTTTTAAACATGATTTCTTAGTACTGGCACCCTCTTTGAAAATGAAATCTGCAGGAGCAGAGGACTGTGAGAGAAGGTGAGAAGGGTGAGAGTTCCCCACGCTTTAGTGCACCTCGTCTCCTGGTCATCCCCAGCACTGAGATGTGAGGTGTTCCTGAACACTAACTGGCTGTTGCTTAGGAAAAGCGAGAAAAGGGCCAGTATCTTGAGTTCCTTCTGAGTGCACAACCAATCTGCTTGGCATTTGTCTCTATTATGTTATTATATTATTATTATTATTATTATAACCACCCACCACACAAATAGTATCCCTTTTTATTTTTATTTTTTTACAAATAAATGATGTTTCAGACAGGTTATCTTTTGCTTACATATTACCATGCAACACAGTAAATAAAAGAGCTAGAATTGAAGTCCTTCCTAGATTAGATCAAATTATTTAAACCTTGAATTTGGAGAAATTCCTAGAGGTGAAAGGAGAACAGAGACTAGGATTGTTATTTTTTCAGAGTGGGTCGGTCACAGTTGATGATAATTCACAGTTTTTTCTTGACTAATTGTTGACCTGCTAGAGGCCCATTGTGAAGGATGAGATAAATTGAGGTAGGGGTGAAGGACTAGCAGGGAATTTGGGAGCCACATTTGAGCTTCTTCTAAGCAGTGGTAAATTCTTCTGACTTGTAACATACAATCTGGAGACCACTACTAGGGTTTTTCTTTATTTCTTCTCCTAATATATTTAAAGACAGGGCTACTTATCTGAGCCAAACAGCTCTTGCAAGGAAAGGAGAGCCATGGTTTCATAAAAATGCCACATGGGTGACAAAGAGAGAAAAGAAGGAAGATAACAGCAAGGTTATTCAGTGGAGATTGCCAGTTATTCACAGTCCAAATGTGAGCTTGCCCATGTTAGTTCTGTGGGGTGGGTGGCTACATCAAGATGCCAGGCAGAGGTGTGGCCAGATGAAGGCCATTATTTATGGGGGCAAGAAAGCAAAAGATTAGTTTCAAATTCTTGCCATTATCCTTCAATCTCCCACCTCCACCACATACACAAGCATCTCACACACACACACACACACACACACACACACACACTCACAAAAGCTCAATATTTTGCCTTTGGAATTCACAGAATTCCATGTCAACCTTGCCCTGTGTGCTCATAAAAACAGCTCCGTAAGTGGAAAAAGGTCCTGGTCTTTAGGCTTCAAGAAAGACTGGGGAGGTTATCTAGCAGACAATAATTCTATAGGGTGTTTCCCTGCCTTCAGCTCCTTGGATGATGTAGGTCATCTTCATTTCATACTATTTTCCTGTCCGCTCATGATACCCAGTGAGACTGTAATGGTGGGAGCCAGCCACACCCAGTCCCTGCTGCCTAAATGGAGACTTGAGCTGCAGTACTGCTCCCGTCTCATTTATTGGGATTAATAGAGAAATCGTGTCACACAATAATATCAGTGAAAAAGACTGATCTGAAGGGTGATCTATGATACAAACATAGATAATCAAATTTATCTAGTGGGAATTGAGTGAATTAGTAAAGTCAAAATAAAATGTATAAAAAATCTTGAGAAGGGAAGTAAAAACAAAGACACTTACAGAATTATAAACCAGTTTAATCACAACAGTGAGGATAAACAAGAATGCTGAGTGAATCAAACCAAGTAGACTTAAGACCCAGTTAAGGCTGCACTGCGTGCATACTGCTCTGCCAGTCATAACTTCACCTCATCCTAGCTGGATTTCAATGAGAAAAAAACTGCATGCAAATAAAAGAAATTGTAATGAGGGAGCAGAATAGCATGTATTCTGATTTGCTTCATCTCAAAGGGAATTCTGGAGAAGCAGTTCTTGGAGAAGTTTACAATGCAAACCAAGATTATAAAAAGGGGTTAACTCACACTCCAGAAGGAAATAAAGAGAGGCAGATCCCTCAGTACTAGAGATCTGTTGCTCCTGCTGTTCTGGTAGAAGGCATGTAATAATGTCGGTTTTCTCCATCTTGCCTAGCTTAAACAGCCTAATACTGCCTTGTAGCTGGTGACCAGCACTGGGAGAACGCAGCTGCTCACCCTATCTTGTCACTCAAATTCCTTGTCCTGCCCTTTTCCTTGCCATCTTGCAGACAAGGAGTCAACAGCTAGAACTGACCAATGATCGTATGGCCAAAAGCAGCTTCAAGGTCTGCAGATCCTTTGAAAATGACCCTTACAAGCAGACTGGTTGCATTTCCAGGGGACAGTGATGCCTCTCAAGAAAAACAGCAGCCTGAGCTTTTGTTCTGGCTGGTGCAGGGCTGGGGAGAAAAGCCATTTTAGCAGCTGGGGCCTTAACTGTGGGCTGATGATTATAATAGTCCTACAGCACATAACAAGGTAAGAACCAGACCTCAACAACTGAGATAATTGCACCAGCTGTGGCCAAGGCTGACTTTAAGTAGTTATCACCAAATTACTATAAAACACCATGTGAGTCATTTTACATGTATATTTTAATCCTCAAAATTACTCCATAAAGTAGACACTATTGTCATTTTAAAGATTAGGAATTTCAGATTGCTTTCTCAGACAGCTTAAGTAATTTATGTAAAGTCAGACAGCTACCAATTAAGAGTCAAGATTTAAACTCAGGATTCCAAAGTCAGATGCTATTCCCCTGCCATGTCTCCTACTAAAAAACAGCTACTCCCTCACTCACTCCAGCCTGCATGACCCCAGAGGTCAGTATAAGGTTCACCTTACAAATTGAAAACTAGCTGCGAACAAGATGGAAGAAAAATGGTGCAGGGTGGCAGCAGTAGGGAAGGTAATGGGTGGTGGAAAGAGAGGGGCAAATATTAGCTTAACAGGCCTCGCTGGTCTCTGGTGTGGCCTCAGGCAGGCTGGCTGGCTGGCCAGTACTGAGAAGTGACTGCCCCAGTCAAATGGGCCTGGAATTTTAAAGGCAGTAAAATCATGCCACTGTCAAGTGGTAAAAGGGTTCAGTGCCTGAAAGCTGCTGCAATAAAATCTAAGTCCCTGGGGAAAATGTAATAGCTAAATCCTGCAAAAAGAAAGGCATCAAGGAGGTTTGAATTTTATATATAAAAGAGGCAGTTCACTGTGAAAGCTGATTTTCTCTCCATAAAGGACAAAGTGAAACAAGGGTCTAGATCAGGGATGTCCAATCTTTTGGCTTCCCTAGGCCACATTACAGGACGAAGAATTGTCTTGGGCCGCACATAAAATACGCTAACACTAATGATAGCTGTTGAGCTTTTAAAAAATTGCAAAAAAAACTCATGTTTTAAGAAAGTTTACAAATTTGTACTGGGTTGCTTTAAAACTGTCCTGAGCCTCATGTGGCCCGTGGGCCATGGGTTAGACAAGCTTGGTCTAGATGCATCTAGAAGGGTCTAGAAGGCAATCAGAAAGGTACAGGTCTCCAGGAAAAAGGAAACATTGGTGATTCAGCAAATTTTAATCTTCTAGCCTCTCTATAATTTGGTTAGCTCTCCATGGCTTCTCAAGAATTCTAGAAGCAGCTGGAAGTTACTGTGGTGCAGCCATCCCGCTCCACCTATGTATATGTGCACTATATAGTATGCTTTAATATAAGGCCTCAATATCCTTTAAAATCCCCCAGGGCATGTGAGGAGGAGGATTGAGGACGGACAAAGAGCTTGTTTCACCTGTGATCAGTCTTTGACCCTTCTGTGTGACGCAATTCCTTATGGAGTTTACCAGGAGCAAAACTCACAATTCAACAGATGGTTTCCACAATATCTTAAGAGGTAGGGTAGGTATTATTCTCTTTCTATGGAAGAGATAACTGAGACTTAGAGGGTAATATGTCCACTTGATATGTAAAAGTAATTATATTATTTATAAATTAAATTAAAATTATATGTAAATTATTATATTTGTTCCTAATGCAGTGTTCTCTGTACTCCATGGAAGGGGGAATATGGTACCTGGTGTGGACTGATCTAGAATGTGTAGCATCTAAATGTGGCAGGAAAAGTACAGAAAGGGTCACCAAAAGCTCCAAACACCTGCTCATTTGGGAGCTATTAACAGCTGGAGGAAGGACACTTTGCCTCATATTTGGAGTCAGATAAGGAGCATCAGTCATCTCACTCTGGTTTCCTGAGCTATGTTCACCAAGGACCACTCGACCCCTTGCCTTCTGTCTCAACCCCATGCTCTCCTCATTCAGGCACTGTTATGGGTTAAACTGTGTTTCCCTCCCCCAACTCCGTCAAAAAGAAGATATGTTTAAGTCCTTACCTCCAGTACCTCAGAATGTGACTTTATTTGGAAAATGAGTCTTCAGGGGTATTCAAATTAAAATGAGCTCATGAGGATGGGTCTTAATTCAATGTGACTGGTGTCCTCATAAAGAGGGGAAATTTGGACTCAGAGGTTGATGCACACAGAGGGAAGATGACATGCAGACACACGGGGAGAATGCCATGTAAAAATGGAGGATTGGAAAGATGCACCCAGAAGTCAAGGAACTCCTAAGACTACCAGAAGCAAAAAGAGACGCATGGGGCAGTTCCTTCCCTAGAGGCTTCCGAGGGAGTATAAACATGCTGACACCTTGATTTGAGATTTCTGGCCTCCAGAATGGTGAGACATAAATCTATGTTGTTTAAGACAGCCAATTTGTGGTACGTTATTATGAGAGAAAACTAATAAAGCTATCTTTTCCTACCATATGCTCCCTCCCTTCCCCAAACTTGGGTAACTCGGGTGAGGTGTCAGACTTGTCCTTTTCCATGAGGATACCACAGAGAGGTCAATCTTTTGTATTTTACTACTAAGGCTTTTTCTACCTCCTAACTTCGACTTCTAATGTCTCTTCCTGGACTTTTACATCTAATGTTTTGCATTTCAAAATATGTTTCCTGCCAGTTGATCCAGGCCTAGCTGTGTTCTGGTTGATTCACCCTTCTCAGCACAGTGTGTAGTTAATCAGAGGACACGTTCCACTTCATTGACTCCATCCACAGAGATAGTCATTTGAAAACTTAAATGTAGGTCAGAATTACCTGGAGGGCAGATGTATGTGTATAGATTGCTGGGCTCTAGCCCCAGAGGTTCTGATTTAGTAGACCTGGGACAGACCCCGAGAATGTTCATTTTTAACAAGGATCCAGGTGCTGCTGGTCTGGACACCTTGCTTTGAGAATCGTAACACTGAGATACTCATGTTTGGTTGGGGGTGAGGGGAGAGCACAGTTAACATGTGCAGGAGAGGTTAGAAGGGAAAGAAAATTCAGGCTGCAGAATTTCAAACTGCCTGGAATATCTAGTGCCCATTTTTAATATGTTTGCCGTACAACATTGAAAGAACCATGACAGATTCTTTTTTTAATTTGACTTTTAAGTTCATGGGTATGTGGGCAGGCCTTTGTTATATAGGTACATTTGTGTCATGAGAATTTGTTGTTCAGATTATTTCGTCATCCAGGTATTAAGCCTAGTACTCATTTGTTATTTTTCCTGATCGTCTCCCTCCTTTCACCCTCCACCCTCCGATAGGCCCCAGTGTGTGTATGTTATTCCTCTCTTTGTGACCATGTGTTCTCATCATTTAGCTCCCATTTCTAAGTAAGAACATACAGTATTTGGTTTTCTGTTCCTGCATTAGTTTGCTAAGTATAATGGCCTCCAGCTCCATCCATGTTCCTAAAAAGGACATGATCTTGTTAGTTTTTTATGGCTTCATAGTATTCCGTAGTGTACATGTACCACATTTTGTTTTTCCAGCCTACCATCAATGGGCATTTTGGTTGATTCCATGTCTTTGCTATTGTGAGTAGTGCTACAATGAACTTATGCGTGCATGTGTCTTTATGATAGTATGATACACATTTTTTTGGGTATATACCCAGTAATCAGTATATAATATACCCAATATTCTATCATAAATGGTATTCTTGAAACAAGTAGATTTGTGTCTGGACATTTAAAAGGGAAAAAATGTGTGTATCTTTTTATCTTATGAATCGATCCCACATGAAAGTGGAGTAATTCTCCCACCTACTCACCCACCAGATTTTATAGTTCAAGAGCCCTGAAGGGTTGTTTTGCAGCTCCCAATTTTCTGCAATAACTGCATGACCATCTATAATGGTTGTTTCTCTTCCTTCCCATGAGAGTCATTCTTTAAGATTAAGCTATCCTAGGAAGTAACACTTAAATGCGAACACTTTGAGAGGGTGGTAAGTCATTAAGAGGCAATAAGCATGGTGGTTAAGAGTGTAGCCTTTAGAGTTAGATGGTCTCAATTGCAATTTCTATTCTGCAATGTACAAGCCCTACGAGCAAGTCACTCCACCTCTCTGTACCTAAGTTCCATCTTTCAAATGAGGAAAATAATACTATATCCTTCCAGAGTGGTTATGAGAACATAAGAAGTGAATCCAGTTTATGACATGTAGTAATCTCTCAATAAAGTCTTGTTATTGTTAGTTTCACCCCAATATTTTCCATGAACATCTTAGCATAAATTCCTTTGTTAGATAAACAGTCTGCCAATAAGTAAAGCAAAGTTTACCTCCTCGTATAGGAACTGTATTCAAGGTCATGAGGTTGGAACACTACTTTAGGACAGCAGGGCATGCAAGAGGTATGCGTGCGTGCACACACACATGCACGCACACACACACGCACCCAAAAAGGATAAATGATAATGAAGTAGGAGATGCAGGGATAAAGTTTAGTTCCTTGTGTCGCCATGTTGCCTATGGCTGGACGAGAGGGCTCCTATGTTACAAATTAGCCTAATGGTCCTGGTATTTGTTTGTTTATGCTTTTTCTTTCTGGAAATGAAGACTAATCTGTATTAACTAAATCCACAGGAAAGAGTCCTTGGATTTCTTTCTCTCCAAATAACATTTAGATGAGTTCAGTATAAATGAATACAAAACAGATGGATTACATTGTCACTTAAGTACACACGAGGTTGAGGAGCAAATGGAAAAGGCAGCTAACAAAATACATTCAGTTCACTGAACTTCAAACACTTGAAAAGGTATCTGAAGGTGGAGTGCATCCAGAATGCAGCACTCCAGACCATGAGCCCTCTGTCTCCTCTGTCTGGGACTTCCCAGAGTTCCTGTCTTATACCCATCTCCCTCTGCTTTCACTAGATGCTGCATAAACAAGCAGCAGAGCTTCATTTTATTATTATTATATTTTAAGTTCTAGGGTACATGTGCACAATGTGCAGGTTTGTTACATATGTATACATGTGCCATGCTGGTGTGCTGCACCCATTAACTTGTCATTTACATTAGGTATATCTCCTAATATTATCCCTCTGCCCTCCCCCCACCCCACAACAGGCACCGGTGTGTGATGTTCCCCTTCCTGTGTCCATGTGTTCTCATTGTTCAATTCCCACCTATGAGTGAGAACACACAGTGTTTGGTTTTTTGTCCTTGTGATAGTTTGCTGAGAATGATGGTTTCCAGCTTCATCCATGTCCCTAGAAAGGACACGAACTCATCATTTTTTTATGGCTGCATAGTATTCCATGGTGGATATGTGCCACATTTTCTTAATCCAGTCTATCATTGATGGACATTTGGGCTGGTTCCAATTCTTTACTATTGTGAATAGTGCCGCAATAAACATATGTGTGCATGTGTCTTTATGGCACCATGATTTATAATCCTTTGGGTATATACCCAGTAATGGGATGGCTGGGTCAAATGGTATTTCTAGTTCTAGATCCTTGAGGAATCGCCACACTGTCTTCCACACTGGTTGAACTAGTTTACAGTCCCACCAACAGTATAAAAGTGTTCCTATTTCTCCACATCCTCTCCAGCACCTGTTATTTCCTGACTTTTTAATGATCACCATTCTAACTCGTGTGAGATGGTATCTCATTGTGGCTTTGATTTGCATTTCTCTGATGTCCAGTGATGATGAGCATTTTTCCATGTGTCTGTTGGCTGCATAAATGTCTTCTTTTGAGAAGTGTCTGTTCATATCCTTTGCCCACTTTTTGACGGGGTTGTTTTTTTCTTGTAAGTTTGTTTGAGTTCCTTGTAGATTCTGGATATTAGCCCTTTGTCAGATGGTAGATTGCAAAAATTTTCTCCCATTCTGTAGGTTGCCTGTTCACTCTGATGGTAGTTTCTTTTGTTGTGCAGAAGCTCTTTAGTTTAATTAGATCAGTTAGCGTGCGGTACTTATACAGCAAAGCTTCATTTTTATCATGAAAACACATTCCAATGATAATATTATACTTTAACAGTGAAACTGCTCTAAAAATGCTCTACTTTTGAAACTTGCCTTCAAGACTAACTTGTATTTTTTGCCCCAAAAAGGTTAAATAATAGGAGATGAAAGTTAATGACCATATCATCTTAAATCTATCACTACTATATTTACTCATGTTACTGGCAGGAATATATCTAGCAACCACAATGTGTGTTAAATGAATAAATGAATGTGCAAGTATTGTGTCTTAACTCGAGCAATAGTGGACACTAGGATGAGTGATGTGCCTTCAAAGACATTACCCTTCAAAGAGGGAAATAAAACACATACACAAAAATCAGGATAAAAAGAATGAGATGGTTCCACATTCGTGGGCAGAGTTATACATGTTTAGCAAGCAGAGTCCCCAAGAGAAGCAAAGAGGAAATTATGAAAGAGATTTAAATTCTTACCCTGTCTTTACCACTCACTGGTTATTCCCCCCGGCAAGTCATTCTGGGCTGCAGCTGACCTATCTATGCATGGGTAGACTAAGTTAGTTTCCTAGCACAACATCTTTTTTATATTTTGTAAATAAAATCTTAGATTTCAATAGACAGTTCTCTAAGGAAGATATCCAAGTAGCCAACAGGTATATGAAAAGATGCTCAATCAATCTCACTAAGCATATGGAAAATGTAAATCAAAGCCACGATCAGATATCACTTCACAACTATTAGGATGGTTACTATCGAAAAGTCAAGAGTTACCCAGTGTTGGTGAGGATGTGGAGAAAGTGGAATCCTTACACAATGTTGGTGAGAATGCAAAACAGTGCAGCTGCTATGGAAAACAGTAAGGATATTCCTCAAAAAATTAAAAGTAGAATTACCATATGATACAGCAATCTTATTTCTGGGTATTTATCCAAAGAAATGAAATCAGGATCCCAAAGAGATATCAGTACAACTCCAATATTCATTACAGCACTATAAACGAGATGTAGAAACAATCTAAATGTCCACTGAAGGATAAATGGATAAAGGAAATGTGGCATATACATACAATGGAATACTATTCAGCTAAAGAAGCAGAACAAGACGACGAAGACGAAAAAGAGGAAGAAGAGGAAGAAGAAGCTGCTGCTGCTATATGACTACATGGGATGGGCCTTCAATAATTAAACTAAGTGAAATAAGCCAGTCACAGAAGGACAAATACTGTGTGATTCCACTTATATGACATATCTAAAAGAGTCAAACTCATAAAATAAGGGAATAGAAGGGCGATTGCCAGAAGGTATAAGAAGGGAGAAATGGGGAGGTGCCAATAAATGAGCATATAGTCTCAATTATGCAAGATGCATAAGTTCTAGAAATCTGCTGTGCAGTATGGTTCCTATAATTAACAATACTATACACTTAAAAATCTGCTAAGAGGATAGATCTCATATTAAATATTCTTACAATAAAATAAATGTTCTCTTTAGGAAAGAAATCCTAACACAAAATTCCAATACATTAAATAGGTAAAAACAGAGCTTTTCCAGGAGACGTTAGGTAGAGACCCCCTAAATACCATGTTACCCACATCACACAAGAGAGGTGGAAAACTCTGGACGAGATGCTTAAAAGTATCATCAGGTCTGAAACTCATAAGCCTGAAAAATCACTCCTAGATAAAATGAGCAAAAAATAGTTTCAAAGGAGAAGCAAAAAAAAAAAAAAAAAAATAGGATAAATACAAAGGAATTTAAGGAAAGGATACTTCCTCATGGTCTAGGGATCTTTAAGCAGCCACAAGCATCCTGCAATGATGAACTTGTCCACTCTCCTGGAGCAAGATGAACAGAAGGGTCATTGACTTTGGAGTCAGATAGCTGCGTTTAAATCTTAATTCTTCTGTGAACATAGCTGGGTAACTCTGAACAAAGCCCTTTATTTCTCTGAACCTCATTTCTACTTCTTCCCCCTCCCCAACCCCACGCTGGAGTGCAGTGGCATGATCTCGGCTCACTGCAACCTCCACTTCCCAGATTCAAGCAATTCTCCTGCCTCTGCCAGCCCCACTCCCGAGTAGCTGGGATTACCAGCACCCACCACCACACCTGACTAATTTTTGTATTTTTAGTAGAGACGGGGTTTCACCATGTTGGCCAGCCTGGTCTCAAACTCCTGACCTCAGGTGATCCACCCACTTCGGCCTCTCAAAGTGCTGGGATTACAGGTGTGAGCCACCACTCCTGGCCCACTTCTATACTTTTAACATGATTTAAATAATGTGCATCCCACAGAGTTGTACATTTTAAGTAAATAATGTGTACGTGTATTCATTTTTAATTGCAGTTAACACACAACATAAAAAAATTATCATTTTAACTGTTTTAAGTGTACCATTTAGTAATGTTAAGTGTATTCATATTGTTGTAAAACAGCTCCAGAACTTTTTTATCTTCAAATCTGAAACTCTATGCCCATTAAACAACAGCTCCCCTTTTCTCCCTCCCTGTACTCCTTGGTAACTAACATTCTACTTTCTGTTTTATGAGTTTTACTACTTTAGTTACCTCATATAAGTAAAATCGTATCGTAGTTGACTTTTTGTGACTTATTTCACTAGGATAATGTCCTCAAGTTGTAGCATGTAATAGGATTTCCTTCCTTTTTGAGGCTAATGTTTCATTGTAAACATATATCACATTTTATTTATCCATTATCCATTGATGGACAATGGGTTCCTTCTACCTGTTAGCTATAGTGGATAGTGCTGGTAAGTGAATAGTATATTTTGACAAGCCTGATTCTCCCCAAATATTATCTTTGTCATTTGATGTGGTTTTTGCTTTTTAGAAAAAAAAAAAAAGATTACATGCCTTGTCATTTGTATTTAACTAAATTTTCTGTTCTATCAACACTATAATATCCATTTTTCTTGTAATCAATAACACTCATTTATGACTAACAGGCCAGGGCAAATATGTGATGAATGGGCTCATAATAAAGCATAAAAATCTAAAGTGTCTCGTTAGGTATTGTCTTAGGGTTTTTTGTGCTGCTACAGTAGAATGCCACAGATGGGTAATTAATGAAGAACATAAATGTATTTTCTCACAATTCTGGAGGCTGGAAGTCCAAGATTAAATTACTAGCATTAAGCATCTGATGAAGATCTTGATGCAGCCTCACATGGCAGAAGGTGAAATGGCAAGCTAGCCAAATGATACATGAAGCCTCTTTTTAAAAGGTCTTAATCCCATTAATGAGGAAGCAGCCCTTGTGGCCTAATCACTTCTTAAAGGCCCAACCTCCTAACACGATCACACTTGCAACACCTGAATTTTGGAGGAGACACATTCAACCCATAGCAGGTATTGAACCCACAACAATGACATCATGATACGATGATTCAATTGAAATCAGCAGATATTGTCTTCTACCACAATATTGCCTTCTCCTGACCTAAAGCAGCAAATCAAAACTGAACAGATCATCGTGAATTTTCATTAAAATGCTCTGGTATTTTGTATTTTCTCCATCTTTTTTGTATTCATGTTTTCAAGGAAAGTCCCAACTAGCTAGCATGCATCTTGGTACGGGACAGATCTTGTCCCTGAACTCTTATCTCCTTTTCTAATCCGTTGGCTGGATCAAACAATCCACAAATAAACCTAAAATGACCTTCACTGCTTTGTTGTGAGTTAAAACATTCCAAGCAAATTGTGCTCTTATATGAAAAATGCTCGTCCACCAATGACACTACTATCAGTATCAGCCAAGATAGAATTACTTTAGTGATCATCTGTAAGATTATCAGCCTAGCACTCCTTTTCTGCCCCTTTCAATGTAGTTTTCCTCCCCACTTCTACATAATCTGCAATGGTATTTTTCATATCAGGACATTATTTTTGACCACAATTTCTTCAAACATTTTGTTGCCTCATTTCTAAGAATCCAATTTTAATGTATGTTTGATCACAAAATATTATGCCACAGTCAAGGACTCTGTTCATATTTATAATAGCTCTTTTAAAATTCTTGTTTGCTAATTCTATAGATATATAAAATAATTCTATCATATCTAATTTCTGAGTCTGTTTCTAGAGATTGATTTATTTCCTTGTTATTGGTCATATTTTCCTGTTTCTTCACCTAATGATTTATTATTGGATGCTGGACAATGTCAGTATATTTTGAGTATCCAGATTTTGTTGTTTTTCTTTAAATACTATTAGGCTTTGTTCTATCTGGCAATAAGTTTGCTTGTGGATCATCAAGCCCTTTAAGACCATTTATAAAACTTTGTTAGGATGACTCTGGGAATTATTCAGTTTATCAGCTCTTTGATAATTTGTTCTTTCCCCAGAAGTTGTTTGTTGCCTAGGTGGTCTTGTGGATTTCACCTTTAGATGTGCAGATGTGTATTTGTCCAAGGAACTGAGGAGACCCCTGTGCAGATTCCATAGCTCTTTCTCTGGATAGCCTTCTCCTCTCTAACATCCTGCACCACAAATTGTAGACACCCTAGTCCCACCAAATTCTGATCTCTGTAGTCTCAGCTCAGCAAGACCACTTTTCCCTGTTTGGGTTCCCTCTCTCTGTGCATAGCCCAGAAACTGCCTCCAGGCTGCAAGCTGGGATTGTCACACTGCTTGCCTTGTTGTTTGGCTTCTGTCAGGATCCACAGTCGTATGTCCTGACAATGGTAAATGATGGAAACAGTTGTTTCCTGTGTTTGGTACACTTTGCAGGTTTTTTATACTGGGTGGGCTATCCAGGTATCAGCGACTCTGTCATGGCCAGAAGAAGACCAACAGTCATTGTTTTTGATATCCTATTATACACCGTTGGTTTTATGTTCATTATCTCGATTCCTTACAACCACTGCTGAATAGTTGGTGTTTTCATTTTACATACGAAAGACCGTAAATTCGGAGAGGTAGTATCATTTGCTCAAGATTACATTGCCACTAAATTAGGTCTATCTTATTTCAAAGACAACTCGAAGCAATTAGTAGATCATTTCCTTTTTAATGCCTATTATAGCTTTTCTTGTTTTATAATTCTATTTTTTCTCCTTTCAGAATATTTATTCACTGATATTTTGAGATGATATCCTTTCAAACAGACAAAACAGTAGCCATTCAGTTATGACAAAAGAAAAATAGGTACAAAATCCTGAAACTTAAATTTTATAGTAAGTGCTTTAAAACATTATTTTAAACATATATTTGTGTGTATGTGTGTGTGTGTATATATATACACATATATACGTGTATACATACACATATACGTGTATGTGTATGTATACACGTATATATGTATGTATACAAGTGTATATATGTATATACATATATATACACGTGCATACACACACACACATTCTACCCATATATGAGTAGAATTCATAATCAACAAGAATATTTAAGATACAATTGAAGACTTTACAGAAATTTTTTTGCCATGAGGCTGCTTTGGCCTATACCCCCAAAATCCCAGAAGTATAACTCCACTTTCCTTTATTAGGGTCACTCATGGAAAATGTCATGAAACACATAGGCCTAAGGATATGTACAGAGCCTTAGAGTTGAAGGAAGGATAAGAATGCAGGTAAGAAGGGTTGGGAATAAAAAGTTATCTCTCTTCTATCAGAGGATAGAATACAGTTTCATCTCTCAATATATTCTGGTCTCTAATGGTTTTATTTATTTTGAATGAATGCTGGTTGCATTTATAAAGGAAAACTTCATCTCATCATCCCTCCCTCCCTCTACTAGAGTGGCATTTAAACTTAGGTTTCCGTAAGACTCACTGATGGAACTTTTTGAACATCCAGACTCCTGAGCCCTACTTCCAAAGAGTTGGATTCTGTAGTCTTAAGTAGGGCCAAGCAATCTACATTCCCATCAATCCCCCAGGTAATTCTGATTGTCTTCTGACCACAGAGAACCACCATTCTATTGCATATCACCTGTGCTTCCTAAGCATGGAGAGAATATGAAACCTACCAATATTTCTTAGTGTTTAATTAACTACAGGAAAATAGTAACAACTGTTTAATACAAACTTAGTTCAATCATATTTCTAACCCTAGTTTTTTTAGTGAACCAAGCAAAAATCAGTTCATTAATGCTACAAACTTTCACTGAATGGCTCATAAACTGGGAGCTTAGGCTTCAAAATAAGGACCACATATTCTCTAAACTCAAGCAGCTCACTGTTAGCTGAAAAGACAGATGTGTGAGCAGTTAAATTACAGCATAAATCTGATAAGTACTGTTACAGAGATTGGAAGTGGGAAAATGGAGTATAAAACAGCTAACTACTCAGGGGCAGTCCATAAAAGCCACGTTAAGTCAGTGACATTTAGGCCAGGAGCTGAAGGATAAGTACACATTTTCAGAAAAACAACGGGTAAGGACCATGTGCAAAGTGCCCTATCTGACCCTTCTATCCTGACCATTGAATGGCCAGAAATTCAGCATAACAGAAGACTGGGTGATGAGATGTAGGGAGAAAAACCCATCACTTCAAACCAGAACAGGTTGGCCTGACCAGGAGTTGAAGGAAGGGCATTATGTGGCAAGGTGTGGAAAGGGGTAAGGATAAAGAGCAACGAGGTTGGTTAAATTCAGTCAAGATGCAGCCTGGGGCATACTCCATGCATCTCCAGAGCCAGAGAGTTGTTTAAATGCCCAGAAAATTGGACCCAGATGTTTTGACATGAGGACCTTATTTCCCATGAAGTCAATTAAAGGCTTTTATTGCTTATACATAGGGCTCTAGTCTCTGCCAGATTATTATGCACCCCAAGGGGCTGTGTTGTTCAACCCTGTAGTGTCTCTGCAGTTTAATTGTCATGTGTGTGTCTGGAGCTAATTGATGCTTGCTTGCTATTTAATAATTAGTCAGGTGGTGATAATAAACTCTGAACAGAAAAAAAGAACTGGGCTGAGTTTCATCTAATGACTCTTTGGATAATGAAAATTAATAGCAGAAGAGTGCAAGCACAACCTGCTTTGACCTTGTGTGCCGCAGTGAAAGAGGGCTGAGGCAGTTCTGCCCACACTTCTCTCAGCGGTGTCTCCCACCAGTTATGGGGAGAGATAAATGATGCTGGGTGTAGTTTGACATTGTTTCAGCTCCCTAGAGAAAGATGGTAAGTAATTATCAATGAAGCAAACAAAATCTTACTTTAGAACATTCCTTTTCCCACTCCCAACACTTCTTCCTTCAAAGTACTTTCATGTTGTCCCATTTTGCCAACTTCCCTATTGCAGAACTGCACAAGTCCTATCCAGCCAGTAGGATACTCCAACTACCACCTTGATTTACTATGGCCAATAGGAAATGTTAATGGTGATTTCAGTAAATGTACTATAGACAGTTCTACCAAAGGCACAGAAACCTCTGAAATAAAGTTGTAGATTGTCTTATCAGACATAGAAATCCAATCAGTTGAAGCTTTGGCTAGAGACAAAAAAGAACATAGAATGAATGTCAGAGGAAATTCATTAATGTCGGAGACAGCATTAGAAGTAGTTGGGGATTATTTTATCTTCTACATATATTTTTCTCACTTGCTGTTTCATATTTACCACTCAAACATAGACCTTTCTAGTGCACACCAGACTCCTATACCCAGCTGATTTCTTGACAACTGCCCTTAGACATTTAATAGACATCTTAAACTTCACACATGTACAAATGGACTGTTTATTGGCCCCAGTCTTCTCCATTTCAATAAGTGGAAACTTCCAACTTTCCATTTGCTCTGGTTTGAAACTGGCATCATTCTTTATTCTTTTTCTCAAGCTTCACATAATCCATTAGCAAATACAGTTGGCATTCTTCCTTCTATGTAAGTCCAGAGCCTGATTGTTTCTCATCACCTCCACCACCAGGTCCCTGGCCCAAGTCACCATTGTCTTTCCATCGGCCAGAGTTTTCCCACTGGCAGCTCCTGAAAGCTTTCTACATTCAAGCTGAGGGATTGCTTTCATTGTGTTATAAATAGCTCTTGCTATGTGCCATCCACTGTACTAAGCAGTTCATGAGTATTAACTCATTTGATCCTCACCACAACTTCATAAAGTCAGCACTATTTCTCCAAGTCTCCAAATAAGGAAACTGAGGAATAGGGAGGTAATCATCTTGCCTAAGTTTCCAGACTTGCCCTAGTTTCTATCCTTAAGGCCTGACTGGTTACCTCTTCCTCTGATGGTGGGTGCCATCGATCTCCTTCCAATAATTTATTATTAACAAAGATGACTTGATTTTGCTTACATCCAAAGAACTGTTGTATGCTGGTCTCACCAATCAGAATGCCCCTTCCTGCATTTCTTTCCCTTAAGGATAAGTATTTGGTTAACTAGTGTTAATATCTGGTAAGTGGTATACATGTATTTGTGTCGGAGAGACAGAGAGACCTTCTACAAGAAAACTGCATTTTCAGAGACTTCTAGATATATAATCCCTTAAGCCTAGAAATAAATAATTACTTGCAAAATTTCCGACACTGTGACAGGTTCATGATGGAGCTATGTGAGGAGAAATCTTCTCACGGATGATGCTCTTAAAGTCACATCACGTAATTTATCCCAAACCTCGGCAGTAGCCTCCCCAACTTCTCTGTTTAGCCTGAAGCCTCAGAGCCTCAAGGAAAGTCTCTCCCAAACACAAAGTTTTTAAAAACCCATCTACTGGTAAAGTTCCATAATAGTTTGAAAGTGGATTTAAAGCATCAGTTAACATATGTGCAAACTAATAAAAATATAAGGAAAAAGAATCTTTCTCCTCCCTCCCTACTTTCTTTTCCTTTCTTATTGCTCTCTTTCCAATCTTTCTATCTCTAATTTCCAAGAGGCCAAAAGGAGCTCTGTACAACAATAATCAAGAGATTTTTCTGGTTTTTATTGTTCAAAATGCTCTAAAGGCAATATTGAAGATGTAGATTACATTTGAGATGTTGATTTGTTAAATGTGGCAAATAATTTCCTCTCAAAAGAAAAATATTTAATGGCCTTTTGAGTCAATTCCTTTAGAACTTCTTTTATATAGTTTAATGTAAGGACACATTAGCCAATTGCCAATAAAACTAGTAGAAATGAAACCCTTAGGAAATGATTTAATCTAAACCACATTTAAAATGTATGCACTTATCAAGCATATTTTTCAAAACTAACCCTTAGTTTTCCACCACCACGTAAAAAGATAGAAGGTACTTTGCGTTAGAAATCACTGCACAGACTTAAAGGTTTTCCAGATTTGATTATGTCTAAGGTCAGAAGAACCCGGAAGAGGGCTTACAAGGAATCAAAACCATCTTGCTTCCGAACAGGAAAACAGACACCACAACTCCAACTCCTGTGTCCATCCCTGCTTGTATCATACTCCAGAGTTTTTCAAATGGAAAAAAAAAATTGAAAATGTCTCCAAATACTGGAGAAATGACAATTCAGAAATAGAATATACAGAAGGAGGAACAACAAAAGGAATGTACAGTCAACCGTATTGATGCGGTAGGAGAATGTAAATTATTCATGTTGATGAACACATGGTTCATTTGTTCATTCATTTATTCGGCAATTATTCCTATTGGATGTGCTGGGAAAATGGTGATGAACAAGAATCCTGGTTTTGGTGCTAGTGTGGAATATACTGGCACTACATAAATTTTCAAAGGTGTGAGAAGTGTTATGAAATGTGAAGCAGAGTATAATGGGAAAAGCAACGTGGAGCTCAGATTAGGCATGTCTGAAGGAGGAATAGCTGGTATGAAAGATGAAGAATAAACAAGAGTTAGCAAAGCACAAGAATCTAGTGAAGAGCTTTGTAGGAAAGAGCATGACTGAAGGCCTGGAAGTGAGAGAGGAATTGAAGGTTGCCCAGTGAGGGATAATCAAGTGGCTGAAGGAGAGCAGGGAATGATGGGGTTGGAAAGGTGGACAGAGGCAAAGGGCTGCTTAACCGAGTTTTAGACTTAATTTGGGAAGCAAATATACCCATTGAAGGTGTTTAAGCTATAAAAACAGTACTGGTGATTTGATCAGACTTATGATTTTCAATGAATATTTTGCCTGTAAACCAGACTTTTTGAAAAAGACAAAAATGAATAACCTCACTCATTCATATTGTACACCTAGTGGTGACCAAGTCTTTTCTGGGCATTAAAGACAGAGAAGTAAAAACAAAAATAAAAACCATAAACAGCAAGAAGATTAAAAACAGGGTTAATATCATAGTCCAGATAAGAAATAAAAGTGGATAGACTAGCATTCTAGCCTTTAGAAACAGACATGGACAGATTTGAGAGATTTACAAAAGACCCTCCGTAAGATAGTGTGGGACTAGGGAGAGCCAGGATGAAACAGGAATAAATGCCAAGTCTGTCTATTTACAGAAATTAATCTGAGCTATTTACAGATATTAAAAATTTTTTAAAACCTGGAAGATAAGCAGGTTTGTGGGAGATGTTGATAAGTTCACTTTTGGACATGTTTCTAAAATATTTTAAGGTGTGTTAAAACATCTAAATGGGAAAATCAAACAAGAAGCTGTATACAAGTGGCTGGGACTTGGCTGGGGTCAGAGATGGGTTTGCTTAGTCAGTGAAACCATGAATCAAATGAGATGGACCAGGAGAGGTGCAGAAAGTAAAAATGGACCCCTGAAGAACTCCAACTTTTTCAGGCTACAGCTGACAGCTACTTAAAGCTGATAAAAGAAACTGAGACAGAACAACCAGAGAGACTGTAGAGAATAGAGTTTTTAGGAAGAGGAATCGTCAATAACAAATATTTCCACGAGGTCCATCACATTTAACAACATGAAGGACCCTAGCAGAAGCAGTTACAATGCAGAGGTGGGAGTGAAACCACATTATGGTGGATGGAGGAGTAAGATTAAAAATAGAGATGGTTGGTGACAACAACTCCTTCATGAAGTAGCTGGAGGGAGAAATGGAGGGTAAAGCAGGACTGCCAAGAAGTGATTTGGTCCAGGTGAAAAAAGCTGTGGGCTGTTACTCCCAGCAAAAGAGGACCAGGTCGGGGGCCATGGCTCACACTTGTAATCCCAGCACTTTCGGAGGCTGAGACAGGTCAATCACCTGAGAACAGGAGTTCGAGACCAGCCTGACCAACATGGAGAAACCCCATCTCTACTAAAAATACAAAACTAGCTGGGTGTGGTGATGTATACCTGTAATCCCAGCTACCAGCTACTCAGGAGGCTGAGGCAGGAGAATCTCTTGAACCCGGGAGGTGGAAGTTGTGGTGAGCCAAGATATTGCAGCATTGCACTCCAGCCTGGGCAACAAGAGTGAAACTCTGCCTCAAAAAAAAAAAAAAAAAAAAAAAAAAGACCAACAGCTAAAAGCTGTGATCTGAAATTAGCCCCAGGCCCCCTTCAAAGTTTACCCTACCCTCACTTCCACCTTCACCCTCCATCCTAATCCCCACCCTAGCAATTTTGTTAATCATACTGACTTCTCACCCTCATCCCTACTCCACGCATTTCATTTTCTGGGGTTTTTTCAAATGGAAAAAATTTGAGAATGTTAACAAACTGATTACAGTAAGGCAATAGAGTTGGAGAAATTACAGCCCCTGGAATTAGGAGCAATTTAACAGAAGTATGAGGTCTGGAAAATAAGTAGGGTGTGATATGGAGAATAGCATATAGGAATTGGGCTATTAGAACAGGAGAGATACCTCCTTCATTGCAGCAGGACAGGAGGTGGTAAACAGGATTAAAATGCAGGGAGATTTGTGAACTTTGTAGCATAAAATTGAGGCTGTTCCTCTGATCCACGAGTTTAATGGAAGGTGGAGATATTTGGCTTGGAAGTTTGAGGGCAGTGAGACAGTTTGCAATAGGAGAACGAACTGAGTGAAAGACTTGATCCCTCAGATGGAGATGATGACCACAAATTTATAAAGTCTCAATCTGTAAAAAGTAGAACTTTCTCAGTAATACCCTTCCTCTATTCTCTCCTTCTCTTCACCAGTTTAGGCAGGTAGCTGATATTAGAGAAGGACTCTCTACTGCCCTGACCTCATTTCTCCTTATGGAGGAAATTCTCCTGGAATAACACTGTTGCTGCTGGTGGAACAGTTCAGGTTCTTGACTTTGCCACACAAAAGAATTTCAGAGCCAGTCCAAAGTAAGAGTAGGCAAAGGGGCCAGGCGTGGCGGCTCACACCTGTAATCCCAGCACTTTGGGAGGCCAAGGCAGGCAGATCACGAGGTCAAGAGATTGAGAACATCCTGGCCAACATGCTGAAACCCCATCTCTACTAAAAATACAAAAATTAGCTGGGCGTGGTGGCACACGCCTGTAATCCCAGCTACTCTGGAGGCTGAGGCAGGAGAATCGCTTGAACCCAGGAGGTGGAGGCTGCAGTGAGCTGAGATAGGGCCACTGCACTCCAGCCTGGTGACAGAGCGAGACTCCGTCTCAAAAAATAAATAAATAAAAAATAAAAAGAGTAGGCAAAGGAGTTTATTGCGAAGCAGAAGTACACTCTGAGAGGCAGAATAGGCTGCTCAAAGGGAGAGACAGCAGCTAATGCCTTAACAGAAATTCCCTTTATGGGAGCTGTACATGCGTATTCATAAAATACTGGTCAAGTATGCAAAGGCAGACCTGCAGTTGGAACATGTGCTCAGTATCTACATCCTCCAACATACATTGCATATATCAATAGCGTATAAAATCTCCACTTAGAGGTGTGTTTTTTACTATTAACATGAGGAAACGGTTACTGTAAGGTAAATCTTGAGCCTAGCTGCACATGCCGGACCATGGAGAAGTCCCTGCCCCGCCCCCAAGGCAGGAATTTGTAGCTAATAGCTTCTTGGGCTTTCAGTGCTGATTGGCTGAAGAATGCAGAAGCTCCATCAGGATAAAAAGCCTTTTGTTCCCTTTCCTGGGCCATCCTAGGTATCGGGTACTTCTAATCACCTGATGGTCAGCTGGGATCCTGTAGGACTGCTTATCTTGCAAAAGAATTAGGTGCTGACACACAAGGATACAAGGGATGCAGAGCCTTCTGGGCTTCACACAAGGAGAAAAGTCAATATGACCTCTTAGTCTTACTTATCCTGCCTCAGTATGTCCAGCATCCCCAGCTCCATCACTCTCCCTTTCTAAGACAGTGACCTACCTGATCGGTGAACCTGTAAGAAGTCAGCAAGTGCTTAGCTGAGTGTCTTCTAAGTTTGCCTGCTCTTGGTTCTGTCTGCTCTCGGGATGCACACATTATCTGCTCCCAGCCAAGTGGAACGCTCCCTGGGGAAGATTCATGGAGAATGAGTTAGCAGAGCTCTAGCAGTGGCTGGGTGCATGAGACTTTCTGATTCAGGAGGAAAGTATCTGGAAGTCCACAGAGAGCAGAAATAAAAAGCCACTTTCTCAAATCACCTCCCTCAGTCGTGATGCTAATATTTTTTATCTTCATCTTTCTGCCTCCTGTGTCTCCATTCCTCAGATGGCTTTGAACCCAGGAAGAAAATATATGGATTGTATATTGTTTTTCTATTATTGCCAAAACAGGTAACCACAGCCTTAGTGACTTATAAAAATACATTGTTTCATTTTATAGTTCTGTAGGTCACAGCTTCCGGGAATTATGACATGGACATCTTAAGGGGCTGTTATTCCACCTAACACAGGTTATAGGCTGTCTGATACCCCATGAAGGCTCAGTGCTTCCTACCTTGGGAGAAACCGGCAGGAAGCAGTTAGCTGCACAAACCCAATCCGTCCTGATTTTGTTCCAAAAGCCTAAATCCACTGTGGAGATTTGCTATGTGACTTGGGAGATTTAAAGAGAAGGAGTGCAGGAAGAAAAACATGAAGAAAAAGGGATTTCCTCCATATTAGCAGGAGGTTTTCAGAGCATGGGAGGTGGAATGAAAGGTCTATGAGTCCTTAAGTCAGCAAGGAACTTTTCACTCCACTGTGAACATGGACAAAGCAATGGCTTGTATGCCCCAGGGAGGCAGGTTTTCAGCACCAGGGTTCCCAGACCTAGAAAAGATCCCCATTCTCAGTGGAAATGGTATGAAAACAGAGAACCAGCTAGGCACAGTGGCTCACGCCTGTAATCTCAGCACTTTGGGAGGCCGAGGCAGGCAGATCACGAGGTCAAGAGATTGAGACCACCCTGGCCAACACGCTGAAACCCCGTCTCCACTAAAAATACAAAAACTAGCTGGGGTGGTGACACACACCTGTAATCCCAGCTACTCGGGAGGCTGAGGCAGGAGAATTGCTTGAACCCACAAGGTGGAGGTTGCAGTGAGCCGAGATCCCGCCACTGCACTCCAGCCTGGCAGCAAGAGCAAGACTCCAAAGAAAGGGAAGGGAAGGGGAAGAGGAAAGGGAAGGGAAAGGAGAAAAAAAGAAAGAAAAGAAATAAAGCAAACAGAGAACCACCAGATGTCATGGAATTGCTGAGGCTTGGACAATACCACAGGGGTCAGGAAAAGACGGAAGATCAAGAGCCCCTCTCCCGTTTTCTGAGTCATCATCAGAAAGAGTTGCTCAACAACATTTTTTTGCCTTCTTTTCATGTCAGAAAAGTTTTCCATGTCAGAGAAGTTCCCCATTTTTCTCCTCCTCCACTTCCTTCTTCAGTTTTTATGATTTTCTAAACCAGACAATTTCTTGGAAAGCATGTTAAAATACTTGAATTTTAAATAATAAATCACTCATTTTTAGTAAATGGAACAATGCCATGTATTGTTCAGTTTTTCTAGCCAAGTGGGATGCAAGGTGCCAGCTGGCTGATCATAAGGCTGATGGATGCAATGTGTAGGCACAGAGATGAAATTGGTAGAGATGATACACATTTTACTTTTACTGGAGGTTGTAATCTGGGGGCACTAGCTGAAGTGGGGTAAATTTACATTCCCTATAAGGAAATCTGTGTTTACTATAGCCCCACATTCTCAACATTTATAAGAAGTCTAGCACGCCCTTTAATCTGGTTCTGTTTGTTGGAAAGCACAGAGTCCAGAGGGGATCATCTTTTGGAGGATGTCAGGGATAAATAGTGATATGGAGCAAGCCAGCTGGGTTGGTGGGAGCTCAGATCTCACAGCAGCTGCAGCTGGATCTGGAGGCCTGGGGCTTCAAAATGGAGCAAGGGGCTCCGTTGCCTCTTGATCCAATCTAAAGAGCCGTGGGGTGGGTGGTTCCAAGGGGTGACATCCTGTATGTACAGGTGGATGACGTTCCTCTCCCCCTCCCTTGATTACAGTTTGGACTCAGTCCTGCATTTGGGTCAGCCTCGAATGAGCAAACTCTTTACTTGGCTTCGGTCTACAAAGCCCTCTGAATGCAGAGTTTAGATTTTTTCCTCAAATACTATTTACTAGACTTTGCTCCTGAAGATAATTCTATATTTTTATTTGATACAGCAATTATTTTTCAGATGTTTGTTTATTTACTTATTTGTGGCTGTCTTAACATCCTACCTATGTCTCTTCCAATCAGCACTGGCTATTTCTTAGACAGAGAGGCCAGTTAGCACAGGTTTATGGGAGGTTAATTTCTAATACTCTTTCCCGCTCCATACGCACCCTCCCCCGGCAGGGTCCTTCCTGTGGAAATTCATAGGATCTATGAGTTAATCAGGTGCTTGTTCCTGGACACAAAATCTTTAGCAAGTGAAACAAAGGCAGAAGGAAACTCAGAGGTCAAATTAAACAGAAGTGTTGGGAGGGGGATGAGGGACGAGGAATTACTTTAGGGTAATGAGGGTACAGCATTAATGATTCGTGTGATGAGTACACTAAAAGCCCAGACTTCACCACTATGTAATATATCCATGTACCAAAATTGCATTTGTGTTCCTTATATTTATGCAAATAAAAATTTTAGAAAATAGCAGCTCTGCAGCATGGCCCTGGGTGGGCACCTGGCTTCTCCCTCTGAAGACTCCCTTAGTTTCCCAACCCTTTGCTACCTTGGATCTAGCTTGCATCTCCTACCTACTCAGGGACTTTCTCCTAATATCCTGCCACCAAGTATCCTTTTTGTTTAAGATGGTTTTCTTAAATCAGGAAGCTGATTGTTACATTTTCTATAAAACTTTCAGCCCATCTGTCAAAATATTTAAGAAACAATATTTAATATTCTCCCCCATTCCAGTAAAAAAAAAAAAAAAAAAAAAAAAAAAAAAAAAAGTTGCATTGGGATGGGGATTTGGACAGAAAGAAGACAAGGATAGATCAGTTAGAACTTCGACTGGTTTTAGCTGCATTTCTGAGAAGAGTACAACCTACTCCTAGCACAAATAAGAAAGAACAGAAGTATTGAGGAGAAATAGTAAGAGAGGTGTACCAGGCTGTTTCCTATCATTCTCCTGTGTTGGTGACATCATTATTTGGGAGGAAATACTGAGAGTGACCAGGACTACAGACGTGGAAATTCAAATTTAATCACAAAATTGCATTCTAATGCAAAATATAGTCTTTCTATAATATTAACAATTTGTATTATCTCAGATAGTCATACACAATCAACTCCACTGTACCGGGATTCAGAGGTTAATGTGGTACAGAATAATTTAAAGTGTAATGGAAGAAAGAAAACCCAGAAGAAACCCTGGAAGATATAACTAAAAGGTGTTGATAACTGACTCAAATTCCTTGGAATCCCAAAACCATCCAAGGCACCACAGAGAGATTCCAGCTCATCTTCCTCTTCCTCTTTTAGTTTAATAAATAAGGCTGCATTTATCAATAATAAATTTAGAATGAAAAGACTTTTCTTTTAATAAAATAATTTAATGTAAGTAAAATTATTCTTAAAGCTTAAAAAAAATGTAAACCCAACACAAAGTGTCTGATGAGATGTCACTCAACAACAGGTCCACTGAGAAGAAGTCAGAAAAAAACATTCAGTTGAAATGTTCTACAGAAGACACACTTCCTGTGAAGGGTATTAAGTGAGTCATTTGTGAAATTAAGTAACATGGCTGCTACATGCTTTTAATTAGGCCACTGCAACAAGCCACAATAGATTAAAAGTGAAACAGCACATCCAACAAGGTAATGGAATAGGTTTATTAGTTCCAAAAGTACTGTGTGAAAGCTAGGCAGCTATTGAAATACAGAAACATGAAATAAATATGTAAATGATTACCAACACTAGGAATTGTCATAAATTAAATAGTAACAGGGACTACTCAGTTATCACATTCAGAGCCCTGCTCCTTAAGAACTCTGAGAACTCCGGGTTAGATCCTTAAGTTACACAATATTTACTTGCATTTGGAGATTTATTTATATAATTTATATAATTGCATATACATATACATACACACACACGCACACACGTTTACACAAGTCTAGTGGTAACTGGAGCTGAAATGAGAGTCATACCGCAAGTGTGTGCTATAAATGAAATCTCAAACACAGGAAGGTCCCAAATAAACAAGACCTCAGGAATCCAAGTTTGTGAAATTTGAACGATGTGACATGCAATAATTCAAGTTTCTTTCATTTTAGGCACTTTTCCTATACAATATCAGTTTTTCTTCCCCTAAATGAGGGGGAAATGAAATGTGAATATGCATATCTTGAGGACTTGCAAAATACTTTTAATTTCACCTTACCTCATTTACCTACTCAGTCCTATCTGTTTGCTTTAGCACGTGACCCATATTTTGAGGTAGAAACATTAATTTAAGCCAATAGCTGTCAACAGCACTGTGGAAACACAAAATGGTATAATACGGAGTACTTGCTGTCCAAGGAAAATGCACTGTTTAGTTTTATCTCTCTAGCTCATCTTTCTGCTGTTTATATCAGAGATAAACATTAAGAGTCAAGCCAATGGAATGGCTTCTTGCTTAGCAGTTCATGGGTGTGGCTGAAACTGTCACCAAATAGATCCTCTCCACAGATAGTCCCACTCTTCTCCTTCTCTGTTCCCATGCTCACTACCAATTCACTCCACTTCTGTGTCTGGCTGCCAAAAGAACAGACAGGCTTCAGAAAGAGTAATTGGCTCCCGGCTGCAAAATGCACGGCACCCCTAGCTGGAGATAGATGGCTAAAGGCTGGCAGCCCAGGAGAGAGCCACCACCTGTGTGCAGCAGCACGTGGACATGGCTAAGCCCTGCAGGCTTGGTTGAAGACAAGGTCCTCGATGTTCAGTTGAAGGAAAATCAGGAGAGACAGCTTGTAGAGTGGAGAGTAAGGAAAGATTGGGATCGACAGTGCCAAAACCAAAAACCAAAATTCCAACTTCTTCAATATCTAGGAAGGAAAATTGTCAAGGAATTAACAAGTAGTCACATCTCCTTGGTTCCCTCAGAAATGTTCTATATAAAGATTTATAACTGCATGTATATTTAATATGTATACATATATGCATACTTACAAGTCACCACTATTATCATTTGTTATCTAATCTTTTCTTAACATGGCATTACATATAGGCCCTTACGTGCCTATATTTTACTATTCATTGGGATAGAAATTACACGGAAATATTTTACAGCTGAAAATCTATTGTTATAATGATGATGCCATCTAGAAGCATCAGGGGTAAAGTCCTTATGGCAATGTGCTTACTCAGAGCCTAATAATAAAGTTCTTTGGGGCAGAAATCTCCTGGTGCAATGAGAACAGAAAATATACTCACTCCTTAGTTTTTAAAATCATGCTAATTTATAGTCACCTTGAAAAAAATACTTTTGTTTCTCAATATTTTATTTTGTTCCAAAATGAGTTTAGCCAGCAAGGTAAAATAAAACTGAGGTGGAGGAGTGGATACTAAACAAAACAAGAAATAAGATTAACAAATAATACAAAAAAGATGTGAAATAGAGTCAGGAATGAGTCTGCATTCTCCTTGAATGGCCTGTACTATTTAGCATAGTCCAATGCCCTTCCATTCATTCATTTAATAATTACTTAGTGTCTATTATGTGCCAGCTACTCTCTATGCAACTGTTACTTTTTGACTTGCAGAGCAATATCTTCTTTCCACGGTCCTCCTCTTTATACTCTTAACTGCTTCCCTTTCCTTCCTCCATACCTTAAGTGAAGGAGTCTTTTTTGTTGTGCCTCAATCCCTCTGCTTGTAACTTCTCTTCTAAAGTAATTACCAAAGACAGGCGCAAACTGTTTCTAAAATTCAACTTCTGTATTTCTAAAAAGCCACAGGATGTCTCCATCTTAATGTCCTGCCAGCACCACAAATGCACGTGACAAATGCTGCTCTGTGCTGACCCTGAAATCTCACTCTCCATACTGCACACCCACACGCTGCAGGCACAAAACTAGCTCGGGGTTCCTTCGCATTGGTGAGGTCACACCCAAACTTCCAGCCACCTAGGCATTAAGCCATGAAAGGATCTTGTCCCTTTCCTCCCTCAACCTCTCGTCTACCCTCCCCACCACCTTTACAACAGCATAAGCAAAGGTAGGTGAGCAGAATCAGGGATGTCTGGAAGTCACTGCCACATGTACTGACAAGAAGAAGGCATGACGGCCATCTACTTATAGAAAGATGAGTTGATGACAAGACAAATCACACTATGAGAGAAAAAAGGGTAAAAATAACCTGGTTTAGGAATGAAAGAGATGTAACCATGATTGCAAAAGATTAAAATATTTATAAAACAGTACTATATGCAATTATGTGATAACAAATGTGAGAAACTAATGCTCATACATCTGATGACTGCCCCTCAGTAAAATAAACATATTGACTGAACAATAACTTTCCTAATGCTATTGCTTTAGAAGAATAATTAGTTCTAAATACAAACAAAAATATGGACATTGAAATTGTTTAGGAGTATTTATATGCTTACACCAATAGCTTTGTTTTAGAATTTAGTCATCATAATGCATCATAATTATCATCAAAAAGCTAATGCTTTTTGAACACTTATCTTGTACTAGATATTATTTTAAGCACCTCATATTTCCTGTCTCCTCATCACTCTGTGAGTAAGGTACTATTGTAAGGACGAGGAAACTGAGCCTTAAGAAGATTTAGTAATTTTTCTAAGATCAGCTAGAAAGAGGTAGGGCATGCAATGGAACCCAGTAAGTCTGATCTGAGAGTTGGTCATATTAATCAGGATAAAGCTTAACCATCAATTTGGCTATGCAGAAGTTACTTGATAACTTCCTATAACACCCAACCCTTAGTGCCCTAAAATAACAGCGGTTTATTTCTCTGCCAATAGGAGTTAAATTCAGTCAGGGAACTCTCTAGAGAAAATGCTCTGTGGTCCAGGTTGCTTCCATTTTGGAACACAAATATCTTAACACACAGCTTCTGCAGTTGCTGTGGTACACAGAGAATGCTGGAGAGCTGCACACTGGTTTTCAAATCCTTCAGCCTAAAAATGACACTTTTTCATTTCTGCTCATGGCTCATTGCAGACCAGTCACATGGCCACAACCTAACTGCAAGGAACGCTAGAGGATGTTGTCTTCCAAAAACCCAAGAAGAGAAAAATGAAATGGGATTTGGTATTTCTGCCATAATTATCTCAATCACGTAACTTGAAAACTTTTGAAGAGGGTGTTTTATATATCATATATAACTTTATTCTACAGAATGCCTTTTAGAAAGGGAACTATACATATCTAGAACTATTTCCTTAAGGAAGTTGTGGGAGAGCATGAGATCTTCAAGGGTATTATCAAGCTCCAAAAGATCATTACCTACTTGTTATAAAATGAAAAGGAGAGAAATTTGTTTTGCTGCTTCTTAGAAGGATGATTAAGAACAGAGAATATACTAAAAAATTTAACAATTTATGAAAACAGACCAATGAGGCCAGGTGCACTGGCTCACTCCTGTAATCCCAGCATTTTGGGAGGCTGTGGTGAGCAGATTACCTGAGGTCAGAAGTTTGAGACTAGCCTGGCCAACATGGTGAAACCCCATCTCTACTAAAAATACAAAAATTAGTAAGGCATGGTGGCAGACACCTGTAGTCCCAGCTACTCGGGAGGCTGAGGCAGGAAAATCACTTGAACCCAGGAGGTGGAGGTTCCAGTGAGCCGAGATTGCACCCCTGTACTCCAGCCTGGACAACAGAGTAAGACTCTGTCAAGAAAGAAAAGAAAAGAAAGAAAAAAAAAAGAAAAGAAAAGAAAGGAAAGAAAGAAAAGAAAGGAAGGAAAAGAAAGAAAAAAGAAAACAGACCATTGAGAACAATACTAGCCTAAAGAGCCAGTGAAGACATAGGAGCCCATTCTTGATACAAAAGGAAAGGGGAGATGTAGAAGGAGAAGAAATAGCAAAATGGTATAAGACTGCAGAGTAACATGGTCTCTCCCCATGACCCCAAGTTGACCAAATATTTAGAGTGGGTTTTATTTTTTATGGAAAACAATGAAAGAGTTGCATATCTGTACTGATGTGACCCACATCCCAGTGGTAATAGGTTGGACTTAGGCACCAGGATCCGAGGAGGCTACGAGAAAGTAATCCCCTAGGAAACAGAAATCTAGAATTTAAATCCTCACTTTATTTATTTCTAATCAAGTAAAATGAAATTTTAGGACACATCCACAGAAATATAAAATCACATCTGTCATTTCTGGGGGTCCCCCTCCATAGGAAAAGCCCTAGCACATTATGCAAAGCCAAGCACCAGGGAACCTTCTTACAACATCAGTCATCATTGATCTGCATTAGTCACCCCCATTCTAAGATGCTGCTGCCCCAGCAAGCTCCAGACTTTTGGAAGGACAGGTCTGCTTCTTTTGTGCCTCCTATGAGGTTATGTGGAAGCACTGACTAGGCTGACAGCCAGTGTGCCTCAGGTCCAGTCTTTCTGGAGCACCAAGAAGTTGCCCTTCCAAGCTCTGGTCATCTCCCCAGGGCACAGCCATAGACTGAAAGGGTTCCTGACACATCTCAGAATCTCACACCTCTAGCAGCCCTCCACTCTTGGGTTATATGTTTTTCTCTCTTACTACTATCAGAGATTCTTGATTTCCCTTTTCTTTCCAGAGAATCTGGAATAATTTCAGCAACTTTCTTAGGTCTTTACAAAAGACAGGAAGATGCACTGACCTCAAGTACTGCCTACTGTGAGTTCTTCAAAACTGCCTGAGACAAGTAAAGACTAAGGATCAGGCCACTTTGAATAGTGGAGAAACAACAAGAAAAACACAGTAAAATTTCGTTTTTTAAAGAGGTGTTCCCAGAATTTATTATACAAAAATTCAATCCTATCAGCTCAAAGGGGTGGACTGTAGCGGGTGCTGTGTGCCCTGCCCACTCCTCCCCTCTTTAGGACTGAGACATCCATTTCCTGAGTTGCTGGGATTATGGACAGCTCACAGCTCTCAACTGAGTCACTGTCCAGCTGTTGCCCTGAGATGAATAGAGGCGTCTCTCCCAAGCTCACACTCCCTCCCTGTTAGAATCAGCTGAAGACTTTGTGGTGACTGTTTAACAGTTAAATTCCTCCATTTTCATGATTCTATTTTTTACAAAGTAAAATTTCAAACAATATAACCCTGCCAATATGCATGTATAGAACACACACACACACAGTGGAAAAAGAAGTTTTGGTAGGAAACACACCAGAGTGATAACCGTGGTTATCTCTAAAATGTGATTATAGAATTTTGTTTACCAAATTTTCTGTGGCAAGCACGTGCAACTGTTATAATAAGTGAACAACAACCCCATAGGCTGAAATGAGCTCATCAGCAACCGGGATAGACCATTTCCAGCCTGCTCACAGTTTCTGACTTCAAGCTCCTGCTGCTTCCTCCTCTGCTGGAAGACTTTCTCAAGCACTCAGAGAGCCTGCTCAGCCTGGAGGCACCAGGAAATACTGTGGAGTTGACAACCCCAGGGCCAGTCCTCAACTGATAGGGGCTAGGAATCAATAGTTAAGTGTCTCGCCTCCCATTCTCTGGTAGGGCACTTCTGATGTATACCACAAAGAATCTGAGAGTCCTAGCAGGATTCACCTTCAATTGCCCAGAGTAGGATGTCAGCACACTTTGCAGTGACTTTTCTCCCTTTTCTCCCTGGCTCACCTTTCCCAGCTCCTCAGATTCACTGAACCAAGTTAAGAGAATTTCTATAGCCGGTAACCCCTGGATTATCAAGCACTGATCTTTGTCTTTTATCTCTGTACCTCTACCATCCCCTAGCAAAGAGCTTTGCCCGCATTAGACATGCTATTAAATGCCTGTAGAATTCAATTAGATTTTAGTTTGCCATAGCTATAATGGAAACCTGAATGCTCTCTTAAATGAGGCAGACCAGCATAGATTCAAAACCAGGCCCCTGAATTACTATTTGCACCACAAGCAGAGTGTGCACCTTAAAAGGCATTGCGTAGTGATCTACTTTATAACTTACCATGATACCCAGGAGTACAGATGGTCAAAGTCAGTGTTACAAGTTTACAAATCAGTTCAAGTGGGCACCATTTTAGTGCTGGTAGATGGCACACATTAAGAGACACTTTGCTTCACTTGCCCATTCCCTCTAGAATACTCATATCCTTTGCCACCAGCATTATCTCCACAATGGTTAGTCAACCTCAGAGAGTATGTAGTGGCTCATTAACATTCTCTCAATATGAGCTGTCTATGAGCTATCGTTTCCACAATTTCCTGGTACAAAGAGAATTTATGTTCATAATGATGAAGCTGAAGCTCTGATTGCATGATCCCCAAGGTACTTTGTGCTTTTATCAAAGAAAAATTGTTTGTTCATTGTAGTGTCTATCTGTGGACAAATACCTTTCAGTTAAACAGAATATTTTTAGTAACAGTGAACCCCAAATGTGTCACACAGTCTGAAATACCTAGGACTTTATCTCTGATGTTACTAAAGACATCAACTACCACACCTGGCACTGGTAGCAGCACCATCCCTTTGCCCCATGCCTAGTGTGTAGCTCAAGTCTTTGGGCTTGACATCCTGAACCCAAGGAAAGAGGCTGAGTGGAGGAGAGTGGAGTTCATCATAGCTTAGACTGTAAAGTCAGACACAAGTCTGAAACGTTGGTTTTCACATTTCAACTAGCTCATTACAGCCTAGTAGGTACCGGACCAATAAAAATAAGGATGATTTCCACAGCCTTTTTAAATACTCAGAAAAGAGTCTTAAGCACTTGATGGGACTTAAAAATCCCAGAAAGTGATTCTCATCCCTCACAGAATATGAAGTATGGCTTTAATTTAGGACTGGTCCCACCAAAGTTAAAAATCAGCAAAGTTCTCCTCTCTTCTGGTGCTGTCAGTTTCCCCACTCAGCCACCTTTTCAATTTTCTCTAAAGTGTTCAGGACCCAAACAAGGCAAAAAATATAAATATAGGATTCTGTTCCACAAACCCTTGCTTCATCTCCCACCTAATGGGTTCATATATCTTTGGACGTATGTTCTGGTTTCTCTTCCTTCCTCTTCCTCCTCCCGCCTCTACCTTCTCTTAGTATTACTCTCTGTCTCTACTCCTAGGATATAGATGCAAAAGAAAAGAGATTTAAGGTGATTGTTTTTTTGAGAGAGAATCTTGCTCTGTCACCCACACTGGAGTACGGTGGCACAAAACACAGCTCACTTCAGCCTTGACCTCCTAGTCTCAAACAATCCTCCCACCTCAGCCTCCCAAGTAAGTAGATGGGACCATAAACATAAGCCACCACATCTGACCTTTTTTTTTTTTTTTTTTTTTTGGGAGACAGGTATTGCCATGTTGCCCAGGCTGATCTCAAATCACTGGGTTCCAAAGTGCTGGGATTACAGATGTGAGCCACTGTGCCTCTCCAAGGTGGGTTTTTGTGTGTGTGTGTGTGTTTTTAACTTACACTTAATGATGAACCTACTTATTATGTGCTAGGCACCATTTAAGATATTTTCATATGTAATGCCTTAGTGTCTCTATTTACTTTGAAATTCATTTCTCCTTCCTACAAACTTTGTGCTATTTTCTCTAACCAAAATTATTAAGAGGAAGGTAGTCAACTAGTAAGATTCCCCTGTACAAGTAGCTGGTTTTAAGTCAAATGCAAAAGCAGGTCTGAACTCAAAAGAATGACAAATGTATACAAGTACAACATCCTTCATTAGGGACAAGAAATAGTTAAGAGAAAAGTACGACTGTAGATACAATTTGCACCCAGATAGAGATGAGGCAGAGTGGCTAAAATTTTTGGATTTGGAGTTAGGTTGCCTGGGTCCTTGACTCATTGCTTAAACTTTCTAAGCCTTGGTTTCTTATCGATTAAAGGAACACACAATAATCTTAAGCCATAGGATTGGCGTAAGTATTAAATGAGAAATGCATGTAAAACACTTAGCACAGTCCTAAGACATAATAAATGACTCATAAAATAAGCTGATTCTGAGCACAGATTTCTTTCTCCTAACACTCATTCTCTTCTTAATTTTTTATTTTGTTTTTAAACATAATAATTGTACATAGGTATGGGGAACAGTGGGATGTTTTGATAAATGTATACATTGTGTAAAATATCAAAGCAGGGTATTTAGCATACCCATCCACTCGTACGATTCTTTTCTTGTATTCATTTATTTGTGGTAAGAACATTCAAAATACTCTCATCTAGCTAGTTTGAAATATACAATATTGTTAACCATAGTCACTGTATTGTGCAATAAAACACCAGAACTTATTTTTCTTTTCTAACTTTACTTTGTACCTGTTGACCAGTCTCACCCTATATTCCTCATCCCCCTATTCTCCCCACCCGTCTCTGGTAACAACTATTCTATTCTCTACTTCCATGAGATCAACTTCTTTAGATTCCACATATGAATGAGATCATGTGGTATTCATCTTTTTGTGCCTGGTTTATTCCACTTAACATAATGTCCTCAAGGTTCATCCATGTTGCTGCAAATGACGATGCTTTATTCTTTTTAGTGGTTGAATAGTATTCCACTGTGTACATATACCACATTTTCTTTACCCACTCATCTGTTGAACACTTAGGTTGATTCCTTATCTTGGCTATTATGAATAGAGCTGCAATAAACATAGGAATGCAAATAGCTCTTCAACATGCTAATTTCATTTTCTTTGGATATGTGCCCAGTAGTGGGATTGCTGGATCATGAGGTAGTTCTACTTTTAATTTTTGAGGGCCCTCCATGCTATTTACAAGATGTACAAATTTATATTTCTAACAGTGTATGAGTTTTCCTTTCTACACATCTATACTAGCATATGTAATTTTTTCTCTTTTTAATAACATTCTAAACAAGGTGACATTGACAGCTTATTGTGATTTCAATTTGCATTTTCCTGATGCTTAGTGGTGTTGAGACTTTTTTCATATACCCATTAATCATTTGTGTCTTCTTCGGGGATATGTCTAGTCAAATTTTTTGCTTTTTTTATTGGATACTTTTTCTATTGGGCTGTTATACATTCTGGATATTAGCTCCTTGTCCGATGTATAGTTAACAGATATTTTGGCCTATTCTGTATGTTGTCTTTTCACTCTGTTTATTGTTTCCTTTGCTGTGCTGAAGATTTTCAGTCTGATATAATCTTATTTGTCTATTTTTGCTTTTGTTGCTTGTGCTTTGGGGTCTTATCCAAAATATTCTTGCCCAGACCAATCTCATAAATCTTTGTTCAATGCAGTTTATATTTAAAATTAATAGCCTTCCTCATTTCTTTCTGATTTGCTTATGTTCTCTGTGTTTTATCAATTAGAATCCCAGTTATTCTGGGAAACAAGAACTGATTCACCATGGGTGATAACACTTTCACTGATGGAAATTACACTAACAACAGTAGCCACTCTCAAACTTTAACTAGAACGGTCTACAAAAACACTAACTGGCTAGTTTTCTCCAGTTAGTAGCACCTTGATTATACACCGCCTGCCTTGCTCACCCTCGCTCTCAACATGGTATTTAGGAATCAATACTCTCTAGCTGCCTAGTTCAGTTAAGCCAGACTGAAATGCTGTCCAGCTTAAGCAGAGTTTGAGAAATTACAGGGTAATGAAGAGTAGGGGAATTGCTAAAGCAACCAAGGACAATGAGAAGTCTGACATGATTCACACATAAAGATCAATGGTGAATGGAAAAAAAATAGATGTAGCTGGAGACAGGGAAGAAGAGCAAATTTCTGTGTTATTTTATATTTTGAGAACTATCTTCACAATCCCAAAGGAAGGAAGTGAAAGTTGCCAATGAGCATAAGATCAAATTTGAAGTTTATTTATTTGTTACTGATTCACTCAACAAATATTTATTGAGTGCCTACTGTATAACAGGTACTCTTTGAGAGTTGCAATATATTGCTGAACAAAACAAACAAACAAACAGAAACCTCTATAAATCTCTATCACCCAAGATGTGAAGTGGGCTGCCTGCTAGCATTTGACCAACTTAGCTTTTCTGTTCCAGACCTGTGGTTCTGAAAATAGCAAGTTTCATGAGTTTAAAAGAAGCCAAAGGATTTTCAATTCCTCTTTTGCTCATTTCTTAGCAGGAGGCTCTTGAAGGAGCCACATTTGTGCATAAAAAGACATTACAAGCACCAGGGGAAGGAAACATGTAGAGAAGTGGGATAAAGAACTTTTATAAATTAGAAGGTACACAAAGCCAAGCCATCAAAACCAGAAAATGTGCTGATAATATCAAGTGAAAGAAGCAGAGAACCAAGCCCTTTGAAACAATTTCTACTTGCTTAACATCTGTGCTAGAGTTACTAAAGCTGAAGAAATGAGGGTTAATTTACCGCTTTCTCCAAGCTAACTCAGTTAAACCAGTAAGCATCATGGAGCCAATGTGATACACCTGTTCAGATTTCCCTTAATGGCACTTGAAGGTATGCAAACAGCAGCCTCTCAGTCCATAGTTCTTACACATTTTTAAGTTAGAACCTAGAAACAGAAGGAGTACAAGTCTATCCTCTGAGTCTCCACAGAATTGAAGACAAAGATACATGTTGATAGTGGACTAATGACTAATTCTGAACATTTACAGGTTTTATTCAGGAAAGTCTACTAAAGAATTGAAAGATGACAGCACAAGCAGTTGTCAGAAGAATGAGGTTTAGTGAATATAGTTTACTTTTTCTTCTATTCATTACCATACAAAATAGTAACTGACGTCAGAAATTCTACTGCAACCAAATAATTTGAAAAATACCCAGTAACTTTTAACTTCCTCGCCTCTAGAGCATAGCTGTTATCTGCAGACTATACTAAATTTCATTAGCAATATTTAGCTCTTTAAAGCAATGATTATGGTTATATCCTTATGTTTACCCAGATGATTATTTGACTTGTCTGTTTCCCCCCACTAGACTATAAGTACCACAAAAGCAAAGTCATGTTTTTTGCTTATCACAGAATCACCAGCATCTAGCAGGTAGTAGGGCCTCAATAAATATTTAAGTGAATGAGCCTTCAACCTTTAAGAACATGGAATTGGTTCTATTCCAAACATAATACTATAGTATGCAATGCTTCTGTGAATAAAATCATGAGGAATTGGGAAGTAAGATTTGTGGTAATTCAAATTCCAGAAAAGGGCACACATAGATCCATGGAACCAGATGTACTGATGTCGGCTTCCTCAGCAGCTGTCAGGCTGATATTATCATTAGTCATAATCACTCTCCTCATCATTATTATTTGGATCTATTTCTGTGCTAAATGCTTTAAATACATTATTCTGAATCTTCAGTAATCCTTTTAGGTATGCATTATTACCCTCATTTTACACCTGAGGAGATTAAGGCTTCCAGAGTTCTTTTTATATATACTTTAAGTTCTAGGGTACATGTGCACAAAGTGCAGGTTTGTTACTTACATATACATGTACCATGTTGGTGTGCTGCACCCATTAACTCGTCATTTACATTAGGTGTATCTCCTAATGCTATCCCTCCCCCTTCCCCCCACCCCAGGTCAGGCCCCAGTGTGTGATGTTCCCCTGTGTCCAAGTGTTCTCATTGTTCAGCTCCCACCTATGAGTGAGAATATGTGGTGTTTGGTTTTTTGTCCTTGCCATAGTTTGCTCAGAATGATGGTATCCATGTCCCTACAAAGGACATGAACTCATCCTTTTTTATGGCTGCATAGTATTCCATGGTGTATATGTGTCACATTTTCTTAATCCAGTCTATCATTGATGGACATTTGGGGTGGTTCCAAGTCTTTGCTATTGTGAATAGTGCCGCAATAAACATGTGTGCATGTGTCTTTATGGCAGCATGATTTATATTCCTTTGGGTATATACCCAGTAATGGGATGGCTGGGTCAAATGATATTTCTAGTTCTAGATCCTTGAGAAATCACCACACTGTCTTCCACACTGGTTGAACTAGTTTACAGTCCCACCAACAGTGTAAAAGTGTTCCTATTTCTCCACATCCTCTCCAGCACCTGTTGTTTCCTGACTTTTTAATGATCACCATTCTAACTGGTGTGAGATGGTATCTCATTGTGGTTTTCATTTGCATTTCTCTGATGGCCAGTGATGATGAGCATTTTTCCACATGTCTGTTGGCTGCATAAACGTCTTCTTTTGAGAAGTGTCTGTTCATATCCTTCACCCACTTTGTGATGGGATTGTTTTTTTCCTGTAAATTTGTTTGAGTTCTTTGTAGATTCTGGATATTAGCCCTTTGTCAGATGAGTAGATTGCAAAAATCTTCTCCCATTTTGTACGTTGCCTGTTCACTCTGATGGTAGTTTCTTTTGCTGTGCAGAAGCTCTTTAGTTTAATTAGATCCCATTTGTCAATTTTGGCTTTTGCTGCCATTGCTTTTTGTGTTTTAGACATGAAGTCCTTGCCCATGCCTATGTCCTGAATGGTATTGCCTAGGTTTTCTTCTAGGGTTTTTCTGGTTTTAGGTCTAACATTTAAGTCTTTAATCCATCTTGAATTAATTTTTGTATAAGGTATAAGGAAGGGATCCAGTTTCAGCTTTCTACATAGGGCTAGCCAGTTTTCCCAGCACCATTTATGAAATAGGGAATCTTTTCCCCATTTCTTGTTTGTGTCAGGTTTGTCAAAGATCAGATGGTTGTAGATGTGTGGTATTATTTCGGAGGGCTCTGTTCCACTGGTCTATATCCCTGTTTTGGTACCAGTACCATGCTGTTTTGGTTACTGTAGCCTTGTACTATAGTTTGAAGTCAGGTAGCGTGATGCCTCCAGCTTTGTTCTTTTGGCTTAGGATTGACTTGGTGATGCGGGCTCTTTTTTGGTTCCATATGAACTTTAAAGTAGGTTTTCCAATTCTGTGAAGAAAGTCATTGGTAACTTGATGGGGATGGCATTGAATCTATAAATTACCTTGGGCAGTATGGCCATTTTCATGATATTGATTCTTCCTATCCATGAGCATGGAATGTTCTTCCATTTGTTTGTATCCTCTTATTTCGTTGAGCAGTGGTTTGTAGTTCTCCTTGAAGAGGTCCTTCACGTCCCTTGTAAGTTGGATTCCTAGGTATTTTATTCTCTTTGAAGCAACTGTGAATGGGAGTTCACTCATGATTTGGCTCTCTGTTTGTCTGTTGTTGGTGTATAAGAATGCTTGTGATTTTTGTACATTGATTTTGTATTCTGAGACTTTGCTGAAGTTGTTTATCAGCTTAAGGAGATTTTGGGCTGAGATGATGGGGTTTTCTAAATATACAATCACATAATCTGCAAACAGGGACAATTTGACTTCCTCTTTTCCTAATTGAATACGTTTTATTTCTTTCTCCTACCTTATTGCCCTGGCCAGAACTTCCAACACTATGTTGAATAGGAATGGTGAGAGAGGGCATCCCTGTCTTGTGCCAGTTTTCAAAGGGAATGCTTCCAGTTTTTGCCCATTCAGTATGATATTGGCTGTGGATTTGTCATAGATAGCTCTTATTATTTTGAGATACGTCCCATCAATACCTAATTTATTGAGAGTTTTTAGCATGAAGGGCCGTTGAATTTTGTCAAAGGACTTTTCTGCATCTATTGAGATAATCATGTGGTTTTTGTCTTTGGTTCTGTTTATATGCTGGATTACATTTATTGATTTGCGTATATTGAACCAGCCTTGCATCCCAGGGATGAAGCCCACTTGATCATGGTGGATAAGCTTTTTAATGTGCTGCTGGATTCGGTTTCCCAGCATTTTATGGAGGATTTTTGCATCAATGTTCATCAGGGATATTGGTCTAAAATTCTCTTTTTTGGTTTTGATGATGCTTTTTTGGTTTTGATTTTATGATGCTGGCCTCATAAAATGAGTTAGGGAGGATTCCCTCTTTTTCTATTGATTGGAATAGTTTCAGAAGGAATGGTACCAGCTCCTCCATGTACCTCTGGTAGAATTCGGCTGTGAATCCATCTTGTCCTGCACTTTTTTTGGTTGGTAGGCTATTAGTTATTGCCTCAATTTCAGAGCCTGTTATTGGTCTATTCAGGGATTCGACTTCTTCCAGTTTTAATCTTGAGAGGGTGTATGTGTCCAGGAATTTACCCATTTCTTCTAGATTTTCTAGTTTATTTGCATAGAGGTGTTTATAGTATTCTCTGATGGTAGTTTGTATTTCTGTGGGATCGGTGGTGATATCCCCTTCATCATTGTTTATTGCGTCTATTTGATTCTTCTCTCTTATTAGTCTTGCTAGCGGTCTATCAATTTTGGTCTTTTCAAAAAACCAGCTCCTGGATTTATTGATTTTTTGAAGGGTTTTTTATGTCTCTAACTCCTTTAGTTCTGCTCTGATCTTAGTTAGCTTTTGAATGTGTTTGCTAGCTTTTGAATGTGTTTGCTCTTGCTTTTCTAGTTCTTTTAATTGTGATGTTAGGGTGTCAATTTTGGATCTTTCCTGCTTTCTCTTGTGGGCATTTAGTGCTATAAATTTGCCTCTACACACTGCTTTGAATGTGTCCCAGAGATTCTGGTATGTTGTGTCTTTGTTCTCGTTGGTTTCAAAGAACATCTTTATTTCTGCCTTCATTTCGTTATGTACTCAGTAGTCATTCAGGAGCAGGTTGTTCAGTTTCCATGTAGTTGAGCGGTTTTGAGTGGGTTTCTTAATCCTGAGTTCTAGTTTGATTGCACTGTGGTCTGAGAGACAGTTTGTTATAATTTCTGTTCTTTTCCATTTGCTGAGAAGTGCTTTACTTCCAACTATGTGATCAGTTTTGGAATAAGTGTAATGTGGTGCTGAGAAGAATGTATATTCTGTTGATTTGGGGCAGAGAGTTCTATAGATGTCTATTAGGTCCGCTTGGTGCAGAGCTGAGTTCAATTCCTGGACATCCTTTTTAACTTTCTGTCTAGTTGATCTGTCTGATGTTGACCAACTCCTCGCCAGCAACGGAACAAAGCTAGATGGAGAATGACTTTGACAAGTTGAGAGAAAAAGCCTTCAGATGATCAAACTTCTCCGAGCTAAAGGAGGAATTTCAAACCCATCGCAAGGCTTCCAGAGTTCTTAAGCAGCAGAGACAAATTGAGCTCCAACTCTCCTCCAAGTATATATTCCACCTCTTCCCCTAAAACTGGTTCAGAAATCACAATTTCTTTGATATAAGACATCTGCTCAGAAATGTACCATCTTAGACTTCATGGCGCCAGAGTTTTGCCTCTCTGACTTGGTTTAACCCCACTGATGGCCATTGGATGCATCTTATTTTTTCAAAGAAAATGTTTCTTGCTGTGCTATACAGTATCAGTTTCTTGTAGAGTGCTGTTCTGACAGCTCTGACTACTCTAGGGAAAGAGTAGATGTGACAGATGGCCTTGGCACGAATACCCGAAGGCAAAATGTTAAAATAATTCCTTTCTTGACTTGAAGGATTGTTTTGAGAGCCCCCAGCAAAATTGGAGTTCCAGAACCCAAGTGACCAACAACCCTGCCCTAATAGCGATTTAAAGCAAGGGGTACATGGGTGCTTACCAAGTGCCTTTCACGGGATATTTGTTTTACCTGGTGGATGGCCTAATGCCTGGTTGTTCAATCTGTGACCCGGGGATCCCTCACATGGGAAACTTATTTATACAAGCATATGCTCTCATGGCTCTTCTCTGACCCATGTCCAGTTTATGCCTGCCTGACCATCACTCTGTCACTGGGAGCCTGACCTTGTATTTTCCCCAGCTTTGGAGAAAACCCATCCTGGGGCAGCTCCTAGTTCATTAGATGGAAGGTGCAAATTCAATACTCCACCACAGTAGAAAACATATTTAAATAATTTTTACTTACAGATCCTACGCATACCTCTGTCCCCAGGTCACATAAGTCAGTAATGACAAATAAAGCCAATAAAGAGAGCACGAGCGTGCGTGGCAACTAGCAGTATATAAAAGGGAATAAAGTGTGGGTCAGTTTAAGTTCTCAGGCAAATGACTAAATGACCTGTGTAAAGGAACCAAAGGGAGAAAGCAGGAGCCTAGTTAGCGAGGCAGGTGAAAGAGTCTCTAAGTTCTTATCTCTGACCATCTAAACCATTTAGGTGTGGTGCAAAACTGGAAACTGTTCAGGATGATTACACCCTGCTTCTGATATGAGAAAATTAAACTTGTATTCAAAATGGATGCCAAGGCAACATAAAATTATAACAATTCACTACAAGCATAGATCCAGCTTGAGAATATCATTCTTTTCACATTGGAAACCCACGGAGGATAAAAGGATGGATCATTTTGATAAAGGGTCATTTAAAACTCATAAGTCTTGTTTTCCTGTATTAAGAGTTCAGTGGTTAATAACGGAAAGTGCCATGTCTTAATCATATTTATGATGCAGTTTTTCATCTCTAGGCACAATTATCTGCATAGAACCCCATATATGGTTTACTGAGTCTAACTGGTATATGATTATTGAATGTTTATTGAATCTGTTTTTTAATAGATGATATACTCCAGGAAGAAATGAAGATCCAGTTTGCAGATGAAAATAAAGACAATGAATAATCCTTCTTGGATTTCATGGCAAGTAATTAGTGGAATTAAATGGAATTATATGAAGATGCATGGCTGTACCGAGCCTATGCCATTGTATGTCGGGACAACAACCCACAATGCCAAAACTTGAAGGACAATCAGACCAGACTGAAATTAAATTTAAGATGGTTTGTCTTTATGCTCGTTAACAGAGCTAGCTTTGGTACATTGGATAACATTTTTTATTAACCCTGTATACATGAAACTTTAGCTGTCACGTGGGTGGATAGAATAGAAAAACTGTGAAATCATGGTGGATTCAATGCAAATACCATAGGTGTATCAGTTCATTTAAGATGATAAAGACACACCCAAAACTGGGGAATTTTTACAGGAAAAAGGGTTTAATGGACTTGCAGTTCCACGTAGCTGAGAAAGCCTCACAGTCATGGCAGAAGGCAAGGAGGAGTAAATCACATATTACATGGATAGCAGCAGGCAAAGAGAGAGAACGTGTGCAGGGGAACTCCTCTGTATAAAACCATCAGGATCTCATGAGACTTATTCACTATCATGACAATAGCATGGGAAAGACCCATCCCTATGTTTCAATTACCTACCACTGGGTCCCTCCCATGACACATGGGAATTGTGGGAGCTAAAATTTAAGAAGAGATTAGGGTGGGGACACAGCCAAACCATATCATTCTACCCCTGGACCCTCCCAAATCTCATGTCCTCACCCTTCAAAACCAATCATGCCTTCCCAACAGTCCGCCAAAACCTTAACTCATTTCAGCATTAACTCACAAGTCCACAGTCCCAAGTTTCATCTGAGACAAGGCAAGTCCCTTCTGCCTATGATCTTGTAAAATCAAAACCAAATTAGTTACTTCCTAGATACAGTGGGGATACAGGCATTGAGTAAATACAGCCATTCCAAATGGGAGACATTAGCCGAAACAAAGGGGTTGAGGCCCTATGCAAATCCAGCAGGGCAGTCAAATCTTAAAGCTCCAAAACGATCTTTAAGTCCATTTCTCTAATTTGGGTCATGCTGATACAAGAGGTGGGTTCCCATGATCTTGGGCAGCTCTGTCCCTATGGCTTCAGAGGGTATAGCCTCCCTCCCAGCTGCTTTTACAGGCTGGTGTTGAGTGCCTGCAGCTTTTCCAAGCACATGGTGCAAGCTGTTGGTGTAGCTACCATTCTGGGGTCTGGAGGACAGTGGCCTTCTTTTCACAGCTCCACTAGGCAGTGCCCTAGTAGGAACTCTGTGTGGGTTTCCAACCCCACATTTCCCTTCCACACTGCTCTAGCACAGATTCTCCATGAGGCCACTGCCCCTGCCACAAACTTCTACCTGGGCATCCAGGCATTTTCATACATCCTCTGAAATCTAGGTGGAGGTTTCCAAACCTCAGTTATTGACTTTCATGGACCCACAGGCTCAACACCACATGGAAGCTGCCAAGGCTTGGGGCTTTCACCCTCTGAAGCAACAGCCCAAGCTGTACCTTGGCCCCATTAGCCACAGCTGGAGTGGTTGGAATGCAGGGCACCAAGTCCCTAGGCTGCATAGAGCAGGGGGTCCTTGAGGTTGGCCCACAAAACCATTTTTTCCTCCTAGGCCCCTGGGCCTGTGATGTGAAGGGCTGCCGCAAAGTCTCTGACATGCCCTGGAGACATTTTCTCCATTGTCTTGGTGATTAACATTTGGCTCCTAATTAATTATGCAAATTTCTCAGCTGGCTTGAATTTCTCCCAAGAAAATGTTTTTTGTTTTTTTTTTTTTAATCACACATCTTCAGGCTGTAGATTTTCTGAACTTTTATACTCTGTTTCCCTTTTAAAACTGAATGCTTTTAACAGCACCCAAGTCACTTCTGAATGCTTTGCTGCTTAGAAATTTCTTCCACCAGATACCCCAAGTCATATCCCTCAAATTCAAATTTCTACAAATCTCTAAGGGAGGGGCAAAATGCCACCAATATCTTTACAAAAACATACCAAGAGTCACCTTTACTCCAGTTCCCAACAAGTTCCTCATCTCCAAGACAACCTCAGCCTGGATTTTACTGTGCATATCATTATCAGCATTTTTGTCAAAGCCATTCAACAAGTATCTACGAGGTTACAGACTTTTCTACATTTTTCCTGTCTTCTTCTGAGCCCTCCAAACTGTTCGAACCTCTGCCTGTTACCCAGTTCTAGTTGCTTTCACATTTTTGGGTATCTTTGCGCAATGCCCTACTCTACTGGTACCAATTTACTGTGTTAGTCCATTTTCACACTGCTTATAAAGACATACCTGAGACTGGGTAACTTATACAGGAAAGAGAGTTTAATGAGCTTACAGTTCCATGTTGCTGGGGAGGCCTCACAATCGTGGTGGAAGGCAAGGAGGAGTAAGTTACATCTTACATGGATGGCAGCAGGCAAAGAGAGCTTGTGCAGGGGAACTCCTCTTTATAAAACCATTAGCGCTCATGAGACTTATTCACTATTGCAAGAATAGCATGGTAAAGACCCACCCCCGTGATTCAATTACCTCCCACTGGGTCCCTCCCATGACACACGGGAATTGTGGGAGCTACAATTCAAGATGAGATTTGGGTGGGGACACAGCCAAACTATATCAATAGGTCAACAAATTTACCTTCACTCAGGGTCAATAATCCTTCCTTCTTCTCTGCATTGGATCTTAGTACCTAGCATGTAAAAATTACTAGCTATGTACCTTCCATTTTCCAACTTCAAAAAGTATGCTCCTTTGCCAAAATACTGATAAATGTACTAAGTAAATGACCTGAAGAAGAAAATCATCTCTTGGATGCTATTTCCAGATAAAAGCTTTCCACACTTTAGAGAAATCCAATTTATAAGATTCTAAGATTTTAGTTCAAAATCTACATGTAAATTATGGATTAAAGGAAGGAGTGGAGGGTTTATTTAACTTACTAAAATTATCTGTTCCGTTACACAAGATTCTCTGAAGTTTTCCTTTAAATGGTGCATCAGTACATTAAAAAATGGCAGGATTTAATGGCATGGATGAAATTACTATAGTGTCCCAAATCTCCTTATTTTAGATAGTGAACCTTTGGATATAATTCAGTAAGTTTACCAGGAGTGTTTGACTCTGGTAAATATTGGAGGTGTGAGCAGACAGCACAGAACCAGTGAGTCGTGTCACCTCCCAGGGACACAAAAATGTTTTCCTTTTGTTCTAAACGGTCTTAGATTGTAAGATCAGCAAGCATAATTTAAAAGAATACCCAAATGAATAAACTTTATTGTTTTAATAAACTCGACAAAGCAATCACTGACATGAAAGTGGAACTTAATTAAAGTTGAAGCATAGATAGATGAGCTGGAACTGGAGAGGAAGCACCATTAAAACCAAAGCTCTTTTCTTTCATGCCCTCTAGCCCCAAACACACAAAACAGGCCATAGTGTGCAGAGAGATGTCAGTCCCCTATTAGGATAACAATAATCATATTAATAATACCATAGCCCATTATTATGATTATAAAGAATTAATTATATTGAACTGTGTTGCTGATATAATAATGACCACTTTACTGAAGTAATTCTCAAGGGCCAGTTTTAATTATTAGAAATCACAATGCTATTGAAATTGCTTTCTGTATCCTGAAATAACCATATTCTCTCAATGCCAAGGATTAAGAAGACACATATTTAAAAGTCTGGAGAAAGACTTCTCATGAAAAGATAAAGTGACCCCTTTTGCACCTCAAGTGGCATTATCAGTTCACTTCTCCTGAGACCTGGCTGTTGAGATGATTTCCTGTGTTTTCTCACATCCTCACCTGTCCCTTCAATAAACGCTCATCACCAAAAGGTAGCCAAACATTTCACTGTCTCTCTTGCAACCTGAAAAAGCATAGCCAACTCCCCTGGCTAATTCCAAGTTTGCCTTACTACTTACAGCTCTCTCCACTGCTTTAAAAATTGAGAGAAGAGAACTTCTCCCTAACATTTTGGTACATCATCCAATAATGTAAGACTTCAGAGAAATTTGGGGAAAAAAAAAACCCAAAACACTGTATCTCATTATTAAAAGATTATAAATCCTTCGTTTATATGTAGTCCTTGCTAAATTCATAAAATGGCTTGGGCTAAAAATGTCTGACTGGGAAGGTGTGCTGGCTCAGGCCTATAATCCCAGCATTTTGAGAGGCTGAGGCAGGTGAATCACTTGAGTCCAGGAGTTTGAGGCCAGCCTGGGCAACATGGTGAATCCCTATCTGTACAAAAAAAATATTAAAAACTAGCTGGGCATGGTGGCACATGCCTATAGTCCCAGCTCCTTAGGAGGCTGAGGTGGGAGGATCACTTGGACCCAGGAGGCAGAGGTTGCAGGGAGCCAAGATGGCACCACTGCACTCCAGCCTGAGTGACAGAGAGAAAAAAAAAATGTCAACTTAGTCAGTGTTATTCAATGTCCTAACATACCACATTTTAGCTGCTGACTTAGTCCAGCAGATAGATGAAGTAACTCTGTATTGCAATAACTTCAGGCAGACTTAATAATGTTTCATAGTCCCAAATCCTTACTTGGTTCTCTAGTGCCTAAAATTCTGTACCTTTATATTTAAGATATATCACTTGTAAGCAACATATAGTTGGGTTTAAATTTTTTATTCTCAATCCAGTCTGACAATCTTTTTACTTCAAATGTTTTTTAGCATGTTTACTTCAAATGTGGTTACTGATGTGTTTGAGTTTAAAATACTATATTACTGTCTACTTTCTACTGGGTCCCTTCTGTCTGTTTTCTGTCTCCTTAGCCCCCTTCTCTCTCGTACCTTGGCTTTTTTTTAAATTTACAGAATTTATGTTTTTAATCTATGTTTCTCTTGATTACCTTGGTTTTTTTGCATGAGTCCTACTTGAGGTGTGTACCTTTGGCTTGAAATTTTTTGTGACTTTCACACTGTTATATCTTCAAATATTGTTTCTGCCATATTCTGTTAGTCTCACCTGTTATTTTCCATGAGCACATTAAGCATAGCTATTTTAAATTCCAGGTTTACTATTTTCTGGATCCCCTATGAGTCTTGTTCTTTTGTCTCATGTTTCTCCTGGTTTGTGTTTACAAATTTGTGTTTTCTCATATTATATGAAAGACTGAGAAAAATTGGTTTCTGCAATACGAGGATATCTTCCCCCTAAAGAGTTTTACATTTGCTCTGGACGTAGGCTAAGAATACTAGTAATTCCAGATCACCTCAATTCAATCAGAGATTGACATAATTAAAAATCTATTTCCAACTTACTCTTAGTCCCAGAGAGTACACCTTTGGGGTCTCAACACAAAAGCTAGGTTTGGCAGGGCTTTCCTCCTTGGTGAGCCCTTAATTCCAATGTTTGTCTCACCAACCATATAAGTATTTCACAGCTCTGCTTAGGTTCTCCGACTTTGAGTCTCCTCTTGGAGAAATGGTAGAAATCTATAAGGAAAAGTAGCCCCAAGGGCCAGCCTCACCTCTTTGGGTTTCCTCCTTCTCTCAATTCTTTTGATCTGTAAGCTGTCACTGTCTTAGTGATTTCTTAAGCTGTAAGACAGATGTTTTTCCTATTTGATCCAGCTTTTCCACTATTACTAGTGGGAAGATTGGCCTGAATTACCTAAGTTTGCGATTACCAGAAGTAGAATTCTCACTACCTAAAATGCAACTGTTGGGGAGTTTGTTGGCTGAAGGCTTTGTTCCCACTTAATATTGGAACATCAATAGGGACCATATTAAGCCATTTTACCCGTTTATGTTTTTGAAGAAATACATACATTTTCTTAGATAGTGAGGTTTGGAGCTTTAAGTTATAGTTTAGCTCATGTGAAGAATTTCCAAGAGCCTCTTGGTTATAGATAACAGGGATAGATCAGTATACACATTAATCTACATATAACATATTTCTTGATCCTGGAGTTTTGCAGATACTGCTGTCTAGATGGATCTTTGCTCACTGGAAATATCAGTATAAGGACAACAATCCATCCATCTGTGACTGCTAATGGCAAAGTCAATCATCATTTGTTGTTTGCACTTAGCTTGAGAACTCTGCTCAACCTTGGTCTGATGAGCAACTCTGATGCCTTTTCTCAAGGAAGCTCTGGCTGCTAATTGTGAAATCTTTCTCTTGGTATTTCATAAAGTTTATGCTCCCAGCCAACAGTGGTCATAGACGTTTATTTAATATTTAGATTTAAGTCTTTTTTTAAAATGTGAAAAGCACTACACCAGGTGATATAGAAGGTTAAAAAAGATGAATCTTATTTTTGCCCTCTCATTAACATGACTAATTATGTTACCATGGTTTTAAGACTTTTATTGTACACATCTTCATTGTAAGTCATTTCAAGTCTTTTGAAAGCAGTCAAGGCATAAATAATTAATGAATCTATGAACAAATCTCTATCCTGTTCTCAAGGAGTTTATGATCCAGAACTGACTCAGCTTACTGTGGAGTTAATCAGATTGAGATGCCCTTGAATGGAAGGTCATTAAGCTACTTCAGAGCACATAGTGATGCTTTTATGAGGTAGACACTGAATTGCCTGCCCAACAACCAGTCCTCCTCCTTTGATTTTCCAACTTTTATTTTAGATTCAGGGCTTACATGTGCAGGTTTTTTACCTGGGTATCTTGAATTATGCTGAATTTTGGAGTACAACTGACCCATCACCCAGGTAGAAAGCATAGTATCTGATAGGTAATTTCTTAACTCCCTCCCTCCTTCCCCCTCTAGTAGTCCCCAGTGTCTATTGTTGCCATCTTTATGTCCATGAGTACCCAATGCTTAGCTATCGCTTGTAAGTGACAACATTCAGTATTTGGTTTTCTGTTCTTGCATTAATTTGCTTAGAATTATGACCTCTAGCTGCATCTATGTTGCTGCAAAGGATGTGATCTAATTCTTTTTCATATCCGCATAGCATCCGATGGTGTATATGTACCACTTTTTTATTTATTTATTTATTTATTTTTTTTGAGACAGAGTCTCACTCTGTCGCCCAGGCTGGAGTGCAGTAGCGTGATCTCGGCTCACTGCAAGCTCCGCCTCCCGGGTTCATGCCATTCTCCTGCCTCAGTCTCCCAAGCAGCTGGGACTACAGGTGCCTGCCACCATGCCCGGGTAATTTTTTTGTATTTTTAGTAGAGACGGGATTTCACCGTGTTAGCCAGGATGGTCTCGATTTCCTGACCTTGTGATCCGCCCACCTCGGCCTCCCAAAGTGCTGGGATTACAGGCATGAGTCACCGCACCTGGCTATGTATCACTTTTTTTAATCCAATTCCCCATGGATGGGCATCTAGGTTGATTCCATGTCCTTGCTATTGTGAATTGTGTTGTGATAAACATGCAAGTGCATGTGTCTTTTTGGTACAACAATTTGTTTTCTTTTGGGTATATACCCAATAATGGGACTGCTGGTTCAAATGGCAGTCGTTTTTTAAGTTCTCTGAGAAATCTCCAAACTATTTTCTACAGGGGCTGAAGTAAATTATACTACACAACAGTGTAAAAGCATTCCCTTTTCTCCATAACCTCACCAACACATGCTGTTTTTTGACTTTTTAATAATGGCCATTCTGAGATGGTATTTCATTGTGGTTCTGATTTCCATTTCTCTGATGATTATTAACGTGGAACATTTTTTCATGTTTTTTGGCCACTTGCATGTCTTCTTTTGAGAAGTGTCTGTTCACGTCTTTTGCTATTTTTAAGTGCTCCTCCTCCTTCCCTAACAGAACCCAAATTCTGTTCATCTATCTACCTGCCTCAGCCATAGTTATCAGCCTTAGGGGATCTTCTTCCCCTAGCCAGTAATTAGGAATGTGCTAGGCCCATGGCCCACTTCTGGTCATTGAGATGTGAGAGCAAGTCTCCTAAGAAACTTTTAAAGCAACAGAAAGAGGCTTTCTCTCTTCTTCCTCTAGATGCTTCTACATTTATGGCAACTGCAACTATGGCAGCCATTGTGCAGTATGGCTGAGGATGAAGCCAACATGGATAATGGCAGACTCAGAGACGGGAAGAACATGGCATTTTCACGACATCATCAAGTTGGGGGGCTGACAGCAAAAGTAATTCATTGCAACCATTATTTTCAAGAAGGAAAGAAGGTAAAGAATAGAAACTTTTTAAAGTGAAAGAAAACATGGAGGAGGAGCCAAGATGGCCGAATAGGAACAGCTCGGGTCTACAGCTCCCAGCATGAGCGACGCAGAAGACGGGTGATTTCTGCATTTCCATCTGAGGTACCGGGTTCATCTCACTAGGGAGTGCCAGACAGTGGGCGCAGGTCAGTGGGTGCGCGCACCGTGCGCGAGCCGAAGCAGGGCGAGGCATTGCCTCACTTGGGAAGCGCAAGGGGTCAGGGAGTTCCCTTTCCGAGTCAAAGAAAGGGGTGACGGACGCACCTGGAAAATCGGGTCACTCCCACCCGAATACTGCGCTTTTCTGACCGGCTTAAAAAAACGGCGCACCACGAGATTATATCCCGCACCTGGCTCGGAGGGTCCTACGCCCACGGAGTCTCGCTGATTGCTAGCACAGCAGTCTGAGATCAAACTGCAAGGTGGCAGCGAGGCTGGGGGAGGGGCGCCCGCCATTGCCCAGGCTTGCTTAGGTAAACAAAGCAGCCTGGAAGCTCGAACTGGGTGGAGTCCACCACAGCTCAAGGAGGCCTGCCTGCGTCTGTAGGCTCCACCTCTGGGGGCAGGGCACAGACAAACAAAAAGACAGCAGTAACCTCTGCAGACTTAAATGTCCCTGTCTGACAGCTTTGAAGAGAGCAGTGGTTCTCCCAGCATGCAGCTGGAGATCTGAGAAACGGGAAGACTGCCTCCTCAAGTGGTTCCCTGACACCTGACCCCCTAGCAGCCTAACTGGGAGGCACCCCCCAGCAGGGGCACACTGACACCTCACACGGCAGGGTAGTCCAACAGACCTGCAGCTGAGGGTCCTGTCTGTTAGAAGGAAAACTAACAAACAGAAAGGACATCCACACCAAAAACCCATCTGTACATCACCATCATCAAAGACCAAAAGTAGATAAAACCACAAAGATGGGAAAAAAAGAGAACAGAAAGACTGGAAACTCTAAAAAGCAGAGCGCCTCTCCTCCTCCAAAGGAACGCAGTTCCTCACCAGCAATGGAACAAAGCTGGATGGAGAATGACTTTGACGAGCTGAGAGAAGAAGGCTTCAGACGATCAAATTACTCTGAGCTACAGGAGGACATTCAAACCAAAGGCAAAGAAGTTGAAAACTTTGAAAAAAATTTAGAAGAATGTATAACTAGAATAACCAATACAGAGAAGTGCTTAAAGGAGCTGATGGAGCTGAAAACCAAGGCTCAAGAACTACGTGAAGAATGCAGAAGCCTGAGGAGCCGATGCAATCAACTGGAAGAAAGGGTATCAGCAATGGAAGATGAAATGAATGAAATGAAGCGAGAAGGGAAGTTTAGAGAAAAAAGAATAAAAAGAAATGAGCAAAGCCTCCAAGAAATACGGGACTCTGTGAAAAGACCTAATCTACGTCGGACTGGTGTACCTGAAAGTGATGGGGACAATGGAACCAAGTTGGAAAACACTCTCCAGGATATTATCCGGGAGAACTTCCCCAATCTAGCAAGGCAGGCCAACGTTCAGATTCAGGAAATACAGAGAACGCCACAAAGATACTCCTCGAGAAGAGCAACTCCAAGACACATAATTGTCAGATTCACCAAAGTTGAAATGAAGGAAAAAATGTTAAGGGCAGCCAGAGAGAAAGGTCAGGTTACCCTCAAAGGGAAGCCCATCAGACTAACAGCGGATCTCTCGGCAGAAACCCTACAAGCCAGAAGAGAGTGGGGGCCAATATTCAACATTCTTAAAGAAAAGAATTTTCAACCCAGAATTTCATATCCAGCCAAACTAAGCTTCATAAGTGAAGGAGAAATAAAATACTTTACAAACAAGCAAATGCTGAGAGATTCTGTCACCACCAGGCCTGCCCTAAAAGAGCTCCTGAAGGAAACGCTAAACATGGAAAGGAACAACCGGTACCAGCCACTGCAAAATCATGCCAAAACGTAAAGACCATCGAGACTAGGAAGAAACTGCATCAACTAACGAGCAAAATAACCAGCTAACATCATAATGACAGGATCAAATTCACACATAACACTATTAACTTTAAATGTAAATGGACTAAATGCTCCAATTAAAAGACACAGACTGGCAAATTGGATAAAGAGTCAAGACCCATCAGTGTGCTGTATTCAGGAAACCCATCTCACGTGCAGAGACACACATAGCCTCAAAATAAAAGGATGGAGGAAGCTCTACCAAGCAAATGGAAAACAAAAAAAGGCAGGGGTTGCAATCCTAGTCTCTGATAAAACAGACTTTAAACCAACAAAGATCAAAAGAGACAAAGAAGGCCATTACATAATGGTAAAGGGATCAATTCAACAAGAAGAGCTAACTATCCTAAATGTATATGCACCCAATACAGGAGCACCCAGATTCATAAAGCAAGTCCTGAGTGACCTACAAAGAGACTTAGACTCCCACACATTAATAATGGGAGACTTTAACACCCCACTGTCAACATTAGACAGATCAATGAGACAGAAAGTCAACAAGGACACCCAGGAACTGAACTCAGCTCTGCACCAAGCAGACCTAATAGACATCTACAGAACTCTTCACCTCAAATCAACAGAATATACATTTTTTTCAGCACGACACCACACCTATTCCAAAATTGACCACATACTTGGAAGTAAAGCTCTCCTCAGCAAATGTAAAAGAACAGAGATTATAACAAACTATCTCTCAGACCACAGTGCAATCAAACTAGAACTCACGATTAAGAATCTCACTCAAAACCCCTCAACTACATGGAAACTGAACAACCTGCTCCTGAATGACTACTGGGTACATAACGAAATGAAGTCAGAAATAAAGATGTTCTTTGAAACCAACGAGAACAAAGACACAACATACCAGAATCTCTGGGACGCATTCAAAGCAGTGTGTAGAGGCAAATTTATAGCACTAAATGCCCACAAGGGAAAGCAGGAAAGATCCAAAATTGACACCCTAACATCACAATTAACAGAACTAGAAAAGCAAGAGCAAACACATTCAAAAGCTAGCAGAAGGCAAGAAATAACTAAAATCAGAGCAGAACCGAAGGAAATAGAGACACCAAAAAATTAATGAATCCAGGAGCTGGTTTTTTGAAAGGATCAACAAAATTGATAGACCGCTAGCAAGACTAATAAAGAAAAAAAGAGAGAAGAATCAAAGAGACGCAATAAACAATGATGAAGGGGATATCACCACCGATCCCACAGAAATACAAACTATCATCAGAGAATACTACAAACACCTCTATGCAAATAAACTAGAAAATCTAAAAGAAATGGATAAATTCCTGGACACATACACTCTCCCAAGACTAAACCAGGAAGAAGTTGAATCTCTGAATAGACCAATAACAGGATCTGAAATTGGGGCAATAATCAATAGCTTACCAACCAAAAAGAGTCCAGGACCGGATGGATTCACAGCCAAATTCTACCAGAGGTACAAGGAGGAACTGCTACCATTCCTTCTGAAACTATTCCAATCAATAGAAAAAGAGGGGATCCTCCATAACTCATTTTATGAGGCCAGCATCATTCTGATACCAAAGCCGGGCAGAGACACAACCAAAAAAGAGAATTTTACACCAATATCCTTGATGAACATTGATGCAAAAATCCTCAATAAAATACTGGCAAAACGAATCCAGCAGCACATCAAAAAGCTTATCCACCATCATCAAGTGGGCTTCATCCCTGGGATGCAAGGCTGGTTCAATATACGCAAATCAATAATGTAATCCAGCATACAAACAGAGCCAAAGACAAAAACCACATGATTATCTCAATAGATGCAGAAAAAGCCTTTGACAAAATTCAACAACCCTTCATGCTAAAAACTCTCAATAAATTAGGTATTGATGGGACGTGTTTCAAAATAATAAGAGCTATCTATGACAAACCCACAGCCAATATCATACTGAATGGGCAAAAACTGGAAGCATTCCCTTTGAAAACTGGCACAAGACAGGGATGCCCTCTCTCACCACTCCTATTCAACGTAGTGTTGGAAGTTCTGGCCAGGGCAATTAGGCAGGAGAAGGAAATAAAGGGTATTCAATTAGGAAAAGAGGAAGTCAAATTGTCCCTGTTTGCAGACGACATGATTGTATATCTAGAAAACCCCATTGTCTCAGCGCAAAATCTCCTTAAGCTGATAAGCAACTTCAGCAAAGTCTCAGGATACAAAATCAACGTACCAAAATCACAAGCATTCTTATACACCAACAACAGACAAACAGAGAGCCAAATCATGAGTGAACTCCCATTCACAATTGCTTCAAAGAGAATAAAATACCTAGGAATCCAACTTACAAGGGATGTGAAGGACCTCTTCAAGGAGAACTACAAACCACTGCTCAAGGAAATAAAAGAGGATACAAACAAATGGAAGAACATTCCATGCTCATGGGTAGGAAGACTCAATATCATGAAAATGGCCATACTGCCCAAGGTAATTTACAGATTCAATGCCATCCCCATCAAGCTACCATTGACTTTCTTCACAGAATTGGAAAAAACTACTTTAAAGTTCATATGGAACCAAAAAAGAGCCCGCATCGCCAAGTCAATCCTAAGCCAAAAGAACAAAGCTGGAGGCATCACGCTACCTGACTTCAAACTACACTACAAGGCTACAGTAACCAAAACAGCATGGTACTGATACCAAAACAGAGATATAGATCATTGGAACAGAACAGAGCCCTCAGAAATAACGCCACATATCTACAACTATCTGATCTTTGACAAACCTGAGAAAAAGAAGCAATGGGGAAAGGATTCCCTATTTCATAAATGGTGCTGGGAAAACTGGCTAGCCCTATGTAGAAAGCTGAAACTGGATCCCTTCCTTACACCTTATAGAAAAATCAATTCAAGATGGATTAAAGACTTAAACGTTAGACCTAAAACCATACAAACCCTAGAAGAAAATCTAGGCATTACCATTCAGGACATAGGCATGGGCAAGGACTTCATGTCTAAAACACCAAAAGCAATGGCAACAAAAGCCAAAATTGACAAATGGGATCCACTTAAACTAAAGAGCTTCTGCACAGCAAAAGAAACTACCATCAGAGTGAACAGGCAACCTACAAAATGGGAGAAAAATTTTGCAACCTACTCATCTGACAAAGGGCTAATATCCAGAATCTACAATGAACTCAAACAAATTTACAAGAAAAAAACAAACAAGCCCCTCAAAAAGCGGGCGAAGGACATGAATAGACACTTCTTAAAAGAAGACATTTATGCAGCCAAAAAACACATGAAAAAATGCTCATCATCACTGGCCATCAGAGAAATGCAAATCAAAACCACAATGAGATAACATCTCACACCAGTTAGCATGGCAATCATTAAAAAGTCAGGAAACAACAGGTGCTGGAGAGGATGTGGAGAAATACGAACACTTTTACACTGTTGGTGGGACTGTAAACTAGTTCAACCATTGTGGAAGTCAGTGTGGCGATTCCTCAGGGATCTAGAACTAGAAATACCATTTGACCCAGCCATCCCACTACTGGGTATACACCCAAAGGACTATAAATCATGCTGCTATAAAGACACATGCACACGTATGTTTATTGTGGCATTATTCACAATAGCAAAGACTTGGAACCAACCCAAATGTCCAACAATGATAGACTCGATTAAGAAAATGTGGCACATATACACCATGGAATACTATGCAGCCATAAAAAAGGATGAGTTCATGTCCTTTGTAGGGACACGGATGAAACTGGAAATCATCATTCTCAGTAAACTATCGCAAGAACAAAAAACCAAACACCGCATATTCTCACTCATAGGTGGGAATTGAAAAATGAGATCACATGGACACAGGAAGGGGAATATCACACTCTGGGGACTGTTGTGGGGTGGTGGGAGGGGGGAGGGATAGCATTGGGAGATATACCTGATGCTAGATGACGAGCTAGTGAGTGCAGCGCACCAGCATGGCACATGTATACATATACATATGTAACTAACCTGCACAATGTGCACATGTACCCTAAAACTTAAAGTATAATAAAAAATTAATTAATTCATTAATTAATTTAAATAAAAAGACAACTTTTGGTAAAGCAAAGTGTTTTTTATAATGTCTTTTAATATCCCAAGAAAAAGACAATAGGATAAGGATCATGGTCTGTCATGAATATATCTATCAGTTTCAAATGTAACACCCTCTGAAAATTCTAAAGGTAATTTTTTCAAGCAAGCACTGCATCACAACCAGTACTTGCAACTTTGGCACTATGGACATTTGAGCTTGTTAATTCTTTGTTGTAGGGGCCTGTCCTATGTAAGATATTTACCAGTGTCCCACTAGCACCCCTTGCCCTTGGTTTTGACAACTAAGAATGCCTCCAGACATTGACATTGCCAAATGTCCCCTAGCGGGCAAAGTCACCTCCAGTTGAGAACCATGACTTAGATAAAGTCATTTTTTTTTTACAGGCCTTTGTCCAGTATGAAGAAAAATATACATTCCTTTTAAACAGATACCTTATTTCCTTTTTTAATAAAACATTGTGAACACCACAGAAACATATAAAAGGAGAAAATTTTCCAGAACCCACTGTCTCTCAAATATTAACAATTTAGTGTATAAACCTTAATATTTTTTCTATTCATGCATTTGCATATGGATAAAGTTTTATAATAGAAATAAGATTATATTTTTCATTTTCTGCTTAATGTATAGTACTTTTCACATTTATGTGCATATATTATATTTATATAACATATGTGAGTCTATTTCCCATCCTCATTCTTTACAATGGCTCAATCCCCTTATACTGTATGGATGTTCTATAATTTATTTACCACCTAAAGATGAGCGTTAGAGTTATTTCTAGTATTTGCCATTGCAAACAACACTGCAATGAGCATATCTATATATAAGTCTTTGCATACACATGTGAGTACTGCTTTAGGATAAATTACTTGAAGTTGAATGACCAGATCAAAGGCTATAAAATCAGCCCATTTTGAAAGTCTAAGTGTACCTCCAAATCTGGAATAATAGAAATAACAATCAGGAGGAATGTGTTGCATAACAACTGAACTGTGCTAATGTATGTATAAGAAAAATTAAATCTACGAGGTTTGAGGATAGGTTACCCAGGTTAACTTTTTATGGAAGAGTAATAAAATAGGATTTAGATTATAACTGGGGCTTTTTGAACCCTATTCAGGTGTACTAAATAACAAGTGAAAAGAATGCCAATTTACATTGCTCTAAGTCTCCTAAATCTTGAAAAAAAGCTCTTCTCCATTTCATTGGCTTACAAAAATAAAAAATAAGTGTTGGGTTTTTATAGGGAGAAGTGATTCTAAACTGGGAGTGACTTTGCCCCTAAGGGGACACTTGGCAATGTCTGGAGGCATTCTTGGTTGTCACACTGGGTGGGTGATGCTGGCATCCAGTAAACGGAGGCCCGAGGTGCTGCTAACTTCCTACAATGAAGAAGACAGCCCCTAAAACAAAGAACTATCAGTCTCAAAATGTCAATAATGTTGAGACTGAAAAACCCTGATATAGAGAGAAGATTTTCAGTTATAAACAATGTAGGTTATTTTCCAATATTTGGTCCAGAAAAAAAGCAAGGATAATGCCACTTTCCCAACCTTAGCCTTCCCTTCTCTCCTTACCCTACATATATTCATACAGGTAGGTACCACATAGAAGTCACTGGAGTTTAGGGGTAATCATTAACTTTATTCCTCTCTCCATTATGATTTTGGACCTATCAGGTAAGACATGGAGTTCAAGTCAGGCATGATGGCTCATGTCTAGAATCCCAGTGCTTTGGGAGGTGGAGGTGGGAGGATCACTTGAAACCAGGATTTCGAGACCATCCTGGGCAACACAGTGAGATCCTATATCTATAAAAATAAGTCAGCCAGGCATGGTGGCACATGCCTGTCATCCCAGCTACTTGGGAGGCTGATGTGAGAGGATCACTTGAGCCTGTGAAGTTGAGGCTGCTGTGAGTGATAATCATACCACTGTATTCCAACCTGAGTGACAAACTAAGACCTTATCTCAAAAACAAAAAAGATAGGAATTGGACAAATGATAATGAAAATGACAGCATAATTCCTGATAAGGCTAAAGAGTCTGGCTTGGCTTTTGGCCATAGTTGATCTTCTTAATCTATCTCTAAGGTGTACTTTTCCTACCAAATAGAGCCTTTCTCACCAAATGGAGCTTTCCCATACTCCTTTCAAAGACAGACCTACCTAGAAAGCTCATTACAGTAATGAACAAAGAAGTGCTTCTGAGAACATTCCAAAAGACACACATGCAAGGCTTAGCCCTCCATGCCCAAAGGTTTGCCATCCACACTCACTGATCCTAAGTCCCCCAGTTCCCCCATGAAGGTACAATTAGGGGTTAAGAGATGGCATGTGTGTTTTCCCCATTCTTTTCCATGTTGAGACATTAGGGTAGTCATTATTCCTTGTCTATGAAAATGGAAAAGATAGGGCTATCTCTTTCACTGTAACCGGGTCATAAGGTTTGGATTTGTTTCCCTGCTGAAATCTCATGTCAGATTGGAGGAGGAGCCTGATGTGAGGTGATTAGATCATGGGGGTGGATTCCCCCCTTGCTACTCAGTGAGTTCTCACAAGATCTAACGGTTTAAATGTGTGTGGCACCTTCCCCCTTAGCTCTCTCTCTCCTGCCACCATGTGAAGGCCCTTGCTTCCCTTTCGCCTTCTGCCATGAATACAAGTTCCCTGAGGCCTCCCAGTCATACTTTCTGTTATTAAGCCTGTGGAAATGTGAGTCAATTAAACTACTTTTCTTCCTAAATTACCCAGTCTCAGGTAATTCTTTACAGAAGGGTGAAAATGGACTAATACACCAGGGCAGAAGTTTTACATGACAGACTACCACTTTTTACCTGGTTAAAATACCAATCTATGTAGCATATAAAACAAGTTGTTTAGAATTTTAAAAAAGACACAGTAGAGATACATAAACATACAAATACATATACATACACACATACGTATGTGTGTGATTTATAAGGAAATCAAACTTTTCTCAGTTAATGTAATATTTCATTGTTGGAGATGAATATTTTCATTAAATTAAATACTGGGCGGGTGTGGTGGCTCACACCTGTAATCCCAACACTTTGGCCTGCCTGAGGCAGGCGGATCATGAGGTCAGGAGTTTGAGACCAGCCTGGCCATCATGGTGAAACCCCGTCTCTACTAACAATACAAAAAATTAGCAGGGCATGGTGGTGCATGCCTGTAGGTCCAGCTACTCAGGAGGCTGAGGCAGGAGAATAGCTTGAACATGGCAGGTGGAGGTTGCAGTGAGCTGAGACAGACCCATTGCACTCCAGCCTGGGTGACAGAGCAAGACTCCTCTCAAAAACCAAAACAAAAAAAATCTGAGGTCACTTGTGAAGTGATATAAATTACCTGTCCGCCATGCCCAGTGTTGTAGCCTATGAAGTTTGCATCATCACTCCTTAACTTTCTTAGTTCATTTTTTAGAGTTTGTCCCTGTATACATTCAACTATACCATCCTCAGACAACTTCTCCACTTCTTAAATATTTATCATAATGTAGATAATTTCCCTACAATTTTACGTGCTTCTCAAGATTGGACCTGCTTCTCATAACTAGTAAAAGCTTAGAAAGATTCACAATGACTTGAACTGTGCTTTCAAGCCAAATGGAGAAAAACAGACTTTCAAAACCTTGGTTGTTCACATATCCTTGAGTGAAAATACTCAGAAACTGCTCCAAATGACAATCTCAGTTTAAAAGATGTCAGCTGCACTCTTCAATCTACAGGGCACCAGCTCAGGGTCTTCTCATATTTGATTTATAACTGTAGTGTACCAGCAAAGGAAGGACTCACTGAGCCAAGGGATGGGCTTAGCAGCTCAAAGTTCTATTGGTAAAAAATGCTTTTGAGTTCTACTACAGCTTCCCAGACAAAGAAAATCCCATTGGGAGGGTGGATGTAAAATTAATACTGAAGAGAGCAGCCAACATAGACAGGGAGCAGCCATCCAGAAATTGTTCAGAAGGAACATTTACATGGCCAGCCACTCTGAGTCTGAGGCTGACAGGAAGCTGACAAACCGTACAGAGATGAGAGGTCTTAGAGTCACACAAACCAGCTTGATATTCTCTCACATGAACCTCTAGTCCAGATGAAGAAATATAAAATACCACAGACTTAAGCAAAGACTGAATACATGCATTAAAATAACAGATTCTCTAATTCTCATTCTTATATTTAAATAAAACTTTCAAAAAAAGTAGCTTACAAAAAGAAAAGTTAGAAGAATATAATGGACCATCTGTACACTCACCAATAAGAAATAAAATAAACACATATGAAGGCTTCCTCATTTGCATTGCCCTTCCGCTTAAGAAATAAAGGACTATTAACACATATAAAGCCTTTCTCATTTGTATTACCCTCCCTTTTTACTCCCATAGCCAAAAACTATTCTAAATTTAGTGTTTATCATTCTCATCCATGACCCTTTTACTATATATATGCAACCCATAAATGACATGTAGCATTGTTTTAATGGCTTTAAAATTGTATAAATAGCACCTTACTGTGAACATTACTTCTGCAACTTGCATTTTTCCCTCAACATTATGTTTCCCAGAATTAGCAGATAAGGATTTGAGATATAAGATTTTTGAGCAGAGGAATGACAAGACTTTTTGTTTTGACTTAAACCATCATAGTCTTGGGAACAATCATGTAGATTAGTAAAACTGAAGTAATAATGACTCCAAGACCCAACCAAAGTTGTTATTGATATATTTTTAAAGAGTTAGACTCAATATCCTTCAAATTATTAAAAAAATTTTCTTATTTTACACATCATTTCTCTTTTCATAATTATCACCCCACCATTCACACCACTCCATCCTTTCTAAATATCACCATTCCTCTAAGACAAGGAGAAATATTTAGATACCAATATATCTTACAGTACAAAGAAAGTAAGCAAGATACTTTCTTTCTACTATAACCTAAAACTTTAAGTATAATAAAAAGAAAAAAAAAAGTAAACAAGATAGATTCATCATGCTTTATCCCAGAAAAAAAAAAAGTCATATTTGAAGAGTGACTATAGAGTGGGTATAAAAGACTGAATCCTCAAGACATGAGAAAAGGAGTCGCAGTGTGTTACAATCACAATGGGTAGGGCCTATGTCCCTGAAGTGTAAGCTACATGAAGGCAGGGGTATGTTTCTACTTCTCTGTACCCATGTCTAGAATAGTGCTTAGCACAAAGCAAGTTCAAAATAAATATTTCTTGGTGAATCTGATAGTGATGATGATGAATGAGACCCAAAAATGCAACATGAACAAAATATAAGGGTTCAATTATCAAGACCTGTTGTATTTTTATGTAAGCCCTTCAAATTCTTTCTAATTTTCTCATCACAAACATCCTTTCTAGTGTTCTTTCGGCTTCACTAGGGAAAACCTGCCATCTTTGAATACTAATTATCCCAACATTTTCATACGTGAGGCTAAATGTTTGTCAACGAGCCTTAACCTTATCTATTACAGCCCTGTACCACTGCACTAATAGGAGGGCCAGCCAGTTCCCAGGGGGCATTCTGCCATGGCTACAAATCAAAATCTTCAAGTCCTGCTTCATCCAGGCCCTGGAAGGAAAATGAAACCTATGTCTCAGAAAGCCAATGCATTACTTTACAGGAAGAACTATAACTACTGAGAACTGAATATGCCCATTATCAGGCTTAGGCATCCTCTCCCTCACACAGTGCCAGAGACTTGTTGATGACATTGATTTCTGGAAGGTCACCTGTGCATTGATTTCTGGAAGGTCACCAGACTTGCAAGAGTTCCTGTTATTCGCAGCCAGTGGGAGTGTCCTGCTTGACTTTGACCAATCTTACCTTTCTCAGAGGTCTATTTTATGTTTAGTGGGCTTCTAAGTGAAAGTGTAAATGTCTGCTTCTAGCTCTTAAAGTTTGTCATTCCATTCGTTCTTCTTATTCATACAAACTAATATAATTAAGCCATGACCCGCAAAGGAAATCTCATAAAGGTACTGAGTAATGTGTGTGTAAGAGCTGAGCTTAGTGCCGTAAAACCCAAGGAGACAATTTCTATATGAAAATAGTCTGGACTGGATGTACTGGATTCAATCTGCACTTAACAAACATCTAAAGATTAAATATTACTGTCTCATGAAAGAAGCACATATCTTCAAGAAAGTTCCTATACAGTAGTTCATCAGAAAAACTCAATTCTAACAATGCTATGTTAATTCAAAATCTGAATTGGTAAAGATACAAAGAAATGGGTAAATAATACATACACTGAAAAAAAGAGAACTCAAACGAGATAATCCTCTATGACATTTTTACTGACGTTTTACTATATCAGAATGTGTAAGTTGAAAAAATTAAATCATAGATTTTAAAAACAAACCTCTCAATGGTGTTTAAGTTGACTTTGCAGGGCCAAAATAACCAAACTATCACTTTGAACACCTTATCAGGACATTATAACATTTGAATCAATTATTTTAAAAATAACAAATAATATGGTTAAAATTTAAGTCAAAAGTTTTCATATGGGGGCCAAACATGCTCCAACTTCAAATAGCAACTTCACATCAAAACTAGGACAGAAGGTTCCCCATAACGCCCAGTTATTAAATATTTATGGACTTTATCTCAAAACCCACAAGGGGAAACTGGAGTCCAGTCAGATCATTTTTTAGGAGGCCCATTTTATATTGATTCAAAAGGCATTTATATAACTTGAGAAATGTCAAGGAAATTCTTAGCAAAGGTATAAGAGCAATTTTAAGTTAGTGCTGATGTTAAAGGCCAATGTTTCAATAATTCCCCTGAGGACTGATAAAACCTGAGCTAATATAAACCAAATTTCCCGGATGCAAAGTCCAGAGACTTAAGATAAGGTGTCCTGCCGGGCACGGTGGCTCACGCCTGTAATCCCAGCACTTTGGGAGGCCGAGGCGGGTGGATCACGAGGTCAGGAGATCCAGACCATCCTGGCTAACACGGTGAAACCCCGTCTCTACTAAAAATACAAAAAAATTAGCCGGGCGTGGTGGCGGGCGCCTGTAGTCCCAGCTACTTGAGAGGCTGAGGCAGAACGGTGTCAACCCAGGAGGCGGAGCTTGCAGTGAGCCGAGATCACGCCACTGCACTCCAGCCTGGGTGACAGAGCAAGACTCCGTCTCAAAAAAAACAAAAAAAACAAAAACAAAAAAAAAAACAAAAAAAAAAAAAACAAAGGTAAGGTGTCTAGTTTTTATCTAGTAAAATCAGGTGAGTTTGTGTTCTAGAACAATACACCATTTTATTATTTGAGACCTCCTTTAACTTCAAATATAGAATATTATTTTGCATATTAACATTAAAGGACAGGAGTCTAGTGGCCATCCTCATGTTGAAAGCCTGAGAGCCTCACTACTGCAGTGTTCGAAGGGAGATACCAAAATAGGTTCAAACATTGCTTCTGCCTTGTCTAGTGAGTATAAAAGAGGGAAAAAGAGTGGCTAAATTGATACTTATTGTCATAAGCCAGCACGAAAAATACTCCACATTAAGATATATAAAAGAAACTTTGAGTAATTTATCTAACAATCTTTACCTAACTAGCGTCTAATTATAAACCAGCATTTGAGCCACGAACACCCAGCTCTTAGCAGCTGCAACGAAAAGCACCAAAGCTTTCCCTAAACCACAAGGAAAAGGATGTAGAATGCCACTCCAGGTTGATTCCGGATGTTCTGCCACTTATAAGTCTTCTGTTTATGAAAAAATTATCTTCTCTGAACTAGTTTCTTCTTGATAAGACACTGACCAAGAGCTCAAGAGAAGATGAGCTAATGTCATTTCATTGACTATTCTTGGCCTTTCTTGTCAGAAAGCATAATGCAGTGGAAAGAGCATGAGCTTAGAGTAAGAGAGCTATGGATTTGAATCCCAAGTCTTCCATCTTGTATTATATTGTATAGGAACAACCATTAACATCTCTAGGTTTTACTTTCCTCATCTGTAAAGCAGGGATGGTGTTACCTACCTTGCTTTTTAAGAGATTTTATGAGTGTTGCAAGGGTGGGACTGGCACATAGTAGGCACTCAGTAAGGGTGGTGGGAGTACTGGCTGTCAGTGGATCTGGGGGAGGCTGCAGATCTGACTGAATAAGATAAACGAGGAAGGGAGATCAGAAGTGCAGCTGTCTTGACAGAAAAAGAAAGAAGTAGTGGGGTGGGGAGATGAGGGATAGGTCAAGAAAAGTAGGAGATAAATCTTTAAAAAGCCAGGCTGAGAAATCCCTTAAGGAATAAATAACCAGGTAAATATCCAAGTAAAATCAGAGTGGGGAATGAGAAAACAGAATTCACAGGGATGCCACAGGGGAAGGGAAGGATGAGAATTCTAGCAAAACCAACAAGCAAATGCATGAGAACAAAATGCTTCCCTGGTAAATGGGACCACAGGTGGGCACCGTGATAAGTATGATTTACAGAGATCCCTTGGATAGAAGCATGTCATCACTACAGCCAATTTGAAGCTCCAGGAAAAGCGTGATTGCTGTTTTGTGGGTGTCTAAGGAAAATCACTTTATGATTACACTGAGATGACAGGACAAATACATACAAATTCTTCCAGAGCATATACTCCTGCTGCCTCCTAGTTTAAGATAAGGGAAAGAGGGGGTAACACAGAAAAAAGCACGTCAATTTCGGTAGGTTCCTGTGCAGGACAAATACAGACAAATTGTACCAGGACGTTCACTTCTGCTGCCTCCTAATTTAAGAGAAAAGAAATGAGGTAACCAGGGGAAAAACGTGTGTCAATTTCAGTAGATTCCTATGCAGTAGTGAACAGGAGAAACATCGGGGAGAGGGGGCATGAAGATTCTATTCACTTTCAGGACTCTAAATATCAAAACATTAGGCCCTTCTAGTCCAGAGAACACAATGCATGTTCATCGGGGAGATTTCCGGATGAAATTTGCTGCTAACACAAATCAACCTTGCCAAACCAGAACTGATCAGGTTTAATCAAAACATCAAGGAGCTCTTGGGAAGCAGCACATTGGGATTTCCACTTTCCAGCACACCATGGAAAGACCTGCCTAGTGCCGAGTCGCAAAGAAATGGCTGAAGGGCCTGCCTCACCTTCAATAATATTGATTCTTTACCTGATCTCTTCCCTTACCCAACATATTCAGCTGCTCAGATACAGAAACTCTTCAACAGCCAGGAAGCTGATGCTTGCTCACGACAGAATGGAGGGAAACTTGATGAGCTTGACTTCCAAAGACTCAGGACATCCCTATACTAAAAGGGCTTCCTGCTTCTCCTGGCCTCAATCACAAAAGGAAAAAATTGATGATTTCTTAAAACACTGAGAACTATACCAGGCTATGCTAATATCATAGGTATGCTTTCCTAGCAAAGATAGTTTGGTCCTGAACAAGAAGAGCAGAACAAATCCCAAGATGGACATGCAAGAGTGAAGACCCAGCTCGAATAAGGGCAGAAGCAGTGAGTGAAGGGTCTAGCTAGAAGAGCAATGAGAAATGGCAAATGGGTAACATGAGCAATAGAGGGTAGGGGGGCAGTGGGGCTGGCAAAGCTGTACCTGTCCATGGAGCTCATGATGGGAGCAGGCTAAGAGAGGAGGCATCCATGTGGGAATAGGCATGGGACTGGCAGCAGAGGACAGAATGTGTAAAGGAGAGAAAAACAAACTGTGCCTCTGCAGTCCTACCTTGTAGCATAAATATGGCTGCTTGTGTGATAGGGCACAATAAAACTGTCTTCTTTACTTGACTTAGTGTGAAACATCACAAAGAGCTGCAGCTTGGCTATATTTTATTTAAAAGAAAAAAAAGTTTTGGAGGCACAAGCCTTGGTTCGGGGTAAGAAAACATGTTCTGAAGATGCGAGTGGCTTCTGTCAGCCAAAGGGTAACAGATGTAGAATTTATTCCTACATGCCAGCTTTCTAACTGTCTTCATCAATAATCCTACATATTCCTCAAATGCCCACACAGAGCAGAGTTCAGTGAGAAGACAATACATACCTTTTTTATACTCAATTAGATCTCAAAATATTAAAATTATATTAAATGGCAAATCTCTTTAAGTCTTGCTGAAAGATAAATGCTCACAAGAATAAAAAGATGAAAGCAAACCCAAAAAGTCTTTTGCTTTATCTTGAGCTGCTTGGTTACTCGCATTTTAAATCCTCATCACTGAGTATTTTAAGTATTATAGAATTGAGCAGCCTAAAATCTTTTATTGAATTATCACTCTTAAACAAAACACAAATCTTCAGGCACATTTTCCCATACTTAAGAAAACGCATTTGGCAACAAAAATTAAATGTAACAAATGTTTACAATGCCATGTAATTTAGCATTTGAGCCGGGAAGGAAGGGTGGCTCAAATGATCATATTTCTCCAAACCCATGGCTGCTCCTGTGCCCGGACAAGCTTAGAAATGCCCAAGGTGTCTGTATCCAGTTCTGACAAACCAGCCGGAAGAGCCCCAAGTACTACAAGTAAAGAATAGGGGGAAATAGACGCCACAGAGTTCAGGATATGTCTCTCTCCTACTCCATCCCCTCCCCTTCTTAATCCACAAACCGAAGATGAAAATGAGTAAGGAGAGTGAAGAGAATAAAAGGACAACCACAGTGAACCTAGGAAAAGACAGAAAGGCCACGTCCATTCAGTGATAGAAAAAGTTCTGCTGAAACACCTGAACACTCCACCCATTTCCAGGTGTCACTGAAATGACAGAGACTTTGCCTAGAGAGGGAAAGAAATTGTTCCCACATCTCTTTCACTGTGGAAAGATAAGTCACAATGTGTGATACTTGGTGTTACAGTTCAGGACTGCCAGGCCACTCTGGAATGAGGTCTAATGGTATCAGTCAAGCAGCTATTGAGTAAATATTCCTGATGTCTGCTTCCTTGCAAGACATTTTAAATAAAAATACAAATTATTTTCTTGTTGCAAACAAAGCATGGCAAATCAAACCACCCAAATGTTTTTTTCTATGCTAATATGGTCATAACCATGTTTTAGAAGAAAAACTAGCAAGTACCCATCATGATTGGGTTTCAACAATAAAAAGATTCAGAGATATATTTTGCTTTGCTTTTTATAACGCTCATTTAATGGTTCTTTGTCAACTTTTGAAGCTTGAATGAGACAGTAGTCCTTGGAGGGAAGATGTGCAGAGTATTTATTTGGCACCCATTGTATAAATAGTCCTATACAGTAATTCCCCCTTATCCTTGGACAGTACCTTCCAAAACCCTCAGTGGATGCCCAAAACCTTACATAGTACCAAACTGTATAGGTTCTATGCTTTTCCTGTACATACATACCTATGATAATAGTTTAATTTTAGGTACGGCATAAGAGATTAATAACAATAACCAATAACAAAATAAAACAATTATAACAATATGCCAGAATCACTCCTCTTGTACTTTGGAGCCATTAATAAAATAAGGATTACTTGAACACAAGCACTGCATTCTCCCAACAGTTGATCTTATCAAGATGGCTACTAAGTGACTAAGGGGGAGGTAGTATATAGAAGTAACTAGACAAAGGGATGATTCACATCCTGGGGGGAAGGGAGTGGAATTGTAAGACATTTCATCATGCTACTCAGACAGGTGCACAACTTACAACTTATGAATTGTTTCTTTCTGGAACTTTCCATTTAATATTTTCAGACTGTGGTTGACTGCAAGTAGCTAAAACCATGGAAAGGGTAAACCACTGTGCTAAGTGTTCGACCTCTGTTACATCATTTAATCTTCACAACTAGCCTCCAAATAAATGATTATTGTGACTCACCTTTTAGAGCTGAAGAAGCAGGGCTCAGAAGGACTGAATAATATGCCTAAAGACACAGAGCTAGTAAGTACCATCTGTGAGGTTTAAATGTTCTCTACTGCTTCTAAGTGTATCTTGGGAAAAACTGGTCTCCTGTGAGTGTCCTCCAGCAAACCTACCAGCTAGCAACTATCTGTCATGTCTATTATTAAAAATGAAATATATTTGCTAATTTTTGGCAGAATTTGATTGATTACTTATATATAACCAGATGGGAATCATTAAGACCAGGATAATTTTTCCATTAGTTCTGGTAAGACATTATTTGGAAGAAAGCAGGAGAGGAGCAAGTAGATCTGGAGTGGGAGGAGTGAAGAATCCAGTTACACCCATCCCCTTCATAAAATACATCATTTCAAGATTATTTTCAAAGCTGATTTTCTTGTCAGTGTGGATGAGGTTTAAAGTTTGGCTTAGACTGAGACTTGGAGGCAAGTAATTTAGAAAGTAGAGTTGAAAAGACTGTTGAGCTGAAAAAGCAATATAAATTATAGCTAGTACTTACAGTCCTACCTGGCTGCTTTTGACATATTTATAATTTTCCTCAGCTATTCTACAAGACAGTTATTACCCAGAACTTACAAATGAAGAAACTGAGGTTTATAAAGTTCAGATAACATTTCCAGGGTCACACATCCAGAGAGTAAGACAGTCATGCCAATCTGATATCTAAAGACTTTTTCCTTCAGATATATTAGAGGGTCTCTCACAACATCTTTGCTCAGTTCTGAAACAATGAACAACTTTAAGCCAATGGCCTCTCTTTTCCTCACTTTGTTCATTTATAAAATAAAGGTAGTGCACTAAGTAATTTTTCAGTTTCCTCTCTGCTTCAAATCTTCATGACACCATATGAATTCCGCAAAGACCACACTATCAAATATACCATGCAACAGTGGCTCCCTAAGATTTATAGAAGACTTTGAAATCCTAAACCACGAAACCCCATTTAAAATTCCTTTGATTAAACACTGTTAGCAATCACCCTTAATGGGCAATTACAAAAACTGAATCTGGAGGGCAACAAATTGTCATGGCCCTTTCTAAGTTTGGGTGTAGTAAACAAAAAAAAAAACAGATGTTCCTCAAAGAATCTAAGTACAGTCATGTAATCACAGAGTAATCTTTGAGGGTGGTACCTGCAGAGAACTATAGCTGTCACAGTTCTGATACTATCTTAGCTATGCTTTGGGTTAAGTTTTCCTTTCGATGATACTTCTTCCTTATGTAGACATGAGTATCTGAAAGCCGAAACAATACAGCTGGGATTCTCAACAAAATTCCAGGTTCCAATAATCTAGTCCATGATTATTTGGACTAGATACCATGTTAGTGGTTTTGGTTTTAAAAGAGGCAAAATAGTTTTGCTGTAAGCATGAAATATTTCTAGGAATATAAATAGTCAAACAGAAGTTTAAGTCAAACAGGTTTCAGTCCTACTCCACCACAAACAGGATATGTGACAGTGAGTTAGATAGAGAGCCTACTGACCCCACAGGAGCCTCAACTCTTCATTGGTAAAACGGGTATATATTTACCTTACAGGCTGTTGTGAGAAACAAGTGAGATAAAATATGGCTAAGCCACCATCATATCATACCTGGATTCCTAACTGGTGTCTCTGCTTCAACTCTAAGTCCTACAGACTTTTCTCAGCAGCCCAAGAGATGCTGATAGAAATCGTCATTTCACTTGCAAAGCCCTCCATGATCTGCAGACCCGCATTCTCTCTCTACTCTTTCTATCTCCTACTTCTCTAACGGGGTCTTTGGTCACTCTCCTTATCTTTCTTATTTTTCTATTTTTTAAAGATAAAAGTTATGTATTTATTGTGCACGACATTATATTTTTAAGTATATATACACTGTGGAATGGTTAAGTCTGGATAATTAATATATGCATTATCTCACAGTTATTTTTGTGGCGAGAGCACGTAACATCCACTCTGTTCGCGTTTTTCAAGAATACAGTCATGCGTTGCTTAATGATGGGAATACATTCTGAGAAATGCATCATTAGGTGATTTTTGTTCTTGTATAAACATTATAGAGTAGACATACATAGACCTGATGGTATAGCCTGCTACACACCTAGGCCATACAGTAGAGGCTATTGCTCCTAGGCTACCTCTACAGCATGTTACTCTACAGAATACTGCAGGCAACTGGAACACAATAGTAAGTATTTGTGAATCTAAGGATATCTAAACATAGAAAAGGTACAGTAAAAATAGGGTATAAAAGATAAAAAGTGGTACACCTATACATTGCACTTACAATGAATGGAGCTTGCTGGACTAAAAGTTGCTCTGGGTGAGTCAATGAGTGAGTAATGTATGAATGTGAAGGCCTGGCACATTCCCATTCAGTACTGTAGACCTTATAAACACTGTACACTTAGGCTACACTGGATTCATTTAAAACATTTCTTCAATAATACATTAACCATAGCTTACTCTAATTTCTTTATAAACTTTTTAAATTTTAAAAAAATGTTTTCAGTTTTCCATAACACAGTTCAAAACAAACACATTAGCTGTACAAAAATATTTTCTTTATATTCTTATTCTATAATAATTTTTTCTATGATTTTTTTTTTACTTTTTAAACTTTTTGTTAAAAACACACAAACATACACATTAGCCTAAGCCTACATGGGATCAGGATTATTATCATCACTGTCTTCTACCTCCAAATCTTGCCCTACTGGAAAAGGACGATAGGAATTTTTCAGCTCTATTATAATCTTATTGGATCATCATTCTATATTCAATCTATCATTGACTAAAATGTCATTATGCAGGACAGTACAATATATTGTCATTAGCTGTAGTCACCATGCTATAAAGTAGGTCTCTAATTTATTCCTCCTATCTAACTGTAATTTTATATCCTTTGACCAACATCTCCACATCCCTGTCTCCCCAACCACTCCAGCCTGTGGTGACCGCCATTCTATTTTCTACTTCTCTGTGATCAACTTTTTTAGATTCCACATTCGAATGACATCATATGGTATTTGTTCTTCCATGCCTGGCTTACTTAACATAATGTCTTACAGGTTCATCCATGTTGTCACAAATGACAGGACTTCCTTCTTTTTTATATGTATCTTGGCTATTGTGAATAGTGCTGCAATAAACATGGGAGGGCAGGATATCTCTTCAACATACTGATTTCATCTCTTTTGGATATATACCCAGTAGTAGGATTGCTGGATCCACTCTCCATCTTGAACATTTTCAGCCACACTGGCCTCCCCGCAGGCTCTTGAGCACACCAGGCATGCTCCTACCTTAACATCCTTGAACTTGCTCCTCTCTGCTTGGAATTCTCCTTTCCCTTAGTATTTATCTCCATATAACAGACTACATATTTTATTCATATGCTTCTTTATTAGCTATTTTACCCTCTAGAATCTAGACTTCAAAGACAAAGATCTTTGGGTTTTCTACTACTATATCTTCACATTTTAGAATAGGGCCTGGCATGTCAGTATTCAATAACTACTCTTTAATAAAGAAAAGGAAGCAAGGAAAGAAAGGTGTCTAATATCAAGAAGCTGGAAAAATACACACAAAAATATTATTCAGTAGTGAAACATGAATGTAACTATGTGAAAAACATATGCAATTCTTAGAAATATAATTTGAGTGACACAAGCAAGTTGCAGAAGACTATATACAGCATAATACCCAATTATAAGGAAAGCTAAATAGTATATTGTTAAGAATACTTTCATATGTGATAAAAATAAAATACTATTTTTTTTAAAAAGGGATTAATTTGGTTCCCAGGAAATCCTCGCCTCTAGCTCTCACATATGGCTTACCCCACAATATAATAGTGTATGTTATTTAAAGATGCATATATAAATATACAGTGGAGCTATGAAAATAATACAGGAATGTAGTGTACACTTGCTTCAGGATGGGATTATCTCAGGAAAAAAGATTAAAGTAGCATGTAAAGGGGTATCTCCAGCTGTATCTGTAATATTTTCTTCCTTCCTTCCTTTCCTCCCCTTTTTCTTCCTTTGCTCCTCTCACCCTTTTTTCCTTCCTTTCTTCCTTTCTCTCTCCCTCATTCCCTCTCTCTCTTCATCTTCCTTTCTCTGAGAGTGAGTAAAAAATCTGAAGCAAATATGGCAAATATTTGCTAACCTGTTTAATTTGGTGGAATTATATGATGTTAATATCATTTTTCTATATTCTTCAACAGGTTAAAAATTTTTGCAATGTTAAAGTAAAATTTATGTAATATGAAAAAAATCACATTAATAAACATGAACACAGAACAAATGGACTCTTTTCTAAAGAACATGTAATTTATCAAAATGAAATATACATAAACAAGACTAGACCAAAACTGTCTAAGAAATAAATCGATAATTTAAAGTTTACCTACTGGGGGAGTGAAAAAAGGCCCAGATGCCTTTACGAACAAGTTCTACCAAATATTTAAGGAACAGATAATCCTAATATTATGCAAAATATCACAGAGAATATATATTTAAAAGAAGGAAATGCTCCCCAATCATTTTAGGAGGCAAGTAAAGCCTGGATTTCAGTATCAGACAAGGACCATAAAAAGAAGTAAGGAATCCTAAGAAAATTAAATGAAGGTGTAAGTCTTGGAAAAGACGACTTCACTGAAATTTTAATTATAGGTTTTAGAAAATCCAAGTGATTTATATTCAAATTATTAAAACTAATGAGAAACACAGGAAATTTTCTGGACTTGAAGCTAGTTTGGCCACTTACTATTTATGAGTTAGGCTGAGTTCTTTCAAATGATTCTTATGAAGATTCAGTGACTTTAAATATGAACAGCCCTTAGACACATGTAGTAAGTGCTTTGTGTCAGATGTTATTCTGATAATTAAAAATTAGCAAATGGTATAGATAGGCAAGTCACTGAAGAAGAAATATCAATGTCTAATAAAACACGGAAAATTTTCACAACTTCACTGGCAACTAGGGAAATGCAAGTTAATGCAAAAAATCACAGGGAAAAGTTAAGTGTCTGACAATACCAAATGTTGAGAAATGTGTAAAAAAAGAATTATTAAAATTATACCTTCAGATAGCAGTATTTGTTAAAGCTGAATAGCACATAAACTACAATCCACAAGCCAGAAATTTCACAATCCAGAAATTCCACACATCGGTGAGTACTCTGAAGAAACTCAAGTCTTACACAAAACAATATGCATAAGAATGATCATTACAATTTTCTTTGTCAGAGCCAGTATTGGAGATGATTAACATTCCCCAGTGGAAGAATGTCTAGGTAATTTGTGGTATGTTCACATAACGGAAGACCATACAGCAAAAAAATAAATGAAGTTGTGTTTATCCATATGAATAAACATAAGGATGAGTGGAAAAAACAAGTTTCCAAAAGATATGTACAAGTTGCAAAAAGATATATATATATGTATATAATTTGAACTTTATTCTAAAGAATGCTAAATTATTTATGTTTAAAAACATGACACTATCTCTGGACTAAGGAATGAAAATGGGGAAGGAGAAAAGAGAAAGACTTCCATGTTTTTCTTCATATACTTCTGTATTATCTGAATCTTTTATTTGAGAATATATTACTTACGTAATAAAAGACATAAGCAAGATAAAATATAATGTGGCCAAGCCCAGAGGGACACTCACAGGCAAAATCCAAAGAGCATGGAATTTAGGCCTCAGCTATGTAGAAAAATCAGATTCATTCTTGAGAGAAATGTCTCCCCTTTTCAGTAGCAGTGAATTGTTTTCAGAGCACTGAGAGTGTGAAGTATATGAGGCCTTACTAGGTAAGGAGGTGGGTGTTGAATTATTACTAGTGTTATCCTGAAGCTATATTCTCTTCAGCAGCAGGAGACTGGGTCTTACAATGACCTAAGGATTATCTACCTCTTTATCCATGCAGGACAGTTGTTTCACAAGCCACAGGGTATTGATGAAATGGAACCCACTTGAGTCCTATAGATTAATGGCAAGACAATGCTGGGAGTGGGAGGGCTTTGAGATGCTGTTCTTATCTCCAAAGATGGGAAAGCACATTCTTATTAATTATAGTGAAATCAGAGTTCAGCAATAAAAGCAGCTGGCTTTAGAATGAGCTGTTCTCCAGGAGTCATTTATTTGATGCTACGTTACTGATAAACTGCACCAACTATGACTCTGTGTGATTAAACTTAGTTTGTTCATACACACATCACTGCCTCCTGGAACGGCTAAGGCCAGAGCCCTTAATCTTTGTCAGGGACTCCAAACTATTTGGGCAACTTCACAACAGGTCTCCAGTGGTAGCCACCAGAGCTTGAGATGTCAATTATGCTCATCAAGGTACCCGAAATGAAGGGGAAAAAGTGTGAGGTGGCATGAAGGAAGGAGAGCCTTTGCAGAAATAATCATGTTAGAGAATCTCATCAAACTCAGGAGGGTTGTCCTTCAATGTTTCCTGAAATTTGAATAACTGGAGTAACATATAATAACAATAACATCCACCATTTCTTGTGGACCAATCACGTGGGAGCAGAATGCTATCTGTATCCTGCTTCCTTCAACCCCTACAGTCCTATGCATGCAACTGTTTCACCAGGCCACACCCTCTGAAAGCTCAGCTTGCAGCAGGGCTCTTAAGTATTGGGAGGTTGATAATGGGATTTACTGGGGTAGAGCTCCAGTTCTGTTCTGTCACTTGCATATCCTTTAGTAAATCGTTTAATTTCTCTGGTCTCTAGATTCTTCTCCATATAATTGTGTACGTTAATCTGTAAGACTGCTACAAGGATAAAGTGAAATAATGAATACAGAAGGTTTTTAAAAATTATCTATTAATTGCTGTAGAGCCTAAATGAACTATAAGGGAGAGTACGATATTCCTCCAACATCCAGGAAACACATATCACACACACACACCCCACAACCATGCTTGTCCTCAATTTCATAGGCACAAAGTCATCTTTCCTTTTTATCAAAATAAGTACATTGTCAGTCTCTTTCCTCAAAGCAATATAGTTTTCCTTAAAGTCCAAGTATCTGGAGATACTGAAGTATTCACTTCATTGTTATTTATTTAGGTTATCATACCTAGAGAATTCACTAGCATTTGGAAGTCATTGTAGAGAGTTAAGAAATAGCCACAGCTCTCAGGGGAAAGACAGTGGAGTAAGGCTTCCCTCACCTGACAGAGTTGAGACAGCTTTAGCAAGTTGCTGGGAAGTGCAGCCAAGGCCCACATTCCAAAATAACCTGCACCAAATACCTTAGAAGACAAATCAAGAAACAGCAAAAAACAAGGCCAGTACTCAAATGCCTGCAATACAGCAACCATTCTTCTATATCACACTGCCCGTCTTATAACTCACTTCTAACACCCAACACCCTTCCCACCATACAAGCACCTACCAGATCTCTTCTTATAGGTGACTGATTTCTTCTGGTCCATTCTTAAAGACATGATCATTAGTTTCAGTAATAGTAACAACAGCAAATACTGTACTACCAAAAAAAAAAACTGTGTTTTTTATTGCTTTTAAATGTTAAAATAGAAAATAGTGTATCTTCCTGTAAAAAAAGTGTTATAAATAAGCCTTTGACCTCTAATCATTTTTTCTTAATTTTTGTGTACACACACCCATACATAAACAAGCCCATACAACTGTTACATGTATTCTATAAATGCCATTACATTGTACATATCCTGTAACGTGGTTTTCTGCAACAATATGCTTGGGAACTTTATCCAAGTGAGCTATGATATTCAGTTTACATAGACTCTGCTCATGGAACTTGAAATCAAGCATATTATATTTTTCACTTAGAAACAGCGAAGACATTTTCTAATTGAGAAGAGAGAGGAACAGAAAGAAACTACTGCTGGGCTGGTTTCTGGAACATCAGGTGTCCTGATCCTTGGTTGATTGATTTAATTCATACTTGATCCCTTATTCACAAGTGACAGTCTCAAGAATCAGATAAATCAGTGTAGAAGAAACAGTAATTGCTCTCAGGGCTTTAAAACATAGGATCAGAGTGGTGAGAGAGGGCATCCCTGTCTTGTGCCAGTTTTCAAAGGGAATGCTTCCAGTTTTTGCCCATTCAGTATGTTACTGGCTGTGGGTTTGTCATAGATAGCTCTTATTATTTTGAGATACGTACCATCGATATCTAATTTATTGAGAGTTTTTAGCATGAAGGGCCGCTGAATTTTGTCAAAAGCCTTTTCTGCATCTATTGAGATAATCATGTGCTTTTGTCTTTGGTTCTGTTTATATGCTGGATTACATTTATTGATTTGCGTATATTGAACCAGCCTTGCATCCCAGGGATGAAGCCCACTTGATCATGGTGGATAAGCTTTTTGATGTGCTGCTGGATTCAGTTTGCCAGTATTTTATTGAGGATTTTTGCATCAATGTTCATCAAGGATATTGGTCTAAAATTCTCTTTTTTGGTTGTGTCTCTGCCTAGCTTTGGTATCAGGATGATGCTGGCCTCATAAAATGAGTTAGGGAGGATTCCCTCTTTTTCTATTGATTGGAATAGTTTCAGAAGGAATGGTACCAGTTTCTCCTTGTACCTCTGGTAGAATTCGGCTGTGAATCCATCTGGTCCTGGACTCTTTTTGGTTGGTAAGCTATTAATTATTGCCACAATTTCAGAGCCTGCTATTGGTCTATTCAGAGATTCAGCTTCTTCCTGGTTTAGTCTTGGGAGGGTGTATGTGTTGAGGAATTTATCCATTTCTTTTAGATTTTCTAGTTTATTTGCATAGAGGTGTTTGTAGTATTCTCTGATGGTAGTTTGTATTTCTGTGGGATCGGTGGTGATATCCCCTTCATCATTTTTTATTGCGTCTCTCTGATTCTTCTCTCTTTTCTTCTTTATTAGTCTTGCTAGCCGTCTATCAATTTTGTTGATCCTTTCAAAAAACCAGCTCCTGGATTCATTAATTTTTTGAAGGGTTTTTTGTGTCTCTATTTCCTTCGGTTCTGCTCTGATTTTAGTTATTTCTTGCCTTCTGCTAACTTTTGAATGTGTTTGCTCTTGCTTTTCTAGTTCTCTTAATTGTGATGTTAGGGTGTCAATTTTGGATCTTTCCTGCTTTCCCTTGTGGGCATTTAGTGCTATAAATTTGCCTCTACACACTGCTTTGAATGCGTCCCAGAGATTCTGGTATGTTGTGTTTTTGTTCTCGTTGGTTTCAAAGAACATCTTTATTTCTGACTTCATTTCTTTATTTACCCAGTAGTCATTCAGGAGCAGGTTGTTCAGTTTCCATGTAGTTGAGGGGTTTTGAGTGGGTTTCTTAATCCTGAGTTCTAGTTTGATTGCACTGTGGTCTGAGAGACAGTTTGTTATAACTTGTTCTTTTACATTTGCTGGGGAGAGCTTTACTTCCAAGTATGTGGTCAATTTTGGAATAGGTGTGGTGTGGTGCTGAAAAAAATGTATATTCTGTTGATTTGGGGCAGAGAGTTCTGTAGATGTCTATTAGGTCCGCTTGGTGCAGAGCTGAGTTCAATTCCTGGGTATCCTTGTTAACTTTCTGTCTCGTTGATCTGTCTAATGTTGACAGTGGAGTGTTAAAGTCTCCCATTATTATTGTGTGGGAGTCTAAGTCTCTTTGTAGGTCACTCAGGACTTGCTTTATGAATCTAGGTGCTCCTGTATTGGGTGCATACACATTCAGGATAGTTAGCTCTTCTTGTGGAATTGATCCCTTTACCATTGTGTAATGGCCTTCTTTGTCTCTTTTGATCTTTGTTGGTTTAAAGTCTGTTTTATCAGAGACTAGGATTGCAACCCCTGCCTTTGTTTGTTTTCCATTTGCTTCATAGATCTTCCCCCATCTCTTTATTTTGAGGCTATGTGTGTCTCTGCACGTGAGATGGGTTTCCTGAATACAGCACTCTGATGGGTCTTGACTCTTTACCCAACTTGCCAGTCTGTGTCTTTTAATTGGAGCATTTAGTCCATTTACATTTAAAGTTAATAGTGTTATGTGTGAATTTGATCCTGTCATTATGATGTTAGCTGGTTATTTTGCTCGTTAGTTGATGCAGTTACTTCCTAGCCTCGATGGTCTTTACAATTTGGCATGATTTTGCACTGGCTGGTATCGGTTGTTCCTTCCCATGTTTAGTGCTTCCTTCAGGAGCTCTTTTAGGGCAGGCCTGGTGGTGACAGAATCTCTCAACATTTGCTTGTCTGTAAAGTATTTTATTTCTTCTTCACTTATGAAGCTAAGTTTGGCTGGATATGAAACTCTGGGTTGAAAATTCTTTTCTTTAAGAATGTTGAATATTGGCCCCAATCTCTTCTGGCTTGTAGAGTTTCTGCCGAGAGATCCCCTGTTAGTCTGATGGGCTTCCCTTTGATGGTAACCCGACCTTTCTCTCTGGCTGCCTTTAACATTTTTTCCTTCATTTCAACTTTGGTGAATAGGACAACTATGTGTCTTGGAGTTGCTCTTCTCGAGGAGTATCTTTGTGACGTTCTCTGTATTTCCTGAATCTGAATGTTGGCCTGCCTTGCTAGATTTGGGAAGTTCTCCCGGATAATATCCTGGAGAGTGTTTTCCAACTTGGTTCCATTCTCCCAGTCACTTTCAGGTACACCAATAAGACGTAGATTTGGTCTTTTCACATAGTCCCATATTTCTTGGAGGCTTTGCTCATTTCTTTTTATTCTTTTTTCTCTAAACTTCCCTTCTCAGTTCATTTCATTCATTTCATCTTCCATCACTGATACCCTTTCTTCCAGTTGATCGCATCGGCTCCTGAGGCTTCTGCATTCTTCACGTAGTTCTCGAGCCTTGGCTTTCAGCTCCATCAGCTCCTTTAAGCACTTCTCTGTATTGGTTATTCTAGTTATACATTCGTCTAAATTTTTTTCAAAGTTTTTAACTTCTTTGCCTTTGGTTTGAATTCCCTCCTGTAGCTCAGAGTAGTTTGTTCGTCTGAAGCCTTCTTCTCTCAGCTCGTCAAAGTCATTCTCCATCCAGCTTTGTTCCATTGCTGGTGAGGAACTGCGTTCCTTTGGAGGAGGAGAGGCGCTCTGCCTTTTAGAGTTTCCAGTTTTTCTGCTCTGTTTTTTCCCCATCTTTGTGGTTTTTATCTACTTTTGGTCTTTGATGATGGTGATGTACAGATGGGTTTTTGGTGTGGATATCCTTTCTGTTTGTTAGTTTTCCTTCTAACAGACAGGACCCTCAGCTGCAGGTCTGTTGGAGTTTCCTAGAGGTCCACTCCAGACTCTGTTTGCCTGGGTATCAGCAGCGGCAGTGGCTGCAGAACAGTGGATTTTCGTGAACCGCAAATGCTGCCATCTGATCGTTCCTCTGGAAGTTTTGTCTCAGAGGAGTACCCAGCCGTGTGAGGTGTCAGTCTGCCCCTACTAGGGGGTGCCTCCCAGTTAGGCTGCTCGGGGATCGGGGGTCAGGGGTCAGGGACCCACTTGAGGAGGCAGTCTGCCCATTCTCAGATCTCTAGCTGCGTGCTGGGAGAACCACTGCTCTCTTCAAAGCTGTCAACATAGTGTTGGAAGTTCTGGCGAGGGCAATTAGGCAGGAGAAGGAAATAAAGGGTATTCAATTAGGAAAAGAGGAAGTCAAATTGTCCCTGTTTGCACATGACACAATAGTATATCTAGAAAACCCCATTGTCTCAGCCCAAAATCTTCTCAAGCTGATAAGCAACTTCAGCAAAGTCTCAGGATACAAAATCAATGTAGAAAAATCACAAGCATTCTTATACACCAATAACAGACAAACAGAGAGCCAAATCATGAGTGAACTCCCATTCACAATTGCTTCAAAGAGAACAAAATACCTAGGAATCCCACTTACAAGGGATGTGAAGGACCTCTTCAAGGAGAACTACAAACCACTGCTCAAGGAAATAAAAGAGGATACAAACAAATGGAAGAACATTCCATGCTCACGGGTAGGAAGAATCAATATCGTGAAAATGGCCATACTGCCCAAGGTAATTTATAGATTCAATGCCATCCCCATCAAGCTACCAATGACTTTCTTCACAGAATTGGAAAAAACTACTTTAAAGTTCATATGGAACCAAGAAAGAGCCCGCATCGCCAAGTCAATCCTAAGCCAAAAGAACAAAGCTGGAGGCATCATGCTACCTGACTTCAAACTATACTACAAGGCTACAGTAACCAAAACAGCATGGTACTGGTACCAAAACAGATATAGAATAAAGGAACAGAACAGAGCCCTCAGAAATAATGCCGCATAGCTACAACTATCTGATCTTTGACAAACCTGAGAAAAACAAGCAATGGGGAAAGGATTCCCTGTTTCATAAATGGTGCTGGGGAAACTGGCTAGCCATATGCAGAAAGCTGAAACTGGATCTCTTCCTGACACCTTATACAAAAATTAATTCAAGATGGATTAAAGACTTAAACGTTAGACCTAAAACCATACAAACCGTAGAAGAAAACCTACGCATTACCATTCAGAACATAGGCATGGGCAAGGACTTCATGTCTAAAACACCAAAAGCAATGGCAACAAAAGCCAAAATTGACAAATGGGATCTACTTAAACTAAAGAGCTTCTGCACAGCAAAAGAAACTACCATTAGAGTGAACAGGCAACCCACAGAATGGGAGAAAATTTTCGCAACCTACTCATCTGACAAAGGGCTAATATCCAGAATCTACAATGAACTCAAACAAATTTACAAGAAAAAAACAAACAACCCCATCAAAAAGTGGGTGAAGGATATGAATAGACACTTCTCAAAAGAAGACATTTATGCAGCCAACAGACACATGGAAAAATGCTAATCATCGCTGGCAATCAGAGAAATGCAAATCAAAACCACAATGAGATAACATCTCACACCAGTTAGAATGGCGATCATTAAAAAGTCAGGAAACAACAGGTGCTGGAGAGGATGTGGAGAAATACAAACACTTTTACACTGTTGGTGGGACTGTAAACTAGTTCAACCATCGTGGAAGTCAGTGTGGCGATTCCTCAGGGATCTAGAACTAGAAATACCATTTGACCCAGCCACCCCGTTACTGGGTATATACCCAAAGGACTATAAATCATGCTGCTATAAAGACACATGCGCACGTATGTTTATTGTGGCACTATTCACAATAGCAAAGACTTGGAACCAACCCAAATGTCCAACGACAGACTCGATTAAGAAAATGTGGCACATATACACCATGGAATACTATGCAGCCATAAAAAATGATGAGTTCATGTCCTTTGTAGGGACATGGATGAAAATGGAAATCATCATTCTCAGTAAACTATCACAATGACAAAGAACCGAACACCACATGTTCTCACTCATAGGTGGGAATTGAACAATGAGAACACATGGACACAGGAAGGGGAACATCACACTCTGGGGACTGTTGTGGGGTGGGGGGAGGGGGGAGGGATAGCATTAGGAGATATACCTAATGCTAAATGATAAGTTAATGGGTGCAGCGCACCAGCATGGCACATGTATACATATGTAACTAACCTGCACATTGTGCACATGTACCCTAAAACTCAAAGTATAATAATAATTTTAAAAAAAATTAAATACATTTTCAGTCAAAAAAAAAAAAAATAGGATCATAGATTTTCAGCTAGAGGGGCCAGAAAAGAGCTCAGATTCCAAATCCCATATTTTATAGATAAAAAATTTAAGACTCAGGAATGTTATTAGTTTATCCAAAGTTACATACCCCAAGTTTCCTGGCTGTGTCCCAATATTAGGGTTTTTCCTACTTCTCTAGTTTTGTCTCAAGGGCATCAGAAGTAATCAATAAAGAAGTCCGTATTAAAAAAAAATCTGATACCTCACCAGCTATAAAATGTGTGATATTTGTTCTTTGAGCTGGGACACTGCAGTAAAAAATGACATTGATATTTAATCAATCAACAGTGATGATGACACATTGCTTTTACTCAATCCCAAAGGCCCAAGTCAAGATTCGCTCAAGTTGGGGAAAACCACAGGACTTCTCCTAGCCATAAATAATATCTGTGTTGAGAATTAAATTTAATTAAACGATGCATGTGATCCATGTTCTTAGCACAGCACCTAGTACGTAAATGGACTAACGTACTTAATGGTAGACATTTTTATTTAATGATACCCTCTTTGCTAGGAATTTTCTCATTGCTCTGAAGTAGAAGATATTTGGGGCCACTGAGTCCTACTTGCCAGCACTCTAACCCAAATCAGCTTTCCAGCAGTTATTTTACTCAGAGAAAGGGTGATGGTGGTTATACTGAGTACAGAGCCATTTGGGTCAACTCCAGGAAAAAAAAAAGATCCTATTTTATTTCATTAGGAGAAGTGTCTTCCCATTGTAGAAGTCAGCACTTTTCCTACCTGGCACCCCTGTTCAGTTATGAATGGAAATGGTTGCTAATCTTCCTTCCAGGCCAGCCTTTCTCTGAGTCTTCAGGCAACTGCCATGTGCCAGCTGGCAATGAGCTCTGGAGTTAAGAGGCTCTTCTCAGGTTTTTCACATTTGCTATATTAACAAGTTCATCCATTTAATTTTTTCCAAGGCCTTCTTTCTAAATGAACAGTAAACATGCCATTGTCGTTGGATAAGAGCCTCTTTGACCTTCTCTCTGAGCCGCTTATGAGAAGCAGATGCTATGTTATTGTTTAGGGAAACCCAGGAGTGCTCTGATTACATATGTGTAAACCAGATGCTGACCAGGGTACCGTGGCCCCTAGAAATGTAGATAAAATCAGCTGCAATCCCTGTTCCATGCCCAGGGCAGGTCTAAAACATCTGCACATACTCCCATCCTCTCCCCCAAAATTTCCTGCAATTCTTGAGCAAACTCGTCCTTGTGGTCACCTCTGTTTCTAGGCTCCTGGTTGTCATGTGCTTGCTTTCTCAACTCAGCACTGAATTTCCTCAAATGTCAAACTTAGCTTTATCAGAAATTTCTAATTGATCATTCGATCAATCAACCAATTAAACATATCCCCAAAGGATATATGATTATAATTCAATGAATTTGAGTTTTGTGTGGAGACAGGACAATGTTAACATGACAACTTTTATGCATCTCTAGTCTTCAGTGTGTTTTGTTCACTCCACCTTGGGGAATTTCTCTTAGCTGCACCTGACCATAAGACCAGCTCCACTGCAAATTACTGGCTTCTTTTTTCTTGTCCAGCCTCCTACCCCTTCTTCTCATCCTCTCCTCTGTTCAAATTCCTCTGTCAATTATGCTGTGTCATTCAACACTCCCCAATTAAGAAAACAAAACCCTTCCCCAGCTCACCTTTGTTCGATGAAACCCAACAAAGTCTTCAGTAAGGCCATGCAGTTGCTTCCCTCCTTGGAGGGCAATTGCCTTAGCTAATGAAAGTTTGTTCATTTGTTTTTCATTTTGTTACACACAAACCAAGTATCTTGGTTTGGTATAGGACCAAAGGGCTGCATTGGTCATATTGAGGTTCTGTGAAAGGCACTCCCTGGAGTGGGGCCGGGCTGAGTTCTATGGCCATTTGCAGCCACCTTGAAGGCAACTAAGGAGCAAGAAGAAAACTAGTTGCTACTGTAGTTGACAACTGTGGGGAGAAACATTTAAGGCATAGGACACAATTTCGCTTAGGTGAAATTGTGGGAAGAGAAAGGAATCCAAGAAAGGGTGAAGAAATAAAACAAGAAAAAAAAGAGAAGCAAATGCAGCAGCTGGAAAGAGAAGAGGGGCATTTTATGACAAAAGAAAAGGAAAGAACTATGTGAATAAAGGGAATGCTGAAGGGGCAGTGAAATAATAGAGGTGGCATAGAATAGAGGCCACCCTGCCCCCATTTTCTCCCATCTCCACCATCCATTTGACTTGACATCAGCCTGTAGGTCATTGGCAATGTGGTCTAACAAAGCAGGGCACTAGGCTTGAGCTCTGTCCAAACTCTGCTCAGTGTCCATGGGCAAGTCCTTTTTAATCTCTCTCATCTGTTTGGTTCGTATCTGTGATGGTTAATACTGAGTGTCAACTTGATTGGATTGAAGGATGCAAAGGATTGATCCTGGGTGTGTCTGTGAGGGTGTTGTCAAAAAAGATTAATATTTGAGTCAGTGGGCTGGGAAAGGCAGACCGACTCTTAATCAGGGTGGGCACCATATAATCAGCTGCCAGCATGGCCAGAATATAAAAAAACCGGCAGAAAAACGTGAAAAGACTAGACTGGCATAGCCTCCCAGCCTATATCTTTCTCCAGTGATAGATGCTTCCTGCCCTTGTGTCCTGCCATCGGACTCCAAGTTCTTCAGCTTTGGAACTAAGATGGGCTTCCTTGCTCCTCAGCTTGCAGACAGCATATTGTGGGACCTTGTGATTATGTGAGTTAATACTAAATACAGTCATTCATTCATACATATATATATATATATATCTCCATCCTATTCGTTCTGTCCCTCCAGAGAACCCTAATACAATCTCTAAAAGACAGCAATGGAAATTCAATTTGACAGTCCCTTCCATGATTCAACATCACAGAGAATCAACGTTGCCGTGAGATAGGATAGGTAATTCTTTGCTCTTCCCCTATCACATGCATATTTGCTCCTTTCTTTTCCCTCCTTCTTTCTCTGGGTATAGTGGAGCCAGAAGCCAGGAAGTTCACAGTGGCTAAAGGGTCCATATAGTTCTGTGCTACCTAAGAGCATTCCAACCACCAGGAAGAGGTATAATGTCCAAATGCATCTTTTTAACCATCACTCCAGCCACCTTAGAGTAGCGTGAGAAATCAAGTTGTGTTCAAACTGATTTTGCTGTCTTACCATTCAAGTTGGGTTAAAGGATCAAAACATGATGTGCATTTACATGCAGTTGTTTCTGCCTTGTTCAACACTCTCATCAAGTACCAGAGTGTGCAGGCCTCTGCTGTATGCTATAGGGTTTTCCGGAATACACTAATGTGCATCAGGGTATCAAGGATATCCGTATCAAGGAAGGGTATGGCTAGCAAGTAGACATTTGACTGGAGAAGTTCCAGAAAGAGAATGCAGCAGCCTTCAGCAGCCCTCATCAAAATCCCTGCCTTCTCAAAAGAATATCTCTAAAACCTTTAGAGGAAAACAGAATTAGAGAATTGAATTCACCAGACATTAACAATGGCTAGTAGACATTCTTGTTAAGCAATACTAATGAAGCTATGTAAATGAATCTCCAAGTACATAATTTAAGTCTTGTGATGGACTAAAGGGAAACGTGGATACCTTCGAACAGTTTCTGAAAGTATAACACAGAGACTATATATTTCTCTACCTCCATATCAATCTGTATTTTGTTTATTTTTTTCCATGTACTGACACTACAAAACAAATACAAATTGAAAAGAAAAAGACCTGGAGATAAGGAAAGGCTAAGAAACTTATTAAGAGCACCAAGGATGGAGAATCTCACTGCAAAACCAGGAGCAAGTTTTGCTGATATAGAGTAAGACTGGCTGAAGCAGATTAGGTGCCTAAAACTTATGTCAGAGATTGAATAGCCAGTTACAGTTCTCAGTCTTAGTGGAAACCCTGAGAAAAGGTTTCTATGGTCAAATATAATTGGGAAATGTAACATAGTATACACTGCTCTTTGATATTCACAATACATATTAAAGATTCTGAAGTTTCCTACAGTTCTATATATATATATGTATGTATATATATAGAACTGTATATATTCTATATATACTGTATATATTCTATATATATAGAACTGTACATATTCTATATATATAAAACTGTACATATTCTATATATATAGAACTGTACATATTCTATATATAGAACTGTACATATTCTATATATAGAACTGTACATATTCTATATATATAGAACTATATATTCTATATAGAACTGTATATATTCTATACTATATATGAATATATATATGAATGTCTATATATACATATATATGAATGTCTATATATACATATATGTATATATACGTATATATGTATAGACATTCATATATGTGTATATATAGACATTCATATATGTATGTCTATATATGTATATATATACACATATATGTATATATATATGTGTGTGTGTATATATATATATATATATATATATATATATATATATATATATATATATGAATGACTCAATGAGCTCAGTTTTGCCCAAACCCTTTTCTCCATGGGACCCTTTTTCCCACGTAACACTTATTAACTTATTACAGATCTGTTATTCCAGGGACACTCAGAACGACTGGCCCTGCATCATTTCAACACCCACGATGAAACACTCCTCTGCCATAGGAAGATGAGGCCTAGGAGCTACACAGCATTAAAAATAAAGTTATTTCTCATTCGTGTTGATAGAAGAAAAAACGAGTGAATAGGGAAAGGGGTATCTTATTCCAACAGGTGTTTTCTTGCTGGAAAAAGATGCAGATTAATCAAAGGTATTGAGCTATTCCTTATTGTGGGATTCTTTTCACGTTTTGACTGTTATTCTGGACAAAACAAAGCCCACATAATTTTGATCCACCTTTGCCTTGTATACCCTCTGACATCCCTCTCACAGTCATTGTTCCTTGTTAATTATACAGTGAAATTCTCCTTTAGTGAATTGCTCCTTTCTTTTGTAAATATTCACTAGTGAATTGACCCTTCATTGTTCCTTCTTAATTATTTAGTGAAAAACCATTAATGCAAGAGTGGACTGTTTTGCTTATAAGTGTCACAAAACCAACAATTCTTATTACAAAATGTGAGCAACTAGCATCAGTTTATGGAATACCAGGGCACATGCAGTACAATACTGTCAGTGAGAACTAATGACTACAGAGTCCCTCTCTCGGACCATGCCACCAACTTGCTGCTATGTGACCTTGCCAAGACCACCTGACACTTGGCCATGACTGCCTCACTTCTTAAATGAGATTATAATATTAAATTTGGCTCAACAGTCTCAGCCTACTCTAACCGAACAGGAGGCAAGATAAAATGTGGTTAAATATTTTGGGTTTACAGTCAGACCAACCTGAATTAGAATCCCAGCTCCACTGCTTACTGTCTGCATGCCTGAGCAAATTACAGAACTTCTCTTTACTTGGAGGTAGTAATAATCCCAATTATCCATTAATATTTAGTTGGACTAGTATGTAAGGATTAAATAAGTTATATTAAAACATTTATATCCTGGCACATAAAACGTGGTCTATAAATATCCCCATTATTGTTATTCACTTCCTGTGCTTCTGAATTCTGTGTATCTAATAGGCGGGCAGGGCTCAAAGAAAGCCAGATTGGGCAATGTAAAGTCAGCAAATACATGAAGCACAATAGCTTGATCCTGCTAGCCTCCACCAAGTTCTAGAAATTTCTCTAGCTAGATCTTTCATAGAGGGCTTGAAATGAATTCATTTAACTTTACTTAAATCAGATAGTGTTGCCATTCTGTTTAAAACTCATTAATGGCTTCTGATTACATCTAGAGTAAAATATCAAATGCCTATAGGTCTCATTATCATCTGTCCTGGATTTCCGCTTGGCCTCTCTTCCCACCAGTCTCCTCTTCACTCTCTCCTCCAGGCTCCTGGCTCTACCTTCAGAACAGTGCATGAGCCACTGCCTACATTGCTCTTGCCTTCATTTCTTACATGATCAATTCTTTCCCTTCTTTCAGGTCCCAACTTCCTCAGAGAGACCTTTTCTAACTATACCATCTAACGTGGCTTCCAATTTCCCTCACTCTCCCCAAAATATCCTATATTAATTATTTAGAACCGTGTGATCAATTATTTTCTCAATTTATTTGGATACCCAACTACAATATCCCAAGGACCATCCTAAGAATAACAATTTATACAAACGAGGAAGAAAGTTAGCTTGAAATTATTTCGGTCCTGATATTTTGGCCCCATAGCCCACTATCCCCCATTGATAGTCCCGACGTCAATTACTTAAAAGCCTCTAAAGAAGATAGAAAATCTTATTCATGCAGCTGAGGTAGAGCCTCACCCCTAGTCCAATCAACTACAATGAGGAGCCACGCCATACATATATGACGCCCTGTGTAGCTATAGGCTGGGCGGATCCTCCACAACATGTGTGAGCAGGATTCAAGGCCTCTGGAGCACAGAAGGAGGATCAAGCTCTGAGCAAAAGCTAGAAAACTTCTGCTCTCTCAAGACATTTAGCATCTCCCCATTCTCCTCTTCCATGTAACTCCTAAGCAGCAATGACAACTTTCTCCTTTCTGAGAGCACCCATATTGAAGCAAGTATCTCCTAGCACTGTGATTCTTTCTGTATAACCGTATCTTCCTCTACTAGACACTGTACTAGGTGCTCATAGTCTAGTTCCTATTAGATGCAGAACAATTTTATAAATGAATGAATGAATGCCTGAGTGAATGCATGGATCAATTAAAAATTAACTGATGACGATAACTGAGGGTCAATAGGAGAAAAGCAAAGAATTATCCTGAGCAATGCTGGGTCAGACGTTGGAGGTGCCGATCTATAATCGTGGATAGAGACATAATATAATCTGTGTATCCCAGTGACTGATACATGGCAAACCTTTGTAACTGGTAGTTGCTCATTGTAATGATGGTGATGTGAAAAAGATGATATTGATTCCACACTTAGCAATGAGGTACATAAACATTTTTGCACTTCTAATAGAGGAAAATTGTCCAGTGCCTTCATCTTCTCCTCTCCATACACTTTTAAAGGTCACTTTTCAAAAAGACCATCTCGTCTTTGTTCTGTGGGAGGATAATGAAAGTTAAAATGTCTGCTTTTCAGAGGATGCTTTAAGCTAAACTGAAATTCAAATCAAAGAAATAATTCCATTTCTGTCCCAAACATCTTGAAGCTCTTTTGATCTTCAGCAGGGGAGGGTAATCCAGTTTTTATCATTTACTTTGCTCGAATACAGCTGCTTCCTTTTGCTGAAGCAGCTGGAATTTATCTCATTTCTTAAGTTTTGCTTCAGAATTTGGCTTTTTCCCTTTTTTCCAGGCCTGGTATAAATAAGGACATGAGCTAAGAGAATGAAAACATAAACCAAGTGCAGCCAGCTAAGGAGCTCTAAAATTTGTTTTCATTATGAGCATTGCTGGGACTCCAATCTGTCACCCATTTCCCAGGAATGTTTAGATGTTGGGTGGGAGATCAATTACATAGTCTGCAGAACGTAACTGGTATTGAAAAGGATGGAGATCTGGGGAAACACGGGCAGTTCTCTGACAAACATTAAATATTAAACTAATCAGATATGTTCTTGGAATTATGAAATTGCCTGAATAGAACGGAAAAGTCATAATAATTTGGCTAACACGTATAAAGCCCTTTGGAGCATGGCCTATGCCCAATAATCCTGAAAATAGATTAAGTGTTATTATACATTGCTACTAAAAAATTGATTTGATATCTCTATATTGGACCTCAGATATTATTTAAATGGACAAATAAGAATTGTATGTTAATTGTGGACAACATGTTGTTTCAAAATATGTATACATTGTAGCGTGGCTAACTCAAGCTAAATAACATATGCATTACCTCACATACTTTTTTTTGCAGTGAGAACAGTTAAAAATCTACTTTCAACATTATGTTGAATAGGAGTGGTGAGAGAGGGCATCCCTGTCTTGTGCCAGTTTTCAAAGGGAATGCTTCCAGTTTTTGCCCATTCGGTATGATATTGGCTGTGGGTTTGTCATAGATAGCTCTTATTATTTTGAGATACGTCCCATCAATACCTGATTTATTGAGAGTTTTTAGCATGAAGGGCCGTTGAATTTTGTCAAAGGACTTTTCTGCATCTATTGAGATAATCATGTGGTTTTTGTCTTTGGTTCTGTTTATATGCTGGATTACGTTTATTGATTTGCATATGTTGAACCAGCCTTGCATCCCAGGGATGAAGCCCACTTGATGATGGTGGATAAGCTTTTTGATGTGCTGCTGGATTCAGTTTGCCAGTATTTTATTGAGGATTTTTGCATCGATGTTCATCAAGGATATTGGTCTAAAATTCTCTTTTTTGGTTGTGTCTCTGCCAGGCTTTGGTATCAGGATGATGCTGGCCTCATAAAATGAGTTAGGGAAGATTCCCTCTTTTTCTATTGATTGGAATAGTTTCAGAAGGAATGGTACCATCTCCTCTTTGTACCTCTCGTACAATTCGACTGTGAATCCATCTGGTCCTGGACTTTTTTTGATTGGTAAGCTATTGATTATTGCCTCAATTTCAGAGCCTGTTATTGGTCTATTCAGAGATTCAACTTCTTCCTCGTTTAGTCTTGGGAGGATGTATGTGTCGAGGAATTTATCCATTTATTCTAGATTTTCTAGTTTATTTGTGTAGAAGTGTTTATAGTATTCTCTGATGGTAGTTTGTATTTCTGTGGGATTGGTGGTGATATCCCCTTTATCATTTTTTATTGCGTCTATTTGATTCTTCTCTCTTTTCTTCATTAGTCTTGCTAGCGGTCTATCAATTTTGTCCAGGGCAATCAGGCAGGAGAAAGAAACAAAAGGTACTCAATTAGGAAAAGAGGAAGTCAAATTGTCCCTGTTTGCAGACGACATGATTGTGTATCTAAAAAACCCAATCGTCTCAGCGCAAAATCTCCTCAAGCTGATAAGCAACTTCAGCAAAGTCTCAGGATACAAAATCAATGTAGAAAAATCACAAGCATTCTTATACACCAATAACAGACAAACAGAGAGCCAAATCATGAGTGAACTCCCATTCACACTTGCTTCAAAGAGAATAAAATACCTAGGAATCCAACTTACGAGTGACGTGAAGGACCTCTTCAAGGAGAACTACAAACCACTGCTCAAGGAAATAAAAGAGGATACAAACAAATGGAAGAACATTCCATGCTCATGGGTAGGAAGAATCAATATCGTGAAAATGGCCATACTGCCCAAGGTAATTTATAAATTCAATGCCATCCCCATCAAGCTACCAATGACTTTCTTCACAGAATTTGAAAAAACTACTTTAAAGTTCATATAGAACCAAAAAAGAGCCCGCATCGCCAAGTCAATCCTAAGCCAAAAGAACAAAGCTGGAGGCATCATGCTACCTGCCTTCAAACTACACTACAAGGCTACAGTAACCAAAACAGCATGGTACTGGTACCAAAACAAAGATATAGATCAATGGAACAGAACAGAGCTCTCAAAAATAACGCCACGTATCTACAACTATCTGATCTTTGACAAACCTGACAAAAACAAGCAATGGGGAAAAGATTCCCTATTTCATAAATGGTGCTGGGAAAACTGGCTAGCCCTATGTAGAAAGATGAAACTGGATCCCTTCCTTACACCGTATACAAAAATTAATTCAAGATGGATTAAAGACTTAAATGTTAGACCTAAAACCAGAAAAACCCTAGAAGAAAACCTAGGCAATACCATTCAGGACATAGGCATGGGCAAGGACTTCATGTCTGAAACACCAAAAGCAATGGCAACAAAAGCCAAAATTGACAAATGGGATCTAATTAAACTAAAGAGCTTCTGCACAGCAAAAGAAACTACCATCAGGGTGAACAGGCAACCTACAGAATGGGAGAAAATTTTCGCAACCTACTCATCTGACAAAGGGCTAATATCCAGAATCTACAACGAACTCAAACAAATTTACAAGAAAAAAACAACCCCATCAAAAAGTAGGTGAAGGATATGAACAGACACTTCTCAAAAGAAGACATTTATGCAGCCAACAGACACATGGAAAAATGCTAATCATCACTGGCAATCAGAGAAATGCAAATCAAAACCACAATGAGATAACATCTCACACCAGTTAGAATGGCGATCATTAAAAAGTCAGGAAACAACAGGTGCCGGAGAGGATGTGGAGAAATACGAACGCTTTTACAGTGTTGGTGGGACTGTAAACTAGTTCAACCATCGTGGAAGTCAGTGTGGCGATTCCTCAGGGATCTAGAACTAGAAATACCATTTGACCCAGCCATCCCATTACTGGGTATATATCCAAAGGATTATAAATCATACTGCCATAAAGACACATGCACACATATGTTTATAGCAGCACTATTCACAACAGCAAAGACTTGGAACCAACCTAAATGTCCAACAACGATAGACTGGATTAAGATAATGTGGCACATATACACCATGGAATACTATGCAGCCATAAAAAATGATGAGTTCATGTCCTTTGTAGAGACATGGATAAAACTGGAAACCATCATTCTCAGCAACTATCGCAAGGACAAAAAGCCAAACACTGCATGTTCTCACTCATAGGTGGGAAGTGAACAATGAGAACACATAGACACAGGAAGGGGAACATCACACACTGGGGACTGTTGTGGGGTGGGGGGAGGGGGGAGGGATAGCATTAGGAGATATACCTAATGCTAAATGATGAGTTAATGGGTGCAGCACACCAACATGGCACATGTATACATATGTAACTAACCTGCACGTTGTGCACATGTACCCTAAAACTTAAAGTATAGTAATAATAAAATTTTTTTAAAAATCTACTTTCTTGGTCATTTTCAAGAATACTATATATTATTAACTATAGTTTCTAGGTTGTGCAATAGAATTTTTGAACTTATTTCTTTTATCTAACTGAAGTTTTGTATCCTTTGACCAATATCTCCCCAACCATTGTGCCCCAGCTTCTGGTAACCACTCCTCTCTCTACTTCTATGATGGATCTCAGTCACTGACTTTCCAAATCAAGAATATTTCTGAGAAACAGTAGGTGATGTTTGGTAAAAGAAAAAGATAGGTGCTTTCCATATTAATAATGACAGCAATACTGTATTAATAACAAGCATAATTATCAATATTATATATTTGGCAGCTTACAAGGATGGACAACTGGGTTTGAATCTCAACTCTACCATTTACTAGTTATGGGACCTATAAATTACTTAATCTCTCTGTACCTCAGTATCCTCATCAGTAGTATGGGGTTAATAATATTTATAGTATCTACCTCCTGGGACTGTTTGACGTATGAGGATTGATTCAACAGTGTCTGGTATAGAATAAGTGCTATATAAACATCAGCTCAATTATTATTATATTCTTGCCATGTATCTGGCAGAATAAAAGATTAAATTTTACACTTTCTCTGTCAGTTCAGTGAGCCATGTTCTGTAATTATCTTTGTTTTGTTGACATAGAGTCTGAGACTTGAGCAATGTGCTCGAGATCACACTTTCCATAAGTGGCAGGGCATGGACGTGAACTAAGGTTAGTCTGGCACTGAAGTCTCTGCTCTTAGTCATTGTTGTATCTTGCATCCTGACTGACGGACGGTAGATGGGAGGAATGTAGGACATATGAGCACGGGCAGATGGAAGAAAGAATCAAAGAGACTCAATTAAACCCTCAAACAAACAGTTTACCTTGTGATCCAGATCATAAATTCAGAGCGAGAGATTTATAAACCATATTCTATTTAAAGGGAACCCTGGAATAAACCTCATTGTATTCTCTGTATTTCTTCCAGATCATAATATTTTTAAACTAAAACAAACTTATTAAAATTAAAACCTGTTAAACAAAGGTTTGCTGAACTACAATTGAGTGAGCCAAGGATAGGCCTTGCATAATGAAAAGGTGAGAGGGTTGCAGAAGGTAATGAGCAGCTGTGTGGCATGGCAGGGGCAGGCTGGTGGTGGTTGGGGTAGGAGGAGGTGGATCAACAACTTTGCAAATAGAGTGAACGGTATGTATCTCTTCAGCCCTCTCTCCTTCTTTCCTCTTCTGTCGATTCACAAGACAGCAGAGCCTTAGTGAGCACCAGTTTACAGTCAAGTTTTCTGGGAAGCCAACTCTGAGATGGAATTTAACAGGAGATTTATTAGAAAGTTCCTTGGGATCAACTCTGATGAAAGGTGGGAAAAGGAGGCCAGATTGAAAGGACGAAGAAATTGAATAGGAAGCAAGACCCATAGCCTCAGCTGCTCCATGGGTGCTCTGGAGCTAAAATAGCACAAATTTGACATACCTTGGACTTGAGATTGGCCAGACCTTTGTACTCTCACCTGGATCAGTCAACTCTATGTGGGATGGGGGTGAGGCAGCTTTGTGCAGTTGAGGTGGTCCCTGCGGGGACTGAAAGCTGCAGGCTGTGTGCTAACAGTGCTCTCAGATGTTGGGACATTGATTCCTAGAAGGGAGATTTGGGCATGCACCCCACTGTCCCTCACAGCCCCCAGACAACCACTTGCATCAGTATCACCCAAAAGAAGCAGATTCCTGGGCCCCAACTTCTACCACTGAATCAGAACCTCTATGGGTAAGGCCCAGAAATATGCATTTTACTAAGCTCTGCAGGTGATTCAGGCTCACAGGAAAGGTTTACAGTAGCGGTACATATGAGAAAAAATATATATATACTTGCCAAACAAAGCAGGAACTTGAAAATAATAATGTCCAAATTCCATTACTATTCCCACAACGGTCGATGTAATTTACAAAGGAAATTCCTGCCTAAAATAAATTTCCTCCAGCACCCTCAGCAATGCCTGTAAGAGGCTTTCACTCAATGAACATGGAGGCATTATCTTCAGCTGTTCATCTATCCTGAATGTCAGCCCATAGGCGCCCAGAGCGACATGGAGCCTCCAATACATCAGCATGAGGCTGGCAGGTCTGGTGCTGCAAGGGTCGATTCATTCTGCCAGAAAGGTCCACAGGCTCATTTGTACCCCCAAGAAGGTTTGGGAGGTCATTAAATAAGCTCCCAGCTCCACACACCTTGAGTGGCCCAAATTCGAAGAGCAATTTAATCTCTGTCTCAACACTTCCACATTTCTACACTTAAACTGCTCATGTGAAACCCATCCTCTGGGCCACTGCTATACTTATTCACTCCCTGCCTTCCTTCTGATAAGGTCTTGGGCTAGCAATGACATATCAACCAACCTAAAGCCCTTAAGCCTAAACAGATATCAAACGAGCCAGACAAGTGAACAAATCTTTCTTTCCGGGAAAGTAAATATTTTTATTTCTCAATATCCATTATAAGACTTAAGGAAGTCCATATGCTTTAAGCCCACAAATTCACCTCTTGGAATTAACCTAAGGAATAATAGATACAGAAAAAGCACAAGCATATTTATTACAGAATTACCTGTTACAGTGACAAAAATTGAGAAAAACTAAATATGCTACCAAAAGAGCAATTGAGTACACAATTTCACATTACACAGTTATCAAAATGTTTATGAATAGTCTTGAAGAACAAAGAGAAACGCTTTCATAAAATATTAAAAGTACAGGATATGTATTTATTAAAAAATTCGAATGTGTTTAAAAATGCATAGAAAAAAAGACCAAAAGTAAATTTACCAAACTGTTTAATAGCATTGTTTCTGGGTGATGGAAATGAATAATCTTTTCTTCTTTGGAAATTTTAACTTTACACTATAAGCTTATTTTTCAGAAACCTATACAATTTAAATTGATGCTTAAGTTCATCAAGTCTCATTCTATATTAGAGAAGCCCATTACAATGCAGATTCCTAAGTATATTGTTTGCTTTATAGAGATACCTCATACAGAGAGATGTATTACAGAAGGGATAACCTGTTGTTAGAGGTATAGTCAATCCATAAATTTGAACAAGGTTGTGTTTTTTTCGTCTCTGTTTTCAGAAATGTTTCATTTGTTGATAATCCCCAAAGAAACTTGCACTTCCCTAGTGAGAAAATCACAGCCACAGGCAGCTGCCTCTGGAAAGCAGTTCACAGTTTCCTGCCTCTATATACCTGATATCTATAGATTGCTTTGTTTTGTGAATCTAGGTGTCTCTACAGTAGCCACAGATACTATTTCTAGTCATTCTGTATGAATTACCTTCTCTTATTCTTACTATCTGCTTATTCTTCCATGAAGAAAAATGATAAACTTTCTTATACAATAAGTTTCTTTACATAAAAATCATGAGCCGAATTAAAAGGACTAAAGCTTTAAAAGCAAATAATCTGGATGGGGAGGAAGGGCCACAAACATAATAAGAGAATAATGTCCTTTTATTAAAGAGTTTGTGAAAATCTAAAAGAAAAATATTTACAAGAGTAAGTAAATAGCTTCTATAATTATACTGAGTAAATAAGCTAACATTCAAAAAAGAAAATTAAATGTGTTTTAACATAACATTCAATGCTGGTGAGCATACAGTGAAACAGACTCGTATGATGATTTAAGTGAAATAGACACAACTCTTCTAGAAGTCTGCAAGGCAATACGTGTCAAGAGCCTTTAAAATATCTGTGCTCTTACACAGGCTTTCCTTTTCTAGGAGTCTATTCTAAAACAACAATCAGAGATTGTTCTGGTTATTTATTGGTATGTAATGAATCCTCCAAAACTTCATTGGTTAATAAAAATAGCAATCAAATATTTAGCCCACAAATGTGTAATTTGGGCAGGGCTCTGCAAGGAAGGCTCATCTGTATTCCAGTAGCATTAGCTGGGGCAGTTTTAGTGAGAAGATCCCCTTCCAAGATAGTTCAGTCATAGCTGTTAAGTTTGAGCCAGATGTCAATTGGAATTTGAGCCAGATGTCAATTGGGAGATCAACTGAGGCTGAGGCTGAAGTCCTCACAGTTCCCTCCATATGTGTCTCTCCAATTGGGCCTCTCCACAGGCTGCTTGTGCTTCCTCACAGCATGGGGGTTGGGTTGCAAGAGTGAGAATTCCAAGAGACAGGAAGTAGAAGCTGCCATTTTTTTAAGGAATAAGCTCTGAAACTGACACAGTGTCCCTTCAGCCCACATTAGACCCCACCTCTGCATAGAAGGATTGTGAAATAATTAGGGGCCATGTTTTAAAACAGCCATAGATATATAAATACAAACATATAAGGTATTTATTGAAGTCATATGCACGCTAATCAGTAAAAATATAAAATCAACTGAACAGTTGACATCAGGGGAGTAGTTAGTTATGATAAATCTCAGCAATGGAGTATTATACAATCATTAAAAATTATGTTTATAAATAATTTTAAACATTAAAAAATGCTTATGTGTTTTTAAATTATGAACAAAACCTGCTTAAAATCATTGATCATCTCAGATAGGCCACTAGATTTGCCAGACCATAAATAATTTTATCAGCTGAGAGGTCTCATTAATATCCTGAATTCAATGTTTGTTTTTATTTAGAAGGAAAAAATATTCCAAAATAAACAAATTGAATGCCACTTTGCACCATGCATGCCATGTTTTTTCCTACCTTTGTGCCTGCATTTGTGCTAATCCCTGCCACCTTCCATCTGGAATTCCCACCCAGCCAGCTCCTCTTCTGTAAACTCTACCCAGTTAAACAAGAAGTTCGTGAAGCTACCAAAGAGTCTTTTTCAAATCTTAGGAGCAAAAGTCCCATAAAGTGTTTTCCTGAGTCATCATGGTTAATATGATTCTATGATTTCCTTATTGGTCAAATGCTGTGTGAATTGTTTGAATATAATTCCCTAAAGAAAAGAGAATAAAATTCTTACAATTCCCAGCTGCATCATAACAATTGATTTTACCGCACTCGTCCACATGTATAGTTCAGCATTCTTAGAACCGTTACACTTAAGTGAACACAGTTTAGCATTTAATTTTCATCTAATTCTAATTGTTTTGAATGTTATTTTTGTATCCACATCTTTTAAAAAAAAAGTATATGTATTTATCAAGCACCTACAATGTAAGGCTATGCTCTCCAAATAGAGAACTGACCTTTGGTATACCAGGAAGAGCTGTGCCTTTTTTTTTTTTTTTTAATGGAGTCTCACTCTATCACACAGGCTGGAGTATAGTGACGCGATCTCAGCTCACTGCAACCCCCACCTCCTGAGTTCAAGCGATTCTCCTGCCTCAGCCTCCTAAGTAGCTGGGATTACAGGGCATGCACCACCCCCTCCCCGCTAATTTTTGTGTTTTTAGTAGAGACAGGGTTTCACCATGTTGGCCAGGCTGGTCTCGAATTCCTGACCTCAAGTGACCCACCAACCTCGGCCTCCCCAAGTGCTAGGATTAGAGGTATGAGCCACTTCACCCGGCCCTATTTCTTCACCATGTTTCCTTTACCTTTCGATGCCTTACTCTATACTCCCAACCCTTAAAAACATTCTTCCCCCATCATCTTTACCCATTGACAATCTGATCAATTTTCAAGTAAAATGACAAAATTATCCAGGAGTCTCTACCTGAGCTCTTTTCCCTCTGAATGTTAACAGCTCCTTGTTTTCACCATAACTATGGTATTTAATACTTTTATCTACATGTCACCTTTCTCTTCTCTTTGACAATTCAAATTAGATGCTCTGAGCAAGCTTCCTGACATCCCCAAAAGCTTAACTCCCACATAAGGCTATGCTATATGCTTTTTTTTTTTTTTTTGCTCCTACAGAACTCTAAACTGGCCCCTTTTATGGTACATCGTATTTGTAGGGTTACCTGTTTATTGTTCATCTTTCCCACGAAACTATTAGCTCCCCAAGGATAGGAACTATCCTGACCTCTGTATTTGTGGTAGACATTTGCTACCCCCAAAGCCATTTGCAATCCTTTCTCCCTTGCCACATCACATAACAAAGATTGAAAAGTCAAATGTTTGTGTTGCCAGATTTCCTTGTAGCTAGGAGTTATGGCCCATGAGACATGGAAGTCTGCTGTGAAGACTTTTATTAAAACTAATATTCTTCACTAGCCTAGATCTTTTCCTTCCCTGTTATTTCTACCTTCAATGCCATCATAATAGCTGGAAGACAGCATTCATCTGCAATCATAAGGGAAAAGTAAAGAAAATTTCAGGGACGGGTTCACGAACATCACTGAGCCTCTAACCCAATAGCAGATGTCTTTGGCATCTTATTATATGAGAACAAAATCCTATCTGTTTAAGCTAGCAAACTATGCTCTTGGGCCAGATCTGGCCCACTTCCTATTTTTGTAAATAAAGGCTTATTGGAATATAGCCATGCTCATTCATTTACGTATTGTCTATGGCTGCTTTTACATTACAACAGCAGAGTAGAGTAGCTGTTGTACACGGAAAAGCCCAAAGTATTTACCGTCTATCCCTTGACAGAAACATTTGCTCATTTAAGCTCCTGTTGGTTAGCTTTCCTGTTAATTGCAGCAAAGTAACTTTTTTATTAATGTAAGATTCCCAATAACTAACCATGATGGTTAATATTGAGTGTCAACTGGATTGGATTGAGTGATGCAAAGTACTGTTCCTGGGTGTGTCTGTGAGGGTGCTGCCAAAGGAGATTAACATTTTAGTCAGTGGACTGGGAAAGGCAGACCCACCCTTAACCTGGGTGGGCACAATCTCATCAGCTGGTAGCATGGCCAAAATAAAAGCAGGCAGAAGAATGTGGAAAGACTAGACTGCCTGAGTCTTCCAGCCTCCATCTTTCTCCCATGCTGGATGCTTCCTGCCCTCTAACATCGGACTCCAAGTTCTTCAGCTTTGGGACTCTTGGACTTTTGACTGAAGGCTTCACTGTCAACTTCCCTTTTGAGGTTTTTGGACTCGGACTGGCTTCCTTGCTCCTCAGCTTGCAGACAGACTATTGTGGGACCTCACCTTTTGATCGTGTAAGTCAATACTCCTTGATAAACTCCTCTTTATATATAAATCTATCCTATTAGTTCTGTCCCTCTAGATGCTATAGGAGTTAAGAAATTATTTAGGCAGATAGTGAGGGTATGGGAGACCTCAGTAAGGTTTTCCTTTTAATGAAAAGTAGCCCCCAAATCATTTTCTTTTCTAACCAAAAGCAGCCTGTAAAATCAAGCTGCAGACATAGACAAGCAAGCTGGAACCTTACACGGCCAAATGCTGGCAGTTGTGCCAATAGGAAAAAGCTACCTGGGACTGGGCATGCTCAAAATGGTGGTTTCATGCTCCCTTCTCTTTGCCAAGTCATGTGTACAGCAAGGAGAAGACAATATGGCACAGGCCAAAGATTCCATTTGCATACTAAGGTTAGGGTGGGGTGGCCAGCCTTCCTCAGGTACTATGTAAATGTCACACTTGGACCAACCAATCCGTGGGTCCTGCATAAATCAGACACCACCTCCTCAGGGCTGTGTATAAAACCCAGTGCTCTCTGCTACTGGTGGGAGTTTCCTATCAGAAGTCCCTCTCTCTCTCTCACAAGGGAGAGAGCTGTTCTCCTTTCTCTTTCCTTTTGCCTACTAAACCTCTGCTCCTGAACTCACTCCTCATGTGTATCTGTGTCCTTAATCTTTTTGACACTAGACGATGAACCCTGGGTATTTACCTGAGATGATGCTGCTTCATAGAAAACCCTGACTAATACAGATTTTGCTAACAGGACTGGTTCTATAGGAACAGAATATTAAGGTTGGAGCTCTTTCATTGGTTTTGGGGTTTCTCGAGTTGGCTGCTTAATATGATTAGACCCAAAAATGCAAAGGAATATATTTCTAATTTAGCCTGATCCAACTCCATGTTCCTTCCATGATTAACCCACACCCTTAATTTGATGTCCATTTCCATGCCTGCTCTCCAGATTTCTGCTTATATAAATTAGAAAACTCAAGCAGTTCTTTTGGAGTGTGGTGCACCTCCTTGTGGGTCGCATTCTGAATCTCACCTCTAGGGGCCCACTGGGATTTTAGTCCAGTTATAGGTCTAAAAGCAAACAGGGGTGTTGGAGATGGGTCCTGAGGAGACTCTACATTATCTTTCCTGGCAACTGCCTCAGGGGAGGCCTCTAAAGTACGGAGAACACTCATAGTCCACGGAGTAAACTGTTTAGAGAATTATGCAAAATAAATGCATTTGATAGCGATTCACCTCTCACGAGAGGTAAGGAGTTTAGTGACCCTATACATAATACCTTTGACCATATGTGGAGAACTAAGGAATATAATGAAGTTAGTTGATTGCTCCTAAGTTCAGTGGACAAAGTGATGAAAGAAAATGATGAACTCAGGGATTCTAACACTCAGCTTCAGAAGCAGATACTGTGCCTCAAATCTTGTATTACCCTGAGTGAGAATCTTATCTCCTGTGAAGAAAGCTAAAATTGTGGAAAATCAGACACAAGCTCTTATGATATGAGTGGCTGAGCTGCAATGCAAGGCATGTGCACAGCCTCACCAGGTATCTACTGTTAAAGTGAGGGTATTGATTGGAAAATAATAGGACCTTGCAACTTGGAATAGGGATGTGTGGGAGGAGCCTGATGAAAATAGGGACACTTAGCTTATAAACTCTGATGCATCTTTTTTGCAAAGGAACAGCTTCCCCATCCTGAGTAGTGGCAACATCCCCTCCCGGACCCATGCTGCCATCAGCCTTTTGACCTTTGTCTTAGAAGATAAACCCTGCGCTGCCTGAGGAAACAGTGATGGCCTCCCCTGAGGCAGTTGCCAGGAAAGATAATGTAGAGTCTCCTCAGGACCCATCTCCAACACCCCTGTTTGCTTCTAGACCTATAACTGGACTAAAGTCCCAGTGGGCCCCTAGAGGTGAGATTCAGAATGCGACCCACAAGGAGGTGCACCACACTCCAAAAGAACTGCTTGAGTTTTCTAATTTATATAAGCAGAAATCTGGAGAGCAGGCATGGAAATGGACATCAAATTAAGGGTGTGGGTTAATCATGGAAGGAACATGGAGTTGGATCAGGCTAAATTTATCAATTTAAACTGACCAAGCAGGGATTCTGCATTTAATGTTGCAGGTTGGGGAGCTAAAAAAGATTCTAATAGTTTGTTTAGTTAGCTGAAATATGGATTAAAAGACGGTCCACTGTGAGTGAGCTGGAAATGCCTCATCTCCCTTGGTTTAATGTAGAGGAAGGGATCCAAAGGCTTAGGGAGATTTGGATGCTGGAGTGGATCAATCACTTTAGACCCACTCATCCCAGCTGGGAGGGGGTCCAGAAGATATACCCTTGACCAATACTTTGTGAAATAGATTTGTGAAGGCAGCACCTGCATCCTTGAAAAGCCCTGTGATTGTTCATCTCGGCATGCCACAGCTTACAGTAGGAATTGCAGTCACTCAACTACAACCTTTAAATGCAATGGGAGTAATTCGATCCTGAGGTGGCAGGGGCCAAGTGGCAGCACTCAACCAACAGAGGCAATGTGGGCATAGGTACCATAATGGACAGCAGAGGTAAAGCAGCAATCAGAAGAGCCTGACTTGTGCAGAGCTCTGGCATTTGCTAATTAATCACAGTGTTCCTAGAAGTAAAATTGATAGAAAGCGTACTGTATTCCTACTTAATTTACATAAGCAGAAAATTTCTAGGTCGAATGGACAAAAGATTAGTTTGAATTATAAAAACAGAATCATAGCCCCTCAATCTATTTCTAGACTTGAGCCAACCTGCAGACCCAGAACCCCTTGAATGAAAGGGAGGCCAGGTTCCCTTGAGGAAGGACCACACTATACCACTGACAATTTATGCTGTTAATCTTTCTCCCATCCTTTCCCAAGGAGAACTCTGGCCTTTTTACCAGGGTAACTGTGCACTGGGGAAAGGGAAATGATAGACCTTTTGGGGACTACTGGACATTGGCTCTGAGCAGACATTAATTCCGTGGAACCCAAAACATCACTGTGGTCCTCCAGTTAAAGTAGCGGCTTATGGAGATCAGGTCATTAATGGAGTTTTAGCAGAGGTCCGACTTAGAGGGTTCCAATAATGGGTCCCCGGACTCATCCTGTGGTCATTTCCCCAGTGCCAGAATGCATAATTAGCACAGACATACTTAGCAACTGGCAGAACCCCCACATTGGCTCCCCAACTGGTGGGGTGAGGGCTGTTATGGTGGGAAAGGCCAAATGGAAGCCATTAGAGGTGCCTCTACCTAGAAAAATAGTAAATCAAAAACAATGTCACATCCCTGGAGGGATTGCAGAGATTAGTGCTGCCATTAAGGCCTTAAAAGATGCAGGGGCAATGATTCCTACAATATCCCTGTTCGACTCTACTCAGCCTGTGCAGAAGACAGGTGGATTTTGGAGAATGACAGTGGATTATTGTAAGCTTAACCAAGTGGTGTCTCCAATTGCAGCTGCTGTACCAGATGTGGTTTCATTGCTTGAGCAAATTAACACACCTTCGGGTACCTGGTATGCAGCCATTGATTTGGCAAATGGCTTTTTCTCCATTCCTGTCCATAAGGCCCACCAAAATCAATTTGCCTTCAGCTGGCAAGGCCAGCAATGTACCTTTACTGTCCTCCCTCAGGAGTATATCAACTCTCCAGCTTGGTGTTTAATCTTCAGAGAGACCTTGATCGCCTTTCCCTTCCACAAGATATCACACTGGTCCATTACATTGATAACACTATACTGATTGGATCCAGTGACAGAGAAGTAGCAAACACACTGGACTTATTGGTGAGACATTTGTGTGCCAGAGGATGGGAAATAAATCCAACCAAAATTCAGGCAACTTCTACCTCAGTAAAATTTCTAGGGGTTCATTGGTGTGGGGCCTGTTGAGATATTCCTTTTAAAGGCAAGGGTAAGTTGCTGCATTTGGCTCCTCCTACAACCAAGAAAAGAGGCACAATGCCTAGTTGTCCTATTTGGATTTTGGAGGCAACACGTTATTCATCTGAGTGTATCACTCCAGCGCATTTATCGAGTGACTGGAAAGGCTGCCAGTTTTGAGTGGGGTCTACAACAGGAGAAGGCTCTGCAGCAGGTCCAGGCTGCTCTGCCGCTTGCGCCATATGATCCAGCAGATCCAATGGTGCTTGAGGTGTCAGTGGCAGACAGGGATGCTGTTTGGAGCCTTTGGCAGCCCGCCATAGGTGAATCACAGTGGAGGCCTCCAGGATTTTGGAGCAAGGCCCTATTTTCTGCAGATAACTGCTCTCCTTTTGAGAAACAGCTCTTGGCCTGTTACTGGGCTTTGGTAGAAACTGAACGTTTGATTATGGGTCAAGTCACAAGGGGACCAGAACTGCCTATCATGAACTGGGTGCTTTCTGACCCATTAGCCATAAAGTGGGTCATGAACAGCAATATTCCATCATCAAGTGGAAATGGTATATATGTGGTCAGGCACCAGCAGGTCCTGAGGGCACAAGTAAGTTACATAAGGAAGTGGCTCAAATGCTCATGCCACCCTGCCTTCTCTCCCCCAACCTGCACCGATGGCCTCATGGGGAATTCCTATGAAAAGTTGACAGGGGAAGAGAAGACAAGGGCCTGGCTTACAGATGACTCTGCACAACATGCAGGCACTATCTGAAAGTGGACAACTGCAGCACTACAGCCCCTTTCTAGGACATCCTTCAAGGACAGTGGTGAAGGGAAATCTTCCCAGTGGGCAGAACTTCAAGCAGTTCACCTAGCTGTGCACTTTGCATGGAAGGAGAAATGGCCAGGTGTGCAATTATATACTAATTCATGGGCTGTAACCAATGGTTTGGCTGGATGGTCAGGGATTTGGAAGAGGCATGATTGGAAAATTGGTGACAAAGTAATTTGGGGAAGAGATATGTGGATAGACCTCTCCGAGTGGTCAAAAACTGTGAAGATATTTGTGTGTCACGTGAGTGCTCACTAAGCAGTGACCTCAGCAAAGGAGAATTTTAATAACCAAGCGGATAGGATGACTTATTCTGTGGACACCACTCAGCCTCTTTCCCCATCCACCCCTGTCATTGCCCAATGGGCCCATGAACAAAGTAGCCATGGTGGCAGCAATGGTTGTTATGCATGGGCTCAGCAACATGGACTTCTACTCACCAAGGCTGACCTGGCTACAGCCACTGCTGAGTGCTCCATTTGCCAGCAGCAGAGACCAACACTGAGCCCTCAGATATGGCACCATTCCTCAGGGTGATCAGCCAGCTACTTGGTGGCAGGTTGATTATATTGGATCTCTTCCATCAAGGAAAGGGCAGCAGCTTGCCCTCACTGGAATAGACACTTACTCCAGATATAGGTTTACCTATCCTGTACGCAATGCTTTTATAAAGACTACCATCCGTGGACTCACAGAATGCTTTATCCACCATCATGGTATTCCACATAGCATTGCCTCTGACCAAGGCACTCACTTTATGGCTAAAGTAGTGTGGCAGTGGGCTCACACTCATGGAATTCACTGGTCTTACCATGTTCCCCATCATCCTGAAGCCGCTAGATTGATAGAACAGTGGAATGGTCTCCTGAAGTCACAATTACAATGCCATCTAGGCGACAATACTTTGTAGGGCTGGGGCAAAGTTGTCCAGAAGGCTGTGTATACTCTGAATTGCTGTCCAATATATGGTACTATTTCTCCTATAGCCAGGATTCACAGGTCCAGGAATCGAGAGGCGGAAGTGGCACCACTCCCCATCACCCCTAGTGACCCACTAACAAAATTTTTGCTTCCCTTTCCCGTGACATTATGTTCTGCAGGCCTAGAGGTCTTAGTCCCAGAGGGACTAACACTGCCACCAGGAGACACAACAATGATTCCATTAAACTGGAAGTTAAAATTGCCACCTGGCCACTTTGGGCTCCTCCTACCTCTAAGTCAATAGGCTAAGGGAGTTAGTGTTGGCTGGGTGGACCCAGACTATCAAGATGAAATCAGTCTACTACTCCACAACAGAGATAAGGAAGAGTATGCACGGAATACAGGAGATCCCTTAGAGTGTCTCTTAAACTGCCATGCCCTGTGATTAAGGTCAATGGGAAACTACAACTGCCCAATTCCAGGCAGGACTACAAATGGCCCAGATCCTTCAGGAATGAAGGTTTGGGTCACTCCACCAGGTAAAACACCATGATCTGCTGAGGTGCTTGCTGAAGGCAAAGGGAATACAGAATGGGTAGAAGAAGAAGGTAGTCAACAATATCAGCTTCAACCACATGACCAGTTGCAGAAACTAGGACTGTAATTGTCATGAGTATCCCCTCCTTATTTTGTTAAGAACACTTTTGTGCATGTATACACTTATACTAAGAAAGTAACTTCATTTTATTTCCTTTTTCCTTTAACATGTGGCATAAGATTGACTTCATATCAGCATTCAAGTGTTGTTAACTCTATGTAATAGCATTTGGGTTGGGGGTTGGTGCATTTCTGGTAGTAGGAAGGATAGTTGTGTTATGTTAGGTGTGGTTATGACCTTATTGTCTTTATTTGAAGACTATGTATGATCTCAGGAGATGTATATGGGTTCAAGTTGACAGGGGGTGGACTTGTGATGGTTAATATTGAGTGTCAATTTGATTGGATTGAAGGATACAAAGTACTGTTCCTGGGTGTGTCTTTGAGGATGTTGCCAAAGAAAATTAACATTTGATTCAGTCGACTGGGAAAGGCAGGCCCACCTCAATCTGGGTGGGCACCATCTAATCAGCTGCCAGCGTGGCCAGAATAAAAGCAGGCAGAAGAACGTGAAAAGACCAGACTGCTCAAGTCTTTTGGCCTCCATCTTTCTCCCTCTAGGGAACCCAGACTAATACACTAACACAGGGCCTATCACACAGAAAATGTTCAATAAATGGTTGTCTAATGAATGGTTGGGTCAATGATTTGAAGTCAGTGACAATTTCTCCATTTTAAAAAATCTCCCGAAGTGCCAAATTGTGCCTTACATAGCAGGTGCTTAATAGATTTTCGTTAAATGTGGATCCAAAATAACATTCAAAACAATTAGAATTAGAGAAAAATTAAATACTAAACTGTGTGGACTTAAGTGTAATAATTCTAAGAATGTTGAACTCTATGTGGGGACTAATGTAGTAAAATAAATTTTCATGGCGCAGCTGGGAATTGTAACAATGTTATTCTTTTCTTCAGGGAATTATATTCAAATAACTCACACAGCATTTGACCAGTAAAGGTATCTTAGAATCATATTAACCATGATGACTCAGAAGAACACCTTATAGGACTTCTGCTCCTAAGATTTGACAAAGACTCTCTGGCAGCTTCAGGAACGTCCTGTTTAACTGAGCAGAGTTTACAGAAGAGGAACTGGCTGGGTGGGAAATCCAGATGGAAGCTGGCAGAGATGAGCACAAATGCAGACAAAGGTAGGAAAGACCATGGCATGCATGGTACAGAGGGGCGTTCAATTTCTGTTTATTTTGGAATATATTTTCCTTCTAAATAAAAACAAACATTGAATTTGAGATATTAATAGACCTCTCACCTAATAAATAAAATCATAGTGTGACATATGTTGTGGTCCATCTGAAATGATCAATTATTTTAAACTATAATGAACAAAATAACTATGCTTTTATCGTAGGCCTATATGAATGTAGGAGGGTGTTTACTAAAGTCATTTCTTTAGAATATATGCCTTTAATCTAAAGACTCAGGTAAGTCTATCAAAAATACAAAACTTTTGCATTTTGAAATGGTGTCTCATAAATTGAATGTGTTCAAATAAAGATGCATATTTTTTAGACACCACTGTGTATTCCAAATATCTGGAAGCCCAATGTTAAAGAGATCGTTTTCCTAGCTACTTGGGAGGCTGAGGAAGGAAAATCCTTTGAACCCAGGAGGTGGAGTTTGCAGTGAGCTGAGATCATGCCATTACACTCCAGCCTTGGTGACAGAGCAAGACTCTGTCTCAAAAAAAAAAAAAAAAAAAAAAAAAAGAGTATTTAACCACTGTGCCATCTTTACCAAGTATTGCCTGAAAACTGCCAGAAACTTGAACTAAGAACCCACCTCTCAACAAAGGAAGTAAATGCACTGCAAAAGCAGTTTTATTGGGAATGGGGTGGTGGACATGGAGGTAAAGGAAACCTTATCTTTAAGCCAAATTCAAAACAAAGATCGTTGTGCAGCTCCCAAAAGTTGAAATGAGTGAACAAGTGAGCAGACCAAGGTTGGGATAACCCAGTGTATTAAGGATTGAAGTGAAAGGATGAAGAGCAGGAATGAAGAATTCACTCACCGCCTCCACAATTCTGAGCCTACCTTGAATTCTACCCTTACTTGGTCAGATGGAGACCAAAGGAAAGATAAAATTAAGAATCAGTAAGTCTATTTCTCTAAAACTTGGAATCCCTCAACTTATTAGAAGACCCAGTTATAGGATTGCAGGCTCTCTAACTTTATTCTCTTTCCTTGAAGGAATTTCATGCAAGCAACATATAGAACATTGGCCAGTAAAGAGCTTTTAGAAGGATATTGACCCATGATGATTCAGATGAAAATCTCAAAGGATTTCTGATCCTAAGGACTTAATAAGGAATCAATTTCTTCTAAAGCCTCTGACACCTTGGGGTATTCAATAGCTCTTTGTTCTGTGGATCCTGTTTTTCATTTTTCCACCCTTTGTTCTAGCTCCTGAGGCTAGTAGAAAAGACGAAAACATCACTACACTAAAACCAAGACCGGAATTCTGGCCACGGCTCTGCCTCTAATTAGCCTATGGCTTCAGAGAAGTCGCTTAACCTATCTAAGTCTTAATTATGTCTTTTTCAAAATAACAGTTGAGAGCTCTGAAGTCCTTTCCAGCAATATGAGCCTTGATTACAACCCAGGACCATGTAGTGATTATAATTCTGGATTATAACTGCTCTAATATCATGCTGAGCTCCTGAAGAAATTTTAAAGAGGGTGTTTGGGAAGGTGGCAGGATGTAACAAAGCATTAAGGTTTCGAGCCAGATAGACCTAAGCTGATTGAGCTAAAAGAACTGATCTACATAAATACAATGCATGTAACATCTGGTTGGTTACTCAACACCTTTCAGCCTCATTTCATTATAAATATATGGTAAGAATTCCATGAAACAACATACATAAAGCATATGGCATACTAATACTAGGCACTTAATTAAGGTCAATTCCATAAACTATACTCACCGATTAAAGATGGGAAAGAGTGAAGAGAAAGGCAAGGGTTGAAACTACTAAGGCTTGACAAAAAGTAACTGAGTGTATAATAAATACATAAAAATTAAAAATTTGCAGGATAAAATGATCTGAAGGTAGAGAAGTTTCAGTTTTAGGAATATCAGTTTGAGAAAAAGGCTAAACAACCTAGTGAATATGTCAGGTGGACAGTTGAGAATGTAGAAAAGTAAAGCTTATGAGAAATGTAAGGGTAGGAGATATTTGAGAATACAATTCATCAGTGACACTCTAGAACAAACTTTTTCAGATGCTGACTGACTGCAAGCCATTTTAAAAAACACATTTGCCACTTCTAACTCATCTTTGTATGTGTATATATATGAGTATAGGCATAGAATAACATTTTTATTAATAAGTTAGTACTCTTACTATACAAGGTGGTTTGATATTTTATATTGTATTCTATTCTTTTTCTGATTCATCAATTAAAAAAATCCTGGTGCCAACTCTAAACTGATTCCATGACCCAGTAACAAGTTAAAACCTACAGTTTGAAAAACACTGTTTTGGCAACCAGAGAGAGCCCTCTATATAGGCTATATGGAGAGTTTATTTGAACCACACAAGTAAAGAACTCAATAATTCCCTTGTTTTCTTTGCAGAATGCTTTTTCATTCCATGGTAAACTATGCCATAGGCCAGGTAATTTATTGGTTGATTCACTAATGCTCCCTTGAATGGTAACTGACATGAAAGTCCTAAACAGTTTTAAGCCCTGTTTGTCTGTAGTTGTACTTTTGCTATCTTCACCAACCCTAGTTAGTATTAACATCAGTTCATTTTATTCATAAAGAAACTGAGGTTCCCAAAGATCAAGTCACACAGCTGTGAGTCTAGATTTCCTGACTCTGGAGACCACGTCCTTCATGCCACAAATAAAAACTGGATAACTATTCTGTTCAAAGCATCCTACACATTGATAAACTACAAAGTCTTCTCACGCAAATCAACTGTGACCACTGATAATATGGCCACCATTTCACAAACTTCTCCCATAACACAGTGCAACCTGGACTTGCACCTCTGAATTGGTATACTACTTCCATCAGAGCCACATCAAATTACTAGACACAAGGCTCCTGTCTGCAGCTTGGTTTCAATGCTCTGCTATTTCTACATAACAAGATGGGAGATGAACTTAATTAACACTACTTCTCATCTCTCTAGTGAGTGGTTTCCATTAAACCAAGACCTTAGCTTCAATAAAAGAAGAGGTAATTTCCTGATTTTGGTCCTTTCTATGACTTGTGAATGACTCAGTGGGGGAAAAATGCCTTTTCTCACAACTCTCTCCTCTGTAACAATTTTCTGCCCAACATAAACATAAAAATGAGGAACATGTTAAAGCTTATTCACTTAGAGCCCTTTGATTTCTGCTTTCCCCCTTTCATGTGCTTTGAATAAAATTAAGCTATAACACCAAATAATCAATTTCTCTAATAATTTTCCTCTTGAAATTTTTCTCCTTCAAGATCCACTTTAAATGCTTCTTTTTTAAAAAAGATTTCCCTGATCCTAATTAATGGCTCCGTTTTCTAATGCCCCATAACATGGTCAATGCATCTATATTTCACCTGTATCATTCTGCTTTAATTATTAACTTTTTTACAACCAGAATTCTTCTTCAAAATACTAGTAGGTAGGTAATACCTTACACATAAGAGGCCTTTAAAGATAGTGAGATTAATGATCCATAGTTGGAAATCAAAGTAGTTTTGCAACATTCTTCTTTGGTGTTAATATAAACAGTTCATAAATTGATAATGGTATTGTTTCCTCTCAGGGAAAGAAAATCGTAGTTAAAACCATGGGCAGAGAGACCTCTGTGGAACAAACAAGCAAAAACACCAGTCAGCAGTCAACCCTGGGCAACTCTAATAATTAGCGAGCCAAGACAATGAATTAGATCTGAAACAAAAGAGAAAAACAATACAAAAATGAAAATAAACACACAAAAATGAACACACAAAACTGTAAGTATCAGAGGGAGGAATGCACCACCTTTTATAAACCTAGTATATGCCAGATATACAGTTCCTTATCCAATTCTCGGGACAGCTCAAAAAAGGGATGATCTTATCCCTACCTTACATAAAAGGAAACAGACTCTGAGAAGTTACACAGCTTACAAAAGTTACATCTAATAAGTATCTGAATCAGGATTTAAATTTGGGTCTGAGGCAAACCTCCTATTCTTTTCCCATACCTGGCTGCCTCTCTACAATGTTATTTTTTCCCTATTCCTATTTATAACATATAAGCACAGATGCAGCTACACCATATTAAAACTTCACCTCTCAGTTCTGTTATTTCTGCCTTTCTCTTACTGTTTTCCCTGGTAACATATAGCCCAAATTGTAATAATGAGACTGGTTTTATTTGCATTTCCACAGGCTCTTGATAATGATCCACAAAACACTGGAGATACTCCATTCTAACAAGGAGCTTTAAGCAACTGCTAACCTTCAAGCATAGTTTCCTCAGTACAGGGCTCCTTAGTACCTAATATTAAAAACAGCAGTTCTGAGGGTCCACACAGGGACAGGAAGCCTTGTTTACTGGTAACTCAAACTACGTATGCCATTGGTTTCAAGGGGGAGGTCATCAGCGTTTTGCATCAATCTACAATCTTTTTCCTCAGTTGCACTGATTGTAAGGGTTGGAAGCTCTATCAAATATTTAACAAAGGTAACAAATAGAACTAGCTACACAAAAGGCAGTTGAATGAATTATTCTATCTCTTACACTTGGAAATTTAGCATCTGATTAAAAGCTAAAACTGTCATTGGCCAGATACATCTTTATTAGAAATGTATCTCACCCAGAGTTCATGAAATGAGTTTTAAATTGAGCCTGTCATAGTTTCTGATTCAACCTTCCCATATGCATTTTCTACAAATGAACAGATACATATGTATTTTCCTATATTCTATTCTTCCTCACATGAAGGATAACTTATTACAGATGCTTTTTGTTTGTGATTTATTCACCTAACCAACATATCCTGGAAAATTCTTTATCAGTTCATAGAGACCTTCCTCATTCTTTTTACAGATGCACAGAACTCCATTGCAAGGAGGTGCTATCGTTTCTTCAACCTTTCTGTCTTCGTCTGTTTTCTGTTGCTATACTTGAATACCACAGACTAATTTATTAAGAATAGAGGTTTACTTAGCTTATCGTTCTGGAGGCTGGAAAGTCCAAGAGTATGGCACCAGCATCTGCTCAGCATCTGGTGAGGGCCTTCTTGCTACATCATAATATGGCAGAGGGCGTCATATAACCAGAAGGCAAGAATGGGATGTCAGCTCAGGTCTCTCTTCTTCTTCTTATAAAGTCATCAGTCCCATTATAAAGTCCTCAGCCTGATGACCTTATCTAATCTCAATTACTTCCCATAGGCCCCATTGTCCAAACACCATAAACATATGAATTTGAGGATTAAGTTTCCAACAGATGAAATTTGGGAGGACACGTTCAAGCCATTAGCACCCTCTACCATGGATGAACATTTAGATTGTTGCTATTATTTTCATAGTGTTAAAAATGTGTTGGCTGGGCACGGTGGCTCACGACTGTAATCCCAGCACTTTGGGAGGCTGAGGTGGGCAGATCACAAGATCAGAAGATCGAGACCATCCTGGCTAACATGGTGAAACCCGGTCTCTACTCAAAATACAAAAAATTAGCCGGGCGTGGTGGCGGGTGCCTGTGGTCCCAGCTACTCGGGAGGCTGAGGCAGGAGAATGGTGTGGCGTGAACCTAGGAGGTGGAGCTTGCAGTGAGCTGAGACAGTGCGAGTGCACTCCAGCCTGGGAGACAGAGTGAGACTCAGTCTCAAAAAAAAAAAAAAAAAAAAAAAAAAAAGAACTAATTTATATTTCTTAATGTAAACATTTTTCATATGCTTAAAAGCTGATTTTACATCTTACTTTTTGAGTTGTCTGATTATGCCTCTTTCTCAATTTATGCTGGGGTTTTGGCCCTTGGTTCCTCAAGATTTCTTTATACGTAAGAACTATTAGGCCTTACTCTATATGTTGCCAATATTTTCTCCCAGATTTTCAGTTATGATTTTTGATGTGCAAAAACATTTAATGTTATATAGTCAAAATTATCGATCTTTTTTACTGCCTATAGATTTTCAAGCATAATTAAAAAGCCTTTTCCTACACCAAAATGAAAAAGAAATTTACTTTTTATTGTATCATACAGTTTCATTTTTATGTTAGATCTGTGATATATTTTGAGTTAATTTTGTGTATATATAAGCTATGAATTAATTTCACCTTTTTCTAAATGGCTCCTGGGTTGTCCCGTTGTCCCAGCTTTAATTTTTAAAAAGTCTATCTTTGTCTTTTATTATATATCAAATTTCCATATGAACTTTAGTTCTATTATTGAGTCTTCTATTTCACCGGTTGATTTATCAATTTATGCTCTAATTGACCACTGAAGGATTTACATCAAAGAAATCAGTAAATGATATAAATCAGATCCCCCGACCCCAACCCAAACTACTTGTTTACCAGTATGCCACTAAACTTACTCTGTGTGTGTGTGTGTGTGTGTGTGTGTGTGTGTAGTAATATATAATCAAATTATGTGGATGTTGCATGAGCTCTTGAGAAGATGTATTCTCTATTGACATGGTGTAGAGTTTGACATACAGTATATCTACAAGATCTCCTGTAGTGATTATGTTGTTTAGGTTTTCAATCTCCTTATTTCTTGCCTACTTCATCTTTGCTGTATTAAGAAAGCTGTATGAATATCTCTGATTAATGTGATTTCTTTTTTCCCCCTCCCTCCCTGGAGATGGAGTCTTGCTGTGTCACCCAGGCTGTAGTGCAGTGGCACAATCTCAAGTCACTGAAACCTCCCCATCCCGAGTTCAAGCAATTCTCCTGCCTCGGCCTCCCAAGTAGCTGGGACTGCAGGCACTCGCCACTACACGTGACTAATTTTTGTATTTTTAGTAGAGACAGGGTTTCACCATGTTGGCCAGGCTGGTCTCAAACTCCTGACCTCGTGATCCGCCCGCCTCGGCCTCCCAAAGCACTGGAATTACAGGCATGAGCCATCATGCCCAGCCAATGTTATTTCTTTTATGTCTCCTAGCATCTCCTGTAGTTTGGCTTTATAAAGATGATTACTATGTTATTTGACATATAACTGTTCATAAAGATGTGTCTACATTGTAAAGTATGGTTTTCCTGTGTAAAAAGTGCCTGTCTTTATCATGTTTAAGATTTTTGGCTTGAATTTATTTTATCTGGTATCAGGATTGCTACCCTGACTTCCTTATTTTTCCATTTGCCTGATATATACCTTTTTTCATCCGTTTTTAGCTTTTTGGATCACTTTTAGGTCTAGGTCTATCTGTTGTATATGATGTGCATGTATGTGTGTGTGTATATATAGAGCATATAGTTTTATATATATACACACATATACATACACATACATATATAGTTAGATCATTCTTTGTGAGCAAAATTGGAAGTCTTTTAGTAGATGGGTAAAACCCTGTTATGTTTGGGCTTAACTGTGGCAAAGTATTATATATTTTGTTATTTTCTGATACTTTTCTCCATATGTGTATTTTTTGTTCCTTAATTTTTTTTATATTTAGAAAAGCTTCTATTTTGGTCTGGTAGCTACTATTGTACTTACACTTATTGAACACCAGTAATCTCCTGGAGTTTTTGGTTTGCTCATTTCTATTTCTGCCTTTGGCTACCTACCTGCTTTATCAGTTTTTGCTGTCGTATTTTCCTTACCTGCAAGGTACACAACAATCCATAGGCTTATTTTCTTCTTTCTCTCTCTCACTTGCACTTTTCAGTTGCATTATTTCTACTTTATCACAACATGTAACATTTGTACTTTAGTCTTCCACCTTCGTCCCCACATTTTAAAAGTTTTACATCTACGTTTATTTACATATTGACAGTTTCACCAGATTTTTAGGAGTTTCAGAAAAATTATTTGACTGAAAATTTCCCAGTTCTCTCTACATTGGACAAATCCCATTCTCAAGAACTGACAAAATTGGCGAAATAATAAACATATCTGTTTATTTTTATAATAAATGGATTATTTATATATATTTTTATTATATATATTATATAATATATAATATATATTATTATTTATATAATAAATGGATATAAAATAAAAATATCAGTTTATTATATAAATCTTATTCTAAAATTGTATTGCTGTTATTTTTTCTTGAATCTAAATTAGTGGTGAAATACAAACTTTGTCTCTCCTTTCAACCCACCTCCGTCCAGAAAAAAAAAAAGCTTAAATCTATGGTAATACCCTTTAGCATTGAGTCACCCATTTGAACATATTGTTTTTAAAAGCAACAAAAACATACCACATGTCAAATTTTAAAAGTCTCTTCAAAGACCTTCCTACTGGAGTATTTAGATATAATCAGCATTTAATTCAATCTTTGCTAAAACCTATAACCTTAATAATGATATTCAGTGCTGGCATCATCCCCAGTCAATTGCAGTTCTACTTATTCATTTGATGTCTTAACATTTAGTTGAATTATCTAACAAAAACACCCTGAGCTAAAGAATGGAGTAATTATATAAACACTTGCAGCAGAACAATTATAAAGCAAGAGCTTTAGAATTCCAGGTTAACATTTAGCCTGGTTAGAGACCTAATCTGCATATGCACACCCTGAGGTTCAGGGACTGGTGGTTTTTTGTTTTGTTACGTTCTTCTTTGATTTTTGCATGTTTATTAGTGTTCTGTAATTAGATGCCACAGAATATTTTTCTTATTTAGCTGTCAACCTTCATATACAAATATACACTCATTTCAATTTGTAGATATGTCCAGGAGCCTTGGAAACACAGGTGGAGTGTAATTATAGGACACTTTGAGAGGTCAACAAGGAAGAAATATGTGGAGGAGTTTATCTGGAGTTAGATCTTTTGCATCTATCTAGGCACACAGCCTTAAATTTCTAACCAGGCCTTCAACCCCTTAGCTCCTCAGGAAAATCTCCAGCATTTACCTGTAAAGGAAACTGTCAGATAATTCTGGGAGACCTGTTTGCAGTTCTGGTACCATTTCTTTATCCCCAGTGGAAAACTTTACAACAGAACAACTTCTCTGACCTTCCTCTCCCAATATCCTTTTACATCCTTCCATTTTTCCTTACCATTCTCACATGGAAACTATAAATTCATGTTAAACCCACTTGCTTAGGTACTTGACAGGTTGACTCAGTTCTCAAGGAAGATGTGGTTTTGATTCATATGTGCCTAAATCAGTTGCTGTAAAATATCACATTTCTCAAGAATATGCTACTTGAGTCAAAGTGAAGGCACAGAATATTTAATGCAGTTTGATAAAACTAAAATTCTCTTTGGAAAAGAAAAACAAAAAAGTTTGACACTATGAATGCTGTTCTGCAATGTAAAGGACATACTAAGAATGCCAGAGACAAAACATGTTAGGATGTGAGATTCTGTGCAAAGGCAACAGAAACATCAAGATGTGTGTGACTCAAGCAGCTTCACCTTTAATCCCATTCACTCTGTGCCCCAGAGAAAGGAAGGAAAATGAAAACTTTAAAGGCAGAGATGCATTCCTTTGACTTTATGTCCCCTAAATTTCAAGGAATATGTGTGTGAACTTAGCTGTTTGATGAAGTGGTTAGTGCACAGACGGAACATAAATTACTCAATGATTCATTCTCATTCTCTCTTATTTTTTTTAAACACCATGCAATTTCCAAAGTTCAAATTATGTGACCAATTTTTCCATGACATGTGTTAAGAAATTTTTCAGTAATTAAACATTTCCTGGGAGGAAGGGTATGACAGTAATCTTCTAGTTTCCTTCTGATATTAATGTATATTTTCATAAAATCACTCAAATCCCTTTATGAATAATCATTCTCACAGTACTTTTAATTATACTATTTTTAGCCACCTTCTCCAGTCTAGATGAACAGAGGTCAACAAGTGTATCTGGAGTGAAAATGTTATCTGGATCAACAGGATAAAACAATACAGTAGAAAGGAATGAATTTAGGACCAAAAGAAAAAAAATAAGGCAGGCATATGACGCACAATGAGGCAGAGAGGTTTTTGCCATAAACAGGCAGGTTTAAAGGATGCTAAGTCCAAAACCCACTAGATATTAACTGGAAAAATCTGTCATGATATGGCTCTTATCTTCAACCTTACAGCCCTAGGTACTGGAAACTCAGAAATGAACAGATGCTTAGTGATAGGTACCTAATTAAGTTCACATGAAACTTGTATATAAACCAGAAGGCCAGATTATAAAATTTCCAAGTGGGGATGTGGTAGCCATGGAGATTCAAGAGAAGACTCACCACCAGGAGTGTGGTTAGACCTTTGAGATCTGCTGCAGCATTTGCGCTAAGGCTGTGCTTCTACCCAGCAGCCCCAGCTAATTACTGAGCACAGCACTCAGCAGGAATACTGTGACCTGGTCATTTCTGCCCAATGTGGACTCCTCTGTGGGCAACGCATTAGAGCTCCCCATTAGTTTGGCAAATATTTTCTCAAAGTTGCACCAGAATCTAAGACTCTTCCTACCCAATCTTCCTTTCTTCCCTTCTCATTTCACAAATGTGAGACCTGTATTGCAGACTGACAGCTCTGCCTGCCTTCTCCTGCTCTCTCCCTACTTGGTATTTTATGGACATTGCTCCCAAGAAATCTCTTACACTTCTAATTCTTTCTTGACATCTGCTCCCCAGAGGACTCAGGTAACCATATCTTTCCTATAACTAGAATGCTATATCTGTATCGCATTGTGTTTGTCTTCTTATTAAGGTATCAGAAGAGCTCAATCAGAAATCTGTTGTTGGGTCTACAAATAAGATGTGGTCAGTTCCTTGAACTCCAATCTTGTAGTTCTCTCAAGCTTACCATGCACTTTCCTCCCTTCTCTACTACCCTTACCTGATGTACTCCTATTTATATTTCAGGACCAGATTAAGTATCTCTTCTTCTAGGAAGCCTTCTCTGACCTGATCTCACCCATAAGCTTGAGTGGCCTCTATTTTGTTTTGAAAGTACTGTATATGTATCTTTTTTTGTACCAATTATGTTACCCAAAAATTACATGGCTACCTTCCATGCTCACTAGACTATCATCTTGTGAGCAGAGAGTATGTCTCACAGATCTTTGTGTCCCTACTACTAAGCTCAGTACCTGGCATTAATTAGTATTCAACAAATGCATGGCAGTCCAGAGCTTCTGGTTGTAAAATGATAGCAGAATAAGAGAACTTGAAAACCTTCCTACTACAAACACCTAGATATGCTAGATGTAACATAATAACACTCTAAGATGCATAGCTGAGCTGCCAAGAAAGATGGCAAATGCCCAAATGTCAGAAATGAAGGCAGCATTGAAAACCAAATACGTTTTGCTAATGCTATGGTATCCCTGGGAGAGTTAAGTGACAAATGGTGGTAGCTAAAGGATAGAATTCCAAGGTCCATGCAGAAATAGAGAAGGCCATGGTCCAGTGTAAAGAGGTGGGGTTAGGTTAAGATCCAGGCAGGGCTACAATTTTAGTGTAAGTTTTGACTAGAAAATAAATTCCCACCAACAGGGGAAACATCTCTCTGCTAGATTATGGATAAAAACAAACAAAATTATCTCTAAGAGTTTAAAGCCCAGGCCTGTACTTCCATTGGATTTGTAATTCAAATTTGCATTGCCCTAGAATCTCCAAATCAACAAACTCATAGAAATCAATCACACTCAAGAAGTCCCTACAATGGTTGTCAAGAATACAAGGAAAACCTGTTGTGAAAGGACCTGGTCTCAACCTGAGCTATGACTTCCCATCTGCAAATCTACACTGTGATTTAAAATTACAAAACACACAAAGAAACAATCTATTATGAGCTAGAGTTATAATATTCCCAAAACTTTGGCTACTAGTATGACAATCTGAAAGAATAAAAAATACATATACAAAATTATTAAATACACTTAACGAAGAATCTAAATCCTAAGGAAAGAATAAAACCATAAAAGTAACGAACAATAAAATTCAGGAGCAGAACTTCGGTTATTATGTAATCTGAAATATATAAAATATTATTAAATAAAAAGGAAAGTTGAAGACCTGAGAATGAGGCATTCTATAACAAGAGAAAGAATTAAATCACCAATTATCAAAAAAAATTTATATAGGCATTGAAATTTAAAAACAGTGGATAGATTAATAGCAAATTAAACATACTTTAAGAAAGACTTAATGAACTAGAAGATAGATCTGAGAAAGTTTAAAATTAAACAAATAAGTCATTGGAGATATAAAAAAGAAAAAGCATGGAAGAGAAGTGAATACTATATAGTTTGAATTTATGTCTAGGAGTTCCAGAAGGAGGGAATAGATGATGAGAGGCCGTTTCAAGGAAGTAACAGCTTACAATGGCCTAGTACAGAAAAAAAGACATGAATCGTAAAATTCAGAAATCACAGTGGATCCCAAGAAGAATACGTAACACTGAATCCACACCTCGACACAACATAGTAAAGTTGTAGAAAACAAATGCAAAAAGAAAATCTTCCAAGTTACCAGGAAAAAAAAGTTAGAATACCTTAAAATGAAACAATTAGACTAATAGCAGACTTTTGTTCAAGAATAGAAAGCAGAATAAAATATTTATGGAATGAATTAAAAAACAAGCAAGTTTAACTTAGGCCAAAGACGACAAGTAGGTTTTACTTTGTGTGCCATCTCCCATCACCTACTTATGTCTCACTGGGAGGATTTTAAAGTTCATTCAGCCTCAGAAAAAACAAACAAACAAACAAAAACCCTAATCGATTAGTGCTGTCTGCCACTGGCAGAAGAAGGGCCAGGAAAGTTCCAGAGTGTGTGTGTGTGTGTGTCTGTGTGTGTGGTATGTATGTGTCATCCATTCAAGATCTAGGCCATAGTGAGGCCCAATGAAATATTACTGTCTGCAGTAGAAAATACCCCTCTGCGACCATAAAGCCAGAATAAAGGCCCTCTAGTTTATTTGATGAGGTCATTCAGAGAATGAAACTAATTCATCTACAACATATCATTGAAAAAAGTTGTATTAAATACACAGAAGGCAATTCTGATAATACTGTTGAAAGGATCTTCATGAACAGCCTTTGAGCACCGGTACTTGACACCCAGACATGCCTCCCTCAACTTGGCAGGAGAACACTCAAAGGATTCCTCTGCAGTACAGAGATTGAAGATGCAACTCAAGGGAGCCAGGGTCAGACTGGTGCTACTTAATGCTACCTTTCTTGACAATAGCCTGGTATTCATGTGCATAGGTAGTACAGCGTAAGTATAATTTAAAAAAAAAACAAAAAAAGCAAACTCCAAATTAAGGAAATGGATTTTGCTACTATAGTACTATAAAGTACCTAAAGTCCTTTGGAACTTTGGACAGATTTTCCCCACAGAAATAGTGTAACCAAATCCCAGCACTTTGGGAGACCAAGGCGGGTGGATCACTTGAGGTCAGGAGTTCAAGACGAGCCTGGCCAACATGGTGAAACCGCATCTCTACTAGAAATACAGAAATTAGCCAGGCATGGTGGCGCATGCCTGTGGTCCCAGCTACTTCGGAGGCTGAGGCAGAAGCATCTCTTGAACCCAGGAGGCAGAGGTTGCAGTGAGCCGAGATTGTGCCACTGCATTCCAGCCTGGGCCAAACAGTGAGACTCTGTCTCAAAAGTAAAAGGAAAAAAAAAAAAAAAAAAGGAATAGTGTCACGAGTAATCACTCTAAAAGCTATATAAAAGACAAAAACCTGCATCATTCATAGTGAACCTGAAAATAGAAGACATGTCACTGGGTACCACCTCACCAATGTGTCTTGTCCCTATGCGAATGTCCATATATAGTTTCAATATAAAATGGAAGACATAGGACCACATGACCAAAGTCTGTTCCTCCAGCCATGGCTTTCCTACTATACCATGTGTCTCACAACTCTCCTATTCCTGGACGCTGAACCCACCCAACCCCTAAACCCAGTGAAATCTATCAGGATAAAGGGCTTCAATAATACCCGTGTGGGCTTGGGAGTATTTGCAAAGAAGGTTTCTTCTCCTTGAAAAGATATGGACATACTTGCAAGATAAAAAGTTTTTGTTTTTGTTTTTGTTTTTGTTTTTTAAACAAAAAGGCTAGGTGGCAAAGCCAGAATACTTTTGTAAATTTTCTGGTCTCAAGAAATTAGTCTTTTAAAGTCTATTAATTAAACTGTAATGCCAATTGTATCATTTGAGATTAAGTGTTTAAGTGAGACATTGTGTTAAGCACTTTGCAGGTATCATTTTATTTACATCTCCTGTTCCTTATAAGATAGGTATTGTTTTCTCCCATGTTATAGATGAGGAGACTAGGGCTCAGAAATGGTAAGTCATTGGTCCAAGGTTGAAGAGCTAGCAAGTGACAAGACAGGATTTTGACAAGACAAAGATGAAGTCTGACTCCAGCTACACCACTGTGCAATAAGGCTTCCTCTCCAATCCTATTAAGCTGTCAGGAGGAGTGATTACTCACAGGAATGGCAAATAGGTTTTAACTCATGCCAACTCTAATCTATCAGTGGTTGTTTTGATAAAGTGTCCAATGTTTCATCGGGACTCAGTGAAGAGAATGCTGTGATCATCTAGCAATGTCTGCCATTGGTGAGAAAATGGTAGAGTGACAATATTTGCTGCATGTTTGCCATTCCTGGAATAGTGAATTCTCAGAAGAGTTTCTATATTTAACTCTAGTTAGAATTATAAGAAAAATAACATTGACAATGCTGCCACTCCTGATTTATTTTTTAATGGAAAGACACCCATCTGTGATATAAAACTTAAAAATGGAATACAAGCTGCTAAATTGTTGTGAAGTCTGTATTAGTAAAATTTAACCTCAAATACCATCACTTTCAACATTTTATAATTTTTAAGTGATAAAGTGATAATACAGCAGTAAAGACAAAATAAAGTGGTATGCTTTAAAAAAAAATACAAAACCCACTCATAACTGACAACCAACTGCCAGGAGTTCCTGGGTCAAGCACCCAGATTAATAAATCCTAGTTTCCCATCAACCCAGCAAGACACACATGAAAATCACATCTGTCTAAAGATATCCGCCATCACCAGAGAAGTAACTACCATGGCCCAAGCCAGCCTCATCTCTCACCTAGCTGACAAATAGCCCTCTACCTGGTATCATTGCTTCCACTTTTATCTTCTATATTTTTTACCCAAGTGCTATAATTCTTTTAAAACGTAAGTCAAAGCCTATCATTCTTTCCCCTCTGCTCAAAACAATCCAAGGACATTCCACATTATTCAGAGCAAACGTCAAAGTCCACACAATGGGCTAGGAGGCTTTGTCTAAGCTGTCCTACTTTCTTCCCATCTTCATCTCATCCTTAACCCCACACCCCTTTGCTCTAACACCATCAGCCCTTTTGCTAGTCTAAACATGCTATGCATGTTCCCATCTCAAGGGTTTTGTATCTGTGGTCCCCTCTGCCTGGAATGATCTTCCATCAGACAACCCCACAGTGTAATGTCTCACACGTCCTTCTTGTCTTTGTTCCAATGTCATTTTCTCCATGAACCTTTCTACTTAAACTTAAAAATCCACATCTTATGCCACATCTCCCTTCTCTCCTTTCTCAAAAATATTTTTCTGCGTATCACTCATTGCTATCTTATGCATCACACATTCACAATTTATCTGACTCAGCCCTACTTTCCATCGCACTAGACTGTAAACTTCATGAGGGCAAGGACATTTCCCACTTTGTTATTTGATCTATCTCCACCGTCAAAAATTGTGACTGCCACACAATAGGCATTCTATGAATGAATGCATGAAGCATCCAACTCATTAATTCTCCTTCCTACGAGTCAGGGAAAAATAAAGTAAAATCAAATTTTCTCAATGCTTTTAAAAATGTGGATCCAGAACTCAGATTTTTCTAAATATACTTAAATGTAGCTTTATGTGGAGACCTTGGCCTATTTCTAGTCAGATAAATAGCAGTTTCTGAAAGCCTCAATCCCTAAGACATCACACTAAAGCAATCTTCAGTGATCACAAGAACATAGGCTGTCCTTACTACCTACATGCTATGGTTTGAATGTTGGTGCCCCACTCTCAGATTCATATGTTGAAATTTAATCCCCAATGCAAGAGTATTAAGAGCTGGGCCTTTGGGATGTGATTAGGTCATGAGGGCTCTGTCCTCGTAAATGAAATTTAATGCCCTTATGAAAGAGGTTGAAAGGTACACCCTAACCCCTTCCACGCCTCCCACCAAGTGAAGATTCAGCAACAAAGTGGCATCTTAGAATGAGAGTGAGCCTTTATCAGACACTGAATGTGCTGCCACCTTGTTCTTGGACTTTCCAGCTTCCAGAACTGTGAGTAAGAAGTTTATGTCATTTATAAACTACCCACTCTATGGTATTTTGTTATAGCAACCCAAATAGACTAAGAAATTGGAAATAAGAGTGGGGTGCTGCTGTAGCAAATACTTAAAAATGTGGAGGTGGTTTCGGAACTGGGTAATGAGTAGATGCTAGAAGAGTTTTGAAGTCCACTGCCAAGAATGTAGGACTAAGGACAATTCTTGAGGACTCACAAGAAGAGGAGAGCCGTAAAGAAATCCTCAATCTTCTTAGGGATTACTTAAGTGGCTGTGATAAGAATATTGTACAAATATGGATGGTAAAGGCCATTCTGATGAGGTCTCAGACAGAAATTGGGAACACGTTATTGGAAACTAGAAGAAAGGCAATCCTTGTAGAGTGGCAAAGAACTTGGTTGAATTGTATTCATGTACTAATGTTCTACCGAAGGCAGAACTTGCAAGTGATGAACTAGAATATTTGGTAGAAGACATTTCTAAGCTAAGTATTGAGGGTACGTCATGGCTTCTCTTGATTGCTTATAGCAAAAGGTGAGAAGGGAGAAACAAATCAGTTTATAATCGAAAGGGAAATAAAACTTAAAGATTTGGAAAATTCTCAGCTTGGCCATGTTGCCAACAATGTAAAAGTGCATTCAGGAAAGATCATCAAGGGTGTGGCCACGCAGCTGTGTGATAAGGATATTACTATGGATGTGCGGAAGTCTGGTACTCTTCATCAAGACATGGAAAAATGGCCCACAAAGCATTTTGGAGATCTTTAGAGGCTGCTCTACCCATCTCAGCCCCAGAATTCCAGGGCCTTGGGAATAATAATTTCAAGGTTCCACTCCCCAAATTCCAGTGCAGCACTTCTTGGCTGCCCAGGTTGTTGTGCCTCAAGTTGGCCCAGGTGCAGCTCAGGCCACCCCTTCTGGGGACAGTAAACCTTGGCAGCACCTATACAGTGCCATCTCCACCAGGGGCCAAAATGCATCAGCTATGGGGGCTTGGCCCTCTCCACCTAGATTTCAAAATGATACCCTGGAGAACACCTCAGGGCTCAAGCAGAGAGCTGCAACAGAGGCAGAGGCCCCATAGAAAGCTCCTACTGGAGCAATGCCTAGTGGAACCATGGAGGCAAAAACCAACCTCCCCCAACCCTGGTGGCTGTTTTCGGGTGAAGGGGTCCCACACTGAAAGAGCTGCTGGTATGAAACTCCAGCCTGGGAGAGCCACAGGTAAGAGACTCCAACCTGTAAGAGCTGCAACTTGGACTGTGCCCAGAAAAACCAGAAGGTAGAGCCTTGGGGGCCCAATTCCCATACCAGTGTGTCTGAAAGGCAGAACTTCAAGTCAAAGAAGATCATTCTGTAGCCATGAGATCTAATGTTTTGCCCCACTGAGTTTGGATTTGGTCAAGACTGAGTATTCCTTTCTTCTTTCCTATTTCTCCCTTTTGAAATAGGAATGTCTATTCTGTGCCTGTCCTACCATTATATTTTGCAAGCACATCACATGTTTAATTTTATAAGTTCACAGCTGGAGAGCTGTTTGTCTCAGGATAAATTGTAACTTGAGTTTTTTCCACGTCTCTTTATATGAGATTTAGATGAGACGCCAAATTTTAAATTTTTGAGCTGATGCTGGAACAAGTTAAGATTTAGGGGCTATTGTGATTAAATGAATGTATTTTGCATATGACAAAGACAAATTTGGGAGGCCTAGGAACAGAGTGCTATAGTCTGAGCACTTGTGCCATGCCCCTATACCTACCAAATTCTTATGTTGAAACTTAACCCCATATGCAGTAGTATTACGTGTAAAGGCCTTTGGGAGGTAATTAGATTATGGTATTAATGTACTTACAAAGGAGATTGAAGGGAATATTCCACCCTTTCCATCATGTAACAACCCACTACAAGGCACCATCTTAGAAGCAGATTCTAAGTAAGAAGTTCTAAGAAGCAGTTTCTAAGAACTACTTAGAAAGTTCTCTGAAAAGAATACCAATGCTGCATAAACAAACCCTTACCAAACAATCTGCTGGCACTTTGTTCTTGGATTTCCCAGCCATCAGAACTATTAACAATTAATTTACATCACTTATAAATTACCCAGCCTAAGGTACTTTATAATAGCAGCCTGAACTAAGATGCTACTCCACATGTATTCTTCAAACCTGCAGCACTGGCATCACCCAAGAGCTTACTAGAAGTACAGTCTTGATCATCATGCCAGAGCTATGAATTATAATGTACATTTTAACACCACCACCCCTCCAGATGATTCTTATGCACATGAAATTTTCAGAAGCACTATTCTGTGTGATGGGTTTTCAGCAAGGGGCTCCGAGCTTTTATCAGTGGAAACACAACCAGTGTTAGGAATTGAGGAAATCCAGTTTTTGCTTGTTCCTAGAAAACAGAGCTCCAAAAAATAATCGAGCCCAGGTGTCAGCCTACCATTTAAGTCCTACATCAGTGATGTAAAATCTCCTTTAAAAAAACAAAATCCTCAATATTCCATGCCTCCTTTAGTTAGCTTCCCACATCCAGCATACATCACAGCTTAAGCAGGAAAGCATTAAACCAGGAATGTGAGACCTGAGCTCACCAGTTTTGTGCGTGTCTTTAGATCATGTTTTCTTCTTTGAGGTTCAGCTGACTCATCTCTTAAGGAGGGTAGGAATAAAGGCCTTGCCTCCCTCTGATGTTTTGAGTTTCAGATAGGATCAGATTTGTGAAAGTTCTCTGAAAAGAATACCAATGCTGCATAAAATGAGGTATTATTTAAGCATTAGTATTTTACTTGCCATTTCCTAACACATGCTTGGTTCATGCTTAGTAAGACAGATCCAGGCCATATCACGATTCACATTTTAGGACCAACTGTTGTTTGTTCTTAGACAAGAAGCCATAGCAGCGAAGGTAGGATATCTTCCAATTAAATGATTTTGGTTCTAATTATCTTGCACAGCACCCACACAGCAGTAAGTTTTCCCTTACCACTAACAGAATTCTAAGAAATAACCATCCTTCCTTCCTGAATCGCTAAAACCATTAGAACTGTGAGTTCTCCCCAGGGGCCCTTACCCTCTTTCTGTGCTTCAGCCACCAGGTCCCTGGTGATTCTTGCTTCACTTTGAGAAGTATAACAGCCTTGTCCACACCAAGAAGGAAACTTTTTGCACCTACCTGGGCAGACAGCTGTTGTCCTTGGATCAACAGGCAAGCCACAGCATTTATCTTACATAGGGATGTATTTTCCCTAACCCTCTGGTCTGAGCCCTGTCCACCACCTGTTTCCCTGGTACAGGAACTCCTGCCTGTGTGCAAATCTGTATTCCTATTGATGCCCTTTTACTTGCTTCATGTATTTGGATGTTGAACCCAGGTCTCCTACTCAGATTCTTTGCCTGCTTCCTTTGATTTATGCTAACTCATTCAGATCTCACTGTTGCTGTCGGTATTCACAGGATTCACACACCTTCAGTTCCATAGCTCCCCAGGGATCCCCTGGCTGTGATATTTGCCAGCGTGCAGCAGCATCAACCACAGCAAAAGTGCCTTGGCCTGGCTTTTCCTGGGTCACTTGAACTTAAGGCCTCTGAAGCCTTAGTACTGAACATCCACATGCTCTTCATTCTCACGAAGCAGCATGCTCTATTTTTGCTGTATCTAGGTACCACTGTTATCTACAACTCCATGGTGGTGCTATGGGAAGCTTTCTCACAACTCCCAGGTTAGATTACTTGAGAAATAAAATTTTTTATCTCAGCTTTTTAGTTTCAAGGGGTATATGTGCAGGTTTGTTACCTGGGTATATTGTGTGATGCTAAGGTTTTGAGTATGGTTGCCCACACACGGTACCCAGTAGTTTTTCAACCCTTCCTCCACCAGTAGTCCCCAGTGTCTATTGTTGCTATCTTTATGTCCATGAATAACCATTGTTTACTCCCACTTATAGGTGAAAATAATGGGGTATTTGGTTTTCTGTTCCTATGTTTATTCACTTAGGATGTTCGTCTCTAGCTCCATTTAGTTCCAAAGGATAAGATTTAGTTGTTCTTTTATATGGCTGCATAATATTCCATGGTATATATGTACCACATTTTCTTTATCCAATCCAATGTTGATGGACACCTAGGGTTGATTCCATGTCTTTGCTATTGTGAATAGTGCTGCAATGAACTTACAGTGTGTGTGTTTTTGGTAGAATGATTTATTTTCTTTTGGATATATAACCAGTAGTGGGATTGCTGGGTCGAATGGTAACTGTTTTAAGTTCTTTGAGAAATCTCCAAACTGCTTTCCACAGTGGCTGAATTAATTTACATTCTCATCAACAGTGCATAAGTGTTTCCTTTTCTCCACAATCTCACCAGCTTCAGTTTGACTTTTTAATAATAGCCATTATGACTGGTGTGAGATGGTTTGACTGGCATTTCTAATGAGTAGTGATGTTGGGCTTTTTTATATTTGAGTAAAAACATGCAGGCACAACAGAATGCATGGTTCATGATGCCACACATAAAGTGCAGAAGCAAACAAATCTAACCTATGGTTTTAAAAGTCAGGGGAGTTGTTATTTTGGGGAGTAGGGTAATGGCTGAGAGGGCCAAGAAGACTTGTATGTCTTCTTTTGAGAATTGTTCATGTTTTTTGCTCATTTTATAATGGGGTTATTTGATTTTTTCATATCCAATTGCTTAAGATCCTGATAAATTCTGTATGTTAGACCTTTGTAACATGAATAATTTGCAAATATTTTCTCCCATTCTGTAGGTTGTCTTTATTCTGTTCATAATTTCTTTTGCTGTGTAGAAGCTCTTTAGTTAATTAGGTCCCACTTGTCAATTTTTTTGTTGCAACTGCTTTTGAGGACTTAGCCATAAATTCTGTCCCAAGGCCAATGTCCAGAATGTTGTTTCCTAGGTTTTCTTCTAGGATTTGTACTTTGAGGTCTTACATTTAAATCTTTAATCTATCTTAATTTTTATATATGGTGAAAGGTCAGGGTAAAGTTTGATTCTTCTGCATACAGCTAACCAGCTATCCCAGCACTATTTATTGAATAGGGAGTTATTTTCCTGTTGCTTATTTTTGTCAACATTGTCAAAGATCAGATGGCTGTAGGAATGTAGCTTTATTTCTGAGTTCTCTATTCTGTTCCATTTGTCTATGTGTCTGTTTTTTTTACCAGTACCATGCTGTTTTGGTTACTGTAGCCTTGTATAATTTGAAGTCAGGTAATGTGATGCCTCCAGCTTTGTTCTTTTTGCTTAAGGTTGCTTTGGCTATTCCGGCTTTTTGGTTCCATATGAATTTTAGAATATGTTTTTCTAATTTTGTGAAAAATGATGTTGGTAGCTTCATAGGAGTAGCACTGAATCTGTAGATTGCTTTGGGCAGTATGGCCATTTTAATGATACCAATTCTTCCAATCCATAAGCACGAAGTATTTTTCTGTTTGCATCATCCATTATTTTTTTTTTTTAGCAGTGTTTTGCAGTTCTCCTTGTAGTGATCTTTCACCTTGGTTAGATGTAGTCCTAGGATTTTTGTTTGTTTCTTCTTGGTGGCTATTGCAAATGAGATTGTGTTCTTGATTTGGCTCTCAGCTTGAATGTTAATTGGTATATAGAAATACTACTAATTTTTGTACATTGATTTTTGTATCCTCAAACTTCACTGAAGTCATTTATCAGTTGCAGGAGCCTTTTGGAAGAGTGTTTAGAAAAAAATTATTGAAGTATAATAAAGTATACACATCACAAATAGCTCAAAAACTATTGAGTGAACACACCTGTATAATTCCCATTTAGAAAGGAAGAGAGAACATGAGATCTTAGCACTCTATTCATGCCATCTCCTAGTTATTAAAATTTCTAAGATAAATACTTGCCCCTCACAGCCATTACTCTCCTCCCCAAAATAACCATTCCAGTGACTTTTAACACCATCATTACGTTTGCTTGCTTTTGTACTTTATATATGGAATAATGAAGCATGTACTCTCCTGTGCATGGAGGCTTTTACTTAACATGTTTGCAAGATTCATCCATGTTGTGTGTAGCTGTAGTCTATTCTCTTATTAGCATATAGTATTTCATTGTATGACTATGCTGCTCTTTACCTACTTGTGTTTCTTTCCAGTTTTGTTCTATTTATTTCCAGTTGTGTTCTATTACAAATAGTATTACTAAAAATACCCTTATGTCTTTTGGTGAACATAAGGTACTCATTTCCTGTTGGGTATATAACTAAGAGTAGACTAACTGGGTGAGAGGGTATGCACACCTTAACCTTTAGCAAGTGTAGCAGCTTTCCAAAGGCGGTGTACTAAGTTACACTTCCACCAACAGTGTATGACAGTTCCAGTTACCCTGTATCTTTGCAGACATCTGGTATTGTCTTTTTTCATTTTAGCCATTCTGGTTATTGTGATTTAATATAATTTCCATGATAACTAATGAGTTCAAGTACCTTTTAAAAAATGTATTAGTTATTTAGATATTCATTTTTATCAGTGCCTGATCAAGTCTTAGTTGCCCATTTTTCTATTCACATGTTTTTTTCTTTTGACTTGTGGGAGCTTTCTATGTGTTGTGAATACTAGTACCTGCAGGTAGTGCAAATTTTTTCTATGGTTGGCCTTATTAGTCGATTAATGGCATCTGTTGATAAAGAAATTTTTAACTTTATAACCGAGTCCATGAATCAAATTTTTTCTTTATGGCTAGGTTTGTGTTCTGCAAGAAGCATAGCAATTGACAGGCTGCTTCTGGTATAAAATTGCCCCTACTTTAGCATCTGTTGATATGAAAGTCACTCAGAATAGTCAGTACTTTTACCATCTGTATGACTTTAATTTATTAGATTTTCCCTGAACATTTTGACTGTTCTCAAAACCCAGCCTGGAAATTGCCTTGACCTTCCATTTATCCATATACTACTGATCTACTATTTATCTTTATGTCTTCCCTTAAATATATTATAAGACTTATTGGCATGAGCTTAAGAAATTCTGTCCTGAAAGATCCCCAATGCAACAAGGATCTCTTGGAGAAAAAAAACTCTTCATAATTACATAGCAATCAATTTGCTAGATGAAAACAAAGTAAGTATTCTGATTAATTGCATTGCCTTATAAAGGAAAAATGATTAGTCTTAGACTGTTAGGGTTGTTAAACCCCAGAGACTAATTAGAGCAATCTGAAGCCTCACAACAAAGAATGCACTATTATTATACTTTTACAGATAGAAGTCAAAGCACAACTGTAAGAAATAAGATATGTGAAAGTCCATAAAGCAGTGCCTGTCACATAATAAACAGTCAATAAATCTTAGCTATTGTTGTTATTACAAGTTCTTTATATTGCAGTTGTGCAAACTGAAATCCAGAGAAATAAAATACCTTGTCTCCACTCACATGGATTTCTGGTTGCAGAATTAAAACTAAACCCTCCATAGTCATATTCTCATCCAAGGGATCCTTTCTACTAAACTACAGTCTCTCAGAATTCCTCATCTATAACAATTCTAGAAGGTATTTACAGGAAACATCAATTCATAAATTTAATAACCAATAGAACTCAAGACGTATTTTCATCACTTTATAAATACTATGCTTCTAATGATTTGATCTTTGTTATTGAAACATTCTTCCTGTTTTTAATTAAGAAAATCTTTCAGTAAGTATGAATGTATCTTCTCCACCTAAATAGGTGTTGTATTTCTGTTCATTTTTGTTGGATAATAAACGGTCTTAAAATTTACTTAAAATAATCACTTATTTTTCTCATGAATCTACAGTCACCAATTTAGGCTGTGTTTACATGAGTGGCTCTTCTGATCTCAGCTGGGCTCACTCACATATTTGTGAGCTTGGATATTTTAATTGAAAAATCATATCAGCTATGTAACTCTGCTTCTGGGAGTTGAATGGATAACAGCTGGGTGATAGAATACTTGGGCCATGCATCTCCCACCATCCCCTAGGCAGTCCAGATTTATTTATACAGTACGATCATGAGGTTCCAAGAAAGCAAACAGAGCCTAGCTCAGACACAGTAAAACATTTTTTTGTTGTTGTTTGCTGTATTCCACAGGTCAAAGCAAGTCACAGGTCTAGCCTCACGTATTGAGGAAATAGACTTCACCCCTTGATGGAGGATACTGCAAAATCACACTACAAAAATGTTGGATATAGGGAAGAAAAAAATAATTGTGGCCATTTTTCAAATATACTGCAATGAGTATGCATAAGAGCCAGGTAAACATGTTAACTTTATCCTTACTTGGATTGGAGTCTTAGTAAAAGAAAGCTTTTCCTGTACTCAAAAATGAGGGTTTATATTTTTCTCCCATCAGATGAGCAAATATTTTAAAGTTATAATAGACAGGGTTCAAAATGGAAAAAAATAAGCAGTCTCACATGCTGATATGCATATGCATCAGGAATTCATGTTGAAGTTATTACAAACAAATAATCATGTATTTCACAAAGATGGAGCTCTATGGCTATTTCATAAAGCATCATTTTTAACAGTGAAAAACTGGGAAAATCAGTGTCCAAAAATAACTGGTTAAATACATTATGTTATCACATAATGGAATACTACATATTGAAATGAAGATGTAGAAGAATATTAAATGGTGTACGAAGGTAGTCATGACATATTAAGGTTAAAAAAAGATTACATACTATGTTATTTATTTGCATGTTTTGGTATAACTATTTTCTAAAGATATCACAATTAGTCATTTTGTTTTTTAATTAGAGGGATCAACATTATTTGACGATAAATTTGTCATTCCTTTTACATGCTGCAAGTGTAACAAAAAGCCCCATCCCAGGTGTATCTTCAATTATACAGTGTTATCACAGAAGAATTTACGAATCACTACCGACTATATGGCATTGTTTAAATTTGAAACTCTGGTGACTCATGACTAGGTATGCCAGTCATTTGCTGTTTTAATACTTCAATAATTAGTAAAAGCAGTAGAGTTTGTTTGGAATAGAAACTAGGAATTTTTGTTGATAGGTCCAGCTTTGCCATGTTTTAGTTGAATGGCTCAGAGATAATTACCATTTCTTTTTCATTTCATTTTCCTACCTGTCAAGTGAGGATATGTCTGAATTCAAACTCCTTGAGAGAAAAACCTACCGTGTATAATTCAACTTTGTGTCCTCAACTTCCTTACCTCCTCAATAGCTTACCTGTCTACTTCATAGAAGTACATCAGAGAATATTGACAAGCATACCATCACTCTGCAAGCAAGGTTTCCATAGGGAGGGAACATGAATCAGATACTTCTTACATGCCAAGTCAGATTCTCTTATATTCACCCATCCCCAGGGCTTTTACCATCAGTGGCTACCAACTCTGTGGGAAGTCTGACCAACTTCATATGAGCACAACCCAATAGGATCTCACCATACACCCATATCACAACTCTGATGTATAGCCTCTCTTCCCCAGAAGCAAAGGAGTCTTTGTGAATTTCCCAAAAACCTTGCCCAATGCCCATGATTAAGGCAAGGAGTAGCCCTACAGTGAACAATGGGCAGATTTTCCCATAATCCTTTTCTTCATAAATCTTTCTGTTCTGATGGTGCTGACCCCATCACTCCAAGGATGAGCATGAGATCAGGCCTGCCCCATCAGAGGCTCCGTTCATCCTATTGCTATGGTTTGAATGTTTCCCTTCCAAATTTATGGTGAAACAATCCCCACTGTGATGTTATTAGGCAGTGGTGCCTTTAGCAGGTGATTAGACCACAAGGGCTCCCCCTCATGTATGAATTAGTGCCTTATAGAAGGGCTTAAGGGAATTAGCTTAGGCCCCTTTTTGTCCTCTGCCATATGAGAATGCCACCATGAGAAGATGCTGCCACTGATAAAGCAGGCCTCACCGGACACCAAATCTGCTGGTGCTTGATCTTGGACTTCTCAGCCTCCAGAACTGTAAGAATACATTTGTGTTGCTATAAATTACCCAATCTGTGGTATTTTGTTAGAGAGGCACAAGTGAACTAAGAAACCTACATACCATGATTGCTTCAGGGATTGGTCTCTGATTGGAGCCAAGCCAATCTTGGAATCTTTATACCAGTGCTTTAAGAAAAAAATGCTTTCTTTCTGCTGGGGCACTGAAGCTGGAAAAATGTCAGTCTTGAGCCTCTTAGTGTCCAATAACTAAGCCAACAGAACAAAAGTAGAGCTTAGAGGTGAAAACAGATTTTCACCTCTACCATGCAACTTAGTTGGGACTAGCAAGAGATAAGCATTCAACTTCTAGGAAGAGTCAGGGTTTTTTTGTTGTTTTTCTTTTATGACCACAGCATGAGATGATGTGTTGGCACCTTCATTAGTTGAGATTTGAGGGTAGTAAAAAGGCCATTCAAGCAAGCGTGAGCGTAACAGACTAATAGGTAGGGTTTGCTTCAGATACGACTGGCTCTGGGGGTCCAAATAATATAATCATAACTGTCTATTTTCAGCTGAGCACTGCTTTTTTTTCCTCCTTCTTCCTGCAGGCTTATTGGGCAGATTCTATGCGGAGAGCAGCCGTGGTCTTGACGCTGTGTGTGGTGGTTATACTGACTGTAGTCCCTGGCAGTTGCAGCAGGCATCAAGCAGAGAGAAATGTGATGAGGCAGCTCTGGAGAGGGGGAGCCACAGGTGCACCCCTGCATTGGGAAGATACCATCAACTGCAGCAAAGAGAATAGATGCACCACACACTCCTGGATTTGCTGGGGAATTTAAGAAAAATGCAGTCAGAAATCAAAGGTGGAGTTCTAGGGGTCCTCCTGGAAAGAAGCTAGGGAGAGAACTTCTTCTGATTGGCATTTTTTTCCTCTGTAGCTCTACTTTTGTCCTGCTAAAAGCAGGAATCAGATCAGATGTTAAGCTGATGACATTTGACAGTCACAACGCAATACTTACTACCACATAACATTCCCCTACTACACCATTTAAATTTCTCACTCTCACCCAGAATATTCACAGATGAGTCATGAGAAGTGATAAATAAAAAATACTATTTTTTAAGTCAAACGTAAGTATCAAACTGTAAAGACCCACCATGTATAAAATTTAGTTTTGCAATTAAAACTCCCAATGTTTATCTCATAACATCCATTATGTGCACAGATCTTGTTGTGATGCTCAGAAATTAAAGCATGTAAGATGTGTGGTTCAAGGAAATTACTTTTTAAAGAAAGAACACCCACTGAAATTTATTGATTCACGTTACTGAAAAAATCAGAAGTAGGAATAATTACCATGAAAAGGAGGTTAAAAATGCTGGGACCCCAAAAGAACTAAGATCTAGCCCAGGCTTCTCTTAGATGGTACAGATGGGAGAAAGTCCTAAAGATCTTCCCATACTGGCTACACTCAGGGTTTCTCTCCACTGTGGATCCTCTGATGCCGACATTATGTGGATTTAACAGCAAAATCTCTTCTATACTCATTACCTTCATCGGTCTTCTCCCCAGTATGGATTCTCTGATGTATAACCAATTTGGAACTACTGGGGAAGCCATTTCCACTCTTCTTGCAGAGTTAGGGTCTGTCCCTACTATGGATTCTCTGATGACTCATCAGATTGACTATTATTATCAGCTCACCCACACTCCTCACACTGATAAGATTTCTCTCCAATATGGACTGATGACAAATCAATGAAGAATTGCCATTAAATGATTTCCCACACTCCTTACATGGATAGTGTGGATTCTCTGTTGTCTGACACACTAAGAGAAAAAGCTGATGCACCTCCCATACTCCTCACATCTGAAGGGTTTCCTTGCATAGTGGCTTCTCTCATCTTTTTCCTTTAATTTTTTTCTCTGTGGAGATTTTCTGATGCTTCTCCATGTCATGTGTTTCTGGAAAGTCAGCTTCCTAAGAAACATTCTTTAACAGCCCACGTGGCATCACCATGTCTGTTTCTTCAGAAATTCCCTGTGTTGATGTGGACTCGTTGTCATTGTTGGTCTCAGCATCTTTACAGGCATCCCTGGTCCCCTCTGCAGGGGGATCATCCTGTGTGTCCAGGACCCAAGGCATATCCCCTCCTACCAGAAGTGAGACCCGCGCAAGTTTGCAAACTGGGTATCCTGGTGCCCGGCTTTCAGGGTTGACGGCCATCACCTGGGCTCCTTCCTTCTGTGCTTCTGGGGAAAAGCGGGGGCTCCAGTGGCAAGTGGCCAGAAAATAACTCTTTATTGTTGTATTTTGTATGAAGTACAGCCAAACATTTCTGGGTCAGTTGTACAGAGGGGAAAAAGAAAACAAATGGCTCCCTGTATCCTCGCCTGCTAGAGAACCAATACGGGGAAGGGATACTCACTGTTCCAGGGTCCCAAAGTCCTTGTCTGGAATTTACACTTTCTGATCCTGCCTCTAACATCCAAGGCTGAGATAACAATCAGCTGGTGGCTTCTAAAACAGCTGGAACCTCCATCTGGACACATACAGGGACTCAATGGTAGCTTCATTCTCCCCGTGATTAATCCACAGGATTCCAGGGTGGCTTCTTTTTCTTTTGGGGAACACATAACTTTCAACAAAGGGATTTTGAAGTTGACAAGCTTCCAAACTCTGTGATAAAGCAGTGAGTTTTGCAAACAATACGTTATGTTCCGTCACTAATTCCATCTGCTCTCTAGAGGATTTTAGTGTACTTTGACCTCGAAGGAGAAGAAGGGCTCCTGAGTTGTTACCCTTCTAGAAAAGGAAAACAAAAACCCCAGCAAGATAAATCAAGCTAATACTAACAGTTAATTGAAAGGAAATGGTATGCTTTCCTCTGATTAAAAAAGGGGGGGCATCAAAAGTCCAAATCAAAATCCTTGCAGTTTCCCAAACACACCCTCCTCTTCCAGCCTCTCACCACCCCACTCGCCATTGTCTCTGCTTGGAATGGTGCTATGCTGGCTGGGGTCATAAAATGATGAAAAAGAGAAAGTGGATCCCTGCCTGTCTGTAATCAGGAAAGCACAGGGTGTGCAGGAGTCTTGAGAAGTGCCCCCTCACCCAGACTCTGAGGATAAGAAAAGCTTCCTGCAGAAAATGCTATCTAAGCTGAAAACTAAAATCAATTTTGACGATGTAAAGGATAGTGTTCCAAGCAGAGGAATGGTGAGTGCTAAACCTAGAGACCGGAATGACTGCAAGTATTTCAGGAGAGGTCATTTATTTGGGCAGTGGGAGGTGAGTTGACCGTAGAGAATAAGAAGAGAGAAAATGAGAAATGGAGAAAGGAAATAGGGAATGAGACGAAATGAGAGAGGGGCAGCAGCCACATCATTAAAAGTCATGTTTAGGTGTCTGCAATTTATCTTAAGAAAATGAAGAGACATTAAAGAAACTTAAACTGGGGAAGGACTTGTACACCCATGTTTGAGAATCTTTGTAATCCCAGTGTCTAGCATAGTGTCAGGCTCTTAATAGCTGTTCAATAAATGCAATGGTGAGTGGTGTGGCAAGTGCAGAAGAAATGACAAACCAACATAACACAGTCTATGTAAAAGCCATCTTTTTAGTAAGAACTATTTATAAGCATAAATATTCATAAATGTGTACATAAATGTTTGTAAATGTACAGAATAGTAAGTTATGAGACCATAGTCACAAAACAAAAGGCATCACAATGGTTAGAATGCCAGCATCACATCCTCAATGCTGAAGACAATAAATTATTCATAAGTATATTCTTACTGCATAAGCCAGATAGTTTGTCTAATGTTAACACTAAGGAAAGAGATGGCTTTCTGAAGAAGAGAGAAGAAATCAAGAATGTTCTGGAACCTAGGGCAGGGAGAGATGGCAGCATACCATGAGGGTATGGATTTACTCTACCTATATTTAAATCCCAGATCCTAACAAGATTCCCAGATGTAGATTCTTGGCCAAAGCTTTTTCTGTACCCAAGTCTACTTTGTAAATCAGAATATCACCTCCTCATAAGTTTGTTGTGGGAATCTAGCTACATAGGACCTGCAAAGCACTCACACAGCTCCTGACATACAGTAGTGAATAGTTACTGGGAAATCACTCTGAGTGAAAGAGGCAGGCTTTGGAGAACAACATTCTGGACACATTGGAGACACATGGAGTTCCTGAGGGCAGGCAGCAGAATAAAACTTAACAGGAAGAGTTCCAGAATTCTGATCTATTCTTAAATTTTTATCAAGTTAGGTCTCCTTCTTTCTTTAGAAATTAAAATTGGGACTAAGATTCTGGTTCAGTTTAGGTTTATTTATTCATCCCATAAATATTTGTTAAGCACTTACTATATGCTAGGCACTGTTCCAGGAACCAAAGATTTGACGACTAAAGAGAGAGAAATAGAGAAAGAGAAAAGGAAAACCAGGAGAATTATATGGGAAAAACTATTACAAAGGTTTATACCTACATAAAGGAAATGGAGTGATTAGGCTGGGTTCTCCAGACATTTTATGAGATGAGTTTCATTCTGCTTTCTTGAGCCTAGGGATGAAGTGCTGACAGTAAGATTCCAGAGCAGAAGAAAACACACTGGGAAGCATAGAAGGGTAATAGCAACTGACCAGAGATCCAGCAGATACATTTGACAACAATCAGCAGGTCCTGATATTCTAATTAAAGTCACAGGGTCAGTGGAGCTTCTGGGACTTCCTGAAGCATCAAGAAAACTCTTGAGAATTAGGGAAGAGTAGAGATAGCAAAAGAACTGTATTTTATATCATACAGTTTCTGTTAACTGTGTGATATAAAACAACACCATTTCAGGAAAGGGAGGAATATACTACCTGTTCAAGAGGAGAGGATTAGGATGAGAATGAAAGAGCAACAACAGCTACTTCAAAGGTGATGGGGAATTTGGAGCCATGTGTTGAGGATTTGTGACTGGTGAGAGGGTACACAAGTGTGATCAGACAAAAGACAAAGGATGACATTGTCAGAATCTCATTCAAAAAGGAAAGGAAATAAGTCATTAAGAATCATGATTTGCATCTGTTAATAAGGATTTAAGAGTACACATCAAAAGAATACGGCATATTTTTAATTAAAAAGCAAAAAGGGATAGATAAAAATTACAAATGTGTTTCATCAATGTAACCAGCATGGTCCACACATTCCATGAGTCAACTCTCAAATTATAATATCTCAGATTCTTATCCCATCTTACTGGTTAAGTTTAGTCCTTACCAGATTTCCATCCCCAAATATTCTGGACTCCCTGGGAAATGCTCTCATGTTCTCCAAAGCCATCTTGATTGTCACGTCCCACCTCAGTGAGCCCCCTAGCTCCAGGCCCCTCTCTGTGGACCACCGCTCACCCCAGCATGCGTGACCCCCTGCCACCTCCACATGTTTCCCTCAGGCAGCTCCTCTCATTGAGACTGCTTCACCTGAAGCCTGGGTACAGTCGTTCCTTCAAGTCCCAGTTAGAATAGAACAGGTCAGCAAGAGTCTATTGATGCTTTGGGGATAATTGGAGGATCAAAGAAAAGGAAATAGGGCAATAAAATTGAAATTGCTTTTAGATATGGTGCACTCAAAACCTACCAAGACCCAAGGGTCCATGACAGCACTCCTCCTGGCTAGTCCATGTGTTAGGAACCTGCTTCCTAACCACACGTATACCCCAGTGAGTTCTTTAAAATATCCTGCTTTTCAGTGAAACAAGTTCCTAATCGCAAGGCCTAGGAAAATAAGTTCATTCCTTCCATGACCTGAGACCTGCCTACCCCCTCCAGGGGGAAACCCCACCAGGTTGAGGTCTGCTCTGTGACCTTCTGTAGAGTGAGCCCCAGAATATACAAGAGTTCATGCAATGTATTTTCCAGTTCTGGCTTATTCACTCCTGAATTATGCGAGATTTGAGACATCAACAGTCCAGCCTGTGTTGGGCTGCATCAGACTCAGGCCACATAAGGTCAAGTGAGACCTGCACATGTTTCCAGTCATGACAGGTCTCAGTTTCCACTCTCATCAGCCACTGCTGAAACATACACATGGATTTATCCAGAGCAAGAGCACGAATACATGGCTATAAGGAAGTCCAAATCTATGCATAGGAAACAAGTCTGTTCTCAAAGAAACAATCCTCTGAGATGCAATTCTGTCTGCTCTAAAGACAGACTTAAATTATAACATCAAACAGTTTAGCAATTTGGGATCAAGAAATCTCAACCCTTTTAAAGTCCAAACAGGGAACTCTGCTCTGGGTTCAACTAAAAGACCAAGGGATGGAGGATAACAGCCCCAGAATAAAGGATGATGACACTCTGTTTAAGGAGCTATTTTTCCAACTTCTACCTACTCTGTTGTTAAGAGAGTATCTCATAAGACTGTGATGTGTAACCAATTTATTATTTGTGATTTTGAAAAATATTGTGGCAGTAACTATAAATATGTTACACATTTATCTTTTAGAAATAAAAAATCCTCAACATCTAACATGTGTGAAAGGGCTTTGACAAGCATTAAGTATTGCCTCCACTCCTCTAAGGAGGTCAGCCTTGGGAAAGCTAAAGACAAAATAATTTGGATACAATGCAACTTGAAATAAGCCTAAGACCTTACATGCCAGATACAGAGTAGGAAGGTGCTCAACTTCTTTCATGTCCCAAATTATATCCTTAGTCGAAAACTCATTGCCACATATCCCTGGCCAGAGGTCTTTGCAGCAATTCATCTTTCTGAGCCCTCTTAACTACTTTAAAGTTCTTTGGTGCTAGAAAGTCACTAGTAGATCAGTTGCTATTCAAACTGTTTATATCTAAACTGTATCTAAAGTCTTCTTACAGAAATTTTATTTAGAAAAAGTGAATTTTCCATATGTCTTAAAATCAACCTTGGACTTCCAATTAAACATCACAGCTTGAACATACATTTATCTTCACTTCTTCCCAGCCCCACTAAAATTGCTGTGAACTAATTTTTTCAAAAGGCTTTATCTACAATGGCAGGCCAAATTCCTCAGGCTCACAAGTTCCTTGGAGGTATCAGACACCTTTAAGGGCATGGGAATTTAGTGAAAATCCACATGCTGAATATGCAGCCTCTAGTTCTTTTCCTCAAGTTAACTCACAGAAGGCAAAGCTGCCAGACATGTGCTCCACAGCCAGTAGCTTGGACAATTCTAAGAAAAATTACAACTCAAGAGAAAAACCTAAATATATTGACATTTTGCATTCTCCCCTCTGCAATGAAATGTCCAGGTCACAATCACAAAAGTCAGCAAAATCTCACCCTCAGATGAGACTTTCCTAACAGTTTTTCAATGCCCTACTCTCAGAATGAATAGGCAAGGATCACCAGATGTTTGAGAAATGCTTCTAAAATGAAGAGAGAGACCAAAACAGAGTGGGGATGGGGGCAGGATACAAAAAGAAGGCAGAGCTAATTGAGGGAAGAGAAGAATACTTGCAGAGCTCTATTATTATGCTCCAAGAGATAAGAAAATATTTTTAAAAACAATAGAATGCTTTTGAAAAATAAAAAGGAACAGCATGGAACAAGAAACAGGTTGTGACAATTAAAAATCTATGTTAAAATTCATTATGCAAGAGAAGACAGAAGTTGAGCAGATCTCCCAAGGAGACAGGTAGCAGTGGTTGCTTTGGGGTGCAAGGCACTGAAATGCTGCCACACGAGCTGCTCCCACTAGAGCTGTGTCACAGCTGGCACAGCCCCAGAATGGAGCTTCCTGAGCACCATACAAATTAAGCCCATCCTGAACAGTCTGAGGCAGACAAGGACTTTCGAGCTTTTGTTCCTACCTCCTTCCTCACACAGGACCAAAACATTCTAATCAATGTGGCAATTTATTGTACTAGACAGATGGTTGAAATGCAGCATGCCAGTATCTCAATATTCAATTCAGTGTTTATAGATACTTCCGTAAAGAAAGGGAAAGAGGCCCTTCAGAAATGCCCCATCTCCTGTGCCACATGTGCTACAAAGCAAAGGGGCAGGGGCATTTCTCCCCCACTTCCACCCCCCCCACATTTCCTGCTTCCACAGTCAGCTCCAAAAGAAGATTAAAACATAGGAAAATATGAGCCTTTGTCACCCATCACTGTTGAAAAATGACCACTTTAGTCATGAAGGAGTTTGCTCTGATAAGGAAATACACTGCCTGGAAAATGTAATGTTTCATATTCATGCATCTGTGCTCTTGCAAATGCTTTTTTGGCTCCATTATATTTTGTATGATTAATTTTCCAGTAGACTTACGAAGGAATAAAAATCCTTTAAAAAGTTTAACTTGTTTTTTCTGAATAACTTCTGACACCAAATGCTGAAGTTATACCTTAGTTTTCAGTAGGAAGAAAAATGTTATTTTCATTAGCTGGGCATTTTCAGTTGGACATGGTCTTTTTCAATATACCTATATACTTTTCAAATATATTTAGCAAAGCACATATTGAATATACATTACAATATGCTGAGTCGTCATTCCTCTTTTGTCTTCGTAAACTTCTGTGGAGAAAGAATACAGTAAAATTTAGGATCCTTGTTCTCCAGCCCATAGTGTACACAGCAGGATACTAGAGAGCCATCAGAGCACAATTTCGAAAATGTAAGCAGGAAAGTTCTACAGAAGAATGTCATGACACTGAGCTGGGCTTGCTGTCCGTTCTCAGAATACATTATCCCTCTTTTCAGAATTTAATTCAGGTTCGTGGGAAGTGGTAGAAACCATAGAGTCCTATGTTGAATGAAGAACAAGGAAGATGTATACAATAGATGCCAATCCAAACATATAAGGGGGTACCATATTAGTTTTGCACAGTAAGTGTTAAAGAACAAAAAAAAAACTAAAATATAGCTTATTCTCACACACCCTTGACCCACTCTTCCCCTACCCCCAAACACAAGCAAAATTTGATTATGTTAAGATGGAGCCTTAAAAAGCTCCCAGGTGATACCAATAATCAGCTAGGGGAGCACTTCTCTCAGGGATCTTTTAAGTCCCTTCTAGGACTTCAGTAAGTAGAAGATATGGTCTGTGCCCTCCAGAAGCTTGAAATATAATTAGAAAGTTAAAACAGAACAGGGTAATAGAAGAAGGCCCTAAGATAAGTATTGCAGAATTTTCAGAATGTGAAGAAGTAGGAAAGATGGAAGAAGCCATTCTGGAAAAAGACAGGAGAAGAGCATGAGGGGGCAGGGTATGTGGGGGTGCAATGAGTGGACAAGCAGCAGGCCCGGCAAACATGCAAAAAAGATTGGCTACCAGCAGTGCCAGCCTAGTCCTGAGCCAATAATTCTCCCTTCTGGGGTGTTTTCATTCAGATTTGTCTATCTTAAAGTGTCCTGAAGGTGGAAGAAGAGAGTATCAATTAACAGTCATGTGAGGCCTGTCTTCAATTCAGCCTCTTCTATAAAGCCTTCCCAGACCAGACCAAACCAAACTTACCTCTTTCTTCCTCTGAAGTCATGTAGAGCTAAACTGAGTACTTAATCCAACTCCCTCATATTACAGAGCGTAATCCTGAGAGATTCATTTGTTTACCCAATGTCACAGAGGTAGGAGAAGAGCCAAGAGAAGTAGATCTCTGCTCTCCCACTGACAGCCCAATGTTCCCTGCATTATTTCACCTTTTCTTCTTGTGGAAAGTGCATGTCAGTTCTTAATATCTCAACCCATGATTTTAAATTTTCATCATCATCCGTAGTCTAGTACAGTGTCAAACATAAGGAGTGCCCAACAAATACTTGTGAAGTTGAAGCAATAGCCCATAACTCCACCAATTTAAGAAAAGATTAAAATTTACCAATTCAAAAAACTAAGTAAATTGCAACTTAAATCCAAGAGTCCAATACCAAGACACATCACACTTAAATTTCTGAAGTTAGAGACAAAAAAATCTTGAAAGCAGCAAGAGAAAAATAACACCTTAATTCTAGGAAAAAGGAAATGTCAATGACAGCAGATTTTTCATCAGAAACCATGGAGGCTAAAAGTAAGTGATGAAAGAAAAGAATTTAACCCAGAATTCCATACCCAGAAAAAAGATTCTTTAAGAATGAAGGGGAAAAAATCAACATACTCTCAGATGAAAACAAGTAAAGGAGTTTTGTTGTTTATACCAGCAGATATACTCTAAAATAATAGCAAAAGGAAGTTCTCTAAACAAAAAGGAAACAGAGACCCTTGGACGTTAGGAAATACAATGTAAAGGGAGGGGCTTCAAGATGGATTACTAGAGACATCTCACCTCCTCCATAAAAAACCAAAATGAGTAGATATTCACACTTTAAATGGATCATCTAAGAGAGGGCACTGGAATTTAATAGAGAAGTGACAGCAAACACCTAAAATAAGGAAGGAGAGAGGAGCCCAGAGAGGCTGCCCAGTGCAGGGAAAGGTAAGTGAAAGATCCCCAAAAGGTCCACATTCCCACCACAGACTCCTGCGATCTCAGTGACAGGAGAGCCCTTGACCTTCCAGGCCCTGAGATTAACTTAGGGAGCTCCAAGGAGACAGCACAAAGTTTTTCTCCAGAAACAAAGCTGAGGCTGGATCCCACACCTGCCCCAGACCTAAGGAGCTTAAGCAGAATACTATTTTGAGAGCCCAACCCCCACCCACCTGCATCCTGCCCCGGGGCTCAACAGCCCTTGCATCTCCACATCTTTGGGGCCCCCTGACATCCTCCACCCGCAGCCTTACTAGCTGCTGCCATCAGGCCTGAAGCATGAGCCACAGGCAGCAATCCATCACTCCTGGCAGTGGGGCTGACACACATTTGCACACACCCTGAGGACAGATTCTTACCTACAGCCACCACCGTTGCTGGCTGCTGCCACTGGGCTGAAAAGCAAGCCGTGGGCAACAACCCTGCCAGCCCCAGCAATGGTGCTGCTGTGCGTTTACATATGAACTGAGGACAAGCTCCCACACCCACAGCCCCACCTGTGGCCAAAACACAAGCTCCTCAACTGCCTGCCTACAGCTGCTGCCACTGACAGCAACCTCACTTTCCCATCAGCAGGGCTGCAGCCACTTGCATGCACACTGGGACAGGCTTCCCCATCCACCACTGCCACTATCACCTGAGCACTACACTGGGGGGTTGGCGATCACCCAGCTCTGCCCGCCACAGCCCTTGCCCATATGCGCCACTGGGAGCCCCAAAGACAGACCCATCCAGCCTGGCTCCATGCCCCCTAGTGCTCAAGCATGCTGTTCAGTGGACTGGGGATTGCCCCACCCCATCCACTACTGTTGGCACCTGAGTACTCTTAACAAGGGCCTAAGGATAGACCCACCCAGCCTGCGGCTATCATCACAGCTGGAACCCACCTGTATGCACCACCTGTGGGCCTGGGGACTGGCCCACCCAGCACATCACAGCCCCCACCAACACCAGTACAGACAGCTGGGGAGGCAGAGGGTTTTCCTGCCACTACTACTGCCATCACTCATACCATGCCTGCTGTCCAGGGTCCCAAGGGCCCACCAGCCTGCCTGGCCCCTTGCTGCTGCTGCTGCTGTCTTCACCTGAGTAAGCCATCTGGAGGCCCAAGAATCAGCCTACCTGGAACCACTTGGTGCTGGCACGTGCACTGCCCTGTTGCCCAAGGACAGGCATGTTCCACCTACTACTGTCATCACTGCAGATGAGGACTGACACAGCTGGTGTCTTCATCCCCAGCAAATCTTCACCACAGCCTCTACTAATGACTGCACCCTAAACCACTAAGGAAATCAGACACCACTGACACTGTTTACAAGCAAAGAAATTATACAGAGACTAGACCATTGCATGCACCCAGAATCAAAGCCAAAGTGCCCTAACCAACCAACACCATAGATACATCTTCAGGAGAAGTCCTCCCAAGAAAGCAAATCCAAAAAATTAGAAGAAGCCGCTGTTACTCCAGATGCACCAGATATCAATGTGAGGACACAAAAATCATAAGAAAATATGACACCTCCAAAGAAATACAATAATTATCTAGCAACAGATTACAATGAAAAAAACTTACAAAAATCCTGGAAAAATAATTCAAGATAATTAAAGAAGCTCAATGAGATACAAGAGAACACAGGTAAATAATACAAAGAAATCAGAAAAACAGTTTAGGATATGAATGAGAAATTTACCAAAGAGATATCATAAAAAATAATCAAACAGAAATTCTGGAAATGAATAATTCAATGACCTAACAGACATTTATAGAACATTTCATCCAACAGCTGCAGAATACACATTCTTCTTACCAACACATGGAACATTCTCCAGGATAGACCATATGTTAGGCCACAAAACAAGCCTCAACAAATTTTTAAAAATGGAAGTCACATCAAGTATCTTTTCAGACCACAATGGAATAAAGCTAAAAGCAATAACAAGAGAAACTTTGGAAACTGCAAATACATGAAAATTAAACAACATGCTCCAGTATGACCACTGGATCAATGAAGAAATTGAGCAAATCAAAAAATATCTTGAAATACAGTATACCAAGACCTATGGGATATAGATGGAAGTACACAGCACTAAATGCCTACATCAAAAAAGTAGAAAGATTTCAAATATGCCATCTAACAATGCACTTCAAGGAACTAAAAGAGAAAGAAAAACCAAACACACAAGTAGAAGGAAATAAATTTTAAAATTAGAACAGAACTAAACAAAAGAGACCAAAAACAATATAAAAAAATCAATAAAATGAAAAGTTGGTTTTTTGACAAGATAAACAAAATCAATAGCTAGACCAACCAAGGAAAAAACTAGAGAAAACCCAAACAATCAGAAATGAAAAAGGAAACATTACAATTGGTACTACAGAAACAACAAAGATCAGAGACAATTATAAACAACTATATGCCAACAAAGGTGGAAAACCTAGAGGAAATGAACAAATTTTTGGACACATACAACCTACCAAGATTGAATCAGGAATAGAATACCTATACAGAGTAAGGAGCAAAGAGTTTGAATCAGTAGCAAAGTCTCCCAACACAGAAAAGCCCAGGACTAGATGGCTTCACTGCCAAATTCTACCCAACTTGCAAACAACACCAATTCTTCTCAAACTATCTTAAATTGAGAAGGAGGGAATTCTTCCCAACTCATTCTACAAGGCCAGCATTATCCTGATACCAAAACCAGACAAAGACACAACAACAACAAAGAAAACTACAGACCAATATCCCTGATAAGCATAGATACAAAATTCCTCAAAAAAATACTAGCAAACCAAATCCAACAGCACATCAAAAAGATGAAACACCACAATCAGGTAAGATTTATCCCAGGGATGCAAAGATGGTTCAACACGCACAAATCAATAAATGTGATACATCACATCAACAGAATGAAGGACAAAAACCATATGCTCTTCTCAATAGATTTTTAAAAAGCATCTGATAAAATTCAGCATTTCCTCATGATAAAACCTCTCAACAAAGTAGGCACAGAAGAGAACTTACCTCAACATAACAAAGGCTGTATATGACAAACCCACAGTAAACATGATATTGAGTGGGGAAAAGCTGACATTCTTTCCCCTAAGAACTAGAAAGAGTTCCTAGGGGAAAGAGTTTCACTTTCACCACTAGAATTTTACTTAATGTATTAGTGCATTCTCACACTGCTATAAAGAACTGCCTGAGACTGGGTAATTTATAAAGAAAAGAGGTTTAATTGACTCACAGTTCTGCATTGCTGGGGAGGCCTCAGGAAACTTAACAATCATGGCATAAGGAAAAGGAGAAGCACACAACTTTGTAGGGAGGAAGGTCAGAGTGAGCACAAGCAGGGGAAATGCCAGATGCTTATGAAACCATCAGATCTCATGAGAACTCACTATCATGAGAATAGCATGGAGGAAGCTGCCCCCAAGATCCCATTACCTCTACCTGGTCCTGCGCTTGACATGTAGGGATTATGGAGATTACAATTCCAGGTGAGATTTGGGTGGGAACATACAGCCAAACCATATCACATAATATTAGAAGTCCTAGCCAGACCAATCAGGTAAGAGAAATAAAAGGCATTCAAATTGGAACAGAGGAAGTCAAGTTGCTCTCTTTGCAAATAACTTAATCTTATATCTAGAAAAAACTAAAAACTCCATTAAAAACCCTCAATTTGATATATACATTCAGTGAAGTTGCAAGAAACAAAATCAACATGCAAAAATCATAGCATTTCTATACATGATTAGTGACCTAGCTGATGAAGCAATCAAGAAAACAATCCCATTTACAACAGCTATAGAAGTAAAATATAATACCTACGAATCGATTTAACCAAAAAGGTGAAAGACTTCTATAAGGAAAAGTACAAAACACTGATGAAAAAAGTTGAACACAAATAAATGGAAAGACATCCCATGCTCATGCGTCAGAAGAATATTGTTAAAATAACCATACTACCAAAAGCAATCTACAGATCCAATGCAATCCCTATCAAAATACTAATGTCATTTTTCACAGAAATAGAAAAAACAATCCAAAAATTTATATGGAAGCTGAAAAGAGCCAGAATAGCCAAAGCAATCCTGAGTAGAAAGAACAAAGCTGGAGGCATCACACCACCTGACTTCAAAATATGTTACAAGACTCTAGTAACCAAAATTGCATGGTACTAGTATAAAAACAGACACATAGGCCAGTGGAAAGAAACAGAGGCCCCATACATAAATTCACATAGTTACAACAAACTGATTTTTTTTTATAAAGGTGCCAAGAACATATTGGGAAAAGGACACTCTCTTCAATAAATACTGCTGGGAAAACTGAATATCAACATGCAGAAGAATGAAACCCGATCCCTATCTCACCATATGTAAAAATCAAGTGAAGATGGATTAAAGGTAAATGTAAAACCCAAAACTATAAATCTATTAGAAGAAAACATAGTGGGACCAGGTGCAGTGGCTCATGCCTGTAATCCCAGTACTTTGGGAGGCCAAGGCAGGAGGATCACCTGAGTTCAGGAGTTCAAGACCAGCCTGGCCAACATGCCGAAACCATCTCTACTAAAAATTCAAAAAAAAATTAGCCAGGCATGGTGGCATGCATCTGTAATCCCACCTACTCAGGAGGCTGAGGCAAGAGAATAGCTTGAACCCAGTAGGTGGAGGTTGCAGTGAGCGGAGATTCCATCACTGCCCTCCAGCCTGGGCTACAGAGTGAGACTCCAGCTCAAAAAAAAAACAAAAACAAAGCAAGAAAGCAACCAAGGAAGGAAGGAAGGAGGAGAGGAAATAAGGAAGGAAAACATGGTAACATTGGTCTAGGTTAAGATTTTATTATGGCTCAGACCTCAAAAGCACAGGGAACAGAAACAAAATAGACAAGTGGGACTTTATTAAATTGAAAAGCAGCTCAGCACTTTGGGAGGTTGAGGAGGGAGGATCACTTGAACCCAGGAGTTGGAGGCTGCAGTGAACTACATTCATGCGACTGCACTCCAGCCTGGGTAACAGAGCAAGACTGTCTCTAAAAAATAAATAAACTGGAAAACTTCTGCATACACTAGAAATCAATAGAGTGAACAGACATCTGTTGAATGGGAGAAAATATTTGCAAATTATTCATCTGACAAGGGACTTAGTAATCAGTAGACATTAAAGTAAACTCAACAGCAAAACAAATAATCTCATAAAAAAGTGAGTAAATGTCATAGACATTTCTCAAAAGAAGACATACAACAGGTAAATGGGTCAACAGGTATATGAAAAAATACTCAACATCACTAATCATCAGGTAGATGAAATCAAAACCACAATGAAATATCATCTTACCCCAGTTAGAAGTACTATTAGAAACAAGGCAAAAAAAATAGCAGTTGCCGGTGAAGATGTGGAGAAAAGGGAACTCTTAGACACTATTAGTAGGAACGTAAATTAGTACAGCCACTATAAAAAAAAAATGAAGATTTCTCCAAAAAAGTAAAAATGGAACTATCTTATGATCCAGCAATACCACTACTGGCTATTTAGCCAAAGGAAAGGAAATCATTATTTCAAAGGGATACCTGTGGCCCCCGTGTTTATTGCAGCACCATTCACAATAGCAAAGCTATGAAATCAACTTAAGTATTATCAGATGAATGGATAAAGAAAATGTGGTATATATATATACACAATGGAGTACCACTGGGCCATTAGAAAGAATGAAATCATGTCATTTGCAGCAACATGGATGGAAGTGGACATAATTACGTTAAGTGAAATAAGCCAGGCACAGAAAGACAAATATCCCATGTTCTCATGTAGGAGCTTTAAAAAGTTGATCTCATGGAGGTAGAGTACAATGATAGATAGCAGATCCTGGGAAGGATCTGTGTTGGGGATAGGGGAAAGAAGAGAGGTTAGTTAATGGGTACAAACATACAGGTAAAAGGAAAAAGTTATATTCAACAGCAGAGTAGAGTGACTATAGTTAACAACATACGGTATATTTCAAAATAGCTAGAAGCGAGGACTTGAAATGTTCCCAACACATAGAAATGATAAATATTTGGGGTGATGGATATCCTAATACCCTGGTTTGATCATTACAACACTCTGCATGTAACAAAATATCACATGAATCTCAAAACATACAAATATTATCTATCAAAAAAATTCTAAAAATGCAAAAAAGAACATAAAGCGATTAAGAACATACTATGTTTGTAGTACAGCTACCAGGCCAGGTGGAGAACTGTGAGTTCCAAGACAAGCTCATTGTTTGCTGCCTGCTGTGGTCTGAATGTTAGTGCCTCTCACAGATTAATATTTTGAACAACAAAAATACTTCTTTCTTGGATAAAACAACCTCTTTTAAATATCTTGTTCTGTATACGGACCTACTACTGTAGTCTGGTGGTTTTGTAGTTACTGCTAGTAGCAATGTGGTGGATGAGGGGCTAAGTTAAAAAAAAAAAAAAAAAGTGTCATACACCTAGGAAGTCCCTGCTAAGCACTGGAAACCACTCAGTCAATGATGAGTTAGACAAAACACAACCAGAATCCAGCCCTGGCTCCACTACCAAGCAGAAGGGTGATGTGAAATGACATGAGGACTTTGTCTTTCTATGTTAAAAGGCATGAGGACGGCAGTCCTCAGGCCCCTCACAGCATTCTAGTGAGGATAAGCAGAAATGCCTGTCACAAGTGTTGAATTCCTCAAGAGACTCATTAAAAGAATCAACTTCTATGGTAAGTACGGCTTTAGGTTGAAGGAAAGGGAAGGTAATTCACACTGAGATTCTCCAGCATGCTGACAATTTGCAAATGGAGAAGTAAAGCAGGAATTGAGCTGGAAAGGTGAGAAGGAAAGGTCTTAGTCCCAAATGGCACATGGTTGGCTTGAGGCCCAAAGTAACCACCCCCACAAGACACAGGTAGTGGGCCTTAAGAATGTCCTTCAGGGTGTACATCGCCCAGTAATACAGAAGAATCCAATTACAATCATGTGGTGTTTTCCGTCATATCAAATTGTTTATCAAATCATTTAATATATTGTAGATTTGGCAATAGTCTGCATTTCACAGGCAGCTCTTTCAATTTGAAAAACTGTAAATGTCTACGTGTCATTCCAATGCCAATGCTACCCTCTAGTGGATAAAACAAGTAGCTGGCTTGATAGAGCTCAACTCTCCTGCTTGGTCAATTCTCCTTTTGTAATTTGATAGCACTTCCTCATCAAACACAACTTCACCAAAAAAAAAAATCAAGAATCGTACTTTGTAATAAAAATTAATCCATCTTATGGTATCATGGACTAATATATTAGAATAACATTTGCTAGCAGTTTAATGATTATGACTACACCGAAGCCTCACTTTGAATAACATCTACATTTACCAAGAATTCAAAAAAGATTTAAGATTGAATTCCTTTTAAATATTAATATTCCTTGTAAACATGGTATGTGATTTGATTTATAAAAGCAATTTTTCTCACCACTCTTCAAGAACACACCCATTGTGTAAGATGCGTACATGCATTTCCATTGCCATTGAGGGATGAAAGGATTCTGCCTCCTCACAGGTGAGGATATTCAGGGAATTGTATGAAGTAAAGAATACGCTTTGGAGGAACTCAGATACACACTTAGAATCCAGCCCTGCCACTGGTTAAGGGTCTTAGTCCAGTCACTCAACTCTGTGGTTCCTTGGTTGCCTCTCTTAGGTCCTACTTATGACTTCTAAACCCCAATGTTTGGTGCCAATCCTGTTCTTTCCCCTACAAGGTCTCTGCATAGATCGACTCTAGAAAATCCTGTTTCTAAGTGAAAAAATCTCAGAATCTACTTTCAACCATGCCAGCAGTTCAAACTTCAGTCTTAATTAGGGGGAAAGTGGAAACAAATCTAGGATTCATCAGGCCATAGTGCCACACCCTCAAGGAGCCATTCATGTTTATAATCTTCACTTGAAACCACATTGATTACCTTTTATATTGAAGGGGGAAACCTTCTCTAAGATAAAATGAGCTGCCTATACCCCAGCTAGGATGGTGTCTTCTGGAGGGAAGCAGGAAGTTTCATGGCATTTTGGTGCAAGAGGCAGTCACTCTCAAGTATGTGGGGACAACCAAGATCACACTTTCCAAAGTTGTCTGGAAAATCACCTTGTTCTCTACTAGAAGAAAATCAAATCCCTACAGATACATGCAGCTGCAAGCAATTACTCATCTTCATTAAACACTCACTTAAAAGACTAATTCAAACAACGCTGCTGCCTGCCTACACCTGTGTGAGGAAAGTAAACAAGCTATAAGGGGAAAGGGTGACATCTACCCAAAAAAACAAAAAACAGAAAACACACATCTATAAACATATGTACATGGCCATTTCCAGAACACCAATATTAACTATCAAATCATCAAATAACTATTCTCATTACCAAGTGGCTTGGGTTACTCCCAAGATAAGCCATTGTTTCCATTGCTAAATATTGTGAACCACTTATAGAAATACACGTCCCAAATAAAAATGGCATAACATTATGATTCAAAAGAGACTTAGGAGCCAATAGTAGCCTCTTGCTTTCACTCAGGGGCAGCAGATCACATGCTTAAAAGTTTCAAGAAGCAACCGAAAATCTGTGCAGAGAATGAGCTTGAGAAACAAAGTATTACTACCACCAGGCACTACTTGGTAGGTCCAGGCAGTGTGCTGGAACATTTCTTGGGTTATTTTATTTTACCCACAAATACATGTTTTCAGTATCATTTGAGGTTTAGAGAAGGGCAGTAACCTGTCCGTAATCATACAACTCCTAAGCAGCCAAACAGGAGTTAGAACCATCTTACTCCCAAGCCCACAGTCATCACAAATCTCCTAGTCAGTCTCAGGGACTGACCTTAAAACACATGGAGTTTCAAACTTGGCTGCATGTTGGAATCACCTGAACAGCTTTCTGTTTTGCTTGTTTAAGGCTAATATCTGGATTCAACCCTCAAGGAATTTAATTGATTTCTGGTGTGCCCTGGATGCTGCAATGGTTTTTATACGTTCAGGGTAATTCTCATATGCAAATAAGTCTGGTAATTACTGGTGCAATATAACAAAGTCTTGTACATTCCTTTTTCTCTTCACATTGTTGCCAGAAATGGAAGCAGTGTAACATAGGGCTTTTAAAACATTGGTTTGGGAGTCATTCAGATCTGGACCCCACCCTCAGCTCCATCATTTGCTAGTTTTATAACTCTGGCAAAATTAAACTCTCTAAACCTTAGTTTTCTCACCTATACAATGGAAACTTGTAGTGTTCATAATAACTAAATTTAAAATTATACAAGTAAATTTCAATATAATTTATAAAGAGCTTATAATAAAAATTATAAAGAGCTTAGTAGGGTGCCTGGATTGGCAATAAGTATCCTGAAAATCTCTCCCTTATTTTTCCTATCATATTTGATAGGAATATTTTATGAGCTTATAGTTTAATTAAATTTATATAAGAAATTATGCATAAAATGGCATTATTAATAACTATCTTGGGTATTACCCATTAAAGTTTGTGAGATATATTCACACATCCTCACTGAACACTCATCTCATCTCTGTGACATATTTCCCACATTGTAAGAAAAAATGAAGCTCTGGGAAACCAAGTCTTTCCCAATGTCACACAGTTCCTAAGTGGCAGAACCAGAATTTGAATTGACTACCAAGATGCTTCAGGTTGAAATCAAGTAACACTTCATGCAAACTGTGAGACTCATTTTTTGTTTTAACTTGTAAGTTCAGTGGTACATATGCAGGTTTGTTTCATTGGTAAACTTGTGTCATGTAAGTTTGTGAGACTCATTTTTTAACATGACAAAAGACACAAAGCGTTTTTTATGTTGACTCCTCATTCTAAACAATTTAAGGAGTTCTCTTTTGAACCACCTTTGGAGCTAGTTCTCAATGTAAGAAAATCACTCATCTTGCTGTTGTTCCCTATTTTATACACTAAAAAGTACTATCCAGTTTGATCTGCCCTTTCACCTACTGTTCTTACTTCTAAATGATTTTTGACCGCGGATTTGATTTCAGGAAAAAAATAGTTTTCATCAGTGAGCATGTTCAAAAGCATATGCCTCAGATTCTACAGGTAGCTTCAGGAAAGGAATTTCAAAGACAATTAAGCAATAATAGCATCCTAAAAAAATTATTGTTTGGAAGAGATTGAACCTCTCTGGATGCACAAGATCTGGTTGGTTTTTTAATTCATTTGTTTATTTTATTCTAACAACTTGTAAATGTCTAGAGCTATTTCTAAGAAGGTATAACTGACACCTCAAGAAATGTCCAATGAGTTGAATCATTACAGAAAATGATCTGGCTTTTTTTTTTTTTTTTACTTTGAATTCTAGTCAACTCAAAAGTCCCAAAATATTTTTCCTCATTTGGGAGTATTTTTTTCACCTGATGCATACAAATAACATCACCCGACTTCATTTTCTGTGATTTTCTAAAAGTGGCCTTTGTAAGAATATCTTAGAGGTTTACTGATTATCACAATAATTTTTCTTTACAATGTCATAGTTCCTAAAATCATATAAGCTATAATTGTATCCTATAATCTTTGTAAAATTGAGAATGTTCTGAAAATGCCTGAGGAAATTGTCCCTAAATAACTACATATGGAACACATGGAAAGGAGAATTAAAAACGAATATATGCAGCAAACGGAAATTAGTTCCAAAGACTTTTAAGCTAGAAGGAATGCTATCTCATCCAGTCCAACTCACCCTCCGTGAATTATACGAACTGAGACGGGAGAGGTTAAAGAACTTGTTTCAACTGGCAGAATGCGGACTAAAATTCATAAAACTTTGGTTCTCAGGGCAGGGCCCCTGCAACAGTTGATTTGTCCCAAACATTAATAGAATCTCTCCTTCAGAAACATCAGGGTTTTTTTTCTATGTGATCCCAATTAGGTATTATAAGAGCGAGGGGGAAAAGCTAATGTGGGGTCCAAAAAAGGTTAGATTGTTGAAAATGAAGAAGTCTGTGGATTCCTAAGTCTACAAAATCAGTAAACTCCTTGGGCTTACAAGGAAACTTAGAGATCATCCAATTCTCACTTTATGAAGAAAGAATCAACCTAAAAAGAGATGACATAGCTAAAAAATAACAGGTATAATAGCACAGTATTATTGTACTGAATTTTGCTTTGTGTGTAGCACTTTGCTAATCACTAGCATATACATTCTTAGTATGTTTAGCACTGCAGCCCTAACAGGTGGGTTCTATTAGTATTCCTGTTTCCCAGGTAAGGAAACCGAGCAAAACAGCTTAAGCAAATTTTCAAGGTTACATGGCTATTGTGGTAGGCAGCCTTCTAAAGTAGCCCCCAACAATCCCTGCCTCCTGGTATTCACATTTACTAATGTATTAGTCCATTTTCATACTGCTGCAAAGAACTGCCCAAGACTTTTATAAAGAAAAGAGGTTTCATTGACTCACAGTTCTGCAGGGCTCAGGAGGCTTCAGGAAACTTAAAATCATGGCAAAACAGGCACACATTACATGGCAGCAGGCAACAGAGAGTGACGCACGAAGGAGGAAGAGCCCCTTTTAAAACCATAAGATCTCGTGAGAACTCACTCACTATCACAAGAACAGCACAGGGGAAACCACCCCCATGATTCAATTACCTCCACCTGGTCTCTCCCTTCACACGTGGAGATTATAGGGATTACAATTCAAGATGAGATTTTGGGTGGGGACACAGTCAAACCATATCCTTCTAACTAGTGACTGACTTCTAATAAATAGAATACAGCAAAAGTAGTGGGATGTCACTTCCGAGATTAGGTTACACAAGACTGACTTCCAACTTGTTCATACTCTAGTTCTTCTAGCTTGATCAACTCAGTGAAGACAGCTGCCATAATGGGAACTGCTTTATGGGAAGGTGCATGTGGCATGGAATTGAAGGTGGCGTCTGGCCAAGAGCCAGCAAGGAAATGAAGCCCTCAATTCAACAGCTCACACACACACATAAAAGCTGAATCCTGTCAAGAACCACAAGTGAGCTTGGAAACAAATCTACCTTCAGTTGAATCTTGAGATGAAGACAGTCCAGGCTAACAACTTGATTCCTGCCTATGAGAGAGCCTAAGACAGGATCCAATAAGCTGTACCAGGATTCTTGGTGCACAAAAAACTGTGGGATAAATAGGGTTTTAAGCCACTAAGATTTGGGGTAACTTGTTATGCAGCAATTGATGAGTAATACATCTAGTTAATCAAAATCCCAGGATTTAAACTCAAGGTATCTAACTTCAAAGTCTATTCTCTTACTTTGTCAACAATGTCACAATGATAGTCTATGGCAGGTCATAGTTAGCCATGATATTGTAAGTTAAACCCATGTCTTCATTCATTAATTCATCTTAAACATGGTACTGAACCTCTGCTAGGTGTCAGGAATTCTTTTAAAGTCTATGATATAAAGATGAAAAAGACAGTTTTTGACCACATACTATTCACCTCCTATTTGGAAAGAAAAGTGTACAAACAGGTAAACATGTCTTTAAATTACCACTCAAATTCAAACTGGGGATATTAATTTTAAAGACTCTATATGCAGTTCTGGTCTCTTCAGATTTTAATGTAGATATCCACTGAGCTTCTAATTCCTAATATTTTTAGTAGCACAGGAATCAACTCATTTTATTTACAAAAAAAAAAGTTATTTAATATTAAAACCATTATTTGCTTTTATCTCTTGTCTCAGTTTACACTAATATTTTAAATAATGCTTCCTAAAATTAACACAAAGTAGGTATATAGAAGATGGAGTATCAGAAGAGAACCCTGTAAGAAAAGAAAGAAAAGAATGTGAGATATTTAAAAGTGAGGCATAAATTAGGAAAGAAAGAAAATTACAGGGAAAAAAAGGTGAAGGGCGACATTCAAATTGACAGAAAAGAGCTGATAGAATTATTGATCCCTTGCTGCAGCTAACCCATATGTTTTTCCCCCTGCTTTTTGATGTAATTGAAGAGAATTTGCACTAAACTATTAATCCACGGCTTGTTTGAAAATGTATCAGAATTAATTAGCAGAAGATGACAGAGAAGATAATGATGACACTGAACATTGATTTTGGGTTCATAATGGTTTTCTAGAGATTTTGTTTCAGTTTGGTTGATGAGATTGACAAACTGTGAGGCAAAAGCAGTGACAGACTTAAAATTTATGTATTTTTCCTCAAGCTATCTGATAAAGAGCTGGAGATAGAGATCTAGATTTTTCATGAAATTGCATTTTAATATCCATAAGTATTTCAGCTTCAAATCATTTAAATAGCATTTTGTTCATTCATCTTATTGAAAATATTAGCTTTGTCTTACTTTTTGATTTTACAGTTATTTTCGTTTATTATACTAATGCTGTATATTCCACGCTACAAACGACTCTTTCATGGGAATTAGCAAAGCAATCATGTTCTAAATTTTTTTTCTAAATCAAAAGAACTTCACACTAAATTAGCCATACCCTGGTCATTTCTGACAGACCATGTGTCTAGCAGGTAAATGTGTTCTCAGTGGAACTATCTACCAAGAACAGGAGACTCCACTTGAATGTCTTAGTCCCTAATCTCCCATTCTGTGCACTGGGACCGATGAGCCCACAGTGGAGTGAGATTCTCAGCCTGTGGGGCCATGTCCTGAGCAGAAGGGGGCAAGACAATCAGGCCAAATCAGACTATTTATAAAGCACAAGCCAACTAATAGAACAAAACATATATAAAGAAAAATAATGCAACAGGAATTTAACACAAGTATAATAATATACACAACTGTCATAACATAAAACAAGCAAAATGTTGAACACGTAAAGCAGGAACAAGATAAATGATAAAATAAAAACAATTTGAAAAATGCGATATGAAATATTGCATTGAAATAAAAACTCAGTAGAAGAAATTAACAGCACAGTGGACAAAGTTAAATGACAAATCAGTGAGCAGAATGATTGGGTTGAGGAACTCTCCCAGAAAACATCAGAAAGGACAAAGTTATTGAAAGAGAAAAAACAAGGATAAATGATATAAAGATCAGAAGTGTCCACAAAAGAGAAAAATAAGAGAAAGGAGAAATTATGTGAAGAAATGACTAATAAGAATTTCTCAGAACTAAACAAAGACCCAGGACTGCAGACTAAAAAAGTTTAGACAGCAAGGAGGCTTGAGGGAACAAAGTCATTTCTGAGACTTATGATGATTAAAAAAATGTATTAAAGACAAAAGCTTCTGAAGGGCACAAGGGAAAGAAAATCCCCTTCAAGAAAATTCTGAAATTGGTGTGAGATTTCTCAGCTGCACCAGATAGATGAATACAATGTGCTACTACTATCTTCAAACTGCTGGAAAAAAAAGTTCATTAACCCCAGAGTATTAGATCTTATAATGCTAGCATTTAACAGTGAAGATACAATAAAAGCATTTTCAGATATGCAAGATGTCTGAAAATATATCAACATGGAAGCTATTTGAAAGATATTATACAGGAAGACGGGAAATGAATACAGAAGGAAGCAAAGATATATGGTAAATAAGCAAAAATAAAGGAATCCATTAATTTTGTGGTTTTAATAAAAGAGGAGGAGGAGGCAGAGGCTGGCTTTATAAAGTGCGGAAACATTTCATGGCTGGCTTGTACCATTTTGTGGGCTAAATAAAAGGGATAATTTTCCTAACGACAGTCTTCTGACTTGCAAGGTTCATATAATTCCCCAACCTAAAAATTTTCCGACTTCTTCAAGGAAGGATCGGATTCTTTTCATCTGCCTATACATGGAGCAGAGTCAAAAAATTTTAATTCACACTATAACTCACATTTGCAAGGTGGACGAAACATTGTCTCTATAGTCTACGATTAACATAATATTTCTTGCAAGTCCCTAACTTCTACTCAATTCACTTTAGATATAATCTGATTCAGTAATTTTAGTGGCCACTGAAAACAGTGTTCAGTCCCTCTAAGAAAGGATGCTCAGTATCCCAAGTTGCCTCTGCCTCTCTCCCTAACTTGGCATTGAAGTGTATGACAGTTCTTGGTGAGATCAAGGGATCCGCTGACCTTGTACTGGGATGCTGTGTGCACTGGCTGACATGGGCTTGTCTCTGGGACAATGGCCTGAGTCTTCCTGGGGTGCCTGAGCTCTGCTGGCCTTACACACCAAAGTGAATGTAACTCAGACTCATCCTCCTGGTCCCAACAGTGTTTCTCTTCTGACACCATCGTTTGATTCCTACAGGCTGCAGACCCAAAAGCCTCTTGCCACATCCTCAGTGGAGGGCCACCTTGCACTGCTATAGCAGCCCTCTTCCCAGGCCCACTGGCTCTCAATTCAGTGACTTCCTGACGAAGGAATTAGGGCATCTCAGAAAAGCTAAACCTCTGGCTTCTCTGTGCTGACAACTCAATATTATACCCTCTGGCTGTGTGGCAGGAAAACAAGGATCGATCAGACCCTACTCCTTCTGGTGTTATCTGCATTCACCCAACACATATGTTTCTCCCCAAGCCTAAACCCAGAGAAGAAAAAATAAGCAGCACAGATCTTAATGTCTCCATTCTCCCATACTATTACAGGACCAGCAAATGGAGGCAGTGGTCTCTTAATTCTCCTACACACTCTCTTCTCTCTCTCTCACTCTCAGAGGGTCCAGGCTGGCGTGAGCGGACAGGGCATCCTTTTCACACCTGAGAGGATGCGTGATCCATCCAGTCTGATTTGAATGATGCTGATGTTCTCAATTGAGGGCATAAAGGAAATGGAAACATCCTTTCTCAGTACCGTATCTTGGTTTGCCAGCCTATTTATTGTCTCAATGAATAATCTGCTTTTGAATACCAAAATCTGAGTATGTCCTTGCTCTTTCCCTTAGCATTTTTCTTTTGTAAAATATCCTATTCCCCAGCCCTTCTCTCAATTCCCACAGATGCTGCCTAGCACAGGCTAAGCTTGAGAGCTATTGATAAAGAGAAAAGAAGAAAAACAGCAAACTGATACCTATTCCCCAGCCCTTCTCTCCATTCCCACAGATGCTGCCTAGCACAGGCTAAGCTTGAGAGCTATTGATAAAGAGAAAAGAAGAAAGATAGCAAACTGATACATTTTTAAATTATTACCCCTGTGACAGACAGGTAAATACCTTGGGGTAAGTTACAACCTTTTCATGGGATGATAAGGAATGGAATTTAGACATGGATCAACCTCCTCTGGAGGGTTGACCACTTGAAGCTTCTTTAGATCTTAGTACAGGGGATTCCATGGTGTTCATGAAGCCTGGAAGACATAGCCTAAAGAAGCTCCAGGTCTCCTGGAGTGGTCCATCATAGCATCAACCTATGGCCAGTATCCCAGATACTCCTGATGATGGAGAAGGGGTTGACTTGGGCTAACCTGAGTCTCTGTATTTGTATTCAGCAGAGGCCACAAACTCAGATGTTTCCAGGCAGCAGGCACAGAGCATATGTATCTGAAGCGGCAGAGAAATATTTTTTAATATCTTAAACACTGTCTCTTACCCCTTACAACTCCCCCCATCCCCAGCCACAACAAAGCATGTATTAAGGCCAGATTTATCCTGTAACCTGAATTTTCCATCTTTGAGACTCACAGAGAATTAAAATGGTTCTAAATTATTAGTGTTGTCAGAGTGGGAAGGGAGTTGGCAGCATTTGGGAGGTAAAAAAAAGCTTCTCAGAAGTATTTCAAGTGAAGAGTTACAAACTTGCTACATTTCACTTCACGTTAAACTAGAATGAATTTTTAGAGCAAACCTCTAATTTTGTCCATATTTATGGTGGGGGAAATAAGATTATACAGTAGGAAGTTTATGTCTATCATGGTTGATCTTTAAAAAGTGTATGTAAGTCAAGCCTTGACAAATCCAAATGGCTTTAGTGTTTATGCAGATAAGACAACTGTGTGGGGCATGAAGTGGAATCAGGCTTGGTGGCCTGTGAGAAACTGGCAAGGCATGCCTACCTGCAGCATTTCAATGTAACATTACAGCTAACCCTGAGTCCTTTTGGTCAGCAGGACACCACTTGTGACCTCTGGTGTATGCAAACAATTTGTGTATCTTCTGAAGAAATTGAATTGATTTCCAGTTCATAAAACAAGTGAAGATTACGGTGTATGAATTAAGCATCTCCTCTTCATGTGTCCTAGTACACATGTGTGTCTGTGCCCCCAGACACAGAACGACACAAATCTTTGTCCATTAAAGGAGTCCTGTGTGGAACCAAGGAGATGGCAGATTAGAATACAAATGTCACAAGTCAAATCTTTTGCCTTAAAAAGGAGTCTGAGACCCTCATCCATCTATCTTCTCATTATCTTAATAAAGGGTAACCTGAGTCAGAAGTTCAGGAAAACCATGGATTGGTGGGTAGGGGTATCAGGTGGAAGGAAGATAAAGAGAAAACCCCAGGCTTCCCCTATGTTAGTCCTGCACTCATAAAAGCCCTTCCTCACTTTAAAACATTGGGTGTCTTTATAATATTCCAAATCAGCATTAAATTCACCTACAAAGTTTTTTTTTTAATTTTACTTGCCCAGTGTTTTTGTTTTTAATTTTTGAATTAGTTTCCATCCATTGAAACTTGGGAGATTGCAGGAGGTCCAGCAGCACTCCAGTCACCGTTCTGCCTGAACTGAGCAGAGGACGCCTCGCCTCCCTAGACAGGAATTGTACTGTCCACTTCATCACAGTCCCCACCACTCCCTTTTGTTTCCCCTCCATGGAAGCTGCTTTTTACCATCATCTTGTGCTACTGTTGTTGTGCTTTATTTTTAGACACCCGATTACGGATGTATATTCCCTGCCTGGCACCATAGGCATTTACATCTACATTCCCTCTTTAGAGTCCCCTTTGCACGCCCTTCCCTTGCTTCCCCCAACCCTAGAACATGTTCAGAACTCCCCTGCACACTCAGCACTTTGCCTGTGTACTCTAGGGAAGGCTGTCAATGAGGGAAAAATGTAGTCTGGATGATCACATGGGTCTTGCCTACTAGGGGGTAACTTGTTTCAAAGGGGTAATCATGACTTGGCTGATTCTGAATTTGCTACCTGATCCAAAGCACAGCACATGGGCAGATTCGATTCTGGACTTCAACTACAGCACGAGACAGCAGCTGGCACAATTTTTGGAGAGATTCTTGCATGAATTCTGAAAGCGATTTGCTCGAATTTTACCCTATATGAATTTCCTCCTTCTGGAAAAAGAACACACAGACCTTAGTGAAACTTGCTTAATAGTAACAGTTTCTCCATTTTATCTTTTTCTCAGAAAAGAAGAGATAAACATCATTAAACCTGATGAGCATTAGGAGGGTAAGAACAAGCTGTGCTTGAGATAAAAATGGATTTTTTTCTCTTGTTTTTCTTACTAAGTTGGGTTATTTAGTTTTCTGCCTCAGTGTATGCAGTTACAGAACATATCAAAATCTTGTAATTAGACCTCCTCAAAAACCTACACTTCTAGCTTCACTGATTGCAGTGATTCATCCTACTCACAGAAACATCATCTTGGTTCCCAGTAAGCATCTGACTGTTCTAGACATTTAGCCTGTGACTCAGGGTGTAACATTGTCATGGAACCTCTGAAGATCTCATGGGCTGATGACTTCTGTTCATCCTCCAAAATAAGTGTCAGGTCTAGGAAGGTAAGAGAAATCATTTGTGAATAATAGGCACTATCTGTTCTGCTAAAGCAAGCATGGGGCTAGGGTGTGACAGACAGAGAAAGACAGTTATGATCAAATGCCATTTGCATTTGTGTACGCAATGGGAATATTGTTTAAATACCTTCTAGCAGATTGGGCCTTCTTGGTAATTGTTTCTTTCCCTGTAGGCCTTCACCTTTTTTTTTTTTAGTAGAGACAGGGTCTTGATCTGTGGTCCAGGCTGGTCTCAAACTCCTGGCCTCAAGCAATCCTCCCGTCTCAACCTCCCAATGTGCTGGAATTATAGGAATAAGCCACTGCACCCCACTGAACTGCTTCTTCTTTCTTTCTTTTTTGCTTTACAGAAGAAGAGGAGGATAAACATCACCTGGGCAGAAGGTTAACAAGTTATTGAGGCAGTTCCTGTCAGTTCAGAAGGCAAATAAGAAGCCCTTTCTGTAAGAGGAGAAATAGCTGCAAGAGAGAGAGAAGGGTAGTATGTGAGTAGTCAAATAAGTACAACTGAGGGAGGAGGGAAGAAATTAGGAAACCCAGTTGGTCACAAGTCAAGGCATGTTCTGAAGTCAACATTTTCAGTAATAAAACAATATTTTATCTTCATTTTTTAACTCCTGTGTCTTTTTTTTCAATAGGTTATAAGTCAAAGACAGAAGAGGGGTAAAATTTATCAACTCCTCCTTAAACCCCAATAAAAACCAGTATGAGATTTTGCGAGCAGAATAATAACAATTCTCCTGAAGTGCAGCTTTCATTAAATTTTAATGTCTTATTCAATGACAGGAATAAAATGGGCCATTTAATCTGGTTAAGGATCTTATCAGCCTTCCATAAGAAATAGAAAGAAATAAACTGTAATGTACATGGGAAGGAAAATTGAAAGGACTAGCAGAGATGAAGCAATAGAAGAAAATTTGACAGCATAGCTAAGACTTCCTTGAAAGAATCAGTGTCATTAAAACAAAATCAGACTTTTGTTCTTCCTTGCAAGCAAATATCAAGCCTAAGAGGGTAAAAGAGGTAATTTGTGAAAAAGAGTAGACATATATAAGCATCAAGAAATTATATAGCAGAAGAGTCAAAAATCACAAGGCGAGCCATAGACATTTACAATGTTTACATCATTGTAAAATTGATGGTTAATGGTTAATGGAGTTAAGGGTGAAACATTATTATTTCTACCCAAAAATGGCAGAACAGATATGCTGATATTCTGAAGCAGTTATTCTACTTCCAATGACAGAGACCCTGCAAATAACAAGGACAAAATATAAAGAAGAGAGTCAAAGTGAAAGGCACTGTTAAGAGCAAACTAAGAAAGTGAAAGGACATGAAGACACATCACGTTACACATCCTGTCCATTCCTTTTCCACAGTAGGATCCATAGGCCAAGCCTTGATCATTTCATCCATGCATCTCACATTCGATGAACTGCCCAGGACTTTCTTCATCACTTCTCAACATTTGGACCAAAGGTGTTTTTTCCCTCCACCATTTCCTTAAGCCTGTACTAGTTTGTTTTCACACTGCTATAAAGAACTACCTGAGACTGGGTAATTTATAAAGAAAAGAGGTTTAATTGACTCTTAACAGGCTTAACAGAAAGCACAGCTAGGAGGCCTCAGAAAACATGGCTAGGAGGCCTCAGAAAACTAACAATCATGGTGGAAGGCGAAGGGGAAGCAAGCACATCTTCTTACATAGTGGCAGAACAGAGAGAGAGCAGGGGGATGTGCCATACTTTTAAATCATCACATCTCCTGAGAACTTACCCACCATCACAAGAACAGCATGGGGGAAATCATCCCCATGATCCAATCACCTCCCACCTGGTCCCTCCCTCCACAAATAGGGATTCCAATTCGAGATGAGATTTGGGTGGGGACACAGAGTCAAACCATATTGAGGCCTATAGTAGTTTCTCATTGAATTTGAGATAAAAACAGGGTTATGGGTTCCCAAAGCCCAGAGACACAAGGTAAAGAACTTATGACTTGAGTCTTCCTTTTTTTTCATTCAGCTCCTTGAACTAGCTCCTCTACACCTTCTAAGCAAATTTGCTCTTCTGCAACTATATTGTCATTTCACTCTTGCCTTCATTGATCTCCCAGGGCACATCCTATCCTGGAATAGCATCCTCGCCCATCCTATTCCAGCCATCCATTCCCTCTGCCCCACTCCATCCCACTCTACCCAACCCCATCAAGTCATTGGGCTTTCAACTGAGTTTTTTTTTTAAAGGCTGCTACAATACTGTTTTCTAACTCTGACCCATTAGAAAAGAAATGGCTATCTCCCCTAAAATTTATTCTGCCTAAACATGCAAATTCTAAGAGTTCCTTTTTATTTACACAATATAACTTTTATATGATGTGCAAGCAAAAAGGCAAGTGCAGTTCATGGAGGTAGTGAGATGTCTGGGGCATTCTTTTATTGCAATAGAGGCCCCTAGAGCAATGGTCCCCAACTTCTTGGCACCAGAGGCTGGTTTTGTGGAACACAATTTTTCCACGGATAAGGCGTGAATGGTTTCAGGATGAAACTCTTCCACCTCAGATCATCAGGCATTAGATTCTCATAAGGAATATGCAACCTAGAACCCTCGCTTGTGCAGTTCACAATAGGGTTCAAGCTCCTATGAGAATCTAAGGCTGCTGCTGATCTGATGGGAGGCGGAGCCCAGGTGGTAATGCTCTCTTGCAGCTGCTCATCTCCTGCTGTGCAGCCCAGTTCCTAACCGGCCACAAATCGGTACTGGTCTGTGGCCCAGGGATTGGGGACCCCTGCTTTAAAGGGTAAGAAGAGTTTTACTTCTAATATGTTGCATATCTCCCAAATTAAATAGGTTATTGTGATATCGTGATTTATAATAAGAAATATTTCGATCTTTAGTCATTTCCTGGCGCACAACTTCTAAATCTCTTGTAATTTCCTGAACAACAGTGGTGCTAGGTGCATCTTTTGTTCTAATATTTGTTCTCTGACTCTGGTTTCCAACACAAAGCTCATAATCTCCTGGAATTTCCTGGGTGATAGGAGTGTCTTTTGTTCTGATGAGCTGACTCTTGGTGAGCTCCTGGATGGACCCTGGTCACCAGAAAGACCAAAGCCATGATGAGAAGCTTGGTACTTTCAGCTCTACCCTCCCAACATCCTCCAGGAAGCAGGGAGGGGCTGGAAGTTGGGCTAACAATCAATCATACCTATATGATTAAGCCTTCATAAAAATTTCTAAACTATGGAATTCGGGAGCTTCTGAGCTAGTTGAGCACATCTATATGCCAGGAGAATGGTATGTAGCAACTACATGGGCACAGAATCTCCTGCACCTGGGATTCTTCCAAACCTTGCCCTGTGTAGTTCTTCATCTGGCTGTTTATTTGCATCCTTTAAAATATCGTTTGTAATAAATTGGCAATAGTAAGTAACATTTTTCTGGGTTCTGGGAGCTGTTCTAGCAAATCATTGAATCCAGGAAGTGGGTAGTGGGAACCTCCCATTTATAGCTGGTTGATCAGAAGCACAAGTGACACCTGAACTTGCAACCGGGCTCTGAAGTGAGATAGTCTTGTAAGACTGATTCCTTAACCTATGGGGCCTGAGCTAACTCCAGGTAGATAGTATCAGAATTGCACTGAATTTTAGACACCCAGCTGGTGGGAAAATTGGTTGGTGTGAGGGAAAAAAAACACACACACATTTGGTGTCAGAAGTAAAGTGTTCTGGAGTATTGACAGAGGTATGAGTACAAAGAGAAAAGCAATTTATTTCACCTATACAGTTATTAATGCTATTGATAATAAAAAATAATAATCTCCACAACTCCGGCTCCATTATTCTCAAGACAGAGAGAAAGATAGATTACCTCACACCCATTACAATGAATACTGTCAAAACGGAAAAACAAAAACAAAAAAAGACAGAAAATAGCAAATGTTTGCAAGGATATAGAGAAATTAAAATCCTGTGCATTGTTAGTGGAATTGCAAAATAGTTCAACTGCAGTGGAAAATAATATGGAAGTTTCCAAAAAAAATTACAAACAGAACTATCATATGATCCAGCAATCCCACTTCTGGGTATATATCCAAAAGAATTGAAAACAAGATCTCAAAGAGACATTTGCATACCCATGTTTATATAGCACCCTATTCATAATAGCCAAGAGGTGGAAGCAGCCCAAATATTCATCCAAGATGAGTAGATAAACAAAATGTGGTACATACATACAATGGAATATCATTCAGCCTTAAAAAGAAAATCCTGTCATATGCTACAATATGGTTGAACCTTGGTGACATTATGCTAAGTGAAAGAAGTCAGTCACAAAAAGACTAATACTGCATGATTTCACTTATAGGAGATATCTAAAATAGTCAAATTCACAGAAACAAAGTAGAAGGGTACTCATCAGAGGCTAGGGAAAGGAGCAAAGGGGAATTATTTAATGACTGTAGAGTTTCAGTTTGGAAAGATTAAAAGAAAAAGCTCTGGAGGTCTGTTTCAAAATAACGTAAATAGACTTAACACTAATGAAATGTACACTTAAAAATGATTAAGATCGTAAATCTTACATGTTTTTTACCACAAATTTTAAAAAAGAAACAGAAATCAGTGCAACCGGCTTTGTGTTTAAATATTACTTGCTGGATTGTGATATTCTGTGTTTTCACGGACAAGAACTGCTGATTCAGTCCATTTGGAAAAAATCTTATTGAATCAATGTAAAATGAACAACTCACGCTAGTTTTTGCACTGCATTAACCAGTTAATTTAATCTGTTAAATGTGGTTAAGTGAACTGAGTCAGAATCTCCATGTAGCAAGGCCTCAGGCATGAGAAGGTGTTTTCATGGCTAATACAGTGTATGAAAATTAATAAAATATTAATAGTCTCAGGGGAAGGTGAAAAACTGATGGTGAGCACTTTCCATTAAATAGCTTTTTTTGGCCTAATCCTAGGACTGCCTAAATTGTCAAACTTAAAAGTCAAGACTGAAAAGTGTTATGAATAGAATAACTAAGAGACTTTGTTTCCTTTTCTAGCTCTGCCAGTGCCTTGCGTCATAAAGTACCTTAAAGATTATCTAATGCAACCTTCCAACCTTGAGCCTTCAATCCCCTCCCACAAAGTTTGATTACCTGAGTCCTCAAATGCCAGTGAATTTTCTCTCGTCATCACAGTTCCTCTCCTAATTGGTCAACAGACTTTATACATAATTTATTACATATTACATAAATTATGTATACTCATTAAACATCCCTATGGTTAGACACTCTGCCAGATATAGTGATAAAAAGTATTAGGGGGTTCAGTTTCTCCCCTAAGAAGAACCAACGGAAACCTTCTTCCTATATGGTATTTGGGTCTGAGCTGGGAGTGGGGATAGGAACTGTTAGCGTTAGTGAATGAGGTGGATAGTGTGAGAAGCACTGTTCAGAAAAGAGAATCCTAAGGGAACATCCACTTGAAGAGGAAGGGCAGATTAAGAGAAGTGGATGGAACCAAAGGAACAGGAAATCCAAAGGTTTGAAGTCTCCCTTGACCTCCCTCACTGACACAAATGGTCATATTTTATAGTCTCCTGAAACCACAAACTCTTCTTCATACCATTTATCTCAGGAAAAATTGATTATAATATCGTAAGTGTAAATACTCGACCCGAACTCAATTTTCTAATGATGATCTTACCAGAAGGGAGAAGAGACAGACCAACTTGTCAATTATATTACAGACAAGGAAACTTAAACCCACAGAAGTTGTCCAGGGTCATCTAGCAAGGTTGGTAATCCTAAAACCGGTATATTCTGCCCAACCCACAGACCCCCAGTATAGCCATGGGTATGAATAAACCACTTGAAAGTCATTCAACCATTTGAGAGTCATTTAACCATTTGAGAGTCATTCAACCATTTGAGAGTCATTTAACTATTACAGAGTCATTTAAATTTCCATTTGGGAGACTGGGATACAGAGAGGGGTTAAAGTGGGATAGCAAGCAGAAATTGTTGATTTGCTATTTTGTCAAGGTTTCTTTTAATCATTTAATAACTGCCCTGGGAGAAACGATGACAGAAAACAACCAAAAATTTCTCACATATTTGCAGAGACAAGAAATCAGGACAGGCTCCATTAGAAAAATTTTATTTTTTGCTTTGGTTTCCAAATCTTCACATCTTTCATAAAAACTTAAACACCGCTATAGATTCATGGATTGGGCTATTTTTATACTGTTTTAACTTTCCTGAATAGAATGTAGGAAATTCTACTTTAGAAACTAAAGGGGAACTAATTTTTCTACCACCATAGTAAGCAATGTGAGACCGCCCTCACAGAACCTCAACAAGAGTCAACATCTGTTTTCTTCCCTTGGAAGCCACTATAAGAAGTACCTATCCAGGTATAAAGAGTTTAATTAAAAATCCAAAATTATTTGCCTAAATTTGAATCCCAGCTTTCCTATTTTCTTGCTATATGATTCTGAGAAAATTAAGCTCTCTGCGCCTTCATTTTGTCATGCATGAAGTAGAGATAGGCTTCTGTCTACCTCATGGAACTTTTGTGAAGATTAAATGAGTCCATATATGTAAATGCCTAAACCAGTGCTTGGCATGGAAGAAGCGCTATCTATATGTATTAAACAATTTGGTAAATATGAGGAAACCAGGGTTAAGACTGGTTTGGCGTGAAACTTAGTACTCAACAACAGTGTGACCTAACCTCCATAAAGTGAAGTCTACTCATCTGAACGCTTCAAAACCCATTGCACCTCTTCAATTTGGCAAGGATTAAATGAGATGATTCATGCAAAGTATTTTGCCAGGTGCCTGGCACATAGTACTTAAAGACTGCCCAGTTTTGAGGTTTTCATTTATTTCATTAACACATTTTTGAAGGCATTCTGAGGGCATCATGCAAAAGAGTACATGGCTCAGTCTCTGTTCTCAGAGGTCCTATTCCCATTTATGGAATTAAAATGTATTTATAATTATGGTGTGGGAGAAGCGTCCACGGAGTGGACTGGCACAAGGTACGTGGGCAGGGTGACCAGGAGGGAAAGTCAGGAAAAGGCTTCAGGGATCTCATCTGAATTTCAAAGAATGGGTAGGGCTTTGAGGGATGAAAACAGGGATTGGGGGCAGGAGTCAGCCTTAATTTAAAGGTGAAGAAATTGAGGCTTAGAGAAAGGAAGTTACTTGTCCAGGAGCCCCTGAATCCAGGCAATCTGTCTCAGAGCCTGCTCTCCTTTAGTTTCATACTGATTTCCTCTGGGAGTATTCTCTTCCCCCTCTTTTGGAATAAAATCTATAGCATAGACTTTTAAATATGAAATAACTCAGATTAAACTAGAGAAAAGTTCCTGGCCTAGTTAACATTTTCATTCCCATGGTTACATGCTGTCTAGCTGGTCTTATTATTTTTTTATTTTTTTATTTTATTTATTTATTTTTTTTACTTGACTAAGACATGGCTCTTCATTGAGCCCCAACACTGAGTAAACCCACAGGTTTACATTAAAAGACACACTGCCCTTGTGGGACAAGAAATCTGCTGCTTTAATCTCAGCACTGTCTCTTCACTCCAGATATTGACGGAGTTCGGCTTATGAAGAGGGTTGAGCCTCCCAGAAGGGCAGCAGGGATGACAGGCTTGCCATGGCCTCAGGCCCACTAACTTTGAGCAACCTCGGGAGATTTATTTTCACCGCCTTGAGTTTTTCCTCCCATAATGGGAATATATTCACCATATAGTCCTCACACATTGACCAAGGCTCAGGTTTATTAATGTTTATGTGTATCTCAGGGGTACACTGAGACCTTTAAAAAAAAACAATCCGGAGCTCTCTGATATTGGCTGACACTCATGATCCAGCGGGGACCTACTGGACGCTGATGGCAGAGACTATTTTCAGAAACTTGTTTGCTATAAACCACACTAACTACCCAGGGTAATAGCCTGTCGTCTTCTGTCGTCTAGGAGTCATATTAATCTATTTTCCATTGATTCCAGTTTGTTTTCAAGTAGTTTCCTTCTAATGGTCTGTTTCAAGTTATGTGTCATAAAAGACCTCGAATGACACCAGATGTAATTAAATTTGCCAAAAGGTAAGCATTCATCAGAAAGAGTTAAACAGATTATTCCAGAGCTGTAATTTACAGAGAAAATGGAAACCCGAAAGGGAGAAAGCAAAAGGAGCTGGAGCATCACTCTGGGGAGGGATGGGTAGCCAGAACAATATTTCTCCCACCCCATCTCTCTCCCCATCAGTAACTCTCACTGATGGGATGTTTCCTGGAGGCTGGGCACTGTGGTCGTTTGCTTTATGTAGTCCTGGTAACCTACACAACAATCCTGGAAGATAGAGATTGTGGCTTAAATTTTACGGTTAAAGAAACGGAAGCTGAGAGTAATTAAGAAACCAGCTCTGATTCCAAATCTCTTCCTGTCCCTCTCCTACATACCCTGATCCTAGGAGTGGCCCCTTGGAAAAATCTCTTCCTTTCCCTCTCTCATATACCCATATCCCAGGAGACCCTTAACTGTTCTGGAAGCAAGAAAGGGAGGGAATATAGAGAACTGATATAAATAAATGGGCATCTCTTGAGCATAAACTGTTACAATGCTTACAAGATAAAATGAATTATCAGGACACATCAACCTGAAGTTGGTGACTCAACCTCTTTCTTTACAAGAAAGAGAACAGGCTTTAGCATGAGACAGATCCAGAGTCTATTCCAAGCTCTGTCACTAACAAACCACAGCTTACAAGATTCCTCTAAGCTTTTCTGAGTTTTTTTACTGTAAAACAGAGCTAAAACCACCTGGTTCAGAGAGTTGTTACGAGACCATAAATGATTTAACGTACATTAAATCATCTAAAATACAGCAAATACTTAAGAAATGCTAATGCCTTCAACTCTCTTCCATAGACCCATGAATCCCCTCTTGCATCTCCCAATTTCATGCCAGACGAACACACAACCCAAAAGAGTAATCTCAGTCTAACGAAATGTATAACCTTGCCATGGCCCAGGTTTCTCTTTTCTCCTGCAATTTTATAATCCACTGAAAAAAAAAATATTCTGAATAGAAATCTACCCTCAGCCAATCCATTCCCTTTGGGTTATTCTTTTCTATACTCACCTTACTTGCATGTGGGAGATGAAAATATACTTGATAATTGGCTTTCAAATATGATTTTCTTCCTTTCATCTCTCCTATGGGCATAGCTCCAGAAAGAGTCTTCATATCTCATTTTTAAAAAATCATTGATTTTATTAGAGTTTAGTTCTGGCTAGTCTTTCTCTGTCCCAAAGGTCTGGCTTTTGGAGGTCCCTACCACCCTCAAATATTCCAAAGGAGACTGACAATGTAATAATAAATAAACCTCCACAGGTAGCCTACCAATCTAATTACACATGACTTGCCATACTTGATAAACACAGATGCAGCTTTTTTAAAATAGTACAGGTAACTCAGCAGTTACAATCAAATGCTTTGAATGCTTTATCTGAAACAACAAAATCCATGTTATAATTTTATGGAACTATAATTTACTTCATTTTTCTTTTGTATTTTTCTATCATTTTGACATCCCTGAGTACTTTTACTACTCGCTAAATCCCTCTCACAGTCTCATGCACACCCTCCCATGCAGAAGGTACAATTTAATGGTACCCCATTGATGTCTGGTGATGATTCTATTCCCTGGAGGGCAGATGCCAAATAATTCATTGCGGTTCCCGGCTCAGGGCCTTGCACATAATGGACGCTCGATTAATATTTAAAATCAATTGAACCACATCTTATTCACCTCTTGAATATCAAATAGAGGCTGCAATATGACCAGGTGTCTGGGCCAGACATCAGATATCTTTGGTTATTTTATTGAGTTGGTAGATTGTTAACTTCTTTAAGGCAAGGTTGGCACTTTACATGAGAGAACACATTATACAGTGAAACGTTCCCTGAATATTCAATAAGTGGGAATTAAATTGGACAATTGATATAACAAATAATTAATTGGTGAACTGTAGAAAGCAACCTGTGGTCTACTTCACCATTCTTATGAAAAAGAGTAATTTATGTTAGCTCTTACAGAAAAAAGATCAAGGAAGAATTCACTTAAAGTCTGAAAGTATCACTTTCCTCACTTTGATAAGGAAAGTTTTCATTATACATAAGGTTTCTCCTAGTTGTAAAGGGCTCTAGTTTTGTGAATATTACACCAAATGCGACCAAGCAATGTGGAACTTCTCCAGCATTGTAGAAAATGCATTAGATTTAAAGTGGGAAATACCTGTATTCTAAAACAGTGGTTCCCAACTAGGGGAAACTTTGCCCCCAACTGACATGTGGCAATATCTGGACACATTTTTGATTGACACAGATTGGGGTAGAGGGCAGTTTACAACTGGTATCTACTGAGTAGAGACCAGGGTAAATTTTTCATGCTGCTAAATATCCTACAATGCACAAGACAACCCACTACCACAAAGAATTCTCCAGTCCCAAAAGTCAACAGTGCTGAGGTCGGGAAACTCTGCTTCACACCAGATTCTGCCACTTTCTGCTTATGTGTGCTCGATCGAATGACTTTTCTTAATTGTGATGTGGATCATGAAATTCTTTTCTTATATACCTCCTAAGTGTTATAAAGACCCTATATGGTACCCCAAAAAATGTGTAAATACCATAAACTCCAAGTACCAATATAAATATATGTTGTTAGTATTAAAATACACTTAGGAAAGAACCAAAGTCAAGTAGTTAAGTTAAAGGTGACCTCAGCCAGACAGCGCATCTCAAAATGAGCAGCTCCCAGAGGCCAGGCCAAGGTCATAGTTGCAAACATGGCACTCTAATAAATACCCCCAGAGAAGGACAGTTTTCCAAAAGGATCCCAGTTCCAGATCAGGCCTTAACTCCCAAGTTCTTTCTAGAACAAATTCAGTCCCTCAAAGAGCATCTAGCAGATACCTGGGAGAGCGTCTAAAGAAGGATACTTGTTCCCTCTACTGCTGACCCCCCTTGGACACCAGGGCAATGGCCCAGCTAGCCTACCCCGAGGCAGACTTCCAACTGGAGCCTGCCAGTAAGGTCAAATTTCCTTCTATTCCAACAATAGTTCCTTAAATAGAGACACATTGTTTATAGACTGAAAATAACACTGCAAAGCCATTCTACCACAACATGTTGATCCCAAATCCATATTGAGTGACTGTCTAGAATTTAGGAATTAGTGACAAGCCCAGGGCCAACTCTCTGAAAACAGTGGGCAAAGAAATTTAGAAAAGCAGTTAGTATTAGCTGAAGAAGACTCTAGTAGAAAATCAGTCCTGAAATATTTTTTTCTTTATGCATTGCATAGAGAAAAAGAGAGATTCATGTTCTGGAACTGTCTTCACAAATCATAAATTCACTTAATGAGGAAGAAACACCTGAAAGTTCAAATCATATGTTTAATTTATTGCAAACCCTTGAAATTTAGGACACTTAGTTGTATGCCACAAAGGCCAATAAACTGACCATAAAATTCTGAGATTTTTCTTTGAGGTTTGTCTTAATATTAGTTCACAGTCAACCTACATCAATAATCTCCTACAATTTAATAATATTCAGAGTAAAATCTTTACTGTCAGGATTGTAAAAACAGATGTTAAAATGAGGGTAAGAATTAAGAAGACATCAATGAATTCAAAGCTTAAAAGAACTTAACATGAGAATGAGCTGCAAAGGGAAATAATAAATTATAGATGTGTCACTTTTAAAAAGTCATGTTCAGTGCAGAATTAAGGCAACTTTTCCTACTATGTTTGGACGTGAATTTTAAAGCATGAGAATGGCATCATTTTCCAAATCTCAAGAAACTAAGAAATGTTAGTGGTTGTAATATATAACTTTTGGGCTTACTTGTCTTTTTTCCTTTCAGAAAACTTTAATATTAAAACACCTAGGAATAAATATTTACTCTTCCTACATCTGTCCCTGAAAACACACTAAATATTAACTTTATTGAAATGGGCTTCTTTATTTGTCCTCAAATAATCCCCAGATTCGGGGCTGTAAAAAAGATCAACTGTTGATGCGTTCCTCTCACCCCAGTGCAAAACACTTTGTCAAGGGCTCTCAAAAACATATCAGATCCTATGAGGCTCCTGCCCTGATTTTCCAGAAAAACAGAATGTTTAAAATTTTCAGCTTTATTTCAAAATACTAGAGAAAGTAGAAAATATGATAATACAAGAGATTAATGAAGGTTCATTACACAATCACAAGGGATTTTATAAAGTAGAATTGATTAGTTGACCTATGTATAGGTCACACTAAGTGCTGTTAGAAAACAAAGCCAAAGGAATTACTGTGAACCGGAAAGACTTGGGAAGCCATCACAGAGAGAAGGATCAGAATCAGAATCAATCAGGTTTTCAAAGATGAATAGGATTATGACAGGCTGAATAAAAGAGAAAAGTCTTTCACTTTGCCAAACAAAATGTAAAGGTGAGAAAATCCAGAAGGCAGGAAGTTGAACAATTTGACTGAACTAGAGGGTAAAAGTGAACCACAGGAGAAAAGATTGAAAAAGAGCATATTGTGAAAGACCTTGAAGGTAAATTTAAATTTTGACTTCTCTGATAAAAGAAAGGAAGGAAAGGAGACAGAGAGGGAGAAAGAAACACCTCCTTGATGCTCCAAACCTGACAGACCAATGACACAATCAAAACAATATTTTTTAACAAGATTAACTTAGCAGCAAAACATATAATGCACCAGATAAGGGAAAGCCAAGACTTAGATGGACCAAGGCCAATGAATAGAACTACTGGATACCTTCAAAGTTCAGGTTCTTTTGCTATCTAAAGCTATGTGGAAGGTTTGCTAAGACTGATATAACACTACTTTGACTTACCTACTAAAAGAGAGTTCATATAAGCATAGCTGCCAATTATTTAGGTATCTTTTATGCATACTAATAAATATTGTACAAATGAATTCTTCTTTGGTGGATTCTACATTCCAGAGTTAAAATGTTGCTCAGAAATAACCAATGTCGATAGCATATTACAAAGGGACAATGAGATTATATAAGTTTATCATGTCTAAATATTGTTCAAATTATGGAACTCAACAATTTTACTGGTTCTACACATCTAGAACATTGTGATAAATTCTAGAGCACATATTTTTAAAGGATATTGGTTGATATACCAGAATTGCCCAGAATAAGGCAACAAGGTTGGCAAAGAATCTGGATAAAAAGCCAAACAAAAAACAACTGAAGAAACAATTCATATTCCTTATCAGTCTTGTTGTCCCACTCTAGACTATTATATATTTCACATATATAAACTTATATATTATATAGTATGTAATGGTTATAGTAGTTTCCACCAGGAGTTGAAGAGCCATCTAGAAGAAAACGCATTAGTATGCACTATTCTGAACGTCAGAACCATAAGCAGTAGGCATAAATGTAGGAGAATAATTTGGGGGTAAATGTAAGAAAGTTTAGACAACTAAAGATAACCATTTAATAATGGTGTAGATCTCAAGTCACAGTGAGCTGTCCATCACTAGAAGTATTCCATCAGAAGCCAAATCACATCCGCCAAGAAGGTTGTAAGATTGATTCTTAAATTGGATAGGAAACCTATGATTTCATAAGACTCCTATATCTACATCCAGGATTCTCTCCTCTTCTGAGAATCATTTGTTCACAAGAAATTAGAACCTAATCAAAGTAGCTTAAACAATGAGAAAGTTTTACTGGAAGGACCTAGGGGCATCTCATAGAATCCAAGGGTGAAATGAATGGTTGATCTTCAGGAGAGGCTGGAAGCAGGAAAAGATGATCAGGAACCATGAATCTATATTTCTGCTTCTCAGTCTCTTTTTCAGTCTCCCTCTTATTCAATTTCTATATAGTCTGTTAGCTCTACTTCTCTGCGTATCTATTTCTTCCTTATGGATCTACGCATTATCCCTTTATGGAGCCTCAACATCTAGGGCTACACCTCCTTAGAGCCTGCAGCTACATAATCAGTTTATCCCTCTATGTCTGATAGCCCATTTTCATTTACACATTTCTCCCTGAAGAAATCAGGGATTAAGGTTGCTATTTGCAAGACAGGGGTGTTAAATTACCTAAAAAAGACATTTTGAATACAAGGAGGAAATGATTGGCACTCCTAAAACATTAGGTAAAAATCTTTGCTACACTTGTCTGTCCAACATAAAATATCAAGTCAACACGAGGAGAGGGTTAGAAAAACCTTTAGGTTGGCATCTCAGGTGGCAGTATTGAGTAGGAATTACACACAAGGCCTCTGTACTTAACAGCTCAGCTTTGCCTCTTACTAGATGTGTGACTTCAGGTAAGTTGTTTAACCTCTCCACGCCTCCGTTTTCTCATTTATAAAATGAGGATAATAAAAGTTCCCAACTTATTGGATTATTATGTGAAAAAGTACAGGGACTAGTCCATAGATATCACTAAAAAGTGATAGGTATTATGTATTTAAAATCAATCAAACATTCATGTGGTATCAATAAGTCCCACATATATGGATGTCTCATTTTGATCCACAGAACAACTATAAAAGTTGGCAAAGTAGATTGTCTTTATTTCATAGATTATAGAACTGATTCAAAATTACACAAAGTCTACTCTTCTCATAGCTAATGGCCTAACTGTGCCTGCATCTAGGATTTCATGGGTCCCTTCAACTCTTTCAACACAGCGTGCTGCTTCTCTTGATCAACTTTATTTTTTAAGAAACTGATAGACTCAAGTACGAATCACTTCACAGCCTGATGATCAATAGTCTACTGCCTCTTACATATCTTCTTTTCACAACATGGTGCCTTCAATAACTACATTAAATTGAACTTGGCCTTGAAAGTAGTTTCAAAGAATATTTTGGACAAGAACAGATTTGCAACTCCTGTTTCCTCTGCCTGGGACAAGCTTTTCCCAAATACACATCTCTTCGTCTTTCCCACTACACTACTATATGCTTCATAAAGGAAGTGCCTAGAATGTAAATGCGTAATAAATAGCATACAACATAAGATGCACAATAAATATTTGTTGCATGAATAAATAAACCCATCTCTCCGCAATCACTTTGCTTAGTTTTGCTTAGAAGAAACTTGATCCACTACACAAAATTGAATACAACCTTGAACGAGAGGGATAGAGGACACATTTCCAAGAATAGTTAGAGTCTCCTCTAAAACCTGCCTAATGCAAAAGAAAAAGAAGAGATGGAAAGAATAGACCCACATTAAGAACAGTGAATAGAGGCCTTTCAGTACTTCTGCTGAGATACTAAAAGGAGACAAAGTAGTGATGAGCAAAGATAGTCAGAGAAGGGATTGAGAGTATGAAGTACCAGCAGCAACAGCTGGTACTAAGGAGGATTGCAAAGGGACAATTAAGAAAAGATCATCAGCTATCTAACTGCCCCTAAAATCTGACTTAGAATTTATCTTGTAAGCGAAGAAAATCCAATCCAAGGCAATTGGAAAGTCCAGGGTACTGGTTTCAGGTCCAGCTTTCAGCAGGGTGCAAGTGATAAGATCAGGACCCAATTTATTTCCCCCATCTTTTGGTTCCTTCTTTTTCTGCATTTGTTCTATCATCAAATAGGCTTTCACTCTGGACTGCAAAAGGCTACAACACTTCTACTCCAAATCTTTCCAATTTCAGGTCTTGCAGAAAAGAGTGAGTCTGTTTCAATGATGGCACAAACCAGTGTCCCAGAATTGAGTCTCATTAGTTCTGATTAGCCTAGCCTGGGTCAGATGCCCATCTTGGCTAGAGAGATGGGATGTTTTGATGGACCTATACCTGGGTTGCATGCTTCATCCCTATAATCAGGTATGGAGTCAACTTCTCTTGAAACACATAGAGTCGGAAGAAAGGTGGTATCCCCAATGTACTATCAGGCTATGTTTTTCATAAGAAGGGGAAGTAGATGCTAGAGGCAAAAACAAGTTACATGTACTCCATTTTCCAAAAAAGCTTAAGTGTGGCTTTCATCCTAGCTGCCCAGAGAGAGCTTTGATTATGGATTCCCAGAATCCCTGAGGACATCAGAGGTGGTGTAAATTTGGGAAATAAACACAAATTAAAACCTGCCTCTGACTTTTACTTGCTATGTTATCTAAATCAAGTTATTTAACCTTCTGATCCTCAGTTTTTTATGATATAGTAATAATAATACCTGCCTTATAGAAGTATTTAAGGGCCTTAGTGTATGCAAATGGCTTCACTCAATGACTGAGTCTTAGTGAATCCCAACAAAGATGGCTGCAATGATGATGATATTTAGGGATGCAGGGCTGCCAGCAGAACCCTGGTTATTAAGCCATCTCTCCATTTCGCTATGCTTAGCAGATGCTTACTGAGGAATGGTTAGCCTGAAGAACATACAATGGCTTTTTTTAATCTACAACCTCCTTTATGCAGGTCTAAGATTAAACCTCCTTTATGCGGGTCTAAGATTAAATTATACTAGCCTTAACCTTTCTAAATATATCTTAATATATGTTAAATAAATCCAAAAGAAAATTTCTCTCTCTTCTACAAAATTAAATATTTCAATAAATTTTACCCTAGAAAGTCAAAACTTTATTACTGTAAAAACAAAACAAATGCCAAATCCCTTTGGAAAGCTTGCCAAACACTGAAAAGTCCTATTTATTGGAAACAAGCACATCTTGCCAGTGTCACACTCTCAGCATCCAAAAATTTGGCCGCCTCCACAAAATTCCTTTTCTTGGACAATAGTAACAGTCACAGCTTATCACCTCCTGTTGGTGGGGCCTAAAGAAGCTTCCATTGGTTTACCAATAAAAGCGGGCAACTCTTCTCAATGTCTCCCAACATCTTTTCAACGTCTAGGAAAGTAGAATGCCCACCTTCGATATGGAAAGCTCTCACTTCTTTCTTCCCAGAGAATGTGCTAGCTGAACTTCAGGCTCTCAATGGCACTGGGAAAGACTTGCTCAGACCATTAGATGGAAGGCAGTATTTCTTTGTACATTTTAATAGTGTCTATTTCTAATGTTACCCCTGTGTCCTTTCTCTGCCTTTCGCTATCACTAGCAAATCCTCAGAAGGCTGCTTGGCACTGTCCATAATTCAGCTTGCTCTCATTCAATTTTATTCGACCCTAAAGAATAAATAATAGCTCATAACTGTCATTCTCATCACACCGTAAGCATCCTTTACATCAGAGAAGAAACTCAACGTTTTGTAATTTTATTCACAATCTGAAATACTCTTAGTGCATGATTTTTCAGTATTCAAAATGTCATAAAAGAACTGCTTAAAAAAACAAAACAAAAATCTTTTGTTACACTCTTTTAAAAAAAAACATGGTTTCCAATATTTTCTACTAATAGGTAGATGGGTCAACCAGTAGACCACTTAAATAACATTACCTGTAGTTACCTCCTGTTTTAGATGTACTTTAGGACATGTCAAATACTGTGATGAACTGTATATTTCAAAGTATGTGATCTCAGAGCGAAACTTCACATTTTTTACTTTTTGACGGCATTCAAGATACTTTTTCCTTATCATTGTGCTCAGCAGGTATGAGGGCTGCACGGGTGAAAGTTCAGAACACAAAAAAATCTATTGAACTCAAATAGAAGCTCATCATGTATTATCAAGAGATAGCTAAACCAGAGCACCTTATTCTTTTCTAGTAAACTAAAGAATCTTTGCGTGAGACCTTCATTTGCTAAACCTATCTCTGCAAAGATTGTAAAAATATAGCTTTCTCATATTATCTTCCAGAAAATAAACAATAGCAAATTCTCTTCCAGACTACTCTACTAGATTAATGAAGCCAGGAGAACAAAACATTTTCTTCAGTATCATAAAAATGAAATTTCTCAGGTTTAATCTTGATAACCAATCGATCTGACAGCTGACACCCACCCCTTCCACAACAACTTGTTTCCTTCGAAGATATTGACTTTTATCTTCAGATTCTAGTATTTTTAAATGTTCTCTTTAAAATCAAATCCTGTTTATAATGCTGTTTTATTTATTTCTCCCACTCCAATTTTACCTTCATGCTTTCAAAAGACAAATGTGTTTTGATTCCATCTTCCCTTCAGCCTCATAGTCACTATCCTTTTAGTAATTTTTTAACAAGGGTACCCACATTTATACTGCTCTGAGCCCTGCAAGCTATCAGCCAGTCTTGGCCACACTTGTCATCCAAAATCAGATGCAGGCCCTTCTTCCTCTGCATCTAAAACTCTACTTTCCTAAAGCAGGTTCTAGTGACTCAGCATGCTCCATTTCCTCCTTAGTGCCACCACTGCATTCTTTATTACTGGGACGTGCCACCGCCTAAATTGGCTGCAGGATGATGCTGAATACATTGGTTCTCTGCTTCTTAGCTGACATCAAAGATATCATTTTTCATTTTGATGGTCTTATAGATAATCACTAGGGAGAGGTGATACTAATAAATATGGAGATGTTATAAAGTTACTAAGAAAGCAAATGGCAAACAACTTATACTCCGTTCTACCTGTTTCATTACTAGGGGTGGAGCCAAAAAAGTTCATCTCCAATAGACCTGAACAGTGAAGTAGGAAAGAACAACAGGGCCTCCTTGAGCAAGTGGCCTTTCTGCAACCTGCTAGACTGGAAGATATCCAGTTCTCCAGGTCCCTAACTCTCAAGGAAGAGAATCCCTGAAGCAATATTTTTCAGAGGTTGTGACTCCACGAAGACCCAGTAGCAGCCAAGCTAGGTCGGGTCAGAAGATGGATCCCTCTGCTCGGCTGAGATCCAGGACACACTTAATTCTCGCAGTACCTCTGCAAGATACATCCAATCATTATAGTCATTTTGAAGAGAAAACTGGTCCTTAAAGGGGTGAATTTTGCTAAGGTCATACAACCAGTAAGTGAAGGACCTAAATCCAGACTGCTTGACCCCAGAATCTTTACTCTTGACCTCTATGCTATACCATCTTCCACGACCCCAGTCTTAGTGTAGTGCCTTCCCATGATCCCCCTAAAGAATCTTCATTGCTCTTTAAATAAGCAGATACAAATAAAAACAAGGAGTCCTAGCCCCCCAGCCTGACTCATCAGCAGTTTCAGGCCCCAAACCCAAATGTTCAACTGCCAGGGGACCCAGCATGCTGAGTCACTAGAAGCCTGGGAACAGGAAGGGAATGGGGTAGGGGACAGACCTGCACCAGGGAATGGGACAGGTAAAGACACACCCTTTCTCTTTCCAGGGAGCTGCACTCAAGGGAGGGCCATCTATAGAGAATAAAGGCTTTAGAGGAGAGGACAGAGGCATAAGGTCACAGCAGAGGAGAAGCCAAAGGAACGGGGGTCAGCGCAACAGTGAGAGATTGCCACAGGCAGAGAGGAGAGACTTGGAGCAGCTGCCATGAACTGGAAACTATGAAGAAAGGAAGATTGCTAAGTTTGACTTTGGGGAAGGCTTCTGAGTGGAATACTGCAATAAGTACCTATACTGTCCTTCTAAAGAAAGTTAAGGCTTAAAAAAAAGACCCTTCAAGGGTCTTCAAGTCTTCTGTAGTTAGACTGCTGTTTCTGTGATGCAGTATCAACATACACTGGGCCACCTGAGACACTGGGATTTATTTAAGTTACAGAGAGAACAAATCAGCACTTTACCACCATTGCTACTGCTTTGGAAATAACTAGAAGCCTCTCCGGTATGATTCATCCTCCCCATGGGTTCTGCCACTAACTATAACTCCAGTAAATATGGGACACTTTTTTTCTAGTAAAGAGAAATCTTTTTTTTTTTTAAGAAAAAAAGACCAGAAATTAGACAGAGCTTTTGAAAAGCCCTTCAAAAGAAAAGGAAAATTCCAGTAAAATATAATCAGCTATCAAGAGAGCAGAAAATTAGCCATATATACAATGACTAGATGTGTTCTTTTCAAAGTGTTAAAAATAAGGTTTCACAATAGAGAGCCAGCCAGGACTTGGTATTCTAGATTAATGTTTTTGGCCCTGGAAGACTCTGTGAGCCTGTGCATGTACTTTGAGATAATCAGTCATCATTTAGTGAACCGTTTTTCCATTATTTCACCTTAGCAAAGCCTTGGGTAGAGTCCATTAAATTATAGTCACACATTACATAATAGTCACACACTGCATAATGATGTTTGGTCAATGACAGACTACATATGTGACAGTGGTCCCATAAGATTATGATACTGTATTTTTACTGAACCTTTTCTATGTTTAGATACACAAATACTTAGCATTGTGTTACAATTGGCTACAGTATTCCCTACAATAACATGGTGTACAGGTTTGTGGCCTAGGAGCAAAAGGCTGTATCATACAGCCTAGATGTATAGCATAAGTTGGTGTGAGTGTGCTCTATTATGTTCACACAAGACTGAAATCACCTAACTACACATTTCTCAGAATGCATCACCATCACTAAGCAATGCATGACTGTATATTTACTCTTTGGGCACTGACTTCCTGACCTACAAAGCAGAGTAATGAAATAGCAACAGTCACATCACATCAGGAGATAAATTAAGGAGGCTATCTTCACCTTATCAGGGAATAATTCACCTAGTAAACAATCCAGAAACAAAGGCTAAACAGTCAAAAATAAAAATCTTGATGTCAAATTAACTCCCAAGCTGTTGCAAAGATAATTGCCTTTGTTATAAGAACAGGTTTTCCAGATTCAGTAAGGAATGCCATTCATTCCCTGAAATAAATCTGGCTCCAGGAACAGCAGCGCAAGGCAAAGGGGAACATTTTATCTACAGACTATAACACAAGCCACTCAAAGGAAACATAATTTTCCAGTACGGGAGGAACTCCTATAAGTTTTACCCAGGCCTTTCTTCATTAAAAGCAATAGTAAGTTATTCACTGTCATGGCATGCTCAAAATCCTAAAGAATGAATGCTCCGTGTGCTCTCATTCTTTTTCTTTTTTTTGAGATTAAATTAAGTGGCAACTAGTACAATCGGTGGCATTTAGTACATTCACAATGTTGTGCACCCATTAGCTGTAGCTCTAAGACATTTTCGTCACTCTAAAAGGAAATCTTACACCCATTAAGCAGTTACTCCCTGCTTCCTCCTCCCCCCAGTTCCTGGAAACCATTAGTCTTCTGTCTCCACAGATGTACCTATTTTGAATGTTTCATGTAAATGGAACTATATCATATTTGACCTTTCATAACATTTTTCAGGTGCATCCATGTTTTAGCATATATCGGTACTTTATTCTTTTTCATGGCCAAATAATATTCCATTGCATGGATATACTGTGTTGTACTTATCCATTCATCGGTGGATAGATATTTGGGTGGTTTCCACCTTTTGGTGATTGTGACTATTGCTGCTATGAACTGGGACTCTCATTACTGACATACATACTTTCTTCCTGTAATGTAGTTTATAATCCTCAGGGATTTGTATTCAACACTTCATTTGACACTCTAATAACACCTGTGCTACACATATCACAGGATTCTTAGAGACTCAAAAGATATAAGTTTCAAAAATATAATTCCAAGTCATCCATTTACTCAATGGTAGGTCTCAGGTTGATCTTTAGTAGAGATCTCTGTATCCCACACATAATGGCTTCTAGTCCTTCTAAACGCTATCTATTTCTAAACGCTTCTATTTCATATGGGCCCAATGTTCCTTGGGGAAGTGAAGCCACACGAATCCATTTCATACTCCAAGCTCCATTTAAAACTGTGGCTAGACTTTAAGCTCCTGCAGAGTAGGATTATGCTTTGTTCATCATTAGAGTCTAGCGGCTACTATGGTGAGAGGGGAAAAGAGGGAAAGGGAAGGAGAGAAAACAAGTATGAGAAAGAAAAGAAGTGGGAAAAGGACACACACTAGACAGACTCATAGTGTTATGGTTAGGAAAATATTTTCTTTGCTCCTGTGACTTCCTGAGTACTTTGTCCCTTCTCCACACAATGAATACATGAGTTGGGGAAGCCTTGGAGAAAGTCCAAATGGCAGGTAAAATCAGTGGTGAAAATGCTTGCTCAGATCGAAGTTTCTGCCATGACACTAGTTCTTTTTTCCTTCTGTTATGAAACAATTACACTATCAAAAACAAAGAACCTAATATGAAAACTAAAAACAAAAACAGCAATAGATACTTGAAAAAGGGCATGAGTTTCATTATACTACTGCCAAGGTTCTATCGCTCACCTCTTGCACTCTACCTCCCAGAGAAATTATGGCTCTGAGTACATCATTCTTATATCCAGATAAGCCCTGGATTTATGAGCCTATACAAAAAGTTTACAGTTTATAGGACACTGGACCAAATACCAAAAGATGGATTCTGATTCCAGATCCATTCAGAATCATAAAATCTCAGAAGCCTGTCCAATTCAGATTCTCAATCTTTTCCCTACCCCAGTTCACATAGAAATCAATAGTCCTACAGCACGTTGGACTAAGTGGACAGCTATTCACAGTTGGACGCAATAGGCCAAGGCCTGCTAGCTGAGAGGGATGGAATTAGTTTTTAATTTTATTTTTTAGTTGGAAACTATAACTCTTTATTTTTGTCCCTTCTTGTTTTATGTTTTTTTCTTTATTTCTTCTAAAAAAAAAAAACAAAAAAAAAAACAGGATACATGTACAGAACGTGCAGGTTTGTTACATAGGTATACATGTGCCACAGTGGTTTGCTGTACCTATTGACCTATCCTCTAAGTTCCTCCCCCATCTCCCATCCCCCCAATGGGCCCTGATGTGTGTTGTTTCCCCTCTCTGTGTCCATGTGTTCTCAATGTTCAACTCCCACTTATGAATGAGAACATGTGGTGCTTGGTTTTCTGTTCCTGTGTTACTTTTTTTTTTGCTGAGGATGATCGCTTCCAGCTTCATCCATGTTGCTGCAAAGGACATGACCTCTTTCCTTTTTATGGCTGCATAGTATTCCATGACATATATGTGCCACATTTTCTTTATCCAGTATATCATTGATGGGCATTTGAGTTGGTTCCCTGTCTTTGCTATTATAAATAGTGCTTCAATAAACATACATGCACATGTTTCTTTATAGTAGAATGATTTATATTCCTTTGGGTATATAGTCAGTAACGGGATTGCTGGGTCAAATGGTATTTCCGGTTTTAAATCCCTGAGGAATTGCCATACTGTCTTCCACAATGGTTAAACTAATTTACATTCCCACCAACAGTGTAAAAACATTTTCCTATTTTTCCATGGCCTTGCCAGCATCTATTCTTTCCTGACTTTTTAATAATCATCATTCTGACTGTCGTGAGATGGTATCTCACTGTGGTTTTGATTTTCATTTCTCTGATGATCAGTGATGTTGAGCTTTTTTTCGTATGTTTTTTGGCCACATAAGGGTTTTCTTTTGAGAAGTGTCTGTTCATATCCTTTGCCCACTTTTTTATGGGGTTGTTTGTTTTTTCTTGTAAATATGTTTAAGCTCCTTGTAAATTCCAGATATTACACCTTTGTCAGATGGGTAGATTGCAAAAATTTTCTCCCATTCTGTAGGTTGTCTGTTCACTCTGATGATAGTTTCTTTTGCTGTGCAGAAGCTCTTTAGTTTAATTAGATCCCATTTGTCAGTTTTGGCTTTTGTTGCAATTGCTTGGCGATTTTGTCATGAAGTCTTTGCCCATGCCTATGTCCTGAATGGCATTGCCTAGGTTTTCTTCTAGGGTTTTTATGGTTTGGGGTTTTACATTTAAGTCTTGAATCCATCTTGAGTTAATATTTGTATGAGGTGTTAGGAAGGGGTCAAGTTTCCATTTTCTGCATACGGTTACCAGTTTTCCCAGCACTATTTACTGAATAGGAGATCCTTTCCCCATTGCTTGTTTTTGTCAGGTTTTTCAAAGATCAGATGGTTGTAGATGTGTGGTGTTATTACTGAGGTCTCTGTTCTGAAGCCAGCATCATCCTGATTCCAAAACCAGGAAAAGACACAACAAAAAAAGAAGAACTTCAGGCCAATATCCCTGATGAACATCAATGTGAAAATCCTCAATAAAATACTGGCAAACAAAATCCACCACGATCAAGTCAGCTTCATCTCTGGGATGCAAAGCTGGTTCAACATACGCAAATCAATAAGCATAATCCATCACATAAACAGAACCAAAGACAAAAACCACATGATTATCTCAATAGATACAGAAAAGGCCTTTGATAAAATTCAACATCCCTTCAGGTTAAAAACTCTCAATAAACTAGGTATGGATGGAACATATCTCAAAATAATAAGAACTGTTTATGACAAACCCACAGCCAACATCATATTGAATGGGCCAAAGCTGGAAGCATTCCCTTTGAAAACCAATACAAGACAAGGTTGCCCTCTTTCACCACTCCTGTTCAACATAGTATTGGATGTTCCAGCCAGGGCAATCAGGCAACAGAAAGAAAAAAAGAGTATTCAAATAGGAAGAGAGGGAGTCAAGTTGTCTCTGTTTGTAGATGACATGATTTTATATTTAGAAAACCCCATCATCTCAGCCCAAAAACTTCTTGAAATGATAAGCTACTTTAACAGAGTCTCAGAATACAAAATCAATGTGCAAAAATCACAAGCATTCTTTTACACCAACAATAGGCAAGCAGAGAGCCAAATCATGAATGAACTCCCATTCACAATCGCTACAAAGAGAATAAAATACCTAAGTATACAGCTAGCAAGGGATGTGAAGGGCTGCTTCAAGGAGAACTACAAACCACTTCTCAAGGAAATAAGACGAGGACTCAAACAAATGGAAAAACATTCCACCCTCATGGATAGGAAGAATCAATAATGTGAAAATGGCCATACTGCCCAAAGTAATTTATAGATTCACTGCTATTCCCATCAAACTACCATTGACATTCTTCACAGAATTAGAAAAACTATTTTAAATTTCATATGGAATTAAACCCCATATAGCCAAGACAATCCTAAGCAAAAAGAACAAAGCTGGAGCCATCACGCTACCTGACTTCAAACTATACTACAAGGCCACCGTAACCAAAACAGCATGGTACTGGTACCAAAACAGACATATAGACCAATGAGAATTTATTTTTAAACAAAAGAAAACAGCCCAGTCTCTGTGGCTCACACCTGTAATCCCAACACTATGGGAGACCAAGGTGCCTGGATGACTTGAGGTCAGGGGTTCAAGACCAGCCTGGCCAACATGGAGAAACCCCATCTCTACTAAAAATACAAAAAATTAGCTGGGCATGCTGATGTACCCCTGTAATCCCAGCTACTTGGGAGGCTGAGGCGGGAGAATCACTTGAACCCGGGAGGTGGAGGTGGCAGTGAGCCAAGATTGTGGCACTGCACTCCAGCCTGGGTGACAGAGCAAGATTCCATCTCAAAAAAAAAAAAAAAGAAAGAAAGAAAAAGAAAAAGAAAAGAAAAGAAACAAAACCCAACCAACAAACTACAGCAACTGGTTGGAGATTATTACTCTATGATAATAAGTTAGTGCTTAAAATTTTCTTCCCTGTTTCCTGGTGGAATCTTTCATGTTAGCATCATATAATCCACACAATGCCTCTTTGAAGCAGGTAATAGTCCCATTTTATAGTTAAGGAAGCTGAAGCTAAATATAGTTACTTGACTTATCTAATTATCCAGCTAATAAGTAGCATATCTGCCACTCTAAATCAGGTATCCTGATTAAATCGATTGTTGTTTGCAGTATTTATTCTTAAACTTGGGTAAACATGAGAATCATCTGGAGAAGCTTGTTACAATGTAGATTCCCAGAGGTGGACTCTGTGTTTTTGGTGAGCCCCCAGATGCAGCCAGCCTCAGGACCTACATTCAGGAATGGCTGTGACAGACTTTCTATGACAGCTTCCCAGAGATCTCCAAGCTGACCACACAATCTCAGTGGTCCACAGTCTTATGCACTGATTTGTCTTGACCAAACTTCAGTCAGTCTTCTCTTCTCCCCACAGATCCCTGAACTTTGGCTTCCCTCCAAGCCTGACCTAGCACTAAAATACACAACATCAGTACTTAATAGCCCATCCTGAGAATGGGCCGATGACAGCAGAAACCTGTCAAACCACCATCTTGCTGTCTGTTTACCTCCACCTAATTGCCCAATTTCCCCTACTAAGTTCCTGCTATCCCTGCTTACCCCATCCCACAAATGTCTTTTTCTGTTTGGTTTTGAGATGTCTGTAGATCCTGAGATTAGGGAGCTTACTATTACAATAGCCTCTTTGAATAAAGTTTCTCCTTACCTAAGTCCAGATTTGTTTTTATTTGACAAAGTCCTCAACCACTGACCAAGCTCAAGTTTCACTGAAGCTTCTTCACAGAGGAAGAGATTTGGCAACACCATTTGGGGTTCTTTTTGTGTCTGCAGCAAGCTGGCTGGGGACTTAGCCCATCAACACCCTTGGGATGGCATCACGGGCCAATACGTATTTAACTATAGCTCACCGTGGACCTTTCTGATCTTAGCTTCAGGACTTTATTCCTGGCATTTGGACATCATGTCTGTGGGGACCCTAAGATGAAAAGCTTTCAATGTCTCCAGTTTTTCTCAGAATTCAAAGAAGGTATTATACAAATGTCTGCTGTGAAATATTTCTTTCCCAAGATGCACCAAGCATCCACATGTCCTTAAGAAATGTTTGGCCCAGTTGCCAAGGCACCTCCTGTCAAAGCAATCTTGAAAACTGACATTTTTCTTCCAAGGAGCTACCTCCCTTGGCTTTTGCAACTATCCAAGGTTGAGACATGCACTTTTCATAAACTATGACTAAGCAAAGTCTAAACAGTCCTGGGCTGCCTCCTTAACTCTCCTTCTCCCAGCGGAACACTTGGCCTTTGCTTTGCAGAGCTCTTGCCAAGAAATCACCCAGGCACTTACGATGCAAATTTCATGGGAAGAGAAGAGCACCAAAGAACAAAAATAAAAGAACTTTCCTCTAAATGTAAAATCCCTTCTCAGAGTTAGAAAGCATTAGGCTGTTCCTAGTCTGGTGCTTAAAATGACTTCATTTCATAATTGTTTCTATTAATAATTATACAATAATGCCCTATAATAAAATTCTATGATAATGACAACTTCAAAAAATCCTTATTCTTTTTTTTTAAATTATGACTATCGGCCAGGCTCGGTGGCTCACCCCTGCAGTCCCAGCACTTTGGGAGGCCGAGGCGGGTGAATCATCTGAGGTTAGGAGTTCAAGACCAGCCTGGTCAACATGGTGAAACCCCGTCTCTACTAAAAATACAAAATTTAGCCAGGCATGGTAGCAGATGCCTGTAATCCCAGGTACTCAGGAGGCTGAGGCAGGAGAATCGCTTGAACCCAGGAGGCAGAGGTTGCAGTGAGCCAAGATTGCGCCATCACACTCCAGCCTGGGGACCAAGAGCAAGACTTCGTCTCCAAAAAAAAAAAAATATATATATATATATATATATATATATATATATATATACACATATATATATATACATATATATACACATATATTACTAACATAGAAAAAGATATGCAGTGCTACCAGCACAATTCTGAAGAAACTCTACAACACGGCTTTCTGAGTAGGTAATGGCTTTTTGTCTTTACTATTCCCGTAGGAGGCTCAAAAGGCTAAAAGAGTTGACCAGTTGGTTAACACAAAGCAGCATGTGTTGACAGGAGGAAAAACCCTTGAGTCACAATACCTGGGTTTAAGTCCCAGCTCACCACCATCCAAGGCAATAACGATCTTAGGCAAGTCACTAAACTACTGCAAGCCTCGATTTCTCAATCCATACAAGTAAGCACAAATAACATACAATCCAGCCTACCTCATTTGATTGAGAAGAGGAGGGAACTATTGCTTTGTTTTAAAAAAGCAGAGCAATAGATAAATACAAAGTATCATCATCCTGGCCTTCAAAACATCCCATTATGATTGGTATGTACCCTTCACTGTACATCTCCAAAGAAAAGAAAATAATTCTTATCTTTGTAATATATCCCCAAGTCTTCATGAACGCTTTTGTCAAAAAAATGAAAAAATATGTGCAGGTGAATGTTGGTACATTACCAAATATCAAAGTATATACAAATCTAAGACAGTGTATATCATAAATTTAAGTACAACAGCACTTCTTTGTCTAAATCTTCATTTAAACTCTTTCGGGTATTAAACAATCCATTAACATAACTCAGTAGAACTGGTTATGCATAAAGGCACAGATTTTTTGCCTTTCTCGTAGACCAGAAACTTGCAATATTTTTCCAAATAAATCTTATCATAATGTCTTAAATATACTTGTATTCCTCATGTTGGACCTGCAATGAAGAATTATTGTACTATCAGCATTTCACAAAATGCTGATAATACAATAAAAATTAAATAAAAATCAGAGGCACAAAACAAATCAGTCCAAAAAAAGCTTTTAAGTCTGCTATATTTCTTCTGTCCTGGGCCTGGAAAAGAAGTCACAAGTCAAGTGTCTGTATTACATGAAGTTACCTGGAATGATAAGGGAAGATGTTGTGGAACGCTGGTGATCAGAGCTGAGGCTTTAAAAACTGTGTCGCCACAAAACTTTGAAAACAGAGCTAAGACCCAGTGTACCAGCGTCTCCTTTCTACCAAATCATAGTCATCATCAGTGATGCTTAAAAAGTGGCCTTGGGGCCCGCAGGAGCAGCAGCAGCGGCAGCAAGGCCTTGTTAGAATTGTATGTCCTCCAGGTCCAGCCCAGACCTACTGAATCACAAACTCCAGGGCTGGGGCCCAATAATCGGTGTTTTAACAAGTCCTCCAGGTGATTCTGATGCATGCTCAAGTTTGAGAAGTGCTGCTTATTTCACTGTATAGTGAAGAAAGCATGACATTCCTAGTTTTATGATTCTGTGTCTAAAATGGTGCTGGGTTCAATGCAAACTCTCTTTGTTTGACACGTTTTATCATTTTTATCATAAGAAAAAATTAAAGTCATGTGTTTTGAAGAAAGAAAGAAAAGGAAGGAAGGGGAGAGAGAGGGAAGGAAGGAAGGAAGGAAGGGAGGCAGGGAGGGAGGGATGGGAGGGGAGGGGAGGGAGGAGGGGAGGCAAGAGGGGAGGGGAGGGGAAAGAAAAATAAAATAAGCAATCCAGGACAAGCAAATAGAAGGCATCTGTAATCCCACAACCTAGAATAACCCATTAGGACCACCGCATTGCACAACCCTGGGGCTACGTTTCACACAAAATACTGTGTGAGTTTTACAATGTGACTTGACCACTATTCATATTTTTGTGAATATCTTCCAAATACAGACTCCAAACAGAATTCAAAGTACATAATGTTTTAGAACCTACTTATTTTCATTGAAGGCTATAATCATGAATATGTCCCTAAATATTTCTAATACATCATGTTTTTAACAATAGACTGGTGATCCTTTCAGTGGATTTACCGTAACTTAAGAAATCCCCGGCTGGGCACGGTTGCTCACGCCTGTAATCCCAGCACTTTGGGAGGCCAAGGCGGGTGGATCACCTGAGGTAGGGAGTTCGGGACCAGCCTGACCAACATGGAGAAACCTCATCTCTACTAAAAATACAAAAAAAATTAGCCAGGCGTGGTGGTGCATGCCTGTAATCCCAGCTACTCTGGAGGCTGAAGCAGGAGAATCACTTGAACTCGGAAGGGGGTTTGGTGAGCTGAGATCGCGCCATTGCACTGCAGCCTGAGCAACAAGAATGAAACTCCGCCTCACAAAAGAAAGAAAGAAAGAAAGAAAGAAAGAAAGAAAGAAAGAAAGAAAGAAAGAAATCGCTTATTGTTTCTATTTTGGTTATTTACAATTTGGAATTCTTATATTACAATGAACAAATTATAGCTGTTTCTTTGTGCACAACTGTGGTTATCCCCATGAAGTAAATTCTAAGCAGAAAAGAATAAGGTTTGCTCTTTATTTGCTCTTCGTGGTGTTATAATTTTATTCTTCCTGGTAGCAAAGACTAATCTCTACATTTTGGAATTTTTCTGAGATGCCTATTTATGTTTGTTCAAATAACGGTGGCAGGCATTTTCTGTCTTTACTAGTCACTGAAGCACCTAGCTCACCAAAGAATCAATAAGAAAACACATGGATTTGTCCACATGCTGCCATGTTAAAGAGAACTGAGATTCTAGCACCCAGACGAAGTCTTCTTTCCAGCGAGAGAGAAGGCCTGACAATTCAGCATTAACAGCAATTACCAACATGCTTCCTGGAATTTGAACTGCTCTCTTACATCTTTGCAGAAAGCTAATTAGCCAAGTTGAGTTCTGTCAGCGGAATCACATAAAATTTTCCCTCATATTCCTGACGCTCTTTGGTCATTGAATTTCAGCTGCTTTCCAGTATCTGGAATCCTTCAGTGGCCCTTTTTTCCTTCCACATGTGACTAAGTGGACCTTTAATCAATTTGCATTGTGTAGAAGCAAAGCCACTCTGGAACAGATGGCATTCTTGTGCGCTTACCACCAGTCGGGATATACTGCAGCCTATGATGCGTGTTCATAATGGAAGGCATGACAAGCACTTCATAACCCTGCAGCCCTGTGATTACAAGCTCCAGTGCTTGTGTTAGGCAGGCAGGGGAAAATCCTCACGTCGGTACAACACAGAGAGGCCCCTCATTGGAGCACTGCAGTCATTTGGCTGCAAGCTGCAGAGCCCTCTCCAATGCACCAGCTGGGGAGAGGAAATGAATCACACAATAAAACTGAACGTGCTCACCTCCCTGGCTGCCACATATCTGTGTGCAGGCTGGTTCCTGCATCCCCAGCATGTCTGCCTGGAGCCATTAACTAGTTTGCGTGGGCTGGAGAGAATGTGGGTTTCTCATTCTTCCAGATAATCACTTGATGCGCTATGTTCCTATTTTCTCCAGTTTATGGCAGATGCTATAATATATAGAGGGAAGCAATGTGGTCTTGGAGAGAAGATGGTGGAGAAGCTGCTTAGAGGTGAAAATCACTAAGGTCTTGGCTCCATTTCTTCCTTCTCCACTGATTCCTTGGCATCTTTACCTGTAAACTGGGGAGGCTGGCAACTGTTCACATCTCTCTCTCTTGCATATGCAGGCTGTTAGGCTGGACCAGCAATTCCTATCATTTATGAACTGCCTCTGTACTTCACTACCCGCCTTCAGTCTTTAGGGGTAAATCCTGAGTAACCGGGAGTTAATTATGTCAGAATTCAGAAATCTATGTGAGCCTTATTTTGCTCACTTGAAGTAATCTCTTCCCACCACTCCTCCTTCTCCACTTATTTGAATGCTATTTACCCTTCAGTCATCTTTCAAAGTCACAGCAAGTCCTGCATCCATCCCCATCACCAAGTTCTTTCTAACCACCCAGGCTGCAGTGAGTTCTCCCTTCCCTAATCTTCTACAGCAGTTGTCATCCTTTCCTCTCCTTTGGGGCTTATACTTGTCTGTGTTATCAGTGAATTTTTGGTGTGTATGTCTCACCTCCACAACTAAATAGCAAACTCCTTAAAGTCAGAGATTATGAAGTATACATCTGTGCATGCCCTGCCATGATTTTCCATTACAGAATTTATCCTAAGAAAACAATCACAGGCACTCATAATTGATTAGAGGCAACCGATTTGTCAACAATAGTAACCAGTGCAAATGATTATTTTCTCCCAAAAGGGCCTGAAAGAGCAGCCATAGTCCATTCTTTCTTCATTTATCATCACTGTCACTGGCTTCCTAATTCCCCACATCCAAGGACCCAATTCCCTGTTAAAGGCATTTCTCTACTCCAATCTTCCAAAAGTCTTTGGAGACGGTTGCATTAGGGACGGGGTGGGAAGTTGCTAAAAATATCCCATAAGTAGTACGTGTTTGGCAAAATTCCAAATTGCTTCCAATTTCCCCAGAAACAATTAAAACATTCTCAGAAATCCCCAAAATTGACAAACACTGTGTTCTAAAGGAAATCTGAACTGAAACAAATAAAGCTAATGGGAAATCACTGACCAGGAAGAAGGCCCCTTGGTGACAGCAAGGACACTGATATACATGGCACCAGGCTCAGTGGCAGGGCAGGAAAAGGAAGGGGATTCTGGATGGGGTGAGCTTTTCTCCACTGCTGTCTCCAGTGACCCACTGCTAGGCGCTCAGTCCCTACCGCCTCACTGATGTTTGATATTTATTTAAAAATAGAAGAAGCCTTTTGTTCTTCCATCAGAGATCATGTTTAAAATGCAAATACCCACAGTGTTTAAACTAACACTAAGACAAAAATGGTGTGTGTCAGATTCTTTACTTATTGCAGGCTTTGATAGCAGAACAATAAGAAGAGATGTCACTGAATGAAGAAAAGAATAGAAAAGGTGAGAAGATTCTCTTCTGAACCCAACATGAATTTTATTCATTTTCATTTAGCTCTGATTATATCTGTCCTAGAATGATAATAAAGCAACAGAATCAAAAAAAGTAACTTACTCTTGTAGAATGTGTTGTTTATGACCAAACACCTTCATGTCTGTTGCTTAAATGGTTTCCGAGAGCAATCCTGTGAAGAAGACATAATTCCCACTTGACTGGTGAAAAAAAACAAGTCTCATGGAGACAACGTGAAGACCTCAAGACATCACAGGTAGCAACAGAATCAGGTTTCAAAACTTGACCATATGTTTCTTAATTCAACAAAAAATTATGAGGGACCTACTATAGGCCAGACTTGTGCTAGGTGCCAGGGATAAAATGATGTGTAAAACCCAAGACAGGCTCTGCCCATATGGACCTGGGAGTCCAACAAAGAGACAGGTGCTAAAATGTAACAGACATAAATGCAGCATCAATCCAAGAGTGACAGTGGTGATAACAAGGAAAGTCATTTTGCAAGGAGAGAGGTAGAATAACAGTTTTCCAGACAGAGGGAACCAGCACATGCAAAGACCCTATACAAGAGCTAGCCATGCATTCCAGAAACCCTAAGAAAGCCAGCACAGCAGAGAGCAAGGAAGTGGATGGTGTGGGCAGAGTCTGGTTTGCAATGACATGGACTTCCTCTTCCTACCAAGAAAAATTGGTGTCCCTAAAATATTTTAAGCAAGGGAATAACTGAGAAATTTCCATAATTGAAAAGCACTGTCCTGGACAATGGCATCATGTTCCCACCCCATAAACATTTTAAATGGAACTGAACATCTACAGTAGGAGCCATAGCACTGCCACTTGCCCCGGCCGTCCAAATCCAAGGGCTCTGCACCTGATCCAACGCCATTATCCCTCGTTTTTCCAACCAATCAAAGTTCTCTAGAGAGGCGGCACATAAGCTTCTGTGCTGGGAACCGCTGCAGACAACGATGCCTCAGACTCAGACTCTCTCCCAGGAAGCCTGAAGCCTGGAAAAGGAGAGCAGCCCTGCAGACAATAACTCAAGAACAAGGTGGAGAGTACTAACTGCCTTCTGATAAAGGGAAAGGAAATCCCCACAGAATGACAGAGCTGCAGCCTTTCCTCAAGAATACGGACACAGTTTCCATTGTGTTGACACTTATTATCTCAGGGAAGTCAGAAACCATGCTCATTCATTCTTTGTACAATCTCTCCTTTTACTCTTTGGACATACGCAAACTTATTTCTGTATCCTTGCAATTTAAAAATTTGACCCTGAGTCAAGTCTCTTTTTCAGGTATTTTGCCTGCAATATAGAGGGTGCCCCCAATCAGCCTATTAAAATTATTTTTAACTCAGGAAAGTTTAAAGTTTAAACATATTGTTAGTTATCATATTTATTTGGAATGCTCTAGTACATCCTTGGGACAACATACAATGATTAACTTGGCTCTCTACTCTCTGCTTTATAAATAAGTGTTTGTATATACATAGATCTGTATATATATACACAGATATGTACATATTCATATATGCACATATGTATTTATATGCACATGCATATAATATCATCTGATCTGCATATGTATAAAATATTATCTTTCATTTATGATCTCTTTGTCCTTTTTCTCTGAATTCTGAGAGAGCTCCTCTGTTTGCCTTCTACATCACTGATATGATGTTCAGTAATATCCATCCTTTTCATTACTCCCGCGATAAGAATTTTAATATTCTACTTCATTTTTATTTTCATCCTTTTTTAATACACCAGTTGTCCATGTAGTAGAGTACATGTCTAGTATTCTCGCCTTAGAGTTCTCTACTTTTGTTTCATAGCACCATATCTTCTAGCTTTTTATTGAGGCAGTTAAATAGTTATTAAATTTTCCCTATGGCACCCACAGTAAATTATAAGTCTGCTCTGCCTCTGAATTTTCAGGATGATGTATCTACTCACTTACTCTGTGGAAAGTTTCGTCCCATAGGAAACATGTTGTTATTATTTTTTATTTTTATTAAAACTCAACTGAGGTGAGATCCATCCAGACCGCCATTTGCCAAGGGACAGGAGTTTGAAATGCCTTTGACTCAACTCTCTGTTTCATTTAGTCCTTATTGAAAATCTCCGCTCAAAACCACAGGTGGCTTTGGACAATTCAGACAATAGATTTCAGTCTGGAGTGGACTTTCCCTGAGGGTAACTCTTCCAGGCTTCTGTGACATCTTCCCCAGCTCAGATGGGCTTCTCCCCTGGCATGCTGAATAGACAGAGTAAATAAAAGCCTCTCTCTTCTCCTGACTTTCGCTGACTCATGAGGGGAGCACCAATGAAAGTAGTGGAAAAACTCCAGAGAGTCCTCCATCACCACTTCCTGCCCACTGGAGGTCCTAATCTCCGAATGGAGATGAAAACAAGAGGGGGCATTGTATTACGGTAACACTAAAATCACATTGGCCAGGTAGTAACAGGAATAACGTATACTTTTCTGGTTGATACAAATCTTTCCTTTCACATGTAGGTAGCCCCCATGGAATAGGATACAAAGGTTCTTTCTACCTACTCTTAGGAAAGCCATCTTGGTTCATTTCTAAGCACAGGTGGGCTGTCAATTGTGTTCTTCAGCCATGTACTTTGTAGAAATTTCTCTCAGATTCTGGCAGTGGGTTAACTGTCAGTCATTATTGCCCTATTTTTCAGTGTCTTCCAGGGTACTTTATTCGGAAGCTGAGAGGGGATTTTAGGAACCATTGTAAATGCCATTCAACATATGTTTTTACAGAGGCTTCTTTTCTTTAGTGTCAGGAATCAACTGCATGAATTCTCTACAAAGCTAAGAAGATAGCAGGATAGGGAATATGAGAGCTAGAAAAATTCAGTCCACTCCTCCTGGGTCTACACGTTCTCATCTATCTAATGAATAGGGAACCTATAGGCAAAAGCATAAGCAAGAAGCAGCTTCACTATGCACTGGTTACTACTTGGAACCACTCACTGGGTCTTGGGTGTACTTTTACTACTTGCCCAAGTCTAGTGAGACAGAACACTCACACACACAGGTTTCATGAAGCTTGTCTATTACTTGCAGATAGGCAGCAAGGAAAAACGGAAGCCTAGGATTCACGATGAACCGCTTCCCCAAGACTCAGAGAAGGTGTCCAGGGCAGATGGAGTCTTGTCTGAGTGTGCTCCACTTGCATGGCACTTAGGGACCCCAAAAAGCAGCCTGCCCTGGGTTTTCTACCCCAGGAGCGACAGAACTTGCCGGACTAAAGTAATGAAAGACATCCTATTCTGGGAGGGGCTGAAGGGAGCTTGGGCTGTTCTGGCCGTTCCCTCCTTAACTCAGGATGTTGCATTCCCAGCACATTCTAGTTATTCTTGAGAACTACAAGCAAGAAGGCAGAGAGAACTGGGTTGGTTCAAGGCCACCCAGACAATTGTCCTGTAGTAAGAACTTCAATCCTTCAATATTGATATAGCCTACCCCTGAGAGAATGCTTCCAGGACCACCAGACTGGAATCTATGCCTGAAAACTTAATGACAATCAAACAAAAAATATAAACAAATGTAACCGTGAAGGTGGAGAAGGGATTTGGCTTCAAAGTGTAACAGTTATTCCTGGAATTTCTTTTTAATTTCTTAAAATTCTAGCAAACTTCTGATGAGTAAAAATAGCCCTCACTGGTGTAGCAATCATCCACAGAAAATGCTACCAACTAGCAAAGACATTGGGGAAGAAAGGAGTGTTCAGCAGCAATCATGTTCACCCCCTCAGGGCAAAAAATGCCAACTTGAGCGATCCACCAAATGTAAGGAAGCCACAGGCAGCTGTCACCTGCAGGTGGGGAGGGAGGAACTCAGTGTTCCTGAGTGATGCTAGCTGAAGATGAGCTCTGTCCAAACAATACCCTACTTCTTCAGCTAGTTCCCCTTTGCCATGACAATTTCACTCTAAGTGAGCTGCTATGGGTTAAGCAATTACATAAGCAACCTGAATCCTCGTCATACCGATAATTGACACCCTTTATAGCTCCCTGAGGCGCTCACCTCCATATAAGAAAAAATAAGAATTACAAAGCAATCACCTATAAATTCAAGGTACCTCTTTCCCTTTGTTTTTTCTTTCTTTTACTCTTCTGGTCAGAGTGAAAGACAGTTTGAAGTCAGCATGTATGTGTGTGTGTGTGTGTGTGTGTGTGTGTGTGCGCGCGCGTGTGTGTGTGTGTGATGTGATTATGTAGTAGGTGAGTACTTCTCTGAATGACTTAAAGGTAGCATTTACATTTAAAATTTTTGTCCTTCAAGTACAGTGTGAAAATTAGACATAGGAGTTCTACCAGAAGTTCTCATGCAGTTCCCGATAGCAGTTCCTGCCTGTTCACACAATTGGAGATGTGCTTGGAAGTTACCAGCTTTGTATTCATAGCCCAGCAGAGCAAGAGGACAGAGATAAGAGACAAAGATGTACAATGCTAGTAGTCATCAGGTACTGAGTACAGACTAGTATTTTCTTAACACTCAAATCCTAAGGAAACTAGTAGATGGATCTGTAATCTTTTATTATTCTTCTGAACTATGTTCTCAAACTGTTCGTGTAAGTTCTATGTCACTGAATCAGTAATTTCCCTAAATAAATATTTTCTATGTAAGACTAGCTAGTTCATAAGGGAAATGGAGGTTTCTGTATTAGTCGATTTTCATGCTGCTGATGAAGATATACCTGAGACTGGGCAATTTACAAAAGAAAAAGGTTTAATGGACTCACAGTTCCACATAGCTGGAGAAGCCTCACAATCATGGTGGAAGGTGAAAGGCACGTCTCACATGGCAGCCAACAAGAGAAGAGAGCTTGTGCACGGAAACTCCCCTTTATAAAAATCATCAGATCTCATGAGACTATTCACTATCATGAGAAGAGCATGGGAAAGACCCACCCTCATGATTCAATTACATCCCACCAGGTCCCTCCCACAACACATGTGAATTATGGGAGCTACAATTCACAATGAGATGTGGGTGGGGACACAGCCAAACCATAGCATTCCATCCCTGGCTGCTCCCAAATCTCATGTCCTCACATTTCAAAACCAATCATGCCTTCCCAGCAGTCCCCCAGAGTCTTAACTCATTTCAGTATTAACTCAAAAGTCCACAGTCCAAAGTCTCATCCAAGACAAGACAAGTCCCTTCCACTTATGAGCCTATAAAATCAAAAGCAAGTTAGTTACTTCCTAGATACAATGGGAGTACAGGCATTGGGTAAATACAGCCATTCCAAATGGGGTAAATTGGCCAAAATGAAGGGGCTACAGGCCCCATGCAAGTCCAAAATCCAGTAGGGCAGTCAAATTTTAAAGTTCCAAAATGATCTCTTTTGACTCCATGTCTCATATCCAGATCACGCTGACGCAAGAGGTAGGTTTCCATGGTCTTGGACAGCTCCACCCCTGTGGCTTTGCAGGGTGCAGTTTCCCTCCTGGCTGCTTTCACACAGTGTATCTACCATTCTAGGGTTTGAAGGATGGTTGCCCTCTTCTCACAGCTCCACTAGGCAGTGCCCCAGTGGGGATGCTGTGTGAGGGCTTTAACCCCACATTTCCCTTTTGCACTGCCCTAGCAGAAGTTCTCCATGAGTGCCCGCCCCTACAGCAAACCTCTGCCTGGACATCCAGGCAACTCCATACATCCTCTGGAATCTAGGTGGCAGAAGTTCCCAAACCTCAATTCTTTACTTCTGTGCACCTGCAGACTCAACACCACATGGAAGTTGCCAAGGCTTGGGGCTTGCACCCTCTGAAGCCACTGCCTGAGCTATACCCTGGCCCCTTTTAGTCATGGCTGGAGCAGCTGGGACACAGGACACCAAGTCCCTAGACTGCACACAGCAGAAAGACCCTGGGCCCAGCCCACAAAACCATTTTTTCCTCCCAGGCCTCTGGGTCTGTGATGGGAGGGGCTGCCACAAAGGTCTCTGACACGCCTTGGAAACATTGTCCCCATTGTCTTGGTGGATTAACATTCTGCTCCTCATTACTTATGCAAATTTCTGCAGCTGCTTGAATTTCTCCTCAGAAAATGGGACTTTGTTTTCTGTCACATCATCTGGCTGCAAATTTTCTGAACTTTCATGCTCTGCTTCCCTTATAAAACTGAATGCCTTTAACGGCACCCAAGTCATCTCTTGAATGCTTTGCTACTTAGAAATTTCTTCTGCCAAATACCCTAAATCGTCTCCCTCAAGTTCAACATTCCACAAATCTCTAGGGCATGGGATAAATGTTCCCAGTTTCTTTGCTAAAACATAGCAAGAGTCACCTTTACTCCAGTTCCCAAGAAGTTCCTCATCTCCATCTGAGACCACCTTAGCCTGGATTTCACTGGTCATATCATTATCAGCATTTTGTTCAAAGCCATTCAACAAGTCTCTAGGAAGTTCCAAACTGTCCCACATTTTCCTGTCTTCTTCTGAGCCTTCCAAACTATTCCAACCTCTGCCTGTTATCCAGTTCTAAAGTTGCTTCCACATTTTAGGGTATCTATAAAGCAGCACCCCACTCTCAGTACCAATTTACTGTATTAGCTTTTCACACTGCTGATAAAGATATACCCAAGACTGGGAAATTTCCAAAAGAAAGAGGCTTAATGGACTCATGGTTCCATGTGGCTGGGGAGGCCTCACAATCATGGTGGAAGGTAAAAAGCACATCTCACATGGCGGCACACAAGAGAAGAGAATTTGTGCAGGGAAACTCCCCTTTATAAAACCATCAGAAATCGTAGACTTATTCACTATCATGAGAATAGCATGGGAAAGACCTGACCCAAGATTCAATAATCTCCCAATCGGGTCCCTCCCACAACACATAGGAATTATGGGAGATATAATTCAAGGCGAGATTTCGGTGGGCACACAATCAAACAATATCAGTTTCTTAAACAAGTCTACATGCCAGAAACAGACTAAGCACATTACAAGACTTCTCCCCCATTCAATTTCTCAGTAACTTTTTAGATAACTACCTTTGTTGTCTTCATATTACAGATGAGAAACTGTGGTTTACAGAGTTTATGCAGTAACTTGACCAAAGTCATAGGACTAGTAAGTGTCAGAGCTTTAAGTTGAACAGTCAGTCTGAGTACAGATTTCTACTTGTGACCATCATGCTATCATAAAATAATGGAAGGCTCTTGAAAACAATACCACTTTTGAGGCAACCAGAATAGAACAAATGATTTAAACAAAATTAAGGTTATTTAATCTTTTTCTCTAAGTCAGTCTTCAAATGTATCATCACTTTCTCAGGCGGACACATTCCCTCAAAATATTTCTAAGCCCTACAAATCAAATGTCAACTATTCAATAAAGCTATACTAATTTTTGAACAATTTCTTGAATGTAGATTTTGGTCACATCTTTCAAATGTGAAAGAGACCCAGAATACATGTCCTGTAAAGCATTTCTACAAATCACAATTTTAACATTAGAATAGACTTCATAAATTACCTGTACATCTTCCTTCCTAATAAAAGAATCAACTAGTACAACTTTCTGCCAATAGTAAGGATCCCATCAACCACTCCCAGGCTTTGTGGAAACATTACCAGTTATTCTACACTTACTCCCTCCAGGTAATAAGAGGCAACACAGTTCCACTGTTAGAAAATTCTAATTATTATAACAGTGTTCTTTATATGGAGTCTAATTTTCCTTGCTGTGACTTTCACCTTCTCATCCTATTTTTATCATTCTGAGGCATCAAGTTTACTCCTTTTTTCACCAAACAAACTAAATATTCGCCCTACTTCTTTCAATAATTACTTGTATTAGTCCGTTCTCCCACTGCTATAAAGATACTGCCCCAGGCCAGGTGTGGTGGCTCATGCCTGTAATCCCAGCACCGTAGGAGGCCGAGGCAGGCAGATTACTTGAGGTCAGGAGTTCGAGACCAGCCTGGCCAACATGGTAAAACCCCATCACTACTAAAAGTACAAAAATTTGCCAGGTGTGGTGGCACCTGTAATCCAAGCTAATCAGGAGGCTGAGGCAGGAGACTCTCTTGAACCCAGGAGGTAGAGATTGCAGTGAGCTGAGATCACACCATTGCACTCCAGCCTGGGAGAAAAGAGTAAAATTCCGTCTCAATTAAAAAAAAAAAAAAGATCCTACCTGAGACTGGCTAATTTATAAACAAAAGAGGTTAAACTGACTCACAGTTCTGCAAGGCTGAGGAGGCCTCAGGAAACATACAATTGTGAAGCACCTTACATGGTACACCAAATGCACAATCAAGGCACATTTACATAGCGACAGGCAAGAGAGTGTGCGTGGCTGCAGGAAAAACTACATTTATAAAAGTATCAAATCTCATGAGAATTCACTCCCTATCATGAGAAAACAGCATGGGGGAAACTGCTCCTATAATCCAAACACTTCCCTCCCTCTACACCTGGGGATTACAGATCCCTCCCTCAACATGTGGGGATTAAAATTCGAGATGATCTTTGGGTGGGGACACAGAGCCAAATCATATCATTCCTCATTACAGATGGTTCCAAAACCTTTAGTAGCCTAATTCCACCATTCTATGCACTCACTCTACTTCACCAGTGTTGTTCCTAAACTGTAGCACTCAACACTAAATATTCCGCATGCAATTCAAAAGAAAGTACAAAATTAAACAAAATTTTTACCTTCCATGTTCTGCATGTTGTTCTTAGCAATATAAAAGTGAATTACTTCAAAGAAACAAAAAGAAAAGCAGCAGCTATATCACTGTTCCAAGTCATATTCAGTTCTGTTCACATAACCAGTTGTCAAGTAAGGTTGTCTATATTATGTACAGCAAGCTCTCAAATAGTATCATTTCATTCAATATTATTTCATGATGAGAAAAAAAAAAAAATCTATTCCCGGTCAGAGCCACTGTCTATGTGGAGTTGCAGTGTGGGTTTTCTCTGGGTCCTCCAGTTTCCCCTCACATCCCAAATATGTGCACATTAGGTGAATCAGCATGTCTACACAGGCCCAGTGTGAGTGACTGGGGGTGTATGAGACTGTGCCCTGCAATAGGAGGGAATCCTATCCAGGACTGGCTCTTGAGAGTCTTGTGCCCGGAGCTACCAGATTAGACTCTAGTCACCCATGACCCTGAACTGGAATAGGTGGGTAAATTATTATCTTACTTGTTTTTATTAATCTTTCTTGAATGTATGTATAGCTCACGTTTATCTCAATGTTTAATATTAGAAGTGTTTTGAGTCTTTATTTAGAAGTGTCATGATGTTTTTGTGACCAGAAATAGGCCATAAGAACTAAATTCTTGTTTATATCAATTAATCTATGGTAACATTTGTTTTGTTCTACATTGTTTTGTTTAAAATCATAGTTTCCAAGAACCTATCTACAAAATTAAGTGAGGAATCACTGTATCTGAAAAAATTTCTTAAAAAGCAATATGTCCTGTTAATATGGAAACAGGATAAAGATGTCCAGGATTAGCACTTCTTTTCATCAGTATATAGAAGGACTAGCCAGTGAAATAAGGCAAGTTACAGAAATAAAATAAATAAATAAAACTGTTTATATCCTCACATGATATGACTTTAAATATAGGAAATTGAAAGACCCTATAATCTAATTAATCAGTGTATTTGGAAAGATTACTTGATATAAAGTCATTATACACCTGAATTGAATATATACTAGCAACCTACAATAGAAAATTAAAATTTTAAATATTCATAATAGCATCAAAAACATAAAATACATAGAGTAAATCTAATGAAAGAAATCTTTCTGAGATAAATTAATGAAGACCTATATAAATACCATGTTTCTGAATTGCAAGACTTAACTGTTTTTGTCAATACTGACTTGATCTAAGAGTCAGTGCAATTTCAAGCAAAACCTCAGCAAGCTTCTTTTACCTATGAGACACTCTGTTTAAAGAAAGAGGCTAAACACAGAAAAAATCATATATATAACTCCATGTATATTACATTCAGAATGTATTTACGTTAATAGATATATAACAGATAATATATACTGTGAAATTCGTATCTGGTCTTTGTTCCCATTTCCTGGCATACAACTCCTAAAATCCTTGGGATCTTCAAAGTGCTCTCTGTTGTGTGTCTTTTGTCTGATAGGCTCAGGGTGGGGCTGGTCACATGAAAGACCAAGGCAGGATTAGAAGGTTGGGACTTTCAGCCCCACTCCTCAACCTCCAGGAAGGGAAGACGGAAGGGTCACCCACCAATAGCCAATGGTTTCATCAATTGTGCCTGTGTAATTAAGCCTCTATAAAAACCCAAGAGGACAGGGTTTGGAGAGCTTCCAGATAGTTGAACATGTGGAGGTTCCTGGAGGGTGGTGCGCCCAGGGAGGGTATGGAAAGTCCATGCCCCTTCCCTCATACCTTGCCCTATGCATCTTTTCATCTGTGTCTTTTGTAATATTTTTTATAAAAAATCAGTAAATGTAAATAAGCATTTCGCTAAATTCTGTGAGCCACTCCATCAAGTTAATCAAACCCAAAGAGAGGTTTATGGGAATCCCAAATTGGAGCCAGTCCCTCAGAAGTTCCAGATGTTTGAACTTGTGACTTGTGTCTGGGAGAAGAGGGGCAGTCTTGGGGACTGAGCCTCTGACCTATGGGATCTGACACTGTCTTCAGCATAGATAGTGCCAGAATTGAATTGGAAGACACCCAGCTGGTGTCTGCCACCTGGTATGTGAAGGAAAAACTCCACACCTTTGGTCACAGAAGTCTTCTGAGTTGGTGATTGGGTGGTTGTGTGAGAACAGAGGAAAAACATGGTTTGAGAGTTTTCTCCAAGAATCTATGATAATAGAAGGCAGAATATTGGTTACCTCTGTAGGGGGAGGTTATTGACTAGAAAGGGACATGAAGGAGCTTTCCAGGGTGCTGGAAATATTCTAGGACCTGGTTACATAAGTGTACACATAAATACAAATTCATTAAGATTTACGTAGTTTATTGCATATATGCATGTTGTGTCTCATTTTAAACACGCTATTTTACTCTAAAACAAGCAACAAAGAGTACCTTGCATTTATATCAATTAAATTTTCATCTCACAGGTTTAGCTCAATGCTCCAAACCATTATGAGAATTGTGACTCTGAGTCCATCATCATGGGTAATAGCTATCTATTATTTAAATTGAATAGAACTGGACCAAGAACATAACTTGTAGCATCAGAAAATTTACAGAAACTCATTGGGTATTTCATTCACCAAAATTATCCTAACTTTCTACTTGTGCAGCCTACATTTATTCATCTTGTCACAAGGTTATCATGGAAAAACTTTGTCAAATGATTCACTGAAATAGACTAGACCTCATTGATCTCTCAAATGATACTATTTTACTCATATTAATTGGATACTTTATATCCTTAGATAATACCCTTACATAGATTTCTGTGCTCATTCTATCAGTTACAAAAAGAGACGCATTGCATTTCCCACTGTTATTGTATATGTATACTTTTTCTTTTTCTTTTGGCAATTTTTGAGGCTATCTAGTATATGTAAATTTAAGACAATTATAATTCCCTAGTGAATTGACGTATCATTATGAGATGTCCTTCTCCATCTGTAATTATACTTATTACCTTAAAAGTGTACTTTGTCTGGTATTGGCATAGCTACACCAGCTTACTTTTAAATCATTTGCAAGATATATTTGCTATATCCATCTATTTTGAATGTTTCTGTAACATAATATTCAAGGTTTATGTCTTGTTAGCAACATATAGTTGAATCTTGGCCTTTTAATCCATTTGGACAATCTTTATCTCCTAGTCTATTTACCATTTATCTTTTAGTCCATTTACCATTTGATATGACTTCTGATATGTCAGTTAAATCTATTAGGTAGGTGCAAAAGTAATTGCATTTTTTTTGCCATTGAAAGTAATGGCAAAACTGCAATTAGTTTGCACCAATCTAATACCATTTATCACTGGAGGGTTTTTTTTTTTTTTGTCCCCTCTGTTCTATATTTATTTTTCTAGCCTTCTTGCTTTATTCTGAATTAGGTGGTGTTGTATTATTTCATTTTCCCCTCTATTCACTTCCTAGCTACACAATATATTTGTTTACTATTTTTTAGTAACTACTAAAAGATTTCTATTACATAGAAATTATGAAATGAACCCTCATTTAATTAAAATCTAATTTAAATTCGTGGTTTTACCAATTGATGAAGAGTGCAAGGATCTTTGAATATATTATTCCATTTACTCCTTCTGTCTTTTATGCTATCATTGCCATGTATTTTAATTCTACATATATTTTAAACCCCCTGATGTGCACACATGTACATATACACAGAGATTTTCTAGTTTTTTTAATGGAAGAGTTGGTCTATAACAATCTGATTTGCCATTTTTGGATATGGAAACCCAAATTACTCTACTTTAAATTAGATTAATAAACGATGATTTTTTTCATTGTTCCTAAAGATAAACATCAAAGTTCCTTATGATGCAGCTTATCTTATGATATGTAGTTACAGATTTTATATTTTCACCAGCAGTTGATTTTAAACTTCCTTTATTTAATTCAAGGGTGGGAAAACTACAGGCTGTGGAACAAATCAGGCCTGCCACTTGTTTTTGTAAATAAAGTTTTACTAGAAAACAACAACCACACCTATTTGTATAATTCCTATACCTGCTTGCACACTATAGAAACCATATGGCCTGCAAAGCCAAAATCTTTACTATCTGGCTCTTTACAGGAAATTTTGCTGACCCCCTGATTTAATTCCTAAAATCTGTCATTTTCTTATTTTGCAAATCAAGGCTTTTAGCCACTCTTATTTCTCTGTTCTCTTTATCCCCACTCTCAGTGTTCTAACCCATTCTGGTTATCACTGGTGGACTAATATTTCAAAACTCCATCATAATTACATTATTTTTCTGCTCAAAAATGATAGTATTCTGTGCCTTATATGAGTTATTTGTACACTATGTACTTCTTTCCTTTTTATTTTATGGATGCCTCTAATACCACATTATTTTATTATATTACTAAAGCATTTATAGTACTCCTTCTTTGAAAGAAGAATTTGTCTTTTATATTCTAAAATTCTTTTTTACTGTACTATGCATGGTAGATAATTGATATTTATTCACTTAACTGAATAACGAGTTTATCCATTGTTAGAAAACTTAAAATGTTCTTTTTTACTTCACAGTCTAAACATCAGTAGTTAGACATCTGAAATGATACATATTATTTCCAAATCATTTCACTGCAATCTCAAATGAAAATAATTCACCACCACCTCCACTGGGCTACTCCCTTCTCTGTCATGCATTATCCCCCATAGAACCTGATTTTCCCTTCCGTACCAGTCTTCTGCTCCCTCTGGCCAATTCAGTATTGAGACCTTTAACCATCTAAACATTATTTTTCTAACCATGTCCATCTTGATGTTCATAAAATGTATTTTGTCTTTTTTATTTTGTCTTGCCGTTTTGTTCAGAAGTCATGATTTAGTAGACAAAATTCTGCTCTGCTAAGCTATATTTATAGCCAGCTCACTTCGTCGCCCTCCTTTCTATTCTAAAGCCGTAGTTTAACAAAAAGGATAAATGAACATAAAGCCTGGGCCACCTTTACCCTTCTCCTTTATTTTCCTGCTAGAGATTCAAATCTCCAAAGAAAATGATAGATGACTCACCCCAGGTGACTTAGCAGATGTACACAAGCTCTAGATGAGTAGAACAAGCTACAAGACCTACAAAATACATTGAAAATTAGTTTGAAAATTGCTCTCCAAGCAACTCTACCTATACACCTTTGTTTGGGATTGAGAGATATTACTTTAACTTAGAGTTGTGCATAAATTATTCTTTAGATTATCAGTATTCCTTGAAACATTTATCAGAATTGTACAAAAATGACTTTCTTACTCTAAGTTTGGGATGCTATAAGTCAAATAAAGCTAAACAGGTTTTTCTACTGCAGAATTTCTCAATATTCTAGGGTGTATTGTGGATCTGCAAGGGAGGAGTATGTAGCAATTAACTTTCCCCAGCTTATTTTACCCCACTTTTGGAGATCAGTCATTAACATCATGATGAACTACTGTAGCAGTCTTCCCTGTGAAAACAATTTGGTAAATGCTGACATAACTCCTAACTAAACTACAGCTTGGTTAGTAAGAAGGAGGACCTTTTTCAAGCAAGGTCACTGAAGAAGATGGTTTAGGACCTAGCAGGCCTTTTTGTTAAACTATATTCCTCTCATTATTTCTCTATATTGAAATACTGTTGCACTGTAGTTCTCATTAAAGCTTAATTTCTTACAGCACAGTATTCCCAGCAAAACCTAAGCTATCTGCTTATGACATTGCCCTGAAAGCTGTAAATAATAAGGTATATCCTGATGGTGGCTTAATTCTAACCGCATAAAGCTGAGGTTAGCCAGACACTGCAACTAGAAAGAAACCTAGTTTGGAGTCTTTATACTTTTATATATTTTATTTCATTCCATTTTATCTTGTTTGATTTTTAAGTCACTTAAATGATATTCAAAGTTTAAAAAGAGAATAAACTACAATTATATCCTCCTGGGCACCTACTTTACCTTATATTTGCCTTCCCCAATCTTCCCCTGATCTTTTTTTTTTTTTTCCCCCTTAACAGAAAATAGTTCTGCCTGGTTTGTTGTGTTTCCTTCCCCTTTCTGGATACGATTATTAATCAATTGCGCATTGTTGAGGCACTTATCACTTGAACCAGCTTGTTGTAGAATTTTTGCAAACCTATTTCCCATCTCCAACACATTGCAGGAGACGTGGATGATGAGTTTCTGAGCAGGTACACGCTGCAGCTTCTTCTGACAATGTAACCACTGAAAATGTGTTTAAGAAGCAATCACATGGCCTAGGAGCAGCTATGGGGTCTCTCATGATCATCAGAGAAGCCTGGTGGCATACCGGAAAGAAATGGATGACAGAATAATGTTATAGGTTACTAAAATATTTCATGTTCAGCTGAATTTTTTAAAACCATTTTCATGCCTGTTTTTTTTTTACTACCAGTGGTGAAAATAGAAATGGCTTCCTCTAAGAAAGTTAAAATATTTTTGTAAAGGGATTGTTCACTTGCAGAACTAGTAAGACTTAAAATTGCATCCATATGCATTTCTCCTATCTCTTCTTATTTCCCAGTATGTACCCCCTTCTAACAAAGGATGAAAAGAAAAATCTGAATGTGATCATTCAGACGTAATTTGACCACTTTATTCCCTATGACTACTAATCTCACTCCGAGGAATTTATTCTGGAAAAACAGTTTAACAAAAATCAAGTACTATATGCATCGAGAACCTACCATAATATTTATAGTAGAAAAACTATATAACCTAAGTATTTAATAATAGGGAAATGTTAAGTAATTTATCTAAAACATGAAATTAGCAGTTTTAAGATATAGGTATAGAAATATTGTATATATTTAGTGAAAAGGCAAAATACAAAATTTTTAGACTCTGAAAAAATATATAACTATATGGTTACACTGGGAAATGTGAATCCACACACCGGGGAACTCTTATCTTACGAATATTACATCATTTCAGGTAATAGGGGTCTATTGCTATTCCTTACAAAGATGTGTGTAGCACAGAAACCATCTCAGCATCCTCACATTTCCTTTGGGTGCTACTTAGGGTTGCATTTAGCAAATAAAAATGCAGTATACCAGTTAAATTTCAGATTAAAAAAATAATTATTTAGGATGACTCGTAGAAAATATACTTTAGTACAATAGTTTAATTTTAGTATAATACATGTGCAATACTTGGGATATACACCCCCACAAAATCTATTTTTTATCTGAAATTAAAATTTAACTGGGTATCCAAGACAACAAGTCTAATGGGGAACTGGAAACAGAGGGCTTGGGAAGAAAAGACGATTTAAACTCTAGTGAGCCGTCATCTTCTCATTTATGTCCCAACAGATAGAAAACTTGGCTTGTCACTATGAATATGGAGTTCCCCATATTTGGTAGGATTTCCCACAGATTCTCCAAGGACCAGCTCATCCTAGGATGCCTTTGACTTAGACAGCAAGTCTTGGTGTGGCTAGACATGGCCCGTTTAAAACAAATGGTTTCATCTTACAAACATGGTGCAAACCACAGAGATTATATGCAGAAAGAAAAATTTGAACTGCTTTTCTCAGATGAGGAGTATCAGGTGTTTAGACTCTTTGGACTCCTCTCCATGGCAAAACTTCAAAAGGGAAAAATAAAGATGAAATATAAGCTGAGCATGGTGGCATGTGCCTGTAGTCATACCTACTCCAGACACTGAGGCAGGAGGATCCCTTGAACCCAGAAGTTCAAGGCCAACCTGGGCAACACAGCAAGACCCTGTTTCTTTAAAAAAAAAAAAGATATGTATGTGTGTGTGTGTGTGTGTGTACATATACATGTACATATATATATATTACACACACACACATATAAATGTTTCATGTTATGTCAACCTCAAAAATTAGTGTACCTATATGTAGACAAGCTTTCTGTAGCTATACTTTTAGGACATTGCTCCAGGAGGCAGAATGGTTTGGAGAAATAGGATTATAAGAATAACATCTGAATTTAATATAAATATTGGTATCCCTTCAAATTCCAAATATTTCCTCATTAACCACAAGAGTCTTCTAGACATGAGCGTTTTTAATGAGGGGATGTCATAAAAATCTCCTCAAAAGTGTAGAAGACAACTTAGAGAGCAGCCAGTAAAATGCTTCATTTTACATATCAAAATGGAGGTACTGACAGGTTAGATAAGTCATTCAAAGTCACATCTATTTCATGGCTTCCCTTTAGGATGAATAACTGAAATTTTCCAAATTTCATTTTTCCTAACAATGCAGAAAGATGACTGCAGACTAACCACTGACAGCAGCAGGCTGATTTACTATGACTAGAAGGTTATTGGAAAGTAAAAGGCAAAAGACTAGAGAAACATAAGTAATTCCTGATATTTTGTTTTTAGCAAAACTCAAAGATAAATTCAAGAATTATGATTAATAAGTATGTGTTGATTTCACCTGAGAATACAAATAATATTTGATTGTAAATTACACTGATTTCCATTTTACAAGTCAATAACCTTTTGGTATGGCAGCCTTCTACTTTCCATCAGGTGAGCGTGTGTTGATGGAGGTAGAGAGAAATGTGGTTTTTCATAGAAATAACCCATCAAACAAATTATCAAAAACAAATCCCGTATTATTTTTTGCTTCCACAGACAACAGAGCTAAACAACTCTCTTGGAGAAATTGGAAGCTTAAAAATTTTTAAATGGTGGATAGTGACAATATGTTATGTTGTGGCCTTTTGTACTAGCTTGACTATATATCAAAAGCTAGGCTAAGACCAAGAACCTAAACTAATAAAACTTGCACACAAAATCGTAATCCATTATCAGATAAAATGAAAAAGTAGTGTTTCCATAGCAGTTTAAAAGAGTGTTGGAAATTGTTAACAAGAACTAGTTTCTTTCCTGGCACCAGAATGTTGCAGAACAAAATGCAACTGCTGTTCCTTCATTCGAGATAAACCTACAGATATAGAAGTGGGGGAGATGGACTCATAAAACACTTGCATAGAATTTAGTTACCTTTAGTCTCTTCTTTTCAAGGGAAGGGTGGCATCTTGTGGCACCAACACAACTTGCTGCAATAAGCTTACTTTCCCTGTTGAGCAAAACAGTTTGGAAAATAGCATCTGGTTCTTGGCAACTATGCATATTTTTACATGTCTTTTCCCCCTGGGGCCAGCCCCTCTGCTGCCCTTTGGTGGCTGCAGTAGCCCTCAGAAGAGAGAAAGCAGTGGGTGGGAAGCTGCTTGGTTTAGTAAACACAATCTGACAGCCAGACCACAAAAACGAGCTGCTTCCTGCACAGCTGGCTCTCACTTCTCCCCGTCTCTATTCCACTGTGGGTGCAGGGGAGAGGGAACCCTGATTTTCAGTTTTCCTGAGATTTTTCTCTTCTTGCTTCTTTAGCCTAGCAGATTAACCCTTCCTGTAATTATGGTCTCAGGCACTTTGCTTCTTAAAACACGTGGCCTATTTCTAAGATAGAAAAGAGTAGCTGTGGGTTTAGAGCAATTCCATGTTTGAGTTTTAAATACAATGCAGGGAAGAGCAAAGCCCTGCACATTTGGAGCCATGAGGGAAGCCAAAATAGACCAAAAATGTTTATTGCATACCAAACAAAGGCAAGAATTCTGACACCGTAATAACTGTGGTGGAGGTTTCATTAGACTGTAAATCTTTGGCTTCACAGAACATCCAGCTTGGAGGGGAGTGGCATTTTTTTCTTCTTGTCAGACATACAAGACAAAGGTCGGCATTTTTTCTTCATACTGAAATCATGCCCCCGAGTATGGCAGACGCGCATTATCTGCGCAGTAATCCGTGCATTCAGCTCTTTGTTAACCTGTCCGATCACAACTTACTGCTTTTGAAGCAACATCAAAAGGCTTGCAAAGATATTTTAAACCATCTTTATTAGTGCCAGTCATTTCTAATTTCTCCCCACTGTCCTTTATAAAAATATCTTTGGTGCTCAACTTGTTTCACCAAGCAGATCATTTTAATATACATACACAGTATGTGTGGACATTATTGCCCCATGTCATGAAATTTAATGTCAACATAGTGTTCTCTATATTGATGTATCTTTTTTTAAGAAGTCCCACCCTAATTTTTAAGCAGTTAGATAGTTCTCTCTGTAAATACCACTGTGTAAATCTTTGTGTACATTCTGACTATTTTCTTAGGAAAAATTTCCTAAAAGTTACATTTCTAGGTTAAACAATATTAATATTTTACACATTTTTCAAACATATTGCCGAATTGACTATCTAAAGGACTATGCCAATTTACATTCTTTTGAGCAATGCTTCCACACACCAGCTGAAGTTTTATCACTTTTAAAAATTTTGTTACTTTGATAGATGAAAACCAGTGTCTCATTACTTAAAGATGAATTGGTATGATTTCTAGTGCATAGAACATTTATACATTCTTACTCTGTAAAAATTTCATCTCCTGTTTTGTTCAAGCCCTTTGCTCATTTTTCTATTAGATTGTTTATATTTATATTACCTATATTACATTTATATTTATATTACATATTTTTTATTATATAAAATACAATGTTTTGTATTATCTTTGGATGTTTTTTAAAAACTCAACCATCATAAAAGCAGAAACTATTCTAACCTGCTCTTCTTGCCATCTTTCAATCGCAGGAAATGGTATTTTCAGTCTTCCCTTTCTACAGGCCAAAAACACTGGTGTCATTGTTCTGTCCTATATCCACTACACTATTGACACAAACTTCAGAACGTGTCTAGACTCTGGCTGGTCCTTACTACCTGTACCCAAGATAGCAATATTTGTCTAAGTCATTATTTCCTCTTGCCTGGTCAGCACGCCTACACCTGTGTTATAAAATAAATAAATGATCAAGTGCAGTGGCTCATGTCTGTAAGACCAACACTTTGGAAGACCCAGGCAAAAGGATGCCTTGAGCCCAGGAGTTCAAGACCAACCTAAGCAACATAGTGAGACTGTGTCTCTATAAAAAATAAGCAAATTTGCCAGATGTGGTATTACATGCCTGTAGTCCAACTACTCAGGGTAGCGTGAAGGGGGTGCTGAGATGGGAGGATCACTTGAGCCTGGGAGGTCAAGGCTGCAGTCAGCTGTAATCTTGCTACTGCACACCAGCCTGGGCCACAGAGCAAGACCTTGTTCAAAAAAACAAAAATAAAATGTAAAAATAATTGCATGTTATCAAAGGTATGGGAATATTATACTTTATTTAATTACTTTATTTTTTATTAAATTCTTTCCAGTTTCCCAATATTAAAAATAAATAGCATTAAAGTTAAAAGGTCACAGAAAAACAAATACTTTATGAATCCACTTATATGAGGTAACTAGAAAAGTCAAATTCATAGAGAAAGTGCAAGAATCAAGAGTTGACTTTTGATTCTGTTAATTCTGAGATATCTAGCTGACATCTAGAGTTGCACATGATCATTTAAAAGCATTCATTTCAACTCACTGTCTCATGCCTTGAGGCTAGATCATTAAGTTTTTAAAAAGGATTCATTTTTAACTGGCTCGCTTAAAACAATTTTAACATTAAAAAAAATGAACACCATATGTAAATAAAATCTTTTGGCCCAATTCTGCATTTTAATATGGTAGCTATTATACAATGCAACCACCTGTGAAAAATGAGTCAACCATAGTTTAGTAAGACTCTGGTACAGTGAAACAATTTATAATGTAAAACAGAATTATCTCATTTGGTGATTATCAAAATTGCAAGCTGAATAAAATGAGAAGTTCCATCTGTTACTATCTACCTTTCACCCCTGCAAGAAGGAAACATAAAATGGAAGGGAGTTATATGCTGCTCCAAGTGGTTGCATAGAATGAAAGTTCCCATTTGGCAGGAACTATGTGTTATTCATTTTTGTATCACCCACAGTGGCTTGTGCAGTAGGCGTCTAATTAACATTTGTGGAATTTAATCAAAGTCTATTTAGCTGTAAAGAAAAATGTCATGGTCATTATTCAATACATTTACACAAGCATTTCTTATGGAATGTTAAAAACAAAAAACAGCTTAACTTCTGGCAGCTCTAAGTATCCACAACACAGATGGTAACAGAGAAAATAAGTGAAAAAGGATTAACTGCCATAAAAACACTTGTACTTTAGTATTTAAGAGAGGCTAGTGGTTACCTTTAGGCCAGAGAATGGCTTAGAATTATAGGTAAATGAAAATTAATTGGTTTAATAACTTAAGACAGTAAATTAAAAGTAACAGGTACAACTACTTTAACTGAAACATACTGATAAATGATCATTACAAATGATGAAAAGAAAGCAGTATTGCCAGTTGTTAATATAAAGTAAATAATCTAAATGAAGTATTCACTGCTGGTAGCACTTTTCTCTTACAGCAAAATGTCATAATTGATGTGTGTAATGATTAAAACAAGATTCAATTCCATAAAAATGGCAATAGCTAGCATGTAATTAGATGCTACAGGGATTCAAAAAGGAGTAAGACACAAACACAGCCACCAGCAGCCTAGACGTCCAAAAGAGAAGATAAGAGGTGGCTCACACCTGTAATCCCAGCAGTTTGGGAGGCCGAGGCAGGTGGATCACGAGGTCAGGAGTTTGAGACCAGCCTGGCCAGGATGGTGAAACCCCAACTCTACTAAAAATACAAAAAATTAGCCAGGCATGGTGGCTCGCACCTGTAATCCCAGCTACTTGGGAGGCTGAGGCAGGAGAATTGCTTGAACCCGGGAGGCAGAGGTTGCAGTGAGCCGAGATCATGCCACTGCACTCCAGCCTGGGTGACAGAGCAAGACTCCGTCTCACAAAAAAAAAAAAAAAAAAAAAAAAGAAAGAAAGAAAGAAAGAAAAAGAAAAGCATATGACTATAAGTAAAGGCAGACTATGAAGTTTACCCAGCATCAGGTATACAAAGGAAAGACAAATAAGAAAGGCGTGGTTCATGGAAGAAGTTCAATGTTTTTCCAGGTAAAGAAGAAAGATCAGAAAACTTTACCAGGTGAGGCAGTGCGTAGCAATCAGTAGGGGATTCATGAGAGATGTAAATGAGAAGAGAGTTTGGAGCCACGTTACACACATATTAAGATGAAGATTTTTTAACTTAGTAAGGGCGGACCTTTGAGAGTCATAGAAGGAGTTTGAGCAGGAAAATATTTCATAAGAGAATTTTGGTAATGAGAAGCTCTAACAACATTGTGTAGACCTTACTACTCAACATGTGCTTCCCAGGCCAGCAGCATCAACATACAATAGCATTAGCTTGTTAGAATACAGACTCTCAGCACCCCCGCTCCACACCCATAGGATCAGAATTGCATGTTGACAAGATCCCCAGGTAATATGTAGCACATTAAAGTTGGAGAAGGACGGTTATAGAAAAGCCTGGTGGGGAAACATTATGGACATTGAAAACCAATCAACAAGTCATTGCAATAATATAATTGAGAGGTTATGAAAAGCAGAAAATCACTACTGCCATGCCCCACTTATGCATCAATATCTCTCAGATAAGAACAAGGTGCATCTTAACTCAGTCACCACTGACTGTGATATTTATTAGACTTCTGGCTCTTTCTTTTTTTAAGCCCTAGACTGAATCCCTAATTTTACTCAATTTCATCATCTCCCTTTCCACCATGTGTTGAGATCCCAGCTTCCCCTAAACCAAATTTGTGAAGGTTCTCTGTCGTATATTGTATGATAACAAAATCCTCTACCTGCAGCTAGGAAAATGGTGTTAAAAAACATGAAAAAGCCCTAAATCACTGCTCTCAGCTGAGTCCCAGATATCCTAGAAGTCAAAGTCTCTTCTTAAGGATTTTATTTTGTTGAAAGCACTGTGATGCATTTTAAGTTACTTTTCTCATAAATAGAATACTTTACAAAGTGTTATACTTTATAAGCTCTCATGCCTAGGAGGTGCTCACTGTGCCTATCTCCCAACACAGAAATTTTCCTAAATGTAACCTTTCCCACTGTCCATCTGCTAGGTGTGCCTTCCCAGGCATCCCACTGTTCCCACCTGACAAACTCCAAATCATCCTTCAGCATCTCTTCTGGGTGATCCCCAAATCCCTCTCCTCCCGCTACACAACTGGCTGAGCTGCTTCTGCTTTCCTATCCTGGTCAGAGAGAACCAAAGCTTCCCCTCGGGTAGATGATCCACTATAGAGTTATTCCATGGTTCCTAGAATAAGCTTCATGCTACAGATCATAATCTAGAACACTAAATATAGCTAGAGGTTCACATTAATAGAAAGAGAAAAAGAAAGAAAGGAAAAGAAAAAAACAACAAATATTTTTAATGTATTTGCAATTTTTTCAACATTAATACCTGGCCATTTTTTTTAATTTGAAAACGAAGTTGGTTGGCGAGATAGCCTTCAATACTCTATGATTAAAACATAACATAATGGCTGGAATTTACTAAGTTTTCAATGTCTTATAGCCCACTCCTTTTATGCCTTAGTAAAAAAAAATAATATTTCATTTTCAAGAGGCTTTTCTCTAATGCTAGTTTCACTATGTGCACTTTGTAATAATTTCATATTCTATTGAATTTCAGGCAGCTGCTTAAATTGCAACATAAATCTCACCAGAGGATGCAAAGTTATCCTCAGAAATACTTTCATTTTCAAACCAACATCTTACTGTATTGGAATACTAGACTCAGAGCTTTAATAAACAATGTGCATTTTTGCAATAAACCCATTGCTAGAGGTATGAAATAGATTTTCAAGTTTGAACTCCCAATTATTGTAACTCCAAGCTATAATATTAAAAATAAACTGACCTTTAAGAACAAATTTTTGAACTAATGACCTATAGCAAAAGTCATGCCTTTGGTGTAACTGATATAATCTGTATCTTTGTCCCAAAAAATCTACTTTACATATGCCAATAATTATGAAACACCTGAGTGCTGAATGATCGTTTTTGCTGCTGAATTGATCACAACCCACTGCCACGGTGGGGTTGTTGAGAGGTTCAGAAGATACCTCTCGAAGCCTGCCTCTCCCTCAAATGAACTTACTATCTAAGTACAAACAGCTTCTTTGCTGGTCAAATGCAACTCCAGGCCTACACCAAATAAAAGTACAATTTAAGTAACACCCACACCCACATACATACACACACACACACACACACAGACACTCACACAGAGCTTGCCATATATATTGGGCAACAAAGAACAAAATACATATGCCATGCAAAATTAATTCTATCTTTCTCTAGACTCCTATTACTTTTGATGGTAGAAAAAATATTTACATTTTTAATTGGAAGCCTAATTGGAGTCTAACTTAGTCCCTTTTGGGTAACACTCAATGATTCCAGATTTCTAACCCCTCCACATTTTCCTTTTCAAGTGTGTCCAGGTGAAGCTTGTACGTGCTCATGCAGTGAGAGTGCCCATGATTCATACCGGCCCTTGCAGTTAGTCATGCCCTTGCCTGGTCATAGGGGCTGGTGCTGAGGTGTAGCTGGTTCTTCCGGTTCTTCTAAAGTCCTCACCATTAAAGACTCTTCTTCCTGAGCCCAAACCTCCCTGAAGCCCACTTTTTCTGCATCTCGGTTTTTTCCTGAAAGGTGTGGGAACTCATGGCTTCCTTCTTAATATTTTGCAGGGCTCTGAAAAACTGCCCTCTGTCCACCCACCTAGACAACTCTCCTAACCATCATGAAACTACTGCCCATGCAACACTGTATTAGTCCATTCTCACACTGTTACAAAGAACTGCCCAAGACTGGGTAATTTATAAAGAAAATAGGTTTAATCGACTCACAGTCTGCATGGCTGGGGAGGCCTCAGGAAAGTTACAATCATGGTGGAAGTCACCTCTTCATAGGGCAGCAGGAGAGTGAATGAGAGCCGAGTGAAGGAGGAAGCCCCTTATAAAACCATCAGATCTCGTGAGAACTCACTCACTATCACAAGAACGGCATGAGGGTAACTGACCCAATGATTCAATTATCTCCACCTGTTCCTGCCCTTGACATGTGGGGATTATTACAATTCAAGGTGAGATTTGGGTGGGGACACAGAGCCAAACCATATTAAGCACCATGTCATTCAAGCATTGTACCAAACTAGGGGCATACAGATTGTCCCAGGCTGCCCATCTGTAGTGGGCAGAATAAGGGCCCAGCCCCCAAAAGAGATCCATGTTCCAATCCCCAGGCCCCGTGAATATGTTACTTGGCAATAGGGAATTAAGTTTGCAGAAGAAATCAAGGTTGCTAATCAGCTGACCTTGAGATGAGAAGGTAATCCTGGATTATCTAAAATGAGTCCAAAGTAATCACAAGTGTCCTTAAAAGTGGAGACAGGAGGCAGAAGTGTCAGAGTCAGAGGGATGTGATGTGAGAAGGAATCAACCAGACCTGTGCTGCCTATGAAGATGAAAGAAGGAGCCACAAGCCAAGGAATGCAGGTGGCCTCTAGAAGCAGAAAACACAAGGAAATGGACTCCCCCTGAGAGCTTCCAGAAGGAAACACAGCCCTACTGACCCCTTCATTTTTAAGCCAGGGAGACTCTTTTCTGACTCCTCACCTACAGAACTGTAAGGCAATAAATTTATGTTGTTTAAACCACTAAGTTTGCAGTCATTTGTTACAGAAGCAATAGAAAAGAAATACATGGTAAGTATGGTATCTTGATGGTATCCTTCACTACCCTGAGAAAAGCAAGAAGCAATTTCCTACTTCCCCGAGATTTCCCCACACACTACCAAACCCTCTCTTCTAATGCTGGATCCCAGTGTAGGAAGCAAGACACTGTCCAGCCTCGTAGCACGTCTTCACTTCTCTTTTCCCTGCTCCCCTCTCAGAATAAAAGATGGCAAACTCTTCCTCCATCTTTCTCTTTTTAAAGCGTTTCTCTACTCTACTGAAGCGCTAAATAAATTTAAAAATAAGTAATTTATAATAAATTTGAAGCATTTAAACATCCAAGTTTTCTCCTGATAGTTAAAGAAGTTTTGGGAATTTAGAAATCCCTGTTATCTCCCTCCAAAGCCTAGCTTTCAAGACAATTATCTCAAGGCTGAAGAGAGACTGTTTTCAGGGTCAATGTTTTGCTCTAAATGAGATTGCTCTTTCCCAGTAAGGGAAAAAGGCCAAAGAGGCTATGAGTGGGAAAAGATTTCAAGGAGTGAAAATACATCAGAAAAAAAAAAAAAAAAAAAAAATATATATATATATATATATATATATATATATAAGCTATTATCCTTGATACCCATGCAAATGTGACATCAAGGCAAGTTCCTAGCCTCCTCCCACAATCTCCCAGCCAGATTACTGCTCCTCAACCCTTCTATGCAAAATTCTGGAGCTGCCACTGGGTTAGAAATCCCTCATAAATAAAATATTTTAACCATAACAGAGGGAGAGATAGAAAGAGAGAGAGCAAATCCTCATCCTAGTGATTCAGTCAACAAATGTTTATTGAGCACCTATTGTGTTCTAGGCATTGTTCAGAAGCCTTGAGAAATAGTAAGGGTAATAGAGGTAGCCCTTTCTAGGACCATCCTCCAGGCATTTTCTTCAAACCTGGTCCATACAGCCCACCTATGGCATCCAAAATGGGACATCAAATGTATCAAGTCTGAGGAACAGTGTTGAGCAAATGGAACTTGGTGGATGGCAGATTGTCTTTGTTTGAAAAATGTTTGAGATTCACCTCTGCTTTAAGCCTTCCCTGAGGTGAGAGGCATAATATGGTCTCTTTGAACTATTTAGGGAACAAAAACTAATTCCTATGCATCCCCTACTGCAATATCTCAGATGAAAGATTTAGTCGTGTAGAAGAACAGGATGCCAGAGGGTTCTGTTTGACTGCTAAGTGCCAAAAAGTAGGCTCTACTCCAATATCTGGGGGCTGTTCAGAGAAATTAATTGGACTAGCCCAGATAGACACTACCTGACCCTACTTCTGGGCCTGTTAGTTTCTACAGTGAGTAATGAGCCAGGGCATGACTTAATCTGGCAGAAGCTACCCTGGAAATTCAGAAATACAAAAGCTTTGAGCCTAAGCTAATGCCAATAGGTCCAAAAGTAGGGCCACAAGTCACTGGAGGCACCTGTACTTTTTCACGAGGTTCTGCACCCAGAATGGAGTGAAGCACAGGACAGGTGGTAAGGGCTGTCTTTCTGTTCTCTGGTCTGTAATTTTTTTCTGGGGAACTCTGATGCCTATTCCTAACCTGGCTTACATGTCTTCTGAATCCACTGTGTCTTCTTCCAGTTAATCAATCGGTTTGAGAGAAGGGAAATGAAATATCCAAAAAGCACATAGGCCAGTTTATTTAGTTTGTGACTGAAAACACTACCAGTGGCTACAAAAAAAACTTCCCCAGTTATTCCACAAGCCATAACAAAATGCTAGACAGTTGTAAGAGTCAGATGAGTAAGTATAGTGAGTATAAAGTTTGTCTGTCTATGCTGAAAGATAGCCTTTTACCCCACCACTTTCCTGCGATTTTATAGGTTAATATCTCCAACCCCCACCCTCTCTCTCTCTCTCTCTCTCTGACACACTCAACATACAAACTTAATATATGATAAAGATGGTATCTAGAATCAATGGTGAATGACTAAATTGTTTAATAGTAGATATTGGTGGAAATGCCTCATAATGAGAAAACAAAAGGCTGGATAATCACCTAACATCACATACAAGTGTGGACACCAGATAAACTAGACTTAATGTGAAAGCGAAAAACACATATTTGCCAGGCACAGTGGCTCATGCCTATAATCCCAGCACTTTGGGAGGCCAAGGCAGGAGAATTGCTTGAGTCCAGGAGTTCGAGACCAGCCTGGGCAACATGTTGAGACTCTGTCTTTACAAATAATGAAAAAAAAAACAAAAAATTAGCCAGGCATGGTGGCACACACCTGTGGTCCCAGCTACTTGGGAGGCTGAGGCAGGAGGATCGCTTAAGCCTGGGAGGTAGAGCCTGCAGTGAGTGGTGTTCACATCACTGCACTCCAGCCTGGGTGACCTGGTCTCAAAAAAATAAAAAATAAATAAATATATATAAATATATGAGATATATATATATATATATATATATGTACGGGATGCATATATACACACATACACACACACACACACATATATATACACACACACATATATATATATTGCCTATCCATTCTCCTATGTTTCCTCTCAATACCTACCTCTGTCAAGTAATGCTCAATGAATATCTTTCTATACGTTCTCTTATAGACTATGTGAGAAATATGTGATATTCTCACATAGGTCTATAAGAAGACATACAGAAAGATATTCTTAAAAAATCACAAAGTTACTTTTCCTCTATTAACTATATATACGTATAGCTATGGCAACACAGTCCATAAGACAAGAATTCTGTTTAACCATTTATAGCATGAACAAAGTTAGCCAAGGACAGAATGAGAGGAGGTAACTGGAATTTTTAACTCCAGTGGGAAATTAATATCTAGAATATAAAACAACCTATTTCAAATCAGTTGGAAAAAAGAATAACTCTCAATAAAAAAATGAACAGGCAATTTAGAGAAGAAAAAATGACAAACATAAAAAAGACATATGAATTTATTAGTAATCAGGGAAATGCATATGAAAGCAATAGTGAAATACATCAAATTAAATGAAAAATAAGAATGAGGGCCCGAAGTAAATGAAAAAATAAGAATTTGGGCCGGGCGCGGTGGCTCACACCTGTAATCCCAGCCCTTTGGGAGGCCAAGGCAGGCGGATCAGGAGGTCAGGAGATCGAGCCCATCCTGGCTAACACGGTGAAACCCCGTCTCTACTAAAAATGCAAAAAAATTAGCCGGGTGTGGTGGTGGGTGCCTGTAGTCCCAGCTACTCGGGAGGCTGAGCCAGGAGAATGGCGTGAACCCGGGAGGCAGAGCTTTCAATGAGCCGAGATCACGCCACTGCACTCCAGCCTGGGCGACAGAGCAAGACTCCATCTGAAAAAAAAAAAAAAAAAAAGAATGTGAGGCCATGCCAAATGCTGGCAGAAGTCTGACTACATTTGCATTCTCATGCAGTGCTGGTAGAAGTAGAAAGGAGCATCTATTCCCCCAAAGCAATCTTCCAGTACTTAGACAAATTAGTATCTGCATGATCTATGGTACAGCAATTTTGTTCCTGGTCATATATACGAAGGAAATTCTCACATGGGTCTATAAGAGGACATATAGAAAGATATTCATTAAGCATTCCTTGATGGTAGCAGGTATTGGGAGGAAACCTAGGGGAATGGATAGGCAAAAGGTGGATGCCCACCATGGAGTCCCATGCAACTGCAATCAAACGGCTCTACGTACACCCAGAAACATACATGGATTTTGAAAATAAGGTATTGAGAGAAAACTTCTTTTAAAAAACTGAATGAGACATAGTATACAAAACAATTTATGTAGACTAAAATACATGTACATGAAATAAGACACAACTTGCTAGAACATAGACAACAAGATACATAGTAAACACTTTAGAATGGCTGCCTGTATGTATATTTAGTATAAAGGTTAAAAGACAAAACTATGAAAAACAATAATAGTGACAGTAATATGTTAAGGGAGACGCAACATAAAAAGATGTGAATTATGACAAATACACATTGTGACAAATTTAAAAATTTTAATGTGGGAGTGGAGGGTAAAATAAAAGTGTAGAGTTTTTTATGTGATCAAAATTAAGTTGTTCTCAGCTTAAAGTAGTCTGTTATAAATATAGGCTGCCTTGTGTAAGCTTCATGGTAACCACAAAGCAAAAACTTACAGTAGATACGCAAAAGATGAAAAGAAATCAAAGAATATCACTAGAGAAAATCACCTAATCACAAAGGAGAGCAGCAAGAGGAAAAGAAAGTAACACAGGATCTACAAAACAACCAGAAAATCATTAATAAGATGGCAGTAATAAGTCCTTAGCTATCGATCCTTACCTTGAATATAAGTGAATTCATTCTCCAATTAAAAGGCACAGAGTGAGGTTCCAGTTTAAGATGACTGACTAGAACCAGGTAGTAGGCACCTCTTTCACCGGGAGAAACCAAAATAGGGAGTAAATACTAACACTTCAAGAAGTTAGTCAAAGAGAGCACCCTGAAATTCACTAGAGAAATGATGGCACCTATGGAAAGCTAAAAGGGCAAAGCCAAGCAGCCACCAAGCTGGGACTGGTGCGGAGCCAGGAGAGACTTGCTAATATGAAGAAGGGTGAGTGAGTGAGAGCCCCCTGGGGATCCACACCTCCACCATGAACCTTTAAAATCCTAGTCACACATACACACACACACACACACACACACACGAGAGCTACCGGGAGACTGTGCAGAGGCACCAACCAAAAGCCACATGGATTCCCATAGGCTTTTGATTCCTGAGCAACCCAGCACCAGCTGCCACTGCCCTGCAAATCCGGAAGGCCAAGCACTTTCACACATCCCCAGGATAGATACTGTGGCCAGACTACCTGCCACATGACTTCCTGCCTCCACTGTGCCTTGCCAAATAAGGTTTACCTGCTTCAGGCCCCCAGTGTACCCACCCCAGCCCTACCTGAACACTGCAGCCATGGCCCAGTGTTCCTCTGAGAACCCAACTCCCGGAAGTCACTGAGAGGCGCTTTGCAGTCACCAGTGCCACTGTCTCCACCCCTGCCACTCCTGGGCCAGGAAGAGAATAGGGAGGCTGGGCACTGTCATGCATCTCCAGCACAGATGCTGCAGCTGAGATATGGAGGAGCAGTGGGCAGACTCTGCACCCCACAACTCCACACCTCTGCTGCTCCCTGCCATATGAGACTTGCTGGCTTCAGACCCCCAGTGCATCCACCTGGTCCCTGCATGAATACTGTAGCCATGGCTCAGTGTTAATCTGAAAGCCCTACTCCCAGAGGTCACTTACAAGCCCTTTACAGCCACCACCCCCTACTGCCCCTTCCTTTGCTTCCCCCAGGCCAGGGAGGAAGCAGAGAGGGCTGGCACCTTTGCATGCCCCTAACAGTGAAATCCAGTGTTGTTTCTGCAGGAGGGAAGTGCAAACGTGCCACATGCCCCATGGCTGTGAGTCTCCATTGCCCCAGCTGAAGGGACCTGCCCTTCTCAGTGAAAGGTTTACAGCACAGCCACCCTGCCCCCATCTGAACATTTCAGCTGCGGCCCAGGGCCCTTCTGAGAGCCCAACCCCCACAGGCTTGTGATCTGCCTCAGGCTCCCACCACCTTGGCATTCTGCCTGTCCCTGCCTGAGAGTTCTGTGGGTGACCCAAGGACCAGCCCACCCCTCCTCATCACAGACAGCACCTGAACTCAGGGCTGGCCTGACCCCAGTCCAGCCCCTTGGAGACTCATGCATGCCATCCAGTGGACCATCTTGGGGCCTGGGCCTGGGGAACTACCTAGTCCAGTCCAACACTGCTGGCACCTGACCACTCCCCCAAGGGCCTGAGGTTGGGCTGATCCAATCAGCCAATACGCCCACAGCTGACGCTCATCACACAGGCCAGAAGACAGAGTCCCCTCCCCTCCACATGATGTAGCAATTTTACCACGTTAGAGAATAGGTGAGCCATAAAGATGTCTGTATTGGGCTGAGTGAAGAGGTTCAACCCCAAAACCACTCCCTTGGAGAGTCGAAACAGAGGCACTTGTCATGGCTCTGAAGATAGACAACAGTGTGTGTCTGAACTGACATTCACAAGGCCAAGAACAGGGGCGTGAAAAGCAAACAGATCATGTTTCTTCCTATTTAGGACATGGAGCTGGTGCAACCTCCTCATGCCCCACAGAGAACTTCAGCACATTTTACCAGCAGCCCCTCTAGTCACCCTCATTAGGCCTGGTGCCTGTGCTCATCACTGGGGTATTCATAAACAACCCAGGGGGTTCAGCTCTGTCTATTCCCCTGCTGAACAGGAAGCTTAGGACTCTGGGCACTCCACTGTCCAGCCCACCACCTGAAACAACAGATAGCACCTGACGGTAAACAAAGATCAAGTACATACCCATGTACATACTTTGTGCTATAGCTGGCTCTTACTCGTAAGTGCCATCTACCGGCCGCAGGTCAAACTGCACAGGCCAATATAAAAGCTGCAGACAGAAGTGCACGGGGTAACAGAAGCAAAGCCAAAGGACCTCACCCAACATACTCTACAATCACAACCCCAGGGTTGGGAGGAAAAATATAGGGAAATTCTAAAAATCCCATCTGAATGAAAAGAATGTCAAAAATAAGAAGTGGCAGGCTCTCCAGATGGGAAGAAATTAGCATAAGAATTATGGCATCACAAAAAAATTTGAATGTTGTGACACCACCAAAGGATCACGCTAGCTCTCTAGAAATGGCCGTTAACCAAAATGGAAACTCAGAAATGATATATAAAGAATTCAAAGTATGGATTACGAGGAAGCTCAAGGAGATCCAAGACGAGGTTGAAAACCAACACAAAGAAGCTACGAAAGCAAGCCAGGAAATGAAGAAAGAGATAAATGTCTTGTTTTTAAAAATCAGAACGTCTAGAAGTGAAATATCATTTAAGGAATTTCAAAATAAATAGAAAACATTAACAATAGACTAGATAAAGCAGAAGAAAGAATTTCAGAGCTTGAAAACCAGTATTTAAAACTAACATAGTCAGGCTGGGCACAGTGGCTCACGTCTGTAATCCCAGCACCTTGGGAGGCTGAGGTGGAGGGATCATCTGAGGTCAGGAGTTCAAGACCACCCTGGCCAACATAGCAAAACTTCGTCTCTACTAAAAATACAAAAATTACCTGAGTGTGGTGGTGCAAGTCTGTAATTTTGGCTACTCAGGAGGCTGAGGCATGAGAATTGCTTGAACCCAGGAGGCAGAGGTTGCAGCGAGCCAAGATCATGCCACTGCACTCCAGCTTGGGTGACAGAGTGAGTGAGACTCCGTCTTAAAAAAAAAAAAAAAAAAGAAAACAAAAGAAAAGAAAAAAATTCAGAGAATATATGTGAGATACTGTACAAGATGAACACCACCAAGGTATATAGTCATCAGACAATCCAAAGTCAACACTAGAGAAAAGTCCTTAAAGGGAGCTAGAGAAAAAGGTCAAATCATCTATAAAAGACAAACAATCAGATTAACAATAGACTCCTTAGCAGAAACCCTAAAAGAGTTTCGGGGCCTATTTTTAGCATCCTTAAGCTCAAAAACACCAGTCAAGAATTTTATATCCTGCCAAACTAAGCTTAATAAATAAAGGGGAAATAAAGCCTTTCTTAGATAAGCAAACGCTAAGAGAATTTGTCACCATGAGACCAGTGCTACAAGAGATGCTCAGACGAGTTCTACACATGGAAACAGAAAATGATACTTGCATCAGAAAAAGGACACATAAGTAAAATGCTCACAGAGCCTATAAATCAAATACACAATCAAAACTCCAAAACTAGCTAACAATACTACAACAATAACAGAACCTCACATATCAATATTAACCTTGAATGTAAATGGCCTAAATGCCCTACTTAAACATAGAGTGGCAAATTGGATTTAAAAAAATACAAGACACAACCATCTGTTGTCTACGTGAGATGCACCTAAAGACAAATTCAGACTCAAAGTAAAAGGGTGGAAAAATATATACAACACAAACGGAAAATGAAAGTGAGTAGGAATAGACATACTCATATTAGATAAAACTAATAAACTTAAAATGGGAGCAGTTACAAAAGACAAAGTCATTATATAATAATAAAGGATTCAACACAACAAGATTTAGCAATTCTAAATATATATCAACCCAATACCAGAGCACCCAGATTCATAAAATAAACACTAATAAACCTAAGAAAGCAGATTGATAGCAATAGAATAATAGTGAGGATTTCAATACCCCCTGACATTAACAGACAGATCATAAAGACAGACAATCAACAAAGAAACTCTGGACTTAAACTGGCCAATAGACCAAAGAGACCTGATAGACATTTATTCTACCAAACAACTGCAGAACATACATTTTTCTCACCTACACGTGAAAGATTCTCCATAATCAACCATATGCTTCTCCTTAAAGCAAGTCTCAATAAATTCAAAAAAATCAAAATCATATAAAGTGTCTTGTCAGACTACAGGATAATAAAATTAGAAATCAATACCAAGAGGAATTCTCAAAACTATACAAGTACACGTAAACTAAACAATTTGTTTCTGAACGAGTTTTGGGTAAACAATAAAATTAAGGCAAAAATTAAAAATTATTTGAAATGAATGAAAACGGAGATACAACATAAAACAACCTCTGGCATAGAGCAAAAGCAGTGCTTAAAGAAAAGTTGATAACACTAAATGCCTCCATTGAAAAGATAGAGAGATCTCAAATTAACAATCTACCATCACACCTTAAGGAACTTGAAAAACAATAACAAACCAAACTCAAAGCTAGCAGAAGAAAAGAAATAACAAAGATCAGAGCAGAACTAAATGAGATTGAGACAAAAAAAAACAATTTAAAAGATCAATAAAACAAAAAGTTGGTTTTTTGAAAAGATAAACAAAATTGACAGACCACTAGACTAACCAAGAAAAAAGAGAGAAGATTCAAATAAGCACAATCAGAAATGATAAACATGACATTGCAACTGATATCAGATAGATACAAAAGATCAGAACACCTCAGTGCACACAAACTAGAAAACCTAGAGGAAATGGATAAATTTCTAGATTCATACAACTTCCTGAGATTAAACCAGGAAGAAATAGAAACACAGAATAGACCAATAGCAAGGATTAAATTTGAATTGATAATAAAAAATCCTCCAACAAAAAAAAGTGTAGGACTGGAAGGATAAAGAACTGAATCTTACCAGATGTATGAAGAAGAGCTGGTACCAATGTTACTGAAACTATTCTAAAAAATCAAAGAGGAAGAATCCTACCTAACTCATTCTATGATTCCAGTATGATCCTTATATCAAAACCATGTAAGGACATCAAACCAGAAAACTACAATATCACTGATGAACATAGATGTAAAAATTCTCAACAAAATAGTAGCAGACTGGATCCAACAACACAATAAAAAAAAAATTCATCATGATCAAGTAGGCTTTATTCCAGGGATGCAAAGTTGGTTCAACATATGCAAGTCAATAAATGTCATTTCACCACATAAAGAGAACAAAAGCAAAAATTGCATTATCTCAATAGTTACAGAATATGCATTTGATTAAATCCAATATCCCTTCAGCATAAACACCCTCAACAACCTAGGCATAGAAAGAACATATCTCAAAATAATCATAATCATGAGAGCCATACATGATAAACCCACAGCCAACATCATACTGAATGCGGAAAAGCATTTCCCCTAAGACCTGGCACAAGAGGAGAATGTTGACTCTCACTACTGCTATTCAACTGGAAGTACTAGAAGTCCTAGCCAGAGTGGTCAGGCAGGAGAAAGAAATAAAAGGCTTCCAAATTGGAAAAGAGGAAGTCAAATTATATCTGCTCACTGATGACGTTTGTATACCTAGAAAACCCTGAAGACTCCTCCAGAAGACTCCTAGACTTGACAAGTGACTCCAGTAAAGTCTCAGGATACAAACTCAACATACAAAAATTAGTAGCATTTCTATAAACCAAAAACATTCAAGCTGAGAACCAAATATTTCATGCAAATGAACCAAAAAGAGCAGAGGTAGCTATATTTGTATCATATAAAATATGCTTTAAGTCAAAAACTGGAAAATGAGACACAAAGGTCATTATATAATGATAAAGGAGTCAGTTTATAAAGAGGATATGACAATTGTACATATATATGCATCTGACATTGGAGCACCTAAATAAATAAAGCAAACATTAATAGATCTCTAAGGAGAGATAGACTGTGATACAGAAATAGGAAGGAAGTTCTATACTTTACTTTCAGCAACAAACATATCACCCAGACAGAAAATCAGTAAGGAAATGTCAGCCTTAAACTACACTTTAGACAAAATGGACCTAATAGACTTATACAGAACATTCTAACAGCAATAGAGTACACATTCATCTCAAGTATACATGGAATATTCTTGAGGGCAGGTCATATGTTAGGCCCTAAAATAAGCCCTAACAAACTTAACAAATCATATCAAGTCTCTTATCTGACCAAAATGGCATGAAACTAAAAACCAATCATGGGGAATTTTTTGAAAATTCACACAAACATGGAAGTTAAACAACATGCTCCTAAACAACCAACGGGTCAATGAATGAATGAAGAAAAAAAAACTTTAAATATCTTGAAACGAACAAAAGTGGAAACAGAACATACCAAAACTTATGGGTTGCAGCAAAAACAGTTCTGAAAGGAAAAGTTATAGCAATGAATGCCTACAGCAAAAAAATTTTAAATCTCAAATAAATAACAATGTTATACACCAAGAATCAAGAAAAAGAAGAACAAACGATGTTCAAAGTTAGAAGAAAGGAGGAAATAAACATCAGAGCAAAAAATAAATGAAATAGAGACTAAGAAAAACAGAGAAGATCAATAAAACATAGTTGATTTTTTGAAAAGATAAGCAAAAGCAATAAAACTTTAGCTAGACTAACTCCAAAAAGAGAGAAAACTTAATAAATACAATCAGAAATTAATCAGGAAGTATTATGACTGATACCATCATAAGAGACTACTGTGAACAATTATACAACAACTAATTAAACATTCTAGAGGAAATGGATAAATTCCTAAACACTTACAACCTACCAATAACAAATCATGAAGAAATTGAAAATATGAATAAACCAATAATGAGTAAGGGGATTTAATCAGTAATAAAAAGTCTACCATCAAAGCAAAGCCCAAGACATGATGGCTTCACTGCTGAATTCTACCAAGCATTTAAAGAACTAATGTCAATTCTTCACAAACTCTTCCAAAAAAATTGAAGAGGAAGAAATACTTCCAAACTCATTTTATAAGGCCAGCATTACCCCCAAAGTCAGAGAAGGACACTCTAATTAAAAACAAAATTACGCACCAATCTTCCTGTTGAAGATGGAGGTGCAAATTCTCAACAAAATACCAGCAAACTAATCCAACAACTTATTAAAAGGATCATTCACTATGATCAAGTAGGATTTATTCTAAGGATGTAAGGACAGTTCAACATATGCAAATCTATAAATGTGATATATCACATTAACAGAATGAAAGACAAAAACCACATGATCATCTTAGTAAATGCAGAAAAAGCATTTGACAAAATCTAACAAACTTTTATGATAAAAATTCTCAACAAATTAGGTGTAGAAGAAATGTACCTCAACATAATAAAGGCTATATATGACAAACTCACAGCTAGCATCATACTCAATGGTGAAAAGTTGAAAGCTTTTCCTCTAAGTTCAGAAACAAGACTAGAATAACCTCTCTTGCCACTTCTATTGAATACAGAACTGGAAGCTCTAGGCAGAGCAATTTGGCAAGAGAAAGAGAGAAAAAGCAACAAAGTGGAAAGGAAAAAGCAACAAAGTGAAAGCAGGAATTTCCCTGTTTGCAAATGACAGGATCTCACATATAGAAATCCCTAAATACTCCACCAAAAGAAAAGACTGCTAAAACTGATTTAAGTAAATCAGTAAAATTGTAGAATACAAAAACCAATTTACAAAAATCAGTAGCACCTCTGCACACTAACAATGAACTAACTCCCCCAAAAAACAAATCAAGAAAACAATCCCATTTACAATACCTCCAAAAAAGTAAAATATTTAAAAGTAAATTTAACCAAAAGAGATGAAATATCTGCACATTGAAAACTATAAAACATTCATGAAAGAAATTGAAGAAGACACAAACAAATGGAAAGATATTCCATGTTCATGAATTGAAAGAAATAATATTGTTAAAATGTGCATACTACCCAAAGCTATCTACAGATTCAATCCAATCCCTACAAAATTCCAATGATGTTTTACACAGCAATAGACAAAACAATCCTAAAATTTGTACGAAACCACAAAAGACTCTCAATAACCAAAGCACTCTTGAGCAAAAACAATAAAGCTGAAGGCATCACACTATGTGACTTCAAAATATATTACAAACCCATAGCAATCAAAACAGCATGCTTCTGGCATAAAAACAGACATATAAATCAACGGAACAGTCTGGAAATCCCAGAAATAAATCCACACATATACAGTCAATTGATTTTCAACAAAAGTGCCAAGAACATGCAGTGGATAAAGGACATATCTTTAATTAATAATGTTGGAAAAACTGAATATCCACATGCCAAAAAATGAAATTAGACCCCTACTTCATGCCATATATAAAAATCATCCCAAAATTGATTAAAACATAAGATCTGAAACCATGAAATTACTAGAAGAAAACATAGGAGGAAAGCTCTACGAAACTTGGGCAATGATTTTTTTTTGGAAATGAACCCAATAGTACAGGCAACACAAGAAAAAAAAATACACAAGTGGGATTACATCAAACTAAAAATGTCTACACAAGAAATAAAACAGCAAAATGAAGAGACAACCTATGGAATGGTAGAAAATATTTCCAAACCATACATCTGATAAGGGTTTAATATTCAAAATATGTAAGAAACTCAAACAACTCAATAGAACAAAAACAAATAACTCAATTTAAAAATAGGCAAGAGAAGTGGCTGGTAAGATGGCCGAATAGGAACAACTCTGCTCTGCAGCTCCCAGTGAGAACAATCCAGAAGGTGGGTGATTTCTACATTTCCAACTGATGTACCTGGCTCATCTCACTAGGACTTAAGGTTAGACAGTGGGTGTAGTCTATGGAGGGCAAGCAGAGGCTGAGTGGGGTGTCGCCTCACCCAGGAATTGAAAGGGGTCCAGGAACTCCCTCCATGAGGCAAGGGAAGCCACGAGGGACTGTGCCATGAGGGACAGTGTATTCCACCCCAGAAGTCACACTTTTCCCACGGTCCTCACAGCCCGCAGACCAGGTTATTCCCTCGGGTGCCTACACAACCAGGGCCCTGGGTTTCAAGCACAAAACAGGGTAGCCATTAGGGCAAACACCAAGCTAGCAGCAGGAGATTTTTTATCGTATCCCAGTGAGGCCTGGAATGCCAGCGAGACAGAACCATTCACTCACCTGGAAAGGGGGCTAAAGCCCAGTGGTCTAGCTCAGCGGATCCCCCCCTCCACAGAGCCCAGCAAGCTAAGATCCACTGGCCTGAAATTCTTGCTGCCAGCACAGCAGTCTGAAGTTGACCTGGGATGCTCAAGCTTGATGGGGGGAGGGGCGTCCATCATTACTGAGGGTTGAGTAGGCGGTTTTCCCCTGACAGTGTAAACAAAGCTGCCAAGAAGTTCAAACTGGACAGAACCCACCACAGCTCCACAAAGCCACTGTAGCCAGACTGCCTCTCTACATTCCTCCTCTCTGGGCAGGCCACCTCTGAAAGAAAGGCAGCAGCCCCAGTCAGGGGCTTATAGATAAAACTCCCATCTCCCCGGGACAGAGCACTTGGGGGAAGGGGCATCTGTGGGTGCAGCTTCAGCAGACTTAAACGTTCCTGTCTGCTGGCTCTGAAGAGAGCAGCAGATCTCCCAGCACAGCACTCCAGCTCTCCTAAGGGACAGACTGCCTCCTCAAGTGTGTCCCTGAACCCTGTGCCTCCTGACTGGGAGACACCTCCCAGCAGGGATCGACAGACACCTCATACAGGAGAGCTCTGGCTGGCATTTGGCGGGTGCCCTCTGGGACAAAGCTTCCAGAGGAAAGAACAGGCAGCAATCTTTGCTGTTCTCAGCCTCTGCTGGTGATACCCATTTAAACACAGTCTGGAGGGGGCCTCCAGCAAACTCCAGCAGACCTGCAGAGGAGAGGCCTGACTGTTAGAAGGAAAACTAACAAACAGAAAGGAATAGCATCAACATCCACAAAAAGGACATCCACACAAAAACCCCATCCAAAGGTCACCAACATCAAAGACCAAAGATAGATAAATCCATGAAGATGAGGAAAAAACAGCGCAAAAGGGCTGAAAATTCCAAAAACCAGAATGCCTCTACTCCTCCCAAGGATCACAACTCCATGCCAGCAAGGGAACAAAACTGGACGGAGAATGAATTTGACCAACTGACAGAAGTAGGTTTCAGAAGGTGGGTAACAACAAACCCCTCTGAGCTAAAGGAGCATGGTCTAAGCCATTGCAAGGAAGCTAAGAACCTTGAAAAAAGATTAGAGGAATTGCTATCTAGAATAACCAATTTAGAGAAGAATATAAATGATCTGATGGAGCTGAAAAACACAGCTTGAGAACTTTGTGAGGCATACACAAGATTCAATAGCCAAATCGATCAAGCAGAAGAAAGGATATGAGAATTGAAGTTCAACTTAATGAAATAAAATCTGAACATTAAAGTAGAGATAAAAGAATGAAAAGGAACAAACAAAGCCTCCAAGAAATATGGGACAATGTGAAAAGACCAAACCTACGTTTCAATGGTGTACCTGAAAGTCATGAAGAGAATGGAACCAAGTTGGAAAACACTCTTCAGGATATTATCCAGGAAAACTTCCCCAACCTAGCAAGAGAGCCCAACACTAAAATTCAGGATACACAGAGAACACTACAAAGATACTCCTCAAGAAGACCAACCCCAAGACACATAATCATCAGATTCACCAAGGTTGAAAGGAAGGAAAAAATGTTAAGAGCAGCCAGAGAAAAGGGTCAGGTTACCCACAATAGGAAACCCATCAGACTAACAGCTGATCTCTCTGCAGAAAACCTACAAGCCAGAAGAGAGTAGGGCCAATACTCAACATTCTTAAACAAAAGAATTTTTAACCCAAAATTTCATATCCAGTCAAACTAAGCTTCATAAGCAAAGGAGAAATAAAATCTCTTATGGACAAGCAAATGCTGAGAGATTTTGTCACCATCAGGCCTGCCTTACAAGAGCTCCTGAGGAAGCACTAAATATAAAAAGGAAAAACTGGTACCAACCACTGCAAAAACATACCAAATTGTAAAGACCATCAACACCATGAAGAAATGGCATCAAATAAAGGGCAAAATAACCAACTAACATCATAATGACAGGATCAAATTCACACATAACAATATTAACCTTAAATGTAAATGGGCTAAATGCCCCAATTAAAAAACACAGACTGGCAAATTGGAAAGAGTCAAGACAAATTGGTGTGCTGTATTCAGGAGATCCATCTCATATGCAAAGACACATATAGGCTCAAAATAAAGGGATGGAGGAATACTTACCAAGTAAATGGAGAGCAAAAAAAAAGCAGGGGTTGCAATTCTTGTCTCTGATAAAACAGACTTTAAACCAACAGAGATCAAAAAAGACAAAGAAGGGCATTATATAATGGTAAAGGGATCAATGCAACAAAAAGAGTTAACTATCCTAAATATATATGCACCCAATACAGGAGCACCCAGATTCATAAAGCAAGTTCTTAGAGACCTACAAAGAGACTTAGACTCCCACACAATAACAGTGGGAGACTTTAACACTCCACTGTCAATATTAGACATATCAACGAGACAGAATAATAACAAGGATATGCAGGACTTGAACTCAGCTCTGGACCAAGGGGACCTAATAGACATCTACAGAACTCTCCACCCCAAATCAACAGAATATACATTCTTCTCAGCACCACATGGCACTTATTCTAAAATTGAACACATAATTGGAAGTAAAACACTGCTCGGCAAATGCAAAAGAATGGAAATCATAACAGTCTCTCAGACCACAGTGCAATCAAATTAGAACTCAGGATTTAAAAACTCACTCAAAACCACACAACTACATGGCACCTGAACACCTGCTCCTGAATGACTACTGGGTAAATAACTAAATTAAGGCAGAAATAAATAAGTTCTTTGAAACCAATGAGAACAAAGACAAAATGTACCTGAATCTCTGGCGCACAGCTAAAGTAGTGTTTAGAGGGAAATTTATAGCACTAAATGCCCACAGGAGAAACGAGGAATGATCTAAAATTGACAGCCTACCATCACAATTAAAAGAACTAGAGAAGCAAGAGCAAACAAATTCAAAAGCTAGCAGAAAATAAGAAATAAGTAAGATCAGAGCAGAACTGAAGGAGATGCAGACATGAAAAACCCTTCAAAAAAAAATTAATAAATCCAGGAGCTGGTTTTTTGAAAAGATAAGCAAAATAGATGGACCACTAGCCAGACTAATTAAGAAGGAAAGAGAGAAGAATCAAGTAGAGACAATAAAAAATGATGAAGGGGATATCACCACTGATCTCACAGAAACACCTACTACCATCAGAGAATACTATAAACACCTCTATGCAAATAAACTAAAAAATCTAGAAGAAATATATAAATTCCTGGACACATACACCCACCCAAGGTTAAACCAGGAAGAAGTCGAATCCCTGAATAGACCAATAACAAGTTCTGAAATTGAGGCAGTAATTAATAGCCTACCAACCAAAAAAAGCCCATGACCAGATGGATTCACAGCCTAATTCTATCAGAGATATGAAGGGGAGCTGGTACCATTCCTTCTGAAACTATTCCAATCAATAAAAAAAAAAAAAAAAGGGATTCCTCCCTAACTCATTTTATGAGGCCAGCATCATTCTGATAACAAAACCTGGCAGAAACACAACAGAAAAAGAAAATTTCAGGCCAATATTCCTGATGACCATCGATGCAAAACTCCTCAATAAAATACTGGCAAACCGAGTCCAGCAGCACATTAAAAAGTTTATCCACCACAGTTAAGTCGGCTTCATCCCTGGGATGCAAGGCTGGTTCAACACATGCAAATCAATAAACATAATTTATCACATAAACAGAACCAATGACAAAAACCACATGATTATCTCAATAAGATGCAGAAAAGGCCTTCAATAAAATTCAACACTCCTTCATGCTAAAAACTCTTGATAAATTAGTTATTGATGGAACTTATCTCAAAATAATTAGAACTATTTCTGACAAACCCACAGCCAACATCATAGTGATTCGACAAAATCTGTAAGCATTCCCTTTGAAAACCGGCACAAGACAAGAATGCCCTCTCTCACCACTCCTCTTCAACATAGTGTTGGAAGTTCTGACCAGGGCAATCAGGCAAGAGAAAGAAATAAAGCATATTCAAATAGGAAGAGAGGAAGTCAATTTGTCTCTGTTTGTAGATGACGTGATTGTATATTTAGAAAACCCCATCGTCTCAGCCCAAAATCTCCTTAAGCTGATAAGCAACTTCAGCAGTCTCAGGATACAAAATTAATGTGCAAAATCACAAGCATTCCTATACACCAACAATAGACAAACAGAGAGCCAGATCATGAGTGAACTCCCATCCACAATTGCTACAAAGAGAATAAAATACCTAGGAATACAACTTACAAGGGATGAGAAGAACCACTTCAAGGAGAACTACAAACCACTGCTCAAGGAAATAAGAGTGGACACAAACAAATGGAAAAACATTTCATGCTCATGAATAGGAAGAATCAATATTATGAAAATGGCTATACCGTCCAAAGTAATTTACAGATTCAATGATATCCCCATCAAGTTAGCATTGACTTTCATCACAGAATTAGAAAAAATTATTTTAAATTTCATATGGAACCAAAAAAGAGCCTATGTAGTCAAGACAATCCTAAGCAAAAAGAACAAAGCTGGAGGCATCGTGCTACCTGACTTCAAACTATACTACAAGGCTACAGTAACCAAAACATCATGGTATTGGTAGCAAAACAGATATATAGACCAATGGAACAGAGCAGAGGCCTCAGAAATAACACCACACATCTACAAACCTGACAAAAACAAGCAATGGGGAAAGGTTTCCCTATTTAATAAATGGTGTTGGGAAAAATGGCTAGCCATATGCAGAAAACAGAAACTGGACCCCTTCCTTATACCTTATACAAAAATTAACTCAGGATGGATTAAAGCCTTAAATATAAGACCTAAAACCATAAAAACCCTAGAAGAAAACCTAGGAAACAACATTCAGGATACAGGCATGGGCAAAGACTTCGTGACTAAAACACCAAAAGCAATTGCAACAAAAGCCAAAATTGACAAATGGGATATAATTAAACTAAAGAGCTTCTGCACCACAAAAGAACCTATCATCAGAATGAACAGGCCACCTACAGAATAGGAGAAAATTTTTGCAATCTAGCCATCTGACAAAAGGCTAATATCCAGAATCTACAAGGAACTTAAACAAATTTACTAGAAAAAAGAAACCCCCCTGTCAAAAAGTGGGCAAAGGATATGAGCAGACACTTCTCAAAAGAAGACATTTATGTGGCCAAGAAATATATGGCAAAAAGCTCACCGTCACTGGTCATTAGAGAAATGCAAATCAAAACCACTATGAGATACCATCTCACACCAGTTAGAATGGCGATCATTAAAAAGTCAGGAAACAACAGATGCTGGAGAGGATGTGGAGTAATTGGAAAACTTTTACACTGTTGGTGGGAGTGTAAATTAGTTCAACCATTGTGGAAGACAGTGCGGCGATTCCTCAAGGATCTAGAACCAGAAATACCATTTGATCCAGCAATCCCATTACTGGGTATATACTTAAAGGATTATAAATCATTCTACTATAAAGACACATGCACATGTATGTTTGTTGCAGTACTATTCACAATAGCAAAGACTTGGGACCGACTCAAATGCCCATCAGTGATAGACTGGATAAAGAAAATGTGGCACGTATACACCATGGAATACTATGCAACCATAAAAAAAGCATGAGTTCATGTCATTTGCAGGGACATGGATGAAGCTGGAAACCATCATTATCAGCAAAGTAACACAAGAGCAGAAAACCAAACATTGCATGTTCTCACTCGTTAGTGGGAGTTGAACAATGAGAACACATGGACACGGGGAGGGGAACAACACACATCGGGGCCTGTTGGGGGTGGGGGGCTAAGGGAGGGATAGCATTAGGAGAAATACCTAATGTAGATGACAGGTTGATGGGTGCAGCAAACCACCATGGCACGTGTATACATATGTAACAAACCTGCACGTTCTGCACATGTATCACAGAACTTAAAGTATAATTTTAAAAAAGTAATTATGAAGGAAAAATAAAAAAATAAAATAAAAATAGGCAAAGGACCTAAATAGTCATTTCTCAAAGAGGACATACAAATGGTATGTGAAAAAAATGTTCAACATCACTAATCAGAGAGAAATGCAAATTAAAACCATAATGAGATATCACCTCACACCTGTTAGAATGGCTATTATCAAAAACACTAAGGATAACAAGTGCTGGTGAGGATGTGGAGTAAAGGAATCCCTTGCACACTGTTGTTGGAAATGTAAATTAGTGTAGCCATTATGGAAAATGATATGGAATTTTAATTCCTCACAAAATTAAAAATAGAACCACCGTATCATCCAGCATTACCACTACTGAGTATATATCCAAAGGAAGTGATATCAGTATGTGAAAGAGATATCTGCACTTTCATGTTCACTGCAGCCCTATTCACAACAGCCAAGATATGGGATCAACATAAGTGTCCATCAATAGATAAATAGATAAAGAAAATATGATGTATTTTTACAAAATGAATTACTGCTAAGCCTTAAAAAAGGAGGAAATTCTGTCATGTGTAACAACATGGATGAACCTGGAGGACATTACGTTAAGTGAAATAAGACAAGCATAGAAAGACAAATACCACATGATCTCACTTTTATGTGGAATATAAAAAAGTTGAGCTCATAGGAGTAGAGATAGAAAAATGGTGGCTCCAAGGAGCTGGGGAATTGGATTGGGATTGGAGAGATGTTGGTGAAAGAAAACACAATTTTGGTGCAATAGGAAGAATAAGTTCAAGATACCTATTGTATAACATGGTGACTGTACTTAATAACAATGTATTGTATTCTTGAAATTTGCTGAGAGATTTTTAGTATTCTCACCACAAAACATAAGCACACAAGGTAATGCATATGTTAATTAGCTTGATTTAGATGTTCCACAATGTATACATATTTCAAAACATTATGTTGTACTTGATAAATAGGTACCATTTTATTTGTCTATTAAAATTAGTTAATTAACTATTCAATTTTTTAAAAAGAGAAAGAATGCTTTTGGAATTAGTAGGGGAATGAAGTTTGGAATAGGGATAAAAGAGAATAAATGAGTGTATAAAGAAACAAGTGGACAAACAAGAAAAGGGCCTTGTAAGGACAAGGTGCCATGACTCAGGGGTAAGATGATACAAATCTCTGGACTTGGCTCCAGTGTAATAATTACAATTATAAAGGAAGTCCTCAACCACTCATTGTGAGGTTTCAATTATTCTCCAAACCTTACATCTTTGTTTTCCATCCTCATTAATGTGGTCCTTGTCTAGCCCATCCTTCTCCACTTTTTATCTCTTCCTCTTCTTTCTCCAGCATTCCCTTCCCAACCTCTGTTTCATTTCTCTCTTCTTCTCTCTCTTTTATCTTCCTGGTCATTAATCATTTCTTTTCTTCCTTTCTCTCCCTTCTTCCCCTTCACTTCCAACTTTTCTCCCAGAAAGAAGTCTTTTAACATAGAGGTGTCACAAATTTTACCATCATAATAATAAAAATAACAATAGCTAGTATTCATTGACCATGGTCTACATGCCAAGCACTGATCCAAGCTCTTTATATACATTGATCTTCACACTAACTGCTATGATTTGAATGTTTTTCCTCCAAAATTCAGGTGCTGCCAATGTGATAGTATCAAGAGGTGAGGACTTTAAGAGGTGATTACACCATGAGAACTCCTCCCTCATGAATGGGATTAAGACCGTTATAAAAGAGATTTCACACAGTGTTCTGTTTCCTTGCTCTTTACTTTCTGCCATTTGAGGACACAGCATTCCTCCCCTCCAAGGATTTACCAAAAAGTTTCATCTTGGAAACAGAGAATAGCCCTCAGCAGACAACGGAACCTTCTGGCTCCTTGATCTTAGACTTCCCAGCCTCCAGAATTATGAGAAATAAATTTATGTTATTTATAAATTACCCAGTATGTGTAATTCTGTTGTAGCAGTACAAATGGACTAAAAAAACAACATAGGTGTGTACTATCCTTAGGCTCATCTGACAAGGAGGAAAGTAAAGAGTAGAGAAGTTCAATAACTTGCCCAAGGTCACATAGCTAATAAGGAGCAAATAATGAATTAAAACTCCGGGCAATCTGGCACCAGAATCTATGTCATTAATCACTATGCTACACTGCCTGCCCTAATCTACAGATATACTCTCAGCAGTGTTCCAAATCCCAAATAAGAATGCTTGTCACGGCATTGTTTAAAATATTAAAAAACACCTGGTATTAACCTAAATTTCTACTGATAGTTCTCCCTATGCCCATATGTTTGATGTACATGAAGACGACATGCATGTATTTACATAAAGAGACAAGACATAAGTGAAAGACGTAAATAGCAAAATATTATGTGTAACGTGATTTACTTTGTGTACTTTCCTTTTTAAAATATAGATATGTATGTGTATATGTTGAAGTGTGCAAAATTGTATATATCTCTGCAAAAATGTTTTGGGGGTAAATAGGGTAAACAGTAGTTTAAATTTGAAAAAGAGTCTGGGGTAGAAAGAAAAAAAGTACTTTTCATTTCATTTCTCTTTGGATTGTTTAAATCTCCTAACCACACACGTGCATTATTTTGTTTTCTCAACAATAAGGTTTAACAGAATGGTGATATTATAGGCCATTTTTGCTTTGTTCTTTGTATTTTATGTACTAAAAGAAAATCTAATAAACATTATTTGAAAAAAATGCATATACTACTACTTTAAACCCATTGATGGCATGAATCATCAATGTTTTCATAGTCGAAAATTTCATTTCATGTTTGACATGGTTAATGAAGCTGTACATGCTGGTACAGAATACAATTTTATGGAGAAAAAAATGTGGCTTCTCTACAAAAAGCCTGCAGACCCCAGCCTAATGAAGTAGAAGGCTAAAGATGGCATATCTCCAATACAACAGCATGTGGCCTTTCAAATGGATTTACATTAGAGCTGAAAAACACTCTTTCCTAATGAGAATATGAAGCTGAAGGTGGAGGGTGGGTGGCGGGGGGGGAGGTCGGTAGGGCAGTGAAGGACCCAGATTGTTTAAGAATTCTTTGCAAATCCATGTAATGAAATTGAACCTTTTACTTGCCAAAGACTCCTCAAGAAAATTAGACGTGAAGTCCAAATGTCATCCAGTGACCTAGATGATTCCCAGTGTCCAGGTAGTTTGGATGGTCAATAGAGTAATGATCAATGGTTCTCAAGCAGGAATGTTTTCAGCATTACACTCAGGCACAACATCATTAAACTTGAATTCAGGTGCAAGAGCAGCACAAGACATCCAAATCGGTCCATTGTTTACTAGCCAGAAAGAGATCCAAATAAACGCACTATTATGTCACTATCATTACATATTTTTCATGCCATCAATAAACATTTTATTCCTCTAGGAAATTTAGAATGTGGCCCTCTGTCATTAACTAAGGATTTTATAATTTGGACAACTTTTAAATTAACATAATGTACTTTTTTTCAAGGAAGTTTGAAAGAGACTGATTTTTAGCATTTAAGAACTACCTTTATTTCTTTCAACCATAAGAAGTTACACTAGAAGAAAAAGATTACATTTTCAATAACAACCAAAAAGGTAAAAATAATATGCAAAACTCATATTATGGGAAAGAGCACTCTAAAAGAACCAAAAGATAAATTGAAAATATGAAAAATCAATATCAGTAGTGATGACAATTCTCCTTCAAGTTAATCTATAAATCTAAGACAAGCTCCAACCATGATAAAAGAAAATACCAACTGTATCTTTGGCAGCTAATCAGGAAGATCTACCAAATTTTTAAATGCACATACAAATCTCAATTCTAGGGACTCATCCTACAAATCTATTAGCATCATGATCCAGGTTCAAGGTTAATCACTGCAGCATTGTTTGTAAAAGCAAGGGATTGCAAACATCCTAAATGATCATTAATAGGAGATAAGTTAAATAAATATTGCATATTTATCTAGTGAAATACAGTGCAGCTGATTAAAAACAAGGTGTAATATTACAAAATTCAAACTGTGACATGTTATAACTTCAATTTTAAACAAAGCACATTCTTTCAGACTTATTTGTGGAATTTTATTATTACTCTTGTGCATAAATGAAAAAGATTAATGAAATAAATTGGTTAAAGAATTTCTAAAACTTTTTCATTCAGATGCCAACTTTTCTGAATCACTTTGAGACTCAGTGTCATAGAAATCCATAGTATGCTACGGAATGTCATTCTCTGTGTTCTACTATCATCTACAAGATCTTCAAAAATGCCAACACACAGCCAGGTGCAGTGGCACACTCTTGTAATTTCAGCTACTCAAAAGGCTGAAGTGGGAGAGATCCCTAAAGCCTCGGAGTTCGAGGTTGTGGTATGCTATGATCACACTTGTGAATAGCCACTGCACTCCAGCCCAGGCAATATAGTGAGACACTGTCTCTTAAAAAAATAAAAATAAATACTGACACATGTCATGTTAGTTTTGTTATTAGAACCTTCTTAACTTTTATTAGAACAAGAAAATTGGAAAACTTTCAGACAGAGACCAGGACTCATATTTCTTCCAAAGTGGTCTTTCAATGGTCTATTGACTATAACATTAAGAAGTTGCAGTTAATCCATTTTATGCATGCAGACAGTGATGGTTACACCACGACTCCTGCTGTTGAAATTATTGCTGTTGAAATACACTAAGTGAAAAAAGCAAGGTGCAGTATAGTGTGGAAAGCAAACCATTTGAGTAAAAAATGGAATAAGTAACATTTACATATGATTGTAGGTGCCTAAAATATTTCTTAAAGAATACCCACATATACACACACATATCTGTTGTCTGAGGTGGTGGGAACAGGGTGGTTAGAGATGAGGATGGAAGGTAAACTTCATTCTATAGCGTTTGTGTCTTATAAATTTTAAACAATGTAAATATATATATATATATATATATATATATATATATATATATATACACACACACACATTTTTTTTTTTTTGAGTTGGAGTCTCGTTCTTGTCACCCAGGCTGAAGGGCAATGACGTGATCTCGGCTCACTGCAACCTCTCCCTCCCGAGTTCAAGCAATTCTCCTGCCTCAGCCTCCAGAGTAGCTGGGATTACAGGCACCCACCACCAGGCCCAGCTAATTTTGGTAATTTTAGTAGAGATGGAGTTTCACCATGTTGGCCAGGCTGGTCTCGAACTCCTGACCTCAGGTGATCTGTCCACCTTGGCCTCCCAAAGTGCTGGGATTGCAGGAGTGAGCCACCACGTCTGGCCTGGAAATACATTATTAATTCAAAAAATAATACGTTAAAAACATATACATTTGCTTTTGCTGTTTTGAAAATAAAATTAAAGTGAAGTGTCACTATATTCTCATCACAAACTAAAGCAACAGGCTTCAGTGCAAGGTAAAAATGTGTTTTCCGTAAGAAGTTGCTACATTCACTGCCCTAGGCAGTTATTTCAAGACCCCCAAAGAATGCATTACAACAAGTAAAAACTGAAAGAAAGTACAAATCAGCTGGTAAATCACTCTAGAGCTGCCACTGTATTTTTACTGGTTGAGTTCAAAGATACCTACAGAAATTTTGTACCACAGACAAATTGAAAAATGCCATTTGTAATCCATCCTTTTGATCTGTATGCTCAAAAATGAGAGGGATAGCAGTCACCCATTCAATAAACTACAAAGTGGCTTTTATTACGGGAATATAAAGGCAAAAGCACCGACCTGAAGGACCTCAGATTCTGGTGAGGTTAACATTAGTAATGCTATGCTAGGATTCAGTGGAGGAATGCGCACAGTGCAATGGGAACAAGGAGGGTGTCTAACTTATCTTAGAGATATATAAGGAGACTTACCGCTATAGACTATTTGTCCCCTCCAAAATTCGTATGTTAAATTCTAACATTCAATATTATTAGAGGGTGAAGCATTTGGAAGGTGATTATGTCATGATGGTAGAATTCTCATGAATGGGATTAGTGCCTTTCTACAAGGGACCACAGAAAACCTCACCCCTTTCACCATGTGAGAACACAGTAAGAAAACAGCTGTCTGTGAATCAGGAAGCAGGTTCTCACTGGATGCCAAATCTGCCAGCACCTTGCTCTTAGAGTTCCCAGCCACCAGAACTGTAAGAAATAAATTTATGTTGTTTATAAGCCACCAAGTTTATAAGCCACCAAGTATTTTGTTATAGCAACCCGGACAGACTAGCACACTTACCCTAGGAGGAAACATTTATACTGAATCCTAAAGGCCCCTAATGCTGAAGCAAACAAACTCAGTGGAAGCTGTGTTCACCCTCTATTCAGAGGATCAACTTAACTCTAATCTTGAGCCCATTATCATCTAATAATTCTCTGTCAATTATCTCTTTCACATCCTCAACATCTCATTTTATACTAGCTTTTTCTTCTTGGCATAGAAATATGCTTATCTCTGCCATCTTTAAAGTGTCTTTTACTCCCATGACCCCTTCTAACTATTACCCTACTTCTCTCCTTCCCTTTACAGGCAAGCTTTTTATAAAACATGCTACGTTTGCTATCTCTTCTCCCTCAGCTTCCATTCATTTTTACCACCTCACCAATAATTACTCTTACCCAGGTAGCCAATGAACTCTTCACTGACAGATTGAATTAGTATCTTATCATATCTTAAGTGACCTCTCCAGCTCCTTCCTTAGCTTCTCAATCTTTCAGTGACGCTCCATTGACTTTATTATAAAAATCTGTGCTAACAGCATGGCAAATGAACATTCCCTCATTTGAGAAACTCATTTTCATTTCAGAAACAAATGCCCGGAGAAAAACAGATTAGGATATATCACAGGTGAGGTAAAAAAAAAAAAGTTCATCATATTTAGTTAGACAATCAATCGACAAATACAACTTAAGAAGCATGTGGCAGACTTATTGGCCTCACTAAGGACTTTCTTCTCAAGCAAAGCCTTAGGGGTTCAAGAGCAGACCAAAGTTCCTGATCTCTGTAGGCAGAGAGTTCTCAAGGAACAAAGGAATAGCAGACCAGGTCAGACTAGGTCATTTGAACTGACAGTCTCACTAAGGAAAACTAAGAGATCTGTACCAAAAAGTCCACAAAGTATTGAGGTCTTTGTAGGCCAAAATTAGAAGATAAGACCAAGAAAGGTAAGCCGAGCCACTCAAAGCTACATTTTTACCAAAGGCATTTATTCGCTGATGATGGAAAAGAAACTTTGAAGTTCATCTGTATTTTAGAGTCTGCATGGAACTAAAGAGACAGAAATCAAGCCCTGGACACTGCTAAGGGATGGGACTCTGCTAAATTAATCCCCACTTTCAACAACAGTCAGGAAAAGCATACCCTCAGAATATAGGTGAACTAAAAATAAATCAGTCATAGCAAGGACCTGTAATTTAGGATCCCATCACCTGGATATCCAGGAAGCTCAAATTTTGAACCAAGATTAGGGAGGTCTCAAAATCCATTATCTCTCCCAAACACCTAGAGAAACAAATGAAGCCTCTTGGAAGAAGAGACCATCATCCAGAAGCCAAAACATTTCTCTAAATATCTTTTAAATACAATGTCCAGCACAGACTTAAAGATAACCAAGCACGCAATGAAAAAAAATCCTAAGCAAGAAACGGTATAAACAACAGGTGACAGAAATAACCAAATGATATGTGATGTCTTCAAATTATCAGACACAGACTAGTAAAAAAATGCAAAACAACACAAAAAAACCCTGTGTTTACTATGTTTAAAGAAATAAAAGTCAGGATGAAAATTTGAGGCAGGAAACTGGAAACTATGAAAAATAACCCGCTCCTTCTGCTGGTGTACACGTGCACACACTGCCCTGTGTGCCCCCTACGCCCGATGCAAGGCCCCTGCTGATGTGCATACACTCCATTACACCACTGCTGCTGCTGACATGCACACATACACAAGCACAGACCCTGCTGCCAACGCCCCGACAAAGCACTTTGGCCAGCATCCCCCACTGGAGTATTGTTGCCAGTGGACCTGGAACATCTCAGTCCCTCTGGAACAGCAGGTGCTTAAACTCGACGGGCCATAGAACAAAACCATGGGCCTGATACCAGGTCTCAGGGTTAGATAGAACACAAAGCCCAGGAGTTCTAAGTTAAGCCTTGATCCTCTGAAATCTTCCAGAAATGAAGCCAGTCAACTAAACCCACTTTATACCACAATCAAACCCTCAAGGGCATCAAGGAATATAAAAGCAAAAAACCCCATTCAAAAAAACAGCAACTTCAAAGATTAAATGGACATCAGCTCACACTGGTGAGAGAACCAGCGTAAGAACTCTGGCAGCTCAGAAAACCAGACTGCACTAGTTCCCCAGCAGTGGTACTGAATCAAGCTGAAATGGCTGAAATGACAGACATAGAATTCAGAATCTGGAAAACAGTGAATATCACTGAGATTCAGGAGAAAGTCAAAACACAATCCAAGGAATCTAACAAAACAATACCAGAGCTGAACACTGTAATCGCCGTTGTAAGAAAGACAGAGCTAAAAAGAACTCCCGACAAGATTTTCATAACACAATCAGAAGTATCAACAGCAGAATCAACCAAGCTAAGGGAAGAATCTCAGAGCCTCAAGCATGTTCTTCAACTCAGACAAAAATAAAGAAGAGATAATTAAATAGAATTAACAAAACATCCGAGAAACATGAGATTATGTAAAAAGATCAAAACTATGAATCATTGGCTTCCCTGAGAGAGAGGGAGAGAGGGTAACTTGGAAAACATATTCGAAGATATTGCTCATGAAAATGTCACCAACCTCACTAGAGAGGTCAATATGCAAATTCAGGAAGTGCAGAGAACCCCTATGAGATAATATACAATACAACAATCTCCAAGACACATAGTCATCAGATTTTCCAAGGTCAATGTGAAAGAAAAAATATTAAAGGCATCTAGAGATAAGGGGCAAGTCACCTACAAAGGGAATCCCACCAGGCTAACAGTGGACCTTTCAGTAGAAACCCTACAAGCCAGAAGAGTTTGGGAACTTATATTCAGCAATTTTTTATCTTCAATTTTTATTTTAAGCTCAGGGGAACATGTGCATGATGTGCAGGTTTGTTACATAGGTAAACATGTGCCACGGTGGTTTGCTGCACAGATCATCCTATCATCTAGGTATTAAGCCCAGCGTCCATTAGCTGTTGTCCCTGATGCTCTCCCTCACCCGACTCCTCAACAGGCCCCAGTGTGTGTTGTTCCCCACCCCCCACCACCCCATGTGTTCATGTGTTTTCATCATTCAGTTCCCACTTATAAGTAAGAACATAAGGTGTTTGGTTTTCTGTTCCTGCATTAGTTTGCTGAGGTTAACGGCTCCCGGCTCTATACATGTCCCTGCGAAGGACACAATCTCATTCGCTTTCATGGCTGCATAGTAGTCCATGTGTATATGTACCATATTTTCTTTATCCAGTTTATCATTGATGGGCATTTGGGTAGTACTCTTAAAGAAAAGAAATTCTAACCAAGAATTTCATATCCAGCCACAGTAAGCTTCACAAGCAAATGAGATATAAAATTCTTGTCTTTCTTTCTTTTTCTTTTTTTTTTTTTTTTTTTTTGAGACATAGTCTCACTCACTCTATTGCCCAGGCTAGAGTGCAGTGGTGCAATCTTGGCTCGCTGCAACTTCTGTCTCCCGGGTTCAAGAAATTCTCCTGCCTCAGCCTCCTGAGCAGCTGGGATTACAGGTGCACACCACCACACCCAGGTGATTTTTGTATTTTCAGTAGAGATGGTGTTTCACCATGTTGGCCAGGCTGGTCTCAAACTCCTGGCCTCAAGCAATCTGCCCACCTCAGCCTCCCAAAGTGCTGGGATTACAGACATGAGCCACCTCGCCCAGCCTAAGATCCTTTTCAAACAAGCAAAAGCTAAGATAATTTGTTACCACCAGATCTGCCTCACAACGGGTCCATAAGGGAATGCTAAACATGGAAATGAAAGAGCATTACCAGCCACCAAAACACACCCTTACATACATAAACCATTGACACTATAAAACGACTACATAACAACTACATAATAAAGTCTGCATAACAACCAGTTAACAACAAAAGATCAAACCCACACAGATCAATATTAACCTTTAATACAAATGGACCAAATGTCCCACTAAAAAGGGCACAGACAGAGGGGCAAGCTGAATAAAGAAGCAAGACCCCACTGTATGCTGTCTTCAAGAGACCCATCTCACATGCAATGCACCCAAAGGCTCAAAATACAGGGATGAAGAAAAATCTACCAAGCAAACAGAAAATCAGAAGGACAGTAATTGATAATTCCAGACGAAACAGACTTCAAAATAACAACAATCAGAAAAGACCAAGAAGGGCATTACATAACATAATAGTAAAGGGTACAATTCAGAAAGAAGACATAATTATCCTAAATACATAAGCACCCAACCTGGAAATCCCAGATTAATGAAACAAGGTAACAGAAACCTATGAAGAGACATAGATAACCACACAATAACACTGGGAGACTTCAAGGCCCCACTGACACTTTTAGACAGATCATTGAGGGAGAAAACTAACAAAGATATTTGGGACGTGATCTTGACACTTGACCATATGGACCTGACAGACATCTACAGAACTTTCGTCACAAAACAAGAGAATATACATTCTCTCCTCATCTGCACATGGCACATACTCTAAAACTGACCACACAATCAGCCATAAAACAATTCTTGGCAAAGTCCAAGAAACCAAAATCATTCCAACCACACTCTCAAATCACAGCACAATAAAAATACAAATCATGTCAGGGCTGGAAAGATGGCCGAATAGGAAGATCTCTGCTCTGCAGCTCCCAGCAAGACCAACACAGAAGGTTGGTGATTTCTGCATTTCCAACTGAGGTACTCAGCTCATCCCACTGGGACTGGTTAGACAGTGGGTGCAGCCCACAGAGGGCAAGCAGAAGCAGGGTGGGACATTGCCTCACCCAGGAAGCACAAGGGGTCAGGGAACTCCCTCCCCTAGCCAAGGAAAGCCATGAAGGACCATGTTGTGAAGGACACTGCTATCTAGCCCAGATACTGTGCTTTTCCCATGGTCATCACAACCCGCCATCAAGGCGATTCCCTCAAGTACCTACACCACCAGGGCACTGGGTTTCAAGCACAAAACTGGGCGGCCATGTGGGCAGACACTAAGGTAGCTGCTGGAGTTTTTCTTTTTGTACCCCAGTAGTGCCTGCAACACCAGTGAGAGAGAACTGTACACTCCTCTGGAAAGGGGGCTGAAGCCAGGGAGCCGAGTGGTCTTGCTTAGCAGATCCCACCCCCACGGAGCCCAGCAATCTAAGATCCACTGACTTGAAATTCTCACAGCCAGCACAGCAGTCTGAATTTGATGTGGGACACTCAAGCTTGGTAGGGGGAGGGGCGTCCACCACTGCTGAAGCTTGAGGAGGTGGCTTTCCCCTCACGGTGTAAACAAAGCCACCAGGAAGTTCAGACTGGATGGGGAACCCACCACAGCACGGCAAAGCCACTGTAGCCAGACTGCCTCTCTAGATTCCTCCTCTCTGGGAATGGCATCTCTGAAAGAGAGGCAGCAGCCCAGTCAGGGGCTTATACATAAAACTCCCATTACCCTGGGACAGAGCACCTGGGGAATGGGGTGGCTGTGGGCACAGCTTCAGCAGACTTAAGACATTCCTGTCTGCCAGCACTGAAGAGAGCAGCAGATTTACCAGCACAGCACTCCAGCTCTGCTAAAGGACAGACTGCCTGCACAAGTGAGTCCCTGACCCTCATGCCTCCTGACTGGGAGACACCTCCTAGCAGGGGTTGACAGACACCTCATACAGGAGAGCTCCAGCTGGCATCTGTTGGGTGCCCCTCAGGGAAAAGTTTCCAGAGGAAGGAGCAAGCAGCTCCTTCTGGTGTTCTGCAGCCTCTGCTGGTGCTACCCAGGCAAACAGCGTCTGGAGTGGACCTCCAGTAAACTCCAGCACACCTGCAGAAGAGCGGCCTATTAGAAGAAAAACTAACAAACACAAAGCAATAGCATCAACATCAACAAAAAGGACACCCATGCAAAAAACACCATCCAAAGGTGACCAACATCAAAGACCAAAGGTAGATAAATCCACGAAGATGAGGAAAAACCAGCACAAAAGGCTGAAAATTCCAAAAACCAGAATGCCTCTACTCATCCCAAGGATCAAAACTCCTCACCAGCAAGGGAACAAAACTGGACAGAGAATGAGCTTGATGAACTGACAGAAGTGGGCCTCAGAGGGTGGTAATAAACTCCTCCAAGCTAAAGGAGCATGTTCTAACCTAATGCAAGGAAGCTAAGAACCTTGATAAAAGGATACAGGAACTGACAACTAGAATAACCAGTATAGAGAAGAACATAAATGGCCTGACGGAGCTGAAAAACACAGCACAAAAACTTCAGGACCCATACACAAGTATCAATAGCCAAACCAATCTAGCCAAAGAAAGGACATCTGAGACTGAAGTTCAACTTAATGAAATAAAGTATGGACACAGGATTAGAGAAAAAAGAATGAAAATGAATGAACAAAGCCTCCAAGAAGTATGGGACTTTGGGAAAAGACCAAATCTACATTTGATTGGTGTATCTGAAAGTGAAGGGGAGAATGGAACCAAGTTGGAAAACACACTTCAGGATAATATCCAGGACAACTTCCCCAACCTAGCAAGACAGGCCAACACACAAATTTAGGAAACACAGAGAACACCACAATGATACTCCTCAAGACACATAATCATCAGATTCACCAAGGTTGAACTGAAGGGGAAAATGTTAAGGGCAGCCAGAGAGAAAGGTTGGGTTTCCGACAAAGGGAAGCCCATCAGACCAACAATGGATCTCTCTGCAGAAACCCTACAAGCCAGAAAACTGTGGGGGCCAATATTCAACATTCTTAAAAAAAAAAAAATTTCAACCCAGAATTTTCTATCCAGCCAAACTAAGCTTCATAAGAGAAGGAGAAACAATATCTTTTCCAGACAAGCAAATGCTGAGAGATTTTGTCACCACCAGGCCTGCCTTACAAGAGCTCCTGAAGGAAGCACTAAATATGGAAAGGAAAAACTAGTACCAGCCACTGCAAAAATAAACCAAAATGTAAAGACCATCAACACTATGAAGAAACTGCATCAACTAATGGGCAAAAATACTAGCTAGCATCATGATGACAGGATAAAATTCACACATAACAATATTAACCTTAAATATAAACGGGCCAAATGCCCCAATTAAAAGACAGAGACTGGCAAATTGGATAAAGAGTCAAGACCCATCGGTGTGCTGTATTCAGGAGACCCATCTCACGTGCAAAGACACACATAGGCTCAAAATAAAGGGATGGAGGAGTGTTTACCAAGCAAATGGAAAGCAAAAGAAAAGGGGTTGCAATCCTAGTATCTGAAAAAACAGACTTTAAACCAACAAAGATCAAAAAAGACAAAGAAGGGCATTACATAATGGTAAAGGGATCAATGCAACAAGAAGAGCTAACAATTCTAAATATATATGCACCTAATACAGGAGCACCCGGTTTCATAAAGCAAGTCCTTAGAGACCTACAAAGAGACTTAGACTCCTACACAATAATAGTGGGAGATTTTAACACCCCACTGTCAATATTAGACAGATTAACAAGACAGAAAATTAACAAGGATATTCAGGACTTGATCTCAGCTCTGGACCAAGTGGATGTAACAGACATTTACAGAACTCTCTACCACAAATCAACAGAATATACATTCTTCTCAGCACCACATAGCAATTATTCTAAAATTGGCTACATAATTGGAGGTAAAACACTCCTAAGCAAATGCAAAAGAACTGAAATCTTAACAAACTGTCTCTCAGACCACAGTGCAATCAAATTAGAACTCAGGATTAAGAATCTCACTCAAAACTGCACAACTACATAGAAACTGAACAACCTGCTCCTGAATGACTACTGGGTAAGTAGCAAAATTAAGACAGAAATAAATAAGTTCTTTGAAACCACTAAGAACAAAGAAACAATGTACCAGAATCTCTGGGACACAGCTAAAGCAGTGTTTAGAGGGAAATTTATAGCACTAAATGCCCACAGGAGAAAGCAGAAAAGATCTAAAATCAACACCCTTACATCACAATTAAAATAACTAGAGAAGTGAGAGCAAACAAATTCAAAAGCTAGCAGAAGACAAGCAATAACTAGGATCAGAGCAGAACTGAAGGAAATAGAGACACAAAAAAACCCTTCAAAAAATCAGTGAATCCAGAAGCTCATTTTCTGAAAAGATTAACAAAATAATAGACCTCTGGCCAGACTAATAAAGAAAAAAACAGAGAAGAATCAAATAGACACAATAAAAAATGATAAAGGGCATATCACCACTGATCCCAAAGAAATACAAACTACCATCAGAGAATACTATAAACACCTCTACACAAATAAACTAGAAAATCTAGAAGAAATGGATAAATTCCTGGACACATATACCTCCCAAGACTAAACCAGGAAGAAGTCGAATCCCTGAATAGACCAATAACAAGTTCTGAAATTGAGGCAGTAATTAATAGCCCACCAACAAAAAAAAAGCCCAGGACCAGACGGATTCACAGCCGAATTCTATTAGAGATATGAAGGGGAGCTGGTACCATTCCTTCTGAAACTATTCCAAACAATAGAAAAAGAGGGACACCTCCCTAACTCATTTTATAAGGCCAGCATTATTCTGATAGCAAAACCTGGCAGAGACACAACAAAAAAGAAAATTTCAGGCCAATATTCCTGATGAGCATCGATGCAAAAATCCTCAATAAAATACTGGCAAACCAAATACAGTAGCACATTAAAAAGTTTATCCACCATGATCAAGTCGGCTTCCTCCCTGGGATGCAAGGCTGGTTCAACATATGCAAATCAATAAACGTAATTTATCACATAAAGGACCAACTACAAAAACCACATGATTATCTCAGTAGATGCAAAAAGGCCTTCAACAAAATTCAACACCCCTTCATGCTAAAAACACTCAATAAATTAGGTATTGATGGAAAGCATCTCACAATAATAAGAGCTATTTATGACAAACCCACAACCAATATTGTACTGATTGGGCAAAAGCTGGAAGCACTCCCTTTGAAAACTGGCACAAGACAAGGATGCCCTCTCTCATCATTCCTAATCAAAACAGTATTAGAAGTTCTGACCAGGGCAATCAGGCAAGAGAAAGAAATAAAGGGTATTCAAACCGGAAGAGAGGAAGTCAAATTGTCCCTGTTTGCAGATGACTTGATTGTATATTTAGAAAAACCCTTTGTCTCAACCCCAAAACTCCTTAAGCTGATAAGAAACTTCAGCAAAGTCTCAGGATACAAAATCAATGTGCAAAAATCACAAGCATTCCTATACACCAATAATAGACAAACAGAGAGCCAAATCATGAGTGAACTCCCATCCACAATTGCTACAAAGAGAATAAAATACCTAGGAATACAACTAACAAGGGATATGAAGGACCACTTCAAGGAGAACTACAAACCACTGCTCAAGGAAATAAAAGAGGACACAAACAAACGGAAAAATATTCCATGCTTATGGATAGAAAGAATCAATATCGTGAAAATGGCCATACTGCCCAAAGTAATTTATAGATTCAATGCTATTCCCATCAAGCTACCATTGACCTTCATCACAGAATTAGAAAAAACTACTTTAAATTTCATATGGAACCAAAAAATAGCCCGTATAGCCAAGACAATCCTAAGCAAAAAGAACAAAGCCGGAAGCATCATGCTACCTGACTTCAAACTATACTACAAGGCTACAGTAACCAAAGCAGCATGGTTCTGGTACCAAAACAGACAAATAGACCAATGGAACAGAACAGAGGCCTCAGAAGTAACACCACACATCTACAACCATCTGATCTTTGACAAACCTGACAAAAACAAGAAATGGGGAAAGGATTCCCTATTTAATAAATGGTGTTGGGAAAACTGGATAGCCATATGCAGAAAACTGAAACTGGACCCCTTCCTTATACCTTATACAAAAATTAACTCAAGATGGATTAAAGACTTAAACGTAAGACCAAAACCATAAAAACCCCAGAAGAAAACCTAGGCAATGTCATTCAGGACATAGGCATGGGCAAAGACTTCATGACTAAAACACCAAAAGCAATTGCAACAAAAGCCAAAACTGACAAATGGGATATAATTAAAGAGCTTCTGCACAGCAAAAGAAACTATCATCAGCATGAACAGGCAACCTACAGAATGGGAGAAATTTTTTGCAGTCTATCCATCTGACAAAAGGCTAATATCCAGAATCTACAAGGAACTTAAACAAATTTACAAGAAAAAAACAAACAACCCCATCAAAAACTGGGCAAAGGATATGAACAGACCCTTCTCAAAAGAAGACATGTATGCAGCCAATAAACATATGAAAAAAAGCTCATCATCACTGATCATTAGAGAAATGCAAATCAAAACCACAGTGAGATACCATCTCACACCGGTTAGAATGGTGATCATTAAAAAGTTAGGAAACAACAGATGCTAGAGAGGATGTAGAGAAATAGGAATGCTTTTACACTGTTGGTGGGAGTGTAAATTAGTTCAATCATTGTGGAAGAAAGTGTGGTGATTCCTCAAGGATCTAGAACCAGAAATACCATTTGACCCAGCAATGCCATCACTGGGTATATACCCAAAGGATTATAAATCATTCTACTATAAAGACACATGCACATGTATGTTTATTGCAGCACTATTCACAATAGCAAAGACTTGGAACCAACCCAGATGCCCATCAATGATAGACTGGATAAAGAAAACAAGGCATGTATACACCACGGAATACTATGCAGCCATAAAAAAGAATGAGTTTATGTCCTTCGCAGGGACATGGATGAAGCTGGAAACCATCATTATCAGCAAACTAACATAGGAACAGAAAACCAAACACCACATGTTCTCACTCCTAAGTCGGAGTTGAACAATGAGAACACATGGGCACAGGGAGGGGAACATCACACACCAGGGTCTGTCGGGGGATGGGGGGCAAGGAGAGGGATAGCATTAGGAGAAATACCTGATGTAAATGATGGGTTGTTGGCTGCAGCCAACTACCATGGCATGTGTATACATATGTAACAAATCTGCACGTTCTGTACATGTATCCCACAACTAAAAGTATAATAAAAATTTTTTAAAAATAAAAAATATAAAGCCTAAAAAAATAGAAATCAATATTAAGAATATCACTCAAAACAATACAATTACATGGGAAGTAAACAACATGCTATTGAATGACTTTTGGGTGAACAATGAAATTAAGGGAGAAATCAAGAAATTCTTCAAAACTAATGAAAACAGGTACAACGTATCAGAATCTCTGGAACATAGCTAAAGCAGTGTTAAGATGAAAGTTTATAGTGCTAAATGTCCGTATCAAAAAGTTAGAAAGATCTCCAATTGCAACCTAACATCACACCTAGAGGAAGTAAAAAACAATAGCAAACCTAACCCAAAGCTAGCAGAATATATGAAATCGTCATAATGAGAGGTGACCTTAATGAAACTGAGATGCAAAAAAACATATAAAATATCAATGAAACCAAATAGTGGTTTTCTGGGTTGTTTTTTTTTTTTAAGATAGACTGCTAGCTAGGCTAAAAAACTAAAAAAGAAAAAGAGAAGATCCAAATAAACACCATCAGAAATGACAGAGGACATCACCACCAACCCCATACAAATACCAAAAAACCCTCAGAGATTTTTATGAACCCCTCGGTGGATACAAACTAGAAAACCTACAAGAAATGGATTAATTCCTAGAAACACAAAATCTCCCAAGATTGAACCAGGAAGAAATTGAAACCCTGAACAGACCAATAATGAGTTCTGAAATCAAATCAGTAATAAAAAGCCTACAAACCAGAAAAAGCCCTGGACCAAATGGGTTCACAGCCAGATTCATAAAGAAGAATTGGTACCAATCATACTGCAACCATTCCAAAAAATTGAGGAGGAAGAACTCCCTAACTCATTCTATGAGGCCAGCATCATTCTGACACCAAAATCTGGCAGACACAACAAAAAACTAAAACTTCAGGTCAATATCCCTGATGCATAGATGCAAAAATCTTTAAAATACTAGCAAACTTAATCCAACAGCACATCAAAACACTAATCCACCACATTCAAGTAGGGTTTATCCCTGGGAGGCAAGGTTGGTTCAACATATGCAAATCAATAAATGTGGTTCATCACATAAAACAGAACTAAAAACGAAAACCACATGATCATCTGAATGGACACAGAAAAGACTTTAGATAAAACTCAACATCCTTTATGTTTAAAAAAAAGCACTCAACAAACTAAGCATTAAAAGAACATACCTCAAAATAATAAGAGCCATCTATGACAAACGCACAGCTAACATCATACTGAATGAGCAAAGGCTGGAAGCACTCCCATTGAGAACTGGAACAAGACCAGGATGCCCATTCTCACCATTCCTATCCAACATAAAACTGGCAGTCCTAACCAGAGCAATCAGGCACAAGGAAGAAATAAAAGGCATTCAAATAGGAAGAGAGAAAGTCAACTACATCTCTTTGCAGCTAATATTATTCTACATCTAGAAAACCCCATAGTCTCTTCCCAAAAGCTCCTACACATGATAAACAACTTCAAAGTTTCAGGATACAAAATCACTGTAAAAAAATCAGTAACATTCCTATACACCACAAAGTCCATGCTGAGAGCCAAAGAACGCAATCTCATTCATAATTGCCACACACGCACAGAAATACCTAGGAGCATAGCTAATCAGGGAGGTGAAAGATCTCTACAATGAGAATTACAAAACACTACTGAAAGAAATCACAGAGGACACAAACAGATGGAAAAATATTTCACGTTTATGGATAGGAAGAATCAATATTATTAAAATGGCCATACTGCCCAAAGCAGTTTACAGATAAATGTTATTCCTATCAAATTACCAATGACATTTTTCACAGAATTTCAAAAAAACTATTCTAAAATTTATACGGAACCAAAAAAGAGCCTGAATAGCCAAGAGATCCTAAGCAAAAAGAACAAAGCCAGAGACATCACACTACCTGACTTAAAACTATACTACAAGGCTACAGTAACCAAAACAGCATGGTACTGGTACAAAAACAGATACATAGACCAATGGAACAGAATAGAGAACCCAGAAATAAAGCCAAATGCTTATAACCATCTGATCAACAGAGTTGGTAAAAACAAACAATGAGGAAAGGACTCCCTATTCAATAAATGGTGCTGAGATAACCAGTTCGTCATATACAGAAGATTGAATCTGGACACCTTTCTTTCACCATGTACAAAAATCAACTCAAGATAGAGCAAGAACTTAAATGTTGAACTTAAAACTATAAAAATCCTAGAAGAAAACCTAGGAAATACCACTCTGGACATAGGCCCTGGCAACAATTTTATAACAGAGGAACCAAAATCAATTGCAACAAAAACAAAAATTGACAAATGAGAGGTAATTAAACTAAACAGTTCCTGCACGGCAAAAGAAACTATCAACAGAGTAAACAGGCAAACTACAGAATGAGAGAAAATATTTGTAAACTCTGCATCTGAAAATGGTCTAATTTCCAGAATCTATAAGAAACTTAAATTAACAAGCAAAAAACAACCCCATTAAAAAACGGGCAAAGAACATGAACAGACACTTCTCAAAAGAAGACATACATGCAGCCAACAAATATATGAAAAAATGCTCTACATAACCAACCATTAGAAAAATGCACATCAAAACCACAATGAGATACCATCTCACATCAGTCAGAATGGCTACTACTAAAACTTTTTTAAATAACAGATGACAGCAAGGTTTTAGAGAAAACAGAAAATTTATACACTACTGGTGAGAATGTAAATTAATTCAACCACTGTGGAAAGCAGTATGGAGAAATCTCAAAGGACTTAAACAAAATTACCATTAGACCCAGGAATCCCATTATTGGTTGTACACCCAAAGGAATATAAATCATTCTACCATAAAGAAACTTGCACATGTATGTTCATTGCAGCACTGTTCACAATGGCAAAGACATGAAACCAACCTAGAGGCCCATCAATCACTGATTAGATAAAGAAATATGGTACCTATACACCATGGAATACTATGCAGCCATAAAAAACAAGGAAATAATGTCCTTTGCAGCAATGTGGGTGGATCTATCCTAAGTGAATTAATGCAGAAACAGAAAAACAAATAGCACATGTTCTCACTTATAAGTGGGAGTTAAACATTGAGTACACATGGACACAAAGAAAGGAACAATAGACACAGGGGCCTACTTGAGGGTGGAGAATGGGAGGAGGGTGAGGAGAGTAAGTACTGTGCTTATTACCTGAGTGGCAAAATAATCTTACACCAAACCCCCATATCACAAAATTTACCCGTATAACAAACCTGTATATGTACCCCCAAACCTAAAATAATAGTTAGAAAAAAAAGGAAAGAAAATTAAATAGAAAATAAGAAAAACAACAAAAAGTCTAAAATGAAAGCAAGTAAAAGACTAAAAATTATATAATATCTAAAATTAAGAACTCAGTGGATGATTTGAGCACCGTATTAGAGATAAAGAGAAAATTAGTGAATTGAAAGACGTGTCAAAAGAAACTCTAGAATATAGGACAGAAAATTCAGAAAAAAAAAAGATAGAGACTATGTTGAGAGCTTATAACATATATTTCATTGGAGTCCCCAAAAAAGAAGAAAGAATGTTTCAGAGGCAATATCTAAAGAAAGAGAGGAGCTGAGAAGAATTAAAAACTGATGAAATACATTAATCCACAAATCCAAGAAGACAAGCAAATCCTTAACAGGAGACATAAAAAAAAATCCACACCTAGATACATCATATCAAATGGCAGAAAACAAAGACTAACAGGAAATCTTAAAAACAGTTTAAGTAAAAAGACCTTCAAAAGATCAAAAGTTAGAATTACAGCTGACTTCACTATAGCAACAATGGAAACCAGAAAATAGTAGAGTATTTTCAATATGCTGGGGCCAGGGAGGTGGGGGCAATCAGTGAATACCAATGTAGAATTCATACCCAGTGAAAATAACTTTCAAAAATGAAGAGAAAATACTGACATGTTTACGTTTAAAAAAACAAAAATGAAGTTATCACCAGAAGACCAGAAGGAAATTTTAAAGAATATACTTCACGCAAAAGAAAAACGATCTGAGATGGAAGTTTCAAAATGCAGCAGAGAATAAAGTACAAGTAAGACAGTAAACATATGGATAAATACAAAAGAATATTGGCTGTATAAAATAAAAACAACATCTTATGGCATTTAAAATATTATAGCAAAATTCCTTGGCAACAGTAATATATAAGTTAGAAGGGTAATAAATGGAGCTAAACTATTCTAAGGTTCTTTGTATTATCTGGTAGAAGAGTAAAAATATTTATTAACATTAGACTTTTATAAATTATTAATGAATATTTTTGATAATTATAAATGCATTTTTTAATTTTGAGAGTGAGCACTAAAAGAATGTTTAATGTAATTCCTAAACTACTAGATTTTTAAACAATGGAATCATAATTAAATTCAAAAGAAGGCATTAAAGAAAAAAAAGAACAAGTGGGACAAATAGCACAAAATAAGATGATAGATTTATTTTATTTCATTTCATTTCATTTTTTGAGACAGAGTCTTGCTCCGTTCCCAAGCTGGGGTGCGTGGCACAATCTTGGCTCACTGCAACCTCCGCCTCCAGGCTCAAGTGATTCTTGTGCCTCAGCCTACTCAGTAGCTGGGATTACAGGCATGCGCCACTCCGCCTGGCTAATTTCTTTATTTTTAGTAGAGACGGGGTTTCACCATGTTGTCCAGGTTTCACCATGTTGGCCAGTCCTGGCCTCAAGTGATCCACCTGCCTCGACCTCCCAAAGCGCTGAGATTACAGGAGTGAGTCACCACACCCGGCCAAGATGGTAGATTTAAATCCAAACACTTAGTAATTTCAATAAATGGACAGAACCTCAGAATTAGAAAGACTTCTCCACCCACATGCAGGAAGTGCTGGAAAAATCAAGTTTCTCCTTGGGCACAGATGGAGGCAAGTTGCCCTGTAAACTTTTCCACTTGAGTGACCTGAGATTTTGCCACTATTCTCCAGCCTGGGTGACAGAGCAAGACTCTGTCTCAAAACAACAACAACAACTTTGCAGCTTGGAGGAGCAGAAAAAAATGCATGCTCTCTTGGGGCAACTTGGTCAACTGGATCCCATGAGAAAATGGAAGAAGGTAGTACGTTTGGATGTCCCTTCGAAATTTCATGCTGAGATGCAATCTCCAGTGTTGGAGGTGGGACCTGATGGGAGGTGTTTGGGTCATGGGGGTGGATCCCTAATGGCTTGGTGCTGTCCCCGAGATAGTAAGTGAGTTTTTGCAAGATCTGGTTGTTGCAAAGTATGGCATCTCCCCCACTCCACTCTCTTGCTCCTGCTTTCTCCATGTGAAGTGCCTGCTCCCACTTTACCTTCCTCCATGAGTAAAATCTCCCTGAGGCCTCCCCAGAAGCAAAGCAGATGGTGGTGCCATGCTTGTTCAGCTTGCAGATCCATGAGCCAATTAAACCTCTTTTCTTTATAAATTACCCAGTCTCAAGTAGTTCTTTATAGCAATGCAAGAATGACCTAACACAGAAGGGTCTCACAAGAAAATGGAAAGGGATAACCTGTTGAACACTCAAACATGCCCACTTCCTGTTCCCAGTTTAATCAGGAAAATAATTCGCTTTTTCCCTGAGAGAAATGCAGGAGGGGGCAGAAAGGGGTCAAGAGTATTACAATAATTGAGAAAGCTCGGGAAAAGTCGGGCCACTTCCACAGAAATATTTTTTGTTTTAGTCTAGACCATTATGACATGTTTATTTGAGGTGTGGGGGGAGGACAGATTAGAAGGGGTGAAGTGAGTGTACATAGAAGACAACTCTCTAAAAATATATAAAGTCTATACCAAGTTTAGGGAGGAATAGAGAGAATGAGTCAAGCGTTGTTAGGACAAAAATAAAGAGTAATAGGAGGAGATACAAATGATTGGGAGCAATAGGGGAAAAAAATTGGTTAATACAAAACTTCAGATGGCATATCATTCTTTCAAGGCTGTATGTCTATCTTTGGTATCAATTGCACAAAAGCACTTTTTTAAAGGTGCATTTTTCAGCTAAAATGGGAGAGCAGTTTCAATCAAAGGGCTCAAATAGAGTTAGAAAATATATCATCTCAACCCTTCCATCTTTAAAAATACCCCTAAGCCAGCCACCTCAGAAAGATAAAAATATATCCTGTATTTAAAGACCTTTAAGAAAGATTCTACATGCCATCTTGAAAATTAATTTCAGCACTTTAACACTACTTATTTTATCAATTAAATTAACCATCATTCAGAACCTCAACAGGAGCTTCTTCAAAAAGAAAGCAATTTAACCTACGTTTAAATCCAATTTTTTTCCTTCCAAAAGACAGATATTACGTGAGTGCCATAAGGCTGGTGGTAAAATACCCCATCAAACTCTCAAGCAAATCTCCCCACAAGAAGACTTAGAAAAGTAGGAAGTTGCATGAAAATGAAAAAACCAGAAAGAGCATCGTTCTTCATCATTATTGCTTGACAGACCTGGTGTAGGTGCAGAATTTATAATGCTAAAGTGAATTGCTTCACTTTGCAGAAATCAATGGAAGTAAAATTCAATTTAAACTTTTTATTAAAATAACATAAATTGTAAGATGTGACTTTCCTGTCATAGTATATTATCAAGACTGGTAAGGATTACTAAAGGTAGAACCAGAAAATCATCATTCAAGTACATGAATTATGCCCTTGCGAATAGAGTATTGGCCTTCTTGAGCCCAACAAGACAAGAAAATTTAAGCCAAATCCATATATTGCAGGCACACTGAACTGCAATATAGCATTCTAGGCATGTCAGCAGTCCCCAGAGACAGTGATTGGTATGGCCAAGTCGATTACACAGTAATATGCGTCAATTATCCAAATCACTGAAATTTGGAAAGAGACCAGGTTATACACTATCCTTTTCAAAACAGCGATATAGCTTAAGAACCGGCAATATTATAAAGGATGTACACTTGTGGCATTCTATCCTGAACCTCATCTTAAGGCAAAACAAACAAACTAAAATAAAAAAACAGCTAGAGAGAATCAAGTGCATTTAAAATGCTAACACAAAACCCATAAGAGATCTTTGGGGATCCAGAAGGTGGGGAAGAAATGGCATCCCAAATTCACCAGGAGATTGGCAAACTGAGGCCTAAGCTTGGACTCCTCTCCCGAAATACTCATTATAAGCCAAGGTAGCAAATATCCCCAGAGAAATATAGGCTTGGAAGGAAAATGGCATTAGAAGGGCATAAGTGCTGTAAAACAAGACAACAAACCATAATACATAGCAGAGATTAATTCATGGAACAAATAGATTAGGAATTTAAGGTAAGCATAAAATCAAGTATTGGTTACATGATGCAGAAACAAGAATTTTAAAGAATCAGTGAAGAACCATGACAGGCAGCATGGATAGAGCAGAAAGCTACCTTAGAGAGTTGGAAGACCAAAGAAAACAACCATACCAGAAGGATTCAGGAATGGAGTAACAGATGGAATAGATGAAGGATATGAATGCATGAAAAGATATAAGAATAGTGTTACCATCTGTATAATAATGTAATGGGAGTCCCAGAATAAGAAAACAAAGTAAACAGAAGGAAGTAAATATTTGAAAAATTAATGACTGCCAATTTCTCAGAATGAAAGATGAAACACCTCAGTTTGTAAAGACTCAGAGTGCCAAGGACCTTACAGAAGAGAGAGGGTAAAGAAAACCCAAAATCTAGACATCAATGGGAAAAAACTGAAGCACTTCAAAATTTGAGATTAAATGAGTAAAGCTTTCAGAAAGAAAGAGCAATTCAACTATAAAGAACAAAGTTGAGATTGTTACCCGTCTTCTCAACATTTACACTAGAGACAATGGAAGAATATTTTTAAAGTGATTCAGGAAAATTACATTAAAGGTAGAATTTCATGTCCAGTAATCTATCATTTAAATATGAGAAGACAATAAGGATATTCTTTGTATGCAAAGCCTCAGAAGATTTACCACACAAGACCTACTGCAAAAACACCCTTAGAAAAAGGACTGTAACAAAAAGAAAAAAATAGTAATGCCAGATACATGGAAGTTAAGGTGAGCAAATAATTCAGTAAAGTATATTTTATCTAAAAAAGCAAAGGCAGAAAAAGTGAATGAACATGCATAATAATCCAGAAGTAAAACTGGATGATAATAAATGACATTTCTTCAGGGAAGATGGGGCTGGAAGCTGCAGTCAGAGAGAAGTGAGACTCCATTTTACAGATGAGGATACTGAGGCACAGAGAGGGTAAGGAAACTGAACAAGAGGCAGCACCAAGATTCAAACTCAGGCAGCCTGACTCAGAGTTCATAGTCTTCAGGGGAAACCGTTCCACCTCAGATCATCAGGCACTAGATTCTCATAAGGCGTGCACAACCTAGATTCCTTGCACTGTGCTATGAGAATCTAACGCTACCGCTGATCAGACAGAAGGCAAGGCTCAGGTGGTAAAGCTCACTCACCGCCACTCACCTCCTGCTGTGCAACCCAGTTTCTAACAGGCTGCAGACCTGTACAGGTCTATGGCCCATGGTTTGGGAACCCTTGAGATAGACAACAAATAAACAAAGTAATAGAACAAGTCAGCAAATTCTAGCTTCCAAGCTGGCTACCTATATTTATAAATAAAATTTTCTTGGAAGACAACTATGCCCATTCATTTACATATTTGCTATGGCTGCTTTTGCATTACAGCAGCAGAGTTGAGTAGTTATGACAGAAACTATATGGTCTGAAAAACCCAAAATACTACCTGTCCTTTAAGGAAAGCTTGCCAGCACTTGCTACAGAAGATTTAAACAATAAAATTAACCAGCTCAACCATTTCATACCTAGAGAGCATTTTACACCTAGAGAGTCTACATATCTTCCAAAAAGTGCATCAGATTGATTCCTGTAAAGCTCTAATTCCACCCTCACTGCATGAATGCCACAGCTGTCCAAAATATAACCCTAGCCACAATATTAGAGAATAAGACAAACATAAGGACCAAAGAAGATGAAAATCTATATCTTAAGAAAATGCTTTTCAACGGCAGCAAAAGCCAAAATAGACAAATGGGATGTAATTAAATTAAAGAGCTTCTGCACAGCAAAAGAAACTGCCATCAGAGTGAGCAGACAACCTATAGAATGGGAGAAAATTTTTGCAATCTACCCATCTGACAAAGGGCTAATGTCCAGAATCTACAAAGAACTTAAACAAATTTACAAGAAAAAAACAAACAACCCTATCAAAAAGTGGGCAAAGGATATGAACAGACACTTCTCAAAAGAAGACATTCATGCAGCCAATAGACACATGAAAAAATGCTCATCATCACTGGTCATCAGAGAAATGCAAATCAAAACCACAATGAGATGCCATCTCACACCAGTTAGAATGGCGATCATTAAAAAGTCAGGAAACAACAGATGCTGGAGAGGATGTAGAGAAATAGGGATGCTTTTACACTGTTGGTGGGAGTGTAAACTAGTTCAACCATTGTGGAAGACAGTGTGGTGATTCCTCAATGATCTAGAACTAGAAATACCATTTGACCCAGCCATCCCATTACTGGGTATATACCCAAAGGATTATAAATCATGCTACTATAAAGACACATGCACACGAATGTTTATTGTGGCACTATTTGCAATAGTAAAGACTTCGAACCAACCCAAATGTCCATCAATGATAGACTGGATTAAGAAAATGTGGCACATATACACCATGGAATACTATTTAGCCATAAAAAAGGATGAGTTCATGTCCTTTGCAGGAACATGGATGCAGCTGGAAACCATCATTCTGAGCAAAGCATCACAAGGACAGAAAAGCAAACACCGCATGTTCTCACTCATAGGTGGGAATTGAAAAATGAGAACACTTGGCCACAGAGTAGGGAACATCACACTCCTGGGCCTGTTGTGGGGTGGGGGGCTGGGGGAGGGTTAGCATTAGGAGAAACACCTAATGCAAATGACGAGTTGACGGGTGCGGCAAACCAACATGGCACATGTATACCTATGTAACAAACCTGCACGTTGTGCACATGTACCCCAGAACTTGAAGTATAATTAAAAAAAAAATGCTTTTGAGTGTGACAGTTACATATACAGATCTTCAATGCTAATTTAAATGAATGTGGATGTCTAAGTAAAATATCTCCATGCAACTGTGAACATTTGTCAACAAGTTCTTAGTAAGCACTTGCTGCACATCTCTTAAAAGAGAAAGAGTGAAGTATAGCAGGTAAGAGTTTGGGCTTAGACACCAAACAGCAAAAGTCTTATTTTCTCTTCTGCCCCTTAACAGTGTGTATCTTTGGAGGAAGTCACCTAATTACAGTTTGCCCCAATTTCCTGATCTGTAAAATGAGGCAAATAATAATATCCACCTGATCACAGAGTTACTGGGAGTAATAAGTAAGATAATGTAAATGCAAACAGAGTTTAGCATACTTCCTATGTGTTTTCACATAGGAAGTTTTCAATAGATACTATTGAATTACATATCGATTGGGGTTACTACAAATAATTGGGAAACCACCATGACTCCAGAAACAATGTGCTATAAGATTATTTTCTTTTGTTATCTTTTTCCTGTTCTAGCAGCTGAACCAGTCAGTTCAGTCTACTGCTATCCACTATTTTCTCACTAAAGGAGAATATCCATGTATAGAAATAAATGTTGTTGGGGAGGGGACAGAGGAAAGAGCCTGATATCTGTAATAAGGAGATAATAGAGTTCGACATGTAAAGAAATCCAAATTTAGGAGGCTATCTTTTATTTAGTTCTTCGAACGCCTCCTAAAAATGACTGTCAGAAATGATAGTTGGGGCAGAAATATTTTAATGATCAGTACCATAGAAAGCAAGCTGTTAGCATGAAGGACCTCTACGGTAGGAAATCAATTTTTAAAATAGAAGTATAAAGAATCTTTTCTCTTAACTCCAACCATGATGGTGTAGGTCAAAAAGCTATACCTCATTCTGAGCAGGGATGAAAAGATATAAAAATAGGATTATCAGACTTCAAAAGTGTCAAAAGACAAAATTACAACAAATTTAGTTTAACGATATAAATTGGCTTTTATTTGTGATTCTAGAATCGGGCAACACCTCATTCTGTAAGACAGGATGAGTGTTCCCATGAGCTGAGCAGAGGAGGTTGGCTTTACAGATAGAAAAGAGCTGAATAAAGCAGCAACAGAACAAAAAGTAGATTGGTCATTTCAAAGTTACTTTCCTTGTGAAGGCTAAAGCAGAAGGGACTTCCTTATCATGCCAACTAAAACCAGCCTGCTTGGGGATTTGGCTATTATAGCTCTCTCTCTATTTCTGGGAAGGTCAGATAAACAACTTAGTTTCAGCTTGGTGGTGTGGAGCTTCAGCATGAGTGACTCCATTTGGGTTTGGCCTGTCAGACCTAGTGCAGGATCTCAGTCCAAACCAAAGGCCGCCTCTAAATTTTGTTTAACACAAGTAGCAAAGTTTCACCAAAATTTAGGAGACCTTTTTTTAAAAAAAAATCATACAGGCAACAGAAATAAAAATAGAGCAAGAAAAATTGGCAAAGCTCATGACTCCAAGATCAGGTTCACAAGCAGAACTTGGGTCCAGAATATGTAATTAATGATGCCAGTGGGGAAAGTTTACTTTCCATGTCTCTGGATACACTTTTTAATTTGAACATTCAAACTCCAAGAACCATAAGCTCTGTAACAAAGGAAGCCTAGAGGGGAAGAATAAAATACATTCCTCATTAATATAGTTTGGATATGTGTCCCCACCCAAATCTCATGTTGAAATGTAATCCCCAGTGTTGGAGGTGGGGCCTGGTGGAAGCTGATTGGATCATGGGGGCGGTTTCTCATGAATGGTTTAGAGTGTGTGTAAGTGTTCATGAAAGATCTAGTCATTTAAAAGTGTGTGCAACCCCCCACAACTCCATCACTCTCTTGCTCCTGCTCTGGCCATGTGACATGCCTGCTTCCCCTTCGCCTTCCACCATAATTATGAATTTCCTGAGGCCTCCCCAGAAGCTGAGCAGATGCCAGCACCAAGCTTCCTATACAGCCTGTAGAACCATGAGCAATTTAAACCTCTTTTCTTTATAAATTACCCAGTCTCAGGTATTTCTTCATAGCAATGCAAGAACGGGCTAATACACTCATCTTAGGTGAAGTTTCTTAAAAGGTTCTGAATCTTTATTGTGAGAAATTTCTACTTAGGAATCATTTCTATAAATAGGACTGTTTGACTCAAGGCTGACATTGTGCCTCATGGTCTTCATGGCATATGGGACTCTACATATGTGTTAGTTGTGTTCATCCTAAACCTTTAATCTATCATTTTACTTAAGCCTTTTTTTTTCTCTTGTGCTTGTAAGTCCTCATAGAACAACTTGTTCTATTAACTCATCAAGCCTACTCAATAATTACTACAACTAGTCATTTCAATTCACACAATGATTTAGAAGTATTTCCAAAGTAAACTGCAAATAATTAATAGCTTGACATATCATTTTTTCTGTGAAATGTTACACTGGTTGTATTAAAACCTGTATTTAAATAAATTATACTACTAACTCCAAAAAAAGTAATTAGAATCCCTGCATCTACCAATTCACGTTTTCCAAAGATGTATAGGAAAAAGATATTCTTTGAATTCTAAATATTATTATTGAAATGGGCCTACCACACACAAAACATATAGCTGTGTTCATTTTCAAAATCAAAGAAGCAGCACCAAGCAACTTGAAATTTGATGCAGATTTCCTTCTGACATTTATTTACTGAACTGTGTTGAACAGTAAAAAAAAAATACATTATAAAATTTCATTTCTGTAGGCAATGCTAGTGCTAATGCAATCAAATGGAATAAACAGGAAGATGCTTATAAAAAACTGTTTCCAGAGGCAATTACTATTTTTTAAACTTGTTCCTCAGGTTGTATCTTATCAAAGTTCTGTTTACACCTTATCTAGGATGTCAGATTGGATGATTTGCCTCTGTCAGATGTTGAAGTCTGAGTAAAATAAACAGTTTTCATTTTGCATCATAAAACTTCAGACCACAAGGCCATCATAAAAACTCAGGGATGAAAACAGAACACAGAGCAGGTTAAACAGAACATTTTTTATTCTCTTCTCTCTCCATAACAACAAACTGGGCTGAAAACACATAGCCATGAAACACCAACTATCCTTAGACAATTTCCCTTGAAGGCCCTGACCTCTAGAGACTTCTGTTTGTTCTGCATAATTTTTTAAATAAGTAATATCATATGATTACCAGGTGCCCTAAAGAAGACATGGGGACCCCCATATACTGCTGTGATTTGGCTGAAGGTGAAGCTGTATCCACCATCATGGCTATTTTTAGAAAAGAATAACCTTCTCTTTGGTTTTTGGTGTTCTATTCTCCATCCCCCAAGTACACTTTTAAAAGACTCTTTTTTATAAAAATAAGCCAAGGGGAAGCTAGTAAAGCATTTACCCCAGTGGGCTTCCCATAAGAACCTTTAGTTTTAGATGACAATAATTAAATATCAGCAATATTCAAGCCCAGGACTATGGAGACCTTGGCATTTCTTTAAGTAATTAGCTTTTTACCATTGTCTCAGAGTAATTGTTAAAAACCTCTTAAAATATTATACATAGAAATTGATAACTTATGTACACGATTTTTATAAATATCTCAAGCAATTAATTGAGGTAAAATCTTAGGAAAACTCCATGGAGAAACTAACTCTTACATCTGCTTCTTTCCCAACTGTTTGTATTCCTGGTTGTGGGGTTTTCTTGGGGATTCACAGACTACTTTTAAATCTACTAAAGGAAAACAGAAAGCCAAGAGTAACAAGAGTGGCACCTGTCAGAGGTCCCCGGAATGCCTACTACTGGTTGTATCCTTTTCCTGTTCCCAAAGAGCAACATGTTGCCATTGCAATGCCCTTTTAGCTCCATGAGCATGGGCCTCTTTAGGCTTGTTCACCACCATATTGCCAGTACCTAAAACAAACAAATTACTATTTTTAAAAAACCATTGTTTTTAATTCTGTAAATGCAAACTGCAGAAGATCATACCAATGTTTGGTTTTCAAAAATTATGCATCTTGAAATGTCTAATGAGAATATGAGGTAGATAGGAGGACTTGCTGTCTTAGCACAATCAAGGATCATAGTTTTTTCCCTTATCTGTGTTTAACAGATTTAAACTTAATTTGCCCTTTGCAGAACATATGGCCATTATGTTACGTATTCAGAAAATGAAACTAGTATTTAAGATTATATCATTTGATTCCTTATAGTTATGTTTTTATCTGAGTATTTAAAGATGTTTCAAAAGTAAAATCTTGTGAGTAAGGGCTGCCCTCTCAACCTGACTTAAAACTGTAAACCGTTCTCTTTCCTATATCTCTAATAACCCTTAGCCTCCTCAGATTTTATTTTAGTTTTTGGTTATTTTTTATTTTTTTGTTTGTTGCATTTTCACCTTCTAACACACCACATGTCTTTATTTTCTTCCCTCCCTTTACCCCCAATTAGAATATAAATGCCACAGGGATTTTTTAAGGACAGGAATATTTGTTTTGTTTACTAATGTTTTCTGTATACTTAGCTAAAACAGTGCCTGTCATAGAGTGGATGCTCACTAATTGTTCAATGCATGAATATTTTTTTTAAATTAGATATGCCCTTCTACCATACTTATATTAATAACTAGAAATATAAAACCACAAGTGCAAAACTGAGTAAGAATTATAACATATCCAACCGTGGTCTGTTTTTGGTAATGGCCTCAGGGAATGTTTCATGAGAAATAGCACGGACTTTTGTAATAACTGTTATACATTTGGGCAAATAGCTATAGAGCTTTGGCCAGGTTTTCTCAAAACCATTTCATCCCAGGGATGTATCTGCTTTGTTTATGAGCTTGGTGCAGGATATTCTTTGTTTCAGATCAGAATGCTTTTGTAAGCAAGTAATAATAGAAGGTTTGAGGGGATTAAACTATAACGACATTCATTGTTTACTTAACAAGAAAAGGTAGGCAGGCCCAGGGTTTGATCATGTTATTTAGGGTCCAGGCTCTGTCCAACTTTCTGCTTCCCATTCTTACCTTGTTGGATTTTTTTTTCTTTTTTTTTCTTTTTGCTTAGTCAAGTGCCTCATGGTTGCAAGATGGCTACCACTGCATAAGGCTTCATACCTGCACTCAAGACAGAAAAGAAGCAGGTGATGCAACACTGGGTTTCCTGACATCTGTTCCTTTTAGAAGAAAAGCAAAAAGTTTTCCAGAAAATCCAGCAAAGTTTCACTGACCAGAACCAGGTAACATGACCATCCATGGGGATTAAAAACGCTGGGAAGCAAATATATCTGGTCAAGAACTCAATTGCCTGACAATGATTGTCTAGCCTTGTGGGAGATTTTTAAATTCTTAATGCCTAGGCCCCACCTCTGACCAATTAAATTAGATTCATGGAGGGAAAGCAGGAATCTGTATTTTTAAAAGCCATCTGGATTATTATATTGTGCAGGCGGACCAGACCACCCAAGAATCATTGTGAGGGCTAGGCACATTGTCATCATGAGTGAAATCTGGGTTTTGTTAAAAACAGAAGTAAAGGGGAGGGGTTAAGCAAGCAAAAAACAGTGCCAGCCACACCTTCAATTTATTATTAATACTGAGAGGTGAGGCCAGCTGGACTTCCTGGGTGGAGTGGGGACTTGGGGATCTTTCCTGTCTTACAAGAGGATTGTAAAACGCACCAATCAGTGCTCTGTAAAATGCACCAATCAGCAGTCAGTAAAACGCACCAATCAGTGCTCTGTAAAATGCACCAATCAGCACTCTGTAAAATGCACCAATCAGCGCTCTATAAAATGCACCAATTAGCAGGATTCTAAAAGTAGCCAATCATGGGGAGGATTGAAAAAAGGGCACTCTGATAGGACAGAAACAGAACATAGGAGGGGACAATAAGGGAATAAAAGCTGGCCACCCCAGCCTGCAGCGACAACTCTCGTGGGTCCCCTTCCATGCTGTGGAAGCTTTGTCCTTTTGCTCTTCACAATAAACCTTGCTACCGCTCACTCTTTGGGTCTGTGCCATCTTTAAGAGCTGTAACACTCACCGTGAAGGTCCACGGCTCCATTCTTTAAGTCAGCAAGACCATGAATCCACCAACAGGAGCCAACTCTGGACACATTACCACACCTCTACTTGAAAAGACTCATTCTGTTGTTCATGCTTACATTTATTCAGTGGACACTTATTACACACCTACTAAGTCATAGGCACTGGGGACAAAAAAATGAACAAATTCCATAAGTCGGAATCTAATGTGAGGAGACAAATATGTAAAGAAAATCCATCAAACCCAATATAACAGGGGCTGGGAGAAGGGATGAATGGAGAGTTATTGTTCAATGGGCACAGAGTTTCAGTTTTGCAAGATGAAAAGGTTCTATGTTGCGGGAAGTCAGGGACCCCGAATGGAGGGACCGGTTGAAGCCGCGGCAGAAGAGCATAAATTGTGAAGATTTCACGGACATTTATTAGTTCCCCAAATTAACACTTTTATAATTTCTTACGCTTGTCTTTACTGCAATCTCTGAACATAAATTGTGAAGATTTCATGGACATTTATCACTTCCCCAATCAATACTCTTATAATTTCCTATGCCTGCCTTTACTTTAATCTCTTAATCCTGTCATCTTTGTAAGCTGAGGATGTATGTTGCCTCAGGACCCTGTGATGATTGTGTTATCTGTACAAATTGTTTGTAAAACATTGTGTTTGAACAATATGAAATCTGGGCATCCTAAAAAAGAACAGAATAACAGCGATTTTCAGGGAACAAGGGAGATAACCATAAGGTCTGACTGCCTGCGGGGCCTGGCAGAACAGAGTCATATTTCTCTTCTTGCAGAAAGCAAATAGGAGAAATATCGCTGAATTCTTTTCCCAGCAAGGAATAACCCTGGGAAAGGAATGCATTCCCAGAGGGAGATCTCTAAAATGGCCGCTCTGGGACTGTCTGTCTTATGCAGTTGAAGATAAGGGATGAAATACACCCTGGTCTCCTGCAGCGCCCTCAGGCTTGCTAGGATTAGGAAATTCCAGCCTGGCGAATTCTAGTCAGACCAGTTGTCAGCTCTCGAACTCTGTTTCCTGTTAAGATGTTTATCAATGACAATGCGTGCCCAGCAGGACATGGAACCTCATCAGTAATTCTAATTTCACCCTGGCCTTGTGATCTTGCTCTGCCTGTCTGCCCTTGTGATCTTTTATTGCCCTTTCAAAGCATGTGATCTTTGTGACTTACTCCCTGTTCATACCCCCCTCCGCTTTTGAAATCCCTAATAAAAACTTGCTGGTTTTGCGGCTCAAGGGGCATCACGGAACCTGCCGACATGTGATGTCACCTCCAGAGGCCCAGCTGTAAAATTTCTCTCTTTTGTAGTCTTTCTCTTTATTTCTCACTCTGGCCGATACTTAGGGAAAAATAGAAAAGAACCTACCTTGAAATACTGGGGTCTGGTTGTCCCGATAGTTCTAGAGATCTGTTTAATGTGAATGTAGTTAACACTACAGAACTGTACACTTAAAAATGGTTAAGATAGGCCAGGCACAGTGGCTCATGCCCGTAATCCCAGCACTTTGGGAGGCCAAGGCAGACAGATCACCTGAGGTCAGGAGTTCGAAGCCAGTCTAGCCAGCATGGTGAAACCCCACCTCTACTAAAAAAATACAAAAATTAGCCTGGCATGATGGCAGGTGCCTGTAATCCCAGCTACTCGGGAGGCTGAGGCAGGAGAATTGCTTGAACCCGGGAGGGAGAGGTTGTGCAAGCCAATATCACGCCACTGCACTCCAGCCTGGGCAAAAGAGCAAGACTCTGTCTCAAAAAAAAAAAAAAAGGTTAAGATAACTTTCATGTTGTGTATTTTTTACCTAATTTATAAAATAAAACAAAAAACTAATATGCTAGGTCCTAATCAAGGACTAAGACTAAAGAGCCTGTGGGAGAACAGAGGATAGTTTTCATTTATTGAAATCTCTGGAAGCAGATAATCTCTGCCCAGCTTATCAGTAACTATCTGTCTTTGTTCTTTAATTTAACCCTCTACAACCTAATCTGGGGACACTTACCTTGCTTAGACTGTGATAAACAAATGGCAAACAAGCAGTTGCTTCATTCTGGGACAGCCAGATGACACCTTCATGGGAATGAAATCAGCAGACCAGAGAGCCAGAAAGAGACCTTGGAACTTAGAAGGCTTAAAAAAGCTTTGAGTTATTAAGCCCAAGCCTTTCTTCCCATCCTCTGTGTAAACAGGCCAGTAACCCACTAACAAACCTACTCTTAAAACTGCATATATTTAAGGCTTTTCTTAGCCTTCATTTCAGCAAGCTAAACAATCTCACCTCCTTTAACCTTTCATGTAAGATTTATTTTTTTTTAGTTATTTTTTTCCTTGAACTTCTCTAATTTCATACTCATGTTAAAAATGAAATTATTGGCTGGGCATAGTGGCTCACACCTGTAATCCCAGCACTTTGGGAGGCCGAGGCAGGCAGATCACCTGAGGTCGGGAGTTCAAGACCAGCCTGACCAACATGGAGAAACCCCATCTCTACGAAAAATACAAAATTAGCTGGGCGTGGTGGTGCATGACTGTAATCCCAGCTACTTGGGAGGCTGAGGCAGGAGAATCACTTGAACCCAGGAGGCAGAGGTTGCGGTGAGCTGAGATTGTGCCATTGCACTCCAGCCTGGGCAACAAGAGCAAAACTCTGTCTCAAAAAATAAATAAATAAAATTATTATAATAAATATCAGAAAAAATATTATGTTAAATAATAGTTAACAAATGTCCAATTTGTGATCAGTTCATGGTCCACTCTTAGTGTTTAGGGTTATAACAGCTAAATTGGGATTAACATTGTGCCTAACCAGTCTTTCCCTTGCATTTGCCCCTATCAGATTTATCTTATTATTGATAATTTTTTTCTCAAGTTTTTGAATATCACTTCGACGGTGTTTGGGTAGAAGGCCAACTATAACTTGAAGAAGAAGAGCAAGAGATTTCCAAATCAAGTTATCACCTAGCACAGTTTTCAATAATGTACATAAATTTTTAAAATTGGATGTATTCCCAGCTTGAAGTAGCAAATACAGTCATGCATCACTTAATGAAGAGAATATGCTCTGATAAATGTGTAATTAGGCTATTCCATAGTTGTGCAAACATCATAGAGTATACTAACACAAAACTAAATAGTATAACCTACTACAGACTTAGGCTATATGGTATAGCCTATTGCTCCTAGGCTACAAACCTGTGTAGCATGTTATTATGCTGAATCCTGTAGGCAGTTGTAACACAATAGTGACTATTTATGTATCCGAACACGAAAAAAGTACAGTAAAAGTACTGTATTAAAAATGAAAAATGATACCTGTATAGGGCACTTGCCATGAATGGTGCTTGCAAAACTGGAAGTTGTTCTGGGTCAGTGAGTGAGTCAGTGAGTGAGTGGTGAGTGAATGTGAAGGCCTAGGATATTACTGTACATTGCTATAGGTTTTATAAACACTGTACACTTAGGATACCCTAAATTTATATAAAAATTTTTTTCAATAATAAAGTAATCTTAGCTTAGTGTAACTTTTTTACTTTATCAACTTTTTAAATTTTTCTTACTTTTCAACCTGTTCATGATAACACTGAGCTTGAACACAAACATATTACACAGCTCTACAAATTATTTTATTTATATCCTTGTATCCTTATAATCTATAAGTTTTTTCCATTTTCAAAATTATTTCTTTTAGTTTTTAAACTTTTTTGTTAAAATCTAAGACACAATCACATACATCAGCCTAGACCTACACAGTGTCAGGATCATCAAAGTCACTGTCTTTCACCTCCTTATCTCTACCCACTGGGAGGTATTCAGGGGCAATAACACACACAGAGCAGTCATCTTCTATGATAATCTCTTCTTCTAGAATACCTGCTAAAGGACCCATCTGAGGCTGTTTTACAGTTAACTTTTTCTTTATAAGCAGAAGCAGTATACTCTAAAATAATGATTTAAAAATACAGCATAATAAATACATATGCCAGTAACATAGTCATTTATTATCATTATCAAATATTATGTACTGTACATAATTGTATGGGCTATACTTCTTTATGACTGGCAATGCAGTCTGTGTAGGTTTGTTTATACCTGCATAATATCATAGCACAACACGTTACTCATATGTTTGTAACATGTTGTAACAAACATATGAGTGATATGAGTGACATGTTGTGCTATGAAGTTATGACAGCTATGATGTCATTAGGCAATAGGGATTTTTCAGCTCCATAATGATCTCACAGTACCACCATCATATATGCAGTTGATCATTGACCAAAACATCTTTATGCAGTACATGACTCTGCTTGACATAACTGGGCTATACAATTAAAACATATGGATGTCAAATATATCTGAGATTGTTTGGATTAACAATAATTTCCAATATTTGTTATAGACTTCTGTGTCTTAGGACTTTATTTACTAGATGATGCTCAGTAGCAAAGTTGTCTTCCAGGAAATCCATCTTTCCAAAACCGTAGCGGGCTGTGCTCAACCCACAGACAAGAAGCCTTGGGGTTTTGTAACAGCACTTCTCTCCCTCCCAGTACACACACTCTTTCACAAATTTAGGAAGTCGTTATTTAAAGAAGCTCACCACCACTGTTAAAAAGAAAGCTGCCAACTTAAGAGTGTGTGTGCCCAGCCCAAAAACTCTGGAAAACCTACACTGTAACCTGCATCTAACGTAGACAGCCAATACAACATTCAACGCAATCTACGTACAATGTCCAGATAACAGATTCAATCAATTCTGATTAACACAATTAATCAATGTGCTAGTACAAAATATTTTTTTTTTGAGATGGAGTCTCACTCTGTTGCCCAGGCTGGAGTGCAGTGGAGAGATCTAGGCTCACTGCAGCCTCCACCTCCCGGGTTCAAGCAATTCTGTCTCAGCTTCCTGAGTAGGTGGGATTATAGGCATGCACTACAATGCCCCACTAATTTTTGTATCTTTAGTAGAGACTGGGTTTTACCACGTTGGCCAGGCTAGTCTCGAACTCCTGACCTCAGGTGATCCACACGCCTCAGCCTCCCAAAGTGCTGGAAAACCTATAAGAAATCACAAAATATAAAATTGAGACTATAAGGCCCAACCCCTGATTATAATCCCCATTAATTAACCTGCCCTGAGTTGGCCCAAGATTGCATTGTCCACACCTATCAACAATAAGTAATAAGCACTTAAGCATTAGAGGTTTGATTTATAGAAAATCTATTGTCAGTGAGGAATAAATTCAGCCAAACTCAGATGTCAACTGGATTATCTTGATTTAAAATTGGTTTGCACCCGCATTCTATGGCAATGATGACCCAGCACCCCTCTCTGTGCATTCCCTGATGACAGACCACATGCTTAGGTGCCCCTTACCAGCCTGTGCTCTGACTTCCTGCTTCTCCTGAATGTACTCCATTGAAAGACCTCCACAACCCATGCAGAGGATGCCACTCCTTTTCCTTATCACAGCACCTTACTTTGAGTGCATCACCCTGGTACTTTCACTCCTACTATTTGAAGCAAATGGCTGTGTTTTGTTTGTTTATTTTACTGAAAGTTTGGACCACTAAAGATGGTTTAACCTGGCAGTGCCAGAAACAAATTTGAGCACTGAACATCCTTCTTAGAAGTTCTCAGCCAACACCCCACAGCGAGTCTCTTACGGCCAGCTCATCCTCACTGGTCTCAGCTTTGCACGATGCTGTTCCACAGGTTCCCCATTATCTGATCTTTCCCCCCCGTTAGGGTATTTCCTACCTCCTTTTGACTTCTTACGCAGAACAGTTTAATTATCTCTGTATTTCTCTGTTTATGACTTCAGAGCCTCACTAAACTCCATCAAAAAATTTTCGTAAACAGACTATTTTGTACCTAAGATGAATTCCAGGACCAGCTTTTAAAATTATTTTTCTTAACCTGGCTACATTTCGATTTCGAAGTTTATGAGACAGAAGTTCCATATCATCTAAACTGATCAGAGAGACAGAGCACCAAAGCCATACATAGTGATTGAAGGTGCAAATATTGTTACCTGTCTGTGATCTGAAAGCTCAACTGGCATCAAATAATTTCAGGCATTATGTCTTATTTCAAAGATGTTTTACGAGAGAATGAAATGATTGCCTAAGCCAGTGCTTCAGGTTGTATGCTTTTGTTTTGTATCTGTATTGTTTTTCTGTTTAGCCAAGTAATTCATACTCATTGCAAAAATTGTAACATTAAATATGAATATAAATAGTAAATTTTTAATTATTAGATTTCAGACTTTTTAAAAGAAAATCATTAGAGGATAGGCCTGATTATGTGTAGATATAACAGAGAACACTTTTTCAACGGTGCTAAAATCCATTTTTCAAAATCATGCAAGATATCCATGGGCAGCAAGTAATTATCACTCTTCAACAAAAAGAAAAATATAAAAAGACAAATATGTAATAAGTAAGTCTGCTTGTTCCATAGTCTACTCTTCCTTCATGCCAACGACAGGAGCAATACTGACTGAATAAAGCCAATGTTCTAATAAACTCTTCAGATTTTATTCTGCCAAATACCATTCATAATGAAGTAAGGTACTCTATTTGTGTTTTTGAGAAAATAAAAGCTAACCCTTTGTTGTTTTTATTTGCAGATCACATCTGCTTGAGTTTTGAGGGAATTATTTTTTTCAGTTACCACTAAGAAAATACACAAAATAAATGACCATCTACTAAAATGGAATAAGACATACAGGAAAATGAAAAGGATAAATATCAAAACATAGGTATCCTAGCTAATGTTGGACATTTCTGGGGCTTTCTTTGTACCAAGAAATAGAAAAAGTTAGGTAATAGCAAACCTCTAAGGAAAATAATAATTCATAGTCAATATTATCATGAATGCAACAAGAGAAAAGGAATATTAAAACAATAGTCTGAGGGAGGTGAACATAACTGCAAAAAGAAAATGGCTTTATTTAGTCACTACAGTTGATTCAAGTAAATTGAAGAAAATTGCAGATATAGTCATTCATTCATTCAACATATATATCCAAGAAATAATATCCATACTCTCTTCCAACTGGGGCATCATTAGGTCTATATTTTGAGTTTTATGAGCTCAAAATATATTTAAACAAAATCACATCAAACAGCCTCATGTCTTGAAATATGCATTAAATACATGCCACACTTTTCAGAAAAGACATTGGAAATAGTCAACTATACTTGTATATCAAAGTAATTTCATGCACTATAGATCTGAAGCAAAAATAACATATAAAAAAAGAATTATCTCTCCAGATCAGAGCATAAAGATTGTATCTTTTGAATTTTGATTCTACATTTAAACTAGTGCTATAAACACTAATTAGCAAATACTGTTTTAAAGACAGTATTTACATATACCATGAAATGTTCTGCTGAATTTTCTCCTTTTGATTGTATGTTCAAAGAAGCACCATTCAAGATGATTATTGTGTGTACTTAAGTGGTTTAAAGGATCAGTATGTGACCAATAGTTTTTTCCCAAATGGCTTGCACTTGCAGTCGTAAAAATATGTAGATTCTCTTTTTCACAATCTATACTGACTTGGTTGGAATGTGTCTGTCTGACAGATTCATGTGTCTGTATCTGTGGTTTTACCACAATACCATAACACAATTGAATTCCATAAAATTTATAAAATCCTACTCTTTCCAAGTTACTCTGTGGGGCTACGTGGCAGGAGTTCATCATACCTCCACAGTGCAATGCTCACAAATGAATGGGGGAAGAGACCAAGCTAATACAAATCACAGGGAGAGAAGCAAACCAAGCTAGCTGCTCCTACCTGGGAAGAGTGGATGCCTGTATCAATCAAGATTCCTTGTTGCAAGAAATAGATGCTAACTTTAACTGATTAAGCAAAGTAAAGCGTGCGTGTGTGTGTGTGTGTATGTGTGTGTGTGTGTGTGTGTGTGTGTGTGTGTGTGTGTATGACTCATTTGTTGGGCAGTCTGGAAAACCAATCTGGAAGCTAAGCTTTCAGAAACTGGCCTGACCAGAAAACTAACTGCTGCCACTACTACCACCACCCCCAGCAGTTCCACTTCTGCCTCAGGAACTCAATCCTGTTCATGAAGCTGTTCCTGAAGGTCAGACACCCCAACAATACCCCAGGAAGTAAAATGAATTGTGGAAAGAGCCTTTTCCCCCACATTGCTCATTTCTGAGTCACGTGAGGCTCACTGGTAATGTCTAGATCACATGACTATGCCCTGGTTAGCAAAAAGGCTCCACCTGTGGAGGTGGGTGGGGCCCATCAGAAGGATGATGCCCCAGACTTGGCAGAGATATGGTTTGGATTTGTGTCCCTGCCCAAATCTCATATCGAATTGTAATCCCCAGTGTTGGAGGACGGGCCTGGTGGGAGGTGATTGAATCATGGGGGCGGAGTTCCCCCTTGCTGGTCTCACGACAGTGAGTGAGATGAGATCTGGTTACTTAAAAGTGTGCAGCACCTCCCCATCCTCTCTCTTCCTCCTGCTCCAGCCATCTAAGAGAAGCCTGCTTCCCCTGTCCCCATGAATGTAAGTTTCCTGAGGCCTCCCTAGCCATGCTTCCTGTTGAGCCTGCGGAACAGTGGGCCAATTAAAACTCTTTTCTTTATAGATTACCCAGTCTCAGGCATTTCTTTATAGCAGTACAAGAATGGGCTAATATGGTGCTCAAAGGGAGATAAGAAACCAAAACCATGACAAAGGCTTACTCAGCTTCAGAATAAGCTCATTCATTCAACTTCATTAAGTGGCTACCGTTGCTGGGCCCAGTTGCTTTCATTTTATTCCCATATATGACACTGTATTGTCATCCTTTATATGCCCATCTCAGCAATTCAGCCCTGTCACCATTACCTCCCATTGATTTAAAAGTTTCTCAAAGGCTGGAACATTTAACTGGCACATTTGCCACAAACTCAACAAATATTTATGAATGAATAAATGAATGATAAAGGTATAAAATATTGCATAAAAGGGTACAAGAAAGGCAGGAAAGTACACCAGAGAAGATGTGGCATTCTAGCTTATCCTCAAAGAAAAAGAAAGAAAGGAAGAGAAGAGCGCTCTAGCCAAAGGGAACCATATAAGCAGAGGCCTGGGAGAAGGGAAGTAGTGGGCATTTTGAAGACGTTAGCACTTGAATTGCTTGGCATCTAGCAACGGTTCTTCATCTCATGGAGAGAAGAGGCCAAGGCTTGTCACCAACCCTACTCAACTGTACTGGAATACAGGAGAGTGGGGTGGCAAGCTTGACACTGGTGACTTCTCAGGTAATTCTGAGGAGTATTCCTGGGTAAGAAACATTATTTATAAAGTGTATAGGGAGGAAGAAGAGATAGTGAGGAAGAGAGGAACTAGAAAGGAAAGTTGTGAAGAAGTTTATTTTGGAGGTACTCCTATCCCCTTTGTGCTCTCACTTCTCTACTTCATTGGCCTCACTACATTGCCCTTATTCCTGTATCCTGCTTGCAAAGGCCCCTGCTGATAGGGCAGTTACAGCAATTCTCCTGAGAGGGGCCTCCTTAGTTGCCCTTTCATTTAGTTACTTTTTATTGGCATACATTTGAGAGGCCACCACAGGCAAGCCAGTGTTCTCGCTACAGATGCCCAGATGAAGTCATCCCATCCTCAAGGATTTCACAATCTATAGCACTTGCATTTTAATATATAAGTATATACATCATACACCTTTAAGAACTAAAAGAATTGCCAGTGGCACCAAAATAGGGAGCTATCTCAAAGCAAATATTCTTGTCCTAAATTCTTAAAACACCTCCACTTAAAAGTCTGTCCATTCTAAAATTGTTCCTGCCGACTTCCAATTTCCTACATGTTGAAATATGTAATATTCGAACAGTAAATTGCAGCTGGATATGCTAAATTTGTCTATAGGGATCCATAGTTTTCAGAAGAGACTTTTTTAAAGAAGAAGAGATGATGGAGAAAAGAGTACCTGAGTAATGGGGGAGAGAATTCCAGGCAACTCTCTTACCAGAAAACGAAACTAATTTCTCCCTAAAGAGGCAGAACTCCCCCATTCCATCGCACTGCAAGCATTTTGTGAAGGGCATTGGTACAGCTGACATACTGCAGCACAGTTCAAAAGGAACAAATGCACATGACTCCCACATATGAAACAAGAGTAGCCCCGACCTTGCTGACCAAAGGCTCCTGGAGGGGAAAAGACATCAGAAGAAAGAGGAGAAAGTAAGGGGAAGATCGATTGGCTCTGCAAAACTGCAGCCTCAGCTCAGCTGTGGTTTCACCCAGGCCAGCACACTGCTGGTCGGTGCTGGACTGAATAGGTCATTTCATTTTTTCAGCTGCCTTTGGTTGTACTGACATAACTGGGCCCCTACCCACCGCTCTACCGCATCTCTATCTACTCCACTCATATACTTTATGCTCTAATAACACTTAACCGCTATCGTGGCTTTCCTGTTCCCCACCCCCCACACGCCGTCTCATTTTCATCTGCTGCTTCTCCCTCTTACACATCCTTCATGCTGGACTCAAGAGCGATTTTGTCCAGGAAGCCCTCCCTGCCTCCTTTTTGTCGGTGCTGTCATAGCTTCCCGGGTATGTCCTCAGTGAGTCATTCAACTTCACCATCCTCTAAGCCCTTGAAGTCCAAACCCTTGCTTACCCATCTTTGAATCCTCAAGACAGGGTGGTGACTGGCGGAGAATAGGTGTTCAGTATTTGTTGAACTGAATGGAATGCATCCTATCTGCATACTTAACATCTTGGGCACAGAATGTAGAGAGAACTAAAGAGGGTTCCTGTCCTCCCCAGACAGACTTGACAGTCAGAACCCCAAAGTATAGAGAAGTTAAAATGAACTACGGCAGTAGCCCAGAAAAGGAAAACATGTGTCTGAGGGCAAGAAAAGAATTCATCAAAACGGTAGTGTGTGAGGGCTGGGTGCCTGTAATCCCAGCACTTTGGGAGGCCGAGGCAGGCGGATCGCTTGATCTCAGGAGTTCGAGACCAGCCTGGCCAACATGGTGAAACCCCTTCTCTACAAAAAATACAAAAATTAGCCCGGTGTGGTGGGGCTTGCCTGTGGTCCCAGCTACTGGACAGGCTGAGGTGGGAGGATTACTGGAGCTCAGGAGGTGGAGGCTGCAGTGAGCCAAGATCACGTCACTGCGCTCCAGCCTGGGCGACAGAGGGAGACCCTGTCGCAAAAAATAAAAAATAAAAAGCAGCATCAGAAGAGTCTTAGGACTGAACCTTGGAAAAGCTCATGTTATGTGACTCCATGAAGAATTTTTACTGTACGGCCCAGTAGAGCATGAGCTGGGTGGGGGCGGGGGTGTGTGTGGGAGTGTCGGGGGAGGTGAGGGAGTATCAGTTCTTCACCTTAACATCCCATTCTGAAGCACAGGACAGCCCCTTGTCAGAGACACACATGCATTTATCATTTCTGTATAACTGACTCAATATACAGCTACAGAGCTAATTTCACGCTGTTTATCTTGTAACATGGATTCTGTCTATGCTTCCCAAGTAATATTTTCATTTCCATTTTAAAATTCAGAGTTTAGAAAAATGCCTTCAAATACCGTTAGGAGAACCATTCAAATCAGGTGCCCAAAACTAGATGGCACATTGATTCATCTATGGCTGGATGGTTAACTAAGTAGTGCAAGAAATATGAGCTGTTTCAGAACGCAGACGTTTGTTAGAGAACAGGAACTTCTGCTCTCCGTCCTGGAGATTCCAACGTTTGGCCCGATTCTTTGTGAAAACAGACCAGGGCTCCTTCTATGAGAAGAGTAGAGGAGAGGAATGAAGGACAGGAAGAGGACGGAGTTGGGAGGAATGGAGGAAAAGGCATTATGTTAGATAGGGAGAAATCTAGGCTCCAGCCTCAGCTGTGCTGCTAACTCGCTGTCTCTTGACCTCTCTGGGCATTAATTTCCTCAATCTACAAAATAAGGCAACTGGACTGAATTATCAATTCTAACCCTTCCACCTGTGATTCTAACCCATTCTGGTGCCTAATCAAGGAGGGGACAGATGGTCAACCAGGAAGACCCATAGGGGCCACAGAGGGCTGATGCGACCCTCCCAGGCTCTCCGTCTCTCTCACCCTCTCCTTCCCCCTCCCTCTCCCCCTCCCCCTCTCCCTCTCCCTCTCCCTCTCCCCTTTGGCATCACACGCCCCTGCGCGCCGCCTCCAGGAGCGAGCCGCTCGCGCCCGAGGCCACGTGACCCGAAGGCGCGAGGGCGCGCCTGAGCCGCCATGTCGGAGGCGCGTGGAGAGCCAGGGTCCGGGCCTGAGGCTGGCGCCCGATTCTTCTGCACTGCGGGTCGCGGCCTGGAGCCGTTCGTAATGCGAGAGGTGCGGGCGCGGCTGGCGGCCACGCAGGTGAGTTGGCCTCGCTGCGCGCCTGGGGAGGTGGGCGGCCCTGTCCCTGCCCTGTTGCCCACCCCAGTCGTGGACGCGGGAAAGCGTCGCTGGCGCCCCTCTCTGTTCCACGCGACGGTCGCCGACCCCCGAGGTTGACTGGCAGGCGCTTCCGCTCCGGCCGAGAGAAGCCACCATTCCTTTCTTTCCTTGTATAGCAAATCCAGTTCCTCACTTCTCAGGGCTCAAGTTTTTAAGAGAGGTGTTGAGGCAAGTTATTTCCTGGATTCTTTAAAGTAGTAAGTAGTGCCTGTAATTAGAATCTGGCCTGTCAGAGTTAGAACCCTTCGCTCTTTAAATGCAAACATAATCTCCAAGTTCAGTTACCTGACTTTTTGTTAGTTTCTTGACAGTGATTGTATTTGACTACATAGGATTGTTGTGAGAATTAAATTATATAGCGTATGCAAAGTACACTTTAAACACGCAGTAAATAGCAGCCAGAAAAATAATATACTCTTGCAGGCCTCATAGTTATCTGTTATTGATTTCTGTGAAATGAACAAGGTTTTAAGCATCGGTTTAGGTTTTAGAATGTTGAAAACTGGTTTCTTGAAAGTAGGGGATGAAGGTATAATAGAAAAGGTATCTTGATGGGGTGTATGGGACACTGTGAGTGATGTACTCTTGGAAAAGGAGAGCTTCCTAAATGAAATTAACCCCTCCACCCTGGCAGCTCCTACAGTGTGGGAAGCCCACAAAAGGAGTTTCTGCAGTGAAAGGTTGGAGTCGTGAAGAATTATGTCAGTTTTGTTAGACTACCTGCCACTTGTGTTTTGGGTCACAGAATTTAATAGAGTATTGAATGTAGCTAATCTTAAAAAGCATCAATATATAATAACTACTGACATTTATTGAACATTTAATATGTGTCAGGCACATGTTCTTAGATCTTTACCCTATATTTATTTGCGTACTTTTCACAACAGCCCTATAAGGTAGGTGTTCCACATTTAACAGATGAGAAAAATGAAGCACAGGTAAGTCCGAGAATTTATTCAAGTCATGCAACTAGAAAATCGCAAAGATGGGATTCAAACCCGAGCTGGGAAATCAAGAATGAGTATATAATCATGTTCAAACCAGGCCCACTATATGACCATGACATAGGGGTGCGCTGGCTTGTTTTTTTAAATGCTAACTTAGAGTGCTTGGTATGAAAGAGAGAGAGAGCTTGGCCCAATTAATATGTAGGATTATTAGAAAAAGGAAAGACTCTCTGCTTGTTCTCCATCTTCTCTAAAGACAAATGAAATGGGGAAAACTTTATTACCAGGAAGAAAATTCAATTAAATACAGGGAAAACTTTTTGACAGTGGGAGTAATTAAATGCCAGTAGATTTGGGAATTTCCATATTCTGCTCTTGTATGTTTGAAAGATAGATAGGTCTGGAAATGGGATCTGAACAAATAATCTCTGAAATTCCACCCAAGTTGCTCTGATACAAAGTGAACTCTCAAAGTTAAGGCAATCCTGAAATAACAGTGATGACAACTAACATTTATTAAACACTTAAAATGTTAGACAAGTTATGTGCATGTTATGATTTAATCCTCAAAAGACTCCTATCTGATAGACTTTTACCTCCATATTTTACCAAAAAAAGAGAAAATTGGGACTTGTCTCTGAGTCTCTCTAGCTTTAAAGCCCATGTGCTTTACCACTAGGCTAAATTACCATGGGAATCTTCCCTGGAACATTGGATGTAGTTTATTTCTGTAACACCACGGTAGAGTACGTATGGTCTTTAGAATCAAAAGACCTGTGTGCAGATCTTATATATTCCTTTAGTGGATTTGTAACTTTGGGCAAATTACTCAAATTTCTGAGCCTCAATTTTCTTGGATGTAAAATAGAGATGATAGCTACTTTAAAGGATTACTGCAGTCCCTGAAATAAAGATAGCACAGGTAGCATGCTGCCTAACAAATAGTTGGTGCTCAATTTTAGTTCCCATACAATGAGTTGTACAGGAATACTTAAAACATTCTTTCAATGATAAGAGAGTGTTAGAAACTTTGGATCGCATCAAGGAAATTAACACTCTAAAATGTAAATTTACAAAACAGATTAATTCAAGAATGATTGTTTAAGAAAGTAATCACTTCATTTTAATGTGTTTTTCCAATTTTCATGAACATAAGAATCACTGAGGAAGCTTGTTGAAAATGAGTATTTCTGGGTGCCAGCCCCAAAAGGTTTTCTTTTAGTAGGGTGGCTGATAAGCCCAGGTGCTACCATTTTAACATGAAAACATGCTCCCCTCTCAGAGAACTCCCAACACACAGTTTGCAGTGGAAAATTTCCTGTGTATTCTTTTTAGCTTTTTATCATGGAGAATTTCAAAAATATACAAAAGTAAACAAAATAGTATGCCGAATCCAGCCTGGTATAGTGGCTCATGCCTGTAATCCCAGCACTTTGGGAGGCCAAGCCGGGCAGATTACCTGAGGTCAGGAGTTCGAGACCAGCCTGGACAACATGGTGAAACCCCGTCTCTACTAAAAATACAAAAATCCAGGTGTGGTGGCGTACACCTGTAGTCCCGGCTGTTCGGGAGGCTGAGGCACGAGAATTGCTTGAACCTTGGAGGCGGAGGTTGCAGTGAGCCAAGATCGCGCCACTGCACTCCAGCCTGGGTGACAGAGTGAGACTCCATCTCAAAAAAAAAAAAAAAAATAGTATACTGAGTCTCTATGGTGTAGTTTAACATGTTCCTCTATCCTCTGTATTTCCTGTAAGTTGGAATTCTGTAAGTTTTATCTAGAACTTGGTCAGATTCAGGTTTGATGTTTTTTCTCCCCTCTCGTTGTATGGCAAATTTCTTCATAAGTCCCTGGATGATGTTAAATATTTAATTTACATATCTACAAACACATATCACTTAGACTACTTTGAAGAAAGTAATATATTGAGAAAAATTAAGCTTTACTTCATAATGATGTTTAATGTATTATTAAGTACTGCTATTTATTGTAAGACTAGTAGTAGGATCAGTTATTTTAAGATAAAATTGAATGTTGTAGAGATATCTCTAATGTCAGTTCACCAGAAGAGTCCTGTCAGTTGATTCATTGATCTTTATAAACTCACATATCAAACACTATTAACACAGGTCCTGAATAGGCCACATAAATTTTTGTTTTTTAATGGTGGCATCACAGTCGAGGGTAATAGGGTAGAATTAAGCAGGAAGTCAAGTTATTCCATAGTTATTTTCATTTAATGGAATAATTGCATAAGGTTGCCTTAAAGATTTTCTGCATTCCCTTTAGATTGAATGCCTCTTTTTTTTTTTTTTTTTTTTTTTTTTGACATAGTGTTACTCTGTCGCCCAGGCTGGAGTGCAGTGGCGCAATCTTGGCTCACTGCAACCTCCGCCTCCTGGGTTCAAGCGATTCTCCTGCCTCAGCCTCCCAAGTAGCTGGGATTACAGGTGCCCAGCTAATTTTTGTATCTATAGTACAGACAGGGTTTCTGCTAAACATGTTGGCCAGGCTGGTCTTGAACTCCTGATTTCAAGTGATCCACCCGCCTTGGCCTCTCAAAGTGCTGGGATTACAGGCATGAGCCACCATGCCCAGCTGAATGCCCTTTTTACAAATTAAGTGAAACATATTTTTGAATTCCTTCTTCTAAAATAAACCAAAACAAACTCAAACAACACCTTAACCCATCACGTAGCACTTTCAAATTAATTCTGTAACTAAATGGCATCTGTAGAATTAGGAGACCTTTGGTACCTCCCTATATCATGATGTGTTTTTGCATAGATTTAAACTTTTTAAAAAAATCGTGACAGGATCAGGCTCTGTCACTCAGGCTAGGGAACAGTGGCGTGATCACAGATCACTGCAACCTTGATTTCCCCGGCTCAAGCAATCCTCCCACCTTACCCTTCTGAGTAGCCTCTTGGACTACAGGCATATGCCACTGTGCCCAGCTCATTTACTTTTTGTACCAACAGGGTCTCACCATGTTGTCCAGGCTGATCTCAAACTCCTGGGCTCAAGCAGTCCTCCCGCTTTGGCCTCCCAAAGCACTGGAATTATAGGCATGAGCTACCACATTCAGCCTAGATTTGAACTTTTAATCTTTGTGTTAAATTTGAATCCATGAATTTTAAAAGAAAGGAAAAATGCTGTTTAGATATGCTAGCAGATAATAGAGCTGTTATTAATCAAGGCTGTTACTTCATCTTCGGGAGTGTTATACATAAAACCAGCTGTTTTTAGATACTTGGTTATGATTTCATTCTAGATAGAAAAAAACAGATTGTATATATAAATAAATTTTCAGGTAAGAAACATGAGAATGAAATATTCCAAATGCCTTATTTCTCTGAGTGTTGTATTAAATATGAACAGTTACAAGCAGTAAAGAAAAAGAGAATTAGTAGCTTCAGCAGTTTTTGAAGTCATAAGCACCAAAATTCATTCTCCCTACTATTTTAAGGTATCATACCTATCTTCACAAAGAGTGAACTGTTTAAGTGCATTCACAGATAGGATTATTTGATTCTCACAGTGAGTACTATTTTACAATCTATTAAACTACAGTAAGTCCTCATTTAATGTCATCCGTAGGTTCCTGGAAACTGTGACTTCAAGCAAAAGGATGTATAATTAAATCATTTTTACCATAGGCTAATTGAAATAAACAAGAGTTCCTATAGCATATTTCTGGTCACAAAAATTTCACAAACTTCTAAATAGGTTATTTAGAACACTTCTGATAGTAAACGCTGAAATAACACTTCTAATGTTAAACATTGAAATAAATGTAATCTATACATACATTTAAGAAAGATTGATAAAAACAAGTAAGATAATTATTTATCCAACTGTTCCAGTTAAGTTATTCCAGGGTTTTCACTGGCCAGATCCTATCTTGGCAGCTCAGGGCACAAGGCGGGAACTAGCCCTGCATAGGATGCCATCCCATTGCCTGGCACACTCACACACACCCACATTTACTTGCACTGGGACCACGTAAACATACCAGTTACCTAACAGGCACACTCTGGGATGTCAGAGGAAACTGGGGTACTCAGAGAAAACCTATGCAGACATGGTTCACCCAGACAGTAGCCCTGGCTGGGAATTGGTATTTTTTCTTATCAATATCATAATGAAACCATGTTGAACGAAACAGTGTTATTCAAGGACCTGCTGTACTTCTGATAATATGCTTATTCTACAAGAAATGTAGGCCTTATGATAATTCGTAGAATAATGTTGCTGCTTTTGGTTTTGAGAATGTATAATTCTTAGAATAATGTTGCAGTTTTGGGTTTCAAGAATGTATTTGGCATTTTACTGCACCAATATATACTATTCTTATGATTTGATGCTCTAAATAAACTTTTTGGGTCCTCTTAATTAACTTAATAGTCGTGTTCTTTTTGGAAACCACTTGCCCCAGGGGGAAATATATATATTTTTAAAATATAAATATATATATATTTTTAAAATATAAATATATATATATTTTTAAAATATAAATATATATATATTTTTAAATATAAATATATATTTTATATATGTGTGTGTGTTAGAGAAAGCTCATCGGATAAAATGCTTCCCTTGATGTTTGAATAAGAAAAGAAGATCTTTGTACAAATAAGTAACTAAATATCTAGATCACTGGCTACTTAGGTTAAAGTCACTGGTCTAGATGTTTGCATCATTTTACTTGTTTACAGAATTTGAAACTTAAAATCATACATTTTCAGTAAAATATTTAGTTCGTTCCCCCAGAATCTTAGTAAAGTATTTCATCTGTTAAATTGTTCTATGATGGCTTTAGTATCAACTATATTCTTATGTCAGGTAACAAAATCTGAATTTTTGATAATTTACTTTTTGAAACTTTGTTTTCAAGTTTCTAAGCATTTTGAAGTATATACTTTAGTTTTGGGAAAATGTCACCTATGTAATGAGAAAGAAGTAAATTCTAGAAACCGGAAGTTCTGGTTTTGGTTACTTCACTATCCCCTTATATATTGATTCCTAAACATTCTTTTCATTCCCTGCTTCCTCCCATAATGTCATTGTCTGTTCCTCCATCTATTTTGGTCAGTGCTTTGCTGTCAGCTGTTTGAGTTTTAACTGTGCCAATCTAGCACTTCCTCAGGAGAGATTCTCTTTCATCAGCCTGGAGTAGCAACCCCAGAAATTACCATTCCAAGAGCTTAATTAGATCTTGACAGATCCAAAACAAGCATAAACCCTTGGAGTTCAAGTACCCATGGATGGTAGCTGCCTTAACACACAGGAAACCCCACATTCCCTGGTGTCTGTGTTCTAGGAGATTATTTAGAACCATGTTATTCAATTGGTGGCCACTGCTAAAAAGAGAATTCCAAGAAAGCCCACATCCATCCTGGACTTAAGAGGGTTGGGTTGACCCTAAAAGAGTTAAGATTCCACTGGTATTGAGCACCATTTGTCACAGCATGTTAGGCTTCCTGTGAGTCAGTGCTCTTTTCATTTTCCTTCTCTTGCCACATATCCATCCTGTCTCCAAAACCTGTTTCTGTTTGATGCATATGTCTTGCTTCTATTCATTATCTAGTTTCTGCAGCCAAGTATCTCATCATTTCTACCTTAGTAACCTACTTCTCCCTCTAGCATCACATTCTACACTCAGTCCTTTATGCCTCTTCTGGAGTAATTTTTTCTGCCAGCTAATTCAGTGCTGTCACAGTTTTCATCAAAAGTCTATAATGGTTGACCATTACCATTCGTGGTACTCAAAATTTCATGACCATTTGTCAAGCTGGCCTAAACTACTTTATCCATCCACCTGACACTATCAATCAGCATAATAAAGCAAATGTTGCTTACAGTTTACTTCAGCCAGGTTTTCACCCCCACTTCCGCATCTGCCCCTTGTTCTTTTGTTAGAATCCTTCTTCTCAAATCTTACAGGATTCTTTCCCAAGACTCTTTGTAATGTCGGCTTTCATAGTCATTGCTACTTAGTGTACTTACAGCTTGTCAGTGCATTATAATGTTAAAACTTTTTAGTTTTCTTCTGGATTTAATTCAAGTTATTGTCTTATAAATCTTATGTTTTAATGTGTATGTCAGTGTGTGTCTGTTATTATTCAGGATATATGTTTTATGCTTCCTGGTAGCCTACAGGTAGGTCTTCAATAAATATCCATCTTGGGCTAGACACCTAATTTGTCCAATACATTATACCTTTCTTTTGTCTACTTTTGGTGGTGATCGAATCTACCTTAGAGGGTGGTTATAAGGATAAGGAGGAAAATACTTATTCAGTGTTCCTAGTACAGAGCCTGACAAATAGTAGATACTTCAGAAATGGTTATTTTTATTTTTAATTTAGATGCTATATCTTGAGGGAAAAAATATGGTTTTTTCACTGACACTGGACTACATTAAAAGCTGTTTTTCTATTTCTAGGTTGAATATATTTCAGGAAAGGTTTTTTTCACCACCTGTTCTGATTTGAATATGTTGAAGAAATTAAAATCTGCAGAAAGATTATTTTTGCTGATTAAAAAGCAGTTTCCACTTATTATTTCTTCTGTAAGTAAAGGTATGGCATATTCATATGCATGTTGCTTTTACCCACATGATACATTGTACTCCAACATTTTCTGCTTGATAATATGTAGCCATTTTACACTTTAATATTCATTGACATGTGTGGGATCATTAATTATGTATTTTTCTGTATTTCCTGAATATTATCACCTGATTGTAGTAGAATATTTCTTCTCTTTGCAACCTGCGTGCTGCCTTTTTAATGAGATTTTAATGTCCTAAGCCACATTTCTTCTTTGAGAATTATGATCAGGTACCTTCTCTAGAGATATATATGGTCAGTTGCATTTATTTGGATTTAGAAACATGAACTAATCCAAAATGCATTCTTTTAATAGTAAATCAGTGAAAATCATCACCTTGTAAATTTTAACTGTGTGATATAATTGGAAAAATACTGCATAGTAAAAATTTATATTTCTAGGACCTTAAATGTTTTCGATAAACTTATGCCCACTTACCAAGCATTAGAGGTAAAGGGGGCATAAGAGATTCCTTGTCCACTCTCTAAATTTTATAAATATGCTGCTAAAACAACATATGGATCTTGATAAAAGCAGCAAAACATGGTCAGACACTGCAGGATTAAATGCTGCCGTAAACTTCAATTTGAATTACGTAAGAGATCATGTATTTATAGCCTATAATAAACTATTTTAAGAAAGATGCAAATGGCAAGAAATCAAGACCAAGCAGAGAAAATTGTTTTAAAGCAAATCCCAAAGTATTATACTGTGGGATCAATATAATTCCTCCTAGTACTCTACACACATTCATCTTAAAGAAATACAGTAATTTTGGATCATCTTGATGACTGTGGTTCATCAAGAAGAGATTAAACTTTGCTGAGCATACTGGCAGTATGCTAAGCTATAAATGGGTTGTGAGTTACTTTATGGAAACACATTATAATATACTTATTAATATGGTGTGGGCTAAAATGTAACAGGCCCAAGATTCAGCTCCTCTGTTTCTGAGCTGAGTTTTTCAGTTTATTTTTTTCTTATAAAAACTTAATTTTTATAGGGAAGATCACCATTATTTCAAAGATTGATAAACACTCTAGGTCTATGTATATATTGAAGAGATACATATATTACCATAGCACAAATAATCTTTCTAGGGTATTATATGGTAATTCTATAGGAATTTTAACACAATACGGATGCTATATATGCAATGTAAGAATGAACTTTATTCTGCACAATATTCTTATGGTAAATGGAATATGAACTCCAAATGAAAGTGAAGTTATTCGTGTAGCAATTTAATAAAACTTAATTCAAGGAAATAAAGGTAATTGAGTTTGAGGGTGATGATTGTAATAGATGGTCTTTAAAGCTTCAATAGAGGATCAACAAGATTTTTCTTATTTAGGAAAAATATTTAATGAAATGCAAAGACTTATAAATGAAGATCCAGGAAGTTGGTTGAATGCCATTTCAATTTGGAAAAATCTTCTTGAACTTGATGCAAAAAAGGAAAAACTTTCTCAGAGAGATGATAACCAACTAAAAAGAAAAGTGGGAGAAAATGAAATCATTGCAAAGAAATTAAAAATAGAACAAATGCAAAAGATAGAAGAGAATAGGGACTGCCAGCTGGAAAAACAAATAAAAGAAGAAACTCTGGAGCAAAGAGATTTTACCACTAAAAGCGAAAAGTTTCAAGAAGAAGAATTTCAGAATGACATAGAGAAAGCAATTGATACTCATAATCAGAATGACTTGACTTTCAGAGTATCTTGTCGCTGCAGTGGAACTATTGGAAAGGCCTTCACTGCACAGGTATGCTTGCATCCTAAAGTGGAGTCTGTCGCCCAGGCTGGAATGCAGTTGCACAATCTGGCTCACTGCAACCTCCACCTCCCAGGTTCAGGTGATTCTTTTGCCTCAGCCTCCTGAGTAGCTGGGATCACAGGTGTGCGTCACCACACCCAGCTAATTTTTGTATTTTTAGTAGAGACAGGGTTTCACCATATTGGTCAGGCTGGTCTGGAACTCCTGACCTCAAGTGATCCAACCACCTCGGCCTCCCAAAGTGCTGGGATTACAGGCGGGAGCCACCATGCCTGGCCTGGGGGTCCCATTTTTTAAAGAATTAATTATTCTTTAGATTTAAAATGAGATGCAAACCTCTCACAGAACAAATAACTAGCCGCAGACAATTAGTTCTTATGGAATTAAATGTCTTTAAAACTACATTTTCCTTTTAATTTTTCCTCAGATGTTTAAGAGGAATGGTATGCCATTCCAAGTAATGACTTTCTTATACTTTCTGCCTAAAAATTTCCTTAAATCTACAGATGTCCTTTGTATTTGGAAATCCTGATACCATAGTCCTCAGCTTTTGGGGTTTCTCTTCAGTTCAGCTTTGTGCTTATTCAGTGGCTACTCTGCACAGGTCCTGTACATGGGATTGTCACCAGGACCTAGACTGCAAATGCACATGAGGTCTCAGCAATGTAGAGAAGAGCGAACACCACAAACTGTTGCCATCACCAGACCTCATCAGTTGGCCCTTACAAAGTTCAGTGATGTTAAAGGCCATTGGTCTGAATACTTTATCAACCTTAAAATCAGTCAAACCCTAAAGGGTGAGTCTAATGATACTAATCTGATAATTTTTAAACACATAGGCTTATAGTAGCTGACATAGTTAATCTTTCAGCTTGCATCTATTTCCTGAAACCCAGAATGATCATATTTATCAGGTCATAATCTAGTTATTTCATATACCTAAAATTACAAGGATAGAGATTATGCATGAGTAGACATTAATGCCATGGGGTGTACTGGGGGCTAGGGCAGGTAAAATACAGCCTTACTGCCTTGAATAGGAAATGCTTTCATGTACAATTTTAATATCAGAACTCTAAATTACCATCAGATAGCCTGACTTGATTTTCTTATAGGCTACTCTGTTAGTTTTGCTGACATTTAAACTTAAAATTTTCATTTTTAGTATTCTTTTCTTTAACTTGGTACTTTTCCAGGAGGTAGGAAAAGTAATTGGAATTGCTATTATGAAACACTTTGGATGGAAAGCAGACTTGAGGAATCCACAATTAGAGGTAATGAGTATTTGTTTTATTTTATATACTTGTAACCTAATTCTTTAAAGACAGTGTCCTGTATTCTTATCATACTTTTCCGTTTTATTTTACAGTTATAAAAAGTGTATCTACAGGGATCCAACAGTCCATTTTATCTTTAGCAGTAGAATAGTACAGATAGTTTTGCTAGCAGTTTTCACTGAGAAAATGTCTTATGCAAACTCCAAAAAAAGATTTTTTGGAATGGAGTTGTCTGGTCACAGTTGAAGAAAAAAACATTTATTATGAGGTTACAGCGATGTTCTCTATAGTCTCTATAATACACACAATCTGTGATTTTAAAAATTTTAGCTAATATTAAAAAAATGGATAACAACAAAGTCCTACACAAAATTCAATAGTATGTTAATAGTGGCTTTGTTATGGGTATGGGATTATGTTTTTATTTTCCAAAATTAATAAGGTTACAGTATTTTTATTTGGAACAAACAAGTATTTGTATGGGGAAACAAAAAATATTCTTTGCTATTTTTTGAAAGCCATCTTATAAAGTTGACGTATAACCAATCATTTTCATGATTCATTAATTCATAAATTTATTTATTACTTGTTATGTAGGTTTAAATGGAGTAATAACTGGCCAAATAAATCAGAACATTGTGTGTTGTTTTATTTTTAGATTTGCGCTTGTCTGACATTTGTCACTTTAAAAAAATAATACCTGGTATATATTTTTTATTGTTTGTCATACTAAATGTTTTGATCCCAAGAATGTTTTGACATACGAGTATCATTCTCTTATCTGCCCCTTTCCAATTCTTTTTTTTTTTTTTTTTTTGAGACGGAGTCTCGCTCTGTCGCCCAGGCTGGAGTGCAGTGGCGGGATCTCGGCTCACTGCAAGCTCCGCCTCCCGGGTTCACGCCATTCTCCTGCCTCAGCCTCCCAAGTAGCTGGGACTACAGGCGCCCGCCACTACGCCCGGCTAATTTTTTGTATTTTTAGTAGAGACGGGGTTTCACCGTTTTAGCCGGGATGGTCTCGATCTCCTGACCTCGTGATCCGCCCGCCTCGGCCTCCCAAAGTGCTGGGATTACAGGCGTGAGCCACCGCGCCCGGCCCCCTTTCCAATTCTTAATCATCTTCTCTCTGGCTTTCTCGTCCCCATCTCCCTGAGTCCATCTCATTGTCTCAGAATTGTTTTTCTCATAGATTATCTCATAAATAAATATAGCAAATTCAATTCCTATCAGCCATTTAATGCAATTAATAATAGCTATTATGGATACAAATAATTAACACAAAATTGGCAACACAAAAATCACACGTAGTAAAATTTGTGACTAAAAAATTGACAGAGGAATCAAATCTCAACAAATTTCCTTCTGCAAAATTGATAGGAAAACATTTATAGTGGGAGAGGCTATTCTTAATAACATTTGATATATGAACATGTCGTATCTTTAGAATAAATTGTCAATAGAAAACAATTCTAATAAATAGTTTTGCTAAAATGCATAATATGTAAAATTGGGAAGTTTAGCTGTGATGTATCAGTTAATCAGGTAATTAAATTGACCAAATGGAATCACTCCAGGTAAGTCTTTTCTTGATGAAATTGATCAATATTGGAATAATTCTGATTAAGCTGTTAATATTTAAAGTTATCTTGGGGTGCGAGTATCAGGGACCAGATATTCTTGAGGTTCATAACAGCATTTAAAATATTCTGTAAACCTTATCAGGCTACAAAAGTAAGATTCTAGCTTTTAAAATTTATGTTGGCTACTAATTATAATGTGGGGCGCTTAAATACTCTTCATGGCCTAACAGAAGAAAGAAAATAAAGAAAGACAGAAACTTATAGAGAAAACAGCACCCTTGCTGCCATATATTTGGCCTAAACAAAGTTTTCTGTTACCCTGAAAGTATTTGCAGCCTCTGATAGTCCTGTGTGGCCTCGCATCCTATTTGAGGTTAAAATGAGGGTGGATTTAGAAAATCTTCTCAACGCAAAATACTGAAAAGCGTGGTCCACTTATGATAATTCCTAGAATCTCTAGGAAGAAAGTTGGTTTTGAGTTCTTTGTAACATGACTCTCCTATATAATAAATTGACCTCAGAATTTTTCTATGAAATGTACTTAAAATTTAGTTTCCTTCTGCTTAAGAAAAAAAAAGATTATAGAACATTTTTCTAGATATGATGAATAAGGCCTTGGAGTTTCTTTTTAAAACATAGATCATGTAAGTTTAAAATGGAAATTTCAAATTGTCAGTAATTTGGTAATGAAGTTTCTTGTTCCATTCTAACTTCTGTGTTTGTTCTTTCAGATCTTTATACATCTAAATGACATTTACTCTGTGGTGGGGATTCCTGTGTTCAGGTAGATATTCTAAGCTTCCGGTTTGTCCCATAAGACAGATGGTTAAATTAAGAACTTGTGTTTTTTATTTACAGCATGAATGAAGCATTCATATAACAGAGAAGGCTAAAGGCAAAGCATTTGAATTCTTTGCTTAAGACAATAAAGTATTTTCACGGAACTTAGTGGATATGATTTGAACTGACCAGTTAGAGCTGGGAAATATTTGGTCATGGTAATCTACTGATTACATGATTAATACTGAAAATTATATCTAGTTCTATTATTAAATGGTTTTCACAGCCCTATACCTATACCTAAAAGGCTTCTAGGCTGCCCTACTCCAGTGCCTTTAATTTGAACAGTTTTGCCTATATGGTTTTTTTAAATTCTTTGACAATTTTAAAGACAGAAAGGGTGGAGAAAACGAAAAGATGGACATATTTTAGCAATTATATTAAGTATAATTATTGATGATCACCAAGACAAAAGTAGGAAACACTAGCAAAACAAGCAAAATATAAAATGTATATTTTTTTAAATTTATAAAGTAGTTAATTTTTTTTTTAATACTTTGACCCCCAAAAAGTGAGCCTAAGTATCTAAAAAATTTACTTAGGGACCGGGCGCGGTGGCTCACACCTGTAATCCCAGCACTTTGGGACGCCGAGGCAGGCAGATCACGAGGTCAGAAGTTCAAGACCAGCCTGACCAACATGGTGAAGTCCCGTCTCTACCAAAAATACAAAAATTAACTGGGTATGGTAGCAGGCACCTGTAATTCCAGCTACTCAGGAGGCTGAGGCAGGAGAATCACTTGAACCCAGGAGGCGGAGGTGGCCATGAGCCAGAATCATGCCATTGCACTCCAGCGTGGGTGACAGAGTGAGACTCTGTCTCAAAAAAACAAAAAAATTTAGGAAGAGTATCTCACCCGTAGCAGTGCTGAGTGTGGTATTAATTAGATTCTTACCACCAAATAAAATAACTCATTTTTAAATTATTATATATAAAAATGCTTAATTTTGTGCTTCTTATTTAACTAATATAACTTTATATTAATGTTTTTTAAAAGGTATTTGATTATTTAAAATTATTTTAATGCTTGCTAGAAACATTCAAGACGTCATGCCATGGCATTTCAAATAATAATTGATAGTGTACCTTGAAGTTTACAAATAAAAGATATGTATCTGAAAATTAAGACTGAGACCTTGAATGAGCACTAGTTGAAAATGAGGTTACAACAGATGCTCTGTGTTTAGTCAGTTTGACTACCTCAGTGTAGGAAGGAAGCAGTCTCAGTGATGAGTGTTGGCTAAAAAGAACAATTTACCGGGACATGAAAAGGGAGACATGAAGACTTGCACAACAGATAGCACTGGACAAGAGAAGTGACAGTGGATAACAGAAACTGCAACCTGGTGACCCTAACAACAGAAGAAAGTCTGAAATGATGAAACAAAGTAGAGAGCACCATGAAGTTAAAGGATCACATAAAAATTTGTCCTAAGTTCCTAAAGACATTGTTCATATTTGAGTTTTACTTTCTTTAAAGGAAAAAACCATTTGGATATCAATAGCCCCATGAAGCATTAACTGTATATAGCTGTTGCCACTCTGTACACATCACCTACTACAGTATAGCATAGCAGATAAGAACTGTGGACTTGAATTCTATCTTCTCCACAAATTATTATAACTCTGCAAGTTTGGGCAAGTTATCATATTTCTCTGCTATAAAATCAGGAAAATAATAGTACCTACTTTATAGCTTCGTCCTTGGGATTAAATGAGATAACCCACGTGAAAATCTTTCCTGCTGTTTCTAGGATACAGTAAGCATTGAATAAATTTCAACTTTTGAAACAGTTCAATCCAGTGTTAGCACAGATCTGTGATAAATGCTTGATTAGAGTTAGGAAAGAGAAACTAACTCTAATTACGGACCTGTGAGCAGAAAGATAAAGGATTGTCCCTAAGAGGAGACTTGAAAGCAATAAGAAAGTGTATGCCGCATGGAGAAGAGAAGGAAAGGGTATTACAGGCAAGGAATCTCTGTGCAAAGGCACAAGGTATAAGGAAGCTTGATTTACATGGAGGATGGCAGGTAGTTTCAGTGTAGTTGGGACATAGAGAAAGTGGTAGAAAATTAGAAACAAGCCATGAAGTGCCTTGTTTAAGTATGTATAAGGAAGTTTGATTTACATGGGGGATGGCAGGTAGTTTCAGTATAAATGGGACATAGAGAAAGTGGTAGAAAATTAGAAACAAGCCATGAAGTGCCTTGTAAATATGTTAAACAGCTTGGATGTTATCCTTAAAGCAATAAGAATTTGAAGCAGAAGAGTGATGTGATCAGATTTGTGATTTCAAAAAAATTACCAAGAAAATTATATTTTTAAATGAAAGGGAAATAAAAAGAGAGAAGGAGAGGATTTAAACTCTTGGAGGTAACAAAAAGGCCATGAAATCAAAAAATAGTTAAGGAGTCTAGAATAATTTCAGATTTCTGATTTGAACAATTAGTAAATACTGGTATTAGTCACTGAGATACAAAATGTAGGGAAAGAAAACAGTGTATTCAGTGAAAAATGTCCAAGTAGATATTTGAAGTTACAGATCTAGAGTTCAGGTGACAAGTGTAGACTGAAGAGGTAGAGTATGGTACCCAATATATGGATAGTACGTGGCACAAGAAAATGAAGAAATGTATCAATATATGAAATCCAGGATAGTGTATTCAGTTTATACCTGTTGACTTTGCACTACTTATCTTCCACATAAAAATGTTCAAGCACATATTTGAAGATAAAGATCTGGGGTTCAGGTAACAAGTCTAGGCTAGAGATATAGATTAGGACGTCTTTGTCTTGGTGGTACAAGGTGTACAAGAGAAAAAAAAATGCACACATGCAGAGAAGAGGATCAAAAACCACATTTATTTTTGAACCGTGTACATTAGCTAGGTTCTCTGAAAGTAAAGCATTATTTTTATTTTCAAGGAGTTTATTTCTGAACGTGCCTTCTTCTGAATAATTTTGTTATACTGATATAATGGGGCCCTTTTGTTGAAGTAATGAGATAATTTTGCCCAGGTTTAAGCAAAATGTGAACATTCACTTTTGTCAAATATTAATAGAATTATGTCCCACAAAAACTTCTATTAGCAGAAATATATACATAGTTTTTGAAACTTTGAAAGGTTCCATATAAATTCCTGCTGCTTAGAAGAGCATTTTTTCATATATATGGACAAAGCTGGTTTCCCATACTGCGTCTCCCTTTTTGGTATCTAGAATGCAAACTCTGTTTTATAGTTTTGGCATCTAGAATGCAAACTGTGTTTTATAACTTTGGTATCTAGAGTGCAAACTGTTTTATAGCAAGATAATTGCTAAGCTTACCCCGTAGAAGCAAAATTCACTGGCCAAAATATTTTATAGTGTTTCTACCTGCCAGTTTACATCCCTCATTCCAAATGTATATATACAGTACTGTTTACAATGTGAATTGTTGTTTCTTGAAAAAACTTTATTAAAAAGCCAAACTCCCATGGGTTTGCCATGTAGAACTTCCTCATTATAATAGCAAGTATACAATTACACTGTTTTATTTTAAAGGGGTATATCATTTAGTTCTAAGATTTTAAGAGGCTTGCAATAAATACAAAAACAGGATAAGTTAAAGTCAAAGAAAGATGAGAGGCAAAATGGTGAAAGAAAGAAATGTTTAATATTCACATACCTAGAATTCTGTTGAACAACCTTAAGGAGGGTTTGAAGAAAATCATGGCTTTCCGTAATGTTCGTAGAAGACCTCTTTTGCTGGTTTTGGAAGAAGCCAACCCCAAGACAAACCCACACAAATTCTTGACATCATGTCTTCGTACCTTACCAACAAATTGTAGAAGTGAACTAGAAAAGCTTGGAAAGTTGTAATTTCCAAGGAGATTCTGCTTGTTCATTGCATTAGAAAGACAGAAATAATAGATGACATTTTGAAAATTTCTATCAAATCTGGAAACATTGATGTGATAGTGGCATTGATGAGGTGGAGGATAAAGTGTGAACTGATGCTTTTTGGAGACCAGTGAACTCATTTGGGAGATGTCTGCTTTGGCCCATCATCCAGTAAATTATTTTAGACAATGCAATGTCATGCTTCATTTCATCTTTTGGGAAAGATGCAAATAACCAAAAAACAAACCTACAAAAGGGACTTTTTATAGAAAACAGATTTTAAGGGTTAGCATCCCTTCAGTTCTACTTCCCATACTACATTTATATCACAAAATAGTACATTCCCCTTCATGACTTCAAATAGCAAAAAAAGGTCTACTCTGTATGGGAAGACAGGGAAGTATAAGAAAGATTTTCCTCATGTGTAATTACATTTTTATACATTAAATACGTGAGAGTGTAAATTTCAGTTGTCTAAAAATTTACCTTTCTGAAATTCAACACTGGCTGGGTAGACAAGGTGCCCATTAGAGAAGCAATTTTTGTAATAAGACTGAAACATTGTCTAACTTAGGGAATACTTTAGTGTATGTTGGATGAATATGTTTAAATGATTCTCAGATTTGGACAGGTAAATCATTTTTATATCTTGTTGTTCAATGTGTAATAATATATAATCAGATTCTATCCTTTGTAGGGTTTCCCTAGCCAGCAGAGCTTACATCAAGACAGCTGGACTGCGATCTACAATAGCGTGGGCAATGGCATCTCTGGCTGACATTAAGGTAAGAAAAATGTTTTCCTTCCTGTTAATAGCAAGGTTCTTTTCATAATTAACTTATACAGTCTCTTATTGATGGATATTTATGTTACTTGCTTTTTCTTTTCTTGACGCTTTTTCTTTAACTTCTTTTCTTTTTGCCATTGTACTTACAAACTGCTGCAGTAATGCTTTTATATATTATTGAACTTCTGAGAGTATTTTGGCTCTGAAAAAGCTGAGTCAAAAGTTAGCTACATTTCATTATTTCTAATGTTTTGTGTCACAGTTAGAAAATGTGGCCTGTAAAACCTCCTATTCTTAAAGTTTTTGTCTGTGACCAAGATCTTGGTCAATTTTTGTAAATGTTCTATGGACATAAGATGACTTTATCTTCTAGTGAAGAAATGTTCTCCATTATTTTTACTTACTGTGTGTTTCACTGCTCCATTTTGAAAGAAGTTTTTGAAATCTCATATTGTATTTTTTTAAGTTTTTGCATTTTTATGAGTTGTTGAATTATTCAGCTGTCATGTGGCTTGGTATATACATGTTCATGACTATCAATACATCATTGTGAAGTGTGCCTTTTTGTTACTTAAGTCCTCTTTATCTTGGTTAAGTTTAAATTTAAGTCTCACTGTCTTACTAATATTTTCACTCCTTTTTGTTTGCATCAGCCTAGTATTTCTTTGCCACTGCTTTTTTTTCAACTTTACATATTTTTTACAAACACATAGCTATTTTTACTCCACTCTGATGGTCTCTCTTTCAGTGAGAGAATTCAGTAAATGTTGTGACAGATAGACTTGATTATATTCTTCCTGTTTTTATTCTGTTCATAACTTCTCACACTTTGTTTCCTTCTCTTATTTTCGCTAGTTTGACCAAGTTACTTGCTAATCATTTCATTGTTCTCTTTGTGGTTAGAGATTTTACTTCATTGTTCTATTCCATTACAGTCCTTTTCCCAGCTCTCTTAACTAAATATATATGACTCTACTCTTAATTTAAAACAGAACATCAACTACTCCCTCTGCCAAGACACACCGTTTTTACCAAGGCACTCCAATTTTCCCCAACTTCCCCCTCTTCCCTGTCATAAGATGAGACCTTTAGAGTACTTTTTTCTCTTCTCCTCTCTACAGTGAGACCTTTGAACATTTTTACCCCTTTCTCTCCCAAGCCCCAACTACTGGAGAAGCTAAGTTATTTATTATGTACCAGAACTTTCCTTGAGTATGCTCTTGGGTTTCAAAAGTTCTTAGCACTTACACAGCCTATTCTTAGTCATTAGATAGAATTCCACGTAATACACACATATTTTTATATACACACACACTAAGATACATTACAAGGTTTATTGCTTTTTGCCATTTCTCTTCTTCTCTTTGTCTTGCCCTGTTTGAGGCCTCTGCTCTGGTTTACTTATTGCTTGGGTAAAGTCTTGTCTTAGGTATTTTCCTCAAATGTGGTATTTAAACGATATACTGTCTGAATTCTTTGTATCTTCAAATTTCTTCCTGTTATCCTGGGTATCTCTATCTTGGCTGGGTATAGGATTCCTGAATTGCAGTTCTTTTCTCTCAGAGGTCTGTAGATGCTGTTCCATTGTCATTTAGCTTCCGGTGACACAGATGAGCAGACCATGCCAGTGGGATTTTTTCTTTTCCTTTATAACTACTTTGTTCCTTCTTTTTGGAAACTTGTAAGGTGTTTCTCTTTAATCTTAAAGCCAAGGAATGTCACCAGAACATGCTTATGTATATGTCTTTTCTATTTAGCCCAGACCTTGTTGAGTCTTAGATTCTGGCCATCACTTTCTGGGTGGGAAGCTTTGGGCGGAATACTTAAGATCTTTGTGCCTCAGTTTCTCATTTGCAAGATGAAAAGAGTAGTAATATCTCATGGGATCATGACAAGATTAAATGAATTAGCATTAATAAAATGATTAGAACAGTGCCTAACATACAGAAAGTGTCTAAGTATTAGCTGCCATTTTGGTAATAATAAATAATTATACCAAAATTGTAGTTAATAACTAGAACTATAATTACTATTTCAAATATATAATTATAAAAATTATTATTTATTTTTACTTCTCCGGCCTAAGCACTTTTTCTTCCATTATTTAATTATTGCCTCAACTATTTAGTGAATTTAACTTTAAACTACTCTCTTTTTCCTACTTCTGAAATTCCTATTATGAACATGTTAAGCTTCCTGGCTCTATCCTCCAAGTCTCCTATCCTTTTGACATGATTTCCCTCTCTTTATATTTTGGCCCTGCATTTTTAGTTATTCTTGAACATTATCTTCCAAATTACAAGAGTCACAGAGACATGCTCTATTTTAATTTATTTATATTTTTAGCTTAAAAAAATCCTGACTTTTTAGCTTCAAAAGGTATGTGTGTCACATTTGAGTATCTCTGAAAGCTCTTCTTTTATTCAAATATTGATCTGTGTTCTCCAGTAATTAGTAATTCTATTTTACTGGGTGTGTGTTCCGATTATTCTGCCTATTTACTCTAAAACTACTGAGGGACCTCCTCCTTTTTTTTTTTTTTTAGATGTGCCATTGGTTTTTGTTTGTTTTTGTGTTTTGTTTTAGCTCACTAGGACTAAAATGTGACTGTTAAGTATTTTAAATGGCCAGAATCCTATAAATGGTAAAAGGCAAATGGATCTCTGGCACCCCAGGCTCAGCAGTGTAAAGAGAATCTGTCAGTCCTGCTGAGATACCTGGAGGAAGCTTCTCTATTCACTGACCTCTCTTTGAGTCCATAGATCTCTGAAGACCAAGCTCTTCCCTAATTCCACTGATTCTCCCCTCTGGGTTCCACTGCTGTTCTCTAATCACTACCCAACCCACAGCAGGGAGGCCCCACACATGTTCCTTTTTCTGGGACTGTGACAGAGCCTAGGGCTTCTCTTAGCGCCAGTTGCCTCTAGGTCTGAGCATCACTTGGCTCAGCAGAAGCAAAAAGCTTAGAGTTGAGAGTGGAGGAGGGAGCCTCTTTCAGATTACCAGGTACCCAGAACCCATGATTTTCTCTTTTTTTGTTTGATTTAAATGTTTAGTTCAGATTTTTTTAGTATAAAGAAAGAGGTATGGTTAATTTTTTCCCAAACTGCCAGTGGTTTCACCAGAGTTTGTATTTAAATATAAATTTATATAATCACCTACACATTTGAAATGTTACCTTTGTTTTAATATAAACATGTTTTTCAGAAAAGTCAAAAGTAAATGATCAAAAATATACAAAGATAATGCTTGATAAAACTTTTCCTTACTGTGTATTTGCCCTGGGACTACAAAAAGTAAGAAATGTCTCTCCAAATGTGACCACTGGCAAAGGAGGTCTGTTAAAGAACCTAGGAAATGGCATAGTAGAGTTCTTTTGGAGGGAATGTGGTAGTGACCCACAATCTAAGTGACCCCAGTATCCAACCTGATCCATTTCCCTCTTTGGAGCTTGGTACCCAGAGCAGTACACAGACAGCTCAGCCTTGGGTAAGGCCAGTGCCACTAAAAATGAAATTTAAAAATGGGATGTTTGTTATTTATCATGTTTACTATAAACTGTTCTCCTTCCTACATATCATAACAAGGAAAATCAAGTTCTATAAATCTTAATTGTTGTTGTAAGTATACAGAAATACATCTCTACCTCAGCCTGTGTCTACAAGTGTCATGGCAAGAAAAGGTCCTAAGGTAAAGTAAAGCCATCTAAAGATACTTCAGGTCAGATTATGTCATTGAACACAGACCATGGGAGAGAAGGAGCACAGCGTATGGCACATTTGAGATCCTAATAAAAATGGGTTCTCATGCTATTAACAATTTTCAACAAAATTTGCATTTAAATTTTTCCTTCTGCTCCTTACTGCCCCTTCATGGGGGATTTGTGTGATATTCTCTTTAAAATTTAGTACCAGGGGAAGGCTTCTGTCTCTTGAAGAACATTTTGTTTCTTTCCATTAGGTACCATATGGCTCTGACTGAAACCTGGCTGTGCACTGAGGACTCTGCTTCCTCTGTAGACATATCAAGTGGTGGATGTCTTTTCTCCCCTATCTCGAGCACGACTGGGCCTGACAGTGGGGTACGTTCCTGCTTGCTCCTCCTTGCCCCTTCTAGACAATTGTTTTCTCCCGTCTGCCCAGAACCTCATAGTGCCTTTGAAGCACATGCCATCAGATCACCCCAGTCAGAGTTCTCTCCCTCTCATTCCTGTAAGAGTACAGACCATTATCCCGTCATGATTCTTTGGTCTCTAACCACTCAGTAACCTGCCTCTTCATTTCTTGGCTTCCCTATTCATCTGCTGTAGTCACATCCTAGACCTTGTCATACCCAGAAGGGTATCTCTTCCAAAAATCTCAGTTTCTTTTTTTTTTTCTCCAATACCATTTATTATTATTATTATTATTATTATTATTACATTTTAGCTTGCATTTACTAAGTGTCATGGAAATATTATACTCAGAGTAACAGAGCTCCGGAGAAAGACCATTAACTAAGAAAGAACAGTTTCACTTTCTTAGCATGTCAACTTCTAGTTAGCCTGCTTGCCTCCGCACCACAGATGCTTGTCTTCTTGTGATTGTTACCGTATAATTGTCAAGCCAAAGCTTGAATTTACACGTGGCATCGGCTTGGTATTGATAATTTGTATTCAGGAATCTTGTTCTTAACCACCTCCTCTTTCCTGTTCACTTCCTCTGCTACCCGAACACAAATCTTTAACCCCACGGGGCCCTCCAGTCATTTGACCAGACCCGTGTTCCTTACCACCTGTGCTCATCCCTCCTTCACAGCTTGTATTTTAAAAAGTTCGATCATTATAGTCATTTCCTTGCCATTTTTTTTTTTTTTTTGAGATGGAGTCTCGCTCTGTCGCCCAGGCTGGAGTGCAGGGGCGCGATCTCTGCTCATTGCAAGCTCTGCCTCCCAGGTTCACGCCATTCTCAGGCTCTCTTCCTTCTTATTTGACTTAAATAATAGAATCACAAGAGAACTTCTGCATGTTCTCCTCACCAAGTCTACCAGCATACCAGAATCTATGCCCACATACTCTGCCTTATTGTCATTACAATAAGGGAGCTGTCCTTGTTCCACACTAATACTTGTGTGCTGGATTCCATTGCCTCTTGTAGACTTAGGGATTTTTCCTTCTACTGGGTCATCCCCATCAGCATGTACACCTGCTGAAATATCTTTCAACTTAAAAAAATAAAAACCCTCCCCTGAACCCATCTGTCCCTTCAGCCACCACCCCTTTAAAATGTAATCTTTCCTCTTGAAATATTGATTCCTCAAGTTTTAGGTTTCTTTTATAGTACGTACTATGGTAGTCTTAATAATACCAAATTAATATTTCTGTCTGCAGGCTGGTGCATTTGTTTTAGATCCAATGTGTGGACTTGGAACAATACTTTTGGAAGCTGCTAAAGAATGGCCAGTAAGTTCTAAAGTTTGGTAAAGCAAGCAATTTATCTACTTTAATCAGTATATGTAGTATAATCACCAATTATTTACAAGTAGAATGTCTATTTGGGGATTATTTTTAATTATATGAGTTATTATTTACTCAAAATAGATGATGAGGGACTAATGAAATTGCTATGTTGTTTCTTTAAATACTATGATAAATTTAGGAAAATATGAGAGAATTCTAATCATTAGTCATGACCTAGATTATACTAATCCTCAAATTCTTTAGACACTTGTCATTGTAAATGTTAACAGATTTTTAAAATTTTAACAAAAACTTTACATTTTTTGCTACTATGATTTTAAAAGAATACCCTAAATGTGTTTTGACCTGAATTTAAAATCTACTAATTTCACTTGTCATTTGAGAAAATGCAAGTCGATTTTCTTAACTACATGAAATATGTAATAATTTTATTTATGCTTAAAATATTTATTTCCCCATAGGATGTGTATTATGTAGGTGCTGATGTCAGCGACTCACAGTTACTAGGTACTTGGGACAATCTGAAAGCTGCAGGCCTTGAGGATAAAATTGAATTACTTAAAATCTCTGTTATAGGTAAGATACTAAAAATGCAAAACAATTGAGAAAAGGAACAATGTAAATATATTTAGAATCATAATATAAAACAAGTCTCACTATGTAAAGGTTGGTTTTACCCTTTAATATATCTGTGGGACTAATACTCAGTTTACTTCTAATAGTCTAACCTTTTTATTTTCAAAGTGTTCATAATTGGGAAGCAACAATTCTATAGTTTTCGTAAGCATGTAAAGCATGACTTCTTAAAATGTGTTTGTTAAAAAAAGAAAAAAAAAGTGTTGCATCTGAACCATTTCTCGTATCAGAACCAGTGATCGTTTAAAATAGCCATAAAGAAAGCAGTGTAATAATAATTCTTTGAATTTCTTTTGAATAAATAATATGAAATGTTCTGAATTATCTTACTGTCTTGCCTCACATTAGACAGTATCCGTGAGATACACAGGAGTAAGCTAACCACCCATCCCAATTTGCTAAACCAGGACTTTTAGTGCTAAAATCAGCAAAGTCTGGAGTAAACCAGGACAGTTGGCCACCCTGTGAGGTAGAGGGAAAACAGTACCCTGTTTAATGAAGGGGAATCAGCAGTGACACACATAACTAGGAATCAAGTCTATTGAGGCCAATCAAAATAATATTTTCCTGAGATCCCTGGCGTTTAGACAATTTTTAAAAACTATTCCTTGTTTTTTTCTTATTCCCCCAGTATATGTCTCTCCCTTAAATAATGAGTGAATTTAATTCCCAGGTAAGAACATTGTATTCTGTTGACAGTGATAGGTAGTAGATAGGTCCCAGTATCAGACCTATAATCAGGAGGAATAAAATACGTTTAAGAAATTTTATTGTAGTGGAAAAGTAGTAAAGATGAGTATCAACAGAAGAAAATACTAGGATAACTTGCATAAAAGCATAATAAAGCATCCCCAAAGAAGAAATTGTCTTGTTGATTGAGATCTCATAGTTGTTTGCTGCCAGTGACTTTTATTTTTAAGCCTTTCTGCCAAGGTTTTTAATAGGACTCTGTGCAGGAGACACAAGTTTGTAGAGCAAACTAAGGGGTGACTAGACTGCAAGCTTTCATGATCCCTAATTTCTTTAAGAATGCTATTTCTTTGAAACCTTTAAGAAAACTGAAATTGGTTCCTAAATTGTTCCAGAGCAGTGAGTTTTCAATCCCTTTACATTCTCCAAAGCACCTTGTAGGCATGAAGGAGGGAGTACTGAGTTGGCCATTGGACCTCTGTTGCACTCCCAGCTTCACTTTTATGTATTTTCACTTTAGGGGGCATTTTCTAAAAGATTTCATTTAAAAAACAGTCAGAAGTGCTCCACTGTTTGTGTGTGTGTGCTTTTTAAAGGTTCTCTGTGGTACCAGGTAACTGCATAAATCTTAGTTTTGAAAGGATTCCTCTTAGACTTTAGTGAGGGAAGGACAGTAACAGAGAGACTAGAAAGAGACTGTTGCAACTCTAGTTATAATCCAGGTAAGAAATGACAGTGGCCTGGCCCAAGGTGGTATTCAAGGAGATGTCGAGAGAAGGTCAGATATACATCTGGCAGACAGAGCCAACAGAATTTGTTGTCAGATTGGATGTGGACTATGAGAGAGAGAACATTCTAAGCTTTCTGGCTTGAGCAGCTAGAGGATTGAGTTGTCGTTACTGAGATGGGGAAGACGGATGGTGGATCAAGTTAGAGTTTAGGACCTGTTAAATTTCGCACGATTATTAGACTCTAAGTGAAGATGTCAAGTTAGTACCTCAGTATACAAATCTGGAGTTTAGGGGATCACCAGTATAGAGAATCACCAGTATAGAGAACATTTAGTTTCATGAGATCTCCTAGGGAATGAGTGTAAGTAGAGAAGGGAAAGGGGACTGAACCTTGGAGTACTCAGATGCTTGGACTTCTGGAAGGTGAGCATCTGGTAAAGGAACAGCTGGTGATGTAAGAGAGTAAAAATCCGGGGAAGAAAGATAGATCAGCTGTGTCAGCTGCTTCTCATTGGTGGAGTACAATGAGGCCTGGTGACTGCAGAAGTCAAGGGCAGCTTCCCTGGAGGGGCTCTTGAGAGAATGGGAGGAGGTAACTTGAAAACAACTAGTTTAGAGCATTTTCTTGAGCAGTTTGGCTAATGAGGAGAGCATAGAAATGGGACAGTAACTGAAAGAAAGGATATTGGGGATCAAGCAGGGGTTTTTTTGAACATAGAAGTTAGAATTTTTTTGTATATAGAATGTTTGATCTCACTAAAGAGAAAGATCAAATGAAAAGGAGGAATTTGGCATGACGGAGGAAGGAGGAGAATTGCTTGTCTGCTATATCCAGGCCCCTGAAAAAGGATGGGATCCAGTGCATGAGTGGTTGGGCATGCACTTCTAGGAGCAGGGGAAGGCAGAGGGAGGAGAATAAACCTTAAAACAGGTCACACCAAACCGGTAGTGGACATAAGTGCACTCTTCTCCACTGTTGATACTGGAGATTATAATTTTTATTACAATTTTTTAAACTCTACACATTTGATAGGTTTGCTTAAATTTACCTTTCATTACTACTGAGATAAACTTTTTCATATTATATCATTTGTAAATGATTCTTCTGTGAGTTGTTTTTAGGATAACTTTCTGGAGGAAAGAATAAAACATCTGTTTTAGGTTGTTTCATCATCACAACCTCTTAGTATTAAGTTTCAGTCTAGGAGGAACTATATGTCTTGCTAATACAGGGGCCAATTTTAACTAATAATTAGCCCTTTATTGCACCTACTTCAGAGGTAAACATTCAGGCTAGATAAAAGCGTTTATTTTCTTCATTAATTTGGTTTTTAAGAGCTCTAATTATAAATACAATTTAGAGTGTTGAGATATGTGAATCCCTTGTTTAAGGGATCTCATGCCTTTTTACTATAGGAATTAAGAACACTTACCGACTTTAAGAGTCACACCAAGTATAAATCCTAGCTCCACCATCGTTTTTTCACTGTATGGCCTTCAGCAGAAAAACTGGACCTCTCTTTATTTTCTCATCTGTAATATGAAGATTATAATAATACCACTCCATAAGGCTGTGATGAGGATTTATTACATAAACACACAGAGTACAGTGTGTAACACACAGCATGAATTAGTAAGACATCTGTAAGCACTGGTATGTTGGTATACCTAGGAAGTTAGTAATAATCATTCCTATTATGACTTACATTTCTATAAAATCACAATCTTCAGCCTCTGTGTGCATTAATGACTTTATTTTTTCTACCTTTTTAATAAGCATTCACTTTGTTTTATGACCCTCAACTAATATAAAAAGAAATTATCTTAGTCAGGCGCAGTGGCTTTATGCCTATAATCCCAGCACTTTGGAAGGCTGAGGCAGGCAGATCAGTTGAGCTCAAGAATTCGAGACCAGCCTGGCCAACATGGTGAAACCCTGTCTCTACTAAAACTACAAAAACAAAAAAAATTAGCCAGGCGTAGTGGCTGTAGTCCCACCTACTTGGGAGGGGAAGGCAGAAGAATCGCTTGAACCTAAGAGGTGAAGGTTGCAGTGACCCTAGATTGTGCCACAGCACTTCAGCCTAGGTGACATGGCGAGACTCCGTCTCAAAAAAAAAAAAAAAAAAAAATCTTTTAATATGAATAAATCATATGTATTTATTCCTAAGTTTTAATCGTTATGAAAATTTAGAATCAAATGAATATTATAAGTTTTCTTAGGAAATAGCAATTAGTCATTAGTTAGGCTTTTTTAAATCTGCAGATATATTTACATTCTCAGTATAAGATAGAAACTATAACATAAACAGATTTGAGCAAAAGAAACACATTTATGATTTAATTAAAATGGCAAAATTATAGCTAAAAGGAAATATTTTCTTTCCTTCCAATTAGGCATTCTGTAGCTGGTCACACATCACTTAAGTGTAGGTTTATAACAAGATTATTGGCAACAGTTGTGCTTTGTTCTCAAGTGTTTCCACTCTTGTAGTAAGATGGCATGCTTTTTTCAGGACACCCATAAGCACCGCATAATAAGGTGTTTGCATTTTCTTTCATACTGGTTTGTTTTCTCCTTGCTGCCTGTCATGCCTCTGCTGGCTTGGCCTTGGTGTTCTAGCCAGGTGTCTTATATGGCCCACGCCGTATTCTGCAAGATTCATGAAGCTGCCAGGCTGCCCATTTGGGAAATCAGAGGGAAATGTGGAAAGTGATGGGGTAGGTGTATATGAAATATGTGTAGAAAATAGGGGATAAGTTCAACATAGAGAGTAGTTCACATGTTCTTGCTGCTAAAGCTTTATCATTTATTTTATGGTATAAGTCCTTTTTTATTGTTTGGTAACACTTCTGTTTTGTAACAAACTCTTTCAGAAGCAATAAGGTTTTAAAAATGCATTTTTAATGAAAAAGTAAGTATTGAGCTTCTATTTCTTAAGACAGCTGATGAACATATAACTTGAGTCAATATTTGTTGATATTTACAATCCTACTGTGAAGGCCATGGCGATATCACTGACCAAATGAAACAAGTCTGTTTATAGAGGGATCTAGCATTTATCTTAAAACTCAGTAGTTCTTAAACAATTTTTTTTTGTTGTTTTTTGAAACAGTCTTGCCCTGTTGCCCAGGCTGGAGTGCAGTGGTGCAATCTTGGCTCACTGCAACCTCCACCTCCCAGGTTCAAGCAGTTCTCCTGCCTCAGCCTCCCAAGTAGCTGGGATTACAGGCACACACCATCACCCCCAGCTAATTTTTATATTTTTAGTAAAGACAAGGTTTCGCCATGTTGCCCAGGCTGGTCGCAAACTCCTGAGCTCAGGCAATCCACCCGCCTTGGCCTAACAAATTTATAAGAAAAAAACAACCCCATTAAAAAGTGAGCAAAAGACATGAGCAGATACTTCTCAAAAGAAGACATTCATATGGCCAACTAACATACAAAGAAAAGCTCAACATCACTGATCATTAGAGAAATGCGAATCAAAACCACAATGGGAAACCATCTCATGCCAGTCAGAATGGCGATTATTAAAAAGTCCAGAAACAACAGATGGTGGTGAGGTTGTGGATAAAAGGGAACGCCTTTACACCGTTGGTGGGAGTGTAAATGACTTCAACCGTTGGGAAGACAGTGTGGTGATTCCTCAAAGATCCGGAGGCAGAAATACCATTTGACCCAGCAATTCCATTACAGTGCATATATCCAAAGGAATGTAAATCATTCTAGAATAAAGATACATGCACACATATGTTCACTTGAGCACTATTCATGATAGCAAAGACACAGAGTCAACCCAAATGCCCATCAGTGACAGACTGGATAAAGAAAATATAGTACATATATACCGTAAAATACTGTGTAAACATAAAAAGGAACAAGATAATGTCCTTTGCAGGGACATGGATGGTGCTTGAAGCTGTTATCCTCAGCAAACTAACGCAGGAACAGAAAACCAAACACTGCATGTTTTCACTTATAAGTGGGAGCTAAACGATGAGAACACGTGGTTGGGGGACAACACACACAGGGGTCTGTCAGGGGGAGGTGGGAGGGGAGGGAGAGCATTAGGAAGAATAGCTAATGGATGCTGGTCTTATTACCAAGGTGGTGGGTTGATCTGTAGCAAACCACCACGGTACACACATTATGTAGCAAACCCATACATCCTGCACATATACCCTGGAACTTAAAAGTTGAAGGAAAAAAAATAAAAACTTAGTAATTCTAAGAATGCTAGGCCCAAAGCCAACAATTTATCACATGCAACTGAAGAAAATGCATTTAAAATATCACTCTGTGAAGTATGACTTTCCCTTTAGATCAAATGGCTATTCTAAATTTATTTTGCTCATATTCAATTGTGAGTTTTGTTATGCACCTAAGCAAAATGAAGCTGGTACTGTTAATGTGCTGGCTTCATTAGCAGAAGACCTTTGCAGATAGTTAAATGTTGCCAGTTTTGTATCAATATCATCACATAATTTAGAAAGATAATCAGTTAAGTCAATTCCAGTAGTAGCTTTGTTTCTTTTTTACTCTCTTCGAAATTTCATAGGGTTTTTTTCTGTCAAAGATGCAACTTCTTTGTGAATGCTACTGTGAATTCAGTTTGGCATTGCCAATCTGTGTGCTTATGCATTACTTTGGTGGGCCACAACATCATGCTAAAAATTAATATTCTTATTAAAACCTATGGAGCAGAAATGCACTTGAAATTTAATGTTATACCCATATAATTCATAATTACCTCCAAACAGGCTGTAGTGTCCATTGAAACAGACACTTGTCAAAATAATTGAATTTTGTTTTGTTTTTTTTTTTAAGAGAGAGACTTGCTCTGTCACCCAGGCTAGAGTGTAGTGGTCTGATAATAGCTTACTGCAGCCTTGAACGAACTCCTGGGCTCAAGCAGTCCTCCCATCTCAGCTTCCCAAGTAGCTAGGACTGTAGGAGGTACTCACCACCATGCCTGGCTAATTTTCTTTTTTAAAAAAATAGAGATGGGGTCTCACTGTATTGCCCAGGTTGGTCTTAAATGATCCTCCCAGCTCAGCCTCCCGGAGTGCTGGGATTACAGGTGTGAGCCACCCCATACCTGGCCACTTTTTTTGTTTTTTTTTGAGACAGACTCTCACTCTGTCGCCAGGCTGGAGTGCAGTGGCGCAATTTCGGCTCACTGCAACCTCCGCCTCCTGGGTTCAAGCAATTCTCCCGCTTCAGCCTCCTGAGTAGCTGGGACTACAGGCGCATGCTACCACGCCCAGCTAATTTTTGTATGGGGTTTCACCATGTTGGCCAGGATGGTCTCAATCTCTTGACCTCATGATCCACCTGCCTTGGCCTCCCAAAGTGCTGGGATTACAGGCGTGAACCACCGTACCCGGCCTTCTTTTTAAAATATACACAGAACAGATGAACTGCAAACTATTTGTGTTGAAGATGACTGAATGCAAAAAAAATGCTTCTGCATAACAGTACACTTTCTTTGCTTGTCCATCAGTTGGGTTTTAAAGTGTAAGCCTTCAAAGAATTACTCTGTAAATCAGCCAAAGTGTCCTAGGGTGGTGCTATAAACTTTACCAAAAAAAAGTTGCCTAATTTTGATGGCATTTTATTCAGAATATACTGGAAATCTATAATCAAAGGATTCAACAAATGAAGTGCCAAAATACATTAGCTTTTGAATTTTTTGGTGAATTACAGTTGTTAAAGCTGGCAGCAGGAAGACATTGATCATCTTTCCCTAAAAACACGAAGAAATGAACAAATATTGAAAGCTCAACAATGCACAAGACTTAATTATGAAATTCTATAAATATTCTTTGGATATGGTATGGAAAGAATCTCCTGATGACTTTCCTTATTGTAATTGGATAAATTTGTAGTCTAGAATGGAATGGAATGAAATTGTGAAGGCCTTAATTTTGTATCATCTAAATTTGGTAAAACAATTAAAAGAATAATAGAGATAATTTGAGTTTTGTAAACATATTTGTCAAAGGCACTGTCAATGGAGGGACTGTGAACTGGAAGGCTGAAATATTTACCCTTTCCATATGAAAAAATAGAACTGAAAGTATATTTCATTTACTAGAACTTGTTCAGATATTAGCACTGTAGGCAAATTATTTTTTCTCAAAAAAAAGTCTTTTATTAAACTTAAAAATTTCATTTTGCACAGATACGTTTTCAGGGCCACCATAATAAACCAATTTATTGGATAATAAATATTTCAAATATTTCAAAGCATATAATTTTCATATAAAATAAAGAGCATAGTTATTTCTAGCATTCTCTTCTCAGAAATGTTCATTTGGACTATAAACTGTATGGTGACCCAATCCAGATGTCAGACTACATTTTGCGTGTTTAAGACTAATGTTTATGGACTTCTTGATTAAGATGACAGATCAAAATTTCATTGAAAGCTTTACGCCCTCTTGTACTTACTGAAATGAGAAAAAGAATAGTAATCATCAAAGAAAACAAATTCAGCAACCAAACGAGAGAAGGTCATAATCTAATGCAATAAACCTCAAAATATATTTTGGCCACAATAAAATGTTATAGAGCATTTGAAAATAGAATAGTGGTTATTTACAAGGTTCTGAGATGCTATTTACAAAGTTACCAAAGCAAAGTGTAACCCAAAAATATTATGCCTAACCAAAACATCATCTTAAGGACAAACATTTTGAAATATGAAAAAGTTCCGACAACATTTCACACTAAGTCCTTTGGGGAAAAGTATTTAATCCAGGCATTAAGAGATTAATTGGCTGAGAAATGGAGAAAATCAAGGCAAAATGATTAGTGATAAGGATGAAATTAATTTAACTGTAGAACTAAGTTTAAACAATTATGGGAATTACTGTTAGGAGACAGAATATGAATATTATAAACCTGGACAATAAACAGAAAGAACAAGGAACAAAAATAGGAAGAAGGATATGTTCAGTTTTATAAAAGTGCTCAATGAACCTGGTCTTTAGTTTAAATATATGCATGAAAAGACATCTTGAAGGCCCATAAATCCCTTTGGAAGAAAGTATCTTGGGGCCATAGTCCTGAGTTTTAGGAAATTTTTACCCATTTTTCTCCTGGAAGTAGGAAAAATAGGGCAGTTTTTTTCTTCAAAACAACTGGTATTTTAAAACTAAATTTTTTTTTCATGTTCTTGAATCATCCTGCAGAGATGTAAAAAGATGATTTTTACTTGTTTTGAGCTATGTTTCTATTTCAGAATCTTAGCTGATTAGTTACAAGCAAATTTTTTGTTCACAAGCAGTATTTAAAGCATCTAATAATTTAAAAGATTTTACTGTATGTTGAATCGTATCGGTCAGGTGCTCATGGTTCTAGGAGTACCTGCATCTAAACCTACGGAGATGGGGACAACAATCTGTTTTACAAAGACCTTTCAGTTGATTCTAATACGCACTAAGTTGTAGTTTCCAGATGATACTGATGCTACTGCTATGGGGACCACACTTTGAGAACCACTGCTAGAGGAAAGGAGAGCAGGAGAGAGGCCCACCTGGAAGTAGTTGCCCTACCTCAACCTTGGATGCCCAAGAATGAGGGAGAAGGGGATACTACTGTGTTCTGCAAAGCTTTTTTGAAGGATGGCGCACTGGTTTCCACCTGGCTGTCATCTCCCATTTACATCAGAGAGGGACATTATAAATAATGACCACAAAGCAGCTAACGGTTACTGAATGCTCACTTTGTGCCAGGCCGTGTTCTAAATGTCTTCCATATATTAACCTCTTTTATTGACTTCTGAGGTACATAATCTTATTCCATTTTACAGATGAAGAAACTGAAGCAGTAATTTCCCAAAGTCCCACAGTTAGTGAGCAGCAGAGCCAAATGCAAGCTGTCTGACTCCAGAGCTTATGCTCTCAACCACATCAAGAAAAGCTTTGATTATTTTATGCTCTATTGGAAGATGACACTGCTTAGTTCTGGAGATTTTTTTTAAAAATTATTCTCTTCCATCTATATGAAGTTTATGTATTCAACTTCTAAATTTATTTAAAGCACTTTAGCATATTATATAATATAGAGCAGCAAAGTTCCCAATAAAAATGGAGACCCAGAAGAAAAAAATCATTGTTTCTAAACCTGGACATAATGGGCAGCTAACTCATACGTAGGTACTGTGTGTGTAGTGTGAGGCAAAAGAAAGACTTGGGATTAAATTCAAAAGTAAATTACTACATGCTTCCTCATAAATAAAACATTTGAGAACTATGGTTGCCTTCGTTGTCTATTTATTGTCTTTAGTCATTTTGTAAATGGATGTGTACTATATCAACACCCTAAAACCATGAGGTTAAAACATAACTTGGAAAAAAGGAATTCCTGTCTCAGCTTAAAAGAATATTATCCTTCTTTTTTTCGAACAATCTACTCTTCTTCTATTAACCCCACATAAGGGTTAGAACTAGGAGAGATCTAGCAAGTAGTCATTAGACTTTCCGAGATTACAAAGCACTTTTTGTTGCTAAATTTCCTACCAACAGAAACTTTTGATATTTAGTGAAGATTATTTAAATTTCATTACATTTCTGCAAAATTAGGTACTATTCAAAATGAAAATTGGGACATCTGTCTTATGAGTATTTAACTGAATTTAGGAGATGGATGAGAAGTAAAATAAGTAAAAAGTGGAAAGTACATCTAGAAGATGTGGATGTTAGGGTAGAGTGTACTGTGTTACTTTCTGATAACGTAACTTCTGAGAAGAAAACATTAAGATAAAGCAATTTAGAATTAATCAGACACAATAATTTTTAGTGATAATCATTGTGTTGATTATTGATTATGTAGCCTTTTCTCTAGTCTTAGGACTTAATAGATATTCTTAACCTTCCAAATTCTCTTTTAAAAATACAATGATAGCTATGGATCCTCTCCCTCAAAAACAAGTAGATCTAAACGTACAGTTTTAAAATGGGAAATGAAAGTTGTAGAATATAATTTTGTGGAAGATTTTTCTAGGCAATTTAGTGGAGCTAGCAGCTTTCTATACAAGCTATATATTTAGAGAATTGAGTTTTCTGGCTAATGTAAAATTCTGCTTAACTTACATTTTATTGTATCTGAAAAACCAATTTTCAACGAACAGAATACAATAACTATCATTTATCATTAGTGATTGTGAAAGCATTTTGGGATCTTGTAATTACTTTAAAACAATATTAGCAACCCTAAATGTTAATCTGTTACGCAAAAATAATCCTGTGTACTTCAATTTTCTCATTATTTAAGTTGTAAATATTTGACCCTACTGTAATAGGATTCTCTGATTTCTATATTTCAGAATTGCCATTGCCTTCAGAAAGTGTTGATATTATTATTTCTGACATTCCATTTGGGAAAAAGTTTAAGTTAGGAAAAGACATCAAAAGCATTCTACAAGAAATGGAAAGGTAAGTTGTTGAATTTATTTTCATAATTTTTTTAGCTACTGGGCATTTAACCGAAATACATCATAGCTCTTCAGTTAAGGTCTGATTGCTTTTTAGCAATTTCCCAGAGTTTTTGTAGCTTAATTTTCTAAGGTTTTAAGTCAGAAGTTTATAATTGAAATAAATGTTATCCATATCATCTTACACTATAAATTTTATTCAGAAAAATATTAATTTTCTATTATGTACTGAGATTTGAATGTATGAAATAGTGACCTATATTTCAGTCAGTGGTCTGAAGCAAAATTTTACATATTTGCTTCCATCCCTCACAAAAAAAAAAAAAAACCTGCCTTCTCTGTGTTAATCCCCCACACTTAACAGATGAGAATCTGGGGCACAGAAAGATTAACTTTCTTATGATCACTCTGCTACTAAACAACAGAACAGAATTCTGTTAAATAAGGAACCTTCCATAACATAGAATGGGCAACACCTTATTATTTATTGTTGTCTTTGTCCATTTTCTGTTGCTATGAAGGAATACTGGAGGCTAGAGAATTTGTAAAGAAAAGAGGTTTACTTGGCTCATGATTCTGCAGTCTGTAAAAGAAGCACAGTGCCAGCATCTATCTGCTCAGTTTGTGATGAGGGCCCCAGGCTGCTTCTAGTCATGGCAGAAGGCAAGCCCGGTGTGCAGAGATCACATGGCAGGAGAGGAAGCAAGAGGGAGAAGGGGGAGGTGCCAGGCTCTTTTTAACAACCAGCTTTCCCTGGAACTAATAGAGTGAGAACTCAATTATCACCCCTCACAGGGAGGGCATTAATCTATTCATGAGATATCTACCCACATAATCCAAATACTTCCCATTAGGCCCCATCTCCAACACTGGGGATCAAATTTCAACATGAGGTATAGGGGGACAAACATCCAAACTATAGCAGCTCTGAAATGAAAATGTGAAAGTATTCATCTTATGGTTTCTAATGACCTAAGGGAATATAATTCAGTGGAAGCATTCCTTTGAGAGATTGAAACAATGAGTCATGGATATGCATTTTTCTAATGGTTTAAATTGGTGAAGAAGAGAACATAGAATGCATACAGTTATGAATGGACATGAATATAAGAGGTCAGTTGATACTAAATTGTCTAGCTGGGAATTTGATAACACACATTTCAAGAGCCTGCTATGTAAATAATGGGTCACCAATTTAAAATATGAGCCATGTGTTTTAGATGGAGAAAAATCAGGGTCAAGTCTAACATTCTATAAGGAAAATTAAATCTTGACACTTAGTCTAAGCTCAACTAAAAGTCATCTCACTGCATTTTGGGAGCTGAGTGTCCCATGCTTCTTTAGGGATTATCTTATTTCTAAGCAACTTTCCCTGCTACCCAGTTGCCTAACTCTTGAAATATTACCTGAGACCTCTCCTTCTGGACAGCACCTATAATTCAGACATTTCATGAGCACCTGTACTCCCTGCTGCCCAATATCACATTCACCTTGAGCAGATTTGGCAACCCTGACTTCATATAAAAATCATTTCAGGAGCTTTTAAAAAATACTGATCCCTGCTATCCACCCCTCCCCACGAAGGCGCTAACTTAATTTATCTGGTGGAGGACTCAAGCATTGGTAGTTCTTAAACACTCCCAAGGTGATGCTGTAGTGCAGCCAGAGTTAATGACTGCAGTCTTTGAACCTAACTAGATAATCTGCATCTATACCTTTAACCAATTCATGGTGAGATACTAATGTGTGAGCAACGATTTACATTTAACCTAGAAGCTTCCAGAGAGATGGTGGCTTACTCTAACTGAAAATCTAATGCTGCATATTATAGCACCTCTACAAGTCAGTGGAGGGCAGTATTATGAGTAGACAGTTCTTTCAGCCTAGTAAATTATACCAGCCTGACTTTCTCTAGGATGGGTTTGGTTTTTATTCCAGGTGATTGATTGAAAATGAGACAGTAATAGATGTGACAGCCCTCACATTGTCACATTGTGATATTTAAATACTTAAGAATCAGGAAAATGCATATTCCTGACTTCCTGCAAAACTAAAGTGCCTCAGTGGGACCAGTTTAAAGTGTATGTATTTGGATATAAGGGACTTTTCCTTCTGTGACCAAGCTTCCTTGCCACCTGTCCCCAACCTTTATGTCTGACTTTTGTTTTTGTTTTTTTTATGGTTTGAAGTTTTATACAGGCAGTGTGGCATAATATAGTGGTGAAGTATAGGCTTTGGAGACAGACTACCTGAGTTCCACTCTTGGCTCTATTACTTAATAGTTCTTCAGTCACAGGCATATTGCTTAACCACTTGCCTATCTTTAATACCCACTTAATGGCATTGTTCTGAGTCAGTGGATTTAAAGCTCTTACAACAGTGCTGGCCACCTAGAACTTACTCAGTATCTGTTATCACTTACCTGATTTTTTAGTGTATACCACTGAAAATCCTTTTGGGAAGTGTGTGAGGATATATTTAAATATATCGGAGTACACATAATTTTTATCCCAATGGTTTACTGATAGTTTAAGGCCCTAGATAGAAAATGGAAGGGATAGGAAATTGTGTTCATGAAAATACAACAAACCTGTTCATAACAGGCAGTGGAAATAGTACTGTATGTACTACAGAGCTGGACTCTTCGAGAAAGGACATGCAATCAGAATTAAAGATTGTCAGATAAATGATTACTCTGGTGGCATGAGCTATGCATTCTCAGCTCAATTATTTCCTCCTTTAATGTATTAAAGGATTATGGGTACAGAGCATTGTCAGGAATTCAGAGAAGTACATTTGAGTTTTCTCCTCAAATGTAACTGTGCAAATACATGAGCAAAATTAAAAATTCACCTTGCACCGCTTGAAGGAAGAAGGCATTGTGTGCCAAAGAGGCTTGAGATGGTTTCAGGAAGAAGCCAGATTTCAGTGAAATTTGGAAGTGAAGACAGAATTGAAAAGGAGACCACATCATGTTTATATGTACAGATGTTTATTAAGTATTTCTTGAGTGAGCAGTACAGCAGGAGGTGTGTTCATGGAACAATGAGTATACCAGACTGCCTGGAGCAAAGGATTTATAGTAGGTGGTTAAGACTTAATGTGTTCCATGGACAAATAATTTAAGATTATTTGTACCATCTACTCCTAGTTTTTCAGGTTCACATACGAAAGGGAAATCTCTTATGCTGTTTGATACAGACTTCCCCCAACTTACTGACTGCAGAGTTTTTTCTTAAGAAATAGTAATATTGTATTCTTATTATTATCATCACTGATACACTAGTGTTCAAAGGAATACAATTTGGTAAACATTGCTTTATAATTCTGAATAGCTTTCATAGTAAGAAATTATGTGTTTCTGGGCACAGTAGCTCATACCTGTAGTCTCAGCAACTCAAGATGCTGGGGTGGAAGGATCACTTGAGGCCAGGAATTCAAGACTAGCCCGGACAACATAGCAAGAACTCATCTCTAAATAAATAAAAAATTTAAAAATTAGCCAGGTGTGGTGGCATGCACCTTCAGTCCCACTACTTGGAAGGCTAAAGTAGGAGGATCGCTTGAGCCCAGGAGTTGGAGGCTGCAGTGGGCTGCGATCAAGCTACCTGGGTGACAGAATGAGACCCCATCTCTAAAAAGAAAAGAAAAGAAATTATGTGTATATGAACTAGGTGACACCAGTAGCTTGAGGTATGATCAAGCTGCCCAGGTGACGGAGTGACCCCATCTCTAAAAAAATAAAAAAAAAGAAAAGAAAAGAAATTATGTGCGTATGATCATGGAAAGATGCCTAGAAGGACATTTATGGAAAATGTTCATCTCAGAGTAGCAGGATTTCAGGTGATTTTCACTTTCTCTCCATTATTTGAACAAAATTACAATAAATGGTGACTGTCCTGTTAGGCATCTTGTCATGTACATATGCACAAAAGGATACATGTTTACTACTCTACATAAATAGGATTGTCCTTAATGTACTGTAGCATTGCTTTTTTTCTACTCAACAATGTCATGAATCTCCTTTCTGATCAGTTGTTACAATATACATTATAATTTTCAGTGGTTGCCACATTATATGTATGTACCATTATGCAACCAGTGCTTATGGATGAATATTTAGATAATCCCCAATTTTTTATTTTAAAAAAGAACTATTCTTTGAACATCCTTGCATGGTTTTTCAAACTTAACTATATGACCAAGCACCACAGTCACAGTATCACAGTTTCTTCATCTGCAAAATGACAGTGTTATAGAGCATACTTAGAAAGATAATTCTGAAGTTTAAATGATACATAATACAGAGCATATCCAACTGCCTGGCACATATTAAGTACTCAATAAATATTAGCTATATCACCATTATTATCACTGTTATTCTACTACTACTACTATTACATCTTCTTAGGATAATTTCCTAGAAGTGAGATTGCTGGGTCAAAGGTTATGTACATTTCATATTTTTGATACATGATTGCTAAACTGTTGCCCCAAAAAGTTACTTCAGTTTCTGTCTTCAAGAGTACTCATTTTCCCATCCACTTCTTCCTTGCTCAGTAGAAGAGGCTTCCCTCTTCCTGCAAGGGTTTATCCTCTCAGTTCCTTCCTCCTCAAGGATCACACTCTGCCCACTTCTCATTTTTATCTTCTGCCTACTCATCTGCCGGTTCTTTCCAGGAGATTCATTTATCCCTTCCCCAGACACGTTTGGAAGTCTTTGCATCTCCCATGCACTTGCATGTACTTGGCCCCGGGGATTACAGCAGTGAATACGACAGGCAAGGTCTCTGACCATTCATTGTGAGAAGACAGATGGTTAATCAGTAAACAAACTGGATAATGTCAGATCATGACTGGTACTGTGATGGACATAAAACAAAATGTTTTGCTTTAGAGTGAGAGAAAAGTAGTGGCTACCCTAGCTAGGTAGTCAGGAAAGGCCTCTCTGGGAAAGTGATATTTGACTGTGGGGCGTGAGTGATAAGAATGAGTGATAAACGCAGGGTGAACAGCAATTCCAAATGTCCTAAGGTGAGAAGCAGCTTGGTGAGTTTGAGCAGCTGAAGGAAGGTCAGTAAGCAAAGAAAGCAGGCAGTGACATCAAAAAGGTAGGTAAGGGTCAGATTGTGTAGGAGCCTTGGATGCCAGAGTAAGGGGGTTAGAATGTATTTGAAGTACAGTGCAAGCAACTGAGGAGTTAGCAAAGAATTTACATTTGTCTTCTGTGTGGAAACGGAAGACAGAGTGGGAGGGGCGACAAGAATGGAAACAAGACCTGTCTACCAGATTGTTGCTGTGGTCCAGGCAAACTATGAATGAAGTAGACAAATATGTGATACAATTTAGAGACAGAATTGTCTAGCTTTGCTGATGGATTAGACTAGGGAAAGCTACCTAAGCTTCTTAGATTTTTGCTGGGCATGAGGCAGATTCCCCTTAACTCTTGGTCCTTTAGCTGCCACTGTTTCTTTTCCTGTACAGCTGAACTTCTTGAAATAATGGCCTACACTTGACACCTCTGCTTCCTCAGTTTCCAGCCCCACTCTACCCTGGCAGACGAGCATCTGCTCCTGCCTTCAGCTAGGATTGCTGTCCCTGGGTTCACTGATTTCTCATAATCCTGATCACCTGTTAGTCCTATAGCATTTGTTATTTTACATATATATATAATTTATATATGTATATATGTGTATATATACATATAATTTATATGTATATAAATTATGTATTTATATGTAAATATATAATATATATTATATATATATTTTTACATATGTATGTGTGTAAAAAATAATTTTATTTTAAAGACAGGGTCTCTCTCTGTTGCCCAGACTAGAGTGCAGTGGTGCAATCTCAGCTCACTGCAACCTCTGCCCCCTGGGCTCAAGCAGTCCTCCCATCCCAGCCTCCCAAGTACCTGGGATTACAGGCACACGCCACCACACCTGGCTGATTTTTGTATTTTTTTGGTAGAGACATGTTTTGCCATGTTGCCCAGGCTGGTCTCAAACTCCTGTGCTCAAGCGATCCTCCCACCTGAGCCTCCCAAAATGTTGGGATTACAGGTGTGAGCCACCATGCCGGCCCTATAGCATTTGACACTGTTGAAACTGTTTCTTTCTTGAAACTGTACTTCTTTGGCTTCCTTGACATAACTGTTGTCCAGATTTTCTCTGAGGATGTCTACTTCATGGGTCTTCTCCTCCGTCACTTTTTAAATGTGAAATCTCTGCTCCCTGTCCCATTTTCTCTTCTCAACCTGTACTGCCACCCCAGGTGATCCCATCCACCATTATGGCTTTAGCTACCATTTACTGTATCTTTACCTCAAGGCCTGGTCTTTTCCATTACTCCAGGCTGTGTATCCAGCTCTCTGGTGGAATCCGCACTTATGTGTTCCTTAGGTACATCAGCACGTTCCAAGCTGAACTCCTTACTCCCCTCCTCCCTCCACTTCCCACCCGCTGTGACTCACCCACCCACTGAGCTGCTTTCAGAGCTGCCTCCTCTCCACTTCCTCCCGTCTTTGCTGCTTTTTCTGCTTCCAGCACCCTCCCTTGCTGCAGCCGCTTGCCGTCGCTTTGCCTGGCTCATTCCCACTTGTCTTTTAACTCATAGCACAGGTATCTTCCTCTGGGAAATTCTCTCCTCTGTCCCATGCTCGGGTTTGGGACCCACCTCATGTTCCCAAGCCCCTCATGCTTGCCTTGATTATAGCATTTTCACACCCTTTACTCGCCTCTCTCTCCCAAAGAGATGTTCAGTGATCTCTTGGCAACTTACAGGGCTATGTCACGGGACACAGGCAAGTGTTTTCATGACTTTTTCCACATAAGTGCTACATAGACTTTGATAATTGAGTAAATGCATTCTCCTCAAGAAGCTGACATTTCAAGATCTGCCCTTCTTTTTCTGATTTTTCCTTCGCCATTTCTTTGTTCGTGTCCTAACTCTTTCCTGTTAACTTTCTTCTGCTGTCAGGCTACTGCTTTTAATACATGCAGTCTTTAGGATTCTGTCATTTGCCTTTTCCTTTATACAATCATTTATTAGACCGTGACTACAAATTACTTTGAGGCTTGCCTTTTGAGTAAAAATAGATAATTAAAGCAGATTTGTACTAGGGATTTCATAATTACTATAATGAATATACATTATAGAAGATACTACCTAATTATCAAAAATCCTTATATTTAAATGGATAAAATTAAATTTCAAATTAAAAACATGAACCATTTTAAATGAAGTGGGATTGTTTGTTGTCTAGAAAGGAGAAAGATAGCAATTACCATTTTTTTTTTGTCACAGAGTGCTTCATGTTGGCGGAACCATTGTATTGTTGCTTAGTGAAGATCACCACAGGCGCCTTACAGATTGTAAAGAGAGCAACATCCCTTTCAATTCCAAGGACAGTCACACAGATGAACCTGGAATTAAAAAGTGCTTGAATCCTGAAGAAAAAACTGGTGCATTCAAGACAGCGTCAACTTCATTCGAAGCCAGTAACCACAAATTCTTAGACAGAATGTCACCATTTGGCTCCTTGGTACCAGTGGAATGCTACAAAGTTAGCCTTGGAAAGACAGATGCGTTCATATGTAAATATAAGAAGTCGCACTCTTCTGGACTGTAGCAGGCTTGCTGCCATCAGCCGGGTTCAGGCCCTTGTAAGTTAGCTGTACAGCAGAAGTTTGCTGTCTCTAGGATTCATATAGCACCCACAGAGCTCCAAGTAACCAAATTCCCCCAAAGACAGGAGGTGTGGCTGATGGGTACACATGCTTGGTAAGAGTTTCTGCTTTATATTCTAAAGTACTTAATGTTTTTGAGAAAAAAGTTATCGAATATTTTTTAGACTTAAGTTTTATCTTCTGTCAGAATGTGAAAAGTTCTGCCCAGTTTCTGAGCAAAAACTTCAATTTCAAAATAAAGGTTTTCAGGGGTTCACTTAAGTGTATCACAATCAACACCAGACGGGATATTTTAACTATCAGATTTTCGGAAATGTAAAAACCTTTATGTGTAACTTCTTTTGATATTAAACTTGATTTTTGAGCCTGTAATTTTCTTCTCCATTGGAATGAAAATAATTTGTATTTGCAATACATTTTATATGTTTATTATGTAAACCAACAGTGAGAATAATAACTGAATTAAGCCAGTATCCTTCAAAACATGATGGAAAATGAAATTTGCTTTTTTTCTAAAAGCATTCATACACTGTCACCTCGCCCTTATTTATATAGAAAGTCAGTTTGTTGCTTATGTTCACTACCTGAGAAAAAGAAACAGTAAGTTTGAGGAGAATATATGCTCTGGTTTAATGTTTTTCAATAGTGTGATACAATTGTTCAACTTATTGGCAGCTTTAGTGGTATTTGAACAACTTTGCTATGTTTGGGTAATTTTCCACCCTGTGAATCAGCTCCCCAAAGCAGAAGTCATAAAATCTGTTTTCCAGCCAGGGTGTGGAAACCTGGGCCCCTGGTATCAGGTCCACCCATGTGCAAGCTATGGCATTTGTGCCCAGTGGCAACACAAAGCGATCTTCACCAGAACATTCCTCTCCTGAGGTTTCAGCACTGCTCTTGGCTACGTAGCCACCGCTAAGCTTCTCTCTCTGGCCTTCCTAGGAAATTCTAAGAGCCACCTACTAATCTTGAATACATTTCATTTTTGCTAAAACTAAGTAAATGTGGTTGTGTTGTTAACAGCTGGGACTCTGATAATGGAGACTGATACTCTGAGGGGTTTCAAGCAAGAGGCCCCCAGTAATGTGAATTCGTTACTCGGTATCTGGCCTACTTGGGTTAAAGGCAGTGAGAATACAGCTAGTGTTATAGAAAGTGTATGGCATGTGATGGTGAAGCAGTTCATAATGCCTGTGCTTACCTGATGCTCTGGGAAACACCAAAAACCTGAGGAATACGAGCCCTATGAGGCGGGCTATCTGCTTTTGGTAGAACTTGACAACTCAAAGAAAAAGCAAGATTTCTGTAGTCCTTATTCCTTGGGTTAAAGCAGGGGTCTCAGCCAGCGGCAATTTTTGGTCCTCAGAAGACATATGGCAATGTCTGCAGACATTTTTGATTACCACAACTTGAAGGAGGAGAGAGATACTCCTGGCATATAGTGGATACTGCGGATAAAGGATGAGAGATTAGGTTAACAAGGTAATGGGTGGCAGGTAGAGGTGGTATATTAGATGAGATGGGGCCTTGAAGACTATTTTAAGGGCTTTAGCTTTTACTCAAAACCACTGAAAGAGTTTTGAATAGGTGATGTCACCTAACATATGTTTTAGGATACTGTAGCTGCTATATTGCAAATTGATTGTAGGAAGAGAAGGGTGAAAGTAAAGAGATCAGCTGGGAGTTTTTTGCAATGATTCAGGCAAAAGAAAATGGTAGCTTGCCCCAGGGTGGTAACAGTCGTGTTGGTAGGAGGCACATGGATTCTGGATGTATTTCGAAAGTAGAACCAGAAGGATGTACTGATGTGTTAGATGTGAGGTATGATAAATGGAGAGGAGACAGGAATGACTGAAGACTTTTAGCCAAGAACTTGGAACAGTAGAGTTTTCATCAACTAAGAGAGGAAAGGCTGCAGAGGCTGCAGGTTTGGTGAGAAATATCAGAAATTCTGTTTTGGACTTGCTAGTCTAGACACTCTAATTTAGACTAGTCTAGACAGTCTAAACTAGCAGATCTTGTTTAGACTTGCTTGCTAGACAGTTTTAGACTTGCTAATTTTGAAATATGCATTAAACAAAGTGGAGATGTTGATTAGGCAATTGAATATGTGAGTCTGCACTTTAAGAAAAAGGTCTGCTCTGGAGATACATTATGGGAATTTTCAGTATTTAGGTGGCATGAAACTGGATGGGATCACCAAAGGATTGGGAATAGGAGAATAAGACCAGGGCTGAGCCCTGAATTCCTCCCATACTGAGAGGTTGGCAGGAGAAGAGGAAACTCCAAAGAAAACTGAGATGGAACAACCAGTGAAATAGAAAGAAAACCTAGTGTGGTTGCCTGGAAGACATGAATAAAGGGTATAGAGGAGGAGTATTTAACCCTATAAATGCTGCTAACTGACCAAGTAAGATAACTGGAAATTGACCATTGGCTTTAGCAGTGAGGGAGTCATTCATGACCTTGACCATGGGGCTTTTGGTGGAATGGAAGGGGAGCAAAACCAGACTGCAGTGAGCTTAAGAAAAAATAGGAAAAGAGCTGGAGATAGTGAGCATAGACAGTTCTTACAACTAGTTTTGCAGAACAGGTGAGCAAAGAAATAGGAGTAGTAGATTGGTAAAGAGTGTGAAAGCAAGAGAAAGATTTGTTGGGAGAAGTAGCAGCTTTTTTTTTATGTTAAAGAGAATTCCAGGAAAGACGAAAAGATGATGAAATAGGAAAAAAGGGCTAAGTGCTAGAGCGACGTCCTTGAATAAGGGGATAAAATGCAGTCCACAATTGGAGGAATTAGCTTTAGACAGGAGCATGATAATTTGTTCACGATTACGGGTAGGAAGACAGCATACAGACATTTCAGCTATAGTATGATAAATATGCTCCTAAAAATTTTTTCATTCTCAAATTTATGCACTAAAAATAACAATTTATGAAAAAGAAACATAAATTCTGGTTGGGGAAAACCATTGCAAACATCCAATTTTGCAACCTGAACACTAACAGAAACACCAATCTTAGTGAAAATATTGGCACAGTTAAGACATTATATTCCTAATAAATATGTAAGTAAATAAGGACTTCACCTTTCCAAGAAAAGGGCAATGTCACCTTGATAGACTAGGCATAAAGAAGGGTAAGGAGATGCTGAGTTACACAACAGGCACTGTCTGCCTGGCCAAGGCAGAACCTGCGGCCAAGATGAACCAGAAAAAGCCTGTGATGATGGACGTCATATAAAGAGCCTTATTCCGCACCTTGTTCGTTCAACTCATTCCATTGGCATCCTTCACGTTCAGCTGCTCCTGTCTGGTGACACAAAGCATTAATATGCTAAAAAGAAAAAATCATGTATGAACCAACCCAATTTCCACATGAGAGTGACGTCATCTCCTTACTTAGCAATATTCGATTTAATGCCTATTACAGAAATACGTGTTGTAAGAGAACAGATTATAAGTGGGAGCAGATGCTGGAAGGTGGGCGGATGTGGTGGTGGTAGACTGTGGAAATTCTCTTTCAACTACTTCAACTTTCTCAGTGACAAACCATCCGGTAACTTACCCAGTGTCTGAGTCTATAGCTGGAATAGCTACCCTCAGCAATTGCAGAATACCCATAATGGCTTTCTGATCCATGGAGTAAGGGTATAGATTTTTGGAAGGGCTGATGTCACACTCCTTAGGTTCCCCTTCTTACCGAAATAAACAAAGGCAATACCATATATTTGTAGGAGCTGCAGATGTTAGTGCCAACACTAAGAAAGGCACGGATGTTGATGGAACTCTGTGGCATCTGAAGGCAGCCTACATGAGCTTTGGATTTGCTGCTCTGACTCATTTACTGTTAATTGAGGCCTGGGCTAAGAGATGGCTCTCTACTTGCACCAGCCCTACTGTAAGCAGCTCCCTAATGCCCTTAGAGACCCAGGAGATCTGATGGTGCTCAGAGCAACTGGGGCAGACCTGGAGGGTGTGTGAAGCCTGCAGCAAATCCCAGTAGAGGAAGCACAGCTGCAGCATCTTAGCTTTTGGAGCAAAGCCAAGCTCTCCTATGCAAGTTAATTATTCTCCTTTTGGAAATAACTCTTGACTTGCTATTGGGGCTTGCTTCTGAGGGCTTGACCATGGGACACTAGGTGACCATATGACCTAAGCTGCCCATCTTGAAGTAATGACACGCCAAGCCAAAAGTCGCATGGACCCAACCCAGCAGCACATCCTCATCAGATGGGAGCGGTATATATCAGCATTGAGTTCCACATGGCTGACGGCACTCATGAGCTGCAGGGGCAGTCAGTGCTTTTTCCTCTCAGTGTGCTTCCTGCCACACTCACCCCTCCCTCATAGCCATGGTCTCATGAGGAGTCTCCAGTGAGCAGTTCACCAAGGAGAAAAGAAGTCAAATATGGCTTACAGATGACTCTGCAAGTTTTGCTGGCACCTGTGGGAATTTAATTGCAGCCCCACTCAGGGTGAAAGACAGGAAAGAAAGTGGGGAAGTTCTCCTCCCAGGGAGCAGAACTTGGAGTAGTCCACATTATACACTTTTCCTGGAAGGAGAGATGGCCTGAGAGGCAGATCCTCAACATGTCATCCTCATGAGTATCAGTTTAGATGGATGGTCAGGAACATGAAATAAGGTCTCGGGAAGAGGAATGTGGATGGACATGTTATACTAGACCCCAATATAGGTGAATATTTTTGTCCTATTGGAATGGTCTCAAGAGGCCATACTGTGTAGGAGGTTCTAAATATGTAGTTGGAAGATTGCCTGCCCAGTGCCCTACCCTTTCCCCAGCCATCCTGGTGCTTGCTCAGTGGCCCCATAGACAATGGTTGCAGAGACAGACAGAAACAATGCACTGGCCCAACAAGGACTTCTCGCCAAGATGTGGCCACTGCCACTGCTGACTAATTTCCAGCAGCAGTGACCAACCCTGAGAGACTTAATATAACACTACTGCTGTAGCTTGAGTTTGTCCTCCTGGAAGCTCACATTGAAATTTGATTCCCAACGTGATGGTTTGGGGAAGTTGGACCTAGTAGGGGTATTTGGGTCATGTCGGTAGATATCCCTCATGAATGAATCAATGCCCTCTTGAGGGAGCTAGTTCATTCTCACTCTCCCAGGACTAAATTAGTTACCAGTGATTGGCTGTTGTAAAAGAAGTTCTGCTTCCTAGACATTCTCTTGCTCTCTTTGTACCTACCCACTCACTTTTCTGCTTCTCTGCCATATTTTGAGCCAGCCCATGGCCCTCACCAGAAACTGACCAGATGTGGCACTATGCTTTTGAACTTCTCAGCCCGCAGAATCATGGGCTCAATAAACAACTTTTCTTTATCAACTACCCAGTCTCAAGTATTCTATTATAGCAACACTAAATGGACTAAAACAACTACAAACAGGAGGGGAATTATATTGAAGACCCTCCCCCTTGTGAAGAGGGCAATAATTTGTCCTCACTGGAATAACTATTTACTCTGTATTTGGATTCTTTATGCCAACAACACCTTCCATGAACTTAACAAATTGCCTTATTCACTATCATTCATTTCCATGTAACAGTGCTTCTCACTAAAGAGCTTATTTTACAGGGATGACAGTGAGACAAGAGACTGAGGCTCATGGGATTTCTTGTCTCACCATAAGGCCTTACGGCATGATGGAATGGCTTACTGAACACCCAGTTATTGTGCCAGCAGGAAGATAACTCCTTGAGAAGATGAGATGTCTCCATACAGGATACTCTGTGTGCTATGAACCAACAGCCAATAGATGGTGCTATTTCTCCCATAGTCAGAATAAAGAGCCCAAGAGCTGAAAGTGAGAGTGGTACCTGTTACTATATCACTCCTAATTACGCTATTAAAATGTTTGCATCTTATCACTAGAGTGTCTGGGCTCCCTGGCTTAGAGGTCTCAATGCCTCTTGTTCCAGATGGAAACCTTCAGTGCTGTCTGCTATTGCATAAAAAGTCAAGACATATTCCATACCATCCATTGGTCTCTCCATCTCATGGAAAGATCAGTTACGTTAGAACGAACGACCACACCACCACCACCAATACTGCCACCAGCCTGTGGGTCTCCTTTCTTACAGGGCAACCATGAGAAAGGAGCTTTCACTAGGGGAATGCATAAGCTTCTTGGTGCCAGACAGTCTGGATTTGGTCTGTCAGCTCTTTACAGGAATTGTCTAGAAAGCCAGCTGCCCTGCACGTGGGAAACTTGACGGACCTAGTGATCTTGGGGACACATGATATGTTACAGTCTCCCTGCCAGGGAGAGGCAAGGGGAAAACCACCAGTTGTATGGGAATCTGAGCTTGAATGTAGTCAGCCCCTTTTTCTGAGAAAAGAGGTGCCCCCAAATTCCCAGCTGCTCATTGTCCATTTAATCCACTCTGAGCACCCAGGGTCATTCGTGGAAACCCTCCTCCTTTCAAAATCATTCCCAAGAGAGGATTTCTTCTGTCAGCAAACACAACAAGAAACCATTGAATTAAGAGGTAAGACTGCCACCCAATTATTTTGGGTCCTTGATTCCACTGGACAGAAACACATAAACAGGTTGAATTATGTGGGCTGGAGTGTTTGTTCCTAGTAATCAGAGAGAGGTATGTCTAGAACCCAGTGTTAACCTAGGTTCTTACCAAGACCCGAGATGAGACGAAGGTTTTTTTGGAGATAATTTATTTTGGGAGCTGGGGACTGGAAGGAGTAAAAGAGAAATAGGGAAAAAGGTAATCCAAGGATGCACTGTTGAGCTGATCACCACTGTGAGAAGCTGGGATCTGATCCTGTAGGGCCCCTCTGAAGACCTGTATAGGATGCAACCCAGAATTGTCTGCTTAAGGAGCAAAAGAGGAGAATATCCACCAGCTCCTGTCTCCCATTGGTCAAGAGTAGGATGACTTTCAACTCCCTCCCAATTTAAGACTTCCATCGCATAGTTTAAACCCTAACTTACAGAATATCAGATGGAACTAGAGGAGGAATGGAAGCCACCCAGAAATCATGTTCTTGACATGGATGTGTTACCCTTGTCAGAAGGGGAGAGGATGAGCAGGTTTTTCTGTCAAGTATAATTGCATATTTTACATGCGAATATTGGTTGGTTGGAGGAAGTTTAAATATCAAATTAAGAACAGATATTGATGTTGGGCATCCAAAGGGTACATCAAAGTGGTGAATTATCGTATTTTCCAATGTTTGAGTCCCACCTCTCCAAGGCAGAAACCAGAACACCAGCTTTTCCGACCTATATTATAGGTAGAATGGGGGCCAGACACTGACATATGATAATTGGATTCAGATGTGAGCTATGCGGAGGAACCAGGCACCATGGAATCCACTTTCTGGGGGAGAGGCAGCAGAAGCATCTGGCCTCAGGGGCTAGCTGGGGTAGAGGACAGCATTCAGCGTTCAATATCCATGGTGCAAGCTATGGTGTGGATCCCCGGCAGGGGTGGCAGTGAATCTTTGAAACTACCATCTTGTTGTATGGTTTGGATGGTGTTCCTGGTTGTGTAGTCCCCTAGATTAATTTTCTGGCCCTATTGAGCATTCTAATTTTTTTTTAATGAATTCCTTTTCTGCCGAACAACCTAGAGTTATTCTGTTGATTGCAGCTGGGGGCGCTGTGCCACACACCAAGGTTACTGAAGCACTCTCCTGCCCTGCAGGCTCTGCACATCTCATTCTCAGTGGAGTCCCTCCAAATGTTTTGCATTTTTTCTGTTACCATATTTTCTAGTTGTCTATTTTATCAGTATTTGGCACCCCTCTCCAAAATCATTTTTAATGTTTTGGCCTCCCAAAGATTTTGAATAATACAGTCTTTGTCATCATCTGCCTAAGCCTTACATACATCTTTAGGAGAAAAGAAAAAACGTGTAGGGGTGGACTCTGTGACCAAAATGCAACAAACGATGGGTTAAAAAAAAAAAATTCATTTCTTGACTTGAAGTGAGTGACAGTGATGTAGATCGTAAGAGGTAGCAGTACTAATGATCTCGGTGTACTTTGCAGAATTAAATCATGATTTTAGTCTCTGCTAAAATATCTTTAATATTAAATGCATACAACTATAAAGTTTTTGAAAATTTATGAAAATTTGAGGATGTCAAATAAATGGAGTACTATTTTATAGCATTTTTTCCTCCTCCAGAATAGGGTACAGAGTGTGGCCCAGAAAAGAACAATTAATATTTTTTGAACTAAATTGAACTAGCTCCTGGTAGGAGAGAATAAATAAATGCCTGTAGATCTGAGAACAGTGAATCAAAGGGACACTCGGAAACCATTCAAGAAGCAGACAGCTGTCCAGGGAGACACCGACTTCCTGTGTAACCTAGAAAGCTAAGTCTCAGAGAAATGCAAATCAAAACCACAATGAGATACCATCTCACGCCAGTTAGAATGGCAATCATTAAAAAGTCAGGAAACAGATTCTGGAGAGGATGTGGAGAAATAGGAATGCTTTTACACTGTTGGTGGGAGTGTAAATTGGTTCATCCACTGTGGAAGTCAGTGTGGCGATTCCTGGAGGATCTAGAACTAGAATTACCATTTGACCCAGCAATCCCATTACTGGGTACATACCCAAAGGATTATAAATCATGCTACTATAAAGACACATGCACACATATGTTTATTGTGGCATTATTCACAATAGCAAAGACTTGGAACCAACCCAAATGTCCATCAATGATAGACTGGATTAAGAAAATGTGGCACATATACACCATGGAATACTATGCTGCCATAAAAAAGGATGAGTTCATGTCCTTTGCAGGGACATGGATGAAGCTGGAAACCATCATTCTCAGCAAACTGTCACAGGGACAGAAAACCAAACACCTCATGTTCTCAGAGATGAGAAATGAACAGTTAGATCACTTGGACACAGGGTGGGGAACATCACACACCGGGGCCTGTCGAGGGGTGGGGGGCTGGGGGAGGGATAGCATTAGGAGAATTACCTAATGCAAATGATGAGTTGATGGGTGCAGCAAACCAACATGGCACATGTATACCTACGTAACGAACCTGCACATTGTGCACATGTACCCTAGAACTTAAAGTATAATTAAAAAATAAAAAAGCTAAGTCTCAGGGATTCAAAATAAACTGAGGTTTGAGAAGAAATGCTCACTTAGATATTAAGTAAATGTGTCGGTTCAGAGAGCTATGCAAGAAAGCCCTTGGACTAAAATTAGGTGAGATGCAAAGTCTTAGAGAAATCTTGCTAATTAAGAAATCCAGGTGAGTTTTTTTAGTGCATGTTCATATTTTGCCATAGTGTTAGTAGCCTTTTCAAATCTTGTTATTTATTCATTTGTTCATTTGCTTCTTTATTTACTTAGCTACCAGGCAGTTAGTGAGTACTTGCTCCATGTCAGGTTCTGGGAATGCTCCTTGGTAAACTGGCCCTGCCTGAATGGCTGCTGTGACAGCTATCTGAAAGGGATGTGAGCAGGAGCAAGAGGATACCAGCCAGAAGTCCGGGCTTCTGAGATAGAGGAATATCCTTGACCTTTGGAAATGGAGGGATGAAACCACTCTCTGGAACACCTCGGCAGAGAGAAAAATGAGCTGAGTCGAGGAAAACATTTGAGAGAAAAATTATGGATTGTTGGAAATTTAAAGAAACAACTCAAAACGTGCATGAAGAGCTCAGCTTTTTATCTTAAATTCCATGAATTATGTTCAAGAGAGTCAGGAGATTTGAAGTGTAATTTTGCCATCTGAATGCCACAATCATTTAATATTGTCAGTTTTCATTAAGTTTCTTCAGTGAGAAACTGCCTGCTCGAGATGAAACAAATGACAGCAATTACTCCAGGGCCCTTCCTTACCCACCCCCAACCCTTACACATTATTTCTACCATTTTTTGGTCACCCTGCTAGCTGCCTTTTTGTGACTCTTGCCCTTGGTATCCTACACTTTGTGAGATTGACTTCACCTTGGAAGAATGGGCACATTAACCATATATTTTGCCAGATAGACCTAAACGCCCAGTACTGGCCTCTGGGTATTAACATGGAAACCAAGGACAATTCATTCACTGGGCCAAAGGTATTTTGCCTGTTTTTCTGTAAGCCAGATTTTATCACTCTTATGTTTGAAATCCTCCAATGACTTTCCATCTTACTCAGAATGAAACCCGAAGTCTTGGGTTTTATTGGAAAGGTGTTCAAAGGGTGCTGGATAGCCTGGTTTCCCTCTTACTTCATCTCAACACTCTCACTTTCATTCTACCTTTTGCTGACCCTGCCACATGCAAAGCTTGTTCCCATCCCAGGCCTCTGCACCTGCTATCTACCCTTCCTGGACATTCCTCAGGACACCTGCATTGCTCAGGCTCTCTGTGCAAATGTTTTCTTATCAGAGAGGCCAACGCCAGCTTCCCTAAACTGGCCATCCCCTCACCTTTAGCACTCTATTCTCCTAGCCACCTCATTTTTCGTTCATAGCACATATCACCACCACCTACTGCACAAGCCCTGTTTTATTACTGTCTGTCTCTCTGAGACAGACACAAAGGAAAAAAGAACAAATTATCTTTCCCTGAAGGAAGATTTTTTACTTTTTTCCTTTGTCACCTTACAATGGCAGCTTTTTGAAGGCAGCAGCTTTGATTTATTCACTATGTATTCCCTGCACTTAAATCAGTCTCTGGCACATACTAGGTGCTCTATAGAGATGTGACAAATCAAAGAACACATGAATGAGCAAGTGAACACAACTGGTCATTCATTTGACCACATGTGTCTTTGTTCCACAGTATTGAGATGTCCCTATTTTTGCCGAGGCCCTAGAACCATTTTGCCACGGTGGACCTGCTCCTAAAGTGACACAAAGAGTTTGAGTCTACAATCGTATGTTAGGCCTGAGAACAATAAAAGAAAAGTAACCTTGAGAAATAGAGGCTGTGAGGCAGCAAGTCGGCTTCACAGACCAGGGATCACCATCTTAGTGATGCGTCATTCATTTATTCCCTCATTCCTTCAACACACATTTACTGGCATTTCCTCCACACCCACTGACATCCCAAACAAGTTACTTTTCATGGTCATCTGCCAACCAAGTGAACACAGCCATAAAAGTCCAGAATGCTGAACCAAGTTTCCCCCGCATTGACCAAATCCATGCATTCCATTGTCAAAAGGAAACAAGAACAAATTGTCTTTCCCTGAAGGAAGATTTTTTTCTTCCTTTGTGATATTGGAATGTATGGAATCGTGCAACACAGAACCAGCTCCTCAATCGTTACTAGGTAAAAGCTTGACATTTTCTGACACCTTTCTTGATTATGTAGGCGTATCGCAGACCCACAGGCTAATTGCTTTAAAGAATAATGAAATTGTACTGAATTTCCTCTTAACTCATTGTATTCTTACTCATCTGGCTCCTCAAAGGAACTGGTTTTGTAGGGGTGTTTGGGATAGGGTTCTGAGGGCCACTCACCCGTCCCACCCCGCATGGCTCTACATGGCTGTCCCTCTAGCTCACCCTCGGTCTTTCCTCATCTTCATTTCACTTCTCTTGAAAACCATTCCCCTACTCCTGTGAACACTCTTTAAACTGTTACTTTATTTGGAGAATTCTTTGTTTAAGAACTGGTTCATCCCTTGAGTCAATACTGTATTAATCACATGCGTCATCTCCCCCAGATTACCTTTCACAGTTGGTTTAATTTCAATTCCCAAGTCCAGTTTATTTGAGAAACATGTTGGCATGATAGCGATTTACCATCGTCACCACAGAGTCCTGTAAAGTAGAGGCTGCTCGACATGTTTGCAGGAATATAGATACTTGGACATGCTGACCTCAAAATCTACCTCGCTTTTTTGCTGGGGAGGTGAACCTTCTGCCAGAGACTGGCTGAGAGATCTTGGGTTAATGCTCTGAGTCTCTGTTCCTCTGCTGTCAAAGAGAGATGACCATTATAGTTTCCATATGCCTCCGAGGCTGTCTTGAGGTTTGTTTTGGTTTGGTTATGGGGTGTTTTCTAAGTCACTGCACAGCGACCAGTCTCTCAAAGGGAAAATACGAAATGAAGTACTGTACTTTCCTTGAGATATAATAAAAAAATTTGGAAGGTTTCCTTGTTTTGACTCCACATCAGATGGTTTTATTTTATTGTTAGTGTAACTTAATATGTTATGTTTTTTAAATTAGTTCACATTCAACTTGGATAAAGGAAATAAAAGTTTGTAGAGGTGTTCAAAGTGATTTTCAGGCTTCTTAAATGTGTGGTTATTACCAGCATTCTTGCAGGGCCACACATCAAGACAGTCAGGGAGAAAGGACGGAAATTCATGAGTCTTTGAGTTGCTATCCTACCTCTAACCGTAAGGCTAGATAGCCTCTTTTTTTTTTTTGAAATAATTACTTTCATCTAATAATTTAAAAAATGCCGTCAGGGATGCTGTCACAGGACAAAGTAAGGAGGACATACCCACTTAAATAGAGATCTTTGAGCAGCCCTAGTAACACGGGAATTTCTCATAATGTTCTGTGGGGGAAGTGCCAAGAAGGTAATTAAAATTGCTGTCATACCTTTAGGCTACTGCAAGCTACAGGGTCTCTTGAAGGTCAGTCACGTAAGGAGAGATTCTGTGCTTACAAAAATAGGTCTGGCATTCTTTACAGAATTACAAAGTGCAGTGTGTGCTCTGGCTTAGAAATATAGAAGCTTGCTTAAAAACTATAGAGCAGTAACTTCCAAAGGGACCCTTGGAAAATGCAGGGGAATGTGAACCTATCTAGATGTATAACATGTTGACAGTAGGCTCAGATAGGGTTAGAAATGCACTATGGAAATGCTGCTGGGTCTTGGGTAGTTGACGTGGATGCTGTGCAGGAAGGTGGAAGGATTTTGGAGTGAGCAAGCTGGAAACCAAATCTTGGCTAGTATCTTAGGGAAGGTTACTCAACCTCTGTGAGCCTTGGCTTCTCTACCCATAAAGTAGGGGCAAATAGTAACAAGATATGGTTTATAAAGGACACAGCCTGACACAGTCACTGAGGAGGTACTGAGGCAGTCCCTCACCCAGGGACTCAGTCTCATTAATGCCAAGAAACAGCACTGGAGAAGCTTTTGAGAATCCGAGCTTTCTCTGCCACTTCTTATTTATGTTTAGTACTTACAAGAATGAAGGAGACCTAAAAGTTAACAATAATATGGCTCCACTGCCATCCTCTTAGAATTAATTAAGTGCTTTATTTATTTACTTATATATCTATTTATTTTTTGAGCAACCAACAGAGTCCAGAACTAACAAATGGCAAATCAGGGCTTAGAGGAGAAATGAGAAAACTTCAACAATTTATTCAGGTCTTTAAGTTCATTTTAAACTCTTGTGATTAACAGATTTAAGCAATATGATAAGTGCAATGTGTTTTACCTGTGGGGAATGAATTTGAAGCCCACTGAAGCCACAGCTGAGTGAAGTTCAGTTCAGGCGTGGCTAGGTTTCTAAAGCAAGTATTTATGTGTTCATCACAATCAACCTAACAGGCAAAGCTATGAGGATGGAAATAAAAGGTGTTTTATGATTAAAGAATGAAATGCCCTGAACTGTGATTGCGTTCTGGGAGCAAGTCAAGGGAGCCCAGGCCCTTTGTGTAGGATCCAGCGGAGCCTCCGTGCACCCTTGCTATAGCAAGGTTTCCATGCCCTTTCCAGAATCCCCAGAGGATGCCACTTCACAGTTAGCCAGATATTGAGGGAATTTACCTCTAAGGTCCTGATTTAGAACACTTGCTGATGAACTTGAGGGTACAGTTCATCCATCCTCACACCCACACTCAAGGCAGTGGCCTGGTCAGACTCTGGGCCAACCAGGATAAGCACTTCACTGGGACAATGGTCTGTTCATTAGGAACATCAGCCCTAAGATGTGGGAGTTTATTCTCAGAATTTCTTAGTGAGCTCCAAAAAAGGGAAATGCTTACCTGAAGCAGACCAATAGTCTATCTGCTGTGATTTAAACTGGGGTTGGCCAGTATGTGACATCTGCCTTTCCCATTCATTCACAAACACTACATCTTTCCCCTTTGTGCCTGGACTGAAATCTTCCCAGCCACCACTAATTGATCAAGTTCACACTTAAACTGAATACTATCTTCAGGTCTTAGATGCACAACTTCTGGAAAACAACTGGAAATCAGAGAGGAATCGGCTGGCAGCTGGGTCAGTTAGCAAGAAGGAGCATTTGGGCCATTGATATTTTCTCAACTACAGTTTTCAATTCCAGTCTCCATTAAATAAACGCTATCCTGTATAACGCTGAGTTAACCATAAAACTTAGCAGTTTTTTCTTTTTCCCCTTTTCCCCAAATTATTGTATCTCCTTTTTGATACAAGAAGCAGTTCCCTTAGTAATTAACCTAACTCTACAAATTCTTTAGGTGTCATCCTTAACTTCCCTTGTTTCCCCACCGCCATGTAACTTACCAGCAAATCAATTCCATCTCTAAAATATGTCCACCTACTCCTGTGCATTTTCATCACCACCCTCTCCATCCAGGCACAATTTTGTCTCCTGGGTTCCTATGCAACTTCCTCCTTCCTAACTGGGTTCTTCTCCTCTAGTGGTGCCTCTTTAAATCCATTCTCCATCCAGCAGCAGTGGCAACACTGATTTTTTTTTTTTTTTTTTTTTTTTTTTTTTTGAGACTGGTCTCACTCTGTCACCCAGGCTGGAGTGCAGTGCAGTGGTGTGATAATAGCTCAATAGCTTCTAGACTCAAGCAATCCTCCTGCCCCAGCCTGCCGAGTAGCTAAGCCTACAGGCATGTACCACCACACTTGGCTAATTTTAAAAATGTTTTTATAGAGACAGGCTCTATTTGCCCAGCCTGGTCTTGAATACCTGGACTCAAGAGATCCTCCAGCCTCAGCCTTCCAAAACACCGGAATGACAGGTGTGATCCACCACACCTGGCCAACTGATAGTCCTAAAGTGGAAATCAGATCACATCATTATCCTTTTTTAGGCCGTTTGTTTTCAATTACCAGAGTAAAACCCAAACTCTTTACTGTGACCAGCAAGCCTCTGCCTACCTTGGCAACCTCACCTGCACCACTCTTCCCTTGTTCTTTCTGCTCTAGACCCATGGTCCTGTCTCCTTCCTCTCTGCAAAACATTCACTTAGAGACCTAAGAGAAACCAAGCATAGCCAGACCTTATAGTAGCAGGCAGTATTTTATAGTGAATGCTGAAGGGGAGAAAAAAATTGGAAATAAAAACAGAAAAAATGCTATCTTCTTTTATAGCCAGCCAATCTGTTTTCCTCTTACAGGGGCTCCAGGCAGACATATTCTAATGTTTTAGGACAATTAGAAATCTTGCTTTGATGCCTGGCAAAACACAGGTTGCATATTAAGAGGAATATGTATTGCATAGCCAAGTTCCCAGTATGCAACTGGGTGCCCTGAGCATCTTCAAGCATTTGTGGTTGTCCTGCATGCAGCACAGAAAACTTCCTCTTCTTCCAGTCAAAGGGCAAGGCCCCAGAGAAATTCATATGCAATTTAAATGTGTTCTTCGTCAGGATAGCTATTTGCATTCAAAGGAAGTCATTTCTGAAGCATTCCTTTCAGAATTCCAATTAGGGATTTGAAACACACATGCACATAAATGAGAACGCTTTAAATTGAGGTGTAGAACCATATTGAGGTTACTAACTTAATGTTTGAGCCATCAAATAAATGTTCCACAGTAGTTCATAACACATTTTAAGTTACGTCTAGGTTGGTTTGGGTTAATAGTCCCTTTAATTATTCTAATGAGGTTTCCTTGCTTGCCAAGCTATATTCTCTTTCCATTTAGCCTCATCACACGACTGTACATTTTTTATGGGCTCCCTAAAATTGGTGCTAAGGGAGTCAGCTCTGTCCAGGGAAGAAAAGAGTTTATCTATGACTCTGAATCCATGTATTGATTCCACAAAGATTTAAGAGCACCTACGGTCTACCAGGCACTGGGTGGGCTGAGCACCGGGACAAGGCACAGATTCCTCCTTGAAAGAGTCTATGATCTGGTTATGGGTTGCCAGGCAATTCATGTGCGGAGCGTAACTGGTCAGGAAAGGATTTGAAGCAATGCAGCATGTTTGAGGAAGGTGTCCGGGAGTGTTGTGTAGAAGCTGAGACACAAGGAAAAGTCAGAATAAGCCAGGCAGAGGAGGGGGTGTCCCCAGCAGAGGAAAGAGCCTGAGCAAAGATCTGGAGTGGGTGGTTGCCTAGGCAGTGTGAGTATCCCACCTGCACCAGCCTCCATCAGGTGGTATATTTTGAGCTCGTGGGCCCCCATTCACCTGAGTCCCGGGTTCCCAGGTTTTTATTCCCTCTAGCTCACTTGTGGGGGCACACTTTTGTCATTCTCAGACTTCAATTTCGAATAAGAAATCTTTAAGAGGCACCCCCCACCCGGCCCTTGCAAAAAGTTAGTATTTTTTTAACTTGCCAGGGCTAGATTCAAATAATGAGAATGTTGTGAAGTATGAAATGCACAGCCAATGGGAATGTAATTTAAAAGAAACTTATTTTAGTAATTGAATAACTTTAACCCTGGACTTACAAAACAATTTAGGGCCAAAAAGAGTAAGCTTAATTTTTTTCACTATGTCCTTCACTGCATTTTTCTAGAACATAAGCTTTACCAGGGCAAAAACCTTTGTCTGTTTTGCTTCATTAATGTTTCCCAAGTGCTAGAATGTGAGCACATAATAGCCATTCAGTAAATATTTGTTGACTATATAAGAAATGTTATGGGGGCTATTATGTTCTGTGGAGGTTTCCCATATCCTGGGAAATCTCGATTATCGAGGGTCCATGGTAGTCCTTGAAAGATGAGGGAGGCTTCCCCGAGAATGGACAACACTGGTTCTAATACAGCAAATAAACCAAGGACAAGTCTGTTAAAAAGGGGGGTGTGTGGGACAGAGAGAACATAGAACAAAGGATTTCAATAAATTATTCTGTCCTGCACAGTACTGTGCAATCATTTCAATCATTCTTCATTCACAAGCCAGTTAAGAAAAAACTCCTAAGAGAAGCCCAAGGACTCAGGGCCAAATGCCCAGCACTGGCAACATTTGCCCACACTTGCGTGACAGTAAGTAGAAAGCGAGGAACCTTGGCCTGGCACGTTGGTTGCTTCGAGCTCACTTTGGCTGGAAGGCAGGGAGCCTCAGTCCTTGCCAGCACTCGTTTGAATCCTAAGTGAACTCCCCTGGCTTCGAGGCAAATCTTTCTGGTGTGTGAACCCTTCAACCTCCTGCTACCGCGAGGCTTTCTTCCACTCTCACCTCAAACCCCTAGGAAACTTCTCTGAAACTTCAAAAGTTACTCACTCAGACACTGCTTTGTTGGTTGGAATATAAATGTCCAAGAGTCTTGACATCTTCTATGGGGATCTTTAAAGAAGACTTCAAAGAAAGAGCTCTCCTGCTTTGAAAATAATTGACCCTTTCTATACGTCTCTGATCTCATCCAGAGGGACCAGTATATTAAAAGGCCTGAGAGAGTGCCAGTGAATACACTCATGAGCCTGTGCTGTGCCTGGAGCCACGGAGCCAAAGCTGGTGTGGTCGCCGGCATCCTCCAACCCCTTTCGGCCCTTACATGACAATATGTGGACACCATCACTTGGAAATCAGACTCTATCCTTTGGGAGTAGATGATCATTTTCCTTTTATGAGGACTAAATCAGTTTTTATAAAGAAGAAAGAAAAGAATCTTTTATGAAATCAAAATCTGAAACAGCATATTCTGGAATGGCGTCTTCTATTTTACAAGCTGTCTTTATCCTACATTGTGTGTAGAATCGGGAACAAGGGTTGGAGTTAAAAGGAAAAGCTTAGAAGTCGGCGAGTGCCCCACCCTCCGCTGAAAGATAAGCAAACACAACGGAAGAATTTTAACTGTTGTCCCAAACCCACACAGAGAAAAAGGATCGAGAAAAAAAAATGAAGCAAATGTTTTGAGTCTGATCCTCAGCTTATGAGTAACATAAAATAACAGCACTTACCTCATAGAGCTTTGGAGAGGATTAAGTGAAATAACACCACAGCCCAGTTACTGGCACATAGTAAGTGCTAAATAAGTGAGTTCGCTTTGTTAGTAGCTAAGGAGATAACCACGGTTCTGGCCCAAATGAGTGGCTCTCAATCACAGCTGTGTATCAGAATCATCTGGGATGTTTTTACAAAAATGCTCAAGCCTAGGCCCAGCTGTGGATATTCTGAGTTAATTGGTCTGGGGTGAGGCCCTGTTTAGGTACAGCTGAAGACCTCACCAGGTGACTCTGAGCAGCCAAGGTTGAAAATCGCTGCTTTAGGAGGTCCAAGAACAAAAACAGAGACCATGTATCCTTATGACTGGATACATACCAGGCAGATGGTAAACAGGGGAGGAAGAGGAAGAGAGAGGGGAAAATGAGAGAAAAAGAGAAGGAGAAGAAGAAAATTGTAAATAGTATAGGAAGGTTTAAAAACAAGTTTGAAAATGACATCTTTTGTCAATAGCAAGTGTGTGGTTGCTACAAAAGATAATAATGCCCAACCTAATTGAAATGAAGCAATTATTAAGTCTTAATAAGAGTCTTATTAAAACAACAGAGTTTTCCTCTGTCCTTATGGCTAGGGAGACCTGTTGACACAGCTAAAAGACATAGGAAAACACACCCAGATTAACAAGGGGGCAGTCATTTAATGCAGAAATCCAGTTAACATAAAGAGACAGAGGTTGAACAACAGGTCTTCAAACAATACTGCATAGTGTCACGAGTTAGCTCTTAAGCACGTTTGATCTGTTTATCTTATGATTTCGATTCCAGTACAAAGACAGAGAAGAGACTTAAAAAAAAAAAAACAATAAGGCAACAGAAGAAGAATCTTCCTGTGACAAGGAACGTCCACAAATAATGCACAAATATTTGGTGCTGACACAATAAGACACCATCAGGACAAGTTCTGAAGATGCTGCATTAAAATTTAACAAGCATGATACAATGACAAGAAAATTATACTCGCTTTGTTACGAATCCTTTTGCAAGTAGAAATGACTCTCGGGTAATTGTTACATACAAACTTTCTGAAATAAATGGAAATCATACAAATTTTTCCATTGCAGTTTCTTCTTTCTCTACACCTAGAAATGTCCCATGGCACTGCTCCCTATTCTCACAGTCAACGCATAAATAGTCATTAAAGCACTTGAATCCACAGTAGTCTTGTCCTTAGAAAGGTTGGGAGGTTTTGCATGATTTTCTATCAGTAATCCAGAAAGGGCTGGCAGGCAACAGGTTGGAATGTAAAAGACCGCTTTGTGCTTGGACTCCTGAACTCCGCGCTGTTCCCCTCAGGAGTCGCTCGCACTGTGGACAGGCCCAGTGAGGACAGTCATACCGTGGAGTCTCTGCCAGACTTTAGCTGTGCAATCTTGGTCCGGCTAATAAACGGATAAGCGATGCAGAGACCTCCAGCTGCCACAATAAAGCCTAAACTGCACCAGGCGCAAAAGATGGACCAGCTGTAACCATGTTCCACATCAGCAGGCAGGCTATAAATTAGCTTTGGGAGCCGGTTCAAATCATACGAGATACTGGCGGCATAAGTACAGAGGGAAATGGTGCAAAATATCCCTATAAATAATACAAAGAGAACAGAATGATTAGTTACAGTTTGCCTGTTACAAGACAAATGCCAGACAGGCCTTTATGAAAATCAGATCAACCACTGAGGCAGTCACTCCAAATTCACAAATGATCCATAATTATTTTACTTGAATTAATTCATATAACAAACATTGGCAAAACTTCTGTGTGCCAGACCCTACACTAGGGAATGGAGATGCAGGAGTGAAAGAGACAGGAAAATTCTGATAACCTGAATTATTCAGAATTATCTAATTCAAATGGTTATATATATTGGAATTCTTTTTTTATTCTTAAAAACAATAAAAGTTCTATTTTTAAGAGAAAAACTTCTATAATCACTCAAATCAAGCACAAAATAGTTTTCATTTTCCTTCGCTCTCCACCTAATTTCATACAGTTATTCTGTTGTAATCGTTATACAACATCTGCTTTCTTTTTCAATTAACATTATCATAAATATTTATCATGTTGCCTTAAATAATATTTTAGATGAAGTCATACAAGTAGCTAAATCTTTTTTGTTAAGGCACAGTCTTACATATACCATATGATGTAAAATAGCTGAGCAAGGAGATCATCCATTTCAACCATTCAAAATGGAGGCAATTGGAGTGACATAAGGAACATGGACAGACCCAAAACTTTGCTTTTTAGACCAATCCATGTGTGTGTAATTTTCCTTCTGCAACACTAAAATCAGGACTGATTTTAAAAATACTTCATAAGCCCCAAACACAGGATTTTTAGTACTCAATTCATGTGGATATAGGTGCTTCTATTCCACCGCAATGGACCCTCAAGATGCTCCTTTTGGATAGGCAGAGGATCAGAGTGTGGTGAGTAATAAAAACAGAAACTGGCACCCAATCAAGTATCAGAATGTCCAGTTCTGTTCTGAATCCTACACATCTCTTCTTCATAGTCTGGTTTATCCCTGTATACAACAGAGACAACATTTATTGACTGGAAAATTCCTTTGGCATCCTTAGGGATACACGTAGCATCTCCACTGGAAACAGAGACACAGATTTTGAAACTGAAAAGAGAGAGCTAAAAGTAGCAGATTACCTCTCCAACCCATTCAAAGCTCCCCGCCCTCTACCCACCACCCTTTTTTAACCTATAGCTTTGGAGATTAGAAATGCTAGCAGAAAAACAAATTCAGGGCAGGCAGCAATTTGGAGGAAATAAAGACCACCTTAATGCCATCTTTAAAATGTTAGAATTCTGCCTCCATTCAAATCATGTAAGAGCACGTTGCCTGAATCCGCTTCCAAATGTGCACTTAGACAATAAATGTTCTAAATTAAAAGGACACTGGATCTGAGATAATTTGATATTTCCTACTCTTTGCTTAATTCTGCATTTAAACTCTAAAGTGATTCTGTTTTACTAAAAAGGATAAAATCTTTTCTTCTGACTTCTTGCTCCAATTTATTACAGCAAACATATCACTTTGAGTTCTCAAAGAGAAAAATCAAGATGGAAATAATTCTCTCATAAAGTAATGGGCCATTCAAAAAAGAATACTCCACTTTTCTCAAACCTTGTGAAAAGCAAATGTTCTTAGATCTACACAAATGTTTTCACTGGCACCAAAACAAAGGCAGTTTTTATATATAACAAAGCCCTTTTAATAAATGCTGGTAATAGAACAATAGGCAGTTAGAAAAAATAATCTTTGGAGCATCAACAAGTAAAATAGAATAATAGAACAATGACCTCTTCACAGGAAAAACAACTTTATTCTGCATTTAGCTGTTTGCACATAGCTGAATGCCTAAAAGCAAGCATTTTTACAAGTAACATTGTTTTAATGACCTATGAAAGCTTGAGTTCAAACCTAGACTTTTAAGCATCCTTTCATGTCCAAGTGCATTGGGTTGGGATGTGAGAAATAAGTATTCTAGTTTCCAGCTCTACTAAACACTGTGCAAACTTGAAATTACCTAACCTCTCTGAGCCTTGGTTTCTTCATCTAGGGAAAAAAAGAGTGGGAAACTTGATTACTGAAGTCCCTAAGAGTGTCAAATTTCTGTGATTCTGTTATTCCAAAATGAAACATGAAACAAGAATATTTATTAAAACTTCCTAGTGAATCTAGTACTCAGCTTATGCAATTAAATGAAAATGGAATGTCCTATGTATCTATCTTTCTGTATATACTCCCTCTGATTTTACACTTAACATTTCTTTCATTAGCTCCTCTCCCCTGCCAACCCCATAAAATTGCTTTTGATGACATGAATTCTATCATTAAACCACCGGTTCATACTGAATAGAAAAGAATTACAAGAAACAATCTAATCTGGGGATTTAACCAGAATGATTTCTCTCTGCTCTCAGTGTCATGGATGTTTGTGCTTTTCCTGGGGAATTGATTTGTGCTTACCTCATGGACACTGTGAATGATGTCATTAACAGAATTTTTCTTTATCCAAGTTGCCAGAGCACTGAAGCTCCCTAAAGCTAAATCTGTAGCCCACCATGAGCAAAAGTATGGGATTTCATGGCATGCTTTTGGCTTCTAATCTCACTCTTGGATCCATCTTGCCTCAGAAACCTGATTGTCCCTTTGTCTTACTTTATTTATTTGTATTAATTTAAGTGTTATCTCTATGCCAGTTAAGTTTTTTTTTTGGAACAGGGCACGCATCAAACTTTGATGCAGACTTGTTTTATTTCTTGTTGCCTTTACTCATTCAGCTGAGCGTGGTGGAGAGGAGGCCTATCAGCCCAAAAATCCATCCCCTCTCTCCATCCCCCTTCCCACAAATGCCCCTATAGCTTGCCCTTCTGTAACATCTCTTCTCCTTTCAAAGTGCTCTCGAAGTTGTTCTTAGTAAGTAAGAGGAAAGCAGGGCAGGAAAGAATGACAAGAAAACCATATCTAGGAGCTCTTCATTTTCAGACCCTCGCATTTCTAAGAATGTTTGCACATGCATAGCTGCCACCACAATGATTTGTGAGATGGGCAGGAATGTGTGATGATTACAAGGAAATGTACTAAGAGGAGAGAAGCATTGTTTCCAACTTTTCCAACAAGCTTCTGTAAAAGAAGCCTAACCCATTCAAGATATTTTAAAAAACAAAACAAAAAATCCTAAATTCAAAGGCATCAAGAAAAAGAGTTGTTTGAAATGATGAAAGCATTCTTACTATAGCTGGATTAATAGTTTTAGGTCAATGTTGAGAGTGTGGAATTCTATTTCAGGTTCCACATACATGTCTTATAGTACTCATATGTGTGAGTTTGCCAGAGCTGCCAAACAAAGTACCACGGACTGGGTGGCTTAAACAACAGAAATTTGTTTTCTCACAATTGTAGAGGCTACAGTCTAAGATCAAGGTGTCAGCGGGGTTGGCTTTTTAAACTGAGGACTCTCTCCTTGGCTTGTCAATGGCCATCTTCTCCCTGTGTCTTCACATAGTCTCTCCTCTGTCACCATGACCAAATCTCCTTATAAGGACACCAGTCATATTTAGTTAGGGCCCATCCATATCACCTCATTTTAACTTAAAGACCCTATTTCCAAATACTGTCACGTTCTGAGGTAGGGGACAAAGACATCAACAAGTGTATTTGAGGGGACACAACTCAGCCCATAACATTCCACACACATGTGAGTATGTGTGTGTTTGTACTCATGCATGAAATATATTTTTAGCTTTTTTATAGGTTTTAGCAAGATTGTGCTATTCTAAGTGTTACTCAATAAGTTATTCAGCAATTATTTATCAAGTATCTACCACGTCCCAAGCCTAGTTCTGGTATATTAGAGATAGTTTAGTTTCATGAGCTCTTCTTGGTCACAATTGGACTCAGTTCAACATTGATGTGGTCAGGAACTTCAAGCATTCTCTCCACTCTACTCTCCTCCGTGCATCTCAGGAAAAGGTCATAGGGATCTCTTAGACTTCCCGTAAGTTCTGCATGGAGTCCAACAGAGCTGAGCACATGGAGTGAAGAAAACCTGAACGAAACTGAATTCTGCAATACATTGAGTTCTACCAACTTAAGAGTCGGTTCATCACAAATTACCCCAAGTAGGGATTACCTATGTAGCAAGTTATTTCTGATAATGCTGCATTTTCATTGGCAGCAATCTAATTAATGCAAGGTATGCGAAAGGAGTATGGAAGGATTAATAAGGTATCACCTCTGCATTCAGAAAGTTCAAAATCTAATGGTCCTTCCTGAAGATCCATGGGGAGAAAGGTGGCCTCTCCTCCATTCTTCTCTGAGGCTTTCCCTTCCTTTCCACTTCTCCCCTGCCTAGCTGATACTCTTCAGCCAGCTAGTGTCCCCCAGAGAGAGAGAGAGAGAGAGAGGTTCCTGAGTCCTGAGCTCGGTCCTTACTACTGCTGGCAGCATCTTCAAAAAAGTGAATAAATTACTGGTTTCCTGACAAGCCCTGCATGCAACTACTTTTCTTATAAAATATTAAAAGGTTTTCTGCCAATATTCCTAATTAGAAGATACCACGATATCACAGAATTATAGGGCTAGAAGGGATATTTTCACATCAGGACAGAAGTAAATTTATGCTATCATCCTTGCAATCATCAACCTAATTTCCTACCCTAAAATCTTCATGATGCCGGCTGGTAAGATGTAATTAGGGTAACGGGGCCCACTCTTTTGACCACCGTTTTTTAATGTGCTTAAAAGACTGAAAGGAGTGGAAGTTGCTTCACCCTGTTTAGCCTGCTTGATAAATAATGTAACTACAACACCCAAAGGCATAAACATTGATTTTTTTCCCCTGCTCCTTCAAAAGATGGCCTGCCCATCGTTCTGATCTCTTTGGTCTTCCTTCAAATGCCTCATGCTAGTTTGCACACAGATTACTCAAAAAGCCATTCCTATATTGTCCTAACTGACTGGCAGAACTAATAGAGAGAAAGAAACTCTTACACACACACACACACACACACACACACACACACACAAAATGCAATTCCTAAATCCCAAAAGCATCCAATCATTTTCTGAAAGATTGAAGCAATCTCTGTAGTGGCAAATCCTGGCCTGGTCTGACACAGGCTATTCTAGTACTTATTGATCCCATTTAGTGTGAATATTCGTATGTTTAGCTACAGGAATATTAATGTATTTGATTTCAAGATGCCACCCCAGACCTTGCAGAGGGTGTTAAATAACACAGGATATATGCACCGTGTTACTCTTCTAAAATAAAAAGTTTTAGATCCTGAATTACAAAACACACCTGGCCCCCAAGGTTATAGAAAAAGTATCATGGACCTGTAGTTTCATGTCATAATCAATGGATAATCTAGATAATTCAATACACCTACCATGGTTGAGTCTTTTTTTAAAAAAAATTTGGATTCATTAAAACAAAAGAATGAATAACCAGTGTGGGTGGGTGTTAACTGTCCCTGGAGCTCTGCTAGGGCTGCCTGGACTCTGTCTTCTCTGTCTCTGCTGTCAGGAAGGGACTGTCTCATGCTGTGTGTGATCTTCCAGTTGGCCACTCAAGGCACAGCCTGTGAAGGTGAATGAATTTCGTGAGCAGTGAGACCCCCACCAAGGGAGGCCCAAGCTTTATCCAATTTTTAAGACTCCTGGTGAATTAAAAAATACTAAAAATCCTACAACAGAGACCTTAAAAAGTGTTTTAAAATGTTTGCACTGAATAACCTTTTAAAAGATTTATAACTTAAATTATAATAAGTATATATTATACCCATCTAATAGAATGCATCACTTAATAATGTAGGTGGAAATATTCATTCACAGTACACTGAAAGCAGTATAGTCTAGTAATGGGCAGAAGCTTAAAGCTGGAAGATAAGAGTCTTATTCCCTCAGTCACCTGTGTATGCTTCTGTGCCTGTGTGTGTGTAACCTCAGAGGGTGTGACATCCAAAGTCTAAATTCAAGGCCGGTGGGAGATGTGCAGGCTGCCCCTGGCTCTCTGGGAGGGCCCTTGCATGGCCCTAGGGAAGAGGAAGAGGGGTGAGACCTGGCTCCAGATGTGCATCGACAGTCAGCAGGGCTGCTGTGTAACATGTGGTAATCAAGACCTGTCTGTGTGCAATCAATAAGGCAGAAGGAGAAATATCGTTTCAGAGTTTCCATTTTAACCAGCCAACCTGTCACATGGTTGATGTTCTTCATTTGAAGGTTTAGCTAATAAGTTCAGGCACAGAATGAAGATGGCAGAGCATTAGAAGGGGCTAAGTTTAGCATCAAAAATCTGTGGGAAGGATGCTGACTTGAGTGGCTAAAGACATTCTGCTTAATTAAAATCGATTCTTTTAACCCTTTTTTTGCTCTCATCTCCTACTGCATGTGAACGTTCTACAGCTAATTTATCTCAAGCAATAGATTGACATGGTTGTCTCAGTGTTTGCAAAGGAAATTTCAAGGCATTATTTGTAGTAACAAAAGCAAAACAAACGCCCCTAAATCCCACAGCAACAGAACAGGTGAATCCAGCATAGCATATCCACTCCATGCTCCTCCTCTCCCCTCTTCCATCCCCTCCCCTTTCTTCTCCTTCCTTTTCCTTTCTTGTTTTTTTACAGTGAAGCAAATACATGGCAAGATTTGGTCCAAAATAAAGGAAATATTGAAAAAAGGTTGTTTTGTTTTCAGGTGATGAGGTCTGTAAGTGGATTCCCCCTTAATTTCAATAACGTTGTTTGGGCAACCAAAACAAAACAACAGAACAATGTTAACAATGTTAGGTTGTATCTGTTAGTCCTTCAGAACTGGTCATCAAACTTCAAGTTTATTGTTTGGGTTTTTGTTGGTGGTGGTGGTGGTTTCTGTTGTGGCTATTGCTTTGCATATTTTGATGTTGCCTAACAATTACACAGGAGCTTCCCGTGCTCGATCCTGAGGACCTCTGAGCTCCTCTGGTCCAGAGGTACAATCCACACATGGATCCAAAATAAGGGCTGAGAACAGGGAGAGGTGGAGCTGGCCCAGGAAACTACTGCCTCTCCTCTGTGCCCACCTGCCATTGAACCTTCAACTTCCTTTCATTTAAAACCAGACTGGCCCCTCAGTCTCCCAAGGAGCACTCAGTAGGCTTTCATGGTCTTGTAATTTATTTTAGTTCTAACAATTGTTTCATTTGCTAAGAGCATACTAAACTATTCAGGCAGTACATATATTTAAAGTATCCTTTAAAAACTCCTCCTACTGAGGCTTTTGTCCACTCCAGAGCATCCCCCATTTTCCTGACAAGGGGAGTGTTATGGGGCCTTTCCCATGTGTTGGGAGGCAACACATCTGTACCTCTTTGATATTTATGGAGACAAGAGTCAGAGAAATGGGGGCTTAAATAAAGGGAGAGAAGAAAACGGGGGAGATTTTTAAATAACCATTAAGCCCCAGCAGAGGTGTAAAGGAATCCTCTGTGCAGTGCAGTCCTCTCTGGTTCTTTGCTGCCCGCGTCTGCTTTAGTCTATAATTTGGATTTTAAATGCATCCCTTGGGCAGGAACCCAGTGGCTGGTCTTGAGGGTCCAAATCCTCCTCTAAAACCTCAGAAACTAACATTTTAGCCTCCCTGTGCTACAGTCCTGGTGGCCACTGTGTATTCACCAAAATCTAGAAAACCTAAATTGGTTTTCTGCTGAGAACTAGGCAGCATCCATGTGACTTCTGAATGTTCCAGGATGCTGGTGATGATGCCCCACATTCCAGATCACTGCCAATTGCAGCACCATTTCGTGGAGTGGGATAGGGGTGAGTGGGAGTTAGAAGGAAGGATCCCTGCCTGTGATGTGGGTTCCTTAAGGCTGCAGGGTGGTTGAACATGCCAGAGGGCAAAGTACCCCCTACCCGTCAACGCTCAGAGACAGACAGTCAGCAAACAGTGTCAGCCCCGGTGGGGTGTGGCTGCCTCCTGTTAACGCAGGCTTAATTAAGTGACCCATTACAGTGAGAAGTGCAAGAAAATCTAGGCATAGTCACTTGAATAACAGAATTCCAAGCAAGTGGAAATAAGCCTATTTAAAATGGCTATCTATCTCGGGGAATATTAGTTCTGTTGCTGAGTATACTGTGTGAAACTGTTAATGCCCAGTTAATGTGGCATTCACTAATCATTAATACACGAGTTTTCTGTGAAGGAGGAGAAGAAAGGAAAGATTTCTTCCCTGAAGCTACCTTCGGTCAGTGTTAGCCATCAACTCAGCACCTGGCACATTTTTAGACAAAACTACCCTTTAGCTGTTAGTCAAAAAAATCCTAGCCCTGTCTCCACACCCCCATCTTTCCAATCCCTTCTTTAAAAATCGGCCGGGCGCGGTGGCTCACGCCTGTAATCCCAGCACTTTGGGAGGCCGAGGCGGGCGGATCACGAGGTCAGGAGATCGAGACCATCCTGGCTAACACGGTGAAACCCCGTCTCTACTAAAAATACAAAAATTAGCCGGGCATGGTGGCGCGCGCCTGTAGTCCCAGCTACACGGGAGGCTGAGGCAGGAGAATGGCGTGAACCCGGGAGGCGGAGCTTGCAGTGAGTCGAGATCGCGCCACTGCACTCCAGCCTGGGCGACAGAGCGAAACTCCGTCTCAAAAAAAAAAAAAAAAAAAAAAAAAAATCAAGTCACTCCTTTGCTTCAAACCTTCTAGTGGCGTTTGTCACCCTTAGCTTCAAATCCAAGCTCTCCACCATGACCAACAAAACCCTGACGCTTTGGCCACTGCCCACTTCCCCCACCTCATGTGATACTATCCTGTCCCTCACTCCCTCCAGCCCCACTGGCCGCTTCTCTCAGGTTTGGCACTGGCGGTTTCCCCAGTCTGCTACGCTCTTCCTACCACCGGCTGCTTCTCACGAATTAGCTGCGAAATCGCCACCTCAGCAAGATCTTCCCTGAGTCCCTGTTTCACCCTGTTTCTTTTCTTCACAGCTTTTATCACTACCACAAATCATTGTTTATGTCTCTCCACAATAAAAATGAACAAGAATTTTGCCTGCCTTATTCATTGTGTGTCTTTAGCACTCACAGCAGTGCCTCGTACATAGTAAGTCCTCAAAAGATATCTGTGGACTAAAATGAATGAGTGTTGTGTATGTAAAAATGACACCATCACTAAAGCATGCTTTGAATTGACATCCAGCGGGGCATGGGTTGTGCTGATCTATCCCCCTCTGTCTTTGAGGGCACCTCATAAGCAATGGTCCATGTTTGCCAAGAGTCCAGGCCAGGGTTTGGGGCACAGTATGAAAGAAGGAACAGAAGGTGGGGTGTGGTGGCTCTTGCCTGTAATCCCAGCACTTTGGGAGGCTGAGGCAGGCAGATCACCTGAGGTCAGGAGTTCGAGACCAGCCTGGCCAACATGGTGAAACCCTACTAAAAATACAAAAATTAGCCAGGTGTGGTGGCACATGCCTGTAGTCCCAGCTACTCAGGAGGCTGAGGCAGGAGAATCACTTGAACCCAGGAGACAGAGGTTGCAGTGGGGCAAGATCGCACCACTACACTCCAGCCTGGGTGACAGAGTGAGACTCCATCTCAAAAAAACAAAAAAGAAAAAAGAAAGTACAGCAAAAAAACAGACTGGGCTCATATAGAGATTAAACCCAAGACACTTCCATCCAACCTACTAACAGGCCACAATGGGGATATAGAGGATGCATTTCTCACACTGTTGTTTTCCTTAAATTCTGTATTTTCCAGCAAAGCCAAAATGACCTTCTGGTTGCTTTTCTAACAGTGAAAACAAAATTAACAGGGAGATAACAAAGCGACACTAGCTAGCCGCATGCAGAGCAGCCTTCACCTTGGCTGGGACAGACGGCCTGAGGCATGCAGCCTACCTGTCATGAGGAACAGGAGTCCAGCCACGTGCTGGGTCAAGCTCTCCTCCCAGAAGAAACTGACTGTGGCCACAATGCAGCCGCAGAGAAGGACGGCTACGGCCATGCCGAGGAAGCCAGCAGTGATTCTTCTTAAATCTAATCTCAAAACAGACACAGACATTCACAATCAGAATTCAGGAAAGTCATTAAGAATTAGAGAATTAGGGCTTTGTATACATTGTGAAAATTAGTAAGTTACATGGACAGGCTTAGAGCCCACAGGACAAGGAGGCATAGGGAATACTCTTCCCAGGTATTCCATAAGAGGACTGATGGGGTGTAACCAATGGAGGGTCAGACTATACCGTCTCTGAGTCCGTGGAGAAGTCCACACTAAGTGGAGAATAGACTAGAGGACAAGCCCAGGATAGACCTGAGTAACAGATGTCAAATGACTTAAACAAAGAGTGAGGTGGGTCTGAGAAATATCTGTTAGCCTTAACAGAACAATAGAAATGTAGGTTAACCAAAAACCACCTGTACCCCAAAAACTATTGAAATTTTAAAAGGGGAAAAAAAAGAAATGTAGGTTACTACCCTGGTAGTGGCTGTACTTAATCTAGCTTTGGAGAAAGAGCCTAAAAAAGCTATTGTGAAATAGGGTTTTATCTGATCACCACAGATGCCAATTATTTACTTCTTCATTTACATCTACTCCTGCCTATTTTCAAAAACAATTTGAGAAAGCGAAGGCAATTGTGGTGAGTGGAACAGTGGTGTAAAGTGCACACAGGATACATGTGCTCATAAACACCCTTTCCTCTGAAACATCTGCTCAGAAATGCCTTCTCCCCTAAAGCATAGATCCCACAACCTGGGCATCCATTTACCCAGGTGAAGGAAGTACTAGTCCAATAGGATGAGTCTCCACTACATAATCTCCACTATACAGTGGCCCAACTGTCTAGTTTGGTCTATTGCAAAAACACAACTGTGATCACTGAGCCAGAAATCCAGCTCTTTCCCCACATGCCTGACAAAACCAAGAGGTAGGCTGACTACGTGTACCTGGACACAAGTTGCCTCCAACTGCTAAACCAGCACTCACCTTGCCTACCTTCCAGCTATTTTACTTTTTCTATTTTCTTCCTTCTTTTTTTAAAAAATGCTTTTGAATCTTTTCTATTTACCTTGCAGCTCCATCTCAAAGGATTTTTTTTAACAAAACTAACTTTAAAAATTGTTCGCTAAATTTCAATCACCCTTCTTAAAACAACACATCCCAAGCATACATCTGCTGCCCCCAAGGCCAGGTAACAGGTCTGGGCAAATGCACGTGGATCATCCACACCTGTGTACACATGGGGCCAAGACAAGGTGCAGATCACACTGTTCGAAGTGTGGGCTGCTCTGCTAAAGTGAAAGTGCCCATGCAGCCATCACTTTATTGTGTGTTTGTGTGGCTCCTGGGCAGCTTAGGGGCGGCTTCATGGAGGATGGATTACAGTAGCTTCCAGTCTTGCTCTTAGCACCTTAGCCACAGAGAGACCATCCCTTTTTTAAAGAGGGATTTCTCATTTCCCACTCAGAGCATCCAAATTAAAAGAGAGTATTTCTGCCTAGAAGAAGAAATGTGGACACCAATGAATAAGGGGCCAGGAGCAGTGATAATTTAAAGACGCTGAGTTTAATGTTAAGGGTATAAGTAGTTTTTGAGACAGCCACATCTGAGCAGGGGAAATGTAGTATGGTTCAGTCACCATTATCTTACAGCCTCCCAAATTTCCTATGGTTTGAGTGATAGTCTATTTTCTGTGACTCTGAAAAGGCACAAGGTTCAGATATAATCCACATGGGATTTGCATTAGTACCAGTCATGTTAAGCTTATATAGTAAATGTGCTACAGATCACCAAGTGTGACTTTCTTAGAAATAGACATGCATGAGACTGCTAAAAGCATCTTTCCATGAGAACTCCAAAAAGGATTAAAAGAAGAATCTTCAAATACTGCCTTGCTGGGCAATCACAAGGTACAAACTATTAAAGAGCTAAGGTTCTTTTTCAGGCTCCTATGATGATCTTTTCTCCCCTGACCTGAGCCAGTAACTACATGGCTCTCTGGAAAGATGATTAAGTCTTAAAGTTGCCTGCCATAATATGTATATTAGACCACTGCTCTGGCAATATCATAAGAGCTTCCATTTATGTGTTTGAGATTCAGAACAGAGCCTTTTAATCCGCAGAGAGATTTACTTACAGAATGAGAGACTCTGATTAGTTTTCTACAGTGGCTTTGGCCACCAAACAAGATCCTGAAGTCCTTGTTACTTATTTCATTGGAAAATGACAATGTCAACCTCTGATGGGGGCAAAGACCAAAAAAATTCACAGTAGTTTTTCGTTTCGGGGAGCTATCTATCATCAGGCAGCTTAAATCAACAGTTTTTAGGTAAATATCAGCCCTCTTTAGTTTCACACTGCATGATGCTTTCTAGAGTTTCACATTTTCCTGACAGTGAAAAAGAATAGTTCCTTTCATTGAGATGTAGACACCCTCTGAGAAAATTATGACATACACTCATAAAGGTATTTTAGCAGAAATACAAAGGTCGGAGATGAACACAGTAGCTAAAATAAATATTGTATATACAAAACAAAAATAAGAGCCCCTAAGGTATAATCTCCTTGGTTTACAAGACAAGGGGTACAGCAGGTCCTTACACCCAACAACTCGGCAAACAAAAGATTCAGTAGGCAGCTGTGTACAGATGCCACCAGGGCAGACTATCTCACAAGACCTTATACCAGGTTTCCACACATTTTATTTTTAAGCAAACTGTGTCCACAGCATAGGGAAATGATCCTCTGAGTCTCTGACCACATCTGATTGGGCCCAGAGGCTCACAGAGGATAAGAACAACATCCTTCTGTCCAGATGTGAGAGGGGTGGTGGGAATTTTGTTCAGAATGACACCATTTCCTCTCTGAACCTCTCCTGGAAATACTTACGAAGCAGGTGCCACTCATCTTGCTGTATGGTCTTGGTTAAATTAAAAGGAATGTTTCGCAAGCGGATGGGCTGAGAAAAGTGGTACTTGATGGCCGTGCATCGCTGCGCAATACCTTGAAGGAAATAAGAAACGCGATTTACGAGTCTGCTTATTTGTAACAGAATTCTGAGACCTGAGGCAGAATACCGTAACCTAACCTGGGTTGAATGGGAGATGGGATAAGAATCTCTTGATTCAGAGCAATAAAAACCTAAAACATAAAATAATGTTTAAAATCAGGTTTCATTTTTTAATGTATTAAATTGTATAAGGATCTATACTCCCCTAATTGTTTTCCCATACGGAGCTTGTTTTACCTAAACACAAAACTCCTTAAGGAGCAATGGCCTAAAAGTACACAGATGGTTGGGAAAATCAGCTTAGAATTTTAAATTAGCACAGATAAATCACACATCTGGATCTGATCCAGTCTCAAACTCTCAAGGGTAGCCTCATGAAGTTCATTAGGAAGTGTGTTATTTGGAAACCAGAAGACATTTTTCCATAAAGATAACCTTCCACATGGTTTAGGTGGTGATTATATCTCCAGACAAACCTCGAAAACCTATTTAACTCTAGTGCAGCTGATATCATTCCTTAATACAGTTATACTGACCTGAATTCTAGATCTCGAGAAAAAAGGGTAATACTAGAAGTAGGAACAAGAAAGAAAATAATTTTCCTCCCCTATCTGGTTGTATGGCCAGCCCTAGGCACAATATTTTGATATGGGCAGGTGTACACATTGATTCATCTAGTACACTCTCCACCTCCTCACACCAACCTCACACACCCATGTTTTACTGCATAAATTAACATGGGTCCATTATTCTCTTCTCCTAGAGGCTTCTGAATTTCATGAAAAGTATCTACTCTGTCTTAAAATTTAAAAAAACTTATAAAATGTTCTCCTCTCATTTTAAATAATCTTGGCCAGTTGTTTGGATAAATGCAATCTGATTAAACTAATTTTTTTAAAGGCATGAGCGAATGTTAGTCCTTTAACACTGCCAGCCATTTAAAAAAATCTTCATAGATGCAAATAAATCTCTAATTGGTGGAATCTGAGTGCATATAAAGGTGAAATTTTAAAAAGATTATATAGTGAAGGGAAGAGATTAATATTTGAGCATAATTTGCATCATGAGCCCCAGTCCCTCCTGTGAATGTACCTACAGGATCATCTTCCCTAAGGAGTTTCTCAGATATTAGTGTACATCAGAATCACCTAGGTGGCTCGTTAAAAATGTAAACTCCTGAACTCTACCCCAGATATACTGAATCAAAAGTTTTGAGATGGAGCCAGGAAGCTGAATTTTAACAAGCATCCCAAGTAATTCTGATGCAGGTAGTCTCTGAATCTCCCTTTGAGAAAAACTACCCAAACTATCTCTGATTTTTGGAAGCTTTTTTTTTTATTTTTTATTTTTTGATGAAACCACACATTTTCTCAAAATTCGAAGTTCTTTTTTTTTTTTTAATTTGTTTTTTCAACATGAGCCCCATGGCAGTGGTTGTGAGGTCTAAGGCATTAAAGGTAGCTGTTTACATATAAGTTAGCTGTTTATAAGTCAGGAAATGCCTGTGCTTCCAAAGGGAAAACAATATAGTATGAGAACAATGACAGATAAAGGACCACAAATGTAGTAGTAGCTTACATTTGTATTCTTCAAAACTATCATTCCATTTGGTACTCATCAGACTGACCCTGAGGCTCTGTAAGCAGGAAGTGAAAGCTAAGGCAGAGTTGAAGGCATACCCAACATGCACACAACAAACCCCACTGGCAAAGACTGGAAGGTTTATTGGTTTTAGCAGGCTAAGAACATTTCTGTACAATAATTAGTTTACCACTAAGCTAATCAAGCAGAGACTTAAGGGGCCTCCTATGACAAAGAATATAGACTTCATAGGATTCGTTCAGGAAAGTCACTAAAGGAACAACAGCAACAACAATAAAAACAATAATCAACCCTAGAAAGGGACAAGAATCTAATTTCAGAGCTGCCATAGTATGTTATTTCAAATGCCCAGTTTTCAACCAAAAAAGTACGAGACATTCAAAGTAAAAGAAAAAAAAAAGCAGTCAATAGAAGCTGTCACTGAGGGATCCCAAATATTGAACTTACCTTACAAAGATTTTAAATCAGCTATTTTAAATATGTTCAAAGAAGTAAAGAAAACCTATCCAAATAACTAAAGGAAAGGATGAGAGTGATATTTCACTAAATAGAGAATATTAGCAACATGACAGAAATATTCTTGTAAAGAAAAAAATAGAAATTCTGGAGTTGAAAAGTATAATAACTGAAAAGAAAAATGCACCAAAGAGGCTTAAAAGAAGTTTTGAGGAGGTAGAAAAAAGCAGCAAACTTGAAGATAGGTCCATTGAAATCATCCAGTCTGAGAAAAATAAAGAACAAAGGATGATTTAAAAAATGGTCAGGGCCTCAGAGACCTGTGAGGCACCATCAAAAGCATAATGAGAGCTGCAGAAAGGAGGAGAGAAGGAGGATCAAAAAAGAGTATTTGAAGAAATAACTGCCAAAACTTCCCAAATTTGATTAAAAATATGAACTTGCATTCCTAAGAAGTTCAAGGAACTACAAATAAGATAAACTCAGAGACCCACACCCAGATATATCATAATCAAACTGTTGAAAGCCAAAGACAGAGAATCCTGAAAGCAGCAAGAAAAAAGCAAATTATCATATACACAAAAAAAACTTTGAAAGATTACCAGCTGATTTCTCATCAGAAATCATGGAGGCCAGAACGGAATAGGATGACACATTCAAAACACAGAAATAAGAAGACTGTCAACCAAGAATCCTATATGCATCAAAGTTATCCTTCAGAAATTAGGAAAAAAATAAAATATTCCCAGCTAAACAAAAACTGAGAGAATCTATCACTAGCAGACCTGGCCTAAAAATAAATACTAAAGGGAGTCCTTCAGGGTGAAATGAAGGATAATAACTGAACCCATATTTAAAAAATAAAAAGCACATGTAAAGGTTACAACATAGGTCACTGTAAAAGACAGTATAAATGTATTTTTGTTTGCAACTCTTTTTTTCTCCTATCTGATTTAAAAGTCATAAAGCAACAATTATAAATCTCTGTTGATCAGCATACAGTGTATAAACATGTAATTTGTATGACAATAATAGTATGGAGGAGGAGAGTGGGGATGAAACAATATAGAAGCAAGGTTTTTATATACTATTGAATTCAATTGGTATTAATCCAAACTAGATTGTTAAGATGTTACTTGTAATCCACAGGGCAACCACTAAGAAAATAACAAAAAAAAAATATGTAGTAAATGAAACAATAACAACAAAAAGAATTAAAAAGCCATATTAGAAAATATGTATTTAACACAAAAGAAAACATTAATGAAGAAATAGAGGAACAAAAATGCATATGGCATATAGAAAGCAAATAGAAAAATGGCATCTATAAATCCTACCCTACCAAAAATTATATTAAATATAAATATATACTCCAATAAAAAGGCAGAGATTGGCATTGTAGATAAAACAACATAATCCAACTACATGATGTCTACATGAGACACAGTTTAAATTCAGACACAAATAGGTTGAAATTTTAAAGGATGGAAAAAGATATACCATGAAAACCATAACTGAAAGATGAAATGGCTATACTAATATCAAACAAAACAGAATTTAAGACAAAAATTGTTACCAGAGAGAAAAAAAGATATTTTATAATGATAAATGGGTCTATCCATCAAGAAGATACAGCAGTCATAAACATATACTGACCAATAGAGCCCCAAAATACATGCAATACCAAAAACTGACAGAATTGAAGGGAGAAATAGACAATTCAAAATAATAGTTGGAGACATCAATACTTCTATTTCAATAATAGTAAAACAACTAGGCAGAAGATCAATAATAGTAAAACAACTGGACAGAAGATCAACAAAAAACAGAAGACTTGAACAACATTATAAACCAACAAGATACAAGAGACATCTATGAACACTCCATCCAACAACAGCAAAATACACATTCTTCTCAAGTGCACATAGTATATTCTCTAGGATAGACCATATGTAAGCAATAAAATAAATCTCAATAAATTTAAAAACATTAAAGTCATACAAAGTAAGTTCTCTCACCACAATGCAATGAAATTAGAAATAAATAAGAAAATAAAATTTAGGAAATTCACAAATTTGTGGAAATTAAGTAATATACTCCTAAATAACCGATAAGGCAAAGAAATCACTAGAGTAAATTAGAAAACATTTTGAAATTAATAAAAACAAAATTACAACATACCAAAATTTATGTGATGCAGCTAAAGCAATAATTTTGAGGGAAATTTATAGCTGTAAATGCCTACATTAAAAAAAGATCTCGCCTGGCACAGTAGCTCATGCCTGTAATCCCAACCCTTGAGAAGCTGAGGTGGGAGGGTCACTTGAACCCAGGAGTTGAGGACCAGCCTGGGCAACATAGTGAGACCCTGTCTCTAAAAAAATAAACAAAATTAGCCAGGCATGATGGCACGCACCTGTAGTCCTAGCTACTCAGGAGGCTGAGGTGGGAAGATTGCTTAAGCCCAGGAGATGTAGGCTGCAGTGAGCTGAGATTGCACCACTGCACTCCAGCCTGGGTGACAGAGTGAGACTCTGTCTCAAAACAAAAACAAAACCAGAAAGATCTCAAATCAGTATTCTAACTCTCCACCCTAAAAAACTAGAAAAAGAAGAGCACACTAAGGAAAGAGATTACAAAGCTAGGGTGGAAATACATAAAATAAAGAATTAAAAATTGATAAAGTAAACAAAACTAAAATTTGGTTATGCCCATAATCCCAGCACTTTGGGAGGCTGAAGTAGACGGATCACTTGAGGCCAGGAGTTCAAGACCAGCCTGGCCAACAGAGGAAAACCCCATCTCTACTGAAAGTACAAAAAATTAGCCAGGCATGGTGGCACATGTCTGTAATCCCAGCTACTCAGGAGGCTGAGGCACAAAGATTGTTGGAACCTGGGAGGCAGAGGTTGCAGTAAGCCAAGATGGTGCCACTGCACTCCAGCATGGGCAAGGCAGCAAGATTCTGTCTCAAAAAAAAAAAAAAAAATCAGGAATGAAACAGAGGCTATTACTAACAATCTTAGAGAAATATAGAGAAGCTTAAGAGAACACAGTGAAAAATTACATGCCAACAAATTAGATAAAACAGATAAAATGGCATATACCTAGAAATATAAAACTCCAAGACTGACTCAAGAAAAAATAGAAAATCTGAACGCATCTATAACAAGTAAAGAAATTGACTTAGTAATTAACTTAGTAAAAACTTGCCACAAAGAAAATTCCATGACCAGATGGCTTCACTGGTAAATTTAACCAAATGTTTAAGGAAGAATTAACAACCTTCATAGACTCTTCAAAACAAAAAAAAAAAATAGAGCATGAAGGAAACTTCCTACTTCTTTCTATGAGGCCATTATTACCCTGATATGAAAAACCAAAGACACCACAAGAAAAGGAAATTACATACTATTCCTTATGTATAGATATGCAAAATTCCCCAGCAAAATATTAGCAAACTGAATTCAGCAACATCTGAAAAGAGTTGTACACCATGACCCAGTGAGATTTATCTCAGGAATGCAAGATCATTTCAATATATTAAAATCAATTAATACAATATACCATATCAACAGAATAAAGGTCAGAAACCACCTGATCATCTCAAAGATGCAGAAAAAGTATTTGACAAAATCCATTTGCTACTCATCAACAACCCTGTGAGCTAAATATAAAGGTATTATTAACTACACTAAATGAGTAAAAGAATCCGAAGCTCAGAGAGTTAAGTAACTAGCCTGAGGCTATTACTCGGTTGTAACCAAGCTTTAACATAAATGCTGTTACCCAAACTCTATATATTAAATACTATTACTCAGAAATGTTAGCAGTCCTTAGTTTTCTAGACATGCATCTTAATTTTGTGGATAGTTAAGCTAGAGTTGCTACATGTACTGTCAATTTGAAATAAAAAACAATCTTTCCAATTTAGAACCAACATGTGCTCTTTTGGAAACAAAGCTGATTCTTAATTGAAGGAGATTGGATTGGCGACATGGCTGACTCAGTGGCTTCATCCTACCTGCATCTCACAGAAGCTGCTTAATGCTGGAGAGAGGGTGTGAAGTGGGGAGAAACTATTTTCTCAGACTCACAAGAGCTGGCCTTAGAACAGCTTCTGTGCTAGGGAAATGTGTGGTCCCTTTTAAATCACTGCAAATATACTCAAGACCCATCTCCTCCTCTGTTCCGTGCTTGTAATGGGCAGGATCCCAGTGGGCAAGAAGAGTAACAGGAAGGAGGTGGCAGCTGGCCCAGGGTTCTCCTGCTTCCTCTGCATGTGCCAGGAATTAGGTAAGTAGTGCACACATCACCAAATCGCCTTTCCTTCTCCATGGGGCTCTCAGGCTAAATTTAAAGTGCCAAGAATTCTGAAATGAAAAGAGCAAGAGGGTAGGGAAAATGATGAGGTGTGGGCTGACAGTAACAAGCAGTACTCAAGGACTCCAAAGAGTGTGGGTCTGGTAGCAAGCCCAGAGCTCCACAGCTGAGTTTGCAAGAAAATGTTCTATGGTCCAGGTGTTCCACTCCCTTGGAAGATGATTAGAGACTTCAGGCAGAATTAGAAGAGAAAGTGGGAATGAAAGACAGCTCACCAGCAGTGTCAGAGACCTGCCATTAGCTGTTTTATGTCCTTGTTCTTAAACACTTGTTCCACTGTCATAGCAGAAAGTCAGATAGATTTGAAGAGGAAAGCAATATTATTAAGGTTTGGCTCCCTACAGCACACACATTAAATTGACAAAATGAAACCACAAAAATCTTACAGGGAAAGACCTGTAGTTGCTTGACAGAACATATCAAGCAACCAAAGACAAATTAGGTCTTTCTGATAAAAAGACAAGCACATATATATACATAGATGGTGACGGAAGTTCCATGCAGTGTTATGTTAAGGAATAATTTATACTGTTAAAATCCACAAGGAGGCATTAGATTCCAATTTTTTCAAAGTCATACATGCAAACTTTGAAATTAACTGGCTTTCTGGGTTTAGAGAGCAATGAATCTGGCTCTCTGAAAAGGAACACAAAAAGCATGAGCTCATAGCACCAGATGGCATCACACAATGGGGGGAAGAAACATGCAGAGGATTGAAAAGAACAAGTTGTGGTTTATATTTAGTGATTAATTAGCTTCTTAAAGGGCCAAGTAGAGCCACTTTAATGATGATATAAACCATAGAATAAGATACATAAGTATGTTGCACAGGGGGTTAGAAATGGAGCTTTTTGCCTGGTGAATTTCTGTTGTTTTCAATACTGAGTTCCAAGCTAAGTCATAGAAACCCCTACTCGAGGTTAAATAAGGAAGAAACATGAGAAAGATGCTATAAACAGTCATTACTATCAATCAATAATGAGGCGGGCAGTATACATGATGGTTAAAGACCTTGCGGTCAGACAGACTTGGGTTTGAATCCTAGTTGTGTGACTTGTGGCAAATTACTGAAGCTCACTGAGCCTTGGTTCCCTCGTCTGTAAAAGAGGGAGAATAATGGCAGATACCTCACTGAGTTATGGTGAGGAATGAAAGAGGTAATTCAGGACTTAGCATAGGATGTGTGGCCCACTGTAAGTACTCCATAATGTCAGCGATGGATTATGAATTCCCTCTTGGCACCTGCCCAATTCGCCATACAGAACCACTGCCACACACCAGGAGTCTGCACCTTAAATGGTCATCACAGATTAACCCAAGTGCACAGAGAAATAAACAGACACATGGCAACAGCTGCCTGAACAATGGCCCAACCAACAGCTCTCATGTTTCCTCTCCATTCTCGCCACTTTAGAACAAGACTCCCATCACCTCACTCCTGAAGAATTTGCTAACTGACCTCCTTGCTCAACCCTCAACCTACCCTGCATGCCACTGCTAGATAAATTTGCTGTGTGAAGTTTTGAGGCCTCTGGAGTCTCAGTTGCCCATCAGTAAAATGCAATATGAAAACCTTTAAGATTTTTGTTACATCTACCTGCCTTTTACAGTATCATTAACTTAATATGTGGCTTTAAATTGATTACTGTAAGCAAGGAACAGTTTCACTTGCTATGATATAATTATGTATTTGTTTTAAAATTATGTATTTATTTAAAAATAAATTGTCTGACACATATAAGTACTATATAATTGTTTATTTAAATGTTTTAATGCTTTGCCATTGTGTCAACTTCCACACTGACCAACAGAAGATGCGAAAATCACACGCGGTCCCTCAGAACATAAGACTGGGGTTTTCATTGACTGGCTCTGTCCAGGAACATACAATTGGGTTCCCCCTGAATCGAATTCAGACTCTAGACCCCTACCATCTATCCCTACCTCCAACTTCACTTACACTTACCTGTGACTGGTTCCCAGGGGCTACTTCCCTCCCTCCCCAAATTGTCCCCTGGCAACATCATGTCCATCTCTGTGACCATCCTAGCCTACATCACTAACTTTAGAACAGTCCAAAAACTACTAATCCCTCCAGGCTCACTGCCTTCGAAAAGCCTACCCCAAACACTGCAGACCACATAGCTCACTCTCTTTGCTGAGCCTCACCATCTCACTCTTGATTACTGGTCTTTGTCACTGCCTACTAGATCAGAAAGTCTGCCTCTTCATTAATGTCCCAAGTTCCTTAAGCAGGGAGGCTGTGACTTTTTTCTGGATTACAACATTTAAGAGGTATGTCTGAAACAGTTGATGGCAATAGCAGTACCACTAATGCTTAAGGTTCTCTAGCAGAAAGAGTTAACAACAGGCTACACCATTTCCTAAACATTTCAAAGACAACTTGGAATTCTTCAGCTGGCCCTTGAGCAGAAAAATAAAGAATTATTTCCCCAGCACACGTCTCAGTTTGAAAAGAAAAATCAATCATGCAGTCATAGGACAGGGTAGCAGCCATGTTCTGGTCAGAGATTTAATTTCAGAGCAAAGCAGGGGCTAAAGCAGACAGACAAAAATGCTTTCCTTATCACCTCCTGTATTGGGTATAAACAGTTAACCTTGTTAAAATAAATAAACTAAATACAGTAAGTTTAGGGGCTTAACACTGACTTTTAGAGCCTCAAATGGCTAAACCAGTCCCAAAGGCAAAGCTCTTGAGGACAAACCTTTCATCAGGTCTACAGAACTGAAAGGAGAAAGATACTAATTAGTAAATCTAAGCAGCTCTGTCCGGTAGAAATATAATGCAAATTGTAAGAATTTTAAATGTTCTAATGGTCATATTGAAAAATAGGTGAGATTAATTTTAGTATTTTTAAATTTAACATGCAATCAATACTTTGAAAGTTGTTAATGAGATATTTTATATAGTTTTTTCATACTAAGTCTTCAAAATCTAAATCTAATATCTTCTACTTATAGCACATCTCTTTTCAGACAAGCATCATTTCAAATGCTCAATAGTCTCATGTGGCTTCCATCCTGGAGAGGGGAGTTTACTAGATGAAAATGAGTAAGACTCCAACCAAAGCAAAAGCAACTGGGAGCAAGAATGTTTGATATAGAAAGGGCCTGAAAGGTGTGAGGTTATTCTTTGTTTAGATCTTGTGTCTACCACATACTATATCTGGTTCTGCCATAATTGTTTCTTATTATTAATGGAGACTCAACTTCCTGGTAACTAAGAAATTTTATCTGTGTTCACTCTATATTCTCTCTGGAGCAAGACAGGCTGGATTTGCATTTTGGCTTCACTATTCACTATCTGTGAGCCCTTGGCAAGTTATTTAACCTCTCTGAGCACCAATACATAGACAATGACAGTTCATCTATCTCAAAGGAGGATTAAATGAAATAATAATATAATATTATTAGTGTTCGCTTTAATTATTATTATTATTATTATTATTACTACTACTACTATTGCTACTTTTTTTATCTGAACAAATCCAGGCAAGACTTAAAGGCAAGACTCAGGTGAGTTCCTTGAACTGCAAACACATTATCTCTAGGGGCCAAAGAGGGAGAGTTCAATGACAAGTCAGACAGATTCAACCCATTTCAGAGATAGTAAACATCATCACAGAAGTTAAAAAAAAAAAAAAAGGTGGCTGAGGAATAAACCAGAAATAATAGTGTTCAAAAAGGCATGATCTTGTGCAACAGTGGAATCTGTCATTGGGTTAGGCTGACCACTGGCTTGCTGAATTGATTTTTAAATCTCCTTTAATGTACTTATTATATTGTATCTATAATAAAAAGTAATATCGTATTTTAAAATTTTAAATCAGATTCTCAGCTTCTCAGAACCATCTTGGCATACAGTTGGTGACTTATCTGGTGTGGCAGGTACAGTATTTACAACTCAAGACTAAAGAGAAGATATAATTTTATGTGGCTTACAGAGGATTCTCCCTCCCTGCCCTCCTCTTCTCCTTTCCTTTTTCTTCCCTCTCTAGCAGGAGACAAGAGAACCACAATGTAGAGACACTATTCTTTTCTCTCCAACTCAGGAGAAAAGGGACCTGATTATGCCATTAGAGAGAAGGCAGACACAGGCAAGACCTGACATCCATCCAGTGCCTTGTTCCCGGAGTCACTGTCTCATGTGAAACTGAATACAGCCATCAATTCAGTGGATGCTCATGTGGAACACACTGTGAGATTTTCCTTTCCACATGGGACCCCATGTTACAAAAACAGGCTAACAGTCACTACTGGTTACTTTTGCTCTAGTCACAACATACCTCAGAAAGATCAATATAGTCAGAACACAAAAGTTGTCTTAATAGTACATGGGTCTAATGCTATTGTTTTTACAAACCTGAACTTAAAATCTCTTGGATTCAGGAAAGCATCCAAAGAAGGTGGGAAGCAAACCTCAGCTTTCTTCACTCTCCTGTATGACTTTTGTTGTTGTTGTTTTTTGTTTTCATTTTTGTTTTCGTTTTTGTTTTTTGAAACAGAGTCTCGCTCTATTGCCCAGGCTGAAGTGCAGTGGCACGGTCTCCGCTCACTGCAAGCTCCGCCTCCCGGGTTCAAGCCATTCTCCTGCCTCATCCTCCTGATGAATTTTTTTTAGAGTGAACATCAATGAATGTAACTTTAAATTGTAAGGTTAATTAAGCCTGCGTGCTTCCAAATGTTAACAGAAATTTGGGAATGTATTTTTTCTGCCTTAAATGTGTGTATGTAAGAAGCATCATGCAAAAGTGTAAACTAGAATACTGGTTTTCAGGACATGCTGTGTGACTTAGAGCAATCAACTTGACTACTCTGAGCGTATATTTTTTCATTTGTGAAATAGGCGGTCACACAATCTCACATTATTGTCTTGAGGATCAAATGAGCTAATACATATATACTGTCCTAACACAGTGCCTAGCCCATAGTTGACGCTTAATAAATGTTAATGTCCATCTACTCCCTCTCCCCTCCCCCTTTATAGGCAGGACAAGTAAAGTGTGACCTAGGGATCATAGTACTTGTAATTTCATCCTCATCTCCAACATTTAGGAGAAAAAAAAAGTAGCCAACTATCAATCACTGTCTTTTTTTCTCCAATTTTTCTTATTGTGGTAAAATACACATAATATAAAATCTACCATCTTAGCCATTTTTATTGTATATATTGAAGGTACAAAACTTGATGATTTAATACCTGTATATACTGTGAACTAATCACCACAATCAAGCTAATTAATATATCCATCACACCACATAGTTACCCTTTGTGGGTGTGTGTAGTGAGAACACTTAAGTTGTACCCTCTTAGCAAATTTCAAGTCTATAATACAATATTGTTATCTATCCACCATGCTGTAAATAAATCTCCAGAATCTATGCATCTTGCATAGCTGAAACTTTGTACTCCTTGACCAGCATCCATCTTCCCATTCCCCCTGCCCCTGGTTATCACCATTCTACCCTCTGGTAACCACCATTCTATTCTCTGCTTTTATGAGTTTGAATATTCCACATATAAGTGAGATCATGCAGTATTTGTCTTTCTGCAACTGGCTTATTTCACTTAGCATAATGTCTTCCAGGTCCATTCATGTCACATATGACAGCATTTCCTTCTTTTTTAAGGCTGAATTAAATATTCTATTATATACATATATATGTATATCTATATATTCTTTAGCCAAGAAGCAACCTAAATAATATTCCATTATATATGTGTGTATGCTTTAGTCAAGAAGCAACCTAAAGGTCCATCTACAGATGAAAGGATAAAGAAAATGTTTTATATATGTATGTAAATGTTTTATATATCTATATATAAAAATTTTCCTTTATCTATTCATCTGTAGATGGACCTTTAGGTTGCTTCTTGGCTATTGTGAATATTTGGCTACTGTGAATAATGCTTCAAAGAACATGGGAGTGTAGACATTTCTTCGAGATCCTGATTTTAATTCCCTTGGATAAATACCCAGAAGTGGGATTGCCAGGTCATATGGTAGTTTTATTTTTAATTCTTTAAGGAACCTCCATATTGTTTTCTATAATGGTTGTACCAATTTATATTCCCACTAGCAGTGTACCACGGTTCTCTTTTCTCCATATGCTTGCCAACACTTACCTTTTGTTTTGTTTTGTTTTAACAACAGGCACTCTAAAAAGTAAGTATTCTTAGTTGCCAGGTGTTTTTTAATTTCTTTCAGCACTTTGAATATATTGCCCCATGCTTTCCTGGCCTGCAGGAGTCTGCTGAGAAATCCACTGGTAGTCTTATGAGGATTCCCTTTTGCTGCTTTCAAAATTCTCTTTGTCTTTGACTTTCAACAGTTATATTATGATATGTCTCAGAGAAGATCTCTTGATGTTCAGCCTATTAAGGGTTCTTTGAGCATTGTGGATCTGGATGTTCACTGCCCTCCTCAGATTTAGGAAGTTTTCTGCCACTATTTCTTTAAATATGCTTTCTGTCCCTTTCTTCTTTCTTTGCTCCTTCTGGAATTTTGTCTGATACTATCCCATATGTCACAGATACATTCTTCACTTTTTCATTCTTTTGTTTGTTTGTTTCTCCCTCTTACTGAATCACTTCAATTGACCTGTTTTCAAGTTCACTGATTCTTTCTTCTGTTTGATTGAGTCTGTTATTGAGGCTCTCTGTAGAATTTTCACTTTAGCACAGTATCTTCTGCTTCAGAATTTGTTTGGTTCTTTGTATGATTTTTATCTCTACTGAACTTATCATTTTGTTCAGTATCGTATTCCTGATTTCATTTAGTTGTCTCCGTTCTCTTGTAGTTTACAGAGCTTCTTTAAGACAACTATTTTGAATTCTCTATCAGGCAGTTCATAGATATTCACCTCTTTGGGGCCAGCTACTGGGACTTTATTTTTTTCTTTTAGTAGTGTTAAGTTTCCTTGATTCTTCATTTTCCTTGAAGGCTTGTGTTGCTGTTTTCACATTTGAAGAAGCAGTCTCCTCCTCCTGTCTTTACTGACTGGTATAGGGAGAGAATGATCTTCATATTTATGGACACACCTGTCCCACTTCTTTCATTCCCTCTTGCAGGCAGTGGGGGGCATCTTAGTATTGTTGGCCTTCTCTCAATTCCACCTTAGGACACTGGCCTTTACTTAATCAACACTTCAGGGCACTGCCCTTTATTTTCCCCACGGCAGTGTCCTGAACTGTTCACATTTGTACACCTTCTCTGCATCCCAGAGTTGAGCTAGGTGCTGATATTCACGTGCTGTCTGAAAGAGCAGGCACACACCATCTCAGAAGCTTGTGTACACCACTTAGGGATATACACAGATAGCTGGGGGCACATGACAGCCAGTTGAGGGAGCACGTGACTGCAGGTGAGGCATCCCATGGGGTTCATGGTTGGGCCCCTTGATGGAGTTCACCGTCAGTTAACAGGATCTGTGGCCAGATTTTGAGATCTACGCAATGGTTTTTGTGAGCTCCTGCCTCTCTTCCCTGCTCCTAGGTTCCCCTGGACTATTCAAACATGCCAATCCCCTTAGTGATCTAGGGGTGGGGCAAGGCAGAAGCGAGCATCTTGGACAACGTCCTGTGAGGCTCTGGAAATCAGATAGTCACTACACTCTCTACCCCACTGGAAAAATCACAGGCCAAGGTGGTCTCTCTTGGCATTGAGCTGTGCCACCTCGACAGAGATGTGACACAGGTAAGGTGAAACTGTTCTTATTCTCCTCTTCAAGGTATCTATTCTCAGATTTTTTTTCTCAAATGGGGTTCTAGAATCTCTCCACTGGACTCCTGAGTTACCACAGGGGTATTCTTAACATGGATAATTGTCAAAATCAATGTTTTTGTGTGGCTTTCAGGGTTGGAACCGCCTATTCTTTCATTTGCTAACATCACTGTTTCTTAACCACTTTTAAGTGTACAGTTCTGTGGATTAAATACATTCATATTGTTGTGCACCCATCACCACCATCCAGCTCCAGAGCTCTTTTCATCTTGAAAACAAAAACTCTGTACACATTAAACAAAAACTCCTTATTTGCTCCTCTCCAGCTCCTAGCAACCATCATTCTATTTCCATGTCAATCATTACTTTTGCATTCAAAAGTCAATCATTTTATTTACTCTTTCTTTCACTCATTCATTCAACAAACATTTATTTAGCACATGGCTTTTAGACAGATGATCTGCTTTCTGAGTCTAGAATATGGTGCCACAAAAACTAAAAACTAACAAAATGAAACTAAACTAGATCTCTGAAATGGGGAGGGAAAAGGGGAGGAAGAGATCTCCTACTTGCCACATGATGATCCATAAACATTAATGGCTTTAGCAATTTCCCAAATACTCAGAAAAGAGCAACTTACTGGAGAAAGGCTGCACATTTTAGCATGGGTTGGCAGTGTTCCAGAGCAAATTATCCTTAAAAACAATATACTGTTGGTCCCTTCCAGGTGTCTTGATAGAATCCTTCGTATTGAGCTACACTTTCAAAAGTTTGTTTCCTTTATGAAAATGAACTCTGGATCAAGCTGAATTGACTAATTACTACTGTATATGGTGAATAGGAAAGTGGCATTTGGTACAGCTAATTTATGAAAATATAGACAAGGGCAATAGCTCTGCTCAGAGTGTGAAAAAAATTTAAACATATTTGATACCGTGAACAATGTTCTCATGTCCCCTTTACTAGATGGGCTGCTGCATTTATGATGGGATATGTTATAGATACATAGCAAGATAAATGGAAACTAGGAGCTCCTTTCAAGCTGGACTTCAGGATCTACAAAGAGAATCTGTTCTATAGCTGGCTCGTTAACTGACAGAGTTGTATTTCTGAATTTTTACAGATAATTGAAATCAATTTCAAAAAAATACTGAACTGATTATGAACAATATTTTCAACTTTTTCTAAGCAATAATCAAAGTTAAGCAATGATAAAGCAAAGTTGAAAAGACTGAATTGCATTTCCTTTTACTTTTTCAGCCCACCCTCTTACAGTTAGATAGCCTGGTTAGTACCAGAGTCAAAGAAGGAAAAGGGCAATAAAGTGTACAAATTAGACGTGTTATCATTTAGATGCTGCAACAAGAGTTGAGGATGGCACTCACCACCTTCCAGTGGCAAGAGCCTCATGGTAGGAAGAAGCCAAATCCCAAAGCCATTAGTGGCAGCAGCAGGAAGTGACAGTCAGGGCAGGGCCCTCTGTCTTTAGCAGCCTTTATCACTATTTCCCATGTGTCTAGTTCCTCCAGCAGCTCCACAGGCATCTCTAAATCACGACCCAAGTCTGCAGCCAGATAAGCACACTTTTGAGACCACCAGAATTGCTTTAGTGTAGTTCTAGGAAAATGATAATCCTGCTTTTATTGATTATATAGCATGTTATGCTTTGTTCAAAGTGCCTTCTCATACATCCTTGTTAGTTACCTAAGGAAGACATTCTTCCTCTTTTGCAAATAAGGAAAACAAGGCATAGAGCACTTAAATGGCCTGCCAAAGGCCACATAATTAAACAGGACTGATAATAACTTACTAAAAGTATGCTATATGCCAGGCTCTGTGCTGAGAGCTTTACTGACATTTCCCTCATCTGATAGGTTCTATTGTTACCTCTGTTTTACAGAGAAGGAAATTGAGGCTGAGAGAAGTTAAATAATCTGCCTACAGTCCCACAGCTAACAAGTGACATAGATGGGATTGAATTTGCATCTGCCTCCAAAATCAGTTCTTAGATATCTAAACAGACTTTGTCAGTTAAGAATCACTATGACTACATCTGATCATGCCCAGTTAACCCTTTCAAGTGAACAAGGACAGAGCAGGCAGGCCTGTGTTGACACATGGCATTGCCTTTATCATATCAATCTGTACATTTCCATCCCCTTTGCTTTCACACTGATACCTTGATGCTGCCTTCTACCCACACTGAAGCAGAAACAGACTCAAGGAAATCCCTATATCAAGCTCTGCATAGAAAAGCTCCTTTCCCTGCTTGGTTTTCAGGTGCCTGAACACCTGACTGGAGCTGAGGAAAACCATGAAAAGGGGCACAGAAGTGACTAGGAAGCATGAAAAAGGTGCAGGAAATGGGGGACATGCAGGGAAGTGACTCCACCTCTCTATAACCTCAGAGCCCTAGACATGCATGAGCCCCACATCAGGGGTGGGAGTTAGGGGTTCAATACCTGGTGAGGATGGGAAGGGAAAACCTCCTCTTGACCAAGTGGAACTGACATCTCCAGACAGAAATCTCTCTATGAGTGGGGAAAAGGGGGCCCATCCCCACAGTTGCGCCTTCTAAACTGAATTCCTTATACTTCCTCCTACCTGAACGTACCCACCCACCCCACATAGTTCAAACAGTCCAAATAACTATCAGGTGCTTGACCCTAAAATATGAATAGCCATCTGGTCCAGTTCTGACGACAGCATGAAGGGGAGGTATGATCCTCTTTCTGTTTACCACCCATCCTTATCATATCTAATCCTGACAAGGACACACAGATTTCCTGGCTGGACAAGAAGGAGAGGGTGAGACAACTTGCAGACAGTCCAGACCGGTACTTTACTACCCTACTCACTGCATCTCATAATACACACACACACACACACACACACACACACACACACACACACACACACACACATGCATATGTGCACATATACTCTGCCACATTTTAGCCTACATCTCAGGCCCCCAAAACATTTCCAGCCCTAATTTTATGTCAAGCAGCATGATGACGTAGCCAACCAGGCAGGAGGGAAAAAAGCGCCATTAGGCAGTTTTCCTAAGCATCCCTTAAATCAGCTATTTGGGAATTCACTGCTAAGAATCAGTGGATAGGAGGAGTTTAGAGGAACACCAAAATCAGAGGTTAGCACCCAGCCCCCACTCACTCTGTCATTTACAGCTCCGCCCCCCCATCTTCTCCCCATCCTGCCCCCAGACGCTACTGCCTACTGCACTCAGGCTCTCCCCTCTGCCACCAGCCACCATCCGTAGCCCAGAGCTGCAGCACATCAGCATTCCTATCACTCCCCTCAACCCAAGGGGAAAACATTCCAGCTGCCTTATACTTAAGCATCACCCTCGGCACCAGAAGCCGGTGCCTGTGCAAAATTGACAAGGAATATGTTGATAAGAAATGGGGCTGTTCCAAGTTTCTGAAGGATAAGTAGGTAATTAAAAAAAAAACCTAATTTAAGAGAATTCTGAAGACATTTTTAAAAACTCTCTGGCAACATCCTTTATGGATTATCCCCTTTTACCAGAACACTTCTGTTGTGCCTTTGTTTGATATTCCAAGCCTGGGGCTGGACAACCACTATTCTAGGGCATCCCACAGTCCTCGCCACTCCTCAAGGGTAACTAAAGAGCCTTGGGCTAGGAGTAGAAAGCCCACCTCTGTTTCCCTGCAGGGCTCAGAAGTACGTGAATTTTCCAAAGTCTGAGCACCTGGTGACTTCCTGCTCAGGGCTCAGTAGATTGCTCTCTGAGGACTGGCACCCTGGCCAGCAGCTGCCCCCATGTGTGTAGGGCAATGCAAAAGGTCTCAGAGAGCACCACTAGTCACCAAGGCACGAATGTGCAGGGGTGAAATCGGCTTCAGCGCTCCCTGCTTCTGGATGCCCCACTTCACAGCCTGGCTGGTTTCAGACCCACAGTAAGCCAAAACACTTCCTGAGACACACAAACAAACACAAGCTCTACAAACTGCAGACCAGGAGGTTGTCACTTCCTCAGAGATGGCCTGGCATGTTCTTCATTCTACACAGCCTCCCTATCCTGGAGTTTGGCTTAATAATCATGGTCCTACTACCCATTAGGTAGCTTTCTACCTGCAGCAGAGAAAGTCTCTGAGTCTTAGTTAATGTGAAAAATGGGGCTGATAATGTTTATCTCATTGGAATTCCAAGTAGTACAAGAGACCAGGCACTTCTTATGCATGATCACCTTTCATCCATGCTTCCTGCCTTACCTTACTTGGTCACATCTAACTTAACTAGTCTTATCTAGCCCGATTTACTGAAGAGCCTCACCTATTAGACCTTGTAATTTTCACTCAGTTCAATCCTACCTATAAAATGAATGAAAACAAACAAAAGCCCTACCCTCACAGAGCTTAGAGTCTAGAGAAGGACAGGGGCATTATTGAAAGACTAGCACAAAGAGATGTCAAATTACAACTCTGACATAAAGGAGAAGTACTGAGTGTTCTGAAATCATAGAACAGGGTGCCTGAGCCATAACAGGAAGAGGGCTGACATCCCCAGGATAAGCAAGATGATCCTTTAGGGCAGAAGGAAGAGCATGCACAGGGTTTTGTGGTGAGAGAGCAGCTCACTCCTGAACAGGAAGACCTGCAGGCCTGGGCTGTGGAGAGTAAGGGGGCATCACTGAAGAAGTTGCTAGAAAGGAAGGAGGCGGCTAGACCATGGAGGGAATGAAGGCTGGGCTGAGACTTGCTCTCTATTGGGAACCCCAATGGAAGTCACCAGAGATTATAAACTAGGAAAAGGCATGATCAGAATTGATTTTTTAAAACAAGCAAAAAACATTTTACTGTGGCCCTTGCATGAAGAACAGATTAGAGGCAGTAATATAAGGGATGGAAATATAAACAGGCCAATACAAAACTGCCAAGAGAAAAAGGTTCCAGTGAGAGGAGGTTGGAGAATCCTTCCTTTGTCAAACTCAGCCGGGTCCAGGGGCACGTGTGGGTGGCACTGGGGGAAGTAAATGGCTGTTCCAGACAGAGGAACAGCAAAAGCGAAGGTGTAGGGGACAGGGTTGTTTATAGGAACTGACAGGAGGTTCAGTATTGCTGGAGCAAAAAGCATGAGAGGGAGAGTGATGAGAAATAAAGAGCTAAGAGGAAAGGTCGACAGGGACCGGGGGAGAAGAGCTCCCTCCCCCACGCAACAAGACTCCATCCAGTAAGTTATCAGGAGCTGCAGAAGGATTTAAGCAAGGAGGTGATATGATCAAGTTTATTTTAGATGGTTCTGTCAGTTGGGTAAGAAAGGGATATGAGGACATATGGGAATAGGTGGCTATGCATCCACACATTAAAATACTTTGCAGATATTAAAAATGATCAAAACTGGAAAATTATGTGGCTTAATGCTCGATACAAAGCAGTATATTTCACAGTATCTCAAATAATATGTTTGTGTATACATTAGCATAAAGACTGAATGAAAACAAATCTTTTAACAGGTTTATATAACTAACTGGCAGGATAACAGATTATTTTTTTCCTTCTTTACAGTTTTCTGCATTTATCACAATAAGCATGTATATATGAAAGTTCATAATCAGAAAAAAAAAATTTAAACTCCATGAAGTCAGCATGAATGGCCCTATCAAACTGATAGCAATAATTTACATTTTGATAGCACCTGATATTTAGCAACCCTAAATCTTAAACCACAAGATAAATATCATTCTATGTTCACAGAGGAGAAAATAAAAACATGGAAGCAAAATGATTCATTTAACATGACACAAAAGGCTAGAGGCAGAAGCAGATCAGAACTAGGTAGATGCATGCACTCTTCAGCTGGTTCAATTATTTTTGCTGAAAAGTTACGTGAACAGAACAGATCATACATAATTCAATAATTAAGATAACCAAATAATTAGGAACAGCCCAACAGACTGCATGATTATCAGCCCAAATCAATAAAGAAGTCAATCCAAAGCTTTCAATAAATAAGGCACTGCTAAAGGAACTGTAATTCCAGAAGCCTGATCTCAAGTACGTCAGTATTTTTCTAGAAGTCAGGAGGGGGCTGATATTAGAAGGGAAGAAAGCAGAAGTTGCTTCCACACTGTGCCCATCCTCATCCATACTGATTGTGTTAAAAGGAAGGGAAAAGCTAATGCAAGTGGTACACGATTGTGGCATACTTAACTGCAGTGCCAAAATAGGTGGCATACAGCCCTATTTCCCTAATTGCTGATCACCTCGTGGCTTTTTCCAACACTTCCCTATCACCCTCAGGAACTACAAATACCCAATCTTAGGTGAAATTACAGCTGCATATATTAGACTTTCCAGGCTCTATCCTGCCTGGGATAAGCTCCTGTCCACATCCTGGACAGGGAAGCTGTGTCCTGGAACAGCACCAGATCCGATTGCAGGGCATGTTACTTCTCTTCCGTGACTGCCCAGAAAATACAGCAAAGGAGAGCCCCATGTGAGACTGGCCTTATTTTTATTTATTTCTTTTAAAACTTCAGAAAAGCTTAGAGAAACCCAGTGGTATTTTTAACATGGCTTCCATAGCCTAAAATAACATTCTCGGCTTTGCTGGATGGGTGAGGTGAGACTATGGGGACGGACGATGGAGGAGGTAGGAGGCTTCCCAAAATTGCCAGCCTTGCAGATTAAACAAGTGCAAATTAGTCAGTGTCCAGATTTATGCTGAAATGGACGACACCGTATTTTGCAAGCTAATAAAGTGGCATTTGCCTGTAAATACAGAGAAAATGAATAACCAATTTAAATTTTCTTAATCTACCGCAAGTAGTCCTGAAGATCAATAGAAGAACAATTAACTAGAAGTTCTGCATCCATGGGTCCTAATTCAGCCTTTGCCACTGCCATCCCCCTGTATCTGCTTTATCTTGAGGAGGTGGTAATGGGCTGTCATGTTAGAGACTGGCTGGAAAGCCCAGGCTGTGAAGAGGAGAATTGTGTGGGATGCCCCACAAATGAGATCTGCTCACACCTGTCAGTCATCTGGACACTTTCACAGACCCTGTGACCCATTTATATTTCTGAGCCCTCTTGAGGTCCCTTGGCTATGTAATTCTTGCCCTGCTTTCATCCTCATTTTCTCCTCTAGGAAGGAGAGCCACAAAATTTACATCATTCTCTAAATAGTAAATGCCATATACCTTGATAGTGTACTTATTAAGGGTCTCTCATTAGAACACAGAAAAATATCTCAAAGGCCCCAGGCAGTGGCAATAATGTCCCAAAGTCTTCACTAGCAGGAGTACCTCCTGAAACCTCACCTGGGAACTATTTGCCCCAACTTCAGACCTAGTATCTACTTGCTTCATCTATGGCCCCTGGCTCCTGGGCCAGCAGAAGCAGCAAAGTGGAATATTCAAAGGGACAGCCAGAGGCAGACAACAGAAGCAGAAGCATACGATATTTAGGAAGGCAATAAGCATTTTAAAAAATCAAAACAAGCACAATATTTAAAAAAAAAAAACATAGTAAACTGCATCATTTAGTTTTAAGGCAAATAGTTCTACAAACCTCTGCATTCCCTAAGGGAACCTAGGCATTACATCATAGTTCACACTGATAACCTTGAGTCATTAAGCAAAAGTTAAAATTAGCGCTCTCTGTTTCAGAAGGCAGACATGTGCATAATGCACTGAATGAATATATTCATCCAGTTTGATAAATACAAGTTTTGATGCACAGAGAGGTAGGTTTTAGCTATTTGGAAAACTCATTCTGTACTTCCTGATGCTCCAAGTAAGTCATAAAATATAATAAAAAGGTAAACTGTTAGAAAGCATGAAGTCTGACCCTTCACTTTTAAAATGAGAAACTGAGGTCTAGAGAAGTTGAAATGACTTGCCAATGTCCCACAGGGAGCAGGAAGAGCCAAGGCCAGGCCTACAGCTCCTGGTTCTCAGGGTTCCTATTCCTCTCCCTCTGGAGTACATGAACACCATCTCCACTGTAGACAGGTGATAACTACCAGCAGTTCCAATGTTATTCTCCTGATCATATACACTTAGTCAGGAAACAAGGCTCCTTTCTCCCTTTGTAAAAACTGCTCTGAGTTTTGTGAGAGAAAGTTGCTGTGTAAATTTAAGGTGCTTTTTCTTTTATTCCATGACTAATGCACTCATCATATGGCTACTACAGAGTAATTTCAGTTTTCTAGTTCATAGTCTCCCATGGATTTTGTAAGACTCTTCCCTAGTGTGACTGCTAGTAGAATGAAACAAACAAACAAAAATCCCAACAGAATAAAAAAAAATTCTAAGAAACATATTTCCAAATCAAGACACCAATTCGAAGACCAATATGTGATGGTCCTCATCCACGGAGGTGTCTCTCTCCCCCTCTTTCCCATCACTGTCCAGTACAGTTCTATTAAGCTATATTGAACACTTTCATTTTTCTCCTCTTAATCTTTTAAGTCTTCCGAATGACCAAAATGCTTATGACAGGGCAAACATGAGGTGGTATGCTCAATACCTTAGATCATATACATTCTGTCTTCTGGAAGTCACACTGTGGCTCTTTCAATGAGAATCAGCCTGACCCTGATGGAGATGACACAGATCTCTTGGCATGTCTACCTAATGTCTGCTTTGTGTGGAAGGATTTAAGTAAAAACAGGTCCTATCAAGCATCAGAGGTTGAGTAGCAGATCTGCCATTATAATCATTGCCACGTATGACTAAAGAGGTTTACCTAGATATGTCCTTTCATCAGTATAAACGAGGAAATTGGGGGTCACAGAAAGTCATGTCATGTTCAAATTTCTTGAGTAGGGCTTTGAATAAAATTAACTATTATCCCAATTGCAATATGTGGCAAGCTACCTAGAAATAACATTCAAGGAAAAAAAAACAAAGAAATTGAAATGAATAATCCAGATTCATAATACAAATTAAATTAAAGTGATTAAGTATAACTTCCAGGTATTTAACACAGAATTATTAAATTCAAAAAGCACTATCTAAAACTTTTGAATAAAATGAAGCACAATTATAGACTTCTCTTTGTCTTCACATGAATTATGAGTATTAAATACTCTCATGAAGCAAAGAAGGAATAAACCTACAATGTTTTTCCTGTTGAAACAAAAAAAAGCATGTTTTTTTCTTTCATCAAAATCTTTTCAAAACTTCTTCAAAGAAATTTAAAATGGGCAATTAAGGCAAAATTTAAATTATACTAAGTAGTTTTCTAAAGGGTATACTCCTTTTGCATTCTCTACTATGAACTCTAATTCCAGTTCCTGACACCAGGTATAACTTATTATCAATTCCCTATGAAATCATCTAAGAAAAAAATTATAAATTATACAGTTGAGTCCTTCTAACCAAATGGTAAATGTTGCTCCAACAGAAAACAATTCCTGAAACGATAGAAAAGTTCCAATTTCTCCTTTGAATCCCTCAGGAAATGAAAAAGAAAATTAGCAATAAGAAAGCATGTCACATTCAAAAGAGCAAAGAAAAGCTCTGTGAGTGAACAATTTGAAAACCGAAAAAGGCCCTTAAACTTGGGCTGTCCTAATGCTTACCCACTTCTAGAGAGAACTGACCTTTTCCCATCCTGACACTTTGCTGAGTTAATTAAGTTGCTGTTTTCTAGGCATCTTATAACTACAGCTGGTTAAAGCTACAAGAGACTAAACAGGTTACACGAATCCAACCTCCATATTTACATATGAGAAAATCAAGATCTGAAGAGGTAAGGTCACTTGCCAAGGTCACATAGCTAGTTAAGAGCAGAGTAAAGAACATGCCCCAAATCTCCAGTCTCCTGTCACCTCAATAAACTGCAAAATCAACTTGTTAGGAGGAAGATTGCTTCAGAATGCCAGTAAAACCACCGGTCTCTTGAAGAGCCACCTCTGCTTGAAGAGCCTGAAGAGCACCCTCACACCCCACGTGATTCTCCAGGCTTTTTTCAGCATACAGGAATCTCCCTAGTAGCAAGTCTGACACAGCAGCAGGGTGGTTCAGTGAAGAGCCTGATGAAGGACAGCAACCAAGAGTCTTTCTTGCAGCAACTCATTCCAGCTATTCTGCTTTCTGATCAAGGAAAGTATGTAACTGGAATTGCAACCGTTTTACTGGAAAAAGAATATTTAATAAACCAAAACAGAAAAAGGACATACATAGAATGAACCTGGCAAAGTATGACCAATATATTGAGTTTCCGTCTTCTGAAAACTGCCCTACTAAGTCCTGTGAAAGAACAGAGACAAAGGAAGAGTTTCTTGAAGGTAGTGACTTCCTATGGAGATAAGTAAAGAGACAAAAACACCTACATAATGATATAATCCTTCTATTAAGGATTAAGAACATTTTATGAGGAAAATCTCCATAAAGATGCACTCTTTGTTAGTTATACACTGATTTTTTTTGAATACTTCAAAAAAAAGTGTATAATAAATGTCAGCATTTTACCCATCTACCACTATTACTACTTTTTTTTTAACACCAAGTACCTTATCTTCTTTGGATTAATAATTAGTGTCTTAGTCTTTGAAAACTGAGAATAACTCTCACTTCTCCTGTCCTTGAATTGAACAACAACAACAAAAACACTGAAGTGGGTGAGAAGAGAGTGGGTCAGATATGACCGTGATTTGAATCAATCTAAGGCAAATTTCAACAACCATTCTATGGCAGATCGCCATGTGCCCAATACTAACCTGGATGGTATCCATCCCTGGCCTTAAGATAGGATGTAAAATTAACAAGGAAACCATACAGTACAATGTAGAAAGTGCTATCATAAAGGTATGTATAAAGTACAATGGCATCCCAGTTAATACAGCAATTAATTCTGCAGGGAATGAGAGAGGTGCTGAGGACAGAGGCAAGGAAAGCTAGAGAGGAAATAAGAATAGCACTAAGCTTTCAAGGAAAAGTAGATGCTGTCCAGATGGACAAGAGAGGATGGTATTCAGGCAGAGGAAGCAGTATTCACAATGACACAGAGATACGAAAGTGCATGTGTATTGAAGGACTAGAAAATGGTCTTATGTGACTTGATCCTAGATTTCATGCAGAAGTAGCTGGGTATATAACCAGAAAGGCAGCTGGAGCCACAAGGTAAAAGCTTTTTTATGACCTGCTAAATTCAGACTTGTAGCTGTAGGCAGTGGGAAATTATCAGAGATTTGGGGTTTTTTTGTTTACATCTTAACTAAAGTGTACGATTTAGTGACATTTAGTACATTGTGCAATCACTCCCAATATCTATTTCCAGAACATTTTCACAAACCTAAAAGAAAATCACTTACCCATTAAGCAGTCACTCCCTATTATCCCCTCCCTGTTTTCTGTCTCTGTGGGTTTGCCTAATCTGTATATTTCATAAATAAAATCATACAACTTATGGCCTTTGGTGTCTGACTTCTTTCACCGAGCATAGTGTTTTTAAGGTCCATCCATGTTGTAACGTGTGTCAGTATTTCATTCCTTTTTATGGCTGAATAATGTTCCATTGTATGGACATACCACATTTTCTTATCTATTCATCAGTTGATGGACATTTGGATTGTTTCCATATTTTGGCTATTGCAAATAGTGCTGTTGTGAACATTTATGTACAGTGTTTTTGTCTGAGTATCTGTTTTCAACTTTTGGGGGTATATACCTACTAGTGGAATTGCTGGGATATTTGGTTCTTCTATGTTTAACTTATTAAGGAATCTATCCGATATTTTTACTTAAAGGAAAGACATAACATTGTATTTTAGAAAGCTAAATGTACCTAATGGATATTTAAGGAAACAAGATCTATGGAGATGGTTCCCTGAAGATCCACCAAATAGTTGCTCATCTGTTCCTTCCTGCCTTCCTTCTTGGGCTTCCTATCTCCTTTCCTTTCTCTCCTGCCTGCTTGCTTGCTTTTTTTTTTTCTTGTCGAACCTACAAGTTGGCATGCAATATGGTGGTCCAAATATATGCCCACCCACATACCTTGTGGCTTTACACCATCTTCTGAGGCTTCTGTGCTAAAATCCTGCTAGCTCAGCCCATCTGTAACAGTTCAGATTGTTTTCTTGCTTCATAATTCCTGCTCTGAGGAAGTATCAAGCTGTAATAAATAGGTCTCTCGGTGTCGAACGAGAGGTCCAAGAGGAGCCTAGCACAGGAAACCTGAGGTTTGCTGGAAAGGTTTTGACTTGAACATTCCTGCTGAGATGACCAGGGTCCATCCCACTCCTCCAAACACAGAAACATATACTGCTGAACAACTGCTTCCTCCCCAGGTCTTCCAGCTTGTCATTTCAAAAGCAGATGATACTTCACAGAAATTTCAAAGATAATGAAAGCCCAATACAGACATGAGTTAAGTGGCTTTTCTTCAAATTAGAATTGTTTAATTTCTAATTTTGAACACGCGCCACTATCAACACACCAGGACACTGGCAATAGCAAGGAGTGATTTGCTAATTTTCTTGTTCAAAGTTATTATATTTATAGATGCACTGGGAAGTTGTAATCATGGTCACTCAGTTGCCAGTCAAAGGATAGAAATGAAATATGTTGTTGTTGTTTTCCTCCAAGAAATCAAGAAGTTAAAAAAAGTCATAGCCTGGCTTGAACAGATTCTATAAATGAACCTGGTTTGAGGAGTGGGGGTGAAGGGAGATATTCAGAAAAATGCTCTCCATGAAGCTCTTCTTGGGAGGCACTGAACATCCAGGGGTGGGGGAATGGGGACGAGAGTGAGGACAAAGGCTGTACATAGGAAGCACTGAAGCACCAAGCTCTCCAATCCAATGTGTATTAAATTCATAGCAACTGCACCTTCTGATCTTAAAGTACATTAATATTCCCTAGAATGCACAATTTTGAACATTTACCTTCAATTTTAAAAGTGCAATTATAAATAAGCCTCCTTAGAACCAACCATGCCATCTCTGAATCTCTAGAGATTAAAGAGACTCAAACAGCTCTTCAAACAGAAAAGCACAGGGCTTTCAGGGCACTTCCATGTGTCTATTAGGGCAGTATGTGGAGAAAGTGGTAGATCTGGAAAAGCTGGAAGAAAATCTGAGTTCTCTTCTCAGTCTTCTCCTACTATGGAATGACCATAGGCAGGATGGGACTGCCGCCTGAACACACCTGCTGCTTCAGGCTCTATCTTGTGTGGCTCTCTGGAACCCCTCTTCCGTGGCTGACCAAAGCCAGATTTTGTTCAGGTGTCAGCCAGCCAAGTGCTTCCTGGGGAGCCTGGGCCCTTTCTCCAGCCCCAGGGCTGAAGCTTGATTGGTCTAAGAAAATCATGGTCCATTCCACTTGCCCGGGATTGCTTTAAGAATGGTCACGTGACATAATTCTAGCCAATGAGACCGGTGGGAAGTCTGCAGGACGCCTTCTGGGAAATTACATTTATTGTAAAAGAAGACATCGGAAAATGGGGACTGGCTTCTTCCGTTTCCTAGCTCACTCACAGAATTCACAACTAGCAACTCACAGAACTGTCATGACCAGGTAGAGACATGGCTCAAGACAAAACTGCCTACCTTGGGTCTGCTAAAGCCCAAAACCATTGAATCTCTTTAATTAACTAGCCACATGCAGGCTTTCTCCAAACGTCCTGTTACACAAGATAATACGTTTTCCTTGTAGGCTAAGCCATTTTTATTTGGGTATTCTATTATTTGGCACTTAAAGGCCCACCCAAGTGAGTGGATAAATGTTTATCAAGCACTTTATCAACTACATATTTTAAAATTACACCCACAACCCAAATTATAATGTTTCATATCTAATGAGAAATACTGCTATATCTGACCTTGTTTAGAAATAACTATCATCCCAACACTGGAAGGCCAAGGTGGGAGGATCGCTTGAGGCCAGGAGTTTGACACCAACCTGGTCGACAAAGCAACACCCTGTTTCTACAAAAAAATTTAAAAAGAAAAGTAGCTAGGCATGGTAGAGCATGCCTGTAATCCTAGCTACTCCAGAAGCTGAGGTGGGACAATCACTTGAGCCCAGGAGTTTGGGGCTGCAGCAAAGTATGACCGCGCCACTGCACTCCAGTCTGGACAACAGAATGAAACCTTGTCTCTAAAAAAGAAAATCGTTTTTAAGAAATAAATAACAACTCCAGAAGACTGCATGTATGGATGAATACCTGACCAGGAAAAAAAAAATGTCTGGCATTTTAACCTGTAAATACAGCCAGAAGAATGTGAAAACAAGAACTGTGTGATAACTTATAAATAAAAACATGCTCTAAAAAACACCCATGCCACAGATTTCCAAAATTACAATCTGGGGCCTATTAGTAAGCAGCACTCACTTTCCCCTGTGGCATCATCAAAATAATACCGCAGAATCATCTGTATCGGTGGTTAAGTCAACGGGGAACTACTCTGTTTCACGCCTCTCAGTGGCTCTCAGACCTATTTATTTCAGTAACTGTCACATTTGTATGGCATACAAAACTGCCCTTTTATAACCTCTCCTGTCATTATTTTTTAACTTTCCCAAATCAGATGTGTTGGGACCTGTTCAGAGGACTGGTAGGTAATGAGTTATTTATACAGCTGCCAATTTTCCAAATCAGTGGTGGTGCCTAGAGATGACTTTGGGGGACTGAGCACTCATCCTTCAGCTCACCATATACCCCCAACACTTCAAAATGCATGATCTGGATGAAGCCCCCACCCCTACATCTTCTATACAAAAATCAAAGGGCCTACTCCTTCCAAGCAATATATTCTGTCTCATAAATTAAAACCCATTTGAGATTATGCTGATAATAGCATCCCCCTTGCTCACAGGCATTCTGATAATATGGTTTGAGAGAGAAATGAAGGCAGTTAGAGCTGGTATGCCAGGTTTTGTGGATAATTGACAGGAGTCTGTAGCCCGAGTGCAAATCACCTATCACCCACATTATAGTATAAAAATCAGGTAAGAATCACTGCTTGAAATTCCTTTCAACTCTATGAATTTTTTATTCTACGCGTGCTTATTTTCCTCCTACCAACTTGAATTTCAGAAAGAAAAGGTAACTTGAGAAAAAAAAAGAGAGAGAGAGAAAGGAATACAAGACTTTGATGCTTCTTCAGCGGGTATCTTCTGGCTGGATTTTTTCTTGTACTGCTGTATAGTAAACAGTTCCTTTGTGTCTTTTTTGTTTGTTTCAAACACCTGAAGAAAAAGACAAATTTTTTTAATTTTTTTTATTTTGTTTTTCCATAAGTTATTGGAGTACAGGTGGTATTTGTTACATGAGTAAGTCCTTTAGTGGTGATTTGTGAGATTTTAGTGCACCCAGCACTGGAGCAGTAAACACTGCACCATATTTGTAGTCTTTTATCCCTCGCCCCACTCCCGCTCTTCCTCCCAAGTCCCCAAAGTCTATTGTATCATTCTTATGCCTTTGAGTCCTCATAGCTTAGCTCCCAATGATCAGTGAGAACATACAACGTTTGGTTTTCCATTCCTGAGTTACTTCACTTAGAATAATAGTCTCCAATCTCATCCAGGTTACTGAAAATGATCTTAATTCATTCCTTTTCATGGCTGAGTAGTATTCTATTGTGTACACACAGTTTCTTTATCCACTCTGATTGATGGGCCTTTGGGTCGGTTCCATGATTTTGCAATTGTGAATTGTGCTGCTATAAACATGCACGTTCAAGTATCTTAGAAAAAGACAATATTGAACCGTTGATGTTGGCAGTCACTGTTGCTTTTCCCGCCACTCCTTAGTTCAGCCTATCTGTTTTTCCAATACTTGTAAGTTGTAGCTTCCTTCAACCAAACTTCCATTGTCTGAATACCAAGAGAAGTTTTCCTACAAGCAGCTTTCAAAATTGTGAGAACTTAAAAAAAGGTGTTAAAACTCAAGTTAACCAGCAGCCTGCCCCCACTCACTTAGACCCCCTTCCTCACTGCTCTGGGTATAGTTAGGGAAAGCACATTCCCATGGGACCACCCCTGTTTTTCACTAAACAGCCTCCTGTTTAAAAAAAAATCATTTTTAACATTTGTTGATGATTGTTGAGTGAAGCAAGTGCTCACATCCCCCACACCAAATAAAAATTCCTTGAAATGTAGACAAAAGAGATCCAAGCCCAGTATAGCCTCCCATCCACCACTGCCCCTACCCTGCTAGTTCTGCTGTAACAGACCTTAAGAGTGCAAGTTAGTACTTATTTGCAAGGCAGATGGAAGCATGGTGTGGGTTTGCATTTGAGTGACCTGTTGTAAAGAGACAATTAAGCCTTCTGGAATTATCTGTACACTCAGAATTTCCTACTTACATTTCTGGAGTCTCTTCCCTAGCTATAGAATGTCAAATCACTTGGTGAAACCAAAAGGGAATATATTACATCCTTTAGGTTCTTAGGGGAAAAATGAGTTGATTGATTTTTACCTATGAACGAAATATTAAAAAGTCTGAACACTGGAGGACATCCAGCAAGTTATAGAAAATAATTCAGTGTGTCCTCAGTAATTAAAGATAACAGAAACTTAAATATGGTTTGTATTTGTCCCCGTTTGTTCACTTGCTAATGCATTCCCTGATGGGTGTCCCCATGACATTACTGTTGGGTCTGCAATCAGCTATCTGGCGGAGTTGCAAGAAAGATGGGGTGCAGCATGTAGTTTCCCGTGACTCTGCAGCAAACAAAGGCTGTCAGCTTCATGACGACGGCCAAGGCGGACTCTCTCATGCTCCAAGGCTCAGGGCATGAAGAGATGGCCAATCTGAGGTCGTGGTTTGCTGGCATGAATAATCTGTGATTATAATCTGAAAATCTGTGATTATATAATCTGTAATTATAAGCTGATTATCTGGAGCACACAGCACTACAGATGTACACAAAGATGAAAGCAGAGTTCATTCTTGCTAACTGTTGGGAAAACCCTGTGACCCACCTCAATTCCTTCAATGTTCCCATCCCCTGGCATTTCACACTTAGCATTGACATTTTCTCAATGGGAAGGAATGTCCAGACGCTCCTCCAACAAAAACTGATCTTTTATAGCAATCAAGGACACTCGCTGGGTGAGGGAAACCCAGTGGCTCACACCTGTAATCCCAACACTTTGGGAGGCCAAGGCAAGAGTATCTCTTGAGGCCAGGAGTTTGAGAACAGCTTGGGAAACATAGCAAGACCCCATCTCTACAAAGTTGTTTTTTTTTTAAATCAGCCAGGTGTGCTAGCACACACCTGTAGTCCCAGCTACTTGGGAGGCTGAGGTGAAAGGATCACCTGATAACCTGAGCCCAATTCAAAGCTGCAGTGAGCTATGATCGTGCCACTCAGCTCTAGCCTGAGTGACAGACAGAGCAAGACTCTGTCTCAAAAAAAATGAAAAAAGAACCGTTGCAATTATAATTACGAGCAGTCTGCCTGATGGGGTTCGAGGGCTCTTTTTGCTATCTGAAGAAGAAAAATCAGTAGCTAAGGAAAAAAAGCACAGCAACTCGGGTATAATTGGATGTGAACTTTCTATGACATAGCAAACTCTTCCTTTTTTCCCCTCAAGGCCATTGCTAAATGTTATCCATGAAACATAGTGAATGAAAATGTCATTGATTCTGGCAATTTTGATCATAAACTACTTAAAGTACCATCCACTTTTGTGTTTATAAATCACTTTTAAAAGACAATTCCTGTGTGCAGATAGTAAGAATGGAAGCAAGTATATTCTTTTGATGGCAGAGTGGCAAGAATTTAATTTCTATTCAAGATAACCTTCATGATGTTAGCAATAGAATGTGTTGAAACATTGAATATCACACTTGGGTATGTTCAGCCTCAGCACACTGTGGAACAAGCTAAAACTACAAATCTAGTCATTAAGAGTTGTGTAGTATGAGCTAGCAGTTGTTTAATCAAAAAGGGCTCATTTAATACTGTGCCTAATGTCAGAATTGGTACAGAAATAAAATGCATCTTCTTCTCTCCCCTGTGCAAGATAAATGTGTGTGATATAAGAGCGCACTGGGATACCCGCCATGAATTTCAGCTGTGATAGGAAAAATCCCTCCTCCTCTGCTCAGATGAGAGACTTGGCTCTGAGCAGTGAGAGAAGCAGTCTTGAGAGTGCGGTCTGTACATGCCAGGGGTGCACATGAAATTCTTTGGACAGTGGCATGAAAATGGTTGAACTTCTAGTTATATATATGTATTACCACATCCCTTCGAAATTTGCTTTTGTCTGTTTTATGATGTATGTGTCAGTACAGTCCATGCACATAATTTAAAAATGAATAAACATAAATCACAGAGTGATGCCCAAAGAATTTCAGACACTACTCGCCTTGAGAAGTAAAGAGGGAAAGAAAAACGAAGTCTTAATCATATCCCCAGAACCCCCAAAACTGAGGAATCCCTTTTACCAGCAGCATCTTTTAACCCAAGAGAAGGTCCGAGAACAATCTGTGAACCACTGGGTCAAGAAGGAGAGACGGTGCTGGTTTCTCAACTTCCCTAGATATATCTGCTCTTGGAAGATAATTATTCCAACACAAATTATACTTTGGTCTACAAATGAGCTGAAGAAAATCATCAATCTATTTCTGTGTCAGGTAGAACTTGGTGGGTCCTGTGCAGACTATTAATTTCATGGGAAATAAGCAACAGGAGAGGCAGATAAATCATGAGCAGAGTGAAAAGCAGACCCAATGAATTCCTACCAAATCTCTTACTTTGCTTTTCTTATAGAGAACAAAATGACAAAGTATTTATGACCCACTGTCTTTGATATCTGTTTATCTCATTAGAGGAAAAATGCTTCTGCAACTACAAGAACATGTTCTATTCCAAGTTTCAAGAATTCAAACCCAGTTGATTTATACAGGTCAGCATTGTGCATACAGCCTTATAATCTTCACATTTCTGAAATCCTATCATTTTTAATTTTATAAAAACAAAACACATTAATTTTCTGTTTTTATTGCAGATAATATGTAATATTAGAATTTCATTGACATGCACAAAGTATATATAATAGAAAATAATGTTAATTGTTTTTAATGAAAATGTTTCATTAAAAAGTTAAAGTGAAGGCTAGTGTGAATAGCTGAACTTCTAATGTCATTTCTATGACTCCAATTTCTATTCAAAATTGATTTCTCCAAAGTTCTACATAATGTATTTGCAAGTCACATCAATGTTTATTTATTAAAGTCAGTGTTTTCAAGAACTGAAAGAAGCATTACATAATGTTTCCAACTGAGTCTGCTTCCATCTGTCCTGTCTTCCTATTCATCCAGTAGTTGAAACATATATACTGCACTTGGGAGAGAACAGCTAGGAGTCCCCTAAAGGATGCTGCATGTGATCACTCTGCCCTGTATTTTCTGTCATTTTACCCACCAGTGCTATCAGCCATCCCAAAGTATTCTCCTACCCTGGTCCTATGACCTACTAAGAGTAGTTATAATATAATCCACTAGAAAATACTAACTCCACTACTTGAAATAAACTCTATGAAGGCAGGGATTTTTATCTATTTTATTCACTCCTGTATCTTCTACACCTGGTACAATAACCAACACTCCAACATCTATTTGTTGAGTGAATAAATGGATGAATGAATGAAGAACTATCTTTAGGCCACTTGTCATTTCCTGGCATCCTTTTATAATCCATGACACACTCACTTACCTTACAGATTTTTACACCTAAAGACTTCTTTCAGACCCCGCCCCCCACATTCCCAGTGCCACAGAGGTACCTGAAGCCCTAAGCTTTAAGTCCATTTTGTTCAACTATTCCAGCACTCAAATCGCTGGGTGAAGGCTGATTTCATTTGCATACTTTTCCAAGTCAGTCCTTACTTGGATCAGCAAAGCTTCCTCAGCATCAAAAGTTAGCCAGTGCTGCAAGAATGGCATATAAGGAAGACTAATTTAGAGTCAACTGACCAACTCAAACACAAAAGAACCCCCACATGTTTAGCCAAAATCTTCTAACATTACCTTGCACATAATAAGCTTCTAATGGGCATTTACTGAATTGGACAGTAAGTATGGAAATACAGTATGAATGTAATATCTCTAAAGCATTTGATAAGTTATCATGTTATCCCAGTGAACAAGATAGTGAAATGTGGATTGGTCAATATAGTGCTATTAAGAGAACTTGCTGCTAGAAAAATAACTATGTTTAAACTATGCTGGCAAATATTTTGTTTTATTTGTCAGTCTGGTAGAATAGCAAAGGGTTCTAGTCTTGGTTCTTAATGAGCGTATCAATAACTTTACCTCCATTCTTTCTGAAGGTTCTGGCTAAACGTCAAGCCTAGACCATTCCAGGCTCTGGGCTAGATAGAAGTGAACTTGTATCATAATAAGAGTGTGAAAACAAGAACTTGATGATTCTCCCAAATACTTGTCCCATTGAGATAAATGCTTTTCTAGCTCCAGTGATTTCTCTTAAGTAGACTAATATTATAGAGCCTTGCATATTTCTAAATTAATCTCTTATTGCCCACATTGCATGTTTCTATCCCCTGTACATCTCTCAGAAATATATCTCTCTTGTCTTGCCTCCAGTAATAGGAAATGTAAATAATTCCTATTATGAGAATGTTTTCCATATTATCAACTCTACATTTTCTTCCCTGCACTCCTCATTCAACTCCTAGCTTTGCCCTCTAGGTCCAGAGAAGAAAATGCTGACATCTTTGCCTCTCAGAAGCTCACTAAGCATGCCAGACAGTTCTTGAGCCCTTTTTCCACCCCTCCCCACTCTCCCATCTGAATAAACTTTTCATTTCCTACCATTAAAATTTCTAAACGATGCTAAGACTCATAAACAAGGTAACTCATAGAAGAAAGAATGGAACTTGGGACTCTAGTTGCTCAAATTTTAAAATTAGATACAGTGTTAATTTCTAGTTTTATAAATGGCTCATTTAAGAAATTCATACCACAGCCACTAATGTCAGATGCCAAAACAAAGGTGATAATGTTTGCCTAATATGGGTGCCAAAATCATCTTTGAGCCAGGAAAATGTTGGTGACATTTTCTTTTCTCAAATTATTCATAGACTCAGAATTTTAAAGCTGCTCTTGTCACCCATACATTTCACAGATGATGAAACTGAGATCTAGAAGAATTATGTAACTAGCCCAAGGTTGGTTAGTAGCAACATTACAAGGCATTTCTGGACATCTCCCAAACAACAAATTATGATCCTATAATCTACCAATGCCTGTTCTTTCCTCCAAACTCCTCATTGCTTAATAGCGTTGGCTCATTAACTTTGCAAGAAGCTAAATTTACATTGTTATTAATTATAACAATGACAGATATGTGAACTAGAAATTTCTCTAAAGAATAGTCATCCCTCCTAATAATACCACAGACAAGGAAACCGAAGGCGAAGAAGGTCTTGATACTTGGAGAACACACTGCAATTTAGCAACAGAGCCAGCAATGGGGCCCATATCTTCTGTTCACAACCTAGAACTCTTCAGTGTTCTACACAAAAGATTAGCTAAACACCATCAATATTATAAAGCTGAGATTGTTTTCATCTAAAAATAGGCATTCGTGACTGGGAAAATCTAGTTCTTTTAACGAGTATATGAGTTCCGTCTTACGGAAGTACTGGGCTAGACAACCATTTGTCAGAAAGATTGTAGAAGGGAATTTGAACAACCAGTAGATGTTCAACTTCAATGACCTCTAAAGTCCTTCCACCTCTATTATTTGACCCTGGACTGCCCTGGAACTGGCACCTCAGTTAGCCAGGGCATTTGCAGAGGCATTGTGCAATATCCTGTGGGGGTCCCCTCTTCTACTGTAGGTTTGACTCTGCCCTGCTGTTTCAGGCATTGCTCTATATCCAATTTACATGCAATCAAATACTCTAAGCATAGAAAGTGTAAGGAAATGCAGTTCTGTCATTTCCAAAGACAGACTACACTGCTTAGCTTTCAAAATTGCCTTGCCTAAATGAGCACTCCATAACTGAGCCTCCACATTCAGCTTTTACAGTTTGTTCATGTACTATGCTACTATCAGAATTAATTATGCAGCATCTTCATGAGGAGAAATCAGATTTGGATGCAAGTTAGGAGAGAAAAGAAAATGGTGCACTTCCCAAAAGATTTTACTGTATCTGGTTCCCCTAAAAGTGCTGGAGTCCTTCCACACGCAGACAGATTTTGGATGGCAGTCCCCAGCTGAGTTAGCCATGGGAAGGAGGAAGTTGACATGTTTGAGAAATGAAGAATCCGCCAACTAGCAAGACTCTGAAGGCCAACACATTATTAACCCCCTCTTTTCTATGTCATTCCATTCCAGGCTGTAACTCAACACAAATCCGTCTGTTTGTTTTCCTACATGGCTACTAAATATTAAAATGTACTGATTTTGGACTTTTTCTTTTTTGGCATCATGAGTCCAAGAGAAGAGATGTTGATTTTTTTTTTTAATCTCAAAGGGGAAAAAAATACATTGAGTCAAGTTCTGAAAGTTAAAGGAAGCTTCACAAGTTGTCACACTGAATATTTTTACGTGAATGGGATTACCAAAAAAAAAAAAAAAATCAAACTATCTGATAGCATTCACAGAAGACAGGTGTTGCACAGATTTCAGAAGAACAAATTGATGCTCTGCAACTCAGTGCCAAACAAAACAAACAACAAAAACAACCTGACAAGGTACCACGAACAGAAGACAGAGTGATAAGCAGAGAGTGAGTGCCCAAATCTGGAAAGCTCTAGTTTAAAGGGCGAGGACATTTTCTCTCCTCAGTGCCTGGACAGCGAGGAGGGTGGGGGTATGGGGTCCTCAGGAAGGTTGGAAAGCAGGTGTCCTATCTGCCTCGGGCAGCCTCCACCAGCCTCCACCAGCCAACGATTGGTCTCTGAAGTCTAATCCACACACACCCTGCACTTCAGGGGTATGAAGGAAGGTTCCGGGGCCTCCTTCGCTGCCCATCAGCCCTGCCAGGCTGGGATGACCACATCAGTTCCGTCTGACACCAGCATCCGCACAATACAGGCAAAGCCCCTTCCCTCTCTTCGGAGGTCGGCACCACTTTTCTTCCAAACGGTATTTCCAAAAGGAGCACAACTTGAAGGAAGGAGCCCGGGTGAGAAAAGTCGAGTCTTTGACGGTTAGTCCCCCTCACGGGGAGCAGCGTCAAGAAAAGACACACATGTCAGGCAGGTGTACAAAGGCAGAGAAGGACGGGGAGAGAGAGAGAACCGGGGAATGGGAGGCGAAGGCAGGAAAGAAGGAGACAGAGGCGGGAGGTGCGGCACGGACTTGAAAGGACGCGCAGGATGTGGACGAAAGAAGAGAGTCAAGGAGAGGGAGAAGAAGGGAGGCAGTGGGGAAAGAAAGGGAAGAGATAAAGACTGGAGGCGGCGGGAAGGATGCAAGAATGCCCAGGCGCGGGGCCGCGGCTGGGAGGGGGCTGCGGGGACCGGCGCGCCCCTGGGAAGCCGCGGGCTGCGCTCCACGCGCGGGCGCCGGGGACGCGGGGTGCGCCCGCCGCTCACCTTTCAGGATGAGGGTGTCGATGTCCCGGTCGATGCCCAGGAAGTAGCACTTCCTCCAGAGGCCCGAGTAGGTGGCGAAGAGGGGCCGGCCGCACTCGGCGTCCAGCCCGCCGAGCCCCAGGAGCGAGCGCCAGGACTCGGGGTCGGCGCGCCCCGGGCCGCCCGGGAGCAGCCGGCGCCCCAGCGGGGGCGAGTCCCGCAGCGGCAGGTGCGACAGCGGCATCAGGCGGTTCTTCTGGTCCGGGGGGTCGGCGCCCGCGCGGCTGCGCTCGCAGCTCTCCTTGTGGCGCCGGGGGTCGGTCTCGTACCAGTGGTCGGTGAAGATGGCCGTGACGAGCAGCCCCAGGGAGCACAGGCTGAGGCCGAGGCTGAGCGCCGTGACGAGCGCCCGCGGCTCCATGGCTTCCCGCCCCGCCGCAGCCGCCGGTGGGCTCGCGCGCCGCCGCCAGACACAATGCACTTGGCCCCAGCTCTCCGCCCGCTCCCTCCCTCTTCCCCCCACCTGCCCCCCACCTCCCTCCTACGGCCTCCTCGCCCTGCGAGCCCGGCCCGGCTCGCTCCCTCTCCCCTGGCCTGATCTCGCCTCCCACCGCCCGCCCGCCCCCGGCCCGGCCCCCGGGCTCCTAGCCCTCCCCCGCGCCGCTCTCGCTTTCTTGCCCCCCTCCTCTTCCCCAGCCCCCTCTCCTCGCCCCGGCGCCCCCCACCCCGCGCACTCCTCTCGCCCCTCTCCCTACCTCCGATCCACAGTCCGCCCTCCTCTCCAGCGACCCCCCTTCCCCTTTTAATCTCTCCTCGCCGCCCTCATCCTCCTCTCTCCCCTTAACCCTGTCCCTACTTTCCCCCGACTTTTCTCCAACTCTTCCTCTCACACTTTCCCCCACTCATTTGCTCCTCTGCTCCCCGGCTCCTGGTGCATTTATATCCCGGCTCTGGACTCGGTGCCTCTCTCCACCTACCCCTCGGCACACCCCTCCCGTCCTCTTCCCTCCAACGACCTTAAAAGACATCCACCGACATAAGACTCACTCTTGTCACTTGTCCAAGTTGATTTTGATCAGTGTCCCGTTTTGTACCCAGGAGCAAATCCCATCCAGGTCGGGCTGCGTGGTAGCGTTTAACTCCTTGGAATCTTGATCTGGAGTCCGAAGGTCCCTTTGTCCTGCCGCCTGCCGCCTGCAGGATGAAGCCTCTGAGACCCCTAGGCAGCCAGCTCTATCTGTCGCGGCTCTTTCCCTCTCACTTGCCCATCGCTTAGCCTCTAAGCATTCTCTCTGCTCAAGCCCCTCTTCTGAAAGAAAAAGACACCGAGTGTCAGTGGAGCGATAGAACGATGACCAGAGATTTTTCTCCCACTTCATTTCAACCTGCTATGAGATGGACTTCTTTTTTCGTTGACTACGTCCATCTCCCGCCAGACTGACTGGCCTCCTGGAATTTCTAGAAGAGCCTGGAATCAATGAACCCTGGCAGTGGCACCTGCTCCATGAGGTGATTATTGCCTTTGCATACAGCAAGCCCCCAGTAATAAATCAAAGTAATGATTTTCTCCTGTGCAGGTTTCCTTCTTGGGCTGGGGGGTGGGGGTCAACAGCAAAGCAATGCTACACACCAAAGTCAACACCTGAGCCTGGGGCAGTTCTTCCATCTTCCAGTCACAGAGGTTACTTCCAAGAATGGCAGGCAGATTCACATTTTCTAAAATGAGGAAACGCTAGGACCCGGGGTGCTAAGAGTTAATCACTTGTGCGGTATAGTCAGTCTATACCACAGAGGTGCAATACACTCGTGCCACTCAATGCCCTTGTGGTCATGTCAGAGACAGAAAACCATGCTGCACTGGCCCAGGGATGAAAATGCTTGTGTTCTTATGCTATGAAATATTAATGATGAAGAAATTATGAGGCATTCATTACATGCTAAATGTCATTACTCCATGATTTAATGGGACTTATTAATTAGTGCCCTACATCAATTGGTATTAATATGCTTTATATCCTTCCTCTAGGATGACATCTGTAAAGGTGGTATAAGGCTCTTGCTGGGATTTATTTTCATTGCTGTTTGTGTTTAGCATCTTCAGAGGGTACATTTCCAGTGAAGATCGTGTGCCTATTCTGAGCGGTTCAGTTCATAGATAGATCACTTAAGCAAATCTTTCAGTTATATCAGACCCGCATTCCCATTTCTGCTGACCTGACAGTGTGAATTATTGCTTGGATTTTCTCACAGTTTCAGCAAGGTCTATGGTGAGCTCTAGTCTAATTAAGGAAGACAAAGAATTATAATTTTAGTGTTCCTCTCACCTATAAGCTTTTCCTTCACAGCAAACACTGAGCTCATCAAAGGAGTCTTAGCTGGATTTACACAAAAATGATAAGACTTAGAAGCTTTCTTTAATTTATACTCTACAATATGTATAAAATCCTAGATCTTAATAGATGCACAGAGAGAATACCTTTAACTGTGAGTCCACAGTTGACATCTGAAATTCACTCAAGTCATCATGTGTTCTTTTATTTTTAGAAATGCATCTTGAGATAAAGTTATCAAAACCTTGGAAGCCCCAAGGGTTGTCAAGCCTTTAGCAAGTCCTCATCCCCTTTTCAAGTCTTCACCTCATGTATTACAAGAAATAAATATTCAGCCACATTCCAGAGTCACCTAATCATCTTCACACAATAACCCTGTCTTCAGCTGGAGCTAGACAGAAGAAAGCCTCTTTTTAAGGCACTTCTGTTTAAATTAAAAGAACTTACCATTCTGTCTCATTTTCCTAGCTAGAACTCTTTGATCATACTCTTTTTAGAAAATAGCATTATTCTTCAAGTTCATTTATGTCTATGTTTAAGACCATTCTCAGCATATAATCCAAAGGTTACTATATGATGGATTGCCCTTGACAGTATTTCATAAAAAATGTCACACATTACAAATATGGGCCAGCAGTATGTAATGAGAGCGCTGCCTCTGCTGGTGCAGCATTAATGGCGCCAGCAGGGATGTGGCATATGATGTGTACACAGGCTTTGTTACAGCAACTGCACATTGCTCCATCTATGTTTTTAAAATTCCCCTTTTGGATACTTCCAACAATGAACTATCACCCAGTAGCCCCCTACTCTGTTAGGGGAGTGAAAAATATGAAGATGAGTAAGTGGTGCCCATCTTCAAGATACTCCCAGCCTAGTGGCGAGAAACAGATGTATTGACAGAATGAGAGGCAAATGCTGTAGTAAAAAAATAAAAGAGAACAAAGGGTCATGGGAACATGGACAATGAAGAGACTAACTGCCGTGGGGAGTCAGGTGGGCTACATAGAGACAGTAACTGTTGAGTTAGTTCTTAAAGGATGAGTTAAACTTTGCCAAGAGGATATCAGAAATATTTGTATTGCAGTCAGAGAATACCTCTTTGGCCTAGTGTCTACTTCATACATTTGGAGGCTTCAGTGTCTTAGGCCACTGTAAAATAAGTATTTTTTGTACATTTTTAAGTCATAAAGTTAACATGTTCTAATGACTGACTACAAGCTGGATAGCTGTAGATGAGTGGAAGGAAAAGTCTATACCTGAATATAATCAGTGTAGGAGGCCATTTAGCTCAGCATGGAGTCAAGATGATGGGAGATCAAATATCCAGCCAGAACACCTGGCATATCTTAGCTGTGGCTATGCTATGACCTTGATGTTTTCAAACTTAGCTTGTTTTTTATTTGTCTTAAATTTCTCTTTGCCATCTCCAGATCCGATATCCCCAGTGCATCCCTCAGAGAAAAACAGAATCCCTCACATGACAGGGAGAGCCGGAGAATTTCCACCAGGGTATTTTAATGTGTTATTGGGCTCAAGATATTCAAAATTAAAGTCTCATATTTCCTTATGGTCTAACTGCCCTCCTCAACTCTTTTGCTGGTGTTATATCACTCAATTCACTTAGACACAGTATTTTAGAATTATCTATCACATTGACAAAGTTATAGAGATCTCTCCTTTGAAATTTCTTTTATATCCACTCCTTCCTCTACATTTCTACCACTTGCTCTTACTGTGCCTCTACCCGTCACATCTGTATTATATTACAGCTTCCTCCTTGGCCTCCATGACTCCAGGATCAACCTTCCTGCAGTTATCCCGGATATTGTTGCCAAATGCATATTCTTCAAGTGTTACTTTATCTCATCTTTTGGCTTCCAACTGTCCTTTCTGGGTTAGAGAGAACTATCCACTCTAGCATTCCAAACCCCTTCTTTGTTGCTCCCAGTATTCCCATGGCATTTACACATCACAACTGATGTGCAGGTCATGTTTAAATATTTAGAAAACAAAATACTTTTGCCTTCTCCAAACGCACTTACCATAATATCTATGACATTCATCATATTTCTCTCTATAGTCAGGAAATTCTTTAAATAAATATTTCCTAAGAAAAAAGGTCCATGGACACACACACACACACACAGAGTGAGAGAGAGAGAGATCTCAAACACAGAGCTATGGTAATGCTTTGTTGACATACCTGTGCTAAGCTAACCATCCTAACCATGCATATTCTAAAAGATTTTCACCCTGTTGCACCAGTGCTAAGATTAAAAGCAACATCTTTCCTCATTTCAAACGTTTAGATTCTGCAGTTTAAACTATGAATTTTAACCAAAACTACACACTAGGTTTCATAAAGAGTGTGAAAGTTTCCTCTTGGTAGTATCAGATTTTTTTCAGCATTCAATATAAGCATACAGTCAATTATATTGTTAACCTACAAATATATACAATATATACAAAACGTGCATTTTGCACATTTTTGAAGTATCTTATGTTAAAGTCATCACTCTAACTTTTTCTCCTAAAACAATTTTATTTTAATTCAACAGCATATATTGAGCACCTTCAATGTAAGTTATTGTGCAAAGTCCCACTGGATTTTGTAAAGATGAAGAAAACACGGCCTGTGCCCTGAGGGAGCTTTAAGGTAGTTGGTAAGGAAGATAGAAATGCATGAAGCCACAAAGAAGAACTGCCTGAAACTAGTACTGTCACCAAGGTACAAAACAATGCAACAGGAAAACCTACTACAGAGAGATTCCTTTCTCCATTGGGAAGAATATGGGTAAGCCAAGATGCTGTCTCAGTTAGGCCTTGGAGGAAAAGGAGTATTTTCTGTATGTGTGTCAACTCAGTCCAGGGCAAAGCCAAAAGTAAATTTTAGAAGCAGCACCTACCATAGTGCTCTGCTATACCCCACGCATGTGGTAAGTCATCTTGGCAGTGCCATTTTGTCACTGACTAGAAGCCTGGAACCATAAAATACCACAAAACCCCCAAAATAGACAGTGCCTGATAAGTTTCTCATTTCACTGACACACCGCAGAATGTCACCATTCTTTTTCACATTCCTGGATTAAGCTGTTTCCTTTTTGGAGCCTTTAAGCACATATGGTGGGAAAGGAAAAAAAAAAAAAGTTCAAAGAAACCCATAACCATGTTAAGTCCCACTTAAAGTGTGATGTTTCAGCAGATGGTGGCTCATTAATTGCCACACCTAACTGTACTCACCACCTTTTCTTTGTGTATGGATACTGGGTTTTGAAGTTGGGGTCTAATTCAGTTCATTTGGGCCATGTTTGACAAATAAGGCAGAATTGGATATAACTAAGATATCCGGTGTCTCTGATTCACAGCCACCTGTGATACTGCCCAGATGAACAAAAAAACCAGTATTTCCAGCTGTCTTTCCTCTTTTCTACCTTCAAACTTCTCTCTCTGCTGTGTCTGCTCAAAGGCACCAGGATCTGGGGAATGCACATGGGTACTGGGGTCAAACCACGTGTAAATTCTACCCACTTCTTTCTACCTATTCACCCTTAGCCAGCGACCTAATTTCCCAAACCACCTGAGTTCTGAAAAATAGGGATATCACCATCTATCTCACAGGATGCATGATTCATGGTTATCACATGCTGAATACATTCCTCCCACTCTCTTATCCTCCCTACTCCATCCATGTAAACACATAAACATGCTTCAGAAATTCCATAGGTCTATCATATTAAGACCATATAATTTAAATGTTATAAATACAAATGGCTAAAACGTTAATGACACATTATTTTTCTCATTAGTTATTTATAGTATTCAAATAAGAGAAACAATCTATACTCATTTATTCCATTAACATTATTGAGCACCCATGGGCCAGAGAAAGAGCATTCCAGGCAGAGTAAACAGCCAGTGCAAGGGTCCTGAGGCATGAAAGAGCTTTGAGGAACTGCAAAGAGACCTAGAGAGTAGTGAATGAGGAAGGGGTAGTATGAGATGAAATTGCAGATATATGCAATGCTAGATTATGCAGGCCTTGAAGGCCAAACTATGGAGTTTGGACTTCAGTCCAAAGAAAAACTTTGAAGAGTTTTAAGCAGGGGAGAGGCATTGATTATTGTTTTGCAATGTCACTCAGACAGCTGTGTGAAAAATGGATTGAAGCTGGGGGTAGCAAGTGTGAAGGCAGGGAAGCCAGTCAGGAAGCTATTGCAATCATGCAGACAAGAAATATTAGTAACTTGGACTAAGGAGGCAGCAGTGGAAACAGAGAGAAATGGGTAAAGGTCAAAATCATAGAAATACATGGATGGCGCTGGAGGCCATTATCCTTAGCAAACTAACACAGTAACAGAAAACCAAATACTGCATGTTCTCACTTATAAGTGGGAGCCAAATGGTGAGAACTCGTGGACCCAAAGAAAGGAACAACAGACACTGGGGCTTACTTGAGTGGGGAGGATGGAAGGAGGGAGAGGAGCAGAAAAAGTAACTGTTGGGTATTAGGCTTAGTACCTGGGTGATGAAATAATCCGTACAATAAACCCCGTGAAATGAGTTTACCTATATGACAAACCTGCACATGTACCCCCAAACCTAAAATAAAAGTTAAAAATAAAAATGAATTTTTAAAAATTACTGCGAGTGCAGATGAGGGAAAGAAGCGATCAAGAGCCATGCTACATTTCTAGTGTGAGTGCTTGAATGGTGCTGCCAATCTCAGTTGGAGAGGCAATTGGATGTGTGAACCTGAGGGAAGCATCTGGTCTAGAGATTTAGATTTTGGCTATATCAGCGCATAGGTGCTATACGCATACTGATAATTAAACTCATGGGACTTGATGAAATTGCTTAGGGGAAAGTATAGCTAGAAAAACTAAGAGGTCAATATCCAGGCTCTGAGGCACAAGCATTTAGATCTCCATTAGAGGAGGAGGTACCACAAAAAAGCATGAGTAGGAAAATGGGGGGAAAACTATGAAAATATGTGTCCTCATAGCCAAGACAGGGGAATCTAATAATCTATGATGACACAGTGACAGTACAACACAGAGTCTAGGATGTGGCATCAGAGAGACTTGGATTTAAATTCTAGTGTGATTTGCACAATGGGGGAGTACTTAGCTTCTTCAGGCCTTGATTTCCTCATCCGTGAAATGGGGATAAGAATAATAATACCTTTAGAATGTTAGGAGCATCCAAACATATAATGGATATAAAGCACTTATCAACATAAAGAATGCAAAATCTGACTTATAAAAAGAGCTCAATATATGAATGACAGCTATTGTCATTGTTCTCATTTATCAGCTCCAACAATAATATTTGGTGACTGCTCACATTTGCAGGCCACAGTCCTGGAAGTGGTATAGAGCATTACTCTCCCAAGGATTATGCCCTAATGAAAAGCATGAAGACCTATCATCAGGACCCTAAAAACATAAAGCATCTTTAGTAATAGTGAAATGATGAGCATTCAAAAGCACAGGGGCCATTATATTCTTTCAATAGGCTATTTTGTTATGAGCCCATAAAAGGAGTTTAATGCTGTTTTGTGAATAGCAGAAATAAGCTGCCAGAGTACGATAAGGTATCTCCATTTCTCAAGGTCTTTAAAATGGACTAGATAGAAAGGCCGCTATGGAAAAAGACTGCCCATAGCTACCACATTTTATGGGTACAAATCATGCTTGGAGAATAAAGAGAGTGCCTGGAACTTCCCCTCCCCAACCAAGGAGGAGGGGAGGGGACCTGGCAGCACAAGGGGACATTGAGCCAGCTGTGGACAGCCTCTGGTTGAGAGGAGAAAAAGAGACGGCCTCCTTCCAAGAAGGGCAGAGAGAAAACGGCAAAAACTCAGGAAGGACCAAAGACTAGCAAAGATGTAACTGCTAGAAGCCAGAAGGCAGCTTTTCACAAGTGGTGAGAAATCCATACTTTGCCCACATGAGCTAGGTCAGTATTCCAGATTCCCATTGTCAAGACCAGGAGACAAACATTGAGTCAGATATCCCTGAAAATGGTGAATTCAACACAAATCCATTGGCATTTGCCCCCACCTCAGAGAACAAGGTTACTATTCTGGACCACTCTGATTTTGTCTTCAATTCTCGATTTGGATAAACCCCTTTAAAAATTATGTGAATCCAGGTAGTCATTAGTCAGTATGTAAATAGCTATTATGAACCAGATACTCAGAAGAATACCTAACAATGTGTTGTGTTCCTCACAGCTCTAGGCATGCCAGGATTTCATCGGGCACTGCGAAGTGTTATCATCTGATATGCAGTATTTGGAGAACCATCCTGTTCTTTTGGAAGGAGTAACCAATTTGGCAGGACTTGGCACATGCCTCCTCACAGCCGCACCTGAGCCCCATAATGAATGGGTGCCACGTGGCATTGATGGTCACTCAAGTGGAGAAGAAAATGAAAGCTTCAGGACATATTACCATCTCACCTCCAACTATGCTATAGAGAGGCAGGACCTTGTCAAGGTCAGATTTATGAGGCTGATTAAAAAAGAAAGAGAGGAAATGCACCAATGGCCAAAAAGGAATCCAAGTATGTGTCTTTGACGTATGAGTTCCATCTGCCTAATTCATTTGGTGTCTGCAACCTGCATGTTACCGAGAGCCTCAGATTACATGAGTGGCAAGTTGGGGAGGGGGTTGGCAGTGGGGAAGGTATCTCTTAGTGTTTTGCAGCCAAATCACCATGTGCCCTTCTGAACCCCGCTGAAACCAAATCACAACAGCAAGGGATTCCCTCCTAAGAATCCTTGTATTTAGCCAAAAGAAAATCCTGGAGTTTCAAACACTGAAGTTGAATCCCAAATATAAAAGGTTATTTTCTGGGTATCTAGGGAAATTCTTTAATTTATCAACTTCCTTTTCTGAAAGATGTCTGGCTGTTTTGGTCCTGAATTTCGTGGGTGTAGTTTTAATTACTTGCTTTTTTCATTCTCACTCAGCAGTTTACCTTTTTTGTATCAACTACTTTTGCCAAGAAGCCCAGGTTCTTTTTGTCAATAAAATGAGAATTTACAATGGCTCTCATTGCAGTGTTAACTGGGTTTATAGGGCCCCCTTTTTTTTAATTTTTATTATTATTTTTTTTTTACTTTAAGTTCCAGGATACATGTGCAGAACATGCAGGTTTGTTACACAGGTATATGTATGCCATGGTGGTTTGCTGCACCTATCAACCTGTCACCGAGGTTTTCAGCCCCACATGTATTAGCTATTTGTCCTGATGCTCTCCCTCTCCTCGCCACCCCCTGAGAGGCCCCGATGAGTGTTTTCCCCTCCCTGTGTCCATGTGTTCTCATTGTTCAACTCCCACTTATGAGTGAGAACATGTGGTGTTTTGTTTTCTATTCCTGTGTTAGTTTGCTGAGGATGATGGCTTCCAGCTTCATCCACGTCCCGGCAAAGGACATGATCTCATTCCTTTTAATGGATGCATAGTATTCTGTGGTGTATATGTACCACATTCTCTTTATCCAGTCTATCACTGATGGCCATTTAGGTTGGTTCCATGTCTTTGCTATTGTGAATAGTGCTGCAATGAACATATGTGTACATGTATCTTTGTAAGAGAATGATTTATATTCCTTTGGCTATATGCCAAGTAATGGAATTGCTGGGTCAAATGGTATTTCTGGTTATGGATCCTTGAGGAATCGCCATACTGTCTTCCACAATGGCTGAACTAATTTACATTCCCACCAAAAGTGTTCCTGTTTCTCCACAGCCTCACCAGCATCTGTTGTTTCTTGACTTTTTAATAATCACCATTCTGAGTGGCATGAGGTGGTATCTCATTGTGGTTTTGATTCGCATTTCTCTAATGATGAGTGCTGTTGAGCTTTTTTTCATATATTTGTTGGCTGCATAAATGTCTTCTTTTGAGAAGTGTCTGTTCATATCCTTTGCCCACTTTTTGACAGGATTGTTTGTTTTTTTCTTGTAAATTTATTTAAACTCCTTGTAAACTGTGAATATTGGACCTTTGTCAGATGGGTAGATTGCAAAAATTTTCTCCTATTCTGTAGGTTGCCTGTTTGCTCTGATGATAGTTTCTTTTACTGTACAGACGCTCATTAGTTTTGTTTGTTTTGTTTCTTTTTTGTTTTTTGTTTTTTGTTTTTTTTTTGAGATAGTTTCTCACTCTGTCACTGGGTTGGAGTGCAGTGGCACGATCTCAGCTCACTGCAGCCTCCGCCTCCTGGGTTCAAGCGATTCTTGTGCCTCAGCCTCTCGAGTAGCTGGGATTACAGGCACATGCCACTGCACCCACCTAATTTCTGTATTTTTAGTAGGATGGAGTTTCACCATGTTGGCCAGGCTGGTCTCAATCTCCTGACCTCATGATCTGCCCACCTCGACCTCCCAAAGTGCTGGGATTACAGGTGTGAGCCATTGCACCTGGCCAGAAGCTGGTTAGTTTAATTAGATCTCTTTTGACAATTTTAGCTTTTGTTGTAATTACTTTTGGCAATTTCATCATAAAATCTTTGCCCATGCCTATGTCCTGAATGGTATTGTCTAGGTTTTCTTCTAGGGTTTTATGGTTTTGGGTTTTACACTTAAGCCTTGAATCCATCTTGAATTAATTTTTGTATAAGTTGTAAGGAAGGGGTCCAGTTTTGGTTTTCTGCATATGGCTAGCCAGTTTTCCCAGCACCATTTATTAAATAGGGAATACTTTCCCCACTGCTTATTTTTGTCAGGTTTGTTGAAGATCAGATGGTTTTAGATGTGTGGTCTTATTTCTGAGGTCTCTATTCTGTTCCATTGGTTTATATGTCTGTTTTGGTAACAGTACCATACTGTTTTGGTTATTGTAGCCTTGTAATATAGTTTGAAGTCAGGTAGCATGATGCCTCCAGCTTTGTTCTTTTTGCTTTGGATTGTCTTGGCTATGCAGGCTATTTTTTGGTTCCCTATGAATTTTAAAGTAGTTCTTTTCTAATTCTGTGAAGAATGTCTGTGGTAGTTTGATGGCAATAACATTGAATCTATAAATTACTTTGGGCGTTATGGCTGTTTTCACAATATTGAGTCTTTCCATCCATGAGGTGGAATGTTTTTCCATTTCTTTGTGTCCTTTTATTTCCTTGCGCAGTGGTTTGTAGTTCTTATAGGGCCCCCTTTTGAATGTTATAATAGGTAGAAGTGACAGCAAACTAGATATGAAATCCTGAAATGGGAGGCCAACCCACATACAGGCAGTATCAGGTCTAAGCCTGTCTGAATATCTGAATGAAAATTTGGAAAAGAGGAGCTGTAGAAATTCTTCTCAAGACAAAAGAAAGAGAAGCAATGACAGCAAATAGTACATAATTAAGAAATGTTAGCCATGGATTGTTATTCTATAAATCTATAGGTAAAAGCCGCACAAAGAAAGCAACATACCAAGCAATAGACACAGGTCAGAGTGGGTTGGTACAAAAATTTCCCAACCTGGTTCAGTGTGAGTTTGGGTATTTAAAGATTTGGATGCTTTATGCTTGGGAAAATGGCCATTTCCACAATTTCTCTGATCTTCTTGCCTACAATTTTCCACCTATTGTCATGAAGCTTTCATAGATTTATAGCATAATAGTATATAGCAAATGTGTGTGGATCACATACTATTTGCAAGGCACTGTTAAGCAGTTTATACGTTTTTCTCATTTAATCCTTGTAACAATTAATATTAGTAGTACTAGAAGCAGTAATATTGCTGTTACTATTATCCCCATTTTACAAATGAGGAAACCGACGCTCAGAGACGGCAAATAACTTGCCCAACATCCTACTCTTAGTAAGTGGCAGTGCCAGGATTCAAACCTTCATGGTGTGACTCCAGGGCCTGCACTCTTAACTGTTATTTGTGTACCTAACAGAGAGATTACAGTGTTTTGGACCAGGTCATAAAAGTAGAGTGGTGAGAAGTGGTTGGTTTCTGGATACATATTGAAAGTAGAACCAATAGGATTAGCTGACATGTAGTGTGTGGTGAAAGAGAAAGAAAAGGACTGGGTGGAGTTGTCATCAACAGACATGGGGAAGACCGTGGAAAGTACAAGGTGGGGCAGGGACAATATCAGCTCAGTTTGGGGCACACTGAGCTCCTGATATTGAGATATTTATTAGATATCCAAGTGGACATGTTGAGTGGGCAGTAAGATACACAAGTCTAGAGTTCACAGGAGAGTTTCAGATTAAAGATGTAAATTTGAGAGACATGATAATCAACATATAGATGGGACCTAAACCATGAGACCGAATGATGTCCTCCAGGGGTGGGTGTTGATAGAATAGAAGAGAGGAACATGGAAAACTGCTTTGTGCTGAGGTCTAGGAGATCAATGGGAACCAACAAAAGAGACTGAAAAGGAGTGGCCAGAGAGGTAAGAGAGTGTGGAATCCTGGGAGCCAAGTGAAGAAAGTATTTCAAACAGTAGAGAATCACCAGCATCTCAAAGTTGCTGATTAGTCAAGCAAGATGAGAACTGGTAACTGAGCATTAGATTTAGCAACACGGGTCTTTAGTGTCCTTAATAACAGCAGTTTAATAAGCGCACTGGGGATGTATGTTTGGAATTAGTTGAAGAGAGAATGGAAAGAAAGAAGTTATAGCAATGGGTATACGCAAAACTCTTTCAAGGAGTTTTGTCATAAAGGGAAAGAGAAGGAGTAGCAGCTAGTGGTGAAAGTGGCATTAAGAGAGGGTTTGTTTTACTGAGGACAGGGGGAAAGCAGTATATTTGTATGCGGATGAGAATGGTTATTGAGAGATGGAAAAATTGATACAAAAAAAGAGAGGGAGACTTCCTGGAGCAAAGTCTGTAAGTGGGCAGGAGGGGAAGGGATCTGGCAGATAAGTGGAGAGGTTGTTTTAGGTAGGCACACACATAGTTCATTCACAGTAACAGTGGAAAGAACTGAGAATGTAGTGACGTTGCAGGAAGATGGGTGAGTGTGATGATTGGACCTTACGGAAGTTATCTACTGACCTATAATATGTTTAGTAAACGTTAATGTGTTCAGAGCCCTCAGAAATAATGCTGCATATCTACAACTATCTGATCTTTGACAAACCTGACAAAAACAAGAAATGGGGAAAGGATTCTCTATTTAATAAATGGTACTGGGAAAACTGGCTAGCCGTATGTAGAAAGCTGAAACTGGATCCCTTCCTTACACCGTATACAAAAATTAATTCAAGACGGATTAAAGACTTAAATATTAGGCCTAAAACCATAAAAACCCTAGAAGAAAACCTAGGCAATACCATTCAGGACATAGGCATGGGCAAGGACTTCATGTCTAAAACATCAAAAGCAATGGCAACAAAAGCCAAAATTGACAAATGGGATCTAATTAAACTCAAGAGCTTCTGCACAGCAAAAGAAACTACCATCAGAGTGAACAGGAAACCTACAGAATGGGAGAAAAATTTTGCAATCTACTCATCTGACAAAGGGCTAATGTCCAGATTCTACAAAGAACTCAAACAAATTTACAAAGAAAAAAACAAACAACCCCACCAAAAAGTGGGCGAAGGATATGAACAGACACTTCTCAAAAGAAGACATTTATGCAGCCAAAAGACACATGAAAAAATGCTCATCATCACTGGCCATCAGAGAAATGCAAATCAAAACCACAATGAGATACCATCGCACACCAGTTAGAATGGCAATCATTAAAAAGTCAGGAAACAACAGGTGCTGGAGAGGATGTGGAGAAATAGGAACACTTTTACACTGTTGGTGGGAATGTAAACTAGTTCAACCATTGTGGAAGTCAGTGTGGCGATTCTTCAGGGATCTAGAACTAGAAATACCATTTGACCCAGCCATCCCATTAGTGGGTATATACCCAAAGGATTATAAATCATAATGCTATAAAGACACATGCACACGTATGTTTATTGCGGCACTATTCACAATAGCAAAGACTTGGAACCAACCCAAATGTCCAACAATGACAGACTGGATTAAGAAAATGTGGCACATATACACCATGGAATACTATGCAGCCATAAAAAATGATGAGTTAATGTCCTTTGTAGGGACATGGCTGAAGCTGGAAACCATCATTCTCAGCAAACTATCGCAAGGACAAAAAAACCAAACACCACATGTTCTCACTCATAGGTGGGAACTGAACAATGAGAACACATGGACACAAGAAGGGGAACATCACACACTGGGGCCTGTTGTGGGGTGGGGGGAGGGGGGAGGGATAGCATTAGGAGATATACCTAATGCTAAATGACAAGTTAATGGGTACAGCACACCAACATGGCACATGTATACATATGTAACAAACCTGCACGTTGTGCACAGGTACCCTAAAACTTAAAGTATAATTAAAAATAATAATAAAATAAATGTTAATGTGTTCAAAGAAAGGAGGACTCTTATAAATGGAGATAGCCAAAGTATTAATGAAATTTAAGCTTTCAAATATCTAAATGAGTATATTGGTGGAGAGGAAGAAGAGTATTTGGGCAATGGAAAACCATGTGAACTCAGATAGTAATGAACAAGTTATGTACACAAGACATTGAGCTTCCAGGTCCTGCCAGACAGGAGGGTTTGTGATTAAAAAGTTCAGATTAAGTTTGGAAATAATGGTTAGATTCAGACTGTAGAAGATTTGAACAACACGAGAAACTCAAGATCTTAGGCCATGAATGACATGATGGAAGAAGGGTGATTAAGAATTAATCTAGCAATGATGGTGAAACAAATGAGAAGCGAGAAGGACCCTCAGCTGTAATGGGATTTTTTAAAATTCTACTTTATTTGACATCACATCAGTCTGACACATGAAATTTTATTACAGGCAAGCAATAATAATATTAATAATGACAATTTTTAAATTCACATTGAAACCTTAATTTCAGTTTTATGGGTGACTTTGGTCTCTTCTCCATGTCCCTTCTTCAAACACACATGAGTTTTCTCTACCTTCAAAAAAACTTCAAACACCACATGTTCTCACCATAAGTGGGAGTTGAACAATGAAAACAACACACGGACACAGGGAGGGGAACAACACGCACAGGGGCCAGTCAGAGGGTGGGGGCGCAAGGGGAGGAAGAGCATTAGGACAAATAGCTAATGCATGTGGGGCTTTAAATAAAGATGACGGGTTGATAGGTGCAGCAAACCACCATGGCACATGTATACCTATGTAACAATCCTACACAATCTACACTTGTATCCCGGAACTTAAAGTAAAAAACAAAACAAAACAAACAGACAAAAAACCTTTAATCTTCCCATCCTCTCAAGCTACAGAATGATTCCTCTCCCTCCTTTGGCTGCCGAAGTTCTCCAAAAATTAACATTTTTAATTTTATTTTTATTTAAACATATTTTTTAATATTTATTTTTTATTCTATTTTATTTATTTTTGTTTGCCTTCTATTTGCCCCTCAGACCCAAGAAGCTTGATTCTTGCTTTAACCTCTCTCTTGACACTAATAGGCTGCAGGCCTAAGGGGTCACATCACGGGAGCCCTTTCTCTTCTACCAGTTCTGGATGGTCCTGTAATTCTCCATACCATTGACAAGGGCCTCCTGGAAACTCTGCCTCCTGAGCTGGTGTGGCCTCCTGACTCACTCACAACATCAGGTCCAAAGTAGAGGCTTCCTTTTTCCATCTCAGTGAGGGTGTCAATTTTGTGGTTGTGGTAGGACAGAATAATTGACTTCCCCCTCCCCAACTTATGAATAAGTCACTTGAAGTGGCAAAAAGGACTTTGCAGCTGTGATTGAGAATCTTGAAATGGGGAGGGTATCCTCTCCCCATTGCATTATTCATGTGGCTCCAATCTAATCACGTGGGTTCTTAAAACCAGAGAAACTGTCCCAGCTATGGCCTGGGAAAGAGAGAAATGTGACAATAGAGAAAGAGTCAGAGAGGTGCAACCCTGTTGGCTTTGAAGATGGAGGAAGAGGGCCAAGAACCAAGGAATGCACGTGAAAACTTCCACCAGGTGAAAAAGGCAAGGAAATGGAAATGGATTCCCCCTAAGAGACTCCAGAAGGAATATGGCCTCGCTAACACTTTAGCCCAGTAAGACTAATTTTGGACTTCTGACCTACAAAACTGTAAGATAACAAACGATCTTTTTTAAAATCAGTAAGTTGGTAGTAATTTGATATAGCAGCAATTGGAAACTAATACAGTGGTTAAGCCACTTCCTTGTTCAGACAGGTAGCCTGAAGCTCTCACCATTGTCTCCCCTCCTCCCTGACCCTACTCCCTCTGAGAATGCGCCAAAGGTCTATGGAATTACAAAAGGTATTAAAATAAACATTCTTAACAGCTGGAGCATGAAGGTCTGAGCTGGTCCTCCTGAGAGCTTGGCTGCCTTTCTCTTGGGGTATTTATTTTACCTGAGCCCTCACTCCCTTACCCAAGGTGCTGCTCTATCTGCCATGCAGAAACTGGAAAGGTGTGAGAATTACTATAGCGGATGCTCTAGAAAGCAACAGAGAAACCCAAGTGCAGATTATTCTGTCTGTTACAGTCACAGGAAGGATATATCTAGTGAGTTCTTCAGGTTTGTGCAAAACCATGAGTTGTTTCTGTGAAGACTTTTTTCTTTCAACTTCACTTTGAATTCAATCAGAATGGATTTTCACCTGGCATTTAACAGAATAAAGCATATGTTGCTGTCCCTCTCATTACCTGAACCCAAGCCACCAAGACCCCAGAGGTTGCCTTTGGACTCTGAAAAAGGATCTAAGTCTTTTGAGAGTTACTTATAAAGGAGGTAACCATTATTGATCCAGAGGAGGACTATTGTACAGAAGAAAGAAAAGACATCAAGGCTAACTAGAAGAAAGAAAAGGGACTCAGTTATTAAATCCAGGGGAATGTGGACTGGTAATGAAGACTTTATAGAAAAACAGCCAAAAAAAAAAAAGAAAGAAAAAGAAAAAAAGAAAGGAAGAAGAAACTGCATAATATTTATATTCTTATTCTTGGTGCCATAAAAGTGAAAGGTGTTAAGAACACAGTTGGGGGTTAGGTATGTAGAGCAAAGGCTGCAAGAGAAGCTAAATTATGCCTGATCCAGTCTCTATTGCTCTGGCTTTGGAGGCTTCTTTCCCTTGTTATTAAAGTGATGACAAGGAAAAAATACTTCATTTGTTATTAGAAATTGGGCTCCATGTGACTACTTAGCACCACTTGGGGAGGAGATCAGGGTAGAGGTTTGGAGGAAGAGTGGTTATGCAGCAGTGAATGAGGTCATGAAGGAAATGAATTAGCTATGTCTAAAGGATTAAATTGGACCCTCCCAGCAGAAAGAACTGGCCCTGAGACCTGTTGCTTCTCTGGGTGAACTGGCAAATGAGTGTAAGTATTTTTTTTTTTTAAAAAAAGCATGTTTGTATATATAAGCATTGCTTTGCCAGCCCCACATGAAAGGAAATTCTCAGCCCATGGACAAAGAAGCAGTGCAATCCCCTCATGCTCTACATCAGCTGGCCTGAGATCAGAGGCATGGGTGGTACCTGTCACTTGCCCTGTGCCTGCCCAGGTGGGTGTGTGTGTAAGAGAAGAGTCAGTGGCATTTATCATTCTATAAATGATACATCTGTAAGAACAAGGCCAATGTTAAGTCATATATGGGAGCTAATTTTTCAGAGACTCACCTAAGGGTACCATGAATTACAGCAAACAAATCTATTGATTCGGGCTGGGCTCAGTGGCTCATGTCCATAATCCCAGCACTTTGGGCGGCCAAGGCCAGTGGATCACCTAAGGTCAGGTGGTCGAGACCAGCCTGACTAATATGGTAAAACCCCATCTCTACTAAAAATACAAAACTTAGCTGGGCATGGTGGCATGTGCCTGTAGTCCCAGCTACTCGGGAGGCTGAGACAGGAGAATTGCTTGAACCCGGGAGGCTGAGGTTACAATGAGCCGAGATTGCGCCACTATACTCCAGCCTAGGTGACAGAGCATGACACTGTCTAAAAAAAAAAAAAAAAAAAAAACTATTGATTCTGATAATGTGTCTATGTATGTCATTCTTGAACAAAAATAAAATATGTGTGCTTACTTATATATTTTTCAGGAACTGTTCTCTCTAACTAAACAGGGAAGGGGCTGGTGTTGGGGAGTTGGAGGGGCAATAATATAATAAATATATTTTCAAGATATATTTTTGTTGAAATCTGTGGTACTAATATTAGGATTGTATTTATCTCCCTGTATCTTGAAAACAGGTGGGTAATGAAATGCTACCTTTAAACAACCAAGAATATATATGTATACATATGGGGGTGGCGTAGGAGGGGCTAGAAACACCATGCTAATGAACCCACTGTCACCTGGTAATTGTATAGCTCAATTGCAGGAAAACCATCTAAAGAAACACACTATCTCAAATGACAAGGTAACCTAGTAAAACACATAAAAGCCTTTCCCCCACTCACTAATGCCAAACCCATGACCCACAACGGATGTGTAATATGTGTTGGTACACATGTCATTATACAGAGCGATAAGTTATATATCCAGATTTTTCCTAGCACTCCCACTTGCCAATTCTGTGCTTCCTTTTAAGGCTAACCTAATTTATATCAGCTGAATTAAGCATGTCTTTTTATTCTGATGCTTTGACAGCTGGGGCCTTGCTGACCCTGGAGAGACTGCCCCTCCCAGGGCTGGGCCAATTCCTAGAGATAGTGAAGGATGTCTGTCTTTCATATGCAAACCAACCAATCCAGATCCCAGGCCCCAATCACCTCCTTTATTGGGCTCTCACTGGTGGAGACACTATACCCTAACCACCCAGGGCCAGGTATCAAACTACCTGATAGAGACAGGCCCTGTACCCCAGAGCCCATGGGAAGTGTTCACACTAGCCTGCTTACCCTGCCTCACCCATTCCTTCATGGAAACCATAAATAAAGGCTCTGGCCCAGGTTTTCCATTGCTCCCTCTGCCTCCTGACCCACCTTGTCACTCCCTGGTGTGACCCTGTGTGGCATGGCCCCTCCTTTTGGAAAGTGGAGTAACAAGACATCTTTTCAATGGCAGTCACCTCCTGAATAATAAAAACACCCACACCTTAAAGCATGACCCTGGCCGGGCACGGTGGCTCATTCCTGTAATCGCAGCACTTTGGGAGGCGGAGGCGGGTGGATCCTGAGATCAGGAGTTCAAGACCAGCCTGGCCAACATGGTGAAACCCCGTCTCTACTAAAGATACAGAAAATTACCCAGGTGTGGTGGCACGCACCTGTAATCCCAGCTACTCCGGAGGCTGAGGCAGGAGAATCACTTGAACCCGGGAGGCAGAGGTTGCAGTGAGCCAAGATTGCACAATTGCACTCCTGCCTGGGTGACAGGGCGAGACTCCGTCTAAAAAAAAAAAAAAAAAAAAAGGGTGGCCCTATGGGTGTAGGCTCATTAAAATTTTGTTGATTAACTAAAGATTAGGATTCAGTTGTTTGACAGATGGTATTAATAATAAGACTCAGGTGACAGCTCAGTCATAAGAAAAGTCAATTTGTTTTACTCTGACCCATTGCCAAACAGCCACATGACAAATCCAATTGTTTTATAAATATTTATTTAGAGTTACTATGTACCAACCAGATCTGTACAAAACCATCCCTCTAAATTCAAGCAAAATCCTTACCTCTCTGTTCCATGATCACCTGAGTTGCTCCATGTCTGGGAGCTTCCTGATTTCCCACCCGCACCACCTGAGGAAGAGGCCCAGGAAGGGATGCTGTGCCCATGTCCCCTTGGGTTCTTTCCAACCAATCTGTAAAAACAGAATTTGTCCTTTTAATCCATTCACAGTAGATAGCCTTTTACCCTACACCTAAATATGCTAATAGAAGGATGTCTACACAACATAAATATCTTCAACCACATCCAGGGAATTTTTCCACAGTTAATTGAAGGGTGGTGGGTAGGGAGCGGCTACTCAGTTTCATTTAAACAACTGTATACTTTTATACTTAGAACACTTCGCCACCCTGTTTTATAGTTGAGAAACCTGAGACCTAGAAAGCAGTGATTTACCTAGAATTAATGGTCTGCTTGGGGATACAATCCCTATGTGACTCCTTCTAAAGTTTTGCCCTAACTAATTGTGTCATTTAGAGCACAGAAACTAACTTCCCTAAACCTCAATTACTTTTTCTGAAAATAAGGATACTCCATTACAGATTTGTTGTAAGTATTATTCAAGGTGTGAAAAGTGCTTTGTAAGCTGTAAAATAGGAAACGAATAACAGCACATTATTGGTAGTACAATTACACTGATAGAAGAAAAGGGCCGGCCCAATAAAGTTTGGACTTAATTAGTCTCATCTTCTCTCAGAAGATAAAACACATATCCTAGAAATACAGTCATGTACCATATAACATTTCAATCAATGATTGACTGCATATAGGTGGTCCCATAAGATTATAATGGAGCTGAAAAACCCCTGTCACCTAGTGAGCTTGTAGCCATCATAACCATTACTCCTGCGTTTGTGGTGATGCTGGTGTAAAAAAACTGACTGCACTGTCACTTGTATTAAAGTATAGCACGTACAGTTATATATAGTGCATAATACTTCATACTAAATCACTGTTACTGGTTTATGTACTTACTACACTTTTTATCCTTATTTTGGAGTGTATTCCTTCTACTTATATATAAAAAACAAACAAACAAAAAAAAAAACAAGTTAACTGTAAAACTGCCTCGGGCAGGTCCTTCAGGAGGTATCCAGAAGAAGGCATTGTTATCATTGGAGGTGACAGCTCCATGCTTGTTACTGCCCCTGAAGACCTTCCAAGGGGACAAGATGTGGAGGTGGAAGACAGCGATATTGATGATCCTGACACTATGTAGGCCTAGGCTAATGTGTGTGTTTGTGTCTTAGTTTTTAACAAAGAATTTAACAAGTTAAAAAAAATAAAAATCTATAGAAAAAAGCTTCTAGAATAAGGATATAAGAAAGAAAGTACTTTTGCGCAGCTATACCCAAGTACTTTGGGTTTGTGTTTGTTTTAAGCTGAGTGTTATTACAAAAGTTAAACCATTTTTTAAAAAGTTGATAAAGTAAAAAGTTAACAGTAAGCTAAGTTTAATTTATTATTAAAGAAGAAATTTTTGTATAAATTTAGTGTCACCTAAGTGTACAGTCTATAAAGTCTGCAGTAGTGTACAGTAATATCTTAGGTCTTCACACTCACTCACTACTCCCTCACCGACTCACCCAGAGCAACTTCCAGTCCTGCAAGCTCCATTCATGGTAAGTGCCCTATATAGGTACCATTTTTTATCCTTAATATTATATTTTTACTGTACCTTTTCTATGTTTAGATACTGAAATAGTTACCATTGGGTTACAATTGGCTACTGTATTCAGTAGAGTAACATGTTGTACAGGTTCATAGCCTAGCAACAATAGGCTATACCATATAGCCTAGGTGTGTGGTAGGCTTTACCAACTACATTTGATAGGTACATTCTATGATGTTTGCACAAGGGTGAAATCACCTAACAATGCGTTTCTCAGAATATATCCCAGTTTTTAAGCAACACATGACTTTATACTTTGATGATGAAATGTTTCATCCAACAGCCTAGAGCTACCATAGAACCTCTGTCTCTAGCTGTGGATTTGTGCTTTTTGGCTGTTATGTAATCCCAGGATTACTCTGGGAATTTTGACTGAAACTTTGTAGTTATTTAATCTCCTTTTTTCAAATGTATATTTAGTTGCAGAAGTAATATATATTAATTGCAAACTTTCTAGTACTACAGAAATGTAGGAAGCCAAAGTGCTGGTCCTGGCCGGGTCTGGTGGCTCACGCCTGTAATCCCAGCACTTTGGGAGGCCGAGGCGGGCAGATCACCTGAGGTCAGGAGTTCGAGACCAGCCTGGCCAACATGGTGAATGCCTGTCTCTACTAAAAGTACAAAAATTAGCCAAGCGTGGTGGCGGTTGGCTGCAATCCCAGCTACTCGGAAGGCTGAGGCATGAGAATCACTTGAACCTGGGAGGTGGAGGTTGCAGTGAGCCAAGATCACGCCACTGCACTCCATCCTGGGCCAAGAGCGAGACTCTGTCTCAAAAACAAAACAAAACAAAACAAAACAAAAAACAAAGTGCTGGTCCTTCTTTTACCTGGTCTAACTCCACTTTCCAAAGGTAACACTGTAACCCTGGTTCACACACATGGTTTTTTAAAACACAGAAATGAGATTTTATATATACACACACACATATACATATATATGCCATTTGATGTTTTCCTTAGCAATCTGTGATGGGCATTTTTATCCATATAAAGCTGCCTGGCTGTTTTTCACAGCTACATAATACTCCATTGCAAAAATGTATCATAATTCATCACTTCCCCATCTTTTTGACACTAGGTACCAGTTTTGTGGAAGACAATTTTTACACAGGACAGGGGGCGGGGGTTCAGGATGATTCAAACACATTACATTTATTGTGCACTTTATTTCTATCATTATTTCATACTCACCATAACGTAGAATCAGTGGGAGTCCTGAGCTTGTTTTCCTGCAACTAGACGGTACCATCTGGAGGTGATGGGAGACAGTGACAGATCATTAGGCATTATTAGATTCTCATAAGGAGCGTGCAACCTAGATCCCTTGCGTGTGCAGTTCACAATAGGGTTCACGCTCCTATGAGAATCTAATGCCTGCCGCTGATCTGAGCTCAGGCGGTAATGCTGGCCTGCCGCAGGTCACTTCCTACTCTATGGACAGTTCCTAACAGGCCACGGACCAGTACTGGTCCATGGCCTGGGGGTTGGGGACCCCTGTCATAATTTATGACCCCCTCCGATTTATGTTGTTTCCAATTTGTCTTTATTTATTTATTTATTTATTTATTTGAGGCAGGGTCTCACTTTGTCACCCAGGCTGGAGTGCAGTGGCTTGATCATGGCTCACTGCAGCCTCAACCACCTGGGCTCAGGTGATCCTCCCACCTCAGCCTCCCCAGTAGCTGGAACCACAGGTGTGCACCACCATGTCTGGCTAATTTCTGTATTTTTTGTGGAGATGGGGTTTTGCCATGTTGCCCAGGCTGGTCTAAAACTGGGCTCAACTGACCCACCTGCCTCAGCCTCCCAAAGTGCTGGAATTACAGACGTGAGCCACCGCACCCAGCCAATTTGTCATTCTTCTATACCATGCTGTAATTAACTTCTTTGTATGTGTGTATTTGTGGACACTTGAGTATTTCTGTGGAACTGATTTTAGAAGTCAAAGAGTAAACACCTGCGAGAGAGCTCAGAGAACCCAGACTTTGGTGTTTTCACTTTAAGTAACTGTTCTGATTTTCATCATTCTTTTGTCACCAACTATGCCTCTATGCAGACAATCGCACACAAATCCAAGACAGATACAGTATAGATCGTGCAGTTAGGAATGGCACTAGAATAGAACCCATTGTGTGGGTTGGGGAGGGGTTATCTGGCATGCTCTGCAGGGTGACTCAGCCCTCACATCCATTGCCTCTAACCCTGCCAAAATCTGCATTCCTGCTGACAAGCCGCATCTGTGTGTACAATGAAACTTTTGACCCCACCAGCCTAGGGTTGCTTTAAATATACCAGCGAGGTCATGTCACAGTTAGTGTGCATTCATAAATGACTTTGTAATGAATAAAAACAAGAGAAGCTCAAACTTCCACTCTGCAAATATGTCAGACTCAGTCTCCATTTGGAACCAGGGAACATCAATCTCTCACCAGCCAGGCAAGGTTCTGCCCAGCGGGCTGCTCACCACTCTAGCATCTCTCAGCTCCCACAGTCCCAGCCCATGCATCTGAATTCCACCTCCTGGGAAAATGCTGGAACAAATCCCAACTTTCAGAGTTGTCTTTAGCTTCGAGAAAATATTTTCAGGGATCTAGTTGTATTTACTGAACATTCATGGACCAATTCCTAATGTGTCTAATTTTTTAGACCAACTATAATTCACCTGTTACATTTGGGCTTTTGGCTGTGCTATAATTTTCCTAAATTGAAATATTTCTTATGCTCAAAGATCTCCCTGGTGTTCAAAAGCAAAATTGGTTTCCTATAAAAACTTGTCGTCACTGTCATTAATTAACAGAAAGCAGAATGCCTCTGTGTGTTTACCTTCACAAAGTGTATCCATGCAATGCATTTCTTTCCCAGAGGCATAGTTTATTCCTATATACCAGAAATTAAGAGTGCATTAAAAAAATGCATGTCTTTCACCAGCAGGGAAGTTTTGAGAAGGAGACTACTGTATTTCATGAAAGGACACCAGACACAGGGGTGTGAAAATTAAATAGAGCCTCTCTCTATGAGAAAGTAAATTATGTTATATTGTTCACTTTATCTGAGACTACTTTTCTGTGGTTTGATCCAATTTGCCAAAGAATATATGGGCTGATCATTCAACCAGTTATTAGCTATTCATTGGCCAGCTTTGTGGTTGTTTGACTTGGTAGTAATTCAAGGTAGAACATGTGTATGTTTGTGTGTGTGTGTGTGTGTGTGTGTGTGTGAGATTTTATCACTAGTTGTAAATTCAAGGATTCATAGAAAGAGTTTAAAGTTAGAATTCTTTTAAAATGTGATATAAATATATATATGTGTGTGTGCGTATATATATATATATTCCATTGTGTGTGTATACATACATAAAGGAATATTATTCAACCATAAAAAGAAGTAAATTTGCAACAACATGAATGGACCTGGGAAACATTATGCTAAGTGAAATAAGCCAGATGCAGAAAGACAAATACTGCAAGCGCCCACCTGCATGTGGAATCTAAAATAAAACTCACAGAACCAGAGAGTAAAATGGTGATTGCCAAGGGCACAGGGTGAGGGAAGGAGGAGGAAATAGGGAGATGTTTGTCAAAGGGTATAAAGTTTCAGTTAGGTAAGATGAATGGGTCCTGGGGATCTAATGTACATCATGATGTCTGTGTTTAATACTGTAGTGTACACTTTAAATTTGCTAAAATGGTAGATCTTAAGTGTTCTTACCACAAATAAAAAGAAAAAGAGAATGGCAACTATGTGAGGTGATAGACATGCTAGCAGTTTCATTGTGGTAATCGTTTCACAACGTATGCATATATCAAAACATCAAGTTGCACATCTTGAATATGTACAATTCTGACTTGTCAATTACAGCTCAATAAAGCTGAAAAAAAGAATTCTTTTAAAGACTGGTGCTGGAAAGTGAGACTAAAACAAATGTTCTCTGTGTGGTTTATGTTTCAGTCAACATGATTTGAGTCATGAAATATCTAAACTCATGAGCCATTTTGTAATATTAGTTACAGTTCTATATGCATTAGATGATTTTAAGTCATAGTGACTTCTGGATATGCCCTTAAAGTCTGCAACCACATTTTATATTATTTTTCCCTCTGTGACCTTTATAACAAGGTTAGGGATGTAAGTAATGTTGATAAGTACTAGACATTTGATAAACACTTGCTGACTTTAATTAGAGATGATTTCTTCCCCCCACTACTTATGTTCTATGATAGAAAACATAAAATATTTTAACTTAAAAATTCTCAGAATCTTTCAGGCTCATCACTCAGAAGAAGCAGGAGGCACAGTGGGGCTGCAGTGGAAGGAAATAGCCTTGTTGGCAGTCCTCTTTTCTTTCCCCCTTCTGTTGAGAGCAGGCCAGAGCCAAACAGAGCAATGCCATGTGTCCTGGGAGCATTGAGTAACATCAATTCTATTAAACTGAAGATGGGACAGAGCCCAGACTCTGGCAGGCAGGCGGTCTGCTAGGGCCTTGGCAGCAAAGGGCAGATAGGCATGGGCACGGTGAACCAGACTATAAGCCAGGCCAGTTGCAAACTTTAAGGTCCTGCATCCAGTCTGACAGGTGCCACTCACTGTCCTGTAAAAGGGTAAAAAGACCTGCAAGATTCACTCCCTGCCACCTGCCCCCTGCTCCATCCCTGCCTGCACTCTGTGTTCACCAACCATTCATTTCAGCCCCAGTTTCAACCTTGTACCTCTGTCTACCTGTGCTTTTGGACAGCAAACCCATCATTTCACCTCTAGGCTCATGGTGTTTCTTCTCCTTCTTTGTTTTGTAATACTTAACTGCTTTTTTTTTTTTTTTTTTTTTTTTGAGACCGAGTCTCACTCCGTTGCCCAGGGTGGAGTGCAGTGGCACAAACTCGGCTCATTGCAACCTCCGCCTCCAGGGTTCAAGCAATTGTCCTGCCTCAGCCTCCCGAGTAGCTGGGACTACAGGTGCGCACCACCACGCCCAGCTAATTTTTGTATTTTTAGTAGAGATGGGGTTTCACCATGTGGGCCAGGCTGGTCTCAAACTCCTGGCCTCAAGTGATCTGCCTGTCTCGGCTTCCCAAGGTGCTGGGATTATAAGCGTGAGCCACCGCACCCAGCCCTTAACTGCTTTTCTAGAATCATGAGCACCGTGGCCCTCTTGCCTGTCTCCAGGACTTACTTCTGCAACTGGCTCCATAGGCAGCCCAAGCATTCAGTCCAACATTCCCAGCTTATAGTTTGCCCTTGATTCTGGAAACAGAAGGAGTCAGACTCAGTCTTACAGCATACTCCTCAAAGGACATAGTGAAGTCAGGCCTAATTGAGAATAGATACATGAAGCTTCTTCCCAAAAGGAGGACCACAGTGGCAAGGTATTCTTATGGCAGACTCAATTTTAGTGTCAGGAAGGAGGTTACTGGGTAGCACTGGGCAATAAAGGCCTGACACTGAGGAAGTGCTCAGGGACCTTGTCGCTGGACACCCAGGCTGGGAGCGTGAACAAATTCCAGAGGTAAGGTGACTATATAATACTTCCTGCCAGGATGGATTTTGTAACTGAGGAGGATATGTGGTTGGGATCATTTTAAGGTACAAGAAGTAAGTAACGTGGATGCCTCTTGGAGGACTCAGAGACTTACAAAATGACTATTTCTAGTATACTAGAGTAAGACAGACAGAAAAAGATCTTTTATTTCCCTTTTGGAACTCACAGGAGGTTCCAGGTTGGATGACAACTTTTTCAGTAGAGCAGGTAGTTCAAAGGAAATACTCAGGCTGTGGAGAACCCCTGCTGGTTTTGAGGTAACATTTGAATTCACGAACCAAAATCAAAAGGTGTCCTCCCAAAAGTGTGTGTCAGTAATTTCATTCTCCACACTGTGTAATCTGATTTGCCACTGTAAGTCAATGCAACAATCACAGCAGCAAATACTTAAATATGTGCTCCAAACCTGGATAATTGCCCAGGAGCAAAACGCATCCAAGGATACAATATACTGACATTTAATAAAAGTTTGAATTATATTTGCAACCTGCTGGGATTTAATTTTCTTGAGTTCAATATTTAATAAAACAATAGAAAATGATTACAAGTGTCTTGTGCCATTCAGAAACTACTGATTATGAGCCTGGTTCTGGGTCACGTTGCAAGAGATCAAATCCCAATTTACTAGTTGTCTGACCAACAAATTACTCAGTCTACCTGTCCCTCAGGTTTCTCACCAGTTAAACAGGGATTATAGTAGAATCTACTTAACATGACTGTTGTGAGGATTCATGAATTATTGCACAGGAAGACCTTAAACCACTGCCTGGCACATAATGAGTACTCAGTATAAGTTAGCTATGTTTATTATTTTTTAAAGTGGAACCAGCCTGCCCCCTCTTCTTGCTTTGTTTGCTTGCTTGTTTCAAGTAACTGTACAAAAATCTACGTTTTTCAAGTTTGTTTCCAATTTTCTTTCAAATAAACTCTTTTTAAGCAGAGGAGAATTCTACCAATTGCAGACTTCAGCAAGTAGAATTTGAAATTGTGTGGACTTAGAATATAAGCAAGGGTCTATCGGAACCAAACACCATCACAAAGAAAGCTGGCTTTAAGGCAAACTTTAAAATTGGCACAGACTTCTGGGTTCCAGATCTGACAGGATTTCCACAAAGCACAAGGTGAGAGACCTGATAAACAACGTAATGCAACAGTATTGCTATGTCTACTTCTGCCCTCTCCACTGTATGCCTCATAATAGCAAGAAAAATGTCACATTTGCTTTTTTATCCTGGGAGGCTAATTGAATGTCAAGAACCTAGAAGGCATTCAGGGATGCTGGTTGGTTGTTTAAATGAATGAAATTGGAGATGAACCATATACTTGCCATGGATCTAATAGTGCCTCCTTTCTTTACGTATCTAGCACTAGATCAGAGCAGAGCACTTGTGAAAATCATGCTAGCTGAAGACATGTTTTGCTTAATTTTTTTTGCAAAATTCTGTTGAGGGCTTTATTTTTATTCCTGGATCTTTAATTATTTAAGTAGAATATGATATAAAATGGAGAAGAATATATAATAATAATCATAGCTTTCATTTACTGAAAGTTTAAATGTACCAAGCACTGTGCTAAGCACAAAGCATTTAATCTTTATAGCGAGTCTGGGCTACAGCTATTACTATTGCACCAGTTTTACAGATGATGAAAATGGAGAACATAAAGATTGAGGGAGATTTCCCAAGATCACACAGCAAACAAGCAGCTAACACAGACACGGAACCCAGTTTTATCGATACCGAAAGGCCACTACACTGCTTTTAACCATCACAGTGCATTAAACTCTCTAATATCACAAAATAGCAGAGACTGGCCGGGTGCGGTGGCTCACAACTATAATCTCGGCACTTTAGGAAGCCAAAGTAGGTGGATCACTTGGAGTTAAAACCAGCCTGGGCAACATGGTGAAACCCTGTCTCTACAAAAAATACAAAAATTAGTTGGGCACGGTGGCTCACGCCTGTAATCCCAGCACTTTGGGAGGCCAAGGTGGGTGGATCACAAGGTCAGGAGATCGAGACCATCCTGGCCAACATGGTGAAACCCCGTCTCTCCTAAAAATACAAAAATTAGCTGAGTGTGGTGGTGCGTGCCTGTAAACCCAGCTACTCAGGAGGCCGAGGCAGGAGAATCACTTGAACCAGGGAGTCGGAGGTTGCAGTGAGCCAAGATCACGCCAGTGCACTCCAACCTGGTGACAGAGTGAGACTCCGTCTCAAAAAAAAAAAAAAAAAAATTAGCCGACATGGTAGCCCATACCTGTCATCCCAGCTACTTGGGAGGCTGAGGTGGAAGGATGGCTTGAGCCTGGGAGTTCAAGGTTGCAGTGAGCTATGATAATGCCATTGTACTCCAGCCTGAGCGACAGAGTGAGACCCTGTCTCAAAAATAAATAAATAAATAAAAATAATAGAGACTAAGAGCATCTTGCAGATGATACAGGTAAGGAAACTGGGGCTCAGAGGTGTGAAGTACCTTGCCCAATACTACTCCTAACAATCCAAAACGCTTTCCTCTGTATCTATTCACTTCCTCTTTAACAAAAACAGCACTATTCTAACTTCGGTAAACCTCAGTCAGCCTCATAAGTGAATGCTAAAAAGATTTTCTTTCCAGAAATTACTTACTCTTGTTTCATAAGCTCGATCAATTCTTTTGTAATCCAAAAATATGCACCATGAATTAAATTCCATGGGTTACTTGTCTAAGCACTCCTTTTTTTTTTTTTTAACTTTCCTTGCCTTCAAAATTGCCACTCAGGGCATACTGCCTGAAACAGACTCCTTTCCAGGGACTGGGACTAATGGAGAAAAAGGAGGAAAGCAGACAAAATTCCAATCTATTTTTACAATCAGGTCTACCATTCACCAGATGATTGCCAAGTAATGTGACAACAGTTACTTAATATGGTTCAGCATCTTAACTAAGGTGCCCATTGTGTCCAATCCATTTGTTAAAGATATCCATACTACACTGGCCATGTGATAACTGTGTTATTGTTCTTCACCAAGCCAGCATTTAAATAAAACCCATACATGCAAAATGCAAATCTGATTACAGCAACAATAATGATCTCTTTAGTTTACAAGGAGGCTGCTACTCCAACAAGTGTGTGGACCTGTTTCCCTCCAGCAGTGTTAGAGGTTGGAAGACAGCCCCACAACTTACTACTGTTAGAACCAAGGATGCCTTCTCAAAGGAGGGGAGGAAGAAGATCCTGTTTCTGGAAAAGGAGAAACGGAGGGATCTATCCAGTCCTTTTGGAATCACCAGTAGAGCCCACTGCAGAATCATCTTATTAAAAGTGCCTTTCACCTAGCTTGTGTGGCAAAATGTAGATTGATTTTCAAATCTAGGGGATGGGTGGATGGGGTCCATGATTCTACTCTGTTTTTGTGAATTTGAAATCTTACACAGTGAATTGTGTTTTTGCTATTATTCTTTTAAAAGTAATCCTTTCCTTGGGAAGATGCTGCCTTGAGCCTTGTCTTAGAAACGATACTCATCCAGGAAGTAGAGGGCACTGGTCTTGAACTCAGAAGCCCATGACTTCTAGCACTTCAGTAACCCTTCTGGCTACACATTCTTGAGGATTCAGCCTTCTCTGATTCCCAGTCCCTTTTATATTCTCCTCCTCATTTTCTCCCATCATACTCTGGCTAGCCCTTGTCATACTATGTTTTCTTTCTCTTCTTCCCCATCCCCCTAATATGAGAATTCCTTACAAGAAGGGATCACAACCTATCCGACGTTGAATCCCCAGCACTTAGTACAATGTCTGCATGTAACCAGTAGTCAGTAAATACTTGCTTAGTCAAGGAATAAAGCAACTGACATTGGTTAAGTATACATGTGTTAGTAGTACCCATCTACTAGAGTTGTTGTAAAAGTTAAAAGATTCCCTTAGTACAGTGACTTTGAGATCACTTAGCACAGCAAGCACTCATTTAATGATAGCTGCTCTAGTAATTATCATTGTTACTATTATCATTATTATTACCCACCTATCATATGCTGTTTAATTGTCACCTGAAAAACAATGTTCATGGAGTTCTCAGTCACAATGTTATTAAGTGGCAGAATTTGAACCTAAGACCATCTGTCTCCAAAGTGCAGGCTCTTTGTTTCATTTCTTTTTTTTTTTTATTTTTTATTTTTTGAGACGGAGTCTCCCTCTATTGCCCAGGCTGGAGTGCAGTGGCGCAATCTCGGTTCACTGCAAGCTCCACCTCCTGGGTTCACGCCATTCTCCTGAATAGCTGGGACTACAGGCGCCTGCCACCACACCCGGCTAATTTTTTGTATTTTTAGTAGAGATGGGGTTTCACCATGTTAGCCAAGATGGTCTCAATCTCCTGACCTCATAATCCACCTGCCTCGGACTCCCAAAGTGCTGGGATTACAGGCGTGAGCCACCACGCCCGGCCTTCGCTCTGTTTCATTTCTAACAGCACTGCCAGCCCTAACATATATATTAGTCTGTAGGAGGGCCTGAAAAGAGCTGAAAGCTCTCAGGGTTACCAGTTGCGTATTGTTATCCTCACCAATAGGCTGTCAGAGTCTAGATGCAGGACACCCGGCACCTTCTGTGGCAGAAAGAAGCCATCAAGCTGTTCCAAGCTGCTTGAACTCAATTTAATTCCAGAATGGACAGACGGAAACAAATAGCAGTCATTGTAGCTCCTGTGATGGAAATCAATGTAGATTTATCTGGAATCTGCAGTTTTCTCTCCAAATATGCATTAGTGTTAGTATACTGTACATATACTTTTTCTTCAGTGTTAGTTTAATCATGATTGTATTAAGTCATGTGGGTGCTGCCAGTCCAACAGCACAGGTTTGGATCAAATGTTAAGAGAATACTGGATTGAAACAATTTCCTTTTCTGTCATTTGCACTTGAAATTTCCTTTTCCCGAAGAGCTGTGGATGGCAGATGTCTCAGAAGTCAGTGTGTGAAGTAGGCTGGCTGGGCAAGAGGAGCAGTAAGAGATAATCAGGTTATTAGCTCTACCTGTTTCACTTACTTGCCGATCTCGGGCAAGTCATTGCATCTCTTTACTCTTCTGTTTGCCCAGCCATAAATAAAAGAAATAAAGCACAGACCTAGTAAGGGTTGGAGTTATATTTGCAAAGTCCCTAAGTACCTATTTAAAAGATAATAAAAAGGAGTTTGTTCTATATGCAAATAGGTATATTATGTTGTTCCCCATGTCAAGAAAGCGTGGATTTTCTAAGCATCATCTTCATATGCCTTCCCAGCCCACCATTGAATAACCAGCATTAGTAGGCCACAGCCAGTCACTTTCAGGCCAAATGCAGTCTTGGAGTCCATTGGATTCAAGAGATCAGATATGTCCTCCTTGCAATGCATTTTCCTCTGTGAACTCAGCCAGGGATTCAGGATTGGACTTTCAGGACTCACCCACAGACACTACTTTTCTAAATGTATCACCAAGATAAAAATTTTAGTTACATCAAACAGTCTACACTAATCCTACATTTTTTACTTTCTGGGGACCTTTGAGTGAAATTTGAAGCTACCTCCCTGGCAAAGCAATGGAATCCCATAAAACAACAAAATGAATCATTAGTGTGGCAATAAAGGGTTAAAGGTAGGAGTGCATCAGATCCTAAAAGGTTTGCCAGCATCTTCCACGTGCAGTGGCTTCAGCTCCTTCTCAGTGGTTGGGGCTTCCTTTAAAGAACTGCAACATGAACAATCTTAGAGAGACCAAGGATTTCCCTCTTCAACAGCAAGCCTTCCTGGGGGATAATAGTCACCCGTCCCATATACTTTACATGTGAAATAATAAATAGGTAAATAGTGGGAAAAACAAGAGGCAGTGGAATCAAAAAGGACTGGAATGTGATATTTTTTACTAAGTGTTCAGAAAGCCAAAGAAATTTCAGGAACCAGCTTTTAAAAGCTTACTAACTCTGTTAGAAAGTCTAGAAATTGTGATTAAAATGGAGTGCTGAGATAACTTCCAATGGAGTCTGCAAGCCCTTGAAACATGAACAAAAGGAGACAATAGACCAGGACGCGCAGAGTAGACACGCACTCAACCCTAGGAGTTAGGGAAACACTGCCAACTCTCAGCCACAGAAGAATGTGTCTCACCCTTGTGTAATGAGGAAAGGCTAAACACAATTCGTTGTGCAGTGAATTGACTAGTTGAGTGAACACTGAATCAACTCTACTGGGCACACTGAGTTATCTTCAGATAACCCATTCATGTTTTTCAAGCTTTTATTCAGGAACCCTAACCAGGTATTGTTTATACCAATAAAAACTTGATCTGACAGGTCCTAATTATCATCTGATGCCCATGCTACATCACAGATGGTGGACAGACCAGCCTGCCTTGGAAAGGCCTATACATTTCCTGTTACAAAGAGAAAATGTGTAATGACCACATCCAGCCTTCATGCTGCCCTACTGTGTTGGTCTCTAACACTCCTACTGTGACTCTTAACCTAGGCTGCCCCTCTCCAATCATCTTCATTACCTGTTCCCCACCCTTTCCCTACAAATAGCAAACACTCCATTCCCTCAGTTTGCAGTAACTTGGTTAATGTAGTTTACACTACATTATAAATGTTTGACAGCCTTAATCTTTACAGAAGAATTTGCATTTTAAAATATAAGACCTGTTAACCTCAACTGATCTTCAATTTAAAGATTTTCATAATGTATAGGTGATTTTTGAAAGTATTAGAGTGTCTTGGTTTAGGGGTTCAAGTTGTTAAAAAGCATACCAAGCTACTTCAAGCAAAAGAGGAATCTGAATTTCATTCTTCTGTCTCCTCTCCCTGTACACCATTGACTGCTTCTTCAACTACATGGCAGAGTAAGGGTGTCCACACTTTTGAGATTCCATGTCAAAGTTTAAGAGACAGACTGGCTGTCTCTAAATACCATTTCCAATTTGCAGAGAAAGAAACTGACTGATACAGCCTGAATCCCTTCAAGGCCAGGGATGTGGGGATGATATAGATTCAATATGAATGTTAAGGCCCTACCTATGGGGAGAGAGTTTGGTTGGTGGGTCTCTCACAGACTGAACAGCCATCCTAAAAGCTATATCTTACTAGAGGCCTTGCCTCAGACTCTAAATTGCATTTTCCACACTTCCTGATGATAGATTCATCAGACTCTTGCCTAGAGAGTCTGAATCAGTGAGTGTGGGATGGGGCCTGAGAATGTCTACTTTTAGTCCGTGCATCTGGCAACTTTTACGATGAGGGAAGCTTGGGAAACCCTGTTGAATCAAACCACAGAGGCCACTGACGGCTGCAGATAAGGACATTTCTGACTAATGCAGCCAAGCCCTCCATCCTGCATTCCTCAAAATGTCTTGGCCTGTGATTCTCAATGAGCCTCCTCTCCTCAGCCTGATATCTTAGGAGTCTTCTATCCTGAATCATTTCAAGGTCTTGGGAAGTAATTGTGAGGAGACTCAATATTACCCATCCATCAACTTTAGTAGGAGACGTATCGGCTGTAAAGCAGGGATTAAAAAGAAAAAGTCAACTTTTCATAAAGATTTCTCTCCCCTTCCTTAGAGATCAGGATTCAACTGCCTTGAAAGTAGATGAATTCAGTATCTCTCACATTCTTCCTTCACCTCAATCCCACCATTTCAACCCTCCTGGGTATTTCCATCTCAGACGTTTTATCACGTGGCTTGGAAGATCAATTCATCTCTCCCAGAGCATTTCCTAAAGGGTTGATAGGACAATAGCATGTAATAAACTAAAGGCTTAGTTTTACATATTACCTTGTGAGTCAGTAATGTTATCCTAAGGAAAACAACGTGATGCTGGTTTATTTTTAGGTGAAGATAATCAAATAAAAGAAGACACAAGGTGCAGTTAGGGCAAGAATCAAGCAGACAACTAATCACAGCTATTGAAATCATTTGTTTCCCTTGTATAAAGTACAGTTGAGTTTTAAAAATAAGTGTGTCACAAAATAAGAAATACAAAAGGCCAATGCACATATGAAAAATTGTTCCACCTCAGTAAGAACACAAATTAAAAGAAAAATGAGCTCAGTTTTTGGCTATCAAACTGGCAACGATAAGAGAATAATCCCCAGTGCTGGTGAGGGTGTGGAAAGGCAGGCACTTTACCACATGGCTCGTGGGAATATGAACGGGTGCAGTTTTTCCAGAAGAAAATTGGGGTACATATTTCTAAAGTCTTAAAACTGTTCATACTTCTTAACCTAACAATTTTGCTTTTAATAATTTACCATACTTATAAGTGAGAACATGCGATACTTGGTTTTCTGTTTCTGCACTAGTTTGCTAAGGGTAATAGACTCCAACTTCATCCATGTTCCTGCAAAAGACACGATCCTGTTCTTTTTTATGAGAGCTAAATGATGAGAACTCACGAACACAAAGAAGGGAAAACAGACACTGGGGTCTACTTGAGGGTGAAGGGTGTGAGGAGGGAGAAGAGCAGAAAAAATAACTATTGGGTACTAGGCTTAATAGCTGGATGATGAAATAATCTGTACAAGAAACTCCTGTGACACAAGTTTACTATATAACAAACCTGCACCTGTACCCCCAAACCTAAAATAAAAGTTCCAAAAATAATAATTTGCCCTAAAAAATAATTAAGGCTAGGCACAAATATTTATGATGGTTGTTCGTAACAACATTGATTGTACTGGCAAATACCTGGACGAAAGAATATCCATCAATAGCAATTGGTTGAGCAAACTGAGGCAAGTACATACGATGGATACTACACTGTCACAAAAAATGATGAGATATAATTATCTTGACAAAAAAGTATGTTGGCAAAATATTAAGCTAAAGATAGTTATAAAATATGTGATCTATCTTTTATATTTAAACATTATGGTTTAAATATAAAATATTTGGCCATGCCTGCCTAACCCATGATCCATTATTTGGAATTACTTTCCACCCACAATCTCTACCAAAAGAGGCAGTTTCTTGGCTCTGTTTTAATAACAAGTTGACTTTGGCTGATTGATATGAGGAACCAATTAATATTCTGGCATTCTCTTTCTGGAGAATTGGAAATAAGAGACACAAACACCAGGCTCACATGCTTGTTGAGATGTGAACTTAAAGGATACTGTCAAATCAGGGGTGGCGTGGCCCTTTTCATCCACAAGCAAGCAGAGGAGTAAGCGGAGAGAGCCTTGTCTGTAGAGAGGAGAGGAAGAGAACAAAGAAACAGAGAATGGTGCTACCTGAGACTCTGATGGGTAGAAGAAGAGGTGTTACCGTCTCCCTCCTCTCACCACTTTTAAACAAGTCCCCTTTAGTTGAGCTATCTTGAGTCATATATGAGTAAACCTCCATGAATAAGTTCCAAAGATCTAGTGTACAGCATGGTAACCATAGTTAATAAAACGGCATTGTATACTTGAAATTTACTAAAAGAGTTGATCTTAAGTGTTCTCACCACACACAAGAAAAAGGTAAAAGGTATGAGGTGATACATGTGTTCATTAGTTTGATAGTGGTAATGATTTCACAGTGTATACATATATCAAAACATCATGTTGTGTACCCTAAATATATACAATTTTTATTTGTCCAATTATACCTCAATTAAGCTGTAGAAAAATAGTAAACCTCTAAGCTTACAGATAGTATTTCTGAAAGATGGAATTTCAAATCAATTTTATGGTCTCAGTTCTACTTTTCAGTATTTTCTGATTGCAACATATGACACAAAATGTCAGAAAGTCTACACTCCACTCAGGACTCTGCCATTAACTGAGTGACTTTGGGAAGTCATTTCACCATCTAAATTCTGCAGGAATTTCAAGCAGAGAATTCCAGGCTTTCTGGAGAAGATAGAGAAAACTCATGGGGGTAAGACCCACAGAACTCTGTATCTGCCCACCTTGTAGATGGCTTAAAACCTGAGGAACTCTCCCTCTCCCTCCCCCTCCCCCTCTCCCTCTCCCCATGGTCTCCCTCTCCCCATGGTCTCCCTCTCCCTCTCTTTCCACGGTCTCCCTCTCATGCCGAGCCGAAGCTGGACTATACTGCTGCCATCTCGGCTCACTGCAACCTCCCTGCCTGATTCTCCTGCCTCAGCCTGCAGAGTGCCTGCAATTGCAGGCGCGCACCGCCACGCCTGACTGGTTTTCGTATTTTTTTGGTGGAGACGGGGTTTCGCTGTGTTGGCCGGGCTGATCTCCAGCTCCTAAACGCGAGTGATCTGCCAGCCTCGGCCTCCCGAGGTGCCGGGATTGCAGACGGAGTCTGGTTCACTCAGTGCTCAATGGCACCCAGGCTGGAGTGCAGTGGCGTGATCTGGGCTCGCTACAACCTCCACCTCCCAGCCGCCTGCCTTGGCCTCCCAAAGTGCCGAGATTGCAGCCTCTGCCCGGCCGCCACCCCGTCTGGGAAGTGAGGAGCGTCTCTGCCTGGCCGCCCATCGTCTGGGATGTGAGGTGCCCCTCTGCCTGGCTGCCCAGTCTGGAAAGTGAGGAGCGTCTCTGCCCGGCCGCCATCCCATCTGGGAAGTGAGGAGCGCCTCTTCCCGGCCGCCATCCCATCTAGGAAGTGAGGAGCATCTCTGCCCGGCCGCCCATTGTCTGGGATGTGGGGAGTGCCTCTGCCCCACCGCCCCGTCTGGGATGTGAGGAGCGCCTCTGCCCGGCCGCCACCCCGTCTGGGAGGTGAGGAGTGTCTCTGCCCGGCTGCCCCGTCTGAGAAGTGAGGAGCCTCTCCGCCGGCAGCTGCCCCGTCTGAGAAGTGAGGAGCCTCTCCGCCCGGCAGCCACCCCATCTGGGAAGTGAGGAGCGTCTCCGCCCGGCAGCCGCCCCGTCCGGGAGGGAGGTGGGGGGGTCAGCCCCCCGCCCGGCCAGCCGCCCCGTCCAGGAGGTGAGGGGCGCCTCTGCCCGGCCGCCCCTACTGGGAAGTGAGGAGCCCCTCTGCCCGGCCAACCGCCCCGTCCGGGAGGGAGGTGGGGGGGTCAGTCCCCCGCCCGGCCAGCCGCCCCGTCCGGGAGGGAGGTGGGGGGGTCAGCCCCCCGCCCGGCCAGCCGCCCCGTCCGGGAGGTGAGGGGCGCCTCTGCCCGGCCGCCCCTACTGGGAAGTGAGGAGCCCCTCTGCCTGGCCACCACCCCGTCTGGGAGGTGTGCCCAACAGCTCATTGAGAACGGACCAGGATGACAATGGCGGCTTTGTGGAATAGAAAGGGGGGAAAGGTGGGGAAAAGATTGAGAAATCGGATGGTTGCCGTGTCTGTGTAGAAAGAAGTAGACATGGGAGACTTTTCATTTTGTTCTGTACTAAGAAAAATTCTTCTGCCTTGGGATCCTGTTGATCTGTGACCTTACCCCCAACCCTGTGCTCTCTGAAACATGTGCTGGGTCCACTCAGAGTTAAATGGATTAAGGGCGGTGCAAGATGTGCTTTGTTAAACAGATGCTTGAAGGCAGCATGCTCGTTAAGAGTCATCACCACTCCCTAATCTCAAGTACCCAGGGACACAAACGCTGTGGAAGGCCGCAGGGTCCTCTGCCTAGGAAAACCAGAGACCTTTGTTCACTTGTTTATCTGCTGACCTTCCCTCCACTATTGTCCTATGACCCTGCCAAATCCCCCTCTGTGAGAAACACCCAAGAATGATCAATAAAAAAATAAATAAATAAAAGAAAAAAAAAAAAACCTGAGGAAGAAAGACCAAATAATTCCTGCCCAGAGTAGCAGTTTAGATTTGACTCCTGGTTCAAGTGCTTAATATGTATGAGTTTGGGCAAATTGCTTAATGGGTTTGTATCTCAATTTCTTATCTGTAAAATGGAATTAATTTTGATACTTACTCCATAGGACTATTATAAGGATTAAAATGAGGTAAGTCATGTAAATTTCTTTGCACAGTCCCTAGAACACAAAGTAAGCATTGAAGAAAGTGTATCCCCAAAAAAGGTCCTGTTCAAGGAAAGGGGGTTCCTTCCTTTCCAAGAGACTGATTAATTCCCCACCTCTACACCAATGCTTCTCAAACTTCAGTGTGCAAATGAATCCCTTGGAGATGTTGCCACAATGCTGTTCCATTTAGTACATTTGGGGGAACTGGAGAGGGTCCGCTGAGAATTTGCACTTCCAACTAGTCCCAGGTGATGCCAGTGCAGCTGGTCTGCCAGGCTGGTGGTGTTAACAACTTTGCCTCGAAGAATACCTAACATATAAGGCTTTTTCATACCTATTATCAATATGCAAAAGAATTCATAGATGCAGGAGGCAGATAAGGGAGTGGGTTCCTGGAGAATCTCCGACAGGCCTGTGCACAGGGAGAACAGGGTGGAACCATGGAAGTTACTGTAGTTTGCACGGGGGAGTTCCTCTTCAGTTTCTGTGTGGTGGGTTGGTATTCAATCTGTGAGGTGGGAGCCTGTTAGCAGGAACCCCTCTCACTTTGCTGAGAGTTGTTTTCTTTTTCCCTTTTTGCCTAATAAATTCCATTCCCCTCACCTTTCAATGTGTCTACGAGCCTAACTTTTCCTGGTCGTGACACAAGAACCCGGATTTAGCAGAACTACGGGGCAGAAATTCTGCAACAGAATTAACTGTAAAGCTTTAATTGTGGGGCCTTTGGTTACTTAGATGTTCTAGTTAAGCCGGGGTTAAACACTACCATGTTTTCAGTTTCAGCTCCCGGAGCAATGGTTTCTAAAATAGATTATTAGTTCACTTTTTGGCTTTGGTGAGTAAGGGACATAATTTAATCTTTCTTTGATGATTTGTGAGGCACTTCAGACCCTTGCAATGCCTCAGGTCATTATTTAGAACATTCATTTTCACTTTCCTGTCCTAAAGATACAGGAGTTATAGGATAAGAAATTGAACTGAATTTGTTCGGATCCCAGGCATGGGCTGAACTCTGTTGACAGGTTTTATGTGTTTCTACTAACTCTTCGGAATGAGCATCGTTTCTTGCCTTATTGTGAAATAAAACATACTATGTGGTTAATTGAAGGGCCCAATTGCGCTCTGGATAGTGGAGTTATATGTAATGCCGTATCATCATACCACACCAGGCATGAAGGTGGGGACCCCTCCAGGGCCACAGCTGAGCACTAAAGGGCACATCCACAGGAAACATGACACACCTTGAGAAGCCCTGGAGCCATTTTACCTCATCAGTTATGCAAATACTCCTTTCTTCTCATCCTGTTTTGACAAAGGATTAGGGCCATCCAAAGCAATTTTCAAATAAATAAACTCAACACTGCGGCTACTGAGCATTCACGAAAGCTGTGTTCTGCTTTGCTTGCACTGGTGTCACAGAGGATTTCTGTGCCATGGAGTGATCGTTGCTTCACAAGATCTGTTAGAAACCACACGAACCATGCGTCTTGTTCTGCTTTCTCCATTCAGTTCTGTCTGGTTCCTTCCCTCTCCTCCATTCCCCTCCCCACTCTCCTCTTCCCCCTTTCTCCTCCCTCCCAGGCATTCTTGCTGAGAGAAGACCTGTGATGTTTACATTCAAGGAGAAGGCCACATCCTCTCTCCACTTCTCACTCGGGCATTCCTTTTATATCCAATCTTTGTCTCATGAAATTTCTCTGTTAACACAAATTCTATTCTTACCGGGGAACTTGTCTCCTTTTGATGTATTTAAGGGCAGGCACCATTTCTCCTGGATTTCAACTCTTTCTGAATGTCTGCAGGTTTCTGCACACACACATGTTTACCAAAGGCTGCAGACAAAGGCTCCTTCTGGGCCCTGAGATTTATCGTCTCCCCCGATCCTTCCTTTTTGGCCATTGATAGACATGGGTGTGGGTGTTTGCTTGTATAACTCTGTGTCATCATCAACACCAATCCAAAACAAACACAAATCTAACTCCAGAAGCGAAGAATGATGTTGATCAATTCTATCCAATAAAAAAATTAATACCAGAAAAATATGTAATTTGTTTTCTAGTAACCTGTTTTTGTTTTTGTTTTTGTTTTTGTTTTGAGACAGGGCTTACTCTGTCACCTAGGCTGGAGTGCAGTGGTGTGATCTCAGCTCATTGCAGACTTGTCTTCCTGGGCTCAAGCAATCCTCCCACCTCAGCTTCAAAAGTAGCTAGGCCTATAGGCACGTGCCACCACGCCCAGCTAATTGTTGTATTTTTTGTAAAGACAGGGTTTCACCATGTTGCCCAGGCTAGTCTCAAACTCCTGGGCTCAAGTGATCCTCTCACCTTGGCCCCTCAGAGTGCTGGGACTACAGGAGTGAGCTGCTGCACCTGGCCTTACTTTTTTTGAAAAAAAAGAAAAAGTAAAAAGAAGCAGGTAAAATTAACTTTAATATACTTTAATCCAATATATAAAAATTTTAACATATTCAATGTAAAAAAATTGTCAACAAATTCAATGTAAAAAAAATTGCCAGTGAGACAGATATTTTACATTCTTTTTTTCATCCTAAGTCTTTGAAATCCAGTGTGTATATTACACTAGCTGTGCATCTCAACTGGGGCCAGCCACATGCCAGAGCTCAATAGCCACATATGGCTACTACTCCCACCACCCAACAGAGCAGAATGTAGGTCTTCAGTGTGATTTTCTTGGAGGAGCAGGGCAAGATTTTTCACAGCATATATAAAGGCTACATCATGAAAACTCTTTTCAGATGACTGTCTCCAAAGTTTCCCACCCAAGGCAACTGCTAAGAATCTCTCACCCCACTTATCCCAAGTCACCTCACTGCTTGGCCCTACTCTCCCCTTTTCCCTCCTCCTTCTCCACTGCCTTTCCTGTCCCAGCCCCTAATACCCAGAACTCTTCTCCAAGTACTTTTACTCCAAGAATTAGTCCTCCTGGAATTGTAGTGCATAAAATCGTTTTATTCACTTATTCTTAGAGGTTCACAGTTCAGCTGGCACCAGCTCGCCATTCTCCCAGATTTCTGGTGGGGGCCATGCCTGGATGAGCACAAGTGATCCCCAGGCAGGAACAGATGAGCCACTCTTCAGATGCACGGGGACTTCACCAAGGCAACCGAGTCTGCCTGCAGTGAAAATGCTCCTGTTAACCAGCCCACTCTTCAGAGCCTTCTCGGGATGGCTGCCAGCACTGCAGCACTATTGGGAGAGGTAACGGGAAGAGAAAGGATTTCTGCTCCATGGTAAACACTGTTTCCTCCCTGAGACTCCTGAGAGTCTTGGGAATTAGAGGGTAGGGGAACTCAGATGCAAAGCAATACTCCCTGGACCCCATTTTTATTATATTTAGCTGTAAGGGCTACAGAATTAATTTTTAATTAATTGAGGTCTGTTTGCACAGCATTTCTGTCAACACCAATTATAGCTACTCTTTGCTTCTCTAAGACTCAGATGTGCTGTCCCCCAAAGACCACACAGGTTGAGTTACATCTTCTGGTGATGGCAGAGGATTTGTGCATGTTTGGCACTATCCCCCCACCCCAAGATTCCTTTCAAAATTCATGGTTTTGGATCATTTGATTGGGATGAAAATAGCAAACTTTTATCATAAAATAGATCCGCTATCCAGGGAGAATGGACATATAATATCTAGATAAGTAGCCTTGACCTTCTTAAGACACTGTTGGAGCTGACTGAATGAACGCACATGATTACAATATCCACATGAAAGAAATGATTGAACTGCCCAGGATCTACCTCAAAATGACCCAGATTTTTATGGGAATCAAAATCAACCCGGAATCTCCAAGGTCATCCAGATCAAGAGAGGCCTATGGCCAATCTGTTGAACCTCTGACGTTTTCTAAACCAATTCAGTACTGGGAGAAATGGTTTGTCCAGGGAGATCATGAATTTGATCAGCATTCAGTTTAGCAACTTTAACTTCATATGAATCACTCAGAGAAAACCTGGCTGAAGACCTGGCTACTCTTGAAACACCCACTTGTATCTAAATATTAAAAAATATCTAATAAGTATCAATTGTTATTTTCATTTTTCCCCAGCTGAATCGAGTCATTCTAACACTAAACAGCTTTTTAATATCTTTGACACACTCCTCCTTCTATGTCTGCCAATATTATAATGTATTATTTGGCAGATGATTTTCTCATTTCTTTTCTCAACTTGGCAACCAGAACTGCTTCTCTTGAATTGGCAGAAGTTATAGATGTCCATTCTTGCTGACTTTTGTGCCCATTCATTGCCAAAAGTTCATAATTTTTAAGATTTTCAAAAATTTCCCTGGTGTGTGTGTGTGTGTGTGTGTGTGTGTGTGTATGTATGTGTGTGAGTGTGTGTAGTGGTTATTATCTATAACCAGAGATTTAATACAGTATTTTCCACGTTTACTCTATTGTTTAAAAAGTACCTAACATAGGCCTCTGACTCCTTGAAATCCTCAAGAAATATTTAATTGTCAATTGGGACAAGTTATGCAAGAATTCTATTCACAATCTAATTAACTTAAAGGGTTTTTTTTGTTGTTGTTGTTAAATATAAAAGGATGTCCTCCCATGTATGGTAAGTACATCATAATTTTCTCTGAGCTAGTACATTTATGATAATTCTCTCTGCTGATCTAGATGAATAATAATTTCAGAAGAGTTTAGGACAGCTGTGGTACAGTGGAAAAGGTGTCAATGACTTGGACTCTGCCACCAGCAATTTGTGTCTTGGAAGATCACTTAATATCCATGAACCATATTTAATTTATCTGTTAAAACATGAGATTGGATTAGATCCATGGTTTCCCAAGGTGCAAATCCCTAGGGGCCTCCAAATCCACGAGATTTCCAAATCCATACGTATCATGTCTCACTCATGTAGGAATATAGGAATAGCTATTTCTTTCAAATATGTGTAATTGCTGTTCTAATTCATAAAGCTTAAATTTATATAAAATGATCCTTGAATTTATAGCAGCATATTGTCATTATACACCTTTTCAATCCATGGATGGTATAAGTTAGTACAACTATGTGAGAATCCAGAAAATGTTGATGTTGAAAAGAGATTCTTATACTTGAAAAAGCTTGGGAGCCTCCGTGGTATAATGATCTGTACGATCTCTTGCAGCAATAAAATTCTATGACTAAACATTTCTATTTTGACAGGGGCCTTTCCGTGCCCTAACTCAAAGGTCTCCCCGAACATGGGCAGATTTAGAGTATCCATCAACTCTCATCATGCAAACCAGAGCTCCCTCTGGTCCTGCCACGCTCTAATTAACTGCAATAGCTCCTGCAAAAGAGAAGGAAATTCCAGATGGGGGCTATTACTGTCTTAGAAGATTTTTTGGGATTCTTCTTTTCCTCATCTCTGTTTCATTTAGCTGTCAGCTCACTTCTGGCTGCATGTTTCTGGAATAGGGAATCTATAGTAATGCTGGTCACTAAACATGAAGCAGTTAGTCCACTCTCATTTGTAACCGCAGCGTTTTAACTCAAAATGAAACATCTTTTCAAAACAGGGTCATGCAAATATTACACACAAATGACAAACCACTTCTTTTGGGAACCAACTAATTCTTTTTTCACCTTAATGTAGGCCCTAGAATAATCCTGGGTGGTGAGAATTCTTCCAAGGAGATAGGCCTATATGCTCATTTGTGTAGGAAGCCAAGGTTCATGATATAAAAATAAAAAGATATGAATATCTTATAAAGACATGAGAGAGGGACAACTTACTTATTGTGTGTTCCTTAAAGGATCGACAATATTTTATTTACCTGAATCCTTATTTGTGTACCTAAATCCTAGAATTTGTTTATAGTTGTTTTCAATAAATATTTGCAAAATGGTACATTTCCCTAATATAGAAACAAGCATTAGGACTGGAAGAGGATCTTGCCTGCCTCTCGACTAAAGGAGATAAGATGAAAAGTAATCAATCACAGGCTTTGAGTTAATATAAATAATACAAAATAATAAATAACACGATATTTATTAAAATGCTCTTTCTAAGAACTTAGAAAAAATGAGTAATGAGCCAATAGAACTATCAGAACATATCACTGTAAAGTGACAGATACCAATTTTTCCACAAACATACTGAAAATTCACTTTTTTTGGAAATTAGTTTATCAGACTACATGTGGAGTTAGCAAACTACTATGAAACTAGGACATGACTAAAAATGTCAGAGGAATGGCCCAGAGGGAATATTTGCTCCAATCTAAAATGCCAGAGAGTTGGAGGTCCTAAAAACTCTTCAGGAAAAGAATGAGCAAAAATGTTTAAAAAGAGATATAGGTGAATCAAGGTGCTCAAGAAATATACAAGTTAAGTAAAAAGAAACAAAATAGCTGACTTAGAATGTTTCAAAAGTGAGAGGGCATTGGTGATTTTGTGACCTCCAACTGAGTGGTTGGCATGGCAGCAAAGAGAAACTTCAGCGGAAGAGTTATTTACAGGAATAGTACATGTGGAAATTAACATTTTTTTCCTAGTAGCCATTATAATGTGCCTAGCACTATCCTAGGCAATTTAATTTCTCTTCTAATTCCATCTTCTCAATTCTACCAGGTAGGTATGTACAACGTGATCTCATTTTACAGATGAGGCTCAGAGAAGTTTGCCTAAGATGACCCAACCAGACAGTGATGGGGCCAGGATTTGAAGACAGGACCCTAAATCTGAAGCCTATGACCAGTATTCAACACTGCACATCTCCGTTAAGAGTTCCTAATGGAAACTAAAGGAGCAAGGGATTTAGGGAGTAACAAGACGAAATTACTGAAGAAGGGAAGTACCTTTGACTATGAAAAGTTCAGGATCTGCTTCTACTAAATGAGAAGAGCTTCTCTGCCACATGTGAGAAAGGTGAAATGGTCCGCCAATAAAACAAGACGTCGAAGCATGATTTTAAAAGGAAGAGAAGGAAGGTATTAGCAGCAGAGACCGCTGACATTGCTGCACACTATTTATGAGATTTTTGCCAAAATCCTGCTGCAATGTCTGATAACCACAGCCACCGGCATGACAAATGAAATCTGGCAGTCTGCCATAGGCAGGCGGTGAACTTAAGGGAAGTTGCAAAGAAGGGGTGAGAGAGAAAATTTACTAGATTTTGAGCAGGGAAAAAGTTTTTGCTCAGACAAGACAAACCATGTAAACACAAACTAGACAATAACACAAAGCAGTGTATTATGGGAAGATATACTTTTGATACAGGCTATGAGGAATATAGGAAATCAAGTATTGGTGCTAAATACCATGTATGTATTTTCTCATAAATTTTTTTAAAAGATAATCCTAGTCTGGAAAGTATTTTTAACTACATTTCAATTGCACAAACAAAAAAGAGTGAAGTTTAATTGAGTAGTAGAGAAAGTGCTGGACTGAAAGTCCAGAGATTTAAGATAATATCTTCAAACAAATACTTTAACATTGCTAAACTTTAATTTCCTTACTGGTAAAGAGGGCATCATAATAATATTAAGCTCCGAGGATTTGGGGGAACATTAAATGCCATGATGTTTGTGAAAAAGTCTTACAAATTGCTGGTACTATTCAATCTTCATCATCATTACCATTATTCCTGCTTAGTTCCTACTCAGCAGTGTGACTTTGCCAGCTATAAAATAGTAGTAGAGATTAAGAGATTAGACTAGATTATCCTTAAACTTTCACATTCTCTGCTTATATAAGTTATTATTTCTCTTCAAACTTAACATAAATATATGTTGCAATAGATAAACAATTAAAATGTGTAAGAAGCTGGGTGCGGTGGCTCACGCCTGTAATCCCAGCACTTTGGGAGGCCAAGGCGGGTGGATCATGAGGTCAGGAGTTTGAGACCAGCCTGGCCAGCAGGTGAAACCCCGTCTCTACTAAAAATACAAAAAACAATTAGCTGGGCCTGGTGGCGCATGCCTGTAATCCCAGCTACTGGGAAGGCTGAGGCAAGAGAATTGCTTAAACCCAGGAAGCAGAGGTTGCAGTGAGCCAAGATCACGCCACTGCATTCTAGCCTGGGTGACAGAGCGAGAGTCCGTCTCAAAAAAAAAAAAAAAAAAAAATATGTGTAAGAACACAGCATCCCTATGGCCGGTAAGTGGAGAGAAAGAGAAGTTAAACTAACAAAGAGAAAGACAAAGCTGCCCATGTAATCCCATACATTGTGCATGGCACACGGATCTGTCAGTCATAAGAAAACACTTTGAAATTTGAAAGCAGTGGGGTAAAATTTTGAAAAGAATCATCAGTATGCAGACTGAGCCCAATCACACTCCCATTGAAAGGACAGAGACCAATGATAGAATAACACACCAATGCCACTTCCTCATCTATTTGGTAAACTGCTGATTCTACAAAGTGTGATACAGATGTCTGTCACCTCCTCTGTGAAGCCTTCCCCAAATTGCTCTCAGAGAACTATGTGTATCATAAGCTCACCAAGTTATTGAATGTTTCACACGTCTGTCTACCCTCTAGATTGCTAGATCCTTAAGAATTAGAATAGCATCTTACTCAACTTTATAGCCTAGTAAGCATAGGGTCTGGCACATAAAAGGTGCTCAATAATGCTGGATTGTGAGTTGATTAATTAAGTGAATGTTGAAAACACAAATTACATGATACTTTGGCTGGCTGGCTCTTAAGTCAACAGAAGACTTCTAACTTTAAATAGCATTTCACAGTCCCTCTAAAATTTCTCTTAAAACATCTATGAATATGAAGGGGGAAAAAATAAAAACATACCATTCTGAAAGCTCAGACATTTTCGCAAACCACCATACTAATGGAACTGTGCTAGGAGTGCAGTTTGTAACCCCTTGTGTTATTCTGCCTGAACAGAAAGACAGCCCATCTGAAAAAAGGTACAAAGACCATTCATTTCTCTAAACAATCTGGCTCCCTGGAATAAGAATGCCAGATCTGTTTCAACCCAGAAGAGGGATAGTTGACCTTTACTGGCTAGCTACTGCTTTTGGAAGCTATCAGAATATTATTTTTCATACCTTCTTCAATGGATGAAGATCCAACTTATGAATTATAGGTAAAAGAAACCAAAGCAAATGGAATGGAAACCGTAATCAAAGACATAATGTTTTAAAAATCATGAATTGAAAAATGTCTCAAGTATGCAGATTCAAAGAGCTTACAATATTTCAGATTTTGTGTGTGTGTGTATGTGTGTAAAATACCTGCAGCTAAGTGCATTCTTGGAAGAGATTTAATATGAGTATAAAAAAACTCTTTAAGCATCCAGACAGGAATAGTACATTGCATATAAAGAAGGGAAAGTCAGGCTGCTCTCAGAATTTTCCTTTCTATTATTATATGTCAGAAGGAAATTAAGCAAAATGTACAGAATTTTGAGGGCAAACGTTGTCGTTCAAGATTTCACACCTAGCTCTTATGATTCTTTTAGTTGCAAATACAAGGAAAATCAGTTCAAACTGGCATTAGGGGAAATAAATGAATATATTGGCTCACAAATCTTCCAATGTAAGTTTAGGTACAGCTGGATCCAGGGGCTCAAATAATGTCATTCTCCTGCTCTCTCTTCCTCCCCACCAATCTTGCTTCATCCTGTCTCTGCCTTTCTTTCTATATTTGTCTCATTCTCTCCCACTTAAAGTACATTGACCCTTGAACAACACAAGGGTTAGAGACACTGACTCCTGTGCAGTTGAAAATCCACATATAACTTTTGACTCCCCTAAAACTTAACTACCAATAGCCTACAATAACAAAAGTAATCAATTAACATACATTCTGTATGTTATATATATGATATGCTGTATTCCTACAATAATCTATAGGAAACAAAATTTTACTAAGAAATCATAAGGAAGAGAAGATACAGTTACTATTCATTAAGTGGAAGTGTATCATCATAAATATCTTCATCCTTGTCATCTTCACATTGAATAAGCTGAGGAGGAAGAGGAGGAAGAGGAGGAGCTGGTCTTGTTGTCTCAGGGGCGGCAGAGGTGGAAGAAAATTCATATGTAAGTGGACTCATGCAGTTCAAACCCGTGTTGTTCAAGGGTCAACCATACCGTGTTGCCAGATGATTTTGCCAACTGTAGTTTAGCTAATGTAAGTGTTCTGAGCGTGTTTGAGGTAGGCTGGGCTAAGCTGTGATGTTCAATAGGTTTTAATGAACACGTGTACACTCTTTCCCTATCCTAAGAAACACGGCCAAAGAAACCATTTCCAGCCCACATTGTTTTAGTTCGTGTTTCAAATGGAAGATAGATTCATGCATCCATGAGATTTTAATCTCATGAAAATCTTCTGGTTACCTGTACTCAGAACATGTCCCATCACCATGAATAAGAGGTTGGACCATTAATGGTCATGCCTGGCTCATTCAATGCTCCTACAGCCAGGGGATACACTGTGATTAACAGTCCAACAAGAAACTAATGAGATGGGAGAGAGGCAGTTCCTTCACAGAAAAAAGGGTGGATGGACAATAAGAGCAAATGTCAACTATTAATACATTTCCCTCCATGTCTGCTTAACACATACTCACACACATCTCTGCATATTTAATTTCAAAAGTGCCTCGACTTAATGTTTGTCCAACTAATGTATATCCCAAATCACACTTACTCCAAATGAAACAACCCAGAAACACATACAGTCAGCAACCCATCTCCACTTCCAGGATCTCTCAGTGATGCACACAGCTCTCACATCCAGATATGGTACCTCTTGGTCCAACAACCTGCAGTTTAAATGATTAACATAATAATCCCCTATACTTTCATTACACAGTAGAGAAGGGAAAACAGGATATCTCCAATTAAAACTCCATTTAGAAAGGGTGACATGACATATATCACTGCATGTACCATGCTCTGCAGAATGGCATAGCAAGGATTTGCATCTTAACAGTGGAACCAGTCTGACTGCCCCCAGGATTTGCTCTGTGGGCAGACCACCCAAATTCGTTATTCTTTAAAGCTGAGCCTGAAATAAATGCCAGGAGGGGGTCCCTTCTAGAGGTCCTGCCCTTTAGCATCCCTCTTACTTTTGTTATTGTTGCCTTAGAAACATAACAACCCCAAGCTCCTTGGGGTTGGCATTTATCTGGCAATTCTGCACCTGTAAAACTCCAGACAGCTACTGTTGGAGCCTACTTCTATGAATGAACACACCAGAAAATCTTGTCTTGTCATGTCCTTGATTATGGACCAGACTCTTCTGCATATCTGTCCCTTCGCAACAGGTCTGAGCCTTCAGCTAAATGACTCTTAAGTAAGATGTTCAGGTAGAACTAATCTAGCTGTATGCCCAGGCTGAATCCCATTGGCTGGCTGTTTACTATGGACTGAATTACCTTTACCACCAGCAAGTTCTTCACAGGAGAGCAGGAGAGTGGGGAGGGACTTAAAGGATCAGTCTTCCAGATTTCTGAAATTCCTCCTGTGTCCCAACCACATCCCCCACTGTGTCTCCCACCTCCCAGCCTCTGCCAACACTAACTTCAGCTTGGGGCAGGGATATTGGCTTTTGCAGTTCCAAGAGGTGCAGGATTATCTGAACAATCTCAGTCTAAGATTACTGCTCATATCCAAATGGGAGAAAGGCATCTCTTAATGAAGTTACAAACTATTTCCTTCCTGCTTTCAGGGGGATCAATTCATACCGAAGCTTTTTCTTTTCTTGAAAGACATGCAAAAAGCAGACATCCTGAACTCTTGACAATTCCCCTAAAGCTCTAGCCTCAGTGGGCACATGATCTGAGTCCAAAGAAATAACAGGTGACCATTTGGCCACATGTTTCAGAACAGCATGACAAGGAATGGCAACTTTCCTGCCCAGGGTATAGGAGTGCTCACCATCCTGCGCCACACTTAACCAACTCTTCATTGTAGAGTCTGTCTCTAGCCATGGCCTACCCCTAATACCAATTCTATCCTTTTTGAGTTGTAAAGCATAGAAAAACCACTCATACAATTTTTTTTAAAAAAAGGAAATGTATTGGCTTGTATGATTGGGAAGTCGAAAAGTAACACTTCAAGCACAGCTGGATTAAGGATCTCAAACTATTCACAAGGGCTCATTCTCACTTTCTCTTTCTCTCTCCCTCCATCTATTTATCTGTCTATCTGTCTATCTCTCTATCTGTCTATCTATCATCTCTATCTGTTTACACCTCTTTTTCTCTGCCTCTCTCAGATCTACTTCTTTCTGTCTTTTGTTTGTTTTATTTTGTTTAAGTTAACCTCATTCTCTCTTGCCATAGATGGACCCTGTTCACATCACAGGAAAAATCGTCACGGACAGCCCAACCCTACATCCATACAGTTCACAATCCATCCAGGTAATTTATTCAAGGACCATGATTGGCCCTATTTAGAGTGTATGCCCACAGTTTTGATAAGTATTTGTGGACAGGTTATCACAATTAACCAGATCTGCGTATGTGTACACGCTGAAATGATATTTACACTAAAAATACAGAGGTCTGGAAAGAAAATCATCCTCAACCAAAAACCCAAGATACTGGGTAGAAAAGTACAATGTTCCATCACTCTGACAGACTTGTCTTCTCTGCTTGAGGGCATTCCCAGATATTCATGGGCTCAGAAAATATACTATCCATTTATCTTTTTTGAAAAGAGTACTTGAAGAATTTCACCAAACCAAAAAAAAAATGAACCAACATAACTATATTAAGAAAAGAAATGTCCAGATACTAAAAAATACTGGTGTACTTCCTTTCCTTGGTCTTGACCTTAAATTTGAAAATCAAGTTTTATTTGTGTTTTCAGGTAGATCTTGCCATCCTGGGGTGATACTTGCCCCCAACCTCTTTTTCAACATTACTTCTCCTTTGGCTCTTTCTCCAATTCTGGAAATCCAACTCTCAAGTCACATTCTTTATAACACATTTTAGATAGCATCTCTATTAGATTTGACCAGTTAACTAGCATAATTGCTACACAGCTACTAGAATGGCTAAACTTCAAAATACTAACATCACCAAATGCTGATAAGGATGTGAAGCAACAGAAACTCTCATTCATTGCTGTTGGAAATGCACAATGGTACAGCCACTTTGGAAGAGAGTTTGGCAGTTTCTTACAAAACTAAACATAGTCTTACCATACCAGTCAACAACTGTACTCCTAGATATTTACCCACATGAGTTGAAAACTTATCTCAACACAAAAACCTGCACATGAACATCTATAGCAGCTTTATTAATAATTACCCAAACTTGGAAGCAACCAAGATGTCCTTCAATAGGTGAATGTGTAAATAAACTGTGGTACATCTGGACAATGGAATATTATTCATCAAGAAAAAGAAATTAACTATCAAGCCACGAAAAGCTGGAAGAATCATAAAAGCATATTGCCAAGTGAAAATAAAAACAGTCCGTAAAGGGTACCTATGTATGATTCTGACTATATAAATATTCTGGAAAAAGCAAAACTTAAAATCACAGTAAAAAAAAAAAAAACACGGTAGAAACATCAGTGCTTGCTAGAGGTTTGGGGTAGGGGAGGGTGTAGTAATGGGGGAGCACAAGGGATTTTTAGGGCAGTGAAACTGTTCTGTATAATACTGTAACAGTGGATACATGACATCATGCATTTGTCAGGACCAGTAGAACTGTACAAAACAAAGAGTGAGCCCTAATGCGAACTATGGACTTTAATAATAATGTATCAATATCAGCCCATCAATGGTAACAAATGTATCACACCAATGCGAGATGTTAATGATAGGGAAAACTGAGGACATGTATGGAACTGTGTACTTCTTGCTCACTTTTGCTGGAAACTTAAAACTGCTCTAAAAGTGAAGTCCAATAATTTAAAAGAAAAACAAAACCATAGTTGGCTAAAGCATCTTTGGGTGCCAGAAATAAGGAAGTGCCCAAAAACAAAATGTGGGTATGTCAAAAGGAGACAAGAGCCAATCTAAAAGAGCTCCCAGTGGTCAAAACTAGATGAACTTATATAACAAAATACGTAACTATAGTATTGGTTTATAGCTTATACAACAAATAAATATCCATGAGTCCATACTGATATAAGTAAATAACAAAATAAATAAATAAACAGAGAGAAGAGACAACTCTCCCTTACAGAATAATTCCAATGAATAAATATAGAAGGAATGAAGGAAATAGAAAAACACCATTTGAACACCAGTAATAACTGCTGCAGGCAAGTTCTACTGATAAATGCTAAAATTAGTGGGTGAAAGTTTGAAGAGGAACAGAATATTTGCATAGTCCCAAAATATTGTCCACAAATTACTTACTATTTATAAAGGAAAAAAAGTTACTATACAATGGAGAAGCATAGCAGATGCCACCTTAACTGAGTGGTAAAGGCTAACATCACCAGTAATAAAATATATTGAATCATGTACCCACTGATACGATGTATTGAGAAGGGTGCATAACCCCTGCAGTATTTCTCTCTTAAATGCAAAATCTCAATCTTACCATGAGGAAACATCAGGTAAATCCAAATTGAGGGATATTCTACAAAATACCTGATCAGACTGTTCAAAAAGTATGAAGATCCTGGAAGACCAGGAAAGGCTGAGGAATCGTCACACATTTGGAGAAAACTAAGTGCAATGAGAGATCCTGGATAGGTATTAGGCTCTGAATGTGTCCCCCAAAATTCATATGTTGAAACTGAATGGCCAATGTGATCGTATTAAGAGGTAGGGACTTTAAGAGGTAAACTGACAGGAATGCAGCTCTCATGGATGGGATTAGGGCCCTCACATAAGGGCTTCAGGGAGTGGGTTCACCCTCTTCCACTATTCCACCATGTGAGGACACACGCTTCGTCTCCTTTTGCCCTTTCTGTTCCTTCTGCCATGTAAGGACACCTAGATGTCACCATCAATGAGAAACAGGCCCTCACCAGACACGGAATCTGCCGGCACCTTGATATTGGACTTCCCAGCCTCCAGAACTGTGAGAAATAAATTTCTGTTGTTTATAAATGACCTGGTCTCAGCTATTTTATTCTAGCAGCACAAACAGACAAAGACAATAGACTTTCCACCAGGAAAGGGACATTAGTGGAAAAACGTAAAATTTGAATAAAGTCTGCAGTTTAGTTCATAGTACTGTATCAATGTCAATTTTTGAGTTTTGATAATTGTATCATGGTTATGTAAGATGTTAACATTAGGGAAGTTGGATGAAAGGTATATGTAAACTCTCAGTACTGTTTTTGTTACACCTCTGTAAGTCTAAGCTTATTTCAAAATAAAAACTTAAAAACAATAGTTGGTCTTGTTCTGTGCTGGCATTTGTTACCAGTGTGTAAACTGCCCATGGGACTGGGAAAATTAATAACTAGAAGTGTTTCCTTTCCCCAAAGATAGAGACATATAGAACAATATAATCATTTTCATTGATGAGAAATCTGAAGAACAATTCCTATATTTTATAAGTTAATACCAAACACCCCTAATATTTTGCATGTCATCTTCCATCTAAACCTGTGAGTATTTCAGTGCCAAATATTAGTACAGAAAATGTGGTGCCCAAAGTAGGTTTTGAAAGTCTAATACAATAGTATATTATTATAAGATATGGGAAGTAGTGTTCAGTTGCCTGGGTTTGGATCACTATTGATCCCCTTAGCGGCCATGTGTTTGGAAAAGAAACCCATCCTTTATGCACCTCAGTTCGTTCATCTGTAACATAGGAAACATGAGACCACCCACCTCATGAGGTTGCCTGAGGACTACATGGGTTATTAAATACAAAGCCTCTAGAATAGTGCCTGGCCCACAGTCAGCACTAAATCAAAGTTCACTGCTATGGTGGTGGTTGTTATATAAACTGCACAGGGAATGGCACTTGGTTTTGAAACCTAGCTGCCTTATATTTTTGTTTTTATACTTTTCCATACTTTTCAAATTTGCTTTAACCACTTTTATTATAAAAACAATAGGCTTCTAGAAAAGATCTATACCATACATTTGTAATTTTTGTAAAGAAAAATTCACATAGAGACATGTAACTGTCCTCTCCAGACTCATTTCTTTCTCACAAATCTCACAATCTAGCCATAATTAATTTCTCTGTAGCCTTTCTCCATATCTCACTCTATGCATCTCTTCATCTGTATCATTTGTAATATTCTTTATGATAAACCAGTGAAAGTGAATGTTTCCCTGAGCTCTGTGAGTTGCTCTAGCAAATTAATCTAACCCAAGGAGTGAGCTGTGGGAACCCATATTTACAGCCATTCAGTGAGAAGCACAGGCAAAATAACTTGGGGCTTGTGATCGGCATCAGAAGTAGGACTCAGGATGGGAACAGTGGCTCACGCCTGTAATCCCAACACTTTGCGAAGCCGAGGCGGGCGGATCACTTGAGGTCAGGAATTCGAGACCAGCCTGGCCAACATGGCAAAACCCCATCTCTATGAAAAATACCAAAATTAGCCAGGCATGGTGGTGGGTGCCTGTAATCCCAGCTACTCAAGAGGCTGAGGCACGAGAATTCCTTGATCCTGGGAGACAGAAGTTGCAGTGAGCCGAGATCATGCCACTGCACTCCAGCCTGGGTGACAGAGGGAGACTCTGTCTCAAAAAAAAAAAAAAAAAAGTTTGTAAGAATGTGGAATGTAGCACATACGTTATTGACTAAAATAAGCATAGATCTGAGGTTTCCTGTATTCAGTGTATGCATTACCCCACCCCCTCCCCAGTTTCCCATCTCCAACTCCCTCTACCCTAAATTGAAATTTCTTACTAAACTCTCCTTTGTTTACCTCTAGGGATCTGTTCTGCCGGCTGTGGTCAAAACACAGAGGCAGGATTTCTAAATGATGGGGATAAATTGTGAAGAAAATAAAATAAAAGGAGAGGTGAGGTTAGAAAAAACAATGGAAGAAATGATAGCAAACTAGTCCCTGCACAAACCAGGGAAGTAAGTAGTAGATGCTGTTTAATCACCTTAGGATTTAACCAGAGAAAGTGGAGGCATCTCCTCTTTGCCTCTTGGTCAGTTGCATCTTCTGTCTTTCTTGTGGAGGTTACCCCAATGGAGGTCACCCCAAGAGCTAGGGTAATCAACCATTCCAGTTGGTTTGACACTGAGGTTTCCCCAGATATGGGATTTTCAGTACTAAAACCAGGACAGTCCCAAGCAACTGAGACAGTTGGTCGCCCAACCTGTGGTTTTTGTTTTGTTTTGTGTTTTTACAGTGTATCTGAGATCCATGTTCACCTCAGGGCTCCTACCTTCTTGTTTCATTTACATAGCAATCAAGTATTCTTGACAGAAAAGACAGATCGATCCTTATAAAATTTAACCACAGAAAAGAATGCTTATGAGAACTTCTTTGAGAAAAGACAAAGCCACATCTAAGCTGTAAATAAATCACGGCAGAAAGCTTTTGGAAACTAAACATTAATATTTGGGAAGGATAAAAATGAGGGCTAAATTAATATTATGGGCAAAAGACAGTGGGTTATTATTTTTTCAATAGAAAGATAAAGCCTTAAAGCTAATGGTTCTCAGGATCAAGACTCTTTAGTGCAACTGAAATAAAGTTGGCAATGCATGTGCAAAAGTATGTCAGAAAACTTGGATCAAAAAGAAAAACACATTATAGAAAAAGAAAAGGGAGAAATAAAGGAGGGGAAAATAATATTTGCATATTCTGTTAAACAAAATTAATATGCAATTATAAGTATTTAAATATTCATACTATGTAAATACCTTTTGCAAATGAGATTATAGATTTGCTTGGAAATAGTAAGTGTGGTAAGGAAATGTAAGGGGCTATTATTTAAAAACACACACACACACAACTAGAGAATGATATTGGCAACAGTCCCCACAGAAATTTCAAGCTTCCAGTAAGACACTGTCTATGAAGAAATGTACACTGCCCACAGCTTCCCTACAGCTAGACAGGGGTTAGCAAACAAGAAACAAACATTTCTCTGGCTTGCGGGACAGTAACGTGGTGAGTTTCAGGAGGGACATTCAGGGGACAGAGTTTTCAGTCTTATGATTGCACCACAAGGTTTCTCTGGGGAAGCAGGGCCAACTTAAACACAGCCTTACCCTGAGTAAATGGCCCTCCAGCTCCAGTACTTGTCACTGTGGCACATCTGTGCTGCCACAGCCCACCTAACTCCCCTCCTACCCCTCACCCAAAGAGCTGACAAAGCACAAGGATTGCAAGGGAAGCTGAAGTCGCTGCGTGTTTAGATCAGTTCTGCAGGACACAGCAAAATTCAAAATGGATTGTGACCTGCTGATAATCTTTCACGGCTAACCAAGTGATCATTGATTAAAAATAGCTTTGAACATGTATCACACATCTATTTCAGGCCTCGTTTTATTTGGAATGCAAATACTGCTGGAAGCCAGAGCTACATGAGCAGCAGCTGGAAATCTACTCAGACATTCTAGCCAATTCACATCAAGCCTAGCTGGCAAAATTAATGCCATTCTGTGGTCTCAGTGAAGGAGAGATTGTTAATTATGCCCCACTGCCCACTGGCTTCTATTATGGACACATCTGGACTGAGAGGCTCATTTGAAAGCCCCAATTTCACTGCTTCCCAGAGTCTAAACCAAGTTGAAAAATTGATTTGGAATGAGGAGAGGGTGGCACATGCAAACTGCCTCACCCATAGAGTGCAAGTAGGCTCTAAGGAAAGTGTGTCCTAGTTTCAAAGGTTCTTTTGTGCCTCCAGTGCTCACATTTTCATCAGTGCTTCTTAGCAGTTCCTAAAATGCAGTGTTTGGACAGGTTTCTCAGTAAATAATATATAAAACACACATGCCATCCCTGCAACTCAGGGCTAAGAAGTTTGGTTTCTGTGGCGCCCTCAACCACCGCAGGCTGTGATATTTTCATCTCTTAAAGGAAGGCAGGCTGGGATCTTGTCTGTTTTGAACAAAAAGCCTTTCAAGGAATGTCTATGCCCTGCACTAACAAACATAGCTCTTTGTTCTGAGGAAAACTTCCCTCCAATGATCGCGGACTCCTGTTTTGGCAGCGGGAATGGCCTAGTGGAGACTGCCCTGTTGGAGGTGTCATCTTTGAGAAGAAAATTAAAACAGATTATCAGTCAAACCCAGGGTGGCCATTGAAATCCTACAGGGCTCTAATTTTAGCAAACAAGCCATTTTTTATTGCACTTAGACCTCAAATAACTCAGGGATCTAACCTCCTTAGGCTCTGCTCCAACTTTGCATGAGACCACCAGTGTTCAGTTAGGACAGAAGCAGCCTCCCACCAGGCAGCGGCCCCAAAGTGGGGACATGTGACCAGATGTCCCTACATGAGGTGATGTCAGAAGCATTGGGAAGTTATGTTGCCTTACCCCTCCCTACCCTCCCTCAAACTGCCTGATGACTACCATTCATTTCAAATGTGTTCCTTTATGCTAAACCTTTCAAGGCGTCCTCCTTAATAAAGTGTAATTGCTCTTGGAGGGGGGTAATCATGCTTTATTAGTCATTTATAGCTGATAGTGGCTGAGTTTCCAAACTTTTTCTGACAGCAAGATTTATTGGAGGGAGTGAGAAGCAGCTGTCCCTAAAGGAAAGCAGCATGGTTAGGGGTACTGAAAATAAAGTCCACTGGAGACCTTGTTAATAATTTTGCCTGAAACCAGCCTTGCTTAGGCCACTCTGACTTGCATAAATGCCTTGGTAATGGATCGGCTTTATAGAAACCAGTCTTTGATAAGATTGAGGAAAATCAACCAACCAAGGAACTTGAAAATTATAGGGAGCAATATGTAAGCTCAATTTTAAAATAGCTTCTGTGCTTCAAGGGCTGCCCAGCAATGTGCCAATTAATGCAGAGATCATGCATTTTCATCCCTGGGAAGCATTTTTTTTTTTTTTTTTTTTTTTTGGAGATGGAGTCTTGCTCTGTCACCTGGGCTAGAGTGCAGTGGCGCGATCTTGGCTCACCGCAACCTTGGCCTCCCGGGTTCAAGCGATGCGCCTGCCTCAGCCTCCCGAGTAGCTGGGACTACAGGCATGCACCACTACACCCAGCTAATTTTTGTATTTTTAGTAGAGATGGGATTCCACCATGTTGGTTGGCCAGGATGGTCTCGATCTCTTGACCTCATGATCTGCCCACCTCAGCCTCCTGGGAAGCATTTAAATAGAGTTTGAATTCCCTTTCTGACAATGATGCTAGAGTGGGCATTTTTGCCCTAGGCATGGGTTGCAACTAGATTGAGTTGGAGATCCATTCCAACTCTAAGGTTCTGTTAGTTTGCTTAGTTATCTCATGGACACCCACGATTCTGACCATAGGAGCTAAAGTCAGTGTGGTACCATGATGGCCAAAGCAGGAACCCAGGTGCCCACAACCCACAGGATCAGGAACTCTGGACCCCACAACTCATTTGTACTGCTTTGAACCGCCTGGGGACCAAAGAAAAAACTCCAAACTCCTGTGGTCTAAACATAGACATTCTTCAGAGGCAAGGTCACACCGTTTGTTCCGGACCCCTAGCTCTGAAAACAGCCTCATGCTGAGCTGCCCAAATTCCACAGGATAAATGGTAGTAGCTTAAGGAAGCACTTGTTACATTTTTTCTCCCACGAAACTAAATGCTGAGACTACAAATGATGGTTCCAGCCCAAGCTAGAATGACAGGTTCAGGACAGATTTGGAAGCCAGGTGGGATCCAGAATTGCTCAACAGTAAGGTTAAGGATGGAGCCTGGGTTCAGAAACCTAATGGAAGAAGCATGGAGACGTGGAAAGAGCAAGTGCTTTGAAACCATACAGATTTGCCTTCAAATTCCAGTTTTACTGCATGATCTTCAGAAACATACTGAGGTTTTCTGAGCCTCAGCTTTCCCTCATAGGAAAAATGAAGCTTTAAGGAATTGTGTAAAAATTAAATCAGATAGAATATAGGCGGGGGAAAGAAAAAGCTAGGCTCAGAGTAGGCATTGTATAAAGGTGAATTATCTTGCTCCACACCCCCTTGGTGTGTGGTTCTTGCACCTGGCTGCAGGTAAGAATCAACTGGGGAATTTTTAACATCATTCTTATGCCTAAGCTTCCCTTTCCTGGAGATTCTGATGTAATTATCTATGATGAGATGCAGTCATTTATACTTTAAAAAAATTTTTTTAATCTTCCCAGGATTGAGACCCACTGCCCAAGTATATCAGAATGAGCATTATCCTTGGATTTGAAATTTTCTATTATGGTTTAAGCAAATATTTTACTTCTCTGAGCCTTCATTTCTTTATTAAAAAGAGGAGTAATATTCTGATTTTTATAGGTTTATTTTGAATATTTGATGAGATACATTTTTTAAAGCTCCTAAAAGAATAACTGACAATTAGTAGGTGCTTAATAAATATTCATTTCTCTCACTTTCTTTTCTTATCATTAGTCAGGGAACACACAAGTGCCAAAATCTTAGTGATATAAATAAGTATAACGAACATGAGATATCACCAGACAGCCTTGAAATTAAGATGATTACCAAATATCTCAGGCAAAACTGCCTTAGTAATCTTCTGCTGGAAGACGGAGTTAAATCCTAGGATAGGGATGGCAAATGTGTTGTACATTGTCCCAATCCTCCCTTCCATGCTCATGGCAGATACCACTAATCAATTGCAGCACTCTTCTCTATCATGCCCAGATGAGGCTTCAAAGTCCTTTCCCACACAGCTCTCCCAGGCTTCCACTCACAATCAGAGCTAGCACATGTATTGAGGCAAATTTTCCTTCCCTATCATAGGTCATGGGCCACCGTACACCTGCAAATGAGGCTTATTTCAAAGATGCTTAAGTGGATTCCCTGGTGAGTGGGGAGTGTGTGACCAGAGACAAAGGCAGACCCCAAGGGTGCCCCCGTTCTGTGCAATCTCATCTATGCTAAGCCAAGAATCTGTGCTTCTGGTTAGTGCAGGGAATGCAGTGAGAGGAGTGAGTCAATGCCAAGCAAGAAATGAAAGAGCTGCCTGGTGCTCTCAAGGTGTGTCTACCATCCCCAGTTTCCAGGAAGGGCTATCAGATTGTTTCCGAAAGCAAGATCATTTCTCTGATTTAAGGAATTTGAAACTAATGATTGCAGTGCTTCTCCCCAAAGGCAATAGGCAAAGGCTCTGATGAGAAAGCCCCCATGAAGCTCCAGTTTGTGCTGAAAACCTGACATCGGTGCCTGCAGGCTTGCAACAGCTGAGACCTTGTGAACACCAAGGTCAGAGGACTGGTGCGGGTGGCTGGGATCCTCGCCCACTGTGCCCATCAAAGGACAGCCAACACTTGTGCAGATGGAGACTTCTGCTACAACTCCTTATTGTTAATTAACCCCTTTGCAGGCCATAAGCATGTTCACTTGAAAGAGTGTAGCATTAGCTCCTGCTGGGCAGAGTTGTGATGGGGTTGAGCTGATTGCACAGCAGGAACAGGTTATAATTCTGATAACCTTTTTAAAAAGCCTTTTTATTGGGGATCTTAAATAAAATTGTAACTCGCTACACTTGATCTTTCCCATTTTTCTTGTTTTTCGTTTTTTTTAAAACACTGAGTGCTTTTCTTTGTAAAAAAAAAAAAAATTCAAGAATGAGAGCTGGGAAATAGAACTACTGCAAATGGAAATGAAGGGTTGGGTTTGTTCAATTTTTTGTTTGTTTGTTTCACCACTGAAACCTGCTACATTGTCCCTTCATTTTCCTTCCCAGTGTGGAAAAGTCAGCACAGTAGCTAAAATCACAAGGAGGGGAGGCGGTTAGAGAGCTGTGAAGAGGCACGGACAGGCAGCCCAAAAACCAAGGATGCAGGGCAGGAGCCAGTGAGACCTAGGTCAGGAAGGAGATAAGATGTGGAGGTGGTGGGCAGAAGAGACAGCAATGTAGTTGGGAGATTAAGTAAATAAGTAACTATATTGAACATAAAAGGAGCCAAACCCTCATTACTGAAATAGGTATTTATAAATACCAAAAGGGGGAAATCTAGAAAATAATCCTGAGGGGCTGGATTGAAACAGGGTATTAGTATGGACTTATGCTTTTATTATATGTATATATAACATACATAGAGATTGATATCAAAATCATATAGATGTATAAATACATACATATGTAGCCAGACAGACATGAAAAATGTGTATTTTTCCTAGCTCTGTCCACTGAATGGGCCTAAAGCAATGATACCCCAGTAGCAATTAACATACGGATTAACCAGATCTTGGCTTCTAAATAGTATCCTTTATTCAAAGAAACCAAGGATCCTTAGGAAAATGTCTGATTCCAGGGCTGAAACAGGTAATATACAAGTTGCACTTGGAACATCTTCTTATGCCAGAAAATAAGGAAATGCTCAATGAACAATGGGAATATGTCAAAAGGACACAAAAACCAGCTTGAAAGGGTCAAACTTGCAGTGGTTTAAGCATAGAAAATAATATGCTATTTCTTATAGTAAAATACCAGCTCATAAAAATAGAACCAATGATGGAAATAGACACTCATCATGTGGAAACTTACACAAAGGCACTTGATTCAGTCAATGGATGCTAAGACCAGAGTTGGAAGTTTGATAAGGAACAGGATATTGACTAATTTCAGAAATGAAAATATGTTCCCACAAAACACAAATAAATTGCAAAAGGCAAAATGTTGAATTTAAGTAGGCGGGAGCTGGCAGACAATGTGGTTGAGCAATCGAGGTTAGCATCACCAGTGGTGATGATATGTGCCACTGGGTGTGAGGCACTGAGAAAAACAAAGCAGCACTTCTGTAGAATTACTGCCCAGAATTTATAACCTCACTAAAACCATGATGAAACATCTGGTGGACCTGGCTTGGTGGTCATTCTACTGAATGAAGGACCTGTACTCTTCAAAGCTGTCAAGCACATGGAAGACAGGGATAGACACAGAAGCTGTAGCAGTTTGAAGGAATCCGAAGAAACATGACAATTACATGAAACACAGGCTCATGGATAATATCCTGGAACACAAAGAAAAAGCAGAGATTTGGGGGCTCATTGGCAAATGGGGTCTGTGGACTGGACAGTGTTATACCACTGTTGATAACCTGATATGAAGGATCATATGCTGATTCTGTAGGAAAATGTCTTTATTTGGGGAAAATGCATACTAGAACGGGAGGGTGGTGATATCGCATCTTTTTTCACCTTCATCTCTAAAGGTTCAGAAAAACACTAATGCAGCTATAAGTAGAGAGAGAATGGGCAATGGAGCATATGCAATAAAACGTTACAATTGGAGAATCTGGCGAAGGGAGTACAGGAGTTCTTGATATTATTCTGGAAACTTTGAAATTACTTCAAAATAAGTGAAAGAATAATATATATATTATATAATACATATACACACCTACACACATTCAGGGATCGGCAAATTAAAACTGCAATGAGATAACACTATACAACCACAAAAATGGCTAAAATTTTAAAAGATTGACAGCACCAAATGTTGGAGAGGATATAGAGAAACTGGCTTCCCATGCACTGTTAGTAGGAGTGTAAAATGTTACAACCACTTTGGGAAGAGATCTGACAGCTTCTTACAAAACTAAAAGTATACCCTATGACCCAGCAATTCCATTCCTAGGTATTTTGCCAAGAGAAATGAAAATGTATGTCCAAAAAATACTTGTACAAGAATACTCAGAAGTTTTATTCATAATAAGCAAAAATCAGAACAAGCCCACATATCCATCAAAATAGGAAAATAGACTACGCTATGTTTATACTATCTAATACTACTCAGTAATAAGAAGGAGCAAGGTACTAATATGATCAATAATATGGGTGAATGGCAAAAACATTATGCTGAGTGGAATAAAGCTTATACAAAAGACATATTGTATCATTCCATTTATATGATGTTCTAGAGCAGGTATATATGGTGAGGGGGATATCAGAACAGTTGTTACCTGGGGGGATTGGTGTGGAGAGGCAGGGAGTACCCCAGGGGAGGAGCATGAGGATACTCTCAGGTATGGTAATGTTCTTTCTTGATAGACGTTTGAGTTACACAATGTGGGCATTACTCAAAACTCATCAAATGGTCCACTTAAGATGTGTGCATTTCCTTGTGTGTAAATTTTACTTCAAAAGGAAAGAAAAACAATCAACAAATCTTAAGCTAGGGTTATTGATCCACATACTAAAGTATTGAGAGGGAAGTGTACTGACGTCAGCAACTTGCTTTGAAATGCATCCTAAAGATGAATTGGATCCATGGATGCACAGGGAGATAAACAGATATGCAATAAAACTACTATAGTAAAATGTTAACTGTAGAATCTAGCTGATAGAGACACGAGTATTCTCTGTAAATTTCTTTTATCTTTTCTGTATGTTTGAAAATTCCCATAATAAAGTGTTGGGAAAAAAATACGTTAAGAAAAAACTTTTCTGTGGACTAGAAGGCAGAACCACTAAAGTGAAAACAGCATAAAGCAAAGTAGTTGGTACAAGTAAAAGGCCTGGACAAAGTGCACTGGACGATTTCTCCCAAGTGTGTGTCCTAAGAGAAATGAGATGTAGGGACATCTATGGGTCATCTCTTCCATCAACCCTAATGTTAGAGATCACTCAGAATGACTACTCTTTTGACCACTGATCGATAGAATACTCTATGCCACCAAATTGACCTAACCATTTTTACTTTGTCTTCTTCTGAAAGTGCTACCAGTTAACTAAATTGCATGAAAACAGCGTGTTTGAGGTAACAGAATGTTCTTTTTTTTTTTTTTTTTTTTTTTTTGTTGTTGTTGTTGTTGTTGTTGAGGCAGAGTCTCGCTCTGTCGCCCAGGCTGGAGTGCAATGGCGCTATCTCCGCTCACTGAAAGCTCCGCCTCCCGGGTTCACGCCATTCTCCTGCCTCAGCCTCCCGAGTAGCTGCGACTACAGGCGCCGGCCACCACGCCCAGCTAATTTTTTTTTTGTATTTTTAGTAGAGACGGGGTTTCACCATGTTAGCCAGGATGGTCTCGATCTCCTGACCTTGTGATCCGCCCACCTGGGCCTCCCAAAGTGCTGGGATTACAGGCATGAGCCACCGTGCCCGGCCCAGAATGTTCTTTCATTTTTACACTAGATAAGTTGTTACCTACTGGGGAGTGTGCATCAGAATCAAGTGCATTACTTTTTAGTATATTATAATGGTAATGCATAATATACATAATGTTTTGCTACTTGCTTTTTGCTTATTATATCCTTGGACATCTTCCCATGTCAATAATATAAATTATGTCATTTGTAAAATGGAAATATGATAGTTATAAAAACTAACTTAATACTTATAAATAAGGTAGAACAATGTCTACCTTACATAACATAATAATTGCTTAACTAAGATTAGCTATTGTTTTGTCATTGGAAAACTGTTCCATAATTTGAATAATCTATTGATGGGCATGTAGACTGCTTTCAGTTTTCCCCTACTACAAATAATATGGAATTGACCAACTTTATATGTAGGCTTGATATGTATAATGTTACTAGGATACGTTTTCAGCAGTGGAAATACTGGATTATAGAGAATATACCTGTACCCATCATATATTTCAGCCAAAGCCCATCCTTCTATACCTGCTTTGTGACCCTCGGGTGGGAATCAGTAAACTGCCTTTTCCAGACTGGCTTGCCAACTGGCTTTTGATTTCTCCAAGGAAGATATTGCCAAATCAAGCTCAAAAATGGCTGTATCAATTTGTATTCCCACCAACAATATATGAAAAGGCTTCTTTCCCAAACTGTGGAGTTAAAAAAAAAAAGTGTAGGACCCCATTCCAAGCCTACTGAGAACTGGGTGGGACCTGGACACAATGTATTTTCCAAAAGCACTATAAATGATCCCAATGCACAGCCAGGTAAGAACCATTGTTCTAGATATTTGATTCTCAAAGTGTGGTCCCCAGATGGGCAGTGTCAGCCCTGGGAGTCTGTTAGAAATGCATCATCTCAGAAGCTATATTTTAACAGGAGCCCCAGGAGATTCAAATGCACATTGAAGTTTGAGAAACACTGCTCTAGAAAGGATACAGCAACAGGCCTAGATTTTGTGGGGCCTAAAGCTTACATAATCTGGGGAGTCCTTTTTACTGAAAAATATACAAAATTACAAACAAAGATGGAGTACAAATTTAATATTTACTTACAATGAAGTAATAAATCCTGATTAAATACAAAATTTTAAAAGCCGAAAAGTACCATAAACATCACAAAATTCTGGAGGAAAAAAGGAAAAAACGCATTTATTCATGAGCTGCCTAATGCACGTCTATATTTTTGTAAATTTTTAGCTATTTCTTTGCATGATAAAAAAAATTTCTATGATCTTTCTATAGAGAGATGAGAATTAATTCAGTCAGCTAGAAATTTGTGTTTTATTCTTGGTAATCTAGAAGAGCTTTTTTTTTTCAACTTTCAACTCATTATAATATCATGTAAAATTTTTTAGAATTTGGTCCAGTTAGGATAAGTTCCATCCAATGTCTTTCATGGGAGCTGTAAGAGTCATGGCATTTCATGGTTCTCATCCAGTGGCTAATTTTAAATGCCCTTGGAATCAAGGACAGTCAGACATCCTTGTGCAGAGCATTACTTTCATGTTTCTTCTCCTCTTCTGTTCTGTGCCCCAGAGTGTCCCAATTCACATAAATTTCTTTACCTCTTCTGTTATTGTTTTACCTACATTTTCTTTGCTCTTGTGATTCTGAGTTTTTGTTTGTTTTTTATTTGTTTTTTGTCTTTATGAGTGTGACCATCAGAGTTTTTATCTTCTCTTATGAAAAAAGAGAGTTCTCAACATTTTGAAGTCTCTGCTAGTTCCTAAAAGTTCCTTCTTTTCGTTAGATCTTCAGTTTCCAGTAGGTTCCAGCCTTCCCTTCACATTTGAGTTTTACAGTATGATCAACCACTCTGAAAATAAAAACAAAATTCATCTGAAATTAAGGCATAAACAAGAACAAGTAAAACACATTTTAGGCCGGGCACAGTGGCTCTCGCCTATAATCCCAGCACTTTGGGAGGCTGAGGCAGGTGGATCATGAGGTCAGGAGTTCAAGACCAGCCTGGCCAATATGGTGAAACCCCATCTCTGTGAAAACTACAAAGATTAGCCAGGCATGGTGGCAGGCACCTGTAATCCCAGCTACACAGGAGGCTGAGGCAGAAGAATCACTTGAACCCAGGCGGCAAAGATTACAGTAAGCCGAGATCGCACCACTGCACTCCAGCCTGGGTGACAGAGTGAGACTATGTCTCAAAGAAAAAAAAAAGAAAAGAAAAGAAAAGAAAAAAGACACATTTTAAAATTGTAAATATAATATATTGTATTTGAATATAACATAATACAAATATATTGAGCTACATAATAGTAGGATCAAATTACCCTTATACTACATCTATTGCTGCCATACTGATGAACATAGGAGTTCTGTCGCTAGAACCCTTGTTTCTTCGGGACTTTCTGTTTCATTGTGTCAAAATTGCATGCCATTTCATCTAAAATTCCCAGAATTTGTCAAGAGAAGATGCATCAAATATACTAAGACATTTTGAGATACATAAAACCTGAAACAGCACACACAGACTGACTGTTCATCATATTATTAAAGATTTTTGTCCTTACAAACACAAGAATTCTGGTGGATTCTATTCTGAGCAATTACCATAAACAATTAAGAGTGTGTTTATAATTGTGTATGTTGCATTACTGCATATATTCCTTACGGAAGAATATTTCCATTTTGTTTAGTCATCATTGTGAACTGAATGTCTGATGATTGGAAGAATTTTCCACAGATTTGCTTCTGGCTCTATCCATTTCAAATCTTGTTTCTCTTCCACTCCCCACATGCTCCTAGTGCCAGGTATTGTAGGACAAGTACCTACTCCCATAATACCCTGCACCTTCATGCCACAGTGCTGGGGAAGCCTGCACAGTGGGCAGTAGAAATATTCCTGGAAGCCATACCTATACTAGGATGGCTAGCAACAGTGTAACTGTATACAGAGTAGCTATAAACTACAAAATATATACCCACCAACCCCAAACCAACACATCCCCAACTCAGTTTGCCTTCCAAAATAGACATAGCCCCAACTTCATTCCAAAAATGTCTGCTGTCACTTTCAGGCCTACCTGCACCTGAAGATTTGTGATGAGGAGGAGGGAGTGGAAAGAGACAGCTGTCTTAACCAATTTCAGTAAAAAATATCTTACTTTTGAAACTTTGCAAAAATATATGACCATGTAAAAGACATTGATGGGGCCTCTCTCGGGGCTTTTGGAAGGAGTTGAGCAAGTAAAGAGCCCTGAAGCTTCAGCTTCATTAAAGTCACAGTAAATCTGTCTCTGCAGACGAGCATGTGGAATCAAAGTGATGGAGCAGAGAAACACCTTCAGAGATCATATAGTACAACACTCGATATAAAGATGGGGAAACCTGAGGCCCTCAGAGGTTATGGGACTTCCTCGGGATCACATAGCTGGTTAGTAACAAAATAGGGACTAAAATCTTGACTCCAAGCCCAGTGCTCCTTCACTAGAGTGCTTCTAGCTTTGTGGTTTTCCCCTTAAGGTCCTTAGACTTTGAGAGCTGAATTTATGCCCAATGTATATTGAAGGAAATAAAATGTTAGAAGAGCTATCACTCCAGATTTCATTTAGGGAAAGTACCAAATAAATACTTTTTATCCCTGTGATCAGTCTCACAGCCTCTCACAAAGTACTTGCCAACAGAGATATTTTGCTGATCCGATGAATTTTACATAACAAGGAAAAAAAATCCCTCCCGTAAATCATAATGCATATGTTGATGAGATGTTGTTTGATACCAAAAAGGCATTCTCTACCCCAAAGAAGGAAGGATTACTGCGTGCTAATACTAAATGCTAATGTTAGCCTATTACAAGTGTTTCATGCTGTGGCACTATTCTGATTTGTGCTTTGAGATAAAGATTTAATATTCCACTCTTAAATTACAGTATCTATTTGTTTTTTATGAGCCGCAGTATGTTCCTACACTAATATTTCAATTCGATCATTTCCACCCTGAAGCTTTATTTTATCTGACAATTCACACACACCACCTAATTAAAACAACTTAAATATGAGATATCTGGACCATATTCTGAGGTCTTCATTTATGCAACGATCACTTATTGAATGCTCCTGCTGTGCCAGGGTCTGTGATAGAGGAAAAGGAGAAGCCTGTGACATTGAAGAGGGGATGCAAAGATGAATGAGACAAGCTGTTTGCCCTCAGGGAGCTCTTAGGCCCATGGGAGAAATAGATACCTGGCCTAGTCATCACCATGCGAGATGGTGGAGTCTGAGCACATAGAAGAGGGGGACAGGAATTCTGCCAGGGAGAGAGGAATTCAACAAGTCTTTGGAGAGCTGACACTTGAATTAATACTCAAAAGAAAATGTTTGGCTGGGCGCGGTCGCTCACGCCTGTAACTCCCAACACTTTGGGAGGCCGAGGTGGGCGGATCACCTGAGGTTGGGAGTTCAAGACCAGCCTGACCAGCATGGAGAAACCCCATCTTTACTAAAAATACAAAACTTAGCCAGGTGTGGTGGCACATGCCTGTAATCCCACCTACTCGGGAGGCTGAGGTAGGAGAATTGCTTGAATCCGGGAGGCGGAGTTTGCGGTGAGCTGAGATCGTGCTATTGCACTCCAGCCTGGGCAACAAGAGCGAAACTCTGTCTCAAAAAAAAGAAAAGAAAATGTTTGCCAGAAAGACAAGAGTTAGGGCATTAGAAACAAAAGGACCAGCATGAACAAAGTCTTGGAGATATGAAGGAGAATATTTGGGTGATCACTAAAAGGTTATTTGGGAATATGTAGTGTGCCCAGGAGCTGGGAGTCCGGTAGTGGGAGAAAAGTGGCAATGCGGGAAATGTCATATCAGCCTGGGAATGCTTTTCTGCCGTGCTACAGGGTCTGGACTTGCTTCTGTAGGAAAGGGTAAGCTTTTTGGCAGTGTTGTGTCATAATCAGTTCTGAGTTTAGGAAAGCCAAGTACAGGAGGCATGGAGTTACAATGCTGTGTGTAGCAAAGGTCCAGCCTGAGCTATGAAAATCCCAGTAACTATGATGATAGCATCCGCTGGCAAAAGATCTCCAGCAGTATCTTCTGATAAGCATCTCATTGTTAAACTCTGTAACTGGAAATGCTGCATAACAAGACTAAGGCTCTCCCCATCGTTTTTCTTATAGCAGGCAGTTATTTACAACATAAAGTTCCAAGATCATTCCTAAAAGTAAGTAAGACGTCATCCCAAGATGACCTATAGTTGATCCCGTCCTCCTATTCTAGTCATTCTAATGATTTCACATGCCACCACTTTTTCTTTTCTTTTTTTACAATCAGTGAGGCTGAATCAAGATGGGCCAATGAGTCTGACTTGTAGAGAAAGCAATAATGTAAGAGGCTTGGGACCTAGTTATCAAAGCTCCTCCCTTCTAGGTCAAACAGGAAAACACGGAAATCCACCAGCCCAGTGGGAACCAAAAGTCAGTTTATTACTAGGCCAGCAAACATCCTACAAGCCTCCAAATTCAGCGTTCACTAGTATAAGCTAGATTACAGAATAAAAGATTAAACATTAGGACAAGTGGGACCTCTGCTCCCATTCCAAATCTCTACCTTGGGACCTAAGAGCTCCGGAATGCCTATGATCAATGGGCGTGCAGAGCTAACTGCAAGTCCATTCACTTGGCCATTGGAATGAATGAGGGCCGCAGGGGCAGGACAAAGGGAGAAGTTCCCACCTCTTTCCCGTGGGTAGCCATGTTCTGGGGGCTCTCCCAAGGCAGAGGGAGGGGAAAAAGAGCACATGGTTCCTGTGTCCAGGCAGTAAAGCCCAATGGGTAAGCCAAGTGCTTTGCCTTAGACAGAGTTCTCCCTGTCAGTCAAATGTGGCCAAGGAATGTTATAAATTCTGGCCAACCAGATTAGTCAGCTCTTTCTATCAGGACATGCCAGTGAGAAGATAGAGACAGGCAGAAATGCCCTCCCCAGAACTTCCATTGTCTGTAGGGCAGACATGTTTGGTGGAAGGCAGGGGTTGCCAGAAAAAATACAGAATGCTCAGTTAAATTTGGATCTCACATAAACAACAAATCATCTTGTAGTGTAAGCATATCCCTAATATTGCATGGGATATACTTACACTAAAAAAATTACTGTCTTCCTCAAATCCAATTAAACTGGTTGTCTTATAATTTCATTTGACAAATCTGACAACCCTAATGAAAGAATCTTCCTCTGTGGCATAGTCACTTCCTCATATGGGAATTGCAATCTCAGAATTCTAGAAATGGAGGAGAACATTAAAATCACCTAGTCCATCAACTTAAATTTATCCCTGATGAGAATGAGGAGACCAAAGAATTGCAATAACTGCCCCTAAGTCACACTGCTAATTAATGACAGACCAAGGAATATAATATATTTCCAGACCGAGCCCAGTGGCTCTTGTCTGTAATCCCAGCACTTTGGGAGGCTGAGGCGGAAGGATTGCTTGAGGCCAGAAATTCAAGACCAGCCTGAGCAACATAGGGATACCCCTCGCACCACCATCTCTATTAAAAAAAAAAATTAGCTGGGTACAGTGGCACATACCTATAATCCTAGATACTCAGGAGAATGAGGCAGGAGGATGAGTTGAACCCAGGAGTTCGAGGCTGCAGTGAGCTATGATTGTGCCATTGCACTCCAGCCTGGGCAACAGAGCGAGACCCTGTCTCTATTTAAAAAAAAAATACATTTCCATTTGTGGTATTCTTTCCCCTCTATCACACTAGGCTCCTTTTGGCCCTTGGCTCAATAGCTCTGGAATTACTTGAAAAATTTCCTAAGGGCAAAATGAATGATTTTTTTTTTTAATATCTCCTCCCAGTTCTACACACAATGCTTTATGAGACCTGGCAGAGCAAACGATGCTGTGGAGCGGCCAGCCATGTGGCTAAATCACCTGGGTGATGGCCACCACTCTCCACTCGCACCCTCTGTGTTCTGTGTCTGTGAACCTGGGCTTTGGGGTTGCTAGGGGCTAGCATAGCTTTTAGCCAGATGTGAAAATTGTCCTAGCCCCTCTGAGAGGCCATGAAGTATGACTCTCTTAAGAACACACAGCCTTTTGGAAGGGTCCTCTCTACTGAGGTAATGGGTTCAAGGAAAACACAGCTGAGACCTAGGAGCTTGTGTGAAAGGCACTCTCATCTCATCGGAAACTTCAGCTTCCCTCACAGCAAACCTTGACCAGAGCTGCCAACAAAGAACCAGCTGGGCTTTTAAGATTCCTTTCTCTCCTTCCCCTTGCCTCCCTCTGGTGGACAAGCAGACAAGCAGTTAGTACAATGGACTTGAGGCGGTGAGGTGTTCTCCAGGGCCACACAGACTGATAGACTGAGGTCTTCACCACACAGGCATTTGTCTGGCCAGCTCTTGACAAACTTGTGAGATAGAGTGATCTTCACAGCTCTCTGTCACTTCTCACAACTCAGGCCACTTTATCTTCTTGGTCTCCAGGACTCTGATCATCCTCCCTCCACCCCAGTCTCTTCCCACCTCCTTCCCCATGGCCCCAACCTTCTTCCACTGTAACCCAACCACGACTTAGCTTTCCTGGAGTCCCAGTGCCCCGGGCAAGTAACTTCTTACTCTTCCAGAGAACAAGTTGCATCATTCCAATTAGAAGAGACTGAATGGTCTTTTTTCTTTCTTTCTTTCTTTCTTTTTTTTTTTTTTTTTTTGAGACAGTCTTGCCCTGTCACCCAGGCTGGAGTGCGATGGCACGATCTTGGCTCACTGTAACCTCTGTCTCCCAGGTTCAACAGATTCTCCTGCCTCAGCCTCCAGAGTAGCAGGGATTACAGGTGTGCACCACCACGCCCAGCTAATTTTTGCAGTTTTAGTAGAGATGGGGTTTTGCCATGTTGACCTAGGCTGGTCTCAAACTCCTGACCTCAAGTGATCCACCCGCCTCACCCTCCCAAAGCGCTGGGATTACAGGCATGAGCCACCGCGCCCAGCCAATTGCACAGTCTAAGCATGAAGCTAAGCTACTTACTGATAATCATTATTTAGTGCTTAGTAAATATAAGGTTCTTTTGCTAAGAGTTGGATACATGTTTTCTTACTTACATTCATAATTTTCATAGCAAACCACTGAGGCAGATACCATTTTACAGAAGAAGAAACTGAGGCTTGGGAACATTAAATAACCCAGGCAAGCTTTTACTATAAGGGCTGGGACTGGGATTCAGACTCAGAAAATCTGGCTCTAAATTCTAGAAATCCCTGTCCAATAGGACTTTACAGTGACGGAAATGTGGCCACTAGCCACAAGTAGCTACTGCACATTTGAAATGTGACTGCAACGGAGGAACTGATTTTTAAATTTTATTTAATTTTTATTAAATTTAATTTAAATAGCCACAGATGACTAGTAGCTACTCTATTGAATAGCATGGTCTAAATATAGGCTTTGGCCAGGCGCAGCGGCTCACACCTGTAATCTCAGCACTTTGGGAGGCCAAGGCAGGAGGATCACCTGAGGTCAAGAGTTCAAGACCAGCCTGGCCAACATGGTGAAACTCTGTCTCTACTAAAAATAAAAAAATTAGCTGGGCTTGGTGGGGTACCCGTAATCCCAGCTACTCAGGAGGCTGAGGTAGGAGAATCGCTTGAACCCGGGAGGCAGAGGTTGCAGTGAGCTGAGATCACACCATTGCACTTTAGCCTGGGTGACAGAGTGAGACTCTATCTCAAAAAATAAAATAAAATAAATAAATAAATAAAATATAGCCTTTGTGTTATCCTAGTCACTTACTCTCCCCCTGTTCCTTCCCCCACAAACACACACACTCACATGCACTTGCTGAGTAGGTAAGGGAAATATTTGTTCACATCATTCCCTTGGCCCTCGCTCCACATAGATTTCAGGTAGAACCTGACGGGAAAATTGAGAGTTGACTTACACCTTGTTTGATGCAATAAGGCAAGGGAAAGGGAATCAATGATATAAAAGATATGGGCTCTTATCCTTGCTCTGCTAGTGACAAGTCACATAATTTCTCTGGATCTCAGTTTCTGCCTCTGAACAAGGACAGAGCTGTACTCCATGATCTCAGATATCACTTTCCAACTTTAATATTCTGTAGTTGGAAAATGCCCATAGAACCCCTTTCCAGCTCACGTTGAAAACAAGAGCTACAGGTGATAAATCTGGCACCAACAGTGATTACCAGGATGAACAGTCAGCAAGCATGCTTGATTGTACACATCCAACACCCCATAATATATAGGGTTCTTTTTTTAGAACCCTAATCAGAGATTCATTTGCATAATTAACATCTTTAGGAATAATTGCAAATGACACATCTGTTCACCATCTCCCCCTCCTTGGCAAACTATGTGTTATAAACACAGTTCCTTTAGCTCTGTAAACACTTGGTGCCTGTCCTTTGCTTTAGTCACTTTCCACCTTGGAGTGATGATGACCTTGTGTGACCTATCCCTGTGCAGTCCCATCCCTGTCAATGTTGCTCCAATTAGATCAGGACCCACTTACAACTACCTGCTTTGACTGGCCACAGGGCATGAGTTCTTAATCTAGGCTCAGCTCTCTAAACTAAGCATTCAGAATATTCATGAAATTTTGGGTGACTATACTTGTCATTTGTGTTCTGGGGAGCAGGTTTATGGCTTCCAGGAGTTTCAATGGGTGTCCATTACCCAGAAAAATGGTTAAGAACCACATACTATATGATTCCATTCACATGAAAGTCCTGAATAGGGAAATACATGGAGACAGAAAGTAGATTAATGGCTACAAAAACTGGGGAGATCAGGGATGGGAGAGTGGGGAGGGGGGTGATAGCTAAAGAATATGGGATTTCTTCTTGAGATCATGAAAATGTTCTAAAGTTGACTGTGGTAGTGGTTACACATATCTGTGAATATTTTTTTAAAACCATCGAATTGTGCACTTTCAAATAGTGAATTGCATGGTATGTGAATTATATCTCACTAAAACTGCTTTTAAAAAAAAAGTTTAAACCCCTGCTCAGAAAAAAGGGCCGTGGTTTACAGGTACCTACAGACAGTAAAGCTGCATCCTCTCTGTTCCCAGAAAGCCTTGAGTGGTACCAAACCTAGTTCTTTTTTAGAAATAAGACCAGATTTACATGAGTCCCCCCATTGGGGGAAGGCTCTCTAAGTCAGTGTGCCTCAAATTTTAATGAGCAGATGAGTTATTTGGTGATCTTATTAAAACACAGTGGGCCCAAGATTCTCCTGGTGACCCAATGAACACACTGTGAGTAACAGAGCACTAGACCAAAAGTATGTTTGTATCCTCTTGCTTCCCCTGGATCTGCATGCCATCCAGATACTTACGACAACACAAAATTTCCTGAGATTTTTAGCCCTGGGCACCCTTTATTCTGGACCAGGGCTTCCTCTCCAACTAACTTCCCTGTTCTCCTGCAGCTGAATAGCACAGAAACCTCAAGGGCCCCCTTTCTCTTTCTCCCTTAAAATCTAAGCCAGAGACAGGTGCACTCAGCTCATATGTTTTATTTCCCCTCAGCTCTACACTGGCCCAGCTTAGCCAGAACAAGGTTGCCTCCCCAGAAGGCACATCTAGCTCAAGTGTAGCTTAGACAAAATAAGTTATTCCATCCATGTGTCCTAAAGGCACAGTTTCCTTATTCATCCCCTACAGGTTTCATATCCGCAGTAATGAATAAGAATGCGTGAGTCCTTGATGCTTATTTTGAACCAAAGGGGTGTTCATCCAAAAGGAAAAGACTGTGGGTGGTCTATATGAAACAAGTTGACTCAAGAAAGAAAAAGAACCCCTTCACTAGCCTTATTTAATTTGAACAACCATCAGAGATGCTATAGCTAGGATTGAGTGGCCACGATATTTTGCAACAACTCCCATCAAGAGGTGGAGTCTATTTCTCCATCTTGACTCTGGGCCAGCCTTCTGACTTGTTTTGACCAATTGAATGTGACAAGTACGTGGTTGTATGAGTTCCAGAAGCCTTGTAGTTTCCGTCCTCTTTAAGTGCTGCGCTGAGACTGACCATGTAAGGAAGCCTTCCAGAGGATAAGAGGCTAAAAGGAGAACCAAGGCACTCCAGCCACCAGTCAGTGCCATCTGCGACACCTATGAATGAGGCCATCCGGGACCCTCCAATTCAACACAGCCACGTAAGTCAGTCCAGGTGAAAACAGCAGAGAAGCCATTCAGCCAACCCACAGAACTGTGAAAAACAATGAATCTGTCCAACAATGATAGACTGGATTAAGAAAATGTGGCACATATACACCATGGAATATTATGCAGCCATAAATATGATGAGTTCATATCCTTTGTAGGGACATGGATGAAATTGGAAAACATCATTCTCAGTAAACTATCGCAAGAACAAAAAACCAAACACTGCATATTCTTACTCATAGGTGGGAATTGAACAATGAGAACACATGGACACAGGAAGGGGAACATCACACTCTGGTGACTGTTGGGGGGTGGGGGGAGTGGGGAGGGATAGCTTTAGGAGATATACCTAATGCTAAATGATGAGTTAATGGGTGCAGCACACCAGCATGGCACATGTATACATATGTAACTAACCTGCACATTGTGCACATGTACCCTGAAACTTAAAGTATAATAATAATAAAATTTAAAAAAATAAAAATAAAAAATAAAAAAAACAAATATTAAAAAAAAAGCAAAACAATGAATCACTATTAAGTCACTAAATTTTAGGGTGGTTTGTAACAAAACAGTAGATAATCAAAATAGACAGGATGGTGAACTAGATAACACCTAAGATCTCTTCAAACGTGATCCTGTGTGTTTTTGTTTTCTGTTTTGGGATGAAGTCACTATATTGCCCAGGCTGGAGTGCAGTGGTACAATCATGGCTCACTACAGTCCTGACCTCCCAGGTTCAAGCAAGTCTCCTGCCTCAGACTCCCAAGTAGCTAGGATTGCAAGTGTGCACCACCATGCCTGGCTAATTTTTTTTATTATTATTTTGTAGAGATGAAGTCTCGCTATATTGCCCAAGCTGATCTTGAACTCCTGGGCTCAGTAATCCTCCTGCCTTGGCCTCCCAAAGTGTTGGGATTATAGGCGTGAGCCACCGCGTCCAGCCATGATTCCATTTTTAAGAAATGTTCAGAGGGCTGGGCACGGTGGCTCACACCTGTAATCCCAGCATTTTGGGAGGCCAAGGTGGGCAGATTGCCTGAGCTCAGGAGTTCGAGACCACCCTGGGCAACATGGTGAAACCTCATCTCTACTAAAATACCAAAAAATCAGCCGGGAATGGTGGCGTGTGCCTTTAATCACAGCTACTTGGGAGGCTGAGGCGGGAGAATCACTTGAGCCAGGGAGGCAGAGGTTGCAGTGAGCCAAGATTGTGCCACTACACTCCAGCTTGGGTGACAGAGTGAGACTCTGTCTCAAAAAAAAAAAAAGAAATGTTCAAAGCTTTGATTTAACCCCAATCAAGCTATTTCTTCTTTACATGCACAGATCTGTTCTCCAGTCAAAACAAGGCTGGTGTCTTCATGTGCTTTTGTTGCTGATCTGCCATGGGAGGAAAATAATGAATGTCCCCCAAAGGGCCTCCTTGTGTCTTTAGTGACTCTATTTAGCAGGCTGTCTCACCTGAACTGCACCAGAGATTTAGATATGTTTGAAGGTACGAGGGTTCAGTCCTATCTCTCTCTGGCCATGAAGCACTCACTGCCTGGGGACAAAGTTGGGAGAGTGCTGAGACAGGGTGCCTAGGAGGAAAGACAGGAAATAGGGTTACAATGGCGAGGATGCAGTAACATTTTCCCCACCCCGACTCCAACCCTATGGCAGCAAAGCTGGGCACATGTGTGCTGCTTTAGAGCCTGAGAGGCAGAGCTGGAGAAAAGGTCCTGCTCCCTTTCTCACCCTATCCCAACCCTGCCACACATACGGATAGCTCTGGCTTCCTAAGAAGGGAAGAATATGGATGTGCCTAATGGAGTCCCATTCTCACTGAGGGCCAACTCAGGGTGCAGTCCCCTGACAAAGAAGCCAAGGCATCACACGAGCAAACTTGTTTCTCAGCACATGTGATGAGCCAACACCTTGGGGACTACCTTGAAATAACTGAGGGGAAGGGGGTGGAAGTTTAGCATAAGCCTATAGGGTTTAGAACCCCTGTAAATGGAAGCATAAAAATGAGTGTGTCTGAACGTGTACTCACAGGCTGGTTACACCATGAAATAAAGATCTTTTTTCAGTTTCTATTTATGATGGTCAGAGGTTTCTGTGACCTGCACCAGATACTCTGATATCTTCCAGGGGATTGGTACATTCCACTTTTTCAAGACCTGGTTTTCTTCAGATTTCATAGATGATTGCAAAATGAAGCTACTTTCCCATCCTGGGCACATATTGCAACTAAGTTTGAAGATAAAGTTATGGAATGAAAGTCTGGGGCTCAGAGGGATAACTTAGGAGTTCTTACCCAGCTACTTGCTTTGTCTATTTATAGTGGAATAGTATAGAGATGGTAGTTCAGGCACTATTTTATCTCAATTAGGATACAGATTGCATTAGTGTCTTATTTCAAGAAAGGAAATACCACCATAAATATCATGGACCAGGTTACAGAAAATAAACATAATGTGCTTTACTGAACTAGTTTTTTTGTTACATCTTTTTGCTATTCAGTTCCTACATCTTATTCCTTTTTGGTCTATCCTTTAGGGGGATGTTGTATAAACTATTTTTAAGTGCACAGTTTAACAATTCGATAACAGCTAGTAAAGTTGAAGAAAAGCCAATTTTGTAACCCAGCAATTCCGCTCTTAAATATATACCCTGTAGAAAAAAAACCTTACCCCTGGGCCTGAAGAGACCTCACAAGTATTGCAGCATTGTTTGTAGTAGGAAAAAACATGTTCATAACAGTAAAGTTAAATAAAGTTGGGTTTAGTCATATAAAGCAATTCAATGCAGCAGTTAAAACAATCGTACTAGACCTATTAGTATCAGCATGGAAAAATCCCAACAAAACATCATATGTAAAAAAGATGTAAAAGAACACATATAAAATACACCAAATAAGTTAATATTAAAAACCAACCCCCAAAGAGCACTGCATATTATTTCTGCATATATATAAGGTAATTTTAATGAACAAGAAAGATAAATTCTAACCTTATGATATCAGCTCCCTCTGGAAAGGAAGACAAATAAATAAAACAATGTGATAAAAGAATGGACATTTAGCTATACTGCAACATTTTGTTTCAAAAGAAGGAAAGGAGGGAAGAAAAGAGGGAGAGAGGGAAGAAGGAAGAAAAAAAAAGAGAACCAATGCTAATATGACAAGATAGTACCTCTTAAATCTAGGTAGTTTGTACATGAGTGTAAATTATATTTTGCAGTTTTCCTGTATGTTCAAACTATTTCAATTTTTTTTTTAATTTAAAAACAAAGGGGCCGGGCGCAGTGGCTCATGCCTGTAATCCCACCACTTTGGGAGGCCGAGGCAGGCGGATCACTTGAGGTCAGGAATTTGAGACCAGCCTGTCTCTACTAAAAATACAGAAATTAGCTGGGCGGGGTAGGACATGCGTGTAATCCCAGTTACTCGGGAGGCTGAGGCACGAGAATCACTTGAACCCAGTGTGTCCGGAATTGGTGGGTTCTTGGTCTCACTGACTTCAAAAATGAAGCCGCGGACCCTCACGGTGAGTGTTACAGCTCTTAAGGTGGCGCGTCTGGACTCTCTCCCTTCTGATGTTCAGATGTGTCCAGAGTTTCTTCCTTCTGGTGAGTTCGTGGTCTCGCTGGGCTCAGGAGTGAAGCTGCAGACCTTGGCGGTGAATGTTACAGCTCTTAAGGTAGTGCGTCTGGAGTTCTTCCTTCCTCCCAGTGGGCTCGTGGTCTCGCTGGGCTCAGGAGTGAAGCTGCACATCTTCGCCGTGCGTGTTACAGCTCATAAAAGCAGTGTGGACCCAAAGAGTGAGCAGTAGCAAGAGTTATTGCAAAAAGCAAAAGAACAAAGCTTCCACAGCGTGGAAGGGGACCCGAGCGGGTTGCCAATGCTGGCTCGGGCAGCCTGCTTTTATTCTCTTATCTGGCCCCACCCACATCCTGCTGATTGGTAGAGCCTAGTGGCCTGTTTTGTCAGGGCGCTGATTGGTGCGTTTACAATCCCTGAGCTAGATACAAAGTTTCTCCACGTCCCCATCAGATTAGTTAGATACAGAGTTTGGACACACAGGTTCTCCAAGGCCCCACCAGAGCAGCTAGATACAGAGTGTCGATTGGTGCACTCACAAACCTTGAGCTGAACACAGGGTGCTGATTGGTGTATTTACAATCCCTGAGCTAGATATAAAGACTCTCCACATCCCCACCAGACTCAGGATCCCAGCTGACTTCACCCAGTGGATCCCGCACCGGGGCTGCAGGTGGAGCTGCCTGCCAGTCCCGCGCCATGCGCTCATACTCCTCAGCCCTTGGGTGGTCGATGGGACTGGGCGCCATGGAACAGGGGGTGGTATTCGTCGGGGAGGCTCGGGCTGCACAGGAACCCACGGAGGCAGGGGAAGGCTCAGGCATGGCGGGCTGCAGGTCCCGAGCCCTGCCCTGCGGGAAGGCAGCTAAGGCTCGGCGAGAAATCGAGCACAGCGCCGGTGGGCTGGCACTGCTGGGGGACCCAGTACACCCTCCGCAGCTGCTGGCCCGGGTGCTAAGCCCCCCACTGCCTGGGGCCAGCAGGGCTCTGAGTGCGGGACCCTCCAAGCCCACGCCCACCCGGAACTCCAGCTGGCCCGCAAGCGCCGTGCGCAGCCCCGGTTCCCGTTCGCGTCTCTCCCTCCACACCTCCCCGCAAGCTGAGGGAGTGGGCTCCAGCCTTGGCCAGCCCAGAAAGGGGCTCCCACAGTGCAGTGGTGGGCTGAAAGGCTCCTCAAATGCTGCCAAAGTGGGAGCCCAGGCAGAGGAGGTGCCAAGAGCAAGCGAGGGCTCTGAGGACTGCCAGCACGCTGTCACCTCTCATCAGGAGGCGGAGGCTGCAGTGAGCTGAGATTGTGCCATTGTACTCCAGCCTAGGCAACAGAGTGAGACTCTGTCTCAAAAAAAAAAAAAAATGATGGACAGCTCACCAGCAAAGGGATTTTACCCCCTCTTGGGTGGTACCTATTCTATAGGGACTTCCTGGGTTTAATGACTGAGATACAGGTAAGTATATTCTAGAATTAAATACTAGTACTCACCTCCCCTCATCCCCACACAAACTACTATTCCTTGCTATTATATACATGCTTCAGCTTGGTCTCTGCCAGATAACACTAGCCCCAGGAGACAGAATAAGAGGGAAAGGGGAAAAAACATGAAACCAAACTCTTGTAAGACATGAAGAAACACTCACTCTGTTACAGCCCACTTTGGAATGCTCTGTGTTTCTGTCACCTCAAGCATTCTGATTCATTCTGAGCGTCTCCTCCAGATACAAGTCATTTAGCCAGCCGACAGGAGGAACAATTACTGCTGGCTTAAAAGATTGGTTGATTTCTCTGGCGTCTATTTGCCTGCAGTTCTGGCTCTCTGACAAATCAAGTCAGATCAATTTGTACCCTAAAGAGTAAATGGGAGGATGTGATTATTTTCTAGTTCAATAGAAAAGCATTTCATTTCAAAGGGCTGCTGCATAGCATTTTTGAGAGTCACAAGGAATGAATCAGGTCACTAGAGAACAAATGATGGGTTCTCAGGAGAACCGCTGGCTTTGCTTCTCACCTATGCTTTAGGAACTGAGGCAGGACGTGGGATGAACAGAAAGCACACTCCACTGAGAGAAGGCTCTACACATCCCATGTCTAAGGAATATTTTATTTGTCTCTTCAGAAGCAGTGAGTCTTCTAAAGTTAGAAAACATGGTAAAAATTCAGGAAGATGGAAACCTAATTCTACTGGCGACCACATCAAGATCTAGAAAATCACTTCTGAAAAGGAACCAACAAGCAGAAATAAACTTCTGAACAACAAGAGGGAAAGAGGGGTAAGAAAATCATAGTTTGTTCCTTGACACTCTGCTGCCATTTACCAACAGATTTGTCTGTTGAGACAGAGCACTACAGGAGAGGCCGCAGGAGAAAAGCCTTGGTGGGTGCCAGGCTCCTTTTACTGAGGCTGCCCCGCTGGAATCTGCCTTCTCAGATGCAGTCTAACCACTGAACTCAATCTTAAGGGTCAGGTCCACCCCACATTCCTCTGCCTCACAGACATTACAGTTGATACGCAGGAGCTGGAAATAATGTCGTGGAAACACATGGGATTTGGGGACAGGCTACTCGGGTTCATTCTCAGCTCTGTGGTTTATTAGTTTTAAGACCTTGACAAACCACTTAAGCTTCGATTTCCTCAGCTGTAAAACAAGAACAGTCCTAGTACCTTCCTCACAGGGTAGTTATTAAAGGACATGATGGGTACAAAGCTCTTAATGCAGCACCTGGTCCAGACTGAGCATTCCACAGGCATTCCTGATGATTGCTGTTATTGTCTTCTGCCCTGGAAATGTGATGCTATTTGGTTACCTATGAAACACCTGGAGATTTTTAAATTCAAATTTTAGTGGGAATATGTCCACTGCATGAACATCAGATATATCCATGCTAGTGGGCCTGGTCCTTAGAGGTGAACTAAAGGCTTTCTCCGAGTCATTCCCCTCTATCATGAAATTGGCATCCTTTCTTATACTGATCTCTATGGCAATCATATTACTCTTGCTCCCATCTCTACAACACTCTATATGAGGTAAATTTATTCATGAGCACCATAGTGCAGCAACAGCCAAGATGTCAGAAGGCAAGAGTTCTGGCTCTCTCCATGGCAACAACCAGTTGTGTGAGTGTAAGTGATTTATTTATCACTTCTGCCTTTTGATTTTTTCACCTATAAAGTGAGGATCATTTTTCATGCTCTATTTACTTCACCGGGCTATGAAAAACTGAAAAAGGGAAAATGAGGGAATAGACCAATGAAACAGAATAGAGACCCCAAAATAAATCCACACACTTGCAGCCAACTCATTTTCAACAAAGGTGGCAAGAACATCCCTCGGGGAAAGGACAGTGTCTTTAATAAATGGTGCTAGGAAAACTGAAAGGCAAATGCAAAAGAATGAAGCTAGATCCCCATCTTTCACCATGTAAATAAGTCAACTCAAAATGGATTAAAGGTTAAAACATAAGACCTGAAACTATAAAACTACTAGAAGAAAACATTGGAGAAATGCTCCAGGACATTGGTCTGGGCAAAGATTTTTTGCATAAGACCTCAAAAGCACAGGCAACTAAAGCAAAAAGAGACAAATGGGATTATATCAAGCTAAAAAGCTTCTGCCACAGCAAAGGAAACAGTCAACAAAGTGAAAAGACAACCCACAGAATGGAGAAAATATTTGCAAACAATCTCTCCTATAAAAGGTTAATAACCAGAATACATAAGGTACTCAAACAAATCAATAGCAAAAAGCAAAAACAAATACTCTGATTTTAAAATGGTCAAAAGACCCAAATAATCATTTCTCAAAAGAAGACATACAAATGGTGTTATAAGCAACATAAAATGAACTAAGACAAAAAAAAGGAAAAAAAATTTTTAAGTAAAAAATAAGAAGACATACAAATAGCCAAGAGGTATACAAAAAAATGCCCAACATCGTTAATCATCAGGGAAATGTAAATCAAAACCACAGTGAGATATCATCTATTAGAATGGCTATTACTAAAAAGACAAAAACAAAAAAACAAAAACAAAAACAAAACAGAGGCTGGCAAGTGTGTGGAGAAAGGGGAATGCTCATACACTGTAAGTAGAAATGTAAATTAGTATGGCCATTATGGATAATGGTATGAAGGTTCCTCAAAAAACTAAAAATAGAACATATGATACAGTAATTCGACTGCTGGATACATATTTTTAAAAAGTAAATCAGTATATCAAAGAAACATCTGTACACTCATGTTTATTGCAGCCCTATTCACAATAGCAAAGCTATAGAATCAACCTTTGTGTCCATCAGTGGATGAATGGATAAAGAAAATGTGGTGTATATACACAATGGAATGTTATTCAGCCGTTAAAAAAGAATGAGATCTTGTCATTTGCACCAACATGGATGGAACTGGAGGATCTTATGTTATGTGAATAAGCCAGGCACAGAAAGACAATGTTCTTATTCACATGTGGGAGCTAAAACCTGGATCTCATGGAGATAGAGAGTAAAACTGTGGTTATGAGAGGCTGAGAAAGGAAGAGGGGAGAGGGGAACAAGAGAACTTGGTTAAGGGTACAAAAATATAGTTAGATAGAAGAAATACGTCATAGCATTCAATAGTATGGGAGGGAAATTATAGTTAACAATAATTTATTGTATATCTCAAAAAAGCTAAAAGAAAAAAATTGTAATGTTCCCAATACAAACAAAGATAAATGAAGTGATGGATATCCCAATTACCCTGATTTGATAATTACACATTGTATACATATATCAAAATATCACATGTGCCCCCAAAATATGTACAACTATTATATATCAATAAAAATCAGGACATTAATATTGATATAATTTTTTTTGAGACTAAGCCTCACACTGTCACCAGGCTGGAGTACAGTGGCGTGATCTTCGCTCACTGCAACCTCCGCCTCCCGGGTTCAAGCAATTCTCCTGCCTCAGCCTCCTGAGTAGCTGAGACTACAGGTGCGCACCACCATGCCCAGCTAATTTTTGTGCTTTTAGTAGACACGGGGTTCCACCATGTTGGCCAGAATGGTCTCGATCTCTTGACCTCGTGATCCACCCATCTTGGCCTCCCAAAGTGCTGGGATTACAGGCGTGAGCCACCACGCCCTGCCAATATTGATAGAATTTTAAAAAGAAGGTAAAGGTAATGTTTATTTGAAAAGGGTAAGGAGGAAATGCAAGAGATCATTGTCAGTTGGTTATCTTTATTCTGACATCTGCAAGTCCTTGAAGGCATGAACACAGAAGAGTCTAAAAATGATCAGTTATCGGGGGCACAGTTCCAAGATGGCCGAATAGGAACAGCTCCAGTCTATAGCTCCCAGGGTGAGCGACACAGAAGGCAGGTGATTTCTGCATTTCCAAATGCGGTACCGGGTTCATCTCACTGGGGAGTGTCGGAAAGTGGGTGCAGGACAGTGGGTGCAGTGCACCGAGCGTAAGCCGAAGCAGGGCAAGGCATCGCCTCACCCAGGAAGTGCAAGGGGTCAGGGAATTCCCTTTCATAGCCAAGCAAAGCTGTGAAAGACGGCACCTGGAAAATCAGGTCACTCCCACACTAATACTGAGCTTTTCCAATGGTCTTAGCAAACGGCACACCAGGAGATTATATCCCACGCCTGGCCCAGAGGGTCCCACACCCACAGAGCCTCACTCATTGCTAGCACAGCAGTCTGAGATCGAACTGCAAGGTGGCAGCGAGGCTGGGGGAGGGGTGCCTGCCATTGCTGAGGCTTGAGTAGGTAAACAAAGCGGCCAGGAAGCTCGAACTGGGTGGAGCCCACTGCAGCTCAAGAAGGCCTGCCTGCCTCTGTAGACTCCACCACTGGGGGCAGGGCATAGCCAAACAAAAGGCAGCAGAAACCTAGGCAGACTTAAATGTCCCTGTCTGACAGCTTTGAAGAGAGTAGTGGTTCTCCCAGCACGGAGTTTGAGATCTGAGAATGGACAGACTGCCTCCTCAAATGGGTCCCTGACCCCCGAGTAGCCTAACTGGGAAGCACCCCAAAGTAGGGGCAGACTGACACCTCACACAGTAGGGAACCCCTCTGAGATGAAACCTCCAGAGAAACGATCAGACAGCAACCTTTGTTGTTCAGCAATATTCGCTGTTCTGCAGCCTCCGCTGCTGATACCCAGGCAAACAGGGTCTGGAGTGGACCTCTAGCAAACTCCAACAGACTTGCAGCTGAGGGTCCTGACTGTTAGAAGGAAAACTAACAAACAGAAAGGACATCCACACCAAAACCCCATCTGTACGTCACCATCATCAAAGACCAAAGGTAGATAAAACCACAAAGATGGGGAAAAAACAGAACAGAAAAAATGAAAATTCTAAAAATCAGAGTGCCTCTCCTCCTCCAAAGGAACGCAGCTCCTCACCAGCAATGGAACAAAGCTGGATGGAGAATGACTTTGACGAGTTGAGAGAAGAAGGCTTCAGATGATCAAACTTCTCCGAGCTAAAGGAGGAAGTCTGAACCCATCGCAAAGAAGTTAAAAACCTTGAAAAAAGATTAGACGAATGGCCAACTAGGATAACCAATGCAGAGAAGTTCTTAAAGGACCTGATGGAGCTGAAAACCATGGCACGAGAACTATGTGAAGAATGCACAAGCTTCAGTAGCCGATTTGATCAACTGGAAGAAAGGGTATCAGTGATTGAAGATCAAATGAATGAAATGAAGCAAGAAGAGAAGTTTAGAGAAAAAAGAATAAAAAGAAACGCACAAAGCCTCCAAGAAATACGGCACTATGAGAAAAGACCAAATCTACCTCTGATTGGTGTACCTGAAAGTGATGGGGAGAATGGAACCAAGTTGGAAAACACTCTGCAGGATATTATCCAGGAGAACTTCCCCAACCTACCAAGGCAGGCCAACATTCAAATTCAGGAAATACAGAGAATGCCACAAAGATACTCCTCGAGAAGAGCAACTCCAAGACACATAATTGTCAGATTCACCAAAGTTGAAATGAAGGAAAAAAGTGTTAAGGGCAGCCAGACAGAAAGGTCGAGTTACCCACAAAGGGAAGCCCATCAGACTAACAGCTGATCTCTCGCCAGAAACCCTACAAGCCACAAGAGAGTGGGGCCAATATTCAACGTTCTTAAAGAAAAGAATTTTCAACCCAGAATTTCATATCCAGCCAAACTAAGCTTCATAAGTGAAGGAGAAATAAAATCCTTTACAGACAAGCAAATGCTGAGAGATTTTCTCACCACCAGGCCTGCCCTACAAGAGCTCCTAGAGGTAGCACTAAACATGGAAAGGAAAAACCGGTACCAGCTACTGCAAAAACATGCCAAATTGTAAAGACCATCAATGCTAGGAAGAAACTGCATCAACTAATGAGCAAAATAACTAGCTAACGTAATGACAGGATCAAATTCACACATAACAATATTAAGCTTAAATGTAAATGGGCTACATGCTCCAATTAAAAGACACAGACTGGCAAATTGGATAAATAGTCAAGACTCATCAGTGTGCTGTATTCAGGAAACCCATCTCATGTACAGAGGCACACATAGCCTCAAAATAAAGGGATGGAGGAAGATCTACCAAACAAATGGAAAACAAAAAAAAAGGCAGGGGTTGCAATCCTAGTCTCTGATAAACCAGACTTTAAATCAAAAAAGACCAAAAGAGACAAGGCCATTACATAAGCGTAAAGGGATCAATTCAACAAGAAGAGCTAACTATCCTAAATATATATGCACCCAATACAGGAGCACCCACATTCACAAAGCAAGTCCTTAGAGACCTACAAAGAGACTTAGACTCCCACGCAATAATAATGGGAGACTTTAACACCCCACTGTCAACATTAGACAGATCAGTGAGACAGAAAGTTAACAAGAATATCCAGGAACTGAATTCAGCTCTGCACCAAGCAGACCTAATAGACATCTACAGAACTCTCCACCCCAAATCAACAGAATATACATTCTTCTTAGCACCACACTGCACCTATTCCAAAATTGACCACATACTTGGAAGTAAAGCACTCCTCAGCAAATGTAAAAGAACAGTAATTATAACAAACTGTCTCTCAGACCACAGTGCAATCAAACTAGAACTCAGGATTAAGAAACTCACTCAAAACCTCTCAACTACATGGAAACTGAACAACCTGCTCCTGAATGACTACTGGGTACATAACGAAATGAAGGCAGAAATAAAGATGTTCTTTGAAACCAACGAGAACAAAGACACAACATACCAGAATCTCTGGGACGCATTCAAAGCAGTGTGTAGAGGGAAATTTATAGCACTAAATGCCCACAAGAGAAAGCAGGAAAGATCTAAAATGGACACCCTAACATCACAATTAAAAGAACTAGAGAAGCAAGAGCAAACACATTCAAAAGCTAGCAGAAGGCAAGAAATATCTAAGATCAGAGGAGAACTAAAGGAGATAGAGACACAAAAATACCCTTCAAAAAATCAATGAATCCAGGAGCTGGTTTTCTGAAAAGATCAACAAAATTGATAGACTGCTAGCAAGACTAATAAAGAAGAAAAGAGAGAAGAATCAAATAGATGCAATAAAAAATGATAAGGGGGATATCACCACTGATCCCAAAGAAATACAAACTTCCGTCAGAGAATACTATAAACGCCTCTACGCAAATAAACTAGAAAATCTAGAAGAAGTGGATAAATTCCTCGACACATACACCCTCCCAAGACTAAACCAGGAAGAAGTTGAATCTCTTAATAGACCAATAACAGGCTCTGAGATTGAGGCAATAATTAATAGCTTACCAACCAAAAAAAGTCCAGGACCAGACGGATTCACAGCTGAATTCTACCAGAGGTACAAGGAGGAGCTGCTACCATTCCTTCTGAAACTATTACAATCAATAGAAAAAGAGGGACTCCTCCCTAACTCGTTTTATGAAGCCAGCATCATCCTGATACCAAAGCCTGGTAGAGATACAACAAAAAAAGAGAACTTTAGACCAATATCCCTGATGAGCATCCATGCAAAAATCCTCAGTAAAATACCGGCAAACTGAATCCAGCAGCACATTGGAAAGCTTATCCACCATGATCAAGTGGGCTTCATCCCTGGGATGCAAGGCTGGTTCAGCATACGCAAATCAATAAACGTAATCCAGCATATAAACAGAACCAAAGACAAAAAACACATGATTATCTCCATAGATGCAGAAAAGGCCTTTGACAAAATTCAACAACCCTTCATGCTAAAAACTCTCAATAAATTAGGTATTGATGGGACGTATCTAAAAATAATGGGTATTTATGACAAACCCACAGCCACTATCATACTGAATGGGCAAAAACTGGAAGCATTCCCTTTGAAAACTGGCACAAGACAGGGATGCCCTCTCTCACCACTCCTATTCAACATAGTGTTGGAAGTTCTGGCCAGGGCAATTAGGCAGGAGAAAGAAATAAAGGGTATTCAATTAGGAAAAGAGGAAGTCAAACTGTCCCTGTTTGCAGATGACATGACTGTATATCTAGAAAACCCCATTGTCTCAGCTCAAAATCTCCTTAAGCTGACAAGCAATTTCAGCAAAGTCTCAGGATACAAAATCAATGTGCAAAAATCACAAGCATTCTTATACACCAATAACAGACAAACAGAGAGCCAAATCATGAGTGAACTCCCATTCACAATTGCTTCAAGGAGAATCAAATACCTAGGAATCCAACTTACAAAGGATGTGAAGGACCTCTTCAAGGAGAACTACAAACCACTGCTCAATGAAATAAAAGAGGACACAAACAAATGGAAGAACATTCCATGCTCATGGATAGGAAGAATCAATATCGTGAAAATGGCCATACTGCCCAAGGTAATTTATAGATTCAATGCCATCCCCATCAAGCTACCAATGACTTTCTTCACAGAACTGGAAAAAACTATATTAAAGTTCATATGGAACCAAAAAAGAGCCTGCATTGCCAAGTCAATCCTAAGCCTAAAGAACAAAGCTGGAGGCATCATGCTATCTGATTTCAAACTATACTACAAGGCTACAGTAACCAAAACTGCATGGTACTGGTACCAAAACAGAGATACTCACCAATGGAACAGAACAGAGTCCTCAGAAATAATACCACATATCTACAACTATCTGATCTTTGACAAACGTGACAAAAACAAGAAATGGTGAAAGGATTCCCTATTTAACAAATGGTGCTGGGAAAACTGGCTTGCCATATGTAGAAAGCTGAAACTGGATCCCTTCCTTACACCTTATACAAAAAATTAATTCAAGATGGATTAAAGACTTAAACGTTAGAGCTAAAACCATAAAAACCCTAGAAGAAAACCTAGGCAATACCATTCAGGACATAGGCATGGGCAAGGACTTCATGTCTAAAACACCAAAAGCAATGGCAACAAAAGCCAAAATTGACAAATGGGATCTAATTAAACTAAAGAGCTTCTGCACAGCAAAAGAAACTACCATCAGAGTGAACAGGCAACCTGCAGAATGGGAGAAAATTTTTGCAATCTACTTATCTGACAAAGGGCTAATATCCAGAATCTACAAAGAACTCAAACAAATTTACAAGAAAAAAACAACCCCATCAATAAGTGGGTGAAGGATATGAAGGGACACTTCTCAAAAGAAGACATTTATGCAGCCAAAAGACACATGAAAAAATGCTCATCATCACTGCCCATCAGAGAAATGCAAATCAAAACCACAATGAGATATCATCTCACACCAGTTAGAATGGCAATCATTAAAAAGTCAGGAAACAACAGGTGCTGGAGAGGATGTGGAGAAATAGGAACACTTTTACACTGTTGGTGGGACTGTAAACTAGTTCAACCATTGTGGAAGACAGTGTGGCGATTCCTCAGGGATCTAGAACTAGAAATTCCATTTGACCCAGCAATCCCATTACTGGGTATATACCCAAAGGATTATAAATCATAATGCTATAAAGACATATGCACATGTATGTTTATTGCAGCACTACTCACAATAGCAAAGACTTGGAACCAACCCAAATGTCCATCAATGATAGACTGGATTAAGAAAATGTGGCACATATCCACCATGGAATACTATGCAGCCATAAAAAAGGATGAGTTAATGTCCTTTGTAGGGACATGGATGAAGCTGGAAACCATCATTCTCAGCAAACTATCGCAAGGACCAAAAACCAAACACCACATGTTCTCACTCATAGGTGGGAACTGAACAATGAGAACACTTGGACACAGGAAGGGGAACATCACACACTGGGGCCTGTCGTGGGGTGGGGGGAGAGGGGGAGGGATAGCATTAGGAGATATACCTAATGTAAATGACAAGTTAATGGGTGCAGCACATCAATATGGCACATGTATACATATGTAACAAACCTGCACGTTGTGCACATGTACTCTAGAACTTAAAGAATAATAAAAAACAAATAAATAAATAAAATAAGATAAAATAAAATGATTGCACCCATAATGTAGCAACAATGCCTATGTAATAGTGCTTTGACAAGCCTCACATTATACAAGCCATACTTTATACAAGCCACACTGGGGACTTTATGAATATTGTTAATAATGGTGGATCCATGAGTTAAAGTTTACAAGTTTTTAACATAAATGACAGCAAATTCAACGCCTTCCATCCTGAAATTAGAAACTGACCATGTACAATTCCTGGTTGGTTCATTTATAGCATTTATATTTGATTTTTTAATATTTTATTTTCATAAAGAAATACTGAGCCAGGCATGGTGGCTCACGCCTGTAATCCCAGCGCTTTGGGAGTCCACGCAGGTGGATTACTTGAGGTCAGGAGTTCCAGAGCAGCCTGACCAACATGGTGAAACCCCGTCTCTACTAAAAATACAAAAATTAGCCAGGCGTGGTGGCGTGCACCTGTAATCCCAGCTACTTGGGAGGCTGAAGCAAAAGAATCACTTGACCCCGGTGGGGCAGAGGTTGCGGTGAGCTGAGATCATGCCACTGCACTCCAGCCTGAGCGATAGAGCAAGACTCTGTCTCAAAAATTAAAAAAAAAGAAAGAAAAGAAATACTAAGGGCCACATTTTAGGGTTGTTTCTTTTAATTTTAAAAATATAACTGTAGTGTAAATTATTAATCAACTTTGTGCTTTCTGGGTATATGTTAAAAGCCTAAAACTGGGCTGGGCATGGTGGCTTACGTCTGTAATCCCAGCACTTTGGGAGACTGAAGTGGGAGGATTCCTTCAGACCAGGAGTTCAAGACCAGCCTGGGCAATGTGGCAAGGACAGTTCTCTACAAAAAAAAAAAAAAAAAAAAAAAAACTTTATTTAGCTGGTTATGGCAATATGTGCTTATAGTCCCAGCTATTTGGGAGGCTGTGGTGGGAGGATCTCCTGAGCCCAGTAGTTCAAGTCTGCAGGGAGCTATGATTGTGCCATTGCATTCCAGCCTGGGCAACAGAGTGAGACTCTGTCTCTAAAAGAAAAAAAAAATGTCACACTGGGAGCAGTGGCTCACACCTGTAATCCCAGCACTTTGGGAGGCCAAGGCAGGCCAATTACAAGGTCAGGAGTTCGAGACCAGCCTGGCCAATGTGGTGAAACCCCATCTCTACTAAAAATACAAAAATTAGCTGGGTGTGGTGGCACACGCCTGTAGTCCCAGCTACTTGGAAGGCTGAGGCAGGAGAATTGCTTGAACCCGGGAGGCGGAGGTTGCAGTAAGCCGAGATCACACCACTGCACTCCAGCCTGAGTGACAGAGCAAGAATCCACCGTCTCAAAAAAAAAATGTATTTTTTATATATATAGATATAGGAAATGGTTGTCACAAACATTTTCTTTGTGTTTCTGTTAAGACTGGGCTAACACCTACTGTTGTTATCTGCTGCACAGTCCCAACAGAAATGATGCTCACAAAGTAAATTGTAAATAGTTTATTTGCAACAGGCATTTCCTGCTGCTAAAGACTTATGAGCACCCTGTTTCATATCCTTGAGCAATTTGGAGATGATTAATCACCACTCCTGCTTAGAGGATGCAAATATAGGCAACTAGGGAAAATGTACTTATTGATATTAATGGGATTTATTTCAGATTTTTTAAAAGTATGCAATCTCCCTAGTTATGGTGAGACCAGAACTCTCCAGCCCTTTTGTTCCATGGAAATTACTACGCCTTTATCTTCATGCCTTTGTTCCTACTGTTTCCTCAATCTAGATTCCCTCTCCCCTCCACTATTTCTATATCCATCAAACCCTATGCCACCTATTTTGTGATGCTGCCCTCCTGCCCCAACCCCAATTCAAATGACTCTCCCCTCTTCCATGCTTTCATAACTATACACAGTTGTCTCTCAGTTTTCATGGGGAATTGGTTCCAGGACCCCCTGCCCATACCAAAATCCATGGATGCTCAAGTTCCTTTTATAAAATACAGCAGTGTCAGAGGTGTTTGAACCAGAGCTACTCCATCTTGAATAGGGGCTGGGTAAAATAAGGCTGAGACCTACTGGGCTGCATGCCCAGTAGGTTAGACATTCTAAGGCACAGGATGAGATAGGATGTCGGCACAAGACACACGTCACAAACACCTTACTGCTAAAACAGGAAAATAGATTGCGGTAAAGAAGCTGGCCAAAACCCACCAAAACCAAGATGGTGATGAAAGTGACTTCTGGTTGTCCTCACTGTTCATTATATGCTAATTATAATACATTAGCATGCTAAAAGACACTTCCACCAGCTCCATGACAATTTACAGATGCCCTGGCAATGTCCAGAAGTTACCCTATATGATCTAAAAAGGGCAGGAACCCTCAGTTCTGGGAACTGCCCACCCCTTTCCCGGAAAACTCATGAATAATCCATCCATTGTTTAGCATATAATCAAGAAATAACTATAAGTATAATAAGCGAGCAGCCCAAGCCACTGTTCTGTCTTTGGAGTAGCCATTCTTTTATTCCTTTACTTTCTTAATAAACTTGTTTTCACTTTACTCTATGGATTCGCCCTGAATTCTTTTTTGCACGAGGTCCAAGAACCCTCTCTTGGCGTCTGAATCAGGACCCCTTCCCGATAACAGTAGTATTTGCATATAACCTACACACCTCTTCTCGTATACTTTGAATCATCTCTAGATTCCTTATAATAGCTAATACAATGTAAATGCTATGTAAATAATTGCTATCCTGTATTGTTTAGGGAATAAGGACAAGGAAAAAGTCTGTACATGTTCAGTACAGATGCAACCAACCATTTTTTCCCCAAATATTTTGGACCAACAGTTGATTGAATCCACGGATGTGGAATCCCATGGTTGTGGAACCCACAGATGTGGAGGGTTGACTATACCTGTATCTAGGTATAATGTTTAGGTCCTTCTGCTTTGCTTTTTAATTTTTTGTCTCACACAGAATTTTATGTTTCTTTAGGACTGTGACCCACATTACATATGTCTCTCCCTTTCTCAATACACAGGCAAACACAGCACACATGAGGCTTTGCACATAGTAAACACACAGTAAATATTAATTGACATATAATAACAGCCATAATTCAGTCATTCAATAAGCATCTATTAAGTATTTCTATGTGACAGGATTGTGCCAGACCCTGAAATTGGAAGTGGATAACAAGAATAAATAGGACACAGTTTAATGAAGGAGACAGCCATGCCAATAACATTACAATACATTGTGATAAATGCTCTGATAAAAATATGCAAAGTAGTGTGGGAGCACAGGGGAGGGAGAAACTAACTTTGCCGGGGGAGTTCAGACAGGCTGCACAGAAAAGGCAAGCTCCAACCTTCAATTTAAAGGATGACAAGACTCACCAGGTAGCACGGGTGTGGTGGGTGTGGAAGGCCTTAAAACAAAAGGGAGTCATTTCCAAAAAGCCACAGAGATGTAAAAAGAATGATGAGGGGCAGGGCTACAATCGGAGCATTGGCATGCAGTGGTGAGTACAGGGAGATAAGGCTGGAGAGAGAGGGAGCCAGACTGCAAAATGTTTTAAATGCCAGGCTGAGGAGCTTCACCTTGACCCAGCAGGCAGGAGATCCATCTCAGGTTTTGCAACAGGAGAGAAAGTAGGTCAGACCTGGATTTGAGAATGATCATACTGGTGGCTGGCAGCTCAATTGGCCACAGCATTCGGCCCTTGTTTCTATATTCTGCCCCTGGCACTGGTGTTTCACTGCTCTCTGGAGAATTTCAAGCAAAGAATGATGAGTTCCCAGGAACAGTTAATTCCCTTTACCGCTTCAGACCAAAGCAACCACATTCTCAGAATATAAATTTACTTTTGCATACTTTCACGTAGGCAATCACAGTAAAAATAAATGCTGTTAATTAGTGTTGGTCTTAAAGACTAACAGCATTTAATTTCTCCCTTCATGAAATAGTATTGTTTTTATAAGGAGTCAGAGAGGAAGAGAATGGGGGCAAGCAAAATATATGAATAAAGCAATCACGGTAGTTTAATTAAGTGAAAGTCTGCCAGCTGCTGGGAATAAGACCCCACAGCCTTATTTTGTTTGTATTTCAAATTATTCTTTCTAAAAAAAGAGAAGAATCGTGTCTAGTAGTAATCCTTCTACACCCTTTACACACACACACAAACTTTTAGGCAATCCAGATCTAAATGGAATTGTTTTTCAGGCCAACAGTGAGAAGCAGTGGGATCAGCTGGTAGTGACCCTCTGAACCTTGCTAACAGCACCTAAAGTACTTTACAGATCTTGCAGGGAGTGTGGAGAATGTCCTCAAGTTACCCAAAATGGAAAGAGAGGTGTAGGGGATGGAGAATGCTCTAACGCTCAATCTGGTTCTACCACCCTTTAGCTAGTCCTATAGAACAGGGAGGGGCCCTTCTATAAACTAAGAACACTAATTTCTCAGATACCATGCTCTGTTTTTCAGGACCATGATCTTTAGCAGACCAGGATGCAAAAATCTCATTCCAAATAGCTGCTGTTTCCTTTTTCCAGTGCTTTGAGGGGGAAACAATTAGCCTGTTCATTTCAACTGTTGACTTATCTCTAGCCAGTGGGCGCAGCAGTTCAAGTTTGGATTTGGAAGTCAGACCTCCTAGGTTCTGATCTTTGATCCATAAGCTTCTCTGTGATTTGGGGCAAATTATGTAACCTTTCTTGGCCTGAGTCCCCCATCTGTAGATGAAAGTAAAGGAAGCATCTACATCAAAAGTTGTGAAGATGAAATTAAACAATGGATATGTCTGGTATAGAATGAGGACTTTGTAAATATTAGCATCATCAGCAAATGTCAACATATCTAATGACCTACTCACACTTACCTAGGAATATTAATTAGTGTGAATTGGTTTACTACATCGCCTTTAGACTCTGGGTGATAAAGTAGTCAAAGAACACCAAACCCAACGTTTGTACTCTTCGAGGAGGAAACTGAGGCTCAGTGATCTGCCCTTAAGCCCCTGCCTCTTTAATGGCCAAGCTGAGACCAGAGCCCATGGTTCCAGGTTCCAATTAAGTGCCCTTTCCACCATGGTATGCTTTCCTCTGTGAGAAAAGAACGTGGAACCACAGAAGGTCACACAGTGCCTAAGAAGCTCATGGTCAGTTACACACCCAGCTCCTAGACTGTGTTTGATTTAGGGTTGGAGTGACCAATTGCCTGAGTTTGCCCCAAACTGAGGGGTTTCCTGGGATGTAGAACTTTCAGTCCTAAAGCCAGGGCAGTCCCAGGTAAAGTGGGCAGTTGGTCACCTTCTTAGTTCATTTGCGCTGCTATAACAGAATACCACAGACTGAGTAATTTATAAAGGACAAAAATGTATTTCTCCCAGCTCTGAAGACTGGGATCAAGGTACCAGCTGGCTCTGTTGTCTGGTGAGGGGAGTTCTATGCTTCCAAGATGGCATCTTGGTGCATCCTCCAGAAAAAAGGAACAGTGTCTTCACATGGTGAAAGGGACAAAGGGAGGAGAGAGTATTGAAATCCTTGCATCGAGTCCTTTTATAAGGGCATTTAATCCCATTCATGAGAGCAGTCACCTCCTAAAGGTCACAACTCTTCATACTGTCACATTGAAGATCAACATGAATTTTGGAGGGGACAGTATCATTCAAACCATAGCAGTCCCTTTCCTTAAGGCAAACCCCCGATAAGTGTTTACTGAATAAGTAAACAAATGTCTCCTGAGTGCCAATCAAGTCTTTATATGAAAGCAGCTTGTTTATGCTGGGAAAGGGAGACATTTGAGGAGGGAGAAAAAGGAAGGATCTGGTCCTTTTTGTCAACAATGAGATATCTGATTTGCAAGAGAACTATCCTTTCTTGGTTAAAAGAGAAGATGCTCAAAATGGACCCTTGCTGAGAAAATAAAAACTGAAAATTAAAGATGAGCAACGATCAACTTTATCTAAAGGAAAAAAAGCCAAAAGATTAGCCAATAAAACACAGCCACAACCCAGATGCAGTCTTGACCTGGTTCATTTTTCTTGGAGGCCTCATCTGAGATGGGGAATGAGGGCTCTCCCTTCAACGTGGGGAGGAACAACTGCACCATTACAGGGCAAGGACATGCCCTGTGGCTGTACCTCCAAGCGCTGCCCGGAAAGAGAGACCCTAGTAGAGAAGCCAGTTTCAAGCCTGAAAGTGACACTGATGAATGGCAGAAATGGAAGGACAGAAGAAAAATTGCAGTTAGCCAGCTGTTTTCAAAATAATTGAAGGATTCTTATTCAGTGAGTCATGGTCAGCCTAGAAAGACAGGAAGTACAGAGCTATATTTCAGGGCCCAAGAATTAGCTGTGCATAAATAGCTATCACTATCCCTCCCAAACAAAACTTTATTTCCATGAAATCTAGGGCTGCATTAAACTGGAAAAAAAATGGCTTTCTGCCAGAATTTATGTAAAATTGTGTCTTAGCAATATGGTCTTTGTACAGTGGGTTAAACTCTGAAGCATGTGGAAGATATTTGTTCCCTTTTTAATGACAATAGTTTACTGCGTAAACTCTGCCTGATGATGAGAGGTAATAACCATGCCCATAGTTAATTTTTCATTCCTTTTTGGAAGTTTCCACTTCTATGGAAAACTTTTTCAGGTTATCTTGGGAAAATCACAGCCCTTCTCAGGACCTGTGTCCCCTCCTGAACCTGGTGAATAAAAGAGCTCATTCCTGTTTTTCCAGTCTATTTTATGACAGTGTATTAACGGAAATATTTCACCTATGCTCTCAACACAGCATTGAAGTTCCAAAAAATCTTAGACTGTTCTTAGAACTTGTTCTTAAAACCTGTAACCGGCCAGGAGCGATGGCTCATGCCTGTAATCCCACCACTTTGGGAGGCCGAGGCAGGTGGATTGCTTAAGCCCAGGAGTTCAAGACCAGGGAAACATAAGGAAACCCTACCTCTACCAAAAATACAAAAATTAGCCAGTCTCATAACCTGTCTCACAATAAGTAAGTAAGTAAATAAATAAATAAATAAAACCTGTAACAGACCCAGGGCAAGGCGAACAGGCAGGTTCCTTGAGCTCCCAGAAGCTGGGTTTAGAAGCCCCACAGACAGATTTGCCAGAATTAACCAGACCAACCCTCCAACAACCAGACACATATTAAAGGGGCAGAGAGGTTTGCATCCACCTGGTCCTTATCCAGTAGCTTTCCAATTGTTTCTATTGCCAATCCATGCACAAGTTATTCCTGCAGCTGGGCCAAAACCACTGAACCTGAAAGAATAAGGTCCTTACTGCCCCATGATGAAACTTGGCAGCAAGTCTGGGATCTCCTTCTTCAACAGGGCTGTGAACATGGATACCTTCAGCATGAAATCAACTAGCTAGGAACATGCTGGCTGTTCATTCCCATTCCTATCCACAGAATACTTTCTCTGATCTGCCACTGCTGCTTCCCCTGCTGCTTACCTAAGTATGCTCAGCAGGGCCAAGTGTAGGCAAAATTTAACCGTAGATGAAGTCTGCCTGAGAGCTTCCTTCCATTTCTCTTTGAGTACCCTGGCATGATTTTGGCTATGCCAGTGACCTCCTGCTGTCCCATGGTCAACAGGAGACCACAACCTAAGCACCCCAACTAGAATTGCCATTTCCATGGTATTATACTCTAGGCATTTCCCAACGGTTCCCTCTGTAGAATTACCACTCTCTATTCCATTCTTTCAGGACCTTTATGGCCGAGAAGCTAATGAATCTTAGTTAATGTAGATGCTAGAAAGGGATGCTGGTATAATATATTTGTACTTTAACTGTGCCCTTTGCTTTTGTAAAACAAAGAAATTATATAATAGTGGAACCAATATCTCATCCAAAATGCTCTTCTAAAAGTAGGAGAGCTGGGATTCAAAGTGGCCTGACTCTAGGTCGTGTTCTCCCACTGTTGCAAATGGATGGGGCCACACTCTAAGTTACATTTCTTAAAGATGTGATAGCTGTTTTGATCTGATGTCCTCCAGCTTTTTCTAATAATGCCTTATTTTGAGACATTCAGTTGAGCAAGAAATGTCTGGTGACTCTTTGCAACATTTTATGGTGGAACTTCCTGGCTCTCTCTAGGAGATCCATGATATAAAATAGGACTTTGCTTCAATTGCCATTAACCCAAGAGTCAGTCACTGCACTGAAACAACTCTGAACAAGAACCATCTTTCATATCTATTTGTGTATACTTTTCTAACTCACATGTTCCAGGATACAGACAGGCCTAAAGAATTCCGAAGACATTTCCAGCCAACTGAGCAGAACATTTCCCAGATTGCCAAGTGAAGCTGAGAGATATTAGGATAATTTGAACAAATAATCATGGACAGATCATTCCTGGCTCCCTGAGCCATGATGGTAGAACATGATCATTCTGCTTTCTCCCCAGCTCCTCGTGGCATTCACTCAGTCCAGAGTCCCAGCAGTTAGATACCAGGCTGATAATGTTGCGAATGCTCCCTTTTGTTTAAGTTGGAAATAAATTTTGGCAACTTAGTGAGGGTAGTTTTCATGAAAGAGAAAGCAGAAGCTGTCTTAAAAGAGTATGGGGGGAAAAAATGTCAGTAAGAAAGATACTTACTGCTTCAATCAAGTTTTGTTTTGGCTTTGGTTTGGGGGATTTTTCCCTTTCTGTATAAAGTCTCAATGAATATTTCTTAGGAAGAGGAGTAGAACACTGGGGTAAGTAATAGGGAAAACATTTGGTAACTGTTCCCTTTGTCTTTATCTCCTCTTCAGACCTTCTTCACTTCACTTTCATTACAGATAGAAAATTTATTTTATAAATCTAAAAAGAAAAAGAAATAGATACAACCAAATATTTCTTAGTAGCTCTCCTTCAATAATTATGCAAAATAAGAGAATGCTGTGTAAGCTGTTCATAAGTCAGAGCTAGGAAAGAATCAAACAGCTATCAGGTTTCATTATAAACTAAAAGTCTAAGTGCCAAGAGATTAAGACAAAATGGAAAGGGGGATGTCAGTGGGTTGCTGTGGTCATGAGCAAGCCAATGGTGTAGGAATCAAAAGGTCAAATATTACAGGAAAGAATGAACAGGTTTCATGGGTTAGGGTGGACTAGGGTCAGAAGCCAACAGGTCAGGTCCATCCAGGGATTGGCAGTACAAAGTGGAGACCCTTCCATGTGTCCTCATCCTGGGTGAAAGGCTCTATTCCACACTATTTATAAATCCTACCTAAGCAAAAGCCAGGCTGGGGGGTTAACCTGATGATAAAATGGATATTTCTGATAAAGAAAAAAAGAAAAGGAAACAAAAAAATATTGAACTCATAGGCATGCCAAATACTTGACATAACACTTAGTCTTTACAATTCTTGGAGAGATAACATATGTTATATTTTCTGGCTGCCTCACACCTTTTGTGCATCTTACTATGTTCGGGGAATTTCCCATCTTGTGAGTTTTGTGTCCTCAGAGTAAAGTCAGAAAATTTGCTTCCCTAGAGACCTTGGTAGTTGGAACACAGGCATGAAGCCCAGGATCTGCCACTAAGATGTACCCAACCTAGAAGTTAATTAGAAGTAATTAGCCAGAGGAAGGGCGTGATGCCTGGGACTCATTTGCTGACAAGGGTGGTAACAGGCTCATCTAGTTTTCTGGGGAACCAGTTGTTGTAAGATCAGTTCCTGGTCCAGAAGTATCAGTGCTGGCAGAGCTGCAGTAGAGTTTGAGGTCCTAGCAGCCATTTCATGCTCTGAGGGAAAGCAAGATCATCAGCTTCTTTATTGGGTCACTTCTGCAGCATAGTGTCAGGCCTTGACCCCAGAAGCTTAGCCTCAAGCCTGCCTCTCCCAACTACTTTGTACAGGCAATAATCTTTTTAATTAGCTCTTTATCTGTTCAATCAGCCACAGTCAGGTACTATTGCTTACAACTAAGAACCCTGAGTGTTAAAAATAAGTATGCTACTATGCCTTTTTACTAAAAAAAGACCAAAGTTGAAAGATGACAAGTTACTGGGCCCAACTGGCCCACCACAGTGGTGCCCACACACACCACTGGGAGCTCTAAAAACAGGCCTGTTCAGCCCACTGCCACTCCTGTCAGTGCCCAGTCACATCATCCAGGGGCCTAGGGATCTGGGGATCATCCTACCCTTCGTGCTGCCACTGACATTCACGTTCACCATCAGGGAGCCTGAAGACAAGCACACCCCACCTGCCACCGCTGCCCATACATGTCTCCTAGAGGACTAGGGACTGGCCTACCCAGCCTGCCACCACCACCAGCAGCAGCAGCAGCAGCACCCTTCTATATGAGCCATCTGGGGGCCTGGGGTCTGCTTAGCTCACTGCCAATGCTGCTCGCACCCGCATGTGATGCTTGGGGGCCTAAGGGTTAACTTTGCACTGCTACTGCCACTGCTGATGCCACACACACAACCTAGGGGCCTGAGGACTTGATCACCTAATGAACCCACTGATACCACTGCTGGCACCCAAGAAAGCCACCTGAAGGCCCAAGAATCAGCTTGCCTGGACCCACTACAACTGGTGCCTGCATACACTACCTGGAAACCCAAGGACCAACACACCCAGCCCACCACCACCACTGGTGCCTGAGGACCAGCCCTCCTGGCATCCTTGTCCCTAGCAAAACCTGACCACAGCCTCCATTAACAACCATAGCCTAAGCTACTGTGCAACTTACAGACATCATTGACACTGATTATAGCTGACAAATCATAGGAAGACTACACTACTGCGCCCACCCATAATCAAAGCCAAAACACCGTACCCAACCAACACCATAGACACACCTACAGAAAAAAGTCTTTCCCTCCAGAAGCTAATCCATAAAATTGGAAGAAGTGACTGTTACACTAGATGCACAGATATCAATGTAAAGACCAAAAAAAAAACATAAGAAAGAAACTTGACACTTCCAAAGAAACACAATAATTCTCCAGCAACAGAATCCAACAAAAAGCAAATCGTAAACACCTGAAAAATAATTTAACATAATGATATTAAAGAAATTCAGTGAGACACAAGAGAATACAGATAAGTAATACAAAGAAATCAGAAAAACAATACATGATCTGAATGAGAAATTCAAAAAAAGATAGATATCACAAAAATGAATCACACAAAAATCCTGGAACTGAAGAATTCATTGAATGAAATAAAAAATATAATTGAGAGCTTTGACAATAGACTAGCTCAAGCTGAAATTTTTAAAAAATAGCTCAGTCAGATTAAAGAAAGAAAGAAAGAAGTAAAGAAAGAAAGCCTATGTGACAAATAGGAAATCATAAAGCAACTATTCAAAGTTTTGGAGTTTCAGAAAAGGAAGTAGGCAAAAACATATAAAACTTATTTAATGATATAATAGCCTAAAACTTCTCAAGACTTGCAAGACAACTGGACACCTGCATACAAGAGGTTCAAAGGTTCCCAAATAAATTTAACCCAAAAAATTCTTCCCCAAGGCATATTACAGTCAAACTATGAAAAGTCATAGACAAAGAGAATTCTAAAAACAGACAGAGAAAAGCATCAAGCCACATATAAGGAAATCTCCATCAGAGTAACAACAGATTTCTCAGCAGAAACCTTACAGGACAGCAGAAAATGGTATGGATGATATATTTAAAGTGCTGAAAGCAGTGGGCAGGGGGTTGGGCGGGGGGCTGGGGGGGAAAAACCTGTCAACCAAGAATACTATACTCAGCAATGCTACTTTTCAAAAATATAAGGAGAAATAAATGAGAGAATTCATCACCCATAGAGATTGGCCCTACAAGAAATGCTTAAGGGAGTTCTACATCTTGAGGCAAAAGCATGATATCTACCATCATTAAAACATAGAAAAATGTAAAACTTGTTGGTAGAGCAGACACATAAATAAAAGAAAGGACTCAAATGTAACAACTACAAAAAACTACCAAACTGCAATGATAAACAATAACAGAAGAGAGGAAGACAAGATATACAAAACAACCAGAAAACAACAGAATGATAAGAGTAAGTCCTCACCTATCAATAATAATCCTGAATGTAAACAAATTAAATTTCCCACTTAAAATATATAGACCAGCTAAATGAATTTTAATAACCCAACTATATGCTGCCTACAAGAAACTCATTTCACCTGTAAAGAGATATAGACTGAAAGTGAAGAAATGGAAAAAGATATTCTATGCAAACAGAAATTTAAAATGAACAGGAGTAGCTATACCTATGTTAGATAAAACAGACTTTAAGTCAAAAACTGCAAAAAGCCTGGCCACAGTGGCTCACACCTGTAATCCCAGCACTTTGGGAGGATGAGGAGGGTAGATTGCTTGGGCCCAGGAGTTCAAGACCAGCATGGGCAATATGGCAAAACCCTATAGCTACAAAAAATAGAAAATATTATCTGGGCATGGGTGCCCCTGTAGTCCTAGCTATTTGGGAGGCCAAGGTGGGAGAACCACTTGAACCCAGGAGGTGGAGGCTGCAATAAGCCATGATTGTGCCACTGAACTTCAGTCTAGGTGACAGGGTGAAAAAAAAAATACCTACAGAAAGAGACAAGTTTGTTATATAATAATAAAAGGATCAATTCAGCAAAAGAATATAATAATTCTAAATATATATGCCCCAACAGTGGAACACTCAGCTCTATAAAGCAAATATAATTAGATCTAAAGGGAGAGATAGACTCCAATACAATAATAGTTGGGGACTATTAGCACCCCACTTCCAGCATTAGACCAGATCATCTAAACAGAAAATCAACAAAAAAAATTGGATTTAAACTGCACTTTAGGCCAAATGTACCTAACAGACATTAACAGAACATTTTATTCAACAGCTGCAAAATGCTCATTCGTCTCATTAGTACATGGAATATTCTCCAGGATTGACCACATGTTAGGTAACAAAGCAAATCTCCACAAATTTTTTAATATTAAAACCACATCAAGTATCTTCTCAGAACGCAATGGAATAAACTAGAAATCAATTACAAAAGGAATGTTGGAAACTGTAAAAATGCACGGAAATAAAACATCATGCTCTTAAACTATCATTGGGTTGATGAAGAAATTAAGAAGGAAAATTTTAAATTTCTTGAAACAAATAAAAATAGAAATACAACATACCAAAATCTATGAGATACAGGAAAAGCTTTGCTAACAGGGAACTTCATAGCAATAAACACGTGCATGAAAAAAGTAGGAAGACTATAAATGGACAACCTAACAATGTACCTCAAGGAAGTAGAAAAGCAAGAACAAATCAAAATCAAAATGACTAGATATGGACCAGGTGCAGTGGCTCACACCTGTATTCCCAACACTTTGGGAGGCTGAGGCGGGCAGATCACCTGAGGTCAGGAGTTCAAGACCAGCCTGGCCAACATGGTGAAACCCTGTCTCTACTAAAAATACAAAAATTAGCCGGGCATGGTGGTGCATGCCTGTAATCCCAGCTACTCAGGAGGCTGAGGCAGGAGAATCACTTGAACCCTGGAGGCAGAGGTTGCAGTGAGCCAAGATCGCGCCACTGCACTCCGGCCAGGGTAACAGAGCAAGACTCCATCTCAAAAAAAAAAAAAAAAAAAAAGATACTAGAAATGAAGAAACAAAGATCAGAGAACTAAATTAAACAGTGACTTAAAAAATACAAAGAATTAATAAAATGAAAAGTTGGTGTTTTGAAAAGACAAAATCAATACACTGCTAGCTCAACTAACCAAGAAAAGAAAGACCCAAATAAATAAAATCAGAAATGAAAAAGAAGGCTTTACAACTGATACTACAGAAATAAAAAGAATCATTAGAGACTATTACAAACAACTATACATTAAGAAACTGTAAAACCCAGAGAAAAAATAGATAAATTCTTAGATACATACAACTTATCTAGATTGAACCAGGAAGAAATAGAAAACCTGAACACACCAATAACAAGCAACAAAATTGAAACAGTAATAAAAAGTCCCCCAACAACAACAAAAAAGCCCAGGACCAGAGTCCACCAAACTTATGCTGGTGAGGATGTGGAGAAAAGGGAACTCTTATACATTGTATGGGGATGTAAACTAGTATAATGCAACCACTGTGGAAAACAGTATTGAGAGTTCTCAAAAAACTAAAAATAGCTGGGTGTGGTGGCTCACACATGTAATCTTAACATGAGGGGGCCGAGGCAGGAGGATTGCTCGAGCACAGGAGTTTAAGACCAGCCTGGACAATATAGTGAGACCTCACCTCTACACAAAGTTTTTAAAAATTAGCCAGGCATGGTGGCATGTGCCTATAGTCCCAGCTATTCGGGAGGCTGAGGAGGGTGGATCCCTTGAGCCCAGGATGTCAAGGCTGGAGTGGGCCATGATTGTGCCATTGCACTCCAACGTGGGAGACAGAGCAAGAACCCATCACATTAAAAAAAAAAAATTAAAAATAGAACTACCATATGACCCAGCAATCCTACTACTGGGTATCTATGTAAAGGAAAAGAAATCAGAATTTCAAAGGGATGCCTGCACTCACAGGTTTATCACAGCACTATTCACAATTACGAAAATGTGGAACCAACCAAAGTGTTCATCAATGGATGAATGAATAAAGAAAATGTGGTGTATATTTATAAAATGGAATACTATTTAATCAATAAAAAGAATGAAATCCTGTCATTTGCAAAAACACAGATGGAACTAGAGGTCAGTGTGTTAAATGAAACAAGCCAGGCACAGAAAGACAAATACTGCATGTTCTCATTCATATGTGGGAGCTTAAAAAGTTGATATTGTAAAGGTAGAGAGTAGAATGATAGAGGCCGGGCACAGTGGTTCACGCATGTAATCCCAGCACTTTGGGAGGCTGAGGCAGGTGGATCACTTGAGGTCAGGAGTTCGAGATCAGCCTGGCCAACGTGGTGAAACCCCGCCTCTACCCAAAATACAAAAATTAGCCAGGTATGGTGGCACATGCCTGTAGTCCCAGCTACTCGGGAGGCTGCAGCAGGAGAATTATTTGAACCCAGGAGGCAGAGGTTGCAGCGAGCCAAGATTGCACCACTGCACTCCAGCCTGGGCGACAGAGCAAGACTCCATCTCAAAAAAAAAAAAAAAGAGAGTAGATTTATAGACACTAGAGGCTGAGAAAGGTGAATGAGTGGGGAAAGGAATGAAAAGAGGTAGGTAATGGGTACAAACATACAGTTAGATAAAAGGTATACGTTCTATTGGTCAACAGCAGAGCAGAGTGATTATAGTTAACAACAATGTATATTTCAAAGTAACTAGAAGAGAGAACTAGAATTGTTCCCAACACATAGAAATGATAAATACTCAATATATAAACACTCAAATACCGACTTGATCATTAAACATTCTATATGTGTAACAAAATATCACATGTACCCCATAAATATGTAAAATATTATGTATCAATAAAAAGGGAAAAATAAGTAAAGGTTTGCTGTTATACTATTTTAAAAAAGAAAAAAGACACTAAGTTTCTAAAAAGACAAAAACATAGGTAACTTGCCCAATATACAGCTCATGAGTAGCAGATACAGGATTTGAACCCAGGACTATCTAACTACAAAGCTGGTGTTGTTTCCAATCTATTAACTGCAAACAGTTCACAGAAGGAACACTCTGTGGACTGGGATAAGGAATGGTCTTTCCATTTCCGCTGACTTTAAATACCTTAGTAGACAGAACACCTTTTTCTCTTTGCTTGTGCTCATTTTTCTGACTTAACCGTGTGCCAGTAAACATATGGGTGATGCTAAAGATAAACCAACACTACTGATTTCCATTGCTACCTTCAAATATTGTCATTCACAGTTTGTGAGGGGTGGGACCACTGTCTGGATTGCTGAGAGGGTGGCCAACTGTTTGCATTTTGTTTATCATTGCTTTTGATGAGTCACAGAGAGTTCTGCATTATTCATAAACTTTAGATTTGAATAAAGTTCCCTATGCAAATTCTGCTCACTGGTGGCTTCAATCCAGGATTGAAATAAATAGCAGCAGATAATGAAGCAGATAGCCCAACTTGTGCTTTCAATCTGTGTGAACTAATGCCCAGATAACCAGAGAGAGGTTGGGAGAATGGGTTTTAACTCAGAGTTCTGTCACATATATTATAAAATGAAAATTGGAATATTGATAGATACATGACAAATCTGAAATAATCCATTAGGCATCTGAAAATTCCAATAGCCTTTAAAGTGAAAAAAATAAAAAGGAAACAATCTCACGCAGGTGTTAGGAGTTAGAGCTGTTCCAATCAAAATGTGAACTAGCAAAAATCTGTCTTAAAGCTCTCAACCTCCCATTCTTCCTCCCTTTATTCCTAAGTGGTGCTCTCACCACCACCTATTCCTCAAATATTTAGATTAAATTATCTCTCTCCATTTACTAATCCATTCATTCTTCCTTCCAACCAAGGTACAAATGACTAATAGTAACTTAAAGAACTACTCTTTCCACAGGCTTTTACACTTGAACTAAATCAATATCTTAAGTAAAGGGATTACGGTTTGTAGTGGACATCTGTCATTTGTAGTTGCCCCAAAATCTTTTTAATATCTCCTACCAAAGAAACGTATGCTGATGTATATTAAAGAGAAGGTAACATATTGTGATGGTTAATTCTATGTGTCAACTTGATTGTCCACAGAGTGCCCAGATATTTGGTTAAATATCTTGGTGTGTCTTTGGTTAAATATTTTGGTTAAAAATCGGTTAAATATTCTTGGTGTGTCTGTTGAGGGTGTTTCTGGATGGCATTAACATCTGAGTATGTACACTGAGTAAAGCAGATTCACCTCGCCCCAGTGTGAGTGGGGCCTCATCCAGTCCACTGAAGGCTTAAACAGACTAAAGACAGTGTAAGAAAGAATTCTTTCTTTTTACATGTCTTCAAGCTGGAGCACTGGTTTTTGCCAGCCTTCAGACTTAAACTGTAACTATACCTTTGCTTCTCCTGGGTATCCAGCTCTTGGGACATCTCAGCCTCCATAGTCACATGAGCCAATTCCTGATAATAAATCAAATCTCTCATTAGATAGATGGATATATATATATATCTATATATATAGAGAGAGAGAGATTTTTTTTTTTTAGATGGAGTTTCACTCTTGTTGCACAGGCTGGAGTGCAATGGTGCGATCTCTGCTCACCGCAACGTCCGCCTTCCAGGTTCAAGCAATTCTCCTGCCTCAGCCTCCCAAGTAGCTGGGCTTACAGGCATGCACCACCATGCCCGGCTAATTTTGTATTTTTTAGTAGAGACGGGGTTTCTCCATGTCAGTCAGTGTGGTCTTGAACTCCCAACCTCAGGTGATCCGCCCACCTCAGCCTCCCAAAGTGCTGGGATTACAGGCGTGAGCCACCACGTCCAGCCTTATAAATATATATTTTATTGGTTCTGTTTCTCTGGAGAACCCAGACTAATACATACATTCATTATAAAAGACTAGAAAGTAATGACTACTTGTGGGTCTACCACCCAACCCAAGAAATAGCTTACTATTGCTCTCCCCTTTTCTATTCTCTACCCTGTCTACCAGATGCCCAAAAATATCTTGAACACCTTCTTAACATTTTGAAAGTTTCCCACTTTGTTGATCTTGCCTTTTCAAAAACAAATTTCTAAAAACTGTACTTCCCAGCATTTCTTGTGCTGAGGTGCCAGTAGGTGATGGAGATTTCACTGAACAGATGCACACATATTAGACATATTCAGAACCAAGTAATATGGAGAAAAGGCAGGGCATGGGGCACCCATATTTCTAGCACAGATTGGAACTAGCAGCTGTGTTGGCCCCCTGATCATAGCAGATGCTGTAACTCCCTTGGAAATCCATTTTAGAATGCTGAAATGCACAATGGGGTTATTCCTGAAAGTTCACCTGGAGTCTATTTCTTCAGCCTTCATAATGTTTCTTTAATAATTTATCCCTTAATAAATTCCTTCATGCTTAAAGTAACCAGAGTTAATTCATTGGCTGCAATTAAGGAACTCTGACCAATTAAGAAAACTATAGCAGAAATGATTGCAAACAACAGTTTTCAAAAACATGAAAAACTTGGATTGGCTATCTGACCTGGTTGGGTTTGAAGTGAGTGTTTGGGTACCATTAGGTGATTGGACACTAGTAATTATACCAGGTGGTAAAACAGCTTCTTAAATGACTACCTGTGATCATTTGGAGTAAAATGCCTTCTGAAGCCAAAGTTTGGCGTCCCTTTTGATTGCTGCAATATGCCACTATGTGGGGCTAAGGAATACAGGAAGTATGGGTTAGGATAGCTGACTTTATTGGCATCAGTGAGCTTTAAAAAAGAACAAGGCGGCTGGGCGCGGTGGCTCACGCCTGTAATCCCAACACTTTGGGAGGCCGAGGCAGGCAGATCACTTAAGTCCGGGAATTTGAGACCAGTCTGGGCAAAATGGAAAAACCCTGTGGCCCACACCTGTAGTCCCAGCTATTAATACTTAAGAGGGTGAGGTGGGAGGATGGCTTGAGTCCAGGAAGTGGAGGTTACAGTGAGCTGAGATCGTGCCATCACACTCCAGCCTGGGTGACAGAGCAAGACCCTGTCTCAAACAAAGAAAAGAAGGAAAAGTAAAAGGCCAAAGAATTTAAACTCACAGATCAAGGGATTGTTAGGGAAGGGATTGTTAGAGTTTATAGGACTCCTCTTAAAGAATTTTTATCTCTTAAGGCCAAACAGCTGTCATGGCCAAAGAGCAAATGCAGAGTCAAATCTGGCCAGTTACTGAATTTCAATAGAGGCTGAATTCATGGTCCTTGCTAGATCTCACACATGAAAGGGACTGGGAAGGAATGGGCCAAAAGAATTGGAGTGAAAGCATTTAGGAGGAACTGGATTATTCAGCACACTCAAACACCATTATGCCTCCCTTACCAAAAGAAGGAGCCCCTCCTCTCCAATCTGAAGATGTTGGTTAAAGATCTTACAACACGGGCGTCCAATCTTTTGGCTTCTCTGGGCCACATTGGAAGAAGCGGCATTGTCTTGGGCCACACATAAAATACACTAACACTAACGATAGCTGATAAGCTTTCAAAAAAAAAATCACAAAATGCCAGGTGCGGTGGCTCACGCTTGTAATCCCAGCACGCTTGTAATCCCAGGCTGAGGCAGGTGGATCATGAGGTCAGGAGTTTGAGACCAGCCTGGCCAACATAGCGAAACCCCGTCTCTACTAAAAATACAAAAATTAGCTGGCTGTGGTGGTGCACACCTGTAATCCCAGCTACTCAGGAGGCTGAGGCAGGAGAATCTCTTGAACCCAGGAGGCAGAGGTTGCAGTGAGCCAAGATCGTGCCACTGCACTCCAGCCTGGGCGACAGAGCTAGACTTAATCTCAAAAAAAAAAAATCACACAAAAAAATCTCATAATACTTTTAGAAAATTTACAAATTTGTGTTGTGCCACACTCATCAAAGCCATCCCGGTCTGCATGCAGCCTGCAGGCCGCGGGTTGGACAAGCTTGCCTTACAATGACCTCACCTGAGACAGTTACTTCCTACAGGAATTCATACCCTACACCTATGACCTTTTATTTCCTCCACATTTATAAATAGTTCCAGATTCCAACATGCCCATAAAGGCCAATTTTAAAATTCAAATCTAGAAGGAAAAGATTCATACACCAGAAGAATTGAAAGATTTTGCTAATTAATATTTGCAAAAACCTGGAGAATATATTGAATTTCTACCAAAAACATAATTTTATAGCACAAATTACTGACATAGATAAACTAACCAGAGGTTCTGGATTCATTCTACATAGCTTGAGCCGGTTGTTAACTTGGCTGGTTGACTGAAACCTGGACTCCACTGTGGCCTATTGCTGAAAGAAGTTGAAATGCTAAGACTAGAGGCTTATAGTGATAAGAATGTTGGAATAAATATATCTTATACAACATCTCACATATACCCAAAGTAAGCCTAGAGAACACTGCCTTTTCCAAGTCATCAAGAAAAACACTGATGCGGCGAGAACAAGAATCCTTGAATAATGCTTTGATGAATTTATTCTGTACTCTGGAGAGGAAGGTGGGAGATACTGCTATTGGAATTAGTTCCCTGTTTTCAGTGGAGTTTATGGGTTCCCAGAGGGGCAGACACCAAATAGCGGGATTTAACTGCCAGAAACCTAGTAGCTATGATTATTGTAATAGCAAAATAACTTGACTTGCAGGGATCTTTTGGTGGTAGCTAATTGATCACAGTATGCCTAAAAATGAACTAGATGAGCAGCCTGCAAAAGACATAGCTGACCTGTATAATTGAAAAAATTCTAGGCCTAGTGAATCTAGAATTAAATCATTATACTTGACTTCCATTATCACTAGAGAGTCAGGACCTATCTCCCAATACCCACACTCTCAATTCAGTGAATGAAAGGGAGGACCTTTGAGGAAGGACATCACAAGAACCTATGAAAATCTTCCTCTACCCCTTCCCCAAAAGGACCAGCATCCATCCACCAAGGTAACTGTGTACTAGAGAAGGAAAAATATTTATACCTTTCACAAATTATTGAACATGGCTTTGAACTTGTACTAATCCCTGGGAACCTAGAATATCACTGTTTCCCCTACTCAGAACAGGGCCTTATTTGTGGGAATCCAGTGATAGAGAGTTTGAGTCTAAGTCCATCTCATGATGGGTACAGAGTTTCTGTGAATCCAGTCTCTGGTTATTTCCCCCATTTCCTAATTTATAGTTTGAATGGATAAACCCAGGTAATAGCAGAATCCTCAAATTGGCTTCCTGGCCCAAAGTAAGCACTACTGGGACTGCCCCTTCCGAACAAAATAGTAAACCAAAAGCAACATTACACTTTTAGGAGAATTCTAGATATTAGTGACCTTATCAAAGAAAACTGCAGCCCTAAAGACTTGACCAAAAAAACTGTTAGAACTAATAAATGAATTTAGCAAAGTTGCAGGATACTAAATCAAATACAAAAATCACTAACATTTCTATATACTAACAACAAACTCTCCAAAAAAATTTTAATCTCATTTATGATAGCTACAAAAATATATAAAATACTTAGGAATGAATTTAACCAAGGAGATGAAAGATATACACACTGAAATCTATGAAGCACCGATGAAAAAAATTGAAGAAGACAAAAATAAATGGAAAGATATTCCATGTTTATGGATTAGAAGAATTGACATTATTAAAATGTCCATACTACCTGAAGTGACCTACAAATTCAATGCAATCCCTGTCAAAAATCCAATGACATTTTCCCAGAAATAGAAAAAAAAGGTAAAATTTGTAGGAAACCATAAAAGATTCCAAATAGTGAAAGAAATTTTGAGAAAAATAAACAACGCTGAAGGCATCATGTTGCCTGACTTCAAAATTGACTGCAAAGTTATAAAACTCAAAACAGCATGGTACTGGCATAAAAACAGACACATAGACCAATGAAACAGAATAGAGAGCCCAGAAATAAATCCACATTTTTGTAGTCAATTGACTTTTGACAAAGATGCCAAGAACACATAATGAGGAAAGGACAGTCTTTTCAATAAATAGTGTTGAGAAAACTGGACATCAACATGCAGAAGAATGAAACTGGACCCTTATCTCACACCATATATAAAACTCAACTCAAAAGGAATTAAAGACTTAAATGTAAGACTTGAAACTTTAAAACTACTAGAAGAAAATATAAGAGAAAAGCTCATTGGCATTGGTCTGGGCAAAGACTTTTTGGATATGACCTGTAAAAGCACAGACGACAAAAGAAAACATAGACAAGTGAGATTACATCAAATTAAAAAGCTTCTATATTGCAAAGGAAACAATCAACAGAGTAAAGAGACAACCTATGGAATGGGAGAAAATATTTACAAACCATACATCTCATAAAGGGTTAATATTCAAAATACATATGGAACTCAACTCAATAGTAAGAACACAAATAACCTGATTTTTAAATGGTCAAAGGACCTGAATAGATATTTCCCAAAAGAAGATATACAAATGGCCAACAGGTATATTTAAAAATGTTCAACATCAGAGAAATGCAAATTAAAACCACAGTAAGATATCACCTCACACGTTAGAATGGATATTATCAAAAAGATAAAAGATAAGAAGTGTTGGTAATGATGTGGAGAAAAGGGAATCCTTGGGTACTACTGTTGGAAATGTAAATCAGTAGAGCCATTATAGAAAATAGTATTGAGGTTCCTCAAAATCAAAAGCAAACCACCATATGACCCAGCATTCCCACTACTGAGTATATATCCAAAGGAAATGAAATCAGTATGTCAAAGAGATATCTGGACTCCCATGCTCATTGTAGCCTTATTCACAATAGCCAGTATATAGAATCAACCTAAGTGTCTATGTGCAGATGAATGGATAAAGAAAATGTAGTATATATACACAATGAAATACCACTCAGCCTTTAAAAAGAAGGAAATCCTGGCATTTGCAAAAACATGGATGAACCTGGAAGACATTATGTTCAGTAAAATAAGCCAGGCATTTAAAAAAAAATACTGAATGGTCTTACCTATATATACGTGGAGCCTAAAAATGTTGAACTCACAGAAGCAGAGTAGAATGGTGGTTACCGGGGGCTGGGGGTTGGGGGGACTGGGGAGATGTTGGTCAAAGGATACAAAATTTCAGTTAGATAGGAAGCATAAATTCAAGCGATCTATTGTACATCATGGTGACTCAAGTTAATAACAATATATTGTATACTTGAAAATTGCTACGAGAGTGGATTTTAAGTGTTCTTGCCACAGAAAAAGATAATATATGAGATAATGCATATGCTAATTAGCTTGATTTACCTCATTCCATAATTTTATACATCAAAACATCATGTTGTATACCATAAATATATATAACTTTTGTCAATTAAAGAAATAAAATTTTAAAAAATGAAAACTGCAGAAGTGGTGATTTCTATTACATCTCCATTTAACTCACCTGCTTAAAATGTGCAGTGAACAGATGGATTTTATGGATTATCAAAATCTTAATCAGTAACTTCAATTGCTGCTACTGTTCTTAACGTTGTCTCTACTGGAGATACCACTCTGGCCATCTAGTATGCAGTTATGCTTACAACTGTTTTTTTCTCTATACCAATAAGTCTAAAACACCATAAGCAATTTGCTTTCACCTGGCAGGAACAGTATCTTCGTGTTCTGCTTCTGAACTGCGTCAATTCCCTATACTTCTTTTGCATGTGAGGGAAAATGAACTTCTATCAGGTATAAGTACTAGTTTTCCAGGTCTCCTGTACTAATAGCTAAATAAAATTCCTAACAGAATTATGGACCACCTCAAAATTCACAGTCAATGAATGTGGAATGGAGGAGTTGGGGATATTTGGGCCTTTTCTATTAATAAACACCCAAGAACAAGAATTTAGAGTCATTCTTTTTCTCAAGGGCTATTAGAAACACTACCTTAATTGAAATGGTCCACATGCTGCTGGATCACATGCAATTTAGTAGATGAACCAAACATTCTTCAAAGTTTAAAAAAAAAAAATCCATCAAAGTGATGGTTAGGCTGAATGACAAAGTTGTTCTATGGAACTGACAAGTCAATTCTAACCAATAGCACTGAATAGATTTAGTCTGAGACTCAACTGTCTTTGATTTTAAAAATGTCCTCATTCTTACCATACAATAGCAGTTTTTAAAGTTTGTTTGTTGTTATTATTAATGTAGCCGTAGCCGCAGACCTATTCCTTTTCTCTTGGTTCTAGAACCAATACTGAATTTGTTAGTTTGACTGAAAGCTTAAGCTCTCTACACCTCTGTAGTGAAAAAATAATAACACTACCCTCACTATAAATTCCTTCAGGAGAAGAGTTATAAAGATGAATGAGGTCATCTTGGGCCAATTTCCTGTCTTATGTAAATATAAGACAAAGTTAAAGTCATACAGGATTAGAACCATAGGCACTGTTTTTTAGATTCCCAGAAGAAAGTCACTTTATCAACATAAACTTGGCACAATTTTGAAACATAACAGCGTTTATCTTATCAGCCCATTGACTTGCTGTAGTAAGTTGTGGTATTTTCCTTATTATGTTATGCCCAGAGCCACAGAAGATCAATGTTACAAGTTAAGCAAACAGTGCAATATTGACAGCTTCCTCTGCTGGTGAATGTTAAAGTTATTTCCTAGGGCCCAGCTTCCTGAGGACCACAGGACAAGGTCACACATGTGCTATGGAGGACGGTCAGTGCACTTTCCATAATGTTTAGTCCACAGATTAATGTCTGTGTCCTAAAGCAGGAAAAACAAGGAAAAGCTGCCATCTGTCATTAGGAGCAGAGGTATATAGTGATGAACTGATTTAGAGCATATACTGTTTACAAATAAGAAAGATGATCTGTACCCAGCTCTGGGCCAGAAACAAGCATTGATTTTAGGGATGAGAAGGCAGTAGTGAAATATCACTTCCAAAGGGACCTGCTGGTTTCTGGATTTTCAAAATATTCTCACCTCATCAAGGAATCCTGGTGAGAATGTCACCTACATGCTGGAGACTGCAAGAGCAACTGGGGCCCTTGAGAAGCTTTCTTTTTTCCTTTTTTTTTTTTTTTTGAGACGGGGTCTCACTCTGTCACCCAGGCTGGAGTGCAGTAGCACAATCGTGGCTCGCTGCAGCCTCCACCTCCCAGGGCTCAAGCGCTCCTCTCGCCTCAGCTTCCTGAATAGCTGGGACTACAGGCATGCGCCACCATGCCTGGCTGATTTTTGTATTTTTTGTAGAAACGAGGTTTCACCATGTTGCCCAGACTGGTCTCAAACTCCTAGACTCAAGCGATCCACCCACCTCAGCCTCCCAAAGTGCTAGGATTACAGGCGTGAGCCACAGCACCTGGCCAAAGCTTTATTTCTATGGCATCAGGGGAAGAAGGGAACAAATAATCCTTAGGTGATGCTGGAAGCTGAGTTTCATGGGTCACTGAGAAGTTAACTGTCACACACACCTGAACATATACCATGGATCAGAAACTGGACTATGGTGAAAGATACACATGGGGTAAGACAAGGAGTTCACAAGAAACTCACAGTTCAGCAGAGAAGACAAATACACAAGCCAGCCATTAGCAGATAAGGGCTTCCAGTCCCCACCTTTTCTCCAACATAGTAAATGCTATCTTTCCCTGCCTGCTGGTGCCTCCCTGGCCATCAGGGGAGTATGCAGCTTTCCTGGACACTTCCAGGACTTTGGGTTGCAGTCCTGGAGAATGAAAAGGTAAAGACCTAAGGAGGGGGCCTGCTATGCAGGGAGATTGGGCAGATGTACCAAGAAGGAGAGGAAGGGGAGAGAAAAGACGGAAGAGTAGAAGTAGGAAAGGCTCCAGGGCACTGTGATTGGAGAGATTTGATTGGAGAGATTTGGAGAGAAGGAAGGGGTTTCAAGAAATGTTGCTAGGCATTCCAGTCTTGATTCCTTTTAAAATTGTTTTGCAACTGTAAAGGTTGGGCTTCCTTTTCGTTATTTTGTGCTACTTGAACTGTTCCTTTTTATCGTCTCTTTGTAGAGACTGGACCAGCTCGGACCTCAGAAGCAGAACTCAGCTTTCCCAATGTGTGGGCAAATTACTCACATCACTCAGCTGTGATTAAAATCAACCCACTAGATCTGAGCCCAAGTGCAAAGAATGGAGATTGAGCAGGCTCAAGTCATAGTGGTTATTTATGTAAAAATAAAAAGCCAAACAAACATTGGGAAGGCAATGCCATAATCAGTGCTATTAAATATGGGAGAATGTGCAGTGAGGGAGGCATTGTGCCAGCCAGAAAACCAGCCTGGGCTGTAAAGCAGCTTCCCAACTTCAACCAAATATGACCACCTGGAGAACTGGTTAAAGTGCAGGGCGGCTACTATTTTAAAAAATTGTTTTAACAGAAAATAAGAAGTGTTGATGAGCATGCAGAGAAGTTGGAACCCTTGTGTACTATTGATGGGAATGTAAAATAGTGTAGTTGCTATCGAAAACAGAGTGGTAGTTCCTCAAAAAATTAAACATAGAATTACCATATGATTCCTTAATTCCATTTCTGGGTATACACAAAAATTGAAAGCAGGGTCTTAAAGAGATATAATACCCATGTTTATTGCAGCACTATTCACAATAGCCAAGAGGTGGAAGCAACCCAAATGCACATCAATAGGTGAAGGGATAAACAAACTGTTGTATATACATACAATGGAATATAATTCCGTCTTTAAAAGGACAGAAATTCTGACACATGTTACAACATGGATGAACCTTGAGGATATTGTGCTAAGTGGAATAAGCCAGCCACAAAAAGACAAATACTGTATTATTTCACTTACATAGGTACCTGGAATAGTCAGATTTATAAAGACAAAGTAGAACGGTGGTTGCCAGGATCTGCAGGGAAAGGGACATGTTGTTTAGTGGGTATAGAGTTTCACTTTTGCAACATGAAAAGTGTTCTGGAGATTGGTTGCACAATAATGTGAATGTGCTTAACAATAGTGAACTATATACTTAAAATGGTTAAGATGGTAAACTTTGGTATGGGTATTTTACCACCACAAGGATTTTTAAAGCAGGTTCTGGTTTAGTAAACCTAGGATGGAGCTAAAGATCCTGCATTTCTAACCATGTGTCATCCCCGACCCCTACTGACTTCAAAAGGGACAGTACCATGTATGAGAGGCCAGTGAGTTAGACCTAGAGCCAGTGAACAAGACAGAGGGTTTATTGAGGGGACTTACATACGGGGTGGTCCAATGGTAGCAGGCTGAACAGGAGAACTGCTACTGTTTGTAAAAAGCATGCAGCTTGTGTCGCGTTTTCACTTAGCACTTTTTCCTTAGTAACCTCCACTTGGCAACCTTCATTTAACCAAAAACAAAGGGCCTCAATAATCCCCTGTATGGCCTGGGGGTTCAGATGTTCCTCATATATAAGGAATGAATCGCCAGGTTGGTCACTTCCGGATTCCTGAGCTCGGAACTCCTAACACACATTCTTCTTAGACCGTAGGGTCATTCTCATGGTATGCTTAAGTTAACTTATTGTTATCCAGTGCATCCATCATGCATCATGTTTACCTTATCCTTTCCTGTCTATATACTAGAATCATCTAGGGATGTTTTTAAAATTCTGTAGCCCAGGCTACACCCCAGACCCACTTAATTGCAGTCTCTGGGGTGGGGCCCAGGCATAGGTGGCTTTTGAAGCTCCCCAGATGGTTCCAATGTGTAGAGAAGTTTGGAAACCACTGTTATCCACTGAATTGGTTTTCACAGGTTGAATCCATCTCACTCTATTCAAATAAAGAACTAACTGAACAACCCAGAACAGGGTTCTTGATCAAGGTCACGCTTCAGAATCGCCTGATAGAGCATTTAAAATACCTGTGTTTTGACTCCGCTACTTCCCACCACCCAAGAGATTTTAATTTAATTGATCTGGAAAAAGGCTCAGGAATAAGGTAGTTTTTACAGCTTCTCAGGCAGTTCTAACAGAAAGCTACTGTCTGAGATGTTTCCATGTTAACTGAGACCTTCTGCTCAGTCTACCTCTCTGCTCTCTGATGCTAGCCCGCCTTCTCAGACTCTGCCCTGTCCCCTTCCCTGTCCTCCATATTAGTCCCAGCATCCCACACTTTGAGGTTGGTTTGATTACACAAGAATTGAGGAGTGGCTGATGATTAAAGAAGCACAATCCCATTTAATCAAGTGTATCTGGCAGGTACTAAATGCTCTTAGAAATCACAGATTTGATACTTTTGTGCCAATTAGCTTCATGCACACAAAATTCTGATCTGTGGTCACAAAACACACAGTTTACTTAAGCCTCATGAGTCATTCATTACCAAAGAAGTCAGAAAAAGGGTGATTGGTTCATACAACCTGTCCTACTGTGAGGGTGGAGTATGCAGGGAATTTTTACACTGTATACCCTAATTGTGTTTTATTCGTTCAGTCATTTAAAAATATACATTTGTTGAGAGCCTACTATGTTTCAGGCACAGTTTAAAGTGCTTGAATAAAACCAGCATGTACTCCCTCAGCTGTGAAAGTTGCCCTTTCCCAGATTAGCTTTAAAATCTAAAGACTTCACATGAAAATGGTTAAGGTGGTAAATTTCATGTTATATGTTCTTTACCACAGTGAAAATTAAACTGTAAGAAAAAAAATCGAAAGATTTGTACCTTAGATGTGAAACAAGGAATGCATTCACATTATTATCTGGATACACTTTGGGATGGTCAAAAAAATGTTAAGCATATTTACAAAGTCACTTTATGAGGTACGGGAAAATTATGGGAGCCATTGCATAATATCTGGGCTTAACAATAGCACTATAATGCAGAGCTTCAGCATTCCGGCAGCATATTAAACCATCTCTAATGTTCGACCTACAGGTTTATGCAACCTCTGGGGCACAGTGTCAGGTGGGGCTAAAAAGAAAACACACTTTATAAACATTGATTGCTTCTTGCTACATCTTGCTAATGTAATCTGTGTTGCAGATTAGAATTAGCATAATATTATATGGGTAATGCCAGACAAAAATGGCCTGAGCCACAGTGCTGTTTTTGGATTTGGTTTTATTCTTCAGGAAGTCACTTTAAGAAGAGCATAGCACGACTTAGTGTTTTCCTGCCAAGGTTGTAAGGGAGGACAAGTTCTCTGCCCTCTCCTTGTTCAAAGAATAAATTGTGAGTAATAGGCTACATCACTGCATCGTGTATGAATGCTCCTGGTCAAAGAACATTTAACAGAATTGTGTTAGGTCACGGGCTTGGTTTTGTTTTTGTTTTTTAGTTCCATTTGACCTTTCAGATCAAAACTGTGACTAACCGCAATGTGTGGGACAATTACATTACGATGTGCTATTTGTAAAGAACCTGAACTGTGGCCTTTCTAGACATATGTGCTTGCACCCACCTATACCTCTGTACAACTCTTCTAAGTATCAATTTTCTGCTGATTGCATGTTGGTCTCTCACATCTGCCATATTTTACTCTAAATCTCTTGCAGGCAGAGGCTTTGCCTGTTTAGTAGGATATATTTCATGCCTATAGAGCTGTTGGACTTCTAACAGCTCTTTCATTATTGTTTACTCACCTCCTTTAACATTGCTGAGGTCTGGTGCGTGGTGGCTCACGCCTATAATCCCAGCACTTTGGGAGGCTGAGGGGGACCGATCACTTGAGGTCAGGAGTTGAAGACCACCCTGGCCAACATAGTGAAGCCCCATCTCCACTAAAAATACAAAAATTAGCCAGGTGTGGTGGCATACACCTGTAATCCCAGCTACCCGGGAAGTGCAGGTTGCAGTGAGCCAAGATCACCCCACTGCACTCCAGCCTGGGCAACAGAGCCCGACTCCACCAAAAAAAAAAAAAAAAACCAATTTGCTTACCAAGAACTATGGAAAAGACACTCACCACTGATCCTCCAATCAACTTTGAATCCAGGGGCATCCTGGAAGGAAGGAATCCCGGCTGGGTGGGTAGGCTAGATGCTTGGGTTGCGTCTGCAGCCTTCAGTTTGGTCTAAATGTCTGAACTCTAACCCTCTCAGACTCATCAGTCCCTACTACCCACACAAATACATCCCACACTCTGATGTCAACTTGACACTCTGGCCTGGGTCTTCATCTCACTTCTCCTGGACCACCTTACACCCATCCCTCTGTCTTTTACTTCCACCCACAATCCAGAACTGAAAAACACGTTTCCTGACTAGAATATTAGTTCTCATGTTCACTCAAAATTGAAAGGGGACCCTTGGCCAAAAGACTTAAGTTCATAATTTTTCTGATGGTAGAACTAAGAGATGAAGCTGTGGTTTTGACTTTTCCCCATGGGAAGAAAAAAGAATATGGAGGTTGTTGTGCTACTGACTGATTCTGACTCTGACTCTGGAAAACCATTTTTCCCTATGAGATAGATTGGTGTCAACCACAAATACCCTTTACTGATCTCATTTTCACATTTTCCTGATTTCAGATATTTTTATCATTGCTATTGCACTTCTCCAGGTTAATTATAGAGAAAAGCGATGATTTTTTAAGTGCTTAACTCAAGGATGGTTCAAAATTTTAACTTGCAAGTACTTGAGATTAAGGCATATGGATTGCATCCTAATGAATGTGCAAGGGAACTTTATTTTGTATAACTAATATTGTTGTGTCTTTCCCAATTAGAATATCTTCATTCTTTCCTCTGAATAAGAAGATAATACTAGCTCATCATAAAAATGCAGGCAGCATAAGAACATATACAAGAAGTGAAAATTATCTACAATCCCATATCCAACAACTTCTGAGAATTTTCTTAATTGAGATATAGGTCACATACCATAAAATTCACTGTTTTAAAGTGTGCAATTTGGGGGTTTTAGTATATTCACAAGGCTGTGTGACTATCACCATTATCTAGTTCCAGAAATTTTTCATCACTCCAAAGAAACCCCCCTACCTATTAGCAATAACTTCCCATCCCATCCCCTGAGTCCCTGGCAAACACTAATCTACCTTTTTTTTTCCTTTTTTTTTTTTTTTTTGAGATAGAGTCTCACTCTGTTGCCCAGGCTGCAGTGCAGTGGCATGATCTTGGCTCACTGCAACCTCCACCTCCTAGGTTCAAGTGATTCTCCTGCCTTAGACTCCAGAGTAGCTGAGACTACAGGCACACACCACCATGCCCAGCTATTTTTTTTTTTTTTTTTAAGTAGAGACAGGGTTTCACCATGTTGGCCAGGCTGGTCTCAAACTCCTGGCCTCAAGTGATCCGCCTGCCTCAGCCTCCCAAAGTGCTGGGATTAAAGGCATGAGCTACCGCACCCATCCTACTTTTCTGTCCTTGTGGATTTGCCTATTCTGGACATTTCATAAAAATAAAGTCATACTATATGTGGTCTTTTGTGTCTGGCCTCTTTCACTTAGCTCTTTCATTTAAAGAGGGTTTCACCTCTTTCAGTGTTTTCAAGGCTCATCCATATTGTAGCATGTAACAGTTCTTCATTCCGTTTTATGCCTGAACAACATGCCATTGTATGGACACACCACATTCTATTTATCCATTTGTCATTTGTTGAACATTTGAGTTGTTTCCAATTGGGGGCTAATATGAGTAACACTGCAATGAACATTCATGTACAAGATTTTGTGTGAACATATGTTTTCAAATCTTTTTGCCTAAGAATATTTTCATAGATAACATTTCAGACTGTTTTCTATGCATATCTAGATTGACAGGTAAATATATTTTGATATGTTATCATTGCCAACTATTTGCTCCCCTCTCCTACAGGAGAATTAATGAAACCTTCAGCTGCCAAATGACTTGGAGTGCCTTCTGTGGGAAGAACATATATCCCTGCTCTATCATTATGGCCAACATGCTGCTTGCCTTGGCCAATGGCTTTTAGTGGACATCACATACACCACGACAGACCAGAAGTTTAAAGAGCCATTGTGTGTTTCTCTGAGTTCTCTTGCTCTTTCCCTCTGCTGTGAGTAGGAGACAGCTTCCTCAACTTGGGTCCCAGAATAAGCAGACACAAGGAGCTGAAATGCAGATTACTGCAGCCATTAACATATGTATAAAAGAGGAATATATATATATATATATGAAAGAGAAATACATTATTATTATAAGCCACTGAGACCTGGGGGGGTCATGATTACTGTAGCAAAGTGGAGTAATGCATAAATGAATTATTTATCACCTGCTTCTTCTGCCTAACAATATAGTGTGGACATCTTTACAGATGTAAACATAAAAAGGTGGTGTTGCAGAAACTGAATTCCAAATAGACTAGGTGCCTTGTTCCAGGTGACGGAATTAGTAAGAGAGACAAAAGTCAATTTTATATTCCTATTCTGATTTGCAATCCAGTTTTCTAATTAAAGCAAAGGAGGGGGTAATCTTGGACATTTTGCTGAGATTACAGGAGGTGTATGAAGACCCCCATGCTACTGCATGATTGTTGGGCTGAAAATTCCAAACTCACTCATGCTGTACTAATGAGTTAATACTAATTGGAAAATGGTAATAAGCTGAAATGTGTGTATTGTGCTTTCCACAAAAAAGTGTTTTAGAAGGAGTGGGGCACATTATAAGAGTTAATCCTTGTTCTTTATCTCTGCAGCCATTGGGTCTGGGATCACTACTGACAATTAAGTAGCTTGCTACTTTCAATCCATTTTGCATGCTTTACCGAACTGCCAATCTGTTTTGCGTGATTTAACATAATTGCCTGCCTTTGCCCTGGAGGCTGAATGCTTAGCCTGCAAGGGCCACTAGTGGAAGGATATCTTGGCCAGCATCTGTCCATGCTCCATCTGGTTTAAGGCACTGTTTCCATCTCTTTTCCTATCTTACACTTATAAATAAATAACAGCCTTGTATAGCTAACTTTCAGAAAGAATAAATGTTGGTAAACCATCACTATTGTTAAAAAAAAAAAAAATAGCCAGCAGCTTACAAATCCCCATGGTTGCAGCCCTCACATGCTATCTTGATAACATTTACAGGTGATAAAATGGCCACTGGTGGTCTTCAGAAGCCTAGACCCAGTAGGCCAATACAGGAAGACTTTTCCTTCCTTGTTTATACTGAGTAGGCAAAACTCCATTACAAATAACTGATTTCTATGCAATCATAGAGATGAGAATAGTTAAGCAGTTTCTTTTATCAGTATCTTCTTTTTCTCAGACCTGTTGGCACTTATACACATAAACATACAGCATACTTGCAGAACGCTACAAGTTGTTCACCTTTTTCACCAGATCAATGTTCTACTTCTTTTTGCATAGGCCTTTAGAGATCCTCTTAGCAGTAGACTAACCCCTCAATTTACAAGGAAGAAAAATAATACCCTTGGAACTGAAAGAGCATTTCCTGGGTCATAAAGTGAGTGGCAGAGCGGAGACTAGAATCCCATCTCCTGACTCCCCATCCAGTGCTCTTTCCATTCCAAGCCACGTCCATAGTAAGTGTATAACCAAGACGGAATTTGTGTAAGACCTGTTCAAAACAGGACCAAGATGTCACCAACGAATCTTCTAGAATGTTTAACCACCAAGGAAAGTGCCCTGTCAATGGGTATAAACCCTGGAAAGGACTAGGAGCAAAGATGTCTACTAAGGTGAGGAATGGGAACAGACACAGGCCGTCATCGGATGACAGAAGTGTGACCAAGTAAGTATCTACAGTCCTCACATTGTCTCTCCCAGGAGATCGAGTCAGGATTCGTCAGAGATAGCATCCTCAAGAACAAATGGACAAGAAATACTGAGCGGGGGTAGTTGTTAAGCCACTTCAGATGTATTAACCCCTTAGCCCAGCAAGATCTGAGTTTGGTCTGTGAGAGGCAGAAGCAACTTTAACCCTGCTGGCTCCCATGAGATTCATGATTCTCCTCACCCAGCCAGGAACCTTCAGTACCCTGGGCTGAATGCAGAGCCACATTCTCTGGCCAGATTCAGGGCTTCACCAGAGTGTCCACATTTTGCCATGACCCAGATGTCATCTGGAACTATGAGGAGGGTCAGGGAAGGCAAGATCCTGACAAAACAGGGTAGGGGGAAAACTAAACTCAGCAGATAACCCTAAAATACCGATGACCAATCCAAGCTCAAGCTTCCAAGAGGGAATTAGAAATGCCCTTCATGAGAGGCTCACACAGGACTTAGTCTATTTGTTTTTAAAACACTAGGTTATTCTTAGGCACACAGTTTCATAAGGTCCCCAAGATAAGCCAGCTAAAAAGGTGAGACACACAGGCTCAGCAACAGGACTTGTGGAAAAAATTAGGTCATTCATTGTTCTAAGGCCTCAGAGGGCCAACAATCTAAATGGCTTTGCTTTTTGAGCTTTAGACAATTGTTGGGGAAATGGGGTGGGTGAAGAAACCTCGCGCTATTCAACAGTGTAGAAAACAGCCATGGTGTGAATAATCCTAATAGAAAGATCTGTTTCCTGTAAGTAGGAAGAGTTGTAAATCAGTAGAATTTTTGGTAGAAACCTCTACATAGATTATTCTTGACATTTTAAATTTCTTTCCCTTTTCTCCTTTCTCTCAACTCCCTCAAATAGCCTGTGCTCACTGAAAAAAACGAATTTTAAATGCCAAATAAATCTTCACTCTGACTACAAAACTCCACTGTGTAGGCATTCTGTCACTGCTTATTATTAAGTAATTTCTGTGTTCAAAATGTAACCTGTTTTCCCCTTTTCTCTTTCTTTCAAACTCCCCCCACCTTCTACACTCCCAATCTGTTGTTTCTCAAAGCTTACCCACAAGGCAGGGCAAGGAGAGTTTCACCTGCACATTCCTCTGGAACTCAGAAAGCAGGGTTAAGTGGCAAGATCAAGGATATAGAGCCAGCCAGGGGCAGAGCAAGAACCTGGAGGCCCTACCACCCAGGGCTCAGCTTGCCTCATTATTATACTGCCTCTTGAAAACCCTTGCTGAGATTTGAGTTCTTCCAGCTTTTATTGTCACCATTAAAAATATTAATGGTCCAACAATGCAAAAGCCCAACTAGAGTTTCCTTGAAATGCCTTACCACGGTGGAGGCACACTGTGTGTGAAGCATCATTAAACTCCGCTGCCTGCCCATGGACCAAGCAAGGGGAAAGAGCAATAGATCCTTCTTGTAAAACCAAGGGTATATTCAAAGTCACCCTCATTAGCCTGAGCTTTTCACCCATATTACAATCATGGCTCTGTTAATAAGAGGACCCCATCACAGTAGCACTCTGGTGTCAGCATCTTCATTACCAGAAGTAGACATTGTATCTGAGATGTCAAGGTATGTTTCAATGCTGGATTTTTCTTGCAGGAGAGCCTTGGTGAATCACTCTTTTTTCTCTCTCCATCCCCTTGCCTTGCATATTTTGCAATTACAAATGTGCTTCCACATTTATGATGAGAGCTACCAAGGGCTGGATTCAGAAGTACCATTCTGCTCCAGAATGCTGGGCTATGTGGGCTCCAAGTGTGACCCTGCTCTGGGGAGGCTGGAAGCCAAGGAGCACCTCCAGGAACAAATTGTAATAAGACATGGCCAGTTATTCATCCTCCTGACCAAGACCATGTGCTGAGAGGATCAGAGCTGCTGCCTGAACCCCAGTAGTCAAAACAAAAGAGGATTGCTATTGAAGGTATCTATTGGTATAGCAACACTAAGCCAGATTTAGAGCACAAGTCTTCCAAATCAACATTTGAGCTGTCCACTATGAGAAGCTTGGGGCTATACCATTAAATTCTAATTTTAATCATTCATCCTGAGATGTTTGATATTTTGATATCAAAAAGCCTTCAAAGGTTGATCCTGGATGGCATCTGCCTGAATCTTACCTGACAACAGCATGCAAAGGAAGGACACCTGTATCCTAACCCCAGTTCCAGCCATAACTGGCCATCTGACAAAGCTATAGGACCTCTCTCAGCCTTCTCAGTTTCCTTATCAGAGCAAAGGTGATACTTCCTACTAAGGCAAGTACTTCAACAATGACATTAGGTAATACAGGCAAAGACACACGGGAAAAAGTAAAGCACTGTGGTCATGAGGGAGACAATTGTGTTTTTTTTTTTTCTTCCTTTGCTTGTGCTATTATCCTGCCATGTGAAAACTTGAGGACTCTGGTTAGTCAGAGCCAATGTCAGAAGATTTTAATCATCCCCAGTGTCCATTTATAAGAATTTCCTGAAGTCTTGGTGTATGTTATGGTTTGGATGTGCTTTGTCCCTGCTGAAACTCATGGTGAAGTTTGATCCCCAATGTGGCAATGTTGTGAGGTGGAACCTAGAGGGAGTCGTGGGTCATGGGGGGTGGATCCCTTATGAATAGATTAATGCCCTTCCACAGGGGTGAATGAGTTCTCATTCTTGTGTGAATGGATTAGTTTCCTCCAGGACAGGCTGTTAAAAAAGAGTCTGGCTTCTTCAGTTTTCCCCTCTTGCTTCCTCTCTTGCCATGTGATCTCTTTGCACATGCCTGCTCCCCTTTCATTGTCTGCTATGAGTCAAAGCAGCATGAGAACCTCACCAGATGCAGCTGCCCCACCTTGGACTTTTTGGCCACCAGAATCATGAGCCAAATAAACCTCTTTTTTTTTTTTTTAACAAATTACCCAGTCACAGCTAACACAAAAATGGACTAAGACAGTGTATTCTCTTTCTAATATCAATAATACATACCTCTACAGGGGATATGGATATATGTCCTTTTTATTTATTTTTTATTTTTTGAGACAGAGTCTTGCTCTGTTGCCTAGACTGGAATGCAATGGCACAATCTCGGCTCACTGCAGCCTCCACCTCCCAGGTTCCAGTGATTCTCCTGCCTCAGCCTCCCGAGTAGCTGGGATTATAGGTGCCCACCACCAGGTGTGGCTAATTTTTGAATTTTTAGTAGAGACGGGGTTTTGCCATGTTGGTCAGGCTGACCTCGAACTCCTGACCTCAGGTGATCTGCTGACCTCGGCCTCCCAAAGTGCTGGGATTACAGGCATGGGCCACCATGCCCAGCCATGTGTGTGTTCTTACCCAAGCCTTTCAATGACACAGGAACCAGTTTCAAAGAATTTTTTTAATGTATTTCCTGTTAAGGATGGCTTCTTCTCGGACCTTCTCTCCAGTATCAACCTAAAATCAAAGGTTACCACGCAGCCTGCAGGGTAACCTGGACTTTTATGTAAACCTGTCTTGTGATGTTGTGAGATGCAAATGGATAAAAATTACTGAGATGGCAACTGTTTGAAAAGCAGCCTGCCCTTGGAGCAGAGGCCTCCATTACTCAGCCTAAACAGTCATCATGGCCTCTATTTGTTAAAAACAAAATAAAACCATGTTAAATCAAGTTCAGCCTAAAGCTCTCTGCTTACATATTTTAAGTTCAGCCTAAAGGTTTTTCTGTACATTGTGAACTATAACAAGTGGAGGTGTAACCAGACCATAGCCTACACTTGTGCCAGTCACCAAGTTTTGGCCAATCCAATGTAGCTAACAGTTCAACCATGTACAAATAAGGCAAATGCCGAGCTGTAACCAATGCAGCTGTTTCCATACCTCACTTCCATTTTCTGTACATCACTTTCCTTTTTCTGTTCATAAATCTTGTTCCACCACGTGGCTGCGCTGCGCCCCTGAGCCTACCCTGGCTCAGGAGGCTGCCCGATTCGCGAATTGTTCATTGCTCAATTAAACTCCTTTAAATTTAACTTGGTTGAAGTTTTTCTTGGTTTTTTTTTTTTTTTTTTTTGAGACGAAGTCTCACTGTCGCCCAGGCTGGAGTGCAGTGGCGCGATTACAGCTCACTGCAACCTCTGCCTCCCAGGTTCAAGCAATTCTCCTGCCTCAGCGTCCCGAGTAGCTGGGATTACTGGCATGTGCCATCACACACAGTTAATTTTTGTATTTTTAGTAGCGATGGGGTTTTGCCATGTTGCCCAGGCTGGTCTCAAACTCCTGGCTTAAGGGATCCACCTGCCTTGGCCTCCCAGTGTGCTAGGATTACAGGCAAGAGCCACTGTGCCCAGCTAAGTTTTTCTTTTATCAACCAAAAAACCCCGAGTGACTCAGAAAGTAACTTGCACTAGGAAAAAAGAAAGAGAAAGAGATAGAGATAGAGAGGTGGATTAAAGAGACTTAAAGTCATGTTGATATGTACTCTGTACCCCCAGATACAAGGCCATGAGAAGGAAACTTTATTCTATGCGAAGAATCAGTGGTATTCTTCCCCAAAACCCATAACCTTAGTCTAATCATAAGAGAACATCAGACAAATCCAAATTGAGAGACTTTCTACAAAATATCTGACCAGAACTCTTCAAAATTGTCAAGCTCATGAAAAACAAGACTGACTAATGCACAAATCAGAGGAGTCTAAGGAATCATAATGACTATTAATAAATGTATTGTGGTCTCCTGAATTGGAAAAAAAGTGGCATCAAGGGAAAAACTAGTGAAATCTGAATAAAGCCTATAGGTTAGTTAATAGTAATGTACCAATGATTACCTCAGTTTTGACAAGTATGCAGTAATTATGTAAGATGCTAATATAAGGGGGACTGGGTGAAAAGTACACAGGAACTCTCTGTACTGTGTCTGCAACTTTTCTGTAAATCTATGATTATTCCAAAATAAACAGTTTATTTTGAAAAGGGGCAAAGAAAGACTTAATAAACATATCAAATAGTCATATTGTAGGACTTTACTTGAATCATGATGAAACTATTTTAAAAATTTGTTTATGAGACAACTGAAAATTTAAATACAGTATATTTGATTATATTAAGAAATTAATTATTAACTACTTTTAAGCGTATTTGTGATATTGTTACATTTTTAAAAAGAAGTGTTTAATTTTTAGAAAAACAAACTAAAATATTTACAGATTAAATGATATGATGTCTTGAATTTGCTTCAAAAATAATACAGGAGGGAGAAATTAGTAGGGATATAGGTTAACAAGATGTCAGAAAATAATTACGGAAAATGAGTGATGGCATGATAGTTTGGTTGTGTTTTGTTTTTGAGATGGAGTCTCGCTCTATCGCCCAGGCTGGAGTGCAGTGGCGCGATCTTGGCTCACTGCTACCTTTGCCTCCCGGGTTCAAGCGATTCTCATGCCTCAGCCTCCTGAGTAAGCTGGGATTACAGGCATGCACCACCATGCCAGGCCAATATTTGTATTTTTAGTACAGATCGGGTTTCATCATGTTGGCCAGGCTGGTCTTGAACTCCTGACCTCAGGTGATCCACCTGCCTCAGCCTCCCAAAGTGCTGGGATTACAGGCGTGAGGCACCGCATCTGGGGAGAGTTCATTATTTTTATTTTGTCTTGTTTTGTATATGTTTGAAGTTTTCCAGAATTAAAAAAACTAATTTTAAGAATCCAAAGAAGAAAAACCATAAGCCCCTAACATTTCGATCACATAGCATTATCTTTGCTGCTGTATTTGCCACCTCAGCAACTCTCCAATTATTGTCATTCAGTTTGCCACTCTTACCAAACCACAGATGAGCTCTGGAGCCGAAGTCCTCTCTAGATCTGTCCACTCACATGAGCCTCTGGAACTTATCAAGCATATGAAAACATCGTCATTCACCTGGAAAATTAACGCCAGGAAGCAGAAGGGGTTTTTGCCTACTCTGCTGGCTACAGGGGTCATCTAGGCCCAACAGCAAGGAAATAAGGGTGTCTGTGCAAGCCTCAGGGCAGCCCCATCCTTCATCCAACTGTAAGAGCAGAAAGGTCCCTCCTCTCTCTCTTGGAGATGGTTTAGACACTTTAGTTCCTTTCAACCTCGAAGCAAATTGGATCTGAATGCAGATGAGCAAGAATAGAATAGAGACAAGTCAAGACTTAAGTTTAATGCAAACCTTTTTTCCCCCCAGTGCAGAAGTCTTATTAAAGAAACAGCATGATGCTGACAGGATAGTGTTTGTAAGTAGAAATAACACTTATTATAACAAGTTAGAACAGCAGGCAGATAGGTTTGTTTGTTTGTTAATTATATCTGGTTTTATTTTCTAATGAGTGCCTTAAGAAAGGGGGGAATCATTCTGACAGCTGTTTGAAACTAACTTTTAAGTCCTCTTAGTAAAATGATGTGGAGCCATCCGGTTCTATGAAGCAACAAGAGGTTCCCCCACCCACCATTTTGTCCATCGGATCCATGAAGATTAACGATTTATAATCCCATGAATGGGATCTAAATTCCTGCTTTAATAGATACAGAAAGTTTTTCGCTTACCCGTGGGGAAGGTACTGATAGAGACATGCATAGAATGCATATGTAATTTGTCCACATTTATAGAATGTAATCTACAGCTCTTCTCTAAGTATCATATTCCCAGAAAGACAAAACATATTTGTCTTTAGAGGAAAGTGTTAACTTTATCCAGACTAACTTTGACTAAATGCCTACACAGCCATGAATCAGAAAAGACATACAACTTTTAAAACAAGGATTGAGAGAAGAAAGGAAAAACAAACCTGTCTGGGAAACGGGGTTGGGAGTGAATTAACTGGCAATAGTGTTTTTAAATTGCCCTAGAGGTAAATTAAGCCTCCTACTTTTTTGTCAGAAATGAGTAATTACTAGAAGGAGGCAGCGTAGTCCACATCTTGGCATTTTTACCCAGAATTAAATCTGCACATTATACATTCACACTCTATGTTTAAAAAAATGAGACACTTTTTAGTGAAACTATAAACACCTGCACAGCCAAACAAGGATTCTTGAGAGATCACATCTACGCAGACAGAGTGGTCTGAATTATTTAGACCACAGCAAAAATATGTGTGACAGATGAAACAGAATCATTAAGAGAAAAAGCAGAGTTTGTTGAACAGATAATCCCAGAGGGATTGCCCTCCTTCTTTTTCCCTAGGCAGGTCCCTTCTCTCAGATTACCTTCAAAACTGTGTTTAGAACAATGCCTCTCGCAGGAAGCCCTCCTTGGTTAACTGACATGATCCTGTCATTCGGCTCCTCTTTGCCATAGCAAGTGCATCTGTATTTTGCATTTGGTCCTAAGCAGCTTGTTTTATATCATTATTGAAGTCTATCTATGCCTTTGTATCTTTATTTCATCTACCCTCTACTGTGGCTTTCATTTGCTGGGTGTGTCTCCAGAGTGCTTACTGTCAGAACAAAGAACTCTCAGGAATGTTGCCTGTTGACAGTATGAAACCAATATTGTGTCGATGACTTGGGCTTGGGCTTGGGCTTTGAGTCCATTCTAAAAGTTTGAGGGGGAAGGAGAAGGACTGTAAATGACTTTATAAGATTCTGTTCAAATCTATCTGACATTGTTTCTTCATTTGCTGTGGGGGACTATGTGAATTTCTTTCCATTTTTCCCCGTTTTTTGTTTTAAAACTCACTACTCTTATTTTCATTGAATCAAGGGTTTCTCTGGCCCTCCTCGAATTTTATTAATAAGCTCAAAATCCAGCCTGTAGGCTAGATATGAGGCTGGGCCAGCATAGACAGCAAGCTCACAGCAGCAACATTTTCTACTCAAAGGGACAGTCTCTGCCACATTCTGAAGTTAATGCAATGTCTCTGCTTTGGGGACTCTAGCACAATAAAAGGGTCTAAATTCCTCAAGCCTTTAGGGAGAAGGAAGGAAATAGAATTCTTTATCAAATTCTCAAGTCCACGGAATTCTGGCACACAACAGACATGGTTAATTCAAGATGGGGATGAATTAAGGTGGTGCAGGAGATTGGGAAACTGATTTCCCAGGGATTAAAGTAATGAATTTTTTATTTGAGAAATTCTCAAAATGCAATTTCTTTAATAATATTCAACCTATTCAGAAGCCTGTCTCTAGGCTGTTTTACCAGAGACATTTAGGCTTGCCCTTAGGGATTAGTGTATGTTGGGATATGGGAAGAGAGGAGAAACTCAGTGTGAAAAAATATATTGCTACTGAGAGCCAAGGAGAGGAATCCAATCTGCATAATGTCCCTAATTAGCTCTTTCCACCAGCACCTTGCAAATCCTCTCCCCAGAGTCTCCAAGAAAACCAGTGGAAGAGAACAGGCTGACAATGAGAAGAAGCTGCATGCAAACAAGCTCAGGTGTGGGTTTAGGAAAGAAATCAGGCTGAGGGTTGAAACAGCTAAAGAAATGTATTAAGGATAGAATGTCCAGCTCACAGCACTGGGGATGTACCCCCACTGTCTCCCCATGGTGACTCCAGATGGTGGGAAAAGTCTGAGACAGGAGAGAGCAGTGGGCCAGGGGTCCAGGAACCAGGTTTTCAGCTGTGTCTATAGGACTCATCAGCTGTGCGATGGCGGCAATTTGTTGTGCCTTCCTGGACCTCGGCTCCCTCACCTGTAATTAAGCAGGGCCAAGGTCATGGATGTGCAAACTGTGCTCAGAAGATCCCATTGTTAGAAGGGCCCCACACTTGGTTTAATATCTGCTGTCACCATCTTGAATTCTTTATAATGACGGCACCACATTTTCCTTTTGCACTAAGCCCATCAAATTATGTAGCTGGGGTATTATGCAGAGGGGAGTTTTAAGTGATTGTGATTATACTAAAGATTCATTTATTTGGTTTTTAAGCTGTCCATAAAATTATCCTATGAAATCAGGATCATGAGAGTCTGGAAACCTTTAGGAAGAGAACAAGCCTTAAAGTAAACACACTTTATTTGCAAATGGTGTGGTGTTAGTGTTGATCAATTGACTACTCCAATTAATTGATAAGGTTAGCTGAACTCCTCTTTATAGATTGTCATTGCCTTAAGACACTCAGTTGCGTACTAAACACTGAAATTTATACTGAAAGTATTTTAATATTCTGACTCTTTCATTGCCAAAGGCTACTCATTCTAAACAGTATAATTCTCACTGAACAACACAACATACACAAAATATGTGTCTGCCTTAGTTTCTGGTTATCTTAATTATTAGTTTCTGGTTATCTTAATTACGTCAGGATCATGGTAATATTCATAATGAAAAGCAGACACTTATTAAAGTTTGAATATGAATAGGGAAACTTTCCCAGACTCTGGGATTTCAGAGCTAGGGTTAGGATCAGGGTCAGGATTAGAGTTAGGGGTTAGGATTAGGGTGAGGGATTGAAGTTAGAGTTAAGATTCAGTACCTCACCTGGAGACTTATTAAACATGAAACTTAGGCAGGCTATTTATGTATATAAATAAAATATACAGCACACACACACACATACACACAAATAGCTCAAAGGAAATCTTCGTTAAGGGCCAGTGAGCCTCAGAGTCAAAGAATGTTGTGGAAGTTCTGGGGGGAGGGGAATCTTAGGAACCAGAAAACCAATCTGCTATGATCTGAATGTTTGTGTCCTCCGAAAATTCATATGTTAAGATGTAATCACCAATGTGATAGTATTTGGAGGTGAGGCATTTTCATGATAATTAGATCATGAGGGCAGCCTTTATGAATGGGAGTAGTCTTCTTAGAAATGAGGCCTGAGGCTGGGCGCGGTGGCTCACACCTACAATCCCAACATTCTGGGAGGCTCAGGCGGGCAGATCAAGAGGTCAAGAGATCGAGACCATCCTGGCCAACATGGTGAAACCCTGTCTCTACTAAAAATACAAAAAAATTAGTTGGGCGTGGTGGTGGGCACCTATAATCCCAGCTACTCGGGAGGCTGAGGCAGGAGAATCGCTTGAACCCGGGAGGCGGAGGTTGCAGTGAGCTGAGATGGCGCCACTGCACTCCAGCCTGGTGACAGAGTGAGACTCCGTCTCAAAAAAGCAAAAAAAAAAAGAAAAGAGGCCTGAGAGAGCTGCCATCCCCCTTCCACCATGTGAGGACACAGTGAAAAAGCGCCATCTATGAACCAAAGGTGAACCCTCACCAGACACCGACTCTCCTGGCACCAAGGAAGGGCTTGGACTTCCCAGCCTCCAGAACTGTGACAGATAAGTTTCAGTTGTTTATAAGCCATCCAGTCTATGGTATTTTGTTATAGCAGCACCAACAGACTAAGACACACACACTCCACACTGTTGCAGTCCCCTTGGTGGAGATGGAGTGAGCCCATCATATCACCTGCAGTTGGTTCCAGCTCAAGTTTGGGAGTCAGCATTGAGTCTATGAATGTGTAGTGAGAACCCATTTCACAGAAGGCTCGGGCTAGTTTAATGGAGATACAGAGGTGAACAAGCTGAGGTTCTGGCCTTCACACAGCTCCAATCCAAGGAAGGGAAGAACACATAAAGTATAACTGAAGCCTCACCAGGGAGCCACCTGCCCTGCCTCTGACAGCTGAGTGAGAGGAGGACTCTCAGAGAAGATGAGTAAATAGAATTCTTTTTCAGCTATTGATTGAGGATATTGAAAAATGAAAAAATATCAATCACGGAAGCAGTCCTTCATCGGCAGGAGTGCATCAGAGAATTGCGAGGTGAGAATGTGGCTTAGCGTGGAGGCTCTGGTTTTTACTCATTTGCAGGCTGCCTGGCCAAGATCTTCCCAGTCCTGTTTGCTCAAGGTGACATTCACAAAAGATAATGCTAGCCTACTTTTTCTAAAAATAAAGAAATAGTATAATTTCACCTTGCTTTAAGCAACCCTGATCTTTAAAATCCAAGCAAACAGATAAATCAGTAAAGAATTCTTCACTTTATAAAATGTCTCACCACAAGATGGCCTTAAAAGTAAACTCCCAGATTAGTACATTTTAGGTGGAATTTGACTTACAAAAAAAGTGGTTTATATGCATCATTGAAGCAGCACATCTACTATGTAAAGTCAGATATCCTTGTAGTTGATCCAAAGTCATAAATAAAATAAGCAGTCATCCTTCACCAGCATTATTCAATTGAGAAATCTGGAAAGGCAATCTAAACAACAATCTTCCTGTCAGTGGCTATATTATTAGACTGCAGCTTTTCAGTTTCCTGTATGTTGACAGGAAGCTGATCTCCTGAAGGAGAAAGAATACCCACGGGATCATTTCTTCAGCCCCATTAAATGTGAGTCAGGGCCAGTATGTCTGCACATAGCTATTTCAACTGCAGTGAAGAGTTGAAGTAACAGATTGGTATGATTTCCAGGAAAGTTCTAGAATGAAGTATTAATATTTAGATAATGATTTGTGAACACTTAGAAATTAAGAAGTGATTATTCAGAGTTAGTGTAAGCTAACTAAGAAAACGATATCCTATTTTTAAAAAGACTTACTATACCAGTAAAGTTGAGAAATTCCATAGATGAAACATACCCAATTTTGGTGACATATTTCATTAAGTCATGAAATCATCATAGAAAAGGTGAAAAAAATATATATGTGCTCAGTGAAAATGCAGTTATACAGATTTGTATTTTCTTCAGTGGCCAAATTAATGGCTGACGAATAGACCCATGTGAACCTACAGGGAGGTTCCTAGTATGTGTCACAGGGCTTAGCATTTTAGCAATGCCTGGGGGAAAGGTTTGAAAAGCCCTGTTATCAAGATCACATAGTATCTTGGAAGCTGGAAGGCTAACATTAGAAAGCAGAATCTGGATTAGAAAAGTTTTCAGTAAGACAGAAGAATCAAAACAAACAAATAAATATAATTTAAAAGGGATAAGTGTAAAATTTTACATTAAGAATTTTATGGTTGGTCACAGTGGTGCACACCTGTAAATCCAGCACTTTGGGAGGCCGAGGAAGGCAGATCACTTGAGGCAAAGAGTTCGAGACCAGCCTGGCCAACATTGCAAAACCCCATCTCTATTAAAAATACAAAAATTAGCCAGGCATAGTGGTGCACGCCTGTAGTCCCAGTTACTCAGGAGGCAGGAGAATTGCATGAACCTGGGGGATGAAGGTTGCAGTGAGCCAAGATTGCACCACTGCACTCCAGCCTGTAAGACTGTAAGACCCTGTCTATAAGACTCTGTCTTTGTATCAGGATGTATAAACCAAATCCATGATTTAAAGACCACTCAGCCTGTAAGACTCTGTCTCAAACAAAAAGACAGAGAGAGAGAATTTTATATAGAGACAAAATCTGGCTTGATGGAAGGTCATCTGACAGAGAACTAGGTGTTTTGGTAGGCCACAGATTTTATATGGGCCATTAATGAAATATGAATGTTAAAAATTATAACAAAAAGCTAATAGACTCTTGGCAGTTAATACTTATTTTCTCCCAGTTTATCAAGGGTTCTTATCTTCTTTATACTTTTCTGGATTTTCCAAATTTTCACATATGTTATTTTTATGAACAGAAAAACTACTCTTAGAATTTGAAAGTATTTTAATAACTGTCCTATTTTAATAACTGTCCTATGGACATTGGAGCAGGCTATTTCATATAGTTTTAGAGGCTGAAACTAGGGAAAACGGCTTGAAGTTATAGGAGACAATTTTAGCCTAAGTACTCAGCTCACCATCGAGTGGGTTCCCATCCCTGGAAGTGTTTACATAACCGTTGGCTAACTACAGAAGTGGCATATCATAGCATAGCATAGCATAGCATAGCATAGCATAGCATAGCACAGCACAGCACAGCACAGCACAGCACAGCACAGCACAGCACAGCACAGCACAGCATAGCATAGCATAGCAGTGAAAATCTCTGGCTCTGCCAAACTGCCTGGGCTTGCACCTTGGCTATGCTACTGACTTAGACGAGGCATGGTCTTAGATGAGGCATTCCACTATTTCGTCAGCTATAAAAAGGGCATGATAGTAACTGTATTTGTCCATATGGTCGCTAAGGATTAAAAGGATTCATCTGTATCAATATCCTTAAGACAATAACTGGACTATGCTCAATAAACATTATTATCATCTGTCAGAAGTGGTACATAAAGAATCTCTGCCTTGCTTGAGAAACTAGACTAAATGATTACCAAAAGTTACCTCCAATTTCATTATCTTATTGTTCTAAGTCAAGGAGCACCCTTCCTCAGGTGGCACTGTCTTATTACCTAAGCCTGTACTCCTGAATAGAACCCTGATAATAACAAAATTATTGCAGGAGAGCAAAATATATTACAAAGGAAGTGTCCAAAAGCTACTCAGCATCTCATACATTTCATTACCCAGAATAGGAAGCAGGCCCAGTGGTGGCACTGGACATATAAACCAAATCCATGATTTGGCCAGGTGCGGTGGCTCACGCCTGTAATCCCAGCACTTTGGGAGGCTAAGGCGGGCAGATTACGAGGTCAGGAGATCAAGACCATCCTGGCTAACATGGTGAAACCCCATCTCTACTAAAAATACAAAAAATTAGCCGGGCATGGTGGCGGGTGCCTGTAGTCCCAGCTACTCGGGAGGCTGAGGCAGGAGAATCGCTTGAACCTGGGAGGCGGAGGTCGCAGTGAGCTGAGATCGCACCACTGCACTCCAGCCTGGGCGATAGAGAAAGACTCTGACTCAAGAAAAAAAAAAAAATCCATGATTTGAAGTCCCAAGGCCTGGACAAAGGGTAGGGTGAAGAAGAAGAAGAAGGAGCCAAAGGAATACAGAAAACAAACGTCTGTACTTATTGATGTATTTATTTGTTCATTCATTCAACAAATGCATTTACTGAGCACTTACTATGCACTAGGCACTGTACTGGTTCTAAGCCCCGGAAACCAGGCACAGTTCCTGCCCTAATGGAGTCATATTCAGTGGGAAATATATTTCAACCAAAAAATGACACCAAGAAACATAAAATGACAGTTGTGATCAGCACCTGAAGGAGAAGTACCCAGGGCCATATGGTAGAGAGTTGCCCTGGTCAGAGAGGTCAAGAAAGACAGCCCTGAGGAAGCCATAACTGAGCTGAGATTTGAAGAAAGGGTGAAACTTACAGAAGTAAGTGCATTCTGGACAAAGAGCAGTTGGTGAGAGGAAGCGTGGCAGGTAAAAAGAACTGAAAGAGGCCGAGCGCGGTGGCTCACGCCTGTAATCCCAGCACTTTGGGAGGCTGAGGCAGGTGGATCACAAGGTCAGGAGATTGAGACCATCCTGGTTAACACAGTGAAACCCTGTCTCTACTAAAAATACAAAAAATTAGCTGGGCGTGGTGGCAGGCGCCTGTAGTCCCAGTTACTGCAGAGGCTGAGGCGGGAGAATGGCGTGAACCCGGGAGGCGGAGCTTGCAGTGAGCAGAGATCGCACCACTGCACTCCAGCCTGGGTGACAGAGCGAGACTCCATCTCAAAAAAAAAAAAAAAAGAAGTGAAAGAAGGCCACAGTGGTTGGAGTAAAGAGAGCAAAGCAGAGCATGGTTTGATCTAAAGCTGGCTAGGTACAGGGCCTATGGTCATGTTAAGGAATGTTGCATCCTAAAATCATGGGAGGGCATGCAAACATTTTAAACATCTCAGGGAAGACATGAAAATCAGATGAAGAACTCACTCAGCATACATTGTGGGAGGTGGAGGTCAAAACAGTGGCAGATAGACCAATAAAGAGGCTTTTAAGGTTATCCAGGAAGAGGTGAAGGTAGCTTAGACTAGGATAGTGGGAGTGGAAGTAGGGAAAAAAGTACAGATTCAAAGAGGTTTAGGAAGCAAAATTGAATGTGAAGGGTAAGGCAGAGGGAAAGGTCATGGTGACTCCAAGTTCTGGCCTGCTTAACAATGCGGGTGACATAGGGAACAGCAAAAGGTTTTGGATTAATCAAGAGTTTGGTTTTGGCTATGTTGTGTTTTAGATGCATGTGAAACTTCCAGATGAAAGTATTAGGTAGGAAATTGGATACATGGATCTAAAGCTCAAAGAAGAGACCTGGGCTGGAGAAACATTTTTGCCATGAACGAAGTATAGAATAAGAAAAGAAGACGGCCAAGTGCAGTGGCTCACACCTATAATCCCAGCACTTTGGGAGGCTGAGGTGGGCAGATCACTTGAGGTCAGGAGTTTGAGAACAGCCTAGCCAACATGGTGAAACCCCATCTCTACTAAAAATATAAAAATTAGCCAGGCGTGGTGGCATGCACCTGTAATCCCAGCTACTCAGGAGGATGAGGCAGGAGAATCGCTTGAACCCAGGAGGCAGAGATTGCAGTGAGCCTGCACTCCAGCCTGGGTGACAGAGCCAGACTCCATATCAAAACAAACAAACAAAAAAAGACAAGACTATCTAGGACTGGGCCTTGAGTATTTTAATATGTATTGACCCGGGGAGCATAGGATAAGACTGCAAAAGAGATAGAAAATGAGCAGTCAGAGAAGATGAAGGTAAACAAAAGAGCCTTGCGTCACTGAAGACAAAAAAATACAGTGTTTCGAGGAGGAGGGACAGTCAACAGTGTTGACCACTGCTGAGATGTGAAGGAAGGTGAGTGACCCTGGCACAAGCTGTTTGTCGAGCTCATGAGGTAGGAGCCAGCCTGGCAGTGACCTAAGGAGTGAGCAGGAAGTAAAAAGAGTCAACAAGTATAGATGTTCTCTCTAGAAGTCTCTGTAAAGGGGAGAAGAGAATATGAAAGCTTGAGGGGAAGGTATGCTTGGGGTAGAGTTATCTCCACTCCCCCACCCCACCCGCCAGTGGGAGCCTTGTGTACACTTTAAATCTGGCAAACAGAATCCAGTTGAGGAGCAGAGATTAAACATGAAAACATAATGAGAGAGTGAGAGTGCAGTACATGGGCAAGGAACTGAAAAAGAATAGATGACAAAGGGGACTAGCCTTTTGGCTAGGGACATGAGGCAGGTAGAATTGCCTGGTCAAAAGGTGGTCACAAATGGTGAGAACTGTGTTGACATTATGCAAATACTGATGGAGAGTGAAGCAGTTGGGGTCAAAGACTCCGTGGTGCTCCCCAGGTTTAGGGTTCCGAGTGAAGTATTTGTGAGAAGTTGGTAAGGTATCACTAAAGAAATCCCAGCTCGGATATCTCAGAGATAAGGTCTCTGCCCAAAATAGAAATTGCAGCAGCCCCATGTGATTTCCCACAGACCTCTTCTGAGTTGAAATCCAGACCAGCCACTCTCTGAGGAAATGATATGAACCATGTTTCCTTATTCAAGGACACAAAATAACTTCCCCACACCATTCTATTTTGCAAATGAGGAAACTGAGCTGCATCTCTAGCTGGGGCTCATCTCACCCAGAATGAAGAATTTGGAGTTGGTTTCGGTCCAAGTTTCCAGTGTCTTCAAAAAGGTAGAATGCCCACATGGCATAAAGCCATTAACTGAGACACAGTGTCCTGAGACACCCACAATCCCTTGTGAAGTCACAGCAAGGAAGAAAATCTACTTTGTTTGAGTATCTTCTGGGTGCCAGGCTCTGTGTAGGTTGCTTTTGCAGACATTAGCTCATTTAATCCTCAAAATACTCTATGGCAACTGGATTTAAGCTTCTACCTAGGATGAGACAAATCAGCTTTGCTGCTTTGCTGGGAGCTCCAGCCTGCTGAATTTACCTCTCCACTGGCCTTCATGTATGGCCCCAGGCTAGCTGGGCCTGCCAGGCCCATGATGACGTAGGAATTAGAGTGTATGGCAGGACATTTCCCTGAGCTTTTCCACACTTCCCCAGCCAACCCAATGGCTGGCAAGGGCTTATATTTTTGTCTTCGCAACTTTTCTTCTCTCCAAGTTGTGTTCCAGACAAATATTTGTGGTCATTGCCCAATAATACCAAAATATACAAATATCATCTGACCATTTTTTAAAGGGGGTAGGAAGGGTTTACGGAGCACTTAACACAAATCTAATACGTTATTCTTTTTTAAGCCGACAACACTCACTCCCAGTCCCCAAACTCAAAACATTTCTCATCTCTCAGTTGACAGGGCCAGAGCAAGACACTGAGCAGGGCTTCAAGGAGGAGATGGATTTTCCAAGGAAGAGAAGTTAAATTATCCCTCTCTCCATGTCTCAACTGTATATTCAGTCTGTCCTGCCACTAGGGACCCTTAGGATCAACAGTTTTCTTGTCCCTAATTGCAATACCTCCTATGAGAATAAATCATTATTCAGCTTTGATATCCTGAATTCCTATAAATTTGTTTTGGCATGGTTTTTTTTTTTTTTTTCAGCTTTAGAATCAGTGATATGAAAAGCATTAGTAGAATGCTAAAACATGACCACAAAACTTATAAAAGTAGTCCCTAAACAACTTGTTCTTAAGAAGTAGTAGCTCCAACCCCAAAGAATCTACTCCTTCACAGGGCAAATGAACATGATGTGCCCCAGAGGGCCCTGAGGTTTGCTGAAGTGGGTCAGAGACTCAGAAGCCTGCTCCACTCCTATCAGAAGGAATTCCTACTTCCTTCCCTCTTCCATCTTCATAGTCTTTCCCAGCTTCTCCTCTCTCCACTCCCACACCTCCTCCGTCCATGGAAAAGTTGGAGAGCCTTTCTTCCCATGAGTTTACACCAGCCCGTCCCCAATTAACCTCAGTGATTAAGCAGTCATCAAAAATTGATTGAACACCAGCTACATGTGAGACTAGCTAAAACCCCTTTCATTACCTATCATCTGCCTAGCTCATTAAAAATGGGGAACACAGTACTTTGAAAACACAAACTGTAGCAATGCTGAATAATAATGATAACGAACCACAACCATTCAGTCTGGGTAGAAGGCAGATTTTACTGAGATGGATCAAATTACCTAAGGAGTACATTGTGTCTACTGAATAAAGTGAGTCAGCACCCATACATGTATGCTATTTGTAAAAGTGATAGTCTTCATTCAGCTGTTAAGTCACAACTGGCATTCAAAGTCTGTTTCTCAAACACAAAGCCCTTGAAAGATTTTCCTCTTTAATACACACCCAACATTGTCTTATTCACTGGAATAATTTAAAGTTATAGGCTCTTTTCCCAATGAGATCAAGTAGGAAAAAAAAATGTGAACTTATCATATGTTAAATTTATTCATTCATTTCTTCATTGAGCATGTGTTCCTGCCTGCTATGCCTAAGGCATTATGCCAGGCACTGAAATACCAGGGCAACTAAGACAGAGCCAGGCCCACGAGTTCCTCATAGTTTAGCAGGCATCCACACCAGTTATAGCAACAAAGTGTTACAGGTACCATGATAGAAATCTGCATAGTCACTACAGAAAGGGCCCAAAAAGCCAGAGCTGGGTTCAACCTGTGGAAGCTCAAACTGCACAGAAGAGATGAGAAAGAGTGGCTTGGCCAAAAATGCATGACATTTCAGATACATGTCCAAGCATCACTTTTCTATACGGTCTGTCATTAAGGGAGTAATGTGTCCAGATACAAAAGAATTTGTTATTTCTGGCAGTAATAAAAGGCATGCTTAGTAGCTATGGTATTGGCTCAATCAATATGTGTGAGATGTTTTTAATTGAGGTTGATGATTTTTATTTTCTTCTATAGAACAGTTCACAATCACTGACAAACATTTCTAGTTTTCAGCTAGCTTATCTACAAATAAAACAAAGCAGTGGTTCAACTCATTCTGCAACAATTTTCTAGCCCAGTGCCTACCAAATTTGCACATCCTAGAGCTGTGACTTCACTATTTAAGATATATCTGGTGAAATCTGAATAGGGTCTGATATGATTTGGATTTGTGTCCTCACCCAAATCTCACATTGGATTGTAATCCCCAGTGTTGGAGGAGGGGCTTGGTGGCAGGTAACTGGATCAATGGAGACAGACCTCCCCCTTGCTGTTCTCATGATAGTGAATGAGTGCTCACAAGATCTGGTTGTTTAAAAGTACGTAGCACCCCCACTTTGCTCTGTCTTCCCCCTTCTCCAGCCATGTAAGATGTGCCTGCTTCCCCTTCACCTTCTGCCATGATTAAAAGTTTCTCAAGGCCTCCACAGCGATGCTTCCTGTACAGCCTGCAGAACTGTGAGTCAATTAAGCTTCTTTACCCAGACTCAGGTAGTTCTTTATAGCAATGCAAGAATGGACTAATACAGAAAAAGAGTGGGATATTGTTATAAAGATACCTGAAAATGTGGAAGTGACTTTGGAACTGGGTAATGGGCAGAGGTTGAAACAGTTTGGAGGGCTCAGACGAAGACCAGAAGATCAGGGAAAGTTTGGAACTTCCTAGAGACTTGTTGAATTGTTGTGACTGAAACGTTGATAGCGATATGAACAATAAAGTCCAGGCTGAGGTGGTTTCAGATGCAGATGAGGAACTTACTGGGAAATGGAGCAAAGGTCACTTTTGTTACACATTAGCAAAGAGGTTGGTGGAATTTATATTTCAAAGGGAAGCAGAGCATAAAAGTTTGGAAAATTTGCAGCCCAGCCATGTGGTAGAAAAGAAAAACCCATTTTTCTATGTAGGAATTCAAGCCAGCTGCAGAAACTTGCATAAGTAAAAAGGAGCCGAATGTTAACAGCCAAAACAATGGGAAAAATGCCTAGAAGGCATTTCAGAGACCTTTGTGGCAGCCCCTCCCATAACAGGCCCAGAGGTCTAGGAGGGAAGAATGGTTTTCTGGACCTGGCCCAGAAAAGTTTGAGTAACCTTGGTTGAACAAAGTTGCTCAAACCCTGAGCAATCTCAGGACACTGCTCCATGTGTCTCAGCCACTCCAGCTCTAGCCATGGCTAAAAGGGCCCAAGATATGTCTCAGGCCACTGCTCCAGAGGGTACAAGCCATAAGCCTAGGCAGCTTCCATGTGGTATTAAGCCTGCAGGTGCAGAGAGGGTAAGAGTTGAGGCTCGGAAGCCTCTGCCTAGATTTCAGAGGATGCACGGAAAGACCTGGATGTCCAGGCAAAAGTATGTCACAGGGGCAGAGCCCTCATGAAGAATCTCTACTAGAGCAGTTCAGGAGGGAAATGTAGGGTTGGAGCCCCAACACAGAGTCCCCACTGGGGCACTGCCTACTGGAACTGTGAAAAGAGGGTAACTGTCCTCCAGATCCCAGAATGGTAGATCTACCAACAGCTTGCACCATGTGCCTGGAAAACCCACAGGCACTCAATGCCAGCCCAGGAAGTCAGACAAAGGGGCTGTATCCTGCAGAGCCTCAGAGGCAGAGCTGCCCAAGGCCTTGGAAGCTCACCCCTTGCATCAATGTGGCCTAGATATGAGACATGGAGTCAAAAGAGATCATTTTGGAGCTTTAATAACTGCCCTGCTGGGTTTTGGACTTGCATGGGACCTGTAGCCCCTTTGTTCCGGCTGAGTTCTACTTTTAGAGTGGGTGTATTTACCCAATGCCTATACTCCCATTGTATCTTGGAAGTAACTAACTTTTTCTTTTTAATTTTACAGGCTCATGGGCAAAAGGGACTTGCCTTGCCTCAGATGAGACTTTGGGCTGTGGACTTTTGACTTAATGCTGAAATGAGTTAAGATTTAGGGGGGACTGTTGAGAAGGGATGATTGTGTTTTGAAATCTGAGAAAGACATGAGATTTGGGATTGACAGGGGTGGAATGATATGGTTTGGATTTGAGTCCTCACCCAAATCTCATGTCAAATTGTAATTCCCGATGTTGGAGGAGGGGTCTTGTGGGAGGGTGATTAGATCATGGGGACAGACTTCCCCCTTGCCATTCTCATAATAGTGAGTGAGTTCTCACAAGATCTGTTTGTTTAAAAGTGTGTAGCACCTCCCCCTCCACTCTTTCTTCCCCCCCTTCTCCAGCCATGTAAGATGTGCCTGCTTCCCCTTCACCTTCTGACATGATTGTTAAGTTTCCTGAGGCCTCCCCAGCCATGCTTCCTATATAGCATGCAGAACTGTGAATCAATTAAACCTCTTTCCTTTATACCTAGTCTCAGGTAGTTCTTTATAGCAATGTGAGAACAGATTAATACAGGATTTTAGTTTAGTTAATAGTATTATACTAACGTTAAGTTTCTTAGTTTTGAAAATTATACTATAGTTATACAGATATTAAAACTGGGGAACTTGAGGAAGGCAATATATGGGAATACTCTGTACTAGTTTTGCAACTTTTCTATCAATTTAAAATTAGTTTCAAGTTAAAAGTAAATAAATGTATGTACATAGATATAAATATAGATAGGTATATGCATATATTTCCATTTTTATGAGATCAGTGCTACTTAAAGTGTGTTCCACAAACCTTTTATTACCAATCATAGACAAGCTAAAGCTAAATATAGAAAATGGAAGCAAGCATTTAGAAACTTTATAACAATTTGACATTTCTGAAATATTTAAGCATATGATTCTTTTCCTAGAAGTTCATTTTTATCACATTTTTTTAAAGCATCAGTCTGTATTAGGATTCTCCAGAGAAACAGAGCCAACAGGATATGTGTGTGTGTGTATATGTATAGATAGGGATTTATTTTAAGGAATTGGCTCATGTAATTGTGGAACCAAAATCCAAAGAAATCGGATGGGGTAGACCAGCAGGCTGGAGATTCAGGGAAGAGATGCAGAGTTCAAAGGCAGACTACTGATAGAATTCCTTCTTGCTCAGAGGAGGTCAGTCTCTGTTCTCTTAAGGCCTTCAACTGATTAGATGAGGCCCATCCACATTATGAATCATAATCAGCTTTACTCAAAGTCTACTGATTTAAACATGAATCTCATCCAAAAACCACCTTCACAGAAATATCCAGAATAACATTTGACCAAATATCTGGGCACTGTAGTCCAGATAAGTTGGTGCATAAAATTAACCATCATGTAGTCCATGACAGATTAAAAAATTAAAAAGAAAAAAAAAAGTCCTGCATTGGAGATATTTTGAGAAGCTTTGTGTCATATAACTTTTAATAGTCTACCAAATGGTTGTATTAATTTAAAAATTTAGACTAAGATTGCTTATTTCATATGGGAACAGGGAAAAATCCTGGGAGCAGTGTCCTGGCTGGTGTGGGGAGAGGAGGATCTAACCACTTTCTAATTCTGACCAATGAGCCTGAACCATTAAAATCTACCTTTGTATTGCTCTAATTCAGAGTTCCCAAACTGTCTCATGTCACAGCATTTTGTATCCCTGTAATTTTTTCACAGAGTCCCTAGGCAAAAAGAAATACCTACCCAAAATTCCATTTATCCAGTAGTTAAGTCCCAACAACTTAGTTGTTTGAAAAAAATTATACACATAAATCGAAAGAAAAAAATTTATTTCATTCTTAAATACTCAGTTACTTTTAAAAGGATGTGTGTGCCCAAGGTCAAGAGATTGAGACCATCCTGGCCAACATAGTGAAACCCCGTCTCTACTAAAAATACAAAAATTAGCTGGGCATGGTGGCGTGCACCCGTAGTCCCAGCTACTTGGGAGGCTGAGGCAGGAGAATTGCTTGAACCCAGGAGGTGGAGGTTGCAGTGAGCTGAGATCGCGCCACTCTACTCCAACCTGGCAACAGAGTGAGACTCCATCCAAAAAAAAGAAAAAGGGATGTGTATGCCAATTGGGCACCAAATATCTTCCCAAATCTTGGAACCCATGTGGACACAAGCACCTTCACCTCCTATTCCACACTGATTTTCTCTGGGTACTTGCATTTTACAACAACTGCTGAAAACTCAGCTTCCCAAAGACAGGACATTTTTGGAAGAAATGTAGCGCAATCTAATGTTGGAACAATGAACTACCTTGAGCTAATAGTTCAGTTGATATCCAACAGATGTCAAGTGCCACTATACTTCCTTGATATTTAAACTATGCCACAGCCCCCCTCTAAGTTTGCTGCAAAGTCTTGGGTGCCTAGGACACAGTTTGGGAGTCATGACTCTATTCTTTTCCCATTTTTAATTCCATTTTCTCTTGTGCAAAATAAAAGCATGTTCTTTAAGTATCTAGTAACTACCTCTGTTAAACCTAAGGTTATGTAGAATATAACACTTACTGTTATGTCATAACTCTGAGCTTTCACTGCTAGCAATCACAAGGTTGTGTATTCTCTTTTCATTCTTTATCTGCGGTGAATATAGTAGACGAGATGACCTCCAGTGGCCAGGTATCTCAAACATATGCCTAAGAGAGCACAATAAAATATTTTGCTTTGTGTTATATTTAAACCAGAATACAGTTCTTAACTATGTTACTTTTTAACAGATAATTAGATCAAGACTGAAAGAAGCACAAAAATACGTGTAATTTGGTATACTTCTTACTAATGGTTAACCATTTTCAATCGTGTCTTAATCTAATACTGATTTTTCTGACCAATTATATTTATTTCACTCACGCTAAATTCTTATAATTGTAGCCAAAAGTCCCATAGATCATAAAAGTGACTCTGACAACAATTCTTTGGGGCTTACACACAACTTGAAATCAAAAGCCTTTGTTTTCTTCCTCTGGGTCAATATCTTCTCATCATAACTGTTGTCATCATCATCAGAATATGAACTATTTATCTTGTTTGGCCAGTGTCAATAGTTGGAGAAATTACTTCTCTCTGTCTCATATTTCTAGCTTTCTCCTGTTTGATTTTCCATAGGCAGAGGAAAGGAGAAAGAGAAAATCTCTCACATCCCCTGCAAGATTGTTCCTTCCTAACAAGAAAAGACTCCCTCCCCCGACCTTTCTGAAGCTTCTTTTATCTACTATTTACTAGCAGCTACATACATTGATACAACCTGTCTCTGATATTAAGCTCCTGTCTTGTAATGGAGACCATATTGCCTTTCCAGAGATAAATCCAAGCTTATCAAAACACTTTTGAAAACCTCTTTCATAATAAACAGAACACAATTTCAGATAGTAGCACAGAGTGACTTCGCACCTTAGGACAGAGGTCTGATGCCAGAATGCTGTACAGTGGTGCCCTACCCACGATCTCATTTTCACCAGCCTGAGGCTGAACCTCTCCCTTCTTTCTTGCTGGGGTTTTCTATAAATCAGTTGTCAACAAATATATTGGATTCTTTACACTTTGATCTACTTAACATTTTGAAACAGGTATTCACTCAACTCCAAGTTCCTTTCCAATTACCTGGTGGGGTTTGGTGGGGAGCAGTTAGCTGGATACCTGTTTGAAGCAGGTGTCCCAGAAGCCACCTTGCTGTGCATAGACATCAGCTGGCATACAGCCTTCAGTAAGAAGGCTGATGGAAGGTACGCAGTAAAAATTAAAAGCCTAGGAAAAGTACAGGCCCCAGAGCCAGAGCAGAGCAGAGCAGTTGAGTGATGGTTCCTTCTGAGAGCAGGGTGGGAACAATTTCTTGCCCTGCTCCTGGGGATGAAAGTAAAGTCTAAACTTTTTTGCAACAGTGACTAATTCCCCATCAGAGAGCCTCCTGCGATTGCAGAGCTAATTTCATGAGTGGTAAATGAAGGGTCTCTCAAAGTGAGAGCTGACAGAGGAAGAAACAGAGAAAAACTAAAAGCAAATCCCTAAACATTACCCACATTGCAAAACAGAAGGGAATTTTCAGAAGCAATGATAGAGAACGGCCCACCTCCAGATCTCCCTCAGACATGTTTTCTTCCTTCCTGACTCATTGAGTTTCTTTAGGAAAGCCTGGTGAGAAGGGATTATGAAGCAGGCAAGGGAGCCAGCCTTTTCTGGCAACACAGGGCATTTTGATTTCAGAATCTGCAAATCTTCAAGAACAGACCCGGTGTGCACTAGTGTTCTAGGCTGGAGTCCAGCAGCAGTTCAGCTGCAGATGAAGCAAATCAGCTGGTTGGTGCTGACAGCCAGAGACCCAAGGACTTTCCTGGTGCTACACCTCTCTGGAAGTTTGAAGATGTTGGGACAGGTTTGCCTTCTGAAATGTGCAAATGTCACCAGCCGGGAGTGGCAGATGCCAGGAGGCATCTGCAAACAGATCTCCATCTGGCCATGGGCTAGGCTTCCTGGGACACAGATTAGAATAGTTTGAAACAAAGGGGCGGAAGCACCGGCTAAGCTTTTCACATATTGTTATGGTCTCTGGGTCACTTCCTGCCTTTGGAATTTATTTCCTTTCCAGGTTCAGCAAAATTCAATGAATGACAAGAAAGAGTTTGGGGTTTGTCTTTGCCTCTGGCCCAGTCGAGGGGCGGCTCTGCCTCTGTGAACTTGTACCTCTGCAGTGGTTGCATTCTCCCGCGCTGTTTGTTCACACTGAGCCCAGCATGGGGGAAGCTTCAGGATGCAACAATAAATAAGGGAAGGGAGCCATCTCCAGTTGAGTCAGATAAATCCTCTTCTTCCTAGAAAACAGAAAAGGAAAGAATAGATTGGGAAGGGCAAAAATGATGTTTTATCAAGGAGAGCTCTTTCTCACCAGCTCCCCATTCAGAGATGTAACCAGCTTTGAAGGTAGGAGGCCGAACGTGGCTCCATGCAGTCGCACCTCCCACCTCCTGGAGTCAGCCAGTAGGCCAGATAGGTACACAGGACAGTGACATTTGCTACACAACAATGATCTGCTTTGTTTTCTTTTACCAGTATTTAATTTGCACTTTGTTCCAACAGGGACTTCAGGTAGCAATAACTGCCTTTCTGACAGCATTTTCACGCTCATTTTGGGCACTTTGAAGCTGACATGAATGCATATCGCAAAATCCTTCTGCAACCCCCGGCAATCCCTGTACATCCACTGCAGTTCTGCAGTGCAGAGACCCCCAGAGGCCAAGGCAGACCCTTTTGCCCCAACAGCTGCAGGACCCTATCAAAACTTAATGTGGTCCCTGCTGCCCCTGTCATTTCTTTGAGAAAGAGTGTGTCTCTCTGAATAGTGATCCACCGTCATGAATAAGTTCCTTCTGAAAGCCGGCTCATACAGCCCTTGTCAGGAAGAATCTCGCAGAGCCTGTCCACATATCCAGAGTCCATCTCTCTCTAGACTGAGAGGTCAGGGTTCATAGCTTTAGAGGAAGGGTAATTTTTGCCCCCACCTTTAGTCTAAACACAGCTAAACTAGCAGCAAACGCTATTGTAAATACAGAGGAAGTTGCAACTAGTGATCAGCCTTTCTCCTGGTGCCACTCAATCTCCCAGAAATAAGAACTAAAGCTTCCCCTCCATCAGTTTAAACAATCTCTTTGCTCGAGGCTGCAGATGCCACCACTGTTGGGAGCTAGCAGTGACAGGGCTGCTGCCTTGGGTTATCACTGTGGCTCAGGCGTCAATCAAATTGACCTTTTCAAATTGCACCAACACATCTCGCATTCACAGAAATGGTCTGCTGTGACCTTCACAACAATTGTTCCTAACCACTTTAGGAAGTTCTGGGGGAAGGAAGTAAGTAGGTAGGGCGGAGATGGCTGTATACATACCAGGGTCAGGAACACCTGTAGAGTACGAAAGCAACAGGAAGTCTGCCCAAGAGTCCCAACTTTCCTCCATGAAAAAGCGCTCTGTCAGATTCAGGCATTATGTTTCCATATAAAAGTATAACCCGGGTCTGGGAAATTTATAAATCATTACTTTTAAACTTTACAGAATCTGATAGCACGGGACTGTCAGGGAGCCAGGAATCTGCATTTTTATCAAGCCCACCGGCTGCTACTAGTACAGGTGGTCTGTGGCTCAGACTTTGGAACACTGTGCTATAAGGAATTGTGAGTCATTGTCAGGTTAGCATGGAGGAACTGGTAACACAGATGAACATTGCACCTGGATGCCAGGCCAGGCTTTGGCAGTCTGTATGACCGACCCTGGGTAAGACAATTTAATTCTCTGAGACTAAAGGCCTCAGGACTAGACAGAAGACCTTCAAAAATTTAGAAATAGCTTCTAAATTACGGCCCAAAGGCCTACAGATTTGGAGCACTGGTCCAAACAGAAGGACCAGGGTTCTGCAGGCATGCCCTGAACACTCACTGAAGTTCTTCGTTGCAGAAAACTCCAGCAGCCAAGGTGGAACCTCTTGCCCAGGGCTGCAGTCCTAGAACTCTGTGGTCATGGGATGCAAGAACTGCATCTTTGCTCTCAGCCATTTCCAAGTAGGAGAAAGGGAAAGGAAGAAGATTCTATTTATGTAGTGCATTATATGCATTATTTTTTAAATTCTCACTTAACCCTAGTATCATTAGTCTCCTTTTGAAGATGAGAGAATTGAAGATCAAAGATGTGAAATAACTTGCCCCAATTCCCCCAGGTCTCATGGCTATAGAATGCTTGAACTGAAATTTCAGTTCATGTCTTCCAAGATCCAGGTGCCATGTTCTTTCCACAAAACCATTCAGAACTGGAAGTTTTGCTGTGGCCATCCTGAAGGCCTGGCTGTTTGGAAACCCTCCAGATACCCTCACCTCTCCCTGACATCCATCCCACACCTGTTCACCACTCTACTTCAGAATCTCACACACCCTGGGTCTTTCCTCCATCCCTGACCTCCAGCTGATCGCTCAGCTGAACTCATTTCTTATCCCTACAACTTCTTGACTCCCAGTAATTAAAATACATCAGCTGCCACTTCTCCTGGGCTGAGGAGGATGTTTCTGGCCCACAACTACTCCAGCCACTGACTTCAAGATCAAGTCAGCTGGGTCCTGGAAAACTCAGTGTATCCCTAAGGATTTCCATGAATTGAGAATCTCTAAATGAATGCTTAAGAGGCATTTGTGCACTTACTGATTCTAACCCACACATACACAAGCACATACACACAAACAAATATGCACACACAATACACATACACATACACACACAGAGATCTCTTCTCAACTCAGGGCAGAGATATAGAAAACCCTCAGGGAGAAACCAGTGCCCTTCTATTAGGAGATGACACATCAAACTTCAACTTCCTAACAATAGTGATTATTCTGGGATGCTGGGCACCCCCTAGTGGGAGTAATGGAGAGAGAAGACAGACTGTTTTGGTGCTGTTCTCAGTAACCCATTCCACCCACAACTTCCTGCCCCTTCGCTGCCTTCTCTTTCCAGCCCATCTCACTGTTCTTGGAATGATTCATTCTTCCCACGATGATTGGGCCTTTTGCCCCATAAAACCCTCCCTCTCTTTACAGACATAATGGACTAAAACTAAGCAGAAGGCAACTCAGGCAGAACAGCAGGAAAAACTTCCTATGGGGAGAGCGATTAAAATCTGAAATGACCTTACAAGGCAAACTAAGTAAGACCTAACTGCACTGGGCAGAACAATAGAGAATATCTCAGAAAGATATTCTTGGAGATGAAGAGGATGAGGGAAAAGCTATTTCCCTGATTTCATATATTAATGCCCCCATCCAACACTCTCAGACTGATTTCATGACAATATAAATGCCCTGTGCTACATCTAACCCCTTTTAAGACCAAGAGAACACCCAACATTTATACATTTGAAATAAACAGATGAAGCCTGTCCCAGCAGAGTGGCAGCTCATCCATGAACTGGGCACTATGTAGTACTGTGGGACATTCTGAACATTTGTGTACTAATACCCACTCTTTTCAAGGCCACTGCCATAGCTCCCCACGACGGGATGAGTCCTACTATACTGTAAACAATAAAGTGTTTTCTGAGTGTTTACGTTATACCAGGCTCAAGATTCGTAAGCATTTTTAAGACATGCGCACATCTAGTTCAGTCCCTTCTCCAAACAAGGGCCTTAATAAAAGATAGGGAGAGTAACATATTTAAGTGCATGCGCAAAGAATCCTTCTGGGCATATTCACAGTTCTTATTTTAGTTAAGTATTTGATAACTTGTTCACTGGGTAAGGGGCCAGCCAGTCTCATCTTGGGGACCAGTGCCTGTCTCTAGTAGATGTGACAATTATACAGCACCCACCTTCATGCAGAGCTTTGGTTGTTATGATCTTATTCCTTCCTAGATTTGAGTCATCAGCTCATTAGTGCCCATTCAACTTAGCCTTCCTCTGATGAATCCTCTAAAACCTTGCTCATAATTTTACCGATACCAGCACAGGATTTTCTCTGCTATGCCTCCTGCTTCATCTGGAGCCTAGTGACTTGGAGAGTCTAATCTCACAACTGCTTACAATGTTAATCCCTTTCATCTCTTCTTTTAGAACCATGTGGTGATGTTCATCTTTCTGACAACCAAGAACCTTGGAAGAATCTCTCGCCTCAGGCGCTCCTATTTTTGTGCCTAGCTCGGCCGCCTTCCAAATCACCAGAGGCATCATAGAATGCAACTGTCTGTGGAGGGTTGGAGGACGAATTGGACACAAATTCATTGGACGGCTGAAGGAAAAAAGAAAGGTCAAGGATGCTCCAGCTTGGCCAGCCTCGCAGGCCTGACAGCAGAAGCTGGAATTCTTTCTTTTATAACTTGGGCTTGAATTAAAGGCATTTTTTTTTAGTCCAGAGACCTTTGGCCTTCACTCCAAACAGAACACTCAGTGGGGTGGAGCAAGGCTGTCTGTTGGCAGGAAGGGCATGCTGACCTCTGGCCCTAATGCCTTCCCTAACCTGGAAAGACATAAAAGCTGTGGTGAGTTAGCTGAGCCACCTGGAGGGCTCTGTCAGTATGTAGAATGTTCTAAATCATGTAAGGGGCCCTGCCTTTGTAAAGAAGAGTGGTGATGTGTTTATGGGCTCAGAGAAGAAAACATATGGAGAGAAAATGAGAATTAAGAAGAATAAACCTAACTAGTGGCTGCTTTGGGTGTCTAGAAGACAAGTAAAACTCAGAAAAGAGGCCCCAGTTCTGAGAGGCAGAGATAAGGGAACTTCCAGTACATCTGTCTCTATTTTCAGAAGAGATAAAAACCAAATCATAAATCTAAAGATGAAGGTACATTCATCTGGGGAGAGGACTAAACAAGCTGTTATATTTCAAACAGCTATTAGGATTGCAAAAATGAACACTTTTAACTTGCTAGTGGAAGCATTTCTTTCCTGCAAGTCACCTTGGATCAGATTAGACAACAAAGAGAAGATAACAAAAAATTATTTTTTTGTGCAGGCTAAGAAGCATTAATTTAGGCTCTTTGTACTAAGCTAGATTCCCGTCCTGGATGCTTTCCAAGAAAAAGCAAAAAGTGAGCAACCAGAGCAGTTATGGGAAATTCAAGTGTGTGCTTTGTTGGGAAGGATGAGAACGGGGGGTTCCGCTGGCCCAGAGCTGCAAACGAAATCAATGGTCTGCAGCTTGGGAGGTGACCAGAGGACCCAGGCCACTGGATCAGGCGCTCAGAGAGCCAGCATGAGCCTTCAAGGCAGTGCTTGTGGGCAGGAGGACAGGTCTGAGCTTCCTGCCAGTGCCTATGGCAAGTTGGATATGTATTTGCCAGTATCCCCAAGGGAAGGGGTTCTGTGCCAGCTGGAGCTCTCTCAGGAAAGACAGGTAGCTCTCAGATGAAGTCCAAGGAAACCAGGTGAGGGCTTGAATTGTGGCCAGCGAAGCAGGGTGTCTAACACCTGAGGAGGCCAGATGGGGGTCAGGAGCATTCAGGCAGGGAAGAAGGGGTGTGACATGCCCATGAAAGGTGGGTGTGGGCATTCCAGGGCCTAGATAATGTTTATGGAAGAGGTTTCTATCACAACACAATACAAGGCACTCTTGCTGTCCTAAAACCTTTTCTCCAGCTGAGTTTCTGACTCTTTTAAAGCCACAATGTAGGCCAGACATGGTGGCTCACGCCTGTAATCCCAGCACTTTGGGAGGCTGAGGCGGGCGGATCACCTGAGGTCAGGAGTTTGAGACCAGCCTGACCAACGTGGAGAAACCCTGTCTCCATTAAAAATACAAAATTAGCCAGGCATGGTGGCGCATGCCTGTAATCCCAGCTACTCGGGAGGCTGAAGCAGGAGAATCACTTGAACCTGGGAGGTGGAGGTTGTGGTGAGCTGAGTTTGTGCCATTGCACTCCAGCCTGGGCAACAAAGAGCGAAACTCCATCTAAAAAAAAAAAAAAAAAAAAAAAAAGCCACAATATAAGGACATTCTCAGGAACATTGAAGCTAAGAGGCCATAGATTGAATAAGATGGCCAAATATGCCACACGGAGCCAAAGAAGCAAGGCAAGCCTCTGCAGAGTCCCATTTGACGTGAAGAGGCAGATAACCAATGTTTCCGAATCATAGTAACTGAAGTTAAAGGAATGACTCCAGGTCATCACTACGTTGATTTCCTTTCCCTCACTTCTGGGAAGGTCTTAAACCCCTCTACAGTGTCTTTCCACCATTTATTTCCCCCCTTGCTTTCTTCCACTTATTCCCAGTGGTGAGCAGGGGCCAGTTTATACCACCTCCCAACTCTGTGTTCAGTAATTTACAATCAGCCGCGATGGGAGTGTTTATGCCTTAGAAATTGGAAAATGCTGCAAATCAGAGCTTTCTGTTTTTTTTCTGGAGAGCCAGTTGTTAAACAGCTCCCAGTACATCCTGCCTGTGACTGAGAGTTTTTGCATGGGAGGAAGAGGCCGTGTACTGAGGCGGACAATGTTAGAAGTCTGGGGATGGGAACAGAGAAGCCCAAAGTGCTGGGTGGGAAGTGGTGAATTGCCAAAATTGGTTCTGCCTCCCTCACGGACACACACACCCCAGCCCCAGCCCCAGCCTTGGGTTCAGTATTTAACAGTCATTCAGTAAGAAGCTGTTCCATATCTACAGGGATGTGGAGGCAGCTTTCTATTGATTTGGAGGGCTGGATACCTTCCTGCTCGAACATTTTTTGAGGTTTATGGTACAGAATACAATAACCTAGGTACACATAGTGTACATTCTGTGTATTAGGCTATTATACCATGCACCATATGTTGCATATTATCCATTTTCCTCTGTGGATTTAAAGGTTTCACATACATTCAATCTTGCTTTTCCTCTTCCAACCCCCCATGTAACAATGTGTGTTCCTCTTCCCCCAAACGTGCTTCCCGTTGACCTTTGGACTCAACATCTTGTCTATTTTTAAAATGTTCCTGAGCCAGATAATTATTACACCCTCTAAAGTAGAGTTCTTTGACTTTAATATACATAAAATCACCTGGGGAATCTTTTTCCAATGCAGGTTTGCATTCAGTTTTGACCCCATAACTCTCTCTCCCTTCTACTTCTTCAACTTTAAGAAGTTCCGACTATACCTCTGGAAGAAACAGCCTCTCACAAGAGATTGGACGAGGAATAGAAGTCTGAACCAAGCAACCAAATCTATACCCAGGTGGGGTTGGATTCCCTTTCAAGAATTTGAAGTAGAATGCTGTCCTAGCCAGAGTTCCTCACCCCCAAAAGCAGAGCCTGAGATAGAGATTTGCAGGCAGTAATTTATTTAAGGATCCCAGAGAATAGAAGTGCAGGATATGGGAAATGACAAAAGAGAGGAAGAAAAATCAGTACAAGGGTATGTTATTGAACTGGGCATGGCAAAGGGCAAGCAGTGCTCCCATTCTGTAGGACCTGCTAATGAGCTTTCTGATAGGCAACTCTGTCCATCTCAAGCATTTATCCAGGCTTTCCTTTATGAACAGTACTGATTAAATGCTTGATAACCCTTTATTTTCCAGTTTTCAGATAGTGACTTCATTCCCTGGCATCCTCCAAAAGTCACCAATAAATATTATTTTAGTATGATTATGAACCACGAGTTTAAATATATTTGATGTATTTAAATCCATTGCAGTTATTATTCTAATTAGTGCTCAAATTATCCCATCTTTGGCCAATGGAAGCTTATTTATGCTAGCTACTAGTCTTTTTGGTACAACCTCAGTCATCTTTGATAGCATCCTTCCTTTCTGGTGTAATAAGATATTCTAGAGCAGCTCTATTCAATGGAATTTTCTATGATGATGGGCATGTTCTTCATCTGTGCTATATGATACTGTAGCCAGTAGTCACATGTGGTTATTAAATATTTGAAATGTGGCTAATGGAACTGAGGAAATGAATTTTAAATTTAATTTTGATAAATTGTATTTCAAATAGCCACCTGTGACTAGTTGCCACCATATTGAACAGCACAGCTCTAGAGTAGCTTTTTGTGTAACAAATGAAAAAATTTAGGTACAGAGAAGCAGGACTTGTCTGTGATAGAATTCAATCTTTATCATTAGAACAGTGCAGGGACTGCCTGCATCTAAATAATCTGGGAAATCTGTAAAATATTGATTTCTGAGCCTCTCCCCCAGATATTCTGATTTATCACATATGAGGCGGTGCTCAGGAATCTGTTGTTTTATCGTTGTTATTTTAATGTTACCATGTGATCTAATGAGCAGCTCTGGGAACCACTACATTAGACAGCTGGAATGTAATATTTATGTTACAGCTATGGTTCATTGAAAATCATTCCAACCAATCAATTGTACATCTTTAACTCCATATGGTCAGTTTTAAAACTTCTCAGAAGACCATAGCACTCTGCCAGTTATGTAATCAAGAGCTACGGGTGCTTGTAGAGGTTTGCCTCTCCCCGGCTTCAGCACAGGCCTCATTCATCCATAATTTAAAAAGACACAAAACCAAGCCAAGAGTGAACAGCTTTCCTCCTCAGACCAGCCATTAGGATCTACTGTGCCTCCTGTGTATGTCAAGAACTGACATTTTACCCTGCTTGCACAAAACAAGTTAGCCTGCCACAGATTCAGGATACTGGCAGAAGACATGAGACTCCTGGGCCAAAGGCAAAGGACTTTGTTTCACTCAGCACAGCAAGCAATGTGAGATTTATGTTCATATTAGTTCTTGCCCCCCAAGGTCCAAGAGGGTAACAGAGTAGCCCAGTAGCACACACAATGGATTCCATCATGGCCGAATAACTCCAATAATTTATAATGAGCTACAAATAAACTTGCTCAACTTTGCCCCAAAAAGAGGCATCATCTTTATTATACTATGCAGCAAGCAAACCCTCTCTGTTCCAGAGGGAGATACTACCTCTGTCTTCCAAGGCTGCTTTCCAATATGCAAACATGTTTGGAAAATGCTATCAATGCTTCTGCTTGAAAACATGAAGAAATATGAGAGACCTATGGAGAACTGTCTCCCCCAGTACATATCCCAGGGCACAATTCCTGGCCCATCTGCAGCATGGTGAACCCCTAGAACCAGAACAGAAACCCTAGAATCTATACAGTGTCTATATAGAGACCCTTCTATTCCATCCCAGCTGTGATGACTTTGGATGTGGCTCTGTCCTCTGGGGGGATGTAGTAATGCATCCTTAGAGGAGCAGTCTCTAAAGTCAGTCTATCTGAATTCACATCTCAGCCATGACACTTACTAACTGTGTGACTTTGGGAATTGTATGTAACCTCTCCATGCCCCAATTTTCTCATCTACAAAATAGGAGTAGGTTAATACCTACCTCAAGGTTATTGTAAAGATTATATGAGATAAAACATGTATTTAACCCAAGTTATATAGCAAATTATCAGTAAACATTAGCCATTGCTATTACCACTCATTATTATTAATTCTTTCTCATGACTTTTCCCATCATAGTGGAGCCACCTGCTCATAGAGAACCCTGGCACCCATTGGCTTCTTCCTAATCCTAGATTGTACTTCCATTGCAACTTCAGAGCCAATTTACCACCCTATGGGGTTTGCTGTATTCCAGAAGTGGGTGAGTTATGGCCCGCAAGCCAAACTCAGTCTGCCGCCTGTTTTTGAAAATAAAGTTTTTTGGAACACAGTCACACCCATTCATTTACATATTTTCTAGGGCTGCTTTAGTATCGCAATACCAGAGTTGAGTAGTAAAGCCTAAAATATTTACTATTTGGCCCTTTGAAGAAAAAGGTTACCAGTCCCTGCTCCATTCTATTCACAGACTATATACCAACTCCATCCAACAACCTTTAAGATGGGTTGTTGATCAAGAAGACCAGGAAAGGGTGGCAGTGAATTACTGCTACCTCTTTTCATTAGAAAAATAACTCCAAAGTACTATTAGGAAGGCATCAGTTTAACGTTTTAGAACACTGCTTTGTATTACTCTTCGTTGAATTGGATTGTTTACACTGTCCATCAACTGGCCATTTAACAAGCAAAACATTAGTAAACTGTCTTTGTGTAAGAGTATTAACTCAAAGACAGAAGACTTTTTTAAAAGGAAATTTCCTTTTGTTAAAGGATTTTATCAAAGAGTATTCTAAAAAATGAATTTGCTTTTTTTAAATAAGAGTAAATATAGATAGAATTTATCACTTTCATTCTCTCCACAAATATCCTTAACATGTTACTAACCCTCAAATGAAGACAGGCATTAGATGAATATTTACGACGGCCATGGTTAATGAATATTATTCATTAACTATGTATTTAGTACTAGGTTTCAGAACAGAGTCATGAGATATGTTTAGTCATTATAACTGAATAATATGTTTAGTCATTACAAATGACTATACTAACCCCTCAGCAATGAGAATGTCAATATCCATATAAAATTTTTAACTTCTTTTATAAAATACCCTTTCAGAGCAGAGGCAGAAAGTTATTTGACAAGCTGTGACTAAATGATACTGATAGATTTTTTTTATTTTCATTTATTTATTTTTTGAGATAAAGTCTTGCTCTGTCAGCCAGGGTGGAGGGCAGGAGCACCATGTCGGCTCACTGAGACCTCTGCCTCCTGAGTTCAAGCGATTCTCCTGCCTCAGCCTCCCGAGTAGCTGGGATTACAGGCACCCACCACCACACCCAGCTAATTTTTGTATTTTTAGTAGAGATGGGGGTTTCACCATGTTGCCCAGGCTGGTCTCGAATTCCTGACCTCAAGTCATCTGCCCGCCTTGGCCTCTCAAAGTGCTGCTGGGATTACAGGTGTGAGTCACCATGCCTGGCCAATTGATGTCTTTATCACATTCAGAGGCCAGACTTTAAGAGCCTTCTGAAAAACAGCCTGAAACCCAAAAGTGCAAAAAAGGGAGAGGAAGGAGAGAGTGTTTAGTGTTTAATAATTTGTGGGGTTTTCTTGTTTTTTTCTTTTTATAGAGATGGGGGTCTCACTACATTGCCCAAGCTGGTCTCAAACTCGGGCTCAAGCAACTCTCTCGCCTCAGCCTCCCAAAGTGCCTCAGCCTCCCAAAGGCATTAGCCACCATACGAGGCTGGGAGTTTTTGTTACGGGCCAGGGTATTGTAAAGTTCCCCAGGTGATTCTAAAGTACAGCCAGGTTAAAGCCCATTGATCCAGGCAAACTCCTACTGAAGCCTAGGGGTACACTTCAAGTCTGCTGCCCTTTCTGCAGCCAAAAGCTTCTCAGAGGCCCCCAAATCACAGCAAATAAACAACTGACCCTGTATGAAAAAATATATATATATTCAGAACTTTCCTTGGATGGGTGGGTGGGGATAGGTTTGGGTGGGTTTGTACGGCACCAAGAATAAGAATTTAGCCTTTTCAAAGAACAGAATAAAACTTGAAATATTTAAGATCTACCACCCCATAATACGGGCATGATGTAATCCCTTAATTGGTGGTGTACCTTTGGCCCAGTTAGTATGCTTTGTCCCAGTGTTTGGGAATGTGTCCTCTTAGCCATCCTGTTCTTGGTTTAATATTCAGCAAGGTGACCACCATTATTTACAATTCTCCTGAGAGAGTAGCCCCAAAACTAGGGATTTGGCATGCTCCCTCTTATCTCTTTGCCGTGGTGCCGTGGTGTTGCAATTTAAAGTGCTTCTGAGTTGTCTCTTCCTTTGGGAATTTCCTCTGGAGCAGGAGATTAATCATTATGCAAATATTAAATACTCTGAACATTCTAGAAAGGAACGGAATTTGTTTAAGCAATCCTGTTACTGCTGTTTCAGTGAGATGACAAACAGCTGTTGTGATTTGTCCTGCATTCAAATTCTACTGTGCAGTTTGCATTATATCAAATTATATTTAATTTTTCCTTGAGATTCATATGTACCTCTGCCAAAACTTCTGGATTCCCATGAATCTTCAAATATATCGACCATCACCCAGCCTGTTTGCACCCACTCCGAGACCTAAAGGCTACTCTGGGAAAAGATATATTAAAACATTTCTCTCTCGGAATGTTAGTTTGACTGAGATGTTATTTAGATTCCTGAAATAGCCTAAATGCTTGGGGTGATCTGAAAGGAAATGCTGCGGTCTAATGTTGCTAATAAATAGGGGAAGTCATGCTCTCTCAGGCACAGCCGTAAGGGAAAAACAAAGTCCTCACTTTGTCCTGAAGGTCAAAACTCCATGGCTTGGCTTGTCGTATTCTCTCCCTCTGTGTCCTTGTTGGTTTCTAAACAATAGACTACTGGTTAATAATTCCCTATATTAAAACTCCCTGTTCAAATCACTGTGTGGTTTCTCTCTTCGGGTCTGACCCATACTGATATGGGATCCTTGCTAAACACTGAACGCCCCAAGGGCAAAAGGCAGGGCTGGGACCAGGGTGAGGCAAGTGAGGCACACAGCTTCGGCTTCGGGGATTGCAGGTCATTCAAGTGCAAGGTCACCTGAGAGTGAGTGCCTCCTTGAACAGTGCACCTTAGGTCCATTGCTTCACTCACCCTCATCTATACCCTGCTCTGCCATTTTCCTTTTTTTTTTTCTTTTGAGACAAGAGATTCACTCTTGTTGACCATGCTGGAGTGCAATGATGTGATCTCAGCTGACTGCAATCTCTGCCTCCCAGGTTCAAGCGATTCTCTTGCCTCAGCCTCCCGAGTAACTGGGATTACAGGCATGTGCCACCACACCCAGCTGATTTTGTATTTTTAGTAGAGACAGGGTTTCATCATGTTGGTCAGGCTGGTCTCAAACTCCTGACTTCAGGTGATCCACCTGCCTCAGCCTTCCAAAGTGCTGGGATTACAGGTGTGAGCCACCACACCTGGCCTCTTTCTTTCTTTTTTTTTTTTTTTTTTTTTTTTTTTAAGAGAGTAATCTAGCACCGCCACAGAATTCTAGCAGGTGCTCAATTAGCATTTAGTGAAAGACTGAATTACCTTTTCTTTCTTGGAATCATTTTCTTAATTCAGTTTAAAAAAACATTTGAGTCTGGGCCAGGTGCTGTGGCTCACAACTGTAATCCCAGCACTTTGGGAAGCCCAGGTGGGCAGATTGCTTGAACTCAGGAGTTCAAGACCAGCCCAGGCAACATGGCAAAACCCCATCTCTACAAAAAGTACAAAAATTAGCCAGGTGTGTGGTGGCATACACCTGTAGTCCCAGCTACTCAAGAGGGCTGAGGTGGGAGAATCACTTGAGCCTGGGGAGGTCGAAGCTGCAATGAGCTGTGCATGATTGCACCACTGCACTCCAGCCTGGGTGACAGAGTAACACCCCATCTCTTTAAAAACAAACAAAAAAAAAAGTCTAGATATAGTATAGTATGGTACTCAAAAGCCAGACTTCAAAGTCTCATAGACGCAGGCTCAATCCTAATCCTAGTATGACACCCTGGTCCAGTTACTCTCTGATCCTCAGTATCCTTAAATATAACATAGACATATTAATAACACCTACTTCATAAGGCTGTAGGAAAGATGAAATAACATTATGCACATAAAGGATTTAGTTCAATGCCCTCAAATGTTACCTTGTAGTTTTGATAGTAGGCTAAAGTCACTCTCCATTCAATTAGCTAAAAAGCCTCCCTAGTCTGAGTCACAGAATGACGAAATAAAAAACAAAATCCATTATGTCAGTAATTAGTCTTTTGCGGGGGGAAGGGGGTCTAAAGTCACAAAAATCGAGCATTGCCTTTCTCTGTCCTGAGAGCCAACCAAAAGCCAAAGTAATCAAGGTTTAAGAAGAAAGACAAAAAGCAGAGCCATACTGTTGATCTCCTTTCGTATGAGGGAAGATTGGAGTCGAATAAATATTGAATCACATATTTTGTTTTCATTTTTAAAAGTTAGAACTTTACTCCAATTCAATAAGAATGGTTAGTGCCCCTTTCAAGTTCTAGGAATTATGATAGGAAATAAAGATGCAAAAAGAAGATATCCTCCTTGCTCTTAAGCAATTGAAGGTCTTGAGGCTCCCAAGGAGGGAAAGGGCAGGGACCTGGCCAGGGAATCCTTCCCAGAGGAGAAAAAGGTATTGGTATTGCCAATGCACTGCGGAAGTGGAAAAAAGAAGAATGGAAGCCACTAATTACTTGCATTATTTAAGTGACTACAGCAAGATGGTGCTTTGTCTGAAATTCACTGCTAGTGTATTTGTTCATTTTGAGCTCGTCTTAGTCCATTCAGGCTGCTATAACAGAATGCCACAAACTGGGTTGCTTATAAACAATGGAAATTTATTTCTCACAGTTCTGGAGGCTGGAAGTCCAACATGAGGGTGCCAGTGGTTGAGTTCTGGTGAGGGCCCTCTTTCAGGTTGCAGATACCAACCTCTCACTATCACCTTACATGGAAGAAGGGGCAAGCTAGCTCTCTAGGGTCTCTTTTATAAGGGCACTAATCTCAATCATAAGAGCTTCACCTATGAGGTGAACTAATGACCTCCCAAAGACCCCACTATCCTATCACTGTGGGGTGTAAGATTTCAATATATGAATTTGGGAGGACACAAACATTCACTCTATAGCAAAGCTGCTAATATTGACAATGATAGCTACCACTTATTGAATGCTTAGCATATGCTAGGCATTTTATATACCTCAATTCATTTTTAATCCTTCCAAAAACCCTGAAAAGTAAAAATTATTATCACAATTTTACAGATAAAGAAACTACCTGCCAGGCACAGTGGCTCATGCCTATAATCCCAGCAGTTCGGGAGGCCAAGGTGGGTATATCACCTGAGGTCAGGAGTTCAAGACCAGCCTGGCCAACATGGTGAAACCCCGTCTCTACTAAAAATATAAAAATTTGCTGGGTGTGGTGTCAAGTGCCTGTAGTCCCAGCTACTTGGGAGGCTGAGGCAGGATAATTGCTTGAACCCAGGAGGCGGAGGTTGCAGTGAGCTGACATTGCACCATTGCACTCCAGCCTGGGCAACAACAGTGAAACTTTGCCTCAAAAAAAAAAAAAAAAAAAAAAGAGAAAGGAAGGAAGGAATGAAGGAAGTAAGGAAGGAAGGAATGAACCACCAGGCACAGTGATGTACACCTGTAGTCCCAGCTACTTGGGAGGCTAAGGCAGGAGGATTGCTTCAGCCCAGGAGTTCAAAGCTGGAGTTCACTATGGTCGCACCTATGAATAGTCACTGCACTCTAGCCTGGGCAACATAGCAAGACTCCATCTCTTAAAAAAAAAAAGGGGGGGGGGGAGAAAGAGAGAGAGAGGAGAGAGACAGAGAGATAAAGAAGGAAGGAAGGAAGGAAGGAAGGAACTGAGGCTCTGAAAGATTAGGTACCTTTCAGCCAGAGTAATGAAGTCAAGACCATTTTTCCCAACTGTGCCCTTAACCTGCTACTGCTGACTTTGTCCAGTTTCTAGGAATTCATTTTCTGCTTGCACGAAAAAAAAATCACACAGGGCCTATAGAGCATTTCTAAAACTAAGCAAATGTGACCTGAATTCCTTTGTAAAACACTGGCTACCATATAGTCCAGATTCAACCAGCTTTTATGCGCAACTGGAAATTTTAACAGAAATATGGATGTGCTACCCAAACCTGATCAACTTACTATATCACATCTCTAAAACAGTTCTACCAGATTATTAACTGCAGCTACAAAGAATAACCCCAGAAAATGTTCTTGGATTTTATGTCATCCTTAGTCCAATATGTAAAACTCCCACGGCGGAGAGCCTAACACAGAGTGGGCAATCACCAAATATTAGTTCCCTTATCTTTCCCTTCCTCTAGTGTAAGTTGTAGAAATTAAATAGTGAGCTAAGCAAGTAGATCAGGAGAGAACCCCTGGAAATCAGGTTAACCAGAAACAGGATAGATAATTACAGGCTAATCACCGACAGGCGTGGTTCACAGCCCCCTCCAAACCACCTTTCGAGGGATGATATTGCCAGTTATGGTTTTACCCAGGAACTGACCTTGGCCCAGAGCCTTCAATTCACTCGGCTAGGGACTTTGCATACCAGAGAAGTCATTCCCAGCCAATAGATATACTTTCCACATTCCCTTTAAACAAGGCTTGTGTTGGTGTTAAGATAAGCTCGCTAAGGGTAACTAAAGGACAGGGTTGGAAACTATGAAACAAGGATAGGAAAAGTAGGCTACATAAATAGGAGCCCCTGGAACAACTTTATGAGCAGCCCCAGGGAATGGCTTTGAGGTGGAGGGAAGCAGGGAATGTATATCATGACATATCAGTTTTGATACCTGTGTTCCAAAAAGAGCATTTATGACATTTGAGCATGTATTTATTGGTTTGGGAAGGAGTAATAATGAGATGATACAGTAAGCACTTTGCCTGGTGCATAGGAAATAAGTAGGCAATAAGAAAGAGCTGCCACTATCATTAGAATGAAGACTTTGCTCTTTGCTCTTTATCATTAAGACTGTAGTTTGTGGCTGGGTGTGGTGGCTCTCGCCCGTAATCCCAGCACTTTGGGAGGTTGAGGGGAGTGGATCACAAGGTCAGAAGATCAAGACTGTCCTGGCTAACACTGAGAAACCCCGTCTCTACTAAAAATACAAAAAATTAGCTGGGTGTGGTGGCATGCGCCTGTAGTCCCAGCTACTCGGGAGGCTGAGGCAGGAGAATTGCTTGAACCCAGGAGGTGGAGGTTGTGGCACTCCAGCCTGGGCAACAGAGCAAGACTCCGTCTCAAAAAAAAAAAAAAAAAAAAGACTGTAGTTTGTTAAAGAGGTTACACGGTACACGGTATCTGTATACACAAGGGGCTACTAAGGTGGATATTGTGGTAGGCTGAAAAATGGCCCTCCCAAAGATACCAGGTTATTTTCCTGGAACCCGTAAAAATTATCTTTATTGGGAAAGAAAAGGGGGGGTCTTTGTAGATAAGAGTAAGTTAAGACTCTTAAAATGGGGAGCTTGTCTGGACTATTTGGGTGGACCCTAAAAAATGCAATCACGAATGACCTCATAAGACACAGGAAGATTTCACGCCACACCCACACACGCACACACGTGTGCACACACACACACGAAAAGGCAAGGTGAAAATAGCAAAGATAGAGAAGACAGACATTTGAAACATGCTTGCCTTGAAGATTCTAGGGACAAAGGCACAAGCCAAGAAATGCCAGCAGCTACCAAAAGCTGGAAAAGGCAATGAGCAGCTTCTCTCCCAGAGCCTCTGGAGGAAGCCCATCCTTGCCAACACCTGGATTTCAGCCCAGTGATTTAGACTTCTGGCCTCTAGGACTAGGCAAGAATACATTTAGATTGCTTTACATTACCAAGTTTGTGGTGATTTGTTACAGTAGCCACAGGAAACTAATCCAGGTATGAACTGGCTTTTCAACCTAGCAAGACTCATCAGTAAATGTCTGACCAGCAAGAGTGAGATATGCTGTTCTAACTAATAGGTATTAATTGAATGATGCAGTTTCAAAGATATAGACAATGGTGCTGATAAACCAGTTTGTTGGAGGGAAGGAGGCTTTATTTTTAGCAGACACCAATTTCTGTGATGCAAATACTCCCTCCATGGCCCATTTCAAAGGTTTAACATCTGGCTTGCAAAATTCCTTACCATTTAACAATCAGCTTGCACAAGCCAGCAGCAGCCATCTCCAGCCCCTCCTTGTAGAGGTGCTTTAAATCACGAGAGAAATTGCTCTAAGACTGTATTGAGCATAATTTAATTTCTCCTTGATAATTCTGAAGGGCACTTCATGGTATTGTAGTTCCTGAGCGTCAACATGGGGAACATTAATTACTGTTGCACTGCACACATGCGGAGTTGCTAATCAATGGCATGGGGGCAGATAGTTTCTAAGGCTGATGGGATGAGAAGAACCAGGCAGAACCAGAATGTCCTATAGATTGTCAGTTGCATGCTTTTATTCCTTGCAGAACTCTGGAAGGAATCCAGTAGAGGCCATCACGCCCTTAGGTAAATTTATTATGGTATAAATTGTAATCGCAGTGACAGAAATCTTAATCATTTTTTTCCAATGGCATAAGGCTTTACAACTTTTTTTAAAATATTTTTTTATTATACTTTAAGTTTTAGGGTACATGTGCACAACGTGCAGGTTTGTTACATATGCATACATGTGCCATGTTGGTGTGCTGCCCCCATTAACTCGTCATTTACATTAGGTATATCTCCTAATGCTATCCCTCCCCCCTCCCCCCACCCCACAACAGGCCCCGGTGTGTGATGTTTCCCTTCCTGTGCCCAAGTGTTCTCATTGTTCAATTCCCACCTATGAGTGAGAACACACGGTGTTTGGTTGTTTGTCCTTGCGATAGTTTGCTGAGAATGATGGTTTCCAACTTCATCCGTGTCCCTATAAACGACATTAACTCATCCTTTTTTATGGCTGCATAGTATTCCATGGTGTATATGTGCCACATTTTCTTAATCCAGTCTATCATTGATGGACATTTGGGTTGGTTCCAAGTCTTTGCTATTGTGAGTAGTGCTGCAATAAACATGAGTGTGCATGTGTCTTTATAGCAGCATGATTTATAGTCATTTGGGTATATACCCAGTAATGGGATGGCTGGGTCAAATGGAATTTCTAGTTCTAGATCCCTGAGGAATCGCCACACTGTCTTCCACAATGGTCGAACTAGTTTACAGTCCCACCAACAGTGTAAAAGTGTTCCTATTTCTCCACATCCTCTCCAGCACCTATTGTTTCCTGACTTATTAATGATCGCCATTCTAACTGGTGTGAGATGGTATCTCATTGTGGTTTTGATTTGCATTTCTCTGATGGCCAGTGATGATGAGCATTTTTTCATGTGTCTGTTGGCTCCATAAATGCCTTCTTCTGAGACGTGTCTGTTCATATCCTTCGGCCACTTGTTGATGGGGTTGTTTGTTTCTTGTAAATTTGTTTGAGTTCTTTGGGCTTTACAACTTTCAAAGTGAATTGGATTTTTACCGTAAGCAAAATAGAACAGAGGGTTTATCTCAACCAGAAACAAATGGAGTGTGTAAAATTCAGTCTCTCTCTTCAGCCCCATGCTACTGACTTCTGAATAGCATTCCAGCTGTATTTATCTGGGGCTTGGGAAATTTTCTTGGTTCCTGGGAAGAAAGTTAACTAAAACATATGACATCTCTGGCAGCAGTCACAATTTCACACAAAAAGTTTCTTGCAATAACTTCACATATTGCTTCCCCTGGTGGAATCACTATCTCTAGGGAAAGCTTGGGTCTAAAATGACAACTATATTGAATGAAAGTGAGAGCTGAATGCTAGATCCACCAGCTTGTATCTCTCTAGGAGAAATCTTCATCTTAAAATCACTTTTTATGGATGATGTTATGACAGAGACAAGTCCTAGATTTTTTTCTTTTCCTGCTTTTAAAACATAAAAATTGTAAAACTTCTCAAGTAGCCAGACGTGGTGACGCATCTGTAGTCCCAGTTACTCAAGAGGCTGAGGCAGGAGGTTTGAGCTCAGAGGTTCAAATCCAGCTTGGGCAACATAGTGAGACCCCCCCAACACACACCAATCTCAAAACAAACAAAAAGCCTTCTCAAGTAAAAAAATAAGCAAATACTGTTACTACTCCAGCTACTCAACAGTGCTCCCTGTAGATGAAATACTACAGAGTGTTTGCTATTTACAGGAAATTGGAGGTGGGGTGGTTACTGGAAAGTGGGTTGGCAGAGATTGGTGGTTATGTGATTTAATCCTGAAATAGACTGGTTATGAGAATCAATGTCTTCAAATTTCAAATACTGTCTTGCTTTTGCTTTTGTATATATATACACACATATATACATATAAATATATATACACACACACACACAAAAGCAAAAGCAAAACAGTTATTAGCTATCCTTCCTAGAGATAGCTAGCAAGGACAGCTAATCAACTCTTTCAACATTTCAAGATTAAAGGATGAGGATACCACCTGGGTTTTAATACGGAGATGGCTCAAGCCCTTTCCACTGCCATGTAAAAGATTTTTAGATCACATGTGTTGATCATTACAGTGATGAGATGGTATTAAAATGCTTGACAAATTGGTCTCCATGGCAGTGCTTGTAGTCCCAGCTACTCAGAGAGGCTGAGGCAGGAGGATAAAGTGAGCCCAGGAGTTCGAGTCCAGCCTGGGCAGCAAAGCGAGCTCCTGTCTCTAAAACAAAATACAGACTTGACAAACACCTACTGAAGGCAATATGATCATTACTTACAGAAAGGACAGGATCAGAGCTAGGAGAGTGAAGGACTAGATTTATGAAGCTTCAGTCCCTTCTTTACGGGCACTGAAGAGAAACAGTTCAAGTCCTCCAGTTGTCCCATAGGCTTTGTCATATAAGAATGGATAATTTGCTACAAGCTCGAAATGGCAAAACCAATTACCTAATGTTGCTACTGTACTGACTAATCATCTTACTCATGAAACTATCTACACCTTGCAGAGAACTTTAAGAAAACCACTGGGCATGGTGGGTCGTGCCTATAATCTCAGAATTTTGGAAGACCAAGGTGGGGGCATCCCTTGAAGCCAGGAGTTTGAGACCAGCCTAGGCAACACAGCAAGATACTGTCTCTACATAAAACAAAAAATAAGAAAAGTTAGCCAGGCATGGTGGCTATGCCTGTAGTCCTAGCTACTTGGGAGGCTGAGGCAGGAGGATCCTTGCAGTGAGCACTCCAGCCTGGGTGATGGAGCGAGACCCTGTCTCAAGAAAGAAAGAAAGAAGGGAAGAAAGGAAGAAAGGAAGGAAGGAAGGAAGAAAGGAAGAAAGGAAGGAAGGAAGAAGGAAGGAAGGAAGAAAAAGAAAGAAAGAAAGAAAGAAAGAAAGAAAGAAAGAAAGAAAGAAAGAAAGAAAGAAAAACCTTGCAGTATACATTTTCATAAGCCCAAAAGTTACTTCCTTCCATTTATTGCAAGGCTATAAGAACCCAAATGTCTGCCTGTTATGATTTTAACCAGCACTTTTCTACAAGTGAGTATGTTCAAGAACCCCTAAAAAGACTGTAATAATCAGATATCAAGCACCTATATGAGGTAGCAGGAGGAAGAAAGAGGCAGTACAAACAACAATCCACACATAATCCAGTAATGCAAGCTCTGAAATTCCAACACTTCATTTCAACTGCTTCCCCCAAAATTCCATACCATGTTCTTGCTTTTGGATAAAGTCAGTGACAAGAAACGAGATGGTCATACAGCAGCAGCAAAAATATAATCAGGAAATATAATGACTTTGTAATATCCCTGTGCGAAAGAAATAAACCTGAGTAGTGAGAGGAACATGGGTCTTGGATTAGGATATAGAACAATGTTTAAACCCTGGTTGGCCAGGTATAAGCTATGTAATAACCTTGGGCAATTCACCTAATTCCTCTGAGTCTTAATTTCCTCATTTCTTATATGTGGTAATTGTGCCTAATTGAGAAGATGCACAATAGAAATTCAATAGTAGCTCTAATTACCATGCAACAACCTTCCTGGTCCACTGTGTGGGTTTCTTTCAGGCTGTGAGTAAGTGGACATGGATTTCTGTAGCTAGTCTCTGCCAGAGGATATGAGTATTTCAAGAAGCAGGAAGGGCTGGAGGTGTGTGAAGGCTCCCCCGCTCCTGCACTTCATTTGTACACTCTCATCATCACTGGAGGAGTCTCCTGGCTGCAGTTGAGCCTTCGATGAGATGATTTGCATCACTCACATTCCAAGCTGGGTGGGGGAAGCCCAGACATTCTCGCTCTGCCCCTCAACCAGCTTGGTGCCAGATTTCCTCTCGCTTCACCCCCCCAGGAGGTCATCTAGGGAGCAGGCATCACACAGTAGCAACAGGCCTTGCGGATGATGACATCATAGGCTATTTTGCCCACTCTGTTTATCTCGCACTGAGAGGCAGGAGAGCACAGTAAGGAGCACAGGTTTTTTGGTTTGGTTTTGTGGGTTTTGTGGGGGTTTTTTGTTTTTTGTTTTTTTTTTTTTTTTTGAGATAGACTATCACTCTGTCACCCAGGCTGGAGTGCAGTGGCACGATCTCAGCTCACTGCAACCTCCACCTCCGGGATTCAGGTGATTCTCGTGCCTCAGCCTCCCAAGTAGCTGGGATTACAGGAGCACACCACCATGACTGGCTAATATTTGCATTTTTAATAGAAACAGGGTTTTGCCATATTGGCCAGGCTGGTCTCAAACTCCTGACCTCAAGTGATCCTCCTGCCTTGGCCTTGCAAAGTGCTGTGATTACAGGCGTGAGCCACTGCACCTGGCAAAGAGCACAGGTTTTGAAGTCAAACAGACCTATCTTCAAAGTATGTTTCTGTCCTGTGCCACATCTAAACCTTAATTCCCTAAGCTGTAAAAGATGATCAAATAGGCCAGGCACGGTGGCTCACACCTGTAATCCCAGCACTGTGGGAGGCCGAGGCGGGCAGATCACCTGAGGTCAGGAGTTCCAGACCAGCCTGGCCAACATGATGAAACCCCATCTCTATTAAAAATAAGAAAATTAGCCGGGCATGGTGACATATGCCTATAATCCCAGTTACTCCAGAGGTTGAGGCAGGAGAATCACTTGAACCCAAGAAGCGGAGGTTGCAGTGAGCCGAGATCATGCCACTGCACTTCAGCCTGGGTGACAAGACTGTCTGAAAAAAAAAAGGAAAATCAGGATTTCTAAGAGATATCTCTACTCTTACGTTCATTGCAGCATTATTCATGATAGCCAAGATATGAAAACAACCTAAATGTCCATCAACAGATGAATGGATGAAGAAAATATGGTATACATATACAACAGAATATTATGCAGCCTTCAAAACAAAAGGAAATCCTGTCATTTACAACATGAATGAACCTGAAGAACATTAAGCTAAGTAAACTAAGCGAGACACAGAAAAACAAATACTGTGTTGATTTCACTTATATGTAAAAACTAAAGTAGTCAAACTTAGAACAGCAGAGAGTGGAATGTTGGTTGCCATGAGCTGGAGGGATAGAGGAATGGGGAGATATTGGAAAAGGGTTACAGAGTTTCAGTTATCCAAATGAATGAATTCTGGAGATGTATTCTACAACGATGTGACTACAATTAGCAACACTATATTATATACTTGAAATTTGCTAAGAGGGTGGATCTTAAGTGTTCTCACCACCAAAAAATAAAAAAGAAGGGAAAGAAAGGAAGGAAGAAAGAGAGAGAGAACAAAAGAAAATGGTAACTATGTGAGGTGATGGATATGTATATGATATATATGCATATTATATATATATGATTTGATATGGATATATGCATATATATGCATAATTGAAATATGTACATATTTAAAGTGTACGACATGATTTGATATGCATATATATGCATATATATCCATATATATGCATGGATATGGATATGGATATATATGCATGGATATATATGCATATCAAATCATCATGTTGTACACTTTAAATATGTACAATTTTCAATTGTCAATTATATCTCAATATGGGAAAAAGTCTTGTCATGAAGGAGATGCTTAATAAATAGTAGTTAATGTTATTATCTTTGATTGATTTGTCTTTGAATAAATTTCTGTGGCCTAAATGAGGAAGCATATTCAAGGCATATATCCAAATATTTGTAAGAGTAGAGGAATGTTCTTAATCCAAATTATATGCACCAGTATTGCTCACTTGAGTGGAAGGAAATTATAGAATGGAGTATTAACTTCCTAATGACTAGACAAAATTAGTTGAGTAAATTACCCAATCAGTTCAGGAGAAGAAAATAAAAACCTGATTCAAAGGGTTTTTTTCCCCTCTGTGGGTTCATTTTATTGCTGCAACCCTCTAATTTGTTTTAGTTATAAAGACATGGCCATTTCATTTTCAGTTTCACCCAGGAACTAGAACTATATTTTGAAATAGGGACAACTGGATTTAGAAAATCACTTTTGTACAACTAGAACTCATTTACAGCTAGTTATTCAAATATCCAGTGACAGCATAATAAAAATTTAGGGCCTTCTTTTAATTAAACACTCCAGTTTACAATTCCCTGGAAGTAGTAACACATATTTGGAAACTGCTCTCTTTCGTGTTTTTAAAATAGCATCTAACATTAAGACAGTAATTTATTAAGAAATAACTTGCTGATCTGAAAGTGTTGATGTGATTTCAAAATGTCTTTAGAATGCATCCAACTCGATGAGACTTATATGCATGGATTTGGAGAACAAGGAGCTTATCATAGGACTTTCATAGCCCTCTCAAAATGGCAAATGAAGATAAACTGCAGAAATAGGGACTGCATGTTGCAATCAAAAGGGAACCTGCCCACAGACTGAAACAAACTTGGAAAACAAATGAACGGAAGATTAAACAGTGAAGTCTAAGTACTATCACTTCTTCCCCTATGATTAAAGCCTGACAGGCACCATGAGTCAAACTGTAAATATATACTAGTTATCATAGACCTCACTGGGTTTATGCGTCAGTAAACCACAGCTGCCTCTAATTTACCATTGAAACATGTTTTAGGGAAATGAAACTAGCCACCACCTCCTTTCATGCATGTGATATACTATTCATAACCAAGCCCTAATGACAGAAGAGAGCATTCTTAAAATAGTCTAATGGCTTTTTTGTATTCAACAATACAATCCCCCTATATTTTTTATACCTAACTCACCACATATTCAAGAATTTTCCATCATGTGCTTAACTTTAAATTTTTAAATGGTTTTCTTCACCTGAGCTGGCAGCTTTACTATTGCACTAGTCCAAACATATAGATGGGAGCGTCCTTAAATATGCAGCAAGACACACGTGATATAAATAGGAGGAATCATAGTATAGGACCACCTAATAATAATAAAGCCAATGTTTACTTAGTGCTTACTATTTACCTAACATTGTGCTAAGCACTTTTGAAGAATTATTTTGTTTAATCAGCAATTCCAACAAGACAAAATTCCAGTGTCCCAGATGATAAGACTAGCGAAACTTAAAAATCCTAATGTTAAAAAATTAAACCGCTAAGTGAAAATTAGTTTTTCATGGGTGATTTCTTGGCAATTTATAAAATTTAAGTTTTCCTAAAATTAACTGTAAACTGATACATATTAATCATACATAGCAAATGTCTACAGTCAAATTTTAAGCTATTTCTCTGCTTTATTAGCCATTTATATCAGCTTTTATACGAAACTTCCTTTTCATAGGTGCAATTGAAGACAAAGGATCAAAGCTTTTTCACTGGGCACGGTGGCTCATGCCTGTAATCCCAGCACTTTGGGAGGCCGAGGCGGGCAGATCACGAGGTCAGGAGATCGAGGCCATCCTGGCTAACATGGTGAAACCCTGTCTCTACTAAAAATACAAAAAATTAGCCAGGCGTGGTGGTGCACACCTGTAGTCCCAGCCACTCAGGAGGCTGAGGCAGGAGAATGGCGTGAACCCAGGAGGCAGAGGTTGCAGTAAGCCAAGATCACTGAACTCCAGCCTGGAGGACAGAGCATGAGACTGTCTCAAAAAAAGAAAAAAAAAAAGTTTTTTGTACTTTAAGCTAACTTTCATGAAACTATCCTATCATCAGAAACCCACTGCCAGTGGGCACAGTGGCTCACGCCTGTAATCCCAGCACTTTGGGAGGCTGAGGCAGGTAGTTCACTTGAGGTCAGGAGTTCAAGACTAGCCTGGCCAACATGGTGAAACCCCATCTCTACCAAAAATAAAAAAATTAGCCAGACGTGGTGGTGCGTGCCTGCAATCCCAGCTACTCGGGAGGCTGAGGCAGGAGAATCACTTGAACCTGGGTGGCAGAGGTTGCGGTGAGCTGAGATTGTGCCACTGCACTCCAGCCTGGATGACAGAGTAAGACTCCATCTCGAAAAGAAAAAAAGAAACCCCACTGCCACCTCTGAAAGATCTTCGGTGATTTGGGCCATTCATTCATTCCTCAGACTTAACCACCAACTGCACACCACACCCTGGGGATACGAATAAGACATGAACTCCACCTTCAAAACACATTCAGCCTGCTGAGAGAGATATAAACAAACCACAGCAAATATAATGCACAATATCATATAACAGAGGTAGAGAGAATGGAGGTCAAAAGGAGAAAGTAATTGAAAAAAAGGCAATTTTTGGAAGGCTTCACAGAAGCAGTGACACTAAAGGTAGCATCTTTTTTTTTTTTTTTTTTTTTTTTTGTGAGGCAGCGTTTCACTCTCTTGCCCAGGCTGGAGTGCAGTGACCCAATCTCAGCTCACTGCAACCTCCGCCTCCCAGGTTCAAACAATTCTCCTGTCTCAGCCTCCTAAGTAGCTGGGACTACAGGTGCACGCCACCATGCCAGCTAATTTTTGTATTTTTAGTAGAGATAGGGTTTTACCATATTGGTCAAGCTGGTCTCGAATTCCTGATCTCAGGTGATCCACCCACCTTGGCCTCCCAAAGTGCTGGGATTACAGGCATGAGCCACCTCGCCCAGCCTAAAGCTAGCATCTTAAATGTAGATGAAAATCTGTGATGTTCAGTATGTTCACTCTACTTTTTTTTTCAAAAGATGAATTACCTTTTCATTAATGTTTCCCTTTTTTTTTTTTTTTTGAGCTGGAGTCTTGCTCTGTTGCCCAAGCTGGCGTACAATGGCGTGATCTCAGCTCACCGCAACCTCCGCCTCCCATGTTCACGTGATTCTCCTGCCTCAGTCTCCCAAGTGGCTGGGATTACAGGTGTGCACCACCACACCCAGCTAATTTTTGTACCTTTAGTAGAGACAGGGTTTCACCATGTTGGTCAGGCTGGTCTCAAACTCTTGACCTCAAGTGATCCTCCTGCCTCAGCCTCCCAAAGTGCTGGGATTACAGACATGAGCCACCATGCCCAGCCAAAAGATGAACTACCTTTTTAAAAAAGCATAGGATTGTCGCCAGGCGGAGTGGCTCATGCCTGTAATACCAGCATTTTGCGAGGCTGAGGCGGACGGATGACAAGGTCAGGACATTGAAACCATCCTGGCTAACACCGTGAAACCCTGCCTCTAGTAAAAATACAAAAAATTAGCCGGGCATGTGGCGGGCGCCTACAGTCCCAGCTATTCGGGAGGCTGAGGCAGGAGAATGGTGTGAACCCCGGAGGCAGAGCTTGCAGTGAGCCGAGATGGCGCCACTGCACTCCAGCCTTGGCGACAGTGCGAGACTCCGTCTCAAAAAGAAAAAAAAAGGCATAGGATTATGTATCTAATTTACCTACTATTCCATTACTATTTTACATCCTATTTCTGAATTTCTGTGTCTTCCGCCACTTATCTTGACTTAATTTTTTTCTTTTAAGTAACTAGTCATATTGTTGCACTATCCACATAAAAATTACTTCCAAAGACTTGTGATAGAACCCAGTGATGTCACACCTAGATATATAACTCTCACAAGGAGACACATACAAAAACATTTATCATGCATTGTTTGTAAGGGAAAAATAATGGAAACAATTTAAAGATCTATCAACAAAAGAATGAATAAACTGTGGTCTTTTTATACAATGAAATACTATCTAGCACTTTAAATAAACTAGAAGATGTGTATTGGCCTGACGCAGTGGCTCACACCTGTAATCCCAGCACTTTGGGAGGCTGAGGAGGGCGGATCACTTGAGACCAGAAGTTCAAGACCAGCCTGGCCAACATGGCAAAACCCATCTTTACTAAAAATACAAAAATTAGCAGAGCGTGGTGGCAAGCGCCTGTAATCCAGCTACTCGGGAGGCTGAGGCAGGAGAATCGCTTCAACCTGGGAGGCAGAGGCTGCAGTGAGCCAAGATCGTGCCACTGCACTCCAGCCTGAGAGACAGAGTGAGAATCCATCTCAAAAAAAAAAGAAAAAAAAAAAAAAGATGTGTATTAGGGGCCAACCATGGTGGCTCACACCTGAAATCCCAGCACTTTGGGAGGCTGAGACAGGTGGCTCACTTGAGCTAAGGAGGTCATGACTAGTCTGGGCAACATGTGAAACCCTGTTTCTACAAAAAATACAAAAATTAGCTAGGCATGGCGGCGTGTGCCCGTAGGCCCAGCTACTTGCAGGGCTGAGGCAGGAAGATTGCTTCAGCCCAGGAGGTCAAGGCTTCAGTGAGTCATGATCACACCATTGCACTCCAGCCTGGTGAACAGAGTGAGACTGTTTAGAAAAAAAAAAAAAAGATGAGTATTAATACATGTTGAGTGAGAGATTAAGAAGAAAGCGCATAATATATCATTTAATGATGAAAAACTTGCAAATCAACTTTATGTCTTATGGATACATATATAGTATAAATATAAAAAATAGCTGGGTGTGGTGGTGTGTGCCTATAGACCCAGCTACTTGGGAGGCTGAGGCGGGAGGATTGCTTGAGCCCACTAGTTCTGGGCATCATATAGTGACCTCCCAGGAGCAGAGGGCTACCTGGTTGCCTAAGGAAAGGTGAACCCACCTGTGTGGGAAGCAGAGCAGGTCAAAACTCCTGTGCTGATCATAGTGGATTGCACCTGTGAATAGGCACTGCCCTTCACCCTGGGCAACACAGGAAGACTCCAGCTCTTATTAAAAAAAATTTTAAATAATATAAAAATACACAGAGGAATTAAAACTCTAAATTCAGGGTAGTTGTCACCCTGCAGATCACAAGAGAGGAATGAGATAGATTGGTTTCAGGGGTTTTAACTACATCTATATGATTTTAACTTTGTCAGCACTTCTGGTGGCTTGTTGAGGAAAAAAAGGTTTTAACTTGGAAGAAACAGAGGAAAGGGGAAAAAAGGGAGGGAGGAAGAGGGCAAAAGGGGGAGGGAGGGAAAAAGGGAGATCTGAAGCAAATATGGCAAAATTTTATTACATGAAATACTATCTAGCACTTAGGGCTGGATTGTAGATAGATGATTTTTTGTCATATTATTTTGTATGCTTTTCTGTCTGTTTGAAATATTCTATTGTAAATAGATGTGCTAATCTTTATAATAATAATTCATGGTATTATTCACCAAATTTAACAGCCTAACAAAAGTTTAGAAGTAAAAAATTAGCAAGTGGCACATATTTTCCAGTTCTACTAGTAAAGAAACTTGTTTGCATCTGGGGAAGATAATATTTGCGGTGTAACTTCCCCACTCCCTTTCCAGCACATCCTTAAAGGACTCAAATGGAATGTCGTCCTATGACAAAGAAAAGTGCTTGTGCATATTAACTCCTCTGCTGCTGAACCAATTTGTGACAGGATGAAAGCGCTACTAGGAAACAAAGTGAAGAAGGATGGACACTCTATTCAGTATTTATAAATTTCTAGGTTTTTCCTTTTCAAGCCCCCTTAGAATCTTTACGAAAAAGGTCAACAGTTTAGCATGCCTCCAAATGAAAAATGTTATGTTAATGTATTTGCTAATAAATAATTCATTTCAGAGGCAAAATTAAAGGCTCAAGTTGGTAAATAAAGCATCCAGCACTATATCCATACGTGGTCTCTGACATCAAAATAGGATGAAGGGCCGGGCATGGTGGCTTACTCCTGTAATCCCAGCACTTTGGGAGGCCGAGGCAGGTGGATCACTTGAGGTCAGGAGTTCGAGACCAACCTGGCCAACATGGTGAAACCCCATCTCTACTAAAAATACAAAAATTAGCTGGGCGTGGTGGTGTGTGCCTGTAATCTCAGCTACTCAGGAGGCGGAGGCAGGAGAATCACTTGAACCCGGTAGGCGGAGGTTGCAGTGAGCTGAGACTGTGCCACTGCACTCCAGCCTGGGCAACAAAGTGAGACTCCATCAAAGAAAGAAAGAAAGAAAGAGAGAGAGAGAGAGAGAGAAAGAGAGAAAGAGAGAAAGAGAGAAAGCGAGAAAGAGAGAGAGAGAGAGAAAGAGAGAGAGAGAGAGAAAGAGAGAAAGAGAGAGAGAGAAAGAAAGAAAGAAAGAAAGAAAGAACGAACGAACCTCAGGGTCTCTGACCTACTGTGTCAGAGAGGGCATCACTGCAGCCAACTTGGGTAAGAGGAGACACAAAGCAAGTAAGACGTTAATTTCACATAAGAACAAAAATTAATATTTTTTCTCCTTCCCACTCTCCCTCATCTCCCTTCCTCTCTCTTTCTTCCTCTTCTTTTCTTTTATAGTACACATTAAAAGGGAAACACGTCAGCCAGAGAGAAGCAGCAAAATGCTTGGGGGTGAGGGGTTGTCCCCCACCAAGTACAGCACCATCTAGGCTGCTGCCCCAAATGGTGCCATAGTAGGGAAGCCCAAAACTAAAGCAGCCAACACTGCTGTCTTCCTTCACCCAGCAAAGAGCAGAACCAAAGCATCAAAAACAGGCAAAGGGGATTGGGGGAAGAAGGAGCCAGGTCTCCTACCAGGCAGGACTAGTTTCTCTTACCTCTCTAGTCCCTGAAAGGAAGCACTTCCCCAAAGGCAGAATCCCAATTGAGCTGATAGATCGTGCACTGTGCTACAGTCCAGTGGAATGTTGTCACCCAAGCTGGCCCTATCCAATGGGGAGGAGTAAACAGATGCAGGCAAGGGAAGAGAAAATAATCTCTGGCTGCCTGGAGGCACTCACATGGAAGCAGCTAGAGAAATGGTGTGTCGGAGTGCCCACCATGATACTTGTCAGTGGGAATCCAACCAACCACATAGTCAAGTCTGGCTCAAAATGGCTAGTAATGTCTACCATTGAAAATCTAGTTTCTATGTCAAGAAGAAATGTAACATGGAAGAGAAACTCAAAGAAATTGCTAAATGAAATGCAAAGCATGTCAAGAAAATGTGGAAGAAACGGATTCTGGTTTGATCCCACTTTGCGAGCAAAATAGATCTCATTCTAAGGGGTCATATTAAGAGCGGCTTTGGCTGGGTGCAGTGGCTCACGCCTTTAATCCCAGCACTTTGGGAGGCCGAGGTGGGTGGATCATTTGAGGTCAGGAGTTCAAGACCAGCCTGGCCAACATGTTGAAACCCCGTCTCCACTAAAAATACAAAAAAATTAGCCAGGCATGGTGGCAGGCGCCTGTAGTCCCAGCTACTTGGGAGGCTGGGGCAGGAGAATCATTTGAACTTGGGAGGCGGAGGTTGCAGTGAGCTGAGATTGCGACAGAGTGGCACTCTGTATCAAAAAAAAAAAAAAAAAAAAGAGGCTTTGGCTATAATGGGAATGCTGTGGAAAAGGCAAAACCACTAAAAAGGAAAAACAGTTTCATCTTACTATGGGATGAAGGAAATATGTTTTCATATGCTGTTTTCTAATATCATTTTATGTAGATGTGGTTTCCTAACTATAGTATAAGATACTCTGTCAGGAGCATATGCTTTTTGTTTTTTGTTTTTTGTTTTTCATTTTCCCCCAAAAGAACCTAATGTACTACATTGTATGCAGTAGGTGTTCAATAAATAGATTAATAAATTTCAGGAGATGTTGATCTCACCAGCACTTAAATCAATTTACTGTAATCAGATGATTAATAGCATTCATATGAAGAGAGCATATGGCACTAAAACACCAGAATCTGCCACAATCCTCTTCTCCCTATCTTAACACAGGAAGGCAGTAGGCAGGAATTGTTAGAAAAAAGCACAAACACACAACGATTGAGAATCCTTGTTGTGCCTTGAATTTGCTATGTGAGTCCTGCTTTTAGGATACTTAACATTTATTACAGCTTCAATTTCCACATCTGAAACGAAGGTAGGAGGCAGTAGTTTTCAAAGCAAATAAGAATTGTGGAGATAGACATCAAAGAGATAACTTGGCAGAGATTTCTACTGAATTCCCTGGCAGAGGGATTCCTGGCCTAATTCTGGAAGTGCCACAGGCTCCCCATGTTGTCTCACACAAGAAATTTATCCTTAATTACCTGCTTCATTTTCTTCATTTGAAAAATAAAGGAAATGAAGGTTGGCAAAGCCTGATTGAATAGCCGGAAAAGATTCTAAATTTGTCAAGATTCAGAGTCAATCACCCTCCATTATAGCTCTTAACCAGTATTTTAATACAAATGGAATTAGCTAAAACTTCAGTGGCCCTAGGGAGAGGGGCCAAATCCTGGCCTTAGGATGTAAAGTGATTTTGAGGGAGACATATGGAATCAAGGGGTTCAGCTAACCATTTGCACATGTCAATCAAGCAGCAAAGATCCTTCATTGCCAGGTGAGGGAATGGGTCACAGAAAAAAAAAGGGAATTGGAATTGTCCTTATTTCACTACACTCTGGAGATGCCAAAGTTACCATCTTAGTCCATTTTGTGTTGCTATAACAATACCATAGACTGGGTAATTTAAAAAGAAAAGAAATTTATTTCTCACAGTTCTGGAGTCTGGGAAGCCTGAGGGCAAAGTGCCAGCATCTGGAAACAGCCTTCTTGCTGTGTTATTCCATGGTGGAAGGCAGGAAGGTGAGGGAGGGAGAGAGCAAGAGAGACTGGGGAAGGAGGCTGAACTCATCAGAGGCTGAACTCATCATTTTATCAGGACCCACTCCCACAATCAGTGACCCACTCTGGAGACAATGGCATTAATCCATGCATGAGGGCAGAGCCCTCACAACCTAATCACCTCTTAAAGATCCAACCTCTCAACACTGTTGCGTTGCGGATTAGGTTTACAATGCATGAACTTTGGGGGACAAATTCAAATCACAGTGATAATACTTGAAAGAGTAAAAGAGGCTTGTTTGTTCCTAAGGTTTCTCCTTATTAAGCCAAGGGTCAAGAATGTGGAGCAAATGATGATTTATTGTTTTAAGACTGAATTGTGGCTTAATCTTGGTTCAAAGAGAATGGAAAAGGCTGTTACAATGTCAGAATGGTAGCAAAAAAAAAAAAAAAAAATCTGGTTCCAAATTCTATTATATCAGAAGTGGACTGGGAAGCAACAAACTAACAGGAACATAAGAAACACACGTGCCCCCAGAATCTTCAGTTATCTCATAATAAACACATTCACTGAAAGCAATGGTTTGGAGGACTATACCATATTTTGGAGCTATATTAAGTAACAGAGAGAAGAGGAAGAGGAAGGAAAATAGAATCTTATCAAGAAGGAAATGAGCCAAGCAACAGCAAAAGAATGTCTAGAATATACTGAAGTCAATCTAGTTAGAAACCCCGGAGACTTTTAACCCTTTTGGGAGGAGAACTTTTCATCTGTTGATGTTTCTTGGTTTACAGTGCTGAAACCTGACGAAAGTTCAGTCAGAACTACAGGATTGTATGTTATGTTTTTAAATGTATTATGGAAGCATCAACTTGTCATTGAAAAAAACAACAAATTTAAACAAAATAAGATCAAGATCATGTAAAATTGAATACAACATTTACAAATAGATTGATTTCTAATGCAAACATTTGTAGCCCCAAATGGAGAATATTACCTGTCCCAGCAGGACTATTCAGATAATGAAAGTTGAGTCAAAAGATGTAACTCAATTTGTTAATGGGGTTCTTGAAGTGCTCATGGAAAATAAACAAATTTCCTACCCACAGCAAAGATAATTTACATATATTGGATATCATTAACCAGGTAATTGCCATCATCCTAATTTATTCCTTGATTCTTAACTCGTTTCAAAAACAAAGTGGCTTCTCTGCCAAAATTCTATTCATTCTTTTATAAATGCAGAAATTTCTTCACTCTCGAATTCCACTAATTTCCATTATCGTTAAATTAGTAGATTAAAACTTTGTCAAGATCTTCTTTATTGAACCTATTTGTTTATCTAATTCTGCCATCCTTATTAGGGGCTTTTAACTCAAAAATGTTTGGTTTTGGCTGGGCACAGTGGCTCACACCTGTAATCTCAGCACTTTGGGATACTGAGGTGGGAAAGTCACTTGAGGCCAGGAGTTCAAGACCAACCTAGGTAACATATCAAGATCCCCATGTGTACAAAGAATAAAACAAAAATTAGCCAGGTGTGGTGGTGCATGCCTGTAGTCGCAACTACTTGAGAGGCTGAGGCAGGTTTGCTTGTGTTTGGGAGGTCGAGGCTGCATTGAGCTATGGTCACGCCATGGCACTCCAGCCTGGGCAACAAAGTGAGACTCTGTCTCAAAAAAACAAAGAATAAAAACTTAAATAAATAAATAATATATATAATATGTGTATATTATACAGGTGTGTGTATATGTGTGTATATACATATATAAACATTTGTAGGTATAGATGTGTGTAGGTATATATATGTATATATTTTTGTGTGTTTTTATTTCTATTTACTGGTTTCCGTCCTAAAGCTAATCACTGGGGCCTCTGTTTTTCCAACTTTAAAATGAGTGCAGGCCAGGTGTGGTGGCTGCCGCCTGTAATCCTAGCACTTTGGGAGGCCAAGGCGGGTGGATCACCTGAGGTCAGGAGTTCAAGACCAGCTTGGCCAACATGGTGAAACCCCATCTCTACTAAAAATACAAAAAATTAGCCGGGCCTGGTTGCGGACGCCTGTAATCTCAGCTCCTCGGGAGCCTGAGGCAGGAGAATCACTTGCACCCTGGAGGCAGAGGTTGCAGTGATCTCCACTGCACTACAGCCTGGGCAACAAGAGCGAAACTCTGTCTCAAATAAATAAATAAATAAATAAATAAATAAAATAAAATGAGTGCTTGTATCAAATAAGCCTAACATTTAGGAAAATATATTTCAGTACATATAATGGAAGCAGCCTACTTTCAGAAAGACAATGAACTGATGAAAAGGGTGGTTTTTTTTTTTTTACATATTAGCTATAAAATAATTACTAAGAAGTAAAATTCAGTCACATTTTAATTCTATCAGGGTCTTAGTATTACTGAAATCAAAGCGTTTACTATTTGGTGTTACCAAATTCTCTGATGAACCGCCTTCTATTGAAGTTTTACATTTTTAAGCAAGAACAGTGTTACAGATTTCCTATACAGCCATTTAAATTCACCATGTGATATTGAATTACATTGCATTATAATGAATCATTGCCACTAGGCCAACAGGAAGTAACAACAGAAAAAGCCAAGCAATGATGTGATTTTTTTTCAGAGTTAACTGGATGTTGGCTATATTTCAATGTAGAACTTTTCTTTCTATAGAATAGATAAGAATTCCAACTTACACAGGTGCATATGTATTACATATGCATAATATATAGCAGATAATTATATGTACACAGGCAATTGTACGTAGATGTACATATATAAATATACACATATGACTTTTAAATTCTACCACATATACATTGCTCTTGTTTCTCTCAGTTACAATAAAAAGGACTGTATTTCAATTTTAGATATTCTCACTACAAAGAAATAATAAGAATGTAAGGTGATAGATATGTTAATTAGCCTGATTTGATCATTTTGCAATGTATACATGTATTGAAACAACATATTGTACCTTATAAATGTATAAAATTAGTCAATTAAAAGTGAAATAAAATTTTAAAATCCATATTGTAAAAATCTAAATTTAAAAAATCATTATAAAAATAGTCTTTATACATTACATTTCATCTGCATCTGGTATGTGGTTCTTCGAATATCTATTTTTTTCCTGCATCTAGTGTGATACAATTTTTCTTATGAAAGTTAGATTTTCTTTCCATCTGAACACATCACAAAAGCGATCACATGTATTTCCTTCACAAATCTCCAAGAGAAACTTTCTACAAACTAAGAAACAATAAGCAAATTGTTTTAAAAAGCTATAACCAGCCAGGCGCCGGTGGCTGAAGCCTGTAATCTCGGCACTTTGGGAGGCCAAGGCGAGCAGATCACCTGAGGTCGGGAGTGTGAGACCAGCCTGACCAACATGGAGAAACCCCATCTACTAAAAATACAAAATTAGCCGGGCAATGTGGTGTGTGCCTGTAATCCCAGCTACTTCGGAGGCTGAGGCAGGATAATCGCTTGAACCCGGGAAGCAGAGGTTGCGGTGAGCCGAGTTCGCACCATTGCACTCCAGCCTGAACAACAAGAGCGAAACCTCGTTTAAAAAAAAAAAAAAATATATATATATATATATATATATATATATATCTACAACCCTGAAAATGAGCTCTTAAAAATGAGATTCTTTTTAAAGATTAATCTTGGTAAATTACTCTGTTGTAACTGATTCTTTTGGATAGTGCTTATTAATGTAGAAATGTGTGACAGTTCAATCATTTTCAGTCCTGCAAGTAATTTGCAATACAATTAGAAACTCATTTCTGTTTTGCTTTGGGTTTTTTATTGTTGTTGTTTTTTGTTTTTTTTGAGATGGAGTTTCCCTCTTGTTGCCGAGGCTGGAGTGCAATGGAGCCATCTCGGCTCACTGCAACCTCCACCTCCCAGGTTCAAGCGATTCTCCTGCCTCAGCCTCCCCAGTAGCTGGGATTACAGGCGCGCACCACCATGCCCGGCTAATTTTATGCATTTTTAGTAGAGACGGGGTTTCACCATGGCCAGGCTGGTCTTGAACTTCTGACTTCAGGTGATCCTCCCGCCTCAGCCTTCCAGAGTGCTGGGATTACAGGCGTAAGCCACCGCGCCTGGCCTTTTTTTTTTTTTTCGAATTAAGAAAATTCCGTTAGCCTTTTCTCCATCTCCTCTAATTCTGGTAGCATCTTTGGACCCCTAACACTTGGCATCTGCTACTTCAGACAAACAAACCCTATGTAAATGACAAAGAAGGGGCCTCCCAACCTTCTCCCTGTGTTACTATTTCAGAAGCACTACTCGGGGCACAGTGGTACAAATTTCTTATGGCCACTAGCATCTTTTTTCAATTTTCAAAGTAATCATCAAACATCTGGGTCAATTATACTTAAATTACAGAAGCACGGAATTTTAGGCAACAGGCCCCTCATTTTACCTCAGAGATTAAGTGACTTGCTCAACATCACACAGCCTAGTAAATGGAAGTCTTGCAACCAAACTTGAGCCCCATTCCTCAGTGAGTAATCCTGAGTGTGTGTACGACAAGATAAATACAAATAATCGTGTTGTGTTCTTTACCGAAGAGAAAATGAGGATCAGCACTCTAAAATATCATTTAGCTCTATAGGGTTCCAGGCTATTCTGGTCCTGTTTTAAGTGAATAGGAATTTGTACATTACATAAACAAAGCCAAATTTTCAAATAAGGAATTAAGACAAATGCAGCAGCATAGGAGATGTTTGTGCTAAAAAAAAAAAAAAAAAGACTGTGCCTCTTTTTATCTCAGAAATACTTCATATACATTTTCTTAACTTGAAAAGGAAAGCTAAATTTGATTAAGCACATGTCTGCATATCACATGAGCCTTCTACTACTATAGAAGAGACTGGAAACCAAAAGAAATGCCACATATTTCATGGTGTGAATCAGTTTCTTTCCAAATGACACTTCCTTTGAAAAGGCATAAATTTGGAATTTGACTTTTGGATAATGCTGTTTTTCAATTTTCAAATATAATTGTGATGTAATTGATCTAATCTGCATTTCAAAGCTGCTAAAGCTGAGTTTACCACCAAAACTAAGCACAAGATCTCCTTTTATGGACCAAAATAAAGAGCAGTGTACTGAAATATTAGATAAGCTTTTGTTCTTTTCTTCAAATATTTGCATGAATTATTCAGGCTTTATATGGATAGAGCTTTGAAATATTCAAATTCCTTGAGCTATTTCCTTATGTAAGATTCATATTTATTAAATCCTGTAGCATGTACTTTTCCTGTGAAAGTACAGATTCAGTTCCATTATGATTTCTTCAGCAGAGATCCTACACACAGCAGAGAGTCTCAGGTGGTGGAGGAGATACAAAGATATGCAAAACAATCTTCAAGGATCTTACACATAAGGGGGAATACAAAGCCATAAAATACTTGCAAACCACAAGTTATAGAGTTTCCAAAGAGAAAGAGATATCTTCCAGCCAAGGTCTAAAGGAAAACCTTCAGAGAGAAGCTGGCATTTCAGATGGGCCCTGAAGAACTAAAATGAATTTCACAAGTAGGGGAACAGTAAAATGAGGGGGCTGAGATCTCAACTTCGCCCATGCTCCTGTTTCCATCTTTGAAATCTCTTTTAGATATGACAACCCATGCAGTCAACTTCCCAGCTATGTTGCCAGCCCCTTAATTCTGCCTCTCTTCCTGGTAAACACATTCTGACTATCCCAGGAACCCCCTTTCTGAGGGCTACCCTTCTACTCCTTCCCCACAAAGATGCCCCCTTCAGCTCTTCTGGGTGTCACAAACAACACTAATGAAGCAAGAAAGAGTAGTAGTGACAGTCTCATCAGAATCCTCAACCCATACCCCTGCTTCCTCCCCATTGAGTCCTGCGTGGTGAAAGATGCCATCCAAAGTTAGAAACCTGGCGACGAACGTGGCCATGCGATCTCAACTCTCACTTAACAATACTTCTGTGACTCCTCAAATTATATTTCTCAACTGGGCACATGAATCTTTTCTGTCCATTCTCAGCACTCCCCACTCCCTGGTTCACAGTGACTCTTTGTAGACCCCGCCACATGCACACACAAATGTGCACACACACTCACAGACACCCTGTTGTATTTTCCTTCTGTCTTTGCTTGTGCTTCCCCCTTGTATTAGTCCATTCTCACATTGCTATAAATACCTGAGACAGGGTAATTTAAAAAGAAAAGAGGTTTAACTAGCTCGCAGTTCTTTGTGCTATACAGGAAGCATGATGCTGTCATCTTCTTGGTTTCTGGGGAGGCCTCAGGAAACTTACAGTCATGGTGGAAGGTGAAGGAGAAGCACACATCTCACATGACTAGAGTGACGGCAAGAGAGAGAGCGAAGGGGGGAAGTGCCACGTACTTTGAAACAACCAGATCTTGCAAGAACTCACTATCATAAGAACAGCACCAACACGATAGTGCTAAACCATTCATGAGAAATACGTCCCCATGATCTTGTCACTTCCTGCCAGGCTCCACCGCCAACACTGGGGATTACAATTCGACATGAGATTTGGTGGGGACACAGTTCCAAACCATACCACCCCTCTATCTGGAATACAACTCCATCCTTCCCTGGGTTGTCCTGAGAGTCCCTACTCATCCTTTAGGTTTCAGCTCAATTAAATTCTTTTCTTTTGAACAGTTTCTTGCTCTTCTAAAGTAAATCCATTACCCAGAACACATAAACACAAAGTCTTTAAACTTTGCTCATTCATCAGAGAATTCTTCCTCCTTGGTGTCAGAGAGAGGGCAGCAAAGAAAGCTGTGAATATTTATAAGGTAAGTTTTGTTATTGGGGCAGGGGATGTGGGAAGAATCCATATCACAAATTTTGAACACAAATGAGTCCAAATATTGCCACATTTAACTGTCCTGCTTCTCTGGAAGAATACCAAAATGGTCCAAAAGAAGAAATAACAAGGGACCATAGCAGGTGTGTGAGCCGTGCAATGGCAAAAAGAGGAAATGACAGGAAAGAGGATGGATAGGATGTATAATTAACTGACTCTGGAGAAAATATGAGGAATCAAGGAAGGGTATGATTCTGAGCCTTAGAAACTAAGGGAAAGATGATATCTATAACAGGCTGGGCATGGTGGCTCACTTCTGTAATCACAGCACTTTGGGAGGCTGAGGTGGGAGGATCACTTGAGGTCAGGAGTTTGAGACCAGCCTGGCCAACATGGTGAAACCCCATCTCCACAAAAAATACAAAAATTACTCTGGTGTGGTGGTGCATGCCTGTAATCCCAGCTACTCAGGAGGCTGAAGCAGGAGAATCACTTGAACACAGGAGGTGAAGGTTGCAGTGAGCCGAGATCACACCACTATACTCCAGCCTGGGCAACGGAGCAAGACTCCATCTAAGAATAATGATATCTGTAATGGCATTTGGGAGGATTAAAGGGGAGGAAATTTGATGGAACAGCAGGGCATCAAGTGGAACGTGTCACAAGCAGATCTGTAGCTTAGAACTCAGGGGAGGGGGAAGCCCTGGTGAACAGATAGGGACTTAGCAATGACCAAAGATGAGAATAAGCAAAATTAGCTGAAATAGAGGGTAAAACCAGAGCACCAAGGACTTGGCCTTGTGGGACATCCACAGTTACAAAAGGGGAAGAAAAAGTGAAAGCAGTTTAAAAACTGGAAGCATCAGAAGAGGTAGTGATCCGGGACAGCAGAGCATCCTAACAGCCAACAGGAGAGAGGTAAAAGGAAGAGCAGTCAACACTGCTGGATGCTGCAGAGGAGTGAAGGAAAATGGGGGCTGAAGGAAAAACGGTTTCATTCAGTGACTCGGAAACAACAGCAGTGACTTCAGAGAGGGCAATTGCCAAGAGAAAGGTGAGAGAGGAAGCTAGATTACGAACTGCAGAGAAGCAAATGCTAGTTGATTTCTAGTCAAGATGGGGCTTTGAGGACCACGCCAATCCAAAATGATAGTGATAATAGATTTAATATAAAATGGGAAAAATGTAAGGCATTTTCACACTTAAAAACATCTCCATAGCCCAGAAATGGAACAGAAACAATATGGTAAGTAGCCTGAAGATGTAGACCAGCTCAATTCTGCCAACAGCAAACAGAGGCATCCAGGGGCAAGACTCATACAGGGTACTAAGAACTAAATAACCCATGTGAGGCAGAAGACTCACATGAAATCAAGGGCTGGGATAAGGCTACCCCCTTGAAAGGAATTGCCTAGGGCTACAGGCTTGTAAACATCTGTATACCTAGGGACATGGAAGAACCAGGCATAGTCTTAAAGACGGAATTTGACCCTAGAGAAGGAACTGGATCTACAATACTATAGGATAAAACCGAGGTCTAGGCCTGGGAGGCCCAGAAAGTAGGTAACGGCAAAACTATGAGACCAGGAAGGTTAAGCCTAGGGGGACAGGAAGGAAGGAATGAAGGAAGAGAAGAAGGAACAGAGAAAAGGAGAGAGGGAGAGAAATAAGAAAGACTGCCAAAAATAGAAACCACAACATGGAGAAGCATTCACACCAGGTAAAAACAAAATACTAGAGTATCTGAAAATTACTTCTTTAAAAAGAATTTGTTCAAGACTTTCAAAGGAATTAAGCAGAGGAATAACATTCATAAAAATTATGAAGCACGAACCGTCAGAAATAAAATAGCTATGATTATGAAGAATAACAAATTAAAATCCTGAGAATTAAAAATACAGTCATAGAAAAGTTTTTTTTTGTTTTGAGACAGAGTTTCACTCTTGGTGCCCAGGCTGGAGTGCAATGGCATGATCTTGGCTCACCGCAACCTCCGCCTCATGGATTCAAGAGATTCTCCTGCCTCAGCCTCCCTAGTAGCCGGGATTACAGGCGCCTGCCACCATGGCCAGCTAATTTTTTGTATTTTTAGTAGACACAGGGTTTCACTATGTTGGCCAGGCTGGTTTGGAACTCCTGACCTCAGGTGATCCACTCTCCTCAGCCTCCCAAAGTGCTAGGATTACAGGTGTGAGCTACCATGTCCAGCTCAGTCATAGAAATTTTTAAAAGAAAGAAAGAACAATGAATAGGATAAACTCTGAAATGAACACACTTAGAAAATTGGGAAATAGTACAATATTGCTAAACTGACCCATGACAAAATATTGCACCCGCAGAGTTAAGAGACATATACGGTAGGCAGGGAGACCTCAACATACCACTGCTAAGAGTTTCTGATGAAGAGCAGTTTGGTGATTAATACATTCATTTATTCTTTTTTTTTTTTTTCAGATGGAGTCTCGCTGTGTTGCCCAGGCTGGGGTGCAATGGCGCAATCTTGGCTCACTGCAACCTCCACTTCTTGGGTGCAAGTGATTCTCCTGCCTCAGCTTCCTGAGTAGCTGGGATTATAGACGCGCACCACCATGCCCAGCTAATTTTTGTATTTTTAGTAGAGATGGAGTTTCACCAGCTTTGGCCAAGCTGGTCTCAAACACCTGACCTTGTGATCCACCCATCTTGGCCTCCCAAAGTGCTGGGATTACAGGCATGAGCCACCACGCCTGGCCCATTTATTTAATTCTTAGAATGAAAAAAAATATATTGGCAACAAGTATCCAACTGAAGAAGCTGAAAAGAATGTTAGTGAAAATCCAAATAAAGAGGAAGAAACTAACATGCAGGCACAGAGATTAATAAAACACACACACAGATACACACACACACACACACACACACACACACACACACACACCAGAAGTGAAAAATGAAACAAAAAGCTAGTATAGTCGGCTCTCCATCTGTATCTGCAGTTTCCACATCCACAGATTCAACCAATTGTAGACAGAAAATATTCTGAAAAATAAAAAATAACAATACAACAATAAATATGCAAATAAAAACAATATAGCATAACAACTATTTACATAGCATTTATATCATATTAGGTATTTTATGTAACCTAGAGAAAATTTGAAGCATACAGGAGAATTGTGCAGGCTATATGCAAATAGTATGGCATTTTACATCAAGGACTTGAGCATCCTTGGATTTTGGTATGCAAGTGTGTCCTGGAACCAATCCCCCACAAATACCAAGGGACCACTGTACTTTGAAAAAACTAATTAAATTGACACACTTCTATTAAGGCTGATCAAAAAGACAAGAGAAGGCACAAAAATATTAGGAAAGAAAAGGTAATATAAACAATTCAAGTAAAATTTATAAATACAACTTTTTTTTTTTTTTTTTTTGAGACAGGGTCTCACTCTGTCTTCTAGGTTAGAGTGCAGTGCCATCATCTAGGCTCACTGCAGCCTCAACCTTCCAGGCTCAGGCGATCCTCCTCAGCTCAGCTTCCTGAGTAGCTGGGACTACAGGTATGTGCCAGCACATCCGGCTAATTTTTGTATTTTTTGTAGAGAGGAGGTTTTGCCATGTTGCCCAAGCTGGTCTCAAACTCCTGGGCTCAAGCAATCTACCCACCTCAGCCTCCCAAAGTTCTGGGTTTTACAGGCATGAGCCACCGTGCCTGGCTACAAATACAAGCTTTTTAATTCTTCAGAAAATATTGCTGGGCACGGTGGCTCACACCTGTAATCTCACCACTTTGGGAGGCCGAAGCAGGTAAATCACACGGTCAGGAGTTTGAGACCAGCCAGTTCGAGATCAGCCTGGCCAACATGGTGAAACCTCGTATCTACTAAAAATACAAAAATTAGATGGTTGTGGTGGCAAGCATCTGTAATCCAAGCTACTCAGGAGACTGAGACAGGAGAATTGCTTGAATCTGGGAGGTGGATGTTGCAGTGAGCCGAGATCGCGCCACTGCACTCCAGCCTGGGCGACAGAGCAAGACTCCATCTCGGAAAAAAAGAAAGAAAGAAAGAAAGAAAATGTTATTTTTCAACCTCATGCTAATAAACTTGTATACATGGATTTAGTAGAAATGTTTTTAAACAAATACAAATTATCAAAATAAACTCAAGAAGAAATAGGGAGCCTGAATAGATTTAAAAAAATCAGTAATAGATCAAACAACAATCAATCAAAATTATTACTTATCAATAAATATCAGGCCCAAGTGTTTTTGTTTTTTTTTTCAGATGGAGTTTTACTCTTGTTGCCCAGGCTGGAGTGCAATGGCCCGATCTCGGTTCACTGCAACCTCCACCTGCCAGGTTCAAGCGATTCTCCTGCCTCAGCCTCCCAAGTAGCTGGGATTACAGGCATGCACCACCACTCCTGGCTAATTTTGTATTTTTCGTAGAGACGGGGTTTCTCCATGTTGGTCAGGCTGGTCTCGAACTCCCGACCTCGGGTGATCTGCCTGCGTTGGCCTCCCAAAGTGCTGGGATTATAGGCGTGAGCCACCGAGCCTGGCCTCAAATGTTTTTTTACAAATGAGTTTTATCAAGCTTTCAATTAAGAAATAGTAGCTATCATACAGGAACTACTTTGTAAAATTGGAAAGAAAGGAGGTACTATCCAATTCACTCTATGATTCTAGGGTAGCCCTAACACCCAAAACAAATGGCAGTAAAAATATTACATACCAAACTCACTTATAAACTGAATTGAAAAGATCCTATAGGCTGCTCTGTCTATGGAGTAACCATTCCATTTTATTTTATTTTTTATTTTTATTTTTATTTTTTTGAGACGCAGTCTCACTCTGTCACCAGGCTGGAGTGCAGTGGTGTGATCTCGGCTCACTGCAACCTGTGACTCCCTGGTTCAAGTGATTCTTCTGCCTCAGCCTCCCGAGTAGCTGGGATTACAGGCATGTGCCACCACACCCAGCTAATTTTTGCATTTTTAGTAGAGACAGAGTTTCACAATGTTGGCCAGGATGGTCTCGATCTCCTGACCTCGTGATCCGCCTGCTTCGGCCTCCCAAAGTGTTGGGAAGTGTTGGGATTACAGGTGTGAGCCACCACGCCCGGCTGGAGTAGCCATCCTTTTATTCCTTACTTTCTTAACAAACTGCTTTCACTTAAAAAAAAAAAAAAAGAAAGAAAGAAAGAAAGAAAAAAATAAAAGACCCTATATCTCTAATTAGAAACCTTAGGAAAAGATAAATTCTAAATAAAATCCTAGTCAATTAAATTCAAGAATGTATTTTAAAAAATAAAAATACCTCATAACCAAATAGAATTTACCCCAAGAATATAAGAATGTTTTGACATCAGAAAATATCTATATATTTGTTCATAATATTGCCTACATACAGAAAAACACACAAAAAAAACCCTCTATGGAATTTTTTAAAAAAGACATTCTACAAAAGTAAACATTCATTCATGAGTTAGTAAATTTTGTATATATTTTATTAGGATAAATTGTCCTCTGACCATTTCTTCATTCATTCATTCTTTGTTTCCTTCCTCCCATCTACCATTAAAAGCAAGGCTATAATAAGTATTTTCCTACAGTCTCTTTATGCACACATAAAATAACCTCTCTAGAGTGTATACTTAGAAGGAGCATTGCCTAGGGGAAGGATCTGCTCATCCTCAAGTATTTATAAATTGTAAAGGTTTGTACAAATTTACACTGCTACCAGCAGTGTATGGGAGCTTCCCCATATCAATGCCAACATTTTCAATACTTTTTACCCGAAATGAATGGGGATAAAATTTATTTATGAATTCTACCAATATTTATTGAGAACTTAGTATGTGTCAAGAACTGGAAAAGAGTAGTAGGTAATGAGGTGAAAAAGGTCATGGTGTGCAGAGGATGCATGTGGCACCGTTGTCATAACTTTGGCTTGAAGTGACATGAAAAGCTATTGGAGGATTTGATTCAGAGAAATGGCATGATTTGACTGTTTTGTAAGAATCACCCTGGCTGTTGTGTTGAGAACAGACTATAAGGAAGCGATGAAGGAAGCAGGGAGACTAGTTAAGAGGCTATTGCAGTAATTCAGACAAACAGATGATGGGGGGTTGGACCACCATAAAAATACTTCATTTAAAAATTTTGTATTTCCCAGAATTGCAGTGAGACCATGTTTATGACCATGGGTAGAAAAGGCCTCCTGAAACAATACAAAAAATACCAAAGTCATAAAGAAGAGGATTAATAAATTTTACTATATCAAAACTTTACATCTGTTCAACAAAATGAGATTCAAATCCAAAGGAGAGACTGGGTGAAAGTATTGTAATGTATGTAGCAAAGGACTTGCCTTTATATGTCCCCAGAAAAAAGACAAAATTGAAAAATGGGCAAAGAACATAAATAAGCAATTCACAAAGAAGGAACATGAATGGCAAACGAGCATCTGAAAAGATGCTCAGTCTTACTGGTTTTGGGGGGAAACAAAAAGAAGAGGATGCTATTTTTTATACATTGGATTGACAATAAATAAGAAAGACTGATGTGTTGGGAAGCATCTGGAAAAACAGACATTCTCTTACCGTATTCCTGGGAATATAAACTGGCCAACCTTTTTGGAGTACACATTGGCAGCAATCCTTCACACTTTGGATGCGCCTATCATTTGACCCAGCAATCTCACACCTTGGTATCCACTGTAGAGAGATACTTGCATATGTGCAAAAAGGAAGCAGGTACAAGGTTGTTTCACTATAGTACTATTTATAGTGGTAAAAACTGATAGCATAGCAACCTAAATGATCATCGAAAGACTGACACTTAGTGATGCATCTGACTTATGTGAGAGCATGCAGCAGTTGAAAAAAACTAAAATGTACTGACACAGAAAAATCTCTGAGAGATATGGCTAAACTTAAAAAAAAAAAAAAAAGCAAAGTTGAAGAACAATCCACTGTGTGATACCATTTCAGTCAAAACAAAACAAAGCAAAATTCCCTCACTGGCTCTCTCTCTGTCTGTGTATAGATATAGATAGATAGATAGATACATAGATAGATAGATAGATAGATAGATAGATAGATAGATAGATACATATACACACATATGTAGATGCAGATGTATGTACACAGATAGATCAATAAAGATATATAAATAACTAAAAAGATGAAAAGACACACTCCAACTTGAAATCAGTGTTTGCTCTAAGGAAGAACCTGAAATAGGGGTTGAAGGAGTAGGAGGAAGAAAAAGTTTTTATTCATCTTTCTTATGTGATTTTCTTAAAGATTCCTTGAAGCTTCACTATGTGTAGGAAAAGACCTTCCCCTTTCTAAGTTACTGTTCAGTGTCAGGCATCTGGGCCCCTGCACTGCATTCCAGACTAGCTGCATTTCTGGTGAAGCCAGTGATTCATCTGAGCATGCCCTGGGCCAGCCCCAGGTGCAGCTATTCTGTGCTTTATTCTAGGCTCAATATCCACCCAGACTGACCTTGGGCAAATCAGTTTCAGTTCCTTTCTCTTATCTAGCTCAGTTGTGGGGCAGTTACCTCACAATGGGATGAGAACGAGGATGCAAGCAAAGTATTCTATAAGCTGCCTCCTCAATCTTCTCAGTGCCTCTGGTAACCAGCCAAGCCAGTCTTGGCCGTGTGGAGGTGGACACTTCAGGGGAAATGCTTGCTGACTTTGTGCACTATTCGGGCAAAAGGGCAAGCTGGGGATACCATTGCTGGAAAATTTTTAGTGCAACCAAGTGTTCCCTACCCATCTGGCCAGCTAGATACGGTTTTTCTTGCACCCTTTTTCAGTAAATGTAGAGCAGATAAGACAGCCTTTTACCCCACAGATTAAGCCCTGGAGAGATCATCCATAAATTACAAATATAGATTGATTTGGGGTGGGGGTGGGGAGGGAAGGCAGGAGAGGACCTAAATGCCATAAACAAACTCCTAAGGAGAATGCCATGAATAAAAACTTCCTGTACCAGTCAGCAGCATCCTAATGAGAGGGAGTTCACATGTGTACAACAGCTGTGTAAATTATAAAGCTTAAAAGGTAGAACTAACCGCATCATACTACTTCCAAAACACTCGATTCCTTCCTTCTTTCTTCTTTTCTACTCCAAAATAACCTAAAACAATCCTATAACAATTACAAACTGGGGGAAAGGCAAACCATTCTGGGAAAGAAAAAAATAGCAGCTGCTCTAGATATCATTTTCAGATTTTGGCTAGGATTGTTTAAGTTATTTTTTATTTTCTTTTATTCTTGGCTGGCTTGACAGTCCTTCAGGATTTCAGCTGATTCCAAACACAGCTCAGTAAAGATCATTCCAGAGAAGTTTCATATTCCTAAGATTCCTTAAATTTCTCTTTCTTTTAACTTAGGAAATTAGGTTGAAAGAAGATGAAAAACAGCCCAGATTGCACCATTTCCTATGCAAGTTTCTTGCAAAGCAAGCTGTGTCCCCCTTTCCAACAAGAACAGAGAGACATAGTTCTGACTGGGAGGTGGGCGGTGGGTCCTCTGGAGCAGCAGCAGGACTATTTGTCTTTTGAAAATGCCCCAGCAGGCCCAAAGTCTGTCTGAAAACTTTTTGTAAAGGAGGAGGAGAAAAAAAAAATGAAATTCTAGTGAGCTAACCATCTAAAAAAGCCAGTGACTGCACTGTGGACTTCTTTCATGCAAGAAATATTTATTTTGCACCTAGGTGTGCCAGGCTCTGTTCTATATACTGAAGAGGGAGCAATAAAGACAACTAAGTGTCTGATTCCCTCAGAGTTTCTGTGCCTGGGGACTGTTACAGGAAAGCGGTCCTGATCCAGACCCCAAGAGAGGGTTCTTGGATCTTGCGCAAGAGAGAATTCAGGGCAAGTCCACAGTGCAGAGCAAAAGCAAATTTATTAAGAAAGTAGAGGAATAAAAGAATGGCTACTCCATGGACAGAGCAGCCCTGAGGGCCGCTGGTTGCCCATTTTTATGATATGCTAAACAAGGGGCGTATTATGCTAAACAAGGGATGAATTATTCATGCCTCCCCTTTTTAGACCATACAAGGTAACTTCCAGACATTGCCATGGCATTTGTAAACTGTCATGACGCTAGTGGGAGTGTAGTAGTAAGGACAACCAGAGGTCACTCTTGACGCCATTTTGGTTTTGGTGAGTTTTAGCCGGCTTCTTTACTGCAACTGTTTTATCAGAAAGGTCTTTATGACCTGTATCTTGTGCCGACCTTCTGTCTTATCCTGTGACTTAGAATGCCTTAACCGTCTGGGAATGCAGCCCAGTAGGTCTCAGCCTCATTTTACCCAGCTCCTATTCAAGATGGAGTTGCTCTGGTTCACACACCTCTCACAAAACCATGAAGACAATTCAAGGAAGCCCTTTCCCCTGTCTGCTCCCAGCTGGGTTTCAAGTCTCTTCCTTCTGTTGGTCCTTCTCTTACAACCCTGGTTTATTATACCCTTTACCCTTCCCTTATGTAATCACATGTCCCTTTGTAAACATCAAAGGAAAATAAGCAGGCCCAGGGAGCTGATGAAAATGAGAATGATGACTCATAGAAGGATGTTTTTCTATTTTTCACTTATACAAGCCTCTTCTGAAAAGAGCCTAGATGCCTTTTCTTTCTGAAACTAGTTTGTCTCCTCTATTGTAGTGAGTCCTCACTTTGGCTCTGATTATCAAAATCTACTCTCAACCATTCACTGCTACGTGCCTCCAGCTCACCTGGGCCCTCAGAGTAGTCAGGCAATCATTTCTTATTTCCCTAAGCAGCTTTTCTCCCCCCTTTCACCCTTCATTTAGGCTATTTTTAAAAATCTTCATACTCCCTAAAGTTCCATGCTCATATGCCACCCCAACGATCACATTCACCCACTATAGACAGTGTCCGTACTTCATAGACAAAATAGAAGCCATTGGAAAACTCCATTTCCAATCATGCCACCTAGAAGGTTCTCTGCATCTGCACGTATTTTTTTCCATCCTGCACAAAGAAAGGGTGTCCTCCCATTTAAGGTGAGTGCCTGCACCCAAGTTTTGGATACACCCCCCTTTAGTCTTCTCAGGAAGGGTCCTCCATCCGTTATTCCCTTCTTTACCTCGCCATTCATTTCTTCCCTCTGCTGGGTCCTTTCCTTCAGCCTAACACAAAACCCCTGGCCTCTCTTCCTACACACTTCTTACTAAAAACTGCCCAGAAACTCATCCAAGAATTAATGAACAAAAAAGGAACCAGAAAAGGATCTATATTAAAGATACTATTAGTTGACCATTGGATTTTTTTCATCCCCACGACTGTCTCCTTTTTATTCATATTCATCTTTCTGGAATATTTTCTCAACTCTATTTTGTTTTCCTTTTTCTTTCTTTTTTTTTTTTTTTTTTTTTTTTTTTTGAGATGGAGTCTCGCTCTGTCGCCCAGGCTACAGTGCAGTGGCATGATCCTGGCTCACTGCAACCTCTGCCTCCCGGGTCCAAGCAATTCTCCTGTCTCACCCTCCTGAGTAGCTGGGAATACAGGCACACGCCACCACGCCCGGCTAATTTTTGTATTTTTAGTAGAGACGGGATTTCACCACATTGGTCAGGCTGGTCACAAACTCCTGACCTCAGGTGATCCACCCATCTCGGCCTCCCAAAGTGCTGGGATTACAGGCGTGAGCCACTGTGCCCAGCCTCAACTCTGTTTTCTAATCCTTCCAGTGAAATTTTAACTTTGCCAATCATATTCTCATTCCCAAGATTTCCTTGTATTTCTGATAATTCTTTTCATAGCATCTTTTGTCTTGTTTTAGTTAGGTAATACCCCTCAAATCTCTGAAAATACTAATTAGAGTCTGTTGGTCTTTTTTTTTTTTTTAACTGACTTCTGTTCCCTAAGTTATATCTGTCGGCCTTGCGGGATACCAGTCATTACTGGGTGTATGCTGATAGGTATGTATATACATTCATATCAGTTCTCTAGGTCATGTTCCTGGACTCCAGATTTATATCTTTAATTGCCTAGTGAACAAGTTGCTTTGACATCCCAAAGGCATTTCAAATGAAACTCATAGATCCCTCCAGGCTTGTTTTTTTAATCTCGGTAAACGACACTACCACCTACTCAGTTACCTAAGACCCATCGGTAATTCTTGACTGGCGCTATTTTTCCTCAACTATATCTAATACATTTATTCCTAGTGAATCTAGCTCCTTAATATCACTGGATATTATCTCAATGTTTCCCACTTTATTGAAGAAACACAGGTGGTGTAAATCCTGGCATATGTCCACATACTTAACCATTCTATCTCAGGGAAGGTGGAATGACCTATGATTTGTAAATTTGGAAAGGACAAACTGGGCATGCTAGTTTCTGCCACCCTTCCTCCTCGTGGCTGCTGGCCACAGGGGACACACATTCTAATCCTCCAGGTATAGTTTTTCTCAAGGGGCATCACAGGTTGGATTCCCTGGGAAGTAGATTCTGAAACGGAAATTAGTGTGTAGGAGGTTTTATTGGGGAATGCTCTTGGGATCGACGCTTTTTCCCAAGGGACAGGTGTTTCCTTGTGGATCCTAAGGAAAGGAAAGGAGAAGGAAGGGGAAAGAATGAGAAGAGAAGGGTAGAACGGAAAGGGTAGAAACAGGAAAAGAAGGGAAGGGAGCAAGATTGGGCAAAGGGAGAAGTTGAGCTGAGATTCAGTCTCAATGCAGACCTCAGCTGGACTTTGGGGAGCACCAAAGCTGGGATGGCCTTTCGAAATTGTCTCAAATTGGGATCAAGACTTTACATTTTCTACTTGGATCAGTCATTACACATGGACCACCTCAGGCAGGGAGCATGACTTTGGGCTAGTGGCTCTCTTTAGACAAGGCCATCCCTAAAGATGACTACTAGTTGATGGACGTGTCTGCAAGCAGCACTCCCAGCAGGGGGAATAAATTGTATATTTGGGAAAACAAATCTAGGTGGCACACCACAACATTCACATCAGAGGCACATACCCTAATCAAGGGGTTTATTTAGCATCTCATTTGGCTCTCACACTAAGCTAAGACCTATACCTTAGCTTTTTTTTCAGCAATAAATGTTTTAGAGCCTGTCTTCCAATCATTTGTTTTATTGCTTTATTTTTCCAGAGGCTTAGGCTGGGATGAGGGCTGCCATTTAAACCTAAAACATTTCTCAACATCCTTCTCTCTGTTCCACTAGGTCAGGCCATCCTTGTCTCTTTCCTGAACTACAGCTTCAGTTTCCTATCTGGCTGTCCTATTTCCATTAGTACCACTCTTCCGCTTTTCCTCCACAGTTCAGCAGAAGGAGATTTCAAAAGCACAAATCTGATCATTTCACTTGTGGGTGTTTAAAACTCTTCCTTGCTTTCCCATTGCCTTCAGGGATTAGACCTAAGTTTCTTAACAGAGCTGGACAGGCCAATGAGATCTGATCTCACTTAGCTAGTCTTATTCTCTTAATACTCCATCATTCCCCACCTCTCTACTTGATGTTCCAGTGCAGGAAAAGTACTTAAAGTCTCAATTAGCAACCAAACTGTTTCTTTACTTTGCTTTTTAAATGTTTCCTCAGATTAGAATATATTGAACTTTTTTTTTTTTTTTTGGTCAGTCTCACTCACTTGACTGTGAGTATTTTGGCAGCAGGGATACTTCCTGTTCTTACAATAGGCACTCAATAAATGTTAAATAAATACGTATATACATATATATATATATATGGAAAGGATTTACAATCTGTTAAATGCTTATTTATTAGTGGTGTCCACTAAACCTATGAGAAAATGTTCCACTTTCCTATTAAAAAGCACTCTAAAACAAGGGGGTACAGTTTTTCACCTAGAAATTGGCAGAGTTACTAAAAATAATACTGGAGGCTAGCAAGGGTATGGCAAAATGGGCATCTGATACACTGCAAGTATCAGAAAAGCATTTTGGCAATATGGAACAAGTCTCAAGATGTGTAAGCCATGTGCCCTAATAATTGCACAACTAGAAATCTAATCAGAGATAGGAGTAAAATTTATGTTCAAAGGTGTTCATTGTAACATGCGTCTCTATTATACTCTTGAATTGTCCATGCATTCTATAATGAGGATGTTTTAATTTAAAAATCAGTAAAATGGAGACTGGGCAAAGTGGCTCATGCCTGTAATCCCAGCACTTTGGGAGGCTGAGGCAGGCGAGTCACCTGAGGTCAGGAGTTCAAGACCAGCCTGACCAACATGGTGAAACCCCAGCTCTACCAAAAAATACAAAAATTAGCCAGGCGTGGTGGCACATGCCTGTAATCCCAGTTACTCAGGAGGCTGAGGCAGGGGAATCACTTGAACCTGGGAGGCAGAGGTTGCAGTGAGCCAAGATCATGCCACTGCACTCCAGCCTGGGCAACAGAGTGAGACTCCATCTCAAAAAAAAAAAAAAAAAAAAGTTAGGATTACAGTTTGTAGAAGTGAGGTTCCAGGAATGCTCAATGATCTGGTTTCCTTATATTCACACATTAGCATGAAGACCCTTGTGTAGTTCCCGTTCAAATTGTACCAGAGGTGAAGTGTGTGACCAGTAAAATATGACAGGAGTGATGGCAAGATTAGGTTTTAAAAGACATGAGCAGGGCATGGTGGATGGTGGGTCATGCCTGTAATCCCAACACTTTAGGGGGCCAAGGCAGGAGGACTGCCTGAGGCCAGGAGTTCTGAGCAACATAGTGAGACCCTTGCCTCTACCAAAAAAAAAAAAAAAAAAAAAAAGCCAGAAGTGTTGGCACACACCTCTCTAGTTCCAGCTCAGCTACTCAGGAGGCTGAGGTGGGAGGATCGCTTGAGCCCCAGAGGTTCTGGGACCCCTTTTCTCGTCTCTGCCCTCCAGCCTGCGTAACAGAGCAAGACCCGGTCTCCAAAAAATAAATAAATAAAATAAACTTACAAAAATTTTAAAAGACACTAGAACATCTATCTGAGTCCTTAGTTTTTCTCCCTTTCCATTTATGAGATATTATTACATAAGGCAAATTCTCTTTCCTTTCTCTGTCTCTATCACTTGCTTATGGGGAAAGCCAGTTGCCACATTATGAGGGCACACAATGAGAGACTCACATAGCAAGACATTGTGGCCTCTTGTCAGCATCACATGAGTGAGCTTGGAAGCAGGTCCCCAGCCCAGGTCAAGCTTCAGATGGCTGCAGCCCCAGCTAATGTGTTGACTGCAACTTCATGAGAGACCTTGAGCCAGAAACATCCAGTTAAGCTCCTTCTGGATTTCTAATCTAGAGAAACTGAGATAACAAATGCTTACTGTTTTAAGTTGTTACATTTTGAGTAAGGTGATCAACTGTCCAGCTTTTTTTTTTTTTTTTTTTTTTTTTGAGATGGAATTTCACTCTTGTTGCCCAGGCTAGAGTGCAATAGCACAATCTTGGCTCCCAACAACCTCCGCCTCTTGTGTTCAAGCAATTCTCCTGCCTCAGCCCCCTGAGTAGCTGGGATTACAGGCGCCTGCCATCACGCCCAGCTAATTTTTGTATTTTTAGTAGAGATGGGGTTTCACCATGTTGGCCAGGCTGGTCTTGAACTCCTGACCTCGTGATCCGCCTACCTCGGCCTCCCAAAGTGCTGGGATTACAGGCGTGAGCCACCATGCCTGGCCAACTATCTAGTTTTTACCAGAACTGAGGGGTTTACTGGGATGTAGGATTTTCAATACTGAAACCAGGGACATCCTAGGCAAACTGGGATAGTTAGTCACCTTAGTATTTTTAAAAATACAGCTGTATTGATATACATAATTCACGTCTCATAACATTCACCCATTAAAATTTCAATGGCTTTACTACATTCACAGATTTGTGCAACCATCACAATCCAGTTTTAGAACTTTAAAACGAAATCCCATACTCTTTTGCTATAACCACTCAGTCCTTTGTCCCCCCTCACTAATCTACTTTCCGTCTTTGGTCACCCTAGTTTTGAGGGTAACTTATTATGCAGCAATAGATAATACAGGGTTGCAGATAGTGATAAAAGATGATTTTTCTCTTCATTATTCTTTTACTTTATACTTTTCTAAATTTTGCAAAGTATCTTCAATAAGTATATCTTCATTTAATATAAGAAAAACTAGTAATATTCTATTTATGGAAAAGATGGCATAAAATTTCATGGAATTGTTGTTTTGGTCCACCTAGCATCCTTCTGCTCCCTGTTCTTCTGGTCACAGCACTATCCCTCTGTTTTAGGGAAGTACCTTTCCTCAACTCCAGGTGGTTCTGATATGGTTACCAATCAAGGGACAAGGTGGATATGTGACTCAGACTGGAACAATCAGATTTTCTCTCTTATTAATTTGAATCTTGAGTGGAGGCACATGGGAAGAGAAGGTATTTTTATTATTATTATTTTTTTTTTTTTTGAGACAAGGTCTTGCTCTGTCACCCAGGCTGGAGTGCAGTGGCACGATCTTGGCTCACTGCAACCTCCGCCTCCCAGGTTCAAACAATTCTCATACCTTGGCCTCCCGAGTAGCTAGGAGTACAGGCACACGCCACCATGCCCGACTAATTTTTGTATTTTTAGTAGAGACAGGTTTTCGCCATGTTGGCCTGGCTCCTGACCTCGAGTGACCCACTCCTTGGCCTCCCAAAGTGCTGGGATTACAGGCATGAGCCACCACGCCCAGCCAACAAAAGGTATTTAAAGCTAATCACAAGGAGGCAGAATCCTAGAGAGTTGGTTAAAGAACTTTTGTTTCTAAGATTTCTGTCACCTTCCCGGTTCCTGTTCCTCTTGGTCATTCAGCAATGCCTTTGATTCTGTAAGCTACTCCTATACGGCTTGAAAGGAAATCTCTTTTTCATTTAAGTTAGTTTCTGTTGCTTACAACAAAAAAAGTCAACTGACCCAAATAATAACAAAGACTATTTCCATAAGGGTACCTCCTCTTCCCCGACAAAAATCCATAAATCTGCCACTCCAACACAGCAGTTTGTCTTTGTTCATTTTACCTATTGGTCCACTTTTGCATAGATAGACTCATGATGTACACATCCTCTTACATTTAGATTTTTTTATGTGACATTACACCTGCAAAAATGTTTAGTGTTTCTACAAGGTGTTCTATTCGTCATTTTTAATGTATGTTATTATCTTGTATTAGTATATCATAATTCATTAAATCTTGATCCAGTGGTTGGATATTTGGGCTGATTTTAGTGTTTTACTAACAGACATAATGTTTAAAGTGAACGTATTCACAGCAAGCACGTTATTTCTTTCCTTCGAATACATCTACACAATTGAAAAATGGATCTGTTGTGATGTCATCCTCGTTCCTTTCATGCATTTGATGTGTTGCGTTATAAAGTGAAAGGTGCTTTTGTGCTACAAGTAATTTTCTGTCTTGAATGTTTGGATTTTCATTTATATTATTAGGTCAGGCAAAGTCAGATGAGTAGGATTTACTTGGTTATAGATTATGCTCTGAGTTATGATTGTTATATAGGTATTGGTGTGATTGGAACTTTTAAATAGAAATGTTATTGAATATAACATACATAAAGAAAGTGGCACAAATCATAAGGATAGAATCCTAATGAATTTTCACAAAGTGAACTCCCATGTAACTACTATGAAGATCAAGGAGGAGTACTGGCACTCTAGAAGGCCCCTTATGCTCTCACCCAGTTATTACCTTCTGTCAGGTAACCACAATCTTGACATCTATTACCATAACTTAATGTCTTCTGTTTTTTGTTTTTTTTGTTTTGTCTTGTTTTGTTTTTTGAGATGGAGTCTCACTCTGTCACCAGGCTGGAGTGAAGTGGTGCGATCTCAGCTCACTGCAACCTCTGCCTCTTGGGTTCAAGCTATTCTCCTGCCTTAGCCTCCTGAGTAGCTGGGACTACAGGCACGTGCCACCACGCCCAGCTAATTTTTGTATTTTTAGTAGAGACAGGGTTTCTCCATGTTGGCCAGGATGGTCTCGATCTCTTGACCTCATGATCTGCCCACCTCGGCCTCCCAAAGTGCTGGTATTACAGGCGTGAGCCACTGCGCCAGGCCCTGCTTTCTAACTTTAAATAAATGTACCCTTTTGTGTATGGTTTCTTTCACTCAGTATTATGTTTATATGCTCCTTCCATGTCATATGTAGCAGTAATTCATTCATTCTCATCGCTGTGTAGTATTGCATTGCACAGATTTACAACCATTTATTTATCCTTTCTACTGGTTCCCAAATTTTGACTACAAACAGAACTAGAATTACCCAGTCATAGTTTATGCACGTATTCAGCTTTCCTAGACATTGCCAAACAATTTTCCAAAGTGGTAATACCAATTTACATCCCTGTGAGCAGCATAGGAGAGTTCCAGTTGTGCCAATGTCCTCAGCAATCCTTGGTATTTTCCATCTTTTTGATTTTAGACATAATGATAGGAGCATAATGGTATCTCATTCTACTTTTAATTTATGCTTTTTCATATGCTTATTGGTCATTTGGATGTTCTCTTTTATGAAGCACCTGTTCAAGTCTTTGACCTACTTTTTTTTTGTTAGCTTTATTGGGATATAATTTTCATACAATGAAATTCACCTATTTAAAGAATACAATTGCATTAATTTTATAAGTGTATTTTACAAGGTAACCATCATCATAATCATTATACAGAATATTTCCATTATCCCAAAAAGCTCCCATGTGTTTTTTGAAGTTACTTCTCTTCTTCCACCTCCCTGACAACTGGCAACACTGATATGTGTTCTGTCACTATAACTTGGTCTTTTCTACAATTTTATATAAATTGAATCATTCAGTTAGTGGTATTTTGTGTCTGGCTTCTTTCAATGAGCATAATTTTGAAATCCCATCCATGTCATTTCAGCAAGTAGTTAATTACTTTTACTTTTTTTTTCAGACAGTCTCGCTCTTTGTCCAGGCTGGAGTGGAGTGGTGCGATCTCAGCTCACTGCAACCTCTGCCTTCCAGATTCAAGTGATTCTTGTGCCTCAGCCTCCTGAGTAGCTGGGATTACAAGTGCCTGTCCCTACAGCCATTAATTTTTGTATTTTTAGTAGAGATGGGGTTTCACCATGTTGGCCAGGCTGGTCTCAAACTCCTGGCCTCAAGTGATCTGCCTGCCTCGGCGTCCCAAAGTGCTGGGATTACAGGCCTGAGCCACCATGTCCGGCCCAGTTAATTACTTTTTATTGGTGAATAGTATTCTGTTTTATGGATATATCTCAACTTGTTTATCAGTTCATCTTTTGATGGACATTTTGTTGTTCCTAGTTTTTAGTCATTATGAATAAAGCTGCAATGGACATTCAAGACATGTATTTGTATATACATATGTTTCATTTTTCTTAAGTAGGTATCTAGGATTAGGATTGCTGGGTCTTATAAGTTTATATTTAACTTAAGAAACTGTCAAATTTTCCCAAGGTGACTATGCTATTTACATTCCCATCACCAGTATGTGAGTGTCCCAGTTGCTCCACATCTTAGTTAGCACTCGGCATTGTCAGTCTTGTCAATGTTAGCCATTCTAGTGCATATCTAATGGTATCTCATTATGATTTTAATTTGCATTTTCCCAGTGATTAACAACATTGAGCATGCTTTCATATGCTTATTGACACTCATGAAATGTCTGTTAAAATCTTTTGCCCATTTTATAAATTGAGTTAATTTGCGTTCTTATTGAGTTGTAAGAATTCTTTATTATTCTTAACACAAGCCTATCATCAGGTGTTTATTTTACACATATTTTCTTCCAGTCTGTGGTTTGCAGTTTCTTTTTCATAATAGTTACTTATGAAGAGCAAAACTTTTATTTGCATAAGTCTAATTTATTAATTTTCTTTTTTTCCTTTTTTTTTAAGAGATAGGTTCACGCTTTGTTGCGCAGACTGGTCTCAAACGCCTGGCTTCAAGGTATCCTTCTACCTTAGCCTCCCAATGTGCTGGTACTACAGTGTGAGCCACTGTGCCTGGCCTTCTTTTATATTTATGTGTAATATTTGTGTAGTTTGTGTGTGTGTGTGTGTGTGTGTGTGTGTGTGTGTGTAGTATTTAAGAAATACTTGTGAAATACAAGGTCATAAACATTTTACTCTGTTTTATTTTAAAAATTTGTTCATAGATGCATGCTTTGTCATGTCATAACAGGACTATTGGGGTTTTTTATTTCTTTTGGTGTCACTTTTGGTAAATTGAGTTATTCTAGAAATTTCCCATTTTATCTAAATTTTCTAATTTATTGATATTAAGTTGTCCCAAATATTTTCTCTTCAACTTTGTAATGTTTGTGGGGTCCACAGTGGTGTCTTTTTTTTTTTTATGTCTGACAGAGGTAATATGTGTCCTTCCTCCTTTTTATTTGTATATCGTATGTGTCATTAGTTTTGCTAGGGAGTTATCAGTTTTATTTTCTTTCAGTGACTTTTCTCTACTGTACTTTTTTTTTTTGAGACTCTTTCACCTAGGCCCAGGCTGGAGTGCAGTGGCATGAACATGGCTCACTGCAGCCTCAACCTCCTGGGCTCAAGTGATCCCCTTACCTCAGCCTCTGTGTAGCTGGGACCGGAGGTATGCACAATGAAACCCAACTAATATTTAAATTTTTTCTAGAGATGGGGGGTCTCATTTGGTTGCCCAGGCTGGTCTCAAACACCTAGGCTCAAGTGATCCACCCATCTCAGCCTTCCAAAGAGCTAGAATTACAGGCATGAGCCACCATGCCTAGCCTACTGTACATTTTCTTCATTACTTTTTTCTCTTAACTTTTCTTATGCTTTCTTCAAGTTTAATTGCATTTTGTTTCTAACTTATTGAGATAAATACCTAGGTAATTTTTGTTTAAAGCTATCGATTCTAGCCCTTAAGATAATAAATTTCCCCCAATACACAGTTTTAGCTACATCTTAAAATTTTTTATGTCATACTTTCATTATGATTTAGTTTAAAATATTTTCTTATTTTCATTGTGATTTCTTCTTTGACCTATGGATTATTTAGAAGCAGACTGCTTAATTTTCACATATTTGAAATTTTTCTAGTTTTTAAAATATTATTAGGTTAATTCCCCTCTGCTCAAAGAACGTACTCTGTATTATGTCAATTTTTTCAAATACATTGAGGCTTGCTTTATGGCCCAAGTTATTGCCACTTTTAGTAAACATTCCATGTTCATATGAAATGAAAGTGAATTCTGTAGTTGTTTGGTGAAATATTCAATATATATCAATTTTGTAAATTCTGTTAATCATGTTGTTTACATTTTGTGTTTTCTTATTAATTTGTGTCTACTTTTTTATTGGTTACTGAAAAGATCTTACTGTTATTGTAGATCTATTTCTCCCTGCAGTTTTGGGAATTTTTGAATTAATATATTTTGAACTATATTGTTAGTTGTACACAGAATTAGACTTACTGTATCTTCCTGATGGATTGATATTTTTATTATTGTAAAATATCCCACTTTATTTCTAATAATGCTTCTTTCCTTAAACTCTACTTTGTATGTTATTGTATAGCTATAAGAGTTTTGGGTTACAGCTTTCACATAACATGTTTTTTTTCTATTCTTTTACTGTTGTATCTTTTGTAAAAAAGCATATGCAATTATTTTAACCAGTATGACAATCTTTGTCTTTTAGTGGAATATTATGCCATTTTTATTTAATATTTTAAATTTATAATTAATTTATATTTAATTTTAATAGTTAAGGTACTCAATGAGATATTTGGGTTCACAGGTACCATTTTACTATTTTTTTCTATTTGCCCCACTTGTTACTTGCTCCTTTTTATCTTTTTTCTTGTGCCATCTTTTTTTTTTTTTTTTTTGAGATGGAGTTTTGCTCTTGTTGTTGCCCAGGCTGGAGTGCAAAGGCGCCATCTTGGCTCACTGCAACCTCCGCTTCCCAGGTTCAAGCGATTCTCCTGCCTCAGCCTCCCGAGTAGCTGGAATTACAGGCGTGTGCCACCACGCCTGGCTAATTTTGTATTTTTAGTAGAGACAGGGTTTCTCCCTGTTGGTCAGGCTCGTCTTGAACTCCAGACCTCAGGTGATCTGCCTGCCTTGGCCTCCCAAAGTGCTGGGATGACAGACGTGAGCCACCACACCTGGCCTCTTCTTGCCATCCTTTAGCTTAATTATTTTTAATTAACTATCCTTTCTCCCTTTTCCTATTTCCATATTATGTTAGTTATAAATATTTTTATTATTCTCTTAATGGTGACCTAGAGTTTACAACATTCACCCTTGGCTTATTATATCCTTGTGTAATTTAGTATTTTTCTCACTTCTGAGACAAAATATCCTGGCTGACATCCCCATTGGACATCTATACCATTTTGGTCTATTTGGGAGTGGACACAGCTCCTCACCATTTATAGAAACTGACTCCTGTCTGGTTCTCTCCAGACAGGTTCAAGAGACCTAAATTCTCCTGACATCAGGCCATTTCCCTTTTCTTGGAGTCCTTCCCATTCCAAATCATTGAATCATCTGCCTTCATGGGCTTAGGCATCAGAAAATCACCACAGCTTAACCCGCCCTCCAGAGAGAAGAGATAAAGAAATACTTCTCGTTTTCCCATTATGAGCCAGTAGACAAGAAAATAAAATATGGTTTATCAATCAATTTATCCTGCCACACCTACTAATATTATATGAGGTTTTGTGGCCTAGCCTTGGCATCTAACCATAATTAATTACACTATTTCCATGGGAAATTAATTCTAGGTTATAAACACTTAGACTTAGGAACTTTGAGAACCCAATATATTAATAATATGTATTCTCTATATACCATTATTTTTCTTGCTTCTATTTATCTGAGAAAAGAAAAAAACTGCAGAGATCAATGATAAGGCTCATGATGACTGCAATAATACTCTGGTCATGTTGCTTTAGGATTTTGTTTCAACATTAATACCTACAAATGGGGTGAACATGAAGGACTATATAATCTCTCACCAAATTGCAAGATATTTTTATGCCTTTTGATTTCTTTGCCAGGCAAATGACATAGAGCTAGAGGGGAGTAATAATTTTCAGAGATATACTCTCCCTGAAATATACTGCAAAGTTTAAAATGCACTCATAAATACAGATGTAGGTAAAGTTTAATTTAGGGAACTCTGTGTTGGGTGTCGTAGCGCCTATCCCAAAGAACCAGGAGATGGTGACTTGGTTTAATAAAACATTACAAAGGTCCATGAGGAAAATCTCCAGGGACTAAATGGTGGTAATTTTGACCTAGACCATGGCAACTGTCCCTTTTGCTAAAAGTAACAATACTGATTCCTAAGTGTGTCTTCTTCTTAGATACCAACTTTCAATTCCAAGGAGAGACAATGTAGTCCAGACCTCTTACTATTTCCTGTGCTCTTTAGCTTTCATCTGGACTAGACTAAACTTTCATTCTGAGGTTTCAGGCAACCTTAATTTCAAGTGGTTGCTTCAAGCCGCAAGCACTTTTTACAAGATATACCAAGAGTGAATTGAACTCAAGGTAATTTTTTTTCTTCAAAACTCCTTCGTGGTTCCACAGGTGGAATAATATTTGTTTCTTAGTTCTCCCAGACCACCATTTCCAGGTCTAGTCCAATAAATATTGATGTGAAGGCAGAACAATCATAAGGTACATTTGTATATAGTTATACGACATATCATAAGAGAATTCTGTTTTTCCAAAATAATGTGTAAGTTTGGCATAGGATCATCTGAAAACTGGAAATGATCAATACAACAATTCCATGGTCATAAAATGAGTTTTGTTTTTTTTGAGACGGAGTCTCGCTCAGTCGCTCAGACTGGGGTGCAGTGGTGCGATCTTGGCTCACTGCAAACTCCACTTCCTGGGTTCACGCCATTCTCCTGCCTCAGCCTCCTGAGTAGCTGGGACTATAGGCGCCCGCCACCAAGCCCGGCTAATTTTTTTGTAGTTTTAGTAGAGACAGGGTTTCACCGTGTTAGCCAGGATGGTCTCGATCTCCTGACCTCGTGATCCGCCTGTCTCGGCCTCCCATAAAGTGCTGGGATTAGAGGCGTGACCCACCGCGCCGGGACAAAATGAGTATTAAAAATCTGCTTTTCCCCGTAAGACGTATTCCACACTTAATCATTCAAGAGCTGATTATCCAGAATGTATAATATACAAACCCATTATTTTTTCTTTTCCCTTCTGCTGCCAGATCTTTGGTCATTTCACAGCTCGTTAGCATTCTCTCTCTGGGAAAATAAAAGCAAATGTAGCTCAAATTATTATTTTAAACTTTCTATGTAAAGGTTTTGTAGGAAGAGTTATAATTATTGGTAAAAATACCACTTTACTTTAATAAGTATTTGGTTAGGCTCTGCTGGGCACTGTGGAAGAATGAACAAAGCTGAAGACATTGTCCCTGCTCTGAAGACTTTTTACAATATAATTGGAGAAACAAGATTTATGTATATTAAAGTCAAATAGTAACGCAAGACAATATATATTTAACCAACAACATCAAAAAAATCTAGCGATACAAACATATATACAAGAGAAGTTTATACACTTAGAAGGGGTTTTAAAAAAGGAGAAGGCTGGGCATGGTTGCTCATACCTGTAGTCTCAGCACTTTGGGAGGCCAAGGCGGGAGGATCACTTGAGCTCAGAAGTTCAAGACCAGCCTGGACAACAAAGCAAGACTCTGCCTCTATAAAAAAAATAAATAAATAAAATTTTTAATTAGCCAGGCATGGTAGTATGTGCATGTAGTCTGCCTACTTGAGAAGCTGAGGCAGGAGGATCACTTGAGCCCAGGAGTTTGAGGCTGCAGTGAGCTATAATTGTACCACTGCACTCCAGCCTGGGTGACAGAACGGGACCCTATCTCTAAATAAATAAATAAATAAATCCAAAAAAAAAGTGAGAACACACTGTGAACTGACAAAGCCATCATGGAAATTCTCAATAAGCTGGTGAGACAAGCTAGTTATCAAAGAATGGATGGAATTTCAACATGGGAAGAGGAAAAAAAAGAAAATCCTGCACACACACACACATAAAAAAAATCACAAAAGCCAAGAATTCCAAAGTCTAGGAGCCATATACATCTTTAAATGAAATATTTCAAGCATCAACATACAGAAAGTAATAACAACCTCTTTTTTTCTCCCTACTCACCTTTGTCAAGTATTAACTTGTGTAATATTTGCTTCAGATTCTTTTTTTTGAAGTGAATCAGCTAAAGCCTTCTGCACGCTATATGATAATCTTTTTTTCCTCAACAGGATATAACAACTATCTTGAATATGACTTTTTTATTATTACCATGGATATTCTAAAATGCCTATCATACATAGAAATATCTAGTATTTTCATGTGTTTAAACTTAGTGTAATCAGTAGCATACTTTATGTATTTTCTGCTACTTTATCACTCAGTATTACATTTTTTGAGATTTATGCATATTTTAGTTCCAGTTCTAGTTCATTCATTTTAACTAATCCGTAGTATTTCACTGTGTGATCACAAAACAATTTACTTATCCATTCTCAGGTGGATGGAAACTTACATCATTTCCAATTATTTTTCTGTTATACATGATACTTCAATGAACATTCATTTACCCATCTCCTTGTATGTTTAAGGGAGAGTTTCTACACGGAGAAGTGAAATTGCTAGATTGTAAGATAAAGATATCTTTAGCTTATTAGATTTTGCTGAATTGCCTTCTAATGTGGTTGTATAAGAGTTCCCTGATCTTCTTTACCTTTGCAATTGTTTTTATTTTTCATTTTTAGATACAGGGTCTCGCTCAGGAGTACAGTGGCACAACTAATGGCTCACTATAGCCTTAAACTTCTGGCCTCAAGCGATCCTCCTGACTTGGCCTCCGAAAGCATAGGGATTACAGGCATGAACCACTTTTGCAATTCTGCTAACTACATCATAGGTGTGGAACTTCCAGAGTACCCTGGAGCCAATACTTTCTATAAGCTGGTGTTTGTGTAGGTGACGCTCAGTATTGTATCTCACTATGAACCGGCCCAACCCAAGGGAAGGGTGGATATCAAACCTCTGGGAGAGAATTTGGGAAAAGCAAAGAAAGTAATGGTGTAATGGTTGAGGACTGGTTGCACATTTTATTAACTTTTGCATCCCCAGTATCTAGTACAACCTGAAACTCAGATCAAGGCTCAGTAGATGTTAAATTGACTGGAACTAATTATAAACTCTGATATGCTTCTAGTTTACTTCTCTAAGCTTCAATTTCTCCATTTATAAATTATGGATGATAATAATTCAGGAAGTCATTCCAAAGATAAAATAAGATATAAATGTGAAGACATTTATAAACTCTAAAGAGCCATGCAAATTAAGTTATAAAAGATTAGAAAGCTGCTTCTGTGTTGTGACATCTTAGATATGACCAGATAACATTTTAGTTGTTCAAAGAAGCATTGCCAAGTTTCTCATTGGCATTCTTCTTGTAGCCCTAATAAATCCTGGAGTCTCACATGCCTGAGACTCTGCTCAGAGCCACATATAGAGATATGTAGTTATTTTGTTTTATTTTTATTGATTGATTGATTGATTGATTTTTGAGACAGAGTCTCACTCTGTTGCCCAGACTGGAGTGCAGTGGTGCAATCTCGGCTCACTGCAACCTCTGCCTCCCAGGTTCAAGCAAGTCTCCTGCCTCAGCCTCCCAAGTAGCTAGGATTACAGGCACATGCCACCACACCCAGCTAATTTTTGTATTTTTAGTAGAGACGGGGTTTCGCCACGTTGGCCAGGCTGGTCTCAAACTCCTGACCTCAGGTGATCGCCTGCCTCGGCCTACCAAAGTGCTGGGATTACAGGCATGAGCCACCACTCCCAGCCAAGATACACAGTAATTTTAAAAAGGTATTCTAACCTTTACTTCCAACTCTGAAAAAAAAAACATCAAAGAGGAACCCATTCATTTTGTAAAGCCACACTTGAGTTCTATTCTATTCTCTTTAGTCCTCAAACATAAATCCACAATCTCTTTCACAAGTACTCAGTTTGCTGAACTTTTGCTTATTTTCTCCCTTCTTCCTTCTTCCAACATTTTGAAAGTTGACAGCTCTTCTCTGGTTCCCCTTCTTCTCTCAGTTCTCCACTTGGACCTCCACTATCCATCCCTTAAATCCCACGCCAGATATGTACCAAGGAAATGCCAGAAAACACTTGCCTGGAGGAAGAATAGTCATACTTCATGAAATCATCCTAAAGCACACATTTTTGTCATTGAATTCAGTGACATTATTTTCACTTTCAATGTTTACAAAAATAAGGTCCACCCACCTCTGTTACTTTTAAGAGCCCCTTGTTTAAAAAGAAAAAAAAGAAGAAGAAAGAAAGAAGGTTGCTCACATTGCTCTACACCCTCAGACCCCATTCATAAATCTCATGACTCCATCTATGGTCTCTATTTGTATGGCTCAATTTACCCTCTTATACTTCGTATTCAGAATCTGTCATTATCCTTGTAATAGCTCCTCCTTGAATGCCCTCTTATTTCCTCAAAGTCAACATGTCTAAATGTAAACTCACATTTATTCCAAATTTAGCTTCACCTCGGAACTTCCATATTTCCATTGTTGGCATTCTGGAAGCATGTTTATTGGCCAGGTGTGCTATCATAAGAAGAGGAAGAGACTGGGGCAAGAGAGACTAATTAAGAGCTTGCACACCATATAGCAGACAACAGAGTGCACTCAGATTTGCAGATAGGTGTTTTGAGTTTATGTGGAATGACAGAATAATGCTCTCCTTAGGTGAGAGGATACATAAACCCTAAATACTGGCATCAGCAATGAAAAAGTGTTATGCTTTTAGGCAGTACAGTTTCATACAAACATTTCCAGACATTGAGATAGACACAGACTGACCATAAGAAGCTCCACGCTTAAATTTGAAAGAGGCTATTCACAAATTTCATTTACAAGTTTAACCATTTGTAAATAAAATACAAAGTGGTGGGGAAACTTTCATGAATTTCCTTCCTTTTGTTTCTTTTACAAGGAAAACAATTATTCCATCACCACATGTTAAAACTATCCTGATAGCATCAAATGCCTAGCTGAGAGAGGTCATACTACAATTTAACTACTAATTTATGTTTAACTACTAATGTAAAGATATATTTTTTTGGCCGGGCACGGTGGCTCACACTTGTAATCCCTGCACTTTGGGAGGCTGAGGAAAGTGGATCACTTTAGGTCGGGAGTTCAAAACCAGCCTGGCCAACATGATGAAACCCTGTCTCTACTAAAAATACAAAAAATTAGCTGGGCATGGTGGCGCGTGCCTATAATCCGAGCTACTTAGGAGGCTGAGGTAGGAGAATTGCTTGGACCCGGGAGGTGGAGGTTGCAGTGAGCCGAGATCGCGCCACTGCACTCCAGCCCGGGCAACAAGAAGAAAACTCTGTTTCAAAAAAAAAAAGATTCATATATTTTTAAAGTATCTGTAAGTAACCCAGACGATATGATCCCAGGCTGAAGGTCTGGCTCAAATACTAAGAAGAGGCATGCCTTGGCCGGGCACGGTGGCTCACGCCTATAATCCCAACACTTTGGGAGGCCGAGGCAGGTGGATCACGACGTCAGGAGATTGAGTCCATCCTGGACAACATGGTGAAACCCTGTGTCTACTAAAATACAAAAAATTAGCCAGGCATTGTGGCACGCGCCTGTAGTCCCAGCTGAGGCAGAGGAATCGCTTGAACCCGGGAGGTGGAGGTTGCAGTGAGCCGAGATCGAGCCATAGCACTTCAGCCTGGCAACAGAGTGAGACTCCGTCTCAAAAAAAAAAGAAGAAGAAGAAGAAGAGGCATACCTTGATTTAGACAGGCTTTGCCATTAGCTCAGACCCAGCAAACGGATCTGTTTCCCGGTGCAGAGATCTGGGTCAGTTTGAGAAAAGAGTTATCTTCCCATTGACCTTGAACTGTGAGCAGGGAATAGGAGTAATGGAAAACTGGTATTCGAACTATTTTAACTGTTTTTTTTTTTGTTTTGTTTTGTTTTGTTTTGAGACGGAGTCTCGCTCTGTCCCCCCAGGCTGGAGTGCAGTGGCGCAATCTCGGCTCACTGCAACCTCCGCCTCCTGGGTTCACGCCATTCTCCTGCCTCAGCCTCCTGAGTAGCTGGGACTACAGGCGCCTGCCACCGCGCCCGGTTAATTTTTGGTATTTTTAGTAGAGAGGGGGTTTCACTGTGGTCTCGATCTCCTGACCTCGTGATCCGCCCGCCTCGGCCTCCCAAAGAGCTGGGATTACAGGCGTGAGCCACCGCGCCCAGCCTTAACTGAGTTTTTTGTTTGTTTGTTTGTTTTTGAGACGGAGTCTCGCTCTGTCGCCTAGGCTGGAGTGCAGTGGCGCGATCTCGGCTCCCTGCAAGCTCCGCCTCCTGGGTTCACACCATTCTCCTGCGTCAGCCTCCCGAGTAGCTGGGGACTACAGGCGCCCGCCACCATGTCCAGCTTTCTTTTTGTATTTTTAGCGGAGACAAGGTTTCACCGTGTTAGCCAGGATGGTCTCAATCTCCTGACCTCGTGATCCGCCCGTCTTGGCCTCCCAATATGCTGGGATTACAGGCGTGAGCCACCGTGCCCGGCTGTTTTGATTTTTTTTTTTTTTTTTTTTTTTTGAGGCAGAGTCTCGCTCTGTAGCTCAGGCTGGAGTGCAATGGCAGGATCTTGGCTCACTGCAACCTCCGCCTCCCAGGTTCAAGTGATTCTCCTGCCTCAGCCTCCTGAGTAGCTGGGATTACAGTCACGCGCCACCACACCCTGCTAATTTTTGTATTTTTAGTAGAGACGGGGTTTCACAATGTTGGTCAGGCTGGTCTCGAGCTCCGACCTTGTGATCTGCCTGCCTTGGCCTCCCAAAGTGTTGGAATTACAGGCGTGAGCCACCATCCCCGGCCTTAACTGAGCTTTTATTTCCAGTTTTAATCTGTTTTGAGAAAGAAAAACTCCAATCCAGGTTTAAACCAAATTAGTGGATGATTTTTTTCAAAAAAGATGAACTTTCTAAATCTACAAATAGATTTGCTTTACTATTATACAGGTTTTGTTGTGCAGGGGTGAAGTCCTCCTAGGAGAAAATAATAACGTACAATAAAGCTTCTAGTGAAAAGGCCAGCAGGATATGACTCTGGGGCAGTGAGCAACTCTGCAAACACAATGTATGTGACTATATTTGTTCTGGGCCAGGTCGGTCTGGCCCAACAGCGCTCTGTATTTGGGAACTAGGACACAGGGCAACACCTCTTAACCAGAGGCATCTGAGGGGAATTCTAGGCTGGATGTTATGTAAGATGGAATCAGGGAAACACTATGCTCTAATATATCATGGGATAACAGATAAATATAAGGAAGATTTTATTAAAAAAATGATCTCAACCATCCCTCGGTCTGTCCCTTAGCAGCGTGTACTTCCTTAGCGTTCTTCAGTACAGTCATGCATCGCTCAATGACAGGGATACATTCTGAGAAATGTGTCACTGGGTGATTTCGCTGTTGTATGAAAATCATAGAGTGCACTTACACAAACCTAGAGGATAGAGCCTACCTCACATCTAGGCTATATGGTGTAGCCTAATGCTCCTAAGCCACAAAACTGTACTGCCTGTTGCTGTATTGAATACTGTAGGCAATTGTTACACAATGGTAAGTATTTGTGTATCTCAACATGGAAAAGACATAGTGAAAAACACAATATGAAAGATTAAAAAATGGTACCCTTATATAGGACACTTCCCATGAATAGAGCTTGCAGGACTGGAAGTTGCTCTGGGTGAGTCAGTGAGTGAGTAGTGAGTGAATGTGAAGGCCTAGGACATTACTGTATACTACTGTAGACTTTATAAACACTGTATACTTAGGCTATACTAAATTTACACAATTTTTTTCAATAATAGATTAATCTTAGTTTACTGCAATTTTATTTGTTTATTTTTTGAGGCAGGGTCTTGCTCTGTCACCCAGGCTGGAGTGCAGTGGCACAATCACAGCTCACTGCAGCCTCAACCTCCTAGACTTGAGTGATCCTCCCACCTCAACTTCCTGAATAGCTGGGACCACAGGCATGCACTACCAGGCCTGGTTAATTTTTTTTAAATTTTTTATAGACATGGGGTCTCCCTGTGTTGCCCAGGCTGGTCTTAAACTCCTGGGCTCAAGCAGTCCTCCTATCTCAGCTTCCCAAAATGCAGAGATTACGGGAGTGAGCCACTACCTCTTTATATACTTTTAAATTAAAAAAAAAAAAGTTAACTCGTAATAACACTTGGCTTAAAACATACACATGATATAGCTGTACAAAAATATTTTCTTTTAGGGCTAGTCTTGAACTCGTGGACTCCAATGATCCTTCTGCCTCAGCCTCCCATGTAGCTGGGATTACAGATGCATCCCACCATGTTCAGTCTTTTCTTTCTTTATATACTTATTCTACAAGCATTTTTGTATTTTTTAATTTTTTCAATTCTTTTTTTTTACTTTTAAAATACTTTTGTTAAAAACCAACACAGAAACACGTACATTGGCCTAGGCTTATAAAGGGTCAGGATCATCAATATAACTGTCTTCCATCTTCACATCTTGTCCCACTGGAAGGTTTTTTAAAAAACTTTTTTGAGACAAGATCTCGCTATGTTGCCCAGCCTGGTCTTGAATGCCTAGGCTCAAGCAATCCTCCTGCGTCAGCCTCCCAAAGTGCTGGGATTAGAGGCATATGCCTCCATGCCCGGACCCCACTGGAAAATCTTTAGGGACAATAACACACATGGACCTGTCATATCTTATGATAACAATGCCTTCTTCTGGATACCTCCTGAAGGACCTGCCTGAGGCTCCTTTACAGTTAACTTTTTTTTTTAAATAAGTAGGAGGAATACACTCTAAAATAAGGATAAATAATATAGTAAATACATAAACCAATAACAGTCATATATTATCATTATCGAGTATTATGTACTACCCATAATTATATGCACTGAATGCTGACATGACTGGCAGCACAGTAGGTTTTACACCAGCATCACTACAAATATGTGAGTAATGTGTTGCACTACTATATTACACCAGCTATGATATCAGTAGACAATAGGAATTTTTCAGCTCCATTATAATCTTATGGGACCACTGTCATATATGCAGCCTGTTGTTGACTGAAATGTTGTCATACGGTACAGGACCAGATTTTATTGCCTATTTTTGATGTAGCCTGTACCCTCCAGGACTGAATGAGTCTGAAAAGATATCATTTAAAATCTTGGCTTCCCAAGAAGATGAAAGATTCTCGTCTAGATAATTCTTTTGTGTTTTCAAGATCTCACCTGGTAGCAATATAACATACAGGTACTGGGTGCTCGGTTTTGTTGTTGTTGGTGTTATATTTGCCTGGGGATGAGAAGATAACATCTAGCCTGTTAGATTGATGTCAGGGCAGAAACTTCACAGTGAGATGCTTGAGACCAGGTTTCTTGTCCCTGACACTTTATGACAGTGTGGGTTCAAGAACACTTGTGATGATCTTAGAGGAGGGCAAATATGATTTTTGGAGATTTTTCTTCATCAGGACCAAGGGGCCAGGTAGGGGTTGAGGATTTTAGAATTATAGATAACAGTATGAATGGCATCTCCCAGAATCGAGCAGTACAGTGACCCTGAGTTTGTTGGGCTATAAAAAAATTGGATAAAAGTTTAGGCTATAATAAAGCGTTCCAGTAATAGGTAGTTACAATCCCCCCATAGTAAACAGTGACCAGACTGCATTTGGAATACTGAGCTCAATTCTTTGCCAGAGTTTACTCTGAAAGATATTAACAAGTTAAATGTGTCCATACGAAGGGGTCCAGATGAGATGTATAGAGTTCATGATGTATGAGAAAGGCTGAAGGGGATTTGGGAGAATATAACTAAGAGGAGACACAATAGCAGAAGAGAAAATACGAACTTTGATAGTTAAGGTTAGCATTGATCTCCATAATGACAACTAACGATACTTTTCTGTCCCCCTCTTTCCCAGTCTCTCTTTGGTATTTAACAGTGTTGATCCACTCTCCTTAAAATTTCCTCTTTTGTTTCATTGATACAATTTGTACTACTTCAGTAGATAGTAAGATTGAATTGAAGTGCAAGAAATCTGTGAAAACACTTGTGAAGGATAAAGAGGAAAAGTAGCAGTAGGAGGGAAGAATGTCAGATTGCAATCCACATCTTAATACCACATCTTAATACCATAAAGGGAATAGGAGAAGGAAGAATTGGGTAGAGTCTATCTGCGTGGCGGCTCTGAGAAAGGCTCAATTAGGCCAATGGGGACCCCAGAGCAAAGACTGCCCATCGGAAGAAACTACATTGGAAAGCAATAGCCATGCTCAGGCATTGGCTGGGAGGATCTAGAGAGAGGGAGACCTCTGTGTAAATGCTGTGATAGATCCCAAAGGCATGGTGGTGGGAGGCTGTCAGCTAATCACAGCCCATACGGCCGGTACCTCCCTGGAGGGAAACCTGACTGTTCATTCCAATAGGTGCCACACAATTCCATTACCACATATCACACTGGGTCCCACCTCTTTGGCCTTTTTTGCTAAATTCCCTTACTTTGCTCACACCCTAAATGTTGGGGTTTTGTAGGAACCCATTTTCTGCCTATTCCATACATTTTCCCTATGAGAATTAATCTCAACCCACAATTTCAAATACTACCATCACTGTATGTTGATATGCACTCCAGATGTTAATTCAGGCCACCATTTTCTCTTACCTATACCATTGCAAAGGTCTCCTGATTATTCTCATATCATGTCTCTAGTCTTGCCACCTGTCTCCAATTCATTTTCCATACTGCAGCTAGTGAAATGTTTCCAAGTCACAAATAAGATCTTGTTATTCACATGCCAAAAACTCATCAATAGCTCCCTTTTGTTCTCAGTTAAAAAAAAAAAAAGAGAAAAATCCTAATCATTTAACACAATTTATATGTTCCATCATGGACTGGTTCCTGCTTACCATTCCAGCCTCATCTGTTACCACATTCACCGTAAACAGAACTAGGTTTTGTGTGTGTGCGTGGAGTGTACCTTTTTGCCTGGCTAATTTTCTACTTGTCTTTTAAGCATCTGCTGAGATGTTCCTTCCTCTGTGAAGACTTTAAAACTTACAAAGACTACATTGGGTGCTCTCCTAAGTAGTCCCAGGAAGTATATGATAAGGGGCAGGTGGAAGCGGAATGTTGGCTGTGAATCTATGGAGGACAGTGAAACAACATCATTTGGACATTGGAAATGTAATAAAACAGATAATATTTTACATATCAGAACTTCTCTCAGCAAATATACTGTATGAGATAGAAATAAATACCTTGATAAACAGATTGGTGTGGGTGACAGTTCTCCCAAGGGAGATGCTAAGCAAACATTCTCAATCCAACCACTCACACTCCCACCCTCCCAGCCAAACCTTGGGCATTCAAAAATGTGTGTGGCTATTTTTGTTGATGTCAGTATGGCTGGGAGCAGTATTGACATGGGGTGGACAGGGATATTATGATGCATGGGGATCGTCCCACACAAGGAAAAATTGTTCCACCCAAAATGCTAATAAAACCTCAATTGAGAAACACTATTGGGGGTATGCAAATCTGAGAACTGAGCCAAATTGCTCAGAATAAGAGTGGTTGAAAGTTGACACGTGAGAACTCCCAGCTCCACCCACAGCAAGGCAGAGCTCTCCCTTTTTTGTAAATAAATATTGAGTACCTGTTTTTTAAAATACTGGTTTAGGCTGGTTACAGTAGTTCATGTCTATAATCTTAGCACTTTGGGAGGCCAGAACAGGAGGATCACATGAGCCCAGGAGTTTGACACCAGCCTGGGAAACATCATGGGACACCATCTCTACAAAAAATAAAGAAAACTTAGTCAGGTGTGGTGTGTGTGCTTGTAGTTCCAGCTACTCAGGAGGCTAAGGTGGGAGGATATCTTGAGCCTGGGAGGCCAAGGCTGCAGTGAGTCATGTTCATGCCACTGCACTCCAACCTGGGTAACAAAGTGAGACCCTGTCTCAAAAAAAAAATTGATTTAAAGAAAATTAAAAAGCATATATTGGTTTGAAAAAGAGCCAAATTATTAGCCCCAGGGGCATCTAATATTTCCTTCTGGCTCTACTTCCCTGTACCTCTCTGAAGTTTTCACTGAGAACTTCTCTGTATTCTCAATTTAAGTTCAGAGACCATGCCCTATTGCATCATCATAATCTAATATAGTGTTTGACACATGATCAATGCTTGTATTAGTTCATTCTCACACTGCTATGAAGACATACCCAAGACTGAGTAATTTTTAAAGGACAGATATTTAATTGACTCACAGTTCCCTATGGCTGGGGAGCCTCAGGAAACTTACAATCATGGCAGAAAGGGAAGGAAACATGTCCTTCTGCACATGGCAGCAGGAGAGAGAATGAGAGTGGAGCGAAGGAGAAGCCCCTTATAAAACCATCAGATCTTCTAAGAACTTTATTATCATGAGAATGGCATGGGAGAAACTGGCCCCATGATTCAATTACCTCCCATCAGGTCCCTCCCATCACACGTGGGGATTATGGGAACTATAATTCAAGATGAGATTTGGGTGAGAACACAGCCAAACCATATCAATGCCCAATAAATTTTTCTGAAGTATGACTCCTCAAATCTAAATATTAGCCCTGATATTGTTTCTAAATTTCAGATCCACATTTTTATCACTAATTTTATATTTCCAGTTGAGCACTTCAAACTTAGCTACAAAACAGATCATCTACTTTGACTCTCTACCAAATTATACCAGTTCCCTTTATCATGGCAAATGCTATCATGACCCTCCCAATTGCCTATACCATAAGCCTGCAAGTCACTAATGTCTCCACCTGCTTCCTCACTTCCCCAAGCCTATGCATTCCATCTCCCAATTATCTCCTGTGTTATTTCTCTCTTCTCCATTCTCAGCACTCCAGACCCTAATTCAGGGTCTCTTATATATGTTATCGTAATTGCTTCCTAAGTCATATCTTCATCTCCATCTCCATGACTGTCATCTTTAGAACTGACATTATAAGACTGGCATCTTTAGAATGTCTTTACAACAACCAAAATAGGCCGGGTGCGGCGGCTCATGCGTCATCCCAGCACTTTGGGAGGCAGAGGTGGGCGGATCACTTGAGGTTAGGAGTTTGAGACCAGCCTGACCAACATGGACAAACCCCATCTCTACTAAAAATACAAAATTAGCCAGGCATGGTGGCGCATGCCTGTAATCCCAGCTACTCAGGAGGCTGAGGCAGGAGAATCGCTTGAACCCAGGAGGCGGAGGTTGCGGTGAGCTAAGATTGTGCCATTGCACTCCAGGCTGGGCAACAAGAGCAAAACTCTGTCTCAAACAAAAAAAAAAAAAAAAGAAAGAAAAAGAAAAAAGAACACTCAAAATAATAATAATTAATATTTTGTGGGGTTACTATAGTGCCAGGCACTCCTTTCCCTGTATTTTCTTTTTGATTAATCAAAACAGCTATAGTTTTAAATAACTTCCCAAGGTTTTTCAGTCAGGGAACAGAGATAAGATTTAAACCTAGGTAGCCTGGTTCAGAGCTGTACTAGGTAAGGCTGTATAACCTTTTGGAAGTCTCTGCAGCTTAAACATATGATAACCCACCTGAAAACCAGCTCCTCACAAGCCAGTTTCTGACTTTTTAAAAAAAGTATAAATTTTTCTTAAGCATGTTTGAATTTTGTAAGTAAATTTTTCTAGCTGGTCTGTAGTAATCATTTCAAAACATATACATATATCAAAACATCACATTGTACACTGTAAAGACATTCAATTTTTATTTGCCCATTATGCCTCAATTTAAAGCTGGGGAGAAATGAAATACATAAATAATTTTTTTTTAATGATAGAATCTCACTCTGTCACTCAGGCTGGAGTGCAGTGGTGCAATCTCAGCTTACTGCAACCTCCTCCTCCCAGGTTCAAGCGATTCTCATGCCTCAGCCTCCGGAATAGCTAGGATTACAGGCACGTGGTACCACTCCCGGCTAAGTTTTGTATTTTTTTTAGTGGAGACAGGGTTTCACCATGTTGGTCAGGCTGGTCTCAAACTCCTGACCCCAGGTGATCCACCCGCCTCGGCCTCCCAAAGTGCTGGGATTAGAGGTGTGAGCCACAGCGCCTGGCCATAAATAAAAATTTTTTAATTAAAAAAAGAAACCTGATTTTTTTAGCTCCATTGCCACCATCTCCCTCTGTCTTCAGAATTTAAGCACAATTGTCTGTTGTATGTGCCATATTATTTCACATACATGCTCTCTGTGTGATTTTCCTCCCCTGGTGGATGACCTGCTTCTGGCATTTTTTTGAGCTAAGGCTTGCTCAGTATCCTGTTTCCAGAGCAGCTAATGTACTGAAAATGTGAGTGGTGGTTATGTTATATGAGGAGGGCTGAGGTTAATAGGCCAAAGAAGGGGCTCCAGTGAGTTGTCAGACAAGAGGTCGAGGATGAAATTGGGAGCCTGTGCAGGGGATCAAGGGGTTCCTAAGCCAGAAACCCATGGGGGATGGGGCAATAGAAGGATGGCCTGGACATGCTGGCAGGTGGGGACTGCTGCCTATCTTGGCCTTCTTGTGTTCCTTGCTGTGTGATGCTTAAACGGGTAGGTGCTTCAAGGCGCTAAGCAGCCAGCCTGTCATGCACCACTTTCCCTTGTCTGCCTATGCATTTTTCAAGGTTCAGCTTTAGGGTTATTCCTTTTTTTTTTTTTTTTTTTTTTTTTGAGACGGACGCTTCCTCTGTTGCCCAGGCTGGAGTGCAATGGTGCAGTCTCAGCTCACTGCAACCTCCACCTCCCGGCTCAAGTGATTCTCCTGCCTCAGCCTCCCGAGTAGCTGTGATTACAGGGGACGTGCCACCGCGCCCAGCTAATTTTTGTATTTTTAGTAGAGATGGGGTTTCACCATGTTGGCCAGGCTGGTCTTGAACTCCTGACCTCAGGTGATCCACCCGCCTCGGCCTCCCAAAGTGTTGGGATTACAGGCATGAGCCACTGCGCCCAGCCAAGGGGTCATTCCTAAATCTTCCTCCCGTCTGCATTAATGTCCCTTCTCTGTGCTTCTCACACTATTTATGAGACTGTCAACTCCTTGAGGGAAGGCATTGTGGCTTTTCTTTTCTGTATTCAATACCACCAGAATCTAATAATCATTGCCTCTAAATACATTACAGGGAGGTAGAGGTTGGCTTACCATAAGAGAAATTTTTTACAGTATATTGTATATAAGCAGAGTATAGACTAGTGGCTAAGAATCTAGCCTTGGTGTCATACTGCCTTTGTTCAAATTTCAGCCTTCTGTGTTACCTTGAGCAGTTTAATCTGTCTGTGCCTCATAAAATGGAGATAATATTACCTATGTCATTAGGTTGTTGTGCGAATTAAATGAAATAACACATGAAAAATACTTGGCTCCATTCCTGGTATCTTGTAAGCACTTAGCAATGTTAGAAATTACTACTTTTCTCCTAGTTATTATGATCATTTACTAGCACTGTATCACAACGAGGTGGGTTGTTTTGGGAAGCAATGAGTCACCTTTTATTGAAAGTATTCAAGCAGCAGCAAATCCAGCAGAGATGCTGTAGAAGCAGTTCCTGAGTTAAAAAGATTAGATGACTTCTAAGAATGCTTCTAATCATAGAAGAGGGAAGCTCTTTCTCTGATTCTAGGAAAGTGTGATCATTAGTGTTACTTCTAGCAAAACTGAGGATTGTTAGAACAGGGGGAAAAGGCACTGGAATTGGCCACATGCATATATTACAAAAAACAAAATATTTTCTTTGTGAGCAGTTGTTTTACTTATGTTGTAACCCACATGGCAAATCAGGCCCTTACATGGAAATTCATCTCTTCTCAAAAGGACTAGCTTGGCCCTGCCAAAATGGAACAGACAAAACTTTAAAGACTGTTCTAGCCCTACTGAAATGTCTTTTCCTTTTGAAAGCAGTCTATTAGTGATGCAAATGCAAAGTTATTTGGACAGACGATAATCTCAGCAAACAAAACACTGAAGTCATTAGAACTTTCTTGTGCAGCTTTCAGTCCTGAGAATTTGGCTTTCTGGCACTAAAAAGGCAGAGGCCGGGTGCAGTGGCTCATGCCTGTAATCCCACCACTTCAGGAGGCCGAGGCAGGCGGATCATCTGAGGTCGGGAGTTCAAGAGCAGCCTGACCAACAAGGAGAAATCCCATCTCTACTAAAAATACAAAAATTAGCTGGGTGTGGTGTTGCATGCCTGTGATCCCAGCTACTTGGGAGGCTGAGGCAGGAGAATCGCTAAGAACCCGGGAGGCAGAGGTTTCAGTGAGCTGAGATTGCACCCTTGCACTCAAGCCTGGACAACTAGAGCGAAACTCCTTCTCAAAAAAAAAAAAAAAAAAAAGGCAGAGGAAAAGAGCAGACCTGGCTTCCATTTGGGATAATTTGTCAGGTCTGCTTATCTGAATCCTTGGCTAATTATTCTTGCGCTTGGCCTAAACATGCCAAACAATTCTCCAAATGTGGACAAACTGAAGGAAGGCCTGTAATCTGGGTCCTGGGCAAGTACCTTAAACAAGCAAAAGCAAGACCTTTGGCTATGGAATAACATTTATAGTCAGGAGTTTCTCAAGATACCAGAGCCTGAAGGTAGATCCATCGAGAAGATATTCAATGATATGCACTCCTAAGGCAATAATTTAAGTGATACTTTCATATTACTGATGCTTTAAAATTTAATAATTAAAAATTACACAACTGAAAGGCTACTTATATAGGTGAAGAGATAACCATTTTCAAACATCAATTTAGTCAACAGATACTCAAAGTAAACAATTTGAGAATTTAGTACATATGCAATTTTCCTATGAGCAAAAGGATTCAAAAGATTTTTTGAAAAAGTATGAAGCAGTTAACTCTAAGTAGTTTGCTCTACTATTAATTTATTATACTTATCCTTAACAGGTTTGATGAGACCTAGTTTCTCAGGAGCCACGAGGTATTAGGGAATATTAGTGGTTAGAAGGTGTGGTGCCTAAGGGGATTAGGAAAGCATTTCTGAAGCAAAACTCCAACGTGGTATTGCCAAAGTGGCCATCACCTAATTGATTAAAGCTCCTGCAAATGTCTATTGGGAAGTTCAATGAGAACAGAAAAATAACCTTCCATTACCCTCAAGCTTTCTTGGGCAAGTATTAACAATCGGAGCTGGAGTCCACATAGCTCAGATGTAAGACGCGCAATCTGGGTCTTAAGCAGGGTGGGGTTTTTGGGTAGGTAAGGTCACAGCTAAAGAGCTTCCGGATCGTCACGTGTTTATATTTCAGGTGCGGTAATAGATCTAGTCCACTCTCCACCCCTTCTTTACAGGGTTGCTTGACAGCCTGCGCAGTCCCCGCCCGTCTTTGATAATCCAACCCTCTTCGAAGAGGGAGGTCAATCACTGCTTTAGTTCTGCGCTCTGCCTGCCTCCCACGCGGGATGGTGGGCAGCTGTTCCGCGTGTTTTCCTCCCGGAGCTTTCACGCTCTGCCCACTGCACACACCTCCCTCGCGGCCCTCCTGGCCTGCCCTCCTTTGCACCCTGGCAGGCCAACTCCAAGGGTCCGAGTGTCGGTGACAGGGGCAAGCAAGCACAGCTCACTTTTCCTGGGGGTTTTCCTCACGGTGTGTTTAGTGACCCCTCCCCGCAATCCCAGAAAGGCTGCAGCACTCCATGGTATCCTACATGTAGCTGCTTCTAAAATAATAAAGGCTGGGACATTGGCTGTCTTGGATATTACCACTATGCTACCTGCTTGGAACTGGGACCAGATAGACCAAGGTCCAACTTTGTCGTTAGGGGAATCAGAAACGAAAAGAAGCCACTTTCTGCTAGTCCTAACCCCGGTCCCTGGGCCAGGCAAACCTTTTCAAGCGTCCGGCGGCAGCGGCCGGGCGCGGGTCCGCAGAAAAGCCGAGGCGTTTCGGGTCCCAAGCTGTTCCGCCGCCGGCCCCGGCCTGGCAGGCGCGCGGAGCCGGAACGCGCAAGGGGTCGGGTGCGCGCCAGGCCTGGCGCGCTCCCTCCGGGATCGCGGCTGCGCAGTCGGGCGGGAGTCGGGAAAAGGGGAGGAGGTTGGAGGAGCCGGAGTAAGGGGAGGGGGAGGAGCGGCGAAAGCGGAAGCCATGTTGGAGTTTCACCCCGAGCGAGGGGCTGCGAGGGTTCTCCTCTCCTTGTGGGTGTGACCAGGTTCGGCGCGGCGGCGGGCCGCGGGGGGCGGGGACGATTGGCCGCTTGTCGTCGTCCGCAGCGGCGTGAGGGGAGCGGCGGCGGCGGCGGCGGCCGCAGCGTGGAGCCGGGTGATTGTGACCGCCGGGGGAGCCGGGAGCCGGCCGCGGCGCCCTCTCTCCGTGTGGCCCCCTGAGCGGCCCCCCTCCCCTGCCCGGGAGGGAGGCGGGGGGCACCTGGGGCCCGCCATGAACCCCGGCTTCGATTTGTCCCGCCGGAACCCGCAGGAGGACTTCGAGCTGATTCAGCGCATCGGCAGCGGCACCTACGGCGACGTCTACAAGGTAAAGGCAGGGGCCGCGCGCCGCCGAGGCCGTGGGATCCCGACCCGCAGCCAAGCCTGGGCGTCCGAGCCCTTGCCGCCTGTCCTCGGGAGACGCTGGCGCCAGGGAGCAGTCGGGGAGGAGGAGCTGCGGACGCCAAGGGCTCTGCTGCCTTGGTGAACAAAGGGCCGAATGTTTAACCCCGAGACCTCCCCAGCCCTTACCTGAGCCCCCCCGGTGGACATGATTTTTGCCACCTCCCTTCTTGCGCGCATTTCCAGGGAAGGGCAGAACGAGAGCAGGCCACACTGCTCATCCATAGTGCAGAGAAGGTCTGGGCGTTTGTTGCGTTGGCAGGGTCAGCGCGACGAACCGGACAGCAGGGGTCTGGTGTTGTCAAACCTGCCTGCTTCACGCCAACCTGGGGTCGTCCGCTCTAGGTTGGGAGCTGCTGCCCACCAGGCCTCGGTGGTAGTTATTATACTATGCTGAGCGACCTCCATCTTCCATCGACAGCTCTCAGCCTTTAGCGCCTTATTCATCCCCCTGTCAGTTTCTTTTAATTTTCCAGAGTAATGACTTTTTTTTTTTTTTGGAAAGAGCAACTTTGTTTTCTCTAAGTCGAATTGGACTGCGATGCCATTTAAACTTGTTTTTTAAAAAGTGACTTGAATACTTAGGGAAGGTACTGGTTTGACAAGGTTAGAATTCAAAGTCCAGTAGCGGTACAGCATTCCTGTTGTAGAGGGACCACTTCTAAATGTGGGAAGATAAATCACTCTTCCCTGGCCAACTCAACTCTTGGCCTCACAGTTACTGCCAAGAAGAGAGGAGGTTGTTGCCAAATGTGGCAGCAGTCTTGATTTAGTTGTGTATCTTCTTACTGGTAACTGAAGTTGAACTCCTCCAGTTTCACATAACACCTGAGGATGCACAAAGAAACTTAATTTTGCATTGGAAAGTTCAGTCTTAACTTTATTTTGCCCATGTTTAAGCAGGTTTTTACTCTTCAGTGTAATGCCTGTGGTAACTTACATATTTAATACAGTGCAGCCAGTGTTCTGCTTTAGTCTGATTTTCTGGATGATCTACTTTTCACCATCGTGGATCTCATCACTTTTCCTACTATGCAATATAGATATATTGAGCCCACCTACAATGTATGAGATACTTGGCAAGTAAGCACTTTGGGTTGTAGCAGTAAACGATAGACTTGGTTCCAAATCTTCCTAAGTGTTTCTATTTTTTTGGACAAGGACAGTATTAAATAGCCATTTAAATAATTATTGCCGTTTAATTTTGTGATGCAGAAAAGAGTATTAGGATCAGGGTTATGAGAGCATGTAATAGGAGGACCTGATCCTGTTTAGGGTATCAGACGCTCATCGCCTTTCAGCTGAGATCTCAGAGATGATTAGGCGTTGCTTAGGGTACTGGGGAGAGGGGATTACGCCAGATAGGGGAGCATGATATGTGAAGGCTCTGAGGCCCGATGTGAAAGAAGGCCTGTATAGCCTGAGCAGCCAGAGCGGGAGGGTGGCCCTAGATCTTGCAGGCCTCTTAGTTCTCATTAGGAGATCGGACTTGTTTAGGACAATGGGGAACTATTGCAGGCTTTTAAGCAGAGGAGTGACATTAGATTTAGGTTTTTAAAAGAGCTCCCTACTACAGCATGAAGAGTGGAATGGAGCAGTTGGGAGGCCACTGTGATAGTCTAGGTAAGAATAATGGTGTTAAGGAATATGGTGATGACTGTGAAAGTAGAAGTGGATGGATGCAAGTCACTTATGACTGGTTGGGGGAGTTCGCTTATATTGCGATGAAAAGTTAACTAAAACTCGATGAATGTATACGTTTTAGGTGGCAGGGTATACAGTGAATTTTTTTACAGGACTAATTGGCTGTGTACTTGCTATATTAAAAAGAACAGTTAGTAGTTAAGCCACATGATTAAAAAGCAAAAAAAAATTAGGGCCTGTAATTTCCTAAGTGTAATAGAGGTATACTAAGTTGGTTAATCTTGTCATTCGTTTAAAATAATGATAATACTAGCTGATGTTTATGGAATGCTTGTTACTTGCCAGGCACTATAAGATTTTTCTAATTAATCCTAACAGCAACCCTGTGAGATAGGTGCTATTGTTAACTCCATTTTGCAGTTGAATAAACTGAGGCACAAGGAGATTAACTTGCCAAAGTTGGTAGGTGGCAAAGCCAAAATTTGAACCAATTAGGGACTGTATTCTTAACCAATTGGCAGTGCTGCCTCTCTAAAGATAGGAGATGGGCAGATAATGTATTACATTTCCAGTGGAGAAACTGAGGCACACATTTAGTTTAGCATTTGAGTTGTAGCCACACTCTGAGTCAGTGTAGATCTTTAAGTAGTAGTTGGAATACCTAATTCCTGCTGTGCCACAAGGTCTCACTGTTTATGTAGTCTGCCAAGTGGATATCAGATAATAGATGCTTGGTCCCTGCCTGCCAGACTCTTCCAATACCAGTGACCAAAGCAGAGAAACTTCATGTGGTTCTTGACATCATGTACCCCTGCCTGCCAAACTCTTGTTTATGTTTTTGTCTATAATCAAGTTTATTCTATAAAGTTACATTTTTTTGTTATTTGTTTTGCTGTTTTAGTTTTTTCTTATTTATACAAATTAATTGTGCTAGAGAGAAGTACATTTTGTTTTCAAAAGCCAATATATATAATTTGTTCCTTAATTTGTCAGCATTTACGTGCTAAAAATGGAATGATTGGATTAAATAAATAAGAGATCCGATTATAGTCATTCTTGGAAGGTTGGTGGAGATTTTTATTTTGAAAATGTTTTCCTACTCAATGTAATAACATATTTATTGTACTTAAGGTGGCGTGGTTTAGTTCCAAAGCACTGAACAAGGATGTGGACAATCTGGGATTTATTAGCTATGTGACCTTGTGAAATCAACCTCTCAGAGCTGTTTTGTTGTGGAGATATTATTACCATCATATGCCCTTCTTCTTTTGGTATTGACTAAATGACTCAAATTTTACTTAGTAAGTAAGTTATCTTTATTTTTTTCAGGCCAATGCATATATACATTTTATCTGCACTGTCTAAAGTCGTATCTTGTAAGTGTCGTGTAACTCTGCAGGCTTTATCTGTCATGAAGTGCCTGCAGCTTGGGTTACCTAGGGACCTAGGAGCTGGCAACTGAAGCTCTTTAGTTGGGCCTCAGGAGGCCCATGGAGTGCTCTGAAATTAATAGGCTTAATGTTGTATGTATTTGTGTTTTTCTGTGGAGATGGGTTATAGCATTCATTGCATTCTTAAAGAGCTTCATGATCCAAAAAAATGAAAAAATGATCCATAGGTTTGCCATTCAAAAAAGTTTTCTTGGAGAAATTAGGTAGTTATAATAGATCATAATATGATTTTCACATGCATTGTGCCATCTTTTGTCAGGCAGTTTTCCAGTTTAATTTTTATTATTCCTACCCTTTAAGTCTTGATGTCCTTATGTTTTTCTAGATTTTTTGCTAGAAAGAAGCAGGAGATAGTAAAGCTGGAGATGGGATAAGGCAAAAGAAGTTTTGAAAGAATAGTCTCAATATGGTTTCTGAGGAAGTATCTTACCTAGTCTTATGGTTTTAGTCTGGTCCCTGTGAATGATTCCTAGCCTGTGTATCCAAGACTGGATACACAAAGACTCCAGGCTGTAAGCCTTAGAGTCATCTTTAGTGACTTCTGGACTGGGCTTCTTAGGCATTAGCTAAATTCTGTACACAGGCATTTTCCAAAGTGTGGTTGGGGTGCTTCAGGAAAAGCCATACCATGAGTAGGTTAAAGACTGAGAAGTCCTATGGTAAAGAAACCTGGTAAACTTTGCTTAACCTAGCAAACTCCAAACTTACTTGACTATTAGATTCTTTTTCTCTGTAATACATATTGCTTGTCCTTAGTACTAGTGTTTTGTAGAACATGCTTTGGAAACGTTGATATTGATTTTTTTTCACCTTTGTGTGTTTGGAAGCCATTCCCTCTGAAGCACGGGCTGCCGTGTTGTTAAGCTTCCAGGTAGGATTCACATCGTAGTCTGTGTAAATAGATTTAAAGTGTCTGTGAAAGCTGGCAGGAAAAAAGGTGAGGATTGGGCAGTAAAATAAGGAAACCAATTTATATGCATTTAGATAATTACGTGTTAGTTTATTTGTAATTATGCATCTTTCAAGGTGTTCTATTTAATATCATCATAGACTAATTCTTCCATTATAATCAGCATTTGTGAGAACCTTTCTGGAAAACTCAATTCTTAAACCTAACGGATAAGGAATATGAAGACCTTAAGCATTTAGAAAAGAACATTTGAAGGAAGCTCAAACATTGTTATTTGGAGTTATGCTCACTTCTATTTACTTCCATTTAGGATAGACTCTAATAGACTCTAGAGAGACCAGAAGAAATGGCCCTAAACTTCAGAAAGATCATTTGAAGTTGAATAAGGTAGAATTTCCCATCATCAGTTGCTATTTGAGATGAAAAGTGACAATGAAACAGGTAGCGAGGTAATTTTTCTAGAGTGTTTGAAAAACAAACAGGTTTTCTGACTTTGATGCAGATCTGATTACCTAAAGGAAGTACTTACCTCCAGCCTTTGATCTGTATATGTATTTATTGGTGAAACGTATCTAATGCATCATTTTGTATTAAGAATGAATAGTAAGTTCTCTCATGAGAGTACATTGAACAGCCATCATACATTGAACAGCTGTAATATGAGAGGAAATGTGTTATGAACTGTGAGTAGAGTAGCAGAAATGACAAGGCTTGGTACTTGGTATTTACAGGAACATAAAATGTGTACCTGCTATTAGCTGTCATAGTTTGAGATCAGAACCTTTTGGTTTCCTCATTTATATCATATTAAATCTCTTGCTGGCTGAGAGACTCTCTAGATACTCCATAATTGCACAACCGACCTCTGTAGCACAGCATAGTGATTTGAGAACAGGGTTCTGGAGCCAGGCTGCCTAGTTTCACCACCCACTAGCTTTGTCCTTAGGCCAATTACTTAATCCCTCTCTGTGTGTCTCAGTTTCCTCAGCTGTAAAATGGAGATGCTTAGAAAAGTGCTTGGGACAGTACCTGACACAAAAAAGTGTGGTCATTGTTAATTGCTGTTAGTGTCTAGAAGTATTTATTATTATGTATTTCTCCTCCTACTGTCCTTCTAACCAACTGCATTCCTCATGCTTTGCCTCAGGGTTTTTAGCTTGCTGTCTCTGCCTAAAATCCACCCCTCCCCACCAATATCTGTTTGGCTTGCTTCTTCGTTTAAAGTCTCAGCTCAAATGTCATCTTTTAATGAGCCTGCTCCTTTCCACCCTACAAAAAACAGCACTTCTCCCACCACTTTCAGGGATACAGTTCAGGGATGGATCCAGGTTTTACGGGACCTGAAGTTGATGCAGTTTTGGGGACCCTCATTAAGAAAACAAAACTAGAATTAAAAAAGGTATGAAAGTGAATCTTTAGAATGAGAAAAGATATCCCAACAAAATACTGTAACCTTAGGTCCCTTTCTTCTGAGACTTCCTTAGGCATTTAATCACAAATGCTCACAAAAAAATGCTTTCTGATGACTCCCTGGCTCCCTGTCTCCACCTGGAATACTCTACATGTCCCAGCAACTCTCAGCACTCATAGAGGACCATGCAAGTGAAGGGGCCTGAACTTTAAGTTTTGTTAGCTTCACAAAAAATTCAGTTGGACTCTTTACTTAATTTTTAATTATGGCATGTATCACCACATGTTTATTTGTTTATAGCCTGTCTCTTCCCACTAGAGTATAAATCCAGGAAACTGGTGATTTTGCTTTGTTCATTGCTGTATCCCCAGAGCCTAGAAGAGTAGCTGACCCATATTAGGTTCTTAATAAATATTTATGGAATGAATAAATGAACCAACACGAGAGGAACAAACCATGGCTACATGAGTTTAGAGGAAGGAGATCATTATTTCTGACTGGGAGAAATCACAGCAGGCCTTGCAGAGGAGGTGGCATTGGGCTTGACTTAGAGTTCTGGCAATAGTGGGTACAGAATGAGTTAAATGTAATGGGTTATTATTAGGTCTTAAATCTAATCAGTAGGGTTAATGTATCTTTGGCATATTAAGCAATGTTCATAATTGTTATATGCATATGAAGATACTCCGTCATTTTGAACTAAATACCCCTAGTGACTGACTAGTGAATACAGCAGTAGGCTATCACATATGACTTTTATTTTGTTTTTTTTAAAATACGATTAAATTGGGCTTTTAGGAAGAGGACTTTGTTCACCAATACAAAAAAAACCTTCGATTCAAGAGATGAAATCATGTTTCTTTTTTAATTTTTATTTATTTTTTCATACCACCTTTATATGTACAAAAATCATATTTCTTTTCTGCTTTAGGTTTTTTTTAGTCTTTTTTTGTTCTGGAAGATGCCACATTTCTGAGTTCTAACTGCCTTGACCTGATTATAGGTTTGGTTTCCTAATGTAATAATGTACTGCCTACCTTAGCCCTTAAACTCTATAGAATAATTTTAGATTTGACCATAAATTTACATATGTTGAAATAAGACACTTATTTTGTTTGTTTAAGCTCTTAGAAATTTGAGATTGTAAAAATTCTTTCTGTATAAAGGATCATCTACCTTACCTTGCTCAAAGAATCTCCTCTTCATCGCCTGTATGCTAACCTACATACACCATGATAGTAAGGCCTCCCCAGCCATGTGGAACTGTGAGTCAATTAAACCTCTTTCCTTTATAAATTACCCAGTCTTGTGTATGTCTTTATTAGCAGCATGAGAACAGATTAATACATGCCCCTTCCCAGCCAGTCATAAATACCACCCACCCACAATTATTGTTCTCCTTTCGGTCACCATGAAAGCTCTTTTAGAACTTTGTATAAATGAATCATGAGTGAATTGCCTCAGCACTTTTGATGAAAATCAGTTGACAGTACACATGTGAGTATATCTGGACTCTTGTTCTTTTGAGCTGTATGTCTATACTTTCACCAATACCTCAGTGTCTTGTTTACTGTAGCTTTATCAAAAGTCTTGAAATTAGGCAGAGTGGGTCCTCCAATTCTGTTCTACCTTTTCAAAATGGTTTTATCTATTCTAGGTCCTTTGCTTTTCCATACAAATTTTTGAATCAGCTTTTCAAGTTAAATATAAAAGCCTACTGGAATTTTGTCTTAACTTTAAATTTTGAGATACATAATTCTAAATTCATTGCAAAAAGAGGAAAAGAGGTCTCATGTACCCAACACCCACCTTCCCCCAGTGGTGATATCTTTACATACCTATAGTGCATTATCAAAACGAGGAAATTAGTTGGCACAATACAGTTAACTAAGCTTTAGTCAGATTTCACCAGTTTTTGTATGCATTCATTTTTTATATCTTTGTATATAATTTTGTGATATTTTATATACACAGCCTGCTGGGATTGTGTGGGATCTGTCACTCAGTTAGTGGAGAATTGAGATCTTAAAAACATTGAGTCTTCTGATCTATGAATATGATATACCTTTACATTTATTTAGATGATCTTTATCTCATCAATATGTTGCTTTATTTTAATTAATTAATGTTATCCCTGGCTTTTCCTACTAATATTGCAGTGAAACATAATTGTGGAAAACTTCTCCAGGATTGCGTAGTAATTATAATGTGAGCCATATTTTCAGTTTTCATTAAAATTCTCATTGTACTAGTAGTTTCTGACTTCCTTTGGCTTAGTCTTGTTCATTTTTAACCCTGAGCATATGGACTCCTTTTTTTTTTTTTTTTTTTTTTTTTGAGACGGAGTCTCGCTCTGTCGCCCAGGCTGGAGTGCAGTGGCGCTATTTCGGGTCGCTGCAACCTCCGCCTCCTGGGTTCAAGCAATTCTGCCTCAGCCTCCCGAGTAGCTGGGATTATAGGCATGTGCCACCATGCTGGGCTAATTTTTGTATTCTTAGTAGAGACGGGATTTCACCATGTTGGCCAGGCTGGTCTCGAACTCTTGACCTCGTGATCCACCCGCCTCAGCCTCCCAAGGTGCTGGGATTACAGGTGTGAGCCACTGCACCCGGCCCATGGACTCCTTTTAATAAAAATTGACAAAAATGAAAGGGAAACAGGCAAAATGACTATTTAAAAAGATATCCATTTTTTCTATGTATCCAAAGATTTTTTTTTTGAGGCAGAGTTTTGCTCTTTCTCTTGTTGCCCAGGTTGGAGTGCGATGGCATGATCTCAGCTCACTGCAACCTCTGCCTTCCGGGTTCAAGCACTTCTCCTGCCTCAGCCTCCCGAGTAGCTGGGATTACAGGCACCCGTCACCACGCCCAGCTAATTTTTTGTATTATTTTAGTAGAGATGGAGTTTCGCCATGTTGGCCAGGCTGGTCTCGAACTCCTGACCTCAGGTGATCACCTGCCTCAGCCTCCCAAAGTGCTGGGATTACAGGCGTGAGCCACTGTGCCGGCCCCAAAGATTATAACAAATACCTTATAAAACTTGGTTTACTTTTATATATGAGATGTGTGTGTTTCTGTGTATTTTGCAAAACTCACAGCTTTTGAGCTTATTAAAGGAAAATACACTTAAAGTTTACTTCATCCTTAAGTGAAAAATAACACTGCTAGGTTGTTTAGGAGATCCTAAAGAAAATTCTTACCCTGAGGAACTTAAACCCTGATATAAGGAAACAAAATCTGCATGTATGGAACATCTAAGGAACATGCCTAAGGCACTATTTTAACAATTAGAAGAAAACAATAAAACTATATAAATACTGTAGGAATTTTAATTTAAGGGAAAAATAAGTTGACTTCCTGAAAGAGTGAATCTTGACCTGGGACTTGAAGAAAAATTGTATTTGCGATTGTGGAGAACTGTGAAGTCATACCAAAAGAGTAAATATGGGTTAAAAATACTGCTGTAGAACCTAAGTGGGCAAAGAAGTAATAAGACAACTATTCTAAGGAGACATATTGGGAAATGTGGTAGATAATGTTTCACATATATAAGATACAGATAAATGAATGCCAGTTGAAGAATTTAGAACTCACTTGACCTACAATGTAGTATTTTTCAAATTCATTAGGGCCACTCTTTTCTCTAACGTGCTTGGGTAGCTATTTAGATGGTATTCAATAAGTTTTATTTCTTCCCTTTCATCTCTATTGATTTAGAAGTTAAAAGATTTTACTTTTATGCTTTTGGTGGTTACCGTTAAATTTGCAACTTGTGTAATTAGTCTGAAGTTAACTGATCTTTCTCTGTTCTCTTTCTGGTCAGTATGTGGATTTTAGAAGGCTTAATTTCATTCACTACCTTACTGTTTTGTGTTGTCTCTTACTTTGGTTCTACTGTTCTTAAATGTCCCAGTTTAGTTTTTATTATTGTTTTATACAGACAGTGCTTCTTTACATTTACGTGTAGGAGTTTTCAATTTCTTTGCTCACTGTTTCTTCTTGGCCTTATATTCCTTCATTCTGGGTTCAGATTTCTTTAATCTTGAAGCTGTATTTGGTAGGATTTTTTTTCTTTCTTTTAACTTTTCTTTTTAAGTGAGGAACTGTATAAGGTAAACTCAGTCTTCCTCCTCCCCCTCCTCATTGTCTTTATTTTGTCTTTACTTTTAAATCATAGTTTAGTGGGGTATAGAACTCTAAATTAACGGTTGTTTTTTTCTCAGCACTTTGAAGATCTTTTGTTGTCTTCTGGTTACCTGTTGTGCTGTGGAGAAGTCTGTTGTCAATATAATTATTGTTGCTTTTAGCTAATCTTACTTTTTCTTTCCTCCCTGTTTGACTTTTAAGATTTTTTTCTTTGATTCTGGTGTGTACAGTTTCACAGTGTTATGTGTGGATTTTAATAAAAATATTTACTGTTTTTCTTTAATCTGAAGAGTAGCGTATTTCCTCAGTCCTGGAAAATTGTAAACTGCAATATCTTTGATACCTTTCTTCCCCTATCTCTTTCTTGTTTCTCTTTAGAGCTCGTGTTGTATTCTTTAACTTTGTTATAGTTCTCCATGACTTCTCATGATTTTTCTCTTTATTCTGTGTCATGTATTATGGTTCTTATCTTTATTATCTTTAATTATGTCTGTCTAATCTGCTGTTTGAAACTTTCATTTTTTAAAAAAAGTTTGCTTTTTAAAAAATAATTTCAATTCACAGGATAATTGCAAAGAATGAGAGAATAATAAAAATAAAATAACTCTCATACATCCTTTCCAAGATTCACCGATGGCTAATACTTTACCACATTTATTCTCTGTATATATACATATTTTTTTTTTCTGAACCATTTGAGAGTAAGTTGCAGACATCAAACTCCTTTACCCATAAATACTTTGATGTGTATTCTCAAAATGAAAGACATTTACTTAAACTGCAATAAATTATCAAAATCAGGAAATTTAAATATTAAGACAATACTATTATTTGATCTACAGACCTTATTGAAATTTCAGGAGTCCCAGTAATGTCTATTATAGCATTTTCCCCCCAACTCCAGAAATCCAGGAGAATCATATGCTATTTTTAGTTTCTAAGACTCTTCAGTCTCTTAACCTAGAAGAGTTTTTCAGCCTTTGTCTTTTAGACACCAACATTTTTGAGTAGTACGCATCATTTATTTTGTAGAATGCCCCTCATTTGTTTAAATTCATGTTACACATTTTTTGACGGAAATTTATAGTGATGTGTATCCTCAGTGAATCGTATCAGGAAGAACATGATGTTGATTAGTCCCCTTATTAATGTTGATTTTGATTATTTGGTTAAGGTGGGTGTGCCAAGTTTCTTCACTATCAGATTATCTCTTCCTTTTCTAATTAATAAGTAAATTATGGGGAGATACTTTGAGACTATATAATATTTTGTTCCTCATCAAACCTGTACCCACTAATTTTAATATCCAAGTTGATTTCTACTTGAATTATTACTATAATGGTTCCCAAATAATGATTTTCTAACTCCGTTAATTTCTTCTACATGTATTGGTTGACATTCTACTGTGAAGAACTATTTTTGTTTATTTATTTTTTGGCTCATGGATTCTTCTTTTATTCATTGGGTTTTGATTCATCACTTTTATTTTGATGCTCAAACAATTTCAGATTTGGCCAGTTGGATTTTATCTTAGCTAGGACTGCCGTAACAACATACCACAGACCAGGTGGCTTAAATGACAGAAATTAATTTTCTCACAGTTCTGGAGGCTAGACATTCAAGATCAAGATGCCAGGTTTCTAGTGATGCTCTCTTTCTGGCTTGTAGATGGCCTTCTTACAGAGAGAGAGGGCATACTTTCTGGTGTCTCTTCTCATAAGGGCACTTATCCCATCCTGAGGCCTTCCCTACCTCAGGAACTCATCTAAACCCAGTTATCTCCAAAAAGCCCCATCTCCAGATGCTGCCACATTGAGGGTTAGGTCTTCAACATGTGGATTTTAGAGGGACACAGTTCAGTCCGTAGCAGATTGCATTGCTTTTTACATTTTATTAATTATATTCCTAGATATGTGTTATTCTTTTTCAAGTCTTTGTATTCTTGTTGCATACTTAATTGTTCTTAGTGCTTTCGGATTAGTCTATAATTTCAAATTTTGGGGGATTTCATCTTGCAGTTTGTTGCTTTGTTTTATGCTGACTCATGCCTGTGAATTTCTATGTTAATTTTGAATTCATCTACTTTTTTTCTGTAAGAATCTTTGTGGTTTAAATTGACAGCTGAGTGGAGGGGCTGGGGGGGTGGTGGGGAGTGGGTGGGAGACTGTGGCTGTCCTTCCAAAACAGTTTTGCTTTTGTTTCTTCCAGTAACCTCATGAGTCTTTTTGGTCTTGGATTTTTATTTTAATTTCTCAGTTTGGGATTCCCCACATCTTATAGATAATACAAACTTGAACCCCAAATCAAAAGAGCAATGACTCTTGGATTTGAATTCTTGGAGGACTGTTTTTCTTCTACCCAAACACAGACTTTGTTGTTATCCTCTTGTGCTTGTAGGTAACTTTTTTTTTTTTTTTTTTTTTTTTGAGTCAGGTTATAACTCTGTCACCCAGGCTGGTGTGCACTGGCACAATCAAGGCTCACTGCAGCCTCAACCTCCTGGGCTCAAGTGATTCTCTCACCTCAGCTTCCCAAGGTAGCTGGGACTACAGGTGTCCACCACCTTGCCCACCTAATATTTGTATTTTTTGTATAGACAAGGTCTCACTATGTTGCCTTGGCTGGTATCAAACTCCTGGGCTCAGGCAATCCTCCCACCTCAACCTCCTAAAGTGCTGGGATTACAGGCTTGAGCCACTGCGCCTGGCCTAACCCTTTTTTAAAAAAACTGTTTTTGCTTTACTGAAGGCACAGTCCCTTCCAGAGTCCTAGCATTATTCGGGGGTCTCCGTTCCAATGTGCTGTTTTGAGTGGGCCCACGACTGTTCACCTGTACTCAGATGGTTTTAAAATCCCCAAGCACCTAGATTGCAGAGATCCACTAGACTTCCTTCCTCCATCCCCTCCCACCTTGATTCTAATTCCCCTCCCCCCTGTTGGTGGAAATCTCAATTCTGGTTTTCCACTTTCCATCTTAATTCAGTGTGATACATTTGTTAAAATTGATGAACCAGGCCGGGCGCGATGGCTCACGCCTGTAATCCCAGCACTTTGGGAGGCCGAGGCGGGTGGATCACCTGAGGTCAGGAGTTCGAGACCAGCCTGGCCAACATGGTGAAACCCTGTCTCTACGAAAAATATAAAAATTAGCTGGGTGTGGTGGCACACATCTGTAATCCCAGCTACTCAGGAGGCTGAGGCAGGAGAATCGCTTGAACCTGGGAGGCGGAGGTTGCAGTGAGCTGAGATCGTGCCACTGCACTCCAGCCTGGGCAGCAGAGCGAGACTCCGTCTCAAAAAAAAAAATTGATGAACCAATACTGATACATTATTATTATGTTAATTAAAGTTCATAGTTTACATACATTAGGCATCACTCTGTGTTGCACATTTTCTGTGCTTTTGACAAATGTTTCCATCAGTATAGTATCATACAGAATAGTTTCACTGCCTTAAAAATTCCATTTTCTATCTATTCATCTTCCATTCTCCTCTGCCCAACTCCAGGCAGCCACTGATCTTTTTACTGTCTCTATAGTTTTGTCTTTTCCAGAATGTCATATAATTGGAATCATACAATATGTAGCCTTTTCAGACTGTCTTCTTTCCCTTAGCAATATGCATTTAAGTTTCTTCCATAACTTTTTGTGGCTCAATACCTCATTTTTTAAAAATTACTGAATAATATCTCATTGTATGTTTATACCACAGTTTATTCATTCACCTATTGAAGAACATCTTGGTTGTTTGCAGGTTTTGGCAATTATGAATAAAGCAGCTATAAATATCCATGTGTAGGTTTTTATATGGACATAAATTTTCAGCTCATTTGGGCAAATACCAAAGAGTGTGATTGCTGGATTGTGTGGTAAGACTGCTTTTAGCTCTATAAGAAACTGCCAAAATGCCTCCCAAAGTGACTGTAGCACTTTGCATTTCTAACAGCAATGAATGAGAGTTCCTGTTGCTCCACATCCCCACCAGCATTTGGTGGTGTAGTGTTTTGAATTTTGGCTATTCTAATAGGTGTGTAGTGCTACCGCATTGTTTTAATTTGCTGTCCCTAATGGTATATGATGTTGGTCATCTTTTCCTATGCATATTTGCTATCTGTATATATTTTTTGGTAAGGTGTCTGTTAAGATTTTTTCCCTTTTTAAAATAGGATTTTTTTTTATTGTTGAATTTAAAGAGTTCTTTGTATATTTTGGATACATGTCCTCTATCAGATATATGTTATGCAGTATTTTTTCCCAGTGTGTGGCTTGTCTTTTCATTCTCTTAACAATGTCTTTTGCAGAGCAGAAGTTTTTAATTTTAATGATGTCCAGCTTATCAGTTTTTTCTTTCATGAGTCATGCCTTTGGTGTTGTATCTAAAAACTCAATGCTAGACCATGGTCACTTAGATTTTCTTGTATGTTATCTTCTAGAAGTTTTATGTTTTGCATTTTACATTTATGTCTGTGATCCATTTTGAGGTAATTTTTGTAAAAGATGTGAGGTCCATGTCTAGATTTTTATATTTTATTTTATTTTGTTTTGCACGTCAATGTACAGTTGTTCCAGTACTATTTGTTGAAAAGACCGTCCTTTTCCCATTGGATCACCTTTGCTTCTTTGTGAAAGATTAGTTGAATATATTTGTGTGGGTCTGTTTCTGGACTCTTGTGTTAATTTGCTATAGCTTCTATTAGAAAGTACCACAGACTAGGTGGCTTATACAGTGGAAATTTATTTTCTCAGTTCTGGAGGCTAGAAGTCTGAGATCAAGGTCTCAATAGATTTGGTTCTTCTGAGGCCTCACTCTTTGGCTTATAGTTGGCTGTTTTCTCCTGGTGTCTATACATGGTCTTTCCTCTGTTTCCAAACATGAGGAGTTTGGGATTGTAATTTGGAGTCAGATATATAGCAGAGAACTAGGGGAGATAAGGACTGGGAGAAGACTATTGAGTCTAGTTAGGAGGGTATAATTGCTGTTCAGAAAGAGTAGTTGGTAAAGCATCCTAATTAGAAATGATTGAGAAGGCAGGAGGAAATGGTGACATTGTCTGTGGTCTCTTTTCAAGGAGTTTGATCATGCTGCTTTCTTCTAGTACCATAGCATTTCTATCTTAGTGTTTTTCTCAGGAGTATTTATTGAGCACCCATGCTGAGCTGTGTACCATGGCTGACAGAGGATGAACAGAATGTAATCCCTCTTCTCAAGTTGGTGGCAGACTAGATACGGGAATAGTATGGAGTAATTATAGCGTTAAGTAATATGGGGTATTTTGTGATTAAGTATTATGTAATTCCCAATAAAAGTTCAGAAGATCAGAAAAATTGCAGCCCATGGCCAAATAAAGGCTTTTTAGAAGAGATAGAATGAAAGTTTGGCTTTAATGTGTTGTTTAGATTTAAATGGATAAAGTGGAAGGGCACTGTAGTTGAGGTGAAAATCGAAGAATGAAGTCCTGGTAGGGGGAGGAATAAGCAAGAAGAGATCATGCAGGAAACGGGCCAAACTACATCAAATGATTTGTATTGGAGAATAATAGAGAACATTAGATATTAATAACAATAGTTATAATCATAGCAGATGCCATTTATAGAGTATATACTATGTACTAGGCCTTATTTTATTTAAGTGCTTTATAGGTATTCTCATTTTAATTCTCTTCACAACCTTACGAGGTAGGTATTGTTATTTCCATTTTACAGATACAGAAACTGAGACACAAAAAGAAAGGTCAAGAATAGGCCCAGGTCAGGTGCAGTGGCTCACCTCTGGAATACCAGCACTTTGGGAGGCCCATGTGGGTGGATCGCTTGAAACCAGGAATTCAAGACCAGGGTGGGCAACATGGCAAAACCCTGTCTCTACAAAAAAAAAAAAAAAAAAAAAAATGCCCAAGTCAATAAATCTAGTAAGTAGTAAGTGGTGAAACCAGGATTGAATTCAGGCAGTCTTACTTCCAGAACCCATGCCTTGTAGTCACTGTGTTGTTCTGTAGAGAGGTAGGTGAGACCAGAATATGTCTTGAGAAACTGTCTCCAGGTTATAAATTAAATGTGATAGAAATAAGGGAAGCAATTTGAGGTGTTTGATGAACCGAAGAGTAGATAGTGAGCTACTTGATGGCAGGGACCACTTCTTAGTCCTGTGAGAGATGGATGTGGTGGAGAGTGGACAGTTAATCCTCAGTCTGATATTTCAGATTATGTGGAAGATGGTGTACCAGTTAGGAGTGAATGGAAATGATATGAATTAGATTAATGACAGGGGAAACTGGGGGCATAGATGACCTGGAGAGATGGGAAAGTTGAGTGAAGCAAGATGTGGAGTTAGATTTTGGACAGATTGATTGAGGTGTAATGTCTATAGACTAGCAGATTTGAAGGAACCCGTAGGGAAATATCGTCAAGAGGGATAGTGGACACCTGAGAATAAGAATTCTTCAATGATGGGAGTGTCAAGGAAAGAGACATCTTTTGCTTGAGTTTTCAAAGGAATAATAGCTCTTAACTTCTTCCTCACTTTTAATATTTGAGAAATTCATGGCGGCCGGGCATGATGTCTCATGCTTGTAATTCCAACACTTCAGGATGCTGAGGTGGGAGGATTGCTTGAGGCCAGGAGTTCGAGACCAGCCTGGACAACATAGCTAGACCTCATCTCTTAAAAAAAAAAAAAAGCCAGGCATGGTGGCACATGCCTGTAGTCCTAGCTACTTGGGAGGCTGAAGCAGGAACATCACTTGAGCCCAGGAGTTCAAGGCTGCTGTAAGCTATGATTGCAGTACTGCACTCCAGCCTAGGCAACACAGTGAGACTGTCTCTAAACAAAAAACAAAATTAAAAAAAATATGGAATTCATGATTCATGACTTCAGTTTTACCTTTGAATAGTGACATTTGAGCAAATAAATGAAATAAAATATAAAACACCTATTCTGTAAGTGCACGTGTATATGGAAGTTATGGTCTTTAGTTTTAAGTATTATAAGTTACTAAATATTTCCCAGTTGAAATAAGTTAAGAATAATGGAGTAAATAAGAGTAGTGAAAGATTGATTACCCATGATTGTTTAGCGTTTGCTTTCAACACCTGTGTGTCCTTAAAAGCCCTTTTTGGATTCTTGTATTCCTTTCAGTGCCTCAGAGGAATAGGTGACTTAGAATCTCTCTCTGACCCTAGGCCAGGGGGTTCATACTCCTCTTCCTCCATTTCATTCTCAGGAGGTGACACAGTGGAAAGAAGAGACCATTGAAAGTGCTGAGTGATAGGAAAGTCAGATGGGATATGTCATTACTAAACCTTTTTCATCTTTCCGTTTCCATACCTTGCTTTTGCCTGTCCCCATCCTGTGCTCCACCATCTTCTATCCCGTCAGTAAAACCACAAACTCCAAATCTTCAAAAAGCATTGAGCAGAGAATATAAAGCCTTTTGCAGAAACAGTCCACACACAGTTATGTTTAGTTTTTGAATGCCATTCAGCTTGAAGAAGTTAGTCATTTTTATTTCATAATCATTGTGTTGATATTTTTCTTCTGGGGTCTCTTATTTCTGGTTAGTGCTGTGATGTTAATTCACCAATACTACTAGGATCTGCTAATCATAGAAGATGTTTTTATTTGGAATGTTGAGATTTTATTTCCTCCAGTAAACTGTGTTCACATGAGGTTTGACAAACTTTTTTTCTTTCAAAAACCAAAATTGGAGGTTTCTGTTAATTACTGGGCGGAGCTGCTATTTTTATAGTAGGTCTGTATTGTTTGTGTTGAGTTTCTTTAGCTGTTTCTATCGCGCTATGATGCAATATTTGAATTAAAATGTAGAGAATATTTCTATAAGGTAATACTGCTTTTATAGAAAATAATATAAAAAGGTGAAATTTAAATAAACTGCTTTATAAGATTTTAGACAATGTATTTTTAAAATATAATTTAACTTATTTTGGTGGGCTTTAGAAGAAAAATCTGTAAACTAAACTTATTTTGTCTGGCAGTAAAGGGATCTAGTTTTTTTTTAACACTATTGTTTGCAGAAAGTATTCACTTATTAATACATGATAAAATTAGTTGTTTTGGATGAGAAATACCTTTTTGTTAAACTTATCTTTTTAAGTTCATACTATTTAAAACATTATTTAAAATATTTCACTTACTATATAAGATTTTTAAAAAATAAACTTTATTTTAGAATATTTTTGGATTTACAAAAAGTCACAAAGACTCCTAACCCAGTTTCGTTTTTTGTTAACATGTTACCATGGTACATTTGGCACAACTGAGGACCAGTATCAGAACATGACTGTTAACTAAGCTCCACCGTCTATTTGGATTTCACTAGTTTTTCTCTAATGCCTCTTTCTGTCTCAGGATTCCATCCAGGATACCATATTCTAGTTACTATGTCCCCTTAAGCAGAATTTTCTGGTGTGTGACAGCTTCACAGACGTTTTGATAACTTTGATAGTTTTAAGGAGTGCTGGTCAATGTTTTGTAGAGTGTTTCTAAATTTAAGGTTTTTTGTTTTTTTTTTTCTCATGGTTAGATTGCGGTTATAGATTCTAGGGAGAATGAAGTATGTATGCTGTTGACATAATTTATCACTGGCAATATTAACTTTGATCACCGGCAGTGTTAACTTTGATCACCGGCAATGTTAACTTTGATCACCTGGCTTTTTAGTTAACCAGGTTTCTGCACTGTAAAACTACTTTTCCCCACTTTTCCATTTTGTTCTGTTTGGAAGCAAGTCACTAAACACAGCGCCACACTCAAGAGGTAAGAAGTTAAACTTCACCTCTTTGAGGAAGGGAGTAGCTTCGTAAATTACTTGAAATTCTTCTGTAGGGATTTATGTCTTTGTCCTCATTTATGTATTTATTCAGTTATTTTATATTAGTATGGATGTATGGATATTTATTTTATACTTTGGGTTATGATCCAGTACTACATGATTTATTTTGTTGCCCAGATTGCTCCAACTTAGCCATTGGGAGCTCTTTCAGGCTCTTTCCTGTGTCCCATTCATAGGTCCCCATCATTTGTTTTTTTTTTTTTTTTGAGACGGAGTCTTGTTCTGTTACCAGGCTGGAGTGCAGTGGTGCAGTCTCTGCTCACTGCAACCTTCTGCCTCCTGGGTTCAAGCAATTCTCCTGCCTCAGCCTCCTGAGTACGTGGGACTACAGGCACGCGCCACCACATCCAGCTAATTTTTCTATTTTTTTAGTGGAGATAGGGTTTCACCATGTTGGCCAGGATGGTCTTTGTCTCTTGACCTCATAATCTGCCCACCTCGGCCTCCCAAAGTGCTCAGATTACAGGTGTGAGCCACTGCACCCAGCCATCATTTTGTTTTTAATGCTTACTTTCTGGCACTGCAAGATGCTTTAGGCTCATCTTGTATTTCTCTGCCCTAGCCTGATAAGCAGACATTTTTCCAAGGAGCCCTGGTTCCTTCTGTTAGAGAATGGTGTTAGATACCAAGATCTGGGCTCTGAGTATGTTTGCTGTTGGCGTGTCATTGATTCTAGGATTTCTCTTAGTAGATGAAGCTAGGAAATACGTGTATATATTGCTAAACCACGTATACATACATATCTATAATTATTTTAGTATCTCTCTGTCTGTATCTGTTTTAAGCTAAACTGATATCTCTTGATCTAATCTAGCATCACATGGTTTGTTCTGGCCTTCCCCCATTGTTTATCTGTAGTTTCCTAATCCAGTAGTAAGAAACCTGGCTTTCGGGCGGGTGCGGTGGCTCACGCCTGTAATCCCAGCACTTTGGGAGACGGAGGGGGTGGATCACAAGGTCAGGAGATCAAGACCATCCTGGCTAACACGGTGAAACCACGTCTCTACTAAAAATACAAAAAATTAGCCGGGCGTGGTGACAGGCGCCTGTAGTCCCAGCTATTCAGGAGGCTGAGGCCGGAGAATGGCGTGAATCCGGGAGGAGGAGCTTGCAGTGAGCCGAGATTGTGCCACTGCCCTCCAGCCTGGGCGACAGGGCAAGACTCTGTCTCACACACAAAAAAAAAAAAAAAAGAAAAGAAACCTGGCTTTCACTGCCTGGTATCCATTTATGAATTTGCTCAATCTCAGTATATCTGTATAGCTTTTTAGAAATTTTCACAACTCTGTTACAAGTTGACAAGCCAAACAGTTCTCGTATTTTTAAGTTACTCATTTACTCTTTGAAATAATAATAATTATACACCACTTACTATGTGCTAAGCATTATTCTGTGAACTTTTACATGTAAGAACCGATTTTAGTCTTAATCCATGCTATGTTGTAGGAACTTTAATTATCTCTATTTTACAAATGAAAATAGAGGGGCCCAGAGAGCTTTTGTAGTTTTTTTCCCAAGGCTCCACAGCTAGTAAATGGCAGAGCCAGCAGTTGAACCCAGTTTGCCTCCAGACTCCATACATTCGGCTATACTGCCAAAAATAGATGTGTGAAAACATTGTAGTGTTGATTATCATTTTTAAAAATATTCTTTTTTATGCTAAGGAAGAAGAGGGTTCAGTGATCTCAGAAAAATCCCCAAAGTACCCTTCTGGATATGAGAGGGGACAGTGGTTAGAAAAGAGTAAATTTCTTTAAATAGTCAAACTTGCAGAAATGGAACTGTATACTCACTAAAGGAAAATAATGCTTGCTTTCTTCTGGTTGAAGAGATTGTGTCTGTGAGGAAAATAGTTCATGCTTTTAAAAATCTTCTGGAATAAAACATGGCCAGCTTTTTTTTCTGCCCTCCTTAAACCAATCCATGATGATTGCCAGATTATTTTTTCCTTCTGGTAGAAGCATGTGGTTCTCACCCTCTTCACATATGTCTCTTGCACAGAGGGGAAAGGAGTGGGTCAGAATTGCAGTTAGCAAAGGCGTTTTATTGGCTGCCGATCAAGTCAAGAACCAAATTAGTTGAAGGAATTTCTTTATTAACATGCCAGAAACATCTTATCTATTTGGTTTTACCAGAGCCTGTTTAGCATTTGGTTTCATTGGTAAGCTCATGTAGAAGGCTTAGTTATTCTGAAGTTTTGTTTTCAAACAGGACAGCCCTCCCAACTCCACCCTCCCAGCATCTGACTGAAAATTTTTGACAGTTTAATTGAGATATAATTCATATACCATACAATTTACCATATAATTGAATGAGTTACCCAGTTAGTATGACTTAAATTTGAGTCCTAAAATCAGAAACAAGATAGTGATAGAGGGAATTTATTCTTCCAAATGTTATTTTTATATATATATATATATATATATATTTTTTTTTTTTTTTTTTTTTTTTTTTTTGAGACAGAGCCTTGCTCTCTCGCCCAGACTGGAGTGCAATGGTGCGATCTCGACTCACTGCAACCTCCACCTCCTAGGTTCAAACAATTCTCCTTCCTCAGCCTCCCAAGTAGCTGGGATTACAGGCTCCCACCACCATGCCTGGCTAATATTTTGTATTTTTGGTAGAGATGGGGTTTCACCACGTTGGCCAGGCTGGTCTCGAACTCCTGACCTCAGGTGATCCACCCACCTCGGCCTTCCAAAGTGCTGTGATTATAGGCGTGAGCCACCGTGCCTGGCCTATAATTATTTTTATATTAAGTACCATTAATGAACACCAAAAGTGACTATTAATGCCTGACATTAATTTATAAGGATTGGAGAGACATAAATACCACAGGAACTTGATAAAGTGGCACAGTGTGATTGATCCTCATTGAAGTAATACGTACGGTTATCTTTTCACCATAATTTCACTTTCCTTTCTTTTAATTGACTGTCTCCTTTTTCCCACTCAAATTTAAGGGCATTTAATTCCGTAAGTCTGTTTCTAAGTAATAATTAAATTGAAACTAGATTGTACTTACTTACTTGTGCACCAATAAGTGCAAAAGGATTTTGCACTGAGAATTCCCATTATTTTAGTGCAGAACTTGTCAAATTTTCCTTTGTTGCTTAAACAAAGTCATATCAGTAAGCATAAAACATCTGAAGGAAATTTTAATACTTCTGATGCTTGTTCAGTTGTAGTACATACTTTTAAAATGAAGCCCATTCATTTGGAACTGTTTTTGAGAGCTATAACATTTAAATAACATCTAGGAGAAGTTTGGACTTTTACAAGTGTAGGCTGTCATTTTGCAGAAAAGAAAATCTGGTTGTGAACCAAACCCAACTTAGGGATTTGGCTCATGGAATTGCTTATAACCTCTTGAACTTTTCAGTTCTCTAAAAAATTGTTGGTGATAATATTTAAGATTCTCTATGAAGTTGGTGGTTTAATTTTGGATAAATGAATTCCCATTTTTTACATAATACTTGGCTTTCATACAAGGTTCAAAGTATTAGATTGGTACATACTCTTTTTTTTTTTTGAGTTGGAGTCTCACTGTGTTGCCCAGGCTGGAGTGCAGTGGCGTCATCTCAGCTCACTGCAACCTCTGACTCCCAGGTTCAAGTGATTCTCCTGCCCCAGCACCCCCCGAGTAGCTGGGACTACATGCATGTGCCACCACGCCCAGCTAATTTTTTGTATTTTTACTAGAGACGGGGTTTCACCGTGTTAGCCAGGATGGTCTCGATCTCCTGATGTCGTGATCCGCCCACCTGGGCCTCCCAAAGTGCTGTGATTACAGGCGTGAGCCACCGCACCCGGCCTAGGTTGGTACATACTCTTAAGAGAATTGAGGCATAGTAGGCAGACAGAGTAGAAGAAAGAGATCTGCAAGCAGGTGGTAGTGGGGGTGGAATGTGGGGGCCATTTCTCAAAAACATTACTGAAATGTTTTCTGAAGAAAATGTATTCTTCTAAAAAATTTGCCTAACATTATTTTGTGAGCTGTTTTGGAATTGCTACTAGCCTCTTAATTCCCCCGCAATAGTTTGTGAAAACTATTTAATAGAAGATTTTAATGTAAACTCCAAAATTCCACCTACTAACTAGGATTTAGTAGTAAGATACAATTTTAAGGTTAAGAGCAGGATTTTTGTTCCTGCATCTGGGGTGCAGTGATCTTCAGAGAAGATTGGTGCCTCTCTTTGCTTCTCATTTTGGCTTTTGATGGAGAGGTTGGTGAGTGTTTCTGTTTTCTAGATTTGGCTATTTCTATAGAGATTAGGAACATGTTGCTTATTGTAAAGTATCAAGACAGAGAGGAACAAAATCAAGTTTAACTATGAGAGTGCTTTAAAGCTGACCATGAGAATCATGTTCTCTAGCAGATATTCCTTGAACTACTCTTCCCTTGCAGTCACCTTGAAAGATTGTAATAGGAATTAGCGAGTAAGTGTGTATGCTCTTACTTAAAGATGTAGATATTGATATGAGGAGGAAAGGAATAATGTACTTTCGGAATATATCTGAATCGTATATTTTCTGTTAAGAAGCAAGAAATTAAAAGCCCCTCTTGAGTGACAAAATGATCCAAAGCAGAGCTTCACTTAAGAGGTTCTTAGCACCTACAAGGTGGAGCCTGGGCATCTTGTATGCCAAGAACTCTACAGGTAGTTCTGAGAAGACAGTTGTTAACGGACTCCCCTGTCTGGTGATACAGGGGGCCCACCTCTACCCTGGTCTTGCTTCTCTTACAACTTTTTCTGATTGTGTTCACTTTCTATTTAGTCCGTATTCCTGGACTCTGCACCTCTACCTTTTTACTTTGCATGTACAGTCAATGGATTCTCACAGTTAATTGCAGTCATTGTAGTGACTGGATGTGACCCATTTTTGGCTGTCTTTGGTTTCATATATCTTGTGATTGTGCTTGTTTTTCTCAGCAATACCAGTATCTGACCACTGACTGTACCCAGTCTGTCCCCTGGGCTGCACTGGCATTTCCAGACTTCTGCCTTAATTGCCCCCTTTCCTCATAATGGTGGAGAGACATTAAGGGGAATGGTGGTTCTGTTCCTAGCTCCCTCGTTAATTAGGTAAATGTGTGTGATTCAGTTCCTTAACCACTTAGGACTATAGTTTTCTCATCTCTTGCTTAAATCCTCTTCAGTTTCTGTATTATTAATAGAACTTGGTTACTCATGTATTTTTCTCTTTCTGATACAAGGAATTTAGCCTGACTCTCTAACTTTTACTGCATGAAAGCTTTGATGAATTTCTTTATACTCTAGGTAAAATGGAACATCGAGATGTACTTTCTGCTCATTTCTAAGACAAAAAGCTTGACATTTTATAATCCTTTGTTGGGTTTCTCCTCGTTAGTCACTTCAGTGAGGTAGACAAGTTAGTTGCATGTAATAGACAATTAGAAAATACAAGAAATCTTTAAAAATATTGAAATGGCAGGTTACTATCTACCAGATAGATACTATTTGGTCAGATGACCAAGTAGTTAGGAACTTAGCCTCTTGATTGCCAGATTTGAATTTTAGCTGTACTAGTTTTTAAGGTTTTTTTTTTAATCTTGGACATGTAATTTAATTTCTTTATGCCTCAATTTATTCATTTGTAAGACGAGAATAGTTAATGATATTTAAATTGTGAAGTTTAAATAACAAAGCATTTAAATCTTAGTACATAACCTGTACATAGTAAGTACTTCATAAACGTTAACTACTATTGCAGTAGTATTTGTTCCTGTTCTTCATTGTCATGTAAATTTAGGGCTATTTTCATGATCGCCGTTTAGGAAAGCCCTTCTGAGTGTTTCTAGGGTTTTATTTTTTGTTTGTTTGTTTTTATTTTAATAGCTTATCTCAAGTCATATTCTATCATATCATCTAGGTATTTTTGCTTTTCCTCCTGCCTAGGACTAATCAATCTAATTTTTTTTGTTTTTATTTCCCTTAACTGGAATGTAAGCTTCGTGGGATCAGGGGCCTTCTTTGTCTTATTCCTTGTTATATCTCCAGCTTCTAGTGTAATAGATGGACTACAATAGAAGGTCAGTAAATATTTTGGGGGACGACATTAATTGCTACAGTGAGCTGTTCAGCGTATAGCTGAAAGGAGATGGTGGTGACTGCAGCTAGGTGTGGCGCGATCTCCTGTAGATCCAATTTGGTGGTCTTTTTCCAGGGCCCTGACCCGCGCTAGCTGTTACTGATTTTGCCCCTGAAAGTATGTTCTCTGACTTAATTATTTTGGTCTTATTTGGCAAATCATTGCAGTTTACCAAAGTGTGTTTTCTGGAACATTTGATCTTTAAAGTGATCTTCCTAATGACTGTAATATTCCAATTCCACAGAACACACTTTGGGAAATGCAGAGTTAGTGTACTACTGAAAGCCTGGTTTACCCTCACTCATTTCTTGCCTTGTAAAATGATATGGTCAGGAAAGTTAAAATGAAATAATATATGTGACATACTTTGTAAACTCTCTAGAGTGCCATGAAGCGTGTTGTCAAGTGTTTAAGCTTCCTTTTATTAGTCACCATGTAGATTTAGTCACCATGTAGATATGTAGCCATTACCCTTCGAACCTCAAGCCATTACGTTTAGTCACTTTCCCTCTCTGCAGATCGTCACATTTTTTTCATTGCTAACAGTCACAGTTCCTTAGAGTTATTTTGTTCAATTCTGACAAACTTCTGTGCTCATGAAAGTACTTGACAGATACTTGATGCACTTAGAACTGAATGGATGACGAAGCCTTTGCCAGATAAAAGCTTACTGGTTCCATCCACTTTCTCACCAGTGGTCATCAGAGAAATGGATTTCCAGAATTGTAACATTGTAGTTTAATCGTCTAGCAAAGACATTAAGCATAAGCATAAACCATATCTTTGTGTCCCTGTACCCGGCACCATACCTGGCATGTGATTAGCTCTCAGTAAGTATTTAATAACTAAACAAGACACTGAAACCATACACCATTCTTTCCTCATGCTCACATCATGAAATGGAGTCACTGTTTAGAGAGGGAATGTAAATTGGTACACTCAATCTGGAATATGTACCACAACTTTCTAGTATGATTTAAGTAGGAAAAATGTAGGGAAAACATCTGCCTTCGTGTCAGAAGTGAGGGAGTCAAACTTACTGGCTTTCTGTCTGTACTCTGCTTTAAAATTGGATTTTAAATAACGGTTTTAACTAAAAATAGACGCCAAGAAGAAAACATTTCTCTGATGTAAATATCCATTTCCCAGTCCTCACAGGAAATTCACTTAAACTTAAGGCATACAATTATATGGAGTATACTTTGTTTTTAAAAATTACTGTTGAATTACTGTCCTGTATTTAAAAAGACATAGATTCTGTTCATTTATCTCCAGCTTAAGTAAAAAAAATGGCATAATGATATCAAAATATTTTGTTCTTTTAAACAGTTTCTCAAAGGTGTATTTAATGCTAATGTAGATTATATGGTGAAGATATGTTTCTTTGAAAAGATGACATACAAAAACAATTCTAGGATATCAGTAGCAAAAACTATGACATATGTGCCTTTGATGTCATTGTACCGTATATCCTTTTGTATAGCTAAAATGGCTATTCTGTGCATTTTGGTTTAATTGCTATAGTGAAAATTACATTTTTGAAGAGCTAGAAAAGCTTTTCAAAACTTGGAAATGTTGTTATCCTTCATATTATGAAAAGTACTAGTTTTAGTCTTCCACCATGCAAAGACCTTTTTAAAAATGATCTTTTAAATATTATTTTCATGATAAATAATTTACCATTTGTCTGTGGAAGAGAAATACTGCTTTCTGCACACACTTGTGTATGTGTTCCAAAATCATGTAATAAGATTTTTGGCTGTTAGAGTGACATGTGACTGTAATGGTTTTCAGTAGAGTTTGTTATTATAATGTATTAGCAAAGAACCAACATTTATAAAGATAGAAAGCTTTACAAGAAATGCTAAGATCTTCATAATATTACCAGTTGCTTTGTTATGATTTTATTGCTCTAATTTTCTAGGATTGTAAAATTATGTCTAATTATTGACATGGGTACAGGATGTTGCGTGAATACAGGGAACTCCAAATTCTTGATTGTGGCTATTTGTGGTATGTCCTGCCAATCTATAAAGGGTTCAGCTGCCTCTTATGTGTAGATGATGCAGTGGCCTGTTGCTGAACTAGAAATCAGCTGTTGCTTTAAATGACAGATTAGCAGCTCCCTCCTCCACAATCCCAAACTACCATACCCAGACCTAGGTGTAAGTAGAAACTAAAAAGAGATTAACCAAAGTTACTTCTTCGCTGTAGTCAGAAAAACGTAAAGGATATTGAAAAAGCAAATGTTGGGCATAATCATATGTAGCATTTTATGTTTCAGTTTGTGGTAAGAAGTTTTTCAAAGTACCTTAACAATGGAAATACCTTTCTGCTATTTTCATTCCATCATTGGAATTAGCACTTAGAAACTATCCCTTTAAGTGCTATTGAGTCTTCAGTTATTGCTTAACCACATTGTCCTTTATCTCAGTGCCTGTGAATTAGAGATCTGTCTTTACATTTATTATAGTACTAGGTAAATAGGCATTTATACCAACTGTAACATAAACAGAGATTCCATGTAGAATATGGATAATTATTTTTAGTCTATTTCTGTTCACACTGTTAAATTAACCTTGTTTTTGTTTATTTTCAACTCTGAGTATATCTCAATATCTACTATGCTTTATTTTTCTCTTCCGATTTCTGTTCTCTGCATACTCAATATTTTCTGGAGAAATTTACAAACTGGCTGAAACATCTAGTTTAGCTTTAAGTGATTTGTTGTTGTCGTTTTGTTTTTAAATGTTGCCCAGGCTGGACTCAAACTTCTGGGTTCAAATGATTCTCCTGCCTCAGCCTCTAGAGTAGCTGGGACTATAAGCTGGTGCCACTGCAGCCAGCTTCCAAGTGGATCATTTATTGAAGTTCAGCAATATTAGAGTGGATCCTTGAACAACAGAGAGGTTAGGGGAGCCAGCCCCCCATGTAGTGGAAAATCCATGTATAACTTTTTGACTTCCCCAAAGCTTAACCACTAATAGTCTACTGTTGACCAGAGGTCTTACTGATAATATAAATAGTTAATTAACGTGTATTTCTTATATGTATTGTGTATTATATTCTTACAATATAGTAAGCTACAGAAAAGGAAAGGCGAAGAAATCATAAGGAAGAGAAAATATATTTACTATTCCTTAAGTGGAAGTAGATCATCATAAGTGTCTATCCTTGTCTTCATGTTGAGTAGGCTGAGGAGGAAGAGGAAGGGTTGGTTTTGCTGTCAGGGTGGCAGAAGTGAAAGGAAAGACAGAAGAGGCAGGCACAGTATAACTTTACAGAAATACATTGTAATTTCTGTCTGGCTTTTTTGCTTTTTCATTTCTCTAAAAATGTTTCTATATGGTACCAATCCTCCCACTGTTAGTTTCAGTGCCTGTATCATGGGAGGATCCCTGTCATAAAAGAAGTCAAAGCAGTCTTGGAGAATCAAACCCATTTGCCAGATTGCCTGATGTTACTTTGCTTTCTGGCACTGCTTCTTCTTTGTCTTCTTCCTCATCGTCTGGCACTGCTTTAGAAGCACTCATCTCCATCAAGTTGCTTCTGTTAATTCCTCTGGTTTGGTATCTGTTAGCTCTTAAATTTCTCTAAGATCCATATCTCGAAACCCTTCACCCACCCAACCCCCCACCACCTTTTTTTTTTTTTTGCCATATCTGCAATCTCTTTCATGATTTCCTTGACTGACTCTCATAAATCCTGTGAAGTCATGTGCAACATCTGGGCATAGTTTTCTCCAGCAGGAATTTTTTGTTTCAGGCTTGATGGCTTTAAAGGTTTTTTCTGTAACAGCAATATATCTTCAATGATGAAATTCTTCCAGACATTCATGACATTCTCTCTGTTGGTGTTCTCTTCCATTGAATTGACAGTCCCTTCCCTAGAGTATCGTGTCTAATGACCCTTAAAGGTCCTTATGACCCCCTGATCTAGATGCTGAATTAGAGATATTGTGCTTGGGTCAAGTAGACTATTTTGACATCTTCAGTGTTGAACTCCTGGGATCTGGGTGGCCAGGGGCATTGTCTAATATCAAAGGAACTTTAAAAGGCAGTTCCTTACTGAGAAGGTACTTCCTGACTTTACAGACAAAGCATGGAAGGAACCAATCCAGAAAAAGGGTTTTGTTATCTAGATGGTTTTTTTTATTTTTTGCTTTTTGTTTTTGTTTTGTACAACCAAAAGACTGGCAGCTGGTGTTTATTTTTTCCCTTTAAGGCTCAAGGGTTAAAAGCTTTGTAGATAAGAGCAGTCCTGATCATAAACTTGACTGCATCTGCACAAAACAGTGGATGGAGTTAGCCTATCCTTTCCTGCCATAAATCCTGTGCTTGCTTCTCTTCTTTACTAATATCTTGTGGCATTTTTTTCCCAAAATAGGGCACTTTCATCTGCATTAAAAAACCTGTTCAGTGCTAGACACAGTGGCCTACACCTGCACTCCCAGCACTTTGGGAGGCCGAGATGGGAGGGTCACGTGAGCCCAGGAATTTGAGACCAGCCTGGGCAACATAGTGAGACCCCATGTCTATAAAAAATAAGAGCATTAGCTGTATGTGGTGGCATGCACCTGTGGTCTCAGTTTCCATCTCAGGAGGCTGAGATGAGAGGATCACTTTAGCCCAGGAGGTTGAGGCTGCAGTGATCCAAGGTCATGCCACAGCACTTCAGCCTGGGCAATAGAGTGAGATCCTGTCTCTCGCTCTATAAAAAACAAAACAAAAATAACAAAAACAAACAAACAAACCTGTTTAGGCAGATAACCTTTCTCCTGAATGATTTTCTTAATGGTGTCTGGGAGCTCCTCTGCTGCCTCTTGGTTGGCAGTAGCTGTTTCTTCTGTTTTCTTGACGTTTTTAAGCCAAACCACTTCTTCAGATTATCAAACCATTCTCCAACTGGCATTCTTCAACTTTAAATCCTTTTTTTTTTTTTTCCTTTAAGTTGTTAATAGAAGTGGTGAGAGCAGACATTCTTCCCTTGTTCCTGCTCTTAGGAAGATACTATTTAGGCTTTCACCATTTCCTTTGATGTTAGCTTTAGGTCTTTTTCATATGCTATTTGCTATATTGGCACAGTTCTCTTTATTTCCTGTTTGCTGAGTTTGTATCAGGAACAGATTTTAGATTTTATTTACTTTTTTATTCTGTGGAGATGACCAATTTTTGTTCATTTTTGGTCTGTTAATACAGTGAATTATACTGATTGATTTTTCTAATACTAAACCTTGTATTCTTAGGATAAATACCACTTGATCATGATGTATTATCCCTTCTAACATTGTATTTGATTTGCTAAAATTTTAAGAATTTTTTATGTTCATGAGGTATATTTGTCTGTAGTTTTCTTGTAACATCTGTGTCTTGTTATCAGAATAATGCTAGCCTCAATTGAGAAGTATTCTTTTCTTTTAGTTTTTCTACTTAAGAGTAGTTTACATACCGCAATTACAGTGTTGTAATATTCTGTTTTTCTGTGTACTGTTACCAGTGAGTTTTATACCTTCAGATGATTTCTTGTTGCTGATTAGCATCCTTTTTTTTTCTGATTGAAGTACTCCCTTTAGCATTTCTTGTAGGACAGGTCTGGTGTTAATGAAATCTGTCAGTTTTTGTTTGTCTGGGAAAGTCTTGATTTCTACTTCATGTCTGAGGGATATTTTTGCTGAATATACTATTCTAGGGCAAAAGTTCTTTTTCCTTCCTCACTTTATGCCTTTCCCCTCTATCCTGGCCTGTAAGGCTCCCACTGAAAAGTCTGCTGTCAGATGTATTAGATCTCCAGTGTATATTTTCCTTTCTCTTGCTGCTTAAAGAGTCTTTTCTTTATCCTTGACCTTTGGGAGTTTGGAGTATTCAATGTCTTGAGGTAGTCTTCTTTGGGTTAAATCTGCTGGTGTTTTATAACCTTCTTGTACTTGGATATTAATATCTTTCTCTAGGTTTAGGAAGTTCTCTGCTTATCCCTTTGAATACACTTTCTACCCCTGTCTCTTTCTCTACCTCCTTTTTAAGGCCAATAAGTCTTGGATTTGTCCTTTGGAGGCTTTTTTCTAGATCTTGCAGATGTGCTTGTTTTTTTAATTCTTTTTTTGTCTCCTCTGTTTTCAAATAGCGTGTCTTCAAGCTAACTCATTCTTTCTTCTGCTTGATCAGTTTTGCTATTAAGAGACTCCAATGTGCTCTTCAGTATGTCTGTTGCATTTTTCAACTGCAGAATTTCTGCTTGATTCTATTTAATTATTTCAGTGTCTTTGTTAAATTTATCTGATAGGATTCTGAATTCCTTCTCTGAGTTATCTTGAATTTTTTTTAGTTTCCTCAACACAGCTATTTTGAATTCTCTTTCTAAAAGATCACATATCTTGGTTTCTCCAGGATTGGCCCCTGGTGTCTTTTTTATTTTGTTTTATTTTTTGAGATAGGGTCTCACTCTGTCACCCAGGCTGGAGTGCAGTGGCATGATCTCGGCTCACTGTAACCTCTACCTCCTAGGCTTAGGTAGGTGATCCTCCCACCTCAGCCTCCCACGTAGATGGGACCACAGGTGCACACCACTGCAGCTGGCTAATGTTTGTATTTTTTGTAGACACGGCATTTCAACACGTTGCCCAAGCTGGTCTTGAATTCCTGGGCTCAAGTAGTCTTCCTGTCTCAGCCTCTCAAAGTGTTGGGATTACTGGTGTGAGCATCGTGCCCAGCCTTGGTGTCTTATTTAGTTTGTTTGATGAGGTCATGTTTCCTTGGATGGTCTTGATGCTTATGGATGTTTGTTCATGTCTGGGCATTGAAGAGTTAGGTATTTCTTGTAGTCTTTCTAGTCTGGGCTTGTTTGTATTTGTCTTTCTTGGGAAGGCCTTGCAGATATTCAAAAGGACTTGGATTTTGTAATCTAAGCCATACCTGCAGTAAAGGACAACCCAATCCCAGTAACACTGTAGTTCTAGTAGACTTGTAGAGGTACGTCCTTGGTGGTCTTCAATAAGATCCAAAAGAATTCCCTGTATCATAGGCAGTCTCTTATTCTCTTCCTTTACTTTTTCCTAAAGAAACATCATTTCTCTCTCTGTTCTGAGCTGCCTGGAGCTGGGGGAGGGGTGACACAAGGTCCTCTGTTGCCACCCGTACCAGGACTGTGCTGGGTCAGACCAGAAGCCAGCACAGCACTGGGTCTTGCCCAAGGCCCGCTGTGACCCCTACCTGGTTACTGCCTATGTTTGCTCAAGACCCTAGGTATCTGTAATCAGCAGATGGTGAAGCCAACCAGGCTTGTGTCCTTCCCTTCAGGTTGAGGAGTTCCTCTAGACCCCAGGTGGGTCCAGAGATGCCATCTGGGAGCCAGGGACTGGAGTTAGAAACCTCAGAAATCGGCTGGGTGTGGTGGCTCAAGCCTGTAATCCCAGCACTTTGGGAGGCCAAGGCGGGCGGATCCCCTGAGGTTGGGAGTTCGAGACCAGCCTGACCAACATGGAGAAACCCCGTCTCTGCTAAAAGTATAAAATTAGCCAGGTGTGGTCGTGCAAGCCTATAATCCCAGCTACTCAGGAAGCTGAGGCAGGAGAATCGCTTGAACCCAGAAGGCAGAGGTTGTGGTCAGCCGAGATCGTGCCGTTGCACTCCAGCCTGGGCAATAAGAGCAAAACTCCACCTCAAAAAAAAAAAAAAAAAAAAAGAAAGAAAGAAGAAAAAAAAAAGAAACCTCAGAAATCTTCCTGGTGTTTTATTTTACTGTGGCTGAGCTGGTACTCAAACCATGAAGCGTGGTCTTTCCCAGTCCTTCCTCCCCTTTCCACAGGCAGAGGAGCCTCACGCATTGGCCACCACCACTACAGGCCCATGGGGAGTACTGTCAGGCTACCGCTGATGTTCACTTAAGACCTGAGGGTTCTTCAGTCAGCTTGTGGTGAGTGCTGCCAGACCTAGGACTCACCATTCAGGGCAGTGGGCTCCTTTCTGCCCCAGTGCAGGTCCAGAAATGCTGTCCAAGAGCCAAGGCCTAGAATCAGGGACTCCAAGAGTCCACTTGGTGCTCTACCCCACTGTGGCTGAGCTGGTACCTAAGGTGAAAGACCAAGTCCCCTTTACTCTTCTCTCTGCTTTTCTCAAGCAGGAGTCTTTCACTGTAGCTACCACAACTGGGCATGCGCTGGTTTTCACTTGAAGCCAGCACATGTCAGAGTTTCACCCAGGACTCACAGCATACTACCTGGGTTTTGCTGCTGGTTATTCAGGGCCCAAGGGCTCTTTAGTCAGCAGATACTGGATCCTGCCTGAACTGGGTTCTTCCCTTCAAGGCAGCTGGTTCCTTTCTGGCCCAGGGTGTGTCTAGAATATTATCTGGGAGCTAGGGCCTGGAATGGGTGCTTCACGATCCTAACTGGTCTTATATCCTAGTGTGGCTGAGCTGGTATCCAAGATGCAGGTTAGAGTCCTCTTCACTCTTCCTTCTCTCCTCAAGCAGAAGACAGGGATCTTTTTTAGAGTCACTAGCTGGGGTTAGGGGAGGGGTGGCACAAGCACTCCCTTAGCTGCCCTGGCTGGTGTCATAATAGCTTGCATGCCCCCCAAGTCCACTGGCTCCAAGCCCCACTCAGCCCTACGACTTTGCCTAAGAGTTGCAGTCCTTGTGGCCTAGACTGCCTTTCAGGTTTATTGAGGGCTGCAGAGTACTTCATCCCATGGTGGGGAGGCTTGCCAGAACTCAAGTTCTGACTGTTGGGACAGGCACTTCCCTTCTGGCTAGGGCTGATCTAAATACTCCCTCCATGGTCGGGTGTCAGCTGAGTTCAATGCAAAGTCTCACAATCACTGTGCTTTCCATCCCTCAAGCACACACATTCTCTGCGCCACACTGCCACTGTGGGTGGATGGGGGACGTTGGCAATTCAAGATTGCCTTTCCTTCAGTGCCTCTTTCAGTGATATCTTCAGTGCCTCTTTCAGACATCTTCAGTGCCTCTTTCAGTGATATGAAGTTAAAACCAGGTACTTTGAGTGCACACCTGAGTTTTGGTTCTTATAAAGGTGCTTTTTTGTGTGTAGATAGTTGCTAAATTTGGTGTTCCTGCTGGGTGTCAGTGGGTGGAGTCCTGTTCGGCCCTCTTGCTCTGCCCCTATCTTGAGAAGTATTCTTTTCATTTTTCTGAAAGAGTTTCTGTAAAATATTTTCTTCCTTCTGTGTTTGGTGGAATTTATCAGCAAAGCCATCTGGGTTTGGAGGCTTTATTATTGGGCATTTTAAACTATAGATTGAGTTTCTTTTAGAAATATAGGGCTATTTAGTTTATTTCTTTAATGAGATTTGGTAGTTTGTGTCTTTCAAAGAATGTATTCATTTCATCCAAGTTGAAATTTAATGGCATAAAATTATTTATAATATTTTCTCATTATCCTTTTAATATGTGTACAATCTGTAGTGATGTCATGTCTCTACTTCCCAACATTGGTAAATTTGTGTCTTCTCCCTTTTTTTTTTCTTTCTTTTTTCTTTTTGGCCTGTCTTTTTTTCTGATTGGTTTGGCTAGAAGTTTATCTTCTTAGAGGTAACAGAGCCTTAATTTTATTGATTTTTCTCAAAGACCCAATTTTTGGTTTAATGGATTTTTCTGTATTGTTTTTATTTTCTATTTAATTGAGGTACACTCTGATCTTATTTTCTTTCTTCTGCTTACTTGAGGTTCATTGGCCATTTGCTTTACTTTAGTTTCTTAAGGAGGAAGCTGAAGTCACTGATTTCCTGTTTCCTTTCTTTTTTTCCTTTTACGAGCATTTGTTGCTGTGTTTCTTTTAGCTGTGTATCACAAATTTTGATATATTTCTCTTTATAAGCAATTTGATTATGATATGTCTTAATGTAGCTTTCTGCTCATTTCTCTTGCTGGGAGTTCATGAAGGTTCTTGGAGGTGTAGGTTTATGGTTTTCTTCAAAACTGGAAAAAATTTGGCAATTAATCAAAAAAATTTTGCTCTTTACCTGTTTCTTAGTCTACTTGAAGTTATCCCACAACTAACTGATGCTCTCTGTTCATTTTTTCCAGACAGAGAAAAGACTGTAGTTTCTATTACCGTTTTCTTCAAGTTCACTAATCTTTTCTGGTGTCTGATCTGCTCTTATTCTATCCATTGTAGTTTAATCTCAGTTATTTTAGTTTTCATGTATTAATATGATTTGGGTTTTTTTCGTAGTCCGTGTTTCTATTTAACTGGCTTAGTCTTCACTTCTTGCACATATGTAATGTAGTTATCATAGCTAGTTTAATGTTTCTACTAATTCTGTTTTTGAATCTGTTTTATTGATTTTTCTTCTTACCTTATAGGTTGTATTTTCTTACTTTTTTACATGATTATTAATTTCTATTGTATTTCAGACATTGTGAATTCTACTTTGTGCCCTGGATATTTTTGTATTCCTGTTAGTATTCTAGGGCTTTTTTCTGTGGTGCAGTGAAATTACTTCAGAAACAGATTCTTGTATTTATTTGTTTTTTCTGAGACAGGGTCACACTCCTGTCATCCAGGCCGGAGTGCAGTATTGCCATCTTGGCTCACTGTAGCCTCAACCTCTCCTGCTCAAGCGAAATGCCCACCTAAGCTCCCCAAGCAGCTGAGACTACAGGCACGGGCCACCATGCCTGGCTTTTTTTTTGTATTTTCTTGTAGAGATGGGTTTCGCCGTGTCACCCAGGCTGGTCTCAAACTCCTCAGCTCAAGCGCTCCACTTGCCTGGGCCTCCCAAAGTGCTAGGATTACAGGCATGAACCACAGCGCCTGGCCTTGCAGGTATTATTTCGAAGCTCAGTTAGGTGGGAACAGAGCAGCTGGTAGCCTACAGCTAATTTTCCCCAATACTAAGACAGTATTCTTCTGAGTATTCTACCTGGTGTCTCTTAAATTATGAAGTTTTCCAGTCTGGCCGATGAGAGCATGAACTATTCCCAACCCTTAGAAATCTTTGGTAATTGTTCTCTCTCTTCCTTTCTGGTGACTCTGCTCTAGGCCTTGTGTGTTTCCTCACAAGGATATGGGGATTGGTATTGAGCTGAAATTTTGAGATGAAGATGGGACACCCCCCTCCCCTTCCTGTCTGTATAGTTGTCTCTGTTTTGGTACTCTGTCCTACGAATTCTAGCTTTCTTCATTTTCCTGTATTCTTAGCTTCATCATCTCAACTTAGGGTGACCATCAGGCTCCATCTGGGTTCCCTTGCCCTGCACTGAGGCCTGGAAACTGTCTCTAGAATATAAGCCGGGACAATTGTAAAACTCTGTAGGATTTTATTTTTCTTTTTTAAGGAATCACTGTAGCACACTACAGTGATTCTTGTATTTATTTGTTTTTTCTGAGACAGGGTCACACTCCTGTCTCAGAACTAACCGATATTTCATGTCTAAAGACTAAGTGTTATATGTTTTGTTCATTTTTAAAGCTTTTCTTTTAGGTGAAAGGGTATAGCTGCTTTCTGCTACTGTATTTTGGCCATATACCTTTCTTTTGGAAGCTGAAAATTACTGTATTACTCATTAGTTAAAGAGGAAATTACAGTGAAAATTATACAATATCTATTTTGATGAAAAACAATTAAAGCTATAGATATAAATAAAGCAGGACTTCCAGTCATAATTTATAATAATAAATTCACTTATTAAAAAATAAAAAATAAAATGATTAGATATGAACACCAAGGAATTAAAAAAAGAGCAGAGTAAACTCATAGGCACTGGAAATGTAAATAATAAGGAGGAACAGGAACTAAATGAAGGGGAAGAAAGAGAGGGGGGAACAATAAAACCTAAGCTCAACATTTGACAAGATATGTAAAAAAGAAAAACCTGGTAAGAACACCCAAGAAATAAAAGAGAAGGCATAAATATTATTTGTTAATTATTGTTGCAAATATAAAGAGCATACCTACTAATTTAGCAGTACTTTAAAATATTATGAGCAACTTATGCTAATAAATGTGAAAGCTTCGATGCAAGGATGGTAGAGTCAAGACTGGAGACTGTAGTATTCCAGAGAAGAGATTATGGTGGCCTGAACTCTAGGGCACTAGTAATAGAAACAGAGAAGTTAAAAACATACAACAGACATTTATAATTCTGTGAATGGAGGGATGGGGAGGGTTAAGGTGTTGGGTTATAGCGTTCTCCCTTGGGCAGTTGCGAGATGTTGGGTGGTATCACTACACCTAAAGTATAGCAGGGTTTTTGGGGGGATTAATTTGAGGTACATGGATGTCGGTAGCATTGTCTAGTTGGTTATATGGGTCTGAGCTTTGAGCTTACTGAAGTCTGGGGAAATTGTCTTATAAACTTACCAACTTGTTTTTCTTTTTGTGAGCATGCCTTTAAATGTTTCCAGAAATATAAAATATCCTCTTTTTAAACCACATTAAACCCTCCCCCATATAAATATTATGTACCTGGCTAGATCTTAGTTAGATATGAGAACAAAGATCCTACTTACAGCAGTCTCTTGTAATAAACACTAAAATGTATGCTTGTAACAGGAGCCCTTAACTTTTTGGCATAGTTTCTGTGTAAGAACTCAGATTTCTCTGAGTGATATGGCTGTGACTTAGATTCTGATTCTCTAAAAGTCATTGCCAGGCTTGTCTGACCCTGCTGCTAGGTAGCTAGGCAGTCTTCACTAAAATATCGCCTCAAATCCTTGCATTTAACTACTTAAGTTCCTAAAATACTTGAAAATCAGCTGTACTCATTTATGTGACTGAGGTGCTACATGTAGACTTTTGTCTTCCTCTTGGCTTGAACAAAACTCCAGGTCACCTCAAAGATGGAAATGAGATGGTTCCCATGTGTTTTTATTTTGTTAAAGAGATGTGATGTATATTGGAAATGGCCTTTCCTCTGAGGCTTTCATTCTTTGACTGGATTGAAGGCTGCTGCGCACTACCTTAAGCCTACCAGTTTTAGCATAATCCTAGCCTGACCTGCACTGAACTGGCTGTTATTAAAAACCTTGTCTGTGTCATCTGAAGTATTCACTGCCTGTCACAAGTGGTACTCTTCTTGCAGGCTTCTTAGTGACATATAAATTACAACTATAGCTTGAACAAGGTAAACAATGTGGCTTTTTGTTACATAGTACAACATACGTTTTCAAAGCATAGTACGTTCTTTAGTTTTAATTGATAGATTGGGAATTTCGTGTGAGCAGGTTGATAAGTGTGATTGCATTTCTGATGTTTATGTTTCACAGAATTCTTTTTTTTTTTTTTTTTTTTAACGAGACAGAGTCTTGCTTTGTCTCAGGCTGGAGTGCAATGGCATGATCTCAGCTCACTGCAGCTTCCACCTCCTGGGTTCAAGCGATTCTCCTGCCTCAGCCTCCCGAGTAGCTGGAGCTATAGGTGTGCACCACCACACCTGGCTAATTTTCATATTTTTTGGTAGTGACAGGGTTTCGCCATGTTGGCCAGGCTGGTCTTGAACTCTTGACCTCAAGTGATCCACCCACCTCAGCCTCCCAAAGTGCTGGGATTATAGGCATGAGCCAATGCCTGGCCAATTATTATCATCATCATTATTATTATTATTATTATTATTATTATTATTTTAATTATTCCTGAAACCATCAAAGGAAAGGCTTACACCATGGCTTAGTAAATTTTTGGGGCCAAATATTAACCATGCCACCAATTTCTTATCTTTTTATTTCAAATTTAATTTATAATTTTAATAAAGAATGCGTTTATTTACGTTTCAAAATGCAAAGTGCTATTTTAAAAAGTATCCCCTGAGAAGTCTTGTTTCCCACCCATCCCCATCTGTCCCTTCTCCTTAGTTCATTTTATGTATTACTAACTGTATTTTTATTAATTTTTGTTAATTTCTGTTTATTCCTTTAGACTTTATGCAAAAGGCTAATTCACACTAATACTTTGCACCCTGGTTTCTTTATTTTTATTCCATGGAGCTCTCTCGTTATATCAGTCAGTATATAAAGACCTTCCTTATCTTTTTTTTTCTTTTTTTACTATATAGTATTCGTTTGTTGGTATATGCTGTAGTTAATTCAGCCAGTCCTTTTGCACTTGAATTTGTTCAGTCTTTTGCTATTAACAGGCAATTTCATACTGATTAAGCTTGTACATGTGTATTTCTTATGTATGTAGGTTTCGTGATGGTTTCGTTTCCTAGAAGGGTGTTTGCTAGGTGAAAGGGTACATGCGTCTGTAATTTTGATTGATATTATTGGATTCCCTGTATATATATCTTGCATTTTGCATTTCAGCAGCAATATATGAGGGTCCTTGGAATGCCCCCCCTTTCCCTACAGCTTGACAAGTGGTTGGACTTAAATCAGATTTTGCCAATCTGATAAGAAACACTATCTCACTGTATATTTTTTGTTTGCATTTCTGTTTTCAGCTTATCATATATTCAAGGGCCATTTGTATTTCTTTTCTTTTTCACATACTTGTCCATTTTTTCATTGGATTATCTCCTCTGTTTCTAAGAATTCTTTATATGGGTGTATTTCCGGACTTTGTATTTTGTCCCACTGGTCTGTCTATTCATTTGCCACTCGTATACTTTTAGTTCTTGAGGCCATATAAAGTTATATTGTTAGAGCTGTTTTCTCATTGCTCTTCATTTTCAGAGTTTTCCTGGCAATTACTGCTTGTTTATTTTTCAATAAGATCTTTAGAATCAGCCTTTCTAGTTCCTGGAGGAAAAAAATTGATACTTTTATTGGGTTTGTATGAATTTTAATATCTTAAGAAGAGTTGATACCTTTATGATGTTTAGCCTCTCTAAGAATATGATTATAACTTTCTCTTCATTCAATTCTACTTTCATTTCTTTAAAGGTTTTTGAAGTTTTCTTTAAGTTTGCACATTTGTGATTAAGTGAAAATATACAAATATTTAGTTGCTATTGGAAATGAAGTCTTTATTTTTGCTGTTGTTTGTATTATAATATGTTGTATATATGAAGATTATTGATCTTTGTATATTCTTTTCATAGGTTACTATCTTACTGAATTCTCTTATGTTTGTAGTCACTAATTCTTAATATTGTTTTAAAGCACATTTTATGGAGTTGGTGAGTACTATATAGGATTTTTTTTTAGTACCAAAGTCTTGGTTGAGAGACATTACACTATCCATTTTTACTGGTTTAGATATGTAGCATGATGAACCTCAGCAAGTTTAAAAAGAATCATTTCTTTATTTTGACTTGAAATTTCAAGTTTTTAAATTGATGAAAAGTTGTCATTTATTGTGGCAGGGGTGATGTGAAATCCAGCCACTTATTGGTATGTGTTACAACTTAGCTAAGTCCAGTAATAGTCAGTACATACTACTAAATGATTCAAAAGCAAATGGTCTTTTAGATCAAGTAATAGATCTCTTAAATTGAGATGTATTTACCTTAGATAGTAAGAATGACTCTTTGGTCTCTTATAAGAGGTGAAGAGAGATGCTGTTTCTGGGCTAGTATTTTTGCTAAAATGGTTTTATGAAAAACTTTCATAAGTTAAAAATTTGGGGCTGGGCGCGGTGGCTCACGTCTGTAATCCCAGCACTTTGGGAGGCCGAGGCGGGCGGATCACAAGGTCAGGAGATCGAGACCATCCTGATTAACAGGGTGAAACCCCGTCTGTACTAAAAATACGAAAAATTAGCCGGGCGTAGTGGCGGGCGCCTGTAGTCCCAGCTACTTGGGAGGCTGAGGCAGGAGAATGGCGTGAACCCAGGAGGCGGAGCTTGCAATGAGCCAAGCCATTGCACTCCAGCCTGGGCGACAAAGTGAGACTCTGCTTAAAAAAAAAAAAAAAAAAAATTGGGGGCTTGAAGTTAAAGCACATTGTCTTGAGTAAAAGATATTGGTAGAAGTTCAGAAATGTAAACTGAATTGTCTTTTATCTTATTTTACCTAAGTGGACTATGGAATATTAAGCTATTGGTATACAAATACTTGTAGGCCGGGTGCAGTGGCTCACCTATAATCCCAACACTTCATGAGGTCGAGGTGGGAGGATCACTTGAGGTCAGGAGTTTGAGACCAGCCTGAGCAACATCGTGAGACCCCATTTCTACATTAAAAAATTTAAAAATTAGCCAGGTGTGGTGGTGCATGCCTGTAGTTCCAACTGCTCCGGAGTCCGAGGCAGGAAGATTGTTTGAGCCCAGGAGTTAAGAGGCTGCAGTGAGCTATGATGATGCCACTACATTCCAGCTGGTGCAACAGAGTGAGATCTTGTCTCAAAACAAACAGACAAACAAAAAACCCCAAAAACCAAACCTGTATTTCCCTTCCCCTTTTCCTGATATTTTAATATTTAAGTATACATATATTCTACATAATGAATACTGTATCTATCATCCTGAACTTTTTAACAGCTCTAGTCTTTTGTATACTGAAGCTTTCAGGCTTCAAATAAAGCATACATATCAAAATATTTTGAAGAGTAATTGAAATCTCAGTTTCTCCCCCTCCTTTTAACTAAACAGATGGAAAGAATTATTTGATAGTGTTTTCCAGAGCCCTTTATAATGTAGCATATTTGAGTGTCTGATTCTTTGAATAATGAGTGTGAGAAAATTGAAAATTGAAATGTAGAGCGCTATAGTAGGTTTTAGTAAACAAAGTTTTGTTATGTCACAGTAAATGGTAATGGATAAATAGGATAACAGGAGTGTCTTATATTTGGGAAATTACATTCATCCCAAAAGAACAAAAGCAGTAAGCAGGAAGACAAATTAGCTTACCCTAATAGTGAGAAAGGGAGCTGATAGTTTAGCCTCATGAGGTCAAATTATGTAATTTCTCTATTGTATAACAGAAGAGTTTCAGAAGCATTCCATTTTCTTTTTCAGATTAAAAAGCCAGCATTATCAGATAGTGGAAAAGCTTATTAATACTTGCTGTGTAGCCTGAATAAAACCATTATTTTAAAAATGTGTGTGTGTGTGTGTGTGTGTGTGTGTGTATGTGTACGTGCATGTAGGTTGTTTGGTAAAATCCACTTTTTATGTACTTGCTTAGATTTGTCAGCAGCAAGCTATGTTGCTAAATTTCTTTGGTAATTTTTATACAACAGAGCCCTTTGCAGGTGGGTTTATTGCACATTGCAATATTAGTACTTCATTATGTGTTGGTGTTATTTCTTGAGTGGGAACAATGGCATTCATCTCTTTTTTTTAATTAAACTGGATATTAGAATGCTGGAAGGTTGTTTAATTTCATCAGTGTATATCTGAACTAGTATTTTATCTGGTCTTAAAAATAATTGCTGTCATAGTGGAATCATTCTCTTGTTCCATTTTTGTTTCAGATGTTAAGAGTTACATTGTGATTTTCCTATTTCTGGAAGAATAATTAGAGTCTGATGGATTCAAATTCCTTCTGATGCACAGGAAAGCCCCTTTCCAGGCCAGTCTCAAGAAACTTTGGGAGGAGGATATAGCACTGACAAAGGGTGATAGAAACTAGTTATTATCAAAGATCTAGTTGCTGCCAGGCGTTTTTCTGTTTAGTCGTATCCTTGGCATCATAACCACATTCTGCCTATCTTATTCCCTGAAGTTGCCCTCTTCGTTTCTCCATAATCTGGTGTTACATTTCTTTCTCCTGTCCGTCTGGCCAAGCTCTTTTATAACTTATTTGTGAATATGCTGTTTTGATACTTGGCTGACTGAGTGAGCTCAGGTCCGTCTCTGTGGAGAGGAATGGCCCTCCTCCACTATCACCCCTTCCTTTGAGGACTGTTCTAGACACCTCTGGATTAAAAGCACAACAGAAAACATAGCTATTTATTCTTGGAAATAATTACCTAAGCAAAAAATAATGTGGCTCTTGTGAGTTTTTGTTCTGGAGAACCACAATCTAGAAAACCTGGGATAAAGTAGAATTTTTAACCATTTCTCTCCATTCCCATTAAATGACCTTAGTTCAAGCTGTCCTCATTTCAGGCTTGCTGTAGTGCAACGTGTCCTTAGAAGTTGTTCTGCCTTTCCCTGGCTCCTCCTTTATGTTTCTCCCAAGATTACTATAATGCAATTGAAGTAAATATCCAGCAGTAACAGAAGCAAATGAGATGTTGTTGAAGGGTATTGGGAACAGGAGAAAAGTGAAAACAGTGGTATTCATATTGGCCATTCTCTCGTAGTAGGCAGATTTTTAGCAAGAGGAGTAATGGTAGAAAAATTTTTATAAAGCATAACAAAAGTTTCTAATATTGCTAGGTGTGCTTTGTAAGAGTAATGTTCAAAGCCTTGATGGAGCTTAGTTATAAATTAATTTAATTTACTTTGAAATTTTATGTCATGAGAAAGCATATGTATGTCGTTCTCATTTCACTGATTTTAATGAAAGATATACAACTGACCCTTGAACAACACAGGCTTGAACTTGAACTACACATGTCCACATATGCAGATTTTTTTTAACCAAACTCAGTATTTGTGTAATGTGAAACCCATATATATATGGCTGACTTTTCATATACACAGGTTCTGCAGGGGCTGCTATGGGACTTGAGCAAGTGTGGATTTTGGTACACTCAAGGGTCCTGGAACCAGTCTCCTGCATATACCAAAGGTCAAGTGCAGATCCAGCCCTCAAATAATAGGCACAAATTCTAGAAATTGGTTCATTCACCCCAGATTTAAACATAAGTGATCTTAAAAAATGAAGTTTGTTGCTCGCTTTGGGAGCACATATACTAAAATTGGAATGATACAGAGAAGATTAGCATGGGCCCTGCGCAAAAAATATTTTAAAAAATTAAAATTTTAAAAAATGAAGTTTGCTATACATAGCTTTTTTTAAAAAATGGATGGATTGTAATGACTTCAGGTAAAAACGGGATTCTGAAATGGATAGGTTCTAAGTTTTATGACTGATACGTTTGAAAAGTATATTCTCTTGTAAAATGGAAATTATCTTAAGTAAAAGGCTTCTAAGGAGATAGATTTTATTGGGTAGAATATGTTGTGTTTTTATAATGTACTTAATCTGGACTACCATCAGCTGTGTAAACATTCTGTTTATTTTACACATTTGCCACCAGTTTGTACATTTTTGTGTTTCATTCTCTACATTCACAGGTGAAGTCCTCAGTAATTTAATGAAAACATTTTCTAATGAGCTCACTTAATCAGTTTCTCCAACTCAAAACAAATTGGAGGTAGGGATGCTGTACACACAGTCAGTAAGAAATAACCACTAACAGCCTGATGAGAGAGAAGGAGAAAACCAAAATGCCTCAAATTAAGTAAGCAGAACAGTCCAGATTTACTTAGAGAAGTGGTTCTTAACCTTATGGACACCTGGCTTAGTCCCCTTTATTCTGTTATAATGGAATACCTGAGACTGGGTAATTTATAAAGATCAAAGATTTATTTGGCTCACAGTTTTGGAGGCTGGAAAGTCCAAGAGCATGGCGATGGCATCCAGTTAGGGTCTTTGTACTGTGTCATCCCATGGCAGAAAGTGGAAGAGTAAGGGCGAAAGATCAAGAGAGCAGAAGGGAGCCAAACTCACTTTTATAACCAACTCAGTCTCAAGATAAACAACCTACTTCCTCAGAAATGACATTAATTCATTTTCTGGCCTTATGACCCAATCACCCCACCTGCCAATACTATTACATTGGGGATTCAGTTTCCAACACATAAGCTTTGAGGGACCCATTCAGACCATAGTGACAGCTAATGGAGTCTGTAAACATTTTTCTCAGCAAGAAGTATAAAACATATATCAGTTTGTATTCAGTGTCAGGAATTCTTGGGCTCACTGAAGCCCAGCCTTGGGCCCCAGGCTAAAAATATGATTTAGTATAGGGGCAAATAGCTTTATGTGTCTAATTTAAGAGCGTCACTTTGGGATGCTTTATAGATAATTTATATAATAGGCAATATTGAGTTAGCAGAAAATGTTAAATTTTGTATCACACGCTTAATAAACATACAATGTTTCTTTTTTGAATTAAAAAATATGCATTTTTCACTTAACATTTATCCCATTATCTGGAAAACTTAGTCTTCATTCCCCAGGGATACGGGTTAGAGAAGTGATATTCTGCATTTGCATTAAATAAGCTTCACTGTAATTTTTTTTTTTTTTTTTTTTTTGAGTAGGAGTGTCGTTCTGTTGCCAGGCTGGAGTGGAGTGGTGCAATCTCAGCTCACTGCAACCTCCACCTCCCGGGTTCAAGCGATTCTCCTACCACAGCCTCCCGAGTAGCTGGGACTACAGGCGCGCGCTACCTACCATGCCCAGCTAATTTTTGTATTTTTAGTAGAGATGGAGTTTCACCGTGTTGGCCAGGATGGTCTCCATCTCTTGACCTCGTGATCTGCCTGCCTCGGCCTCCCAAAGTGCTAGGATTACAGATGTGAGCCACCGCGCCTGGCCCATTTTCACATTTTAATCAGTGATGTCCAGGAGACTTTTTGTACCAGCGAGATTACGAGCATCTCCTCCCAACTCCATGTGCAGAAATGCCAGGTTGGTAGGTTGTGATCTGCCTTGGTGGGAGTGTTTACACCACGAAAATGTTAGAAATCAATGCTCATTCTGCCTTCATTCCCCCAAGCTGTTTTTTTAAACATTTACCAGCACACAACTGATTTTAATTACTCATTCAGCAAACATATTTTGAGCACCTGTTGTCTTCCAGGCACTGTTCAAGGTGCCAAGGATATAGTAGTGAATAGACAGTGTTTACTTAAGTGAATGTATTTTTCTAAATCCTAAATTTTCTATTAAATTGGGGAGCTTTTAGGGGTCCTTAGTCAAATAATGGTGGGAGATGAAGAATCAAACAAAAGTAAATGGTTTTCTTTGCCACAGAACTTTCAGAATCTTTTAATGTGCTGGTGTGCACAGTTGATCTCTAGGAGGAGAGTATAGTATATATTCTTTCTTTCTTTCTTTTTTTTTTTTTTTTTTTTTTTGAGATGGAGTCTTGCTCTGTCGCTCAGGCCAGAGTGCAGTGGCACAATCTCGGCTCACTGCAAGCTCTGCCGCCTGGGTTCACGCCATTCTCCTGCCTCAGCCTCCCGAGTAGCTGAGACTACAGGCACCCGCCACCACGCCCGGCTAATTTTTGTGTGTTTTTTTTAGTAGAGACGGGGTTTCACTGTGTTAGCCAGGATGGTCTTGATCTCCTGACCTCGTGATCCGCCTGCCTTGGCCTCCCAAAGTGCTGGGATTACAGGCTTGAGCCACCGCGCCCGGCCTATAGTATGTATTATTTCTAATACTTAACCAATAACTCTTTTTTTTCCAGAATATATTTAACATGTTTCAGAAGTACTATTCTGCTGCTCCAGGCAGTCATATTGCAGATGTTAGAAATTGGTGAATAAGGTCATTACTCAAGAGATGTATGTCGGTCAGAATATGGGCAGGATTTCTGAAGACAGACTTTCCCATCGTGTTTATAGGGCGATTGATTTTTAGGTTGTGGATTGAGTTACTTTATTGATGTTTTCCTGAACTATCCTGTTGTATTTTCATTTCCAGTATTTTTTTTTTTTTAATTTTTATGTAAAGCACTGCTCTACTTATATGTTGTTAATCTTAGAAAAGTGCTTTTTCTTCTGATCTCCAGTTTCTGATTTGGGGACACTTAATGATATACGTACATGAATTTCTGCCACCACTTACTCCCTGTTGCTAGACTTTTTCTCAGCCCTGGGCATCCCTTCCTCCAGTGCCTCTTGCTGAAATGGGAGTCTCTTAAACCCCATTCATCTGCCATTTCACGCTTATTAGACTATGGTGTTTCTCAAGTGTGAGTGATAGGCTATTGATTGAATCAGTCACTTGAGTAGTATTAAAACCATAGGTTCCTGGGGCTCACCTCAGATCTGCTGATTCAGAGTCTGCGTGGTGTGGAAGCCAAGACTCTGTGATTTAAAGCAGATCTACAAGTGGTTTGTATTGAGTTGTTTAATTTCCATGCTGAGTTGTTTAAATTTCATTTTTTGGTAGGTGTATACCGTATTTCTCAGTGTAGGTGCTACTGGCATTTTGGCCAGGATTATCGTGTGGCAATCTGAAGGCACAACAGGACTTTAAAAATCATTGGGTCCTACCTACCAAATACTATTATCATCCCCAGTTATTGAGACAACCCAAAATGTAAATGTCCCTCCACATTTCCAAACACCTCCTTTCCATTTTTATGGGGTTAGTATCCTCAATTAAGAATCACTGTTATATACTACTTTCATTATTTTAGATGTTGATCGTAATAATTTAATATACATACCTAACCTAAGACCCCAAATTATTCACTAACTCTGTCCACTTCGCAAACTGTATAAAGTCTTCAGAGCAATTTAATTGTACTTCCACCTTCCTATTTCCATGGTATTTTGCTCCATATTTGAGTTCTAGTTTTTTAAAAATTGCATAGACATTATTGTTTTTTTACAGTCATCAATGTTTATCTCTACCCAAGATTGGTAGTTTATTTGATACTCCTTGCATCTTAAACTTTCTTTCTGAGCCTTTTTTGATCCTGAAATACATCCTTTAGAAGAATATGTTATTGCACATCTTTTGGCAGTGAGCCCTTGGTGTTTGTTAGAAAGTGTCTTTATTTTGCCCTATTTTATTGAATAATGTTTTACCTGAGAATATAATTCTAGACTGACTTAACTTTTTTTCAGCACTGCATTTTCTACAGTCTTTCTGGCTTTCTTTTTTCTCTGAAAAGTCTAATTGTTGTTCTTTTGTGGATAATCTGACTCCTTTTCTCTGAGTGCTTTTAAAGATCACTTCTTTTTCTTTAGTTTTTTTGCAGTTTCATGTAGTGTGTCTAGATGTGGATTTCTTGTTTATTTGCTCTCCTTGAGACTGTGTCTTCTGAATCTGAGGTTTTGTCTTTTACCCATTCTGGAAAAATTTCAGCCATGGTGTCTTGAAATATTGGTTCTCTCTTCCTTCCTTGTTTAATTAGATGTATATTTTCTTATTCTATTCTTTGTGTCTCTTAATCTCTCATTTTCTATCTCTTGCTCTCTTTGCTGCTTCAGATCTGCCATTTTGTCTAATTTTATGTCTGTGTACACCAGTTAGGTTTTTAATTTCGTTTTTTATTTCTAGAAATTCTATTTTGTTCTTTTTGTCCTGTCTGCCAAGTCATTTTTGTTAGCCTCTTGCTTCTGACCCATGTATTTATTTATTTCTAGTGTTAACTTTTAAAAAATCTGTCCTATGTATTTAATACCTTCTTTTATTTCTTTAAACTTTTAAAGCGTACTTGATTGTAATGTTATATATCTTTTAATTCCTAAAATTTAACTTCTATGGATTTGATTTGGTTTTTCATAGTTTTTACTGCTCTGGTGGTTTGTTTCCTTTTATGCTTGATAATTTTGTTTTAAGCTCATATCTGCCTAATAATATTATGTGGTAATTTCCTGGAGTATGGGTTGAAGATGTGTTTATCTACAGATAATTTGTTTCTCCCTCTGCCAGGTGCCTTGTGTTACCACCAACCCAGAAACAACTTAAATTTATTTCTTGACTTGAGGCTCCTGGCCCTCAAAATCAGTGTAAATTTTAACCCTATGCTCTACTGGGGACAGACTTGTGATTATGGATTTCCAGGGAAGATATTTTGATTCTAGTGAAGGCCTGATTTGAACAAATTGCCTGTTGTGGATAGAGCCCTTTTCCCCAACCTACCTGTGCGGTGTGACTCTTCAAGGGCATTGCTGGTTTTATGCAGTGGTCCCAATTTCAGCTTTCACCACATCTAATAAAAATCAAAACTGAAGTCCCTAGATTCCAAGTTTAATCTAAGGCCATGGCTTGAGCTTTTGTTTACAGCTCTGATTTTATTCAGTAAATACATTTAACAGATTTTTTAAAGCTGTTTATACTACATCTCTTTGTGCCACCTGTGAATTTATTTGCTTGTGAGTTCAGTGCACGTAAAAGAGTGTTTGTTGTATCTTGTCTGCTATTTCTAGATATTTGTAATGGAAGGATATTTTATATCTAGTCTAACTTATTTCCAAAAGTGAAATCTTGGAAGGTGTTTACGCACATTGGGGTCTGAGCACCTTTGGGCTAGAAATGCTGCTGCTATTGCTTCTATAGTGCAAAGTTGGAATTGGTTACCTGATCTCTTATGCTTTCCCAAACTCAGTGCTACTGTTAAGTTTTATCCATATTATTAGTGTGGTCTGCCAGTTACCATTTAGAAGTGTTATTGATATGGAACAGGTCCATTTTTGAATTCCAAAATTCAGAATTAAACTTTGAAATACAAATTACTGATATGTTGGAACTGTCTGTACTCTTTTATCACTCACAGATTATTTTCCATGTCTATATCCAATTATTATCTGCTAAGTGCATTTTTTGAAAGTTAATGATAGCCTCAATCTGTTTTTAAAATTTTTTTTTATTAGGACCAGGTAGTCCTAGAAATGTAGATCTTTAATTATCTGGTTTTAAGAAACAAAGAGCCATTCAAGTTAACTTAAGAAAAGAGAGGCTATTGTAAAGATACATGATACACGGAACTGGAAGCTTGTCAGGAACTCAAGGCAGCTTGGAGATCTGCTCTTTTCTTATGGTCTTGTAATTTTTTCTGTCCATCTGTTGGGTTATTTGCTCTTTATTGATTGTCTCTTCATTGCGTCTTTTCTATTTCTTCAAAACTTCACTTTATGCCCAAAGTCCTGCATGCTGTGACACTGGCACATAGCATGGTTTCACAGTGAGTTACATTGCATGGTGGTGCTATTTCTCAGTATTTCCAGTTTCAAACATTTTAGAGTTGTGCTGTCTAATGCAGTTATCACTAGCCACGTGTGACTTTTAAAATCAAAATTGAAATTACGTATAGGATCTGTATGCTGATAACTGCAAAGCACTGATGAAAGATATCAATATCTAAATAAACAGAGACACCTGCCAGTAGTGTTCATGGATTGGAAGACTCCACATAGTAAATATGTCAGTTCTTTCCAAATTGATCTATAGATTTAATGTACTTCCAAATAAAAGTCCCAACAGCAGATTTTTTTTTTTAAACAGACAAGCTGGCTCAAATTTATATGGAAAGGCAAAGGACCTTTGTTGCCAAAGCAACTTTGAAAAAGTAAAAGTTGGAGGAATCACAAAATTATTGTGATTGTAAATTTAAAATTTACTATAAAACTACAATAATCGGCCGGGCGTGGTGGTGGCTCATACCTGTCATCCCAGCACTTTGGGAGGCCAAGGTGGGTAGATCACTTGAGGTCAGGAGTTGGCGATGAGCCTGGCCAACATGGCAAAACTCCATCTGTACTGAAAATACAAAAATTAGCTAGGCGTGGTGGCACACCTGCAGTCCCACCTACTCAAGAGGCTGAGGCAGGAGAATCATTTGAACCCAGAAGGCAGAGGTTGCAGCGAGCTGAGATTGTATCACTGCACTCCAGCCTGGGCAACAGAGTGAGACTCCGTCTCAAAAAAAAAAAAAGAACAACAAAAAAAATTACACTAATCAAGACTGTATAGTGTAGGTAAGAGATAAACACACAATCACTAGATCAATATAGATCAACATGGGGTCCAGAAATAGATCCACACAAATATAGCCAATTCATTTTTGACAAAGGTGGAAGTCAGTTCAATGAAAGGAAAATTGACTTTTCCACAAATGATAAGAAAGAGTTGGACATATACATGCAAAAAAATGTACCTAAACTTAAACTGTACACCTTACACAAAAATGATCTCAAAATGTATCATGAAACTAAATGTAAAAACATAAAACTTTTAGAAGAAAACACAGGAGAAAATATTTGTGACCTGGAGTTAAGCAAAAAGATCTTGGATGTGATACCAAAAGCACAATTCATAAAAGAAACTATTGATAAATTGGACTTTATCAAAAATAAAAACTTTTGCTCTGTATATTTGTTTGGCAAGGCTGCCATAACAAAATGCCACAGACTGGGTGGCTTCAACAGTAGAAATTTATTTTCTCATAGTTCTGGAGGCTGGAAGTCCAAAGTTAAGGTGCCAGCAGGGTTGGTTTCTCCTGAAGCTTCTCTCCTTGGCTTGCAGATGGCCTCCTTCTTGGTGCATCTTCACATGGCCTTTTCACTGTGCATGTATATCTCTGGTATCTCTTCCTTTTCTTAAAGGGACATCAGTCTTGTTGGATTAGGGCCAACCCATATAACTTATTTAACCTTAATTACCTCTTCAAATGCCCTTCCTCTGAATATAGTCATGTTCTAAAGTGCTGGGGGTTGGGACTTCAACATATGAATTTGGTAGGGAGCACAATTCAATTCATAAATTCTGCAAAAAACACTGTTAACAAGAATGAAGAATAAGTTACAGACTGGAAGAAAACATTTGGCTGGGTGCAGTGGCTCATGCCTGTAATCCCAGCACTTTGGGAGGCCAAGACGGGTGGATCACCTGACGTCAGGAGTTTGAGACCAGCCTGACCAACATGGTGAAACCTCATCTCTACTAAAAATACAAAAAAATTAGCCGGGTGTGGTGGCAGTTGCTTGTAATCTTAGCTACTTGGGAGGCTGAGGCTGGAGAATCGCTTGAACCCGGGAGGCGGAGGTTGCAATGAGCCAAGATTGCGCCATTGCACCCTAGCCTGGGCGATAAGAGTGAAACTTCGTCTCAAAAAAAAAAAAAAATTGCAAATCATATATCTGACAAAGGACTCATATATAGAATATATATATATATATATATATATATATATATATATATATATGAAGAACGCTCATAACTCAGTAAGAAAATAAATATTCCAGTTAAAAACATGGATGAAAGACTGGAAAACAGTTCATCAAAGGATGGCAGGTAAGCACATGAATAGACTAAGAGCATCATTAGTCATCAAGGAAATGCAAACTAAAACCACCATGAAATAGCATTTACCTACCTATTAGGATGGCTGAAATAAAAAATACAATGCCAGCTCTTGGCAAGGATGTGAAGCAAGTGGAACCCCACCATGCGTTGCTTCTGGGAATGAAAAATGGTACAGTCACTCTGGAAAGTTGGGCAATTTCTTATAAGGTTAAACATATACCTACCATATGATATGACCTAGTCACACTCCTGGGTATTTATCTACCCTGTATACAAATGTTTATAGCAGCTCTTTCCGTATTTGCCAAAAACTGAAAACAACCCAGATACCCTTCAACTGGTAAATGGATGAACTGTGGTAAATCCATACAGTGGAACCCTACTCAGCAATAAAAAGGAATAAACTAATGATATATGCAACAACTTGGTGAAAGAAGAGTCTAAAGATGTTATATAATGAATGAATTTATATGGCATTCTCAAAAAGAAAAACTGTAGTCATAGAGAACACGTTAGTGTTTCCAGGGTTTAGGGAGGATTATGACTTCCATTGGAGTTTTTGCAGTGATGGAACTTTCTTATTTCCTGATGGTGGTGGTGGTGGTGGTTACATAATCTAATATATGTGTTAAAATTACTAGAACTGTATCTTTAAAAATCCATTTTATTGTCTGGTAGTTAAAAAAATTAAAAACTCCAAATTTTAAATATTTCATTTTGTACACACGTACAATTAAACAAAATTCAGTTTTTCACTTGCACTGGCCACATTTTAAGTGATCAATAGGCACATGTGGTATGGGGCTAATGTATTGGATATTGCAGATACAGATCATTTCCATCAATGCAGAAAGTTCTTTTGGACAATGCTGGGTTTTCTTTGTTTTGTTGCTGTTGTTGTTTTGAGATGGAGTTTTGCTCTTGTTACCCAGGCTGGAGCGCAGTGGCGCAATCTCAGCTCACTGCAACTTCCGCCTCCCGGGTTCAAGCGATTCTCCTGTCCCAGCCTCTCGAGTAGCTGGGATTACAGGCACATGCCACTGCGCCCAGCTAATTTTTGTATTTTTAGTAGAGATGGTGTTTCATCATATTGGTCAGGCTGGTCTTGAACTCCTGACCTCAGGTGATCCGCCTACCTCGGCCTCCCAAAGTGCTGAGGTTACAGGCATGAGCCACGACGCCCGGCTTGAGCCACCATGCCCGGCCGACAGTGCTGTTTTAAAGCAAGGATCAGCAAGTTGTCGATAAAGGGTCAGATAGTAATACTTCAGGCTTTGTGAGCCATATGGCCTCTGTCTTAGCTACTCAACTCTGCCATTGAATTTTTTTTTTTTTTTTAATACTGGTCTTACTCTGTTGCCCAGGCTTGAGGACAATGGTGTGATCATAGCTCACTGCAGCCTTGATCTCTTGGGCTCAATTGATCCTCCTCCCACCTCAGCCTCTTGGGTAACTGGGACTATAGGCACATGCTACCAAGACCAAGCCCAGCTAATTTTTGTATTTTTTGTAGAGACAGGGTTTCACCATGTTTCCCAGGCTGGTCTTGAACTCCTGGGCTCAAGCGATCTGCCCACTTTTGCCTCGCAAAGTGCTGGAATTACAGACATGAGCCATGTACATGTGGCTATGTACCAGTAAAACTTTTATTTACAAAAATAGACATGTTTGCTGATCCCTATTTTAGAGAATTTGCCCTGTTTCCTATTTTCATGTCAGCTCAGGGTTTATTGGTATATTAACCTTATAATTTATCATCCAAATTTAATAAATGTTCAGTTGTTTAAGAGTGAACACAGGCACTCTTATTGTACTGGTAGAATTATTAATAATTCTACCGGTACAATAGGCATAACCAGGAGTACTCTGGGTAAACCAGGGATGTATGTCACTCTGTTAGTTTTCCTATGAATTGGTTGCCCTTGTAGTGGACACATACCTAGTGACATGATTTGGCTGTTTCCCCACCCAAATTTCATCTTTAATTGTAGTTCTCATAATCCCCACATGTTGTAGAGGAACCTGGTGGAGGTAATTGAATCATGGCGGTGATTACCGTCTTGCTCTTCTCATGATAGTGAGTTCTCATGAGATCTGATGGTTTTATAAGGGGCTTCCCCTCTTTTGCTTGGCACTTTTCATTCCTGTTGCCACGTGAAGGAGGACATGTTTGCTTCCCCTTTTGCCTTGCTTGTAAGTTTCCTGAGGCTTCCCAACCCTGCGGAATTGTGAGTCAATTAAACCTTTTTCCTTTATAAATTACCGAGTCGCAGGCAATTCCTTAAAGCAGCATGAGAACAAACTAATACACCTAGTCTAATCAACTTTGGGAAAGCGAACATGAAGCCATCCCTTCAGCAGTGAGCATGGGTTATCCATTTTCTTCTGAAAGGGAGTAGTTGTATGGGAAGTACTCTGAGGTTTGGCTGGCCTGGTACACTCAAAATAGTCTGTGTTTTCTGTCCCCAAGCCTTTGCTCATGCTTTTCGTTCTGTGCCCTTTTCCCCATCCCTTTTGTATGTTTTTCCTAATTCAGGCCATCTTTTCAAACCTCTGCATAAATGGTAACATCTTCATGCCATCATTCCTGTAATACCTTTTCAGGCTTATAAGTTGGTGGTTACATTTTCTAAAAGTCAGTAACATAGTGCTTTAAACTGGGTCCCCAAACCTGACTGTGTATCAGCAGTACCTCAGTAGCTTAAGATACAGAATCCTGGGTCCCATTCTTAATCGCTTGACCTAGAATTCAAAATTTGTAGCAGTATTTTGTTATTGTTTTGTTTTGTATTTAAACTCTTTATATGATTTTTATATAACCAACTAGCTGGTTCAGTATTTGGAATCTGTTGATTTAGAATGAAATTATTTGATATAAACATTGACTTTTAGAATTAGAAGGAACCTTAGAAATAGCCTGTCTTCACCTTCATGTTATTAAATTGTGGGCAGAGGGGTCAGGAAGAAGACACAAGGGAAATTACTTGCTCAGATCCCATTGCTGGTTACTGGCAGAGCCAGGACTAAACGTTGTTAACTCTCACTCAGAACTTGTATTCATATTCACATCGGACATGCCCTTCTACATAGTAAGGTTTGAGTACTCCAAGGGGCTCAATACATAGTAGATGATGGTCAGATGTTTTACTGATAATGACTGTTTCTAACCCACTTTATATTGTACCTAGCACATTTTTTGGCTCTTAATGATTGCTGCTTGAATATGTTGTTAACCCTCAGTTCACTCTCAAGGAATGCCTTTCTGATAGTTGGAGATAATTCCACAATCTGCGTGAAATCATCTCAGAAAAATTCTTTCCAAAACTAGTTCAAATCTGAATGGCCTCTGAAAGGCTCACTGAATCAAACTAAATTCTGGTACAGCTTTGAAAGTTAGTACTTTCCCAGAGCCCCTCTAAGCCGAGATCGGTCTAGACCTGCAGGATTTTCCTCACCAGTCCACTTCCATTTTAGAAAGGTTACCCAGAACCTATGGGAGTATGTGGTGGGGGACGTGTATACTGAAATAAGGTGTGAGACCAGGGCCAGGAAAAGGCTTGTGGGAAGTGGTGGTAGCCTAAGCTGAGCTTCGAAGGATGTCTGTTAGGCCAGGGGAGGGAGCTGGAACAAAGCGTGGATGGCTCTGGGGAATAGCAGGTTGTTTAGTTTGGCCAGAGGATAAAGTACAGGTTAGGGAGTGACTAGAAATATAGATGGGGGCCAGATTAAAATGTGGTATTTCACAATTTCATATCCATAGGCAAAAGAATGAAACTGAAGCCCTATCTGACACAGTATAAAAATTCACTCAGATTATAGACGTAAATTTAAGAAAACTATAAAACTTAGAAATCTTAGAAAAAAAAATCATAGGAAAAAAGTATTTGTGACCTTGGGTTAGGCAAATGGTTTCTTAGCTGCAACACTAAAAACACAAGAAACAAAAATTAGTTAAGTTGGACATCATCAAAATGAAAAGGTTTTGTGTTTCAAAGGATACCCATAAGAAAATGAAAGCATGTAGAATGGGAGAAAATACTTGCAAATCATGTGACTGATAAGGGATTTATATCCAGAATATATGTGAAGAACTCTTACAATTAACAATTTAAAAAGAATTTAAAATGGACAAAGAATTGAATAGACAGTTCTCCAAAGAAGATATTCAAATGGAAAATTGAAAACAGGTCCACACAAAAATGTGTACACTGATGTTTATAGCACCATTATTCATAACAGCTAAAAAGTAGAAACAGCCCAAATATGGTATTTCCATACAATGGAATACTATTTGGCAGTAACACATAAATGAGTTTGAGACATGGATGAGTCTGAAAGCATTACACCAAGTGCAAGAAACCAGAGTCACAAAGGACCATGTGTTATTTGATCCCATTTACATGAAATATTTATAATAGTCAAATCCATAGAGATGGAAAGTAGATTAGTGGTTGCCAGGGATTGAGAGTCAGAGGAATATGGAGTGACTGCGAATGGGTCTGGGGTTTCTTTTTGAGGTGATGAAAGTGTTCTAAAATTAGTTAGTATAGTTACATAACTCTGAATATACTAAACACAACTGAATCATACACCATGAAAGGGTGTACTTCATGGTATGTGGATTCTATCCCAATAAAGCTGTTATAAAAAGTGCTGTATTTAGTGAAAGCTTTAAATACTCTGACAGGGAATTTGGATTTTTGTCTTTAAAGCAATGATGTGTTGTACCCTTGCAGAGTTATAAGTCAAGAACAGCATGATGAGAACATCATTGTGGGAGCATTTGAAGAATGGTGGTCAGATCAGTGTTGCAGCAGACTAGATCTAGCTGCTTAGAATATTTTATCCTGTTTTCTGCCCTTCACAAGTATGAACATTTTATGTTACATATTCTGAATTCAAAATTTTTAACTTTATACGTGCTAATATTTTATAATTTCTATCTTGCTCTCCTTTTTAAAAAATAAACTGCTCAAGGTGATTGAAAAAAAGAATAGCAGTTGCAGAATGTTAGAGATAATATTGACTTTTAAATTTACCTTTGTGTGTAACCTTGACTACAGTCAATTTAGAGATAGCAAAATATGACTTATTTTAGGCAGAAGACCAAGATTCCTGGTGAATCATAAAGCTTTAAAGACCCTTTATTAATAAACATGGATTTTACTAAGGAAAGGCTTAGAAGTGAAGTTTCTTAAGGACTTTCAATTGTCTGTTTTCCCCTTTTTGTGAAATATCTTAATACTGCCAAATAAATTACATATTGGAAGATATTTCTAACATCATAGAAAGCAAAAGAACAGTAATCATTTTAGCTCTATGTTTTTTTCAGTTAACCCTAAAAAACTGTAATTTAAAAACTGTTAGCCTTTAGGAAATTCTAGACTGATTTACCACTTGAAATAATTGTATTCATAAGTCAACCCTATAGGAAATATTGACCTTGGTAAACCACTCATCAGTAGTTAGTGTCATAATTTTTCTGTTAAATATATGCTGGTGTTAGTAAATCTATTTTTAGAAGAGTACATTGTGTACAGCAACCATTTTGGACAAACACTGTGTAACTTGTAAATAGAGAGTGTGCCCTCCTGTGGTCATTGGTAACAAAAATCTCAGTTATAATCATCCTAGCTTTCTGAGTTCACATTTGTCTGCTCTTCCATAGTAGAATCACCCATACTCTGAATTTCTTCTCAGTAAGTAAAAAACCATAGCATGATTTTTAAATGGTGGCAGTTGTCTTATTTGGAGGAGATGCTAAAGGAGAATCCTACCAGAGAAAAGATATCAAAGTGTGAGGAGAGGCAAGTAGTTGTGATGGTGCTTGAAAAGCTTTATGACTATTACACCTGAATGTTTTTCAGATACACTCTGCCTCCTTTACAGAATGCTCCCAGAATGATATTCTGGTTTTATTTCTATTTCATCATTTATATATGTTTTCTTCCTAGAGAAAGGAACTAGTATCCAGCACTGTCTATTTGAAACATCTATCCCATTTTATGGAAATTAAGTTTAATTTGAAATAAGTCTTCAAATCTCTTTTGTACTGCCTTGAGTGTTTATTAGTTATGGGGATTTTGTTTGAAGGAACAATTTTTAAATGAATTTTCCCTGCAAATTTTATTAATTTCTATGAGATCTCTTAATATCTTTGTTCTTCTTAGAGTTAAATGGTTAAATTTTATATTTTCAGCAATGACGGTGCCTCATATCTTAGATCTTTGGCTGGTATTTTTAGTGCCCTAGTATTCTTAGAAGAATTCCACTGTTAATGGTGTTACCATCTCTTGCCAGGTGATTCACTGATTTTCACCAATCCATTAATAAGAGAGTGTTGCAACTAGGAATAAATCTGGTCACATGAATGGATCTTTCTGTGATCAGGGAATGGCATGTATTGTTCTTCATTGGTGGTATGAATATTATTTGTAGTTAACAGTTTAAAATATCAAATTGAAAGTTCTGATCCAATTATAAAATATCTTAAATTGACAAAGACTTACTGCCATTTTAATATAGTTTCTGCTTATTTATATGTGTATTATATATAATATATATTGTTATATGTACACATAAATACACATAATATAATTATGTGTACTTATATACATAATTATACAGTTGTAAATGCCAGGAATCTATAATTTGATTTTTTAAAGTGATTTTTAATATGTGGCTTACAAAAATAGGTTTTGCATTGAACTACATGTATTTGACTGTACCATCAGGTGTGTTTAAAAGGATGCAGGGGGCCTGTTTTCATAATTATATACACAATTGTGTTAGCCTTTCATATCCTAAAGCTTTTAAATGAAAAAATATAAGGCTAGTTAATTAGTTCAACTAGCCTTTGAATGAATAGCAATACAGTGTAATACTTAAAGGCTCAGACTGTGGAGTTAGACTGCCTAGGTTTGAATCCCAGCACTGTCGACTCACTGGCTGTATGACCTTGTTAAGTTCTTTTGAGTTCTATGTCCTTTAGTTTCCTCACTTGCAAAATGAGAATAATATCAGTACCTATTTTATAAGGTTGTTGTGAGGATTAAATGAATTAATATTAAAACATTTAGAATAGTGCCTGGCACATCCGTACTAACATCTAAGTGTATATTAGCTATTAGTTTTGCCAATATTAAATTTATACATAAATGTTGAAATTTATTGTGAAGGAAAAACTATTTGTTTTGTAAATATAAATTACATTTGCATTTCTTTTAAAATATTTTTATATAACTGAAAACAGTAAGCTAAAGTGAAATTTTATACACTTTTTATGAAAGCTTTCTTCACAATAATCCTTTTTTCCTCTTTCTTTTAGGCACGGAATGTTAACACTGGTGAATTAGCAGCAATTAAAGTAATAAAATTGGAACCAGGTAAATTGTTTGAAATTCATTTTTTCTTACTGCTAGAAAGCCATGGGATATCTTAAGGCTTATTTTAATGATGTTTGGTTAACATTCTCTTGTTTTCCCCAACATCTGGGATAAATAGAGCTGCTTGTATGCCCTTTCCTCCACTTCTTCAAGTTCTGCATACAACACACCTTGCTCAGTTCTTCCCTGAAAAGTAACTGATAATTGGGGGAGGAAGGGGAACTCCTCCTGAAAAGACTTTGTTCTTTCTGAACTCAGTTGAGCTAACTTGTGACAAGCTGATAGTGGTTTATTTCCAGGCTGACGTCTTGTGGTGTCAGTGTGATGTAGTGGAAAAAACAGAACTGAAATTTAGGTAGTTGTAGTTCAGTTTGTCTCCCACTCCCTTGCTCTGTGAACTTGGGCAAATAGCTTCATGTCTCTGAGTCTCAGTTTTTCTCAGGAGATCTAGCTTCCACATTCTGTATTTCATTGCTATCCCAGCAGTTGTCTACCAAATTGAGCAGCTTATTGTAAAGCCCCTTAAGGCTACTCCTTATTTTTTGTCTGCTTCAACTATGTTCTTTGAATTCCTCCTACTTCCCTCAAAACCCACATTTTTCTTAGCTAATTACTCACTCTTTGTTTATTCTCTCTTAGAAACCCCTTCCCACTCTTTCTCCTTCCCACCATAAGCAAGTCTATAATTGTGCTAGTGTCTAGACCGAGTACCACAGCAGTTAGTGCCTTTCTGATGACTTCTTCCTTTACAAGCTGATAATAAGAGTTTATTGGTGAAACAAGTTTTAGCTCCAGTATGAACAGAAATCCATTCAGAGACTTTGCAAGAGTGGAAAAACTTTTTCTGTTTAAAAAAAAAAAAAAGGCCAAATAGCCAATACTTTAGACTTTGTAGGTCATGTATGGTCTCTATATTCAGTTCTCCCTCTTTCCCTATAGTTTGCTCACCCCTTATTTAGAGCATCAATAAACTTTTTAGAAGTGATATTAAAATGAAAATTTAAGGATGTGCTGATTGACTGTGATCAAACCACACATAAATAAAATGAATTAAAAAAATTTTCCAGTTATACATATTTACAGATTTTATGTAGTCGTTATATTCTAAACATCGCAAGACAAGATGTTTATCTTTTTTCTGAATCTCCTACTCTTCAATTCATAAGAAATTTAAGAAGGATATTTGAAGTTGTTGAAATATTAGCTACAAAAAGAAATTTGGCATTTAAAGCAGGGCCTTCATTTTTAATCATTAAGCAGTGACTGTGTTACTTAATGAAATGGTTCTAATGAGAAGTATTTTGTGTATACATCATTCCCTCAAGAAACCTTCTCTTTCAGGAAGCCTTGCTTGACCCTGGGTCTAATTAAGATGACTCCTGAGTGATTAGCTCTGCTGTAGCACTGACCATAGCTATATTGTCATTCTAGACTTGCCTTTCTTTGTTTCTAAGTTTTAATCAAATTTGTGCCCCCAGCACTGAGCTTAGGGCCTGGCACATAGTACTCATTCTGTACATCTTAAAATTTCCTTAAAAAATTAAAAACTTGAAAAAGCTTACTGTTCAAGTCAATTATTTTCTGTTCATGAAATGTTCAAGTTGTTGCACTGTCAGTCTTGGACACTGCCATGTGTATATTGATCAATGTAATAAAAGTAGAATATACAACTATACAAAAGGAAAAAAATAAAAATCATTCATATTCTGCCACCCAGAGAAAACAAAGGTTAATCACCATAAATATGTTTCCTCTATTACAGCTACCCATTTCCCCCCGCCACCAGTTATTTTGATCCCTCAATCATAAAATTCCAGCCCATAGTATTTCTGTGTATATGCCTAAAGTATAAATACTCAAAAAGTGTAATCACAAACAGGAACCCTCATACACAGCTGGTGGAAATGTAAAATGGTGCAACCACTTTGGAAAACAGTTTGTCACTTCCTTAAAGTGTTAAACATAAATTTGCCATAATGACCCAGCAATTCTACTCTTGCATATCTGCCGACACAATGATTGTCATGCACAAATGTTTATAGTAGCATTATTCACAGTATGTCTCAAAATTGGAAACAGTCTAACTGCCCATCAACTGGTGAATGAATATGTTGTGTTCATACAATTGAATACTATTCAACAATAAAAACAAGTTGCTGATAGCATGCTGTAACATAGGTGACCAAAACGTGCTAAGTGAAAGGAGCTAGACACACAAAACTGCATACTGTATGATTCCATGTGAAAGGTTCAGAAAAGGCAAATCTGTGGTGTCAGAAAGTTAATCTGGTGAGCTGGGGACGAGGTGGACTAACAATTATTGTACGTGAAGGGTCTTATGGGAATAATCTAGTGATGGTTGTACAACTTGGTAAATTTACTAAAAGCACCATTGAATTATACACTTGAAATTGCTGAACTATCCAATTTAAACGTATGCCTTAATAAAATTATTAAAGATACGTAACTACAACCATTAACAACATTACAGTTCTTTATTAATAAGACCTACGCTTAGCAAATAGTTGCTACGTTATATCTATAGGTTCCCACTTAATTTCTTTTTATCTTTTTTCCTTGTAATTTTCTGTGGAAGTAACTCGATCATTTATCCTGTAAAGTTCCCCCCCAGTCCAGATTTTGCTGATTGCCTTGTTGTAGCATCATGTAATATATTCTTTGGTGACTTGATAGATATCTCTAGAGAACTGAGTAGACTCCGGTTTTATTTGGGGTATGGAGGAGGGAACTACTTCACGAGTGGTGTTACGCTCACATTTTTCTAAGGTAGAGGGGTGTGTGTGTGTTTAAGAGACAGTGTCACTGTAGCCCAGGCTGGAGTGCAGTGGTAGGATCGTGGCTCACTGCAGTCTTGATCTCCTGGGCTCATGGTATACTTCTACCTCAGTCTCCCAAGTAGCTAGGACTGCAGGCGTATGACATGACACCCAGCTAATTTTTATTTTTTGTAGAGACAGGGTCTCACTATATTGCCCAGTTTGCTCTTGAATACCTGGTCTCAAGAGACCTCTCACCTCGGCCTTCCAAACTGCTAGGATTACAAGCATGAGCCACTATGTCTGGCCTAAATTAGAGTTTTTGATGGCTAGTCTTCCATTTTTTGGAAACAAAAATTAAGTCTGAAATAGTCTAGTGCAACATGTTGGATTTTAAGAATTTCTGTCTAGAGTTTGTTCCTTTTTCCTTTTTTTACAGCTGATAAGCAATTTGAACCTGAAGCAAAATAAAAACTTACGCAGACCTTTTGACCAAATTGTTTAAATGTGAAGTTACTCCAAGGTGTCTGACTGTTGCTTCTCATCTTAATTATGCAGCTTTAAATTTAAAAAATTTAAAAAATTTTGTTTAATTTTTTTTTAATTTGTGATGGAGTCTTGCTCTGTTGCCCAGGCTGGAGTGCAGTGGCCCGATCTCAGCTTACTGCAACCTCTGCCTCCCAGGTTCAAGTGATTCTCCTGCCTCAGCTGCCCGAGTAGCTGGGATTACAGGGGTGCACCACCACGCCCGGCTAATTTTTGTATTTTTAGTAGAGACGGGGTTTCACTGTGTTGGGCAGGCTGGTATTGAATTCCTGACCTCAGGTGATCCACCCGCCTCTGCCTCCCAAAGTGCTGGGTTAACAAGCGTGAACCACCGAACCTGGCCTAATTTATTTTTAATTTTAATTTTTATTTTTTATTGTTTTGAGATAGAGTCTCGCTCTGTCACCCAGGCAGTGGTGTGATCTTGGCTCACTGCAACCTCCGCCTCCGGGTTCAAGCAATCTTCATGAATAGCTGGAATTACAGGCATGCACCACCATGCCTGGCTAATTTTTGTATTTTTAGTAGAGACAAGGTTTCATCCTGTTGGCCATGATGGCCTCAAACTCCTGGCATCAAGTGATCCGCCTGCCTGGGCCTCCCAAAGTACTGGGATTACAGATGTGAGCCATTTTTAATTTTCGTGGGTACATAGTAGGCATATATATTTCTGGGTTACATGAGCTATTTTGATACAGACACGCAATGCATAATAATCACACCAGGGTAGATGGATATCTGTCATCTCAAGTATTTATCCTTTGTGTTTCAAACAGACCAGTTATACTCTTCCAGTTATTTTAAAATGTATGATTGGATTTTTTGTTGTTGTTGTTACTAAAGTCACCCTGTTGTGCTTGCAAATACTAGGGCTTATTCATTCTTTCTAATTTTTTGTACCAATTAACCATCTCCAAATCCCTTCTACCCCCCCACCAAGCCCTGTAAGCTTCCCAGCCTATGGTAACCATGCTTCTACTCTCTATCTCCTTAAGTTCAATTGTTTTGAGTTTTAGCTCCCACAGATAAATGAGAACATGTGATGTTTGTCTTTCTGTGCCTGGTTTATATCACTTAACATAATGACTTCCAGTTCCACCCATGTTGTTGCAAATGGCAGGATCTCATTCCTTTTAATGGCTGAATAGTACTCCATTGTACGTATGTATCACATTTCTTTCTTCATTCATCTGTTGATGGACACTTAGGTTGCTTCCAAATCTTGGTTATTGTGAATAGTGCTGCAGTAAACATGGGAGTGCAGATCTCTCTTTGATATACTCATTTCCTTTCTTTTGAGTATGTATCTAGGAGTGGAATTGCATGATTGTATGGTAGTTCTATTTTTAGTTTTTCGAGGAACCTCCAAACTGTTCTCCATAGTAGTTGTGTTAATTTACATTCCTACTGACAGTGTAGGAGGGTTCCCTTTTCTCCACATTCTCACCAGCATTTATTGCCTATCTTTTTGATAAAAGGCATTTTGAATAAGGGGAGATAATATCTCATGGTATAGTTTTGATTTGCATTTCTCTGATGATCAGTGATGTTGAGCACCTTTTCATATACCTGTTTGCCATTTTTATGTCTTTGAAGAAATGTCTGTTCAGATCTTTTGCCCATTTTTAAATTGAATTAGGGTTTTTTTCCCCAGTGGAGTTGTTTGAGCTCCTTATATAATCTGGTTGTTAATCCCTTGTCAGATGAGTAGTTTGCAGATATTTTCTGCCATTCATGGGGTTGTCTCTTCTCTTTGTTGATTATTTGTTTTGCTATGCAGAAGCTTTTTAATTTGATGTGATCCCATTTGTCCATTTTTGCTTGGTTGCTAGTGCCTGTAGGATATTGCTCAAGAAATCTTTGCCCACACCAGTGTCATGGAGATTTTCCCCAATGTTTTCTTGTAGTATTTCCATAGTTTGAGGTCTTAGATTTATGTCTTTAATCCATTTTAATTTGATTTTTGTATATGGTAAGAGGAAGGGGGTCTAGTTTCAGTCTTCTGCTTATGGATATCCAGTTTTCTCAGCACCACTTATTGAAGAGACTGTCCTTTCCCCAGTGTATGTTCTTGGTATCTTTGTTGAAAATGCATTCACTGTACATGTCTGGATTTATTTCTGGGTTCTCCATTCTGTTCACTGATCTATGTATCTGTTTTTCCAGCAGCATGCTGTTTTGGTTACCATAGCTCTGTAGTATAATTTGAAGTCAGGTAATGTGATTCCTACAGTTTCTTTTTTTTTTTTTCCTTAGGATAGCTTTGGCTATTTTAGGTCTTCTGTGGGTCCCTAAAAATTTTAGGATAATTTTTTCTATTTTTGTGAAGAATGTCATTCATATTTTGATAGGAATTGCATTAAATCCTTAGATTCTTTTGGGTAGTATGGACATTTTAACAATATTGATTCTTCCAGTCCATGAACATGGAATATCTTTCCATTTTTTTTTGGTGACTTCTTCAATTTCTTACATCAATGTTTTATGTTTTCATTGTAGAGATCTTTCATTTTTTTGGTTAATTCCTAGGTGTTTTATTTTATTTTATTTGTAGCTATTGTAAATGGAATTTCTTTCTTGATTTCTTTTTCAGATTGTTCACTTTTGGCATACAAAAATGATACTACTTTTTGAATATTTATTTTGTGTCCTGCAGCTTTACTGAATTTATCAGTTTAATAGTTTTTTGGTGGAGTCTTTAGATTTTTCCAAATATAAGATCATATAATCTGCAAACAAGGATAATTTGACTGCTTCCTTTGCAATTTGGATGCTCGTTTATTTCTTGCTCTTGTCTGAATGCTCTACAAAAATTTAATATATAAATATATGTAATATATATTATATGTATAAAGGGATCAATTCAGCAAGAGGATGTATATAGATAGATGTGTGTGTATGTATACGTATATATATACATATATATATATAGAGAGAGAGGATATATATGTAGTGACCTTCTTAGCTCTTCTTAACAGTTTCTATTTTGAAATCTTTTTTTTCTGATATAGCTACTCCTGTTCTTTTCTTGTTTCCATTGGCGTGGAATATCTTTTTCCATCCCTTTATTTTAGTCTGTGTATCTTCATAGGTGAAATGTGTTTCTTGTAGGCAACAGATCATTGGGCCTTATTTTCTTATCCATTCAGCCACTCTGTTTTTTGATTGCAGAATTTAGTTCATTTGCATCACATCAGTGCTCAAAAAGTTGTGGATTTTGGAGCATTGTGTATATCAGATTTTTGAATTAGGGAAATTCAACGTGTATTGGCAAGAGTTAAACATTCCACTCTTTCCTGGAGAACCTAAGTCACTTTGACATAGAGAAGCAGTCTTGATTTACATCCCAGATGGCAGAGCTTCAGGTAAGAGACAGTGTTCACATCCATCGTAACTTTGTTGCTTATAAGGACAAAGAACCTTGGGTTCATTTTATAATCCAATCCTGAAGTCTGCCCCTTTACATACAGCTCTCCTTTGCTCTAAGCCTATCAAAACACCACTTCATTTAAATTTCACCTCACTTCCATTTTATTCAAAATATTACAAAAACTCTTATCTTTTCTTTTGGTGAGATGCCCTAAGATTTCTCTGGCGTGTAGTTTTCCTCATTGCAATGGGTCAGTAAACCTGAATTTGTCAGATGACGGGTTTGTTCCTGTGGTCTGTGGCTGATCCGGCTAGAACACTGCCAATTCTTGAGACTTATTTGGGAAAAAAAAATTAAAAATGGATCAAGATGAGAGCTATGGCAGAGCTTGCTAGTAGAATAGAATTTATATATATATTCTTTGGGGCTTTATTTTCAAGTTCTGATAAGGTGTTATTATATAAATAAGTTATAGATCTGGAATCTTTTTGTGATTTAAAGTCAGAATTTAAAAGTTACTTATACTCATTTGTGGTATTGTTTGCAGCACTAGTTATTATAATATGATACAAATGCAGATAGATAACAGTGATTCATTAGGTAGCAACTCATAGGAAAAACTCTTCTAAATGGGGAAACTCATTCCTTTTCCAACACAATGAAAACTACTGAGGTTGATAAACAGAGAAACTTGTAGTGAGAAAATAGGGTATTATGCTTTGTTTCCGTGAGAGCAACATGCGTTAAATTGTAAAGCTAAATTTTAAAAGTGCAAAAAAGTACCAATAAGACCTTATTCCACTATTTTTTCATGGACCTCCAAAGTTAAATGTTATGGAATATTCTCTCCTGCCAGCCTTTGACATTAGTTTTTTCTTTCCTGAGAGGTAGTAGAGGTGCTTTCTGCCTCCTTATCTTTCATCATAGAGTGGCGAAACATTGGGGATATGATTTATCTGGTGCCTTTTCCCATCTCCCTTGAGTGTTTTTGTGGATCCCTTGCCACCATGTGCTTATTCAGTGCTGCCTTGTGTTTATCGCCATCATGAATAGAGTAGTTGTTACATCATTCATGATAATTATTCTTCAAAGGTTAATCATGGATAGCTTAGTCACTCTTAAATTTATTAGAATCATACTATGACTTGAGGCTGACTGAGCTGGAGAGATTGAATATTTACACATTGAAAGGTAATAATGCTCCAAAATAAAAAAGCAACTGACAAAGGACTTTTTGTTTTGTTTATCTGCAGTGTATTTCTTATTCTCAGTCCTCTGTTTATGACCAGTGATTTGGCTTCAAGGATGTTTATTTAGTACTTAATTTAGTTAGAAGGAAGATACGGAGATATGGTTCCTGCCTTCCAGTAACTTGTTATCCAATGTGAAAACTAGAATGTTTATGTAAGTAGCAGCCTAACTACGGAGAACCCATTGAGCAGAGTGTGTGTGCATATGTAGGTGGTGGTGCTGGCAGTAAGGAACGGTGATGGCTGTGACTAGAAAGACTTAATTCATGGGTCACTGAAGATCCGCCTTTGACTATTTACTCCGAAATACTCTGGGTTGGGAATATCTAGGTAGGATGCTGTGTGAAAGAATACACATAGTGCAGAGTGGCTGATGTAGCCTAACTTATATTTGGTGGGTTCCATAGAAGCTGTGAGTTCCACTTCCCTTGGGATAAGGAAGTAAAACTTCAGATGAGCCTTCAAGACTGGCTAGGATTTTGCTAGTAGAATAAGAGAATGGAGGGTATTCCACATGAGGATAGTATAAAAGCAAAGGTAGTATGAAAGTACTAGGCCTGTTTGGAAGTAGTAGTTTGATTTGTCTAGAGTAGTATGCTCTATGTGAGCATGGTGGGAAATAAGAAGTGGAAAACTGATGATAGTTTATGGAAAGCCTTAAATACTAGCCCAAAGCAGCCAGGCCCAGTAGCTCACGCCTGTAATCCCAGCACTTTGGGAGGCCGAGGCGGGCAGATCAGCTGAGGTCAGGAGTTCACGATCAGCCTGGCTTGGTGGCTCGCACCTGTATTCCCAGCTACTTGAGAGGCTGAGGCAGGAGAATCACTTGAACCTGGGAGACGGAGGTTGCAGTGAGCCAAGATCACACCACTGCACTCTAGCCTGGGTGACAGAGCAAAACTGCATCTCAAAAAAAACAAAAAAAAAAACTAGCCCAAAGGTTTAGATTTTACCCTGTAAAACAGTGGGATTTCGTTTGTTTTTACAGGTTAGTAACATGGTCAGAGTATAACTGTAGGCAGATTCAGTGTACACAGGCAGATGGGAGAGAAGCCCTGCTGGTGAGAAGACATGTTACTGTTGTGACAGCCATGCTTGAGTTATGTGCAGAGGGAAGGAAGGGGTGACTGCATGAGATTTTAGGGTGGATAGAACTTAAAACGTGATTGATAGGTTACAAGGGATAAGGGAGAGGTACGATATATGTAAAAATTGAGTTTATGGGAAGAATAGGTTTGTTGTTTTGATTTTAGAAACTCATTTTCATGAGTTTTATACAGCTGTGGTTTATGCCTATGTAACCTCAAGAACAGATCAGGAGCTGCTAAAAAAAATTATCTTTAAATCAGATCTGGTGAGAGAACAGAAAGTTGAGAAATTAAAAACGTCCAAAATTAGAACTATTTTATTTAACTTTTTTTCTTTTTTGGGATTTTTTTTTTCTTTTTCTTTTAGAGACAGGATCTCACCCTGTCACCCAGGCTGGAGTATAGTGATGTGATCATAGCTCACTGCAGCCCCAACTCCTGGGCTCAAGCGATCCTCCTGCCTCAGCCTCACTACTGGTTGGTATTAACAGGTGTGCATCACCACACCCAGCTAATTTTTTAGTTTTTTTTGTAGAGACTGGGTCTCGTTGTGTTGCCCAAGCTGGTCTCAAACTCCTGGCCTCAAGTGATTGTCCTGCCTTGGCCTCCCAATGTTCTGAGATTACAAACATGAGCCACTGTGTCCAGCTAAAACTATTTTAAACAATATGTCATTGTTCTTGTTGGTGGGCATGATAAAAACAGAAAATTTTTTGCCCATTGTATTCTTCACTTCCCTTAAAATCTACACCGTGCTCTATTTTTCCTTTTTCTGTCCTTACTCCAGAAACATTTTTTGAGTCTACTATAATACTTACTTTACATATAGAAACTGTAGGGTTGCTGCCATAATTTTTAGTAGGCAGGGGGCGCGATATACTCCAGAGGATTTTCACTAGAAATTCAGTCCTGAGTTACGGGTACCTTCCTTATTTTGGGCCTTCCATCAGAACCACTCGGGTAAACCTGGCTCTCAAAAGAGCTGGATCCAGGTAAGAAAAGGAGACCAAACAGGTTTATAGGTCAGGAAGCTCAAGTTAAGCCCTCCTTCCCTGACTACCTGGACACAATCCATTTGCACTAGAGAATGTTTTCTCAAATATTCCTTTAAAATAAGAAAGGAGTGGAACTGGTTCTTTGGGATGAAAAAAATCTTAATTCTTTTTATGTACAAAGCACAGATATATGTATGTATATATGCATAATACATAAACATGCAGAATATCTGTGGTATTAAAATTTCTTGGGGAGAGGCATTAGGAAAACAGAGTTGGGAAACACAGCATTAGGGTAGACATTTTTTCTTTTTATCTTAAAGTTGAGGTCTCACTATGTTGCCCAGGTTGGATCAAACTCTCACCTCAGTCCCCCAAATATCTGGGACTACAGGCTTCCAACACCATGCCCAGCTCTAGAGTAAGACTTTTTTTTTAGGGAGCCAGGGCCATGGTTTCTTTCTTTTCTTTTTCCTTTTCCTTTTCTTTTTTTGTTTTTTTAGATAGAGTCTCATACTGTCACCCAGGCTGGAGTGCAGTGGCACAGTGACAGCTCACTGCAGCCTCAACCACCCAGGCTCAGTCAGTCCTCCCATTTAAGCCTCCCAAGTAGCTGCGACTACAGGCTCACACCACCATACCCAGCTTATTTTTAATTTTTCTACAGATGAGGTCTCACCATGTTGCCCAGGCTAGTCTGAAACTCCTGGGCTGAAGCAGTCCACCTGCCTCAGCTTCCTAAAGTTCTGGGACTACAGGTGTGAGCCACTGTGCCTGGCTTCTTTTTTTGTTTAGATAGTTTGAGCAAGGGAATTTCTACTTGGCTTTGTGGAACCCAAGTTCAAAGGCCATTCAGTAACAATGTATGTAAATGTAAGTGATACTTATCTTAAACATTAATCAAGAACACTTACTAAAATACAGCCAAACAAATAAATAGACTCTAAGTTATTTTTATCAGGTGAAGTATTTGAAGGGTTGTTTTCTTCATTCTCATTTCTGAAAAAAATACAAATATTGCTGTTTTAATCATTTTTTCATTTGTTTTGAAATAAGTAGGAATCAATAGGATTATTAGATACTTCCTTTGTATTTCTGTGTTATTGATCAGGGCTTTAATATTTCTTCAAAAATTCAAAGTTGGGTGCTGCTTCTGTGGTTTTAGAAAAGTTTTTTCTAATTTTATGTTGTAATTACTTAAGCCAATTTCTTATCTTTTTAAAGATTAGCCAGTGGGTTTCAAGATACCCTGATAATTTAATATAGTGTTTCAGAGTATTTCCTGGTACTCCAGTAGTTTGACACAGTAATTGACAACTTAAGAGAAGTTGGAATGTTAGCCATAGATTACTGTGTAAACCAAAAAATAAAGTTCCAAGGCCTCCCAACCATCTAAACGAACCCCTCCACTGGGCCAAAGGCATTCCGAAGTTACCCTGAAAAATTCAGGCCATGATGGAAGCAGAGGTGGAACTACGCCCTCTTCCCTTTCTGAATTCAGGGAAAGCTGACTGGTATTAACATCAGTACAGATCTTACATCTCAAGAGAAACATTTCTTCGTCTGAAATTTCGTCTGAAACATTTACGTCTGAAGAGACGCCTACTACCTGGAGGTTTCATCTGCATGATAAAACCTTGGTCTCCGCAACCCCTTATCAGAACCCAGACATTCCTTTCTATTGATGATAACTCTAAACCAATTGCCAATCAGAAAATTTTTAAAATCTCCCTCTAACCTGGAAGCCACCACCTCCACCCCCACCCCACCACCCTGCTTCAAGCTGTCCCACCCTTCTAGATCAAACCAATGTAAATCTTAAATGTATTTGATTGATGCCTCAGGTCTTCCTAAAATGTATAAAACTAGGCTGTACCCTGACCACCTTGGGCATATGTTCTCAGGTCTCCTGAGGACTCTTTCATGGGCCATTGGTCACTCATATTTGGCTCAGAATAAATCTCTTCAAATATTTTACAGAGTTTGACTCCTTTCACGAACAACTGAAGTACTGTTAATTTCATTTATTGTTTCTACCATATGAAATGGAGTTTAGAAATTATGTATTTTGAATGACACCACACATGAAATTAAAAGTTAATTTGAAATTGACTTTAAAACACTTTTACATGTAACGTAGATGTGTGTTCTCACTTCTCTGTGTTTAAAATAGAATGGAAATGGGAAGATTTGAGAGTGAAATACCCATAACAATGGCATGAGAAACCTTGTTGATTTTTCGTAGTCTAAGCTTACATTTTTCTCTTGGCTATAGGACATTTTAAAAATTACTATGGGCCGGGCGCGGTGGCTCACGCCTGTAATCCCAGCACTTTGGGAGGCCGAGGCGGGTGGATCATGAGGTCAGGAGATCGAGACCATCCTGGCTAACAAGGTGAAACCCCGTCTCTACTAAAAATACAAAAAATTAGCCGGGCGCGGTGGCGGGCGCCTGTAGTCCCAGCTACTCGGGAGGCTGAGGCAGGAGAATGGCGTGAACCCGGGAAGCGGAGCTTGCAGTGAGCCGAGATTGCGCCACTGCAGTCCGCAGTCCGGCCTGGGCGACAGAGCGAGACTCCGTCTCAAAAAAAAAAAAAAAAAAAAAAAAATTACTATGGCGTAACCCAAAAATAAAATTCTAAGCCCCCCAACCGACTGATGGAGGCTCTCCTCAGCCAAGGGCATTCCAAAGTTAACCTGAAAAACTAGTTCAGGCCATGATGTTACCATCATAATGAGACTCCGACATCCTCATTATACCCTCCTCCCTTTGGAATTCAAGCTCAGCTGACCAACATTAACATTTAAATAGAGATCTTAAGACTAGTGAACAGACTTTTTATAGCAATAAGACACAGAATTCCAGCCTGACTCTAGTATAGCATCACATGACAGATAGCAGGCCCTGAAAGAAATAGAAGTATTTTATCCCAAGTATATTTCTTTGATATATTTTGAAATGGTCCTGCAAAGCCGTCTCTTGTGGGGGAAATCTGTATTCTATAGAGGATTCATTTTTCCTTTCCAGGTCTTTTTCCTGATCCAGGAGAGAATTAACTGAGTCTGGCACTTCATAGGTCTGACAAAAGCTCTGAAGTCTGCTACCTGGAGGCTTCATCTGCATGATAAAACCTTGGTCTCTGCTACCCATTATCTTTTTTTTTTTTTTTTTTTGAGACAGAGTTTCTCTCTGTTGCCCAGGCTGGTGCAGGGGCACCATCCTGGCTCACTGCAAGCTCTGCCTCCTGGGTTTATGCAATTCTCCTGCTTCAGCCTCCCAAGTAGCTGGGATTATAGGCATATGCCATCACGCCTGGCTAATTTTTGTATTTTTAGTAAAGATGGGGTTTCACCATGTTGGCCAGGCTGGTCTCGTACTCCTGGCCTCAGGTGATCCACCCACCTTGGACTTCCAAAGTGCTGGCATTACAGGCGTAAGCCACCGCACCTGGCCCACCTTACACGTTTTGATTGATGTCTTATGTCTCCTTAAAATGTGTAAAACCAACCACTTTGGGCACATGTTCTCAGGATCTCTTGGAGCTGTATTACAGACCACTGGTCATTCATATTTGGCTCAAAATAAATCTCTTCAAATATTTTAGAGTTTGTCTCTTTTTATCAATGGTGGTAAAAACACGTCACATGATACCTATTCTCTTAACAAATTTAAATATTTAGTACAGTATTGTTAACTATAACCATTATGTTATACATTATGCTCTAGAATATTTTCATCTTGTGTGACTGAAATTCTTTACACATTGAACAGCAACTCCTAATTCTTACTTCCCCCAGTCTCTGGCCATGACCATTCTGCTTCCTGGAGTGCAAATGTCTCTTTGAGATTCTAATTTCAGTTCTTTGGGGTATATACCCACAAGTGAGATTGCTGGATCATATTGCATTTCTATTTTTAATATTTAGAGGAACTTCTGTACTGTTTTCCATAGTGGCTACACCATTTTACATTCCCATCAACAGTGGACGGGGGTATTCATATCCTGGACAACACTTGCTATTGTCTTCTTTTTTTTTTTTTTTTTTATAATGGCTATCTGAACAGGTGAGAAGTGACATTATGTTTTTGATTTGCATTTCCCTGAAGACAGTAATGTTGGGCATCTTTTGATATAGATCTGTTGGCCATTTGTATATCTTTTTTTGAGAAATTTCTGTTCAAGTCCTTTGCTCTTAAAAAAAAAATCCCCAGTATGATTACTGTATAAATGACAAAAATTGTATACTGTTTGTTTACAGTTTACAACATGGTATTCTGATGCATATGTATGTTGTGAAATGATCAAATCAAGCTATTTCATATATCCATCACCCATTCAACCATAGCTCTTTTTTTTTTTTTTTTTTTTTGAGACAGAGTCTCACTCTATTGCCCAAGCTAGAGTGCAGTGGCACAGTCTTGGCTCACTGCAACCTCCACCTCCTGGGTTCAAGCAATTCTCCCACCTCAGTCTCCAAAGTACCTGGGATTACAGACACCTGCCACTATGCCCAGCTAATTTTTTGTATTTTTAGTGGAGTCTGGGCTTTGCCATGTTGGCCAGGCTGGTCTCAAACTCCTGACCTCAGGTGATCCACCCACCTCGGCCTCCAAAAGTGCTGGGATAACAGGCATGAGCCACTGCGCCGAGCCCTTTGCTCGTTTTTGAATCCAGTTATTTGGTGGGTTTTGTTTTGCTGTTGCATTGTAGGAGTGCCTAGTAACCCCTCATCAGATATATGGTTTGCAAATATTTTCTTACATTCCATAGGTAGTCTTTTAATTCTGTTTCTTGTGCTGTGCGGAAGCTTTTTAGTGGTGGAATTTCAGTTGTCTGTTTTTGCTTTTGTTGCCTGTGCTTTTAATGTCATATCCAAGTAATAATTGCCAAGACTAATATTATGAATGTTTTGGCCTGTGTTTTTCTATAAGAGTTTTATGGTTTCAGGCCTTGCATTTAAGTATTTAATTAATATTCAAGTATTTAATAAATTAAAGCTGAATTTTTTGTGTATGTAGGATAACGTCCAATGTCATTCTTTTGCATGCTGCCATCCAGTTTTTCCCAGCACCTTTGTTGAATACTGTTTTATCCCATTGCATAGTCTTGGCATCCTTGTGAAAGAGGATTTGACCTTATATGCATGTGTTTATTTTGGGTTTTCTTTTCTCTATTCCGTTGGTCTATATGTCTGTCTTTATGCCAGTGCCATATTGTTTGATTGCTGTAGCTTTGTAATATGTTTTGAAACCAGGAGTGTGAGACCTCCAGCTTTTATTCTTTTTTCTCAAGATTGTTTTGGCTATTTGGCGTTCTTTGTGGTTCTATCTAAATTTTAGGATTGTTTTTTCTATTTCTGAAAGAAAAAAGTTGCTGTTTGTTCTCCAGATTACATTGAATTTGTAGATCGCATTGGGTAGTACGAACATTTTAACAATGCTCTTTCAGTCCATAAACATGGCATGTCTTTACATTTATTTTTCTAATTAAACGTTTTGTAATTTTCAGAGTACAGGTCTTCCTCCTCCTTGGTTAAGTCTATTACTAGGTATTCTTTTTGATGCTGTTGCAATTGGGATTATTTTCTTAATTTCCTTTTCAGATTGTTGTTAGTGTATATAAATGCATTTGACTTTGTATCCTGCAACTTTGCTGAATTTGTTTATTAGTGCTAACAGTTTTTTTGTGGAATCTTTAGAGCTTTCTATATGCAATGTCATGTCATCTTCCAGCAAATATAATGTTACTTTTTCCTTTTCACTTTGGATGTCTTTTATTTCTTTTTCTTGTTTCTGGCCAAAGGACATTTAACATGATCCAGGATAAAGAATCAGAAGGATGAGAATTATTCCAGATGTATCAATTCTAAATAAGAGCTACTTATTTCAAAATAATATCTAGTAGAAAACTGTTCCTTCATGTTTATTTTTTTCAGGTGAATTTAAGTATAATTTTTTCAGGATTCAACTGGCATTTTTATTGGAATTACATTAATACAGTTATTAATTCATAAGGTACTTGCTGTCTTTACCATAGTAAGTTCTTCTATTCAGAAGGGAAGTGTCTTTTGTTTTTTTCAGGTCTTTTATCTCACAGAATACTTTGTTTTCTTATTTTCCTTTTGTCATCTTTATTTCTGTCTTCTACATGTTTAACATCTTCATGACTCTCATAAGCTAACATGGTTTTCCAGAAGCATCTTGACAGATGTCATTATAATGAAATAATTACTTGCAGTATCAAACAGCTATTTAACATGAAAACTAACAACAGAGCAGATTCTGTTTTAAATGATAATTTAATAATATTAAATTAAATATTTAATATTTAAATAAAATGTAGTTTAAATAATGTTTAAATAATCATTTTAAAGATTTTAAAAGCAAGTTTAAACTTTGTATGGAGCCTATGGGTTTTAAAGCTTATTCTTAGGTACACAATTTAATTTGACATATTCTAATATGTTATTGAAGGATTTTAAAAAATTGTTTCTGCCTTTTTTTCAAGTGTTTGTTGTCCAAGAGCACAGTCATATATAGTAAATAATGAAAATTTTGTATTTCTACTGTTTATACCGCCTTATTTTTTTTTCTTTTGGGTTTCAATTGGTTATTACCTTTAGAATAATTCATTAATTCATTTATATTGAAAGAGTCTAATGTGCTAGGGAAACACACATATAAGTAAACATATAATATGTTAAGTGTGGTACATGGGGAAAAATAGAGTAAGGGGGCATAGAATTGTGACTATGGGTAGTTGCTATAATGTATATTATTATAATATCATATTATTACATAAAACGTGATATAATTGCTATAATGTAGAGACAAAAGGGTGTGGGAGAGAGAGGGAAACAGAGAGAAAGAAAGAAACAGAAGAGAAACGGGAGGCAGAGACAGACAGATTTGCCTGAGATGATACAACTAGTAAGTTGTGAAACCAAGTTTTATAATTAGATATTCTGATTTCAAAGTGCATATCCTTAATAGTGACACTGTGCTAGATATGTAGACAAGGCCAGCAGCAAAGTATGGACTTAATGTGACAGAAATAAGGGACCTTTTCAGGGTTCATCTTTAAGCTGTTATTGTTTTGATTGTTGATATAGTTTAGCTGTGTTCCCACCCAAATCTCATTTTGAGTCATTCCCATAATCCCCACATGTTATGGGAGGGACTTTGTGGGAGGTAATTGCATCATGGGGGGCAGTTACCCCCTGCTGCTGTTCTCGTGATAGTGAGTTCTCATGAGATCTGATGGTTTTATAAGTGGCTTTTCCCCCTTTTGCCCATACTTCTTCCACCTGCCACCATGTGAAGAAGGATGTGTTTGCTTCCCCCTCTGCCATGATTGTAAGTTTACTGAGCCCTCCCCAGCCATGCCACACTGTGAGTCAGTTAAACCCTTTTCCTTTATAAATTACCCAGTCTTTGGTAGGTCTTTATTAGCAGCACGAGAATGGACTAGTACAGTAAATTGGTACCAGGAGTGGGGTGCTGCTGTAAAGATACCTGAAAATCTGGAAGCAACTTTGGAATTGGGTAACAGGCAGAGGTTGGAACAGTTTGGAGGGCTCAGAAGAAGAAAAGAAAATGTGGAAAAGTTTGGAAGTTCCGAGAGACTTGTAGGGCTCAGAAGACAGAAAGATGTGGGAACATTTGGAACTTTCTAGAAACATGTTGAATGGCTTTGATCAAAATGCTGATAGTGATATGGACAATAAAGTCCAGACTGAGGTGCTGTCAGATGGAGATGAGGAACCTGTTGGGAACTAGAGCAGAAGTGACTCTTGTTAGGCTTTAGCAAAGAGAGTGGCGGCATTTTGCCCCTGCCCTAGAGATCTATGGAGCTTTGAACTTGAGAGAGATGATTAGGGTATCTGGTGGAAGAAATTTCTAAGGAGCCAAGCGTTCAAGAGGAAGCAGAGCATAAAAGTTTGGAAAATTTGCAGCCCAACAATGCGATAGAAAAGAAAACCTCATTTTCCTCAGGAGAAATTCAAACCTGCTGCAGAAATTTACATAAGTAACAAGGAGCCAAATGTTAATCACTAAGACAAGGGGAACATGTCTCCAGGGCATTTCAGAGACTTTTGCAGCAACCCCTCCCATCACAGCCCTGGAGGCTTAGGAGGAAAAAATGGTACTGTGGGCCAGGCCCAGGGCTCCCCCTGCTGTGTGCAGCCTAGGGACTTGGTGCTCTGCATCCTAGCCGCTCCAGCCGTGGCTAAAAGGGGCCAACGTATAGCTCAGGCCATTGCCTCAGAGGGTGCAAGCCCCAAGCCTGGCAGCTTCCACGTGGTATTGAGCTCACAGGTGCACAGAAACCAAGAACTGAGGTTTGAGAACCTCTGGCTAGATTTCCAAGGATATATGGAAATACCTGGATGTCCAGACAGAAGTTTGCTGCAAGGGTGGAGCCCTCGTGGTTCTGCTAGGGCAGTGCAGAAGGGAAACATGGGGTTGGAGCCCCCACACAGAGTTCCCACTGCAGCACTGCCTAGTGGAACTGTGAGAAGGTGGTCACTGTCCTCTGGATCTCAGAATGGTAGATCCACTGACAGCTTGCACTGTGTGCCTGGAAAAGCTGGAGACACTTAATACCAGCCTGTGAAAGCAGCCAGGAGGGGAGCTGTACCCTGCAAAGCTACAGGGTTGGAGCTGCCCAAGGCCATGGGAGTCCACCTCTTGTTATCAGCATGACCTGGATGTGAGACATGGAGTCAAAAGAGGTCATTTTGGAACTTTAAGATTTAATGACTACCCTGTTGGTAGTCATTAAACTTTAAGATTTAATGACTATCCTGTTGGATTTCAGACTTGCAAGGGGCCTGTAGTCCCTTTGTTTTGGCCAGTTTCTCCCATTGGAACAGCTGTATTTACCCAATGCCTGTACCACCACTGTATCTAGAGAGTAACTCACTTGCTTTTGATTTTACAGGCTCATAGGTAGAAGGGACTTGCCTTGTCTCAGATGAGACTTTGGACTTGGACTTTTGGGTTGATGCTGGAGTGAACTAAGACTTTGGGGGACTGTTGGAAAGACATGATTGTGACTTGAAATGTGAGGACATGAGATTTGGGAGGGGCCAGGAGTGGAATGATGTAGTTTGGTTGTGTCACCACGCATGTCTCATCTTGAATTGTAGTTCCCATAATCCCCATGGGTTGTGGGAGGACCCAGTGGGAGGTAATTGAATCATGGGGGCAGTTACCCTCTGCTGCTCTACTCGTGATAGGAGGCCTATCTTTATAATGTATTTCTCATGAGCCTTGAACAAAGTTCTTTAAATCCTTTGGATTATTAATGTATTAAACTCTACTTTTTTCTTACCCAAATCTACATTTTTTATTTACCTTTAAAAATCGAGTATGTGGAATTTTTCTTTGAATTTTTTTCCCACAAAAATGTTGAATTTAATTTGACCATTCTCACAATCACATAGAGTTGACTTAATAGTACAAAATGATACACTTTGGATCAGTAGTATTTCATGGGAAGGCTGCAGTTGAAAACCTAAAGCCACTAATACATTCTATTAGAAATAAAAGGAATAATATGTAGGCAATTAATTATATAAAACATGCTAACAATTGGATGAAATTAAACCAAAAGCTGATATTCTGGATTTACAGTCATCATAGAAAGGAATTATGTGGTGCTGTAGATTGATTCAGTCAACAGTTCTTTATTGATCACATCTTTGGTACTAGGGGTACAAAGATGATGAAGACATAATGCTATCCTAGAGGACTTTGTATTCTAGTGAAGGCAAAGACATGCAGACATCAGTGTAATATAATAAAAGTGCTCAATACAAAGATCACTGTAGAAGTTATGATGCTTATAGTTATCTGTAACAGAAACCCCAGCTGAAGTGGCTTAAACAATACACAGAGTTTATTGGTCATGTACAGGTATATCTGAAAATTACAGAGACAGGTGAGGCTTGCTGTAATAGCTCAGTATGCTTCCTTTTACCTGTTTCTCCTCAATGCTTTCCACATGTTAACTTTATCCTAAGGCTGACTCCCTTTGAGGTTGTATCATGACTACTAATAACTCTCAGGGCTACCCCCAGAAAGAGAGCTTTTGTCTTCCAACCATCAGACTAAAGTCTTGGGTTCACTCTGACTAGATCAACTTTTACTGTATGCAACTCTTTCACTAGATTGACTAAAAGTATAATTTTGGGTTGAGTGAGAAACTAAAAGTCCAGAACTTCCAAAGTACCTAGTATACCTATAAAAATTGGTGTTAGTCTTATTTTGGCTTTATTATTCCTAATTTTGTTTTCTTCTAATATACAGAAAATCAGGAATCCTCAATGGTGGGAAGTAAATTGATAAGATCATAGTTCAATAATCTTCCAAATTTTTGAAAGCCTAAAAATTATGTCTTTGGAGATTTGTGATTTTGTGCTCATATCAACGCAGAAATTAAGAACCCAACATAACAACTGTCTCTTCTCCATTATTTCTTTCCTTGTAACTGGGACAGTAAGGTGGATTTTGATATTGGGTTCACATGGTTCATGGTTGGGCTGTTTCAAGTCTCAATTACATTTGCAGTAGCAAAATGCCAAGGCCAGAAATGTCAGGGCTTACCACAATGACCTTATACTTATGATTTGAGCAGTAATTGGGGAAGCCTTCTGTTTTTTACTTTGCTACTAATTTACATTTAATCAGGCTATTCATAGTATATAATACTTTAAAAGCTGAATTAGTAATACAAAGCTACTTTTCTTTCAGAGTAAGCACTTCCATTTGTTCTCTTTCTGCATAGTCTCTGGTTCACCACATTTGCATTCACTGCAGTTCTGTTTCTCTCCATGACAAGTGTTCATTCAGGAGCCACAGCATGTGACACTGCTATAGGATTGCCAGATCTTATTTTAGAGAATTTGGACAAGGAGGCAGTAGGAGAGAGATTATTTGCTAATAGTCTGACCAGGCTAAAATACAGTCCCATTCTGCATTATAACACAGTTGGAACAAGGCACTCAAATACAGGATAAGCCTGTGAATGTGGGCCATCTGGTAATCCAGTACTGCTTGAGTGTAGGCCTCTCAGCTCTACAAACAGCCTGTGGAGATAAATTTGACACACTTGGTGTATAAGGGTTCCTGCCCTAACTTAGAAAAGAATTACTTCTTTGTGCTAAAATTATATTAAATGTTACTTGGAAATAAAGGAAAAAGTAATTTACATTTCCTATTGATGGATTATACCGATGATTATGTCCAAGGCATAATAATAATAGCAAATACTTGTATAAAGCATACTCCATGCCAGGCACTGTTCTAAGCATTTTACATGTATTGGTTCATTTAACCCTTACAACATTCCTATGAGATAGGCTATTATTATTTTACTGAGGATGGAATTGGCACAGAGAAGTCAAATAATTTACCCAAACTCACACCGCTTAGTGTGGAACAGAGTTAGGATTTTAATCCAGAAAGTCTGGGACCAGAGTTCATGCTTTTAAGCACTATGCTATATTTTCTCTCAAGTCAGGACTGAAATTGTCATTAAAAGTAATACCATTAACTTATTGGCTATGTTTTATTTATAACTCATTAATTATGTTATACTTATTAATACGTATAATTATTTTATTGTGTTTTGAAATAAATGAGCATTTTGAAACTTACCTCTAAATATTCAACATGCTTGTTTTTTATTCCAGGAGAAGACTTTGCAGTTGTGCAGCAAGAAATTATTATGATGAAAGACTGTAAACACCCAAATATTGTTGCTTATTTTGGAAGCTATCTCAGGTATACTGTTTGTTTCCCTTTTGAAAAGCAATAATGATTTCATCACCTAATGCATTAAACAAAATAAAGTTAGTTTTAATACCATGTTTTGTAGTTTTTCTTCATGCTTTGAAGATAGGATATTTTCATACCAATGGAATTTTTACTTAGGACCTATGTTAATTCTGTAACCAATATTGCAGTCGTATGACTTGGGAATTCTAGATGTGCTTTTAGTGAAAATGCTGGCAAGTAAAAACCTTACGGTTAGTCTTCCAGTGGTGGACTAGCGATCTAAATATGCCATTCTCTTGCCCCTTTCTTCTGGACTTAGGTCAGTGTAGAGTCAGGAGCATCTCTTCCAGCTATGTGTTTATCAAAAACTTTTTTTTAATTTTGTGCTTCTGGTCTAAGAGTACTATATTACTTTATCCCTTTCCTTCATTGTATCCAAAGAACTAGGAACTATAATCATCTCAGTAACTTATTTTTCCAGGTCCTAAAGTGAACTTAGGACTGTGAATTTCCTTTCTCTTACTTTGTTTTGGTAGCCAGACCCAAGCCAGGTTCTTAGGTTATATTGCATAGGCGATCACCTTAGGGTCAAATCTTGTTTTCCATTCACTTCTACATGCAGCTGTGAGTTGATCACTGGTGACCTAGTTGTTTTTAAGCTTCCTCCAAGGGAAGATTAGAGAATATTTTACTATTTTTTTCCTTTCTTTCTTTTGTGGGGGCGGGACAGAGTCTCACTCTGTCACCCGGGCTGGAGTGCTGTGGTGTGATCATGGCTCACTGCAGCCTTGACCTCCCTAGGCTCAGGTGATCCTCCCACCTCAGCCTCATGAATAGCTGGGACCACAGGTACGTACCACCATGCCCAGCCTTTTTTTTTTTTTTTTTTTTTTTTGAGGTGGAGTCTTGCTCTGTCACTAGGCTGGAGTGCAGTGGTGTGATCTCGGCTCACCGCACCTTCCACCTCCCGGGTTCAAGTGATTCCCCTGCCTCAGCCTCCTGAGTACCTGGGACTGCAGCCACGTGGCACCACGCCCAGCTAATTTTTTGTGTTTTAGTAGATGGGGTTTCATCATGTTGGCCACGATGGTCTTGATCTCCTGACCTCGTGATCTGCCTGCCTCAGCCTCCCATAGTGCCGGGATTACAGGCGTGAGCCTCCGCACCTGGCCTAATTTTTGTATTTTTTATAGAGACGGGGATCTCACTATGTTGCCCAGGCTGGTCTCAAATTCCTGAGCTCAAATGATCCAAAATGCTGAAATTACAGGTGTGAGTCATCCTGCCTGGCCTTCCCTATGTATTAAAAAAACTCTTCAGTTTTTCTTCAGCATACTTTAGCAACATCCAACATACTGTAACTTATTGCAGGTTCCCATTTTCATATGATCCAGGTACAAAACACTTTTTCTCTTCTCTTTTGGGCACAACAGAAAAGACTAGGGTATTCTGCCCTGTCATCTTTCTAGCTTTTGAAAAACCAACTGGACCTGCTGTTCATGGTTGTAACCACTCTTGTACAGCTTTGATTGCCCCACCTTGGTTAAGGTAGAGGTGTGGGAGTTTTTTTGTTTTTTTTTTGTTTGTTTGTTTGAGACAGAGTCTCACTCTGTTGCCCAGGCTGGAGTGCAGTGGCATGATCTCAGCTCAGTGCAACCTCCCGGACTGGAGTGCAGTGGCGTGATATCGGCTCACTGCAACCTCCACTTCCCGGGTTCAAGAGATTCTCCTGCCTCAGCTTCCCAAGTAGCTAGGACGATAGGCACACGCCACCACACACAGCTAAATTATTTATTTATTTATTTATTTTTTGAGATGGAATCTCAGTCTGTCACCCAGGCTGGAGTGCAGTGGCGCGATCTCAGCTCACTGCAAGCTCCACCTCCCGGGTTCAAGCCATTCTCCTGCCTCACCTTCCGAGTAGCTGGGACTACAGGCTCCTGCCACCACACCCGGCTAATTTTTTTGTATTTTTAGTAGAGACGGGGTTTCACAGTGTTAGCCAGGATGATCTCGATCTCCTGACCTCGTGATCCACCCACCTCAGCCTCCCAAAGTGCTGGGATTACACGCGTGAGCCACTGTGCCTGGCCTTTTTTTGTATTTTTAGTAGAGACGGTGTTTCACCATGTTAGCCAGGATGGTGGCTAACCTGTTATTCCAGGATAACCCCACTCATTTATGTGGCACCCTTGGTATGGTAAAATGAGCATGATCTTTTTGCCAGAGACAAATCGTATCTTTGGTAGTTAAGAGGTTAAGTTCTGGAGACAGATTGTCTGGTCTGAGACCTGGTTCTATCACTTATTAATCAATTATTTAACCAGTTTGTGCCTCTGTTTCCTCATCTATAAAACAGATGATAATAATATCTACATGACAGGATAGGTGTGAGTACTTCCTGGGTAACTACGTGTGAAATACTAAGAACAGTGCTTAGAATGTAATAAATGCTCAATAGGTATTTGCCGCTGCTACTACTACTATTGCTGCTGCTGCTGCTGCTGCTGCTGCTGCTACTACTACTACTTCTTAACTTTTTAAAAGTATCATTATTTTAGTGCCTCATTTGGTCTTTCAGCAACCTGGATAGCAGTATAGCTGTGGTAGAAATTATTTCCATTTTACAAATAAGATTCTTGAGAGAATTTAACATCTAAGTTTTTTATTTTATGATTTTGCTTCATTCCAAATACAAAAAGCAAAATTACCCAGAAACCAAAGTAAAACAGACAAAAGTAGGATCATTTTTTTCAGTAAAACTATGTTCTTTTTAGTGTTGTACAATCTAATATTAAGAAACACTGATTTAAATATATTATTTTATTCTGTAAATGGGTATAGCTGATCAAAGTGATTTGAAGGTAAATGGTAGTATAATGTAGGATAGCAATTAATTTTATCTCTCTCTTGCTCTTTTCTTCTGTAGAGATTCTTCCCTTATTCCCTAATTGAAGTTCAGGCTCAGCCAAGGTTGGAGTAGGGAATCCTAATGATTAGACTTGTAGGATGTTAGAGCTGTAAGGGGCTAAGAGATGTTGTCATATAGCCCATTCTTGGTTATAGATGAGAAAATGAAGTGGGGTATAAATGACTTACTTAGTCTATCCAACGTCTCATTAGTGGCACTGGGATTTAATCCTGGCTTTACAAGTAGCTAGTCTGATGTCTTTTTTGGCATACTGTATTGCTTAGCCCAGAAAGGCCAGATTTAGTCTCAGAGGGAACGTGATTTCTTGAATTCTTTCTCATTACTGAATGACTTTACAAAGGAGGATCTTGTTTGAACTTGATAGAAACCCCGTAAAATATATACTGTTCATTGCAACATTCTTCCTTCTATGTTGTTGCTATTACAACCTGTATAACAAATTTAGACAAAAAGTTAAGAAAACTGAGCAAATGTAGTTTGACCATTGATAAATTTCCCCCTCAGAGAATCAGATTTACCCTATGAATTTTCTTAGTAGATGACTAGCATATAATTAAGTTTCAGAAGTCCATTTTATATCAGGGTAGCTGTGCTCGCTTATGAAGAAATACTGAAACTGAGCTTCTATAAAGCAGAATACCTGGCATTCTTCTTAACAAGACCTTTCCTACTCCACTGTTCAATATCATTAATATACCTACAATAAAAGTAGATAGACAAAGCATTAACATTTAAAAATTTTAAATAGTCCCGGTTTGGTATGTATTTGTATCTGAATATATATGTTTGTGTATTTATAAAACAACAGAATTAAATCATTATAGACTTATTCTTTACAATTCTTTTGGAGCTTAACTATTACTTCTTTTAAACTAAAGATGAGTTTAAATTAATTTCAGGTTCCTTCTAAGCATTCCTTAGCCCAGCATATCACTTAAGAATAAGTTAAGAAAATGGAGACATTCCTCTCAAGCTTGAACTCAATAAAGCTTAGGGGGAAAAACAATAAATGCTCATTTATTTATTTTTTTTGATACAGAGTCTGGCTCTGTCGCCCAGGCTGCTGTGCAGTGGCAGGACCTTGGCTCACTGCAACCTCCACCTCCCGAGTTCTAGAGATTCTTCTGTCTCAGCCTCCCGAGTAGCTGGGATTACGGGCGCACGCTACCACACCCAGCTAATTTTTGTATTTTTAGTAGAGATGGGGTCTCACCATATTGGCCAGGCTGGTCTTTAACTCCTGACCTTGTGAGCCACCACGCCTGGCCAACAAATGCTCCTTAAACAATAAGCCAGTAGAAGATTTGATCCATACAGTAAAAACTATTTAGAATAGATATTTTAAACTTTTGGGCTGGGTGCGGTGGCTCATGCCTGTAATCCCAGCAATTTGGGAGGCTGAGGCAGGTGGATCATCTGAGGTCAGGAGTTTGAGATTAGCCTGGCCAACGTGGCAAAACTCCCATCTCTATTAAAAATACAAAAAATTAGCTGGGCATGGTGGCACATGCCTGTAGTCCCAGCTACTAGGGAGGCTGAAGCAGGAGAATCACTTGAACCCAAGAGGCAGAGGTTGCAGTGAGCCAAGATCACTCCACTACACTCCAGCCTGAGTGACAGAGCGAGACTCTGTCTCAAAACTAAAGTAAAATAAATAAACCTTTGAAGTACAGAGTACTAGTTTAGATGAGCATACTTTACCTCATAACAACTTAAATAAGTAAATCACCACCATTTACAAAGTGTTTATACATTATTTCTTAGCATGTAGAGTGCAGTGTTGATTTCCACAGAAAGATATCTAAAACCTAATCCTTCCCTTTAAGGAGCTTATAATCTAACAGGAGAAGTAGGCATGAGCAAATAATCGTAACATAATATGCTAGATGCAGTAATAATTTAGAAGTAAGGCACAGAAGTGCTAAGGATGATAGACTCTCTGATTTTTGTCAATGTAGGGGAATCAGAGAAAGCTCTGTGAATGATGTAATTCCCAAATATTGGGTGTTAAAAGATTGGTAGATATTTATGTGTATAGAAAATTGGAATTTTTGGCAAAGGGAACACATGCATGAAAAACTGTGACATATTCAGGAGACAGCTACTGGTCTCACATTAGAGCCTGAGAGGGAAAAGGGGGTACATAGTTACTTCTCAGTATGTGCAGAGATTGGTTCCGGAACCCCAGTGGATACCAAAACCCATGAATGCTCAAGTCCCTTATATAAAGTGGCATAGCTATGCACATCCTCCAGTTTAAAATTATCTCTAGGTGACATATGATACCTAACACAGTGTAAATGCTATGTAAATAGTGTAATACTTTATTAATTTGTGTTATTTTTATTGTTGTATTATTTTTATTTTTTCCCCTCTGAAAATTTTCAGTCTCCGGTTAGGTGAACCTGCGATTGGTTGAACCCCACAGGTGCTGGACCTGTGGCCTCCAGAGGGCCACGTGTAGTTGGAGTAGATAAGGTTGTGGAGATATGGGCAAAAATGAATCTTTTATCCCTTAATTAGGACCTAAGGGACTGAGCATACTTGCTGAAAGATTTTAACAGAGTTAGTATATTCTGTGGAGGATGGACCTAGGGTGGAGGGGATTAAAAGAGGCAATTTAGTTAAACTAATTATGGTGTATTTATTACAGTAATCCAGGAAAGAGATGTTGGTCTCTTGAGTTATATAAAACTGGGAAAAAATTTTTTCTAGAGCCAGAGACAGTGCTAAGAAGGGAAACAACTGGATCTTAACTCGAAATACATTTATGAATATCTTTTTGAATACTTAGAATATGAGAATAAAGATTACAGTTAAGTCACTTTATACCCAGCTACTCTTGCTTTTAAAAAAGGGAACTTTCTAGTTTAGGAATATTTTACATTTACGAAAAGTTGCAAATAGTACAGAGTTCTCTGTATTTCCTTCACTCAGCTTTCTCTGATGTTTACATCTTAACGCAGCCATGGCACACTTTTCACAACTACGATATTAACATTGGTGCGATACTATTAGCTAAACTCAGTATACTTATTTGGATTTTATCAGTTTTCTGTTCATGTCTTTCTCTTTTCTGTTTTTGAGAGGAATTAGGAATATATCTGAAAGTTGATGTTAATTTGTTATTTGTTTAAGCCAGGGTTTCTCACCTTTGGCATTATCAACACTTAAGGCCAGATACTTTTTTGTTGTGGGAGATAGTCCTGCGCATTGTAAGATAGTTGTTAATATTAGTACCCCTGTCCTCTGTTAGTTACCAGTAGCACCCTTTCCCCTAGTTGTGACAACCAAAAATGTATCCAGGCTTTGCCAAATGTTCCTTGGGGGACACAGTCACTCCCAGTTAAGAACTACTACTCTAAGCAAAAAAACTTTGGTGAAGTTACAGATACGTTCCTTTACCAGTATTGCTAGGATATTTTCTATAGATCATTAGTTCTGAGGGATACAAATATGTATTTTGTAAAAAAATGGGTGTATTGAAAAAATAATCTGGGTAAATAGTAAATTAAACAGAATTAGAAGTTTTATTTCTTCTTTTTCTTTCTCCTCCATCTCCTCCCCCTCTCAACTTTTCCCATCCCCCTTCTCCTCTTTTTTCGCTTCCTCCACCTCTTCCCACTTTATCTTCTTTCTGGTACCCTTCATCCTTCCATTTTGTTACCTCTCCCTTCTCTTCCCTTCTCCCTCCTCTGTCTCTCCAACCGCCTTCTCACTACAGGATTTCTCAGAGCCTTTAATATACCAGTGGCCTTGCTAATTTTCAAGAAAAGACTATGTGATATTTTTAAAAACTGATTTAACTATACGGTGGTTTCTTTCTGGAAGCATACTTCATGTAGGATTGATGTTCAGTGGCCCACCCTTTGGAAATATTATGCTGAACACTGGGGGATTATTAGGTATAATTATAGAGAAATAGATCAGCTTGTATCCCCCTGAGTACAGCATCCTTACCCCTCCTTATTAAAGGGAAAGCAGATGGTATAGGTTACCTATAAATAAATTTGGAATGCAATTATTTTTCCTTATTAGTAATTTTTAAATCAACCAAAAAAGTTTAAAAATTTTCTTCACGTTAAATAAGTTATTTATATTAAAACATCTAGCAGTTACTAAACTTTGTTTTTCTCATTGATGATTAAGGTTGAATTATTTTGCTGAATATAGTGGAATAGCCATTGCTTTGGTCAGCAAGACAACAACTCACAGTACAGTACAGGAATCAGGGGACTGCAGTGTACAGGATAGCTAGCCATCCTCTCCCAGGGAGGAAGACTCCGTATGCCAACTTCAGGCAGATATTAGAGAGTTGCTGATCCTCAGTAGTCTTGGTCACATTTTATTTTGCTGTTTAAATTATGCTATATTTGAGAAAAATATATAAATAATTATACTTAGTTTGGTCAGTTTTAAGTCTGTGATGTGTTACAAAATGTGGGAAGATTAAAAAGTGTGTTTTAGGAATTATAAGAATTTCAGAACCATAAAATAGCTATTAGAATTTTGGTCCCTGTATGCTCTGGTAGACATCAAAATAGTTAACTTTTCCCCCTCTACTTAATTTTCTGTTTCTTATAAGATAAATAATTTTACAAAATGAGAAAAAAGAATTCTGAGGATTTGTTGAATCAGGATGTTAATACTGATACATTGAATATTTACTTCAGTGGTTAATTTTATTTCAATTCAGATACCTAGGGACAAAGATTTTATAATTGACCTGCATAAAATGGGCTGATTGACTGAAGTCCTTTCCTATTAGGCATATGGCTTAGTGAATGACCAAAAGCAAATGTAGATTTGTCATTATAAGAAAGATATTCATGGGACAGATGAAAGTCATTTCTCTAATAGACTATGACTACTCAAGCTTTTGGATAATACTAGACTTTAACTAAATAGAATATTATAAAAGTAAAGTATTTTAGGCATCTTAAAAAGTAAAGTATTACTATATAGTCGTGATTTTTTTTTCTGCCTATAAGCTGGAAAGTCATTTTACATAGGATGAATAGAAAATTGTATATTTAAGCAAAGGAAGAAAAGAGAATAGACCAACTTCAAGTAGAAGGTAGTGTCATATTGAAATATATAAAAAGCGAGAACTCATTTCCTGCATTCATTTTCTCTAGCAAGGAAAATTGTTTTCAAACTGGAAGGGGTAGGAAAAACACTATTAAGATGGAATTGAAACACAAGATGGTGAGTAGATAATTATAGAGCAGCTAGACACCTTAAATTTTTAGAAACTTTTAGATTTATGTAAATTATATCTCATATTGAAAGTTCAGCAAATGTGATGGTAGTCCATTATCAATGAGTATTGACAAACAGAAGAGGTATCAGAGATTAGAGATCAACAATGAACAGTTTGTAAATGAAGGGAGAAGTTGGTTTCCAGAAAATACAGACTATTAAAGTTGATATCACTCATTGATCACTAGCAAAGCTCTAGGATAAATTTCTAATCAGATAATTAATGACCACTTATAAGAAAGAAGTTGTGATTAACATGACTTTAGTAAGAATATATGCCTGATCAATCCCATCTCTCTTTTTTCCTTAAAAAAGAAAAAAATTTATTTATTTATTTATAGTTTCACCGAGTTCCAGGAGCAATTTAAGATGACTTAAACATCTTTAAGTTAATTTACAAGTTAATTTAAGTTATACTACACTACACTACAAGTTAATTTAAGTTACACTACACTTAAATTAAGATGACTTGTACACTACAATATAAATTATAACAAAAGGAGTAGAAAACAACTTACATTTATTGTGCTATATTCCAGGTCCTTTACTAAGCAGTTTACATGTTATTCTGTTAATTCTAAGCAGACCCCAGAACAGTCATTCAACCTGTTTTTTGTAAGCTGTGTGAAGTCCTAGTTGCTTGCATCTTAAGAACTCTAGGCTGGCATTTAACATGAAAGATTCACTTGTGGCAGATGTGAAGATATTTTAGAGCTATGGTTCTCAAAACATTTTGGTAATAGAACCCCTTTATTTTATACTCTTAAAAATTGCTGAGTACCGCAAGAGAGCTTTTGTTTTATATGAATTATATCTATTGATATTTACCATATTAGAAATTAAAGCTGAGACATTTTTAAAACTCAAGAATACAACATAAGCTCGTATTCCAGTAGCTGTCAGGGATGACGTCATTTTCACACTTCATGTAGTCTCTGGAAAACTCCATTGTACTCTCATGAGAGAAAGAGAATGTAAAGAGCAGATAATTTCTTAGTGTTATTAAAATGGTTTTGACCTTGGTGGCCCTCTGAAAATGTCTCAGGGACTCTCATGGGACCTCCAGATCACACTTTGAGAACCACTCACTCTTTTAGAGGAAGGATTCAACTAACCTATAGAGATCAGGTTATGGAATCCTGCATTCTAGATATATCCAAATTGGAGCCTAAGCAGCATTCCAAATATTGTTGACTTGCCAGAGCCTTTATATCTCAGGCAGAGGCAGAGAAGTGCCAAATGGTAATTCTAAGTAATCTGCATAGAGTGTCTTTCATGTTTTAAAATATTTGTAATATTACTTAAGCTCATTAGTAAACCCACTAGTGCAGATTAAAATAGTTTATAAGCCAAGTTCTTACAATTGCTGCTTCTGGAGGGTGGACTCCTGATTTAGGTTCGTTCAGATGCTAACCAACTGCTTCTGGATTGTGGGGGTTGGGAGCAGGAGTGGAGAGGTGTATTTCCAATTAGGATACTTTAAAAAGTTAGCTCACTGCCCCAAGGGTGTGGATTAAACCTAATGCAATGTGTGTGATGCTTTCTTTGCCGAAGCATTTTAAAGTGATATGCTGGGAGAGCTAATAAGACACCTGTCAAAAACAAAGGGAAATGAATCAAAACTACTATTTTTTTTTAAGTATAAGATTTAACAAATAAGAAAAAAGTCCTATGCTTAGTGTCATTGAACCAGGTAGACAAATATGAAGCTGGAGAGAGAACTGGTCTGCCTTTTGTTTTATAAAGATCCAGAGGTTTTGATTAACTACAAACAGTAAACTAGCAGTTTAATGTAGTTGCTGAGAAGTTAACGATAGCTTTCAGCTAACTTAATAGAAATACAGTGATCAAATAAAGGAGATAGTGGTTACATTCTCTGGGGGATTAGAAAGACCACACATCTGCCAGTCTCAGACATCTATTCTGAAAGTTCTTAATACCAGGCCACTGGGCAGCTGGCACATATTTATATAATTTATAGCTATTGGTATTTACCATATTAGAAATTAAAACAAATTTTTATATCAGCTGTATGCTTCAATTTCATTGTTATGTGAACCACCTATGAATTGCAGATCCTGGATGGCTTCAGATTTATTTTGGGCTTCACTCTTTTTTTTTTTTTTTTTTTTTTTTTTTGAGACAGAGTCTAGCTCTGTCACTCAGGCTGGAGTGCAGTGGAACGATCTCTGCTCACTGCAAGCTCCGCCTCCCGGGTTCATGCCATTCTCCTGCCTCAGTCTCCCGAGTAGCTGGGACTACAGGCACCCACCACCACGCCTGGCTAATTTCTTCTTGTATTTTTAGTAGAGACGTGGTTTCACCGTGTTAGCCAGGATGGTCTCGATCTCCTGACCTCGTGATCCGCCCGCCTCGGCCTCCCAAAGTGCTGGAATTACAGGCGTGAGCCACTGCATCTGGCCCACTCTTTTTAGCATTATTTTCTAGAATCATGATACCTTGCTACTTCATACTCTTAAGTTGGTTGACCTTTGCGCTCTGATAGCTTGTGCTTTCTTTTTGTATGCTACCTTGTCCACTACGGTCAAGTCAGCTCACCTCTTAGGTCCAGCTAATTCTGCTACTACCCAACCATATGTGACCTATGGCTGATAAAAGCATCTCTGCTTTTTTGTTTTCTTTAAGATTCAGATCTCGGTCTGTCACCCAGGCCAGAGTGTGGTAGCACTATCATAGATCACTATAACTTCGAACTCCTGGGCTCAAATAATACGCCCCGCCCCGCCCTGCACCTTCCCCCCGACCCCCTGCACCCTGCCTCAGCCTCCTGAGTAGGTGAGACTACAGGTATGCACCACTTCTCCTGGCTAACTTTTTTTGTTTGTTTTTTAAGAGATGAGAGTCTCACTGTGTTGCCCAGGCTGGTCTCAAACTGTTGGCCTCAAGAAATCCTCTTCCCTCAGACTCCTGTGTTACTGAGATTACAGGTGTGAGCCACTGGGCCTGGCTCAGCATCTCCACTTTTTAATGTATTGTTCATGTAACACTCAGAATCTTAGTACTTGATTTTTTGGGTGCCACATTTTAAGAGACACAAGGACTGACTAGAGATTATCTACAGGAAGGTAACTAAACTGAGAAGCTAGTAAACATAGGATTGTTTCACAGTGTGACCCAGCCTATTCTGGGTTTATTTCCTGCTACTGTCTCTTCAGGCAGTCTTTCTTCAACTCCCACTAAATCACCCACAGTCTCCCACATGTGCATTTCTTTCAAGTTTTCATTCTTTTGCACAGGTCCCTTTCCTGTCTCTCCCTGGTAAATTTCTACTTTAATTTCAAGACCCAATTTAAATGTTTTCTCCTCCCTAAAACTTTCCATTCATTTTCCTAGGTATTTTCATCTCTGGGTTCCCACAGTACTTTATACATGCCTGGATTATGCATTCATCAAATTATGATCTAACCCAAGTGAGCAGACTTTTTCTATAAAGGGATACATAGTAAATATTTTAGGCTTTGTGGGCTACATGGTCTCTGTCACCACGACTAAGCTCTTCTGTTCTAGCGTGAAAGCAGCCATACAGTATAGAAATAAATGAGTATGACTGTGTTCCAATGAAACTATTTATTGGCACTAAAATTTGAATTTCATACAATCATCATATGTCAAGAAATATTTTTGTTATTTTCTCAACCATTTTATTTATTAATTGTAGTTACAAGTAACAACCATTCCCAGCCATTTTAAAATAGGAAAACGATTCATAGTTGCAGAGGTGTACAAAATCAGGCAGCAGGCTAGATTTGGTCCGCTGGCCATATTTTCCTGACCTCAATCTAATTCGATATGTTTATTCTTTCAGTCACTCATGCAATCATTCATTTATGGAACAAATATTATTTGCTGGATATTCTTCTAGACACTAAGAAGGCAGTGGTGAGAGAGACAGACATATATTAAGGTAGAATCTTTCTTCTGCATTAGAGCTTGCTGAGTTCAGGGATTTTCTGTCCCATCTCTGTACCATGAATGGTACATTTCCTGGTACATTTTTAAGAGATTAAATAATGAATGACTGAACAAAGGAATGACCTATATAAATCACAGCTGATTATTTCTCCTATGACTATATGATTACAACAGCTTATAATTTGAGTATGAGAGAGAAGTGCTATCTAAAGAGAAGTGAGTGATAAATTTTAAGACTGTTTTGGGAAAATCACTGTTGAATCTAGATATGAAGCTAACATTTATATTTTGCCTGTTTTGTTGATGAGAGTGCTATCAAAGTAGTATACTTTGAGATTTATTGCCATTTGTCTGTGAAGAATCTGGGTAGATGTATAAACTTTTGGGGAGGAGAAGTTTTTAACTAAAGGGAAGTATTTTCATTATTTGGATGTGCCTGATAACAGCTTTATATCCAACAAATGGTGTATTATAAGTTTAAAACCTCAGGTTGGATTATAGTAACACATTATATTAAGTAATTCATTACTCATAAAGATTAATTAGTTATTTTAAAGATAACACATTGCATTTGTTGTTTTTCAGTGTTACAGCTTACAACCTTAAAATACTTGTTACCTCACACAGACAGTTTTAATCATGAAAATATGATACATGCTTCTTTTCTCTTTATAGGCGAGATAAGCTTTGGATTTGCATGGAGTTTTGTGGAGGTGGTTCTTTACAGGATATTTATCACGGTAAGACCAAAGTTGTATTTTTATAGGGGTTAGGTTGAATTTCTTAAAATACAGCTATTTACTATATTAAAACATCAACATTATCTTAAGGAAAGCAAGCTATGTTTTATTGTTATATTGTTTGGCTATATAAAGGTATTTTAGATATAGGTGGAAGAAAGGAGGAGTCTTTGCTTTTTAATTTGGAAAATTAAATGCATTTGAATTATTTGCTAATTCTGCAGAGGCATATTGTAGTCATTTCAAAAATTTAAACTCAGACTTGTAAAAATTCAAGGGCTTTGCTGGCTAATGCTAAGCTGGTAAAATATCCAGTGTATACATGAGTAGTGATAATACAAAGATAATTTATTTTGCTCTCATGTATTCAAGAAATATCAATTAAATGTTTATTCTCTTAGATACTGCCAGATTCCGAGGGATTCAAAAATGATTAAAACATTTTTCACTGGGATTTCAAGGAGTGTATAAGAGATTTGTAAAGTAAAATAGCCTTTTCTTTTTCTTCCTTTTCTCTTTCTATTAGTGGATTATTGTCACAAACTGTAGAGTAGGCTTTTGATTAATGTAAAATAAAATAATATCTATTTAATGTCTATTTTCTGAGAAAATATTGTGGACCTTTTTTCTCATTTTTTCATAGAATTTGGGCTCCTATTTTCTAGTGTGGGGCCACTTAAGTAATTTGAGGGGTGAATTACACTAAAGCAGAGATGTAAGACTATTTGGGTCAGAATTTTACTGTTTCTATTTTACTTCATTTCACTTTATCTTCTTGGCATAGGTTTTACTTAACATAAAGATTGACATAATAGTATTTTACTGGGATTACAGTTGAAATAGGGAAAAGGAAATGATGGATTTTCTGGAATCATTTTAGAAAACTTAATAAAGAAAATAAGCTACTTACATTGGTCTTTAAAAGATAGGTAAACTCGGTAGAAAAAGGATGATGAAGGGCCGGGTGCAGTGGCTCATGCCTGTAATCCCAGCACTTTGGGAGGCTGAGGCGGGCAGATCACCTGAGGTCAGGAGTTCAAGACTGGCCTGGCCAACATGGTGAAACCCCATCTCTACCAAAATTAGCTGGGCATGATGGTGGGTGCTTGTAATCCTAGCTACTCCAAAGGCTGCGGCGGGAGAATTGCTTGAACCTAGGAGGCGGAGGTTGCAGTGAGCCAAGATTGCACCGTTGGACTACAGCCTGGGCAACAGAACGAGACTCTGTCTCAAAATAATAATAATAATAATAATAATAATAATAATAATAATAATAATACTAGAAAGACAAAGAAGTGCATTTTCAGAGATGAAGCCTTGGCACAGTAACATGAAGGTGTGACTCATGTGTGATCACTCTTGTTGGTGTGGGTGTGGGGTCGAATAGGGAGAGCCTTGAAGACCAGGTGAAAGAGTATGAGAAGGTTTCTGCTTTATGAAAAGTTACTTTTTAAGGATACTTTTAATTAAGTATAGTTGTTCTTTGATAAATATTTGAGAAACTTTTCTTTATTATTTGTGGCATTTTGATTTCAAAGATTCAGTGAAAATGAAGAGATATCTGGCATTATTTTACATGACAAAACAGTATTTCTAGAAGCTTGTAATTTCTATGTTAGAAATTCAAATGGCTATTCCACTTTTTTTTGGTTGGAATTTGGGTGAATTTCTCTATTATTGATTTCCTTACTAATTGGTTTAATTTCCCTTTTGCTGAATTTTTTTTTTTTTTTAAACGGAGTCTTGCTCTGTCGCGCAGGCTGGAGTGCAGTGGTGCTATCTCGGCTCACTGCAACCTCCACCTCCCGGGTTCAAGTGATTCTCCTGCCTCAGCCTCCTGAGTAGCTGGGACTACAGGTTCCTGCCACCACACCGGCTAATTTTTATATTTTTAGTAGAGATGGAGTTTCACCATATTGGCCAGGCTGGTCTTGAACTCCTGACCTTGTGATCCGCCCACCTCAGCTTCCCAAAGTGCTAGGATTACAGGCATGAGCTACCACGCCCGGCCTCCTGAAGTTTTTTCAGTGATATTTTAGTGGTAAACTTCCTCAGTGTTTGACCCTCAGTATTAGTTGATTATTTAAGTGGGTATAGATAGGTATTTTCTAGGTTGACAGGTATTTTCTTTCAGCATTTTGAAGAAGGTGGGCCATTGTCTTTTAGCTTCTATGGTTATTAGAACCTTCTGTCAGTCTAATTATTGATCCTTTGCAGGTAATCTGTTCTTATCTCTAATTGCTTTTTGTCTTTTTCTCTTAATTTCTGGTGCCTAAGAATGGGTTTATTTTTACTTTTTCTGCTTGGGACTTAACAGGCTTACCTCTGTGAATTTTGCTCTTTTATCACATCTGGACAATTATCAATTATTATGTCTTCAAATATTTTCTCCCCCAATCTGCGATCTCTCCTTTAGAATCTTAGTTAGATGTACAGTAGGTCTTCATGTCTCTTCAACTCAATTTCCTATTTACCAGTTTTTTATCCTTCAGGAGAGCCTGGAGATACTCATATCTATCTTCCAGTTTACTGATTTTACAGCTGTATTAGAACATCCATTAGATTTTATTTTTGGTTACCATATATTTTCATGTCTAGAAATTATTTGGTTCTATTTTATATCTCCCTCCATTATTTTTTCCTTTGTGTCTTATTCTTACAGTTTTCATTCCTTCTTTTACATCTTTAGTTTTTAAGGCGTACCTTTTTTTAGTCATTCTCAGATTGTTTAGTGATTTCATCATATATCCATATGATTGGTCTTAGGTGTCTGATTCTGCTTTCTTCATTAAGAAGCAAGACCAGTTTCGTTACAGAAATAGGTTGTCATGATTCTTACCATTCCATTTCAACCTAACTGGTAAAAGTAACAAAGTAATATGAATTCGTCAATACTGATTTATTTATACTGGTCAGCAACTGGCTCAGTGGAAAAAAATGGCAGTTTTCAGGTACCCTGGATGTTCTCATATATGAATATTGGGGATTCATATGCTTATGCAGAACCCCAAATCCTATCTTTCTCTGTGTTCACTCTTTTGGCTGTACCCATGTTTTCACCAAATAACCTTTTCGTGGCAATGTGTAATAATCTTTGGCTAGTCTATGGTGTTGTATACTTGCACGGTCATGTAGGACACGTACCTCCATTTCTTTCTATGTGTCTCTCTCTTCTGCCTCTTTTTTATCACATTGTCATTATATAGAGAGAGTATTATATCCTGGAATAATTTATTTAATGAAGGGGAAGTTCTTTTAATAATCCTAGTGCTTGCAAGGTTTCCCCTTTAACTTTTATTTACTTTTACTTTGAAGAACTAACAGTAGAACCTTTTATTGTTCCAACATAATAGGATTTTTTTCTATTTTCCATTGAGCTTTTTGTGTTTGTTTATTTAATATTGTTCTTTAATAACTTTCCACAACCCGTTATATCTTTATGGTTAATTATTTTCTCACTTATTTTATAATTTTGGATTTTGAGATCATTTTTAGTGAGGTTTTTCAGTGGGAATTCTATGTGGCATTTGAAGATGTGTCCTTCCAGAGTTTTGTTTTTGTTTTTTGGGTTGTTGTTGTTTTTTTTCTGGGATCCTGGTGACCTCATTGTTTCCAATATATATTTGAATGCTCAACCTGAGTAAGGAGGCCTATGGTGACAAATTCTAAGAGGAGGCATGTTTCCTCCATCCCTATGACAGCCAAAATCCCTAGTTATCGTCGTGCTTGTCTACACCTTTAATGAGGATGTAGCCCTCTGAGACTTCTGGTTTTATGTGGGTGTTTGTTTTAGCTCTTCTGCATACCTAGGGCCTTGTCTTCTGTACCCATGTAGAGGATAATGCTAAAGCCCTAGCTTACCAGGATTAACCTTCCCCTAAGAGACAGCTAGAATATTCTTTCACAGTTTTACCTTCTGTTTTTCATTTGTCTCCTGGGAAAGTATCTTACTGTTTGTAAAGTTAGCTAGTAATTGAAAAGGTTATTTCTGAAAAAAAAATTGTCTTTCACTTCCAAGTGTTATTTTCAGGGTTTTCAGATTATCTTATTTATCATATTATAGAAACAGAAATCTCAAGGAGGTTTATCTTACTGAATGTGTGTGGGCTTGGAAGCCACAGAAATAAGTTACATGGTTTATCCATAGACATTTAAACCCAACCCGGTCCTTAAAATAATCTAATTGGAATAGATTTCTCTCTTTCATAATTGTAAAATACCACAAGTACTCCAAACTAAACATGTTTACAAATCTGTTAAGTTTGTGTAAATGTGAGTTTACTATCTAGCCAAGGTTTTTATCCTTGGAATTTAATTCAATTTCTAGAATAGTCTCTCCCACTTTTTATTCTAAAGTGATTTAATAGTGAAAAAGAAAACTATTTTAGTGTACAGATGCTCTGTTTGTGCTGCTATAACAAAATGCCTGAGACTGAGTAATTTATAAACAACAGAAATTTATTTCTCACACTTCTGGAGGCTGGGAAGTGCAAGATCAAGGTGCCAACAGGTTTGGTGTCTGGCAAGGACCCATTTCTCATAGAGTGCACACACACTGTGTCCTCACATGGCAGAAGAGATGGAAGGGCAAAAAAGAGTAGACACTGCTTGAAGTCTCTTTTATTAAGAGTCTTAATCTCCTTCACAAGGGAGGAGCACTCATGACCTAATCTCCTCCTCAGTGTCCTGCCTCTTTGAGATTAAGTTTCAACGTGAGTTCTGGAGGGACTTAGCAGATGCATACACAGGAAATATTACTTATAAGATTAAGACCTATATATTGATGTAAAGGTGTTCATCGTAAGTGAAAAGAGTAGGTTTCAGAATTGTATGATTCCACTTATGTAAAGTTTCTGAGATACAAATAGTTTATAAAATGTCCGTTTAAAATAGTCTGGTAGGTTATAGACCAAACTATTGGTATTGCTTACTGTTGAGTAACATTTTGGATAAAGAAGAGACCTTTAATTTCCAAACTTTTCTATTGATTGGAACTTTAGAGTGAACATGTATTAATTTTATAGCTATCTGGCTAATATTTTTATAAGAAGTATTGATTTAAAACTAGTCATAATACATGTTCTATATCAACTAAAAAGCTTTAATAAAAGCCAGCTAAACCTATTGGACATCGTTTCTTTTGATGTTTAAGAGATGATATTGATGAATGAGATATAAAAATGAGAATATAATTAATTTCAGTGACTACTTTAGACATTCATTCATTCCATAAATATTTATCAGGCTGCTTTTCTGTGCCAGGCACTGTTCTGCACACTGGAGATACAACAATGAGCAAATCAGATTTTTAAAAAGCAAAAAATTGGCTGGGCACAGTGGCTCACACCTGTAATTCCAGCACTTCAGGAGGCTGAGGCAGGAAGATTGCTTGAGCCCAGAAATTCAATACCAGCCTGGGCAAGATAATGAGACCCCATCTCTGCAAAAAATGAAAAATAAACTAGCCAGGTGTGGTGGCATGCACCTATGCCCCCAGCCACTCAAGAGGCTGAGGTGGGAGGATCACTTGAGCCCAGGAGGTCGAGGCTGCAGTGAGCTGTGATTGCACTACACTCCAGCCTGGGTGACATAATGAGACCCTGTCTCAAAAAAAAAAAAAAAAAAAAAAAAAAAACTGGAGCCAGGCACAGTAGGACAGTAGTAATTCATGCCTGTAGTCCTAGCTTACATTTCAGTAGAATTGTTTAGGGATATTAAGTCTGTTGCTTAAACTTGTAAAACTTTATTATATATTGAAAAACATGCGTTGACTAATTTTATGAGTATTAATTGTCTTCTTTTACAGTAACTGGACCTCTGTCAGAACTGCAAATTGCATATGTTAGCAGAGAAACACTGCAGGTAAATCAAGTGCTAATTCAAAAATAACATTTTTCATTAAACTAAGGCTTTACTTACTGTGCATTACCTGTTCAGCAAAGTAAGAACTAAATATTTTAGTTTGGTAAACTCTTAAAATGAGTTTTAATACATTTGAAAATTGTGTAATGAACTCAAATTATATTTACAAATAAATACTTTAAAGCATAAATGTGATGATATAACCTAAAATTTAAGCACTATGCATCTGTTATTGTATATTTTCCTCTTAATACCAAAGAAAGGCTTGAAAATTAAGCACTATCATGGGAATTCAAACACTCTGATACTAATTAGGTATATACTTTTTAAAAGTTATTTCAAACTATTTGTAGAATTCACTGAAAATTTTCTTAGAAAAATTAGTCATTTTCTTGATCTTTTTTTAGGATATCTCATTAAAATATGTTAATGATTAGTACTAGATCTCCTGTAAAGATTAAATAAAATACACAGAATACTACCCATTTGATTACATAAAATCCAAAAGAGTGCTCTTTGATAAAATCTTGTTTATTTTTCTGTTTTTTGAAACTCCAGGGATTATATTATCTTCACAGTAAAGGAAAAATGCACAGAGATATAAAGGTATACATTATATTTTTAACATAATAACCCTCTCTTCATTTTTAAATACTCTGATCAAATTGTTTTGAGCAAAATTGTTTTATTTGATAAATGCATCTGAAATGTTACCATAATAAAAATGAGTGATACTTTTAATAGTTTAATTTTTTATAGCAGCTTTATTGAGGCACAATTCACATACCATAAAATTCACCCTTTTAAAGTATATCATTCAGTAGATTAATGTTTTAATAACTCATTTTAGCTTCTTTGTAGTTATTGATTAGTAAAATGCAGAGTAAGCTTATAGCTTTCATCAAGTTATAGTTTTTAGTAAGTTTTATGCTTTGACTATTTCAGTGAGCTTTCGCAGTCTTAAGTCTAAGTCTTAGTAATGCATCAAAATGGATAAATTGACCTTTGACACTTTCTCATAGTCTTTTTTTTTTTTTTTTTTTTTTTTTTTTTTGAGATGGAGTCTCGCTCTGTTGCCCAGGCTAGAGTGCAGTGGCACGATGTCGGCTCACTGCAACCTCCCCTCCCGGGTTCAAGTGATTCCCCTGCCTCAGCCTCCCGAGTAGCTGGGATTACAGCCACCTGCCACCATGCTTGGCTAATTTTCATATTTTTAGTAAAGACAGGATTTCATCATGTTGGCCAGGCTGGTCTCGATCTCCTGACCTCAGGTGATCATCCCACCTCGGCCTCCTAAAAGTGCCAGGATTACAGACGTGAGCCACTGTGTCCTGCCTTCTCATAGTCTTTTATTTATTTAGCTGGCAAAGGAGAGCAGGTGCTCTGAATGTGCTGGGGTTAGCCCAGTGGTACAGCATGTGCTCTGGTAGGAATCCTTAGCATATTTCTAAAGATACTGCCATCTCCCCAGTTTAGATTTTTTTTCTTTCACTTATTTTTCTTGTGCCTTCTTTGTTCATCCTTCCTCATATTTCTCTCTTCCCCTTTTGTTTTCTAACATTTTCTCTAACATAAAGATTTTTAACCTTTTTTGAGGATAGAGGCTGGGGCAAATCTTACTGTCCTCTGGGTTTCTGATGATAAACTATGAACTGTCTTCTGAGAAAATGCCCTTATGCGCATGTCTTCAAATTTTCCAAGAAATTTCAATGGACTCGCAGATAACCTGCTGAGATCCCTTGTTTGAAGGTATTTTTTTGTGATCCACTTAAAAGACATAAAGAGCTTTTGGAGTTCAAAGGTAGAAGAGCTCACAGGAAGATGAGCAGCTCAAGAAAGGTTCTGTGTCATTGGCATGTAGATGATCTGGGAGGATTGACAGATTTTTGTCAGAAATGGAAGTTGGAGTACATTTCAAGCAGAGAAAACAATGTGAGCAGATACAGAAGTTAGAAAGTGTGAGGCCATTTTAGAGAACATAAAAACTGTACCATATTATTGAAGAGAAGAGAATGTATGAGACTAATTAGAGATGGGACTGGTTGGGTAGTTTGATGTTCCATTATGCAAGGACTTGTGTGCTAGACTTCAGAGTCTGGGCCTAATTGGGTTGATTTGATTTGGGTCATCGCCACCATTTCTACTCCTGTCTAAGCCACCATAATATTATATCATGTGGTCTTTTGTAATAGCCTGAGTGGTCTCAATGCTCCCATTCTTAGTGGTTTTGTAGTCACTTTTCTGCTTGGCGACCAAAGGGACCTTTTCAACCATATCTTATCACTCTCCTGCTTATAAACCACCATTGCTTTCCCATTGTACTCAGTATAAAGTCCAGATGCCTTTACCATGACCTGCAAGGTTATACGTGGTCTGACCCATGCATTTCTCCGTGACCTCATCTTATACTCCAGGTTTCTCTGTTTTACTCATTCTTTTCCAGCCACACTAAACTTGCCGATCTTAGAATATGTTGAGCTCATTCTAGCCCCAGGTCTTCAAATTTCCTCCTCCTTTCCTGAAATAGTCTTCTCCCAGATTTTGGTGTGGCTCTGTACCCTTACTTCACCCAGATCTCTGCTCATATATTACTGCCTTTGGAGAGGCCTTCCCTGCTGTGTCTTCAGAGTAATTATTTCTACCTGACTTTGAATCATTTGTTGATTCATTCATTCATAGATGATAAATATATTTATTTTAAGTTTTTTCCTCCTACTTGGATGTAAACTCCATGGGAATTGGAACTTACTCATTATTGTAACCCCAGAGCTTAAAATAGCACCTGACTACTAGTAGCCTCTCAGGGAGGGAAAGGAGGGAGGAGAGAAAGGCCATAATGTACAAGTGATGTGATTATAAGCTATAACTTAGGAAAGTTAGTCTGAGCTGAAGAAAGGCCAAACTGAAGCCTCTGACAGAAGTCTTAGATAGCTAGGTACTAGATCAAGTTAAAATCCCTGCTCCTAGTCTCTTTCCTTTTTCTCCTTCCCCTACTATTCCACAGAGCTACAGTAGTATCAGTGGGTGGGTGCAGCTCAGCTTCACTGGTGACATTTGGAGTTTAGGAGCCTTTTTTTTTCTCCCCAACCCCCTGTCTCCTGTGCCAGTCTTTTACTGTTTTTTCCTCATGTTGGTTGAGAGTAGGAGGGTTCCCAGTATTTTTTCCACCAAACCCATACTTACATGATTGATGGCACCTTGGACCAAAGAGCCCACAATACCTTTGGGATATAGTATTGCTATCTCTTCCAAAAGCTTTGAGCTTATTGAAGATGAAGTCATCATTATCTACTTTGAGCTTAGATCAAGAAGCAAAAGTGGCTAAAATGCAACCAGATCATGCAGAGGGGTGACATTTTAATTTTGTGGGCCTGTGGCTAGTTGTTTATGTACTGGATGGGCCTAAGCACTTGGTAAGGCACATTAGGATAGACAACCTCATGTACTAAGCAGCAAGGTACAGTCTCACATACCAACCCTGGTTCAATTGATGGTGAGTTCCTAGAAAGGGAGGTTCTTTTAAAAACACACACACACACACACACACACACACACACACACACAAAAATGGGAAACAATAATCAAGTTTAAAGTGTAATGTAAACAGTTGAAAATGCATTGTACGGTTACATTATAGTGTGGTGATAGTGTTTGATCAATGAGGAAATAACATTTTGATGAAAACTAATATATCACTTTTATATTAACATTCATACTATGTTAGTAGCAGCTTTTTTGCAAGGCAGAACATTTTATAAAGATAGTCAAGTTGCCTAAAAAGTGGACAGTAGATTTACCTATGACTCTAATGATACGACATTTTAATTAAGCACACTTTAAGTATTTCTAGGTCTAAGGCTGTGATTATTTTAAATATGTATATTTATTATATATGTGCTGTCTGATAAAATATCTATTTCCTACTCTAACTAAAATATTGTTACTTTGAAGGGAGCTAACATTCTATTAACGGATAATGGTCATGTGAAATTGGGTAAGTAAATTGGAATTTTGTCACGTGCACAAATCTATTCTAAGATATAGTAAAGTTTATGTTTTCCTTTGTAGGACCAGGTTTTCCCTCTCCTAAGACGGCATCTGTGTATTTTTAGATGGAAATCTCGTTGCCATGCTGTCACCTCTCTGCATCCACTTCTCTTAAACAGGGATAAAGTCTGTCCTTCACATAAGACATATCTGTTGTAAAGATACTGTGAAAGAATACCCTTTCTGAATTCTTTCACCTCTAAACCCAGGAATGTGACTTCTGTAATAGTAAGAAATCTGTACAGAATTACCTTGTAACCAAAAAATAAGACAAATATCAAAAAATCAGTAACTCCAAAAACACTTTATTCTTCACATAAAGCTTTTAAAATAAAATACAGCATTACTTACTTAAGAATGTAATTTAGATGCTGAATGTTGCTTTATTTCAAACAGTAACATATTTCATTTTGTAACTGTAGGTTGTTAAATTTTCAATTAAAATAGAGTTCAAAACCTAAATAATGACTTAATTTGCAAGTTTAAGAACAAGTGTTCGTTATAGTTTTATGAACAAAGTCATATTTGTTAGTATTAAATGAAATAGTTAATAACAAATAGAAAACAGTTATTTTAAACTATATCTATTAGATAAACCCAAATTAAAAATAAGCATTTTATAAAAATATAGATATAACTATTTTGAACTATAACCTGTGAGATTAATCAGATTTAAGAATATGTATCTAGAAATTAACATATAATAAAAATTTCCTCCGTGACTTCTAAATATGGGAAAAGCAGAAAAGATATGTCCTGTTCTTTTTAGTTATCTATTGATTGCTTAGTGAACAGTTTTTATCAGCAGTTTAATATTTTGTGCCAGTGTGATGTGCCTCACTCAAAGACATACTATTTATAATATATCTTACTTGAGAAGGTTTTAGAAGTCATCATTAGTAAACTAGAAAATATTAGATCTCCAAATACTTATCTAAAAGAATAGTAACAAATCATACATAAAAATAATTTCCTGATAGTGACTGATACTGGTACTAAATGTATTGTTAAGTTTGGGGATATTCTGATTGGATGTCTTTTCAAGCTGCAAGTAGACTTACTGGTTTATCTGATGTCAATCATGGGTATGGAGAAAGTGAATGGAATATAATGTCTCTTAAAGATCCCTTCCAGTGATATTCCTTGGATTTCTGGTCCTGAGAATTAGAAATTACAATATTAATAAGTTTGGCAATTTACATTCTCTCAGCTATCACTTTCTCTTCAAAATTATTTGATCTTGACCTTTGTTATTTGATTTATGTGGGGATATATGGGAATCTTATTTGGCTGTGATATGTATTCACTACTTTGTGATATTTTAATGCGAGTCCATTAAGGTTAAAATTTGTAATGTGATGTTTGAGAATATCCCGTATTGCTGTAAAATTAACTTAATAAAAATAACTTTTAAAAGTTTCTTTTTATGTTGCCTTAAACAATTTTATTTTCTCTCAGTTTCCTAAATGTTTCTCATTTTTTTTAATAGCTGATTTTGGAGTATCTGCACAGATAACAGCTACAATTGCCAAACGGAAGTCTTTCATTGGCACACCATATTGGTAATTGTATTTTAATTGATATTTAATACTTTGTTCTATCATTATTGGATATAGCATTTCTAAAAAATAGACTGGTCAGAATTTTTCAGACTAAGATTAAGAAAAAAGTCATCAACAGGCAAAGTAATTCAGGCATGTACACTTATGGGTGGATTACATGGCCAGAAAATATCCTACCATGTTATTTTTCACTAAGGAGAAAAGGCTTTAATGATTGATATGGCTTTCAGAAACCTTAATATTTGTTCTAGCCTTGCTGGAAAATCCTGACTCTTTTTCCTGTACATTTCTCATGTATTTTCACAGGTGTTTTTATATCTTTCTTCACCCCCATTTCCAGTCCATATTGTGATTAATCTTTCAACATTACATTATTCAAGTACCTCTTTGCTAAAAACTTTTTGGCATGTCTTGGTTGCCTATAGGATCAAATGCAGATTTCTTGACAGTTGAGTCTTCTGTGATCTGGCCTCTGTCTGCTTCATTAGCCTTAGCTCTTACCAGTCTTCTCCATGGACCTTCCTTTCTAGCCATGTTTGTCTGTTAGATACTGATCATAGTATAAAAACTATCCTACTCGCATATTTATTTACAGAATAGTTTTTGGCCGCTTACTATGCTAGATGTGATATTAAGCAGTATGATGATAATGGTGGATTGGTATAGAGCTTTTTTTGTTCATATCATTACTTTGAAGTAACAGCACCCTGGAATTCCTACCTTGCTTTCAGCTTATGTGCAACCACTCCCCTGATGCCCTCTTCATCTGACTCATCAGCAGTCATATAGCTTTAATTGCTACTACTAATTTTTTTGCATTTAGAATATGATGTATATACCATTTTCATGTCAGCCTATCTTTTCATCAATATATATTTTAAAAGTCAAATAATGCTAAAAAGGCATATGAGAAAAACTTAGTTGTAACTTCTGCCATCTCTAGCATTATTCATTTACAGATACTGCGTTATGACAGTTGAAGATCTTAGCTCTCTTCATTCATCTTTCAATCATCTTATCTTTCCAGTGTACTTTGCTGAGTCAATTAACAGTACTTTCCTGAAAAAAGCTTTTCCTGATTTTAATAATTTCATTTTAAATTTACTTAGTTTCTTGTTTCTGTTTTTAAATCCCTGATTAACACTTTCCATACCTTCCCTCATTTTGCAGTTTTGTAAGATGCCTCTGTATAATTTTCTATACCATAAAGTCTGTCACATTATCTGTCAGTGCTGATTTTTGTCGGGTTGTTGTTGCTTTATTTTTGTTTTTGTTTTTGTTTTCCTAGAATAATCCTTCCTGGAGTCATTTTCCCTCCTGTTCCAGCCTGGACTGTTGAATTCTCTAGCTCTTTTGCCTGGCTCTGCTCTGGCAGTCTTTCATCTTCAGCTTAGCATTCCTTTCTTGGATTCTAGGTCTTCTTCTTTCATGATGTACTCCTTCCTTTTTGTGTGTGTGAAACACATTTTAATAACTTTCTGAGAAACCGTGCATGGGAGTAACATTTTTGAGATTTTGCATGTGTATCCTTGTACATGATTGATAATTTTGGTGGGTAATTCTAGGATAGAGTTTTTGAAGTATTGCACTAGTGTCTTCTGTGGTGCCCATGGTGTGATACCATTATCTATGATCTATTGAATGTAACTCCTCCCCCTAGAATCATTCCTGGTGTTTTGATATTCCATAATTATATACCTCAAAAAATATTTTTTTATTGTTTTTACTTTTATTCATTGTACTTGGCATTTGTGCTTTATAATCCAAAGACTCATGTCTTTTCAGTTTTGGGAAGTACTCTTGTGTCATTTCTTTGATAATTTCTTTGCTGTACTTTTTCCTGCTCTCTATGGAACTCACTGGTTGTATCTTGGACCACTTAAATTAATCTATTAATTTTCTTATATTTTCTCTAAGAACAAAAAAATCTTTTTTGTTCTACTTATAAGAGTTCCTCAACTCTCTACATTCATATTTTCATGATGGAGCCTTCCCTCAAATGTCCACTAATCCTTACATTTTGGTTCACTTTGAAGAGCATGGCACTAAAAACTGGTTCATAACTCTTTTTGTTTGGGAAGTCGGGTGTAAACCTGGTTGTTATGTTCTAGAACTGGTCAAGTGAAGGAAGCAGAGATGTTCATTGTTCTATATACGTACTTCTACTTAATCATGTCCTCTCCCTTTAACCTCTTCACTCCTTGGTTCCTGGTGTCTCTTGAGTCTGCAGTCTCTCTTCTTCGTCTTGGTCCTTATCCAGTGGGAATTGGGGGGCAATAGTTGCTGGGGCTTAATGGATAAGAGTAGGAATGCCAGGGACTGACTGTTGACACTTTCTAATACTCCTGTTTCCAGCCCAACCTCAACCCTACTATTGCTACTTTTTAAACCTAGCTTGTCAACATTTCCAGGGTATTTGAGGCTCATTGGCTGCTAGTTGTTGTTCTTTTCCTTGGCACCTGCTTAGGTTTGCCCTGCCTCCTGTTTGCTACATCATTTACTATTCTTCTGTTTTTAGTCTGTGTGTTATGGTTTTAGTTAAAATATGTCTGCTGGACTTTTCAAAGATGGTATGTGTATATATTTCTCTTTGTTCTTCTCTTTATTGTTTTGGGTTGAGCAGAGTGAGGGCTTGAATTGCTGTCATTTTTAAGTACACTGTCTTCTCAGTTTTATTGTAAACATCTCATTAAATCTTCAGGATCTGACTTGATTCTATACAATATTCATTCACTGAATGTTAATGATGAAATTTCCAACTCCAGTTTCACAGGTTAAAAATTTATGTCATTACTCTTGGAATAATGTGGGAAATATCTTGGGAACATGTGAAATTGTGAATTAGGTAAAGTTAATTTTGGGAACACTCTCCCTGTATCTGTCTTTCTGGTATTATATCTTTCCTACCTAAAATCTAAAACTTTAGAACCTCTCTCTTCCCAAGTGATTAGATCGGCAGTTATTCAGTTGTTCGAAAAAGTCTGCTTGAAATGACAGTTCTCAAAATTAAACACATATGTACCTTAAACATTTTATTTCAATTTAAGACATATATGTACATTTATTCAACAGTCTTTTGATATAGAATCAAGGCCTTTTCTTAGAGTAGATCACTTACTAGAGTTCCATTTTAGTAATGCAAACCACACACACCCCAATGCATCAACTACATTTCTTAGTCAGGTTTATTGAGGCATAAATTTACCCTTATTAGGTGTACAGTTGTGCAAATTCATACAGTTGTATGAATGTTGAAAAACTTGTATGCTGTGGTGGTAAGAAACCACCAGAACACATTGACACTATCCAAAAAATCTTTTATTTTGCCCCTTTTTAGTAAATGCTCTACCTCCATCCGTAGCATCTGGTAACCCCTGATCTGATTTCTGTCTCTATATTTGTGCCTTTTTCTTGAGTGGCATAGAAATGGAATCATATAATCTGTAGCCTTCCCAGTTTTCTGCCATTGTCATGTTCTTATCTAACGTACCAGGTTTTTTGGCTCATCTTTAGAAATTTGCCTTTCTAAAAGCGAAGTCTTTCTAAAGCATTCACTAATTTTTGTTTGTTTTTGTTTTTGGTTTTTGAGATGGGGTCTCACTCTGTCACCCAGGCTGAAGTGCAGTCGTGTGATCTCAGCTCACTGCAACCTCTACTTCCCAGGCTCAAGCGATCGTCCCACCTCAGCCTCCCAAGTAACTAGAACCACAGGCATGCGCCACCATGCCCAGCTAATTTTTGCATTTTTGGTAGAGACGGGGTTTTGCCATGTTGCCCAGGCTGGTCTCAAACTCCTGAGCTCAAACCATCCACCTGCCTCGGCCTCCCAAAGTGCTAGGATTACAGGCGTGAGCCACTGCTCCCGGCCAGCATTCGCTAACTTTTAAACCTTCATTATAACTATGTGTTTACAATAGCAAATGTAACTGGAATAAACAGTTTCAGAGATGAACCCAGTTGACTGTGATAAGCACACAACTTAGCTGGCTGGAGTAGACATGTACTAAGTGTAATGTTTCCCTTGTATTTACATAGAAGAAGGGAGAGCATCAGCTAATGTGGTGAACTAGTAAGGGGAGGCAAGTTAGGAGCGTATCACTTGCATGCATTTCCCACTCCACTAGGGCATTTCTACCAGCTACTTGGAATCTAGTCATCATAAAAGTAATAACTGACACTTTGAAATTCGCTTTTCTTATAGTAATTTAAATTTTCATAAGATCTGTTTCAGATTTAAAAGATTTTAAGACCAGGGGTTTTGAAAGTTAGAGGGTTTTTTGTTTTTGACTTTACTGACTTACTTGACCTTCCTGAAATCATACCAGGAAGATAAATGTGTATTTGTAAGATTATCTAGACTGCTCTTTAGTATGGAAGAGTTGAGATGTTTATTTCAATTAGTTGCTTTTAAAAATATTGTTTAGGATTTGAAAATTTTTGTATTTGATAATTAATAGTTTAAATCAGTCAAATTCAAATTTATGGAAGTATAATTAGAATAAGACTGTAGCAAAGTAAAGAGAAACAAAAAAATTACTGAATTTGGGTAACTTTCCTCTGAATAAATACATTTTTTAAAAGTAGACACTTGTTTTTATAACTTTTCCATTATTATAATAGAACTAGAAAAAATGCCAAATAAGTTTTTAGTAAATATGAATTAAATACTAAATATGAAGATTATTGGTGCCCGACGGAATAGTTTTGGTGAAGTAAAAACAGGGATTGCCTGGTCGCAGTTTTTTGATAACAGGAAGTAGAGCTATAGGTTGCTTATTACGAATATTATTTATTGAATTTTGCATGTACAGAGAGATTGGGAGCATGAATGATTTTGGACGTGTTGGTCTATTAGAATTGTATATTTTTATAAACCTTTTTAGTAACTAGTATAAGGAAGTAACAATGGAATCAGCAATAGGGGACTGAAGTGCAGAGTCTTTTTTAAAATTTATAAACAAAGGTTTGATTGACTCACAGTATTGTATTGCATGGCTGGGGAGGCCTCAGAAAACTTACAATCATGGAGTAAGGCAAAAAAGCGGGCACCTTCTTCACAAGGTGGCAGGAGAGAGCACTCGGGAAACGGCCACTTTTAAAACCATCAGACCTTGTGAGAACCTGCTCACTATCATGAGAAAAGCATAGGGGAAACTGACCCAATGATCCAATCACCTCCTACGAGGCCCCTCCCTCAACACATGGGGATTACAGTTCGAGATGAGATTTGGGTGGGGACACAGAGCCAAACCATATCATTCTGCCCCTGCCCACCCCCCAAATTGCAGGTCCTTTTTACATTTCAAAACCAGTCATGCCTTCCCAACAGTCCCCCAAAGTCTTAACTCATTCCAGCATTAACCCAGAAGTCCAAATCCAAAGTCTCGTCTGAGGCAAGGCAAGGCAAGTCCCTTCCACCTATAAGCCTGTATAATCAAAAGCAAGTTACTAATGAGGGTCTTATGAGATGTCAAGATCTTGGAAAAGGTGGACCTTTTAAGTACTGCATATTTATTTTTCAAAAACCAAGGCCTAAAGAGGCCTTAATTTAGATAGTGATAATTCCTTGTGCCTCTGGGTGGGAGTATAAAGGAAAACATATAACAGAAGTTTTTTATTTTCTGGAATATTTATTTCAGGATGGCTCCAGAAGTTGCAGCTGTTGAGAGGAAGGGGGGTTACAATCAACTCTGTGATCTCTGGGCAGTGGGAATCACTGCCATAGAACTTGCAGAGCTTCAGCCTCCTATGTTTGACTTACACCCAATGAGGTCAGTGCATCATCATTGAAGAATCTTACGCTTAAGGTTTTTATCCTCTTAGTATGCTGTCATGAACAAGTAATTTTCTTAGTCTTGTTTTACCTTATTTGGGGAACAAATAGTAATAGAATTTGTGTAATAGATAAAAATGTGAAATATTAAAATGCTGTGTAATGATTTGTTGATTTTTCAGAGCATTATTTCTAATGACAAAAAGCAATTTTCAGCCTCCTAAACTAAAGGATAAAATGAAATGGTAAGTATTTTTATGTTATTTACTTTTATGGTGAGATGAGCAAAAAATGAATTGGAATGTAAAAGTCTAATTTTCTAAATTTCTTAGGTCAAATAGTTTTCATCACTTTGTGAAAATGGCACTTACCAAAAATCCGAAAAAAAGACCTACTGCTGAAAAATTATTACAGGTATTATTTTTGCCCTGAAATATATATATATATTTCAAAAGATAAAATGTTATTCAATCAGATTTATAGTAAGTGTTCTGCATTGTATTTAATTTTTATAGCATCCTTTTGTAACACAACATTTGACACGGTCTTTGGCAATCGAGCTGTTGGATAAAGTAAATAATCCAGATCATTCCACTTACCATGATTTCGATGATGATGATCCTGAGGTAGGAATTGCTTTTACCAGCGGGCATATATAACATGTATATGTGTATGTATATATGTGTGTCTGTATGTACGTCTCAAAATCCATTTTTTTAATTTTGGGGCCTAGTTTAAATAAAAAAGCTCTTGAGGGAACAATTAATTCTTTGTCTTTGCCTTTCATGGAAAGTCAAATGCTAGGTTTTTCTTACTGACTACTTATAGGTGACTATAGTGTGAAAATGGCAAAGGCATATCATTTAATCCACTTGTTGAAATCACTGTAGTTATTTCAAAATAGCCATTTTTGGTGAAGTTGCCAAATAATCATTCACTGTAAAAGGGAAAGCAAATGGGAAGTGCCTAAACAAGACATTTGAATATTCAAAATTTCCCCTCAGTTTGCTTCTCAAAAAGAATCCTCAGTTTGGCCTGGTGGCTCATGTCTGTAATCCCATCACTTTGGGAGGCTGAAGCAAGAGGATTACTTGAGGCCAGGAGTTTGAAACCTGCCTGGTCAACATAGCAAGACCCCGTTTCTATCTTTAAAAAAAAATTCTTATATAATACTTCATAAATTATTAGAGGTTAGTAGGAAGTATAGGCTTGACTTTGCCAGTGACTAAAACTCAGCTATTCACTATGGAAATGTTTTAAAATGAGCCAGTATAGTTGTTAATAAAATAATTCTAATATGACAGAAGCATTGATATTAATGGAAGCTTCACTTCTGTTTGCATATGTAACATTCCTAGCACTGCTAATAGTTGTGGCAACCAAGATAAATTCAGTATATGTGACATGGCAGAATTCTGTTATTGGGTCTGTAACAGAAGTGGATAGGCTTTAACTCTACTGGCTTTATGGGAGGCCCTTAAAAATATTGTAAATTTCATTAATGACTGAAGGTGAAGTGTTTAGAAAGACGGCCACAGATTGTCTTAAGTCAGAGAGAACCTTTCTATCAATTCAGCATTGTCCCAGCTTGCCATCTTATGATAGATAAGCTATTTGTCCTTTTGTTTAAGGGTCTGGAAAAGAGTTTGGAGCTTAAAAATGTAAGGAATGTAAAGTATAATTAATCTTATAATTATACTCTGAAGAAGTTTTTTTTGTTTTGTTTTTGTTTTTTTTTGAGATGAGTCTTACTCTATTACCCAGGCTGGAGTGCAATGGCATGCTCTCAGCTCACTGCAGCCTCTGCCTCCTGGGTTCAAACGATTCTCCTGCCTCAGCCTCCTGAGTAGCTGGGATTACAGGAGCCCACCACCATGCCCAGCTAATTTTTGTATTTTTAGTAGAGATGGGGTTTTACCACATTGGCCAGGTTGGTCTCGAACTCCTGACCTTGTGATCTGCCTGCCTCGGCCTCCCAAATGCTGGGATTACAGGCATGAGCCACCGCACCTGGCCTGAAGAAGTTTTTTGGTGTTGATTTGCTTAATTTTATTTTTAAGAAAGTTAAGTTTTACAAACTCTTCTAGTCTTATTTAGTATACAGGCAGTCCTTGATGTGCATGGTAGTATGGGACTGTAAAAATGACTGCATAAGCTAAAATTCTGCAAAGTAATCTTAATAATCAGGAAAAATTATAATTGTTTCATGACTTTTAAAATTTTTTGTTAAAGCATAAACTCTGTTACTGTCAGTTGTAATTGTAGAAATGTGAAAAAATAGTAAAACTATTATTTACAGTGTATTATAAATATTAGAATCATCGAGAGTTAATGTGTTTCATTTCTTTGTTAATGAACTTTTCATGCACTTTTTTTACTTATCTAGTAGTCTGCTTATTGAGTAGTTTGCCTTTTCATCATGTGTCTGTGACACAGAGCAAGTATCTTTTCTATGCCTTGGCAAATTGTCATATTGCTTTCTAATTTTCTTTCTAATCATGATCATGATGTGCATCTGTTATTTACGTAGTAATTTGTGAACTGAAAGGCTACCAATAAAGTTTATACTTTATGCAATTTCAATTAATATACAGTGGTAACTGTTATTTGAACCATGATGTAGGGAACTAGTGTTATTTAACTAAATTATGGTAACTGAAATTGGTGCATAACAAAGCTGTAAAACAAGGACTGCCTATATCCTTTTCAGTGCACTAAATGCTACATGATTGTTTCTTACCTCACCCTATGTACTTGTCATGTCTTTTTAAAAATGTACTCAAAGAACAGAAATAATAAACCAAATAGAGAAGCAATCTGTGGAATGAAGATTCTTCTAAAACTTTCTCATATAGCAGGGAAAGAAACTCATCTTTCTTATCCAGACATTGTTTTGGTATTATAATTATAAATTGTTACAAATCTCTATGGTAAGTAGGTAAAATAAAGGAATTTAATTATTCCAGGGGTAGGATGAGGGGAAGCTGTTACATTCCCTCTCACAGTAGCTTAGAATAATGTTTTTCTTAAGAGAAATTCATAACTTTTTTATTTGCAAATGATTTGTAATTGTAATTGCTAAGTGCAGTGTTGTCACTCAAAATACGAATGTATCTAAGAATTTCAGCACTTACTGTGATACTAGAACTATTGTATGCATACTCTTAAAAATAAGGGTGGGCTCAGTGGCTTATGCCTGTAATCCCAGCACTCTGGAAGACCGAGGCAGGTGGATCACCTGAGGTCAGGAGTTTGGGACCAGCTTGGCTAACATGGTGAAACCCCGTCTCTACTAAAAATACAAAAATTAGCCGGGCATGGTGGCTCATGCGTGTAATCCCAGCTATTCAGGGGGCTGTGGCAAGAGAATTGCTTGAACCTGGGAGGCAGAGGTTATAGTGAGCCAAGATCATGCGACTGCACTCCAGCCTGGGCAACAGAGCGAGACTCCATCTCAAAAAAAAAAAACAAAAAATAGAAAAAGAAAAATATATATATATGTGTATTTATCTATATATACATATATACACACACACACACACACACACACATATACCACATCTAAGTCTAGTTTAAGTTTTTTATAGGTTATGCACTGTGGAAGAAAGTTTGACTTTTTAATGTTGAGTTCCCCTGTAGTTTCTATTTTAGAAGTAATTACACACTGGTGTAATTCTAATTCTGATTTTTATTCAGTTTTCGTCTCCTATATGTAAGCCCACTTACTATGTACAGCATTATAAGATTTAACAATTTTATTAATCTGTTATGCTAATAAATTAATAATTTATTGTGCTGTTTAAGCCGGGAAGGTAAAACTGTTCTCAGAAATAATCATGAGTTTCATCCATGTTCATTAATAACAGTCTGTATGAGTAACCTGCATGTTACCTGTTTTTGTTTGGTTTTGCTACTGTATATTAGATCAAAAGTCTAGGGTTTTTCCTAGCTCTATGGCTAGCTAGCTGAATGCCCTGCCACTTAATTTTAAGTCTCAGTATCCTCATCTATGAAATTGAAGGGGTGGGTTGCCCCTCCACACCTGTGGGTGTTTCTCGTTAGGTGGAAGGAGAGACTTGGAAAAGAAAGACACAGAGACAAAGTATAGAGAAAGAAATAAGGGGACCCAGGGGACCAGCGTTCAACATATGGAGGATCCCGCCAGCCTCTGAGTTCCCTTAGTATTTATTGATCATTTGTGGGTGTTTCCCCGAGAGGGGGATGTGTCAGGGTCACAAGACAATAGTGGGGAGAGGGTCAGCAGACAAACACGTGAACAGTGGTCTTTGCATCATAGACAAGGTAAAAGAATCAAGTGCTGTGCTTTTAGATATGCATACACATAAACATCTCAATGCTTTACAAACCAGTATTGTTGCCCGCATGTCCCACCTCCAGCCCTAAGGCGGTTTTTCCCTATCTCAGTAGATGGAATGTACAATCGGGTTTTATACTGAGACATTCCATTGCCCAGGGACGGGCAGGAGACAGATGCCTTCCTCTTGTCTCAACTGCAAGAGGCATGCCTTCCTCTTATACTAATCCTCCTCATTACAGACCCTTTATGGGTGTCGGGCTGGGGGACGGTCAGGTCTTCCCCTTCCCACGAGGCCATATTTCAGACTATCACATGGGGAGAAACCTTGGACAATACCTGGCTTTCCTAGGCGGAGGTCCCTGCGGCCTTCCGTAGTGTTTGTGTCCCTGGGTACTTGAGATTAGGGAGTGGTGATGACTCTTAAGGAGCATGCTGCCTTCAAGCATCTGTTTAACAAAGCACATCTTGCACAACCCTTAATCCATTTAACCCTGAGTTTGACACAGCACATGTTTCAGAGAGCACGGGGTTGGGGGGTAATAAGATCATAGATTAACAGAATGTCAAGGCAGAAGAATTTTTTAGTATAGAACAAAATGGAGTCTCCTATGTCTACTTCTTTCTACACAGACACAGTAACAATCTGATCTCTCTTTCTTTTCCCCACAGAAATGAAGAATAATGCTTGTTTCACGAGTTTAAGGATATAATGCTAAGGTGCATCAAAACACTTTGTAAACTAAAAAGCAGGTTGCACATGTAAAATTTAAATACCTAATTTTCAAAATTACTTTTGCTACTGTTTCACCATCACAAGTATTTAATATTTCAGTCTTTTAAATTTGTATATTTTTTCCCTGAGATGTACCTACACTGTGAGTAGTTAGTTTGAGTCTTGTTCTTGATTTGCCTTATTGAATCTAAGACTTAGAGCATAATGTTTATGAATTATGTTTCCACAAAGATAGATCTAAGAGTGTATCTCCTTCAAAGGTAATACAATAGCTTCAAAGGTAGCATTTCACCCACAGAGGAAGCTATTGGGTATTGCAATAATTACATGAAATAGATGCTGGTTGAGAGACCTTAGTGTGAGTATGGAGCTGCAAAAGTTTTTTGAATAAGACCTCTTTTACTTCCAAAGGTTATAGTAATGTTCATGAATTAACATTAAATAGAACTCATCTCCATTCTACCCACCTTCAGAATATTCCTGTATGAAGTTGGCAGTGCACATAGAATGGTTTTAATAAAGTAAAAGGAAAGAAAATAGAGGACTGCTCCTCCAAGAAAAAAACATAAAGGGCCAAAAAAAAAAAATTGTGTTGACCAAGAAAAAGTACCATAAATCATTAACCCATTTAGCCTAGTGTTCCATTATTGGAACTAGGCTTGTGGGAGTTATTTATATCCTACTGCTCAAGGCCATCGTCAAGGTTTGATTTTTCACACAAAAAATTTGCAACCTCAGGTATAAATGGGTTAATGCCTTTAGCATTATTTCATTGCATTTATGTCTTATCCTTTTGATATAAGGAGTTGACGCAGATTTTTTAAATTGCAGTCTTCTCTGCAATAGGGAAAGCTACTTGCAACGTGTAAACAGCTATTGAATTATTGAAATACTTAATTTTTGACTATTTATTTATATTTAACTCGATGAACATTCACTGGGGACCTGCTGTAGCTAAAACATTATTTCCTAATCTTGAGAAGTTCACCATTTCAGGAGAAGAAAAAACAGCCAACTTTTGTTAGGGAAGTCAGAGAAGATGTCACAAAGGAAGTGACATTGCTAGAAAGGAGTTTGCCAATAGGAAGATGCCAGAAAGACCAAAGTTTAAAAAATAAAAATAATGGTCAAAGAATTGGGGACTTTTAAAAACTCATCAAGACTCTTAAAAAATGATAGCCATCCCCCATATCTAAATGTTTGAATACACTAGCTTTCATAAATTTTAGAAATGGTAAAATATGGTCTTTAGCCTTAAGATTCATGTAAAAATGAATGCAATCAAGAGAGGGTTACATATGGATTAAGAGCACATCAGGTATGTGAATCTTTGTAATTTCATTTGTCTAGGTTCTTATCTACTGCATAGCAGATTAGTGGATTCTTCTTACATTAAATAATAGCTCACCATATGACATTTATATAGTAGAAATATTTAGACTCTTGATTTTGAATTTTAAGAGATGTTTGACAAAATAAATATTACTTGAGATTTTACTATCATTAACAGTTACCTTTCTTTAAAAACACTGAAAATATAGTTGTCCCTTGACGTACACAAGGGGGATTGGTTCCAGGACTCTCAAGTATACCAAACTCCGTGCATACCCAAATCCCACAGTCAGCCCTGCAAAACCCACATATATGAAATGTTGGTCCTCCGTATACATGGGTTTTGTATCCCCAAGTAATCTGCATAGAAGTGGACTTCTGCAGTTCAAACTTTTGTTCAAGGATAAACTGTACGTGGAATGAAGAAACAATAAGGTTTTAGTTTCCGTATTTCCTAAAATTCCTAGCAATTTTTAGGGAGAAAATTGGGGTAAGGAGGTTCTTTGTAGTTGTGGTTTAAAAAAAAAAAAAGTATGTAATTGAGTGTATATACTTGAAAAAGATGAGAAGACCTAAAAGTAAATTTGACAGCATTCAGAAAGTATTGGCATTTGCTTGTAGGAGTTCTCAATCTGAGCACTGTTGACATTTTGGGCCAGATAATCCTTTGTTTTGGGAGGGCTGCCCTGTGCATTCTAGAATGTTTAGCAGCATTGCTGGACTCTTCCCATTAGTTGCCAGTTAACACCCTTTAATCCCAAGTTGTGACAACAAAAAAATGTCCCCAGATATTGCCAAATGTCTCCTCAGGGACAAAATTGCCCCGGTCAAAAACCACTGGCTTATGTCAACTAGGATTTATCATACTGTCTATGTCTTTCCTTCCCGTACAAACTTGACATTCTCATCTAGCTCCCATTGCAAAGGGCCTGTTATTTGTATTTATATTATTTGATGATAACAATAATCATAGAACTTTAAGATGATAAAAGTTGAATAAACGTGAAATGGTTTGTAAGGGCAGGGTTTTGTTTTTTATCAAGAAGTAATAAAAATAATTGTAATCACGTTGCATGTAAAGCATTGTTTAAAAAAAATAGACACCATGCATCATTGTGAATGGCTTGTTTCTTTAAATGCCATTTATTAGAAAGATTATTTTCATCAGTGCTTCTCTAAATATCATATATTAGTTACTATAAGCCCGTTATCGCAGGTGTCTATGGTTAGTGTGTATTACATTTATAGAGGAAAAATGAGAGTATTTATGTTTAGAAATTAAAGGCTACATTTTAATTTTTAAAAATCTTACCATTTTTATTAGTGATCTTGAAAAAATAATTCATTACGTTTCTTTTTCTCTTAACTTTTATTTTAGTTTCAGGGTACATGTGCAGGTTGGTTCTGTAGATAAATGGTATGTCACGGGGGATTCATGTACATATTCTTTTGTCACCCAGGTCATAAGCCTAGTACCCAATAGGTAGTTTTTTATCCTCACCCTCCTCCCAACCTCAAGTTGGCCCCTATGTCTATTGTTCCCTTCTTTGTATCCATGTGTACTCAGTGTTTAGCTCCCACTTATCAGTGAGAACATGTGGAATTTGGTTTTCTGCTCCTGAGTTAGTTTACTTAGGATAATGGCCTCCAGCTCCATCCTTGTTGCTGCAGAGGACACTATCTCGTTCTTTTTTATGGCTGCATATCCGTACCACATTTTCTTTATTCAGTCTACTGTTGTTGGGCATTTAGTTTGATTCAGTATCTTTGCTATTGTGTTTTGCTATTGTGAGTAGTACTGCGATGAACATAACGTGCATGTTTTTATGGTAGAACAACTTATATTCCTTTGGGTATATACTCAGTAATGGCATTGCTTGGTTGAATGGTTGTTCTAAGTTCTTTGAGAAATCCCCAGACTGCTTTCCACAGTAGCTGAACTAATTTACATTCCCACCAGCAGTGTGTAACCGTTCCCTTTTCCCTGCTGCCTTGCCATAATCTGTTATTTTTTGACTTTTCAATAATAACCATTCTGGCTGGTATGAGATGGTATCTCATTATGGTTTTGATTTGTGTTTCTCCAATGATTAGTGATGTTCAAGCATTTTTTCATATTTTTGATGGCTGTGTATATGTCTTCTTTTGAAAAGTATCTGTCATGTCCTTTGCCCACTTTTTAATAGAGTTGTTTTTTGCTTGTTAATTTAAGATTCTTACAGATTCAGGATATTAGATCTCGGTCAAATGCATAGTTGGCAAAAATTTTCTCCTATTCTGTGGGTTGTCTGTTTACTCTGTTGATAGTTTCTTTTGCTGTGCCGAACCTGTTTAGTTTAATTAGATCCCATTTGTCAATTTTTGGTTTTGTGGCAATTGCTTTTGGCATCTTCATCATGAAATCTTTGCTTATGTCTATGTCTGGAATGGTATTTCCTAGGTTTTCTTCAAGGGTCTTTATAGTTTTAGATTTTACATTTAAGTCTGTAATCCATCTTGAGTTGATTTTTGTATATTGTGTAAGGAAGGGGTCCAGTTTCAATCTTCTGTATATGGCTAACCAGTTATCCTAGCACCATTTATTGAATGGGGCGTTCTCTCCCCATTGCTTCTTTTTGTCAGGTTTGTCGAAGATCAGATGGTTGTAGATGTATGGCTTTATTTCTAGGCTCTCTGTTCTGTTCCATTGGTCTATATGTCTATTTTTATACCAGTACCATTCTCTCTTGGTTCTGTAGCCTTGTAGTATAGTTTGAAATCAGGTAATGTGATGCCTGTAGTGTTGTTCTTTTTGCTTCAGATTGCTTTGGCTATTTGGACTCTTTTTTGATTCCACGTGAATTTTATAATAGAGTTTTCTATAAATTTTAATTTTTGAGAATGTATCTACATGGCCTTTGTCTAATTAAATGATTCTAAAGGATATCCTTTTTCTTAGAAGGGCAACTTTTTAAGTTCAGATGAGCTATTTTAGAATCAATTCTGCTTATTCGAAATTCTAGTAAATGTAATACCGTTTTAGAGATGTTAAGTGTAATCTTTCATTGTTAGAAACAAAACAAATTATTTAGCATTTCAGAAGATGATGCCTAACATTCTGTTGCCTACTTTAATTTCAGGTTGGGCATCTTTCATTCCCTGGCCTCATTTAACAAAATCTTGTGGCAATCCCTTTCTCCTTTTTTACATGAAATATTTCATTTTCAAAAGAAATTTTTGAAAAAATATGAAAAAATACCGTTTTCATATCCAACCATCTGAATTGGTACATCTGAAGGGAAGATAATCAGTCAAGTCTCCAGTTCACCTCTGTTCTAAAGGGTGAAATATGGCCTCTGTATACCTGGATAGCCTTTCTTGTAATCATTTGACTTCTTGAGTTAGTTATCAGTTTTGTTCCTGACAAGCTAGAGGTTCAGTTTTCACAGGGTTTCTCTAAATCATATTTTTTCAGCTTTTTCTTTTTCTTATGTTGGAGCCCTTGACAAATCTTATATTGGACATTCAGAGTATAAGTTTTCCAGTATTCCTTTGTGATCACATTTAATTAGTTAGACTCTGTAAATAATTTCAAGGTGTGAATCTTCTTTGCAAATTAAAGGCAAATAATTAAATATTGGTATGTTTCCTACTCATGGAAATTATAATGGCACATCTATAACCAAGAGAAACTGAGATGGAGTGGAGAGCATTTTTTTAATTAAAAAAAATAAAGCTTCTGAAAAACATAAAATACTGTATGTTCACATAAGCATAAGTTATATAATTTTTCCAGTCTTAGTTAAATCGATTACAATTCAGATAGTGCCAAAAGTGAAACACAAACTAATATCCTACATCATCTATAAATGTCTGTGTGTAGTTTTTAAAAATTATTTCAAAAAAATTCATAAATTGAAAAATAAACCTTAAAAGGCTTCTAAGCTCAACCATCATTAAATGATAGATGCAAGTGGTAATGTTTACACTGTTGTATTTCCTTTCCCTTCAGAATTTCTCGATGTCAGAATAGATCCAGGATACTCAAGTGTACTTGATTCATCCTTGTAGAATGGATCTAGACAAGTCTGATGTTGCACATACAAATAAGAATATGTTACTAATTGTGTTTAATTTCATATGTATTTAGCCAAAGAAGTGCCCTTTCTAGTACAAATAATAATTTATGTTGTGGATAATAAAAATATTTTTTCACCTAATAGTTTGAGCTGCTATTGTGGTTTGCTTTTTTAAAAAAAAAAAATTTGCAAAGTGCTGTTTTGCTTTCATTTTTACTTAAAATGAAGTATTTTTTCCTATTTGGGTAATTTTGTGGACCAAACTATGACTTGATTATCAAATGCTGCATATCATTGATTTTGTTCTTTTCTAGCCTCTTGTTGCTGTACCACATAGAATTCACTCAACAAGTAGAAACGTGAGAGAAGAAAAAACACGCTCAGAGATAACCTGTAAGTATATACTATACACAGTTTATGATTTAATGATAGAAAATAAGTTATAATTTAGTTACAGTTATTTTTGTTTTATTTCCTTCTGAATAGTTTTTCTTACTAAACACTGTTAAAGGTAAAGTTTAATTAGGGCAGTAAGAATTTCATTTTCCTTATTCTTGTGGAATTTTTGGTGGCAGGATGGGATGTATTTATGTTGTTACTGTTTGGGAGGATAAGTTAATTCCTGGAATAAGCAGGGTAGAAGTAATTAAGGCAGTGCCGTAAATGCCTGTGTGCATGTAACTCACCTAGAGAGCTTGTTAAATGCAGTTTCAGATTCAGTAGACCTGGGATGGGATCTGAGGTTCTACTAACAAGCTCCCACGTCATTCATGCACTCATGATCCAAGGGTAACAGAGAAATAGAGGTCTGCAAACTGCCCTAGCATCTGAGTAACCTGGAAACTTTTAAAAAGGGATTCTCAGGCACCACTTTTCCATAGAGTCCAATTCAGTAGGTCTTGGATTGGCCCAGAAACCTTTTAAAATAGGCCTCCAGTTATTTCTTAGGGGCAGCCAAGTTATGGGCCCACTAAGACAAGCCATTCATTCACATGGGATCCAATACTGTCAACTCATCAGTGATAAACTGCCAACAAGAATCCCTCGAACAATAGTGCCTTAACTTTTTTATTCCTTAGAAGCATTTATTCTCTGAGTTTTGTTCTAGTGATACCTGGAAAGTATGGTGGGTTATATAAAAAGCTCAGGAGTGGGATTTGGTACTTTGCTTGCCAGCAGTTAGTTGTGTGATCATATAAAATTATCTTTAAAGCTCCTGCTGAAGTCACGTTTTAAATTTGCTAATTTCACCACAAAACTATTTTTCCGAAAATGGCATCCTTAGCATGTGAGAGCATTTCTCATATTTTAATATACAAAAAATAATTATGAAATATCTTTATCATTTCTTTAATATACAAAAAGTAATTAGAGGCCAGGTACAGTGGCTCATGCTTGTAATCCCAGCACTTTGGGAGGCCGAGGCGGGCGGATCACTTGAGGCCAGGAGTTCAAGACAAGCATGGCCAACATGGCGAAACTCCGTCTCTACATAAGCTACCAAAATTAGCCAGGCATGTTGATGTGCACCTGTAACCCCAGCTACTTGGGTGGCTGAGGTATGAGAATTGCTTGAGCCTGGGAGGCCGAGTTTGCAGTGAGTTGAAATCCTGCCACTGCACTCCAGCCTGGGCAAAGAACAAGATTCTGTTTGGAAAAAAAAAAGTAATTAGAGGTGACTTGCAGTTAATTTAGAAAACTTTATATATTCAGTACTGTTGAAAATGTAATTTAAAGTACTCTCTTTCTTGTTATCTCATTTTATTAAAAAATTACATTGTCAGTCCCTTTATAGCATAGTATTTCTGAATCACTCTGTGGTAACATATCAGTGATTCTCAACTTCTAAGTGCATATGCATGTGTATGCTATTTCAAACTAGATGTCTAGGCTGGGCACAGTGACTCACACCTATAATCCCAGTACTTTTGGGAGGCCGAGGCGGGTGGATCACTTGAGGTCAGGAGCTGGAGACCAGCCTGACCAACATAGTGAAATCCTGTGTCTGCTAAAAATACAAAAATTAGCCGGGCCTGTTGGTGTGTGCCTGTAGTCCCAGCTACTGGGGAGGCTGAGGCAGGAAACTCGCTGAAACCTGGGAGGCAGAGGGCTGCAGTGAGCTGAGATCCTGCTACTGCACTGCAGCCTTGGCGACAGTGTCTCAATTGAAAGAAAGAGAGAGAGAGAAGAGAGAGAGAAAGAAGAAAGAAAAGAAAAGAAAAAGAAAGGAAGGAAGGAAAGAAAGAAGGAAAGAAAGAAGAACATCATATGAGAATTCATGGACACAAAGGGAAACAACAGACACTGGGGCCTGCTTGAGGGTGAAGAGTTAGGAGGAGGGAGAAGATCAGAAAAAGTAACTATTGGGTACTAGGCTTAGTACCTGGGTGACGAAATAATCTGTACAATAAACCCCCGCGATGCAAGTTTACCTATACAACAAACCTGCATATGTACCCTGAACCTAAAATAAAAGTTCAAAAAGTAAAAATAAAAAAGAGCATCATAAACAGTGCCGCAGACTGGGATGATTGACCAACAGTTATTTGAAGAGTAACTGGAAGATTCTGTGGCAGAGGCTTGTCATAACTTTAGGGAATTTGAAGAGAGCAGAAGAGTGATACCAGTGTAAGGTTTGAATCTCCATAGGGACTTTGCTCCCTTTCTGGAAATGCATTCTCCATCCACAGAGTTCAGGTACAGTGATACTGAATACCTGCTATAGTCACGGCTTTTAGTAAGACAGCATCCTTGCACTCAGGGGTTGTACAATCTGGTGGGAGAAATGGGCATGTTCACAGGTGGCAATAACACAAGGCAGATAGATGCACAAGACTGTCCTCATGTAATTTTATTACAGACCGCATTTTGGAATTTGAAGACAAGTATAGGTGAAAGCTGTTCAATAGGCCTTTATCAAGATGAGGTATATGTTAGTTTTGATACCTTACTAAAAGTTATTTTGTAATCTTTGATGTGTGATCAATTGTGAACAGTTAGGATGGACTCATTCTTAACCTACTTATCAGATCTAAGGGCCATTTGATATCTGAGCCATTAACAGCTTAAAAGCATATACACACCCAGACATAACTGGAGATATTACAGGGCTGTGTTTCTCAACTGTTTTTTTCCTTATGCCTCCTATTGCTAAATATTCAAATCCCATGGTCTTCTTTCATTGGTATTAACATTCACAATAAATTTACATACAAAGTTGAAATCAAACCGTTAGAAAAGTGATTATGCTTTGAAATCTCACTGTTTTCCTCAGCTTGGTTGAGAAGTTTTGGTTTTGGCTGAAGCTCTTACTAGTTGAAATGTAATATATTGTGGCTGTTTTCTTTTTATTGTTTTGTATTTTTTCCTCTGCTTGTATCTCAGTGGACTTGAGGGTTTTACCCAGGTTATAAGATCAGAAAATGATAATGAGCTGTGGAAATAAAAGGTAAAGATACTGAAACATTCAATACATTAGAAAGCAAAGAAAAAGAAAAGATGAATGTAGTACAGTTAATCTGTGTCTACTCTGGCTAGTTTATACTTTAGCTGCAGTGGTTGTTTTTGGTTGTGTAGCAAACCCAAAATTTAGCAGCTTAAAACAGTAAACATTTTTTAAATCAACTCCCATATTTTTATTTTAAATCTTATAAGACAATATTATTGTCATTAACCATGGTCAATATTAATTTGTATTTGTATATTTACCAATTTTTTGCTCTTCATTCAATACTGTATTTCTGTACCACTACTTATGGATCTCTTTTGATTAAATAATTCCTTTTAGTATTTCTTTAAGTCTGAAGGTATTGAATTCTCTCACTTTCTGTATATCTGCTCATATTAAACAATAAACATTTATTGTCTCTAACAGATTTTGAGAGTCAGGAATCCAGGACAGGTTAGCTGAGTGATTCTGGCTCAAGGTCTCATAAAGTTGCACACAGGATATCAGCTAGGGCTGGAGTCATCTGAATGTTTGACTGGACTGGAAGATTTACTTCCAAGCTCATTCACGTAACTATTGGCCAGAGGCTTCACTTCCTTGCCAGGAGGCCTCTCTTTAGGGCTGCTCACAATGTGACTTCCTCCAGAGCAAGTGATCCAACAGAGAGAGCCCAAGACAGAAGCTTTATCTTGGAACTCATATACAGTTAACTTCTGCTCTGGTCTTTTGGTCACATCAGCCAACGCTGATCCAATGTGGAAGCATTTTGAATACCAAGAGGCAGGAGTCACTGGGGGCCATCTTACAGGCTGGCTTCCACAAGTACCCTGTATCAGCAGCTGTCTACCCACCTAAATACTGAATTAAGATGGTCTCAGCCAGGCACAGTGGCTCACGCCTGTAATCCCAGCACTTTAGGAGGCCGAGGCGGGCGGATCACCTGAGGTCAGGAGTTCCAGACCAGCCTGGCCAACATGGTGAAAGCCCATCTCTACTAAAAATACAAAAACTTAGCTAGGTATAGTGGCGCGCACCTGTAGGCCCAGCTACTCAGGAGGTCGAGGCACGAGAACCGCTTGAACCCAGGAGGTGGAGGTTGCAGTGAGCTGAGATCGCGCCATTACACTCCAGCCTGGGCAACGGAAAGAGACTCCGTCTCAAAAAACAAAACCAAAAAAAGATTGTCTCTGTTTTATTCTTGGTCACAACAAAGTAGCAAGTTAGAACTTGATTGTACACACATATAATTTTGTTAATCATCTTCTTTTCTTACTGTGGAAATGGCCTAGAATTAACAAATTAAGCTTTAGCGGTTAAGACTTTATTGGGCTTTTTCCAGCTGACATACAAATGGCCATCAGATACATGAAAATATCACTAATTGTAATATTACAATTAGTTCAGCATCACTAATTGTAAAGAAAATGCAAATCAAAAAAGAAAAACCCCAATGAGATATCATTTCACCCTAGTTTAAATGGCTGTTGTTAAAAAGCCAAAAAATAACACATGCTGGTGAAAATGCAGAGAAAAGGGAATTCTTACATACTATTGATGGAAATGTAAATTAGTACAGCCACTATGGTAAACAGTATGGAGGTTCCTCAAGAACTAAAAATAGAACTACCATATGATTCAGAACTACTGGATTATGCATCCAAAAGAAAGGATACCAGTATATCTAAGAGATATCTACACTCCCAAGTTTATTGCAGCATTATCACAATACCCAGGATAAAGAATCAACCTATATGTGTATCAATGGGTGAATAAATAAAAGAAATGTAGTATATATACACAACAGAATATTATTCAGTCATAAAAAAAATGAAATCCTGTCATTTGCAACAACATGGATGGAACTGGAGGACATTAATGTTAAGTGACTAGGCATGGAAAGACAAATGTCTCATGTCCTCATTCATATGTGGTAGCTAAAAAAGTTGATCTCATGGAGGTAGAGTAGAATGATGGTTACCAGAGGCAGGAAAGGGTAAGAGATAGGTGGATGAAATGAGGTTGTTTCATAGGTACAAAAATAAAGTTAAATAGAAGGAATACATTCTAGTGTTCAGTAGCAGAGTAGGGAAATTAACAATCATTTATTGTATATTTCAAAATAGAAGATTTGGAATGTTCCCAACACAAAGAAATGGTAAATGTTTGATGTGATAGATATCCTAATTACCCTGTTTTGTTCATTACACATTGTACACGTGTATCAAAATATCGCATATACCACCATGAATATTTACAATTATTAGTGTCAGTTTTAAAAATTGAAAACAAAGATCTTTGGAGATCAGTGTGTGGTTGATGGTAGCATTAAATGTCTTTCACCATGGAATAACTTTTTAAATTATTATATCATTAAGAATATAAAAACATCCTGGTTTTGGCCGGGCGCAGTGGCTCACTCCTGTAATCTCAGCACTTTGGGAGGCCGAGGCGGGTGGATCACGAGGTCAGGGGATCGAGACCATCCTGGCTAACATGGTGAAACCCCGTCTCTACTAAAAATACAAAAAAATCAGCCGGGCGTGGTGGAGGGCGCCTGTAGTCCCAGCTACTCGGGAGGCTGAGGCAGGGAAATGGTGGGAACCCAGGGGGTGGAGATTGCAGTGAGCTGAGATTGCGCCACTGCACTCCAGCGTGGGAGACAGAGCAAGACTCTGCCTCAAAAAAAAAAAAAAAAAAAAAAAAAAATCCTGGTTTTACTTTTTTTTCTTTTTTAGTTGGCCAAGTGAAATTTGATCCACCCTTAAGAAAGGAGACAGAACCACATCATGAACTTGTAAGTAGTATAGCCTTAGAATGTTAGCACTGAAAATAAATGTTTTAATTTGTTTTTGTGTGATGTATTAGTACTGACCAAAAAAGCTAGTCATTAATATTTTCAAAAACATTCGAGGTCCCAGCCTGGTCAACATAGTAAGACCCTGTCTCTACAAAAAAATGTTAAAACTTAGTTGACGTGGCAGTGTGTACTTGTAGTCCTAGCTACTGGGGTGGCTACGGCAGGAGGATCCCTTGAGCCCAGGAATTCAAGGTTGCAGTGAGCTATGATAGCACTACTGTACTGTAGCCTGGGTGAAAGTGTGAGACCTTGTCTTTAAAAACATAAAATAAAATTTTTTTTAAAATCGTGGGAAACAAAAAGGTAAGTAATTCTCAAATTCATAATAAATAAATCTGTGTTGCTGAATATTTTCAAAATTATTTTAAGAGAAACTTAATTGTTTTACCATTCTGTGATTAAATGTTTTTAATGCTGACTTTTAAATTTTTTTTATTTTTTATTTTTTCTCTTTTTGAGGGGCTTTTTAAAATGTGTTATTTTTATGATAAATGCCATGGTTTCCAAACATTAGAGTAGAGTCATATCTGTATAGAGTATTGAAAATTAGGGAGATGAGGCATACATAGTAAATGAAGTTTGTCATTCATTTAAGGCTTGCTATAACTTTATGAATATACTTTGCATGATTCTTTTGTTGTTGTTTTATATACTCCTTTCCAGATAAATGATAATATATTAGATTCAGTCATAAAAGCAAAATACTTTGCATCTATTTGAGATGTTAATATTCTATAGAACAATAAAAAAATGAGACATTGGAAAATACAAAATTCTAAAGAAATTATTTTGCCAGAGTTCCATATGATGTCTGTTTCATTTTTTTATTTGCTATTTAATAATGAGAAGAAAATAACTGTTAATAAGTACTAAGGATTGAAGTAGGAGCTTTCTTCTTCAGTTTAATGCTTATTTTAACTCACTTGACTGAAGCATACAAAGGGTGTCATTAGCCTTTACCTTATAGTTACTCTAATTCAGTGTACCAGTGTGGAGGAATAGGATGTTAAAGAAAAAGTCTTAAAATGATCATATTGTAATACCAAAGCCTGACATTTATGAAGAGGGGTGGAGAAAATTAAGAAAAAGTAGTCATGATATTTATAAATGCTAATTGTGTTTTGTTAAGGCAGTTTGAGTTTATTTTTTGTTTCCCTTTGTAAGTTGGCATTGCCTGTATTTAAATTCTGTACTAATTTAGTAACTGCATTTTAGAGCAAAGTTGTTGCAATGTTGCTTTTTTAGAAGCTGCCTAATACAGTTTGACTCTCCATTTGCCTTAATAAAATTATATTAGCAGGACTTACTTCATTTGTGAAAGTTTCCCTTTGTGAATTTGTGGCTTTTAGTCTAAGCGTAAATAACTTGGGTTTCTTGGTCTCTGCTAAACAGCCCGACAGTGATGGTTTTTTGGACAGTTCAGAAGAAATATACTACACTGCAAGATCTAATCTGGTATTTCTCATCTTCTGATTTTCTTTGTCAGCATTGTTTTAGTCTTAATTGTTTTCTTTTAAGATCAAACATTTTGTCCAATTAAAGCATTGTTTTATAAGTTGCTATCATTTAGCAAACTTCTATATATTAAGAATTGTAGCAGTTTTTTCCCATAACAAGTTACATATATATATCTACTCAAATATAATGCTGTAGTAATAAACATGCTTGTATTTTTTATGAAAAATGTTAATATTTAATTTTCTCATTCATATATTAGGGTTTTTTTTTTAAGAAATGGCATTTCCCTGTAAAAATGTCCAGTTTAATGATGTAACTTGTTTTAATGAACTAGAAACCACCCATCCACATGTATATATATAAACAATTCATATGTTATATGGTACATATATTCATATGCATTACATATATAATATTCATATATCATGGTACATATATTATTCAGATAATATATGGTACATATATAATTTTTAAAGATAATTTATTCCTACATTAACAATGAAATCATTCTCAGATGAAGTTTTAATTTTTCAGCATTACTATCATGTCTGGTTTCCTTAGGACAAAATTTAGATTATAAAGCATTCCTGAAGTTATAAATACTGTCTTACCATTACATAAGAAAAAATGAGAAATTGATGCTATTAAATGTTAAATAAATAATACTTTTAATAGTTGTTATTAAGTAAATAGTTCTTTCTGCTACTGTGGTTGGCGAGAGCCCCAAGTTACCCCCATATTTACTCCCAGATTCTACTTTTCTGACTTTTAAATGGAATTTTCCTTATCTTTCCTTCCTCTTTACCTTAGTAACATACATCTTTCAATTTTGATTGGCTTAAATGATTCTTTATATAAATTTTTTAATCTAGGACCTCTGACATTTGTAAAATATAAAAGAGATTTTAGACATAATTTCCCTTCTTTAGGGAGGTTGCTGTCCTATTGGACAGAATATACTTACACATACAAACTCTTACCCATGCAACAAAATACATAATGGCTTGCCAACATTTTGCCAGGTGGCAAGTGTTGATGAGGGAAGCTAACATACAATAGGTACTGTAGAGATGAGAGAAGGAGAAGAGCTCTGGGGCCCATGTGGCTTATCTGGCTTCTGGGAGGGACTAAGACTAATGTCAGTATTGTGTAGGAACATTGTAGATTCTTCAGGAAGAAAAGGGACCAGATGCTGGCTCTGTTTCACAGCAATTGGAAACAGTTGCCAGCACAGACCACAGGTTTGAGAGATGTCAGGCAGAGAGCTGAGATTTTGAAATTATCATACTAATCTCGGATTCCTTTAAAAAAAAGTAGATTTAAATTATCAAAGAGGAAGTGATAGATGAAGCCATGAAATTGCATGTGTTCCCCATTGTTAAATCTGAAGAAACAGTGCAAAAAACTGGTTACCTCAGTGGATGATGCCTATGTTTAACATTCAGGTAGAACCAACATTGGAAGTAGGGAAGAAGCAGTTGAAAAGCTAGGAGAGCCAGTAAATGCACTGTCTCAAAATAAAGAGGGAATGTGTTCAATGGCATAAAGAGACAGAATGTGTGAGGATTGGGAATTAACCCATAGGGGCCAAGTGAGATAGAATGTCTGAAGAAAACACAGTCGGTGCTTGCTGGATTGAAAATGTTTTCAGAATTACACACGTAGGCTAGAATGACAATTAGTGAAATTTATTGCAGAAATAAAGACAACACAATCAAATTTTTAAATTGACTCTAGTATTTATTAATATCCTCCATGTAGAAAAGATAACAACAAAACTGGAAACATAATACTTTAAAATTACAAATACTCAGCCGGGCACGGTGGCTCATGCCTGTAATCCCAGCAGTTTGGGAGGCCAAGGCGGGCAGATCATGAGGTCAGGAGATCGAGACCATCCTGGCCAACATGGTGAAACCCTGTCTCTACTAAAAATACAAAAAATTAGCTAGGCATGGTGGCATGTGCCTGTAGTTCCAGCTACTCAGGAGGCTGAGGCAGGAGAATCCTTGAACCTGGGAGGCGGAGGTTGCAGTGAGCCAAGATTGTGCCATTGCACTCCAGCCTGGCAACAGAGCGAGACTCCATCTTTAAAAAAAAAAAAAAAAATTACAAATACTCTTTTCTGTGCCACATGTGGAACTAGCCTAGTAACTTGAATAAGTTACCATATTGTGGCTTTGTTCCCTGTAACTGCTCCCACCTTCATCCCTGCTCCCTGCCCTATAATCAGGAGTTTCCTGTGGTACAGGGGAGCATTTGACAGGGGTCTTGTGACAATGGAGGGATTTAGGGACTATTAGGTTAGTTCGGGCAGAAGAGGGATGAATGAAATATTTGTCAGAGTATACAACTTATAAAATCAACCTTAAAGCTCACTCCCAATGGTAACAAAAGCTAACATTTATCTAGAGGTTTTTATATACCAGGCATTATTCTAAGCACTTTAAATATATTAACTTATTATTCTTGTTTTACAAATGAGGTGATTTAAAGTGCAAAGAAGCTGAAATTCGTTAGTCTTTAGCTAAGAATAGCAGAGCTGGGATTCCTAAGCAGCCTAGCTCAGGAATTCAAAACTAAACCACTGTACTGTGTTGCCTCTACCCAACATCATCAGTATATATTTTTAAAGTAATACTGGGCCCCCCACCTTTTTAAAGTAAATATATATGTCCCATGGTTATGTTTTGTTTTTGTTTTTTTTACTGTGGTAAAATATACATTACGAAATTTACTGTTTTAATGTTTATGTCTACAGTCCAGTGGCATTATGTACATTCACATTGTTACGCAGCTGCCACCACTCTCCATCTTCAGAATGATTTCATCTTCCCAAACTAAAACTCTATACTCATTAAACAATAACTCCCCATTCCTTTTTCCCTCCAGCCCCTGGCAGCGAACACTCTGTTTTCTGACTATGAATTTGACTTCTCTAGTTATCTTGTATAAATGGAATCATAGCATATTTGTTCTTTTGTGGCTGGCTCACTACTTAGCATAATTTCGTAATACCTTCAGGGTTCCTCCGTGTTGCAGCGTGTGTCAGAATTTCCTTTTTAAGGCTGAATAATACTCCATTGCATGTAAATACCACATTTTGTTTATACATTCATCCATTGATGGACAGTGAGTTGCTTCTACCTTTTGGCTATTGTGAATAATGCTGCTATAAACATGGATATACAAATATCTGTTTGAGTCCCTGCTTTCGATTCTTTTGATATGTAACTAGAAATGGACTTGTAGTTCTATCTTTAATTTTTTGAGAAACTGCCATACTATTTTCCACAGCAGCTGCAACATTTTACATTCCCACCAGCGATGCACATGACTTCTACTTTCTCCACATCCTCATCAGCATTTGTTATTATCCTCTGTTTTGTTTTGTTTTTGACTTTCGATAATAGCTATCCTAATGGGTATAAAGTAGCCATAGTTATTTCTGTGTTCTAATTTTATCAATTCTAAAATCTTGGCACTGTGAACAAGATTTCATCTCTTACAAATGCTTGTGGCTGGCCACTAAAAGCCTGAGGAATCCAGAATGTCTGGCCCTCATCTTAGCTGGCAGTTGGCACCAAGGTAAAAACCCTAAATCCCTTTGGGACCAGAAGAAACATTTACCCCTTTAAAGACCTTGCTACATAAACATTCCATATTACCTGTGATTTCTGGTTGTTTTAAATGCCAACTGTTTTTATTTTGTGATTTTGTAAGTGAATTTAGAATGTTGTATTTAAACTTTTGTGCTATCCAAAAGTGCTCTCTCAAAAAAAAAAAAAAAATCAGATAATTAATATATGAAGCCAGAAGAATAGGGCTTGATTTTTTAGAATTGACAGTATGAGAATTTTTGAAAGATGCCTGAGTTTAAAACAAAAACTCACTGTAAGTTAATTAAAAGAGTTTTGCCCATAACCATAAAAATCAGTTTGTCTGATCTGCAAAATGCTATCTGCAGATTAAAAGATTATATTACACATCCGTCTTAACTGATGCTATTTTTTTCTAATTTGCATAGTTTTACTGGCTATTTAAGCCCATGTACCAATTAAAAACAAAAAATTGAAAGTTAATTCTGTATAAAAGACTATGTTGACCCGGCGTGGTAGCTCACGCCTATAATCCCAGCACTTTCGGAGGCCAAGGCGGGTGGATCACTTGAGGTCAGGAGTTCGAGACCAGCCTGGCCAATGTGGCAACCGCATCTCTATTGAAAATACAGAAATTAGCTGGGCATGGTGGTGCACGTCTTTAATCCCAGCTACTTGGAAGGCTGAGGCAGGAGAATCTCTTGAACCCAGAAGGCAGAGGTTGCAGGGAGCCGAGATCGTGCCACTGCACTCCAGCTTGGGTGACAGATCAAGACTGCATCTCAAAAACAAACAAAAACCCAAAAAACACTATGTTAATGACTATGTAGGGGCATAAATAAATAGTAACATAATCATTGCTCTGAAGAAGTATATAGTATGCCTCACCTGCCAATATTCATTTCCGAGCCTGCAGTACAAAAGTCATATTATTCCATTTTCAGGCTCCTTAATCTGCTTTTATTAGTCAGAAACCTAACTTGATCAGTTAATATTCTGACTCTACTTGCTTTTCTGACTTTTTAAGAAATAAAAAATATTTGAATTATCCTGGATTCAACACCTCTCTATTTCTATAAATCATCTACTGCGTTAAAAAGTGTCTCACTAACAACCTTATTTGTGCCATAATTTTCTCATTTTTGATGGGAAAATATTTCTCCTGTTCTCTTTCTTGGTCAAGATATATTGCTCAAGTATTTTTTTCTTTTGTGTTTTTGTAGTGAACTGTATCAATTCTATTGACTTCCTGCTGCTTTCTCATCAGGTATAGACTTAAATCTCCCAAGGGGATTTTTTTTAAAACTACAATAAGATGTTTTTGGTCATATGCTTTTCCTTTTCCGGTGCTCCATGTTACATCCTTTGTTCATTTTCAGTTCTTTCTCACACTTTGTGTTCTTAGAAATTCCATCTGAAATTTAGAAATAGTCTCCCATTCGCTAAAATGAACTGCTGAAATTAGGACTTTGCAACCCAAAAAGATATTTTAATTGGGCTAGGATAACGATCTTGAACTTTTAATCTATACTAGGTTATTGCATGTTTTCAGCTCCTGTTACTTATTTGACTCTACTGTGTAAACACTGTCATTCATTAACAAGTTGATGCCTGATTAGTGCTACTAACTTTTTTTATGCTGGCATACTCAAGTGTTTCTTGTTTAGCTTGTAAAGAATGGCCATAAGATACCATCATCTTGGGATAGTTTGAGCGCCTTTCCAAGCATTATTTTGGTAGCATTTTTCTGATATGGAATAACTTCCAAATCCTTTTTGAAAAGCATTTTATATCAGTCTTTCTTAGACTGCCCCAACGACATATAATGAACTACTAACTTTGCCCTGGTTTCACTTTTGTTCCTTTCCTTTTTATTTCTTGTCATTTTCCCTATCCGATTTTCTGTATGAATTCCTGTCAGATAATAGGTGCTTGGTAAACAATGGTTGTATTAAATGAGATTAGAAACTTTTTAGAAGGATTTAAAGTAATATTTTACTTATGGTATTCCTAGCACATTGTTTTGTTCCATGGTTGCTATAACATAATTTAAGGAGAAGAAATTGTTAAAGAATGAGCCCCTTTGAATTTCACCTTTCCTGGTAAGACTTGGGACATGACCCATTTAATCGTCGGACTTGGATGTATCTACAACTTCTTTCCTGGCCTGAATGTTATTCTCTATATGAGCCTATGCTCAATTTTCTATTAATATATTACTTTAGTTATTTTAGATACTTTTCTTACCTTTCTAAATATACTGCTGAACTCAGTTTATTTTCTTTATTTTTTTTTAATTTTTTTTATTATTATTTTTTGAGACAGAGTCTCTCTCTGTCGCCAAGCTGGAGTGTAGTGGCGCAATGTTGGCTCACTGCAACCTCCGCCTCCCGGGTTCAAGCGATTCTCCTGCCTCAGCCTCCCGAGTAGCTGGGACTACAGGCGCGAGCCACCACGCCCAGCTAATCTTTTGTATTTTTAGTAGAGACAGGGTTTCATCATGTTGGCCAGGATGATCTCGACCTCCTGACCTCATGATCCGCCCGCCTCGGCCCTCCCGAAGTGCTGGGATTACAGGTGTGAGCCACTGCGCCCGGCCTATTTCCTTTATTTTTAATCATTATTACCGCGCCCGGCCTATATCCTTTATTTTTAATCATTATTACCAGCCTTTTACTTGTCTTATATCAGATGAGCTGAGTATTTTTATGACACATCTGTGTTTGTATAACAGAAGAGCCATGGCCATTCCACACGAATGTGTGCTTTTGGAAGCTGTCATTTGATTAAAGGCTTAAGAGATTGTATTGGCTAAAGATATAGCTGGTCTGATAGAGGGCCCAGTTATCTATAGCTGAAGAAAACAAATTTTGTGTTTATTTAATTTAGTACTTCTCTTTACTGAATACTACAGTTTAAGGATTCAGTGGTAAAGTCATGACCACTTAAACTGTGCAGTTTTGTAATAACAATGATTTTATCTTATTAAGATATATCATTACAAATTAAAGAGTACAGATGTCCTTTTTCATTGGAATTTTGTGTGATACCAGTGTGACAGTCAACTAGTCTTTTTTATGATGTGTTATCTTTTCTCACACTGATAAGAACACTTTATTATGCATGGAATAACACAAATATTGAAGAAGACAAAATTTGAGTCTTGTCTAAACCAGGATTTTGATTTTAATTTTCATCAGATTTTTTTGACAGGTCTTGGAATATTTAAATTTTAAAGTGCTTCTCTCTTAAATGTAATGTATTGCTTAAAATCCTTATATTTTGAGGCTTAGTTTTTAGTGTCATTTAGAATTAGCTTTGTGTATCTTAACGAGGCTGAAGTTTTATTTATGGGAAAATAAACAGTTGGCATTTGAACAAGCATTTATTTATGGTGCAGTCAGTTTGTGCCAGGAACAATGCTAGACCGTAGGCTGTAAGGAAAGAAGATAGATTTGATTATTTCCCATTGTTTAAGGAGCTCGCTTTTACAAACATGTAAATAGATTAAAATGCAGTGTAAGTGCTAGAGCAGCTCTGTGTGTTAAATGCTATGGAAACTTAGAGAAAGCTGCAGATAATTTTCCCTGGCAATCTTGGAAGGCGGCTGCTCCAAGGTGGCTTTTGTGTTAAGCCCTGATCATGAATCTGAGAATATCTTGTAAAAATAAAAAGCACTTTAAATATGCTATATTCTAATGTAAATAAGATTCATTTTTTAAATGTCAAATATTCCCCCTTAATGGTTAAAACAGTGCCTAGATTACAGTGGCTCTTTAAGAAGAGGACAAAAGGCAGCTTTACTTCATTCTTTTCATGGTTGTTGGAAAGCACATTTCTTTTTCTCAAGAAGGCATTTGAGTTGAGCATGTGTACTGTTCATCCTTTTAAATGTTAATTCTTAACACTCTATAACCCACAGCATTAAGTCGGAAGGTGTTTAAACAGTTGAGGAACTGCCTTAATACTCATTTGAAGTTTTGCTTAAAAAATTATTAAAAGTCCTTCAGTACAATTTATAATATTGTACAAGTTCATATACGTAATTTACTTTTAAAATAGCACCCAATTTCATATCTTTAAAAAATTGTTACCTGCGTGAAACAGCAGTAGAAATATGTGAAAGTGTTTATATACGTAATTATTTTAGATACTATATACAAAGTAAACCAAGATTTTTGTCACATATTCACTTCTCTGAACGTTTTTGCTTCATTATAACTGGAGAATAAACACCTTATTTGAGCTTTTTTCTTTCTAAAAACTGATTTTTACAAAAGTTAATTAAAGTAACAGTAACCAAAAATGAAACTTTGCATATATTATTCAGAAAAATTCCAAGAAAAACACTCAAATAATAAAATACTTAAATCAGGACTATGAACTCGTGAAATCCTTCTTTTTAAGAATGTATAGCAATACAGATTTATTTGGGGGTCTGGGACTTATCTTTTAAAAATAATATGTATTATATATATTAATGTATCATGGTGTGTCATATACTACTATTGTGCTAAATATTTTATTTTGTACTATTAGGATCTGCAACTGGAATATGGACAAGGACACCAAGGTGGTTACTTTTTAGGTGCAAACAAGTAAGTAAAGTTCTTTTAAAACTTAATTTAAATTCAAGAATTATTAAGTTGCCTTTAATATTATATTTTAATATTTAAGGTAGAAAATTGTATTAGGCTGGTAGATATATTTTACAATATGCATTTCACCTTTTTCCATTGCTTCCTTGCTCATTATTTAGTTAATAGTTGTCCTAATGGGAAGCATCAACATAATTTTTTTATATCAAGCTACATTGCTGATCTTGTATGTTAGAGAAAACCACATGTATTGCCACTGAAGGCAGATACATGTTTTAGCACTTTATTTCTAAAACTGATCTGTTTATTTCTTATAAAACTTGCTTTGGTACATCTCTAAGATGGGTTGGTCACTAAAAACAGCTGGAATTATTCATACAACTTAGAAATCTTAACTTTTTAGCTATAAGGTTTTTTTAAAGTAAGATAGCAGTTAAAATGTGTGTCTGAATTCTTAAAAGTTACCAATCTATGCAGTAAATAAATTCAACAGTTATTTAATGCCTCTTCTACACCAGGCACTGTCTAATTGATAGAGGCACAGAGGTTTAAAAGGCAGCTTACAAACATTAACAATTTAAATTGTTCATTTGCCAGGTATGATGGGAGACAGAATTTTGCTATTCCCCTTAGAGTCTCATTTTCTAAGTTTGTGGATAAATTATGATAAAAACTAATTTATAAGGGAATATAATTTAAATTACCAAAATCTTCCAGCAGTGCATATATTATTTTAATAGTCAGAACAAGTTAAAATTCCTTTTTTTTTTTTTTTTTTGAGGCAGAGTGTCACTCTGTTGCCCAGGCTGCAGTGCAGTGGCGTGAACTTGGCCCACTTCAACCTCCGCCTCCCGGGTTCAAGTGATTCTCATGCCCCAGCCTCCCAGTAGCTGGGACTACAAGGGCCTGCCACCATGCCAAGCTAATTTTTTGTATTTTTGTAGAGACTGGGTTTCACCATGTTGATCAGGCTGGTCTCGAACTCCTGGCCTCAAGTGATCCACCTGCCTCAGCCTCCCAGAAGGTGCTAAGATTACAGGTGTGAGCCACCGTGCCTCGCAAAATTTCAAAATATTATTTCAGTTGCATTAGAGAGTTGAGACATATATATTCCCATATTTTAAGTTAAGCAGTTGAGAAATAGTAACTAAAGACAAATAGCTTAGTTTTAAGGGTAATAATGCAAAATCATGTTTCTCTCTTTTTTTAATAAACTAAATACCAAATGTTTAATTTTTTTAGTTAAATATGCTATCCTTTCCTAACAGAGAGAAAAGGCTTTAATAACAATCTGGAGAAATATATTAGTTTTTATTTAAGCTGAACTTCAGTTAAATACTATCAGAGTTTTAAAAATATTATTAGCTTTGATACTATTATTAAGTCATTATTATTATTAGCATTTATGTTTTTTAAAATGGAAAATAAGTGTAAAATTTTCTTGGCAGAGAAAATGAAATTTTACCTAAATAGTTGACTATTTGTGATTTATAAATTGTCTTAGTTTGTTGGTGAAAAACAAAGGAAAGTTTGTCTCATAGTGGATTCGCAAATAAAAAAAATTTTTGAAGTGTTTTTATGTTATTTTCTCTAAATATGAAGTCCCTAATTTTAAGGTCCTTGTTAGTAAATTTTAGTGTATTTTAAGAGACTGAAATTTTTGGGAAAATATTTTTTACCTTTTTTGATTCATTTAAAATACATTTTAAAAATCTGTACATGCAAAGTACAAAAAAAAAATGTAGCCCCTCACTAAATGCTTTTCCAGATTCCTTAGTTTCCATTGTCTGATTTCTGATTGTTAGACATTTTCGTAGTGTATAGTTATTTTGGCTAGGTAAAATGTTAATAATTTGCCCAACCTTCATTTTTTGATGAATTGGATCCCTGCTTAAGGAACTGTATTCTATGTAACGAACCCTTGGCAAGGTAGGTTGGCCAAAAGTTTGCTCTTTGGCTGTGTTTCGTGTGTAGGTATAGACATACATGTGACATGAGCATGGATGTAGCACTTCTCTTGCTGTATTGATATGTCTGCTTTATTCTTGTGATTAGGCAGTGTTTTAAAAACGGGATTTCCTGCTTTCTCCATAGGTGATCAGGCAGACAGATTTCCATTGACGGGTTTCTACCTATTCCAGACCGTGCAGGAACTATCTAATTATAATTGTTAACATAGGTCTTTTCTTTTTCTAACAGGAAGCATATGTACTTTGACTTATACTTGCTTGTCTCCTTTTCTTTGGAATTCTAATCTCACTAAGGTCAGCTTTTCTGATAATTTATTTAAAACCAACAAAATACTATTTTTAAAAGAAAACACTAGGCCGGGCATGGTGACTCACGCCTGTAATCCCAGCACTTTTGGAGGCCGAGGCGAGTAGATCACCTGAGGTCAGGAGATCGAGACCAGCCTGGCCAACATGGTGAAACCCCGTCTCTATTAAAAATACAAAAATTAGCTGGACATGGTGGCACACGCCTGAGGTCCCAGCTACTCGGGAGGCTGAGGCAGGGGAATCGCTTGAACCCAGGAGGCGGTGGTTGCAGTGAGCCGAGATCGTGCCATTGCACTCCAGCCTGGGCGACAAGAGTGAAACTCTGTCTCAAAAAAAAAAAAGAAAAGAAAACATTAAATTATTTATGTTTTGTTTTAATTTAGGGCAAAAATGTTGAAGGTAAATTCTCTTCTAATAAGTAATAGTTAAAAGAGTACATTGAATTACACAATTCCTGGCACAGTTGAGTATAGTAGTAGTAAATGCCAGATGGCTTTTCCTATAAGCTACATGACTTTGAGAAATTTACCTCTATTATTGCTAGTAAAATGGATAATATAATAGTACCTGCCTCATAGGGTGCTAAGGATGAAATGGAATAATTGCTATAAAGCATTTAGCACATTTAGGACTTAGTAAATACTTATTAGTTGCCTTTATTTATGGTAGTTATTCAGTAAATAATTGTTGATTGTATGAACAAGTAGTAATGTGAGTGAATAAAACTGCTGTTTAATTTTAGAGAAATAGGGTTTTTGTTTGTTTGCTTGTTGGTTTGAAATGTAATCAGAGCAGTACTTACAGATTGGGGGCAGTTAGACAATTTTTAAAGATGTTAATAACCGCAGCACTGATTCTTTAGCTAATGCAAATATGCTGAGTATTTTGGTGGTCATTTTAGACCTCTGCCATATCTGTTTGTACATTGTTTCATTTTTAACCTTTTCGTCAACATTTCTTACTCATTTTAGATTGTCTTAGAATTCAGCATCTGAAAGCATTGTTTTTGTTTTGTTTTGTTATTTACTTTATAAAACTTCCATAAGAGAAGAATTCAAGTGGACTAGTGAATAGTGACATTGTTTATTGTGTAACATTCAATCTTGGTGAATAAATCAGTATCACATTTTCTCCAGTGCTCTCAAGATGCAATATTTACTGTAAACAGACTTTTTAGCAAATTTAGCCATATTTCATTTTCTCTTTTATAAAGCCTAAAAAGTAAATCATGCATCCTACTTTTCATTAAGACCGTATTAATTCTGTAATTTCATTAATAAAATATGTTAACACACAATGGGGATTTATAGGTAAATGAATTAAAATATACATATGAATCCCTGAGCCATGGGCTATCTGCTTTTTCATATTCACTTATTCAACCATTCTCTTATTGTTAGAGAACTCCCAGAAAGATTCTTTTTAAAAAAGTGGAATGCTGGCTGGGTGTGATGGCTCACGGCTTATACCTGTAATCCCAACACTGGGAAGCCAAGGCGGGTGGATCACTTGAGGCCGGGAGTTCAAGACCAGCCTGGGCAATATAGTGAGACTCAGTCTTTACTGAAAATACAAAAATTAGCCGGGCATGGTGGTGCACGCCTGTAATCCTAGCTACTCGGGAGGCTGAGGCACGAGAATTGCTTGAACCTGGGAAGTGGAGGTTGCAGTGAGCCAAGATCACGCCACTGCACTCCAGACTGGACCAAAAAAGCAAGACTCCATCTCAAAAAAAAAAAAAAAAAAAACATGGAATGCGAATGCAATATAAATCCAATTAAATATGGTACATTTTAAATTATCTTCCTGTATTCAAATCCTAATATTTTCTATTGTAAAAAGAAATATCTCAAAAAAGATTGTCATGTGCTTAACAAAAAAGTATTTTTTCACATCTAAAATTACATAAAAGCCAACTGTACAGTTCAGATACATTATGTTTAATTTGGTAAAATAGTTTAAAGCAGCACTTCTCAAATATTTGGTCTCATGATTTTTTTACAGTGTTTAAAATTATTGAGGATTCCAAAGAGCTTTTGTTTATGGGGGTTATAACTATCAATATTTATAGTATTCAAAATTAAACTTTAGAACTTTTCAAAATGTTAATATATTTTTAAAATAATATTATTTGTTATAAATAACATACTTTTGTGTGTGTGTTTAAAAAAAAATCTCCATTCTTAAGGACCAACTCAAATGCCAGCTCTTCACAGTGGTTTCTTAAAACACCTCTGATTTCTCTCCTGAGACTCAGAGGCAGTGAATAATTGCCATAAAAGGTTTTATTATATATGTCAGTGCACTGCAGAACACTTTTTGTTGAGGTCCACTAATAACATTTTTTTATGAAAAAAATAGCTATTTTTTATGAGACAAAATAATATTAGTAAAAAAAAGTAGCATTGTTTTACTTTTTTTTTTTTCAAGTCTTGTTAACATTGCCTTAATAGAAGACAGCTAAATTCTCATGTCTGCTACTGCATTCAATCTGTTGTGGTATCACACATCTTGTAGTCTCTGGAAAACTCCAGTGTATACTCATGAGAAAATAAGAGCAACAAAGGTATTACATATTGTGAAAATAGTTTGGACCTTGCAGACCCCTACAGGAGACTAAGAGACCCCAGGATTTTTATACCACAATTTGAGAACTGCTAGTTTAAGGAAATGTTATTTAGCCAATAGTAATAAAGAAAATACTAATCAAGTCCCAACTCTGTCCTAAATTACCCTTCTGGGCACTTTACCTACATTAATTCAGTAGACCTTCTGACAGCCACTTTGAAATAAGTACTGAGGTAATTTCTACTTTACATAGCTGGAAATCAAAGCATAGAGAAATCAGAGTAACTTATCCAGTGCCATATCCTGTGATGGTGAAGGCAGGATTCAGATTCAGGCCGTCTTGGCTTTAAAGCCTGTCTGCATTTTGCTCTAGTGCCTCTAGACAGAAGCTCCTGCTTTCTTAGAGTTGGCCCTTGGAGAGCTTTGTGAATAAGATAATATTTGACTGTGGTACCTCACTTTTTGTATCTCCAAAATAGGACTTGCAATTAGTTTGTGGTTTTCCTATAGAATTTACCACTCTGGAGTCATAAGTTTTTCATTTTTTAAAATTTAAATTGTTGTTAATCTAGGCTAATTAAAATATTGATGCCTAAAACCTATTCTGTTAATTGCTTACAGTAGATAACCATACCTTTCAGTTTCTCTAGTTTTATGTTTTGTAATTTTAAGGGCAGTTTTTCCTGATATGTATTAGGAGGGAAAATAATTAAAAGGTGCTACCTGATAACTTTTAGGGAGAGTAAAACTTTTGCTGACTCTCTTTTATCCCAGTAGTATATTAGTAACTATATTTATCTCCCCTATTAGCTTTGAGAAGTCTATCGAGTCTTTATGCTCGAAGAGTGTAATTTAGGAGGTATGCTGCATGAACTTGCGGTAAAAAGAAGTAAGGGAACTTCAGGAATGCCATAGTTCTCTCTTACATTCCTGAAAATTAAAGTTTTGTATACTGCTCCTAATGGTAAAATCCTCGACCTGGTCTGATACAGGCTTAGTCTCCCAAAAGTGTAAATGTGTTTGCCCGTGCACCACTGGAGAACAAATCCTTCAGGTAAGTGAGTGTCTTCCGTGAAAGCAAAGTGCTACTACATTCATGTATTCACATCACATGCATGCATGCTTCTGCAGAGAGATCCAACATGGTGAGTTTCATTTTGTAGGATTGCCTGAGAGCATGATGTTATTTTGAAGTGTGTCACCTTCCTTATTTTAAGAAAAAGAAAGTATATATAATTTCAGGTGTCAGGTATAAAATTCCAGGTAAAATTTGAATCCTGGAGACTCCTGGCTATGACCCTGCAATTATTGTTTTGTCAGTACTGTTGTGACATTCCATGGTGAGTTGTCTTCTGTTTGAATTGGTATTTTTCAATAAATATTAGGATTTATTTTGTTCATTTAAAATACATATATAAAGACATTGGCAACAGGAAAATAGAGGTATTTTATTAAATATAACTTGATGTTTTATGGTTGCAGAGGTGATCACTAGCAAATTTTCAGTAAATGGTAAAAAAGTAATCATTCAAAAAATGTATGGTTAAGGTTAAAATGATAAAAACACATTCGATATTCCTTTGATAATTTATTCACATTATTTTTTGTTTTTGTTTTTTCTTTTAAGGAGTCTTCTCAAGTCTGTTGAAGAAGAATTGCATCAGCGGTAATTTTAATTTTTAATCTTAAAGTACTTTATGTCACAGACAAGTAAAGTCAGTTTGCCTTCTTCTCTGTTATGTAGCCTATTTGTTTGCGTTGTCTTTTTTTTCTTTAATAGAGATAGGGTCTCGCTCTGTTGCCCAGGCTGGATTGCAGTGGTATGATCATAGCTCACTGCAGCCTTGAACTCCTGGGCTCAAGCGATCTTTCCACCTCATCCTCCCTAGTAACGGACATCACGATCCACCGCTCCCAGTTCCTTGTTTTAATTCTGAATCTATCCTATCCTATAAAGATGCAGAAATAAAATTTTATCTTACAGTAGCTTTTCCTGCATTTTCTAAAATTTCTTCTTACTGTTTTGGTAAAATCCATTTAATAACAATGACATTATCCTTTTTATTTAGAGGACACGTCGCACATTTAGAAGATGATGAAGGAGATGATGATGAATCTAAACAGTAAGTTCTGTCTCTGTTTTTGGTAAAAAGAAAAGGTGTCATTTGACCTGATTTCATCAATCTGGCAGCTTAATATTGATGGAAATTTCAATATCAGTAACACAATATCATGGGTTGTATCTCAGTTTCCTTCCTTTTTTCTATTCTAGTTACATTAACTTGGGCTGACATAACAAAATACCATAGACTTAGACAACAGAAATTTATTTCTCACAGTTCTGGAGGTGGGAAGTTCAAGATCAAGGTACCAACCAACTTGGTGAGGGCTGCCTTCTTGGCTTGCAGACAGCCGTCTTCTGGCCATGTCTTCACGTGGCCTTTCCTCAGTGTATGCACATGGTGGGATCAGGGGTAAGAGTGATCTCTCTCTCTCGTAAGATCACCAATCCATAGGATTAGGATCCCACTGTTACAACCTCATTTAAGCTTAATTACTTCCTAAAAACCCATCTCTAAATATAATCACATTGTGGGTTAATACTTCAACATGTGAATTTTATAGTGACACATTTCAGTCCATTTTTTCCAAAGGACAATAATTTTTTATTGTAGATTTATCAGTGATTGATAGCTGCTGTAATTTTACTACAACTACAAAGAAGCTTATTATAAATTTGATTAAATTTTAATCTGTTATATTTCAAGTGAACAAATACTTTGGATGTAAATATATAGTTTTAAAGGAGGAATATTTTTACTATTATGTATGCATTGATGTTTACTTTTTTTTTTTTAATAAAGATGCAGTTTCATGGTAAAATGATAAGAGCACTTGAGTAGCAGTTGAGGGCATAGGTTGATCTTGGGTAAAGTTACATAAACTTTCTAGGCCTTGAAATCCTCATCTGAGACATTTGTGCTTCATCATATTACAATTTTTTCTTTCTTTCTTTTGAGAAAGGGTCTTGCTTGCTCTGTGGCCCACCTGAAGTGCAGTGGTGTGATCTTGGCTCACTGCAGCCTCGACCTCCTGGCTCAAGCAGTCCTCCCACCTCAGCCTCCTGAGTAGCTGGGACTGCACCTCCACACTTCCTAATTTTCTATTTTTTGGTAGAGATGGGTTTCCACCATGTTGTCCAGGCTGGGCTCGAACTCCTGAGCTCAAGCAATCTGCTCACCTCAGCCTCCTAGAGTGCTGGGATTACAGGCATGAGCCACTGTGACCAGCCTCTTTCTGTTTCTAAAACTGATCCTGAGTTATAATGAATCCTAACTTCAGTCACATTCTGCATATAATTTCATAAAGCATATATATAGTTTTTGATGAGCTTCATCAAAGATGTTTCATATCTAACAGTAGCAAAAATGAAGTTTACAATGTGATATATTTTATACTGTATCATTTATTTCATAAGCCAGATGTGGCTTATGTTCTTAATTATTTACCTTTCAGTTGATATAAACTGGAATTATAATTATCTTTCCCAGTTTTAATTACAATATAGTACTTGGAACCAAGAAAGTGTATTACCCAATTACTTCTTTTTAAATTGAATTTAATTCTTTTAACTGAAATAATTATAATACAAATTTCTGTGGTACATAGTAACGTTTTGATACATATAATGTAGTGATCTGATCAGGGTAATTAGCATATCCATCATCTCAAACATTTATCATTTCTTTGTGTTGGAACATTCAATATCCTCCTTCTAACTATTTGCAACTAAATAACACATTATTGGTTTTTTGTTTTGTTTTGTTTTTTGAGACAGAGTCTTGCCCTGTCACCCAGGCTGGAGTGCAGTGGTGTGATCTCAGCTCTCTGCATGCAGGCTCTACCTCCCAGGTTCATGCCATTCTCCTGCTGGGACTACAGGCACCCGCCACCACACCTGGCTAATTTTTTTGTATTTTTAGTAGAGATGGTGTTTCACCATGTTAACCACGATGGTAGGATGGTCTTGATTTCCTGACCTCGTGATCTGCCCACCTCGGCCTCCCAAAGTGCTGGAATTACAGGCGTGAGCCACCACGCCCGGCCCGTTATTGTTAACTATAGTCATCCTACAGTGGTATAAGAGAGTAGTAATACTTACATACTGTAAGTATTTACATAACTGTAATTTTGTATTCTTTAACAAATCTCTCCCTTTCGTCCCCTTTTCCCTGCCCTTCCCAGTTCCTAGTATCCTATGTTCTGCTTTTTACTTCTATGAGATCAACTTTTTTTTTTAGCTTCCACATGAGTAAGATCATGCGGTGTTTAACTTTCTGTTTTGGCTTATTTCACTTAACATAATGTCCTCCAGTTCCCAGTTACTTCTGAATAATACCTCTAGCAACATTTCACAAAATACTTTAGAAAAAACTTACAATCTTAGAAAATGATATTTGTCTTTGCAGCTTTTTTATGTGTCTTTGAAAAAATTATTATATTTTAGGATTGATTCATTTGTAAAATGAATAGTTCTGATTCTAAACTTTTCTGTTTTTAGCTCAACTCTGAAAGCAAAAATTCCACCTCCTTTGCCACCAAAGGTAGACAGATTTATTTTTCAATTTGATATATGTGTGTTATTGTTCTGCCAATTTAATACTTTGTTGAGAGTTTTTCTAGCTTTTCATTTGTGATCCACAAAGAAAAATCATGAAGTTGATATAAGTAAATGATTTTTTATTATGTTTGTCTCATTTTATAATGCCCAACTTATATTTAGTGTTCTTTTTTTTTTTTTTTTTTTTTTTGAGACAGTCTCACTCTGTCACCCAGGCTGGAGTACAGTGGCATGATCTCGGTTCACTGCAGCCTCCTCCTCTCGGGTTCAAGCAATTCTCCTGCCTCAGCCTCCCCAGTAGCTGGGATTACAGGCACCCACCACCAGGTCCAGCTAAAGTTTTGTATTTTTTAGTAGAGACTGGGTTTTGCCATGTTGGCCAGGCTTGGCTCAAACTCCTGACCTCAGGTGATCTGCCTGCCTTGGCCTCCCAAAGTTGTGGGATTACAGGCATGAGTCACTGTGCCTGGCCTTATTTAATGTTCATTCTAAGTAACAAGTCCTAGGAATTTACACTGAAAATGATTGTATTAATGGATTAGTGTTATTTGACTTGGGTTAGAAAACTCACATTTCTTACAAGATTGTTTTTCTCAAAATCTGCAACCTATTCCTGACTTCTAAGAATGAATAAAGGATAGTAATTTATCATCATAGATATTTAATTTTCAAAAGATAATTTTAATTAAAAATACAAAATAGTACAATTTTTAAATGCTTTTTAACAACAAAATTATTTTTCCAAACAAAATCATTCTAAAATAGTAATTTCAACTGATGGGTTGTTTTTTTTAAAGGTAAAATGAGCTAATATATACTTTATAAGTTCATATGCATAGCAAATTTTAATTATAATATGAGTTGCTTTAAAGTTTAAAATCAAAGTGTTACAAATGAGAGTTGGAGTCTTATCAGTCTTGTCATTCGGTTTATTACTATTTTTATTTATTTTCATTTTATACAATTGAGAAAATCCTGATTCATGCAAGTAAATAATGCTGTACTTGCTTGTTTAGTTTTATCATAGCAGAAGTAAAGAGATCTGAATTTCAAAGAAATAAGTGCTGAGCAATAATAAGAGACACGTTATAAATTCTACAAACCGTCAGCCAACTGTAGATTTTTCCATTGTTTGTACAGAAAGTGTCTCAGGCATCCCATATTGCTATGTTTGTATTCTCCAACATGATAACGTTTTTTGTTTTTTTGTTTTGTTTTGTTTTGAGATGGAGTCTCGCTCTTTCGCCCAGGCTGGACTGCAGTGGCGCTATCTTGGCTCACTGCAAGCTACGCCTCCCGGATTCATGCCATTCTCCTGCCTCAGCCTCCTGAGTAGCTGGGACTACAGGCACCCGCCACCACGCCCAGCTAATTTTTTGTATTTTTAGTAGAGACGGGGTTTCACCATGATAGCCAGGATGATCTCGATCTCCTGACCTCGTGATCCGCTCGCCTCAGCCTCCCAAAGTGCTGGGATTAGAGGCGTGAGCCACCGCACCCGGCCACATGATAACATTTTAATTGGTATCCTCTCATGCCCCTGGTCTGAAAGATTAAGCATTACCATAAAGACATTGAGTCATCTAAGAGACAGCTTAGATTAGCCTTGATACGGAGCTGAACTTTGACTAGTCTGAATATTTGAAATAAAAAGAGATTGATTTAAATTGAAGGAGATAAGAAAGACTAAAATATTTTTATTTGGCTAGTCTAAGTGGGGAGACTTGTGAGGAATTAATAAAAAAGTCGACTTAGAGGCCCTTTTATTTGCACAGCAGCAAAACCTGAGATGTACACATTTTAGTGTACATTTTTAGAATATATTTAAAACAATAAGATAGTCTGAATTGGATGGTTGAGTAACCTTTAAACTCATCTGGTAAACCTCTAATGTATAGTAGAAATAATTTGAAAGCTTTTAATGTATAATAGTACTTACTTCAGGAAAATAATTTGATGTTTCATTGTTGGTCTCTTTTTCTATATTATTTCAGCCTAAGTCTATCTTCATACCACAGGAAATGCATTCTACTGAGGATGAAAATCAAGGAACAATCAAGAGATGTCCCATGTCAGGGAGCCCAGCAAAGCCATCCCAAGTTCCACCTAGACCACCACCTCCCAGATTACCCCCACACAAACCTGTTGCCTTAGGTAATGGTGGAGGGTGACAGCAAATATGTTACCAGGTTTTCATACTATGGGGAGAAAAAAAACTTTCTTTTAAGAGATTATTTGAAATTCTTTTGGTGGAGGACAGAAGGAAAGCAGTGGCTATGGAGATGTTTTCTGCTTTTTGCCTACTAGCTTAAAGTGTTTTTATGACAGGATTCCCTATGACACAGTCTGAGATATTTTGTCCTCATTTCTCATTTCATATTTAGCCTTCTCTCTTCTAGAGACTGGTTCCCCATTCATTTAGCTACGGTGTGGAAACAATGCAAATTAAACTATGAACAAACATGGAAAATGTGTTTTGCGTCTAGGTTACTTCTGTTTTAGAAGAGAGTACCTTGTCCTAACTCCTTATTTCATTTAATCATTTCTAAAAAAATAATTGGTATTATTTGCTAGGTATTTGCCTCCAAATTAATACTAGAAGGTGCTATTTTAACACTGTAAAGACTCCTCTGTGTTTATCCAGAAGAAGCAATTTTAAAAAAGAGCAACTAGGCTGGGCATGGTGGCTCACACCTGTAATCCCAGCACTTTGGGAGGCCGAGGCAGGTGGATCACCTGAGGTCAAGAGTTTGAGACCAGCCTGACCAACATGGTGAAACTCCATCTCTACTAAAAAAAAAAATACAAAATTAGCTGGGCGTGGTAGCGCATGCCTGTAATCCCAGCTACTTGGGAGACTAAGGCAGGAGAATCGCTTGCTTGAACCTGGGAGGCGGAGTTTGCACTGAGCCAAGATCACGCCATTGCACTCTAGCCTGGGTGATAAGAGCAAAACTCCTTCTCAAAAAAAAAAAAGAGCAACTAAAGTTTCTTGGATGACATAATAATAAATCACCCCTTTTCTAAAAGTAGTTATGAATTCAGTATTTGGTTTTTTAATGCTAACAAATACATGCACTTATACACAACCTGAATTTAAATTTGCCTAATATGCCAGAAATAGAGGTATAAATAGAAGAACATATATATAAATGACGTCTTACTTTCATAGTAAATATTCTGATTGGGTGATCCCAAATGAATAATGACACTATGTCAGAGTTAATATTTTTTCTTTCCTACTTGATAACTTTCTGAATAAAAGTTTTCATGAAGATTAATCATTTTCAATGAATATATCTTATTGAAGGAAATGGAATGAGCTCCTTCCAGTTAAATGGTGAACGAGATGGCTCATTATGTCAACAACAGAATGAACATAGAGGCACAAACCTTTCAAGAAAAGAAAAGAAAGATGTACCAGTAGGTATTGATAGTCATAAGTTCTACTTGTATTTGTTTCCTTTTTAACTGTTAAGTTAGTTTTATGCTTACAATTAGTGACACTATAGCACTAGTATATTTTACAATTACTATATTGATATTTTAGTATATTAATTATAATGGTGAATAGATTATTTAAATCTTGAAAAAAGTAACTTAGCTATGGTAAACTTGAATGATGGCTTTTTATCGTTTACATTATTTAGACCAATTTGTTATGTAGTACGTTATAAAACATCTTCTTTATACAGATAAATGCTTAGTATTCTTGTGATTATTCACAAAATAACTATTATTATTCTCATTGAGGATAATTGATTCTTGATAGTTTCTCTTACAGTCTCATGAAGTTACGGAAAGAAGGACATAGATAAAGAAAGCTGTAGCTTCTACCCCAGGACAAATTTCTAACTATAGATCAGGGGTCCCTAACCCCTGGGCCGCAGACCAGTAATGGTCAGTGGCCTGTTAGGAACCAGGCCACACAGCAGGAGGTGAGCAGTGGGCAAGTGAGCATTACCGCCTGAGCTCCACCTTCTGTCAGGTCAGCTGCAGCATTAGATTCTCGTAGTGCAAACCCTGTTGTGAAGTGTGCATGCAAGGGATCTAGGTTGCACGCTGCTTACACGAATGTAACTAATGCCTGATTATCTGAGGTGGAACAGTTTCATCCCCAAAACATCCCTCCCCTTCAACCCCCATCTGTGGAAAAATTGTCTTCCACGAAACCAGTCCCTGATGCCGAAAAGGTTGGGGAACCACTGTTAGAGATTACATAAGTAGTGACATTGCTGCTCTTACTTACCACTTCAAGAAAGGTGAAATTAGTCTTAGCAGCTACTCCTATCACAAATGTTAGCTAAAACATCAGAACTATTAAAACATAAATGTTATTCATCAGGGATCATAAGAGATGAAACATTTTAAACATTTGTAAAGAATTGACTTACAATCACTGGAAGACATTCAACTATCATCATAGAATTTAAAATAGTAGAAAATCCTTAAAATCCCCAATATCTCAACAGATGTCAACAAGATGAATAGGGTTTTTTGGAAGTTTTTGTATATACTAATATTTGTTATTTTTATAGAAATTTCTAGTATATTCGGTATGTTTGTCTAGTACATTCAGTATGCTATGGTTTCTGCAGTAAGCACATCACTAGAGTCTTTTGTGCTATATCTGTTTAACTTTTTAAAAATATTTCACTATACAATATGACATATTATTCTTAAAATTCACATAAAGTATTTGGTGTTATTCATTGTAATTTCTGAAATTTAGGAATGGGTTTTATGAAGTTCTGTCCAACTGAGCAGTGCCTTTTTGCTTTCAACAATTTAAATTTTAATAGACCTGCTAACATAATAGTACAAAAATGCAGCTGAGTGACTGTAACACAGTATAAAATAAATAGCCTTTGAGAGATGTAAACTTTTTTTTTAACCTTTCCAATGGTACTAAGTAAACATTTTTTATGTATGCATTTTTAGTTCACTTTTTCTGTTAACTTACTTCATTAAGATAAGGAACTGTTTCAGTAATTCTGAAATAAATATGTCCATGGCTCTATCATAGGATAAACAGTATCAGTGATATATTGAAGCATGCTTACAGTTTATGCTGTAATTCTTGAAATTATTTACAGCCGTCACATCTGTAATCCCAGTGCTTTCAGTGGAAAAGGCAAGGGGATCACTTGAGAGCAGAAGTTCAAGACCAGCCTGGGCAACATAGCAAAACCCTGTCTCTACAAAAAATAAAAATTTAGCCAGACATGGTGGCATGCACCCATAATCCTAGCTGCTCAGGAGGCTGAGACAGGAGAATCACATGAGCCCAGGAGGTTGAGGTTAAAGTGAGCTATGCTTGCCTGCCACTGCACTCCAGCCTGGGTGACAGAGCAAGACCATATCTCTAAAAAAAATTAAATGATAATAAATAATAAATTTATTTTATTTTATTTATTTATTTATTCATTTTGAGATGGAGTCTCGCTCTGTCGCCCAGGCCAGAGTGCAGTGGCGCAATTTTGGCTCACTGCAACCTCCACCTTCTGGGTTCAAGTGATTCTCCTGCCTCAGCCTCCTGAGTAGCTGGGATTACAGGTGCACGCCACCACGCCTGGCTACTTTTTGTATTTTTAGTACAGACGGAGTTTCACCATGTTGGTCAGGCTGGTCTCGAATCCTTGACCTCATGATCTGCCTACCTCAGCCTCCCAAAGTGCTGGGATTACAGGCGTGAGCCACTGCGCCCAGCCTTATTTATTTTAAATAATATTTACAACCAGTTCTATTAGTGCTTAGGTTAAATCTGAGAGTTATAACACTCAGAGCTCCCTAATTTAAAATGATGTTTTGCTAGGCCGGGCACAGTGGCTCACACCTATAATCCGTACACTTTGGGAGGCCAAGACAGGTGGATCATTTAAGGCCAGGAGTTCAAAACCAACCTCGCCAACATGGTAAAACCCCATCTCTACTACAAATACAGAAACAGCCGGGTGTGGTGGCAGGCGCCTGTAATCTCAGCTACTCAGGAGGCTGAGGCACGAGAATCACTTGAACCTGGGAGGCAGAGGTTGCAGTGACCCGATATCGTGCCCCTGCACTCCAGCCTGGGTAACAGAGCAAGACTGTCTCAAAAAAAATAAAAAAACAACAACAAAAAAAGATGTTTTGCTAAAATAGATGACATCAGATAATTTAATAACATCAATATAAGAAAAAATATATATTATTTGCATAATGGAATAAAAAGGTATCAGAAATTATTGGCAATAATAAGATGTGCGCATCCTCAAAAATATATCTACAAAGTATGTCATTTTAATTTCAGAAATGTTATATTTTTATGTTGTATATATGAAATCAATTAACAGTAGCTTTTTTATTAGTTTTCATCTCATTGTTTAAGTGATTCTGATGTATGGCAGCTCTAGGGAAAAATTAGAATGTCATTCCTTAAAATGATGTTACTGAGATTAACCTTGAAAGAAATGTAGACTGTCACAAAGTTCATGTTTAAAGTATACCCAGGGGGTTCCCTCTCAGGGGACAGTTCGTATACTCAAGAATGTGGCCACTTGGAGAAATATCTGGCATTCTTCAGCATAGTGTGGGTGAGCAAATGTGTTACATTTCTTCTCCTTATAATTGCCTGTATACTCTAACCAATGATTAATATATTTGAATTCATCAAAATTTGGAACTTCACTTAGCAAAACTCATTGTAAACATGGTGAAGATTATCTACACAAGGAGAAACTATTTGTTGTATATATATAACAGATAAAATACTCAAACCTAGAATATATTTTTAAAAGCTCCAACAAATAGATATGAAAAAAGATAACTCAGTTAAAAAAAATGGGAAAAGAATTCACAAAAGAGGAAATACAGATAGCAAATAAACACTGGGTTAAAAAGATTCTTAATCTTCCTAGCAGTCAGAGGCATGCAAATTAATGAGGAGCACAGGAGAAAAGGTTTTTTACTAATCAGCTTGGTGATATTGCTGTGAGACTAGAAAGAACCAGGAGCTCTCATACATTGCTGGTGGGTGTGATGTGATATGTACACTCTGAAAAGCAGTTTGACAGTCAATATGCACTAAAATGTAAAAGATAGAGACCCTGTGTATCAGTAGTTTCTCAGTATACCCATACTGCGGTATACTTCTCACAGTATACCAATAAAGGCATCCACTCATACACTGTGTAAGTAGGTATATACAGGAAAGTTTATTTCAGCATCTGTGTTCTAGTAAAATATTGACAATAATCTAAATACCGAATAATGTTTAAGGATAGCTAAATAAAGTATATTTATGCCATGCTGCAGTTAAAACAAATGAACTAAGTCTACATGACCGATATGGATTACTGTCCAATTTTAAGGCAAAGATCCTGCAGATAGTGTATAACTATTTGTGTTTTAAATTCCTAACACACACACAAACACTATTTTCTATGGGAACATGTATTTACATATATACCAAAAATGTCTGGAAAGCCATATGATTACATAAGTATATCTAATTCACTAGAGAAAGATTTGGAAGGTTTTACACCAAACTAGTTTTTCTGGGGCAAGTACTAGAAATAGTGCATTGTGAAAGAATTATGGGGAACTTCAGCCTTAACTGTAATGTTTTGTTTTACAAAGAATGTATTCATGTATTTTATTTGAATAAATGTGTTTGAAATACAGTATTATTATATCAAACAGCAGCAAAAAAAGTGTAATCATACATGTGTTCTTTTTCTAGAAGCCTATTAGTAATGGTCTTCCTCCAACACCTAAAGTGCATGTAAGTACTAAATATGGAGTAGGCTAAGTTTCAAGCTAAGTCACTTGTGTGTGTTATCTTTGCTTAGGTTTTTTTGTCTGTTTGAAAGAACTTTCATTATTATTGAAAAAAAATCTATAAGATTGCTAATTTAATTACAGGCATGTGTCACCATGCCCCGCTAATTTTTGTATTTTTAATAGAGACAGAGTTTCACCATGTTGGCCAGGCTGGTCTCGAATTCCTGGCCTCAAGTGATCTGCCCACCTTGGCTTCCCAAAGTGCTGTGATTATAGGCATAAACTACCATGCCTGCCCTTTTTCTTTTTTTTTTTTTTTGAGACGGAGTCTCACTCTGTTGCCCAGGCTAGAGTGCAGTGGCATAATCTCAGCTCATTGCAAGCTCCACCTCCCAGGTTCATGCCATTCTCCTGCCTCAGCCTCTCGAGTAGCTGGGACTATAGGTGCCTGCCACCATGCCTGGCTAATTTTTTGTGTGTTTTTATAGAGACGGGTTTTACCATATTGGCCAGGCTGGTCTTGAACTTCTGACCTCAGGTGATGTGTGCACCTCGGCCTCCCAAAGTGCTGGGATCACAAGTGTGAGCCACCACGCCTTGCCGTTTTTTACCTTTAAATTCTACTTTTTAATTAGCACAGAGTATACTTTATAAACTGTATGTTACAAAATATATATACTTTATATTTGTAATTTATATAATACTTAAATTATAAATATTTTAAAATAATTTTAATATTGATTTATACAGTATACTTTATATTATATAGCATATATATTACAGCAGAGAAATACATAAAATAGGGCAGATTTTCCCACTTGACTGTAAGATAAAACACTTACCTCAGGCTTGCAGTTTGACAGGGAAAAGCTATCTGTGGAATGCCAGGTAGACTCCAGCTATACAAATTAGCTTAAGATTGGGAACTGGCTTGATTGTTTTGTTCTTCGTTTTGTCATTTAAATTTCTAGGGGTTAGCAGTACCCTAACACAGAAATTTCCGTAGCTGTCTTAAAAGGTCGTTATTAGGGTTAGTTAAATGATAGTTTCTGCCCTACATCCTAAAGACATGTTTCTATTGGTCTGCTACTACTTGATGGTATTGCCAAGCTAAATTGTTCTTTTTTGGTACCAGAGTCTTTAAAGATATATTGTTTGGTAGATTTCTGTCATTAAAAGGGAAATTTTAAGGTCCATGTTTTAATTATGTTAATATTTTTAATCCATTATTGTCAACTAGTGATGTTTTCGTTCAGTATGTTACCTCCGTGTTTGTGAGGAAGACATTCCTTCTATAAAATGATGCACAAATGCTGTTCTTTTAATTTAGGCCAACATGGCAAATACTGAAATTTTCTCTGACCAAAAATATTTTTGTACTGTTTTTCCCTCAAGTTGTCAGTAGTAAAAGTGATTACCTGAGTCAACATTCTTGTACCTTGAGTATTTAACCAGAAGGATAATTTCAGAGTTAATATTTTGCTCTTTGATAATATAAAGTTCAAATGGGTGATATATTTCATTATGATATATTTATTATCTGAAAAGTTTGTAAATGGACTTGATAAGTAATATTAACATCAAAGAGTTAAGCTTTTTAATGAATCTTTCCAGGGAAATAATCAGATTGCTTAATTGAAAAAAATAAAAATAAAAGTCTGTGTTTGGAGGTTGAAGCACATATATGAATTTCAAATCAGCCATACCTGTTTCAGTTTGTAATGTGAAATTCAATTTTTAATACCATTTTTAGGCTCATAAAACCAAACAAGAAAAATGTCTTCCTTTGTAGAGATTATGATTTCCTTTTTACCAGAGACTATTGTATTGCTCTTGACATGGAGCATGTAAGATACATTATTATGCAGAATTGGTTCCTATTATTGCTTTGTTTAGTTGAAAAGATAGAAAAAATAAGACCTTTTTTTTTTCTCTTTTTTCCAAGTAAAATTATTGTGGCACCTGGAAACTTGTGGTACCACTGTTAGGCAAATGACTATGATGATTTCTTACACTTACTTCTGTAAATTTGAAGATGATCATAATTTCAGTATACTATCTATAGACTCTCACATTAAAATAGATAATAGTTACATTTTATATATTAAAGACTGTTACTTGTCACTGTTTCATATTGGTTATTCTTTGTTTCCCTAGATGGGTGCATGTTTTTCAAAAGTTTTTAATGGGTGTCCCTTGAAAATTCACTGTGCATCATCATGGATAAACCCAGATACAAGAGGTAGTATTGTGTGTTTTTATCTGTTATCTTCCTAATTTTTTAAAACTGGGGCCATGAAAGCATTTGTGATTTTGTTTATTTTCTGAGTATCTTTCTGGGGAAAAAAAGTTTTGTTATAATTTTTTTTTTATTTTAAGGTAAATATGTTTCTTTGTGCTGTTATCAGTGTTTGAGGTGACACATAACATTAAAATTTCACTGTATAGTTACCATATCAGTATAGTGAAGCCATGTATTCTGAGCCACCCTAGTTTCCTCCAGAAATGTTTCTGCTGCTGCTGCACAGTAGTCTGGTATCTTTTTTTATTTTTTATTTATAGGGAAAATGTTTTGCTCTGCCACCCAGGCTAGAGTACAGTGGCATGATCATGGCTCACTATAACCTCAAACTTCTGGCCTTATGCAATCCCCCTGCCTCAGCCACCCGAGTAGCTAGGACTGGAGGCACATGCCACCATTCCTAGCTGTTTTTGTTTTTTAATTTTTTGTAGAGATGGGAGCTGTCTGTGTTCCCCAGGCTGGTCTCGAAGTCCTGGGCTCAAGCAGTTGTCGCCTCAGCCTCCCAAAGTGCTGAGATTACAGACAGGAGCCACTGGCCAGTAGCTTCATTTTTTTCAAAACAGCCATTATGGAAGGAATTTAGCTACCAAGGATCCGGGGTTTAGTGACCACTTTAGAGGATCTCTGACCTTAAAAGGGGCCATAATCACAACAGTTGTCCTTAGGCAACCACTAAGAACTGTCTGTGTCCTCTCACTGTATATCTGATTCTTAATAGCTGTCTATGTAAGATACACATAGAACATTTATACGTGAACATTTTTATATACATACACATACACTCATTAAATATGCTGAGTACTTTTATGTCATAGGCAAGGAAATTGGCACTCAGAGAGGTTCATTGTTTATAGCCAATTGGTGCTAGAAAGGGTCAGTTTAAATCCAATACTGTCTGACCACAAATCTTATGCCATTAATCTCCCAGTACTAATCTTAAATTCTGGGCACTTTAGGAATGCTCTTAGCATTCTATACTGTTCTCAGCGTACTTCAGTTTAGCCTAGTTAGTCTAGAAAAGTTCTTGACCTGTATTATCTTAAAAACAGATCGGGCACTTTTCTTCAAGTTGCCTGCTTGGATCTCTTGGAAGTGTTCTTTCCTTTCTTTCCTGTTCTAAAGTCTTTTTAATAAATTTCCACTCCTGCTCCTGCTCTGGGAAACAAACAAACAAACAAAAAAATGGAAAGGACGATGGCCATGCTTCTCATATCTTTTAGAAGATACTGAGTACCCTAGCAGGTATCCAAGTTTTAGTTAACTTTTTAATAGACTGTGGTCAGATTCTGGGGTTTTTTAAATTAGAGTACTTATAGTATAGCTCTGAAAAAAAATTCTGTAGAAATAATTAGAATCTGTATCAGCCACTCTCGATTTTATATTCTGTATGTCAGTTGCACATGATCCTGTCTTTAGGGGGTTTTAGAAAAAGGAGCTGCAGATCCTTTGCCAGTTCTTAGCATTCTCTGATGAGTGAAGAATCTACTATGCCACTCTTCAGAACCTCCCTTACATAAAAATTCTCTTCACTGCTTTGAGGCTAATGTTTACATATAATTCAGTTTATGGGTCTAAAGTGTCTAACCTCTTTGTATTCACTGCTTATAAATCATAGTAATTCTTGTTTTATATGTTAATACTTATTTACGGAAGTTTAGATTATAGAAATCCTATTTAAAAATATTTTATTTACCAAAATCAGTCAGTGAATTACTTTTATTTCAGATCAGTACTTGATATTTGGTGCCGAAGAAGGGATTTATACCCTCAATCTTAATGAACTTCATGAAACATCAATGGAACAGGTATGTTATTTTGTATATTCTTTTTTTTTTTAATTTTTAAGTTACCATAAGTACACATTAGACCAGAAATAAGGTTCAGTTTCATGACTTGCTGCCTCTTTTATTCTTTTTTGTTTTGTTTTGTTTTGTTTTTTGAGACCAAGTCTCACTCTTGTTGCCCAGGCTGCAGTGCAGTGGTGTGATCTCGGCTCACTGCAACCAGTTTCAAGCAATTCTCATGCCTCAGCCTCCCAAGTAGCTGGGAGTAGAGGCACGCACCACCACGCCCAGCCAATTTTTGTGTTTTTAGTAGAGACAGGGTTTCACCATGTTGGCCAGGCTGGTCTTGAACTCCTGACCTCAGGTGATCTGCCCGCCTCGGCCTCCCAGTGTGCTGGGATTATAGACATGAGCCACCATGCCTGGCTAATTTTTGTGTTTTTAGTAGAGATAGGGTTTCACCATGTTGCCCATGCTGGTCTGGAACTCCTGGCCTCAAGTGCTGGGATTATAGATATGAGCCACCCCACCCCAGCGTCTTTTATTCTTAAAATCCTCATGACGCCGAGCATGGTGGCTCACGCCTGTAATCCCAGCACTTTGTGAGGCCAAGGCAGGCAGATCACCTGAGGTCAGGAGTTCGAGACCAGCCTGGCCAACATGGTGAAACCCTGTCTCTACTAAAAAATATAAAAATTAGCTGGGCATGGTGGCCTGTGCCTATAATCCCAACTGCTTCGAAGGCTGAGACAGGAGAGTCACTTGAACCCGGGAGGAGGAGGTTACAGTGAGCCGAGATTACGCCATTGCACTCCAGCCTGGGCAACAAAAGTGAAACTCCACCTCAAAAAAAAAACCTTCTGGAGCATGTTCTAATTACCAGATACTGAAGACAGGTTAACAGGACTAGTCCATACCCTTGAGAAGCTCATGATCTAATAGGGAAAACAGGTGTATAAACCAGTAACTACAGCACTCAGGATTAGATGTCATATTAGGAATGAGTATAAGATATTGGCCACAGAGGTGGATGTCACCAGCACCTCCTGTGGGGAGATGAGTAGAGGCATTTGAGATGGACCTTAAATTATGATGAATAGAAGTTTGTCACACAGACAGGATAAGCATGATGGCATAGAGATGTGAAATAGCATGGCAAGTTTGGGAACAATGACTGGGCATTTGACTGGAGTACAGAATGGTAACAATAGATGGAGCTGGGTAGGCAGGCAGAAGCCAAACACCAGAGCTTGGTGTACTATGCTGATGGAACAGACCTGTGTTTTAGAAATATCTGTTTGCAGTACGGTGAGAGATGAGACTAGAAACCATGGTCAAATGGTAAAAGAGTGTTAATTCAGGGCAAAGGTAGAGAACAGAGGGGAAAAGATATTTTTCAAAAACAGTTTTATCGAGATATAATTCACATATCATACAGTTCACCCACTTAAAGGGTACAATTCAGTGGCTTTTAGTACGTTCACAGCGTTGTGCAGCCATTACACCATCAGTTTTAGGACATTTTTATCATCTCCAAAAGAACCTCCGTAATCATTAGTGGTCATTCCCCATTTCTCTCCTCCTCTCCCCCAGTATGGGGATGTTTTTGAGTGTCACAATGAGTGGGGGGAGCTTTTATCATTTAGTACCCACGAGTCAGGAACATAAAACAACCTACAAACTGATAATAATGGTGATGCTATTAATAGCTAATACTTACATAAAGCTTACTATGTGTCCACGCAGTGTTTTTAAATGCTTGACATATATTATTTAGTCTTCATGAAATCTCTCACAGGTAGACACCATTGATAATCTCACTTCACGGATGAGAAAACTAAAGCACCGAAAGGATTAGTAACTTGCCAAAGACTCCATAGCTATTCAGTGGCTGGACTGCGATATGAACCTAGGCAAGCTAGCTCCAGATTCCATGTGCTTAACTACTTCACCATATTCTCTCTACCGATTGTATAGTTCCTGTAGAGAAATGCTGGACCTAGAGAAAGATCAGAGATCTAGAATTGACCGAATTGAATGACCGTTTCAACATGGAGGTTGAAGAGAGGTCTAGGTTAACTTTAGGTTTTCCACTTGAGTGACTGGGTGCCTGACAGTAACAGAAAGATGGAGTATAGTATACTGAAGGATGTGTTGATTTGAAGAGAATGGTAATGCTTTCAATTTGGTCATACTGAGTTTGGGGTGCCTTCGGGATGTGTGACTAATTCTTTTATCAATATAAATCGATTACAAGGCCGGCCGTGGTGGCTCATGCCTGTAATCCCAGCACTTTGGGAGGCCGAGGTGGGTGGTCACCTGAGGTCAGGAGTTCGACACCAGCCTAACAAATAAGGTGAAACCCCGTCCCTATTAAAAATACAAAAATTAGCCAAGCATGGTCATGTGCAGCTGTAGTCCCAGCTACTCAGGAGGCTGAGACAGGAGAATCACTTAAACCCGGGAGGCGGAGGTTGCAGTGAGCCGAGATCACGCCACTGCACTCCAGCCTGGGCAACGGAGTGAGACTCCATCTCAAAACAAAATAAAAATAAAAATAAATTGATTACAAATAAAATGGAAAGAAAAATATATAAGTAATGATTTATTCATGACTAAACAGTTTCATCTTCATTTTTTAAATCAAATTTTCTAGCAAGATCCTAAACTGTATGATATACTGTAAATCTTTTAATCTGGAAATGGTGTACAGTGAAATGGCTGAAAAGTGCCTAAGAACAGGGAAAGGGAGGAAAAGGATCTTGTAATTATAATAATTAGTAAATAATTCAAAGGTGGTCATATTTTTATTGGGTATAATGAGATATCCAAAAATAATATTGGTAACAATATTAATTGTAAGGAATAAGGCCAGCTTTATGCATAGGTGGAGTAAGCATTTATCAACCTAATTTGAAGAACTCTTTTGTTGTTGTTGTTATTTTTGAGACAGGGTTTCATTCTGTCACCCAGGCTGGAGGGCAGTGGCGTGAACACAGCTCACTGCAGCCTTGACCTCCTGGGCTCAAGTGACCCACCTCAGCGTTCTCAGTAGCTGGGACTACAGCCACATGCCACAATGCCCAGCTAATTTTTTGATATTTTGTAGAGACTGGGATTTCACTTTGTTGCCCAGGCTGGTCTCAAACTTCTGGGCTCCAGCAGTCCTTCTGCCTTACCCACCCAGTGCTGGGATTACAGGTGTGAGTCACCAGGCCTGGCCAGGACTCTTGAGAGAAGGCACCCATCAACCACACCTAGCCCCAGTCTGCAATAACTTCCCTTCTTAGTTGCTTTAGCATTTGAATTACATTACTAGAGTAATTTTTTTTGAAACATTGCCCTTCAAAGGAAACATTTTTCCCTCCTAGAGGGAGCCTATAAGAGTAAAGAATTAGTATATGTGGAGCCTGAATTTTTCATCTTACTGTGAAATTGATGATTAGGTTGATTTTCTCTAGACTTTATAGGAAACAGGGTGGCGTGAGCCTACTAAATAGGGGAAGATTCTGAAAAGTGAGAAGATGACACTAATCAGGGTCCTGATTTAAAGTTTTTTATCTGCTTTTATTATTTATAGCTAACATTTATTCAGTACTCAGCACTCTTCTAAGTGCTTTACAAGGAGTATCTTGTTTAATTACTATTCAGCTCTATGAGATACAGGTATTCTGTTTTACAGATAAGAACACTGAGACAGAGATTCAGTAAATTACCCAAGATCACACAATCATTGATAAAACAGATATATGAGTCTAGGCAGAATATAGAAGCTACCCTTCTTAACTGTTATATTCTTATTTATTAAACTGATCATTTCACCTAGAACCTAACTCACTAAAGGAAGAAAGCATTGAAAATCTAGTAAAGCTTTAGATTTGTAAAAGTTGTTAAAAATGAAAATTCAGGGTCAGGCGCGATGGCTCATGCCTGTAATCCCTGCACTTTGGGAGGCCGAGGTGAGTGGATCATGAGGTCAGGAGATCGAGACCATCCTGGCTAACACGGTGAAACCCCGTCTCTACTAAAAATACAAAAAAAAAATTAGCCGGGCGTGGTGGCGGGCGCCTGTAGTCCCAGCTACTCGGGAGGCTGAGGCAGGAGAAGGGCGTGAACCTGGGAGGCGGAGCTTGCAGTGAGCGGAGATCGCGCCACTGCACTCCAGCCTGGGCAACACAGCGAGACTCCATCTCAAAAAAAAAAAAAGAGAGAGAAAGAAAATTCAAAATGAAATCCAGTACTTTTTAAATAAAACTATACATAAATACCTTTTCATTGTCCCTATGTTGAAAATATGAAAGGAATTTGTGTCTTGTCTTGCTACTTTATATATGTTTATATTAAATAAGCAAACCTACTTACATTTGGAAGTATATAATTTTATAGTAAACCATCGATGTAGTATCAGATACTTTTTTAGTGGATATGTGTATGAAAACCCAGTTCAACACTGAATTAAATAAAAATCTGTATCTTGCTACTTTGATAACACGTACTGATATGTGGTCTGGAATAAGTCATTGCCCCTTCTCTACCTGATTTTTTCAGTATAGCCAATGAAGTCCCAATTTTGTTGTGAATTTTTTGTGAAAAGCAGAAAGTAGGAAATGGATGTTGATAACTTCTCTATTTGAGGCACAGGTATAGGCACATTTTACAAATTAAAAAACTGTATTGGCAATGCCACATTTTAGTTGTTTGGAGAAATTGGTTATTTTATGTAAGTACATTTTCCCAGTAAATGAAATAAAATTTTTATTAAAATGTTACTTTGTTTCTCCTCCCTTTTATTATTACCTTTTCTCTTTTAGTTATTCAGTCCCATTATTATGGCTGTGTTTCCATAAAGTAATGTCCTTAGAGGCCTTGATGTGTTTCATCATTCACCCCTGGGTCCTCTCTATTCCATTCTCTCATCTCAATTAGTTTTGGAGTAACTTAGTTGTAGGAATTGCCAGAGCAAACCCAGCAACAAAGGTTGTTAAATCAGGATGTCTAATTATGTACATCAGTGGCTCTCAAACTTCAGTCTGCCTCAGAATTACTTGGAGGCCTAGTTAAACCATAGATTCCTGGGTCCTCCTTCAGAACTTCTTGCTTCAGTAGATCTGGGGTGAGGTCCAAGAATTTACATTTCTACCATGTGCCCAGGTGTTGTTGAAGCTGCTGGTCCAAGGACCATTTAAAAACCACTGATACGCATAACGAAATGTCTTAATGAGAGTATTTTTTTTTAAATATATAGATTGTGTTCCATGAAATTCCTTTTTCTTTGCTCTAAGTTGTGACCACTTTCAGGCTTCCAGAGATGCCTCTCAGTTCTTATGGTACTAAATTTTAGTAATAAATTTCATATATATATATATCTGCTTTGTGATTTATGAGTTTTCATCATCTTCTATCTCAGCCTTTTTTTTCCCTCCATACCTAGTGTTTCTGTATCCTGTGTTCCACTACACCATGATGCTTTTTCCTGTATCATACACCCTAGAATGCATATTGTGCCTAGATACGTCTATTTTGGGAGGAGTAGAGAGGAGAATCTTATTCAACCCCAGAACCAAAATAAAGGAATAGATGTTGTTTGAAAATGTTGTTATTCCCTGCATAGTTTGGGGTTACATAGCCCTTAATCATAAGGGAGACTTGAGCTGATCATATCGTGTTTAGGCTAAAATTTAGCCTAATTTATTTTTTCTCTCACATAAATATGTATGTATATATATCATCTTGGTTTGAATCCTTGATAAAGTTAATTTATGTTAAAAATAATTTACTTTTAAAGAACTGACCTGTAGATAAGACAGCTTACGTGATTACTGTGTACAGATTTACATTGCCATTATGTATTATTCTTTGTAAACTTTGTGCCTTTTTTTAATCAGCTATTCCCTCGAAGGTGTACATGGTTGTATGTAATGAACAATTGCTTGCTATCAATATCTGGTAAGTATATTAGTTTTTAAATACCTTACAATTGTTACTATTTATTATTAGCTTTTATGTCATATCTGTTTTTCTTTATAGGTAAAGCTTCTCAGCTTTATTCCCATAATTTACCAGGGCTTTTTGATTATGCAAGACAAATGCAAAAGTTACCTGTTGCTATTCCAGCACACAAACTCCCTGACAGAATACTGCCAAGGTAAGGGTACATCCTTAGAGGCAATATGATATTAACAGTTCATTCTCATAAATATTTATGTTACAGAAAGTGAAAGAGCACTCAGTTTGGGTTAATAAAAATCATGATGAAAAAATAATAAGTAATATACATTAACAAGTGCTTAGTGATCACACTCTTGTTCTAAAATTTTTCTACTTTGTACTTTCAAATTATATCAGACATTTTCTCTCTGAATTTTTTATTCTTTTTCTGCAAGTTTAAAACTAGTTTTTTTCTTGTACTTTGCCATAATTTTACATTGCATTTAGTGCCTTTGCTTTTGACATATGTGTTAACTTTATAAAATTTTTCTCAAAGTTTCTATACCTAGAAAATCAAAATGATTTATTGAAAAGTGTTTTTGCAACCTGGCATGGTGGCTCACGCCTGTAATCCCAATACTTTGAGAGGCTGAGGCAGGAAAATGGCTTGAGGCTAGGAGTTCAAGACCAGCCTGAGCAACATAGCAAGACCTCATCTCTACAAAAAATATTTTTTAAAAAGTAGCCAGGCATGGTGGCTCGAGCCTGTGGTTCCAGCTACTCAGGAGGCTGAAGTGGGAGGATCAGTGGAGCCCTGGAGGTTGAGACTGCAGTGAGCTATGATCATGCCACTACACTCCAGCCTGGCTAACAAGGCAAGACCGTGTCTCAGTGTTTTGCATTAGAAGATAATTAGTTTGAAGTTGAGTGGTTTTGCCTTTCTAGTTTCAGTAATTTGTTATTATGCTCTGTTCTTTCGTTATTTAATATAATATTGGACCTCTTTATTGACTGAAAGATTTTCTAGCTCTGGTATAAATTGTATTTTACAAAAACTTTATAATATGCCTATTCTTTTTTATAATATTTGTTGTAAAGCAACTAACATAAAACCTTAATTTTCGAGTACCTTGAGAATCTGCTGTTCTCAATAGAGACCTTTTTAGCTTATTTGCTTTTAGCTGTGTTCGTTTCTTCCAGATTTTACTGAATACACCAAATGTGTATGAAATGTCCCATGTATAAATGAGACAAAATTGAATAAGATATAGTCTCTTCCTTTAAGGAGTTTCCATATGGTATGATTTTACCTACGCTGAATATAGGTACTTATTGTACCATATTATAATTCATTTTTAATAAAGCATAAGCTTTGGAATTCAAGTAAAGTTGAATTTAAATCCTGGATCATTGACTTACTAGATATGGGACCTTGGATAAATTATACAACCTTTCCCCATGTGTTCAGCTCTAAGGGTATTTCACCTCCAGGTTATTATTTCAGGAATTTTATTATAGTCAATCTTTAGTTTTTTTAATAGTAACAGCCACAAATATGTCCTTCCCACTTTCTTCAGTTTCATTATCTAGTAATTACTGTAAAATCTTTTAATTCTCTCACTTATTGGCAGGAAACCTAAAAACCCTTTTAGCATCATAATATTTTATATATGTGCATTCATACCATTTCTTCTGCCATACAGTGAGCACAACTTAAACCTCTACTGAGTGTCTTATTCTTAATCTGATGATAAAGAGCCTCATGGTTCTCATTCTGAAGATAGGTACTCATTGTACCATATTGTAATCCATTTTTAGTAAAGCATAAGCTTTGGAATTCAAGTACAGTTGTATCATTTACTTACTAGGTATGGGACCTTGGGTAAATTATACAGCCTCTCCACGTATATTCAGCTGTAACTGGAACCTATATACTCATCTGGCAGAGTTGTTTTGAAAATGATAAATCGTGTATGTAAAGTACCTACCACAGCACCTAGTAAGCTCTCAAGAAATAGACCTTTTGTCATCATTATTGGGCATGATAAATTGAACTCTGCCTTGTAGTGTACTCTAAAATATCCTATGTTAAATACATTCAGACAGTTAATTTAGAATTCCAGTTAATTGGGTGCTGGTAAAATAAGTTGTATTGTGTTTCATAAAATCATGACTAAAATTAAGGCAAGTCTATAGATCACTATAGAACATTAACTAAATTTTTGAAACATTTCAGTGTACTGCCCACAACTCTTATTTTGAAAAGTTTTTGAAATCCTTAATTCACAGCCATACTTAATAGTTGATTTCTGTTTGTGTAGTAGTCATCCCTATGGTCTTTCAGAACTTGGCAGTTAATCCTCCTGGGTTTTGACTAGTTCAGTGTTTTAACCCCTAAGTTAGCTTTGGGAGCTAGGACACAAGTTCACAAGTGTGGACAGGAACATTAAACTTTCTGCCAGCCGAAATCTGTCAGGAGCTTGGTTCAGATTTTTTTTAACTCTAAAAAGCGCTTTGGTTCAAAGCAGATTCGTTAAGAGTGTGGGGAGTTTTTGTTTTGTTTTATTTTAAGCTGCATTAAACTCCAATGTATATGAAAGGGGCATTTTTATAATTGTAAGTTATAATGTAAAACTTTTCCTAATGTAAAGTTAGTCAAGGGTACAATGAGGTGTTTTAACCAGAAAATCGTAATCAGAATATTCTAGATTGCCATTGTAGTCGTTCAGTGTTTCAACATCTGAATAAATTCTGTGTCATTGTTTAGCTGTCACAGTGTGAAAAACGTTTTGATTCACAAAGACAAGTACTTAAAAAGAGGTAACAGTTTTTGACAGCTTACCTTGCACACTCTGAATAATGTTCATTTAAATTGATACAGCCTGTAGTTCCAGCTACCTGGGAGGCTGAGGCAGGAGAATTGCCTGAACCCAAGAGGCAGAGGTTGCGGTGACCCAAGATTGAGCCACTGCACTCCATCCTGGGCAACAGAGTGAGACCCTGTCTCCAAAAAAAAAAAAAAAAAAAAAGACCTGAGCAAAAATCTAAGCTTCAGATTTCTATGCTGTAACCTACCTCTTTATTGGAGGGACTGAATGACACAGATGTCTAAAATGCATGGCACATAGTAAGGACTCAGTAAATGAAGCTAAAATTATAGCTTTTCATAAATAGGTCAATATATAAAATGTATTAAGGGTTAAAATTACAGTACTACGATATTATATTTTTTAATATTATATTTATGCTTATCATTCAGTTGCCAATTGTGTGGTTACAAGAACATCCATCAGGAAAATTGTTCTGAGCTTGTTTGGAATTGCACTGAACATCACACATGTGCTGTACAATTTTATATAAAATTGTACAACTCTAAAAAAAAAAAAAGACTTGTACAGAGCACTGGCATCTATCTAATCTTTGGCAAATTTACACATTTAAGTTTAAGTGGCTCATGCCTGTAATCCCAGCACTTAAGGAGGCTGCACTTTTGGCAGATTACTTGAGCCTCAGGAATTTGAGACCAGCCTGGGCAACATGGTGAAATCTGTCTCTTTCTTCTAAAAATTATTTTTTTAAAAAAAAGAGTTTAGATGTTTGTAGAAGTCAGGCACGGTGGATCAATTGAGGTCAGGAGTTCGAGACCAACCTGGCCAACATGTCGAAACCCCGTCTCTACTAAAAGTACAAAAATTAGTTGGGTGTGGTGGCTGATGCCTGTAATCACAGCTATTTGAGAAGCTGAGGCAGGAGAATCACTTGAACCTGGGAGGCAGAGGTTGCAGTGAACTGAGGTCAAGCCACTGCACTCCAGCCTGGGCGACAGAGCGAGACTCCGTCTCAAAAAAAAAAAAAAAAAAAAAAATAGAAAAAATCTTTAGCCGGGCACAGTGGCTCACACCTGTAATCCCAGCACTTTGGGAGTCCGAGGCGGACGGATCACCTGAGCTCAGGAGTCCGAGACCAGCTTGGGCAAAGTGGCACAACCCCGTCTCTACTAAAAATACAAAAATTAGCTGAGCATGATGGCAGGCACCTGTAGTCCCAGCTATTTGGCATTCTGAGACAGGAGGATTGCTTGAACCTGGGAGGCGGAGGTTGCAGTGAGCCAAGATCACACCCTTGCACTCCAGCCTGGGCGACAGAGCGAGACCTTGTCCAAAAAATAAAATAAAATTTAATAATAAAAAGTATGTACAGAAATGGGTTTAATTTGAGGTTTTTACAATTTGATGCACCAACAACCTTTATTATATTACATTTTAAAAGACATTTGAGTGTATGTGTAGTTTTTAAATTGTAGTTTTTAAAAAAATTCAGAATTGATTTTTATCTATTAAATTCGAGTCAGATGTTTGCAAAACACCTATAGCACCTTTGCAGAACATCTGTATCCCACTTTTCCTGAGTAGAGAAACAAAGATTTCTAAAAAAGAAATTCTTCACAAATTTTTATAATAAGACAGCTTTTTACAGTACATGTAAATGTATTACATGTACTAAAAATAGCTCTCTCCAGTTTTTGGCTTTTCATTTTCTCAATGATATCTTTTGGTAAACCAAAGTTACTAATTCAGTAATTGACTGCCACCTGTAGTTTGAGGTGCTAAGGTTGAATCAGTGGGGGCAAAAAAGCCAATTAAAATGTAACAGCATTTTCCTGTATGATTTGTTGTTTTTGTATTTCTTAAATCCCAAGGTCATATATTTCTATAGACTTCTATAGTTTGTTTTCATATTTAAACCCTTAACCCATTTGGAACTGATTGGGGGCCATGAGAAGGGGATCCAATTTATTTAATTTTTTTTTTTTTTTTTTTGGAGACCGAGTTTTGCTCTTCTGTTGTTGCCCAGGCTGGAGTGCAATGGTGTGCTCTCGGCTCACCACATCCTCCACCTCCTGGGTTCAAGCGATTCTCCTGCCTCAGCCTCCTGAGTAGCTGGGATTACAGGCATACACCACCATGCCTGGCTAATTTTTTTGTATTTTTAGTAGAGACGGGGTTTTATTATGTTGGCCAGGCTGGTCTCGAAGTCTTGACCTTGTGATCCGCCCACCTCGGCCTCCCAAAGTGCTGGGATTACAGGCAACGTGCCATGGCACCCGGCCTTTTTATTCTAATTTTAATAGATGAGCTAGTATGTCAGCACCAGTTTTGAACTCATCCTTTGTGCACTGATCTATAACAGTAGCTTTTTCATATACTAAGTTTGCCTACATATATTACGTACTCACTTTTATTTACATTTAGGAAATTTTCTGTATCAGCAAAAATCCCTGAAACCAAATGGTGCCAGAAGTGTTGTGTTGGTAAGTAAACTGTCCAATAGCATATAGCTCTCTGAGACTCCTCCTAAAATCTGGCATAAAACAGTACTACCCCAGGGCATTCTGCCAGCAATACTTTATTTTTCCTGCTTAAGTAGAACAAATTTCTTGGCTGTTTCATCTCTGTGTAGACTAAGCCTAATACATAGTACCTTGCAAATAATTTATTTGCAAATAAATGTTTATTAGCAAATAAATTATTTGCTAAACAAATAATTTATTGCCTAGGTAAATGGAGAAAGTTGTATGACTTTTTTTTTTTTACCACATTTTATCACACCCTGTTTTCCAAGGGTCCTGTTACGTACCATTCACCATTCTGCTTAGCAATGGCTTGTGAGATGGCATTTATTCCTTCAGCATGTATTTTTATGTTCACCTTCCTCTCACCTAAATTCCTCCCCCACCCCAATAACAATTAGTTGTTCTATTTGCATGTAGCCAGAGCAAAAAATGATTTCTTTCCCTTAAGTTACTATTATTATAAAAGGGACGATAAACACATGAGTCATTATACCACAAGTATAGTGTGGAAAGGACTCTAAACATAGGCTCACTGAAGAAGGTGGCATTTGGGCCAGGCCTCAAAATAAGGCAGATTCAGATTTGAACTGAATAGATGGAGAGTCATTTCAAACAGAAGAAATGACATAACATGTGGAGGCAAAAAAAAAATCATAAAGGTTACATAATAAATGCTGACTATTCGCTTAGCTGGATACAGATGATAGAAAGGAGAGTGGCAGATGAGTGTGAGCCATTGGCCTTGTGTGAGCATGTACTTATTACTGTGCAACAAGTAAGGAAGGAAGTCTTGTGCTAGAGCAGTAGCAGTGCAAATAGCAGGGAAGGAGTATCTGGGTGTGAAGGGAAAAGATGTCAGAGATGACTGAGGCCTCAAACCCAAAAGACTGGCAGAAGGGCAAGTGTTAACAGGAAGCGAGAACAGCTGGTTTAGAGCAAAAGAGGATGACAAGGTTGGGTTTAGACATGGTGGTTGAGTCTCTGTTAGAACTGCAGCAAATTTACTTGACTCTACCTGAGGACAAAGGGGCAGGTTTTTAGGAAAAGTTAATTATAGGAAAGAATTTCCTATATAGACTTCTCTGTTTTCTTTGGCGGGACAGTTTTGCTGTTCTCCTCCTCTGCCATTTAAATATTTCAAATCTATTTGAAGTGTGTGAACTTTACTGCTGTTCCCCTTTTCACAGTTCAGTTTTTTTATCTTTATTCCAAATATATTTACTTCACATATATTTACTTTACTTCTTCTGGTTTATAACCAGAAGAAAATTTCAAAATCTGAGGTAATTCAATTTTATTATTTGTAAACCAGTATTTTAAGGTTCGATTAATATCTGTGATGTTTTCTAGTGACCATAAGAATTGAATCAAAAGGGGGAAGATAGACAAGTGTTTTATTTTCAGAAACAAAACATTATTGCCTCTGAACATTACCACCAAAAGCACCTTGTGAACCACCCGAATGTGTTGTATCTTAGGAGTCTGACAACTTCTTCCCAAATTTACTTTGACCCTTTTATCAGAATGTTGCCACCTCAGGTAATTTTCCTACCATCATAAGACGAAAAGTCCTTCCTCTTACCCCACAGCCTCATTATAACCAGCAGTTTCATTTGTGCATACAAATAAAAATCCTGCAAGTTAAGAGGGCATTTCCTGCTATTACCTGAAACAGTATTTTTTTCACCCAGCCCTCTAATTAAGAAACTGAACTGGCAACCAGCTTTTGATTTTGTTTTATGTTTAGTTTGTTTAGTTTTGTTTGTTTTTTTGAGCATGCAATTATTGTCATAATGACTTTGTTTTATAAGAGAACTCATTTATATTTTTGCTTTGACAGTAAGAAATCCTTACACGGGCCATAAATACCTATGTGGAGCACTTCAGACTAGCATTGTTCTATTAGAATGGGTTGAACCAATGCAGAAATTTATGTTAATTAAGGTAAGCATAAAAGTCAGACTATCTTATTCTTACTATAAAAGCTTGTCAACCTTACTGTTCTTTAAAGAAACATTTTTTTCAGTTAATTTTCAAGTTAATTTAGTGATTTTAGATAATGTGGCAGGGTTGTAAAAATCTGCCCAGTTGTAAGCAACTTAATTGGCCTAGTAAAAGTTTTATAAGAGACTAGAGAAATAATGCAAGGGTATGGCGGTGGGGAGCTGGAAATAGTGTCTCACATACAGAGCCTGATGGCAGAAACAGGAAGTACTAAAAGATCAGTGAAATATTTTGAATACACTCTCTGGTTGACCTCCATCACAGCTGAAAACAACATACAGGTTGCAGTTTGGCCTAGGAGAACTAGGGGTAACCATAATGACAGGGAAACAAGTTGTTTTTAGTTATATACCCACCCATTAATTTACCTAGGCCTTTCCACAGATTTTTTTTATAGAATCATTTAATTAATGAATAATTTTTAAAATATTTACTGTTACTCATCTGTAACTTACATTTAAGGAAAAACTAACTTTTAAAATGTGTGAAGTACAGGCTCAGTTAATTACATCAAGGAAATACCAAATGAATTTTAAAAGTCATTTTCCATGCTATTATATATGGACTGAGTGGTCTTATTTCATGTGCATTTGATCTCAGTAGAAATTAGAGTCGGAATATAGCTGGAGTGGGGTTCTTCCTAAATTTTATAGTATTAAGATGTTTAAAGTATTGACTCCCTGTTGTTTAAAATCCTGTAAGTGACTAAGAAATCTAGTTTTCGTTTTCATATCAGTTTTACCCTCGAGATTCACTAGGGCTAAACAGATGAAAATATAGTTTCAAGAATTTGAAACCTATTGAAGTATTAATTTCACAGGTAAATGCACTGAAACAAAAATTATTTAAACTGAAAGCTCAGGGGAAAATAGCCTTATAAGTTGTCTAAAGCAGAACTACTGAATACAGCCCATTTATGGCAAACATTGTTTTGTTCTCAGCTCCTCTTTATTCTTGTTTATTTGACAAAAGAATGCTCTATCCAAGATGGAATGGTAAAGTCTACACAGTTTGATTTTTCATCAACCTCTTCCTTTCCTATCTTTTTCCTTTCTTTCTTCAGGCTATTTTAAATATGTCCCTCCTATTATTTTCATTCCTAACCTCTATCAAAATGAAAATGTTTCATCATATCAGTTATTCTTGTATACTGATATACTGATTAACCTGGTATGAATGAATTTTATGTGTTATCTAATATGGTAAACCATTTATGCTAATATATAATGAAAGATGCTTTTCTCTGTTAGAGGAATTGTCCATGTCAAGAGCATGCAGGAGGGAATATATACTTTGAAGACATAGGACGCTTAAAAATTACCCATCCATGGCTTCTCTTTTCCGGGTAGATGGTACCAGGGTGCTTGGCCTGGCTCTAATGAGGCCTCTTACCAGCATTCTGAGATAGTGAACCTGTAGTACAATACTACTTGCAGGTCTCCCTCAAGATTTTAATCACTCTTCTCCCTTTTCTTAAACTCTCTGAGCTATAATGTTTGCCTGCCTTCCTTAATCTTAACCTAGCTTTCCTTTCCGTGTCTCTCTGCGTCAAGACTTCTATATGGGCCGGGCGCGGTGGCTCACGCTTGTAATCCCAGCACTTTGGGAGGCCGAGGCGGGCGGATCACGAGGTCAGGAGATCGAGACCATCCTGGCTAACACGGTGAAACCCCGTCTCTACTAAAAATACAAAAAAAAAAAAAATAGCCGGGCGTGATGGTGGGCGCCTGTAGTCCCAGCTACTCGGGAGGCTGAGGCAGGAGAATGGCCTGAACCCGGGAGGCGGAGCTTGCAGTGAGCCGAGATTGCGCCACTGCACTCCCGCCTGGGCCACAGAGCGAGACTCCGTCTCAAAAAAAAAAAAAAAAAACTTCTATATGTATATTTTGTCTCCATATTTAACATTATTTCTATCAGTATTTATGATGTTTCTATACTATAACCCTTAATCAGATGTATTCAAAAACATTGTTACGCTTTCTATATTCTTGTTTCCTCCTAATGACATTTCTGACAGTTTTTGCATCATTAGACTGCTTTTATTTTTTTTTGAGATGGAGTCTGGTTCTGTTGGCCAGGCTGGAGTGCAGTGGCATGATCTCAGCTCACTGCACCCTCAGCCTCCCAGGATCAAGCAGTTCTCTGCCTCAGCCTCCCGAGTAGCTGGGATTACAGACACCCAGCTAATTTTTGTATTTTTAGTAGAGATGGGGTTTCACCATCTTGGCTAGGCTGGTCTCGAACTCCTGACCTCAGGTGATCCACCCGCGTCATACTCCCAAAGTGCTGGGATTACAGGTTTGAGCCACCGCACCCAGCCTGGACTGCATTTTCATTATAAATAAAAGTTAAAAATTAAAGATCTCTCCAGCAAACATGATGTACCTATTGCAGGCAAGGCACCGTGTTATTTACTAGAGAGACAAAAATACATTAGATACAATTGCTGCCCTCGAGGACAATAGCAACTGGATTTAAAACTATTAGACATGAATCCCCTTCTGTTAATGACTTATACAAATTGCTTAGTTATTATTGGAAGCAATGTAGAAGTAATCAAAATCTGTTGTGTTTTTTTTTAAAGCGTTGTTTCTGTGTTTAAACTGTAAAAGTTTAAAGATGCGTCTTTAATCAGAAGCATTGGTTTTTTTTCTGCTTCGTTGCTCTTTATTTCAAAGAGAATTATTTAAGTTGCTGTACCTTATTAAAAATGACAGATTTTATCAAAAGCATGTGCCCCAAGGTAATGGGAAAGCTCCTAGAGAAGAGGTTTGGAGAATATTGATGAAGTGTCTGTGCCCGTGGAATGGAGGCACTTTAGCAGCCACAGGGAAAGAAGGACTGTAGGAACAGCAGGTGAACACAGAGCTTCACATTCCAGCCATGAGTACCATTTTGTGTCTTCCAACACTTTAAAACTACCTGTTAGGATATCCCCCGTTGCACCTTTTACTTTTCTTTAGAATTTATGAGTTGCCAGATTAAAAAGAAAACAAATCAAATCCAGTAGCTTCATAAAATGCTAGCAATAACCATTTGGAAAATACAGTGAAAACACAGCCAGTTTATAAAAGCAACAAAAATATAAAATATATAAGAATGAACTAAATAAAATATGCATGAGAGTGGTATTTTTTTTAATTTGTGAAGAAAAATTTTAGAATTCCCTTTGTCATCCTCCCTTTTAGTCAGCTCCCTGCTTCTTTTTTACAAAGGAAACCTAGAAAGTTCTTCCTTTTTTCTCTTTTTTTACTATCTAAGCTCATATCCCTAAACATTAGAACTAATTTTATTTAATTTTTCAACAGTATTTAAGTGGAATTATAAAGTATATGTTCATTTGTGTCTGGCTTTTTGTGCAACATTATATTTGTATAGTTGCTGGACATAGCTATAGTTTATTCATTTTTCAGTTGTCTATATATAATTTTTTATTTTGTGAATGTGCCGTAATTTTATCTGTTTTGCATTTGTCTCTTGTATATGTGTACTCATGTTCTTTAGAATGTATACCTAGGAGTATTATTGCAAGGTCCTAAGGAATGCCTACTTCCAGCATTAATAAATAATGCAGTTAACTAGTCTGGCTATGCCACTCTATGTCCCACCACCAGTGTTGTATGAGCATTTGCTTACTCCTCTGGGATGCTTATTCACTGTCATTCTTTTTAATTTTAGCCATTCGGTGGGTATGTATAGTATTTATCTCATTGTGGTTTTATTTCTTGATTACTAATGAAGTTAGTGTTTTCCATCTATTTTTTTTGTCCTTCAGAATGTGAATTTATTCTTTGTAGCAATATAAATTTTAAACATATAAAATTAAAATGGGTTGTATTATAACTGAGTTGATTTGATAAAAATCACTTGAGATATGAAGCTAATTTTTTTTGATTTATGACTTTTTCTGTTCACATCTTACAAGAGGAGTGTCTCTTGCTAATTAGCATTTCACTTCTCTCATCCATGTTTGCTCAGTTGATTAAGAAGGCAGAGGAGTATAACTGAAGAAGCATCACATTGGGAGACAGGAGACTCTGCCACAAAGGCCGGGGGACCATGGGCTGGTCACCCAGTTCCTGGGCCCCAGGTTCCAACTCTGAAAAGAGAGGGTTGGACACGTGACTTATAAATTCCCTTCCAGCCTTAATGTCCTAAAATCATGTAATTATAACTTTAAAATATTTTGCGGTGGTAAACCTAAAATGTTTATAAAAGAGAGTCCATAATTTAGATTTTTCTGCATTACCTGAATTTCTGTGACAAGATGCAGTCTTTATTGTAGAAAGCTGTTTTATAGTATTCTCATAGAATTATTCGGTTTTTATTTTCCTTGGTTTAATGTATTTTTGTTTCTTTCTCTAGCACATAGATTTTCCTATACCATGTCCACTTAGAATGTTTGAAATGCTGGTAGTTCCTGAACAGGAGTACCCTTTAGTTTGTGTTGGTGTCAGTAGAGGTAGAGACTTCAACCAAGTGGTTCGATTTGAGACGGTCAATCCAAATTCTACCTCTTCATGGTTTACAGAATCAGGTTTGTAATTTTTATGGAATTATTAAGGGTAATACATATACTGGTTTTATAAGTAGTAAGTTTACTGTATCTCTTACTAAGGAAAAACTGCATATACTGCCAGTCTTCAATAACTATTATTAAACTGGAAGAAGGGAAGATTACTCTCTTTAAAATAGCTAATTCATATGACACATTTAAAACATTGGCTGGCAGGGCATGGTGGGTCACGCCAGTAATCCCAGTACTTTGGGAGGCCAAGGTGAGAAGATCGCTTGAGTCCAGGAGTTCAAGAACAGCCTGGGCAATGTAGCAAGACCCTGTCTCTAAAAAAATTGCATGTAAGTTAGCTGGGCATGGTGGTGCATGCCTGTAGTCCCACCTACCAGGGAGGCCAAGATGGGAGGATTACTTGAGCCCAGGAGGTCGAGGGTGCAGTGAGCCATGTTCGCACCATTGTACTCCACCCTGGGTGACAGAATGAGATCCTGTCTCTAACTAACCAACTAAATCAAGCAAACATTGCCAAAACATGATACTGAGAGCACATACACCAGTTTTTTTATTTAGAAATGAATATAAGGATCTGATCCTCAAAGTCCTGTGTATATTATTGGTATGTATATTTGGTATATATTAATAAACAATTGTGCATGAACACACCTCTTACTATAAAATGAGGTATACACCTGGGTTGTTATTTGATTTTGGTGATATGTATTTTAAATAACAATGTCTCTTGAAGGACACTGTGTATAGGAAACCCGTAAAGTCATGTTTGCATTAATCTTTCTTGGAAATAATTAAATTAATATTACAAATTAAATGCCAATTAAGGCACTTTTTTTCTTCAAACAAAAGGGAAATAATTTATATAGACTCAAATATTTTTAATATTTTGATAATACTTTTCATTTTATATGTTTCACATTTCCTTTTTGGAGAATTTTACATGCATCAAATTGTTTTGACTAAGTTCATTAATATGAAAATGAATACGAAATGTATATTAACATAGGAAACATTTAAAACAAAACTTGGGTACTTAACATTTTCATAACTCTCAGAAATTTTAAGTATTTTATGTATTTTTAAGTGGTGTATACCTGAAAATTTGCATTTTACACAACTCCAGTTGCCCTGCCTCCCTGAGGTGATGTTACCTTTTTGATCATCTTCCATCACTTCACTAGGGGTATTGGTAAGAGTGATCATTGAGTATGTAGTATGTAGCAGCAATTACCAGACTTGAGCATTCATCAGAATCACTGGGAGACTTGTGACATTTCTGAGCCCCACCCCCGGAGCTGTTCATTTATAGTCTAGATAGGACCTGAGAATTTTCATTTCCGTGAATTCCCAAGTGTTGCTGATGAGGTTGACACAAAGACCATAGTTTTGGCATATATAGACAAACCTCAGCCTAGGCGATATAGCAGGACCCCATCTCTAAATTTTTTTTTTTAATTAGCCAGACATGGTGGCATACACCTATGGTCTCAGCTACTCACAAGGCTAAGTCAGGAGGGTCACTTGAGGCCAGGATTTCAAGGCTGCAGGGAGCCATGATCACACCACAGCATTTCGGCCTGAGCAGCAGGCGCAAAAAAAAAAAACAATTTTCATTTTTGTAAATTCCCAGGTGATGCTGATGGTGTTGATACAGCAACCATAGTTTGAGAACTACATGTATTTACAAATCTCCCACTAATAGAAAATTTGGTTTTTAAAAGAAGAAAAGTTGCATTATAGGATATTTTAAGTATGTTTGTTTTCTAGTGCAGTCGGCATTCTGTATCCATGTGTTCCGCATTGCCAGTAGTATTGACAACAGCCAACATATGCTCTGTTGAGCACTTACGTTGTTTAGCACTTGCATCAGCATTTAAACCCACTAGCCTGGCTCAGTCACTACATGTGTATTACAGAAGACATATCCGTTTCAAGTATTGTTATCCTCAGAATTCTTTTTCTTCAATGTTTCCATGCTTTAAGTATCACAGTTTCTGTAGGTTTACCAAAATTTGTTTGTATTGTAGATACCCCACAGACAAATGTTACTCATGTAACCCAACTGGAGAGAGATACCATCCTTGTATGCTTGGACTGTAAGTTTTTATTTATGAATGTCTTACTTTAATAAGACTTCTTTTATCTTAGTTTCTGAGTGACTTTTTTTCCTCTAGGTTGTATAAAAATAGTAAATCTCCAAGGAAGATTAAAATCTAGCAGGAAATTGTCATCAGAACTCACCTTTGATTTCCAGATTGAATCAATAGGTAAGTCAAAGTTTTATAATTCTTTGCATTATGAACTCCTTAAAATAATTTATCTGCTAATTATCCAAAATTAAAGATTGATATTATTAAGATTCTTTTTTTAAAATAAAGGATATGGCTGGGCATGGTGGCTCATGCCTGTAATCCCAGCACTTTGGGAGGCCAAGGTGGGTGGATCACTTGAGGCCAGGAGTTCAAAACCAGCCTGGCCAACATGGTGAAACCCCGTGTCTACTAAAAATACAAAAATTATCCAGGTTTGCTGGCACACGCCTGTAGTCCGAGCTACTTGGGAAGCTGAGGCATGAGAATCACTTGAACCTGGGAAGGGGAGGTTGCAATGAGTTGAGATCGCACCATTGCACTCCAGCCTGGGTGAGGAACGAGACTCTTGTCTCAAAAAGTAAAATAAAATTAGAGGATATAATAAATATGAGGTCACTATCAGCCTTCATTCTTACACATTTTCTAAAATAGTTTAATAACTGTAGTGTAGATAATGTTATCTTCCTGGTAAGAAGTAATATCATTTCTTTTTTTTTTTTTTTTTTGAGATGGAGTGTCTCTGCCACCCAGGCTGGAGTGCAATGGTGCAGTCTCAGCTCACTGCAACCTCTGCCTCCCGGATTCAAGTGATTCTCCTGCCTCAGTCTCCCGAGTAGCTGGGATTACAGGCGCCCGCCACCACCCCCGGCTGATTTTTGTATTTTTAGTAGAGACGGGGTTTCACTACTTTGGCCAGGCTGGTCTCGAACTCTTGACCTCGTGATCCACCCGCCTCGGCCTCCCAAAGTGCTGGGATTACAGGCGTGAGCCACCGCGCCTGGCCTTGAAATAATATCATTTCTTATAACATAGTTTTGAATTCCCATTTCCTCCAGACTCCTGTAGGGTTTTTCTATAAGTGCTTTAAAATTTAGTACTCAGTATACCAGATTATGTTTTGGCTGTTGTGTCTGCTGCTCAGAGAATTTTAAGTATATGGAAGTTCCTTCTTGTCATTCTCACATTTTGCTTAATAGGAGTATTTTTCTGGAAAAGGATTTCTGACAATCAATACTTTTAAATGACTACATTCAGGAAAAATAAGGTGAAAATCATCTTATGTAGGATAGTGCTGGGAAAATGAATGGTGATTAATATTTGACTAGGCACACTTTTTCTGGTGTTCCTTATCAGTAAAGATATTTGCGTGTATGTGTATTAGCAGACGGTAAGGCTAAAGGCAGTTAGTTCATTGTCTTATTCCTGGTTCTGTTTTCTACATTCTCCCAACTAGAATGTCATTCATCCAACAAACAAATGATTATAATAAGTCAGTTTCGAGGGATATCTGATCAAGATGTTAAAATGGAATCCGCTTTCAAAGACATAGCCAGGGTCAAAAAGCAAGATCAACAACAGAATCTCAAAGCAGTATACAGGTCTGAAGCTAACAGGCCTGCTGGGCTCCAGTTACAAAAGTATCCCACAGGAGATGGAGAACCACAGCCAAGTTCATTGCTTGTGGTACCTGATAATCAGGCATGATGGTTTTTTTACCTACCTCCCCCATTAAAGGAAGAGATAATCCCTATCCTGTGCAAACTGTTTCAGACTACAGACAAGGAATTCTGAATAAATCAGTGTTTAATACTGATGCTAAAATCAAACAAGATTAGTACAGAAAACAAAAATTATAATCTTATGAAAATCATTTTTAAAAATCTAAATAAAATATTAGCAAATAGAATTACACATTATCAAATAGTAAACTATCCCAGGAAAGCAAGGATGGTTCAGCATCAGAAAATGTATTTATGTAATACACAATACCAAGTATTAAGAGAAAATCATGTAACTCTTCAGTAGATGCCCAAAAAGCATTCAGTAAAATCTGTCATTAATGATTTTTTTTAAATAATACTTCTTAGCAAATTGGGAATAGAAAGGAATGTCCTTCACCTAGCAAAGCCTGTTAAAAATATGTTTAATGATCAAATTAATTCCCATTAAAGTGGAGAACTAAATAAGGATGTTTGCTATTATCACATTTCATTATTGTCTATTAAATGAGAAAGGGAAAGTATGAGGATTAGAAAGAAAGATAAAAAGATCATTTTTTGCTGATGGTATGATTATGTACATAGAATATAAAACCCTATTAATAAGTTACTAGAGTTAGTAAGAGAATTCAGAGTTGCTGGATATGAGTAACACCAAAGAATAGCTTTCCTAAATAATCAGTGAAAAACTTAATTGGAAAAAAGATCCCTTTCACAAAGGCAATAAAGTAACATACATAAGAATAAATGAAATCCAAACATTTTTAAGATCATTATCTAGGAACCTCCAAATTATTTTTTTTTAAGACATAAAAGATTCAGCAAGTGAAGAACTACATCATGTCCATGGGTAGAAAGACTTAAATGAGAAAGATGCCAGTTCTTCAGTTAATCCACAGGTTCAGTGGATCTGCAGTAAGAATCCCAACATGATGTTTTGTGCCACTTGATAAGCTGCTCTTAAAATTCATATGGAATGGCCAGGCGCGGCGGCTCATGCCTGTAATCCCAACACTGTAGGAGGCTGAGGCAGGAGAATTGCTTGAGCCCAGGATTTCAAGACCAGCCTGGACAACATTGGGAGACCCCATCTCTACAAATAATTTTTTAAAGTAAAAAATAAATTTATATGGAAGAGCCAAAGACCAAGAATAAGAAAATAAATGTTGACAAATCGTTTTCTACCCAATATTGAAACTTACTATAAAGCCATAGTGATTAAGGTAGTGTGGTAACAACACAGGAATAAATAGGTAGAAGAGTGAGACAGAAGAAAAGGCCCAGAAATAGACCCACATGTAAATGGAAATTCGTGGCATTATGTATTAGTGGGGAAGAAATGGGCCATTCAACAAATGATGCTGGTACAATTGCTTACCTGCAGAAAACAAAATAAGATTTATTCCTCCCTGAATACATGCCAAAAAGTATATTAAAAATATAAATATAAAAAGCAAAACTAAATCTTGTTCTGTTTATGCCCTGTGCTTCAGTAATTCTATCTATGGGTGTCTACCCTCAAGAAAGATTTGTACATGTATTCAAGATGTACAAAAATGTTTATTGCAAAATTGTTTGTAATAATGCAAAACTAGAAATAACCTCAATGTTCATCTTACTGAATGTATGAAGGTTGGAAATATTCAATATAAAATTTATATTGATAGTATAAACTTATAGTAATAGTAAAAACATGCATGAGAATGATAAATACCAAATTTATAATAGTGGTTATCTCAGGGAGGAAGGAAAGACCAGAAATGGGAATAGGGCAGGGTACATAGGGGATGCCAGCTGTATTTGTTTTTATTTAAAGCAAAAATGGCAGAATGTTAGGATCTGATTGTTGGGTGGTGGATACACGTATATTTTTGTGCTGTTTTCTGTATTTTGCAGTATTTTATTTTTGAAAATTACCAAAACAGGCCGAACACAGTGGCTCATGGCTTTAACCCTGGCACTTTGGGAGGGCGAGGCAGGCAGATCACTTGAGGCCAGGAGTTTGAGACTAGCCTGGCCAACAAAGTAAAAACCCATTTCTACTAGAAATACAAAAAAACTATAACAAAAATATTTTCGGTGAATTTTTTCCTACCAAAAAGATGCATAAGCTCTGTATAGTATATTTTTAAACTTTTCAAATGTAAAGATGCCATATAAATATGGAATAGCTGACATTAGTTGTGAATTGAAATATTGCTGTATGAGATAGAGGGATGAAATGATGCTTATCAGTTGAACTTTTGTACTATTAACAGTAATTGAGCTGTTCTTGCCTGCTAGTGTGCCTACAAGACAGTGTGCTAGCTTTCTGGAAACATGGAATGCAAGGTAGAAGTTTTAGATCTAATGAGGTAAGTAAATTATGTCCATTAAGTAGTCACAAGACATTATCAAATTCCACTTCAAACAGTTCGATTCCTAAATGATACAAGTAATGCTTGATTGGCTAACTTTATTAATACTTACTGTATTTAGTCTATTGATAAAGTCAGTAGCCCATACTCTATGTCCACCTCTCTCTCTCTCCACTACTCAAACAACTTTAGTGCATATTTAATGTGCTTCCAGATAATCAGTCTGAAATTTAGAACAAGAACTTGCTAATCTGCTAAAAGTGAGCCAACTATGATTTTCTTTCAACTTTCCCAGAGGAACCCCAGGAGCAAGAGTGCTAGTGCTGGCTCTCTCTGGCCTTAAGCACCTTTTCTACCTTGTACTTCAGAAATAATGACCAGCGCAGACTATAAGTAAAGAGTCCTATATTTCTCTGGAAGCCCACTTACCTCTTTATTTTCAACATCCTTATTCATTTGACATGTATATAATTCTTTGCCCCCTTTACCTTTCCTTTTTATTAACCTTTAGCTATGCATCTCATGAATCCTTCCTACCTCACAGAAATAATTTAACTCCAAGCTGTGTGACATATTCAAGTCAGTTCAACATTTATGCCGGAAAGTTCTGAGGTTATAAACATGAACAAGATGTGGCACTTGCCCCCTAGAATGTTACAAGCACGTAAAATTGTCAGAAATTCTTCCAGTACCCCCAAGCCAATCTCAGTCATGTAACTTGGAAGGAAGCTTATTTGTTTCTTAAACTGTCATTCATTAAGCTCAGAGCGTTTATTTCTAACAAAGTAAGCAATATACCACAGTGTTCATGAGCCTGGGTTCCAGAGTTGAGACACTAGGCTTCAGGTCTCAAGTTCAGCTAGTTAGTAGCTGGGTGACCTTGGCATGTCACCTAACTTCTTTCTACCTATATTTTTTCATCTGTGAATTGAGTTGTTATGATTAAATGAAACAAAGCGTGTAATGTGCTTGGCCTGGTTCCTGACCTATAGTAAGTGTTTAAAAGGTAGCTGCTGGCCAGGCATGTTGGCTCACGCCTGTACACTCAGCACTTTGGGAGGCCGAGGCGGGCGGATCACAAGGTCAAGAGATCAAAACCAGCCTGGCCAACATGGTGAAACCTCGTCTGTACTAAAAATAGAAAAATTAGCCAGGCGTGGTGGCGCGTGCCTCTAGTCCCAGCTACTCGGGAGAGGCTGAGGCAGGAGAATCGCTTGAACCCAGGAGGCGGAGGTTCCAGTGAGCCAAGATCGCGTCACTGTACTCCAGCCTGGCGACAGAACAAGACTCCGTCCCCCTCCAAAAAAAAGGTGGCTGCTACGATGTTTCTAAAAGTAATCCCCACAAGTGGGCTCACACTTTCTAAAATCACGTGAGGAACTGAGCAGGGAGATAAGAACAGTCAACAGCTAATAAACACTAGTCAGAGAAAGAAAAGCATTACAGACAAATACAGAAGTGGTTTAAAAACTAAAAGGAAAAAGTTCACCCAAAAAGTCACCTGAGAACTACACAGGCAGCCCATCAATACACACCTCCAAAAATGTTAGCTTCTTCTAGTAGGCAAACCCCAAAATATATTGGTAATCACAGTCATGATGAGCCACAGGCATTGAAGTGAGCATGCTGAGCATGTTGTTTCCTGCAGGTATGCTGGGTTACAACAGAAGCTAAGAGTCATTAGTGTTTCTAGAAAATCTAATTGTAGGGGTATTGATGGAATAAATTTAATTTCAAATCCATTTTTTCTTCAGCCTACCAAATTTTGGGGAGATGCTAACTGCCCTTCTAATTCATAATATTTTGTGTTCAGTAAGCTGTGAATAGTTGGTTTCTCTTTTTCTTGTATATTTATTCTTAATTCCCCAACTGGTAGTTGGTCACACTGAGGACTTCTTGAAGGATATATGGTCATTAGAAAATATTATTTCAAGAGAATGGGGAAGAAGTGGGAAAGATAATTATTATGTATTGAGCACTTCCTTAGCTAGGCATTATACCCACTAATCCTTATAAGAACACTGCAGGGCTCTACTGCATGGTAGATCTTTTCTATCCCATCTTGCATAAGGCAAAACCATTTCTAGCGGATTACATACGTTGCCCAGTAAGTGGGAGAACTGACAGTCAAACTCAAGGCATGTCTGCCTTTTAAATATTTCCTGTTACACTACGTGGCAGCCTTTTTAAGTAAAAGAAGCAGATCTAAGTAGCTTACTGCTGCCAGTAACCTTGCCATTAGCGTTAACATAAATGATGAAAGTTTCTAATAAATAAAATGGATTTAGTGCTTTGCTTTTAAGTTTTTCCCTTGAAGTCTTATGATTTAACAAGGAAATCATTTTCCTTTGCCTGCATTTTATGATTAACTCAAAATTAACCACATTTCCCCTCGACTAACAAATTGATGTATCTACATGCTGACTTTAACAAACAGTCATGCAGGAATATGTTTTCATTTTTAGCGATCATGTTTCTTTTCTGTTGAATTATAATGAAGTGCCCATTAAAAATTTTGTGTCTTTAATTTCAGAAATTAAATTTGTGTTTTAATTGAACAGGTAACACAAGAAATTTCAGATAGCACAAGAATTTTCAGGCTGCTTGGATCTGACAGGTATGAAAACGGACTGTATTAAATACACAGTACTAAACGTGTTTTATAGATCCAGCATGAAACAGATTTCTTTTTCAAGAGAATTGAAATGTCTGCAATATGTTCAACATTGAATTTTTCACACTATAAGAATTCACAGGTCAGAAAGTTAGCCTTTGAAAATGTACCTGATCTTCCAAGTAACAGGAATGTATGGATCTGTCAGTACTAGTTTCCATTAAACATACTGACATCTGATTTGCAGCAGAAGAAAGAGGAAATACCATATGTTAATGAACAGAACTTTGTGTTGTTAATGCCGATAGGATTTTGGAGACCTGTTCTGATTGACTGTAAGACATTGGTCAGGGTGGTGGGAGAGATTATAAAGTTATAGGAAATAGACACAAACCTTCTTGGAAGGCCAGAAGGTTTGCATAGCTTCAGTAAAAGATTTGGCTGAAGGCAGCTGAATTCTCTTAAAAGCTTAGGGCATAGATACATAGGAATGTAGAGGAGTTTATCTAAATAGCTTGTTTACTCATGTTGTCCTAAAACCAACCTTTGATCATGCGGGCAGGACTGCTCTTTCCTGGGGAGGGCAACCTGATAAATTACCCACAAGTAGGTTGACTCAAAGCCTTTGTCATTAAATCTGTGCTGAATAAATGCCTGCAGGGACAGCTAGTCAGGGCACACGGCCACTACAACTCTTTCTGTGAGCGCCCTGGCCCCCTAGCCAGTCTTTCACTGAATACCAGTGTCTGGGTACGTTATTCATCCATTGTGCAGCGTGGGTCTCTGGGTCAGACCCTGGCAATTTAGCTTCTGGTTCTTGAACTGCAAATCGTTTTTAGAACTTGTAATAAGAATTAAGTTCCCCCAAATAATTTCTAATATAGGTTTCTCCCCACTTCTGACTCTTAGAAGAACACTGGCCTAGAGGTGGGAGGTAGTGGACAGCAAAATTACTTCCCAGAGCTAGAACTGGCCCTGTAATCACAGTGATAGCAAATGATTTCTGCCCACGATCAAATGAGCAGCATTTATAGAGGCACATATTGGAGAAGCAATGGAAAATTTGGGAGCTAACATTAATTTTCAGGAATAACTTTGTTTTGTTATATGTTTTTTATTACTTTCAGGGTCGTGGTTTTGGAAAGTAGGCCAACTGATAACCCCACAGCAAATAGCAATTTGTACATCCTGGCGGGTCATGAAAACAGTTACTGAGAATTGTTGTGCTTTGACAGTTAACTCTAGAAAGAAAGAACACTACCACTGCAACATTAATGGATGCTTGAAGCTGTACAAAAGCTGCAGTAACCTGTCTTCAGTTACTTTGTAATTTATTGTGGCATGAGATAAGATGGGGAAAATTTTGTTTTAAGTGGTATGGATATATTTAGCATATTGAACCACACAAGTGCTTAATTCATTGTTATGTAATCTTTGTACATATAGGCAGTATTTTTTCTGTGAAACTTCATATTGCTGAAGACATACACTAAGAATTTATGTAGATAATGTACTTTTATGAGATGTACAAGTAAGTGTCTTATCTGTACAGATGTAAATGTTGATGAAAATGCAATTGGGGTTAATATTTTAAGAATTCTTTAGTATATTCTTGGGTGTGGCTATATTACAAAATGGGATGCTGGCAATGAAACAATACATTTAACACTATTGTATTTTTATTATATGTAATTTAGTAATATGAATATAAATCTTGTAACTTTTAAAATTGTAATGGAGGCTGTAATCATTTTATAATCTTTTTAATTTTAATGCAAGTACACTGGTGTTTATATTTGCACAAAGTATTGATATGTGATGTATTAAGTCACAAAAGTAAGCTGTGACATTGTCTATAAGCATTTGGCTCCACAAATGTATTTGGATTGTTTTCTATGTGAAGCAAACCAATTATAATTAACCACATGTTGTAGTAACTGGTCTTTTTATATTTAAGCAGAATCCTGTAAGATTGCTTGTCTTTGCTTAAAAACAATACCTTTGAACATTTTTGAATCACAGAATAGCGGTACCATGATAGAATACTGCAATTGTGGTCAGAATTACAGTATGCACAAAGAATTAATTAGCATTATTAAAGAGTCCTCACTAAACATTTCATATGATCACACTGAAGAACTGTAACATTCCATAGAGTGAAGTGGTTCAAATTTCTCTTGGAATTTTTACTTTTGTTGGCCTTATTTTATGATCCTTTTCATATTTCTTTTGACTTAGAGTATTAATACATGGCCAAAATAATTTAGTTACTACCTCATACAAACAATATAATGGTTACTACACATCACAGGAACTTAGTTTTGGTTTAAGTCATTTTTGATTGCTTTTTTCCAATGGAATATGTATATACCAGGTTTTAGCAAAATGCACACTTTTGGCTCTTTTTGGTATATGTTCTTTATATTTTAATGTGAGTATATACACTAAGAACAAACTAAATTGTGATTTATGATCTTCATTTATTTTAATGATAATGGTTTTAAAATATGTTCCTGATTGTACATATTGTAAAATAAACATGTTTTTTAACATGCTGTTGTATAGTAGCTTGTCATCTGGTTTAATCTGTATATAGTAACACTAAAATATATTAAGAGGGGAAAGCTTTATTTGTTTTGTAGTTAAATTCTTAAGTATTGAATTTTGGTCCCTCAAATCATGATTTTTATTTGATATGGGGTTTCAGTTTCATGAAGCATTAATATTTCCACACAGGAGAAAAGGGCATCTTTTGCAGAAACTTCGACTTCCTGATAAGAAAAGTCAAACATTCATAGTTTTCTGGTTAGAGGCAGGGGTCCACAAACTACAGTCCTCAGACCAATCCAGCCTACTGCCTGTTCTTGTAAATAAAGTTTTAATGGAGCACAACACCACGTATTCACTCACATGCTGTCTATGCTGCTTTGGTGCTACAATATTTGAGTTGAGTGGCTTCTGAAACACTATATGGTCTGAAAAGCCTAAAATTCTTACTTTGCTGACCCTTTACAGAAAAAATGTGCTAGTGCCTGGGTTAGAGAAAGTAAGGAAGCATTGGGAAATGCAGTTCTGGAGGTAAGGAAGGGGAAGATTAAGAGGGAAGAACTGGATTGGGGATCAAGAGAGGCACCATTTCCATATTGCTTATGCCACTACGTGTCACAATGGCCTTGAATAATTTAACAGTTTCCACATCTAAAATCGTACAGATGCTAATAACCATAACAACTGAGTTCATTTATCACTTTTCCCACATTGGGAATAATCCTATCATTAGTGACTAATGACTATGTTTTTTCACACATCTTTGTCAGTATAACATTATCAATTTGCTGCAAAACAGAGACTGTTGGAAAAGATTTTTAAGTGAAGATTTTTAAGTGATCAAGATTCTGTTCTTGGCTCTTACTGACAGGTTGTTTAGTTTATCCTTTTTCTGAACCACTTTTTTTTCAGTTTTTAAGACTTACATAAAGGGTCATATCTCAAAAAACGTTAGTCATCACATTTAGCTGTTAAACACTTAGAAACATTTTCAAAAAATAAAATACATAACTGGTTGTGTATTACCCAGGAGCTTTCTAAGATATATCTGGAGTCATAATCTTGAGGGCTGAGGCTCAGTAACCTATATTTTTATAAAGTTGTACAAATGATTCTGATGTGCATCGCAACATGAAACCACTGGTGGGCACTAAATTTAAATCAGTGCTTCTGAGTGTGTCCAAGTGTGCCTCAGAATCATCTTTGGTAATACTTAAAAGTGCAAATTTCTAGATTCCACCCAGGAATTTTTGATTATGGATCTTTACATACACAAAAGGAAGACAGCCACTCACTTAAATGTTGGAAACAATCTATTTCATCTTTATTGAAGTTAAAGCGATCTTATTAGCTAATTGCATAGACACTGGTTTTGAGGAGAATGAGATCAACCGGTTATGGGCCTAATGGCATCATTCAGCTTGCACATGTGACTCTGATTTCAGTAGAGACCAGGAAACAAAAGGACAGATGCTATTAGTTTTCACCATTACTGGCGGAGAGGTGAAAGTGTGTGCTATACAAAATAATGGGTAAACACTAAGAGAGCATATAATACATTCCCAGTTCACGTATGTGTGTGCCAGGTACTCATCTGCATGCTTTATATAGTCCCACTTAAGCCCCAGAACACCCCTGTGAGGTATTATTAACTCTGTTTTACAGATGAAGAAACAGGCACAGAAAGTTTTAGCAGCTTGCCCAGAACTATAGCGGGTAAATAATACAGCAAAATTTGAACCTCGGCACTTGATTCAAAGTGTATTCTCTTAACCACTGTGCAAGACTATTACATAAAATACATGCAGTATATCCACTGCCCACTAAAACAGACTCTCTCATTCTTTCCTCTAAAATTAGATTTTTTTTCTCCAGGTGTTGGATTTCAGATTTTTATTTTCACTGTTTCTGCACAAGAGATACTAACTTCTGTCTTAATTTTTTGCTTTACCGAAAGGCATTTTTCTTATCTAAATTTGGTATAAAGATAAAAGGATTTACATAAAATTTACAGTCAAAGTATATTAAATAAGTAGTCAAAAGTCATTATAACAAAGACTTTTTTAACTTTTGTGAGACAATTACTTATACAACATATAGTGATTATTTACACTGTAGCCAAGGCACTTTACTAGCACTGGAGAAGAGATGGAAAAGGTTTAATTCCCAACCAGTATTCATCCAAGGAGCACACTTGGATGAATAAAGGCAAACGGAAGTAAGTAGTATTAAAACAAGGTACAGGCCCAGTGTGATGGCTCAAATCTCTAATCCCAACACTGGGAGGCTGAGGTGGGAGAATCACTTGAGCCTAGGAGTTCAAGATCAGCCTGAGTTACATAGCAAGTCTCCTTCTCTACAAAAAATGAAATTAGCCAAGTATAATGGCACATGCCTATAGTCCCAGCTACTGGGGAGGGAGGCTGAGGCAAGAGAATCACTTGAGCCCAAGAGTTTGAGGCTGCAATGAGCTATGATTGTGACACTGCACTTTAGCCTAGGCAACAGAGTGAGCCTCTGTTTCCAAAAAAAAAAAGGTACAAGAGGTTGTGCCTAATTCTGCTTTGTGTAGTAAGATTTGTAAACCAGGTTGTTGATAGATGAAGAGAAATTTACCATATGCAGTAAGAAAGCAAGGTAGGAACCTGTAGCCTAGACCAAGGCATATGCAAATACTGCATGTTCAAGAAATAGTGACATTGAATTGAATGAACCAGAGTTTCGGGTGCCTGAAGCAGAGTAATAGGGCAGGAAGCTGCATAAAAAGATGGGCCTGGTTGTGAAGAGCCTCCTTATGAGAGAAGCAGCTAGGAATCAACAGTTTCAGAAACTGGAGAGCAAGTATCATGAAGATATAAATGGGTTGATGGATTTGTACATAAGGTGATACTTGTATACTTAATGAGAAATTTTTCTATAGCATGATAGATGGTGGAAATTATATAGGAATTGGATAGATGTGAATTTTATGAGTATTTGACTTTAGTGGAAGTGTATTTGGTCTCAAAAGAGGAAGGAGATAAAGGTTTTTGTTTTGATTTTGTTTGTTAAAGATGGGAGATTTCAGCATGTATCTAAGCAAATGAAAGAAGTGGAAAAGAAATGAGATGGATGAGAAAAGGAGAAGAGAGTCACCTGTTTAGGGAAGTATGGAGATGCTAAACCTGGCCATGATCACGGGGAGCATTTTGCTAATGCTGAAACAAAGTACGTGTGTGCTTATTAACATATAGCATTTCTAAGTTAGTCCTGGGAATAAAATGGGTAAGCTCTAGCCAAAATTCTCTTTCCCAAGTAATACATTATCTCCACAGAGCATTCATTACATTATTTGTTTCATTGACTTTCTTCCCTAATGGGTGTCAAACCTGTGTCTGATTCTTAGGCCTCAGGTACTAGTACAATGCTAGGTGAATTAGGAAAATGGCCTCTGATCCATAGCTGCTTTTCACGCAAAAACCTACAGAAGTCTGCTGAAAAGGTATTTGGATAATTAAACAAGACCGAAAAGTAATGACTAATGACAGAGAATCTTGCAAACTGAAGGTCTCTGCCCAGGCAGGGAAACGAACTAATCAATATTCAACAGTTACGTGTGCTGTTTTTCAGTGCTCTCGATGCCTTGGGAAAGAAGGGGACATGGTGTAATCACAGTATTAAGGGGAAAGTGGTTGAAATGTTTCCTGAGCGCTCTCATTCAACTTTTGCTCCGTTCACAGCCTGATGCTACAGGCTCGGCCCCGAGGTTATACCCACCAAGAGGAAGTATGTCCGGAATTGGTGGGTTCTTGCAGTCACTGACTTCAAGAATGAAGCCGCGGACCCTCGCGGTGAGTGTTACAGCTCTTAAGCTGGCGCGTCTGGAGTTTGTTCCTTCTGATGTTCAGATGTGTTCGGGGTTTCTTCCTTCTGGTGGGTTCGTGGTCTCGCTGGCTCAGGAGTGAAGCTGCAGACCTTGCGGTGAGTGTTACAGCTCTTAAGGCAGCGCGTCTGGAGTTGTTCCTTCCTCCCGGTGAACTCGTGGTGTCGCTGGCTTCAAGAGTGAAGCTGCAGATCTTCGCGGTGAGTGTTACAACTCATAAAAGCGGCGTGGACCCAGAGTGAGCAGTAGCAAGATTTGTTGCAAAGAGCGAAAGAACAAAGCTTCCACAGTGTGGAAAGGAACCCGAGTGTGTTGCCACTGCTCGCTCGTGCAGCCGGCTTTTATTCTCTTATTTGGTCCCACCCACGACCTGCTGATTGGTAGAACCCAGTGGTCTGTTTTGACAGGGTGCTGACTGGTGTGTTTACAATCCCTGAGCTAGACATAAAGGTTTTCCACGTCCCCATCAGATCAGTTAGATACAGAGTAGCGACACAAAGGTTCTCCAAGGCCCCACCAGAGCAGCTAGATACAGAGTGTCGACTGGTGCATTCACAAACCCTGAGCTAGACACAGGGTGCTGATTGGTGTGTTTACAAACCTTGAGTTAGATACAGAGTGCCGATTGGTGTATTTACAATCCCTGAGCTAGACATAAATGTTCTCCACGTCCCCACCAGACTCAGGAGCCCAGCTGGCTTCAACAAGTGGATCCCGCACAGGGGCTGCAGGTGGAGCTGCCTGCCAGTCCCGCGCCGTTCGCTCGCACTCCTCAGCCCTTGGGTGGTCGATGGGACTGGGCGCCGTGGAGCAGGGGGTGGCACTCGTCGGGAAGGTTCCGGCCGCACAGGAACCCATGGAGGGGGTGGGAGGCTCAGGTATGGCGGGCTGCAGGTCCCAAGCCCTGCCCCGCAGGAAGGCAGCTAAGGCCCAGTGAGAAATCGAGCGCAGCGCCGGTGGGCTGGCACTGCTGGGGGACCCATTACACCTTCTGCAGCCGCTGGCCCGGGTGCTAAGTCCCTCATTGCCCGGGGTCGGCAGAGCCGGCGGGCTGCTCAGAGTGCGGGGCCCGCCAAGCCCACGCCCACCCGGAACTCCAGCTGGCCCGCAAGCGCCGTGCGCAGCCCCGGTTCCCGCTCGCGCCTCTCCCTCCACAGCTCCCTGCAAGCTGAGGGAGTGGGCTCCGGCCTTGGCCAGCCCAGAAAGGGGCTCCCACAGTGCAGCGGTGGGCTGAAGGGCTCCTCAAGTGCCGCCAAAGTGGGAGCCCAGGCATAGGAGGCGTCGAGACCGAGCGAGGGCTGTGAGGACTGCCAGCACGCTGTCACCTCTCAGAAGGATCAGGGCTGGGGCTGCCAGCGCCAGGGGAACCCGCTCCGGAAGCCGCAGTGCCCCGCGCGCCCTAGCGTTCCGGTTGCCCGGGAGACGCTGCGGCGGTTCCGCTGGCTCCGAAGTCGCTGGGTACACGGCGCCTCCTCCGAGCGACACGCGCGGGAGCTGGGGCTGGGGCTGTTCGGCGCTGCTCGAAGCTTCGTCACCGTCGCCCTGTGGGTGCAGTAAGTGCGGATTCTGCCGGTGGCGGGGGAACTGCGGGCAGCGTGCGGGGTTGATGGGGTGAGCCGCGAGGTCTAGACTGCGGATCCCAGTTGCAGGAACCAAGAAAAGTTCCCCGAAAGAAAAGCGGGACCGCCTTCCGCTTCGGTGGCCCCTGGAAGGGAAGGGGCGGATTCGAGGTGGCAGCACTGACCCGGTGAGGGTCCCTCGGGGCGGAAATGGTGCTGCCCAGGGAGTGGGCGGCGGCGGGGGCCGAGGAGCGCGCAAGGCGGAGGCCTACCTATGGCCGAGAAAGAGAACTGTCATTAAATGAAGAAGGCTGAAGACCAGAGGCCTGGAAATAAAGTGGATTTGTGCTTGACTTGCAGATCTGTTATGTGCACACACGAAATGTGATATATTTAAACAAAATTACTTTATCGGATTTTGTATAATTATGTGGTATTCTGGTTTTCTGGGGATGCTTTTAATTAGTCTGATTGTATTGTCAACTGGACAGGTTTATAAACAGGTGTGTGTACTTTTGAAATTCAATAATTCACTGTTATGTTGATAAAACAATGATTTAATGGCCCATTTGACTAATTAGTTTTATTAAATATAAATTCATGTTTGGTTTGGTTGAAAACAATAACAACATAGGAGGTTGTGACTTTACCAGCCTGTGGATTCCCTAACTGATATGGCCTGATCTTCAAAATCTCTTTTTCCTCGTCATTCCTTTTTTTTTTTTTTTTTTTTTTTTTTTTTTTTTTTTTTGAGACAGGGTCTCACTTTGTTCCCCAGGCTTGGGGGCGGTGGCGCCACCTTGGCTCGCTGACCTCCCAGGTTCAGCAACCTTGACCTCCCAGGTTCAGCGATCCTCTTGCCTCAGCCCCACAAGTAGCTGGGACTACAGAGGCAGGACACCACGCCCAGCAACTTTTTTTGTATTTTTAGAAGAAATGGGGTTTCACCACATTGGCCAGGCTGGTCTCCAACTCCTGGCTTCAAGTGCTCCACCCGCCTCAACCTCCCAAAGTGCTGGGATTACAGGTGTGAGCCACCACGCCCGGCCATCCGCATCATTCCTAATGCCACTGTTTACATGAGTTTCCTAAAGCTCCTAGATTAGAAAATGTGTTTTTTCACTCTTCTTTTTTTCTACCTCTCCCTTTCTTGATTTTTGTTTTCCTTCTTTCATTGTATTCCTTAGGCTGGCTTGAGTTCTCAGGACTTGATTTGTGATACAATCATGGAAAATAACCTACCTCCAAGTCTATTCTGTTTCTGTGTACATCATTTTGCAAACCCTTGAGACTAAGGAAATTAAATAGAAATTTTCAAAGAATTTAGTGAGCCACTCAAGTATCTATCTACCTCTTTTGATAATCATAAGTGGGCTCAGTTCTATACCTATCTGCCTTTGTACACAGAACTTTAACTTGAGAGTCAAATATTTGGTAAATTCTGAAGTCAGGAAGCCCTGTAGCCAAAAAGTATAAAGCTTCAGTTTGAAGGTCAAAGATGACTATGAAAAATAATTTCGCCAGGCATGGGTGGCTCATGCCAGTAACTGCTGCACTTTGGGAGGCCAAAATGGGAGAATCACTTGATCCCAGGAATTCAGGATCAGCCTAGGCCACATAATGAGACCCCACCTCTACAAAAAATACAAACATTAGCTAGGCATGGTGGCACATGCCTGTAGTCTCAGCTACTCAAGAGGCTGAGGCAGGAGAATTGCTCAAGCCCAGCAGGTACAGGCTGCAGTGAGCCCTGATCGTGCCACTGCACTCCAGCCTGAGTGACAGAGCGAGACCCTGTCTCAGTTAAAAAAAAAAAAAAAGGAAAAAGAAAAAGAAAACTATTTTCAACCAACTGAATCTACTTTCTGCCAATAGCTATATCACCATTTAATCTTGATTTCTTGTCCAAGTACTGTATTAATAATCAAAATGTACTTATTGCCTTTGCTTTAAAAAGTAAGTCATTTTACATATTTAATAGAAAGGTTAGAAAAATAACATTACGGTAGGGCCACAGCGGAGGTCCACTATGTGCCAGACAATAGGCTAACAATAGAAGGCAATGTGATAATGTTTTTGAAAGGGTGAAAGGAAGTCGTTAACATAGCATGCGAGCAGAGAAAGAACCTGCTTTTGGGGATTGGGAGAAGCTAAGCAGAAAGACATTTGACTTGAACTTGAAAAAGATGAAGATTTAAGGGTCAGACATTCCAGGCAGGGGTATGAAGGGAGACTTAGAGACCTGAAAGTGTTTGGGGAAGAATCTGAGAAGTGATGCTGGCAAGGTAAATTGGGGCCACGGCGTACAGAACTGTAAATATCATACTACAGTTTGAACTTTATTCTGTGGCATTTGAGGCCATAAGACATTTCTGAGAAAGGATGATATCTCATCCTGTTGATGTTTGAGAAAGATGTCTTTGGTGTAATAAAAGTAAATATAAAGAAGAAAAGTGAGATAACACACTTTAAAATAACTACTTTGATATAATAATTTCAAGCTGGCAATAAGAGTGTAATAAACTCATATATCTGGACTCACTGTTTACGTTTTGCTCAATTTTTATGTTGTTTATCGTTTTCTTTTTAGTGTGTATATAACACATGCATATTAATTTTTCTGTACCATTTGAGAGTAAGTTGCAGACATCAGATCCCTTCACCCGTAAATACTTCAGTGTATTCCCAAGAACTAGGACATTTTCTTATATAATCACAGTACAAATTACCAAAATCAGGAAACTGATATCAAATCTGCAGTCGAAATTTAGATTTTGCCAATTATCTTAGAAGTATCCTTTATGGTCATGTTGTTCACCAGTCCAGGATCCAGTTCAGGATCACACGTCGCATTTTGTTTTTCCATCTCTCTAGTCTTCAATCTGGAACAGTGCTTTGATCTTTTCTTTCATGACGTTGACATTCTTTATTAAGAGTACAGGCCGGTTATTCGTAGAATGCCCTTCAGTTTGGCCATGTCTATTGTTAACTCATAATTAGATTTAGATTTTGCATTTTTGCCAAGAATACCACAGAGGAGATGTGCCCTTCTCACTTGCACATTTGTCTTTTCTAGAAATTTCCTGTAATGGAATTATAAAATATGTAGGATTTTGTGTCTGTCTTCTCTCACTTAGCATTATGTTTTGGGGCATGTGGTTCTTTTTTCTTTTTTTTTTTTTTTTTTAATGTTCATCTACATTATAGCAAGTTCATTCCTTTTTGTTGCTGAATAGTATTTCGTTGCATGGATAATCCACATTTTGTTTACACATTCATCAGTTGATGAACATTTGGATTGTTTTCCATATAGGGACCTCTTCTGAATAATGGTGCTGTGAACATTTGCTTACATGTCATTGTTAGATCTATTTTAAAATTTTTCCTGGATAGATACTGAGGAGTGAAATTGCTGTTTATGGTTAATTTTTTTTTTTTTTTTTTGAGACGAAGTCTCGCTCTTGTCCCCTAGTCTGGAGTGCAATGGCACAATCTCGGCTCACTGCAACCTCTGCCTCCTGGGTTCAAGCAATTCTCCTGCCTCCCGAGTACCTGGGATTACAGGTGCATACCACCACACCCAGCTGATTTATTTTATTTTATTTTATTTTATTTTAAGTAGAGACGGGGTGTCACCATGTTGGCCAGGCTGGTCTCGAACTCCTGACCTCAGGTGATTCGCCTGTCTCGGCCTCCCAAAGTGCTGGGATTACAGGCGTGAGCCACCACGCCTGGCGGTTAATTTTTAAGTTAAATTTGTGTTTAACTTTTTTTTGAGACAGAGTCTCACTCTGTCACCCAGGCTGGAGTGCAGTGGCACAATCTCAGCTCACTGCAACCTCCGCCTCCCAGGTTCAAGCAATTCTCCTGCCTCAGCCTCCCAAGTAGCTGGGATTACAAGTGTGCGCCACCATGCCTGGCTACTTTTTGTATTTTTAGTAGAGACAGGGTTTCACCATGTTGGCCAGGCTGGTCTTGAACTCCTGAGCTCAAGTGATCCACCTGCCTCAGCCTCCCAAAGTGTTGGGATTACAGGCGTGAGCCACCATGCCTGGCCCTATGTTTAACTTTTAAGACATTGCCAAACTGTTTTCCAATGGAGCTGTGCTGCTTTACATCCTCACCAGTGATTTGTGTGAGTTCCAGTTTCCATCTTATCAACACTTGATATTGTCAGTCTTTGGATTTTAGTCATTCTAATGTGTATGTAATGCTATCTTATTGCAATTTTAATTAACACTTCCCTAATGGCTAACAGCATCCTTTCATGTGCTTAGTAGACATTTGTGTATCTTTGGTAAAATGTCTATTCACATCTTTTGTCCATTTTTAAATTGGGTTGTTTAACCTCCTATTGAGTTGTAAGCATGCTCTCTATGTATTCTGGATACAAATATTTTATCAGATATAAGATTTGCTAATATTTTTCTTTAGTCTGTGGCTTAGCTTTTCATTTTCTTAATGGGGAAATTTTTTGAGGAGCAAAAGATTTTAATGTTGATAAATTCCATTTTATCTATTTTTTCTTTTATGAATCATGCTTATGGTGTCATATCTAAGAAATCTGCATAACTGAAAGTCACAAAGATTTTTCTCCTCTTTTTTTTTTTCTAGAAGTTATACAGTTTTAATGCTTACATTTTGGTCTTTGTCCATTTTGAGTTAATTTTGCTATATTGTGTGAGGTGTCTGTCTACTGTGTGTGTTTGTTGTTTGTTTTGCATATGGATATCCAATGGTCCTAGTATCATTTGTTGAAAAGACTATTCTTTCCTTGTCGAATTGCTGCAGCAACTTTGTCAAAAGTCAGTTGGGCCAGGCGCAGTGGCTCACTCTTGTAATCCCAACACTTTTGGAGGCCACAGCAGGCAGATCACTTGAGGTCAGGAGTTCAAGATCAGCCTGGCCAACATGGTGAAACCCCATCTTTACTGAAAATACAAAAATTAGCTGGGCATGGTGGCACATGCCTGTAATCCCAGCTACTTGGGAGACTGAGGCAGGAGAATCACTTGAACCCAGGAGACGGAGGTTGCAGTGAGCCAAGATTACACCACTGCACTCCAGCCTGGGTGACAGAGTGAGACTCTATCTTAAACAATAAAATAAAAATAAAATAAAATTTTAAAAGTCAATTGACCATAAATAGAAGGGTTTATTTCTTGACTCATTATTATGTTTCATTGATATATGTCTTTATGCTGGTACCACAGTCTTGATTTACCATAACTTTATAGTAAAATTTTAAGTCAAATTTAAGATAAATTTTTAATATAAATATTCTAAATTTGTTCTTTTTCAAAGTTGATTTGGCTATTCTGGGTCGTATGCATTTCCGTATAAATCTTAGTTTCAATTTCTGTCCAAATAAAGCCTGTTGGAATTTGTATAAGGAATTAATTTTGTTTAATTTTGTTCATTTTGGCTTTTTAGAGACAGGGTCTTGCTGCATTGCCTAGGCTAGAGTGCAGTGGCATAATCATAACTCAATGTAGCCTCAAACTCCTGGGCTCAGGTGATCCTCCCGCCTCAACATCCCAAGCAGCTGAGACCACAGGCGAGGGCCACTAGACCCTGGCTAATTATTTTTTATTTTTTTAGAGATAGGGTCTCACTATGTTGACCGGGCTTGTCTCAAACTTTTCGGCTCAAGTAATCCTTCTGCCTCAGCCTCCCAAAGAGCTGGGATTACAGGCATGTGCCACCACTCCTGGCCAGGAATTAGTTTATAGATGAATTTATGAAAAGCTGATATCTTGCTGGGTTTTCAAATCCATGAACATGGCATTTTTCTCCTTTTATTTAGATCTTTAATTTCTTTCAATGGTATTTTGTAATTTTCAGTATGCAGGTCTTGCACTTCAGTTGTTAAATGTATTCCTGAGTATTTTATTCATTTTTACATTAATTTGGATGGAATTGTTTTCTTAACTTTATTTTCAAATTGTTTGTTGCCATTATATAAAAAGATGATTTATTTTGCATATTGATCTTGTATCCTACTTCACTGCAAACTTGGTGATTATTTCTAGTAGACTTTTTATAGATTCATTACGATTTTCTGTAGATAGTATCATGTCATTTCTGAATAATGACAGTTTTACTTTTTATTTTCTTTTTTAAAAAAATATTCATATATATTGAGCACTTCATTTAATAACTATTTATTTTATAGAGATGGGGTTCTTGCTGTGTTACTCAGGCTGCTCTCAAAATTTTGGCCTCAAGCAATCCTCCCACCTTGGCCTCCCAAACTATTGGGGTTAGAGGTGTGAGCCACTGTGCCTGACCTTACTTTTCGTTTTCAATGTATATGCCTTTAATTTCTTTTTCTTGCCTTATTGCACTGACAAGAACTTTCAATACAATGATAAATAAAAATAGTGAAAGCAAACATCTTTTTTCCAGTCTTAGGGGTAACACATTCAATCTTTCATCATTAAGCATGATGTTAACTGTAGATTTTTCACAGATGCCCTTGAGGAAGTCCCCTTGTATTCATCATGAATGAGTGTTGGCTTTTGTCAGATTCCTTTTTTGTGTGTACTAAGGTGATCATGTGATGTTTTTCTTTTATTCTATTAATATGGTATTTTACATTATTGATTTTCAGTATTAAATCCACTTTGCATTCCTGAGATAAGTCCCACAGAGTCACGGTATATAATCTATTTTATGTTTCCAGATTTGGTTTGCTAATTATTTTGTTAAGGATTCTTGTGTCTACATTCATGAGAATAATCTGTGTTCTTGTGATTTCTTTGTCTGACTTTCATCTGATTTCTTTGTCTGACTTTGACTTCTATCAGGGTGATATTGGCCACATAGAATGAGTTGAGACATGTTCCCTCCTCTTCTATGTTTTCAAATAGTTTGCAAAGGATTGATACTAATTTTTCTTAGGTAATGTTTGGTAGTATTTACCTGTGATGCTATCTGATCCTGGGCCTTTCCTTGTGGGCAGATTTTTAATTACTGATTGAATTTATTTACTTGTTATGGTTGTAATCAGATTTCTATTTCTTCTGGAGTCCATTTTGGTATTTTGTATCTTTCTAGGCACTTGTCCAACCAACTTGACTAATTTTGTTGCGTAAACTTGTTTGGAATATTGTCATTTTTTTTAATTTCTGTAGTATGGTCCTAATTTTGATAACTTTTCTTTCTTTCTTTTTTCTTGCCTACTCTAGCTAGAGCTTCACTTTTGTTGATCTTTTCAAAGAACCAGTTTTTGTTTATTGTTTTCTATTGTTTTTCTGATGAAGAGTCAGCCATTAAGCATATTGTTGTTCCCTTGTATACGAATGGTTCTCTCTTTTCAAGATGTTGTCTTTAGCTTTCAGGAGTTTGGCTATGATATATCAAGGCATGGATTTCTTTGTGTTTATCCTATTTGGAATTCATTGAACTTTTAAGACCTGTATATTAATGTTTTCCATTAAATTTGGAAGGTTTTGGCCATTGTTTCATAAAATATTGTTTTTCTGCCATTTCCACTTACTCCTCTCTTTCTGGGAATCTCATTACATGTATATTGGTAGTATTGATTTTGCCTCCATCGGTCTCTGAGGCTCTGTTCATCTTGTTTTTCTTCTTTCATTTTGACTGCTTTTTATTGGTCTATTTTACTGATTCTTTCTTCTGTCATCTCAGATCTGCTGTTTGTCCCATCTACAGGATTTTTCATTTCTGGTTTTTTTTTTTTTTTTTACTCTAAAATTTCCATTTGGTTCTTTTTTTTATTTTCATTTTCTGATTGAAATTCCCTCTTCATTGAGTCATTGTCCTCATATTGTTCTTTAATTCTTTAAATTATAATTTGCTTTAATTATTTGAACATATTTATAACAGCTGCTTTGAAGACTGTCAGCTAAATCCAACATCTGAGTCTACTCAGAATCCATTTTTATTGACTTTATTTTTTCTGAGTATCAGTCACACTTTCCTTTTTTTTAGCATGTCTCATATTTTTTTTTCTTTCTTCTTCTTTCCTACTTCCTCCTAAAATCCAGTTTTATCTCCTAATTTTTTTGTTGAAAACTTAACATTCTAGGTAATATTATAGCAATTGTGGGGTGTTTGTTATTGTGGTTGTTGTTGTGGTTGTTGTTTCAATACAAGGTCTCACTCTGTCTACAAGCTGGAGTGCAGTGGCATGATCATAGTTCTACAGTACTATAACCTTGAACTCCCAGGCTCAAACCATCCTTCTGCCTCAGCTTCCTGAGTAGCTAGGAATACTGGCATGTACCACCACACCCAGATAGTTTTTAAAATCTTTTTGTAGAGATAGGGTCTCACTGTATTGCCCAGGCTGGTCTTGAACTCCTGAGCTCAATCAATCCTCAGGCCTCAGCCTCCTAAGTAGATTAATGGCATTTTTTACTCCCACCTATTGCCCATTTGATTATCAATAAGCTTGTTCATCTTTCTTTCCCTCTTCATTCTTTTAACATAATTTAGTTGCATTACTTTCTACTTTGTCAGAATTTATAATATTTTTTTCTTATTCTTCCACTCTTGTTTCTACCTTTACTTTGATCTTTAAGTATATTAAATGCTCACCATAAATCCTTTTGCTGAAATTTTTCCAGTCAACTCTTGATTGGATGAAGGCCTTTCACCAATACATTCAAGAGGACTATGGGGTACAGTATTCCTTGAGTTCTTGCATGTTTTAAAATATCAGCTGGGTGTGGAGGCTCATGCCTATAATCCCAACATTTTGGGAGGCCAAGGTGGGAAAATCGATTTAGCCCAGGAGTTTGAGACCAGCCCTGGGCAGCAAACCAAGACCCCATCTTTACAAAAATAAATAAATAATATTAACCAGGTGTGGTCCCAGCTACTTGGGAGGCTAAGGTGAGAGGATTGCTTGAGCTTGGGAAGTCAAGGCTGCAGTGAGTCATGATTGCACCACTGCACTTTAGATTGAGCAACAGAGCAAGAACCTGTCTCAAAAAAAAAAAAAAATTTTTTTTAAATGTTTATCTATAGCTTTGCACTTGAAGGACACACCTTGGCTGAATATAAAATCCTTGATTTTCATTTTCCCTTGAGTTTAAGATGCTGCTGCACTGTTACTTTGTAATGTATATTGCTCTTGATAAGTCTGATGTCACTCTAATCCTCTCACACTTATTTAATCTTTTTGTCTGGAGGCTCAGAGAGTATTCTCTTTATCTTTGATTGTTTTATTCAAATATGTCTTGGAGTTCGTTGTTCTGGGTCAGTTTTCCCAACTACCTAATGGGCCTTTTCAATAGATATAATTAGATTTTATTTTATTTCCAGAAAATTTTATTGGATTATTATTTCAACTATTGATTCTGTTTCATTGTTTTGTCTTCTTCAGGGACTCCAGTTGTACATACGTTCGGACTTCTTTTCCTGTCTCCATTTCAACTTTCTGTCTAAACTTTTACCTTTTTTTCTTCATTTTAATTCTCATAATTACTGTTCTGCCTTTCTTTAATGCCCCAATCAAATTTTCACTTGAATCTATTCTCCTATCAGCATCTCATAATTTAGTCATTTCTGAGATGATTTTGTCTTTTTCTGATTATTCTTTTCTGAGTTCAATCAACTATCTTTTTATATCTTTTTATCCAAATCTACACATCAATAGCCAAAAGAAAAAAGTGAAAATATAGGCCGGGTGCAGTGGCTCACGCCTGTAGTCCTAGCACTTTGGGAGGCCAAGGCAGGTGGATCATGAGGTCAGGAGATCGAGACCGTCCTGGCTAACACAGTGAAACCCCACCTGTACTAAAAAATACAAAAATTAGCCGGGAGTGGTGGCACACGCCTGTAGTCCCAGCTATTCAGGAGGCGGAGGCAGGAGAATCGCTTGAACCCGGGAGGCAGAGGTTGCAGTGAGCCGAGATCGTGCCACTGCACTCCAGCCTGGGTGACAGAACGAGACTCTGTCTCAAAAAAAAAAAAAAAAAAAGTAAAAATAAAATTTATATATATATATATATATCTTCTTAAATAATTTTTGTCCACTTGTGATTTGAATATCTGATTCATTGTGGCTTTTTCGTATCTCCAAATTATGAGAGGATATTTAAATCAGTTTGAAGTGTTTGTGTTAGTTTTCTTTTGCTTCATGGTTAGATTTTGTGTGTTTTTTTTTGTAAATGATTTTCATTAACTGAAATTTTTGGGTTCTCATTTCTTTTTTCTGACAATAATAGCATGTATGGGGACGGCTTTCCCTTGTTTCATTTCTTGGGCAGGTTTTGGCTGTTAGTAACTGACTATCATCCTAGGCCAAGAGAGTGTTTTCTGTCACTGTAGTAAAATGCAGTTTCTTTCATTGATGACACTTTTTCCCTGTCTTAGTGGTGATGGGAGGATTCGCATGCCCTTCAATTCAGAATTCTCTTTTGTCTTGCAAGATGCCAAATGTATCCTTCTCGCTTCTTTTTCCCTTCACTGTCCAGTCTCCAACAGATGTCTTTCCCTTCCCTCTTGTCCTTTTATTCCCCAAAAATGGTGCCACACTGACTAGTGCCACCTTGAGACCCATGTTACTTTTACACCCCTTCCTTGTAGTGAGTGTTCTGATCTACCAGGACACACTTAGGGTATTTTTACACTTGTGATGTGTTTTCTCTTTGGGAAGGAGGTGATCTTAAGTCTTTCTTAGGCCCTTCTTTTACTCTTCTGTCTTTCTTAAAGCTTTTTAGATCTCACCCCTCTCATATCTTTGCGTTCTGCCAAGGTTTACAGTGGGAGCTCAAGAGATAACCCCTCCAGAATTTAGGCTTTTCTTTTCTTTTTCTTTCTTTCTTTCTTTTTTTTTTTTTTTTTTTGAGATGGAGTCTCACTCTGTCACCCAGGCTGGAGTGCAGTGGTACGATCTCGGCTCACTGCAACCTCCGCCTCCTGGGTTCAAGCAATTCTCTTGTCTCAGCCTCCTGAGTAGCTGGGACTACAGGCGCGTGCCACCATGCCTGGCTAATTTTTTGTATTTTTAGTAGAGATGGGATTTCATCGTGTTAGCCAGGATGGTCTCGATCCCCTGACCTCGTGATCCGCCCGCCTCAGCCTCCCAAAGTGCCGGGATTACAGGAGTGAGCCACCACGCCCAGCTAGGCTTTGCTTTTCTACCTAAGTTTGTAGAGTCCTGTGTCTTCTTGTTATATTGAAGGCACTGGATTTATGTGGTTTTATTTGTCCTGGTTGATTTGTATTGCTTTGTGGAAGATGTATGAGGAGATTAGGTTTAGGCAGCAGTCACTGTCCTTGGCTACCTCAAAGCCCCCCACCACATGTACCTTGACAAGCCATTTAGGCATAACGTGGAGCATGTTTGTGAACATTGGGTATGGACAGAGGATAAGAAAGAAGAGAAGGCATTTGGTTTAGAATGTTCCAATTTTTAGATGATTCTGTCCATTCATGTAGAGATACTCATCAAGCAGTTGGATAGTTGGTCTGGATCTCAAATAAGAGAGTAGGAATTACTGCCTCCAGAAACTCTGTTATAATCCTAGTAAGCTGGAATTAGAGCTGTAAATTCCACAAAGGAATTTACAGGCATTGGTCTAATTCCTGCTTGCATACTCAGACTCATTTTCCATGAACATATAGTAGGGCTTTTGAAAACAGAAATATTGAGTGGTTACTAGGTGAAGTACTATTTCCTGGAGCTTTATTTTATTGTATTTAGCAGTTTGGTTGATGTGATTATGAGATCTAAATATTAGTCTGAGGAATCAGTCGTTACTGAATCTGTTGAGAAAAAAGAAAAAACATACATCAATAGATCAAATCAACTACCTAGAGGGAAATAATAAAATAATGCATACATTAAAACTTCATAATTAAGCTTCTTGTCATATTTATAGTTTCCCCCAATGACTGTAGTACTTATCAAGTAGGTTAAATTAACAAATCTATAAAGTTTTATACCAATAACTTTATCTCATTTTATTTTAGAGACAGGGTCTCACTCTGTCACCCAGGAAGTAATACAGTGGTACAATCATAGTTCACTGTAACCTCAAACTCCTGGGCTCAAGTGATCTTCCCACCTCAGCCTCCAAAAGTGTTGGGATTACAGGCATGAGCCAATGCTCCCAGCCAGATGCCAATAACTTTCTAAAGCAAATTCCCAGTTTCTCCTACTCTCTTTCCAGCCATCTATTACTATGCAAATGTATGCATGCTCACATCTAAATATCTTTAAAATAATAATACATAGGTAAAAATACAGTATAACTAATAGGGCTTTCAGAACATAATCTGTGATGGATTTTCCATGTGTTACTTGAGTGTGTATGCTTGAATTTTCTTTCTTTAATAAGAGAGGAAATCGAATTCATTCCCCCTCAAAAAAGCAGCACTGTAAAAAATAGTATGTCAGTAGTCATTATATCCAGGTAAACATTTTTCTCCATTGTATATTTTTATGGTGGCAAGTGGAAGTAGATTATTTCTTTCACCATTGAGATAATCTGTAGTTGGAAAAGACAATATTATTAGAGAAGTTTTAAAAAATGTGTACTCATTTGAAACAAGAGAAATTTACAAGTAGTCAACTTTTTCACTTGACATTTTGTTAATACCAAGACCTGGATAAAGTGGTTCTTCGAATTATACATTCTTTTTGTTTGTTTGTTTGTTTGTTTGTTTTTGTTTTTGAGATGGAGCCTTGCTCTGTCTCCCAGGCTGGAGTGCAGTGGTGCGATCTCAGCTCACTGCAACCTCCACCTCCAGGGTTCAAGAGATTCTCCTGCCTCAGCCTCCTAAGTAGCTGGGATTACAGGCCTGTGCCACCACACCCGGGTAATTTTTTGGTGTTTTTAGTAGAGACAGGGTTTCACCATGTTGGCCAGGCTGGTCTCGAACTCCTGACCTCAGGTGATCCACCTGCCTCGACCTCCCAGAGTTCTGGGATTACAAGTGTGAGCCACTATGCCTGGCTGAATTATGCATTCTTTTGCACTTAACTGAGAGGCTGTGTAATGTAGTGATTAAAATTGTGTTCTTTGAAATCTCACTCCGTGGGTTCTAATTCTGTATTACCTTCACTGTGTCTTTTCTCATCTGTATAATTGGATAAAAATAACACCTACTTCATAGAATATTTGTGCACATTCTATGTAATTTGTATAGAACAATGTTAAGTGCCATTATTATTGTAATTGTTATTAGGTTATATTAACAAGATTCTGCTGGATAAAGTGGGGTGGGGTTTTTGAGACTAATTAGAATTTTTCTATTTTTAATTCTTAGACTGATTTATTTAAATATGTTGGCCTTAGTCATCATGTAATATTTAATTCGGTCACCAAAACATTCATTCAAGAATGGATGACACAAAACAGAAAAACCCAGTATTTCCATAGAAATCACTAGAGATGTGAAAGAATTCATAAGAATGAATGCTTTCTTTGTGTTTATTATTTTCTTTTGGGGCTAAGAACTTAAGAATCTGTTCTTCCATGAAAATAAAAGCTAGGAGCAATAAATACCCTAAAAGGATTCTGTTATTGTTTTGTGTTTTTCAGACAGAGTTTCACTCTTGTTGCCCAAGCTGGAGTGCAATGGCACAATCTCAGCTGGGTTCAAGGGCCTCCTGAGTAGCTGGGATTACAGGCATGTGCCACCACACCTGGCTAATTTTGTATTTTTAGTAGAGATGGGATTTCTCCATATTGGTTAGGCTGGTCTTGAACTCCCAACCTCAGGTGATCCACCCACCTTGGCCTTCCAAAGTTCTGGGATTACAGGCTTGAGCCACTGTGCCTGGCCTGTTATTGTTTTTAAAGACTGCTTTGTTCAATGGCCCACGCTCTTTCTTCTCTCCACCAGGTGGAAGTATAGCACTTTTTGTACCATGTCTTCTTACACAACTCCTCCTAGTCATTGTGTATGCACTTGGGTTAGAAGAGAAAAGATAAACAGCATATTCCAGAGTATGAAATGTTCCTTCAGCTGGATTTTACAGCATCATATTTCAGTTGTTTGCTTGAGCATAATGAAAACAATAGATGGGATAAGTTTCCTTTCCACAAATTCTTTTAGTTCAACTGAGGTCAACATAGAACCATTGTCAGAAATAGCATATGAAATCTTTTGATAGCTGGAAGAGCTGCAGAGGACTAAACTAAACTAACAAAATAATATCCAAATATTTTTAAGTGGATTTCCAATTAATTGATGAATATAAACCTTTGGCATGTGGACAAATTGGTTGTATATAACCTGTGAGAACATTGTCTTTTATAGCTTGATTAAGGCAAGTCTACCTTATTTTCCAGGTGCAGCATTGTACTGCAAGTCAATCGATACAATAATTTAAGTCACTTCAGCTATAATGGAAAAGTATGAAAAATTAGCTAAGACTGGAGAAGGGTCTTATGGGGTTGTATTCAAATGCAGAAACAAAACCTCTGGACAAGTAGTAGCTGTTAAAAAATTTGTGGAATCTGAAGATGATCCTGTTGTTAAGAAAATAGCACTAAGAGAAATACGTATGTTGAAGGTAAGTTAACTTTATATATATGTAAAATATCATGGAATTGAGTGAAATATGCATGTTAAAATTGCAAAGAATTTTAAAGTTATTTTCCCCCCATTGGACTTAAATTCCTTTGTATCAGCACCTTTGGGTAATAAGTTGATTATCACTTTGGACTTCGGCCACTCTGATTTTGTCTGTGTATGAATACAGCTATAGATTGTTATACTGAAAAGAACTTTTATTCTTGTTAGTAAATATCCTAAGTCCACTCACCCCAGTGTTTACGCTCGCCCCCAACCCTGGCCCTCCTCTGGATATCCCTCCAAATACTTCCCCTACCAACCAGCAACTAAAAGAGCACCTCCTGGCACAGAGAGTCAGTCCCACAGGACCGCACCAATGCCCTGGTAGGCATCGACATGCGTTGGTTCCTGCCTGCACTGCACCCCAGGTTCTTAGACATACTGAATAGCACCCCCGGTAACGTACACATTTTTTACATAAAGGTTTTTGTTATAATTGTTTTCACTCTGATAAGATTTGACATGTAAGATTCCTAAGTTCTCAATGTAAATTTTTTCTTACGCTAAATATCTTACAGTTTTAGATCTATAAGCGACCGTAGAGATGCTTCTTATCTAACAACCATATTTTCCGCAGAGGAAACGGAGGTCTGGGGCAGCACTTCTCAAATGTTAATATGCATTGGAATCCCCGGGGACCTTGTTGAAATGCAGATTCTGAGTTGGGAGGTCTGGGGTGGGCCCGAGATTCTGCATTTCTGAGTACGCAGGAAGTGCGGAAGCTGCTGGTTTGTGGGCTACACATTATGTGACAAGACCCTGTGATTTCAAGGACACACAGGCAACCTTCATTTTTGACACGTCGTCTGTTTTTAGAAAATCCCCAGAAATTCAGTTTGTAAGGGAGGATAATAATTATCACTAATAATTATCATGTTTTCTCTCATTTTCAAATATTATTTCCCACAGGTTTCCTCAACTAATACACACTAGGGTTTTGTTTGAAATATAACTTGATACAGTCTTCAGGAACACATCCATCATGATAAAAAAAAGTTCACTCTTACCTCTCAGCCAGCAGAGGGCGCGCCGGTCAGCTAGCCAGCTCTGGCACCCTCACTGAGCTAAGCTGCAGGGCGGGTCTGAACCAAGCAGTGTGGCTTTCTAATAAAAATAATGCTTTTACCTGTCAGCCTCTCCGTCCCAAGTCTTCAGATAAAGTTAATGCTCAGGTAGTACCTTCTGCATTACAAGTGCCCAACTGGAGAATGAGGCTGTAAGGTAAAAACTAGCCTGATTATGACTCAGCTTGGTCTCTGATGAAGGCCCTCAGAATGTCAGAACGTCCATCTTTCTGCTTTTGGTATGTTGTGTCCATGTAGGTCCTGAACAGCTCCTTCTGTGATCAGTCGACCTTCCTTTCCTCACATAGTCTTGTTATTTAAATTGCTTGCCTCTCTGTCCTTACCACCTGTTTTTCTTTAGGCAAGTTACTGTTTTCCTGGGCTAGGTTAACTTCATTTGCAAAGGCGGTATAAATTGCTGACCTACCCAAAGACAGGAGATTGGACCAGGTTTAACCTTGACATTGCATCAAACTGTAGTATCTGTAAATCTTTTACTCCCCTAGTAGAGATCCTGCTTTGCTTCCATACTGTGGTTTTGCAGCGGCACAAAGCCACTGGCTTTTTAGATGACCTAGTCTCTTCCACTCTTTGCCTTTCTGCTCTTTTAGGCAGTGGAGCACATAGAAAACAAATTGGTTTGGTGCTTTGGGCTTCTCTCTTTTTTTTCCCTTAGAGAGATGGGGTCTCAGTATGTTGCTTAGGCTGATCTCGAACTCCTAGGTTCACGCGATCCTCCTGCCTCAGCCTGGGCATATTTTTAATGTATAATGGATTCTCTTTTCCCCAGCTGTGGAGCAGCAGGCACACAGTTTTAGGGTGACATTTGTTTTGGTCAAGCCATGCTTACGTTAATAGATACTGAGGTAGAGGCATGCATTGTGAGTCTCTGTACCTAAAATTTTCTACTGGGCCTGTTATTTGTTGAGCTTCTACTATATGCAAAATGCTGTGTTCTCTCTCAGTATCTTTCTGGGTAAATGGAAGAGAGTTTGGAAAGTTGATTTGTCTACTATACTGGGAAAACAACAGGGAAGATGGGTTAGGAATAAGAGTGATCATGTATCCTGATTTGCCCAAGAGAGTTCTGCTTTATAGTTTTTGTCCCAGTGTCCTGCCTGGTTCACATCCCCTTTCAAAAGTGTCCTGGTGTGGCCAGGCCCAATGGCTCACGCCTGTAATCCGAGCACATTGAGAAGCCGAGGCAGATGGATTGCTTGAGGTCAGCAGTTTGAGACCAGCCTGTCCACGTGAGACCAGCCTGTCCAACATGGTGAAACCCCATCTCTACTAAAAATACAAAAATTAGCCAGGCGTGGTAGCACCCACCTGTAGTCCCAGCTACAGCAAAGGCTAAGGCATGAGCATCACTTGGAACCAGGAGGCGGAGGTTGTAGTGAGCCGAGATGGCGCCACTGCACTTCAGCCTGGGCGACAGAGCAAGGAAAAAAAAAAAGTGTCCTGGTGTGTATGCTGAATTATGTGGTCACCCTAGTTACAGACGGAGTGACCATATGTGCTGGTTTGCCTACGATAGTCCTGGCTTCTACCCATTACCCTAGTTTGGAAGATAAAATTATCTAATCGCTGTAGTGATGGTCTGTCCTACCTAATCAGCATTTTTCCTTGGGTTTGCGATATTAAACAGAGGCTGTCTTGTGAAATGCGTCAGTTTGGGAATAGAATTTAACACACAAAATATCTATGCATAAGAGAGAACAACAGAATCAAAGAACAATGCTGAAAATATATAATATATATTATATATATATAATATATATAATATATATATAATATATATAATTTATATAAATATAAATAAGTAAATTTAAAACACAGACTAATTGTGGGGACTTCTAGAATAGACAGTTTATTCCGATTTGATGGTTAGGAACAAGTATTACTGGGAGTCAACACTAGAATCCAGACTGGATTTAAATCCATAAAATCCATGGCAATATGTAAGCTGAGTGGATATTGATTATTTTTATAGTCCTTAATAATTTCATTTCCTCAATTTTCTACTCAGGTTATTTTATGACTTGTATATATAGAATTTCCATAAAATACATAAAGTGTTTTTTGTTTTATTGCAGTATTTTAAGTTACATACTTTACTTGCTATCACCAGAGAGATTCAAGCAATTTTGTTACCACTTATTATAGGTACATTGGATGAATCTTAAATTTCTTCCAACTTTAAGTTTCTTTAAGGGGTCTGGGTAGAAGCTTTTACTAGTAACAGATCACTTAACTTTGCATTTCAATTCTTTCACAGCAATTAAAACATCCAAATCTTGTGAACCTCATCGAGGTGTTCAGGAGAAAAAGGAAAATGCATTTAGTTTTTGAATACTGTGATCATACACTTTTAAATGAGCTGGAAAGAAACCCAAATGGGTAAGTAATCTGGAAACTGAAATTCTGTACAGCCAGTTCTCAGTTTCATTTTCTGTGGAATTAACCATGGCAAATTTCAAATCCCAGCCACAATTCCCCTTTCTACCACAATGCATCTGGCTACCCCATCCAGTCTCAGGATGTCTTCAAAAGGCAAACAATGATTTACCTATAGGAGTTATAATTAGGAGAAAAACCTACCACAGATATAAAATCAAAATGAATTTGAGGCTAAATTATGTATTGGATTATCTGAGTTCAAGGAATGAACCATGGTTTGATACTAGGAAACCTATTCATATAATTCACTAATAAGATAAAAAAATGTACGATTGATAAATTTGAAAATTTGAAATGTTGATAAATTCAACATCCTTTCCTGATTTTTTTTTAATCCCTAGCATCTAGGATTAAAAGAATAGTTTTTTTTTTTTGAGATGGAGTCTTACTTTGTTGCCCAGACTGGAGTGCAGTGGCGCGATCTCAGCTCACTGCAACCTCCACCTCCTGGGTTCAAGCAGTTCTCTGCCTCTGCCTCTGCCTCCCGAGTAGCTGGGATTACAGGCACACACCACCATGCCCGGCTAATTTTTGTATTTTTAGTAGAGACGGGGTTTCACCATCTTGGCCAGGCTGGTCTTGAACTCCTGACCTCATGATCCACCTGCCTCGGCCTCCCAAAGTGTTGGCACACACACCCCTCTTCAAATCAACTGCCAATGTTATACTCAATGGTAAAACTAAAAGAACTTTCATTAAAGTGAGGAAACAAGACAAGGATGTCAGCTGTCACCACTATAATGCAACGTTGTTCTGAGAACTCTAGCCAATGTAATGTAATAAGAAAAACAAAACATAGCTTTTGGAAATGAAATAAAATTGTCATTATTTGCAAGATATTACTGATCTACAAAATCTAAGAGAACCACCTAAAGAGTTATTAAAACCAGTGGAATTCAGTACAGCGACCCCTATAACACGACAGATTCCACATGCAAAAATTAACAGCATTTGTATCAAACAACACTTTAGAAAATCTAACAGAGAATGGCTGGGTGCAGTGTCTCATGCCTTTGGGAGGCTGAGGCAGGTGGATCACTTGAACTCACGTGTTCTAGACAAGCCTGGCCAACATGGTGAACCCCTGTCTCTACTAAAAAGATAAAAATTACCTGGGTGTGGTTGTGGGTGCCTGTAGTCCCAGCTACTCGGGAGGCTGAGGCACGATGATTGCTTCAACCCAGGAGGCGGAGGATGCAGTGAGCCGAGATCACACCACTGCACTCCAGCCTTGGTGACAGAACAAGACTCTGTCTCAAGAAAAAAAAAAAAAAAAAAAATTAGTGGAGAAGGATCCCATTCAAATATTAACAACAACAAAAGTTTAGGAATAAAGATAAAGAGTTGTTCTGACTCTGCATGAAGACAACTACAAAACTGAGATATGTAAGGATTTTATTTAAATGAACATGTTTCTAAATGGAAATATTCATGATTATAAAAATATTGCCTCTACAGTTTATCTGTTTATTAAACAAAATTCTAATCAGAATACCAATAGGGTATTTTTTGAAATTTGAAAAAGACTAAATCGAGAAAAAAGGGACTTTTAACTGTCAAATATTAAATCACAGTAGTTTAAGAGACTCCCTTTGACAAAAAAGTACCATAAACAAAACTAAAATAGAAATGAGATATTGGGTAAACTATTTGCCAGAATGAATAAATTTTATGTCTACCTATGCAGATTTTACAAATAACATTTTTTAAAAGGTTAACATCCAATTAATAAATATATTTATTCAAAAAAAACTTTCATAAATGTAGACTGTGCACCCAGCCAGTGCTAAGTCTACAGCATTGAACAGAGCACACACAGAAAAGGAGCCTCACCTTACCTTCCAGTGAACATGGGAAGCAAATCATTAAAAAAGAGAAGGAGGCTGGGTGCAGTGGCTCATGCCTGTAATCCCAGCCCTTTGGGAGGCTGAGGCAGGTGGATCAGCTGAGCTTGGGAGTTCAAGACCAGCCTGGCCAACATGGTGAAACCCATCTCTACAAAAACTACAAAAATTAACCTAGCCTGTTGTCCCAGCTAGTTGGGAGGCTGAGGTAGGAGGATCACTTGAGCTCAAGAGGTGAAGGCTGCAGTGAGCAGAGATCATGCCACTGCACTCTAACCTGGGTAACAGAGTGAGACCCCATCTCTCTTTTTTTTTTTTTTTTGAAGACAGAAGTCTTCAAAAAAAAAAAAAAAGAGAAGGAAATGACCAGTACATCTAAGAAAACATGCTTATCCTTCCCTATTAATCAAGGAAATTCAAAACTTTTTAGCAAGGTACCATTTCTCATCTGTTAAATTTGGCAAAGATTTTTCAAAAATTATTATACCCAGTCTTATCAACAGTCAGGGAATCAGACCTCCTCATTGATGGCTAGAGAGAGTGCCATTAGGAGGGCAATTTGGCAATATGTATGAAAAAATTTTAACTGTTTTCATCCTTTGATCAAGAGATTCCATTTAGAGAAATTTATAGTAAGAAAATAATCAGATGAGGGCAAAAGTTATACATATGAATGTTCAATACGTCATTATTTATAACAAAAATATTGGACTCCCCTAATTTTCCAACAGTAAATAATTGGTTACAGGCATTTTGGTATATCCATCCATACAATAGTACAATATGCAGCCAGCCCATTAGAGAGCATGCTTTAGAACAATAGTTAATGTCCTGGGGAAATGTTCCTGGGATGATATATGAAAAAATGAGATAACATACTAGAATGTTAAGTATAATTGAAAATTTGAGTTTTCTCAAATTTTCTCAAATTTCTGTGAATGCACATATATTACTTTTAAAATAAAAATTAATATAAAAACAATTAAAATGGCATATTAATTCATAGTTAAACTTTATCCTGCACTAAATAGGATGTTGTATGTTGACTTAGAAGACAGATATGTTCAGCCATTCTATAAATTAATTTATAAATTAACATACATTTTCATGAAGTTAGAAATTTATGCTTACTTCATGTATTGTTCAAGGCCCTGAAACTATTATAAAACATTCAATGCATACACCAGTTTGCTTGACTTGAACATCTTTCTCTTCCCTACTTGTATCCTAAGCTTTCCTGTCTATAGACTTAGCTCATGTTCTTCTCATTTTAATCTAGAAGGTTCTAGCCTTTTTCACCTTCACTGTCTCTATCATAATATTTATTTATTTATTTATTTATTTAGAGACAGAGTCTCACACTGTCGCCCAGGCTGGAGTGCAGTGGGGCGATCTCGGCTCACTGCAGCCTCTACCTCCTGGGCTCAAGCTGTCCTCCCACCTCAGCCTCCCAAATACCTGGGACTACAGGGACCCGCTACCATGCCCGGCTAATTTTTGTATTTTTAGTAGACACAGGGTTTTGCCATGTTAGCCAGGCTGCTCTCGAACTCCTAACCTCAGGTGATCCACCTGCCTCAGCCTCCCAAAGTGCTAGGATTACAGGCATGAGTCCCCACACCTGGCCTATCATAATCTTTAAAATGTGAAATCCTAGATATTTGTAACATCTCTAAGTTTCCTTCATCTGGATGGAATTTCTTCCTTCCTTTGAATCCCCATTGAATTTTATTTTCATCCCTGTTGTGGTACTTGGTATTTATACCGTATATGTTTTTATGTGCATACTCTCTCTCACTAGAGTATAAGTTTTTTGAGGGCATACTTCATGTCTCATTGATCTTAATGGCTTCCTTATGCCTAGCATTCTTTCGCTCAAAAAATATTTCATGGAGCATTTTACACTGGTGCAGAGGATACAGTTATAATGATACAGTCCTGCCCTCAAGAAGCTTAAAATGTGATGAAGAGACAGATATTCAAAGTAACAACTACAAATGGTTATGTTGATTGGGTTAATGTTGATGCAAGGGATGCACAAGAGAAGCAACTCCAACATCTGTTGACCCCGGGAAGTGAGGGAGATTCTGCAGAGAAGGCAGCATTTGGGCTTTGAAAAGGAAGAGGAGTTGGCCAGATGGACACCCCTGGCGGAATGCAGAGACACAAGAAAGAGCAAGGCATGTTCAAGCAACTCCTCTGTTGAATATGTGTTTTGCAATGCCAGGGACCTCTGAACTATCCCACTTTGCACTCTTAAGTTTTACAAATGTGCTTAGCACTGCTGGTGTTCAGTAGTGCGTTGCGTCAGCCCTGAGACTTCAATCTATTATGCATGGAGTAATGCAAATAGGAACAATCTAGAATATGCTGCTCTTTTATGAAATGTTGGGTACTTCTAGATAACAATGATTAATTTAAAGCATTCATCTACTTGTACTCCCTTCCTAAAATCTATTTAAATAACAGGCCAGAGAGTATTTTTAAAGGCCTAAGCCCAGTGAATAGCAAACAGAGATAAACAACCAGCTAGTATACATACCAAGCCTTTTGGACTATTGTTTACTAGAGGAAACACGTAGGATAAATAACTGGTGTGTGGGCATAAGATCATCAATGTGGACGGGCGCAGTGGCTCACGCCTGTAATCCCAGCACTTTGGGAGGCCGAGGTGGCTGGATCACAAGGTCACGAGATCAAGAGCATCCTGGCCAACACAGTGAAACCCCATATCTTCTAAAAAATACAAAAAAATTAGCCAGGCGTGGTGGCGGGCACCTGTAGTCCCAGCTACTTAGGAGGCTGAGGCAGGAGAATGGTGTGAACCCAGGAGACGGAGATTGCAGTGAGCTGAGATGGCACCACTGCACTCCAGCCTGGGCGACAAGAGCGAGACTCTGTCTCAAAAAACAAAAACAAAACAAAAAAAAAAACAAAAAAAAAAAAAAAAAAAAAAAAGATCGTCGATGTAGTGAATGCGGATTGAGCCATGGGATGGTGAGATAATGAAGGGACCCAACGACTAAATTACAGCATAAAGAAGAGTTGGGCCAGGCGCAGTGGCTCATGCCTGTAATCCCAGCACTTTGGGAGGCCGAGGAGGGCAGATCACTTGAGGTCAGGAGTTCAAGACCATCCTGGCCAACATGGTGGAACCCTGTCTCTACTAAAAATACAAAAAAATTAGCCAGGCGTGGTGGCAGGTGCCTGTAATCCCAGCTACTCGGGAGGCTGAGACAGAATTGCTTGAACCTGGGAGGCAGAGGTTGCAGTGAGCCCAGACCATGCCACTTCACTCCAGCCTGGGCGACAGAGCGAAACTCCATCTCAAAAAAAAGAAAAAAAAAACCAGAATCTCGAATAAGTTGTGCCCATATTGTTATAATCAGCCCAATCTAAAGTCATATTTCTTCCCCTCTGGTCCAACACCCATGAAATCCATTTCTTCATACATTCCCCGTTATAAATCAGCAAAATGTTGTAGTTCTTTTTGCTATGTAAATCTCCTCTTCCTCTGTTTCACTTTGTTATAGGCCCCCTGGGTCATGCTGGGATCTGACTTTAGTTAAGGTTTGGAGACCTTGAGGGGAGGTGGGGAGAGGAGGCTTGAAGAGAGCGGGCATCCCCACAAAATGCACCTGCCTCAGGTGAGATCTGAGAGTCTGCAGCAAGGCAGAACCAGCCTTATTGTACAAGTTTGGGGGCTACTTCCTATGAGAAGAGAAGTTTGGAAGGAAGTTAGGGTGCTCTTAGTTACATGAATACTTTCAAGTGTCACATTCCAATTCCTGGACTATTTTTCCTTCTCATCTCATTAACTGAGAAACTAATTATCCTCACATAAATTCAGTCTTTGTTGTCATTGAGCACCCTGCAGGGTTATTGTCTGTGTCAGTGTTTTAGTAATCTCATGGAGATCCCAGTGGATCTGTGAAGTGGGTCCTACAGAAACAAGAAGTAAGGGGTTCTTTTAGGGTCGATATCAAAATGCCTGACGTCCTAACTGTGCCTTGAACCAAGATATTAAAGCTCTGAACCTGTGCTTTTTTTTCTTTAATTTCTCCAGTGAAGTTAGAAGCAACCAGACCACCTCACATGTCTGTTACTACTTATGTTCCCCATATTGTTCTATCACACTTAGTTCACCAAAGCCTTGCCTTGAATAGGCATTTTATTCCAGATGGCCTCAGGTGATTATTTAAATTCCCTTTTCAGGCCAAGAACAGTGGCTCCTACCTGTAATCCCAGCACTCTGGGAGGCCGAGGCAGGCAGATTGCTTGAGGTCAGGAGTTCAAGACCACTCTGGGCAACAGGGTGAAATCCCGTTTCTACTAAAATACAAAAAATTAGCCAGGTGTGGTGGCAGGCACCTGTAGTCCCACCTACTCAGGAGGCTAAGGCAGGAGAATTGCTTGAACCCAGAATGCAGAGGTTGCAGTGAGCCAAGATCATGCCATTGCACTCCAGCCTGAGTGACAGAGCGAGACTCTGTCTCAAAAAAATAAATAAATAAATAAATAAATAAATAAGTACCTGTTTCATTACTGAGTGGCCATCTGCCAGCATCCCAGCCATTAATGGTAATTAGATGCTGCCCTTCCGTCCTCATTACATCAGATATCCAATCCTAGATTCTCACAGCCTTGGATTGTTTCCCACATCCACTTCTTTTACCATGTCCTGAATTGGTCAGGATTCAACAACAGAATTCACTCTAGCTAGTTCAGAGAGAAAGAGATTTGTCACAGGGTTTTAGTTTATAAAATTTCTGGGAGTGCCAGAGAAACAAGCTTAATTGAGCTCCTATTAGGTACCAGGTCCTGTTCTAGGTGCTGGGGCTATAATAACGGACAAGAGAAAGTCCTTGCCCTTGTGCAATTTACATTCTGATGTAGTCCAACAATAAAGAAGAGTTATGAGTCTTTGAAGAAAAATAAAGCACAGTGTGGAGTTAGAGAATGCCCAGGAGGTGTATTAGTCAAGGTTCTTCAGAGAAACAAAACCAGTGGGATACATAGAGGTACTGATAACAGGAAATTTATTATTGGTATTGACTCATGTGATTATGGAGGGAGAGAAGTTCCACAATCTGCCATCTGCAAGCTAGAGAACCAGGAAAGCCGATGGTCTAATTCAGGCCAAGTCCTAAGGCCCCAGAGGACAGAGAGTTTCAAAGTCCAAAGGCCTGAGAGCCAGGAGCTTCCACATCCAAGGGCAGGAGAAGATGGACGTCCCAGCTCAAGGAGAGAGAAGCAGCCCTTCCCCTACCGTTTTGTTGTATCCAGGCCTTCAACGGGTTTGATGATGCCTGCCTGCCTGCCCTCACCTTTGTGGGTGGGTCTTCTTTACGCGGTCTACTGATTCAAATGTGAATCCCTTCCAGAAACACCCTCACAGACACACCCACAAATGATGTTTTGGGTTTTTTTTGTTTTTTGAGAGAAGGTCTCATTCACTTGTCTCACTCTCTGCAGTGGCCTGAACATGGCTCACTGCAGCCTCAAACTCCCAAACTCAAGCAAATCCTGCCTCAGTCTCCTGAGCAGCTGGGACCACAGACACTCACCATTATGTCTGGCTAATTTTTAAACTTTGAGTAGAGGTAGGGTCTTGCCATGTGGCCCAGGCTGGTCTCAAACTCCTGTGCTCAAGCAATCCTCCTGCCTCAGCCTCCCAAAGTGCTGGGATTACAGGCATGAGCCACTGCACCTGGCAGAAATAATGTTTTAGCAGCTATCTGGTCATCCCTTAACCTAGTCAAGTTAACACAGAAAATTACTCATAACTAAAAGGAAGTAGAAGGAACAATAAACTGTTAATAGAAGTAGAAATAGAAGTAAACATAGAAATAGAAGTAAAATGTTATTAACAGCCTGATTGAAAGTATAAATAAGCCTTGGGGGCCAGGCGCAGTGGCTCACGCCTGTAATCCCAACACTTTGGGAGGCCGAGGCAGGCAGATCACCTGAGGTCAGGAGTTCAAGACCAGCCTGACCAACATGAAGAAACCCCATCTTTACTAAAAATACAAAGTTAGCTGAGTGTGATGGCACATGCCTGTAATCCCAGCTACTTGGGAGGCTGAGGCAGGAGAATCGCTTGAACCCAGGAGGCGGAGGTTGCGGCGAGCGGAGATTATGCCATTGCACTCCAGCCTGGGCAACAAGAGCGAAACTCTATCTCAAAAAATAAATAAATAAATAAATAAATAAATAAATAAATAAATAAATAATAAAATAAGCCTGGCATGTTCAGAGAATAGCAGAAAATAATGGGCTGGGATGGAGTGACTTTAGGGATGTGATAGGAGATAAAGTTGGGAAGGGAAATGGAAGTAAAATGTTATTAACAGCCTTGTAGGCCATAGTAACAAGGCTGGATTTTATTCTAGGATAGTAAAGATTTACTGAGAAGGACTGAATTCATCTTGGGTAATAATAATGAAATCAAGCTTCCCCTATTACGTTTTTATAACAAACTTCCAGGTAATGACTTCTGATTTCAGCATCAGGTCTTCCTCTGAGTGGTTCAAAGAGCATATTCTGAGCAGTTCAGTCTGAATTCCCCCATCATGTTACCCTATCTTGTTAGCCCATTCAGACTTGAACTGTGATGTCTCATGTTTGCTTTAAGGCCTTCATTACGACTTTTAGTATTACTTTCAGTGGCAAGAACCTCGGTTACTTTTGTACCAACCGAATATTTGGTTTTGCACTGGCCCAAAATATAATATTTAAACACTGAGCATCTTTTGATTTCACCAGAGGTTCATTTTGCTCCAAGATGCTTTGAAAAATGCTGCCTGTGGCTGAATGGTGCTGCAGCGCTCTATCTTTCTGGACTGGGCGCCGCGTCGATGTGTACTCTCTTTGATGGTTATCTTCTCTTTGCACGATCTGTGGTGTTGGTTTGTGGTTCTCTTTGATGGCTATCTTCTCTTTGCACGATCAGTGGTGTTGTTTTGCCCCTGACGGAATCTGCCTTCTTGGAAGCTAACTGAACTGAATATGACACTTCCTGTGAGATGCCTTTAAACATCCTCTTTCATGTTAAAGTCATCTTTAACATCCTATGAAATTACTTTCCTATGAAATTACTTCATTCTCCATTCCCTGTTATTAAGGCTAGTAATTGGCGTTTTGCAGTTTCTCAATCCTAGCCCCTACCTTGTTTCCCAATTCCAGTACTTACTCTCCTGCACCTGTAGGCTCTTAGATCCCAACCAGACTAGCGTTCTGTTCCCATGTCAGCAGGAGCATGTACTCCACCCTCGCTAGTCCCTCTCAAGGACTGAAATCCATTTCCCTTCCTCTCACTGCTGCCACCATAATCTAAGTGTCCAAATCTCACTTGGGTTATTGAATTAGCCTCCTAATTTCTCTCTCTGTATGTATGTTGCCTTCCCAGAAATCCATTCTCCATATTATGTCACTTCCTTGCTTGATTTCTTTCAATGGTTTTGAATTTAGCATAAAATCCAAATTTCTTATTGAGATCTAGATCTCCGAGGCCCTCCATGGACTGATTTCTGCCAACCTTCCTGGCTTCTTCACTCAAGTTTCAGCCACCCTGGCCTCATACTGCTTTCCCCACACCTCCAGTTCTTTCTCTCCTCAGGGCCTCTTGCTATTCTGCACCTCTTCCCTCTTTGTACAGGGGTCTCAATCCCATCGACTGGCCTTATCTAATCTCAGACCTGTATCTCCAGAACTCATGTGGGTGTTAAAACCAGACATTGAGGGGATAGATTACTCAAATAACTTATAAGATATTATTCTAGTATTACACATGAGGAAAATTGAAGGTGCAGAGAGCTTAAATAACGTGTTCAAGATTATAAAGTAGGAAGCAGCATATCTGGGATTTGAACTCAAGCAACCTGTCTCACAGTGCTCAACATGGCTATACTATTCTTCCTGCCTCATATTTTGAAAGTGTACGCAATGTTGTTTCAGGTTTGGCTCTAGGTGAAGTGGGGAGAAGAATACAGTTATATCAGTATTCAGTGCTGGAAATAGACACTTCAAGTCGAAAGGGATTTAATCATGAAAATTAGGTACATTTGCAATATTAATAATTAGGAGAACTGGGGTCAAGGGTTGCCACTGGGCCACTGATGTCAAGGACATGCCACCATAATTGTGGTACAAGATCAGGAAACTGCTCTGAGGAAAATACCGTGTACATCACTTGCTGTTTCTCTGCATATACTTCAGACTCTTGTAGCTAGTGTCATAACTGAGTCATGCCTAGGCCTTCCCACTGTTCTGTAAAGTCAGCTACATCTGCACATGTTCAATTTTTAAAAAGTGATCTAAATATATGATTTAAATATCCAAATATGATAAAATATTAAATCTGAGTGATGGATATGTTTGGGGTATTACATAATATAATTTTTTTAAATTAAGAAAATCCTTACAGTTGACATTTAGTAAAAGAAACTCTTATGTTTCAGATTTTTGAAAAATATACAAACAACAGCCGCATCTCCATCAACAGGGCTGAAAGACAAACAACACTGAGCAAAATATTTGCAGCATATATAACAGACCATGATATACATTGAGTCTTTGTAAATCAATAATAAAACAGTGAACAGACCAATTTAAAAAGCAATAAAGGCATAAAATGGAATTACACAAAAGAAGAAATGTAGTATCCAATAAGGGTGTGAAAAATAATAATCACTAAACATTAGTAAAATGCAAATAAAAACCACAGTGAGACATCTTTTTATTTTAACCACAGATTGGCAAACATAACATTGGCAAAACCAAATGTTGGCAAGACAATGAGGAGACAGGGACTTTGATGCACAGATGTTTGGTGGGAGTGAAAATGGGTATAACCTTCCTCAGAAAGGGTAGTTTGGCAGTGTGTAAATGTGAAGGCATCATCATGGGACAGTGATGTGAGTGATGGAAAGCTACCAACAGAAAAGTTACAGAGAATGTAATTGCTATAATTCATGGAGATGTTACATAAAGTAGAATACTCCCAGAGTAAGTTTCCCAGACCCCCAATCCCCAGTGGAAAATACACCTGCCCATGATACTTCCCAGTATTTTCTATACAGAGGGATGAGTCTGCCAGGGACAAGAAGCTTACACCCTCTCATTCTTATGGGATCCTTATTCTCCCTGGCCGCCTTTTGGGCTATCTGCTTACAGGGACAAGTAACTATTACAAAATAACTTGAGTGTCTACCACCATGAATTAGATAAATTGAAGAGCCATCTTCCAAGTATACCTTTTTTCCTGCAAAACCAAGTCTCCGGTCTACCTGAATTTCATCCATGCAGGATCGAAATGTAATGGGTGCCTACCATTGGTCTCAGAAATCCCACTTCTAGAACTTACCTTAAGAAGGTAATTGTGTAAATATCATAAGATGGATGATTACAGATATTCATTGAAGACTTTCTAGAAACAAAAATTGGCTGAACTTAACTGCTCATCAATAGAGACTAAGTAAATTATGATATATCCATATAATGATCTCCTCTGGAGCCTCTAAAATATATGTGTACATGTTGGTATTTGTACCTCTATGCATAAAATTCTCAAAGTGGTCAGGGGTGAAATTGAAGAAAATAAATGGGTGGCTAGGCAGGTGTCAGAGAGACTTCATGTATATACTTTTATATGTTTAAAATTTGAACCATACGAATGTTTTTATTTTAAAATTAAAGTTAAAAAGTAAATACTGGCCGGGCATAGTGTCTCACACCTGTAATCCAAGCACTTTAGGAGGGCGAGGCAGGTGGATCATCTGAGGTCGAGAGTTCAAGACCAGCCTGGCCAACATGACAAAACCCCGTCTCTACTAAAAATACAAAAATTAGCCGGGTATCGTGGCACGTGCCTGTAATCCTAGCTACTTGGGAAGCTGAGGCAGGAGAATCAAATTTCTTGAACCTGGGAGGAGGAAGTTACAGTGAGCTGAGATCATGCCACTGCACTCCAGCCTGGGTGACAGAGCCAGACCCTGTCTCAAAAAACAAAACAAAACAAAACAAAACAAAACAAAACAAAACAAAAAAAGTACAGAGAGAGACAGGGAGAGAGAGGAGCAGAGATGCCTGAAGAGAGCCACCAGAAGTTATAGCAGTTATTTTGGGGTAGCAAGATTTGACCCAACACATTTTATTCCTTTACTTTTCTTTTTTTTATTCCTTTCCTTTTCTTTTTTTTATTCCTTTACTTTTCTATATTTTTTGAATCTTCATAAGCATGCATCATTTTATGGATGTAAAAAATTCAAATTACAAAAGGAAATTACATAACCATAATAAAAAGATAGTAAAGCCCAATTTTCACTAAAATATATTTTTAGGACCCTTCCGCATGGTGTTCCTTGAAGAGGACAGTCCCTCACCACTCCACTTCTATTCCCAGCCCTTGCTTCTGGAACTCTATCCTATGAGTTTTCATTTCCTTTTTTATTTTTTCCCTCAGAGTTGCTGATGGAGTGATCAAAAGCGTATTATGGCAAACACTTCAAGCTCTTAATTTCTGTCATATACATAACGTAAGTAACATTTTCTAATGTATTTATTCATTTCTTCATGATGACTCTTTTCTTCTAAATAGCTCAGGGTTTTGTTTGGAGAGCTGAAGACAAAGGGAAAGTAAGAGCCAAAGAAGCAAAACAAAAGGAAGTTCAGCCAGTAATCCCAGCACCTTGGGAGGCTGAAGTGGGAGGATCACATGAGCCCCAGAGTTTGAGACAGGCCTGGGCAACATAGCAAGACCCTGTCTCTGCAAAAAAGAAGAAAAGGGAATAACAAAAGAAAGTTCAAAATATGAGAAAAAAGTGATGCATTATTCATGGCTCTTTCCAATTTCTGTAAGAATCAAATTGCTAATTCCTTATGAATTAAAAATTTGAATAAATATAATGATTCCTTTTGCCATAGTGCCAGTGACCCCTGAAACTATTTTTAAATTGGGCGAGAATAATTTTTCAGGGCCGGTATGGTGGCTCATGCCTGTAATCCCAGCACTTTGGGAAGCCAATGCGGGCAGATGGCTTTGAGCTCAGGAGTTCAAGACCAGCCTGGGCAACATGGAGAAACTCTATCTCTATGAAAAAATATAAAAATTAGCCAGCCATGGTGGTGCGCACCTGTAATCCTAGCTACCTGGGAGGCTGGAGCTGGAGAATCACTTGAACCCAGGAGGCAGAGGTTGCAGTGAGCTGAGATCACACCACTGCTCTCCAGCCTGGACAACAGAGTGAGACCCTGTCTCCAAAAATAATAGTAAGTTTTCAGGATATTGCTGATGTAATCCCCCATGGTACTTTTTTTTTTAACTATTATTTTTAAGTCTCTTAAGTCCTTTACTCGATAGCAATCTAAGTGCCCCTTTCCTTTCCTTTTTAAAAACCGTTTCCGGCCGGGCATGGTGGCTCACGCCTGTAATCCCAGCACTTTGGGAGGCCGAGGCAGGCGGATCACGAAGTCAGGAGATCGAGACCATCCTGGCCAACACGGTGAAACCCTGTCTCTACTAAAAATACAAAAAATTGGCCGGGCATGGTGGCGGGTGCTTGTAGTCCCAGCTACTCGGGAGGCTGAGGCAGGAGAATGGTGTGAACCCAGGAGGCGGAGCTTGCAGTGAGCCGAGATCGTGCCACTGCACTCCAGCCTGGGCGACAGTGTGAGACTCTGTCTCAAAAAAAAAAAAAAAAATTCATTAATTTTTTATAGCCGTAGTTCTCAAGCTTGAGCATGCATCAAAATCACAAGGAGGGCTTGTTAAAACACAGCTTCCTGGGCCCCACCCCCAGAGTTTCTGATTCAGTCAGTCTTGGGTAGGGCCCCAAGAATGTGCATTTCTCATATTTTCCCAGATGCTACTGAAGCTGTTGGTTCAAGAACCACTATGTTAGAGAAATAATTTTGGCTGACTTTTTCTTGTATGTAATTTAACGTGTTCTTTCACTTGTATTTCCTGTAAATTGGAGTTTATATCTAGAGGCTTGATCATATTCAGGTTCAGCTTTTTTTAGTTAACAATGCCTGCTATGTGGTGCTGTACACTTCATATCGCATCCCCATTATGAGGTGTATAGCATCCACTTGTCCCACTTTCGATAATGTTAAAATTGATGAGTGGGCTCAGGAGGTATTCGTTTGGTCCCCTCCATTATCATTTTCCCTGTCAACGTTGTTTCCCTGATGGTTTTAGCATCCAGTGATGATTATTGCCTGTATCTAGTATTTCGTGACAGTAATTTTCTAATTCTGTTATTCCTTCTGCATTTAATAATTGGAATTGTATGGAAAAGAACTCATCCTCATGGACTCTGGTTACTTTTATTTATCAACACTCAGGGTGATGAGATGATATCTTAGCAACAATGACAAGTTTTGGGGAGAGGTGGCTGGAGCACCATTATAAACACAAATTTTGTATTGTGGTGTTTTCAATTCTTTGCTGTCATTGGTCTCTCCCATGCTCAGATTTTCCCATCTTAGGCCAACATGAGCTTCTTCAAGTTGGCTCCTGGTACCTTTGCTATATATCATTATATTTTTGGGACAGTCTCGCTCTACTGCCCAGGCTGGAGTGCAGTGGTGTTATCATAGCACCCTTGAGCCTCAAACTCCTGGGCTCAAGTGATTCTCCCACTTCAGCCTCCCTGAGTAGCTGGGACTACAGGCACATGCCACTACACTCAGCCAATTTTTGTTTTTGTAGAGATGGGGGTCTCACTATCTTGCCCAGGCTGGCCTCAAACTCCTGCCTTGGCTGCCCAAAGTGCCAGGATTACAGGTGTGAACCACTGCACTCAGCCAATGATAGCTTTTAAAAAAATATATCTAGCCCTTTTGAGTTGGTGCCTAGACAGAGACAGTGCTGAGGCAATGATACAGAGTACCATATGGTCAGTTTTGATGCCAGCAGAATGTCTATCATAGCAGTCTAGGATTGCTGAAAAAGAAAGTACAAGATCATGAGAATACATTTCAATACGGAGGGGAAGCTTTCTTTAGTTTTAGGAAAGTCAGTGAAGTTTTTATTAGGTTAAATCAAAAGCTTTTATTTTCTATTAATGTAGAGGGATATTTTTCACAAAATACATAAACCTATTTTTCATGATGCAAATTGTGCTTTCTGATGCTTAATAAAGATGATGCCAAATGGAATCCTTATCTCTGTTGCTTTCCACCATGCTATAGGAGATATCAAAGTTGCTGCAGGAGTTTTATGGGTAGTTAAAATGATTTCTAAAAATACCACTTACCACAAGTGTTTATACTTTATCCCTATATAACCAGACACTTTCCTGGGTACTTGGTTATAAGCTTGAATGCAATGTCTGTGGCTGCTTTATCTTTGTATCTCTTTAATACCTAAATTGGATATTTTTATATACAGGGTGATCAATAAATATTTATTGAATAACTGGATGGAGGGATGGGTGGATGGTTGGATGAGTCAATCAGTCAGTCAACCCAAACTGCCTAACTGATTGTGACTATTTCCAGTGGAGCCAAACATTATTGTAGACCAACGCAACTGCCATCATTTCTGTGCTTGGAACAACACGTTCTATACCCTAAGCTTTAAAACACTGAAAACTTCTGACTGATAATATGTGGCCTCTATTAAAAATAGGTAATTTTTCAGGCTAGGTGTGGTGGCTCAAGCCTGTAATCCCAGGACTTTGGGAGGTTGAGGTGGGCAGATTGCCTGAGGTGAGGAGTTCAAGACCAGCCTGGCCAACATGGTGAAACCCTGTCTCTACTAAAAATACAAAAATTAGCCGGGCATGGCAATGCATGCCTGTAATCCCAGCTACTACTCAGCAGGCTGAGGTGGGAGAATCACTTGAACTCGAGAGGCAGAGGTTACAATGAGCTAAGATCGGGCCACTGTACTCCAGCCTGGGCGACAGAGCAAGAGTCTGTCTCAAAAAAAGATAATTTTTCAGACTAACTTCCCTCCTCCAAGATGGAAATTACTTCTCATTTTCTTATGGTAAGCCTTTGTGTATCTGCCTTTTTATTTATCTATAATTAAAATGCTTGCAAAGAAAAAAATCTAAGCCATATATAAAGCTGTCACAATAATACAACTAAAACCTTTATACTCTCCTTATTTTTAAAGGAACTCCCATGATAGTCTCAAAGAGTAGAAAAGGCAATCTGACCTAGTGGTGTTGCTGACGACTCACAGCTTTAAACCTGTAGAGACCATGTGCACCTTATCATCTCCAGAGTCGAGATCCTAAACAGGACACTGCAGGTTAAAGTACCAAGGGATTCAGGCCTTGCTACTCCAACTATGGTTCATAGAGATCACCTGGGAGCTTTTAGAAATGTTGAATCTGAGGTCCACTACAGACCTGCTGAATCAGAGTCTGCATTTTAACCAGAGCTCCAGGTGATTCATGTGCACATTAAATTTGGAGAAGCGCAGGACTTAAGAAAATACGTATTCATTTGGTTCTCTTTTACCCTATAATATCACTAGAGTGAGGTAACCAAAGTGGTCCATTTAACGCCATAATGAACCCAGGGATTTTTATATATTTGCTGTATTGATTAGAGAACAGGGGCTTCATCTCAAAATGGCAAAAATGACTTTTTTTTTTTTTTTCTTCCTGAGACAGGATCTTGCTCTGTTTCCCAGGCTAGAATGCAGTGGCGCCTTCACGGCTCACTGCAACCTCAGCCTCCCATGCTCAAACAATCCTTCCACCTTAGCCTCCCAAGGAACTGGGACTATGGCACATGCTATCATGCATGGCTAATTTAAAAAAAAAATTTTTTTTTTTTTTTGTAGAGATAGTCTCATTGTGTTGCCCAGGGTGGTCTCAAACCCCTGACCTCAAGCGATTCTCCCACCTTGGCCTCCCAAAGAGCTAGGATTACAAGCATGAGCCACCATGCCCAGCTGGCAAAAATGACTTCTGAGATAGGAGTGGGTCAGGCTGCAACCTCCGTCAGCATCTTGTTGATACTCATGTTTTGGTTGTTGAGGAGAGGGTTGCTTTTCTCTCTCCTCGATGTGTGAGCATCCATGCCTAAGGCTCAAAGAGAATAAATTTCTCAGATAATAAAAAAAATGATTTATTGTTTTTATCAGGCTATTTAAGAAGCAATTTCTGGTGTGCAAGTTTGCAGAGATGATTTTAAAGTTAAAAGTCAGTTTTAAAATACCATGGATATCTCTTTAGGCTGGCCTGTGAGCCAAAAAAAAAAAAAAAAAAAAAGATTGCCCGTCAGCCACAACAACTGAACCTGAGCATTGTTTGCTAAAAACTGTGTACAAGGCCAAGCATGGTGTCTCATGCCTGTAATCCCAGCACTTTGGGAGGCCGAGGCTGGTGGATCACCTGAGGTCAGGAGTTCAAGACCAGCCTGGCCAACATGGCGAAACCCCATGTCTACTAAAAAATACAAAAAATTAGCCAGGCGTGGTGGTGAGCACCTGTAATCCCAGCAACTCAGGAGGCTGAGGCAGGAGAGTCACTTGAACCCAGGAGGCAGAGGTTGCAGTGAGCCGAGATCACGCCACTGCACTCCAGCCTGAGCAACAAAGAGCGACTCTGTCTCAAAAAAAAAAAAGCTGTGTATAAAACTCAACTTATTAAAATTATTTTATTAAGAGAGACTTGCATGTTTCTTGTTCTTCGAGGGAAAATAAGCTGATTGCAAGAGGCATTGCAGAGAGTTTGCATTGAGTGTGGCTTTGCAGTGGAGTAGGTGAATGCTGTATGTCTAAGCATCTTCTTCCCCCCATGCCCTGTTTCTTATGGTTCCAATTATTTATTTTTTAATTTTTTAAAAATTTTTATTTATTTATTTATTTTGAGACAGAGTCTTCCTCTGTCGCCCAGGCTGGGGTCCAGTGGCGCAACTACAGCTCACTGCAACCTCTGCCTCCCAGGTTCAAGTGATTCTCCTGCATCAGCCTCCCGAGTAGCTGGGATTACAGGTACCCACAACCACGCCTGGCTAATTTTTCTATGTTTAGTAGAGACAGGGTTTCACCATGTTGGCCAGGCTGGTCTCGAACTCCTGACCTCAGGTGATCTGCCTGCCTAAGCCTCCCAAAGTGCTGGGGTTACAGGCATGAGCCACCACGCCCAGCCAGGTTCCAATTGTTTTTACTCCCTTTTAAATTTCTTCAGTATCCTCTCACTCTTTATCAATAACTTCTGTTACCTGCTCCTATAAAATAAATTTTCCTGTTTCTTTGGAATATGTCAATACTTCATTTCCTTTTGTATATTTGGTTGAAAAATAAGTGCTATAAATTTCACATGGATTAGATGCAGAAAACATATGTATAGGCCAATGGACAGATATTGATGTAAATCCATTTACTTGGTAATGCTACACATATAGTCTAGAAATTCTAGAACTTGATGCAAACTCATTTAAAGGATATAACCTGTTCTAATGCAATCACCAAGTATGAGTGTTACTGACTCAGAGTGTTAGTCTAAGTTTCTTAAGTGTGTTGCTTAAAAGGTAGGATATCAAAACTATGTTCATTTATATTCCAAAAAAAAATTTTTTTTTTTGAGACAGGGTCTCACTCTGTCACATAGGCTAGAGTGCGGTGGTGCCATCTTGGCTCACTGCAACCTCCACCTCCTGGGCACAAGCCATCCTCCCATCTCAGCGTCTTGTGTAGCTGGGACTAAAGGCACACGCCACACACCTAGCTAATTTTTGTATTTTTTGTAGAGACTGAGTTTCACCATTGGGCCCAGGCTGGTATCAAACTCCTGGGCACAAGCGATCCGCCCACCTTGGCCTCCCAAAGCGCAAGTATTACAGGCATCAGCGACCATGCCCAGCCTGTGTATTTTTTTTAATTAGTGTCTAAGGCCTTAGTACTTTTAAGAGACCTAAAAAAGTTTCTTCTAACTGCTCTTCATACAAATTATGAAGCAATTGACAGTAATTGAGACTAAATAGGAACAAGCTCCTGTTACCAGTGTCATTTCTGCAACCTAAAATGATTTTAGGGCTCAGCTCTTTTTCTCTTCCTAGATAGCTATTAAAGAACCAAAGACAATCATTTCAGAATTGTCAGTTTGACAAAAATGCTTAAAGGGCCTGACAGCATAGTAGAAAAGGAGGCAGAAGGAGTTGATTATTGTGACACTTAATGGACACTTAATTCATGACAGTTAATTCTGTCAGTGGCCACTTGCAATCACAGGATTGTTGCAAGGATGAAATAATTTATGCTTTGAATTGAAAGTGCTTTGAAAAGTACAGAGTTCCCTGTGAGGGCCCAGTTGTGGAGATCGATATTATTTTCATCCATTTTCTTTTTTGGGAGCGTGGATAAACTGTAAAGTCCTGAAGGGTACGGTCTGAGCTGTTTTCTCACAGCACCTCCGCAACATGGAAACCCATTTCTGGAATGCCCATGTGCGCGCGGGCTTACTCAGCCTGCCCTCACCCAGGCCCCTAGCCGGGCCGCTCCTGTCCAGCGAGGAGCATCTGTTTCATTCAGGGTCATTATGATGACGCAGCAAGTTGTAAGGCCGCTGCATATGAAAGAACAGCTGGGTCCAGGCGCGGTGGCTCACGCCTGTAATCCCAGCACTTTGGGAGACCGAGGTGGGCGGATCACTTGAGCTCAGTAATTCAAGACCAGCCTGGACAACAACATGGTGAAACCAGCCTCTACTAAAAATACAAAATTAGCCGGGCATGGTGGTGAGCGCCTGTAATCCTAGCTACTCGGGACACATCCGTAGTCCCAGCCACTCGGGAGGCTGAGGCAGGAGAATCGCTTGAACCCGGGGGGCGGAGGTTGCAGTGAGCCGAGATCGCGCCACTGAGCTCCAGCCTGGGCGACACAGTGAGACTCTGTCTCAAAAAAAAAACAAAAAACAAAAAAAAACAGCTGCTTTGAGGTCAGCGTGCCTCGGGTCCCACTTTCCCAGTATGGATTCTGACAGCATCGTGGGCCGTCTCAGGAGTGTTGCTGATCGTTCCAGGTTAGCTCCGGTGAGGAGGTGGAAGTGATCCCCATCCCCTGGCGCGGAATGCTTCGGAATCTCTGCTAAGCAGGGGACTGTGCGCCCCAGCTCGCCCAGGGCAGTCCTGGTTTGTGCCTTTTGTCGGGGCATGATTATTAATAGGCCCCTCTTTCTTTCTTTCTTTCTTTTTTTTTTTTTTTTTTTTTGAGACGGAGTCTCGCTCCGTCGTCCAGGCTGGAGTGCAGTGGCACCATCTTGGCTCACCGCAAGCTCTGCCTCCCGGGTTCCCGCCATTCTCCTGCCTCAGCCTCCTGAGTAGCTGGGACTACAGGCGCCTGCCACCACGCCTGGTTAATTTTTTCTATTTTTAGTAGAGACGGGGTTTCACCGTGTTGGCCAGGATGGTCTCTATCTCCTGACCGCGTGATCTGCCCGCCTCGGCCTCCCAAAGTGCTGGATTACAGGCGCGAGCCACCGAGCCCGGCTATAGGCCCCTCTTTCACACTTGGAAGTCTCCTGATTTGGATGATAAATAATATGGTCATTCTAATTATAAGTGAATTTTGCTTTTTGTTATCATTTAAATGTTTTTGTAATTTCTCAAATCTGCAAGTTTTTCAACCTGAATTGTGACTCTTGGGTGGCAGCAGTTATTAGAGGTACTCTTAAGTCTAATCTCATTTAGAGTTTTACCTCTTACGGTTTAAATAGGACCCAGCAAAAAGTGAAAGAAATAATTGTATGTTACTCTCTTCTTGAATTTAATTTTTTATTTTTATTTTTTGTTTTCGAGACAGGGTTTAGCTCAGTTGCTCAGGCTCTGTGCAGTGTGATCATAGCTCACTGCAGCCTCAACCTTCGAGGCTCAAATGATCCTTCGGCCTCAGCCTCCTCAGTAGCTAGGACCATAAGTGCATGCCACTTTGCCTGGCTAATTTTTTAACTTTTTTGTAGAGACAGGGTCTCATTGCATTGCCCAGGGTGGTCTCAAATTCCTGGCTTCAAGTTATCCTCCCGCCTCGGCCTCACAAAGTGCTGGGATTATGGACATGAGCCACCACACCCAGTCTGAAAATCCCTTCTTTAAAAAAAAAAAAAGACAGTTTTTATATACAATTATAATTTCAATTTTTTCAATAATAAAACAATATTTTAATAAAAGTTTTAATTTTGGTATGACAAGAGTTACAAGTGAAAAATTGCCAATTTAAGTTCTTTTAGAAAAGTGAAGGAAGCCCACATTTGTTTTTATCTCATAGGCTGTGTATCTGTTATTTAAACTAGTAGTTAATGTTTATTCTTTGTCATTTTGATGGTTCAGAAAAATAATCAAATAATGATCTTACAGTGTATTCACAGAGATATAAAACCTGAAAATATTCTAATAACTAAGCAAGGAATAATCAAGATTTGTGACTTCGGGTTTGCACAAATTCTGAGTAAGTAGCAATTTTTTTTACTAATACCCAGTTCAGATGATGATAAAATGACATAGTTTAAATTCTTACATTGGATATTGGACATATGCCAAATATTGTATTGTTGTTATTCAAAAAGGAAAATCTCACTTTAGCCTTTTAGTCAGTACATTCGTTTGCACTTCAACTCTGCTCCATTCAGCTAGAATTTATCAGATGTCACCTTTCTGTGCTTTGCCCCATAGGAAAGGAAAAGATTTCTAAAAGCATTTCTGTTCTTCATGCACTTATAATCTACAGTAAAAGAAACAAAGAATAATACAAGATGATTGGCAATAAAGTACTAAAGTGAAGGTGCAGACGGTTCCCTGGAGGGAGATATTAATGTGGGCGAGAGTGGTTGAAAAAAACTTCACAGAGCTGGTGAGACTAGAAGAGTAAACTGAAAATTAAAGAGAGAGGATTCAGAGAGAGTGCTAAGAAAACGGAAATCATTCCAGGCAAGGAGGAACTGAAGGGAAAGGGGGACAAATAATTGTTTCTCCCTCAATCTAGAACTTTACAGCAGACAAATATATGTATTAGCAACATACACCTCGCAGTCTGGGTGTGGACATAATCGGTATCCTGATGGGACCCAAACACGAGTGATTTGGCAATGCATTTGGAAGGGTTGGGCAAAAACAAAACCCGATCAAGGCTTTCTGAGGTTGCTGTGCTTTGTGGTAAAGATAATAGGATCCTAATGATAATTGGTCCCTGTGCCATGCGGCTGAAAAGAGAAATAGACAAACACTGGAAAACTATCGAGTTACAAACGCGGCACATAGTACCATGGTGCATCAGTATCATGAAATGCTGGGCTGCCATTAGTAGGGATGTTTGCAGAGTTTCAGTGGCATCGGAAAATGTTTAAGACATGGTAAGAGAAAAAGGAAAGTGAAAACATATGTATTCAGTATGATCTCAACTATACAGGAAATACATAGAAAAAAATTACTGAAATATATATGACCCTCAATTTAGGAAATTAAGTGAATGATAGTCATCCAATGCATGGTATAGATGCGGTGTCATAGATTTGGGGTTTTTTTCCTGGAAATCCATTATATACCACCAAAATACCCAATTGTCACAAAAATAAGTGAAAAAACCTACACAGATACGCCATTACAAGCATTAAGAACATAAGAGCAGCATTTCATATAAAAGTTACTTCATAATTGTTCCTTTTGGGGATTTTTCTCCATGGGCTGGCAAAGCTTCTTAAACTGGCAATACTTCCAAACGTATAAATATTTTTAATTTTTCATGAATATGCATTCTTTTTTTCCTTTCCTTTTTCATTTTCCTTTGCATTTCTGAGCTGAATATGCAAGTCAGCTTTCCTACTGAGTTTTCCTGTAGCAAACATAGTCATTCTTGTCTGAATGAAGAACCTTAGAACTGAGTTCAATGTTAGGGTCATCTGTCTCAGAAATTTTGACTGCATGAACACATCCAGAAGTCTGAATGGTGAACCCACTGTGGCAATTCCAATAATGATACCTTTTGCCATATTATTATAAACAAAGTGGTACTACAAGACACTGCCAACTTGTTAGTGCTGGCTGAAACCTCCACAAGACATGAGCTCAGGCACTGGTTACAGCTCAAGTCTTCTAAGTACTGGTATGAGTCATTGCTGGGGTCATTGTTGGCCATTTATAATGAGAAAGGCAAAGGAGGGGGTCCCATTATGTGATAAAATGCTAACACTGGCTCAATAGACATCCACATAAAAATGTAAGCTCCTACTGGATATCCACATGCAAAAGAAGGAAGTTGGACCTTTACCTTACATTATATTCACTCAAAATGAATCACCAACTTAAACATAAGAAATAAAGCTTACAAAACTCTTAAAAGAAAACATAGACAAAAAGCCTCATGACATTGGATTTAACAGTGATTTCTTGGATGTGACACCAAAAGCACAAGCAACAAAAGGAAAAATAGATAAATTGGACTTCATTAAAATTAAAAACTTCTGTGCATCAAAGGACACTATAAACAGAATGAAAAGCAACCCATGGAAAGGGAGAAAATATTAGTAAATTTATACCTAATAAAGAATTAATAGCCAGAATGTTCAGAACTATGACTCAATAACAAAAACTAATTTGAAAGTGGGCAAAGGACTTGAATAGACATTTCTTTTTTGTTGTTTTATTTCAATAGGTTTTTGGGGAACAGGTGGTGTTTGGTTACTTGAAAAAGTTCATTGTTTTGTTTTGTTTTGTTTTGTTTTGTTTTGTTTTGTTTTGTTTGAGACAGTGTCCAGAGTCTTGCTCTGTTGCCCAGGCTGGAGTGCAGCGGTGTGATCTCGGCTCACCGCAAACTCCACTTCCTGGGTTCAAGCAATTCTCCTGCCTCAGCCTCCCAAGTAGCTGTGACTTCAGGAACCCGCCACCACACCCAGCTAATTTTTAAATTTTTAGTAGAGATGAGTTTTTGCAATGTTGGCCAGGCTTGTCTTGAACTCCTGAGCTCAAGTCATCTGCCTGCCTCGGCCTCCCAAAGTGCTGGGATTACATGTGTTAGCCACCACACCTGGCTATGTGAATAAGTTCTTTGGTGGTGATTTCTGGAATTTTGGTTCCCCCACCACCTGAGCAGTGTACACTGTGCCCAATGTGTAGTCTTTTATCCCTCACCCGCCGCCCGACCCTTTCGGCTGAGTCCCCAAAGTCCATTGTATTATTCTTATGCCTTTGTGTCCTCATAGCTTAGCTCCCACTTATTGGAACATAGATGTTTGGTTTTCTATTCCTGAGTTATTTCAGGAATAATGGTTAGAATAATGGTTAGAATAATGGTCTCCAGTTCCATCCAGGTTGCTGCAAATGCCATTATTTTGTTCCTTTGTATGACTAAGTAGTATTCTGCGGTATATATATACCACATTTTCTTTATCTACTTGTTGATTGATGGACATTTGGGCTGGTTCCATATTTTTTCAATTGCAAATGTGCTGCTGTAAACATGCGTGTGCAAATATATTTTTTATATAATGACTTCTTTTCCTCTCGGTAGATACCCAGGAGTGGGGCTGCTGGATCAAATGGTAGATCTACTTTTAGTTCTTTAAGGAATCTCCACACTGTTTTTCATAGTGGTTGTATTAATTTAGATTCCCTCCAGAGTGTAAAAGTGTTCCCTTTTCACCACATCCATGCCAACATCTGTAGTTTTTTTTTTTTTATTTTTTTGGTTATAGCCATTCTTGCAGGAGTAAAGTGGTATCACATTATGGTTTTGATTTGCGTTTCCCTGATAATTAGTGATGTTGAGCATTTTTTTCATGTTTTTGTTAGCCATTTGTATATCTTCTTTTGAGAATGTCTATTCATGTCCTTAGCCCACTTTTTGATGGGATTGTTTGTTTTTTCTTGCTGATTTGAGTTGCTTGTAGATTCTGGATATTAGTCCTCTGTTGGATGTATAGATTGTGAAGATTTTCTCCCACACTGTGGGTTGTCTGTTTACTCTGCTGATTATTTCTTTTGCTGTGCAGAAGCTTTTTTAGTTTAAGTTCCATCTATTTATCTTTGTTTTTGTTGCATTTGCTTTTGGGTTCTTGGTCATGAGAAGTCTTTGCCTAAGCCAGTGTTATCTTCTAGAATTTTTATGGTTTCAGGTCTTAGATTGAAGTCTTTGATCCATCTTGAGATGATTTTTGTATAAGGTGAGAGGTGAGGATCCAGTTTCATTCTTCTACATGTGGCTTGCCAATTATACCAGCACCATTTGTTTAATAAGGTGTCCATTCATCACTTTATGTTTTTGTTTGCTTTGTCAAAGATCATTTGACTATAAGTATTTGGCTTTATTTCTGGTTTCTCTATTCTGTTCCATTGGTCTATATGCCTGTTTTTATACCAATACCATACTGCTTTGATGACTATGGCCTTATAGTATAGTTTGAAGTCAGGTAGGATAATCCCTCCAGATTTGTTCTTTTTGCTTAGTCTTGCTCTGGCTAGTGGGCTCTTTTTTTGGTTCTATATGAATTTTAGGATTGTTTTTTCAAGTTCTGTGAAGAATGATGGGGGTATTTTGATGGGAATTGCATTGGATTTGTAGGTTGCTTTTGGCAGTATGGTCGTCTTCACAATATTGATTCTACCCATCCATGAGCATAGGATGTGTTTCCATTTGTTTGTGTCATCTATGATTTCTTTCAGCAATGTTTTGTAGTTTTCCTTGTAGAGGTCTTTCACCTCCTTGGTTAAGTATATTCCTAAGTATTTTATTTTTTTGCAGCTATTGTAAAAGGGGTTGAGTTCTTGGTTTGATTCTCAGCTTGGTTGTTGTTGGTATATAGCGGGGCTACTGATTTATGTACATTAATTTTGTTATCCTAAAATTTTGCTGAATTCATTTACCAGTTCTAGGAGCTTTTTGAAGGAGTCTTTAGGGTTTTCTAGATATATGATCATGTCATCAGCCAACAGCAAAAGTTTGACTTCCTCTTTACCAATTTAGATGCCCTTTATTTTTTTCTCTTGTCTGATTGCTCTAGCTAGGACTTCCAGTACTATGTTGAATAGAAGTGGTGAAAGTGGGCATCCTTGTCTTGTTCCAGTTCTCAGGGGAAATGCTTTCAACTTTTCCCTATTCAGTATAATGTTGACTGTGGGTTTGTCATCAATGGTTTTTATTACCTTAAGATATGTCCCTTCTGTGCTGATTTTTCTGAGGGTTTTCATCATAAAGCAATGCTGAATTTTGTCAAGTGCTTTTTCTGCATCTATTGAGATGACCTTGTGATTTTTGTTTTTAATTATGTTTATGTGGTGTATCGCATTTATTGATTGCAGATGTTAAACCATCCCTGCATCCCTGGTATGAAATCCACTTGATCATGGTGGATTATCTTTTTGACATGCTGTTGGATTTGGTTAGCTAGTATTTTGTTGAGGATTTTTGCATCTATGTTCATCAAGGACATTGGTCTGTAGTTTTCTTTTTTTGTTATGTCCTTTTCTGGTTTTGTTATTAGGGTGATACTGTCTTCATAGAGTGATTTAGAGAGGATTCCCTTTCTCTGTCTTTTGGAATAGTGTCAATAGGATTAGTACCAATTTTTCTTTGAATGTCTGATAGAATTTAGCTGTGAATCTCTCTGGTCTTGGACTTTTTTTCATTGGTAACTTTTTAATTATCATTTCAATCTCGCTGCTTCTTATTGGTCTGTTCAGAGGTTCTATTTCTTCCTGGTTTAATCTAGGAGAGTTGCATATTTCCAGGAATTTATCCATCCTCCTCTAGGTTTTCTAGTTTATGCACGTAAAGGTATTCATAGGAGCCTTGAGTGATCTTTTGTATTTCTGTGGTATCAGTTATAATATCTCCTGTTTCATTTCTAATTGAGCTTAGTTTGATCTTCTCTCTTCTTTTATTGGTTAATCTTGCTAATGGCCTATCAATTTTATTTATCTTTTCAAAGAACCAGATTTGTGTTTCATTTATCTTTTGTGGGTTTTTTTTGTTGTTTCAATATCATTTACTTCTGCTCTGATCTTGGTTATTTCTTTTCTTCTGCTGGGTTTACGTTTGTTTTTTTCCTCTTTCTCTAGCTCCTTGAAATGTGACCTTAGATTGTCTATTTGTGCTCTTTCAGACTTTTTGATGTAGGCATTTAATGCTATAAACTTTCCTCTTGGCATTGCCTTTGCTGTATCCCAGAGGTTTTGATAGGTTGTGTCACTATTATTGTTCAGTTCAAAGAATTTTTAAGTTTCCATCTTGGTTTCATTGTTGACTGAACAATCATTCAGGAGCAGGTCATTTAATTTCCATGTATTTGCATGGTTTTGAGAATTCCTTTTGGAGTTGATTTCCAATTCTATTCCACTGTGATCTGTGAGAGTTCTTGCTATAATTTCAATTTTCTTAAATTTTTTTATTTTGTGGCCTATTATATGGTCTATCTTGGCAGATGTTCCATGTGTTGATGAACAGAATGTATATTCTGCATTTATGGTGTAGAAAGTTCTGTAAATATCTGTTAAGTCCATTTGTTGTAGGATATAGTTTAAGTCCATTGTTTCTTTGTTGACTTTCTGTCTTGATGACCTGTCTAGTGTTGTCAGTGGAGTGTTGAAGTCCTCCACTATTATTGTGTTACTATCTCATTTCTTAGGTCTAATAGTAATTGTTTTATAAATATGGAAGCTCCAATGTTAGGTGCGTATATATTTAGGATTGTGATATTTACCTGTTGGACTAGTTTTTTTTTTTTTATCATTATATAATGTCCCTCTTTGTCTTTTTTAACTGCTGTTGCTTTAAAGTCTGTTTTGTCTGATATGAGAATAGCTATTCCTGCTCACTTTTGGTGTCCACTGGCATGGAATACCCTTTCCCCCCACTTTACTTTAAGCTTATGTGAGTCCTTATGTGTCAGGTGGGTCTCATAAAGACAGCAGATACTTGGTTGGTGAATTTTTATCTACTCTGCCATTCTGTATCTTTTAAGTGGACCATTTAAGCCATTTACATCCAACATCAGTATTGAGATGTGAGGTACTATTCATCATGCTACTTGTTACCTGAATACCCTGGGTTTTTTTCATTGTGTTGCTGTTTTATAGGTCCTGTGAGATTTATGCTTTAAGGAGATTCTATTTTGGTGTATTTCAAATATTTGTTTCAAGATTTAGAGCTCCTTTTAACAGTTCCTATAGTGCTGGCTTGGCATTGGCAAATTCTCTCAGCATTTGTTTGTCTGAAAAAGACTGTATCTTTCCTTAATTTATGAAGCTTAGTTTCACTAGATACAAAATTCTTGGCTGATAATTGTTTTGTTTAAGGAGGCTAAAGATAGGACCTCAATCCCCTCTAGCTTGTAGGGTTTCTACTGAGAAATCTGCTGTTAATCTGATAGGTTTTCCTTTATAGTACCTGATGCTTTTGCCTCAGAGTCCTTAATATTCTTTCCTTTGTCTTGATTTTAGATAACCTGATGCCTATGTGCCTAGGCGATGATCTTTTTGCAATGAATTTCCCTGATGTTCTTGGGATTTGGATGGCTTCTTGTATTTGGATGTCTAGATCTCTAGCAAGGCCGGGGAAGTTTTCCTCAATTATTCCCTCAAATATGTTTTCCAAACTTTTAGATTTCTCTTTTTCCTTGGGAACACCAATTATTCTTAGGTTTCATCGTTAAACATAATACCAAACTTCTTGGAGGCTTTGTTCATTTTTTTAATTCTTTTTTTCTTTGTCTTTGACAGATTGGGTTAATTTGAAAGTCTGGTCTTCAAGCGCTGAAGTTCTTTCTTGAACTTGTGCAGTTCTGTTGCTGAGACTTTCTAGTGCATTTTGCATTTCTCTAAGTGTGTCCTTGATTTCCAGAAGTTGTGACTGTTTTTTTATTTATGCTCTCTGTTTCACTGGAGATTTTTCCATTCATATCCTGTATCATTTTTTTATTTCTTTAGGTTGGACTTCATCTTTCTCTGGTGCCTCCTTGATTGGCTTAATAGTTGACCTTCTGAATTCTTTTTCTGCCAATTCAGAGATTTTTCTCCTGGCTTGGATCCATTGCTGGTGAGTTAGTGTGATCTTTTGGAAGTGTTAAAGAACCTTGTTTTGGGCCAGGCACAGTGGCTTACGCCTGTAATCCCAACACTTTGGGAGGCCAAGGTGGGCAGATACCTGAGGTCAGGAGTTCGAGACCAGCCTGGCCAACATGGCTAAACCTTGTCTGTACTAAAAATTCAAAAATTAGCCGGGCGTGGCAGCACGTACGTGTAGTCCCAGCTACTTGGGAGGCTGAGGCAGGAGAATCACTTGTACCCAGGAAGCAGAGGTTGCAGTGAGCCAAGATCACACCACTGCACTCCAGCCTAGGTGACAGAGCAAGACTCCGTCTCAAAAAAAAAAGAACCTTATTTTGTCATCATGTTACTGGATTGTTTTTCTGGTTCCTTCTCATTTGGGTAGACTATGTCAGAGGGAAGATCTGGGACTTGAGGGCTGCTGTTCAGATTCTTTTGTCCCATGGGGTGCTTCCTTGATGTGGTGCTCTCCCCTTTCCCCTAGGGATGGGGCTTCCTCAGAGCCAAACTGCATTGATTGTTATTTCTCTTCTGGATCTAGCCACCCAGAGAAGCTACCAGGCTCTGGGCTGGTACTAGGAAGTGTCTGCAAAGAGTCCCGTGATGTGATCCATTGTCAGATCTTTCAGCTATGGATACCAGCACCTGCTCTGGTAGAGGTAGCAGGGGAGTGAAGTGGACTCTATGAGGGTCCTTGGTTGTATTTTTGTTAAGCACACTGGTTTTATGTTGGTTGACTTGGTTGTATTTTTGTTATGCGCACTAGTTTTATGTTGGTTGACCTCCAGCCAGGAGCTGGTGCTCTCAAGAGCACATCAGCTGCGGTAGCATAGGGTGGATCAGGCAGTGGGTGGGGCCATAGAGCTCCCAGGAGAATATGGCTTTTGTCTTCAGAGCTCCTTGGCTGTCCCACAGAGCCTGCAGTGGTAATCCACCTTCTTCAAAGGGTCTGTGGATTCTCTTGGCTTACCTGGTATGTTCCTGTGGTAGTTCTTGGAGCAAAAGTTCATGATGTAAGTCTCCACACGCTGCTCTGTCCGTCTGAGTCATAGCTGCAAGTTAGTCCTGCCTCCTATCAACCATTTTCCTCAGAAGCCATCAGAATAGACATTTCTTTAAAGAAGATATATAAGGCAGGGCGCAGTGGCTCAAACCAGTAATCCCAGCTAACTCAGGAGTCTGAGGCATGAGAGTCAGTTGAACCCAGGAGACAGAGGTTGCAGTGAGCCAAGACTGCACCACTACACTCCAGCCCAGGCGACAAAGTGAGACCCTGTCTCAAAAAAAAAAAAAAAAAAATTAATTAAAAATGTAAAAAATAAAAAGTAAAAAAGAAGCTATACGAATGGCCAATAAGCACATGAAAGATGCTTATGGTAATCATTAGGGATATGCAAATCAAAACCACAGTTAGATACCACTTTGCACCCATTAGGATGACTATTATTTTTAAAAAACACACAGAACAAAATAACAAGTGTTGGTAAAGATATGAAGAAATTAGAGCCCTCATTCATTGCTAGTGGGAAAGTACAATGGTGCAACTGCTGTGGAAAGCAGTATGGCAGCTCTTCAAAAAATTAAACATAGAATCACTGTATGATGCAGCAATTCCACTTCTAGGTACATACCCAAAAAAATTGGCAGCAGGGACTTGAAGATATTTGTATGCCAATGCTTATAGTAGGATTATTCACAATGACAAAAGGTGGAAACAACCCAAATGTCCATCAAGGATGAGTGGATAAACAAAATGTGGTATATACATATAATGAAATCTTACTCAAAAAGAAATGAAATTCTGATATATGCTATGACATGGATGCACCTTGAAGACACTAAGCTGAGTGAAATAAGACAGACAGAAAAGGACAAATATCGTATGATTCTATTTACGTGCTCTACCTAGAATAGTCAAATTCATGGAGACAAAAAAGAATAGTGGTTATCAGGGCTGGGGGAAGGGAGAATGGGGAGTTGTTGTTTAAAGGATACAGAGTTTCAGGCTGGGATGATGGAAAAAACTTTGGAGGTGCATAGTGGTGATGATTGTGCAACACCGAATGTACTTCATGCCACTGAATTGCACACTCTTAAATGGTTAAATGGTAAATTTTATATTATGTGTATTTTACCACAAAATAAATTTAAGCTCCTCCTATATATAGATATATAGATATACACAGAGAGATAAAAATTTTAAAGTCAATAACCAAAGGAGAGAATATTTCAAAATTGGTAATAGGTTGATAGATAAGAGCTTATATAAATTGGTTTAAAAGAGAACCACAAAAGCTCTGAATAGAAAAATTAGCAAGATATTGACAGTTCACAGATGAAAGAAAAGGCTAAAAACATGAAATAATCTTCCTCTTCACTGATATCAAATAAATGCACATTAAAATACTACTCTTCACCAATGAAGCTGGCAGAGTATTTTCTGTTTGTTTGTGTGTGTGTTTGTTTTGAGACAGAGTCTCACTCTGTCACCCAGGCTGGAGTGCAGTGGCATTATCTCAGCCCATTGCAACCTCCACTTCCAGGGCTCAAGCAATCCTCCCACCTCAGCCTCCCAAGTAGTTGGGACAACAGATATACTAATTTTTGTATTTTTGTATTTTTGATAGGGCTAATTTTTGTATTTTTGGTAGACACAGTGTTTCACCATGGGGCCCAGGCTCATCTCGAACTTCTGGCCTCAAGTGATCCTTCCACCTCGGCCTCCCAAAGTGCTGGATTACAAGTGTGAGCCACCGTGCCCAGCCAGATTTTTCAAACAATAACTACTGAGAGCTCACAAGATTGTTTTTAGTGGGAACACAATTTCGAACAAATTCTTGAGAACGCAGTAAGTGCCCTTTGTATCTTTAATTTCACTTTTAGGAATCTCCCATAATCCAAGATACTACCCTCCAAAATAATACAACATAATGTTCATTGTAGAACCATTTATTACTGAGAAAAAAATTAAGAGGAACCCAGTCATTCAGAAATAAGGAAATGGCTAAAGAATTTATCTGACTTAATACTGTAAAAATATATTTTTAAAGGATTTTAATGACATGAGAAACGCTACAGCTCACAACATGGGGCTAAGTGAAAAAGAACACATAGCTGCACACACAGACTGGTCCCAATTCTATTCCAAAAGGTTCACTTGGTTTCTCTCTGGGTGATGGGTGATGTTTTATTTTCTTCTTTATGCTTTTTTGTATTTTCCAAGTTTTCTACAAAGAACATAAATTTCTTTAACAATTTTATAAACGGGCCAGGCACAGTGGCTCATGCCTATAATCCCAGCACTTTGGGAGGCCAAGGCAGGCAGATCACCTGAGGTCAGGAGTTCGAGACCAGCCTGACCCACATGGAGAAACCCCGTCTCTACTAAAAATACAAAATTAGCCGGGCATGTTGGCGCATGTCTGTAATCCCAGCTACTTGGGAGGCTGAGGCAGGAGAATCGCATGTACCCGGGAGGTGGAGGTTGCGGTGAGCCGAGATTGTGCCATTGAACTCCAGCCTGGACAATAAGAGCGAAACTCCATCTCAAAAACAATAATAATAATAATAATAATAATAATAATTTTATAAATGATGTTTACACCTCTCAGTCTAATAATTCCACTCATAGAAAATCATCCTAAAGGAATAATTCTTTTTTTTTTTTTTTAACAGAGAGAGATTTCGCCATTCTGCCCAGGCTGGTCTCGAATATCTAGGCTCAAGTGATCCACCCCGTTCAGCCTCCCAAAGTGCTGGGATTACAGGCGTGAGCCACCAAACCTGGCTCCTTTTTTTTTTTTTTTTTTTTTAGAGATGGAGTCTCGCTCTGTAGCCTAGGCTGGAGGGCAGTGATATGATCTTAGCTCACTGCAGCCTCAACCTCCTAGGCTCAAGCTATCCTCCTGCCTCACCCTCCCATGTAGCTGGGACCACAGGCACATGCTACCATGCCTGGCTGATTTTTTTATTTTTTTTGTAGGGACAAGATTTCACCATGTTGCCCAGGCTGGCCTCAAACTCCTGGGCTCACACGATCCGCCTGCCTTTGCCTCCCAAAGTGCTGGGGTTATAGGTGTGAGCTACTGTGCCGGGCCTTGAAATAATTCTAAATACAGAAAAAGCTTTGTGCAGGGATTATTGAAAAATAATGTGGTGTTATTTATAGTGACAAAATATTGGAAAATTTGGGGAAGGTAAAGTAAATCCTGTCATATGCACTTGGTAAGCTGTTATGCAGCCATTAAACTCAAGTTTAGGAAGAGTTTATAATAACATGATAAATGCATAGAATTCAATGAAAAAAATCAGGACACAGAATTGTGTATGTAGTATGATCAAAAGTACTTGTACAGGCCTGAGCAACATAGTGAGACCTCTATCTATACAAAAAAAAAAAAATTTTTTTTTAAATTAACCAGGCATGGTTTCAAGCCCCTATAGTCCCAGCTACTCAGGAGGCTGAGGCAGGAGGATTGTGTGAGCCCAGGAGTTCAAAGCTGCAGTGAGCTATGATTGTGCCACTGCATTTTAGCCTGGGGGACAGCATGACCCTGCCTCCAAAAAAGTGGTACTCAGAACTATGCTGTAAATAAGAAAAAGACTCCAACAAAATACACCAAAAGATTAACACAAAGTACCTTTGGGTGGTAAAACTTGGGTATATTTACCTTCTTTCTGTTTCCTTATGTATTTTTTCATGTTCTCTGCAGTGAGCATATATGACTTTTAAGTCGAAAAATGTTCCAAACAAATAAAACAGCTGACTTATCCTGTGAATAGTGAAAATTGTTAGTGGTTGTTATTTTCCTTCTCATTCTCCAATTTCCAAATTTCCATTATGGCATTTATTAATTTTTATCCTTCAAAAGTTTATATAACTTTATAAAAGAGCAATGAGCAAGTAAAGATTATTTCCTTTTCCCACTCCTATGAGGACTGTTCTCTGACCAGAGCTGTAGCCGCTACTTTCTGAGCTGCCTTTTGTGGCAGTGTCTTTGGGGCTACCTGACGACTTTACTAAGGAGAATTGCCCATTACCTCATCTCTGCAAGTCGGGCTGCTTTCCAATTGTTCCTCCTCTGTAATGCATTTGTACAGCTCCTGATCGTTCAGGGTCCTGTGATGATTCTGGGATTGGCTTCCACCCACTTGGAGGCAGGTGCCTTGGGTCCAGGCAGTCCACACCTGTGGCATAGGGCAGGGCTGGGCAGTGAGGGTGCACCTAGCTCTCTGTCATCTGTCTATCACATATCACACATGACTCATACATAGTACAAGGAGTCAAATTGAGGTCTTTGTCACAGTGGGTCACATTTGGATAGAAAAATTAATTTATGCAATTGTCTAGTGCTGCATTAGTTTCCTGGGGCTGCCATGATACATTACCACAATCTGAGTGGCTGAAAACAACAGAAATCTATTTTCTCACAATTCTGGAGGCCAGACATCTGCCATCAAGGTTTCAGCAGGGCCACATTCCCTCTAAAGGCTCTAGGAGAGGCCCCTTCCATGTCTCTATCCTAGCTTCTTTTTTTGTATATGTGTGAGTTAGAGTCTTACTCTGTCGCCCAGGCTGGAGTGCAGTGGCATGATCACGGCTCACTGCAGCCTCCACAGGTTCAAGTGATTCTCCTGCCTCAGCTTCTCAAGTAGCTAGGACGACAAGCATGTGCCACCATGCCTGGCTAATTTTCGTATTTTTAGTAGAGACAGGGTTTTGCCATGTTGCCCAGGCTGGTCTCAAACTCCTGACCTCTAATGATCTGCTTGCCTTGGCTTCCCAAAGTGCTGGGATGAGAGGCATGAGCCACCATGCCCGGCCTCTAGCCCAGCTTCTGATGGATGTGGGAAAAGTTGGCATTCCTGTGCTTGCAACTGCATCACTCCAATCTCTGCCTCCAGTATCGCTTGGCATTCTCCATGTCTCTGCATCCCTGTAAGGATTCAAGTCATTGGATTTAGAGTCCACCCTAATCTAATATGACCTCATCTTGACTAATTAATTACATCTGCAAAAACCTTATTTCCAAATAAGATCACATTCACAGGTAGCAAGAATTAGGACTTCAACCTATCTTTGGAGGGGACACAATTCAGTGCACAACAACCACCATGCTGATGGTAAAGTGGAAACCAACAATGCGGTTTAGACTTAAAGTCACACTCCAGAAATTCTCATTCCCCCCATCCCTATCACACCACCCGCCACCCCAGTTTGGAGTAGTAAGAGATGTTAATTATCTAAAGTGCTCTTGAATGTCAAATTTACTATCTCAATGCACAGTAACTGTTTCCTCAATTAGTGCCTCAATGCATTAACCCTTAAGAGTATCATGGCCTCTGATGGTTATTGCAGCCTGAATGCCTGATGTGTTCTTGGGAGCAGTTCACATGTTGGGAGAATTGACTTACCTGATCTGATTGATGCATTTGCAGTTCCAGGAGATGCCTACACCGATTATGTAGCTACGAGATGGTACCGAGCTCCTGAACTTCTTGTGGGAGATACTCAGTATGGTTCTTCAGTCGATATATGGGCTATTGGTTGTGTTTTTGCAGAGCTCCTGACAGGCCAGCCACTGTGGCCTGGAAAATCAGATGTGGACCAACTTTATCTGATAATCAGAACACTAGGTATGAATTGCATTTTATGGCAACAGAGTTGCTGAATTGTTATAGCATTCATATGTTACTATAATAAAAAATAAATAAATAAAAATAAAAAACAAGAGTTTTATTGCTTCTTCAAAGTGTCACTCAGGATGGTTGTTCTCAGTTCTGGGTTGTAGCCAAAGCCCAATCCTTTTCTAAACATGCAGAACCGTAACTCCTCTCAGGGAGCTCTCAGATCCCTTTGCAGGAAAAGTCAATTAGCCATGGAATAAACTATACATTTACTTTCCATATCAGACTAAGATAGGGATAAGGATATGAGTCAGCTGCCTAGAGCTTAATCTAAGATATTTGATCAAATGCAATTTCTGTCCACTGTAAAAGAGGTTCCCCCCTTTACTCTAGAGCAGGAATCAGCAAATTTGTTTCTATAAAAAGCTATATGGTAAATATTTTAGGTTATGCAGGCTGTACAGCCTCTGTTGCAGTTCCCCAACTCTGCTATTGTAGTGCAAAAGCAGCAATACGCAGCATGTCAACAAATGAGCATAGCTGTGTTCCAATAGAACTTTATTTATGGACACAGAAATTTTAATTTATTGTAGTTTTCACGTGCAACAATATCAAAAAATCTTTTTTGACTTTTAAAAATCTGCTTAAAAATGTAAAACCAATTCTGAGGTCACAAGCTGTACAGAAACAGGCAGTAGGCCAGATTTGGCCCACACTCCTGCCCGAGATCCTAAGAGTCTGATTTTACTTCCTGATTAGGGGTGGCTGCTGAAGTTTAGAATAATGTTAACACATCTTCTTTGTATAGTACTTAAGAATTTACAAATTACTTTCATACGCATCATCTTTTTCAGTCTTAAGAAAAACCTGTTAAGGAAGTTATAATGTTTTTAATTGTGCCTATGTTATAAACGAGGAAACAGAGGCTTAGGGAGCTTCCATGATTGGCCTGAAGTCATATAGCCAGGTAAGTGCAGAATAGGAATGAGACTGCAAGGGTTTCTTTCGTGAGCTTTCATTATGTGTCAGCATAACCCGAAAAGTGAGCCACAGCTTCATGCCAACAGCATGGATGCAAAGAAAGTGACACCTCTACACACAAAATGAGAATTTGTTAATTTCTTCCCACAGGCTCTCCTGGCAGCATGGCTGCTGGACAGTTCCCTGGTCAGTTCCAACATATTATGGAAAATTCTGCAGCATGAAAAATGTGGGGTAGATTACCACTGCAGGCCACACTTTGTTTGTCTGATTCATTCCCTAAAAAGATTCTGGAAATTTACATTACATACCTGAGTTTAAATCCTGGATCTGTTAAGTTACTGTGTGATCTTGGACAAGTTATTAAATTTCTCTAAGCCTCATTTTCCTCATTGGCACAATGGGGATTTAAAATAGCAACTACTCCAGGCTGGGCAACATAGGCAGACCCCATATCTGCAAAAAATTTTTAAAAATTAGCTGGACATGATGGCGCATGCTTGTAGTTCCAGCTACTCGGGAGGCTAAGGTGGAAGGATTGCTTGAGACTGGGAGATCGAGGCTGAAGTGAGCCATGATCATGCCACTGCACTCCAGTTTTGGCAACAGAGAGAGACCCTGTCTGAAAAAATAATAACAACTATTGTTGTGAGATTATGAGATGAAGTCTCATAAAATCTCATTTATGAGATTAAATGAGATAATGTGTGTAAAGACCATAGTACCATTCTCTCACCTTGTCTTTTTTTTTTTTTTTTTTTTTTTTTTTTTTGAGACGGACTGTCACTCTGTTGCCAGGCTGGAGTGCAGTGGTGTGATCTTGGCTCACTGCAACCTCCGCCTCCCAAATTCAAGCGATTCTCCTGCCTCAGCCTCCTAAGTAGCTGGGACTATAGGTGCGCACCACCACACTCAGCTAATTTTTTGTATTTTTAGTAGAGACGGGGTTTCACCATGTTGGCCAGGATGGTCTCGATTTCTTGACTTCGTGATCCACCTCCCTCTGCCTCCCAAAGTGCTGGGATTACAGGCGTGAGCCACCGCACCCAGCCTTCACCTTTTGATGGAGGCTGAATGGTGACCACATGTGACAAAGAGACTGGTTTGGGAGAACTGGCCTTACCTGAGAAGGCATGCGTCTGCAGAATCCCATTCCTCTCATCTCTGGAGGGAACAATCAGGCACAATATTTCTTTCACACCTGCACTTCAGGCGTTAACCCTGTTTTTTGTTTTTTGTTTGTTTGTTTGTTTTGTTTTGTTTTTGAGATGGAGTCTTGCTCTGTCGCCCAGGCTGGAGTGCAGTGGCATGATCTCAGCTCACTGCAAGCTCTGCCTCCCAGGTTCAAGCGATTCTCCTGCCTCAGCCTCCTGAGTAGCTGGGATTACAGGCATGGACCACCACGCTTGGCTAATTTTTGTATTTTTAGTAGAGACGGGGTTTCGCCATGTTGACCAGGCTGGTCTCGAACTCTTGACGTCAAGTGATCCACCTGCCGTAGCCTCTCAAAGTGCTGGAATTACAGGTGTGAGCCACCATGCCTGGCCTTCAGGCATTAACCATTTAAACACTTGATTATTCTTTGCCAAATTTATGATGAATTATGTGGTTTGTATTTTACAGGAAAATTAATCCCAAGACATCAATCAATCTTTAAAAGTAACGGGTTTTTCCATGGCATCAGTATACCTGAGCCAGAAGACATGGTAAGCTGCTCTGTTTTGAATATTTTATTACTTGTGTTGCGGCTTTCTTTAAAGAGGTAGTTGTTATTTATTTATTTATTTTGAGATGATGTCTCACTCTGTCACCAAGGCTGGAGTGCAGTGGCAAGGTCATGGCTCACTGCAGCCTCAACCTCCGAGACTCAAGTGATCCTCCCACCTCAGCCTCCCCAATGCTGGAATTACTCATATGAGCCACCATGCCTGGCCTGTTTCTTTTTTAATATTTGTGTTTTTGGCTTCTGTTTTCCTTGTGACATATTAGCACAGTGTATTATTCTATTTTCACACTGCTGTAAAGAACTTCCCCGAGACTGGGTAATTTATAAAGGAAAGAGATTTAATTGACTCACAGTCCAGCATGGCTGGGGAGGCCTCAGGAAACTTACAATCATGGCAGGAGGGGAAGCAGGCACCTTCTTCACAAGGCGGCAGGAGAGAGGGGTGAGGGCACAAGGGAAAACTGCTACTTTTAAAACCATCAGATCTCATAAGAACTCCCTTACTATCATGAGAACAGCATGGAGGAACCCCCGTCATGATCCAATCACCTCCCTCTCTCCACACATGGGGTTATAATTTGAGATGAGATTTGGGTGGGGACACAGAGCCAAACCATATCACACATATTGAAGAAACTATATAAAAACTACATTACAATGAGCCAGGAAAAATGCTTTAAATGTTTACTTGTCTTATCTATTCAAAAATTAATGTTAAATTTAAAGTGAAAATATATTTAGTATCTTAGATACTACATAATTTTAATCCATTGGTCAAAGCCTTAGGAGAATTTTCCCTTAAATAATTATATTCTCATAAAGACTACTTATAGTAGTCTTCTTTATTTTGAAAAAAAAAGCATTTAAAATTTTTTCGGCTTGTAAAACAAAGCTCAAATCAATCAAAAGCTTTTTTCACAACATATATTTTTACATGGGAGATTGTTTTACAAAATGATCCCCATTGTACTCATTAAACTCCAAATCACAGGGATCATCTCTCTACTCTTGCAATGGTCTTTGCCTTTATTTGAAAACATATCAATGACTATTTGACTCTCTCTCTTGCTCTCTGTAGACATTGACTTCCTGTGTGTGTTACCTAAGTTCAGGCTATGCTCTTTAAAGCTCCATATGGTCCAGAATCTGCCTGTAAAAGAAAAAACTGTCAAGAAAAGCATGTGTCCACACTCCAACTATGCTGGAGTCAGAGCCACGCAGGGATGGGGCAAAGTCTGAGAAGGCAAATCATGATCTATGATAGATGTGAACTGTCCAAATAACCTGAGGTCCAAATGGTCCCAACCATCTCTAGACACCCTGTTCATTTTAAATCAATTATTTCATATAATATCTTGATTTATATACTGGTTTTCTTTTTTATTGTCTTTGTTAAAGCCTTTAACAAATGTAATATAAGGTTAAAGGTTGAACTGCAAGGTTAAAGGTTACAAAGGAATATTTATATAACGTGTGTTTAAAGAATAAACTACAACAAACTTAAGTGTCTTAAGTTTCCCACCATTATCTTTCAGGCATCTCCATCCCCTTCTTTCCTCATCATTCTGAATGTTGTGTTTTTCATTCTTTTGATTTCTGTAGTGCTCTTATGCATGTAGTCCAATGTATTTTCATGAATACTCAAAAGCATCCTTAGAAGTAGATCAGGCACAGATTTTATAGCACTGTTGTAGGATTTCAGATGGGAGCATTTGGGACCCACATTTACCCAGCATCAACTGCAAGACATTGTGAAATTAAGAAAATTAACTTCAGTTTTATGTATTTCAGATCTTTACATACAGTGTACAATTATATAAAAGAGTGATTTAAAAAATATATTTAAAGCCAGGCGCGGTGGCTCACACCTGTAATCCCAGCACTTTGGGAGGCCGAGGCAGGCGGATCACTAGGTCGGGAGATCGAGACCATCCTAGCGAACATGGTGAAACCCCGTCTGTACTAAAAGTACAAAAAATTAGCCGGGCGTGTGGTGGGCGCCTGTAGTCCCAGCTACTCGGGAGACTGAGGCAGGAGAATGGCATCAACCCGGGAGGCGGAGCTTGCTGTGAGCCTTGTTCGTGCTGCCACTGCACTCCAGCCTGGGCGACAGAGACTCTGTCTCAAATATATATATATATATATACACATATGTATATATACATGTATATATACATATGTATATATATATGTATATATACACATATGTATATATACATGTATATATACATATGTATATATATATGTATATATACATATGTGTATATATATACATATGTGTATATATATGTATATATACATATGTGTATATATATGTATATATACATATGTGTATATATATGTATATATACATATGTGTATATATGTATATATACGTATGTGTATATATGTATATATACGTATGTGTATATATATGTATATACACATATGTATATATATACATATGTGTATATATATACACATATATATGTATATATATGTGTGTGTATATATATATATTTAAAATGAATTATTGAACCTACTAGAGAGTCTTTCTTTAAAGTGTTGTTATTACTAATATATTCAAAATATAGGCCAGGTGAGTTGGCTCACCCCTATAATCCCTGCACTTTGGGAGACTGAGGCAGAAGAATCACTTGAGGCCAGAAGTTTGAGACCAGCTCATGCAACATAGCAAGACCCCATCTCTACAGAAAAATAAAAAATTAGCTGTGTGTGGTGGCACCCACCTGTAGTCCTAGATACTTAGGAGGCTGAGGTGGAAAAATCTCTTGAGCCCAGGAGTTCAAGGTTAAAGTAAGCTATGATCATGCCACTGCACTGCAGCCTGGGAGATAGAGGGAGACAGTATCTCTAAATACACACACACACACACACACACACATACATACGCACATATATACACACACATATTACTTTGTTCTTATGTAATATTGAATGTTTTAACCTTGTTTTTCAGGAAACTCTTGAGGAAAAGTTCTCAGATGTTCATCCTGTGGCTCTGAACTTCATGAAGGTACTTAAGAATCAATTATAACTCTTATTAGCTATAAATTGTAATGACTGAAGCTGGTAATTTGAGGAGGGGTGGACAGTGGATTAAATAATGCCAAAATAGGATGTAGTCATTGAAAATGATAAAGAACTGTAAAACAATTCCAGTTAAAGGGACATCATTGGTTTAAGCAGTAATTGTTCTAACATATCTATTAACATTAGTAGATGAGGCAAAATCAGAGCCATGCAGACACCAGACCTAGCTCCTGCACTAGGCCCAAGAGAGACGCCAAACCAAGGACAGATTCAAATAAAAAGCAGAAGAAACTTACCTATGCCTAGTCTGCCATTCATGGCGCCACACTAGAAGGTGTGTGACCCTGTCATACATTGTGTATACCAAAAGCTCATTGGACAAAGGGTATGAGGATACCAGAGAGGGTATCTACCTTTGACAATCAATTAAGTTCTGTCTACAGTAGTGTCTTCCAAATGTGGCTATTCATCAGAATGGCCTGGGAACTTTTGAAAAATACAGATTCCAGTATCTAGCCTCAGATTCAGAAGGGGAATTTTCATGAGTGGGACCTTGGCATGTGTATCTTTAAACATGCCCTTAGGTGATTATGATAAACAGCTCAGTTTGAGACTCATCTGATCTAGACGGTGGGGCCATTTGGATGACCTAGAGTCAACTTTTGTAGACCAGCCTTTGTGCGAGTGCTGGTCACTGCCATGGTGCTATCCAGAGTGCTGGAGTGCTTCAACCTAAGTCCTCCTGAGAGTCAGAGCCTGATACCCCTGTGCTCTCAGACTCCCCATACCATTGCTCCACCTGACCTCAGCTGCCATCTACCCTATCTTACTGCCCAGATCTGCTTTCACCCAGCACTCAGCAGGTCCTGTCCTAGAAGCCCAGTTCCCTGACCTTGTTCTTGACAGGTTGTTCTGACCCACTTGCAATTTAGCAAAACCTGCAAGGGAGAAGGGAGACATCAAGCACTGCAAGCCCAACGAATTCTCAGATGGAAGCCAGAGACAACCTGTGGTTCCCTGGAAAGCAACTCTGGGGCATGAAAACTGCAAGATATAGGACAAGTTCCCTGTCCTCATCTCCAAAGATGAAGAGCCCTGGTTGGCTGCCTAAGGTTTTAGATGAATCTAGGTTTGTTACTCGACTATTTTATTTAGACCCATAAGTATCAACCTAAGACCCAAGAATCCTCTCAGTGCATCAAGGATTGTGCTGTTTCATGGACCACACCCTATCTTATAGATTCCTGCCCCATATTAGATGAGAGAAGACTTTAATTCTTTGCAATTGAGACATTTTTTTTTTTTTGAGACAGAGTCTTGCTCTGTCGCCCAGGCTGGAGTTCTCCGCTCACTGTAACCTCCGCCAACCAGGTTCGAGTGGTTCTCCTGCCTCAGCCTCCCAAGTAACTGGGACTACAGGCACACGCCACCACACCAGACTAATTTTTGTATTTTTAGTAGAGACAGGGTTTCATCATGTTGGCCAGGATGGTCTCCATCTCCTGACCTCATGATCCGCCCACCTAGGCCTCCCAAAGTGCTGAGATTACAGGCGTAAGCCACTGTGCCCAGCCCAAGACATCTTTAATGGCAAATAAGTACTGGCTACCATAACTGGTGTTTATCCCATGGGACCGAATCATAACCTATGCAGGGACTGCTCAGGTGGATGGCGTATTTGGCAATGGCAGAGTCAAGGAGAGTGGTGGCATGCAGTAGCCAATCTATGGCAGGTCTTCTGTGTTCTCTTCATTAGGTTTAAAATGAGACCATGAGCACAATCTTTCTTATTTATTACTCATTTATTTCCATAGTCATGATGATCCTATCACTATATCAGCTTCAGCTGGTCCATCAAGAAGAAGACTATAGACTATTAGAAATTTTATCAGAGCGTTTTCTGTGAAATTTGAAGTTTGGATTTAAGAAAAGGATCCTGACTTGGACTTTACCATTTTGATTTCTCATTTCTCATCTTCCAGATGTTTTCTGGGTTAGGAGCACATCTACAGGGAACACCTCTGATTAATTCTTCAGCTTCTTGATATACAGAAAGTTATTAATCCAGGCAGGCAAGGACTCAGAAGCCTCAATTCTACTCAGCTCATCTCAATGCTTCAGAATTAAGCAGGACATTGTTCCAGCTCAGACTCCATGGAGAGAGCTCAGCATTAGCAGTGTCTTCTAAGAATCTAAAAATGTTCTTTAAAATGAAAATTCATAGGTATTTAGTGATGGACTAGATTTCAATAGTTTTGAAAGCCCATATAAAAACATGAATGAGGCTGGGCATGGTGGCTCATGCCTGTAATCTTAGCACTTTAGGAGTCCAAGGCAGGAGGATCACTCGAGCCCAGGCATTTGAGACCAGCCTGGACAACAAAGTCAGACCCTGTCTCTACAAAACATAAAAAATAAATAAAAATTATTCAGGCATGGTGGCATTTGCCTTTAGTCCCAGCTACTTGGGAGGCTAAGGCGGGAGGATTGCTTGAGCCCAGGAGCTGAAGGCCGCAGTGAGCCATGATTATGCCACTGCACTGTAGCCTGGGTGACAGTGAAACCTCATCTCTAAAAAAAAATAAAATAAAATCAACGTGAATAAATTCAAGATATATTTGAAAGGAAAACCGATAGGACTTAATTATCATTGATATATGGGGAATAAAGTAGAAGAGGTGGCAAGGGTACAGTGGCTGTATTGCTTTTTCAGGTATTGGCAGGTCTGGGCTTTCTCTGAAAACTCTTGGCAAGGTTCTTTCCTTGCCTCTTCCAGCTTCTTGTAGCCCCAGGCATTCTTTCACTTGTGACAATGTAACTCCAATTTCTACCTCCATCATAGCATGGCATTCACTCTGTGTGTCTGTCTACACCATCTTCCCTCTTCTTATAAGGAAACCAACTGTAATTGGGTTGGGGGTGTACTCCATGCCATTATGACCTTGTCTTCACTAATTACATCTGCAAAGAACTTATTTCCAAATAAGGTAACATTCTGAGGTCCTGGGAGTTAGAACTTCAACATACATATTTTTGCGGCGATACAACTCAACCCATAACAGTGACCTTGAGGCAGATGTTAAGTAAGCAGTTGCACCTGCAGGTCTGGAGTTCACAGGGGAGGTCTGGAATGGAATTGTAGATGTGGAAATCTCTGGTAAACTTTGATAATTGAAGCCATAGGCAGCAAAGAGATCACCTAGAAACCAAGAACAGATGAGAAAAAAAGGGGTGGCTAGGATTTGGCCTTGAGGAATTTTATCCAACCATAGTGGAGAACATAGTAGAGAAGAAGATAAACTAGCAAAGGCTGGTTTGAAAAGGAGTGGCCAGGAGGGAGGAGCAAGGAAAGTGAGAGATTAGAGAAGCCAAAGAGAAACAAAGTTTCAAGGAGGGCTTGGTCAGTAGTGTCTAATACTATTGAGATGAGAGAGAATTCAAAATACATAATGGGTTGAAGGATATGGAAGTAGAGGTCAGAGGTATTAATAACAAGAGCCACTTTAATGGAACAGTGGAAGCAAAAGCCAGAATAGAGTGATAAAGAAGTAGAGACTATCACAGTTTGTATTCAAAATAGTATTTCTGGCCAGGTGCAGTGGCTCACGCCTGTAGTCCCAGCACTGGGAGGCCGAGGTGGGCAGATCACTTGAGGTCAGGAGTTCGAGACCCGCCTGGCCAACATGGTGAACCTGTCTCTACTAAAAATACAAAAATGTACTCAGCATGGTGGTGCATGCCTGTAATTCCAGCTATTTGGGAGGCTGAGGCATGAGAATCGCTCAAACCTGGGAGGTGGAGTTTGCAGTGAGCCGAGGTGGCGCTACTGCATTCCAGCCTGGGTGACAGAACGAGACTTTGTCTCAAAAAAAAAAAAAAAAAAAAAAGTCTTTCTCTCCTGATTGTAGCCCTAACAGTACTAGGATTTGAGGAGAATGTTTTTCCAGCAGCAGCTGGAGTTGATATATGGCATGGGTCATTAATTAGGGGTCATCTGCTTGGACCAGGCAGTTGACAAGGAGGGACCAGTAAGTCTAGTTTTACTGAGCAGGATTGTTTCTTGAAGAACAGGACTAATCAGATCCCTCGCCAAGGGCCAGGTGACACTGCTTAGGGGCAGGCAGCTTCAGGGATCTCAGAAATCTGAGGTCAGCTGGGGTCAGGGAGGAACAGACACCACAGGGCAGTGCCCGGCTGGGGCAGCCTCAGGCAACGCAATTGTCTGGGCTTGAGAATGCCTCAAAACAATGTTTGTGCTGGTGGTGAGCCTTATTTCTCTCTTATGATGGAAGGCAATAATTGTCAGGTCGTCTGTGCCTGTGTATTGTAAAACTGCTCCTTTTAAAAATGTAAATAAAGGAGAGATGCGGTCTCACTATGTTACCCAGGCTGGTCTAGACCTCTGGACTCCCAAAGTGCTGGGATTACAGGCATGAGCCACCAGGTCTGGCTTAAAGCTGCTCTTTATGGATCATAATCTGTGTTTATTGATGGGCAAAGTCCCACTGTCTGGCTGGAGTATCAGTGTTTCTCAGAGAAAACCTCTTTGTGTCAGGACCCCCACTGACCCCTCTGCTGTGATACTCCTCCCCACTCTCAGAAGCCGACCTAGAGGCTTCTAATGGTCTCAAATATAGAAGGGTCATAATGTCACCTTTTCTGTTTTGCCTGTAGTTATTTTTATATGAATATATAGTCAATTTTTCCTTGTTTTAGGTTCATTCTCATGACTGAGGTTCTCACTTCCTCAGTCATCTCCTTAACCCAGTGGTTCTCAAACCTGAGCATATGGGCATCGGAATCACCCAGAGAGCTTCTTAAACACAAACTGCCGGGCCCCACCTCCAGTGCCTCGATTCCCTTTGGCAGGCGGGGTATAGGACCCAAGACTTCGCATTTCTAGGAAGTTCCTGCGACGCTGATGTTTTTAGTCCAGGGACTATACTCTGCAGACTGCTATAAACGATTTGCTTTCAGCAGTGATTTTAAAATGTCATTGGTGGGAACACCAGATCTACAGGTGGCCTCTTTCAGAGAGACACTGACCATCCATTCATTCTGCCCTCAAAAGACTTTGAAGTAGGAAAAAGAAGAGCAATCCTAGCTATTAGCAAGCTCCAACTACTTGATAATACACAAACTGGAAGATTTTCTAAACTCATATTTATCCTAGCAAGTTATTCAGTTTGTGGGCACGGTAACAAAATGAGCCCCTCCCTTAACATCTTCTTTGCTATTCTCTTCCTCCAAAGGGGTGTCTGAAGATGAATCCAGATGACAGATTAACCTGTTCCCAACTCCTGGAGAGCTCCTACTTTGATTCTTTTCAAGAGGCCCAAATTAAAAGAAAAGCACGTAATGAAGGAAGAAACAGAAGACGCCAACAGGTACTTCCGCTCAAAAGTTAAAGTGCTATAAAAATAATTCCTTTTTTGTTTTTGTTTGTCTGCCTTTCAAAGTGAGACAAGGTGGACACCAAGACCTTTCATTTGTACTGGTGTAGTTGTATTTGTCTAGCTTAATAAATATTGGTAATTGATGTAATAAAACCATAGAACTATGAAAATATCAAGATTATTGCAAAAATCTTATTCCAAACACACCTGAATCAAATCGTTACGCAACTCTTTGGCTGCTCTGATTGGATATCCCACCCACAAGATCGTATACCCATAATATAACAACTTCATATAATAAAATGCTGATTCCAACAGGACTGAGTTTTGCCAGCATTGCAAAGGAATCCAAGTGCCTTTCTGTAGCCTCCAGATGTGCAATAACGGTAACTTGACTCTTCCATCTTTTCACCCACAGCAGGCACCTAAGTCTGCCTTTCCTAGGCTTTTTCTCAAAACCAAGATCTGCCAGGTACAAAGGAATGAAACCCAGACATCTGGGAACCAAATTCTACCCAATGGGCCAATATTGCAGAACAGTATGGTGACTGTTATGACAAACATTAATTCTGCAGTTTATCAGGTGACTGTCCTTCACTTGCTTTCAGAAAACTTTGAAGTTAAATCGTAAACTCCATGGAAATAGGTTTGTTTTGGTTCAGGGCTTTTTCTCACCTTGTAAACCCGGCACCTAAAACAGTATCTGACACAGAGAAGGTCCCTAATATTATTAAAATAAATAAGTAGACGAACATTGCCTAATAATAAACTGAGTTGGTAATTTCCAATTCATCAGAGGCTAGCAATTTTCACAGTTTGCGTTTGCTTAATCTTTCATCTTCAATCTAATTTTCAGTCATTCGTCTTCTCATTAGCATGTTTTCCGTAAAGGAAGAAAGTGTTGTCTTTTCCCAACCTTTTAATAGTTAAAATAGAAGTTTGTTGGGAGAGAAAAATCAAACTAATCCAGAAGATGAAATGTTAAATCATTTCTGTGTATCCAAAATCTCTAGGTATCCATATTTTGATTACATGGGCCATTTTACCTTTTGCTATTAAATGTTTGCAAATCAAGCCCAATGCAGCTTATACTTAAATAACAACAAAAAAAATTAAAGATCGCTGAGGCAGCAATCTGAAAGACAGTGTGAATTGTGTGTAAAAGGACACTCTCCTGTTAAAAACATCTCAGCTGGCGCGGTGGCTCACACCTGTAATCCCAGCACTTTGGGAGGCCAAGGTGGGCAGATCACTTGAGGTCAGGAGTTTGACACCAGCCTGGCCAACATGGCAAAACCCCATCTCTTCTAAAAATACAAAAATTAGCCGGGTGTGGTGGCGGGCGCCTGTAATCCCAGCTCCTTGGGAGGCTGAGGCAGGAGACTTGCATGAACCCGGGAGGCAGAGTTGCAGTGAGCTGAGATTGTGTCACTGCACTGCAGCCTGGGCAACAGAGTGAGACTTCATCTCAAAAATAATAATAAAAATAAATAAATAAAAACATCCCAGCACTTTGGGAGGCCGAGGCGGGTGGATCACTCGGTCAGGAGTTTAAGACCAGCCTGGCCAACATGGCAAAACCCCATCTCTACTAAAAATACAAAAATTAGCCAGGTGTAGTGGTGGGCGCCTGTAATCCCAGCTACTTGGGGGGCTGAGGCAGGAGAATCGCTTAAACCCTGGAGGCGGAGGTTGCAGTGAGCCGAGATCGTGCCACTGCACTCCAGCCTGGGCGACAAGAGCAAGACTCCATCTCAAAAAAAAAAAAAAAAAACTCACTGGATTCCCCCCAACACTGGCCTGGGAGGGTCCACAGTGTCAGCTGCCCCAGCTGGACTCCTGGTCCCCCTAATCACTGTCTACCTGGGAATCTGTCACAGACCTTGCCTTGCCTCGCCTCGACGGGGTTGGGTGCTGCTCTCCCTTCACAGCCTCCAGCTCTCTGCTTGGGTTTACAGCTGTGCTACCCTTCCTTCAATGCCTGCAACCCAGCTGATACAGATCAGGGACTGTGAACAAGGCCTTCCAAAAGGCCCAGAGGCAGCAAAAGGAAAGAAACACAAAGGGCAGCATGCACCTAGAGAATCTCATTTACAGAGATCAGCCCATGTTCTCCATCCTCTGTAAACTGCATTCTATCCACCTCTGCATGGTGGGTCCCCCTGTAGCACCTACACGAGGCCGGTCCTAAACAGCTCTCTCCTTCAAGTGAGGTGCCCAGGGAGCCAGGCCAAGAGAAAGACAGGGGTGCCTTTCAAGTTCTGGTGTTCCTTCAGAAGACACACCTGAATCCTAGATATTTTACCATGTCAGAAAATAAATGTTACAGAAAAAAGTCTTTTCATTCATTGCGGTTTCCTTAAGACTAAATAATGTTTAAATTTGATAGTAAAGAGGTTTTAAGCCTTTGCTATTCTGCCAATATTCTAGCTATTCAAAATTTGAGGCCAGGTGGGTGGCCCACACCTGTAATCCCAGCATTTTGGAAGGCTGAGGCAGGTGGATCACCTGAGGTCAGGAGTTCAAGACCAGCCTGGCCAACATGATGAAACTCTGTCTTTATCAAAAATACAAAAATTAGCTGGGCATGGTGGCTCACACCTGTAATCTCAGCTACTTGGGAGGCTGAGGCACAAGAATCGCTTGAATCTGGAGGCAGAGGTTGCAGTGAGCCGAGATTGCACCATTGCACTCCAGCCTGGGCAACAGGCTGAAACAGAGTGAAATGGTGTCGAAAAAACAAATAATTTTTTTGAGGTGGGTACAATGTAGTCTCCTGGAATTATTGTATAGTAGCTGATGGGCATCTACCTTTTAAGTATTGACTAGATACTCAGATTAAGTGTACTGAAATAAATAGTAGTATATCCATGGGTATCCTAGAATAAGTAGTAGAACCTAATTTTTAGGTATCAGAGAATCTCAATTTTTGGAAAGGTAACCCTACTTAATTTTAAAATTGATGTCTTTTGACATCTTTGTACCATAAGTATCTGCTTGTCTTATCATCTTTCAATCAAACTGTACAAATAGGAATTGTTTTCAATTTGCTTTCTTATTGTTGTCTTGTTCTGCTATTAGAATCAACTGTTGCCTCTCATACCAGGAAGCCACATCTCCCCCACACCTGATGGAAGAAAACAAGTCCTCCAGTTAAAATTTGATCACCTTCCAAACATTTAGGAAAATGTTCTTTCAAGTGCAAAGTAATTTAATATGTACACATTTTGTACAAGTGAGATAGGAATTCTCAGTGTTTCAAATGCAAATGAGCCATATGAAAATTAAGATGCCTTCTAGAATTGTTTTGCTCTGATCATTGCTGATTCCTTTCCCCATGTTTTACATGCCAACTTTATCTTTTAGAATATTTTCTTTAAATGTTATAAAGCCTAAAACTGCACATATGGAAGAGACATTTTCAATTTCATCAGAGCAGCCCCTCCCGAGGCTATCTATATGGAGAATTTGTGAGCTTATACTTTGATTTATGAAAAAGATTTACATGTGTCATCTTGCTTCAGCTGACCACATAATTTCTTAAAGCAATATCAAATAGCCTGCCTCACTGTTTGTGTAAGAAATGACATATGTTCCTGCATTGTAATTCATACTTATTGTAACCAGGTCTGTTGAGTAATGCTGGTATCTTATTCTGTGTTTTTATATTGGTGTAGAAAGGGAACCTTGAAAGGTCGTTCAGGTTTATCTCTAGATTCCATGGCAGGCTCTCCTTTGTCTGTCTCATGAGGCATTGATGATTCTATTTTTAAAGCTAGCTAGAGAAAATTACATACAAATTCCAATACATAGCAAACAGTGGACCAATGACAAGGAATTGCCATCCTCATCAGTAACGCCCTCGGATAATTGACTGCTGTCCTTTGCTATATCACCATTCCTTATCCTTTTCTCCTCCTGTCTAAGTCATCTCATGACCCAAGCCGATCCTCCTGGGTGTGTTGTCTGAATAGCTCATGGATAGTACTCTCTTGCAAACATTTGCATCCATGGCCTCTATGAAATTGTACAGCCCAAAACTAGTGAGGGCATCTTAATCAGGTTGGTTTGTAAACACAAGAGCAGGAAGATTATCTTTCAGTTAATATTATTTCATATCTCTTACAAAACAACAAAGCAAAGCAAACCCCTCAATAACTGAGCTGAATTTACTTTGGGATATTTTCCCAACCAAACTTGACATACATACGTATATACATATATATATTTTTTCCCAACTAAACTTGACATACATACGTATATACACATATGTATAAACATGTATTTGTAAATATATACTTAAAATTATAAATTTTGCAGCACCATATTAGGTGCCTTTTATCCTGGGCATCAAAAATGATGCAGAATATTTAAAAGTACTTTTAGTTAGCTAACAAGGAACTCATATAAAATAATAGCATAGGGCTATCACTGTTAGGCAAAAAGGCGCAATCAGTGATATTCCTATCAGGAAAAATTAAAGAGTATTTTATTAACTCATTTCCGCTCCCGTGTCTGGCATACTTAACTGAATGTTGTCAAATTTTGCAAATACACTTTATTCCAGAAATTTTCTATGTCCAGCACCAAGAGTTAAGGATATATTGTTGTTGAAGAAACATGATAATATCCTATGTTCGTGTCTAAAAGTCTTCCGCACTTAGAAACACATAAACTCCCAGAGAATCTCATTCAGTTATGTAGAAGCATCCATTTAATAAGGAATTATGACATCTAAGCAATAGTTTTTTGTTCACGGGAAGGGTTTTTTTTTTTTTGAGACAGGGTCTTGCTCTGTCACCCAGGCTGGAGTGCAGTGGTGCAATCACAGCTCACTGCAACCTCCACCTCCCCAGCTAAAGTGATCCACCCATCTCAGCCTGTAGCTGGGACTACAGCGGGTGCCACCACACCTGGCTAATTTTTAACTTTTTTTGTAGAGATACGGTCTCGTTATGTTGCCCAGGCTGGTCTCTAACTCATGAGCTCAAGTGATCCTCCCACCTCGGCCTCCCAAAGTGCTGGGATTACGGGAGTGCGCCAACACGCCCAGCAAGGAAGGACTTTTTAAGTGAGCTGATCTGATCTGGCCTACATTCTTAGTGTAAATATAACCTGTTAAGTAAGGCCTTCTTATTTTCATCTTGTTATCAGGAATATGCCTTTTCAGATTTGTATATTTCTTGCTTTTTTTGTTTTTGAGACAGGGTCTGACTCTGTCACCAAGGCTGGAGTGGCGCAATCGTGGCTCACTGCACCCTCGACCTCCTGGGCTCAAGCAATCCTCCTGCCTCAGTCTCTCAAGTAATTGGGACTACAGGGACATGCCACCATGCCCAGCTAATTTTTTTTTTTTTTTTTTTTTGAGATGGAGTCTCACTCTGTCGCCCAGGCTGGAGTGCAGTGGCACAATCTCGGCTCACTGCAAGCTGCTCCGCCTCCCGGGTTCACGCCATTCTCCTGCCTCAGCCTCCCTAGTAGCTGGGACTACAGGCGCCCACCACCACGCCCGACTAATTGTTTTGTATTTTTAGTAGAGACAGGGTTTCACCGTGTTAGCCAGGATAGTCTCGATCTTCTGACCTCGTGATCCGCCCATCTCGGCCTCCCAAAGTGCTGGGATTACAGGCGTGAGCCACCGCGCCCGGCTCCAGCTAATTTTTTGTAGAGAAAAGGTCTTGGTATATTGCCCAGGCTGATCTCAAACTCCTGGGCTCAAGCAATCTCCCTGCCTGGCCCTTCCAAAGTGCTGGGATTACAGGTGTGACCCACCACACCCTGCCAGTTTCCTGCATTTTTAACAGGACGATACCACGGGTGCAAAGAAAATGAGAAAAAAGATAAAAGGCAACTTTGCTGAACAATTTATTTTTAGCTTTCATAATGTTTTTCATTTAAGCCTTCTTATTACCAAACCACTCATACTGCTCTAGCTATCTTAAATATATATCTCTCTATATTATGTATCTATATAGATAATATATTTATGCATATCCATATATACACACATAAAATATGATATACACATACACATATAGAAAATAAGACAGCATTCCATTGCCCATTTTGCTTGTAATTATGTTTCAAATAACAACGAAGTTTTTGGCAGGGATGGTGGGATGACTGTCTTTCCTTATTTTTGCTTGCATTAAAAAATTAATTCAAACTAGCATTTCTCTTTTTTTTCCTCAGACAAATCCATCACTTAGGTGTCACTGGGGAGGGGACAGGAGAGAGCATCTAATGCTTAGAAAAATGCTCTAATATAGTCATATTACCATGAAGAAAAATAAACAGGCCAGGTGCAGTGGCTCATGCCTGTAATCCCAGCACTTTGGGAGGCCAAGGCAGGCGGATCACCTGAGGTCAGGAGTTCGAGACCGGTCTGGCCAACATGGTAAAACCCCATCTCTACTCAAAATACAAAAATTAGCCTGGCATGATGGTGGGCGCCTGTAATCCCAGCTACTCAGGAGGCTGAGGCAGGAGAAACACTTGAACTCAGGAGGCGGAGATTGTAGTGAGCTGAGATCATACCACTGCACTCCAGCCTAGGCAACAGAGCAAGACTCCGTCTCAAAAAAAAGAAAGAAAAGAAAAATCAGCTTCTGATGCCATATGCCTGTTTAATTGTCCCTGGGTGGCCCAGGCCACAGCATAGCATTGCTGCTGCCTGCGTTGCCCAGGGTCCCCAGTCTCAAGCTGTAACTCCTTCCTGTTTCAAATACATATCTCTCACCTCTGTACTACACAAATTCTCTCACACCCTTCAGCCCATGAACAACAGTTGCTCTTCAGCATCTGGTTCCCAAATTGTGCAGTGCCTTTTTTTCTTTTTCTTTTTCTTTTTTTTTTTTCGGAGCGGGGACAGAGTCTCACCCTGTCATGCCCAGGCTGGAATGCAATGGCGCAATCTTGGCTCACTGCAACCTCTGCCTCCCGGGGTCAAATGATTCTCCTGCCTCAGCCTCCCCAGTAGCTGGGATTACAGGTGTGTGCCACTGTGCCCAGCTAATTTTTTTTGTATTTTTAGTAGAGATGGGGTTTCACCATGTTGGCCAGGCTGGTTTTGAACCCCTGACCTCGTGATCCGCCTGCCTCGGCCTCCCAAAGTGCTGGCATTACAATCATGAACCACCATGCCCAGCCTGTGTAATGCATTTTTTATCTTTAGCAAATAGTCTTGTCCCAGACTCTTCATAGAATCCTACTTGATCCCGTAATTATGAGTTTCTGTTAGGCTCTTGTGCAGTTTCTGGATCACCTGGGTTCTGTCTCACTTATGTCAACTTTCAAGCCTTTTGTTTATGTAGTTCCTTCCTGATGCTGTCCAAATACTGCGCCATCATGGTGAGTGACGCCGCCTGAACACTCCTCTGTGCTCCGCCTCTTCGTGGCCTCTTCCCACCTTGGTTTCCTCAGACTTTCCACACACACGTATCTTAGAGTCTCCAAACAGTTTTTTGTTTGTTTGTTTTTTAGTGTGTTTGCTTTTCACAGTATTTTCAGGCCATTCAAAATGCAGACTTTGCCTATTCTTAGAGCTCCAACATAAAGGACATTTCGTTAGACCTCTCTCAGCCCTGGTGGCCTATGTGCTTGGGCTCTGTCTTTAATCTCTATTTCAGTCCTGGTGATATTTGAATGTAATTGTTCCAACTTGCCCCAACCACAAAGCCCTTTTAGGAGATCACTTTTTGAAGATTACTTTAACTAGACTGAATTGCTGAAAAGTTGTATTCAAGAAGCTTTTGAATCCTTGGGATTAGGGAGATGATTGAGTAAAGGGTAAAAACTAAGTTCTTGGGGGATGAAGAGTTGAAACAGAAAGTAGTTTGTTTTTTTTCCTTCTAAATTAGGTGTATCACAGTTCTTCATTGCACTTGCAGATTTCCCAACCACAATATTAAGGTTATTTTGAAAATCTTTTTTTTTTTTTTTGAGACGGTCTCTCTCTGTCGCCCAGACGAGAGTGCAGTGGCATAATCTCAGCTAACTGCAGCCTCCACCTCACATGTTCAAGCGATCCTCCTGCCTCAGCCTCCCGAATAGCTGGGATTACAGGCATGTGCCACCACGCCCAGCTAATCTTTGTGTTTTTAGTAGAGATGGGGTTTCATCCTGTTGGCCAGGCTGGTCTCGAACTCCTCACCTCAAGTGATCCACCCCACCTTGGCCTCCCAAAGTGCTGAGATTACAGGAATGAGCCTGACCTGAAGATGTTTTGTGCTCCTTTAGCTTACTTGCCATAAAATTACAATTTTCCAAAAAGTTAGCACTTTCTTAGTCATTTGTCACCACCATTGATTTCTAATCCTGGTCACAGAATTCTCAAAAAAAAATTTTTTTTTAATTAAAAACTACCACCAGAAGAGGAATGATCTTAAAATTTTGCAAACATTAATATCCTTAAAAAACTGGGGGACCAGGTGTGGTGACTCACATCTGTAATCCCAGCACTTTGGGAGGCTGAGGTGGGCAGATCATGAGGTCAGGAGTTTGAGACCAGCCTGGCCAACATGGCGAAACCCCGTCTCTCCTAAAAATGCAAAAATTAGCCAGGCATGGTGGCGGGCGCCTGTAATCCCAGCTACTCGGGAGGCTGAGGCAAGAGAATCGCTTGAATCCGGGAGGTGGAGGTCGCAGTGAGCCAAGATCGTGCCTTTGCATTCTAGCCTGGGTGACAAGAGCAAGACTCTGTCTCAAAAACAACAACAACAACAACAACAAAAAACTAAAAACTGGGGAGTCAGTGTTAGCTTCATCACAAAGATACAGATTTTTAGGACATAAAGATAAAATGCCACTCACAAGTTAATGTTCTGCATATGTGTTTGTTTGTTTTATCTTTTCTTTTCTTTTCTTTTCTTTTCTTTTCTTTCTTTTTTTTTTTTTTTTTTGGAGACAGGGTCTCACTCAGTCTCCAGGCTGGAGTGTTGTTTGTTTTATACGAAAATTAACAACTTCATTCTTGTTTTAGGAGAAGACTAAAGGTGTTTAAGAGTAGTAGTTAGGACCAGGCATGGTGGTGCACGCCTGTAATCTTAGCACTTTGGGAGGCCGAGGCAGGTGAATTGCTTGAGCCCAGGAGTTTGAGACTAGCCTGGGCAACATGTCAAAACTCTGTCTCTACCACAAAAAATACAAAAGTTAGCCAGGAGTGGTGGCGTGGGCCTGTACTTGGGAGGCTGAAGTGGGAGGATTCCTTGAGCCCAGGAGGTCAAGGCTGAAGTGAGCCATAATTGTGCCACTGCACTTCAACCTGGGTGACGGGTTTACTTGAGCCAGGAGGCGGAGGTTGCAGTGAGCTGAGATCATGCCACTGCACTCCAGCCTGGGTGACAGAGTGAGACCCTGTCTCAAAAAATAAAATAAAATAATAAGAGTGGTCATTAGAGAAAATAAATAGAAAAATCATTTGGTCTGGAAGTTTGGACAGCTAGGTTCTAGGCCTAAACTGCAACTCTCTGTGTATCCTTGACACAACATTTAACTTTTCTGTGCCTTCTGTAGCTTTGCTGTTTTCTCATTTGTAAAATAAGAGAGTAGTGAAGCTAGATCATTTCTAAGTCTCCCTTTCAACTCTAAAGTTCTGTGATTCTCTATGGCACACAGTGTTTGTATCCTGGTCATATCTCCCACTACAAGAGGCTTTCTAGAGAGTGTTTTTCATTAACAACACCAAGATAAAATTGTAGTGTTTATGATCTAGCCAGGAGCCAGGAGTTACCTTCCTCTCTCTCATCTCTGTCTTCCTTGCTTGCTTTCACACTCACGCAAACACACACACGACTACACCCTACTAGCTCCATCATGTCAATAGTAGTTTACAGGCAACCATCTAACACAGGTTAAATTTTCCAAATGAAAATGGGTTTTGAAGCTAATTATCACTAGATTTTAATGAGTGTAAATAAAATAGGTGTGTTTTTAAAATGCAGAGTAATATGTAATCATTATTTGATGTTTTCATCAAAGAATTGGATATGATGCATATCATCAAGGAAGAACATTTAATCAAGTTTTAACTTCAGCAACACTTTTAGTAGTTTGAGTAAATGATAATTAAATTTTACAGATATATCTGAATTGTGTACATTTTTGTTTCAAAAGCAAGGACTCAAGCCTGGCACAGTGGCTCACGCCTGTAATCTCAGCACTTTGGGAGGGCAAGGCAGGCGGATCACGAGGTCAACAGATCCAGACCATCCTGGCCAACATGGTGAAACCCCGTCTTTACTAAAAATACAAAAATTAGCTGGGCGTGGTGGCATGTGCCTGTAGTCCCAGCTACTCAGGAGGCTGAGGCAGGAGAATCGCTTGAACCCAGGAGACAGAGGTTGCAGTGAGCTGAGATTGCGCCACTGCACTCCAGCCTGGCAACAGAGTGAGACTGTGTCTCAAAAAAACAAACAAACAAAAAAACAAAAAAAAAACAAGGACTCAGGCTCTCTCTTTTTTTTTTTTTAGATGGAGTTTCAATGGCGCTATCTCAGCTCACTGCAACCTCCGCCTCCTGGGTTCAAGTGATTCTCCTGCCTCAGCCTACTAAGTAGCTGAGATTACAGATATGAGCCACCACACCCAGCTAATTTTGTATTTTTAATATAGATGGGGTTTCACCATGTTGACCAGGCTGGTCTTGAACTCCTGACCTTGGGTGATCCACCCGCCTCAGCCTCCCAAAGTGCTGGGATTACAGGCATAAGCCACCGCGCCTGGCCTGGCTCAGTCAACTTTTAATTTACCCCAAAATTTGCTTAAGCTGAGAATTGGTAATCCTACTCAACAGGCATATAAATGATTTGTATTTTTAAAGTTAAAATTTTTCTTTCTGTTATGAACACTACTCATTGACCATATGTCTAAATATTGTCATATTGAAGATTCTGTGTGTCCATTTATTATTTTAGCACATATTTGTGTAGAAGCAGGTATATTTCAAATCACTTGAAGTCGTAGCTATATGTTAGTTAACATTGATAATTAGCCTAATCGTAATTTAAACTACTAGAAACAATTCACTAAAAGCAATTTTAGTTTTATTATGTTAAATATACATAATATTATGGTTTTTAAAAATTTAGCTTAAGATACTTTGAAAACCCACATATGAGATTAAATATTTTGGTGACTTTATATTTGTATATATAACTTGACTATGTTCTTTAGCTTATTTTAATAAAAGAAATATTTCTGTCTCCTAATTTCTATTCAACTCAGCTATTCATTAATTTTCTAATACTTCGTATTTAAATGAAAAAAACTGTCATCTTCATATGTAAATTCCACAGCTTGTTATTTAATTTCCTATTGGTTGGAATATCTGAACAGCTGGCATGGCAAACTTTTTTTGTGTGTGCCTTGGGTTGGAAATTCTTACAAATGGAAAAACTAGCAAAATATTTTCCAGTCTAACTAACTAGATGCTTATCCTTGAGAAAATCTTTACAACTTTACTTTGAGGCTGTAAGATTCTTTTTCTTTCAATTTATCAAAATATTTATCCGATCCCTTATAATACTGAAGCTGCAGGATATGAAACTTTCTTGCATCTTCATTTCCAGGCTATCACAGTAATTTCTGTTGTGGGTTGTAAAAGGTGAAAAGGGCTGAAGACCAAACTCAGACTAATGATCAAAAGAGAGAAAAACAACTATAAAATAATGAATGAGGTCACTATTTAAATATGCTCCAATTCTTTCATTTTCTTTTGAACTAATATTTCTGCTTTTATTCTTTTTAATGGAGCCTGTGTTAAAAAAAGAGCATAGCAGATTGTTTCCATTGATGACTGCAACAATTTCTCCCAGCCTACATGGCTTTTGCAATGATACTTTGCCACTCCTTTTATCAAGAGGTGAAGTCGTCCTCCTCTGTCCCTACCTTCAGTCCAAGCTGGCCTTGTGATCTCCTGAGGCACACAGAATGCAGCAGAGGTGATGCTGTGCCATTTCTGGACCTAGCCCTTGGAGGGCCTGGCAGCTTCTGTTCCCTCTCTCTAGGGAAGCCAGCTCCCCTGCTGCAAAAGAGCTTAGGCTGGACTATTAAGATACCACATGGAGAGAGACAGAGACCCTTGGAGAAGCACTTAAAGGGCCAGACACATGAGTGAAGCCTTCCTGGACCTTCCAACTCCACGTAGCCACCCGCCGAGTATAGGCAAACAAGGGTCCCCAGCCAGCACCAAGTGGAATAGGTTAACTGCCCAGCCGAGCCTAACCAACCCACAGAATTGTGAGATATAATAAATCGTTGTTTTAAGCCACTAAATTTTGGGATGATTTGTTATGCAGCAATACATAACTGAAACAGAGTGTCAGTATATATATATATATATATATATATATATATATATATATAATTTTTTTTTTTTTTTTTTTTTTTGAGACAAGAGTCTCACTCTGTTGCCCAGGCTGGAGTGCAGTGGCACAATCTTGGCTCACTGCAACCTCTGCCTCCCAGGTTCAAGCAATTCTCCTGCCTCAGCCTCCCAAGTAGCTGAGACTACAGGCACACACCGCCACCCCTGGCTAATTTTCTGTATTTTAGTAGAGACGGTTTCACCGTGTTGCCCAGGCTGGTTGCAAACTCCTGAGCTCAGGCATTCCACCCGCCTCGGCCTCCCAAAGTGCTGGGATTACAGGCGTGAGCCACCGCGCCCAGCCAAAACAGAGTATGTTTTTAGATTGCATTACAATTGAACACATTCCCAAATAATATGCACAGTTAAGATAAGGCGTAAGATCTGATGTTATTTAACCTAGAACTCTAAGTACATTCCAGGGAGTCTGTCCCCACCACCTACCCAGTCAAGGCTGCTATACTTCCAAGGGTCTCATAAAACATGTGTAAGCACCATATAGGGGAAATCTAAAGCAGTGTATTAAAGAAATGGTCCAAACATTGTATTTTACCAAATATATGAACACATGCTAGAAATTCGCTCAAGTTTGCTGGGTGCGGTGGCTCACACCTGTAATGCCAGCACTTTGGGAGGCCAAGGTGGGCGGATCACAAGGTCAGGAGATCGAGACCATCCTGGCTAGCACAGTGAAACCCCGTCTCTACTAAAAATATTTAAAAAAAAAAATTAGCCAGGCGTGATGGCGGGCGCCTGTAGTCCCAGCTACTCGGGAGGCTGAGGCAGGAGAACGGCGTGAACCTGGGAGGTGGAGCTTGCAGTGAGCCGAGATCTCGCCACTGCACTCCAGCCTGGGCACAGAGTGAGACTACGTCTCAAAAAAAAAAAAAAAAAGAAAAAAGAAATTTGCTCAAGTTTTTACAGTGGCCTAAAAGGAAACTTCCATTTTTGTTTTTTTCTTTTTTAAGGAACAGGAGTCTCAAGGGCCGGGCGCAGTGGCTTACGCCTATAATCCCAGCACTTTGGGAGGCTGAGGCAGGTGGATCATGAGGTCAGCAGTTTGAGACCAGCCTGACCAACATGGTGAAACCCTGTCTCTACTAAAACATACAAAAAAATTAGCTGGGCATGGTGGCGGGCACTTGTAATCCCAGTGAATTGGGAGGCTGAGGCAGGAGAATTGCTTGAAACCAGAAGGCGGAGGTTGCAGTGAGCCAAGATTGTGCCACTGCACTCTAGCCTGGGCAACAAGAGCAAAATTCAGTCTCAAAAAAAAAAAAATTGAAGGAACAGGAGTCTCAATATTGTTGCCCAGGCTGGCCTTAAACTTCTGGGCTCAAGTGATCCTCCCACCTCAGTCACCCAAGTAGCTGGGCATGGCTTTTTTTTTTTGTAGAGACGGGGGTTCTCACTATGTTGCCCAGGCCAGTTGAACTCCTGGCCTCAAGCTCTCCTCCTGCCTTAGCCTCCCAAAGTGCTGGGATTACAGGCGAGAGCTACCATAAGCGCCCTCATAGAATTTTTTTTAATGCAGTAGTTGCCATGTTCCCTCCCAAAGAAGCATGAAACCTCATCTTACTCAATTGCTTGTATCTTCCATTTGGTGGTTTTTACATTCCTAATATGAAAAGGCTCTTATCTTACAGCAAAAAAAATATGTCAGGTTATTTTCTTTACACCAATTTAGTTCATTGACGCTCTTTGAAAAAGTTTGCTTATTGTTTAGCAAACACTATCACCTGGAGAAAATCAGCCCTCAATGGATACGCAGCCACCGAGAGGAAACAGCCTAACAAACTTAACCTGAAAGACATAAGACCTCACCAGAAAACTTGAAGAAAACACCAACAGGAACATCATGAAATAAATCTGACTGTGACTCCAAGAGATCTCCTGAGGGATTGGAATGATCAGAGATAGAAGAGTTGGCTGGGGTGGTACCACTAAGTTTTGAAGAAAAAATATTTTTGGTTTGGAAGACACAAAACGAATTTAATGTTGTGTCTATTAGACAGTCATTGTGTTTCTTATAGTGATTAGCTGTAAAAAAAAACAATTAGGGAAAGAATAGGAGATCTGGGCTAGAACCACAAATTTTTTTTTTTTTTTTTTTTTTTCAGACAGGGTCTCACTCTGTCACCCAGGCTGGAGTGCAGTGGCGTGATTTTGGCTCACTGCAACCTCCGCCTCCTGGCTCAAGCCATCCTCCCACCTCAGCCTCCTGAGCAGCTGGGACTACAGATGCACACCACTATGCCCAGCTAATTTTTGTATTTTTAGTAGAGACAGGGTTTCACCATGTTGCCCAGGCTGGTCCTGAACTCCTGAGCTCAAGCTATGTGTCCACTTCGGCTTCTCAAAGTGCTGGGATTACAGGCGTGAGCCACAGCACTCAGCCCAGAAACACAAATCTTAATTAAAGCTGTATATTCTGGCCACTAAAATCATATGAGCAATTTATTTTCCTGAGACAGTGAGGAAGTGCTATGAGTAAGAAGAAAATTCAGTTCTAATCCTTGAGAAATAGTTGTAGTGAAAAAAATAGAAAAGGAACCATTAGAAGTACTAGCTGGTGGCCAGGGGTGCTGACTCATGCCTGTAATCCCAGCACTTTGGGAGACTGAGGCCACCAGCTTGGGCAACGTGGTGAGACCCCATCTGTACGAAAGATGAAAAAATTAGCCAGGCATGGTGGCACACACCTGTAGTCCCAACTATTAATACTAGGGAGGCTAAGGTGGGAGGATGACTTGAGACCAGGAGATGGAGGCTGCGGTGAGCTGTGATCAAACCACTGCCCTCCAGCCTAAGCAACAGAGCAAGACCCTGTCTCAAAAAAAGAAAAGAAAAGAAAAGAAAGTACTAGCTAGAAAGAATCCATGCTTATGGCAGGGTGTGGTGGTGCCCACCTGTAATCCCAGCACTTTGGGAGGCCCAGAAGGGTGGATCACTTGAGGTCAGGAGTTCAAGATCAGCCTGGCCAACATGGTGAAACCCCATCTCTACTAAAAGTACAAAATTTAGCTGGACATGGTGGTACACACCTGTAATCCTGGAGGTTGCACTGAGCTGAGACTGAGCCACTGCACTCCAGCCAGGGCGACAGAGCGAGACTCTGTCTCCAAAAAAAAAAAAAAAAAAAATCCCTACCTGTTATTTATCTTGAAGAAGTCCCCATTTCAAGATCTTTTTTCCGCTGTTCCTCCTTCCTCTTTCCTAATTAATCTCCTCTCCAGCTAATATCTACTTTTCTTGGATTTGAATGCCTTTCCTATTCATCAGTTTCATCCTTCATCCAATCCCCAGTATTCTACTCTCTGCTCTGACAAAGACCAGTTCCATTATCCAATTTCCTTCTTCCCAAATTTGCTAATCTCCCCCTTCTACTACCTACAATTTCCAGATCAGAGAAAATCACTCCATATTTAATTGTGTCTAATATAAGAACTCCCTGTAAAAACCAGCACTATTTTATATAAACTACATTTGAAAATAACCTTAGGTTGAATTCAAATAAATCCCTACAATATATTTTAAAGATTGATATCTCTCTGGATGCTGTACACCTTCTTATTTTTAAAGGTAATCCCATTTGGGAAAAACAATCCCTCACCAAAATTGACTCCATCAAATATTCCCTCTAAATTATGGGTTCTTGTCCAGGCAAAGTGGCTCACGCCTGTAAACCCAACACTTTGGGGGGCTGAGGTGGGCGGATCAGTTGAGGTCAGGAGTTCAAGACCAGCCTGGGCAACATGGTGAAACCCTGTCTCTACTAAAAATATAAAAATTAGCCAGGTGTGGTGGTACATGCCTGTAATCCCAGCTACTTGGGAGGCTGAGGCAGGAGAATCGCTTGAACTCAGGAGGTGGAGGCTGCAGTGAGCCGAGATCGTGCCACTGCACTCCAGCCTGGGCAACAGAGCAAGACTCTGTCTTAATTAATTAATTAAGCATTCTTAGTCATGAATTGACTTCAAGGCATTCATTGGAATTCCCCTCTTCAATTTCCAAATACAATTTCCAGATGTAACCCAAGGCTGCTACCGCCCCAAACTCCTGAGAGCTCTACTGGGTTCACACCCTGAGAGCTCAGAGTACTTCCCACCTACAACAAAGTGTCTGCATACCAGCTTGCTTTTCCCTTCTTGTTGAGCCCTTTTTGACTTGAAATTGAGCAAGACCATAACTAAATCTGCACTATTGACTGGTTGGCCTAGAAGAGACTAAAAATCCCTTTCTCGTTCTGCTTTAAATATTTAACATTTAAAAATTAGAATGTAATTAGAAGTTAGAGTTTCAAAGCAATCCCACTGAGAAGATTAGGGAGATTAAGTACCAGTTTTAAAGGGATAGCTTTCCCAAGAGCTGTTTGTCATCGGTATGCTGAGAAAATGGATGTGGGGCTGGGGCGATGGGACTGTTGGGTGACCAGAGGACAACAGGAGGGTGCTGGGGCTTTTCTTAGGGGTTGGGATTGGAGGGCACCACAAGAGAGAAACAGAGAAGCTGGAAATTTGCCTATAGCAAACCGTGTCTGCTTTGGAAATTTACCAACTCAGACCTTGGCCATCTGTTCTTCCAAAGAAATCCATCAAAGCAGTGTAGGAAAGTGGAAAACACCTTGGCTGGGATCTAGGGCCACCTCTGCTACCTAACCTCACGGCATTGGGTATGTCTGCTTCTCTCGCTGGCCCCTCAGTCTGTAACAAGGGGTATGGAGCTACATTAGATGATTTTAAGGATCCTTCCAGCTAAGACACTTTGTGAAACGACATAACAGGCCGGGGCAGTGGCTCACGCCTGTAATCCTAGCACTTTGGGAGGCCAAGGTGGGTGGACCACTTGAGGTCAGGAGTTCGAGACCAGCCTGGTCAACATGGTGAAACCCCATCTCTATAAAAAATACAAAATTAGCCGGGTGTGGTGGCCAGTGTCTGTAATTTTAGTTACTCAGGAGGCTTGAGGTGGGAGAATCATTTGAGCCCAGGAGGCGGAGGGTGCAGTGAGCCATGATCATGCCACTGCACTCCAGCCTGGGCAACTGAGTGAGACTCTGTCTCAAAAAAAATTAATTAATTAAATAAATAAAATGACATAACAAACAGCTGTCATCCATCTATCGTCCTGCTCCTGTGTCCCCATCCACCCTCCTTTTCTCAGGTCTGTTGCAGATTGAATTGAGAGGTGAGCACAGAGAGAGGGCCTGGCTAGGGACCGCGCTCTACCCGCTTCACAGGGAAGAAACTAGTCCTGCATCTTTCCACCTTCCTGATCTACTCTGAGATCTCCATTCTCCTTCTTGTCTGCTGTGGAGAGCTACTAGCTCCACAGTGGCAAATGGATCCTGAGGGTGTAGTTGCTTTGCAAGAAAAAGCCCAGCTTTTATTTTTTAAGCAAGCCAATGATATATAAGAGGTAGAAGATGTTTTGTTATTTAACACTGGGCTTGGTTTTTGTTTTGTTGTTGCTGCTGTTCAGTCTTGCCTTTGTAAGCACTTTCAACTCCTTGTTGCCATATGATAGCATGCCATAAATAGATGAGCTGGACGCCACTCCGAAGAGGAAGAATGCTGTTCTTACCTAATAAGTGCACAACAGGCCCTTTGATCAATAACATTGACAAAGAAGAATGTGCATGGCGGAGAGAATAGCTATTAAATACAAGTGAAATTGAAACTTCAATTTCAAATTGCAAAATTCCTAAGGATTAAAGTAAATCCTTGGCCAGGGTCCCAAGAAGGCTCCATCTAGCAACACTGCCAGGAGATTTTCCAGCACTCTCTCAGTATGTAAAAGTCCCAGAACATTATTTACAGTATTTTGAATTTTATCTGAACTTGCTAACTATCACTTACTTTATCTTGGGCAAACTTAGTGCTTTTTGTTTTTTGTTTTTTTTCTAATTGTCAGAACTTCTAAACCCTTAGAACAATAATGACCAATGCAGTTTAATATTTTAGGGAATTTCACAGCATCAAAACAGGGAAGAAGCATGAAATAACTGGAGAAATCTCAAACAATGTAGTAAAAAGGAAAGAAATACTTTAAATCAATATTCTAAATATAAAGCAGCTATCATATATTGAAATACAAATCATTAATATATAATAGAGCTAAATTATGGCTTTTTCAACTCATTTTAATTTTACACATTTATGCAAGTATCATAGTTACATATATACTATTTTTACTTTTTAATTAATGAGTAAAAATAATACACAGCGTATACAAATGTTGTTTTGAAATAATATACATTGTGGAATGGCTAAATTGCGCTAATTAGCATATACATTACCTCACGTACTTATCTTTTTGTGTGTGGTAAGAACACATATAGTCTATTCTCATAGCAATTTTTATAAATGCAATACATTGTTATTAACTAGAGTCACCATGGTGTACACAATAGATCTCTTGAACTTATTCCTTCTAACTGAAATTCTGTATCCTTTGACCAACATTTCCCCAACATGTATGTACTATTACCTCTTTTCTGATTGCCTTTAAGTTCTTCGTACATTAACCAGTTCAAGAGAACTAAAGTGCATTAAGCCTTCATCAGATGCCAGGCATTGTACTGGATGCTTTATCTATTTTCTCTTCTTTACTTTCCCAGACAACATAGGAAGTAGGTTTTGTTATCCACATTTTACAAATGAGAAATCTCAGGTTCAGAGAGGTAGCCAGAAAGTGGCGGAGCCCCTTTAAAAATTTCAGAAAATTTCCACCAAATCTTTAACTTATTTTTGCATTTAAAGTTGGTAAGCACTGACTCCCTAAAGCCAAGTCCCTTGCTTGGGCCATTTTCAATTTCCCATCAACTTTTACATCTTGATAACTTGTGATTTCTCTAATGCCAACCTTAGTTAAAACAACTTTGTAAGAACACTGTGTCCTTAGCATGGCTACCTCCCAACTATAACAAAATGATCCTTTTTTTTTTTTTTTTTTTTTTTTTTTTTGAGACAGAGTCTCACTCTGTCGCCCAGGCTGGAGTGCAGTAGCATGATCTTGGCTCGCTGCAACCTTCAACCTTCGCCTCCCACATTCAAGCAAGTCTCTTGCCTCAGCCTCCCAAGTAGCTGGGATTACAGGTGTGTGCCCCCATGCCCAGCTAATTTTTGTATTTTTAGTAGAGACAGGGTTTCACCATGTTGGCCAGGCTGGTTTGGAACTCCTGACCTCAAGTGATGTACCACCTCAGCCTCCCAAAGTGCTGGGATTCAGGCACGAGCCACTGTACCCAGCCCAAAATGATCTCTTTCTGTGGACATCTCATCATCCTTGTAAATAAAGTTATCTGCATATTCTTCTGTATATGCAAGGCTTGACTCCAACCAAAGTGACAGCGTTAAAATTATCATGAAATGTGAACAGTCATATGAATGCTACATAAAAAGATAGAATTTAAATCAGGGAGTCTTTTGTGGGATCACACCAAAGTTCTGATTTTACAGATAAGGAAACCAAGGCCTTGAAAAAATTAAAGGACCAAAAGAAATGTTAAACATAGATTAAATAGGCAGTCAAAACCATATTTGTTTAATTATTTATGTCTCTTTATTACCTTATTTAACTGGGTTTGAAGCCACTTTTATGTATAATAATTATAAAATAAAATGGAAAAACAATTTCAAAAAGCAAGAACGATGAAATTGTTAAAAAATAAATAGTGATAGTTGCACAATCTGTGACTAAAAAAACACTGAATTGCATATTTGGAAATGGTGAATTTTATGGCATATCAATTAAATTTCAATGAAACTGTATTTAAAGCACCACTATATACATTTTTTTAAAAAAATAGAATAGATGATAAAACCAGGGAATGATGCTGGGCACGGTGGCTCATGCCTGTAATCCCAGCACTTTGGGAGGCTGAGGAGGGCAGGTCACCTGAGGTCAGGAGTTCGAGACCAGCCTGGCCAACGTGGTAAAACTCCGTCCCACTAAAAATAGAAAAATTAGCCGAGTGCGGTGGCTCACACCTGTAATCCCAGCACTTTGGGAGGCCAAGGCGGGCGGATCACAAGGTCAGGAGTTTGAGACCAGCCTGGCCAACGTGACGAAACCCCATCTGTACAGAAAATACAAAAAGTAGCTAGGCCTGGTGGTACATGCCTGTAATCCCAAGAACTCAGGAGGATGAGTCAGGAGAATTGCTTGAACCCAGGAGGCGGATGTTGCATTGAACTGAGATCACACCACTGCACTCTAGCCTGGGTGACAGAGCAAGACTGCATCTCAAAAACAAAACAAAACAAAACAAAACAAAACCAGGGAATGATGACGTGTCTCTTTTCAAGTCTATCTTAGAATATCACCAGTGAAACAGCCCCCACTATATTATTAGCTTAATGAATCATGAACATTGACCTGTTGCCTCCATTTCTCTGTGGTAGAGTATTAGGCCAGATTTTAAAGCTCCTATTGGGGTTGAGAAATTATTTCCAAGTAAGACTCTGGAATGTATTTCCAAAGAGAATACATTTTTCTCATGAGAAAATCTTTGAGTAAATTAAAAATCATAAACTAAAGAGTCTTGTTGATTTCAACTAGGAAACAGAAAGTTGAATCTGTTCTTTATGTACGCAAGCATGCATTTCAAGCAAAATGCTTTAAGATGAGTATACACAAACCGATCTAGGAATTCCCCTTCTTCAAATTTATCATAGCATGTAATGAACTCAGAAAAAGGTTTGAGAACAAAGATCTTCATCACAGCATTATCATGATTTATAATAATGAAAACGTGGAAATAAACCTAAAAGTCCAAAAACAGGATAATTTTAGGGCCTAGTGAAATATAGCAAAGGCCTTTTTAAAATGGGGTTTTAAAAATCTGTATTACTTTTCAGATTATAGAGATAATAGCAATATACAAAAATTGAAAAAAAAAATTAAACCTCCAAATATTTCCCCACAATCTGCACCTCCCTCCCCACCCACCCCCATGTTTTTTTAAGACAGAGTCTTGCTCTGTCGCTCAGGCTGGACACTGCAACCTCCACCTCCCAGGTTAAAGCGATTCTCCTGCCTCAGCCACCCAAGTAGCTGGGCTTACAGGCGACCATCACTATTCCCAGCTAATTTTTGTATTTTTAGGAGAGACAGGGTTTTGCCACAATGGCCAGGCTGGTCTGGAACTCCTGGCCTCAAGTGATCGGCCTACCTCAGCCTCCCAAAGTGCTGGGATTACAGGCGTTGAGCCACTGCGCCTGGCCACAATCCCTCTTTCTTAAGAGACAAGTAAAATTAAGTGCTTGGTGAATATTTTATATGATCATCCTATAATACTGCTTTGCAGTCTGCTTTTATATTTCCCAAATTTTCTATGATTGGCATGTTAAAAATAGTACTGGCTTTTCTACATCCAAAAATAATATAGTTTTTTTTTTGGTAGGCAAACTGGAAAATATAGATAACCCCAGATAAAAAATAGGAAGTCACTCATGATCTCCCTATCCTGAGATAATAACTATTGCCATTTAGATAATACTGTGTGTTTTCTATTTTACAGAAATAAAATTATACTGGCCATAATTTTTATAACTGCCCTTTGTCACTTAAATGTATTGTGAACAGTTTTTAAATATTATTAAATGCTCTTCTACAAAATGATTATTTGGCCACACAGTACTATAATTCATATATGGGCATTCAGTTGTTACCAGTGTTTGCTTTCATAATTGATGCATGAATATTTGCATGGATAAGTCTTTGTGCATGTATACTGTATAGCATCTGGAGGCCAGGCGCCGTGGCTCATGCCTGTAATCCCAGCACTTTGTGGGGCTGAGGTGGGTGGATCACTTGAGATCAGGAGTTTTAGACTAGCCTGGCCAACATGACAAAACCCCGTGTACTAAAAATACAAAAATTAGCCCGGCATGGTGGCTGGTGCTAATCCCAGCCACTTGGGAGGCTGAGGCAGGGGAATCGCTCGAACCTGGGAGGCAGAGGTTACAGTGTCCAGCCTGAGCAACAGAGCAAGACTCTGTCTTAAAAAAAAAAAAAAAAAAAAAAGCCGGGCGTGGTGGCTCACATCTGTAATCCTAGCACTTTGGGAGGCCTAGGAGGGTGGATCACGAAGTCAGGAGATCGAGACCATCCTGGCTAACACGGTGAAACCCCGTCTCTACTAAAAATACAAAAAATTAGCCGGCGTGGTGGCAGGCACCTGTAGTCCCAGCTACTGAGGAGGCTGAAGCAGGAGAATGGCGTGAACCCGAGAGGCAGAGCTTGCAGTGAGCCAAGATCGCGCCACTGCACTCCACCTGGGGGACAGAGCGAGACTCTGTCTCAAAAAAAATTAAAAATAAATAAATAAATAAATAAATAAGGTTGGGGGTAGGTGTGGATTGTGGAGGAGGTGGAGGTTGCAGTAAGCCAAGATTGCACCACTGCACTCCAGCCTGGGCAGACAGAGCAAGACTCCATCTCAAAAAGAAAAAAAAAAAAAATTCATCTGAATAAATAGCTAGAAATGGAATTGCTGAGTCAGGTAGTCTGCAACATTTTAATGTTTATGATACTTATTGCCAAGATATTTCAGAAAAAGATTTAGCAAGTTTTCTTCCCAGCAGTGGTATGAGATAGTGGTCATTTTCCACACTTTCAGCAGTGCCAGATGTTACTAATCTGGGGACTAACTTTCATTATTTTTTTCTTATTTAAAAAATGATAAAGGTTTGTTATAAAAACTTAGAATGTACAAACAAATAAAAGAAAAGAAAATTCATTTATGATACCATCAATCACTGATTTTCTGTTACTGTATATGTACTTATATGCACATGTACATTTATATTTCTTAATTTACTAAAATTAAATCATGGGAGTAATAAATAACACCTAATAGTGCCTGTAATCCCAGCACTTTAGGAGGCTGAGGCAGATAGATCACTTGAGGCCGGGAGTTTGACACCAGCCTGGGCAACACAGTGAAACCCTATCTCTACTAAAAATACAAAAGTGAGCTGGGCATTGTGGCACACACCTGTAATCCCAGCTACTCAGGAGGCTGAGACACAAGAATCGCTTGAACTTAGGAGGCGGAGGTTGCAGCGAGCCAAGGTCATACCACTGCACTCCAGTCTGGGTGACAGAGCAAGAATCTGTTTCAAAAAAAAAAAAAAAAAAAAAAAAAACCCCACAAAAACAAAATTAAAAAAACTACCTAATAGTACATATTAATATTACTTAATATTACTTTGTGCAAGATCCTATGCTATTGGTTTAAAGTGAGTTAGCTCCTTGAATCTTTATACCCCCATATAATAATAGTATTGTTAGTATTCGTGTTCCCATTTTTTTATAAAAAGGAAAACTGAGTAGAAAAATTAAGAAACTGATCCTAGGTAACACAGCTGATATGTGGCAGAGCTGAAATTAATCTATATTCAGAGCCCCTCTTCTTATGTCCAATAGCAGCCTCTAGAGGAGTCTATTCCTTCTCACCTGGGATGGTCAATTTGCTAAAGGCATAAGTCATAACCTGACTCCTTTTACTTAGGAGGATTTATTACTTTTAATTAAAAGGAAGCCTATATATAAAAATTATTGAATAAATAAATAAACTGGGAGGTGGGGAGCAATCCTTCTTACAGAAGAATTCCAAGTACTGTTATGTAGATACTCCTCCCTCCAAGGGGTGGAGCTTAGCTCACCTTCCCCTTGAGAATGGGTTGGACTTAGTGACTGTCTCCCCAAGAACAGAGTATGGAAAGGGGAAAAAAACTGAGACTTTGCAAAGGAGAAACCTGGCAGAGCTCACTGTAATCATGTGACCTGGTGAACATCACCAGTATAAATCCTGTTGACGTCATGTACCCCCGATCTGGGGTAATGAGGAGGGCACCGTACCTCTGGTATTCTTCCCACAATTCATAACCCCAGTATAATTATGAGACATTAACATGAAACAAACTCAAGCTGAGGGACAGTCTACAAAATACCTGACCAGTACTCCTCACAACTATTAACCAAGAAACTGTCACAGAGCAGAGGAGGCTGAGGAGACACAATGATGAAATGCAATGTGGGATCCTGGATTGAATACTAGAACATGAAAAGAACATTTGCGGAAAAACTGGTGAAATTCAAATAAAGTCGGGAGTTTAATGGACCACTGTTGGTTTCTGTACCATAGTTTCATGTGATATTAACATTAGGCAAAGCCAGATGAGGGATGTAAAGGAATTATCAATGTTATCTTTTCACCTTTTCTGTAAATCTAGAATTATTGAAAAATAAAAGGTGTATTTAAAAAAGGATGCTAGGCCAAGTGTGGTGGCTCACATCTGTAATTCCAGAATTTTGAAAGGCTGAGGCAGGAGGATCGTTTGAGCCCAAAGAGTTCAAGACCAGACTAGGCAACATAGAAAGACCCCACCACTATTTTATTAAAACAAAAAGAAAATAAAAACACACAAAAATAGGATGCTTGTTTCGATATGAACACCACTTGTGGGTAGCAGAGATGAGGTTCCAGCTATGGCAGGCTTTTCAGACCATCAGAACCTGAACCAGACCCCTCTCTTCTTTTTTGTTTTTTTGTTTGTTTGTTTTTTTGTTTTGATGGAGTTTCATTCTGTCACCCAGGCTGGACAGCAATGGCATGATCTCAGCTCACTGCAACCTCCGCCTTCCAGGTTCAAGCGATTCTCCTGCCTCAGCCTCCCAAGTATTTGGGATTACAGGTACCTACCACCATGCCAGGCTAATTTTTATATTTTTAATAGAGATGGGGTTTCACCATGTTGGCCAGGCTGTTCTCAAACTCCTGACCTCAGGTGGTCCACCTGCCTTGGCCTCCCAAACTGCTGGGATTATCGGCGTGAGCCACCATGCTCAGCCCCTCTCTTGTCATTGTTTCCTGGTGAGGGGGCACATCCAGCCAGAGTGAGATCAATAGGGAAAAGTCAGGTGGGGCGGGGCCGACTGATCTCTAGGGCCTGATCCCAGGGACTACTACTAGTTTTTCTGCAAGAGTTGGTTTTATAGTTTCTGCAGAACTGACAGACCTCTGATATTGATTAGTCCATGCATGCCTCTGATATATTTCTAACTCTAAATATTAGCAAGCAAAGGAGAAGGCGGTACAGCCTATTCCTTGGTTCACCTCAAGTATGGAAAAGAAAAGTATGTCAGGATCACCAAGTACTCAGAGAACAATAAAACCCTGTGTGTTATATTTTGCTGGATTGTCTCCCCAATATTTCCTTAGATCATGAACTGTTTCCCTGGCTACAAAGACCAACTCACTAGGACAAAGAGCACAGAGGATGTATCATTCCAGGAATATGTAATGGCAAATGCCAAGCTTTTGAATGAATATGTATATATGTGTCGTAACCATTGGAAAGAGACTTATTGTAGACTTATAAACTAATATAGCTCTCAACCACTTTGTAATCTGCTGCTTTACTTTTTTTCACTTAGTAAATTATGAACATCTGTCCATGTTATTAAATGTTCTTCTACAAATCTTCCACAGATATATTGATCAAAATGACTAGATAAATTAAGAGGCACACATCAAGTTCTGTGGTTGTTTAAAAGAATGAGATAGATCTCCATTTACTCATATTGAAGAGTCTCCAAAAATTAAGTGTAAAGAGCCAAGGGGTTAGGCACAGTGGTTCATGCCTATAATTCTGCACTTTGGGAGGCCGAGGCCAGAGGATTATTTGAGCCCAGGAGTTCAAGACCAGCCTGGGCAACATAGTGAGTCCCTGTCTCTACAAAAAATGAAAAAATTATCCAGGTGTGGTGGTGCACACCTGTAGTCCCAGCTACTCAGGAGGCTGAGGTGGGAGGATCACTTGAACCCAGGAAGTCAAGTCTGCAGTGAGCTGTGATCATGCCACTGCACTCCAGCCTGGGTGACAAAGTGAGACCCTGTCTCAAAAAAAAAAAAAAACACAAAAAGCCAAGATCAGAGTAGTAGGTATAATATGCCACCATATATATAAAAGAAAATATAGATATTCACTTTAACCTGGGAGGCAGAAGTTGCAGTGAGCCCAGGTCACGCTGCTGCACTCCAGCTTGGGTGATAGAATGAGACTCCACCTCAAAAAAAAAAAAAAAAAAAAAAAAAAAAAGATAGATACGACATAGCAGGAGAGACTGTCTCTGAATGGATTAGATTGAAAGGGAAACATTTTAGTTGCCTTCAAGGAGGAAACTCAGTGGCTGAAGGATAAGGATGGAAAAAAAGTTTATTTTTTTAATGGAATAGCCTTTTGTATCTTAAAATTTTGTATGATATTCATCAATTATTTATTTTAAAGGAATAATTTTTTTAAGTTACAATGTCATAGTTAATGCCAGCCTAGTATTTGCATTAGGCTCTTTCTTTCCTTCCTTCTTTCTTTCTCTCTCTTTCTTTCTTTTCTTTCTCTTTCTTTCTTTTTTTTTTTAGAGATGGGGTCTTGCTATGATTCCCAGGCTGGTCTTGAACTCCTGGGCTCAAGCAATCCTCCCCACTTGGCCTCCCAAAGTGCTGGGATTACAGGTGTGAGCCACCATGCCTGGCCTGCATTAGGCTCTTTCTGATTATCACTATTATATATAAGGCTGTATGCCACCTCTTAGTAGCTAAATCTTTGCCCACATTAATGCCAATTTCCTTCAAATAACTTACTAAAAATAAAATTGCTGAGTCAAAAGGTGGGAACATTTTTAGAATTTTTGGTATGTTTTGCTAAATTCTCCAGAAAAAAATGAACTCACACCCCCACCATCATATTTCGCTGTACACTTCACTGATGGTAAAGAGGTTTGCTTTTTGTTTTTTGTGTTTTTTTTCCTTCTCATTTTGGTAGGATAAAAATATAATGGAATTTTTTGTTTGTCTGTTTCAGGAGGAGAACATGGATGGTAAGCTTTTCAGGTCCTTGCATATATATCTTCATAGTTTTGTCCATTACAGATTATTTTTATTTTTATTATTTTAGAGTCAGGGTCTGTCTACGTTGCCCAGGCAAGTCACAAACTCCTGGGCTTATGCAATTGTCCCACCTCAGCCTCCACCTGGCTAGGACAACAGGTGTGTGCCAGTACTCCCAGCCCATTGTAGATTTTAAAGTTTGGTATAATTTTGTTTCACAACTTTGAAGACAGACTGTCCATTACCTTCTAATACCCAGCACTGCTGATGTAGAGTATGGCATTGTCTGACTTGGGTCTCTTTGTAAGTTACCAGGTTTCTTTCTTCCCTTCTGGTAGTTTTTATTTTATTTTATTTTATTTTATTTTTGAGTCAGAGTCTTGCTGTGTTGGCCAGGCTGGAATGCAGTGGTGTGATCTCGGCTCACTGCAACCTCCACCTCCGGGGCTTAAGCGATTCTCCTGCCTCAGGCCCCCAAGCAGATGGGACTACAGGCACCAGCCACCATGCCTGGCTAATTTTGTGTGTGTTTTTAGTAGAGACGGGTTTCACCATCTTGGCCAGGCTAATCCCAAACCCCTGACCTCAAATGGTCTACCCGCCTCAGCCTCCCAAAGTGCTGGAATTACAGGTGTGAGCCACCACACCCAGCCTGGAAGCTTTTAGAGTTTGGACTTCATAGTTGGCTTTTGCTAGATTACGCTGCTTCACAACCTCAAATCTTGTAGTTTACAACGACAAATATTTACTCCTGCTCATGTTACAGGTCAGAGGCTGTGTTTGGCTGCTGCAGCTCTGCTCCAGGCTGCATTGAGAATCGATTTCGAGTGTCTTCTCATTCAGGGACCCAGGCCAAAGGAGCAGCTCATATGGGAAATATGCCCTTCTCATGGCAGAGGGCACAGGAAACTTGAAATACCCTTAAAATGTTCTGTTCAGGAGTGGTGTGTGTCACATCTGGTCACAGTTCATTTTCCAAGGCAAATTAATGGGCCAAGTTCAAGTCTAGGTCACCTGCCTGGAAGGAGCAAGTGAACGGGTCTTCTCCTTGGAGTTCTGAATTTTCCCTAGGAAGTATCCAGCCATGAATTCAGCTTCTTTATTTTCATAATAACTCTATCCAAATAAAGCATTTTGTGAGTAGTAGTCTTTACTAAAAAAAAAAAAAAAAAAAAAAAAAGGAAGAAAATATGAAAGAAGAGGCAGGGTATTTATAGCAGTGGCACAAAAAAACTTCAAATTTCAGTTTTGACATTCATGAGTATAAAAGACCTTTGATTCCCTGACCAAAGGGGGTCCTTCGGCTCCCGCTTCAACCCATGTCATAACCACACGTCTTGCTGTCTTCTCTCTCCTCTTCATCCTCCTCTCTCTCCTCTCCACCTCCTCACTCTCCAGTTCTTGGAATTTGGGGATTGATATTCTGGAACTTGAGCAGGAAGTGGGTGACCTGACAGAAGAAGATTAAACATGGCTGTTTCAGTTATCTTTGGCTGCTTAACAAACCACCCCAAAATGCAGTGCCTGAAAGCAACAGCCATTTTATTATCTCTCACAATTCTGTGGGTTAGCTGGAGCTCAGCGGGATGATTATTTCTGTTGGTCTCCTTTGCGGCCTCACGTGCTGCTGCCGTCAGATAATGGTGGGGCTGAAACATCAAGATGGCTTCCCTCATGTGTCTGGTAGGAGCTTAGTGGTGGGGCTGAAACATCAAGATGGCTTCCCTCATGTGTCTGGTAGGAGCCTGGGCTCAGCTGGGGCGCTGAGGCACCCAGGCCTCTCTCTCTACCCCCGATAATCTCAGGGCTCTTCTCTCTCCTGTGGTCTCTCCATGTAGTCCCTCTAGCAGGGTAGCAGGACTTGTTACATGTTTGCTCAGAGCACCAAAACGTGCAAATGCAGGAGCTACCAGGCCTTAAAGCCTAGGCCCGGCCAGGTGCGGTGACTCACGCCTGTAATCCCAGCACTTTGGGAGGCTGAGGCAGGCTGATGACGAGGGCAGGAACTCGAGACCAGCCTGGCCAACATGGTGGAAACCCGTCTCTACTAAAGATACAAAAAATTAGCCAGGCATGGTGGTGTGGCGCCTGTAATCCCAGCTACTCCAGAGGCTGAGGCAGAAGAATTGCTTGAACCTGGGAGGTGGAGGTTGCAGTGAGCTGAGATTGCGCCATTGCACTCCAGCCTGGGTGACAGGGTGAGACCCTGTCTCAAAAAAAAAAAGCCTAGGCCCAGGGTCAGCAGAGTATCACTTCTGTAATTTCCTACTAGGTCAAGTGAGTACCAAGGACAGCGTGGCAGGTGACCATACAGACGCCTGAATAACAGGAGGCATGCTGCATTGAGGCCTACCTTTGGAAAAAGATACCACGATGCTTTAACAACCGTGGTTAATAGTGTTCATGCCTTTGTTAATTGTACTCATGAAGTAGTAATAAAGGTTAATATTCACCATTGGCATTATCAAATATTAAAGTACTGGCCAGGCGTGGTGGCTCATGCCTGTATTGCCAGCAATTTGGGAGGCTGAGGCAGGTGGATCACTTGAGGTTAGGAGTTCGAGACCAGCCTGGCCAACATGGTGAAACCCCGTCTCCATTAAAAATACAAAAAAATTACCGAGATGTGGCCAGGCACGGTGGCTCACCCCTGTAATCCCAGCACTTTGGGAGGCCGAGGCAATTGGATCACGAAGTCAGGCATTCAAGACCAGCCTGGCCAACATAGTGAAACCCTGTCTCTACTAAAATTACAAAAAATTAGCTGGGCATGGTGGCGGGCACCTGTAATCCCAGATACTTGGGAGGCTGAGGCAGGAGAATCGCTTGAACCTGGAGGCGGAGGTTGCAGTGAGCCGAGATCGCGCCACTGCTCTCCAGCCTGAGAGACAGTGCGAGACTCCATCTCAAAAAAAAAAAAAAAAAATTACCCAGGTGTGGTGGTGTGGTGGCGGGCGCCTGTAGTCCCAGCTACTCGGGAGGCTGAGACACGAGAATCACTTGAACCTGGGAGGCAGAGGTTGCAGTGATCTGAGATCTCGCCATTGCACTCCAGCTTGGGCAACAGAGCAAGAGTACATCTCAAAATAAATAAATAAATAAATAAAAATTAAAGTACTGATTTTAAACTAAATCCTTTTTTTTTTTTTTTTGAGACGGAGTCTCGCTCTGTCGCCCAGGCTGGAGGGCAGTGGTGCAATCTCAGCTCACTGCAACCTCCGCTTCCCGAGTTCACGCCATTCTCCTGCCTCAGCCTCCTGAGTAGCTGGGACTACAGGCGCCTGCCACAGTGCCCAGCTAATGTTTTGTATTTTTAGTAGAGACGGGGTTTTACCGTGTTAGCCAGGATGATCTCGATTTCCTGACCTCGTGATCCGCCCGCCTTGGCCTCCCAGAGTGCTAGGATTACAGGCGTGAACCACCGCGCCTGGCCGAGGATTTTGATTTTTGATACCTCTCATTCCTACCTTCCTTCCCTTCCAAATAGATACAGCATTATAGGCTGGGCGTGGTGGCTCACACCGGTAATCCCAGCACTTTGGGAGGCCCACTTGAGGTCAGAAGTTTGACACAAGCTTGGCCAACATGATGAAATCCCATCTCTACTAAAAATACAAAAATTAGCCAGGTGTGGTGGTGTGCACCTGTGATCCCAGCTACTCGGGAGACTGAGGCAGGAGAATCACTTGAACCTGAGAGGCAGAGGTTGCAGTGAGCCGATATCATGCCATTGCACTCCAGCCTGGGTGACAAGAGTGAAGACTCCATCTCAAAACAAAAAGAAAAGATATAGCATTAATAGTATTATTTAGTTTATCTGTTGAATAACTTTATACCTTTAAATAATACACTTACGCTTTTTTTAAACCCATCAACAGTGTTTAGTTCATAAACTGGGAGATATTATCACACCTAGCTGTCCCATAATGATGTGTGGCCGGGCACCTTCTCCTTCTAGGATCAGCTTATCCTCAGCAGGGCTGACCCACCCTCCTTTTGGGAGAGACTCTGTGGCTATGAAAGGGAGGCTCACTATTGTTCCGGATGGGGAAGTTGAACTCTGACTGCGAAACAGTAGCAAACCTAATTCTGATTATGGCAAGCTACATTCCCTAATATGAGGTTTATAGTAGTAAAAATAAAAAAAAAAAATTATGTCATATCTCAGACACCTGGGTTCAGTTCATAATTGATTCAGAAACCACAGTCATGAAAGGGCATAACTGATTCTCACCTCTCAACCCCAATGCCCAGAATCTCTACTGAATTTAGAATCCTCTTTAAAACTTTATTGCTGTGGGTTTGTTTGTTTGTTTGTTTGTTTGTTTGTTTTTGAGACAGGATCTCGTTCTGTCACCCAGGGTGGAGTGCAGTGGAATGATCATGGCTCACTGCAACCTTGAACTCCTAGCTGTAAGCAATCCTCTCGCCTCAGCCTCCCGAGTAGCTAGGACTACAGGAGCGTGCCACCACACCCAGCTAATTAAATTTTTTTTTTTTTTTTTTTTTTGTAGAGACAGGTTTTCACTATGTTGCCTATGCTGATCTTGAACTCCTGGCCTCAGTCTCCCAAAATGCTGGGATTATAGGCATGAGCCATGGTGCCCAGTGGGAATCTGCTTTCAGAAGGTCAGGAATGATAGGAGATCAGTCACAGATCCATGGGAGGGACTGGAAAGGAATTAAGCCTGGCTCTTTACAGCTTCAGGAGCCTCTGCAGTGTGTTCTATTCCATCTCCTCTACAAACAGCTCATAGTGCCTGCGGCATGGGTCCCCTTTACTATCTATGGAGAGTTTGCCTTGGGAATACTCACCAGGGTCCCGGTCTCCTCCCTCAGGAAGATGTTCAATTGCTGGCACTGGGCGTATGTCCCATGTAGGATGACAGTCACCTCACTCTGTGGGGACCTGACTTGCTTATGTTGACCAACATGCTACAACCAATCAGGTGGAGTCAGTGGGCTGGCAGTGGGACTGGGGGAAAGCAGGACAGCAACTCCATGTAAAAGGAGGAGAAACCTCAGCTTTCTTCTTTGTTTTATTTGTTAGAGATGGGATCTTGCTATGTTGTCCAGGCTGGTCTTGAACTCCTGGGCTCAAGCAATCCTCCCACCCTGGCTTCCCAAAGTCCTGGGATTACAGGCATGAGCCACCACTCCCACCTGAACCTTTCTTGAAGATGATTGAGTTTAAATAGTGAAATAGTCTCTGAAAGAAAATTTTCCCATCATGGCATTTTATGGGAAGAACTGCACATTTCACTTAAAAAGTCTGTTTTGGCTAAAATAAGTATATTTCCAGGGTCCTTTTTATACTCTTGAGAATCCAATAATAGCCTTAGACCTTTTAAAAGTGTGGGGAAAGCACAGGACTGGGGTGGTATCCAGATACTCAAAGATGACCCTAATTATTCTCATCTCCTAGTGCTCATGTCTTCGTGTCATCTCCTCCCACATTGAATGGGGATGACTTGTTTAACTAATAGGATATGGAAGAAATGATGGATGTCACTTCTGAGGCAAGGTCCTACAAGAGATGGAGGCCTTTGCCTTGCTCTCTTGGATCATTTGCTCTAGGGGAAGCTAGCTGCCATGTCATGAGGACACTTAAGTAGCCTAATAGGAAGGTCCTTGAGGCAAGGAACAGAGGCTCCTGCCAACTGAACACCAACTTGCCAGCCATGGGAATGAGCCATCTTGTAACGGGATCTTCCAGCCCCAGTCAAGCCTACTGGTGACCACAGCCTCAGTTGACATCTTGGCTGCAACCTCATAAGGGATCCTGCCCAGCTAAGCTGCTCTGCATTCCTAACCCGTAGAAACTGAAATAGTATATGTCTATTGTTTCAAGCTGCCGAGTTTTGGGTGATTTCTTATGCAGGACCACTAATATACCATGGCATTACTTCTTGGTAGGATTGTTTAGCATCTGACAGATGTTATAAGGCTTGGCTTCTGGCAGAGAACTCTTAGCAGATTATGTAAATGGGTCCAATGTTAGCAGAGAGCAGAAAAACAGCCCTGGGGGTTGTCTCAGGAGGTGATTTCTCCATCTAGAAAGGAAAGTGATATCATTACCCATTTCTGATAGTATTACCCTTTGATTTTATTTAGAATATATTAAAATATTAAATATTTTTATCCATTTGGAATTTTAGTGCAGAGTGCTTGCAAGGAATGGTTCGAATGACAGATTTTTGCGGCCGGGCACGGTGGCTCACGTCTGTAATCCCAGCACTTTCGGAGGCCGAGGTGAGTGGATCGCCTGAGGTCAGGAGTTCGAGACCAGCCTGGCCAACATAGTGAAACCCCGTCTCTACCAAAAATACAAAAAATTAGCCAGGCATGGTGGCAGGCGCCTGTAGTCCCAGCTACTTAGGAGGCTGAGGCAGGAGAATGGCGTGAACCCAGGAGGCGGAGCTTGAAGTGAGCTGAGATCTCTCCACTGCCCTCCAGCCTGGGCAACAGAGCAAGACTCTGTCTCAAAAAAAAAAAAAAAAAAAAATATGACTTGGTATTGATTTTATAGGGAGAAATTAAAGAGCTTTCATACAGCTGTGATGGAAGAGCCAAGGAAAAGAGTGATCAAGCTAAAGTTATTATATCGGAGTAAAAAAAAACATCTGGCTGGGCATGGTGGCTCACACCTGTAATCCTAGCACTTTGGGAGGCTGAGGTGGGCGGATCACTTGAGGCCAGGAGTTCGAGATCCCAGGCGTGGTGGCACGTGCCTGTAATCCCAGCTACTCAGGAGGCTGAGGCAGGAGAATGGCGTGAACCCGGGAGGCGGAGCTTGAAGTAAGCCGAGATCGCGCCACTGCACTCCAGCCTGGGCAAAAAGAGCGAAATTCCATCTTAAAAATAAATAAATAGGCCAGGCGAGGTGCCTCACGCCTGTCATCCCGGCACTTTGGGAGTCCGAAACGGGCGGATCATGAGATCAGGAGATCGAGACCATCCTGGCTAACACGGCGAAACCCCGTCTCTACTAAAAATACAAAAACAAAATTAGCCGGGCGTGGTGGCGGGCGCCTGTGGTCCCAGCTACTCAGGAGGCTGAGGCGGGAGAATGGCGTGAACCCGGGAGGCGGAGCTTGCAGTGAGCCGAGATCGCGCCACTGCACTCCAGCCTAAGCGACAGAGCGAGACTCCCTCTTGAAAAAAAAATAATAAAATAAAATAATAAATGGATAATCACACAGTAATTCAAATCCCTCTTGCAGGGGGATAAGAGAAATGTCAGGGAAAGCTTGAGGGCTACATAACAAATACAAGTGTGGTAAGTTGCTCAACATCATTAGTCATTAGGGAAATGAAAATCAAAAGCACAATGAAATGCCTCTTCACACATACATTAGGATGGCTATTATAAAAAAATGGAAAATAACAAGTGTTGGCTATGATGTGGAGAGAATGGAATTATCATGCATTACTGGTGGGAATGTAAAGTGGTGCTGTGGAAAACTTTGGTAGCTTCTCAAAAAGTTAAACATAGAATTACCATACAATCTAGCAATTCCACTTTTAGATACATATCCAAAGGTTTTGAAAGCATAAATTCAAACAGATACTTATATATTAATGTTCATATTAGCATTATTCACAATATCCAAAAGGTGGAAAGTAACCAAATGTCCATCAACAGATGAATGAATAAACAAAACATGATACATGCATATTAGGAATATTATTCAGCTTTAAAAAGGAAGGAAATCCTGACGCATACTAAAACAGGGATAAACTTTGAAAACATCATGCTAAGTGCAAGAAGTCAGACACAAAAGGACAACTATTATATTATTCCAGTTATATGAGGTACCTAGAACAGTCAAATTATTAGAGACAGAAAGTATAATAGTGGTTAACAGGGGCTGGGGGAAGGGAGGTAAGAAGTTTTTGTTGAATGCATACAGAGTATCAGTCTGGGATGATGAAAAAGTTCTGGAAATGGATAATGGTGATGGTTGCACAACACTGAATTCATTTAATGCCACTGAATTGCACACTTAAGATGGTTAAATGGTAAATTTTATGTATATTTTACCACTATTTTTTTAAAAGCAGAAAAAGGAACAAACTGTGAATATAATCAACCACATACATGAAAGATTTGCTATGTCAGATAAATGATGTTGAGTGAAAGAATCCAGGCACAAAAAGAGTCATGATTCCATTTATAAGTCTGAAATAGGTATATTTATTGTTAAATACAACTTATAGGAGGCGATTGGTTTAGACTGAGCTCCTGCACTAGGCCCCAATAGAGCAAATCAAAATGCAGTCATTCCTGCTAAAGTTTCATGTCACCAAATGAAATTGTTTATCCGATCTTCCAAGAAATCAGGAGAGAGAGAGAGAATAGCCAAATCCCTAAACAGGCCAGTTTTAGCCTAGTATGTAAGAAAGTCTCCTCAGTTTTAACCCTATAAGGAAAGAAACTTTAAGGCGATCAATCTGCTTTTTGTTCCCTATTTCTGCTTTCTTCAGCCCTTTTCTGCCCATAAAGCCAACTTCCTCTGCTCAGCTCATTGGAGCCTTTTCTGAATTTTTAGAGAAGATCTTCCCGTGGTTCACAAATCACAAATAGAAGCCAATTAGATTATTTAAATTTGTTGTAATTTTGTCTTTTGACACTAACTTACAGTGATAGACATCAGAAGAGTGGTTGTATTTAGGCTGGGGCAAGTAAGGTTGATTGGAAAGGGGCATAAGGAGGGTGTCCCTTGAGAGTGATGAAAATGTTCTATATATTTATTGGGGTGGTGGTTACCATTGGTGGTGTATACAGTTGTCCAAACTCATGGAACTGTACACCTAGTATCTGTGCAGTCTATATAAAGGATATGCCAATTAAAAGCAAACAAACAAAACAGTATGATGCAAAAAACAAAACCAAAGTAAAAATTTTTTTTAGTTAGAAGTAAGAGCTATTGTAAAATAAAATGATAGAATGCAATTCTGCTTCAAGACTTTAGGTTTTTCTGAGTAGCCAGAGCTCATTTCTTCACTGGTCAGTCGAACCAACATGAAAAATCCACAACTCTCAAGACGAACTTAAAATATTTTGCCATTATTTCTTGGGGCTTTTTTTGTTTTGTTTTAGCTTTCTTCTTTTTTTTCTTTTTTTGAGACAGAGTCTTGCTCTGTCACCGAGGCTGGAGTGCAGTGGTGCAATCTCAGCTCACTGCAGCCTCCGCCTCCTGGTTTCAAGCGATTCTCCTGCCTCAGTCTCCTGAATAGCTGGGATTACAGGTGTGTGCCACCATGCCTGGCTCATTTTTGTATTTTTAGTAGAAATGGGGTTTCACCATGTTGGCCAGGCTGGTATTGAACTTCTGATCTCAAGTGATCCGCCTGCCTTGGCCTCCCAAAGTGCTGGTATTCCAGGCATGAGCCACCGAACCCGGCCTTGTTTTAGCTGTTAATATAAGTTAACATTAATCAGGAAAAGGGCTTTAATCTCCTCAACTCCCAAGTATTGCTTTCCCAAGCATCTCCTTTATGGTCTATGTATTCTTGACAATTTTCTGATTTTAGAAAAATACTCCCCTTACATACTCTATGGTAGTCTACTCAATGAGATATTAATTTTGGTAAATACAAATTTGGTGACAAAAAGATTCTGCTTGGTTTTCTGCTGAAAAAGACACAAGCAATTGATTAAATCATCAACGCAAACTGAAATGTAAATCCCCAACCAAACCTTCTCGGAACCACACCCAACTTTCTGGGTAGTAGGGCAGAGCCTGGAGAAATAGGTCAGCCAGGGCTGCAGGGAGCTAGAAAGATAGATGAAAGAGGGAGGATCCCATTCATTTTCAGTGCCATCCACTGTTTTAGGAGCATTACTGTAATTATGTCATTTAAAGAATACAAATAAGAGTATGGAAAAGGGATTTGGGATTCGAACAGAGGTCAAAAAATTCCTTGCCTGTCTTTATCCAGCAAGTACAAAAACATTTCTTGGCAGAAGCTGACAATGACAGATTCCAGGACGGCCTGGGTAGAGGTGGCTGCCAAGAACAGTCACCTCTTAGGAAGTCTAACACCTCCCCCCACCCCAAACAGGTGGCCGGGTCTTTGTAAGACTTGGCTAAACAGCCGATATAAGAAAGTGTGTGTTTAATTTTGGAGAAAGGGCCTGCTGTTTTATATGATTATTTTTAATTAGCTATTTTCTGAGGTTTGATTAAATTTGGAAATAATTGCATCTTGGGAACTATTCCAGAACCTCAGATTGTAAACCTAGGGCTGCCTCAGGAATTTGGGGATGGGTTGTCACCCTCTGACCAATTGCCAGTCCTGAAAACAAGCATCCTTTGTCTATAGAAGAGGTCGTGGCCATGCAAATTTTTCTAGTTCTTCTCTGCCTGGAAAGAGAATCCCATCTGGCTGACTTCTCTTTTTTCTCTATTTTCTTGTATGAAATATGCAAAACACAAATGCATGAGCCACCAGAGCAGCAGACTATGTCGCCTGAATATTGCAGATAAAATGGAAACATGACAAGAAGTTAAAATTTGCCCTTGGAAAAAGCATGCAAAATACACTTTATTTGCATAATGACATTACAACACTTTTAATACATCCAGAAGGGGAAGTCAAGTAAATTATGGGGGAAAAAAGAAAATTGCCAGTTTGAAAAAATTCAGTCATAAATAAACTGTAAAGAGAAATCATTTAAGGATCTAGAATATTTAAAACTGGGATGTGAACTCACTGTTTTATAAATAGAAAAACCTGTTTCATTTTTTGTTTGAGACGGAGTCTTGCTCTGTCACCCAGGCTGGAATGCAGTGGTGCGATCTCAGCTCACTGCAACCTCCGCCTCCCAGGTTCAAGCCATTCTCCTGCCTCAGCCTCCCAGGGAGCAGGGACTACAGGCATGCGCCACCACGCCTGGCTAATTTTTTTTTTTTTGTATTTTTAGTAGAGACGAGGTTTCACTATATTGGCCGGGCTGGTCTCGAACTCCTGACCTCAAGTGATCCACCCGCCTTGGCCTCCCAAAGTGCTGGGATTACAGGCGTGAGCCATGGTGCCTGGCCAAAAAAACCTGTTTCTTTGTAGTGTTAAGATTATGTGTCTGACCCATTTCTGTTTATCACTTTGCAATTTACAAAGCACTTTTACACCCATTATACTATCTGATACTCATGACAATCTATGAGTTAGGTAGGGCAACTATTATTAGACCTGGTTTATACATGAAGAAACTGAAGTTCAGAACAGTGTTGTTCAAGGTCATACATGAGCTTTAATTGGAACCCACGTGCAGGTCTTGACTTTCAAAACTCCTGGACTCTTTACACAATATCCCACTGCTTCTATTCTCTTCCTGAAAATATTACGAAACTAAATAAGTTAACCATAGGGCAAACTCCTTAGTTAATTATATTTACAAGCACAAATTTAGAAAGGCTTTATAGTGTGGTCGTGAAGACCATGGAATGTGAAACCACTGCTTAGCTGTGTGACCTGGTGTAAACTACTAAACCTTCTATGCCTCAGTTTACTCTTCTGTAAGATAGGAATAATAAAAGCCCTTATCTAATCCAGGTTTCCAAAGCAACATGTGAGTTAATACATGTTAAGCACTTGGTACAGTTCCCGGTTCACAGTAATCACTTAATAAGTGCAAGGTATTATTGTTTTTGCAAATTAATTTTTGTGTTTAGGTTACTCCAATAAGAGTAACTGAGATATTTTAAGTAGCTTTGTATGTGTTGTATTACATAGATCCTAAAACTATACAAAATAAAAACTGAAACCAGATATTTCACTATCTCTAGTTTGCTCTTGCCAACTATAAATATATTTCTCTGTTATCTGATTTGGGATCAGACCTCAGAGTCAAATTAATTCGCCTAAAGTCATAACAAAATACTGTAATTTACATCAACCTTGCATCATCCTAGTCTAAGAATCACAGAGACTTCAATGTAATTTGGAACAGCCTTTTGCCCTTTCCAAAAAAATGCTCAAACACTTCGCTTGCTCAAGAACATTTATTATATAGAACATTATTTAGATATCAAGTCCCCTCAGGGAAATATTAAGTAGCAGACTTAGTTTTTACCCTCAAGATACAAGCAAATACACAGTCAAATCATTGAGTCTTTTTGCATCATAATGCAAGGGTGCTCTCAAAAACTCTGGGGCCAGGTGGAAAGAACACAGGAATAGCCTGAAGGGAATTCTATCAGATAAATGAAGAACTAGCTGGACATGAGAAAGAATGGTGGCATTCAAGAATTAGCAACTGAGTTTCCAATGTCTATGAATCCATAGTGATGGGGGTGGTGATGGGGGAGAGGGGGGATAAAGAGAAAGGAAGGCTTTTCTATATAGAAGAATGGCAGCTAATAAACATTCAATGAATACTGGAAATTCACCATTTTGCAACCCCAGTGTTATAATTAATTAAAGCAAGAGTTATCTAAACCTGTGGTTCTCAAATGTCAGTGTGCATCAGAATCACCTAGAGGCTTGTTAAAACAGAGATTACTGGATGCCACCCCAGAGTTTCTAATTCAGCAGGTCTGAAGTGGAACCCAATAATTTGCTTTTCTATCAAACTCCCAGATTATGCCAGTTCCAGAACAACACTTTGAGAACCACTTATCTAAACAATCAGGTGATGGGTTATTGAAGAACAGGATATTCACACAAACAACTGTTCTTCTTTTTCTTCTTCTTCTTTTAATGTAATACTGTTTAACTTCAAAAACATTCCAGCATTCTAAACTAAACAAAACAAAAATAACAGAACGTGCAAATCGAGTTTACGTACAGAAGGTTCTTGAACTTTCATTGATGGCAGTGACTCTTCACTTTGCTGACAATGAAGAGTTCTACAGTTTGTTTAACAAACACTTTGAAAACTATCACACTTAGGCTGGGCGCGGTGGCTCACGCCTGTAATCCTAGCACTGTGGGAGGCCAAGGCAGGTGGATCACGAGGTTAGGAGTTCAAGACCAGACCAGCCTGGCCAATATGGTGAAACCTCCTCTCTACTAAAAACACAAAAATTACCTGGGCATGGTGGCAGTCACCTATAATCCCAGCTACTCGGGAGGCTGAGGCAGAGAATTGCTTAAACCTGGGAGGTGGAGATTGCAGTGAGCCGAGATTGCGCGAGTGCGCTCCAGCCTGGGCAACAGAGCGAGATTCCATCACAAAAAAAAAAAAAAAAGGCCGGGTGCAGTGGCTCACACCTGTAATTCCAGCACTTTGGGAGGCTGAGGCAGCAGATCACCTGAGGTCAGGAGTTCGAGACCAGCCTGACCAACATGGAGAAACCCATCTCTACTAAAAATACAAAATTAGCCGGGCGTGGTGGTGCATGCCTGCAATCCCAGCTATGCAGGAGTCTGAGGCAGGAGAATTGCTTGAACCCGGGAGGCGGAGGTTGTGGTGAGCAGAGATTGCACCTTTGCACTCCAGCCTGGGCAACAAGAGCGAAACTCCGTCTCAAAAAAAAAAAAAATTCCAAACACTTCTTATGTCAACAGACACCGCTAAGTTGGACACAACTAAGAATGGCAGCAGAATGCTGTGTCACTATATACAGAAACAAGACAATCTGAAGCTAAATGTATGACTGCTGCAAAGTCAACAGGTCCAGGCTCACAGTGCATGCGCTGAGCCGCAGCCGCTCCAAAAGGCATCTTCCCCAACAGCCTCAGCGCCAAGCAAGGAGCATCAAAAGTTTGTCTCAGTTTTGTTTTCTTCTTTTTACAAACCATAGATATATACAGTATCAACTGGCCACTGAGTATAACTTTTGACTCTCGAAAAACTTAACTACTAATAGCCTACTGACTAGGAGCCTTACTGATAATATAAAGTCTATTAACATGTGTTTTGTATCTTGTATGTCTTTTTTTTTTTTGAGATGGAGTCTTGCTCTGTTGCCCAGGCTGGAGTGCAGTGGTACAATCTCGGCTCACTGCAACCTCCTCCTCCCAGGTTCAAATGATTCTCCTGCCTCAGCTTCCCAAGTAGCTGGGACTACAGGTGCGTGCCACCACACCCCGCTAATTTTTGTATTTTTGGTAGAGACAGGGTTACTCCATGTTGGCCAGGCTGGTCTCGAACTCCTGACCTCAGGTGACCCGCCCACCTCGGCTTCCCAAAGTGCTGAGATTACAGGCGTGAGCCATCTTGCCCAGCCCTTATATGTCTTATATACTGTATTCTTAAAATAAAGTAAGCTAGAGGAAATAAAATGTTATTGAGAAAATCATAAGGGTCCGGGGGCGGTGGCTCATGCCTGTAATCTTAGTACTTTGGGAGGCTGGGGCAGGTGGATCACTTGAGGCCAGGAGTTCAAGACCAGCCTGGTCAACATGAGGAAACCCCATCTCTACTAAAAATACAACAAATAAGCTGGGCGTGGTGGCACGTGCCTGTAATCCCAGCTACTTGGGAGGCTGAGGCAATGAGAATCACTTGAACCTAGTAGGCGGAGGTTGCAGTGAGCTGAGATTATGCCTTTGCACTCCAGCCTGGGCAACAGAGCAAGACTCAATCTCAAAAAAAAAAAAAGAAAAAAAAAAGGGGTGGGGGTCTTGAACTAAATGTTTTCCATAATGGCAGAGGGTAACAAAGCCTGAAGAAATTAGGCTGGAAGACATTACTGCATGCTGCAGCTACAAAATCAAAAAATAGCAATAGAGAGACACCATCTCCAGCGAAAATTATTTTTGTAACATTGCATCAGAGATTTCTTTTTCTAAGAAAGACGCTTGTCTTAGCAATATAGATTTTAAAATAATGTGAAAGATAAATGTTTTAAGATAACTTTAAAAAAATCAATGTTGCCGCAGCCACTCTGCTTTATATGGGGGACTAGGAATCCTTTACTCTGCAAAAATAAATTAAATAAGTTAACTCAGTTCTTTTGAACTGAGTATTACTTTCTCGCTACATGTAAAACCACAAACCACTTTTGTAAAATTCTTTGTGTGATAATGAGGTAGATTAAGGGAGATCTTTTCAGAAAATATATGTTTCTTTGCTCGGTACTATCTGTAAAAAGAGGCTAGTTGACAATGCATTTCGGATAGGTCCCAGATTACTCTCCTTAAGGAATCCCCATTCCAATCTTGAGGCTGCTCTGAGGAATAAATGCACTTAGAGCTGGAGTAGGCATAATTTCAACGGTGCCTCAAAGACCACCTCTCCGACTCCTGTCTTTTTTAAGTGAATCTCATTAAAGATCTTTTTTTCTTTTTTTTTTTTTTTTTTTGAGATAGAGTCTCGCTCTGTTGTCCAGGCTGGAGTGCAGTGGCGCTATCTTGGCTCACTGCAAGCTCTGCCTCCCGGGTTCACGCCATTCTCTTGCCTCAGCCTCCTGAGTAGCTGGGACTACAGGCGCCCGCCACCACGCCTGGCTAATTTTTTGTATTTTTTAGTAGAGACGGGGTTTCACCGTGTTAGCCAGGATGATCTCGATCTCCTGACCTCGTGACCCGCCTGCCTCAGCCTCCTAAAGTGCTGGGATTACAGGCGTGAGCCACCGTGCCCGGCCTCATTAATAATCTTGATGGTCATCCATGGGGAAAAGTTGGTTCCCCAAAGAAAAGCTCCCACTGGAAGAAGGGGAAGTGACAGGACAGGTAAAAATACAGATTGCATGTCAGTGTTTGGTTCAGTGAAATTAGAATCTCTGAGGAAATAGAACTTCGGAATTAGGCAAGTGAGGGGCTAGGGCAGCAGGATTTGGGTAAGGAATAGGGAGACAAATCATAGAGGTAGCCAGTGGGCAGTATGGGTGGAGGGAAGCTCCCGGTAGTCTGAAGCCTCAGCCTGTCTGTCAGGTGGGGAAGGAGAAGGTGACACAGAGAAACAGGGCCTGCTTTCATTTTTCCTATGTTGCAAGTGCATTATAAATATCACTTTCAGCAAAGCTGATAAGGCTGAAATTATGCAGTTCTGGGCTTAACGTTTTTATATATTTTTATCCCATGCCTCAATCAACATTGCCTTCCCCTCCCACTTCCTCCCACGCTTCTACCCCAGTAAGATACCCTTTTGTCACTTGCTGTCATAGCAATGGGTTGTAGAGCCAGGAAAGGAGGGCAAAGCGAAGGCTTTGAAGGGCTGAGACCTATTTTACTTCTTCTGCAGTATCCAGATCCTTACTTCTTATCCCCAAGGGCCATAGGAATTCTCCCAGTGGTCCCAAACTCTAGTTGGGATCTGCCTTTAGATGAAAGCCAAAGTCAGATGTGCCAGTTGAGAACCAAGAGGGGAAAGTGTGTCCAGCCATTTTGGCTCATCTGCATTCCATGATAATGATATACAAAGAAACACATAATTAAAGACATTCCAAAGTGCACATAAGCATGCACACTTATTTACTTGGTTTTGAGAAGATGTTTTAATTTTTTTTTTTTTTTTTTTTTTTTTTTTATGAGACGGAGTCTTGCTCTGTCTCTCAGGCTGGAGTGCAGTGGCGCCATCTCGGCTCACTGCAAGCTCCGCCTACCGGGTTCACGCCATTCTCCTGCTTCAGCCTCCCAAGTAGCTGGGACTACAGGAGCCCGCCACCACGCCCGGCTAATTTTTTTTTGTATTTTTAGTAGAGATAGGGTTTCACCGTGTTAGCCAGGATGGTCTCGATCTCCTGACCTCGTGATCCGCCTGCCTCGGCCTCCCAAAGTGCTGGGATTATAGGCGTGAGCCACTGCGCCCGGCCATGTTTTAATATTTCATAGTTTTTAAAGTTTATAAAATTGTACAAAATAGCCTTTTCTTTTTCCTCTGGTGGTGGTAACTTAGCATGGGTCTCATTTATTTATTTATTTATTTATTTATTTATTTATTTATTTATTTATTTATTTTTTGAGACGGAGTCTCCCTCTGTTCCAGGCTGGAGTGCCCTGGCGGGATCTCGGCTCACTGCAACTTCCGCCTCCCGTGTTCAAGCTACTATCCTTCCTCAGCCTCCCGAGTAGCTGGGATTACAGGCATGTGCCACCACCCCCGGCTAATTTTTGTATTTTTAGTAGAGATGGGGTTTCACCATGTTGGCCAGGCTGGTCTCGAACTGCTGACCTTGTGATCCTCCAGCCTCAGCCTCCCAAAGTGCTGGGATTACAGGCATGGGCCACCATGCCCGGCCTGGGTCTCATGTTTTTTACAGTGCCCAAATATAGAGTGGCACATGCAATGCATATATCACAAACACAGAAATGTGTTTTTGGTTTCATGAACGTAGGTCAAGGATCCATTTTTCTAGCACTGAGTTTTAAGGGTAAGAGTTGAATAGTGACTAATGATCATACTTACCTCCTAAAAACAAAATGCTGACGAACAAGAAAGGGATTGAGCAAGGGGACCTCTTCAAGTCAGAGCCTGCCATCAGCCCCAGCTGGACCTGACAATAGCCTTACACACTGATGTCCCTCGAAAGATTAATAAACAAAGATATTGGGACTTTCCTCTTGTGAACAGTCTCGCTTTTCAAAAAGATTAATCTGAAAAAGCAATGTACATATAGTCCTTGACATGAGGAGCCACTGGGATGGAGTGAAGCAAGAGCTGACCTTGGAGTTTGTTGACAGCTTTGTAATGGGTGATGTAGGTAGGGCAGAGGGCTTACATTCACTGGGCCCCAGTTTTCTCCTCAGAAAAATGGGGATATTAACAACTGTCTCATAAAATAAAATGTAAGTAAGGTACCTGGGATGTGAGATGCTCAAAAACTGCTAATTTCTTTTCCCCACAGCCAAAGCAATTATTTGAAAAAGGCAGCACGGGGTGATAGAGCATGGCCTATGTATGAAGAATGAAACAGAGGGCTGGCCTGGCATGGTGGCTCATGCCTATAATCCCAGCACTTTGGGAGGCTGAGGTGGGAGGATCGCTTGAGTTCAGGAGTTGGAGCCTAGCTTGGGCCACATAGTGAGATCCTGTCTCTACTAAAAGTTAAAAAACTGTCCAGGCGTGGTGGCTCATGCCTGTAATCCCAGCACTTTGGGAGGCCAAGGAGGGCAGATCATTTGAGGTCAGGAGTTTGAGACCAGCTGGCCAACATAGTGAAACCTGTCTACTAAAAATCCAAAAATTAGCAGGGGCATGGTGGCACATGCCTGTAATCTCAGCTACTGGGGAGGCTGAGGCAGCAGAATAGCTTGAACCCAGGAGGCGGAGGTTGCAGAGAGCCAAGATTGCACCACTGCACTCCAGCCTGGGTGACAGAGTGAGACTGTCTCAAACAAACAAACAAACAAAACCAAGAACGAAGCAGAAGGTAATGGCAACATGAGGGAGCTCCAGGTTGATGATTTTGATTTACTCAATAAAGTAAAAGTCAAGGTCAGGAACAAAAGGCAGGTGGAAATAGATGGGGAAAAAAGGTACAAGAAAAGAGGAAATGCTGTAACTAGGTGTTCTGAAGATTGATGTATAGAGTTTACTAGAGATTCAGTAGATTTCTGGGTGATATTGAGCACCCCTTTGAGGCTTAAGATTAGGAAGTTAAGGTGACACCAAGTGGTGCAATTGTACGATTCTCTAGTAATGCTTGGGTACACAGGAGCACACACAGAACTAGTGGATGTTTGAGGTTATTTGAGACTGGACTTTTTGCAAGGCAAGTGTGGCAAATGGAGAGAGGCAAGGAAATGGAAAAGTATGTTCAAAGGCATAATAATAATAATAATAATAATGAAATTTAAGCTAAAGAGAGAAAAGACAGCAAGAGATTGCTCTTAAAGGAGGAAAGTTATTGATATTCATTTCAAATCTGATGTGAATTATATTACCTTCCCCCTTAGAAGGCAGAGGCAGTTAAGACCAACTCTGTTTTATTTCTTATTTTTATCTCTTTTTTGAGATAGTGTCTCACTCTGTCACCCAGGCTGGAGTGCAGTGGCATTATCTTGGCTCACTGTAACCTCTGTCTCCTGGGTTCAAGTGATCCTCCTGCCACAGCCTCCCAAGTAGCTGGAATTACAGGTGCCCACCACCACGCCTGGCTAATTTTTGTATATATATATTTTTTTTTACTAGAGACAGGGTTCACACCATGTTGACCAGGTTGGTCTCAAACTCCCGACCTCAAGTGATCTGCCTGCCTTGGCCTCCCAAAGTGCTGGGATTACAGGCAGGAGGCACTGTACCCGGCCCCAGCTTTGTTTTGAAATAATAATATTTTATCTCCATCATATTAGCAACTAAACCCAAAAGTTTATCAATAGAATAATACAACATGAGCAAGAAGAGTTTATTTTAGGAATACACAAGTGCTTAAATATTACATTAAATGATGAAAGAATTACCAAATGATCATATGATCAGATACTGTTATCAGTTATCTATTGCTGTGTAACAAACCACCCAAAAACTTTGTAGCATAAAGTAACCAATGGGTTCTACTCATAGATTCTGTGAGTCAGTAATCAGAACAGAGCACAGCAGGGACAATTTATCTCTCCACAATGTCTAGAGCCTCAGCTAAGAAGACTCAAAGTATGGAGTGACTTGATTGCTGAGCAACAGAATCATCTGGCGGTATCATCATTCACTTGTTTGGTACTTGAAGCTGGATATTGTTTCGCACCTCAGCTGGGCTATCAGATGGAAAACTTACACGTGGCCTCTCCGGGTGCTTTCTCCAGGGGTTCATCTGAGCTTTCTCATAGCGTGACTGATGGGTTCCAAGAATAAACATTCCAAGAGAAGAAGGTGGAAGTGCATGGCATTTTTAGGATCCAGCCTCATAAATAACACAGTAGCCCTTCTGCAGTACTTATTTGTCCAGGCAGTCACAGAGATCTTCCTAAGTTCCAGAAAACAGGATATGGACCCCACCAATCTGTATTAGTCAGTGTTCTCCAGAAAAACAGAACCAATAATATACATACAAGAGGAGATTTATTATGGGAATCGGCTCATGCAATTATGGAGGCTGAGAAGTCCCATGATACATTGCCTGCAAGCTGATGAAGCAGGGAAGCTAGTGGTATAATTCAGTCTGAGCCCAAAGGCCTGAGAACCAGGGGAGCCAATAACGTAACTCAGCCTGAGGCCAAGGGCTGAGAAATCAGGGGCCTCTTGCCCAAGAACGTGGAGTTCTGATGCATAAGGGCAGCAAAAGATGGGTCACACCTCTAGAAGAGAGAACACATTTGCCTTGCCTCTGCCTTTTTGTTCTATCCAGGCCCTCGGTGAACATGACGGTGACTGCCCACATTGGATGAGGGCAGATATTCCTTATTTCGTCCACTGATTCAATGCCCATCTCCTCCAGAAACACCTTCACGGACATACCCAGAAATAATGTTTTACCAGATGTCTAGGTTTCCCTTAATTCAGTCAAACTGACACCTAAAATTACCATCACAAGTCCACCCCTTGTCAACTTGTCACACGTCTCCTTTTTAAAAATTTAATTATTATTATGATTTTGCCAAAGCCAAATACTTCTGAACCATATGTGTCTCCTTAGGCCATACTTAATCTTCAAATAAAGACAATAGCAAGCTGGGTGTGGTGGCTCACTCCTGTAATCCCAACACTTTGGGGGGCTGAGGTGGGAGAATCTCTTGAGCCTAAGAGTTCCAGAGCAGCCTGGGCAACATAGTGAGAGCATGTCTCTACCAAAAATAAAAATAAAAATAAATTAGCCAGGCCTGGTGGTCCCAGATACTGGGGACTAAAGTGGGAGGATTGCTTGAGCCCAGGAGTTCAAGGCTGCAGTGAGCCGTGATTGTGCCACTGCACTCCAGCCTGGGCAACAGAGTGAGAACATGTCGGAAAGAAAGAGAGAAAGAGAGAAAAAGAGAAATGGAAGGAAGGAAGGAAGGAAGGAAGAAGGACAGACAGACAATAACAAAGTCATAGTTCCACCTTACATGATACAAGTATCCTGTGTACAACTGAAAACACACTAGTCCCTTCCCCAGTAGAGGGGGTAAAGTTCTTGAGTGATGTTTACTCTTCTGATATCCCATAATTTAAATACCATGATATAAAATTATGAATACTTAAAAATATTGATATAAAGTCAAAACAGCTAGCTTATCTTACATGATAAAGGAATAAGATGGAAAAAACCTGTCTTTGCTTAATATGTGTATATATACACACAAATGTATTTTTTGGGGGTGGGGGACAGGGTCTTACTCTGTTGCCCAGGCTGGAGTGCAGTGGCACGATCTCGGCTCACTGTCACCTATACCTTGCCGGCTTAGGTGATCCTCCTGCTTTAGCCTCTTGAGTAGCTGCAACTACAGGCACACACCACCACACCCAGCTAATTTTTGTATTTTTAGTAGAGACAGAGTTTTGCCATGTTCCCCACCTGGTCTCAAACTCCTGGGCTCAAGCAATCTGCCTGCTTCAGCTTCCTAAAGTGCTGGGATTACAGGTGTGAGCCACCGCGCCTGGCCACAAATGTATTCTTAACAAAATAGGGAGGAAATTCTTATGACAATTACAGTCCTTGAGTCTATAACTGGTCACATGGTTGTAGCTGTTGTTTATAGTTAACTTCTATTATCTATTCTGTATTCTCTCTGCCTTCAGTAAGCATCTCAACTGGTCATAGTTCTTTACTTGGTGGGGTCACCCAAATCTTCATTCCTAAAGGATCTGGGCCATTTGAAGTCCTGCCTGATTTGAGTTGTAGTTTCCCATTGACTTTAATCACAGGGCATGGTAATACTAAGAGGTACCCCAACGGATCTCCTGTATTCCAGACATATTATTTCTTACCAGCATTGTGGAGTATCCAATTTAGTAGTCCCGATCAATCATCCCAGCCAACACCATAACTCCCTTCTTGGTCTGTTGACCCAGAATCATAAGGCACCCAAAGGGAGCAGGTGGCAGTCTTACTTACAATTTAATGAAATCATTGTTGTGTCTCCTGATTAAAGCATTCCTCCCTATAGAACTAAAGACCTTTGGGCCAGCAGAGCATGTCTTGGGAACAGGAAGCAAAAATTTTGCTAGTGGATCACTAGGGATGATGGTGAGTGCTGCCACCTCCATTTCCACCCCTTGATTGCTGGACCCATGAATTCTGATTCTGGGAGAAACAGTACCATATATTGGATGCTGATTCAGAAGAACATACAACCTGCTGGAGAACTTTGCCCCAGCTCTATAAGGTGTTGTCATGTAATGGGCAATATAACTGCATCTTCAAAAGGCCATTCCACCATTCTATCAAGCCAGCTGCTTCAAGATGGTGGGGGTCATTGTAAGACCAGTGAACTCCATGAGTATGAGCCCATTGCTGCACTTCTTTAGCTCCAAAGTGAGTTCCTCGTTCAGTCCACAGATGACAGTTTTGTTGGAAGCAATGGAGACAGTGTCAAGCATGTAGAACGAGAGATACTGTGGCCATCTTAAAAAACAATCTGCTACAGATACTGAAAAATTATCTCATAACATTCAGCAGCTTTTCCTTTTGAAAGCTCATAGATCAAAATAAATAGAGGGATGAATATATATGCAAAATAATTGAAAGCAGCATCCCAAAGAAATACTTGTGCACCCAGGTTCATAGCAGCATTATTCACAAAAGGTCAAACAACCCATGTCTCTTGAGGTTACAGTCATCTGAGATTTATTCATCTCAGATGAACAGTGATCTGCTGAATAAACAAATGTGTCATATACATACAATGGAAAATTATTCAGCCTTAAAAAGGAAGGAGATTCTGACACATGCTACAACATGGATGAACCTTGAGGATATTATTCAACCTTAAGTGAAACAAGCCAGTCACAAAAAGACAAACACTGTATGATTCTACTTATATGAGGTATCTAGAGTAGTCAAATTCATAGAAACAGAAAGTAGAATGGTGGTTCCCAGGGCCTGGTGGGGAGGGGAAATGGAGAGTTGTTGTTCAGTGGGTTCAGAGTTTCGCTTTTGCAAGATGAAAAGAATTCTTGTGATTGATTGCACAATAATGTGGATATACTTAACACTACTAAACTATATATTTTAAATTGGTTAAGGGCTGGTCTGAGTGCAGTGGTGTATACAACTAATTGATTACAACTAGTTACAGATTTCTTTGTTCCTTCTCCACTCCCACTGCTTCACCTGACTAGCTTAAAAAAAAAGTAAAATAAAAGGTTAAGATGATAAATTTTGTATTATGTGTATTTTATCACTCTTTTCTTTTTCTTTTGTTTTTGAAACAGAGTCTAGCTCTGTTGCTCAGGCTGGAGTGCAGTGCATGATCTCTGATCATTGCAACCTCCATCTCCCAGGCTCAAGTGATCCTCACACCTCAGCCTCCCGAGTAGCTGGGATTACAGGCATGTGCCTCCATGCCCAGCTAATTTTTGTATTTTTAGTAGAGATGGGATTTCATCATGTTGGCCAGGCTGGTCTCAAACTCCTGACCTTGGGTGATCTGCCCACCTTGGCCTCCCAAAATGCTGAGATTACAGGCATGAACCACCTCACCCAGCCTGTATCACAATTTTTAAAAAGAAATAGAAAATTTTCTAGACATGCTAAAGAATGATATGGCAGATATTGCATATTAGTATGCTCTAGAATGAACATACAGGCAGAAGCTAAAAAACTACATTTTCTAGACTCTCCTGTGGCTAGGGCTTGAGATATGATTTGCATCCCACGAAACAGAAGCATTTGTTGAGACTGATTTGAAACTGAGTCATATGTAGACAGAGGTGATATCAAGAGGATCTGCTTTGCTGGGGTAGACTGTGGCAGAGGTGGCATGGTCTGCAGCCAGCTGTTGTGCAGCAGCTTATTAATTTGGCAGATGACTTCCTGATTCAGCAGCTTTCAACATCAGTGATGGCTGCATTGCCAATTTTGGTCAAGGCAGAGCAGAAATGGGGTCCAGGAGTTGCTGCTGAATCCTTAGCCTAAGTCCTAATCCTCCAGCATTTATAAAAAGGCTGAAGGCAAAATATCATAGTTTGCATATAAAATGATTGTAGAGAATCAGAGATGTTATTTTAGAAAGAAAACTATTAGAACTAATGAAAAATTAAAGAGGCCAGATTTAAGCCAACTATATGAAAAACAATACTTTTTCTTTAACCCAGCAATAATCACGTAGAAATGCAGATTAAAAATCCCACTTCAAATGACAACAAACTTGATAAGAATCAGGAATAAATTTATAAGAAATGCACTAGACTTATTCAGCACAGAGGTTTCATTTCAGTCCTCTTTCCCTCTGTTCTACATTCTCCGAACTAAATCAATAAACAACTAAAAGGAATATTATAATGAAATATTTCATGAGAACTGTAGTCTCAGTTATAAGAAAACCCATTTTTGCCTGATCAGCTGAGCAAATTAAAATTCAATTCTTCTTTAACCGTTACTATTTTCCATCCCAAGGTTCTGTTTTTGTTTTAACTTCTATGTTAGACTTAAGAAAAAAAAACTCTACACCCTATAAATCAAGGCAAACTTTTTCAGTTTTAGAGAAAAGAGGTTAAGAGGAAAACAATTCTAAAAAAGCAATGTTTCTGCCTCGGGGAGAGAAACCTTTAATACAATCCTTATGAAACTGTGTTCCTGGCGTTCCCTTCATAAATCATGCATGTATAAGTAATTTTCAAAGATTTTGGGAAATGAGCTGTTGCACAAGGGATGATGGGATGTGTTATTTTGTTTCTGTATTTTTCTTTCTCTTTCCCTTTTTTACAGTTGCTGGTCATTTATTGGTCAAAAAATAAAGAGGGTGTCTCTGTCAGAAGCAGTCAAAAAATAATAGGTCTGATGAAATATGAATGCCTGAGCTATATTTATCATAAGTAAACTATGTTTAAGAAACATAGCCAAGGCTGGGCACGGTGGCTCACGCCTGTAATCCCAGCACTTTGGGAGGCCAAGATGGGCAGATCACGAGGTCAGGAGTTTGAGACCACCCTGGCCAAGATAGTGAAACCCTGTCTCTACTAAAAATACAAAAATTAGCAGGGCATGGTGGCGTGCGCCTGTAGTCCCAGCTACTCGGGGGGCTGAAGCAGGAGAATTGCTTGAACCCAGGAGGCGGAGGTTGTGGTGAGCCAAGATTGTGCCACTGCACCCCAGCCTGGGCAACAGAGCAAGACTCTGTCTCAAAAAAAAAAGCAAGTAGCCAAAATGATGGTAAACTGCAAGCTCTTTCCTTATAGATTCAGAGCCACATCAATTTCTCCACATTTTTTAAAGAAATAAATCACTTTGGAAAATTACAGATATATTTCTATAATCAATAAATTTGAGGTATTTATATGGATTCATCATAATTAAAAATATTAGTTGTTATCCTATAAAACAATATACATATACAAATCAGTTGGGTCCCCTGGGAAGCAGATGCTGAGCTGGAGTTAAGAATGCAAAAGGTGGCCGGGCGCCGTGGCTCACGTCTGTAATCCCAACACTTTGGGATGCCGAGGTGGGCGGATCACGAGGTCAGGAGATGGAGACCATCCTGGCTAACACGGTGAAACCTCGTCTCTACTAAAAATACAAAAAATTAGCTGGGTGTGGTGGCGGGCGCCTGTAGTCCCAGCTACTCGGGAGGCTGAGGCAGGAGAATCGCTTGAACCTGGGACGCGGAGGTTGCAGTGAGCTGAGATCAGGCCACTGCACTCCAGCCTGGGCGACAGAGCCAGACTCCATCTCAACAACAACAACAACAACAACAACAACAACAACAACAACAACAAAAGATATTCCTTATTTTCTTCTCAGATTTTTTTTTTTTTTTGAGACGGAGTCTTGCTCTGTCATCCAGGCTGGACTGCAGTGGGGCGATCTCGACTCATTGCAAACTCCGCCTCCCGGGTTCAAGCAACTCTCCTGCCTCAGCCTGCCGAGTAGCTGAGATTACAGGCGCATGCGCCACCACGCCCGGCTAATTTTTTTGTATTTTTGGTAGAGACGGGGTTTCACCATGTGGGCCAGGATGGTCTCGATCTCTTGCCCTCATGCCTCGGCCTCCCAAAGTGCTGGGATTACAGGCCTCGGCCTCCCAAAGTGCTGGGATTACAGGCGTGAGCCACTGGCGCCCAGCCTTCTCAGAGTTTTATAATTTTGCTTTTTGCACTTTCTTCAATCCAATGGGATTGTTTTGCGTAGGGTGGGAGTTACAAGTATATTTTTTCTATGTGCATTTATCTATTGCACATTATTTCATTTATTGAACAGTATAGCCTTTACCTATTTATCTGCAATGCTTACGGTATCAGGTTTCTATATATTTGGCTGTCTACTGATCAATTGGTTTGTAGGTTCTTGTGCTAATATCCATTGTTTTAATTACTTTAGCTACGTAATCAGTTTTCACATCTGGTAAATCAAGTTCCCCTACCTTCTTCTTTTACAGGAGAATTAGCCTTTTGCTCTTTCATATACCTTTAAGAATGAGTTTGTCAAATTCCATGACAATCCCTGTTGGGAATTTCGTTAAAGTCACATTGCATTTGGATGTGATCAATTTGAGGAGCTATTACAACTTGAATCAACTGGAAAGAGACTTTTGCAAAAAGTCTTCTCTTCTCTCTTAGAAGATAAACTTGGGCATATCCTATAAGCTCCCTGCAGAAATCCCGAGAAAGAAGTGCGAGGAATAGTCCCATATGTCTTGGAGAACCTCTGATAATCTCTTCTAACTGTACCATCTTTGCAAAGGCAGGGATGGAAACAGAGAGGGAGGAAGAGGGCGGGGGACTCAAAGTATTAGCTAAAGGTGAGTAAAGAGTGGGCATCTAGTGTTCTTCTCAGTCACTATTTTCTCTGGTGTGTTTCCTGGAGATACATTTTTTGGAGGAGAGGAATTGAAAGGAGGCATTGGAAAGACAGAGGGTGAGGGAAAGACAGAGGGTGAATATGTTCTGGAGGAGAGAGTACCTTAACTGCTGATGGCTGAAACTGCTGTTCCTTCTACCTGTTCGGCTCTGAAGGAATCAGAGCCGAAAACAAAAAAAAAACTTTAGAGAGAAGGTAGCATTTGAGCTGAGGGCGCGCAGGGTGGATAAGAGTTCCAGCGCGAGCGTGTATCTGGGAGCTGGGGTGGGGCTGTGGTGGGCGGCATTAGAGAAAAAAGGCGACAGGCATTCTGAATAGCAGGAGACAGAGACAGAAGTGATGTGTTTGTAGGAGGCAAGAGCAGTTCATTTTGAGTGAGAGATACAGCTAGAAAGATAAGTAGCGGTCCGATTGTGCAAGGCCATGGATACCAGGTTAAGGACTTTGGAATTTATCCTGGGACGCCAGTGTGAGTTCTTGAACAGAAAAGTAAGTAGCTGGGTCCGAAGTTCGCGTCAGAAGGATCACTGTGGCTGCAGCAAGGCAGAGAACCAGGTGGCCGCGTCCTGGCCAGCAGGGCAGGCAAAGGCGCGGAGCGTTGCACTTGCACCTGCAGGGGGCACACTGAAGGGCCAAACGCCCACCCCCGCCCCCGTCCTCGCCGCCCTACTCCGATGCGCCGCGCTCGGAACTCGGCTAGCCCGCCTGGACGCGCCCCTCTCGGTCTTCGCCTATTCCGCCCGGACGCGCCTCGTGCGTCACGTCCGCCGTGGCGTGAGGCTCCTTAGAGCTGAGGAGGGAAGCGAAAAGAAGCCTCTGCGCCTGCGCCAGGGCGCACCCGTCGGCGGTAAAAGCTGAGGGGCTGGCGCGGGGGATTGGTGGGCGACACTTTTACGTCTACACGTGCCTACCCGTCTGCACGTTTCTGAGTCCGCACGGTTGTCTTCTCTTGCTGAATGGACATAGGTGTTTTGTTTTGTCCCAAGAGATACAGGCAAGCAGTACAGGGGTGATGGAGTGCTCCTTGACCTTAGCGGGGCTGACCCTGGCACTCCCTGTAGGTCTCCCCGCTGCGAAGCACTGAGTCTCTTCACTGCAGTTTCTCTCCAGTTACCCGCCCTGTCTACGGCCCAAACGGCCATGCTAGTGAAAACCTGCCCTGGCCGCTAAGCAAGCCTAGCCCAGGCTGTAACCCATGTTTCTAGGGCTTGTTTTCCTCTGCAGTCAAATCAGAGATTCGGAGTTGAAGGGGATCTTAGAGGTCAACATGCCCAACCTCTTAGCCCGAGTGAGTGAATGTACGCTTTTTACCTGCACACCCCGAAAATCGCCCGTTTTCTGGAAACAACGTTGATTATGTAGTCCTGGAACTTTCCTGCATGCACATTTTATTCCTTCGACAATATTTATTGCTACCTACTGTGTGCAGGCATTGTAGGCCCCGGGGATACGATTAAAACCAATGAAGAACGAAACGCACAAGATTGTTGATCTCGGCCGGGCGCGGTGGCTCACGCCTGTAGTCCCAGCACTTTGGGAGGCGGAGGTGGGTGGATTGCTTGAGGTCAGGAGTTCGAGACCAGCCTGGCCAACCTAGCGAAACCCCACCTCTACTAAAAATACAAAAATTGGCCGGGCTTGGTGGCGTGCGCCTGTAGTCCCAGCTACTCGGGAAGCTGAGGCAGGAAAATCACTTGAACCTGGGAAGTGGAGGTTGTAGTGAGCCAAGATTCCGCCTGCATTCTAGCCTGGGCAACAAAATGAGACTCTGTCTCAGAAAAAGAAAAAAAAAAAAAAAAGATTGTTTCTCTCTCTCTAGGAGTTTACATTTTATTTGGGGGCAGGAGGGAAACCAACAACCAAAAATAGAGGACTGATTTGATTTAGTGCTAGCAGGAAATAAAAAGAACATAAGGTAGAAATACACAGGTGAGAATTACTTGGAGTGATCGGAGAAGGCCTCTTGGAGGTGGTGATGTTTATAACCAGCCAAGGGAACAGTTAGGGGTTCTAGGCTGAGAGAAGAACAATGTTCTTTAGGCAGGTTGTTGTTTTCTAGGAATAGACAGAAGGCTACTGTGACTGGAGTGTGGTGAGGCGAGGTTGTGAATGGTGAGAAAACATTGAGAATGTGAGCAGGAGCCAGATGCACGCCTTTGTGGGGTACGGTAAGAAGTTTGAAATGTATTCTAAGAGCAATGGGAAGCCAAGCAATAGTTTGGGGTACAGGCTTGATGTTGGTTCATTTGGAACCATACAAACCAATCTCTTCCCCCATATCACAACCCTTTAAATATTTGAAGAGGGCTGACCGGGCGCGGTGGCTCAGGCTTGTAATCACAGCATTTTGGGAGGCCGAGGCGGGTGGATGACGAGGTCAGGAGTTCGAGACCAGCCTGGCCAATACAGTGAAACCCCATCTCTAATAAAAATACAAAAATTACCTGGGTGTGGTGGCAGGCGCCTATAATTCCAGCTTTCATTCCACACACTTTGAAAGTGGGGAGTTTTTCAAATGTAAACCAAGTATGTATATTTTTATTTTTTCAATAAAACAATAAAGATGGGTCTCGCCAGCCTGGTCTCAAACTCCTGAACTCAAATGGTCCGCCCACCTCGGCCTCCCAAAGTGCTGGGATTACAGGCGTGAGCCACTGCGCCCGGCCGGTCTGTGTGTATGTGTGTGTGTGTGTGTGTGTGTGTGTATATTTTTTTTTGAATTGAAACGGAGTTTTGGTTTTGTTGCCCAGGCTGGAGTGCAGTGGCATGATCCCGGCTCACTGCAACCTCTGCCTCCTGGGTTCAAGCGATTCTCCTGCCTCAGCCTCCCAAGTAGCTGGGATTACAGGCGCCCACCACCATGCTCGGCTAATTTTTGTATTTCTTATGGAGACAGGTTTTCACAGTGTTGGCCAGGCTAGTCTGGAACTCCTGACCTCAGGTGATCCATCCGCCTCGGCCTCCTAAAGTGCTGGGATTACAGGCATGAGCCACCTCGCCTGGCCGGCCTGTGTATTTTTAAAGGAAATAACCTAAGAGTTGTTTTTCCAGATTTTCAAAGAGGTCCTGTAAAGATTAAGAACCACTGAACCTTTCTCGTTTATGTGATCCTGGTTACTGTTCTCAGGAATAGCAGGACACAATGTCAGCTTTAACCCAGGCTAGTTCCTCTAAACTGCCTTCTTATCGGTGAAATGAAAATAATAGGGTTGCTATGGGGATTAAATGAGATGATACTCAAAAAAATGATAATTAATGATAAATCATAAGGTGTCTGCCACAAAGTGCCCCTATTATAAACAAACAGTGGCCTGGAGGGACAGTTTATAAATACTGCTCCTTTAGCATTCCACTAACATTGACTGAGTGCCTGTTCTACACTGTGTAGAGGCCCTGGTGAAAAAGATCTGCCTTCCAGTTTATTATCTAGTCGAAAGAACCGCAAAAGATAACAAAACACAATAGACTGAACGCCCTGAGAGGGGCATAAGTGCAGTGCTCTAGGAGCTGTAAAAGAGGTCTCGATATCCACTGGAGGAAAGTGCTTACTGGAGTTCATTTCTGGAGTGGGTTTAAAAGATGAACAGAGGGAATCTAAAACATTCACACAAAATCAATACTACACGTACACATTTTATTATTTTGTGGAAAGACCACTTAGAAACACCGCAATCACTTCTACTACTCAGCAGATACTGAGCAGTAGGTTTCGTGACAGAGCACCTGTCTTTTGTCCAGTCTGTTTACTATACATTGCGTGCTCTGGGCAGTCCTTATCTTCGTGTTCAGGAACAAAGTACACACACCCCTTTCCGAAACGAAGGGCCCAGGGACTCCGAGAAGGGTGGGAGCCCTCACGGCCAGGCCACACAATGGGGAGCCTCTTTACCCTAGTCATCACCCACCCTTGCAGGCCCCACTTTGCCAGGGTGCGACTTCTCGGGCCCCTTCGCCCCTCCCCTGCAGCCCCCAGGAGCGCAGCCACAGCCCGGCCGGGCGCCCTCCCTGTCTCTCTCTCTCTTTCTCTCTCGAGCTTTCCTCCTCCTTCACCGGGAGCCGGAAAACCCGGAGCGAACCAGCCCAGCACGGCAGCGCATGCTCAGTAGCGAGCAGGTTCAGTTCGCTAGTAGGAAGCTCCAGCGCTACACCGGCGGCGGCGGTGGCGGCGGCGGCCGCGGCGGCACCTCAGGGCAGCCAGATTCCCCAACAACGACCTCCGGTCCTTCCCCTTCCCCGCGAGACCTCCGCCCCAGCTCCGCCCCGCCCGGGGCTCTTGCGTTTCGGAGTCCCAACTACGCGGAGCGGGCGCCGCGGCCGGAGCGTCCCTCCACACGTCCTCCCCCAGCCGCCAGCTCCGCCGCGGGGCCAGACCGGGCCCGGGAGTGCAGCCCCGGCGGGCGGGCGGCGGCCGCGGCAGAGGGCAGCCCGGGGCGGCGCCGGCGGGCCGGGGAGGGGCGGGGGGCCTGGCCCCGGGGCGGTGGTGCGGGATGCCGCCGCCTCCGGGCCGCGTCCGTTCTCCACGGCTGGTACCTGTGTCGGGTGGGTGGCCAGGCGCGGGCCTCGCCCCCCAGCCCCCTCGCCAGGGCTAGCCCGGCTGCGCGGCGCCCGGAGGGGGCCGGGCCGTCCGGTGGGGCCGCGGCCCTGTTCCGCGCTGCGAGCTCGCCCTCTCGCGGCTCCCTGGCCCGGCCGCCGCCGCCCCTCTCCCCGCCCAGAGGCGCCCCGGGGGCACCATGCAGGCGCAGCAGCTGCCCTACGAGTTTTTCAGCGAAGAGAACGCGCCCAAGTGGCGGGGACTACTGGTGCCTGCGCTGAAAAAGGTGAGGAGCACGCGGGACCCCGCTTCCCGGCCGCAGCCCCCCAGCGCGGGCGCTGGGGAAGGGCTGGGGAGGCGGGGCGCGCGCAGGGCCGTCTTTCTTCCCGGTCTCGCCGCGTCTCCAAAAGGACGGCGCACACGGAGAGGCCCCCCTCATACGGCTGGCTCTCGGTGTTGACATCCACCGGGTGTGTGGGAATGCCGCAGGGAGCCGGGGGGAGTTTATCCGGATAATCCAACCCCTGAGAGGTGAATGCTTTGCCCTTTGATTCCAGGACAACAACAGTTGGAGGAGCCTCAGTTTTCAGCGGAGGTCAAAGCAGGCCACTTTTCCGTCTTCTTGGTCTTAGCCCGGAGCTGCTGTCAGCCTACCGTTTTAGGTGTCCAGTACGCTGGTTTTAGTGGCTTGAGAATGCCCTGGCCGTAAGGCTTGCTCAAAGGAATTGCGAGCTCGCCTGCCAGTAGGAACGTGGCCTGCTCTGCTCGCCGTCAGTATTCACTCCTCATTCTCCTGGTTTCCCCCGCTCCTCCGATTAACAGGGGCTGGTGCACATGCTACCAATTTCAGGGGGGTTTTGTTTTGTTTTTGCAGCGTTCGAGATTCTTGGTGCTGTCATTTGGCTTGTTAAGAATTTTTAGCCTTTGTATGTTTAAGTTTGCTACATTGTTACCTGAAGTTACATACCCCCGATCTGTGCTTTTAAATGTTTTAGTATAATTAGGAAGTGTTCTTACGTTTTTAAAGCTTCTAAAGCAGCAGTGTGACAACCAGACTATTTTTGTTTTCTTTTCTTCATTTACCTTTTCTGTAAAGATTGCTTTACTCTTCTAATAGTGTTTCTAAATCCCAGTTTCTTGCTGCTCAAAGAATGTTTCATGCTAACTGCTTCTACTAAGAATGGAGATTATGTTTTACCTTTTATGCTAAACATTAAAAGGTGTCTGATATTTCTCAAAGGCCAGTAACTTTTACTTTCCCTTTTGCCCTGTTCTCCTCCGGTCCCTCTTGCTGTCTTACAGTGGAAACTATTTGGTTTTTCAGGAGAATTTGCTCATATATTTCTGGCTTAAATTACGGACATTTTCCCCTTCAAGTGTCTGACTAGTCACAAACATCTATGTAATTTTTTTTAAAAAACAGAAGAAAAGATGCCATATATCTTACATACTTTACTCCTTAGAAATCCCTTCAGGCTCTCACTCCTTACTTTTGCTTTACTTGCAAGTTTGACTTCTTAGCTTGTAATGGAAGGGGTGTAGGAGGTCTCTGTGATGCTAGAAGCTGGTGTCCGGATAGAGTAAGGGGAGACACGGAAATTGTTTAAAAACGTGTAAAGGAACTCATAAAGCATTGCCAAATAGGGGCCATTTTGCTTAGAGGCAAAAGCAGCTCCTTTCCCAGGGGAATCACCAAGGTATCAGCTGAGGATCCTTTGAAGCAGTGGAAAGAATATTGTAGGAGTTGACAGACGTTGTTTAATTCTGCCACACTGGTGGCCCTTGCTGAAATCTGTCCACAAAAGCATTTTGTTTGGCTGGCATAGTGTTGTTTTATTTTTAAATGTAATTAGTTGCTAATATTTGAAAATGGGAGATATTACATAAAACCTGAATTTTCGGCTTTTCTTGAAGAATAGGAAGGTCTTGTCATTTAGGGCCTGTATTCAAGCGAGGCACTAAACTGCTGGAGTTGAGTAAATGGCTCCCTTCTTTAGACAGGTCATGTATCTCCACCTTACCACAGCCCCCACTTGTCCTTTTTGCATATTTACATAAAACAGCTTTTGACTTTAAGTTAGAGATACTTTTGCAGTAGAAGTGATAGGAGGAGGTGGAAGTGTACATAATCTAGCTGATATGTAAGGTTCTTCCAATTCTTATTTAAATAGCCACTAACAATGATTCTAAACAAGATTGAAAATACAGTATGTTTCATATCTGGATATGCTGTTGGTAGCTCAAAACCTACGTTTTTACTTGCCTGCTGGACATTTCATGTGGATATCTCCATATCTTGATTTCTTCCTTTGATTTGTTATTGAATTATTCGTAGATACATCCGACTTGTGTTCTCTTACTCTTACCTGAGGCTCTTTGGATATGCTAGTCCCTTCATCCTTCTTTGCCTGGTCCAACACTACTCATCCTTCTAGACTCACTCAACCTGAACTGTCAAATCATCAGGGCTGAGTTGGATATTACTCCTTTGTTTTCTTTTTGCACCCTGTCCTAGCTCTGTGAATTTTAAGTTCCTATTTACTTGCCTATAACTAGATTGGATGCTCCTTGAGAACAGGGATGATATCTTACCCACATTTTATTCCCCATACTTATAGTGCTTGACATCTGGTAGGCACTCAATTTGAATAAATAGGTGAGGGGATATACAAACTAAAACTATCACTTCTCTCCTCCACCTGTCATTTCAGTTTTTCTTCTCGATTAATGGCTTTATTGTTACATTTGACTGGTTTAAAATGTTGGGGTCATCTCTGGCTTCTTTGTATTACTGTGCACACTCAGGTAGAGCCTGTATGTTCATTTCCCTTTGACATGTTCTTCTAGTCTATTCCTCCTCCGACTTCTCTAATTGAGTCTCCTTTGTCAGACTACTGTGATAACTTCTTAATGGGGTTCACTGGCCCCCACCTCACCTTCTGTTTTTCAAATCTCACCAGTTATAGGACACTTCTGAACATGTCACACTCAGAATTGTTGATGTCTTTTGAGTTCAACCTATGCTAAAGTGCACTTTTTAGCATAGAATTAACAGCAATTGATATTTGGCTTCATCCTGCTTTTCTGACTGGATTGTCTACCATAACCTTTTATCTCCTTTTTGCTTTAGCCAGTCCGGACTGCTACTTTTCCTGAATATGGCTGGAATGTCCCACTGTATCTGTTTCACCGCATCTATGAGTCTAAGTCCTATCTTATCTATTGCACAAATATATCATGCCTACTATAGACCAGGTATTGCCCTTGACACTCAGGCTAAAAAGGTAAATGACAGGGCCGGGCGCAGTGGCTCACGCCTGTAATCCAGCACTTTGGGAGAGCAAGGTGGGCGGATCACGAGGTCAGGAATTCAAGACCAGCCTGGCCAACGTGGTGAAACCCCATCTCTACTAAAAAATACAAAAATTAGCCTGGCGTGGTGGTGGGCACCTGTAATCCCAGCTACTCGGGAGGCTGAGGCAGGAGAATAGCTTGAAACCGGAAGACGGAGGTTGCAGTGGGGCGAGATTGCACCACTGCACTCCAACCTGGGCAACAAGAGCAAAACTCTGTCTCAAAAAAAAAAAAAAAAAGTAAATGACATAATCAGAAAAGACTAAATTAGAACATGATGGGAAGTGGCAGGGCATGTCTGGAGAGACAACTGGTTTATGAACAGTTTTTATATATGTTAAGCTAAGGAATTTAAATTTTTTCTTGGGTAATTAGAAGCCATTGATAAAGTTTCTTTTGTTTGTTTTTGTTTTGTTTGTTTGTTTTGAGACAGAGTCTTAACAGGCTGGAGTGCAGTGGTGCGATCTTGGCTCACTGCAGCCTCCACCTCCTGGGCTTAAGCTATCCTCCCACCTCAGCCTCCTGAGACTGTAGGCACACTGCCACATCCAGATAATTTTTGTATTTTTTGTAGAGATGGGGTTTCACCAGGCTGGTCTTGAACTCCTGGGCTCAAGCCATCTGCCTGCCTCAGCTTCCCAAAGTGCTAGGATTACAGGGTGAGCCACTGTGCCCAGCCAATAAGTTTTAAGTAGGGGAGTAACAGCACATTTTAATTTTAGAAAATTCACTTTGGCCATAGAATGGAAAATGGTTTGGAGAAGAATGAGACGTAAAGTGAGGAGAAAAGTTAGAAGCCTAGTTTAATAGTCCAGTCAAGAGATAATACACATTTGAACTAAGGGTGCATTTGAACAAGGATGGAAATATGGATGTGGATTTTATTTGAAAGAAGTTTACAAGGCAAAATTGACAGGATCTAGTAACTCACTGAGTGATTGGGGGAATGGTAATGGAACAGGAATAGTCTTGTTTCTGACTTGATTGTCTTTAGTCAGGATAGAGAATGTAGGAGAAGCTCTTAGGATGGAGAGAGGAGTGGCATAATAAGATGATTTTTGGAAATGTTGACTTAAAAGTTTGGGTTATTCAAGTGAACTTCTCCAACTGGCTATTGGTTGTTGGTATCTGATTAAGCAGATTTGGAACTTCTAGATGTGTAAGTAAAGCCATAAATATAGATGAAGCCTCTACAAAGACTTATACATGAATGTTCATGGCAGCTGTTTTCAGTCAAAAACTGGAAACAATCCAATGTTCGTCAGCAGGTGAATGAATAAGCAAATTGTGATACAAACAGTGGAATACTATTGGTTGTTGGTATCTGATGAAGCAGATTTGGAACTTCTAGATGTGTAAGTAAAGCCATAAATATAGATGAAGCTTATACAAAGACTTATACATGAATGTTCATGGCATCTCTTTTCAGTCAAAAACTGGAAAAAATCCAATGTTCGTCAACAGGTGAATGAATAAGCAAATTGTGATACAAACAGTGGAATACTACTCAGCAATAAAAAGGAACAAACTGGCTGGGTGTGGTGGCTCACACCTGTAATCCCAGCACTTTAGGAGGCCAAAGTGGGAGGATTACTTGAGCCCAAGAGTTCCAGGCCAGCCTAGGCAACATAATGAAACCCTGTCTCTACAAAAAACTTAAAAAATTAGCCAAAACATTTAAAAAAATTAGCCAGGTGTGGTGGCATGAGCCTGTAGTCCCAGCTGCTTGGGAGGCTGAGGTGGGAGCATTGCTTGAGTCTGAGAGGTCAAGGCTGCAGTGAGGTGTGATTGTGCTATTGCACTCCAGCCTGGGCAAAAAAATGAGACCCTGTCTCAAAAAAAAAAAAAAAAAAAAAAAAAAGAGAGAGAACAAATTTGATACAAATGACAACATGGCTGAATCTCAAAATAATTATACTCAATGAAAGAAGGGAAACCAAAAAAGAGTATATACTATATGAGTCTACTTATAGAACATTCTAGAAGGTGCAAACTAGTGCAGATCAGTGGTTGTTTAGGGAGAGGCTTTTTATGTTTACTTATCTTGATTGTGCTGATGGTTTCAGGGGTGTGTACATATCCTGAAATTTTTCAGATTGTATATTTTAAATATGTGCAGTTTATTGTATGTCAGTTGTACCTCAATGAAGGTATTTTAAAAAGTAGATGAGACCACACGCTGAAAATGATTTTAGTAAGACTGAAAAAGGGCTGGCATAAGAAGTGGGGGAAGGGAGTGGGAAATAGTGTATAGGGAGATAGCAGAGGAAAAGGAATGATGTAAGGAGACCGAGAAGCAAGGAGTCAGGCAGAAGGAATGAAACCCTAGTGTCTGAGAAGTTGAGAGAGGAATGCTTCAAGAAAAGAGTTGGCTGTGTGCGATGGCTCACACCTGTAATCCTAGCATGTTGGGAGGCCAAGGCAGGTGGATCACCTGTGGTCAGGAGTTTGAGACCAGCCTGGCCAACATAGTGAAACCCCTGTCTTTACTAAAAATACAAAAATTAGCCTGACGTGGTGGTGCACGCCTGTAATCCCAGCTACTCGGGAGGCTGAGACACAAGAATCCTGGGAGTTGGAGGCTTCAGTGAGCTGAGATCACACCACTGTACTCCAGCCTGGGTGACAGAGCTAGACTCTGTTTCAAAAAGAAACAAAAACAAATCAGCCGGGCCAGGTGGCTCACGCCTGTAATCCCAGCACTTTGAGAGGCTGAGGCGGGGGATCACCTGAGGTCAGGAGTTCGATACCAGCCTAACCAACATGGAGAAACCCCATCTCTACTAAAAATACAAAATTAGCTGGGCGTGGTGGCGCATGCCTGTAATCCTAGCTACTCAGGAGGCTGAGGCAGGAGAATTGCTTGAACCCAGGAGGCAGAGGTTATGGTGAGCTGAGATTGTGCCATTGCACTCCAGCTTGGGCAACAAGAGTGAAACTCCATCTCAGAAAAAAAGAAAAAAAAAAAAGAAAAGAACAAAAAGAAAAACAAAAAACAAAAAAAATTAGCCAGGCTTGGTGGCACGCACCTGTGGTCCTGGCTACTCAGGAGGCTGAGGTGGGAGGATTGCCTGAGCCTGGGATGTTGAGGCTGAGGTGAGCCATGATCGTGCCATTGCACTGCCGTCTGGGTGACAGGGTAAAACCCTGTCTCAGAAAAAGAAAGAAACAAAAATAGAAAGAAAAGAAAGAGTCATTGATCATACCAGGCTATAGAAAAGTCAAAGGGCCTGAAAAGTGTTAAGTTTGGCAGCTAAGGGGTCATTGGTCACTATGTCAGAGCAGTTTTATTGTGATAGTAGAAGATGGAAGAACATGGGAAAAGTAAGAATAGCAAGGGCTGCTGACCTTTTTGCTCAGATTATTTTTTTCTAGAAGCTTGGAAAGGAAGGGAAAAGAGATAGTGCTGAGGCAAAAAAGAGATTCAAGATTGGGTAAGACATTTTTGCTTCTTGCTTGGAGATGACAAAAACTTACTAAGAGCCTTTGAGGAAGGAGCTAATAGAGAATGCTGGTGAAGATTCAGGAACACAAAGCAATGGGATTTGCCTTGAACTGTTTGGGAGATAAGGTAAGCACTTCACCTGTGTTCTCATTTAATTCTCATAGGATACTATTACGGCTTCCTTTTTACAGGAGAGAAAATCAAGGTTTGGAAAGTTAAATTTGCCCATGTAATTTAGTTACAGAATCTTTATTTTTATTTTTAAAATTATTTTATTTATTTATTTTTGCACCATGGCCTCCCTCCCCCAACTCTAAAATCTGTATTTTTAAACACTATATTGCTGGGCATGGTGGCTCATGCTATTGACGCCAACACTTTGGGAGGCCAAGGCAGGAGGAGTTTGAGAACAGCCTAGGCCACATAGTGAGACCCTGTCTCTACAAGGGAAAAAAAAAAAAAAAAGAAGACAGGTATGGTGGTACATGCCTGTAGTCTCAGCTACTCAGGAGGCTGAAGTGGGAAGATTGCTTGAGCTCAGGTGTTTGAGGCTGCAGTGAGCTATGATTGGGCTACTGCACTCCAGCCTGGGTTACAGAGTGAGACTGTGTCTCTAAATACATTAATGAATAAAACACTAAGTGATGCTACCTCTGGCAGGGGTGATGACATCTTTTCTTATGAGATACAGGAGGGAAAGTGATAAAGATGGGTTTGTAGGTTGGGGAGCAGGGAGTTCATGCTAAATAATCACTTCTATTTTCTTTTCTTTTCTTTTTTTTTTTTGAGACAGAGTCTTGCTCTTGTCGCCCAGGCTGGAGTGCAGTGGTGTGATCTCCGCTCACTGTAGCCTCCACCTCCCAGGTTCCAGCAACTCTGCCTCAGCCTCCCCAGTAGCTGGGATTACAGGCGCACTCCATCACACGCAGCTAATCTTTTGTGTTTTAGTAGAGACAGGGTTTTACCATGTTGCCCAGGCTGGTCTTGAACTCCTGAGCTCAGGCAGTCTGCCCGCCTCGGCCTACCGAAGTGCTGAGATTACAGGCATGAGTCACTGCACCTGGCCAAATCACCTCCATTTTCATGATGAAATGAAAGGCAAATTTTTTTTACAGAGTGAAGAAAAGGAAAGTAGTAAGGACTTTAGAAGGAATAATGAAGTCTGGGAATTGCTGCTGTGGAGTGTAGAGGAGCCAACCAGTGCCTTAGAAAGGAATTGCAAGCCAGGTGCGGTGGCTCATGCCTGCAATTCCAGCACTTGGGAGCCTGAGGTGAGAGGATCACTTGAAACCAGGAGTTCAAGACCAGCCTGGGCAACATGGTGAAACACCGTCTCTACCAAAAAACAAAACAAAACAAAAGCCTGGCATGGTGGTACGCACCTGTAGTCCCAGCCACTTGGGAGACTGAGGTGGGAGGATCCCTTGAGCTCAGGAGGCTGATGCTGCAGTGAGCCATGGGAAAGAAAGAGCAAGAGAGAGAGGGAGAGAGAGGAATTGCTCAGCAGTGCTGAATGTGGAGACCATAAACTCAGAGTAGGGTTGATCTGGTGGTTGTGAGATTTTCCTCCAATAGCGCTTATCTGTTCAGGTAAGCCGGGAGAGAAGACAGTTGGTTGCAGGTAGCGGCAGTAGAGATTAAGAAGATAGGGATATTTCAAGTGATAGAGAGGAAGTAAGGGTATATAAGAGAAATAATGGATTGGAAGAAAAATTAGGGCTCCATGGATTCAAAATCTTGGTGAGTTAGAAGAGAAGGATAGTGGGAGTAGATAGGGGATGTGATTAGAGATGATGACAATTGTTATATTTTGGAGTTTTAAGATTCCAGAGATAGAGGCCAAGGAGGGCAGATCACTTGAGCTCAGGAGTTCAAGACCAGCCTGGCCAACATGGCAAAACCTCACTTCTACCAAAAATACAAAAATTATCTGGATGTGGTGGTGTGTGCCTGTAGTCCCAGCTGTTCGGGAGGCTGAGGTAGGAGAATCGCTTGAAACCTGGAGGTGGAGGTTGCAGTGAGCTAAGGTTGTGTCACTGCACTCCAGCCTGGGCAACAAGAGCGAAACTCCGTCTCAAAAAAAGAAAAAAAAAAAAAAAGGATTCCAGAGATGAAGCAGGTAAGACAATTAGGAGCTCTAAAGTTGATGTATTGGGTTGCATATGGGAATGATGATGAAGTCCACAGAGATTATGGAGTGTACTGTAGCAGAGAGGGAGACTGTATTCTAGGAGTGGCAGGAAGGTCCAGAAGTAACAGCAGTAAGGATGTTTTAAACAAATAATAGTAAAAGTGGCAACTACTTCTCACCTCCTCTGATGTAGTATTTATTACAGCTATAGACAAAATAGGAAGAAACTTTGTACTTCATTTTAGAATTTTGTCTTGTGATAAAGTTTTTACCCTAACATTTTGTCATGAAGATTTTTCAATACACAGAAAAGTCTAAAGAATTGTACAGTAAACACTCGTATACCCATCACCCAGATTTTATAATTAACATTTTATTACAATTTTATTATGTTTGCTCTATGGCATGCCTATCCATCCCTTCATCCTTGAATCCATCTTATTATTATTATTTTTTTTTGAGATGGAGTCTTGCTCTGTCTCCCAGGCTGGAGTGCAGTGGCACAATCTCGTCTCACTGTAACCTCCGCCTCCTGGGTTCAAGTGATTCTCCTGCCTCAGCCTCCCGATTAGCTGGGATTACAGGCATGTGCCACCACACCTGGATAATTTTTGTATTTTTATTACAGACAGGGTTTCGCCATGTTGGCCAGGCTGGTCTCAAACTCTTGACCTCAGGTGATCCACCTGCCTCGCCCTCCCAAAGTGGGATTACAGGCATGAGCCACCATGCCTGGCCCATTTTTGTATTTTTAATAGAGATGGGGTTTCTCCATGTTGGCCAGGCTGGTCTTGAATTCCTGACCTGAAGTGATCTACCCGCTTCAGCCTCCCAAAGTGCTGGGGTTATAGGTGTGAGCCTCTGTGCCCAGCCAGGAGTTTTTAATACTGATGGAGTCAAATATATGTTTTTTTCTTTTAAGGTTATTGCTCTCTTATATCTAAGAACCCTTTGCCGATATTTTCCTAATGTTGTCTTTTAAAAGCTTTATACTTGTAGCTTTCATAGACTCTGTGGTCCATTTCAAGTTAATTGTTGTGTTGTGATACAAGGTAGGAATTGAAATACATTTATTTTTAATGCTGATATCTAGTTATTTCAGAACTATCCGTTGAAGAAACCCTCTTCTTTTTTTTTTTTTTATTGCTCCTTGCAGAGCAGGGCTGTGCCATAGGCAGTATGCCTAGAGTAGTAGCCTGTTGAAGAGATTTTCTTTTCTCTATTGGATTGTGTTGATATTTTTATGAAAATTACATGATTCGTGTGTATGTATATATGCAGTCAGTCCTCTGCATCTGTGCATTCAAACAACTGTGGATCAAAAGTATCTGCGGGAGGAGGATGGGGGGAAATTGCATCTATACTAAATTTGTACAGATTTTTTTGGTCATTACTCCTTAAACAATACAGTACAACTATTTACATAGTATTAGTTATTATTAGTAATCTGGAGATGATTTAAGGTATGTGGGAGGATGTGCACAGGTTGTATGCAAATGCTACACCATTTCCTGTAGGATTACTGAGCATCTGCAGATTCTGGTATCTGAGGGAGGTCCTGGAACCAATCCCCCATGGATACCGAGGGATGACTATATACATACATGCACATACACACACACACACACACACACACACACACACACACACACGCACACACACACAACTGTATCTGTATCTCTGTCAGTTTATTTCTAGGCTCTCCATTCTCCATTTATCTAATTGTTGATTTCTCTACTTATAGTAAGTTTTGACGTTAGGTAGTGTAATACTCCAATTTTGTTCTTTTAAAAGCTATGTTTTAGTATTTCTAGATCTTTTTGAATGTTAATCTTTCATTGCTGTGTTAATGAACCATGGCAGATAGTATTTTATTGAGTTCCTGCTATGTGCCAGTATCCTAGGCAATATTGTGTACATGCTTATCTCTGTTGTACCCATTGACTTTTGAAAGTGGTAATGTCCCAGTTGTACAGCTGAGGAAATAGATTTTATGAGGACAAACTGCACAAGATGTTATGACTAGTAAGGAGTAGAATCAGGATTTGAACCTAAGTCAGAATAGCTTCAAAGACAACTCTTTATATTCCAGTGTGTTGCCTTTTTTGAGTAGGAAGTATAATGCAGTACGATGGTGCTCTAATTGTCCTGAACCTTAGCTTTTTAAGGAAGAAGTATCTCAGGAGAGGGGGAGGCTGAATGGACAGGGCTTTGAAATCCCCTACTTTAAGCTGAGGAGCTCAGCCCTTTTACATATTGGGGCTTTGCATAGAATTTCATTTGGAAAAAAAGGGTTCTGTTGCATTAAAAAAGGTAGAATTTTAAAAGATGCTGGTTAATGGAAAGATAGCACAGACCATAAAGGAACTGGCTGAGATTAATGGTCTTTAGGTGGCAATGAGAAGCTAGGAGACTGTCCTTGTATGCTTATGTTTGGAAGTGATGGAAGTGACATTTAATTTATTTTATTTCATTTTATTATTTTATTTTTTCGAGACAAGTTCTCGCTCTGTCATCCAGGCTGGAGTGCAGTAGTGCGATCATGGCTTACTGCAGCCCCAACTTCCTGGGGTCCAGCAATCCTCCCACCTTAGCCTTCTGAGTAGGTAGGACAGCAGACACATGCCACCACACCCAGCTAATTTTTGTATTTTTGGTAGAGACGGGGTTTCACCATGTTGCCTAGGCTGGTCTTGAACTCCTGAGCTCAAGCAGTTCACCTGCGTCAGTCTCCCAGTGTGCCGGGATTACATATGTGAGCCACTGCACCCAGCCCATATAATTTTTTTTTTTTTTAAAGACACCAGGTCTTACTCTGTCACCGAGGCTGGGGTGCAGTGGCATAATCATAGCTCACTGTAACCTTGAACCTCTAGGCTCAAGCAATTTTTGCACCTCAGCCTCCCAGGTAGCTAGGACTACAGGTGTGTACCACCACTCCTGGCTAATTTTTAAAAATTTTTTTTGTAGAGACAGGGTCTCACTGTGTTACTCAGGCTGGTTTCACACTCCTGGCCTCAAGTGATCCTCCTGCCTTGGCCTCCCAAAGCACTGGGATTACAGGAGTGAGCCACTGTGCCTGGCCAGAAGTGACTTTTTAAATGGAAGTGGGACCATAAATGGGTGAATGAATGAATGAATGAGTGAATGGAAATGAGAGTTAGCCAGTTAAGGATTAGGAGGAAATAAATTCCAAGGATTTGTGGTAGCTTGGAGGCCAAGAGGAACTCAGCATTTTTGGAGTTCTGAGTAGCTGAAGTCTGGAGTGGGGGCCAGATCGTGTGAATCAAATTATTGCATTTTATCTTGTCAGCAGTGGGGAGCAACTGCAGGGTTTTAAGCAGGGAACTGACACACATGAATTTTGAAGGACTGCTGTAGACTGTATGGAGCATGGATTAAATGGGAACTGAACTGTAGGCAGGAAAGCCAGTTGAGGAGATTTTGCAGTAGTTCATGGAAGGGATGATAGGTGGCTTTGATTAGAGCAGTAGCTGTGGGGATGGAGAAAAGTGGACAAATTAATTAGAGAGATTTAGAGGCAGATTGGTGATTGAATTGAGCAGGGCAGTGAGAGGATTCCCAGGTTTCTGACTGAGGTGTCTAAGTGGGGATGGTGATGAAAGGGGGAATATTGGGAGAGGATCACGTTTGGAGGGAGACTAAGGCACCATCAGTATTCTAGAGATTAGAGGGCTGTGAGAGAATTGTGATAGGAGGGATTTACTCTTTGGCAGATATCCAAGCGTGGAAGGCCTGTTTGATGGACTGTCCTTGATAATCACAGGCAGGTATAGCCTCAAGGCTTTGAGGATGGCTCTAAAGTACATTTCAAACACCACCTCCTCCACAAAGCCTTTCTACTACAACTCCATCCCCTGAGTAGAGTGAATCTCTTCATATTCTTAGTACCTACAGAATTTTGGAATAGTCATGTTTAGTATATTTTGTTTTAGCAAATAGGGAAGCAAATACTATATTTTAGAAATAGTTAATGTAAAATGGCTAGGTTTTTTTTTTTTTTTTTTCTTTTTAGTGTGATGCTTCAAGGGGAGCCTTTGTCATTGTATTAGTCCAGGACCTCTTAGAAGCAGATGCCAAGATGGGATTAAGCACATAAGAAATTTGTTAGGTGAAATGCTTGTGAGGGGGGAAAAGGAAGGAGACAGGGAGAGTTGTCAGACTGATGAAAGTCTGACTCCAAGTTAAAAGAGAGGTAAGGAAGGAAGGAACTTTGAGTGAAAGTGTCTTAGACTGTAGTGCAATACTAAGGAAAGTTTGCAAGGCCTCAGAAAGTCTTTGAGTGAAAGGTGCCTGTTGGAAAAATGATGTGTCTCCCGGGAACAGGCCTGCCATGCTCAGTCAGTGACTGGGAGGAGCTAGTGAGAAACTGGCCTCGACACAAACACAGTGATGGATTTGAGTGCAGCTGCTGCAGCACTCAGTCTATTATCCTTCCTGTAGTCAGAGATCTGAGAGGCTCGTTCTCATGATCAATTAGGGTCATCTCTGGCTATGAATTGCCTAATTCGGGATAAAGTACAGTTTTTCCCCATTTCAGGTGGGTAATTTGTTCCCAAAAAACCCCTGTATTTAAAAGAAAAAAAAAAGGATGCCTTAAGGTGAATTCTTAAAAGTCAGAAATTAATTTTCATTGAAATTAATGGTACACAATTTACTTCAGTAGCTAATCATATAAACTTTGCATTCATATTCAATGTTTATGTAATTAAATACTTAATATGCAAAACCACAAACAGAACAGTAAGACAAAAGAAAACAATTCAAGTAACACCCCAAATTTTTACTCTATGAACTGGTGAACCAGGAGTACTTGAGGCAAACCAGCAGTAAGTTCGTGAATAGTCCAACCATGTGGCCACGAAGATGACTCCTTGTTGGTTTTCCTTGCTAGTCTGGGCTACCTCACAGGCAGAAAGGCGCAAACCAGTGAATGAAATTCCTCAGAATGTCAAATTCTGGTAACTTCCTGTTGGAGTTGGGAGTGGAGATATACATGGGAAAATAAGTAATTTAAAGATTTGGTTTTATGGACCCTGAATTACTCAGATGTTTTGTTTTTTTTTTTGTTTTTTTTTTTGAGACGGAGTCTCGCTCTGTCGCCCAGGCTGGAGTGCAGTGGCGGGATCTCGGCTCACTGCAAGCTCCGCCTCCCGGGTTCACGCCATTCTCCTGCCTCAGCCTCCCAAGTAGCTGGGACGACAGGCGCCCGCCACTACGCCCGGCTAATTTTTTTGTATTTTTAGTAGAGACGGGGTTTCACCGTTTTAGCCGGGATGGTCTCGATCTCCTGACCTCGTGATCCGCCCGCCTCGGCCTCCCAAAGTGCTGGGATTACAGGCGTGAGCCACCGCGCCCGGCCACTCAGATGTTATTTAAGAAAGTTTTTTTTTTAAAACTGTAACAGGAAGATTACTTGAGGAACCTTTAATGCTACTTTAATGCTTCATGCTGATTTGTGTGTGTGTGTGTGTGTGTGTGTGTGTACAGTAGCACAGTCTCAGCTCACTGCAGCCTCCACCTTCTAGGCTCAAGTGAACCTCCCACATCAGCCTCCGAAGTAGCTGGGACCACAGGCACGTACCACCATGCGCGGCTAATTTTTTTGTATTTTTTGTTAGAGACAGGGTTTTACCATGTTGCCCAGGCTGGTCTCAAACTCTTGAGCTCAGGAGATTCACCCGCCTGGGCCTCCCAAATTGCTAGGATTACAGGTGTGAGCTATCACGCCTGGACTGATTTTTACTGTTTTGATTTTTCTTTTTCTTTTTGAGACAGAGTCTCACCCTGTCGCCCAGGCTGAAGTGCAATGGTGCGATCTCGGCTCACTGCAACCTCTGCACCCAGAGTTCTAGTGACTCTCCTACCTCAGCCTCCCCAGTAGCTGGGATTACAGGTGCCTGCCACTACACCCAGCTATTTTTTTTTGTATTTTTAGTAGAGACAGGGTTTCGCATGTTGGCCAGGCAGGTCTTGAACTCCTGATTTCAGGTCATCTACCCACCTCGGCCTCCCAAAGTGCTAGGATTACAGTTGTGAGCCAGCAGGCCTGGCCACTGGTTTGATTTTATTTACCAAATTAGTTGAGCACTATTTGTATGGCAAGCATGGATATAAAATTTAAAAATAAAACATAATTGTTGCTTTTATGAAACTTATATGTGGTGTTCAAAAAAAATCTGTAATCTGTCCATATGAGTTAAGCAGCCCAACTGTAAATATGATCAATCCTAGTATGTAGAAAGTAGTTTGGCAGCCAGCCTTGGTGCCTCACAGCTGTAATCCCAGCACTTTAGGATGCTGTACCAGCTTGAGGCCAGGAGTTTGAGACAGCCTGGGCAACATGGTGAGACCCCATCTCTATTTAAAAAAAAAAAAAATAGTTCAGGATTTAAAAAAAAATGAAAAACAAGTCTTGACAGAATTTAAGTTGTTTTTAATTGATACAAACTTTTTGTAGTAAGCTAACTTAAATTTCAGTTGTTCTTTTTTAATGCCTGAAACAATTATTTTCTGTGTACGGCTCAGTAATTTGTAATGGAATGCACTTACTGATAATTAATTCATAGATGTTTTGTTTAAGAGCTTTGCTAGGGCTGATTTCTATAGAACATTTAATAACTTTTTCTTTGATTTTTTTTATTGTGGTGAAATATATTTATACAACATTAAATTTGCCATTTTAACCACTTGAAATGTACAATTGAAGGCCATTAATTACATTCACAATGTTGTGCAACGATTACTACCATCTATTCTTTCCCAATCCCTAGTAACTTCTAATCTACTTTCTGTCTCTACCAATTTACCTCTTCTAGATATTTAATGTAAGTGGAATAATAAAATATTTGTATTTTTGTGTCTGACTACTTTCATTTAGTATAATATTTTCAAGGTTCATCTGTGTTGCAGTATGTACCAGAATTTCATTCCTTTTTAATGCTCAGTAATACTCTATTCAGGTGGACATTTTGCACCTTTTGGCTAAACTGGATACTGCAGTGAACATTGGCATACAATTATTGGTTTAAGTCCCTATTTGCAATTCATCTGGGTATGTTCCTTGGAATGGAATTGCTGGGTTGTTTTTGTAATTCGCTGTGGTTAGCTTCTTCAGGAACTGCCATATTGTTTTTCACAGAACCTGCAATATTTTACATTCCTACCAGCAATGTACACATGTCAATTTCTCTACCTCCTTGCCCACACTTGCTATTTTCTTTCTTTTCTTATCCCATCTTAGTTGGTGTCCTTTTGGTTTGTATTTCTCTAACCAGTAATGATATTAAGCATCTTTTCATGTGCTTATTGGCCATTTGTATGTCTTTATAGAAATGTCTATTCAAATTCATTGCCCCTTTTTAAATTAGTTATTTATTTATTTATTTGAGATGAAGTCTTGCTGTTGTCCCCCAGGCTGGAGTGTGATGGTGTGATCTAGGCTCACTGCAACCTCTGCCTCCTGGGTTCAAGCAATTCTCCTGCCTCGGCCCCATGAGTAGCTGGGATTACAGGCACCTACCACCATGCCTGGCTAATTTTTAGGTTTTTAATAGAGACGGGGTTTCACCATGTTGGCCAGGCTGGTCTAGAACTCCTGACCTCAGGTGATCCACCCCCGCCTCGGCTTTCCAAAGTGCTGGGATTACAGGCGTGAGCCACTGCGCCTGGACCATTGCCCATTTTTTAATTTGGTTGTTTGTGTTTTTGATGTTGAGTTTTAGGAGATCCTTATTATATATTCTTGATATTAGACCTTTATCCAATATATGATTTGCAAATATTTTCTCTCATTTAAACCCAATCAAAAGTTTATCTTTTTAGTTTCTTGATAATGTCCTCTGATGAACGAAAGTTTTTAATTTTGACGAAGTCAGATTTATCTGTTTTTTCTTTCATTGTCTTGTGCTTTTTGTGTCAGATCTTAAGAATTCATTGCCAAATCCAAGGTCATGAGGATTTGCCCCTATGTTTTCTTCTAAGAGATTTATGGTTTTAGCTCTTATATTTAGGTCATTGATATATTTTCAGTTAATTTTTGTGTTTGGTATGAGTTAGGAGTCCAACGTCATTCTTTTGCTTGTGGAAATCCAGTTGTCCCAGCACCATTTGTTGAGCAGGGTCTTATTTCTCCATTGAATGGACTTGGCACAAATCAGTTGGTCATAGATGTATCAGTTTATTTTGGTATGCTCAGTTTTATGCTGTTGGTCTATATGTCTATGCTTTTTCAGTACCATATTATTTTGATTACTGTAGCATTGTAGTAAGTTCTGAAGTCAGAAAGTGTGAGTGTTCCAACTTTTTTTTTTCTTGATTGTTTTGGCTTTTCAGTGTCCCTTGCAGCTCTGTGAATTTGAGGGTCAGCATTTCCGTTTCTGCAAGAAAAGATTTTGGAATTTTGATAGAGATTGCATCGAATCTGTACATTGCTCTAGGTAGTATTGATGTCAACAATATTAAGTCTTCCTACTCAATAACTCAGAATGGCTTTTAATTTATTTTGGTTATTTTAAATTTTCTGCAGCAGCGTATTGTAGTTTTCAGGGTAAAACTCACCTCCTTGGTTAAATCTCTTTCTAGGTACTCTTTTAGATGTTATTGTTCTTTTCAATGTTAAATGGAATTGCATTCCTAATTTCTTTTTCAGATTATTCATTGCATATGCATAGAAACACAACTACTTAAATTTTTTTTTTAAGTTATTTATTTTTTTGAGACAGGGTCTCGCCCTGTCACCCAGACTGGAGTGCAGTGGCGTGATCACAGCTAACTGTAGCCTCAACTTCCTGGGCTCCAGCAATCTTCCCATCTCAGCCTCCTGAGTAGTTGGGACTACAGGTGCATGCCACCACACCACACATCACACTGGCTAATTTTTGTATTTTTGGTAAGACAGGGTTTTGCCTTGTTGGCCAGGATGGTCTTGAACTCCTCTGCTCAAGTGATCCACCAGCCTCAGCCTCCCAAAGTGCTGGGATTATGGGCGTGAGCTACCATGCCCGGCCGCACCAGTCTTTCTTTTCCAGAATCTATATAACCTGATCTTCTGGACTTCAAAATCCTTGTTGTTTCCCCTCACCTATAACCCTTTTAAAACGAAGCGGAATTCTTCTTTTTTTTTTTTTTTTTTTTTTTTTGAGATGGAGTCTTGCTCTGTTGCCCAGGCTGGAGTGCAGTAGTATGATCACGGCTCTCTACAGCCTTGGCCTCCTGGGTTTTAGTGATCCTCCTACCTCAACCTAGTCTAGCTGAGTAGCTAGGACTACAAGTGTGTACCACCACACCCACCTAATTTTTTTTCCCCTTTGGTAAAGATGAACTCTCATTATGTTGCCCACACTGGTCTTGAACTCGTAGGCTCAAGCTATCCTCCTGCCTTAGCCTCCCAAAGTGCTGGGTTTACAGGTATGAGCTACCACACCGGGACAAAGTGGCACTTTTTTTTTTTTTTTTTTTTTTTTTTGAGACAGAGTCTCGCACTGTCACCCGGGCTGGAATGCAATGGCATGATCTCAGCTCACTGCAACCTCTGCCTCCCAGGTTCAAGTGATTCTCCTGCCTCAGCCTCCCGAGTAGCTGGGATTATGGGGCCTGCCACCACGCCTGGCTAATTTTTGCATTTTTAGTAGAGATGGGGTTTCTCCATGTTGGTCAGGCTGGTCTCGAACTCCTGACCTAGTGATCCGCCCACCTCAGCCTCCCAAAGTGCTGGGATTACAGGCATGAGCCACTGAGCCTGGCCTAAAGTAGTACTTTTTAATTAAAAAAAGAATCAAAATGAAACTCAATACATAGGCAGGTCATAAAAAATGATTTTTTCTTTTGCTCAAGCAGTGAGTAGCATTAAGCTGTTCCCTCACCTTCACCTGGTGTTACCTGGAGTACATTTGGGAAGTCCTCAACTTTGAAAACCCTTTTTCCCTATATACTGCTGGTAATTAAAAGCAAAAAATTATTCTGAAGTTTGTCAAGCATTTTATGGAGGAGACATTGCTAGTTTGTTTTCTGTTTTTTTTTAAGTATATTTTAAACATTTCCTTATACTCCTAATATAAATGTTGCTTTGTCAGAAATTTCAACATTTGGAACAAAATTTTTATAGTTTCTAAATAAATATAATTCAAACCAGGTATAGTTAGGATGGGTGCCTATAATGCTGTCAGGATACATATAATGCTATGCATAAAGTTTATTTCTGTATCATCTAGTTGTTCAACAGTTGATCTAGGCATAATAATGAAACTACTTTTGCAGTTTGATATAGTTTGGATATTTGACCCCTCCAAATTTCATGTTGAAATTTGTCCACCTCCAATCTCACGTCTCAGTGTTAGACAGTGGGGGCCTGGTGGGAAGTGTTCGGGGTCATGGGGCAGGTCCCTCATGAATGGGTTGGTACCATCCTTGTCCCAGAGGTAATGTGTGAATTCCTGCTCTATTCGTTCATGTGAGAATTGGTTGTTCAGAAGAGTGTGACACACTTCCCCTCTCTCTTGCCATGTGACACATTTGCTCCCCCTTTGGCTCTGCCATGATTGGAAACCTCCTGAGGTCCTTACCAGAAGCAGATGCTAGCGGCACGCTTCTTGTACAGCCTGCAGAACTGTTAGCCAAGTAAAACTCTTTACTTTATAAATTACCCAGCCTCAGGTATTTCTTTATAGCAATGCAAATAGACTAAAAGACAGTTAAACACATTTTTGTTTTTGTTTTTCTCCATGTCTCCTTGCTGTATTTTATTATTTTTTTGAGACAAGGTCTCACTCTGTTGCCCAAGCTGGAGTGCAGTGGTGCAGTCTCGGCTCACTGCAACCTCCCCCTCCTGGGCTTAAGTGATCCTCCCTCCTCAGCCTCTCAAGTAGCTAGGACTAAAGGTGTGTACCACCACACCCAGCTATTTTTCTTTAAATTTTTTGTAGAGACAGGGTCTCACTGTGTTGCCTAGGCTGGTCTTGAACTCTTAGTCTCAAGGAATCCTCCTGCCTTGGCTTCCCAAACTGCTTGGATCACAGGTATGAGTCACCACGCCTGGCCTGCTCTTTTGTTTCTATATGTTAGACTTTTTGCAGATTTCCATATATAAGCGATGTCATCAGTATTTTCTTTCAGTGTCTGGCTTATTTTACTGAGTGTAATGTCCTCTGGGTTTATTATCCGTGTAGTTGCAAATGGCAGTATCTCATTTTTTAAGGCTGAATGATATTCCATTGTGTGTATCTGTGTGTATCACAATTTCTTTTTTCATTCATCTGTCAGTTGACACATTGTTTCCATAACTTGGCTATTGTGACTAATACTGCAATGAACACAGTAGCACAGATATCTCTACCAGGTGCTGATTTCATTTCCTTTGAGTACATACCCAGCTAGGTCATATGGTAGTTCTATTTTTAAGTTTTTGAGGAACCTCCATTACTGTTTTCCATAATGGCTGTGCCAATTTATATTCCCATCCACAGTCTACAAGGGTTTCCTTTTCTCCACACCCTCACCAACACTTGTTATCTCTTACCAAAAGAGTCATTCTAACAGGTGTGAGATGATATCTCATTGTGGTTTTGATTTGCATTTCTCTGATGATTAATGATGTTGAGTACCTTTTCATATACCTGTTTGTCATTAGTATGTCTTCTTCAGAAAAAAACAGTCTTGGCCGGGCACAGTGGCTCATGCCTGTAATCCCAGCACTTTGGGAGGGCGAGGCAGGTGGATCACTTGAGGTCAGGAGTTTGAGACCAGCCTGGCCAAAATGGGGAAACCCCATCTCTACTAAAAATTAGCAGGGCCCGTAATCCCGGCTACTCCAGAGGCTGAGGCAGGAGCATCACTTGAACTGGGGAGGTGGAGGTTGCAGTGAGTCGAGATCGTGCCACTTCACTCCAGCCTGGGCACAGAGTGAGACTCTGTCTCCAAAACAATAAAAAAAGATATATGGTTTGTAAACATTTTCTCCCAGTCTGTAGGGTGCCTTTTGATTGTGTTGATTGTTTCCTTTGCTGTGCAGAAGCTTTTTAGTTTGATGTAGTCCAAGTTGTTTATTTTTGCTTTTGTTGCCTGGGCTTTTGGTATGCCATCCAAAAAAATATCAAGGAACTAGTATTAACCTATACAATTCAGTAGTTTTTAGTATATTTACAGAGCTGTGCAACTATTGCACAATCAATTATAAATCATTTTCATCACCTCAGAAAGAACTCCATACCCTTTAGCCATCATCCTCCAAACCTCCAGCCCCAGGTAACCATTAATCTATTTTCTGTCTTTATGGATTTGTCTGTTCTGGACATTTCATATAAATGGACTCATAATATGTAGTCTTTCATGACTGCCTTTTTTCACTTAGCAAAATGTTTTCAAGGTTCATCCATATTTTAGCATGTATCAGTACTTCATTTCTACGACTAAATAGTATTGTGTTGCATTGATGTATACTACATTTTGCTTATACATTCATCAATAGATGAACATTTGGGTTGTTTCTACCTATTGGCTATTAAGAATAGCTGCATATTTTCATTCCCACTAGCAGTGTGGAAGGCTTTCAGTTTCTATATTTTCACCAACACTTGTCTTTTTTATTCTAGCCATCTTAGTGGATATGAGGTGATATCTCATTGTGGTTTTCATTTGTATTACCCTAATAACTGATGATGAACATTTTTTCATGTGCATATTGAACATTTGTAGATCTTGTTTGAAGAAATATCTGTTCAGATCCTTTGCCCATTTTAAAATTGGGTTGTCTTTTTACTGTTGAGTTGTAAGAATATTTTTTTTTTGAGGTGTGGTCTCGCTTTGTTGCCCTGGCTGGAGTGCAGTGGCACAATCTTGGCTCACTGCAACCTCCACCTTCCGGGTTCAGGCAATTCTCCTGCCTCAGCCTCCTGAGTAGCTGGGACCACAGGCGCCTGCCACCACACCTGGGTAATTTTTTGTATTTTTAGTAGAGATGGGGTTTCACCGTATTAGACAGGATGGCCTTGATCTCCTAACTTCGTGATCTGCCTGCCTCGGCCTCCCAAAGTGCTGGGATTACAGGCGTGAGCCACCGCACCCGGCCAAATTTTTTATATATTCTGAATGTAAGTTCCTTATCAAATATATGAATCGCAAGTATTTTTTCCCATTATGTGAAGTGAAGTCTTCTTATAGATATAGTATTGTGATTAATAACAAATAGTTAATTTAGGAGAGTAGAGTACAAGCTGTAGCAGTGGGAGTTTTGTCAGCACACGCTTTTAGAAGGTTTCTTCCACTGTATGACCGTGTATTGATGAAAGGAATGTGCCTGAAACTGTAACCAAAGGAGACATGCTTCCAGAAAAATCTCAAGGAAAAGTATTGTAAGCAACAGTAGATGTTGGATCAGACTCTAAAGTAAAGGGTGGAGAGTTAACCAGTTAACATGTAAGTTGGAGATAGAGTTCTCCCAGAATATGTAGGCACCAAAGTAGTTCTAGACAACAAGGATTACTTCTCATTTAAAGATGGTGACATTCTTGCAAACTATATAGACTGAAATAAATCATATTGAAATGGCATCAACATGAAGCTGCCCATTCTGTAATTCTGAAATCTTCTATCATGTAAAATAATTTTCATGTCTTTCTTTTGTAATAAACTAATGATATCTAAACTAATGATGCCCAGTGTTTCTAAAATTTAGTTTTGCTGTATTGATATAAACATTTCCTAATAAAAATATGTAAATTTAAAAATAGTTAATTTAAAGCTTATATAGATTCCAAGAAATAATAATGTTCAGCACTTAAACTGTTTTAATCAAGGGTTAAGAATTAACTTCACTGGGCAAAGTGGCTCACACCTGTAATCCCAGCACTTTGGGAGGCCAAGGCACGTGGATTGCTTGAGCTCAGGAGTTCAAGACATGCCTGGGCAACATGGTGAAACTCCATCCCTACCAAAAATGCAAAAAATTAGCTGGGCATGATGGTGCATGCCTGTAATCCCAGCTACTGGGGAGGCTGGGATGGGAGAATCACTTGAGCCCAAGCCTGGGAGGCAGAGGTTGCAATGAGCTGAGATGGCGCTGCTGTACTCCAGCCTGGGTGACAGAGCGAGACCCCATCTCAATAAAAAAAAAAAAAGAAAAAAAAGAGGTCTTGTGCTTTAGATCAGTGGTTGCCAAACTTTATCAAGCATCAGAATCACTTGGACAGCTTGTTAAAACATTCTTTGCTAGCCTGCATTCCCAGAGTTTCTGAATCAGAAAGTCTTGAGTGGGGCATCCAGGAATTTACATTTTTAACAGAACATGTTGATGCTTTGGTTCATGGACCGCTTCCTTAATGGTCCCTATAACTGTCATAAAGAATTAGCTATATGCTGATATGTAGGAAATTCTACCTGATAAAAATGACAAAATTTTAATTTATAGCTCATATTTGCATCTCTTCAATTTGCATATATTTGTATATATAAAGTGTTATATAGTCATGGTTGGTGCCTAAATTGTTGGATTTCTTTTAAAACTCTTGCCATACATAAAGTCTACTTTTTTCCGTAGGCTTGTCTCCTGTCAGATCCTCATGAATTTCCTTGAGTTTAAGAAAATAGTAAAGAATGTTACAGCTTAAAGAGATTTTATAGATCATCCAACTCTTCCCATCCCTCATAGAGATTGGTTAAATCTCTTAATCCAAGATTGTGTAGCTAATTATTGGTAGGTATAGGTAGCTCTTAGGGATTTTATTTCTGGCAATTCTTTATATTGCTTGAAGAAAAGTAAATATGTATTTCAGCCAAGATTTTTTTTTTTTTTGAGATGGAGTCTCGCTCTGTTGCCCAGGCTGTAGTGCAGTGGCGCGATCTCGGCTCACTGCAAGCTCCACCTCCTGGGTTTACACCATTCTCCTGTCTCAGCCTCCCGAGTAGCTGGGACTACAGGCGCCCGCCACCACATCCGGCTAATTTTTTTGTATTTTTAGTAGAGACGGGGTTTCACCATGTTAGCCAAGATGGTCTCGATCTCCTGACCTCGTGATCCGCCTGCCTTGGCCTCCCAAAGTGCTGGGATTACAGGCGTGGACCACCGTGCCCGGCCAGCCAAGATATTTTTAGTGACTTTCAAATACAGATCTCTTTGGTAACATTTTATTAGGTAATAAATAAGCTTAAGATATTTGAAATGACTTGATTCTGTGCTAAATGCTATTTGATTATTTTACACCAAAGTAATACATGAATATAGCCTGATAAATAATTTTTAAAAAGTATGTCTCATAGGCATCTCTTTTATTCTGGTCTTAAAACATATGAGAAAGAAGATAGTTGAAGAGTATGTGCTAGTGAGATGGGGCACAGATTTCCATCAATAAACTTATGTAAAATTGAGTAGAATGAACAGGTTGTTTCCTAGAGATGTCTTAAACCTATTAGAAAGTTTAGAGGGAATGATGAGGAAGGGATATGTAATGTAAAAATATAAGGCTATCCTCTTCCTTCTTTTAAAAACTTTATCTCTAGCCAAGTCTGCTTAAGGAGAAAGTCTTGCTTTCCCCTGTCTAGGTTATAGCTTGTAGATGTTCATTTTAATACTTACTGAATTATTAAAATCTTTTTTTCCTTAGCCCTTCACCTTAGTAGTCAATCAAGGTTTGTTTTTCTAAATTAGATGATCTGTGTTGTTTCTTTTATAGGAGGAATTTGGGTAGCCAAATAGCTCCACATAAACATCTAGCTTCTCAGGTATCAACTGTAAAATGCATAGAAAATGCTATTAAACACTAAAAAGAGATTGAAAGCACCGTTGACTGACTTGTGAAATTATTTCCTAATTGCCTTTGGTCAGCACATACCTAGACTTCTACACACCCAACAGTCTATCTCAACCATTCTGTAATGTTGCTAAAATAATTTTCCTGCTTCATTGTTAAAACTCTAATGATTCCTCTCTGTCCTCTTTGCACATGGCTCTATCCTATATAAATTTCAGAATATGTGGAACTGAAATAATTTTTATCTCAGAAGCAAGTACTCCTATTAAGGCTTGGTGTGTTTTCATCATTTTAATTTTGACTAGAATAGAGAACTCATTAGAGTAGGAAACGCACTTCTGCCCCAGATTCAGGAGAATGAGGACTTATTTCAGTGTCTCAAACACAAACTTTCGAATGTAGCCTGCAGAACTCTGGTACTTATGAGCCACATTTTGCCTGGCTGTTAGTTCTCTTGATAACCTAGGAAATATGCCTTACCTTAGCTTTTCCTAACTGAATCTCTCTTCTCTGCACTAAGACTTTTCCCCTAGCTTAATCATAGTGTGTCTTCCTACAGGAAGCCTTTTCAGGTTGACCTGTACCCATCTACCAGTCCTCAAGTAGTTTCTCAAACTGGAGTCTCTAGATATTCTCAGGAGTCTGAGAATTCTCTGAGATATAAACAGTTTTGTGGTTCTCTGTGTAGATGCAAACACCATACATCTGGTGTCTACTGGAGGGTGGAGTTGAAAATGATCATTGTGAAACAATGCCAGAATCTTTCTGAAACTTTTGCAAGCAGCAAATTTGAACAGCTGGTTTGTAACTGAGGTTTTTAAACTTCATTCAGTCTAACTGTATGAAGTGCCTTACGTGGCTGTTATGGTAGCTGAGAGGAAGGATGAACTGGAGACTGAGGACACCACCCCCATTTTAACCTGGTTGGCCCTACTTTTATTTGTATTATATATTGTGGCTCAGTGAAGATTTCTCTTGGGAGCTTCTCTCCATCTAAAAGTTTTGAAAACCACTGGACTAACAGGTTTATGGCTTGTGGTTTTGGTAGGGGAATAGGGAAAAGTAGCAATGTATCCTTATAAAGAGGCTGTATGTGGCTAAGTTATTTGTAAATAGATTTTTCATAGTTAACCAAACAAAGAGTCCTTAGAAATTTTTACTGCTAATTGGGAATGTTATTCCAGGGTTATCTTAGATTGGTAGATAGTAGTTCTCAAGTTTTTCGGTCTCAGAACCCCCTCACAGTCTTTATTTATTTATTTATTTATTTATTTATTTGAGACCGAGTCTTGCTCTGTCGTCCAGGCTGGAGTGCAGTGGTACAGTCTCGGCTCACTGCAGCCTGCGCCTCCCAGCCTCCCGGGTTCAAGCAGTTCTCTGCCTCAGCCTCCTGAGTAGCTGGGATTACAGGCTCTCGCCACCACACCTGGCTAATTTTTGTATATTTAGTAGAGACGGGGTTTCACCATCTTGGTCAGGCTGGTCTTGAACTCCTGACCTCGTGATCCACCTGCCTCGGCCTCCCAAAGAGCTGGGATTACAGGCGTGAGCTACTGCACCCGGCCCCCTTCACACTCTTAAAAAATTATCGAGGCTCCCCAAAAGTACTGTTTGTATGCATTATACCCATCAATTTTTAAATAAAAGAAAAAATTTCAATAATTACTGATTTATTTAAAAATAATGAACCCATTACATTTTAACAACAGTAACATTTTTAATATTAAGATAACTGTTTTCCAAGAAAGAAAAAAGAAAAAGAGAAAACTGTTTTCCAAAACAAACAAAAAAAAAATTAGCAGAGAGTGGCATTGTTTAGTATTTTTTGCAAATCTCTTAATAGTACGATCTGGATTCTCATTTTCTGTTTCTACATTCAACCGGTTTGTGATATGCTGTTTTAGTTGAAATATATGAAGAAAAACTCAGCCTCCTACATTCAATATTTGAAGAGAGTTAAGGTATGTAACAGCTTTTTCAGATATTATCAATACTGTATTTTTCTTTAATGTCAAACCCCACAAGTGGTAGTTTCTTTTAGGTTAATTGCAACATGGAATCTGAAACTATAGCAATGAACTTTTGGTTCCTTCCAGTAAAAGTAGCAATGTATCCTTTTAAAGAGACTGGAAAGGCCTTCCATTTGGCTTTCCATGATTGCCACTCCATCACATTCAAAAGTCAAAGTCGTTAAGTGATCTGGCCTCCTACTATCTCTCTGATCTCATCTCCAGCTCTGCTGGCTCTGCTGACTCTGCTGTAGTCACACTGGTCTCCTTGCTGTTTGCTCCTCTAAACAATCTCGTGTCTCTGGGCTTCTGTGCTTGTCATTCCCTCTCATTTCTTAACAAATAGATTAGATATTGTGTTAAATAATCTTAATTTAGTGAAGACCTACCAGAATATATTTGTTGAGTGTGAAAATTATCTCTGAACAGAACTGCTTATATACTTGGCAATGGCATTGTAATCAGAAAGACTCAACACCTTTATGTCGGACTCTGACCCTCTTATGTCTTGGTGGAAGTGAAAGTGTAAGTGGTACCAAGTCATTTGGATTGCCAGTACTTTGCTATAGAGTACACAAATGTGCCTCATTGCAATAACACTAGAAGTTGTTTACTACTGTAGTTTACTAAGAACTAACCACATAGATGATCATGCATTTCAGGAAAATATGATAGAAATAGGAAAGATTCTAACCCAGGTCTTAATTATTCACATACGGAAGAATGGCCTGTATATCTTCATTATATGTGTAGGGGAAAATAGTGCCTATCTTTCAAGATCATTGGAAGGTTAGAGATCCTTTTGTTAAATCATGTTAGTTTAAAAAATGCATTTATTTAAAAAAGTATTTCTGTAGTATTAATAACTGATTTTTTGACATCTTTGTATATGCTTAACGTGGCTTTTTAAGAGTCACAGTTTACCAAAGAAGTAATATTGCCTCATTAAATTTCTGAAGTTAACATTGTAGCACTTTGATATTTAGAAGTAAATTATCATTTTCATTTTAAACTTTTAATTTGGGAATTTAAGTATTATGAAGTTTTTCTCAAATGCCTAGTTTGGAGAGACTATTTTTACAACTAATTTAGAGCTTTCAAGTGGATTTAAATTTGTCTTGCTTTGAAGATATTTTATTTCATATCACGCTTTCAGATTTCTTTTAGTTTTGTAAAATTTCAAGTTGCTTTTTCTTGAATTATAAATTTATTTAGTGTGTTTTGGTTTTTAATCATTTCATTTATTCATTCAACCCACCAACAGAAATGCCAAGCAGTGTTCTAGATACCAGGAGAAATCGGGTGATGAGACAAAGTCTCTTACATTCTGGTAGGAGAAAGCAGACAAATAAACAGACAAAGAAATACTGTAGTTTTAGATAACAGTAAGTAAAATAAAGAAAATAAAGGAGGTTGTGATAAGTAGGGTCTGAGAGGCAGGAGAGCAGGGGATACTCTTAAAAATAATGGTCGAGGACAGCCTCTCTGAGGAGGTGACATTTGAGAAGAGACCAGAATGTTCAGAAGCAGCCAATAATGCAAAAAATCTGGTGGAGGAGCACCCTAGAAGAGGGTAGTTAGTGTAAGATCTTGAAGCAAGACAAGCTTGGGGTGCGCAAGAAACATCAAGACAAGCAGTATGTGCAGTGAGCCATGATCCTCCCACTACACTCCAGCCTGAGTGAAAGAGTGAGACCCTGTCTCCAAAAAGAAAAAAGAAAAAAAACCAGTATGACTAGAGTATAGCATATGTGAAGAAGAGTGAGAAAAATTACGTTTGGAGACAGAGACAGGGACCACTTCATGTAGGGCTTTAGCACTAGTGATAGTAGAACACTCAAGGATTTTAGGCGAAGGAGTGACATAAACTTAAGTTAAAAATTTATGGTCAATTTGTGAAGAAAAACAGACTTTTGTGGGCGTAATAATGAAGCAAAGTGATTATTTTAGAAGAAAGAGGTGATGGCAGTATGAACTAGTAGTGTAGGTGGTGAGAAATGATCATAATTGGGCTATGTTGTGTCCATTGGAGTAAACCATTAGGAGAGAATGGTGACTTGGAAGTTAAATGAAGAAGGAGTGGCAAGAAAGTGGAAGTGGTCAACTGTCATACTGCCAAGAGGTCAGATGAGATGCGGGCAGGGATTTAGTCCTGGCCGTATTATAGAATGGCATCCCCTGGTGACCATGACAGCCCTGGGTGGAGAAGCCTGGGGGGCTGGTATAGAAAAGGTGACTGTGGAGATCCTTTTGAGGAATCTGCCTCTGAAAGGCAAAGAATGTGGTGAACACTGGGGGATGTGAGGACAAGGAAAACTTTTTTTTTTTTTTCGAGTTCTTTTATATGCCAATAGGAGTGATCCCGTTATGTTTAAGTTCATTTTTTTGTTCATGAATGAGGTGAGGCTTTCCTGAGCTAAAACAGTAGAAAAAAGGAGTTGGAAAAGAGTTAAGGGGCTTATAGACGATTATTTATACCTATGGGAAAGTTGAATTTTTCATTTGGATTCACAGGTGAAACATCAAAAGTTGAACACGCTGCATTATGTAATTTCATTCACTTATTCATAGTGTAGTACTTGAGCTGCTTAAGTACCAGGAACTAGGGTACAAAGGTAAGACATGCTCACTACCCTCAAGGAGGTAAAAATCCAGCAAATAAACAGATGTGTACACTCTCACTGCACAAAGGACATTCCTCAGACCAGCAGTGTTGGTCCCACCTGAGAGGTTGATAAAAATACCAAATGCTTGGCCAGGCCTAGTGGCTCATACCTGTAATCCCAGCACTTTGGCAGGCCAAGGCGGGTGGATCACCTGAAGTCAGGGGTTTGAGACCAGCCTGACCAATATGGTGAAACCCCGTCTCTACTAAAAATACAAAAATTAGCCAGGTGTGGTGGCGTGCACCGGTAGTCCCATTTACTCGGGAGGCTGAAACAGGAGAATCGCTTGAACCCAGGAGGTTGAGGTTGCAGTGAGCCAAAATCGCAACACTGCACTCCAGCTTGGGTGACAGAATGAGACTCTGTTTCAAAAAACAAACAAACAAAACAACAACAACAAAAAATGTTCTACCCAAGAACTACTGAATTGGAAGCTGTATTTTTTACAAAATTGCTAGGTGATTTAAGTTTGAAAAGCACTGATATACATAAACTATACATTAAAAAGATGTGATAAGCACTAAAGTTTTTGTTTGTTTGTTTGTTTGTTTGTTTGTTTTGAGATAGAGGCTCGTTCTGTCGCTCAGGCTGGAGTGCAATGGCGCGATCTGGGCTCAATGCAACCTCCACCTCCCAGGTTCAAGCAATTCTCCTGCCTCAGCCTGTCTAGTAGCTGGGATTACAGGCGCCTGCCACCATGCCTGGCTAATTTTTGTATTTTTAATAGAGATGGGGTTTTGCCATGTTGGCCAGGCCAGTCTCGAATTCCTGACCTCAGGTAATCCGCCCACCTCGGCCTCACAAAGTGCTGGGATTACAGGCATGAGCCACCACACCAGGCCTGCTAAAGATTCTTACAAACAAAAAATACTGTATGTAAGAGCTCAGTTACTATGTTACTATGTCAACCAGCCCCCAGCCCCCACAAAGAAGAGAAATGATCATAGAGGAAAAAGTTGGATCAGACATTTCTCTGGATTGGCATATTAAAAGGTGCTTGATAAGAGTTTGTTGAACTAAACTAGCCCTAGGCGCTACCATTTGAAGATGAATTATTTGCTATTTAGTAGTCTGCATTTAGTGTTTATGCACAGAGTGTTTTTTTTTTTTTTTTTTGAGACAGGGTCTCACTCTGTTGCCCAGACTGGAGCGCAGTGGTGTTATCTCAGCTTACCACAACCTCTGCCTCCCAGGCTTAAGTGATTCTCTGGCCTCAGCCTCCCAAGTAGCTGGGATTACAAGCGTGTGCCACCATGCCTGGCTAATTTTTTTTTTTTTTTTTTGTATTTTTAGTAGAGACGGGATTTCACCATGTTGTCCAGGCTGGTCTCGAACTCCTAACCTCAAATGATCCACCTTCCTCTGCCTCCTAAAGTACTGGGATTACAGGTGTGAGCCGCTGTGCCTGGCCCAGAGTTTTTGTAAATAGATTATTTCAATAAAAAGAGTGAGATTCAGATCTCAGAAAGAGAGGATAAATGAAAGCCAAGATTACATCAGTTGATTGACTATACTAGTACCATGAACATGGGAAGTGTTAGGATATGAAGATAAGTGAGACAGTCACTGCCCTCTAGTAGGAGACTCAAGGACATTTATTTTACTTTTTGGGTTATAATCCAATACTATTGCTACTTATTTTGTTGTGTAAATTGTTGCAGCGTTGGTCATTGGGAGCTTTTTTAGGTTGGCTTCTTTTCTTTCTTTCTTTTTTTTTTTTTTTTTGGAGACAGAGTCTTGTTCTTGTTGCCTAGGCTGGAGTGCCATGGCACAATGGCTCACTGCAACCTCCACCTCCCAGGCTCAAGCAATTCTCATGCTTCAGCCTCCCGAGTAGCTGGGATTACAGGTGTGTGCCACCATGCCTGGCTAATTTTTTGTATTTTTAGTAGAGATGGGATTTCACCATGTTGGCCAGTCTAGTCTTGAACTCCTGACCTCAAGGTGATCTGCCCATGTTGGCCAGGGATGGCCAAAGTGCTGAGATTACAGGTATGGGCCACTGTGCCGGGCCAGGTTGGCTACTTTTGAACACTACTTTATGAGTCAACTTTCTTGCTCGTTTCTTCCCTATTTTGAGGGCTGCCTAATATTGAATCAGTGTTTTATGAAGAATATGATCTCTTAACTGGCCACTCTGTCAGTATCACGAGAGGTGTTTTGTTTTGTTTTGTAAAGGCACACTCATCATTAGCGAAATGGGAATGAAAACCACAGTGAGATACCACTTCATACCAATTAGGGTGGCTATTATTTAAAATAAAAAACCAAAAATGAAAACCAAAGGACAGCCATATGGATGTAAAGAAATTGGAAACTGTGCATTGCTGGTGGGAATCTAAAATGGTATAGCTTCTGTAAAAAACAGTATGGCAGTTCATCAAAAAACTAAATATAGAATTACTATATGATCTAGTAGTTCCACTTCTAGCTATTGAAAGCAGGGATTTGAACAGATATTTGTACACCAGTGTTTATAGGCAGCACTTTTCACAATAGCCAAAAGGTAGAAACTAACCACATGTCAGTTACCAGATGAATAGATAAATGTAGTATATACATGCATGTAATAGAATACTATTCAGCCCTAGAAAGGAATAGAATTCTGATGCTGCAGCATGGGCGAATCTTGAAAATATTTTACTAAGTGAAAGAAGCCAAAAATAAAAGGACAAATACTATATGATTTCACTTCTGAGATACCTAGAATAGTTCAATTCATAGAGACAGAAAGTAGAATGGTAGTTTCCAGAGCCTGCAGGGAGGAGGAATTGGGGAGTTATTGTTTAACAGGTGCAGAGTTCCAGGCCAAGATGATGAAAAAGTTCTGGAGATGGATAATGGTGATGGTTGCACAACAATGTCACTGAATTATGCATGTAGAAATGGTTAAATGGTAAATTTTGTGTTGTGTGTATTTTACCACAGTTGAAAAAAAAAGTCACTTCCTTCGCTCCATCTCAGGCATACTAAAGTAGAATTTCTAGTGGTCGGGCCCAGAATCCTGCATTTAAAAAAAAAGAAAAAAGCTTTTCAGTTTATTGTTATGCATGGTTTAAGAACCACTGATAGGTGGGATTATCTAATGGAAAGTGGGGTAAACTGGATTTTGTTGGTATTATCTTTAAAGAGAAATTTATCCGATTGATGAATTAAAGTATAATCTTCATCTAGATTTTTATGTTTAATTCAGCTGTTAATATTTACACATTACTTCATGTGGTAATGTGAATAATGACTACTAATAATTATTTAGCATTCTACCACATTTTAAAGCACTTTCGGCTGGGTGCAGTGGCCTGTGATCCCAGCACTTTGGGAAGCCGAGGCAGGAGGATTACTTGAGCCCAGGAGTTCAAGACCAGCCTGGGCAATGTGGCTAAGCCCCATCTCTAAAAAAATTTTAAAAATTAGCTGGGCATGGTGGCACACACCTGTAGTCCCAGTTACGCTAGAGGCCGAGGTGGGAGGACCTCTTGATCCTGGGAGGAGAGGGGAGGCAAAGGTTGCAGTGAACCAAGATTGCACCACTGCACTCCAACCTGGGTTACAGAGACTCTGTCTCAAAAATAAAATAAAATAAAGCACTTTCTGATATGTGATCTCATTTGATCATCATGTTATCCTCTGGTGGTGATAATTGCCATTTTCAGGCGAGACGCTTGAGACTTTGGAGATTGAATGAGTTGCCTAAGATCATACAGATAAAGTCAGATGTCCAAGATAGATCTGATTACAACTCCTCTTAGCAGTCTCCAAGAAAAGAGCAGGTGTTATTCAGGCCATTGTAAATATTCTGTGTTTAATTGTTTTGTGACAAAAATGTAAAATTACTAAGTTAATCATGAACCATAGACTTAAGACCACTTTATTATGTAAACATGGCTGTTATCATATGACAGCTCCACTGTTCTTGCCATGTTGGCAGTGGTTAATATTTACGAAACTAAGATACTTTATTTTGTCTAGGAAAGTATTCTTATGAAGTATTACTATGTTAATACTTAATAAATACTAATTAATATGATTTATCTGGAAATCTAAAGCAGATCTATGATTCTGTGGCAGTTTTTCTTCCCTTGCATTGAAGCGGCCTCTATACCCAACCATTTGTGCATAATACTATAATTTTCAAAAACTGTCACCAGATGCAGTGGATCATGCCTATAATCCCAGCACTTTGGGAGGCTGAGGTGGGTGGATCACCTGAGGTTAGGAGTTCCAAGACCAGCCTGGCCAAAATGGCAAAACCCCGTCTCTACTAAAAATACAAAAATTAGCCAGATGTGGTGGTGGGCGCCTGTAATCCCAGCTACTTGGGAGGCTGAGGCAGGAGAATTGCTTAAACCGGGGAGGCAGAGGTTGCAGTGAGCCAAGATCATGCCACTGCACTCCAGCCTGGGTGACAGAATGAGACTCCGTCTCAAAAAAAAAAAGAACAACAACGCAACTGTGACTATTTCCCTTTTGAAGAATGTATTTGCCACAGTTGAGCCCAGGAGTCAGCAGACTCCCTTCCTTTCCTAGAACATCCAGCCATGTTTTAGTAAAGTAGAAAGATGTGGGGAAAAGCCGTTTCTAGTGTTCCTGTTTTACACTAATTTTCCTCTGGCCTTCCTGTTTACCAACATGGAATTGTCGGGGAAGGGCATTTTTATTTTATAGTGATTTAATATCTAACCACTTCTTATTTTGATAGGATAGGGCATTATATGATAAAATCATTAAAAATGTAATTCAGGCTTGCTTACCAATATCTAATATGTTAAACTGCCTATTTGCTAATTGCATGTCTGAAAGATCTCAAGCATAATGGAGTCCAGAACTCTTGATCTCTTGTTCCCTCTCCCACTTATGAAAACATCTGCTCATCTTACAGTATTCCTTATCCTAGTATATGCACCTGTATCTGGCCAGTGATCTGGGCCCTACCTAACTCCATTTCATTTCCTTTACTCTTCCCTTCACTTGTATATAGTCTGCTTCCTTTGCCTAGAATGTTATCCCTCTCACTTCACCAATATACTTTTCACCTAAATTCTGCTCACCCTTCAGCTTTCAACTTTAATCTTTTCCGAACCACTAGATTAACTTAGGCACCCATTTAGTAGCCTCTTGGTATCCTGTACTTTAACAAGAACATCAATAATGGCTACAGGTAACGTTTATTAAAGATTGGCAATATATTGGTATGTAATATTACCAGAAGGAGTAAGTAATTCGTGCAGGGTTACACTCTGGTAATTGAAAGAACAAAGATTTTAATGTAGGCAATGTAGCCCACACTTAACCTTTTTACTACTCTGCCTCTTACATAGTTATACTTTTGTTTATTATTATGTTTAAATAAATTATTTGTTTAATGTCTAGTTCCCCTATTGTACTTCTAAGCTCCTTGAGGGTGGGGCCTGTGTCTCTTATACTATCTGTTGAATGTGTGCATATATCATATTTGGGATATAGCCTTTGCATTACTCAGAAAGTCTGAAAATTGATAAAAATTTGTAGGTGGAATTCACAGATGACATTGACCGTTTTATTGTCTACAAATGATGGTTTCTATAAATGTGAAGCAATCTGTTTAGTTCATCTAGTAAATCAGTTTACTGTGAAGTGGTTGTATATCAAGGAACGTGATTCATTTGGAGAAGTTTGAATTTGAAAAGTTTTTTTCCTTGCTTGTTATGGCTTTGGTTTACTAAAAACTAGAATCTCCTGCTTAGAGGTTATGGGCAAATTAATTGGTGAAGATAGTAGAAAGACACTTGGATCACAGTTGCTATCTGTTGGCATTTTAAGGAAGACTGCCAATGATAGACAGTAGACACACATCACATGTATTGTGAATTGCCATTCCAGCTTAAAAATACCTCTTAAAATGTGGTTGAAACTTAAAATAGGGTAGGATAACTGCATGTGGTGGCCCATGCCTGGAATACCAATACTTTGGGAGGCCAAGGCAGGAGGATCGCTTGAGCCCAGGAGTTTGAGACCATCCTCAGCAACATAGTGAGACACCCATTTCTACAAAAAAAAAGAAAAATTAGCTGAGCATGGTGGTGTATGCCTGTAGTCCCAGCTTCTCAGGAGGCTGAGGTGGGAGAATCACTTGGGCCCAGGAGGTCAAGGCTGCAGTGAGCTGTGAACACGACACTGCAGTCCAACCTCATGACAGAGTAAGACCCTGTCTCAAAAAAATAAATAAATACAAATAAAAATAGGATAGGATAGATGGGAACACTAGCAGAGAAAACACTGGGAATTTGATAAAGCGCCCCATCTGTGTCAGGACATCATTGATAAAGGGATACATGCCACTTTTGGAAGATAAAGAGCATAGTTGAAGAGGAACTAAAAAATCATCAGAGACTCTTTTCTTGAGTCAGTTCCTTGCTTTATTGGTGGGAACTCTGTTATCACATAGTAATATTTTTAAAAAGTTGTTTAGGAAGGTCATACTGTTTTTAAAGCAAAACACATGAAAAATGATATGAATTTAGCACTTGACACATGTTTGGAATTTGATGTGTATAGTTATTTTCTGTGGGAAAGGACTTTAAATATGTCTTTCCCATGGCTAATATATACACTGGCGTAAACCACATACCAATGAAAATTTTTAATTAAATTTATATTTTATTTTATATACACATAGACATAAATGTTATAAATGTGCACAAATATGAGTAATTTTTAGTAGAGCTTTGGGGGAGGAATGATTCATTCTTTCCCCCTTTTTCTTCTCTTCTCTTCACATCCCTGCCTTGCCCAGGACCATTTATAACCCATGTTGACAACAAAGGTTATATTCTTCCATATTTTTCTCCATGCTGTCCTGCTCGTGTATAAATATATACTTAATTTATAATTACACATACACGTGTATATATGTATATGTGGTTTTTTTGAGAATTCTATGTATTTTACATTTTTTAATGAGTTTTCTCACTTAAGAATACCTTCTTTTTTCACTTAAGAATACCTCACTTAATAGCTCTAATATGTTCTTTTTAATGGCTACATATATAGTTGTATTAGTTTGCTAGGGGTGCCATAATAAGTACCACAGACTAAGTGGCTTAAACAACAGAAATTAGTTTTCTCATAGTTTTGGAGGCTAGAAGCCCAAGATGAAGATGTTGGTGGGTTGTTTTTTTCTGAGGTCTCTCTCCTTGGCTTATAGATGGCTGTCTTCTCCCTGTTTCTTCACGTGGTCTGTCTTCTGTGTTCAAATTTTCTCCTCTTATTAAGGATACCAGTCTTGGATTGGATTCAGGCCTACCCTAATGACCTCATTTTAACTTAATTACCTCTTTAAAGACTTTATCTCAAAATACATTCACATTCTGAGGTGCTGGGGCTTAGGGCTTCATATGAATTTTGGAGGGACACTATTCAGCCCATAACAATCATATTCCACAGTGTATCCAACCATTCCCTTACTGGTGGTCATTTACATTATTTTTGTTTTTTGCCACCATGCAATAAAATCTTTGTATGTATATCCTTTTATTTTTACAGGATAAATTCCCAAAAGTGGATTTTCTGGGCAAAGGATATATTTTAATTTTGATAGTGGTTGCCAGATTACTTTTCAAAAAGTCTTATCAGTTAGCATTTCTACTTGTAAGGTATGAGAATAACTTTTTCCAAGAACAGTCTATATTGAGGATCCCTCTTCCCATCTTTCTCCTCCCATCTACTCCTCAACTGCTTATAATTTGGGTTTTGCTCCAGCTACTCTATTCATATTCTTCTCCAAAGGCCACTAATTATGTGCTATTGCTACATTAATTGTTCTTTTAAAAATATTCTGTTTGCGTTTTGCAACATTTGAAGCTCCTGGAGACTGGTTTTTGTATATTACTTCTCCTGACTTCCTTAAGAATATACCCTAACCACCATTTCCTGATTCTTTTGCCTCATCTTCATCTGCTTGCTGCTTGGATGTAGGTGCTTCACTAGATTCCATTCTGCTTTAAATTGCTCCTGTCCACCTTGGACTGGGAGATTTTTATCTACTTGTACTATTTCTATTACCTGTGTGAAAGTTAATCATCCGAATTGGGTCATTTTTGTCATACCCAACTAAATCAGTAGAGGGGCCAAGGGGAAAAAGCATTCAGGGTCTGTAACATTGCTCTAGAAATGTAATTCTCTGCAAGTCCAGCAGCTAGAACTGCCTATTTATATAAACAAAAACCAATTTTATCTACGTCTGCTGAGATAACTTGCTACAACTCTGGGACTAATTTTGCTCACCAACTGGAGTTTGCCAGCTCCCCAAAGCCTTACTAATACCGATAAACTTTCTATCAAGACCACATATAACATTTCCTCTTCTTTATAAAACCCCCAACCATATCTTTGTTGTTTGGACATACTGAAGACCACCCAGTCTACGTGTATGCCCCAAAGTACAATTCTTTCTTCCCAAATAAAACGTTAAATTTAGAGGTTTGCATCTACATTTTTATTTTGACCTTGACACCTGTAGGTGATTGGTTGAATTCCAGATCCATGTTTTCGGCCTTAAGCTCTCTTTTTTAAAAAAATTAAAATAAAAGTAATGGAACGCTTCACAAATATACATGTCATCCTTGCGCAGGAGCCATCCTCATCTCTGTATCGTTTCGTTTTCAGTATACGTGCTGCCAAAGCGAGCACTAAGCTCTTTTTTGAGCCTCAGACCTAGCTAGATTTCAACCTGTACTCTAATAAATTTAAAGTAAAATTTACCGTAAGATACCTCTGGGGTTTTTCTCTGTTTCTCTTTATTCTTTCATTAACATAGATCCAGTTTTTTGGTTTTTTTTGCCAGAAATGTAGAGGAAAAGGAAAAGATGCAGTACCACAAAGCTAACAATAGAGCAAGTGATGTAAGTTCTGTGAGGACTGGAACTTTGTCTTATTCTGCTTTTCCCAGATGCCTACTATACTGCTTAGCATATGTGAACCCATCTAAAAACAAAATCCACCAAAAAACTCTTATGAATTAAATATTAATAATTAACTATTTACTATTTCCAATTAGTCTTAAAGATTGAACAGGCAAGTTTTGTAGCGGGGATGTGGGGATGGCTACTGGGTACAAAAAGTAATTAGAATGAATAAGACCTAGTATTTGATAGCACAACAGGGTGACTAGTCAGTAATAATTTAATTGTACATTTTTAAATAACTGAAAGTATAATTGGATTGTTTGTAACACAAAGGGTAAATGCTTGAGGGAATGGATACCCCATTTACCATGACATAACTATTATGCATTACATATCTGTATCAAGTATCTTATGTACCCCATAAATATATGCACCTATGTACCCACAAAATTTTTTTTAAAAATTGGTTTTACCAAAAAAGGTTGAATAAGCAAGTTTTTATAAAAATATTTACCAATATTTATTAATTTAATAACTATGAACATTCTTTTTTTTTTTGAGACAGAGTCTTGCTCTGTTGGCCAGGCTGGAGTGCACTGATGCTAATTGCAACCTCTGCCTCCTGGGTTCAAGTGATTCTCCTGCCTCAGCCTTCCAAGTAGCTGGGATTACAGGCGCCCGCCGCCAAGCCTGGCTAATTTTTGTATTTTTAGTAGAGACGGCGTTTCGCCATGTTGGCCAGGCTGGTCTCGAACTCTTAACCTTAGGTAATCTGCCTGCCTTGGCCTCCCAAAGTGCCGGGATTACAGGCGTAAGCTACCGTGCTTGGCAAATTTCCTTTATCTTTTTTTTACCGAGGACAGTCTCACTCTGTTGCCCAAGGTAGAATGCAGTGGCGCGATCTCGGCTCACTGCAACCTCCGCCTCCAGGGTTCAAGTGATTCTCCTGCCTCAGCCTCCCCAGAAGCTGGCATTACAGCTGCACATTGCCATGGCCGGCTAATTTTTGTATTTTTATTAGAGACGGGGTTTCACCATGTTGGCCAGGCTGGTCTCGAACTCCTGACCTCCAGTGATCCGCCAGCCCACGCTTCTCACAGTGCTGGGATTACAGGCCTGAACCACCACACCCAGCCACTATGAACATTCTTTACTAATAAATAAACACTATCTTGCATTACAGCTACAAAAATTATTTTTTGTTCTTGTTTTTGAGACAGGGTCTCCAGCCACTCCAGGCTGGAGTGCAGTGGCAAAATCATGGATCACTGCAGCTTTGAACTCCTGGGGTCAGCTTCCTGAGTAGCTGGGACCACCCAAACCCAGCTAATTTTTTTATTATTTTTTTTTTGGAGAGACAAGGTCTCACTTTGTTGCCCAGGCAGGTCTTGAACTCCTAGGCTCAAGCAATACACCTGCCTCAGCCTTCCAAAGTGCTGGTATTATAGGCATGAGCCACTGTTCCTGGCCTTACAAAAATTATTTTGTAGGTTGTATTTTAGCTAGCCTATCACAATTCTTCCAAGTTTTTAAATGGTTTCTGTTGCTTATAAAATATTATTTATTGATAGCCAACAAATTCTAATTTGGGTATTGCTAGGCTATCAGTGCAAAAAAAAAAATTGCAGTTAAAAACTTGTAAAATCTCATATGCCTAAATACCAGGACCGCGTTTATAGTTGTATCAATTTATTTGTTTTTCTCAATACTCAGCATCCAAATTAAAAATAGGAGTATTTTTGTTTACTTTAAAAAGTGATATACTGTTTATGTTTTGTAACATTCATTGAAGAAAATACTTAAGACTTTCAAAACTAGAAAAATATTATTTTAATTTCTTAAAGCTTTGAAATATACATTGAAAAGAGTACATATAACCTCAGTTTAAATGTTCAGTTTAAATCAGGGGTCCCCAACCCCCAGGCTACAGACTGATACTGGTCCATGGCCTGTTAGGAACCAGGCCGCACAGCAGGAGGTGAGCAGTGGGTGAGTGAGCAAAGCTTCATCTGTATTTACAGCCACTCACCATCATTCGCATTACCGCCAAAACTCCGCCTCTTTTCAGATCAGTGGAGGCATCAGATTCTCAGGAGCCTGTTGTGAACTGTGCATGTGAGGCATCTAGGTTGCGTACTCCTTATGAGAATCTAATGCCTGATGATCTGTCACTGTCTCCCATTCCCCCCCATATGGGACCATCTAGTTGCAGAAAAACAAGCACAGGGCTCCCATTGATTGTACATTATGGTGAGTTGTATAATTATTTTATTATATATTACAATGTAATAATAGAAATAAAGTAAACAATAAATGTAATGCACTTGAATCATCCCGAAACCATCCTCCCCACCCGAGTCTGTGGAAAAGTTGTCTTGCCTAGAACTGGTCCTGGTGCCAAAAAGGTTGGGGACCACTGACTTTAGGCATGCTTCCCCACCCACCTCCTCCTAGTCTGTGGAAAAATTGTCTTCCACAAAACCAGTCCCTCATGCCAAGAAGGTTGGAGACTGCTGGTTTAAATAATAATGAAATGAACATGTATGTACCTAACATACAGGTTAAAAAATGAAGTATTTCTGGCCAGGCACAGTGGCTCATGCCTGTAATCCCAGCACTTTGGGAGGCCAAGGTGGGCAGATCACGAGGTCAGGAGTTTGAGACCAGCCTGACCAACATGGTGAAACTCTGTCTCTACTAAAAATACAAAAATTAGCCGGGCATGGTGGCACGTGCCTGTAATCCCAGCTACTGAGGAGGCTGAGGCAGGAGAATTGCTTGAACCCAGGAGGTGGAGGTTGCAGTGAGCCGAGATCACACTACTACACTCCAACCTGGGCGACAGAGCGAGACTCCGTCTCAAAAAAAAAAAAAAAAAAAAAAAAATTCGAACACTTTTAAAGGCTTCTTTGGTTTCCTTACTGATTACATCTTCTTTCCCTTCCCCTGGAGGTAATAGCTGAGTTTTAGATTAATCAACTACTTAAATTACTTTATAGTTTTGTCATTAAGTATAAATTAATAAACAATGAACATAGTTTGGTTTTGCTTTTTTATGAACTTGATATAAATGGATCGTATTGTTTCTATTGTTCTGTAACTTATATTTTTGCCCCATTTTATGTTTTGGAGATTTCATTTATGTTATTGTGTAACTTTTAGGTCATTCATTTGTGCTGGTAAGTAATATTCATTTTCTAAATCTACTGCAATGTATTGTTAACATTTTTGTGCTTGTTCATCTGTTGTGCACATATAAGAGTTCTATAATGTAGCAGTCCTCAACTTTTTTTTTTTTTTTTTTTTTTTTTGGGAGACAGAGTCTCCCTCTTGTCACCCAGGCTGGAGTGCAGTGGCGCAATCTTGGCTCACTGCAACCTTCACCTCCCAGGTTCAAGCAATTCTCCTGCCTCAGCCTCCCAAGTAGCTGGGACTACAGGCGTATGCCACCGCATCTGGCTAATTTTTGTATTTTTAGTGGAGACAGGGTTTCACCATGTTGGCCAGGATGATCTCGATCTCTTGACCTCATGATCTGCCTGCCTTAGCCTCCCAAAGTGCTGGGATTACAGGCATGAATCACCGCGCCCGGCCAGTCCCCAACCTTTTTGGCACCAGGGACTGGTTTTGTGGAAGACAATTTTTCCATGGTGGGGGAATGTTTTGGGGATAAAACTCTTTCACCTCAGATCACCAGGCATTAGATTCTCATAAGGTGTGCAACCTAGATCCCTCACATGCACAGTTCACAGTAGGGTTCACGGTCCCATGACAATGAGAATCTAATGCTCCTATTGATCTGACAGACAGAGCTCAGGTGGTAATGCTCCCCGGTAGGCTGCTCACCTGCTCTGTGGCCTGGTTCCTAATGGGGTTTGAGGAGATTTATTGGTTGGCAGCCAGGTGTTGGGGACTCCTCCAATAATGTACTTAGAAGTAGAATTGCTGGATCATAATGTGTGTGTGTATTTGACTTTACTAAGTAATGTTAAACTTTAATCCAAATTGTTATTTTATATTCCCACCAGTAATGGGTGAAAATTCACATTTCTTTATGTCTTTACCAATACTTGATATTCTTAGATTTTAGAATTTTTGTCAAAATAGTAGGTGTAAAATAATGTCTTATGGTTTTTATTTGTATTTACTTGAATACAAATAAATACAAGGCTGAGGCTTGAGATTGAGATTGAGATTGAGGCTGAGCACCTTTCTAATATTTATGGGGCAGTTGTGTTTCCCCTTCCATGAAATGTCTGTACATGACTTTTGCCCATTTTAGAAAACTGAGGATTTGTTTTTATTAAAACTTTGTTATTATTTATCCTGGATATTTCCTTTATAGGTTATATGTGTCCCAGTGTGTGACTTATCTTTCCACTTTTTGTGATATGTTGATTAAGCAGTAGTTCTTAATGAAATTGAATTAGAATTTTTCTTCATTTTATACTTCTTGTGTCTTTCTAAATAAATTCTTTCCTAACTCAGGTTATAAAGATATCCTGCTATGCTTTTACTAAAAGTTTCTGAATCTTTTGCTTATCACCGTTATGTACTTGATCCATCTTCAGTTGGTTTTTATATATGGTATGTGATAGGGAATAATTTGCCAATGTCCTAGCACTATATATTGGATGATCCATCCTTTCCTCATGAATCTATACTACTGGCTCTTGTTTTATATTATTTTCATACAAGATCTGTATACAAGCTCTCCATTACGGTGGTCTTTCTGTTTCTGCACTAATATCTTAGTATCTTAATCACTGTAGCGTAATCATGTCTTTATCTGGCAGGAAAAATAGTTTTTTGCCTGATTTTTCTTTAGGAGTGCCTTAGTTGTTCTTGGCTCTTCTAAATTTAGGATCAGCATCTCAATTTTTCAGAAAATTGTTTCAATTTTAATAGGAATTATAATGTTTAGAGTATAGGACAATTGACATCTTGAGATATTATGGTACTTCCTTAATACTATTTAAGGTCTTCTAAATGTCATTCATTAAAGTTTAAAAATTTTTCTTCATAAAGGATTTTCTTTCTTTTTTTTTTTTTTGGAGAAGGAGTCTCACTCTGGCACGATCTCGGCTCACTGCAGCCTCCGCCTCCTGGGATCAAGCAATTCTTAGCCTCAGCCTCCCAAGTAGCTAAGATTACAGATGCACACCACCACACCCAGTTAATTTTTGTATTTTTAGTAGAGACAAGGTTTTACCATATTTGTCAGCCTGGTGTCGAACGCCTGACCTCAAGTGATCCACCTGCCTTGGCCTCCCAAAGTGCTGGGATTACAGGCGTGAGTCACTGTGCCCAGCCCATAAAGGTTTTATACACATTTTATAAGATTATTTTCCTAATTATTCTATTACTTTATTTTTGCAACTATCATTAAAAAATTATATTTTCTGTTTGTTGCTTATGTAGGAGTGCAACTATCTTTTATAGATTATTTCAACAATTTTACTAAACTCACTTATTAACTCTTGTAATTTTTCTATAGATTCTTTTGGGTTTTCAATTAGAATAATTATATTACCTGCAAATAATAACAGTTTTATTCCTTCCTTTCCAATCCTTTTTATCTTATTGGCTAGGACCTCCAGACAATGTTGAGTAGACATTGTGATAGTAGGTATCCTTGTCTTGTCCCTGGTTTTAAAGGTAGTTCTTTTAGTATTGCACTATTGATTATGATTTTTGTTGTACACTTTTTGTTTATATCCTTTATCAAGTTTAGGAAATGTTCTTCTATTTCTAGGCCCTGAGTTTTTGCTTGTATATTTGTTAGGAACCATGAATTGTTACCTTTTCTGCATCTATTGTCATTTTTCTCCTTTTATCTGTTAATGTGAGAATCACAAAAGATTTACTTTTGTTGAACCAGTCTTAGTTCCTGAAATAAGCCCAAGTCGGTCATGGTGTAGTATCTTTTCTAAACATTCCTAAATTTGGTTTGCTACCCTTATTTTTTTTTTTTTAAGGTAAGGTCTCAGTCTGTCACCCAGGCTGGAGTGCAGTGGTTGATCTTGGCTTACTGCAACCTCCACCTCCTGGGCTGAAGCAATTCTCCCACCTCAGCCTCCCCAGTAACTGGGACCACAGATGTGTGCTACCATGCCTGGCTAATTTTTGTATTTTGGGTAGTGATCGGTTTTTGCCTTGTTACCCAGACTGGTCTCAAAACTCTTGAGCTCAAGCCTCAGCCTCCTAAAGTGGTGGGATTGTAGGCATGAGCCATCACACCCGGCCAAGTTTGCTACTTTTGCTTATGATTTTTTTTCATCTATGTCCATGAACAGTTATTCTTTCCTAGATAGTGTTGGTTTGGTTTAATGTCAGTTGTACACAGCACACATTGTATAAGGTTGGAATTGTCTATTTCTGGAAAGGTAAAATTACATTCTTTGTGGGAAGATTTTAAACCTTTGATACAATTTCTTTAATGATTAGAAAACCATTAGAAATGTTTTATTTCTTTTTGAGTCAGTTTTGATAATTTATAATTTTTAGGAATTTGTTCACTTTACCTAAATGTTCAAAGCTTGATTTGAAGTTTTTCATAATTTTCTCTTTTTAAACTGTTATGTTTGTAGTTATGCCCCTCCTTCTTGTGTATAATACAGTAGTATTTGTGCCTTCTCTTTTTTCTTGATCTTTTAGCAATTTTTCTATTAGTACTTTTCAAAGTGTCAACTTTGTTTTTTATTTTTTTAATTTAAAAAATTTATTATAATATTTTGAGATGGAGTCTGTCTGTTTTCTCCAGGCTGGTCTCGGACTCCTAGACTCAGGTAATCCTCCTGTTTCAGCCTCCCAAGTAGATGGGATTATAGGCGTCAACCACCACACGTGACTTTCAAGTTTGTTTTTTATTTATTAACTGTTGCTTTTCTTTATTTCTTTCCTTCTTTTAGAGGAGAAAAAAAGGCTGAAAAAATTTAGGAGCCACTTGATAAAAAAAGAATTTCAGGTTTGTTTCCCTAGATGTAATACAAGAACCTTAAATTCATATGTCAAACTTGAATTTCTTATCTTTCCTGGAAAATATTGTCTTCTAGTATTTCCTGTCCTAAGTTGGTGGTTCACTCTTGTTGCTGCCCCCACCACCCAAAAAAATAGTTATCCAAGCCTACCTCCTTCTACCTTAACAGGCCCTTCTTTCCCACCTCCCACTGTTTGTGCCTCGGTCCAGGTCTTCAATCTCTCTTCTTATGGAGCCTGTGGCATCATTCCAACTAGTTTTGCTTCCTTCAACCTCATCTCTGTTAACCCATCCTTCATACTGACATTTTTGACTTCAGCAAACAGTCCAATGATGTCCGTGTCTCACTTAAAACCTTACAATTATTTTCTGCTACCCTGATCACTTCCCAACTCCTTAGCATGATATACAACCTGCGCCTTCCAGTCTCCCTACATGTACTTTTTGGTCCATGGTCCAACTTAGTTTCCCCAACACATCATTTTGTTCTTAGTCTCTGTGCCTTTTTTTTTTTTTTTTTTCCTGTTGAGGCAGACTTTTGCTCTTGTTGCCTAGGCTGGAGTGCAATGGCACGATCTTGGCTCACCACAACCTCCGCCTCCCGGGTTCAAGCAAATCTCCTGCCTTAGCCTCCCAAGTAGCTGGGATTACAGGCACGTGCCACCATACCCGGCTAATTTTGTATTTTTAGTACAGACAAGCTTTCTCCATGTTGGTCAGGCTGGTCTTGAACTCCTGACCTCAGGTGATCTGCCTGCCTCGACCTCCCAAAGTGCTGGGATTACAGGCATGAGCCACCGTGCCCAGCCAGAGAAAATATTTTTAGTTTATTTTATTTATGGGAAAGATGTAAGTGCTCTGATTTGTTTGATTTTTGTCTTTTTTTTGTCTTTTGCTCTGCCTCTCGGGTTCAAGCAATTCTCCTGCCTCAGTTGGGACTACAGGTGTGCACCACCACGGCTGGCTAAGTTTTGTATTTTTGGTAGAGATGGGGTTTTGCCATGTTGGCCAGGCTGGTCTATTTTTTTTTTTTTTTCTTTTTTCTGAGATGCAATCTCACTCTGTCACCCAGACTGGAGTGCAGTGGCAGGATCTCAGCTCACTGCAGCCTCTGCCTCCCGGGTTCAAGCGATTCTCCTGTCTCAGCCTCCCCAGTAGCTGGGATTATAGGTGGGCACCACCGCACCTGGCTAATTTTTGTATTTTTAGTACACACGGGGTTTCACTGTGTTGCTCAGGCTTGTCTCAAACTCGTGATCTCAGGTGATCCACCCACCTCGGCCTCCCAAAGTGCTGGGATTACAGGCGTAGGCCACCGCGCCCAGCCCAGGCTGGTCTTAAATTTTATTTCTTGATGAAAGATTTTTGCCTTGTTTTTTAACCTCAGAGTGATAAGCACCTAAAGCATCAAACATTGACTAAAGAATTGTAACACTAAGAAAGAGATTTGATTATTCCGATCTTTATTACGTTTTATCTCAAATTCTGTCTTTATATTTTTAAATAAAAGTAACAGATCTGAGCTCAAGACATGACAGAGCATAATTTAGAAGCTTTTCCAATTCTCCAGAAAGCCATTAGCTAGCAAGGGATATGAAAGATTCATCAGAATTCAACAGAGTATTTTCTGGCAGTTTACCCAAGGGGTTCTTGAATACACTTGGAGAACTCATGTATCAAACAACTAGGAATCGATATACACCTAAATCCCTTTGCCTTTTCAGACTCCACAAAACCTGGCAATAATAGCCAATAAAGTTGCTTCAGAATCTGCTGGAACTTACTAGAGACAAAATGAACTGTCAAGATAGAATCAAGTAGTCCTTAAGGAAGGTTTATAATTCAAGAGTTTTCATCTTTAATTGAATATAGTGATTACTCCTTAAAAGAACAGTTACTATAAAATTCTTATTAAGGCTGTTGTTAATTATTTAGTAAAGTATTTGCATTAATTGTACTTAAATTACTTTAAGAAAATATAAAGAAGTATATGAAATTTTCTGTGTCAGTAAACATAAGTATAAAATGTAATGTTTTTTGAAAACTATTAGGTTGGTGCAAAAGTAATTGATGTTTTGCCATTAAATGGCAAAACCGGGAAAACCCACATAGTTTAGTCCCAATTTGAAATGCTTATTTATAATTGCTCATAAACACACATGCAACTCTGAATCAGCTGTACATGGCTTCTGAAGACTGCCGTAAGATTTGACAGGGTAACCTATTCTGTATAGAGTTAAATAACTTGGATCATTTGATCTATTAAATGTCTCTGAGTACCATTTATGATGGAATGGAGCACTTTGGCTGTAACACTATCTCATGGAATAGAAGTGTGTTTATTCTGCCTACATGTGAAATATAATACTACTTCTGTTTGCTCTTTAAAGAAATATCCTAACAGCATCTTCTTGAAAGAATAAAGAACAGCCTGTGTATTTTTAGGAGTTGGTACTCTGCTTGCGTTTTAAGTATGGACCATTGCCTTTGTTTTTCAGTTAGAGTTTTTAAGTTTTATTTTTGTTTTTAAGGGGGTAAAACAATTTATTGATCTCTTAAATACATGGATGAGTTTTGTGATTCCCATTTGACAGATTTTAAGATGTGAAAATGGTTAATGTCTAGAAGCTTAGAAGTGCAGTTGGCATCACGTGTTATTTTCTGTTTAAGCTAATTCTTTGTTTGATTTATTTAATAGTTCTTATTTGGATATTAGTAACCATCAATAAATAAAACTGAATATGAATTTCCAAAATTTTGCTTATACAAAGTGCCAAACTTAACATTTGAATTATATGTGCTAGAATTATAAGCAGTATCACGTTGTTGTCTTTAACCATTGCATTTTCATTGCATTGTGGCTATATACAACTCTACATAATTAACATCTGTTTTAGTTCTAACTGCTTTTGTGTTGTGAATGGTTTCTGCTTTAAAGGCTTATGCTCCTGAAATCAACCAAACAACCAAACAGACTCTCTAGTCTTACCATCACACCTTTTCAATTTTAATTCCAAGAAAGAAATATTTTATTCCCCTCACCTCTATAACACAGAAGCCTTGAGTATCCCCTGAATGTCAGGGGTTTAGAGTGAAAAGCAAGGAGAAAATTATAAGTACATAAAGCCCTGCCCAGTTGGAACATCACTATCCAAAAAAGGAAACAGACAAGGGAACATGTAATTATAAGTCAACATGATAAACCCAATAACAGAAATGTGATATATAGTATAGGGATTAACCCAGTAAGAGTATAAGGACCATACAAGCAGGGATTATATTTGATTCATATCTGTATATCCAATACCTAACAGAGGGTCTAGTATTTAATAGATTCAACAAATCAGTTAAATGAATGAGATTAATTCTGCCTTAGAGATAAGAAACAAGAAAGTCTTCCTAAATGGGGTGTAATCTGGGTTTTGAAATTCAAATAGCTTAGAAGAAGAAAAGGACAAAGAAAACAAGTTGAAAAAAAAAAAAAAGCCAAATAGGCAGATAAAAAAACTTGAGAGAATGAATGACAGGCATGGGGAACAGTGTGAGCGAAACTGCATGCCGTGTTTTAGCAAACTGCGAATAGTTCAGATTGCATTAGCATAAAGTGTAAATTGAAGAGCAGCTGGAAATGGAGCTATATTAGTGAAGAATTATATACATGGGTTTCTTTGAAAAACAGTGAACTTTACAAAAAAAACTTAATCATACTTTCTTGAATACTTTCTAAAACATCTTTTCGAATGTCTAGACCCCTTCTTCAAAGGCCTGTGATATTTTTAAAAGGTAATTCGAATTATTGATGAAATACTTTCATTTTAACATTTATTATCTTCTCTAACATTTGAGATTTATATCAGATTTTGAATATAATTTTATATAACTTATAAACATTGGGATCCTTTGTGTAACCAATGATGATTTTCCCTTTTCAAATTGTAAAGATTTATAGGACTGTAGTTGTATTTATGACATGAGATAGATGTTTATTAAATAGTATGACAACATACTTCAAGCCAAGTTTTATATGGAAGCCCACTATATAAGTAGATATGGTCCATGGGCATCCACTCCGTACACTAGGGTACTCCGCAGATTCCTCCAGGTTCAACAGTCAAGGGTTTAGTGGAAAGAGGCAGGAGGCCCAGGTTCAATATTTGCAGTATTACTAGTTAGCAACAGGATTGTGGGTGTATCATTTTTCTTTCTCATCATCTAAATAGAGGGACTGGCTGGGTGCAGTGGCTCACGCCTGTAATCTCAGCACCTTGGGAGGTGGAGGTGGGTGGATCACTTGAGGTCAGGGGTTCGAGACCAACCTGGCCAACATGGTAAAACCCGGTCTCTACTAAAAATACTAAAAAAAAATTAGCCCAACGTGGTGGCAGGCACCTGTAATCCCAGCTACTTGGGAGGCTGAGGCAGGAGAATTGCTTGAACCCAGGAGGTGGAGGTTGCAGTGAGCCAAGGTTGCACCACTGCACTCCAGCCTGAGTGACAGAGCGAGACTCCATCTCAAATAAACAAATACAATAAATAGAGGACTTAGTTAAATGACTTCTAAAGTCCCTTTTAACTCTTAAGTCTGTGGTTTTATAAATCTGTAGCTATAGTTTATGTGATGCTGGGGCTTTGAACTGGAATGTAACCCCCAATTATAGCTACATTTTCTAGGACTACATCTAAGTGAAATCAGGAGCAGTCTATATTGTGTTTTTCTAAAATACTTAAGTTCTTCTTTTTTTCATGTTAAGTTTGAGATTTTGGTAGAATAGGTGGAACTATCCTACAGGTAATTTGAAGTTTGGGTCTAAAACTGAGGAGAGAAATCAGGACTAGGGATAGATTTGGGGTTATCCATGCAGGTGACTGTTAAATGTGGAAGTAAATGAGGTTACTTAGGGGGCAGAAGAGAAGGGAGTGAACATACAAGAGTAGAAGGGGTGGAGGAATGGAGGAAGATATGGAACTCTACAAGGACATGGAAAAGGAATAAGGAAATTAGGGAAGAAATTGAATAGAGTATGTCCTAATACTAAGGAAAGAGTTTCAGAAATGAAAGGAACTTGACTGAGAACCAGATAGAAATAGCCTACCATGTGGTGGTAGCATTCACTGCAAAATGAAGATCTTGTTCATTAAGATAAAGGTTATCTGAAAAGACAGTTTAAGCCATTGGGGGCATGCAAATCAGTGTACAAAAAGAAAACTTTTGCAAGTTCCAGTTTTGTTTTTTTTAAAGGTCATGCTAAGTATTGAAGAGGAATAAGTTTATATGGTTTGATACCTACACACGTTAGTCAGAGTGTGGTGGTATGGTGAATGGAGAGCACAGAACTCAGAATTATGAATTCTGGGCTGTAGTACACACTGTCTATTATTTTAACTGTACAACCATCCAGTCACCTAACAGGGATACTTGTAAACAGATAAATTATAATCAGATTGGTAATTGTTGTAGTCAATATGATCAAAAGTTCTTGGGCAAATGATTTAAGCCTTCTGGGTTTCTTCACCTGTAAAATTAAATTGTTAAAAAAATTTGTTTTAGGCCAAGCACAGTGGCTCATGCCTGTAATCCCAGCACTTTGGAAGGCCAAGGCGGGTGGATCACCTGAGGTCGGGAGTTTGAGACCAGCCTGGCCAACGTGGTGAAACCCCGTCTCCACTAAAAATACAGAAATTGGCCGGGTGTGGTGGCAGGTGCCTGTAATCCCAGCTACTAGGGAGGCGGAGGCAGGAGAATTGCTTGAACCCAGGAGGCGGAGGTTGCAGTGAGCCGAGATCACACCACTGCACTCCAGCCTGGGTGACAGGGTGAGACCCTGTCTCAAAAAAATAAAAAATGAATAAGTTTTGTTTTAAAGCTCATACTCTGTGTAGTACCTCTTCATGCAGTTCTGGATTGTTACAATGCTATTTGCCTTTAAAATGTATATGAATGCATACGTATGTATATATACATATATGTACTTTTAAAAAATTATTATGTAGGATACTATCTTTTATTGTTGTTTTGAGACAGGGTCTCCCTCTGTTGGCCAGGCTGGAGTACAGTGGTTTAATCATAGCTCACTGCAGCCCTGGCATCCTGGGTTTAAGCGATCCTTCCACGTCACCTCAGCCTCTGGAGTAGGTGGGGACTACTACAGGCATGTGTCACCCTACTGGGCTTTTTTTTTTTTTTTTTTTTTTTTTTTTTTTTTTGCTTTTTGGTAGAGACAGGTTTTCCCTGTGTTGCTTAGGCTGGTCCTGAACTCCTGGCCTTAAGTGTTCCTCCTTCCTCAGCCTCTCAAAGTGTTAGGATTGTAGGCATTAGCCACCACACTCAGTCTAGTACACTGTTTATAAAATTTTCCCTGTACACTGAGGCTGTCACACCCTCTCAGCTAATGAAGTGTAGTAGGACAGGCCATACTGTGTGCTCTGAGCCAGTGAGTACTGTGCACTTTCATCCAGTAAGTGCCCTACCACCTGTTGGAGAGTTGAGCATGTTTTGGAACATGTATTGTTTCTCTCCTGGAACTGTCTTTTCTTGCCATTTATTTAGGGAGGAACAAAGGGATGCAAGTAAAGACTATCATGCTGTTTATTAACATGCAAGCTTTACAGAGGCCACTGGCCTGAGATTCAACTAAAGAAATGGTCAAGGCTTCTTTCCAGTGTGGACTCTTAAGTAAAACTTTTCATAAAAAAAAAAAAAATTAAAGAAATGGTTGAGGAGAAAGAAGGTAAAGATTTTTAGGCCACCAATATTCCTGAAGTATAGACAGTTACAAATTTTGTGTCCTTTGATACAGGGTGACTTTGTGTTCACAAATACTATTTAAATTTATCAAGCTTGTAATATGCGTGCCTGCACAGTGCTTGCTGCCATAGATACACTGGTGAACTTGATGAGACATGCCCCTCCTGGATTTTATCATTTATTAGGAATGGTAAAGTTAAACAACAGTCAGAGGCCCATAGGAGGTCAGTTTTGCCCAAGCAGAATGTTGAATAAATGTTCTAACTGGTTCCTGGCAAAAACATACAAACTGTATCTTTTATCATCACCTCAGCCTCTCTCTTCCTTTCCCCATTTCTGCATCATATTGTAACCATAGTATGAGAAAAAACATACTGAAATTATTTAGTTAGGTAAACTGGATCTCCAGGAACATATAAGCATGTGGCTGGGAAAAAGGGTTGAGAACTCCTGACTTCTAGGTCAGTATCATTCAAATCTGTATTTGCAAGCCAGACCACATTTTTAAATACAAACCCACTTCTTATTTTTGAGACAGAGTCTTGCTCTGTTGCCCAGGCTGGAGTGCAGTGGCAAGATCTTGGCTCACTGCAGCCTCTGCCTCCTGGGTTCCAGCAATTCTCCTGCCTCGGCCTCCTGGGTAGCTGGGATTACAGGCGCACACCACAAGGCCCGGCTAATTTTTGTATTTTTAATGGAGACAGGGTTTCACCATGTTGGCCAGGGTGGTCTCAAACTCCTGACCTCAGGTGATCTGCCCGCCTTGGCCTCCCAGAGTGCTGGCATTACAGGCATGAGCCACCGTGCCCGGCCACAAACCCACATTTTTTAAAGTTTTAAAAATTTGTTTAATGATATGGAACCCACATTTTAATTACTTTGCTTTTTGTTTATAGGTCCAGGGGCAAGTTCATCCTACTCTCGAGTCTAATGATGATGCTCTTCAGTATGTTGAAGAATTAATTTTGCAATTATTAAATATGCTATGCCAAGCTCAGCCCCGAAGTGCTTCAGATGTAGAGGTATGACAAATGTTGTCTTGTATTTACTTTATATCTAATTTGTGTGTTGGTTGTAATGTCAGTGAACAGGGAAAGAATTTGCTCTCTCTATATATATGGTATATAAGAAAATGAAGCCTGGATTTAACTCTTTACAGGTTGAGTATCCCTTATCCAGAATGCTTGGGAACAGAAGTGTTTTAGATTTTGAGGTTTTTTTTTTGGATTTTGGAATGTTTTCAGTATATTTACTGGTTGAGCATCCCAAATCCAAAAACCCAAACTCTGATGTGTTCCAGTGAGCATCATGTCAGCATCTAGAAGTTTTGGATTTTGGCCTGATGTGGTGGCTCAAGCCTGTAATCCCAGCACTTTGGGAGGCCAAAGCAGAAGAATCACTTGAGCCCAGGAGTTCAAGACCAGCCTGGGAGACAAAGTGAGACCCCATCTCTAAAAAAAATTTGTTTTTAACTAGCTAGGCATGGTGGCATGTGCCTGTAGTCCCAGCTACTCAGGACGCTGAGTCAGGAGGATCACTTGAGCCCAGGAGATCGAAGCTACGGTGAGCCCTGAATGAAAGAGTGGAACCATGACTCCAAAAAAAAATGCTAAAAGTTTCAGATTTTGGATTTTTGGATTAGGGATAATCAACCTGTATTGCATATAGGATAGTTTGTATATATTCTAGCTGTTAAACTATACATTTTTTTGTTTGTAAGCTAAAACGAACAATTTCTTGATGATAGAATGATATACCCATACCTTTAGGAGTGGCATATGTCCAAGCATTTCTTTTATTAAAGCCAGCTAACATTCCAAAAAGATTTCTGTTAATGTTTTGATCTTCAGTTGTTACATGTATTTTAGGTGGTAAGTGAATTATTTCCCACCAATTGAGAGAGAGGGAGACATCTAAACACCTAGGAAGGAGATTGTGTAATCTCTTAGAAAGATGATATGGCCCTTGTCTTTTTAGGGCTTATGATTTAATGGAGATACAGAGAGATATGTAGTCAGTAACATAATGTGATATTCTATGAGTAAAGAGTATATGGGAAACCATGAAAGGGGCAACTGATAGATGCTTTGGGGTTTGGGATAGCTTCCAAGAAAAAGATACATCTAAACTGAGTTCGGAAGGAGTCGAAAGTTGGAGAGAAGAATAAGGTTTTTGAAGTACCAATTGTAGAAAATGGGAGATACAGCTAGAAATAGAAAGAGTTCCCTGGCAATGATGAAGGACCGTTTGACTTTAATGACTTCAAGTGTACAGTACTTCAAATCTTTGGGTTTCTGTGACTTTGCTTTTGCAGCACTCAAGTGTGAGCACAAAAAAAGATAGTTGGACTGAATGGTGTTTCCTCATGGATGTATAGCAGGAGAACAGCAGGGCAAGGGAATTGTAAAAACTGGTAATGGCAGTGCTTTGCAACCTTTTCAGGACACAACACACATAGAAAGTAATGTTTTTATGGCACACATAAAACATTGGGTTTTATGTGTGATTGGGTAGGAAGTAATCTCTAGCAACCTCAGGCCTTGTCCTTCTACCCTGAAGGCTGAGGGATTGATAGACAGGCATATCCAATGAGAAACTGCTGAGAAGAGCATCACTGAATCGAAATTGGATAAGGAAAAAAGTGAAATGTGATAATAGCTGATGGGTTTGCTATATAGTATTATGCACTAGTCTGAATACTTCCATACTTTACATTTCATTTAAACTTTGTAATAATCCCATCAAGATGGTATTAGTTTTTTCCCTACTAGAATGTAAGCTCCAGGGAATTTTTGTTGTTGTTGTTCACTGTTGAATCATCAGCACCTAGAGCAATATCTGGCACAGAGAAGACACTCAGAAAATATAAGTTGAATGAATGATTCAACTGAAGCACAGAGAGGTTGAATAACCTGCCCAAGTTATTAAGTAGTGAAGCCAAGACTTTTAACCAGAAAGTCTAGCTTTTTGAGCATGCATTCTGATACCAGGTAGGAGAGGGCACATATAATGGAAAAACATGGAGAGAAAAGGGTACTAGAGTTCTCAGTAAGGTCAGAGAACTGATAATATTAGGACATCTGAAAGAGAGAAATAGAGCAGATTGAGATCAGAGAAAGAGTTGTTTGAATGTAAGATTTCATAAGTAACATAGTTACAAAGCAGGATATGGCTAGACCAGGGGTGAAGGTCTCCAAGATGAGGTCTTTATAGAATTAAGAGGCTGGGGTATTTTGTGTGTCCCTAATGTAAACCATAAAGTTGGACAGAATGGTAGCAGGACTTTACATGAGAATGGAAGAGTGATGTTAACACCTCTTAATACCACCACAGTGGAGTTTAGGTTTCAGCATGAATTTGGGAGGGGCACAAACATTTGGACCATAGCAAATGGTGTCTTACATTCTTTTATCGGGAAATAATTTTCCATTTTCCTCATTGACTAGGATTCGGTATTTCTTTAATACACTTACAAAGCTTTCTATTAAAATAATAAGGGCCCTAAATTTAGCAAGCCCTAAGTGTGTTTTGGGATGAGTCATAAAATATTTTTCTTAAGTTTTGAGGGTCACATAAGAAAAATGTATATAGAGACTGGGCATAGTGGCCCACACCTGTAATCCCAGCACTTTGGAAGGCCAAAGCAGGCGGATAACCTAAGGTTGGGAGTTTGAGAACAGCCTGGTTAACATGGTGAAACCCCATCTCTACTAAAAAAAAAAAAATACAAAAAAATTAGCTGGGCATGGTGGCAGGCACCTGTAATCCCAACTCCTTGGGAGCTGAGGCAGGAGAACCACTTGAACCCGGGAGGCAGAAGTTGCAGTGAGCCAAGATTGCACCACTGTACTCCAGCCTGGGTGACAGAGCAAGACTCCATCTCCAAAAAAAAAAAAAAAAAAAAAAATGTATTTTAAAAATAGATCAATCTGAATTAGCAGAATATACACATTTAAAAATCTTTCTGAAGAATACGCTTCATAATGGTTCCCAGAGGCTGTGTTGATTGGAGAGAAAGGGAACTGGGGAAGATTCGTTCAAAGAATACATATTTACAGTTGGGAGGAATAAGGTCAAGAGACCCTATTGTACAGCATGGTGACTATAGTTAATGATGGTATATTCTTGAAATGGGCCCTTATTATTTTAATACAAAGCTTTGTAAGTGTATTAAAGAAATACTGAATCCTAGTCAATGAGGAAAATGGAAAATTATTTCCTGATAAAAGAATGTAAGGCACCATTTGCTATGGTCCAAATGTTTGTGCCCCTCCCAAATTCATGTTGAAACCTAAACCCCACTGTGGTGGTATTAAGAGGTGTTAACATCACTTGAAAATGCTAAGAATTGGTATTTATTGTTCTCACCACAAAAATAACTATGTGAGGTAATGCATTTGTTAATTAGCTAGATTTAACTATTCCACAGTGTATATGTACTTCTAAGCATCATCATGTTGTACATGATATACATGTACAGTTTTATACATCAATTTAAGGAGTAAATAAATTTGGCCGGTGTGGTGGCTGGATCACACATGTAATCTCAGCACTTTGGGAGGGCAACGTGGGCAGATTGCCTGAGCCCAAGAGTTCAGGACCAGCCTGGGCAACATGGCAAAACCCTGTCTTTACTAAAAATACAAAAAATTAGCTGGCCATGGGGCTACATGCCTGTAGTCCCAGCCACCTGAGAGGTTGAGGTGGGAGGATCGCCTGAGCCCAGGAGGTTGAGGTTGCAGTAAGCTGTGATCGCGCCACTGCACTCTTGACAGAGTGAGACCCTGTCTCAAAAGGAAGAAAAAAGAAGTTTGAAAAAAAAAATGTTTAAAGAATACACTTTGCTTTAAAGTATAAGCATAATTCAAAGTATGGTAGCAATTACTGCTTAATTTGGTAGCTCCTAGGGGATATGTCTAAGAGTGATTTTTAGTTGCTGTATAGTTTTAGGAAAATAGGTGCTTCAAAAGTACTTGAAAACAGATAGATTGCATACATGTTTTGCTGATGGTAATTAAAAAGTTTTGATAAATTGTACTACAGATTATCACAAATTATAAAGTATCATAGTCCAAATGAATGGAATTTTGTTTTATTGATGTAGCCAATAATCACTAATCGGTACTGCCAATATATTAGTATTTACCATCAGGCAGTGTTGCAGATGAATAAGGAAGTAGAGTCGTGCTTCAGTTTCCATGGGGGATTGGTTGCAGGCTGCTGCCTGAAGATACCAAAATCCATGGATGCTTAAGTCCCTTATATTAAATGGCATAGTATTTGCATATAACTAATGAACACCCCTCCCATATGCTTTAAATCATCTCTAGAATACTTGTAATACCTAATAAAAAGTAAATGTTGCGAAGTGTAGTGGCTTGTGCCTGTACTCCCACCTACTTAGGAGGCTGAGGTGGGAGGATCACTTGAGCCCAGGAGTTCAAGGCTGCAGGAAGCTATGATCATGCCAGTGCACTTCAGTCTGGGTGACAGAGTGAGACCCTAACTCTTAAAAAAAAAAATTGAATTCTATGTAAATAGTTATTACATTGTATTTTAAATTTTGTATTTTTTTATTTTTAAAAAAATATTTTTGATCTGCAGTTGGTTGAATCCACAGATGTAGAACCATGGATATGGAAGGCCAACTGTATTATATATATTTTAATGCTGGGGAATGCAGAAGAAGGGTATATATTATTTGGCTCTGTTGATTCCAATTCATTCAAGTATTAAAAGATAGTATAAAAATTGCTTCAATCTATTTCTTTCCCTCTTTTATAATAAATATAATTTTCTGTATTTAAACTTTGAAAAAATAGAGGCAAAAGCTAATATTTTTTTCCTGTGTTTGACCCTAGTAAAGTATATTCTTTAATTTCTTAGGTCTTGTCCTTTCATAATTGTACTTGTTCTTTACTTGACTGGACTGATTTCCTTTGTTGTTCCTTCCCTTTCTGGTCTATATGTACCTATATTTAACCAGCTTTGATTTCTCAGGACAGTGATACATTTTTCTTTTCCTCATTCATCTCAGGCTTTTTTTTTTTTTAACTTCTTTATCTTAGACTTTTTATTGTCATTAGCCCTTCATCGTAAAATGTAAAACGTCTGCTTTCGTTTTCCGTTCATTTTTTTTCTTTAGCTTTTTTTCCCTTGGAATCCTAAAGAATCCTTATAATTTCTTTCTTTCTTTTCTTTTCTTTTTTTTTTTAATTTTTTTTTTTATTTTGAGACAGAGACTCCCTCTGTCACCCAGGCTGGAGTGCAGTGGTGTGATCTCAGCTCACTGCAACTTTCGCCTCCCAGGTTCAAGTGATTCTCGTGCCTCAGCCTCCTGAGTAGCTGGGACTACAAGCGAGCACCACCATGCTTGGCTAATTTTTGTATTTTTAGTAGAGACAGGGTTTTACTGTATTGGCCAGGCTGGTCTTGAACTCCTGACCTCAAGCAGTCCGCCCACCTCCGCCTCCCAAAGTGCTGGGATTACAGGCATGAGCCACCACGCCCAGCCAAGTCCCTATAATTTCTAATAAGCTTTCCATTAACATTTAGATTCCCCAAATAATTTATCCATATTTTCTACCTTTCTAAACAAAAACAAATTTCTCCCACACATACCAAAGTATGTGGGGATCTGATTTTTTTTTTAACTGAAGTACATATGTAAGAATTTATATAGGACCTAGAATATTTATATTGGAATTGATCAAGATTATCTTTTTAAACCTATTTATTATGTAAAGGAGAAGACAGGGTTCTGCTAATAATAGAGGTGAATCTTCAGCTTAGCTCTGTATCTCATTAATGTTTCCCAGAGGTACTAGATATTAATCAAGATAGAGTTTCTCATTTAATACAAATAAAATTATTAATCTTGAAATTAGGAGAGTAATAGTATTCTAATTCATGAATCTTTCATTGTTCAGTCCTCCTTGGGCTTCTTTTTAAAAATACATGAAGGCCGAATGCAGTGGCTCATGTGTGTAATCCCAGCACTTTGGGAGGCCAAGGCAGAAGGATCACTTTGAGCTCAGGAGTTCCAGAGCAGCCTGGGCAACATAGCAGGATCTCATTTCTACTAAAAATAACAAAATTAGCTGGGCATGGTGCACGTACTTATAGTCCCAGCTACTTGGGAGGCGGAGGCAGGGAGATCACTTGAGCCCAGGAGGCTGAGGCTCCAGTGAGCTATGATTGCATCATTGCACTCCAGCTCGGGTGATAGATCGAGACCCTGTTCCCCCCCAAAATAAATAAAAAGTAAAGAAATATAAAGTGTTTGTGAAAGAAATTTTATTTTATCATAAAATTATAAATTTGCCACTACAAGAAATAAAGTAATTCCTTCAGTATGGCCTCTCCACATTCAAAACACCTTTTTTTTTTTTTTTTTTTTTAACCCTACGAATCTTTCCGCATGCATTTTGACCCTTGACATTGTCTCCTAAGTATGTATTTGGTAATTTGATTTCATTAATACCCTTGTAAGTAAGTTTAAAATGTGCTATGCTTCATTATTACCACTTTGCCTTTTTAAAAATCATTCGAGATTTTCTTTCCTCTTCTTTCCTTCCTCAAAACAATAAACCTGGAATGAGGTAGACATAATTGATATGGACAGGGGTTGCTGTTCTGTTTTCTTTTTCTTCTACCTCAACCCCTGCCTACAATTAGTCTCTGTAATTCCACCGCTGGTGATTTTTTTTTTTTTTCAAAGACATGTAACTCTATTTAGAATTAATTGTTAGGTTGAGTTCAACTTCTGTCCTTCTCTACTGCTTTTATTTTTTTATTTTTACTTTTTTCTACTGCTTTTATGTCTACACTGTTCACCAGTGTTTTTAGACTCCAGGTCATGGCCATTAGTAAGTCATAAAATTACTTTAGTGCATTGCCCAACCCTCATTTTAAAAAATAAAACAGGCCGGGCACAGTGGCTCACACCTGTAATCCCAGCACTCTGGGAGGCTGAGGTGGGTGGATCACCTGAGGTCAGGAGTTCAAGACCAGCCTGGCCAACATGGGGAAACCCATCTCTACTAAAAATACAAAAATTAGCTGGGCATGGTAGCACACGCCTGTAATGCCAGCTACTTGGGAGGCTGAGGTGGGAGAATCACTTGAACCTGAGAGTGGTGGTCGCAGTGAACTGAGATTGCACCACTGCACTCCAGCCTGCGCAACAGAGCAAGACTCTGTCTCAGAATAAATAAATATACAAATAAAAAACAGAATAGCAAATGCCAGTGTGCTACATATAATAAGGACAGGTTTGTTTTAGGAAACTGTTTCATTTGAGTATGTGTGCAGTATGTAAGGGTATAATGTAAAAATGTGTTGAAAATTTATTCTTACTATGAGTTGAGGTTTTAAAAAATGTTGGAAAGCCACAGGGTCATAACATGATTAGGTTTGTACCATGGTTGCACTTAGTTAATCATGGGTTAAACCCATCACTATAAACATTTTAACTGAAAACCACGTAAGTTAGTCCTAAATATCTTGTCATTTTTGGATTAACAAGTCTGTAAAATAAACTTGGAAAAAAGAAAAGAATTCTTGTTTTGGATGTTCCCTTCTCTCCCTTTACCCCTTCCCTTTTCTCCCTTTTCACCTGCGATGCCTCCTCAATATTTTGGGCCTTTGTATTGCGTTTTACTGCATGAGGCTGGTGTCCTGGCAAACAGCTTTTCAACTAGACAGTTGAAAAGGTTTGTAAACCCCATTTTTAACTGCTATAATTTCTTTCAACATGCTTCTAATTCCATTAATTAGAATTAAAATAACTTTATTTGGAAGCTGACTTAGCCTTGGACATAATGGAAATTTATTAAAATTGAATGGATTACACTCCTTAATTTATAGATTTGCTCTTAAGATTTCCAAGAATCATTGTGTTCTCCACCCCTCCCTCACCACCAAGGGCATCACATGGCATCACACTTTTTTAATTTTCCATTTTACTAGCAAATAATAAAACTTTTTATTCAGATTTATAATTATGATGATGTTTAATTTCATCTAGTAGTTTTTACATACTAGTTGAATACTCATTTATTCAAAACACATGTGTAAAAGTTATGTAATAGCGACCTCTACTGGTTTTAGTTATGGTATCCTGCAAGTGGATTTTTTAAAGTTTTGAGAGGATGAAAGCGCCTTTTTGAAGTGAATTATATTAGTTTAATAAGGAAGGAAATTCAGCTGTGATAGTAACCTGAGTTCTTTCACTCTCAGTGGAAATTTTAACTAAAGAATTTCTGGAAATTAAATTGAAGTATTTTGTTAAAAACGAATGACTATGGGAGGACTTTAAAGAAACTACAATGTATTAAAATTGCTGTCACCAATGCAAACCATTGCTTTCCATGATTTGTAAATAGTTTTGAAGTGCCTTTGCATGGTGGATAAAGAATATTCATAGAGGTTTCAATTGAAAAATGCTGCATGTAATTACCACTGAAAGTAAGGACAAGTGAGTGAGAACTGGATTTAGATATTTACTTCTTGATCTTGGGTGTTGTTCCTTGAAATTTTATACAAGTACTATTTAAAGTAGCTTCTACTCATTCTTGTAATTAGCTTTATCACAGTGAAGTTGAAATTCAGGATGTGATATTCCCCCTAGATAATAGAAAGAATGTTTAGTCTCTTATTGTCTAATTAAGGAACTAATACATTGACAATTACTGTTTTCTCTTAGCTTCATATGTTTGTAATGTAAATTATACCACATGTGAAAAGCTCTACTTTTGGTATTCTTTGATTTTAAAAGTAAATTTTAAGTGAAGAGCACTATTTAATATATTTTTTGCTTAGTTGTTATTTTCCTATTTTCCAAGGAACGTGTTCAAAAAAGTTTCCCTCATCCAATTGATAAATGGGCAATAGCTGATGCCCAATCAGCTATTGAAAAGAGGAAGCGAAGAAACCCTTTATCTCTCCCAGTAGAAAAAATTCATCCTTTATTAAAGGTAATGCTGAACTACTGCCTTCTTGCCTTTTAAGGGAAAAATAAAACCCACCATTTTTATACAATAAGAATATATTTTATGGATAATTGAGTCAACTTAAGAGTAAAATTCTCTCATTCTAAGTTTTCCAGAGATTTATGTGGTGAGAAGGGATGCTATGATAATAAGAAAATATAAACTGGGCAACATGATTTAAAGTAATTTCATATCAATAGTAATAAGCAAGTTGAGAGGACTAAGAAAGTTATTGTGGATTTTGTTTATCTCAGATGTAATTAGGACCACAAAGAGAATTTATAAAACTCCTCCTTTCTTGTTGGTTAGACCTAAGTGTTCCTATAAATCCTTTTGATGTTAGTACTTTGTGTAGAGACCTCTGTGAAAAGGCTACAAGGCTATGTGTAATCTTGGAACAAAAAGATAACCTAAACTCTCCAGTCCTACTTATCATGTAAATAAGTCAGTCAGTCAGTTGAATCTCTATAGAACTAATAGAATAACTGCCGGAAGCTCGAATAATGCTATTTCTATTTTAGTTAATGTAACGAACTACTATTACCTTTCACAACAAAAATATAGGTATTATAATAATTAAAAACTTAGATGCCAGTAATTTTGTACATACTATAATACAGACAAAATGCTAATACTTGTATACATTGTCTGAGTTTTATTATTCAACAAAGTTATTATTATCCACAGTTTGTAAATGAGGTGACAGAGGCAGAAAGTGATTAAGTAACTTCTATGCCAAGTTCACAAGACTCTTAAGTGATAGTGTTAGAAAGTTCAGGTTTGCTTGATGTTGTCCAAAATTTAAAGTTAAACACTTGAATGAGTTTAAGGTTGTATTTTGCATTCAGTTCTTTGAATAGAAATACCTGCCTTATGGAAAAGGCATTCATCATTCTCTTCATGATTTTCATTGGCCATATGTTGAATTGTATTCTAAGGGAATTAACAAATTGAGGTATATAAATATTATGTTAATAATCCTAAATTTTGAGTTTTATGTGCTAATTGTGAATATCATTTCAATTTATTTTAATACACCTTTATCATGATACCCTTATTAGTTTTTATATACCCTAAAAGGTAAATGCAGCCTGTCTCCAATTTGTAACAAACTTCTTATTTCAAAGTTGTTTTTTTCCCTTAAATGGGTTGTTTGGAAAATAGAATTTGTTATTCTGTATGAACAGACCAGTCCCACAAAAGCCCATATTCTCTTTGAAGTTTAATATTAGGGCTATTTAACATTTTCTTAACAGCAACCATTATTCAGTAGGACATAACATGAATTTTATTTTCGTAGAAATTGCCAGGAATACCAGGAATATGCCCGCTGTGGTTTTGGGGAGCTCATCTTCCCTTGGAAAAGTTAAAAGTATAAGCCTGGTAGAGATTCCTAGATACCAATAATATATTAACTCTCATTTTTTGTAAAAGAAAAAACTTGTTTGTTATAGTTACTTCCAGGTATTCTGAATTAGGTAACAAAGAGCATTTGCTCCCTTCCCCAAACTTGGGCCTTCCTTTATAGGTTAGGGATTATCTATTTGTAATCTCCGCTTAAGTATTTTACATCATTAGAGGTAATTTTGCCTTGCCTTTTCTTAGCTTACATTTTCAATAGTAATACATATATTATTCATTGTTGAACCACTTACAATTAAATGTTGTTGGTAAGCACAGGCCTCAGGAAAAAAAGTGTAAGTTAAGGTGCAAATATGTTTTTTATTTTTAATCAGTGTGTTAAATGTACAGTATATGATGTTTAAACATGCTTTTCTTTTAATTTTGCAGGAGGTCCTAGGTTATAAAATTGACCACCAGGTTTCTGTTTACATAGTAGCAGTCTTAGAATACATTTCTGCAGACATTTTAAAGCTGGTTGGGAATTATGTAAGAAATATACGGCATTATGAAATTACAAAACAAGATATTAAAGTGGCAATGTGTGCTGACAAGGTAGGAAACTGAGCTTTTCTATTTTTTTCTTAAGTTTCTTTTTATGACTTATTAGATGCTAACGTACTATTCATATAGAATAAAATTGTATTATGTGTTGGGGAATATCTCCAGTAACCTAATAGTAGGGATTCAAGATACCACTTTATAGAAATAAGACATTAGATATATAATATTAAAATGTGTTTAAATATGTCATGCAGTTTTTTTCTTCTGTGCTGTTGCAACTAGGGTTAATTAGAGTAATCTCTTAATAGTTAATTTCTTTTCTTTTTTCTTTTTTTTGAGACGGAATCTCACTCTGTCGCCCAGGCTGGAGTGCAGTGGCACAGTCTTGGCTCACTGCAACCTCCGCCTCCTGGATTCAAGTGATTGTCCTGCCTCAGCCTCCTGAGTAGCTGGGATTACAGGCACACACCACCATGCCTAGCTAATTTTTTTGTATTTTTAGTAGAGACAGGGTTCCACCATGTTGGTCAGGCTGGTCTCGAACTCCTGACCGCCTTGGCCTCCCAAAGTGCTGGAATTACAGGCATGAGCCACCACACCCAGCTAGTAGTTAATTTCTTAAAATTTATTTGGATTGAAAGATTTGTAAGGTTACGGATTTACTTAAAAACAATTTTTCAAAATGTAAAACCACAAAACGATAGTTTTACTTCAGCACCTAGCTTTCTTCAGATACTACTTTGTGGTTTTACAATAATAATAATAAGAGCAAACACTTATTGAAGGTTAAGCATATATGTGGCTTATCTCCGTTGGTCCTTATGATATTCCTCTAAGGTAAGTGATCTTAGCTACATTTTATAAAAGGGAGACTGAAATTCACAGGGATAAAGAAATTGGTCCAGAATTTTCTGAGAAGTTTCAAAGCCTAGACTTGAACTCCAGGTCTCTCTGAGTCTAAAGCTTTTAGTCATTACCTAAGGATGTTCACTTTATGAAAACAACTTTGCAGAAAGGAAAATGTTTTCTGATGAAGCATTTCATTCCATTTTCCTCATTATACTCTTACTGATTTGGAATATTATTTCTGATTGCTGATTCCACTAAATTATGTTTTAGTATTTATTTGTTCTTTGAGAATGTGGCCATATAGAGTGAAAAAACCCACCTGATTTGAAGAAGAATTTCAAATGTTTGGGTATTTTTAACTGAAGACACGAATACGAAATACTTGATGCTTTTTAATGAATCAGATAAATAAAATATTTTTGAGTACCTACTACATGTTTACACAGAGAGGAGATGCAAGATAAGTATATATAAAACAAGGCTCCAGAGTTGATGAAGGTATACTTATATTCATGAAACAATCAGAAAGCACACAAGATAAAATAATATTTTATTGTGTTATAGAGATATGATGCTGTAGAAGTTCTCAAGAAGGGGAAAGATGTGTTGTAGCAAGAGTAGTAACAGTAGACTTCTTGCAGAAAATAATAGCTTATTTTGACCTATTCCCAACAAATGTAGGAAAATCGGCCGAATAGACAGCTATAAACATTTAAATATGAGATACTGAGGCCATGGAATAAAGTGATGATGGCAGGGTATAAAACAGAGAAAACCAAGTCAGGGAAATTAAAGACAGGATCTGGAAACAAATTGGAAGTAATAGGTTAACAAGAGAGACAGACAGATAAATACTAGTAGTGATAGAGAACTTGGAGGAGTGTAGTAAGTTATATCACATGTTGAATTCTGTTTTAGAGAAGCTGTGGAGGGATGCTGGCAATATATCCAAGAAGAGAAATTTGTTTGTCTGCTTTTTTATCATTTAAGAACTTTATTCAGAGAACTTAGAGCATTTCACATCAAATTCTACGAAAGCTTCATATTTTATTATACTTTTTTATATCTCTGACTGTATAGGTATTGATGGATATGTTTCATCAAGATGTAGAAGATATTAATATATTATCTTTAACTGACGAAGAGCCTTCCACCTCAGGAGAACAAACTTACTATGATTTGGTAAAAGCATTTATGGCAGAAATTCGACAATATATAAGGGAACTAAATCTAATTATAAAAGTTTTTAGAGAGCCCTTTGTCTCCAATTCAAAATTGTTTTCAGCTAATGTAAGTATCATTGTATATATGCCTCTCATTGAATGTGTTGTGAAATTTGCATGACCACTTCAAATTTGAAGTTGTACAGTTCATCATTACTAATTTGTTAATTTTTTTAAGTTGTGGGACTTAATTCATGATCACAAAGTTTTACAACAGTTTCAAGAGATTTAACATTAGAAATTAAGAGACAAAATACAAAGTAGACTGATTATGTAAGTGAAAATGAATTCACAGAATTCTCCATGTACTCCAAAGGATAAAGCTTCTTGTTTAGGTGGAAGATATGTTTGTTTGAGTCATTTGAATCATTCAACCTACACTTCATCAATGCCAACTGTATTGTCAGGTACCATGCTTGGCAGCAGGGATTCAAAGATGAATAAGAAACAGTTCTGCTGGGCACGGTGGCTCACGCCTGTAATCCCAGCACTTTGGGAGGCCGAGGCGGGCAGATCACGAGGTCAGGAGATGGAGACCATCCTGGCTAACACGGTGAAACCCCATCTCTACTAAAAATACAAAAAATTAGCCGGGCGTGGTGGCGAGCGTCTGTAATCCCAGCTACTCGGGAGGCTGAGGCAGGAGAATGGCGTGAACCTGGGAGGCGGAGCTTGCAGTGAGCCGAGATCGCGCCACTGCACTCCAGCCTGGGCGACAGAGCGAGACTCCGTCTCAGAAGAAAAAAAAAAAAAGAGTTCCTTTCCTTAAGTTTAGTCTAGTCAAGACAGAGATATAAACTATAAATTGCAATAAAATATGGTAATTACCATATTAGAAGTATGACAGCAGTAGTATTGGGAGCACAAAGGAAGGGGCCAGTAACATTGAAACTTAGACAAAGGATTACTGATCTTAAGATAGTGATCAAACTAACCTAATTGGGTCCTGAAGAAATGTTGAATGAGAACAGGTGAGACGGTCACAGGAATTACACACTGGTAATTCCTGGAACTGTAGCCACACAGCCATAAATGACTGATAAGAGAAACAGTGCTCACTACAGAGGCTGGGATTGGGCTCAAGCTATGGCGATGAGTGAAAATTAAAAAATAAAGGAGATTATGGTGATGGTTGTACAAATCTGTAAATATATTAAAGACCATTAAATTACTCACTTTAAATGGACACACTGCATGGTTTCTAAATAATGTTTCAATAAGGTTGCTTTAAAAAAAGTAAAGAAGAGGCAAAGGTTTCTGAGGACACAAAAATCAAGAACCAAAATGGCCAAAAAGCACATCAAAAGGTGTTCAACATCACTAATCATTAGAGAAATGCAAATTAAAACCATGACATACTACTACATACTCATTTGAAAGGCTAAAATGTAAATGACTTATAATACCAAAAGTTGAAATGGGTATGGAGCAACTACTTGTGGGAATATAAAATTCCCACATTACCTGAGAAAGTAAACTAGTATATTTTGGAAAACAGTTTGGTGGTTCTCTCTCTTTTTTTTTTCTTGAGACGTAGTCTCGGCCTGTTGCCCAGGCTGGAGTGCAGGGCCGTGATCTTGGCTCACTGTAACCTCTGCCTCCCAGGTTCAAGCGATTCTCCTGCCTCAGCCTCCCGTGTAGCTGGGATTACAGGTGTGTGCCACCACGCCTGGCTCATTTTTGTATTTTTAGTAGAGGCGGGGTTTCACCATGTTGACCAGGCTGGTCTCGAACTCCTGACCTCAAGTGATCTGCCAGCCTTGGCCTCCCAAAATGCTGGAATTACAGGCGTGAGCCACCATGCCTGGCCAGTTTGGCAGTTCTTTATAACAATAAACATAAACTAACCATATTGCCCAGCAATTCTACTCCTAGGTTTTTACCCAGAAGAAATGAAAACATGTCCATGCAAAAACTGGTTCATGAATGTTCATAGCGGCTTTATTTGTAATAGCCCCAAACTGGAAACAACCCAAATGTCCATCAGCAGGTGAATGTATAAACAAACTGTGGTATGACCATACAGTGGAATGCTACTCAGGAATAAAAAGAAATAGTTATGCGTGCAACAGCATGGGTGCATCTCAGAAATATAAGCAAAAAACTAGGCACAAAAGACAATATATGATTCCATTTATTTAATATTCTAGAAAAGACATGTCTATAGAGACAAAAAGGAGATCACAGGTTTCCTGGGAGTGAGGCATAGTAAGGGTTGATGGAAATGGGGGACAAAGAAACTTCTTAAGACGATGAAAAGGTACTGTATCTTGATTGTGCCGATGGTTAGAAGGGTGAATAACTACACAAAATCTCACCAAAAGAACATTTAAAATAGGAGTTTCGTATATAAACTATGCCTCAAAGTCAACTTGATAAATATAGTCACTGATAAAAAAATCAAATAATAGTAACCAATTTTAATTTAAATACAAAATGGATATGGTTGCAGATTCTACATTGCAACTAACCCTTAAGAAACTATCATTTGTTGAATTTTAGTATAGTATCATAAAAGGATAGTCACTCTATTTATATGGAAAGTCCAGAATAGGCAAATCCATAGAGACAAAGTAGATTAGTGGTTGTCAGGCACTGGGGAGAGGAAAGGAATGGAGAGTGACTTTACTGGGTATTTAGGTATCCACCTTCCAAAAAAATCATAGGTTTTCTTCTTGTGGTAATGAAATGTTCTAGAATTTGATACTGGTGATGACTGCACAACCAATATTGAAAACCATTGACTAGTAACTACACTTTTAATGAGTGAATTTTATGGTATGTGAGTTTTATCTCAATAAAAAAATTACACAGAAAAGCTAGATTTTTCGTATACTTTGAAATAATGTGTCACAACAGATTGTATGCAGAAATAGATATGAAAATCCTGCTGTCTTCTAGTACGCTATGTTAGAGATTTGCAAATGTAAAACATTGCCATTCTTCTACTAAATGTTTTTTGTTATGGCTTAAAAAAAATTTGGTTACTTTTTATAAAAGTGCTATTTATGTTAAACACATAATGGGTTTATTATTTTTAATGAATTAAATATTTTTTGAAATTTTTGGTTTTAACTTCTAATATGGTAAACATTGAAATACATAGTTATAAACAAAAGGTTTTTAGAATCTTCAATAATTTTTAAGAGTGTGAAGGAGTCCTGAGACCAGAAAGTTACAAGACCACTGACCTAGAGAAATGTATTTGCAAATTGTACACCTTTGCAGAAGGAATTCTTGAATTGTCCTTTATTCATATTTCTAAGTCATTAAAATTTTTCACTGTGTCTGACATGTTAAATTTTGTGATTATAAAATGACTTATTGGCTCAAAATTTGTTTAATATTATAATAATACAGCCTCACTGAATTAATGTGTTTTCCCCCAAACAGGATGTAGAAAATATATTTAGTCGCATAGTAGATATACATGAACTTAGTGTAAAGTTACTGGGCCATATAGAAGATACAGTAGAAATGACAGATGAAGGCAGTCCCCATCCACTAGTAGGAAGCTGCTTTGAAGACTTAGCAGAGGTAAGTACTTCAATTATATACCCGAAAAGTCTGCATAAAAGCCTACATTTACATTAAAATTGAGAGTCTTACTTCTTTCCAGCTAAAGTCATAGATACTAATTGTTGACTATTTATCTGTTATTGCTCCTTTTTCATAGGGTCATTGTCAACATATGTTTCTGTTATCTTAGCAAACAGAAAAAGTGGTCTCTTGTTAATTATAGAAAGACAGATACCGCCAAGGGGGGAGGTATTACAGCTGTCACCCAATGGCCTACTGTAAAACGTTAAGAAATGTCAATGAATGACTATTAAGTAAGAGACCACAGAACTTGCACCTGAGGTCAGATTACTTGTGTTCCAGTCTAAGCTCTGCTGCTTATTAGTTGTGTGACCAGTGGCAAGTTATTTCATTTCTTTAAACCTCCGTATCTTTATTTGTAAAATAAGAATGATAATACAGGTTGAGTATTCCTAATCCAAAAATCCCAAATATGAAATGCTCCAAAATCTGAAACTATTCCAACATGATGCTCAAAGGAAATGCTCATTGGAGCATTTCAGATTTGGGATTTTCAGACTTGGGGTGCTGAAGCAGTAGGTATAATACAAATAATCCAAAATCTGAAATCTTAAACACTTCATTTTGGGTAAGAGATACTCAATCTGTAATCTCAGGATTTTTGTGAAAAATTAAATAACCTATCTGAAATATTTACCTATCTACCTTCACATAGTAAGCTTACTCAGTATGTGATAAGTGCATTATTATTTAGAATAGGAATGAGGTAAATAGGACAATAAGGTCCAGGACCTGGGTGATTCAGATACCACGAGATAGAAAGAAAGGTAACTAACTCCTCAGATATTTCAAATGCTAAAATAACATGAGTCAGTCCTAATAAGTTAGCATTAAGAGTCATTCTGAGGTTTCTAGCATTTGCTGTGTTCTCACTCTAAAATCCACTCATTATGATACAGCATTGAGCTTGTAAAATATTTTTTTAATTAAGACTTTCAGGCAAAATAGAATGGTAAGTTCAAGCATCACCACAGCCCTTCCATTCCTGCTCCAAACACACATAAGTAATAAAGTATAAAAAGAAAAATGTGGAATATATATATAACTAGACTTGAAAACAAGATCAGGAATGGAATAGACATTCAAGGTAGTGAACTCTGGTATCTGGGTGTTCAGGCTGTTAAGGACAATGAATTGTTTCAAATGTGTTCCATGAAAGCCAGAGCAAGATTTCTTGCTCAAGTCCCTCCTTATAACAGGATGCTGGGAAAATCTGCCAACCTGGTATCTACAGTAAAGTTTTCTAAAAAGTTGTGGACTTGATGTGGGGAGACAAAAACGTTGCCTTACAATAATAACTTAACAAAGTTTCCCACAATATTAAGTCAATATGAAGCCTGAACCCGCAAAGTCATTTTAAGAGCAGGTTCTGGTTTGGAAGAGTGATCATAATGGGAGAAAAAAAGGAAACAAAACATTAAGTCTCCCACTAAGAAGCATATAATACAGAATTCCAAAAAACAAGGCAAATTCTAATTCTCAGAATGGTAATTAATAAAATCAACAATTACAACATGAATTTATTCCAGATGAAATTGATTTTGTATAATAGACATACAAAAAGTTTAAAAGAAGTTTAGGATGCTGAAAGAGATAAGTGAAGGAATATGATCCATTTATAAAGAAGATATTGTGAAACAAAAATAGGTGGAAAGGAAATGAGCAGATTTCTAGATATCAAAAGACAGAGATTTCGAGAATTAAATATACAAGCATTGAAATAACTCATGTAGTATAACATTTGCTGGACCCAGTTCAAGGATAAAATTAGTAAATTGGAAGATGGAATTGAGGACTTCACTGAGAATGTGACACACAGACCAAGATAAGAAATATGAAAGGCCAATTGAAAGTAATAAGGATAGCCAGGCATGGTGGCTCACGCCTGTAATCCCAGCACTTTGGGAGGCCGAAGCGGGCAGATCACCTGAGGTCAGGAGTTCAAGACCAGCCTGGCCAATATGGTGAAACCCCATCTCCACTAAAAATACAAAAATTAGCCGGGCGTGGTGGTACATGTCTGTAATCCCAGCTACTCGGGACGCTGAGGCAGGAGAATCACTTGAACCCAGGAGGTGGAGACTGCAGTGAGCCGAGATCGCACCACTGCCGTCCAGTGACAGAGCAAGACTCCATCTCAAAAAAGAGTAATAAGGATACACTGAGAGGTTTAATATACATCTAATAGGAGTTCCAGACAAAGAGTGATGGAGAAACAATATTTGAAAAGATAAAAATGGAAAATTTTCAAGAAATGAGGACATTAGTTCCCAAATCAAAAATGAATTCCAAATATCGTTCAGGACAAATAAAAATAAACACACAGCTAAAAACATGGCAGTGAAACTATAGAACATCAAAGATAAAGAGAAAATCTTGGGTTGGGTCCAGTGGCTGATGCCTGTAATCCCAGCACTTTGGGAGACTGAGGCAGGTGGATTGCTTGAAGTCAGGAGTTCGAGACCAGCCTGGCCAACATGGTGAAACCCCATCTCTACTAAAAAATACAAAAATTAGCGAGGCATGGTGGTGGGAGCCTGTAATCCCAGCTACTCAGGAGACTGAGACACGAGAATTGCTTGAACCTGGGAGGCAGAGGTTGCAGGGAGCTGAGTTCATGCCACTGTACTCCAGACTGGGTGACAGAGCAAGACTCTGTCTTAAAGAAAAAAAAAAAGAAAATCTTAAAAGCTGTTAAGACAAAATATTTTGCGAAGGAACTATAATTAGAATGGCAGCACGTTTCTCTTTAACAACAGAGGTTAACAGTCAGTTGAGTAATATATTTAAAGTACTAAGGTAGAATAGGATTTTCTACCCAACTACAGTATTATTCAAGAATGAGGACAAATTTTAAAATAATCAAGTTTGTAGAAGAAAGCATAAGTGTTCTTCATGACCTGTGAAATACACAAAGATTTCTTAAACAGGACACAAAAGCACTAACCATGAAAGAAAAAAATTGATAAACTGGACTTCATTAGATGTAAGAATATCCATTCATCAAAAGACAAAATTAATAGAATGAAAAGGCAAGCTATAGACTGGAAGATAATATTTGTAATATGCATAGCCAATGAAAGACTCATATCTGGGGTATATTAAGAACTCCTGGCTGGGCACGGTAGCTCATGCCTGTAATCCCAGCACTTTGGGAGACTGAGGTCAGTGGATCACTTGAGGTCAGGAGTTTGAGACGAGCCTGGCCAACATGGTGAAACCCTGTCTCTATTAAAAATACAAAATTAGGGTGGGCATAGTGGTGCATGCCTGCAATCCCGGTTACTCGAGAATCTGAGGCAGAATTGCTTGAACTTGGGAGATAGAGGTTGCAGTGAGCCAAGAGCACACCACTGTACTCCAGCCTGGGCGACAGAGCGAGACTGTCTGGAAAAGAAAACAACCCAAAAACAAAATAACTCCTACATGCCTACAAATCAATAACTAAAACTTCAGGGTTTTTTTGTTTTGTTTTGTTTTTCAGAAAATAGGCAAAAGACTTAAGTAGGTACTTCACACACAAAAAAGATGCTCAGCATTGTTACTCATCAAGGAAATGTATTTTGAAACCATGGAGCAGTTGGAAGTCTACTTGCTGGTGGGGGCTAGGGTGTAATTTGGTACAGCCACTTTGGAAAACCGTTTGGTGTATCTACTAGAGCTAAGTATACAATGTACCCTGTGACCCAGCATTTTAACTCTTGGGCATATACCAAACAAAAATGAGTGCTTATGTTGACTGAAAGACATATTGAAGAATGTTCACAGTAGGTTTATTCATAAGGGATAAATTAGTGGTATATTCACACAATAAAATGCTATCTGGCAATAAAAAAGAATAACTGCTGATAAAAGCAGCAACATAATACTGAGTATAATAAGACTCAAAGTACATATATATTGATATATGGGAAGTTCAGAAACATGTATCTTTGGAAACAGATTATTAGAGTAGTGGTTGACTGGGAAACATGAAGATTTCTGAGGTGCTAGAAATGTTCTATTTCTTTATCTGGGTGGTGGTTACAGAAATGCATTGTATACATATGTTAAAAGTCATCAAATTGCAGACTTTATGTAAAGTTATTCCTGAATTTATCAAAAATGAGGAAGAAGTGAGGAATAAAAACCATTTCAAACATACAATGACCAAGAGCGTTTACTACTTGTAGACACTCATTATAAGATGCATTGGATGGTGTTCTTTAGCAAGAAGGAAAGTTTTACTCAAAGGGAAGTCAAGAAATATAAGAACTAATGGTGAAAAAGAAATTGGTAGATGTAGGCCGGTGGCTTGCACCTGTAATCCCAGCACTTTGGGAGGCCAAGGTGGGCAGGTCACTTGAGCTCAGGAGTTCAAGACCAGCCTGGGCAATATGGTGAAACCCCATCTCTACAAAACACCAAAATTACCCAGGTGTGGTGGTGCGCACCTGTAGTCCCAGCTACTTGGGAGGCTGAGGCAGGAGAATGGCGTGAACCCGGGAGGCGGAGCTTGCAGTGAGCCGAGATCCCGCCACTGCACTCCAGCCTGGGCGACAGAGCGAGACTCCGTCTCAAAAAAAAAAAAAAAAAAAAAAAAAAAGACACTGTCTCAAAATAAATAAATAAATAAAAAATTAGAAAGTGTGTTGATAAATTTAATGAATTGCTGAATAGTTTTAAAAATAAGTTTAAAGTTTTTCGTCTTGGAAAGACTAAACTATATTTCTATGTATTAGTAACAAAATATACAGTATGTAAAGTGGACTTGTATTTGTGATAGAAGAATAACTTGAAAAATTTATAGATAACCGTATTTATTTTTAAAAACATGTACGAAAATCACCAAAAGAACAGAAATACTACCTGTAGCTTATAATGTACAGATAGGGAAAAAGGAACTATAGTAATTTTTTAAATCATTTTCACTGATAATAGGAAAGAATGAAGCAAACAAAAACAATGATAAGATAAAATGATATGATATAAAAAAATCCAACTACATTAGTAACTCAGTATATATAAACTGATGAAACTCAGCCTATTTAAAGAGAGTAATTATATTTGATTTTTAAAAATTCACTTTAGGCCTGGCGCAATGGCTCATGCCTGTAATTCCAGCACTTTGGGAGGCTGAGGTGGGTGGATCACAAGGTCAGGAGTTTGAGACCAGCCTGGCCAACATGGTGAAACCCGGTCTCTACTAAAAAAAAAATACAAAAATTAGCTGGGCATGGTGGTGTGCACCTGTAATCCCAGATACACAGGAGTCTAAGGCAGGAGAATTTCTTGAAGCCAGGAGGCGGAGTTGCGGTGAGCCTAGATCATGCCACTGCACTCCAGCCTGGGCGACAGAGCAAGACTCCGTCTCAAAAAAATGAATAATAAATAAAAATAAAATCCACTTTATGCAGCTTATAAAAGATTTTCTTAAAACAGAACCACAGAAATATTTTAAGATAAAGGGATGAAATATCATAACATAAAAACTAATCAAACCTGTATAACAATATTAATTCAAATTAACTGATAAAATTACACAAAGTAAGCACTGAGGAGGAAAAAAGAGAAACACTTCCTAATAGTAAAAGGGATACTATCATGAAGATACAACAGCCATTAATGTGTATGCACCTGATTATAAAGCCTCAAAATATAAGAAGTAGAAACTGACAGAATTATAAGAAATGAAAAAAATTGCTATCATAGGAAATTTTAACAGGTCTCCATCAGAAATTAAAAGATCAAACAAAAAAGATTAGGCCACAGAAGATTAGACTAACACATTTGATTTTACACACACACACACACACACACACACACACTCTCTCTCTCTCTCTCTCTCTCTCTCTCTCCCTCTCTCTCTCATTCCCTCACACTCAATTAGCCCTCCATATCCATGGCTTCCACCTCTGTGGATTCAACCGACTGTGGATTGAAAATATTTTTGGGGAAAAATAAGCATAATTGTATCTGTACTAACATAATGTTGAGCACATTACAATACATTACATCAGGGTACATTACAATACCCTAAACAATAAAGTATAACAACTCTTTACATAACGTACATTATATTAGATAGAAGTAATATAGGGAATCCTCTGAAGGTTATATGCAAATATACCATTTTATATCAGGGACTTGAACATCCCTAGATTTTGGTATCTGCATGGGATCCTGTAATCAATCCCTCACCGATAAAAGGGACAACAGAGTGTGTGTGTGTGTGTGCGCGCGCGCGCGCATGTGTGTGTACACAGTCATCCCTCAGTATATGTGGGGAATTGGTTCTAGGACTCCCTGCAGATACCCAAATCCACACACGCTTAAGTGCCACATCAGCCCTGCAAAACTTGCATAGGCCCTGTGGAACCCATATATACGAAAAGCCAGCCCTGAGTACGCAAGGGTTTCACATCCCACAAATACTGTATTTTTGATCCTCATTTGGTTGAAAAAAATCTGCATATAAGTGGATCTATGCAGGTCTAACCCACGGGTTGTTCAAAGGTCAGCTGTATACATCTTAATACTGTTGCCTTGAGGATTAAGTTTCAACTATAAATTTTGCAGAGAGAAGTTTACAGTTTTACACATTTTTTGAAAAAATAGGAATAATTAAAAATGAATGAGTTAAGCTTTCAAACCAAGAAAGAAGAAAGATAACGTGATACACCTAAGAGAATAATATGTAAGGAAGTAACGGAACAGAATTAATGAATTAGAAATTGATATAACAAAAGTTCTCATGGCTGATCAACGGGAAAAGGAAACACACATACTAGGTGTGATCTTGGCTCACTGCAACCTCCGCCTCCCAGGTTCAAGCAATTCTCATGCCTCAGCCACCCCAGTAGTTGAGATTACTGTGCCACCACTTTTGGCTAATCTTCATATTTTTAGTAGAGACAGGGTTTTGCCATGATGGCTAGGCTGGTCTCCAACTCTTGGCCTCAAGTGATCTACCTGCCTCGGCCTCCCAAACTGCTGGTATTACATACGTGAGCCACCGTACCAGGCCTGTTTTTTAAATCATGAAAGAACACTAAGATCCACTTCAAAATGTTTTAGAACTGTAATGAAATAACCTTTAAAATATGTAAAAGAGTAGCATCAATGTCCTAAGTTAAAAAACATTAAAAAATGAATAGTCAAAAGTGTATTTCAACAAATGACTTGCGGCATAGACCAGGTGTTGTGAATGCTGTGGTTTCAATGTGTCCCCATATTTTATGTATTGGAAGTTTAATCTGTATATATTGATTGGAGGTGGGGCCTGTGGAGGTAATTAGGATTAGATAAGGTCATCAGGGTGGGGTGGGGCCCCCATGATGTCAGGCCTGTTTTTATAAAAAGAGAAAGAGACCTGAGCTGACATGCTGTAGTTCCCTTGCCATGTGATGCCCTGCACCGCGTCAGGACTCTGCAGAGTCCCTACCAGCAAGAAAGCCCTCACCAGATGCACCTGCCTGTCTTGACCTTCTAGCCTCCAAAGCTGTGGTAAATAAATTTCTTTATGAATTACCCAGTCTCAGGTATTTAGTTATAGCAACAGAAAACAGCATGTGACAATGAGTTTTGCCAATCTTCAGGAAACAGTTACTCTTTTGCAAATTGTTACAATGAATAGAGACATGAAGGGTAACAAGTTTATCAGGATTGTATGAATACATTATCAAAACTACATAACGACAGTAAAGAAAAAACTATGAGACATTCTCAGATATCAATGAAATGGCAATGAAAAATCAGTTTATGATACAATAAAACATATGTCTATATATCTTATGATGTTTACTCTTATGTGGTTTGACATTTTAAAGTTTTAATGTAGTATTCTACTTTAGTAGGTTAAAATCTCAAGAAAAAGGCTTTCTTAAAATTAAACATTCACTCATGAATTTCTTTAAAATGTTGGGCAAACAAGCAATAGAAGGGAACTTTCTTAACCTAATAAAGGACATTTACTAAAAGTCTGTAAGAGATATAATAATAGTTAAACTATAGCAAAACTAAGAAACTAGAAAAGAATACCACTATCACCACTTCTATTCACTCTAATAGCGAGTACTACCCAATACAAAAAGACAGAAAAGGAATAGACAAGACAAAGTTGTCCTATTTGTAGTCAATATAATTATCTATATAGCAAACCCAAGAAAATTTGTATAATATTAAACTAGTTGGCAAGTTCATTATAGCTATTGGATAAAAGATCAGCCTGTAAAAATTGGTAGCATTACTGTGCTCAGTTACAGTCCATTGAATATATAATATTTTTAAAGACTGCATTCACTATAGAAATAAGACCATAAAGTACCTGGAAATAAACCTGACTAAAGATACACAGGACCTTTGTTTTTAAAAAAAAAAAAAAAAAAAATCATAAAATTAGCTGGGCACAGTGGCTTACTCCTGTAATCCCAGCACTTTTGGAGGCTGAGGCGGGCGGATCACAAGGTCAGGAGTTTGAGACCAGTCTGGCCAACATGATGAAACCCCATCTCTACTAAAAGTACAAAAAATTAGCTGGGCGTAGTGGCGGGCATCTGTGATCTCAGCTATTCAGGAGGTTGAGGCAGGAGAATCACTTGAACCCAGGAGGCGGAGGTTGCAGTGAGCCGAGATTGTGCCACTGCACTCCAGCCCGGGTGACAGAGTGAGACTCCATCTCAAAAAATAAATAAATAAATAAATACATAAAATTAGATTCACAAGGAAGATCTGAATAAATGGAAATATATACTATGTTCAGGGATGGAAAGACTCAGTACTGTAATGATACCAGTTGTCCCCCAGATAATCTACAAATTTAATGCATAGCAAGCTGATCCTAAAATTCACATGGTAAGAATGAGGAGCAAAAATAACAATTTTGAGGAAGAACAAGTTGAGGGGACTTGTTCTTGTCCCCTTAAGTACTTGTTAGGTAAAGTACCTGTTAGATAAAGTCTTGCCACATATTAAGACTTACTATGAAGCCAGAGTAAACAAGAGTGTAGTACTGGTGCAGGTAACAATTAGGTAGCAGAACAGAATAAAGAGCCCTGAAAAAAATATATACATAGATACTTCTCCTGAAATGTGACAGATATTACATTAATCAGTAGAGAAAGAGTGAACTCATTAATAAATGACACTGGGTCATACCTGGTTAAATGGAAAAAAATTCATTCCATAACACATAATTCACAGAAAGTACTCAACAGATTAAAAATCTAAAAATGAAGAGTAGAACTTCAAAAGAAAATATAGGAGAACATATTTATGACTTTGACATAGGAAGGTTTGTTAACACATAGAGTAAACCAGAAAGGAAGAGATTAAGTTTTAAAACTTCTGTTCAAGAAAAGACACCATAGTTATAAGGGAAGCACAAATGAATGAAGTTGGAACCATGTACCATATCCGAAAATTAACTCAAAATGGATCAAAGACAATGTAAGATCTAAAGCTATAAAACTCTTGGAAGAAAACAGGTCTGAATCTTCAATTTGGCAAAGGATGCTTAGATAATGCCAAAAGCACAAGCTATAAAAGAAAAAGTAGATAATTTGGACTTCTTCAAAATTAAAAACTGTGTTTCAAAGGACACCATCAAGAAAGCAAAAGACAGCCTACAGAAAGGGAAAAAATATTTGCAAATGATATTTCTGATAAGAGTAGTATTCAGTGTATATAACAAAAAGATAACCCAATTTAAAAATGGGCAAAGGATTTGAATAGATATTTCTCCAATGAAGATATATAAATGGCCAACATGGTACATTAAAAAATGCTCAACATCATTAGAAATTAGAGAAATGCAAATCAAAACCTCTATGAAGCCTGAGCAACATAGTGAGACCCTGTCTTTACAAAAATTAGAAAATTTGCCCAGGATGGTGGTGTGCACCTGTGGTCTCAGCTACTCGGGGGCTGAGGTGGGAGGATTGCTTGAGCCCAGGAGGTTGAGGCTGCAGTGAGCCATAATCACATGATTGCACTCCAGCCTGGGTGACAAGGTTAGACTCCATCTCTAAAAGAAAAAACATTATGCAGTACCACTTCACATCTACTAAGATGGCTAAAATTTAAATAAAGGGAAAGTAACAAGTGTTCATGAAGATGTGGAGAATTTGAGACCCTCGTATTTTGCTGATAGAAATATAAAACAGAGCAACTGCTTGGCAGACAGTTTGCTGGTTTCTCAAAAAGTTAAACAGAATTACCATATGATCCAGAAATTTCACTCCTAGGTATATACCCAAAAGAACAAAAAGCAGAGATTCAATCCTATACTTGTATGCCAACATTTATAGCAGCATTATTCACAATAGCCAAAAGCTGGGAACAACTCACATGTCCATCAACAGATGAATGGTTAAATTAAATGTATATGGTAAATACATTACAGTAGAATATACAGTGGAATATAATTCAGCTTAAAAATGGATAAAATTCCAATACATGCTACAACATGGATGAACCTTGGAAACGTTATGCTAATAAAATAAGCCAAACACAAAAGGACAATATTGTATGTTTCCACTAATATGAGGTAACTGGAGTAGTCAAATTCATAGAGACAGAAAATAGAAGTTACCAAGGGTTACGGGGAAGAGGCAATGATCAGTTACTGTTTAATGGATACAGAGTTTCAGTTTGGGATGATAGAATAGTTCAGATCTGGAAATGGACCGTTGCACATTGTCTATTAATGCCACTTAATTGTACACGTAAAAATGGCTAAAATGGAAATTTTCATGTGTATATTTTACCACAATATAAAAAAAATTAGGCCGGGCACAGTGGCTCATGCCTGTAATCCCAGCACTTTGAGAGGCCAAGGCGGGCGGATCACAAGGTCAGGAGATCGAGACCATCCTGGCTAACACGGTGAAACGCCATCTCTACTAAAAAATACAAAAAAAAAAATTAGCCGGGTGTAGTGGCGGGCGCTTGTAGTCCCAGCTACTCGGGAGGCTGAGGCAGGAGAATGGTGTGAACCTGGGAGGCGGAGCTTGCAGTGAGCCGAGGTCACGCCACTGCACTCCAGCCTGGGCGACAGAGCAAGACTCCATCTCAAAAAAATAAAAAATAAAAAAATAAAAGGGGGTGTTGAAACATGCTACAACATGGATGAACTTTGAAAATGTTATGCTGAACACAAGAAGCCAGTCACAAAAGACTACATATTGTATGATTCCATTTACATGTAATATCCAGAATAGGCAAATCCATGGAGACAAAAAGTAGATTTATGGTTGCCTAGGGCTGAGGGGTTTAGGGGATTGGGAGGTAATAGCTGAAGAGTGTGTGATTTCTTTGAGGGGGTGATAAAAATATTCCAAAATAGATTATGATGGTAGTTGCACAATTCTGTTAAACTAAAAATAATCTCATTTTGCCCATTAAATGGGTGAAGTGAATGTATTAGAATTTTATCTCAATAAAGCTTTTCTAAAAACTATAAATTAAAATGTAAAGTCAAGCTAATAAAAATGGTCAAAAGCTATTAATAAACAATTCTCAGAAGAGAAGATACAAATAAATGGCGCACAACCATATAAGTAGATTCTCAACCTTACTAGTAATCAGGGAAATACATATAAAAATAACACTGGCATAGTCTCACAACATCAGGCTAACAAATTTTAAGTCTGATAGTATCAAATGTTGACAAGGAAGTGGACAACTGGGAAAAATCACTGCTGCTAAGTATATAAATCGATATAATCACTTTGGAAAGCAACTTCCCCTTCTAGTTTACATGCTCTAAAAAATATTCATGCATATGTGCACACTAAGTTATACAGGCATACCTCAGAGATATCGTGGCTTAGGTTTCAGACTACTGCAATAAAGTGAATGTCACAATAAAGCAAGTCACTATTTTTTTGGCTTACAGTGCATATAAAAGTTATGTTTACACTATCCTGTGGTCTAGTAAGCATGCAGTAGCATTATGTCTAAAACAACATATATACCTAGATTTAGAAATACAGCTAAGAAAATGCTAATAATCCTCTCAGCCTTCAGTGAGTCATAATCTTTTTGCTGGTGAAGGGTCTTGCCTTGATGTTGATGGCTGCTGAAGGTTGGGGTGACTGGCAGTTTAAATAATAAGCAACAATGGGGTTTGACACAACTGTTCGCTCTTTCTTTTATGAAAGATTTCTGTGTAGCTGGTGATGTTGTTTGATAGCACTTTACCCACAGTAGAAATTCTTTCAGTATTGGAGTCAATCCTCTCAAACTCTGCCACCGTTTTATCAACTAAGTTGATGTAATATTCTAAGTCCTTTGTTGTCATAAAAATGTTCATAGTATTTTCACCAGGAGTAGGTTCCATCTCAAGAAACGACTTTTTTTTTTTTTTTTGAGACGGAGTCTCATTTTGTTGCCAGGCTGGAGTGCAGTGGTGTGATCTCGGCTCACTGCAACCTCTGCCTCCCAGGTTCTAGCGATTCTCCTGCCTCAGCCTCCCGAGTAGCTAGGACTACAGGTGTGTGCCACCATGCCCAGCTAATTTTTGTATTTTTAGTAGAGAGAGGGTTTCACCATGTTGGCCAGGATGGTCTCGATCTCTTGATCTCGTGATCTGCCTGCCTTGGCCTCCCAAAGTGCTGGGATTACAGGCGTGAGCCACCGCGCCCAGCCAAGAAACCACTTTCTTTGCTCATCCATAAGAAGCAAATTCTCCATTCAAGTTTTATCATAAACTTGCAGCAATTCAAGTCACATCATCAGGCTCCACTTCTAATCCTATTTCTCTTTCTATTTCCACCACATCTGCAGTTACTTCCTCCAACTAAAGTCTTGAACTTTTCAAAGCCATCCCTGAGAGTTGGAATCAACTTCTTCCAAACTCCTGTTAATGTGGATATTTTGACCTTTCCCATAAATAACAAATGTTCTTACTGGCATCTAGAATGGTGAATCCTTTCCAGAGGGTTTTCAGTTGATTTTATCCAGCTGCAGCAGAGGAATCACTATCTATGTCAGTTACAGCCTTACAGAACATATTTGTGAAATAATAAAACTTGAAGGTCAAAATTATTCCTTGATCCATGGGCTGCAGAATGGATGTTGTGTTAAGAGACTTGAAAACAACATTAATCTCCTTGTATATCTCCATCAGAGCTCTTAGGTGTCTAGGTGCAATGTCAATATTTTGAAAGAAATTTTTTTTTTTCTGAGCTGTTGGTCTCAATAGTGGGCTTAAAGTATTCAGTAAACCATGTTGTAAACAGTTGTACTATCATCCAGGCTTTGCTGTTGCATTTATAGGGCACACCCAGAGTAGATTTAGCACAATCCTTAAGGGCCCTAGGATTTTCAGAATGGTAAGTGAACACTGGCTCAATAGTAATGGTGAAGAAGTTTGAAATATTTCGACACAGAGACAAAATTAGCACATGCTGTTGGAAAAATGGGGCCAAAAGACTTGCTTCACACAGGGTTGCCACAAATCTTCAACTTGTTAAAAAAAAAAAAGGCAATATATGCAAAGCACAATAAAGTGAAGCACCATAAAGTGAAGTGTACCTGCATACCAAGTGCAAATTACAGAATTTTTTTTTATAATTGTGAAAAACAAGAAACAGTTATCTATCAGTGGAGAATGGATTAGAGAAAACTGATATATTCATACAGTAGAATATTATAGTTTTAAAATAAACTGAAAGGAACTGTATGAATCAAAATAGATGAATCTTGAAAAATTTTTGAGTATAAAAGGCAACTTATAGATGAATGTATACATTATGATATTTGGCATATGATCATTTCTGAATTGGAAGAGACCTAAGCTATAAGCATCTCTTCACATTTTTAGTCTTCTCTTCCGTCCACTGTATTCATGCCTGACTCCATCCTCTTGTTGTTTTTGAAACTTTACTATCAATTTCTGTAAAACGTAATAGACTCCAATTTCTGGTGTTATATTATGATAGCAATTTTTAGTTGAGAAGAAAGTTGAAGGAGTTAAAAATTGGGAAGTCAACTAAGAGCCAGCTCAAGGAATCCAGTATGACTTGGAAGTTTACATGCCATATTGCAAAATGCAACAACCAGAACTCACGTCTTCTGATTTCTGATCTGGTGGTATTACTGTTCAATCATTTCTTAAAAAGCAATCTGAGGCCAGGCGCAGTGGCTCACACCTGTAATCCCAGCACTTTGGGAGGCTGAGGCAGGAGGATCACTTGAGTCCAGCAGATCAAGACCAGCCTGGTCAGGCCGGGCGCGGTGGCTCACACCTGTAATCCTAGCACTTTGGGAGGCCGAGGCGGGCGGATCACGAGGTCAGGAGATAGAGACCATCCTGGCTTACACGGTGAAACCCTGTCTCTACTAAAAATACAAAAAAAAATAGCCGGGCGTGGTGGCGGATGCCTGTAATCCCAGCTACTCGGGAGGCTGAGGCAGGAGAATGGCGTGAACTTGGGAGGCGGAGCTTGCAGTGAGCCGAGATCGCGCCACTGCACTCCAGCCTGGCCGACAGAGGGAGACTCCGTCCCAAAAAGAAAAAACAAAAAACGACCAGGGTGGTCAACATGGCAGAAACCCTGTCCCTACAAAATACACAAAAAATGTAACCAGGCGCGGTGGTGTGCGCCTGTGGTCCCAGATACTCAGGAGACTGAGGTGGGAGGATTGTTTGAGCCCAGGGGGCAGAGGTTGTAGTGAGCCAAGATTGCACTACGGCACTCTAGCCTGGGTGACAGAGTAAGACCAAGATCCTGTTTCAAAAAAAAAGCAATCTGAAAAATAACATTAAGGGTGATTTAATTCATAACAACCTTTCGTTGTTTCATTCCCTTCTGCCTTTTTCTACTATGCTCCTCCACTAGATGTCCTATTCCTCTTGCTAGAATTACCCTTTATGGAAATGAGCTCATGCTAGAATCTAGAGCACCATTTTCATAATAGTTTTATACAAGATAGAAGAGTAGCGACTCTATTTCTCCTGCTAAAATCAAGATACCTACTCTCTTTTTCCCCAGAAATCTTCAAAACCAGTAGATTCTGGTCTTTTTAACTGAGCCATTAGAATTTAGTTTATTGATTGGTGATATTAATGATGGCAAAATTTTGGGCAGTTCGGATTTTGTTTAATTGTTTTGTGAAATTATCACAATGAATTTTAGATGACATGAACTGTTACTTCTGGTTTATAGAATACGAAAGTACATGTCCACCACTGAGAACTATAAAAACATGTCTGGCTTCAGTATTCTAAATGTTTATACCTTACCTAGTTGTACATATCTATATTCTTTGTTGTTGTCAAGTTAAGATTTGTTTTCTAGAACCAAAAGTCTGCCCACTCTTATGGCCATGTTTGTTGATAATACTCTACTGGAAACCTTTAATGAGAGCTGTTATAACATATAAGGATTTTATTATTCATCAGAAAGAACTGATTTACTCTCTTACTTGAGAATATTGGGATCTCTTCTATTAAAATTATAATTAGTAGTCATATAATTTTTGCTTAGAGACTTTCAAAGACATACATAATTGTGCTCGCATAGTCGTGCCCCATAATTAAATCTTTCTGTGTTTGTAATGGTAAATTATTTATGTTTTACCTTCTTTATTTTCTAAGGAACTGGCATTTGATCCATATGAATCGTATGCTCGAGATATTTTGCGACCTGGTTTTCATGATCGTTTCCTTAGTCAGTTATCAAAGCCTGGGGCAGCACTTTATTTGCAGGTATAGTAATTTTTAAATGAAGATGTACAATGTCTGAAAAGTAAACTTAAAAAAAAAATTAAATCACTTTTTTTTCCAGTCAATAGGCGAAGGTTTCAAAGAAGCTGTTCAATATGTTTTACCCAGGCTGCTTCTGGCCCCTGTTTACCACTGTCTCCATTACTTTGAACTTTTGAAGGTAAGAAAACTCTTTATTGTTATTTGTAACATATTCAAGTGTGAATTTTTTTTTTTGCTACTTCATTTGTAAATTATTGTGTGAGTACCCTGCACATTAGTGTGTTTCTGTTTTCTTTTTCCAGTCAAGAAGCAAATGGAAATCAGTCTGCAAAAGAGTAGCATATTTTCTCGTCTTAGTAGTGAATTTTATTTTTGTTGTTTTTTAATTTTTTTGTTTTTTGTTTTTTCTTTTTTTTATTTTTGGTTTTTTAGTGAATGTTAAAGCAATTGTCAGATATTTTTGTCTTGTACCTTTACTTTTTGTTTACATGGCTGATTCTTTGAAAACAACCTTGGATTTATGCATCGCAGTTTCCATTTGGGGACCTCAGCAGACTCAGGGACTCAGTGTGAGGATAAGGGAGCCAGTGTGAGGATAAGGCCAAAGTAATGGGGAAGGTTAGTTTACCTGACTTTCATAGCTCAAGTTTGCAACTATCTGTATTAAACTGTTTATCATTACTTTAGAAACAATAAATTTCTGTAATCTCAGTAAAAATTGCCCATTTGATCACAGTTCAAAATACTAAGCACTGACTGAAAGGAAAGGGGTTGTCTCTTTTTTCTTTTCCTGTTATATACTGAAATTAAATAAAAGTCTGTATAAATTATAATTCAATAGTGTAGCTCAAAGTGATATTCTCTCTACCTTTAATGGACTAGCCTTGTAAAGACAAAAGAAGACATGCATTAATAGCGTTATTATTTCTTTAGCTTTCAAATGAGTATTTGTTTCATCAAAGAAAACTTCTGTTTAGTATCATGATTCTTTCACAGAGAATATATTACTGGAAATCATATTTATAGTTTGCAGATGATAAAATGGGCTCTCTGTAATGAATCAATGAATGAATAGAAGGTCTGTGAATTTATTAACAGTAAACTGGAGGAACTCTCATCCTTACATTTTCTCAGGTCTCTGCACTGCATAGTAGTCATTTGGAATTCAGTTTGATTTCTCAATTAGGAATGTTTACATTGAGAAAGGACTAAGGGAGTTAAAAGGTATTTTTAATCACTAGGCAGAAATGACAAAGCTCTTAGCAATAGCATACCATTTAAGGTCTTTGGAAATACAGGATGAGTATCTTAAGAGGATAATCAAGAGAGGAAGCATTTAGTATGTAAAATCTTTAGAAAGAATTCATTATTACTAACTATAGTTATAATGGGACATTTACACACTGTTTTGTTATATAGAATTTTTCTTTGTAATGGTTTCTCTAATAACGGGATTTTTTTTTTTTTAACCTGAGCCTGTAATGAAATTCAGAAAGATTCAAAGGCCATATAAAATCTTAAGGCCGTTATCAGTTTATAAATAAAAACAAGAATGCCAGGTGTGTTGGCACACGCCTGTAGTTCCAGCACTTTGGGAGGCTAAGACAGGAGGATTGCTTGAGCCCAGGTGTTCAAGACCAGCTTGGGCAACATGGCAAGACCCTGTCTCTACAAAAATAGAAATAAAATTAGCCAGGAATGGTGGTGCACACCTGTGGTTCCAGCTACTCAAAAGGCTGGGCAGGAGGAACACTTGAGCTCAGGAGGTCGAGGCTGCAGTGAGCCATGACCACGCCTCTGTACTCCAGCCTGAGAAACAGAGCAAGCCCCTGTCTCAAAAATACAAAACAAAACAACCTTCCCCTCCAAATGAACCCAAGAAGCTTTGATGAAAGTTCAGAAGGCTATAAAACCCAATCATCTTAATAATATAAAAGAAATTTTTACTCCTTCAAGTGTAGGCAATTAAAATTTCTAAAATTATAACTTACATTAATAGAATTTTAATAAGTGCATCATTTAGCAATTTAAGATTTCTACTGATTTAAGCATGTGTATCCCTTGTTCGTATTACTGCCTAAGTTATATTGCAAAGTTAGCAGTATATTGGGCAGGAAATTTTGTCTAATTAGTCCACAAGACTCTCATCACTTTTTTTTTTTTTTTTTCTGCACACCTATAATCCCAGATACTCAGGAAGCTGAGGCAGGAGAATCACCTGAACCTGGGAGGCGAAGGTTGCAGTGAGCCAAGATCACGCCATTGCACTTCAGCCTGGGCAAAAAGAGCAAAACTCCATCTCGAAAAAAAAAAAAAGAAGAAAAAGAATTTCCTAGCAGCCCTGGATATGCCAAATGTGTTCAGGGTTCCATGGGTATCCCGGTTCATATTACTGCCTCTTCGCTTGTTCTTTTTTCCCATTTATCTGGAATTCCTCTTCTACCCTCTCCAGGCTGGAGTGCAGTGGCATGATCTCAGCTCACTGCAACCTCTGCCTCCCAGCTTCGAGCGATTCTCCTGCCTCAGCTTCCCAAGCAGCTGGGATTAATTAAAGGTGTGTGCCACCACAGCCGACTAATTTTGTATTTTTAGTAGAGACAGGGTTTCACCATGTAGGCCAGGCTGGTCTCGAACTCTTGACCTCAGGTGATCCGCCCACCTCAGCCTCCCAAAAGTGCTAGGATTTCAGGTGTGAGTCATCATGCCCAGAGTGAGTTCCTTCCTTTCTTTACATACATCTCTTTAGAGAACTTGTTCCATTTTTATTGTCTGCCTTATCATTCAACTGTTTGCTCTGTGAAGAATGGAGCCCTATTATCTTTGAATTCTCATACCTATTACAGTGTCTGGCATTTAGGCTTTCAATAAATGCTTGTTAAAAAATGAGTGGCAAAAAATATATATACATTTTCCTTTAAATTCTTATGTCTTATATTTTAAAGAAAGTTTAACTGTAAATTTTATATAATTACCTTTATTTTGGAAACTTAGGTAGAATGCCTTAAACTTTACAAAGTCAAAAGATAAGTTTAGCTATTAATAGTATAAGACTGTTGAACACAAAGAAACAATAAAATGGTGGTTACCAGAGGCTGGAGGGTAGGGGAGTAGGGAGATACTGGTCAAATGACACAAAATTTCAGTTAGGAGGTGTAAATTCAAGAGATCTATCGTACATCATGGTAACTACAGTTAATAACAATACATTGCATATTTGAAAACTGCTAAGAAAGTAGATATTGTGTTCTCACCACGAAAAAAAGTATGTGTTAATGCACATGTTTTAAGTAGCTTGATGTAGCCATTCCAGATTATATACATCTATCAAAAGATCCTATTATATACCATAAACATATGATTTTTACTTGTTGATTAAAAAATAAATTAAAAATAGTGTGACTTTAATGCTGCTGACACTGAAAAAATACTCTTTCCTTCAGCAGTTAAAGATAGCAGTCAAGTCTTCACTCTTTAACTTGAAAAGTTAAAGTTAATTTTTTTATGAAGTAAAAAAACTTCCTTTGTGCCCTTTTGAAAACCATATTGCTTCAATAATGTGATTTTTGTATGTGAAGTTTAATTTACTTCATTAAACAAATTTAGATTTCTTTCTTGGGGCTAAGTAAATATATTGACCAGTATTTTATTTTATTTTTATTTTATTTTGAGACAGAGTCTCACTCTGTCGCCCAGGCTTGAGTGCAGTGGCAAGATCTTGGCTCACTGCAAACTCTGCCTTGCGGTCTGAAGTGATTCTCCTGCTTCCCAAGTAGCTGGAATTACAGACGCCCGCCACTACGCCTGGCTAATTTTTGTATTTTTAGTAGACAAAGGGTTTTGCCATGTTGGCCAGGCTGGTCACGAACTCCTGACCTCAAGTGATCTGCCCACCTCGGCCTCCCAAAGTGCTGGGATTATAGGTGCGAGCCCCCACACCTGGCCTGACCAATATTTTAAAGGTTAGCAAATCAGTACATGTTTGGTTCCACAAAGGTATTAACTTTTTCTTTGTTCCTTATACATGGGATTTTATCTCCCTCTCCCCAAGATGCACCCAAACAAACCTTAGAAAAAACCATCCAGGATGACTTTGAATTCCCTAGAGAATTGCCTATTCTTTTTCTTGTATGCTGGGTCCTTGTAACCTAGGGGAAAGTAAGTTTCCCTCTATTTTAAAATTCAGGTTGAAGTCTATGTTGTTGTGTGTACATGAGTGTATTTGGTTTCCTAAGGCTGCCACAGCAAAGTACCACGAAGTCAGAGGCTTATAAACAACAGAAATTTATTCTTTCACAGTTCTGGAGGTGAGGAATCTGAAATCAGGGTGTGGGCAGGGCCACACTTTCTCTAAAGGCTCTAAGGAAGAATCCCTGCTGCCTCTGCCTAGCTTCTGGTGGACCCCAGCGATTCTTGGTGGTCCTTGGCTTATAGATGCCATCACTCCCGTCTTTGCCTCCATCTGCACATCAGCTTCTTCACAGCTTCACGTTCTTCTCTATGTGTCTGCATCCAAATCTCGCTTTCCTTTCTCTTACAAAGACACCAAGTCAGTGGATTTAGGGCTCACCCTAATCCAAGATGATCTCATCTCAACTTGATTACATCTGCCAAGATCCTATTTCCAAAGAAGATCACATTCATAGGTACCAGGGGTTAGGACTTGAATACATCTTTCATGGGGGACACAATTCAACCCTTAACAATAAGTTTTTGGTACACTATAAAAATTAAATTTTTGTTGTTCTGATTCTCCAGCATATACACTGGCTACATTGGCTTTATACGCTGGCTTCCCCCTAACACCCCCATCCCTCTTTTTTAGAGATAGGTCTCGCTCTGTCACCCAGGCTGGAGCGCAGTGGTATGATCATAGCTTGCTACAGTCTGGAACTCATGGGCTCAAACAATCTTCTCATCTCAGCCTCCCAAGTAACTGAGACTACAGGCATGCACTACCATGCCCAACTAATTTTTTTAAATTATTTTTTTGTAGAGACAAGGTCCCATTTTGTTGCCCAGGCTGATCTCAAACTCCTGGGCTCAAGGGATCTTCCCACATTGGCCTCCGAAAGTGCTGGGGTTAATGGCATGAGCCAATGCACCCAGCCTTTTCTTTCCCCCTCTTTCGCTTTTTTTTTTTTTTTTCTGTTTTCTTTTTTTGTGTTAGGCCAATTAATCATTTCATCCTGATCTTATATTTTTTATTTTTATTTATTTATTTATTGAGATGGAGTCTTGTTCTGTCACCCAGGCTGGATTGCAGTGGTGCTATCACAGCTCACTGTAACCTCGACCACCTGGGCTCAAGTGATTCCTCAGCCTCACAAGTAGCTAGGACCGTAGGCACATGCCACCACGCCTGGCTAATTTTTTAAAATTTTTATTTGTAGAGATGAGACGTCGCTCTGTTGCCCAGGGTGGTCTCAAACTTCTGGGCTCAAGGGCTTCTCCCACCTAGACCTCCCAAAGTACAGGGATTATAGGCGTAAGCCACCGAGTCTGGTGGAGAATCAATGGAGGTTCTCTCTAGTGTACATTCCCTTGAACCAGCTTTCTAAATTCAGAAATTCTTATCTAGAAACCATCGGCTCAAAGCTACATGGTATTGGAGCTGACCACAAATGTTGAATGTCTAAAGTTAAACATAGGATAGCGTACCACAGGAGCCATTGTAAACAAACAGCTAACTATTGTATTACTCCAATTTTTAATTTAATTTTTTGGTTTTGGTGTTTGGGGTTTTGTTTTTTGTTTTGTTTTGTTTTTGAGACAGGGTCTCACTCTGTCACCCAGGCTGGAGTGCAGTGGTACAGTCACTGCTCACTGCATCCTCAACCTCCCAGGCTCAATTAATCCACCTACCTCAGCCTCCTGAGTAGCTGGGACTCTGGTTGTGCGCCACCATGCCTGGCTAATTTTATTTTCTGGTAGAGACGGCATCTGGCTATGTTGTCCAGGCTAGTCTTGAACTCCTGGACTCAAGTGATCTGCCCACCTCAGCCTCCCAAAATGCTGGGATTACAGGTGTGAGCCACTATACCTGGCCAATTTTTAATTTTAAATAAACTTGACTGCTGTGAGGTACATTTGTAGTTAGTGATGTTTTCTCTGATTAGAACAGAGAGGTGGTTTTAAAAGATATGTTTTCATAAATGACATATCGTAACATTTTTTAGGGTTGATTGCCTGTTTAATGTTTGGAATTGAAATTTCGTTTTAATTAAGAATTTCATCTTCTCCACCCATACCTTTTAGGTGTGCTGGTACCATAAAATAATAATTTATTTGAATGTCATGACCTTTCTTTCCCTCAGCTTTTAGTGGAATGTTTAAAATGATGTCATGGCAAACAGGAGCAAAAGCCTTGAATTACACAGCAGTTAGTTAATTAGTTCTGGAATAATTTGGATAATATTTCATACATTTGCTAAGAGGGCTAGTAAATCAAGTGTTACTCTTTGCATTTTCTATGTTGTAATCCACTGTGGTGTCTCATCAAACGGTATGCAAATAACATTCCAAAATCGAAATGTGAACCTAATCTTTGCTTGTGTTCTGTTACGTTGTGATGAGCTCTATGTATATAATATTTAAAATAAATGGAGATCTTTATTTTTATATCCCAAATGTTAGACAATTACAATGTATATTTCTTGGGTGTATACTTTGTCATTCTTGTGCATTGCAATTTACCTGTTCTATGGAATAGGTTTTATTTAGTGAATATTGAGGTTTTTCAAAGTCATTTCAGTTATTTGGGTACCTATTATAGTGAAAAGTCACGGGACTGAAAGTCAAGAATTGTGGATCTAGTACCTGCCTGTTAGTGCCTTCAAGTAAATGGTAGTTCCTTCGTTGTATACAATGCCATGTTGGAGGAAATTAATTCCAAGGAATAAAAACGAATTCAAGCATTCCTTTTTTTAATCAAAGGGAAGCCATTATATGATTGTGAGTGAATTGAGCATATAAAATGCACTGGGTACAACAATTTATTTTTTATGTATCAAACACTCTTGAGTTTTAGTCTCCTGAATACTGCTATATTCTTTATATTCATTGTAGCTTTTTCTTTTGACAGCTCCTTACATTTAATCCCATTTATCTCCCAGGGTTTCCTTTGCATATGGAACACACCATATTGACTATTGCCTCTTTACTTATTTCTAAGGGACCAAAAAAATTCGTCACTGGTAAAAGTGGTTTCTTTCTTGTGAAAAGTTAAATTTTATCATCTCAATAGAGCATATGAGTTTTCATTCTGCTTTAAAATATGATTCCTGGCTGGGCACAGTGGCTCATGCCTGTAATCCCAGTACTTTGGGAGGCCAAGGAGTTCGAGACCAGCCTGGCCAACATGGCAAAACCCTGTCTCTACTAAAAATACAAAAATTTTCTGGGTGTGGTAACACGCAGCTGTAATCCCAGCTACTCTGGAGGCTGAGGTAGGAGAATCGCTTGAACCTGGGAGGTGTGGAGGTTGCAGTGAGCTAAGATTGTGCCACTGCACTCCAGCCTGGGAGACAGAACAAGACTCCATCTCAAAAAAAAAAAAAAAATAATAATATGATTCCCTAGATGAGTTTAAGTACAATCTCATATGGTAATATAATCTCAGGATTTAGTACTTTTTTTAAAACTATTCAAATAAACTGCCTTTGTACAAATGTAATTGTTACTATTGCACATTATTATTAAATAGGCACTCATGAAAAGCATGGTATTGAATATCACTGGTAACAAGAGGATGCTGCTTTGTTGAGTCTCATTTACATACTAATTGCCACTGCTTTGTCTCTGTAGCCACAATAAGCCACCCTTTTGATGGTAGTTAGCTTGAATTATATTGCACCAGTGCCAAGTTTAAATTAGCTATGTTAAGTAAAAGAAGCAAAAAGTGGTAGAAGAAAGGTCATTTATTACACTGAAATTTATTTTAGAGGCTTGCCTAATGCTATAAAGGTAAAAATGACATTTTAAAAGTATTTCATCAGGAAAGTTTTATGGGTTTGAAATGTACTTTGGGTTTGTGGCTTTTAAAATATTAACATTTTTGAGATACCAGAATATTCTGTATGTAAAATGCTACAGTTAAATAGTAGATAAATGATTCCAAAACTTGAAACATTTTTAGGATAGAAAATCAAAGGATGTCCAAGTGGATTTTTTCTTTTATAAATATTTTTATGTGTATGAGAATTATATATTTTGTCTACCATTAGGTATGTTTTCCTGAATTAAAAATATAAAAAATGTATCCAGGACAAAATATCAAATGCTCAATATTCTGCTACCTGTTAGTTATTTAAGACCGAAAAATTGCCTTGTATCTTACTGACTTGAATTTCTCTGGGCTTTGCTTTTGAGTGATTAAATTCTCAATCAACTCAGTGAACTAATTCATCGTTCAGTGGTGCTTTCATTAAATTTGCCTTAAGGTATACAGCAAGCTTGTCTAACCCCCGGCCCAACACAAATTTGTAAACTTTCTTAAAACATTATGAGATTTTTTTGCAATTTTTAAAAAGCTCATCAGCTCTCGTTAGTGTTAGTATATTTTATGTGTGGCCCAAGATAATAATTCTTCCAGTTTGGCCCAGGGAAGCCAAAATATTGGATACCCCTGGTATATAGCTTTCAATGTTAGATTATCTGCTGCTTTAAAGACTAAACTTGATAATGTTTAATGGTAACATTTTATTTGTCTCCCAGAATTCTGCCATGTGAGAGGCAAATAGTTTCAAATGATAGGGATGGAAGGTACTTTGAGAGATTACCTGGATTCCAGCCTTCAGCCTACTAGTAATATCTGTTAAGTAAAAACCTAGTATCTTTCTTTATGAACCCTGGCCATTGGCTTTCTTTAATCTAGCTGGCCATATTGAAGAACAATATTATGAATAAAAGATATTTGATTTTTGTATTAATATGTACACTTTTAAAGTCTCTTATCCTTTGGAAAATATCTTTCGTTACCCTTTTTATGTTGAGAATTGTTAGGAATAAATTTTTCTGTTTTTTTTTTTTTTTTTTTTGAGACGGAGTCTCACTCTGTTGCCCAGGCTGGAGTGCAGTGGCACGATCACGGCTCACTGCAACCTCTGACCCCTGAGTTCAGGCGATTCTTCTGCCTCAGCCTCCCGAGTAGCTGGGACTACAGGCGTGTGCCACCACACCCAGCTAATTTTTGTATTTTTAGTAGAGACGGGGTTTTACCATATTGGCCAGGCTGGTCTCAAACTCCTGACCTCGTGATCCCCCCGCCTCAGCCTCCCAAAGTGCTGGGATTACAGGCATGAACCACCGTGCCCAGCCTAAATTTTTCTTTTACTTAACACAGTTAAGACTGAAAATTTTCCTAAAAATGTAGATTATGCCTCTAGTAGAAAGTATGGTGAGTTTTTAATAATGAATATAAGAAATCTGGATAATAAAAGCTAAGTATTAAACATTACAATATGGTATTCATTACTTCTAGAATATTTGACCATTAAAGTATTTTAAGTAAATTTTAATAAAAATGGTTTAGAATATAAGTAAGAAATCTGTTTACTTTTCACAGGTCATCAGTGCATGTGGTATGTGCATGCGCATGCATGTAACTGATTTTTATCAATTGAAGCAGAAAGGAATGTGTTGTTGACCTTTAAGGAATACCTGTGAAAAACACAAAATCCTTAAAGTACTAATGTACTAATGAATACTTAAGCTAATTGAAAAGTAAACTTCTAGCCAGGCATGGTGGCTTACGCCTGTAATCCCAGCACTTTGGGAGGCCGAAGCAGGCAGATCACTTGAGGTCAGGAGTTTGAGACCAGCCTGGCTAACATGGTGAAAACTTGTCTCTACTAGAAGTAAAAAAAAAAAAAAAAATCAGTCAGGTGTGGTGACAGACACCCGTAATCGCAGCTACTCGGGAGGCTGAGGCAGGAGAACTACTTGAAGCTGGGAGGCAGAGGTTGCAGTGAGCTGAGATTGCACCGCTGCACCCTAGCCTGGGGTACAGAGCAAGACTCCATCTAAAAAAAAAAAAGAAAAATAAACTTCTTTATAAATCACTTTGAATATTTCATGATTGTGTATCTCAAGTCTTTTCATTCATGGTAGAGAGTAGGTATTCCTAAATTGTTGGATGAAAACTCTATTGATAAAATGTTATTTTATTTTATTTTAATAGACGGTATCTCAAACTCGTAGGCTTAAGCGATCCTCCCACCTGGGCCTCCCAAAGTGCTGAGATTATAGGCATAGGCCATTGCAGCCAGCCAATATGTGATTTCTTAACTTTTCCTTTTGGTAACCAGGAACAGGTTTAAGATGTATGAGTGAATTATTGTGACTCATACATCTGTTAAGTGCTTGCTTGAATCATAGCCACCTTACTGTATTGACAATTAGTTACTGATGACTTAGTTCTTGTTAAGTAGAGACGTTCTGTCTGACACAGATATTTGCCAGTAATAGAAAATATGCTTGAGTTTCAGTTTCATAAATATGTATATTATAGCTTCACTCAAAATCTTAATGTGGATATGGACAAAGTTCTTTATTATACTAATGTTAATTCTGTAGTATAATTACAAAGAAAACCATTTACACTTACATTGTGTGTTACCATTTACAAAGTGCTTTGGTTTTTAATAACAACCCCTAAAAGTAGGCAGGGTAGGCTTTTTATAAGCCTTATTTGGCAAATGGGAAAAGTAAGACTCAGAGATCAAGTGACTTGCCCCAAGGTCACACAGAAGTAGAGTCAAAATTTGATCCTAGATTTTGTAATTGAGATTCCTTCTACTATATTGCATCGTTCTCTGTATATTTATCTTCCTTATCATCTCAATATTATATAACAATAATATAGGGGTCAGAAACCTAAGACCAAATTCCACACTTAAAAAAAAAAAAACCTCGTCTACATGCTTAGTGGTATGCTAACTCTATGATAATTCAGTAGATCGATTATGCTCCCCATTTCTTTTCAGTGGTATGCACCTTGAAAAACTACATATTACTGCCTGTCACAAGATATAACCCATCTTAACACTGCTAATCTTGGTCTTTTAATGTAGAAAACTTGGTTGTGTATTAATAGTAACACACAAGAAAAACACTTTTAAAAAGAATATTTGATGACACATTTAAAATTTTTATTGTGACAGTTGAATAAATGTTATTTTTATCCTTAAATGAGTTTATTATTATTTTATCCAAAAATGTACTACTGGTTCAGATTTGTCATTTTGGCTTTACAGCAGTTAGAAGAAAAAAGTGAAGATCAAGAAGACAAGGAATGTTTAAAACAAGCAATAACAGCTTTGCTTAATGTTCAGAGTGGTATGGAAAAAATATGTTCTAAAAGTCTTGCAAAACGAAGACTGAGGTGAATATTTTTACTTTTTAAAATATCCTTTTTTCCCTGAATATTGTGGTGTAAATTCAGGGATCCCAGTTCCCTCCTCAAGTAAACAATGAAGAAAATAGTTTTAGTGACAAGCCTGGTCTTTTAGAGGAAGTGACATCAAAGCCAAGAGAATTGTTATTGTTTGAAAAACCTTTCATATTTGTGCATTTTCCTTGCATACTCCCAGACAAGACCTCCTGAGAGTCAACTGGTAAGCTGAAGGAGAGACAGAGTAAAATGTATCGGGTAGATTTATGTTGGCATCGTTATTCTGTCAAAGTAAAATTATTAGTGTCCTTTATTTTAGGGATTATATAACTTGAGGCATTAATTCAGATAACATTGCTTCCACTTTCCTGATTATAATATGTGCTACATGTTTTTAGCTTTGGGTCTTGTCCATTTAAACTCTTCTAAATAATTTATTTTAATCTTTCAGATTACTTTTTTTTACTGTATTGGGCTACTTTTTATTAGTTGTCATTCTAAATATTTAGTAGCCAAGATAGAAATAATCATTTTGTAGTTACATTTAAGGAGAATTTTGTCAGCAATCATTGTGCTTTTTAGAACACTGAAAAAAATTTCTAGGTTGCTTTAATTTTCAAAATTGTGTAATTTTGTAATTCTAATCTATTTGGGGAATTAGTGAATACCTTCTCAGTGAGACTTGTAAAAATCTACTTTTACACTTTCCCTTACTTACATGAGCTCTAGGTTTTCTGTCATCTATGTACTAATAATGTCTTTTTCTTTATTCCAGTGAATCTGCATGTCGGTTTTATAGTCAGCAAATGAAGGGGAAACAACTAGCAATCAAGAAGATGAACGAGATTCAGAAGAATATTGATGGTTGGGAGGGAAAAGACATTGGACAGTGTTGTAATGAATTTATAATGGAAGGAACTCTTACACGTGTAGGAGCCAAACATGAGAGACACATATTTCTCTTTGATGGCTTAATGATTTGCTGTAAATCAAATCATGGGCAGCCAAGACTTCCTGGTGCTAGCAATGCAGAATATCGTCTTAAAGAAAAGTTTTTTATGCGAAAGGTACAAATTAATGATAAAGATGACACCAATGAATACAAGCATGCTTTTGAAATAATTTTAAAAGATGAAAATAGTGTTATATTTTCTGCCAAGTCAGCTGAAGAGAAAAACAATTGGATGGCAGCATTGATATCTTTACAGTACCGGAGTACACTGGAAAGGATGCTTGATGTAACAATGCTACAGGAAGAGAAAGAGGAGCAGATGAGGCTGCCTAGTGCTGATGTTTATAGATTTGCAGAGCCTGACTCTGAAGAGAATATTATATTTGAAGAGAACATGCAGCCCAAGGCTGGAATTCCAATTATCAAAGCAGGAACTGTTATTAAACTTATAGAGAGGCTTACGTACCATATGTACGCAGGTAAGAATTATGCAGTTGCCTGTCACTTTTGTTTTCCTGCTTCAAACTGATTTTCTTTCCTGCATGGGTTTATTGTGCCTAAAATAGAAAAGAAACTAACAACCAAAGACCTCTTTTCTTTGACTAAAAATACCCCACTTTATATTTCTTTGGAATGTTTTACTTTTTCTACTACACTTAAATACTTTTTTTTAACCTTACCATCAGTTATAGATGAGAAAATGAGGTCACTTGGCTAAATTTATCCAGTTAGAAAGTGACAGAAACAAGACTAAAGTTAGTAGTAAATCATCATTATTGGGATCTAAAAAGTTTTTTACTCCTTTATCTTTTTTTTCTTTCTTCTTTTTCCATTTCTGAGATTATAAATAAAAATTTTAATATAACAAAATTGTGCTGGTAGTACAAATATACACGGCATTGCTTTCTCTCAGTTTCCACTCCTAAACCTGATTATTTAATAATAAATGTTGCAATCCTGGAAGCCAAGGATTCCAGTTTTATTATAATTTTTCACCTAGAAATGTCTATAGTCAGTGTATTTATTTTACTGACCCAAAAATTTAAAAAATCATAGGAAATGTAAATAGGCTGCCTAGATTTTACATGAAAAACAAATAGGTTATTGTCATTTTTTTCCATATAAAGCTGTTTTTTGAGAGGTACAATTTTTCGGTAGTATGACCTGCCGATTTAGTTGTGCTTCACCAACCTTTTCTATGTTCTTTATGATCTAGACTACAACTATAAAAATGTTTTTTATTCAGTTACCCAAAATTTGTGATTGCAAAATACTTCTTTTCTGCTTAAGAGATTTTTAAGGCTATAAAAGTTCAAATTGCCCTTCTTGCCACATTTTCCTGGTTTTTAAGTCCCCTTAGAGGACTCATAGAATTTTTATAACATGAGCATTCTAAACTTTATCATTTCATCCTAAGTACTTTTGTTTGGGGTTCCTAGACTCATTTGGAGTAAAATTAATCTTTAGATTTTTCTCTGTGTTTGTAAGAAAGAAGTTTTAATTTTTTTTTTTTTTTTTTTTTTCCTGTAGAGCATTGTAAGAAGACTTACTACTAGTGTTTACTGTCACAAGTCAGTGATACTTGGGCAGGAAAACATTTTCAAATTACAAAATTTTTAATTGTTTCTGTAAGACTTGATTGAGTGATAGAAGTTTTCTCTAAATTGCTATATTTCACAAAGTTAATTTATGATTATTAATAAGCAGCTGAAGAATGGTTACAACTATTGTCTGGGGAACTGTCCCTTTTATTTATTTTTTTAAATGAGGACACTTTAAAGCAAAATTAACTGGAACAAGCTGATACTTGTTTTGTAGTCCTGAAAGTCTTCTTTCCTTAATGTGTACAATGTTAGGTAAAGTCCGTGGACATGGTACTTTTGTAATGATGTTTTATTAGTTATTTCTGTCTGATACTTCTTTTCTATATCAATTTTTAGCTTTGGTATAGAGTAATATTTTGAGTGCTTTTACTTATAATGAATATAAAACACTTAAATTTCAAGATTTATAGAACTTTGCCAAAGTTAAGTGTATTGAAAATTTAAGTTGATGAGATTATTTTACTTAAAAAAAATGTTTTTAAAAAATTCCTTCCAATAATTTTTTGAGAAATAAAAGGCCAGTGTTGTGGCTAAGTTTTTTGATATTTTTCTTTTCTGTCTTCTTTTGAAGCTTAACTGAATATTTTAATTTATGTCATAAATATATTACTGGTGAAACTGGAGTCTACAAGCAGCTTTCGTGAGTTGTGGTTTACAGTACACACACATTAGTGTTAACTGTTAGCTTATTTGGGCTATTCTGTAAGGTCTGTTACTGAAGTTATTACTGGCAACATAGAATGGTTTTTAATAGACCATCTGTGAACTTGTAAAACTGAAATGGACTTTTAAGGCCTCACTACAATGGTAACAGATCAAGTTACCATTTGTTTTTAAGAACTACTGGTCTGCTCTTCTCCTCTCATCTTTCTTCAGCCTCCCCAAAGAGAAAAGGGATTTGTGATTTGGTTAGTAGGTATGTTTATTGGAGAACATGCAGTACAGGTTGTGGCTTACACTGAAACAAAGCTAACATTTAACTTACACATTTTTATTTTATTATATAGAATTGTAATAAAAGACATTGGATATAATACATGAGAAAATTTAATGAATACTATAAGACACGACTTACAGACATCTTTTAGATTATTATAGTTTGGTTAGACATTGTCATAAAAACAGAAGAGAAACTGGTTTAACCTTACTTTATTCAGACTTCACTGTGGTGTCAGCCAACTTTATCCCTCAAATATTTTAACAGTAATGTACAAAATGGAGCTATAGATCTCTAATGCTAGAAGAGATGCCCAAGCCTTCACTTTGTAGACAAATCCCAAGGCCCCTGAAGATTATATGATTTCCCAGAAGTTCTATTACGAGTTAATTCCAGAACAAGTCAAGAATTAGGTTTCTTGACTCTAAATAGAGTATATTTTCTACCATGTTACATTGACTCATATAAGGTGATTGTTTTCATGAATAGAATATGTTGTAATTTTTTAATTATATGTGTTAATAATTAAGTAAAAGGATCTGGTACAGATGTGAGCTCAAAAAAAATAAATAAATTACTTCCTTGGTTTGAACTGCCAATAATATAAATGGCTTGTTCATTTCTGGGCAAACGTGCGTACTATGAAGATATTGTCAGTAATTTTTTTTTCTTGAAATAGGATATAGGTAAGCTCTGACTATAGATACACTTCCATTGGAATGCATAGATTTTTTATGTATAGATACTGGTCATTATTATTATTTTTATTTTTTTACAAAACCCAATTATTAGTCTATTGATGTAGTTTGCTCACTAAAGGGAAAGCTTTGTGGAAAGAAAAATTTAAATTTAGGTGAATTAGAAAGTGGTTAACTTGCTTAAAAGATTGCAACAGGGTCTTAGGTGGAATCTAATTTATAGCTTGTCTCTCAGATTCGGTGTTTCTGGATGTATCATAATTTGCTGACTATATCAGAACTTTGGGGTTTGTCCCAAAAACTAGGGGAAAAATTATCCAATTGGATGGATCATTCTAAATCTGGCAATGGTATGAAGAGACTATTTCCTTATCCTAAGTAAGAAAGCACAAAGCAATATGCACAAATAAAAAGTTGAGAGTAGGAATTTCACGTCTGTTACAGAGTTGTTGTAGGCAACAAAGTACAAGTTAATGAGACCTAAAACAACACGAGTAGATAAATGGTAGGTGGTGCTGTGTCCAGTTTGGTAGTCTATTTTAGAAAAATGAGATGACCCTGAAGTAAGGATAATAATTCAGAATTGACATTTTATGGGAAATAAAAGCTTTGCATATTGAAGTGAGGGAAAAGGTGTTTCCCTTGCCTGGGAATTTCTCTTTTCCAGAAGATGGTATTGAAAAAACTTAAGCCAGAAGATCGTTTTCTTTAAAGTATTTACTGCTATTTTATACCTTCATAGGGAAAAGCCTCAAAAACCTGAATTAGATTTATTTTGAGTTTGTGTCCTATATAAGCTCAGTTTCGGTGTTTTAACTTATTTAAATCTTTTGAACAATTTTTCATCTATAGGGCAGCGCTGTTCTATTTTTATACTCTCTGATTTTTTAAAAAAGTGTTTGTGCGTCAGCATAGCGTCTGTTTCCTTTTTTAAGGAATTCAAGACTGATTGTTTATAAATCCTTGTTGAGGAGCTTATTGTTTCTTGTAGCTTTTTAAATGGCTGCATTAAAGGGAGAATTATCACATGAACAGACATCCTGATTATAACAGTGTTTTACTGTGGTGGTTGGGGGTGGGGTGGTCTTTACATAAATAACTTTTTTATGTAATAAATACAAATTTCATTGACCTTGTCAAATAAAATGTCATGTCAATCAAAATAGGCACATAAGGAAAAAGGATTGGATTATCACTTCCAATCTATATTCTGAACACTAATGTAGGTATACTCTGAGTTCCTAAAATTTTGAAGTATTGTGCAGTAAAATATCAAATAATGGTTTTATAGTGAGGAAAACAGAGACAGAAGGTCAGCAGAAAAAAATAACTACAGCTTCTGTTTGAAATAACCTGGTTATTTCTGTTTGAAAATAACCTAGCTGTTTTGATTGGGGGAAGCAGAGCAACTAGTGAACATGGTGGAAACCTTAGCGTAGGGATTTGAGAGTCAAGTAGCAAAGTAATGTTATCTCTAATGATGAGGGGGAAAAACTGTAGAAAAAGTTTTGGTTGTTGACCATATTGAAATTCATCAGGAGATCATGTTTGAGAAAGAATTTTGTGGAATTATCTCCACAAGTAAGTGATAAACAGAAAGGAGAATATAAAAATGGGCTATTTTTAATTTTTTTCTAGGATTATATGTTTTTGCTTATGTTATAAAGCCAAACCCAGACTGGCTTTTGTATTTTTATGTGTTTACCTTTCATCTCTCTCTGCAACATGGTTTTAGAATATGGGTAGATAACTGCTGCTCCACAACTAACAACGGCAGTATAAAACTTAGCTTTTACCATTGCCTAATCAATGGAACTAGGTATTCTGTTTTCTTACAGAATTATATAACCTGTCCTTATTGATGGGCATTTGTTTATATTATCTTAGCTCTTTACATCATCAGTAAGATAAACGTCTCCAGTGGTTAGCGACATGGTGTGTGTTACAGTCATTGAAATGGAGAAACCAATCCAATAGAAATAAAAATAATGTCTGGAATTTTTATGCTTTTCTGTGTAAAATTTCAAATATAAGTACTTTGTCGTCTTAGTATGTTTTTCATTCATTAGCAATTTTTCATTGCTTTAGACTAAAAACAGAATATAAATTAATACAAGCCTGGGACTATATGCAGCCTTTAAGATATTTTTTGAAAGTACTTAAATTTTTGCCAGATTTTCTTGGTTTGTTTTTAGTTTCTGCTGCTTTTGTCTTTTTGGCAAGACTACTCTTAATTCCAGTCAAGCTAAAAACAACTCTAGAACCTAATACAACAGTCATGATTATGGGAGTGTTTATTTCACTGCCAGCTGCAGAAACCCTGTACAGCATACAGGAAGGTACAGCTGTTAATTCCTAAAATCTAGAATAAGGCTGATCAAGAGTTACAGAATCACAATTAGACTGCTAATTTTTCAGTGACTTTCTGGTGCCTTTAACCAAGATTAGCAGTACAGGTACATTCTGAGTTAATCATTCATGTAAATTTCTATAGTGGTTATATAACTCAAGGTTTAATTCTTTATATTTAGATCTCACAGCTGTGGAAACTTTAAGGGTTTCTTTAATCCAGGGAGGTTATACGATATGATAGAAAAGAGCACTAAATCAGGAATCACATGATCTAGGTTCTGGGTCCATCTCTGCCACTCTACAGTATGACCTTAGATAAGTCTAGTTACATCTCTTCCAGCCCTGCTCACCTCACATAAATCATATGAAATAAGTTATGTCAAAGTTCTTTGAGAATGTTACATAATAGACCAAGAATTGGTGTGATCCCATTTGACTGTGGCACTGAGACACATCATGGCTTTCCCAGCATTATAATCAATTACTAAAGAACTGAAATGGCCAGAAGTTTTGGCTTAAGAAGATGAAAAGTCTGTTTAGAAATAGCTTGCCTTTAAACATAGCCACAGTTTTCTTAAAACATACTTTAAGTCACTTAGAACTTGGCTTTTATTCTGTTTTTCAACTTAAAATTCCTCTTGATGTCCCTCAACTTTTTAGCCTGATTTTCATGGCATTTGAGAAAATATGGAGGTGAGTGTTGATTTTAGATTTTTAGACTGAAATAAACTTTTCCTTTAAAAAGGGAGAGGGCACCCTAAATTTGGAACACAGGTCAAGGATGCTTGGAGTACTCTGTACTGCGGGTATGGGCTCTCTCCAGCAGTGACAACTCAGCATCTCTCTAGTGGCCACTGCTTTTGCTTCCTAAACATGCTGTTTTGAGTAGCCTCACCTTACAAATAGATTTGCAGAACAGGAAGAAGATTCTTGAAAGGGAAGATTGTGATGAAACCGATAAAAATCTCTGTATTAAAATCTTGTACAGCCTTCTGTTTTAATATCTTTTCTTCTGGATGAGACATTAGTCTTTAACTTTTGAGGAACTCTGTAACTGAAGACAAACAATAAAATACCAACAGAGAGGAAATTATTAAAGGATTATATGTATTTAAATTACTTTTATCAGTAACCCACTCTAGCCTCAGAAGGTATAAAGCTAACGGAGAAGGGGACATTTAAAACCAATGTATTTTTATTCTGTAAATCTTTAACTTAAAATAGTATTTTGAATTCAAGGTTGTCTGATATTTAAATCAGTTATTATCTCGATGACCACATATCAATAGATTGGAAGTATATTTCTGTTTTGTGATAAATCCATGAATTTGCTTTTTGGGGAAAAAGCTATTATAAACATGTTATTTTAAGGCTAAACCTAGGATGGGTCTTAGTGAGAATCAGCCTAAATGAAAATTTTCCAAACAAATACATTCTGCTTTTGCTAAATCCTATGCTAATAAAAGACATTGTGCTTCTTATAAAACTTTGACCCACATTATGTAGCCTAACAGAAATAAAGGCATCTGCTACCCTCTATGAATTTACTATTGGAGTCTACCAGTCCCTAATACAAATAGGAAAAGAATGCTCCCAATAAAAGACTCAAGTTACTGAACTTTCCCCTCCTTAAAAAAAAAAAAAAAAAAAAAAAAGATTTACAATTAAATGTGGGCCTTGATAAAATTTGAGTTATAGAAGTGAGTGATTTCTCCCCCCTATTATGGGAGATGTCTTTCCCCCTCTTTATGCAGAAGACAACAGCCCAAGTCTCTTGTGCTGGTGAGAGCAGCCTTTCTCCACAACTTAGGATAATACTGTTAAGGAGAGACGGGAGTAGGTCAGGCCTAGGGGAGTGATCACACTCAGCCTCTTGTTTTACTTCATGGAGATGTGAATGAAAAGTAGGTCCTTTCATGGAAGGGATTGGAGACTCCTATATTTATGATTGACCTCTCATTGTGACTACTTGAAATAAAGGCAATTAAAGGTTGGAATAGGACCAAACCAACATATTCTATCACATTTAATAGTTTTAATAGCTTATAAGTATTTGTAAGCATCTTTAAGTAGTTGTGAGATTTTTAGCAAATAATTTAAAAACTGTATTTAACTTTAGCTACTACTTTATAAGTTCCAATTTCCAGTTGCATGCTCTGTTAACATGATTTAAAGAAAGCTAGATAAGTCATCCTAGATAAACTCATCTTGATGTAAGGAAAAGTAATGGGTTATTGCTGTGGCCTTTCTCTTTATAAGGGGGATAAACCAACTGGTGATACTTTGAGATCCTGGTAGCAGGTGGGAGGGGAGCCTGGTTCCCTGCTTTACCTTTGCTTTTCTTTCTTGCTCATTCCTGTGGCCGATGAGTTTAAGATCATCTTGTCAGTGTGCAGAGGGCAAGAAATAAGTTGATGTAAAGTTTTAATATCACCACTAATTTAGGAGGCACTAAGCTAGCAGTGCATTACCAAGTCCAAAGCCTTCTACTTGGCAAAACATTTTGGAACTTTTAAACTTGACTATTTGATCTATTTTGAAAATGTACATAACAGTTTTAATCATTTTGAATCATAGAGTTTAATAAGATATTTTTCCTTTTTCTTCTTAGATCCCAATTTTGTTCGGACATTTCTTACAACATACAGATCCTTTTGCAAACCTCAAGAACTACTGAGTCTTATAATAGAAAGGTCTGTCCATTTAAAAAATATTTAAATTCATTATTTTTTGTTAAAAAAGAGATTGAGCTAAGATCCTTTTCAGAAATGTTAGATGAGCTTTAAAATATACTTCACAAGCACTTTTTCAATAAATAAAATCTCTTAGATGAACATTTATTTTATAATAATGTTAGCTTTTATTATTTCAATACAAAAATATTCTTTTTTGTATGTGAAAACTCAGTATTTGAAATTTCAAATTTACAGAACTAAAGACCTATATAAAATTTATAGAGTCAAGAAATTCAAATTCTGATGAGTTAGATGTTCTAAGTAAGTTTTCAAACATACTTCATGTTGAGTAAAATGGAACTTGTCAGTGAACAAATACTGTGATGGAAGGAAAATATTTCATGTACCCAAACAAAGAGCAGTCAGTTTTTCTGGAATTACCCTTAACAGTGATTATGTCACCTGATTTAGAGTAATTCCACAGACCAAAAATGAATATCAGTCCCGTAACTTTATAGTCACATTTATTTTTAGAATTTGCATGTATTCTTTATTTTGTTTGTAGTTAGTTTTATCTATATTGGCAAGTACTAATTTCTTTTAAAAATTTTAAAATAATTTTATTAGCCTTTAATACTATAGGAGTCTCACTTGTTTACACTGATATGCATATCTTCAGTAATTTTTTACAGTATTCTCTTGATTTTGCTGACTGGTGAAAACGTTTGTGGTTTTCTATTTGTATAACTCGATATAATTAGTCTTTTCATTAATTTGTTCTATTTTATGTTAGGTTTGAAATTCCAGAGCCTGAGCCAACAGAAGCTGATCGCATAGCTATAGAGAATGGAGATCAACCCTTGAGTGCAGAACTGAAAAGATTTAGAAAAGAATATATACAGCCTGTGCAACTGCGGTAAGCATTAAATAAATGAAGTAAATAAGTCTTTATCAAACTTTCGTTTCAATGTTGAAGTATATAAGGACCTTTCCCAAACAAGGAGAGGGGTGACAATAAAATTAGTAAATTAAATTTACTAATTAGAGCAGTTATCAGAAATTATAGTATAAGCCTTAACATAGAATTTTGGAAGTGTTAAGCACACTGATAAGATTAATTTGGTAAGAGTTACTGCATTTTCATTTGTATTGTACTGTGCATTGTGATAAACATTTATGTTTGATTCCCATGTAATTCAATTCTGTGTTAATGCCATAGAGTATTAAATGTATGTCGGCACTGGGTAGAGCACCACTTCTATGATTTTGAAAGAGATGCATATCTTTTGCAACGAATGGAAGAATTTATTGGAACAGTAAGAGGTATGTTTTTTTTTTTAGGTGCCTAGTTTTATATGTAATAAAAGTACCAACACGGTGACTATCAATTGATGTCATTGGGGCTCAGTAATGTAAGATGTTTATAATAGTACCAGCATAACCATTTCAAAAAGTTAAAAATTTTCATCAAATAGCATTTAGACCTGCAAATGGCTCAAGTCACCCTGTTGATCCAATGTATTTTCATTTAGTGACTCAACTTACTGATTATTTTAGAGTTGATTAAGCCAAGTCTTCATATATATCCCAAAGTATGAGGGCATTTGGGAATTACGTTGTGCCATTATAACACCACTGATGGAGGTCGAGTGGGCCACAGGCAAATAGAATCAGAGAGGAAGCAGAGTGGATTAAATTGAGACTCTATGTCTAACACTGCCACTAATCAGATACGTGACTTTGGGCAAAATCACTTAGATTCTTTAGACTTCAGTTTTCTTATCAATAACATAAGGAGCTAGGTTTGTCGATCTCTAAGGTTTTCCTTCTAGTTTTAAAGATTACGTGAGTGTATGGCTCTAAGGATATCTTAGACAAACTTATTTTTATTTCCTTTGTATGCTCTAAATGATAATCAGAAAATAGTTAAATAATAGTACTTTCATGTACAATATAAAACAGAGCCACATCAAAACTCACACTAAGGAATCAGTCCTCTGGCACTGATATTTATTGGTTTATAAAATGCAGTGTTAATTAGATGAATATTGTGTATAATCTATCCTTATAAATCTTGTGATTTACATAAGATATACCTTTTCTTGGAGGATTATAAAATAATACATTAAACTGAAGATCAGAACAATGGGATGGACAGTCTCTACAAATTAAGTACTTTCTAATTTTATTTGGAAAGGATCTGGAAGAATACATACCAGGCTATTAACAGTGGTTACCCAAATGAAGAAGAATAAGATTAGGATTGGGGACCGGGAAATGGAAAAGGAGAACTTGCATTTTTCATTTTGATCATTTGAACTTTTTATAGCAAAGATACATTCAGGTGTCATCCGTGTGACTTTAAACCATTTTTAAAATATAAAATATTAAATAAAGAATATTTAAATGTTATTTAAAATATAATGTATTGCAGGTAAAGCAATGAAAAAATGGGTTGAATCCATCACTAAAATAATCCAAAGGAAAAAAATTGCAAGAGACAATGGACCAGGTCATAATATTACATTTCAGAGTTCACCTCCCACAGTTGAGTGGCATATAAGCAGACCTGGGCACATAGAGACTTTTGACCTGCTCACCTTACACCCAATAGAAATTGCTCGACAACTCACTTTACTTGAATCAGATCTATACCGGTATGTAATTTAACATTCAAGTTGAAAAGTCATTTCAAAAGAGTTAACTTTTAAAATGAAATACTGATTTCTGCCTTATAGGGTTTTCATAAGACTTAACTGAAATATTACATGAAGTGTCTAGTAATAAGGCCAGGCAGGCAGTTCCTGTTCTTTTACTCCCCTGGTCCCTCTAGCTGAATTTACACCTTCTGTCTTTCTGTGTTCACCCCTAGTTGGTAAGGCTAGGTTCAAATCCTGGCTTTACCAATTGCTGGCCCTGGGCAACTTTAACCTCCTTGTGTGACTTTATCCTTCTGCCCCTTATTTTCCTCAAGAGTAAAATGGGGCTACTGATAGTACCTACTCCTGGGGCTGTTTTGAGGTTTGCAAGTCAATATATGTACATTACCTAGCACAAAGTAAGGGCTCAATAAATGTTAGCTACTGCTTTATTGTGAACTTACAGCCATTATAGTCTTTTTTAATCATACTACATTGATGTAATTATCTCAAAAATGTCCTTCTGATTTTAAATGGAGACTACTTAGAATCTTAAATTATTCACTTTTTAATAACTAAATGAGAAAATGAGATAAATTTATAGATCTCCCACTGAAAATCGTATTTCTGAAAATTACAGTGTTAGAATCTATTTTATTTCCTAGGACCCTTTTGTGGTAGGTTTTTTTCCTCTCCTCCTTTAGACCAAAAGAAAAAAAAAAGATGTGTGAATGCATTGATTACTGTACCCTCTTTGAACTGATTATAACAGATATCATTACTTAAATGTCTACTTTGTCACCCTAATTTATTAATAATGTTTATAAGTGCTGGGAAAGATATTATGGAGGAGTCTCAACCTTGCCCAAAGCAAAATGCTACTATAAAGGAACGCTAAAAGTACACAGGTATTTCCATAAAAATAGTTTTTAAAAACAGTTTTTAAAGGCTGGGCATTGTGGCTCACTCCTGTAATCCCAGCATTTTGGGAGGCCAAGGCGGGTGGATCATCCGAGGTCAGGAGTTCGAGACCAGCCTGGCCAACATGGTGAAACCTTGTCTCTACTAAAAACACAAAAAATTAGCCAGGCATGATGACGGGCGCCTGTAATCCCAGCTACCCAAGAGGCTCAGGCAGGAGAATCACTTGAACCTGGGAGGCGGAGGTTGCAGTGAGCCAAGATCATGCCATTGTACTCCAGCCTGCACAACAAGAGTGGAACTCCATCTCAAAAAAAAAAAAAAAAGTTTAAAAAAAATCCATAAGGAAATATGCATAATTACACTTTTTTGTTATACCTTGTTTTCACAGACCTTTCTGTTGGTATAAGAGGAAAGTTCATATGAGAGTTTAGTTTTTATTTGTCTCCTTTACTTAATAAAACAATGTCTATATTAGAGAAAAAAGTGTCATGTAGAATTATGTATTGATGATTTTAGAGCTGTACAGCCATCAGAATTAGTTGGAAGTGTGTGGACAAAAGAAGACAAAGAAATTAACTCTCCTAATCTTCTGAAAATGATTCGACATACCACCAACCTCACTCTGTGGTTTGAGAAGTAAGTATTCCTAGCATTCTTATATTTTATAGCTGTCAGCTATGTTATGAATTTCAATGCAATTTTTTTGTTTGTTTTTTTTGAGACGGAGTTTTGCTCTGTCACATAGGCTGGAGTGCAGTGGCACATCGGCCCACTGAAACCTCCACCTCCCAGGCTCAAGCGATCCTCCCACCTCAGCCTCCAGAGTAACCAGGATTACAAGTGTGTGATATCACACTCACCTAATTTTAATTTTCTTTCTTTCTTTTTCTTTTTTTTTTTTTTTGAGACAGAGTCTGGCTCTGTTGCCCAGGCTGGAGTGCAGTGGTGTGATCTCAGCTCACTGCAACCTCCACCTTCCGGGTTCAAGCAATTCTCAGGCCTCAGCCTCCTGAGTAGCTGCAACTACAGACGCACACCACCACACCCAGCTAATTTTAGTATTTTTAGTAGAGATGGGGTTTCATCACATTGGCCAGGCTGGTCTTGAACTCCTGACCTCAAGTGATCCACCCCTCTTGGCCTCCCAAAGTGCTGGGATTACAGGCGTGAGCCATCGCTCCTGACCAATGCAATTTTATTTCTATATGTCTCATGTCTTTTTCCTCTATTCCTCCTTTCTTTTGCATTGAGTGTTGATGAAAATGATAATATTTGTCATTAGAAAATATTGAATGTTTTTCTAATGTAGCATTAATTTTTTTCATTAACTTTTTTTGAGGTCCTTTTAGTGGTTGCCTGGTTGCCTTACAGTTTACCCTACACATCTTATCAGAATCAGCTTCAGACTTATAGTAGCTTAATACCAGTGACATATGAAATATTACTCCTATGTAGCTCTATTCCCTTTCTCCCTTTTTTTTGTGGTACTGTAATACATATTACATCTTATTAATGATGCAAATCAAACAATACATTGTTAACAGTTATTACTTTACCATTTGTCATCATCCTCTTAGCCCATTAAAGCTTTGCTCTCACCCACCTTCTTTGTGTATTATTGGCAACATATTACAAATATATTACATTTCTATGTCAATAAATTCAACAATGTTTATATTATTTTATACAGTTGTTTAAGTCAGTTATGAGAAGAAATGAGAAAAAAATACGCATTTACAAAATGTCTTTAATAATTACACAATTACCTTTACTGATGGTCTTTGTGTGGATTCGAATTACCATCTGGGATCACTTGCTTTTCAGCCTGAAGAACTTCCTTTAGTATTTCTTCTGGAGGGTGGGCTAGCAACAAATTCTCTCAGTTTTTGTTTATCTGGGAAAATCTTTATTTTACCTTCGTTTTTGAACAATGGCTCTATCTTCAAGTTAATATTTTTTTTTTCAGTTCAAATATACTATTGAGCTTATCCAGTAAGTTTTTTATTTCAGTTATTGTACTTTTTAATTCCAGAATTTCCCTTTGGTTCCTTTTTATAGTTTCTATCTCTTTAATGATATCCTCTCTTCGATGCACATTGTCATCAATACCTTCCTTTCCTTCTTTTTCATGCTTTCCTTTAATTCCGTGACCGTATTCATAATGGCTACTTAGAAATCTTTTTTGTTACTGTTGTTAAATCTGACATTTGGTTGCTCTCACAGGCAGTTTCTGTTCCTTCCACCCCCTCCGCCCCACCCCCACCCCTTGTAAGAGTCATACTTTCCTATTGGTTTGCATACCTCATCTGTTTTTGCTGGAAACCTGACATTTCAGATAATATAGTGTAGCAACTCTGAGTACTGCTCCTCCTTCCCCAGCCCCCTTTCCAGGGCTTCTTATTGCATGGCAGTGGTACTGGAAAGACTCATCCACTCCTTACCTGACCACACACACCCAGCTATGAAACTCCACAATTTGCCAGCTGATTGCTCTGATGTTTTCAACAATTTTCTGGTGGCATAAATGCTATACAAAATAATGCAATCAAATTGTGGCTCCTTTGAAGGAATGGTTTCTGAGATTTCTGTTTGATACTTGTTCTGACCCCAGGAGGGCTCCTCTCAGCCGTCTTATTTCCTAGTTGTCTCCTGCAAACTACTCTGCCTACAGTCTAGGGTGTATCTTCATTAGATCCACAAATCTCTTCCCCATTGCCTTTCACCACAATTTCCACTGTTCCTAAGGGCACCATTAAATTTAAACTACTTTATACTTTGTTGCAAATGACAAGAAATTAGGAGCTATCTGTTTGAAACAGGGCTCTGGGGCTGGGCAACAATGGCAAGCTTTTCTCTGAGTGACACTTCTGCCCTAGGAGCTAAGTGCTTGGTTGAGCAGGTAGAGTGGCAGACGGATGCTACTGCAGCCTGAGGTCTTCTTACCCGCCTCTTCTGGCATGGAACCACGCCCTCAGGAACCAGAGGAAGGGCTCTTTTCTCAGTATGCTCAAAACATCACACCCAAGGTAGCGTCTCCATTCCATAAGTGGAAGTTGGGCAAAAAAGGGTATTCCTACTTCTCAGCTGCACTCAACTGGGACTTGGCCTCAGCAACAGGCAGCAGGGACAGGATGAGAAAACTGAAGTCCTGCTCCTGCACCTCACCGGGAGCTAGGTGTTCTTGACTGCAGGAATCTGGAGTAGATGCTCAGTTCACCCTCACTGAGCTGGGAGAAAGAAGGGAGGGACCAGTCTTGGTTCAAATACCACAGACTCTCTCCCCTCTCTTACCAAATTTTTGTAGATTTTCCTGAATAGATGTTTCTTTTGCCATTTGCTCTCAGGGCCATTACTAGAGACTTTAAATGTGTGTGTGTGCGTGTGCATGTGTGTGTTTGTGTGTATGTGTGTTTTAATAATTTTTACCAGTTTCACTCAGTGAAGCTCCTCATACTATCATACCACAAGTCCAGAATCTCAATGCAATTATATATTAGGTTGGTGCAAAAGTAATTGCAGTTTTTGCCATTACATTTAATGCTGTTCGTAGAAATGTAGGAAACATAGGAACAGAGCTGTTCCTAGAAATGTATGTAGCCAATAATATATGAAAGAAAGAAATTGAGCATTAATCACTAAAATCTTGCAATTAGATGAAGAATAGAACACAACAGAATTCTTGAATTCTACTAGAATACACCCACATCACAAAGACCTCACAAAGACCTCCATACATTCCACAAGATAGTGGCCTCACCAGTTAATTCTGATGCTAATAGAGGATGCACCAAATATAGTAGGAAAATGATTGTTTGACTGTACCAGTCTAGAAGACGGGAAAGAGCAGTATGCCTGACTGGAGGCACTGCCTTCCTTCTATCAGTCACCCTGAATGTGTCTTCTCTATAGTAGTTATACTATCGCCACCCCCCTACTCTCTACATTATTTTATTTACTAAATTCTTTAAGCTATAACTTTATTGGAAAAACTCTAAAACCTTTAGTTCACTTTTTTTTTATTCCCAGATGTATTGTAGAAACTGAAAATTTAGAAGAAAGAGTAGCTGTGGTGAGTCGAATTATTGAGATTCTACAAGTCTTTCAAGAGTTGAACAACTTTAATGGTGTCCTTGAGGTTGTCAGTGCTATGAATTCATCACCTGTTTACAGACTAGACCACACATTTGAGGTAGGTTTCTACATGTGTTTTTAAAATGAACTTTCATTCCCTATTAGAAAAATTAGATTTTTAACAATTATTATCTTTAATTTTTAAATGTCTCATTTGTCTTTTCAGTAGTAGATTAAAAGACTGAATTATCTAAGTTTTGTAATGAATTGGTTGCTTTTTAAAATTTAAGCATTCCTATTAAAATGTATTCACAGGTCCCAGCCTAAGCTAGAAGAAAAAACTTTCGGCACTTAATTTGTAAGATAATGTACAGTTAAATGTTCACATAATTGTGTAAGGAATGACATGATAAACTAGATCTCTCTCACACACACACATACTTTAAGTTTATACTGAGGTCTATGAAGATAATTTATTTGAAGCAATATTTGAAGCAATGTTACAGTCATAAAATCAAATTGATACTGTTGTATTTGGGCGTTTCTGTTAGCCTAGTATTTTTTTTGACAAGACCTTTGATTCCTTTTGTAAACTTACGCCTATTTTTTTTCCTTATAGCAAATACCAAGTCGCCAGAAGAAAATTTTAGAAGAAGCTCATGAATTGAGTGAAGATCACTATAAGAAATATTTGGCAAAACTCAGGTCTATTAATCCACCATGTGTGCCTTTCTTTGGTAAGTATTTCTTTCTGAATTTTTATTGCATTTCTGGATAAAACAAAACACTCATTTCATTAAATGACTGAATAATTACATGTGTAATATGCCAGCAGAAAATACTTGTTTGATCAATATTTAGCACCTGAAGCCCTTTAGAATTTTTCTCATTAAGACTTAAGGTGAAGTCTAATATACATTTCATTTTCTATTTTCATCTTAGGCAGCCATTAGATATTATTTAATACTTGTGTTTTTATATTTATAAAAGCCTTTTTAATTGCATTTTAATAAACTAAATACAGCAGAGGCATAGCCAAACTCAACTATATTTATAATCATTTTTGTAAACAGTTTCACATGGCTAAAAATCATAGTGTGCCTGCTGTGCCTTTGGGCCCACACCTCTGGCACATCAAAATTTTATTCTCTTCATCCTCTCCTATTTTTCCCCTTCTGCATCAGAGGAAGGAAGTACCTTTTCCTTCCTTTTTAGGACTGAATCTACCACCTGAATCTCCCTTTCTGTAGGTTCCTCTATCTTTTTCCGTTCTTTATTTCCTTTATTTTCATGTATTCAATATCTCTTTCCTACTCTCATCTTTTCTCTGCCTGAGTATATGCTCTGATGATCCTTCTTTTGAATGCTTATAGAAATTATGATCTCTCTATAGTCTCTTTAGTATGTGCTATAGTTTCTTCTAGCCTTTTCCTCATCTATATTTTTTATATAGTTTTAAATCCCACTGCATATAACAATGTTATGTCCTGATACTTTTAATATATTTTCCCACATTTTATTGTTTGGGCTTTATAGCAACCATTTTTGTATTTACTTCTAATCTTTTTGCTGTGCACATTGTATATAATTGTAATTGTATGATGTGCATATTAAGGTTATTCACTTATCATATCTTATATTTTTGTATTTTATTAAATAATCTTAATTATTTATAATGGCTGCATAATATTCCATAAAGTTGGACAATTTGTTTTAACCATTACCCTGTGATTGGACACATTGTTTCCAGCTTTTTTGCTTTCCACATGATTTTCTGATTCACATTTTCATTTATACTATTTTTCTGTATTTGAAAATATCTTCTTGAGACAAATAACCAGAGGAGGAATTACAGTAGTGCTCCCATCTCCACGGTTTCACTTTCCACGGTTTCAGTTATCCATGGTCAGCTTTGGTCCAAAAACATGAGATATTTTGGGAGAGAAAGACCACATTCATGTAACTTTTAGCTATTTTTAATCTTACTGTGCCTAATTTATAAATTAAGCTCATACGTATGTATGTATGTGTATATGTATGTATAGGGTTTAGTACTACCTATAGTTTCAGGTATCCACTGGGGATCCTGGAACATATCACCTTTGGATAAGGGAGGGACTACTATACATAGGTTAAAAGGTGTCCATTTTTAAACTGTTGATATGTGATTTTAAGTTGCTTTCTGAAAGGCTGCCATGAGAAGTGTATGACAATTATGCTGCCATCAAGTGTATGACAAAGCAAATTTCATCCCATGGTTTCCAATTTTGGATACTTTTTTTTTTCATTTCTATTATTACAACTACTAAGCTATTTGTTGCAATAATTTCCATTCTTTGATTACTGTGGAGATTTTTTTCATACATTCTTTAATATTTGTATTTCCTCTTGTCCATGTCATTTTTCGTATCTCCTGCAAACAATCTGCCTTGTACTTTTTATTCATTGACATGTATTAGTTTTAAATTCTACCATCTGTCCTTTCTCATTCTGGTTTCTATTGTTTCTAACCTTAGAAAGTTCATATAATCTAGTAATAATCATATTTTCTTCTAGCTTTTTTTATGACTTTCAAAATTATATTTAACTCTAATATCAAACTGAAGTATCTTTAATATCTTATGAAATACTCAAATTTATTTCCCCACCCAAATTATTTATTTGTTAATCTAGGTTTACTGAATGATTCTACTTTTTCCCTGTTTACATATGGGACTTCCTTTTTTTTTTTTTTTTTTTTTTGACACAGAGTCTTGCTCTGTCACCCAGGCTGGAATGCAGTAGCTGCCATCTCGGCTCACTGCAAGGTTCACGCCATTCTCCTGCCTCAGCCTCCCAAGTAGCTGGGACTACAGGCGCCCACCACCACACCCAGCTAATTTCTTTTTTGTATTTTTAGTAGAGACAGGGTTTCACCGTGTTAGCCAAGATGGTCTTGATCTCCTGACTTCATGATCCGCCCACCTTGGCCTCCCAAAGTGCTGGGATTACAGGCTTGAGCCACCGCACCCGGCCAGGGACCTCCTTCTTTAATATGTATTGTATCTCACTGACTTCCTATACCCCTGCCACAGTTTTAAGGATTGTCACTTTATAATCAGTGATTCTCAGCAGGGGGCAGTTTTTGCCCCCCTAGGGAGCATTTAGCAATGCCTGGAGACAATTTTTTTTTAATTGTCCTAATTGGGATGGTGCTACAGGCATCTAGTGGGTAGAGGATAGAGATATTGTTAACATCCTGCAATGCATAGGACACTTCCCCACAGCCAATAAGTAAGTATCCAGTCCAAAAAGTCAGCAGTGCTGAGACAGAGAAACCCTGCTTTATATAGTGTTTTCACAGATGATAAAGTTGGTTCTTCAGGGTTTCTTCAGTCCTTTTTTTTTGGCCAATTTTGCCTGTTTATTTTTCCAAATGAACTTTATAAGTTTGAGTGGGGGGGGATGCCCCCAAATGTAACTGGAACAATCTGTCAATTAATTTGTAAAGAACATTTATTATATTTAGCATTTCCCCTTATTATTTTTCCTGGGTATTTTTGGTTTGAATGGTATTCATTAAGTTACCTTTAATTCCAAGAATTTTTAATTTCCTTGGGTTTTCTAAATATTTAATCATGTTTACAAAATATGATACAGTGTCTCTTCCTTTGACCTTATTTCTATGTTACGCCTTACATAATTGGTCATTAACTTCCCAAACAAAGCTTTAAAAATAATGGCAGAAATAAGCAGCTTGTTTGAAACTCAGTTTTAGCGGGGATAAAGTATAATTTTACTACTTGCTTGATTAGATGGTTTTTATCCTTTTAAGAAAGCATCCTTCTTGCTACAGAATTGCTTCATTTCATTATTTTAAAAATACTAGCCTTCAATTTATATCTACAAACTTTTTTTAATTACCGCTATTTGTAATATATCTTTCTCATTTCTGTTTTCACTTACTTGCTTTAATTTACTTTTTCTCCAAAAAGATAAGGTCTCTAATTATCTGCTGATCTTATGAGGTTTAAAAAAAATCATTATTAATTCCTAGTTTTCCTGAGGACTTTTCCCCTACCCCTACGTTCTTTTTTTTTTTTGATACAAGGTCTCACTTTATCACCCAGGCTAGAGAGTACAGTGGCACCATCTTGGCTCACTGCATCCTCCACCTCATGGGCTCAAGCAGTCATCCCGCCTCAATCCCCCAAGTAGGAGGAACTACAGGCACAAACCACTATGCCTGGCTAATTTTTTTATTTTTTGTAGATACAGGGTTTCACCAGGTTGCCCAGGCTGGTCTCGAACTCCTGAGCTCAAGAGATCCACCTGCCTTGGCCTCCCAAAGTTCTAGGATTACAGGTGTGAGCCACCGTACCCAGCCTGACCCTCTACATTCTTGATAAAAATATTGAGTTCATTGATTTTCTCTTCCTGGAAAAATATTAAAGCCTATATGTTTTTGCTTAAAGATATTACCAGTTCGTTTAAGAGGAACTGGAAAGGCTCTGGATATATCTGACGGTATGTCATTCAATCTGTCAACGTATATTTCTTGAATACCTACTAAGTACCAGGACTACGTCAGGTGCTTAGAAAAGTGAAAAATACACAGTCAGTCTGCTCACCTAGCTTATAGTCATGCTACTCATGATATCCCATGGTCTCCGGTACACAGACATGAAAAGAAACCTCAGGACCCATTCACTGACTCACTATTTGGCCCCTGCTCCTGTAACATCCTAATGGTTGGTATTTATTTATACAAACTGAAACTGTCCAAAGTCCTCTCTCAGATCTTTATAAACTTAACTGATCTTCATAACATGTTCTCTTTTTTTTTAAGACAGTTTCACTTTTGTTGCCCAGGCTGGAGTGTAATGGCACGATCTCGGCTCACTGCAACCTCTGCCTCCCGGGTTCAGCAGTTCTCCTGCCTCAGCCTCCCAAGTAGCTGGTATTACAGGCACCCACCACCACACCCGGCTAATTTTTGTATTTTTACTAGAGACAAGGTTTCACCATGTTGGCCAGGCTGGCCAGGCTGGTCTCAAACTCCTGACCTCAGGTGATCCACCTGCCTCAGCCTCCCAAAGTGCTGGGATTACAGGCGTGAGCCACTGCGCCTGGCCATAACATGTTCTTAAGTGAAAGGAGGAAGTTTCAGACCCACTTTAGAGTATGATTTCATAAGGTGTTTTAAGGTGAGCTGTGTGATTTATTGAGTGAATACAAACATGTAGGTAGTTTGATAGGCACACAAAGTTTAATAGGTGCAGCCCATCTGCCAACCTTCGTACCCCTTTCTTCTTGCCCATCTTCCTAGTTACTGAGCCTCTGCTCCTTTAAGGTAGTTTATCTACAACTGACCCTGGTCAGTTTTGGTGCCCTATCTGTGCTATTCTTAAGCTAAAAGTTACCAGTCTCTGGAGTTAGACAGCCTTTCATACAGTTCTGATCCGGTGGGTAAAGCCAGATGTTATTGCTGCTTCTGAATTCCATCCTGTCTATATGGTAGTTTATAGAAACTCCTTCCAGATTCTTTTCCTAAATTCTGGATACTGGTTTTCAAACCCCTTCTTTGGGGGAGGGTCAGGGATAGTAGCTGATACTTCCTCTATTATTTTACCAGCGTTAGTCCCATCTTTTGCTGGCACAACCACCATTTAAAGAATAAAAGTAGGGCAGTCACTCCTTCCAAAGCTCTGCCAGATGTTTCAGGTCTATAACACAGTTTTTCTCCATAAACTAAAATATTCTACTGATAGGAGAATGGATAGGTGGGCTAAGAAATGAATTTTTTCAGCTGGGCGCAGTGGCTCAAGCCTGTAATCCCAGCACTTTGAGAGGTTGAGGTGAGCGAATTGCTTAGGGCCAGGAGTTCAAGACCAGCCTGGCCAACATGGCAAAACCCCATCCCTACTAAAAATACAAAAGTTAGCCAGGCATGGTGGTGCATTCCTGTAGTCCCAGCTTACTCGGGAGGCAGAGGCACAAGAATTGCTTGAACCTGCCAGGAGGCAGAGGTTGTAGTAAGCCAAGATCGCACCACTATACTCCCGCCTGGGTGACAAGGCGAGACTCTGTTTCAAAAATAGAATTTTTTCTAAGGTAAAAGGAGGATGTACCTTAATCAGGTTTGTCATCAAACATCCAAGCCTTTAGCATTGGCTTTGCCCTTTGCTTTTACACAGCTCTGATCTTGTGTCCTCCTTCTGTTATGTGTAAATTTGCCTTGTCTCCATTCTTGCTTTCCAGCTATTTTAGAATTGATTCTCATATCCTGGCCTGTCTTTTAAATGTCTCTCTTCTATTTTGAAACAATATACTTCTTTCATTCAATCGAAAACCTTTGCTGAATGCCTCTATGTGTTATGCCCAGGGCTACATGCTAAGAATAGACAGATAAGATACAGTTCCGTAGTTTCTGTTCCCTTGAAAGAGCAGAGAAATAAGTCACAGCACTGTGTAGTAAGCATAACACTGTATTGTAGAAAAGTGTAGACTGAAGTGTGGACAAATGCCAGAGAAGCCTAGAATCCTAAGCAGCTACTTTATCCTGGGAAGGATGGGAAAGACATCAGCAAAAAAGGTGAAACCTCAGCCCTCTTCTTTGTCATAATGCTCTGTTTTCTCTTTCCCTAGAAGAGCTGCCTCCAGAGGTAGGGTATGTTAAATGATATATTGAAGTACAGGAGTAACTAGACTTTCTATTTATATATTTTTTAAAACATGAAAAAAAAACCTAAGCTTTACTAATATATAATTCTCAGGTTTATGTTATACATACACACATATACGCTATGTTTTTATTAAACTATATATGTGTATATAGGGAGAAAGCGAGGATATGTGCTTAAATATTTTTTACTGATGCAGTGTAAGATCAAAGTTTGGACACCACTGCTGTGATCATTTGTTCTTTTAGCTAGCCATCAGTTAGGCACAAAATAATTTCCAAATTTCATCCCAAACTGTACCAAAGTGCTACTTATAAGCATTTTCACAACTTCATTCAAGTGTGCTTTCAAGAACAAAGCTGTGAGTCTTCATTCCCACTGCCCCCATTTCCTCCCCAAACCAGTTAATCAGTTCTTGGGGAGTCTACCTCTTAAATATTTATCCACTCCCCATTATCCCCACAGACACTAGGGCAGCCCTCATCATCTCACCAGGACTATTGTTAGCCTACTAACTGCTCTTCATGTTACTGGTCTTAACTCCTTCCAACCCACCTGGCTTCATAGTACACCTAGAGTAATCCTTCCAGAATGCAAACAAAATCCTTCTAATTCCCTAATTATCTCCTAGATAAAAGTTAAGCTATTTGACAAAAGGCACACTTCATGACCCAGTCCAAGTGCTAATACCCACAAACTCTTCACAGATGGGCCATCAGTTTGTGACCACTATGGAAGGTTGATTTGGGCTGCCATTGAGCATGCATACTCTTATGGACGTGTTTGTCAGACTGAACACTGAGCTGAGTGGATCATGCAACTTGTGTAGAGGACAGTATAAATGGCTGAAAATAAAAGCCAAATGACAGGCAGATGTGAAAATAAAAAAGCCTGTGCTTACTAGAACACACAGTCACTTTGTCTTATGAATGTATCATCAGGCATAGCCCAGGTGCTGAGAAATAACCAAGTAACTAATGCACTTAATAACTGGATCCTTTTAAAAACCAAACAGGCATTGATGTCAGATTTCATTATTGCTGATCTGTTCAATATTGATTTGGATCCTTTTATCTTTCCAAGGATGTGGCCAAAGATTTCTGTGGTGTATGCCTCTACCACAAAAGCATTTAGAAGTACAAACCCAGCCCTTGCCTATGTCTATCCTCATATCCTGCCACTCTTCCTCTACCCCACACACCAAACCCCTATGGTCTAGCCATACTAAAGAGCAAATTATCTCTAAGTATGCCTTTCAAGCAAGCTTCATCATCATGAATCAATGCCTTTATACACACTGCTGCTTTGCTTAGACTGCTCTTCTACTTTATTCTACTCATTACACTTCTCATTTTTTGGGACTTATTCTAAGCATTATCTCATCTGTGATGCTTTTTCTAGTCCTCCCAGCTCAAGACAGAGTTTGGAATACCTCCTTTTTGCTCTCATAGCATGTTATGCATTCCTACTAATATAGCACCTCCTAGTATGTAGCGCTTAGCAAATTATACTGTAGTAGCCAACAGTTCAAAGCTCTGGATCCCTGAGGTCAGGAACGCCTTAAGCACTGGACTGCTGGAGGTCTTTCTCATCTTTGTACCTGCAGTACCTAATGCAGGACTTGGCTTACAGCAGAGAATCCGTACACATGTGGGGAGTGAACGAACTCAGGATCTTTTTTCTCCTCAAAGCATTGTAATCAGTACTTTAGGGAAAAAGGTAGAAGCATAAGAATATTAGGGCAAGATGCAACAACAGCATCAACAATCACAACCACGGCTAATTAATACTTAACGTTCGTCAGGCTCTATTCTAAGCTCATACATATATTCACTCATTTGTTTCTCACAGCAACCCTCCTGTCCTCATTTTACAGATGAGAAAAACTGAGGCACAGAGAGACTAATTAAGCAATTTGCACAAGATCACACACACAGGCTGCTCGCGGTGACTCACGCTTGTAATCCCAGCACTTTGGGAGGCCAAGGTGGGTGGATCACCTGAGGTCAGGAGTTTGAGACCAGCCTGGCCAACATGGTGAAACCCCGTCTCTACTAAAAAATACAAAAATTAGCTGGGTGTGGTGGCATATGCCTGTAATCCCAGCTACTCAGGAGGCTGAGACAGGAGAATCGCTTGAACCCAGGAAGAGGAGGTTGCAGTGAGCCAAGATCGTGCCATTGCACTCTAGCCTGGGAGACAGAGTGAGACTCCATCTCAAAAAATATAAAATATAAAATATAAAAAAAAAAATAAGATCACACACAGAGAAGGCAGCAGAACTGGTTCCAGAGCCTTTATGCTAGAATAGAAAGTGCCTGTTATTTTGTTCATTCTCCTCCTCGTCCAGTGTACAGCTGTAGTGATGGGGAAACAGGAAATCAATTACTAGGTTGCCACTAAGTCTACAAACTATTGAAGACCAGAATTTACATAAATCGTATGCAGTCCCACATTTGACAGGCTTGCAAAACCTTCCACATTTCCATGAGTAAGCCTATCCAAATAGTACTACTTCTCAATTGCAAATCATAACAACCTCTTGTGTGGCCGTCAGAGCTGACTAAGCAGAAACTATGATCCTCTGAATTTAGTATTTTTCCTGTTTGCCAAAAATGATGTGTCATTAGTGACGAAGTTATTCTTAAAGTTCCTTTAACAAAACTGTGATTTATATCAAATAACAATGGCTTGGAGGGGGTATGGAAAATTGATTATTCTTCCTAACAAATCTATTAATTTTATTAAACTTGGTCTCCCTCCCTTTTTCTTGGATGTTTATAAAATTTAAGTCTTTCTAAAAAAAATAAAAAAATAAAAAATATGTATCCCACTGCCTTCTGGCCTCCATGGATTCTGATGAGGAAAAAAAAAAAAAAATTTAAGTCTTTCACAGATACTTTCTCTTAAGCTGCTGTTTTCATATCATGGAAATCTGAGCCTTGGTTCTTTTGTTTTGGCAACTGAGATGGTACAGTGTAATATACCCACAATTAATGAAACAGAAAAAAACTTGCATTTTCCTTCTTTATCCTTGAAATCATTCCATTATATCTTCTAGGAATTTATCTCACTAATATCTTGAAAACAGAAGAAGGCAACCCTGAGGTCCTAAAAAGACATGGAAAAGAGCTTATAAACTTTAGCAAAAGGAGGAAAGTAGCAGAAATAACAGGAGAGATCCAGCAGTACCAAAATCAGCCTTACTGTTTACGAGTAGAATCAGATATCAAAGTAAGTTGAATTATTTAAAGATTCATACTTCTGATTAAGTTTCTAAACTACTTAATAAAAGGCAGGTTTATTTTATAGGGGAGAAAAAGTAAAATAAACCTTAAAAGAAATAATTCAAATTTACTTGTATTAAATGTTTTCTTAACTTTCCATGAATTTCAAACTGAATTTATAATTTTGAATATTAATAATTTTTTCTTTGCATTTATTTTAGAGGTTCTTTGAAAACTTGAATCCGATGGGAAATAGCATGGAGAAGGAATTTACAGATTATCTTTTCAACAAATCCCTAGAAATAGAACCACGAAACCCTAAGCCTCTCCCAAGATTTGTAAGCATTTGTATATTTGTCTGGTGATGTCATTACTACCATATGTGTTATATAGTTTTCCATAAAGGTATTCAGGGATGAAGTATACATGTGATAGTTAAAAGTAATGAAAAAGTACTTAATAATTATGTCCAGGAATATCCCACTTCCTTCCAAATAAATGAATGTTAGTATTAATTTGAGTAAATCCTGATATCAAAGATGATGAAATTGAGCAAATATTATGTAAGTTTTTAATTTTTTTTACCCCAAAAAATGTTAAGATTTTAAAGACAGGAATTTTAATGAATTTATACTAATTCACTTGTAATAAAATATCTACTTATGACATTTTAAAAGTAATGACTTATTAGAACTTTCAACCATGAATCATGAGCCATAAAATACCAAGTTTTGCTAACAATACTTTCTTGGGAAAATAAAGTTTCCATTGTTTTTTGTTACTTGTCAGTGCCCAGCCAAATTTATGAATAGAATCACCAACTCACTGATTTGACTATGTACTCTCTTGTTCATAAAAAAGTCAAAAGTCTGCCAGGTGCGGTGGCTCGTGCCTGTAATCCCAACACTTTGGGAAGCTGAGGCGGGTGGATCATCTGAGGTCAGGAGTTTGAGACCAGCCTGGCCAACATGGTGAAAACCCTGTCTCTAATGAAATACAAAACTTAGCCAGACATGGTGGCGGGAGCCTGTAGTCCCAGCCACTTGGGAGGCTGAGGCAGAAGAATCACTTGAACCCGGGAGGCGGAGGTTACAGTGAGCCAAGATCGTGCCATGGCTATCCAGCTCCAGCCTGGGAGACAGAGCAAGACTCGTCTCAAAAAAAAAAAGTCAAGAATCCTGAATTAAACATAGATGGCTTCTAAGTGACCAAGATAAATCACATAATGTCTTTTAATTAAAGTGTATGCAATTGCCTGACAGCAAAATTTCTCAAGCCCTTGTTCAGTTTTTAATAAGATGGATTAAAAATAGAAAATTATAAATAGGTATATAATCTGATCCAATGAAGCACTCACTGAGAAATGATCATTTTGCAAGGAAAATGCAATAAAACCAACATACATACACAAATGAAAATTGGGCAATTTAATGTATTCGTAAATATCTCAAATGGTCCTGATGGCATCACTGTATTACAGAATAGAAAGGTATTGTAATTCACAGTGATGATCCTGGCTTTTCAACAAGGTTAAATTTGCTCAAAATAGTCTGTTTTAAAAACCAGGGAAATATACAATACATTTTAGAAAAACTTCTACCCAAATGTATTAAAATAACAAATACTCTAGTATTTATAGGACTAAAACTTAGTTATTTAAAGAAATGCATTCTTTAACAATTTAGATACCAGGGCTTTAGCAAAATAGAATGTTAATGCTTTAAATGTTCTACTTTTATTTGAATAATTATGTCCTTATTAGTGATTTATGATTTTCCTGTATATTAGCTGAATTTTACCAGGCACATATAGAAAAACTTTCCTTTCTACTACAGTGTTTAAAGTATTGTGTTTCTTTTGATATGTCTACAGCCAAAAAAATATAGCTATCCCCTAAAATCTCCTGGTGTTCGTCCATCAAACCCAAGACCAGGTACCATGAGGCATCCCACACCTCTGCAGCAGGAGCCAAGGAAAATTAGTTATAGTAGGATCCCTGAAAGTGAAACAGAAAGTACAGCATCTGCACCAAATTCTCCAAGAACACCGTTAACACCTCCGCCTGCTTCTGGTGCTTCCAGTACCACAGATGTTTGCAGTGTATTTGATTCCGATCATTCGAGCCCTTTTCACTCAAGTAGGTGCAAAAATTCTAAGTGCATTAAGGTATTTGTTAGTACTATACATGCTAGAGGTAAAAAAGAATCTCTGTTATTTTTTTGTATGTGTGAACTTGTAGTTAAGTCAAATGCCATTTCAAAAGATAATATTATAAAAATATAAGACAAATTCTAAACTCCACCAACTTGAAATTTCTAAAAAATCTGCTGGAACAGCCCTCTTTAAATTTATTATACGTTAATGAAAGGCCTAGTGGTAAAATTGGCAGCTTAAATTTCATTTGAGCTTTTCAAATGCATTCCTCTTATCCAGAGGAGACAAAGATCAGTCTTAAAATCTGCAAGTAATTTTAGTCCCATGTTTCAAATGCTGCCTGGCTCCAAAATTATTATACAGGCTGAATATCCCTCATCCAAAAACCCAAAATCCAAAATGTTCTAAAACCCAAAACTTTTTGAGTGTCAACATAATGCTCAAAGGAAATGCTCATTGGAAGTTTTGAGATTTTTCAGTTAGGGATGCTAAACCAGTAAGTATGATGTAATATTCTGAAGTCCAGAACACTTTTGGTCCCAAGCATTTCAGATAAAGGATACTTAACATGTATTTGAATACTAGTCAGGGTACACCATCTACTCTCCACCAAATTCTTTAGTAGCTTTTAATTTTGCAATGTATCAGATTTAAGCCCTTTTCGTCTACCCAGTGGTCCCCTGATGGTATATAATGGCTGCTAATACACTATCTGTGCTTTTCAGTGCAGCGAAACAAATCTCACAGACTGCACACTACTGCTTATCCATCTCTTATTTCTAGACCAGCACTGTCCTATAGAAATATGTGAGCCACATGTATAACTTCAATTGTCTAGTTAGCCTCATTAGGAAAAGCAAAAATAACTTTAATACATTTTATTTAACCCAGTATATCAGAAATATTGTCATTTCAACATGAAATCAATATAAAAATTTATGATTGAGATATTTTACATTCCTTTTGTTCTAAATCTTTAAAATCCAGCGTGCATTTTACACTTACAGCACATCTCAGTTCAGACAAGCCACAGTCAGATGCTCAATAATCACATGTGGCTAGTGGTTGCCGGACTGTACAGCTCACCTTTTGAAAGGCTACCTTTTCAATCTAGATCACCAATAATTTTTTAAATTAATTTCATGTGAAACTTTAAAGCTCTTCTAAGAACCCTTTTTCATTTGTTCGTTATTAAATCAAAACTTCAATCCAGTCACCTTTAACTCTTTCATGACCATTTCCACATGCCCTTACCGTTGGCTATCTTAGCTCGATGTGCTAATCAAGTTCCCCCTAATTTGACATACTAGAATCTAATACTAGAGGCAGCATGACATTATTATGGGGGAGGAGGTTGAGAAGCACTAACCTCGAAGTTAGAATTTCTGGTTTGTCATCCCAGTCTGCTAATTAGCTTTCTGATTTAAGACAAAATACTTTTTCTGTGCCTTCTGGGGGTCAAATTCGATTTTTAAGATTCTCTCAGTTGGAAGAAATCTAACTAAAAATATACTTAAAATAATTCTTTGGTAGTATATTATTTTGAAATTTGGTCCAGAATCCTATTTGTTTATTCCTGTAGTATACATACGTCTGTAGTTACCCAGTAGTCTTTGTTGTCTTTGGGCCATCTAAAGTATATTTGGGCTGGGCATGGTGTCTCACACCTGTAATTTCAACACTTTGGAAGGCCAAGGTGGGAAAATCACTTGAGGCCAGGACTTTGAGACCAGCCTGGGCAACACAGCGAGACCCCATCTCTCCTAAAAAATAAAAAAATTAGCTGAGAGGAGAGGTGTGCACCTGTAGTCCCAGCTACTTGGGAGGCTGAAGTGGGAGGATTGCTTGAGCTCAGGAGTGTGAGGCTGCAATGAGCTGTGATCATGCCACTGCACTCCAGCCTGGGCAACAGAGTGAGACCCTGTCTCAAAATAAATAAAGTGTATTTGTCTTGAGAATACTATGACTTGGCATTATTTGGTGACTGAAGGTCATGGAGTCTTTTTTTTTTTTTTAATTTTATAAAATTTTTGGTAGAGATAGGGTCTCGCTGTGTTGCCAAGGCTGATCTCAAACTTCTGGCCTCAAACAAACCTCCTGCCTTAACCTTCCAAAGTGCTGGGGTTATAGATGAGCCACTGTGCCCCGCCATGGAGTCATGTGATACACATAGTAAGCTGTCAGATATTTTTGATAAGTTCAAATAGACACCAAGTAAAAAAAGATTCCCATTTATTCTCCCCAGCTTGCCAACCCCCTAAATTAAGTAATGAAATGAAACCAGCACCTTTTCAGTATATCTGACTTAAAATCATTATTTATTCTGACCCATTTAACTGTTTGCAGGATTTTTTCCCTAGAGCAGACAGCTATAGGCCTGTATCATTAAGGATTCTCAAATAAGTGAACTATTGAAACCACATAAAAGCCATCAGTTGCAAATTCTACTTCTCTTTGTTTAAGTAGCTAAAAATGAAAGTGGTGGAAAAAACAGGAGATAAGCATATTAAGTTCTCTACTAGTGCTGAATCTTTAAATGACTAGCTAAGCAGCGAAGAAGAAATCATTCTAGAATGCAGTGCTCTGGATCCTGCTTTGTTATAAACAGTTATAATAGCATTAAGTTAACAGTATTTCACTTAAACAGCTGGACAGGTGGAGAAAACATTGTTTCAGGAGTTAGGCTTTGTAATCTTAGACTTGAGGGTTTTCTCAATTTCTCTTTGTTTATGATAAAGAAAAACCCTATTACTACTCCCTTTGTTTTTGGTTAAAAACTGAAAATAACTGATTTTGAAATCAAATAAACCAGTGTAATATAAAGCCATCCATGTGTTCTGCTAATCCCTTAAAACCTATCAGTTGCTTTTGTGTATTAAAGGTCTTCTCCACATGCTTTTGTCTTCACTTTTGCCTAACTAACAGATGTGCGAGTGCCAGAGGATCACCCAGAGCCTCCAACTTGCTACCCACTGTTTTGCCACCAGAGTGAATACCTATTTCCTTGTTTCCCTCAGGGCCTGGCAGAAAAGAACTGCCTTGACTGCAGTCATATGTCATCCCAACATATTCCACTCAAAGCAGTACAAAGTTCCATTGTTTAAGTTTTTCAAAAGGCAGAGTTTGACTAGAATTTTTTTTTATCAGTTATAATACTATACTATTCTTTTTTTACTCTTACGGTTTTTTCCCAAAATAATCTACTTTTAAAAACCTATAATTAATTATTTCAGCCAGTATCTGCTGCATATCTTATTCCTTGCTAAACACTTACACGTCTTCACTGGGAAAGCTTGCAGTCTTACTGAGAGATTAAAAATAATCATAGTGCAAAGAGATTCACAGTTAAACGCTAAAAATAGTGGTAAAGACATAAATACTGGAGAAGCTTATAGAAAGATGACCTCAGAATGAGCAAGAGTGGTCATGGAAAGCGTTGTGGCAAAGACAGGGCAGAGAAGTGGCCACGTACTTAGTGCTGCCACACATACATTCAAAGCCCTGCTCCACACCTTGCCCTGGCCAGGTCCACCTTTGAGGTGATGACGACAGTTGCTGAGAAAAGAGAAAAGACCACTGGCTCACTACTTGTTTCTGCTGCTATAATAGAGAGGAGAAAATGATGAAATGCTCTTTTTACCTTCCTGTTTGAAGATTGCCTGGTCATAAAAGGGAGTCAGAGGTCTGACTTCTCCATTTCCATCCCTTAGGGGACTCTTTAACAACAAAAAGAATGTATTACAAGTATGTCAAGCTGATAACGCAAGGCTTTTCCTCCTGGAAGATTGCTGTAGGTGATGAGTTTCTAATCCCAAATATATTTGCATTTACCAGGCTTTTGTGAGTTTAAGAAGTTATCTATCATATCTTTTTTTTTTTTTCTATAGAAAAATGCTTGTTTCTATCAAGAATGACTCCTTTATAAACTGGGGAGTATCTTTAAGAGTGGTTTCAACCCTGACTGTATAGTATCATCTGTTGAGGAGCTTAAAAAAAATATGTAGGCCCAGCCCACACTAGACTGGCATTGGTACCTGGTATCAGTATTTTTTAAAAACTTCCCATAGGATTCTAATGTACAGCCAAGATTGAGGACCATTTGTCTGTCATCTGGGATTATGCTTAATAAATTAATACTGTTTTTTAAATTAATTAGATTTCACTTCTAAGTCATTATCAGTAAATTTACTCAGTATCTAACTGACAAGAATTTCTAGCATATATTTCTTGATTAGTGCATGTAAAATTCTAAAAGAATTTCTATAGTATTTTCCAGGCAATAAGACAACTAGTGCCCCAAATTTACCAAATGCATGAGTCTAAGCCTGTGCTATATATAAATATACTCAAAGCCAAGTTTACATCTGTGTACACAAGTGTGCATGCATATGTACAATTAAAGACTATAGTTGTAACAGTCATGAGCTTGTGTTTTGATTTTACTCCTATTCCTGTATTGTATTAAGTGTACTATCATGTTCTTGAGGCATATCTCCAGGAGATATGTTTATTTCTTTTCCAGGAAAAGTGGGACATATATAAGTAGGGTAAACGCTAGAGCTAGATACTCCTTTAATCTCTATTACGTCAGATCTCTGGCTCCCTTTTACAACCAGGCAATCTTCAATTATAGGTGGCTAATAGGGAAGAAAATCATCGGCAGAGCAACAGCTTCATGTAATTTCAGAGTAGAAAAATGAATTTTAATCTTCTGAAAGGTAATATTAGAATTAGCTGGATTGCTACACTTAGGAATCATAGGTTCCAAATAAATATCAGTACATACGGAAATCAGATAATGGGACAGATTATTTGAAATTAGGGCTGCCTAGAAATCTGGAATGTGAGATCACCCTCCTTCTGACCAAATATGCTTGAATAAACTTAATATTCCAAATTATGTGAGGGATTGCCTATTGTGCAAAAAAAAAAAAACGAAATCTGAATTTAAAAAAAATTACCACAGTCTAGTATTATTTTAGTCTCTTGGATGTTATAACGTTATCTGTTCCATCTGTTGTTAATATGAGACACTGTACAAACAAACAACTATATTGATTTAGAATCAGTATAGATCACCTAGCTTTTTGTCTCAATTTTCCTACTTTAATGCTCTTGGGGCTTTCGCTTTTGATTTTCAGTTTTTTCCTTAAAATAATTAATATTGTTGAAATTAGACTTTCTAAATTTAAATTTATCAGAATTTCCTATGTAAAATGAGTCTAGGCACCAAATGTTTAATGACTTTAAAAAAAATGTTTATGACTATAAAAGGAAAAACCCTGTATCAATTTCAAGCTTGTTTTATATCCAAAGTGCTAGTTATTTTGTGATGAGAATATATGCCCCAAGAACATTTTTGAAAGACATATAATTAGTAACTTTTTTATTTTTCAACTTACATAAAATAAACTTATTACTTGTTTCACAAGTTTGAGTTTTCAAAATAATATTTACTAAATGGCATATTTATATACATCCAGCTGAACTTTTTGCTTGAATTGGGTTTCTACATTTTAAAAAGTCTTTCAGTAATATACGATTTTTTTATGAATGTTTTTCATTTAATAATTATGAAATCAAGTAAAGCTAAAAGGAATCTTAAATTCCCAATATGATATCATTTTTTTCTTCTCAAAAGTAAGTAGTAATGAGGTTTTACTATAAACTGTTACAGCATTCTTTAAAACGACAATGACAATAACATTTTCATCATAATACAAATTTTTGCAGATGAGTTGAATATATCAATGAAAGAAAAAAATCTACTTTTTCTTGTTTCCTTTCACAGGCAATGATACCGTCTTTATCCAAGTTACTCTGCCCCATGGCCCAAGTTAGTATATTTGGTTTAAGACTCATAATTCTTGCTTTGGCTTTAAAAATCAAACCAAGTGTAACCTTTCCTGCTAAAACTCTTCTTGGGTCTGGCAGCATTGGTACCTTGCTTGCAACATCCTAGAAGTGAGGCCTTCACTTGTGCTATCTTTAGATCATAAGTGATTTGCTTAAATTTATATATTTCTCATGCTTTTTATAAAACCTTGTTTCTCTCTTAAAAGAACATATTAAATAAGTGGCTTCCACATTTAACCATTTCTTTTTTCCAACTATAGAGTTCTAAGTATATTTTAATGCTCAACTTTGAAAAAAAAAAAAAGGCAAGAGCATGCATGCGCATATGGGAATGCTGGCAGCTACATGCAGTTTCTAAATCACAAAATATACTTAGCCTGATGGCAGGATAGATTATAGACAACTGCTTTTGACTTTAGAAGAACTTTCTTATAATTGTAATTATTCAAAGTATAGCCTAAATACTGATAAACAAAATAAAGTTCCATTTTAATTGTAAGGTAAACTAACAAGTCACTAAATTCCATTATTTTAATTATTTAAGCTAATATTTTTTTGCTGTCCTTTCATACAATTTCAAAATATGTACAATGGAAAATACTAGTTACAAGCTGAATTAACTATATTCTTAAGAAAAAAGGTAGGTGATCAAAATGTTGATCATTTAAATAATATCAGTACACAAAGTACTCTTTTTAAGTTCTATATTTTATAACATGTGACAAAATAAAAAGCTTAATGCTTAAAGGGAAAAAAAACTGCCAACTATAATTTTGAATGATGGTTTAAGTATTTTTTTCACATCTTTTTTTATAGTAGGTATAAACAACTAACTTAAGTGTTGTTTTCCAAAGTGTATTTATATGCCTACCTTATGTTCTTGTTACCATAAATGTCTGTAAGAGAGGTTCTAATTAGTAGCTTTACTTACTTTTTTTGTGCCAGTCCACCAACTTATTCTTAAATCAGATTCACTAGATTTTAGTGTAATTTCTGTTTTCATGGTCAGGGCTGCCTCCGTTGTCTTGAATAGTGCCATCACCGTTAAAATTTTTGGATTTAGAGTATAATGAGCCTCTTTTTGCTTACAGGCAAAGGGGAGCCTATAACTAAACAAAATGAGGAGAGGCCCCTCACCTAGACACTATGATTCTTTCCCTTGCATCCTTTGAGAGAAATGCTAGGGAGAGACATTGGAGAGAGTGGTTAAGAGCACACACTCTACTCCCAGGGACTATCCAGTAAGGTGGGGAAGTTCTATAAATTCTAATAAAGTCAAAGAAAAAAATGAACCCATTATAGAATCTAAAAATTACCATTCCAAAGATTTTCAGTAGCTCACTGTCTCCCAGACATCTGAGAATCAGACTCAATTAAAAATTTCAATAATAGAGTAACCATGGGAATGTTATTTTGTTCAGGCAAAATAACAGAATACCTTAGGCAGCTTTTTTCTAAATATTCTGCTAAAAAATGTCTGCATGCTTTTATGGCAGTTTGCTTTAATGAAATACTATTCGGTATTGGTTTATTGAACAGCTTTTGGTATTTCTACACATTACTTTTAATTATAAGCAATTTCCAGCTAAGACTTTTCAAGGTAAATAAATGAAATAAAATTCCTGTGGACTTTTTCTTAAAAATTTAACATCCCACAGGATCTGCTTCTGTATCATCTATAAGTTTAACCAAAGGCACTGATGAAGTGCCTGTCCCTCCTCCTGTTCCTCCACGAAGACGACCAGAATCTGCCCCAGCAGAATCTTCACCATCTAAGGTAAAGTAAGAAATCTTGTTGTGTAGAAATTGGAATCATTACAGTTCATTATAATAAACGGCTGTCTAGTTTAGTTCTCACTAGGATAAGTTAACATTTCAGAGTATACAGGCTTAATAGTTTAAACAAGGATTACATATAGATTTAGCATGCAGTAATGTTTCTTTCTTCTGAAGGTAGTTTTTTGGTATGCATTCAAGACCCTTGTAAACCTAAGGCTATGGTTATTTTCAGAAAAAAACAAAAGTTTTAATCTGTAAAGTAAGAGGAATTTGGTTTCAAGCAGTTCTTTAAAAGCATACAGAGAAAGTCCTGAAGCTTTGTATGAAGGCACATTATAAGTCAAACTGTATTTTGACATATGCTAAAATTTACTTATCTGAGCCCTTAATAGTAAATCTGACATACTTTTAAATGGAGTTTTCATGAAAATTCTGGGTTTGGAAGAGACCCCAAAGGCTCAAAATAGCTATTATTTCTACTTATTTAATTTTGTTTTTTTCTTTTTGGCCAGCTGTTAAACTTAATTCATTAGTTCTTAAGCTGTCCAGAGTGCAGAGCACCAGGATAAGTCAAGACAAGACACTCTTTGTAGAACTTCATGAATGTTAACATAGTTAACTTAAAATTATAAAATAGGTACTTTATGCTAAATTAGAAATGATCTTAGATTGAGTGATAAGCTAAGCAAGCAGTAGCAAACAAAATTTTGAGGAAAAAAATTTAAGTAAAAACTACGGCAAACTTTTTTTTTCTATGAATTGACAGAACCTCCCATTTAAAACATATGCCAGCCTTGGCAACAGAGCAAGACCTTGACTCTACAAAAAATGAAAAAAATTAGCCAGGCATGGTGGTACATGCCAGTGGTCCTTGCTGCTTGGGATGCTGAGGTCGGGGGATCACTTGAGCCCAGGAAGTTGAGGCTACAGTGAGCCATGATTGCACCACTGCACTCCAGTCTGGGCAATAGAGCAAGGCATTGTCTCAAAAAAAAAAATTTTTTTTTAATTAAAAAGAAAACATATGGCAAAACTCCCTGTTCCACACTTAGCATCCTGCCAATAGCATGTTTGAAAACCCCAACTTAATTCTTATAGTCATGATACTTCATAAATTTATTAATAAATGTGTATTTTATTCTTTTCATTTGTTAGATTATGTCTAAGCATTTGGACAGTCCCCCAGCCATTCCTCCTAGGCAACCCACATCAAAAGCCTATTCACCACGATATTCAATATCAGACCGGACCTCTATCTCAGACCCTCCTGAAAGCCCTCCCTTATTACCACCACGAGAACCTGTGAGGACACCTGATGTTTTCTCAAGCTCACCACTACATCTCCAACCTCCCCCTTTGGGCAAAAAAAGTGACCATGGCAATGCCTTCTTCCCAAACAGCCCTTCCCCCTTTACACCACCTCCTCCTCAAACACCTTCTCCTCACGGCACAAGAAGGCATCTGCCATCACCACCATTGACACAAGAAGTGGACCTTCATTCCATTGCTGGGCCGCCTGTTCCTCCACGACAAAGCACTTCTCAACATATCCCTAAACTCCCTCCAAAAACTTACAAAAGGGAGCACACACACCCATCCATGCACAGAGATGGACCACCACTGTTGGAGAATGCCCATTCTTCCTGAGTTCCTCTGTACTGGGATGTATATTTTCCTAGCCCCAAATCCATTGCTGGCAATGGATGCACTGAATGTGCCAGCACTGAGGAGTTAAAATGAGAACTCCAAACACTAACGACTCTTCTTCAAGATGCAGTATAAGACAATGAATTTTAACCTAGATGTAATTATACAATGGAAATGGTATTCCAGTTTAGAATATGGAAAGACCGACCTAGAGGAATTGGACAACTGATTGCACCTGAAAATCATAAAGGGACTTTTTCTGGCCAATAGGCAGGAGTCCTCTTTTTGTGAAGTGATCTTTTGTGAAGTGATCATTAAAGGGATGGAAAACACAGTCTAGTGTCCAGCAGGCCCACATGACAGTTTTTGTAATTCAAATTATGCACTTTTAAAAAAAAAAACTTAAACAGGGATCTTAATATCTTCCTTTGTTTTCCTTTGCTTTACTCTTCTACTTTAGAATATTTTCTTAAAAATCACTCAAAGGACTGTGAGGAAAGGCTGTGGTACCTGACCTTGTTGAAATCAAGGCCCGGCACTGTACTACAGGCCTGTTTACAGATTATTACGGTGAACTGAATGGGTACCGAGGCTTCACCAAAGAGGTACTTTTTTGTTGTTGTTGTTGTTTTAGGAATAATTGTACCAATTTTAAGAGCATTCCCCCCACCTGTCCCCACACACCCAAACAAAATGTGGTGGTGTTGCCTTCAAAAAAGAGAAGTTTTGTGTCATTAACATGACAGAAGAACTTTTTAAAAAAAAATAACTGTCAACTATTCTATTTGCATTTAGGAGACTGTTCATCTATGCTAGATTGTCATTTTCCCTCCTTCTCCCACAGAAGTTTACTGGTAGTCCATGTCATGGCTCGTAGCTATCCCTCTAACCATACCATGGAAATGCAGGCACCCAATGTGAAAAGGAGCACTTGCTGGGCATCACTGACACCGCTCATGTTTTACACATAGTTGAGTAATCAGCATATCTAGAATTATCTTGCATTGCCTAAATCATATGTATATAGTGAATGTTATATAATATACCTGGCAGGTCTGTTTTAATTTAATTGAATAAAGATACAAATACTTTGTTTGGCTGGCATATATTAAATTATTATATGAAGAAAATGGTTGATTCTTATTTCTTTTAGTTGAAAAACACACAAAAACACTAAACATAAAAGCACGTTTTGTGGTACGCCTTGGTTTCTAGTTCTGGATATATGTATTAATCTTAAAGAATGATCTAAAGTCACAGCTTGGCATATAGGAAGATACTTGGTTAGAATAGGATGGGTATCTTTTAAGCAGAACTTTGTAAGTAAGTTTTAAGTTCCTAAGCAACAAGTATACAGTTTGTTAAGGTTTATATTGAACATTCTACCTTGCTTGAGGTTTTCTGCTTTATCAAAACTATTCATAATAGAACATCTACCTGCATCATTACTATCATAATATGGATTATTCATAAAGCGTATGTACTGTTCTTCTGAGTCTAACAAATACTGTGACTGAAATGCATGCACCTTGTTGAAGAGAAAACATTTTATTAATCTCCACTATAATGTCTGTGAAATGTGCAGTATTCCATCCTTAGAGAGTTTATCTGGTTCATCAGCATCTGCATGTATCCTCTGAATAATGAAGCAACATTTCAGCAATTCTGTTAACCACACCATTAGAGACATTTTTAGAAGTGCTGCAACATGGTGGGAACCTAGTACTTTAATAATTTCCTATGATATTTATTAGAGCATAAAATGTACATCACGATAGTACAGTATGTAGTCCTTTAAGACCAGAAGGTATGTTAACTGCACCATCATTAAGCAGTCTATCCTATTTTCTTATTTATTTGTTAGAATTGAATCCTTTCTCAATATCTGTACCATTCCTATGATGGTAGCCATTCTTCTCTTTATAAAATATTTCCTCTTTGAAAAGCGTCCTAAAACATTAATTTCAAATCCCCTCTTGGATGCAAAGTGTCCCTAAGACCATCCATTCAACAGTATTTATGTGAGCCAACTTACTAGAGCCGCTACAACTAATCATGATAGACAGTCCAGAATCTCCCTGGACTTTATACTGGGCCAGCCTCATTGTCCCTAAGATTTCTCTTTTTATGTCTCATGGATTACTTCTCTTTTTAATTGCCCCAGGCACATTCCAAATGAGAACCTGGTAAAAGTCACATTGGACCCCCTTCAGTATGTCTTCGGCTAATGTGTTAGCCTTCAATAAGGTGATAACCCCTTTTCAACCTATCTAGTCTATAAAGAGGAAAAATTCAGATTTGGAGTTCTAATCCTATTTCTCCCAAAGGGAACTATTCTTCTACCCCATGGTTCTAGGAGACCACTTCACTGTGCAACAGTTTTACATGCATTGTGGATGGAGGATATTTTTATTCTGAACTGTTACATTTAGGTAAAAATATTTTCTGCAGTGGTAACTGATTAGAAAAATGCCAATTGGATGCCCTTAGGTGGAGGTGAGAAAATGGCATCCTTGCCTTCTTCTCAATATGAAACATTAACTAGTTGACAAATTTATCCTTGTAGTAATGAAAATCTATTTAATCAGGGACCAGAAATGGCTGAGGAGATAAATGCATCATTACAAAATTCTGCTTTTGAATCCTGGACATTACAAGGGGGTAAATGCAGCATGACTTTTTGTTAACCACATTCCAAAATGTGGAACATTTCTTTTAGAAATGAAAATATTTCAAGGCTGATGTATTTTAAGACTACACATTATCAGGAAACATACATTGAGAGTTCGCTTAATTAAAGGTTGTTGGGCATCAAATTATGTTTAGTAGGTTACTATTCTCTAACAACTCAAGGATGCTTTAATGGATCTGAATTTGACAAAGAGCATGCCACACTAATACTACAGTCAACAACAGCCCAGAGAACAATTACTATGTCAGCTGGAGGCTATATTATGATTCTAAATTCTTAAAGGTTTTTTTCCCTCCATAAATCAAAAATTACCTTATGTAAACCAAAAATTAGTTGGTATTTATGGTCATGATCTTAATTCTCAAGTTTAGCTTAATCTTGTATTTCATTGTTTGTCTTCTAATATGACAGCTTAAATTCAGATTTTTAAGTGACTCAGCAAAATAGGAGGAGTGTCCCAATTTATTAGTGTTGTACATATTGAAGAAAACCTTTTTGTTCCTTCAGATTTAGAAAGAAACAGTTTAACCATTTATTTCTTGGTATTCTGCTGCTGTGAATAGGTTTACTTATTCTTTTAACATATATTGTGTGACTACGCAAGTATAGGTCCTGTTGTATTGCATTAATCTTTACCAGTAACTAAACATCACAAGGTTAATATTGGTTTGGCTGAAAGAATTATGCAGTAAAGTTATTTATAAGGGAACATGATGACTTTATTCAATATTTTTCTTCTTTGAAACATCTCATTACTAACTTTTAAGATTATTTCATAATCCCTTATACATGAGCCAATGAAATATTTTGAGCTCTACTTAAGAAGCATGAAGTCTATATTATAAATCTAAACAACAAAAGCACTTGTAACTTGTTTAGTAAATTCCATGCCTTATTTTCCATTTTTGACACCGTAAAGTGCATTTTCTGTCGACTGTGAGCAAATTTCCCTTTTGCCTTTAATGAAAATAGTGCATTAAGTAGCCAATTGCTGCAGAATTATAAAGCAAATTAGCTAACAGTGGGTCACATTGGACTACCACTCAAAGAAACAAGATGCATAACAGATGATGGAAGGTACATGTGGTGTGGCTTAGGGAGAGCGCACCTGTGCCAGATGCATGCCACTTTCAGTAGCTGCCAAATGTGCCTTTAATTAAGAACATCTCTAATTTTTTTCTTCAGATCAAGTCAGCATTTGGGGTCGGGATTTGGGCAGGGAACTTTGGGGTGCAAATATCTGGTGAAACCACCAGAGAATTTGTTTGTCAAAGTGACATGTATAATTTTAGTTGAGACGTGTTTGTGTATATATGTGTATTTGCCTTTGTTTAGTAGCACGGTTATTTGCTAAAATAATTGTCAAAAAATTGCTCTGTCGGTCGGTCTTTGATGTAAGAACAAAGTGTGGTCTATACATCTAATATGGCCTTTGTACCTAACCATGTTCATAGGTAATCTTTGTACTCTGTGTGCAGCAGTATTTGGTTTGCATTTAAAGTGAAAATAACGGCTGTTATTTTTCTGGCATTACTAAGATAAACTGAAAAATAATAAAGAAAAATGCCTTACATAGCCCACAAGTGTATTATTTTTGCATGTATTTATTTTAGAGGGCAGTATTTTTGAAATCATTAGTGATTCTCATTTAGCTCATATATGCCATATAGAAATATTTTGCATTTTTATTGTGGTCTTTCTTTGGAGGCACTTTTTTCCTGTATCAAGTTATAAAAGGATAAAAGAAGTTCCACATTTCCTCTGTGTCAAATCTGCTGATTGATTGTAGTGAGTGGGAGGCCTCTGGGATGAAAACTAGTAATTTAAAGTGACCTTGAGTGTCACCTGGATGAAGTTTCAGAGTGCTAAGGCATTTGTATTCCATAAAAGAAGTTTTGAGATATCACGTTCCCTGACAGGCAGCTTTTGCTGAGATCTGCTGGAATGAGGTAGCCTGACCTTTAGCAATTCTTTTTCTAGGCTTGGCATGAAAATGTGAGTTTAGGGTTGTAACTAAAGAATGATGCAAATGTACCGTCATTCAGTGTGAACTATAGGATGTAAAAATTGATGAATCCTTAGAGAGCCAATCCCCTGATTTAAAAATTAAGGTAGATGAGGCCTAGAGAAATGAGATGACTTAGCCAATATCATGTGGCAGTCCAAGCATGAATTATCGAGTATATTCTAGGTAATAAATTTAATAGTTATAGGACAATAATGTTTTTGTTAAACTTGATTCTGAATTTTCTCTTGAATTATCACTTATTCTGAGCTTTAACCCAGTGATTTACTTTTTAACTTATTTTAATCCTCTTAGGTCATCGCAGATTAGTCTGTTTGGTACAGTCCATAGTTAAGCCTGCCTTTTTGCTGATAGCTGCACATGGTGTCCAGAGGGAAGGATGGCTTCAATACAGAGTACAATTCCAAAAAAGCAGTTTATGGCCATTCTAACATTTTAGGACTCTTGATTCTTACTGGAGGCAAGAAAAACTGTAGCCCACTTAACAGCTAATTTCTCTACCTCAGTAACTCATCAAGAAAAGGAAGAATCAATGTGATAGGAACAAGCAGGTGCTTTGGAATCATGTCTTTGCAGAAGTTAGTTATTTAATCTGTTTCTCATCAATACAAGGAGGTTAACAGATGTACTGTTTGAGGCTATTATGAGGTTTAAAGGTAATATGTGTAAAGCACATGCCTTTCACAGAGTAGGTGCTTAGTAAATGCTAACTAAAGTTACGAGGGATGCATTGTCAAAGTTTACTGGCTTTTAGGTATCTTCTAAGAGGTTGGTTGCTTATTCTGAAGCCCTCATAATTTGATTCTTTATGATTTCCTTTGCTGTTTATCATCACTTAAATTAGTTCTGAGTGACCTTAGGTTATAAGCATTTGATAAGGGCCCATCTGACTATTCAGCATTCAACAAATATTTATTCTTCAGGTACAATTCTGATATTAGGAATATGGCAATAAACAAAACAGGCAAAAGTACATGTCATCATGGGGTTTTATAATCTAGTGAGGAGATGCAGACAATAAAAAGTAGTAAGCATAATAAATAAATATATTATACATTCGAATGTTTTCACTTATGAACAAAAAAGGATATGGTGACTAGGAATGTGGAAGTCCAGGGGAGGTGAAATTTAAATGGGATGGTCAGAAGCCTGCCTCATAGAGATGACATTAATAGACTTGGAAGAGGTGAGGGAACAAGACATGCATATATCTGGGAGAAGACTATGTCAAGTCACAGGAAACAGCCAGTGAAAAGCCCAGAGGCAGGAGCGTACTTGGTACATGTGAGGCAGAGTGACGCTGCTTGTATCTGGAGAAGAATAAATGTGGGCAGAAGAGAAGGAGATGCCATCAGAGGTTTGACAAAGCTCACTTAAGGCTTTAAAAGCCCTTGTAATGACTTTTGACTTCTTAGTGGCAGAGTAACCAGGGACAAGATCTGATTGACATTTTAACAGGATCACTCTGGCTGCCCTGTTGAGAATAAAACAGTGGGAATAGGGAGGCTAACCCAATAGAAAATAGCTTGGACCAGGGTGATAGCAGTGGAGCTGCCTTATAAGAAGAGGTCAGGGCCTAGATATATTTTAAAGACAGCCAATATGCTGATAGACTGAATGTGAGGTGTAAGAAAAACAGAATTGTTAAAGATGACTTCAAGGTTTTGGCCAGAGTAACTGGAAGGATAAATTTACCATTAACTGGGGTGGGGAAGATATGGTTGAAGCAGGCTTGGACATACTAAGTTCAATAAATATATTAGACATCTTCAGAGATGTCAAGGAGGCAGTTGAAGATGTTAGTCTGGAGTTTGGGAGAATAGGCTAAAGATAGTGAATTGGGAGTCACTTTCATAAAGACATTAAAGCTAGCAGACTGGATAAAATCACAAAGGAACTGAGTATAGACTAGAAAAAGAAGAGCTCTAAGCAAAGGAGAGCCCTGGAGCATTCTAATGTTAAAAGAGAGGGGACAAGCCAGGCCTGGTAACACCACCTACTCTGGAGGCTGTGGCGAAAGGATCACTTGAGCCCAGGAGTTCGAGGTTACAGTGAGCTATGATTGTGCCTGTGAGTAGCCACTGCACTCCAGCCTGGGCAACACGGAGATCCTGTCTCTAAAATTAAAAAATTAAGAAAAAAAGAAAAAAAAAAGGCAGGAAGAGATGGGGAATCAGCAAGGAGACCAAGAAGAAACTCCCAGTGAAGAAAAACGAAAACCAGGAGTATGTTGTGTCTTTGAGGCCTAGTTAAGATAGAAGGAGGACGTGATCAGCCTGTCAAATGCTGCTTGATAGAGTAAGATGACTGAGAAGGAACCATTTGTTTGACAATGTGGAAGTCATTGGTGATCTTGACACAAGCAGTTCAGGGGAGTGGTGTGGGCAAAAGCCTGGGCCCTAGTATGATAAAGAATGGCAAGAGAGGAACTGGAGCAGTTTCCTCTTTGAGGTTTTATGAAAGGGAAGCAGAAAACTGGGGCATGGCTAGAACCGTCAAGAGAGGATTTCTTTTGCTTTAAAGATGGGAGAAATAAGAGCATGTTTGTATGCTGAACGGTTTGTCCCAGTTGAAAGAAAAATGTGATAATGAGAAGAGACAGAAGCACAGATGGTATCTACCAACAGTCCTTTACAGTAGATCCTATTAACATCTTCAGATAGATAGGCTTACATACATGAGACGAAACCCAACACATTCAGTTTTCTTGATAAGAATTAAGAGCATTTACAGCTACTATATATCTGAAGGGAATGAGGCAAGAAGGCATAAAAATCTCTATTTTGTAGATAAGGAACAAGTTTAGATGACTTATTAAAGATTATGTACTAAGCTCTTGGAAAACAACAGATTTTAAAGTTACTTGGTTTGGGAATAAAAATTTTGATTATTTTGAACATCTGACAATCTCCCACAAACATATTTTTAGTATTGCCTAAATTCATCCCTTTATGTTCTATATTTAAAACTCAGCTGTAGTGTTACACATCAATTTCTATTTTTTTCCCTTAAAATATATACGTCTCCATCAGTTTTCTCAACCTTCTTTTTATCCATACCCCTATTTGAAAAACTGTACCTCTCCCTTCCTTTCCTCCCAACCCATCCCCACCAGGTGAGACTCACCAGCCCATATACTATAAATATCAGGCTGCTCAGATGCTGAGAATGCTGCTCTCACACCTCCAAATGAACTTTCAGGATAAGAGAATCCCAACTGTACCAAAAGCATTATTTTTCTAGGCTCAGGCAGAAAGTTATTAATGGTGATGTTTCAAGAAAAAGTTTAATCTGAAAACTAGACCTAATTTTATGATACAACTTAATGCAGAAAAATTTGTCATTTTTCTAAGTGCATGCAATTGGTTATCTGGAATATACAGTCAATTTTACCAAGTTATAGAGTAATGATGATGTGCATATGTATATTCTTAAATCAGAATCTTACTGTGTGTGATAGCAAAGGTTACAGACAATTACGAATACAAAAATACTCACTGGGTTTCAATGAACAGTTTGTTTTCTGTATCTCAAGAATCAGTTCTTTATTCTGTTTTAAAATGCAGTCTACGAATAGAATCTGAGTGCTGAAACTTACATACTAGATCATACTATTTATTGGTCTAATAGGTGGTATCTCTAAAATTTCAGTGGGAAAATGACTCGCAGGACTGCATTAAAATGCAGATTCCTTTGGGAAACTACCTATCGGGTCCTATGCTTATTACCTAGGTGACAAAATAATCTGTAAACCAAACCCCCATGACATACAATTTACCTGTATAACAACCCTGCACATGTACCCCGAACCTAAAGGTTTAAAAATGCAGATTCCAGGCCCCCACCTCCAGATATTCTAATACAGTGGGACTGCAATGGTGCCCAGGAATCTGCATTTTCTACAAGTGCCCTCATGGAGGTGATGTATTAGTTAAGACTTAAAGGCAGTGAGGAAATGAGACATGAGTTGCTATAGAAAACACACTCAAAGGGTTTCCCTGATGTTCTAGTTTCAGGTCCCAGACTAAACTATTTCTTATGGGATGAAATAGCCCACTGGGGAGAACCCTAGAGTACTGGTCCACAAATCCTTGGTTCTCAAAGGCTCCAATTCTGTAGTCAGAGAAGGAGGGCAGTCCTTGCTTGGGCCTATATATACTGATCTCGCAAGCCTGTAGAAAGGGCCTATTGCGACTCCTAGCCTGTGCAAAATATCTACTTCATCTTTTGGTAGAGTGCTTCTTTCTGATTATCAACCCAAATACTTCTCAAAGACATCTGTGGTCTCCTATGTAAAGTGCACTTCTCCAGAGGGCTGGAGGTCACAGATGTAGTCATTGTCAAGTTCTTTTCCACACTGCTCCATCCATGCATTATTTAATGTAATGCAACAGTACATTACTAGGCCATAATGCAACATTACATTACAGGCCTGGTGGCCCACACCCATAATCCCAGCCTTTTGGGAGGCTGAGGCAGGAGGATAGCTAGAGCCCAGGAGTTTGAGACCAGCCTGGGCAACACAGTGAGACCTTGTCTCTACAAAATGTTTAAATCAGCCAGGTGTGGTGGTGCACACCCATAGTCCTAGCTACTCAGGAGGCTGAGGCAGGAGGACTGCTTGAGGAGTTTGAAGCTGCAGTGAGCTACGACCTTTTTTAAACTGGAGAGATGTTTTCTAATGCTAGATGTTGTGAAAGTGGCAGTGGTGGCTTTAACTGCTTCTGAAGGCAACTATATTTCCTTCATGACTGATATTTTTTCTTTAAAAAAAAGGCAGGGAGGTAGAGTGATAACTGAATTCTCTGTCAAATTAAGAGTAAAAATTATTTTCTGTAGCTTTCTGCTTATTAAAGCACCACCATTAATGTTGGCATCAGCTACTTATTGAGCACCTACTATGCAGTCTTCTAGAGGTGGAAAGGAATTTAAAAATATATGCCATAGTTCCTGCCCTTGAGGGGACTTGCATTCTTACTGGGAAGACACAACAAACACATAAAGAGATAAACAAGTTACACCACAAGAAGTCACAAAAAGATGAAGACACTTAAACTGGGTCTTAAGATCGGCAGAGAGGAAGGAACTAGAGAAAGGGCATGAAGCAAGAGTGAGCCTGGGGAAGGTGCACAGCTGACTGGGAAACGGTAAAAACCCAGTTTACTTGAGGTAAGTCAGTCCACCTAGGACTCTGAAAAATATGAGATGGTAGCCAGAAAGAAAGAAAGCCTTACTGGAGAGAGCAAGCCTTGGATGTCACATCAAGAAGTTTGGAATTTCACTGTAGACAAGTAAAAACAGAAGAGTTTCACATAAAGCAATATTTGGGAATACCGTATTAGAGACATGCAGGATAGATGGGAGCAAAGAGTACTTGGAGACAGTTAGAAACCTCAGGAAAACTTCAGGTATCAAGTGATGGGAACTCACCTGGAGAGTAGGCAAGTACGTAGCAGCGTTAATTATTACTAGTTTCATAAGCTAGTTTCATAAAATACAACTCAATTATTTTGGAGTTATGCTACAGATGTAGCATCAAGATTTTTCAGAGGATGCTGCCAAAATAAAATTGGTGAAGTGTGTGATAGTTTTTAAACCTTTCTACTAACTGATCAATTTTAGTGATAAACAGAAGATGAAAGGGAAAAGAATTTTATTATGTTAACATTTTATTTAATAGATTGTGACTTCTGTAGTATTTCACTTTCCACGTCCAGTCGATTTGGCGTTGTGCTTGCAAGCACTGCCGGCCACATAATAAGAGAAAAATCTAATTTCAAATGAATTCATAAACTTCTGGGAAACAAAAATCTTGGCTTAAACTTAGATCCTGGAAACTCAAAAAACTTGGCAGTGATCCTTTATGTGTTCCAGACAACTACTATTCAAAACGCAGTAGGTGAGTTCCTAATTTGTCATCAGACAAGGAGAAGAAAACTTGCAACACTTACATGTGAACCTTTGCCTATTTTATCAACAAACGCTTCAATAGAGGAACAGCTTCTGAAGACACCAGTTTGAGTACCAAGATTTTGAATGAACAGAAACCAAATACCCCTAATTTACTATACCGAACTGCCTGGGAATAAAGACAAATTGTTTAAACCCAATTTTTTTTCTATTATAAATCTGATGTTTGGGGCATATCAAGGATGCTGACCATCTTGCACATATCCATGTGGAAACAGAGCACATTTTATCACCCCAGAGCCAGGCAGGCCTCGTTGCAATCTGATTCCTCTAAGCTTTAAGAGCTTGGTTTCTTTACAAAATAGGAAAACAGTCAAGTGCTGCAATCCTGAATTTTCACTTTGACCTGCTGTTTGTAGCAACTGCTGTGTGTGAGCCATTGAAGTTTTGGTGCTATTGCCACCTTCTTTTCAGGCTGCAGAAAGTCTTTTTAACAAGATGTGGCTAAATCACTGCTTTTTTCCTAGTCCATCTGGTTGTGAGTGTGTGTGACACTCAAGATCACGAGTGGGTCTTGAATACTGAGTACTCAATAAAACACAGACTGGACTGTTTCCATCCTCAGCTCAACCCACACAAGGGAAAATGTTTCTTTGCCTTCCTCTCTCCCCAGTTTCTACAGAAATCCTTGTTCCCTTTACTGATTTCCATAACCACAGAACAAGTTTGGAGATCAATGTGTTTTTAAGCTTTGAACCTTCTGAATCATGGTTTAAGCACAAATTCTCCATAACTCAGATATGCAACATATAAAATACAGTTCTGTTAATTAATCCTTTGCCTTAAGGGATGTTAGATATTGCCTTAGGGTTTTTGGAAGACATGAAGCAAGACAGAACTGGCCCCTAACATAGTGTATATTAGTTTAAGAACACTGGATGAGTTAATAAGTTAAATGCCTAGGAAGCATAAAATTCAAATCCATGTTAAATATGAACATGCTCAGTATTATACTCGGGGAATGACTTCAAGTTGGAAGTTTTCATTCTTACAAACATTTATTTTCCTCCAAATTTATTGTGTTTTTCTGTAATGATGTGAAAAGTCTTCATTTCCCTTTTCCCCAGTGTTGAGGTTCAAAAAGCCAGATCTTAACCAGAAACTAATCTTCATCTCTTCAATGTCTTGTATGTTTAGTTTCATATGTAAGTATTTATATTAGTTTTCCTCAGGGATTTATACATCGATATATATATATATATAGATATAGATATATATATATATTCCTACACAGATATATACAAGCTTTTTATCCTCATCTTACCACTTGACAATACAACTTTAAGTATGTTTTACACAGCTGTTCCTTGGTCAAGGTCATTTGCAAGAGCAAGTCGGTTTCTGAAGAAATCTTGTTTGGTGGGTGAAGGATCCATTGAGGGATTCTCATTAGTTTTTTCCCTGTATTCTGATCCACTGGACCTAAAATCTCAGCACACAGATAAAGTACAGGTTGATTTGGTTTTAATTGTTTTCAAATATTTTTATCTATCCCAATTGTTTTGCATTTGTAAAACAGTTGCTTCCTAGAACTGGAATACTTTTTACTCCCCTGAATTTCATGACTTAGGACATGTGTATCTAAGATTTGCATTGAACATAAAGAGAATATCTTTCTAATGCTTTATGGGGACAATTGTGACAATTGTATATGTCAGTGTAAGATATTGTGTAATAACATCATAATAGGGGAACAAAAGCTCAGAAAATTCAAGAAATCCTGTTTTTGATTCAATGAAGTAACAACTCCACAAATTATCAAGGATCTTAAATTAAAATGGATGGAAATCATGGTTCTCAACCAAGGTTATCAAGGACCTTCACTGAATTTGGCATTACATTACAAACTCTTGCTTGTTTTCATTGTTAAATGAAAGATTTATTGAAGCCAACCACACATATATGCTACATTTGGTAGAATGCAGAAATTCGTACAGTAATCAGATTGCAGAGATACTATAATCTCAACCACCACAAAAGAGACCAAAGCCAATCAATAGTCAACAACTCAGATCAGTCCATTTGAGTCCCCAGTCGAGGGTGCATTCTTCCTTTATCTTGCTTAAGCCACTTGGGTAATCCATTCCAGCTCTGCACCTTCTCCAGTTTTCTCATGTCAGAAGTCCCTGGAGGGAGGAGGCTTTCTGGAAATAACCTCTGATAAGCTAGACTGGGGCCCTTTGGCTAGCTTAAACTCTGACCTAGAATGGGTAAAACTAGTCCAGACACTAAGAACCAATATCAAAAAACCTCATGCAGGGTGTATGAAAGTGATGTTAGACATGAAGTTGCTTGTCCAAAGCTTCTATACAACTGACCAAGTTCTCCATATGCTGAGGCTGTCAGGTATGCTTCCACTATCCACCAAAGAAGGATCCAGGGCCTCCGAGTCCTTGTACTATCATTGGTTTGCTACTGTTGAGTCCTCACTCTTGTTATTAGATAAGTTAATCATGACTATCATTTACTGAATTAATGGGCAGAATTCAAACATCTCTTTACATTATTCAAAGAAAGAAGTTGGATCCACAAAGACTAAAAACCCTAATGTCTGGAAACCTGATGACTGACTAGGTATTTTCACTTTGCCCTCTGATATTCAATATCACAGATGAAGCCATAGCCGCCCACCATGCTTTCTACTTCTGGTTGGTAAGGAACACTTTTCCACTACATCCCAGTGCAGAGAGGAAAAACTACTCTATCTCTCAACTCCAGTACATCTGGATACTCATCAAGCAAGATATCTGGGTGGGATGAGGTTCTCTTCCTTTTCAGGAACCCCCCCGAGTTCTCCCTTGAAAGAGCCTCCACATGGCCCACCCTAAAACTCCGGGCCTTCTCTTGTCTTTCACAGATCCCCCTTACCTCCAGTTCAAATCATCCCTGATGAGTGCAGTTGTGCCCCAAATTTAGGAAGATATATTTTTGACCATCTCATTCTTTCTCTATGTCTTCCATTATTCAGAAGACTAGGAATGCCTATGTTTTAGGGGCAGGAGGTCAGGGGCAGGATTTGAATTGGGCTGCTATTTCTTCTTGTTCCCCCACAGGACAGTTTCTCATCAGAAAGTCATTACTCAAAACTTGAAATCTTTGCCTCGTATTTCCCCTCTTAGCTACATCTGGTCTATCCAAAACCCAACATGTCACACTTTGATGGTTCCAACATGCAACTGTTTAGTGTTTACCTGAAAATAGGAAAGCTTTGATGTCACCACCAGCCCCAAGGACCACAGAAATCTTCACCAGTTGCGTTCCCATTTCTGAAACAAATGCCAAAATCGCCCTGTCTAGTTTTCAAAGTCCATAAACTCAGCTTAAATTTTTTTAACTGCTCTTCTCACAAATTGTACCTTCCCTATGTCTCCAATGTCTGAATTTCTCTGCATTTCTTGATATTAATTAAACTAACAGCTAAATTGCTCATCCTTTTCAAAATCCAGCATTCTACTATAGCCATGACTAAAAGCTCATTTTCATCCTTGTAAAGACCATTTTAACTGACCTCTTTATAACGCTTACATATACGTGGCCACCTGGACTCTTCCAAAGGTGTGGCCATTAGGCTCTGAAGTAGTGCATACCTTGCATACCTAAATTACTAGGAAATAACCTGCAGGATCAAGGAGAAAAGGCCAGCAGATTTGCTTTTATTCCCTTTCTCTATAAAACAAAAATGGCTTTTGAGCTCCTGGAGCCACCGTGGCCGACTGCAGGGCACATCTGAGCAGACATTGTAGGGACAGGCAAACACTCGCTGGGGAAGGGTACCATGGCTGCCAGGACATACTGACACATAACCATCCAAGTATTTGATGGAAAGAGGAAAAGACAACAGACCTGTTGCTAACTTTTCCTTTCACTCAAGTGACAAAGAAAATAGCAAATTCAGTAGGTCATACCAAGTCTAGATTTGCTATAAATAAACCTTTTGTTTGGAGCTGGGGATGGGGGTAGTTGAATCCAGTGCTGCAAAAACCTCTGATTTAAGAAGGCTTGGTTCTCTGATTGGAAAGACTATCCTCCTTGAAAGCTTTAGGAGACATGCATCTGTCTCAAGAAGTAAAGGGGCAAGGAAACACCCATCCTGTTGGCCAGTCAGTCAGCCCTGGTAATCAAAGCAACAGCCCTGTGTGACTCCACCTTTACTTCCACTCAGACAACACTTCAGATTTTAAATACAAAGGACAGCACCAGTATCGTGGAGGCAATCTGATTGATGGAGGAGGGACTGATATATGAGAAAGGACAAGAGGACTAAGGGCATCCACTGGCCCTTTACCTAAGGAGAATTCCAAACAGCTGCAAGAGGACTGACAGCAATTAACCAACATGAGTTTGGAGAGCCCAAAGGAAATGAGCATTCATTTAATAAATATTTGTTGAGTGCCTACTATGTGCTACGTACTATACCTTGTATCAATAGTTAGGTTATCCTTAAATTGATCTGTAAGCTCCTAATGGGCAGGAACTATTTCTCTTACATCTTTTGTGCTGGACAGAACCTAGTACATTGAAGACACTTAATTGAATGGTTGATTTCAAATGGCTTATTGAGAAACATTTGTAATTAAGGTTAAGTAATCTAAAATGTTTACCCCTTCAATTATCCCCTTTAATGTTCAAGTTATATAGGAAATGAAATGGAAAATGAGAGAGAACCCCAAAGTGGGTAAGAGTGGGAGAGGGACTTGAAATGAGCTTTAAGGAGACAGAATAGGTGAGATAAACTTATCAATGGATTCTTTAGCAGCCCTGCTTTCTATTACATGGTCTGTTCAACAGCTGAAGCTGGGCATATACAAAAACTGCTGGGAAGACACCAAAAGAAGAGGATTCACTGAGATAAAATGATTACATACGGGGCCCTGTAGAAGTACTCTCTCTGTGTGTGATTAAGAAAATAGACAGTGATGGGATTAATGGAGGGTGATGATGAGAAGGGAGACACTCTGACACATGTAAATTTTAAAGTGCTAAAGAGGAAGAGAATGAGCGAGGAAGTAGAATTAATCATTTGGAAGCCATATTCCTTATCTTCCACTATCCCAAAATTTAAGGATAAAAAGAGAGAGTACCATCTACATTCCCTACTCCTAAGTTATCTCACGTGATCCTCTTCCCCACTGCCACATCTGCCATCAAGAATACGCGTTAACATTAAGTGTTGCAAGATGTATATATTAAGATGAAGTATCATTTGCCTCAGACTTCACAATAATCTAGGTTTAAGTCTTTGACAGCCTCTGTATAGATCCTTCTAGAATGGGACAGTTTGCCTTCCATCCTGCTCAAAGGCAGGGGAATAAGTATTGGTCTAGCTAACATCAGCCTACCACAGTAAGTCTGTTCCCTCTAAGAATCCTCATTTAAAATGTGTAAAATCACTTAACATTTCCAAACTTTAAGATATGTAGCCTTTATTCTGATCAATTATGGATACCTTTCAGGGACATGTGACCTTGTGTCTGCCCAGGACAAATGTGCCTGAGATGGAAACAATCAGAAGGTCATTCTTTTCCCCAAATATTTTGGGCATTTTTCAGGATTTTTTTAATGATGTCAACTTGACTCTCCCTTTTGAATCCTTGTGGGTATGAGCCTTCGGCCCTCCCAGCCTCAGAGGGAAGAGAACCCTTTCTCAGGTTTTCTGCTGCATCTGGCTCCATGCCTAGCTTCATCCCGAAGCAGCATTCTGGGTGTGTGGGGCCACCAGCCAAACAAGCCCCTATGGAACAAAAAGTGTGTCAGTGTAGACAGGAATAAGCCTCCAGAGGGCTGTGGGGGAGGAAGGTAGCAAGCCCCAGACATGACACAAGTGGCTTTGCTGGCACTGGCCCATTTGGACCTGTGAGGCCAGGCTCTGCAATGGTTCCAGTACTCAGGATTGGCCACTTCTTAAAGTCCCAGGGCTTGCTGCCAGCCTGACCTCCTGACACGCAGGAGGAAAATGGGCTGAATGTCTCTTCTGGTTCCTTCCTATACCTGTCCACAGGCCTGACTTCAGAGTGCAAGTTCCTGTGTAATGGCTGGGACTATGTCGCTCATGGTTCCTATACAAGTGTCTTGCATAGTGCATGCATGTAAGATTGAATGCTTAATTGATGAGAAGAATGGTGTGTTCTCATCTGAGTTAAAAGCCACTGCCCTTCCTGTGCTACACTGGGGCCTCCCTGACCTTCCTCTCTACCTTATAATGGAGCAAATTTTCCATGGTCCTCATATGAAAACACTCAGAAAACGCTACTTAAGCTGCCTCTTCAACCCATGCAAAGTCTCCAAAGTGCCCACTGCAGCACCCTAAGCACCTGATGGTACTGACTGCCCTAGGCCAGATCTAAAAAGCCAGGAAATCCTGCCAGACAGACAGTCTTCTTTGTGGCTCCACCTTTACTTCCACTCAGACAACACTTCGGATTTTAAATACAAAGGACAGCACCAGTATTGGTGGTGGCAACATGATTGATGCAGGAGGGACTGATCTATGAGAAAGGACAAGAGGACTAAGGGAATCCACTGGCTCTTTATCTAAGGAGAATCCCGAACAGCCACAAGAGGACTGACAGCAATTAACCAACATGAACTTGGAGAGCCCATAGCAAGTCCTCTACATTATACCAAGGTCAGTGGGGAGCTACAGAAAGATAAAACCTGGTCTTCTACATGCTAGGGCTTCAAAATTATGGGTCCCAAGGCTTCATTAATTTCTTGTTTCAGGTGATATAAAGATGTGATTACTCAGATCAAGCTACAACAAAGTCAAACTACAGATAAAGCAAATCTCCACACTAGAAAGGACTCTGGTGATTTTTTAAACAATCTCCCACTCCATGCAGGCACCACTTTCATAGCATCCCTGACCAGAGGCATCCCATGAATCCATTCCTTCATGACGCAGCCAGCTCCAGTTCCACGCAGCTGCATTTTTAGGAAATTCTTCCTCTTAGCCACTGCTCCTAGTTCTGCCCTCTGAATCCAGAGAGGACAAATCCACTCCCTCTGCCTCATGTCACTGGCAAAACATTTTCTTACATCTCTCTGATAAATAGGAATTAGTAAAGGGACCAGTGGTGAATCTATTGCTCATTGTTTTCCAATAGACAGCACCCAGTCATTATAAATGACAGTGGGCAAAAAATGGCTGTTTGTTGTGGGAATACTGTGGTTTAAAAAAAAAAAAAAAAAAAAAAAAAAAAGATAGGCTCAAGCTGTGCCCTTAGGATTTTGCAGTCCTTAGAAGGATTCAGGAGTCTGGCCGGGTGCGGTGGCTCACGCCTGTAATCCCAACACTTTGGGAGGCCGAGGCAGATGGATCACTTGAGGTCAGGAGTTCAAGACCAGCCTGGCCAACATGGTGAAATCCTGTCTCTACAAAAAAAAAAAAAAAAAATAGCCAGGGCGTGGTGGCGGGCACCTGTAATCCCAGCTACTCAGGAGGCAGGGGCAGGAGAATAGCCTGAACCTGGGAGGCAGAGGCTGCAGTGAACCGAGATTGCGCCATTGCACTCCAGCCTGGGCAGCAGAGCCAGACTCCGTCTCAAGAAAGATTCAGGAGTCTAAATCAGGGTGGGCTGGAGAGGTGTCTGTTTCCAGGTTCTCCCACCCCTGTCAACTTGACAGATGTTGGCGCTGGGTCAAGAAAGATCTAAGTCTATATGATCCTAGAAAGAGGAATACAATTCTCAACTCTTCAAATCCTGAGTAAGGTGGGTTGAGGATCCAGCAAAGCAGCATGCAAGCATGCACTGGGTTCCTTAGCAAAACTGAGAGAGAATGCAGGGCTATGGCTACATGCAGAGCTGTCGCTCTTCCTTCCTCTTCCCCCTTCTCCAGTAACAACAGGGAGAGACCAACAGTCAGAGGCCCACTAATCTCAGTACCACCCTCCCCACAGGAGGATAATTACAATTAGACAAACCAGCAAAAACAAAGTCCTCACTCCAGGGTTGCCCCCAATTCCTCCATGAGGACCACAGTCTAAATCAGCCAGTGACCTCGACCTTCAAGGAAAAGGTGATTTCCCTGTGCTTCCTCACTTATTGGCAACTCTCCAAAGGCAGCAATAATGCCTCTGTTTAACTTTTCCATCTACTAAAATATGAAGACTTGTTATTTAAAACTGACTGCAAGAACATCCTCCACCAAGAGTAACTAAGCAGCAGGAAAAATCTCTCTAAGGGAGAGGGAGGTAGGCTGAGCCAGTGGAGATTGAAACAGCAGTCTCTCAGGCAGGCAGTGGCTGGACTGGCAGATCCCTCTACAGTCAAATGCTAATGCTCACCTCTCTCTTCCTTACATTTTATGCTGGGGTTTGGCCACTGCCTCCCAGACTGTAAGACAGTGCTGACCAAAATGCCTGTGGGTGATGTTTTACACAACAACGACTTAGAATCTCAGAAGGACCACAGGAGGAAAATGCCTTATTTTTGCCTCCTATGGAATACAGAAACTCCATTAAAGTGATTTCTAACTAGGGCCAAGCCAAATCCACTCATTCAGGGAAAGCACTAACAGAAGTCCTAATAAACATGAATTGGCACCCAGGATGACAACAGGCCCCTAAATGCAGAAGCGCTGAGATCCCTTAGAAAACTTTCCACAGATGGGGAGATCTGATGGAGCACCCATGACACCCAACCCCAATAGTGGATCCCACTCCTCCCAGTCTAAAAGGGCTTTGACTGTCACCAGCTCATTTCTCAAGGGAACCACCTCTGCCCACTCCTCTCAAGACACATGACTTTGGGAACAAGGAAGGAGGGATAAAAGACAGAAGAGGCAGGGCAGAGAGCTGAGTTTGCTTCTACTCTGGGATATTACAATGAGAAACATCTTCACCCCGCCGGAACTGTGGCTACTGGGTGCAGGCACTGTACTTGAAGCAGTTGTGTGAGACCAGGCTACTTGATACTTATTATTGTTAAAACCTCAAGATTTAGCCCAAAGGGAAATGAGTTACAATGCTGTCTTGTCTAAGGGCTACTCACTTCTTTTTAAAGAGCTTGCGGAAGGAGCTGCGAAAGCCCCCCTTCTGGTCTTGCCTGGGATTTTGATCGCTGAAAGATGTTTGTTCACTTTCTCTTTCTTCTTTGGGACAGAATCTGGTAGTATCTTCTAAATGCATCTCCTGGAAACAAAAAAGAGGGATTTTTTTCTTTACTCCTTCCAATGTTATTATGGATCCTGACTATGGGACAATTTTGTGGTGTTGTGACTTTCCTCTCCCATGCCAAAAGACTACCAGTGGGCACCCAATCCCAACTAAAGCAAACCTAGGCTAATGAAGAAACCAGCAGGCGAAAAGAGGATAATTTCCTGCTGAGTGTAGTATTTTCTATGTATCAAGGCAAATAGTCTAGTGTAATATATAACAATAATTAAAGATAAGGAAATAAAGAACATTAGCTAATGTTTAAAAAGTGGACTTTAAAAGAAGACTGCAAGAACGTCCTCCACGAGTGAATAAATTATTATTTTGACACCAACACTGTCGTGCTAGAAAACCAGTAGCAGTCCCCTCTTATCTCCAGGTGTTTCTCTTTCTACAAAATAAGGATGTTCCTTACTTGTAATGCTAGTTTTAAACTCATGTTCCTAACTCTCCATTTTAAGCATAATCGAGGGAAGGCATTTTTGAGAAGTCAGACCTGTTTAGAAGTAAATGTCAACTAATACTTTCAACCTGAAAATATGCCTGTAATACAGTTTTTACAATTCTTAACCCATGCTATTTGGAGTATAAAGTAAAATAAGTTAAAAATAAGGCTGTATCTTTTGTGACCTCTCTAGTTTTTTCTAAGTGTGAGATGTGCTAAATAGAAGTGCATGTATATTTATATGCATACAAGCCAGATATGCACTTATATACATGTTTATATTCCATACGAACAAAGTATTTACCTTGAGGTGACTATAATTTAAGAGCAACTTTAAAAACAGCTGCTGAATTTTGAATAACCTTTAGAGAACCCCAAGAAGTCAAAGCAAAAACCACACCAATGATGCCCTAAAAGTCTCATGAATTAGATAGGTGACTGCTTGCTGACAGAGAAGCAAAGTGTTAGGGTGGATTTTTTTTTTTTTCGGGAAACATATGGGTCTGACTTTGAGAACTGGGGGTTGCAGATACAGAAATTCTCTGAGATTCTACTAAGATTCATAACTAGACCATGGAGCTAGACATGCAGTGTTTCTTAAAGTGCGGTCCTGTGACTACAGGATCAGGTTGGGCCTTTATTTAAAATGTAGCTTCTTGAGCCCCATCCCAGACTTTGTGAATCAGAATCTCTGCAGTTAGGCCTAGGTAATCCTTACGCACACTTAGATTTGAAAACGAATGATTTAAGGGAGGGTTCCCCAACTCCCAGTACTAGTCTGTGACCTGTTAGGAACTGGGCCACACAGCAGAAGGTGAGCAGTGGGGTGGGTGAGCAAGCGAAGCTTCATCTGTATTTATAGCCGCTCCCCATTGCCTGCATTACTACCTGAGCTCCACCTTCTGTCAGATCAGCAGTGGCATTAGATTTTCATAGGTGCACAAACCCTATTGTGAAATGCACATGCAAGGGATCTAGGATGCGCACTCCTTGTGAGAATCTAATGCCTGATGATCTGAGGTGGAGCTGAGACAATGATGCTAATGCTGGGGAGTGGCTGCAAATACAGATTAACATTAGCAGAGAGGTTAGACTGCACAGAGACCATAATAAATCAATTGCTTGCAGACTCATATCAAAACCCTATCAGTAAGTGGCAAGTGACAATTAAGCTGCATCTGGTGGCAGTCTTTACAGTTGCAAGTGAGTTGATGAACTTCAATGGTACAGCTGCATCTGGTGGCCTTAAAAGTAGGTTTGAGATAATTTCAAATCTCCATACGTTCTGGATTAAAGTCAAGGCAGAATATCATGAGACTGCCACAAAGCACTGAAAAGCCTGCTTCCATTTCCAGCATCCCATCTTTGTGAAGCAGGGTTTTCTGCAGTGACAGCAACCAAAATGAGATTACAGAGTAGATTGGACATAAGTGACACACTTCAGGTGTCACTCTCACCCATCACCCCCAGATGGGACCGTCTAGTTGCAGGAAAACAAACTCAGGGCTCCCACTGATCCTAGATTATGGTGAGTTGTATAATTATTTCATTATATATTACAACGTAATAATAACAGAAATAAAGTACACAATAAATTGTAACGCACTTGAATCATCTCAAAACCACCTCCCCCTCCGCAGTCTGTGGAAAAATTGCCTTTCCCAAAACTGGTCCCTGGTGCCAAAAAAGTCGGGGACCACTGACTTAAGGCATGCTTCTGCCCACCTACACTTAATGTTTATATCAATCACCGCGAATGATCCTAAATTCTGATTCAGTAGGTCTGGGGTGCAAATTCTGCATCTATAACAAGTTCCCAGGCAATGCATTTGCTAATACCCCCATATTTTGAGAAATGGGCTTTTAGAGACTATTTAGTGACTAAATCTATTAATGGTTTAAGGAAAATCGTTCTATGGAACCATGATCTCAATAGCATTTCATACTTTATAAAGCCTACTCAAAAATTGTATCTTCTTTGGCCTGATCCTCCCAACAACCCTGTGAGATAGGTTGTTTTATTTTGAGACAACTGGAGGCACAGAGAAGCCAAGTGACTTGTCCAAAAGCACACAGCTACTGTGCAGCAGAGCCAGGACTAGAACCTAGAGCTCCTGACAGTCACGTGTTCTCACTAGAGCATACCATCTTCTTTCTTGACTCTAAAAGAGACAAAACACTAAAGACTAGGTCTCGGCTAGCTCTGCTGGGCTGGGTGAAAGATATACAGAGTATTTAAAGGGAAGAAACACTAGGAGTTTTGCACATCTCAAAAGCAAAGAGTTGATACCTTTAAGGATAGAGCTTTTAAGGGGTTTATCTTTTGCAACTAAAACACCATTCCACCATCACCTCCAACACACACAAACATGCATATATATACTTAGACATGCAGACGTGCACATACATGCCCATGCACATATGTATACCCACATGGTCTCTGCCCACCTGCACTCTGCATGCTACCTCTCTCTAGGACTTCTAATAACCAGGGCCTTTTTTTTTTTTTTTTTGAGACAGAGTCTCACACTTTCTCCCAGGCTGGAGTGCAGTGATGCGATCTCGGCTCCCTGCAAGCTCCACCTCCCGGGTTCACGCCATTCTCTCGCCTCAGCCTCCTGAGTAGCTGGGACTACAGGTGCTCACCACCATGCCCGGCTAATTTTTTTTTTTTTTTTTTTTTTTTTGTAGAGACGGGGTTTCACCGTGTTGACCAGGATGGTCTTGATCTCCTGACCTCATGATCCGCCCACCTCGGCCTCCCAAAGTGCTAGGATTACGGGCGTGAGCCACCGCACCCGGCCACAACCAGGGCCTTTTAAGTTTTTAGAAAGAAAAATTGTGTCTAGAAACAGAAATAAGTAATGGGAACTTTGCATGCTTGAAAATTTTAATGATATTGCTAGAGAAAATGCCTCTTTTAACTGACTTCCATTTGCAATTTCCTTGGTATCTCATTTTGAACTGACTTGACGCATGTCTTACACTGTTAGGAGATGAAACTTGCTGGCCAGTATGTGCAATTAACGGTTCCTGATACACTGTTATTGTTATTTGGTATGTCTGGTAAACAGCCACAAATATATTACTCATTGTTTGCTTCTCAGATATATTTCTGATTAATGGTTTTTGCCTTACAATTGTTGAACCCCAAATTTTTCACAAATCAACTACAAAAGGACATTGTTATTACATACGAAATAAAAGTTCTTTACAGTACAGACTATACTAGTTAGAAGGTTTTGTATGTAAACCTCTGCTTATCCCAAGTCACACTGAATTGGCACTATAATTTCCATTTACTTCCCCTTTCAATAAACTTCTAAACTCTGACACATGCCTAAGATTGATTTCTCCAAGAAATTCTGCCTAATCAAATTTTACAAAGCTTGGGGTTGAAAATCAGAGCTAGAGGAAAATCTGAGAACCCCAGGGAACCTCAGCAGCTTTAGCTGAGCACACTATTACATGTTTTTGTCCTCTGCAGGGACCAGACACAGACTTTCACTGCTGGAGTGCAGGTGGGCAGCAAGCTCCAAGGCTCTTCATGATCCCGCCCCTTCCTGTTCCTCTGGCCTAATTTCCACCACTTTGACATGGCACAGTATGCCAGAGAAAAGGCATCACCATGCTTTTCTCACGCTTCCCTACCTCACTCTTCCCCTAGCCAACTTCTAGGCAGCTTTTACAATCTAATTCGGACATTCAACTTATCTAGGAGGCCTTCTCTGACCACCATGACCCCAAAGGTTTTAAATATCCTTCCCATGTGCTCCCACAGTTTATTACATAATTCTGTGTTCCTGTGTCTCCTTCCTGTACTAAGCCAGTGGTCCCGGAGGATAGAGACTGGTTTATTTCTGAATTTTCAGCAATTAGCACAGAGCCTGGTACAAGACAAGAACTCAGTGTTTGCTGAAAAATTAATGAATGAGAAAAGTCAGTGTCATCACTGTTTCCATTCGAAAATGAGAATAGTTGGAACGGAAGGGTGGTCGCACAGGTCAGAACTATCATGTTACTTATGCTCTGCTTAATCAGATCAGAGCAATTATTTGCTCAGAAACTATTAGCACTTCATGGATAAGTATTTAAAGACCTCTTTAAATGCCCTCCAGGCTTGCAGACACCACAATTAGACACCAAAATATCAAACACCTGTAGACCTGCAGACACAGGGGTTGGCCATCAGAATACCTCAACATTCACTGAGGCCAAAGAAGGTTTCTATTTTGGGATGTCCCTGACCCAATAGAGTTTGCAAATTAATAGGACACTCTTTTCCAGTCAAAAGAAAAGCAAGCAGAAATAAAGCTGGCTTTGCAGCAAATTGCGCAGCGAGTCTACCTTGAGCTAGGGCAACTTGCCTCCTCCCTAGCTACAAGCAAGAATGCTGCCGGGAAGAAGTGGAGTAGGCTGGCGCACCGTGTTCCATATTCTCAACATAGAAACGACACCTCACAGACAGAAGAAACACACTGGCCCGGGACCTGCGTGCGGGGCTCTGAAAAAAGTGCAACTCTTCACATAAGCAGGAAGAGATTACCCATAACTCCCTAAATGCGTGTGTGTTAATCAGGTCTAAAGAGTGGCGGGCTTCTCTGCTACCTCTGCCATCCCTCGTGTACCATATGAGGCAAGCTCTTTGGGTCCTGGTACTGGAGAACAGGCGCTGCCACTCGCCTTCCAGGGCCCAGCAGCCTACAGCTCGCAGGGCGCGGGGGCTGCCCCTGCTCTCCCTCCGCCTCCACCCGCCGACGGCTCGCGCAGCCGCCCCCTAGCCTGGCCCGGCCCCGCTCCTCTCCACGCTAGGAGAACTCGGGATGCTTCCTGCAGATCTAGGCCTGGGGCCGTCGACGCTGTGGGTTTCGGTTCGGTTTTACTTTACCCTCCTTACTTCCAAATAGGTCTGTTTTTCGCTTTGGGACCTCTGTTGGGGGAAGAAGGTCCTGGATGCGCCGCGGGCGGCGACGGCGGCGGCGGCCGGGCCGTGCGCCTGCGCGGCGCGCTCGGCCTTGATGGGCGCGCGGCCGCCGCTGCTGCTGCGCGTGCTGTAGAGGCGTGGGGCCACGCCGTCGGCTGGCGGCGCACGCGGGAACTCTTTGAGAGAGCGGCTCAGCGGCTTGGCCTTGCCGTGCGCCTGCGCCGCCGCCTCCAGTTTGTAGGCGCTGCTGCTGCCCGCCGGCGACGTAGCGCTCTTGGGCAGCGGCTGCAGCGGGTGCTCCGGCCGCTCGGCCTCCATGGCGAAGCTGACGGGCCGCAGGAAGCAGATGTCCAGGCTGGACTCGGAGGAGGCAGGCGAGCAGTTCTCGAAGAGGGCCGGAGCCTGGAACGGCTCCTCGTCGTAGGGCGCGGGCAGCGCGAAGATCTCGCCGCCGTACTCGAACTCTTCGTAGGCCGCGGGCACGAAGCCGCGGGCATCGGGCAGGAGCTCGGCCGGGGCGCGCAGGGAGCGCTCCACGTTGCCCAGCGGCTCCGCCGGAGAGGACTCGAAGTCCATCTCCGGGATGGCCTGCAGGGGCCCGGCCAGCGCCTTCACGTCCTGCTCGGCCGCGCAGAACTGCGTCGGTGCCAGAAGGCTCTCGGGCCGCTCGTGCTTCCTGCCCTCCAGCTCCCAGTCACTGGGCTTCCCGGGCTGCATGCTCTCCATCAGGCTTTGCTGCTGTTGGCTTTTCTTCACTGGGGGCATCAGATGTCTTTAGGGGGAAAACAGAGTACAAAAGAGCTGTGCTTACGGCCGGTTAGTGCAGGCCTCTCGCCTGCCGGCGCCCCTCGGGGCCGCGCTCCGAGGCGCCTGTGCATGCCACCTCCCGAGCTCCACAAACTTCCACTAAGGCGCTCCCACGAACCCCCGTTCCCAGGCGGAGAGTGGACAAGGCAGTCCGTCGAGCGGAGGCCCGAAGGTATTGTCTGAGCTTCTGGGAAATGGCCTGCGGGCCAGGGACTGTCATCACCCCGCGTGGAAGCCCTGACCCTCCTCACCACCTGCGGTGCTCCAAGGCACACCTTCAACTCTCTTCTCTCCCTTGCTTGCCCTAGCAGAGTCATACGGAATAATGGAAAACTCAACTTCTGTTCGACTTGTGGATCTTCACACTCAGAAACAAATTACGTTCCTAGATAAAGTAAACGTGGCATGATCTTGATAACTGTTGAATCTGGATGAGGGCATGTGGAGTTCACTGAACTCTTCTATGTAAATTTGAAATTTTCATAATAAAAATTTTAAAATATTCCTTGTCACTGTAAAGCATGCTATATAATTAATCTCAAACTTCCACCCACAAAGAATTACCAACATGTAAAAGCTGTCACTCGATATGCCCAATTTCATGGAGGGTTTTTGGTTTTGGAGTCATGGGTAATGGATAATTTACACAGTTTACAAACTAGGATAGGGTACCATCAGATGGGATGTCCAGTTGTTCTGGACTTAAATTGACAGATGTAAGTGGACACTGACCAGAAGTGGTTATTCTGCTAGTTTATGTATTCATATTTTAATTCTACCACAAAAATGCATAAAGACTTCGGGAGGCCGAGGCAGACGGATCGCCTGAGGTCAGGAGTTTGAGACCAGCCTGGCCAACATGGTAAAACCCCGTCTCTACTAAAAGTACAAAAATTAGCCGGGCATGGTGGCAGCCTGGCCAACATGGTAAAACCCTGTCTCTACTAAGTACAAAAATTAGCCGGGCATGGTGGCAGGTGCCTGTAATCCCAGCTAGTCGGGAGGCTGAGGCAGGAGAATCCCTTGAACCTGGGAGGCGGAGGTTGCAGTGAGCTGAGATCATGCCATTGTACCTCGGTCTCAAAAAAAAATAAAAACAATGCAAATATAAATGCTAAAACCAATATCTTACTCTGGTGGTCTGAAAATGAAAATTAGGTCTCACGTTAACATGTGAAAGAGTGAAACAAAATATTGACCTCATTTGAATTCTCTTTTAACTTGGAAGAAAGATTGGGGGTTTTATTTTCCATACGCAGAGTGCAGTGGCAGCCATATTGTTGAGTCTGGGTATAATCTCTAGGGGTTTCATATTTTGGCTCTATTTGTTGCATTTCAAAGAAGATGAAGTTTTGTAACTGCTTCAAGAGTTGAAGTGATCCATGAAGTAAATATCTACTTTCTGCCTCTCTTCCCACTTTCTACACCTGTCCCTTAACATTAGTGCCTTCCTCTGGGACCCAAGAATCGGGTTGGCTGCTTGGTTGGCACATATAGGCCTGATGGGGAAAGGGGATGGAGGAATCTAGGCTGCCCTGCTAACCCGCACAGACTGGCTGGGTCCCAAAGGCATTGGCATTAACCTTCCCACAGCAACAGGTGCTTACGTGATGGCAGGGCCAGAACTGGGAGCAGAAGGGTAGGGTTGCAGCAACTCTTCTGAGTGGATCCCAGTGTCACGGACAGCCTCAGGACCTGCAGTGGGGGAAGCATCTTGCCCAGCATTGGCACACTGGGAAGCCAGCCCTTTGTACAGCTTCGCCATGGATGACCTAACAGAATGGAAATAACAGTTCTCAGGTTGTACAGTGGCAAACTGGCTCTCTGAACACATATTATGCCAAAAAAGATAGAGAGATGTCTCAGATAAAGTTTGCTGTGAAGGTCTCTATCTCCAGGGGCCTTTGCAAACTAAGTTGCTTTGCTTAATAGGGTGCAAGCTGGCAGGACTAGGGAAGCTGATTCACTGGCTGAAAAGAGCTTGGGGGAAGGGGTTGGGGGTATGGAGAGACAGCTTCCATAACAGGAACCCTGGCTTGGGAGACAGCATCTTTTTCTGGTCTGCGGCTTCCACAGAAATGGTTGTTCTCCTCCACAGGAGTTGGGATGAAATTGAAGGAAATCCAGGTCATTAGGAAGCTGTGCTGTGGGTTGCTTCTGTTCCCTCCGAAGCTCAGATCCTCCCTAATCCACACTTCCTATTTCTCCCTAATATAAAACCTATCTGAAATTCCTCTCCCTTATTTGCTTTATTTTTATCCATATCACATATCACCATCTTATTTATTTGTTCACTGTCCAACTCTAAAAAGGAAACTCCATGTGGCAAAGATTTGGTTGGGGCCATTTTGTTCCTTTCACTATATTCAGTGCATGGAACAGTGCCTGACACACAATAGGTGCTCAATAAATATCTGTTGAATTAATAAAGAAAACTATGTTGTGGTCTTTTAACTGCAGTTTTGAACCAGGCAAGTTTAGGGCAGTTGAACTATTTTTGAGGTGGTTAGCAACATGGGATGAGAGGGGGTCTATGTAAGCAGTAGAGTGAAGTGTTTTTTTTGCTAAAATAATTTCCACTGGGTAGTCAGTGTCTTGCTCCTATAACCAGTCTGACTAGCTCTTTCTCTCCCCTTCTCTCTTTCCTTCTACCTCCCACCACTGCATTTCAGGTACTTAACACACAACGTGGTTACTTGTGAAAGACACCCATAGTAACTGGTCTTCGACCCTCTAGACCACACCATCAGAACCTTACTTCTTGAGCTTTTTCCGTTTCTGAATAAGCAAATCTTCATTGCATTGAAACAGCAGGGTGTAGTGTGAGATAAATACTCGGAGGCGCTGGACACACACCAGTAGTAGATAATAGTCAGGGTGCTCCTGCTCTGTGAACTTCAGGACGTTCTGGATGGAGGGGAAAAGGAAGTAGCATTGCATAATCAGCATGAAAATTTGTTTTTTCTCTTCTGCACCTCACCTTGATCTATTGTGGGAGATTCATAGCCATTTAATCAAAACAATGAACAATACACATGACCCCCATCTAATTATACGCTGAAAGGTCAAACTGGCTGCTCTCTATCATACCAACGGAAAATAAGTCACTATCGTACCTGTTTGAGTTGAATGTGAACATAAAATAATTTCATCTGAAAAGTTAGAAGCATCTCCTAATTGGACCTCTGAAATAATAGCGGCATTCTAACAATTACTGTCTATAAGTAGTGCCTTAACTCAAAAGAGCCAGACCAATGATGAGAACGTCAGGCATCAAGGCAGGCAAGGGAGGGGGATGTTTATGATCAAGCCTGGTGGCCCCTTCTGTTACATTCCCCGCTGTGCTGTAGTGGAACATGCCTAGGACTTGGATTTGGGAAAGCTAAAATGTATCGAGTACTTCCTATTGCCAGGTAGTAAGCCCTTTATGTATATTATCTCATTTAATTGTTACCGCAACGTGCTTAAATAGGTACCATTATAAACTCCATTTAACAAGTAAGGAAATCGAGGTACGAAGAAGGTAAATGATCTTCATCAGGTCACACATCTAGTAAATAATGGAGGCAAGATTTGAACTCAAGTCAGAGAGTAGAACCAGGGCTTGTTTGCCATATTCTACTATTTGCAAAACCTGGGTTTCAGTCCTAGTTTTTTTTACCTACTAGGTGTGTTAACTTGGGTAAATTGTTAACTTATTTGGCCCTGCATTTTCTCTTGTAAAACATGACAACAATAATACCTATTTCATGGGATTGTTGAAAGGATTAAATAAGATCATTATTGTGAGAAAATGCTTTTAGGATCTAAAGCTATATACAGTTGAAAGTCTTTTCAGGGCACGGGTGGTGGCTCACACCTGTCATCCCAGCACTTTGGGAGGTGAGGCGGGCAGATCACCAGGAGATCGAGACCATCCTGGCTAACACGGTGAAACCCCATCTCCACTAAAAACACAAAAATTAGCCGGGTGTGGTGGTGGGCGCCTGTAGTCCCAGCTACTCCGGAGGCTGAAGCAGGAAAATGGCATGAACCCGGGAGGCGGAGGTTGCAGTGAGCTGAGATCATGCCACTGCACTCCAGCCTGGGCGACAGAGTGAGACTCCATCTCAAAAAATAAAAATAAATAAATAAATAAATAAGCCAGGCATGGTGGCAAGTGCCTGTAGTCTCAACTACTCAGGAGGCCGAGGTGGGAGCATTGCTTGAGCCTGGGAGGTTGATGCTGCAGTGAGCCAAGATCAAGCCAAGATCACACCACTGCACTCCAGCCTGAGCAACAGAGCCAGACCCTGACTCAAAAAAAAAAAAAAAAAAAAAAAAAGTCTTTTCAATATTGATGCTTTGATACTGGACTACTGGACTACTTCTACCTGAAATTAATCCCAAGCATTTCTAAGACGCTTTCATTGAATTACTTAAGAAGATCAGTCAGCAATTAAACCAGAACAGGTGGGTGGTGGGAAGAAGAGGGTCTGGTGGGGGTTAGTGAACCTCTCTTTCAACTCTTCTTCCTCCAGGATATCACAAGTCCTGCAGGAAATTGGTGTGAAGACATCAGCTCATCATCTTCATGCCTCTTCTGTGACATAAAGCTTAAGCATGGCATGGTAGAACCTTGGACCAATGCCAAAAGAAAGTAGTCAGGATAGCAGTTAAGTGAACAGGTTAGATGGATATTTAGATGTCAGGTGGTGGCATTTAGATAGCTGTAAAAACCAAAATGGAAAGAACTGGATGAGGTGCTTAGAATCTAGCAGGAGTGGTTCTAGAAAGATCCTGGATCAGCTGAGGTGGAAGTTGCTGGTAAGTAAAGATAGAACTTCAGAGGTAAGCATCATGAGCTGAAAATTTTTAGAAATAAAGATTTTAGGCTGGCTGCAGCGGCTCACACCTGTAATCCCACCACTTTGGGAGGCTGAGGCGGGCAGATCACTTGAGGTCAGGAGTTCAAGACCAGCCTGGCCAACATGGTGAAACCCCATCTCTACTAAAAATACAAAAATTAGCTGGGCATGGTGGCACATGCCTGTAGTCCCAGCTACTCGGGAGGCTGATGCAGGAGAGTCACTTGAACCCAGGAGGCAGAGGTTGCAGTGAGCCTAGATCACACCACTGTACTCCAGCCTGGGTGACAGAGCAAGACTCTGTCTCAAAAAAAAAAAAAAAAAAGGTTTTAGCTCATACCACAGGGTATTATGGGTTATCAGGTAATCATAACAATCTAAATAAACACTTCTTAGAAATATTAATGATTCTTGAGGCTTTACAGTATTTCTCAGTTGGGAGCCAAAACCAATAATTACTTAGCATGCAAATCAGTTTGGTGGCTTTCCCACCCATGCCTACCTGCAGATGTATCAGATATTCAGGGATGCGCTGGACTATGTGAAAAAACAACGTGTAGATGTCAGATTTAATCTCTTCATCACCCTGAATGAAAGAAAGGTCAAGTTACTCTTCAGTGTTCCTCCAGCTGTGGCAGCAGAACCTCGAATCAGTCCCACCAGGGTAGGAAGGGTTTCCTCCCAGAGCATTTTCTTCCCAGAGATTGTCATAGAGCATTGCTGTCTCATAGGAGAGGCCACATGTTCAGGGACATGCCCTAGGAGACAGCTCTTCTCCCTCAGGGAGCATATCATATACTTATTTTGAATCCACCCAAATTTCCAAACTACCCTCTCCTTCCACTCAGCGCAGTTCCAGACAGAAGCGGGCACTCAATGAACTATATTTTAGCTGAATTAATTCATTAAGACTCTCCAGCAAGTAATCATGACAATGGTGTAGTAACAGGCTCTAAGGGAGACTTGGCGCTTCAGGACAATGGAAAAGGGAGTGTCATTAGAACCTAGTTAGCTGGCCTGGCCGCAGAAAACATGCTGCACTTTCTCTGTGTCCCTTCCTTTTCCTTCTCTTCTCTTTCCCAGATATTTGCTGAAAGCTAACATGGTAGGCATTATACTGGGTTGGGAGTAGTGGGGGGTTGAAGTAGAAACTTAGTAAGACAGAGCCTCTCATCTCTTGTGAAATTTGATTAACTCTTAGTGTTGGGGCTTCTGATACTGTTTTTTCCTATTGATCTGAAGTAACTAAGTTGTTATAGATGTGTATGTGCTTACTGAGCACCTAATGTATCATTGCAGTAGCAATACTTCAAGCAACATGACTAGAGCCACCTTATCTTATAAACTGACAAAGGATGACTGAAGTTTAATATTCAGATTCACATCTTCTGAGACTGGAAAAAAACCCACCACATACAGCATGTAAGCTGCAGCCTGGAGATCTCTGCATAGAATGCCCATTATAGAACTATAGTTTGTCTATAGTTCCAATGGAATGGAACAGAGGGTCAGTAAGGCAGGGAGAGGACCAACACAATGGCACTGATCCTCAAGTGAGTTCCTTTAATGCCAGGTAGTGGTATTAGTGGCTGTGTTCAGGCCATTCCCCAGCCTAGAAAGCACAGTGCATGCGCTGTATTGACTGGGTGGATGAGCAACATCATATGATGCCATGTGCAGATGAAGGATAGCATATATATGGCGTTAACTCACCTCTTTCAGGACTACAACATGAACCAATGAGATGCACTCAGGCAGGTCCCTTAGGTAGGCAACATAATAATCCAAGAAATTATTCTTTAAAACAAACACAAAAATGCATGGTAAGAACCTGAAAACAGGATCTATAATATTTTTATAGAGTCATATATGTAAAAGAAGAGTACTTTGCAGAGATTATCTTATTCATTTAATATGTTCTTCATTTTATATATTTTGAGGCTTTAAAGAATTAATCTTAGATAAGGCGCGGTGGCTCACGCCTGTAATCCTAGCACTTTGGGAGGCCAAGGCAGGTGGATTGCCTGAGCTCAGGAGATCGAGACCAGCCTGGGCAACACGGTGAAACCCCGTCTCTACTAAAATACAAAAAATTAGCCAGGCATGATGGCAGGTGCCGCTAATCTCAGCTACTCAGGAGGCTGAGGTAGGAGAATGGCATGAACCCGGGAGGCAGAGCTTGCAGTGAGCCGAGATTGCACCACTGCACTCCAGCCTAGGGGACAGAGTGAGACTCCGGCTCAAAAAAAAAAAAATGTATCTTAAAAAAAATTTTGGTTTTAAGGTAAACATTCCTACCCTTTGGAATCAAAACTCAGCATCCCCTCCCTAATGAGAGAAAGTGAAATAATGAAACCAGGGAGGAGGGAGGTTCATGTAAGTTGAAAATGTATTTTTTTAGTCACTTAACAATAAAAATGTATCTTTTATTTTTGTAATTCCATTTCATTTCAGTCAATCATGTACGTCCAGATGAGGGACTCTGCCCATCCCACTTCATGTCATCCAGATCAGTAGTTCACAACATTTTCTAGTAATTGCATATTTCCACTAATTACATATTTATCTATGCATTATCCCCTTAGGAAAATCATTCTCAGCTTCTAAAGTTATAATAATTCTCAGCTAAAGGAAGCATACTGAACACAAGTGAGTAAAAATGATATTAGAGGATATTAGTACATTATATGCACTCTAGTCTGTAGAAGAAAATAATTTGTAAACTTTGTATTGTTATCCACAGTTGAGAATAATTGATACACAGAAATTGATTTCAGGCAAAGTCTGGCTTGCAGACCAATTTTAATTAGCCCACACAATCTTTTAAAAATAAGAAAATTTCCCACAAAATTCTGGATTTCCAGCTTTTCTTAAAATATCAGAAGCTCTGGCAACTCTAGTCCTTTTTTCCTGCATAATGATTGGATAAAGCTGAGTAGCTATTCCTTGTAGAACAACACAGCTGCTCCACTGCAGCTCACACTTCACACCAGTCCATACTGTGTTCACTTCACTCATTTATGCCACTGTCTGGCCCCATAGGCATTTGAGTTTGCAGCCTCTGGCTTGGATCATATTTTCTTTGTAGGATATTGTAGAGATTGCAAAATTCAAGATAATAGCCACCCATCACATTTTTTAAAAAATCTCCAAGGAATGAAAATTGTGTGTGAAAATACACATGTATATACAAACTCTCATGTGTATATATATATGCATGTGTGTGTATATATCTCATGTGTGTATATATATATTTGTGTATATATACACACAGATGCATATATATTTGTGTATATATATACACAGATGCATATATATACATGTTTTAATGTATATATACTTTTTTTTTAATTTAATAAAGACAGGGTCTTGCTGTGTCGCTCAAGCTAGTTTTGAAGTCCTGGGTTCAAACAATTCTCCTGCTTCAGCCTCCCAAAGTGTTGGGATTACAGGCACGAGCCACCACACCCGGCCCACAAATATATATACATACATTTATATAAAAACACACACACAATACATACACACATCGACATGCGTATTCAATGGAGGCAGTTATAATACAGTGGAAAGTTATGAACTAGAAGTCAGAAGACCTAACTTAGGCCTCTGAAAGTCACACATCTCCAACTACCTAGCTAGCGGGGTGATTTCAGCAAGGCTTTTAAATCTCTCTGAATCATTCCATGATCTGTATGTAGAATGAGAAAGTTAGACTAGATCTCAGTGGTTCTAGCTGTGAAATTCACTGCTTCTAGATTCTCTATTAAGAGAAGTAGACAAATGAGACACAAATCCGTATAAGTAAAATGTATAGAGGGGCAGAAAAAACCTTACCTCGTCATTTGTTAACTTAAGGAATAAATCTCCAAGAACGCCTTGGCGTGGCCACTTCAGGACCCTTTCCTGCAGTGCGTGAAGCAGATCCAGGTGCTGCTGGACGAGGTACCGTAAAGAGCCAGGGAAGAGGCTTGAAACAGAATAGAGACGGAATCACACAAACAAGGTGTAGAGAAGAAAGGACCCTACAAAAATACATGCAGCAGGGCCCATTCTCCCAGCCATCCAACATACTGTGAGTCACAGGCCTGCATTAAGGATTTTTTAAAGTTTTTCATTGCACACCTAATAGCAGATATCCCGACTACAGAAAAACAAAACAAAACAAAAAAAACCTTTACTAATGGCTTCTATACAAATGTGTATTGAACTAATAAAGAGGCCTGGCATGCCACACCTGTAATCCCAGCACTTTGGGAGTTGGGCGGATCACCTGAGGTCAGGAGTTCGAGACCAGCCTGGCCAACATGGTGAAACCCCATCTCTACTAAAAATACAAAAATTAGCTGGGCATGGTGGCATGCACCTAATTCCAGCTACTTGGGAGGCTAAGGCAGGAGAATCACTTGAATCCGGGAGGTACAGGTTGCAGTGAGCTCAGATCACGCCACTTCACCCCAGCCTGGGTAACAAAGCGAGACTCTGTCTCAAAATAAATAAATAAATAAAATACAAATAAATAAAGAGCACATCACTTGAAAGACCTTTTTACATGCTCATTTAAATGACACGCAGTGGAAATTCTAAGGGATACCTTTTTCAATGTTTTAGAGCTATTCCTATTTGATGTGCAAAATAGTCTATTCTAATTAGTGTTGTAGATGCAGCACTGAGGTGGCATCTACAAGACCATTCTCAGCTACCAGTAGGAGACTGCTATTTAGGTAAGTAGGAAAATTTGTTTAAAGTTGGCAACTAAAAAGCTCAGGGAGTTGTAGGGTATCAGAGGGTTTCTTTTTTCCTTTTCTTCAGTTTCTAAGAGGAATACTGGGCCAGGACAGTCTTGTCTGGGTAGGCTATTAATACAGTTTGGATGTGTGTCCCTGCCCAACTCTCATACTGAAATGTAACCCCCAGTGTTGGAAGTGGGCTTGGTGAGAGGTGATTGTATCATGAGGGTGAATTTCTCGTGAATGGTTTAGCACCATCCCTTTTGCTACTGTCCCACCAAGTGATAGTGATGGTGAGTGAGTTCTCATGAATTCTGGCTGTTTAAAAGTGCGTAGCGCCTCCCGTCTCTCTGTCTTGCTCCTGCTGCGCCCTGTGACATGCCTGCTTCCCCTTCGCCTTCCACCATAATTGTAAGTTTCCTGAGGCCTCCTCAGAGGCTGAGCAGATGCCAGCATCGTGCTTCCTGTACAGCCTGCAGAACCGTGATCCAATTAAACCTCTTTACTTTACAAATTACCCAGTCTCAGCTATTCTTTATAGCAATGTGAGAACGGCCTAACACAGCTACTGACCAGGCCTGGCTTGCTACTCCCTGGAATTTTACAAAGCACTTTTTCTACCCTTCCATCCCTCTCTTCTCCATCTTGCAATGTACCTCCTTTTTTCTTTTTTTTCCCTTTTTCAGAAGTAAGGAAGGGAAGAAGGGAGACGTCAGAGAAGGGTGGGGTGGAGAGGAGAGATAGAGAATCATGGGAGGAAGAGGAAGGGGGACTAGCTGGGTAAGAGTGATGTGATTAGAGGCCTATAGAAAAGAGGAAGAAAAAAATAAAAAGAAGCAGAGTTTTTTTGGGTTACAGCAAGGATTGGAGCTCTAACTTGGTGACTTAAGGTAGGTTCCTTTATGCTTTCAGCACCGCAAGTTTAACAAACAGAAAAGAGATGGTCTGGTTGATCTGAACTTACTTGAATATTTCCCCAGGGTCAAATGAGAGTAAACTCGTGGACAACTGGGGTGCTTTCCCAACAAGCAAACCTTTGTTGGAACAATAGGAAGGATGCCAGATCGAGAGGAGGTTTTTTTCAACTCATTTCCAAGCAAAGCAAAGTGACCTCTGTGACTGTAGCTCAGAGGAGACACACAAACACGAGAATAGGGTACCTAGCCCCCTATGAAAGGATATGAGGAAGACTTCCACTCCCATCTTCCACTCCCTCCACCTCCTGTGCCTGGATCCCCTACAGGTACAAAAGAGGAGAGGCCTCCTGACCTGAGCGCTTACAATGGAACAGTGGGTTTAGGAGATCAAAGAAATCCCTGTCCAGATCAGAGGGGAATTTGGAGGGGTAGCTACGGGGTATACTGACTGGGAGAAGACCATAAACCTGATGGAGAAAAACACAACTGATTGTACTGAAAGTGTAAAATGCTGCACCAGCCAAAGATCTAGGTGCAAAAGATTTCTTCCTACCCAGTGGTTGTAAATGACTTTGTGTAATAGTCCTGGTGTGACCCTGGAAGATATTAGGGCACCATGGGAAGATCTGACTTTGTGAAGAATTGTCCATATATGTATATAAAATGTCTTGGATTATCGATTTCCTTTTTCTTTCCTTCATTCCCCTTCCTCCCTCCCTCCCTTTCTTCCTCCCTTCCTCTCTCCCTCCTTCCCTCCCTCTCTCCTTCCCTTTCTTCCTTCCTTCTCCCTTTCTTTCCAGAGAGCTGCATTCTGCTACACTGTGGTCAATGTACTTGGAGAATGGGAGAGCTGGTACCAATCTCCTCCTGGACTGCCCACCGGGATGACTGTTTGAGATTTCAGGGTGGGGTTGGAGAAGGCTAAGGCCTCCATCAAGCATTGTGGAAGCACATAAGTTACATGAAAAACAATGACCTACAGTGGATTCTATACGAAACATTGAAAACGGGCTTTAAACCTTTTAAAAAAATTTAACAAGGGTATTATTTGAAATTAGGGAGGAGTGTGAAATCAGAAGACAGACAGCAAAGGGAGAAAGATGGCAAGTACAAGCCACACTTAACCTGTTTCACTCTTTTGCCTGGCGCCAGACCTGACGCCCAGAAGCAACTTTTTCATGAAGACGAAGTATTCAGAGCTCAGCTTTTTTTTTTTCCTATTCCTTACTGGGATGAAATTTTGGCAACATTAGTAGTTTATTATTTCTAAAGCCTTCAAAGTTTTTATCTCCTAACAATATAGTACTTAATCAATGAGGGAAATACACTAAAAGCAAGAAAGAAAAATCCAGTTATAGTTTGAGGTTAATAATGTAGCTTTTGTCAGCCCAGAATGAGGCCAAAATAACTCCTGAGCTTGGCAGTAGCAGGTTCCCGCCACCCTGGATGGGCATGATCATTAAACGTGTGCCACCTGGTGGTGATCTGTAGCACGAAGCTTGTTGAGCTCTTGGTGGACACAGCACTGGAGTTTAGCTTACAAGGCTAATTGACAATCCTGCTGAGCTGATCACTGCTCCCTCCATAAGTGTTCAGACAGAACTGTGATCCTGAGGCTGTGGCTCTACCTAGGTGAGTCAGAGCCAAAAAGCCCAGAACTCCAACTTCTGTGATCCTTCGACAAATGACAGCCTGGGCAACAGAGCAAGACACCGTCTTTATAATAAACTGAAAAAGTAGCTGTTAGTGGTATGATGTATAAGAGCACAGGGTGGCTCATGCCTGTAATCCCAGCTGGGGATGCTGAGGTGGGAGGATCACTTGAGCCCAGAAGTTTGAGGCTGCAGTGAGCTGTGACTGGGCCGCTGCACCCTTCTCCAGCCTGGGCGACAGACAGAGACCTTGTCTCTAAACAAAACAAACAAATGAATCATAGCCCTCAAGTTCTGCCCAGGTTTCAGCCAGCAGCAATGTGCCCCTGCAACTTCCAGCCCTTTCAGCCAGGGGCACGGCTGGCTTCAAACAGGCTGAGGAAGCTCTTGAGTGACTCACTTTTCTTTAGGAAAAACCTAAGGTTTTATTTAATAGGTTGGAGAAGATGTGGCCACCTCAGGCTTGAATGTCAAGTTGTACTTGCAGTGGAGGTTATTTGCATCCCAACTTACTTTCCAATGGGGTAAAAAGTGCTGAAGGTTTGTGGTTTGTGATGGGAAAGTTAGTAAATGTTAATATACTTACTTTCATCTTTGCATGGAGAAAAATGCCGATAGTAAATGTTAATATACTTATTTTCATCTTTGCATGGAGAAAAATGCCGATAGAGAAAAGGAACAATTTCATTCTGCTTTGTATTTCCTTCAGCTGGTCTATTTAAAGTACACACAAAGGCTGGGCACAGTGGCTCACACCTGTAATCCCAGCACTTTGAGAGGCTGAGGTGGATAGATCACTTGAGGTCAGGAGTTCGAGACCAGCCTGACCAAAATGGTGAAACCTAATCTCTACTAAAAATATAAAAATTAGCTAGGCATGGTGGTGTGTGCCTGTAATCTCAGCTACTCAGGAGGCTGAGGCAGGAGAATCACTTGAACCCGGGAAGTGGAGGTTACAGTGAGCCGAGATAATGCCACTGCACTCCAGTCTGGGCAACAGAGTGAGATCCTGCCTCAAAAAAATAAAGAAAGAAATAAAGTACACACAGAGGTTTCAGGAAAGCTTTAAAGAAGAAAGATAATGAGTGGAGGAGGATAATGAAAATCTAACCCTAAAATAGAAAAACGGCAGTACCACCAAGCTCAGAACCAGAGACTTCATATTCAGTACTAACGAAGAGGGTGGGGTTGAAGCTTTTCTCTGCTTGGTCCATGCAAAGAAAAAAGAAGGTTAGTCTAGCAAATAACTAACATGAATAGCATTATCGCAGATATCTTGAAATAACTATGATCTTACTTTCATAGAGGATTGTATGATAGCTTTAATTTTTCAATCTCGTAGGATTTGAGGGAGAGATCTACTCCTTCCTCCCAGTGATGGGTCATAAGAGAACAATTTAGAAAAATAGGAAGTGGCAGCAAGTCAATAAGGGCCTTCTCTTTATCTACCCAAATCTTCTGCAGGGTCTGGTCTCTCCCCTATGACCTCCCGCCTGCTGGAGGCTTGCAACAAGGGCTAGACAACATATGTAGCAGACTTAACAAATCAACTGAGATCTGAAGTAAAAACGTACAGGCTGTTCAAGAGGGAAGACTGAATTTTGAAATAGGAAGAGACAACTGTATCCTTCTGGCTCTCTGAGAAACTTTACACATTGCAGTTAATGAAGCCAGTGGCTTTGGGGAAGTGGTATGATGTATAAGAGCACACACTACAGGGTCCGGCAGGCTTGCGTTTGAATCCCGGCACTAATTGGTTCTGCGGCTTTAAGCTTCTCTGGGCCTTAGTTCCTTCGTCTGTAAGGTAGGGGTCACAGGGTTCTGCTAAATATTTCGTGAAGTTACGAATCAAGTGCCTAGCAGAGCAGCTGCTTACTACTCCCTTCCACAGTAAACAGTTTTCTCTTTTCCCTGACTTACCCCGCCTCCCCAGATTTTCAGACTAAGAAGAGACGCTGCTGGCTTAGAATTTTCTATGTGGAAGCAAAGCCACACCAAAGGGTACACCGCCTTTAGATTTCATTACCATAAACTGAGTAGGTCTTTGGCAACAGCAAGACAGCTGGAGCCCATAGAGACTTCCAGAGGCCTGCAGCGCAGCTGGGAGGGTCAAGGAGGGGGAACTGGAAGGGCCAGATAGGGAAGGAAGGATGGCTGAGAATCTAGGCAGTATCTGAGAGGTGAGGCCCAGTCCAGATGGTCACAGCTTTAGCTGGGTCACCTTAGCCTTTCTGTTCTTGTTGCTTCATATTTGGTTTACCTCTGTTTTGTAGTAAAATAACTCTTGAAAATAGGCCACTCGTGGGTTTGTCAGGGAGTAGTGCCTCACTCGGTCATTTAGGTAGGAGGGCAGCGTGTGTTTTGAGTGTATTGTTGGCAGCCACCAAGTCAAATAGATTTGGGGGGATGGTAAGGAGCAAGAAAATATAATTAGGGGCTTCCCTGGGTAGATTCAGAATTTATGAACCACCAGTGTATATTACCCAATGGAATGTTTAAAGTAATAATGCCACATATGTCCACAGTAGTCCATAATCCAGACTTTCCATTCTTTTGGATTGGCCTTTTCTTCAATTTTTCTGGATTATTATATATTCATTACATTAATCTTTTTCACCAAGTCTTACTTTCCTCCTTCCTGCTTTCTCTCAACAGAGAGGGAAACAGAAAAAAATCTAGACTATGAACAGATATAGGTGGAGTGTTGCGGCATTGGGAAAGCGTGCTGTTACAACAGGTGGCAGACCCTATGAGCGCGCACACACACACACACACACACACACCCATGCATTACTCAGTACCATAAGATCACCCACATGAATAATAAGGCCCAGGTCCAGAGTTATATCAGCCCTGTGTCATTTCTCTAATGGCCACTGAGTGCTTCGGTTTGCCACACATTCATTCTCTTGTGCTTCTAAGAGACCTGTGACCCATGGGGACTCCATGCAGATGGCAACAGAGACCAACGCCTCCCTCACTGTAGCATTTGTTCCCCCTTTAAGTTTTTAAAAGACATGTTAGAGACCCTGAAGGCCCAGGAGACTATACTCATTTTCTTACATTGATGAAAATCTAAGTTTAAGACTTGCCAGGGGTTCCCTATTGCTATGATCTAAATGTGTCCCCCAAAATTCATGTGCTGGAAACTTAACCCCCAATGCAACAGTACTGGGAGGTGGAGCCTATGGTGGGTGTTTAGGTTGTGAGAGCTCCGCACTATGAATGGATTATTGCCACTACAAAAGGGGCCTGAGGGAGTGGGTTCTCCTGCTCTCTCCTGATCTTCTGCCATGTAAGGCTGCAATGTTCCTCCTCTCTGGAAGACACAACAACAAAGTGCCATCTTGGAACCAGAGATTCAATCTGCCAGCACCTCGATCTTAGACTCCCCAGTCTCCAGAATTGTGAGAGAATAAATTTCTGTTCATTAAAAGTTATCCAGTCTACGATATTCTGTCATAGCAGCACAAAGTGAACTGAGACATCTGCCATCACTGCCTCTTCTCTTTTCAAAGACTATTTCTGGAACTCTTCATAGGCCCCAGAAATCCCAAAGTGGAAACAATAAACCACTTACCTTAAATCCTAATCAATCTGAAAAGCAAAGGCAATGAGTGCATGGATACCTTCTCTCTTTGGAATTCCTCTTTCCATCTGACCCCTGGAATGTGGCTTTTATCTTCAAGATCAGAGAGATGTTAATGACATATTTTCTTTCAGATTCAAGCAGTTCCAGGGCCACAGTCTGTCTTTTAGCTTTAGAAACAAACCAAAGAGGACTTGATATTAACCATTTCTTCCTAAAATCCCATTAAATGCAAGCAATAAAAGTGATAAAAGGATATTGAAAGCAATAAAAAAAAAACCATCTGCAAGTTTTTGAAAGGTAGAAAGCAGAATGGAGGCGCAGTAATTCATTCAGCAGAGCAAAGGGCACGAAGTCTTGGTGTCCCCATCTGCAGCTGGAAAATCTGCTGAGAAGCATCTGGAAAGCTCAAGGATTGGAGACACCAGGGGCAATATAGATAGTGCAAATAAGGGACAATGCTGAAAGCAGGAGCAATCATTGAAAGTATACATATGGGGCAATTGAACCTCCAGATCCTCACCCCCCATACCAGATGGCTTCCTCACTTCCTCCCCATGGCAAACAAGAAAAATGAAACTAGAGAAGCCCTGGTTTCTGGGATCTGGGCTAAAGACTTTAGACATAGTAGAGTTCAGATGCTAAAATGAAAACAAAGGGACTCAGGGAAGGCTTCATACTGAACAGTGAGACTTCCCTCAGCCTTCTTCCCCTGTAGATCCCAGAGTGCCAGAAGCCAGGTTTAAACTCTTCAGGCAGGAGATTGGAGGGTCTTCCACTTGAGAAACTGAACTGCCCAAGGGAAAAAGATCCACAGACACTGACACAAAGAGGTCAGCTATCAGCCGGACATGGTGGCTCATGCCTGTAATCCTAGCACTTTGGGAGGCCAAGGCGGGTAGATCACCTGAGGTCAGGAGTTCGAGACCAGCCTGGCTAACATGGCGAAACCCCATCTTTACTAAAAATACAAAAATTAACCAGATGTGGTGGCACACGCCTGTAATCCCAGCTACTCGGGAGTCTGAGGCAGGAGGATTGCTTGAACCCAGGAGGCGGAGGTTGCAGTGAGCTGAGATGACGCCCTTGCACTCCAGCCTGGGTGACAGAGCAAGACTCTCTCTCAAAAAACAAAAAGAGGTCAATTATCAAAAGTTAATTTGCCATCTGATTAGCCTGTCTATAATGAAGCCCACTGATTGACAAGCTCGGTCAATACAAAATTTCCAGAGTTTTTCTAAGAGCTCTTTCTTACATACATTTAGCTAAGGATGCTCATACATTTGCATAAAGCTTATACTATAAAAGAATGAGAAGAAAAAGCATATATACGTATTTTTTTTATAAGGAGGGGGGACCCTGAAGAAACAGAGACAATGCAGGATACAAAAGAATAAAAATTTTTAATCTTACAATTCATATTCTCAAAGAAATATAAGAAACATATTCCAGTCATTTAACAATTGCAGGATGCTATTTTTAAAAAGAGAGGCTAATTTTTAAAAAGGAGAAACTTTTAAACATTGCTTAAAAGATAGAAAAAATTAAAAGGGTAGAAGATGAAGAAAAGAAATCTCCCTTTCTTAAAAAAAAAAAAAAAAAGATAAGAGGGGCTGGGCGTGGTGGCTCACGCCTGTAATCCCAGCACTTTGGGAGGTCGAGGTGGGCAGATCAGAAGGTCAAGACGTCGAGACTTGCCAACATGGTGAAACCCCATCTCTACTAAAAATACAAAAGTTAGCTGGGCATAGTGGTGTGCACCTGTCGTCCAGCTACTCAGGGGGCTGAGGCAGGAGAATAGTTTGAACCCGGGAGGCAGAGGTGGCAGTGAGTCAAGATCATGCCACTGCACTCCTCCTGGGTGTGACAGAGCAAGACTCTGTCTCAAAAAAAAAAAAAAAAAAAAGAAAGGAGAGATGTATTGAAGAAAAATAGAAGAGCAAAAGATGGCAGTTGAGAAATCAATCCAAGAGGTCCAACATCAAATTAGTAGAAGTTTCAGAAAAAAGAAAGAAAATGGATGAGAAGATATTATCAAATTAATAACAGGCAAAAAAAAAAAAAATCCCAAGACATGTATTTCCAGAGAAAAGGACCCTTGTGCCCAGCAAAATTAATAAAAAAGACTCACATCATTACAAGGCATATCACATCACTGTGAAAGTTTAGCACACCACGAATAAAAACAAGATCCTAAAAGTTACCAGATAGAAAAATCAGGTAACGGGCTGGGCACAGTGGCTCACACCTGTAATCCCAGCACTTTGGGAGGCCGGGGTGGGCGGATCACGAGGTCAGGAATTGGAGACCAGCCTGGCCAACCTGGTGAACCCCATCTCTACTAAAAATACAAAAATTAGCCAGGTGTGGTGGTGGACGGCTGTAGTCCCAGCTACTCGGGAGGCTGAGGCAGGGGGATTGCTTGAACCTGGCAGCCAGAGGTTGCAGTGGGCTGAGATCACACCACTGCACTCCAGCCTGGGTGACAGTGCAAGACTCCGTCTCAAAAAAAAAAAAAGAAAAAGAAAAATCAGGTAACATGCAAAAAACTGAGTATCAGAATGGTACTGGACTTCCTAATAGCAAAATTAGAAGTTAGAGGACAGTGGAACAATTGCTTCAAAATCATGAGGAAAAAAGATGTCTTATTTGGCCAAATTATTAATCAACTATGTGAAAGCATTTTGCAAAATTATGACCGCAAGAGAAATCTGACATAGCTGACTCCATCTTATATCTAACCTCAAGCTGCCCTTGTACATTCCTGAGCATAGGCTGAGATTTTGGGATTTATTTAGTTCATAGTTCAACTTAAAGCAAGGATGATAATAGCCCTTCCCCAAATTAACCCCACACCCTCCAATTTGGTACCCAAACTGGCTTTGAAAAACTAATGAAAGGCCAAAAGTTTAGGATTATGAATTATGAATTCATATTATGAATTACACTAAGATGTAGGCATAGTTAAATGATAATCAGCCATTGTTCTGGAGGTGGCAAGATTTGTAACTTCCCTGGTTATTCCTATAGATAACATCACTACTGTAGAACCTAAGATTGGTCTTTTGAGACATTTTTCCAGACTTTTGCATTTCTGGAAGCTGACTGACTCCACCTGGACCTACACCCATGACTCAACTAGTCCTGTGGCCCTCACCCAGAGGCTGACTCAGCATATGAGGACCACATCCCTGTGATTTCATCTGCATAACCCCCTGCCCACCAAATTATCCTTAAAAAAAGTCCAGTCTCTGAATTTTCAGGGAGATTGATTTGAGTAATAAACTCTGGTCTGCTGCAATAGCTTGCTGTACGTTTATTCAACTTTTTCTCAATTGCAATACAGCAGTTGCAGTAAATCAGCTCCACCTGCACAGCAAGCCGGCAAGAAGGACCCGCCAAGTGATTACATATGTGGAAACTACTGGATGATGTGTTCCACCAAAACCAGGAGTAAACCAAGAAACCAAGGATACAGAAGATGAAAAAAATCAACAACAGCAACAAACAGGAATCGAACAGAGGAGAAATATAAAGGGAATTCTTAAGAAGACTGGAAAGTCCCAGGATGATGGGAGTACATTGGGCCAAAGCAGAATAGGATGACGGAGGCAAATGCTCTTTAAAAAAAAAAAAAAAGATGGCTGGGCATAGTGGCTTGTGCCTGTAGTGCCAACTACCTGGGAGGCTGAGGCAGGTGGATCACTTGAGCCCAGGATGTTGAGGCCAGCTTGGGCAACAAAGGGAAACCCCCACCTCTGAAAAACTAAATGGATAAAAATAAATTAAAAACTAAAAACATTGATGATGTAAATAGTAAAGTTTCTGTTATATTGCTAAGAAAAATTCAAGATCTATATAAATGAAGAGATATACCATGTTCTTTAAATGGAAGACTCAATACTGTCAAGATGTCAATTACCTGATAATTGGAATTTTTAAAAGGAGAGTCTAAAATTAGATACCCATATAAGACCACTTGACTTTCTACATACAACAATGGGAAACAGAAGGTATTTTCAATTAATGATGCTGAAACAACTGGATAGCCATCTGGAAAAAAAATGAACCTGGAGCCCTTTCTCACACTGTACATCAAAATTTATTCACCATAAGTCATAGACCTAAATGTGAAAGCTAAAACTATAAAGATTTTAGAAGAAAGCATACCAGAGTACCTTCACAACTGTGAGATAGCAAAGGTTTCTCAGAAAGACAAGAAAGTCACGAGCTATTTTAAGAGTTTAAAATTGACAGCTGGGTGCAGTGGTGCACACCTGTAGTCCTAGCTCCTTGGGAGGCTGAGGAGGAAGAATCACGTAAGCCCAGGAGATCAAGGCTGAAGTGAGCTGTGATTATGCCACTGCACTCCAGCCTGGGCAACAGAGCAAGACCCTGCTTCAAAAAAAGTTGGGCAATGGACTTAGGCACCTTATAAAAGAAGAATATATGAATAGCTAATAAGCATATAAAAACATACTTAATACTAATAATCACCAGGGAACTGCAAATTAAAACTACAGTGTGATACCAGTACACATCCCTGAGAATGGCTAACATTGAAAGGACTAACCATCCTTCCCAAGTATTGGAAAGTATGTGAAGCAACTGGGCTCTCAAACATTGCTAGTGGGAATATTAGCCAACTGCTTTAGAAAACTGCTTGACATTTTCTTTTAAAGTTAAACATAATCATAACCTACAACCCAGAGATTTTACTCCTAGGTATACACCCAAGAGAAATGAGGGCATACATCCCCCCACTAAAAAAAAATTTGTACAAGAATATTCATAGCTAGCTAGGCACAGTGGCTTACGCCTGTAATCCCAGCACTTTGGGAGGCCAAGGCAGGCAGATCACTTGATATCAGGAGTTGAAGACTAGCCTGGCCAACACAGTGAAAACCCTGTCTCTACTAAAAATATAAAAATTAGCCAGACGTGGTGGTGCACGCCTGTAATCCCAGCTACTCAGGAGGCTGAAGCAGGAGAATCACTTGAGCCTGGGAGGCAGATGTTGCAGGGAGCCAAGATCACGACATTGCACTCCAGCCTCAGTGAAAGAGCAAGACTCTGTCTCAAAAAAAAATGTCCATCAATGGGAGAATGGATTTTTAAAAATGTGATAAATTCATTCAATGTGATTAATAAAAAGGAATGAATTGTGTGCAAAAATATGCATAAATCTTTTTTAAAAAACATTATGTTGGGAGAAAGAGGCCAGACACAAAAGAGTACACTGTGTTATTCCATTTACATGAAGTTTAAGAACAGACAAAACTAATTTGTGGTATAGAAGTCATAATAGTGGTTCTTTGGGTGGATATTGACTGGCAAAGTGCATGAAAGAACTTTCTCAGGTTCTTTCATGCACAGAAATATTGTATATCTTGATCTGGGTGGTGATCACAGGGGATAGACACATGTAAAATGTCTATTAGCTTAAATGTAAGCTCTGTGAATTTTACTCTATGTAAATTCACCTTCAATAAAGTATTAGTAAAAAAAATAGTGTAAAACTTTTATTTTTTTGAGTTAGGGTCTTGTTCTGTTGCCTAGGCTGGAGTGCAATGGCACTATCATAGCTCAATGCAGCCTCGACCTCCTGAGCTCAAGTGATCCTCCTACCTTGGACTCCCATGTAGCGGAGACCAGAGGCACATGCCAGGAGGCCCAGCTACTTTGTTTTTTTATTTTTTGTAGAGACAGGGGTCTCACTATGTTGCCCAGGCTGGTTCCAACTCCTGGGCCCAATGGATCCTCCCACCTGTCCTCCCAAAGTGCTGGGATTACAAGTGTGAACCACCATGCCTGGCTAAACATCTTTTAAAAACATAGAAGCAGGGGAAGACTGTGTACCCAGCCTGAGCCTGCCATTCTCCCTCCCCCATGCCCCCGAAAAGAAAACATGGAAGCAAGTACCAGAAAAAACGGTCAAAAGAGTTTAAAGTTGTTGGCGCTCTTCTTCATAACAAACCTTTTAATACTTTTTTTCATGTATTTGACTTTAAAAATTCAAAATAATTTTTAAAAATTACCTCCCCCCAAATAGCCAGGGGGAAATGCCATTGTCTGACACAGTAATTGTTCAGCAATACTTTGTGATATGAAGGGAAGGAGGGAGGGAAAAAGGAGGGAGGACAGGCTGTGTTGCAGTGTGTGATATTTTGGTGGTAGACTGTTGATGAAAGGCTTGTTTCTAGAAGATACCACATCACTGGCTAAATAGTTCTGCCTTCTCCACCAACCTTATGCCTTCCCCCTCCCGCCCACAGCACTCCATTACTAAGTGTCTTGAACATGCAGAATCAAGGTGGTAGTCACTGGCCCTGTGACCTCTAATGAGTCCCTTTACCTCTATAGGCTTTAGTTCATCTGAAAAGGAAACCAGGAACTAGGTGGCCTCATGTGTCCACTGAATCTAAACGGCAAGGATTCTCGCCTTTGAGTTCAAAGCTCTGGTACATCCTGTTCTTTAAACTATTAGCCTGCATTCCCCCTTGGAACTTACCAGCTAAGGAGGTTTCACATAAAACGTTTTCCAAGGAGCTGTGTCTACCCTGGCCAGCCTCCTTGAGTTTATCTGGGTGGTCTTTTGTGACGTATTCTTCACCCCATTCTTTACCATCCTTAGGCTGCCTCCACATGCCAGATGGGAGATGGCCCTTGGACTGGATATCAGCCGAGAGGCAAGACTTGAGGTTTTCTTCTGCTTCTGGAGTTGTTGGGTTCACTCCTGGTGGGGTGGGGGGAGGGGCGGGGAAACAAAGAAAACTGCTATCAAAATCTTTTTAAAAAATATGTTTGTTACCACTTTCGGAGGCCGAGGCAGGCGGATCACGAAGTCAGGAGATTGAGACCATCCTGGCTAACATGGTGAAACCCTGTCTCTACTAAAAATATAAAAAATTAGCTGGGCGTGGTGGCGGGCACCTGTAGTCCCAGCTACTCAGGAGGCTGAGGCAGGAGAATCGCTTGAACCCAGGAGGCAGAGGTTGCAGTGAGCCGAGATCGCCCCATTGCACTCCAGCCTGGGTGACAGAGTGGGACTCTGTCTCAAAAAAAAAAAAAAAGTTTGTTACTTTTTTTTTTTTGAGACGGAGTTTCGCTTTTGTCACCCAGGCTGGAGTGCAATGGGGCGATCTCGGCTCACTGCAACCTCTGCCTCCTGGGTTCAAGCGATTCTCCTGCCTCAGTCTCCCAAGGAGCTGGGATTACAGGTGTGTGCCACCACGCCCAGCTAATTTTTATATTTTTAGTAGAGCTGAGGTTTCACCATGCTGGCCAGGCTGGTCTTGAATTCCTGACCTCAGGTGATCCACCTGCCTCAGGCTCTCAAAGTGCTGAGATTACAGGCGTGAGCCACCATGCCCGGCCTTGTTGCTAACTCTTAACGAATCTGCCTCTGTTTGGGTACAACTATCCCTTGAGGATTAAATATACCAATTAAGGATTAAAAGTGTCCACAGCTGCACGGGGTTCCCTCTGTTTCTGGTCTATACATCCTCTATGCTTTATACATAGTCTTTACTATATAAGGAGCTTTTTAAAATGAATTTATCAAATAGTATAGCTAATTTATAGTATGTATTGACTCCTTATATCTGCTTCCTTTCAGGTGAGCACACCAGATGCTGGAGCACTCCTGGGAAGAGAAACAGAAAGAGGAGGAGGAAGGGTGCCAAAAACAATGTCTTATTTGGCCATTTTTCCCTTGACCCTAATGCTAGAAAGGAAGGAGAGAGGGAAGCTTAAATAATTTATAAAATCCTGGTGAATTGTCAATTAAGTAAATCCTTTTTAAAATTTTGTTTTCTTTTATCTTCTTTTGTTTCTTTTCTATTATTTAGTCCTTTATTACCTGCACTACACAGATGTAAAAGTAGGTAACTTTTGAATTAAACTATACAGTGTGTGATCCACGGAAAACTTACATCATGCTACATTCACCTGCAAGTTTTTGGCAAATGTGAATTTATTAGTCATTGAAATAAGCCAGAAAAAATGAAACATACTGGTTTTGTCTTAAGCTTCCCTAGCCCTTCTCTCTCCTTGGTTCAAATGAGTCACTGACCTGCTCTAGTACACATCTTGGAATCTTCGTAACTTCATAACTTTATCTTTTGTGAGTTCTTTCATGCCTGGTTTGAAACTAAGGAAGTGGAAGCAGGGAAGATAGAAGTGGAAAATAATGGAATTGCTGGAAGAAAAGAAAACTAAGAGAAGAGTCACTTACCAGGACCCATCATTCCTTTTACATTACTGTCTCCTACATGAACAGATCTGGACTCTTGGGCTGCAGAGAAAGGAAAGCATTCATTCAGCGTTCATTCCACTAACATGGACTAAGCACCTTCCACGAGCCTGGCACTGGGGGCAGACTCAGAGATTGTAGTTTCATGGGGGAGGCAGAGCAGTAAAAAAAAGAAATTACAGTATAGTGTGGCAAGTGCTATTTTCTCAGCTGTAAAAAGATATAATAGTGGTACTTACCTCAAGGATTACAATAAGAAATAAATAAGTTAGTATTTGTAAACTGCTTGAAGTTCTACCTGGCATATTGTAAGAGTTAAATAGTTGTTTAACTATAATGGTGGTGGCAGTGGTATGATGGTAATAATAAAAAGAGACAGAATGGTACTGTTAACATGTAAGCCAGCCTGGGCAGCATGACAAAACTCCATCTCTACCCCCCACCCCCTCCCCCCAAAAAAACCCAGAAATTAGCCGGGCATGGTGGTATGTGCCTGTGGTCCCAGCTACCTGGGAGGCTAAAATAGGAGGATCGCTTGAACCCAGGAGGTTGGGGCTGCAGTGAGCTAAGATTGTGACACTGCACTCCAGCCTGAGTGACAGAGCAAGACCCTGTCTCAAAAACAGAATAAACCAGACCCTATCACTTCTCTGCTTAGCCCTCCAATGGCTCCCATTTCAGTGTAAAAGCCAAAGCCCTTATAATGATCATACAGCCCTGGAATATCTGCCCCCAACTCATGCCTGCTGTTTCTTTTTTTTTTTTTTTAACTGCACCTACTGTTTTCTCCCTGATTCACTCTGCTTTACCCCCGTTGGTCTTCTTGGTATTCCTTGAACACGTCAGTCATATTCTCACGGGACCCTGACACTGGCTGCTCCGTTTCTTCCCCTCAGTACCCATAAGCGAACTTTCTCACTTCCTTCAGGTCTTTGCCTGGCACTCTATTTAAAATTACAATTCCTCTTTACTTATTTTTTTCCTTAACTCATCACTCTCTAACATACTACATATCTTACTTATCTTGTTTATTGTCTGCTTGCCTCAGAGGAAAGTCTCCATGAAGGCTGGAATTTTTGTTGTTTTGTTCATTCCTATATCTTACCACCTAAAACAGTGCCTGAGATGGAGGGAGGGAGAGAGGGGGGAGGGAGGGAGAGAAGCGGGAGAGAGGGGGGAGGGAGGGAGAGAAGCGGGAGAGAGGGGGGAGGGAGGGAGAGAAGCGGGAGAGAGGGGGGAGGGAGGGAGAGAAGCGGGAGGAAGGGAGAAAAGGGGGAGGGAGGGAGAGAAGGGGGAGGGAGGGAGAGAAGGGGGAGGGATGGAGGGAGGGAGAGAAGCGGGAGGAAGAGAGAAAAGGGGGAGGGAGGGATAGAAGGGGGAGGGATGGAGGGAGGGAAAATGTCAGGGTGGCTTGAATGCAGAGGGAGAAGTCGAGGGTAACAAAATATAAGTCTGAAGAGAAAAGCAGAGGCAAGTTAAAACACGGCCATGTAAACTGTGTTAAGGAACTTGGACTTTATTCTGAGGGTGATGAGGAATCAAAGAGAATCTAAGAAGGAGCATCCAGAAAGTAGGTGTAAAATCAAAGAAGCACAGTGTCAGCCAAAAGAAGAGAATGTTTCAAGAAGGTGGGTATCAAGGGTACCAAAAACTATCAGGAGTGGTAAGGATGAAAGCCAATATTGAGTGGGTAGAATAAATACAAAGTAAGAAAGAAGAGACGGATAATAAAACCACATCTTTCAAAAAAATTAGTTTTCAATTTTCTCAAGCAAGAATATGTCAGGAGTAGGGAGGCTAAACATCTTGAGAGTTTCTTGAGTGGGGAAAGGAACCTAAAGGTAAGGTATACTTGGGCCTGTAAAATGACATTTTCAAACTGACAAGTTCTACAATTATCAGGCACATAAATGATGTTGCATCATGGCTCACATAAATTGGCTGCCTTCTCAGATGGGGCCATCAGCCATTTGTGGTAAGCAGCTCCAGATGGCTCCAATTATCCCCACCCCTTAGCATTTACGTCCTTATGTAATCCTTTCCCTTAGGTAAAGGCTGGATTTACTGATTAGTCTCTAATGAATAGAATATGACAGAAAAAATGGAATACCATTTCTAAGATTAGGTTATAAAAAGACTATGGGTCGGTCGTGGTGCCTCACACCTGTAATCCCAGCAAGGGAGGCCAAGGTGGACAGATCACTTGAGGTCAGGAGTTTGAGACCAGAGACATGGCAAAACCGTGTCTCTACTAAAAATACAAAAATTAGCAAGGCATGGTGGCGGGTGCCTGTAATTCCAGCTACTCAGGATGCTGAGGCTGGAGAACTGCTTGAACCCAGGAGGTGGAGGTTGCAGTGAGCCGAGATCGCGCCATTGTACTCCAGCCTGGGCGGCAAGAGCAAAACTCTGTTTCAAAAAAAGAAAAAAAAAACAAAACAAAAAAACCCACTGTGGCTTCTGTATTGAGCGTTCTTTTAGATAACTTGCCCTGGGAGAAGCTAGCTGCCAAATTGTAAGGCAGCAACTTGGAGAGGCCCAGGTTACAAGAACTGGAGCCTGCCAATAACCAGGTGATAAGCTTGGTATAGATGCCCCATGAGTAGAGCCTTCACCTGAGATGACAGCCATGGCCAGCACCTTGATTACAGCCTTAATGAGAGACCTTGAGCCAGAGGCACTCACCTAAGCTGTGCACAGATTTCTGACTCAGAGAAACTGTGAACCATGAATGTTTGCTATTTTAAGCTACTGAATTTTGGGACAATAGATAACAGTTGTACCATTTTATCAACAGTGGATAAGCCAAGACTTTCTGAGTGTTTGGTTCTTGAGCCCTGAGTTTTAACACAAGCTGCCACCAAGTATGTGCAGAATGTCTTATCATGGCACATTATTCTTAAATTTCTGCAGCAACTCAGTAGAATAAACTATGACCACGTCTATACAGGAGGAAAGGAAGGAGGAATTGCCACTAAATAGTTCATTGAAATCCATGTAGGCACTGAAATCATCTGGATCAGCTGTTTTCAGTGGAGTCCACACATTCTGTGATTATTTAAGTCCCTGGGGGCTGTTACACATTGTCTAAACATGCACAAATTTACTTTGTAAAGATAATTTTTAACCTTTTATCTTATGAACATGTTTAGCTGCTCCAGACCTGCCATTGAACTGACTTTTACATTCTAAGCCTATCCTATACTATACTCTTTCCCAGAGAGGATCATCCTTTTATGTAGAGCTGTTCATGTCTTAGAGGAAAGAAAATAGAGCCACCTGCAATGAACCCGGTCCCCAGATGGACCAAGTGAGTTTTCCCAGGCTGCACCTATCAGTCTCTCAATGAATTACGCAAATAGGTAAAAAAAAAATAAAAATAAAAAGGCAAGCCGGGCACGGTGGCTCACGCCTGTAATCCCAGCACTTTGGGAGGTCAAGGCGGGTGGATCACTTGAAATCAGGAATTCAAGATGAGCCTGGCCAACATGGTGAAACCCCTGTCTCTACTAAAAATACAAAAAATTAGCCGTGCATGGTGACGCCTGTAGACCCAGCTGCTTGGGAGGCAGAGGCAAAGGTGGGAGAATCACTTGAACCCGGGAGGCAGAAGTTGCAGTGAGCCGAGATCGTGCCACTGCACTCCAGCCTGGGTGACAGAGCGAGACTCTGTCTCAAAAAAAAATGATAATAAAAAATATTAAAAAGGCAAATCTGTACTTTGAAGTATGCCAGTTAAAAGCCACTTGATTTAGATTTTTAGATTCAGTTATTCAGAATACACATTGTCTATGAGTATATAAACCTAATTGTTCCATTCATCTTAAGCATAGAAAACCACCAACCCTGTCTTTGACACACTGACAGTTGAGAAATCATTGAGTCTTTCTTTTGAGGACTTTCTACGTGAGACCATAAATAAGAGGAAATGTCATCTAAACAACGTTAATATCTACATTTATTTTTCTGTGTATAGGTGCTTTGCTAGACATGGTTGAGGATACAAAGACATGGCAAATTTTTTTTGTTTTTACTTTTCCTGAGTTGAATGTAAGTTAATAACCAAAACTCTGACTTCCACTGGAAAGCCAGTTTCTTCGGTACCATTTTTTAATATCTGTTCTAACATCCCTAAGGTCAGGAATGAGATTGGTAACTGTTTCAGCCCACAGGCAGCATCAGCTCTGGTTTTCCAGAGAAAGACAGGTGCTGAGTTAGACTGCCAATAAAATGACTTGTTAGAGTAAGTGATTTTTTTCTAACATTTCTGTCTTATGGGTTAGCATAGTAATGATTGTACAATAAATTATTTTTAATTCAATTGAAATTTAGAAGTATCCAGATTAGTATTCCCCCGACCACACACCAAAAAAAAAATATTTAAAACTGGGCACTCTTGTGGTCTCTTAGATCCTCTGGATTCTTCTGAATTCCAGTTACAAGCAGAAAAATTCTAGGCAATACACCATTTTCTTCTAACAAAGATGGAGGGTTTAAGCCCATTCTTAATTGGGGGAATTGGGAAAAAAATACTTGATTAATTCAGTATGATTTGTGAACTGTACCTTTCTCGTAGGCCTGAGAAGGCAAAAGGTTGGTAAAGTCTTCGCTTGGAAGAACAGGCTCAGGGATATTGATAGAACGAAAAGGACTTCCTTGTGCTTGGGCAGGCCCGGCCTGTGAGCTGTGCTCTTCTTTTTGAGTTTTCCTAGGAAAGAGAAACAAAGACAAGGCTATTCTGGTTCTTAATATCTGATAGGTTATGAGGAGATTCAGTTCAGAACAACTCAAGAAAATGTCTGAATTATTAGGTTGAACTATATAAATTGCTATTTTTGAAAATTAAAAGTGGTCAAATACTAGCAATTCATATGGTTCAACTTAATTCATTACCTCAGCTGGAGAAAAAACTTCAAATATTTACAAATCACCCTTCTAATTATAACATCCACATTCTTATTTTTTTGTTGCTGGCTTCCTTATCATCGGGATCTTTAGAGTTTGCAGTGGTGACAATTTGCTTGAAATGATTTATATTCGCTTAGCAATGCAACTCAAAAGTATCAGGAAGCAGCAGGTCCTCTCCTGAAAACAACCTGTTCTCCAGGGTCACACACATATTATTCCTACATTTCTATTTTCAATTTGGTAATATTAAAAACACATAAGTAAGTTGAGCACTGTGGCTCATGCCTGTAATCCCACCACTTTGGGAGGCCAAGGTGGGAGGATCACTTGAGCCCAGGAGTTCAAGACCAGCCTGGGAAAACATAAGGAAACCCATTTCTATAATTTTTTTTTAAATTAGCTAGCGTGATGGCCACACCTATAGTCCCAGCTACTCAGGAGACTGAGGTGGGAGAATCATTTGAGCCCAGGAGTTCAAGGCTGCAGTGAGCTGTGATCATACCACTACTCCAGCGTGGGCAACAGGGTAAGATTCTGTCTCCAAAAAAAAAAAAGAAAAGAAAGAAAAAAGGAAAAAGAAAACCAAATAAGTAGCAATAAAGATTATATATGTTTAATGGTGAAACTTTACTTGATTCAACCTAGTCCAGACATCGTTTAACATAAATTTATTTTCAACCCTAGAATTAAAATAATAATCGCATTAGAGACATTTTAGAAAGTTAATAAAAAAAGAAAATCACTGATGGTGCCACTATCTTAACACAACTATCATTATTTTTAAGTAAATCTTTCTAGTTGTTATTTTACATATTTTTACACTTGTAATCAAAGCATTCATGCCATTTTATGTCACTTTCATTTTACATATCGTATTAAATGGATTTTTCTATGTAATAGGTACCATCCATCTTTGGTATTAACCAATTTTATAATTCTATAACCTCCATCGCATGCCAAGCTGTGGAGCACAGTGGCCAGCTAGCTATACACTGATAGTGGGGAATGTGTACCAGGTGCCTCTGCAGAAGCCATTGCTTATGGGTTTGCCTTTGGTACATTTTTAAAAGACACTCACTTGGCTTTAACTTTTCGAGATTCTCTTCGCTTCTCCTGTTGAAGCTGCTCGATTTTCTGTTGCATTTCTTCTTGTTTGGAAGTGATGGCTTGGATCATCGACATGGCATTGCTCAGCTCTTCCTAAAAAATAAGAATTGCTATGTTTTAACGTGGTACATGGGGTAAAAGTATATAACATAATCTAGCACACTGTACACTTTTAATACATATTTATTGAATGAATGAATGAATGAATGAGAGATTAAAAAATTTACTTCCATCGTGGCCTCAAATTTTAACACAGAGCTCCAAAAAAGAAAACATGAAAGATATTTTTCCATGATAACTATGGATGGCCCAGAGGAAAAATTCTTATATTTGGCTGCTATGGAAAAACGCAGTTTTCTTTCTTTTTTTTTTTTAAGACAGAGTCTTGCTCTGTCGCCCAGGCTGGAGTGCAGTGGCGTGATCTCAGCACACTACAACCTCCACTTCCTGGCTCAAGCGATTCTCCTGCCTCAGTCTCCCGAGTAGCTGGGACTACAGGCGCCTGCCACCACACCCGGCTAATTTTTATATTTTTAGTAGAGACGGGGTTTCACCATATTGGCCAGGGTGGTCTTGAACTCCTGACCTTGTGATCTACCTGCCTCGGCCTCCCAAAGTGCTGGGATTACAGGCGTGAGCCACCACGCCCAGCCAGAAAAAGGCAAGTTTTCTATTGCTGTTACTGAGACCAAAATTCTCTTGTCAGCAGGGAAATTAAAGAGAGGCCTACCTTGAAATAGTTTAATGAATTCTTCATCTCAGTAACTTTTTCTTCCATGGAACATCTGCAGCTCTTAACCTTTTCTTCCAAAGCATATTCTCCATGTTGAATTCTTGACAGTTCTTGCATTGCTTCTGTGAAACCAGTTTTGAGTTCGGAGGCTAGGGCCTGCAACTAAATAATGCATGAAAAGTTAATTCAATTTGCTGGAAATTACTGTAAGTGGCACCATTGGACCTTGAATTTTTCTTTTGTTTGAGAAACAAGCCTCCTGAAAATCTACAGACCTCATTTACTAGTGTACTTCACTTTGGACAACTTAAGACAACCCTGGCCCCATTTATCTAAGAAAAAGAGTGTCTTCTTTATATATAGCATATGCTGAAGCTTGATAAATGACAAGAAAGCAAGCTGTTAATTAAGTTTACAAGTGCTTCTGCAAGCTTCGATTTATTCTAACACCTTTGATTAAAATGAGATTTGCTTGAAAAGAAACATGTATGTGAATCTTGATCCAATAACTCTTTGAATTCTGTGAAAGAAGAAAATGGGTCATATTCTCTCTGGTTATTATGAGAGGCAAGGAAACTCAGTTCTTGTTTTCTTAAGAAATTAAAGAATAAATAGAGTAACAACTAAGCATAACTGAGAATTTATCTGAAAGGAAAGAAGGTTTTTTTTAAAAAAAATACTCTTGGATGATATCATGGGAAAGGAGGTAACAGTATTTTCAATGACGGTGGGCTTTAACTCATAAGGAAGGCAAAGAAATATCTGGTAGGGTATGGTAGGAGCTCAGAATATTGTTGATGGTGATATGAATCATCTCCAGCAGTCAGTCCTGGTCATGCAGGTCAACTTTGACATCATGAAAGAGGTGTTTTGGATCAGGTAGGGTACAAATCCTAGTTCTACCCTAAAGTACTAGGACCTTAGGCATGTTGGTTAACTTTTTTGTAGCAGTTTCCTCATCCATAAAATAGCTATAATAATATCTATTTCACAGGGCTGCCTTGAGAATTAACTGAGTAAATGTAGGTAAGCTGCCTACCATAGCGCATACTTGGTACACAGATGTTCAAGAAACGTTCATTCTTCTCCCCCTTTAGGTGGTAAATCAAAAAGTTAAGCACAAACAGAAATGTGGAGAAAATGGAGCACTTCTAAAGTTCGTTGTATTTATTGAACAAATGAAAAAAGCATTTTCAACAGACAGTAAGTTAATAGTAACAACAGGATAATAACATTACTTTCTTGACATTTATGATCTTACACTCTATCAAGTGGAGGAACTCTTAGCTCCACATGTCTCTTTAAAACAGAACCATTTAGAAGATTTATCCTATAATCAAGTTTTTGTTGTTGTTGTTGTTTTGTCTTGTTTTGAGACAGGGTCTTGCTCTGTCGCCCAGGCTGGAGTGCAGTGGCATGATCTTGGCTCACTGCAACCTCTACCTTCTGGGTTCAAGTGATTCTCCTGCCTCAGCCTCCCAAGTAGCTGGGATTACAGGCATGCGCCACCACATCCAGCTAATTTTTGTATTTTTAGTAGAGACGGAGTTTCACCATATTGGTCAGGCTGGTCTTGATCTCCTGAACTCAGGTGATCCACCCTTCTTGGCCTCCCAAAGTGCTGGGATTACAGGCGTGAGCCACTGTGCCCGGCCTCAAGTATTTTTACTTTAAAGGAATGAAAACTAAAGTCCAGATACCTTAACAAAGTTTCTTTGAATGTGTATTTCTGAACATTTTCAGAATAAGGTCATGCACATGATTCCCACCTGCAATGGCACCTCCCACTCACTATACAGTGACTTTGTCTCCTATATCACATTTTTAAAATATAGGATTTTGTGGTTCATTGTGCTTTACGAAGGATTGCTGGGAATAGAGAGCAATAAGAGGAATCAGAGAGATCATTTTGAGGAAAAAAGCAGGGCCTGTCAAGTATTTGGGGCTAGAAGGCTGGGAAACATCATAAGCAATCTATTTTTCATTTCAATCAGTTTTAATTATAATTAATCTTTGCAATGGATTTTGGCTCATGTCCTAATTCAGTCATCCTGGTGGATTAAATCACCAGATCAACCACTTTCTGATCTGGTAATTTTTCATTATGTAAATGTATCTTCTGTGAGCAAAATAAACAAAATTGATGGCTATATAACATTAAATCAAAAATGTATGCGAGTTTTAAAATTGGAAGAAGGAAAGCTGACATTCTTCTTAGTGACATTCACTTAGGTTTCCTGCTTGGAAAAAAAAATAAAAAGGGAACCACTATCCAACAGAAATAGGTTTCATTATCCTTGCTCCCTTAGGCAGAGTTTTCTGCAGAGACCAAAAGGCAGCAGCAGACTCCTAGGAAAAGGACCTTCCTCCCTGCAGAACCCCAGCTCTCAAAAAATTATTAAAATTTTCCCCTAACAGCCAGGTGACATAGGAACTCTGGGAATTCTGAGGCTATTTTTGAGTCATGTGCCCATTTCCTACCAACATATTACTCTGAGCTCCATGGGTGCCTGCCACTGAAGCGTTGCTACTGCTTTGTAAACAGCTTCACAGCCCTGACCAGCCCGGGAGGGGAAGCCATCAGGAGAACACACACCTGATACAACATGTCACTTTTAAGATGCTGAGGGATCTTAGTATCTTTAGCCCCTACAGAGCGGTTTTCAACTACCGACCCTGACCACTCCCTTGTAAACTATGAATACTGTGAAGACACGATCTTAACATCTTTTTTCTGCTCTCTCTTCAGCTTTCTTTTTTGAGAGCCCACAGCCCACCCCAAGGATTAGAAATGGGTGTCTACCTTGTTCTCCAGCGAGTTGAACACGTTCCTCATCTCGTTGATTTTTTCATGAAGCTGCTCTAGAGAGGTTATGATCCCTCCATCCTGCCGCTGGAGGCGGGCTCCCACTGGAGGTAGGTTCAGGGAAGACTTGTACTTCGAAGCCTACGGTACCACAGAGGGCATCTTAGGCTCAAAGAAATAGGGGAGAGGAGTCCGAATTCTTCCTATTTCCTGCTCTCAATTTCTGATTCTCAATTTTCTTTCTTTTCTTGGCTTCTTAACTCTTCTTAAGATGAATTTTAGTCAGTGTCTTCCAATTTTTTTTTTCATGAAAGATCCCTCAGGCCTCATACTTAATTTTCACAAATTTCAACTTGTGTTTTATGGACATTTCTTCCTTTTTGCCACATTACCCAGGCCAGGAGGCTACCAAGAAGTAAATTAGGGGGACTGGACCTGTACCTTGGGAACCTTGCAAAGTCATAAATGTCAAGGTTTGGGAAACCTCCCAATTCCTATGATTCTATAAAAGCAAAAGCCAGGTGTTTTGCAGTGGCACATACATGATGGCAAGGAGGCGAAGGTAATTGCTTTGGTTTCCCCCTAAACCAGGGTCACTGAAGAAGCAACACGAGTTTTCTGCCAACTTCCATCTTCCAATTATTTAAAATACAAAGTGAGCAGCAAGTAATCTGAATGTAGAGAGTAAACTTCCCATATCTACTCCTCTATATTCCCTGCAGAAGCTGACCCTTCAAATCATTCTTGCAGGGCCTTACTGAGACTGACATGCAGCCTGGTGTGCTTATCGATCCCTGGATACACCACAGGCCTAGAAGAGTTAACTTCTCTAGTATCAGAAGAACATTCCTCAATGGCAAAAAGAGACTTAGTCTCAATCAGGATTTACAAATCCTAGAAAACTTTCAATGGCAGTTTTGACGATGAAACCTATTACTGTAGGACTGGTTCCCATAGTGTTTCAATTAGACACTTTTGGCACATCATTTATTTTCTTAAATTATTTTCATTACAGAGAAAAATGAAGAAAAAAGAGAATCGCCAAATAGAATCATTCCAAATTTCATTATTTCAGTATAACCATTAACACTCACATTTCCTTCTATTTTGTTCTATGCATATAAATGCAGATGTTTATATGCTTGAAATCACACTGCAGATACATTTTGATTCTACCTCTCTTTTTTCCCTCCTAATATTCTAATAAGGCATTTACAGTAGCCTTCAAAATTTTTCTAAATGTCTACTTTTGATGGCTACATGATATCCCATCCTATGAATTTGCCAGAGTTTACCTACCCATTCTCTTTTGTTGGAAATTTATGTTGCTTGTAATTTTTCAATGTTGTAACTAATGCTGTCATACTATGTTTTTGTTTTAAAATTTTGTATATATTTCAGATTATTTCCTTAGAATAAATTCCTTAATATGAAATGCCTGTGGGTCAAAGATGACCCAAAGGGGAAGCTACTATGTCACAGAGGCAATATATTCAACTAATTAGTAACTATACAAATTATATTTGACCAGAGGATTTGAAAAGTTATAGCAATATGGCTGTATATTCTTGCAAACATTACATATGATATGTAATGTCCTAAATTCATGGATTTAGAAAAACATAACTTGAATAATAAAATACATAAAACAATAGAAATACAAGAAGCCACACTGTTTACATTCCTAAGGCTACAAGTGAGCTTAAAACACAGTTGGAGTTGAAATCATTAGTATGAGTGTTGGGCTAGCACTAAATTGTGCAGTTACCACATCTGTTGCCTTAATTATGGGATCCCCTCTCATGTTAATGGGATCATAATTTTAATAATCTATATGCAAAATGAAGTAATCTAGGGTGAAACAAGACCACCTGACTCGGGAAAAGAGCTCTGATTCAACGACTTTGAGAGGGGTATGTGCAGTGGACAAAGGATAAGAGAAAAAGGAAATAGGGAATAGACTTTTCTAAAAGTTTCTAACAATTACACACATTCACCAGAACTAAATATTATTAATTATTATTTGCTAATTAGTCAAAGTATAATACTCCTTATTTTAATCATTGCTTCTTTGAGCTTCAACTTTTTCTTAGCTATCTATAATTTTACTTTGGTAAATTGTCTGTGTTCTTTGCTAATTTTCTACTAGGGTTTTAGAAGTTTCCATTTTTATTGACCTTCATGAACTACTTATTTATAATTAAACCTTTGAAATATTTGTTGTGTCTTTCTGATTTTGTTATTTGCCTCTGAATTTGTTTAAAATATTTTCATGATGGAAATAGTTTAAATTGTAATGTGGATGAACTCTCAAATCTCTTTCTTTGTGATTTCTTCCAGTGCTTTTTAACTTAGAAAGACATTTCACATTTGGAGACAAAATAAATATTCACTTATTTTAAAATTTTATGGTTTGAATTTTTTTATATGTAAACCTTTAATCCACTTTGGCATTTGTTTTGATTAGGGTATGAAGTGAGGATCTCTTCTCTTTTTCCAAAGAACCAGACAAAATCTTTCCAACACTGTTTGGCACAAGACTGAATGACTGCATGAGACCTCTTGGCTCAAAGCAATATAGACATCTTGTAATATAGTCATCCATTCATTCATTCAACTCATATTTATTGAATATGTATTATATGCCAGGCATTGTACTTTACACTGAGAATACAACAGAGAGGAAAATGGACTAAATTCCTGCCCTTAGAGCTTACATTCTAGATGAGGAGACAGAAAATTAAAAAACAAACAAGGTGATACATACGATAATGTCAGATGGGATAAGATCTATCCAGAAAATAAAATGAGATAGAGAATTACCAAAATATTATATTTTGCTTCTGGTGCCCTCCCTTCTAGTATAGATTTTATTCTATTATGGTTAACTCCTCCCCAGCTTCCCTCCTTTCTCTTTCTCTTCTTCTTTCTTCACTTCTCCTCTTTCTTCTTCTTCTTTTGGTTAAATGTTGCTTGGAGTAAACAGACTGGGGCTTAGGAAGTGTTCTTTTAAAACAAGGATGGGGTTATAATAGCATCACAGAGGTCATATAGACCAACTTCACTTCCATTGCTTTGTGTGTTCCACTGCGAACAGATGTACTAGGATTTGTAGTGCAATAAGATAATGAGGCCACCCCCACTGCAGCTATATTTAGCCAACATTCAGGGAGTGACCTACATAAAATCTATAATAGACTTTAAATCATACCTGACTTTAAAGAGGTACTCATACTCATTCAAATGTTATACACAGGTCAGATGAGAACAGAGGGGAAGTGGGCAGGGAAAGCGTCTGGAGGACTTGGACCAGTGAAGCATCAAAGCAGCACTGAGTGAAGACCAGTTTTTTGCTTCTAGGCCTTTGTTCAAGCTAGTCCCCCTGCCCACAACAACCTTACCTATACCTACTTGTCAAATGATCAACTTGTCCTTAAGTACCTAGCTCAAATCCTCCAGTCAATACTAATTCATCCCTTCCCCACAGAATTGTATCAATGCCTCTATCGCAATCCTTTCAACAGCCTACCTTGTAAGAGCTATTATTCTATGTGTTTTTCAGGCTGTGGACACATAAAAATCAATGAGAATGTCTGTTTCATCTGTTTAATCTGCCATGAGGCCAAGCAGTAGACTTTACACATAGTAACTGCTCAATAAATGTGTATTCAGTTGAAATGAGGCCCTTTCCCCCTTTCATCCTATAGCTGGCCTGAGTCTAGGGACAATATGGTTAAATAATGTTTTCGTAATCCTGTGTTGACTTGCCCTAGTTTGGTTTATAGCAATGGTCTCTTACATGATAATTCTGGGAAGTAGTTGTCATTTTCACTTTACTGTCACTTAAACTCGACAAATCTAAATAACGTTTCCCCTAAACTATCTACCCTTCTGGACTCCTGTATTTCTGCTTGTGAGAGCACTCTTTTTCCTAGTTACCAGGGCTTAAAACCTTAGATCAACTTTGAAAGCATCCTTTCTCCCAACCCCCACCAAGCTCTGTCAATGTTTTCTTCCTTTTCACGTATTTCAGACAGCACTGCCTGAAGTCTGGAGAGAAGCATGGATTTCCCTAGCCCAAGCTGCTTTTATATTACAAATTATGTCAGAATAAAGTTCCATGATTTTTAAGAACAGAGATGTGCTTTAAATTTACAGTTGGGAGACAGAAGCCAAGTAAATACCACTTAGAGGACCAAAACAATCTCATACGACTCTTACTGCAAAGATGTTTTGCAGAACTTTTATCTTCCTTGTAAAGCAAATTGTTTCCATTGTTTAAAAAGAGCTTGAAAGTTTTTCCTGTACAGATATTTGAACATTTGCAATGTTACCCCCCTTTTCATTCTCAATTCTCCCTGCTAAAATAGAAAAGTAAGAAAAACAGATTTTGCCCTCTCCTCTCTGATGGAAATGTTATCTTGCAGTGTAATGGCCATGGCGATGGGGGCAGCAGGCAAGAGAAGCAGAGTTGAGGTGGGCGTGGTAGTGCTGCACTTTATAAATGAGATAACTTGTCTTTCAATAATGAGTTCTCAGCCAGGCACAGTGGTGCTCACCTATAGCCTCAGCTACTCAGGAAGCTGAGCTTGAGCCCAGGAGTTAAAGACCAGAGTGGGCAACACAGCAAGACCCTGTCTCAAAAAAAAATCAGTTCTCTCCAAAGTACACTGTGAGTGGCGGGACCCACTGAGGTGCCTGTCTCACAGCCCTGTTAAGAGAACAAGTGCAACGATATATGTGGAAGCACTTGTGAGTGCTAAAAACGTGTACACATAAAGAATAGTCAGTCATTGCTATTATACATGGGAGCATTTGAAACAATCGATTTGTCTTTACCTGGTAAATCTGCGTGGAAGGATTATTCACCGGCATATGTTCATTCTCTCCTGCAGGGAGAAAGAGCTTTGTTTAATCAACACTACTCATTCTGTCCCTATCCCCTCCAGATACATGCAGGGAATAAGGGAACTTACAGGATCCTACATTTGTGCCCGCACGACAAGAAACCAATGATTCCAGGGGAACAAAAAATGAGCTGAAGTAGGTGGTGTCCATATTCACACATCCTAATCACTAAACCATTATCTACCTGATATACTCTTGCAATAGAAAACCACGTTCTACTACAGTAGGGAAGTTTCTCAACCAAACTGAATGATGTGTGATTATTAAATAGCCACAAAGGAATTTGCAGGAAGTGTCTCCCTTATGTTCTTGAGGCTAACTGGAATTGACCTGCAGGGACAGTTCTACAGTCAGGAAGGCGGCTCTTCACCAGGCACTTAGTGACCTCAGCGAGCTTGCATAAAATATCCTCTACTTCTCCCACCTCTGATCTTTGACAGACTTCTGAACTCTGCCCTGCTGTCACTGCCAAATTCAGCTAAGGGAATCTTGCTGTCCTCCTGGGCAACAGGGCTGATAAAAGGAATTGTCAACGGAAAGGTTCTGGGAAGGATGCAGGCAGAAGAAAACAGTAATGTATAATACTAGACTTCGAGAAACACAGGGCACACGCAGAGGAAGTGGTAGGTTGTAGAAAACCATTCACAGGCCAGGTGTGGTGGCTCACACCTCTAATCCCAGCACTTTGGGAGGCCAAGGCGGGAGGATCACCTGAGGTTAGGAGTTCAAGACCAGCTTGGCCAACATGGTGAAACCCTGTCTCTACTAAAAACACAAAAATTAGCTGGCTGTGGTGGCAGGCACCTGTAATCCCAGCTAGTCAGGAGGCTGAGGCAGGAGAATCGCTTGAACCCGGGAGGCAGAGGTTGCAGTGAGTTGAGATCGTGCCATTGCGTTCCAGCCTGGGCGACAAGAGCGAAACTCTGTCTCAAAAAAAAAAAAAAAAAAAAAAAAAAGGAAAGAAAGAAAAGAAAAGAAACCATTCACAACCTAGAGAGAAAAAGAGGTTGGCCTGGAATGTACTTTTCAGCACCACATTGGTTGGCCATAAAGATGAGGCAATCCATGTAAAACATTCAGCTCGTTGCTTATCCATTTAGCTTCATCTCCAGTGTGTCACACTGTATGCATCAAACAGTTTATAGAGGAAGCCCCTGGTTGCAAACATTTGGTTGTGTGGATGTGTATATTGTTCTCCTAAGGCATGCTGGTACAGGAAACCCCTCCAACCTCAGTATTTAAGTCGATAAATAATACATAACCTTAGCCCAGAATTTATACACACAGAAGACTGTCCCTATAAAATCCATATGATGTGAGGTTACCCAAACTTCCTGCATAAGCTTGAGTAGATTATTTAGACAATTTCATACTATGTCCCAACAGCCTGGTATAATAACAAGAATCAGGGCTTGGGAGGAAAGATCCAGATCCCAGACCTAACTTTGATACTTTGCAGTTGTCACCTGACTTCCCTATGACTGTTTCCTCTTCCGTAAATTGGAGATGATAAGAGAATCTACTTCTATATAGTTGTTTTTATATGGTAAAGATTAAAAGAGAAAGCATTTATGCTTCTAGGCTAGTCTAGAAGGTGATAGATGTCTAGTAGTTGAATCTGTGTCTTGGCCTTACCCAGCATGTTGTTCTGAGGGAGTCCTAAAGCTATTGCTAAGAAAAATAAAGTAACAACACAGACCAAATTCTAATAGCATTTCCTATTTTTTCAGCACCCAGTCTATATTCTTCATAGTCATTATATGATGATAGGGAAATGAAAATAGTTAACATACTGTCATGTCTCGAGACAGTGGTAAGACAAGACAAAAACCTACATTCCTTGAATCCTAAGTCCTAAAGCAAGACATAGGAAAAATCTGACCTTGCTTTGTTTTGGTTTTTTCCATAGTGCCGGTTACTTCTCTTCTCCAGCTTATTCTTCAACATTGCATCCTCATCGTCCTGGCTCAGGCCACCTCCTCTTCCCTGCACCTGTCAATTCAAATCAAGAGTAAGGGATAACAAGTAAAACTGTCAAAGAAACTGTATTTACTTCTTACATTAGTAAAAAAATTGAAATGAACACAGCTTGAGGTACATGCAATTTCAGAAGAGGAAAAATATTAAATTAAGTACACATTTAGCATAAAGGTAAATATTTTGTGAATACATATGAAATTCATTATTCAAATTTAGGGTAGTTTTTCAAAATGCTACATTCTTATTTGGATCAAATCCATTAATTAAGATCTATTGGTTTGATTAGCAAGTTATATTTTAAAGAAATTTTATTTTATTTATTTATTTTTCAAACAGGGTCTTGTTCTGTCACCCGGGATAGAGTGCAGTGATGCAGTCATGGCTCACTGCCGCTTTGACCTCCTGGGCTCAAGTGGTCCTCCCACCTCAGCCTCCCAAATAGCTGGGACCACAGGCTTATGCCATCATACCTGGATTTGTTTTTTTTTTTTTTTTTTGTAGAGATGGGGTCTCCCTATGTTGCCCAGGTTGTTCTCAAACTTCTAGGCTCAAGTGATCCTCCAACCTCGGCCTCCCAAAGTGCTGAATTACAGGTGTGAGCCACCACACCCAGCCCCAGGAAAATTATCTTAAGGAGAAAAAACTTAAGCAGATATGAAGGCCAATACATCTGTTTCTATTCCATTAAATAGTATGTTCCTTGATAGCCTTGTCCCCACTTTCGGCATCTGGTAGACTCCTTTGCACCCAGGAAATGCTTAGCAAATGTGCTGTGTCTGACACGACCATTAGACATGAAGCTGCAAGGTCAGAATGCAGCCTAACACACAGTCAGTGTTGTGGATACTGGCCCTCTTTTTAGCCATCCAGCATTTTAACCCCTTCTTAAGTTTGAAGAATTCCCCTGCCTTATGAGACTTGATCAGATGCCTCCCACTGTAGAGGCTGAAAACGCCAGGTTCTTTTAGCCTCCCTTGCAGCTAAGGCATGATAGATACATGACCTGGGACATATCACTCAGATGCACCTACCCCAATTAACACTGGCAGTTGCAAAAAGAATTCCTAAGGCAGATACTTGATATTCTTTCTACCTTCTAAGACAGCAGTGGCAGCGAGGGTAGTGGTGGTGACCATTATCTGTTAGAAATATATTAGGAAATTCAAGGTTCTGCTTTCAGTGCTTTCCTCACTAGGACAGTTGTACTATGTGATTTAGGCATTGCTGCTAGCCGTAGAATCCCAAACTCGATTCTCCAGCCTCCCAGCAATTCCATGAGCTGTCCATCTCCTTTCAACAAATTCCTCTCCTGCTTAAATCAGCCAGAGATTGTTTGCTGTTGCTTACAACTAAGAAACCTGATTGAAACAATACAAATATATGAACACTATCCAAGATTAAGAAAACGCAAGTTTAAACTTTGTTCATCACTTAGAATAGACAAATCTAATCTATAGTGACAAAATGCAGATCAACAGTTACCTAGAGCAGGAGGTGGAGGGATAACTGGGAAGAGGCACAGGAAACTTTTTTTTTTTTTTTTTTTGAGACAAGGTCTCGCTCTGTTGCCCAGGCTGCAGTGCAGTGGCCTTATGATGGCTCACTGGAGCCTTGAACTCCTGGGCTCAAGTGATCCTCCCATCTCAGCCTCCTGAGTAGCTAGGACTACAGGTGGATGCCACTATGCCTGGCTAATTTTTTTATTTTTGTAGAGACAGGAGTCTCACTATGTTACTGAGGCTGGTCACAAACTCCTGGGCTCAAGCGACTCCCCTCCTCGGTCTCTCAAAGTGCTCAGATTACAGTCATGAGCCACTATGCCTGGCCGCACAGGAAACTTTTTTGGATAGAAATGTTCTACTGCTTAATTGTGTTAGTGGTATATTGGTGCACAAATTTGCCAAAACTCATTGAATGTATATTTTAATTGGGTTATCTTACATAAATTATACCTGAAGAAAGTTGATTTAAGACTTCATTATGGGCTCGATGCGGTGGCTCATGCCTGTAATCCCAGCACTTTGGGAGGCTGAGGTGGGCGGATCACTTGAGGTCAGGAGTTCGAGATCAGCCTGGCCAACATGGTGAAACCCCGTCTTTACTAAAAATACAAAAATTAGCCAGGCATGGTGGCAGGTGCCTGTAATCCCAGCTACTCGGGAGGCTGAGGCAGGAAAATCACTTTAACCTGAGACGCAGAGGTTGCAGTGAGCTGAGATCACACCACTACACTCCAGCCTAGGTGACGTAGTGAGACTCCGTCTCAAAAAAAGAAGACCGGTTGCAGTGGCTCACACCTGTAATCCTAGCACTTTGGAAGGCCAAGGTGGGTGGATCACCTGAGGTCAGGAGTTCCAGACCAGCCTGGCCAACATGGAGAAACCCTGTCTCTACTAAAAATACAAAATTAATCGGGCGTGGTGGCGCATGCCTGTAATCCCAGCTACTCAGGAGGCTGAGGCAAGAGAATCACTTGAACCTGGGAGGCAGAGGTTGCAGTGAGCTGAGCTCGTGCCATTGTACTCCTGCCTGGGCAACAAGAATGAAACTCTGTCTCAAAAAAAAAAAAAAAAGACTTTATTATAAAATATGGAGTGTGTCCAAACCAAAAGAAAAAGACCTTTATTCACATACTGAGGTTTATAAAGCAAAATAATAAGTTGGCAGGGTGGGAGGGTACACACAGGTAAAAAGCCATTGGGAAATAGCTACATGGTTATAAATGAGGAATATAAAGAAAAGCCCAAAGTCAAGGCCATATGCTGTTTAAACTCTTTCACATTTTTCATGTAAGCATGAAAGTTATGTCAAGCTAGGGCATCTTTCCTAACTATCTTGAATCTTTTTTCATTGCTGATACAAATATTACTAAGACGAAAACTTTCTTCTCCTTAGCAATTGTTAATTTACTTGATATCTAATCCATTCTAGGATGAATATAATTAAATCACAGAATGTTACAGCCAAAGAGACTCTGAGAAAATTATTCTATCCAAGTTCTTCATTTGTAAAAGAAGCACATGAGACCTAAGGAGGGGAAGAGAAGTGGCCTGCCCAAAGCCATCCGGCTTTAAAAACGGTCTTTAGAAGTGATTTCTGTTACTATTTGGGGGAAGAAAATCTTTAAATATGCAAAGCCATATATTTATGGGATTTTTGTGGGTGATTTTTCCTGGAAATTTAGTCGTTAGTCTACAACTAATTGAAAACAACAACAAAATCCATATATCATAGGTAAAATGAAAACTTACACATTTTCTGAGCTAGAATATCCCCATGCTCATATGGTCACATATGTACATATGACAACTTATTTCAAGACATAATACTTTCTTTTATTTTATTTTTTGTAGAGACAGAGTCTTGCTCTTCCCAGGCTGGAGTGCAATGGCATGATCATAGCTCAATGTAACCTCGAACTCTTAGGCTTAAGGGACCCACCTGCCTCAGCCTCCCAAGCAGCTCAGACTATAGGCATGTGCCAGCACTCATGGCTAACTTTTCACTTTTTGTAGAGACAGGGTCTCCCCATATTGCCCAGACTGTTCTTGACCTCTTGGCCTCAAGCAATTCTTCCACTTTGTCCTCTCAAAATGTTGGGATTACAGGCATGAGCCACCATGAGACATAATAAACACGTGTGATGGATAGTAAGTTAGAAATTTTATTTAGTAAATTACAAAAGCAACAAAACTACATTAGAGGCCAGGCATGGTGGCTCATGCTTGTAATCCCAGCACTTTGGGAGGCCGAGGCAGGTGGATAGCTTGAGGCCAGGAGTTCAAGACCAGCCTGGCCAACATGGTGAAACCCCACTCTACTAAAAATTTAAAAATTAGCCAGGTTTGGTGGCACACGCCTTGTAATCCCAGCTACTCAGGAGAATTGCTTGAACCCGGGAGGCAGAGATTGCAGTGAGCCGAGATCACGCCGCTGCACTCCAGCCTGGGGGACAGGGCGAAATTCTGTCTCAAAAAAAAAAAAAAAAAAAAGTCAATAAAAAAACTACGTTAGAGAAAATTTGGAAACTCTACAGGGGACAAAGCAACTATAACGCCTCTACTTAAACAACTATCATGATCACTTGTTTGTATTGCCTGTTAATATTTTTTCTCTGGAATGTTTTACATAATTATTAATGAAGCCTACCTAAAATTTTGTAACTACCTTTCCCACCTATATTATAGCATAAACATTTTACTTTCTTTTAAAAATTGGACCATGGCTGGGTGCAGTGGCTCATGCCTGTAATCCCAGCACTTTGGGTGGCCAAGGATGGAGGATTGCTTGAGGCCAGGAGTTCAAGATCACCCCAGGCAACATAGTTAAGATCCCATCTCTGTAATGGAAAAAATAAAATAAACATAGGATCATTATTGTTGTACAGATAAAATACATGAAGAAAAACTTTTTAAAAATTAAAAAAAAAATGGACCATTATTATTTATACTGTTTTTATTGTGGCTGTTTGAGCAGAGGTAAAAGTGTTCCTCCCCAATCCCAACTGATGTTAATAATCTCTGGTATTTTTTCCATCCTCATATAATTGCACACAATCATATACAGAATATACATATATGGAGTGGGGTTGTTATTGTAGGTTTATATATTGTACTTCTCTGCATCTCACTCTCACATAATACATTGTGGCAATCTCTCCAAGTTAATTGGTATAGATCTAAGAAATTACTTTTTTTTTTTTTTTTTTTTGAGATGGAGTCTCACTGTTGCCCAGGCTGGAGTACAGTGGTGAGATCCAGGCTCACTGCAACCTCCGCCTCCCGGTTTCAAACTATTCTCCTGCCTTAGCCTCCCAAGTAGCTGGGATTATAGGTGTGTGCCACCACGCCTGGATAATTGTTGTATTTTTAGTAGGGATGGGTTTCACCATGTTGGCCAGGCTGGTCTTGAACTCCTGACTTCAGGTGATCCGCTTGGCTCAGCCTCCCAAAGTACTGGGATTACAGGCGTGAGCCACCACATTTGGCCCTAAGAAATTACTTGTAATGACTGCATAATATTCCATGGTACAAATGAACTGTGTTAATCATTTCTCCACTGATGAACATTCCCTTTATTTTCATTATTTTGCCATGGCAAACAATGCCACAACAAACATCTTGGTACATAGAGCCTTACATGTTGGTGTTTTTATTTATGTGGAGTTTCCATAGATGTGGCTAGGCTGCTTTCCAAAAAGGCTATAACTATTCTTATTTCCCCCAGGAATATTCATTGCCTGAATACCTTTCTCCTGCATTCCAGCCAATAGTGGATGTTAACATTTTTAGTTCTTGTTGGTCAGATGGGTGACAAGTGATAGTTTATAGCTACTTTTGCTGATTGCTGGTGCTATTGAGCATCTCTATATCGTATACTTACTATAAGTTTAGATTTGCTCGTCTGTCAATTATCTAATCCTCTGATTTGCCTAATTTTCTTTTGGGTTATCTGCCTTTTTTTTTTAACCAAGGAGTGACAGCTTCTAAATAATACGTATTAACTGTTTATTTGTTATATGCAATATTTTTCCCATTTATCTTTTTGTCTTTTGACTATGTGGTCACTTTTGCTATTGAAATATTCTTTTTATTTTTTTTTTTTCTGAGACAGAGTCTTACTCTGTCCCCCAGTGCAGTGGCATGATCTCGGTTCACTGCAACCTCCACCTCCTGGGTTTAAGTGATTCTCGTGCCTCGGCCTCCTGAATAGCTGGGATTACAGGCGTGCGCCACCACGCCCAGCTAATTTTTTGTATTTTTAATATAGATGGGTTTTTGCCATGTTGGCCAGGTTGGTCTCAAACTCCAGGTCTCAAATGACCCACCCACTTTGGCCTCCCAAAGTGGTGAGATTACAGGCGTGAGCCACCTTGCCCAGCTGGTAGATTGTTTTTGTTTTTTATTCTATTTTATTTTGTCATTAAGCTTATGTTAGCCATAACGAATTGGAAGTTTTTCATCTTTTTCTATAACCTATAAAAACTTCAATTACATTGGAATTATCAGTTCTTTAAAAGATAATAGAGCAGAGCTATGAAACCATTTGATCTTTTAAAAAAGTAGTCAGATCTTCAAGGCCTTTTCAATTTCTTCAAAAGAAATTTATCTACGCAGCTTTTCAACTTAATTAGTCACTTGTATTTTCCTAGGAAACTACGTATTTCCTTAAGTTCATCAAATTTGTTGACAAAGCCTGTAGTCTCAGCTACTTGGGAGGCTGTGGCGGAAGGATCATTTGAGCCCAGTAGTTCAAGGCTGCAGTGAGACAGGATTGCACTACTGCACTCCAGCCTGAGTGACAGAGCAAGATCCTGTCTCAAAAAAAAAAAAAAAACAATTTGTTGACAGAGCATAAGCATTTTCCCATATGCTATATAAGGAATGGTGGAGACAGAATGAACTTTTCTTGAACAGCTGCTATATGCCAAACATGATGCTTCATATTTTATTTATATTTTCTCATTTAATTAAGTTCTCATATTGATTCTGTTGAGGGTGTATCATTATCCCCATTTTCTAGATGAGAATACTGAGGCTTGGGAAAATGAGGTAATAATATGCCCAGGATCATGGCATACAGAGCCAGAATTGTAATTCGGGCAGGTCCATATGATTTCAGAACTGGTTCTTTCATTTATTACTCCTGGCTTTCTCCAAATAGTTTCAACAATAATTATATTTATTGACTAAGAAATAGTTGCTTGAGAAAACATGTCATCATTTTCTTTCCCTCCCCCAATTATTAGGGTAATTTTCATTTTTTACTATAATAAATGGATATAAAAAGGAACAGAGTCCTTTTTCTTCATATTTAGGACATTTTTTCTTAAGCTAAGTTTCCAGAACAGAATTTCTAGGTTGACGAGAATGACTGTAATAATGAATATGTATTAAAGGGTACAGTTTAAAAGGGAGCTTAATAACAGGATTACACAGAAAGGTAATATGACTTATTTTGGAAAAAGCCTTGCTATGATTATGAAAGTCCCTTTGAGATCTCACTTGTAGTCTGCTCTTCATTTTGTACTGGGAATCTCTCACTCTGAGCCTAGTAATTCTTCACTGTGCCCTTGATAGCCCTTGAATCACTGCCTGCCTTTGAATAAATAACCATCAGATGCTGCCACATGCCTCTCACCAAGTTAATGTGGCTCCTATTCCTCCCTGACCTTCCTCCTTTCTTTCTGTCTCTACAGTTGCAGTGCTAACCTCTAAAAACACCCATTCAGGCCTTGGCGGACACTGGGGAAAATAATGTTAAGTGAGCCTGTTGGTGTCTATATCATGCCTGATCATGTTACAAAGCCATGGTTTTCAGTTTATATTTTTTGAAGCCCAGGCTTTCTTGAGTCTGTCTTGAGTGGAGAGAGGAAGCCACCAAGCTGGTAGGGTTCTGGGTCCCCCTTTTTACCCCCTTCAACCAGAGCCTCTCTGTTCTTGTCTGATTCACGTACTACAGCTTTGGGGGAAGCACTTCCTTTTTTTATTTTTTTATTTTTTGAGACAGGGTCTCACTCTGTTACCCAGGCCAAAGTACAGTGGCATGATCATGGCTCACTGCCTCAACCTCCTGGGCTCAAGCAATCCTCCTGCCTCAGCCTCTCAAAGTGCTGGAATTACAGGCGTGAGCCACAGTGCCTGGCGGGGAAGGATTTCCTTTGAAGATCAGCTTCTGCTGTTTAAAAACAAAGGTTCTAAAATTATTGATATAGAGAAATAAGAATGTTGAAACAATAAGAAGTTATAGCCATATTTGTGTAAAATTAATTCAGAAAAATTTTTTTAAATAATAAGTTAACAGAAACCTAAAGAATACTGAAAAGTCTCCTGACCCTCCCCTAGACTGACCTAGAACGTGTACCCTCCTCCCCATATACACACATAAGACTACAAAAACTGAGGATTGTCTATTACTTTCCAATTACTGCTGTGACAGAAAAGGAAAGTTTGGCACTTTGGGGAATTGAAATTAATTGAAAGCAGACTTGAGTTAATTTCCATTTCAGTGTCCTTTATTGAATGGGTCTTTAGTGCACATTTCTAATTTAGTAGAATGGGAACTTTTTATGCTGGGGGGAGGGTGATGAGGAAATACTTTCCCCTGAAACTAAAATAATTCATCAGGACAAATCCTGTAGACATTTTCAAGAAGAGAGTCTATATGATCTTTGTGGTGTAGAAAAAATGCTATAAACATTATGAAAAGGGCTATTTGCTTTTTTTTTCTATAGAGCCTAAAAGCAACATTATTTTGTGACAGTAACACCCTGTTTGTTCATGCTTCGTAGTTTTCAAAGCACTCTCATGTATGTTATCTCACTTGATCACTACGGCAATGCTGTGCAGTGGGCCAAACACACGTTCCATTCATTTTATACCCAAGGAAGCCATAGCTCATACAAATTATTTGCCCAAAGTTACACTGGAAGTCGCTTCAAGTAAGACCAGTAGTCTTTCTATGTTTCTCTAAATTTAAATAAACTGCTTCATGCCACAGTATTTCAAAGTACTGTAATTTAAGGTACCACTTTAAGGTACCATTGTCACTAAAAAAAGGTATCAATTCCTGTGTGGGCTCTGATAGCCATCTGCGTAAACTGGTTGAATGGACTGATACAAGGAAGAAAGTTTTGGCAGGTCTGATGAGAGAAAGAGATTGAGAGAAAGAGAAATAATACAAAGTAGGACTAAAAAGAGGGATGTAACCACCAATTCAGAGAATATGAAATATTATTTGTAAAATTCAGTATGCAATATTTGTTGCCAATAATTTCTTTCTCTCTTGCTTTTTTCTTTTTTTGTAGAGATGGAGTCTTGCTGTGTCACCCAGGTTGGAGTGCAGTGGCAGGATCTCTGCTCACTGCAACCTCTGCCTCCCGGGTTCAAGCAATTCTGCCTCAGCCTCCCGAGTAGCTGGGACTACAGGCACAAGCCGCCACACCCAGCTAATTTCTTTTGTATTTTAGTAGAGACGGGGTTTCACCGTGTTGCCCAGGCTGGTCTTGAACTCCTGAGCTCAGGCAATCCACCTGCCTTGGCCTCCCAAAGTGCTAGGATTACAGGCATGAGCCACCACACTTGGCTGCCAATAATTTCTAAAAGCTAAATGAAACAGATAATTTTCTAGGAAAACATACATTATTGAAATTTGTTTTAAAAACAGTATAAATTTTTTTATCCAGAACAACTATCTGCAGAAAATATTAAAAGAGAAGGTCAAATATCTACTCCCCAATAGGAAATGATTCAGCATAATATCACAGGAAGGTTCTATAAATAACAGTGTCTGTGTTATTTAGTCTATGCTATAGATAGAATACATGTAAATAGCTAAATTTATTCTATGAGGTTCTGAGACCAACTCTAGGATAGCCTACATAAATAAATAAAAAAATAACTATACGTATTCTAAATAAAATGTCAGAAAACAAAAATATAACACTATGATCAGCAAAAAAATAAAAATTAATGGTTATAAAACTATTAATAGAATTAATTAATCAATGTAACGCAAGAAAACAAAGAGTACAGTGTGACCCTTAGAAGCAAAATGGTAAGGAGATAAGACAATTCTCACAATATGAAGATACACAAGTGCTTAAAACTAGGATACCTCAATGAAAATGCAGCTTTCTATGCCCACAACCAAAAAAAAAAAAAAAAAAATCATCCTTGAATACATAGCAATTTAAAGTGGCAAAGGTAATAAATTAAAGAATTAAAATTAAAATAGGGGTCTGGCACAGTGACTCATGCCTGTAATCCCAGCACTTTTGGAGTCCAAGGAAGGCAGTTAGCTTTAGCCCAGAAGTTTGAGACCAGCCTGGGCAACATGGCAAAACCCTGTCTCTACAAAAAATACAAAAAAAAAAAAAAAAAAGAAATTAGCCAGTCGTGGTGGTGCACTACTGTAATTCCAGCCACTTGGAAGACTGAGGTGGGAGAATCACCTGAGCCCAGGAAGTCAAAGCTGCAGTGAGCGATGATAGAGCCACTGCACTCCAGCCTGGGCGGCAGAGTGAGACCTGGTCTAAAAAAAAAATTTTTTTTAATGAAATAAATAAAAGAATTAAAATAGGACTCTGCCACCAGACATCTCAAACAATAAGTGGCCTTATTTTGAAAATGGTCCTTGGTGCTCAAGTCAGCCCCTTACGTGACCCTTTGTCAAATATGGGTGCTGCTAGAAACAAGGTGGCTCCTGCCACTGAACCAGGTCACAAGGCCATCACCCCTCCTTAGTTAACTGCCTTCATGGCTGTCCACTCCCCAGACTGTGAGCAACTAAGGGGTATACACGGAGTTTCATTCCTCTTTCTGTCTCCAGCTCCTGGCACCATTCTCAACATACTCTCAACAAATATTTATGGAAGTGACCTGAATTCTCATGCAGCAGACTACCAGTGAAACACGCTTTTTACTACAACTTGCTTCACATCAACAATAAAGACTTAGTGGTAAATATAGAGAGTTTGGCCTGAAGATTATTTTTATTAGGAAAAAAGGCCTATTTTATTTTAACAAGCAAAGTTCCACTGGCAGAAATATATCCCCTTGTTCCCACTCCCTGGCTTGAAAAACCAAGAAAGAGCAGGCTCTCCTAGTAAATGGTCCCACACCAAAACTAACTGTAGTGATGTTCATCACGGCCAGCAACACCAAAGTGCCCAGAGCCAGTGAGAACAGGAGCAAAGCACAGAGAATAGGTAATTCCATAGCTCAGGAGCACAGAAGGCTCAGAAGTGAAATAACAAAGATCCTTCCATCCTCACTCCACTGGCATGTTAATTTTTGTTGTTGTTCACCTAAGATCAGTCAGGATAGAGTAAATTGGTAGAGTTAATATGTGTCTACATCAGTCAAGAAAAAAAGAACATCAGCATGCTGTCACACACACAAAACCAACCACTGGCCAGAGATATTTTAAGTTTAAAAATGCCTCATTGAAGACATAAAAACTTATCAAAAGTTTCAGATCAGGGCTGAAAGTCACTTCCAGGGGCTCTTCTGACTCATTTTAATACTTGACCTACTTAACTGTGTCAGAACCAGATTTCGTGAGCCTGAATGTCTCATGGCCTCTGTGTCTGGTCAGGGAAGATATTCTTCATCTCTTTTCTTATCCTGACTTGACTCTCTTTAATCTCAATCTTTCAAACAGATTCTCTCCCTGGATTCATCTGAGTGGAAGTTAAAAGCCTCCTGGAGGCCAGGCACGGTGGCTCAAGCCTATAACTTTCAGCACTTTGAGAGGCTGAGGCAAAAGAGTCATTTGAGCCCAGGAGTTCAAGACCAATCTGGGCAACATAGTGAGACCCTATCTTTACAAAAAGTTTTTTTTTTTCAATTAGCCAGGCATGTTGGCATGCACCTGTAGTCCCAGCAAGTTGAGAGGCTGAGGTGGGAGGATCACTTGAGCCCAGGAGGTCAAGGCTGCAGTGAGTCATGATAGTGCCACTGCACTCCAGCCTGGATGACAGAGTGAGACATTGTCTAAAAAAAAAAAAAAAAATCCTCCCAGAGACACTGTGCAAGAGGCAGAGAGCCCCAGTACAATGTAAATATCTACTTAAAAAGACAATAAAGTGACTGTCACTATACTTTCACTAAGTAAGTCCCAATTGATAGGAAGGAAAGACAAAGAAGGACAAGAGTGCTCTCCTGGGAAACGCTGGAGGGAAAGAACCCTGAGCTCCAGAGACAACTCCCTCCAGTCCTAGAGATGGCCCTGATTTGCAGAGGGGTACATTAACATGGAAAAACTTTAGTCCTCAGGAAATGTTCCTTCTGCTAAATCACAGGCAGTGGCAGGACTCCCAAGATCTGAACCAGGTGGCTGAGTTAGTAGTACATTGTAAAACGGATCATCAGTCACCAAAGCTTAATTTAGGTGAGAGGGGAAACCAGGTTACTGCTGCCCCTCCTGGGAGAATTTTTTTCATAGTTCAGATGAAATGACATCCAATTTGGAGCTGCCTTTGGTGCTCTCAGAACAGCTAGAAAGGAGAAAAAGAGTACAATCCATCTTCAGAATGACTATAATTTCCCACTACTGCCCAGTGAACAAAGACTCCCAGTGAGCAAAGCCTTCAAAAGTTGGAAATCATAGTCAAACCTTGAAAATGGATGAGTTCAGTTAGAAAAATGGTCCACAGCCCGTGCATACTTGACAGGGGTCAGCGATGGTCCCTGGGTACTAAAACCACAGCACTTTCCCCTACAGAACTAGTCCACTCACAGGCCTTAGGCATTCCTACCTGGGGATCTCGGTCCTACAACCCTCTGCTCTCTGTCAACCAAGTTTTGCTCAACCCTCAAAGGGCAACTCATGTCTTATACCCTTCATGAAGCCTGCTTTGGCCATTCTCCTCAATTGTCATCTGTCAACTCTCCTCACCTAAACCAAGGATCATCTTTTTTTGAGACAGGGGGTCTCATTCTGTCACCCAGGCAGTGGTGCAATCATGGCTCACTGCAGCCTTGACCTCCCAGGCTCAAGCAATCTTCCCACCTCAGCTGCCTGAGTAGCTGCCACCAGACCCAGACCTTTTTTTTTTTTTTTTTTTTGTAGATACAGGGTTTCACCATGTTGCCCAGGCTGGTCTCAAGCTCCTGTGCTCGAGCGATCCTCCTGCCCTGGCCTCCCAAAATCCTGGGATTATTACAGGCATGAGCCACTGCACCCAGCCGAGTCTCATCTTATAACCGATTATTATCACAAAGTCCAGCAGCAGAAGCCTAGATATGGGAAAGAGTCAACATTTTTGTTGATCAATGAAAAGTGTAAATTCATCATTAGTTTGATTATTTCTTTTATAATTCCAGCTTACCTCATACATGCCCTCCCTAGAGCTAAGGCATACTGAACCCCACAAATTAGTACATTTTTACCACATCTGAAAAGTTTGGAACAATGAGAAAAGGGCTAGAGACATTCCATAAGGAGACCAGAACATGCTGGGGCTGGTTTTGCTAAGAAGCTATTTTTTGATTCCTCAATCTATTGTTGCATTATTTCAATTTCCTTGTTTGGAACAAGTTGGGACAGGAATAAGTTAATAAAAAAAGAAGAGAAGTGTTCCATCCCCCTACCTCCAAACTGAATTACATACTTCTCCTTTGTCCCAGATAGTTAGATAGCAATCCTGTTCTTCAGAATTTTTTTCTTTTTTTTTTTTTTTTTTGAGACAGAGTCTTGCTCTGTCACCCAGGCTGGAGTGCGGTGGCACAATCTTGGCTCAATCTTGGCACAATCTTGGCTCCACCTCCTAGGTATTTTTTTGTAGACGTGGAGTTTCACCATGTTTCCCAGGTCATGTTGCCCTGATCTCGAACTCCTGGGCACAAGTGATTTGGCCACCTGGTCCTCCCAAAGTGTTGGGATTACAGGCATGAGCCACCACACCTGGCTTCTTCAGCATTTTTTAAAGTATGTGAGGAAAGACACTGAACAACCTCACTTGAAGTCTATTCTAGGGCTGCTTAAGCATTCTGTAAGGCAGTCAGTCCCTGTGCAGATTATGCTCATTTCATCTTGTTCTGATGCCACTGGAAAATGATTCCTTCACCTGAAGACAAGTTGATCTAACAGGGCACACACGCTGCCCCACACCATTTCCTGCCTTTAATGCTCTTCAGAGGGTCTTCCATTTTGATTTCTGATAATGCAATCTATGAAAATTTTCATCAGGCTTCCTGCTGTAGAACTAAATAAAAGAGTTCCTCAAAGAGTCAGGAAGGCAGGGCACCTGCTGGCCCATACAGTCTGGGAATAGAAGAATACTAGACTGAGATCTAACACTGACTTCTTACTGTGGGGCCTTAGGAAAGCCAGGCACTCTCTCTGGGCTTCCATTTCCTCATCTGTAGTATAAGGAGCGTTTCAAAGTCCTGGTAGCTCTAAAATGCTGAGGCTAAAATTTAACAGGGTAATTCCAAATATCACTCAGCAGTGTGGTAACACGGTGATATCACAACCAATGGCCTCCCTTCCCCAGCCCTCCAGCCCCCAAAGCCTTCTGTAACTGTTCTTTTGTTTAATCCAAACAAATCATCACCTTACCCTAAACTGAAATTATGCTAAACAGTTCATCATTTCTCAATCACTAGTATTTTCACTATGCAGTTTTACCTATGTTTTAGTATTCAGGTCTTTAAGGAAAGGAAACAAAACTGGCTTTTTTTTTTTCGGCTAAATGAATGTCCTTGGTCACCCTTATATTTCTTTCCAACGAATAATGTCACTGGGCTGTTCCATGGTCACCTGAATCTCAGTCTGTTGAAATCACATTGGTATCTTTAACCTTTCCAGGCTCCCCCTTCAGGTTCCACTAGCTCTGCCACTAGCACCACCACTGACCCACTCTCAAGACCTCGGAATGATCGCCTCTCATCCTAAAATTCACCAGCTGTGAAATCCTTACGAGTCTTCCTTGCTAAGGTGTCTTTCATTTTCTCCTTTGCTTTTCATTGTCGCCTCTTTGGATCAGCCCTGACTGCTTCATGCCTAAACGTCTCTAGGAGCATCCTAGTTAGTTCATCCATCCTCTTCACTGCCAGTAGATTGTTTTCCTTTAAATGTCACTTACATGATCTTTTGTTCCTGCTCAAAAACTGCAATAGGCGTTTTCTTTTCTTTTTCTTCTTTTCCTTTTTTTTTTTTTTTGATACAGAGTCTCGCTCCGTCTCCCTGGCTGGAGTGCAGTGGTGCAATCTCAGCTCACTGCTCACCTCTGCCTCCCAGGTTCAAGCAGTTCTCCCTGCCTCAGCTTCAGGAGTAGCTGGGATTACAGGCACCCACGACTACGCCTGGCTAATTTTTGTATTTTTAGTAGGGATGGGATTTTGCCATGTTGCCCAGCCTGTTCTCGAACTCCTGACCTCAGGTGATCTGCCTGCCTCAGCCACCCAAAGTGCTGGGATTACAGGAGTGAGCCACTGCACCCGGCCTGTTTTTTCATCTTCATAAAATAAAATCGAGATCTCAAAGTCCTCCACAATGTCCCTGGCCTGCCCCTCCAGCCTCATTTCTGATGTGTAGGAGGCCTGCCAGCTGCCTCAGCCTTCTCTGCCACTTGCATTTCTACTTTGTCTCTCCTTCTCCCTGCTGCCTGGTCTGCCCTGCTCATCCCACTCCAATGGACAAATCCTTACTCATTCTCCAAAGTCTAATGTAGGCCCATTCCCTCTCTAGAACTTTCCCCCTTCAATCCAATGGGAAATTATCCTTCCTTTCTTGGAATAACTGTAAAACTCAATAGGAATCAAAACAAATTTTTCTACTGTTATTCATTTTATGTAAATAATCTCATTTTCTAAGTTAATTGTAAACTTCTTTGAGAAAAGAGGCTATTTTTTTCCACCTCTTATTATCCCTGGTACATAGGATATATTCTAACATAGGGTAGAAGTTCAATAAAGGTTTGTTGACAAAGACACTAAACTGTCCTAAACACTGGCAGTGGTAACTATCTAGCAAATAATCCCCCTCAATTAATGAATTATTGATAATTAATTGATAAGGTGTTCTCGCATCTAAAAATCATGGATGTAGAGATTAAAGGAGAAATAATTGGTAGAAGAAAATCCAGACTGGGTGAGTAGAACAAAAGGATTTAGTGTTCTATCTAGGCCCTAAAGGGTATTTGCAGAGTTATAGGGTCATAAAATAGGATGATCTGCAATAGCTTAGTCCTTGTTATATATATTAGATTCTAGTGTTTAAAATTTAGAAGCAAACTCAATCCTTTTCTTCCTTCACCCACTTTGGAATGCACCTTAGAATCCTTACTGCCTGGTGTTTGCCCACTTCTTTCTTCTTAACACCTGGAGGGCTTGCCTTTGTCCCCTAGTGTCTGCCATTCATCTGCTCCTGGATGCTCCTGTCTCCAAAACAAATTATGTGATGGGCTTTGAATGAGCCAGTAGATGCAGAATAAATCTAAAAAAAAAAAAATCCATCCCTTTGAAGATAGTATTTCCAGCCTAGTCCTTGCATCTTTAACTTCTTCCTATACATTTTTTAGCTTAGGCCCTTCCTTTAGCGTGTGATATAAATCTGGATGTAAAATTCACATGCAAAACAGATCCCTGCTTCTTAAAATCCTGTAAATTCAGTTATCATAGTTTTTTTTAATGTACTATTAATTGTCCATTGGTAAAAATTAAATAAATAAGTAGATGCAACACACTTGAGAAGTCATTAAAATGTTAAAAGACTGTTTGGAATCACAGAAGCCCAGAGAAGCTCATTTGTGGAAATCCTGGGCTATAAGGGATATGAGGAAGAAGAGCTAGGTTGAACCTCAAGCTATGATTTATCTCCACCAAGGCCTATTTCGTTCCTATCTCTTGGCAACTTCAGAATCTTCCCAAATTTACAATATCCTACTACCCTACATCAAGGATAAAAAAGATCTAAGGTCTCTGCTTGAATGTCACTTTATTAGAAAGGCCTTCTTTGACCCATACATATAAGAGAGGAGTCCTGGCCTCTATACCCTATCTCCCTTTCACTGCTTTATTTTTCTCCACAACATTTACCAATCAAATGATAATGTTATATATTTCTTTGCTCATTGACCATCTTGGCTTATCAGTGCCCCCTCATGAGGACTTGGACATTTTTGTTCACTCTGTATTCCCCAAGACCTAAACCAGTGTCCAGCACAGAATAGGCCTTGAATAAATAGGTGCCGAATAAATGAATAAACCAATCTCATAGTTCGGAAGGACCAAACGAAACAAAACTGCACCCACCATAACTACTTGCAATATTTAGCTAAGGAATCAGTGTAGAGTGGTAAAGAAAATTAAACAGAAAGATTATACAGAGATCAGCCAGCCAAGCCCTGTCACTTTACAAATACGGAAAATGAGGTCCAGAGAGGATAAGTGACTTGGCTAAGTCATAAGCTCCTGTTTTGACAGAAAAAATAAAATGCTTCACTACAGAGTCCCAATTTCTTATATACATATGGTGATTATGGAATCGGATAACACGTCTTTAATCTCAGTGAGGCAGACCTCAGAAGTAAGTGGTATAAAATGGCTGTCAGGTCAGATGCCTTGCCCAAATATATCAACCTCACTGCCTGTCGCCAACATTATGACTCTATTCCTTTGAATCTTGAGAGATTTTTAAAAACACACTTTAATCTGTTCTCAGCTAATACTTCAGCCAGTTGAAAGCAACACCAAGAACCATGCTAGTTGTTTTTCTTTTTTTTTTTTTTTTTTCTTGAGATGGAGTCTTGCTCTGTCACCCAGGCTGCTCTGTCACCCAAGCTGGAGTGCAGTGGCGCGATCTCGGCTCACTGCAAGCTCCACCTCCCGGGTTCACGCCATTCTCCTGCCTCAGCCTCCCGAGTAGCTGGGACTACAGGCGCCCGCCAACACGCCCAGCTAATTTTTTGTATTTTTAGTAGAGATGGGGTTTCACTGTGTTAGCCAGGATGGTCTCGATCTCCTGACCTTGTGATCCACCCGTCTCAGCCTCCCAAAGTGCTGGGATTACAGGCGTGAGCCACCGTGCCCGGCCTCATGCTAGTTGTTAATAGGGAGTAGAAATGAAGAGTTTGAGTTTGAAGTCTGGAAGATGTGAATTCAAATCCCAAGTCCATGATTTAAATAGCTGATTGACCTTGGGAAAATTATTTACCCTCTCCGAGTCTGCTGGCTTAGTCTCTGGAACGACCGTAAGACTCCAGTGGTGATTATTGCTATGCTTTGCATTTTGGTCCTAGTACAAAGCTGGAAGCTCAGCTCTAGCCTGAGATCAGTAGAGATAACAGAAGCAGCAAATGCAGAATTCTCCTGAGGAGTCCAGATGTAAAGGTCTTCCAGGATAGGGATGTGTTAGCTTCCAAGGTCTGAAGTACCGAGCTCAGAAGTGAGCCCTACCCGGGAGCTGGTTACTGCTGCAGCCCTCAGAATGGAGCGCTCCCATCCACAGCACAGCCTCAGCTCAGCAGTGGGTAGGAAGGGAGCCCACCAGCAACCAGCTGCTTGGCAACTCTGGGCCTAAAGTTGGTGTTAGAGCGGGATGAAGGAGCTGCCCTGGCACCAATTTATCAGAGGTGCTAAAACATCCCCAGAAATGTGAGAAGGAGAAAACTAGATTTATCAGGATTTCTCTTAAGGAAAGTCTCTTGTGTGATTGAAAGAATGCTTCTTTCTGGCAGTTTTACTGATCACAAAAAGTAAGATAAGTAAATAAATAAATAAATAAAAAGAAAGAAATGCTCCGATAAGCCCCTTGAGGGCAGGTGTGTGTGTGTGTTTGGGGTGAGAGTGGGGTATCCTAAATGCAGGCTTGAGTAGCAACACATGGTCACTAAAAAGCCTTCAGCCTTCAAAGAAGGCTGAGTCTGGTTTTCTTGTGGGATTTTCATTTTGCTGAGCAGTGTAGCCAGTGTGAGGCCAGAGCTGAACTGTTATTGATCCTGGACAGGAAGCTGAGTACTGCTCTCGGGAGCCTCCTCTTCCACCCTTCCTCCAGGAAGAGATCACCCTGTCTTCATTCAAGTGTGAGATATTGAAAGAAAATCCATTCAAGCAAGTGCCAGACTTTTAATCTGCCTCAGGTATCTTGATTCAGCTCTGTCTGTGGGACCTTAATCTTAAATCTCAGAAACCCCATCTCACTAACTCCACCTCGTCGGCTCTGCAAATCACACCTCCCCATATCCTATGGGACTGCTCCTCTAATCAGAATCTGGAAAGGTTGTCTGGGAGGAGCTCCTGGTGTGTCCCTGTAGCCAATTAGACATTGGTTGATATGATTTTGCTACTTGTAACAGCTAGTGACTGGACTAGCTGAATTCACTTGGTTTGTTCCTCTATTTCAGAGTAATTCAAATAAAACTTTATAGTAGTTAGCATATGTGATATACATGTGCAGATGATCACAGTTCATGCCTTTCACCAAACACTTTCATGCCTCTATGCCTTTGTTCCTCCCATCTTCTATCCCTCAAATATCTTTCTTTATCTAATGAAATACTTCTCATTTTCAGGGCTCAGTTCAAGCACCTCTTTCTCTATGAAGCTTGCCCCTATCCTCTAAGTCATAATTAGTCAATCCCTCTTCTGCTACATTCTCAAACTGCATTATTGGTATTTCTTCCTACCAGGAATTATAGGCAATAGTCTCTATGTATTTACTTATTTATTTTTAGAGATGGGGTCTTGTTCTGTTGCCCAAGCTGGAGCGAATGCGGTGGTATAATCCTAGCTCACTGCAGCCTCGATCTCCAGGGCTCAAGCAACCTTCCTACCTCAGCCTCCCAAGTAGCTGGGACTACAGGTGCATGCCACCACACCAGACTAATTTTAATTTTTTTTTTGTAGAAGTGAGGTCTCACTTTCTTGCCCAGGCTGGTCTTCAACTCCTTGCCCTCAAGCAGTCCTCCCCCACCAGCCTTCCAAAGTGCTAGGATTACAGTCATGACCCACCGTGCCCAGCTGACCATTTCATATTCATATCCATTGTACCTGGCAGGTAATGATTCTTTTTTTAATTTCTTTTTTTAATTCACAAATTATAATTGTATATATTTAGAAAGTGTAGTGCAATGTTATGATATATGCATACAACATAGAATAAGTAAATCAAGCTAATTAGCCTACCTGTCACCTTATATACTTGTCATTGTTGTGGTGAGAACATTTCAACTTTATTCCCTTAGCAATTTTGAAATATACAATATATTAACTAAAGTCAGCCTGTTATGCAATAGATCTCAAAAATGTATTCCTCCTGTCTTACTGAAATGTGTACCCTTTGACCAACGCGTCTCCATTCCACCCCCTCACCCATCCACCCCCAGCCTCTGGAAACCAACATTCTACTCTTGACTTCCATGAGTTTGACTATTTAGATTCCACATATAAGTGAGCTCATGTGGTATTTGCTGCTTGGTGCTGGCTTATTTCTCTGAGCATAATATCTTATGATACTAGAGTGCTGGACTTGAAGCCTCAGGATAAACATGGCATATCTCCTTATAGTAGCAATTTTACTCTTTATACTAGCAATTTTACTGTTTATACTAGCAATTTTACTTAATTTTCAGCAATTTAAAAAATTATCAAATATTTTTTAATGATCAGATAGTTTATGGAGGAGAGTGCAAAATTAGCTGGACTTTTAAAGATAACTACATTTAAATCATTTATTCACATTCCTCTGACATGGGAACTATTCACAGTGGGCACTCAACACAAGTTTGAGTTGAATTTAATTTCAGGAGATGTTTATAATCAATTATTTCTTTCCCTAAAAAAAACCACAGAAGTTTATTTATTCGTATTAATAGCAAGAAGACCACTCTTTAAAAAAAAAATTAATGAGTTAGAAAAGGCAAACTGGAAAAATCAATGCTACTTCACCCAAATTGTAAATTTTGGCTTAACAAAGCTCACTATTTAAACATGTCTGAGAATCTTTCAGAGCACTACCCTTTGGCAAAGACCAAATGATTCTTTGTATTTCAAAAATGTTTTATAAGATACATTATACACATAAAATAGCATATGCAATACATGCACAGTTTACTCTTCCAAGTCTTTACAGTATCTGATAAGTAAAAAATTTAAATGAATAATAAATAAGATGTATTTATCAAGTGAAATATCCTTGAGACTTTATGAAGCCAGTGCCAAGAAGCAGGATGTAAAACTAATATTTTCCTTTTTTTAAGTATATTAGGTTAAGTATAGCCAAATAGAAATGAATCAGCTATGATGTTATCTGCAAGCCTGGCTTTATACTACATTGCTTTAAAATCTCAATTATAAAAGCAATACGTGCTTAATATAGAGATGTTAAAAACCTGACCCACTGTACCCTCTTTCTCTTTCCTGCTAGTTGTAGGTGGAAGGGTCAATGGGAAGTCACGTGGCCCATCTGGAGTGCCTGGAAGACAGCAGAGGGCATGACAGTGGCTGAATCAGGAGTGAGCGATCCATCTTGAGTGACTGATACTAGCTTGCCTGTGCATGGGACTTACTGCAGCCAAGGAGTCAATGTGCTGCCCAAATTTTGTGTTTGACACGCACCCGTTTTTTCTCATACAGTTTCAGAACTTTATTCTCCCAACTTCCTTTGTAAAAGCAATGGCTTTCCAATCAATTCCATTTGATTTTAGCAATATATCTTTTTAAATAATATATCATTTAGTCAATGATCCCCTCCAAAATCAGAATCAAGTGGTCTCGTCTACTTTTTATACCTTATTCCATCATCCAAATTACTATTCTCATGATGATTTATTTAGCCATGCACTAATATAGACTTTCTGCCTACCAATGAAAGTCTTGATCAAAATCGTTCCGTGACTCCTGAAGTTCAAATGTCCTAACCCAACGGACCAACCCCTTTGTGCTCTGGCTTCTGCCCAGCTCTGGAGACTCATCTTTAGTCACTCCCATGCACATACTGGGCTTCTATCACGAAGACAGTCATGGTTCCCCATCCATTCTAGCCTCTGGGGCTGTTCCCTCTGTGGACATCCTTCCCCTGCACCAGGCTAGCTGTCAAACTCCTAGCGTCCTTCAATATTTTGTGCAAATGTCATTCTTCCCTGGCTTTCTTGATATGACCCAGGAGAGTTCAGCCCTGTTTTTCTGTGCTGTGGTATAGCATCTTGTCTACACTTCCATTATAGTATTTCTATCAAACTATAAATTTAAAAGTCTCACTTCTACAAGTTCAGGGATCCATACTCCCAAGGTTTCCACAAATCCTCTAAATTATAGGCAAAATTTTATAGGTTCATTTTCTTACTGGGAAAGAGTTCAGAGCTCACATCAGTTTCTCAAAGGAGTCTATAATTACTCTCTCAAAAATAAACTTAGAAATCACTGCACTAGATTATGAGTCCCTGGGAAACAGAGAGTGAGTTCTAGAGTTCTTTGAGTTTCTACAGATAGATGCCTAATATTAGCTGAATGAGCATTTCAGTTATTGTTTAGAGGTAGCTGCTTATTCTAGTAAAGATATATACTAAATTCAACTTCCTCTGTTTTTTTATTTAAGTGGATAGAAAGTGTGATACTGTGAAAAGTATGGATATTTTTCATATGTTCAAGTGTGATACTGTGAAAATCTTTCCATATCTTTCTCTTGCCGAGTGTACTATGAAAAGTACACTGGGTTGGCTGGGTGTGGTGGCTCACGCCTGTAATCCCAGCACTTTTGGAGGCCGAGGCGGGCGGACCACTGGGTCAGGAGTTCGAGACCAGCCTGACCAATATGATGAAACTCCATCTCTACTGAAAGTACAAAAATTAGCTGGGTGCGGTGGTGTGCACCTATAGTCCCAGCTACTCGGGACGCTGAGGCAGAAGAATCACTTGAACCCAGGAGGCGGAGGTTGCAGTGAGCCAAGATCGTGCCACTGCACTCCAGCCTGGGTGACAGAGTGAGACTCAGTCTCAAAAAAAGAAAAAAAGAAAAGTATGCCGGGCAAAAAGAAAGATATGGAAGGATTTATACCAAACTACTAACAGTGGTTATGCTTGGAAAGAGGAATGGGGTTAGGGGTAGGATGATGGGCTTTTAAATCTCACTTAAACTCTTCTGTCATGATCACGTTTGTATTTTATTTTACAATGAGCACTTTTGGGTTTTGAAATTTAAAAATAATGTTTTAAATTATGAGACTTTTTTCTTAAGTGTGTCAGACATCTAGCTTCCAATCCCAGCTGTGCTACTTATTTCATTTTGTGACCTGGGAAAGTTAATCTTCCTAAGCCTATGCTCCCTCAACTGTCAAGTGGGCATAATAGTTACCTAGCCCACATGGTTATTAAGTGACAAAGCCCAGCATGAAGTAGGAACTCAGAATACATAACTTCAATGGAAAGTAGATGTTGTCTATTTTTCACAATCATCAAAGACATCCAAAATAGAACTTAATTAAAACATAATATGGCTGAGCGCAGTGGCTCACACCTGTAATCCCAGCACTTTCGGAGGCCAAGGCAGGTAGATCACTTGAAGTCAGGAGTTCAAGACCAGCCTGGCCAACATGGTGAAACCCTGTCTCTATAAAAATACAAAAATTAGCTGGGCATGGTGGCGTGAGCCTGTAATCCCAGCTACTCGGGAGGCTGAGGCAGGAGGATTGCTTTAACCTGGAAGGCAGAGGTTGCAGTGACCTAAGATCACACCACTGCACTACTGGGCGACAGAGCAAGACTCTATCTCAAAACAAAACAAAACAAAACGAACAAACAAAAAAGCATAGTTCATTCTTGTCTCAATGCTGTTAGCATTCATATACGCAATCAAGTCTGATGTAACATAGCTGGTTTAGAAGGTGGCTATTTGCCCTTACTGCTAGCTAATTAAGTAATCTCACAATTTGTTTATTTGATGGTTATCAAACCAAGAATGGTTATAAAATTCTACAAAGAAATTTATAATACTTCTGCTTCAATAATGATCACTGGTTTAAGCTAAGTTCTCAGTTTGCCTGTGTTCTTATTAGAAAACAGTTCTTTGCAATTTTCACTCACCTCGTGCCCTGTCTCCACTGGGAGACATCACAGCATGTTTTTTGAAGTCTTCTTCTTGTTTTCTCTAGAAGTTCTGTAAAAAAAAAAAAAAAAAACGCCATTGATAATGATAGCTACCTTGCATTTTATACCATCATTTTTTCCTATAATTTTGTAATTAAAAGTTCTTATTATATATGCAATTCACTGTTGTTAAAGATTTCTAATAGGTAAAAAACATATAAAGTAAAAAAGTAAAAGTCTTTGTTTCTTTTAGTCTTTTAATTTTTAAGTCACTTGGTATTGAGCAAGTACAATCACCTCAGTATTCATATGTTTGGGGGACTAATAAAAATAAATTTCTATGTATTTAAAAACATAGCTCGAGAACTCCAACATGGCTTAGGGGGCTTTGCTGAATCAGAAGAGTTCAAAGCAGTTGATATGACCGTAAAATATTGAAAGCCACAAATCTAGAGTCTTTTCTAATATTCCACATTAAATCACCTACTTCAAGTGACAAGTGAAATGTGTTTGTAATAGGTTTTTCTTTAAGCGCCAATTGAAGTGATCTATACTCAAAATTAAGAACAAATCTATTTAGAAAACATTCTGTGATTTATATAATTTTTGCTGCAGTACGGGCAGTTTGGCCAATTCACTGAATCTTCCTGGACTTCGGTTTCCTGACCTGTATGATTGGCTTAGTAATAGTAATACTTGCCTCACAGTGTGGATGTGAAGATTCAGGGACACGAAGCCTGGAGGGAGGGAGACTGGGACATAGAGTTTAGGGAGGGGCAAAGCCTTACTTGGTCACCTTTTGTCACTTTATCAAGAGGCCTTTATTCTGGGTGAATCTGTTTATTCCCAGCTTGGCTTCCTCTTTTTTTCCTTTAATTTTACTGATTTTTTTTTTCTTAAAAGATTACTTTTGTACATAATGCTGTACTTTGTCTAAAGGAATATAAGAGGCCATGTAAGGCCTGATACTGGCTCTGACAGACACTGCTAGTTGCCACCCAGTATTCATTCTCCTCTTTTTTTGGAAACCCAGTTAAAAGACTGTATTCCCCTCTTCCTCACAGCTAAGTGTAACCATGAGACTAGATTTCTACCCATGCAATACAAGTAGAAACACTGAGTGACCACTGGGAAGTCTCCTAAAAGAGAGAACACACCTTTTTTCCCCATTCCTCGTTCCTGCTGGCTGAACATCAGTGAGATAGGTGGAGACCTAGCAACTGTCTTGGACCAAGAGGTGATATACTAAGGATGGCAGAAGAGCAAGATGACAGGAACCTGGGGGCCTCTCACTAAGGAACTCATCTAACAGCACTAGACTGCCTACCTTTGTGGGCTTGTTTGTTTGTTTGTTTGTTTTTAATGTAAGAGAGAAATACACTTCTAGCTTGTTTAAGCCTCTATTATTATTCTTTTTTTTTTTCCCCCAGCATATACAGATTAACTCAATCTTTACTGATATGCTGGCGTTCTAGGAAGCTATCCAGAGCCCAAAAGCAACATTTTTTTTTTTTAAAGGCAGGTTTTCTCTCTGAAGCCCAGGCTGGAGTGCAGTGGTGTGATTGTGGCTCTCTGCAGCCTCGACCTCCCGGGCTCTAGCAATCCTCCTGCCTCAGCCTCTGAGTAGCTGGAACTACAGGTGCATGCCACCATGCCTGGCTAATTTTTTTGTTTTTTGTTTTTTGTTTTTGGTAGAGATGGGGTTTTGCCACGTTGCCCAAGCTGGTCTCGAATTCCTGGGCTGAAATGATCCCAGTGTCTCGGCCTCCTAAAGTGTTGGGATCAAAAGAGTGAGCCAGCCTGGCAAGAACGATTTTTAATTCTGGAAAGTTTTCTTATATTTCCTTGGAGCCTATGTGTGCTTTCTGCTTATTAACAACAGTCTTCAGTCTTCAGTCTTCAGACTTTAGAAGTCTTCACTCCAGCCCTTGTTTGTGCCCTATCTCCCTTGAATTGCCTACATTTTAGATACTACTCACTCATTTGAGCTCTTCAGATAGAAACCTGGAAAATGAGGTAACTCACTTGGGAAAAAAAGAAAGAAAGTTTGGCTAAAATTAAGTTTTTAGGGGTTTAAACAGAGTTCACGTGCATTCAACAAGTATTTAATAAGCATATACCACATAAAAGGCATTGTACCAGGTGCTAGGAGAAATGAAAGGATGCCATTGTTTCTGCTTCCAGTCTAGAAGGGAAGATGAGACACATAAATAACTGTAACATATAATGGATTGTGACAAATGAAAAAGAAAAGTGTAAAGTGCCTAAAATTTTCAGAGAAAAGATGAATTCCCTTGTGGGGATTAGAGAAAGCTTCATTAAGAAGATAGGATTTGAGCCAGGCTTTGCATGATATGTAGAAACGGTCAAAAGGGGATCACCAGAGGGGCCAGGCACAGTGGTTCACACCTGTAATTCCAGCATTTTGGGAGGCTGAGGCAGGTAAATCGCTTGAGCTCAGGAGTTCGAGATCAGCCTGGCCAACATAGTGAAACTCTGTCTCTACTAAAAGTACAAAAATTAGCCCATGGTGGCGGGTGCCTGTAATCCCAGCTACTCAGGAGGCTGAGGCAGGAGAATTGCTTGAACCCAGGAGGCAGAGGTTGCAGTGAGCCAAGACTGTGCCACTGCACTCCACCCTGGCAACAGGGTGAGACCTTGTCTCAAAAAAAGAAAAAAAAAAAAAAAAGGATTACCAGAGGAACAAAGCACAAGGCCTAGGTGGATTTAGGAACCCTAGGGAGCAAAGAAGGTAGAGTAGAAGGTGAGGCTAGACAGGTAGATTGGGGGCAGATAGAGAGCCTTGAATCTCTTCTTTGGAGCTTGCTCTGCAGTGGAGAGAATGAGTCATTGAAAATGTTTAAGCAGAGGTATAACAAGATCACATATCTCTGGTAAGAAGATGACTTAGTGGCACTGTAGAGGAAAGAGCAGCTGCAAAGAGGCCAGTGAGCAGGCACCTTTAATAACTCAAGTAAAAGATAATGATGACCTGAATTAGGGAAGTGACTCTTAGAAAGGAAAGGAGGGCACAGATAGAAGCGACATTTCAAAGGTTGCTCCATGAGCCAAATGTATGCTTCACCCAAGAAAAAGAGTTGGATAGTCACTCTCAGATTCAGAAGGAGGAAATATGTCATAAGATAATTTTTAAAATTACTCTAACTTATTTGAACCAGGAGACTAAAAGGAGGCTGAATATGCTATAATAATGAACTTGGTTCTACAATTTTAGCAGAGCCTTAACTTTTGTTTTTGTCAATTGGGGGTGCACTGACTAACTCTGCTAGGAGATGGGGAAAGCACATTTTAAAATGTCTCAAAAAAGAAATACAACCATCCTTTCTTTCCCATTGTTCATCCTTTGCCCGGGTGTTATGGTACTTAGCAGATGTCAGTTAGGTTTTTCTACTTTTCCCCAGTTATCTGTTTACCCACCTTTAGGCATCATCTCTACCCACCCCACCTACTCACACACTCCATAAAAAACCCAGTGAAAATTACGAGGAGGAGATTTTTTTAGAGAGCATAAGAATTTTCCAGTATTTGCTTCTTCATTGCTTGCTAAAACCATGCCAGCATAGCCTGGGGAAAGGTGGAAAGGGCTGGCATTGCCCCATATAAGGGAATTATATCCTCAAATCATTTGAGATAAGTAGGCCCCAAAGACAAATCCAAAACAGCTACTCCCTCATTCTCAGGAAATAAATTCTAGAGATTTCCTCAAATGGATAAATTTGAGAATCCGATTAGCTGCCACTTTTTCTTTATTTTTCTGATTATTTTAGGAAGACTCAAACAGATGTTAATACTTACTACCCTGTCTTTTTGTCAGTAAAGGCATGAACAGACAACAAAATAATCATGAACATACCAATCAGAAGAGTGCTCTCTGTAATATTAGCATTTATGATTTGTTTCGTTCATCTTATTTGGGGCATTCAAAGTGCTTTACAAATAACATAATGAGGGTTTTTTTTCCTTCCATGACTCCCAAGGTGATTCCTGGCACTCTCAAAAGGCACAAGTGATTAGTCAAGTCCTTGGGGCCCAGCAGCAGTAATGTGATGCATGTTGGTTAAACTGTGTTTCACACTCATGTAAATTGTGTGGGGGGCGGGTGGGGAATCTTCCACACTGTCCTTGAGAAGATTAGCAAGAATTATGAATTTAAAGATTCTTACATTTATAAAAATCCAAACAAAGAGAAATATTGAACAAATCATACTCCAGTCCTAAAATCAAAGTCTAAGGGTCTTAACCTGTGGTCCCAGGAATAGGGTTTCAGGTCACCTGTAAATCTTCTGAAATTGTATGCAAAATTTTGTGTGATTTTACTTTTTTTTTTGCAGAAATGGTGGACTGGTTTCTGAAGATTCTAAAAGCAATTCTTGACACCGAAAAGGTTAAGAACTGCTGTCATTAAAGAAAAAGAAAGGAAGGAAGAGGGAGAGAGGAAGGGAGGAAAGGAGAGAGGAAGGGAAGGAGGAAGATCAGTTGATCTTTGTATCTACATTACTTAGTTTATTACTGGCCTGCTATGTTGAAGTACACCCTTATACACAGAGAAAAGGGAAGGTAAATAAAGGGAATTAAGAAAAAGTTAACAATAAGGCCGAGCATGGTGGCTCACACCTGTAATCCCAGCACTTTGGGAGGCTGAAGTGGGAGGACTGCTTGAGATCAGGAGTTCAAGACCAACCTGAGCAACATGACGAAACCCCATCTCTACAAAAAATACAAAAATTAGCCGGGTGTGGTGGTGTGCACCTGTGGTCTCAGTTACCTGTGGGGGCTGAGGTGGGAGGATTGCTTGAGCCCAGGTGACAAAGTGAGACCTTGTCTAAAAAAAGAAAAGAAAAAAGAAAAAAAAAAAAACCAATAGTATGGTCATCTTGTTTCAAAAGCCTCTGAGTTTTCAAATGAGTTTAGATTGCATTTCCAGAGCCCATGGTTATGAAAAATGTAGACATTAATTAATTCAGTTTGTGAAAAATGTTTAGAATAAATGTGCATCAAAAACTTTTTTCTCTAGGATACATTTCTGATCATTATGTTGAATCCTTCAGAAGTAGCCTTCAATGAAATAGCTATTCCATTTACAGCAATATGATTTTGTATTAAAAGGGGCTATTAAAAATATAAAAGGGTGATATAGAGATTTCTACATATTCAGAATACTATTTCAGCATATAAAAACTCACATAATTCCAATACTAATTATAATAGAACGCTATTCTCACTTAAGACAATGTTTAAGTGAAACTCAGTTCTTCTCATTACACACCAAAGCCCCATGAAGTGTTTAGAATTAGGTTTCACCAATAAAGCCCCCATGTAATTAATCAGTACACATTTTCAATCAGGATATGTTTTTTGTTCTGTACATAGGGGAGTGAATGCTGAAGATTCCCCTATTCTTTTTCTGTGTTAGAAAGGAATAAACCAATCTCCCTCCATCCCTAATCTTTTTCATTCTTTAATTATTCTTAATCCCAAAGAGGCATGTCCATGTCAGATTTACGCTGTCTAGCATCCTTTCTTTAAGACTGCTCTCAAAATTTAACTCATCTTCAACTATATTTATTAATATGCAGAACAACTTCAGTCTCCAGTTTATCGATAACCTGCAAAGCGCAGTTAAGACATAATATAAAAATTAAGCAAGGAAATAAATGTTTTACAAATTGTTATAACTCTTAAATAAAAGTTATTTCTTTGAATGCCTACCTCAAATAAATGTTAGCATATATTGGATTTAAATTAGTACACCACGTGGTAAGGATTGATGGGTTTTCATCTCTTATAAAATTGTTTCCCCTTTCAGTGCCCCTTAAAGCATATAAAAGCGCATACTTACCCCATGTTGCCTGCGGTGGTTATATCATCCTCAGATCAAGGCTTATCTGGGTTCTGAATTAACTTAAAGGTTATAAAAAGAAGCAGTAGAGAGGCTTGACTTCCCCTGAAACGAGACCGTAGTATGCTAACCAGGCTTTTAAATGAGGAAAACTAGTGTCTCTTCTAATTATATAAGCTCCAGGTCAAATTCTAGCATCAACTAATCAAATAACTGAACTGCATTTAGTTTCAATGAGTAAAAAGGAAGAAACCCATTTAGGAGGAATATCTTTGGTATACTAGAAAATTGAAAAGTTGTACTTTGAAAAGTTATTAACATAGCAATACAAGTTAAATATTTTAAGAGTAAAATATATATCTTGCTGCCTTAAATAAATTGAAAAAAATTAGGGAAAATTTATTTTGCAGCAAAGCAGATACTTTTCTATATTTTCCAGAAGTTTTTGAATTTAAATTATATGTCCTGGTCCCTGAAAACATCTTCTCACCTTATCTTAACTTGTCCAGTATTTGTCTCTTCATGAATTTCCATATAATAATAATATTTAATTCTAAAGCCATGCCAGCTAATGTTTAGCAACATATACAAAAATGTCCAATTCTTAAAATGTGTCTTTGAAAACTTACAAATAGGGTCTTTCAAAATTAGCCATAAAGCTATTATTATGAGAAACTAACAAAAATGCCATTTTTATTTTAACATTTTAGAAGACATTGTAACCCAAATTTGTGCCAGTACAGCAAAAAATAAAAATATACATCTTTTGGCAATAACATATTGAGAAATACAAATATTCACAAGATTTTGAATAGAGAAATATGACAAAGAAGTTATCTATTGTGTACACTATTTTTTGTCAGTTTTAGAATATAGAGTTTCAGCAAAAACATTCAGGTCTTTATTGTAATTTTTTAAATGTAGTTGACATATACTGCTCTGGTAATTTTTAAATTATCTTATGTAAAAAGTAAAGAAGTTTTCTGGACATAGAATATATGACAACACACAGATCTACTTTTTAAGAAATTGAGACATAATTTACACATCATACATAAAATTTGTCCCTGTTAAATGAACAATTCAGTGGTTTTTAGTACATTTTCAAGACTGTGCAACCATCACCACTGTCTAATTCTAGAAACCTCATGCCTCCCAATTTCTTCCTCCCCTGGCAACCACTAATCTATTTTCTGTCCCTAAGGATTTGCCTATTCAGAGCATTTCACATAAATGGAATCATATAATATGTGGCCGTTTGTGACTGGTTCCTTTCACTTAGTACAATGTTTGTTTGTTTGTTGTTTTTGAGATGAAGTTTTGCTCTGTCACCCATCCTGGAGTGCAGTGGCATGATCTTGGTTCACTGCAACCTCTGCCTCCTGGGCTCAAGCAGTCCTCCCAAGTAGCTGGGACTATAGGCATGTGCCACCACACCTGGCTAATTTTTGTATTTTTTGTAGAGATGGGATTTTGCCATGCTGCCCAGCCTGGTCTCAAACTCCTGGCAAGCGATCCACACACCTTGGCATCCCAAAGTGCTGGGATTACAGGATGAGCCACCTGCCTGGCCAGTACAATGTTTCTGAAGTTCATCCATGTTGTAGTATCAGTACTTCATTTTTTATGGCTGAATAATATTCCATTATGTGGACATTTTGTTTACACATTCATTAGTTGATGGACATTTGGATTGTTTCCAGTTGGGGCTATTATACATGTCTTAGTCCATTTGAACTGCTATAAGAAAATACCTTAGACAGGGTAATTTTAAACAACAGAAATGTATTGCTCACAGTTCTGGAGGCTGTTAAGTCCAAGATCAAGGCACTAGCAGATTTAGTGTCTGGTAAGGACTTGCTCTCTTCTTCAAAGATGGCACCTTCTTGCATCATTCTCTTGTGACAGAAGAAGCAAGCAATCTCCTTCACATCTCTTTTATAAGGGCACTAATCCCATCCATGAGGGCTCTGTCCTTATAACCTAATCACCTCCTAAAGGCCTCAACTCTTAATACTACCACAGTAGAGATTAGGTTTTTGTTGTTGTTGTTGTTGTTTTTAGACAGAGTCTCACTCTGTTGCCCCTGCTGGAGTGCAGTGGCGCCATCTTGGCTCACTGCAGACTCCACCTCCCAGTTTCAAGCAATTCTTGTGCCTCAGCCTCCCGAGTAGCTGGGATTACAGGCACACACCACCACGCCTGGCTAATTTTTGTATTTTTAGTGGAGAGGAGGTTTCACCATGTTGGCCAGGCTGGTCTCAAACTCCTGACCTTAAATGATGCACCCACCTTGGCCTCCCAAAGTATTGGGATTACAGTCGTGAGGAAATTAGGTTTAAACATGAATTTTGGAAGGACACATTCAGACTATAGCAATGAATAATGTTGCTATGAACATTCGTGTGCAAGTCAATTCCCTTGCGTACATACCTAGGAACTGCTGAGTCACGTAGTAACTCTATGTCTAATATTTTGAGGAAATGTATTCCACAGCAGCTGCACCATTTTATATTCCCACCAGAAATGTGTGAGGCCTCCAATTTCCCCACATCATTGCCAATCTTTGTATTGTCTGTTTTTTTTTTTTGATATAGCCATCCCACCAAACAATGCATGTTCTCACTTATAAGTGGGAGCTGAACAATGAGAACACATGGACACAGGAGGAGAACAACACACATGTTGTGGAAGTGGGGGAAGAGAGAGCATCAGGAAAAATAGCTAATGCTTGCTGGGCTTAATACCTAGGTTATGGGTTAATAAGTGCAGCAAACCACCATGGCACACATTTACCTATGTAATAAACCTACACATCCTGCACATGTACCCCAGAACTTAAAATAAAATAATAATAATAATAATAGCTATCCCAGTTGGTGTGAAGTGGTATCTCACGGTGGGTTTGTAGGTTTAAGGTTCATTTCCCTGAAGAGTAAGGATGTTAAGCATCTTTTTGTTTACTTATTGGCTACTTGTATATCTCCTTCAGAGAAACATCTGTTCAAATTCTTTGACCTTTTTTTTTTTTTTGAGATGGGAGTCTCGCTCTGTTGCCCAGGCTGGAGTGCAATGGCGCGATCTCGGCTCACTGCAACCTCCGCCTACCATGTTTAAGCGATTCTCCTGCCTCAGCCTCCTGAGCAGGTGGGATTACAGGTGCCCGCCATCATGCCCAGCTATTTTTTGTATTTTTAGTAGAGATGGGGTTTCACCATGTTGGCCAGGCTGCTCTTGAATTCCTGATCTCAGGTGATCTGCCTGCCTCGGCCTCCCAAAGTGCTGGGATTACAGGTGTGAGCCACTGCCCCCCGCCCATTTTAAAAATTAAGGTTTTTTTAATTGTTGGGTTGTAAAAGTTCTTTATACATTTTGGAAACTAGACTTTGTATCAGTGTCATAATTTTTATTGCTATGGTTTCTGGAAATCTGGAGGTAGCAGTGAGCTCAACCAGTGGGGTGGGGGTGAGAGAGAAGACCACAGGACTACACCTTTATTAAGGTCCACGGATGTTATCCCTTAGGCTTTCCCTCTGGGGTTGTGGATTGGCTAGTTTAAAGAAAACATGTGGAAAGGGGGAACTTATTTTTGCATGACTTATTTTGACCTTTAGGTTTTATCATGGTCAGCACCTGTGGGATGTGTTGGGTTTTGGGTCAGCAGGGTAAGGAACAAGTGGGCTGTATTGCAAACAACTACAAGGGGAAGGAAAGTTTTAACTAGGCCAAGAGTAATGGGATATGACTGGATGTCAGACAACTTATGTCAGGCCTAAAAATGGATGCTGAGGCAGTGACTATATTAAGCAAATTTCTGACAATCAGATATGATTTGCAAGTATATTATCCCATTGTGAGGATGGTATTTCCATTTTCTTGATAGTCTCCTTTAATGTATACTTTTTTAAAGATAGAAGTGACAAGAGTTAGCATCCTTGCCTTGTTCCCAGTCTTAGAGTAAAAGCTTTTCAGTTTTTCACTGTTGAGTATGATGTTAGCTGTGGGCTTTTTATATATGACCTCTGTTATGTTTAGGTAATTTCTTTCTGTTCCTAATTTGTTAAGAGGTTTTTTTTTAAATAATGAACAGGTTCTCAATTTTGTTAAATGCTTTTTCTGCATCTGTTGAGCTGATTATGTGATTTTAGTCCTCTATTCTGTTAATGTAGAATATCACATTAGTTGATTTTCGTATGTTGAACTATCCTTGCATCCCAGGGATAAATCTCACTTGGTCATGGTATATGACCCTTTCCATGTGTTGTTGGAAACAGGGGAAAATCTTCATGACATTGATCTTGGCAATGAGTTCATGGATAATGACACCAAAAGCACAGGCAACAAAACAAAAAATAAACAAGTGGAACCACATCAAACCAAAATCTTCTGCACAGCAAAGGAAACAATCAACAGAGTGAAAAGGTAACAACCTACAGAATGGATGAAAATATCTGCAAATCATATATCAGATCAGGATTTAATCTGTAAAATATATGAGGAATTCTTACAACTCAATGGTAAAAAAAATTAATAACCTGATTTAAAAATGGATTAGGAACTGAACAGACGTTTTTTCAAAGAAGACATATAAATGGTCAATAGGTATTTGGAAAAATGCTCGATGTCACTAATCATCAGAGAAATAGAAATGAAAACCACAATGAGATACCACCTTATACCAGACAGGATGGCTATCATCAAAAACAAAAAACAAATGCTAAGGAGGTGGAGAAATTGAACCCTTGCTGTTTTGTCTCTCTAAACCCTCAAATCCTCGGCTGGAATCACCCCAAAAGCAGTGGCAGGGGGACTTCCCACAAGGGAGTCTCCAACTGTCCTGAGATAGGGCTGGCTGGAATACCAAAGAAAAAACTCTAAGCTCTAGGGTGATCAGTCCAAAGAATTTATTAGGGAAACTTCCTTACAGAGGGCTGCAGCAATTGCTGAGAGAGAAAAGGAATGTTCTACCCAGGTATGTCTGCAGCAAGGGGATCAGAGTCTGGAGTTTCTATGACAGTTTGAGAAATTTGGCTCAGGGCTGGGGGCCAGTTTCAGTGTTTTGAGCAACAACCGAAATACCTTTCTCAGTGCTTGGGAATGTTCAAGGCCCAGTTTGGGTTCAAGCCTGCTGAGAAAAACATATAGCCAGCTGGGTCACAGAGCAGTCAAGGTACTCTGTGATTTTCAGTAAGGGCACAGAAAGAAAGTGGGAAGAACTGGGTTACCATACACTTGCCCACTGTTGCTGGGAATGCAAAATGGTGCAGCTGCTATGGTAAATCCTATGGAAGTTCCTCAAGAGATTAAAAATATAACTACTGTACTTGCTTTGGCAGAACACACACTAAAATTGGAATGATACAGAGAAGATGAGCATGGCCCCTGTGCAAAGATGACATGCAGATTTGTGAAGTGGTCCACATTAAAATAATAATAATAATAAATAAATAAATAACAAGAACAAAAAACTACTATATGAGTCAGCAATCCTACTTCTGGGTGTTTATCCAAAAGAACTGAAGCCGGGTGCAGTGGCTCATGCCTGTAATCCCAGCATTTTGGGAGGCCAGGCAGGCCAGGAGTTCAAGACCAGCCTGGCCAATATGGTGAAACCCTGTCTCTACTGAAAATACCAAAAAATTAGCCAGGGATGGTGGACCACACCTGTAATCCTGGCTACTTGGGTAGCCAGGGCACAAGAATTGCTTGAACCCATAAAGCAGAGGTTGCAGTGAGCCGAGATCACACCACTGCACTCCAGCCCGGGCAACAGAGTGAGACTCCTCTATCTCAAAAAAAAAAAAAAAAAAAAAAAAAAAAGAATTGCTATCAAGATCTCAAATAAATATTAGTACTCCTATGCTCACTGCAGCACTATTTACAATAGTCAAGATGTGGAAACAAACTAAACGTCCACCACCCCTGGCTAATTTTTTGGTATTTTCAGTTGAGATGGGGTTTCACCATGTTGGCCAGGCTGGTCTTGAACGCCTGGCCTGCCTGGCCTCCCAAAATACTGGGATTACAGGCATGAGCCACTGCACCCGGCTTCAATTCTTTTGGATAAACACCCAGAAGTAGGATTGCTGACTCATATAGTAGCAGTCCACCACAATGAATAAAGAAAATGTGGTTTACACATATAATGGAATACTACTCAGCCTTAAAAGAGAAATCCTGTGATTTGTGACAACATGGATGAACCCTGAGGACATTATTCTAAATAAGCCAGTCACAGAAAGACCAGTACTATATGATTCCACTTTTAAGTATGAGGTATTTAAAATAGTCAAATGTGGCCGGGTGGGGTGGCTCACACCTGTAATCCCAGGACTTTGGGAGGCCGAGGGCGGGTGGATCAGAAGTTCGAGACCAGCCTGGTAAACATGGTGAAACCCCATCTCTACTAAAAATACAAAAATTAGCTGGGCATGGTGGCAAGTGCCTGTAATCCCAGCTACTCGGGAGGCTGAGGCAGGAGAATAGCTTGAACCCGGGAGGCAGAGGTTGCAGTGAGCCAAGATTGCACTGTTGCACTCCAGCCTGGGCAAAAAGAGTGAAACCCCATCTCAAAAAAATAAAAAATAAGAAAAATAAAATAGTCAAATTCATAGAATCAAAGAGTAGAATATGGTTACCAGGGGCTGGGGTGATGGGAAAATAAGAGGTAACTAATAAAAGGCCATAAAGTTTCAGTCAAGCAAGATGAATAAGCTCTAGAGATCTGCTGTACAACATTGTACCTATAGTCAACAATAATGTATTGTACACTTAAAATTGTGTTCATTATCCTTAGCAAACTAACAGAACGGGAACAGAAAACCAAATACCGAATGTTCTCACTTATAAGTGGGAGCTAAATGATGAGAACTTGTGGACACAAAGAAAGGAACAACAGACACTGGGGCTACCTGAGGATGGTGGCTGGGAGGAGGGAGAGGATCAGAAAAAATAACTATTGGTACTATGCTTAGTACCTAGGGGACAAAATAATCTGTATAACAAACACTGTGACATGAGTTTACCTGTATAACAAACCTGCACATGTACGCCTGAACCTAAAATAAAAGTTAGAAAATAATAAGAAATGAATAAAATGTATTACAGCCTAAAAAAAAAAGTTGTTTTTTTTTTAAAGAGGTCGGATGTTGACCAGGACACACAAGCACAAACTAGAAAAAAAAAAAAAAAATGACAAAACTCAAACAGAGGATTGGAAATCAACTTTGCCAAGATTTGGATGCTTCTGCCATAGTTATTATAATAAGCAGACTGAATTGAATCATGTCATTTATTTTAAACTAATTGTAAGACAATGAATATAAAGTTCAAAAAGGTGTAAGCAGGTGATGGTTTTATTGGCAAACTTATAGGGGTAGTGTATGAAGTCATTTCAAATAACAGATTAAGTTGCTTTCCTTACAACTAAAAGCTTCAATTACTACATTTCAACTTTAATTTAACATCACATCTACATGTGAAGCTTTAATTTCAGGTCTGGAGCAGCTGTAAAATGAAAGTTACCACTCCATTCTAGTCCTTGGATATCAGTATATTCCCCTTCACCTTCCACCCTGCAATAGTAGAAAATAAGTTTTCCATTAACAAAGATGAATAATTTACAGTCCAGATATAAGATTTTCTAGCATAATATATACTATGTCTGAAGATTATATCCTCTACTTTCAAGCTTTGCTTTTAAACCCAGCATCCTGCTTTCATATCCTACCAAAAAAACAAACAAACCAAAAAAAAAAAAAAAAAAACCACATACTATTCCAAACAAAAACAAACAATTATTTGGTGTCCAAGATTTTAGGATCACATAATCTAGGTTCACACAAAACCAAAACAATGAGTTAAAAAAATGAAAAGTTTATATCGGTTATCTAGCTTAATTACTTCACTTATTCAACAAATATTTTTTCACTATCAATGATGTTTGAGGTGCTGTGCCACCGCACCTGGCCTCCAACAATTTTTAGAAACTATATCATAAAAGAATATTTAGAATTAACTAAATATAGTATTTAAGCAGCTGGGCACAGTGGCTCACGCCTGTAATCTCAGCACTCTGAGAGGCCGAGGCAGGCAGATCACTTGAGGTCAGGAGTTCTAGACCAGCCTGCTCAACACGGTGAAACCCCGTCCCTACTGAAAATACAAAAAATAGCTGGGTGTGGTAGTGCACATCTGTGGACCCAGCTACTTGGGTGGCTGAGGCAAGAGAATCGCTTGAACCCGGGAGGCAGAGGTTGCAGTGAGCCGAGATCACTCCACTGCACTCCTGCCTGGATGACAGAGGGAGACTCTGTCTCAATAAATAAATAAATAAATAAGTATTTAAGCAAACATACCAGAAAATAATCTTTTAGAAATGCAGTGATTTTTTTTTATTTTAAGCTTACCTATTTTCATTGAAATTTCCAGTATACTTTGCCCCATTTGGGAATGTGTAAGTCCCCAGTCCATGAAACATATTATCCTTAAATTGTCCTTCATATACTGCTCCTGAAAAATGCTCAAGTCTTCCAAAACCATTCATCTGTTTGTAACAAAGGAAATTACCTTAGAAACTAATCTTCAGTTTCCCAAGAACCTTTAAAAAATGTACAAATATAAGTCTATCATCTGCTAATTATTACTTAACCAACTTTGTATTGTCCTTTATTTCCATAGTATAAAGACAACATTTTTATCATTTTCCTTCATCTGTATCTATCTGTGAAGCCCAGTAAATTAAATGTTCTGGATCTGGGACATTTGAACATCAGGGGGTCCATGATGAAGATAAATAGGGGTCCTCAAGATACCCTGAATGTATCAGAAATCTTAAAGGGCAACCAGTTTAGTTAGTTCAGGAAACCAGTACAAAGTAGTTGTTAAGAATTCAAATTTGGATTTGAGCAGACCAGGGTATACTTTCCTGTTTTATCATTTACTAGCTGGGCAAGAAACCTGAGCCTGATTTTCCTCATTTGTAAAATAGAGTATTAATGGTACCTATCTCATGAGGTTATTATGAGGATTAAATGAGAAAATTATGTAACGGATTCAGCTTTACTCAATGAATAGGAGATGAGAAAGAAAGTAACGATGATTAGCTTTCTACAGTGAGTTTAATATTACTCATAAGTTAATATATGTTAATATGATCATTTGTTATTTTTATTATATAGTCTACTCATTATAGGAGTTTTTGATTAATGGTGAAATGCCTGGAATCACTAAACCTACAGGGTTATTTATCCACTGCCAATATTAAAAACAACAATAATACCTTGTCATCTTTCCAGCTTCCTGTGTAGACAATCCCATTAGGAGTGGTATGAATACCTATTCCATTTCTCTCGTAGATTCCAGAAGATGTTCTTGTACAGTCACCATCTAAACAGAGGAGAAAAACTGAAGATTATAAATGAGAATAGTTATGTCTGGGCCTAATCGCAACTACACCTCATGGGTTTCTTTGGCTCCCTAGCACTGAAACCAGTGAGACCAGAGATGAGAAAATCCATGGACACAGAACATCTTGTAACAATTGAGACTCAAGGGCCAGGAAGATTGACAGATCCCATAGGTTTCCAAGGCATTGGAATTTTGATTTTAAAAGCTCTTTATCTATTAGGATTTCTGTTATTTTAGTTAATAAAGTTAATATCCTAATAGTAGTTTTATAAAATTTAACAGTCTCAGTTTTTTATTCCTAAGCTATTTAATTTTCTATACAGAAAAAGTAATTGAAGCGTATACTTACCATACTTGTCTCCATTTGGAAAGATAAAGCTGATCTTATACACTTCTGAAGCTGTTTTAAAAGATTTAAAAACAGTGACATAAGTTTACTTTTTTTTCGATAGAGGCAAGGTTTCACTACATTGCCCAGGCCAGTCTCAAACTCCTGGGCTCAAGCGATCCTCCCGCCTCAGCCTCCCAAAGTGCTGGGGATGCAAATGTGAGCCACCACACCCAACCAAGTGTAAACATTCTTATGTCATAAGACCTATACCCAATGTGCTTTCAGCACTATCCAAATGGACTTACTTCTCAAGATCACATCATATCATGATTACTTGGTATTTCCATTGTCTAATGTAGGGTCCCGGGGAAATAAACAATTTTGCCTAGATGATCTCTTTTAAAATTTATTTATTATGATAGCTTTATTAATATATAATTCACACACCACAAAATCTACCCTTTAAAAAAATACAATTTGATTTTTTTAGTATATTCAGAGTTGTGCAACTATCATCACAATCTAATTTTAGAATATTTTAATCATCCCAGAAAGAAACTCTGTACACATTAGCAGTTACCCATTATGATTCCCCTCAAACACCCCTCACCCCACAACCCCAAACCCCTGGCAACCACTAATCTACTTTCTGCCTCAGGGATTTGCCTATTCTGGACATTTCTTATAAATGAAATCATATAATATGTGGTCCTTTATGTCTGGCTCGTTTCACTTAATGTTTCCAAGGCTCATCCATGTTGCATCGTGTATCAGTACTTCATTCCTTTTTATAGCCAAGTATATTGTATAAATATGTTGTACAGAAACAGCATATTTTGTTTATTCATTCATCAGTTCATGGACATGTAGGTTGTTTCCAGTTTGAGGCCATTATGAATAATACTGCTATAAACACTGATGTACATTTTCAAAACATACAGCTTCCTAGGAGTAAAAAAAAAATTGGTGTACAGATTTTTGTGTGGATATGTTTTTATTTCTCTTTGGTAGCCCATATGATTTACTGATTGTCCCACAGAGGTAAGGTGGAGTGAGGAATCTTTAAATTGGCAATAGGAAGAAATGGAAAATAAAGATAGCAAGTGGGGAAGGGCTGGTAGGTCCACACAGAATGAGACTGGAATGGAGACCAAGTGAAAAAGGAAGAAAGAGGACCGCAAGACTGAGGGGGACTCTGGGCCTCAGATCCCTGGACACTTACTGGACTAAAACTAGAAACTGTATTTTCCGATACTGAAGAAAACTTATGTAGAGACGGTATGCAGGCCCATCCTTCAGAATCACCTGAGATGCTTCTAAGTTTCTTCTCTCTACCCCACATCTACTGAATCAGTCTTTACGGGTGGGGCAAGGGAATTTAAAAATTAATTTAGGTACCACTTGAGAAAGGCTTGGAGGCTCATCACTGAGGAAACAGAGTTAACACAATAGGTAGAGGACTTAAACTGTAACATCCTCAGAGAGAAAGGGAGAGTATTAGTATCCTTGAAATAGGAACAGGTGATTACAAAAAACAAAAAACAATTAGCAATCCAGGAAATGAATAATATAATTGGTGAAATAAAACTTCTTAGAAGGGATGAAAAGCAGAATAGATACAATTGAAAACAAATTAGTGAACTGGAACATTAGGTTGAAAAATGTGCTTAGAAAGTAGCACAAAGTGTGAGTGAGATGGCTGGAAAAAAAATTTTTTAATTAAAAAAAAAGAAAGTAGCACAAAGAATTTTAAAATGATGGAAAGTGGATCCAAAAGGCTACTGTCAGTCTAATAAGAATTCCAGAGGGAAAGAATAAGGGATATTTGAATAAATAGCCAAATTTTTCTCAGAACTGAAGAAAATGACTGCTTGGACTACAAATGGGAACTAAGCAAAATCCCACACCTAGACAGGTTACAGTACAATTTCATGACATAAAGACCAAAGGCCAGCTAGGCTAGTTAAAAACAAGCAAACAAAAACCAGATTACCTACAATAAACTACAAAGGACTGACATTAGCAACAGTGGATTCTAAAAAAAAATGGCACTATGTCTTTAAAATTCCGAGACAAAATTATTTTCAACCTAATATTCTACATCCAACGAAACTATCAATCTAAAATCATGGAAACTGGCAGGCACGCTGGTAGGATGAATTACTGGCTCATGCCTGGAATCCCAGCACTTCGGGAGGCTGAGGAGGGTGGGTTGCTTGAGCCTAGGAGTTCGAGACCAGCCTGGGCAACATGGTGAAACCCATTCTCCACAAAAAATACAAGAATTAGCTGGGTGTGGTGTTGCATGCTTGTTGTCCATGCTACTTGGGGGCTGAGGTGGGAGGATCGCTTGAGCCCAGGAAGTGAAGGCTGCAGTGAGTCCGATCACACCCTGCCCTCCAGCCTGGGTGAGACAGCAAGACTCTGTCTTAAAAAAATAATAAAATAAAAAAAATTAAGTTTTAAAAATAGAATCTGGTGGCTCATGCCTGTAATCCCAACGCTTTGGGTGGGTGAGGTGGGAGGACTGCTTGAGCCCAGGAGTTTGAGACCAGCCTGGGCAACATAGTGAGATTCCATCTACACCAAAATTAAAAACTCAAAAAGAAAAAAAAAGAATCTGTAACTAAAACTCAGGTAATATCAATATGGAAATGGTGTGGAGGATAGAGAGCAATCTTGCTAGAATTCTGATCTCGTTTAGGGGTTAAATATAGACACTAATTAACACTAAATCTTAGAAAAATCTGAATTTAGTTATGTTTGCTTATTTTTTCCCCATAATTTCTAAGATTTGGTTGTGGATAAAGGGTGAAGTATGGTGGTATACAGAAATTGCCATGTGTGCTCATTAATTAGTTATTTACATGTCTGCAAGATGTGAAATTCCAAGAGAGCAGGGACACAGAGCTACTTTCTTTCTTTTTTATTTTTTAATTTAATTTAATTTAATTTAATTTATTTATTTATTTATTTATTTTTGAGACGGAGTCTCGCTCTGTCGCCCAGGCTGGAGTGCAGTGGCTTGATCTCGTCTCACTGCAACCTCCGCCTCCCGGGTTCACGCCATTCTCCTGCCTCAGCCTCCCAAGTAGCTGGAACTACAGGCGTCAGAGCTACTTTCTAAGTGTTTAACTAATGATAACTAACTAGATTACCAGATCTGCTTGTAGTTTCCCACAGATGCCATGCCGTACTCTGGGTGGAACACCCTTCTCTTCTTTACCTGGTTAACTGCTATTCATCCTCAAGAGTTGGCAAAATAGAGTGTAGTAGTTAGGGGTTCATGCTCTGGCATCGGACTACCTACCTTTGCATCCAGACTCCACCATTTTCTCTGACCTTGGACAAATAATTATCTTATGCCTCAGTTTCCTCATCCTTAGATGGGGCAAATCAAGTAAATGAGCTAATCTAGTTAAAGCACTTAGCCCAGTGTCTAAACTCTGTAAATATTAGCTATTGTATTCTTGTAGCCCCAGCTCAGGTATGAGCTCTCCCACAAAGCCTTTCTTCTCATTACTTGTCAACCTCAGACTCCTTCAGGAACCCCCACGGCACTCTGGGCCTATTCCTACTGTAGTACTTAAGGTTCTATTAAAACCATGCTTTTGTATCGGGATCCCCTATCCCACCCAGTTCCTCCAGGACACGGATGGCAGATTAGTCAAATCTCTTCTCACCCCACTGTCCGACTCCGTGTTTAGTACTAATAGTAACAGAACGTCTAGTGAATGAAGGGCACTTCGGAAGGAATCGTTAAGTGCCTATGAAGCAGAGCATTAAACGTAATCATATCAGAAACTGGACTGTTTTCAATTGCCGCTAAAATGTTCTACATTCGAAACTTGGGAACGTCAGAGCTAGAGGGAACCTCACAGAGACCACCCGGCACCATAGCGGAAACTGAGGCCCAGGGAGGTTGGCACGCGCCTCGGGTGTCTCAACAGCGAATTAACAACAGAATCAGAGCTAGATTCCCAGACCAGGGGTTCCCCCGTGCCCCTCGGCTAGACGGTCAGGAAATATATCACACCCCCACAGGAGTTACCGGGAGCCAAGCAGGTTCTGACTCCACGCTAGTTCGACTTAAAGGAGCTCTTCTCTGCCCGGGTCGTTAGGAGGAGGGACACTCACTTGGCCGAGAGGTGTTAGAGAGATCTTCCAAACTCTGCGACTCCCCCTGGGCGGCCAGCTCTGCGGCCGGGAGAGAACTAGGCGCTAGGACAGCTCCAGGTGCGACTTGGTTGCTGGGGCGACCGGGCACCTCTCACCCGGAAGCGAATACGCGAGGGGCTGTAGCTGAGCCAATCAGAAGGCGCCGGGACTGTGCCGCTGCAGCTGGGCCACCGCAGGGCTGCTCCAAGTGAGAATCGTGAGGGTGGCCAAGTCCAGTTTGGACCTCTGACCCTTGGGCAGCACCTCCCGACAGCCGGCTCGGGACCCAACTCTGCGAGCCAGGTACGTCTTCCACTTCTGCGGACAAGTGATGCGCGTTGTGCGCACGGTGTGCGCGTCACCCTGTTTGTCAGTGTGTCTGCCGCCTCCTGCTCCAGGAGTGGTCGGGATCTGACGAGCATCGCGGCCCAGTGTGTTTCATCCAGTCTGCCTGGGGCCGGTGAATCTGGACCAGCAGGATCCCAGGCCCTGATACCGAACCAAGGCGGGCTCTGCCGCTGAGGTTGTCCACGCTCAAACTGCAGGTTGGGGCCGGGGGGGGCGGGGCGTGAAATTCAGTCTTGGAGCAGGCTAAGGGGTTGATTGAAGGGATCAGGCTCCGTTCTCTGACTCCGTCTGTGTGGCTTTTTTGGGGAGAAGGGTGGGGACGATGTGAGTTCGAAAAAGGATACGAGATCTGGATATCTGGATGGAGCTGGATATATTGTGATCAGTCAGAGATCTGCCTGGGAGGAGAGTAGTGTGTAGTCACTTTTCAGTGCCTTGGCTATCAAACAAAGAATACTCTTACAGCCAAACTTAGGTCCCTGTATCCATGGTGAAGAAAGATAGTTGGAGTCTTCCCGGGCTAGATGGAATAGATAGTGGAATCTAACCACGTGGATTATACAACCTAATTCCTATTCCCTTGAAAACTCTGGGAGAGTGGTATTGGACACCATTACAGTCAGTAAATCTTCGTTTAAAATGTTAAGCGCATATCTCAGATCTAGTTGTAAAAGTAACATTTTCTGGGTTGGTGTGAGACAACTTGTTTTGATTCAGCGTAAGTATCCTCTTGCTTTTTCCTAATGTTTCTCAGTACACAAATTTACCTGGGCTGCATGGTTTTTGAGATGAAGTTCTAATCTAACTGATTTGTTATTTCATTTCCCTAAATTTTAGAAATAATAGGTAATTATTGGTGCACAACCTTACAGAATTCAGTTTGACCTGTTATTTTTCTTGCCTGTTAAGATTTTAATGACTCTACATTTTTGTGAGTAAAGTTGACGTTTGAACAACATGGGTATGAACTACCCGGCTCCACTTACAGGTGGATTTTTCCCAACCCAACACAGATTGAAAATACAGTATTTCAGGTCGGGCGCGGTGGCTCACGCCTGTAATCCCAGCACTGTGGGAGGCCGAGGCGGGCGGATCACGAGGTCAGGAGATCGAGACCATCCTGGCTAACACGGTGAAACCCTGTCTCTACTAAAAATACAAAAAATTAGCCGGGCATGGTGGCGGGTGCCTGTAGTCCCAGCTACTCAGGAGGCTGAGGCAGGAGAATGGCGTGAACCCGGGAGGTGGAGGTTGCAGTGAGCTGAGACTGCGCCAGTGCACTCCAGCCTGGGCGACAGAGTGAGACTCTGTCTCAAAAAAAAAAAAAAAAAAAAAAAAAATACAGTATTTCAACTAGGCACAGTGGCTCATGCCGGTAATCTCAGCACTTTGGGAGGCCAAGGTGAGACGATTGCTTGAGCTCAGGAGTACGAGACCAGCTTGGGCAGCAAAGCGAAACCTCATTTCTACTAAAAAATGTTTAAAGTAGCTGGGTGTGGTGGTGCACCTGTGGTCCCAGCTATTCAGGAGGCTGAGGCAGGAGGATTGCTTGAGCCTAGGAGATCGAGGCTGCAGTAAGCTATGATCGTACCACTGCACTGCAGCCTGGGTGATAGAGCAAGATCCAGTCTCAAAAAAAAAGAAAGAAAGAAAAAAGAAAAGACAGTATTCCTGGAATGCAAAACCCACATACAGAGGGCCAACTTTTCCTCTATGCAGGTTCTACAGGGCTGACTGGAGAACTTGAGTATCCGTGGATTTTGGTATACATGGGGGTTCTGGAACCAATCCCCTGTGTATACCGAGGGATGACTATTTCATGGCTCATTCTGTCAATTTCTTCCGGATGTCCTTTAAAATCTCAAAGAGGCCTTACCCAACCACTCTATCTAAAATAACTGCCTCGGGGGTTTTTTTTCCTTGATAGCACTTAAGTTATAATATATATCTATTTGTTTAATGTCTGTGTTACCCTCTAGAAGGTAAGCTTCATGAAGCAGAAATTTTGTCTTTTTTGCTGTTATATCCCCAGGATCTGGCACATAATAAGTGCTCAATAAATATTTGTGGAATGAATAAATAGATGAACAAATCTCCATTCCCACATAAGTCATTTTTTCAACCTTCAATCATTCATTCCACAAATAGATACTGAATTCCTACCATATGCTAGACACTGTGTTAAGGGTACAGTGGTAATCAAAATAGACATAGTCTTGTTTTCAAAGAGCTTTCTGGGAGTAGAAAGGAGAGACAAACTTAAGATAAACTCTGAATACATATGTATAATCATCAGCAATTTTGAAGAAAGGAATACCTAGGAAGACCTAGTTTAATATACACATATTTGTGAGTTTCCCAAATTTTTTCTAGCTTTTGATTTCTAATTCCATTTTGGTTGGAGAACATAGTTCATATTATTTCTTTCTTTTTACATTTATTGAGGTTTATGGCTGGGCACAGTGGCTCACGCCTGTAATCCCTGCACTTTGGGAGGCCAAGGTGGACAGATCACCTGAGGTCAGGAATTCGAGACCAGCCTGACCAACATGGTGAAACACCATCTCTACTAAAAATACAAAAATTAGTCAGGGAGCATGGTGGCGGGTGCCTGTAGTCCCAGCTACTCGGGAGGCTGAGGCAGGAGAATCGCTTGAACCTGGGAGGCGGAGGTTGCTGTGAGCCAAGATTGTGCCACTGCACTCCAGCCTGGGCGACAGAGCAAGACTCTGTCTTAAAAAAAAAAAAATGTATTGAGGTTTCTTTTATCACCTAGTATGGTCTATATCCTGGAAAATGTTTCATGTGTACTTCAGAAGTATGTATAGTTCGTTGTTGGGTGGAGTGTTCTATAGACACCTATTAGGTCTAGTTGGTTAGAGTGTTGTTCAAGTCTTTTATTTCCTTGTTGATCCTCTGTCTAGTTGTTCTACCATTAAAAGTGAGGTACTGTAGTCTCCTACTATTATTATTGAATTGTCTAATTCTCCCTTCATTTCTGTCAGTTGTTGCTTTGTGTATTTTGGTGCCTTATTATTAGGTACATATGTGTTTTTAATTGTTATCATTTCCTGGCAGATTAACCCTTTTATCATTAAGAAATATCCCTATCTCTAGTAATATTTTTTGCTTTAAAGTCTGTTTTGTAAGCTATTAACATAGCCACTCCACCTTTCTTGTAGTTGCTGTTTGCAAGATCATCTTTTTCCATCCTTTTACTTTTCATTTATTGTGTCTTTGAATTTAAAGTGCCTCTCCTGCAGACAGAATATATTTGGATCCTGTTTGTTAATCAAGTCTGACAATCTCTGTCTTTTGATTGGACTGCTTTATTCTCTCACATTTATTTTTATTGTCTATATACTGAGAATTACATCTAACTCTATTCTACTTTTGGATGTCTGTATTTCTCAATGTCTATTTTTTCTTCTGTTCTTACTTTATGCTTTCATTTGCATTTAGTCATTAAGTGAATATTTTCTAATGTAGTATTTTTGTGATTGCTTTGGGGTTTATGAACAACTTCAGATTTATATTAGCTTAATTCCAGCAATATTGCTATGGTTTGAATGTTTACCCCCAAAGTTCATGTATTAGACATTTAATTTCCAATGCAACAGTGTTAGGAGATGGGGCCTAATAACAGGTAATTCGATCATGAGGGCAGAGCCCTTATTAATGGTTTAATGTCACTAGCATGGGAGTGGGTTAGTTATAGCAAGAATGAGTTATTAGGCCGGGCGCGGTGGCTCACGCCTGTAATCCCAGCACTTTGGGAGGCCGAGGCAGGCGGATCACAAGGTCAAGAGATCGAGACCATCCTGGCTAACATGGTGAAACCCTGTCTCTACTAAAAATACAAAAAAACAAAAACTTAGCCGGCGGCGGTCACCTGTAGTCCCGGCTACTCCAGAGGCTGAGGTGGAAGAATGGCATGAACCAGGGAGGCAGACCTTGCAGTAAGCTGAGACCACGCTACTGCACTCCAGCTGGGGCAACAGAGTGAGACTGTCTCAAAAAAAAAAAAAAAAGAATGAGTTATTATAAAATAAGTCTGGCAGCTGGTACCTCTCTCTGTATCGTGCCCACTTCTGCCTTCCATCTTCCACCATGAGATGACACTACGCAGATGCCAGCATCATGCTCTTGGACTTCCCAGCCTCCATTACCATGAGACAAATAAACTTCTGTTGTTTATAAATTACCTAGTCTGTGGCATTCTGTTATAGCAGAAAACAGACTAAGACAGATACATAGAAGTATTACTTTTATATAGCTCTATTCCTTTCCTCCTTTTTATAGTATTGTTATACATATTATATCTATTAATGTTATATACCCAACTATACTTGTTACAAGTATTACTTTACTGTCTGTAGTCATTTTCTCAGCACAGCACAATTACGCTCCCACCAATCTTCTTTGTGCTGTTATTGGCAAATATATTACATACATATTACCTTCTTGTAGGTGACATGCCCAACATTATATCATATACATATTATTTTATATAACTGCTTTTTAAATCATTTCAGAGAAAAGAAGAGACAATACTTTTGTACTGGTTTTCAAATAAATAAATGTCCAATATAAATGTGGATTTTTAAAAATAATTACTCAATTACCTTTACTAGTACTCTTTGTTTTTTCATGTAGATTTAAATTACCATCCAGGGATACTTGCCTCAACTTGAAGAACTGTTAGTATTTCTTGTGAGGCGGGTCTATTGACAACAAATTCTCTCAGTTTTGTTTGTCTGAGAAAGTTTTCATTTTACCTTCATTTTTGAAAGATAGCTTTTCTGGATTTTTGGTTAACTATTTTTTGTTGTTTTTTTTTTGTTTTTTGTTTTTTGTTTTTTTGAGATGGAGTCTCACTCTGTCACCCAGGCTGGAGTGCAGTGGCGCAATCTCGGCTCACTGCATCTTCTGTCTCCCATGTTCAAGTGATTCTCCTGCCTCAGCCTCCGAAGCAGCTGGGACTACAGGTGTGTGCCACCACACCCAGCTAATTTTTTGTATTTTTAGTAGAGACAGGGTTTCACTGTGTTAGCCAAGATGGTCTCGATCTCCTGACCTCGTGATCTGCCCGCCTTGGCCTCCCATAGTGCTGGAATTACAGGCATGAGCCACCACGCCCAGCCCTATTTTTTTCTTTGAGTATTTTAAATATATATGTCATTACCTTCTGCCCTCCATTGTTTCTGTGAAGAAATCAGTCATTAATTTTATTGGGGTTCCCCCCTGTAAGTGATAAGTTGTTTTTCTCTTACTCCTTTCATGATTTTCTCTTTGTCTTTTGACCTTCAACATTTTTATTGCAACATGTCTATTTTGTGCATCTCTGTGTTTATTTTCTAATAGTTGGAGGCCATTGAGCTTCCTGCATGTAGAGGTTATTGATTTTTAATGAATCAGAGAAGTTTTCTACCATTATTTCTTTGAATATTTTTTCTGCTCTTTTCTTTCTTTCCTTTCCTTCTGGTATTCTCATTATATGTATATGGTACCCTTGATGGTGTCCCACATTTTTCCAAGGCTCTGTTCACTTTTCTTCATTTATCGTTCTCTCTGTTTTCAGCTTGCATAATCAATGTCAGTCTGTCTTCAAGTTCATCAGTTCTTTCTCTTGCTAGTTCATGTTTATGGTTGAGCTTCTCTAGTGAATTTTTAATTTCAATTAGTATACTTTTCAACTCCAGAATTCCCATTTGGTTCTTTTTATATATATAATTTTTTATCTCTTTATTGATGTTCTCAATTTGATATGACATTGTCATCATACCTTCCTTTACTGCTTTAATTGTGCATTCCTTTATTTCTGTGAACATACTTATAATGACTATTTTGAACTCCTTTTCTGTTAAATCTGACATCTGTTCTCACTCATAGGCAGTTTGTGCTTTTTCTCTCCAGTGTATGGGTTATACTTAAGTGTTTCTTTGCATGCCTTGTGACTTTTTTGTTGTTAACTGAACATTTTGGATAACATACTGTAACAACTCTGGGTACTGATTCTCCCCTTTCAGGGGCTTCTTATTGTTATTTGCTGGTTTAATTTTTAGTGACTGGCTAGAATATTTTAGTGAAGTCTATTTCCCTCCTACGATTTTAAGCCTCTGTTGTTGCTCCTCTGGGAGGTACAGCTTTAGGTATGCCCATGGTTGATTGCTGAATTGTTTTCAACAATGCTCTGGAGAGTAAATTCCTTTACAAACTAATCCAACCAAAGTATGGCTTCTTTGAAGCAATAGTTTCTGAGATCCCAGTTTAATACTCATTCTAATCCCAAAAAGGAACTTCCTAGTGATCTTATTCCTTGGTTTGCTTCCTGCAAACTAGTTGGCCAACAGTCTAAACTACATCTTCATTTAATCCTGTAATCTCCCTTTCCCCACAACCTCACTATTCTTGAAAGCACCTTTAGGTTTGAACTTCTCCACACTCCATTGTAAATGGAGTCAGTCCTTTGGAAAAAGATTAGGAGCTATCTGTCTTACGGCCTACTTCCCTTTTGCCCTTGGCAGAATCTCTGAGCCCAAGCTGTGTTCCTGATAGAGCATATATAAATTTAAATTTTGTCAAAACATATATTAAATACATGAAAACTTCTCAACTGGATTTTTAAAATCCTATGCTAGGCTGGGTGCAGTGGCTCACACCTGTAATCCAAGCACTTTGGGATGCTGAGGTGCGCAGATCACTTGAGGTCATGAGTTCGAGACCAGCCTGGCCAACATGGTGAAATCCCATCTCTACTAAAAATACAAATATTAGCTGGGCGTGGTGGCAGGCGCCTGTAGTCCCAGCTACTCCAGAGGCTGAGGTAGGAGAATTGCTTGAACCCAGGAGGCAGAGGTTGCAGTGAGCTGAGATCATCCGGCCTGGGCGACAGAGCAAGACTCCATCTCTAAATAAATAAATAAATAAATAAATAAAACTCTAAATTAGACCTAACCAAATGAGAATCTAGGATTAAAGCCTAGACATGTGTATTTTGACACTTCTCCATGTGTTTATGATGTACATCTTTAGTTTAGAAATCTGTATCAGAGACATTCACTAAATATTAGTCCTGAGGTAGAAGTGCTTATAAATCTTTTGTGAAGATTTATCCATACTATCCCTAAACTGGCTGGCTCTTTTTATTTTGTAGTTTTAAAATTTTTTCACTGGAACAGATTCAGAATCCTGCCCCAAGACCAGCTCTTTTTACATATGCATTTTCCTTTGTTTCTTTAAAGTAGCCTATATTCATAAGTTTGGCAAACAAAGGATTATCATACATGTCTGGTTTTATGATGTCTACATTAATTTTTTTCTCTTGCAGGTGAAAATGAGTTCTTCAGTAAGAAGAAAAGGCAAGCCAGGCAAAGGAGGTGGAAAAGGGTCTTCTAGAGGAGGAAGAGGAGGCAGGAGTCACGCCAGTAAATCTCATGGGAGTGGTGGCGGTGGCGGTGGTGGTGGTGGTGGAGGTGGCGGCAACAGAAAGGCCTCCAGTAGAATATGGGATGATGGAGATGACTTTTGTATCTTCAGTGAATCAAGGCGCCCTTCCAGGTCATTATAACTCTTTGAATGTTTAAATATGGAAATGGTATCAACCCCTAATGTATGGGACAACAGATGGCTGAGAATGGAAAAAAAGTCGAGTAATTCTGGTCAAATTGTCTTCCTCTTTGTAACCCTTTTCTGAAGACATGATGGGAAATAACAGCTTTTGTGTGTATGTAGGTTGCATGACACTGTGAATTGAGTGTAATACTGCTATTATACCCAGTGTTACTAGGAAAGTAAATACAGAAATAGTGTGATGAAAATTATTTTAAGTATTCCTTATGCATCATAGACTGATGTTAAAATGATGATGTTAACATTGAACATGGACAGGTACGGTGGCTCACACCTGTAATCCCATCACTTTGGGAGGCCCAGGTGTGTGGATCGCTTGAGGTCAGGAGTTCGAGACCAGCCTGGCCAATAGGGTGAAATCCTGTCTCTACTAAAATACAAAAATTAGCCAGGCATGGTGGCAGTCACCTGTAATCCCAGGTACTAGGGAGGCTGAGGCAGGAGAATTGCTTGAACCCAGGAGGCAGAAGTTGCAGTGAGCTGAGATCACACCACTGCACTCCAGCCTGGGTGACAGAGTGAGACTCCATCTCAAAAAACAAACATTGAACAGCCTAAAGTGCAACATGACTGTACTGTGTCTTTCTAGTTGATGAGCTGTGTATTTTCCAGCCAAATCAGCCATCATCTGATGGTGTTACATGTGGTGACCAGTAACAGATGCCTTATCTAGGTTTCTCTCCTGTTCAACTTTTAACTAATGAATAAATTATGGGAATTCTAGTAATTCTAATGAGTATTTAATAAAAGTAAATGTTTTGCTATTGCATGTTATACAGTATAACTACAATTAGGCATCACTTAGTGACAGAGATGTGTTCTGAAAAATGCATTGTTAGGCAATTTCATTGTTGTGCAAACATCATAGAATGTACTTACACAACCCCAGATGGTACAACCTACAACACACCTAGGCTGTATGATGTAGCCAATTGCTCCTAGACTACAAATCTATACAGCATGTTGCTGTACTGAATACTCTAAGCAATTATAACACAATGGTAAGTATTTGTGTATCTAAACATGTCTAGTTGTAGAAAAGGTATAGTAAAAATAGAGTATAAGAGATTAAAAATGATACCTATGTAGGGCACTTACCGTGAATGGAAGTTGCAGGACTGGATTTTGCTCTGGGTGAGTCAGTGAGGAAGTGGTGAGTGAATGTGAAGGCCTAGGGATATTACTGTACACTACTATAGACTTTATAAATAGCAAGCAGCATAGTCTCTCTATGTTGCCCAGGCTGGTCTTGAACTCCTGGGCTCAAGCGATTCTCCTGCCTTGGCCTCCCATAGTGTTGGAATTACAGGCGTGAGCCACTGTGCCTAGCCAAGAACCTAACTTCTGAGTTAGCTGCAGCTCCATAGTTTTTCAAAACATGGACATTATAGGTTCTTGGAGTCCGTAGATGTTCATTCATTTGGTAAGTATTTACTGAATGCCTACCATGCACCAGGCACTGTTTTAGGGACTTGGAATTGCAGCAGGGAGTAAAATATTGTCCTTATCTAGATAGAATGGGATTTGAGATAGAAAAACCATAAACAAATGTATAACATTACCAGGTGCCGCATGCTATGGAGAGAAATAAAGGAGTGTAACAGGGATATAAAATACCAAAATAGAATTGTTAATTTATGTAGAAAGCCCCCCTAATAAGGTATCACGTGAAGAGAGGCAAGAAGTAAGTAAAGGAATAAGCTGTGAAGTTCTGAGTACAGCATTCAAGGCAGAGGGAAGAGCAATTTCTTAAGGCAAGAATGTGCTTGGAAGGTTTAGGAAATAGCAAAGAACCATGTGGCTAGAATGAGTGGGCAAGAAGGCAAGTGGTAGGCAATTAGATCAGAAAGACCAGACTGTATAGGACTTCATGGGCCATTATTAGGACTTTGGCTTTTACATGAAGTAAGACAGAAGGCCTTTGGAGGGTTTGAGGCAAGGGTGTGTGATATTATCAGTCAGTCTGGCCAGAGTTGTTTCTATTCAGTGTATGCCTTTATGTGAATTAGAAAATGGTGCTCCTTCCTTTGGACAGTTATAGCCCCACACCAGGATCATGGCTTAGCCAGCAGAACATGGACCGGATTTTGCTGTCCCTTCCTCCCTCTTCTTCCCTCCCAGCCAGGAACCTTTGTGCAGTGTACAGTCTATGAATCTATACTCAATAGCATTGACTGGGTGTGCTTTGTAGAGAATAAACTATAAAGGGGCATGAGTTGAAAGCAAGGAGACCAGTTAGGAGATGTTCTCCAAGTGTAGATATAAAATAGATAATTTAATATATAAATCTGAGGTTCAAGAAAAAGATCTAGGCTGGAGATGTAAATGTGTGAGTCTTCTATAGATAAATGCTAAAGTTCTGAGTCTGGATAAAATCGAATAGAGAAGGTATCTGATGTTTGAGCCCTGGGACACTCTAGGTTTTAAAGCTAAGAGAATTTGGAATGTTCCCAACACAAAGAAATGATAAATGTGTGAGGTGTTAGATATCCTAATTACCCTGATTTGATCACTACACATTGTATGCATGTATCAAAATAGCACATGTACCCCTGTATTAGTCCATTCTCACGCTGCTATAAGGACATACCCAAGACTGAGTAATTTATAAAGGAAAGAGGTTTAATTGACTCACAGTACCACAGGGCTGGGGTGGCCTCAGGAAACTTACAATCATGCTGAAAGGGGAAGCAAAAGCATCCTTCTTCACAAGGTGGCAGGAGAAAGAAGAATGAGAGCCAAGTAAAGGGGGACACCCCTTATAAAACCATCAGATCTCGTGAGAAGTTACTCACTATCACGAGAATAGCATGGGGGAGACTGCCCCCATGATTCAACTACCTCCAACCGGTTCCCTCCCATAACATGTGGGGATTATGGGAACTTCAATTGAAGATGAGATTTGACTTGCAGCCAAACCATTATCAACCGTATAAAGAATGTACAATTATTATGTGTCAATAAAAATTTTTAGTTAAAAAATAAATAAAGCTAAGAGAAAGTATGAAAAACAAAGGGGATTGAGAAGGAGCTGCCAATGAAGTAGGAAACTAAGAGAGTGGTTTTTGGAAGCCAAGGGACAAAGGTGTTTTAAAGGAGAGTAGCCAATAAGATCGAATTGTATGCTTAAAGAGGGTACACATTTGTGGAAAAATGCTTCTGGTAGGTCAAGGAAAATGTGCACTAAGAATTGTCCACTGCATTTGACAATGTGGGTATCATGGTTAACCTTGACAAGAGCTGTAGTAGCATAGGAAATACTGATTGGGTTGTGTTTCAGAGAGAAGAGGAAAGAAAATGGAGACAGAGACAATGATTTTGATAACCTAAATGAGAAGTTTTACTATAAGGGAGCTAGAGGGAGGAGAGATGGGTCAGTAGCTACAGGGAGATGTGCACTCAAGGGAGGATTTGGCTTGGTTTCATTTTTTTAAGAGGGTAGACCTTATAGTATGTCTGTATGCTGATGGGAATGATCCAAAGAAGAATGAAAAACCAGTGATTTAGAAAGGGGGATAAGTGCTGGAATGATTTCCTTGAGGAGATTAAAGAGATTGGCATATAGTTTACAAATAGAAAGGCTGACTTTAAGATAAAGGATGACTTTAAGATAGGAGCATGTGAAACTCCCAACTCCCCCTCATGTTTAACTGATCATTTCCTAATGATCAGACAAATCATAAGAGATTATATATGCTGTGTAATTTTTTTATTTCTTTTTTTTTAAATAGAGACAGGATCTTGCTATATTGCCCAGGCTGGTCTCGAACTCCTGGGGCTTAAGCAATCCTACCACTTCAGCCTCTTAAAGTGCTGGAATTACAGGTGTGAGCCAATGCCCCTGGCCTTTTTTTTTTTTTTTTTAATAATCAGAAATAAAGATAATTGGGTATTTTAGAAATGGGGCCTTAATATTCACAAGGAAGAATGAAACTCAGTGGTTTTCAGATTTTAATGCAGAATGAAATGAAATGCTCTTCATGTCCTATAGTGCAGAGGAAACCATCATTAGCATTGCTTTTTCCTAAGGATTCTTGAGTTAGTGAAGCCAGAATTAATGATTAAGAATCTGTTAAGTTTTGTTGTTTTTTTTTTTTTTAAACGGAATCTCGCTCTGTTGCCCAGGCTGTAGTGCAGTGGCACAATCTTGGCTTACTGCAACCTCTACCTCCAAGTTCAAGTGATTCTCCTGCCTCAGCCTCCTGAGTAGCTAGGATTACAGGAGCGCACTGCCACGCCCAGATAATTTTTGTATTTTTAGTAGAGACAGCATTTCACCATGTTGGCCAGGCTGGTCTGAAACTCCTGACCTCAGGTGATCCGCCAGCCTCGGCCTCCCAAAGTGCCAGGATTACAGGCGTGAGCCACTGCGCCTGGCCAAGAATCTGATAAGGTTTTTTTCCAGCAGGTCTGATATAATGAAGTCTGGTAAATACTATAGAAAATGGAGAATCTCCTCACATTCATTGTCATCTTTTGTAAGATACTTGACAATCCAGTTTGTATTGTGTATATCTGGGGACCCCTGAGGAGAGTGTAAAAGTTCTGATTGAAGATATGTGTGTAATTTTGCTCTTTTGTTCTCTATAGACCTAGCAACAGTAACATAAGCAAAGGAGAGTCACGCCCAAAATGGAAACCCAAAGCCAAAGTACCCCTTCAGACTCTACATATGACTTCTGAGAATCAAGAGAAAGTGAAAGCTCTTCTCCGAGACCTGCAAGAACAAGATGCTGATGCTGGATCTGAGTAAATTGTTTTATTTGAGTCAATTATTATATTAAGGAAAACATACTGGCAGTGTGAAGGTCCTGTGCATCTTTGGAATGCTGTGTCAGTACTGATTCTATTGTGGCCATTTAATTAGTTGAAAGTGAGCCAAGAGTAATACAAGAATAATTATTCAGCCACAATTTTAGAGTGAGTTTGTTTTGCAACATCCATGGGATTGCCTTTTTATCTTTATTTTTTTCCAGGGCAGTGCTCATATGGATTCAGTAACTGATTTATCTGTAACCTTCCAGATAAACCCTTGTAATGAACAAGTAGAAGTAGTGTTGAATGAGCAAATATTGACTCGGTCAGGTGCAGTCTTAGGATTTGCTTGTCATGACTGTCTGCCTAAGAGAAAGCTTTTACTCTTAAATCTTATTCGTTTCCCACTCTACTGCATTTCGGCTCTTTTGCTTTGGATTTCAGTTGGAGAAGTTAATTCCTTCTTTCCATTTACCAAAATTAATTAGTGGCCAGTCATGAACAGCTCATTTTCCATCCTATCTACAAATCTCTTATCTGTTTTAGATTTAGAAAGGGAGATTATGTAGCAAAACAAACAATTAGGGATAGTGTTTTTATGAATGAGAAGAGAGAGAATAGCCAAGGTTTCTGTGGTTAAGAACACAGGAATCTGTCTGCCTTTGGCAAAATCTCTATTTGCTCCTTAATGTGTAACCTAGGCAGTTACTAATCCTCTCTGAGTTTTAGTTGATCATCTAGAAAAAAAAAAAAAAAAGGACATTCCAGTAGTATTTGGTACAGTTATTGGGAAGATTAAAGGAGTTAGTTCATATAAAGCACTTAACACAGTAACTGGTATTTAATAAATGCCTGGTAAATGTTAATTGCCAAGATATAAATTAATAGTTCAATATAAGATTAAATCAGCAACTGAAGAGTAGTCAGGATCCTATGAATTAAATTCTTAGACCTTTGCTAAATTTTTCTTTGAAGTAAGTAGAAAGTAATATCTAATATATGAAAATGTTGCCTTTGCTAGAAGAGGCCTTTCTGGGGAGGAGGAAGATGATGAGCCTGATTGCTGTAACGATGAGCGGTACTGGCCAGCTGGACAGGAACCTTCCCTCGTTCCCGACTTGGATCCTTTGGAATATGCTGGCTTAGCCTCAGTGGAGCCTTATGTTCCAGAATTTACAGTCTCCCCATTTGCAGTGCAAAAACTTTCCAGGTGATTGCTTTGATCATTTATGGGAGTTGGGAAAGAATTCAAGGAAACCGAAATCATATAAACCCACTACCCCTCTTTGTGTACTTTCCTATTATGTGGGTTCCAGCAATGCCTGATAGGCCTAATATTCTATCTTATCAGAAGGGGTCATTCAGGGGGGCTTATTGTTATCAGGGATGCTTTTTCAAAATACAAGCCCTGCCTATGTGTAGTCATAACTTCATCTAAGCATATTTAAATGAATTTTACTGTAATGGTGTGATACTGCTTTTTATGTGTCATTTTTGTCATGTTTTGCCCTTGACAGGTATGGTTTCAATACTGAACGCTGTCAAGCGGTCCTGAGGATGTGTGATGGAGATGTGGGAGCATCACTAGAGCATCTCCTTACCCAGTGTTTTTCAGAGACATTTGGAGAGAGGATGAAGATCTCTGAGGCAGTCAACCAGATAAGCTTGGATGAGTGTATGGAACAGCGACAGGAAGAGGCATTTGCTCTCAAGTCCATCTGTGGAGAAAAATTTATAGAAAGAATTCAGAACAGAGTCTGGACCATTGGGTTAGAACTGGAGTATCTGACAAGTAGATTCCGCAAATCCAAGCCAAAAGAAAGTACCAAAAATGTACAAGAGAATTCACTTGAAATCTGTAAATTTTACCTCAAAGGAAATTGTAAATTTGGATCAAAATGCAGATTCAAACATGAAGTGCCCCCAAATCAAATTGTTGGAAGAATAGAAAGAAGTGTAGATGATTCTCATCTTAATGCTATTGAAGATGCATCTTTTTTATATGAACTTGAAATTCGATTTTCTAAAGACCACAAATATCCCTACCAAGCTCCGCTCGTGGCATTTTATTCCACCAATGAGAACCTACCTCTGGCTTGTCGTTTACATATTTCTGAGTTTCTTTATGACAAGGCCTTGACATTTGCGGAAACTTCGGAACCTGTCGTATATTCTTTGATAACCCTTTTAGAGGAAGAGTCGGAAATAGTCAAGTTACTAACGAATACCCACCACAAGTATAGTGACCCTCCTGTGAACTTTCTGCCAGTACCCTCTAGGACCAGAATAAATAATCCTGCCTGTCATAAAACAGTGATTCCAAATAATTCTTTTGTTTCTAATCAAATTCCAGAAGGTATGTAAGGCATTGATCTTGTGGAGGGAGGCATTCAGAATGATGGGTTTAGAAGTCAAAGCCTTTAAGGCTGGTCTAGGATGGCTTAGTGATCTTGAACAAGCTGAACAAGCCATTAAGTCCCAAGGGCAAAAGGGAATGAGAATTCCCTGAACTGTAATTGTATCTGACTTTAATTGTAAGGCTCAATTGTGTTGCTGTGGTTGGGCTCCCTGAGTTGAAAGTTTGTAGTGACGTATGTTTAACTATATAAAATCCGAGGCTTGGAAGGACCTTAAGGTACGTTCTCAGAAAATCTGTTTTATTTAATTCATTTGGTTTTCTTTTGTTTACTTCTTATACTGTATACTGAATTACTTTCAAATGAATTTTTAGAGATATTTTGCTTTCTATACCACTATCCATACCCTCCTGCTTTTGGTGTACTAGACCCCCAGAATTCTTTAGGGATAGCTCTATGAATCCCTAAATCCTCAAATACTTGTGCAGGCTTCTAGCTTTGTCTAGATCTAGGTTTACTGTGCAAATTCTTTTTATTTTTATTTTTTTAAGATGGAGTTTCACTCTTGTCCCCCAAGCTGGAGTGCAGTGGTATGATCTCAGCTCACTGCAACCTCTGACTCCCAGGTTCAAGCGATTCTCCTGCCTCAGCCTCCTGAGTAGCTGGGATTACAGGCACCCGCCACCACGCCTGGCTAATTTTTCTATTTTTAGTAAGACAGGGTTTCACCATGTTGGCCAGGCTGGTCTTGAACTCCTGACCTCAGGTGATCCGCCTGCCTTGGCCTCCCAAAGTGCTGGGATTACAGGCGTGAGCCATCGCACATGGGCTGCTATGCAGATTCTTACACCACAAGTAAGCCCCTTTCAAAGAATTCTCTGCTGGGTGTGGTGGCTCATGCCTGTAATCCCAGCACTTTGGGAGGCTGAAGTGAGAGCACTGCTTGACCCCAGGAGTTTGAGACCAGCCTGGGCAGCATAATGAGACCCCATCTCTAGAAAATATATATATTTTCTTAGCTAGTCAGCCATGGTTGTGCACTCCTCTGAGTCCCAGGTACTCAAGAGGCTGATGTGGGGGAATCACTTCAGCCTCAGAGGTAGAAGCTGCAGTGAGTCATTGCATTTCGGCCTTGGAGACAGAGTGAGACTCTATTTCTTAATTAAAAAAAAAAAAAAAAGGATCCTCTTTTATTGGTTGCCATCTATCTTTCTTCCAGAGAAACAAAAGTTTGTATTATTTCATGAGAGTCCTTGGGTAAACTTCAATGAGTAGAGAACAGTGACACTGTTCTGAGATGTGGCTGCTGGTCATTTAGCCAGATTCACTCACTAACCACCCGACCCACTCCCAGATGGCAGCTTCTAGCGCATGGGATTCAAATGTGTTCCTTGGGAAATGAAAATTATGTGTCATGCACTTTTTTTCTAAAATAATAGTTTTATTGAGACATAATTTATATACCATAAAATTCACTCTTTTAAAATACACAATTCAATGGTTTTTAGTATTTTTATAGAATTATGCAACAATAACCACCTTTTAATCCCTGGACGTTATCATCAACCCCAAAAGAAACCCTGTACCCATGTACCCATAGCAGTCTCTCCTCATTTTCCCCTTCCCCCAGCCCCTCATAACCACAAATCTGCTGTCTATCTCTATGGATTTGCCTACTCTGGACATTTCATAGAAATGGAATTACACAATATGCAGCTTTTTGAGATGGGCTTCTTTCACTTAGCTAATGTGTTCAAGGTTCATCCGTGTTCTAGCACATATCACTACATCATTCCTTTTTATTAGTGAATAATATTCTATTATGTGGACATACCACATTTTGTTCATTGATTCATCATTTGATAGATATTTGTGTTGTTTTACGTTGTGGGATTTGGGGACACTTGCGTACAGTTGAAACATTCACTGCTAATTCTTTTAATGCTAATTACTTTGTTTGTGCTTGATAAAAGTTTATTTGAGGATGCATTTTAAGTTCTTTAGAAATAGAAATACTAGAAATGAATGAACTTACTTTATTCAAGTTTTCACTTTTTCTCCATTTTGACTTTTTGTTGTTGATACTCTGTTAGACAGCGACTTTCCCCTTTTGTTAAAGAAAGGGCTCCATACTGAAATGTTTTCTTTTATTTCCTTCAAGTTGAAAAAGCATCAGAATCTGAGGAGTCAGATGAGGATGACGGTCCTGCACCTGTTATAGTAGAGAATGAAAGCTATGTGAACCTTAAGAAAAAGATTTCCAAAAGATATGACTGGCAGGCAAAGTCAGTACATGCTGAAAATGGTAAAATCTGCAAGCAGTTCCGAATGAAACAGGTAGGGTATGCTGAGAGAATGAGTAACGTTGCCTCCCTAATATCTGGATGATGGGATTAGGAATTAGGGAGCTTTGGCTACCCTCCTTAAAATTCTTCTGGTTCTTTTTCTCCCTGAGTGGTCAAAGTTTCTACAGGCCACAGCAAACTTAAGTGCATATGCTAGATGGTTTTGGAAAATCCTATAGCTGGTACATAGCAAACACACACATATATGCCAAATAGTCTCAGAGTCATGTGCCTTTGGTACTGTGACAGACAATCTGGTATGTAAAAGGAATATCAATACTGTGGTTTACTGGCCGGGCACGGTGGCTCACACCTGTAATCCCAGCACTTTGGGATGCCAAGGTAGGCAGATCACCTGAGGTCAGGAGTTCAAGACCACCCTAGCCAACATGGCAAAACCCTGTCTCTACTAAAAATACAAAAATTAGCCGGGCGTGGTGGCAGGTGCCTGTAATCCCAGCCACTTGGGAGGCTGAGGCACAAGAATTGCTTGAACTTTGGTGGTGCAGGTTCCAGTGAGCCATGATTGCACCACTGTACTCCAGCCTGGGCAACAGAGCAAGACTCTGTCTCAAAAACAAAACAAAACAAAATAAAAACAAATACTGTGGTTTAGAGCCAGGCGGGCGTGGTAACACATGCCTGTAGTCTCAGCTACTTGGAAGGCTGAGGCAGGAGGATCACTTGAGACAATGCCAGCCTGGAAAACATAATGAGTCCCTGTCTCTAAAAACAAAACAAAACAAATACTGCGATTTACCTTAGAAAAAATTAATATATAAAAGGAGAAGGATAAGGAAGGACTTTTACCCTGTTTCAAAGACTCAAAGGATAAATAATGTGCCCAAGATCGCATAGCTAGTAAGTGGTTTAGCCAATTCTGTTTCTAAAGTCCATTTTGTTTTTACCCCATTCACATGAAGATTATTTTAAAAGAATTCATAAGTGAATCCTGAGGGCAAAGTTAGAGATAGGACAGAGGCAAGTTGCTTAACCAATATGGGAATTGGATTAAATGCTCTCTAGGCCCTCCAGTTCTAAAGTTCTGTGAGTCTGATTTTTGACACCATGTAACACCATCACATATGTAGTACAATACCCAAAGAACATCACAATGTATATAAATTGCACTGTAGGTAAGATGATAGAAACAAAAAATTAGATATTCAATTTGATCAGTGTGATAAGTTTATGATAAAATTATATGTAGGAAATAGCAAGTTCCTGTAAATTTATTACAGTATTCAAAAGTATAGCCAGAGTTTTAACAAACAAGGCAATTTTTATAGCATTGGCCATTAAATATGAAATTGATTTATATAGTTGTAGTGACTGCCCAAAAATAACCCTTTAGTGAGTGCTTTTCTATTATTGATTTAGGTAAAAATCTGATATTGCTTAGAGCTACGCTGTCTGATATGGTAGCCCCTACCCATGTTTGGCTGTTTATATTAATTAATTAAAATTAAAAATTCAGTTCCTCAGTAACACTATTCTTCACATTTCAGGTGCTCAATAGCCACATGTAGCCAGGTGTTGCTGTATTGGACAGCACAGGTATAGAACATTTCCATCAACACGGAAAGTTCTATTGGACAGTACTGGTATAGAGACTCTTGTTGGGAAGAACTGGATATGTGCTAAGCAAGAGGGCTTTATTTCACCCAGAAAATCTTTCGGTTTATTCAGATGTTGGAAAACTAATGTACAGATTCCACAACTCATTCTGGCTGATTCTCTGAGCAGCATTCTGAATAAAGTCTTCTACATCCAATCCCAACAAATCCAACAAAGGATCACTCAAGGCCAGGAGTGCAAGACCATCCAGGGCAACATAACAAGACTCTGTCTCTATAATTAAAAAAAAAAAAAAGCTGTAATCCCAGCACTTTGGGAGACCAAGGCAGGTGGATTCTTGAGCACAGGAGTTTGAGGCCAGCCTGGGCAACATGGTGAAGTCCTGTCTCTACAAAAAAATACAAAAAGCCGGGTATAGTGGCACACACCTGTAGTCCCAGCTACTTGGGAGCTTGAGGCGGGAGGATCGCTAGAGCCTGGGAAGTGCAGATTGGAGTGAGCCGTGATCGCACCACTGCACTCCAGCCTGGCAACAGAGTGAGACCCTGTCTCAAAAAAAAAAAAAAAAAAAGAAAAAGTAACCCAACTGATATCTTATCTTTGATTTTATTAGGCTTCCAGACAGTTCCAGTCCATTCTGCAAGAGAGGCAATCACTCCCTGCTTGGGAAGAAAGAGAAACCATTCTTAACTTATTGCGTAAGCACCAGGTGGTTGTCATAAGTGGTATGACTGGGTAAGAATGCAGTTTATTCATCTGTAGCTTTCATCTATAAATATTATATGCACCCTGGTTACCATAACCAGTTGAACTTGTTAAAAACTGTAGCTGGATTTATAGATATTATATACATCTGCCTTGAGACATAAGGCAAAAAAATCCAGCTGAAGACTTTTAACAAGGCTCATGTTTAAATTTAAAGGATAGTTCTAGAACATTTAGCTTGAGAGCTTTTTATCTTCTGAATTTATTCTGATTTCCTGTCACGCAGGCTGGAGTGCAGTGGCATGATCTCGGCTCACTGCAACCTTTGCCTCCTGGGTTCAAGTGATTCTCATGCCTCAGCCATCCGAGTAGCTGAGATGACAGGCGCACCACTGTGGTGCACCACCATACCCAACTAATTTTTGTGTGTTTTTAGTAGAGAGGGGTGTTTTACCATGTTGGCCAGGCTGGTCTCGAACTCCTGGCCTCAAGTGATCCGCCTGCCTCGGTCTCCCAAAGTGCTGGGATTACAGGTGTGAGTCACCACACCCAGCCTTTATTTTTCTTTTAAAAACAACTTAATTATGGTGCGTTATTTTTCCTGCTTTACATTCTCCTATTTAGCAGGGACAAATTGCAGACTTCATTTATTTATTCAAGAGTATACAATTTAATAATTATATTTGTGTCCAGACTCAGTGATATGGTAATAATTCGTACCTTCTAGTTTATCTTTTTAACCTCAGCCTAATCATAGCTAAATTAATACCTATAAAATATTTTGATAATCATAAGCTAATACTCCTTTTCTTTGGGGTTCATGTGTAGAGTTTACGTTCCTAGAAGCATTTACAGACCTTAATTTAATGTCTGTTCAATAGTCCCAATTTTACAAATGTTACTAAACTATTATTTGATTGTCCTTTTGATTGGAGTGCAAATTCCTAGAATTTCCCACCTCTTGGTAATAAGTCAGGAGGTTGTTTTAGAAAATACCTGAAACTGAACAACTTTTATTCTAATTAGCTTTATCACTTTTCTCATTCCATATGATTGCTTCTTTAGTTAACTAGCCCTTGAAAACTTCATTTTAGGACTTATTTGTTTTAATGTACAGATGTGGGAAAACCACACAAATTCCGCAGTTTATTCTGGATGATTCTCTGAATGGACCACCTGAGAAGGTAGCCAACATCATCTGTACCCAACCCCGACGAATCTCTGCAATCTCTGTTGCTGAACGCGTTGCTAAAGAAAGAGCAGAGAGGGTGGGTCTGACCGTGGGATACCAGATTCGGTTAGAAAGTGTCAAGGTTTGTATGCTCTGCTTATTTCCTGGTAACAGAAATTTATGGTTTTTAGGTATAAAAAGTTTTGGGGGTTAGGAGATTCATGGGCAATTTGGGATATATACTTTCAGGTTATTTTTAAATTAATGATTACCTTTGGTAATCATTTATTTAAATATTTAGAAATATTTAGAAATATTTTGGTATAAGAACTCTTATGGCCAGGCGCGGTGGCTCACACCTGTAATCCCAGCACTTTGAGAGGCCAAGGCAGGTGGATCACCTGAGGTCGGGAGTTCGAGACCAGCCTGACCAACATGGAGAAACCCCATCTCTACTAAAAATACAAAAATTAGCCAAGTGTGGTGGCACACGCCTGTAATCCCAGCTACTCGGGAGTCTGAGGCAGGAGAATCCCTTGAACCTGGGAGACGGAAGTTGCAATGAGCCGAGATTGCGCCATTGCACTCCAGCCTGGGCAAAAAGAGCAAAATTCTGTCTCAAAAAAAAAAAAAAAAAAAAAACTCTTATTTGGTTGTACTAAATTTCCTCTGTAAAGCTTTTTATTTTTTATTGGCAGAAGTCATCTAGTAAAGACTGTTTTGCTCTTGAACTTGGGACATAATCCATTTAACCAAATAAGGAGCAGACAGATTGAGAACTGTTTTCATTATTCACTGTTTTTTAATGCTTTTTATGAAAATCTTAACATTGTGATATGAAGTAGAAAGGCTTTTATTACTGTCCCTGGCAAGAAACTATGTTTAGTATGGTTTCCTATTAAATGGAACTGCTGGTGTTTCCAATATTTTTTATCACTATCCATTCAAAATGGCTTTCCAGTAATGTTTCCTTTTTTTGAAAATTTTATTAATGATTTATATTGCCCTTTCATGTGTAAGTCCTCAGCCACCAGACTGTTATACTGCACCACGGGAGTGCTGCTGAGAAGGCTAGAAGGAGATACAGCTCTACAAGGAGTTTCCCATATCATTGTTGATGAAGTTCATGAGAGGACAGAAGAAAGGTAAAACAAAGACTTTCCCAGGGAACACACACTCACCTGAATTGAAGGCATGGCAGAAAAAATTGTTTTCTAGTTCCAATTCAGTTTCATGCAGCTAGTAATGGTAATTTGCCACAAGGAAGGCCTATGTTAGAGAAGAGCAACTGCTTTCTTGATCTCCAGGGTCTGTAACACTAAAAAGGACAGCACATGCTCATCACTTATTAGATGGAGTCATCCTGTTAGGTTAGAAGGTATACTTCACACCATCCTGGGCATTATGCTAAGTTGAATACCGTACTTAGTAGAAATAACAGATGTCATGCATGCTGTGGCTGAATGTATCTTCTTCCTTGTTTATTTGGCCATTCAGTCCTGACATTGATTCATGTATTTATTGAGCCTGCATTAAATGCCAAGTGATATATTAGTTGCTGGGGATACAGTGATGAACAAGCATGTATGGCTCCCCCTCATCTCTTACAGTCCAGTAGAAAAAACAAATAATGAACAAGTAAACAAGCAAATGATTGTAAATTGGAATAAGCACTATGAAGGAATAAACGGCATGCTGTGTTTGGAGGGAGAGACCCATAGATGCTCAAAGATCATATCTCTGTAAGATGACAATTTAAATTCAAAACTGAAGTATGGCCGGGCGCAATGGCTCACACCCATAATCCCTGCACTTTGGGAGGCCAAGGTGGGAGGATCGCTTGAGCTCAGGAGTTGGAGCCCCACCTGGGCAACATAGTGAGACCATGTTTCCACGAAAAGTAAAAAAAACAAAACAAAACAAAAAATAGCCAGTAGTCATTCTACTGGGGATACAGAAAAAAAAAAAAAAAAATTAGCCAGGCGTGATGCCTCACACCTAAGGTCCCAGCTACTCAGGAGGCTGAGGCAGGAGAATCAATTGAGCCCCCAGGAGGTTGAGGCTGCAGTGAGCTGTGATAGCACCACTGCACTCCACCCTGGTCAAGAAAGCAAGACCCTGTCTCAAAAGAAAAGAAAAGAAAAGAAAAGAAAACTGAAATATGAGAAGGAATCCCAGGTGACAAACGGGGGTAAGGAAAGTATGTTTGAAGATTTTGCAGTGGGAAGGGGCTTTGTGAGTCCAGAAACAAGGAAGCCCAGTGCACCTGCTGTGTAGCAGCAAAGGGGAAAGTAGCACAGGGAAGAAGCAGCAGGAGCCAGACCTTCCAGGGCCTTAAGCACCACGAATAATAAAGCATGTGGATTTTATCTTATGAAATTAGAAGTCATTAAAGGGTGAGGCATAAAATAAAAATTCTTGCCAGACACAGTGGTGCATGCTTGTAGTTCCAGCTACTGAGGAGGCTGAGGCAGGAGGATTGCTTAAGTTCAGGAGTGCAAGGCTGTGGTGTGCTATGATTGCACCTGTGAAGAGCCACTTCAGCCTGGGAAATATCATGAGACTCCATCTCTAAAAAAAAAAAAAAAAAAAATTAAAAGTCTGAATATTTTAAGTACTGAGGAGGGCCAGGAAGATGGATGGCATTAATCATAGTTTGTCATGTGGATCATGCCCTAGAGCAGTAAAAGAAAACTAGTGGGAAAAAAGAGAAAGTCCTGTGAAAATTATGAAGTTTTCCCACAAAGTATTGTACCACAATAAATATCTTGAGAAGAAGAAAAAAAGTCTAAGTAAACTTGGTGGACTGATAGGAAAGCAGAAAATAGCTAAAAGCAAAACATTAAAAAAAAAAAAAAAAAAGGATTGGTGGCAGGCGCCTGTAGTCCCAGCTACTCGGGAGGCTGAGGCAGGAGAATCGCTTGAACCTGGGAGGCGGAGGTTGCCGTGAGCCGAGATTGCGCCACTGTACTCCAGGCTGGGCGACAGAGCAAGAAAAAAAAAAAAGGAATTGAACAGAGAAGGCATATAACCAGAAGAACTATTAGAAGAAATAATACATTACTATTATTAGTAAATAAGAAATATGAAGTAATTAGAAACTAAAGAAAGACTTTTAGATAAAAAGAATGAACCAAAAGAAAAAGAAATAATTCCTAGAACAAGACAATAATAAATATTAAATTACTATACAGAAAACATTGGAAATCTCTAAGGGGCAAATAATCTTTTTGTAGAAACTCCAGAAAACAATGGGAAAAAAAATTAATGGTAAATAATGTCATTTTGCCACTGTTGGAAATGAACATCTGAAAGAAGAAATTTTTTTAACAAAATCATTGAACAACTTGGAAGAGGAAGCCAAATAAAACATTCTCTCAGATTAATGGTATTTAAATGATTGATTTATAAAGATAAGTTTAAACTTTTAGGGAAACCTATATCCAGTATAATTTTGAATATGAAGAGTAGCTTTGGATTCTATAACATTTGTACTTCCACAAACTTGAAGAAATGAGAACATAGCACTGGATTTGGTTCCTGGCTAAAATAGGAGAAAGATTTTTATAAAACCTAAGGATCTGTAGAATATGAACGTTAAAAATTCAAAAGATGTTCACATCTGAATAAAGATTAATTACACAGTGGAGAAGGGTGCTTCAAATATTTACAAATACCAGTTTACAAGAAAGGGTATACAAATTACAAGGAAAAGTAGGGGAATATTTGCTAACTCTGACTGAAAAAAGCAAAAACTAATAAAATCTAGGAACAAAAATCAGTAAAAATATTGGCAAGATTAAAGGTTGAATATAGAAAGGTGACAGTTGTGTTAGTTTGAAATTTTAATAAATTTTCTAATCACAGAGATGACATGATCATTCTAAGGCATACAGTAAATACCAAAAAATGTAAAAGAAGAATCTCTGTCCCTTATAAAATTGCTAGTTACATGTTATAATTTTAGTCTCTTTTCTTCTGGGAGTATATTGGGAGTTAGAAGAGGGATATGGTAGAAAGAGAGATGTATTTCCACAAACACTATTGGGATTATATAGTTTTGTTGTGCTGTTTTTGATTTAACAGAATGATAGCATGAGTTAATGAATTATCTTTTTTTTTTTTTGAAACAAAGTCTTTGTCATCCAGGCTGGAGTGCAGTGGTGCAGTCTCAGCTCACTGCAGCCTCCACCTCCCAGGTTCAAGCGATCCTCCTGCCTCGGCCTCCCAAGTAGCCGCAACTACAGGTGCACGCCACCAGGCCTGGCTAATTTTTCTATTTTTTTAATAGAGTCGGAGTTTCACCATGTTGGCCAGGCTTGTCTTGAACTCCTGAGCTCAAGTGATATGCTCGCCTTGGCCTCCCAAAGTGCTGGGATTACAGGTGTAAGCCACCACACCCAGCTGAATTATCTGTAAAATTAAGAATTTCATAAGGAAATTCTGAAGTCTGGATATACCATAAATTACTTAACCATTTGCCTGTTGTTGTTGGACTATTTCCCTGAAAAAGAAACAAAAATAGTCATAAATGTAATTAAATTAGCTCATTAAAAAGAGCTAAGTAGTATAAGAATGTTTTCATTAAAAACTCAAACAGGCCAGGTGCAGTGGCTCACACCTACAGACCTTCCATTCTGGGATTACTGATTATATGTTCAGTAATCCCAGCATTTTGGGAAGCCAAGACAAGAGGATCACTTGAGCCCAGGAGTTTGAGACCAGCCTGGGCAATATAGGGAGACACCATCTCTACTATAAAAACAAAAACAAAAAAATTAGCCCCAGCTACTCAGGAGGCTGAGGCAGGAGGATCACTTGAACCCAGTTCAAGGCTGCAGTGAGCCATGATAACGCCACTGCACTCCAGCCTGGGTGACAGAGCGAAACCTTGTCTCAAAAAAAAAGGTAAGAAAAACGTTATAGATAAAGTGAAAGTCCCTCTTACTACTCCCAAACCACTCTCAGTTCCTTTCTTAGAAGTAAACTGGTAGTACATCTTTCTATGCATGGATATAGATGTTTACTTTGTTAGAAATAGTTACTTTTGTTTTCTGACCTTTTTTTCTTACACAGATGATATATTCATTTAGTAAGTCAATGAATATTCATTGAGTACTTACTATGTCCCAGGCATTGTTGTAGATCCTGCAGTAGTGAATAAAATTCTTGTCCTTGTAGAACTTCTATTCTAGTGGGAGAGCTCATCAATAAGCAAGATAAATAAGTAAAATACAGAATATGGTAAGTGCTAAGAAGAAAAAATAAAGCAGAAAAAAGACAATAGAAATTCAAGGGAGGAGGGCATTTGAAATTTTAAATAAGGTAGCCAAGGAAGTCCTCACTGAAAAACTATCTTTGGAGTAAGGACTTGAAGGAAGTGAGGGAGCTACCTGTGTGAAGGGCTAGGAGAAGCCCAGTAATCCAGGCAGATTAATAACATGTACAAAAGACCCAAGGTGCATGCCTCAAAGACGGCAAGGAGAACAGTGAGCCGGTGCTGAGTGAATGAACGGGAGAGTACTAGAAAAAGATGGGGAGCATGGGGTGTAGACCGTGCCATATAGAGCCTTGTTAGTAAGAATTCTAATGAGAAGTCATTGGATTTTAAGCAGAAGAGTGGCACAATCAGATTTTTCTTTTTTTTTTTTAAGAGATGGGGTCTTGCTATATCGGCTAGGTTGGTCTTGAACTCCTGGCCTCAAGCATTCCTCCCACCTCAGCCTCCCAAACTGCTAGGATTACAAGTGTGAGCCACCGCACCCCGTCAGCACAATCAGACTGACATTCGAAGAGCATTATTGGTTGGCTGTATTGAGAACAGATTGCAAGGGGGCAAGGGCCAAGAGACCAATTAGGGTGGTGTTATTCTGCCGTGCATACTATTCCAGGCAACTTGGGATTTTTCCTACTAAAAATATGTCTTAGAGATGTTTTCATGTTATTTTCTAGAGCTCTACCTTATTCCTTGTATCTGCTTCATGTTATTTCATAGACTGGATGATATTGTTATAATTAACCATTTATCAGTTAGTTGATGGACATTTGGGTAGTTTCTACTGTCTTACTATTACAAACAATGCTATAATGAAAATCTTTGTATGTGCCTCTTTGTGGTACACATAGATATCAAGAAGTAGAATTATCAAATTTGTACCCTATACCAGCTAAGAGTAAAAAAATAATAATTATAAAATTTGATTATCAATCCTGTTGGGATTTTGATTGGTACTGCCTGGATTTGGTTTCTTTGGGAAAGAATTTATATCTTTATACAGGTTGAGCATCCCTAATCCAAAAATCAGAAATAATCCAAAATCTGAAACTTCTTGAGTGCTGACATGACACTACAAGTGGTAAGATTCCACACCTGACACCTTTGCTCTCCGATGGTTCAATGTATACCAACTTTATTTCACAGACAAAATTATTCAAAATATTATATACAGTTACCTTTAGGCTGTGTATATAAGGTATATATGAAACATAAATTGATTTCTTGTTTAGATTTAGACCCCATCCCCCAGATATCTCATTATGTATATGCAACTATTCTAAAATCTGAGAAAATTTGAAATCTGAAACACTTCTGGTTCCAAGCATTTCACATAACAGATATTCAACCTGTAATAGTAAGGCTTCACATCCAAGAACAGGACATATTGTTCTATGAACGTTAATGGTTTTTTTTTTTCACAGAGATCTTACACATTTCTTGCTCAAAATATAGTAAAAGTTACTAATTTTCATGTGTTGAATTTGTTTGATCCTCAGGTGTTTCTTTTATTTTCTCTAGTGACTTCTTGCTGCTAGTTTTGAAGGACATTGTATCGCAGAGGCCAGGTCTTCAAGTTATTTTAATGAGTGCAACTCTAAACGCTGAGCTTTTTTCAGACTATTTTAATTCCTGCCCCGTTATTACTATACCAGGTGAATAAAATGCATCATTAAATATGTATCATTCTAATAAGCAAATATAATTATTTTAAAGTTTGAGACATAAGTAGATATTTATACCTCTTTCTAGAGAAGCGATTCATTTATAACATAAAATCATAAACCATATAATGCAGCTGATAAGGAGGTAACATATCTTGCTGGGAGATTTTTTTTTTTGAGACAGAGTCTCGCTCTGTCACCCAGGCTGGAGTGCAGTGGCGTGATCTCGGCTCACTGCAACCTCTGCCTCCCGGGTTCATGCCATTCTCCTGCCTCAGCCTCCCGAGTAGCTGGGACTACAGGTGCCCGCCACCTCACCCAGCTAATTTTTTGTATTTTTAGTAGAGACGGGGTTTCACTGTGTTAGCCAGGATGGTCTCCATCTCCTGACCTCACGATCTGCCCGCCTCGGCCTCCCAAAGTGCTGGGATTACAGGTGTGAGCCACTGCACCCGGCCATTGCTGGGAGATTTTAATTTTTTTAGGGGACTTTTAAAAAAAGTCATAGTTACTTATTTCTAGCATTCCATTGTGTTTAACATCAAAGTTGATAGTGGCAGTCTGTCATAAAGAGGGAACTTGTGTCTGTGACAGTATATTTGTTCATTTCTGGATTCTGCTAAATTTCTGGGTGTTGGTCCACTCTGGCAGAAAGTGACATTGGACAGTCTGTGTTTTCTTTGGGCACTTCCACAGTCTCATTGTGGAATTAATTTATCACCCTGAGCTTTGATTTATCCTTCTTCAATTGAATACTAAAAAGACACTTTGGAAACACTGACTGATAAAAAATAGTGCAGTTTGTTTTAGTTATAGGGAATGCTGGCAGTAAATCTAAGGAAGAAACTTTGTGTTTGATCTAGAATACAACTGTTGAATGTTTAAAGGTCCTCTATGGTGGAAGTGGCGGGGGCAGGGGAGGAGGGTATGAAAGGTGTAACAGGTAAAAGAAAAAAAGTCTTAGCAAAGGATCATTTCTCTACCTATACACTGCTTCTGTTTACTGACTGAAATCTGCCCTTTCCAATTTCTGTTACCAGAACTTTTCTTCTTGATACTTTTAAGACCACAGAACAAATAGGACGTTAGCATGACAAGCTTTAAGAGAATTTTATATATATAAACTATTTCAAGATGGTTGAATGGGTGTTCTCAGGCTTTCTATTTTGTCTCCTTGTTTTTCTAGGTCGTACATTTCCTGTTGATCAATTTTTTTTGGAAGATGCAATTGCTGTGACAAGGTAAGGAAGATATTAATTAAGATTCAGTGAAAGGACCTGGCATGGTGGTTCATCCCTGTAATTCTAGCACTTTGGAAGGCAAAGGTGGGAGGATCTTTTGGGGCCAGTTCAAGACCAGCTTGGGCAACATATTGGGACCCCCATCTATTGAGAAAAAAAAAAAGATTCAGTGAAACTTTGAAAACAGAATAATATTTGACCCTCAATGTGCCAGAATACTAATACATGTGTTAGTCTTTTTTTCTAATTTTTCTGCACTTGATTTCAGCCAAAAAGCCAAGAAGTGATTTTCTTCTATTTTTTCTGTTTGAACATTTTGTTCTCCCCTCTCTTTCAGCAAACAGACTGCCAATATTTAAGTCCCTCTACTTACTTTTTCTTTCTTTCTTTTTTTTTTTTTTTGAGATAGAGTCTTACTCTGTTGCCCAGGCTGGTGTGCAGTGGTGTAATCATAGCTCACTGCAGCCTCGAATACCTGGCTCAAGCAGTCCTTCTACTTCAGCCTCCTGAGTAGCTGAACTACAGACACACACCCCCATGCCTAATTTTTTTTAATGGTTTTGTAGAGACGGGTCTCATTATGTTGCCCAGGCTGGTCTCAAACTCCTGACCTCAAGCAGTCCTCCTGCCTTGCCTCCCGAAGTGCTGGGATTACAGTCATGAGCCACCATGCCTGGCCCCCTCTACTTACTATAACTTTGGCAAGTAGCTTAATCTCTCTGTACTTTAGTTTTAATGAATTTATACTTGCTGATTCTGCTGAGAGCATTAAAAAATTAATGAATTAATACTTGCAAAGTGCTTAGAACTGTGCTTGGCACATAATGCATGCTCTCAAATGTTAGCAGTTATTGGCTGGGTGTGGTAGCTCACACCTGTAATCCCAGCACTTTGGGAGGCCGAGGCGAGCAGATCACCTGAGGGCGGGAGTTCAAGACCAGCTTGGCCAATATGGTGAAACCCTGTCTCTACTACGAATACAAAAGTTAGCTGGGCATGGTGGTGCATGCCTGTAATGCCAGCCAATCTGGAGGCTGAGGCAGGAGAATCGCTTGAACCTGGAAGGCAGAGGTTGCAGTGAGCTGAGACCACGCCATTGCACTCCAGCCTGGGCGGCAGAGTAAAACTCTGTCTCAAAAAAAAAAAAAAAAAAGTTAGCTATTATTATCATCATCATCATTGTACTCGCATAGAGTTTGCAGTATAGCCTGAGTGTTAAGATATCTGTATAAACAATTGTAAGTGCTAGGTAGAAAATGTTAATGTGTATTGCATATAAACAGATCTCTCTTCTTTGAAAGCCCTACTTTCTCTTCTTAGTCTCTGATCTTGAGGATTCCGCAAGATTTTCCTTGCACTGTTTCTTCTCACTATTAACTCTCCCTTGGCTACCTTAGACTCATGTGATTTCAGCTGTCATCCCTGTGCCGAGAACTCCCAGATTAGTATCTTCATTCCTGACCTCTGAGCTCTAGAATGAAACACCCCTAATATCTGACAGCTTAAATACAAGTCAGAATTTTTCTCCTTCTCTGTTCCTTCCTTCTCTAATAAGCCCCCCTCCTAATTCCATATTCATTTAATGGTACTATATTCTCAAGGTAAAAACCCAAAACCAGTGGCTCTCAAATTTTAATGTGCAATAAGGATACTTAGGGAGCTTATTAGAATTATTATTTTCTGGGCCCTATCCCACTACCATTGAATATGAGTTTCTGAGGAAATCATCTTTCAACTAGTTTACCTGTCTTTACTTTTTCAAACTCACTGCTTCCAGAATATATATATATATGGGTTTTTTTTTGTTTGTTTTTTGTTTTTTTTTAAGACAGCCTCACTCTGTCACCCAGGCTGAGTGCAGTGGTGCTATCATAGATCACTGCAGCCTTGTTCTTCCAGGCCCAAGTGATCCTGTTACCTCAGAATACTAAGTAGCTGGGACTACAGATGTGTGCCACCATGCCTGGCTAATTTTTTTATTTTTAGTAGAGACAAGGTCTCACTATGTTGCCCAGGCTCAGAATTATCTTTAAACATAGAATTGTTCACATTCCTCCTATTCTTAGAAATTTTCATTGGTTCCCTATCACTCACACTTTGTGGACACTAAAGGCCCATATCATCTGACCCCAGCCAATATTTAAGTTCCCTTCCTTCTTTAGTTTCCTACCTATAAAACCTTAGCACTCTCAGACTACTTGTTATTTCTGAAAGATGCCATACTATTACTATCTGTATTTCTTTTTCCCACTTCCTTCTCTAGTCATTCTTTAACACCCAACTTGAATGCTACCTCCATGAAATTTCCTATTTTCTGCTATTAAAAATTAATCATTTCTTTTTTTTTTTTTTTTTTTTTTTTTTTTTTTTTTTTTTTTTTTTTTTTTTTGAGACGGAGTCTCGCTCTGTCGCCCAGGCTGGAGTGCAGTGGCGCGATCTCGGCTCACTGCAAGCTCCGCCTCCCGGGTTCACGCCATTCTCCTGCCTCAGCCTCCCAAGTAGCTGGGACTACAGGCGCCCGCCACTACGCCCGGCTAATTTTTTGTATTTTTAGTAGAGACGGGGTTTCACCGTTTTAGCCGGGATGGTCTCGATCTCCTGACCTCGTGATCCGCCCGCCTCGGCCTCCCAAAGTGCTGGGATTACAGGCGTGAGCCACCGCGCCCGGCCTAATCATTTCTTTATTAGAAGTCACAGAATACTTTTCTTGTGCCTCTAATAACATTTATTTCTGTCTTACAGTATAGTGTGTTGTTTTGTTCTGTTCTCACTAGTTTGTAAGCTCCTTGAAAGTATACTTATTTTTCTATACCATACCACCACCGTCACCATAGTCCCTTGTCCAAAATAGGCATTCAGTAAATATTCAATAAACAAACAAACGGTGAATGTGAAAAGAGTGTTGGCATTTAATGGAGAGAAGGGGTTGGAGGAAGTCAGGATTATAGAATCATAGGTTTTTAAATCTTTTTTTTAAAAAGCTACAATACACTTTATGCAAATGAAATCTTATAGGAAATCATAGAGAAATGAAACATAAAACAAGAATGATTGGGCTGAAAGAATAGCCCCCAGTTACTTACTTTGCTCCCATTCCCTTACCTTTCCTTGGGGCTTTGAGCAACATTTAAGGCTCCAGGGAAAAAAAATCGAGCCACTTACCTATGCCAATTTCCCAAAACATGAGAAAGTAAAGCCTTTTGAAATTGACTTGTTAGAAGTCTCATGGCAGATTGGTTTAGTGGCAGACAGAACTCAAATCCAGAGCTTTTGTTTCCAAATCTATTCATTTTTCTGCTTTGCCATGATGTCTAATAGGATTGTCACTAACAAATATTAAACTATCCAGTTGTAAGAGTTTTGAAATGTTTTAAGAATAGTCTTAGGTTGATGTTCAGCCAACAGCTAGAAACTTGGGTCCAAATTTGATTGCAACAAAAGGAAATCAGCTGCCTGGGAATTATCATAGAAACAAGAGGATCAATAAGATTGCTGAAGAAAAATCAAAAATGAAGAGGGGTGTTACTAAGGCTATAACTCAAATGTGTTTTCTGAATGTCCATGCCATTATTCCTGGATAGAGCTTTTCTCCAAATTCTTAGCTGGTCTCCGAGACAGACCTAAAAGCATTGCAGTGTGTTCCCAACCAGAAATAGGGTACAGCCAGAATCCTGGACTGGTGGAAGGATGGCATGTGAATTGGGCAGACAGTGACATTTTGCTGAACGAGCACGTGAAACAGGTGAATTCTTTCCCTCCTCACCAACAGGACCACATACACACAACCACATTCCTTTGTCTTTCTCAGGTATGTATTACAGGATGGGAGCCCATATATGCGGTCCATGAAACAGATTTCAAAGGAAAAGCTTAAAGCAAGGCGGAACAGAACTGCATTTGAAGAAGTGGAAGAAGACCTAAGGCTCTCCCTTCACCTCCAGGATCAGGATTCTGTCAAAGATGCAGTGCCAGATCAACAGTTAGATTTTAAGCAGCTCCTGGCCCGCTATAAAGGTAACATGCCTCTTGGGGGAATATTATAATTATGCCAAAGATTTCTAGTATTCTTTCTTACCAAGATTCGGAAGAAGAAAAATATGATTCTTGTTTCATAGTTACATTGCCTTTAATTCATCAGAGCAACCTTAAACCTAGAAAAATAGTTCAGATACATATTTAGAATACAATTGTTACTATATTTGCCAATGGGTTTTTTTTCTAATTATAAAAGAAATATGTGCTCATTAGAGAAAAATTGTGAGGTAGTAAAATATAAGTTATATTCTTGTGCATTTTGTAGCTTTTTATTTTGATGTGATTTCAAATTTATGGAAAAGTTCGCAAGGCTAAACGATGAACTCTCATATATCCTTTACCCCAATTCACCAGTTGTTAATGTTTACTTCATTTTTTGCTTTATCATTTGCTCTGGGTTCATGTATTTTTTTTTTCTGAATCTCCTGAGAGTAAGTTACAGATATGATGCTCCTTTACCCTTAATACTTTAGTGTGTCTTTCCTAAGAACAAGGACATTCTCTTACGTAACCACAGTACAGTGATCAAAATGAGGACATTTAACACTGATACAATTATATAATTCACAGTCCATACTCAGGCTTGAACAATTATCTCAGTAATGTTTATTTTTGCTGTATTTTCCTGATTCAGGATCCTATCATGGATCATATATTACATTCAGTCATGTATTCTTAGTCTCCTTTGATCTAGAACAGCTCCTCATCCTTTGTCTTTTAGTGACCTTGACATTTTTGAAGATTATTTTGTAGAATGTCCATCCATTTGGGTTTAGTATTTCTCCATGATTAAATTTAGGTTATACATTTTTGGCTGGAGCATCACAAAAACGATCTTGATTTCTCAATGCATCATATCAAAAGGCACATGGGCCCCGTGGTGTTGGCTTGTCCCATTATTGGCAATGTTAACTTGTTCACTTGGTAAAGGTAATGTTTGCTAGGTTTCTCCCTTGGTAATTGCTATTTCTTTTGTAGTTAATAAGTCATTTGTGAAGCAATATTTGACATGATTTTAAAACCATTTAATATCCCAATAGTTTTAGCATTATTCGTGGGCTTTTAAAATAACATCTTTTGAGGCCTACCCTGTGCTGAGCTTTTTATGTATGTTATTAGGTACTTCCTCCTCCCATGCCAGACTCTAGCTGGCTACTCTTTGTTCCTATGTGGTCTTCTATCCATATAAGCTAAACTGAGCCCATAGAAACCCCAGGATCACTACTTTTGCTTTCTTCCTTGAAGCCTAGACTACAAGCAGGTCTCAGCTGTCCTTCTTGCTCCTTTTTCCGTAGACTGTCACCCTGTTCTTAGTTCTTCCCAAAAAAGGGTGTTTATTGTTCATGAGTAAGAGCTTCCAACCCGTTACTGCTTCTGTAGGATACAAGGCAAATGAATTTTCCTTTTTCTGCATCTACCAAAGACAGTTCCCAATCCTGGATGTGGAATGGTAATCACCAAGGAATTAAGATATTAGCCATTATTCTGTTGTTTAGGAAGATAAGCATAGCTCCCTAACATTTTATTTCATCTTCGCAATATTGAGAGATGTAAAGCTAAGAGAATGGACTTGTGTTTTATAGATCTGGGTTCAACTCCCAAGGCTCTCATAAAACCAGCTAATGATCTTGAGCAAGTTCTTTATCATCTCTGTGCCTCAGTTTCCTTATCTATAAAGTGGAATCATTTAGATGAGTATAATACAAACCCACAAGGATAGTGCCCAGCTAGTAAGTGCAGATCCATGATTCTAATTAAAATATGTCTAACTAAAAAATTTGTGTGCTTTTTGTACGTCATACCAACTGATAATTCAGATTCCCTTATTCCATTAAATTATGGAACAAGAAAATTCCTTTGAGGTTGGGCATGGTGGCTCACGCCTATAATCCCAACACTTTGGGAGGCTGAGGCAGGAGGATCACATGAGCCCAGGAGTTCAAGACCAGCCTGGGCAATACATTGAGACCTTGTCTCTACTACAAATGTTTTTTAAAATTAGCCGGGCATGGTAGTTGGCACCTGTAGTCCCAGCTACTCAGGAGGCTGAGGCGGGAGGATTGCTTGAGCAAAGGGATTCAAGGTTGCAGTGAGCTATGATCGCACTAGTGCACTCCAGCCCCAACAGAGCAAGACCTTGTCTCAAAAAAAAGAAAATCCCTTTGGCTTCTTTCAAAATTTTGGAGTTTTCTTTTAAAATTATCACTGAATCTAATCCATGACTTTCTAATTTTAAGCACAAAGGTTACTAAAGTTCAGAAAGTACCTTTGGGACCCCCTTTTTAAGGAAGGAGAATGGAGGAGTTGAGGTCAGGAAACATGACTCTGCCACCAGCTTCTGTATGGTACTGGGCTGATTGCTTAGCTTTTCTGAGCTTCTGGTTCTGTTTTTTGTTTGTTTGTTTGTTTTAAAAAAAACAAAAGTCCTTACAAAAATTAGCCAGGTGTGGTGGCACACACCTGTAGTCCCAACTATTTGGGAGGTTGAGGAATGAGAATCGCTTGAACCCAGGAGGCGGAGGCTACAGTGAGCCCAGATTGCACCACTGCACTCCAGCCTGGGCAACAGAGCAAGACTCCATCTCAAAAAAAAAAAAAATGCCTTGAATTTGTTGATCTCAATGTTCTCTTTCGCCTTTCAGAAAATTAAATAATGTTTCCTAGCTCAATTTTTAAGGCATTTTCTAGTTTTTCTTTGAAAAAATTAATGATCAGTCATTTAAAATATATTATTGATTTGGCTGGGCACAGTGGCTCATGCCTATAATCCCAGCACTTTGAGCGGCTGAGGCCAGAGGATTGCTTGAGCCCAGGAGTTCAAGACCAGCCTGGGCAACATGGTGCTGCCTTGTCTCTTAAAAAAATTTTTAAATTAGCTGGTGTGGTGGTGTGCACCTATAGTCCCTGCTACTCAGGAGGCTGAGGTGAGAGATCATTTGAACCCCAAGGGCCAAGGCTGCAGTAAGCCATGATCACGCCACTGCACTCCAGCCTGAGGAGAAGAGTGAGACCCTGTCTCAATAATAATAATTTTAAAAAACAAAACTATGTTCAGTTTTCTTTTTTCAATTAGCTGATCCTTTCTTCTTTTTGAAAAGTCTGGCTTTTTGGAATCTTGGCAAAGAAAAGTGATTCTGCTCCACCTTTCTCACCCAACCACACCCTTGTTTGTGCAGCCTGTTGCTTCCTTTTTTTCATTTTTGACCAACATGGTATTCATTCTACCAGAACAACATTGTTTCAAAACTCCTTTTTTTTTTTTTTGAGACGGAGTCTTGCTCTGTCGCCCAGCAGGAGTGCAGTAGCGCGATCTCAGCTTACCACAACCTCCGCCTCCTGGGTTCAAGCGAATCTCCTGCCTCAGCCTCCCAAGTAGCTGGGATTACAGGCACCCACCACCATGCCTGGCTAATTTTTTTTTTTTTTGTATTTTTAGTAGAGATGGGGATTTCCCATATTGGTCAGGCTGGTCTCAAACTCTTGACCTCAGGTGATCCACCCATCTCGGCCTCCCAAAGTGCTGGGATTACAGGCATGAGCCACCGCGCCCAGCCGAAACTGCTTTTGTCCCTCTTCAAACTTCTCAGCATCATATAGGAAGTTTCCCTTCCTTGGTACCAACTATAGTTATTTTGTTCCAGTTAGACTGTAGTTAGGGCGATAGGTCATTAGGAGAGCCTGAGAAGAATGGGCAGCAGTCTTTGAAGAGTTAGTCACCCCAACAATATACTATTGCTTTTAAAAGAGCTGAGGTGGCCGGGCGCGGTGGCTCACGACTATAATCTCAGCAGTTTGGGAGGCCGAGGCGGGTGGATCACGAGGTTAGGAGTTCGAGACCAGCCTGACCAACATGGTGAAACCCCATCTCTACTAAAAATACAAAAATTAGCTGGCCGTGGTACTACGTGCCTGTAATCCCAGCTACTCAGGAGGCTGAGGCAGGAGAATCGCTTGAATCCGGGAGGTGGAGGTTGCAGTGAGCCGAGATCACACCACTGCACTCCAGCCTGGGTGACAGAGCAAGACTCTGTCTCAAAAATAAAATAAAATAAAAAAATAAAAGAGCCGAGGCTTGTAGTACATCCTATAGAACTACATCGTTTACCAGATCGCAGATAGATTAGGAGATTGTGAGTGGGGAGATTGTGAGGGTCTATGAGTAGACTCCGTGGGTGTTAATGAAGATATTACAATCACATTTATTTTTCAGGGAAGATCAACCACTTATCATTTTCTCAAAGGAACCTAAAGGTTCAGCGAGTCACTGTTATAAAAATGCTGGTGAAAGCTGGGGTCTCTGTCCATTGATTGCCATAGGTTAGTGTTACCTGGACTTCCAGCATATCTCATTCATGATTCGATTGAATCTAGAAGAAGTTTCTAAAATGTATTTGACGTTGAATTTTGTTTCCAGAACTTAAGCTTTCAATAAATATTTGAAGGGTAAAAGAGGGGAAGGAATGAGGAGAGTAAAAAGTGGCCCATCTGGGTCTTTCCAACAGGGGCAGGAGCCTGCTTTTTGGGTCATTGTTCAAGCAAAAATTACTTCTGATGAGGCTGGATTTTCTGGGAAACTAAAAGAAAAAAGTGGGCTGGTTGTGGTGGCTGTAATCCCAGCACTTTGGGAGGCTGAGGCAGGAGGACTGCCTTAGCCTGGGAGTTCGAGACCAGCCTGGGCAACACAGCAAGACCCCATGTCTACAAAAAATAAAATTAAATTAACCAGGTATGGTGGTGCATGCCTGCAGTCCCAGCCTCTCAGGAGGCTGAGATCGGAGGATCACTTGAGCCTGGGAGGTCGAGGCTGCAGTGAGCTGTGATCACACCACTGCATTCCAGCCTGGGTGACAGAGCAAGACCCTGTCTCTAAATAAAGAAAAGAAAAAAGTTCATTTCAGTACATTAAATGTTAATATCTGTGCTATTAAACCAACACTCACCTAATTCACAGGCATATTGTATATGGTATAAATATACAATAAAATACATCAACAAGGTATAAATATCCTTCTCATTTTTACCTTTCTTTCTTTCAGGGGTTAGCAAGTCAGTCATCAAAACAATGTCCATCATGGATTTTGAAAAGGTGAATCTTGAATTAATAGAGGCCTTATTAGAGTGGATTGTGGATGGAAAGCACTCCTACCCTCCAGGTAACTGCTTCTTTATTAAGGCTTGAATGACAATTGAAACACTTAGTCCTTGGCTAAATGGGAGTCTATTCATGAGTGCTTGAATTACATGCAGACTCTGCACACAGGCTACAAGGCAGTGGGGTTAAGAATACAGGCTTTGCAGTCTGATAAACTTCCCAGCTCTGCTATTCAGGAATCTTGAAACCTTGAATAAAGTCTTTATCTTTTTTTTTTTTTGAGACGGGGTTTTGCTCTTGTTGCCCAGGCTGGAGTGCAATGGCGTGACCTTAGCTTACTGCAATCTCCGCCTCCCGGGTTCAAGCGATTCTCCTGCCTCAGCCTCCTGAGTAGCTGGGATTACAAGCATGTGCCACCACACCTGGCTAATTTTGTATTTTTTAGTAGAGACAGGTTTTCTCCCTGTTGGCCAGGCTGGTCTCGAACTCCTGATCTCAGGTGATCCGCCTGCCTCGGCCTCCCAAAGTGCTGGGATTATTGGCGTGAGCCACCGTGCCCGGCCTAGTCCTATCTTTTCTATGCTTCAATTTCCTTGTTGTAAAATGAAGACAGTAATAAATCCTGTTATGTAAAACTATTTTGGGGATTAAAAGAAACCATATGTAAGACACTTAGCACAGTATAGTTAAGGCTCAGTAGATACTACCCCTAATACTGATGACATTATAATTATAATAATACATGCCAGGTGCAATGGCTCACACTTGTAATCCCAGCACTTTGAGAGGCCAAGGAAGGTGAATCATTTGAGTCCAGGAGTTTGAGATCAGCCTGGAAAACATAGTGAAACCCCATCTCTACAAAAAAGTGCAAAAATTAGTCAGGCGTGGTGGCACATGCCTGTAGTCCCAGCAAGGGGTTGGAGTGGGAGGATTGCCTTAGCCTGAGAGGTGGAAGCTGCCATGAGCCATGATCGCACCACTGCACTCCAGCTTAGGCAACAGAGCAAGACCCTGTCTCAAAAAAACAGAAAAAAACCACACACCACATTTTGTATGTCATATGTATTACATACTGTATTCTCTTTTGTTTCTTTTTTTTTTTTTTTTTTTTTTGAGACAGGGTCTCACTCTCTTGCCCAGGCTGGAGTGTGCAGTGGCATGATGTCAGCTCACTGTAACCTCTTCCTCCTGGGTTCAAGCAGTCCTCTGGCCTCAGCTTCCCAAGTAGCTGGGACTACAGGTGTGCACCTCCACGCCTGGCTAATTTTTGTATTTTTAGTAGAGACAGGGTTTTGCCATGTTGGCCAGTCTGGTCTTGAACTCCTGACCTCACATGATCCACCCACCTTGGCCTCCCAAAGTGCTGGGATTACAGGCGTGAGCCACTGCACCTGGTGTACATACTGTATTCTTACAGTAAAGTAAACTAAAGAAAAGAAAATGTTATTTAAAAAGTCATAAGGAAGAGAAAATATATTTACTATTCATTAAGTGGAAGCAGATTATCATAAAGGTCTTCATCTTTGTTGCCTTCACATTCAGTAGGCTGAGGAGGAGGAAGAGGAGGGATTCCTCTTGCTGTCTCGGGTGGCAGAGGTGGAAGAAGTGGAAGGGGAGGCAGAAGAGGCAGGCACGCTCATTGCAACATTAAGGAAACATATTGTAATTTCTGTCTGACTTTGCTCTTTCATTTCTCTAAAAATGTTTCTATATAGTACCAATCCTTCCCCTGTTTGCTTTGGTTTCAGTGCTCTATCATAGAATGGTCCACGTCATAATAGAAGTTAAAAGCAGTCTTGAGTCTTTCTGCCAGACTGTCTAATGTCAATGTGTTTGCTGGCACTGCTGCTTCTTTTACATCTTCTTCCTCATTGTCTGGCACTGGTTCAGAAGCACTCATCTCCATCAAGTCATCTTCTGTTAATTCCCCTGGTGTGGTGTTGGCTAGCTCTTGAATTTCTCCAAGATCCATATCTTGAAATCATTCACCACTGCCACCATCTCCCCACCTTTATTCCATATCCATAGTCTCTTTTATGATTTTCTCACTTGTCTTATAAATCCTGTGAGGTCATGCACATCTGGACACAGCTTTGTCCAGCATCAGTTTATCGTTTTAGGCTTGATGGCTTTCGCACTTTTTCAATAACAACCGTGGCATCTTCAATGAAGTAATCCTTCCAGACTTTCATGATGTTCTCTCTATCAGAATTCTCTTTCGTAGCATTGACAGTCCTTTCCATAGAGTACCTGTATAATGAGCCTTAAAGGTCCTCATGAACTCCGCATATAGAGGCTAAATTAGAGACATATTTAGGGAAAAGTAGATCACTTCAGTGTCTTTGGTGTTGAACTCATGGGGTTCTGGGTGGCCAGTGGCACTGTCCAGTATGAAAAGAACTTTGGCAAGGTGCTTCCTGATTCCAGGGACAAAGCATTGATGGAACCAGTCCAGAAAAGGGGTTCCCATTGGCCAGCCTTTCTTGTACAACCAGAACACTGGCAGCTGGTGTTTCTTCTTTCTGTTCAAGGCCAGGGGTTAACTTTATAGACAGGGCAGTGCTGATCATGAACCCAACTACATTTGCACAAAAGAGTAGATTTAGCCTATCCCTTCCTGCCTTAAATCCTGGTACTCACTTCTCTTCCTTACTAATAAATGTCCTTTGTGGCATTTTTTTTCCAGAAGAGGGCGCTTTCATCAGTTATTTGGAACCTTTTCAGGCAGATACATTTCTCCTCAATGATTTTCTTAATGGCATCTGGGAACTCATTATCTGCTGCCTCTTGGTCAGCAGAAGCTGCTGCTTCTGTTATCTTGATATTTTAAAAGCCAAACCTCTTTCTAAAATTGTCAAACTATCCTTTGCTGGCATTAAATTTCCCAGCTTTAGATCCTTCCCTTCCGTTTGCTTTAAGTTGCTTTGCTTTTTCTTGACTCATACAGGTATGCCTTATAGCAATCTTGCTCCCACATAAAAACTGCATTTTCAATGAGATAAAAAGGTATTTCTCAAAAAGCGTAAGATTTTCACACCTGCTGGCATAGCTGCAGTGACAGCTTCACAAATCTCTTTTTCTTCTTTCACAATGGCCCTTACTCTGGATTCATTTATCTGGAAATGGCAGGCAACCACGGTTATAGACCTCCATCTGCGGAACATATTGAGCAATTCACCTTTTGCTTGTGATGTCATGACTTTTCTCTGCTTCTCGGGAGTACTTACAGCATCACTAGTGGCACTTCGTATAGCCATGATGTTATTCAAGGTTTACTGTATTCCACTAAACACAATGAAAAATGCACAAGAACCACAGAGATCACTTTTTACTATAATATACAATATTCTGACAAAACAAATGACTTACTTGGAGATGATTAGTGTCACAATACATTTTTTTAAGTCGATTCTCACAACACTTGAGCTCACTGCAGTAGCAACAGGAGGTGGCTACAAAATCATTTTTTAAATAAAGTTATTACAGTAGTATACTGTATTATATAGTTCATTGTATGCAGTTTTGATTTAATACCACTTTTTTTTTTTTTTTTTTTTGAGATGGAGTTTTGCTCTTGTTGACCAGGCTGGAGTGCAATGGTGTGATCTCGGCTCACCGCAACCTCCGCTTCCCAGGTTCAAGCAATTCTCCTGCCTCAGCCTCCCAAGTAGCTGGGATTACAGGCATGCGCCACCACACCCGGCTAATTTTGTATTTTTTTAGTAGAGATGGAGTTTCACCGTGTTGGTCAGGCTGGTCTCGAACTCCCAACCTCAGGTGATCTACCCACCTCAGCCTCCCAAAGTGCTGGGATTACAGGCATGAGCCACCATGCCCGGCCTGATTTAATACTGCATTTTTACATTTGTTCACATTTCTCTAGATGCAAATGGCGCCAGGTATGGTCCATAAGTATGTGTGTGTGAGTTTTGATTATTTTAACCTTTTATAATAGGTTTGTGTGTATTTTATGATATAAATAATAAAATAGGCTAGTATCTATATATGTCTTATGCATTCATGACATATCTCTTTCTTAATTTTTTTTCATATTTCTAGGCTATGCAGTTTGTGTGCTAGTTTTTTTCAAATTGTCACAAATCTCCAAAAATTTTCCAATATATTCATTGAAAGAAAATTGCCAATGAGTAGACCCATGCAGTGCAAACCTATGTTGTTCAAGGATCAACTGAACACTTATTATAGTTAAACACTATTACTACTACTGTACTAAACACAGAGCAATCACTACTTTACTCACTGTCTTCCCATCCCGGTAGCCTTCTTAACCTCACTTGCAGTCCCTTATCCCTAGAATGAATACTCCAAATCTTCTCTTAACTAAATCCTTTATTTTCTTCAGGTTTCTCCTCAATTTACCTCTACAGACCACCCTATCTGTTGTCTTGCCCCAATCCCCTTACTCTATCCTAATATCTAAAAATAGGCCGGGTGCTGTGGCTCACACCTGTAGTCCCAGCACTTTGGGAGGCCGAGGCAGGCGGATCACCTGAGGTCAGGAGTTCGAGACCAGCCTGGCCAACATGGAGAAACACCATCTCTACTAAAAATACAAAAATTAGCTGGGCATGGTGGCGGGTACCTGTAATCCCAGCTACACAGGAGGCTGAGGCAGGAGAATCTCTTGAACCCAGGAGGCGGAGGTTGCAGTGAGCCAAGATCGCGCCACCGCACTCCAGCCTGGGCTACAAGAGCAAGACTCCACCTCAAAAAAAAATAAAAGAATTCATTTTCATTGTAGCACTTAACACTGTCTGAAATTGGAGTTTTGCATACTTCAGTAGGATATAAGCTCCTTAAGAGTAGAGATTTCGGCCAGGCACAGTGGCTCACCACCAAGCAACAACAGCAAAACTCCGTCTCAGAAAAAAAAAAAAAAAAAAAAAGAATAGACATTTCTTGTTCACCACTGTATTTCTCAGACCCTAGAACAGTGCCTACAGCATTTAGGTACCGAGTAAATATTTGTTGCATGAATAAATGAATGTAATGATTAAATGGAATAATAGATCAAAAAATTACTTTATGTTGGTTGGGCATGGTAGCTCATGCCTGAAATGCCAGCACTTTGGGAGGCCGAGGTGGGTGGATCACCTAAAGTCAGGAGTTCGAGACCAGCCTAGCCAACATGGCAAAACCCCATCTCTACTAAAAATTAGCCAGACATGGTGATGGGCACCTGTAATCCCAGCTACTTGGGAGGCTGAGGCAGGAGAGTTGCTTGAACCCAGGATGTGGAGATTGCAGTGAACCAAGATTGCGCCACTTCACTCCAACCTGGGTAACAGAGCAAGACTCTGTCTCTAAAAAAAAAAATATATATATATATATATATTAATCTATGTGATCATAAAGAACTTAAGAGAAATGAGAATGGCTGCTCTCTTCTGCTTACACTTTAATCATTATGTGGTTTTCTTTTCTTTTTTTTGAGACAGAGTCTCTGTCACCCAGGCAATGGAGGTGCAGTGGCGCAATCTCGGCTCTGCAACTTCCGCCTCCTGGGTTCAAGCAATTGTCCTGCCTCAGCCTCCCGTGTAGCTGGGACTACAGGCATGTGCCACCACACCCAGCTAATTTTTGTATTTTTAGTAGAGACGGGGTTTCACAGTGTTGGCCAAGCTGGTATTGAATTCCTGACTCAGATGATCTGCCCGTGTTGGCCTCCCATAGTGCTGGGACTACAGGCGTGAGCCACTGCACCCGGCCCGCTGTGTGGTTGTCTAAAGAGACTTGTGAGCCATATAAAATTATTTAAATGCCTTATTTTTACTTGGCAAGTAGTGAGTGTTGGCTAATACAGTATCACTTCACTGGACTGTATATCTTGTTTCTTTTTCGTGTGTGTGTGACAGTCTTGCTCTGTCGCCCAGGCTGGAGTGCAGTGGTGGGATCTCAGCTCACTGCAACCTCTGCCTCCCAGGTTGAAGCAATTCTCCTATCTCAGCCTCCTGAGTAACTGGGACTACAGGTGTGCACCACCATGTCCCCCAGCTAATTTTTGTAATTTTTTTTTTTTTTTTGAGATGAAGTCTCACTCTGGAGTGCGATGGTGTGATCTCAGCTCACTGCAACCTCCGCCTCCCGGGTTCAAGTGATTCTCCTGCCTCAGCCTCCCGAGTAGCTGGGATTACAGGTGCACGCCACCATGCCCGGCTAATTTTTTTGTTTTTTTAGTAGAGACAGGGTTTCACTATGTTGACCAGGCTGGTCTGGAACTCCTGACCTCAGGTGATCCGCCCGCTTTGGCCTCCCAAAGTGCTGGGATTACAGGCGTGAGCCACCATGCCCAGCCTATGTCATTTCATTCCAAAGGAGAAGACTATTACTGAAAAAAATCAAGCATAGCAAAAAAATCAGAAATGAAGAAGAAATGTTAGAAAATTACCTAAATTTTGTAATCCCAGCTAGTCGGGAGGCTGAGGCAGGAGAATCGCTTGAACCCAGGAGGCAGAGGTTGCAGCAAGCCAAAATCCCTCCATTGCACTCCAGCCTGGCAGCCTGGGGGACAAGAGCGAGACTTCGTCTCAAAAAAAAAAAAAAAAGAAATAAAGAAAGAAAATTACCTAAATTTAAAGCAGAGTTGATATAGTGACTAGGAAGTCAGTGACATATGTGACATATCTGTGAACATTAAAGATATCCCAGACAGATGAGGCACATAAAAATATAGACAAAAATTTTTTCAATCCATATATAATAGTATGTTTCATCGTTGTTTAATGTTGTGGCTTTTTTTTTCCTTTGTATTTTTCTTTTTGCTTATCTTTTAATAAATAATTTTTTTAATTTTTCTTTTTGAGACAGAGTTTCACTTTGTCACTCAGGCTAGAGTGCAGTGGCATGATCACGGGTCACTGCAGCCCCAACTTCCTGGCTTAAGCAATCCTACAACCTCCCTCAGCCTCTCGAGCCCTACTAAATTTTTAATTTTTTGTAGAGATGGTGTCTCCCTTGTGTTGCCCAGACTGGTTTCAAACTCCTAGGCTCAAGCAGTCTTCCCACTTCAGCCTCTCAAAGTGCTGTAATTACAGGCATGAACCACCACACCTGACCTCAATAAAATTTTGTGGCATTTTAGCAGAGGATCATGGGGTATGTAATGGAAAGAACATGGATCTGATGCCAGAAACCCTAGGTTTGTGTCCAAGCTCCATGCTTACTAACTCTGTGACCTGAGTCTGAAGTTACTGAGTCACTAGTAGGGGTACTAGTAGCCTTCTTTTTTTTTTTTTTATTGAGACGGAGTCTCACTCTGTGGCCCAGGGTGAAGTGCAATGGCATGGTCTCGGCTCACTGCAACCTCCACTTCCTGGGTTCAAGTGATTCTCGTGCCTCCAGCCTCCCAAGTAGCTGGGATTACAGGCATGCACCACCATGCCAGGCTAATTTTTGTATTTTTAGTAGAGATGGGGTTTCACCATGTTGGTCAGGCTAGTCTTGAACTCTTGACCTCAGGTGATCCACCCACCTCAGCCTCCTAAAGTGCTGGGATTACAGGCCTGAGCCACCATGCCTGGCCACTAATAACCTTCTCAATGGATGGCTATGAGGATTAAATGGGATAATATATGTGAACATTCTTTGTTACTGTGAGGTATTTTTTAAAATGCTATAAGATCTCTTTCAGCCTTCATCAGAGTTCCAGTTTTGTGGTAATTCAGATTCCTCATTTATTTAGTGGGAAGGATAACTATGACTGAATAATAGGTCATGAGTTCTCTGCTGACAGATGCTTGTTTTATATCCCATTGCACTTCACATGGAGCTGACATAGGCACCCAATAAATATTTGTGGGATTAAAGGGGGGCTGGTGAAAACAGTACCATTTTTCTCCCTGAATAAAGCACAAAAGAAGGTGACTATTGCTGAGTGACTGCTCTTCACGCAGAAATATACTATAATCAGTTTTCATGCTTATTTTATTTAATGTAAAATTTAAAAGCCCATAAACTGTTAACATGATATGATTAGTTAATGGGCTGTCTCTAAAATATATCTGAATTTAGATTACCAGATTGGCCAGTCAATTATAGTTTCTTTTTCTCATTTCCAGTAAAATGTTTATGGATTTTATTTATTAATAAAATTGTCTTCCTGTCTTATAAGGTTAGGAGAATAACTCTTCCTATAGAAATAGAATGTCAAGGTCAGGTGTGGTGGTGCATGCCTGTAGTCCCAACTACTCGGGAGGCTAAAGCAGAAAGATTGCTTGGGCTCAAGAGTTCAAGACCATCCTTGGCAGTATAGTGAGACCTCATCTCTAAAAAAATAAAAAAATAGAAAGTTGCCAGTGGGGCCAAGCGCAGTGGCTCATGCCTGTAATCCCAGCACTTTTGGAGGCCAAGGCGGGCAGATCACGAGGTCAGGAGTTCGAGACCAGCCTGACCAACATGGTGAAACCTGTCTCTACTAAAACTACAAAAATTAGCTGGCGTGTGCCTGTAATCCCAGCTACTCAGGAGGATGAGGCGGGAGAATCAATTGAACCCAGGAGGTGGAGGTTGCAGTGAGCTGAGATCACATCATTGCACTTCAGCCTGGGCAACAGAGCAAGACACTGTCTCCAAAAAAAAAAAAAAATAGCCAGTGTACTGAAAAAGTTTATTTATAGAGCTTAGCTAGGCCAGGCACAGTGGCTCATGCCTGTAATCCCAGCATTTTGGTAGGCTGAGGCGGGTGGATCACTTGAGTCCAGGAGTTTGAGACCAGCCTGGGCAACATGGCGAAACCCCATCTCTGCTAAAAATATAAAAAATTAGCCGGGCGTGATGGCATGTACCTGTAGTCCCAACTACTCAGGAGGCTAAGGTAGGAAAATCACCTGAGCCTGGGGAGGTTGAGGCTGCAGTGAGCCGTGATCGCGCAACTGCACTTCAGCCTGGGTGACAGAGCAAGGCCTTGTCTCAAAAAATAAAAATTAAAATAAAAAAAGAGCTTAGCTAATAATTCTTGGCATTATACCGACAGACATTATACTTTTCCACACCTCAGTTTTTCTGGTTATAGAAAGATAAATCTCCATTTTGTCCTTATTAAGTCAGAGAATATATAAAACATGTAGTTATTTATTTGTTTAAATCCTCTGGGACTTTACAAAGAAAATAAAACTGATAGTGAAAATTTCTCTTTTTTTTTTTTTTTGAGAAAGGGTCTTGCTCTGTTGCCCAGGCTAGAGTGCAGTGGCACAATCTTGGCTTACCGCAAACTCCGCCTCCCTGGCTCAAGCAACCCTCCTACCTCAGCCTGCCGAGTAGCTGAGACCACAGGCGAAATTCTCAGATTATTGCATATTTTGGTTAAAAACAGCTTTATAATCTATATTAGTTTTTCATTTACTTCATTTATCATATTCTTTTTTAAAAAAATTTTTCTTGTTTCTTTTCTGTGCCTATGCTTACCCACATATTGATTCTTTTTATATACCCAGGTGCTATACTTGTATTTTTACCAGGACTAGCAGAAATCAAAATGCTTTATGAACAGCTACAGTCTAATTCTCTTTTCAACAACAGACGTAGTAATCGGTAAGCTAATTGCTTTCTATATTCTTAATCATCCATTGCAGTTACCTCTAAAGATATCATCACCCTCTTTAGACCCTGGAAGAGCACCAGTCTTCGAGCATACATTTGTTTATGCCAGCTGGAAATGAGCAAACCTATTTGCTGCAGGAAATCAGTTATTCCCTTTTTATTAAAGAAAAATATTGGCCAGGCTCAGTGGCTCATGCCTGTAATCCCAGCTCTTTGGGAGGCCGAGGCGGGCGGATCACCTGAGGTCAGGAGTTGGAGACCAGCCTGACCAACGTGGAGAAACCTCATCTCTACTAAAAATACAAAATTAGCTGGGTGTGGTGGCCGGCACCTATAAACCCAGCTACTCAAGAGGCTGAGGCAGGAGAATAGCTTGAACCCGGGAGGCAGAGGTTTTGGTGAGCTGAGATCACACCATTGCGCTCCAGCCCGGGCAACAAGAGTGAAACTCCGTTTCAAAAAAATTCTCTTCACTTAGCATAGTGACTCAGCAAATTTGCATGTAATTTTAGATGTCAGAGCCCCAGATAGTGGGGGAAGGTGGGGGAAAGGCAGCATTAGTAACAACAAAGAAGTCCTACCATTATGAGAGAAAATCATCTTCAATAGTTCCTATTCCAGGAGCAAGACACACTGGGTGTGTCTTCATTTTTAAGGGGAAAACTATTTGACAAACGAACACTCCCTTAAAATGTAAGAATGAAGTTTCTGAGGTTACATCATTGTCATTGCCTGTCTTCTCTGTGTGTGTGTATGTATGTGTGTGTGTGTGTATGTGTATATATATGTATGTGTGTATATATATATATATATATATATATATATTTTTTTTTTTTTTTTTTTTTGAGACAGAGTCTCGCTCTGTGGCCCAGGCTGGAGTGCAGTGGCGTGATCTCGGCTCACTGCAACCTCCGCCTCCCAGGTTCAAGTGATTCTTCTGCCTCAGCCTCACAAGTAGCTGGGGTTACAGGCTCATCTTGTATTTAAAGGAAGAATAATTCTTTGCTGGTTAGTTTGCACTAGGCTTGTTGGTTGTAGAATATCAATTATTTATTCCTCTTCATTATTTACTACTGAATTACACTCCAACATTTTTCCCAAGTTGGTATGAGGTTTTTGGTTCCTAGAACTAAGTAAATATTTTGTAAAAATCAGAAAGGACTTTACCTTTTATTTTATTTTATTTTATTTTATTTTTCGAGACGGAGTCTCACTATTGTCGCCCAAGCTGAAGTGCAATGGCAGGATGTCAGCTCACTGCAACCTCTGCATCCTGGGCTCAAGTGATTCACCTGCCTCAGCTTCCCGAGTAACTGGGATTACAGGTGCCCACCAACACACCTGGTTAATTTTTGTATTTTTAGTAGAGACGAGGTTTCACCATGTTGGCTAGGCTGATCTCAAACTCCTGACCTCGGGTGATCCGCCTGCCTCAGCCTTCCAAAGTGCTGGGATTACAGGTGTGAGCCACCGTACCCGGCCAAGACTTTACTATGTAGAAGAGCTGAGCTCTGAGGACAGGTTGTGGAGAAGTTGCTAATACCTGAAGTCATATTGTTGGTTTTAGTAGAAATTCACCTACTGTAATCTAGTTTCGGTGCTAGGTGCTAGAATACTTCATGTGCTTTTATTTCCTTCCAGATGTGTTATTCACCCACTTCATTCATCTTTATCCAGTGAAGAGCAGCAGGCTGTGTTTGTAAAACCTCCTGCAGGAGTAACTAAGATTATAATTTCCACCAACATTGCTGAGACATCCATAACCATCGATGATGTTGTCTATGTTATCGATTCTGGGAAAATGAAAGAAAAGAGGTATTCCGTCTTGTGGTGATGTAAGAGAGGGGCTAAAAATGCTTCATTTAGGGAGACACCGTTGTTAGTGGCTAATGCTATTAAGCTACACGGATTACTGTATGAAAAAATACTTTGTGAAAACTGTACGTGGATGTGTGAATGATTGTGTAGCCAGGACCATGGACCTTAACATCAAATGGGGATGAAAAGTAATGAATTGCTTTTTCTCTCTTTTTGTCATGTGATTTTATATGTGCTTGTATGAAAAGGGGTTGAATAAAGAAACTGTGTAGTTTGGGAAACTCTGCACTTGATGCCACTTAAATCAGCACTAGCTGCTCCTACCAGGGGCTCAACTATCCCAGAATATACAGGGCACTGTGTCCCTCTACAGGAGGAAGCTGGTTCATCTATTCTGTCCATAGCAAGCAGTCTTGGCCATGTTTTTATAAAATGACTCAATTTATATTTTCTTTTTCTTTATAGATATGATGCCAGCAAAGGGATGGAAAGTCTAGAGGACACCTTTGTATCTCAAGCTAATGCTCTACAAAGGAAAGGCCGAGCAGGCCGTGTTGCATCTGGGGTCTGCTTCCATTTATTCACTAGCCATCACTACAATCACCAGCTTTTAAAACAACAGCTACCAGAAATACAAAGAGTGCCATTGGAACAGCTGTGTCTAAGGTGACATCTGGTTTTTTGTGTTTTGCTTCCAAAAGGTCTAAATGTTTCTCACTCTATTAAGTTCCATGTTTTCCTTTTACTTCTAGAAGATATTTGGCTAAGAATGACCACCAATAATCTCATTTATTTGTGAAGAAAGATATCCTTAGTGTTGCCTTTACCATTCCTTTTAAATTTCTGCACATAAAGATCTCTTACATTGCAGAGCATGGCCCTAAAACAGAGCTTAAGAGTACATATGTAGGGCCGGGCATGGAGGCTCATGCTTATAATCCCAGCACTTTGGGAGACTGAGGCAGGTGGATCACCTGAGGTCAGGAGTTCGAGACCAGCTTGGCCAACATAGCAAAACTCCATCTCTACTAAAAATACAAAAATTATCTGTGTGTGATAGCACACACCTGTAATCCCAGCTACTTGGGAGGCTGAGGAAGGAGAATCTCTTGAACCCAGGAGGCAGAGGTTGCAGTGAGCTGAGATCGTGCCACTGCACTCCAGCCTGGGCAACAGAGTGAGACTCCATCTCAAAAAATAAAAATTAAATAAATGAATAAAATAAAAATGAAATTTAAGTAAGTGGATTACTGTCAATTCACGTCTTAAAGTGAACTACATTAAGTGAGAAAAGGCTAGGTACCAAAAATATACATGTTAATAAAAATGTAAAATTGTGTGTATATAGATTGGCAACTTAAAAAGGAGCTGTATGTGAAGTAAATAAAATTTTTTGTTTATGTTGCACTTTTCTCTAAGTTGCCGATATTCATAATTTGTTTTTTTTTAAAATGAGAACTCTTTTTCTGAATGAAGTTCATAATTTAAAACACTAGTTTTTGAAGAGCTATCACAAGGCAGGACACAATGCAGATTAATTTTATAAACAATGACTGCAGCTTTGGGCTGGGTGTGGTGGCTCATGCCTGTAATCCCAGCACTTTGGGAGGCTGGGGCAGGCAGATCACCTGAGGTCAAGAGTTCAAGACCAGCCTGGACAACATGGTGAAACCCCATCTCTACTAAAAAAATATAAAATTAGCCAGGTATAGTGGCGCACGCCTGTAATCCCAGTTTCTTAGGAGGCTGAAGCAGGAGAATCACTTGAACCCGGGAGGTGGAGGTTGCAGTGAGCCAAGATCATACCATTGCACTCCAGCCTGGGCAATAAGAATGAAACTCTATACCCCCCCAAAAAATAAAAATATATAAATAATGACTGCAACTTCAGATGTGAGAAGGAATAAGTGGATCGTTTAAACCTTTTTCATAAATACCTTTAATTGTATAGCAGTCAGAACTATCTAAGTTAATCATGTCCAGTTTTTATTATGGTAAGAATACTTAATATGAGATCTACCCTCTTAGCAAATGTTTAATTTTACAACACAGTACCGTTAACTATAGGCATAATGTTGTACAGCAGAGCTCTCGAACTTACTCATTTTGCAAAACTGAAACTTTATACCTATTGGACTGCAACTCTCCATTTTCCCCTCATGTCCAGCCCCTGGCAACCATTCCACTCTGCTTCTGTGAGTTTGACTATTTTAGATACCTCATACAAGTAGAACCATCCAGCATTTGTCTTTTTGTGACTGGCTTATTTCACTTAACATAATGTCCTCAAGGTTTCATCCATACTGTTGCATATTGCAGAATTTCTTTCTTTTTTAAGCCTGAGTAGTATTCCACTGTATGTATATATACTGCACTTTCTTTATCCACTCATCTGTAATGAACTTTTAGGTTGTTTCCACATCTTGGGTATTGTGAATAATATTACAGTGAACACAGGAGTGCAAGTATCTCTGTTCTGCAAGATTCTTTTTTTTTTTTGTGGAAACAGAGTCTTGCTCAGTCACCCAGGCTAGAGTGCAGTGGCATGATCTTGGCTCACTGCAACCTCCACCTCCGGGTTCAAGTGATTCTCCTGCCTCAGCCTCCCAAGTAGCTGGGATTACATGTGCACATCACCATGCCTGGCTAATTTTTGTATTTTTAGTAGAGACTGGGTTTCACCATGTTGGCCAGGCTGGTCTCGAACTCCTGACCTCAAATGATCCACCTACCTCGGCCTCCCAAAGTGCTAGGATTACAGACGTGAGCCACTGCGCGTGGCCTCTCTGCAAGATTCTGACTTCAATTCTTTTGGATGTATACTTAGAAGTGGGGTTGCTGGATCATATGGTAGTTCTATTTTTAGTTTTTTGAGGAATCTCTATCCTGTTTTTCATAGTGGCTGCATCATTTTACATTCCCACCAACAACGTGCAGGGTTCCAAGTTCTCCACATCCTTGCCAACACTTATTATCTTTTGTCATGAACTCTGTTTCATAATTTGATCCCACTGTTATGGAAAGAAGCATTTTGAAAGTTTATAGAGAGAATTTTGTTCTGAATATGAATAAGTTTCAGAATCTGAAAGTGTTTTTGTGGTTTATTGGTAGAAGTAGAAAACATGAGATTTTAAAATTTTTTATTTAAACTTGTAAATTATTATCACTCACAAAAGAAATTATTCCTCTGTGTCATCCCACCAGAAATAAAATTGACAAATTATTATTTTGTTTCCTTTTCAGAATTAAAATTTTAGAGATGTTTAGTGCTCATAATCTCCAGTCTGTGTTCTCTCGGCTCATTGAACCTCCACACACCGATTCTCTTCGTGCCTCAAAAATACGATTACGAGACTTAGGAGCATTAACTCCAGATGAAAGATTGACCCCTCTTGGGTATCATTTGGCCTCTCTGCCCGTGGATGTGAGAATTGGCAAACTAATGTTGTTTGGGTCTATCTTCCGCTGTTTGGATCCTGCTCTCACCATTGCTGCCAGTTTGGCTTTTAAGTCTCCGTTTGTAAGTAAACAACATTCATCTAAACTGGAGTCTCTAAGAGGACCATAGGTCTCTAAGGGGACCATGGGGGAAATCAAGGGCATGTGAGCCCCCTAAAAATTTGCTTGTATGTTAGCTGTGAATTTTTAGGGCACATCTGCATGGGAGGGAGAAGGTCAAAAATAAATTTCTGAAAAGACAAAAACAAATAAAACAAACAAAAGGATTTTTTAGGGAGCAATGTCATCCAATCCTCAAAGAGATCCACCCTCCAATTAAAGACTGAGAACTAGAGATATAACTTATTAAAAGTAATCCAGGCCAAGCGCGGTGGCTTATGCCTGTAATCCCCGCACTTTGGGAGGCGGAGGCGGGCAGATCATTTGAGGTCAGGAGTTCGAGACCAGCTTGGCCAACATGGTGAAACCCTGTCTCTATTAAAAATACAAAAAATTAGCCAGGCGTGGTGATGTGCACATGTAGTCCCAACTACTTGGGAGGCTAATGCAGGAGAATCGCTTGAACCTGGGAGGCGGAGGTTGCTGAGCCGAGATCGCGCCACCACATTCCAGCCTGGCGACAGAGCAAGGCTCCGTCTAAAAAAAAAAACAACTAATATTAATTCTTCTTTAGGGCCTGGCGTGGTGGCTCACGCCTGTAATCCCAGCTCTTTGGGAGGCCGAGGCAGGTGGATCACCTGAAGTCAGGAGTTTGAGACCAGCCTGACCAACATGGAGAAACCCCGTCTCTACTAAAAATACAAAATTAGCTGGGATGGTGGTGCATGCCTATAATCTCAGCTACTCGGGAGGCTGAGGCAGGAGAATCACTTGAACCTGGGAGGCAGAGGTTGCAATGAGCCAGTCGCGCCATTGCACTCCAGCCTGGGCAACAAGAGCGAAATTCCGTCTCAAAAAAAAAAATTATCATTAAATGTTTAGTAGAATTCAGTGGTATAAAGCCACCTGGGCCGGGGGGTGGTGGAGCAGGAGTGTTGGTGGGTAGTTGTTTTATTATTAATTCAATCTCTTCATTAGTTCTAGGACTTTTCAGATTGTCTATTTCATTTTGAGTCAGTTGTGATAGTTTATTTTTTTCTAGGAATTTTATTTTGTCTAACTTATCTAATTTATTGGCATATAATTATTCATAATGTCCCTTTATAATCCTTTTTATTTCTGTAAGGCTAGTAATAATGTCCCTTTTTCTGATTCTAGTAACTTGAGCTTTCCCTCTCTTTTTCTTGGTCAGTCTAGCTAAAGATTTGTCAATTTTCTTTGTCTTTTCAGAGAATCAACTTTTGGTTTTATTTTTTGTTTTTGAGATGGGGTCTCGCTCTGTTGCCCAGGCTGGAGTGCAATGGTGCAGTCTTGGCTCACTGCAACCTCCGACTTCCAGGTTCAAGCGATTCTCCTGCCTCAGCCTCCCGAGTAGCTGGGATTACAGGTGTGTGCCACCATGCCCAGCTAATTTTTGTATTTTTATAGAGACGGGGTTTCACCATGTTAGTCAGGCTGATCTCTAACTCCTGACCTTGTGATCTGCCTGCCTCAGCCTCCCAAAGTGCTGGGATTGCAGGTGTGAGCCACCATGCCTGGCAGTTTTATTAATTTTTTTCAATTGTTTTTCCGTTCTTTATTTCTTTACTGTCTGCTCTTTATTCTTTCCTTCCTTCTGTTTACTTAAGGTTTAGGTGGCTCTTCTTTTTCTAGTGTCTTAAAGTAGAAGTTTAGTTTCTTGTTTTGAGATCTTTCTTTTTTATATAAGCATGTATAGCTCTCAGTTTTTCTCTAAGGACTATTTTAGCTGCATCCCACACATTTTGGTTTTCCTTTTCATTCATCTGGAAGTATTTTCTGATTTTCCTTTTTATTCTCCTGTGACCCTTTGATTATTTAGGCATGGGTTGTTTAATTTCTATATATTTGTGAGTTCGCAATTTTTTTTTCATTATTTCTAATTTCAGTCTACTGTGAACAGAGAACATATTTGTATTATTTCAATCCTCTTTAAAATGTATTGAGCTTTGTTTTATGGTCAAGCATATGGTCTGTCCTGGAGGGTGTTCCACGTATACTTGAGAAGAAAGGATTTTTTGCTGTTGGGTAGAGTGTCAGTCTGCCTTTTTTTTTTTTTTCCTTCATTAAAAAAAATCTTTTTTTACTGGTCCTTTCATGATAAGCAATCTGCCTTTATTTTTATCATGGCTTATTTTATATAGTTCGGAGAATAAATGGATGTATTCAGTTTCTTCAGTTTTAATGTTATATGTCATCGAATTATAAACTCACAGATCTGCAAAAATATCTTAGTCCAGCTCCCTGACTTAACAACAAATTATAAACCAGCTGGTCCAGTGGTAGTGAGTTATCTCAATTGATTGTTGGGACTTGACTACTCTTTAAAAAAAGAAAAAAAGAAATGATAAAACCAAGGACCAGAAGAGGTGACATAACTTGCTGGGGGTACACAGTATCAACCTTGTGAACAGGACTTCTATTACCTTTTCCCAAATCATCTAAACCAACCTCTCACTGACCATTTTCTTTTATTGGAATAAAGAAAGACTCATTAGAGACGTTGATGTCTGGTTTGAGGTTCCATGGTGTAATGGTGAGCACTCTGGACCCTGAATCCAGAAATGTTGATGTCTGCCTTCGTTTAGTGATCTGAAGAAAAAAAAAAAAGAGAGAGAGAAAAGAAATATTGATGTCATCCTTGGCCAAAACTGAGCACCTGCCCTTTGCTGGACTCTGTAAACATAATATTAATCTCCCACGTGCAATCCTTTTCCCACTGGCCTGTCTAAAAAGGAAGGAATTTTACTTTCAAGTAGAAATTAAAATTTTATTGCTATTGTATTAGTTATAAGATTATTTAAATATACAAAAATTAGAGAGAAGCACTATGGTTGGTTTAGAATGATTTTCAGTGGTGTTGCAACTAGGGCATTGGTTTAGATTGCCATGAGAAACTACTGCAGCTCATGCTGATACCTTTAGAGCCTGAGAAGGTAGAGAAATATTATTATTGGATTAATGAATCGGTATGTGTAAAGTGGTGAAAATTAACTTCCCTGCTGATTTTACACATTTGTAGGGAAAAGGAAGACTTGTAAACATTTGTAATAAAATAAGAGGATTCTTCCCAGTGTAGATTTTCAAGTAAAACAATAAATAAGAGTAAAACACTAGTTATGGGTATAGAAGCAAGGGAGACTCAAACGTAGAAGACGAATAAGAATCTGTAAAATAAAGAACCCAGATAACAGAATGTTAGGTTTTAGATATAGCTTTAGAATGAGTGGCTCTTTGATGACTCTTGCCACTTGGAACTAAAAGACCCAGAAGAGCTTATTTTGGGTGGGCAGGCAGACTTGACAGAGCAAAGACTGTGAGCTTGCCATTTACCGTCATAATTGCCTTTCATTAGCTGACCCACTGATTACACTTTTTCCACACAAAATCCTTTCCCAAGGCATCTGGCTTTAGCAATGGGAAAATGCCATTTGAAACCTCAGATAAAAAGTGTCCTGTAGGACCTGGTGTGGTGGCTCATGCCTATAATGCCAGCATTTTGGTAGGCCGAGGTGGGCCAATTGCCTGAGCCCAGGAGTTCAAGACCAGCCTGCACAACATGGTGAGACTCCGTCTCTACCGAAAATTTTAAAAAATTAGCTGGCCTGATGGGGCACACCTATAGTCCCAGCTACCAGGGAGGCTGAGGCAGGAGGATTGCTTAAGCCTGGGAGATAAAGGTTGCAGTGGGCTATGATCGCACCACTGCACTCCAGCCTGGGCAACAGAACAAGACCCTGTCTTTGAAAAAAAAAAAGTGTTCTTTAAATCTGATTTTCCTCTCTCCTTTAGGTATCTCCCTGGGATAAAAAAGAAGAAGCTAACCAGAAAAAGCTGGAATTTGCATTCGCAAACAGTGATTATCTGGCCCTTCTACAAGCGTATAAGGTAAGTATATAACCTAATAGCTTAGTTTTATTACCAGTGTTGGCACTGAAGACTGAGTAAGTTCAGTTTGATTTTCTCCAAAATTTAGGGATGGCAGCTAAGTACAAAAGAAGGCGTGCGTGCAAGTTATAATTACTGCAGACAAAACTTCTTGTCTGGAAGAGTTCTGCAGGTGAGTTGTGTCTGTGGCTTTTTCTTCATTTTTTTATTAGAGTAGCTCACCAGAGGGTGCTGCGACTTTGTCTCATGTGTCCTGTCTTAACATTGCAAATGTTATTTCTGGAATATGTTTGGCCTTACCAGCCGTGTAAAATGGACTCCCGCACTGTGGCATCAGGCTTTCTGTGCTGAACCTTTCCACTGACCTCCTTTTCCTCTTTGTGGTGAATTTTTGTTTACTTATGCGGAAGATAGGGTAGAATATAGGCAGTAAGATTGCTGCTTACTGGAAGTCAGTTTTTTCAGTAATTACACCAGGGATTCTTTTTCATTTGTTTGTTTGTTTGTTTGCTTGTTTGTTTGTGACAGAGTCTCATTCTGTCTCCCAGGCTGGAATGCAGTGGTGCGATCTCGGCTCACTTGCATCCTCCGCCTCCCAGGGTCAAGTGATTCTCCTGCCTCAGACACCTGAGTAGCTGGGACGACAGGCACATGCCACCATGCTCAGCTAATTTTTTTGTATTTTTAGTAGAGATGGGGTTTCACCATGCTGGCCAGGCTGCTCTGGAACTCCTGACCTCATGATCCGCCCACCTTGGCCACCCAAAGTGCTGGGATTACAGGTGTGAGACACCACACCGGGCTACACCAGGCATTCTTAACCTGAATCCCTAAGCCCCTGAAATTGTATACAAAATTGTATGCTTATACATATGTGCATTATTCTGGAGAGGCGGACCATAGCTTTCATCAGCTTTTCAGAGGGGTCCATGGCCATCTCTAATCCCCTTCCCCTCTCCCCAAAACCAAAGAACTAATACTGAACCAGATTTTGTTAATTTTTCTTACATCTATCAGAACCTACTATGTGAATATAATGAGTATACAAGAAAATGTTTAGCCGGGCTTGGTGGCTCATACCTGTAATCCCAGCACTTTGAGAGGCTGACGATTGCTTGAGCCCAGGAATTTGAGACCATCCTCGGAAACATGGCAAAACCCCATCTCTACAAAAAATACAAAAATCAGCCAGACCTAGTGACATGGGCCTGTAATCCCATCTACTCCAGAGGCTGAGGTGGGAGGATCACTTGAGCCTGGGAGGTCAAGACTGCAGTGAGCCATGAATGCCCTACTGTACTCCAGCCTAGGCCAACAGAGGGAGATCCTGCCTCAAAAAATAAAAATAAAAAATGTCTTATCTTCTGTATAATGTAGACAGGGCTTCTGTCTCCTGTTGCAACAGTGTTTTAGGTGCCCTTCCAAAGTGATGAGGCCAGGGACTATGGCTCACACCTGTAATCCCAGCACTTTGGAAGGCCGAGGGAGGCAGATCACTTGAGGCCAGGAGTTCAAGACCAGCCTGGCCAACATAGCAAAACTCCATCTCTATTAAAAATACAAAAAATTAGCTGGGCATGGTGGCTCATACCTGTAATCCCAGCTACTCGGGAGGCTGAGGCATGAGAATCGCTTGAACCCAGGAGATGAAGGTTTCAGTGAGTTGAGATTGTGCCATTGCACTCCAGCCTGGGCAACAGAGGGAGACTTTGTCTCAAAAAATAAATAAATAAATAAATAAATTCCAAAGTGGTATGAGAAGCCAAAATAATGATGGCACGCATCTTTGCAAAGCATGTTTTACTCAAAGATTTTGGGACCCTGCGCAGTGGCTCATGCCTATAATCCCAGCACTTTGGGAAGCCAAGGCAGGCAGAACCTTTGAGCCCAGGAGTTCGAGACCAGCCCGGGCAACATGGCGAAACCCCATCTCTACAAAAAAATATAAAAATTAGCCAGGCGTGATGGTGCACGCCTGTGGTCCCAGCTACTTTGGAGGCTGAGAATCACTAATCAAAAGTGGGTGGGGGGCTGTGTTTATATGTACAGGGCAATAAGAAATATTTTCTCAAGTCATTAAGATGCTTAAATATAAGATGAGGATATTTCTTTTAAATTACATTTCCTACTAAATTTTTTTTTCATTAGGATATGTGTAGATTTTGCTGTGACTTATGAGGTCCATCAAACAAGAGTTGCATCTTTTCACTAAACTTCAACTTAGATTGTAGGATTGTTTTTATTAAGATTTCAATTAAAACTTTGTCATGAAATAGAAACTGCGGTATATTTAACTCCTAATTATATTCTAGTTATCCATGTATACTTGAGACATTCCAAGAAAATACTTAAACCATCATTGAGAGACAGGGTAGTGTTGCTTAGCTTTCAGTTCCTTGAATGATTATTATTTCCTTCTCTTTGTCTGATGTGCAGCCTATGTGAGAACAGTAGCCACAAGAAAAAGAAGTTTGTGCTTTCTTTCTCACATTTGTGCTCAGCCACTAAAAGGAGCATCTCAATCTTAAACCATGGCCGGGCGTGGTGGCTCATGCCTGTAATCTCAGCGCTTTGGGAGGCCAAGGTGGGCGGATCACCTGAGATCAGGAGTTCGAGAGCAGCCTGGCCAACATGGTGAAACCTCCGTCTCTACTAAAAATACAAAAATTGGCTGGGCGTGGTGGCACACACCTGTAGCCCCAGCTACTCGGGAGGTTAAGGCAAGAGAATCACTTGAACCCAGGAGGCAGAGGTTGCAGAAAGCCAAGATTGCGCCACTGCACTCCAGCCTGGATGACAGAGCAAGACTCTGTCTCAAAAAAAAAAAAAATATTGAATCACTTAATGATGTCCCTATTCCTAGGAAAAGAGATGAGCCAGCAAGACCATAATGAAGGAGAAAGAGGAAACATTCTGCTGAGTTCCACTGAGAGCACGAACCACTCTAGGCCTGAGTAAGGAACTGAGAGGACAGGAGCAAAAATGCAAGTAGGAAAAGCTAGGTAGTAGACAGTGCCGCAGCACTTGGAGTTGGAATTCCAGTCAAAACAAACAGCATTTTTTGCTGTCCTAAGAATTTCGTGGAAAATCAGGCCTACCCAAAATCCAATGAGAGTGTTTAAAATTGTAATCTAGAGTTAAATAAATGATCCTTGGATTTATTGAATTTTTGCATTTCTGCATAACCGTTTCAGTTTGCCTGCCAGTTTGCGTAAGTGAAAGCTGCTTCTTGGAAATGACCAGACAAGATCCTCTTCATACCTGAGGAATGAATCCACTTGAGCCTCATTGCTACCCCCTGAAATAATGCATTTTTATAATCACTCATTTTTGTAAGACTTAACACTTTGTTATGCTGATGCCCTTGCTTAAAGGTTTTTCCACTTCTTTCAGGAAATGGCCAGCCTCAAACGACAATTCACGGAACTGTTATCGGATATAGGGTTTGCAAGGGAAGGGCTCAGAGCAAGGGAAATTGAGAAAAGGGCCCAAGGAGGAGATGGTGTCTTAGATGCCACAGGAGAAGAGGTAAAGAATGTGGAGTTGGTTCTCATTTCTCTTTAATTAGCACCTAAATACAATCTTAACCTGGGAACACTTGTAGACATTCTTCTTCACTTAAGCCTTTGAGCAGTGGGTTAATGGCATTCTTGATTTTCTGCTTCGCACAAATAAATATCAGCTGATCTGGCACGGTGGCTCGTGCCTATAATCCCAACACTTTGGGAGGCTGAGGCAGGTGGATTGCTTGAGCTCAGGAGTTCGAGACCAGCCAGAGCAACATGGTGAAATCCCTCATCTCTCTACAAAAAAATTAGCCAGGCATGGTGGTGTACCACCTGTCTTCCCAGCTATGTGGGAGGGTGAGGTGGGAGAATGATGTGATCCCAGGAAGCAGAGGTTGCAGTGGGCTAAGATTGAGACACTGCACTCTAGCCTGGGCAACAGAGCCAAACCCTGTCTCAAAAAAAAAAAAAGTATAAAAAAATTTTTTTAAGTGTCAGCTAACACTCATAAGAATAGAGGGGGCTGGGCACGGTGGCTCATGCCTGTAATCCCAGCACTTTGGGAGGCCAAGGTGGGCAGATCACTCAAGGTCAGGAGCTCGAGACCAGCCTGCCCAACATGGAGAAACCCTGTCTTTACTAAAAATACACAATTATCCAGGCATGGTAGCACATGCCTGTAATCCCAGCTACTCGGGAGGCTGAGGCAGGAGAATCGCTTGAACCCGGGAGGTGGAAGTTGCGGTGAGCCGAGATCGCGCCATTGCACTCCAGCCTGGGCAGCAAGAGCGAAACTCTGTCTCAAAAAAAAAAACAGGGTTTTCTGCTCATTGTTGCTGTTGTTTTTGGTTTTTAAATTTCATGCTGCTTCTTGATAAATTCATAAGAGATAGAATAGACTTCCAGTAGAATTTTCTCAAATCAGGCCAGCATTTTTTCTAACAAAAGACAGCTTTTTCTATAACTATAGGAAGAGCACTTCTGTAAGATGAACCTGATGCTCCTGTGTTCCGAGTGCAGTTAGCACTTTCTGGAGATTCTGAACATCTCATGAACCATAATTTTTTTCTCCATTTATACTCAGGAACACTGGCTTTGTAACGCTTTGCAAAGGTCTAGAAAGTCATTGTAGGCTCCTTGGAGTGGGTCCAATGTGACTGTGGTCCAGTAGATTTGTTTTTTTACTTAGAAATAATTTTTCTAGCAAAGAGATAGAAATTAGGTGCTCTTTTTTTTGCTTTAAGATAGAGATCAAATATAATAAAACGGTAAATCCTACAGCACAGACAGAAATAGCCATATTAGAGCCAGACGCAGTGGCTCACGCCTGTAATCTCAGTACTTTGAGAGGCTGAGGTGGGCAGATTGCTTGAGGTCCAGAGTTGGAGACCAGCCTGGCCAACATGGTGAAACCTTGTCTCTACTAAAAATACAAAAATTAACCGGGCATAGCGGTGTATGCCTGTAATCCCAGCTACTCGGGAGGCTGAGGCAGGAGAATCGCTTGAACCTGGGAGGCGGAGGTTGCAGTAAGCTGAGATGGCGCCACTGCACACTTGCCTGGGTGACAGAGCAAGACTCCATCTCAAAAAGAAAAAAAAGAAATAGCCATATCACTTGTTAATTAATGCTGTGCTTTTCTCATAGGCAAACTCAAATGCTGAGAACCCCAAGCTGATATCAGCAATGCTGTGTGCTGCTTTGTATCCAAATGTAGTGCAGGTAACAAAACATTTTTCCTAGATCTTTCCATTTTTTGTTTGATTTGTAGCCAAGTGATGTAAGTTAAGATGTGCATATTAATCATCTTAAAGAGATATATACGCATGTGTGCACACACGCACACCCTTTTAAACTTAGTATACATTTTCGGCCGGGTGCGGTGGCTCACGCCTGTAATCCCAGCACTTTGGGAGGCCGAGGCGGGCGGATCACGAGGTCAGGAGATCGAGACCATCCTGGCTAACACGGTGAAACCCCATCTCTACTAAAAATACAAAAAAAATTAGCCAGGCATGGTGGCGGGCACCTGTAGTCCCAGCTACTCGGGAGGCTGAGGCAGGAGAATGGCATGAACCCGGGAGTCGGAGCTTGCAATGAGCCGAGATTGCGCCACTGCACTCCAGCCTGGGTGACAGATGGAGACTCCATCTCAAAAAAAAAAAACTTAGTATACATTTTCAATCCTTCAGTTCCCAAAATCTGTTTGGATACATTATTCAATAACACATTTATTGTATAAAATTTTTAATCCTTCTGACATATGATATTCCAAAAATTAAAATAGACATAAATGTCAGTCGGCCAACCTATATATAACTAACTTTCTATGTTAGTTGGAAACTTGATTCAACTACAGTTTATCTTACACTCTCTACTCTGAACAAAAAGTAAAATAGCCAGGCATGGTGGCTCACGCCTGTAATCCCAACACTTTGGGAAGCCGAGTTGGGCAGATCACGAAGTCAGGAGTTTAAGACCCTCCTGGCTAACATGGTGAAACCCTGTATCTACTAAAAATACAAAAATTAGCTGGGTGTGGTGGTGCATGCCTGTAATCCCAGCTACTCAGGAGGCTGAGGCGGGAGAATTGCTTGAACTCAGGAGGCGGAGGTTGCAGTAAGCCAAGACCATGCCACTGTACCCCAGCCTGGGCCACAGACCGAGACTCTGTCTCAAAAACAAACAAACAAACAAACAAGTAAATAAGGGACAGGCACGATGGCTCACGCCTGTAATCCAAGCACTTTGGGAGGCCGAGGCGGGCGGATCGCCTGAGGTCAGGAGTTCGAGGCCAGCCTGACCAATATGGAGAAACCCCATCTCTACTAAAAATACAAAATTAGCCAGGCGTGGTGGTGCATGCCTGTAATCCCAGCTACTCAGGAGGCTGAGGCAGGAGAATCGCTTAAACCCGGGAGGCAGAGGTTGTGGTGAGGCGAGATCATACCATTGCACTCCAGCCTAGGCGACTAGAGCGAAACTCCGTCTCAAATAAAAATAAAAAATCAGTGCTTTGCCATAAGACCACCTGTGGCCAGCCTTCTGGAAACCCTACTTGAGTGTGCTCTTGGACTTTTACCTGAGTTTTGATTATCCATCCCTAACAAGGCACCATTTTCCCCCAGAGAGTTTCAATTTGGCAGAATACTGAATCATTTTTCAAAGCCTTAACTTTTTTTATTAAATCCTCAGTTAACATCTGACTGATTTATGGCTCATTTTCTGCTTAGCATTTGTATGCTTTTCAAACCATTTGAAATGTACTTTTAAAAAATTGTTTGTGCTTTGTAGTGTGGTTATGAAAGGGAAAAAAGTCATTTGGATATAGATTTACTGGTTTTTATATTATACTCTAGTAATGTAAGGTCTTACCGTTGGTGGAAGCTGGGTGAAGGGTACAAGGAACTCTGTACTATTTTGCCGCTTCCTGTGAGTCTATAATTATTTCAAAATAAAAAGATTATTTAAAAAAGAATGTGGGGGCCAGGAGCATTGGCTCATGCCTATAATCCAAGCACTTTGGGAGGCTGAGGTGGGCGGATTGCTTGAGCTCAGGAGTTTGAGACCAGCCTGGGCAACATGGCAAAACCCTGTCTCTAAAAAAAGAAAAAAGAAAAAGAATGTGGGGAAAAATCATTTGGAGACTTAAAATGTAGAAACAAAGAACATAAATGTGGTATAAGAAGTTTTAGGTGACAATATAGTTTTGAGGCTAAACCAAAAAGGAAAAGGAGATATATCTGACTGTATATCTAAGAACTCACCAATAAGAAAGACGTGGGCCCTGCTCTGTTGCCTGCCTTTGCTCCCCAGGCCCCGAGTGGTTCACTGAGCCATGAAGACAGATTCCAGGCACCAGGAATTGCACCTCCAATCCCAGATGCTATGTTCAGCAAAGGCTCCATGGTTCTGGCCTACAGTGCCGGCCTGGACACCTCCTGCATCCTCGTGTGGCTGAAGGAACAAGGCTATGACATTATTGCCTACCTGGCCAATGTTGGCCAGAAGGAAGACTTCAAGGAAGCCAGGAAGAAGGCACTGAACCTTGGGTCCAAAAAGGTGTTCATTGAGGACGTCAGCAAGGAGTTCGTGGAGGAGTTCATCTGGCCTGTATGAGGACTGCTACCTCCTGGGCCCCTCTCTTCCCAGGCCTTACATCACCCGCAAACAAGTGGAAATTGCTCAGTGGGAGGGGGCAAAGTATGTGTCCCACAGTGCCATGGGAAAGGGGAACGATCAGGTCTGGTTTGAGCTCGCCTGCTACTCGCTGGCCCCCCAGATTAAGGTCATTGCTCCCGGGAGGATCCCTGAGTTCTACAACCAGTCCAAGGGCCGCAGTGATCTGATGGAATATGCAGAGAAACATGGGATTCCCATCCCAGTCACTCTGAAGCACCCATGGAACATGGACGAGAACCTCATGCACATCAGCCACGAGGCTGGAATCTTGGAGAACCCCAAGAACCAACCACCTTCAGGTCTCTACATGAAGATTCAGGACCTGGCCAAAGCCCCCAACACCCCCAACATTTTCAAGACTGAGTAAAAAAGGGGTCCCTGTGAAGGTGACCAGCATCAAGGATGGCACCACCCACCAGACCTCCTTGGTGCTCTTCATGTACCTGAATGAAGTCGCAGGCAAGCACAGCGTGGGCCATATTGACATCGTGGAGAACCGCTTCATTGAAATGAAGTCCTGAGGTATCTGCAAGACCCCAGCAGGCACCATCCTTTACCACCCTCATTTAGACATTGAGGGCTTTGCCATGGAACAGGAAGTGCGCAAAATCAAACAAGGCCTGGGCTTGAAATTTGCTGAGTTGGTGTACACCGGTTTCTGGCACAACCCTCAGTGTGACTTTGCCCACCACTGCATTGCCAAGTCCCAGGACCGAGTGGAAGGGAAAGTGCAGGTATCCATCTTCAAGGGCCAGGTGTACATCCTCTGCCAGGAGCCCCCACTGTCTCTCTACAGTGGAGAGCAGGTGAGCATGAACGTGGAGGGCAATGATGAGCCAGCCAGTCGGTGACACCAGTCTCATCAACATCAATTCCCTCAGGATGAAGGAATATCATCATCTCCAGAGCAAGGTCACTGCCAAATAGACCCCTGTACAATGGGGAGCTAGGGCCACCTCACTTTGCAGATTCCCCAAGTACAGGCACTAATTGTTGTGATAATTTGTAATTGTGACTTGTTCTCCCTGGCTAAGAGTGTAGTGGGGCTGCCGGGCCCCAGCTTTGTTCCCTGGTCCCCCTGAAATGGTCATCAAAGGGAAGGGTGAGGGGCAGCTACAGTGGGGAGCTATAAAATGACAATTAAAAAAAAAAAAAAAAAAGACTAAGGCCAGCCACGGTGGCTCACGTCTGTAATCCCTGCACTTTGGGAGACCGAGGTGGGCAGATCACCTGAGGTCAGGAGTTTGAGACCAGCCTGGCCAACATGGTGAAACCCCATCTCTACTAAAAAATACAAAAATTAGCTGGGCGTGGTGGTGTGTGCCTGTAATCCCAGCTACTTGGGAGGCTGAGGCAGAAGAATAGCTTGAGCCTGGGAGGCAGAGGTTGCAGTGAGCAGAGATCGCATCATTGCACTCCATCCTGGGCTACAGAACATGACTCCGTCTCAAAAAAATAAATAAATAAAGACTAAATAAAAGATCTAATAGAACCTAATAGAAAAGTGGGCAAAGGACATGACTGAACAGATAATACATACACAAAAATTATATTCAGTGTTACTAGCAAGAAGAAATGCAAATTAAAACAGCAAAGAAGGCCGAGTGCGGTGGCTCACGCCTGCAATCCCAGCACTTTGGGAGGCCGAGGAGGGTGGATCACAAGGTCAGGAGTTCAAGATCAGCCTGGCCAATATGGTGAAACCCTGTCTCTACTAAAAATACAAAAAAAATTAGCCAGGCATGGTGGCGGGTGCCTGTTGTCCCAACTACTTGGGAGGCTGAGGCAGGAGAATCGCTTGAACCTGGGAGGCAGAGGTTGCAGTGAGCTGAAATTGCGCCACCACACTCCAGCCTGGGTGACAGAGCAAGACTCCGTCTAAAAAAAAAAAGAAAAAAAAAAAACAGAAAGAAATAGCCTCTTTTTACTTTTTAAATTGGCAAAACTGGGCTGGGCATAGTGGCTCGTGGCACTTTGTAAGGCTGAGGTGAGAAGATCACATGGGGCCAGGAGTTTGAGACCAGCTTGGGCAACAGAGTGAGAACTTGTCTCTACAAAAAAAATTTGTTTTTAATTAGCCAGGCACGGTGGTACATGCCTGTAGTCCCAGCTACTCGGGAGGCTGAGATGGGAGGATAACTTGAGCCTAGGAAATTGAGGCTGCAGTGAGCCGTGATTGTGCCACTACACTACAGCCGGGGTGACAGAGTGAGACACTGTCTCAAAAAATAATAAATGGGCAAAACTTTTTAAAAATTATAATACTGCCAGACATGGTGGCATGCACTGGTAATCTCAGTTACTTGGGAGGCTAAGATAGGAGGATCACTGTAGCCCAGGAGTTCAAGGCCACAGTTAGCTATGACTGTGCCTGTGTATAGCCACTGCACTCCAGCCTGGGCAACACAGAGAGACCCTATCCCTGAAATTAAAAATAGGCCAGGTAAGGTGGCTTATACCTACAATCCCAACATTTTGGGAGGCCCAGGTGGGAGGACTGCGTAAGGCCAGGAATTGAAGACCAGCCTGGGCAACATAGCAAGACCCCATCTCTACCAAAAATAGATTAAAATAAATAAATAGTTGTTTGATAATAATGCAAATAAATAAATAATATAATGCTGGTGCTGTCATGAACCCCCCAAAATGAGTACTCTTACTCTGGGTGGGAATATAAGTTTATACCCCCTTTCTAGATAGCAGTTTTATTCCTAGGGATTTGTTATTAGGAAACAATTGCATATATACACAAAGATACAGCTAGGAGAATATTCATTTCAGCACTTTATATTTGCAGACAATCTAAATTTGAAAAAACAGGGTATTTATTGGTTAAATTATTATAAATTCTTACAACAAGGTCTTATATATCCATCAAAAATTATGTTTTAGGAAAATATGTCACAACATGGAAAAATGTTCTTAATATATTAAGTTTAAAAAAGTAGGCTATAAAAAAAGATTCTATTTTAGTTTCAAGACATGTTTATTTTCAAGACATCATTGAAAATACATCATTTTCAAGCTATTTTATTTATGTGTTTATGTTTTTCTCTTTTTCTATATATAAATATAAATTTGGAAGAGAAGATTAAAATGATATTTACTGGCTGGGTGCAGTGGCTCACGCCTGTAATCCCAGCACTTTGGGAGGCTGAGGTGGGTAGATCACAAGGTCAAGAGATCGAGACCATCCTGACCAACATGGTGAAACCCTGTCTCTACTAAAAATACAAAAATTAGCTGAGTGTGGTGGCGTGCACCTTTAGTCCCAGCTACTCAAGAGGCTGAGGCAGGAGAATCACTTGAACCCGAGAGGCGGAGGTTGCAGTGAGCCAACATCACGCCACTGCACTCCAGCCTGGTGACACAACAAGACTCCATCTCAAAAAAAAAAAAAAAAAAAAAAAAAAAAGGCAAGACACAGTGGCTCACGCCTGTAATCCCAGCACTTTGGGAGACAGAGGGAAGTAGATCACCTGAGGTCAGGAGTTCGAGACCAGCCTGACCAACATGGAGAAACCACTTCTACACTGAAGATACAAAATTAGCCAGGCGTGGTGCTCATGCCTGTAATCCCAGCTACTTGGGATGCTGAGGCAGGAGAATCACTTGAACCCAGGAGGCGGAGGTTGCAGTGAGCCGAGATTGCACCGTTGCACTCCAGCCTGGGCAACAAGAGCGAAACTCCGTCTCAAAAAAAAGGCCGGGCGCAGTGGCTCACACCTGTAATCCCAGCATTTTGGGAGGCCGACGCAGGTGGATCACAAGGTCAGGAGATCGAGACCATCCTGGCTAACATGGTGAAACCCCGTCTCTACTAAAAATACAAAAAATTAGCCGGGTGTGGCGGCGGGCGCCTGTAGTCCCAGCTACTAGGGAGGCTGAGGCAGGAGAATGGCGTGAACCCGGGAGGCGGAACTTGCAGTGAGCCCAGATCACTTCACTGCACTCCAGCCTGGGCAACGGAGGGAGACTACGTCTCAAAAAAAAAGTTATATTTACTGGTCCGGTTGTAGTGGCTCACGCCTGTAATCCAGCACTTTGGGAGGCCGAGGCAGGCAGATCGCTTGAGGTCAGGAGTTCAAGACCAGCCTTGCCAACATGGTGAAACCACATGTCTACTAAAAATACAAAAATTAGCTGGGTGTGGTGGCGCACACTTGTAATCCCAGCTACTTGGGAGCCTAATGCAGGAGAATTGCATGAACCTGGGAGGCGGAGGTTGCAGTGAGCCGAGATCGCACCAGTGCACTCTGGCCTGAGAGACAGAGTGAGACTCGGTCTCAAAAAAAACAAAACAAAACAAGAAATGTGTTGGGATTGGGATACTCAGATCTCTGGTCCAGTGTCATCAGCTGGGTCACTGCACCTGATCATCAGTACAGACCCAAAATATCAATATAGTTTTCTCCCACATGGCCTCAATGTGGTATAGACACCCAGAGCCACTGCACCTATATTCATACTTCTTGGTGGAAAAAAAAAAAAAAAAGCATGTGCTTGTTCTGCTTTCAGAAGGAAACAAAATAAGAAAGAAAGGGAACAAACAGGAAAGCTATTCAAGCAAGACTGAGCAAGACTGGTTTTGTGCTTTTGTGCCAAGAGATACTTTCTATGAGAATATATATATTATATGTCTATTTTTACAAATACTTGTTGTTTAGGTGAAAAGCCCAGAAGGAAAATTTCAGAAGACCAGTACTGGAGCTGTCAGAATGCAACCAAAATCAGCTGAGTTGAAGTTTGTCACCAAGAACGATGGATATGTACACATTCACCCTTCATCAGTGAACTATCAGGTCAGAATGGTGGAGTATACTTAATGTTTACAGGTCGTCCTGGGGTAGGAAATGCAATTCCTTAAATTCAGCCACACCATGTTCTATCACTTGCTGTCCCCAGCAATACCACTGACTGAGGGAAGATTGAATAAGAATAAACAGACTGGAAATTGGACTATTTCTGGAAAGACTATTTCCATTTGAAGAAAATTCTACTGAATACCAAAAAGTACTCAAGCCTGCTTTCAGATATAAAATTGTTTCTTTGCAATGGTAATTGAAGTCATGAGCTAATTACATCACTGAATCTGTGCCTTAAAAGGAAATGAATGACCTATTCTTGCATACCACTTCCTCAGCTCTCAGCCTGCCACTGAGGCTTCTGCCCCCACCACTTCACTAAACCCATCAGAAGTAACAAATAACTTCTTAGTTGTCAAAGCCAGTGTCATCCCTTGGTCCTCATCATGCCACCTCTCACATGGTATTTGACATTGCTAATCTGTCTTCCTCTTGAAATTCTCCTTGATGTTATTTTTGCTTCTGAAATATCACTTTCTTCTCTCTCTCTATTCATCCCCTCTATCTCCTTTATTAGCTTATCTTCCTTTGCTCTGAAACAGTGGTTCTATCCTTTGTCCTTATTCTCTCACCATCATGCCCTCTTCCTGAACCACCAAAGGCACAACAGCACTTACACATCCCAACTGCCACTTACACACAGACGCAGACCCCAAATCTGTCTCTCCAGACCTGCAGTTTTTTTCTGAGCTCTCCTGCTGGAAAACATCAGCTAGAAGTCTTTTAGTCATCTCAAACATAAAAGCTGAAAAATCAAACTCAATGATCCCCAATTCACTCTTCTCTTTCTGTGCTGTCTTGGTGGAATGATACCATCAAAACCAGAACCCTGAAGTCACATAGACTCCCACTTCTTTTCTTATGCCAACTGAGTTGGTCACCAGGTCCCAAGAATGCCTCCTTGTTGACATCTCTAAGATTTGCCTTTTATCCCCACTGCCACTTCCTTAGCTCAAACCCCAAACATCATTTGCCTGAAATTCTATAATAATCTTACATCTGGTGCTTTCTGTCTCCAACCTTCTACTACTCTACTGCTGCCAGAATTACCTTTACAAAACATCAATTAGACTATGTCAATTCCTTGCTTAAATCTTCATATCCAGAGTGTACCACACACTCTCACATGACTCCTTACATGGCCCTTCCTATACCTTGTCACCAAATTTGAAACATTCAGGCTGCTCTATCCTCTGGAACTACTGAGGACCATGTTCACAAAGCCTGGAAAGGATTTCCTTAAGCTTAGAGGAGTTTGAGGGTCAGGAGGTCATCTGCCTTTTCAGCCTGTTAGGAACCAGACGCCTGAGTTAGCTCCACACCCCCTCCTTTTTTATATATACTTTTTGTTGTTGTTGTTTTGCATGTTTCTCAAGAAAGAACTACTCCTCTTTTGAGAATCCAAATCGTTCATGTATCCATGTAATATCTACTAGCGCCTAATCTGTGCCAGGCACTGTTGTAGGCTGTTGAGGACAGTGGAAGAAACTAGATGGACACAGTCTCTGCCCTCAAGAAGCTTATGTTCTAGTGAGGGAGACAGGCAATACATAAGTAAACAGAATCTCAGGTAATGCTATAAAGCAAAATAGAGCAGGATAGAGAGACAGAGAGTGACAGGAGAGGGGCCCTGCACGTGGGGTGGTCAGGGAAGAACTCCGGGATGAGAAACAACTGAGCAAATCCTAAATGAAGAGCAAGTCATGCAGATAGAGAGAAAGGAGAAACATTCCAGCAGAGGACATAAGTGCAAACATCACAAGGTGGGAGTGTATTTGGTGTGTTCCAGGAAATGCATGAAGAGGCCAGTGGAGAGGGATGATCAAGGGTGAGAGTGGTGGGAGATGCACGGGGACGAGTAGGCAGGGGTGGGGTAGGGCTGGGTGGACCTGGTAGCCATGGCAAGGACTTGAGATTTTTATCCTTGGACACCATTGGAGGGTTTTGAGCCATAATTGGACTTATTGTTTTTGTTTTTATTTTTATTTTTATTTTATTTATTTATTGAGACAGAGTCTCTCTCTGTCACCCAGGCTAGAGTGCAGTGGCACAATCTCAGCTCACTGCAACCTCCACTTCCCAGGTTCAAGGGATTCTCATGCCTCAGCCCCCTGAGTAGCTGGGATTACAGGCATGTGTCATCGCTCCCAGCTAATTTTTGCAGTTTTGTAGAGACGGGGTCTCACCATGTTAGCCAGGCCAGTTTCAAACTCCTGGCCTCAGGTGATCCACCTGCCTCAGTTTCCCAAAGTGCTGGGATTACAGGCGTGAGCCACCACGCCCTGCCAGACTTATGTTTTTAAAAGATCACCTTGATTGCTGGGTAGGAAAGACACTATAAAAATGCAAAACTAGAAGTGGGGACAGCACTCTAGAAGGCATCACAGTGGTTTCTGTGAGATGACAATGGTTTGTACTAAATTGGTAGCTGGGTGCCTATAATCCCAGCCCTTTGAAAGGCCGAGGCGGGCGGATGACTTGAGGTCAGGAGTTTGAGACCAGCCTGGCCAACATGGTGAAACCCCATCTCTACTAAAAATACAAAAATTCGCCAGGTGTGATAGTGCAAGCCTGTAGTCCCAGCTACTTGGGAGGCTGAGGCAGGGGAATCACTTGAACCTAGGAGGTAGAGGTTGCAGTGAGCCAAGATCATGCCACTGCACTCCAGCCTGGGTGACAGAGCGAGACTGCATCTCAAAAAAAAAAAGGCTGGGTGTGGTGACTCACACCTGTAATCCCAGGACTTTGGGAGGCCGAGGCAGGCAGATCACCTGAGTTCAGGAGTTCAAGAACAGCCTGGCCAGCATGATGAAATCCCTGTCTCTACTAAAAATACAAAAATCAGCCAGGCATGGTGGCAGGCGCCTATAATCCCAGCTACTTGGGAGGCTGAGGCAGGAGAATCACTTGAACCTAGGGGGCAGAGGTTGCAGTGAGCCGAGATCACACCATTGCACTCCAGCCTGGACAAAAAGAGCAAAACTCTGTCTCAAAAAAAAAAAAAAATTTGTTAGCTGTAGAAGTGGTGAGAATATGTCAAGGCATTTTGTAATTTGAAAAGAGAGCTGACTAGACTTAGTGACAGTGTAGATGGTGTGAGGGGAAAAAAATAGTCAATGATGACTCCTAAATTGGGGGCCTGAGCAGCTGGGTGAATGGGAGCATCATTTCCTGAGATAGGGAACACTGCAAGGAAGAAGAATCAAGAATTCCATCTGGGCCAGGCACAGTGGCTCACACCTGTAATCCCAGCAATTTGGGAGGCCAAGGCAGAAGGATTGCTGGAGCCCAGGAGTTCGAGACCAGCCTGGGCAACATGGTGAGACCCTATCTCTACGAAAAAATTTAAAAAATAAAAGCTTTTTTTTTTTTAAACACAAGTGTGAGATATGTATTAAATGTCCAAGAGGAGATGGCAAGTCAATAGTTATACTGCAGATCTGGAGCTCAGGAAAGTCACGGGCTATAGATAAATTTGGGGAGTCATTAATAGGCAGTATTTAAATCCGTGGGACTGGGGGGTTGTTCCCTTTTTGTTGCCAGTGACATCACTGTCATCATCTGAGGTTTTTTGTTACAGGTGAGACACTTTGACAGCCCCTACCTGTTGTACCACGAGAAGATAAAAACTAGTCGAGTATTCATCCGAGACTGCAGCATGGTGTCTGTGTACCCGCTGGTCTTGTTTGGAGGAGGCCAAGTGAATGTGCAGCTTCAAAGAGGAGAGTTCGTTGTCTCCCTGGATGATGGTTGGATCCGTTTTGTAGCTGCTTCCCATCAGGTAAAGGCAGAATTGGTCTGTTTTATGAGGCTCAGGCCATGAGGGGCTTTGACAATATGAAGTTATGAAGTCAAGGGCATTCCTCTAGGGACCAAGGTAACAGAGCTAATTAAAAATGAATGACGGTGGCCGAGCCCAGTGGCTCACACCTATAATCCCAGCACTTTGGGAGGCCGAGGCAGGCAGATCATCTGGGGCCAGGAGTTCGAGACCAGCCTGGCCAACATGGTCAAACCCCGTCTCTACTAATAATACAAAAATTAGCTGGGCATGTTGGTGGGTGCCTGTAATCCCAGCTACTCAGGACGCTGAGACATGAGAATCGCTTGAACCTAGGGGGCAGAGGTTGCAGTGAGCCGAGATCGTGCCATTGCACTCCAGCCTCGGCAACAGAGCGAGATTCCTTCTCAAAAAAAAAAAAAAAAAGTGAATGATGGTCTACAATGAGACACTAAGAAAGAGTGAGGCTGAAGTGAAGCCAGGAGTGGAGCCCTAGTAAGAGTTCCAGAAAGCACACTGTGAGGGGAAGTCTGGTACGGGCTGAGGTTAGTATAAAAGGCTAGGACAGAAGCTGTAAAGTGAGGGTGCTGGACCTTCCTTATTGTTATATAAATAATAGATGTTCACCAAAGAAAAGTCAGAAAATACAGATAAGCAAAAATAAGTAAATAAAAACCACCCTGATTCCACCACTACCATTTTGAGAAAAAGATAATGGGTCTGAATTCTTCATTTATTCTCAGGTCTCAATTATTCCCTATATGGAGTCTCTGTGAAAAACATATCATGGAGAGTACATATTTAAGAAACAGAACTTCACCCAGGTGCGGTGGCTTACGCCTGTAATCCCAGCACTTTGGGAGGCCAAGGTGGGCAGATCACCTGAGGTCAGGAGTTCGAGACCAGCCTGGCCAATATGGTGAAACCCCATCTCTACTAAAAATTTTAAAAAATTAACCAGGTGTGGTAGTGGGCGTCTGTAATCCCAGCTATTCAGGATGCTGAGGCAGGAGAATCTCTTGAGCCCAGGAGGCGGAGGTTGCAGTGAGCCGAGATTGCGCCATTGCACTCCAGCCTGAGCAACAAGAGGGAAACTCCATCTCAAAAAAATGAATATATAAAAATACAAAAAAAAAAATTAGCTGGGCGTGGTGGCGGGCGCCTGTAATCCCAGCTACTCAGGAGGCTGAGACAGGAGAATCACTTGAACCCAGGAGGCAGAGGTTGCAGTGAGCCGAGATTGCACCACTGCACTTCAGCCTGGGTGACAGAATGAGACTCCGTCTCAAATAAATAAATAAATAGATAGATAGATAAAACTTCAGGTGGACACCCGTAATCCCAACTGCCAGAGGCTGAGGTGGGAGGATTGCTCAAGCCCAAGAGGTCGAGGCTTCAGTGAGCCATGATTGCACCACTGCACTCCAGCCTGGGTGACAGAGTGAGACTCTGTCCCAAAAAAAGAAATAAATAAAATTTCATTTTAATATCTGCATCTGTTAGAATTCTTATGTTACAAGAAGCAGATATGCCAACTCAAACATTAAAAGAAATTGATTGGCATATTTAACTTTAAAGTCCAGAGCAGCAGTGTCCAACAGAAATATAATGTGACCCACATATGTAATTTTAATTGTTCTAGTAGCCACATTTTTAAAAGTAAAAAGAAATAGATGAAATTAATCTTAATATATTTTATTTAACCTAATACATCCAAAATGTTTTAATTTTAACATGTAATCAATATAAAATTATTAAGATAGTTTACATTACCTTTTCATATTAAGTCTTCAAAATCGGGTATATATTTTATATTCGCAGCACATCTCAGTTTGGGCTGGCCACATTTCATATAGACATTAGATAAGCCACTTGTGACTAGTGGCTACCTTACTGGATAGTCCAGGTCAAGAAGGCCAGGCAACGTTGGTTTGATTTAGCAGTTCAGTGGTGACAAAAACGTGGTTAACCTAGTGGTATCGAAAGGGCTGCAATAGCTCCTGGCATCACATGTATGCAGCATATGGTCCAGAAGAAGAGCCAGAAACTTTCTTGCCTACAAGCTCAATCAAAGCTCCCCTCCTAAACCAATCCCTGTGACCAAAGGGATGTCCTGAACTTGAATACCTGGAGTACCTGAGCCATTCACCCTGGCAGGGCTCACAGTGTGAACCTGTGTTAGAGCAGGGTCCGAACTGTATGTTTCCCATACAGTGGGGAAGGGGCAAAACAGATGCTGGGAAGATGTCTACAGTGCCACAACATCAGCATAAGCAAAATGCCATAAAGCATACAGTATATCCCAAAGCTACAGAGATTTTTGATTCATCTAATATCTTCCACTTATTTATTTTTTTTTTTGAGGTGGAGTCTTGCTCTGTCACCCAGGCTGGAGTGCAGTGGCGCAATCTCGGTTCACTGCAACCTCCGCCTCCCGGGTTCAAGCAATTCTCCTGCCTCAGCATCCTGAGTAGCTGGGACTGCAGGCGTACACCACCAAGCCCGGCTATTTTTTTTTTTTTTTTTTTTGAGATGGAGTTTCGCTCTTGTTGCCCAGGCTGAAGTGCCATGGTGCCATCTCGGCTCACCACAGCCTCTGCCTCCCGTGTTCAAGCGATTCTCCTGCCTCACCCTCCCAAGTAGCTGGGATTACAGGCATACGCCACCACCCGGCTAATTTTGTATTTTTAGTAGAGACGGGGTTTCTCCATGTTGGTCAGCCTGGTCTTGAACTCCCGACCTCAGGTGATCTGCCCGCCTTGGCCTCCCAAAGTGCTGGGATTACAGGCATGAGCCACCGCGCCAGGCTAATTTTTGTATTTTTATTAGAGACGGAGTTTCACCATTTGGACAGGCTGATCTCAAACTCCTGACCTTGTGATCCGCCCACCTCGGCCTCCCAAAGTGCTGGGATTACAGGCGTGAGCCACTGAGCCTGGCCCACTTTTTTTTTTTTTTTTTTTTGAGATGGAGTTTTGCTCTTGTTGCCCAGGCTGGAGTGCAATGGCGCGATCTCGGCTCACCACAACCTCTGCCTCCTGGGTTCAAGCAATTCTCCTGCCTCAGCCTCCCGAGTAGCTGGGATTACAGGCATGTGCCACCATGCCTGGCTAATTTTGTATTTTTAGTAGAGATGGGGTTTCTCCATGTTGGTCAAGCTGGTCTCGAACTTCCACCTCAGGTGATCCGCCCACCTCAGTCTCCCAAAGTGCTGGAATTACAAGCGTGAGCCACCCGGCCCAGCCTATCTACCACCCTTTTTTTTTTTTTTTTTTTTGAGACAACAAGGTCTGCAGTGGAGTGATCGGTGATCAGTAAATTTTCTTTTCCTTTTTTTTTCTTTTTTTTGAAACGGAGTTTCGCTCTTGTTGCCCAGGCTAGAGTGCAATGGCGCAATCTTGGCTCACCGCAACCTCCACCTCCCAGGTTCAAGCGATTCTCCTGCCTTAGCCTCCCAAGTAGCTGGAATTATAGGCATGCACCACCATCCCAGCTAATTTTGTACTTTTAGTACTAAGAGACGGGGTTTCTCCACATTGGTCAGGCTGGTCTCGAACCCCTGACCTCAGGTGATCTGCCCATCTCGGCCTCCCAAAGTGCTGGGATTACAGGCGTGAGCCACCGGGCCCGGCCCTCTCTACCACTTTTAATTCCCCATTTTCCTGCTTCTCCTCGTGGAATAAATCATAAAAATTGACCAAACTTTAATATGGAGAACACTATATAAAAGCCATACTTCCAGACTGAATCTTTTCTTTTTTGGGGAGCAGGGGGGACAGAGTCTCGCTATGTCACCCAGGCTGGAGTGCAATGGCGCGATCTCAGCTCACTGCAACCTCCACCTCCTGGGTTCAAGCCATTCTCCTGCCTCAGCCTCTGAGTAGCTGGGATTACAGGCGCATGCCACCACAACTCGCTAATTTTTGTATTTCTAGTAGAGACAGGATTTCACCATGTTGGCCAGCCTGGTCTTGAACTCCTGATCTCATGATCCGCCCGCCTTGGCCTCCCAAAGTGCTGGGATTACAGGCGTGAGCCACTGCGCCTGGCCCGAATCTTTTCTTTAGATGAGATGTGATAGAGGCACTTTTTTACAATGGACCTCATTTAGTCTATTACAAAATGAAAATGTATTTAGGGTTTTTGCTCCTAATGGAGTTAAAATTAGTACCAGAAATCTAAATAATGGTAATCATAACTTGGGTATTTCCCTCCAATAACCTATCCTGCCTGTTCCTCCAAGCACTGCTTATATTGTAGCTTTCATTTTAGGTGGCTGAACTGGTAAAGGAGCTTCGTTGCGAACTTGATCAGCTTCTCCAGGATAAAATTAAAAACCCAAGCATTGATCTGTGTACGTGTCCTCGAGGATCCCGGATCATCAGCACAATTGTGAAACTTGTCACCACACAATAAAAAGCAGTCTTAGAGAGTGCTTGCTACTCACCTGCTTCTAGCTCACCTGGGAAATAACAGCAGAACCTCTACCTCGAACTAAAGACCTATTGGGGCTGGCCCTGGTGGAGGAGCCCAGGGCATGAAGCCCAAGGCAGCTGAGGCAGTGTATATACCCTTAGGGCCATTTCTAACAAAGCCTTGGCCACTCCCAGCACAATTTGGAGTGTCAAGGGTGAGAGCCTAAAACCCAGCTTGCCTGTCTTTGTCTCTGTGATTGTTCTGGAGTGAATTAAGTTCACCTGATAACTCAAAAGTGAATGTATAATACAATTCTGTTTTAATCTGTGTATTCTTTTTCTCCTACTTTTTACTGGGGTGAGAGGGGCATGAAGAGAAATACGCCTTTTTTTTTTTTCTTTTCCTGTCGCCAAGGCTCGACTGAGAGAAGTCAGAACAGAGAAGGGGAAAAAAAACCCAAAATTATGTGAACAAGCAAAATTAAAATTTCATTTTAGGCTATTGGCTACTGAGTAAACTTGACTTGTGAGGGGTTTTTATTTTTACTCATTAAAAGTCAACTTAAAAAAATTGAATGAGTTCTCTTTTGGTATTAAAGTGCAAGCTGGTCTTATCGATAACACTCCTATTCTTAAAAGCAGAACAATCTAGATGTCGTCATAGTTCTACATTTAGGAATCTTTACTCTGTCTTATCAACTCACCCAGACACGAATCACCGAAGGAGAATTTTAATAGCATTCCTGGGGCAGAGTTGGCATGGATGAGGTCAAAAAGGTTACCATCGGATTTACAGCCACCACAATGCTTTCCATGAAATTGCTTATTTTCAACCACCTGTTAGGTTAATGGGGCGCTAGCATTTTGGAAAAACATCAGGGGATTTACATTTTCCCTGGACATCTATCAGTATGGCGAGGAAGGATCCCAAATTGCTGAGTAGAAAAAATATTTGTATGTTTGTTTAGACCTCAGGGCCGGACGCGGTGGCTCATGCCTGTAATCCTAGCACTTTAGGAGGCCGAGGCAGGCCAATCACATGAGGTCAGAAGTTCAAGACCAGCTTGGGCAACTTGGTGAAACCCCATCTCAATTAAAAATACAAAAATTAGCCAGGCATGGTGACAGGTGCCCATAGTCCCAGCTACTCGGGAGGCTGAGGCGGGAGAATCACTTGAACATGGGAGGTGGGGTTTGGAGTGAGCCAAGATTGCACCATTGCACTCCAGCCTGGGTGTCAGAGTGAGACACTGTCTCAAAAATAAAAATTAAAAAATGGACCTCAGGACAGGGTCACTACAGGTTCCATAGTATGGATAGAATTCAAACTAAATCAAAACCATCTCAGTGAAATCAGTGAAAGGTATTCACTTTTCAAGGTATTATTTTAGTTAAGTTTTCAGGAAGTCTGCTTGGCTGTCCAAAATGATTATTATCAAGTATATTTAAGCTTTGGTGCACTTGAAGAGCTTAGACTCTAAGCAGTATTTTTAAAAGGCATCGATTCATGTCATTGCTTTAAATAAAAAACATACATATGCAAGCACCCACAGAATCCAAATTCTGACTTGCTGTTGAAACAAGGCTCCTATTACAGAACTGATTAGGCTGAGACCTTTAGAAGAAATTAAGAAAACTGCATTAAGCCTCTAAAAAAGTTTTGTTTTCCTTTTTTTTTTTTTTTTTTTGACGGAGTTTCACTCTTATCACCCCGGCTGGAGTGCAATGGTGGGTTCTCGGCTCACTGCAACCTCCGCCTCCTGAGTTCAAGCGATTCTCCTGCCTCAGCCTCCCAAGTAGCCAGGACTACAGGCATGTACCACCACACCCGGCTAATTCTGTATTTTTTTAGTGGAGATGGGGTTTCACCATGTTGGCCAGGCTGGTCTCGAACTACTGACCTCACGTGATCCACCCACCTCGATCTCCCAAAGTGCTGGGATTACAGGCGCGAGCCACCACAATCAGCCTAAAAAAGTTTTTAAAAATCAGTTTTCACGGCTGGGCGCGGTGGCTACGCCTGTAATCCCAACCCTTTGGGAGATCGAGGCGAGTGGATCACCTGAGGTTGGGAGTTTGAGACCAGCCTGACCAACGTGGAGAAACCGTGTCTATACTAAAAATACAAAATTAGCCAGGCGTGGTGGTGCATACCTATAATCCCAGCTACTCGGGAGGCTGAGACAGGAGAATTGCTTGAACCTGGGAGGCGGAGGTTCTGGTGAGCCAAGATCGCACCATTGCACTCCAGCCTGGGCAACAAGAGCGAAACTCCATCTCAAAAAACAAAAACAAAAAACCCATCAGTTTTCACTCTTGGTGCTACAGTGGTGCTCATGCCACCCTAGCTAGAGCCATCTGCCCAAGTGGGCCTGCAGCATTTAACACAAGTTTGCCCCAGAGCACTCAGCTGGGAGATAATTAACAGCAAAACTTTCCACCCAGTGAAACTGATTCCTTCGGGAAAGCCAGCTCTTGGATGGTCACTTCCAACCACATATAGATGCATGAATACTGTCATGATATAGATATGCCAGAATGTGATAAAGGTTGGGAAGCCTTGACATAACGCATTGAGTAAGAATATCCTCGCCCCAAAGACTAAACTTCTTAAGCTCATTATTAAAATAATGAAATAAGAAATGAAATAGAATTACTTATTTATGATGAAAGATCAGAATGCAGGCCGGGCATGGTGGCTCACGCCTGTAATCCCAGCACGTTGGGAGGCTGAGGTGGGTGGACCACTTGAGGTCAGGAGTTCGAGACCAGCCTGACCAACATGGTGAAACCCCATCTCTACTAAAACCACAAAATTAGCTGGGCATGGTAGCACATGCTGTGATCCCAACTATTTGGAAGGCTGAGGCAGGAGAATCACTTGAACCCAGGAGGCGGAGTTTGCAGTGAGCCAAGATGGCACCATTGCATTCCATCCTGGGCAATAAGAGTGAAACTCTGTCTTAAAAAAAAGAAAGAAAGAAAGATCAGAATGCAGTATAGTGTTTCAAGGATTTTTTTTTTTTCTTGAGACGGAGTCTCACTGTGTCACCCAGGCTGACACAATCTCGGCTCACTGCAACATCCGCCCCCGGGTTCAAGCAATTCTCTTGCCTCAGCCTCCTGAGTATCTGGGATTACACGCACCTGCCTCCATGCCTGGTTAATTTTTTTGTCTTTTTAGTAGAGACAGGGTTTCACCATCTTGGTCAGGCTGGTCTTGAACTCCTGACCTTGTGATCCACCTGCCTCGGCCTCCCAAAGTGCAGATTCCTTCTGCTCTTTGATAAACAAATGATTAAAACTTGTAAGATTTTAAAGCCCCTTAAGTATAAGTGATTGGCTACAAATCTCATCTAAGACCAATGTCTTTGATAAATAATTTTAGAGGTGACAGCTTAGAAACAGCAGAAAGTCTCTCCATGTTAATGATTCATCACGGTTAACTGTTCACCCAGTCATTCCATCGCTTTACATTTATGGGACCAAAAGACATGGAAGAAGCTTATCACTCTGGAACAGTCTGAAACTATTGCTCTGACAACAAACTGAATGAGCTGTTTCCACGTTGTTTCCATTTAGGGCACCTCTGTACTGTGATCATGCAAGTATTGACTGACACAGATTCGTGACCAAGATCTAACTTCTGAAAACAACAACTAGCCTTGTATTTATTAACTAGCTGAGTATTTTAAGCAAACTTTACCCCTGCATGTGGGGGAAAATAAGCCAGAGGAATTATGCTTAATTCCCATGTGATTTAGGAGGAAAAAGCCAACCTCTGCCTAGGCTTGTTCAAGCATAATACAGTATGAGCATATTCTGCTGCCTCCAGGAATTCATTATTTATGTGGCAACTGAGTGACATCCACGAGACAACCTCAATAGTGTGATGCCCCAAGTTCACCCGCTATGGGCCTTGCAATCAAGAAAACACAACACAGACTGGAGTCCCCACAGAGCCAGCCCGGGCTGCACCTGAAAAATCACATCCTCAGTCTTAATGCCTTACATTTGCTGTATTTTAATTTTACAGATTGCTTTCACAAGATCTTTTTTTTTTTTCCTGAGATGGAGTCTCGCTGTGTCACCCAGGGTGGAGTGCAGTGGCGCAGTCTTGGCTCACTGCAACCTCCACCTCCCGGGTTCAATTGATTCTCCTGCCTCAGCCTCCTGAGTAGCTGGGATTACAGGCGCATACAATCATGCCCGGCTAATTTTTGTATTTTTAGTAGAGACTGGGTTTCACCATGTTGGCCAGGCTGATCTTGAACTCCTGTCCTCAGGTGATCTGCCCGCTTTGGCCTCCCAAAGTGCTGGGATTACAGGCATGAGGCACTGTGCCCAGCCCACAAAATCTTATTTTATGTTAACCTCTTAGGACCATGTTCAAACCATTGCCCAGAAAGGAAAAGGAACTAACATTACCATATGCCTACAGATCCACATGCTAGGCTTAGTTTTATCTAAATTAAGCTGCTCAGATAATATTAAATAGGAGGATAAAGATCAAAGTTCATTACTTGCCAGGGAGTTTGAGTTGTTAATAATCTGATATGGAACTCAAGGAGGAAGAAGACAAAGCTCATGCTTTGTCGGCCTTTGACCCCTTCGATCAGAATGCTTAGCTCGTCTCATTTCCTAAGATCTTCCCAATTAGTCATAGTACAAAATAGAAGAGCAGATTCATTTCACAGCAAGTATTTTATTAATATTGTTCCCTTGCTACATTCCAATAGAATTAAAACAAATATTTTATTTGAGATGGAATCTCGCCCTGTCGCCCAGGCTGGAGTGCAATGACACCATCTTGGCTCACTGCAACCCCCACCTCCCAGGTTCAAGTGATTCTCCTGCCTCAGCCTCCTGAGTAGCTGGGATTACAGGCGTGCGCCACCATGCCTGGCTAATTTTTGTATCTTTAGTAGAGACAGGGTTTCAACATGTTGGCCATGGTGTTGTTTCATAAAAATGCAGGACAGCCAGGCATGGTGGCTCAAGCCTGTAATCCCAGCATTTGGGGAGGCTGAAGAGGGAGGATTGCTTGAGCCCAGAAGTTCGAGACCAGCCTGGATGACATAGGGAGGCCCTGTCTCTACAAAAAATACAAAAAAAATTAGCCAGGCATGGTGGTGTGTGCCTGTAGTCCCAGCTACTTGGGGAGGCTGAGGCAGGGGGATCACCCGGAGCCTAGGAGGTTGAGGCTGCAGTGAGCCGTGATTGTGCCACAGCACTCTAGCCTGGGTGACAGAGCAAGATCCTGTCCCAAACAACCAAACAAACAGAAAAGATACAGGGCAGCAACCAAAACATCAACAACCTGTTCCCCCAGATAGTTCAGCCTCTTTGCCCCATCTAGGCTAGCCCCAGAGCTGCTCCTGAGTCAGTTCATGCCTGGCTAATTGACTAAATAAGCCAGGACACAGGGCTCCAGTTGAGACAGCTATGATAAGGGATGGCTTAGAATCTAGTCACCTAGATTTTTTCACCTCTTTGAATTTTTTAGGAGAGAAATGGCAACAAAAACCATTATGAGGCATTTGTTTGGAAAACCAACTTCTAAGGGGTGGTCTTAGAAATTCAGCCCAATCTCATAACTACTAGCAATGAAAATCAGTGTTTAAAATGATCCCTGATATGCTACAAACACAATATTGAGAAGTCAGGTATAATAATACATAATTGTGTCAGGTGCGGTGGCTCACGCTTGCTATCCCAACATTTTGGGAGGCTGAGGCGGGTGGATCACGAGGTCAGGAGGCTAGGCACAGTGTAGCCAATATGGTGAAACCCTGTCTCTACTAAAAATATTTTAAAAATTAGCCGGGCGTGGTGGTATGCACCTGTTGTCCCAGTTACTCAGGAGGCTGAGGCAGGAGAATCACTTGAACCCGGAGGCAGGGGTTGCAGTGAGCCGAGATTGTGCCACTGCACTCCAGCCTGGACAACAGAGCAAGACTCTGTCTCAAATAATAATCATCATCATAATAATATATTATTATTATTTAATAAACATTCTCAGCAAGAGCATTTCAGTGAGGTGTCATTAATTATTCCTTTATTCAGAAAATGCAGTTACTGCTACCTTCTCCATCCTAGGTTTTACTGAAAATGGCCTGAAGGAGTTATTTTTCTTCTATGTTGAATGAATTTATACTATAGAGATTATCCATGTCTGGTTTTCTTCCTTAGAAAAAACATGAACATTTTATTCCTCATAAAAGACATGAATGTTCAGGTGGACAAAAAGAAAATAATAATAAAAGACAGAATAGCAGCCAAGAAGGTCCATTTATGTCCTGAGATTCCACTTTGAGGAAGTGTTGCTTCATTCCATCCTTTGGTTCCTCTTTTTTTTTTTTTTTTTTTGAGACAAGGTCTCACACCAATGCCACTGGAGTGCAGTGGTACGATCACCACTCACTGCAGCCTCAACCTCCCTGGGCCCAGGGGATCCTCCTGCCTCAGCCTCTGGAGCAGCTGGGACTACAGACATGTGCCACCATGCCCAACTAATTTTTTGTACTTTTTGTAGAGTTGGGGTTTCACCATGTTGCCCAGGCTTGTCCATCCTTGAGTTTGAAATGTATTTTAACAACAATGCCTGTTAACCTTTCAAATAAGACTTTATTTGTCCATAGAGATTAACAAATACGGGGCCCTATCCTGTACAAAGAGTTTAAAGAAGTTTCCTCACCCGGGAGACAATGTAGGGGTTCTTTTATTTTTCTGTTTTTTGAGACAGGGTCTTGCTCTGTAGGCCAGGCTGGAGTGCAGTAGTGCAATCTCTGCCTCTCGGGCTCAAGTGATCCTCCCACCTCAGCCTCCTGAGTAGGTGGGATTACAGGCATGCGCCACGATGCTGGGCTAATTTTTTTTTTTTTTTTGTACTTTTAGTAGAGACGGGGTTTTGCTGTTGCCTAGGCTGGTCTCCAACTCATGGGCTCAAGCAATCCACCCACCTCTGCCTCCCAAAGTACTGGGATTATAGGCTTGAGTCTCTGTACCCAGCTCAATGTAGTTTTTATTTGTTTTAAACAAATGGTTCTCAAATGGGGGCAGTTTTGAGGGGGCAGGAAACATTTGGCGATGTCCAAAGACATTGTTGGTTTTCACAGCTTGTGGGGTGGGAGGTGCTACTGGCATCTAGTGCTTAGAGGCCAGGGATACTGCTGAATATCCCACAAGGCACAGGATACCCAAAGAAAAAATCACTCGGTCCAAAATGCCAATACAGCCAAGGTGAAGAAAACCCTGCTTTAAACAAAATGAGATAAGTAATCACTAACAAAGCCTAATAGCTATTAGGTGTAAATTATGCCCATAGACATCTCTGAAAATGAAAATATATTTTGAACTACAGAAAGTGAAAATCTCGGCTGGGCGCAGTGGCTCATGCCTGTAATCCCAGCAGTTTAGGAGGCCGAGGCCGGTGCATCACCTGAGGTCAGGAGTTCGAGACCAGCCTGGCCAACATGGTGAAACTCTGTCTCTACTAAAAATACAAAAAAAATTAGCCAGATATGGTGGCACACGCCTGTAATCCCAGCTACTCAGGAGGCTGAGGCAGGAGAATCGCCTGAACCCAGGAGGCAGACGTTGCAGTGAGCAGAGATCATGCCACTGTACTCCAGCCTGGGCAACAGAGCAAGACTGTCTCAAAAAAAAATAAAATAAAAATATAGTGAAAATCTCTGCCAAATCAACTCTAATAAATATGTACTGTGTGAATAAGAGCTTGTGTGTACATTTTGTTCTTATCAAGAATTCTAAGTACTTAAGAATTTGAAGAAATTATATGTACAAATGAGAAAAGCCTGGCACAGATGAATAGGGATACATTTACTTTAAAAACATGTTCTACCATTAAATTTTGTTTTGGCTTTTTACCAAAAAAACCACTTTTCTTTTGTTTTTGTTTTTGAGATGGAGTCTCACTCTTGTCACCCAGGCTGGAGTGCAATGGAGCAATCTCAGCTCACTCCAACCTCTGCCTCCTGGGTTTAAGCAATTCTTCTGCCTCAGCCTCCCGAGTAGCTGGGACTACAGGCACCTGCCAGCATGCCCGGCTAATTTTTATATTTTTAGTAGAGATGGGGTTTCACCATGTTGGCCAGGCTGGTCTCAAACTCCTGACCTCAGGTTATCTGCCTGCCTCGGCCTCCCAAAGTGCTGGGATTACAGGCATGAGCCACCGCGCCTGGCCAGAATCACTTATTTTGAAAATGTGAAGACATGACTTGTATGTGAATGCTACTACTGCTAAACCTCTGCACTACAAAATTCAAGTTGTCACACTTAGGCCCACATTAAAATGTTTAAAACACACCCATGCACACACACACACACACACCCTGTTACTTTATCTTTGAACAAAGTCCAACCTAGTCGACTTTGGCCAATATGCTTTTTTTTTTTTTTTTTGAGTCGGAGTCTCGCTCTGTCGCCCAGGCTGCAGTGCGGTGGCACAATCTCGGCTCACGACAAGCTACGTCTCCCGGGTTCACACCATTCTCCTACCACAGCCTCCCGAGTATTTGGGACTACAGGCGCCCGCCACCACACCTAGCTATTTTTTTTTTGTATTTTTAGTAGAGACGGCGTTTCACCATGTTGGCCAGGATGGGCTCGATTTACTGACCTCGTGATCCGCCCGCCTCGGCCTCCCAAAGTGCTGGGATTACAGGCGTGAGCCACCGCGCCCGGCCTGTTTTGTTATTTTGTTTTGTTTTTTTTTTTTGAGGCAGAGTCTTGCTCTGTCGCCCAGGCTGGAGTGCAGTGGCGTGATCTCTGCTCACTGCAAGCTCCGCCTCCCGGGTTCACGCCATTCTCCCGCCTCAGCCTCCCAAGTAGCTGGGACTACAGGCGCCCACCACCACGCCCACCTAATTTTTTTGTATTTTTAGTAGAGACGGGGTTTCACCATGTTAGCCAGGATGGTCTCCATCTCCTGAACTCGTGATCCACCCGCCTCAGCCTCCCAAGGTGCTGGGATTACAGGCTTGATCCACTGCGCCCAGCCTGTTTTGTTTTAAAGTATATGACTCTAGAGGGTTATGAATGTAGAATTTTTTTTGTTTTTTGTTGTTTTTTGTTTTCTTTGAAAAGGAGTGTCACCGTGTCGCCGAGGATGGAGTGCAATGGCATGATCTCAGCTCACTTCCGCCTCCTGGGTTCAAGCAATTTTCCTGCCTCAGCCTCCCGAGTAGCTGGGATTACAGGCACTCACCACCACGCTAATTACCACCTGGCTAATTTTTAGTAGAGACGGGGTTTCACCATGCTGATCACGCTGGTCTCGAATTCCTGATCTCAGGTGATCCACCCGCCTTGGTCTCCCAAAGTGCTGGGATTACAGGCATGAGCCACCGCACCTGGCTGACTGTAGGATGTTTAAAGTGAAGCCTGATTAAAAACTTTAGTTCCTAGGCTCAGTAACCCTTCTCCTATAGCGTGAACTGGAAAAATCCGTTTGTTTGAGGACTTGATTATTAGTAGGATTACCAGACAGAACAGCAAAGACATGCTATGCTCCTTAGAAGACAGATGTCTTTACAAATCAGGAGCCATGCTATAGGATGGGCACCAAGGGACTATCCCATGTGGTAAAGAAACTCATCCACTGATTATAGACCAAGAGCAAAACAATTAGTAATTAGAAACGTTTCTGTTAATGCTGCCCTTCTGTCTCTGAAATTCACCTGTGCACCTTCCCATTCAAACTCCAGCTCTTGCTATTACTTCTAGCTCATAAATATTTATACCATCCTTTTTTACAATAAGCATGACTAAGACTGAATTAACTGAAGCATGAAATCTGATTAGTTAACAAGAAAGCCACCGGGCACGGTGGCTTCACGCCTATAATCCCAGCACTTTTGGAGGCCGAGGCAGGCTGATCACCTGAGGTGAGGAGTTTGAGACCAGCCTGACCAACATGGAGAAACCCCATCTCTACTAAAAATACAAAATTAGCTGGGCGTGGTGGTGCATACCTGTAATCCCAGCTATTCGGGAGGCTGGGACAGGAGAATCGCTTGAACCTGGGAGGCGGAGGTTGCGGTGAGCTGAAATCACGCCATTGCACTCCAGCCTGGGCAACAAGAGTGAAACTCCATCTAAAAAAAAAAAAAAAAATCCAATTGTCCAGTTTATAACTAATGTTTGCCACTTGGCTAGTTTGAAACCCATATTGGGGTTGCAAAAATGCCCTCCATGTTTATGCTTATAATTTATTTCGCTCCCTCCTTCCCTCTCTCTCTTTCTTTCTACACAGTGTCTTGCTCTGTTGCCCAGGCTGGAGTGCAGTGGCACAATCTCAGCTCATTGCAACCTCCGCCTCCCAGGTTCATGTGATTCTCATGCCTCAGCCTCCCGAGTAGCTGGGATTACACGCGTGAGCCACCACGCCCAGCTAATTTTTGTATTTTTTTGTAGAGATGGGGTTTCACCACGTTGGCCGGAACTGCTGACCTGAATTGATCGACCCGCCTCGGCCTCCCTAAGTGCTGGGATTCTAGGTGTGAGACACTGCACCTGGCCTTAAAATTTCAATTTAACATATTTTAAAGAAGTGCTATGTGTCAGTCACCCTGTTAGGAACTCAGAATACAAAGATAAATAGGGATACATGAGAACAGAGAAATAAAGTTTATTTGAATACTTTTTTTTTTTTTTTGAGACAGAGTTTCACTCTGTCGCCCAAGCCGGAGCGCAGTGGTGTGATCCTGGCTCACTGCAACCTCCACCTCCCAGGTTCAAGTTATTTGAATAATTCAATCTGGACCATAATTTAGCCTCCAGAAGGGTCTGAAGAGTATGGATGTCTGTTGAAATTAAAAGGGAGCTAAGGGATTCAACCAAGTCTCTTAATTGTGCTTTTTAAGACTTTCTCAGGCAGGGCTCTGTGGCTCATGCCTGTAATCCCAGCACTTTGAGAGGCCGAGCTCAGAAGTTCCAGACCATCCTGGGAAACATAGTAAGACCCTTCCTCTACCAAAAAAAAAAAAAAACTTTTTAAATTAACTGGGCATGGTGGGTGTGCCTGTGGTTCCAGCTACTAGAGAGACTGTGGTGGGAGGACTGCTTGAGCCCAGGTGTTCCATACCAGCCCTGGCAACATAGGGAGACCCTGTCTCTAAAAAAAGAAAAATGTAAAAATTAGCCAGGCATGGTGGCGCCCGTAGTCCCAGCTACTCTGGAGGCAGAGGTGGGAGCCCAGGAGGTAGAGGTTGCAGTGAGCTGAGATGGTGCCACTCCACTCCAACCTAGGTGACTGGGTGAGACCCTGTCTCCAAAAACAAACAAACAAACAAACAAACAAAAAACAAGCACCATTAAGAACATACAAATGAGAGAGGCTGGGAGAAAATATTTGCAAATCACTTATCTTCTTTTTTGAGAGGCGTGATCTTGGCTCACTGCAACCTCCGCCTCCCAGGTTCAGGCGATTCTCTTGCCTCAGCCTCCCGAGTAGCTGGGACTACAGGCGCACATCACTATTCCCAGCTAATTTTTGTGTTTTTAGTAGAGACAAGGTTTCACCATATTGGCCAGGATGATCCCAATCTCTTGACCTCGTGATCCGCCCACCTCGGCCTATCCAAAGTGCTGGGATTACAGGTGTGAGCCACTGCGCCCGGCCAGTAAATACCCTATTTTAAAAATTAGTGCCTTCCTGGAAGAAGTTGCAAAAAAAAAAAAAAAAAAAGGCAAAATATCTCAATAAACGTTTCAACAAAGAAGATAAACAAATGGTTTAATATGCACATGAAAAGATGCTCAATATCCTTAGTCACGAGGGAAATGCAAAACGAAACCACAAGTAGATACTGCTTCACAACTTAACTAGAATGGCTGTCATCAAAAACAAAGGCCGGGTGTGGTTAGTGCCTCAAGCCTATAATCCCAGCACTTTGGGAGGCTGAGGAGGGAGGATCATTTGAGCCCAGTTCAAAACCAGGCAGGGCAGCACAACCAGACCTTCTCTTTGCCAAAAAAAAAAAAAAAAAGCCCATTTGGTGGCCTGCACCTGAAGGCGGGATTGCTTGAACCTAGGCAGTCACGGTGGCAGTGACCTATGATTTTGCCATTAAACTCCAACCCCTGTGACAGAGCCAGACTCTTATCAAAAATTAATTAAAAATAAAAAACTCAGCAAAGTCTAAGTAATCACAATTTTATTTAAAAAATATGGGCTGGGTGCAGTGGCTCATGCCTGTAATCCCAGCACTTTGGCAGGCCGAGGCAGTCGGATCACCGGAGGTCAAGAGTTTGAGACCAGCCTGACCAACATGGAGAAACCCCGTCTCTACTATAAAAATACAAAAATTAGCTGGGCATGGTGGCGCATTCCTGTAATCCCAGCTACTTGGGAGCCTGAGGCAGGAGAATCGCCTGAACCCGGGAGGCAGAGGTTGTGGTGAGCCGAGATCGCACCATTACACTCCAGCCTGGGCAACAAGAGCAAAACTCCATCTCAAAAATAAATAAATAAAGACTACAGAAACAAAGAAAAAAGCATACACATTGATTACAATTACCTAAAAATCTTTAAAGGATATTAATATGCAAAAGCGAAAAACATGTATAGGTACTGGAATAATTTTATTTTTGCTTGAAAAAACACTTAATGAGAGCCGGGTGTGGTGGCTCATGCCTGTAACCCCAGAACTTTGGGAGGCCGAGGTGGGTCGATCAGGAGTTTTAGACCACCCTGGCCAACTTGGTGGAACTCCGTCTCTACTAAAAATACAAAAAATTAGCTGGGCGTAGTGGTCCACGCCTATACTCCCAGGTACTCAGGAGGCTGATGCAGGAGAATCACTTGAACCTGGGAGGCAGAGATTGCAGTGAGCTGAGATCGTGCCACTGCACTCCACCCTGGGAAACAGAGCAAGACTCCGTCTCAAAAAAAAAAATTAGCTGCATGGGTGGTGTGTGCCTGTAGTCCTAGTTACTCAGGAGGCTTAGGTGGGAGTATTGCTTGAGGCCAGGAGTTTGAGGCTGCAGTGAATTATAATCGCGCCACTGCACTCCAGCCTGGGTGACAGAGCAAGACCTTGACTCTTATAAAAAAAAAAAAAAAGGATTGTGAAATTTTCATCAATTCTCAGCAAATTAAAACAATTGATTGAATGTTTTAAATGTCACTTAAAAAAAACTAAGTGCATGGAAAAATCAACTTCAGTATCTTTAGAAGAAAAAAGTGGACTTAGGAAATCAGATGAAAAGGGGATGGTGAGAAATCAGTGCAAACAGTGGAAACTTTGCTTCCAAGGAGACAAAAAATACACAGTGGAAGTCGAAACAGACTTTTATTTTAAAAAGTATTCTTGATAATGTGTTCAAAGACTGCCCTGGCTACAGCCCAGGACTGGCAGTAAATACAACCAGCTTTGGGGAGGAATCTCCCTCTGGGGAATGTGGAATCACAGATGCTGACAGCCCAAAGGAGGCACTGGAAACAGGTGAGTGAAACTCCTGGGGAGAATCTTAGCTGAGGAATTAGCTAGGGAAACTCCCTAAGCATGAAGGTTTCTATGGCAGATCAGGATCACTTACCCTTTCAAGCACTCAGGTTTTGTTTGCAGGCAAATTGTTTACACAATCAGAGGACTCAGTTGCCAGGAAACAGTCAATGTCCCCAGCTCATTAGTCTGATGGCAAATAAATCTACCAATATCAAGGCACCGGGCCTGGTCCCTGAGCCAAGATCAAGTCCAATTGATGCTGTGGATAATTTCCTACGTGGCTTTTTTTTTTTTTTTGAGACAGAGTCTCGTTCTGCTGCCCAAGCTGGAATGCGTACAATCTCGGCTCACTGCAACCTCCACCTCCCAGATTCAAGCGAGTGCCTCAGCCTCCTGAGTAGCTGAGATTATAGGCGCTCACCACCACACCCAGCTATTTTTTTTTTTTTTAGTAGAGACAGGGTTTCACCATGTTGCCCAGGTTGGTCACAAATCCTGGCCTCAAGTGATCGGCCCGCCTAGGCCTCCCAAAGTGCTGGGATTACAGGCGTGAGCCACCGCGCCCAGCTGGCTTCTTCCTTTTCAAAGGCCTCCCTCATCTTGTCAGTCATTTCCTTGCTGACTTCAGTCTGTTCATATTCCCCTTCTATTTGCTTTCTGAAGACATCCAGGGTTTGAACAGGAGAGTCTTAGCCACTAGGAGAAAGGTGATGTGTGCTAAATTTTGCTTTCAGGATCATGGAACTTTGAAGCCGTGAGGGAGGAACTTTCTGTTCCCCTGAAGTTTCTGAACTGCTTCTGCAAGTGTGGTCTGGGAACGGTAACATCATTATCTGGGAGTCTGTTGGAAATGCAAATTCCTGGGTCCCAACTAGAACTACTGAATCAGAATCTGTTGGGAGGAGGGTCCAGCAATCTGTTTTGAAAAGCCCTGCAGCTGATTCTGATGCTTGCCAACATGCAGGAAGCACTGGACTATACCATCTTGTTATTAGACAACTATGCAGGAAAATAGCTGTGTTATCAGACTGTATTCAAAGGCCCTGAAACCTAAATATTTGCTGATTCTGATGCTTGCTAAAGTGCAAGAAGCACTGGGCTATACCATCTTGTTATTAGACAACTATGCAGGAAAATAGCTATGTTATCAGGGCCTGTATTCAAAGGCCCTGAAGCTTAAATATTTTAAAATATTTCTTACAGCTGGACATGGCAGCTCACACCTATATTCCCAGCACTTTGGGAGGCCAAGGTGGAAGGATCACTTGAACCCAGGAGTTGAAGACAAGCCTGGGCAACATATCAAGACCCTCTTTTAAAAAAAAAAAAAAAAAAAAAAAGCCAGGCACGGAGGCTCTCATGCCTATAATCCCAGCACTTTGGGAGGCCACGGCAGGCAGATCATGAGGTCAGGAGTTCAAGACCAGCCTGGTCAACATGGTGAAACCCTGTCTCTACTAAAAATACAAACATTAGCTGGGCATGGTGCTATGTGCCTGGTAATCCCAGCTACTGAGGGGGCTGAGGCAGGAGAATGGCTTGAACTCAGGAGGCAGAGGTTGCAGTGAGCCGAGATTGTGCCACTGCACTCCAGCCTGAGTGACAGAGCAAGACTCTGTCTCAAAAACAAACAAACAAACAAAAAACCCACAAAAAACAGCCGGGCACGGTGGCTCACACCTGTAATCCCAGAACTTTGGGAGGCCGAGGCGGGCGGATCACCTGAGGTCGGGAGTTTGAGACCAGCCTGACCAACATGGAAAAACCCCGTCTCTACTAAAAAAATACAAAATTAGTGGGGCGTGATGGTGCATGCCTGTAATACCAGCTACTCAGGAGGCTGAGGCAGGAGAATTGCTTGAACCTGGGAGGCAGAGGTTGTGGTAAGCCGAGATTGCACTATTACACTCCAGCCTGGGGAACAAGAGTGAAACTCCATCTCAAAAACCAAAACAAAAACTCCACAAAAAAACCAGAAAACTGTAATTCAATAGGTAATGCTGTGTTCCAATAATTTTTTTTTTTTTTTTTGAGACGGAGTCTCGCTCTGTCACCCAGGCTAGAGTGCAGTGGCGCGATCTCGGCTCACTGCAAGCTCTGCCTCCCGGGTTCATGCCATTCTCCTGCCTCAGCCTCCTGAGTAGCTGGGACTACAGGCACCTGCCACCACGCCCGGCTAATTTTTTTTGTATTTTTAGTAGAGAAGGGGTTTCACCGTGTTAGCCAGGATGGTCTCGATCTCCTGACCTCATGATCCACCTGCCTCGGCCTCCCAAAGTGCTGGGATTACAGGCGTGAGCCACCGCGCCCCACCAAGACACATCTTTTAAAAACAGACACATACAGTTAGTGAAGAGACTTAACAAGACCATGATCTTACCATAATATTTTATATTGAATCTAACATGTTACATTTTTTTCCAAATGCTTTTCTTGCCTAACAAAAATGGGGGTGTAACCCCATCACAAGAAAAGACCCATACAGGTGAAACCCCATCTCTACTAAAATACAAAAAATTAGCTGGGAGTGGTGGCGTGCACCTGTAGTCCCAGCTACTCGAGAGGCTGAGGCAGGGGAATCGGTTGAACCTGGGAGGCGGAGGTTGCACTGAGCTGAGATTGCGCCACTGCACTCAAACCTGGCAACAGAGCGAGACTCCATCTCAAAAAAAAAAGAAAAAAAGAAAAAAGAAGACCCATACAATTCTGATGTCCCTGTGCTAATTTTATGCATGGGATGCTATACTTGCCCTAGTTCATTAATTTCCCAAGGAAATTAGCACTTATAACCCACTCCTCTGATTTTACCAAAACAACAAAGAATTATACACACACACACATACACACACACAGTCATGTACATTTACATTTAAAACATTTTATGAGGGATAAAATATAGTCTTTTTCTATCAGTATGTTCACACTTCCTGGCCTCTCATTGGGAAGCTGTAAGATGTCCTTCAATAAGATCCTGAACACGCGACAGAATAATCTCATTAGAGCTGCTGCAATTTTCTGGACCATATGGTGGGTCTATAGTCAGGACCCCAGCCACACAGAGAGTCCTTGGAGCGTCTCCCTGTTCAGTGATGGGGATGTGGTTCTTCTCAAGCCATTTCTTTAGGCTGTTCTTTCTCTCTTCCAGATCCTCTGGGCTGTATGCTTTGCAGTCTCCAGACGTGAACAAATGCATCAGCTTCTCCCTCACTCTATGGTCCCCTTCATTCATAGTTTCAACAGTCTGCACAGCATGTCCCATAATTCCGGTCACAGACATGCTGCCATCTTCAAGGAAGTTCACAAGGACAATACTTTGGAGGAAAAGTAAGTTTAGAGGCATCATCAACCCAAGTAGGTCACTAAAATAATAGATGACACTCTACTCTGTTTGAAATTAATCCTGTCACCAATGAATGCTTCCATTTATTCAACAAACATTCACTAAGGATCCTAAATAGGTAAACTTTTTGCCCAGCCTACAGCCAATCATTGTGGGATACAGTTAAAGGATTAAACAAGTTATGAATGCCTTAAATGTGTATTAGAAAAGAAGGCAGGGTAGCCAGGCGCGGTGGCTCACGCCTGTAATCCCAGCACTTTGGGAGGCCGAGGCGGGTGGATCACGAGGTCAGGAGTTCAAGACCAACCTCTGGCCAAGATGGTGAAACCCAATCCCTACTAAAAATACAAATATTAGCTGGGTGTGGTGGCAGTCACCTGTAATCCCAGCTACTTGGGAGGCAGAGGCAGAGAATTGCTTGAACCTGGGAGGCAGAGGTTGCAGTGAGCCGAGATCATGCCACTGCACTCCAGCCTGAGCAAGACTCTGTCGTGGAAAAAAAAAAAAAAAGAAGAAGGCAGGGTAGACTTAACTTTTAGAGTTAAAAAAACAATAACTAGGCCGGGCATGGTGGCTCACGCCTGTAATCCCAGCACTTTGGGAGGACAAGGCGGGCAAATCACTTGAGGTAAGGAGTTCAAGGCCAGCCTGGCCAACATGGTGAAACCCCATCTCTACTAAAAATATAAAAATTAGCCGGGTGTGGTAGCACATGTCTATAATCCCAGCTACTTAGGAGGCTGAGGCAGGAGAATCACTTGAATCCGGGAGGCAGAGGTTGCAGTGAGCCGAGATCGAGCCATTGAACTCCAGCCTGGGCAACAGAGCAAGGCTCCATCTCAAAAAAAAAAGGTCAGGTGAGGTGGCTCACGCCTATAACCCCAACACTTTGGGAGGTCAGGTGGGTGGATTGCAAGGTCAGGAAATGGAGACCGTCCTGGCTAACATGGTGAAACCCCATCTCTACTAAAAATACACGCCTGTAATCCCAGCTACTTAGGAGCCTGAGGCAGGAGAATCACTTGAACTGGGAAGGTGGAGGTTGCAGTGAACTGAGATCACGCCACTGCACTCCAGCCTGGGCAACACAGCGAGACTCCATCTCAAAAAAAAAAGTTTTTGTGGTTACATTTATTTAAAGTCCTTATCTTTTTCTTTTTTTTTTTTTGAGACGGAGTCTTGCTCTGTCATCCAGGCTAGAGTGCAGTGGCGCGATCTCAGCTCACGGCAAGCTCTGCCTCCCAGCTTCACGCCATTCTCCTGCCCCAGCCTCCTGAGTAGCTGGGACTACAGGTGCCTGCTACCACGCCCGGCTAATTTTTTTTGTATTTTCAGTAGAGACGGGGTTTCACCATGTTAGCCAGGATGGTCTCGATCTCCTGACCTCGTGATCCACCCGCCTCGGCCTCCCAAAGTGCTGGGATTACAGGCGTGAGCCACCATGCCCGGCCTTAAAGTCCTTTTCTTTTAAGAGATATAGTGAAGTATTTATAAACAAAATTATAGGCTGGGGACGGTGGCTCAAGCCTATGATCCTAGCACTTTGGGAGGCCAAGGTGGGCAGATCACCTGAGGTCAGGAGTTTGAGACCAGCCTGGCCAACATAGCGAAACCCCGTCTCTACTAAAAATACAAAAAATTAGTGGGGCATGTTGGCACATGTGTGTAACCCCAGCTACTGGGGAGGCTGAGGCATGAGAATCACTTGAACCTGGGAGGCAGAAGTTGCAGTGAGCCAAGATTGTAACTGCACCACTCCAGCCTGGGCAACAGAGTGAGACTTCATCCCACCCCCGAAAAAAAAAAAAAAAAAAAAAAAAAAATATATATATATATATATATATATATATAGTAAGAATAATTTCTATGCCCAATTTCTATGAAGTTGCCTGGTCTGATAAGGTAATCCATAGTCAGAACAGCATTTAGATTCAAAGGCAGTTAAGTTCTCATATGTAGGCCGGGTACAGTGACTCAGCCTGTAATGCCAGCACTCTGTGACGCTAAGGTGGGCAGATCCTTGGAGATCAGGAGTTTGAGACCAACCTGGGCAACATGGCGAAGCCCCGTCTCCACAAAAAATACAAAAATTAGCCAGACGTGGTGGCAAATGCCTGTAGTCCCAGCTACTCGGGAGGCTAAGGCAGGAGAATCGCTTGAACCTGCGAGGTGGAGGTTACAAAGAGCCGAGATCTCGCCACTGCATTCCAGCCTGGGTGACAGTAGAACCCTGTCTCAAACAAACAAAAAATTCTTATATGAAAATATTAATAATTAGCTTTTCATTTATCTGCTTTCTTAGTTTGTCTATAACATACAGGCAGCACAAAGGGGTGTCAAGATTTCAGGCAAGTAGGATGCATACTCACTTGGCAGAGACTGGGTCTGTAGTTAAAACCCATCCTTTATACTCATTCTTCTCACTGGCTGTCACTCGGACCTCTTTGTAAATGTAATCTTGCCATTCTAAGGGGCCTTTCTTCATCCATTCACTCATGATTGCCACCTGGCTAAATCTGAAACAACCACCAGTGCTGGTTAATATATGTTCCACGTAAGCAAATGTCTTATCCCTAATCTCCATCCTATCCTAGAGACAGAGAACATCTGTGATTTGCCTCAAGTTCGTAATAAGTAACTTAATACAATTAAGTATTAATGCATGTACTGATAGGAACTGATACTATAGTTGGGGAAAAGAACACGTGTAAAGGCTGCTTGAGAATTTTTATCAGGAAAAGGAAAATAGTTAATATGTACAATTCGGCCTAAAGCAGAGGGGTCACCGATTTGCCGCGGGTGCAGTCTGAGGAAATTCATCTGGCACAGGTCTATTCCGATCCACAACCACATTCCAAATCGCTTTCACTCTGGCCTGCAGATGATGCTCAAACCCTTCAACTCTGCTTTTCCTTCCATCGATCAAAGGAGTTCACCCCACTCCTCAACTGAACCAGAAAACTCTCCTGATATCCACCCACGCGCTCTCTGGCTCTGTGTCTCCGCTGGATCCCGCCATCGAGAGGCTCCCCCGATTTATGACAACTGCCCCTTAAAATTTGTTTGAAGGATGCACAAACGAAGGGCCAGCGGCTACAGCTCTAGAGCTTAGATTTCTGGTCCTGTCCTGCAGCCACACGATACCTAACACTGTACTAAAAACCAAATGGTACTTAACGTTTAACCCTGACAAACGAGAAAAATACCAGTTAAAAAACTCCTCGCAACTCTGGGTACTCAGCAACCATGCTTTGAGGAAGGATCGTTGAGCGGAGACCGCCTGAGACCAGCATGCTTTGCGCCGATCGTCACTTCCTTCCCCCAGAAACCTCTGTTTTGTAGTCCTACTTGGAGGTCTGAGAGTCGCGGGACCTAGAGTGCAGGGTGCGGACAGAGTCTAAGATTGTTCTGTAATAATAATAATAATAATGAACCGCCATGTCCTCTAAGGCTATCCCTCTCCATTGCCACGACGGACAGTTCAAATAATCTTTTTTTCTTTAAAGAGGAAAAAGCGGCCGGGCGCGGTGGCTCACGCCTGTAATCCCAGCACTTTGGGATACCGAGGCGGGTGGATCAGGAGTTCGAAACCGGTCAGGAGTTCGAGACCAGCCTGGCCAACATGGTGAAACCCCGTCTCTACTAAAAATACCAAAAATTAGCCGGGCCTAGTGGCGGGCGCCTGTAATCCCAGCTACTCAGGAGGCTGAGACAGGAGAATCGCTTGAACCCGGGAGGCGGAGGTTGCAGTGTGCTGAGATCGCACCATTGCACTCCAGCCTAGGCAACAAGAGCGAAACTCCGTCTCAAAAAAATTAAAAATAAAAATAAATAAAGAGGAAAAAGCTCGTGCCAGGTCCTCAATGATAGTAGACTTGGAAATGCACTTTCGCCTTAGAATCAAAGCACATGAACCCTCAGAGTAAATCCTAAAGCTCTAGGAATGTGAGGTGAACGTGCCGTGGAGAAGAGCGATAGGGTTGCTACAGGAAAGGGGTCCTGATCCAGACCCCAGGAGAGAGTTGTTGGATCTCGCGCAAGAAAGAATTCAGAGCGAGTCCGCAGTGCAAAGCAAAAGCAAGTTTAGTAAGAAAGTAAAGTGGTGAAAGAACAGCTGCTCCATAGACAGAGTAGGATGTTCCCGAAAGTAAGAGGAAAGTGTCCACCCTAGATACAATAGTCCTATGTATGAGGAGATGCGCTCTGCTACAAGGGTTTATGATAAAGGATTAATTTTCTTAATTACTATATTTTTCAAGCATCAATACTATTATCTTTAAAGCAAAATTAGGAATGCCTTTGTTCTCCAGGTATTGCGATATCTGGACACTCCCAAGTCTGGGTCTGTTTAGTAAACTTTTTTTTTTTTTTTTTTTTTTTTGAGACAGAGTCTCACACTGTCACCCAGGTGGAGTGCAAAGGTGCGATCGAGGCTCACTGGAACCTCCACCTGCCGGCTTCAAGCGATTCTCGTGCCTCAGCCTCCCTAGTGGCTAGGATTACAGGCATGCACCACCACATCTGGCTAATTTTTGTATTTTTAGTAGAGACGGGTTTTTGCAATGTTGGCCAGACTGGTCTCAAACTCCTGACCTCAAGTGATCCGCCCGCCTCGGCTTCCCAAAATGCTGGGATTACAGGTGTGAGCCACCGCGCCCGGCGGTAAACGTTATTAATGTCTTCCCTTAACCGTAAACATCTAGAGGCTGGGAATGCCTAACTTTCTGAGAATGCAGACCAGCAAGTCCCAGCCTCATTTTCCTAGCCCTCACTCAAAACGGAGTCACTCTGGTTCCAACGCCTCTGACACGGCCAAGGTATTTCTTGTTTGCTTGGCTTGTATAGGCAATTAAAATGCCTGCTCCTTTGGGATGTGCCCTCAGTACAATCTTGAGAAAGGTGCAGAAGCTGGAAAGAAATGAACCAAACCGGGTTGAATTTTGTCTAGCAGATCACTCTCTATAAACCCCTCCAGTGGAAAAGTGCAAAAGACTTGCTTCTGCTACGGATTTCTGGTCACGCACTTAACTGGCTTCTGGCATGATCCAGAATCTTTTTTAGGACTGAAAAACGGTACAAGGTGGTAAACGCTGAATTCCTGGAAATGTAAAAACCAAGGGAGATTTACAAAAACCAAATGAAAACACTATTAAACAAAGGTGTAGAAAACATCAAAAATGTATCAGCTTTTTCCTTACTCCTTGAGATTTAGGTTCCATATAATCTTCAAAGTATATTTTCTTATTGTCATCATTTGAATCTTTCCCATAGCCTTTATTCGTTGCATGATTGGCTGATTATATTAATGTAGTTTTAGTGGATTCTTAGATTTTGCTGGTTAAAGCCCTCTGTAAATCTACTAAGAGCTCATATAAGTGCCAATTGTTATCACAGTGTGAAGGAAAACACTTGAACTCGTAAAAATTCAGTCCAAAAGAGTTACAACCAACATGTCACAAACTGTTCATTTTCTTTTCTTTTTTTTTTTAGCGAGACTCCGTCTCGCTCTATCACCAGGCTGGAGTGCAATGGCACGATCTCAGCTCACTGCAACTTCCGCCTCCTGGGTTCAAGTGATTCTCCTGCCTCAGCGTCCTGACTAGCTGGGACTACAGGCGCCTGTCACCATGCCCAGCTAATTTTTGTATTTTTTTAGTACAGAAGGGGTTTCACCATGTTGGCCGGGATGGTCTCGATCTCTTGACCTTGTGATCTGCCTGCCTCGGCATCCCAAAATGCTGGGACTACAGGCGTGAGCCACCGTGCCCCGCCAACAAACTGTACATTTTCATTTTAAGCTATAATCTATACTCCATACTCCAGAACGAAAGACTTTGGCCTTTGTGCGTGTGTGTGTGTGTGTATTCTACAAGTAGAAACTAGTGTCAAGGTAAACTTCAGTTACTCCCCATCCTTTTTTTGTTTTGTTTTTGGTTTTGGTTTTGAGACAGGGTCTCATTCTTTCTTCCAGGGTGAAGTGCAGTGCAAGGATCATGATTCACTGCAGACTGGATTTCCTGGGTTCAAGCGATCCTCCTGTCCCAGCTTCCAGAGTAACAGGGACTACAGGCATGTGCCACCATGCCCTCCCTGCTAATGTTTTTCTGTTTGTTTGTTTGTTTGTTTTAATTTTTGGTAGAGACAAGTTCTTGCCATGTTGCCGAGGATGGTCTCTTAACTCCTGAGCTCAAGCGAGCTCAAGCGATCCTCCTGCCTCGGCCTCGCAAGCTGCTGGGATTACAGGCATGAGTCACCCTGCCTGGCCAGTTACCCTTTTTAAGGTGATGAGACTGGGGCAATTTCCCTACCTTTTTGCCCCTTTAGCCTCCTAAGTAAAATTCTCGGGAACTGCTGATGCAAATCACTGACTTCTAAGAGACTGTTGCCCAGCCCACTTCCTAATACAAGTTCTCAGAATGGCCCTCTCCTGTAGCTGGTTGTCACTGAGTTCAAATGGTGCCACCTCCTTTCCTAGGTCAGCCCTTACCCTTGGTCCCCCTAGAGCCTCTCCCACTCCAGTTGGTGTCCCTCTCCTCACATTGTCTTCTTTTCTACTTCTCCTCTATCTCCTTCCAAAGGTTTGCCTGCCTCACCCTCAAACCCACAAACACACACATACCTTTCTCTGCCAAATCCAAAATGACTTATTTTATTTTATTTATTTATTATTGTTATTATTTTACACAGTCTTACTCTGTCATGCAGGCTGGAGTGTAGTGGCGCCACTCGGCTCATTGCAGCCTTGATCTCCCAGGATCAAGCAATCCTCGTGCCTTGGCCTCCCAAGTAGTTGGGACTACAGGAATGCTCCACCATGCCTGGGTAATTTTTTGTAGAGACAGGGTCTCACTGTGTTGCTACACTGGTCTTGAACTCCTGGGCTCAAACAATCTGCCAGCCTTGGCCTCTCAAACTACTAGGATTACAGGGGTGAGACACAGTACCCAGCCACTTCTTTAACAAACTTCTGTTTGTTAGAACTTGTGCCAGGCACTATTCTAATTACTTTCAAACATTCACTCATTTGGTGAATGAGTAAATAGGCTATAGACAATGGAGAAATTTTGATATATGGAGTGGCATGATTCAATTAGTATATTAGAAAGGATTAGAATCAGTAAATAAGCTACAGAGAATGGGGAAATTTTGATTTATGGGATGATGATATGATTAAATTAGCATATTAGAAAGGATGCTGAGAAATTGGATATGGGGAAAATAGTGAAGTATAGAGCAGCTACACCATGAGACATTATGTAAAATATACTTTCCTGCTTAGACCAATAGTATTACGAAAAAGACTCCAGAACAACCATCTCTCTAATAGAAAATCCAGGCCGGGCATGGTGGCTCACGCCTGTAATCCCAAGACTTTGGGAGGCCAAGGTGGGAGGATTACAAGGTCAGGAGTTCAAGACCAGCCTGATCAATATGATGAAACCCCATCTCTACTAAAAATACAAAAATTAGCCAGGCATGGTGACTTGAGCCTGTAATCCCAGCTACTCAGGAGGCTGATGCAGGAGAATCACTTGAACCCGGGTGGTGGAGGTTGCAGTGAGCTGAGATCGCACTACTGTACTCCAGTCTGGGCGACAGAGAAAGATTCCATCTCAAAAAAAAAAAAAAAGAAAGAAAAAGAAAGAAAGAGAGAAAGAAAGAAAGAAAGAAAGAAAGAAAGAAAGAAAGAAAGAAAGAAAGAAAGAGAAAGAAAGAAAGAGAAAGAAAGAAGAAAATCCAATTTTAGGCTGGGAGAGGTGGCTTATGACTACAATCCCAGCACTTTGGGAGGCCGAGGCCAGTGGATCGCTTGAGGTCAGGAGTTGGAGACCAGCCTGGCCAACATGGTGGAACCCCATCTCTACTAAAAATACAAAAAATTAGCCGGATGTGGTGGTGCGCACCTGTAGTCCCAGCTGCTCAGGAGGCCAAGGAACCAAGAATCGCTTGAACCTGGGAGGCAGAGGTTGCAGTAAGCTGAGACTGCACCACTGCACTCCAGCCTGGGCGACAGGGCAAGACATTGAAAAAAAAGAAAGAACGAAGGGAGGGAGGGAGGGAGGGAGGGAGGGAGGCAGGAAGGAAGGAAGGAAGGAAGGAAGGAAGGAAGGAAGGAAGGAAGGAAGGAAAGATCCAATTTTAGAGAGGGTGTCTCCAAATTGATTGTTGTAATCTGCCCTGCCCAGAGGGAAGGTTTTACAGCCTCAGAGAGGGAGGATTGGTTTCCCTAGCAGTAAATTGGAGGTAAGATTGTTTTCCAAGCATGAAAATGCTTTGGTTGGGTGTGGTGGCTCACTCCTGTAATCCCAGCACTTTGAGAGACTGAGGCGGGAGGATTGCTTGAGATCAGGAGTTCAAGACCAGCCTGGCCAACATGGCGAAACCCCATTTCTACTAAAAATACAAAAATGAGCCAGGTGTGATGGTGCGCATCTGTGGTCCCAGCTACTTGGGTGGCTGAGGCAGGAGAATCACTTGAACCCAGGAGGGGTAGGGTGCAAGGAGCCAAGATCACGCCACTGCACTCCAGCCTGGGTGACAGAGCGAGACTCCATCTCAAAAAAAAAGAAAAAAAAATCATCTGTTCAATGGAAATGTTAAGAAAAAAAGAGAAAGAAGGAAAAAGTGCTTCAATAGCACTATATCTGTGTTTATGTACAGGAAAGTGACAGTGAGGTACCTTCTCCAAGCTCTAATAAACTGGCGCTAAAAATTAAACTGAATGGACGTGAGCACTTCACTGGGTGCAGTGGCTCACACCCGTGATCCCAACACTTTGTCAAGACCCTGTCTAAAAGAAAAAACACAGCATACACCAAATTTTGTTAGAAAAGAGATTAAGGGCCGGGCGCGGTGGCCCAGACTGTAATCCCAGCACTTTGAGAGGCCGAGGCAGGTGGATCATCTAAGGTCAAGAGTTGGGGCATGGTGGTGGGCACCTGTAATCCCAGGTACTCGGGAGACTGAGGCAGGAGAATTGCTTGAACCCGGGAGGCGGAGGTTGCAGTGAGCCAAGATCGGGCCACTGCACTCCAGCCTGGCAACAGAGCGAGACTCCATCTCAAAAAAAAAAAAAAAAGAAAAAGAAAACAGCTCTCTTTCTAATGAGAGAGAGAGGATTTCCAAGAGGAAAAGGCCCTCAAGAGCCCTTTGGAATTTGAAACTTTGAGCTTTGAGAAGTTTCCTACATTGCAGGAAGTGGAAACTTAAATTCATCTTTGCAGAAGGTCTTTGCTTTGTTGTGAGAAAAGACCTTTTAGTTATAGAACTAAAGCAAGTCCTCATCTAACTCTAATGTTGAAACCGCCCCTATAAACTTTATAAGATTAATCGGGGAAGAAATGAGGGGAAGAAACAAAACTAAACCAAGTTTGCAGCACATTCAGCATTAATCCTGAGGTCAGCTTGCTCCCTGACCTGTTTCCTCATAGTTGTTTGGTGCCTATTATCCTAGGATCATGTAGACCCCGTTAGAAGATTTTAGTTCCCCTTAACTGCTCTAGAGATAACTTGAACATTACTAAAGGGTTTCCCTTTGAGACATGCCTTTAGATCCCACATACTGGTAAAACTCCTATGCCAGCTGATCTGCAGGACCTCGCTGATGCCAGCTGGTCTGAGGGACCTCACAAAAAGCTGATTCACCAAAGAATGCAGTTTCCACATCCTGATGATTTCATCCCCTTTGCCCCGACCAGTTGATAACCCCAAATTTCTGGCCCCTTGCCCTACATGATAGCCTTTAAAACCCAAACCCAAGGCTGGGCATGGTGGCTCACGCCTGTAATCCCAGCACTCTGGGAGGCTGAGACAGGTGGATCACTTGAGGTCAGGAGTTCGAGATCAGCCTGGCCAGCATGGCAAAACCCCGTCTCTACTAAAAATACAAAAAATTAGCCAGGCGTAGTGTGGGACGCCTGTAATTCCAGCTACTCGGGAGGCAGAGGCAGGAGAATCTCTTGAACCTGGGAGGCAGAGGTTGCAGTGAGCCGAGATCGTGCCATTGCACTCCAGCCTGGGCAACAAAAGCAAAACTCAGTTTCAAAAAAAAAAAAAAAAAAAACAAGGCCGGGCGTGGTGGCTCACGCCTGTAATCCCAGCACTTTGGGAGGCCGAGGCGGGCGGATCACGAGGTCAGGAGATCGAGATCATCCTAGCTAACGCGGTGAAACCCCGTCTTTACTAAAAATACAAAAAATTAGCCGGGCATGGTGGCGGGCGCCTGTAGTCCCAGCTACTCGGGAGGCTGAGGCAGGAGAATGGAGTGAACCCGGGAGGCGGAGCTTGCAGTGAGCCGAGATCGCACCACTGCACTCCAGCCTGGGCGACAGAGCGAGACTCCGTCTCAAAAAAAAAAAAAAAAAAAAAACCCAAGCTCAGAACTCCTTGGATAGATGGGTTTGAAAATCTCCTCCCGTCTCCTCATCTCCTCAGTTGGCACCCTGCCATCATTAAACTCTCTGCCACATCCCTGATGTCTCAGTGTAATGGATCTGTTACTGTGCAGTGGGCATACAAACCTATTGGTCCTGTAACAGTGTATTGGGAGAAAACAGTGATATTGCAATTAATCTGAAAGCATGTGCTCTAGAGTTAGACTGAACAGCCAAATGAGCTGGTGCATTCATAGTTGTATATAGTTCAGTCATGTTATAATTTGGTTTTAAAGTACCTGTCTAAATGCTGTAGCTCAGTGTTACCTAGATACCAAATGGATATTTATTAAAATGAAATTACATTCCCCCACCACCACCACCAAAAAAAGTATTGTACATTATAGTGGTTTAAAATTAGAAAACTTTCTTTTTTGAGAGACTGGGTCTCACACTGTCACCCAGGCTGGAGTGCAATGGTATAATCATAGCTCACTTGCAGCCTCAAGCTCCTGGGCTCAACTGTTCTTCCCACCTCAGCCACTCAAGTAGCTGGGACCACAGGCGTGCACCACTACGTCCAGTAGAAAACTTTAAAATCAGATTAAGAACTAGAAATCAAGATAACTGTAATTGATTAATTCCAGCTCCCAAAAGCAGCCTCCCAAAGTGTTAGGATTACAGGCATGAGCCACCATGCCCGGCCTAAAATAAACCTTTTTAAGGCTCATAGTAAGTACTTAAATATCTGTTGATTGAAGTGAGATTTCATTTGCTAGGAGAGAGTTCAGTTCAAGTTTTTCTAAAAAGTCCCTGAGAAAAGAATGCACTATTTAGGGCAGACTATGTCTTAATGCACACAGCCTGATTGGATAGACAGGCACTGGCTATAGGCTTCCAAGTTTCCATCTTTTAAGCCAGTGAAAGAAAAAAATCCAAGCTTTTTAGTTTGGCTTCAGCACTATCAGTAAACTCCCTAGAGCCTTTCTGCAGCGGAAGATGGGGTGGGCCCACTTCCACTGCAGGGACCAGAGTCATGATGGCTTTGATCTGTGACACTAGAAAACCTAGTTTGACTAAAAAGTTTATAAATCTGTCGATATAAATCTGCCCACTGCTCCAGTTGCTCCCATCACCAGAGCACTCAACAGTTGCTCATCCACCCTCAAAAGGAAGGTCAACTATTGCTGGCGATTCTGATCAACACATTGCCTGAAGTCTAAGATCTGTGTCACTGAATTTCAGCCTTTAGAAAGTGGGGCTCTTGGCCGGCCACACTGGCTCACACCTGTAATCCCAGCAATTTGGGGGCCAAGGCAGGCAGATCACTTGAGCTCAGGAGTTCAAGACCAGCCTGGGCAACATGGTGAAACCCCATCCCCTCAAAAAATACAAAATTTTGTCTGGGTGTGGAGGCACATGCCTGTAGTCCCAGCTACTCTTGAGGCTGAGGTGGGAAGATTGCTTGAGCCCAGGAGGCAGAGGTCACAGTGAGCCATGATGGTGCCACTGCACTCCAGCCTGGGCGAGAGCCAGACTCTGTCTCCACAAAAAAAAAAAAAAAAAGAAAAGAAAAAAAAAGTAAGTGGGGCTCTTATGCTGAATCTCATCAAACAGCTTCTCAGCACAAATCTTCACCCCTGTCAAGGCAGGAATGTGATAGTAATAAAATGCAGGGGTAGCAGCAGCTGCCTCTATTAGAAAATTAATCAGAGCATCTTTGTTTCATGGTTTGAAAAGAAAGGGGCAGGGACAGCAATGCTATTGGCTTCTATTTCTTTGGCATGTTGGGCCAGTTCTCATGATTCTTTCAAGCTCAGTACTCCTATATGAATCACTACCTGATCCAACATTTACCAGTTTATTATAAACAATATTATAAAGGATACATATGAAGAAATGTATATGGGGGGCCAGGCCCAGTGGCTGACACCTGTAATCCCAGCAATTTGGGAGGCCAAGGTGGGTGGATCACCTGAGGTCAGGGGTTCAAGACTAGCCTGGCCAACATGGTGAAACCCCATCTATACAGAAAATACAAAAATGAGCCGGGCGCGGTGGTGTGCGCCTGTAGTCCCAACTACTTGAGAGATTAAAGCAAGAGAATGACTTGAACCTGAGAGGTGGAGGTTGCAGTGAACCAAGATCATGCCATTGTACTCCAGCCTAGGCAATAAGAGTGAAACTCTGTCTCAAAAAAAAAAAAAGAAAAAAATGCATATGGGGGATGGGACGTGGAGTGTCTGTGCCTTCCCTGGGTGCACCACCCTCCAGGAATCTCTGTGTGTTCAGCTATCTGGAAACTCCGCCTACTACCCTTTTAATTTTATTGTGTTTTTCATTTTTTGAGACGGAGTCTTGCTTTGTTGCCAGGCTGGAATGCAGTGGCGCCATCTCAGCTTATTGCAAACTTCGCCTCCCAGGTTCAAGCGATTCTCCTGCCTCAGCCTCCCAAGTAGCTGGGATCACAGGCGCCCGGCACCACAGCCGGCTAATTTTTTGTATTTTTAGTAGAGACGGAGTTTTGCCATGTTGGCCAAGCTCTTCTCGAAGTCCTGACCTCAAGTGATCCAGCTGCCTAGGCCTCCCAAAGTGCTGGGATTACAGATGTAAGCCACTGCGCCCGACCTACTACCCTTTTTAACTGTGTCCCTTGATACCACTTGGTAGCTTATTATTATTGACAGATATGTTTTGGCAGCTGCTGAATGTAGCTTGGTTCACTTAACCATTTCCCACAGCCTTCTTATGAGGCTTCAAAGCTGAAAATCTTCAGTTTCGCTTGCAGGTAGGACTGGCCATATGAATACCTCTAGCCAATGAGATACACATGGAAGTCTCTAAGAAGGCCATCCCTTCTGGAATAAAAAAGGCAATACCTCCTAGGAAGGAGAAAGATCTTTTTGTCTCTTTACCATTCTTCCTTCAGCCTGCCTGGCTTGGACATAAGGCCTGGAGGTGAGGCAGCCTCTTTCCATCATGAGGAGACATTCATGAGAAGACTTACATGCTAAGTAGAAAGATAAAAGAAAAATCAGAAAAGCCATGAACTATCACACCTGAACTACCTACCTTCAGATTTCTTTTGTTTGGGACAAATTAATGCCTGTCTAATCCCTGTGTTTTGAGCGTTTCCACCCAAACGAAACCCTTTTCTTTGCTTTTCTTTGAGACAGGGTCTCACTCTGTCGCCCAGGCTGGAGTGCAGTGGTGCAATCTTGGCTCACTGCAACCTCCGCTTTGCTGGTTCAAGTGATTCTCATGCCTCTGTGTCCCCAGTAACTGGGATTACAGGCGAGCACCACCATGCCCGGCTAATTTTTGTATTTTTAGTAGAGATGGAGTTTCGCCATGTTGGCCAGGCTGGTCTCAAACTCTTGACCTCAAGTGATCCACCCACCTTGGCCTCCCAAAGTGCTGGGATTACAGGCGTGAGCCACCGTGCCTGGCCAAACAAAACCCTTTTCTAACTTATCTCCCTAATAAGGCCGTCAGGAGAGAAACCATACTTCATATCCTCAGCACTGTTCAGTACCTGCATACAGTGGGCATTCAATACATATTTCTTTAACCAATTAATAAATGTGCTCTTCATTGGAAGAAGTTGAAATACTTTACAAAACACAAAAACATTATTTAGGCAGAGAGTTTCTTGTTTCATAAGTAACCAAAATAAACAGAACAGAAAAAGTAAATTAACAGGTCAAATTTCAGATTGCCAAAGCAAGTAACAACAGGACCTATGCTTTTTCAAAGAAAGTTCCCTCCACTGCAGAACAATGTAGTAGTAGTAGTAGTAGTAGTAGTAATGATAATAATAAATGTTTATTAGCTCGATCTTAACATAGCAAAACCACAAGACAGATACTATTATTATCCCTATTCTATAGCCAAGGAATCTGAGATACAGAGGCCCAAGGCCACACACAGCTAGTTAGTGGCAGAACTAGGATACAAATTCAGGTAATCAGGCCAGAACCTGCCCTCTTAACCACTATAACCATACTAATTAAATAACAAAGAATAACTCAAGCACAATTATTCACTTCAAAGTCTATTTTTAATTTACGAGGAAAATGTTTTTAAAAGTAAACACTGCTAAATCTTGAAATACCAGTTCCTCATCTTGTTTTAGTTGGTTGTTTGGATACCCAAAGTATTAAGGTAGCATGTTTCATTGATGTGTTTTTAGTAAGCTACGATATTCTAGCAACTTCTGTTTTTTTTTTTTTTTTTTTTTTTTTTTTTTTTTGAGACAGAGTCTCGCTCTGTCGCCCAGGCTGGAGGGCAGTGGCGTGATCTCCACTCACTGCAAGCTCTGCCTCCCGGGTTCACACCATTCTCCTGTCTCAGCCTCCCAAGTAGCTGGGGCTACAGGTGCCCGCCACCATGCCCGGCTAATTTTTTTGTATTTTTTAGTAGGGACGGTTTCACCGTGTTTGCCAGGATGGTCTCAATCTCCTGACCTCGTGATCCCCCCGCCTCGGCCTCCCAAAGTGCTGGGATTACAGGCGTGAGCCACCATGCCCGGCGCAACTTCTGTTTCAAAGGGTGACTACCAGGAAGACACACTTAGCCAGACTTAATGACCAGGAAATTAGGTCATTTTTCAATCCCTAAGGCAAGTAAAATAATACCAAGCCCCATCCCTACAGCTACTATTTACTCTCAGATTGACCCACTCACAATGGATGGATGCAATCGGTTTAATTATATTGAAGAGCTGGTCTTATTAAGAATTACACCATAGGGAGGACAACTAAAGGGAGGGTTACATGGTAACAAAACTCTTCCTCTGACAGCCAGTGCATCTATCCTCTTGGCCTCTCCCAGTTATCTTCAAAGAATTTATGTGTGTGTAAAATAAGGAGAGGGCTTTCTTCTCTATCCTGTGGCAAATTATAAACTCACATTCTGCTTCTTACTAAAAAAGGGTAAGAAATACTACTGATCACACAGGGCGGACAAGACCCTCTGGTATAAAAAGCCAATAAAAATGATTGTGTATAAGGGAAAATCATTCAGAGTCTGTGCCATTCAGTGCATCATTGTTTGGAAATTTGTCTTTTTTTTTAATTTTTTAATTCTTCGCTAAGACAGCGGAAGAGGTGATTTATTGCATGCTTGTTTTTTATGCTCAGCCACAAGTGAACACAGAAATAGTCCAGAATGTAACAGGTCCAGGGCAAAGAACCATCATGGGCTGTTTTGGTTACAAGCAAGGTGGGTCTCAGAGGTGCTTTCCGTGATCAGATGGTGATGGAAGCTCTAGATCCACTTAGACAGCAGCATGCAGTCCAACAACTTGTACCAGCATCTCCAGCCTCTGGCATTCCATGTTTCTGGGTACACAAGCTACTGGTTGACTTGGACGTCTGCCTCATCTTTCTTCCTTTGCACTTCAGCCTGTGCATTCACGTCTTCCTCCACTTGGTTCTCATGGCATAGAGGTTTCCAAGAAGACGGCACTAATGCCGAGAGAAAAACAATTAAATAAAAATATGTATAGGGCACTGGGATCCCTAGCATAGTGAGTTGTATACATTATCTAGTGAGATGTTAAAAATGTTTTTGAGGTTTTGAAAATGTTCTCTAACATAATTGACAAATTTATAACATAGGAGAGAATTTTTTTAAATGTACTTCATTTGCCTTTTCTTTTTCAAGAATGTGCTTCACCTCATTTGCCTCTAAGACATCGCATTTTATAAGTGTGAGAAAGAAAGAGGGAAAAGTCATGGCCCATTCCTTTCTCGTTACTGATCAGATTCTTGGCAGCCGCCTCTTGGATTTTTTCCCACAAAGATATGATTTTTCTACTACCTGTTAATGACTTGCTCACTGTAGATATTTCACTTACACTAAACAAAACCACACTTTGTGTTTAAGTCATTTTTTCTTTGGCTATTTGTTCAAGTGCTATGTGGGTCCTAAAGTGTAATCGGGCTTCCATGGAATAGTCTTTGTAATTTCTTACATTGTCTAGGTTTTTTGTTGCTCTGGCATAGTCTCCTTTTAGATAGTGCAAGATTCCCAGTTCATAGTAAGTATATGGCACCAAATAGTGGTCATATTTTAATAATTTCTCCTTTTGAATGACACGATTAAAGTAATACTCAGCCTTTGAATATTTGCCTAAGTGTTTCAGGCATAGGCCTTTCAGTAAATTTAATAAACTTATGTCATCTGTGCCATACTCTTTATGTGGATTTTCTTGTAAAAGATCTTCTCCTTTGTCAATTATTGATAGCCAGCTTGAAATAAGCTCATTCTTTTTGCTCATGACTCGGAAACCACTCCAGGCATAAATGAACTCCAGAAGGGGCTGGGCTGTAAACCAGCCGATTGTAGTACCATAGCGCTGACCCTTCTCTGCAACAAACTTCTCTATTGGCACAGAACTGCCTAAAAATTACTTTTCAGGCTTTCCACTTTTAAGAAGAGAGAGTTCATATTCTCACTTGCTGATTTCACAAAATCGGAAGGAAGCAAAGCCAGGATGATGGCTTTACTGTACATGTATATTGCCTTGGACCATCTGCTGTGTTGAGACAGTAGATTGGCATAGTGGTAAGCCTGCCTCCAATCCTGCAGTAAAATGTGGCACCACATGAATTCCCAGTAACAGAGGTGATGAACCTGCTTCCATTCACTCTGAGTAAAAATGCACTCCTGTAATTTTAGCTGTGCATTTTCAAAATCTCCTTTCAACATACTAGAACGTGCATGGAAAAATTTAAATATGACACAGTTCGGAAATTTCTTGAGGTAGACTAGGAAGAGATCCTCTGTAGCAGAATTGTAAACCTTTTCAACACCAAAAGCTACATAGATATAATTGTAATAAAAGAGTAGAGTCAAAAGACTTAAGATATTATTTATATGGGTTTCAGATGCACTCTCATGAAGCAAAGCCAAGCCCACTTCTCTATCACCAGAATATCCAAAAATATTGAGTAGTTTAAGTATCCTTGGTGGCATAAGTGATAACATCAGATTGAATGCTCCAAGTCCAAATTTTATACCTCCAACCAGGTGTTTGTGGGCTTTGCTTTGGTTGTCAGGTATCTGTGTTAATACTTGTTGACAGTCTTTGTATATTTGGTAACTTAACCCAACACCGATCTCTCTTTTAAGAAAAGCAAGCATGCTTTCATCCTGTATACATGACGTAAAGGATTTCAAGATCAAACACTCAGCATAACAGACTTCTGTGTGCAATTCCTCTTCTGTGATAGCTGTTATTCCCTGTCTACTTACTAGATGAGACAATGTCATTTTAGTTTTTTTTCAGAAATTACCACAGGTTTTCAAAGCGTCCTTTGCAGCCATCATTCCAATCTGTAAATCCTGTGGCTCAAAAGTCAGGACGGCCTTGACAACCATAAGGATACCATACATTAGGGAATGGTACATGCTGTTTTTAGACCATGGATGAATGAGATTTATTGCATCTGAGAATCTGTTATTTAGAAATAAATACAATCCAATGGTACATTCTTCCAAGGAAGATGGTAGATTCATTGTTGTTGCCATAGGGATACTTTCACAGGCATCTTCAAACTCGTCCTCCTGATTACTTTTTATTTTATTTAGAGTGACATATTTGTTTCCCCACTTACAGATGAGAAATATCTGAAGTGGAAGTGGAGTGACGTGGTTGTAATGAGGGTAGCTCCTCATCTCCTGATTGAGGTCACTTCCTCCACACAAAGCTCAGTCTGAGGTGTTGCTGTTAAAATAGAGGCAAACAACCAGCTGTAAGGTGCAGCATTAGGATATTATCATCTATGTCAGACAATTGGGGAACAAAAAAAATTGTAGTTACCCAGAAGATGCATTTCTGAAAAGTTCAAATCATCTGGAATGTACTAAACAAAACATGCTTTTTAAAAAATTTCTAAATTTAACTATAGATGAGGAAAAAATGCTTTTTTAAAAACACTATAGGCCGAGCACGGTGGCTCACGCCTGTAATCCCAGCACTTTGGGAGGCCAAAGCGGGCGGATCACCTGAGGTCAGGAGTTCAAGACCAGCCTGGCCAACATGGTGAAACCCCGTCTCTACTAAAAATACAAAAAAAAATTAGCCGGGCGCGGTGGCGGGCACCTGTAATCCCAGCTACTCAGGAGGCTGAGGCAGGAGAATCACTTGAACCTGGGAGGTGGAGGTTGCAGTGAGCCGAGATCGTGCCATTGCACTCCAGCCTGGGGGACAAGAGTGAGATTTCGTCTCAAAAAAATAAATAAATAAATAAAAAACTGCAAAGTAAATCCTTTGTAAGCAAAAGAATTCTTTTGTAACCATTCCTCCAACATATCAATTTCATAAGATCAAGTTTTCTATATTTGTGTTGTAGAACTGTACTGTGATAGCCGTAAAATTTCTCTATGGGAAGGCCTTGGGGGACAAGAATCTGGCCAGAAAAGGGAATGTATTTATGTAGCTCTCTATTTTTCTTTTCTTTTTTGAGACACAGTCTTGCCCTGTTGCCTAGGATGAAGTGCAGTGGTGCGATCTCAGCTCACTACAACGTCTGCCTCACAAATTCAGGAGATCCTCCCACCTCATCCTCTCAAATAGCTGGGACTATAGGCATGCACCACCACACCCAGCTACCTTTTTTTTTTTTTTTTTTTGGATTTTTTGTAGAGATGAAGTTTTGCCATGTTGCCCAGGCTAGTCTCGAATTCCTGGGCTCAAGTGATCCACATGCATCTGCCTCCCAAAGTGTTGGGATTACAGTCATGAGCCACTGGGCCTGGCCTAAAACTAACTTTTAATGAAATGAAACGTTATGGTCAGTTATATAGAACTTTGGACATGGAGAGAGTTGTGTAAACCTAGAAAGATTTCCTAGCATTGTTCCTGTTAGAAAAAAGAAATTCAGACTTGGTGCAGTGGCTCACGCCTCTAATCCCAGCACTCTGGGGAAGCCGAGATGGGCAGATCACGAAGTCAGGAGTTTGAGATCAGCCTGGCCAACATGGCAAAACCTTGTCTCTACTAAAAATACAAAAATTAACCAGGCATGGTGGCGGGTGCCTGTAATCCCAGCTACTCGGGAGGCTGAGGAAGAAGAGTCTCTTGAACTCGGGAGGCGGAGGTTGCAGTGAGCCGAGATTATGCCATTGCACTCCAGTGTGGGCAACAAGAGCAAGACTCCGTCACAAAAAAAAAAAAAGAAAAAAGAAATTCCAATGTTAATAGTTGTTATCACAGCATTAATATAGTATTTGGTAGGAAATCTTTTTTTTCTACTAGGAGTCATTTAATACCTGGAAACTGGGGAGGGAGTGGGTACAATGGAAGGCCAATTACAAATAGCAAGCTGGGATTACAGGCATGAGCCACGGCACCTGGCCTTAACCTAGCTTTTAAAAGGTTAGTGATTACTGTTGCTAAAAACCTGAAACATAACTGAATCTTCAGTGTAAAAACAAGCATTTATCAGGCCAGGCACAGCCAATTAACTTGCTACAAGAGCAAAACTCCGTCTCAAAAGAAATAAAAATGAAATAAATAAATAAAAGCTAGGTTAATTATACATTTATCTGACAGGTTCAGTTCTGAGTGGAAAAGCCATGTAGCCAATTAGAAGGGAAATTTTTTTTCTCCTTTATTTTTTTGAAATGGAGTCTCACTCTATCACCCAGGCTGGAGTGCAGTGACACGATCTCAGCTCACTGCAACCTCTGCCTCCCATGTTCAAACGATTCTCCTGCCTCAGCCTCCCGAGTAGCTGGGATTACAGGTTCATGCCACCCTACCTGGCTAATTTTTGTATTATTAGTAGAGGCAGGGTTTCACCATGTTGGCTAGGCTAGTCTCAAACTCCTGACCTCAAGTGATCCACCCTCCTTGGCCTCCCAAAGTGCTGGGATTACAGGAGAGAGCCACCACCCCTCGCCAAATTTTTGTGTTTTTAGTAGAGACAGGGTTTCACCATATCGGCCAGGCTGGTCTCAAACTCCTGACCTCAGGTGATCCACCTGCCTCCACTTCCCAAAGTACTGGCATTATAGGTATGAGACACTGCGCCCAGTCCTATTTTTGTAATGTGACATTTTTATTTTTCTTTTCTTTTATATATAGAGATGAAGTATTTCTATGATGTCTGGCCTAGTCTCAAACTCAAGTGAGTTCAAGCTTGAGTTCAAGCCTGGGCTCAAGCAATCCTCCGACCTAGGCCTCCCAAAGTGCTGGGATTACAGGCATGAGGCACTGCACCCAGACTGTATTTTTAAACGTTTGTCTTCTGATTATGTTTCTTGTATCTGTCTTCACCACTGATTACGACTGGCACTTAATTAAACTAAATTATGCTGGGAGTAGTGGGTCACGCCTGTAATCCCAGCATTTTGAGAGGCAGAGGTAGAGGCGTGCCGAGGTAGGAGGATCATCTGATCCCAGGAATTCAAGACCAGCTTGGGCAACATGGCGAAACCCTGTCTCTACAAAAAAATACAAAAATTAGCCGGATGTGGTGGGGCATGCCCGTGTCCCAGTTACTCTAGAGGCTAAGGTGGGAGGATCACCTGAGTCTGGGGAGGTCAAGCCCACAGTGACCTGTGTGGGTGATAGAGTGAGACAAAGAAAAGAAAAAGAACAAGAACAAGAACATAGGCCGGGCACGTGGCTCGCCGGGACCAGTGGCTCACGCCTGTAATCCTAGCATTCTGGGAGGCCGAGGCGGGTGGATCACCTGAGATCAGGAGTTGAGGTAAGGAATGTGGTGGTACACGCCTGTAGTCCCAGCTACTTGGGAAACTGAGGCACAAGAATCGCTTGAACCCGGGAAGCAGAGGTTGCAGTGAGCTGAGATCGCGCCATTCACACTCCAGTCTGAGCAACAGAGTGATACTCTGTCTCAAAAAAAAAAAACAACCTAAATTAACATTTACCAGATCGTTATGATTATTTTCAATGTACATATACTATAACAAACTTAAGATAAAGTAATCATTTAACTGTTAATACTACAAAAGTCAGAAAAATATACCAGTGAATACAAAGGACTGATGTCCTTGAAGTAGAAAGAGTTCCTATGAATCAGTAAGCTAGAACATACACCCCAGCAGAAAAAAATCAGCAAAGGACATAAACAAATTGCCAATAAGCATAATGTTCAGCCTCACTGTAAATCAACAAAATACAAATTAAAAAATATAAGATTCTTTTTTTTGTTGTTGTCTCAGGAGTCTCTCTCTGTCATCCAGGCTGGAGTGCAGTGGCATGATCTTTGCTCACTGCAAACTCTGCCTTCCGGGTTTAAGTGATTCTCCTGTCTCAGCCTCCTGAGCAGCTGGGATTACAGGTGCGTGCCAGCATGCCTGGCTAATATTTGTGTTTTCAGTGGAGACGGGATTTCACCATGTTTGCCAAGCTGGTCTCGAACTCCTGACCTTGTGATCTGCCCACCTTGGCCTCCCAAAGTGCTGGGATTACAGGCGTGAGCCACTGAGCCTGGCCAAAAAGATCCTTTTTTTTTTTAGACAGAGTCTTGCTCTGTCGCCCAGATTGGAGTGCAGTGGCACAATCTCAGCTCACTACAAGTTCTGCCTCCTGGGTTCACGCCATTCTCCTGCCTCAGCCTCCTGAGTAGCTGGGACTACAGGCGCCCTCCACTACGCCCGGCTAATTTTTGTATTTTTAGTAGAGACAGGGTTTCACCACGTTAGCCAGGATGGTCTCGATCTCCTGACCTCGTGATCCGCCTGCCTCAGCCTCCCAAAGTGCTGGGATTACAGGCATGAGCCACCATGCCTGGCCCAAAAATCCATTTTTAAAATCAAATTTGGCAGATTAAAAAATTAACATCCAGTATTAAGGAAGGTACTGAGAACCAAAACCATTGCAGATTTGTTGTTTTTCACTTCAGCATTACCTATAACATAAAACATGAAAGCAATCTAAACTTCTTACGAGAGGATTCCTAATTAATGGAATACTATGCAAACAAAACGTTGTAGAAGAATATTTAATGACTTAGAAAATTGTTTATGGCACAATGCATTGTATTAGTTGGGGTTCTCCAGGGAAACAAAACCAGTAGGATATCTATATCTATATCATCTATCTATCTATCAAGATTTAGTGTAAGGAATTGGCTCATGTAATTATAGAAGTGAAATAGTTTGAGTTTGCAAATCTATCAAAAAATAAAATGTCAATACTACAGGACTTTTAAAGAAAACAGACAGTCACAAATAGTGACTGGGAAGGTATAAAACTGAATGTGATTTTTAATTTTTTTTTTTTGAGACAGGGTCTTGCTATCTCTCCCAGAATGGAGTGCAATGTCATGATAGCTCACTGTAATCTCTGCCTCCCCAGGCTTAAGCCATTCTCCTGCCTTAGTCACTCAAGTAGTCGGGGTTACAGCCGCATGCCACCATGCCTGGTTAATTTTTGTATTTTTAGTAGAGACGGGGTTTCACCATGTTGGCCAGACTGGTCTCAACCTCCTGACCTCAGATGATCTGCCTGCCTCTGCTTCCCAAAGTGCTGGGATTACAGGTGTGAGCCACCGCACCCAGTCTTGAATGTGATTTTTTAAAAAAGATTCATGGGGCCGGGCGCGGTGGCTCACGCCTGTAATCCCAGCACTTTGGGATGCTGAGGAGGGCAGATTAGGAGGGCAGGAGTTTAAGACCAGCCTGACCAACATGGTGAAACCTGTCTCTACTAAAAATACAAAAAATTAGCCAGGCGTGGTGGCATGGGCCTGTAATCCCAGCTACTCAGGAGGCCGAGGCAGAAGCATAGCTTGAACCAGAGTGGCGGAGGTTGCATGCCATTGCACTCCAGCCTGGGCAACAGAGCAAGACTCCATCTCAAAAAAAAAAAAAAAAAAGAAAACAAAAAAAGAAAGAGGCCAGGCGCAGTGGCTCACTCGTGTAATCCCAACACTTTGGGAATCCAAAGTGGGCCTGGGCCTAGGAGTTCCAGACCAGCCTGGGCAGCACAGTGAGATTCCCTTCCCCATCTCCCTGACCCCCACCATCTCTACAGAAAAATAAAGAGCCAGGAGTGCTGTTGCATGCCTGTAGGTCCAGTTAGTCAGAAGCTGAGGTGGGAGGATCCCTTGCGCCTGCGAGTTCCGGGCTGCATAAGTTGAGATCGTACTCCAGCCTGGATCAGGGAGAGAGACCCTGTCTTAAAAACAAATGCAAACAAACAAAAACCCACCCCACTGTTTCCTAGAATTATTCTGTCCAATTAGGTACCATGGAAGGTTGTTTACTGTTGTTTTTGGCTTTGTTTTTTAATTGTTTTGTGGAGATGGGGGTCTTATCATATTACCCAGGCTGCTCTTGAACTGGGCTCAAGCAATCCTCCTGCTTTGGCCTCCCAAGTGCTGGGATTGCAGGTATCAGCCACTAGGCTCAGTCCATTGTATTTTTATGCATAAATACCTTTATTCCTTCATTAGAAAAACAGCCCCTGGGCCAGGCACGGTGTCTCACACCTGTAATCCCAGCACTTTGGGAGGCCAAGTCAGGCGGATCATCTGAGATCGGGAGTTCCAGACCAGCCTGACCAACATGGAAAAACCCCGTCTCTACTAAAAATACAAAATTAGCTGGGTGTGGTGGCACATGCCTGTAATCCCAGCTACTCAGGAGGCTGAGGCAGGAGAATTGCTTGAACCCAGGAGGCGGAGGTTGCAATAAGCCGCGATCGCGCAATTGCACTCCAGCCTGGGCAACAAGAGCGAAACTCTGTCTCAAAAATAAATAAATAAATAAATAATAATAATAAATAATAAAATTATTTTTAAAAAATAATACAGACAGGGTCTTGCCATGTTGCCCAGGCTGGTCTCAAACTCCTGAGCTCAAGCGATCCACCCACCTCTGCCTTATGAGTGTTGGGATTACAGGCATGAGCCACCTTATCCGGCCGTTTCATAATACAATGTAACATTCCTCAGAAAACCTCACCATTACCTAGATTGTTTTACACACCTAAACCATCCATTTAGGTAATATTTGTATCAGTGGGGCATTCCTACATCACGTTATTCCTTTTCCTAGTTTCACTCTTGAAGTTGGTCAAAGCACTGCAGTTCTTTAACTATTGCTGTCTCTAGCCTCTCATCTTTTAGTACTGATGGTTCTCCTGTACTTGGCTAATGAGAAATTAATTTCTTAATACAGTATGAAAGAATTATGAACATGCCTCTTCCTTCCCAGAATGTCCTAACAGCATTCTAGAGGAAACAGAAAATCATGAAATGTTGAAAAAGAAAAACTGAACATAGCCGTTTGGCTTGACCTACAGTACACACATACACAGCACATACATAAATATATATTAAAGACTAGTATTTGGCTCTCCCTCTCCCTCTCCCTCCCCCCCTCCCCCTCCCCCTCTCCCTCTTCCTCTCCCCACGGTCTCCCTCTCCCTCTCTTTCCACGGTCTCCCTCTAATGCCGAGCCGAAGCTGGACTGTACTGCTGCCATCTCGGCTCACTGCAACCTCCCTGCCTGATTCTCCTGCCTCAGCCTGCCCAGTGCCTGCGACTGCAGGCGTGCGCCGCCACGCCTGACTGGTTTTCGTATTTTTTTGGTGGAGACGGGGTTTCACTGTGTTGGCCCGGCTGGTCTCCAGCTCCTAACCGCGAATGATCCGCCAGCCTCGGCCTCCTGAGGTGCTGGGATTGCAGACGGAGTCTCGTTCACTCAGTGCTCAATGGTGCCCAGGAGTGATCTCGGCTCGCTACAACCTCCACCTCCCAGCCGCCTGCCTTGGCCTCCCAAAGTGCCGAGATTGCAGCCTCTGCCCGGCCGCCACCCCGTCTGGGAAGTGAGGAGCGTTTCTGCCTGGGTGCCCATCGTCTGGGATGTGAGGAGCCCCTCTGCCTGGCTGCCCAGTCTGGAAAGTGAGGAGCGTCTCTGCCCGGCCGCCATCCCATCTAGGAAGTGAGGAGCGTCTCTGCCCGGCCGCCCATCGTCTGAGATGTGGGGAGCGCCTCTGTCCCGCTGCCCCTTCTGGGAGGTGAGGAGCGTCGCTGCCCGGCCGCCCCGTCTGAGAAGTGAGGAGCCCCTCCGCCCGGCAGCCGCCCCGTCTGGGAAGTGAGGAGCGTCTCCGCCCGGCAGCCACCCCGTCCGGGAAGGAGGTGGGGGTCAGCCCCCGCCAGGCCAGCCGCCCCATCCGGGAGGGAGGTAGGGGGTCAGCCCCCGCCCGGCCAGCCGCCCCGTCCAGGAGGGAGGTGGGGGGGGTCAGCCCCCCGCCCGGCCAGCCGCCCCGTCCGGGAGGTGAGGGGCGCCTCTGCCTGGCCGCCCCTACTGGGAAGTGAGGAGCCCCTCTGCCCGGCCACCACCCCGTCTGGGAGGTGTACCCAACAGCTCATTGAGAACGGGCCATGATGACAATGGCGGTTTTGTGGAATAGAAAAGGGGGAAAGGTAGGGAAAAGATTGAGAAATCGGATGGTTGCTGTGTCTGTGTAGAAAGAAGTAGACATGGGAGACTTTTCATTTTGTTCTGTACTAAGAAAAATTCTTCTGCCTTGGGATCCTGTTGATCTATGACCTTACCCCCAACCCTGTGCTCTCTGAAACATGTGCTGTGTCCACTCAGGGTTAAATGGATTAAGGGCGGTGCAAGATGTGCTTTGTTAAACAGATGCTTGAAGGCAGCATGCTCGTTAAGAGTCATCACCACTCCCTAATCTCAAGTACCCAGGGACACAAACACTGCGGAGGGCCGCAGGGTCCTCTGCCTAGGAAAACCAGAGACCTTTGTTCACTTGTTTATCTGCTGACCTTCCCTCCACTATTGTCCTATGACCCTGCCAAATGCCCCTCTGTGAGAAACACCCAAGAATGATCAATTAAAAAAAAAAAAAAAAAAGAATAGACTATAGGCCAGGCATGGTGGCTCACACCTGTAATCCCAGCACTTTGGGATGCCAAGTTGGGTGGATCACTTTAGGTCGGGAGTTCGAGACCGGCCTGGCCAAGATGGCGAGACCCCGTCTCTACTAATATTACAAAGATTAGCTGGGCATGGTGGCTCATGCCTATAATACTTTGGAGGCTGGGGCACAAGAATCACTTGAACCTGGGAGGCAGAGGTTGTAGTGAGCCAAGATCGTGCCACTGCACTCCAGCCTGGGCGACAGAGCAAGACTCTGTCTCAAAAAATAAAATTAAAAAAAAAAAAAGACTAGTATTTTTTAGCATAGACTACTTATTTATATTAAAAATAGAATATTGGTGTGGCAGAGGGGGAAGTTGGGGTCCAGGAGGCGGAGTCTGAGGTCTGCCCACTTCTTGCCCTGCCTTAAAAACAAAAAAACAAACAAAATAGACTAATGTGCAAAACATTTAAATTTTTTTTCCTTTCTTGTTTTAACGTTTTCACATCCAAGCTCAAATGGTGATAATGACTTAAAAGTGAAACTGAAATGGTGAGAGAAGTACGATTAAAAAGGGAACTTTTTCTTTAATATTTATCTGGAAATACCAAATGTAGAAAATGCAGATACATTTTGAAAACTGCTGTAAAAGGCTTATGAATTACTCCCCTTTCCTAAACTAATAATATTTTTAAAATTTAACAATAGTAACATGTTAATAACTAATATTTCATATTAGGAAATATTACAATATTTGAAGAAAGTAGTTTTCATATTCAAACAATCTGAGAATGTAATCTAAATTTAACAGATTTCTAGAGGCAGAAACTTATGTGGGTGAATGTGATTTCAACAAGAATCAGCAGGAATAAAAGTTCTCTGCACAGTAAAATCTCCCTGATTTGGACTGACATTTAGTGAAAAGAATTGGTTGCCTGTTCTTAGAGAAAGAGTGTTCAGTAGAAAGTAGAATAGTCTATGGAAATAGTATACAGTACTATTATTTTTTCATGGTAACCAGATTAACAAAGCCTGGCCTTGTACTGGCCCTGCTTTCATAGGAATAAACAGTATGTAATTAGCTTATTGAACACCTGTCTGCAAGACAAGCATGTCTGTGAATCAGGATTTGAAAGCAATTGGTTATAAATTTTAAAACTGCTTCTGTTTACTATTACTTGCTTAGAAATTTCTTTAGTACAACTATAGACTTTGTTTTGTTTTGTTGGTAGAGATGGGGGTCTGGTTCTGTTGCCCAGGCTGGTCTCAAAGTCCTGGCCTCAAGATATCCTCCCACCTCAACCTCCCAAAGTGCAGAGATTACCGGCATGAGCCACAAAACCTGACTTAGACTTTGTATTCAGAGTCAAAAAAAGTTTATTGGAAAAAAAAAAGTTTATTGAGGTTTATTAGGAATTATACAGTATAACATGCACTGTCTTTCAAGCAGTTATCTATGCTTGGCTCAACAGTAATTTTCTTTTTTTTTGAGTCGGAGTTTTGCTCTTTTGTTTTGGAGATGGAGTTTCACTCTTGTTGCCCAGGCTGGAGTGCAATGGCGCAATCTCGGCTCCCTGCAACCTCCACCTCCCGGGTTCAAGCAATTCTCCTGCCTCAGCCTCCCAAGTAGCTGGGATTACAGGTGCGCACCACCACGCCTGGCTAATTTTTTGTATTTTTAGTAGAGACGGGGGTTTCACCATGGCCAGGCTGGTCTTGAACTTCTGACCTTAGGTGATCCGCCCGCCTCGGCCTCCCAGAGTGCTGGGATTACAGATGTGAGTCACAGCGCCCGGCCTAGGAGTTTTGCTCTTGTTGCTCAGGCTGTAGTGCAATGGCAAGATCTCAGCTCACCACAACCTCCACCTCTCAGGTTCAAGCGATTCTCCTGCCTCAGCCTCCCGAGTAGCTGGGATTACAGGCATGCGCCACCACGCCCAGCTAATTTTGTATTTTTAGTAGAGACGGGGTTCCTCCATGTTGGTCAGGCTGGTCTCGAACTCCTGACCTCAGGTGATCCGCCAGCTTCAGCCTCCCAAAGTGCTGGGATTACAGGCATGAGCCACTGCGCGCGGCCTCAACAGTAATTTTCATAGCTTCTTAACAGAAGAAAGTCAACTTAGTGAGGCTTTACAGAATTTATATTTTATCTTTCAGATACCATATAATCTTTTTTTTTGAGATGGAGTCTTGCTCTGTCGCCCAGGCTGGAGTGCAGTGGCACGATCTCAGCTCACTGCAACCTCCGCCTCCTGGGTTCAAGCAGTTCTCCTGCCTCAGCCTCCGGAGTAGCTGGGACTACAGGCACACGCCACCACGCCAGGCTAATTTTTTGTATTTTAGTAGGGACAGGGTTTTACTGTGTTGCCCAGGCTGGTCTCAAACTCCTGAGCTCAGGCAATCCGCCCGCCTCGGCCTCCCAAAGTGCTGGCATTACAGGCGTGAGCCACTGCGCCTGGCCCCTATATAGTCTTTATAATTATTGTTTAATTCTTTTGAGAAGAACCTATAGATCTTTATAATTATTGTTTCTTTTGAGAAGAACCTTGTTAAGAAAAAAATCACCAAGACTAAGGGAGAACACATATACTCTACAGAGCTTCTATTTTCTTCTTAGAGATCTTCCTGAGAGAGATTAATTCTCTCCATAACTTAATCAACGTAAAAAATATGCATAAAATCATAGCATGACCTGGAAAGAATCCATGCTTTATTCACCAACTAGGCCTGCTTTCCCTGTACTCTCCATTCCACACCTATACTCACCAAATGAAGTTGCAAAAGACGAAAAAGATAAAAATGCAAATACCTAAATGTCTTTTTTTATGTACATTTCCAACTTTTGTGTATTCCAAGAATTTACGATGTAATGTCTATGTTTCTAGCAAAAAAGAACTTTTTCTCTATTTGTAGTTGGTGTCTAGAGCAATTCTAATGTAAAGAAGTTTTGCATTTATTTGGTACTGTTGAGTGGCTGAGCAGCAAGGCTGCTATTTCCACTGAGTGGAGATACACAAAGATGACTTAGGAGTCCCAGTCCTCAGGATCGGAGTATTGGTGGATCACACGTGTTACAAAGCAGAAAGCATTAGGAAAAGCAAATCAGTTACTTTGAGCTTCAGATGCAAATAATTTCCAAATTGTCACTGGCCAAAATGCTTTAAACATTCAGGGTTTTGTCACAATTTCAATATAAAGGGGGGAGGGGGGAGCGGGACCCCACAGCTCTATTCCTTTGTCTTTCAGACTCCAAGAACTCAGACCGTGGTGGTGCAAACTGGTGACTGGTTCAAAAGAAGTTGGAGGGGGCGTGTAGGACAGGAGGCTTTACCACCAGTCCCAGGGTGCGTCAAGGTCTATGGTGTAAAAACCACTACTCAGAATGGCGGGGTTCATGGACTTTTCACCATGGCCAAACCTTCGATTACCTCTGATGAGCCCCAAAGATCAGAGTAGCTGACTAGGCCAGGTCCCCCAGCAGAAGGGCGCGACGGCTGCAACATCAGCGGTTAAATTGTACAGCCTTTCATAGGCCGGTCTAATGCATCCGTACTAAGATTGTTAAGGCTGAGGGTCCCTAGCCTGGGGAAAAACGAAAGGAGGCAGAGGGTAGGGAGACGGGAAAGAAGACAAGGAGGGTGTAGAAAACGGGGAGAGGAGGGGGCGGGACAGCATGGGGAAGGCCTCAGGTTTACTGGAGAGATCGTGGCGTTCCCATAGAAACGTATCCCTCCGCCCATGACCCGCGTGTTAGTCTCTTCAGTTCCTTCCGCGTCGTTTCTTGGCTGTTTCCGCCCAGCTCCTTTGTGCCGCGCAGAACAACGAGATGACGCATGCGCAAAGCGCAGCGGCCGCATATATAAACGCGAACCCGGGCTCTTCCTCGTAGTGCCGCCGGGACTCTTGGCGGGTGAAGGTGTGTGTCAGCTTTTGCGTCACTCGAGCCCTGGGCGCTGCTTGCTAAAGAGCCGAGCACGCGGGTCTGTCATCATGTCGCGTTACGGGCGGTACGGAGGAGGTAAGAAGCTGGAGTCCGGTGAGGGACGTTGGTGTGGGTGTAGTGAGCACTGCGAGGCCGTAGGGTTGTCGCGGAGGTTGGGAGACGGTTATTCCGCGTGCGTAATGGCGGCTTAGGAGCACGCCAGACGAAGCCGGAGGCAGCGGAGGCGGGGTGCTGAAGGGAGACGGGATGGCGGGTGTACATCTCTGCCGAGTTCCGTACTCTTGGGCATTTTTGTGGCCCAATCCAGCCTAAAGCAGGGTTGAGATGACGGTTTTCGCGTTGCCTTTCTCGGAGCTGCCCGCCGGCCCCCCTCCCCCCCCGCCCTCGGCGGCGGCTGCCATTTTGCGCACATTGAGGACCGTGGTGGCGCATTTCCTCAGCGCTTTCCCGCCACTTCAGCGGACAGATCTGGCCGCAGCTGTAAGATCGTGGTTGTGTTTGAGATAGAACGAAATTGGCAGCTGTGAGCTGCATGTTCTCGTCAAACAATCGGTTAAATTGCGGAATGGGAATGGGGACGTAATCTGCGACTGGCGGCTGGGTTTTTTTTAGTTATTTCCAGCGCGGTTTATGGCTCTGGGGCGGGGAGCTGGAGTCTTGGGCGAGCCTGTGCCTGGGACGTTTGCCGCGGAGGACGAGAGCCGGCGCAGCCCTGCTCTCCTGGCCCGGCCCCTACCGAGGCCCTCCCGCCGCCGACGCCGCTGCCGCTGCGGGCCCGCGCGCTCCCGGTGCGCCCGGGGCTGCCGGGACTCATGGGTGGGGCCGGGCCAGGTTCCGCCCCACGCCTCGGTGTATCCTACCACGCGTTTCTGCTTGTGTTCGGGAGGGTCACCCCGCATTATTTAGAACGTTAAGAATTTTGTCAAAAGTCTAGTTTCTCAGGGATTTGCGGACTTTCACCAGTTTTACGACTAAGTTTTGTCTTGGATAGAGGGCATTAAATGTGCTTTACCCAATCTTGAGGATGGCCCGTTTTAAGGCAAATAAGTAATTGAAACTTGGGCCAGATTTTGCGTAACGTGCATTCTTCTATTTGCGTTTTTAAACAGAAACCAAGGTGTATGTTGGTAACCTGGGAACTGGCGCTGGCAAAGGAGAGTTAGAAAGGGCTTTCAGTTATTATGGTCCTTTAAGAACTGTATGGATTGCGAGAAATCCTCCAGGATTTGCCTTTGTGGAATTCGAAGATCCTAGAGATGCAGAAGATGCAGTACGAGGACTGGATGGAAAGTAAGTAAGATGTTATGAATCTTCTGTTCATTAAAATATACTGTGGCTAGATAATGAACTTAGTGCTAAATTTGGATTCTGAAGTCTGGAAGAGACCTTAAATAGCTGGTCATAGTGTTAAATGCTAAAGGCACACGAAGGTTAAAGAAGATAGCGGAGATGGAGTTAGGGCTTGGTAAAGACCGCCAAAGTTTGTTGGGGGGGAAGGAGTGGTTGGAAAGAGTGAGTGGTTGGAAAGAGTTCTTTTTAAATCTATAAGTCCTGAATATATTTTTAACTTTAGAATTTTGTTAATTTGCTTTTATTAGGGTGATTTGTGGCTCCCGAGTGAGGGTTGAACTATCGACAGGCATGCCTCGGAGATCACGTTTTGATAGACCACCTGCCCGACGTCCCTTTGATCCAAATGATAGATGCTATGAGTGTGGCGAAAAGGGACATTATGCTTATGATTGTCATCGTTACAGCCGGCGAAGAAGAAGCAGGTATTTATTTTAATAAAGGAATGGTTGGTATTCTAGTTAATCAAGTAATTCTTTTATTAGCAAGGCAGAAACTAGTGTTTTTCTATAAACTTGAATGTTAATTGTACAGGTGTATTTTACAATTTTTGTTTAATTAAAAAAATGTTACTATATTAATAATCAACCTGGTCAAAACCTTTCAGGTTTCTTCGTTTGAGTCAGTCGCCTTGATTCAGAATGTCACGAGCCTTATGATATCATGCTGAGGCGCCTTGCAAATCCGACAATTAAGATCCTCCTAGACCTTGAGGTGATCAGCATAAGAGGCCAGATCCCCTCGAGTCATCTACACCTAGCTTCACCTTATTCTTTAAAGGGCAGAAAATTTGAGACGGTGATCGCCGTAACAGTAAATTTGGCTTACAATTGGGGCCCCCCTCCGGTTTAGAAAGAGGAACACCAGATTGACCACATTCCCAACTAGAAAAATCTTCTTGCGTCAATCAAGCCTCACCTGGCTCATTTGGCTGTCAGTTTGATCGTCGTTAGATTGAAGAAAACATCTAGATGCAGCGATCGGCTATAGATACTTCTAGATCGTCTAGATCTACTAGACCATGGGCCAAAGAGGGTCGACCTGCAAACTTGCAAGGTTTATTTTAAATACACATTACAGTGTTTTATATTATGTAATGCTAAGTTGTAATTCAGCTTTTAACAAATCTTTTTTTAGGTAGTAAAAAAAAAAATACTCAACAACTAATAGGCCCAGAGTTTATTTCCAAATGAGACACTAAATTTAAATAGTTTTGAGATTTGATTTCAGCAGAGGCACACAAACTCTTAAAAACGAGTTATTGTCTGACATTTTGTTTTTTCTCTAACTTGAAAAATAGGTCACGGTCTAGATCACATTCTCGATCCAGAGGAAGGCGATACTCTCGCTCACGCAGCAGGAGCAGGGGACGAAGGTGAGATCTTGTTTAACTGAAGTCTTTCTGTATTATTATTAAATTCACTGGTAGTCCAACACAGAAAAAGCTCATTATTTTTTTTGGAGACAGGGTCTTGCTCTGTCACCCGGGCTGGAGTACAGGGGCATAACCACGACTCACTGCTGCCTTGATGATCTCTTGGGTTTAAGCAGTTCTCCTACCTCAGCCTCCCGAGTAGCTGGGACTGTAGGCACTGCCACCATACCCAGCTAATTTTTATTTTTGTAGAAATGGTCTTGCACTGTTTCCCAGGCTGGTCTCAAGCTCCTGGGCTCAAACGATCCTCCCGCAGTGCTGGGATTATGGGCATGAGCCACTGCACCGTTCCCCAGTTGAAGTCTTAACAGGCCAAAAAAAAAAAAAACTGTGGAGATGGACTTAAAGTTCTTTATTTTAGGTCAAGGTCAGCATCTCCTCGACGATCAAGATCTATCTCTCTTCGTAGATCAAGATCAGCTTCACTCAGAAGATCTAGGTCTGGTTCTATAAAAGGATCGAGGTATTTCCAGTATGTAACACTTTTTTTCCTTACTTGTGTTTGGATTGTTCACATCTTATCAGTAGAGTGTCTTAAGGACATAATTCAAATGGATTGCTTCAGGGAATATTTGAGATGTAAAAGTTTGGAATTTATGTGTAACTTGTAACATAAATATTAACCTAGTTTTACAGATGAAGAAAAGGGCTACTAGAGATTTTAAGGCTTGTTAGGCCGTGTGGTAGACAAGGGTCCCAAGCAATACAGTTCTACTCAACACTCTGGGTAGGCATGTTGCTATAAACTTTTCTGGCTTCAGATTGGATGATACTAGCTCTGAAAGATGGTAATTGATTTTCCCGACAAAAAGGCCTATTAGCACCAGGAAAAGAGATCAGAAGCAAGTAGAAACATTTCTCATTTTTGGAATGATGGGGTTGATTTGAGACACTGGAAAGTTGACTAGGGCAGTAGTGTGTACACAGAAATGAATGTGGATTTTTTTTTTTAGACCGTTTCAGACCTGAAAAAACTAAAGAACCAGAGCTTTACTATTTGTAGAAGGCCTTAAAAGGAGATAGAATGGAAAAAATTGTAAAATAAGTATTGCAACATGTAATTAACAATATTGTTATCTGTACCAACGATAAAACCGTGGTACGGAATGCTACTGGGAGTTAAATTGCTGTTTAATAGCACAAAACCTTTAAATGCAGGAATTCTGAATCTTGTGGTCTATTTGAGAAAGCTATGAACCATCTCTTTAGATAAATTTAAAAGATAGATATGTCAGTCTGATTTGGTTTGTCTGACAGATTGATGGCTCTCAAACATAACTTGATCCAGGAATAAAGCCTTACAAATGGGGGGCGGCTTTCTTTTCGTCTGGCCTTATCACCTGAATTAGTCTCAGTTCAGGGGTCTGGTTATTTTCATCCTGCCTTAGCCTCCTGAGTAGCTGGGACTGCCATTGTGTACCACAGTGCCCAGCTGAGGGATCTGTGCCTTAAGTGAGGTTAGTTTTGCTTCCTTCATACCAGTCTCATCAAATGAAAACCATGTATTTCCCTTGGATATTACACAGTGTTTGAGAATGTTATACCTGTACAGAAACTAACCAATTGAGTGATAGAAACAAGTAATTGAAATGGGGGTTCCTTATGTCTGGTAACACTTTGTTTGACAGTGTGTTAGACAGAATAAGGCAAGTGTTGCATCTTGTTTAGTTTTAGCTTCTTTATGCCTGACCAACCTAATACAGTGTTGAGTAGTTAAGGAAATTCCTTTGGACTGATTGATATAATTGTGTTTTTCACTTTTTTTATTAAGATCCCCGTCGAGGTCAAGATCAAGATCCAGGTCTATTTCACGACCAAGAAGCAGGTAGGGTAAAAATTTGATTATGCTTTTCTAGTTATATGGCACCAATATCCAAAGAGTTCAAAGTGTTTTTAATTGTTGAAATTTTAAGTGTTAACTCTAAACTTAGGTTTTAGTGGGAACACAGTACCTTATTTGTGTATGTCCTATTTATTACTGGCTGACTTTCCCTGAACAAGGGAATGTAAAACTATAGTGAGAAAGAAGCTTATGACTTGGGGGATTATATTAAAGAGGCCCTTGTTAGAACTGATAGGTGCATGGAGAAGCATCCTGAAATCGATGTGCTTAAAGCAGAATGTAAAAGATTAATCATGATGTAGTAATTGAGTCATTTTTTGAAAAACAGTTGTTGAAAGATTGGCTTTTGTTAGCAACAACTGGTAGGATGTTTTTCAGTTTAAGTGCAGTCTGACATTTTAAGCTTAGGACATTTGGGGGTTTTACGGTATTGGTGACTACAAGAAAGGGATTGGTTAGTACTCTTTCTTTAATAGAATTTCTCATGTTTTGACAGCCGATCAAAGTCCAGATCTCCATCTCCAAAAAGAAGGTAAGCTAAATGTTTTGTTGCCAAATCTTGCCTGTCAAGTGTGGCCTCTGCAGAATTTGTTTGCTTACTGCTTTGCAGTCTTTGAGCTCTTTGGAGAATTGGTGCTATATAGATTAAAATACTATGCTAAGTTTCTGAAATACTTTTTTTTTTTGATTCAGTAACATTAGTTTATACTTTTGCTGGAAATACTTAGTCATAAAATGTTAGGGTGATTATTAAGATGTGATTGGTCCTGTGAGTACTTGGTAGAAATTTTGGTAAGATAGATGCCTTTTCCCCACATGTACAATAGATACAAAGTGTGGAGAAAAGTCTTGGAAATAGTTACCTGCCTAGTGCTTCTTTATGACCAGAAAACTTCAAATAGTTGTCATATTTATCTAGTGCTTCTTAATGACCAGAAGACTTCAAATAGTTGTCATATTTAACTGCAGGTTGACCTTGCAATTTTGACAAGGAGGATAGCCTAATTTTTTTTTTTTTCTGGGATGGAGTTTTCGCTCTGTCCCCAGGCTTGGAGTGCAGTGGCTCAATCTTGGCTCACTGCAGCCTCCGATTCCCGGGTTCAAGCAATTATCCTGTCTCAGCCTCTTGAGCAGTTGGGATTACAGGCACCCACCGCCAAGCCTGGCTAATTTTTTGTATTTCTAGTAGAGACGGAGTTTCACCATGTTGGCGAGGTTGGTCTTAAACTCCTGATCTTAGGTGATCACCTGCCTCGGCCTCTCCCAAAGTGCTGGGGTTACAGGCGTGAGCCACCGTGCCTGGCCAGGGTAGCCTAATCTTAAGCCAGGGACAAAAGATGAATATATGTAAGTTTCATGTCATTTTTAGGTCTTTGCTATAGGAAATTAGTACCTTAGGCCACCTTTGAAGTTATTGAAAGTTAGTACATGTACATGAGAGTTTCAATTGACACTAATTGGATCCAAACCTAATGTTTTTCTTTTTAGTCGTTCCCCATCAGGAAGTCCTCGCAGAAGTGCAAGTCCTGAAAGAATGGACTGAAGCTCTCAAGTTCACCCTTTAGGGAAAAGTTATTTTGTTTACATTATTATAAGGGATTTGTGATGTCTGTAAAGTGTAACCTAGGAAAGATAATTCAACCATCTAATCAAAATGGATCTGGATTACTATGTAAATTCACAGCAGTAAGATAATATAAATTTTGTTGAATGTATTAACATCATATGGTCTGAAAATGTGGGTTTTTATTTGGCACATTTAAATAAAATGTTTCTAACTAGATTTTTGATTTGTGTTCAATATTAACACTTCTTAATTTGATATATTTGAGAGTCAGACATTATAATTGTTAACCTTATTCATACATACCTACATTCAGAATTGAAAGGTGTTGGTTAAGTCTTGAACATCACTATTCTATGCATAAAACTTGGCCAGGATCTTAAGGGACTTTGAAAATTCCATCTTACCCTTGTAGCTCTGGGTAAGATGACCTGAGTCCCTTATGATACAGCCTGAATGCATCATGACAGATCCTTAAGTTAGCTAATCCGTTTGAAGTTGGTGTTAGTAGGTATTGTATGATCAGTGGTGAAGCAAGTAGGACCACTGATGTGTCTAAATGAGCATGACAGGAACTAAACGAAACTGATTAAATGTATGAGAAATAGAAACATTTCTGGATGATCTTTATACTAATTGCAGCTTTCAGGCTACTAGGTGGCATAGTGTTAATTAGGACTCCCCAAGATATGGGGAGTTCTACTCTCAATGGTCTTGTTTCTTTGCTTTCTACATTAGTTAACCAGTTTTATACCAAAAAATGCATGTTTGAGGAATTGTCTGAAATTGGGACAAAACACCTTCATGTAAACCAGCTTTGCAAAATTTTCCAGCCCAGATACTCTTCATCTATTCAAATGGATTGTCTTATTCTGAGCAAAGACCTGTTGTTAATCTTCAAGCTAGGTTTTGCAGTTCCCAACCACAACATTCTTCTATTTTGCCAGGCTGGTGCAAAGTAATTAAAGATGTCAATCAGAAATGTCAATGAGACTAAAGTGGTTTTGTAAATCTCAGCTATATTTAGCAACACTCCATGTAGCTAATATTTTTTGGTAGCATCTGGTAGACCTTAGAATGTTACATAGCCAGTAGGTTCTTTATTCAAATTTTAAGTATCTTAAGAATAGTAGGGCAGTAACAGTTACTTTTGAGAGTTTTCTGGTCAAGCTTTTACCAGGCATTCTCTAGCCTTGGTACAAAAAAAAAAAAACCTGCTGGTTGCGCAGATACCTAGGCTTGTCCATTTTATGCATTTCAGCAAAGTCATTGGATACTATTGCAACTTGGGAATACTGGTCTGCATCAAGTTTATTCGGTAGTTTGACCGCTAGTATGTTGGAAGTTATTTGGATTGTTTTTGGAATTTTGACTGGCTGAATTATGGTTGGTATAAAGTTATGTGTATAACTGGCAGGCTTATTTATCTGTTGCACTTGGTTAGCTTTAATTGTTCTGTATTATTTAAAGATAAGTTTACTCAACAATAAATCTGCAGAGATTGAACAAATAATCCTGATACTTAATTTTTGGAAGTGGGAGCTCTCAGCCAAAAGTAGGAGGCATTAATCCTGTAGCTTTAGGATGGGCAGCTAGTAGCGTCCTAGAAATGAGTATAGAAAGGATAAAAAGGTGTGGAGGAGGGGTAGGGGCAAAAATGGTTTTAAACAAATTCCAGCCTTGTGGGGAAAAGGGCTGTTTGGGCCAATACCTCTTAGGTCATGTGCAACTTGGCACCCGTTACTGATAGATGCATTTCAAAATAAGCTTTGGTGCATCCCCCCACTTGTTTTCTGTGATTGGGATTGCCAAATTGATTGTCACTGATTGGAAGTGCTGCTCCAGACTCATTCCTTCTAAACTAGCCTAGCACTGATGAGTAATCAGTCAGTTTTTATTTTTAATTTTTAAAATTTTTTTGCTTGGTGCGGTGGCTCGCGCCTGTAATCCCCCAGCTACTTGGGAGTCTGAGGCGGGAGAATCACTTGAACCTGATTGAATAGAGGTTGCAGTGAGCTGAGATTGCGCCACTGTACTCCAGCCTGGGCGACAGAAAGACTCTGTCTCAAAAAAAAAAAATTAGTGTTGCAGTGAATGTACTGTACTGTACGTCATTGACAGGTGATGTACAGTACAGTACATCATTGATAGGTGAACATGCTTACCTAGATCATCCTCGGAAATTGCTGAGTCAAAGGGTATGTGCATTATAATTTTTGCTGGGTACTGTTGGTTTGCCTTCATGGCAGTGTATAGGAGTACCTGTTTCTTTGTATCAGTTCCTACCTGATGGGCTATCAAACTTGATTTTTACCAATCTCAAGTTGAAAAATGGTGTTTCAGCATAGATTTTTTTTAAGACGGAGTCTCGCTCTGTTGCCCAGGCTGGAGTGCAGTGGCGTGATCTTGGCTCACTGCAACCTCTGCTTCCTGGGTTCAAGTGATTCTCCTGCCTCAGCCTCCCAAGTAGCTTGGATTACAGGTGCCCGCCACCACGCCCTGCTAATTTGTACTTTTAGTAGAGACAGGGTTTTGCCATGCTGGGCAGGCTGGCCTTGAACCCTGACCTTTGGTGATCTGTCTGCCTCGGCCTCCCAAAGTGCTGGGATTACAGGCGTGAGCCACCGCGCCTGGCCTCAGCATATTTTTTTTGAGGCAGGTTCTCTGTCACACAGGCTGGAGTGCCATGGTACAATCAGCTTACTGCAGCCTCTGAACTCCTGGGCTCAAGTGATTCTGCCACCTCAGTCTCCCGAGTTGCTGGGACTACAGACTTGCACCACCACAGTCGGCTATTTTTTTTTTTAATTTTTAGTAGAGATCTCGCCTTGTTGCCCAGGCTGTTCTTGGACTCCTGGGCTTAAGTGATCCTCCCATTTTGGCCTCCCAAAGTGCTGGGATTCCAGGCATGAGCCACCATTCCCGGCTGTTTTACATTTTGAAGTGGTTGAAAAAGAATAAAAATTGTAACATTTTATGACATATGTAAGTTGTGTGAAATTTAAATTGTAGTGTTTATAAAGTTTTATGGAAACAGCTATGACTTGTTTGCTTATGGGCTGTCACTGTTTTTGTGCTAACAGTAGTGGAGTTGAGTGGTTGTGACAAAGTCCAACAAAGCCTGTAAAATCTACTCTCCTTTTCATTTTACAGACAATATTTGCCAGCCCCTGGTTTAGATATGTGTCTTCAACTTTACAACTTTCAAAACAATTTTATCTCTGGAGATCTTGGGTACCAAGATTATTTGTAGAGTTGCCAGGGCCTTACCAAGATAGACTTTTGGTCTGGGAAGCCTGACTTATCCAGGACTCTTTCCTTGAAGTGCTTTGTGAAGCTCGGGGGCAAATTCTAGCCAAACGCATTTACGGACTTACCGTAAAATGGATGAATGAGACCATACTAGGGAAAGCTTTTACTCTAGGGTAGTGGTTCTGATTGCTAGTTGCAGACTAAAATCACCCAGGGTGCTTAAAGACATTCAAATGAAAGAATCACTGAGGGTGAAGCCTGGGTATTAATGTAAAAATTTCACCTGGTGATTTCTGAGACAGCATCTGTCACCCAGGCTGGAGTGCAGTGGCATGATCGCTGCCTTGACTTCCTGGGCTCAGGTGATCCTCCTGCCTCTGCCTCCTGAGTAGCTGGGACTACAGGCACATGTCACCACACCCAGCTAATTTTTGTATTTTTTTCTTAAAGATGGGGTTTCACCATGTTGCTTAGGTGGGTCTCAAACTCCTGGGCTTAAGCATTCCACCGGCCTTGGCCTCCGTAAGTGCTAGGATTACAGGTGTGAGCCACAGTGCCTCGCTTCTCCCCTGGTTCTTCTAATACGCAACCAGAATTGAAAACCACTGCTCTGGAAGTGGTGTTAGTTATTGGAAGATTGGCCTGGTTTATTCTACTATAATAAGGAAGTAGCAGCACTCACATGTGAATCAAAGGATTCTGCTATTGTCCTCTAGGTTTCTCTGTCTCCAAATGATCCCATGCTGGAAAGGAAACTGAAAAAAACAGAAACTGCATTTTAATTTATATTAGTACCAGTAGAGGTCGCTGTGCTCAAAGAAATAATCATCTTTAAAAAAAAGTTAACATTCTATTCAGAATTTTTTTTTTTTTTTTTTGAGACAGAGTTTTGCTCTTGTTGCTCAGCCTGGAGTGCAGTGGCGCGATTTCGCTCACCGCAACTTCCACCTCCCGGGTTCAAGCTATTTTCCTGCCTCAGCCTCTTGAGTAGTTAGGATTATAGGCATGTGTCACCACCCCTGGCTAATTTTGTATTTTTAGTAGAGACGGGGTTTCTCCATGTTGATCAGGCTGGTCTCAAATTCCCGACCTCAGGTGATCCACCCACCTCAGCCTCCCAAAGTGCTGGGATTACAGGTGTGAGCCACCACGCCCGGCTAATTTTGTATTTTTAGTAGAGATGGGGTTTCACCACGTTGGCCAGGCTGGTTTCAAACCCCTGAGCTCAGGTGATCCACCCGCCTCGACCTCCCAAAGTGGTGGGATTATAGGCATGAGCCACCATGTCTGGCCTAAATATTTTTTTTAGTATAAAAAATTAAGTGTGTTACTTAATTCCTCTTGATTTTTTAAAACTATTTTTTAGTTAGTGGTTGAATCTTACCACAATCTAGTTCTGATTAATACTCTGGTAAAATATAGAAATTACACTCCAATGCTGTTTCCTTTTACTCTTCCCTCTTTTATGCTATATTTATGTATTCTAAACTTGATACTACTGTGTTACAAGTATTGCTTTGTGTAATCTTAACGTCTTTTTTTTTTTTTTTTTTTTGAGACGGAGTCTCACTCTGTTGCCAGGCTGGAGTGCAGTGGCATGATATTGGTTCACTGCAACCTCTGCCTCCTGGGTTCAAGCAGTCCTCCTGCCTCAGCCTCCTGAGTAGCTGGGACTACAGGCACGTGCCACCATGCCCAGCTAATTTTTGTAATTTTAGTAGAGACAGGGTTTCACCATGTTGGCCAGGATGGTCTTGATCTTTTGACCTTGTGATCCACCTGCCTCAGCCTCCCAAAGTGCTGGGATTACAGGCGTGAGCCACCATGCCCGGCTAATCTTATGTCTTTTAAGAGAATAAATGAAAAAATACAATGTCTTATTAATCCATATATTTACTATTTCTGATCTTCTTTATTTCTTTCCATGGATTCTGGTGTAATTTCAGTATGGAGGACTTCCTCTAGTATTTCTCATAAGGCAGGCTTGCTAGCAATGAATTCCCTAGTCTTTATTTCACCTTTGCTTTTGAAGGATAGTTCTGGGTGATAATTGAATCTCTGGTTTTGAAGCACTTTGACCATGTCATTCCACGGCATTCTGGGCTCCATTGTTCCAGATGAGAAGTCAGCTGTTAATTGTACTGGTGCTGGTGGTCCCCTGTAGCGAGGAGTCATTTTTCTCCTGCTGCTTTCAAATTTTGTTTGCTTTTGACATTCAGCAGTTTAAATGTATCAACAGTTTGGTGTATCTAGATGGGAATCTCTATTCTTGAAGTTTGTTGAGCTTCTTAGATTTATAGATAATTGGTTTTCATCAAATTTGGAAGTTTTTTGCCATTATTTTTTTTTGTCCCTCTCTTTGGACTCCCATTACTCATACGCTCATGTGCTTGTTTTCTCACAGGTCTCTGAGGTTCTGTTCAGTTTTCTTCAATCTCTTTTCTGTTTTTCAGGTTGAATAATTCCTATTAATCTACCTTCAAGTTCACTTACTCTTTCTTCTGCTGTCTCAAATCTACTTCTGACTCTCTCTAGTTAACTTTTTTTTTGTTTTGTTTTGTTTTTTTTTGAGACAGTTTCACTGTGTTGCCCAGGCTGGAGTGCAGTGGCGTGATGTTGGCTCACTGCAACCTCTGCCTCCCGGGTTCAAGTGATTCTCGTGCCTCAGCCTCCCAGTATTACAGGCACAGGCACATGGTGATGCCTGGCTAATTTTTGTAGTATTAGTAGAGATGGGGTTTCACCAGGTTGACCAGGCTGGTCTTGAATTACTGTCCTCAAGTGATCCGCCCACCTCAGCCTCCCAAAGTGCTGGGATTACAGGTGTGAGCCATTGTGCCTGGCCTCTCTAGTTAACTTCTTATGCATCATTATACTGTTTTCAACAAACTTCTACTTGATTCCCTTTTTTTTTTTTTTGAGGTAGTGTCTCACTCTGTCACCCAGGATGGAGTGCAGTGGCATGATCTCAGCTTACTGCAACCTCCGCCTCCCAGGTTCAAGCAATTCTCCTGGCTCAGCCTCCCAAGTGGCTGGGATTACAGGTGTGCACCACCACACCTAGCTAATTTTTGCATTTTTAGTACAGATTGGGTTTTGCCATGTTGGCCAGGCTGGTCTCAAACTTCTGGCCTCAGGTGATCTGCCTGCCTCGGGCTCCCAGAGTGCTGGGATTACAGGCGTGAGCCATTGGCCCCAGCCTACTTGATTCCTTTTTATAATCTCCAGTTTTTTTGTTTTTGTTTTTGTTTTCAACATTCTTGTGTTTATCTTTTAAAAGACAGTCTCCCTGTGTTGTCCAGGCTGCAGTGCAGTTGGCTATTCACAGGTGGGATCATAGTATACTATAGTCTTGAACTCCTGGGCTCAAACAAGCCTCCTGTCTCAGCCTCCTGAGTAGCTGGGACTACAGGCATGAACCCCTATGCCCAGCTTCTTATGCTTATTTTAAAATTCTAGGGGGTTGCCTTGTGTCTGCACAGCTTAGGGGGCAGCCACTTTCTGGAGAGTTTGTGCTGACACCTCAACCAGTCAGACTTCTGTCCTCTGCTGATGGATCTTTGTGTAGGTAGGTGAGTAATTTTAATATTCAGGCTGCTTTCAAGTCTATCTTAAGTTTTACTTTTTGTTGAGCCCTTCATCTCTGTTGCACATGTACCCAGCCTCCGATCAGCCAAAAATCTGCTTGCAGCCACGACTGCAACCTCAGGCCAGTAGAGCCATAAGCCCTCCCTGCCTGCACAGCACTGGGATTGTTACTTCCATTGATGATGGTTTGGGTATGGCTGCCACTCACACCTCCAAATGGAGTAAACCCTCTTTCAACCACAGCTGCTTGCTTGTCCTCATGTTCTGTTTTGCCTCAGCAGAACCTTCACAATTACTGAGTTGGAGGAGTGAGGGGGATACGAACAGCCCCAGGCAAGAACACTACAGACTCCCACTATTCCTACTCAAAGCTCAGTAGTTTTTCAGACAACATATCTCAGACTGGAAGGTTTTATGTCTGTTTCCAGAACACCAAAATTGTTTTGAGCTGGGAGTAGTGGTGCGTGCTTATAGTTGCAGGTACTTAGGAGGCTGAGGCTGGAGGGGGGATTGCTTGAGGGCAGGAATTCAAGACCAACCTGGGCAACATAGTAAGACCCCCCATCTCTATAAACAACAAAAAAAATGTTTCGTCCAATTTTTTCAGCATTTTAATTGCTCGAACTATAATAAGGAGAGGATTTGCTGACGTCCTTGCCTGACTGTAGCTGGAAGTGCTGCCCAAAGCACGAGACTTTAATGATGATCTGCGTAACTGAGTTAAGCAGGAAATGCCTTGATTGGGAAAGGATTGCACTCCTGTCCAAACAGCCTCTTGAAAACTGGTGATCCAATTGCTTAAAATGGTTAAGAGTGAAAATGGGAACTGGCCGGGGACCAGGACACATGCTGAGCTTCCTTCCTGCCCTGTGCTGGTAGTCCTGCATTTTTTTCCATGTTCTACTTTTCGTAAACTCTCCAGTTCCACCTCCACAGCATGACATCTTAGTCTTCACAGCAGTGTTTGTGTAATTATTTTAATATGACATCTCACCTTGTACAATTTTTTATTTTTGAGACAGTCTTGCTCTGTAACCCAGGCTGGAGTGCAGTGGTGCAATCTAGGCTCACTGCAACCTCCGCTTCGCAGGTTCAAGCAGTTATCTGCCTCAGCCTCCTGAGTAGCTGGGATTACAGGCACCTGCCACCATGCCTGGCTAATTTTTGTGTTTTTAGTAGAGACGGGATTTCACCATCTTGGCCAGGCTGGTCTTGAACTCCTGACCTAGTGATCCACCCGCCTTGGCCTCCCAAACTGCTGGGATTACAGGCGTGAGCCACCGCGTCCAGCACCTTCTAAAATTTTACTTCTTGCTGGGGCCTTCAGCGATTTTATCATAAAATCACCCAATTATGCTGACATGCTGTCACATGTCACAATCTATGTCTTATAAGCACATGGAAGGGCTTCTCAAGCAAAGTTATGTGTTTCATGAAAAAGGACAGATTGGTTGCTGCCACAAAAAGAGTTTCTCTAAATTTTTGCTTCCCTCAGATGCATGGTGTGACAAATGTAGCCTTTTTTTTTTTTAAGACAGAGTCTCGCTCTGTCGCCCAGGCTGGAGTGCAGTGGCGAGATCTCGGCTCACTCCAACCTCCACTTCCCTGGTTCAAGCAATTTCCCTCTCTCAGCCTCCTGAGTAGCTGGGATTACAGGTGCATGCCACCACGCCCAGCTAATTTTTTTGTATTATTAGTAGAGACGGTTGGCCAGACTGGTCTCAAACCAGGTTTCACCTGGTTGGCCAGACTGGTCTCAAACTCCTGACCTCAGGCAATCCACCCACCTTGGCCTCCCAAAGTGCTGGGATTACAGATGTGAGCCACAGCGCCTGGCCGCCTTTTTTACTTGCTTTTATAAACACCATTAATTTAAAGGCCAGTAACTTATTTCAGCTGCCCTACAGGCAATGAATATCCTTACTTGGACTACTGTAGACTTGGCTTCTTATAAAAACAATAATCTTTTTGGACAGAAGAAAACAAAGTATTTGGCTAATTAATTAATTAATTTGGCATTCTCAAACCTAGAGGCCATTACATTAAGAACTAGTTTGTAGTTGTTACATTTCTTTGTTTTGTCTCAGTGGATCCAGGGCTGGAATCGCCCCCATAGTGGCAGCAGGGGAGACCCCATCAGGGAGTGATCCAAACTATCTCGAGATAGGGCCGGCTGGGATTTCAAAGAAAGAAGCTCTAAGCGCCAGGGTGATCAATCCAAAGCATTTATTAGAGGAACTTCCTTACAGAGTGCTGCAGCAATGGTTGAGAGAGAAAAGGGGTGTTCTGCCCAGGTATATCAGCAGTGAGGGAGTTTCTATGACAGTTAAAGGAATTTGGCTCAGGGCCAGAGCCAGTTTCTTTTTTCTTTTTCTTTTTTTTTTTTTTTTTTTTTGAGACAGAGTCTTGCTGTCACCCAGGCTGGAGTGCAATGAGAGTCTTGCTGTGACCCAGGCTGGAGTGCAATGGCATGATTTTGGCTCACTGCAACCTCCGCCTCCTGGGCTTAAGCAATTCTCCTGCTTCAGCTTCCCGACTAACTGAGATTACAGGCACCCGCCACCATGCCCAGCTAATTTTTTTGTATTTTTTTTTTTTTTTTTAGTTGAGACGGGGTTTCACCATGTTGGCCAGGCTGGTCTTGAATGCCTGATCTCAGGTGATCCACCCGCCTCGGCCTCCCAAAGTGTTGGGATTACAGGCGTGAGCCACTGCGCCCGGCCCAGTGCCAGTTTCTTTTAGTGTTTTAGGGAACAACCTAGACAGATTTATCAGTGCCTGGGAATGTTCAAGGCCCGGTTTGGGTTCAAGCCTGCTAGGAAAAATCTGCAGCTGGCTAGGTGACAAAGGTCAAGGCACTCTGTGACTTTTGGTCAGGATACAGAAAGCAGGGGCAACTGGCAACTCTACACTTGTGAATAAGAAAATGTTCATTCTCTTCTTCTCTGGGATTTCCTAAATGATTGCTGGCACCTAGAGTATGAGAACCCTGCGTCGAACAATTTAATAATCAAATTGGTAGCTAGGTTGCAGTCAGCTTAATAGTTCACCTCTGAGGCCTCTTGGCTAATGTATATATTGGTAACTTTAATAAGAGTGGAGAGATCTGCAGGCAGCATCTTGCTCAAGTCACCAAAGTTAACCTCACCAGTGAGAAGACAACTGAGCATGTACCTCACCTGACTGGCTGCTGTGGGCAGCATCACACCTGACCTGAATCCCTTCACAGACCCAGCAGAGGGCTGTGTACAGAGCAGGTGCTCAGAAAAATCCATGCTGAAGTGAATTAAAAAATAAACAAGATCTTTGGTTTATTATCGGTTACAAAGAAAGAGGAGGTGTGGAAAGCTACTTCCACTGAGATAGCTTTCCTAACTGTTAGGTAGGAAAATGCCAGGGCTCCCACTGGAGGGCAAAGTAGAATCCAGAACACACCCATATTCTTGGTCCATTTCCCAAAGGTCCACGCCTGAGAGATTTCAAGCTGAGTAAAGGAACAAGTCTTCTGAAGATGCAGATTTTGGTTTTATTTCAATTCAGTACAGCATACACTAGTATAACATACTTTTTTTTTTTTTTTTCAAAATCACCAACCAAAACCCATCACTGATACTTTGATTGTCTAGGAAAGAAGGAGCCCCAGCCTTGTCACATACAATCTCTGTCCCTGGTGCAATGTCATCCTCACTGTGCTGTGAAAGGCAAGGCTCTCTCCTCACCCTAATAGCTCCTGTTTCCAGTGCTTGCCTGTCTTTCTTCCCAAGCGTTGGCCGGGCTGTGCTTTCTCAGTTAACCCAAAGGCTCTTGCAGGCCTTTTCCTCTCGGAAGTCCCCTCCCTCTCCCGAGAGAGAGAGCTGCTTTTTTTTCCTTTTTTTTTTTTTTTTTTTTGAGATCGAGTTTTGCTCTGTTGCCCAGTGCAGTGGCATGATCTCGGCTCACTGCAACCTCCACCTCCCAGGTTCAAGCGATTCTCCTGCTTCAGCCTCCCAAGTAGCTGGGACTACAGGTGCGTGCTACCACACCCAGCTAATTTTTTATGTAGAGACGGGGTTTCACCGTGTTAGCCAGGATGGTCTCGATCTCCTGACCTCGTGATCCGCCTGCCTCGGCCTTCCAAAGTGCTGGGATTACAGGCGTGAGCCACCGTGCCCGGCCTCAACTTTTTATTTATTAGCTTGTTGGTCTTCAACCTCTGTAAGCCTCAGTTTCCTCACTTATCAATCATCTACTGCTGTATAGAGACAGGTCCATCTCCTAGCATGCAGGGTGAGGCTAATGTGACATTTGAAAACTCCAGAGTGCTGCTGACAGTGGTTGGAGGTGAAGGAGGAGGAAATAAAAGCAATGTGAGAATAGCTTTAAAGAAAGGAAGGGCAAAAAGTTGAAAAGAAAGAGGCAGTGTGGAGAGATGGAGCCAACAGCAGCATGGGAGTCCCTGGCTAGGGTCAGGGCTTAGATGACGACATTGTTGGTTGGGTTCACTTGCCCTCTGAACTGCACAGGGAATCGAGCTGGTCATTAGACATGGCCTGGAGCCAGTCACTGGAAAAGGAAATCAATACCCAGACTGATTCTCAGAACAGCCACCATTTGTATGATTTTAATCCATAGAATCATTCTGAAAGCTTCTTAATCTTCACCTTTTTTCTGGACAGGAGACAGGTGGCTGAGCCTAGCCCTGGACTGGATCATATCTTCACACTTCCTTAAGCCACAGAAAACTTGAACCAGGTGGTGTGGTCATACTCCTCACCAGGCCTCAGCAGCACAGGAGGGAAGCGGGGCTGTGAAGGGGAAACAACACAGGTGATGCTTGACACCGCAGGCTGCAACATTAACCATTTGGGTGTGCTTCTGGACGGGCTTCTAGACCAGTGCTCTGTGGATGGCTGCCAGTGCGGGAACTGTTTATGATTGGTTCATAGTGAGATAAAGAACTTTAATCAGAGTGAAAAAAGCACACTTTGTTAAAGGAAGGCTTTCCTGATGAAGGGAAGCAGTGTGTTGATCTATAATCTGGTGTAAGGTGTAGGCTTTTTTTTTTTTTTTTTGAGATGGAGTCTTGCTCTGTTGCCCAGGCTGGAGTGCAGTGGGGCGATCTCAGCTCACTGCAAACCCCGCTTCCTGGGTTCAAGCGATTCTCCTGCCTCAGCCTCCAGAGTAGCTGGGATCACAGGCACCTGCCACCATGCCCAGATAATTTTTTTATTTTTACTAGAGACAGGGTTTTGTCATGTTGACCGGGCTGGTCTCGAACTCCTGACCTCAAGTGATACACCTGCCTCAGACTCTCAAAGTGCTGGGATTACAGGTGTGAGCCACCGCACCTGGCCCTTTTTTTTTTTTTTTTTTAAAGACAGGGTCTCATTCTGTTGCACAGGCTGGAGTGCAGTGGTGTGATCATGGCTCACTGCAGCCTTGACCTCCCAGGCTCAGGGATCCTCCCACCTCAGCCTCCCAAGTAGCTGGGGCCACAGGTGTGCACTACCACACCTGGCTAATTTTTCTAATAATCTGTAAAGATGGGGTCTCCCTGTGTTGCCCAGGTTAGCCTCAATCTCAGGCTCAAGCAATCCTCCCGCCTCAGCCTCCCAAAGTGCTGGGATTACAGGCATGAGCCACCTTGCCCAGCCCAAGGTGCAAGCTTCTTATTGTGGGCTGGCACTTTCAGGAGTACTGCTCTGGGTAACAACCAGAAAAGAAAGTTATGAGGGAGCACATAGGAGGAGACGATATGGAAGCTCTCCTTAAGTGTGGCTGCAGAAAACGAGAAGGTATTGTTAAGGAGAAACAAACTGGATAAAGGCTTTGAAGGTACAAAATTTCAGCTTTCTTAAAACCATGTAAATCCCATGTTAGTAGCTTGGCTATGGGTTTTCTGTGACTTGCAGAAGAGAATAAGCATGAACTTTTGAGCCGGGCACAGTGGCTCACGCCTATAATCCTAGCACTTTGGGAGGCCAAGGCAGGTGGATCACCTGAGGTCAGGGGTTTTGAGACCAGCCTGGCCAACATGGTGGAACCCTGTCTCTACTAAAAATACAAAAATTAAGCAGGCATGGTGGTAGGCGCCTGTAATCCTAGCTACTTGGAAGGCTGGGGCAGGAGAATCGCTTGGACCCAGGAGGCGGAGGTTGCAGTGAGCTGAGATCGTGCCCAGGAGGCGGAGGTTGCAGTGAGCTGAGATCGTGCCACTGCACTACAGCCTAGGCGACAAGAGTGAGACTCTGTCTCAAAAAACAAACCAAACAAACAAAGCATGAACTTTTGAATCATACAAGCTGATTCGAGTGTAGTGAACTCTGTCGTACAGTGTGACCTTGGACACAACTCTACTCTGAAAAGCCAGCCTGTGGCATTACCTGATTGACTGCATCAGGCCAGTTCTGAGTCTCCAGGCAGAAACCGGAGTGCTTGGGATAGACAGCTCCATTCTTGCCCTTTAATGTGCCATCCAGGAAGTTGCCCGTGTAAAACTGGACCCCGGGCTGGGTGGTGTATACTTCTAGTACCCGCCCGCTTGCAGCATGATGCACCCTGGTAAGAAATACAAACAACATGAGTCCAGGGCAGAAAAGCAGGTGGGGAGGAGTAGAAGCTGGGAAGCGGCTTTGAGACAGGAATCAGACCCAGCCACAGAGCAGGGACAAGATATAAGGAGGAGATGAAGGTAGGAAGAGCATGATGGAAAATTCTTCCAGTCTCAAAGGCAAGGCATGAGCAGGTGGCTTTCAGGATCCTCAGTAGCTTCTTTGGGGCATCACAAAACAGACTCACTCCTGCCAGCTGGGGAGTAGGGAGGAAGGCAGCAGCCAGGTTGGAGAGAGGAAGGTCCTGGAGAGGCTGAGATTCTTTTTTTTTTTTTTTTTTTTTTTGAAATAGAGTCTTTCTCTATTGCCCAGGCTGGAGTGCAGTGGCGCGACCTCGGCTCACTGCAACCTCAGCCTCCCGGGCTCAAGCAATTCTCCCACTTCAGCTCCCCAGTAGCTGGGACTGCAGGTGCGCACTACCATGTCCAGCTAATTTTTGTTTGTTTGTTTGTTTTGAGATGGAGTCTGGCTCTGTCACCCAGGGAGGAGTGCAGTGGTGCGATCTTGGCTCACTGCAACCTCCGCCCCCTTGGTTAAAGCAATTCTCCTGCCTCAGCCTCTAGAGTAGCTGGGATTACAGGTACCTGCCACCACATCCGGCTAATTTTTTGTACTTTTAGTATTGTCGGGGTTTCATCATGTTGGCCCAACTGGTCTTGAACTACTGACCTCAGGTGATCTGACCACCTCAGCCTCCAAAAGTGCTGGGATTACAGGCATGAGAGCCACTGCACCTGGCCTGAGATTCTTTTTTTTTTTTTGAGATGGAGTTTTGCTCTGTTGCCTAGCCTGGAGTGCAGTGGCGTGATCTCGGCTCACTACAACTTCCACCCCCTGGGTTCAAGTGATTCTCCTGCCTCAGCCTCCTGAGTAGCTGAGATTATAGGTGCCCACCACCATGCCTGGCTAATTTTTATATTTTTAGTAGAGACGGCGTTTCACCATGTTGGCGAGGCTGGTCTCAAACTCCTGACCTCAAGTGATCTGCCCACCTCAGCCACCTAAAGTGCTGGGATTACAGGCATGAGCCACCACGCCCAGCCCGGAGAAGGTCTTTGATCTTCTTTCTGTCACTATTTGGTTTGAGTCATTTTTTCTGCTTTATTTAAAAACTGTTGACCGGGTGCAGTGGCTTACACCTGTAATCCCAGCACTTTGGGAGGCCGAGGTGGGTGGATTACAAGGTCAGGAGTTCAAGACCAGCCTGACCAACATTGTGAAACCCCATCTCTACTAAAAATACAAAAATTAGCTGGGCATAGTGGCACGTGCCTGTTATCCCAGCTACTCAGGAGGCTGAGGCAGGAGAATCACTTGAACCCGGGAGGCGGAGGTTGCAGTAAACCTAGATCGCACCACTGCATTCCAGTCTGGGCGACAGAGCAAGACTCCGTCACACACACGCACACACACAAAACTGTTAATTCTGCAAACATTTATTCATTATTTGCTAGTGCCAAGGATGATATTAGGTGTTGGGGTAGAGGTAGGGCTTCACAAAGATGAAATGGCATGAGGAACTGGGATTTGGTGAGAAGGCGAGAGCGTGCACACAAGTGTCTATCGGTCAAGGCTGGAGGCGGTGAGTGCTGCAGGAGATGCCTAGCCTCCAACTGGCCATGGAGTAGGCAGGCATAAGTCACAGATCGAGAAAGCACAAAGGCTCTGGAAGTTCAGTGACAGCCGAGGTGACTTCACTAGGAAGAGTTAAGGCTTCTAACAGAAAATGGGCCTTAAAGAACAGGCAGAGAGGGAGAGAGCGGGTGCCAAGCAGGGGGAATAGGGGTAATGGCAGGTGGGGGACTGGGATAAATTCTACAGAGCTCACCTGTGCCATGGGAGCTTTGAGAAAATATGGGATGTGGTATTGGGTCACTTGTAGCATAGTAAATGCTATTGATATGGCCAGAGGAAAAGCTCCAAAGGAAAATAGGACTTGGTGTCATTTCTTCCTTACAGACTCAGGAAGTGAAAAGTACCTGACCTTGCACAAAAATGCTTTTCTTTAGATCCCTTCAGACAGAAATTGTGGTCAAAACCATTGAGATGGAAGTCCTGCAGGTGTTTTCCAAGCTCCACTGGCTTTCTCAGGTCGAATGCAGTGCCTTGCACTGGGGCAACTTCTCCTGATGGGAAGAGACAGAAAACAAAGGTGATAAATGCCCAAGTCTCATCTTTATATAGAGCCTCCACAAAGGCTCACTGGTTCTACTCTCTCCGCCTTCATTTTAATTTGTTAAGGAGATGGGAGCCCAGATCCTGGGAAACATGCAGAGACCCCATCTCTACCAAAATAATAAAATAAATAAATAAATAAATGTAAAAAATTAGCCAGGCATAGTGATGTGTCCCTGTGGTCTCAGCTACTCAGGAGGCTGAGGCAGGAGGATTGCTTGAGCCCAGGAGGTCGAGGCTACAGTGAACCATGATTGCACCACTGCACTCCAGCATAGGTAACAGAATGAGACTGTCTTAAAAAACAAATATGGAGAGGGTGGGGAAGAGAAAAAAAAAACCCTCAAATAAATAGAGTATATGGGAGTATGGGCTCAGGTTATATGCAAATACTGCACCATTTTATAGAAGGAACTAGAGTATCTAATGATTTAAGTATCAGTAGGGGGTCCTGGAACCAATCCTCCATGGATTCCAAGGGACAATGGAAAATATATACTCATAAATATATAGTAACATATACATAAAAGCCAGAGTTGTTCTAGCTGAATCAAGTACAGGTTCTGAGCAGCGCAGGTGGAAAACCCCAGGATAAGATGATGGCAGAGGTCCACTTCCTCTTAAAATTATGGCCCACCCAGGAGTAGTAACAGCCAGGTGCTAGAACCTTGTACCAAGTACAGAGAATACCAGTTTCCTCTGTAGCAGGCCAAATCACTCCAGCCATTTTTTCTTGAAGAGGAAAAGAAAAGGGCTCTGTTTCAGAGGCTTAAACAATGTTACGGTTGAGTTTTTGTTTTGTTTTGTTTTGTTTTGTTTTTTGAGATGGAGTCTTGCTCTGTCACCCAGGCTGGAGCGCAGTGGCGCGATCTCAGCTCAGTGCAACCTCCGCCTCCTGGGTTCAAGTGATTCTTCTGTCTCAGCCTCATGAGTAGCTGGGATTACAGGTGCACACCACCATGCTTTTGTATTTTTAGTAGAGACGGGGTTTCACCATGTTGGCCAGGCTGGTCGTGAACTCCTGACAGGTGATCTGCCCACCTCGGCCTCCCAAAGTGCTAGTATTATAGGCGTGAGCCACTGCACCCAGCCAAAAAAAAAGTTTTTTTTTTTTGAGACAGAGTTTTGCTCGTCGCCCAGGCTGGAGTGCAATGGCACAATCTCAGCTCACTGCCACCTCTGCCTCCCAGGTTCAAGTGATTCTCCCACCTCAGCCTCCCAAGTAGCTGGGATTACAGGCACACACCACCACGCCCAGCTAATTTTTGTATTTTTAGTAGAGATGGGGTTTCACCATGTTGGCCAGGCTAGTCTCCAACTCCTGACCTCAGGTGGTCCACCTGCCTTGGCCTCCCAAAGTGCTGGGATTACAGGTGTGAGCCACCACTCCTGGCCTAAAAAGTTTTCTTATAGTCCCAGAGCTGTCTCATATATTTTAAAGGTAAATGCAAATGTTAGGAGGTTAACATACTCTTTTAGGGTGATAATTATTTTTCCCTTTCATGTGGTCAAATGGCAATTTTAGGAACTTGGCTTCCACTGTAATCAGGGGAGAGAAGTAGCATGCAAAGTAGGGCTGAAATCTTAGGAGGCTAAGAAAAAGCAGGAACTTGTACCTTACCATTAAAATAATTTAAAAAGTAAAAGAAGAACCAATTGCCAGTCATTTAAAACATTTGGTTCTGCTTTTGTGGGTTCCTAAATGCTGAGAGAACACACAAATCTATCTGAGTAAAAGAGGACATTTCATTTATTTTTCCTTTTTCTTTTTTTTTTTTTTTTGAGACGTAGTCTCCCTCTGTTGCCTGGGCTGGAGTGCAATGGCCAGTCTAGGCTCACTGCAACCTCTGCCTCCTGGTTCAAGTGATTCTCCTGCCTCAGCCTCCCGAGGAGCTGGGACTACAGGCACGCACCATCATGCCCAGCTAATTTTTGTATTTTTAGTAGAGACGGGGTTTCACCATATTGGCCAGAGTGGTCTCGAACTCCTGACCTCGTGAACCACCTGCCTTGGCCTCCCAAAGGGCTGGGATTACAGGCGTGAACCACTGCACCCGGCCCCATTTCTTTTCTTAAACTCAGAACTGCTGTTCAGAAATGTAGTCTTCCTAGTGCCTGAAGACTGGAGTTCTGAGTTCACATACAGCCTCAGGATGCCTAGGTACGAAGCACTCAAGTGAGACACTGAGGTCCAGGCGATACCATCCTGGTGTGTGGGTGTCCACTGTTTAACCGAGAGAATCTGGGAAGTGCACAAAGGATTCCTTGCTCTTTTTTTTTTTTTTTTTCTTGAGACGGAGTCTCACTCTGTCGCCCAAGCTGGAGTGCAGTGGCTCAACCTTGGCTCACTGCAATCTCTGCCTCCTGGGTTCAAGTGATTCTCCCGCCTCAGCCTCCCAAACAGATGGGATTACAGGGGCACACCACCATGCCCAGCCAATTTTTGTATTTTTTGTAGAGACGGGGTTTCAACATGTTGGCCAGGCTGGTCTCAAACTTCTGACCTCAAGTGACCCACCCACCTTGGCCTCCCAAAGTGCTGGGATTACAGGTGTGATCTGGCCAAATTTTTAAATAGGGAATATTTGCACATGCAACCAATTTTTTTTTAAGACAGAGTTTTGCTCTTGTTGCCCAGGCTGGAGTGCAGTGGCGTGATCTCGGCTCACCACAACCTTGGCCTCCCAGGTTCAAGCGATTCTTCTGCCTCAGCCTCCCAAGTAGCTGGGATTACAGGTGCCTGCCACCACACCCAGCTAATTGTTGTATTTTTAGTAGAGATGGGCTTTCACCGTTTTGGCCAAGCTGGTCTCAGGTGATCTGCCCATCTCGGCCTCCCAAAGTGCTGGGATTATAGGCAGGAGCCACTGAGCCCGGCCGAGACTACTTCGGCTTGCATTTGTCTGGTTTACTTTTGCATTCTTATTCTGAGTCACTTGGTTTGTATACAGCATTGTGTTGGGATTAAATGTGAGAGACTTGGCCAGGCGGGGTGGCTCATGCCTGTAATCCCAGCACGTTGGCAGGCCGAGGCGGGCGGATCACGAGGTCAGGAGATCGAGACCATCCCGGCTAAAACGGTGAAAACCCGTCTCTACTAAAAATACAAAAAATTAGCCGGGCGTAGTGGCGGGCGCCTGTAGTCCCAGCTACTTGGGAGGCTGAGGCAGGAGAATGGCGTGAACCCGGGAGGCGGAGCTTGCAGTGAGCCGAGATCCCGCCACTGCACTCCAGCCTGGGCGACAGAGCGAGACTCCGTCTCAAAAAAAAAAAAAATAAAAAAAAAAAAATAAAGGCACTTTTGTTTCCCAGTAGATGGTGCTAGAGACACAATAGAAAGAGGTTGCTTTACATCCTCTAAACCCTGATCAGTTCTGGCAGAATTCATAGTTGAACTTTTTGGATCTTGAAAGCCAAAGGCCAAATCCTAGATAGCAGTGTGACCCACTTGGGTATGCTTTTGTCCTGCAATGTTTACATGATATACTACCTCCCAGACTTGCATGGTGGCTCATGCCTGTAATCCCAGAGGTTTGGGAGGCTGAGGTGGGCGGATCACTTGAGGTCAGGAGTTTGAGACCAGCCTGGGCAACATGGCGAAACCCCGTCTCTACTAAAAATACAAAAATTAGCCAGGCGTGGTGGCGCATACCTGTAATATCAGCTACTCAGTAGACTGAGGCACAAGAATCGCTTGAACCCGGGAGATGGAGGTTGTGGTGAGCCAAGATTTCACCACTGCACTCCAGACAGAGTGAGACTCTGTCTCAAAAAAACAAAACAAAACAAAACAAAAAAAAGAAAAGAAATGAAAAGAAAAAGGCAACAATAATTCTTCTTTTTCTTTTTTAAAGACAGGGTCCTGCTATGCTCAAGTGATCCTCCTGCCTCAGCCTCCTGAGTAGCTAGGACTACAGGTGTATGCCCAATTATATATATACGTGTGTGTGTGTGTGTATGTGTGTGTTTAAGAGCGAGGGTCTCGTTCTGTTACCCAGGCTGTAGTGCAGTGGCATGATCACAGCTCAATGCAGCCTCGACCTGCCAGGCTCAGGTAATCCTCCTGTCTCAGCTTCCTGAGTAGCTGGGACCCCAGGCATGTACCAGCACCCCTGGCTAATTTTTAAATTATTTGAAGAGATGGGGGTCTCACTTTGTTGCGCAGGCTGGTTTCAAACTCCTGGGCTCAAGCAATCCTCCTGCCTCAGCCTCCCAAAGTACTGGGTTTACAAGCATGAGCCACCATGCTCAGCAATTCTTCATGAAACAATTAGACTTGGAAAAAAAAGCAGGTATTCTCATGGGCTCAGGAAGATTTTAGTCTTACCAACCTATATTCTGAGTGGTAACTTATGCTTTCTTCTATAACTTTAAATGGTGTTACAATATTTAATTCTTCCTTAAAGCCACAGTCAACTCAAAATCTAACCCTTATGACAGTCCTAGTGTGATCGACTCAGGTCAATCAAAATTGCTTATAATTATCTCCCTTAAAGTATAACTACAGGTAGAAGGCTTGAAGAAACAAAGAAAGCTACAAAATTTTTGTGAAGGAAAGACAGAGGGCATACATCAGGTCTCTTTCCTGTTACCAAGCAATCTACAAATCAGTGTTTGCTTCAGCTCTTCCCTCTGTAAAACGAAGCTGTTATTAGCTGCCACATTACATGGAAATATTTGATAAATGGTATGCTTGAACACCTTCAGGAGTCTGGCATAAATAAATATATATAACAGGGCCAAATTTCAGGCTACCATATAGAACACAGAGCAGAGGGCACAGAGGGTAAGACTTTAAGCATGACAAAGAAGCCCTGACTTAAAATTAGAAAACTGGGACAATTCTAAAATGATGAAATTTTTGGTAAATGAGAAGAAAAAAACAGTGAAGGCTCCAATCTATCTTGTCCATCCTCATGCACTGACACACTTGGTCATGTGCTTAATGATCAAGTATATGGAAAATGTGGAATTTGTCCCCCAGATTCGCCATGTCTCTGGGCCCTTTCTCATAACTAGAATGAATGTTCCTTCTGGGTCCCCTATGCCCACCACAGTCTGGCAAAGTCCAATTGATCGTTCAAGAATATTCTCTAACATAATTTCTTCTTGTGAAATATTCTAACCTCTATAGCCAGGACCAATCTTTTTTTTCTTTGTTCTCATTATACTTAGAATAGACTTTTCTCAAAACGTTCATCATATTATGACATAATTACAGGATTTGTCAAAGTCAAATAAAATATAGAGATGAATCTCTCAATGTTTTATTTGAGAATCACAGAATTGGCCAGGCATGGTGGCTCATGTCTGTAATCCCAGCACTTTGGGAGGCCGAGATGGACAGATCACTTGAGGCCAGGAGTTCAAGACCAGTCTGGCCAACATGGTGAAACCCTGTCTTTACTAAAAATACAAAAATTAGCTGGGCATGGTGGTGTGTGCCTGTAGTCCCAGCTACTCTGGAGGCTGAGGCAGAAGAATTGCTTGAACCAGGAGGTGGAGCTTGCAGTGAGCTGAGATTGTGCCACTGCACTCCAGCCTGGGCAACATAGTGAGACTGAGTCTCAAAAAAAGAGAGAATCACAGAATTGCAATTCAGAGTGCACACACAGCCTAGGTGGTCCTCAGCATGTCTGGAAAACAAAGAGAAGGTTGGGAGTTTTATTAGATATACATATTTTTTGTTTTTGCTTTTTTTTTTGTTTGTTTTTTTGAGTCAGTGTCTTGCTCTCTCACCCAGGCTGGAGTGCAGTGGTTTGATCATAGCTTACTGCAGCCTCAAACTCCTGGGCTCAAGGGATTCTCCTGCCTCAGCCTCCCGAGTAGCTGTGACTACTGCAGTACATCACCACACCAGCTATAATTTTTAAATTTTTTTGTAGAGATGAGGTCTCACTATGTTGCCCAGGGTGGTCTTGAACTCCTGGCTTCAAGTGATCCTCCTGCCTCAGCTTCCCAAAGTGCTACGATTACAGGCGTGAGTTGCTGCACCTGGCCGGGAGTTTTATTAGAAAGAGAAATGTTACATACTGTTCTGAAAGAACGCTCATTGGCACTAAAGAAACTTCTGGGAGCTGGCAGGCTCTGACTCGTGAGTGACAGCAGCAGGTGAAACTAGTGTTAGAGTCACAGCAGGTCATTTTAGCGATTACTAGGGTGAAACTGGTCTCAGGGTTATAGCAGGCTGTTTCAGCTTTGCAGAAAAATCAATTCTTGGAGCAGGTGCTATGTACCCTAACTGCTCTTTTCCCCCGGCCTCTCAACTCTGAGTTAGTTGGGTATGACAATGACCCAGTTTGTATAACCAACTTTCACATATATCAAGTGATGTGTCTATAAGGAAAGTGAGGTCCTAAAGGGCAAGAATTGTGCCCTATTTATCTCTGTACCCTCTGGGCATGAAGCAGAGCCTTTCGTTGATTGAAAAACTGATGAATGAAGGCAGGAGAGGCAGAAAAAAACCCAGAGGCAACTGTGTATATTGTAGCATCTGGTGACGAAGAATGAAAGATCTAGAAAGGGGCTTAGGAATTCCCTCATCCCGTCCCCTTACTTTGCAGATGGTGAGTTTGAGCCCCCGGCAACTGAAGGGACTTGCCCGAGGTGACACATCTGCATAGTGTCAGAATCTCCACTCAGGCACTTTCCACCTCCCTCTGGAGTGTCCGACTTGGTCACAGCCCCTTACGCCCCCAACCCCGACAGTTGCTCTTGATTTTTCTCACTAAGAATTTAGAAAATGAACATGCAGTTTTTCTAGCCTTGGTTTATCTGCATATATGACTTTGTGCTTTGGTGCTAAGAATAGAAGGAGCTGTCAAAATAGCTCTCAGCAATGCTGAGTGTTCAGGAAAAAGAAGCGGAAATGGAAGGGGTACCCTCAGACAGAATGTCACATCCTCCAACTTTAGTTCTGAAGCCACCAGAAAGCCAGGGGTGTCGGCAGGGAGAAGCAGTTTCTGAAGAGGATTTCTTATTCTCCTGGAGGCCAGATGGGTGTGTATTAAGGTCTGGGCAGCAGTGCCTGGCAGATGAGGGGCTCTGACCCAACAATCTAGGGTTACAGCTCTGGGCCAGAGGAGCAGCCCATGCCCTATTTCAGAGAATGTCTGACTGCAGACAGCATCAAGGGCCCACTAGAGGTTGTTTTCATAAATACAGAGACCAGAAACTGCATGATGACAGCTGTGGAGGGTGTAGGGGGTGGGGTTAATCAGGGTTGGGTTTATTAGGAGCACACAAGAAGGAGGGAGGGGGCAAGAGAGTTGAGTGTGTGCAAAGGGGTGATTCTCATGACGGACTTCTTAGTAGAGACAGGGTTTCACCATGTTGGCCAGGCTGGTCTCGAACTCCTGACCTCAAGTGATCCAGCTGCCTCCGCCTCCCAAAGTGCTGGGATTACAGGCATGAGCCGCCTCACCCGGCCCGCATGATGCGCTTCTGTTCTAGGTGGGGGGGGGGGGTGGGGGGGGGAAGGGAAGGCATAGTTGGGGAGGGACAGTGAAAAGGTAGTAGTTATACCAAAGAACTGTATGTTCTTGTGGTGCTGAAGAATTATTGGAGCTGAAAGACATCTAGAATAGCGATCATGGAAGGTTGCAAAGACAGGTCATGACAAAGTCAAAGAAGTGAGCAGCTGAGAAGGGTGAAGGACAAGATCATTGGATGAGTGGATCTCAAGCTGAGTGGACCAGGCGCGGTGGCTCACGCCTGTAATCCCAGCACTTTGGGAGGCCAAGGAGGGCAGATCCCTTGAGCCCAGGAGTTCAAGACCAACCTGGGCAACCTGGTGAGATCCCGTCTCTACAAAAAATTAAAAAATTAGCCAGGTGTGGTATGGTGCACACCTGTGATCCCAGCTACTAGGGAGGCTGAGGTGGGAAGATCACTTGAGCCTGGGAGGTCAAGGCTGCAGGGAGCCATGATCATGCCACTGCACTCCAGCCTGGGTGACAGAGTGAGAGCTCGTCTCAAAAAAGAAGCAGAGTGGTCAGGGTATCACCAACATGGATAAGAAAATAATCAAGGATTATGACAAGAGTGATGTTAGAGTGACAGTAAGCCAGGAAGAGGTGGAAGTGACTGGGACGGGGGATGACTTAACAAAGAGAGTTCATGAGGGTGTTACTCTAGCCACTACAACTGCCTCATTTTTGCAAGAAGATGAAGTAGATCTGATCACTGGAAATAGGACTTTATAACATTCCAGATCTCTGTCACAAAATATTAAACCTTCCTCTTTCTATTTGCATTCTTGACAGAGTTATAATTACCTGCACTCTGAAAGTGAAGGAAAAACTCACTGCCTTCACAAAATCCATCTGCCTTGATTCATATCTCTTGTCTTACATAAGAGATTCACACCCACATTCTATTATGAGGAATTTGGCCTTTTCCCCATGACTGCTTGTGGCAGATTGCATTCTTCAAAGATGGCCACAGTAGTCTAGATCCCATCCACATGCTCTCCTTACAATGTGATGTTGATACTTCTTCACTGAGCCGTGGAGTCTGTGTTTCCTCTTTTGAACTTGGATGGACCTTTTTAACCACCTTAACCAAAAGAATGTGGCCAAGTAATGCTGTGTGATTTCTGCAGCCAGGTTATGTAAAAGGCTCCAGCCTCGCCCTCTCTCTCTCTCTCAAGACATTTGCCCTTGGAGCCCTGCCACCATACTGTAAGGAAGCTCAAGTCACGTGGAGAGGCTGTGTGTGGGCTGTTCTGGCTGACAGCCCCAGCAAGGCCTCCAGCCAACAGCCAACATCAACTGCCAGACATGTGAGTGAACAAGCCTTCTGATGATTCCAGCCCTGTTCTAATCTTTTAAGCTGAGGCCCTAGACATCATGTGCAGAGACAAGATGTGCCCTGTCTAAATTCCCCGCCAATAGAAACAATTAGAGATAATAAACGAAGTGCTGGAGTAATTTGTTGTATAGCAATAGATTGCTAGTATACTGCTAGCATCTAAGAGGTGATGTTTTCACCTCCTAGCACTGACTTCACAAATTCTGACAGGAGACTAATTTTCCTCCCTGGCTCCTCCTTGCCCCCACCCACAGCCTTTTTTTTTTTTTTTTTTTTTTTTTAACATAGAAGTGCCTTCACGTGATTATACCTTAAGAACATTAATCCTTGCAATTACTTTTGGATGGGGAAAAAACAAACACAAATTTGTTAGTTTACCAATTTTTGAGCATTTTCTATGTGCCAGGCATTAAACTGACCTCAGAAAGCCTAGAATCTGGTGGAAGAGACAGATTAAAACAATAAAAATTTGTTTATTTATTTAGAGACAAGGTCTCACTCTGTCACCTAGGCGGAGTGCGGTGGCATGATCACAGCTCAATGAAGGCTTGACCTCCCTGGGCTCAGGTGATCCTCCCACTACAGCCTCCCGAGTAGCTAGGACTACAAGTGTGTGCCATTGCGCCTGGCTAATTATTATTATTATTATTTTTTTTAGTAGAGACGGGGTTTCACCATCTTGCCCAGGCTGGTCTCAAACTCCTAGGCTCAAGCAATCCACCCGGTCAGCCTCCCAAAGTGTTGGTGTGAGCCAACGCGCCTGGCCAAAACAATAAACATTTACAGGAGAGTGTGAGACATGCAAGGAAAGTGAAATTCCTAAGGCTCTAGGGGAGCAGGGAGCAGCATCAAACTCAGCCTCGGGGGTCACTAAAGGTTCTCTGAGGTGTGACAGATCCTAATCTTTTTTTTTTTTTTTTTGAGACAGAATTTCGTTCTTGTCGACCAGGCTGGAGTGCAATGGCGTGATCTCGGCTCACGGCAACCTCCACCTTCGGGGTTGAAGCGATTCTCCTGCCTCAGCTCCCAAGTAGCTGAGATTATAGGTGCCCGCCACCACACCTGGCTAATTTTTGTATTTTCAGTAGAGACAGGATTTCACCATGTTGGCCAGGTTGGTCTTAAACTCCTGACCTCAAGTGATCCGCCCACTTCAGCCTCCCAAAGTGCTGGGATTATAGGTGTGAGTCACTGCACCCAGCCAGGATCCTAATTTTTTTTTTTTTTGAGACAAAGTCTCATTTTGTTGCCTAGGCTGCAGTGCAGTGGCGTGATCTCGGCCCACTGCAACCTCCACCTCCCAGGTTCAAGCAATTATTTGCCTCAGCCTCCCGAGTAGCTGGGATTACAGGCACCTGCCACCACGCCTGGCTAATTTTTGTATTTTTAGTAGAGACAGGGTTTCACCATCTTGGCCAAGCTGGTCTTGAACTCCTGACCTCGTGATCCACCCACCTCGGGTTCCCAAAGTGTTGAGATTACAGGCATGAGCCACCGCGCCCAGCCAGGATCCTAATCTTGGAGGGTAAATTGGGATTGGCTAACTGACGAGGTGCAGGAGAGAACATGCACAGGACTGGCTCCAGCCACCAGTGAAAGTGCAGCTGTAGCACAGGCAAGACACATTTATGCCACACACATTCTACAGGCTCCTAGCGCTAACTTAATTTTGAGGGGGAAGACTGAAGAAATGGGGTAGAAAGTGAACTGGGTCTATGAACTTCTGACCAAGCACTGATTACAGGAAAATAGCTTTTTTTGTAATATTTGGCCATGAACACTCTCTCACCCGGATGAATTTTAATTAAAAGCTTTTAATTTCTCATGATCTGAAGTCATTTTTTCCCCTGCCTGGTGGCCCTCATGCCTGACTCTCTGAGAAGAGGAACAGACGGTAATGATGCTGTAAGAGTCGTTGACTCTTGACGTTCATTCATTTTTAGACTCTTCCTTCCCAACAGATCCTCTTTCTAGCCCATCTTCACACAACCCAGTAGACAGTGCAGGAATAAAACCACAGTCCTGCTACACTCCTCAGCACAGGTCCATCCTGTTTATAATAACAATTAAAAATTATTTTAAGGGAGAAAAGAAAAAAGAAAGGAAATCTGACATAGACTTCCTAGAAAAATTTGGGAAATGAGTAGGAAAGAAATTTTCTCCAATAATTTTTTCTCCCCTAAAAAAGAAATACTTGGGCCGGGAGCAGTGGCTCACGCTTGTAATTCCAGCACTTTGGGAGGCTGAAGTGGGCAGATCACCTGAGGTCAGGAGTTCGAGACCAGGCTGGCTAACATAGCGAAACCCCGTCTCTACTGAAAATACAAAAATTAGCTGGGCGAGGTGGTGGCACTTGTAATCCCAGCTACTTGGGAGGCTGAGGCAGGAGAATCACTTGAACCTGGGAAGCAGAGGTTGCAGTGGGCCGAGATTGCGCCACTGCCCTCCAGCCTGGGCGAGAGAGGGAGATTCCATCTCAAAAAGAAAAAAAAAAAAAAAGAAAAGAAAAAAAGAAATACTTGTACAAATATTAAGCATGTTATTTGGAAACTGTCTTCTGGCTGGGGGCAGTGGCTCACACCTGTAATCTCAGCACTCTGGGAGGCCGAGATGGGAGGATCTCTTGAGCCCAGGAGTTCGAGACCAGCCTGGGCAACATAGCAGGATCCCCGTCTCTGCAAAAAACAGAAAATATTAGCCAAGCATGGTGGTGCGTGCCTGTAGTCCTAACTACTTGGGAGGCTGAGGTGGGAAGATCGTTTAAGCCCAGGAGGTTAAGGCTGCAGTGAGCTGTGATTGTGCCACTGCACTCCAGCCTGGGCTACTGAGCGAGACTGTCTCAAAAAAAAAGAAAATGGTTTTATATAATTTGTTCCGTATTTTGCTTTACAAATCTATGCAAGCTGTCTTAGGGCTCACATGGACTTACTCACTGATCTTGGGTATTTCTATGCCTCTGTAAGATTCAATTTCCCCATTTATAAAATGGAGCTAAGGCCAGGGATGGTGGCTTCCACCTATAATTCCAGCACTTTGGGAGGCTGAGGCAGCGGGGATCACTTGAGGCCGGGAGTTCGAGACCAGCCTGGCCAACACGGCAAAACCCTGTTTCTGCTAAAAATACAAAAAATTAGCCAGGCATGGTGGTGTGCACCTGTAACCCAGCTACTTGGGAGGCTCAAGCAAGAGAATTGCTTGAATCCAGGAGGCGGAGGTTGCAGTGAGCCGAGATGGTGCCACTGCACTCCAGCCTGGGCGATAGAGTGAGACTCTGTCTCAAAAAGAAAAATGGAACTAATATTAGCACTTACCTGGCACATAGTGTGTGTACTCTCTCACTCTCTTTTATACACACACACACACACACACACACACACACACACACACACTCCCTTAATACAGAGACCAGGTATTAATCACAGCATAAACTTTTTTTTTTTTTCTTGAGATGGAGTTTCGCTCTTGTTGCCCAGGCTGGGGTGCAATGGCGTGATCTTGGCTCACTGCAACCTCGGCCTCCCAGGTTCAAACGATTCTCCTGCCTCGGCCTACCGAGTAGCTGGGACTACAGGCATGTGCTCCCACGCCTAGCTAATTTTGTATTTTTAGTAGAGACGAGGTTTTGCCATGTTGGTCAGGCTGGTCTTGAACTCCTGACCTCAGGTGATCCGCCTGCCTCGGCCTCCCAAAGTGCTGGGATTACAGGCATGAGCCACTGTGCCCGGCCCCATAGCGTAAATCTTTCATGCAAAAAGGAAGGTGCATTTCTGCCTCCAGAGCACACTGTCATTTTCATTAGAGTACTTAAGGTTTCTGTTTTTTGTTTGTTTGTTTGTTTTTTAGAGTCAGGGTCTCTTATGTTGCCTAGGCTGCAGTGCAGTGGCTATTCACAGGTGCAATCACAGCTCACTGCAGCCTCAAACTCCTGGGCTCAAGCCATCCTCCCACCTCAGCCTCTTGAGTAGCTGGGACTACAAGCACACACCACTGTGCCTGGCTTATTCTGTTTTCTGAAGCTTCCTCTTCTAGTGATTTTTAAATTGAGAACAATGGTTTTTAAATGATTTTTTTGAGTCATGAACTCCTTTGAGAATATTATAAAAGTTATGAGATCTCTCTCCAGTAAAATGCACACACACATACAGAATGTTCCCAGAGCCTCTGAAGCCCCGCCATGCATCCCTGGCTAAGAATCCTTGGTCTATAGAATATGTTCTACTTATAGTGCCATTCATCACAAAACAAGTTGCACCGTCATGACCTGATGTTGAAATGCACATTTGGAATCTCACAGTCACATAACCTCAAGTGTTTGCTCAAGCAACACAGATTCCTCCCATAGCAATGTGGCAAAAACTTTGTGTAGTACACCAGGGCCTCCTTCTGGACTGTTTATGATTCCTCCATACTCTTGAACACGTACACAACAATCTGACACGCGAAAGGCGCAGAAGCTGGTCTTAATCTGAGCAAATCAACAGCTTTCAGAAGCTGCAGGGAAATGAAGCATCAGAGAAAGTGAAAATTGTCCCTAATGATAGCTCAGAAAATAGGGCTGATTAGGCAAACTGCATATCCCTGGGTTTCAGTGGATCCCAGAAGTCATGGATTACCAATCACTGTTACCACCCTCCTAGGAGCATCCTGCTCACCTGTTTGGCAGTTAAACTCAATAGAACAGATTTTAGAGTCAGGCAGGCCTGGATTTAAAGGCTGGCTTTCTTTGCTGTATAAATTTGTGGAGGCTGCTTAGCTTCTCTGAAGCTTGGTTACCTCATCTGTAAAATGGGGATAACGAGACTCTACCTCATAGCATTATTGCGAACACTAAATGAAATAAGGCATGTAAAGTGCCCAGCACCCTACTCAGCAAGTGGTAAGTACTCAGTAATATGGCTGTTACTATGGACAGTAGCAGAGGGAAATAACAGCGTAACTCTGGAGTTAGGAAAACTCGATTGCAGGCCGGACACGGTGGCTCACGCCTATAATCCCAGCACTTTGGGAGGCCAAGGTGGGCAGATCACTTGAACCCAGGAGTTCAAGACCAGCCAGGACAACAAAACCCTGTCTCTACAAAAAATACAAAAATTAGCCAGGTGTGGTGGTGCATACCTGTGGTCCCAGCTACTCAGGAGGTTGAGGTGGGAGGATCACTTGAGCCCAGGAGGATGAAGCTAAAGTGAGCTGTGATTGCACCACTGCACTTCAGCCTGGGCAACACAGCAAGGCCCTGTCTCCAAAACAAAAAATAAACAACAAAAACGCCTTGATTCTAGATTTTGACTTCACCAATTACTTACCAGTTTAACTTTGTGCAGGTTACTGAACTCTCCCATTTTTAGCTTCCTCAACTGAAGCACTGAAATATACAGACTTGCTTAAAGAATTTTAAAAGCAAGACCCAAGTATATGCTGCCTTCAAAAACTCACTTCACCTATAAAGACACATAGACTGAAAGTGAAGGGATGAAAAAAGATATTCCACAGAAATGGAAACCAAAAGTGAGCAGGAGTAGCTATTGCTTGCATCACACAGCATAGACTTTAAAACAAAAAATGTTTAAAGCGACAAAAAAGTTCATTACATAATGATAAAAAGGATCAAGTCAGCAAAAGGCTATGACAATTGTAAATATGTATTCACCCAACCCTGAAGAACTCAGATATATAAAGCAAATATTATTAGAGCTAAAGGAAAAAAATCCAACTATAGGCCCCAGTACAATCATAGTTGAGAACCCCTTTCTCAGCATTGGACAGATTATTTAGACAGAAAATCAACAAAGAAACATCACAGGTAAACTATACTATAGACCAAATGAACCTACAACATTGATCTTACTCTTTTATTTCCAATGCTAGTTGACTATCCATTGAAAACTAGTCTATGACTTTAAAGCAAACATACTAGGTTTTCTTACTGGTTGTTACATGCTTCTCAGAATTATCTGTATTGGAGTGGTTCACAAATTGGAAATCAAATATTGAGGGGATTTGTTAGTTTGTTTCAGTTTTGCTGTTTTTCTTCTTTTTGTTTGTTTAACACAGAAAGTGGTTACTATTTTCTCCAGTGGCTAAAAGGAAGGACTAGAAAGCAGATAATTATTATATTGCCTTTTTCTCTACACTTGGCTCTGCTTGAGAGCCAAGTGGGTTACACCCTGTTTCAAAGTGTAGTTCAGCCGGGCGCAGTGGCTCACCTGTAATCCCAGTACTTTTGCAGGCTGAGGTGGGCGGATCACTTGAGGTCAGGAGTTCAAGACCAGCCTGACCAACATGGTGAAACCCTGTCTCTACTAAAAATACAAAAATTAGCCGAGTGTGGTGGTGCACGCCTGTAGTCCCAGCTAATCGGGAGGCTGAAGCAGGAAAATTGCTTGAGCCTGGGAGGCAGAGGTTGCAGTGAGCCGAGATCACACCACTGCACTCCCGCCTGGGCAACAGAGCAAGACTCCATCTCAAAAAACAACAACCCCCCCGCAAAAAAAACCCCAAAGTAGTTAAATGAGCTAATAATGCATGTACTATATGTGTTTAGACATGTCTGGTACATATTAGACACTCAGTAAATAGTGGCAATAAAGATGATGATGGTACTAATAATAGTTAATACTTACAAAGCTCTTACTAAATGCCAGGAACTGTTCTAAGCACTTTATATGTATTTTTTTTTTATTTAGTTGTCACAACCAATAAGGTAAGTCCAATTATTATCATTGGATGAGGCCTATAGAACTCAAATAAATTGTCCTAGATCACACAGCTGGTAAATTTTTTTTTTTTTTTTTGAAGCAGGGTCTTGCTCTGTTGCCCAGGCTAGAGTGCTGTGGCACGATCACAGCTCATCACAACCTCGACCTCCTGGAACCAAGTGATCCTCCTGCCTCAGCCTCCTCAGTAGCTGGGACTACAGGTGTGTGCCACCATGCCCACCTAATTTTTTAATTTTTTTGTAGGGATGGGGTATCTCTATGTTGCTCAGACTGGTCTCAAACTCATGAGCTCAAGCAATCCTTCTGTCTTGGCCTCCCAAAGTGCTGGGATTACAAATGTGAGCCAGCACACCTGACAAGATTTCAACCTAGACAGAGCTTGAGACCATGCCCTAAACCACTGTTTTCCTGAGAATAATGTGTCAAAATCAGCCCTGTAAATCAGCGATTCAAGATCACTTCACTAAGGTTTGAGACACTTCCCGTTTCTGGCTGGAGCTCCCCTGCCTGCCCCATCAGTTTTCATGGCATGAGGGGGGCACCACTGTCCAAGAACAGGAGGACTGCTAGGGCCACATGCTGTTCTAAGAGAACCAAGACAGCCTTCTCCAAATCTTTCTAGATCTGCCGTTAGGATCAGTCAGCCAATGGCCACTGACTGCTCTAGTATGAGAGAGACAACCCTTCTGCCTGACCACACCAAGAGAAGGCATTCAGGGTTTGCTTGATGATTTCATGAGGGGAACATATTGGGGTGGAAGAATGTTCCCTGCATGCTTATTTTGCTACTTCCCAGCAGCTTGGGTAGGCTCCGGTGACAATGGTGTGATTAGGGAGCCCATGCTGATGGCAGACCCAGGGCCTCCTGCTCTCCTCCAAAAGTCGCAAGGCTCCCACAGTCACGACTCACAGGAAGCCAAGAAGGGCACTAGGGACAGGTGGCAGACATCCCAGCATCGTGAAAAGGGTGGGTAATTGAACACAGCTAGGTTACATTAATCACCCAGGGTCAGAGAACAGAACCAGGAAAGGAGAGAGGGGAGAAATCAGTCCAGCCTTTCTGGTCACTTGGCCCAGGAGCAGTGGCACAAAATGGTTTTATGTGGGGGATTTAGCCCCTGTAATCTCTATCAGGGCACCCCCTGCTTGCACATCGCCCCAAATAAACATACAACCTAAATTCGAGGCCAGCCCCAGCCTCCGCTCTGATGAGATTGCTGTCCTGCGCTCCTCCTTTATAGAAACGCAGGCAACACCATGGCTGCTCAGTCACCTATGGTTTAGTGGGAACATAGAGGCTTTCATTTGCACTGCTGGAGTCAGAAGCAGGGAGCCCTGAAGCCCAGGGACAGTCTCCTAGATCTAACTATCTGCGGGGATTAACTGGTCATTATCGCCTCTGGGATGTGTGTTCTGCAGACCCTGCTTTCTATTTGTTCCTTGCATCTGGCCCTGCCCAGAGGACTGATTTCAGCAACTATAAATTTGGAGGGTGCTGTCCATCTTGGAAAGGATTCTGGAATGGAGACCTGAAAGCGAAGAGGAAACATGTTTCCCAGGAACCAAATACAAATATGTTCAAATACAAATCATGCCTGACCACTCTCTAGGCTTCTCTGAGTGGGTTACAAGACTACAGGCTCAGGGAGCTTCAGGAGATATGCACCATCAGGGCTTCAGTGAGCACAATCTGTAGGGAATTGCCACATGGCCTCTGACCTTGTGTATGACTAGGTGAAGATACATATTTTTCTCACAATATAACAGACAGCATGAAGCTAGGAGGCAGATACACTTGGGATGACAGAACCAGGAATCCAAAAGATAGTGTAAAGTAAGGGTAAAATGCTGACTAAAAGAAGAAATTTATGAATAGCAGGAACAGATATGGTCTTGGACTTTAGTCAACAATGAAACAAAACCAACCAAAGGACACTGCTCAGATTTAGCTTCTTGTCACTGTTACCCTGGGCACAAAACATAATCTTGTGAGGCCCCACTTCCTCACTTGTAAAACTGGGATAACAACAGCCCCTACAACATGGAGTTGTTATGAGAATTAAATCAGTAAATGTAGGCAAAGCACTTACTTAAGATAGTGATGATGTTGATGATGATGATGATGGTGGTGGTGATGATGGTGATGATGGTGGTGATAGTGATGATGATGATGGTGATGGTGATGGTGATGGTGGTGACAGTGATGGTGATAATGGTGGTGATAGTGATGGTGATGTTAATGATGATGGTGTTGATAGTGATGGTGATGGATGATGATGATGGTGATGGTGACAGATAACACACAGTGCTAATCATAGTGCTTCTCACTAGGCAGTCTCATTCCAGAGACTATGTTCTTAACCACCTTGCTATACTAACTCTCATAAGTATTAAGTATAATTATTATGATAATAACTGACTAGGAAGAAATGTGGCTGATCCACAGCATGGGTGAAAATGAATTTAAGGATGATGGCTGACAGCAAGTTCAACACGAGTCACATAAAGGCTATCTGTAAGGCCAGGTGTGGTGGCTCATGCCTGTAATCCAGGCAATTTGGGAAGCCGAGGTGGGCGGATCACCTGAGGTTGGGAGTTCGAGACCAGCGTGACCAACGTCGTGAAACCCTGTCTCTACTAAAAAATACAAAAATTAGCCAGGTGTGGTGGTGCGCGCCTGTAATCCCAGCTACTCAGGAGGCTGAGGCAGGAGAATCGCTTGAACCTGGGAGGCGGAGGTTGCAGTGAGCTGAGATCGCGCCATTGCATGCCAGCCTGGGCAACAGAGCGAGACTCCGTCTCAAAAAAAAAAAAAAAGGCTATCTGTAATGAGGTGGTGACAGTCCCAAGCTACTTTTTGCAGCATGGGTATCACAAGAGGAGAGGCCTAAAGACACATAGAGCAGGATCAGAAGGAAATGACCAGGGGCTGGTGCAGTAGCTTACGCCTGTAATCCCAGCACTTTGGGAGGCTGAGGTGGGTGGATCGCCTAAAGTCAGAAGTTCAAGACCAGCCTGGTCAAGATGGTGAATCCCCGTCTCTACTAAAAATACAAAAATTTGCTGGGTGTGGTGGCAGGCACCTGTAATCCCAGCTACTCGGGAGGCTGAGGCAGGAGAATCGCTTGAACCCAGGAGGCGGAGGTTGCAGTGAGCCAAGATCGCACCATTGCACTCCAGCCTGGGCAATAAGAGTGAAACTCCGTCTAAAAAAAAAAAAAAAAAAGAAGGAAATGACCAGTATGACCAAACCATAGCATAAGAAAAATAGCCAAGACCAGGCATGGTGGCTCATGCCTGTAATCTCAGCGCTTTGGGAGCCTGAGGCAGGAGGATCACTTAAGCCCAGGAGTTTGAGACCAGCCTGGGCAACATAGTGAGACCCTGCCTCTACAACAAATTTTTTAAATAATAGCCAGAGGACCTGGCATGTTTTGCCTGAATAAAATACTTGGGGGACATGCCAGCCACTTTCTAATGCCTTAAGCCTGCTACATAGGATCCAAGGCCCAGAAGTAGGCCAGGTGAGGGTGAGCCCTAGGTAGACAGATCTCACCTCAATACAGGAAGGCCTTTTTGACATGTTGACCCAAGATGCACAGTAAGCATCCTGTCCCAGAAGCATCTGAGTGCTGGCAGAATGCAGAAGTCTGGGACTCAAACACTGGATAGGGGAGTAACTATTTTATAGGCTCTAAATAGCTCCTCCAAGTGTGGACCTAGGACCATCTGATGACCACATGCATCACCCAGGGGCTTGTTAGACACATAGATCCAGAGGCTCCACTCCAGCCACTGAGTCTGAATCTGCATTTTCACAAGTTGCACAGGTGATCTGTGTGCACATGAATGCTGACAAGCACTGATGTGGAGATCATCTGAGGAAGCCCCAGGTTCAGGTGGGCTGCTGCTCTGAAAAGCAAAAGTTGGGAGGGACACTGGGGCAGCAGGAAGAGCACGTGGTGCTAGAGTCTGGTCTCCATGAGGATAGCCCAGCTGTGCTTCCAGCCCAGCTGCTCCAATTATGTCTGTTTCTTTATCTAGTCGGGCTCAGAAGAGTCAGTCAAATTTGCATAAGGAGGCCTGCGGTAAAGGGGCTCATGGGCACAGGTACTCATCTGACACCTCATTAAGCCATCTTCGTAAATCATCTCTAGAATGCCTGTTGTTATTTTAGGAAACAACATAAAGAGGATGATAATTAAAAGTAACACCCTGGGTGGGAATTTTTACTTCCTTCCAGTGGTTGGCAAGTAAAGCACCTTGGGAATTTTTTGGTAAGGTAACATTTCTATACATTTTTCACAGATCACACAACATCAAAGCTTGTCTATGCTGCAGGTTTTTTTCCCTTTCCTCTGCTGGTGCTTTGGGTTTGCGGCTTTATTCTGTTGCTGGCTTTTTGTCTTATGTTTTTTTTTTTTTTCCTTTCCACCGAGCATTTTCTGATTTTACCTTGACTTGCAACGGGGGAGGGTATTGCTTCTGGATGTTAGATGACATCCGAAGCATAAAATGCTAAACCAAGCTGCAGGTCGTTTTCAGGTGAAAAGGCAATTTTACGCTTCATGGTTGGGACCACGTAAGGCATTTTCATGGTGGGGTATTTTTCATCTTAGATCCATCAGGATGACATCCAGGGATTTGCTGTCTAGTAGAAAGTTCACCTTTCAGTTACCCACTGTCTGTCTGCAGCCTCCTAGTCCTGCTGCTCTCCTGCACAGGCACAAGGGCATTCCTGCTAGACCTGCTCCCCTCCTGGGACTGCCAGGCCCCTGATGTTGCCATATTCCCCTGGTTTTCAGGGCCCCTTGCCACGCGTCTTCCCTGTCCCCCACAACCCTCACTGCCTACCTGTCTAGGCCCACTGTCTAGGACCTGAGACCCTTAGTAACACTCCTTGATCTGCCTTACACCCTGTCCTCCTGCTCCTCCTCTCTGATAAAACCCCAACTTCAGGTCATCCCACCATTTGCCTTCTCTGCTCCTGACTCCGCCCTGCCGAGAGAGCTGGAGAAAGCCCACAGAAGCACCGGCAGAGGCCACCACAGATTCACGGTCTCAAGCCTTCCCTGGATTCCTCTGCTCTCTGACAACCATTTTACTTGTCCTAAATCAGCTCCTCTCCTTCAAAAAACAAACAAACAAACAAAAAAAACTGTTATTTGACCCCACTTCCCTGCCTCACAGAGGAGCCTTCTCTTTGTCACAGCTTGTTGACAGCACTTTCTTTTTTTTTTTTTTTTTTCTTGAGACAGAGTCTCGCTCTATCACCCAGGCTGGAGTGCAATGGCATGATCTTGCTCACTGCCAGCTCCGCCTACCCGGGTTCATGCCATTCTTCCTGAGTAGCTGGGACTACAGGCGCCCGCCACCATACCTGGCTAATTTTTCATATTTTTAGTAGAGGTGGGGTTTCACCATGTTAGCTGGGATGGTCTCGCTCTCCTGACCTCATGATCCGCCCGCCTCGGCCTCCCAAAGTGCTGGGATTACAGGCTTGAGCCACTGTGCCCAGGCGACAGCACTTTCAATACCAGTCCTTTCTGTTAACTCACTGAGGTAGCTTCTAGGATGCTGGGACAGATTCCATGGCCCTGTGCTAAAGCAAATGAATCAGAATCTCTGAGGTGGGGCCCAGGATTCTTTTTTATTTATTTTTATTATTTTTATTTTTTTAGAGACAGGGTCTTGCTCTGTCACCCAGCTGGAGTGCAGTGGCGTGATCACAGCTCACTGTAGCCCCTAGCTCTCTGGGCTCAAGAGATACTCTTGCCTCGGTCTCCCAAGCAACTGGTACTACAGGTGCAAGCCACCATGCCAGGCTTTTTTATTTTATTTTATTTTATTTTATTTTATTTTATTTTAATTTTGATACAGTTTCTCACTCTGTTGCCCATGCTGGAGTGCAATGGCATGACCTCGGCTCACTGCAACCTCCGTCTCCCAGCTTCAGGTGATTCTCCTGCCTTAGCCTACCGAGCAGCTTGGATTACAGGTGTGTGCTACCACGCCTCGCTAATTTTTTATTTTTAGTAGAGACAGGGTTTCACCATTTTGGCCAGGCTGGTCTTGAACTCCTGACCTCAAGTGATCCACCCACCTCGGCCTCCCAGAGTGCTGGGATTATAGGCATGAGCCAGCACACCCGGCTGCTAATTTTTATATTTTTTTTGTAGAGATGGGGTCTTGCTGTGTCCTGAACTCCTGGCCTCAAGTGATCCTTCCGACTCAGCTACCCAAAGGACTGGGATTATAGGCGTGAGGCACTGTGCCTGGCAGGGTTCTGTATTCAAGAAAGCTGCCTAGTTGGGAACCAGTTATTGGCCTATATTCCTGAATCTTTCCTCACTTTTTGTCACTTCTCAAACGGTTACAGTCTGGCTTCTGCCCTGACCACTCTGTTACATTCTTAAACGGGGTCAGGACAACAACCACCACAGCCATGCAGGTTCCCAGGTCTCCTGCCACTTGACTCCCTGGAGTATTGACACTGTTGGTCACTCCAAGACTTCTAGACACCTCTTCTCCTTCTTTGCCTTCTACCCCTGGCCATCTCCCTTGGCACTTTAAGGTAGACCCTTTTTGGACCTTAAATATTGGTGGTTGTTTCCTAGAGTTTCCCAGGGTTTGGTCCTCAGACCACTGCTCTCCTCAGTCTATGATTCCTCTCTGGTAAATCCACGTGGCTTAATCTACAAAGTACACGCTGATGTATGCCTCCAGCTGTCATTTCTCTAACGTCACACTCATGCATCCAGCTGCTGGAAGTGTAAGGTCAGGTGTACAGGGGAGATGTACACCCCACAGGCACCCTAACCTCAAATATTTCAAGATCAAATCCATAGTTCTCCCAGCCCCCCATGCCAGCTCCCCCTCCTCCCCTACTCACAACTCACTGAACATCCCCATCTCTACTGCCCAGCAGCTGCTCTAGAGTCCCGGGGTCATCACACAGCCTTCCTGCTTCCTCATCTATGCATTCAATTCAGGCCTCCTGAGTTTTACCTCCTAAATATGATTAAACTGCCTTCTTCCACCTGACCCTTAATTTGGGTCTCATCTCTTGCTTGGACTATTAAAATAGCGACCCCCCCGCCCCCCTTTTTTTTTTAAAGAGATGGAGTCTCACTATGTTGCCGAGACTGGATTTGAACTCCTAGATTCAAGTGTTCCTCCTGCCTCTGCCTCCTGAGTAGCTGGGACTACAGGTACACACCATTGTGCCCAGCTCCAACAACAGCATCTAAACTGGTCTCTGTCTCCAGTCAAGTCCCACCAGAACAGTTGCTGGGGTGATATTTCTTTGTTTCTGAAACAGAATCTCCCTCTGTCACCCAGGCTGGATCACAATTCACTGCAAACTCCACCTCCCTGGCTCAAGGAATCCTTGAGCCTCAGCCTCCCGAGTAGCTGAGACTACAGGTGTGGGCCACCGCACCTGGCTAATTTTTTTTTTTTTTTTTTTGTAGAGATGGGGTCTCGATATGTTGCCCAGGCTGGTCTCGAACTCCTGGGCTCAAGCAATCCACCTGCCTCGACCTCCCAAAGTGCTGGGATTACAGGTGTGAGCCACCACGCCCAACCTGGGGTGAGATTTCTAAAATGCCAATCTTGACAGGTCAGTTCCCAGCTTAGAATGCTTGAAAGCCCTCCATGATCTAAAGTTAAAATTCCAGCTGGGTGTGGTGGCTCACGCCTGTAATCCCAGCACTTTGGGAGGCAGAGGTGGGTGGATCACGAGGTCAGGAGTTCAAGACCAGCCTGGCCAACATCGTGAAACCTCGTCTCTCCTAAAAATACAAAAATTAGCTGGGCAGGGTGGCGGGCACGTGTAATCCCAGCTACTTGGGAGGTAAAGCAGGAGAATCGCTTGAACCTGGGAGGCGGAGGTTGCAGTGAGCCAAAATCGTGTCACTGCACTCCAGCTTGGGCAACAGAGTGAGACTTTGTCTCAAAAAAAAATCAGCCTGATGTGGTGGTGCACGCCTGTAATCCCTGCTACTCGGGAGGCTGAGGTGGGAGAATAGCTTGAACCCAGAGCGGGAAGTTGGACCACTGAACCCGGAGGGGGAGGTTGCGCCACTGCACTCCAGCCTGGGCGACAGCACAAGACTCCGTCAAAAATAAAAAATAAAAAAAATCCCAGCTCATCGGCATGGCCCAGAAAGACAATCATGACTGTACCCAACTGTAGGGCTGGGCAAATGAGGTGCCTAGGGTGCAAAATTTAAGAAGACACACACTCTCAGGTGCTGACCCTGCACATGCACGACCCTGGGAGTGGATGCTGCCTTAAATTTTGCACCCTAGCCCTTGCTCTGCCCAACTGTCTCTTTGGCTTATTGGCTTAACAGTCATCACCACTCCTGCATTCTGTGCTTTGGTACTCTCACTCTCCTTGTGGCTAGATCCTCACAGACACTGAGAGGCTTCTCACAGCTCAGGACAATCTTGAGAATCCTCTTTCTACCCTGGCTTCTACACTCCTTCAGTCCCACAGGCATTATCTCTACAACTGCTCTGACCACATTAGGTTCTCCCCATCCCTCTGAGCTTCTCAAGGGCAGAGACAGTGTTCCATCCTCTTTATCTCTCAGGCAGCATGTAGCAATCAGTAGGTGCTCTATAAATGTTAGCTGAACTGAATACAAATCTGCTCTGGGAACTTACTTGAGTTAACATCAGGTCCGTTGCCCAAGGCCCACAGTCCCACTAAGCCCCTTCAGAATGTAGTGACCACTAAGGATGGCTATGCACCAGGAATGAACTAGAGGCAGCCCTTGTCCAGACCTGGGCTGGAGGAAGGGTAGATGTGAACCATCAACTCTCCAAGGGTGGTGGTCAGAGCTCTAGCAAATAATTCCCCTTCTGACAAATTCACTGACTGTTAGCCTGCAATTTTCACAGGAATTACACATCGCCTGGCCAAGTGCTAAATTTTGAGCTTTCTTCCTGCCAGATTTCTACCATGCTGGTTCATGTTTGCCAATCTTGTAACAGTAATGTGTTTTCCAGTAGGGAGCATGAGTAGCTTCAGGAGTTATTCTAGAGGCTCATAAAAATGATCTTGTGACCATTTTACAGGAAGGATTCAGTAATGTGCCGTCTTAAAGAATACCACTGCTACCAAGAGAGGTCCTTGGAGTTTTTGCATTAAACCTTGAATACTATCTAGCAGGGACCTATCATACAATAAACAGCTCTAGGGTAAACACATTTCATAGGGTCCAATGTCATGAGTTTAACTTTTTTACTGTTGTCCAAGTACTTTCTTATCTGTAGCCTTACTTTTTTTTTTTTTAATGGAGACAGAGTCTTGCCGTGTCACCAAAGCTAAGTGCAGTGCCCAATCATAGCTCAATTTGCCTTGAACCCCTGGGTTCAAGCAATCCTCTGCCTCAGCCTCATAAGTAGCTGGGACTACAGGTGAATGCCACTGGGCCTGGCTAATTTTTTGATTCTATTTTTTTGTAGTAAAAATGGGGTCTCTCTGTATTTCTCAGGTTCTTGAACTCCTGGACCCAATCAATCCTCCCGCCTTAGCCTCTCAAAGTTCTGGGATTAAAGGCATGAACCACTGTGCCCAGCCTCAAAAAAAATATTTTTTAAATTAGCTGAGCATGATGGGGGCATGCCTGTGATCCTAGCTATGCAGGAGGCTGAGGTGGGATGACCGCGTGAGCCCAGGAGGCCAAGGCTGCAGTGAGCTATAATTGCACCACTGCACTCCAGCCTGGATAACAGAGTGAGACCCTGTCTCTAAAAAAAAAAATAATAAAATAATAAAAAGAGAATACATAGTAGGGCAACCATAGACTATCATTACTTTGAAAGAGGAAAAAAGATAAGAAAACCCCCTTTGTGGGCCAAGGTGATGCAGCAAGTTCACAAAGGATTTTACATAGAATTTATTTTATTTTATTTTATTTTATTTATTTATTTATTTATTCATTTATTTTTTGAGACAGCGTTTCTCCCTGTCTCCCAGGTTGGAGCACAGTGGCACGATCTTGGCTTACTGCAACCTCTGCCTCCTGGGTTCAAAGCAATTCTTGTGCCTCAGCCTCCTGAGTAGCCGGGACTATAGGCACATGCCACCACACCCAGCTGATTGTTTTTGTATTTTCACAGAGAGGGGGTTTCAACATGTTGCCCAGGCTGGTCTCGAACTCCTGATCTCAGGCAATCTGCCCACCTCAGCCTCCCAAAGTGCTGGGATTACAAGCGTGAGCCACCACGCCCAGCCTTGGATTTTATATAGAATTTAAAGAGCTCATGATCCCCTTGAAGTTCTTTCATCATCTTCCCAGACATACAAGAACCCTAGTTAAGAATATCTGGGTTAGAGATTCTGTGCGGTCTTTGAATCAGGGTGTAAGAAATGGACAGGACCTCAGAGTTCAATGAATATAATCCTCATCAAGTCAGATTTTACAGATTCAGTCAATGAGGCCCAGAGAATTTTCATGGCTGACTCATAGCATAGCTAGTGGATGGCAGAACGGAGACCTATATCTTGGTTTTCTGAATCCCAGTTCTCACACAGTGTTGGGCTAATATACCGTGTTTAAGGCTGGGTGCGGTGGCTCACGCTTGTAATCCCAGCATTTTGAGAGGCCAAGGTGGGTGGATCACCTGAGGTCGGGAATTAGAGACCAGCCTGACCAACATGAAGAAACCTGTCTCTACTAAAAATACAAAATTAGCCAGGCATGGTGGTGCATACCTGTAATCCCACCTACTTGGGAGGCTGAGGCAGGAGAATCGCTTGAACCTGGGAGGCAGAGGTTGCGGTGAGCTGAGATCGCACCATTGCAATCCAGCCTGGGCAACAAGAGCAAAACTCTGTCTCAAAAAAAAAAAAAAAAAAAAAAAAAAAAAAAATATATATATATATATATATATATATATATATATATATAAAATCCCACATATCATCCCACCTCAGCCTCCCAGCCTCCTGAGTAGCTAGGATCACAGGCACACCCCACCATGCCCAGCTAATTAAAAAAAAAATTACACATATTATATATATATATATATAAAAAGTATATATATATAAATAAAGTGTATATATATATATAGTGTTTAAAACAAATGTAAAGGAGAGAGGAGTGTGGAGAGACTGGCTGGGGGCAAAATAAGCAATAGTTAATTCCTAGGATGTATAGGTTGGCTATTACTCAGCTTCATTTTTGTGTTCAGTATAGATTAGTTTTCTAGCTTCAACCCGAAGAGACCAAGCCTGAAGCTCCCTTCTAGCTCCCTACTTTGGATCTGTGACTAAATCCTGATGGATTATCTGAGCAAGCTCTGTGGAGAGGCAGATAGCAGAGACTGGCCACATCATGAATTCTAAATGGCTGATGTCATTACAAAAACCATAAGCAAGAAAGAATCTACAGTTTCCAGAAAGTGGGGGGAAAAGTTTCTAAGGAGAAAGTATGACTCTTGAAGAAGGAGGGTAAGGGTCATGTAGCAAAGAAGAGGTTATTGGGTGGTCTCTGTAGGCTGGGGGTGGGAAAGGGATGCACAGCAGGGTGGGGTGTGAGGGAGGCATGCTCGGAGATCATTTTTGTTTTTGTTTTTTGACCAGTGAAATGTTCAATTTTTTTTTTAAGTTTTAAAATTTTTAAATTTTTATTTTTTTGATCAGTGAAATGAGAGATGGTTTTGGGGAGGCCTGAGAGCCGTCTAAGAGGTTTATTAACCTGGAGATTATCAAAGTAAGATTTGCATTTTAGATAGATGCTTTTACATGGAAGATAGATCTTAAGATTTTTTTTTTTCCAGTTAGGTGTTAGAGTGCAGTTGTCCAGATTATGAATCATTCATTCATTGATCCCACTTTATGAAGCCCATAATATAAGCCAGGCACTAATCTAGACAAGAAAAGATAGTCTAAAGCAGCACAGTGAAAATGGAGATGGAGTTATATAACCAACAATACATACTGAGGAGACAGATTTGAGAAATGCTTAGGAGTTAAAAATCAGTAGGACCTGATGACTAATTAAGGCAGTGGGGAGTGAAATGGAAAGAGTAAGGATACTGACAGATGCTTGAAACAAATATGTCCAATATTTTAGAATTATATAATAAATTTAAAGGAATTTTCTGTCAGGAGCTCCAGAAAGATTAACACCCAAATGCTAATACATAAAGATCAAAACAGCCTTCGTTTGCAACATCTTTGAATGAGGAGACTACTTTGGACTTTGCTATTTCTCCAAGGCAGAGATAGAGACCTGCCCCAGGGAGGTAATTATATCATCTGCCGAATTGTAGGTTTAACCGACAGAGGTTGAAATAAAATACAAAAGTCTTGCTGGGCCTCTCTCCACAGCCTCATGGCAAGCGTTTCCTACCAGAATTCTAATTTTGTCAAAATGGGGTTGCTTTGATGTAATTTTAGAATAAGCTTTTAAAAACTGAGAGCAGCAAGAACAGCAAGTGAACACAGATGGGCTGGGGGACAGAGTGAATTGGGTAAATTTTATAAGAATAAAAAAGAAGAGGGGATTTTACTAATGCTACTTTCAAAGGCAAAAGACCTAGTCAAAGCACTCATTTTTGCTTTCTTAATTCCTTATCTACTACTACAAATAAAGAGCAGCAAAATTATAAGGAAAAAAAAAACTGTGTGCTGTAAATGCCTTTAAAGACACATCCTTAGTAGTGCACTGTATTGTATACATCATAATGTCTTGCTGGGCAGGCTGCCCAGCTCACCTCCTAATTCTACAGTTCTGTGAGGTGAAAGGTGAAATGTAATATTTACAATCCTGAGAATGAATTAATCCCTGGCAAAATAGAAGGATTTGATTTTCTCATCTGCTCACATCTAGCTGGTGTAATACTTAAGCAGGGTACCAGGGATCTGTTTCTACTTGTTGCCACAGGGCAGGGAACTAGAATCAGGTCCTGAAGCTAAATGCCTGACATGTCTCAGACAAATAAAAACTGACAGAATTCATCACCACTAGACCAGCCTTATAAGAAATGCTCAAGGGAGTCCCACATCTGGAAGTGAAATGATAATTACTATCAAGAAAACACAAAAAAGTAGAAAACTCACTGGTAGAGCACATACACAAAGGAGAAAGAGAAAAGAATCAAATTTTACCACTACAGAAAACCACCAATCACAAGGATGAACAATAAGAGGGGAAGAAAGGAACAAAGGATATATTTAAAAAAACAGAAAATAATTAACAAAATGACAGAAGTCCTCACCTATCAATAATAATCTTGAATGTAAACTTATTAAACTTCCCCCCTTAAAATATATAGACTGGCTGAATGGATTAAAAAACATGGCCCAACTACGGTTGCCTACAAGAAACTCACTTCATCTGTAACGACACACATAGACTGAAAGGGTGGAAAAAGATATTCCATGCAAACAGAAACCAAAAGCAAGCAGGGTAGCTGTACTTGTATCAGATGAAACAGACGTCAAGTAAAAAACGATTAAAAAAAAGAAAAAGGTTATTATATAATGATAAAGGGATCAATTCAGTAAGAGGAGGTAACAATTCTAAATATATATGCACCCAACACTGGAGCGCCCAGATACATAATATAAAGCAAATATTATTAGATCTAAAGGGAGACATAGACACCAATACAATAGCTGGGGAATTCAACACCCCATTCTCTGCACTGAACAGATCATCTAGACAGAAAATCAACAACAAAACACTAGATTTAAACTGCACTTTAGGCTGAGCGCGGTGGTTCACATCTGTTATCCTAGTACGTTGGGAGGCTGAGGTGGGCGGATCACTTGAGGCCAGGAGTTTAAAACCAGCCTGGTCAACATGGTAAAACCCTGTCTCTACTAAAAATACAAAAATTAGCTGGGTGTGGTGGCGGGCACCTGTAATCCCAGCTACTTGGCAGGCTGAGGCACGAGAATTGCTTGAACCTGGGAAGTGGAGGTTGCAGTGAGTCAAGATCATGCTACTGCACTCCCAGCCTGGGCAACAGAGTGAGACTCTCTCAAAAAAACAAAAAACCCTGCATTTTAGACTAACAAAGAGACATTTACAGAACATTTCATCCAACAGATTCAGAAAACACATTATTTCATCAGCACAAGAAACATTTTCCAGAATAGACCATATGTTAGCCCACAAAACAAGTCTCAACAAATTTAAAATAATTGAAATTATATCGAGTATCTTTCCTGACCACAGTGGAATAAAACTAGAACTCAACAGCGAGGTGAACTTTTGAAATTGTACAAATACACAGAAATTAAACAATATGCTCCTGAATGATCAGTGAAGAAAATTTTAAATATTCTTCTCTTTTCTTTTTTAAGATGGTTCTTGCTATGTTGTCCAGGCTGGTCTTGAACTCCTGACCTCAGGTGATCAGTCCACCTCGGCCTCCCAAAGTGCTGGGTTTACAGGCATGAGCCACCGCACACAGCCTAAAGGTTGTTTAATGTTAATAAAAGTACAGCTAGATAGGGGGAATAAGTGCTAGTGCTCTAAAGCACTATAGGGTGACTATAATTAACAACAACTTATTGTATATTTTCAAATAGCTAGAACAGCAGATTTTGAATGTCCCAACACAAAAAAATGATAAATGTTTGAGGTGATGGATATGCTAATTACCCTGATTTGATCCTTATACATTGTAAACATGTATCAAAATATCCCAGTGTACCCTGTAAATATGTATTAGGTATCAATAAAATATGTATTAGATATCAAGTATTAGGTATCAATTAAAAATAATAACAGCTGGGGCCAGGTACGGTGGCTCATGCCTGTAACCCCAGCACTTTGAGAGGCCGAGGTGGGCAGATCACCTAAAGTTAGGAGTTCGAAACCAGCCTGGCCAACATGGTGAAACCCCGTCTCTACTAAAAATACAAAAATTAGCTGGGCATGGTGGTGGGCGTTTGTAATCCCAGCTACTCGGGAGGCTGAGGCAGGAGAATTGCTTGAACCCAGGAGGCGGAGGTTGCAGTGAGCCGAGGATGTGCCATTGCACGCCAGCCTAGGCAACAAGAGCAAAACTCTGTCTCAAAATAATAATAATAATAACAGCTGGACACAGTGGCTCATGCCTGTAATCCCAGCACTTTAGGAGGCCGAGGTGGGAGGATCACTTGAGAGCTCAGGAGTTCAAGATCAGCCTGGGCAACATAGTGAGACCCCATCTCAAAAACAAACAATATATAAACAAATGTCTGACAAAGCAGCACAGGGATCTGGCACTGCAGTGTTCTCTGTCTCTGGACATCCATTATCTACACCCCTGTCCTTTCTGGGAAACAGCTTCAGGGAGTTCTACTTCTGGGAAATTACAGGGACAGCCCTGACAACAATAAACATAGAAAACACATGCCAGAGGGACTCATATGCCCAACAACAGAGTGTGCTCCCATCCTATGGAGCAGCAAATGCTTTATGGGTGTCATTTTTTTCCTTTTTTTTTTTTTAAGTAGCTAAGAATAATTGCTCTGAAGACGCAGAGCTAAATTAACTGCTAACATCCAAACACAGCCTGACAGTGTACCTGCAAACTTTGCTCCTGGTCCATGGGTAAAAGGAGCTCTCAGCCTTGCAGAAACCTTCTGTTGGTGCCACCTGCCATGGGACAGGAAAGAAGCACCTGTGAGCAAGGGCTATGCACTCAATACACCACTGCTGACTCCTAAGTGCCGGAATTTCATCTACAGAGGTAGCTTTAGAAGTTAGGTGATGAATTCTATTCATTTATTTAAAATATATATATAATCCCAGCACTTTGAAAGGCTGAGGTGAGCAGATCACTTGAGGTCAGGAGTTTGAGACCAGCCTGGGCAATATGGTGAAACCCCATCTCTACTAAAAATACAAAAATTAGCTGGCCGTGGTGGTGCGCACCTGTAGTCCCAGCTAATTGGGAGGCTGAAGCAAGAGGATCATTTGAACCCGGAAGGCGGAGGCTGCAGTGGGCCGAGACTGCACCACTGTACTTCCAGCCTGGTGATGGAGTGAGACTCTGTCTAAAAAAAAAAAACCCCAAAACCCAAAATTGCCAACAGGAAGAAGGCAGGAGCAAAACAGGTGCTCATGGCTGCCAAAGATTTGTGGGTCCTGCCTGGGGTAGAGGTCTAAATGCCGGCTCTGCATTGAAGACGTAAGGGAATTTCTTTGTCTTGCTCTTGCTCTGGCTCCCTGTAACTGCATACCATGGTATCTCTTTTCTTTCTAGGTGATAATGCCCCATCCATAAGTGGGTTACTAACAAAATGGAGGACAGGACGTCACTCCTCCCCAAACACCTACAGGGGGAAGGTCCCCTTTTACTGAGCACTGTGGCCACAATTTTAACAGTTACTGCAAAATAAAAGTTGCTACATTCTCATGATGATGTGTTTTCCCATCACCTGAAAAATTATTTACCGAGTGTCTGTAGCCAGGGTGAAAAACACCCCTAAAGTTTAGATATGCATCAGTATTTCCCTCAAGAATAGCACACGTTAAAACTTTTATAAAGAGAAAACAAAAATAAGGAGTTGAAAAACATATAAGTATAAATTAATAGCCACAAAAGGGAGAAGTTAAAGAGAGACTATGAAAACATCTTTGTCTTGCAGAAAGATACAATCTGAGAAGCAACCCTGCAGGACTTGGCTGAAAGTCAACAGGCGGCTGATCAAATGAAGCAATAGAAGCTGTGTAATTTGTCACATCAAGCACCTGCGACAAACCCACGCACAATCCGAGGAATGTAGGTGATCTGACAAAAGGCCTTATGTTTAAAATTTACCCTAAGTTTCCCTAAATCCATCACAAATTTCCCCACATAAGCCACTTTTTCAGACACAGTTTAACTATCTTTTCTTGTGACACTAGGTGCATTTGAAGAGTTCTTGGGGGCCGGGTGCAGTGGCTCATGCCCATAATCCCAGCACTTTGGGAGGCCACAGCAGGTGGATCACTTGAGGTCAGGAGTTCGAGACCATCCTGGCCAACATGGTGAAACCCCCTCTCTACTAAAAATACAAAAATTAGCCGGGCGTGGTGGCATGTGCCTGTAATTCTAGTTACTCGGGAGGCTGAGGCGGGAGGATTGCTTGAACATGGGAGGCAGAGGTTACAGTGAGCTGAGATCGCGCCACTGCACTCCAGCCTGGTTGACAGAGCAAGACTCTGTCTCAAAAAAAAAAAAAAAAAAAAAAAAAAGCTTTCTTGGGGGTAGGTGCGGTGGCTCACGCCTGTAATCCTAGCACTTTGGGATGCTAAAGTGGAAGGATGGCTTGAGGCAGGGAGTTTGAGACCAGCCTGGGCAACATAGTGAGACATCATCTCTGCCAAAAAAGAAAAAAAAATCCATGTTGAGACATTTTCGTGTAAAAAAAGAAAAAATTACCTGGGTATGGTGATGTGCACCTGTAATCCTAGCTATTTGGAAGGCGGAGCCAGGAGGATTGCTTGAGCCCCAGAAGTTTGATGTTACAGTGAGCTATGATTGTGTCACTGTTTCAGCTTGGGCAACAGAAAGAGACCCTGTCTCAAAAAAAAAAAAAAAAAGAAAAGAAAAAGAAAAGCTGGACACAGTGGCTCATGCCTGTGATCCCAGCACTTTGGGAGGCTAAGGCAGGTGGATCACCTGAGGTCAGGAGTTCAAGACCAGCCTGACCAACATGGTGAAACCCCATCTCTACTAAAAATACAAAATTAGCCAGGTGTGGTGGCACATGCCTGTAATCCCAGCTACTTGGGAGGCCAAGGCAGGAGAATCGCTTGAACCCGGGAGGTGGAGGTTGCAGTGAGCTGAGATCACGCCATTGCACTCCAGCCTGGGCAACAAGAGCGAAACTCTGTCTCAAAAGAAAAAAAAAAATCTCTACACTTTTTTTACTGTTATAGTGACAATAATAGAGGCTTTTCTCTCCAGGAGCTCTAAGTGAAATTAATGAGAAATCTCATGACCCTAAGAAGAGAGATTTAAAAAACAAACACGCAGGCGGGGTGTGGTGGCTCACACCTGTAATCCCAGCACTTCGGGAGGCTAAGGCGGGTGGATCACTTGAGGTCAGGAGTTCAAGATCAGCCTGGTCAACATGGTGAAACCCCATTTCTACTAAAAATACAAAAATTATCCGGGTATGGTGGCATGCGCGCCTGTAGTCCCAGCTACTCAGGAGGCAGAGGCAGGAGAAGCACTTGAACCCGGGAGGTGGAGGTTGCTGCAGAGAGCTGAGATCGAGCCACTGCACTCCAGCCTGGGCAACAGAGTGAGACTCCGTCTCAAAAAACAAACAAGCAAACAAACAAGCAAACAAACAAAACCACACACACATAAACAAGGATTTGGGGTGGAAAGCAGAGGACTAGGATGGTAAGCAAAATAACTGATTTACGCAGTAAAAGTCATTCATATGCAAAAAGGCCAAAGCTGTTTTAGAGAAGTTTTCTACTGTTGATTTCTGAGGGTTTCAGCACAACCAAGCAGCCACCCCAGGAAAAGCCAGGTAGAGCAAAGGGTCTAAAACGAACTCATTATCCAGCATCTCCCCAGGATAAATGAAGTACCCACCATAAGGGACTGCTCCAGATAGCTGAACGCCACCCTGTAAATGGTACAGCTTTTCTTTAACTGTGTCTGTAAGTTTGCTTTCTTTTTTTGAAACTTTATTTATTTATTTATTTAATTTATTTATTTTGAGACTGGGCTGTGAGATTGGCTAATTTTTGTATTTTTGGTAGAGATGGGGTTTCACTGTGTTGCCAAGGCTGGTCTCAAAGTCTTGGGCTCAAAAATCCAACCGCCTCCACCTCCTGAAGTGCTGGGATTACAAGCATGAGACACTGCACCCGGCCTGTTTGTAAATTTTCTACCGAAGGTGATTTTTCTATCATTTTCAACAGAGATGACCAACATACATACTTAAAGAATGTGAACTTTCAACACAACTTGTTCATAACAAGATTCTGCATATGAGAAAACCAAGAACCAGAAAGACAAGGGATCTGTCAGGAACACCATATGCTGCAACAGAACAATGACACCTGAGGTGACTTTCCCTTGACTTTCCCTTTCTTTTTTTGTTTTTTTTTTTTTTTTGAGACGGAGTCTTGCTCTGTTGCCCAGGCTGGAGTGTAGTGGCCCGATCTTGGCTCACTGCAACCTCCACCTCCCGGGTTCACGCCATTCTCCTGCCTCAGCCTGCCGAGTAGCTGGGACTATAGGCGCCTGCCACCACGCCTGGCTAATTTTTTTGTATTTTTAGTAGAGACGGGGTTTTACCATGTTAGCCATGATGGTCTCGATCTCCTGACCTCGTGATCCATCCGCCTCGGCCTCCCAGAGTGCTGGGATTACAGGCTTGAGCCACTGCGCCCAGCCTGACTTTCCCTTTCTTGTCAGACTGACAAGGCCAGACACTTAAATTCATGCTCTTTAATTTCAAGAAAACCTCTCCCTCCTTCCCTTTTTCCTTTCCTTCCTTCCTCTTTCTCTCTCTCCCTTTCTTATATTTAATTTAAACAAACTTGGTTTCCTGTTTTCTTTGCAGAAAAGTAGAAATAAATTGAAGGGAGGAAGGAACAAGGAGGAGACAGTGAGAGGACTGGGGAGGCTCCCTGTACAAAAGGTGGCAAAAGAGCTGAGGATTGACAGCTGGCAAAAGTCTGTTCTTTGTTTTGGCTTACTTCTCATTTATTGACTATATGTTGCACTTGGGTATTTATATAGTAAAGAAATTAATTTACTTTTCTTTTCTTTCTTTCCTCACTCCTTTCTGCCTCTCCCCTACCTCCCAAATCTTCTTCTTTTTTTTTGAGACAGGGTCTTGCTCTTCACCCACATTGAAGTGCAGTGGCACAATCACAGCTCACTGCAGCCTTGACCTCCTGGGCTCAAGCAATTGTCTTACCTCAGCCTCCCAAATAGCTGGGACCACAGGCATGCACCAACACTCCTGGCTAATTCAAAAAAATGTTTTGTATTAACAGGGTCTCCCTATGTTGCCCAGGCTGCTCTTGAACTCCTGGGCTCAACCAATCTTTGGTCTCCCAAAGTGCTGGGATTAAAGGTGTGAGCCACTGTGCCTGGCACCAAACCTTCTTGACATCTAACCACATTGTAAGATCTGTAGAGTGCAGGTCTACTTAAGAGCCTGAGTTCTAATACCAGACTACCTTGGTGTGAATCCCGGCTTTCCCCAACTTGTTAACTGGGTCATCCTCTGTAAGGTACTTTAACTCCTTGTTCTATAGTTTTCACATCTGTTAAATAAGAAAAATGAACAGAACCTACCTTACAGGCTTGTGGTATGAATTATTTATAAAGTCCTCCCTGAAATACTAGCTATTATTATCATAAAGCTTCACCTTATCTCACAGATAATCAGTATCTTCTTTTTCTCAATTCAACAAAACCACAGTCGGTAGATAGTGCATATTTATTTTGAGAAGTCTTAATGGAGTATGGCTGGTCTAACAGGTTATTTTCTCTCTCTCTTTTTTTTTTTTTTTTGGAAGCAGAGTCTCGCTCTGTTTCCCAGGCTGGAGTAAAGTGGCGTGATCTGGGCTCACTGCAACCTCTGCCTTCTGGGTTCAAGCGATTCTCCTGCCTCAGCCTCCCAAGTAACTGGGATTACAGGCGCCTACCATCACACCCAGCTAATTTTTGAATTTTTAGTAGAGACAGGGTTTCACCATGTTAGCCAGGCTGGTCTCGAACTCCTGATCTCAAGTAATTTGCCCACCTCGGCCTCCCAAATTGCTGGGATTACAGGCATTAGCCACTGCACCCGACCTGGTCTAACAGGTTCTTGTAGCACGTCTCAGGAAAGTGGCCTTGTGGTTCAGTCCAGCTCTGGCAGAACACGCTGAAGTTTGAGACTGGACTCAGGCACACCTGTGAGTCAGCTATGTGGATCGGCCTTGAGCTCCAGGCCAGCCTGGGGCCACCCAGGGCCACCCTAGGGATTGCAGTTCCACAGAGCCTGGTACAGATCTGACATGGCCCCAATCAACCTCTCCAGGCCCATCCACTCTCTGCCACTAAAATTATGCCCCAAATGCTTTGCTTCAAAAGCACAGCACTTCCCTGGGCTAGTCCTGCTATTTCTTGCACCGCCCACGCTTGTTCATCTTTATCTGGAACACCTTTCTCCTCCTCACTCCCTGGCAAACTTCCACTTTCCCTTCCAGGTTTTATTTAACTCTCATTTCCTCTATCTGGAAGCCCCCTCAGCAGTGCCTGCCCTCTGTGCCAAGTCTCCTAGTTATGTCTATCCTGATATTTTCCAGATTAATGGACACAATTCTGGCTGACCCTTCCCATAGACTGCCAACTCCTAGAGAGCCCAGCAGCACTTCTGAGTGATCAAATGATGGGCAAGCCTTTTGGATTTCTTTCAAAATTAAGCTCATGGGCTTTTGATCAGTGTTAAGAGTCAGATGAGGACCAGCATGGTGGCTCACACCTGTAATCCCAGCACTTTGGGAGGCCCAGGTGGGAGGATTGCTTGAGCCTAGGGATTCAAGACCAGCCTAGGCAACATAGGGAGACCCTGTCTCTACAAAACAGAAAGAAAAAAAGAGAGAAAATCTGGGCTCCTAGAGATTTGTTCTCAGTGGAAAGTGGGCCAGACATGTGAATTCTTACATTCCTAAAGTGCAGGGTAGCAGTTACTACCACCCATTTTTGGAGGAAGTTTCAAAGGAATCAGACAATTAGCTTGTTTCTTAAGGACTTCTGAGAAAAGAGAAAACAATACTACAATTTCTGCTTAAGTGTCACTCGGCAAACAGGTATAACATGTAGGTCTGACTCAAGTATGGATAGGTAGGAGAGAATTACAAATTTTTCATGAGCTCTGAAGTTGCAGCAACTTATTTACTTCAATGATAGAGCTCTAAAGGATTTGAAGAGTTGTGGAAATAGCAGTAAAATGTCATGCTAGGAGCCTCGTAGAATTGGAGAATGCAAGAGAGAGAAGTGGCCTTACAGATCAATTACTAGTTCTGAATTATGAGTTAGTGATAACATTTTCACTGGTCCCCAGAAAACTGAGATACGTTTGGATAATCTGCTATTTATTTTTTTTATAGTATTGGCTCCAAGTGGTACCATATTATTTTTTAAAAAGCTACATAAATTCAACATAAAGAGTTGTTCCTTATTCTGAGATTAAATTTGTTTACACTTTTATGGTACTAAAATATTCTTTCATGAAAAGATGGTGATTATAAATGGTAGTTTGGTCTTTTTTAAAAAAAAAAAAAAACTACTGAAATATAACACATATATTCCCAATTAGGTTTTTTTTTGAGATAGGGTCTTGCTCTGTTGCCCAGGGTAGAGTGCAGCAGAGATCACGGCTCACTGCAGCCTCCAACTCCTGGGCTCGAGAGATCCTCCTGCTTCAGCCTCTTGAGTAGCTGGGACCCCAGGTGCGTGTTACCACACCTGGCTATTTTTTTTTTCAATTTTTTGTTGAGATGGGATCTCACTGTGTTGCACAGTCTGGTCTCGAACTCCTGGGCTCAAGTGATCCTCCTCTGCCTCAGCCTCCCAAAGTGCTGGGATTACAGGTGTGAGCCACCATACCCAGCGAACGCAAGTTTTATGCAGTCCATTAGAGTGCATGTTAAGCCTACTGTGCTTTGCCACAATGATTTTTTACAATCAAGTAAAATAACTTGGCCTTTACAGGCCTTTAAATGCACAAATTATGCCCTGTTGTGATTTTCATCTGATCAACTCAACCGGATAGCATGAGAAGATTTTATAAATATACACAAATAAATATGCACTTATTTCATAACCTCCACTTATAAGCTAATTGATTCACTTTCTTCCTTATCAGTCACAAAACAGCAGCCACCACTATTTTTTCCTTGCAGTTCACAACATATAGTTCTACTGCAGTAATTCTGCCTCTAGGACCAGATGGGCCAGCTTACTCATGCCCTTCTATTGAGTCATGTAAATATCACAAGATGACACATGCTACCAAGACAAACAGAAAAGCCTTTAAACTCAGCCCTGGAGCCAGGAAAATATTCAAAAACTGTGATGCCAAAAATTTGACCCCATTGAGCTCAATTTTTCATTATTATTCCAATTAGTTTTGTAGTCACTATATTTATGGGAGTTCCTAATGCCTGCTGTTACCTGAAGTTGCTGTTGGGTATGCAGGCTCACATGCTTACCTTTCTTCCTCATAAAAAGTTTGAACTAGCAGCCATAAACTCAACCCATTAAAGAGGCCAAAGTGGCCGGGCGCAGTGGCTTACACCTGTAATCCCAGCCCTCTGAGAGGCTGAGGCGGGCAGATTGCTTGAGTCCAGGAGTTTGAGACCAGCCTGGGCAACGTGGTAAAACACTGTCTCTACTAAAAATACAACAGGCGTGGTGGTGTGTGCCTGTGGTCCCAGCTACTCAGGAAGTGGAGATGGGAGAATCATCTGAGCCTGGGGAGGAGGTCTAGGCAGCAGTGAGCTGAGATTGTGCCACTGTACTCCAGCCTGGGCAACAGAATGAGACCCTATCCCCTCCCGCACCGCCCCCCTCCCAAAAAAGCCAGCTAAAACAAAAGCTGTTACCTAGTGTAAGATGAGTATCCAGTAAAGTTATTTAAAATTTTTTTTAACTTTAGTTTCTTTTGCATTAAAAAAATTTTTTTTTAATCTTAAAAAAAAATAAGACGGGGTCTCACCATGTTGCTCAGGCTGATCTCAAACTCCTGGCCTCAAGTGATCCAACCGCCTTGGCCTCTCAAAGTGCTGGGATTACAGGCGTGAGCCACCGCGCCCAGCCCCAGTAAAGTATTATCTTACTCACCATTTTTTAAAAATTTTTGAAATTTTGAAATAATTTTAGACTTACAGAAAAGTGGTAAAAATACTGCATCTCTGTCCCAGCTTTCCCTCATGCTAACATTTTACATAAACACAGTACACATATCAAAACTAAGAAATTACCACTAGAATAATTCTATTAACTAAACTGTAGACTTTATTAAGATTTCACCGCTTTCTCCACTAATGTCCTTTCTTGGCCTCGAGAGCCAATCCATGATCCCACATAACACAAAAAGGTTAAATTCACCAACCTGTAGGAATCAGGGTTTCATCCACAGGCAAATAAGTATCCGCTTCTATGGTGACTTCATGGTCATTTATATTTGGGGAAGCCTGGGAGGAAAAGGTAGGGGAAAGGTTTTCTGCTTAGTCTTATTTCATATATTTGTTTTTTAACTTATCTTGCAAAAATGTTTTCAGGCATTGACAAAAACTTTTAAAATCTTGTTTGGCTGATGGTCATGATTAAATATAATCAACTAAGTGGAGGTAGATAAGGCCTCAAAATAGCAACAGATAAATTTGGAAGAAACTTTCAAGTGTGCATGCATTTTCTTTTCTAAATAGAATATGAAGGTGAAAAGTCAGAGACCACAGTGGTTTGAAAGCCTTTTGGACCTTGGCTTATTAGTGGAGGTGTTTCTTCTATTCTTCTCACTTGCCAGGCAAACAGAAGAGCAATGACTGGTAACCAGGAACACACACATCCTGAGAGGTCAGGGTACTGCTCCAGGCTCACTCCTGGGGGTGCACCTGGCACCCCCCTCTAGCCCAGTTTCCACACAGAGGCCCCACTCTCTGCTCCATGACAGAAGCCCAGGTGTCAGAACCGCAGTCCCTGCTTTTGAGAATTTGCCCACCTCCTCCATGAAGATGCAGCCTGGCCTTTGCAGGGGAGTCAAAGGCTGGTGTACTGGTCAGTGTCAGAAGGCCTGGGGTGTAGTTCCAGCTCTTCCTGAGTGGTCCCAGGGAATTCATTTAACCTCATAGACTCTCATTTCCTTTGGTTTAAAATTGGGCTAATGAGGCCGGGCGCGGTGGCTCATGCCTGTAATCCCAGCATTTTGGGAGGCCGAGGCAGGCGGATCACCTGAGGTCAGGAGTTCGAGACCAGCCTGACCAAAAAGAAGAAGCCCCGTCTCTACTAAAAATACAAAATTAGCCAGGTGTGGTGGCACATGCCTGTAATCTCAGCTACTCAGGAGGCTGAGGCAGGAGAATTGCTTGAACCCGGGAGGTGGAGGTTGCGGTGAGCCAAGATCGCGCGTGCCATTGCACTCCAGCCTGGGCATCAAGAGCAAAACTCCATCTCAAAATAAATAAAATAAAATAAATTTGGGCTAATGATGCCTCTACCTTTTCCAGGGTCCTTGTGAATAACAGTGTAGGAAAGGTGCATTGTGTTGTTTGCAAATCGGCAAATAACTTTATACATGCATGTTTCTAGTACAAATATTATTTTATATTATCAATAGCAACATATTTTAAAGCTTCACACCAGAAGATGTGGAAGGGAAACCAAGTGAGGGCTTTTGCTCAGTGAATGCTCAAAGATGAGCTAAACTAGTGGTTCTCAATTGGGGATAATTTTGTCTCTCAGGGGATATTTGACATTTGACTTTTTTTTTTTTTCTGAGACCGAGTTTCGCTCTTGTTGCCAAGGCCGGAATGCAATGGCGCGATCTCGGCTCACTGCAACCTCCGCCTCTCGGGTTCAAGTGATTCTCCTGCCTCGGCCTCCCTAGTAGCTGGGATTACAGGCATGCACCACCACGTCTGGCTAATTTTGTATTTTTAGTAGAGACGGGGTTTCTCCATGTTGGTCAGGCTGGTCTCGAACTCGCGACCTCAGGTGATCTGCTCACCTCGGCCTCCCAAAGTGCTGGGATTACAGGTGTGAGTCACCGCACCCAGTACACATTTTTTTTTTTTTTGAGACGGAGTCTCACTCTGTCGCCCAGGCCGGAGTGAAGTAGTGTAATCTTGGCTCACTGCAGTCTCTGCCTCCCAGGTTCAAGCAATTCTCCTGCTTCAGCCTCCCGAGCAGCTGGGATTACAAGCGTGTGCCACCACACTTGGCTAATTTTTGTATTTTTAGTAGAGATGGGGTTTCACCATGTTGGTCAGGCTAGTCTTAAACTCCTGACCTCAGGTGATCCACCCACCTCAGCCTCCCAAAGTGCTGGGATTACAGGTGTGAGGCACTGTGCCCGGCCGACTGGTTTTTTTGAGACAGGGTTAGGACAGGTTAGCTGGAAACAGATTCTATGGTCTGAAAGACTGGCCCACACAATCCAACTGAGTAATTCTGAAAAGAAAGGTCAAGATTTTAGAGACCATGAGAATGCATGTCTAAACACGACAGAAACTGGTTTAATTACACCACTAGTAGGCTCTTTTTCTGAAAAACTACGATTCTCTTTTTTTTTTTTTCGGAGGCAGAGTCTTACTGTGTCGCCCAGGCTGGAGTGCAGTGGCGCAATCTTGGGTCACTGCAACCTCCACTTCCAGGGTTCAAGCAATTCTCCTGCCTTAGCCTCCTTAAGTAGCTGGGATTACAGGTGCCCACCACCATGCTAGGCTAATTTTTGTATTTTTAGTAGAGATGGGGTTTCACCATGTTGGCCAGGCTGGTCTCGAACTCCAGACCTCAAGTAATCTGCCTGCCTTGGCCTCCCAAAGTGCTGGGATTACAGACTTGAGCCACCATGCCTGTCCAGAAGAACTATGATGCTCTTGTTTTCTCCCAGTGGGTGTGTGCTGGGCAGGGGTATGAGTGGGTGGGGGACAAAGCCAGGGCAAAGGCCTCTCCTCTGCACTTTCTACAGCTCACTCTGCTGTGAGCTGGGGCAGCAGGTCCAAGATGGGAGAGGGTCTGTACCCCTGCCTAGAGCAGGTCTAGCCTAGAGAGGATGTCTCTTCTGTGCGGCTCTCTCTCCTGCCATCCTCGCATGCCTCAGGGTGGTGCCAGCACCTGGAGATGCCCCTGGGACTGTGGGAGAGGAGCTGAGGGAAGAGAATTTGGGACTACTGTATTTCCTTGGCCCTATTTGTTCACTACTCAGCTCAACACAGAGGGCTTTGGGTCAGTCGAGACAAGGGGTGTGAAGGTTGGGTTCCAGGCCTTGGTGGCGCTAAACTGGGAGCTGCAGCCCACATACAGAGCTGAATAGTGTTAGAAAAAGAGAACCCAGGTGGACCAAAGCACCTCCATACTTCCTGTGCACAAATAAGCCTGGAGGAACACAAGCTATGTAATGTCATCCAATGAGGACACCTGCAGGAGGCAAAGCCATTCTCCAGACTCCTGGCCTAGCATTAATTCAGGTCTTCACTCTGTTTCCTAGGTGCCTGCCTCCTTAGAAACAGAAGTATGCAGTACATATTCTTTGGTGCCTTGTTATTTCCACACAACATAATGCTACTGGGATCATCCATGTTATATTCCTTTGTATTGTTGAGTAGTATTCCGTTGTATGACTGTATCACAATTTGTTTATCCATTCTCCTGTTGATAGACTTCTGGGTTGCTTCCAGTGTTTTACTATTATAAATAAAGCTGCTTAGAAATTTCCACTTTCTGGCCAGGCACGGTGGCTCATGCTTGTAATCCCAGCACTTTGGGAGGCCAAGGTGGGTGGATCACGAGGTCAGGAGATCAGACCATCCTGGCTAACACGGTGAAACCCCATCTCTACTAAAAATACAAAAAAGTAGCTGGGCATGGTGGTGGGCGCCTGTAGTCCCAGCTACTCGGGAGGCTGAGGCAGGAGAATGTCGTGAACCCGGGAGGCGGAGGTTGCAGTGAGCCAAGATCGCGCCACTGCACTCCAGCCTGGGAGACAGAGCGAGACTCCATCTCAAAATAAGAAAGAAAGAAAGAAAGAAAGAAAGAAAGAAAGAAAGAAAGAAAGAAAGAAAGAAATTTCCACTTTCTGTGGTTTTTTTTTTTTAAGCACTAGAGAAATGAATCAACATGAAAATCACACTCCAAATAAACTGATGAGCCTGAGATTTAGGAAGAAGCCTAGGAGGAGAAGGAAAAGAACATTCATCAGGCACCCACCCTCTTAAGGGTCACTGGGTCACCAAGCAGTAGTAACATTCCTTCGTTAAAGAGATGCATGCTTTGTGGCCAGGCATGGTGGCTCAGGCCTGTAATCCCAGAAGTTTGGGAGGCCGAGATGGGCGGATCACTTCAGGTCAGGAGTTCAAGACCAGCCTGGCCAACATGGTGAAACCCCATCTCTACTAAAAATACAAAAAATTAGCCAGGGGCACGTGCCTGTAATCCCAGCTACTCCAGAGGCTGAGGCGGGAGAATCCCTGGAACTTGGGAGGCGGAGATTGCCGTGAGCCGAGATTGCGCCACTGCACTCCAGCCTGGGAGACAGAGTGAGACTCCGTCTCAAAAAAATAAAAAATAAAAAATAAAAATAAAAATGCATGCTTCTTTTTATGACTCTTCTAGGCTGGAAAAACGCAATGATCTACTCTGGTGGAATATTACTGTTGGAATCATTTCCTTTCAAGGCTGATGAAAACTTGGCAAGAAATGCTGATTCACAAACAGACCTTGAGGCCCATCTCTGGGTTCAGTGTTTGTTTTGGTTAACTTTGCTTGGCTGCTACCTGTTTGTAACATTAACCATTTATAGAGCCCATTATGATTTGCAGGGGACTTTAAAGACATTGTGCAATATCACTACCACAGCCTTAACTCAGCTCTCATCACCTCTAGCAGGAGGGTACAGACACTGTGGGTTACTACCCACAAGCCATGGCAACTCTTTTACCAGCAACTCTGTGCCCCCAGGCAGAAACTAGGCTTGTTGATTTATCCTATGCTAGACCAGATATTCAGGGAAGAGGACCCACCCCCGCTCCATTTCCAGAGGGCAAATTTTGACTGGTCTAAGCCAATCATCATGGCCTAATTCCCTTGCTGGCGATTGGGTTAGGCAGAGCATAGGCCACACTTCTGGCCAATGAGAAATCAGAGAAAGTTGGCTGGAGGGCTTCTAGGAAAAGCATTGCTTTTTCTTAAAAAGAGGACATTAGAGATATGAAAAATGGAATGGGTCTTTTTGTCTCTGGATGTGACTATATGAGGAGGTGATTCCTGGAGCTGTGGCCATGAGGGGACAAGCCTGAAGACAAAAGCCAAAATACTGAGGAAGCAGATGGAAAACTGGAAGAACCTGGGTCCTTAATGACATGTCTACCTGTCATGTACCACATGCTATTGCTTTTCATCTCGAATTCCCCCAGACCTGCTTTCATAACTCTTTCGGTAAAGTTTCTGTTGTTTTTTTGTTTGTTTGTTTTTATTGTTTATAAAAACACAGTCTCACTGTGTCATCCAAGATGGAGTCCAGTGGCGCAATCTTGGCTCACTGCAACCTCCGTCTCCTGGGTTCAAGCAATTCTCATGCCTCGGCCTCCTGATTAGCTGGGATTGCAGGCATCTACCACAACGCCCAGCTAATTTTTTGTATTTTTAGTGGAGACGGGTTTTTACCATGTTGGGCAGGTTGGTCTTGAACTCCTGACCTCAAGTGATCTGCCCACCTTGGCCTCCCAAGTGCTGGGATTACAGGCGTGAGCTGCCGCACCCAGCCTGTTTGTTTGTTTTTAGAGATGGGGGATCTCTCTATGTTGCCCGGTCTGGTCTTGAACTCCTGGGCTCCAGTGATGCTCCCACCTTGGCCTTCCAAAGTGCTGGGATTACAGGCATGAGCCACCACACCCAGGTCTTTAGGTAAAGTTTCAATAAAAAAAAAGTTATCCCAGTTTTGTGTTAGGCACAGGAAGGAACAGAAAAATAAAATAAAACAAAAAACGACCTGCAACCTACATACCTTTTATATTCTTTGACAAAGCCAGTTCTCCCCTCCTCCCCAGGTCTCCAACCCTCAAACTTAGAAGTGATGAGCAATACTTGGGCCCAAATAGAACAAAAATACCACTTATTAAATTTAAAAAACAAACAAAAATATATAAGATGAGCTGACTAATTTAAATATCAGGTTTTGAGCTATGTGCCTGGGGAGGGTTTGAGATATATGATAATGCTTCTCAAGGTATGGCAAGAGATATTCTGAAGATGCAGAGGCCCTTGACTCCAGGTCTGGCTTGGTGATCATCCACTCCTACCGGAGTGCCTTGGAAGGCTGGTGCCCCCATCCACCTTCAAACCTGAAGTTAGTGGCTGTGGATTCAAGCTACGCTTACTAAGATAGAGGTTGAAAATCCCTAATCTGAAAATCTAAAATCTGGGGCCAGGTGCGGTGGCTCACGCCTGTAATCCTAGCACTTTGGGAGGCTGAAGCGGGTGGATCACCCGAGGTCAGGAGTTCGAGACCAGCTTGGGCAACATGGTGAAACCCCATCTCTACCAAAAATACAAAAATTAGCTGGGCGTGGTCGTGGGCGCCTGTAATCCCAGCTACTAGGGAAGCTGAGGCAGGAGAATTGCTTGAACCCAGAAGGTGGAGGTTGCAGTGAGCCGAGATCGTGCCACTGCATTCCAGCCTGGGCAACAAGAGTGAAACTCCACCTCAAAAAAAAAAAGAGGACAATCTAAAATCTGAAATGCTCCAAAATCTGAGCTTTTTGAGTGCCAACATGACGCTCAGAAGTAGTCACTGGAGCATTCCAGATTTCGAGTTTTCAGATTAGGAATGCTGAACAAATAAGTATATATAACGCAAATATTCCAAAATCTGAAAATCTCCAAAATCCAAAACATTTCTGGCCTCAAGTATTTTGGATAAGGGATATTCAATCTGTGGTATACGGAAGGAAGTTCATTGACCGCGCTTTTGGGTGGGGTCTATGATCTAGGAAACTATTCAGCCTCTGAAAAGAGATTCAGAAATACCCGTCACTCCAAGTCCCTGCAGGATTGGAAGAGTCGTAAAAAGCCTTAGTAAACCTAACATTCCCATATTGTCTCCTTCATTGGAACACACTGGCAGATGGAATACTGCATGCATAATTTCTCTTTTTATTTCTAATCTATTCCTTTAGATCTCCCCTCCCTATTATTAAATAGGATGTCCTAAGTATGCAAAAAATGTAAAAAACAGAATTATCACCGAGTTTTTTACCTACATAAAACAATACTTTCTTCTATTTCTGTCGTTTGTTTCTGAACTTATTTTAAGAAGTAGATCCTCTTAGGTCTGAGGGTTTTTGTTTTGTTTTTGTCTTTTGTTTCGTTTTTAAGATTTTTTTTTTTTTTTTAAAGACGGAGTTTCACTCTTGTTGCTCAGGCTGGAGTGCAATGGCGCAGTCTCAGCTCACTGCAACCTCCGCCTTCCAGGTTCAAGTGATTCTCCTGTCTCAGCCTCCCGAATAGCTGGGATTACAGGCCCACGCTACCATGCCCAGCTTATGTTGTATTTTTAGTAGAGACGGGGTTTCACTATGTTGGTCAGGCTGGTCTCAAACTCCTAACCTCAGGTGATTCACTCATCTCGGCCTCCCAAAGTGCCGGGATTACAGGCATGAGCCACAGCACCTGGCCTTGTTTTTAAGATTTCAAGAAGGATGGTGAAAGTTCCTGAGGATAAGGAACCCGCAAGTGAAGGGTCAACTTTTTTAAAGGGAGAACTTTGGAAATTTTACAAGAACCAATTAACTCTGCAATTTGGGAAAATTCTAGAAAACAGAATCCAGCAGATCATCAGCAAACTCCTGAAACAGTATAAAAAGGTGAGATATTACTAGCTGACTGTGAACACCATCTTGCGGTAGAAAATCAGGCCAAAGTGAGTCAAGTATAGTAGACAATGATGAGTTCTTCAGATAAAGAGGAAGTAATAGATATAATCTACAGAGTTTAGCTAAGCTTTTTATTCTGTCTGATATGATATCCTCCTCAATGAGCTAAACTGTTACCTTTAGGAGGGAATGAGGTAGTTCAGAAGGGATCACTTAAGGGGGGTTGTCAGCAGCTCTACACCACTCTTATGTGGGCAGTTCAAGTGGTCCCCCACTGGGGTTTATCCCTCTGCTGGGTTGATTTTAGTGTCTTAACCAACAACTTCATAAAGGGCTTCTAACAGCAGCTGACAAATAGTAGGTAGTGTTATTACTATGAAATTGAGAATATGCCTTTATTAAGCTAAAAAAACCAGGTCTTCTAAATCCAAGTCCAGTGCTCTTTCCACGGTACTGCGCAGGGCAGGACTGGCCCACCCAAACCCCTGGGAGGAGCTGGCAGGCTCACAGGGGAAGCACACACATATTGGCAGCATATCTAAAGGAGCTGGACCATGCCCATTTCCAAAGCTCCAAGGGTGGAAGGCACCTTAATTGGAACAAATTTGCAGGGAGTAGACGTGGAATAAGGGAAGCAAATATAAGCACATGTTACAATTAGATTCTGAGAGGGAGTTCTTGAAACAGCTAGTTACTTGTCTGAAGCAAACGGGAAACAGGTACTTCTCTTGGCAGTACAATGTAATCATTCTGTCTTTCTCTATAATTTTCAATTATTGAGCACCTACTATAAGCCCTCTGCTGGGCCCTTTTCATCATCATGAGGGTGACCTCACTGCCACAGCAATTCCACACTACTCTGATCTCTCTAGCCACAGCCCAGGACATTCCACAAAGCACGAAGCAGGAAAGAAGAAACAAGTTCACTTACCTGGCCTGCCAGGTTGAAGTAAGAATGGTTGGTCAGGTTGACTGGTGTGGCCTGACTGGCTTGTGCTCTGTAGTTGACTATGAGCTCTCCGCCATCCAGGGTGTATGTCACCCAGACTTTTAACTCTCCGGGGTAGCCTTCTTCACCATCTGGACTGATGCGCGAGAACTGGACGCCATTTGACAGCACCCGAGGGGTCCAGAGCACCTGGAAAAAAGTGTTTTCAAAGTTGTGTAGTTGCTCCATCCTCAAGCTAAATGCCATATTTCAATATTTAAAGACAACTGATTTCACAAGGAAAATGGTTATACAATCAATTAAGACTTTTTAATGATAGCCTGGATTTTTTTTTTTTTTGAGACAGGGTCTCACTATGTTGTCCAGGCTGCAGTGCAGTGATACAGTCTTGGCTCTGCAACCTCCACCTCCCAGGTTCAAGCAATTCTCAAGCCTCAGCCTCCCGAGTATGATTACAGGCATGAGCCACTGTACCTGGCTAATTTTTGCATTTTTCGTAGAGACGGGGTTTTGCCATGATGACCAGGCTGGTCTCGAACTCCTGACCTCAAGTGATCCACCTGCCTCGGCCTCCCAAGGTGCTGAGATTACAGGCATGAGCCACCGCACCTGGTCCCTGGATTTTAATTATTACAAATGTTTGTTTTTCTCTACCTTCTCACACTCCCCATTCTCTTTTCTCTAACTTTGTACGATGTGTGTCTACAATATTTTCCTCTCCTCTTCTTTGATGATTTTTCTTTGATTTTTTTTTTTAATCTTGTAGCCCCACTCTGCTAAACGCCATATAGCAATATCTGCTGAGAGTATTAAAAAAAACTTTAATAAATCAGCCCCTGTCTCCTAGGGGTATATATACAAATATTTATTAAAATCCCTACAAGGCTCTCTGTGTTCCCTAGGCAGAGTTCAAAACAAATAAGGCATTTGTGCCATTAAGAAGAGTTGTAGCCTACAAGTCAAGAGTCCTGATTTGAGGGGCCTCATTTGTCCCTAGCTCATTGTGTGACTCTAGGCATTAATCTCTTTCATAAAATAAAGGGGTTGAAGAAATTATCTCGAAGTTTCTTCTTGTTCCAGAAAATATGATTCTAAGACTGGCAAAAAAAAGTATGAAGAAGAGTTTATTTTTAAAGTTTTTTTTTGTGGTCAGGTGCAATAGCTCATGCCTGTAATCCCAACACTTTGGGAGGCTGAGGCAGGAGGATCGCTTGAGCTCAGGAATTCAAGACCAGCCTGGGCAACATAGTGAGATGTCATCTCTATGAAAAAGTTTAAAAAAATTAGCGAGGTATGGTGGTGCATACCTGTAGTCCTAGCTACTCGGGAGGCTGAGAAGGGAGGATCGCTTGAGCCCAGGAGGTTGAGGCTGCAGTGAGCCGAGATCGCACACACCATTGCACTCCAATCTGGGTGACAGAGTAAGACATTGTCTCAAAAAAGTAAATAAATAAATAAAAGGCATTTTGCTTTTGGAAATAGGAATTGGAATCTTGGATTAACATAGTGGCTGTTCTCAACTTTGTCCTAGAGGCTCCAAGATTACACTTATAGGGAAGGGAAAACGAACACTTATCGGGTGCCCATTATGAGTCAAGACTCTTTGCTACAAACTTCACAGACACTGTCTATCTGTCTCAAAGCAGACTTAAAGTAGGTAACATCATCCTCATTGAATAATGAAAGAATGGAGGCTCAGTGAGGATAAACCGCTTGCCCCAGGCCACACAGCTAGTGTGTGGCATTGGACTGGATCCTGAGACTGTTCCCTTACTCTATACTATCAGGGGATGAGTTGGCCAGAGATTCCCAGTGCCTTTAGAGAGCTCTGGGATCACTAAAGAAGGGGCCTGTTGCAGGCATGAGACCTCCAACTTGTTGAGTGCTCAATAGTCAATGACCTGGTGCTTTACATAAATCATCTTGCAAGGTAAAGATTTGGTTGCCCAAATGAAATGACCATCATTGTAGGTCAAAACAGTTGAACACTGGCAATTTCATGTGGCTTCAACAAATATTATTTACCTCCATTTTACAGATGAGCAAATTGAGTTCAGTGGAGTTAACTTATACCCACATCTACCTTCTACATTCCTAGTGTGTGTCGGGGGCGGTGGGGAGTTTCATACTACCTGTCCATTGTTTAGAAGGAAAAAAAAATCTTGTTTAAAGTCACACATGTGGCCGGGTGCAGTGGCTCACACTTGTAATCACAGCACTTTGGGAGGCCAAGGCGGGCAGATCACTTGAGGTCAAGAGTTCGAGACAAGCCTGGCCAACATGGTGAAACTTCGTCTCTACTAAAAATACAAAAATTAGCCACGTATGGTGGCTCATGCCTGTAATCCCAGCTACTCGGGAGGTTGAGGCAGGAGAACCACTTGAACCTGGGAAGTGGAGGTTGTAGTGAGCCAAGATTGCGCCACTGCACTCCAGCCTGGGCAACAGAGTGAGACTCCGTGTCAAAAAATAAATAAATAAATAAAGTTATACATGTTATTTGTGACAGAGCTGGGGTTCAAACTCAGGACTGGCTGTCTCCTCTATTCCACATCTTAGTCTCAGTGAAGTTTTTGTCTGAATCTTCCTTTTCAACAGAAGAGTTGAGGCCAAACTCTATGGACTTGAAAGATAATAGCCTCTGTGGGCCACAGGAGTGGTCTCTGAGCCCAGGATCTGTCCACTTTGCTCTCACAGACGTGGCATTTGCCAGGAAGGAGAACCCAGCAGGAACGGAGGTCTCTGCCTTCACCTACAGTGAAGGCAGCTGGTATGTGAAATACTTTCACTGAGCTTAGTGAAAAATTCATTTTACACCCTAGTTAGCTCCCAGAAAGGTTGAACTTTCAAGACACTCAAAATATGAAGCCTGTTATATGTGTAATTAAAAAAGAAATAGAATATCCCAAATGGAACATTTCAGGAATTAAATAATTGAAATGAAATCTTAACTTGCTACCTAGTTTTTCTTTTGTAGAGAAAGGACACAATGGAAAGATTTTTGTGTAAACCAATATGATTGGTTAAGCATAATTCCTATTTATGGAAGGATTTCCCTGAGCCTGTAGTTTCCAAATTTCCAGAAACTCTGCAGCTCTAGATCTTCTTATACCATTTCAAATCCTATTCAACTGTCATCTTAAAAAAAAATGTGTTGGTGGCCGGGTGCGATGGATCATGCCTGTAATCCCAGCACTTTGGGAGGCCGAGGTGGGTGAATCACCTGAGGTCGGGAGTTTGAGACCAGCCTGACCAACAAACCCTGTCTCTACTAAAAATACAAAATTAGCCAGGCATGGTGGCGAATGCCTGTAATCCCAGCTACTTGGGAGGCTGAGGCAGGAGAATTGCTTGAACCCAGGAGGTGGAGGTTGTGGTGAGCTGAGATGGCGCCATTGCACTCCAGCCTGGAAAATGAAAGCAAAACTCTGCCTCAAAAAAAAAAAAAAAAGAGTTCAAAGTCTTTCCCCACCCCTCTCAGGGCCACTGTGCAGTCATTCTCTCCCATATCCATGTATTGAATGAAATGCTATTGGCTCTTCAAGGCCAGTTCCAATCCTATCTCCTAGGCTGCTATTTCATTTGTTCACACATGTTCCTGTCTTCTCTGGCTTGTTATGGTGCTTGTGGCCATTCGCCTTTAACAGTTATCATGTAAGAGTCCATCTCCCTCTTTATACTGTGAGCCTCAGGAGTCCTTGGCCTACTGTGCCCCCTGCTTCACAGAAGGGGCTCAAGGGCACACTGCACTGAAGGCTAGGTACACTCACGATTTTGCTGTGTTCTTGAAGGGAATATAAGTTAAGCAACACCACGGAAAATGCCACAGTGAACAGGGGGAGCAGGGGCAAGCTAGAACGAGGTGCTGTCCTAAGGCTCCTCTGAAGATCCCTGTCTGAAGCCAGGCTGGGCCTTACTTTCTCTGGTTGGGGTTTGCTCATGATCCTGGCATGTTCTAGAGACTCTGCCCTAATACTGGCAGAGCACATGCTGCCCTCTGCCTCCCTGGCATGAAGAATCCCATCACTGAGGAAAGGGAAACCCATGGGGCAGTCAGTCTAGTTCCAGGCCACCAGCAGGAAGCTCATGGAGGCGGGGAAGCCTCCTTCTGCAGGACAAGTGGTGGTTAGAGGCAGAAGAGAAGAAACTGTGGCCATTAGTGGCCATACATGTTCCTGTCTTCTCTGGCTCTTCTCTGGCTCTTCTCTAGCAAATAACCTGGGTGGTATAATTTAAAAGAAAGTTAACTACTGAAATTTACTCCTGCACAGCCTGAAATTAGACTAGTAAGAGAGCAATCACTGGGGTTAACCCATAGACTCCCATGGGGCTAGGAAGCAGGAGGCCAAGCACTCCCACCCCAGGGAGAAGCTGTTCGATCAATTTGCTTTCCTGACCTTGTTTTCTAGGGATCTGCTTAAAGAATGGTCGTTTTCATGTGGAGAGGAGGAACTGGGGAGAATCTGATATGATTTTGAGGCATGAGGCACTTCAGTGGAAGGGCAGGCCTTGGTGCAGCGCCATGCTGCATGGGGCGGGGGGCTTAATGACAGGTACAGGGAAGCATGTTGGACGGGGGCACCCATGCAGCCTGGGTGGACACCAGCAGCTATGGTGTAAGAATGAGTGTTTTGGGCCAGGCAGCCCTGGTTGTCCCACTTAGGAGTCATGTGGCCCTTTATTTATTATTTATTTTTTATTTTTTTGAGACGGACTCTGGCTCTGTTGCCCAGGCTGGAGTGCAGTGGCGTGATCTCAGCTCACTGTAACTTCCACCTCCCACATTCAAGCGATTCTCTTGCCTCAGCCTCCAGAGTAGCTGGGATTACAGGTGGCCGCCACCACACCCAGCTAAGTTTTGTATTTTTCGTAGAGACGGGGTTTTACCATGTTGGCCAGGCTGGTCTTAAACTCCTGACCTCAGGTGACCTGCCCACCTCGGCCTCCCAGAGTGCTGGGATTACAGGCGTGAGCCACTGTGCCTGGCCATGTGGCCTTTCAGTGCCTCGGTTTTCCCATTTAGTGATAACACAGAGTTTTAGTAAGAGTAAGAGATAATATATGTCAATGTCTTGTCCAATAAGTGGAAGATACTGTTATCAATCCACATCTCTTCAACCCGACTCCCTGATCTCAACACTGTGAGAAAGTTGTTTCTCATTTTTCCTAAGTCAAAGGTTGACATCCTTTCTCTTGGGGCTCCCCTGTCTGTTCCAACAGATGAACTAGAGAAGGATGGGTCCTAGCACATGCCCATTGCACCTGCTGCCCTGAACCATGGAAGGGGCCTCTTTCCTGCATCTCACCACTCATGTGCTCTAGGGCCTATGACTGTGCCTGGCAAGCAGAAGGTATGCGTAAAGTGAGCCTAAAGGGAACTCAGTCACATGTGCCGTACTTACTTTATCAAACCCTCTGACTCCTCCATGCAGACTGTTGGGTTCCTTGTTAATGGCCAGGTGATACTCCTTCCCATCCACCTTGAAGGTTCCTTTGGCGATTCGGTTGGCCACCCTCCCAATAACTGCTCCAAAGTATGGCTGCTTTTGGAGGTATCCTGCAAGGACAAGGGATGACAGCACTTTTAAAACTTCAATTCAGGCTGGGCACGGTGGCTCACACCTGTAATCCCAGCACTATGGGAGGCCGAGGCAGGCGGATCACAAGGTCAGGAGATCGAGACCATCCTGGCTAACACGGTGAAACCCTGTCTCTACTAAAAATACAAAAAAATTAGCTGGGCGTGGTGGCCGGCGCCTGTAGTCCCAGCTACTCGGGAGGCTGAGGCAGGAGAATGGCATGAACCTGGGAGGTGGAGCTTGCAGTGAGCCGAGACCGCGCCACTGCATTCCAGCCTGGGCGACAGAGCGAGACTCCATCACACACACACACACACACACACACACACACACACACACACACACAAAAAAAAAAAAAAAAAACAAAAAAACCCTCAATCCAAAGGTGTGTTGCATGCCACTGTCCCTCACCTTCTTCAGACGAATGCTGCACATGGTAACATCTTGGGCATGTCAAAGTCCTCACTGAATCACAGAAAATGGCTTTCATTACATACGATCCTTTCCTTTTCCAAAAGTAATTAATATTCATTATACAAAATTGTAAAGAATTTTATACAGCACAAAGAAAAAACTGAAATTATCCTTCATCTCATCACTCGAGAGAGCCACTGCTAATATTCTTATGTGCACACACTCTTCCATCTTTTAGTATATGCATCTGTGTGCTTTTTTCTTTCTTTTTATAAAACTATTTGTTGTGGTGGTGGTTGTTAAGACAGAGTCTCACTCTGTTGCCCAGGCTGGAGTGCAGTGGCCCCATCTCGGCTAACTGCAAACTCCATCCCCCAGGTTCAAGTGGTTTTCTTGCCTCAGCCTCCTGAGTAGCTGGGAGTAGAGGCATGCACCACCACACCAAGCTAATTTTTGTATTTTTAGTAGAGACGGGGTTTCACCATGTTGGCCAGGCTGGTCTCGAACTCCTGACCTCAGGTGATCTGCCCAACTCGGCCTCCCAAAGTGCTGGGATTACAGCCATGAGTTACTGTGCCCAGGCTTTTCTCTCTTTCAAAACATCTTATTGTACTGTATGCACCTATTTTCAATCCAAAGTTGACTCTGAGTAACTGAAACTGCAGGAAGCAAAACTATGGTTGAAGGGGGACTGTATAACACTGCTTTGTAATCTCCTTTTCTCTAGGCCAAAGTTATACTTTCGTGTGGTCTTGAGGGGAAGCGATCTTATTCTTTCTCTTCTTATTTTTTTAAATCACATAATTAGTACATTAAAATATCCTTTAGAGAGAGTTAGGTAATACACAAGGATATAGAGTAGGTTTGCCAGAGGAAATATAGAATGCTTGGTTAAATGTGAGTTTCAAATAAACAACAAATAATTGCTTAGTATAAGTTTGTTCATGTTATTATTATACATGGGACATACTTATACTTTAAAAGTTGTGTCCAGGCGCGGTGGCTCACGCCTGTAATCCCAGCACTTTGGCAGGCTGAGAAGGGTGGATCACGAGGTCAAGAGATTGAGACCATCCTGGCCAACACGGTGAAACCCCGTCTCCACTAAAAATACAAAAATTAGCTGGGTGTCGTGGCCTGTGCCTGTAGTCCCAGCTACTTGGGAGGCTGAGGCAGGAGAATCGCTTGAACCCAGGAGGCAGAGGTTGCAGTGAGCCAAGATCATGCCATTGCACTCCAGCCTGGCGACAGAGCGAGACTGTCTCAAAAAAAAAAAAAAAAAAAGTATAAGCTGTTTATTTGAAATCCACATTTAACCAGGCATCCTGTACTTTTATTTGTGAAGTCTAGCAACCTAAACAAGGACTAAAACACAAAAGCCTTCCTTCACCTCTCCACTCCCCTCCTTTCCAATGGTAACCACTATTAACAGTCTGGCACGTACACTTCATTTAAAAATTTGAATTAACTACATATTAGCAAATATATAAATACACAAACACACATATTCCATATAAAGAGAATCATACTACATAGAGTATCACACTATAATCGTACATTGTTCTGCAACTTTTCATTTATCAAATATCTTCAGATTGCTCCATGTCATGACATATCTACCATATTCCTTTTTATTTTTTTTTGAGTTCCCTTTTTTTTTTTTTTTGAGACGGAGTCTCGCTCTGTCGCCCAGGCTGGAGTACAGTGGCACGATCTCAACTCACTGTAAGCTCCGCCTCCCAGGTTCACGCCATTCTCCTGCCTCAGCCTCCCGAGTAGCTGGGACTACAGGCACCCGCCACCATGCCCGGCTTATTTTTTGTATTTTTAGTAGAGACGGGGTTTCACCGTGTTAGCCAGGATGGTCTCGATCTCCTGACCTTGTAATCCACCCGCCCCGGCCCCATATTACTTTTGATGGCTACATGGTATAATAATCAGCATAAACTGTTTGGGGCCTTTTTAGGGGAGGGGCTGTAAAAAGCAAAGTAGCGTCCTCATACTTACAACTTTGGGCGTGGGCATATTATGGTACTTTTCTTCTCTTTAAATTCCTCTGTGCTTACTTTACGATGGAAAAGATTAAGGTCTGGAGATTGTTTTCTGTATTATTACCAAGATTACTTTCCACTCTAGTTTTCACTTAGATGTCCTCTGAATTCCATTCCCTTTTCCCGTGGTACTCTGTATCTGTCATGTCTACTTCAGATCAGCAGAGAATGCAATTCAAGCATATGAACTATTTTTTCAAGGGATGGAGAGGCTCTCAGGATACAGACCCTGAGCTGATTAGGCCAGTTACAGGTCACAGGTTTCCATTACCCAACTGGTTGGGTACAAATTAAACATTAATCCTTCTCTTCCAGGCCTTTCCTGGTTTGCTTCTTTGCTAATCTGCAGGTGCATCAGAGTGTTGCCCATTGACTATCATAATAGCTAACACTTACTGAGTGTTGTGTTTTTTTTGAGACGGAGTTTTGCTCTTATAGCCTGGGCTGGAGTGCAGTGTGCGGTCTTGGCTCACTGCAACGTCCGCCTCCTGGATTCAAGCAGTTCTCCTGCCTCAGCCTTCCAAGTAGCTGGGATTACAGGTGCCCGCCACCAAGCCCAGCTAAATTTTTTTTTTTTTTTAATAGAGATGGGTTTTCACCATGTTGGCCAGGCTGGTCTCAAACTCCTGACCTCAGGTGATCCACCTGCCTTGGCCTCCCAAAGTGTGTCCCAGCCACTTTCTAAGTGCTCTACATTTACTTCATTTCATACTCAGAACGTTTCTATGATGTAGACACTATTACTATCCCAATTTACAGATGTGGAAACTGAGGACAGAAAAGTTAAATAACTTGCCCCAAAACACACAGCTAAGTAGTGGCAGAACCAAGACTTGAATCCAGACAGTCTAGCTCATGAGTCCATGTTCTTCAGTATCAAATTATGTGAAAAGCGCAGGCTTTCTGGTTATTAACCTTACCTCCATCCCTAGGCACAGGCCAGGCTGATCTCTCTCTCTCCTATTCCCACCTCTCCCCACCTTCTTCTCTTTCTGAAAATAGCTTTAAAAGCCCATACACTGGTTAACCAAAAGGAGTCCCAAAGAGCCAAACAATCTTTCCTTGGTTTTGTTTCATCCGCTTTTCAGAAGCTCAAAAATTATAGAAAAGCAGAATTTTTTTTCTAAAAAACAAGATGTTTGACTGTAGAGATTTTTGAGTCCTACTTTGATTCATTCAACAAGTGAACACTGAGCTCCCGCTCTCTGCCAGAGGCACACTGGGTGTTGGAGACAACCACAAAGCCAACAGCAGGGCTCCTACCACATGGGCTTGCAAGAATTCCCTTACAAGTGACCACTACCCAAAACCAATCACGTCATGAAGATAAGAAGCACTTGCCAGGCCAGTTCCTTGGTTTGGAGGAATAGGGTTTTTTTGTTGTTTTTTTTTTTCCCCATAATTATCAGGGTTTTTTTTGTTTTTGTTTTTGTTTTTTTGAGACAGGGTCTTTCTCTGTCACCTAGGCTGGAGTGCAGTGGTGCCATCACGGCTCATTGCAGCCTTGACCTCCAGGCTCAGGTCCCCACCTCAGCCTCCCAAATAGCTGGGACTACAGGCATGCGCCACCACACCTGGATACTTTTTGTATTTTTTCTAGAGACAGAGTGTCCCTGTGTTGCCCAGGCTGGTCTTGAACTCCTGAGCTCAAGTGATCCTCCCACCTAGGCTTCTCAAAGTGCTGGGATTACAGGTGAGAGCCACTGTGCCCCTGGAGGAATAGTTTTTAAGAATTTAAGCACAGCAGAAATCCTGTCTCTGAAAAACCCTTTAGAACAAATAAATTTTATACTACCTTCAAATGTTACTGATACGCTTTGGCTTTGTGCTCCCACCCAAATCTCATCTCGAATTGTAATCCCACCTGGTGGAGGTAATTGGATCAGGGGGGCGGTTCCCCCATGCTGTTCTTGTGATAGTCAGTGAGTTCTCACGAGAGCTGATGATTTAAAAGTGGCAATTTCCCCTCCTTTCTGTCTCTCTCCTACTGCCGTGTAAGATCTGTCTAGCTTCCTCCTCGCCTCCTGCCATGATTGTAAGTTTCCTGAGGCCTCCCCATCCATGAGGAACTGTGAGTCAACTAAACCTATTTTCTTTATAAATTACCCAGTCTCAGGCAGTTCTTCTATAGCAGTGGACTAATAGTTACTAAGCTTTCACATCAAATCGGAATTACAAAAGTGACAATCCCCAAATCCCGAATAAGGCATGGCTAAAAATTTGTTTTGAAATGCAGAAAATACTATTTTTCATGAAAATGTTCAAAGTTCCTAGGTCAAGCCATGAATATTGATTTAACCAAGTCAATTGCTGAGCTTAGAGTAGAGGAAACGCTTCCCCCTTTCCTGGGCAAGGCACTGGCGAGAATAAATTAATAAATGCTTAATCATGGGATATGGCCCTTTCCACTCCTCTAACAACCCAAGGACCACACTGTGACACCCAATTTGGACAGCCCAAAATTAGCCAGAGTGCACTAAAGTCTGAAATAAAATTACTCACCACTCTCAATCAAAACCCCCATTCACAGAATGACTTATCCTTTGGTTATATGAAGAAAACAATTTAATTAATAAGCACTTTAGTAATCTCAGATAATTTATATACTTTTTAGTGGCTGCTTGCTGTCCTAGTTGAATCTCCATGCCATTTTTTGCAGTGTTAATTAAGTGAAATAAAAAGTTCTAGTAGAGTCAGAGATGGTATTTGGGGGCAAAGGAAAGAAAGGGGATAAAAATGATTAGTTGCTCCCTCTGATCAGAGACGTATCAAATATGTGGTCAGATATGGTTAGACACATATCACAGCCCATGGCTCATTAAATCATCACAATCCATTTGTTTCACGTGAGAAAATAGGTCTGGAGAGTTTAAGTAAATTGCCCGGGGTCGCACAGCTTTAAGGAAGGAAGCAGAACTTTAAACCAGGAATTTTCAATGCTCCCACCAGGGTGCTCCTGGGCGTGAGCGACAATAAACTGCAGCCTCTAACCTGATCCTTTTTTTTCCTCATCCCTGCTTCTGAACCCAGGTTTTCTAAAGGCACTAAATTTACTTTTTCTATTTTTTCCTTAATGCCTCTCATGGCAGTTAATAGCCAGGTCTTTGGTGGCAACTGGGGGAAACATGAAAAGGAAGGCGTTTCAATGATTGTATGGGTAGGTTGTTTATACCTGTGGCTTATAAGCAAATATTTTCAGCACAGGCTTTGAAAGAAATCATAATGACTGTAGGTGGGACATGCCGATGAAAAATATTTTTAGGCTGGGCGTGGTGGCTCACACCTGTAATCCCAGCACTTTAGGAGGCTGAGGTAGGTGGATCACTTGAGGTCAGGAGTTTGAGACCAGCCCTGACCAATATGGTGAAACCCCGTCTCTACTAAAAATACAAAAATTAGCCGGGTGTGGTGGTGCCCACCTGTAATTCCAGCTACTTGGGAGGTTAAGGCATGAGAATCGCTTGAACCCAGGAGGTGGAGGCTGCAGTGAGCCGAGATAGCGCCACTGCACTAAAAAAAAAAAAAAAAAGAAAAACTTTTTTTTTCTTCTTTTGAGATGAAGTCTTGCTTTGTCACCAGGCTGGAGTGCAGTAGCACAATCTCGGCTCACTGCAACCTCCACCACCCAGGTTTAAGTGATTCTCCTGCCTCAGCCTCCTGAATAGCTGGGATTACAGGCATGCGCCACCATGCCCAGCTAATTTTTGTATTTTTAGTAGAGATGGGTTTCACCATGTCGGCCAGGATGGTCACTGTCTCTTGACCTTGTGATCCACCCACCCAGAGTGCTGGGATTACAGGCGTGAGCCACCGTGCCCGGCAAAAAACATTTTTAAATACAAAAAAAGGTTGAAAAACTCATAGGAGGCATTACTGATTTTTCTAGGCTGTTGTAGCAGGACGAGCCGCAGACAAAACTCCTTAGACACCGGATTGAAGAAGGCAGACTTGCGTCTCAAAAGCCGAGCTCACCGCGTGAGCAATTCCCGTCCCTTTTAAGGGCTTACGACTCTAAGGGGGTCTGCGTGAGAGGGTCGTGATCGATTGAGCAAGCCAGGGGTACCTGACTGGGGGCTGCATGCACCGGTAATCAGAACAGAACACAACAGGACAGGGATTTTCACACTGCTTTTCTATAAAATGTCTGGAATCTATAGATAACATAACTGGTTAGGTCAGGGGTCGATCTTTAACTACCAGGCCCATGGCGTAGTGCCGGGCTGTCTGCCTGTGGATTTCGTTTCTGCCTTTTAGTTTTTACTTCTTTCTTTGGAGGCAGAAATTGGGCATAAGGCAATATGAGGGGTGGTCTCCTCTCTTACTGTAACTAAAAATTTATATAATTTTCTTCTTTAGAATTCTATGAAAGAAAAAAATCCCATTTTCCCAGGGAGAAACTGAACCATTCTGACCTCTGGTTATGGCTGTCATCCAAACAGTTTATATAACCTGTCTGGGAAATTGAAGATTGTTCATATCTAACTCTGCAGTTACAAAAGGACCATGTCTCATGGAATTATCCACGCTCAGATCTTCCGCATGGCTCAAAACCATTTTTGGGATATGGTAATGTCAAGATAACCCCTTATTCTGTCAAGTATTTAAAAAAATTTTTTTTAAATTTAAATTTATTTATTTATTTATTTATTTTTATTTATTTTAGAGACAGGGTCTCACTATGTTGCTCAGGCTGGTCTCAAACTCCTGGCCTCAAGCGATCCTCCCACTTTGGACTCCTAGGATTACAGGTGTGAGCCACCATGCCGGCCTCTGTCAAGTCTTATTACTTTAAATTATTTACCTCTGTTTGTTTATATATACTTACATACTCTGATGGTTTAAAAGAATATGCAGTGAAAATTAAGTCTCCTTCCCATCCTCTGCACCCTGGGCACCCAGGATCCTTTCTTAACAACCACTGTTACCAGTTTATTGTTAACATAGGTTTTAATGCACTAGAAATGTAGTATCAGAGCACCATCAAAATAGTAACAGAGTGTTGTATATCTCCCCTGTAAGAGTCACAGCCCACACCTCTACAACAAACACAGGGTAACAAGAGAAAAGCAAAACAGCTGGGCACAGTGGCTCATGTCTGTAATCCCAGCACTTTGGGAGGCTGAAGTGGGAGGATTGCTTGAGGCCAGTAGTTCGAGGCTGCAAGTCAGCTATAATTGCACTACTCCACTCTAGCCTGGGTGACAGAGCGAGACTCCACCTCTAAAAAATAAAAAATACATAAAAAAGCCAAACAAATTTATTTGATTATAGTTTTATGTGACACGGGAGCTTTCAGAATGAAGACCGACAGATACAAGGAAAACAATCCATTTCTATGCTTAGGTCCAATGGAACATGGACAGCCATGTAGAAATATGATTGGACCAAAAGGGTAAGATCTGTTGCTAATAGAGTGAGTGGGGAAACTCGGCAAGGCCTGTGTTCAGATTTTTCTTGGCCTCCCCATGCAGCATTTCTTCCTCCGGGTATGGGGCAGGACCCCTCTGGAATGAGGGTCTTAATTTCTTTATGGTCAGCTGTTACACAGAAAGGCAGAGGGAAAGGTTAGAGTATATTTTTATTTTTTTGAGATGGGGTCTCACTCTGTCGCCCAGGCTGGAGTGCAGTGGCGCAATCTCGGCTCACTGCAACTTCCGCCTCCCAGATTCAAGTGATTCTCCTGCCTCAGCCTCCCAAGTAGCTGGGATTACAGGTGCCCGCCAGCAGCCTGGCCAACATGGTGAAACCCCATCTCTACCAAAAACACAAAAAAATTAGCCGGGCATGGTGGTGTTCAACAGAAAGCTGAGTTTTGTTTTTTTCCCTGAGGAATTGAAATTTGCTCTCTGTTTTTTAAGATAGAGTTTCGCTCTGCCACCCACGCTGGAGTGCAGTGGCGCAATCTTGGCTCACTGCAACCTCCGCCTCCTGGGTTCAAGCTATTCTCCTGCCTCAGCCTCCTGACTAGCTGGGATTACAGGCACGTGCCACCATGCTCAGCTAATTTTTTTGTATTTTTAGTAGAGACAGGGTTTCACCATGCTGGCCAGGCTGGTCTGGCCAACATGTAACCATGAGCCAAGTTACATATCTTACGTATCGGAAGAACCAAACAGACAGAATGACACACCAAAAGGAAAACCTCAAACCTCCTCTCCAGCAGAATTTGTCTACGCCCCAACCACTGAGCAGAGAGTATTAACTCTCAGTTTCCCTTTGCCAGCTTTATTTCACACCTCATTTTCTGTCTAGTTACACCATGGTGCTAAGAGAGCATGATGTACATTTTCCTTTGCTGCAATCAAGCTGCAATTGTCATTCTTTATTTATGCAATTACTGAGTTAAAGTCTATCTCCCCAGCCAAACCGCAAGAGTGGGGACCTTGTCTGTCCTGTTTAATGAGGTCATCGGATTAATAGAGTTGTCAAATGTATTAATTAATGCCTGATCCTAATTGCCCATGGATTCTGGGATAAAAGTCCATCCTAGTTGGTAGGAGACCTGATCTCTGAGAAGACACTGAGTTGGTCTTCTCTATTTTGTTCCTAAATGGTTATTGGGTAGCTGGTGTACTAGGCAACCACTGAGCTTAGTGGAGCATTTCTGAGACAACCAGGCCTCAAAGAGAATCTGATCAAGGAAGAAGGAAGTAGAAGAGGCAAGTATTTGAATTTCCTTCTTCAGAAGGGAAGAAGTGGGAGCCACACCCCCTCTTGCCTGCTCTTTCCTCTCCAGCCTTCTCCAGGTATCAGGCAGTTCAAAGATTAGGCAGTTCAAAGATCGCTCCAGGATCGCTGAAGTGTATCATACCATCAGCTGACCTTTTACGTTAACTGGGGCAAAGCCTGAACGGATAACCAGAGGCCAACTGCCATAGTTTATTTATTACAGTTTTTCCCAAATGCTGGATGGCCACACGGCCCTCTATGATGCATGCGCTTGCAAGTCAGACGGTCCCAAGCTAGGCGACTTTCCCCCTTGGTCCCTCGCATTGCAAGTGGCCCGCTAGATCCGGGAGGTATGTAGCGTGGGCCTGGGGCCTGCTCGCAGCCCAGGGCACAGTTCAACCCACCTTCCAACTCGGCGAAGCCAAGCACCACGTCCGAGGCTCTCCCCTGCCTGTCTTTGACCTCTAGGGCTGTGATCGTGCAGCCCCAGGAGATGATGTCCACTCTCAAGAGGTCTGACTGCAGCTGGAACTTCTCCACTGTCCCTCCTCCCGAGGGCAGCTCTCCAAACACGGCCCTGGTCACCGAAGCCATAGGGAAAGTTTGGCGTGTGCAGCCACTGCCCGCTCTTCAAACTCCAGCGCTCGCTAAGCTAGAGGCGACCCAAGTTTACAGGAGAAGGGGCGTGACTCGGCTCAGACTCCTCCCTTTCCCTGCCTGGATTTAGGGAGTGACCGTTCCTGCAAAAAATAGCCCCTGGGGCCTTTCTAAATCAATCATTTGCCTGAGGGTAACAAGAGGGGCAAACTTTGCAGCCACACTTGTACTTTTTTTCCTTGGCTCGTCCTGGTTGCATTGCATGTTGGGAATGGTAGTTTTTGGGAGGTGAAATTGCATTTTGGGGCTTGTAGTCTTTCTAAACTCGAATCCTGGGTTGACGGGGTTCTACCCCCATCTCCCCACACCTCAACATGTAATGAGCTGGTCATTAATGTCGGTGGCTATCAGACGAAGAATGGGAAAATACAGATAGCAGACTTACAGTGAGACCGATCTTGGGAAAAAATTAGATTTTAACTCTTTGATACAGGGGGTAAGAAGTACAGCAGTAGTTGGCCGGCTCGGTGGCTCACGCCTGTAATCCCAGCACTTTGGGAGACCGAGGCAGGCGGATCACGAGGTCAGGAGATTGAGACCTTCCTGGCTAACACGGTGAAACCCCGCCTCTACTAAAAATACAAAAAAAAAAAAAAAAAAAAAAAAAAAAAAAAATTAGCTGGGAGTGGTGGTGGGGGCCTGTAGTCCCAGCTACTCGGGAGGCTGAGGCAGGAGAATGGCGTGAACCCGTGAGGCGGAGCTTGCAGTGAGCCGAGATCACGCCACTGCACTCCAGCCTGAGTGACAGAGCGAGACTCCGTCTCAAAACAACAACAACAACAACAACAAAGTACAGTAGTAGCTTAGAAATGAGGTAAATCATCTCAGGCTTCTCTGCACACAGACTTACTGAAGATTCACTCTTTTTGTCCCACGGATGAAGTCCTGGACATGGTTCTGTTAGAGCCACTGCCCAGAAGGCTCTCCTGACGGCCAAAGCTGTGCCAGCCTCGAGGAGCTTGGACCAGACAGGGTCAGGTAGATGGATTAGGCCCTCGGTGTGCGGAGGTGATTAGAGACAGCCTCAGACTTATTTTACTTCAAGGGACTGGAAAGGGACCTCTGGTGTCTTCTGGCTCCTGAAGTCCACAGTTCCTTTAAGAAGGGATTCAGGGAACAAGTATTGATTGAGGTCCTTGTAAATGCCAGGTACTGAACCTTTGTTATCTCCTTTTCTACAAGTAGGATGGAGTCTTCAGGTATGTACAGTTGGAGAGGAAAGACACTAAGGTTATTAAATAATTGTCTTGCTTGATTGTGTCTCAGAATTTGCTGAGGACATTTAAAATGCATATTCCCAGTCCCCACCTCTGGAATTTCTAATTCTGGAAGTCTAGGGTGAAACTCAGGAATCTGCATTTTTCATGTTCCCAAGTTATTCTTCTGCAGATTATCTGGGACCAGATTTAGAGAAATATTGCTCTAAGGCTTGATGAGTAATCTGAATTTTTTTCCCCAAAAAAATAGGCTCTGATGGCAGAAGGATTAAGATAAAGCTATTAAGGGCCTTAATGAGATAACATACAGGCACCTATGTACTTCCTTGCTAAGTCTGGCAACTTTAGAGGAGTACTGAGCCTAGGAAGTGGGAGGATGCTGGGAGCCTAAAGACAAGTTTTACTCAAGCCATCTGCATAATCATCTATCTTTTCTTGATACTGCTCTTGGCTTGGTTCCTGGGTACTTCAGAGGGTATCCAACTAGACTGGGGTGAGTGCAGAAATGAAATGCATCTTTGATTAGGAAATTATGAGAATTGGGATTATGTGCCTGGAATCAGATGCTAATAAAACATAATAACTATCTCTCAGCTTCTTCTGTCTGTAATTTAAGGTATATTTAGCATTCTTGCCATAAAGCCTCAATTCTCCATCATGAAGCAGAAGAATTCTGATAGCAAAGGAAAAATAAAAAAGCTTGCAACAGGCTTCAGTGAAGCTCAACGTATAATAATAAAAAGACCCAAACAAGTCAAATTATAGACTGCATCACACTCATACAATAACCGACAGGCACTCCTATGTGCTGCTTCATCAGAAATTCTCATAAACTCTCAGTTTCATCAGCCACTTAACTTTGTGGTGATTCACACGCAAGCCCTTTGGCAATGCTGTGTTAGCAAGGATGTCTTAGAAAAGTGAGCAGGAAGACCACTTTTTTTTTTCTCAACCTCCAGTTCTCAGTGTTCTGCCAAGCACATGCTGTTACAGAAGGAAATAAATGTATTTGCCTGCCCAATGCTAAATGTCTCTACGGAAGCTCTTTTTACTCCATTTGGTAGAAAATGAATGTACCATGATGTCTCCCTAAAATGTAAAGAGGCCTGGGCGCGGTGGCTCATGCCTGTAATCCCAGCACTTTGGGAGGCAGAAGCGGGTGGATCACCTGAGGTCAGGAGTTCGAGACCAGCTTGATCAATATGGTGAAACGCCATCTCTACTAAAAATAAAAATAAAAAAAAACTAGCCAGGCATGGTGGTATGTGCCTGTAGTCCCAGCTACTCTGGAGGCTGAGACAGGAGAGTTGCTTGAACCAGGGAGGCGGAAGTTGCAGTGAGCTGACGTTGCACCACTGCCTCCAGCCTGGGTGACAGAGTGAGACTCTGTCTCAAAAAAAAAAATGTAAGGAGTACACTTCTTGATTTCATTTTCCTTTGAAGGGTTTAACTAACATATTGTCGCAAATAGCATTACCTTGTGCTTGAATCAACTGTCAGGCACAAACCTTGATTTTTCTCACCCTAATATCCTATTTTTATCCCACAGTGAAACTCTAAAGGAATATCTGTGCACTTAAAAACAAACAAACAAAACCCCTAAATCTAGGGGCAATTCTCCATCTGCAGGGAAGTCAGATGCAAGGTAGTAATCTAGAAAATGAAGCACTGTCAAATTTCAGGAGGTATTTATTTTTATTTTGGGGTAAGGGCCTGAGGATGAGATTATAAGGTAAAGGGAAAAGGGATTATGGCATTTATGTAAAAGGAAAATTACTGGCCAGGCGCGGTGGCTCATGCCTGTAATCCCAGCACTTTGGGAGGCCGAGGCAGGCGGATCACAAGGTCAGAAGATTGAGACCATCTTGGCTAACATGGTGAAACCCCGTCTCTACTAAAAATACAAAAAATTAGCTGGGCATGGTGGCGGGCACCTGTAGTCCCAGCTACTCGGGAGGCTGAGGCAGGAGAATGGTGTGAACCTGGGAGGCGGAGCTTCCAGTGAGCCAAGATCACACCACTGCATTCCAGCCTGGGCAACAGAGAGAGACTCTGTCTCAAAAAAAAAAAAGGAGAATTACTTGAAGTAGATAGCATTTCCTCTAACTAGAAGGGGAGGTGTCAGGGTGGCCAGGTGAAGAATAAGGTCTGGTTTTTTTGTGTGTTTTTTGTTTGTTTGTTTTTTGAGAGGGAGTCTCACTCTGTTGCCCAGGCTGGAGTGCAGTGGCGTGATCTCGGCCCACTGCAACCTCCGCCTCCCGGGTTCAAGCAATTCTCTTGTCTCAGCCTCCTGGGTAGCTGGGACTAACAGGTGCATGCCACCATGCCCTGCTAATTTTTGTATTTTTAGTAGAGACAGGGTTTCACCATATTGGTCAGGCTGGTCTCGAACTCCTGACCTCAGGTAATCCACCCACCTCGGCCTCCCAAAGTGTTGGGATTACAGGCGTGAGCCATTGTGCCCAGCCAAGGTCTGTCTCTTATCAGATAGAGGTAAGTCCCCAAAACTGAGTGCTTGGGAAGCCAGGCGTGAGGAAATCTGAGCTCTTGGAGGCTGCCACCACCTCCTCATTCAACATAGAAATGGCAAGGTGTGTTGTTCCTGGGAGGGGTCAGACCCTGCTTTCATAAAATCACTCTAGGCCGGACGCAGTGGCTCATGCCTGTAATCCCAGCACTTTGGGAGGCCAAGGCAGGAGGATCACTTGAGCCCAGGAGTTTGAGACCAGCCTGGGCAACATAGCGAGACCTCATCTCTGCTAAAAGTAAAAAAAATTAGGCTGGGCACGGTGGCTCATGCCTGTAAGCCCAGCACTTTGGGAGGCTGATGCGGGCGGATCGTGAAGTCAGGAGTTCGAGACCAGCCTGACCAACATGGTAAAACCCTGTCTCTACTAAAAATACAAAAATTAGCCGGGCATGGTGGCAGTCACCTGTAATCCCAGCTACTCGGGAGGCTGAGGCAGGAGAATCGCTTGAACCTAGGAGGCGGAGGTTGCAGTGAGTGGAGATCGCGCCATTGTACTCCAGCCTGGGCAACAAGAATGAAACTCCGTCTCAAAAAAAAATTAGCTGGGTTTAGTAGTGGGCTTCTCTGGTCCCAACTACTTGGGAGGCTGAGGCTGGAGAACTGCTTGAGCCTGGGAGGTTGAAGTTGTAGTGAGCCATGATCACACCACTGCACTCCAGCTGAGGTGACAGAGCAAGACCCTGTTTCAAAAAATAAAATAAAAATAAAAACAACACAAAGTTTTAAGCTATTGACAAGCTGCTATGCAGAGAAAATTCTCTGAGTTATAATAACAAAACTGAGTCACAGTTTGTCTATAAAAAGACCTGGAAAAGATTCTCTCCAGTCACGTTGGTCCATTACCACACTCCTGTTCTCTTTGTCAGTTCTCTGAACTCCAACATTGTTTATTGTCAGTTCTTCTTAATGGGCACTCAGTAGCCACTGTCTCAAATCATTCCTTATGTTTCCATGAGTATATTTTTGTTATTGTTGCTTACTCAACTATCGGCTTCCTGACTCAATAGTTTGACTTACGTATATATAGATATATATTTTTTTGAGAGTCTCACTCTGTGCCCTGGCTGGAGTGCAGTGGCATGATCTTGGTTCACTGCAACCTCCACCTCCCAGGTTCAAGTGATTCTCCTGCCTCAGCCACTCAAGTAGCTGGGACTACAGGCATGTGCCACCATGCCCAGCTAATTTTTGTATTTTTAGTAGAGATGGGGTTTCACCATGTTGGCCAGGCCGGTCTCGTACTCCTGACCTGAGGTGATCCACCCACCTTGGCCTCCCAAAGTGCTGGAATTACAGGCATGAGCCACCGTGCTTGGCCAGACTTACATATTTTTAATTAATTAATTATTTTTTGGAGACGGAGTCTTGATCTGTCACCCAGACTGGAGTGCGATGGTGCGATCTCCACTTACTGCAACCTCCGCCTCCTGGGTTCAAGTGATTCTCCTGCCTCAGCCTCCCGAGTAGCTGGGATTACAGGCACGTGCCACCACTCCTGGCTGATTTTTTATATTTTTAGTAGAGACGAGTTGCACCGTGTTGGCCAGGTTGGTCTCGAACTCCTGACCTCTTGATCCGCCTGCCTCGGCCTCCCAAAGTGCTGGGATTACAGACGTGAGCCCCCGCGCCTGGCCCCATTTTTAATTTATTTTAATTACTTTATTTTTTGAGACAGGGTCTTTCTCCGTAAGCCAGGCTGGTGTTCAGTGGCACAAACATGGCTCACTGCATCCTCAACCTCCTGGGCTCAAGTAATCCTCCTGCCTCAGCCTCCCAAGTAGCTGGGACCATGGGTATGTGCCACCACACCTGGCTCATTTTTAAAATTTTTTAAGAGATGGGGTCTTGCTATGTTGCCCAGGCTAGTTAAAATCTCCTGACCTCAAGCCTTCCTCCTGATTCAGCCTCCCAAAATGCTGAGATTACAGGCACAAGCCACCACATCCAGCCCAACTTATATATTTTTGCAAATCAAACTCACTATACTTGATTTCAGATAAAAACTACCTGTACATGCTGGACTTGGTGGCTCACGCCTGCAATCCCAGCACTTTGGAGGGCTGAGGCGGGTGAATGATTTGAGGTCAGGAGTTTGAGACCAGCCTGGCCAACATGGTGAAACCCCATCTCTACTAAAAATTCAAAAATGAGCCGAGCATGGTGGCGCATGCCTGTAATCCCAGCTACTTGGGAGGCTGAGGCAGGAGAATCACTTGAGCCTGGAAGGCGGAGGTTTTGGTGAGTCAAATTTGCACCATTGCACTCCAGTCTGGGTGACACAGTGAGACCCTGTCTCAAAAACAACAGCAACAACAACAACAAAAACTACCTGTACTGGAAGCTAGGAATCTGAGAGAATCTCATCAAGTTTACAAGAGGTAGAATTATTCACAGTTCAATTTATTTTATTTTATTTTTTTTGAGACAGAGTCTTCCTCTGTCACCCAGGCTGGAGTGCAGTGGCACAGTCTGGGCTCACTGTAACCTCTGCCTCCCAGGTTCACGCTATTCTCCTGCCTCGGTCTCCCAAGTAGCTGGGACTACAGGTGTACGTCACCACGCACGGCTAATTTTTGTATTTTTAGTAGAGACAGGTTTTGCCATGTTGGCCAGGCTGGTCTCAAACTCCTGACCTCAAGTGATCCGCCTGCCTTGGCCTCCCAAAGTGCTGGGATTACAGCTGTGAGCCACTGCACCAAGCCTTCATAGTTTAATTCTACTCAATTGCATCAATGATTTTGGAGCAACTGCTGGGGAAGGCATTATGGGGGGCATGTGAGAAGTTATTTAGGAAGATGGATTAAATTTGACTGCATGGTTTGCTGCATGTGAGAAGTTATTTAGGAAAATGGATTAAATTTGACTGTATGGCGTGTTGCTCATTCATCAAATACTCAATGAGTATGTGCTAGACACTGTGCTAAGTAGTGGTTGTACACTGATAAGTAAAAGTTGGTCTTTGTCTTCAAGGAGCTTACAGTCAAATGTGATACAATCCTCATCTCCGTCCCCCATAAAAGTGAAAATAAAAGCTTCACACTTCATTAACAGCCAATGCTGGATGAAACCTGTCTCAGGATATGTGTAATTTCAGGGTTGCTCAAAGATGACTAGCCCTGTTAGGATTATTTTAGAATTTCCTAGCACCAAGCACCAAGTAACTATCACATAGTAGATGTTCAACAAATAATTATTGGGTGAATCCTGATACATTCATATATACAAGCAATGTTGTAGTAGAGAACTGGCTCTGGTATCAGAAGACCTGGGTTAAAGAGGTACCAGTACTTCCTGGCTGGACAATTTGTTCAGCTACTGAGAACCTCAGTTTCCTCATCTGTAAAAGAGGAATAATGTCACATGGTTGGCCTATTCAATTATTATTAATTGACTGGTAGTAAAATGTACTGGACACCATGCTAAAAACTTATTGTGCACCATGATAAACACCCGTATGACTCAGGCACTATTATCTGATATGGAAACTGAGACTTAGAGAGGTTAAATTTACAGAGTTCAAGGTCACAAGGTTGGTAAGTCAGGAAACCAAGATTTGATTCTGGGCAGCATGACTGCAAAGATGGGAATACTTCACCACTTCCTCATATGCTGCCTGGTATTATATAGGTCATCTGAGAACATGCATTCCAAAATACTGTCTATTTTAACACATTACGGAATGTAAAATGTTCATCTTCTAATTTTATAGTAATTACAAGTTTTAAAATGTTGTTTTCTTAAATTAGGTCATGTTGGGCTCATGAGGGCGTTGCATTCACTTACTGTAAAGGCCCCAGGAAGAAAGGCTACTCCTTTGTAGCCATAGAGCCTAGAAACAAAGCACTCAGCTGGGCGCGGTGGCTCACGCCTGTAATCCCAGTACTTTGGGAGGCTGAAGAATGTGGATCATTTGTCAGGAGTTCAAGACCAGCCTGGCCAACATGGTGAAACCCTGTCTCTACTAAAAACACAAAAATTAGGGAGCTGTGGCTCACGCCTGTAATCCCAGCACTTTGGGAGACCAAGCAGGCAGATCACCTGAGGTCAGGAGATTGAGACCATCCTGACCAACATGGTGAAACCCCGGCTCTACTAAAAATACAAAAATTAGCTGGACGTGGTGGTGCATGCCTGTAATCCTAGCTACTCGGGAGGCTGAGGCAGGAGAAGAACCGGGGAGTCAGAGGTTACAGTGAGCTGGGATCGTGCCACTGCACTCCAGCCTGGCGACAGAGAGAGACTCCATCTCAAAAAAAAAAAAAAAAAAAAATTAGGCATGGCGGTACACGCCTGTAATCCCAGCTACTCGGGAGAATCACTTGAACCCGGGAGGCAGAGGTTGCAGTGAGCCAAGATCACGCCACTGTACTCCAGCCTGGGCAACAGAGTGAGACTTTGTCTCAAAAAAAAAAAAAAAAAAAAAAGGGACTTATCACCTCCAGATGTATTATGTATTAATTTGCTTATTTGTTATTGGATATCTCATGCCAAGAGAATGGAAGCTCCAAGAGAGTGGGAACTATCACTACTGCATACCCATAAGTAGAACAAACTAGTAGATCACTAGTAAATATGTGTTGAATGAATGATTGAATGCTGGAGAGAATGTGAAGCATCTCTTATACACAGCTGGTGGATGTCTTAGTTGGTAAAACCACTCTGGAGGACAAATTGTTGATATATAATAAAGTCAAATTGCACATAAACCAGCAACACCCCATGAATACCCAGCATTTTCATTCCCTATAATATACTCTGGATGATCTCTTGCGTATGCGTGTAAGAATATTTATAGCCATATTATGTATAAGAATAAAAATGTGGAAACAACTTCAGGTTCTTCAGTTGAAGAGCAGATAAGCAAATTGTGGTATATCCATGCAATGGCAGATGAGAAAACAGGAAAATGATTGTGCTAGGACTCCACAGAGCCTCAGACATGAACTTCATAACTACAATGTTAAGTGGGGGAGGGGGGGCAAAAAAAGCAGTGACAAAAGGATACATATTTATCATTTATATAATATTAAAAATTGCAAAACAGGCCGGGCAGGGTGAGACAAAGGATTTTATTACTCACTGCACAACAAGTAGCATACTCATCATTTTGGGGCTAGTTCCCCATGTCCTCCAAGACCCAAGAAGACAACACAGAGGGAACCAGGTGAACACTGTACACATAGTGGACTCACGTTGCAGCTGAAATCTACCATTTTTACAGAGTGGCAAGCAAGCCTGCTTTCTGTCTGGGAGATGTTACCTCATCCCTCAAGGCTACTCATGGAAACGTAACCCTGGGAAATGGCCAACTAAAGAGCGGTCAGGCCATTTCTTTTTGCCTCTTTGGCATATCCAAAAAGGATGTTCAGTGATGATCAGGGCCCTGGCTGATTAGTATGGTAGCTGTGCTCACTATGGTAATCTGGGACCTAGTCCTCTTCTAACTAGTTGTCTCACCATCCCTAGGGTGTGGGGTATGGCTTGAAGTCCACTTGGCCAAGGATGCCACCATGTCCACAGCAGGATAAGAAAGGGGACAGGGGAGGGCATATTGGAGAAGTGGCATGGCCCCTCTTTGTTTTTTTTTTTTGTTGTTGTTGTTGTTTTTTTATACAGAGCCACGCTCTTGTTGCCCAGGCTGAAGTGCATTGGTGCCATCTCAGCTCACTGCAACCTCTGCCTCCCAGATTCAAGTGATTCTCCTGCCTCAGCCTCCTGAGTAGCTGGGATTACAGGCATGTGCCACCATGCCTGGCAAATTTTTGTATTTTTAGAAGAGACGAGGTTTCACCATGTTGGTCAGGCTGGTCTCAAACTCCTGACTGCAAGTGATCCTCCCATCTTGGCCTCCCAAAGTGCTGGGATTACAAGTGTGAGCCACCGCGCCTGGCCAGCCCCTTTCTTTAAGGACATATCCTGAAAGTTCCATACATCACTTCCCCTCACATTCCATTGGCCAGAACTTATATTCAAATAATCATATCAAACTGCAGGGTAGGTTTGGAAATGTATAATCATTAATCTAGGCATTCTGTTAATGTAGCAAAAAGGAGAAGACATTGGGGGAATAACTAGAACTCTGCCGCATTCTTTATTAATAGTTGATGGTATTTAAATATATACTTTCCTAGGACCTTGGAGGGTTGGCAGTGCATCCTCTTTCCTCCCATCCTTCATATACATTGAGAATCTGAGCCTGTGTCTTGGGTGTGTACTGGTCGCTAGGTGTTTATGAGTACACACCGGGGGTGTCAGATACACTTCAGGCATGACCCAAGGTGAGAAAACAGAGGAGTCAGATGATTTCCTGGGATCTAGGAGAACACAGAAATTTTATTCCAGACGATGGTGCACTTATGAGTGTGGAGTTAGGGACCCTGAGGATCGCAGTGGGAAGGTCCGAAAGAGCTCTAGACAGAGATGTTCATTATGCCCAGAGGGCGGTGGTACAGAGTAAGAACCATTTTGATGGCAATGGGTTGTCAACAGAAGCGCTCAAGCCATGCAGGGTTTCCCCCAACCCTTGCAGAGCTGGCTCCCATGAAAGACATGGAGAACTCCAAGTCACAGGAGACTGACAGTTGGAAGGAGAGGTTTCCAGGAGTCAACACTGACCCAGTGTAGTTACAGTAAGGAATTTCCTTGGACCAATGACTGGGAGCTACCTGGGGCACTATCCCGAGTCATAGCCAGATGAGGTCCCCAGGGATGGCTTTGCAGCTGGTAGGAGTTTCCACTAATTAATGGGAGAGCTCTGCAGTGTATCCCTGTAGTTCCAGGAAAGCCTCTCTATGGATGACTTCAGCCTCTGCTCAAAGTAGAAGCTTGGCCAGCAAATTCCACTTGGAGTTCTACAGCTCTTTGAGCCTCAGTCATGTCCCTTGATTTTGTGCCATCTCTTAGCAAATTCTTCCTTACAGGTGGGGGAGACACTCATTGACCAGATTAACTTTGTTCTGAATGGGGTCGTAGCAGAGGCAGTTCCTGTCAAGAAATGCCACATTTTTGAAAAAAACAAAACAAAAACAAACTGAGAATGAAGCCCTTTTGAATGGTTTCAAGTATGCCAGTAGGTACACCAAGACGAGTGGTGCTGTGGTTTGAATGTATCCCCTCTAAAATTCATGTTGAAACTTAATCCCCATTGTGGTAGTATTAAGAAGTGAGGTCTTTTGGGAAGTGATGACGTCATGAAGGTTCTGCCCTCATGAATGGATTAGTGGCTTATAAGAGGCTGGAGAGAACCAGCTTAGATGCTTTTGCCCTTCCTTCCCTCCCACTACGTGAGGACACAGCCTTCAAGGCACCATCTTAGAAGGAGAGACCTGGCCCTAACCAGGCACCAAGCCCTCCGGCACCTTCATCTTCGACTTCCCAGCGTCCAGGACTGTGAGAAATCAATTTCTGCTGTTGATAAATTATCCAGTCTCAGGTAGTTTTGTTACAGCAGTACAAACGGACTAAGATAGGTGGCATTGATTGATGAAACTGTGTGGCTTCTCCAGAAGGAGAGAGAGAGAGGGAAAGGCAAGGAGGGGAGATGGCGTTTAACCACACACTGGGACAGAAGTATGGCTGTGACCTCGGGGCAAGAGGGAAGTCTTTTCAGCAGAGCCTTTTCCTGGGCTCCTGGGGCACGTGCAAGTGGAAATGGCTGAGTAAGTTTATTTCAGCAACTGTGCGGCCCTAGGAAAAGCTGAACTACTGATAAAAAGCCGAGAGGAACTAGAGCAAAGAATCTAGCCAGATAGGACGGCTCTGGCAGACCTCATGTGGCCAGGCAGACCCCATATGGCCAGGCTTACAAGACAGGGTCCCTCCACAGTCAGGGCTGGCGGTGAGTCCATTAGATGGCCAGCAAGTGTGTTCCGCCCTGTTCTAGAGCAGAGGCCCTGTGCTCCGTGGTCTGTTGGAACAGCCCACTGGGTGCAGTGTGGACTGTAGTCAGAAGGTCAGAGGCCCGCAGGCTAATCCAGCCCTGCCTTGGGCAGGCTTGAACAGAGAAATGTAAGCGTCGCTTCTGTGTCTCTTCAAAAGGCTAACATTGAATCTAGGTGAGAGAATTGCAGTGGAATTGGCAGTTTCTTCTGAGTTTAACCACATTCTATAAAGATGTGTGGTTATGCAAGGGCCAGGCGAGGTCAGGAGAGGGCAAATGTGACAAGCTCCTGGGCAGTGTTTTTTTCTGACACCAGCTCTGACACCCAATCACACCAACCAAATCTATGACACCAATTGGGTGTCCCATAATTCAATTTTGACATGGCCTATCTGGAGTTAGTGTCAGATCCCACAAGTTAAAGGGCTCAGTCTCACAAGACTGCCCCTGTCTTCAGATACCAGCTGCAAATAGGGTGCCCAGGCTACCCACACTTCTGCCCAGACCACTACAAATGTGAGGGTTTCCATGACCTCCTTTCAGGTTTGCTAATTCACTAGGATGACTCACAGAACTCAGAAAAATACCTTACATGTGCTCACTGGTTTCTTATAAAGGCTAAAACTCAGGGGAAGCCAAATGAAAAAGATGCACAGGGCAAGATATGGGGGTGGGGTGGCGCAGAGCTTCCGTGCCCTCTCTTGTGCCCCATCTTTCCAGCACATCAATATGTTTACCAACCCAGAAACTCACCGAACCTATTGGTTAGGGGTTTTTGTGGAGGTTTCATTACCTAGGCAAGATTAATCAAGTCTTTGTGTTTGATAATGAAACTCAACCTTTAATCCCTCCTCACCCGCTAGGGAAGTGGGGCTGACAGTTCTCATCCTCAAATCTCTTGGTTGGTTTTTCTGGCAACCAGCTTCCATCCTGAAGCTATCTAGGGCCCCTCAATCTTGAGTCATCTCATTAGCATATAAAAAAACCCCTTATAACTCAGGCGATTCCAAGGGACAAGACTATATATATATTAGAGATAGTGTCTATGTTGCTCAGGCTGGAGTGCAGTAACACCATCATAGCTCACTGTAGCCTTGACCTCCTGGGTTCAAGCGATCCTCCTACCTTAGCCTCCCAAGTAGTTGAGACTACAGATTCATGCCACCACACTCAGCTAATTCTTAAAAAAAATTTTGTAGGCCAGTCATGGTGGCTTACGCTTGTAATCCCAGCACTTTGGGAGGCCGAGGTGAGAGGATCGCTTAAGCTCAGGAGTTTGAGACCAGCTGAGCAACATAAGACCTTGTCTCTACTTAAAAAAAAAAAAAAAAAAAAATTAGCCAGACATAGTGGTGCATGCCTATAGTCCTGGCTACTCTGGAGGCTGAGACAGGAGGATCACTTGAGCCTAGGAGATCCAGGCTACAGTGAGCTGTGATTGCACCACTGCACTCAGCCTGGGTAACAGAGGGAAAGCCTGTCTCAAAAAAAGAAAACAAAAAAATGGTTGTTCATAGAGATGGAGTCTCACTGTTTTGCCCAGGCTGGTCTTGAACTCCTGGGCTCAAGTGATCTTCCTGCTTCAGCCTCCCAAAGTGCTGGAGCTGCAGGTGTGAGCCACTATACCTGGCCAATTTAAAGATCTTAGTTGGCTTTTATTTACAGTTCTAGAATCGAGCAATACCTCATTCCATAAAATATGATGAGTGTTCCGATAAGCTGAGCAGAGGAGGTTGGCTTTAGAAACGAGAAGTGGGGAGAGAAGCAGAAACAGAAAATGAAAAGTGGATTGGTGGTTTCAAATTTCCTTTCCTTGTAAAGGTTAAAGTAGAGAAGATTTTCTTATCATATCAGCTCAAATAGCTTGGGTACTGGGCTATTATCTCACTCTCAATTTCTGGGAAGGTCAGATAAACAATTTATTTTCAACTTGGTGGGGTGGAGCTTCAGTGTGAGTGACTATTTTGGTTTGGTCTGTCAGGCCTAGTGCAGGAGCTCAGTTCAAACCAATGGCCTCCTCTAAATTGTATTTAATAACAGTAAGTCTAAGGAGGGACCTGGCCTCTATTTTTTTTTTTTTTTTTTTGAGACAGAGTCTTGCTCCATCGCCTAGGCTGGAGTGCAGTGGCGTGATCTTGTCTCACTACAACCTCTGCCTCCCGGGTTCAAGAGATTCTCATGCTTCAGCCTCCCTGGTAGCTGGCACCACAGGTGTGTGCCACCATGCCAGGCTAATTTTTGTATTTTTGGTAGAGAAGGGGTTTTGCCATGTTGCCCAGGCTGGTCTCAGACTCCTGACCTCAAGTGATCCACCCGCCTTGGCCTTCCAAAGTGCTGGGATTACAGGCGTGAGTCACTGCACCTGGCCCTGGCCTCTTTTTCTTTTTCTTTTTTTTTTTTTTAAGACAGAGTTGTGCTCTCGTTGCCCAGGCTGGAGTGCAGTGGCACAATCTCGGCTCACCGCAACCTCCGCCTCCCGGGTTCAAGTGATTCTCGTGCTTCAGCCTCCCTAGTAGCTGGCACCACAGGTGTGTGCCACCATGCCAGGCTAATTTTTGTATTTTTGGTAGAGATGGGGTTGTGCCATGTTGCCCAGGCTGGTCTGGGACTCCTGACCTCAAGTGATCCACCTGCATTGGCCTTCCAAAGTGCTGGGATTACAGGCGTGAGCCACTGCACCTGGCCCTGGCCTCTATTTTTTTTTTTTTTTTTTTTGAGATGGAGTTTTGCTCTTGTCGCCCAGGCTGGAGTGCAGTGGCGCAATCTCGGCTCACCGCAACCTCCGCCTGCCGGGTTCGAGTGATTCTCCTGTCTCAGCCTTCCGAGTAGCTGGGATTACAGGCATGCACCACCATGGTCGGCTAATTTTGTATTTTTAGTAGAGATGGGGTTTCTCCATGTTGGTCAGGCTAGTCTCAAACTCCCGACCTCAGGTGATCCACCCGCCTCGGCCTCCCAAAGTGCTGGGATTACAGGCGTGAGCCACTGTGCCCAGCCCCTGGCCTCTATTTTTAATAAACTCTCTAAATGATTACCACGCTCACTGAAGTTTGAAAACAAAGGGGTATACATTTTTTTGAGTCCCTCACCCCCAGCACCACTCCTTCCCATGAAGCCTATTCAGTCATGCTCTGAAGGAAGAGCCCCATTTGACTCAGGTTGGCCTTCTTCCTTAAGGGCCAGGCAGAAGGATGGCTGAGTACAGAGGATGGCTTGGCGGAGCGCATCTACTTTAGGATCCTGGAGATTCTGCCGCAGGTTGGAATCAGATTCTCAGGAAAAGGAATCAGAATTCACATTGGTTAGTGTCTGCTGTATCAAGCAATGTGCATGCTATGCATTTTTATGTGGTTTAATCTGTGAGGGAGGTATAACCACTGTCATTTCATAGCTGAGAAAATTGAGACTCAAAGAGGACTGGGGCCAAAGAGTCACACTGGTATTCAAATTCAGGCCTGCCTGGCTCCAATGTCTACCCCCAAATAGTATGTAATGGGCAGGGAACATGTTGAGCTTGTGTGACTTGGCTGTGAGCTTGAGCTGCTGCAGCCACAGTGTAGTGCTCTTCGCTCCATCATCACTGCGTCTGGAACAGTGGGAAGGACAGGACAGCTCTGTGCTGCCAAATAGGAGCACCATCAGCTCCCAGATGCTGCTTCCTGAAGCACTACTTTCTCAAAGCCTCCCTGGGGAATCAGCAGTCCTGCTGAATGTGTCCCTGTCTCTCTGTAGATTATGCTGCTCTCAGATCCCTGAGGTAGAGCCTGGCCAAAGGTTCTGGAGATTGTTGGAACCTCCACATCTAATGCTGAATCTAGCTTGGTTGATGCCAATTTGACCTTCTTCTGATGTGGTGAATGTCCCCTGGACGGCTCTGTGGTCCTAAGTCCTGTCTGCAAGGCCAGGGAGGGCTGGGTAGGAGAACAGCCCTTCTGTTCAGGGCTGGTATAGAGGGAGATGGGCTGAAATAGAAAAGGCGTCACTTAGGGCTTTCTGAGTAAGGCAAATCCAAATCCAACAGCAACAGTGGGAAAATAAATAGAAGGAATATAAAAATCAGCAGCCAGAACTTTGACAGTAGGTCAGAATAGAGTGGAATAGGTGATGGGAGGTGATTTAGGGATGAGTCTGTGAGGCCACAGCTTGGCCAACACACATGGAGCGTGTCACAGGGCAAGAATAGGAACTTGGAGGAAGTATGTGCACCTGGCCAAACTGTGCTGTACTTCCATGAGTTTGTTTATTCATCCAAGGTGGAGTCGCAGTGTGACATGACATTGATGGAAGGGACAGGACAGGAAGGCGGCGGTGTTGTTGGGAGAAATTAGCCAAGTGATCACCAGGGTGTAAATTCACCTTTTAGTCCAGGGTCTGGTCCTCAGCCTTTCAGGCAGGAAACTCGGTATTGTCAGTGCCCCAGGATTCGTCCTGCTTAGAGACTAACCCCAGCTACATTTTTAAGGACTGGTATATAAGATAAAAGCCTATTCTATCTATTTAAAAGAGATTATCCTCTTCCAGGGCCTGGAATGTTCTAATCTCCCTTTCCTAGTATGGAAGAACTGGTGATGATGAATTAGATGAATTAACAATCAACGGCCGGCTAGGCGTGGTGGCTCATGCCTGTAATCCCAGCACCTTGGGAGGCTGAGGAAGGGTGGATCACCTGAGGTCAGGAGTTCCAGACCAGCCCGGACAACACGGTGAAACCCTGTCTCTAATGAAAATACAAAAATTACCTGGGCATGGTGGTGGGCGCCTGTAATCCCAGCTATTTGGGTGGCTGAGGCAGGAGAATCCCTTGAGCCCGGGAGGCAGAGGTTGCAGTGAGCAGAGATCATGCCACTGCGTGACAGAGCGAGATTCCATCTCAAAAACAAAAACAAACAAACAAAAAAAACAAGGGCCATTTTATGAGCATGAGTTGCTGCAAAGAGCTGGCTAGGAAATGTACGTGCCCAAGGAAAGGTCCATGCTTCACAAGAGGGAGTTCATCTCTGATGACGAACTGCTGATGCGCCTCAGATTCAGTGTCTTCCCTGGACAGTGCTGGATATTATCAACCAATGTTTGTATCTTCAACTCTTCTTTTTCTATGCCTCTGTATCAGAGTTGCACAATTTTTTTTTCTTTTTTCTTGAGTTGGAGTCTCGCTCTGTCTCCCAGGCTGGAATGCAGTGGTGCGATCTCAGCTCACCGAAAACTCTGCCCCCCATGTTCAAGCGATTCTCTTGCTTCAGCTTCCCCTGTAGCTGGGATTACAGGTACGCAACACCATGCCCAGCTAATTTTTGTATTTTTAGTAGAGACGTGGTTTCACCATGTTGTCCAGGCTGGTCTCAAACTTCTGACCTCAAATGATCTTCCTGCCTTGGCCTCCCCAAGAGAGTTGCATAATTTAACTTGTGCTCCAACTTTGTTGTGCAGATGAAATGGGTTTTCCTATCAGTTTGTCCATAGCTGCTCTGGTCTTCTATTAAGCCACCACTCACTTGGTTAGTTGTTGTTGGTGGTGGTGAAGATGATTGAAATGTCCAGTCTGGTTTAAAGCATGGTAATGCTGATCATTGACATAATTCCTTTAGCTATGTTCAGTTTCTCTTGGATGAATTATCTCAATAATCTCCCGGTCTTCCTGCTTCTTCTCCTAACGTGGTGAACAGATGTATGGAGAAGAGAGACTAGTATGGCTTATGAGTCTTCACCACAGCAGGAAGAGCCACGGGCCCCTTCTGGGTCCCCCGCCTTCTCTCTCCTTTGTCCACCTGTTTTCTGTGTGCTCTGCTGGTCTGAAGCTGCAGCCTGTAGCAGTTAGCATGTGGTCGTGAACTGAAGGTCCTGCAGGTCCGGCACTGGTCCCGTGGTCCTGCACAGCCTTGGCAATGCATCTTGGGAACACTGGCCCCTTTTCCATTACAGACTTGACTTGCCCTCAGCTCTGACTGTGAACACTGAGCCTCTGCTTTGTCCCCCACTTGTCGCCTGCCCTGGTTGTGAAACCTGCCCAATTGTCCCATACAACTAATGTTTAGAGTTTCTTCTGAATAAACATATGAATTAATCCTCTTAGTCTTAAAACTTGAGTAAGTTCCATTTGTCTTATCTGAGTTCCATTCTCAGGAAACCAACCGTCATGCCTCCCAGATAGTATCAGGAAGCTGAAACTTACCAGGTTGCTGCATCAGGACAGTGAGATGCCAGACACCTCACCCATCATGATTGCCTAACTCACCACCTGCTTCCTGTTGACCAACTCCTCTTCCTCACCCCTCTCTATTCCTGTTTTCCTGCATGTAGTTTCATTTCTTCCTTGCTGTATAAACCCCTGATTTTAGTTGATCAGGGAGATGGATTTGAGACTGATCTCCCAATTCCTTGGCTGTAGCCCCCGATTAAAGCCTTCTTCCCTGGCAATACTCACTGCCCCAGTGATTGGGTTTCTGTGTGGTGAACAGTAGGACCTAGAACAAAGCCCTGGTGTTGTAGTAAGAGTGGCCTGCTGCAGCCTATGCAGTGGGGTCTTCTCTTGGTTCAAACTCGTGTCCTCTATCATTAGTTAATACCATAATCGTCTCCGAATAGCCTCTCTACCTATGGCCTCCTCCAGTCTCTTTCTCACAGCTGCAGAGCATCTTTCTAAAATGCCCATATGATCATAAAAAACCCTTAAGAGTTTCCACTTTTCTTTTCTTTTTTTTTTTTTTTTTTTTGAGACAGAGTCTTGCTCTGTTGCCTAGGCTGGTGTGCAGTGGCGTGATCTTGGCTAACTGCAACCTCTGCCTCCCGGACTCAAGTGATTCTCCTGCCTCAGCCTCCCGAGCAGCTGGGATTACAGGCGCCAGCCATCACGCCCAGCTAATTTTTGTATTTTTAGTAGAGATGGGGTTTCACCACGTTGGCCATGCTGGTCTTGAACTCCTGACCTCAAGTGTTCCACCCGCCTCGGCCTCCCAAAGTGCTGGGATTACAGGCATGAGCCACCGTGCCCAACCTCAATTTTCTATAGGATAAACTTTCAGCTGCTTAGTCTGGTTTAAATAAGACCTTAAGCAATTTGGCCTTCGTTTACTTTCCAGCCTCATCTCTATTTTTCCTGCCTCACGTGGACATCTAACATAATACACCCTTTTAGGACCCCATGTGCTATTTTTTCTGCCTTAAATTTTCTTTTTTTCTCATTATTTAAGGCCTAGCTCAAATGCTTCTCTGTGAAACAATGTTTTCTTTTTCTTTCTTTTTGCATGGATCTCTAGTATGTCACTTATTACATCTATATGTAAGCTGAACTATTTTAAATTGAACTTAAAAATTTAAGAAAAATTTGTTTCTTCAATAAATTGTGTAATAATTAAAAACCCAATTAACAACAAATGCTCTTTTGTGTGCACAAGAAGCAGCCCTTGGTCATTAAAACAAACTCACTTTAGACACTGACATTTTTACATAATTGTAAAATATGAACATCTCAGAGTTGGTTTATTAGACTGCTTTTTCTTTTTTTTTTTTTTTTTTTGATACAGGGTCTCCCTCTGTCACCCAGGCTGGAGTGCAGTGGCAAGATCTTGGCTTACTGCAACCCCTGCCTCCTGGGCTCAAGCCATTCTCCTACCTCAGCCTCCTGGGTAGCTGGGACTACAGGCATGTGACACCATATCCGGGTAATTTTTTGTAGTGATGGAGTTTCACCATGTTGCCCAGGCTGGTCTCAAACTCCTGAGCTCAAGCGATCTGCCCGTCAAAATGTTGGGATTACAGGCATGAGCCACCGCTCCTGGCCTTTATTCAAGTACTTTTGGTCACAAATAACAGGATATTGGTTTCAACGGCAAATAACGGTACATTAACAAAAAAGTTAGAGCTGGGCATGGTGGCTCAGGCCTGTAATCCCTACACTTTGCGAGGCTGAGGCGGGCGGATCACCTGAGGTTGGTAGTTCAAGACCAGGCTGACCAACATGGAGAAACCCCGTCTCTACTAAAAATACAAAATTAGCCAGGTGTGGTGGTGCATGCCTGTAATCCTAGCTACTCGGGAGGCTGAGACAGGAGAATCGCTTGAACCTGGGAGGTGGAGGTTGCGGTGAGCCAAGATTACGCCATTGCACTCCAGCCTGGGCAACAAGAGCAAAACTCTGTCCCAAAAAAAAAAAAAAAAGTTATTTTTCTTAGGTATTGAGAAGCCAAGAACTGAGCAATGCTGGTGTAGCTGCTAAGAAATGCACCCAAGGGCCAAGGCTCTTTTAGTTTTTCTGCTCTGCATTTCCTAGCTTAGGGACTTTTATCCTCATGCTTGACACCTCATGTTACCAATTGGCTGCTGCATCTCCAGGCCTTACATCTGCTTTCTAGACAGGCAAAAGGGGGATGAGGCAACAGGAACAGAAGAAGCAGGGTTCTTCCAGCTGTATCTATCCCTTTTCATCTGGAAAGAGACACCTTACATTTTATTGGCCAGAAGTAAATCATATGGCCACCTTTGGCTGAAAAAAAGGAAAACAGAAAATTTTGCTTTTCAGCCTTTAAATAGCAGAAAAGGGCAAGAGAACAGGAATCCCCAATGTCTATCACAATGCTGTATTGGGTGAGATTACTCATTAGATAAATAATGAAGGACCTTGATAGAAGGTGGAGAGAGAGAATGGTGGAATGTTAGGATTTTTTTGAGATGGAGTGTTTTGGGGTGCAGTGGCATGATCTCAGTTCACTGCAAACTCCGCCTCCGGGTTCAAGTGATTCTCCTGCCTCAGACTCTCGAGTAGCTGGGATTACAGGCGTCCATCACCACGCCTGGCTAGTTTTTTGTATTTTTAGTAGAGACGTGGTTTCACCATGTTTTCCAGGTTGGTCTTGAACTCCTGACCTCAAGTGATCTCCCTGCCTCGGCCTACCAAAGTGCTGGGATTACAGGCACGAGCCACCACACCCGGCAGGATATTTTGGATTAAAAAACCTCAAAGTCTGTCATTGGTTTCTTGGCCTCTCCGGTTTAGCAAAGAAATCACTCAAATCTAAGAGACTTCTAACTTCTCTTTTATGGCAGTCTTCTCTCTTTTAGATTCTTCCTCCAGAATAGATTTTTTTTTTTTTTTTTTTTTGAGACGGAGTCTCGCTCTGTCGCCCAGGCTGGAGTGCAGTGGCGCGATCTTGGCTCACTGCAAGCGCCGCCTCTTGGGTTCACGCCATTCTCCTGCCTCAGCCTCCCGAGTAGCTGGGACTGCAGGCGCCCGCCACCACGCCCAGCTAATTTTTTTGTAGTTTTAGTAGAGACAGGGTTTCACCGTGTTAGCCAGGACGGTCTCGATCTCCTGACCTTGTGATCCGCCTGCCTCGGCCTCCCAAAGTGCTGGGATTACAGGCTTGAGCCACCGCGCCCGGCCCAGAATAGATTTTTTTAAAACCATCTTTATCGAGATATAATTCACATACCATAAAATTCACCCATTTAAGGTGTACAATTCGATGGTTTTAGCATATTCATAGAACTGTGCAACTACCACCAAAATCCAAGTTTAGAATATTTCCATCATCTCCAAAAGGAACCCCCACCCCGTAGGAGTCAATCCTATCTGCACCCCAAACCCCACCGCCAGGCAACCGCTCATTTAATTTCTATTTGAGCAAAAATGTTTAAAAGAGCCAGATTTTCTGCTGGAAAGTCAGTAGAACACACTATAAAAATGAGCTGCAGGATAGATACTTAAATTTAAATATATCATGAAAGGCAATTCATTTACTGTAGGAGAGTTTTTTGTGAAGGAACTGATTCCATACCGCACATAGTGAAAGCAAAATTTCTAAGCACTTCATTTCTTTCCTCATTTCACTGTCCTAAATAATCATACTGTTTTCTAAATCTTGGCTGTCTTATAGTTCAGCCTTTCTTTAAGGTAAGTGAGATTTATAAAGACATAAAGTAGATATAAAATTACAAAACTCAAAAAGAAACTCAAGGTCTGGGGCCGGGCACAGTAGCTCACGCCTGTAATCCCAGCACTTTAGGAGGCTGAGGAGGGCGGATCAACTGAGGCCAACAGTTCGAGACCAGCCTGACCAATACGGTGAAACCCCGTCTCTACTAAAAACACAAAAATTAGCCAGGTGTGGTGGCGGGCGCCTGTAATCCCAGCTACTCCGGAGGCTGAGGCAGGAGAATCGCTTGAATCTGGGAGGTGGAGGTTGCAGTGAGCCAAGATCACACCACTGCACTCCAGCCTTGGCAATAAGAGCAAAACTCCATCTCAAAAAAAAAAAAAAAAAAAAAAAAAAAGAAAAGAAAGAAACTGAGGGTCTGATTATAAGTAAGGCTTTAGTTAAAAACAAAAAATTTACCCAACGCCAGAAGCGGCCAAACAAGCTGCTCATTGACAGTGACACTGGAGTCACGTGCCTTTTCTTCTCCCCTGGTATCTGTACAAGCCCTGTCCACTTTAAGTGTTATTCACAAGAGATAATCTACTGAAACGAAAACGAGCAAGGAAGCCTAAGACTCAAGAGTAATTGCTTTCATTATTGTTGCAACATTCCCTCTAACTGTCACATCCTCCACTCTGTACCTGTTGTGTTGAGATAAAAGAGAAAACAGGAAGTGAGGTTGTTATTTAGCACAGGCAAACGACTATCACCAAGAGGTTCCAGGGCCAAGGCTTTCTGGTCAGAGGTTGAGGAGATGTACAGAAAACCAGTTTTGTACCAGATAATAGTAGAAAAGAAAGCTGTGCCCAAACAGAAGCGAGGGGGCATCCCAGTGTGCTGCCTTTGATATTAAGTTACTACCACTTAAGGTAGACAGATCTTATTTACCCCTAACGACTGCAGATTTGAATCTTGTTCATTTGGTTTCAATCACGATCAGGCTACCGAGAGGTGACAGCGTACTGGCAGCCCTCGCTTGCTCTTGGCGCCTCCTCGGCCTTGGTACCCACACTGGCCGCGCTTGAGGAGACCTTCAGCCTGCCGCTGCACTGTGGGAGCCCCTCTCTGGGATGGCCAAGGCCGGAGCCATCTCCCTCTGCTTGTGGGGAGGTGTGGAGGAAGAAGTGCAGGCGGGAACTGAGGCTGCACGCGGCGCACGCGGGCCAGCGCGAGTTCCAGGTGGGCGCGGGCTCAACGGGCCCCGCACTCCGAGCAGCCGGCCGGCACCGCCAGCCCCAGGCAGTGAGGGGCTTAGCACCCGGGATAGCAGCTGCGGAGGGTGCCCTGGGTCCCCCAGCAGTGCTGGCCTGCCCGCACAGCGCTCGCTGGGCCTCAGCTGCCTCCTCGCGGGGCAGGGCTCTGGACTTGCGGCCTGCCATGCCTGAGACCCCCACCCCTGGTGGGCTCCAGCACGGCCGGAGCCTCCCTGATTGGCGCCACCCCATGCTCCGCCGCGCCCAGTTCCATCGAACCGCCCAAGGACTGAGGAGTGCTGGCAGCGCAGCATGGGACTGCACAGGCTCCTCCTGCGGCCCTGGGGAGGGATCCACTAGGTGAAGCCAGCTGGGCTCCCGAGGCGGGTGGGGACTTGGAGAACTTTTATGTCTAGCTGGAGGATTGTAAATGCACCAATCAGCACTTTGTGTCTAGCTCAATGTTTGTCAACACACCAATCAGTGCTCTGTGTCTAGCTAATCTAGTGGGGACTTGGAGAACATTTGTGTCTAGCTAAAGGATTGTAAACAGACCAATCAGCTCTCTGTAAAATGGACCAATCAGCAGGATATGGGTGGGATCAGATAAGGCAATAAAAGTAGGCTACCCGAGCCAGCAGCGGCAACCCCGTGGGGTCCCTTTCCACACTGTGGAAGTTTTGTCTTTTGGCTCTTTGCAATAAATCTTGTTGCTGCTCACTCTTTGGGTCTGCACTGCCCTTAAGATCTGTAACGCTCACTGTGAAGGTCAACAGCTTCACTCCTGAGGCTAGCGAGACCACGAATCCACTGGGAGGAATGAACAACTCCAGACGGGAGGAACAGACAACTCCAGACACGCCTTCTTAAGAGCTGTAACACTCACCACAAAGGTCTGCAGCTTCTCTCCTGAAGCCAGTGAGACCACGAACCCACCAGAAGGAAGAAACTCCAAACACGTCCAAACATCAGAAGGAACAAACGCCGAACACACCATCTTTAAGAACTGTAACACTCACTGCGAGGGTCCACGGCTTCATTCTTGAAGTCAGTGAGACCAAGAACTCACCAATTTCGGACACACTACCAAGTTTCTTTTTCTCTGAGCTATTTGTTTTCTTTTGCCTTTAATTATGATTGCTGTAGCAGAAAGACATTTTGTATCAGTTTGCTGTTTAAAATGACCCAGTAGGCTAGAGGAGGTGGTTCACGCCTGTAATCCTAGCACTTTGGAAGGCCTAGGGTGGTGGATCACTTGAGACCAGGAGTTCGAGACCAGCCTGGCCAACATGGCAAAACCCCATCTCTACTAAAAATACAAAAATTAGCCAGGCAGGGTGGCATGCCTGTAGTCCCAGCCACGTTGGCCACGCTGGTCTTGAACTTTTGACCTCAGGTGATTCACTTGCCTTGGCCTCCCAAAGTGCTGGGATTACAGGCGTGGGCCACCGCACCCGGCCATAATTTCAGGTTTGTTCTTGTACCCCAGAAATCATTCTTTGATGTTGATATTCATTTTCTCCTCAACTAAATATTGATTTCAATTTATTGACCTTATGCCAGAATGTTTATTTGGTATACTTCTAGTAGTGCTACATATTTTATAAATATATATATAAATATATATGGATAATATATATTTATATATAAATATTTATATTTCATATGAATATGAAAAAATGTATACATACATTTTTAAGTGACAGGGTCTTGCTATGTTTCCCAGGCTGGTCTCAAGCTATCCTTCTACCTCAGCCTCCTGAGTAGCTGGGATTACAAGCCTGAGCCACCATGTCTGGCTTAGTGCTACATACTGTAATCTTCCTCAACCTGCTTTTTTGCTCAACTTTTTATTTGTGAGATTAACTATTGTTGTTATATGTAGTTCAAGTTATTCAGTTTCATAAGTGCTGTGTAGTTTGTATGAGTTATATGTATATTTCATTTAACTTTCTTCTTATTGATGGAAATGTAGTTTGTTTCCAAATTTTTGTAATTCCAATGTTGCTATGTACGTTTATGTACGTATTATCTTGTGAGTGCTTCTCTAATATTTGTACTTAGGAGTGCAAGTGACATGCTGGGTCAAAGGGTGCTATTATTTTTAAGGTGAGCTTTTAAGTTCATAAAAATGGATAAGCATGTGTAGGGAAAGTATATAATTCTAGGAGATAACCTTCTCTTGCTTCCCTTTTTTGTTATAGTTTGGGAACTGTTTAAGAACAATTTTCTTCAAATTTATTTTTTGTTTTTCGTTTGTTTTTTTGTTTGTTCGTTTGTTTTTTGAGACAGAGTCTCACTCTATTGCCCAGGCTGGAGTGCAGTGGCACGATCTCAGCTCACAGCAACCTCTGCCTCTCAGGTTCAAGCAATTCTCCTGTCTTAGCCTCTTGAGTAGCTGGGACTACAGGTGCCCGCCACCACACCTGGCTGATTTTTGTATTTTTAGTAGAGACAGGGTTTCACCATATTGGTCAGGCTGGTCTCGAGCTCCTGACCTCAGGTGATCAGCTCGCCTCAGCCTCCCAAAATGCTGAGATTCCAGGCATGAGCCACCGCACCTGGCCGTTTGTTTTTGAGATGGAGTCTCGCTCTGTCTCCCAGGCTGGAGTGCAATGGAGTGATCTCAGCCTACTGCAACCTCCACCTCCCGGGTTCCAGTGATTCTCCTGCCTCAGCCTGCTGAGTAGCTGGGATTACAGGCACCCACCACCACACCCGGCTAATTTTTGTAATTTTAGTAGAGATGGAGTTTCACCATGTTGGCCAGGCTGGTCTCAAATCCCTGACTTCAGGTCATCTGCCAACCTCGGCCTCCCAAAGTGCTGGGATTACAGGCATGAGCCACCTGTAATTTTAAAAATTTTAAAAATTTTAAAATTTAAAATTTATTTTAAAAATAAATTATTTTTTATTGGTGCTGAACAAATTTATTTTAAAAAATTGATATGAAATTATAATAATTTATACAACATTATGTTTTAAAGTATATATACATTGTGGAATGGTTAAAGCTAGCTAATTAACAAATGCATTACCTCATATAGTTATCATTTTTGTAGTGAGAACACTTAACATCCACTCTCTTAGCATTTCTTAAGAATACAATATTATTGTCTTTGACTATAGTCACCATGCTGTACAATAGATGTCTTGAATTCCTTGTTTAAGAGCAATTTGATGCAATGGTTGCCATGGTAAATACTTTTCATGAGAACTAAGTATTGTTGAAAGCTGTTATAATTTACCATTATTTAGTTTCAGAGTGACTTGAATGTTTTTACTTTCCCCCTTCATTTAAATATTTTATCTGCATCAGAATTTCTTTTTAAAAGTTTTCTCTGGAAAAGACATACTGTTTAATACTTTTGGCCTGACTCTGACCTCACATTTTAGGCTGTTCACAGGTAGCATCTCAGGCTTCAGCAGTTCAGGAAAAAAGGGCAATTGAGTCATCTTATCATGGAGGGGTGTTTATGAATGCTCACACTATAAATGTGCTCAATAGCATAGTAATGAAATCAGATTTTATTCAAACTCTAAAAGACAAAATGTAAATGCAGTTTTATGGCCTAGGTGAGTTCTGCAGCTGTGGCAACATCTTGTGTTGTCAGATGTCCTGTGGCTTATGTTGTTAATTGATACCACGGTACTCAAAGATAGCAAGATAATGAAATGAATTATTCTTTTTTTTTTTTTGAGATGGAGTCTCCCTCTGTTGCCCAGGCTGGAATGCAATGGCGCTACCTCGGCTCACTGCAAGCTCCGTTTCCCGGGTTCACGCCATTCTCCTGCCTCAGCCTCCAAGTAGCTGGGACTACAGGCGCCTGCCACCACGCCCGGCTAATTTTTGTATTTTTATTAGAGACGGGGTTTCACCATATTGGCCAGGCTGGTCTTGAACTCCTGACCTCAGGTGATCCTCCTGCCTCGGCCTCCCAAAGTGCTGAGATTACAGGCGTGAGCCACCGCACCTGGCCATGAATTTTTTTTTTTAATAAACAGTAAACTTTAATGTCGAAAATGCAAACTTGGGGAGGGCAAAGTGTCACACACAAGGCTGTCACTTCACACTTGGAGGGTTGCACAGCGCTGGCCATGAATTATTCTTAAAAAGAAAAAGACCTAACACAAAAAAATGACATCAAGCACTTCGGTGGATACACACAGGATTGAGAAACATGAGGAGGGAAGATTTTTGTTGGAATCATATATTCATAAAAATAGCCAATCCAAAAGAGCCAAAAATATTCTGGTATATTTTAGTCACAGGGTTAGAGACTTATATCCTTCTAGGACAACTTTTGCTTTTGTCCCTCAAAAAAGAAAACTTTTTGTCCACTGTGATATTGTGGGTTTATCTGCTTTTTCCTTTTTTTCTAGAATGAAAGATAATCCAGCCCATTAGTGAGTTACCTGGACATATATTGAGCTCTCTGCTCTCTTTCCTCCTTGTCTCTCTCTGTCCCTCCTTCTCTTTGTCCCTCTTTGTTTCCTTCCCTCCCTCCTTTGTACCCCCATTCTTTCTCTTTCTCCTTCCCTCCCTACCTCCTTTTCTTCCTTCTTTCTTTTTTAGTTTAAGACCATTCCAAAGGAATCATTTATGTGATGATGGCATAGGTATAGATGATAGTGGGTGGGAAAGTTGAAAGAAATATAGATGATGTATTTGAGGTGGGGTCATGAAAAATTCCGAATCATTCATTCTGAGTAATTTTTTGCTTTCTCTTTTATTAGTAATAAGTGATAACTTTAAACTCTGAGTATATATTGGTCACTGAGTGTTTCACATAGCTAATTTTTATATTTCAAACTAGCTTCTGAAAAACAGGGACTGTTAATTGCTCTTTCTGTGTTGTCACAGTATCCAAAAGGAAAACTCCTCCAAGGTCCATTTTTTACATTTAGGGGTACATTGCATACACACTCAAAATTCATCTTCTTCAGGAATCCTTTACGAATGCACCCCCTTCTACTTCAATCTCTTCCATTTTTAAAAATTTTAAATAAGTTAAAAATATAGATAAGTATAAAGTTTTCTTGCCTCATGGAATTGAGAGTTATCTGTGTCTTGACATATTTGCTTTTAGGCTTTATATGTATGCAATAAAATAGTCCCCAATAAATGTGAAATATCTATGACCCTCACCCTCATCACATTCTCATCTCTGCCTCCTCCCCTGCCATAAATCTGCTGTGACTCCTTTGAATTTCATTTTCATACTTTCTACTATTTTCTTTATTCTATGTCATGAATGCCTTTCCTTCCCTTCCCTCCCTCCCTGCCTCCCTCCCTCCTGTCTCTTCTCTTTCCTTTTCTTTTCTTTCCTCCCCTCCCCTCCGCTCCCCTCCCCTCCCCTCCTCTCTTTTCTTTCCTTCTTTCTTTTCTTTCCTTTTTGACGGAGTCTCTCTCTGTCGCCCAGGCTGGAGTGCAGTGGCGCGATCTCGGCTCACTGCAAGCTCCACCTCCCGGGCTCACGCCATTCTCCTGCCTCATCCTCCCGAGTAGCTGGGACTACAGGTGCCCGCCACCATGCTCGGCTAATTTTTTTGTATTTTTAGTAGAGACCGCGTTTCACCGTGTTAGCCAGGATGGTCTCGATTTCCTGACCTCGTGATCCACCCGCCTTGGCCTCCCACCGTGCTGGGATTACAGGCGTGAGCCACCGCCCCCAGGCCTGCCTTCCTCCCTCCCTCCCTCTTCCTTCCTTCCTTCCTTCCTTCCTTCCTTCCTTCCTTCCTTCCTTCCTTCCTGCTTTCCCTCCCTCCCTCCCTCCCCCATCCTTTCTTTCTTTCTTTCTCGCTCTCTCTTTCTTTTTTTTTTTTTTTTGACGGAGTCTTGCTCTTTCACCCAGGCTGGAGTGCAGTGGCGCGATCTCGACTCACTGCAGGCTCCGCCCCCCGGGGTTCACGCCATTCTCCTGCCTCAGCCTCCCGCATAGCTGGGACTACAGGTGCCCGCCACCTCGCCCGGCTAATTTTTTGTATTTTTAGTAGAGACGGGGTTTCACCGTGTTAGCCAGGATGGTCTCAGTCTCCGGACCTCGTGATCTGCCCGCCTCGGCCTCCCAAAGTGCTGGGATTACAGGCGTGAGCCACCGTGCCCGGCCTTTCTTTCCTTCTTTCATTATTTTGAATGGAGTTCTTGCTGCTTGCTCTTAATCTTGGGACTTCCAGTTTTCCCTGCTGGATTGGGGTAAGCCAGGTGGCAGCTGTATCCCCAGACACGAGGCCTTGAAGAAGTTGGTCTGTGAGTCCCCTCTAGCCATCAGAATTAGTGGGATGTTCTCTCCTACATATATTCTGACTTCTCCCTGCTACAATTCTGCATCTTAATCCCTTGGTAACTGTATTAGTCTGTTCTCACAGTGTGATAAAGAACTACCTGAGACTGGGTAATTTATGAAGAAAGAGATTTAATTGACTCAGTTCCACAGGCTGTACAGGAAGCATGGCTGGGTGGCCTCAGGAAACTTACAATCATGGCGGAAGGTGAAGGGGAAGCAAGCACGCCTTATTATGGCAGAGCAGGATAAAGAAAGGGGAGGTGCTACCCAACCAGATCTCATGAAAACTCACTATCTTTTTTTTTTTTTTTTTTTGAGATAGAGTCTCGCTGGAGCTCCTGGCCTCAAGCAATCCACCTGCCCTGACCTCCCAAAGTGCTGGGATTACAGCTATGAGCCACTGCACCCAGCCAGGAGAATAAAAATCTATAGTAGGTGGGAGCTTTCATTGTCCCTGATCTGGAAAAACTCAGTGAGCTGCCAAGTAACAAAAAAATCCTCCTATAATTGGGAGGATTAATTATTTCTGGTACTGAGATATACATTGGATGTGGTATATATCTTCATTTTTTACTTTCCTATGAATATTTTGTGAATCTCCTGTATCTAATAGTTTAAACATATTTTGAGTGCATTAAATGAAACACTAATGACGTGTGATTTGGATGTTTTCTTTTGCTTCAAAAAACAAAACCTATATGCTGTCACTTTAAATCTTTTCCCTCTTTCTTTATTTGAAGGCAGAAATAATCAGGATATTTTCTCTAGGGCGTTTTGGGGACTTGGGACTAATCTTAAGCAGGCGGCATATGTGACTAACCTGTGTGTTGTGAGTCAGGGATGCTGATAAGAGCCTCCTATGTTTTTCCAACAGCCTCTCATATTTTCTTTCTATTTTTTATTTTTTGAGACAAGGTCTCACTCTGTCACCCAGGATGGAGTACAGTGGTGCAGTCTCGGCTCACTGCAACTTCTGCCTCCTGGGCTCTAGCAATCCTCCCATCTCAGCCTCCCTAGTAACTGGGACCACAGGTGTGCACCATCATGCCTGGCTAATTTTTGTACTTTTTGTAGAGACAAGTTTTCACTATGTTACCCAGGCTTGTCTCGAACTCCTCACCTCAAGTTATCCACCTGCCTCGGCCTCCCAAAGTGCTGGGATTACAAGCATGAGCCACTGCACCCATGCTCTCTCATATTTTCTAAAATACCACTATCAGACTTATGTTTGTTTGGTCTTTAGAAATCTGAATATTCTTTGGAAGGGAAACCATCTCAGTGAGAATTTGTTTATTAGATAGTTGTCCATGTTTGACATCTGACTTGGAGCAAGAGTTTGAAGAAATACAAAACAGGTAAGTTGGAAAGGATACTGGGAGGTATGATAGCAGAAGAAAAGGAAATTTCCTTGTAATTTTGCCTAGGATGAGCCCTTAATATAATTAAGGATGGTCCTTCCTCTGCTTCCCTAGGATTTTAAGACCTGCTTTCATTTTCTTCCATCTTTTCTTCTTCCCAAAATAAGAAGTAAGAGGTTTTGAGGTATAGTGGCTCATGCCTGTAATCCCAGTGCTTTGGCAGACCAAGGCAGGAGAATCACTTGAGGCTAGGAGCTTACGACCAGCCTGGGTAAAATAGCAAGACCTGGTATCTACAAAAATTATTTAAAAAAATAAGTTAGATGTGGTGGCATGTGCCTGTAGTCCTAGCTACTTGGGAGACTGACGCAGGAGGAACGCCTAGCCCAGGAGTTTGAAGCTGCAGTGAGCTACTGCATTCCAGCCTGGGTGACACAGTAAGACCCCATCTCAAACATACAAAACATAATGACGACAGCAAACAAAAGGTTTGGGGCCATAAAAAAAGAATTATTATAAAAATTGACTAAAGGGGAAAAGTCATTTATACTACATAGGAAATGTCCCCTAAAGGAAATTTTCAGTACAATTTTCCTCCAATGAGTCTCAATTATATTAGAATTTTTCCTTTCAGGCAATCTTTATTTAAATTATCCTACTTAAAACTCAAATTACGAATCTCTAAAACTGCAATTTCCAAAAACAATGAAGTTTCCTAAAATGAGATTATGCATCAGCAGCAGTGGCACCAGCTTAAATAAATTTTTAATGGAATTGTCAGTATTGCTGATACGTTTAGGGCAAAACTTCTGCCAAATTTTGTAAGATAACAATCAAGTACTGCGTGACCTTGACAGATTCTTTTCTTATTTTAGCAAAACCACATTCTGCTTTGAGAAAGGTCAAACTCAGAGCAAGGGTACAGCTTCCTCTTTACTGGTCTTTCATGAGTTTGTCATCTGATATAGGGACATGGTTAGGTCAAAGGGGGAATGTGCTTTATCTAGACAGTTTAAAATTTCATCTCAAAGTATCTAATCCTTTGGGGCAAACTTTCATAGATTTATATTGCTTTTTCTCTGGTGAATGATGCTAAATTTTATTACTTTGAAAGTTATTGACTATTCTGTGATTAAAGAAAAAAGATTTTTTTTTTTTTTCAGAGTCTTGCTCTATCGTCCAGGGTATGGGTGACAATTTCTTGCTTTACTTTGTTTTATTACAAAAGTGATAAAACAAAATAAAGCAAGAAATTGAAAAATGCAAGAAAGAATAAAGAATACCCATATAACCTATATCCCATATAACCCCAAATCCCACCTGCCCTGATAGATCATTTCATATTAACATAGTGACCCATTTCCTTTTAACTTTTTTTGGGGTGCATAGCTGAAATCATTGGTAGATAAAGTTTTGCATATATACACTGCTTTTTGAAAAATAGTGGATCCAAATTGTGTTGTCCTTCACAAAAAAAGGCTGGAACGAATGGAAAGGTAGACCATGTTCTTGGGGAGGAAGCCTAACAGCATCAAGATGTTAGCCAATTAGAGATTAGCAGTATCCATTAAAATTACAATAGTGCAGCCAAAACAAACAAAAACAAACAAAAAACAAACCAAAATCATGTCCTTTGCAGCAAGATAGTTGCAGCTGGAGGCCATTATCCTAAGCAAATTAATGCAGGAACAGAAAACCAAATACTGCATGTTCTTACTTATAAGTAGGAGCTAAACATTGGGTACTCAGGGACATAAAGATGACAACAAAGATACTGGAGACTACTCGATGGGAGAGGAAGGAAGGGCAGCAAGGGTTGAAAAACTAACTATTGAGTATTATGCTCATTACCTGGGTTAGGGAATCATTCATATCCCAAACCTCAGCATCACACAATATACCCATGGTGTAACAAACATGGGGATGAACCCCTTGAATCTAAAATGTACCCCTGCACATGCACCCCTTGAATCTAAAATAAAAGTTAAAATCATTATTATTATTATTATTTTTTTTTTTTGAGATGGAGTCTTGCTCTGTCGCCCAGGCTGGAGTGCAGTGGCGCAATCTCGGCTCACTGCAAGCTCCGCCTCCCGGGTTCAAGCGATTCTCCTGCCTCAGCCTCCCGAGTAGCTGGGACTACAGGCGCCCGCCACCAAGCCTGGCTAATTTTTTGTATTTTTAGTAGAGACGGGGTTTCACCATGTCAGCCAGGATGGTTTCGATCTCCTGACGTCGTGATCCGCCCGTCTCGGCCTCCCAAAGTTCTGGGATTACAGGCGTGAGTCACCGCACCTGTGCCAAAAGTTAAAATTATTTTTAAACATTACAAATATATGTACATTTGGACCCAGCATTCTCTTATACTTTTAATAATGATTTCTAGAGATAGTATTGAAGGAATATTATTCATTGCTTTTTTTTTTTTTTGTAACAGCAAAAGAAATGGTCACTTCAGAAAAGTTTTTCAGAAAAAAAATTGGAAGCAACATAAATGTCAATCAGTACAGGCCTTTTTAAATTATTTATGGCATAGCTACACTGTGGAATACTATATAGCTGTTAAAAATGAGTAAGTGCTTTTGTATTGATTTAGACAGATCTTCAAGATCTATTAAATGCAAAAAGTGACTTGCTGGAAAAATGGGTATAGTCTTTTGTAATTTGTATAAAAAAAGAAGAGGACAAAGAATGTATATTGTCTTTGACTAGGAACAGCCTTCTGGAAGGCCAGACAAGAAACTACTAATATTGATAACCCAATTGAGGCTGAGAATGGAAACCAGTGGGCACTGGAGCAGAGTAGGGGTGAGACTTTCTATTGTGTATATTTTTATACTTGTTTGCTGCTTGGAGAATGTGAATGAATGAATGTGGTATCTATTCACATTAAATTAAAATAGAAATAAAGAATGTGTGGGCTGGGTGCAGTGGCTCACGCCTGTAATCCCAGCACTTTGGGAGGCCAAGGTGGGCGGACCACCTGAGGTCAGGAGTTCAAGACCTGCCTGGCCAACGTGGAGAAACCCCATCTCTACAAAAATACAAAAATTAGCTGGGCATGATGGTGGGCACCTGTAATCCCAGCTACTCGGGAGGCTGAGGCAGGAGAATTGCTTGAACCCGGGAGATGGAGGTTGCAGTGAGTCAAGATCGCGCCATTGTACTCCAGCCTGGGAGACATAGCGAGACTCCATCTTAAAAAAACAAACAAACAAACAAACAAACAAACAAAAAAACAATTGTGGTTCTTTGCTAAGATGATTAAAATGATACTATGACCCACTATCAGTAGGACTTTAATTTTTAGTTTAATTATAACAGTGATAAATTTGCACTGAATCACAATACCACATTTCTTCAATTTTAAGATGTATTTTTCCACGTATTAAAATTTCTGAAATGACTACTTTCTCCCTGCCTGCTACATATAAATATACCATGCTTAATTTTGCTATTTGGCTATTACTGAACATTCAGGTCATTTCTAGGTTTTTTTCTCTCATTTTCATTTTGAATAATTGTCTCACACTGATTTTTTAATCATTAATTTTTTTTTTCTCAACAATTAGAAACCAGGTTGCAATGCTACAGTGTGATGTGGTGCTTAAAAATATGGGCTGTGGAATTGCACTGTTGGGTGTTGATCCTGACCCTCCTAGTATCTTCAGGCTGAGTAGTGTTGGCAGTAACCCAAGTCTCCTAATTTATGGGGCGGATTTAGCACCATACTTGGCACCAGCATAAGCATCCAGTTAATACTATTTTTTTGGTCACAAAAATATTCCTTGATATATAAGAATTATCTCTAGTACAGATTTCTGAAAATGGTATTATTTAACAAAAGGGCATAAACACTTTAGGACGCTTGATAGGTATTGATAAATTGTTTTTCACAAATTCTTATCAATGTATTTGCCTATCAGCAGTATCATACCAACAACCAATATGATATATTTAACCCCCTTTGAATTAGAGAGGCGATAATATTTAAATATTTAATTTTTTAACTACTAGATCGATGGAAGATTTTTTAAAAAATACCATATATTTAATTGCCATTTAGATTTCTTCTTGTGTGAATTTGTTTATTAATGACTTCTATGCCATTTTCTAACGTAGTCTTAATATTTATCTGATAGTTTATATGAACTGGATACAACACTGATACTTTAACTTTACATTGTTTTTATGCACTTTAACTTGTTTTAAACAAAATTTTTAAATGAACTCAGATTACCTTTTATATTAAAAATATGAAGATAGTATTCAAACAAAAGGGTATCTATAACATATTGCACAATTTAGAGACTAATAATAAGCTGGACTCAGTGGCTCATGCCTGTAATCCCAGCACTTTGGGAGGCTGAGGCGGGAGGATTGCTCGAGGTCAGGAGTTCGAGACCAGCCTGGCTAATATGGTGAAACCTTGTTTCTACTAAAAATACAAAAATTAGCTAGGCATGGTGGTGCGCGCCTGTAATCCCAGCTACTCTGGAGGCTAAGGCATGAGAATTGCTTGAACCTGGGAGGCAGAGGTTGCAGTAAGCTGAGATTGAGATTGTGTCACTGCACTCCAGCCTGGGTGACAGAGTGAGATTCTGTCTCAAGAAAAAAAAAGACTAATAATAAAATTAACACCTCTATACCTGACACTCAGCTTAAGAAGCAGAACATTAGCAGTACTTTGGAAAGCACTATGTAAAACTCCCCAGTCTCAACCTTCCCAAGTCTTGGGGTTACCAGTCTTAAATTTTATGTCTTGCCTTTCTTTATAGTTTTACCATACATATATGTGTGTGTGTGTGTCTCTAAGTAATATATTGCTTGATATTTCCTGTTTTCAACTTTTGTATCAATGCAATTAGAGTGTATGCATGCTTCTATGACCTGATGCAGTACAGTTCTATTACATATCAGGTCTCTACCTGAGCCTGTTCTCCTGGCGGATTTGTCTCTGGTCAATACCACTAAGTCTTAACTATTAAAGCTTCATATTAAGTCTTAATATCTAGTAGGGCAGATCTTTACACCTGTTCTTCAGGAGGGTCTTGCCTATACTTGGCACTTAGTTCTTTCATATAAATGCTAGAAAAAACTTGTAAAGTTTAATGAAAAAAAAAACCTACTGGAGTATGATTCAGAATTGCATTGAATCCATAAATCAATTTGAGAGAACAGACATCTTTATGATGTTCTGTTTATGAAAAAGGTATGTCTTAGCTAGGTGTGGTGATTCACGCCTACAATCCAAGCACTTTTGGAGGCCGAGGCAGGAGGATTACTTGGGGCCAGAAGTTCGAGACCAGCCTGGGAAAGATGGTGATACCAAGTCTCTACACAAAATACAAAATTAGCTGGGCATGATGGAACATGCCTGTAGTCCCAGCTACTTGGGAGGCTGAGGCAAGAGGATTGCTTTAGCCCAGAAGATTGAGGCAGCAGTGAGCCGTGCTTGCACCATTGCACTCCAGCCTGGGCTAAGAGTGAGAACTTACCTCAAAAAAAAAAAAAAAAAACAAACAACCAGATGTGTCTTTCCATTTATATTTGTGGTAGACAGAATAATACCCCCTGCTAAGACGTCCATGTCCTAATGCCCAGAGCCTGTGATATGTTACATTGCATCTGAGTTATCTAGATGGGCCCAATGTAATCACAAGGGTTTTATAAGAGGGAGACAAGAGGGTCAAAGTCAGAGAGAAGATGTGAGGACTGAAGCAGGGTTTGAATTTGAAGATCAAGAAAGGGGCCACTAGCCAAGAAATGCAGGCAGCCTGTAGCATATGGAAAAGGCAATGAAAAGGTTCTCCCCTAGAGCCTCCAGGAAGAATGCGGCTATGACAACTTGATTTTGGCCCATAAGACTCTTTCCTGCTTCTGACCTCCAGAACAGTAAGATAATAAACTTGGGTTGTTTTAAGATGCCAAGTTTGTGGTCATGTGTTACAGCAGTAATAGGACACAAATGCAATATTGTTCCACACATAGCTGTTATAAAAATAACTTGCTGGATTTATTTCTAATCACTTTATAGTTTTCATTGCCATTTTAATGGCATTTTAAAAATTAATTTTATTATATCTTACACTTTATAGAAATGCTGTTGATATTTGTGAACTGATTTTTGTATCTAAGAACCTTACTTATTCTAAGAATTTATCTGGAGATTATTCCATCAGATTCTATCATTTTCAAATAACCGTAGTTTTCTTTCTACTTTCCCAGTTCTTTCTTTCTTATCTTATTGGGCTGCTCAGACCCCTAGTACAATATTTGATAGATATGATGATAGTAGCCATCATTTTTAAATTTCTGATTTTAATGGATATGATTTTAATGTACCACCTGCTAGAGGGTTTTTGAAGATACTCTTTTTCTCTTTGTACTGTATTCTGAGAAACTTCTTGACTTCTATCTTCTAGTACACTAATGATTTTTTTTTTAGTTAAAATATTTTTTACTTTTTAAGATAGGGACGGGTTCTCACTGTGTTGGCCAGGCTGGTCTTGGAGTCCTGGGCTCAAACAATCCACCTGCCTCGGCCTCCCAAAGTGCTGGGATTACAGGGATATGCCACCGTGACTGGACTGATTTTCTCTCTCTCTCTCTCTTTTTTTTTTGGTCATGACAGCCTACTGTTAAATTTTCATCTGTTTTTAATATGCTAACTAGTCCCTTTGATTTTTTATTTCAATTAAAATTTTTAATTTTTAGTTATTCTAATTGTTCAGATCTACTTTGTCAGTTTTTATATTCTCCTGTTTATACTTTCAATGTTAAATACATTCTATATATTTATAAAATAAATCTATAATTGATCATCCAATATCAAAAGTTTTTACAAGCTGATTTTGCTGTTGTTTCTGATGACTCTCACATACTGTGGCTTGTTTCTTTGTGTGTTATATAATTTTTTGTTGTGAGGTCATGTTCCTTGGAACTTTGTGAGAATTCTTTTAAAGTCTGGGTTTAAAGTGTGTCCTGCCAAAGATAATTTGCTTATACCTGCCAAGTGCTTGCACTGTAAGAAAACCTGATTCCAGGCCGGGCGTGGTGGCTCATGCCTGTAATGCCAGCACTTTGGGAGGCCAAGGTGGGTGGATCATGAGGTCAGGAGTTCAAGACCAGCCTGGCCAACATAGTGAAACCCCGTCTCTACTAAAAATACAAAAATTAGCCGGGCGTGTTGGCACGTGCCTGTAGTCCCAGCTACTCAGGGGGCTGAGACAGGAGAATAGCTTGAACCCAGGAGGTAGAGGTTGCAGTGAGCTGAGATTGCACCACTGCACGCCAGCTTGGGCAACAGAGTGAGATTTCATCTCAAAAACAAACAAACAAACAAACAAAAAAACCTGATTCCAATGATCCATTCACTAGGTGTGTAACTCTAGGCAAGTTATGTAACCTCTTAGCCTCCCTTTCCTCATTGGTACAATGGGATACCAAGAGTATACTTGGCTGGGTAGGATTAATGAGTTAATATGTATAAAGTGTTTAACGAACTGCTTGGCACATGGTGTGTTCTTAATATGTCAAATATCATTATTATTACTTAAATTTTTTCCAGTTAGGCTGTCACTGAGTACAGAACACAGTGATATCAACAAGAATTATAGAGCACTGCTATAACATTACTTGACACAGAGCTTCAGATACACTCTGGCCATATCATCCTCTAAAATAAAGATCTATTTTCCCTAAGTTCTTTCCTGAAAGTCTCAGATCACTGGAGAGGCTGGAGTTGGGGTTGGGAACAGTGGAGGGGGAAGGTGATGAGGAGAAATGGTGGAAGTATCTCTCTGGAGGGGCTGCTGCTGACATTACAGGGTCCCCCAATAATAAAGCTGGTTCACCATCTAATTGTCCTGCAGAAAAGCCCTTTAGGCAACACACCTTGCCAATGCACCCGGAGCTTCCAAAGAGCCTTTTTAGGAGGCACTCTTAAAAACTAATGATCAGCCAAGGATTCTGACATTTCAAGAAAACCTGCAACATGAAAGACACATACTGAAACAAACAGAGAAAAATGGAATTCAGATGTTAGAAGGCAGAGAGTTCTTGACCCTGGAAAGAGTTAAGTCGAGTTACAATCACTGTTTGTAAAGCTGTTTGATCTGCAATGTTAGCACTGCTATGGCCACAGTCTCATATCACTAAGGATTACATTCAACTGCAAGTAACCCACCACCAGACTATAGTGGCTTAAACAAATAGCCATTTATTATTGTGACAAAACAAGAAGTTGGAGGTAGCAGCTGCAGGAATTGGTTCAATATCCCAATTATGGCAGGAACGGCACCTTTGTGATTTTCTCCTTCGTTTTCTCACGGTCCAAGATGGTCATTGCAGTTTCAGGAATCATATCTTATTAAAGGCTGATGCAGTCCCCATGCCCTTCTTTATGAGTGGGGAATCCTATACAGAGTATAAGGGAGGCTGTTAATGGGAGTAGCTTAATGGCTGCCAAGGGCTCAGAGAAATCTTTCTTCATATTTGTAGAGCCCAGTTTCTCATCAGAGGACTCTTAGCTTAGATTGGTGTTAAATGCAAGTAGTCAGGTAATGATCATTGTGATGGTTAATATTGAGTGTCAACTTGATCGGATTGAAGGATGCAAAGTATTGTTCCTGGGTGTATCTGTGAGGGTGTTGCCAAAGGGGATTCACATTTGAGTCAGTGGACTGAGAAAGGCAGACCCAGCCTCAACCTAGGTGGGCACAATCTCATCAGCTGGCAGCATGGCCATAAAAAAAAGCAGGCAGAAGAATGTGGAAAGACTAGACTAGTTGAGTCTTCTGGCCTCCGTCTTTCTCCTGTGGTGGATACCTCCTGCCCTCAGACATCAGACTGCAAGTCTTTGAGGGCAGCTTTGGGACTCTTGGGCTTTAGACCACAGACTGCAGGCTGCACTGTTGGCTGCCCTACTTTTGAGGCTTTGGGACTCGGACTGGCCTCCTTGCTCCTCAGCTTGCAGACAGCCTATTGTGGGACCTCACCTTGTGATTGTGTGAGTCGATACCCCTTAATAAACTCCCGTTTATGTATACGTATATATATTAGTTCTGTCCCTGTAGGGAACCCTAATACACTCATTTATAAATTAGTAGATTGTGCCACTGCTGACACCTGCTTGCCTAACGAAGCTTCCTATCTAGTTAACTGACAGTGTGCCCTTGTGGGACTGTTATCACTGACATCAAAAGGATGTGGGGGGAGGGGAAAAATCCCACAGTGGGTCTTAAGAAGACAGTTCTACAAGCACATCACTTTTCAAAGGTTTAACACCATTTAAAAACCATTTCATGTTACATACAATATAGAAAACATCCTCAAATGGTTTAAAGATACGTTCCTGTGACTATGTAAAGCTGGCAGTCTTCTGTGGAACTCTATAGAGTTTTCTCAGATCCTCAGGAGATTAATTCAGAGATGAGCTAAGCTAACTTGGGAATCAGTCCCTGGAGCTGGGTTGTGGATGACAACAATTCCAGCTTTTTCTTTTAAACATAACAAAGCTCAAGCACCATTATATAATGGTAATGTAAATCAAAACCACTGGGGAAAAATCACCCATAATTCCACTACTTTAACAAATAAACCAGTTTCATTTTTCCATGTATCTTTAATGATGATTGACATATTTCTTTAAATGACAAATCACCCATCTAAATGCAAGCTGCTCTTGAGCTATGAGAGATGGTTACAGAGCATTTGGGGGTTAGGGCCACACAAGAGGTTTGATTCACTGTCTTTAAAACTCTTCTGACCCTTACAAAGTAGCAAATTTTAAAAATCGTAATTTGTGTACACATCTTGTCTGTTCTAGATTATAATCGCTCAGAAGACAAATGAGAATCATGGTTTACTCACAATTGCATTCCCTGAAATACCTAGTTCATAAAAGACATATGTACCTTGTCCATAAAACACAATTAATAAATATTTATTGAAAAAGTGAATGGGGGCAGAGCACCATGGCTCATGTGTGTAATCCTAGCACTTTGGGAAGCCAAGGTGGGTGGATCATCTGAGGTCAGGAGTTCGAGACCAGCCTGGCCAAGATGGTGAAACTCCATCTGTACTAAAAATACAAAAAATTAGCTGGGCGTGGTGGCATATGCCTGTAATCCCAACTACTCAGGAGGCTGAGGCAGGAGAATTGCTTGAACCTAGAAGGTGGAGGTTGCAGTGAGCCCAGATCGCGCCACTGCCCTCTAGCCTGGGTGACAGAGTGAGACTCCATCTCAAAAAAAAAAAAAAAAAAAAAAAAAAAAAAAGTGAATGCGGCTGATCAAGATGGGGGTGTGGAGGCTAGGAGTGAGACCAGGAGGTGATAGCAAGGCTGCCTGTTTCCCAGCTCCTCTCTGGTTTGGCCAGTAACACAGTCTTGCATGAGAAGAGGGCTGAAGGGGAAGGGAGTGTGGGACACCACCATCAATTTTCTCAGTGCCGCTCTCTGGAGTCCCTGTCTGCTTCTGGCCACCCTAAGCTCTCAGCTCTATTTACCTACAGACCAGAGAAAAAACATTGTGCGATCTTTGAGACACTCTGCCCTCTGGTATCTACTTGCCAGAGTTGCTGTAAGGATTGCATGAGTTCATATATGTAAACTGCTTGACAAAATGCGTGACATGTGGTGTATTCGGAGATTAGGTAGAGTCCATGGGGGCACAGCCAGAGTAACAGACAGTCCTAGAAGAGGCATGCTAGAGACAGCCCGGAGCAGTTAGGGGCCCGAGGACAAGAAGTAATTTGGAGATAGCCAGTTAAACGTTTACCAGCACACACTGAATAGAGGCATGTGCTGGGACAAAGAGCCGTGTACTTAGAGACTTCAGGATGAAAATGCAAATGGACAAAACCATCAACTCCATCAGTGGGGGCAGCAGAATACCATGAGTGGCAGAGAAAGGAACATTTTCATTCAGGGGTCATCATCCAGGAATAAGACCAAACTAGTCCTTCCACAGCAGAGACCAGCAAAGATCCTGGATACCAACTGGATCTGAAGCCCCTCCCCCTACTGCCCCAGAATGCTGCAATCCAGTATCACTGAGCTGCCATCCTGAGGATGCCACTGGACATCTGTCCCCATGACTCAGTCATCCAGAAGACTGTTTAAAAGCCGAGACTAGGCCGGGCGCGGTGGCTCACGCCTGTAATCCCAGCACTTTGGGAGGCCGAGGCGGGCGGATCACGAGGTCAGGAGATCGAGACCACGGTGAAACCCCGTCTCTACTAAAAATACAAAAAATTAGCCGGGCGCAGTGGCGGGCGCCTGTAGTCCCAGCTACTCGAGAGGCTGAGGCAGGAGAACGGCGTGAACCCGGAAGGCGGAGCTTGCAGTGAGCGGAGATCGCGCCACAGCACTCCCGCCTGGGCGACAGAACGAGACTCCGTCTCAAAAAAAAAAAAAAAAAAAAAAAAAAAAAAGCCGAGACTATGAGACTTTTGATTGGCTGGTCAGTTTTCAAATAGTTGGAATCTAGAATCCAGTTCTCATCTTAGATTCACTTTTCCACCTTGACTTTTACTCCCCCTTAGCGAGGCACACATTGTCTTCTGGTGCTCACAGGCCATAGCAGTTAAAGTGGTAGACATCTATTTGTTTCTGTCTTTTTCTCCATAGTGACCAGTCCTGATGGACTATTCACAATCGCTCCTCCTTGGCTTATCAGGCCTCATGCAAATCACATGCTGTCCCAAATGACCAGTGAACTGCCTCCGAAGGAACCAAAGTGACAGGGGCTGTGGAGCTGAGGACCTCTCTCTAATCCCTCCAGGCTGAAAAATTAATGGCCCACTTTTTCTGATGGTAAAATAATAATTAGTATGATTAATATTAGTAATAAAATTATTAAATAATGTAAAGCTTGATGAAATCTCTTTGGGTGATAGGAAAATGAATTGCTATAGGATCTTGGATTCTTGTACTAAAAAGGAGAATTTTTTTTTTTTTTTTTTTTTTGAGATGGAGTCTTGCTCTATATCCCAGGCTGGAGTGCAGTGGTGCAATCTCAGCTTACTGCAACCTCCACCTCCTGGATTGTAAGCAACTTTCTCTGCCTCAGCCTCCCAAGTAGCTGGGATTACAGGTGCTCCCCACCACCCCCAGCTAATTTTTGTATTTTTAGTAGAGACGGGGTTTTGCCATGTTGGCCAGGCTGGTCTTGAACTCCTGACCTCACGTGATCCACCCGCCTCAGCTTCCCACAGTGCTGGGATTATGGGAGTGAGCCACTGTGCCAGAGAAATTTTTTAAAATGGTGTGTGTGTGTTTTTTTTTTTTTTGAGATGGAGTCTCGCTCTGTCGCCCAGGCTAGAGTGCAGTAGCGTGATCTCGGCTCACCACAACCTCCGCCTCCCAGGTTCACCCCATTCTCCTGCCTCAGCTTCCCGAGTAGCTGGGACTACAGGCTCCCGCCACCAGGCCCGACTAATTTTTTGTATTTTTAGTGGAGACAGGGTTTCACCATGTTAGCCAGGATGTTCTTGATCTCCTGACCTCATGATCTGCCTGCCTCGGCCTCCCAAAGTGCTGGGATTATAGGCGTGAGCCACCACGCCCGGCCTAAATGGAGTTTTTAAACTGTTCTACACTAGAGGATGAACAGCCTGCTTTCTGTAGACCTCCTGATTACGTTATCCTTGATCTTATATACATTAGACTCTGGTTGGAGAGAAAAATACACACACACGCCAAACAGATTCCATTATTCTCAGTTTAGAAAAAAAACCTCATTAAATTTGTAGGTAGTACCTTAGTGATAGTGCTGATAGGAGGTGAACTAAATTCAAGAATGTCTGTTGAATCCATTACCTGCACTGAAAAAAAAAAAACCGGGATTTTACGCTTATACAGGGCCATTTTGACCTGGCTACATCAAAATGGCTGCTTAAAAATGTCCTGCTTCAGACTTGTGTTGTATTCGGTCTTGCAAACACATCCTATCCTGACCACCTCACTCCCTGCTCCTTAAAACTATACCCTAAAGAACACAGGAGCATTTGCCTGTGACACAGATCAGGAAGAATCCATTCACAAACAACCATAACAATATGCTTTTTACACATACTAGGAGCAGAGGTAAAGCCTATGCAAATTATTTTTCTTCATCATATCTTTTAGGTATAATTTTAAAATTCTAGACATTCAACGATCTGCAGGTGATTGGTAATACTATTTTGCTGGCTGCACAATGTGAAAATACTATAGCATATAATGAGAAGTAGGGAACAATTCTATCTTTTGTGGTCAAGGCCCTCACATGTCAGACATGTTGTGGTTTTCTTCTGCAAAAGAAGCGGGAGGTGGAATAGGGAAGTAAGGAGAAAAGGGAAATGACTGAAGAGATTCAGTCATTCATTCAACAAATACTCATTGAGCCCTACTGTGTTCCAGCACTATTCCAGGCACTGTTAATAGAAGCAAAACAAAGATCTCTGCATTTGGAATTCTAACTGGAATAAGGTTATACCGGACATGAGTATGGGAACTGTTGGTGCATAATGATGTGTAATGTTCTCATTTGAGTCTATAGTATACTTCTTATAGCTACGTTGGAACATACCGTAGATATTAAATGCAAATATTCACCTATGAGAATTCTTTTTTTGAGACGGAGTCTCGCTCTGTCGCCCAGGCCGGACTGCAGTGGCGCTATCTGGGCTCACTGCAAGCTCCATCTCCTGGGTTCACGCCATTCTCCTGCCTCAGCCTTCCGAGTAGCTGGGACTACAAGCGCCCGCCACCGCGCCCAGCTAATTTTTTTGTATTTTTAGTAGAGACGGGGTTTCACCGTGTTAGCCAGGATGGTCTTGATCTCCTGACCTCGTGATCCGCCCACCTCGGCCTCCCAAAGTGCTGGGATTACAGGCGTGAGCCACCGCGCCCTGCCGAGAATTCTTACAGCAATTGTGGTGGTGCTGTTCTTGATGCCATTGGTGAGCCAACATTTACCACATACAAGAAGGTGTGTAGAAACCCAAAACTGAAATTAGAGGTAGGAAATATGGCTGGAAAATGTTATAGAAATGCCATATATATATTTTTTTTTCAATTTTGTGAGCATTTATTTGTTAATTTCTAAAGTTCTCGCTCCCTTTAAAATATGTCCCTTCTTCCCCCCCAACTTTTATTCCAGCTGCAGGGGGTATATGTGCAGGTTTTATACATGGGTAAATTGCATGTCACAGGGGTTTGGTGTTCAGATTATTTTCTCACCCAAGTAATAAGCATAGTACTCGACAGGTAGTTTTTTGATCCTCACCCTCCTCCCACTCTTCACCCTCGAGGAGGCTCCAGTGTCTGTTGTTCCTTTATTTATGTCCATGTATACTTAATGTTTAACTCCCACTTCTAAGTGAAAACATGCAGTATTTGGTTTTCTGTTCCTGAGTTAATTTGCTTAGGATAATGGTGTCCAGCTCCATCCATGTTGCTGCAAAAGACATGATTGCATTCTTTTTTATGGCTGCATAGTATTCCAGGGTGTATATTACCACATTTTCTTTAACCAGTCCACCACTGATGGTCATCTAGGTTGAATTCCATCTCTTTATAGCCTCATATTTTTGTGGTACTGTGGCTTCTTCCTGGTCTTTGTTACAGGAAAGACATTTAAGTGATGTCAGCTATAAAAAGGCTAAAGTTTGTCATCTGAAAGATAAAACACCAGAATCTCTACCTTTAGTTTCATCAACATTTTCCAGGTCTTTCTTCTATATCACCACCTAAAAATCACTTATGATCTTATGAAAGTATAAATTCCAGAGAACAACAATTTGTTTTGAAGACTGTGATAGACACTGCTAGTTACCTGTTTAGTGACCATTTCCCACTTCTTTCTTGTTGAGATAATTCTAATTTTATTAGGGCAGCAATGGCAGTTCCTGGTATAGATACGAACTTTTCCAGCCAAATCGGGGGCCACGTGACATGGTTCTGGCCAATAAGATGATACAATAAAGAAAGATATAGTTGGTACCATCTTTGCCTTCTTTTTTCCCTCTGTGGCCTTGAACAATATATATGTGATTCCTGAAACTGCAACAGCTATCTTGGACCCTGAAGAAAAGAGTGGAAAATTACAGAGGTGCCATTTCTGCCACGATTGAGATATTGAATCAATGCCTGCAGCTGCTACCTCCAACTCCTTGTTATGTCACAAAAATAAACGGCTGTTTGTTTAAGCCATTGTAGTCTGGTTTTCTGTTACTTGTAGTTGAATGTTATCCTTGGCGATATGAGACTGTAGCCATAGCAGCACTAACTCTGTTGATCAAACAGCTTCACAAACAGTGATTGTAACTTGACTTTACTCTTTCCAGGGTCAAGAACTCTCTGGTTTCTAACATCTGAATTCCATTTTTCTCTGTTTATTTTGGTATTTGTGTTTCATGTTGCAGACCGTTTTGAAATGTCTGGGATCCTTGGCTGGCTATTATTTTTAAGAGTGCCTCCTAAAAAGCCTCTTTGGAAACTCTGGGTGCATTGGCAATGTGTGTTGCCTAAAGGGCTTTTCTGTAGGATGATTAGATGGTGGACCAGCTTTATTATTGGGGAACCCTGTAATGTCAGAGCCTGAAGGCCTTTTCTCTCGGACTATCCAGTTTCTCCAGAGGATTGATTAGGTTTGGTGGTGGTGGGGCACGGGGTGGGGGTAGGTACATGCTTGGTTACTGGCATTTTGAGAGCAGGAAAGGGACATGCCTGACATGTTCACAGTTCGGTACATAGTCTCTTACATGAAACTACAGTTTTCAGGTCTGTAACTCATTTTGTCCTGCATGTAGCTTAATCTTCAAGTTCAGAGACTGCTGGGTTAATCAGAATATGAACCTCCATTCTCTTTTGGGGTAGTGAGCAGAGAGGGGTCTGGCTGCTTGAGAGTTGTTGAGGAGACTGGAAGTCCAACCATTTCCCACACATGTAGCCCTCCAATCTTAATAATCTTGGAGTCACAGCTTCACTTCTACCTTCTGTGGCTCTTGCTGCCTGCAAGCACTGAGACTCTTTACAGCTCATTACTCATTGAAATTCCCCGCCAAGATGCTTAGATTTCCACTTCCTCTATCCTATTAAGTCATTTTTACTTCTCCATTCACTTTCCATCTTCCCTAAGTTTGTTGAATATTCTTTGTTCTTGTTTCTTCTCCAACTTGTGGCTGGGGGCTAAAACCTCTTTTCTGTGTATTCCTTTACTATTGTGTCACTGGTGTTTGGGAGGAGGCACAGAAGTGTGGTCACTCTACCATGTTTTCCTTCCTTTTTCTAGTTAACTTTATTTTGAATCCCAGAATGTACGGTAGTGAGCATTTATCCTAGTCTGTTTTATGTTGCTGTAATGGAATATAACAGACTAGGTAATTTATAAAGAAAATGAATTTATTTCTTATAGTTCTGAAGGCTGAGAAGTCCAATGTTGGGGGGTCTGCATCTTATGAGGGCCTTCTTGCTGTGTTATAACCATGGCAGAAGGGCAAGCAAGCACACAGGACAAACAGACAGGATGGGGGCCAAACTTATCTATTTATCAGGAGCCCACTCCTGAGATAACATTTTTTTCAGGGCCTAATCATATCTTAAAGACTCCACCTCTTAATACTGTTACAATGGCAAATTAAGTTTCCAACACATGAATATTGGGAAACAGATTCAAACCATAGTAGCATCCCAATAGTTGGCTGTAGGAATGAAAACCCCTGAGAAGAATTGAATAGTTCAGCGGATTGTGGCAGGAGCTCAAATCACTTATTGGTGAAAGAAATCCTACCCAAACAGGTAGGATTACAAAAGAGGAATTCCAAAAGAGGAATTTATTGGTTCACTAAAGTGGGTGGTTCAAGTTGAATGGACACTTTTGATCTAAAGGAGAAATTCAGAGCGTGAATCTATTATGTAGGAGGAAGAAAAGCTCCTTAGGTTAGTTAGTAGAAGTAAAATGAGTTAAATCAGTAAATTCAGGGCAAAGTGAACCTGTCAGCCAGAAGTTTTAGAAAGGGAGAGAAAGCAAGGACACAAATTGGCAGAAATTGCAGAATGTTTATGTGAAAACAAATGCAAAGGGAGCCAAGAATCCATGGGAATTTCACCTGGTATGATTCAAGTTCCATTCAAGTTGTGGTGTGCTGTTTGCTCCCCTTCCAGTTCTGACAATAGCACACCCTCTTTATGATAATGACAAAGACCACATTGAATAAAGTCAACAACAATTAGGGGCAAAACTATAGGTGGTCTAGCTAACTGAACCTTGGGGGACTATCTGGAGTGGAGCTTTGAAAGTGATTTGTGCCACCGATAAAATAATAATATTGGCTGGGTGCACCGTGCCTGACACCTGTAATCCCAGCACTTTGGGAGGTCAAGGTGGGCTGATTGCATGAGCTCAGGAGTTTGAGACCAGCCTGGGCAACATGATGAAACCCTGCCTCTACAAAAAATACAAAAAAATTAGCCAGGCAAGGTGGTGTGCACCTGTAGTCCCAGCTATTTGGCGGGCTGAGGTGGGAAGATCACTTGCACCCAGGAGGTGGAGGCTGCAGTGAGCCGAGATCCTGCCACTGCACTCCAGCCTGGGCAACAAAGTGAGACCCTGTCTAAAATAAAATAAAATAAAATAAATAGAAGAATAATATCAGAAGGAAAACAATTTATGTTACATAAAAAGGTTTAGTTAGACTCTGCAGGCTTGATAGTGATTGTAGGTACTTCCAACTGTTGTCTCTCGCCCTGACTTTGGTCAAAGTTAACAAAGACAGTGAATTGTGTGTTTGTGTATTCTTATTGTCCCACCAGTTGTTTTGTTGGCACCACTGCCTGGAAGAAACCCCAGGAACCCAGAACTGGGAAATGCTGGGAGTCTCTACTCCTGATGACCTTGGGAAACTGGTCTGGATTGGAGCAATGAAGCCTACTGTTCCTGAGTGGATGGTAGGAGAAAAAAAGAGTCAATGTGGAACCAGCTTCAGACAGAACTGGGATCCAGGGGCTCAGATGATGTCTTTAGGGCTGTTTTTCTGTCTCCTAGCTCTGCTTACCTCTTGCAGCTTCATTCTGAGCTTCTCCAATCCCAGGCTCCTATGTTCTTAGCTTAGTAAATCTGGTAAAAAGAGCCAGTCTTTCCCAATAGCTCTGACAAAAAACTCCTGGGGTTGATTCTGATATGTTCTACTTGGTCACATATATCTCTCTGGAACAACCAAGCAGACTAGGGAAATGGGGAACTCTGGTTGGCTTTGTCGGGTCACTTGCCTACTCTTGTGATGATGGCTGTGTAGCCCCAAGTGAGAGTTCAGCTCCAGCTGAGACACATGGATCGGGTTCCTCACAGGAAAGAGAGTTCTATCATAAGAAGGAGGAACCTGGCTATTAAAAATGAGAGCTGTCCATTACAGGTTCACTTACCACCGATGGATTAGAATCTTGCCCTTGTGTGCTGGCTAGCATAGCCCCTAACACAGATCACCTCATTCAATATAAAACATTCTAAACTTTCAGAATGGACACAGAACTGATTTGTTCTATGTAGCTTTAAGTGAACTTTAATTCAGAGTAATGATCATAGTACCTGCAGAAGTGATGCTATTACACTGTTACTTCATAGCTTCATAATATTAACTTGACAATCTGGTAACTGTGACCACGGCAGTGGCCAATGGTGGAGGAATACTTTTAGAGTCGGGGATGTGTCTCTATTGGTTTGCAGTGCCCAGCCTACTTTGAGCTAGGCTTCATCTCACTGTCCTTCATTATCAAAAGTTTTTGATCCACTTATTGGAATTTTTTGTCCATTGAAAAATAATGTAATGATGACTGCTTATGTAAATTTTACCTAAAAATGTCTACCTATGAGAAAATAGAATTTGCTTTACATCTTATTTATAGCGAACTTTTATGAAATACTTATTTTTAAAGTGAGGGACACCTGTGAAATATAAAACTGGGAATTGGTGGTGTATTTTTTTTTTTGTAAATCAGAGGTAGTTGGAATGTTCCCATACCTAGTCAACCCATGGAAACCAAAAAAAGTCATAATAACACTAAATGCCTAACTGAAAGGTTTCAATAACTTCCCCTCACAAAATCTCCACCAGTTAATCTGGGAGTTGTGAGCAAGTTTCCTGTATGTCCTTAGGAACAAGTCTGCTCATGTTCCTATGAAGGTCCAGTCTCCTGGCAGAAGTCCCTTGTTCCAAATCTGTTGGATGGAGGCGCTGGCCCTGTTGATGGGGCCCTTCCTGTAATTTCTGATTTTCTGCTGCCCTGTGCTTCACAGCACTTGGTGGACTGCTTTGCTCCCACTGTGTAGAAATGAAGGCAACGCCTCCAGCCCACTCTACCCTTTATTACCTGGGTCTCAGTGCTGTACATGCTGAATCTGACAATATGGCATGAGAAAGTTCCTTTGTCTTCTAACACTGATCTTCATAAAGACCTAATTGGGTCCACAGGACCAAACGGGTTGGGGTAGAGTAAAGGTGGAAGAGCCGAGAGGCCATGTTTTTCTCTCCACTCTCTTGAGATTCTTGCTCATAGCCTTTTACCTTTTCCTTTCTTCCTCAGCCTCCAAATTCCCCCAAGCCTCCAGGCATAGCTCTCCAAGTCAAGCATCAAATACCCCTGCACTTATTTATGGAATCACATATATGCCTCAGAACAGGAAAGGGTGATTGTCAACCATCTACATCTGCCTCTCTGGCAAGGTTTAGGCACTGGGTTACCCACTTCTCAGATATATTGCTTTGTAGAATAATATTATTGAGACTTTCTAAAACAGTTTAAAATCACCTGTTCTACCGGAGCAAGGAATAGAATGGCCATTTGAATATTGACAATTTTATTCTTTCCCAACCCTACAGTGTTAGAGTAGCCTACACTCTTTGTTCTATATTACCTACTTATGTTACTCAGCACATGTTCACAACTGAAGCTCTATTTCTTGTGCTCAAATTCACTAAATGAGAGAATGAACACGGTAGAACATTCTGCGAATGTTAGACGCTGTAATCCTTAATACATTTTTAAAAATAAAATTGAGAATTGTCAAAATATTTTAAGTAACTTTCCCATTGACGCCAAACATACATTAAATTCTTACTCAAATCCAGTGTTGGGTAGCAGTGATGGAATAATTCTGAATTCATTTTTTTCTTATACAAAATTTCCTTAGAAATTCTTTCTGATTTTGAGCAAGCTCCAAGAAGCATTCTGCAGAATAAGAATTATGGTTAGTACTAATGAGTCATTCTGTCCTTCTCCATCTGAATCACATATCAGTTCTGGCCTTATGGGTTTTTAAAAAATGATTTTGCAATCCTCTAAATAAAGTTTCCTTTGATGTCATTATAACGGGAGATTAAAATTATCTCTAATAATGAAACTGTATAATAACTTTTAAAGATTAAAACTCCTTAGAAGAGTTTGTGACTCACAACAGTACTCAATTTTAACCTTTAATATTTTTATTGCAAAAATATTAAAGAGGATGTTTAAAAACTTCAATGACTTCATCATCCTATTAGAAATGCCTTTTTAATTTTTCCAAATTTCCTCCCAGCTTTCTCCACATATGCACACATTTTTACATAGCTGTGATCATAGAGTATAACCCATGGTTCTCAACTCGGGGTGATTTTGCTACCTGTGGGGAGTTGGGAATGTTTGGAGACATTTTTGATTGTCACTACTGAGGATGGGTGGCGCTAGTGGTATCCAGGGGGCAGGGGTCAAGGGTGCTGGTAAACATTCTACAACGTACAGCTCCCTCTCAGCAAAGAATTATCTGGACCAAAATGTCAATGGTGCCAAGGTTGGGAAGCCCTGGTACACATGGTCACACTTTTAAAAATTAGACTTTTCAGGCCAGGCGCGGTGGCTCATGCCTGTAATCCCAGCACTATGGGAGGCCGAGATGGGTGGATCATTTGAGGTCGGGAGTTCGAGACCAGCCTGACCAACATAGTGAAACCCAGTCTCTACTTTAAAAAAAGCAAAATTAACTGAGCATGCTGGTGCATGCCTGTATCCCAGCTACTTGGAAGGCTGAGGCAGGAGAATCACTTGAACCCAGGAGGCGGGGGTTGCAGTGAGCCATGATCGTGGTGCCACTGCACTCCAGCCTGGGCAACAAGAGCGAAACTCCACCTCAGAAAAAAAAGAAAAAAGAAAAAAGAAAAATTAGACGTTTCAAAACTTTCCATCAAATAATAAATTGTTTTTTATTGTCACGAGTCTTATAATTACCCCTCAGTATATCTAGTTGACAATCATAATTTATCTAATGATTTCTTGACTCTTAGATGTCATAGATAATATTGTGAACATCTCTATGCATATGACTTCTATATTGGTTCGGACTAAACTTCAATTCTCCTGAGTAAAATTACTTTGACAAAGGATATTATCATTTTTATGGCTCTTATACTTGGTATGGGGATCTTATTAACTTTGGTAAAACGCATTTGTTATTAATAATTTATCAGAGAAAGTTAAAGTCTGCCTTTGACTATAGCTTCTAATGCTATTGTTTTGTAAGTGGGAAGTAATGGCACTGGGGGAGGGTTCTAACTGATGGTTTTAGCTTTTGAATAATGATGTCGTTTCACATTGCAGGGAGGATATCTCTTTACCCTCATTTGTGTTACCCACTGTGTCTGAAATCTCACATAAGTCTGTGGAGGAAAAAAGATATAACCATCTGCCTTAGCCTTCTTTAAGATATGAGTCCCTGGAATGGACACAGAGCGGGTTGGGACTGTGTCTTATTTATTCTTTTATCAGGGCCCACCACAGGGTCAGGTTGAAATGTTTATCATAAATGTTTGTTGAATGTAGGAGAGGTAACACATGAAGTGACTGAACGTAGCTGACTTTACTGGGGCAGACGACAGCAGAGGAAGCAGTGTGTTCCCATAAAATTATTGTTTTGTGGCAATGTTTTAGGATCCACAGATTTGTATGCCCGATCCACAGTAACAGGCCAGTTACACTGAGACAGCAGCAGAGGGTTTAATGATCACAGGGCGCCGAGTGAGGAGATGGGAGGAGAACTTCGAATCCATCCCTCCCAGGAGTTCTGGGCTGGGGCTTTTAAGGTGATCATGGAGGCTGAGGGGCTGGAAAACTGGAGTTGTTGATTGGTCAGGGTAAGGGGAATAAAATCATCAGGATGTAAAAACTGAATTCCTTGGTGAGTGAGCTCCTGGGGGTTCCTTCAGACCAGCTGATGTCAGTAGTGTTGTTGATACGTGGGACCAAAAAGAATATATCAAACGTAAAACTAAACATTTAATAATGTTCCAGTTGTTATCTATTGAGGAGTTAAGGGGAACTAAAATCTTGTAACAGGTTCTATGTGATTCTGAGGCAATAGCACCAAGCAACCATGAGGAAGCAGTCAGAGAGCAGCTGGCCTCATGATTAATGCTGAATGGGCGGTGAGCTTGGTTTATTTTTGTTTCTTCCCCTCCCTCCTTCCCTGATTAATTTTATAAAGTTTATAGGGATGGCTTCAGGAACACATGAAAATCATCGTGTTTCGATTTGTTCTTATAGTCATCATTATACTTAGTGATAAAGACTGTTGCTTTTGCTATCAGACTCTGCTAGAAATATTTGCTAACATTGGTGGTGGAAGCCAAGATATCAAAAGTCTGGGCCGGGCACGGTGGCTCACGCCTGTAATCCCAGCACTTTCGGAGGCCAAGGTGGGTGGATCACCTGAGGTCAGGAGTTCAAGACCAGTTTGATAATCTGGAGGTCCATAGGCAATCATCCTTCTCCACTACAAGACTGGACAGAGTTAATGTTTTAAAGTTGTGAAGTAGATGAAATTTGTTTTTGGTGATTTCAGCTTTCTTCACTCATTTTTTTTCTTCTGGCGTCTTCCTTCCCCGGGAAGGGCATCTCACCACACAGTGCCCTTGTGGTGCCGCAGCCATTCAGAATGCCACACCACAGTGCACATAGGATCCCTCAACACATAAGGCTGTGGCTACAAAATTCTCTCTCTTCTTTTCTCACCCAATAATTATTTCCCTCTAGTGCCCCACCACTAGCTGGATGATGGGGTGGAAATGCTGCTGCTTGTGAAAATAACTCAATCTGACTAGGTAGAACTATTTTGCCTTCCCTAGTTTAAAAGAACTTGAGTTTTGTCTTACTGTATACAGGACCAAAAGCAAAAATGATGGGCTGGGCGCGGTGGCTCATGCCTGTAATCCCAGCACTTTGGGAGGCTGAGGCAGGATAATTGCTTGAACCCGGGAGACAGAGGTTGCAGTGAGCCAAGATCCAGCCTGGGTGCCAGAGCGAGACTCCATCTCAAAAAACAATAACAAAAACACCAAAAATTATGTCTAAATTGCAGATATACACATTAGTATTCATGCAGAAGCATTTCCAATGATCGTTTTTGTACATTTCACTTATTTTTCTGTAAAAAACATTGCACTATGGAAACAGTCGAGAAGATTAGCTTTTTCTCTTCTCTCTTCCTGTGGTCATTTTGGTGCCAGTTGCAGAGTAGCTGAAGCCATCCTAGAGACTTTGCTTTCAGACTGAGATAAAATGGTGTATTAGTACCTTCTTCTTCACACTGAAATCTTATAATAAATTCTTATAATAGGAGTTGATTTGGTAATATGTTAGTTGATCATTGCGAACTTTAGTTCTCTTAATTTGTTGCAAGAATAATTTTTTTTTCAATTTCTGCTACTAATAAAAGATTCTAAAAAGAGCACACATGTTGGCCAATTTGCCAAGACTCCTACAGAGACTAGTAAGCCAAATATTGCATCCCTAGACTCTCTTGCAGCTATTATTACTTAAGCTTCAACAATCAGAGCCTCTATGTAAGATCCGGAAGGCTGTTTCTGCTGCTAGGCTTGGCTTTGGGTGCGTTTTTTTTCTTCTATAACAATGGTTCTGGAGGTTCCAGTGTTCACTTATTAGTTTCCTGAATATCAGGAAACATGGGGTGGTGCATCTACTTTGCCAGTGCAGATTATAGTTGGTATGGTGTGATTCTGGAGCTGGCCATGGAAGTGGCAGCTTCCTGATCGTGATGGCTTCCAGACTGTGGTATGGTGGCGTAGTGCTGGAGCAGTCAGCTTCACAATGAGCAACAGCACCGCTCTTTTGGTTTCCCAGTTCTGAGTTATGGTTTTGTGAGTCACTCCATTAATAGTTTCAGTTCTTTAAGTGCTTTAATACTTCTAGCTTAAACTAACCAGACTGGATTCTGTTCTTTGCAACTGAACTTTGGCTGATAATAGTCTGCTCTATTTGTTTTCAGGATCACTCATGTATTCATTGATCTTTTAGCAAATATTGATTGAGGGCCTTCTTATAAATAGGTGGCGAGATATATATATTTTTTTCCAGGGATGTAAAACAATGGTTTTAGTTCACACAAATTATAGGTTGCTTAAAAAGTTATATTTCTAGGGCCGGGCACGGTGGCTCACGTCTGTAATCTGAGCACTTTGGGAGGCAGAGGTGGGAAGATCACTTGAGGTCAGGAGTTCAAGACCAGCCTGGCCAACATGGTTAAACTCTGTCTCTACTAAAAATACAAATATTAGCTGGATGTGGTGATGGGTGCCTGTAGTCCCAGCTACTCAGTAGGCTGAGGCATGAAAATCACTTGAACCCAGGAGGTGGAGGTTGCAGTGAGCCAAGATTGTGCCACTGTACTGGAGCCTGGGCAATGGAGCAAGACCCAGTCTCAAAAAAAAAAAAAAAAAAAAAAGAAAAGATTATATTTCTAGGAAAGTATTTCCGTCTAAATAAGGCAGAAAAATCTAAAGTCCCAATTCCAATGTAGTTACCATAGATAGTTCATATGTCCTTATTGGTATAGTGAAAAGAAGATCGGAATTTAGAGACAAAAGATTAGTCTTTCTGAACTTCACCTGCCAAATGGACACAGTAAGGACCTTCCCTGTTAGCTTATATAGTTTCTGTGAGAATCAAATTAAGCAATGTTTGTGATACTGCTTTGTACATAGTAAAGTGCTATACAATGCTGGTTATTTATTTGTAGTTAGTAATAATAGTAACTTTATTCTCTAAAGTTTTCTACATCAGATGGTTACAATAGCACATTCAAATAAAACTATTTTTTGTTTGCCTAATTCTTCAATTAAGGGCAAATTCTTATTTTTTTTAAATTTTATTTTATTTTAATTTTAAGCTCTGGGATACACGTGCAGGATGTGCAGGTTTGTTACATAGGCAAACATGTGGCATGGTGGTTTGCTGCACCCATCAACCCATCACCTAGGCATTAAGCCCTGCATGCATTAGCTATTTATCCTGATGCTCTCCCTTCCCCTGCCCAAATTCTGATTTTTATATAATGATGTGCTTACAGGTAAATCAGAGAGTAATTACTCACTTTGTAAAGGAATTTCACTTTTGAAAATATTCACAATAGGAAAGTTTTTGTTAAAATGCTTCTCTCACATTTATTACAATTGGCTGATTTATAAATTTAAATCATATGCATTTTGGTACATCAAGTGCACAAAATGAGCCATATCTATGCAGTTATTTGAAAAATGGAATTATATTTTTAAGATGATTTCATTTCAAATATGGGTGAGGAGCAAATCATATTATAGATCAGTCTTTTGAGACATCTTCATAGACATAATTTGCAAAGCTGACATGCTCTGTTTCATGTGCTTCTTTTTCTTGAGGCAGAGAAAGAGAAGCTTAGTTTAGATCAACAAACATCTAGCCAGGCAATGTTCTAGGTGCTGAAGACACAAAGATGAATGAGATCAGTCCAGTCCAATCCTGTGCAACGAGGTAGCCACTTTTATGTGGCTATTGATCACTTAAAGTGTGGCTAGCATGACTGATATGGTTTGGGCTGTGTCCCCACCCAAATCTCAACTTGAATTGTGTCTCCCAGAATTCCTATGTGTTGTGGGAGGGACCCAGGGGGAGGTAATTGAATCATAGGGGCCAGTTTTCCCCGTGCTGTTCTCTTTCTCCCTCTTTTTTTTTTTTTTTGAGACAGAGTCTCACTTTATCACCCAAGCTGTAGTGCAATGGTGTGATCCCGGCTTACTGCAACCTCTGCCTCCCAGGTTCAAGCGATTCTCCTGCCTCAGTCTCCTGAGTAGCTGGGATTACAGGTGCAGGCCACCATGCCCAGCTACTTTTGTATTTTTAGTAGAGATGTGGTTTCACCATGTTAGCCAGGCTGGTCTTGAACTCCCGACCTCATGTGATCTGTCTGCCTTGGCCTCCCAAAATGCTGGGATTACTGGCAGGAGGCACCATGCCTGACCCCATGCTATTCTTATGATACTGAATAAGTCTCATGAGATCTGATGGGTTTATAAGGGGTTTCCACTTTTGCTTCTTCCTCATTTTCTCTTGCTGCCACCATGTAAGAAGTGCCTTTCACCTCCCACCATGATTCTGAGGCCTCACCAGCCATGTGGAACTGTAAGTCCAATTAAACCTCTTTTTCTTCTCAGTCTTGGGTATGTCTTTATTAGCAGTGTGAAAATGGACTAATACAGTGACATTAATTTTCTGGATTTAGGGGTGAGGGTGAGGAAAGTACTGTAATAGTTTTGGAAAGTAAATAGCAACAAGGGAAACAATGATACAATTCTGTTTAAAATATGTCCTATTGATTCAAATGTTCCCTAACATATTCAGAATGTAAAGACATCGCCTGCTTCAGAAAGCTGAAGATAGGGAGGGTGAAAAAACTGAGGTCTAACAAACCTACTGCATGTGTGATCTTTAGCATCCGTTGTCCTTTTTGTAGTAGTCTCAGTATCAAAGATCAGGAAAGGATGAGTGAATTAGTAAACTTGCTTACAAAGGAAACTTCTTTGATGGGGTGAGATGCACCCTTCCCAAGGTATTTTTAATTTGCTCAAATTAAAAGAGACAGAAAAGAAGAGCTGGGAGCTTAAAATTGAATTATTTTTCTTTAGGAGAAACAAAACAATAGAATATTCTGTGAAATAATTGGGAATGATCAAGAGCACTTAATATCTTTTTGTTGTTAAGTATGAGCAATTATTTGTTAATTTTATCCATATTTTCATATGCAAGGTGAATTTCATTTGGCAAATTCTATTCACTCTCAACTGTGGACAGAAATGCTATCATTTCGTTCTTTATTAAATTATAATGTATTAAAATTATTTTTTAAATGTCTAAAGCAATATCAAGTCACACAAGTCAGAGGGAAAAGTGAAAATAATTTAAATATTATTTCTAAGACTGAGGTCAAATGGCTGTAACCAATAACAAGAACCTGAATTGGCTGGGCGCGGTGGCTCACGCCTGTAATCCCAGCACTTTGGGAGGCTGAGGCGGGCAGATCACGAAGTCAGGAGATCGAGACCATCCTGGCTGACACGGTGAAACCCCGTCTCTACTAAAAATACAAAAAGTTAGCCAGGCTTGGTGGCGGGCACCTGTAGTCCCAGCTACTCGGGAGGCTGAGGCAGGAGAATGGCGTGAACCCGGGAGGCGGAGCTTGCAGTGAGCCAAGATGGCGCCACTGGACTCCAGCCTGAGCGACAGAGCGAGACTCTGTCTCAAAAAACAAAAAAAACCTGAATTTTACCTCTCATTATCGGGTATATGAGTGAGTACTTCTAAGGTTAATCTTTTATTTTTGCAGATTTATCATAATTTTTTTTTAAAGAGGTCAAACACTGTGGCAGCTGGATTCCCAGAGCAGCTGTGCATGACAGCTGATAGAGTAGACCACTGTGGTTACACTCGACTACATCTTGAGCTAATAGTGCTTGAGGCATTTCCTGCAGAGTGCATCCTCCTGGAACTGCGGCTTCTTTTGACCATTACTAAGCAAATATAGGTTGAATTAAAGGGGCTAGTTTCAGCAACAGTGCCACAGTACTCTTTCTCAGTGATCTCTGTCAAACAAGTGGCATCGTCAGAAATAGTGCACTCTGGATTTAACAAAACTTCATAGAAACTAACTGATTTGTCTCTGAATAGCTGGATTTCATGTTAAGTATGTTGTCTTAATCATAACACACCTCTATGGCTCTAATCCTTTGGAAGTGTGACTCACAATAAGATGTGCATGAAGGTTTTACTGGACTTTAACAGGAGTTGAGGCAGGAAACAAAAGTTTTGCATATTCAATGAAATGGCAGCAATATTGGAAATTGAGTTTGGGTATGAAAAACTTGTAATTTGCATCTTTAGTTATTCAAATAATGCATCCATCAGAAAATGGTGACACTTTTCACATAATTTCTGGGCTTTTTCTACAGAAATTAAGTTGAAGGCTAGGCACAGTGGCTCATGCCTGTAATCCCAGCACTTTGGGAGGCTGAGGTGGGTGCATTGCATGAGGCCAGGAGTTCACAACCAGTCTGGCCGACATGGTGAAACCCCATCTCTACTAAAAGTACAAAAATTAACCAGACATGGTGGCACAAGCCTGTAATCCTAGCTACTTGGGAGCCTGAGGCACAAGAATCAGGAGGCGGAGGTTGCAGTGAGCCTAGATCATGCCACTGCACTCCAGCCTGGGTGACAGAGCAAGACCCTGTCTAAAAAAATAAAAATAAAAAAAGTAAAAAATTAACACTAAAACAGTGCATTATATTTGTAATTTCCTGTGGAAGTAAATTGAATTTCCTTATACAAATGCAAATGATGAAAACTATAACGTATTCAATCCTTCCCAGGATTATAGCTACATAAACCCAGGTATAAATTAGTGAATGAAGCTGAGTTCAGTGGCTCATGCCTGTGATCCCAATGCTTTGGGAAGCTAAGGCAGGAGGATCTTTTGAGCCCAGGAGTTTGAGACCAGCCTGGGCAATATGGTGAGACTCCCGTCTCTACCAACAACAACAACAAAAAATAGCTGGGTGTGGTGGTATGTGCCTGTGGTCCCAGCTACTTGGGAGGCTGGGGTTGGGAGGATTGCTTGAGCCCAGGAGGTAGATGCTACAGTGAGCTATGATTGCGCTACTGCACTCCACAGCCTGGGCAGCAGAGTGAGATCCTGTCTCAAATAAAGAAATAAATAAAAAGGAGAAATCAGTGAATGAATTAGCATCATTATATAATAAGTGACTATAAATTAGATCTGTATGTCCATGGTAATAAATAACACAATAATTAAATCATCAGTCTTCTGATGACGAGTACTGGCTCTGGAACCCGATTGCTTGGGTTCCAGTCCTGGCTTTTCAATTTATTAACTGCAGCTCTAGGGCAGGTTTCCTTTTTTTTCTTTTCTTTTTTTTGAAACAGGGTTTCACTCCAACACCCAGGCTAGAGTGTAGTGGTGCAGTCACGGCTCACTGTAGCCTGGACCTCCCTGGGCTCAGGCAATCCTCCCACCTCATCCTCCTGAGTGGCTGGGATTACAGGCACGCACCACCATTCCAGGCTAATTTTTACAATTTTTGTGGAAACAGGGTCTTGCCACGTTGCCTAGGCTGGTCTCAAACTCCTGGGCTCAAGTGATCTGTGTGCCTCTGCCTCCCTCTGTGCCCAGCCTAAGGCAGGTTTCTTAATCTCCCCTAGACTGTTTCTTTAATTGTATACTGGGAAGAGTAATAATAATGCCTCTGGTAGAAGGCTTCTGTCAGAATTTATTGACAAAACCCTTTCAGTGGTTAGCACAGTGACTGGCACATTAAATGTGGCTATTAATTATTGTATATGTATTATTACATATGGATGCTTGTAGCCTATCTCTTGGGTATGAGCCTTGTTTCCACAACTTGATTGCAAGCTTTGAGAGGGCAGGGACCAGCTCACGTAGTCCTCTCATCACCTAGCACAATGTCTTATAAATTTTATAGATCAGTAACGAGATTTAAAACTAAAGGGCAATTTGAGGCTGGATTGATTATAAAGGCCCTTGACTCTCAATTTCCCTAGGCCTGCCCTAAGCCTGTCTCCTACTCCAGTATAGCTGGAGTCCCCTTTGAGCTGTGGCAATGGGAGCTCTTGGCTGCTGCCTACTTGACAGCAGCGAATTCAATCAAATGTTCAGAAAATAGTCAAAGGTCTGAGGCCGTAATGCATGAGAGGTTCCAGACAGTCATGGCATTTAGGAGCTGTTTCTGCTTTTCTTAGGTATTTCTGGCTACTGGGCAGTGTGTAATTTCTTTGTCTCACCTAAGTGAAATAATGTAGAGTATAATTTATGTCCTCTCTCTTTAGCTCCTCATGCCCTGGTGATGAGCTAGCTAGTATTTTCCTTATCAAAGGACCTACTGTCACTGTCTGAACAACTCATCTGCAACAAGCTCGCATTTCACCCATGGTTAACGAACTGATTGGTGTCCTTTAAAAATGCTTTCTAAGTTTTACTCCCTCAATATTTTTTTTTTTACTCAACTGGGCTACTTACAAAAAGAACAAAGTTTAATACTGGTACATATTGAATTCCACCTGCTGTTTGTGAACGCTGAGCACAGCAGCCCTAGGTTTGGCAAGGCTGGATTTCCTTACCCATTGGTGTGACAGTTGCATTGTAATGTGGTATAATCCATAGGTTGAATGCAGGGCTTTGAGAATTTAAAATATTTGCATCTTCACAAGAAATATTTGGAAAGTTTGTATAAGGCCTAGTAAATCCAGTTGTGAGTGAATAGAATTTACCAAACTAAATTCACCTAGCATATGAAAATGTACATAAAACAAAATTAACAGGTAGTTGCTCATACTTAACAAAAAGATATTTAGTGCTTCTCATCACACTCAATTATTTCACATAATATTCTATTGTTTTCTTTCTCCTAAAAAATAATTGTTTTAAGCTCTCAGCTCTTCTCTTTTAATTTGAGCAAACTAAAAATATCTTGAGAATGGCCCATCTCACCTCATCAAAGAAGTTTCCTTTGTATCAAGTTTATTAATTCACTCATCCTTTCCTGATCTTTGATACTGAGACTGCTATAAAAAGGACAATGGATGCTAAAGATAACACGTGAAGTAGGTTTGTTAGACCTTTTTTTTGACCCTTGGTATCTTCAGCTTTCTGAAGGCCAGGTAATGTCTGCATTCTGAATATGTTAGGGGACATATGAATCCATAGGACATATTTTAAGCAGAATTGTATCATTGTTTCCCTTGTTGCTATTTTACTTTCCCAAACCATTGCAGAGCTTTTTGCCAATGACATTTTCTCATCCGCAGCCAGCTCTGCCACTCTTTTGCTATTTCTTCTGTCGACTTCCATTTTAATTTAAAAAATAAATTTATAATTTTTTTAGTTCTGTTTTGTCAATGTATACCTGCAGCCGCACACACATTTGATTATAGCTGCATAGTGTGGAAAATCTTGCAATTAGATTCCAAAATGACAGCCGGTGTAATTTACAAAGTACAAAAGTGTTATGTTAAAGCACTCTCAGCAATAAATAAAAATAGCTTTTTTGGAGGAGGAAATAACTTTGGAGAGAACTAGGCTGGAGGAGGAAGCAATCTACACTCTTAGGAAAGGAAGAGCCACATCTAGGAAAGCATCCGAGGGACAAGGACAACAGAAACACAAGAGGCTCTTGATCTCAGGCAGTCCTCCAAGAGGCACCTGACAGAGGGCAGTTAGGTTGCCTTGATTTGCCAGTTTCTGTCCTGAAAGATACACTGGACCTTTATTTCCCAAGGACTACTCATTCAGCATTGTTGAGCACCTAAATTGTGCTGGAGATCGCACAGGAACTGGGCTTGCGAAAATGAAAATTGCACACAGTTCCTGTCTTCAGGCGCTCACAGAGTTTTTAAAACAGAACATCTTAAGAGGGAGTTATAAGGGGCCCTGTTGCAAAAAGAGAGCAGCAACTAAAATCTTGGAAAAGCCCTCAGGACACCACAGAGGAAGCAAGCTGTGATCACAGAACTTTGAAAGGCTTTTGTATCTTTCGACAATAAATGATCAAGTGAAGTAAATACATTGTCCAGAAGAGAAAGAATTGGGATGGAGGATGAGATTTTATATGGAAGGATTAAAACATATTTAACTGGAGCAGGGACTTACAGGGACAGGCAAGTCAGTAAAGGGCCCAGGTTACAAACGAGTTATAACCGATCAGACCGACGAGCGCCCGCGTGCAGCGCCTCCTGCCGACGCGCGCCTCGCAGCCTTCAGTCAATGCTGACAGCTGTTCTCCAACACCCAGCTAGGGGCGGGAGGGTCCGCCCACTTCTACCAGATTTTGCACACAAAACAGTGGAAAGACCATTCTCATGGCTCCAAGCCGTTTTCTCCCTTCATCGCCTGCAATTTTAGGGCTTTTCGGGGGGTATGACTGCAGGGATTTTAGAGGTTTTTTTCCTCATTCTCTTTTTAAGAGGTGATAAAAAGCATTTAAATTAGCGGCAGGGCGGTTAACACCCGCAGCCCTAGCCTCTCCGCACTTCTCGTCGCTCGTCCGTGTTCACTCCACGCCTGGCCTCGGGTAGGAGCCGCATAGCGCCAACGGTTGCGGGTCGCAACTACTCCCAGGCGGCGCGCCTTGCGCGCCGGGCCTCCCAGGACCGCGGCGAGTTCAGAAGGCGCGGGGAGAGAAGTGAGGTCGAGCAGCGGGCGGCTTTTGACGAACGGCCCTCACAGCCAATGGGAAGCCCGGTCGACTTTCCCGCCCCTGCCAATAGGGAGCAGAACCCGGGCCGGGGGGGGCGCTTCCCGCAGGCTGCGGCTGGATTCGATCCTGCGCGACGGCCGCGAAGGCGGGGGCGGAGGCTCGGCCTGCGCGGCTGGGAGCGGCTTAGGGGAGGAGGGAAGACCGGAAGCCACGGTTGCGTCCCCATCCTTAGATTCGCTCCTCCGGGCAGGGAGCGGAGACGGAGGAGGAGGAGGGAGAGGCTGAATGTTGGCTCGGTAATTGAGAGGAGCGGCCGCTCCAGAGCTTCCTCCCGGGGCGCCCCCCTCAGTCCGTCCGCGCTTCTCAGCCGCCAGTCTCCTGGCCGCGCAGTCCCCGCGGACGGCCGGGCCGCGGAGACCCTCGCAGAAGAGGCGCTGCCGGCGGCGAGGACTGGCCGGCGGCATCCGAGGCGCGCGCCCCACCGCCACCCCCACCCGCCTGCCAGCCGGTCCCTCCGGCCGCCGCCATGTCCTCCTCCTCTTCCTCCCCCAGGGAGACGTACGAGGAGGACCGGGAGTACGAGAGCCAGGCCAAGCGTCTCAAGACCGAGGAGGGGGAGATCGACTACTCGGCCGAGGAAGGCGAGAACCGCCGGGAAGCGACGCCCCGGGGCGGGGGCGATGGCGGCGGCGGCGGCCGGAGCTTCTCTCAGCCGGTAACAAAGCGCGGCCCCCCTGTCCGCTGTGCCTGGCTGCTCCCCGGGAAGCAGGGCCTCGGTGCGGGGCCTCCCGCTTGCTTCAGTTAGCCTTTTCCGCTGCGCCGACCCGTTTGGGGAAGCGCCCACTCTTCTCTTTGGGGCTCGTATTCTGGCCTCTACCTGTTTCCCGCATCCCGACTGCGAACCCGGCGCCGTCCTGGCCGCAGGCCCCGCAGCGAGTCCACTGCCGGGCCCTGAACTTGGGGAGGGTCGCGGCGCGGCGGCGGCGGCGGGGAGGCGTCGCTTCCGCTCTGGGGGGTTTCGCGGCTCGGGGAGCTCTTTGTTAGTTTAACTCCTCGGGCTCGGGGCCAGCGTCGGGACCACCGGTTCTCTTCAGTCCCTCTGCCCGCAGCAGCCGCGCGTTGGTCACCATCCCGGGATGGTTGCGTCGGTTCTACCGGGAGCTCTCTCCGCCTCGGTCCTATGGAGACCCGTAATTAAATAACAGATTATGCCTTGGCGTTCACATGCTAGTTCCCTTGAAGGTTTAATTTAAAAAATTTTAAAATTAAACTCTTTATAAGCATGGCGTGCATCCTTTGCTCTACCCAATTTTGTGGATTACTCAGTACACTTTTTACCTCTTCGGTTACAACACTTCAACAGAAGTGTTGGCAGCTGTTGGTACACCCCTACCTTCAAGTAAAACAAATCTTAAAATTACTAAAGTTTTTCATTGGTAATTTATTCCACATTTGCCCCATGAAAGGATGAAGTGAGCTCAGGGTTGCATTAAACACACATTCCTAGAGCCAGGTCTTTCTCTTACCAGAAATGTTAGGGGGAGGCAGAAGGAATGTGATCATTTTGTCCACAGCAAGTAGTTAGCTTCAGTTGGATGGAGACTTTAAGGAAACAAAGCGGAGCAAACGTTATTGCCCTTTTTTGGTGCACTTAAGCGGTTTTAATGACTTAGATGTTATTTAAACATTTAACACATGAATTGTGATTAATTCTGCAAACTTTAACAGAATTACGAAACTGTACACATATATCCTACTATTAGGTTAAAAGGGTTTTTACCTTACCTTTTAAAAATAAGACGCACATTAGAAGCCCTTTATAGCCGTTTGAATTTTTAAATAATAAAAAAAAAGGCTGGTCAGTCACCCAGCGTTGCAGTTTCCAGTTACCAGGATGTGAGAGCAAACTTTGCAACACATTTAAAAAAGGAACTTTTTCTCTCAGTCTTGTTACGGTGTTAGCTATTACTTTAGATTTTTGTGCCGAGCTATTTGAAATATTCAAAATGTAACTTGGAAGTGTGAATAAAGGAAATGGTTTTTTCTTAGGAAGTTTCAGTTCAAAGCCAACTCTGTTGTGGAAATTGGAAACAGGAATATTATAACTGATATTTCGATGTATTCGATCAGTGTACCTCGTTGCTAGAAATCTTGCTTGGGTTTTTGTGCAGCATCATGAAATGTCTTCAGGCATTTTGGAAAGATACTTAAATCAGATTATAAAAATTTGTTTTTGAAAACAGATAAAGCATTAAATCAATAGTATTATTTTGGATGTTGGGAAGAAAATAACATATAATTAATGTATCCAAAGCGAAATGTGTGGAGCGGTGGAAATGGCACTGAGTAGGGCTTGGGGGTGGTCAAGAGTCTAGGCTTAGCATACAATTTTTTTTTTTTTTTGAGAGGATCTCACTCTATGGCCCGGGGCTGGAGTGCAGCAGCTCTGGAGTGCAGCAGCTCGTGATCACGGCTCACTGCAGCCTTGATCTCCCTGTCTCAAGCGATCCTCCTACCTCAGCCTCCCGGGTTGCTGGGACTGGAAGCCTGCATCACCACGCCGGGCCAATTTTTTTTTTCTGTGTTTTGTAGAGAAGGGGTTTCACCATATTGCCAAAGCTAGTCTCTTAACTCCTGGGCTCAAGAGATCCACCTGAGTTGGCCTCCCAAAGTGCTGGGATTACAGCCGTGAGCCACCGCACCTGGTCTTAGCATACAATTTGTGTGAGTCTGAGAAAGTCAGTTTACTACTCTGAGTTCTCTTAGTCTGTAAAATATGAAGGTTGAAACACATGCCTTTTTTAACCGAAGCTATAGTTAAGTGATTAACGTAATGCTAATGCTGCTTTTAAGTTACCCCGGCGGGAACTGATATAAGCAGATTGAGGTATAAATTTTAATTTTTTTGTTTATCTTACTGCTGATATGTTTCCTAGGAAAGGGTGAATTGTTTTCATTTAACAGTAAAACCATCATTGTACTATGAAATCTAATGAAGCCTTGTTTATCTTGTTTTTAAATATTTTTCATGTAATTTTTGGTACTATTTTGAAATCATGGCAACTATGGAAACCTGTACATAATAAAATTCTATTATTAGGATAGACGTTCCCCGGATAGAAGTTTACTGTCTTGTGCTTCTTCGTTCACATGTTTGGTAATTCATTGTAACCGAAAAGGGTTTTGCACAACTTCAGTGGTCCTTCAGCCCAGAGAAGAAATACCTTTGTGGTCAGACTGTTAAAGTAAATGCAGGTTAGGTACAATGATGGCATTCTTTTCAACTCTAGTTGGAAGTTTGTAAAGTGCAAAGTAAGCCTTTGAAGATTTACATTGCTTGGTTTTTTATGATTAACCTTGAGTGCTTTGATAATATATTGACTACATTTAAAGAGGAAAGTGAGTATTTAAGAAAAACATAGTGGTTCTACAAAGGCTCTTAACTTAGAAATGAATGGATAATTGTGAGTGATCATTATGTTGAAGGTACAAAGAGAAATGAGAGAAGAGTTAATACTTTGGATATGAGAAATAAAACACCCTTCAAATTTGTGTCTTCTGGTACCTTTTTTTAATAGAGCAAAAAACTCCTAGGGTTTTTCACATTCACTGAGCTGCATTGTTGAATAAGGCTTGATTATAGAGGTTCCTGCCACATATTATACAGTTACTTTTTTCTTGTGGAGTAGTGTTCTTAAATTTAATAGGCATGACCTTCAAGATCATATTAAGTTTCTGTATCTTCTTTTAAGAAGGCAGCTTGACTTGGAAATATTAAGGCTTCACTTGGGAAAACCACTTGAGGAATTGGGATGGAGTGCTAATTTATTTTGGAGATTTTAAAGTTTTTCTGTTTTCTGCTAGTGAATAAACAGGCAAATCAAAGATTATTAAGTGGTTTGCTGATGAAGTGAAAATTTGTTTCTCAACTTTTAGTAAATAGACGTGAAAGATGGCAAAATGCCAAGATAAAATTGTTGCTCCTAGGATTTCCAAACAAAGGATTATACAGCACATTGAAAATCCAGTTTGAATTCAGGATACACTATTCTGTTATACTTGCACAATGTAAATTACTAATGATAGCAATATTACTGTGATCTGTTAGATGCATATGGGTTGGGAGATGGGATGAGGTCACTTAGCTCTCACAGGAGAAGTTTAGAAGACTGTGTAGTAACTACTTCATGGAAATAAAGTAGTTAAAGGATGTGTGCCCCAGAGGTAAGTGCCAGAGCCTGAGGCTTGCATAGCAGTAGTGTCTTGTGTCTCCTCCAGCGAAGCTGTTCTAGTAGAGTGAGGATTTTTAGGCCTAGTTTGGGGAAAGAAATGAAAAGTAGTAGGTTTTACCATCTTTTGGTTTTAGACTGTTTCTTCATGTTAGTATGTTACGGTGAAAAGAGCTGTTCATAGAGCCAGTAGCACAATCAAGGCAAGTGTATTGGCTCTGCTTACAAACTTTTTCACTTAACCTCTCTGGAACTCAGTGATCTCTAGCCTCATTTAAAACACAATAATTGAGCTTCTACCATATGTCAGGTGATGGGGCTATAATAGTGAAAAAATGTTACATATCTAAAAATCTGGTTCTACATCATATATTGCTTTTTTTGCCTCCATGAAATTGAACACAACTTTCAGGGCTTACAGCCACAGCAACAACTCAGATGAGCTTAAGGAAAACAAAAAGGGAGCGGGGTAGAAGATTTATTGGCCCATGTAACTGGGAAAGCCAAATTGTGACACTGGTTTTAGGAATGGCTGGATCCAGGGATTTGGATGATGTCATAGGGACTTGATTCTCTTTCCATGTTTCAATTCTCCTTTTCTCTGTATAGTGGTAAAGCTAGGCTGACATTCTTATAGCTAGCAGCTAAAGAGCATCCTCTCTTTCCCAGCCCGTATTTATCCCTTCTTATCAAGCATTTTTGATCTTCCCCTCTTCCCCCGTCTAATTAATCACCAGGCCACCTCTGAGGTTGAGGAGGCATGACTGTGTGATTGAAAATACCAATGTATAATAATAATACGGAGTTGTTTTGTTTTGTTTTTATGTTTTTATTTTTAAACAGAACGGGTAAGGAATTCTGGGTAGGCAAAACCAAATGATTTCTATTACATGAGCAAAAAAAAAAAAAGTTTGTTTTTTAAAAAGTTACTTGACTTGGCCGGGCACGGTGGCTCACGCCTGTAATCCCAGCAATTTGGGAGGCTGAGGCAGGTGGATCACGAGGTTAGGAGTTCAAGACCAGCCTGGCCAAGATGGTGAAACCTCGTCTCTACTAAAAATACAAAAAATTAGCCGGGTGTGGTGGCACGCGCCTGTAATCCCAGCTACTCCGGAGGCTGAGGCAGAGAATTGCTAAACCTGGAGGGGCGACGGTTGCAGTGAGCTGAGATCGTGCCACTGCACTCCAGCCTGGGCGACAGAGCGAGACTCCGTCTCAAAAAAAAAAAAAAATAAAAAAAGTTACTTGACTCATATGGCCATAATTTTACATCTTTGCTCTGTTATGTGATCAAATGTACCTAAAAACTTTGGATAGGAAAGTTAGTTTCCCTATGTTTTAGATGTGCTTCTTTACAAAGAGAAAAAGACCAAGAGACATAATTATTTAATTTAGTAGGGAAAAAATGTGATTAAACATCGCGTGGGTTAAAATGATATTTACAGCTGCCCGTTAAAACTTTGTCCTTTGTTCTATATTAAGTGTCCAGAGTAAGATAGGGGATAGTTTTATGTCTGGAAATACTGTACTTATTCTTGGGACTGCATTGATAAATTTTAATGTATCCAGAAAGCTTACCAGAATGGAGAAGGCACTAGAAATTGCATCATAAAAGGAGTGACAGAAGAACCTGGAGGATATTTCGCCTGAAGAGTAAACTTAGGTGTGACTTAATAAATCATTACAAATATCGGTAATTGAAAGATTATGTAAGAGAGGGAAATGTGGATGAGGTAGGATGTGCCAACTAATGTTTATTGAACCTTTGTTTATACTGTACTGAGCTTTTCTTCTCTTCAGTAGAGTTTAGTCCTTAATATGCAGTAGTCAAAATTAGCATTTAAAGTTAGTATTGCTGTGAAGAGGGAGTTGTGAAAAAATAAAAAATAAATAAAATATTGTATTATTAAGAGTTTGTCCCTGAAATGGCCTTTGAAGGGCTGAGAATTTGAAATGTCTGTAAGTAGACTGGTCTAGAGCCTGTAGTAGAGACCAAATAATGCTGCCATTACAGTTAACCCAATTAACCTAAAGAAGAGATTATGTAAGTTTGTAAAGTGCATGTATGTTGCAAGCATGCCTTCTTTTTCTGGGTACGCAGCTGGGATATTGTTTCTAGTCTGGTAAGCAATAGATACAGAAAGAGAGAGCCTAGGTAACTAAACATCTGAAATGGAAATAACTTGGGCTCCTGTATGAGGAAAGATTAAAAAAAGGACTCCTTAAGCTGGAGAAGACATGACCTCAATATTAATATATTGTTGGGGGGTAAAAACAAAACTGATTTGTTCACCAGTTTAGGAGTCAAGATTCATAGTATGATGCTTAAAAGAAGTTATTTTAGAGTAGGTAAAATAATCTCTACAGGCGGGGCGCGGTGGCTCACAGCTGTAATCCCAACACTTCGGGAGGCTGAGGCAGGTGGATCACTTGAGGCCAAGAATTCAAGACCAGCCTGGCAAAAATGGTGAAACCCTGTCTCTATTAAACCACAAAAATCAGCCAGGTGTGGTGGTACATGCTTGTGGTCCCAGCTAGTCGGGAGGCTGAGGCAGGAGAACTGCTTGAACCCAGGAGACAGGTTTGCAGTGAGACCTTGTGCCACTGCACTCCAGCCTGGGTGATAGAGCGAGACTCTGTCTCAAAAAAGAGAGAAGTCTCTACAAATGACACCAGATTTCTTGTCACCAGTATATAGTACAGGTAAAGAAGTGATTTAAGAACAGTATGAGTATTTTGGGGGAAAAGGGGGAAAACGAAGCTCAGGAGAGGATGATGGTAGACAAATAGTTGGGAAAGATACCTTTGATACATTGGTTTTATATTTGGAAACAGCCATAGGTTTTTTTTTTTTATCACTACAGAAAGAATGAGAAAATTGTGTGTTAAAGAAAAGGGGACATAATTTAAAAATAGAAATATCCAGGTAAATAAACTTATGAATGGCAGATTCATTGAGTGGGAATAAGGGAAATACAAGGTGGGTGAGGGGTATGTTTTCTGCCTTGAGGTTGAAATAATCGTTATCTTCCCCTAATTACCATACTGAGTATATTTAACATTGTCCACCCTTTTTTTTTGAGACGGAGTCTCGCTCTGTCGCCCAGGCTGGAGTGCAGTGGCGCGATCTCAGCTCACTGCAAGCTCTGCCTCCCGGGTTCACGCCATTCTCCTGCCTCAGCCTTCCAAGTAGCTGGGACTACAGGTGCCCGCCACCACGCCCGGCTAATTTTTGTATTTTTAGTAGAGATGTGGTTTCACCATGTTGGCCAGGCTGATCTCAAACTCCTGACCTCAGGTATTCGCCTGCCTTGGCCTCCCAAAGGGCTGGCATTACAGGCGTGAGCCACTGCGCCCGGCCCACATTGTCCAGCTTTTAAGTGATGACTGTGGTTTCACTTTATTCCACTTAGGAAATATAATTAAATAATAATATATTAAAAGGAGATTTTTTTTGAGAGATTTAAAAATCGATTGTATAATCCATTTCTTTGTAAGAAGACCAATTTGAAAAATAGTTATATTTTTTAGCACTATACTCATGATAGTGGTTACCTATAATGGGAAGGGAAGGGGGTAGTAAGAAGAGATGTGATCAATTTATTGTTTTGTGTTTTTTTCTTTTCTTTTTTTTTTTTTTTTTTTTTTTTTAGACAAGGTCTTGCTCATCACCCAGGCTGGAGTGGCACGATCTTGGCTCACTGCAACCTCCACCTCCTGGGTTCAAGCAGTCCTTCCACCTCAGCCTCCTGAGTAGCTGGGACTACAGGCGTACCCCACCACGCCCAGCTAATGTTTTGTTTTTTTGCTAAAGACGGGGTTTTGCCATGTTGCCCAGGCTAGTCTCAAACTCCTGAGCCTCGAACTCCTGAGCCCGCCTCTGCCTCCCAGAGTGCTAGGATTACAGGCATGAGCCACCACGCCTGGCTAATAATGTTTTATTTATTAAATTGGATGGTGGGTACATGGTTATTTCTTTTTTTTGAGATGGAGGCTCTGTTGCCCAGGCTGGAGTACAATGATGTGATCTCAGTTCACTGCAACCTTTGCCTACTTGGTTTAAGCAATTCTCTTGCCTCAGCTTCCTGAGTAGCTACAGACGTGCACCACCACGCCCAGCTCATTTTTCTAATTTTAGTAGAGATGGGGTTTTGCCATGTTGGCCAGGTTGATCTCGAACTCCTGACCTCAGGTGATTTTGCCTGTGTCAGCCTCCCAAAGTGCTGGGATTACAGGCATGAGCCACTGTGCCTGGCCTTGGGTATTTTTAATAAAGTTCTTTATACCTTTTTTCAGGCTTTAAATATTATAAAATAATTTTGCAACTTTTTATTATATAAAATGTTCAACTTAACGTATATCCTTCACTTAGATTCAGCAGTTTTTAGCTTTTTGCTGTGTAGGGTTTTTTTCTCTACATCTGCATATCTATATTTATATACATACTTTTTTCCCCTATACTATTTTCCCCTAAACTATTTGAAAGTAAATTTCAAACATCATGACATTTCATGCCTAAATATCGCAATGTTCCTAAGAATAAGGGTATTCTCTTACATAACCATTACTATTTTCTTACTAAAGACAGTGATAATTAATTCTATTATGTTAACCTAATATCCTGTCTGTATTCAAATTTTCCTAGTTGTCCCTAATATGTGTTTGATAGTAGTTTTAACTATTGTCTAATAAAGGCTCACATACAGCATTTGGTTTTTTTGTTTGTTTTTTGGTTTTTGGTTTTTTTTTGAGATGGAGTCTTGTTCTGTCGCCCAGGCTGGAGTGCAGTGGCGCAATCTCGGCTCACTGCAAGCTCTGCCTCCTGGGTTCACGCCATTCTCCTGCCTCAGCCTCCAGAGTAGCTGGTACTACAGGCACCTGCCACCATGCCCGGCTAATTTTTTTGTATTTTTAGTAGAGACGGGGTTTCACCGTGTTAGCCAGGGTGGTCTCGAACTCCTGACCTTGTGATCTACCTGGCTTCGCCTCCCATAGTGGTGGGATTGCAGGCGTAAGCCACTGTGCCCGGCCAGCATTTAGGTTTTTTTTTGTTTTTTTTTTGAGACGGAGTCTCACTCCGTCGCCCAGTCTGGAGTGCAGTGGCACAATCTCGGCTCACTGCAGCCTGTGCCTCCTGGGTTCAAGCAATTCTCTGCCTCAGCCTCCCGAGTAGGTGGAATTACAGGCGTCCTCCACCACACCAGAGACGGAGTTTCACCATCTTGGCCAGGCTGGTCTGGAACTCCTGATCTTGTGATCCACCTGCTTCAGCCTCCCAAAGTGCTGGATTACAGGCATGAGCCACCACGTCTGGCCCAGCATTTGGTTGCTGTGTCTCTTAGTCTCCATATAGAATCTTCCCTCCACTGGTTTTTGATACTAACTTTTTGAAGAGTTCAGGCCAATACAGTTTTCTGTCGTCCTTTTATTTTACCTTTGCCACCTGATTTCTAAGAATGAACTGAAATGATTCTCTTAATTGTATCTTGCAGTTTATTATTTTCTAATTATTTTGAGAGTAAAACTTGTTATACTTTAAATACATGCTGTGTTTGGCAGGTAGGTATTATTTAGAGCTCTTCCTGCTTTATTCATTTCCAGTTATATTTAAGAATGTAATGATGATACATGCACATTTGCTTGTTGAATTTCATCTAGACAGAGTCTGATTGTTAATGTTGCTTAAGAAAGTGTTGATTTACTTAGGGTATAGTCAGAATGATTCATTTCAAACTTAGTGGCATGTAAGGGATATCTGTTTAACCATAGGAAAGACGGAGCATAAGCAATTCAAATAAATTCCAAGGATAGAATTAGTATTGGCAAAGGACTGAGTTTATTTTTTGGATTTGACAGTAGCGTGAGTAGTTCTGTGGTTACTTTATATATTTAAATCAGTTCCTTTCTTTCAGTTGTGACATAAATTTTTACTGGCAGGGCACTCCATTTGTTATATTTTCCTAACAGTCTTTATAATAAAGAAAAATTGGTGAGTCATTTAAAATAGCCTTAAAGAAATTTAATTTTCTTAAAACAATTGTTAAATTTTAATGGTAAAATAGCGCTTTCAGATTAGTCTTGTTATAGGAGAAAAAAACTTTAAAAAATTTCTTTTTGTATAGACAGGGATGTACACGGTGGAAGTCATTTCTGAAGTTACGATGCAAGAGAAGTGCCTGATGGCATTTGTAAATACAGATCTTTGTCTTAATGGAACTTGAATAAGTAAATGAAAGCTATTTGCATTTTCAAAGTAATTCGTACAGATACTACGTTTAAAAATAAACTTTAAGACCATATTCTTACATTTTGAAACATCCTGCCTGGCATACTCGAAGATACACAATATTCCGTAGATGCCCAGGAGGGCTTGCATTTTTGAGTAGTTCTTATTCATCCCCCTGCCTTGCAAAGATGGTACCCTTGTATAAATTTAAGTTGTCATGTGTTTAATGAATTAATACTGCTAAGTGAGTATCCTCAAGTTATAGTGGGACTAGATAACCAATTAAACAAGAACAAAAGATGATACAAATCTACTACGTTACAGGAAAGATAAGTATATTATCTTCATGTTGAGGAAAAATTTTTGATTGGAACTTTTTGTTCATTTGTACTAGTTGAGATTTTGATTTTATGGAGGTTAATGAGTATCAAATATACTTCCAGTTGTAGCATGCCCTATGTATCTGCTAAATTTTCTTTCTGAGATTTTCTTGAAGTTGAAATATTATTAAATAACATCTTTGTACTTCTTACTGAGATAGAATGCTCCCTTTTAAGAAATTAAAAATTTTAAAACAAACATTTATTTTATTCTCATATCCTTTTGCTAACTTGTGAATTGCGATTTGGTTTGGGATTAAAAAAAATGTTTACTTTTTAAGCAGGTTTGAATTTACTGAAAGATGCAATTCAACTTAGACTTAAATTTTTTTTGTTTTTTTTGAGATGGAGTCTCACTCTGTCGCCCAGGCTGGAGTGCAGTGGCGCGATCTTGGCTCACTGCAGCCTCCACCTCCCGGATTCAAGCCGTTCTTCTGCCTCAGCCTCCAGAGTAGCTGGGATTACAGACACGTGCCACCATGCCTGGCTAATTTTTCTATTTTTAGTAGAGATGGGGTTTCACCATGTTGGCCAGGCTGGTCTCGAACTCCTGACCTCAAATGACCCTCCCACTTTGACCTCCCAAAGTGCAGGGATTACAGGCGTGAGCCACCGCGTTCGGCCTTAGACTTAAAATTTTTTTAACTAGAAATTATTTTCTCTTGCTAGGAGGCAGGTGGAAGTCATCATAAAGTTTCTGTTTCACCCGTCGTCCATGTTCGAGGACTCTGTGAATCTGTGGTGGAAGCAGACCTCGTGGAAGCGCTGGAAAAATTTGGGACAATATGGTAAGGATGATAGGGACTTCATGTAGATTGAAAACTGTGGTAGAATAATCCTTGCTTGCTTGTTACAAGCCTTGATGTTTAGCATAGTAAATATTGTTTGTATATATAAACAAAGTAGTATCTATTGTTTGCCTATGACTGTATTTCTTTGGAACGTTTTAAGCCTACTATTTTTAACCTTCCTGGGTGATGCATGAGTGTATTTTTGTGGAGCTATGATCACTTCTCACTCCCCAGCAAAGTTGTATAAAGAAATTATGTGTGCTTTTCATCTGATTTTCAAATGAGTCCGTGAGTCCTGTTCAAACACTCTTTAAACCATTGAGTTGATTACATGCTTCATCTTCAGAGTTTCAAGTAGTGATGCTTAAATATTGATTTTTTTGTTGTTCTTGATTTTGGAATATTTAGGAATTAATTGGCAACTAAAAGTAAGCAGATTAAGGGTAGGCATTATTTGTTTAGGTGCATATTGCTGTGAGTTCTTTTGTTCATGTGCATATTGCTGAGTTCTTTTTATTTTTTGAGACAGGGTCTCTCTCTGTTGCCCAAGCTGGAGTGTAGTGGCACATTGATGGCTCACTGGAGCCTCCACCTCCTGAGCCCAGGTTATCCTCCCATTTTATCCTCCCTAATAGCTGGGACTATAGACGCATGTCACTATGCCCGGGTAATTTAAAAAAATTTTTTGTAGAGATGAGGGGTCTCTTAACATTGCCTCAGCTGCTGTCCTGGGCTCAAGCTATCCTCCCACCTCAGCCTCCAGAAGTGCTGGGATTATAGGCTCTGTGAGTTCTTAATGCAAATCATGAGCTATATTTTATCCTAGTTTGTCTTCCTTTTGTGCCTTGTATTCACGCAGGCTCCCCCTGTCTCTTCCCACAGCTGCTGTATACTTAAGAATATTAACTTAAGTGAAAACATAATTAGAAAAGTGAATCTGCTGCCAAAAATAGACACTTAAAAATTCTAAATTATTTTTGGAGTATGCCCGGCTGTTGTTCTTTTCTTAGTATAGATAATCTAGCGTTGATTTTATTATTTTTCCTTGATGAATATGTTTAGAGTTTTTGTTACAGCTATCGAAGACACAGATCAAGTTGAAGTATATAAATAGAAGAGAAATTTCAGTGTGTTTTCTGAGATACTTACCCTTACTGCTTCAATTTTATAAAAATTCATGTTAAGTATTTGAGTATTGAGAGGAAAATGCATAGATAATGAGGTAGTGATCAGAGATGTCCAGCAGAGGGTATCCAGCAGAAATGGGTTATTTCTTCAAAGGAATAGTAGTATTAGGTGATAACTTGCATTGTGGCATAATTTTATTTTCTTGGGTGACCTCATTGAGAGGTAAATGACTTGGCAAACACGTTAACCTTGGATGTACAAATTGAGAATCCGCATGGGCATAGTAAAGTTTGTATGTTGAAAGTGTATCACTAAGTTGATTATATCAATTCTCAGTCATTTGGAGTGGATATTGGAATTAAATCTGCGTGGAGAGTTACATATTAAGTAGACAGACTCCTTAGACCTTTAGTCTTGCTGTTGACAGTAGACTACCCCTGTCTCTATAAGGACCTTCTAATGATTATATAAGTGGCACATTGTCCTATGGAATTATAAAGAGGTGGGTGTCTGTGGTTTATTTTTCCTCTCTTCTTGTGTATTTAGGGCTTTAAAATTTATTTTCTTAGGCAGATGTCAGAAAACAAGTTGATGAGCAAATATAAATGGAAACTTTGGGAAGCAGTGACTATTTTGATGTTAATTAGTACCATGACATGAAGGTTAGGAATTAAAGAAATAGAACTATTTTAAGTTAGTAATTTGAATTACTCCTGGTGACCTTTGCATTTTTAGACTCTAAAATTTTGATTTGATACTTAGTCTCTGGTAAAGTCTACCGTATGTGAATGTCATTCAGTTAATTTGCGTCATTTTGCCCTCAAGATTGGTAGTTATGTGGATAGAAAATTCTGAAATAATTGGAACAAATTAGTGTGTAATTAAGAGCTTAATTGGCATAAATAGGTGTAATAGGAGTTTCAGTTGTATGAAATGAACTTGCATGAGAGGTGGCTGCTATTAAGGCTGAAAGAACCTTGAACAGCTTCCAATAGAAATTTTGCTTCAAAATGTTACAATTTGGAAACTTTCCCTTTATTTAATGGAATGTGTGGGATTATAAACAGTATAGAAACTGCTTATATTAAAATGGTGAATCACCAAGTTCAGTATGTAGTAAGCTTATATATAAAAACTAGATGCATAGGTAAGAAGCTCAGAAGAAAATATAACAAGATATTAAAAATGGTTGTGTTGTGTCAGGATAAAATTGCTTGTATTTTTTAACTTTTGTTATTTTTCTATACTGTATGCATTATAATCAAGAGTATAAGAGTATTTAAAATACATGTTGTATTTCTTTTTCCCCTTCTCTCCCATTAAAGGAGATATTAGGAAATGATTAGTTTTACAATACAACATTTGGGAGGACACAGTTTGTGCACTAAATCTGTTGTCTTCTCCTATGTTTTTATTTAGAAATTGGTAAAGATTTTTAAATTGATGGAGTTAAAAGCATTGATCCTACCATGTCCCTTAGCTTTTTTGTTTCTTTAGCCTTTTCTCTCTGTGATCTCCCACTGTTTCTCGTATTAATACCTTTTTTCTTTATTTTTTTGAACTCCTGGGCTCAAGCAATCTTCCCACTTTCAGCTTCCTGAGTAGCTGGGACTGTAGGCACAAGCCACCACACCTGGTTTCATATGAGTGCGTTTTAAAGATTTTCAAAAAACAATTTAAGCACATGCTAAAATGTCTGTAACATTTTAGTTTTTTTATATTGAATATTGGCAGTAAAAAGGAAAATAAAACATTTTAATTTTTTCTTTATCTTCATTGATGCTACTTTTCTGGGTAACCCTCACTTTTAAGTTGTGCTTTTAGCTCACCCTTTTTTTTTTTTTTTTTTTTTGAGATGGAGTTTCACTCTGTCACCCAAGCTGGTGCAGTGGCGCGATCTTGGCTCACTGCAACCTCTGCCCTCCAAGTTCAAGCGATTCTCCTGCCTCAGCCTCCCAAGTAGCTGGGATTACAGGCGCCTGCCACCGTGCCTGGCTAATTTTTTATATTTTTAGTAGAGACAGGGTTTCACCATCTTGGCCAGGCTGGCCTTGAACTCCTGACCTTGTGATCCACCCACCTCCGCCTCCCAAAGTGCTGGGATTACAGGCATGAGCCACCGTGCCTAGCCAGCTCACTTCTTATTTTAGTCACAGAAAGCAAATTTACTAAGTCTATAACAGGCCAATAAATAATTTACTTCTGTACCTGTATTAGTTTGTTGTTACATTGCTATATTGCTATAAAGACGTATTTGAGAGTGGGTAATTTATTAAGAAGAGAGGTTTAATCGGCTCACGGTTCTGCAGGCTATACAGTCTTCTGCTTCTGGGGTGGCCTCAGAAAACTTAGAATCATGGCAAAAGGTGAAGGGGAAGTACGCACATCTTTACATAGCCAGCAGGAGAGAGAGAGAAAAAAAAGAGAGGAGAGAGAGCGCGCACACAAAGGGGCAGGTGTCACACACTGTCAAACAACCAGATCTTGTGAGAACTCTGTCAGGAGACAGCGCTAGGGGGATAGTGCTAAGCCATTAGAAACCACCCCCATGAGCCAATCACCTCCTACTAGGCCCCACTTCCTACATCGGCGATCACAATTCAATACGAGGTTTGGATGGGGACACAGAGCCACACCATATCAGTACCTTTATAATTTTCTGTTTTCATATGGCATTATTAGCGTAATAACATAAACTCAGTAATACATTTAGATATTAAACCAACTTTTTTGTTTTGTGAAAGAAGATTTTTTCTTCTTGAATTTCTTTAGCATAGACCTGATACCAGCATTTTCTATTTTTCATGTGCAAGACTTTAGAACTTCAGTGAAGCGTCTGTGTTTCTAAAAGGAATGTCTCCTGGGATTTATATCTTGCACTTTTAAATTCAACGCCTTGTTTTTGTACTTCTTTAATTTTGAATGATATGGGTGGGGAAAACTAATAAGTCCCCTAGATTAACAAATATATGCTAGGCTCTGTTTCTAGCTTCTGAGGACAGAAAGATGAATGAGGCAAGATACGTTAAATAATAATAATACAGTAATAGTTACCTTTTATTGAGGGTGTACAATGTGCAAGGCAATCCGCTTAGAGTTTGTATGTAGTAACTCTAATCTTGACAATTCTCCAAGTTTTATAAATGAGGAAGCTGACATTTACTATAATAATAATTTGCCAGGCTGTAAGGTGATCTGTTTCTTTCTTATTAATACTGTACCATTTGTTAGTTTCCATAGTGTAGCAGTAGGTCCTGGATGCCTGATTGAGAAACAGTGATGTCATTGAGTACTGGACCCGACATTTCTTTGGCCTTCTGCTATTACGAAAACCACTTAATTGTATTTTAAAGCATTTTTAAGGTTCTTGTTCCTGTGAATAGAGGACATGCTTCCCCCATTGTGATCCAGGTGCTGTGATTTCTGTCTTCAACTCTTCCTTCCTTTCTTATTCTTCATTTCCTGTATTAAAATATATCTTTTTAATTCTTCATTTCCTGTATTAAAATATATCTCCTCCAAAAAGAACGTACTGTATTATATTTTGGGGTTTTTTTGGCTGCTTCGTTTGTCTTTCTAGTAAAGAATATACTTTGAAAAGTAAACATCTTACCCTCCTGCTCATAGACACTCCTGATTGCCGTATTCTAATGAATATTTTTTATGGATGGTTAGTATTAAAATGTTTTGGAGGAGATTATTTATATGAACTTTGGAACTTTGGTCAGTCTGTTGTTGCTTCCATTTATATTTATCTCTGTTTTAAAAGTATAGTCAGTTCTTAGCTGTTAGTATGGATGTTTATTCAAGAAAATTCGAGAGAGGTAGTTTGTGCTGTCAAGTAGGGATTCTGTCTGCCAACCTTCTGTTGAGTTTGATCTGCGTTGGTTTCTATGTCTTTGAAATTTTCTAATACTGCTTCGGAGTAGCACCCCAAAGAATAAACTGGGTTGTCTTGTTAGTAACTAATAACAGATAATTGTTTTTGAGGAGGTCATGAGGTAGATAAACTTATCACTGGGAGATAAGCTTTCATATGTGTACATCTACCTGTTGTACCACAATTCTTCAGATGATTTAAGAGTTGACTTACCTCATGCCTGTAATCCCAGCACTTTGGGAGGCCGAGGTGGGCGGATCACGAGGTCAGGAGATCGAGACCATCCTGGCTAACACGGGGAAACCCTGTCTCTACTGAAAGTATAAAAAATCAGCGGGGCCTGGTGGCGGGCACCTGTAGTCCCAGATACTAAGGAGGCTGAGGCAAGAGAATGGCGTGAACCCGGGAGGCGGAGCTTGCAGTGAGCCTAGATTGCGCCACTGCACTCCAGCCTGGGCGACAGAGAAAGACTCCGTCTCAAAAAAAAAAAAAAGTTGACTTACGTTGGACACAGGTAGTGAAGAATACTGTGGGATTTGACACATTTTTATTAAAGTCTGCTTTTACTTAATTGAGGACAAATAATGTTAACGGAACTTGCTGTGTTTGTGTGTTTCCTCCTTTTCTCCCTTTTCAGCTATGTGATGATGATGCCATTTAAACGACAGGCTCTAGTGGAATTTGAAAACATAGATAGTGCCAAAGAATGTGTGACATTTGCTGCAGATGAACCCGTGTACATTGCTGGTCAACAGGCTTTTTTCAACTATTCTACAAGCAAAAGGATCACTCGGCCAGGAAATACTGATGATCCATCAGGAGGCAACAAAGTTCTTCTGCTCTCAATTCAGAATCCGCTTTATCCAATTACAGTGGTATGTGTTTTAATATGACAAATGAAATTAAAAGTGATTTTGCAGTTTGCCTCCAGAGTGACTGATCTGTAGTTTTTTCATTGCCATCTAGATACTAGAAAATAGTTTTTTTAATTTTGAAAATTAATCTTAACAAGTTTAATGAACAAAGAAAAAATGCTGAGCACTGTAGTTAAAAAGATAAGCACAGTTGTCATAATTAAATAGGCACATTGAAATTTTTAATGTATAATCAGTACCAGTTCTGTTTTTGATAATAAGGAATTATAGACAGACTTGTTTGAAATCGTTCAAAAAATCTCTGTCACGCATATGCCAGCATATATATAAGAGCATCTACTAGGTAGTGACAGAATCCCATGTTATGGTAAGATGCACATATCATTATGAACTATTTTGCAATAGCTTGTTAAAAATCTGTCTTTGATTTACTTTAAATTCCCTGCTTCTTTACTCTTTTGAAAAGTGTTATTGGTAGAAGTTTTAAAAAGGATTTGTTTCCAGAACTAGTTTTCTTCCTACTCACATGCTGTTTCATAATAAGCTAGTAACACAGACACTTAATTTTTGTAATGAATAGAGGAACATCACAGTAAGGGAAACTTCAGTTGGTATCATATGTAGTCTGGGCATATGATATTGGGACATAAACTTAAAGCATAAGATATTCTTTAGATTTAATTAGACATTTTGTATTTTAAATATAGACTTATTAATATATAGTAATATATTTATAATATTCGGTGTTGGGAAAACATGTAACTAATCTAGTGTAGGTACTCTGTTTTTTGTTATATCTCTGGTGTGTAACAATGCAGCTGTGTAAATTATAGATGCTCAAGAAATTTCTTGATAGTTGAATAATTACTCCTAAGTAGGTATTTAGATTCTTAGATGACTCAGGCGTCTTGTTTAGTGACATGTAACTGTATGGTCTTCCTTGGGTCTTTTCTTTATGGCCATTGTCCCTTGAAAAATGAGTACCAGAGTTGTTCTAATATTATCTCTTAATACATATTTATTACTATAACACAAGTGATTATAATATTAAACATTTCAGTGTCACATTTGGAAAAAATATTCATTGATTATAGTTTTGGTTTATTAATTTTATATCATCAGAAGTTATTTTAGTCACCTGTTAAGAAAATAAAAATTGAGGATTCATTTAGGACATAAAATAGGTGACAGTGCTTTCCAAATGTTCCATTGGAACTTCTTTAATGTGGGTGTATTGTGTAGGTGAAGAAATACCTTAAGATTTATTAAAGTATAATAATTTTAGGCCAGCATGGTGGCTCATACCTATAATCTTAGTTCTTTAGGAGACTGAGGTAGTAGGATCCCTTGAGCTCAGGAGTTTGAGACAGCCTGGACAACATAGTGAGACTCTGTCTCTACAAAAAACGAAAAAATTAACCTTGTGTGGTGGTGCATGCCTTGAAGTCTCAGCTACTCGGGAGGCTGAGGCGGGAGATCGTTTCAGCCTGGGAAGTCAGGGCTGTAGGGAACTGTGATCGTGCCACTGCACTCTAGCCTAGGCAACAGTGTGAGACCCTGTCTCAAGAAAAAAGTAATAATTTTAAGAATTAATTTTATTAATCAATAGAAATGACATCTTGACAGTTGATAGTTTTTAGGTAAAACAAAACGAAGTATAGCTTTAATGTTTTTTCAGATGTAAAGTGTGAAGAAATCTTTTTCTTTTCCTTCATAGGATGTTTTATATACTGTATGCAACCCTGTTGGCAAAGTGCAACGTATTGTTATATTCAAGAGAAATGGGATACAAGCAATGGTTGAATATCCTTTATTTGTAAATTTTTATTGATGTGTAATTCATACGGATCTTATTTTTTCTGGCTTAAGCATTTCTAGACAAGTGGTGTTTACTTTGTCCTCTCACAAAAATCTACGTGACTTAGCTTTAAAAAATGAAACTGCAGTACTCATAGGGAATTTTACTATTTATGATAAGAATAACTTGCTACCAGAAAGCAATCTAGTGCTTCCTTTTTAAGCTGTTAAATAACACTATTTGAAGATATGTACACTTGTACTATTTTGGAATTTATCCTAAGTGAACTTTTCTGACTCCCTCTTAAAGTAGTTTGGAAGTACCAAAACTTTAGAGTCAGTAAAATCTTACCTTTTTTTATTGAACCTTTAAAATGGTAATGGTTTATGTAAAAACTTCTTTATGTTAAATTTGTCACACATTGAGTAAGAAGAGCAAGTTACAAAATAGTATAGATAATACACTTTCCCCCAAGCTGGACCCATCTTAAATAATAATAATAAAGAGAAAACCCCAACCTACGTGTGCATGTGTATGCATAGAAGAAGGTAGGGATATACAGCAAACGCTTTAATAGTGCTTACTTCTGGCAAGGGACTTATGTTTTATCTTTGTTTTTTTACCTTATATACCTTTGTGATTTTATTTTTTTAAGATTATGGACTTAAGTAATTTTTTTAAAAACTGATAAAATTTTAGATAGAGTATTATAAAACTATGCCTTCTCAGAAATATGTAAAAATCATGTATTTGTTTTGTATTACTTTGGCTCTTTGTAATGTTCTTCTTAAAGAGTAAAATCTTTTCTGTTTCAAGGTTGCAAGTTGTCCTTTGCTAGGGAATGGGACCATGCTCCATTATCTCCTCTGCTTTCCGATTTATAAAGTACTAATGATGACCTAAAAGAATTAAGGTAGATAGTTCGGTTGTATTATGTTTTCTTTGGTACCCTTGATTTTTTTTTTTTTTTTAAGATGGAGTTTTGCTTTTTGTTGCCCAGGGTGGTCAAGTGATTCCCGTGTCTCAGCCTCCCAAGTAGCTGGGATGACAGGCACCTGCCACCACACCCAGCTAATTTTTGTATTTTTAGTAGAGATGGGGCTTCACCATGTTGGCCAGGCTGGTCTCGAACTCCTGAGCTCAGGCTGTTCACCTGGTTCAGCCTCCCAAAGTGCTGGGATTACAGGCGTGAGCAACTGTGCCCAGCCACCCTTGATCTTAAAAATAAATTCTCCTGGCCAGGCGCAGTGACTCACGTCTGTGATCCCAGCACTTTGGGAGGCCGAGGCGGGCGGATCACGAAGTCAAGAGATCGAGACAATCCTGGTCAACATGGTGAAACCCCGTATCTACTAAAAAAATTAAAAATTAGCCGGGTGCGGTGGCACACACCTGTAGTCCCAGCTACTTGGGAGGCTGAGGCAGGAGAATTGCTTGAACCCGGGAGGTGGAGGTTGCATTGAGCCCAGGTCGCGCCACTGCACTCCTGGTGATAGAGCAAGACTCCGTCTCAAAAACAAAACAAAACAAAAAATTCTCTTAAAATTCATCCTGAAATTGGTAAAACATTTCCAGAAGTAAAAGAGCTACTTCTGATTATTTTCAATCCTGTCCTTTGGGAGTGAATAATGATTAAGTATCAGATACCTTAAACCGAATTTCCTTAATAGAGCTTATGTTTGAATCAGTCCTTTGTGCCCAGAAAGCTAAAGCAGCACTCAATGGAGCTGATATATATGCTGGATGTTGCACACTAAAAATTGAATATGCACGGGTAAATATTTTTTTCAACACCCTACCCAAGAAATATTTATGCTTTGGATATGCAGTTTGAACTTACATTATTTTCAATCTTAACAGCCAACTCGTCTAAATGTTATTAGGAATGACAATGACAGTTGGGACTACACTAAACCATATTTGGGAAGACGAGGTAGGTATTTTATACATTTTAGAATGTACTTGATCTGCTGACAAATTTTTATATGCAGTTAGATTCTTTTTTCCTGAGATGAGCTAGTTAATTCAAATGAAAACCTTGTTGATGAATGCTTTTGTTGCAAAAGGCCATGTAATGCTGGAAAATAACCTTGAACATTAGTGCCCCCTACTGGTATGTACTGAGCTATTTATATTTAGTTCAACAAGGAGCCCACACATTCAGGCACGCCCGCAGTTCAAGGACTTGCATTTCTCCAAGCAGCTCTCTCTCTTTGGAGGAGAGGAAACTGATTCAGAATATTCCTTACAAACTGCAAACTTGCACACTGCTTCTCTATGGAAAGGACTTTCCCCCAAGCTGGACGAGGCATTAAGAAGGATAGAGGACTCCAGCAGGCTGACTCTACACTTCATCATGCACAACATCGGCATCAGCAAAAAGCCCTCTGAAAAACTCAGACTCGCAATTCACCTTGACTGCATACTGCATGCACCATCACCCCAAGTTTTTAAAGGAGGACACTTAACAGTACTTCAGAATTGCATGGGATGAACACCATGATAGACTGTGCCCATTTATACAAGTTGTATGTATATATTGGTCTGATTTCCCTTAAGGTTTCAGTTGTAGAATTTAAGACTTTCCACTAACGGAAACTAGACTTCATCTGCAATGTTGTAAATCTTAATGCCCATTACTGTGACTGTGTGCAGCTTAGATTCAAATTGTTAATTGGCAAATAACCAGGACCAGTTTATTAACAGGTCTTGGGAATTGATAATGCTCAACCAATCCACACAGATAGAAAAATAAAAGGATTAGAAAGGTGCACACTTGCTGCATTGTTTACTTTTTAAATTTTTTGTTTTTTTCTCAATTGTGGTCACTGAACAGAAATTCTAACATAATGAAAAGGTGCATTATATGTGAAAGACGTTCTTCTGTGTGGTTTGATTTTTGTAAAGTGGCTGTTTATAAGTTGTCACTTTTTGTAACAATTTAAGGTTATCACTGTCAATTTGTGTAACTAGAAATTTTGACATTTCAAATGTAGGTGAAAGTAACATGTCTGTTCAAGATAGAATATCTTTAAACTTGATAAATCTGAAAATAAGAGCATTTCATTTGGGATGCATCTTCACCTATAAGTGCTAGATTTCGTGAGGATAAATTTGACTGATAAAATTGTTCAACTAACTGTGTGGCAATTCTGGAATATACAAATTAAAATGTGGATCTTGTAAAAACAAGGGGGCTGCAGTATTGGCTACATCTTAACTACAATATCAGTGTTTGAACTACAGGGTGGAAAAGCTCAAGATGAGTATGTCTGTAAAAGTCAGTAACTAGAAAAAAATTTTATGGCATACAAAATACCTTGGGGAGTGGGTACTCTATAGTGCATGTACTCTAGCAAAAAGAAAAAGACAATGTGATGATTGATCTTTTGCATGTTTGCATATTTAGGACTTTTAGATGATTGGCTCCTTTAACTCTCAATTCCCAGGAAATCATCTTGCCTTATGCATGAAATTGCAAATAGGTTTGTTTTGTAATGCAGCTTTGGCTAGACCCCATGTTTTTCACTACTTATGGAAATCTGCCTGGCCTTGGGTTGGTACAGTTGATGTCAGTATTAGAAAGCACATCCTTAGCACTGAAACAACCGGACAAGTGGTTGATGAGAAATGTCTCACTTCTGTCAATTTACAGTTATTGACCACTCGGTTTTGTTTTTTTAAAAAAATCTCATTTGAAATAGTTGTGGTTACATTTTTCTCAGGGGCTCTTTAAACAGGTGTAGATAAGCTTATTTTAATAGTGTTTACATCTATTCTTTTAAAGGGTCTGATGTTTACACAAAGCCAGCTGAGGTTAGTTCTTCATATAATTCTAGTCAGATAAGTTTAGAAATGTATAAGGTATATATGTGAATAGTGAAATATAATTAAAGCACGTAAAACGTTTTTAGTTTATGCTTTGAAGGAAAATTTTTTGTTTTCTAATTCCTTACAGATATTTGTCTTGCGAGACCATAACAGTTTATGTTTTTGTTTCTGTAGAGCTCTTAGCTTGCACTCAAATTGATAGCTATTGAAACTGTTAGGTTGCTATCCCCAAATAAAGACCTTCATAACATTTTTTTTTTTAACCAAAAAAAATAAAAACTTTTTTAAAAACATACCCTCACTTTTTTCAAAGCCCTTTTCAGCTTGAATTACATTTTAGTGTAAAGAATCCCTAACCAGGACGCCAGGGAACCCCTCCAGAAATCTTAGAACCTGTAGTAGATAGGTGCATCTTTTTGGGGAGAATGTTCACAGCTTCCATCAGATCATTTGACTCTAGGAAAGCTTACCACTGTTTAGAAACTGATATATTTAGGGTTCAACTTTCTGCTCACTTCTGTTTTACGTGACCTGTTACGCAGTGAATACTTCAAATGAAGTGAATTATTATTAATTTTTTAATTATTTTATTTTATTTTATTATTATTATACTTTAAGTTTTAGGGTACATGTGCACAATGTGCAGGTTAGTTACATATGTATACATGTGCCATGCTGGTGTGCTGCACCCATTAACTCGTCATTTAGAAGTGAATTATTAATGAGAATGTTTGGCTGAAAGATAGCTTGGAAGATAATCTACTCTAACTCCTTCATTTATGAATGAAAATTGTTTCTGTGACTATACAGCAAATTAGTGGTTTAAGTTGGAATCGTCTGATTCCCAACCCAGTTCTCTTTCCTTTATAGCACACTGTTAACTGTATCAATAAAACTGAGTCATGAAGACATTATGGTTGTTGTGGTTTTAAGATTCCTAGGTCAGATAAGGATTTGTATTTAGTGTTTGATGGCGTATGCTTAAGCAGAGGAACATTAACAGAATGGATTAGTAGGCTAGATTGGCTCAAAAGGAGTGAGACTTGCGTGATGAGAGACGTTAGAAGCCATGTGGTAGAAGGAACTGTGAATGTTAGGATTGAAGAAGAAATGACTTTGGGGAAATGGGGTCGGGGGGACAGTCATAATAACTTCTTGAGCATTTAGAAGAGGTTTTGGCCAACGACTAAGTCTGTAAGGCCCTAAATGGGGTAGAATATGGGTAGAGGATCAATTTCTATACAATATAAAAATTCATTTTCTCACAATTTAGGGCTATCTGGAAATCTTATTATTGGTTTTGGGTAAGCAGAAGCTAAATGGTCCCAACTTACAGAGATGATGTAAAGAGAATTTTTACATTGAGTAAAAGTTAAACTAGATGGCCTCAGTCCCTTTCAATGCCACAATAACTTGGAATAGGTGATTAAAACTCTACTTCTCTAGACTGAAGTGAAAATTAAAGTATTTCTCATCTCCCATAAACCTCATTTGTTTAGGTGACTAAGGATATAGGTAAAGGCTCTCTGAATTTTCAAGGATTAGAATGACCAGAGTCTTGAGATACATATTTTTAAAAATCTTATTGGGCACTGTAATTTCATCAGCAAACTTTCTAAAAGTATTGTATAATGATTTTTAAAATTTACTAACATAGGAGGTGCTATTTTAGAAACTTATAAATAATTTTTTTGTTGATGTCTCTAATTAGATTTGGGAAAATTGGCATGCCTTTTCTGAAAACGTAGCTAGAATAAAAATTATCCTTTAGAGTATTGTAGTATTCTCATCCAATAATGTAGCCCCCTTGGTTAGCTTTATCTTGGCATCTTTAAAGTTTGGGGTTGCTCATAGTCCTACCTGGTGTTATGGTCAATAGACAATGACCTATTCATGATATAATATGAGTCAGTGATGTGAACATTTTCAGCTCTCAAGTCAGGTGTTTGTAAATATGTGCATATACTTATAAAATACTCTGTGTTTACTGATTGTGAAACCATGTAATACAGGTTGTTGTTGGCTTATGCTGAAACTTCTTGAAAGAAGCCCACTTTGAAAATGTGTTGCTGTTGAAGCTAATAGTATGATTCAGGTACTGTCTTTCAAAAGTACTGCACTTAAAGCTTGTTTTAAAGACATGTATTGGTAAAAACTTCTGTACAGTGTCAAACTTCTAGCATTGTGTACATTCACTTTCTGAAAAGTATCCATTCTTCCTTAAATTTGAAAGTGTGATTGTATTTGGCATTTGCCAAAAAGATATATTCAAGTTAAGTGGAATTTGTTAGATGGAATTAATTTTTTACACTCTTGGTGTTGTGTTTAAATTGGATATGAATGGATGTTTAAAGTTAACCAGGAATCGTATTTCTTTTATGAATTGTTGTATTGGATGTTTTGAATGGGTGTTTCCCATCTGAGAACTCCATTAAGTACTTGGGTCAAAATTGTTAAAACCATGTTTCTACTTTTGTGTCAGATAGAGGAAAGGGTCGCCAGAGACAAGCCATTTTGGGAGAACACCCTTCTTCGTTTAGACATGATGGCTATGGTAAGTTGTCAAGGTAGAAAGAAGGTAGTATAGATGAACTGTTTGACTTGCTGCATTTCTGATGAAGTATGGCACATTTCTTGTCTATTTTTCCTGCGTATCTGCCTCGGTTTATATGGGATCAGTCCCTTGTAATGTACTCCCAGGAGTTGTCCAAAATTTGTTTTCTTAGGATAATGATTTAAAAAAAATCCTTGAGATAAGTGAGAGCTACTAGTTGGGGATTGAATACTTTTTTGCCATTATATTTTGGTTTGGTTTTGATTTTTAATGGGTTCTGGCTTGTAAGAGGACCAGAAAGAAGAATTATTGTTCAGTAAGTGTATTTTCTTTCATTCCAGCAATTAGCAACAAAGAGGAATTTTGAGTAATAAAGGCAGAAAGAATAGGGTATTTGTCAAAAAGGAAACATGCTTCTGGTTAGACTCACCTTATAGTTCTGTAGCTAGTATTTTGGTTTCAGTTAAATTTGTTCATGTTTATTCCCCTTTTAAAACTTCTCAGCTTTTACTTTTTGCTATGTTGATAAGATTATGGAACCTAGAATAATAATCTGCCCCAGGAAAAAATTAGGTAACGTTAGGTATCAAACTATTGTTCTTATAAGTAGAATCTTTTAACTAGCTGTAAATTGTTTGAAAATATTCTTTAGTTTTTAGTGGTAGTTATTGACTCTACCTATTCTGTGCTTTAAAGTTGAAGCACAATACTATTAAAACTGGCAGAAAATAGAAATTGCTATATTGTAGTCTTGGGATTGGTCACCGAAAAGCACCTGGTATTGCCTATTGTCCTAAATGGTTCAAATTGCCTACATACTTACTTTAATGACCATTCTTAGCTGTGAGTTTTAGCTTACTTTCTAGTGTTTTTCTTTTGAACTGTAGTAGTGTGTTTGTGTTGTGTATGTGTGTGTGTGTGTCTTCAAGGTTCCATAGTCTATATGGCAGAAAAGATTGAAACCATCTCTGTTTTGTCAAAACAGTAAGTGTGGTATAGAATGAAAATCTCATTACAGCTGGTTTAGTGAATGTGTACCTTGATTATTTTTCTTAGTTATTCCTGTAACAGAGTAAACATTAAACATGGTTGTATGGGTAGTTCTGATCCTGCAGTAAAAAACATTGGGTGTTTTTTGCACTTTGATAATGGAGGGTTACAAAAAATTTGCCATTACAAGTTTGTAGTATAGTTGTAGAGTCATGGCAGTCAGCTGAAGGCTAAAAACTGGTTAAATATTTTGCCAAAGTGGATTAGAAAAATCTGTGAAAGAATAAATGAAGGACAAGGAACTCTGCTGTAGTAGTGTGGAAACAGATTTTTTTCTTAGTGTAAGTCTGCCTTCCTTTATAAAATATTTTACCGAAAAATAGTATAAACAAAAGCTGTTATATACCCTGCCAAAATTTTTTATTTTTAAAAAGCCTATTGTGAAATTCTTTGATAGTTGTGGTGGGATTATGTAGGGGGGTATCCATTCTGAGCTATGTCCATTAAGATATTTAATCTGAGGTTAATTTGTTCCACTTTTCTAGGGAAGTAAGCAGAATTGGGGTATAGGAGGAAAGAGAGCGAATAAAGAGGCAGAGAAGAGAAGTAAGATGAGTAATAGGGGAAAAAGCAAAGATGGGGGATGTGTGCTAGTGATATTGAGCCTTTTTACAAATATTGCAAATCACAAATGTATCCCTTCAGATCAGCGCTTCAGCAAAACAGGTTTACTTGCATTTTGGGATCACCTTATAGATGACCTTTCCTTTTCCTATGTGACGACTATAAGAAAGGGAATAGAAAGAGTTAATTATGGTTCAGGACCCATAGATTCCATCAGATTAAGTTTATTCATTGGTTTATTATAGCAGTATGAAATCTATGTGAATCATCACAATTCTTTACCTCTTTTAATTTGGGAAGCCCAGACTTAATGATATGAACTGGTAGAAGCTTTCATAGTTGAACCATGGCAGAAATTGATACATAGATTTATTTGCTGTAAGCTCAAGAAGAGTTTGTGTATTAATTTGTAGCATCTTTGGATATGGTTTGTAGACGAAAGATTTTAAAGCTTGAAAGATGAAAAATGCCTTCAAGATGTTAATATACCATTTATGTAGCATTTTTCCATGTCAGTTTTTTAAATATTTGAAGCATTAGTTTTTTAAACACCCAGACTTTCTATTATCAATTTAGTATAGAAAACTTTTAAAAGACGTCTGATTTTTCTTATCTTAAATAATATAGGTAATACTTTAAGTAGTATAGATAAGATAATTTAATAATGATGGCTCAAAGTCATAATTATAAACATCAGTTATTCTTGTGGACTGATTTTGGTTGTTACTTAGGGCAGTAGATCTCAGAGGTTTTGGACTTTAGCCACTATACATAGAGTAAAAGTTTCCACTGCCTGTCTACCATGTGTCTTTCTACTTCCATGAAAAAGAAAATTTAGTGTGATGATAGTGAAATGTCATTACTGTACAAGCAAATGGTAGGTGGCGGGGAGGCAGTATATTATGTATATGTACTTTTGCAATAGGAATAAGAATAATTGATATTTGAATCTTGGTGTGTGTATGAGAGTCTAAATTAGAGGCTAAAATAATTACTAAACAGCCTAAAAACTAATTACTAAACAGTCGCTCATATGGATTGTTTTGTTAAACTACCAATTGCCAATAAAAGGAGTAGTTGAAATCCATGACCAATTTAAGGAGACACTGATGATACATTGATAAAGTATTCCTCCCTAAAATTGCAGAAATTCACACCGTGTTTGTGTGTGCTTGGTGGTGGTGTTACTGTGTTGTTATGAATGGCAGCTGTTAGAATACCAAAAATTGGAGTCCACCATAAGCTCTAATAGTATGTTATGAATACCAAAATTTAGTAGTTCTTAGTAACTCACTTAGTAGATAGATGACAGTTGTCCCTTAGTCCTATATACAAGTGCAACTCAGTGGCATTACATACTCTTCTTGAGAAATAGAGAAAGGACTTGGGTTTTTGGATTGGTTTTGCACATCAGGGGGACCTTTGCATGTACCCTAGATGTTGCTTCTGTTATTATTAGGAGCATCTAAGATGTGTAGGGTTTCTGTTTCTAAGCTGCATGTCTCCATCTTAGTTGCTGCTTTTGAGTTCCTCTGCCTTTCTTCTTATTGCTGTAAAATGTGCCCTGTGTCTACTTTGAGTGTCAGTTTCTCCACCCTCATTTCTTTTCATTCTACACTCTAGCTTTATTTTTTGTTAGATCTGTTGTGGATGGGAAAAACAGATAAAGTTGTTTAAAGCTACTCTAAAGTTAGCAAGTTGATTCTTAATGAGGATTCTCAATGTAAGAGACATAGATTTGAGTGTGTTTTTCTGCTGAAATAGTTTTAGATACTCAGGCATTATTTCCTTCTGGGTTCTTGATACTGTTTCAAAAAAATGGAAGTTGTAGAGTAATAAGACACCTGTGTGTAGTTGAGTTATTAACTAAATCTAGGGTTTTAGTTTCCTAAATTAGAATTAGGGGAATAAGATACCAACCTGAAAGTACATAGTAAAATATATTCAAGGAAACAACTTTTCAGTGGAACTGAAGAGGTTCTTTTTGTTATATCTGTGTAGAGATAGCTTCCCAGATTTCACTGTACATGTAATATTATTACTCCTCCAAAAGACATTGGCAGGAGGTTTATTTTTTAAATTTGAGGTATAATTTATATACAGTAGCCCCAGACTTTACATTCATTTTCTTAACCCCCCATAGTCTTGTTAAACTATAATTTTTTAAAAATGTAAGCTTATAGCCTGGTGTATGCAGGTATAGGTCAATATATATTGTATCTGGTGCAAATGAATACAGATTTTATTAATTTTCCTCAGGTTATACTGAAATATTCATACATTTGAGTTTTCTTTGTACATCAAACTAGCTAATATTAAGAGTTTATTTTTTGTGTGTGGTGCAGTATATCTACTAAAGTATTTACAAACAACTATGTGTATATGTTAACTAATTTATTTATTTTGATCATTTTTATAGGATCCCATGGTCCATTATTGCCTTTACCAAGTCGTTACAGAATGGGCTCTCGAGATACACCTGAACTTGTTGCTTATCCATTACCACAGGCTTCTTCCTCTTACATGCATGGAGGAAATCCCTCTGGTTCAGTTGTAATGGTTAGTGGATTACATCAACTAAAAATGAATTGTTCAAGAGTCTTCAACCTGTTCTGCTTATATGGAAATATTGAGAAGGTAAGTTTCTCTTTATATTGGTTTCTTTTGCTAGGATATTCAGTGGTAACTCTGAAAAGGCTGCAAATATGTGTCTTCTCCTTGTATCAGGAATATCCAAATTCTTTGAGTAATGACCCACATAAGCTAAAAATCTATTATATAGGAACTCTGGAAAATGTTTTTTGTTGATAAGTAATAAGTATAGGTTGTTGATACTACAAATATTTTTAAAATAACCAATATAAAAAGAAGTCTAAATCAGTAGTAATCAACTACTATGGTATGAGAGGCCTGAAGTCTATATTTTGGTGATCTCATTTCAAAGTGATTCTAGCGTTTAACAGGTTGAAAGAGCAGTTACTTTCATGGAGGGTATATATAAAAACAAGCTTCGGAGCCTAGCCAGAAGTTGTGAATTTCAGAAGAGTTCTAGAATTTATGCACTTGCTTCCTAAATGCCAGGGTTCTATTATCTTCGGAGGAACCATGTGCATTTAGCTCAACCAGTATTTGAAACTGACCCACTTTGATAAAATGTGTCCAAAACTTCCTGTCTAGCAATATACATATTTTGAAGGTCTTTAATAATTGTAACTTTATTATCAAATAACTGTGTTTTCCCCAAATCTGCGAGGTTTTATTTATTGATACCTCACAAATGTGAGATAAATAGTTTTTGAAAGAATCATGGAAAATTTAACTAGGAAAATGAATGGTAGTCTTAAGTTACCAGTAGTTTGATAAAAACACTTGCTAATTTGAGTTTTAGTACTGTAGTAATGTGTTTTTTTCCTGTTTTAAGTGATTTTAGTGTTCTTTGCAACAGTAAGTTCTTGCAGCATGTGAGTCACTATGCGTGGGAGGGGAACATGGCTTGAAAAGTTGCTACATTTAGTTCTTAGTTCATTAATTCTAAAGCTTCTTGATCTGAGGAAGCAACCCTTCAGAATTATGAAACAAGAATTTTGTCAACCATTTGATCACAGTAAAAAACAAAACAAAACAAAACAAAACATTCCACATTTGGTCTGGGAGATAACATATGGGATACCTATACTTGTGTAACTGGGCAAGAATACATGGGATAGGTTTAGTAGCATTGGGAGAAGTATTATTTTCACACAGACACTATCTTAGGCCCAAGTGTTAAGTGGAGGGAATGCATGTTTGATAATTAAATGGGCTTTAATGTATATTTTAACTTTCTTTATAGAGTATTTTCTTTTTGTGTTTTTCACATATGCAGACAATCAGAATCAGGCAATTTAATCAACATCTTTAGTAGATCTATGTCTTTTGTGTTGTGAACTAATTGTCTCATATGATTTAGAAACTCAAATTACTTTTTCTAATAAAACTTAGATTTTTTGTATGTTATTTGACTAATTCTAGTCCCTTTCACTCTACATCTTGCAAGTTTTTAAAACATTTTAAATGATAAGCTATGATACGTTGAACTCAGACTATCATAATCCTTTAAAGATCCATATATAGTTAATTTTTTCTAACTTTCTTTTGGAGATTTACCAATACAAGAACCACATATTTAATGTGTATATTTAGTCACTATTAGATTTGCAGATAGTCATTGGATTAAATCAAGGGAGAGGAATTTTGTCCATGAGAAGACAAGAGATTTCAAATAAAGCTGAAAAATCCTGTTACGACTGAGTTTTGTTCAAGTACAGGTGTAGTATATCCTATTAAAGTGGGTAGTTGAAGTGATGGAAATAGAAGCCATGTTGCATTTGTTGTGTAAATACATTCTCAGTATTCTTTAGACGTCAATAGATAAGAAGGAAATACTACGTTGAAGGTGTCATCTATGTCATTGGTACAGGAGTCCTCCCTTATCCACAGTTTTGCTTTCAGTTACTCACTGTTAACTGCTCCAACAATAGGTGACTACAGTAAAATAAGATATTGTGAGAGAGAGAGCATGTTCACGTAATTTTTATTATAGTAGATCATTTATAATTTTTCTATTTTATTATTTTGTTAGTCTATTACTGTGCCTAATTTATAAACTTTATCATAGGTATGTATGTACAGGAAAAAGCATAGTCTATATATGCTATGCTTATATATAGTATATACTATGTTTAATCTCTGTCTGTCTCTGTCTCTCTATCTATCTAATTATCTTTCAGTACTGTCTACAGTTTTTTTGTGTGTTTGCTTTTGAGACAAGGTCTTGTTCTATCGCCGAGGCTGGAATACAGTGGCACCGTCATAGATTACTTCAGCCTCTAGCTCTTGGGCACAAGCAGTCCTGCCTCAGCCTCCTGAGTAGCTGGGACTACAGGTGCATGCCACCATGCCCAGCTGGTTTTGTATTTTTTTTTTTTGTAGAGATGGGGTCTCAGCTATGTTGCCCAGCCTGGTCTCAAGCTCCTAGGCTCAAACAAGCATCCCACCTTGGCCTCTCAAAAGTGCTGGGATTACAAGTGTGAGCCACTGCACCAGGGATTGTCTGCAGTTTCAGGCATCCATTGGGGTTCTTGGAATGTATCCCTCAAAGATAAGGGGGAACTACTGTACTTAATAGCCACTTAGGGATTTCCCAAGGGCTAAGCATTAGGCTGAATGATATCATACTTCATACCTTCTAACCCTTACAGCATTACATTCTAAAACTGGAAATAGTACAAGAGGGTAAGTATGGCCTCTGCCCAAACTGTCCTGAAATAACGTGTATCCCCCTATGTTGCACAAGCCTTCCTGTGACCATGCTATCTCAAGGCTATTTTGTATTATTTCTTATATAGCATCTTGTTTACTGCATTAACAGAATTCTACATAGTTTGTACTTACTATTTGTTTACTTTTAAATTTCTGACTTAACTACTAGAATATAAGGTTCAAGAAGATAATGTCTGTTAACATTCACTATTAAATCCCCAGTACCTACCACAGTGCTTATCAAAACATATTAGACACTTAATAAATATTTGTTGAAAGAGTAAATATTAACGAGTCCTGCCAGATGGTATTATCTGTATTTTCAGCGACAATCCATGGCTCAGAGAAGTTAAGTATATTGCCCTCAAATCACACAATTAATACATAACAGAGTTAGGGTGAGCCTGTGCTGTTCTTCAGTGGGCTATACAATAGTGTTCCTTTTTAACTATTGAACTTTGATAAGAGTTAAGGGTATCTCATAACATGGCAGAGTATAGTTAAAATCCAGGTGATCTTCCGTATTTTACTTTAACCACTTAGGTCGTATTGTGTTTTAAAATTTCTTTTACTGTAAAAGGGAATTAAATGGTCACCTTTTTGGAATTTTGTGTTTACAGGTAAAATTTATGAAGACCATTCCTGGTACAGCACTGGTAGAAATGGGTGATGAGTATGCTGTAGAAAGAGCTGTCACACACCTTAATAATGTCAAATTATTTGGGAAAAGACTTAATGTTTGGTAATTATCTATCTTAAATGATAAATTTTAAAAAATATTTAAAAATCTTTGTCCTTTTTATTAGAGACATTAATGTCAACTTGAGAATATTTTAATGTAACTGAGGGCACATCTGAAACAACAGCTGTAATATTGTTATTTTAGACAAGAGTTAGGGTCGTATCACTCAGATTTTGCTTAGCGATACCTGCTTTTTAGTTTTATGATGATAAAACGTGTTAAAATGGGCACGTTTTTATGTTAAAGTTTTCTAATATGAGAATATATTTAATAGATTTTCTTTCTAATTGATGTCTAAACTACAAGAGTGATTGATTATAACCCAAACTAAATCCTCTATTTAAATAGCTCTATGTATGCCTTTTTTTGGTTAAGATTTATGCAAGCAAAATATATTAGCATTCTGAGACTACTTGCTGCTTTTTATCTAACAAAGTACTTTTGTATGTCTTTTCTTTACAATCTTTAGCGTGTCTAAACAACATTCAGTTGTTCCAAGTCAAATATTTGAGCTGGAGGATGGTACCAGCAGCTACAAAGATTTTGCAATGAGCAAAAATAATCGCTTTACAAGTGCTGGCCAAGCATCTAAGAATATAATCCAGCCACCCTCCTGTGTTTTGCATTATTATAATGTTCCATTGTGTGTCACAGAAGAGACCTTCACAAAGGTAGGCACTGAAATACAAATGTGTATAGAATGTTGCTATTTCCTATTTTAAAATCTGTTTTAGCTTCATTTTGAAGTCGTTTTGCTCATTCTTTTGCTTTTGATGTTATTACTATTTTATTTACTTGGTACTGGATAGTTTATTCTTTGACCATTGTACTTTTCTGGCCTCCATTCCTCATTGGGCTTCGTTGATTTGTGGCTCAATCCTTTTGAGAGTTGGAATTAGAATGAGGTCATCTTAATCCTGCATTCAGAAAGTTATTTAAAGACATATCGTGTCTTTAAATCTCACCCATAACAAAATTTTCTCTATCCATATTGTTTCCCCTAACTTAGAAAATGCTAAGTAGGAACTGTAAGAAATGCTTCAGATAAGAAATGATTTTGTGGAACTCTACTCCCTACCTTAAGTACTAGATAAATCCTGGTCAACTCTGAGAATATATATTTTAGTTAACAAATCTGTGGTTTTATTGTACAGCACTAAGTTACTTAATATAGTTTATAGAATTTTACTGTTTTTAATTGATTTTTTCATACAGCTTGATATTAATGTAGAAAACATACTTGATTTAATCCATTCATTTGAGAATTAAAACTTAAATTCTGCCATAAAGTTTACTTTCTGTAAAAAAGTGGGATATTATTTTGGCTATATTTTTAATGAAGTTTTACTTTCTTTGACAGTTGTGTAATGACCATGAAGTTCTTACATTCATCAAATATAAAGTGTTTGATGCAAAACGTAAGTGAACAGTCCCTCTTTTAAAGCTTTCTGGTTAAGTTGGTGATAAGCAAGTAATAATAACTGAGTTTGTGTTTTTTTGTTTTAGCTTCAGCCAAAACACTTTCTGGGCTATTAGAATGGGAGTGCAAAACTGATGCAGTAGAAGCCCTTACGGCACTGAATCACTATCAGATAAGAGTGCCGAGTAAGTAAAATGCTTTATTTGTGTTGTAATTATGTAGTGGCAGTTACCATCACAGAAACATTCATGGTAATATAAAAATAACACTTAATAGGCTTCTTAAAAAATACAGATAAATACAAAAAAGAAAGGCATATTAATTCCTGTATTAGTTATCTATTGCTGTATAACAAATTGCCATAAAATTTAGCATCTTAAAACAGCAAACATTTATTATCTTACTGTTTCTGAGGGTTAGTATTTTGGGTGCATTTCAGCTGGGCAATTCGGGCTTAGGATCTCCCATGAAGTTGCAGTCAAACTGTTGTTTAAGTCTGCAGTAATCTCAGGGCTTGACTGAAGCCAGAAGATCCACCCCCAGGCGCACTCATATGGTTGTGTGTAGGCTCAATCAAGCCACATTGGCCTTTTGATGGTAGCTGACTTCTCTCTGAGTGATCCAAGAGATAAATCAACAATGTTTTTTATAACCTAACATTGGAAGTGGCATACCATCACTTAATGTTATAATTTTTTTGGTCACAGAGACCAAACAGTACAGTGAGTGTAGGAGGGGACTATACAGGGTGGGAGTACCAGGAGGTTGGAATCACCTTCAAGCTATAGCTTCCACAATCCCTGCTGATCATTTTAGAGGAAAGCAATACATGCATATGTTTAGAAAACTCAGACAGTACATAAAGGTACAAAATGAAAAGTTAAAGCTTTCTACAACCTCCAACCTTTTGTCTTGTTCTTTTTTTCTTCCCTAGTGTGTATATATAATTACATATATTTTTAAAACTTGGCTAGGCACTGTGACTCACGCCTGTAATCCCAGCACTTTGGGAGACTGAGGCGGGTGGATCGTCTGAGGTCAGGAGTTCGAGACCAGCTTGGCCAATGTGGCGAAACCCTGTCTCTACTAAAAATAAAAAAATAATAAAAAAAAATTAACCTGGCGTGGTGGCACACACTTGTAGTTTCAGCTACTTGGGAGGCTGAGGCAGGAGAATTGCTTGAACCTGGGAGGTGAGGTTGCAGTGAGACGAGATCACGCCATTGCCCTCCAGCCTGGGCAACAGAGCAAGACTCCGTCTCAAAAAAATAAAATAAAAAAACAAAATGATTCTTCTGTACATACTTTCCTGTGTCTTGCTGTTTTCACTTACTATATCTTGGAGCTATTTCTATATTGCCACATTCAAAGCTTTTTAAAGCATTTTCAGGATAGCTATTTATAGTCAAGATGTATCACAGTTTTGTCTTATTTACCCGTCCCCCCACTGATGAACAGTCTGGTTGCTTCTGTTTGTTTTTTTCTGTTATTGTAATAAACATCCTTATAGTTGCACTTTTTTATTTTTAAATTTTTTTTTATTTTTAATTTTTTTTTTTTTTAATAGAGACAAGGTCTCACTGTGTTGCCCAGGCTGGTCTTGAACTCCTGAGCTCAAGTGATCCTCCTGCCTCAGCCTCCCAAAGTGCTAGGATTACAGACGTGAGCAACCACGACTGGTCAATAGTTGCACTTTCTAATGTGTGTTTGTAGGACAGTTTTTCAGTAGTGTAGGGCATGAAGGTTTATAGTTAGGTAAAATGTTGCTAGATTGTACTTTATAAAGGTTGCACCAGTTTACGTTACCAACCGTGATATATGAAAATATTCATTGCTCAGCACTCTTAGCAACACTGAGTGTTGTCAGATATTCAATTTTTACCAGTATGATAGATGAAAAATGGTATTTGGTTGTTTTAATTTGTGTCAAGTCAAGTGAAATTGTTAACCTGTTTGTTTGTCTCCATAATAGTAACAATGGCCTTTTTGGTTTTTTTTTTTTTGGTTTTTTTTTTTTGAGACGAGTCTTGCTCTGTCCCCCAGACTGTAGAGTAGTGGCACGATCTTGGCTCACTGCAACCTCCACCTCCCAGGTTCAAGCGATTCTCCTGCCTCAGCTTCCCAAGTAGCTGGGATTATAGGCACCCACCACCACACCCAGCTAATTTTTGTATTTTTGTTAGAGACGGGGTTTCACCACGTTGGCCAGGCTGGTCTCGAACTCCTGGACCTCATGATCTGCCCACCTCCGCCTTCCGAAGTGCTGGGATTACAGGCGTGAGAAAACTCAAGTTTAATTTTTGAAACTTTTTGCTGTGTAATTTACTTTGATCCTGGATCTCCAGGGTATTTAAATAATAGGGGAACATTATTGGGTGTGGTGATGAATGATGGTTTAAAAAAGAGAAAAAAAAACAATGAATGATTTATGGCTGGAATAACATCTGAAATTTGCTTTAAAATATTCTAGCTTTCAAAACTGTGTGTGAAGGGTAGGTAGATAAAGTAAGACTGACAAATATTGACAATTATTGAAGCTGGGTGATAGGTATGTGGGGATTCATTAAACCTATCTACATTTTTGTGTATGTTTGAAAATTCCTAAATAAAAAGTTAAGTAAGAAACACCTTTTTTTTTTTTTTTTTTTTTTTTTTTGAGACAGGGTCTTGCTCATCTCCTAGCCTGGAATGCAGTGGTGCAATCACAGCCCACTGCAGCCTCGACTTTCCTGAGCTCAAGTGATCCTCCCACCTCAGCCTCCCAAATAGCTGGGGCTATAGGAGTGCAACACCACATCCAGCTTATTGGTGTATATTTGTTTATTTTTAAATTTTTTTTACATGGAGGGATCCTGCTGTGTTGCCCAGGCTGGTGGTCTTGAACTCCTGGCCTCAAGCAGTCCTCTGGCCTCAGCCTCCCAAGTTGCTGGGATTGTAGGCACAAGCCACAGTGTCGGCTTTCTTCTCATTTTACTTTTAGTTAAAAGAAAAAAAAGGAAATTTTATTAAGTAGTCAGGCTTAATTTTTGAGAGAAAGTTTTAAAAAGCTTTAAAGTTATATGAAATACCTTAGAGACAGTATATAGATTATAAACTGTTTGGAGATAGGGACAGTTATGTATGTTTTTATCCTCTGCAGTGTCTTGTACACACTTGTTGATGCATATGCTTTTCCTTACAGGAATTTTTTTTCTTTAATGAACTACAGCTTTTAATACTAAAATTGTGATACATTAAGATAGCAAAACTGGTTCTTTGCTTTGATTTCTTATATATGTAGTTGAGGAAGAGCTGTTTCTGCCTGGTCTGAAAAATTAAAGGAAAGAAAAATTTACAAAATGGAAATATTTTTGTGAAGTATACCCAGTTGGTTTGTTTTTTTTTTTTCAGTAATTTCAAAACTTATGTACCCCATTGATGAAGAGAGATTTAATACTAGATTTCCTGGAACCTTTTGGGATCATAGATGTCTTCATGTACATTCCAGCTTTGACCTACTTCCCAAGCTGTATTTGAATTGGCTTTTATAGAGAGTTAACTGTTGGCAATATTTTTGCAATGTGAGCTTTGCTGCTTAATCCTGATACTATTTATTCTTTAATGATGAATTCACTAAAAAAAATTGAGTGCCAGACAGTGTTGAGAACAATAGAAATGTGGCAGTGAACAAAGTCCCTGCCTTCATGAGCTTACCTTCCAGTAAATATGAATAAAAATCTTTCCCTTACTTTACTTAGAAATTTTACTTTTTTTTTTTTTTTTTTTTTTTTGAGACGGAGTCTCACTCTGTCACCCAGGCTAGAGTGCACAATCTTGGCTTGCTGCAACCTCCACCTCCCAGGTTCATGCAGTTCTCCTGCCTCAGCCTCCTGAGTAGCTGGGACTACAGGCGTGCACCACCACACCCAGCTAATTTTTGTATTTTTAGTAGAGGCGGGGTTTCACTTCATTAGCCAGGCTGGTCTCGAACTCCTGACTTCAGGTGAGCCACCGCATCTGGCCAATTTTACTTCTTTATATTCCTGCTTTATATTCACCATATTTCTTATATTTAGTATAAAAAGGTGAAGTAATTTACTCTGATACTTCAAGGTGATCTTGAAAGTTTGATGAAGTGAAATATTAACTGTTTTTTACTTTTTACAGATGGTTCCAATCCCTATACATTGAAGCTTTGCTTTTCTACATCATCCCATTTATAAGAAGAGAAGAGCATGTTAGAATTTATGTTCACCTTTATTACAATTTCAAAGCTACACTTCATTAAAAAAAAATCTAAAATGGTTGATCTCATGTTGCCTTGCTTACTTTAAGATCCTGTTCTGTAATAAACATATTTTGCCTTGAGTAAATTTGTTGTAAGCTTAAATATTGAATTGTTTTCATTTTAAGATAGAATATCATAATGTAGACTATCTACAGCTTCATTGTAGATTATACAGATATATGATTTCTAACCTTATTACTGGAATTTTTCTTCCACAGTAAAAATATATTTGCATTCTTAATGCTAATTATCTGCAAGTATTTTTTCATTGTGTAAGAGATTAATGCAGGTGAAAGTATTGCATTTTAATATAGAATTCCTATTATATGTTTAGATGTTTAAGTATGTTGCAGTTACTCATATTAAACATAACTTGTATATTTATTATTTTAATGAAGTTTGAGAATAACGTTACATATGTTGAATTTTAAGTACTACAGATTTAACTGATTTTATATTTCTGAAAGGCTAACAGACATGGATACACGTGTACAGTATGCATTCAAACTTATTTAAATTGGTGTATTTTTTTTTAAGTCACTGTCCATTTGTATTGACATGCCTCTGTTTCTAGTCCAGTTTGGAGATTTTATAAAGTTATAACAATGAGTTAATGTGTTCATTTTCATTTGTTGCATGTGACTTAAATACAGCTAGTATTTGGCATTGAGATTTTAATAGAGGTTATAATTAACAGTTCCTCTTATAGATAATAATCTGGGATCCATGGGTGGGCTTCAGAGAATCTGTGTACCCCCTAAAATTGTATGTAGAATTTTGGATATTTACATTTTTATTTTTTAACTCTTGGATCCATCAGTAATATGTATTTTTCTATATGGTACAAGATTTAAGGATCTAATTTTATTTTTATTCCAAACAGATAGCTATTTGTCTCAATACCATTTATTAAACATTCTTTCTCCCACTGGATCTGTTTTTTTTTTCTTTTTAAGATAATAGATTTTATACATAGGCAAGTAAGATTTAAGGACCAAACATGGTATTAAGAGACTATAGCACGATTGTTACCAAGTTCACAGCTTTTTTACAATAGAAAAACTGATGTGGCCATTTTGTTTTCATCTTTAAAAGAAGGGAGAATATGTGTCATCTACCTAGAATAACTGATATCAGTAGTTGACAATATCAGTTTTGTAATCCTGACACTTTTAAACAAATTTGTAAATGAAAGTTCCATTTAGATCTTTTGTAAAGACTTTATTTTAAATTTTAATATAAAAAATCCTTTTAGAAATAAGGCAGGCATTTACAATTTTAGAGCTGTTTAATAGGAAGTTTAGATGGAAACTAAACACACATTAACATTTATTTCCCCTCATTTTGATGGCAGTGGACCAGCATTTAGCCCTCTAAAGATAAAGAAAAAATTAAATTTAATCTAGAAGTATTTTAGACCCTTATCACAGAACCCAGTAAGTTATGCCAAGGGTAACTGTGTGAACTGTGTTCGATACTGGGCTATGTATGTTTCTTATTCATTGCCAATTTAATACCTAAGTTTATCTAACTTTACAATAAAGCTTTTTTTCCCCTATAAATACTTTTCTACCTCTTTTGAAAAATTGAAATACCTTAATTTTGGTTTATGTAATAGTTGTCTACGTTCCTTCCTCCTCTGAAAATTAATGTGGGTTGTCAGAATTACAGACTTTTTAATGCCTAAGATTTTAAGAAATAAACCTGTAGGTGTTGGCAGGACTTATTTCATTTAGATTTTAATTAGTTTAGATGTGTAGAAATGATTTTTATCTGTAAGGCTCTCTCTCCACCAAAATAAGTGAATTGTTTGGGAGTAAACTAGTTGGTAAGTTGGGCCTTGCTGATAGATTTATACACTGGTGTGTAAGCCCTATACTGCTGCTGTCACTAATGTTTTTGATAGTTTACTTAGGCATGACTGCTGTTAATGAAGTTTGCTTTGTGAATACTCTCTCTTTCCTTAGCCTTGGCAACATTCTTCTCTGTGCTATCTTTATGCTTTTAGAAGAACTAGAAAAAGCAGATTTAAGAACTGTAAAGAAATAATACTAGCTTTGAGTTTTTAAAAAAAATATTGAAATCCCATCTCTGTATCCAAATCCTACTACACATTTGATAATAAATCTGCCAAACTGAGTTATGGAATATGAGCTGCCTTTTAAAATCCTTATTCTCCTGCTGAAGGTGTTACCTCACCAAATAAAAATATTTGCAGCTGCAGCCAACATGAGACTTTGCAAACATCCTAGTGATTTGGTTATCTCAACTATGTCTTGAACAGAACTGAGAAGAGGGGAAAAAAATGACTAAATGGGGTGAGTTGTTTCATATTTTCTTTACAGATAGGCTGCTACAGAACTGCAAAGTAGCTATCAGTGATACTTTCTCTGGAATAAAGAAATTTTGATTGTAGAACATTCTCCCATACTTAGGAATCTGAAGCACAAGGAGCTTTGCTTCACTTAAAGGTAACAAAAGTGCTTGTAAGATAACAGCGATGAACTTCCTATCTCCATATGGTTGTTTGGTCTAAGAGACTTTTAGTCCACTGTGGCCTTTCTCTTCATAGTACTGCGGCTCTGCTCATGATGATTTTCAGTGTCAACCAAAAAGTAAGTGAATGTGCAGGCATGAATACTGTTTAAACCAAAGAAATTATTTGGGATATTAAATCTGTGGATATTTGGGATTTAAAATAATGGATATTTAATCCGTAGTATCATTGCTTTTGCCTAAAACGTAGCATTTCCATCAAATGGATTCAAATGTTGATTAAAACCTAATATATTTTATTTAGCAAAATACCGTCTTCTAGGGATCTTAGTTCTAATGTTTTTTTGAACTTGAACAAACAAAATGGACTTTGCTTTACTAGTTACTTTCATAGAAAGCCCTTCATTCGAGGGAACACTTGAAATTCTCTTAGTTTTAATTTATAAATGAGGAAGGTAGTAATGTTGGATATTGTTTTCTCTATCCTCCATTCCACCCTCCCCTATTTTGTAGCAGTAATCAAGGTTTGAGTGAGCCTCATTGACTTAGCCTCATCACTCTTAGTACCTCTTAATAAGGGCAGCAGGTCCTCCTAGAGGGGTATTTTGACAGTTTGTAGGGGTGTTTCTTCAGTGGTTAGGGGACACTGCAAACAATTTGATGGGTAGGACCAGGAAGAATTATCCCTTGTCCTGCATGACTTTCTGATTTCCTATCAGATACTTAAATAGGTAAAAAACCTGTTTATAATGATCTGATCCTCGAGTCTGACTTTTTAATATATTAATGCAAAATATTTTTGTGTGGTTTTAATATGCAGTACACTGAATTTTTAGCAATACAACTACCTTATAAATCAAGGAAATAATGTTTAGAATGCTTTCAAGAGTTGTTCGCCATTTTGGAAAATTATATCATCAACATATTATTGGGATTGCCATTATAATACACAAGGGTCAGTTTTCATTTGTAGCTGTCACATTCATCTCTGTCTTCTGTTGTAGCCGTACCTGAGTATTTATGTATTACAACGTACATTTTATCGTAAATTTTATTTCTCCCTTAACAATTAAGAGTTTTATTTGGTTTTTCTTTAAGTTGTGTGTGTCTGTGTGTAGGTAGGTATTATCTAGGAATTTTATTTCAGCAGAGTAAAAGGATATCAGATTGGGTGGGGAACCATTGCTGTAAACAAGGTAATAATCTGATTCTGTGTTGAACAGGTAACCTAGGTTGATCCAAAGAGAATGACACCTAGGATTTGTTGAAGAATGGATGAGGAAGTGCTCTCGCTAAGGGGTGTGGTCTGCCTGTGTAAGGTTAGGCCTGGGACTGTTATAGCCATTTTGCTGTCTTGAGGGAAACTACCTAGTAGAGAAAAATGGAATACACAGTGGAAACCACCTTGAGCATAGGCTAGTTTGGTATTTCGTGCAAAATACACCCATCTTCAGAGTTCTCTTTTGAGTTTGAAAACACAACCTATGTATTTTAAGGGTCTCCATTTGCCTAAATCTCATCTTTAGCAGTTTAATCTACAAACAGCACAATCAAATGAAAGCACTGACAATTGTTTGACAAAAGGCCCAATTTTTTTTTTTTTTTTTTTTTTTTTTTGAGACAGAGTCTCACTGTTGCTCAGGCTGGAGTGCAGTGGTGTGATCTCCACTCACTGCAAGCTCCGCCTCCTGGGTTCACACCATTCTCCTGCCTCAGCCTCCCGAGTAGTTGGGACTACAGGCGCCCACCACCACGCCCGGCTAATTTTTTTGTATTTTTAGTAGAGACGGGGTTTCACCATGTTAGCCAGGATGGTCTTGATCTCCTGACCTTGTGATCTGCCCACCTCGGCCTCCCAAAGTGCTGGGATTACAGGCGTGAGCCACTGCGCCCAAAAAGGCCCTATTTTAAACATGATTTATCTTTGTCTTTTTGCCAACCGTAGGCTTTATTTTTTTTGTAACTCTTTTATGTTTAAACTTTTTGTTTTGTAGAGATGGGGGTCTTGCTATGTTGTCCAGGCTGGCCTTAAACTCTTGGCCTCAAATGATCCTCCCACTTTAGCCTCCCAAAGTGCTGGGATTACAGGCAAGAGACTGTACCTTGTACTCTTCTGTCAGATACCACAAAGTTTAGACATAGATGTAATATTTATGGACACTTACTGAAAGTATTGTGTGTTGATTTGTTAATGGCTCGTTTAAGAGTTTCTAAAATTTAATGGGCAAAAATTACATATATGGGGTATAATGTATACATTATGGAATGGCTAAATCAAGTTAATTAACATATCCACTGCCTTACATACTTATTTTTTGTGGTGAGAACATTTAAAATCAACTCTAGGGTCGTTTAATTTTTAAGAGCAGAAAGCTTATTTATATGTAACTTAGAAATCATCTCTACTGTATACATTAAACCCTTGTAAGTGATACAGAACTGCTAATAAAGTAAAATTACTGAATTAGTGGCAGTCTCTGATTTGGAAACTTTGACAGCTCCCTTGTGGGGTGACACAGTAATCAGGCTAAGCTACAGAGCAACCTTGAAAGGTTTGCTTTGAGTTGAGTTGATAATTGTAATCTGGTCATCATTTATTTTTTCCTTTTTTTTCTCCCTAGTAATACCAAAAGAAATTAAGAAGCAATGTTATTTTTTTTTTTTTTCTGGGAAGTAATCATAGTTTAATGAGAGCCCGGAAAACAGTAAATGGCCTGAAAGACTTTCGTTGTTACCATAATTTTAGTATAGCTTATTAAATAACAATACCAGTGGTATAGCTTGGGAGTGTGAAACTTGATTACAACTTAACGATTGTGAAGTTTAGGTTATTAAGGTGATTTTTGGATGTGACTTTATGTGAAACACCCTTTTCTTCGGAGAGTAGGGGAAGAAAAACAAGGTAGATAGATAATGCCGGTGCTGCACGGGGATATTTAGCAGTGCTTCTCGACAGTTAGGAGAGTAACGTTTTATTTTGTGGGGAGATGATTTCATGACTAGCAAAAAGGATCATGTGGGGAACTTTTAAAAAATACTGATATCCCAGATAATCTGCAGAATCTGACTTAGTTGTACTATGTGTGTATATATTCAAAACAAATTTTATTATCCATTGATTTCCATTTAAAATATTTGATTTTTGATGTCACAAAGCATGAATGTAAAGTAGATAAGATTATTTTCGTTGCAGCTTAGAAATTCAAAGAAATAATGACAATTTTAAACCAAAAAACCTTCAGTTTCTACAAAAACCATATCAGAAGTGTCACTTGCAACGATTTGGCTTCTTGGATATTTCAGTCATTTATTCCAGCTTCTATCAAGTGCACTTAGTATGCCAGACAATACAAGTTCAGGCAGATGGTTAGCTTTAAAAAGTCAGTAGGTTAATTTGAGCTTAGAAGGGAAGCAACGGAGAAATGGCTAAGCCTTCTTTCTAAATATGAGGCAGACTATTTCCTAAATTCTTAAGAGGAACTGAAAATTGATTAGGGAGTCTTTAGTCTTTGAGTAATATAATCTGAATCTTTTAGCTTTTATGAATTCCACTATAAGATGAAAAAATAAGGTCAAGGAATGATCAGCACTTGTGGTGGAGGCGCGAAGGCTGTATAATCATTCCGTTTCACAAATTGGGGATGAGAGACCCAGATTTTTTTGATCTGCCCAAGTTTAACAAAGTAAACGGGGATATAATGACTTGAATCTAGATGTTAATACTCAAAATCTTACACAAAAGCCCTTTTGAGTCATTGAAATAATTGGCTTTTCTCAGTGAGTAGAAGTATTAGCTGTAGTAGCCTAAGCAATGTTAACTGCTTTGGTAAATGATTAGAAAGCAAAATTCTGGTTGCCAGCTGGGGGTAATGGAGGTGTGATTGCTATTGGCTACAAGATATATTTTAGGTGATTAAAATGTTCTGAACTAGATAGTGGTGATGGTTGTACACCTTGTGAATGCACTAAATGCCACTGAATTGTATACTTTAAAAGTTAAAATAGTAATTTTATTTTGCTACAGTATTTTACTACAGTAACAAAGTAGGTCTAGCCCAGCAATCCTTTCCTTTAAATAAGGGCTAATATGGGTCTGCAAGGCTTAAATGTAGCCGGTTAGATACATTGGGGAAGGTGTGTAGGGAGAATCTGTTGAGTTAGTTCACTCCCACACCAGCAGGAGATGGGATCCTGAGTCTGGTTTATGATTGTATTGCTAGGGTGGCTGGCTACTTCTGGTCACCTTGGACTATGGGACAAGAGATTAGAGCCAGGGAAGAGAGCCCACTGAGGTCTTGTGCACAGTGAACGGTTAGGAAAGAGGATTTGAGGGTGGGGAGGGGATGATTCCATGAATGGAAAATAGAATTTCTCTTGTGTTCCTAAGCCTGAGTAATGCTTTGGTTGCTTAGTTTACAGACTTTATCCTAACTAATTTTGAGCTACTCTCACTGAGTCTCAGCCTGCAGGAGGATCTATTCATGAATATACTCACATTTTCTTGAAAAATTAAGAGACTATTTTAACCAGTTTACCCAGTTTCATTTAGACTTTGGCACACATGCTAACGTATATACATAGCTGCTTCAAAGTCTTGAAGAGGAATTCAATAAGAGACTGATTTATATAGACAAAAATCCATAAAAACAAAAATTATGTGTGCAGTGTATTTATAAATCCTTTAGAGGGTTTTAGGAATCTTCTGGAAAAAAAAAATGTAAAATGAGATAGCTAATGCGTGTTGTTTTATGCACCTGTATGATACATAATAAAACCTCAGATTTTTCTGCCTAACAAAATTGAGAGGACTGATGCCAGTATCAGCCACCTCAGTCATGGTAGAGGTTTTCTTGCTAGACTGTTAGAAGGGTAAGTAATATTTATATGACTGTTGCCAATACAAATTCAAGCTCGTCCTACAAAGACCTAGTATGATCACTTATCCCACAATATTTCTCAGCAAGGCACTAGTATTTGAGCCAAAATTTCCACCACTTGACCAAAAAGACTAAAATAGCTCCACACCTGTTGTACCTCCTCCTGCTGTGTAATAACCCTTTGCTCCCTGCAGTTTTGCTTCTTAAACACTCGACTCAGGATCAGTAAAACCTGTTATTTTTGTTTATTTATGTTTCTGAGGAAGGTAAGACTGCTTTGGCAAATTATTGCCATTATGTGTGAATGAAGGCCACATGGTTTATAAACTGTAGAGCAAGACACTGAAAGTGCACAGGGAATAGATGGAGTCCCATCCTCAACCTACTTGCCACCAGGTGGGACACATGGGATGGAGCTCAGGGCCGTGTAATGGGTCATGATGCTCTTCCAACGAAGAATATGTGGCAGGGTACAGCGGAAAGGGCAGAGACTGAGGGGCAAGGCCTGGATTTTAGTAACTTCTGTCACTATTTGGTCTTGGGCAACCCATTTCCTAGGTCTAGTTCCTCATCTGTATAATGTAGAAGTTAGGCTACATGGCATGGTTTGTTAAGAATGCAGTTCTATTCCATACTTTTTCTGATTCTTTTCTGGCTCAGCAGTTAACACGTGTGGTAAGGGGCTGCTGAAGTTCTTTGGATAAAATAGGTAAAACTGCTATTGAGTAAAGGTTTTATTCTTGCCTGAATTATCCATATAGGGTTCTTAAATTGATCAAGTTAATATAATATTATGTTTGTTACCTAGTAAGTTTGCATTTTAGCAACAATCTTAGTGAATAAAAGAAAGGATCAGACTGCCTGCCAGTTGCCTGCATCATGAAAAATGCTCATGTGAGGCTCCTTAAAGCTGGTAGAGGTCAGAGAGAGAGGTCGGACTGGGAACTTTGTATCCCAGTCTATGGGAAGATAGCTGAGGAAATGGTTGTTAAGCAGCAGTGGTTCCATCCCATGGGATTCCCAATTGACATCAACTACCTCCTCTTAGTCAAGTTATGGGTAAGGTGGATGGGGGCAGGATATAGATAGAATGGGTTGCTATGATGCAGGGAGTGAAATCAGTGTTTGCACACCTAGGTATTGGATTTGGATATCTCAAAAGCTGTGTTCTTCAAAGACTGGCCTTTCTGAGCTTGAAGAAATCTGGAGTATACCAGATCCTAAAGACTTGGGAGGAAGAGACGCAATAATTACTCCCCCTGCAGTCATGGTGGCTTTGAGAAAAATCTGAACAGAGCATTTATAGTCAGAAGAAAGTCTCACTATGCCATTGGCCATCTAGTGGTGAGAGGGAGTGATCTTAGGCATTTAAAAAATGAATTGGTCAGCTGCAATGCTTGTAATCCCAGCACTTTTGGAGGCCAAAGTGGGAGTATCACTTAAAGCCAAGAGTTCAAGACCAGTCTGGGCAACATTGCGAGACCCTGTCTCTACAAAAGTTAGCCAGGTGTGGTGGCGCACGCTCATAGTCCCAGCTACTCGGGAAGCTGAGGTGGGAGGATTGCTTGAGACCAGGAGGTCGAGGCTGCAGTGAGCCAAGATCGTACCACTGCTCTCCAGCCTGGGCAACAGAGCAAGACCCCATCTCAAAAAAACCAAAACAGGTTAAATAGGAAAGACGTTGCTGGGAAGACTTGGATTGTAGTCTATTGTCTGGATTATGGTCATACTATTATCAACTAGAAATCCTGATTTGACCATGTATACATCTCGCCAGCTCCCAAAGATTCTTGGAAGAAGTATCTTTGTGCTGGCAGACAGCTGCTGGTTATCCTGCGGGAAAGAGTAGTATTTTTCATTTAAGGCACAGTTTATAAAGTAGCCCAAGATAATGTGGTGGAGTTAAGAAGGGACAGAGATAACTCATTCCATTCTGGTCATTTTGGATGAGCCTAAAATAATTCCCAATAATTTTGAGAGAGTGTTGTGTAGTAGAACACTGGGTTAGGACTTTGTGAGACCTGGCTGCTTATCCCAGCTCTGCCGCTAATGAGCTGTGTGACTGGGAGCAAGTCATTTAAGATGACTGTTAAACATTAGATTCCTTTCGTGTAAAACGGGAATAGCAACAATACCTGAGGACCAACTGATCTCATAATGAAATACTACGTAGAAAAGTACTTTTGGTGACATTCAATACAAATCTCTAGAAGAGATAAGGGTATTCCAGAGAGTCCCTATGCTACCACAATAGGAGATATCAACTGCCACAATCCAATCATTGCCATTGTGAATCTGTGGTTTTTCTGCAATACAAATGGATTTTATAGATTAAAAAGTCTAGCTCAGGTACTAGAAAATAACAGCAAGTTGGCAATTCAAATTACCCCAACCTGCCTGGACAGCTTTTTCTAAGAGATGGGGTCTCCCTATTTTGCCCAGGCTGGAGTGCACTGGTTATTCATAGGTGCAATCATAGCGTGCCGCATCCTTGAACTCCTGGGCTCAAGCGATCCTTCTTCCGTAGCCTCTGGAGTAGCTGGAACCACAGACACAATGCTACTGCACCTGGCTTTTGTTTTTTCTTATAGATTTGCTGGACGGCCACAGTGGCTCACACCTTGCCTATACTTTGGAAGGCTGAGGTGGGAGGATCACTTGAGCCCAGGAGTTTGAGACCAGCCTGGGTAACACAGTGAGTCCCCATCTCTACAAAAGAAATCAGCTGGGTGTGGTGGTGTGTGCGTGTAATCCCAGCTGCTTGGGAGGCTGAGGTAGGAGAATTGCTTGAGCTCAGAAGGTTGAGGCTGCAGTGAGCTGTGATGGCACCACTTCACTCCAGCCTACACAATAGAGCAAGACCCTGGCTCTCATAACACACACACACAAAAGACTTGCCTCATTCATATAACATCAGTAAAAACCCTCCTAAATTCTAAAGGCAGGCAAAGTTAATATCATTTTAGGATTATATTCCTGTAATCCTAGCACTTTGGGAGGCTGAAGTGGGAGGATCGCTTGAGCCCAGGAGTTTGAAACCAGCCTGGGCAATGTAGTGAGACCCCATCTCTATTAAAAAAATTTTTTTTTAATTTTAACCTTGAGGTTTAAGGGAAATTTATTATAGAACTTTTGGTATTGTATATATATATATAAGTTATATTTGTATACGCAGCTTATGGTAGATGGACATTCCTTATATAACCAAGATATGGTACATAAAGGCCCTTTTATTTTTAATGAGTATGGAATTTTCCAGAGACAACATAAGAGTTTTAATATTATGTTGGCCATATGTGTGGTTTATTTGACATGATACCCCCTTGGCCAGGACCCCTCATCATATTGCTGTTCATATGGGAAAACACAATTTAATTTCTAATGATTCAACTTAGCATTTTTTTCCCAGGAACTCACTGGCATGACTACCTGCCTGAATATTTCTGGCCAGCACTCTTTGTGGAGATACAGAGTTTGATAAGTTTGTTTTCTGGTCTGTGAATAAGTACTTCACAGGTGTTTGAAAAGTGCCAACTAGATTATCATAAACAGTCCCTGTCCTTCTTAGTTCTGTCAGTCTGGATTTGATAGGTTTCTTTTCTCGACTGTAACATTTCTAGGTTGATGAGTCTCAATTTTCTTTTTTTTTTCTATCATTTTTAGTTTCTTCTAATTAAGTAGCTCTTCTTTCATCAACACCCCAGGATTTTTTCCATCATTTAGTTGTCCACTTTTTGGGGTTTTTGAGATTCTCAGATGTGGCAAACAAACAGAACTGTCTGCCAGTGGCAGACCCTACTCCAGTTTTCGATAAGCATAGGAAACTGTTTTCCATTTTGGTTTCCATATCCTTCTAAAGAAGGTGCCGAGGGGAGGAAGCATAGGACTTAGCAAAGTCAAAAATCCTGGATTTGCGTCCTATGCTGCCCTTTATCAGCCATATGAGCCTGAACAAGCCCTAACGATGGTGTGAGCCTCAGTTTTTTGTTAATCTGTAGAATAGTGATAATATCTCTCTTATTTATCTTATTTGTTAATTAAACCCAAATTAAATGGCATAGAGTAGGCCTTGGGTACCACTGCAGTAACTCCATTTTTTTCTGTTTTTTTGTTAAAACAGTCATTTGTCTCTGAACTCTGTAACGGCAGGGAACTCTGTATTTCCTTTCCCCTTCCTGTCAGCACCTTGCCCATGTAGTCATGGTCTCTATGTAAAGTTGTTCTCACAGATGAGAACTGCCTCCATTTGTGCCAAAGCCACAGGGTGACCCTGCCTGACTTTGTGACTGAGATGAAGGAGCAAGCATGCTGTCAAAGGGAAGATAACACCAATCTAGAAGGAAGTTACAATACTGAAGACCACAGAATCAAGATTAAAAACTCTCGACAGGCTGCAGCCCTGGGTTGGAAACAAGGTGAAACCTAATTGAGATCAGAAAATGTTCCTTGTTTAAGTTGACTATTAATAATTATAGCTGACATTTATTGAGTACTTGCATGTTAGGCATCCTGTTAAATATACATGTTAAGTAATTCTTATGACAGATGAGGCTGAGGCCATTATTATAAAGATGGGGAAATGTAAAGTAAGCTGTTCAATCTTGCTCAGCCATTAGATGGTGAAACTAGGATTCTAAACCCTGAGGTTTGGTTCCAAAGCAGACACTCTTAACTCTTATAATAACAGCCCCCCAAAATAATGTCCCACCAAAGATATCCACATCCTAATCCTCAGCCCCTGTAAATATGTTACCTTCATGACAGAAGGGACTCTGCAGAAGTGAGTAAGGGTTACCGACCTTTAGATGGGGAAAGTTTCCTGGGTTATCTAGGTGGCCCGATCTAATCATATGAACTCTTAAAAGTGAGAAACTTTCCTCTCTTCTTTAAGAGAAGAGGAGATGGAAGGAGAGATTCAAAGCATGAGGAGAACTGCCTGCTGTTGCTGGCTTTGAAGGTAGAAAAAGGGGGCTGCAAACCAAGGAATGTGGGCAGCTTCTAGAAACTGGAAACAGTCCTCAGCTGACAGCCAGCAGGTAAATTCAGTCCTGTCACTGTCAGGAACTGAATTCTGCCAACAAGCTGAATGAACAAGGAAATGTCTTCTCCCCTAGAGCCTCCGGAAAGCAGCCAACACCTTGATTTTCTTTGTGTGCACTTATACATTTCTTGTGAAACTTTCTTCTAGAGGTTTTATATTTTTTTGTTATTGTGAATTGAATCTTTTTTTTCCGTTTTATTTTCTAACTAGTAATTGCTAGTATAGCGTAAGGCTATTGAATTCAAAATATGTCTCTTTTATTCTTCTACTGAATTTTCTTACTCATCCTGATAATTTTTCAGTTGATTCTCCTGGATTTTCTTAGATAGGCAATTGCATCATCTGCAAATAATTACATGTTGTTTCTTCCTTTCCAATATTTAAACCTGTCACTTGGTTCTTGTTTTTTTCCCATTGACCGCTGGCATTTTAAAACAGCTGTTTGATGCCAGAGACATTTTGACACAGCCTAAACACAAATCATTAAATAATCTTTGTGTTTCCAAAATGAAATAATAGTAGCTAATACATATCAACTGCCTTTTTTGAGCCAGGTAGGTTCCAAGTATTAATATCTTGTATATTAATTTATTTAATTCTTACCGCAACCTCATGAGGTTGTTATTATATTCCTTTTAATGACAGGCAAACAGGAGCAAAGACATCAAGCAGTTTGTTGAAGGTTTAACAAGGAGGTGGTGCTCAGACTTGAACCCAGGCAATTTTGTTCCCAAGGTCATACTCTCAACTACTATTCAAAATTGCTTCTAAGTGAATAAAATGAAATGGCAATCTTGCTTTTTCTGATTGTAAAAGTAAGACATGCTTATTAGAAAAGATTCAGTCAAAAAGATTTAAACAAAAGGAAAATCACCTCCCCACTATCATTTTTTCATTGCTGCAGAGTATCCCACTGTGAGATGGAATGGTAACTTACTTCATCAATCCCATGCTGATGGGTTTTTGCCATACAGCTTTTCTTAGTTTTATTTTTCTGTAGTTTTCTTTTTTTTGTTGTTACTCTCTGCCTATGCTTACCCATCATATAGCTTTTCAAGCACCCATTTATGTGCTCATGATACTTCCTGAACTGGAGTTTCTCAGTCGAAAAGAGTAATCACATTTCACATTTTGACAGAATTGCCAAATTGCACCCCTCAATTCAAGAAATGGCCTATTAAATTTTATTAACCTTATAGGTGAAAAATGTTATTTTCACATATTTTAGCCATCTTTATTTTTCTATTGGGTGCTCATCTTTTTATTGATTTGTAATTACTTTTTCATTCTTTTTATATAAGGGCAATTCTGTCTGATGTTGCAGTTTTTAATTTTTACTTTTATATTGGTTTGCCATTATAGGAGGATTATAGAAATTGGCTGAGCGAGGTGGCTAATGCCTGTAATTCCAGCACTTGGGGATGCTGACGTGAGAATCGCTTGAGGCCAGGAATTCAAGACCAGTCCGGACAACACAGGGAGAGCCTATCTCTACAAAAAAAAAAAAATTTAAAAACATCAGATCTCCCTATGCTGTCCAGACTGGTCTTGAACTCCTGGCTTCAAGCACTTCTCACTTCAGCATGATGGTGCATGCCTATAGTCCCAGCTACTTGGGAGGCTAAGGTGGAAGGATCACTTGAAGTCAGGCAGTTGAGGTTACAGTGATCATGTCACTGCATTCCAGCCTGGGTGACGAAGCAAGACACTGTCTCTTAAAAAAGAAAACAGTCATCTACACTTTCTTGTATATCTTTACAAACGACAATGTTTTAAAATTACTAATTTGAGTGAACCAGGCCCCACCTTTCAGCCTCCCTCCCTTCCTTAGACGTAAGAACTCTGCAGCCACACTGGATGGCACGAAGGGTCAGGACTGCTACTTTGGGTTATTACTTGGTAATTCAAAACTATTTTGACCTCTAGATAAATGTTGTGGATTGCACACTTGTGCAAAAAATAAGCATGCTTTAAATCCAACTAAGATAGAAGAAACCAGCAAATTAGTGATGTCAACAAACTGAAAAATGTGAAGCCAATGAAAAATGGAAAGTAGCCTGCAGAGAAAATGCCAGTAGGCATGCCAGTTTACAAAGTTTACTCTGAAAGGTTCAGGAATCGGAACCTTTCAGTCGCGTTAACTAGCTGGAGGTGAGAGGGGCTCATAACAGAGTCTTGTTGAAAGAACATAAGGAAGACTTAAAACCACAGATTCCTTTCCATATCTGACCCTGCCAGATGGCTACCTCTCCCTTACCTCCGAACAAGAAAGGAAGCTTATTTTCTTGAGAAATTCAAGTAGAGAAGCATCAAATTCAGAAACAAAGGCAGAGAGAATGAGCGCTGAGGCACCGTTCTGAAAATGAAAATGAAGTGCAAATCTACATATGGAAGACTGAGACTGCCCACCCTCATTCTTCTTGCTCCCTCCTTCCAACTAGGCTCCCAGAATTCTGGCAATCAGCTTATAGCTCATTAAGCAGATTGGAGGATTTTTCTCTGGAGAAGCTGTCTAGCCAAAGGCAAAAATACTACAGATTCTGACATTTTAAGGGTTTCTTGTTAAGTGGGCAGTTACAGTGATAGCTACTACTGAACCCTCCTTGCCCGTGCATGCAGAGCTGCTAATTGGCTTTTTAGTGTGTCCTTCTTAATTATGAATAGACTGCTAAAAATTAATCCTTTAACATGAAAGACAGAAACCTAGAGAAAACAGACTATGCAGGGAGCAGGAAAAAATTAAAAAGCAAAAACGTTTACCTTCTTCGAAGAGATGATTTTACATGAGTGAAATAAATATGGGATGCTTTTAAACAATAAAAACGGACAAAACCATAAAGAACTGTAAACGATAAAATTAAAAGATAATTAAACGATAAAAATTAAAAGAATTAAAAAGTCAATAGGCAACAAATAATTAGAAATAGGCTGGGCATGGTGGCTCACACCTGTAATCCCAGCACTTTGGGAGGCCGAGGTGGGTGGATCACTTGAGGCCAGGAGTTTGAGACCAGCCTGGCTAACATGGAGAAAACCTGTCTCTACTAAAAATGCAAAGATTAGCCTGGTGTGGTGGTGGGCATCTGTAATCACAGCTACTCGGGAGGCTGAGGCAGGAGAATCGCTTGAACCTGGAAGGCAGAGGCTGCAGTGAGCTGAGGTTGTGCCAGTGCCCTCCGGCCTTGGTGACAGAGTGAGGCTCCATCTCAAAACAACAACAAAAATAATTAGAAATAAAAAAATTTTAAAGATATGCAGGACCTGTACACTGAAAGACTATAAAACATTGCTTAGAGAAATTAAAGAAGACCTAAATAAATTGAGTGATATATCTTGTTCATGAGTCAGAAGACTCAATATAGTTAACATGTCAGTTATCCCTGAATTGACCTATAGATTTAATGCGATCTCTGTCAAGATCCCAGCAGGTCTTTTTTTTTTTTTTTTTTTTTTTAAGGTAGAAATTTATAAGCTGATTGTAAAAATTCATATGAAATGCAAAGGACCTAGAATAGCCAAAACAACTTTGAAAACAAACCAGAGTTGGAGTAAGTCTTAGTTTGGATGGACTGCTATAACAAAATACCACAAACTGGTAGCTTATAAACAGCATAAATTTATTTCTCTGTCTGAGGCTAGAGAGGCCAGGATCAAGGCATCAGCTGATTCCGGGTCTGGTGAGGGCCTGCTTCCTCATAGATGGCTGTCTTACTGTAACCTCACATGGCAGAAGGAGCAGGGATCTCCCTGGGACCTCTTTTATAGGGCACTAATCCCATTCATGAGGGTTCCACCTCAAAACTTATACAGCTATAGTAATCAAGACTGTGGTAGGTGTGTAAAATAAAAATAGATCAATGGGACAGAATATAGATATAAAGCCACACATATTGATAATGCATACTGATTTGTTACAAATATGAAAAGAAATGCAGTGGAAAAAGGACCCTCTTTTCAACAAATGTTGTTGGAACAACTGGAAATACATATGCAGAAAGACCCCTTCTAGCCATGTTCTGTTCCATATGCAACAATTAACTCAAGATGGGTGAAAGACTTAAATGCAAGAGCTAAAATTATGAATCTTATAGATGAAAACTTTTTGTGACCTTTTTTTGAGTAATGATTTCTTACAACACCAAAAACATTGGTCTATTAAAAAAATCCAAAACCCAAACTCATAAACTCAGCAAAATGTAAAACTTCTGCTCTAATAGAGAAGGAAAAGACAAGCTACAGATTAAGAGAAGATATTTGCAACATATATTTCTGATATAGGACTTGTATCTAGAAAATACAAAGAATTCTCAAAACTCAACAAGAAAATGACCCTATTAAAACTTGGCAAAAAGATTAGAATCTACATTTTACTGAAGAAGATACATAAAAGATGAATAAGCACATGGAAAGATGCTTAACATCATTATCCGTTAGTCATTAGGGAAATAGAAATGAAAACCACAATGAGATACCACTCTATATGTATTAGAATGGCCAAATTAAGACGACTGAGGCCGGGTGCGGTGACTCACGCCAGTAATCCCAGCACTTTGGGGGCCTGAGGCAGGTGGATCCCTTGTGGTCAGGAGTTTGAGACCAGGACCAGCCTGGCCAACATGGCAAAACCCCATCTCTACTAAAAATACAAAGATTAGCTGGGCATGGTGGCACCTGCCTGTAGTCCCAGCTATTCAGGAAGCAAGAGAATTGCTTGACCCCAGGAGGCGGAGGTTGCAGTGAGCCGAGATTGTACCACTGCACTCCAGCCTGGGCAACAGAATGAGACTCCATCCCAAAAAAAAAAACAACAAAAAAAGAAGACTGAGCATACTAAGTGATGGTGAAGATGTGGAGGAAATGAAACTCTCACATACTTTTCATAGGAATGTAAAATGGTACCACCACTTTGCAAAAGTAATTTGGCAGTTCCCAAAAGTTAAACCATATACCTACCATATGACCCAACCATTCACTCCTAAAGAAAGTATATGTCTCTACGATGACTCATACATAAATATTCACAGCAACTTTATCTGTAATAGCCCCAAACTGGAAACACCTAAGTGTCATCAAAAAGGAAATAAATAGGTTAGGTGCAGTGGGTCATGCCCAGCACTTTGGGAGGTGGGAGGCCAAGGGGGGGATGATTGGTTGAGACCAGGAATGTGAGACCAGCCTGGTCAACAGAATGAGACATCGTCTCTACAAAAAATAAAAAAAATTAGCCAGGCATGGTGGCATGCACCTATAGTCCCAGCTACTTGGGAGGCTGAGGTGGGTGGACTGCTTGAGCCCAGAAGTTTCAGGCTGCAGTGAGCCATGGTCATGCCATTGCACTCCAGCCTAGGTGACAGAGCAAGACCCCATCTAAAAAAAAGTGAATAAATAAACAAATTGTGGCATATCCTTAGTGTCACTTCATCCATGCCATAAACCTTTCCAGATTTAAGGGCACTCTACTTCCAAGGGGGAGAAGTGTCAAAATTATGTTGTAAGAAGAGCATGGGGGATAAGAGAGATTATAGCTACCATCTTTGGAAAATAAAATATGCCACAGTATGTGGTGTATGTCCTCTGGAAATACTGTTTTTATTTTTATATTTTTGAGACACAGTCTTGCTCTGTTGCCCAGGCTGGAGTGCAGTACAGCATAATCTCGGCTCACTGCAACCTCTGCCTCCTGGGCTCAAGGGATTCTTGTGCCTCAGCCTCCCGAGTAGCTGGGCTTACGGGTGCCTGCCTCCATACCTGGCTAACTTTTGACTAATTTTTGCATTTTTAGTAGAGACGGGGTTTCACCATATTGGACAGGCTAGTCTCGAACTCCTGACCTGAAGTGATCTGCCCACCTCGGCCTCCCAAAGTGCTGGGATTACAGGCGTGAGCCATAGTGCCCAGGCAGAGAAGTCCTACACCACGTGTCAAACTCGGAACACAAAGAATCACTGTCTTATTGCTTGGTACAGTACTCCTGTTTGTTGAGAGCCCATTTACTAGAGCAGCTCTGTTTGTGCTTAATGAAAGCTCTTTTCTGAGAGGCAACAGAGTGTGTTCTATCATAAATGAAGCGCTCTTCAAGAACTTCCTGAGCAAAAAAAAAAAAAAAAAAAAAAAAAAAAAATGCAGTATATGATGTGACTAGAGAATCAGATGTGAAAAACTAGTTAGCTTAGGCCATGACTTCTCATCAGGGCTACCATTTCCAGTGGAGTATTTCTGGTTGCCAGTTGTATCTGTGCATAATGTGGCCAAAGTTTTTAGCATTGTTTAGTTCTCCTATAACCACTAGACTTTTCTGGAAGGTGCTCGCTCTCTTGATGGAGATATTGCAAATGGACCACAGAAATTGGGCCCAAGTGGCTATTAAACTAGTTCCTTAATTTGAAAATAATCAAAGCGTAAGAAATAAACATTCAGGCTGGGTGCGGTGGCTCATGCCTGTAATCCCAGCACTTTGGAAGGCCAAGGTGGTTGGATCACTTGAGGTCAGGAGTTCAAGACCAGCATGGCCAAAATGGCAAAACCCCATCTCTACTAAACATACAAAAATTAGCCGGGTGTGGTGGTGCATGCCTGTAATCCCAGCTACTCGAGAGGCTGTGGTTGCAGTGAGCTGAGATTGCACCACTGCACTCTAGCCATGGAGACAGACTGAGACTCTCTCAACAACAACAACAACAACAACAAAAAAGAAACATTTAACTTGCCTTTCCAATAGGAACTGCTTTTCATGGTAACTAAATGGTCCCAGATAATGAAGAAAAATCTCTTTTCTACTGAAGAAGGTCTGCTAATCATGTAGAAGATTGATAGAACTAGTGAACTGACATTTTGCAACACCCTGAACTCAGGCAACAAGTATCAAATTGTTGAAAGCGTTAGGTTGATGGGAAATTGAATATTTATATAGAGCCAAAGTGATACCATACAGATTTTTACCCAGTTGCAAGGAAAAGAATGTAACTGTGTCCTGTCATTGCATCAAAAAGTCACTCCATTCAGTGGTTGATCTCAGTGTCACTAATTGTGGGTCAACAAGATAGTACATGTTCCTGATGTGATATAAGATGAAATAAACAACATTACTTGTGATGTATAGCCAAACTTGGCTCAAACTTGATAAGAATAAAAATTTTAATCTAATTTTCAGTTGATAAGAAATACAGAAAACAAGGGACCAAACTAACACCATAAAGAAGTGTCCAGAAAAATCCAAAACATGGCCCAGCCTATAATACATCTGGCCTAGTCTATTAACAAGTCAGTGTGAGATAAAGAGAGAGAGAGAGAGAGAGAAGTGGGGATGTGGGGTGGGGAGGAAGAGATAGAGAAACTTAACTAGTTTAGAAGAGAAACTATTATAACGCAATGCGTAGACTGATTAAACCAGATGTAGAGAATGTTTTAAAGATGACTGAGAACATCTGAATATAGACTGGTATGAGAAAAGATAAAAGTTTATATGGAAAAGTAGAAATCATTGCATAAAAATTTCAGGTTATAAAATAGCATGTACAGTATGGTTTATTTTGGTACAAAAAATATAGAAATATATACATGCAAGTTGGTTGTCTAAACTGGAACACTTATGGGGGTAAAGCAAGGCACTATTGATATGCCAGGATAACAGGTATAAACTTATCTTCCAGGCAAGCTGGGAGGAATGCTCATCCTTCAAGCAGCTCTTCTGAAACTTCAGTGTGAAGGGGAATTGCTTGGGAGTTGGGGTATGGTGGGTCATGTTAAATGAGGATTCCCAGGCTCTATTCTCAGAGATTCTGATTCAATAGATCTGGGGGTGGGCCCAAGAATCTGCCTTTTTTGTAAGTACTCAGGTGATTCTGCTGCTGGGACTGGTGAGGGAATGGAGCCTGGCCAACAGCACTTTCTGTAGGCATCATCACTAAGTAGGGATTGGCTAATCCTTGTGGATTTGTTTCACGGAATTTTCCTTTTCTTTTTTTTTTTTTTTCTTGAGGTAACTGCTTAGAAATCCATCTGTTGCCTATTAAAGAAGACTGGAGGCTGTACGCAGTGGCTCACGCCTGTAATCCCAGCACTTTGGGAGGCCGAGGCGGGTGGATCACCTGAGGTCAGGAATTCGAGACCAGCCTGACCAACATGCAGAAACCCCGTCTCTACTAAAAAAATAAAATAAAATTAGCCAGGCGTGGTGGCAGATGCCTGTAATCCCAGCTACTTGGGAGGCTGAGGCAGGAGAATTGCTTCAACCTGGGAGGCAGAGGTTGTGGTGAGCCGAGATTGCGCCACTGCACTCCAGCCTGGGCAACGAGTGAAACTCCGTCTCAAAAAAAAAAAAAAAAAAAGAAAAAAGAAAAAAGACTGGAAAGTATAGTGGTATAAATCAAAAAGTATCAGAGACAGATCTCAATCAACTTAGCAGTTTATTTTGCCAAGGTTAAGGACATGGCCGGAAGAAAGGAACACAGATACCACAGAAACAGCATGTGGTCGGGGCTTTTCTTCAAAGATCACTTTGAAGCCTTCAGTATTTAAAGGGGAAAAGCAGGCTGGAAGAGAAAGAGGGAGGATGTGGTCACATGACTGAATCCACATGTTGCAAGAGAAAAGGAGCAAGTAGGAGAACAGACAATTATGTAGTCGTCTCCCACTCAGTAAATCAGCACTGATCACTGATAAGGTGAACATAGAGTAGCTGACTGTGGAGACATCCGGCCTTTTATCTGTAGCTGTCTGCTTAGGAACAAAGAGAAAGGCAATTTCTGGCCATGACTCAGCTTTCAGCTTAATGTTTTCCTTTTGGCATCATGAAACGGGGTCCTGAGATTTTATTTTCTTTCACGGTGGTTAAATAAATGGCCTTTAGAGTTTGATAGAGTTGGGTCTGATTATCAACTTTAGCACTGTGTGCTGTATGACATTGTCTCTTCACATCACTAAGTCTATTTTCTTGTAGGTGAAATATGAATATTGACAAAGTTGGTATGAGGATTAAGTGAGATAATGCATTTAAAGCACATAGTCTCAACAAACAATAGTTATGACTGTTATTATGATCATTGTTACTATTCTTGAACGGGCAGTGAATACATTGTGCTAACCCTGGACCTGCCAGATAGGTGTCTTCTGCCTTTCAGATTCAGGATGTCTCCCGTAAAGCAAAACAAAAACCTATCCTGACCTTCTTGGATGATTCATAAACACTTGGTGAACAGTTTTTACTACACATTTGTTCCCTGATAGCCCCTTAGAAGTCTGTGGAACTGGCTGGGCGTGGTGGCTCATGCATGTAATCTCAGCACTTTGAGAGGCAGAGGTGGGCGGATAACTTGAGGTCAGGAGTTTGAGACCAGCCTGACCAACATGGTGAAACCCCGTCTCAACTAAAAATACAAAAATTAGCCAGGCATTGTGGTGGGGGTCTGTAATCTCAGCTACTTGGGAGGCTGAGACAGGAGAATTGCTTGAACCCATGAGGCGGAGGTTGCAGTGAGTCGAGATCGCGCCACTGCACTCCAGCCTGGGTGACAGAGTGAGACTCTGTCTCAAAAAAACAAAAAACAAAAAACAAAAAGAAAACTGTGGAATAGTTGCCTGAGTCTTTGGGTGTGAGATACTTATGCAGCACAGCAGCTTCAATACTGTGCTCTGAAATCTCGGGTCTAGTTACTATGGAATGGAAAGCTGAGGACAGGGAGTAGAAGGAGATTCTTCAGTAGTTTTTTGAACTCAACTTGTCCATTCCAGCTAAACTTTATTTCTTATGCAACATAAGTCTATGAAGGCAAGATTTTTCTTGGCAGCATAATTACTGCTACCTAATAAGGGAAGAGAATTTCCTTCTAAAGATTCCTGCTGTTTTCTCAGCAGGTGGGAACTTTTGCACTCTGCAGCTGCTGGGTGCCATTACTGTCCGTCCTGGGCTTGCTCTTTCCATTCTGAGATGGGAATGGAAAAATCCACAGGGAACAATTGGTAATTCCATCCTGATTTGTATGCATTTTGGGGTGTTGGTTTTGTTTTGTTTTGTTTTGCTTGCTTTTTTTTTGTTTTTCTTTGGTACTTCTATTCTGTAACCTTGTCACTTATATTTTTTGAAAAGTCAAGATGCATCGTTTGATACATAATTAAATATTTGAAAACAGGGACTGTCCCGGAACTCTTGGACTTTGGGCTACTGTGTGCATAACCTCGTGGAGGGTTCTGAGCAGCTCTGTCCATCTACATGTGAAGGATCAAAGGGTGCCCCAGGTGTGTCCCTACTGACTCCATATAAGGCCCAGGGGAAGTTGTGCCCTGAAGATAAAGGAAATTAAGCTTCAGCACCCTTCAGTTGTCAGGGACTAGACCTTTCTAAGACACCAGGCAGAGGACCTAGCAATGTGTGCATATGTTTCTTTTATAAATGGCAAAAATAAGACATTTTTCTATTGTTTTCCATTAAAGATGGTCTCAAAAACTTTGTAAGTTTAGGCCCCACAAATCTGTGTCCACCCTTGACAGGCTTCCTCTGGCTATGCCTGAAGGATTTTCCCTTTATATAACTAGATAGTCAGCAGCCTCAACTCCAAGCCAGGGCACACTGGCATGCCAGGGATGGTGTGGGAATGCAAGTAAAGAGGGGCATTCACAACTCTGTTGGCTGCTGGATGCAGAGAAAACCACAAGCTGGATAAAGAGCAGCCTCTGGGGAAAAACAAGCTGTAGACCTGAGGTCCAGCAGCAAGAGTTCCTTCTTCAAACAGGTGGTTAGCAAGTGGCACCCATCAGCTACCTGTTAAGTCTTTGAGAAAAATTAACGACCTACTTTATAATTTATACAAACAAAAATACTGTCGCCTATGTGCTGCGCCCCAGCCATTCCCCAGCCCTGGTGCGGCTGTGTCCTGTAGTGGAGACAGCCCTGGATAGGTTCCAGCCTTGGCTCCTCTGCTAGGTAGCTAAGTTATGAATGCTTAGCTTTGTTCATCTTTAAAATGAGTGTGTTGTATTAGGCAGTCTCACTCTGAAACTTAAATCATTTTATGGTATGGGGGTAGAGTTTATATGATTTCTGTAGAGATACAAGAGTAGTGCTGTGGGAAAGTATGACGCACCTGTTGGGAAGGAGGTTGACATATGGAGAAAAATCAGACCATATGGGATTATGAAATTTAAAAAATTATCTCCTCCTGCTCAGTAAACGTGCCAAATATAAGCCTATCATCCTAAGAACTGTCTTCCTTTTAACAAATGAGAAGAAATTATGTGCATTTCCAAAATTAAAGGGATATTCACGTCATGTTAAATGTGTGACATATGTAGGCAACGACGAAGTTCTGAGAAGTAAGTTTGTGTTTACGGTATGGCCTTTGTTATTTAGGAGATTACAATTAAAACAGGACTAGCCCAGATGAAACAATTAACAAAGCTGATGAGCTATAACCAAAACCCATGATTAGTGATGGGTTCATTGAATACATTCTAGTACATCTGTTCTATGGAATACCATGCAATCAATCATCAAGTAGAATGAACCACATTTATATGTATTGACTTGGGAAGGTGTAGAAGACATATTAAGTAAACATAAACAAGTGGTAAATTATAATGAAAAATATGACCATGTTTTTGTTAAAAGCATAAATGAGACCTCAACAGGTGATTCAGTGCTTGTGTAAGCGTAGAAAAAATATGGAATGATATATACACCAGCATGCTAATACTGGTTACTTTAAGAGAGTATAATTGGACAGGGGAGGAGAAAAAATATATACATTATATATATATTATATATGATAATATATTATAAAATATGTGTCAATATTATATATGAGATATATTTTTATATATTTTTATTATATATAATATATTAGCTTTCTATAATTAAGTTTATTTAAATTGTTATGAGTGTGTATTATAATTTTTTTTTTTTTTTTTTTGCCCAGGCTGGAGTGCAGTGGTGCGATTTTGGCTCACTGCAGCCTTGAACTCCTGGGCTCAAGCAATCCTCCTGCCTCAGCCTCCCTAGTAGTTCGGACTACAGGCATGAGCCACCATATCTGGCTTGTGTATTGTAATTTTTAAGAGTGCTTTTGTAAAATAAAAAAAGCATAACCTTTGTTTTCTCAGCCTCCCCAGTCTGTGGTTGTATGCTGGATCACATTATGGTTATAACCTATGTCTCCTCTGCGGTATGCTCAGGTTCCCTGTAAAACTCATCCAGTGATTTCAAGGCCTTTTCGCCCACCCTGTTTTTCCTCCTTGGCTCACCTGCTGCTGGAGAAGCCCTGGGAGGGAGTGGCCTCCCATGACACTCAGGCACGTAACCCCCCTGAAGGGGGTGCGGTTTGTGCTTGGGGCTCTGCCAGAGTACAAAATGGCATCATGTTCCCTAGACTCCCAAAGTCCCCTCAGTGTCCTAGTTCTTCAGGAAGGGGCAATGCCTTTCATCCCCCTCACCTGTCACACTTTAATGGGTGGTTACAAAATTGGAGCTGCTTGGGCTCCTCATGCATGTCAGCTCCTCTAGGCTGGTCCCATCTCTCCAGAAGTGCCTGGGTCCCTTCACGCAAGCTCAGCCTCTAGGGGGCATGTCCACGTACATTAGTGCTAATTGTGTGGTAGAGGCAGAAATTCAGTGAAGGGAAAGACGGGGCTTTTTTAGAAGACTTGGGGTTTACACAGGACCATGGGGAGGTATGGAGATGGGGTACATCAAATGTGGAAACCTTAACACCAGCAACATCAAGAAGGGGGAAGGCAACAGTAAAAACATGGAAGGCCAGGTGCGGTGGCTCACACCTGTAATCCCAGCACTTTGGGAGGTCGAGGCGGGTGGATCATGAGGTCAAGAGATCGAGACCATCCTGGCCAAAATGGTGAAACCCCGCCTCTACTAAAAATACAAAAATTAGCTGGGCATGGTAGCGTGCACCTGTAGTCCCAGCTACTCAGGAGGCTGAGGCAGGAGAATCGCTTGAACCCGGGGGGTGGAGGTTGCAGTGAGCTGAGATCGTGCCACTGCACTCCAGCCTGGGCAATAGAGTGAGACTCTGTCTCAAAACCCCCCCAAAAATCATACAGTTGAATAAGAACAACTATTTCCCTGGTTTCTGTCTTTCTCCTGTCTCAAAGGCCTCTTAATGTATTATTAGGCAGGGATGTGTGTGTATTAGTATCTTAAGTAAATAATTTAACATGTTAACAACATTCCTTGAGGAAATAAATGTGCTTAAATTTTTAGTATGCATGGGACTTGGCACTGGTGTAAAGACACTTTGAGTAGACAGTGGTTCACCTGCAGTATTGGCCATATATCCTAGAGCCTTCAAGTGTCTGGAGAAGTGATTTCCTTCTTAAAATGGATAGATCCTCCTCTGAGTGCAGGAATCTGACTAATTACAAGAATCTCCTTCCCTGGAGTGATCATTCAACCTGGGATGTGTCACTGCAGATAAAAGAACACCCCGTAGATTCTCACTAGAAGAGAACCAGTGGCTGAGCGTAATGTTCCCTTCCTCAGGGAGAACATATTTCTTCAGAAGGGGAAATGCTTTTCAGGCAAATAAATCACTGCTCCAAATTTTTCATAACTGATTCAATATACAGTTCCAACTTCTGTGTCAAATGCTGGTTTGGAAAAGATTTCCAGTGTCATGGGAAATCTATGGACTGAAGAATATAACATTGTGCATGAAGGAAGTATCAAACATTGAGCTTTAAAAAATACTTCATAATCGTCAAGTATTTACAAATGAAATTATAGGTAATCTCAGATTTGCTTTAACATAGCCTAGCTGAGTGGAAGAGGGGTCCTGGGGTATAGATAAAACGGAATTGACAATGTGTTAATTATTGAAACTGCGTGATGTGCCCATGTGGGTTTATTATACTGTTTTCTCAACTTTTGTAAATGTTTGAAAATTTCCATATAAAAAGTTAACAGGCCGGGAGCGGTGGCTAACGCCTGTAATCCCAGCACTTTGGCAGGCTGAGGCAGGTGGATCATCTGAGGTCTGGAGTTCAAGACCAGCCTGGCCAACATAGTGAAACCCTGTCTCTACTAAAAATACAAAAAATTAGCTGGGCATGGTGGCAGGCACCTGTAATCCCAGCCACTCGGGAGGCTGAGGCAGGAGAATCGCTTGAACCCGGGAGACTGCAGCCTCGGCAACAAGAGTGAAACTCCATCTCAAAAAAAAAAGGCCGGGTGCTGTGGCTCACACCTGTAATCCCAGCACTTTGAGTGGCCTAGGCGGGTGGATCACAAGGTCAGGAGTTCAAGACCGGCCTGGCCAACGCGGTGAAACCCCATCTCTACTAAAAATACAGAAATTAGCTGGGCATGGTGGCGGGCGCCTGTAATCCCAGCTAGTTGGAAGGCTGAGGCAGGAGAATTGCTTGAAACCAGAACACGGAGTTTGCAGTGAGCCGAGATCATGCCACTGTCCTCCAGCCCGGGGGAAAGAGAGATACTCCATCTCAAAAATAAATTAAAAAAAAAAAAAAAGGTTAAACCCCAATAGTGTCTTTCTTTTGAGTGAAAATGTTTTTAAAAATTAATAATTCATAGAACTTGCATAACGAATAAATATATAAATGCATAAAATATAGCTAACACTGGTGCTTACTATGTACTAGGCATATATGTTATATATGTACATAATTTTGTATATTATACATGCATATGATTATATGCATACATACATTTATATGCACTTACATTAAATATGTAAAACACACACGTATAAATATATATGGTGTATCAACTCATTTAATTCCTGTCAACAATTCATGACGTGAGTTCTAAGTAAATTATTTGCATGTGCAGATGAGGTAATGGGGTTATATACGGGGTTAAATAACGCACCCAAGGTCATTAAACAGGATTTGAACTCAGCAATTTTGGCTCCAGAACTCATGCTCCCCGCTGCCTGTATCCATGCGGGTCTGTATTGTCGCCAACAACTTTCCCCACCACAGTTTAACTTTTTTTTTTTTTTTTTTTTTTTTTGAGACGGAGTCTTGCTCTGTTGCCCAGGCCGGAGTGGAGCGGTGTGATCTCGGCTCACTGCAACCTCCGCTCCCAGGTTCAAGCGATTCTCCTGCCTCGGCCTCTTGAGTAGCTGGGATTACAGGTGCACGCCACCAAGCCCGGCTAATTTTTGTATTTTTTGTAGAGACGGGGTTTCAGACGCGCCCAGCCCACAGTTTAATTTTTATTTTTGAATTGATTTGGGAGTGGGGGGTGGGGTGGAAACTTTTTTTTTTTTAACTGTCCGGCAATTTTGCTGAAGCTACCTGTCCAGGTTGGCCCCGGGGCGTGCCTCTTGGCACCGAACTGGGGCGCCTGAGCCTCGGCAGTGCGGGCGGTGGGTCGGCTCGGGTGACCGGTTACCCCCGGTCTTGGGTCCTTTGCACCGCGGCGATCCGACCGCCTCAGAGCGGCGCGCAGGTAGCCGTGTGGCGCCACCTGGTGGCCGGAGCCCCAGACTCGATCCACAGCAGCGCGCGCCCGGGCCTTCGCGGTGGGAACGCAACCCTGGCTAACAGAACTGCGACCGCTCCGCGCACTCCCGGGGCGTGGTTGAGGACAAAGCCAAAGCCCAGGGTGGCGGGGAGGAGGTGGGCGGCCACAACCCCAAGGGAGATGGGCCTTGGACCTTAGCCTGGAGGATCTTCTCCGCTAAGGAGGGAGACCCAGGAGGCTCGCTCGCGGTCCGCGCAGCCCAGGCCTGCCACCCTGACCGCGCCTCCTCGGAGCCCGCAGCTCCACCTTTGATCAAGTGGGAATTAACTTGAGAAAGGGGTGCTGCCTAAGGACTTTTAAAACGAACTCTTTAACATTTCCAAGTACTTACCCTTCATGTATGTGTGTACATAATCTATGTCTATTTCTTTATATCATCACTTATTTCCAGAAAGGGTATGAAAGCTGGAATGACGTCATATAATGCCATTTTTTTTTCCCTCACGACAGCCCTCTTACGCTTGTGAAGAACGCATGTGCTGACCCCCAGAGCCTGGTCCTGCCGAGCTGCTCCCTGGTGCTGGGGAAAGGTGGCACAACTGTAGAGACAGAAGAGTATTTTGGGGGCCTGGCAGGGGGCAGAGTGTTCACGGTGGTCCAGAAGGTGCAGCCGCATCAGGGCAGGAGGCTGGGAACCGCTTTCTCTCGCCCATAAACCTGCCAAGGAGATCTGGAAGGCCTGCGGAACGTCCTACCTGTACCAGGTGGGCCGGCGGGACTGCATTTGCTACCGGACCAAGAAGGCAAATCTCCCTGGTAGGTGCTCCCTTTCCTAGTGTCTGCACAGCTGCAAGCTAAGGAAGCTCTTCGCTGGGTCCTGCAGCATACAGGCCGCGGGTGAGGTGCAGTCGCCTCCTGTCACAGGCAGCAGGGCTTCCGTGCCACAGAGGGAGGGCAGCCCCTCCAAGGCAGGGCCTCACCCCTCATCCAGACCTGTCTGAACATTCTGCAACGAACGCCCAAGTCCATGGATGCTTCCCTGGCCAAGGCCTGGACCGGCCTCTCTTGGACTTTATGAGTACTGTGTTATTGTGCGTATGGGCACGCCTCCCCATAAAGGGTGAGGTCATCCACTGAGGAAGAAGAACATTTCTCAAAATTGCGCCTGAGATCTGAGCAGGGAAACTTGAGCAGGACTGAATCTCTAGGCAGCTACTACAGTGTTTCCCTCTGTGGGCATTTGATAGATATTTGGTGCTTGCTTCTCTTCTGCTCCCACATAAAACCTCAAGATTCCATCCTCCAAGGAGTCGGTTCCGCCTGTCACTTCACTCCAAGCTCAGCTTCAGAGATAAGGCTTCAGAAGAGAAATGCGTCTTCCCACATATGGCTCTGTTTTGAACTTAAAAACAGATTTGATGTGAGTACCTGCATACCATGGTGATAGGTGCCATAGAAATCAGAGGAAAGGCCGGGCACAGTGGCTCATGCCTGTAATCCCAGCACTTTGGGAAGCCGAGGTGGGCGGATCAGTTGAGACCAGCAGTTCAAGACCAGCCTGGTCAACCTGGTGAAACCCTGTCTCTACTAAAAATACAAAAACTAGCCGGGCATGGTGGCAGGCGTCTGTAATCCCAGCTACTCGGGAGGCTGAGGCAGGAGAATTGCTTGAATTCGGGAGGCGGAGGTTGCAGTGAGCCAATATCACACCACTGCACTCCAGCCTAGGTGACAGAGTGAGACTTCGTCTAAAAAAAACAAAAGAAAAAAAAAGAGGTAAAGCAGGGAGGTGGGACAGAGGAATGGTGGACCTAGAACATCAGGGGTTGGTTTGGAAGCAGCGTTTTGGTGACACTGATGCTTATTTTAAGCTGGCAGTGTTATTGATCATGTCCTCCCTGCACAGCCAGCCTCCCCCCTGGGAACACAAATGCTTTCTGCTTCCCTATGCACTATACTCTGGGGTCTTGAGAGGAGTGGAAACTGCATTCATCATGTAAGATACACATCAATGTCACTACTTTATTGTTGTTGCTGTTGTTGTTGAGACAGAGTCTCACTCTGTCACCCAGGAGTGCAGGAGTGCAGTGTTGTGATCTTGGCTCACTACAACCTCCACCTCCTGGGCTCAAACAATCCTCAAGCCTCGACCTCCCAAGTAGCTGGGACTACAGGCACGCAGCACCATGCCTGGTTAATTTTTGTGCTTTTAGTAGAGATGGGGTTTCACCATGTTGGCCAGGCTGGTCTCTAATTCTTGGTCTTAAGCGATCCACTGGCCTCAGCCTTCTAAAGTGCTGGGATTACAGGCATGAGTCACCACGCCCGGCTGACACTTTTCAACGTATTCATGCACATTACCTCCCTCATTTAATCCTATGCTAGGGCAGCTAGTATCACCCCTGCATTTCTGATGAATTTGAGGTTCAGAGACTGACTTGTCCAAAATCACAGAGCACGTGAGTGGCCACAGCTAACCTGAAGCCCCCTGTTCCCCTGACTCGGCTTCCTCATGTTGTGTAGCCGTGGAATTTTCAGGGTGCTGGACAGGCCTTCAGTGTATTTTGGGCAGTGTCATTCAGGATAGAAGGAGCTGTGTGGAGTGATTCAAATGCTCAGAGAAGCTGGTGCTTCTGCATGAAGACTGCAAGAAAATGGGATTGGCTGCAGAAGAATTTTGCTAATTTTATGTCTTGAGATACACGGACTCTACTTTCAAGATTGGCAGTCATTCCAAACAGCTCCTGGCCAGCATCAGTGAACTTCAGTACTCTCAGCTTCACTGGCCTGTGCAAATGCAAATACAGGTCCTGAGAATGGCTGCACAGCTGCCTACACCCTCCTCAAAGCATCACGGGACAGACAGCTCAGACCAAGCCAAAGGCAACGTGAAACACTGGGCATGCTTTCACTTCCTTTCTCCACTCTCCTGCACGCATGTCTGTCGTAGCTAACTGGTACGCCTGCGTGCCACGAAACTCCTTGTGTCTGAGCCTTCGCCTCTGCCTTCCCTCTCTCTCACCTGACCATTCATCTTCACTTTGCCAAATCTGACCTAGCCTTTGAGGCCCAGTTCAAATGTTCCCTCTCCAAAAAGGTTTTCTCTGATTCCCTGTCGCTGAAAGTTGAAAGTGATCTCTCCCTCCTCTGACACCACTAGCTTGAAAGAGGGTCTAAAGGTGAGAACGAAAGGTCTCTCCATTCCGAGAGACACCAGTAAGCCCCCAAAAGCTGGAGCCTGCCAAGCTCCCCTTGCCTTATAGGGGGAGTCCGAACTGGTTCCATGATTCCCCATTCAAGCTCTGAGGGTTGACAAAGGAGAGGGTGAGGTGGACTGGTCTTGGGGAGAGGGGTTATTCACTCTCTTTCTTGAAGCCAAGGAATGGGGTGGGGACCTAAGAGAATCATAAGGAAAACTAGAGGTGTTTGTAAGGAGAGTTGTGCTCCCAGATGGTTGTTTGCTTGGCCTTCGGGCTTGTCAATCTGCCCTAGGGCTGTGGAGAAGAGGATGGGAGGGAGATAGTGGGGAAGGGATATACTGCCTGGCAGAGAGGGCCCAGAACTGCTGCCTTGAGTTCTCAGCTCCTGAGGGCGTGCAGGATGGATCCATGCAAACTTGCTGTGCTGAGAGGAGACACTTGCCCTTTGCCTCTCTCTCTTCCTGCACCAGCACACACTGGAGGGCTGGCTCTACAGAGGGGAGAAGATGATGGGTAAAGAGATCAAGCCTAAGCTAGAGTCACAGACAGACCCAGTCTGCATGGGTAGACAGGGAGTTGATGAGACTTGAAGCTTCAGGATGCAAAGGACTGAGTCTTAAATCGGAAATAATCAAAGGTGGCTAGAAAGCTATGGAAGGTGGCAAAGATGTGATTAAGAAACCCTCTATTTGAGAAAAAAAAAAAGGATGGTCAGTCTGGATTAGTTGGGGGCAATTACATTAGGAGAAAAATCATGTTTTATCCCCAAGTAGTTGAGATTATTCAATCAACTATTTAGAATTTTTTTTTTTTTTTTTTTAGATGGAGTCTTGCTCTGTCACCCAGGCTGGGATACAGTGGCATGATCTCAGCTCACTGCAACCTCTGCCTCCCAAGTTCAAGTGATTTTCCTGCCTTAGCCTTCTGAGTAGCTGGGACTACAGGCACCTGCCACCATGCCCAGCTAATTTTTGTATTTTTAGTAGAGATGAGGTTTCACCATGTTGGCCAAGCTGGTCTCGAACTCCTGACCTCAGATGATCCACCCACCTTGGCCTCCCAAAGTGCTGGGATTACAGGCGGGAGCGACCGTGCCCAGCTAGAATTATTTTTGCATCTCCTTTTCTCTTAAAAAAAATTGTGCTAAAAACACATAACACAGCCTGGGCGAGGTGGCTCACGCCTGTCATCCCAACACTTTGGGAGGCTGAGGCAGGCAGATCACTTGAGGTAAGGAGTTTGAGACCAGCCTGGCCAACATGGTGAAACCCCATCTCTACTAGAAATACAAAAATTAGCCAGGTGTGGTGGCATGTGCCTGTAATCCCAGCTACTCGGGAGGCTGAGGCACGATAATTGCTTGAACCCGGGAGGCAGAGGTTGCAGTGAGCTGAGATTGCGCTACTGCACCCTAGCCTGGGCATCTAAAAAACAACAATGACAACAAAAAACAAAACACATAACATAAAATTTACAGTCTCAAACATTTCTTCTTTTTTTTTTTTTTTTGATATAGTCTCACTCTGTCACCCAGGCTGGAGTGCAGTGGTGTGATCTCGGCTCATTGCAACCTCCGCTTCCTGAGTTCAAGTGATTCTCATGTCTCAGCCTCCTGAGTAGCTGGGATTACAGGCATGCGCCACCACACCCAGCTAATTTTTTTTTTTTTTTTGAACTTTGGTAGACATGGGGTTTCACCATATTGACCAGGCTGGTTTCGTACTCCTGGCCTCAAGTGATCTGCCTGCCTCGGCCTCCCAAAGTGCTGGGATTACAGATGTGAGCTACCACGCCTGGTCAGAATTTCCTTCTTTTTAAAGGCTGAATAATATTCCATTGTATGTGTACACCACATTTTGTTTAATCATCTGCTGATGGACACTGAGGTTGCTTCTACCTCTTGGCTATTGTGAATACTGCACTATAAACATGGGTGTGCAAATATCTCTTTGAGATCCTGCTTTCAATTTTTTTGAGTATATACCTGTAAGTGGAATTGATAATTCTATTTTTAATTATTGGAGGAAACTCCACACTGTTTTCCATTGTGGTTGCACCATTTACATTCCCACCAAGAGTGCACAAGGGTTCTTATTTCTCCACATTCTCACCAACACTTGTGATTTACTGTTTCTTTTGGTTTTTATTTTTTATTTTTTGGATAATAGCCATCCTAGTGAGTATAAGGTGATAACTCATTGTGGTTTTGATTTGCATTTCCCTAATGATTAGTGACGTTGAGCATCTTTTCCTGTGCGTGTTGGCCACTTGTATATCTTCTTTGGAGAAATGTCTATTCAAGTCATTTGCCCGTTTTTTCACTGAGTTATTTGTGTTTCTTTGTTGTTGAGTTGTAGAAATTCTTTATATATTCTGGATATTAGCCCCTGATCAGGTTTATGATTTGTGAATATTTTCTCCTGTTCCTTAGGTTGCCTTTTCACTCTGTTGATTATGTTCTTTGATGAGGCTCCTCTCTTTTATCATTCTGAAGTTTTGTTGGGGCGAGATTGTATTTCAGGGGGCTTCTCAGTAAAGGCTTGTGGAATGAGGCAAGGAACATACAGTGAAGATGATTAGGCAAGCATCTTTTTGAGGAGGTGGAACTTAAGTTACTGGACAAGGTGGACCCCAAGTACAAACTCAGAGTAGGGCTGGGTGTGTTGGGTCATGCCTGTAATTCCAGAACTTTGAGGGGCTGAGGCGGGTGGATCACTTGAGCCCAGAGGTTCAAGACCAGCCTGGACAACATAGTGAAACCCCATTTCTACAAAGAATACAAAAATTAGCAGGGCATGGGGGCATGTGTCTTGTAGTCCCAGCTACTCAGGGGTGCTGAGGTGAGAGGATCGCTTGAGCCAGGGAGGTTAAGGTTGCAGTGAGTCGTGTCCCAGCCACTGCACTCCAGCCTAGGGAACAGAGTGAGACCTTGTCTCCCAAAAGCAAAAGGCCAGGCGTGGTGGCTCATGCCTTTAATCCCAGCACTTTGGGAGGCTGAGGCGGGCTGATACTTGAGTTCAGGAGTTCAAGACCAGCCTGGACAACATGGTGAAACCCCGTCTCTACTAAAAATACAAAAATTAGCTGGGCCTGGTGGCATGTGCCTGTAATCCCAGCTACTCAAGAGGGTGAGGCAGGAGAATCACTTGAAGCCTGGAGGCGGAGATTGTGCCTCCGCACGAGATTGTGCCACTGCACTCCAGCCTGGGCGACAGAGCGAGATTCTGTCTCAAAAAAAAAAAAAAAAAAAGAAAGAAAGAAAGAAATGCAGACTAGGAGTTTGCCTGTGGCTCCCTCTTCGCTCCTGCCGCCTCCTCTGACGGTTCCTCTCTCTGCAAGCACTAGGTCCTTTAAGCGGGTCTGTCACATACAGGCTGTCCCCTGGCCCCCAGTTCTGTTCACTTTGACAAGTGGATCTGAAGCGCTGTGGAGCTGGGTGCAGTGCTGGGGATTACCAGGGAGAGTGAAACAGAGCCCTACCCTCAACGTGCGTTCCTCTGCAGGGGAGAGGAGAACTATGGGAATTTCATTTACTTTACTGTGATGAATGTGCCCTCCAGGAGTAGCTACCCACCGTGGAAAAAAGGCAAAGAAGGACTCCTGATCTGGACCAAGGGAGGAGTGAGGCTTCCCGGGGGAGGCCATCGTGAGGTCACTTGGCACCAAGCCTGGTCGGCCCTCAGGGCGGCCTGTGCTCCTCCACTCCGTAGGCCCCAGTTTGCACCCCCGGAGTCGCTAGAAGAGGGAGCATCACTGTAGATTGTGTCGTCTTTCCCCCATTGGCATGTTTACGTGGTACACTAGTTTAAGGTGTAAAAGTAGGCCGAGGCAGGAGGATCGCTTGAGGCCAGGAGTTCAAGAACAGCCTGGGCAACATGTGAGACCCCCGTATTTACCACCCCCCCCAAAAAAAATTTGCTGGGTGTGACAGTGCACACCAGTAGTCTTAGCTATTCAGGAGGCGGGAGGATCGCTTGATCCCAGGAGTTTGAGGCTGTGGTGAGCCGTGATCACACCACTGCACACCAGCCTGGGCGACAGAGCAAGACTCTGTCTTTTAAAAAAGAAAAACGAAAAAGAAAGGGGCAAAAAACTAAAAGGAGCAATATACATGACTGGTCAATTTTTTCTAAAAATTAAATGCTAAAAAATCAGATTTATTATGTTCAATAATATTGTGCTTCATATGTGCCAGTCACTGTTCTAAGCACTTTACATGTCTTTAACTTAATTATTCCCCACAACAGCTCTATGAGATAGGTTTTCTTTCTACCCATTTTCCTTTTGTCGATAGAAAAACTGAGGCACAGGGAGGCTAAGTAACGGGCCCAAGGCCAGAGAGTAGGAAGTGAGAGAGCTGGAATTGGAACTCGGGAGCCTGTGCTCTTGGCCTCTGATGGTGTGATTTTTCATGCCAAGAAAGTTTTCCTGCTTCAATCAACTTGATCCAACAGAATATTTGTTATAAGTTCGTTGCCTTTAAGACTGTCATTTCTTTTTTTTTTTTTCCCGAAAATCATTTTAATATAGTCCATTTAATACCAATGCTCTCCTAAAATGTAAACTGTGAGAAAGAACAATCATTCAGTTGGGAAATGGAGTCTTCAATGATTCATCCTTCAATATGATTTCTTTAATACTGTCGATTTTATGTCCACCTGATTTCAGCCATTTTTTGTACTGTTCCTCAGCGTGCAGTAGAGAATCTGCTTTTAAAGCATCTTTCCGATATGATTCACCACTTCATGGTACAGATGGAGGCGAATTTGGAGACTGTCATTAGGATTTCCATCCGCCCAGCGCCATCTTTCGCCCAATCACAGCGGCGGCGGCCGGCGGGGGAGGAGGGGAGCCGGCTGCCAGCTCGCACCGCAGCCCGCGGGCGGACCCCAAGCCACCGCGGACCCATGCGCGGAGCCTGCTGGGCCGCCGCTGCCGTCGTCCTAAGGCTGTCATTTTTTACTTGCCCCTTCTGAAAATTCACTGTTGACTTAGGTATTCCACGTAGAACTTAGAGCCCTGGGACATCTAGAGCATTAGTCACCACTGAGCTTCTGTTGCTGATTCCTGGGAATCTCACTTAAAGGCACAATTTTTAAAAAACAACAACAAACAACTCAAAATAAAATTAGAAATAAATAAATATACCATAGACAAAAGGGGGAAAAAAATCTCATAACAGGAAAAAAAAAAACCCATAACCACACTACTCAATTAAATAAACCGTAATATAAATTAATCAGAACCATAATAATACAATGAACTATAATGAAATTAAATAAAATCACACTCAAAATTAACACTTCCTTAATATCAGTTGATATCACCGTTCAATTTTCTTTGATTATTTCAAAATTCTCTTTTCACCCTTGCGTTTGGTCACAGGTCTCTTAAGTCTTTTCTAATCCATAAAAGAATGTTTCCCTTTCAATTTTTGTACATTTTATTTGTTGAAGAAACTGGGCCATTTGTCCGGTAGAATAACTAGGAAGACTGACAAATATGGTTTCAGATTTCTCTGTGGTTCTCTTTGCCCCTAGGCTGTATCCTCCTGGAGAGATGTTCAGTCAAAGTACTGCGTTTTAAAGTCACTTAAAATAATTCTTCTCCCTGTGATTACAAAATCAACTTGCTATACTATAACCATCATTTGGCTGAGTTTGTTTTTGATTGAAGGGGGTTGCCTTTTCTAAGTTTAATTTTGTTTTTCAATACTCTAACATATTTACATGCTGAAAGTAAAAATTATAAAAGAAATATAAGCAAAGAATTTAGCCTCCCTGTCTGCCCCTTCCCCACTCAGCTGTCACAGCTGTCATTCTCTTTCTCATCTTAGAGATAATATTTTCTAATTAACTTTTTTGTTTTTGAGATGGAGTCTCGGTCTGTTGCCCAGGCTGCAGTGCAATGGCACAATCTTGGCTCACTGCAACCTCTGCCTCCTGGGTTCAAGCAATTCTTCTGCCTCAGCCTTCCCAGTAGCTGGGACTGCAGGTGCCTGCCACCATGCCTGGCTAATTTTTGTATTTTTAGTACAGATGCGGTTTCATCATATTGGCCCTAGTGGTCTCAAACTCCTGACCTTGTGATCTGCCTGCCTTGGCCTCCCAAAGTGCTGGGATTACAGGCGTGAGCCACCATGAGTGGCTTTTTTTTTTTTTTTTTTTTTTTTGAGACAGAGTCTTGTTCTGTTGCCCAGGCTGGAGTGCAGTGGCGCCATCTCAGCTCACTGCAACCTCCTCCTCCTGGGTTCAAGTGATTCTCCTGCCTCAGCCTCCTGAGTAGCTGGGACTACAGGTGCCTGCCACCATGCCTGTCTAATTTTTGTATTTTTAGTAGAGATGGGGTTTCGCCTTGTTGGCCAGGCTGGTCTCAAACACCTGACCTTAGGTGATCTGCCTGCCTCAGCCTCCCAAAGTGCTGGGATTACAGGCATGAGCCACCGCGCCAGGCCCCTCCTCCCTTTCTAACAAAAAAAGCTAGCATACTGTATTTACTCTTCTGACCTTGTATTTCTTACTTACCACTATACTCTGGAGGCCATCTATCCTCCTTCCTTTTATTGCTGCACAGCAATTCACTGTGTGCATACTCCTTAATGAATTCAACCAGTGGCCTACTGATGGACATTTGGGTTGTTTTCAGTTTTTGCTATTATAAATAGCGCTGCAATGAATAACTGGAGCATATGCCACTTCACATTTCTGGTATTTATGTTTGCAATAGACTCCTAGAACTGCGGTTGCTGGATCAAAGGGAAAGAGCACATGTAATTTTGCCAGATATTACAAAATCCTTCTCCACAGAGATTGTATGATTTTGAATTCCCATCAGCAACAGGGGACAAGTTTCCCCAAAGCCTCACCAATAAACTATATTGTCCAACTTTTGGACTTTTGCCTATCTGAAAGATAAGAAATGGTACCATAGTATACAGTATTTTAAGTTTGCAATTCTGTTATTAGGAAAATAATAGTAAACATATTTTCATTAGTTTCATTTGCTTTACTTTTTCTGTGAAATGTCTGTTCATATTTTGCCCATTTTTCTATCAGGTTATTAGGATTTTTCTTCTGAGAAGTTCTTTAATTGTTAAGGATATTGACAATTCATTAACCTTAACTGTTAACTAACCTTAACTGTCTGTGATACAATTTGCAATTCTTTCTCCCAGGTTTCATTTGCCTTTTGATTTTACTTGGATATTTTACTTAGAATGTTTTTATAATGCTACAGAACCAAATTTGTTAATATTTTATTACTTTTATGAGTTAGGGATTTTATGAGTTATAATTAGAAAAGATTTTGTCTTTTCTACATTTAAAGTATTCCACTCTTTTTTTTTTGGATTATTTGTATGATTTCATTTTTACATTTAGATTTTGATCCATTTGGTGCTTAATCCAAAAGCTTTTACCCTGGTGCCTAATGTGAGGAATGGATCTAATTTGATGTTTTCCACGTGGCTATCAAATTGTATGATATGTGTGAATGATAATCTCAATGAGGCTGTTTACACACACACACACACACACACACATATGCACGCAGAAGGATATATCCTAGCATGCACAGGTTGACTCTGGATGGTGGCATTATGAATGCTTTCCGTTTTCTGTTTTATTTTTTTCCTCTCTATGAACAGATAGACCCTGTGAAGGCTGGGACATTTGTGTCTGAGAGGATATAATGTAGGCCCACTAAAAAATTTTTTTAAAGAAGTTTGTCCATAATTCATACTCAGGCAGCCCGGTAATCAGAATGTCTGCTGTGCTCACTGGACTGAGTGTGCTCTGTGCTGGGGGAAATATTTAAAAAAGCGAAATCATCTGTACAGAGATACAGCTAAAAAGTCAAGGCACCTAATGGTTAGGAGAATTGAGGTCTCAGAGAAGGCCAAATGAGCAGTATAGACAGGTGAAAAATTCACAGGAAAGAGAGATCTTCATGGGCTGGGTAGCCTGGGAGGCTTCAGGGAGGAAGTGTCTTCCAGTTAGTCCTTGAAGAATGAAAAGGATTTAGACGCTTGGGGAAAACAGAGATGGCTGAATGCAAAGACAGCGTTGTAGGGGAGGTGAATAGGAACACCTGAGGGTGTCTGGGACACTGGGTAGGCAAGGTGGTCAAAGAGGATATCCCCTGAGCAACTGACACTGTTCACCCAGACTGGGGAGCAAAGCTCTCTGCTCCTAGGAAGTGAGATTGCCCGCAGTTGCTGGGGGCAGGGAGCCTCTCAGAGGAGCCAATTACACACAGAGCCCCTCCCCAGGGAGCTCATTTCTGGTGGTGAACTGCTTGCAGATGGGGACACCTGTGGATGCTGAAGTCCACGAGACTATCAGGGTTTAGATTTGCTTTTGCTCCTAATCATTCCACTCTTGGCTGGCACCCATGATCTGAGGACCCCTGACTCTGTGGCAGGACACACCAGCCCTCCACAGATGGGAACATACAGCTGCCTCCCTCCTGGCAGGGCCCACGGGGTGCAAACCCCTAGGGTTGGATGGACTTCTGCTGAGAAGGTCTGGGCTGGATGTGACGGCTCACACCTGTTAATCCCAGCACTTTGGAGGCCGACTATGGTGGATCATGTGGGGTCAGGAATTTTAGACCAGCCATGGCCAATATAGTGAAACCCTGTCTCTACTAAAAATACAAAAATTAGCCGGGTGTGGTGGTGTGTGCCTGTAGTCCCAGCTACTCTGGAGGCTGAGGCAGGAGAATTGCTTGAACCTGGGAGGCGGAGGTTGCAGTGAGCTGAGATTGCACCACTGCACTCCAGCCTGGGCAATAGAGCGAGACTGTCTCAAAAAAAAAAAAAAAAGTCTCCTGGGTACAAATATTTGGCTTTCTCCTCCTCCAAGCAGTCTGAATAAGCAACAACATTTATCTTGGGCGAGGAAGGGTGTCCCGGGGAAGGGGCAGACAAGTCTAACAGCCAAAAACAGCCATCTGACACCTGGTGTAAACTACAGCTTCATTCCTTTGAGTAAGAAAGTTTAAAAAAAGGCCCCACATTTTCAGTTAGTCTTTTGGATTGTGTGTGTGTGTTTGGTGGGGTTGGGGGGCTTTAGCAGCTCTCCCTGTCCTGTGACTCCCCAGAACCACGTGCGGGCCCCACATCCATGCGTTTTCCTCCGGGCTGCCCCTAGATGGCGGAGGGCCCTCCTTCACTTTGCATTCTTCCACTTCAGGGCAGGGTCATGCTCCCGAATCATCCCCTAAAGGGAGTTCTTTAACTTCCTGAGACAATCCATTTTTGTTTTGAACAATCCCCACTTGCATCTAACCTAAAGCTCTCATGCTGCAGAAATAGAGAATACCTGAATATCACCTTTTCCTCCTGAATTACAGATCCTATTGCTGTTCCCCTTTAGAGGGCTACATGGTGGGATGGACGGAGCATGGGCTCTGAGTCAAATGGATCCCTGGCTCTGTCACTATCTGCTGGATGACCTCGGGCAAGTGACTTAGTTCTGAGCCTATTTCTGCACCTTCACATGGTTGTAGTGAGGATAAAACAACACAGGCAAAGAGCCTGGCTCATGGGCAGAAGGCTACAAAAATCAGTTTCTTTGATATGTTCAAAAGCCTTTCTTGGCGTAACCTTCAGCCTTCTGGGTTTGAGCACCCTAACGTTACCCATCCTGCTTCCCAACACTTTCATCAGTCCCCCCAATTTGAGGACATCACTGTCCAGGAAGGCCCTGAGCTCACTGTGAAGCCTCTTTTGAGCCTGCACAATGGAAATATTCCTTTCCAGGTGAGGTTTCTATACCAAGAGCTGGCTGCTATGCCCAAGGAGGCTGCCCCAGGGAGAGAGAATCCCCTAGATGCTGCCTGCAGAACAGGGTCAGACAGATGCGACTGTGTTTACGGTCTTGTCCTCAGTTACCTGACACCAGTCTCCATGGGAATTAGCACGAGGCATCTCGAATTTCAGGGTACATATTTCTCTCTGAGCTTGAGCTGTTGATCTTCCCCTCCATGGACCTGCACCACATCCTCCCAGAAATAAGTGACCCAGTCTCCTTGTGCAATGACCTACACAGAAAGCATGCCTTCCTGGGTACGGGAAGAGAACTGGGACAGTGCATAAGGGAGGAGAGGCTCTTGTGAATTAAACAGGGCACACGGGGCTGGTCAGGAGCCAAGTCATTAATGACTCTGCTGATTTCCCTTTGGAGCAGTCAGGACCTGTTTTGCTCTCACTTTTGCATCTTGTAACCCCTCTGATAATCGAGATGGCGGTACCTGAAAGCAGGTGCCCTGATACCGCCCGTAACCTTATGTCAGTATTTCCCTCCCTGTTTTGTCCTTGGACAGCCACCTAAGACCCCAAATCTTTTTTTTTTTTTTTTTGAAACAGAGTTTCACTTTGGTGGTGGTGCGATCTTGGTTGACTGCAACCTCTGCCTCCCAAGCTCAAGTGATTCTCCTGCCTCAGCCTCCCAAGTAGCTAGGGTTACAGGCATGAGCCACCACACCCAGCTAATTTTTGTGTTTTTAGTAGAGACAGGGTTTCAACATGTTGGCCAGGCTGGTTTCAAACTCCTGACATCAGGTGATCAGCCCACCTCGGCCTCCCAGAGTGCTGGGATTACAGGCGTGAGCCACCACGCCCAGCCCTAAGACCCAAATCTTCAAGCTGCTTCCCCGGTCTCATTTTCTTCTTGAGGCTGATTTTAGCCATGGTTCTCCCGTGGTGCTTTGCTTCTCACTGTCTCAGCACCAAAGTGTTGACAACTAATTTAATTAATGCTTCCAAGTTCAATGAGAGAAGGCCAGAAGGTACTCTGGGTTCCCTGTTTAGTTCCCTATGTAGATCTAGACACAGCGTCACTAACTTTGTGACTCTGATGCTGGAAATTTCTCTCAAAACAGGAGATGGTTTTGGAACAATGGGTCATTCAAGTGCCCTCATATTATACTGGATGCCAAAGTTCTCTATAAATTAAAAACAAAATTAGAAACGACCACCACACTCACAAACGATAAACTGAACACCATGCACTGGTGATGAGGACCAGTACTGTAATCAAGTATGATGTCATAGATTATCTGATGCCTATTTAGTGATATTTTATGCTTCCTTTTAGCCTCCATTATAATTAGCTGTTGAGGGAGAATATCTTTCAATTTGGCTTTTTAATGATAATCTATAGCTTTTGAAAACTCCTAGTTTCTTTCTCCAAAATGTAGAGTAAGTGGTCTTCAACGTATGGTCCTGGAACCAACAGCATAAGCATCACCTGGGAGGTTGGTAGAAAGGCAAATTTTCAGGCCCCACCCCAGACCTGCTGAATTAGAAACCCTGGACATGGAGCCCAGCAGTCTGTGTAAGAATCAACCCTCCAGGTGGTTGTGATGTATGCTCAAGTTTGAGAACCACTGGTGTAGATAATTCACCAATTACCAGTCAATAAACCCGCGTTAGCTCTAAGCGCTGGCCTGCCCCCTTTTTAAAGGGTGTCTCAGGGAAAATTAAATTCTTGTCAATCTCAGCTTTTTCCAATCAATTTGCCTTGTTTTCGCCTGGAGTATCAAGTTATGGTGGGAAAGAGGCAACCAGATTTAGGAAGGGCAAGAGATGCAGAGCGAACCCTTAGAAGGAACCTGTTTGGCTCCGCAGCAAAGAGATGGTGCACCTGGGATTAAGCCCTGCTGAGTTTAAACTGAGCCAGAGGGAGGCATAGGCAGCCATGAGAGCTGCTGGGCCCGCCACCCCAGGAACAGGCTCCTTTCCTGCTCCACCTCTCCTCATTCACCAATGGAATGAGCCGAAGCATATAAACTCTTTTATTGGTGTGTAGTCTGGCTTTGAAGTACATCAGAAGGCCTGGGCACGGTGGTTCACGCCTGTAATCCCAGCACCTTGGGAGGCCAATGTGGGTGGATCACTTGAGGGCAGGAGTTCGAGACCAGCCTGGCCAACATAGTGAAATCCTGTTTCTACTAAAAATACAAAAATTAGCAGGGTGTGATGGTGCACGCTTGTAATCCCAGCTACTTGGGAAGCTAAGGCAGGAGAATCACTTGAACTTGGGAGGCAGAGGTTGCAGTGAGCCGAGACTGCATCACTGCACTCCAGTCTGGGTGACAGAGCAAGACTTTGTCTCCAAAAAAAAAATAAATAAATAAAGTACATCAGAAACAGGACTGATCATCACTGGAAGGGTCTATAAGGGGACAGCCTTTCCGTTGACTAAGAGGCGATCACTTAGAAAAAGTTTGAGTTCTGCCAGAAGGTGTTTAGAATCATAATAGTTCCCGTGGACTGCGTGCTTCTTGCTAGCTATAGCTGTGTGGCCACACCAGCTGATGGAGCCTGGGAAACACCAACAACCTCATTACATTTGCTGGTCACGGCTCTTTGAGAGCAGTCCTATTATCAGCCTATTCATAGACGGGGAGATTTAGGCTCAAATAGGTTGAGCCAACTGCCTGTTGGAAAGGGACAGAGCAGGTGCTTAAACAAAGCAGCCTCAAAAGCCTTCACCTCGGCCGGGCACGGTGGCTCACGCCTGTAATCCCAGCACTTTGGGAGGCCAAGGCGGGCAGATGATGAGGTCAGGAGATCAAGACCATCCTGGCTAACACGGTAAAACCTCATCTGTACTAAAAATACAAAAAATTAGCTGGGCGTGGTGGCAGGCGCCTATAGTCCCAGCTACTCAGGAGGCTGAGGCAGGAGAATGGCGTGAACCTGGGAGGCAGAGGTTGCACTGAGCCGAGATCGTGCCGCTGCACTCCAGCCTGGGCGATAGAGGCTCCGTCTCAAAACAAAACAAAACCAAAAAAAGCCTTCACCTTGGTACTAACCCATCAAGCTGGTCTCCCTCCCATGGGTCCAAGGAGCCAGATTCATCCTTCAGTAGTTTACCAGGAGATGTCAGCTTCTTTGGTCCTTCCCTTCCCTGTTTATCTTCTTGCTGCTCTCTCCTACGTAACCTCCCTCTTCTCCCTCCATTTAGTGACAGTCTTTCCTCCATCTAGACCGAATGCTTTGTCTTCAGAGGTCTCCTTGGGCTTCTGTGTGCCTGATCATCCATCATAACCCTAAAAAATAATCAGAGACAGAATTTTTTATTTAAAAACATTTTTATTCCCTTGTTTAAAACACAATAGATTCTGAACAATACTTATTAACTGAACGAAGGACCAGTAACTGGGTCCCTCTCAAATGTTGATGGTGTTGGGCTGAGGTGGATTTTATAAATTAAATCAGTTGTTTTGGAGTCCCAGAGCAATAATTTCCAAGTGAGTTAGGATGAGTGGGCCACATCTTCCAAGGGGCTGCATCAGAATCTGAGCCTGCCCTTTGCCACTATTGTCTCCTGGTTTGATTCTGAATCCCCTGGAGTAGGGGCCAGGAATAGTGTCTTTTTTTTTTTTTTTTTTTGAGACAGGATCTTGCTCTCACCCAGTCTGGAGTACAGCAGTGCAATCACAGCTCACTGCAGCCTTGATCTCCCAGGCTCAAGCAATCCTCCCACCTCAGCTTCCCGAGTAGCTGGGACTGCAGATATGAACCACCATGTCTGGTTAGGTTTTAAAACTTTTTTGTAGAGATGGGGTCTCATTATGTTGCCCAGACTAGTCTCAAACTCCTGAGCTCAGGTGATCCTCCTGCTTCAGCCTCCCAATGTTCTGGGATTACAGATGTAAGCCACTGCATCCGACTTGAAAGTTGGTCTTTTTAAGAGGTCCCCAGTAATCCTTACAATTAGGCCAGTTTGGGAAACACTGAACTTGGAGGAATAAACCATTGGTCCTTTCAGTTCCTTGCGCTTCCATATAACCCATCTCAGAAGCCCCCTCTGGACATCCTGAGGCTGGGGGTCCCAGGACCAAAATTTGAGAACACTGCCCCAGAGCAGATGTCAAACTCAAAGCCTTGTTCAAGCACAGATTATGGGCCCCACTTCTAGAGTTTCTGATCTAGTTGGTCTGAGGTGAGGTTGGGGATTTTGCATTTCTAGTGAGTCCCCAGATCATGCTGATGCTGCTGGTCTAGGTACTACACTTTGAGAAATCTCCTGTGCTAGACCATTCTGTTGTATTAAAGAGTAGATTTGTCCTCACCCAGACCAGAGACTTTTCTTCATGTCAAGCTTAGATGTATATAATTGCAGTAACTGACATACCAGGCTTTCCTTATAAATCACCAGCTTCCTTAATTATTACAGAGCTCTGCTCTTGCAATGTATAGTGATATCCTATTTATTGTTAGAAGTAGGTATTAGGAAGCCAGGTGCCATGGCTCACGCCTGTAATCCCAGCAATTTGGGAGGCCGAGGTGGGTGGATCACAAGGTCAGGAGTTGAAGACCAGCCTGGCCAACATGGTGAAACCCTGTCTCTACTAAAAATACAAAAAATTAGACAGGCGTGGTGGCAGGTGCCTATAATCCCGGCTACTTGGGAGGCTGAGGCAGGAGAATTGCTTGGACCCGGGAGGCCGAGGTTGCGGTGAGCCGAGAACATGCCACTGCACTTCAGCCTGGGCAACAGAGCGGAACTCCATCAAAAAAAAAAAAAAAAAAAGAAGTAGGTATTAGGAAACTTAGGTGCTAGGATTCCACTTATAACCCAGAGGCACACTTCATGAACATCTACAGAGAAGTCATTTCCCTCTACATGGCCTGATTTTTCCCTCATTTGCCAAATACAACATCTTGAGAAGATGAAATGAGAGAATAAAACAGAACACATTTATCCTCTGTTAACTGATCATAGGGGGAAGAAAAAAAAAGAAGCCGCGCATGGTGGCTCACACCTGTAATCCCAGCACTTTGGAAGGCCAAGACAGAAGGATTGCTTGAGGCCAGGAGTTTGAGACCAGCCTGGGCAACATAGCAAGCTCCCCATCTCTACAAAAAAAATTAGCCGAAAGTGGTGGTTGCATGTCTGTAGTCCTAGCTACTGGGGAGACTGAGGCAGGAGGATCTCCTGAGCCTAGGAATTTGAGGCTGCAGTGGCACAAATACAATTGTGTACACTGTACTCTAGCCTGGGCAACAGAGCAAGACCCTGTCTCAATAAATAAATAAATAGATAAATAAATAAAATTCAAACACATTCAGAAAAAGTTTAAAGCTCAAGGCACAAATATTAGCCATTACCCTCAGCTTCTGACTTGGGGAGGTGAGGAATGTGGCTCCTGGGTCCTGGTTTGTTATTACCTTTAGGGGCAGTGGCCAGGCTTCCCTTTCTTCATCTCTAAAAGACGGGGATTAACCTGGACTGTCTCAAACATCTCTCACAGCTGGGAGATCACGAGATTTCAACCCTGACCCAGCACCTGAGACTGGGTTCATTTTTACGTTGCTTCATACAGAGATCTGTTTCTACTCTTCAGATTGTAATCTAGGTTTGGGGCACCAAATATTCCATTTAAAACATCTAGGATGCTTGGAGCAAGTGGGCAGAAAAAGTGTGAGGGGCATTTAACACAAAAGAAGTCTAGATGGAAACAAAAAGCAAGCAAAACGTGGGCCGTGGCGTTCTGCAGAGTGGCTCGACTTATTAGTGTGTTCTCTTCAATGCCTGTCAGAGAAGAGGTGATCACTGTGTCTTATGAAATCAGATCTGTAACCGGAGAAAAGATGAAATTGCTTAACTAGCCCGACTCATGTCAGTTTTTATTTGAGAAGAGAAAAAACATCCCTTTGAATAAGAGAAATATAGCAGTCCTTATCTGTCTAGCAACTGTACTCTCTGTATAAAAAAAGGTAGCCCCATGATTCTACAATTATTTTTTAAAAATTATAAATAAATACAGTATACATGCATTGAAGGAAGGTGTGCAAACTTATTTCCTAATGGTCTGTGTGATCACAGTAGTTTGGAGACCACTGCTCTAAGTGATGAAACTTCAGGGGCCCCTGCTTTGTCCTTTGCGTATTTCTTTTTAAAGAAACTTAAAAAAATAGACATTATTATTATTTGAGACGGAGTCTCGCTCTGTCACCCAGACTGGAGTGCAGTGGCATGATCTCGGCTCACTGCAAGCCCCGCCTCCTGGGTTCACGCCATTCTCCTGCCTCAGCCTCCCAAGTAGCTGGGACTACAGGCACCTGCCACCATGCCTAAAAACTTATGTATTTTTAATAGAGATGGGGTTTCACCGCATTAGCCAGGATGGTCTCAATCTCCTGACCTCGAGATCCGCCCTCCTCGGCCTCCCAAAGTGCTGGGATTACAGACGTGAGCCACTGCGCCTGGCTGACATTATTTTTATAAGTAGTTTTAGTCCACAGAAAAATTAACCAGAAGATACAGAAATATCTCACATCCTCCCTGCCCCCCACATACATAGCCACCCTCTTATCAACGTCCCTTCCACCAGAGTGGTACATTTGTCACAATTGATAACCCACATTGACACATCATTATCACCCAAAGTCCATAGTTTACATTAGGGTTTATTCTTGGTGTTGTACCTTCTGTTAGTTTGGACAAATTTATAATGGCATGTATCTTCCATTAAACCATCATACAGAGTATTTTCACTGGCCTAAGAATCTTCTGTGCTCTGCCTATTCATACCTCCCTCCACCCTAACCCCTAGCAACTACTGATCTTTCTACCATTTCCATCGTTTTGCCTTTTCCATGTTGTCATATAGTTGGAATCATACAGTATGTAGCCTTTTCAAATTGGCTTCTTTCACTTAGTGATATGCATTTAAGTTTCCTCCATGTATTTTCATGGCTTGATAGCTCATTTCTTTTCAGTGCTGAGTAATATTCCATTGACTAAAAGTACCACAGTTTCATTTATCCGTTCTCCTACTGAAGGAAATCTTGGTTGCTTCTAAGTTTTGGCAATTTTGAATAAAGCTGCTATAAACACCCATGTGCAGGTTTTTGTGTGGACATACATTTTTGACTTCTTTGGGTTAAAACCAAAGAGTATGATTACTACATCGTATGGTAACAGCATGTTTAGTTTTGTAAGAAATTGCCAATCTATCCTTAAAGTGGCCGTACTGCTTTGCATTCCTATTAGCAATGAATGAGAGTTCCTTTTGCTCCACATCCTTGCCAGCATGTGATGTTGTCAGTTGTCAGGTTCATGACTACACCACATGTTATGTTGAGTCCGAAGGGAGTGGCTGGATGAGCAGAAAGAACACTCGGGGGGCTGTAGGCAGTTGAAAGATGACTTTATTCAGCAGCAGCTCTTATCAACAGCTTTCTCTCACACTGTCCGCCCTGTCTCGGCTGCTTAGTCTGGCGGCTCCCACACACAGCTGCGTGGCCGGCTCTCCCTTGCCTTCAGGGTGAGCAGCTTAACTCTTTCTCTCTCTGGGAGTGAGTGAGCTGAGCTGTGTCCTGGCTCAGACGGACAGCTCTGACTCGCTCGCTCTTTCTCTGGGCGCCTGCGCGCCTACCATGACAAGCCATTTCAGGCGAGCCGAGCCCCAGAGCCATGTGTCTGGTGCGCAGTGTTAACAGGGCAGTTATACCTTTTACAGACAACTGTGGCTCCAAGTCAAGTATGAACTTACACAAACAGTTTATATAACAAGTGGAGGTGTGCGCCTGCGTGCCAAACTTGCTGACTCGTGCAGGCCTGGATACCCGCCTCAGACTATTCCTTGACCGAAGCACTTCCAGGTACCTTACATCAGTGTTCCGGATTTTGGCTGTTCTAAAGGGTGTGTAGGTGGTATCTCATTGTTGATTTAATTTGCATTTTCCTGATGACATACGTCGTGGGGCATCTTTCGTATGCTTATTTGCCACCTGTATGTCTTTTGCGGTGAACTCTCTCTTAATGTCTTGGCCCATTTTTAATTGGTTGTTTGTTTCCTTACTGTTGAGTTTTAAGAGTTTTATTTATGTTTTGGATAATAGCCCCATATCAAATACATCTTTGGCAAATATTTTCTCCCAGTGTGTGGCTTTTCTTTATATTATCATAAGTATTTTTTACAGAACAGAAGTTTCTAATTTTAATGAAGTCTAGCTTATCAGTGTTTTCTTTCATAGATCATGCCTTTGGTGTCATGTCAAAAAAGTCATAACCTGGCTGGGTGCAGTGACTCACACTTGTAATCCCAGCACTTTGGAAGGCCAAGGCGGGAGGATGACTTGAGCCCAGGAGTTCAAGACAGCCTGGCAATATAGAGAGACTGTATCTCTACAGATAATTTCAGAAAAATTAGCCAGGCATAGTGGCATGTGCCTGTAGTTCCAGCTACACAGGAAGCTAAGGTGGGAGGATTACTTGAGCCTGGGAGGTCAAGGCTGCAGTGAGCTGTGGTTGCGCCACTGCACTCCAGCCCGGGTGACAGAGACCTTGTCTCAAAAAAATAATAATAATAAAAAACCAAACCAAAACAAAAAGTCACTACCAAAGCCAAGGTTATCTAGATTTTCTCCTATGTTATTTTCTAAGAGTCTTACCATTTTGTGTTTTACATTTAGGTCTGTGATCTATTTAGAGTTAATTTTTTTGTGAAGGGTATGAGATCTATGTCTTCATTCCTTTTTTTTGAATATAAATGTCTCGTCCCAGTACCATTTTTTGAAAAGATTTTCTTTTCCCCATTGTATTGCCTTTGTTTTTTTGGTCAAACATCAATTGACTATATTTATATGGGTCTGTTTCTGAGATCTCTATTCTGTTTCATTGATCTCTTTGTTTATCCTTTTTTTTTTTTCTTTTTTTTTGAGATGGAGTCTCGCTGTGTCACCCAGGCTGGAGTGCAGTGGTGCAATCTCGGCTCCCTGCAACCTCCACATCCTGGGTTCAAGCAGTTCTCCTGCCTCAGCCTCCTGAGTAGCTGGGATTACAGGTGTGTACCACCAGGCCAAGCTAATTTTTGTATTTTTAGTAGAGACAGGGTTTCACCATGTTGGCCAGGCTGGTCTCGAACTCCTGACCTCAAGTGATCCACCCGTCTTGGCCTCCCAAAGTGCTGGGATTACAGGCGTGAGCCACCGCGCCCAGCTCTTCGTTTATTGTTTTGCCAATGCCACACTGTCTTGGTTGCTGCAACTTTATAGTAACTCCTGCAGTCAGATAGTGTCGGTCCTCTAACTTTGTTCTCCTCCTTCAATATTGTGTATCCTACCACTATTTTCAAGGAAGTTTAAAAAAAAATCCATCTTTTTTTTTTCCAACTCTTGCTATCACCCTCACACTGTGTAGTAACTCAGCCTCTGTCTCTTACTCACTGGGTGATCTTAGCTGTTCTCTGCTTTTGTGAAGGAAAGAATCTACGTCAGGATATTTATAATTATAACTTATGTAAAAAATCCAAACACACTAGAAAAAGTCTAAAGCTCAAGAAACAAATATTAGCCATTACCCTCAGTTTCTGACTTGGGGATCACCCAAGCGAGTAAAAGACAGAGGCTGAGTGTGAAGGAAAGAATCTATGTCAGGATATTTATAATTATAACTTATATAAAAAATCCAAACACACTCAGAAAAAGTTTAAATCTCAAGAAACAAATATTAGCCCTGGGTCCTGGTTTGTTATTACCTTTAGGGGTGATGTGGAGCTAGTGGCCAGGCTTTCCTTTCTTCCTTTCTAAAAGGCAGGGATTAACCTGGACTATCTCAAACATTGCTCACAGCTGGGAGATCATGACATTTCAACCCTGACCCAGCAACTGAGATTGGCTTCAGTTTTACGTTGGTTTATACAGAGGTCTGTTTCTACTCTTCTTCAGATTGTAATCTAGGTTTGGGACACCAAATATTCCATTTAAAACATCTAGGGCTGGGTGCTGTGGCTCACACCTGTAATCCCCACACTTTGGGAGGCCGAGGTGGGTGGATCGCCTGAGGTCAGGAGTTTGAGACCAGCTTAAACTTATATAATTATAACTTATATAACTGTATCCTGACTTAGAGCTGATCCTGACCACAGTGGAGCCTCTAGGATGCAGGTGAACACACAGCCAGGGGAACTAGGCATCCCAGCAGAAGATGAGTGTGTGAGCATGAATCCCTCCCTCTCTCTACACAGGGATGTACGCTTCACAAGGCCCTGAACCTTGCAGCCAGCCAGGGGGAAAAGCAGGGCTGGTAGCAGAATCTCTATTTCCCTAGGAAGAAAACTCTGGCTCTTAGAGGTCAAATGAATTTCCTATAGTCCTCTAGATAGGACTGTAAAATATCTGGCTTGAGTTCAGTGTTTTTTCACATAGCTTGGCAGGTCAAGAGAACCAGGGTCTCTTTCTGCATAAACCCAGGAAGGACCTGAATCACCAGCATCCCCTCAGTGAAGAAGAAGCCCTAGCTTGCACATGGGGTGGAGGAAGGTGAAACAAAGGACTCTCACCTGGAGCCAGCACAGAGGATCCTGTACTAGAGAAGGCCTGGCTCCCATGGATGTCCTGAGGCACAAATAACTCATGAGTCCTAGTCAGTCCCTGGGGGGAGTTTGTTAAATGGAATTCTGAAGTAAGCTGAATGATCTGAGCTAAACAGGACTAGACCTTGTTTGAGAATGGGTCTCTACAAATTTAGCTACTTCCCCATGCTTGCTTGTAGCTGGCAAGTTGCATTAAAAATTGTCTACTGATTGCTGTAACATCCATTCTCACTTACATGTTTGTATGTAAGTTCTTTCATTTTAAGAGGAGAGCTCACTGAAGGCCGCTGCCTGGGTGGTAGCAGTAGGCTGTTGGGCAGCAAAGGCTGGGGGTGGGGCCCAGCGGGCTGCTATTGCACCAGCCTTGCTCTGGAGAGCAACTGTTGGTTGTTGAGAAATGGTATGACAATTAGTGAGATGTCATTAGAGTATATAAAATATAAATGGCTATGAACACTAATTTTTGCAGTAGTTAGGGACTGAATGATAGTAAGATTTGCCAGGCACAGTGGCTCATGGTCGTAATCCTAGCACTTTGAAGGCTGAGACAGGAGGATCACTTAATTCCAGGAGTTTGAGGCCACCTGGGCAACATAGTGAGGCCCTGTCTCTACAAACTTTTTTTTTTTTTAATTAGCCAGATGTGGTGATGTGTGCCTGTAGTCCCAGCTATTTGGGAGGCTGAGGTGGGAGGATGGCTTCAGCCTATAAGGTGAAGACTGCAGTGAGCCAAAATCATGCCACTGCACCCCAGCCTAGGCTACAGCGCAAGACTCTGTCTCAAAAAAAAAAATTACTAGAATTATGAAGTAACTAGTGTGCAATTATATTGCAATTGTCTGTTACTTGTCCATAGCTAGACTATAAGGTACATTCAGGTGGGGTCCATCTTTGTCTTTTCACTGATGTCTCACTGTTTATAGAGTTAGGCATTTAAAAATTATTTGTTGAATTAAATTATTGAATGCAGTTGACGATAGAAATGAGTTAACTTTTAAAAATATTATCTTCTAGGCCAGGTGTGGTGGCTCACACCCGTAATCCCAGCACTTTGAGAGGCTGAGGCGGGGGGATTGCTTGAGCTCAGAAGTTTGAGACCAGCCTGGGCAACATGGCAAAACCCCCGTCTCTTGAAAAAAAAAAAAAAATCATCTTCTGGATAAATTAGTTTCACCTTAAATCCATTTTGTAACAAAACAGGGATAAGTATGTTAATGAATGAATGACTAAATAAGTCAATGATCAAAACAGTAAGTGAAACAAATAGGAAATAATACATCAGTAGCCTCTTGACCTGCCTTGGTGGAATGAGGCTCTGGGCATCTCCTGCTCTGAAGAGCATTCTGGGCTCCCCAGAGGTCTGTAGTAGTCCATCCCAATTTTGTTGGAGACCAGAGGAATGAGACCAAGGCCATCATCTCAATTCACACAGGAACCACTTGGAGTTGCTCAGCCTTGCAGCCCAGATTGCATCATGGAACCAAACTAGTCCTGCCAGAATGATGGTGTGAGCAATGTCTGCCTTCTCGGGGACCCTGATTTTTCTTCCTTCCTATGGAGGCTGGAACCATGCTCCATGTCCTAGCACATATTCTCATTTGGGTCCCTCATAGGACTGACCATGTCCCATGTGTCAGCTTTTCCCTCGACTTTCTTCTTCCAAGGCCTCTTCCCATGGTGTCCTGCTCTGCTCTGGGGACAGTGTGTGGGATCTGGTTAACTTGGTGGAAAGGAACAGCCTCCAAGAGACGGAAACTCTCATGGCAAGAATGTCAGACATAACTAAAAGCCAGAGTTGAAGGCATTTCTGGAGGATGGGCCACCGATTCCTTCCTTCTATGGGCCACTTGAGTCACTTGTGTACATGCTAGAGACCAGGCCAGGTGTAGTAGAAGATTAAACACAGGGCCGGGCGTGGTGGCTCATGCCTGTAATCCTAGCACTTTGGGAGGCTGAGGCGGGCGGGTCACGAGGTCAGGAGATCGAGACCATCCTGGTTAACACAGTGAAACCCCGTCTCTACTAAAAACACAAAAAATTAGCCAGGCATGGTGGTGGGCGCCTGTAGTACCAGCTACTCGGGAGGCTGAGGTGAGAGAATGGCTTGAACCCGGGAGGCGGAGCTTGCAGTGAGCCAAGATCACACCACTGTACCTCCAGCCGGGGTGACAGAGTGAGACTCCATCTCAAAAACAAAAAAACAAACAAACAAAAATCCCAAAAAACAGCAACAAGAAGATTAAACACAGACACAGACCTTTTCCCTCCAGAACCTTAGAAATGAATGAAGGGACCAGTAGCTGCACAGATCATTCTAGTAAAGACAATATATAATAAGAGAAATCATTTTTTGTTTAAATATTGATTTGCTGATTCCTATAAAAATGCTTCTTTTGCCCTTTTTTTCTTCCCATGAGCCTTTCTTGCCTCTTCAATGTTATCTGATTGTACTTTCCAGCTCATGGACATTACACAAAATGGCAGTTCCTAGGAAAAGCGAGAATAGAAAAAAAACCATAGCTTTTCAGTCAATTCTTGTTAACACTAGAGCCCGGAAGGGTCATGTAGGTCAATGAACTGTTGCTCCTGGCAATTGAAATAATTTATCCTCTGAAAAAGAGAGATCAGGACTGCCCCAGAGCTAAGTTAAAAACTGTGGGGTTAAGGCAGGGCACAGTAATGCCTGTAATATCTGTGCTTTGGAAGGCTGAGGCAGGAGGAGTGTCTGAGGCCAGGAGTTAGAGACCAGCCTGGGCAACATAGTGAGACATGACTGTGTCACTGTACTCCAGCCTGGACGACAGAGTGAGACTCTGTCTCTAAAAACAGAATAAAACAAAACAAAAAACCTGTGGGACTACCTGAGGTCTAGGACTAGATTGTCAAGACAGGAGAAGGGTAATGACCTGGGCAGCACAGCAAAGGCTTCTGGAAAGGACACACACAGCTTCTTATCTCTGCTCTCTATATCCTGCTCATGACTTCAAGACGTCATGGTGCTTTTCTGAACCTCAGTCTCTTCATTTGCAGCATGGCTATAATATCCATACTATCCACCTCACAGGGTTCTCGTAAGAATAGAATGAGTTACCATATATACATAAACTCCATCCTCAGCACACAACACAGGACTTAGTGGCTGCCTCTCATTTCAGGAGAACTCACATTTCTTAGTTCACTGGGAAAAGGTTGAGATTGGCAAGTATCCCACATCCATTAGAGAGGTGACTCAGCGATTATCCTTCTAAGGATTAAAAACAGCTTTATCAGGCAGCCACTCTGCTGCGATGTACATGATTTAATTCAATTTAATCATCTCAACAACCCTACAAGGAAGGTATTTTCTTCCCCCTTAGACAGAGGATGAAATCAAAGTTCAGAAGAGTTGATTACACCCTGCCTGAATTCACCTAGGGATTTGAACTCAGATCTGTCTGACTTCAGGTTCATTTACTTTTTACTCTGCCCCATTGGCTTTCAGCTTTGATAGATATGGAAATAAAACCTAGCCCTTCACATCAGGCCATTATCCTATACACCCAAGTAGGCCATGGAGAAATGGCCTTTCTCTAAGGGGAAATGGGATCTCTGGAAAAGTCACCTTGCTTCTGGGCCATTGCATGGAGACAGCTGGGGTCCAGTGAGATGCCAGTGCCCAACAAATGGGCACCAGCTCTTCATCCTCCTCTCTCTGTCTCTCTTTCTCTAGCATCACATAGGATGACCTCAAAGCCAACAGCTATGGAATGCATCTTCCTGGCCTCACAGGTCTCTTGAAGCTGCCGGCTGCCCCCAGCAATCAAGCCAGATGGATGTTTTGGGTGGAAGCCTAGCTGGGAAACAGCTTGCGGGCTGAGCAGGGGTGTTCAGTGGGCAAGGGGCAGGCTTCACGCTAACTCTTTCTCCATGCAGTGCTGCTTCCTCCTTCTGGCCTGCTTTCTGATGTCCCCAAGGCCTTTTCAAGTAGGAGTGGAAGGACAGAGTGGATGTGGCCAATCAAGAAACAGCATCCTCTAATCAGGTCACCCAGGCAGCCCCTCATCTAACCCAGCTGGCTCTGAGCCCTTTGCCTGGGGATCATTCTGTTTTGTAACAGCAAGGCTGACCTCAAGCGAGGCCACTTGGTCTGGATCTTTGATCTAAACAAGCACGAGGGCTTTCTCTCTGGAGACTTCTGTCTTGTTGGCAGGTCTCCAGAAGGGGGCGTTGCTGTTGCATGTGTCAATAGGATAGTAAGATTTAGGAACAAGCTGCAGTCGTTTAGGCAAGGGAGGTTGCGAGTTAGTCCTTTGCTCGGACTGCTTTTGTCACCAAGGGTAAGTGCTTGCTGATGACTTTTGCTCCGGTACAGAAGTATCTAAACTTTCCAGAGATGTGTAAAAGAGAGCCTTATAAAATTTAGGAGAACACATCAAAGTTACTAGATAGAAGGTCATTATACAAAAATTAACTTGCATTTTAAGGTACCAACCACAGTTAGAAAATAAAAAAATTTAAAGCTAACACCTATAAAAGAAACAAAAGCTATAAGGTACCAGAAATATATACATGATCTTTATGAAGAAAATTATAAAACTTTACTTGTTTAGGTATTCTTTTTGTTTTGTTTTGTTTTTGTTCTTAGGGTTTTTTAGAGACAAGGTCTCTCTCTGTTGCCCAGGCTAGGGTGCAGTTGGCACCATCATAGCTCACTGCAGCCTTGAATTCTTGGACTCAAGCAATCCTCCTGCTTCAGATTCCCAAGTAACTGGGACTACAGGTGGATGACACCACACCTGGCTAATTTTTTTTTTTTTTTTGTAAAATAGGATCTCACTATGTTGCCCAGCCTGGTCTCGAACTTCTGGCCTCAAGTGATCCTCCTGCCTTGGCCTCCCAAAGTGCTGTGATTACAGATGTGAACCACTGTGCCTGGCCTAGGTATTCTTTAATAGATAGATAAGATGTATTTATGATATGAAGATACAGTGTCATAAATTTCTTTTTTTTTTTTTTTTTGAGATGGAGTCTCACTCTGTTGCCCAGGCTGGAGTGTAGTGGCATGATCTCGGCTTACTGCAAGCTCTGCCTCCTGGATTCATGCCATTCTCCTGCCTCAGCCTCCCGAGTAGCTGGGACTACAGGTGCCCACCGGCACGCCCGGCTAATTTTTTGTATTTTTTAATAGAGACAGGGTTTCACTGTGTTAGCCAGGATAGTCTCGATCTCGTGATCTCGTGATCTGCCTGCCTTGGCCTCCCAAAGTGCTGGGATTACAGGTGTGAGCCACTGCACCCAGCCTTGGTGTCATAAATTTCAATTCTTCCCAAATTATAAATTCTTTGTGACTCCAACCAAATTCACATAGGATTTTTTTTATGGGTCTAGACAGGATGATTCTAACATTGTTCTGAAAAAGGACCAAAAATAGTTAAGAAATTTTGAAAAACACAAGATGAGCGACTCACCCTATAAGACTATAAGACCTGTTAAATTAAGACTGTGTGGCTTTAGCCAAGAAAGAGACAAACAGACCAATAGAACAGAATAGAGACTCGCAAAACAGATCTCTGTACTTATGAAGACTTGATATATGACAGAGGTGACATGCAGATGAGTAGAGAAAGAATAAATTATTCAATTAGTGGTACTGGGAATTTGATAGCCCATATTGAAAACGAACCCAACAATATGAAATTTTAGGTGAAAAAAATTTTAAGTAAAACTTTCAGACTTCTAGGAGAAAATACAGAAAAACTTCCAAGATCACAGTGTAGGCAATAATATCATAAAACAGAAATAAGTACAAGCACTAAAGAAAAACATTCGTAAATTTATGTGCATTAAAATGTAAAGCTTTGGCTGGGCATGGTGGTTCATGCCTATAATCTCAGCACTTTGGCAGGCCAAGGTGGGAGGGTCACTTGAGCCCAGGAGTTTAAGACCAGTCTAGGAAACCTAGTGAGACCCCATCTCTACAAAAGATAGGAAAAAATAGTCGAGCATTGTGTTAGTCCATTCTCATACTGCTATAAAGAACTATCTGAGACTGGGGAATTTATAAAGAAAAGAGATTTAATTGACACACAGTTCTGCAGACTGTACAGGAGGTATGGCTGGGGAGGCCTTAGGAAATTTACAATCATGATGGAAGGTAAAGGGGAAGCAAGCACATCTTCACATGGTGGCAGGAGAGAGAGAGAGAGAAGGGGGAAGTGCTACACACTTTTAAACAACCAGATCTTGTGAGAAGTCCATCATGAAACAGCACTAGGGAGATGGTGCTAAACCATTAGAAACCACCCCCATGAGCCAATCACCTTCCACCAGGCCCCTCCTCCAACACATGGGGATTACAATCAACATGAGATTTTGGTGGGGACACAGAGCCAAACCATATCAGGCATGGTGGTGTGCCCCTGTAGTCCCAGCTTCTTAGGAGACTGAGGTGGGAGGATTGCTTGAGCCAGGGAGGTTGAGGCAGCAGTGATCTGTAATCATGCCACTGCACTCCAGCCTGGGTGACAGAGACCCTGTCTCAAACAAACAAACAAACAAAAAAAGGTAAAGCTTCTTTTCCTCAAAATATGCCATAAAGTAAAATAAAAAACAGACAAACACAAACTGGGAAAAGATATTTGCAATGTGGCAGTCAGGGGAGTGTGCTGTTCGGCTCCTTTCAACAGAGACACACTTATGAGGTGTGATTGGCTGACAGCCTGGAGTTGCCTCATCTTCAGGATCCACCACTGTGTTCTAGCAGAGGCTCTGCTAGCTCTGACCGATCCTAGCCAATGTCTGAGTACGGAGGGAGTACCAGAGTTGAGTCATTCCTGCTCAGTGTGGGACTTCTTTAAAAGGCAAACTTTCTTCTGAGGCTCCCCATTAGCCTGGCTGACTTTCTCAGAGCTGCCCTGCAGATGGAGGCTTTTCCCACCCAATTCTCTTTCCTCTTCTTCCCTTTCACAGGCATAAAGACCTGCACTGGGGTCTGAAAACTCTCCCCAACCATGCCTGCTCTTTTCCCCATTATCCTGCGCAGGTATTACCCCCCATTATTGTCTTGCACTTCCAATTTTGTTTTGATTTCTGCTTCTTGGAAGACTTGAATTAATATAGCCTATAAAGAACAAAAGACTAGTATCCAAGCTGGGCATGGTGGCTCACGCCGTAATCCTAGAGCTTTGGGAGGCTGAGGTGGGAGGATTGCTTAAGGCCAGGAGTTTGAGACCAGCCTGGGCCAAATAGCAACACCTCATCTCTACAAAACAAAAAAAGGACTATTATTCAGAATGTATATGATTTGGAATCATATGCATTCTATAGGATTCAAATCATATAGACAAATTTATATACAATCCAAACTGTATATTGATTAGAAAAAGATAAATGGCTCAATAAGAAATTAGGCAAAAGATATGAACAGACAATTCACAGAAGATGAAATCTAAAAGGCCAATAAATACATGAAAAGATGCCAATCTCAGTAGTAGCCGGGGAAATGTAAATTAAAGCAAAGCAAGGTACCATTTTATATCTCTAAGATTGGTAAAAAAACAACCATTTGCCAAAGTATTTGAGAAGATACAGAGCAACATGTACACTGTGGGCGGAAGTATAAATTGATGCAACCATTTTGGATAGTAATTTAGTAATTACTTATCTAGTAAAGATGTGGAAGTACTTAACCATCAATTCCACTTAAGAGATTCTCCCATGTGTACATAAGATATGCAGAAGAATATATTATAGAATTATGTGAAAGAAGAAAAAACCCAGAACAACCTAAATATTCACTAAGAGAAAAACAAATAAGTAAATATCACATAACTGTGAAAAGAAACCAAAACAAAAATTTCCAGGAAATTTTTGAAAAGGAAGTGAAAAGTTGACTTTGGCTGTGAAAGTCCTATAATATTTTTTAAATTTTTTTTTAAAGTAAAAAGAGAGGAAGAGAGAGAAAGAGATACTTGTTTATCTTCTAGTCTACAGAAACTAAATTAACAAGTACTTTTGATATGATTTGTATTGGCCACACTAACTCCTGAAGGAGACAAACTATGATCTTGTCAATCCTTCATCTATCAAAACAGATGGGGAAGAGTCGTTTGCTAACAATTTATTTTCTTTTCTTTCTTTCTTTCTTTTTTTTCTCATCAGTCTTGACAACTGTTGAAGGTGCTAGAAGTTTGGTGGTGCTGTCTTAAATGTCTGGCCTGAGTGGGCCTGGCATTCAGAAATACAGATGAGAAGGGGGAAGGGGAGGTGGGTTACGGCGGGTGGAGCAGGAAGGAATGTGGGCCCCCCTAGTGTGTGTCCCTGCTGGGGAACTGCCTCGCCACCCAGGCTTCATCTAGCATAAGGCTGCCAGCCACCTGCTGCCTCATGTGTGCTGTCCTGGAATTCTTATTACATCTCAGAAATCCTGCTCTGGCCAGTGATGAAATTACAGACAGCAGAGTCCAGCCTTGCCTATGTGACCTGAGAGGGGAAACCTCTCTTCTGGATCCCAGTTTTGGAAAATCTTCCAGGCCTCTCTGCCAGGGCCTTGTCCTCAGTTGTCTTCCTGATCTGGGACCAACTGAGAAGCCCTGAACTGTTTACTGCCCCCTCCTTTCCCCCTGGAATGCATCTATTGACTGTCACCACACCCTCCCATCAAGCCAGCAACAGGTAATAAGCATCAATAAAGAGCAAGACCTGGGGCTGGCATTGAACACAAGCAACTAGATCAGATCTGGCTTCCAAAGAGGTTGAATGAAACGAAGTGTTATTTTATTTTTTAAATCTTATTCAGAAAATATTTATTGAACCGTACAATGTACTTGGGGGGAAACATGGAAAAAGATTCATACCTTGTTCTCAGTGTTGAAAGCTCAGAGCAGAAGATAGACAAGAGAATGGATGATGACTTTTGGATGAGATAAGGGCTAGGACAGGTAAGAGCAAGGTACAATGGCACCTACTGGAGACCCCAGGAGACCTAAACCTGAGAGCTGGGGAAAGCTTCCTGGGGAAATGACATCTCAACTGAGACCTGAAGGAACAGGACTTAGCCAGGTGCTCTGTGTAGGGGTTGAGGCAGAGTGGGGGTGACTGTTAGGAAATAGAGATTGAAATTATAGACAGAGCAAATAGCAAGGGCAAAAGGAAAGAGCAAGGCCAAGAATGATTTGGAGGGGGAAATACTGGAGTCAAGGAAACTAGGTAAGAGATTGGGAATGAAAGGCATCCTTTGCTTCAGGGAGTCTATGGGAAGAGGCTTTCTTCTTCTCTCTCCCCTTCTCTTTATTTTCTCCTTCTCTCTCTTTTGTTTTCCCCCTCATTAAATACTTTGTGATTCTTCTATGCATTTAGGAGTGTGTTGGTGACTCCAAATGAAGGAGATGGTGGCAGTGGTATTGGGGTAGGAAGTGGTGTGTGGTAGGTAGAATAATGGCCCCCCTAAAGGCGTTCATTTCCTAATCCCCAGAACATGTGAAAATGTTACTTTATAAGACTTGGATTAAGTTAAGGATCTTGAGATGGGGAGGTTATCCTTGATTATCTGGGTGGGCCCAAGGTAATCACAAGAATCCTTAAAAGATGGAAGAAGAGAGAACTTTGTTGAAACTGTAGGGGCCACGGGAAAATTCCCCTTCACTCTCTGAAGGTTTGCTGAAAAATCAACTCACAAATGGCAGATTACTTGGAGAAAAGGCATATAAACATATTTAAGGCTTATTTATTTAAGGCTCTATGTATAACACAAGAGCCTTCAGAATGAAGACCCAAAGATACAGGGGAAATTGTCCATGTTTATGCTTAGGTTCAGAAAAGTATGGACAGCCATGTAGAAATATGATTGGACAAAAAGATTATGATCTAATGCTAATGTAATTTCCTCATGGGTTCTTCTTGCCTGCTGCCCAGAAAAGCCAGTTCACTGAGAACAGCAGGTGTTGCAGCAAAGAAAGAGTTCACTAATCACAGGGCCAGTCAAGCAGAAGGACGGAAGATAATTCTCAAGTCCACCTCCCTGAGAACTCAGAGGCTAGGGTTTTTTAAGGGTAGTTTGGTAGAGGCAGAGCTACGGAATGGGTATGCTGATTGGTTGGGTTGGGAAGGAAATCACAGAGGGTTGAAGCTGTCTTCTTGTGCTGAGTCAGTTCCTGGGTAGGGGGTCACAAGACCAATTGAGACAGTTTCTTGGTAATGGGTTAACTGGTCTGGATGGCACCAGCTGGTTCATCAAAATGAAAGGTCTGAAAGATACCCTCAAACACCAATTTTAGGTTTTACAATAGTTATGTTATCTATAGGAGCAATTGAAGAGGTTACAAATCTTGTGACTTTTGCTTCTGAGGCTGCTTCTGAGACCTTCATTTTGGGATATTATTTTCTGGGCCCCAACAATGCTCTGCTGTTTTCTTTGAAGCTGGAGGAAGGGGCCACAAGCCAAGGAATGCAGGTGGCCTCTGGAAGCTAGGGAAGGCAAGGAAGCAGATCCTTTTCTAAAGCCTCCAGAAGGACCACAGCCCTGCTGACATCTTGATTGTAGGAGTTTTGACCTTCAGAACTATAAGATAATAAACTTGTGTTGTTTTAATGCACTAAGTTTGTGGCAGTTTGTTACAGCAGCAATAGCAAACTATACGAGGTGAATAGGCTCCAGAGTGGTTTAGGAAATAATTTGATTAGAAGGAGGAGATGAGAGAAAGGCCTCCTTGGATTTCTGGGTCAGGCATTAAGGTGAATTGAGGTACCATTCCCTGAGCTAGGGCCCAATGGCGAGGGGATGGCGGGGAGGGCTGGTGATGGCATATTCACTTTTGGACATGTTGGGGTTGCAGTGTCCATGGGAGTTCAAGGTGAAGGTGTCCAGTAAGCACTTGTCTGTTGGGACAGGGGCTGGTCTGGAGGCTGAGGGTGTTCATGGTCATTGAAGTCACAGCCCAGGTGGTGGGGCCATGAGAGTGACATTGAGAGGAAAAGAGAGCTGGGGCCAGAGCCTGACATTTGAGGGAAGATCTCTTTGTAGGTCGGGAAATAGAGCAAAACATGCCTCTGCGGGATTGTTTTTTGCTTTGTAAACTTTTCAACCCTTGTATATTCTTTGCTCCCTGGTGTTTTTTCAAAACTTTATCTTGTGTACAAATGGGCAGATTTCGGTTCTCCACTCCTGGACTATCCCTCTCATTCCTGCTAGTGCCTTCCCGAATACAGAACGCCATTGAGGGGGGGATTTAAACTGTTTCTGGACTCCAGTTGCCTCTCTTGTGACCCTGCTTTCTTTCTTTCTTTCTTTTTTTTTTTTTTTTTTTTTTGAGACGGAGTCTTGCTCTGTTGCCCAGGCTGGAGTGCAGTGGCATGATCTCGGCTCACTGCAACCTCCTCTGCCTCCCAGGTTCAAGTGATTCTCCTGCCTCAGCCTCCCAAGTAGCTGGGATTACAGGTGCATGCCACCACTCCTGGCTAATTTCTGTAGTTTCAGTAGAGACGGGGTTTCACCATATTGGCCAGGCTGGTCTCGAACTCCTGACCTTGTGATCCACCCACCTCAGCCTCCCAAAGTGCTGGGATTACAGTCATGAGCCACTGTGCCCAGCACCTGACCCTGCCTTCTATGCTAGGCTCCTGCTCCCAAGCGTCCTCTGCAGAGGCTCACAAAGACAAGCCTCAGTGCTAGCTCATGATCCCAGCAATCTCCCTGCACGCCACTTCTCCCCACCCTTCTCTGTCCATGTCTTGACCTGTTCCTACCTACTTTTTCCTTGGGTTCTCCTACTCACATTTTGAGTCTTGTTGCTGGCCCCGTCCAGAGGAAGCAGCCTTCCTGACTCTGTACCTGGCATAGCAACCTTAGCTTAATTTTGCCATTTCAGGATTTGAGAACCCCAGGCCCACTCCCCAACTTTTGCACTTACTGTTCTCCCTGCCTAGAACGCACTTCTAGAAGGGACCTCTGAGTTGGCCTGACTCAACTTTCAAAGCAGTGTAGGATTTTTGTACACCAAAGGTAGTTTTGCTTTCTCTATCACATGGATTGTACACAACTGTTTACTTGTTTTCGTCTCTCTTCTTGATCACAAATTCCTTGTGAGCAGGGACCCTGGTTTATTCATCTCGTATCTTCAGCACCTAACATACCACGTGGTTCAATAAATTTTTCTGTTGGACAGAACCCTTCTAGACTGGATCATTATGTCTTCACTCTGACAGCGAGGTGAGCGTGCGTCGGAGGAAGATGTTTTCCTCGCCTGAGTCCTGACAGGCAGTGTACTAATTAGCAACAGGTGAATAGCAGCACGCAACCCACATGCTTCCCTTACATAACACGCAGTCTTCTCCTGCTCCTCGCTGTCTCCAAGCTTTGCACAAGCCCCGGTTGCCTGCTCCTCTGCACCAGAGGTTGCAGGGATCACGCATCTCTTGGCCTCTCTAACAGATACCTGTGCTTGGCCTCACATATCTGGCTCGACAACCTGAGCCAGGCAGCCAGCAGGAAGGAATCGCCTCTGTCCTGGAATGTCTTGGCAGGTCTGGAATCCAGTTAGGGAGAGTGCTAGTTGGAATGTTTGGCTGGGAGGAGCGAGGAGGCTAAGGGATAACTGCATAACTGAGTCTCCAGGGCTCTAAAATCCCATTTTTCCTGGGGTTAGGGAGGAGACTCAGGGTTGAGAAATGCAAGATAATTGAATTTGGAAAGGAAAAGGAGATGGAAAGCATGTGAGCAACCTAGCTGCTGCTGGCGGATCACATGCCGGCCTCTGAGCACTTGTTTCCAAAGGCAAGAGCCAGCTGGTGTAGGTCTTAAGGGTACTTCTCAGTTGCCTCAGACACACAGCTCAGGGGAAGTCAAATGCAGCCGGAGCCCCCCTCCCCACATCTCTGTGTACTGTTTTGCACTCCCCTCAACCTAGAAAAAGAAGGAAGACTGAGTTGATCAAATTACATGCTGGCCCTGCTGTACCTCCTCCTCACCCCCAAGGTTAAAATTGTGGATTCAGTAATATGCATAATAACCCCGGAAACATTGAGTTCTATGGCACAGAAACCTTGTGCATTTCTGCAAAGGCAGTTTAAATACAAAAGCCAAAAATAGACCCATAAATAGCACAAGGGTGAAATATTTAAGACTCTGATAGCTCAATGGGCCTGCCGTTTTGCTAAACAAGTGGTTCTCAAACGAGATCGCAAGAAGGGCTTATTAAAATACAGATTGCTGGCCCTACCCCTACAGATTCTGCTTCTGTAGGTCTGGGCCGGGCAGACCACTGGGTCAGGTTCTGAGATCCCCAGTGATGCTGATGTTGTTGGTCCAGGGAACCTTGCTTTGAGAACTGTCTTTTTTTTTTTTTTTTTTTTTTTTTAAACAGCTAAAGAAACTTATTTAGAGAGAAATACGTAAAACAAATAGACAGAAAAGCTGCTATGTGAAAACCGGGCCTCAGGGCAGTCACAAGCAGAAGCCTGCAGATACTTTACATTGTCCCTTGTGTGGTAGGGTAGGTCACCCTCTCCCAACGGCTTTTCCAAAGGGTACCCTGGGATTCACACCCTTTCCGCTTTGTGGCTCCTACAGTGCCCCTTCCCCACAGTGCCTACTGCATCCAAACTCTTGGTACACAGCTAAGGAAAGGTGAATCTAGGATGCAGTCCACCAAAGACTATGGGATTTAGAGTTTAGAAAGTTCAGCTTGTATAGGCTGGGGCGGGGGTGGCTCACGCCTGTAATCCCAGCACTTTGGGAGGCTGAGGCGGGTGGATCACCTGAGGCCAGGAGTTCGAGACCAGCCTGACCAATATGGTGAAACCCTGTCTCTACTAAAAATACAAAAAAAAAAAAAAAAAAAAAAAATTAGCCAGGCATGGTGGTGTGTGCCTGTAGTCCCAGCTACTTAGGAGGCTGAGACAGGAGAACTGATTGAACCCGGGAGATGGAGGTTGCAGTGAGCCAAAGTCACGCCACTGCACTCCAGCCCGGGCAACAGAATGAAACTCGATCTCAAAAAAAAAAAAAAGAAAAAGAAAGTTCAGCTTGTATCAACCAAAAATATCACCAAGTTATTTCCAAGCCTTTCTAGTTTTCTGTTCCCTTCCATGACCCCAACCCTGTCTTTAAGTCTAGTGACTTTAAAAGCCAATATTTCTCCTTGAGTGATTTCCTCCACTCTTCCCCAAGAACACACATTTCTCTGCGGAAACTGAATTATTGCTTTTGTCCTTAGTTTCCTGGAAGAATCAAGATAATTTTCTGCATGGCCTTCATGTCAACTCTTTTGATTTCACTCCAGTATTTCTCTCTCATAGGCTCTCAATTCTTTCATGGAAACTTCCTGAGTTAAAGTCCGCTACGTCTTCCCCACTCTGAGATTACAGCATCAATTTCATCTCCTCTTGAGAATTCTCATTCCTCGCCCAACCAGCTGCCTTGGCCTACTTTAGACCACTTTGCTGTGAGAGGAAGTCACTCTCTCCCCTGGGGTTAAGCTCTCACTTTCTAGCCATAACCTCACATCTGTCACTCAAGTGCAACCCCTGCCCCACCCCCACTTTCCTCTGGTGGATGAGCATTGTGGTGGAGAGAGGGTGGAGGGATGGGAATAAGTGGGGGTGGAAGATGGGAGAGGTGGAGATTATTTGTTACTGAAACATTCATTTTAGGAAAAATCAGATCCTTGATTTCCTTCCTTTATGCTTAAAAAAAATGCAATTTGGTGTTGTCTTTAATTTGGGGTGAGGTTCCTTAATGGGTCCTGTCTTCATGGTCTCTGAAGGTCTTAATCAGACTGACTGCTGCAGCCCAGCGATCAAATCTTATGACTCCAGGATATTTCAGCGGGAGAACCTTGCACATTGCTTAATGAATGGGCTGTTTTAGTTTTACACTGTTCAAATATTTGCTGAAGGAAAGAGTGAATTATGCTCCATAGGCCTTAGCTTAGCTGGATGGTGGGATTCACAATTACAGTGTCACACCTCACGTAGACTCTACCTCAGAAAACATCTTACATTTAAAAATATTTTTGAGGTTAAAAAAGGCAAAATCTGCAAAACTTTTTTTTTTTTTTTTTTTTTTACCTCCACAAAGAAAACCTCAATGCCTCCTCCCCTCAGCCAAGTATAAAGAGTGTAATTTTCTCCTTGAGGAAAGTGACATAAGTCATCTGACAGGGCCTGCATGATCCGGGTCACTCACTGCAAGTGCTCCGGCAGCATCTTCCTAACACAGAAGCTTCCTGAGATTGCACATTGGCATCCGTTCGTGGTAAGGCTGGAGGATGGAGCTGTGCTATTTCTTACCTTAGGACTTATGAAGCAAGCATCTGTGGAAGCCGGGGTGACAGAGTCCAAGGTTTAGCTTGGGATCTGCTTCAAGGACAAAGACTTTTGTGTCATCTGAGCAAATATTAGGAACTGGTCACTGCTGTGTGCCACTCACAGCTCACATCTGGGTGTTAGGAAATCCAAACCTGCAGCCAAGGCTGTCATTCTGGCTGGGTATGAATGTATCAGCTACAAGAGGCTGCAGCCAAGTGCAGAAATCCAGCCAGCAGCTAACCCAACACAGAAGAGTCACTCTAAGTGCAATGGCCACCCTCTTCCTCTCCTGTTCTCCTGCTCCAGAGGGGAACTTTCTAGGGGTCATCCAGATGATCGTCTCTGGACAGCCTGAATTAGAACCACTGCAGAAACCAAGTGTGCACAGCTGAAACCACCCTCTGCCCCGGCCCTTTACCAAGCAGACTGGTCAGCCCAGCGAGGCCCCCAGCATATGGGGCTCAGTTCTTCAGGCTGCCTCCTTGGAAATGGCAGAGCAAAATCACTGCAGGCTGGGTGCATGCCCTCCCCACCCTGGGGCATGCCAATGGGGTCAGTGACAACTGTTTCCAATTAAGGGCTTTGCTGAGAAGAACAGACTGTGTTCTGGAAATAAAACCCCCTTTAAAAATGTCCACTTCATCCTGGACTCAAGATAGGAAATTTCAATGTTCCTAACCAGAAAACGTAAAGGCAAAGGAAAAGCTGGAGAGTCCCTTTTCTAAACCTTCTTTAGAGATATTTAAAGCAAAAATAATTCTCCATGCCTTCCCGAGGGAGCTCTTTAGGCCCAGGGTTGTTTACTCGACTTCTCTTGCTGATTTGGTGGCATGCGTGGGCTCATGCGCCCCTCTGCAGTAGGGTGTACATCCAGGAAATCGTGGAGTAGGGGTTTTGTCCAGGACACCACAAATGAGGCAATCCAAGTGACCATTTGTGGGACAGGTCATTACGAATGCCTTTCTTTTCTAGGGCAGGAAACTGAAGCTCTTGGGAAGGTGGAAGTTGCACGTGGTCTCACAGTCAACTGTGCCAGAATAGGAGGCCAGGAACCATCTCTGCTGGAGGAAGACCCACCACGCATCCCTTCAAGAATGCCAAGGTCCAGAGCAAGTGCTTCCCTTCTATGGGCACAGGAGGGCTGTGGGAGCCCACAGAATGTGCTTCTGGCCAGAGGTATGTGGCATTCTTTATAATAATGGACATTTGGGAGCATTTACTATGTGCTAGGCACTTCTCTTGACATACATTAACTTAATTAAGAAACCCTATAAAGTAAGTGCTATATTATTGCTATTTTACAGATGAGAAAACTGAGGCCCAGAAAGGCTAAGTAATTTGTCCAAGGTCACTCTTGTAGGAATTGGCAGAGCCATGATCTGAACTCAATCAAGTCTGATTCCAGAGCCAGTGCTGTTAGTTCCATGCTCTCCTGTCTCATGCCCCTCACTCTCTGGGTTTTAAGGACAGTTATTTACTTAGTCCATTGTATGACTGAGTATGTTCATGTACGTGATTCCATTTGATTTCTTTCTACAGCAGCCCTAGGACGTAGGTAGATTGAACAACATTGTCCCTATCAGGCGGTGAGGAAACTAAGACAGAGGTCAAGCATCTTTTTCAAGGTCACCTTATTAGTAATAAACTACTCAGGCTCCTGATTTTGAAGAAATCTTTGCTCCATTGACCCACGTGGAGTTAATCCTATGTGTAGGGTTAGAAACAAGGAGTAATGCTCAACACCCGATTTGCAATCTCAGTTGATTTAAGACCCAGGACTTACCTCCTACACATCATGACCTCCTTGCAAAATAGAATGGAATCATCGCCTCCAGGTGATACTAGGTTGCCAGGACAAGATGGGCCTGACCTTCCTCTGGTGATGGGTGTTGACCATAAGGCCACATGAGAAACTGAGTGCTAGGTCACAGTGCTCCCGGAACTGGCCTATGGGTGTGCCCTGAAGAAGTAGAGCAATGGCAGTCCTTGTTCAGATTACCCTGTCTTCCTGGGTTGCTCCAGCATGTTCTCTGTAAGAACTTCAGTCATCTTCCTGGCATGAGAGAATCTCAGGTCTGGTCACCATCAATAAGGAGGGTCCCCTTTGGATAGAGTGGCTATGGGCCACCTGACTAGTGACTAGCTTCCCTTGGTCCAGTGTATGGATGCTTTTGGCCTGAGCCAGGTTACAAGGCTGATTTCATTCAAGGTGCAGGACACTGTCCAGAACAACTTCACTGAAAGAGCCTCCTGGACCCCTTTGCTCTGAAGGGGGCTGAGGACTTACTGCCAGGCAGTAAGCTATCAGTGGCCTGTTAAACACAAAGATAGAGCTTAGAAGAGGCCTTGGAAATGACATTTTATTTTATTAACAATATAGGCCAAGTTTAAAGCGTCACTGGAACTGTTCACTGCTGAGCTGGAAGCAGAACCAGGCTTCTGACTCCAGGTCCGGCACACTACTGCTGCTCGCAGGAGATGTCTAGATTGCCTAGTCAAACAAGCCTCTTAGATTAAGTACAAAGGGATGTGGAGTCTACTATCCGCTCCGCTGGAAGCTTGCTGAGTACTACCCAATAATTTTTTTTAAAAGCAGGACTTTCTTGGGTATCAACATTTCCATATCTTCTCTCCTTTCCCAAATCCCTGCTCTGTAATTTGAGATGCTTCCCTGATCTCAGACTCAGTGCAGACACAGTACAGAAAGGATGAGAAGGCATGAGGAAACCCCAAACAACAGAGCCAGGAATCTGTCTGCGGAAGGGAGAGATGCTGGAAGGGTCAAGCAGGTGGGGAGGTATCAGATGCCACATGTCTGCAGTGGCGACCCTGCTGCCCAACGCCAACCCTGCTTCTTGGCAGCATCTGCTGGACCATCAGAGGCATGATTCAGCCAGAGGACACATCCGAACCCGTTAGGCATGGAACACCAAGTAAACAGCCCCTAGGAATGTCTCTGACTTGAATTTCAGCTCATTTACTTGGGAGCATCTGTCCTCTCTGGTTGGGGAAAAGAGGAATAGGGGATAGGGAAGGCTCAGCTTACAACACCCTTTGGCTAAAGGAGGCTGCGTGGTCTGGGGGGCAGTGGTTCTTGGGATGTTTGGTGGGGGTACTGCAGGGACAGAGGGTGGGGCAAGGGGAGACTGAGGGGAAGGCTATTCCTGGCACCCCCACATCCCTGGCTCTCAGCTACTCAGCTGCTATCTGCTCCAAACAGTGCAATTCTGCTTGAATTTCGTTTCAAGTGAAGGTTCTGTGACTAGAACTTTCTGAGAAGCATTGAACTCATGGAGATGTGTAGGATGAGAGCAAGCAAGGTTTTGAGCTCATACCTGCCAACAGCTTCTGAGTGACCTTCATCAAAGCTACGCATCCCAAGAGCCAGACTTCGGTCATCTCCACTGCAAGGAAGATTTGCGTGGGCTCTGTCCTGTCTTCCCACACGGGAAGGGGGTCAGGGCAACTGTCTAAGCAGGTGACCCTGCCTTGGAAATGCTTTCATCTTGAGGGCACTCAGACCAGCCCTCCAACCCGCCCCCTCTCCCCTCCTATCCCAGATGAACTCAAAGGTGTGACACTAACTGGAAAGATAAAAAGGATGATTAAAAATCAAGGTATTGGCCAGGTGTGGTGGCTCACGCCTGTAATCTCAGCACTTTTGGGAGGCTGAGGCGGGCAGATCACCTGAGGTCGGGAGTTCGAGACCAGCCTGAGTAACATGGAGAAACCCCGTCTCTGCTAAAAATACAAAATTAGCTGGGCGTGGTGGCGCATGCCTGTAATCCCAGCTACTCGGGAGGCTGAGGCAAGAGAATCACTTGAACCTGGGAGGCGGAGGTTGTGGTGAGCCAAGATCATGCCATTGCACTCCAGCATGGGCAACAAGAGAGAAACTCCATCTCAAAACAAAACAAAAACAAAAACAAAAACAAAAAAAAATCAAGGTACTATTATCACATAAGTTGACAAGGAAGAAGAAAAATGGGAGAGGACAGAGAGGGGGAGGAAGAATTCTGAGTCTTTTAGCCATTGATATTTACTGTCTAGTCAAGCAAGCTGCTTAGATTAAGTAGAAAGGGATGCAGAGAGTTTGAGACAGTTGCTGCTGGCTCAGGTTAGGTAAAGCACACTAATTAGAAAGGGTGGTAAGTGGCAATCATAAAAAAGTCAGGAAACAACAGGTGCTAGAGAGGATGTGGAGAAATAGGAACACTTTTACACTGTTGGTGGGACTGTAAACTAGTTCAACCATTGTGGAAGTCAGTGTGGCGATTCCTCAGGGATCTAGAACTAGAAATACCATTTGACCCAGCCATCCCATTACTGGGTATATACCCAAATGACTATAAATCATGCTGCTATAAAGACACATGCACACGTATGTTTATTGCGGCATTATTCACAATAGCAAAGACTTGGAACCAACCCAAATGTCCAACAATGATAGACTGGATTAAGAAAATGTGGCACATATACACCATGGAGTACTATGCAGCCATAAAAAATGATGAGTTCATGTCCTTTGTAGGGACATGGATGAAATTGGAAACCATCATTCTCAGTAAACTATCGCAAGAACAAAAAACCAAACACCGCATATTCTCACTCATAGGTGGGAATTGAACAATGAGATCGCATGGACACAGGAAGGGGAATATCACACTCTGGGGACTGTGGTGGGGAGGGGGGAGGGGGGAGGGATAGCATTGGGAGATATACCTAATGCTAGATACGAGTTAGTGGGTGCAGCGCACCAGCATGGCACGTGTATACATATGTAACTAACCTGCACAATGTGCACATGTACCCTAAAACTTAAAGTATAATTAAAAAAAAAAAGAAAAAAAGTATCTAAAAATTATTAAAATATATTCAAGCAACTCCAAAAAATAAAAATAAAAATGAATTTTAATAGCAAGTTAAAAAAAAAAAAAAAAAAAAAAGAAAGGGTGGGAAGCCAGAAAAGACATAATTACCCAACTGATTCCAAATGAGGCTCATTGAGCCAATAGGAAGTTCACCATTGCAACACACCCTACTGGAAAGGTCAAAATCACTGAATGCAAACTGCAGCAGGTCAGGAGTGTACTCTGATATTCAACTGAAGACTGACAGGTCTCCAAAAAAAGGACCAGCACCTTTGCTGACTGCTGAATTCCCAAATGCAAGCCTGCTCTCCAAATTCCATGACGAGCATAACGCTTGCTGTTCTGTGCAGTTATCTATTAAAGGAAAGATGACTTTTGAAAACAACATTCTCTAGGTAGTAGGTGTGCAAGTAGGGGGATTTAAGTGATCTGTGGAGTAATGATGATGACGGAGAAGATGAAACTAAAGAGGGAATCAGAACAAGATTATAGATGGGTTAGCAAATCTGGATTATTTAACAGTAGTTTTTGGAGAATACCTATGCCCCCAACAATAAAGGTTATGGAAGAAAAAAAAAATCAGACCTAATGTTTCCATGAAGATTCTTAGTAGAAGATGCATTTTAGCCCAAGGAGATGATAGCATAGTAATTCAAATCCCTTGTTCCCATGACTAAAAATAAGGATGATTAAAGAATGGAGTCTTAGCTCTCTGACATCCCAGATAGTAGGCCTTGTCCCTGGACTTGCAAATTGAGCAAGGCAAGCACAGTGGAGAAAAAGAAATGCCTTTATATTTAGATTGTTTTCCACCCATTACTAAGGCAGTAAGGTTGAGGACCACAAGGTCACTCTTGGATCCTCATTGGGCCTTCTTCTGGCTGACTGCTTTCTGAGAGGGTCATTGTGCATTCCCGAAATGACTCCCTCTGGAATCATCCACCCTCAGACCATCCGTCCACATGTCCCAGTATCTACTGTAGCTGGCAGTAATTTGCATGCCCTCTGGAATTTCTTGGGCTGTATCTCCAAATGCCTGCTGCACTATTTGGAATGTCATCCTCATCTCACAGCATCTTGTCTCCAACCGGGGATTTCTCGCATGGCGTTCACTGCATTTACCTTGAGGGCTGACATTGCCACAGCTGTGCAGAGGAGATAGAGCCTATAGATGCATGAAGCCATCCCTTCAACAACTTCTCAGACACAGCAAAATAATTCCAGCAAACAGCAGAAACCAAGGAGTGTCTTCCATATGGAGGCCAATCAGTGGACACATGAATCCTTACGGGCAAGGCTAGTTGCATTGTTTTAAATAATTCTGATCAGGGTCAAGGGTAGTACCATGACCAAATGGGGCAGTAGAAGACTGCTCAGGACTGGGGAGGAGGAGACGTGGGGGATATAAGTACGTCTTGAAATATCCTGACCTGGGCCAGGGAAGGACAGGTTTAACACCATTTTATGATGGTGTGTGTGTGTTTAAACTACTTTTGGAATTCCTCTATATTAAATTATCTGAAACTTTGACATTACAGCAAGTATAGGGTATAAATTGCTATGTATTCTATCTGCTGTCTATTAGAGGTCCATAGTTTATGGCAGTCTTTGACCCATATGGGTTGGCTATCACAAAACTGCACAGAATCCTGTGAAAGGTAAGGACAGTTTATCAAACTCCCCTGCCAGGTTTTTCAACCCAGAACCCCACATAGGGATCCATACACACACACACACACACACACACACACACACACACACGCCCCACTATAGGACTTCACTATTATCTATGTTGAGCCCCTGTTTCTGCTGTGTTGGGAAAGGGAGATGAGATGTTAATAATATCTGCACTTACTTGAGCATGCACGGGTTTTTTTTGGCGGAGGCACTGAAAATTGGGCAACCAAACTTAGAAAAAGTGACCCTGCCATCTAGAAATCTCGGGTGATAAGGCAGCACAATTGAACTTGTATTGTTGGTATCCTCAAGACTTCTTCTTGGTTCCAGTCATCCTGGAGAACCCAGGAGGGCAGGACCCTCACCTCCCATAAACTCGAGATACCTATGGGTGGGCTGACTCCGGGGGGCCCCTCCATGAGAGAATGAGGCCTGCACACAGCTGCAGAGGACCCTGGATTGGATAATGAGGGTGATTGTGACATACAGCATGGTAGGAAGAGCCTGATCTAGAATCTGGACTCCACCACCTCTGAGGTATGTGATCTTTCCCACCTGCCTTAAGCTCCGAGCCTCAGTTTGCTCGCTTGGTGGAAGGAGCAGAATTGTCTAAAGTGACCCCAGGGGCTTTCCCTAGGTTGCTTGGGCTGGATGGGAGATTCCTATCTCCTCTCTATTGGAGAAGCTGCATCTGAACCTAGCCCATGGCCTTAGCAGTTCTTCCCCTGACAAGAAGGTCTCTTCTGTCCTGTGGGCTCCAAGGGCCAGGCAGTTGGCACTTTCAGACAACTTCTATAAACAGCTGGCAAATCCAGACTGCATTGCACCAGAGTGCCTTGTTGAATTTGTTTTTACTTGTAGGATATGAAAAAAGAATGACAGGTGCAGTGGGGGCCTCCATTGCTAAATAGACCCACAGTGTGGTCCAGCAGCTGTGGGAAGATGGGTGGGTTCAGGGACCTCTGCCTTCATTTATTTTGCAGGCCCTGGCTTGGTAAATTTGCCCTTCCCCTAGTCAAGCATATTCCTTAACACATGCCTTGTGTCATCATGAAATTTGTCTTGAACCCTGGAATAAGGACCCAACTTTCATGATACCTTGTTTGCAGGAATGGGGTTACAACATCTTAAAGGCTTGTGAAAAAAAAAAAAAAAAAAAAAAAAAAAGCAAGCCAGGCACAAAGGCAATACTGTCAATAATGGCACTGAGTTGTGCCTGGGCCTGGCCTATTCAGAAAATGATGATAAACGCAGTGTGGCTTCGGTGCTGGGTGCATGGTGGGGTTGGGCCCTGAGGCTGCAGAGGGACTGGGGCTAAGGAATCATTTTTCCCTTGAGAGCCACTGAGTGTCTGCATCCCCACTCTCAGCTTGGGAAAGACAGGTGGAGTCTCCCCTGGCCCCAGCCCCAGGTCCCCAGAAGGTGGTCTGGGGGAGTGTGGAGCAGTTGGAGATTTGAAGGCAAATCGTGATGAGGTCCCCAGTGGAGCACTGAATGTGGGGTTGATGAGAAGCGTCCTTCAGAAGGATGAATAGGATTCTGTGACCATTACATGATGTGGGGAGTGAAAAGGAGAAGCAAATGTGCTCGATACATACCACTTTTGTTCCTTTCCTTCCCCCCAGCAGACAAAGGTACCCAAGAGCCAGAGGGGCCTCTCTGGGGAAAGAGCTGACCAGCTAGTGTTTCAAGGCCAGGATGCTGGCTTCATTCCTTGGGTGCTGGACATCCCCCTGAGCCCTTTCACCTGGCTTGGCTGAACCCCACCTCTGCCCACCTGTCCATACCTGTTTGCGTTGGTCCCCGAAATACACCCTTGCCCTCCTTTTTAAAAGAGAAAGGATGGATGCCAATAACTATTATTATTTTGGAACTTTATGAAAGTTACCTAAAAAAAAGAATCTGTCAAGAAGAAGACAGTCAACTATTAAAAATGGAGCTGGCCAGGCGCAGTGGCTCACGCCTGTAATCCCAGCACTTTGGGAGGCTGAGGCAGGAGGATCACTTGAGCCCAGGAGTTCAAGAACACCCTGGAAAACATAGTGAGACCCTGCCTCCACAAAGTTTTTTTTTTAAAAATTAGCTGAACGTGGTGGTGTGTGCCTGTAGTCCCAGCTACTCGGGAGGCTGAGGCAGGAGGATCACTTGAGCCCAGGAGGTTGAGGCTGCAGTGAGCCACGATCAGACCACTGCACTCCAGCCTGGGTGACAGAGCGAGACCCTGCCTAAAAATATATATATATGTATATATATATATATATATATATATATATATATATATATATATACACACACAGAGAGAGAGAGAGAGAGAGAGAGAGAGAGAGAGAAAGAGAGAGAGCACTGAGGTTTGGCATGGGCCAAAGTCTATCTCTGATCTAGGTAATTTTTTTTTAAAACTGGACCTGGTAAGCAAGGATGAGGTATGCTCAAGATGTGTAGGGGGTGGGACAGGTAAAGCATTTGTTGGGAAGTGGCCTGATATTTTACAGACCTGAGACCTGTAGGTGTCTCATTTATATAAAAATTTTTTTTTGAGGTGGAGTCTCTCCCTGTCGCCCAGGCTGGAGTGCAGGGGTGCGATCTTGGCTCACTGCAACCTCTGCCTCCCAGGTTTAAGTATTCTCATGCCTCAGCCTCCCAAGCAGCTGGGATTACAGGTGCCTGCCGCCATGCCTGGCTAATTTTTTAATTTTTAGTAGAGACAGGATTTCACCATGTTGGCCAGGCTGGTCTTGAACTCCTGATCTCAGTGATCCACCAGCCTCGGCCTCCCAAAGTGCCGGGATAACAGATGTGAGCCACCGCACCCAGCCTGTAGGTGTCTCATTTAACTCCCAAGGACGCTGTGAGGTATTAGTGTTTCCATGTCGCAGCTCAGGAAGCTGTGGCATAGACCATATCTATCTGACAATGAAGCCTCTGACCTGGCCCCGAGACACATGCTGGGCATAGGCAGGAGGACCCGTGGTCCTGGGTGTAATTTTAAAGGAGCACACGCTCTGCCCCGCTGTACTTGCTGCTCCCCCAAGAACCCCATGTGCTCTTCAACCCAAACCAGTGAGTTCTTTGACCATCCTCATTATAATCATCATTAGGATGATCAACATCAAATGGAAATAAGATTGTTTAAAAATCCCATGAAATTAAAATAAATTGCAGCCCAATTTTTTTCTGTTTGTAGTAAATTAAAGCAAGCAGCCTCCGAGAGTGCCGGGCTCTCCTTTGGCCCGTGTTCAAGGACAGGATCAGCTTCCTCACTATCAGCTCAGCACCAGTTCCTGATCACAATGATTATGTTTATATTTGTTTGTTTATTTATTTTTTGAGACAGAGTCGCACTCTGATGCCCAGGCGGGAGTGGTGCAGTGGCGCGATCTCAGCTCACTACAACCTTTGCCTCCTGAGTTTAAACAATTCTCCCACCTCAGCCTCCCGAGTCGCACTCTGATGCCCAGGCGGGAGTGGTGCAGTGGCGCGATCTCAGCTCACTACAACCTTTGCCTCCTGAGTTTAAACAATTCTCCCACCTCAGCCTCCCGAGTAGCTGTGATTACAGGCACCTGCCACTACCCTTGGCTAATTTTTGTATTTTTAGAAGAGACAGGATTTCACCATGTCGGCCAGGCTGGTCTCAAACTCCTGGCCTCATGTGATTCACCTGCCTTGGCTTCCCAAGGTACTGGGATTACAGGCGTGAGCCACTGCTCCCAGCCTGATTATGTTTAAACAGATGTTAAAAACCAGCAGGTCACAATTCATATTGGGCTTGCAGATATATTACCAATAATATGTTGTTAGGCCTGGAAGTTGGCTTTAATTTCCTTTTTTTAAAAAAAATTGAAATAGTTGCCAGCAATGAAATGAACACTAAGAGATTTCACCTAAAAAACCTTGTTTTGGCTCCTTTTTAAAATCCAGAAGCACTGGCAACACAAGGCCACTTTCCCGCATGGCAGCAAGTGGCTGGAGCCTTGTGGCAACAGCTAACCCCATTTGCTGTCTGCTCTGCCTGGCCTGCTGGGACTGGCTTCATTCACCTGGGTTTCAGATCTGCCCCGTGTAGGCCTCTGAGTCCTTGACTCCTCTATGATGCAAAGTGGGTTACCTAATTAATTATCATGTTAGATTCAGCGCACTCCACGCACACTTGTGTCCCAGGGCCTGGGGTCCAAGGCTATGTGTGTGGTGGTGGTAGGGACTGGGGACCACAGTGGGGAGTTGAGGGAGGGAATATGGACACATTAAAACATGTGGCCTCTTGCATCTTAGTGCTCTGCAGCCAGCCTGGTCGGCTCTGAGTCCTGACGGAAGAGAGCACTTCTTTGCTTCTTGAGGTCCCTACTCCCACTACCCTATATCCAGAACCAGCTCCAAAGGTACAGAGAGATGAAGGAACACCATTAGCATCTGTTCAAGGCCTGCCCGACCCTGGGGAGTCTTTAGCTGCCAGATGAAACGACCGAGGTCCTGGGAGATTGCATCTGCCTGCAATGAATTCCAGGAAACTCTGCTGGAGACTGTGTGGCCCTAAAATGGCTCTGGGTGCCAGGAAGAAGGAAGTCTGGAGGGAGACCGTGGCTGAAAATAATGCCATTCCACTTGTCCAATTATGGGGTTTTCTTTTTCTTTTTTGTTTTCTTTTCTCGTCTTCAAATTTACACAGCTCTTTGAATTTGACCCAGAATAGTAATCTATTTTTATAACATATTTTTCTGAGATATAATTCACATATCATACAATTCACCCACTTATAGTGCAATGGTTTCCGAGATATTACAATATTTTTTAATATTGTGCTAAAATATGTATGTAACATAAAATTTGCTATTTTAGCCATTTTTAAGTGGACAATTCAGGGCATGAAATACATTCACATTTAGTATGCAGCCATCCCCACTGTCTAGTTTCACCATGTCTAGCTGACATAGTCCCCAACAGAAACTCTGCACGCGTTGAGCAATAACCCCTTATTCTCACTTCCCTCCCATCCCCTAGTGGCTGCCAGTCTACTCTCTATCTCTATGACTTTCAGTATTCTAAATATTTCATATGAGTAGAATCATGTAATAGTTGTCCTTTTGTGTCTCAGTTTATTTCACTGAACATAATGTTTTCAAGGTTCATCCACATTGTAGCATGTGTCAGAACTTCATTTCTCTTTTCTTTTCTTTTTTTTTTTTGTTTTCTTTTTTGAGATGGAGTCTTGCTCTGTCGCCCAGGCTGCAGTGCAATGGCACGATCTTGGCTCACTGCAACCTCCACCTCCCGGATTCAAGCAATTCTTGTGCCTCAGCCTCCTGAGTAGCTGAGATTACAGGTGCCTGCCACCATGCCTGGCTAATTTTTGTATTTTCAGTAGAGATGGGGTTTCACCATGTTGGCCAGGCTGGTCTCAAACTCCTGGCCTTACATGATCTGCCTGCCTCATCCCCTCAAGTGCTGGGATTACAGGCCCCCCTCAAGTGCTGGAATTACAGGAGTGAGCCACCGTGCCCAGCCAGAACTTTATTTCTTTTTAAGGCTGAAGCATATTTCGTTGTCTGTGTATGGCACAATTCATCCATTCATCTGTTGATAGACACTGCGGTTGCTTCTACCTCTCGGCTATTGTGAATAGTGCTGCAGTGAACATGGGTGTACAAGCACTTGCCCTAGTCCCTGTTTTCAGTTCCTTTGGGTAGAGACCTAGGAGTGAAACACCATCTCCTTTCAACTACCTCCCCCATCCTGGCAGCTCACACCAAGCCAGAAAATTAACTCTGATCCTAAAAATAGTTGGAGATTTAGATGTTCTAGGACAAGCTGACTGCGGTTTGACCACTTAGGAGTACCTGTGTGAGTCCTTTGTCTCTTCAAAGCCCAAATGATGCCATTTTTCTTTGCAAGTAGCCAGTCTGCCATGGAGGGCAGCGTGTGGAAAAGGCAGATGCCCACGAGGCAGAAATGTCCTCAGGGGGGTTCCTGCTGCTCCCCTCCTCCCCAGAGCAGAAAGAGGGAAAACCTCCCATTGTGGCTGAGGAGAGTGGTCCCTTCAGGAGGAAGGAGAGAGGGAATTAGCCTAGTGAGCTTTTCCTGTGGGGCAGGCACTGGAGCAGGAGATTATCTGGTTGCTCATTAAACCCCCAGGAGTATCATTGCTCCCATTTTATAGATGAGAAAAATGGCTCTGAGAAGGTGTCTCACAGACTCAAGAACTCAGTGGCTGACACTGAAAATGCAGAAATGAGGAAATACCAGCAGATGATGCTTCCTGAAAAGGGGACACATGAAATGCTGTGGGAATTCAGGACAGGGAGGGACACCGCTGCTTCGTGGTTCAGGGGAGTTTTGAGGAGAAGGCGGGCCATGCAGCTGGACCATGAAGGGTAATTTTATTTCCACAAGAAGATGGAGCGGGGAGAGGGGCAGCAGGAATAGATGCTGTAAATGGGTTTGGAATTCTTTTCTCTTCTACCTGGTTAAATCCTGGAGTCCAGGAACTCCTGCCTGTACTACAGTGGTGCAGGGGGTTTCCTGGAAAGCCGACTCCAATGGAAATTAGAGAGCAGGATGTTTACTAGGGAGTGCCTTTAGGATCAGCGCCTGAGGAAGGGAAGGGAAAGGAAGGGAAGGAAGCTGGACTGCAATTCAGGCCCCATGAAGGCCTCAGCCAGGCACCAGGGAGCTCTGGAGTTGGGCAGGCCCTTCACTTATCCCAGTTGAGGTGAGGGAGCCTGACCTTTCTCCGTGCATCGGGGATACTGGCTGCCCTTGAAAGGAGGCATGATCTTGGGTGAGGCAGTTATCTTCAGCCACAATAATTCCCCAAGAGAATTGATAGCTGAGACCTATCAGCTGACAACCCCTCCAGCATCTGGGGCAATCAGCTTTCCTTTCCTAAAGGGAGATCTGGGCCGCACAACACAGAGCCCACTGGGCACTGACTCACTGGGGTTCTCCCTGCCCTGCTCTTCACTCAAGGCTGAGGACAGTCAGGCTCCCTGGGCCTCTGTCTCTCCTCATCCAGGCTGTGGCTTAAAAAAAAAATCAGCTTAAATGTGTTGAGTAGTTCATAAGTGCAACATCTTTGATATTAGAAAGGAAGAAAAATATATATATATTTTAAATTTTAGAATGTTTATTGATCATTTGTGTTTCTTTTGTGGATATTTTTAATATTCCTTATACTTAAAACCATTTTTTCTATTTTAATTTTTGTGGGTATGTTGTAGGTGTATGTGGGGTACATGAGATGTTTTGATACAGACATGCAATGCATAATAATCACATTATGTAAAATGGGGTAGGCCGGGTGTGGTGGCTCATGCCTGTAATCCCAGCACTTTGGAGGCCGAGGCGGGCAGATCACTTGAAGTCAGGAGTTTGAGATCTGCCTGGCCAAAATGGCGAAACCCCATCTCTACTAAAAATACAAAAATTAGTCAGGTGCGGTGGTGGGTGCCTATAATCCCAGCTACTTGGGAGGCTGAAGCAGGAGAATCGCTTGAACCTGGGAGTCGGAGGTTGCAGTGAGCCGAGATCATGCCACTGCACTTCAGCCTGGGCAACAGAGCGAGACTCCATCTCAAAAAAAAAGAAAAAGAAAAAGAAAAAGAAAAAAGAAATATATATTAGTTCTTATTAATTGGTTTATTTGATTAATGAGAGTGTTTATTCATCCAAAATGTAAAATTTTAGATACAGTATATATTTTAAGATGTATCTGAAACTGTAATAATGTGTTCTGATGTTATTACTTTTCAGTGGGATCCCCGAGGAAGATGTTAAGACCTCTAATAATATTTAAGAGCAAAATTAGCACAGCTCCAGCCCATGGGCAAGTTAAGAGACAGGAGTAGTGTCTGTGGAGTGGAGGAAAGCAGAGGCTGCCGCTGACCATCCTGCAGCCCTCGCTCTGGCTGCTCACAGCTCTCCACCTTCTCTGGACTTCGTCACTTCAGTGTGAGTAGAAAACTTTTTATTTATTTATCTATTTATTTATTTATTTATTTATTTATTATTTATTTATTTATTTATTTATTTATTTTTTAAAGAAGTAAGCCTTTATTTCCTTGTTTTGCAAATAAAGCTGGCTAAGTTGGTTGCTTTTTGGTGATTAGTCAAAGAGACCAAATCCCATATCCTCGTCCGACTCCTCCGACTCTTCCTTGGCTTCAACCTTAGCTGGGGCTGCAGCAGCAGCAGGAGCAGCTGTGGTGTCAGCAGCCACAGGGGCAGCAGCCACAAAGGCAGATGGATCAGCCAAGAAGGCCTTGACATTTTCAGCAAGTGGGAAGGTGTAATCCGTCTCCACAGACAAGGCCAGGACTCGTTTGTACCCGTTGATGATAGAATGGGGTACTGATGCAACAGTTGGGTAGCCAGTCTGCAGACAGACACTGGCAACATTGCGGACACCCTCCAGGAAGCGAGAATGCAGAGTTTCCTCTGTTTTATCAAGCACTTCAGGGTTGTAGATGCTGCCATTGTCGAATACCTGCTGGATGACCAGCCCAAAGGAGAAGGGGGAGATGTTGAGCATGTTCAGCAGCGTGGCTTCGCTGGCTCCCACTTTGTCTCCAGTCTTGATCAGCTGCACATCACTCAGGATTTCAATGGTGCCCCTGGAGATTTTAGTGGTGATACCTAAAGCCTGGAAAAAGGAGGTCTTCTCGGGCCCGAGACCAGTGTTCTGGGCTGGCACAGTGACTTCACATGGGGCAATGGCACCAGCACGGGCAGCAGCTGGCACCTTATTGGCCAGCAACATGTCCCTGATCTCAGTGAGGTCCTCCTTGGTGAACACAAAGCCCACATTCCCCCAGATATGAGGCAGCAGTTTCTCCAGAGCTGGGTTGTTTTCCAGGTGCCCTCGGATGGCCTTGCGCATCATGGTGTTCTTGCCCATCAGCACCACGACCTTCCCGCGAAGGGACATGCGGATCTGCTGCATCTGCTTGGAGCCCACATTGTCTGCTCCCACGATGAAACATTTTGGATAATCATCCAATAGTTGGATGATCTTAAGGAAGTAGTTGGACTTCCAGGTCGCCCTGTCTTCCCTGGGCATCACGGCGGTGCGTCAGGGATTGCCACGCAGGGTTTAAAGACGATGTCACTTCCACGAGGATGCCTGGCGAGAGAAGCTATTTATTTTTGAGATGGAGTCCCGCTCTGTCACCCAGGCTGGAGTGCAGTGGCGCAATCTCGGCTCACTGCAAGCTCCGCCTCCCGGGTTCACACCATTCTCCCGAGTAGCTGGGACTATAGGCGCCCGCCACCATGCCCAGCTGATTTTTTGTATTTTTAGTAGAGACAGGGTTTCACTGTGTTAGCCAGGATGGTCTCGATCTCCTGACCTCGTGATCCTCCCGCTTCAGCCTCCCAACGTGCTGGGATTACAGGCATGAGCCATCGTGTCCAGCCCGTGAGTAGTTAACTTTTAAGGAGCTGGAGGACTGATCTCAGTAAGCCAGTGACCACCGCCTGCATGTTCAAGAAAATAATCAAAGTGAGTCTTTGATAACCTTCCTCTATCTGTTTTTCTTGCAGATAACAACTCAAATTGACTTAAACAAAAAGAAAAGATATTGGTTCATGTTCCTCAAAAGCCTAGGTGGCCTCAGGAAGGGCTGAATCCAAGGGTTCAAAATATCATATTGGCTTTGCCTCATCTCAGTTCCTCCATTTTTCAGAAGGCTCTTTGCTCCCAGTGGAAGGTGGATGTTGCAGCTCCAGAGTTTTTTATGTTCAGCTGGAAAGAGCAAACCCATTTTCCAGGAGCTTGAGCAAAAGTCCTGAGGTTTTATCAGCTTCAGCAGCCCACAGTCATGTGACTGCCTCAGCCAATTACCGTGGCCAGGAGAATGAGCTATGTTAATTGTCATGCATTGCAACCCTGGATTCTGGGATAGAGTTCCTCCCTTCTCCCCTTCAACATATGGAATGACCCAAATCAAAGTTAGAAACTGTGGAGAGAAGGGGGTGGCAGACACAGCTAACTGCTGTGGTAGATTTTGGGGGACTGGAGCTCAGTGTCTTCCACCCTTCTTCTGTGGTGCCTTCCTGTAATTGCAGGGGATTGAGAGCTCACAATCACATTTCCCAGACTCTCTTGCAGCTATAATTTCTGCTGTAACTTGATTCTGCCCATTGGATGCTCTCCTGTGACATTTAAATGGCTGAAGTTGGGGGGTGGGCAAGATTCTCTTAGACAATTTGGTTGGGGAAGTGTTTAGTTTCTCTGCAGTAGCCAAAGTGGACATCTCAGTGTCTGGTCCCTGGCCTTGTGGGTGTTAAGAGGCAGGCTGAGTCACCTTTTGGGTGGTGTGCCCTATGGTGGGCACCGTGTAGTCATTGAGCTGGCAACACTCCTGGGGGCTTCCTGAGTTTGGCCGTGGAAGTCTGGCTATGGAGCCCTTGGCTTTCTGAGCACAGACCAAGTAGCAGCTTGGTTGGTGGTCCAGGTCTGCAGGGTGACCATTAAGATTTCTTCAGCTTCCACAGCAATTTTGTGGGCCAATTAAGACTCAGAAACAAATTCCTCTTGCTTTGCTTAGCAAGAATGAACTGAATTCTTGCACCTGAGCCATTCCGTGCACTCGAACCCTCTCCCCATCGCTTCAGCTGTCTCCTCCATGCCACCCCCTCACCCTGTCCTTCTTCCTTGCTGGCAGGGCCCACTCCCTCCAGAGAGGCTGGGTCTATATGGAGTGGGTGTGTATGAGAAGGAGAACGTTCCTGAATATTTTCTGCCCTAATAAAAAGAGACATTGGAGAAAAATCTCCCCTCCTGCTTTTGGATGTGTCTCGGGGAGAATGCACTGTGTGGCACTAAAGCAGCCTTTGTGACACCCTGTGGCAATAAGCCTGAGGACATCAGCCAATGTAGAAAGGAAATGGGAAGTTCTGAGTCCTTCATGGCACTGAGGTGCCACTAAATTAACACATCTTGGAACTGGAACTAGTTATGAGAATTTTGTTTAAGCATCTTTCTTTCTTTTCTTTCTTTCTTTCTTTCTTTCTTTCTTTCTTTCTTTCTTTCTTTCTTTTCTTTTCTTTTCTTTTTTTTTTTTTTTTTTTTTTTTTTTCGGAATCTTGCTCTGCCGCCCAGGCTTGGAACTGGAACTAGTTATGAGAATTTTGTTTAAGCATCTTTCTTTCTTTTCTTTCTTTCTTTCTTTCTTTCTTTCTTTCTTTCTTTCTTTCTTTTCTTTTCTTTTCTTTTTTTTTTTTTTTTTTTTTTTTTTTTTTTACGGAATCTTGCTCTGCCGCCCAGGCTGGAGTGCAGTGGCACAATCTCGGCTCACTGCAAGTTACACCTCCCGGGTTCACACCATTCTCCTGCCTCAGCCTCCTGAGTAGCTGGGACTACAGGCGCCCACCACCACGCCTGGCCAATTTTTTTGTATTTTTAGTGGAGATGGGGTTTCACCATGTTAGCCAGGATGGTCTCGATCTCCTGATCTCATGATCTGCCTGCCTTGGCCTCCCAAAGTGCTCGGATTACAAGCGTGAGCCACCGTGCCTGGCTCTGTTTAAGCCACTTTCAACTGGGTTGTGTGGCTACCTGCAGCTGGAAGCATCTTGATGTCTACATCTTTTTATCTCTATACCTATACCTCTAACTATCTATACCTATGTATCCACCCAACGGGTTCACCTTGCCTGCTGCCTAGACAGAGCTGATTTATCGAGACAGGGGAATTACAATGGAGAACGAGTAATTCATGTAGAGCTGGCTGTGCGGGAGACTGGACTTTTATTGTTACTCAAATCAGTCTCCCAAGCATTCAGGGATCAGAGTTTTTAAAGATAATCTGGTGAGTAGGGGCTTGGGAAGTGGGGAGCACAGATTGATCAGGTTGAAGATGGAATCATAGGGGGTCGAAGTGAGTTTTTCTTGCTGTCTTCTGTTCCTGGGTGGGATGGCAGAACTGGTTGAGCCAGATTACCAGTCTGGGTGGTATTAGCTGATCCATCAAGTGCAGGGTCTGCAAAATATCTCAAGCACCGATCCCAGGTTTTACAATAGTGATGTTATCCCCAGGAACAATTTGGGGAGGCTCAGAGTCTTGGAACAAGAGGCTGCATGACCCCTAATCTGTAATTTCTTTTTCTTGTTGTTTCTTTTGAGACGGAGTCTCGCCTCTGTCACCCAGGCTGGAGTGCAGTGGTATGATCTCAGCTCATTGCAACCGCCTCCTCCCGGGTTCAAGTGATTCTCCTGCCTCAGCCTCCAGAACAGCTGGGATTACAGGCGTGTGCCACCATGCCCAGCTAATGTTTGTATTTTTAGTAGAGATGGAGTTTCATTATGTTGGCCAGGCTGGTCTCGAACTCCTGGCCTCAAGTGATCTGCCCACCTCTGCCTCCCAAAGTGCTGGGATTATAGGTGTGAGCCACTGCACCTGGCCCCTAAACTGTAATTTCTAATCTTGTAGCTAATTTGTTAGTCCTGTAAAGGCAGACTGGCCCCCAAGCAAGAAGGAGGTCTTTTTGGGAAAGGGCTATTATCAATTCTGTTTCAGAGTCAAACCATGAACTGAATTCCTTCCCAAAGTTAGTTCAGCCTATGCCCAGGAATGAACAAGCACAGCTTATAGGTTAGAAGCAAGATGGAGTTGGTTAGGTCTGATTTCTTTCACTCTCATGATTTCCTTAGTTATAATTTTTGTAAAAGCGGTTTCACCTATACTGATATTTATACTTATCTATATCTATCTATTTCTGTTTCTAACTATATCTATGTCTATGTCTATTTATATCTATATCTATGTATATACCTGTACTTATCTATATGTCTAATCTATATATCTATATCTGTATCTGAGGATGGAGATGGAGGGGGTGGAGGAGGGGAACAAACTCCAATTCTGCTAACATTCCTTGTGGAATTAGCAACTTTGGTGTAGGCAGGTAGCCACAGCCTTTGGGTTGTTTGGGAGGGATTCAGAGATTGATCTTTTGGCTTCTTTAGTTGAGGCCGTTGAGCTTGGTGGAGGGGGATGGTAGGGACTTCTCGGCTGGTTGACATGAGTGATACCACCCTCATTCCTCCCATTTTCATTCCCACTTCATGAAACAGTGTTGCTCTTGCTCATGCATTTCCAAGGCTTCTTGTGCCTGTTTTCCCACGTGATCTTCATATGAAATCTTCAACGCAAATATTATTTGTCCTGTATTTCTGATGAGAGAACTAGGACATAGACTTAAATTACTTGGCCAGTCTCACACAGCTAATTAAGGGAGCTACAGGTGTGTGACCCTGCTCTAGTTTAATTTCTGCTGGACCCCATTGCTGACTCTAAACTTTGGCAAACTGATTTGTAACAGAAAAAAAACAAAAACCATATTAAGCGCCTAGCAGGTAAACAGAGCTGTGGGTTCACCCTCTTTGTTCCAAAACGGGCAAAGGGCTCTAGGAAAGACCACCCTGGTCTCCTTGGGACCACATCATGGTTTCCACCCTTTGCGCTCAGCAGAGGCGGGAGGCTTCTGGCACAACTGCCATTTGGCTCATTTGTTTGCCAGAACAGAAACTTTCTCAAGCACACTCAAATAAGGGGGGCTTGGGGGTGAGTTTGATGGTGCCCCAAGTGGAGTGATGTGGAGCTTCCCACAGATATCCACAGATACCTAACACATGTATCTAAGACAGGAGCCAGATGGGGTCAAGCCTTCCGGGGGCCATGCAGCAGGGAGGACAGCAGGTGGCTCTGGAGCCTGTCTGGCTGGCTCTAAAGACCCTGCAGTGGCATTGGTCACCTTCATCCCAGGCCCCTCCAGGTGCCTTGGCAAGCTCTGGGCCTGCTCCATCCCATCCTGCCACCAGCTTCTTCCCTGACTCCCTCTTGCATTTTGCTATTCGTGCCCTGTCTGGCTTACTCCACATCACCAGGAGAAAGGCACATTCAACAGAGCAGCATGCAAATAGCAATAGATGTAAAACAATACTGTCTCCGGCCATAGCCAGTGGAGTGAGGCTGCTCTCATTGCCATGAGAGAGAAGACAAGTGGCCCTAGCCCGCGTCCATACAGGGCCTGAGGGCCTGGGCCACCAGCTCGGCAGATGGCCCCTCCCAGCCCTCCTCAAGTCAGTGTGGAGAGGGAGGGGATGGCAAGAGCGCACGGTCACATGGCACACATCCTGGGATCCTGGGCTCAGCCCTTTATCAGGGGGCAGTTCCTGTAGGAGGGTGGCAGATGGAAGGCACCATGAAACTCCCCTCAATCCCCAGCCTGGGCCCTGATTTCCACTCTCTCCCTCAACAGTGGAACTTCCTGGGCAGCTGTGTCTTTGCTAGTCTCATGGATGAGCTTTGAGGAGGAAGCTTGGTTCTTGAGACTGTTGCCCCGGGTTACAGCTGAGTAGATGTGAACTGCGGCACATCTGGGGCCTTGCTTCCCTCTCCTGTATGTCTCCTGGGCCTAGCAAGCACCTAGCACACAGGAGATGCCAAGTAAGTGTTCAGGAATTTTTTTTTTTTTTTTTGAGACGGAGTCTCACTCTGTCGCCCCGGCTAGAGTGCAGTTGCGCGATGTCGGCTCACTGCAACCTCCACCTCCTGGGTTCAAGTGATTCTCCTGACTCAGTCTCCCAAGTAGCTGGGGTTGCAGGCACCCACCACCATGCGGGGCTAAGTTTTGTATTTTTAGTAGAGATAGGGTTTTGCAATGTTGGCCAGGCTGGTCTCGAACTCCTGACTTCAAGTGATCTGCCCACCTTGGCCTCCCAAAGTGCTGGGATTACAGGTGGGAGCCACCATGCCCAGCCAAGTGTTTGGAAATTTTATGCCTGACCCCACTATGGTTCTACTTTTGTTTGTCCGAAAGGAGTCAAATCCAAAGGGAGATTTAAGAGATGAATTTTCCTTGTAATTCACTCCCAAGTCCTTTCCAACTCTCAGCAGCTCCTGTTCAACATTTCTTCCTGGTTCCTGAAACCCTAAGTTCTTGACCTCGGCCTCAGATGATGCCAGTGCATGGATGAGTATAAAGATGGTGGAGGGGGCTGGGCATGGTGGCTCACATCTGTAATCCCAGCACCTTGGGAAGCTGAGGCAGATCACTTGAGCCCAGGAATTTGAGACCAGCCTGGGCAACACAGAGAGACCCTGTCTCACAAAAAATACAAACAAAAGATGGTGAAGGGGACCCTCTTTCCTCCCAATCTTGGCCTGGTAAAGTCAAAGAAGGCGGCAGACAAACCGTGAACCCAAATGAACTTGAAACCTAATAGGGTTTGGCTACTGCATGGAATTAGACTATTTTTAGATGAACGATTTAAATATTGTCCCCACCTGTTTTGCATTCATATTTTACTACTTCCCTGAAATTTCCATTTATCAATATTCTGTCTCATTTAATTCCAAACTGCTGTTAAAGGTTGATATGAACATGTGGTCTGCCCTCTGAGTTATTGTGGGACCAACTGCTGACTCATCGGCCAACTCTCTTGCTATTGATAGGTGTCAAAGTGCAGTTTTAGCTTGCTAATCAACTTCGCTAAACTTGTTGTTTTGTATAACTGTACTCTGTACTAAGCCCAGATGTTGAATTAAGGTGGGTATGTTGATGCAACATAAATGCCTTTTGAATAAATAAATAAATGAATAAGACAATGGTGAAGTAGCTATAGTTCAGGCCCCCAGTGGTACTTTGCCCCTCTGCATTCCCTGCCCTCCTCTGGTGGCCTCTTCTCTTGGACACCAGTGTCCTCATGGTGCCGCTGGATACCTTTAGCTCTCCCCGTTGGCACAGCATCCAGGCCTGACCTCCAGGATTCTATTTTCAAACAGGATTCTGAGAGAATGAAATGTTTATCCTAAAAGGAAGGAGGAAGAAATGCTGTAATGCCAGACATTGGCAAACTGGTCAGAGGACAATTTTTTCTTGGCAGGGGGTTGGGTGTGCATGTGTGTATGTTCGTGCATGTGCAAAGAAAGCTTTCTGGGATTCCAGCTCTGTGAGGCTGGCCCTGGATGTCTGAAACCCAAATCCTAGCTAGGGGAAGCAATGACACTTCTCATCCAAACCTTTATCCGAATGAGCTAAGCAAAGGGAAAAATACATTTCCAGATGAGGAAATCTGAGACCTGGAGAGCTGTCCCTCATGGAGCCTGAGTAGAAGAACCAAAAGATGCCAAGTCACTGGATTCCAATTTAGATGACAGAACATGCCTGTAAAGCTTAAAAACATATGTTCTAGAACTTACATGCCCACACGAGGACTGTCCTATAGTGGAGAAAGATCACTTGTTTCAGTGATTCTATAAAAAAATTTTTTTTAACAAAAAAACAACCACCTACAATTGAGAATTGGCTCCAAGTCAACTTGGAAGACACAGGAGAAAAGTATTCTCTTACATTTTCACTAAAAAATAAAGGAAGGGGGATTCCTCAGCTTGGTGATGGACCTTAGTCACTACTTTTTGCAGCAAATAACTTTTTAAAAATAGCTTTCTCAAGGTAGAATTGACCTACAATGAACTGCACATATGTAAGTGTACAGTTTGATGAGTTTTGACACATGTATTCATTCATGCAACCATCACCACAATCAAGATAAGAAACATGTCCAACACCTTTCAAAGCTTTCTTGTGACCCTTCTGTATTCCATCCCTCCTGCTCCATGACCCCACCTCCCTGTCCCAGGCAACCACATATCTGCTTGCTGCAAATGACATTGCATCTCTTCTGAAAATCAAACTTTTCCTAAAAGGATGAGAATTTTCTAGCTCTTGGGATACGGTTACGAAGGGAAGTCCCCTTCAGAAGCCCTGAGTAATTCTTAGAAGTGACGTCACTGTAGGAGGAAATGCTTAGCCTTCAAGGAAGGGATATTGAAATATGTAAATCCTGGCATTTTTTTTTTTGAAGAATTAATGACATTTCATATCTTATCTTGTATTTTGTGATATTCTGTAGTTGGAATCTACTAACCCAAATTCATTGGCCAGTTCTACAACTACTGTGTTAAAGCCAACATCTGTCTTCTATGAGAGAACAACTCCCTTTCCCCTACTCTTGTTTCTTGTGCCCAATATCTAACCCCCCTCGGCTGGTGTCAATCCTGTCTTCACAATAGCCGTCAGTTTCAACCCACTCTTTCCTGTCTTCTGTCAGTCCCTCTGGGTGGGCCCAGGGAATTTCTCAGCTGGATTACCATGGATCTGTCAGCCTCTTCACTGATTCACCTGTTTCCACGCTCTCCCTCTTTTCATCCCTTGTGTATCAAGGAAATCTTTATAAAAGGCGAGTCTGATCAGTTTATTTTTCTGCTGTAAATTAAAATTTATGATTTTATGTGTGCTCCTGTCTTCCTCTCTAGAGCCTCCCCATGACAGTACCACACCCCAGCCCACTTCTTTCATTTCAACTAGGAAGGATTTTAATAGTGCTACAGAGAGCATTTTCATAATGTACAGACAGTACAGTGACACCCACATTTCTGCCCAATTCTATCATCATTTCTTTCTTTTTTCTTTTTTGAGACAGTGTCTTACTCTGTTGCCCAGGCTGGAGTGCAGTCTCATTGCAACCTCTACCTCCTGGGTTCAAACAATTCTCGTGCCTCAGCCTCCCAGGTAGCTGGGATTACAGGCCTATGCCACCTCGTCCGGCTAATTTTCATACTCTTAGTAGAGACAGGGTTTTACCATATTGGCCAGGCTGGTCTTGAACTCCTGGCCTCAAGTGATCTGCCCGCCTCGGCCTCCCAAAATGCTGGGATTATGGGCATGAGCAACTATGCCCAACCTTCTACTTCTACTTTTTGCTTGCTTCTATCCTCATTTCTTGACACTCACCTCCCAACCAGACCAAACAGCTAGAGGATCCCTGAATGCACCATCCTCTCTACCTCTGTGCCTTTATGCCTGCTATTTCCTCTGCCTGAAATTATCCTTCTTCCTATTCCGGAAGACTTGCATGTTGTACCTCCCTTCTTTGCAGCATTCTTACTGCAATCGTAGCCTGACCAGCGTGGACAGTCATTTTTTGATTTGTCACTAATATCAGGTGGGCAGGGATCATCTGTGTCTTTCAGCACAGAATCCTTAGCACATGTGCTTGCTCATGGAACGAAACAGCGCAATGTCTTCTCCCTAAATCAGTGTCTGATAACGTCTAGGGGCCAGGCGCGGTGGCTCATGCCTGTAATCCCAACACTTTCGGAGGCCGAGGCAGGTGGATCACCTAAGGTCAGGAGTTAGAGACCAGCTTGGCCAACATGGTGAAGCCCCATCTCTACTAAAAATACAAAAAATTAGCCGGGCATTGTGGCAGGTGCCTGTAATCCCAGCTACTCAGGAGGTTGAGGCAGGAGAATTGCTTGAACCCAGGAGGCAGAGGTTGTAGTGAGCTGATATCATGCCATTGCACTCCAGCCTGGGCAACTAGAGTGAAACTCCATCTCAAAATTAAAACAAACAAACAAACAACAAACGAAAAAAACTAACCTCTAGGACAGTGTCATCGGCAAGGTGGAGTTGACGAGTCAGAAATCACTGGTACTTGGTGGAAGTTATTTGTAGCCTGACACAATGCTGTTTCTCCCCAGCCAGGAGCTCTCTTCTCCCAGACTGTGAGCTGCCTCATGCCCTTACTTGCTTCAGACGTCTGTTTCTTGATTCACAAGCCTTCTTTGACTACTCCATATGAAATAGTAACCACCCATCCTCAGCAATCCCTATTTTCCTCTAGCCTGCCTTTCCCCACTCCTTCGACTTTATTGCCATCTGACCTACTATGTGCTTATTTGCTTATTTGTTTACTGTCTGCTTATTTGTTACTATTAGAGTATAAGCTCCCTAAGGGCAGGGATTTTTCTGTTTTGTTCCCTGCTGCATCCTTAGTGCCTGATACATTATGTGTATGTGTTCAACGAACAAATGTGCCCAGAGAACAGTGCATGCCACCAAAGGACAAGACTATGCATTTTGGTTTCCCAGGGTTTATTCTCCATATGATAAAACTCATTAAGTAGTCGCTTATAGGCAGAAACCGGTCACAGGAATGGTTTAGGGAGTTCCAAGAATGAAAATAGCTTCTCTCAGCCTCAAGCAATATAAAAAATATATTTTAAAAAAAGGTTATCACCCTGTCTCGAAAAACCAATAATGTACATGAAGAAAAAAGATCAGAGCAAACAAAGAAAAAGAAAAGGAGAGGGGCTGGGTGTGGTGGCTCACACCTGTAATCCCAGCGCTTTGGGAGGCCAAGGTGGTTAGATCATGAGGTCAGGAGATGGAGACCATCCTGGCTAACACAGTGAAACCCCGTCTCTACTAAAAATACAAAAAAAAAAAAAAAAATTAGCTGGGTGTGGCGGCAGGCACCTGTAGTCCTAGCTACTCGGGAGGCTAAGGCAGGAGAATGGTGTGAACCTGGGAGCTTGCAGTGAGCTGAGATCACTCCACTGCACTCCAGCCTAGGCAACAGTGTGAGACTGTCTCAAAGAAAAAAAAAAAAAAGAAGAGGAGAGACGGAGAGAGAGACAGAGAGAAAGATGCTCAACCACACCACACCAACCTTTTGATGCTACCAGTAGATCTTTGGTGTTTGTTCTAAATTCTGTAAAACCAAATTTACTGAGCTATAAGAAAAAGCAAATGGCAATAGACAAGCTAAATGCTGTGCTTTTATATTAAGAAGCAAGCCCAAGGGTTATTATGTGTGATTTCACTAAGATTCAACCCAGTCTCACAAGAGAGTTGGGCAGGTGATTTATGGGCTGAGGTCTTGGCTTGAACCCTCAATTAGCCTTAGGGCCTAGGGCAAGCCACTTTCCCCTTCTGAGCCTCACCTTCTGCCAGCAAGATAGTGAGGGAGTTGGTGAAAACCAATTTCCAAGGTCTCTTCCACCCATAATGTTCTATGACTCTGTATCTTGACAAGGGTTTTCAATTTGTCCTCATTAATGAAGAGATTCCATTAACCAGGACGTTAAATTCCCTGAGAGTTCTGGTTAATTGGATCCTTACTAAAATAGCTTCTAAATCTTGTTTACTACATTAAAAAAATAAAAGCATTTTTGCATTAATTTCTACCTGCAGGGAATATAAAAGCATTGAACTGTAACAGCTGGGGGTTTCTCCAGAAGTTATTCCTTAAAGCAGAGTTTTCGAAACATTTTGACAGTGATCGCCGTTAAAAAAAAAAAAAAGCAAACTTTTTACATCACACACACACACACACATGGTATCAAAGGTTTGTGAAATAATATTTAACTTTACCATATGATACAGTGTTGATATTTTATATTCTATTCAGAAAAGCTATTCAGTCCACAAGTTGATTTCATGATCCAGGGTTTGAAAAGCACAGCCCTACAGTTCCACAGGAGTCCATCTGCCCCTCATGGACCTCTTTGCATGTCTGCTGGGGGTAAAAAATGCCCAAGACATCCCAGGGCTGTCATGTGGATATCTGAGGACATTGTAGTTACTTTATTGGTTTCACGTTCTGATTCACACTCTTTGAAATGTCTTCGGTATTGCCTGAGAAGTGCTCCTAAGCAGCACAGTGAAGAGAAAAGAGCACTAGACAAGAGTTTTGACTTCTAGTCTGGGTTCTGTTACTATATGGCTGTGTGACTTTGGATAATTCACTTAACCTCTCTGAGCCTTAGCTACCTTCAAACATGGGAATGAATGACATATCCAGGTGCCCCTCTCCTGTACACTCTGTGATCAGGTGACCCAAGAATAATTGCTGTTTTCTTCTAGGGATGGGGAAGAGGAGGAACTGCTGATCTGTTCTGTCCTATATAGGCGTGATGATAGGGACTGGAATTGTGCTTTATGTCCACTTTAGGTGGGACTGGGACAGATGAAATGCCCATAAAGGGCTTTTGATTTCTGTGGCAAAATGGTTTTAAAGCTCCACCCAGTTTTAAAGAATTATTTCTGGACTAAGTATTCCTTGGGAGAGTCCTGCTGTTTCTCAGAGCTTCTCATGTACTCCTTTTTCCTGTATGAGTTAGATCCCTAGCTGTCCCTGCTGGTGTTAACAATTCTTCATGGAGTTGTGTGCCGTTTGGCTGTTTTCCCGTCCTTACATGTGGATGTGGTGAAATAGCCTTCCCAGTGGTGTAAAGTGACATGGAGTGATGGACCACAGTGGGAACCCCTGGAAAGAGGACCTGGGAAGACCCGAGCCGAGATCAGAGTTCAGGCACGGGTGGTCGTGTGGTGCACGCCAAGCAGAACTGTCCAGCTGATACCTGAGCTGCGGCAGGAAAGATGGCAATGCCCTACAATATGGCAACCTCAGATCTCCTATTTGCTTGCGAGTTTTTGTTTGGTTTGATTTTGGTTTCAGTTTGGTATTTGCAGTAACACCAATCTGAAGAATTAGCAACATTCTTCAAAAATGTTCGTAATAACCAGCTTTGCAGTCCAAAGGGCAGCCTTGATTCCAGCTTTCTGCAGCTCACTAAGCCTAAAATTGGGTGTATTATTCATTTTCTTTCCAGATGTGAAACAACCATTTCAACCAGCTTGGACAAAAGAGAGAAGCCAAGATGGGGCTGAGAAACCAATGCAGGCAGGCCCAGGGACCCAGGAGTCAGGGACCAGGTGCTACCAGATGCTTGCTCCGACTCGTGTTGCTGCTGTCTTCTCTGTGCCTCAACTCTGTCCTCTGTCACTGCAGGCAGCTTCCTCCCAAGGTGGTAAGTAGGGCTGCTGCCAGCCCTGGTGAATGACATCTTAGCTTTTACACTGGAGATACACTGACCGCCTTTCTTGGTTCCAGGATGAAAAAGTCTGGGGAGGACTTTGACTCTTACCCATCCCCTGGAAAAATCAACTGGGGAGGTGGAATTCATGGAAGAACATGGCAGCTCCTGAGGCAGATGTTTGGGTTGGAAAGAACACAGCATTCATTCATTCATGTGGCACTTTTTTTTTTTTTTGACGGAGTTTCACTCTGTCACCCAGGCTGGAGTGCAGTGGCGCGATCTCAGCTCGCTCATGCAGCACATTTTTATTGAGCAAAACTGAGAGGCTGAGTGAGAGACCAAAGTCTTCACTGATGAGGGAGAGGGTGCCCAGAGATTGGCAGATGAAGGTGAAGAGAAAAGGTAGAGGACACCAAGGGCCCTGCCAAGCAGCAGAAGTAGGAGGAATTGAGGAGCTTCTTCCGGAATGAAATCAGTTGCACTTTTTTATTTTTTATTTTTTGAGACAGGGTATTTCTCTGTTCTCCAGGCTGGAGTGCAGTGGTTGATCTCGGCTCACTGGTGACCAACCTTTGGCTCCTGGCTCAAGTGGTCTTCCTGCCTCAGCCTCCTGAGGAGTTGGTATTACAGGCACGTACCACCATGCCTGGCTGATTTTTGTATTTTTAGTAGAGATGGGGTTTCACCATGTTGTCCAGGCTGATCTTGAACTCCTGAACTCAAGTAATCAGCCCACCTCGGCCTCCCAAAGTGCTGGGATTTTAGGCGTGAGCTACCGGGCCCGGCCCAATTGCTCCTTTGAAAGGAAGTCCTGCTATGAAAAAAAGTAGCAGTTGAACTAAATGGTGAATTGAATGATGTAGCTGCTTTACATCCTGGCTCAAGCTCCTGACCTTGTTGTAAAACAATAAAAGTTTGGGCACCAGCAGTGAGTCTGCCAGCTACACTGTGAGTAGCTGTGCCCGAGGGGAATTCTTGCACATACTCTATGGGAGATGTGTACAAGAATGTGCATAGTAGCATTGTCTATAATAGCTAAAAAAGGAAACAACCCAGATATTCATAAGTAACAGAATAACGAAGAAATTTTGGCATAATGAAATCCCATATAGCAAAGAAACCAAATAAACTACAGCTACACTCATCAACATGAACAAATTTCAAAAATACTGTTGAGCAAAGACAGCATGTTAAGAAGGTTACAATTAGCATGGCTTTGTCACATGAAATTCACAAAAGGCACCACTAAGCAGTATATTGGTTAGGGATCCACAACAAATGGATTAAAACTATAAAGGAAAGCCAGGGAATGAGTAACACCTGTGTCAGGTCAGTGGCTTGCCCCAGGGTTTGGGAAGGGAGAGCAAGACAATTGGGAAGGGTGGGCATGGAGTGAGCTTCATGGTATTGGCAATGTTCAATTCCTTAAGCTGGGTGGTGTGGATATGTGTATCTGGTTTTTATTATTATTCTTTAAGCTGGACATATACGTTATGCACATTCTTTTGTAATATGATCTATTTCACAATGAAAAAAAATTGTAAAGCAGATATAGCCAAAACCAAAGCTCCTCCACACCCCAATAAAAGGTAGAGTTTGATGTGGTTGAAGAGTCTGAGCCTCAATGGAATGAGGACTTTTCCAGATGTGGTGCTGTACTGGCTGGAATAGCATCCGGGAGAAAGGAGGATGGCAAAGCAACCCACACTGCCCCCTGGCCAGGGCATCGGCAGCTGGACTGAGGGGTGCCCTGGTATCCCCGGGACCTCCTTTTCCTATGGCTCTGGGACCGCTGTGTGCCCACTCTATGCCCCTTTCTTCCTGCACCACAATCCTCAGGGGTTGGCTGGCTTTTCGGAGTCGCCACCAGGTACTTTATTTCTCACAGCTTTCCCACGGCTGCCTGCTGAGTAGGAGGCAATTATCCTAACTTCTCATGTTTTTGACCCTCAAAGCAAGTGCCCCAGCCCATTTGGAGTTAAAAATGTGAAAGCATTTTGGACCACATCCAAAATCTGGTCACTCACCATGTGATTACCTTTTTAGGGAAGGTTTATCATTTGCCTGCTGAAGTTTACTTTAATTTCTGAATGTTTTGCAAACACATTCTTTGTTGACAGCCCTAGCTGGAAATGTTTCAGCTCACCGTGTTCTGGGTAAAAAACATTGTCAAGTCTTTTTTTAACCCCTCACGTTAGATGGTTTTTCTTGGCCTGCATTTCAGTGTCCATTAACCTTAGTGTCGTAACATCTTGGAGTTAGAAGCAACCTTGGAAGCCACCCATCCAACTTCCCACCCAGTGGGAGAATTGTTCTGAAGCTTGCCTGATCACCAGCCTCAGATAGCTTGCTTTTTAAGGGCATTGCTGTACAGACACAGAGTACCATAGTTTACCAATTCCCCATAACATTTTGCATACATTTTCATGAATCTTGCAGAATCAGAAAGCAGTGTGAGCAATTCCAAGTTTGCTAATTAAATTAAAATGAGCACAGACTCTTACAAAACAGGTTTTAGAGTTTCAGGAGGCCTTACATGGTCAAAGACATTTTTCACCTACTTAAAATAATCCTATCCTGGTTAGCAGGGACAGAGAGATGAGGGAGTTGGACACATCACATGCTTGGAAGGAGAAGCAGAGAAGGATTGCTTGGCAGTCCTGTGTGTACATTTTCTTCTGTCCCTTTGTTCTTACTTTCTTGCCTCCTTAAAAGAACAGAGATGGCCAGGTGCGGTGGCTCACACCTGTAATCCCAGCATTTTGGGAGGCCGAGGTGGGCGGATCACGAGGCCAGGAGTTCGAGGCCAGCCTGACCAACATGGTGAAACTCCGTCTCTACTAAAAATACAAAAATTAGCCAGGCGTGGTGGTGGGCGCCTGTAATCCCAGCTACTCAGGAGACTGAGGCAGGAGAATCACTTGAACCTGGGAGGTGGAGGTTGCAGTGAGCTGAGATCGCACCACTGCACTCCAGCCTGGGCAACAGAGTGAGACTTGGTCTCAAAAACAAACAAACAAACAAACAACAAACAAAAACAAAACAAAACAAAAAAAGAACAAATGGTATATAAATGAAGAATATAGACATTGCCCTGCTGAAGGGCGCTGGACTGGCCTGTCATCCTCCCACTGCCACCGCCTGTCTTTCCACCTAATGGTAACTGGATGCCTTGTCCCATTAGTTTGGGCCTACCCCAGTTTCTGAGCCCACCGAGAGATAGTGCAATGTGTGTTAATAGTTGCCCCTTCCACCTGTCTCCCTAACTTTTGTTCTGCTCCAGTAGAGGGAGCCAAGCGGTGATACCAGCTGCTATGGTGGTTAAGTGAGCTTGAGCCTTGAGCCACGCTGGGACCTTGGTGGCACAGGCCCCTCAGAGTAAGGGGAGGAAGCTGGCCTGGGAAAGACTGAAGTTAACCCATCAGAACAACAGGGTTGTTCTGTGCCTAACCCCTCTCTCATGCAAGCTGAGGAGAGTTTCTGGGCTAAAGAAGGTAGCTGAAGATTTTTTTTTTTTTAAGTTAGGGGTAGGAAGCTCAAGCAGGGGTGAGGAGAGAACAATGCAAGGTGCTGACCCAGCCTGGACACACAGGTGCAAGGTCCAGGGGGCATGTGAAGTTCAGGTAAGCTTAAGTAATGGTTGTGAGAAGGCCTAGTTGGTGGCACAGGGCCTGGTGGACCCTTCACAGCATGATACCCCAGTCAGAGCCTATGCAGAGAGACAGGCAAGAAGTGGCAGGATGTCGGGGCCACAAGCAGAAGCTCAGGGCAGGCCAGCATGCCCTGCAGGCCACCAGGGGCAGGAGCCTCCTTCAAGGTTCTGATCCTGCTGTGTGGTCCCTCCCCAGACACCCAGATCTCCCGCAGCACGCTGAGCACCTAGAGACTGGTCCAGGACTGATGCACTCACAGATCTGCCTGGGTCCCGTCTGATGACTCGAAGGGGCCAAGGAGACTGGGACTGACTGCCTGAACTGCCGGGCCCCAAGTTCCGTCAATTCAAATCAACAAATACTGGACTGTGTATCTCTGGGTGAGGGAGTTGGGGTAGGATAAAGATAAGGGGCTGGGTGGCCAACTAAGAGGGAGATTAGGAAATGCTGATAATGTCATATCATATGAATTATACAGCAGATTACACAGCCAGAGGACACTGCTTCGTTAGTCCATACAGGCATCTATTTACATGGGGCATTTACATGGGAGAAGGAGAGGGGGAAGACAACATAGGAAGAGAGGAAGCGGGGGAAGAATTTTGCATAGAAAAAATGCAGTGCCAATCCCTGACCTTGTCTTCCAGTCCAGTGGCAGGTGGCAGCAGGGAAGGACTAAAGGAGCCATTTCCGCAGGGCGTCAGGGAGACAGAGGCCACAGCTATCTGCTTAGGTTCCAAAGTAACTTCAGGGATACTGAGTGGAGGAGAGGGTCATTGTCCTCACCCCGCTGTGCAGCAAAGCATCTCTGTGAGTGTGAGGGCAGCAGAGGTGTAACTCCATGTTGGCACCTACACCACTGGTGTAGTGGAAGCAGCACCCTTGGCGTGCACACAGGTGTATCCCCAGAGGGCAGCCTGAGAGCGCAGCGCAGAGCATCCGCAGGACTTGAGTGGGATCGGAGGTCAGGAACCAGTGACGTTCTGGACACACCCATTATTTTCAACTGGTTGGTACCAGGTTGGGCCAGTAGGACCTGCAAATACTCCAGTTGTGGAAGTTAACAGAGTGTCCTCTCTAGGCGCTTTAATTGCCACCTTCATAACAGCCTTGAAAAATTCCACCCGCCCCCCAACCTTTTAAATTTCTTTTCTTTTCTTTTTTGTCTTTTGAAACGGAGTCTCACTCTGTTGCCCAGGCTGAAGTGCAGTGGTGCAATCTCAGCTCACTGCAGCCTCCACTTCCCGGGTCCAAGCGATTCACCTGTCTCAGCCTCCCAAGTAGCTGGGACTACAGGCACGTGCCACCATGCCTGGCTAATTTTTATATTTTTAGTAGAGACGGAGTTTCACCATGTTGTCCGGGCTGGTCTCGAACTCCTGGCCTTAAGTGATCCGCCCATCCCGGCCTCCCAAAGTGCTAGGATTACAGGCATGAACCACCGCACCCGGTCCCTACCTTTTAAATGTCATAGAACTTTTCTGAATCTGCAATTACCTTGTTTTTTTTCCTTTGGTCCAAGGGTCAGCCAATTTTAAAAATTTTTTTTTCTGTAAAGAGCCAGATAGTAAGTACTTTTGGCCTTGGGGGCCATATGGTCTCTGTTACAACTGCTCAGCTCTGCCACTGTGGTCTGGAAGCAGCCATTGACAATGCATAGACTAACGAATGTGACTGTATTCAAATAACAGATGATTTATGGACTCTGACACTGGAATTTTATATACATTTTCACAAATTACAAAACATTCTTTTTGATTTTTTTCACAAATCCAAAAATATGAAAAACATTTTTAACTTGTTGGGTGCAGAGACAGTCCCTGGCCGTAGTTTACCAATCCCTGAGGGTCAGGAAGGGCTCATAGTTGTGTTGCTAGTGCCTAGCACAATGTCCGACATACAGTAGGTGCTCAGCAGATATTTGTTGGAGGTGTGAACTGCACTTTACATACAAGGAGACCACAGCTCAGGAGGTTAATCAGCTCTCTGAAATGTGGAGTTAGAACTCACACTTTCATGGTTTGCAATACTTTGGAAAGTGAAGTGGTTGGCAGCTCTTCCAGCTGCGAGTCCTCCACTCCTTCTACCAAATCACAGCTTTGGCCTTCCCAGAAAAAAATATTGTCATATGGAATTTCACAGAATTGGGGGCCGGGCGTGGTGACTCATGCCTGTAATCCCAGCACTTTGGGAGGCCGAGGCAGGTGAATCTCTTGAGGTCAGGAGTTCGAGACCAGCCTGGCCAACATGGTGAAATCCCGTCTCTACTAAAAATACAAAATTTAGCCAGGCGTGGGGGTGTGCACCTGTAATCCCAGGTACTTGGGAGGCTGAGGCAGGAGAATTGCTTGAACCCATGAGGCGGAGGTTGGAGTAAGCTGAGATCACGCCACTGCACTCCAGCCTGGGCAACAGAGCCAGACTCCGTCTCAAAAAAAAAAAAAAAAAAAAAAAAGAATTGGGGATTGAGAACTGCTTTTGAGCAATAAATCAACCAGTGAGGTAGACTCTTGTGGTATCACCTTTCAACATGGTCAAGCTATGGAAACGTGATTTTAATTTCTCAGGTTTTTTGTTTGTTTGTTTTTGTTTTTGTTTTTAATCTGCCAGATGGAGACCATGCCATTGCTAGTCTACCTTGAAAGACAGATGTGAAGAATGAAGTCAGGGGCTTTGCAGGTATTAAAAAGTTTCCATGAGGGCTGAATCATATGCATATTGTTCATTTGAGCATTTTCTTTATAATCAAAATTTGTTTGTTTTTAAAAAAACAACCACCAATGGTTTTGTGTGAGCTAGGGGCTACATAAGACCTAAAAAATTCCTGCTTTTGGTAAAAGCAAAAATTAGATCTACTCTAGAAGGCAATCTGACCTTAAAAACATCCAGGTCCCTGGTTGGAAAAACAGGTTCTTTTTCAAAGTCAGTCCTTGCAAGTCTGTATCTCCACCCTCATTTCTGTCAACTCCTACACTTGGTTTCAGCTTAAGTCTCTGTTGGTTGCTACGCTTTTTTTCCCATCTCCCATGACTCACTCCCAGGCTGTGTTCTCACTTGGCCTCAAGCCTGCTCTGCTCCTCAGGCGGTGAGGTTGACCACAAACCATATAGCATTCTAGGAGGTGAATATGTGAACTCCTCTGGAATCTGCACCTGTGTTTCTTCCTCAGCTTTAAGTTACAATGGCTTCCTACACTGAAGCCTCTCTTGGGGCCTTGGCCATCAGCTAGGCACCACCATGATGCCTCCTAACGGGCCCTTGGGTGCTTTTCTGACAAGCAACAGAACTGGAGACTGAGGTGAGGCGCTCTCGCCCCCGCACTTCCCACTGTTCCAGAAGTTTGCCCAGCCCAAGGGTGTGGTGTGGCAGGTGCTGGGCAGTGGATGACACTCCCTTCGGAAGGCCTCATATCTGATGTGTTTTGATTGTTCTGATCCTAGGAAGCATAGTTAATATCAACACATTCTTCCCCCTCCCCCTGGCCATGCCCTGGCTCCAATTTTTTTTTTTTTTTTTTTTTTTTTATTTTTGAGACAGAGTCTCACTCTGTCACCAGGCTGGAGTGCAGTGGTGCAATCTCGGCTCACTGCAACCTCTGCCTCCTAGGTTCAAGCGATTCTCCTGCCTCAGCCTCCTGAGTAGCTGGGACTACAGGCACGCACCACCATGCCTGGCTAATTTTTGTCAGCCTCCCAAAGTGCTGGGATTATAGGTATGAGCCACTGCTCCAGGCCCCAATTTTTAAAAAGTAATATACACTCAGTGTGGAAAGTTTGAAAATATCAATAAGCAAAATGCAAATAAAACCCACCTCTAGAAATAAACACTATTAGACATTTTAGAATATATCCTTTGAGTCATTTTATATTCATAATTTTCTAAATATATTGCATCATGTTGCAATGCTGCTTTGCCACCTGGTTTATGTTTTTACTTAATACATTATGAGCACATTCCCATGTCATGAAGTATCTTTTTATAATTTTTTTATTGCTATACTGGGTTCTATGATAAGTGTGAGCACAGTGTATTTAGTAAACACCGCTTGTTGGATATTTAGCTTGTTTCTGGTTTTCCATGCCAAGATAAACATCCTTAATTATAAATTAATTATAAATGCTTTTATGCATCTCTTGCTGCTTCCTCAGGTTACATTTCTAGAAGTGGAGTTAATTAGGTCAAAGGCTCTGCACATTTTTAAAGGTCATATTGCCTTCCAGAGATGATCCAATTTTTGCTTCTACCAATAGTGCAAAATGTCCCTGTTCCCCAACACTTGCCAACATATTATTGCATATTAATAAGAGGGAGTCTCACTCTGTCACCTAGGCTAGAGTGCAGTGGCTTGATCTCAGCTCACTGCAACCTCCGCCTACCAGTTCAAGCGATTCTCCTACCTCAGACCCCCAAGTAGCTGGGATTACAGGTGCACTTCACCATGCCTGGCTAATTTTTGTATTTTTAGTTGAGACAGGGTCTCGCCATGTTGGCCAAGCTGGTCTTGAACTCCTGACCTCAAATGATCCATCCATCTGAGGCGTGATTACAGGGTGTGAGCCACCATGCCTGGCCAGTATATTTAATAACTTTTGATTGGTAAAAAACATTACTGTTTGAAAGCTGATGAGTGAGGCTGAATTTTTCAATGTGTTTTTTAGCCATTTGTATTTCTTTTGTGATTTATCCTTTGTGAGCATAATTATTTGCTTCTTCCTTCCTCAAATGTATTTATTGTTAGATAGCTCTCAGTTTCAAATTTTGACTCTAGCAATAACTAGCTTTGTGACCTTGGAAAAATCACGCCATTGAACCTCAGTTTTATGATCAATGAATTAGAATAATAATCCCTATTGAATAGAGTTGCTCTCAGGGTTTAATGAGATAGCATATGTAAAGCAATTTCCACTATCTCTGGCACACGGGAGGTGTTCAGTAAATGCTAATTTTTCCCCTTCCCCTACCATGGGCAAGGTGCCCATGGAACACACAAATGTGAAAGATACTCTGTTTGTCTTCAGGGAACACACAATCCAATAGAGACCATAAAATATACACAAATATTTGACATAGGCTTTATAAGATGGGTAGCATTTTGACAAGGTGGGAAGAATTCCAGAGAGAGAGAGTGGCAGAGGTGTGTTTGGGGAGTGGCAAGTAGATTAAGTTGACCACAGTGGAGAGTTCATACAGATAATTCTAGATATATAGGACCTCTACCGTGAAGATACTTTGAACACCAGGCTCATGAATTTGTGTTTTGCTCCGAAGGCAATGAAGAACTATTGAAAGTTTCTGAGTAGCAAAATAACATAATCACAAGTATATTGAGCACTAACTAATATGACAGAGACTGGAGTTGGGGAAATCAGCAATAAAAATTATAACTATGATCAAGTGGCTCACATCTGTAATCTCAATACTTTGGCAGGCTAAGGCAGACAGTTCGAGATGAGCCTGGGCAACATGGCAAAACCCTGTCTCTACAGAAAAAACGAACATTAGCCAGGTGTGGTGGCATGCACTTGTAGTTTCAGCTACTTCGGAGGATGAGATGGGAGGATCGCTTGAGCCCAGGGGTCAAGGCTGCAGCGAGCTGCAATCATGCCACTGCACTCCAGCCTGGATGACAGAGTGAGACCCTGTCTCAAAAAAATAAATAGGCCGGGCACAGTGGCTTATTCCTGTAATCCCAGTACTTTGAGAGGCTGAGGCAGGTGGATCACTTGAAGTCAGGAGTTCGAGACCAGCCTGGCCAACATGGTGAAATGCTGTCTGTACTAAAAATACAAAAATTAGCTGGGCGTGGTGGTGGGCACTTGTAATCCCAGCTACTTGGGAGGCTGAGGTAGGAGAATCGCTTGAACCTAGGAGGCAGAGGTTTCAGTGAGCCGAGATTGTGCCATTGCACTCCAGCCTGGGCAACAGAATGAGACCCTGTCTCAAAACATAAAATGAAATGAAATAAAATAAAATAAGAACCATGATTAAAATTATACCATGTATTAAGTATTGAATTCAAGAGACATTGTGAGAAAAGAATTAACAATAGCTGGCACCTGCATGTGGTGGTGCACACCTGTAGTCACAGTGACTTGGGAGGCTGAGGAGGGAGGATTTGTTGAGCCCAGGAGTTCGAGGCCAGCCTGGGCCACATAGAAAGATCCTTGTCTCAATAACAACAACAACAACAACAGCAACAACAACAATAATAATAATAATAATAATAATAATAATACCTTGCAAGTGAGTGATGTGGAATCAGGGAGAGGTAGAGATCAGAGATGCGTATGAAGCCCAGTGATTGGGAGATTAATTCTAGAAGATTTTATCATTGTTTAAAAAACATGCTTAGGCTGAGTGTGGTGGCTTATGCCTATAGTCCCAGCGCTTTGGGAGGCTGAGGCGGGTGCATCACCTGAGGTCAGGAGTTCAAGACAAGCCCGGCCAACATAGCGAAACACCATGTCTACTAAAAATACAAAAATTAGCCAGTGATAGTGGCACGCACCTGTAGTCCCAGCTACTGCAGAGGCTGAGACAAGGGAATTGCTTGAACCCAGGAGGCAGAGGTTTCAGTGAGCCGAGATCATGCCACTGCACTCCAGCCCAGGTGACAGAGCGAGACTCCGTCGAACCGCAGCAACAACAACACATGCTTAAACAGTTTGTTTCAAAAATCTTCTCCCCTTCTCTATGGGTCCCTTAGGAAGGTGATATATCCCACCTCATGAAATCAGGCTTCACCACAAGATTGCTTTGACCAAGGGGACGTGAGTAGAAGTTTGAAGAACCACAGACTGGTCCATCACCTTGTTTCTTATCCCTCTGACATAAGCAATGTCCCAGACTGGGGCTGTTCTGTTAGCCTGGCTTCCAGAATGAAGAGAGCTGATCTACATGGCATATGTAAGATAAATAAACCTTTGTTATTACAAACCACTGAAACTTGGGGCTTCTTTGTCACAGCAGATGAATTTAGCCTAACTATCCAATACAGGTGTCTTGAGAAGAAACAGCAACAGGAGAAGAAGAAGAAACAGCAACAGCAACAGGACGAAGAGTTGTTTTGGGGGAAAAAAGGATGATCCAGGGTGAAATGTAATAATTCTGAGGTGGCCATTGAATACCTCAGGGGGTGTCAAATGGTTGACTTATAAATGATGAAACTGAGTCTCAGTGAGATCATTTGCCCATGGTCACACAGAAGCTGGAGATATAGATTTGGAAACTGTGTGTGCTGAGAGGGGATGGTCACTAAGGGCAACTTTGTAGAGAGAAGGATGGGGAGCAAGTAAGAGTCAAAGCTGGGTCTCTCAGAAAGTCAAGAGACAAGCCAGGATGGGCCATGACAGAGCAGGGGCAGACATGTTAAGAGAAGAAAACATGGGACAGGAGGTTCCCAAAACTGAGGAAAGGCCTTGGGGTGTGGCAATTACAAAGTCACTGGAGGCCTTTGGAAAAGCTATTTTTGTAGAATGCCAAGAGTGGCAGCCACATAGCAGATGGTTGAGGAGGGACTGTGGATTGAGAAAGTGAAGGTGCTTTTCTGAGAAGTTTCTCTGTCAAGGTGAAAAGTAAATAGAATATGTGAGCAGCAAGGTCCAGTGAAGAATTTTTATGTTGGACATCTGTGTATGTTTCTGGGCAAAGGGGAGAGAATGAGGAAAATGTGAGAGGCTGGAGACACTGGAGAGCCCTTGAGGATCACCGGCCGGGATGCGAGCAGGAGCTGAGGCATCAGGAGTCGTGGAGAATGATGTGGCCTGGACGCTGGGCAGACTCTGCTCCTCAGAGCAAGAAGCAAAGGGGAATTGCTTGAAAGGCGAGTGATGTGTGGAAGAGGAAAGCAGGGCAGAGGGAAAACCTGGAGTGTGCCTAATGGCTTTGACTTTCCTGACAAAGTTGGAAGGGAGGCTGAGGATAGGAGGTCAGGAAAAGGCGAGGAAGGGGCTCCAGGAAGCTGCAGGAGATGAAATGTCTTGGGCAGCAGTCTCCAGTCCAACAGCAGAGGCAAACGGCATTGTGAGCAGAACGAAGTAATCATTCAAAGCAAGAATGCGTATGTAGTTAGGTTCTGTGGTTTTCTATGGCCATCTCTTTAGCCTGGGAGCAAAAACTAGAGAATGAGAGGCAGAGAGAGACCCCAGATCAGACATTTGCCTAAGACAAGGGACAAGAGTGAGGCACACATGAGTCTAGACATTGGAGCAAGGGGCTGCCCATGGCATGGGTAGCTGACAAGGATTTGAGCAGGGCCACAGGGGGTGAACAGAATGGAGACACTGAACTGCTTGCCGGGGATTGGAGGAGTCAGCAATGAGATGTGGCCTTGGTGGTCTGGGGCGGCTATGGAGAGAGGGAGATTTGTGAAGCTCTCCAGGAACAAGTTGCTATTTTATTTTATTTTACTATTTTTTTCTTGAGATGGAGTCTCACTCTGTTGCCCAGGCTGGAGTGCAATGGCATGATCTTGGCTCACTGCAACCTCTGCCTCCAGGGTTCAAGTGATTCTCCTGCCTCAGCCTCCTGAGTAGCTGGGATTACAGGCACCCACCACCATGCCTGGCTGATTTTTGTATTTTTAGTAGAGACGGGGTTTCACCATGTTGGCCAGGCTGGTCTCCAACTCCTGACCTCAAGTGATCCACCCGCCTTGGCCTCCCAAAGTGCTGGGATTACAGGCGTGAGCCTCCGCACCCGGCCACAAATAACCGTTTTAAAGTATACAGTTCTTTGACATTGAGTGCATTGGTAACACTGTGCAACTACCACCTCTTTCTAGGGGTGAAGGGAACTTTATCCACCTAGAGCCAATATTATTTGAGAAGAGCTCTTAGGAGAGCTAAGGGTGAAGTATGAGGCCAGAGGGTGGACAGGGGTGGAGTGAAGCAGGCGACAGTAGGGTGGGAATCAGTTGGTCTGAGGTGCCAAGGTGGTCAGGGAATCAGGGGTGATGGAATCCCAGAGGAGAGAAGTGATATGGTTTGGCTCTGTGTCCCTACCCAAATCTCATCTGGAATTGTAATCCTCATGTGTCCGGGGAGGAACCTGGTGGGAGGTGATTGGATCATGGGGGCAGATTTCCCCCATGTTGTTCTAGTGATAGTGAGTGCTCACAAGATCGATGCTTTAAAAGTGTTTAGCAGTTTCCCACTTTGCTCTCTCTTTCTCTCTCCTGCCACTATGAGAAGAGGTGCCTTGCTTTCCCTTTGCCTTCCACCAGGATTGTAAGTTTCCTGAGGCCTTCCCAGCCATGCAGAACGGTGAGTCCATTAAACCTCTTTCCATTTTAAATTACCCAGTCTCAGGTTTTCTTTATAGCAGTGTGAATATATGGACTAATACAAGAAGTAAGGACAGAAAAGAATAGCTGCTGGAACTCACGGATATGTGGGGAGAAGGCCCACGTCTTCTAAGGGTGAAGCATACAGGCACCAGCACTGGAGCACTGAGGAACATGTGCATTACACACCCATGCCTAGAAGGTCAGGCTTTCCTCCAGCATTCCCAGCTTGGCAGCTGGTGACCAGCGGCCACCTTGTCCTCACAGACCCACTTCCCAGCAGGCAGAAAGGGGATGTTCTCTCCCAGGACTCTCTCTTAAGAGGGAAGAAAATCTTTTCTGGAAGTCCAGGTGGACTTTTCCTTACAGTTCATTGGCCAGAACTGGGTCACATGCTTATTGCTAAACCAATCACTAGCAGAGGAAGATGGTATTTTCATGATTGGTTTAGACCAATTACCATTCAATCCCAGGCCCAGTCCATTGTCAGGTAAAAGAAACCCAGGTTCTGTTAGCCAAGGGGAATGGCTGTTGGGTGGACAAACACCAGCTATGCAGCAGACCTCTGGCATCCCTCCCAGCTTTATTCAGTGGGTTGAAGGGTGATGGAAGGAAGAACAAGGTCAAGGACAGAGTTACAGAGTAAGTGAAACACAGCCCCTTCAGGAATTTATAACAGGGGAGATGGGACCAAAATGAAAATATACATGAGGACCTAGATAGTAAAGAATAGGAAAGCAGGCCAGGTGTGGTGGCTCACGCCTGTAATCCCAGCACTTTGGGAGGCTGAGGCGGGCGGATCACCTGAGGTCAGGAGTTTGAGACCAGCCTGGCCAACACAATGAAACCCCTTCTCTACTAAAGATACAAAAATTAGCCGGTTGTGGTGGCACATGCCTATAATCCCAGCTATTTGGGAGGCTGAGGCAGGAGAATGGCTTGAACCCAGGAGGCAGAGGTTGCAGTGAGCTGAGATTGTGCCACTGTACTCCAGCCTGGGCAACAGAGCAAGACTTTGTCTAAAAAAAAAAAAAAAAAAAAAAAAAAAAAGAATAGGAAAGCAGACACAACCAGTGGTAGAAGGCAGGAAAGTGCAGTGGAGTAAGTGTGGGCTGGGACTTTGAATACCCATTTTGACGTGTATTTTGCTATGTGACCATGGGCAAGTTTGCTAACTTTTCTGTGTCCATCTCTCTTGTGAAGTGGGGACTGTAAGATTTCACTATTAGAAATTAATGGGAAAACAATCCAGCAGTTCCTTGAGTGGTTAAATATAGAATTACCATGTAGCCCAGCAATTCTGCTCCTAGGTACCCAAGAGAAACAAAAACATGCATCCACAGAAACATTCACACAAAAACTTGTATACAAATGCTCATAGCAGCATTGTTCACAACAGCCAAAAGTGGAAGCAACCCAAATGTTCATCAGCTAACTAATGAATAATCAAAATGTGGTGTCTGTATACCGTGGAATATTATTTGGCCACAAAAAGGAATGAAGTACTGTTACATGCTACAACATGGGTGAAACTTGGCAACATGAATGCTAAGTGAAAGAAGTCAGTCACAAAAGACTACATATTGTATGATTCGATTTATGTAAGATGTCCAGAATAGGCAAATCTCTAGAGACAGAGAGTAAATTAGTAGTTGGCTGGGGCTGGGAGGAACAGGGGAATAGAGATGATAGCCATAGGAAATGGGGTTTCTATTTGGGATAATGAAAATGTTCTAAATTGGTTGTGGTGGTGGTTGCACAAATCTGAATATACTAAAAATCATTGAATTTTACACTTTAAATGGATAAATTATATGGTACATGAAAATCTATCTCAATAAAGCTGTTAAAAAAAAGAAAAATTAATGCTGGAGTAAGGTACTAGTAAGAGTGTACTTGGCTGGGACACCTAAGTGTATCTATGAGGTGGACATTTGTCATACTTTGTTGATGGTTCAGCATTTGGGGAGTGCCCCACCCCATTTTATGAGGACTCACCTCCCACAATAGAAGGTAAGTCAGTGCTTGCCTCCCTAGCCTCTCTTGCTGCCTAAGGGCCAGCATATGAGCCAGGCTCAGCCTGACACACTTGCTAGACTCTGTAGTTGGTTATTGTAGGAAAACAGGCTGTTGCACAGCAAGAATAATGACATCTTGAAGCAAAACCACCATAATGACCGATGTCTGACTCCCGTATACCAAGGCATTCCCACGGCGAGTTCAAGAAACAATGCCTGTAGCATAGATAACCCTTCGCAGAGATGTGTATCTAACTTCCCTAGCAGCCATGAGTCTAAAGTGTGACCAGCTGCCCATACTTTACCCTAAAATCTTACTATAGAAAGGATACTTTCTGGAGGGTGGATCGCCGTCTTGCAGCAGCAGCCCCAGACATGGCTGCTATTCCCAAGTTCCCTATTAAATGCTTCCTTCTGAGAAACTGAATTTGTCAGGCTCTTTCTTCCCCCTCTCAGCATCCTTGGCCTTTGGAGATAGGTCTGCAGGTTGGCATAGACCTGCTCAACATGGCAAGTCATATAGGGAGTGGGTGCTGTGTGAACCTATTGAAGTGAGAGTGGCATCAGCCACATCCACTTTCTCAGGCAGCGTGGATGAGGTTCCTGTAGTAGCATTCAGTGCTCCAGGCCTGGGTGTTGATGGGGTGAGCCCTCGTGAGCCCAGGAGTGGCAAGAACGCTGACTCCCCAGGACCACTTTTGTGGAGTGATTTGGGGCGTTATTCCAGCTGCCCAGCCTCTAGGCTTGTTTCTTTGACCTTCCCAGAAATTCTGTGAACTACCTACCACTCTCAAAAAAACATATTTTCTACTTAAATTAGACAGTTGGGATTCTGTTGTCCAACTAAGAACCGTGGCTGACAGTCTGGCCCTTTCCACCTTGAGCCACCTCTTCCAGTGAGAACAAGGAAGCAGGTGACCCGCCATTTTCCAGGTAGATTAATCTTCAGGCCAAGGCTGACTTCTTTCTGCAGACCTCTTGACAGAAGCGAAGCCAATGGGGAGAAAAGAAGGAGGAAGAGGGCAGAGTCTGGTTCTTTTAACGGTTTCAGTTTAAGAAAGAAACAGAAGAAAACATACCATATATTCTGAGATTTTTAACCAGGCAGAATGACTCCACTCACTAACACAACAGCCATGAAAACATACCCTATTAGAACACCCAACCCCTGCATGGGGAGGACTCTCGGCTTCCCTGGGAGGCCAATATTCACTTGCAGGAGGTTGTGATCAATGCAAAGCACCTGCCTCTCAGTAGGCATTGATTCCAAGAATGTTTATTGAGTACTTACTATTGCCATACACTGTTCTAAGTGCTGGAAAAAGAGAACAAGATAGACAAAAATCCCTGCTTCCTTTTTTTTTTTTCTTTTGAGATGGAGACTTGCTGTCGCTCAGGCGGGAGTGAAATCCCCACTTTCTTAAAGCTTACAATCTTGTGAAAGAAGACAGAAAGCACATAAATAAAAATAAATTGTGTCAAAGGTGAAAATTTCTGTGGGAAAAAGTAAAGTCAGGTTAGGAGATAGAGAGTGCTGGGGGGGGGAAAGGGCCACTTCATTTAGCATATCTGAGAAGGCCTCCCTGGGAGGGGGCATGAAGAGGTGAGGACCTGGGAAACGGGATCCATTATTATTACAGAGATGTGCGCCACGGACGCTCTTTCCAACCTCTGCCTTCCCCACTGAGAACACCTGTTAGACACAAGCCTACTTGTGGGGACTATGGTGAAATCTTTGGAGGGAAACCCTGGGCCATGTGGGTGCCTCATGTTCTAGTGGGTGAGGGTTAAGAGCTTCCTGGGGTGATCTGGCAAACAAGCTGAATGGAGTCAGCTGGGCAGGGATTCCCAGAGGAAATGATTTTCGAAGACGGGAAGGGCGACCACCTAGCCATGCTCACCAGGCAGGCAAAGCTTTGGTAATAGCCTTTGGGGCCTCTCCCTGATGAAAGAGGAAGTCTCGCTGGGCATGGTGGCTCACGCCTGTAATCCCAGCACTTTGGGAGGCTGAGGTGCGTGGATCACGAGGTCAGGAGTTTGAGACCAGCCTGGCCAACGTGGTGAAACCCTGTCTCTGGTAAAAATTTAAAAAATTAGCCGGGTGTGCTGGCAGGTGCCTGTAATCCCAGTTACTTGGGAGGCCGAGGCAGGAGAATCTCTTGAACCTGGGAGGTGGAGTTTGCAGTGAGCCGAGATGGCACCACTGCACTCCAGCCTGGGCAACAAAGTGAGACTCCTCAAAAAAAAAAAAAAAAAAAAAGAAAAGAAAGAGGAAGTCTCATCATTATCACAGTCTTTTTCCTTCAAGCAGCAAATCTACAGATGGCACTGAGAAACGTTTCCTATTCATATTACTCTATTAAAACAAACACAGGCCAGTGTGCTGGCTTGTGTGTGTAATCCCAGTACTTTGGGAGGCCAAGATGGGAGAATTGTTTGAGCTCAGGAGTTCGAGATCAGCCTGGAAAACATAGCGAGACCTTGTCTCTACTAAAAAAAAAAAAAAAAAAAAAAGAAAGAAAAAGAAAAAGAAAAAGAAAATCAGCCAGGCGTGGTGGTGTATGCCTGTAGTCCCAGCTACTTGGGAGACTGGGGCTGGAGAATCTCTTGAGCTTGGGATATCAAGCCTGCAGTGAGCTATGATGATGCCACTGCACTCCACCCTGGGTGACAAAGTGAGACCCTGTCTCAAAAATAAAACAAGACAAACAAAACCCCACAAAAGGCCAGGCATGGTGGCTCATGCCTGTGATCCCAGCACTTTGAGAGGCCGAGGTGGGCAGATCACTTAAGGTTTGGACTTTGAGAACAGCCTGGCTAACATGGTGAAACCCTGTCTGTACTAAAAATACAAAAATTAGCCAGGTGTGGTGGGCGGGTGCCTGTAGTCCCAGCTACTCAGGAGGCTGAGGCAGGAGAATCGCTTGAACGTGGGAGGCAGAGGTTGCAATGAGCCGAGATCATGACACTGCACTCCAGCCTGGGTGATAGAGCCAGACTCCATCTCAAAAAAAAAAAAAAAACCAAACAAAACAAGCAAGCAAACAAACAAAAAAACCCCACAAACAAAACTCACTCTGGATTCTCTGGGATTCTGATTCCCTCAGGGTCATTACAAGCCAGGCTGGGCCTTTGCTTCCTTTTCAAACAGACTCATCTTTTAAATATATCCCACTATAATACCCCACTCATATTCATCAACCACCTGCCTTCCCTAAGCTCTCACATTCACAGTGATTCCTAAGAGATCAGTAGGGGGAAGCCCAGAAGATGTTCTCTGGTTTGCTAATGGAAGGGAATAAAGATAACTCCTAGGTTGTTTGGCCCTTGCAGATTTTTATTACTGAGGGACTCTGTGCCTTAGAAATTCTATTTTATAGGTTTTTGTTGTCTTTAGGAGTGATGCCTTGTACACACCATTATTGTGCATGGGGACGTAACTGAATTCAAAGCACCCAGCTGTGATTCGTAACCAGATTTTAATGTATCTTCTCCCAATATGCAAGGGGAAATTCCTGTATGAGAACTTGTTCTCCATAGATCCTATGGCAAGGAGCCAGAAAAGAATCCAGTGGGAGGATAGAGCCTTGCATATAAGTCTTTTACAACATTCCAGAGACTCATTTAATGTCTTCCCAGTCAGAGTTCTTAATTTCTTTGCCTTGCACATAATTACTGCTTAGGGATTTTTGGCTTGAAAGCCTTTTGAGGGGAGCATACATTGAGAGGCCAGTTGGTGTGATGTATCTTTTTTGCTTTGCAAAATTCTCATATGCAATCTAACCCAGCCATGCAAAGCAGCAGGATTTATAGCCTTTGGATTTAATGTCTCAAGAGAAGCAGGTGGCAGGTAAGGGAAAATGTTAGTAAATATTAAGCCCATGTCTCCCCAGCCTTGGATCATGTATTCCCTGGGTACTGATACTCATATGTATCAGAAGTCATATTCAAATAGTCAGTTGAAAAAATATCCATGCATCCATCTACAAATATTTATTGACTATCTACTATATAGAAAGACCCTGTTGGCCACAGAATCTTAGTTCATGTCCTCAGTGAGCTTTACAATTTGGTGAGAGCAGGAAGCAAACAACCAAGCAAGAATGAAGTAGACGGCTGGGTGCGGTGGCTCACAGCTGTAATCCCAGCACTTTGGGAGGCTGAGGTGGGTGGATCACCTGAAGTCAGGAGTTTGAGACCAGCTTGGCTAACATGGTGAAACGCTGTCTCTACTAAAAATACAAAAAATTAGCTGGGCATGGTGGCACATGCCTGTAATCCCAGCAACTTGAGAGGCTGAAGCAGGAGAATTGCTTGAATCTGGGAGATGGAGGGTGTGGTGAGCCAAGATTGTGCCATTGCACTCCAGTCTGGGTGACAGAGTGAGACTCTGTCTCAAAAAAATAAAAAAATAAAAAGTAAAGTAGAGCTAAGTACAGCAAACAGGCAACATTGTTGCCTACCCAATCTTCCCAGTCAAAAGATAATGACAGTCAAAGGGAGATTACTGTCTCCCACCCTAGACCAACAACACATTGTTGGGCCATTTGTTGAGGCCTAGTTATGTACCACGCATTGTGCTACACACATTACATGTGCTCTGTAATTTAATCATCACATACGTTATATGAAGTCCATACTATTACTAACTTCATTTTATAGATAAGAAAAACTGAGACTCAGAAAAATTAAGTAACTCTCCCAAGATCACACTGTTCAGAGTTGCAGGAATGAGATTTATAACCAGGTCCAAGACCAAGTTCTGAGGATTAGTATTTGGTAGTTCCAAACACAGCCACAGTGAAGAACAGTGGAGAACAATCTGCAGTTTCAACACTCCTGCTAAATGGCTGTTGTTGGTTTCTGGAACTGTACAGAGTAGTGCCCCATGTCAGGGGCCTACAGGCTGAGAACTGAAGACTGGTACCAACTGTAAAGGAAGGGAATGAAAATGCCCATTGATTACTCTTGCTCTGAATGTAATGGCTCTTTAAGACTTTGATGTTTCCTTCAACCTGTGTTCCCAGGGAAGAGGGAAGGTGAGCTGTTTTGCAATAATTCCTCCAAGTCTTCAGACTCTGGCAATAAAGAAACATGTTCAGAAACAAAGACCACACCTTCCCCATGGCAGCTCAGAGAAAGACGAACCCGGCTGCCTGCATCATTCTCTTAAGGGCACAGCTGCAGGATAGCTTCAGCTGCACTGGTCTGGAAACTCTCAAAAGTGGGTCAAGACTCTCAGACTGGTTTTAGCGTAGTTGTATATTCCTGACCCATTTCTGCAGGGAAAGGGAAGGACATGAAGACTGCAGTTGCAGGCTTTGGACATATGAAAAAACCAACAGATGGCGGCACTGCCAAATTACAGGCAGAATGCATGGGGTGGCTTGGCCTTCCCCACCACCTGCTTCCTCTTCTTTGACACCTTTCCTCCAGGATCAAAGATATGTATTTGTGCCAGGAGAAAAACTGCAGTAGAGCTTGGCTTAGTTGTCAGTGGGGCAACACTCAGAAGACTAATTGCCGTGACGGTAGCAAGTGAGCCCCAGAAAAATCTGGGATGTAAAACCATCTGAGACCATTCAGTTGAAGCTATCTTTAAGAGCTGTCAGACTTTATGGTTAGTCCTCCACTCCTAGCAGAGAAAAGAACCTTCGAGCTTGCTATTTCCTCTCTCTAGTCTTACTGTCTTTGTATTCCCAATGTCTAGCAAAGTGGCTGGCATATGACGGATACTTAGATAATGTTTGCCAAACCAATCCAGAAGGAGACATTTAGGGAAAGCTTCAAGGCCATTTGGAAAAATGGCCTTTCTGTTTGGTAGGTAGTGACCTGGAAAAAAGAGGAGCTGCTAAATAAAACCTTGGATCCACCCAGAACCCTATTTTGGGGATGGTCTCTTTTGGAGGCTTTAGATGATGCTGAATGTTCTGGGGTTAGAGTCTGGGAGGACTTCATGTTGAGGTAGGAAAATTCTATAGCTAAATCTGGAGAGACAGAGGCAAGAAGCTCCTTCTAAAATCAGAGTAGGAAAAAATATAATCTGGGGACACAGGGATGTTTTTACTGAAAACTCAAATGGTCAATAGTGAGGCCCCGGTCCAGTAATGCTGGCAGTCAGACTTAAGGTCTAGGGCAATAAGAATCTAGCCTTAAAAAATAGAATCAGGCCGGGCACGGTGGCTCACACCTGTAATCCCAGCACTTTGGGAGGCCGAGGTGGGTGGATCACCTGAGATCGGGAGCTCGAGACCAGACTGACCAACATGGAGAAACTCGGTCTCTACTGAAAATACAAAATTAGCCAGACGTGGTGGCACATGCCTGTAATCCCAGCTACTCGGGAGGCTGAGGCAGGAGAATCGCTTAAGCCTGGGAGGCAGAGGTTGTGGTGAGTCGAGATCACGCCACTGCACTCCAGCCTGGGTGACAGAGCGAGACTGCGTCTCAAAAGGAAAAAAAATTAAAAATAATAAAATAATAGTAATAATAATGGAATCAAGTCAAGCAACCTGATGGAGAAAAAGCCTGTGAAGGCTTCCAAGCATTACCCTGAAAGAACACATTGACCCATCTGATCAATAGGTGCTACAGAAACTCTAGATGCAGATGTCGTGTTTTTCATTTTGACTAACTTGTTTTAAACTTGTCCTCAGCGTTTCTTTCACCCCTTATTTGCAACTACCTTAAGGGTGCCAAGCTGAGCCTCCACCCCAGAATTTCTCTAGGTAATTTAAAGCTGACAACTTTCCCAAGAAGAGCAGCTTTTCTGCCTGGACATTCCTACCAGAACTCATTTCCAGGTAGCATGACAGTCCTGAGTCTAGACTTGTCTGAGAGAGACAGCCTGGGCCAGCCCTACCAGGCCTGCCTTGCCCAACCTCCATACCTCCTCCTGCAGCAAACGCATCTCCTGAAAAATAGCCAGAAGCTTCCTGCAGAGCCAAAGACTTGGGGGGAATTTCACTGTGAGGTTACACTCTTCAGTTTCCTCGGGAGGAATGCAGCCTGTTCGGAAGGTGTTCATCCTACCGGTTTCAGCAGAGCACCTGGTAATGCTGACATACATGTGTGTTTAGAAGGAGCCTTTTCTTTCCCATCATTCTCTCCACCCCCTCCTGCACTTCGCTTCTGCCCTACATATACATAGACTTAATCTAACATCGCAACTGCCACAGGGGAAAGCGAATGTGCAGAGAGACTGTTCTAGATAAAGTTGTTCCTTTTAGTTTCAGCAAAGCTGCCCTCAAGCAGAATTCTGACTGCTGTGCTGATTCAAGGTCTCTTCCTTCAGTTGCCAACTCAGATGCAAGATCTGGACTTTCTTGCTTGGATGTACAGCCCACAGGGAGCTGAAGGACTCTCAAATATGTCTCCCTCATGGCAGGCAAGCTGGCACTGTGGAGGCCACAATTTTTTCCCTTCAAATTGCTACGGCATCTGAAATTCTCGTTAATCTTCCAGCGCTTTGAAAAGGTAATCTCCTGGGAGGATTAGGATAGCAACCGATAGTGCATACCTTAAGTGTATCAATTAATCAGAACCGTCTTCATAGCACTCAGCTAAGATTCCAGATTCCTGGAGCAAGAAGTGCTGCTGGAAGACATTAGTTACCCCAGGAGGCCACAGAGAGGAGCTAGTCCGAGGGAGAATTGCCCAGATGACAACGACAAGCCTCACTTTTCCCAGGCACGGCAGTAAATATTAAGCTTCTATCTCCCTAGCCTTGGATTATGTATTTCCTAGGCTTGTCCTCACCTTTCACTCCCTGCCCTGCTAAAAGGCTCTTTGGAAAGAATGCCCCAGAAGCAGCACTTCAAATGCGGTTTGCAGCCTTGTGATGGTCCTGGAAAGTCCTTATAGTGGTCTTGTGGACAATTCAAATGACATGGGTGTGGTTCCTCGGTATAATCCTCCGCCCTGTGCTCCAAATGATGCTGGACAGTTAAATCCGAGGTGCTCACTTATGAGGGAGAGATTGCAGTGTCCTAGAAGCATCATCATCATTACTATTGTAGAACACGTCCCTAGAATTCATGAATTCAGCCTTTGACATTCATTCATTCAGTGAGGTTTTATCAAGTATTTTTTCTATGCATTGTGTTAGGACAGGAGACAATAAAAAAAAAACAGTGCCCCTGTCTTAAAAGAGTTTGTGTGTCAGCAATGGGTTGGGGAAAAGGGTGCATGTGTAAAGTCATAACTACTGATGCCATGGGACAATTCTCTTAATACTTATAGGAATATAGAGGTGCTGTGGGCACCCATCCCATGGCTCTAGGGGCCAAGGACATCTTCCCAGAGCAGCTGACTTTGAACAGAGTTTTGGAGGAATGGTAATTTACCATGCAGATGAGAAAGAAGACTATTCTCGGGAGGCAACATGCCTCCTACTGTTCAGGACATGGAGCATGGACTTGCTGAACTTTACTCCTTCCTTCATTAAAAAACTAGATTTTTGCTTGGTGCAGTGGCTTGTGCCTGTAATCTCAGCACTTTGGGAGGCTGAGTAGAGCCTGGACAACATTGCAAGACCCTATCTCTACAAAAAAATAAAAAAAATTAGCCAGGCATGGTGGCTCACACCTGTAGTTCTAGCTACTCAGGAGGCTGAGGTGGGAGGATCGCTTGAGCCCAGGAGTTTGAGGCTGCAGTGAGCCATGATTGTGCCATTGCACTCCAGCGTGGGTGATAGAATGAAACCTTGTCTCTAAAAAAAAAAAAAAAAAAAAAAAAAAAAAAAAAAAAAGCAACAACAACTAGATTTTTGAAGGAAGAGGAGAGTGAGTTTTTCAGTCCAGAGTATATGAAGGAGAATAGGGAGAACTTAGGTTGGAGTTAGACCTTTCTACCCTTCGGCTAATCTACCGTCTGTCTCCTATCAATTCTACTCTCTAAATGCAATGGCTGGCTGGGCACAGTGGCTCATGCCTGTAATCCCAGCACTTTGGGAGGCCGAGGCAGGCAGATCACCTGAGGTCAGGAGTTTGAGACCAGCCTGGCCAACATGGTGAAACCCCATCTCTACTAAAAATACAAAAATTAGCTGGGCATGGTGGTGCATGCCTGTAATCTTAGCTATTCAGGAGGCTGAGACAGGAGAATCACTTGAACTTGGGAGGTGGAGGTTGCAGTGAGCCGAGATCACGCCACTGTACTCCAGCCTGGGTGATAGAATGACATTCTGTCTCAAAAAAAAAAATAAATAAAAATTAAAAATAAATAAATAAATAAATGCAGTGACTTAGGGACACAGCTAATTTGTCCTCTGCTGTCAGTCCACATTGCCAGCTCATTCAGACCCTCATCATCTCTTCACCTCCTCTCTCAACTGCTCCTCCTGTTTCTGGCTTCTTCCCCTTCCGATTCATTTCGACACCACCATTAGGGTTCTTTTCCCGTTACAAGTTTTACTTTATCATTTTTCTGCATAGCATATCTCAGTGCTTACAATCATTTCAGGATAATCCCCAACCCTTAGAATGGCTTCTACTATCAGGCCCTGTGTGACCCAGCCCTTACCTACCTCCATAGCTCTGATTCCACGGCTCCTACCTTGCACCTTGCTTTAGATAAACTAAACTACAAACACGCTGTGTTGTTCATGCCTTCAGGTCTTTGTCCATGCTATTCCCTCTCTCTGGAAAATGCTTCTGCATCCTGTCCTCTCAACAAACTTCCATTCATCCTTTAAATGTGGATTCAAATGCCACCTCCCTCAACCTTCCCATACAGACTTAATCACTGCTATTACTTATTTATGTTGATAGTGTTACTCATCACGCTGCTGTTGGAATGAGCTCTTCACAGCATGCTCCTCTGCCACATGCTGAGCAGCTTCAGAAGCAAGTTGATTCATTTTCACAGCTCCAGTCCTTAGCACAAGGCTTGGCTCATTATGGTGCGAAATGGAACAGACCACTGAGTCAGGCTAGGCCAGCATACAGGGGTTCTCAGTGACAATCACCTGGGGAGCTATAAAGTACCCCAGACCACCAATACTGGGGCTGAGTATTTTTTTGTTTTGTTTTGTTTTTATGAAAGCTCTCTAGGAATTTATAATGTGAAGCCAAGGTTGAAATCTACTGGGGATACAAAGTGAAAGGATTTGAGAATCAGAAGACCTGAATTCTGAACACTGCTCTGGATTTATTTCACTATCTTAGGCAAGTCAGTTATTTCTCTGGCCTCATTTTCTCAACTGTAAATTGGGAGTTCTGAACTAGAAGATTGCTAAGGCCCTGTATTAGTTCGTCCTCATGCTGCTAATAAAGACATACCTGAGACTGAGTAATTTATAAAGGAAAGAGGTTTAATTGACTCATAGTTCCACAGGGCTAGGGAGGGCTCAGGAAACTTACAATCATGGTGCAAGGGGAGGCAAACACGTCTTTCTTCACATGTAGGCAGCAAGGAGAAGTGCCGAGCAAAAGGGCACTTATAAAAGCCCCTTATAAAATCATCAGACCTTGTGAGAACTCACTCACTATTAGGAGAACAGCATGAGGGTAACTGCCCCCATGATTAAATTACCTCCCACTGGGTCTCTCCCATGACACCTGGGGATTATGGAAACTACAATTCAAGATGAGATTTGGGTGGGGAGACAGCCAAACCATATCAGGCCAATTTCATATCATTGACACTTCTCCAAATGTCATTAAGCATTGCTAGGTCAGAGTGAGATAGCAGGTGCCTGGCCATTGAGGCTTGGCTCTACTCTTTACCTCTTTCCAGGAAGGGGACAATCACTGCTTGCCTTTTAGCCTTTCCTGTTCTTCCCTCGGCTCCTTCTCCTTTTGCTCTATCTTTCCCACTGAGGTTGGGGATTTTCTCTAAGCCACCCTCGCCAGGAGGTAGGAGCACTTCTGGCAGCAAGCAGCCTCCGACTGATTGTTGGCTCAGGGTTTCACACTGCTATGCTGAAGAGGGATTGCCAAGAGCCGCAAGCAGGATCTGTTTCTTGTCCCTGAAGATAATTTCTTTCAGGAATGAATGGGTTGCACCTATTGCGTTTTCTTTTCAAAATGTCATGCTGCATTTTTGAGAGTACATGTAGGAATATATAAAGTGTTAACCGCAAAGAAAAATAAATATAAACAAGGCTTCCTTTGTACTTTGCTGACTGATCTGGAGGAGCGGGGTGCTGGGTGGGAGCCCTCACTGCTGTGAAGTTCAGGCTTCCTGGTTGGGCATCTGGAGATTCTCCAACACTTAGTCACTGAGAACAAGAGCTACCTCTTGCAGCCCCTGCAAACAGTTTCTATCAATGGCAATCCAATATGTCTCACCTATGAAGGTGAGACTTTGTCTTATGGTAATGGACAAAGACAGAGCCCATGAAGGCTCCATTTCCATTTGAAATAAATCATATCAGCCTGTCCCCACAGTCAATATGAATTTGATATCTCACAAATTAAAGCAACTCTCACTTGAGCCGACACAATCCATTATCCTGCCATCTGTTGTCCTGGTTTCCAAACAGGGATAATGAAAAGATATGCATTTCTTGAAAGCTTGGCACTTTGGGAGCAGAAGAAAACACACATTCTTTTAAAAGATGTTAAACTGGCTCTCTCAGATTAATGCCATGAAATCCAGCCTTGAGTCTTTATAGCCTGCAAATTGCTGACTTTTCTCATTTCTACTATGTTGTATTCTCATGCTGATTAGGGAAAAGTAACAAAACTCCTTTTCCTTTCTCTGCCATTTTTGATTATCAGTTCCTAACGCCAGTTGTACATTAGAATTCTTGGAGGAGTTTTGGAAATACACGGATGCCAGGACTGCCCCTTCCTTCAAAGATTCTGATGTAATTGGTCTAGGATGGGGTCCAGGTTCCTATTGTTGTAGGACTTTTCCTTAGTTCAGCTAAGAGCTGGGTCCTTGTCACCTGGCCATGAAATAGGCTCACAGACACTTTGATGGATGAGAAAAATGGAATTTATTAGGCGAAAAGGAACCGGAGAACAGAGGATGCCTGGCTCTTCCCTCCTGCAAATGGTGTGAACTTCCCAAGGCTCCACCCTGTTCTCCCAGTGCACAGGTTGGTCGGAGTTTTGCCAGGGAGCCCTTACCACCTGACAGTCTCATTATAGTCTTTTCCTTTCTTTTTGAGATGGAACTCATTCTGTTGCCCACCCCGGAGCGCTGTGGCGCGATCTCAGTTCACTGCAACCTCTGCCTCCCAGGTTCAAGTAATTCTCCTGTCTTGGCCTCCCGAGTAGCTGGGATTACAGGCATGTGCCACCACACCTGGCTAATTTTTGTATTTTTGGTAGAGATGAGGTTTCACCATGTTGGCCAGGCTGGTCTTCAACTCCTGACCTCAGGTAATCCACCTGCCTCAGCCTCCCAAAGTACTGGGATTACAGGTGTAAGCCACCACTCCTGACCCTCATTATAATCTTGAAAAGCTCACTAGGTGATTCTAATATGCAGTCAGGGTTGAAAACCACTGGACTCAGCATTATAGAGCATGGTCTGCCCTTATTTTATGAAAATAATTCACAGAAGTTGAATATGTTCTTGTGAGTTTCTTTTTTTTTTTTCCTTCAAATTTAGCATTTATTGCACTGTTGTGGATAGATACACGTGAGATAGCAAGATAAACATACCAGACCAGGCGAGGTGGGTCATAATAGACTCTGCATCACTCCCCAGCTTAAGGTAACATAATCATTCCCCACTTCCTCAGCTAACAGCCAAGACCTTCCACGATTGGCTCCTGCCCCAATTTTTGGGCTCTCCTCCTGCCTCTCTGCTTCCTCAAGAACACTTGCTCCTGTTCTGCTGAATGCTTACGGTTCCCCAAACACCCAGCTCTGTGCCTAGAAACTTGTCTATTCTGGCCCTGCGCTTTTAAACCAGACCCACCCACGAAGTGGCTGCCACCAATAAACAGGAGCCTCCGTCTCCTGCAGCCCACCTCTTTGTTCCTGCTCTACCTGCTTCTGATCTTTTGACTCTGTTGCCATCTGACCTGGATTTGTCTATGTTGACCTCCCAGGTCTCTAAAGGGCTTGACTGGCACTCCTCTCTGGCTCTCCCGACTCCTGTTCAGCCTGGCTTTAAGGCTCCTGGCCAACTTGCTTTGGAGGGCCCCATTTTGGCTCCTGGTGAGCAGGGGTTCAATAGCTCTTGCTTTACTCTTTCATCTGAAATGCCCTTTCCTCACTTCTCAGCCAAAGGAGCTTCTCAAGACTTAGTTTAAAACCCACGTCCTCGAAGATATCCTTTTCAATGTTCCCAGGAAGAATTAGCCACTCCTTTCTTGGGGCTGTCCTGATGCTCTGTGTACACACGGAACGCTGCCCTTATCACATCACTGGTTTACACGTCTACCTCCCCCTTGGGGCCAGGAACTTATCTTAATAGACCTGCTGCTGTGCCAGGCACTCAGTGAGTGCTTCCTAAATGTTTGTGCAATGAACAAAGGCTTGCTGACTTCTGTCTCAGTTACATTCTGGCTTCTATATGTTGGTTATCTAGGGGACGCTAACCACAGATTGCTCCATTAGTAACAGTATAAAGTTAAGAAATGTGTGAATCTTAACAAGGCCATCGTTCCTCCTTCCTGGGCTGGGTCATTCAAGCCTCTTAGATGTATTTATGGCTTTATTGCTCATGGTTACCTTATTATTTTATTTTATTTTTTTTGAGACGGAGTCTTGCTCTGTCGCCCAGGCTGGAGTGCAGTGGTGCAATCTCGGCTCACTGTCAGCTCTGCCTCCCGGGTTCACGCCATTCTCCTGCCTCAGCCTCCCCAGCAGCTGGGACTATAGGCACCCGCCACCATGCCCGGCTAATTTTTGTATTTTTAGTAGAGACGGGGTTTCACCGTATTAGCCAGGATGGTCTCAATCTCCTGACCTTGTGATCCACCCGCCTCGGCCTCCCAAAGTGCTGGGATTACAGGCATGAGCCACCGCGCCCAGACACCTTATTATTTTATATGCTGCTCACTTTGACATTCCTGCTCAACATTGCCTTACCTTAGGAATTAGTCCACCTTTTTAGAGTTGTGCAGTATCTGAGTGGGATTCCCAGATGATAATTACCATGAGTCCCTCAGCAACGTGTTAATAATTATAGACAGGATGAAGCTTAGCAATGTTTAATATATGCATCCTTAAAACCCAATATGTAATCCTTACAGATGAATAATGCAACCCTTGTTCTTGCAGTTATTTTCAGCTTTTCCTTTTTATTACTTACCTCACTAGAGGCTGACCTGTGAAAACACAGAGATCTTTGTAAGGACAGATTCGTTGACCTTATCCAAGAGTTCTTTTTTCTGGCAACACCAGGAAGAGCTCATTATAGTTTTGCTTGTGGCCTTGTCCCACAGCATAGCCTCTGAGGACAGCTCTGGGCCACAGTCGGGCTCTAGTGAATACTATAAAAAGTCATGAGAGATACAAGACATATACAAAAGACCCAGGCCTCCACTTGAGATGCAATACTCAGACACCAGAAAAGCACAAAATATGTCTAGTGTTTCCTTGTAACAGACAATGACTTGATGGTATTCAGGAACAAGGACTAACTTTGGCTTAGAGGTTGGGATAATTGTCATCTTTTCAATAGCAGCCATGACAATGCCATGTAGGAAAAAAACATCAAAGATACTTTTTAATTTTATAGGCATAATTGTATTTATTTTCTATAGCCAAGTATTAAAAAAAATTGTTCATAGGCAAGACAAACAAGGCTAAGCATTTTGACCAAGATCACAAGAAAGAGGGACTTTGCAGGTAGGCTTCTGGATTTAAAATCCAGTATTTTACATGCAGTGTTGAATTCTGTTTCCCATGAAGCAGCTGAAAGTGCCAGTTGGAGTGTTGTGGGCAAGGTCATGGGTTTTGTACCCAGTGACTCACTTAGCTACAAGAGGAAAAGGACTGTACATTTCATCTTCATTCTTACCAGGACACATGGCTTCCTAAATATACTCATTGGTGTTTCAGACAATCACACTTTATTGAACATTACCTTTATGCCAGGCTCTGTGCTTCATGCTGGAAATGTAGTCTTGTTCTCAAGAAGAGCAGAATTTAATAACAAAGACATACAAGCAAATACAGTGTAATAAGGACTCTGATAGAGGGAAACGTGGGCATGAATGGAGCCAGAGGAAGCTTGTCTAACTCGAAATGGGGGTTGGGGTCAGCAAAAGTTTCTGGGAATCCCCTGATCACAAACATCATGAAAACTGGTTAGGCTAGTTGGAGCTAGCCAGGGAAGGGGCTTTCCAGGAAGAGGGGACAGTGTTTGCAGTCATGCATTGTGGTAAAAGAGCATGACATATCTGAGAAATAGCAAGTGATCTAGCATGGTGAGATTTTTTTAAGGAGACACTGCAAGGTAGGAGAGGCAGGCAGGGTCCAAATTGAAAGTAGCCTTGGGGCCCACTCTAGGGAAGTTTAACTTTATCTTCACTGTTTTAACAAGACATGAAGGGTCTTAGATTGGGGTGGGAGTGTATGTTTCATGAAGATCCATTGCAAAGTCATATGGAAGAGGAACAGGTGGGAAACATCTGTTCCTGGAGGCAGAGCCTTGGATTCCCTGGGGAATGGCAGGAGGGGGAAGATGGCAGAAAAAGGCAGAGGACATCACTGAAGACCAAGTCTATCCAGTGTCATTAAAGGTCTTTTGTGTCCCGGGTGCCATGCTAAGTGCTCTTCATGCCTTGCCCCAAATTATCCTCATACCAACACCAGGAAGTGACTATCAGTTATCTTCATTTATAGAGAGTAAAGCCGAGGCTGTGTGTCATACACCTATAACTGTTGGAGCAGGGATTTGAACTGATCCCTAAATTAACTCCAGAAGCTGTGAAGTTAACCTCTCTGTTATATTGCCTTTTGTTGAGGATTGGCCTCATCCAGAATACAGAACAAAGCCTTTTTCTAAGACACAGGGACTTTTCAGATGGGGCAGCTCAATTTTTTTTTTTTTTTAGTTACATAGTAATAGAGAAGGGATCCTTTGTATTGCAAGCCAATACTTGGTAAGGATTCCAAAAGTGGTTTGTGGAAAACAGACTGTAGCCTTCATCTTTGGACATAGCTTGAACACAACAGGGGAATTCTTGTTTTGCTGGATGGGGCTGGGATTGGTGGAACTGAGAACCAAGATGAGGTGATAAATCTCACCTATTCTGGCCCTTTGCAGCAGTTCCCTTCCTTTGGGACTGTCATGTCGTGCTGCACCTTCGCCCCCATCAAGGGACTGCAGTAGAAGCAGTCGTATTACAAGGTGGACCAATGGCTCCTTCTGAGGGTTTAGGATGGCTGACTAGAGGAGAGCGGGGGTGGAGGTCCTCTCTCCGGTGGATGAACCTGCAAGATGAAATAGCCAGAAGCTAGGCTGGGCATGGTGGCTTACGCCTGTAATCTCAGAACTTTGGGAAACCGAGGTGAGTGGATCATGAGGTCAGGAGATCGAGACCAGCCTGGCCAACATGGTGAAACCCTGTCTTTACTAAAAATACAAAAATTAGCTGGGCGTGGTGGCAGGCACCTGTAGTCCCAGCTACTCAGGAGGCTGAGGGAGGAGAATCGCTTTAAGGTGGGAGGTGGAGGTTGCAGTGAGCCAAGATTGTGCCACTGCACTCTAGCCTGGGCAACAGAGCGAGACTCCGTCTCAAAAAAAAAAAAAAAAAAAAAAAGAAAAGAAAAGAAAAAAAAGAAAAAAAAAGAAATAGCCAGGAGTTGTTGGTGGCCAGGTTTTCAACTGTGAAGAGAAAGCTGGACTTTAGAGATGAGTAGGAACTTGACCTCCTGTAGGAAGAAGCAGAGACTGGCAGAGATGTAGCTCCTGGTTTTAGCTGTTTGTGAATTTCAGCTGCATCCAAGCCTTTTTAAGAACTGGATTATTTGATTCTTCCTTGAATCTTAGAAATGTTCCTAGTATTGTCAGTGATGACTCAGCCTGTAATCTCAGCACTTTGGGAGGCTGAGGCAGGCGGATCACCTGAGGTCAGAGTTCGAGACCAGCCTGACCAAAATGGTATAACCCTGTCTCTACTAAAAAAAATACAAAAATTAGCTGGGTGTGGTGGTGGGCACCTGTAATCCCAGCTACTCGGAAGTCTGAAGGGGGAGAATCGCTTGAACCTGGGAGGTGGAGGTTGCAGTGAGCTGAGATCATGCCACTGCACTCCAGCCCGGGTGACAGAGCTAGACTCCATCTCAAAAAAATAAAAGAAATGTTTCTAGATCCATCTAACGTAATCTTTTTATTTGCTCTCAGCAAAAGAAAGTGTTTGTTCCAGGTCTGTTTGCAGCTGTTTTTCAAAAGGTGTGTCTATCTTAGGTGACTCATGAGTCTATGTAGCCTGATTGGCAAAATGAATTGGCCACTTCTGGTTCTCTGTGTTGTACTTGGATATCTCTGAAAGAGGTGGGATTCTAGGGAGGGCCTGGTAATCACTTTTTCTAGTCATAACAACTGACTTATCTTTCATTTTTGTTCAACCCTCGTCCATGAGGGAAACCAGAACTTGTCCAGTAGGAGAGTTGGAGGGGCCTCACTGATGCTGATAGGCTGGGGTATGGTTACAAGGGAGCTTCAGGGCTGGTACCAGCCCACTGCTGACAGTCAAATGCAAGGACACAGAATTAGATCATACTCAACCAGGGCCTGGGAACAAGACACAAAGCCCAAAGGGTTTCAAGCCAGCTAGACACCAAAATGGAGCAAGGAGTCAGAGCCTAGTGGAAACAAAGGTAGATGATCTAAGAAAGCGGCTGTCAACGGGATGGGCATGCCCAAGGCTCACTTGTGTTGGCTTCTGACCTGTGTGTGTAGTGGGTCTATTTAGAGTAAACACTAGCCCCAGGTGGACAATTCCAGCAACCACTCAAGGATTAGGTCACCTAATGTGCAATGAACCATAGGCTTGGGGGTGGACCTGGTGTATGTACACAGAGGAGGCAAACAGGAGGGCAGCAGATTAAGCAAGCACATTCTTACACAGATTCCCAGCCCAAGGAAGCCCTCTTCTCATTTTTTTGGCCATGGAAACCATATAGCCATGAAATGGAACATGACTCACCAGTGTACCACTCCATGTGAATTTATGTTAAAGCAACAGATAGGGAATTTCATACAACATCTTTATTTATCCAAACATTTGGCTAATATGGGTGACGATAACAAGCATTATCTGGGTACTCTGTGGAGGCTTGCCATGACACAAATAGACCCAAAGCATGATTTTGTTGCCCCAAAACATGATTTTTGTTCTAATAGCTGTCTGGCACTCACTAATCAAGTCAGTTGAATAAACAGTGCTTCTTTCTGACGCTGTATCAGGCATGGTGTCTGTTGTCTGTCTTTTCTCACAAAGACATTTTTTTCCTAAGTAAGTATAGTATAAAGATGATTATTGAATCAACAAGCCCAGAGGCTTCACACTGCTTTCTTGCAGGGGACCAAGTGGAGAAGGAGTCAGCAGGTTGACCCAAACAGTGATCAGAATCATGCTGGTGGTTGGGAGAAATGGGTTTGACCATCAAAGGAAGGTCAAAGTGAACTAGTGGGAGATGGAGGAGGAACTTGCCCAGCAAGCTCTCACCTCCCATCTGGGAAGCTGAATCCTGCAGCCCAAAGCTGAGGTCTCTTTGTTTTACCCTTGGCTGTAGAGCTAGCTATTTGATAAGTTGAATCAGAGAGGTTAGACCTTATTTGGAAGGCAAGGTTTTTGCATTGCCTAGATATTGAAAGATATCCCTTTGTTTTTATGGGAATGAACAATGGATAATGCAATAGAGGCCATGGCCAACTCCTTCCCTGTCAGCTATGGGGAAACGTGGGTGGTGAGTGATTCAACAGAAGCCCACCGCTCTCCTCCTTTCTTCCAAAAGCAGGATGTGGCACAGGTAGCAAGAAAAAATTCTGGACGTCATCAAGAATTGGCAACGGTGGCCAGGTGTGATGGCTCACGCCTATAATCCCAGCACTTTGGGAGGCCAAGGTGGGCAGATTACCTGAGGTCAGGAGTTCCAGACCAGCCTGGCCAACATGGTGAAACACCGTCTCTACTAAAAATACAAAAATTAGTCAGGTGTGGTGGCGGACGCCTGTAATCCCAGCAACTCAGGAGGCTGAGGCAGGAGAATCGGTTGAACCTGGGAGGCAGAGGTTGCAGTGAGCCGAGATCATTCCACTGCACTCCAGCCTAGGTGACAGAGTGAGACTCCATCTCAAAAAAAAAAAAAAAAAAAAAAATTAAACCCAAGCCCATGGGCTACACATCCCCACCAGCATGGTGGCAGGACCTCAACTCCCCTTTCTAGCCTCCCTTCCATCTAGTATATTTCTGTGGGTGATTGGGTGAGGTCTCAGTCATGGGACCTCATCCCTCTGGGTCACTGCCTGTCTTAGTTCACTGTGCTGCTGCTTCAGCAGAAAACCACAGTATAACTTAAAAGAAAAGAGATTTATTCAGTTTATAGTTCTGGAGGCTGGGCAATCCAAGAGCATGCCACTGACAATAGGTGAGGGTCATCCCATGGTGGAAGGGTGAAGGCAGAAGTGAGCACTGAAGACCAACAGGCACCAGGAGCCAGACTTGCTTTGTAACAACCCACTCTTTTAATAATGATGTTAATCCATTCATGAGGGCTTTGCTCTCCTGACCCAGTCACCTCTTACTAGGTCCCACCTCCCAACACTGTTGCATTGAGGATTAAGTTTTTAACACATGAAATTTTGGGAGACACGTGCAAACCATAGCCCTGCCCATGCTGTGGTGAGCCTCTCTGCAGTTCTGGGGATGCCACAACTACCCTGGCCCTAGAGGATGCCAGTGTCTGGAACCATGCCAGCCCAAAGGGTGGCCACAGACTTGTTCTTAATTCTACTTCACTGAAGGCTCTGGGAAAACCGGAAAGAAAAATAGAGGATCTTCTGCCTGGCTTCTGGATGTGGCTGTTCTCAGAGCCCACAGGCATAGATCTGTTCCCGTGTTTCTCATAGGAGCTTCCTTATCAAACGGCAGAGGCACCTTCCGGAGCCCTCTGGTCAGAGTCAGCTTCTCTTACCACACTCGCAATGCCATCTAGGTGCACAACTCTAGTGGGCAGTGTTTTCATAAAATACAAATGAATGACACCCCCGGAGTTGTCCAGTAGAGTAACCTTGAGTGTACCTACTTCACAGACTTCTCAGGACACAGGCTCTGGAGAGGAAGCCCAGAAAGCCCAAGAAGTTCTTGTCTTTCCCCTGTCCAAGGCCCTCCTTGCAGGCTCTCATTGGATATTTTAGCTTTAGCCTCTTCCTAGTATGCCTGACATTGGGGTGAGCTTGCCCCTTACCCACAGAATGGGGTGCCCTGTGGGCCCCAGAATTGAGTACATATACAGTCCATGACTAACTTTGATTACACCACCATGTGTTCATGAGTCTGTCTCTCCTACTGTGTGCCGCCTAAGGGCAGGGACTGGGTCTTAATTCATCTTTATATGTCTAAAACACATCAATATTAGTCACTGGTGAGTAGAGGATGAATGGATGACTAAGATTCAATAATGGCATTAGCTTTAAAAGGCATCAGCAGGTGATTTCTGAAAACTTGCCAGATCCCCTTGTCTGAGTCCTCCTTTCATCTCCTCCTTGACACCCCTAAGAATCCTTGCCATGGTCCCCTTCCAATCCATCTCACCACCTCCTCACCTCGGCCAGGAATGACCTAGCCCAGTGTTTTTTTTTTTTATTCTTGGCTGCATATTACAATCACATGGGGAGCTTAAAAAATATACTGATGCCTAGATCTCGCTCCAGACCAACTAAACACAGTGTGCAGCTGAGGTTGAGAACCTCCACGCCGAGGCCACCAGAAAGTTCCACATCACATGCTCTGAGGCAGCAGGCTCTTTGAAAGCATGGGTTGGTATTCACAGCACTTGGCATTCATAGTGTACATGGAAAGTCTAGAGAGAAATAAAAAAACAAAAGCAAAACTAAAGAAAACAGGAGGGGAATTAAAAACAAAAAACAACAGAAAAAACACCTTTATGCCCTGGAAAAGAGCCTGCCCTGTGTAATGCACTGGGCAGCTGGATTAGGAATATCTACTGTGAGGTACTAGATAAACTTCTGCCCTGAGACTTTGGTCCTGCAATCCACTGTTGCCCAATCTTCCATGGGCCTTTCAGGCTTTTACTGTGCTCAGCATGTGATCAGCTTGCTGAGGCTCTAACACCTACTGTACTCACTGCAGCCTACTGTTCACTTGCTGCTCAGTGAAGCCTAGGCTGGCCACCATTCTTGCCGAACCCAGGTGACCTCTAGTTTAATTGGCTTTGGTGGCCTCCCAGGAGGTCAACTTGAGATTGTCGGCTGATTACCCAAGGGCCTGCACCCGCCTGGGAGGGCGGCTGAATAACTGCATAGTGATCAGGGCTACAAGGCCATGCCCCTAGGCTGGGCCAGAGCACATAGAGAAACTTAATTTTGACTTTTTAGCTGCCACTGTGGCTGTGAGTCTCTGGAGCCGTTTTTACTTAAAAATGTACCATTAACCTTGCCCTCATGGCTGTCTTTTCCCCAGCTTCCTTCTTCCAGGGGGCCAGAGACTTAATTAAAGACCCTTTACCTTTCTTTACACTTTTGGTCATTTTAATGGGAATGTTTGAATTGGGTTCTGTCCAGAGAAGCCAAGTCAAAAAGCAGTTAACTATTATCTCTCAGGATCATAGTGTGTCAGCGAGGGAATCTGAGACATCACCCATCACAGAGGTTCTCAAGCCTGGCAGTAGAGTAGAACCATCTGGGGAGTTTGAAAAGGACTAGTGGTTAGGCCTGACTAATTCAATAGCATCTCTAGAGGTGGGGCTCAGGCACTGATGTTTGCAAAGCCTCCTTGTGATGCTAATGAATAGTCATGGTTGATAACCATTCACTAATCAAAATTCCTTTATTTTTCATATGAGAAGATTAAGACTGAAGTGCTTGGGGGCAATTCTGAGCTGCTAGCCCTGCTTGGATGTCCAGGTAATCTGGAGGCAGAAGAATAACCCTTATAGTTCTGTTATCCGCCAATTAGATCTCTCTGGAGACTACTAGCCTGCTCTCTCGCCTTCTTTCCACTGTTTACATTTCTGAGTCGGAAATCTGAGAGGGTCGGCCAGACGCAGCGGCTCACGCCTGTAATCCTAGCACTTTGGGAGGCCCAGGCAGGCAGATCTCTATAGGTCAGGAGTTTGAGACCAGCCTGGCCAGCATAGTGAAACCCTATCTCTACTACAATACAAAAATTAGCTGGGCGTGGTGGTGGGAGCCTGTAGTCCCAGCTACTCAGGAGGCTGAGGCAGGATAATTGGTTGAACCTGGCAGGCAGAGGCTACAGTGAGCTGATATTGTGCTGTTGCACTCCAGCCTGGGAGACAGAATGAGACTCTGTCTCAAAAAAAAAAAAAAAAAAAAAAAAGGAAATCTCTGAGATTCTAGAATCTCTCTTCTTTCTAAAACCGCAAACCCTTTTTTTTTTTTTTTGAGATAGAGTCTCACTCTGTTGCCAGGCTAGAGTGCAATGGCACAATCTCGGCTCACTGCAACCTCCGCCTCCCAGGTTCAAGTGATTCTCCTGCCTCAGCCTCCTGAGTAGCTGGGATTACAGGGGCCTGCCACCATGCCTGGCTAATTTTTGTATTTTTAGTGGAGATGAGGTTTCACCATGCTGGCCAGGCTGGTTTTGAACTCCTAACCTCAGGCAATCCGCCTGCCTTGGCCTCTCAAAGTGCTGGGATTACAGGCGTGAGCCACCGCCCCCAGCCTAAAACCCCAAACTCTTAATATACTCATTCAATAGATGTGCCAGTCAAAGTGTACCTTGCCTTGGGTCACCCAGCAAGTGTCTTTGTCCAGGGCTCCATTTTCAGTCCCCCATGGCCGCAATCTGCTGAACTTGGGCTCTCAACAGGGGGTGCCAGGAGCATGGTTCATCTTCAGTCCTATTTCAAAGCTGGAAGTTAGGACACTTTGAACACTTAACTGAGGGGGAAGCTAGACGTTTTGGGGGGTTTTTTTGGCCCTCTTTTCATTTTGTAGGTGCTAAGTCATTATGACAACACAGTGGGGCTGAAGCTGCAGGTGAGGAAGAGGTAACCACGCTGTGTGACAAGCAAAGGACCTAGAGTGGAAAAATTGTAGGAGACATGCGCTCACTCTCACGGTGGTGCAAGAGCCTCTCTGCATGTTACGCTGTTAGCCCCTCATCTGCCTCACCCCAGACCCAGCTCTAAGGCAGGAAGCGGGAGGGCAGCGGAAGGGGAAAAATTCCATCCTAGCTGCAGGGCTAAATCTAGAATTTATTCCAAGTTAAATGTAGATGGAATGCTAATATGCCAGTCTTAGCCTGCCTTAGGCAGCGAGTCCGGCTCAAAGACCAATGACCTTGCAAGCGGAGAAGGCCATCGCTCAGAGCCCCCCATGGACGCCGACGCCGACGCTGAGGAATGTTCAGCCTTTCTCCCTCCCACTGTAGCCCCCTGCTTCACCAGCCTAACGGAGCCTCTGAGCAAAGGTGGCCCCTAGAGAGGCACAGAATAGCGACTCCTCAGAAGGGGCAAGTCTAAATGTTTCTTTTTCTTTTTTTTGACTTGAGACCTTGCTTCAGAAATAAGCTTGAGTCCTGAGGCTTCGCATCGCTCCTAGAGTACAGGGCAGGAAGTGTGACTTCAGAGCATGGGAAAGTAAGTCTCTCCTCTTCTTTGTGGAAATGTTCAACTTCATGGTCCACTCTGGCTGCGGAGTTCATAATTAGAGCTTTATACCCTTTGCCTAATGTGAACTGCAGATTCCTTGGGGGAGTTAGCGTACATTGAACCATATTAGTTCTTACTGAGAGCTGGAATGCCTGCCCCAACGCTGTGTGAAACAACCTCACACCCCTGCGGGCGCGACTTGCGTCCCTTCACTGCTGAGATGAGTGTTAGGCCCTCCTGACCTGAGGCAAAGCTCTTTTCACCATCTGCATCTGATAATCAATTATCATGTGTTATCCTGTGACTTCACTGTATTGTTTTACTGAAATGTATTAATGTTCAATGCAACATGGAATCCTGGACTAAAGAACATTAGTGGAAAAACTGGTGCCGTCCGAATAAGAGTCTGTAGTTAATAGTATTGTAACAATATTGATTACTTTTTCTTTCTCTTTTTTTTTGAGACGGAGTCTCGCTTTGTCCCCCAGGCTGGAGTGCAATGGTATGATCTTGGCTCACTGCAACCTCTGCCTCCCGGGTCCTAGTGATTCTCCTGCCTCAGCCTCCTGAGTAGCTGGGATTACAGGTGCCCGCCACCACATCCAGCTAATTTGTGTATTTTTAGTAGAGACGGGGTTTCAACATGTTGGCCTGGCTGGTCTGGAACTCCTGACCTCAGGTGATCCACCCACCTCGGCCTCCCAAAGTGCTGGGATGATAGGCATGAGCCACTGTACCCAGCTAACGACACTGATTTCTTAGTTTAGACAAATGTACCCTGGTTGAATAAGATGTTAACATTAGGAGAGGCTGGGGGGCAACTATATGGGAGCTCATTGAGCTATCTCTGCAACTTTTTTATAAATTTAAAATTATTCCAGGCCAGACGTGGTGGCTCACGCCTATAATCCCAGCACTTTGGGAGGCCGAGGCGTGCAGATCGCTTGAGGCCAGGAGTTTGAGACCAGCCTGGGCAACATGGCAAAACCTCATCTCTACTAAAAATACAAAAATTAGTGGGGCATGATGACACATGCCTATAATCCCAGCTACTCTGGAGGCTGAGGCAGGAGAATCGCTTGAACCCAGAAGGCAGAGGTTGCAGTGAGCCGAGATCGCACCACTTCACTCCAGCCTTTTAAAATGCACTTTTATAAATATCTTTGACAAAATGCCTTTAAAATGTCTTTTCTGGTGTGTGTGTGTGTGTGTGTGTGTGTGTGTGTGTGTGTGTGTTTGAGTTTCCTTCAGATAACTGAGCTTGTTTTCACATGAAGCGAAAATCTGCTCATGCATATTGTTTGGGAAAGTCTTGTTTTCTTAGAGGTCTGGAGGCTCTAAAAAATACCTACGGCTTCCTTCTATTCATTTTATATATTTTGGTTCAAAGATTTCGTAATTCCATCCCCACCCTGGCTATTCCCTAGGGTTATGAGAGAAAAAGAAAAATATTTTGTAAAGAGCAGGGATTGTATTCTTTTCTTGGCATGTTCCCCTACAGAGCACTGTGTATACTTAAGCCTCTGTATAAATAAGTGACACAAATATAGATGTTATGGGGGAGGGTTCATCTTGCCTGATGGCTTTCTGGGGCCCAGCGCAACTGTTTTGTTCACGTGTTTATGAATTGAGGCTAGCTTGGGCTTTGAATTAGGACCAGGAAGAGATGTAAACACCCACCATATTGATTGTCACACGTGACCATTTTTTGGAATTTGAGGAAGAAGATGATGAAAAGGGAAGGGGAAAAGAAGAAAAACTGGTGGCCGGGCAGTGTGGCTCACGCCTGTAATCCCAGCACTTTGGGAGGCCAAGGTGGGTGAATTACTTGAGGTCAGGAGTTTGAGACCAGCCTGACCAACATGGTGAAACCCCCGTCTCCATTAAAAATATAAAAATTAGCGTGACGTGGTGGCGGGCGCCTGTAATCCCAGCTACTCAGGAAGCTGAGGCAGGAGAGTCGCTTGAACCCAGCAGGCGGAGGTTGCAGTGAGACAAGATCACGCCATTGCACTCCAGCCTGGGCAACAGAGGGAAACTCTGTCTCTAGAAAAAGAAAAAATAGAAGAAGGAGGGTGGGCACTGTGCCTCATGCCTGTAACTCCAGCACTTTGGGAGGCCCTGGCGGGAGGAATGCTTGAGCCCAGGAGTTTGAGACCAACCTGGGCAACATAGCGAGACCTTGTCTTAATTTAAAAAAAAAAATAGAAGAAGGAGATAGGGTTGCAAGAGCCCTAAAAAAGGTGAAGGCTCAGTCGAAAGTGCATCCAGTTTCCTGGGGATCCTGTTGAAATGCAGATTCGGATTCAGTAGGCCTCTAAGGGCTGGGATTCTTCCCGTCAAACCAGCTCCCAGTGAGGCTGCTGCTCCAGGGACCTCACTGGAGAAGTAAGGCCCGGCACAGACTGTACCTTCAAAGCAGTAGTGCAATGGCACTCTCTGTCACTGCTGCTACTCTTGACTTCTGGTTCTCTCTAGCACCTCCCAGATCACTGTTACCGCCTGGATCACTGCCAGTGCTTTTTTTTTTTGGGACATGATGTCAAAAATGCGAAAGCTTTACAAAGCTTCCTTCAACATTGCATAGGGGAAATCTTCTCTTCCAAAGTCTCTCCAGTAGCTTCTTTTTCCCTTCTACCATGATTTTTTATTTCTTGGTCTCATTTCCAGTCCTTTCTCAGTTTGAATCTCTCATTCATTCAATTCTCTGGCCTCCTCTCTCTATTCAAACTAGTTTTATTTCTCTAGAGATTTTTTTGTTTTTGGAGATGGGGGGGATCTCGCTATGTTGCCCAGGCTGGTCTTGAACTCCTGAGCTCAAGAAATCCTCCCACCTCAGCCTCCCGAGCAGCTGGGACTACAGGTGTGTTTCATCATTCCTGGCTAATCTAGAGATTTTAATGCATAGTCTGCACCAAGAATAGTTTCCACCTTTTCTTTTTGGTCCCACCCGGGAACGAAATTAGCATCTCTTAATGGTGGGTAAAATTAGAGTAGACTCAGTGTTTAGTTTTCGTTCATTTCCCAGGCCACTTCTTTATGAAGTAACCTCCATCACAATGTATAGTTTCTAGAAAGTCTGAAGGAGCACTGATGTTTTCCCTCGAATGCAGTTTCTATGTCACCGTGGTAAAGAAGAATTTTCAGGCTTGCAGTCAAGGACAGCCTTTCAAATTCTCTTTGGATGAAACTAATCCCCAAGGCTGCCCAACCTCCCTGTAACTAAGAAGTTTACAAGGCCAAATATTTGATGCACTGGCCTGAAAACAATGATTTGGATGTCAGTCACTGACGACACATCATAATGCTTACCACCACCCTTCCAAACCCACTCCGGACCAGTAAACAGTGATTATGCTGACAGAGCTGAAACAAACCTTTACATCCGTAAGTATCCATTTAACTCCTGAAACCTTAAAGCTTGGCTTGGTGATCATCTCATTAGATTTTTCTGCAGGGTGCCGATACCAAAATGATACAGTATTATTTAAAAGTGGCTTATGTACCATTCTATCAAATGAAACTGTCTATAAACTGGTATTTGCACAAATTTATGTTGTAATGGTAAATGATACTTATCATGAAGAGCCTGGAGCACTCACTTAACTGCCTTCTGAATCATGCAAGAAAGCTGCAATATTTGTATAATATTTTATGGTGTTAAATATATTTGAAGTTAATTCTTGGGAAATTGGCTATCTATGCCTAATAATACCTTAAACTGGCAGATTTATTTCCAGCTTATCCCGCATTTTCAGCAAGAACATTTTATAAACCATATTTTAAAACTGAAGGAATTGAGATGAAGGGACTTGCCCAAAGTCCATAGGTGGTAGTAAGTGGAAAATCAGGACAAGAACCCAAGCCTTCTGTTTTCTTTTATATGGTTCTTTGTTTGCTTAACCAGAACATCCATTCCTCTTACAATTACTAATAGATAAAGTTAACTGAGTGTAATCCTGGGCCTAAAGTGTGACAATAAACTAAGGAGACAAATTTGGTTTTACCTCCATCTACATCCTGGCAGAATTTTCTTTTTCTTTTTTCTTTTTTGAGATGGAATCTTGCTCTGTTGCCCAGGCTGGAGTGCAATGGCACCATCTCGGCTCACTGCAGCCTCCACCTCTCAGATTCAAGAGATTCTCCCACCTCAGCCTCCCAAGGAGCTGGGATTATAGGCATCTGCCATCACACCTGGCTAATTTTTGTATTTTTAGTAGAGACAGGGTTTCACTGTGTTTGCCAGGCTGGTCTCGAACTCCTGACCTCAGGTGATCTGCCCGCCTCAGCCACCCAAAGCACTGGGATTACAGAAGTGAGCCACTGTGCCCCGCCTTTTTTTTTCTTTTTTCTTTTTTTTTTTTTTTTGAGACAGAGTCTCACTCTGTCGCCCAGGCTGGATGGAGTTGCAGTAGTGTGATCTCGGCTCACTGCAACCTCTGCCTCCCAGGTTCAAGCGATTCTCATGCCTCAGCCTCCTGAGTAACTGGGACTATAGGCACCTGCCACCACGCCTGGCTAATTTTTGTATTTTTAGTAGAGACGGGGTTTTACCATGTTGGCCAGGCTAGTCTTGAACTTCTGGCCTCAAGTGATCTGCCGACCTCAACCTCCCAAACTGTTGGGATTATAGGCATGAGCCACTGAGCCCAGTCCAGTATATCCATATCCAAAATTCACATGGAAGTTGTCTTTTAATTTGTCTGGGGACGATATACACTTATAACTTTATTTTTCTTCTCACACTTTTTATGAATCAACCAAGAAAAAGAAAATGGCTTGTTACCTTGGAATCACAGCTAATTTAAATCCAATTTGATTCAACAAACATCGGTTAAGTATCTATGTGGCATGCACAGTGCTGGGCTTTGGAAATAGAGTGGCTGATAAGACATGGTCATCTCCACCTGGAGGGATTTACAGAGTTGTTAACTAATTGCTGAGGCTACTGTAGTGGCCCAAGAGGGAATGGTCAACTGGGAGATGAGTTACTGGGGAGGGAGCAGCTAATTTTTGAGGATGAGCGGGCAATTCCAAGGCATATGGGCATATAGAATGTGTGATTATTCCAGAGGGAGAAAAGCTGATATGTGGTCACACCGCTGGGTCAACCAAGCTGCCAAATAGTCTGGACGCCCGAAGGTGAGAGTCTGGAGGTCATGTGAAGAGACAGGGCTAGGTCAGGCACTATGGCACACACCTTTAATTCCAGCACTGTGGGAGGCTGAGATGGGAGGATCGCTTGAGCCCCTGAGACTACCCTGGCAACATAGTGAGATCCCCATCCCTACAAAAATTTAAAAAATTAGCCAGGCATGGGGGTGAGTACCTGTAGTCCCAGCTACTTGGGAGGCTGAGGAGGGAGGATTGCTTGAGCCTGGGAGGTGGAGGTTGCAGTGAGCCAGCCATGATTGCACCACTGCACTGCAGCCTGGATGACAGAGTGAGACCTTGTCTCAAAAAAAAAAAAAAAAAATTTAAACATTTAAAAATGAGAGAGATAGGGCTGAGCCAAACCCTGTGTGTCACGTTAATGGGCAGTGGAAATTGAAGTTTCCCCATTGACAAGGGGAAACCAAAGAAGAATTTTAAGTAGGAGAGTAACTGTGGCAATTCCAGCTTTTGGCCCACATGAAGTTCCCTCCTCCTCTTCTCTCACTGGTCACTCTTGCTCTCTGACAGGATATACCTTCTGCTCTCCACGTTTATAACCAGCCAGCTCTAGCAAAACCCCTGATGGCCATTTTAGTCAGAGGCCCTACATCCTTTCACTATACAGACTGTAGGATTTTGGGTCCCAAAACATGTTACCCACTCGATGACCTGTTTTATTTGCCAGACTTGACTTAAATGGTTAATCATATTTCTTAATAGTTTGTATGGTTTGGCTCTGTGTCCTCACCCGAATCTTGATGAAATGTAATTTGCAATGTTGGGGAAGAGACCTGGTAGGAGATGATTGGATTGTGGGGGTGGATTTGCCCCTTCCTGCTCTCGTGATAGTGAGTTTTCGTGAGATCTGGGTGTTTAGGTCTTATTGTTTAAAAGTGCATAGCCCCTCCCAATTGGCTCTCTCTCCCTTTCTGCTTTCCAGCCATGAGAAGACATGCCTTGCTTCTCCTCTTCACCTTCTGCCATGATTGTAAGTTTCCTGAGGCTTCCCCAGCTATGCAGAACTGTGAGTCGATTAAACCTCTTTTCTTCATAAATTACCCAGTCTCACGTAGTTCTTTATACCAATGTGAGAATGGACTAACACAATAGTCAAGATAAAAGAAGTCGGGACTTCCCACTAAACAAACTATGAATCTCAGTTCCAGATGCTTGGATAGTCTAAGTTTTGGGCTGTAGTCATCGTTGGTGCTACAAGAATGATGAATTTTAGAGGTCAGTAGGTTGAGTTCTGACTGCAGGAGAAAACAAATCTTACTCTGGTCCAACAGCTTAATACCTGTTTTATTTGAGGATGATCCAGTGTGGTAGTCAGGGTTCTCCAGAGGAACAGAACCAGTAGGATGTGTGTGTGTGTGTGTGTTTGTGTGTGTGTAAAGAAAGTGGCTCACTCAGTTTTAGAGGCTGGCAAGTCTCAAGATCTGCAGGGTGATTCAGCAAACTAGAGACCCAGGAGAGTCGGTGATGTAGTTCCAGTTAAAGTGGAAAGGCCTAAGAACCAGAAGAGCTGATAGTGTAGTTCCAGTCTGAAGGCCAGTAGGCTTGAGACCCAAGAAGAACTGACGTTTCAGTTTGAGTCTGAAGGCAGGAAAAACGAATGTCCCAGTTCAAAGGCAGTCAGGCAGGAGGAATTCTCTCTTACTTAGGGGAGGGTCAAACTTTTGTTTTCTTCAGTCTTTCAACTTATTGAACATCAGACAGGAGAATCTGCTTTACTCAATGTATTAGTCCATTCTTGCACTGCTATAAAGAAATACCCAAGACTGGGTAATTTATAAAGAAAAGAGGTTTAATTGGCTCACCATTCTGCAGGCTGTACAGGAGGCATAGCAGCTTCTAGGGAGGCCTCAGGAAACTTAAAATCATGGTGGAAGGTGAAGGGAAAGCAGGCACATCTTACCTGGCCAGAGCAGGAGCAAGAGAGAGGGAGGAGATGCCACATACTTTTAAACAACCAGATTTCCTGAGAACTCTATCATGAGAACAGCACCAAAGGTGAATATCTGCCCATTGATGCAATCACTCCCCACCAGGCCCCACCTCTAACACTGGGGATTACAATTCAACACGAGATTTGGGTAGGGACACAGATCCAAACCATATCACTCAGTCTATCAAGTTAAATGTTAATCTTATCCAAAAACACTCTCACATCCAAAATAATGTTTGACCAATATCTGGGTACTCTGTGACCCAGTCAGGTTGACAGAAAATTAACCATCACACCCAGTACATCAACAATATTTATACACTATAAAATCATCAATAGCCAGGTGTGGTGGCTCACACCTGTAATCCCAGCACTTTGGGAGGCCAAGGTGGGCAGATCACCTGAGGTCAGGATTTCGAGAGCAGCCTGGCCAACATGGCGAAACCCCATCTCTACTAAAAGTACAGAAATTAGCTGGGCGTGGTGGCAGGCGCTTGTCATCCCAGCTACTCAGGAGGCTGAGGCAGGAGAATTGCTTGAACCCGGGAGGCAGAGGTTGCAGTGAGCTGAGATCAGGTCACTGCACTCCAGCCTGGGCGACAAGAGCCAGACTCCATCTCAAAAAAAAAAAAAAAAAATCATTGACAATTTGTGCAGCACATACAAGGTATGTTTATTTCACAGGCATCCTGGGTTTTGCAAGCTTTATCGTTTGTTTTTTTTTTCTTTTGAGATGAAGTCTCGCTCTGTTGCCCAGGCTAGAGTGCAGTGGTGTGATGTCGGCTCACTGCAAGGTTCGCCTCCTGGGTTCACGCCATTCTCCTGCCTCAGCCTCCCGAGTAGCTGGGACTACAGGTGCCCGCCACCACGCCCGGCTAATTTTTTGTATTTTTTTTTTAGTAGAGACACGGTTTCACCGTGTTAGTCAGGATGGTCTCGATCTCCTGACCTCGTGATCCGCCTGCCTCGGCCTCCCAAAGTGCTGGGATTACAGGCGTGAGCCACCGCGCCCGGCCAGCTTTATCGTTTTTATCAGCTAAGTTTTTAAAATTGAAAGTCCCCCCCAAAGGGGCAGCATATATGTAAATACCTATTTTTATCTACCTGTACTTCCTTCACTAATATTTTAATTATCTTTGGTCCTTCCTTTGAAGGATGAAAAATTTAAAGCTACATGTTTCGTATTTTCTTTGAGCCTTCTATCTTGTGCCTTTCTTGTTTTTGGTGATATTTTTAGAAAAAGATATTTAAAATGGTCATTATCAGTACTGTGGGCTCCTAATGAGGAGGAGGGAGGTAATTGGAACCAATGTTGACTTAGAGTGGAGGGGAGAGAGCTGGGGAAAGTGGCTGGAGACCCCTCCTCCACAGGAGGACCTGTGGTCCAAACCACTAAGCTAGGGTAGAGCTGAGTCTGATCCAGCTGGTCTGGTCTGTGGAGATTCTATCTGGGCTGAACATGCAGGGCACAAAATGAGATTTCTAAGGAGAGTTTGGGTGCGCTATTTGTATCCAACATGTTTATTCAAGTATCCATCTGTCCTGGGGAAGAGACTAGAACAAACAGGGCCCCAGCCAGTGCTACCAGGGTTCATGGAAGGACAGGGAGCTGGAAAGGTAATTGGAACCAGAGGTCACTGCAGAGAACAGTAATACAGATGGGCCACGTGCAGTTGCTTGTGATAGGGAGACTACAGGTGCACACTCCTATAGACACAGATTCATTCTTGCCAGGAACACTGGGCATGGGACTCTTTTCACCTCCCCCTCAACGGTAGGTGATATGGTTTGGTTGTGTTCCCAACCAATCTCATCTTGAATTGTAGTTCCATAATCACCACGTGTGTGAGCGAAACCAGGTGGAGATAAATGAATCATGGGGGCAGTTTTCCCCATTGTGTTCTTGTGATAGTGAGTTAGTTCTCACAAGAGCTGATGGTTTTATAAGGGGCTTCCCCGCTTCACTGGGCACTCATTCTCCTGCCGCCCTGTGAAGAGGTGCCTTCTGCATGATTGTAAGTTTTTCTGAGGCCTCGCCAGCCATGCAGAACTGTGAGTCAATTGAAATATTTTCCTTTATAAATTACCTAGTCTCCGGTATTTCTTCATAGCAGTGTGAGAACCGACTAATACAGTAGGGAAGGCTCTACGTGCATTGTGAGACTGAACTTCCAATTCTGAAGAGCTTTCCTCTTCGCCCTCTTTGGTATTTATTCCACAGTTACCACTGTCTTACATTTACATTTGTTACTTTACAGTTTACATCAGAGCAGTTTCATGCATAGTGCTTCAATCTGAATCTGATATCAGCCTTGAAAGATGAGTAAAGGAGACATGAGGGAATGGACAGCAAGCAATTTAACCAAAGCCACATACAGTTATTTTGCTCCCTGCTCAAGTTCAAGGCTCCCATATCCTTAGATCAGTTCCAAGAGTCTACAGGAAGCTGCTGGCTCAGAAAACCAATGGTTCTGCATAAAGAGATATCCGTGGCTCTGCTAAGGTTTGGATCGGGCATTGGGAGCCCCATCTGGGTGAGTGCCATGGGCCCCTGTCTCTGAGTCAGTCTTTCCCAACTTCTTGTTTGTTTGTTTGTTTTTGAGACGGAGTCTTGCTCTGTCGCCCAGGCTGGAGTGCAGCCGCGCGATCTCTGCTCACTGCAAGCTCCGCCTCCTGGGTTCACGCCATTCTCTTGCGTCAGCCTCCCGAGTAGCTGGGACTACAGGCGCCCGCCAGCATGCCCGGCTAATTTTTTGCATTTTTAGTAGAGACGGGGTTTCACCTTGTTAGCCAGGATGGTCTCGATTTCCTGACCTCGTGATCCGCCCGCCTCGGCCTCCCAAAGTGCTGGGATTACAGGCATGAGCCACCGCGCCCGGCCTCTTTCCCAACTTCTTGTAGCCTGATTCTGAAATCTGCAGCTCATCAGCCCACCCTTGAATGATCTCTCCCTTGAATGATGACCCTGGATTTGACCTAGATCCTCACAGTTTGTCTGCAAAGCCCATACCTATCTCTTTAATGGAAGGAGATAGAGCACTAGTTATCTCCAGATCCCTCGGGGTAAGAGTCTAGGGGAGCAAGCACCCGTCTGGGTAATGAATATTTCCTTCCTGCCTCACATTTTATTCCCCTTCATGAGGAATTTCTTGTGTGTCCTTTTTGATGATTAAAAATTATGTCTTGGCCAGGGGCAGTGGCTCACACCTGTAATCCCAGTGCTTTGGGAGGCTGAGCCAGGAGGATTGGTTGAGGCCAGGAGTTTGAAAACAGCCTGGCCAACATAGCAAGACTCTGTCTTTATCTTTTTTTTTTTTGAGACGAAGCTTGCTGTGTCAACCAGGCTGGAGTGCAGTGGCATGATCTCGGCTCACTGCAACATCCACCTCCTGGGTTCAAGCAATTCTCCTGCTTTGGCCTTCTGAGTAGCTGGGATTACTGGCAAGCGCCACATGCCCAGCTAATTTTTGTATTTTTAGTAGAGATGGGGTTTCACCATGTTGCTCAGGCTGGTGTTGAATTCCTGACCTCATGATCTGCCTGCCTCGGCCTCCCAAAGTGATGGGATTACAGGCATGAGCCACGATGCCCAGCCTATCTTTTTTAATTTTTAAAAATTATGTCTCTCTTATGGATGGCAGTCTTGCTGTTATGATGATCCTTTTCGGGATCTTTGGTCTTTGTGAGATGTGGAAGTAAACCTGCATGCCATACATGGGAGTGCTAAAGGGCAATGAATGATTAATTCATTTTAAAGCCACAAACTGAGTACGAGGTGAGACAGAAGCAGGCTGTAAATCCCTTTACTCCTAAACTCTGCCTCTCTCTAAACTGACAGACAACATTGGAGAGCTCTTTGATTCCTCTATTTAGCCAGCACAAAGAACTAGCTATAAATCTCCTGCAGGTAGAAGGTGCCAAGAGAATGAAAGTGACACGATGCTACTGTTCATTCTTTTCTCGTCTTTTGGTGTCCTTCCTAACACCCAAAGCTAAAGATTCTGAGAAGACACTAGGGTGGTTGGTCACAGTGTAGGGTATCACAAAACAGTCAGCTCTTCCACCTTCACCCTCCCAAATGTACTTGTTCCTAATGTACTTAGAACTCTTAACCGTGGACTTTGGGGCACAGGATGGGTCTCAGACCAAGTTGCTGGCTGAGGAACATATATATACACCCATCTCCACCATAGACTGAGCTGCAAGGGGTTTTGGAGGCTTATGGCTCTTTGACTATGTTTGAAAGTGAACCAGACAGTCTTCAACATAGGAAATAAATGGCACTCTTCTTATCATTCTACGTCTCAGGTTGGGTGCCCTAGAAGCTGATCCCCAGGTGAGGGTTCAGGTGCACATGTTAATGGGGCAGCGGTGTAGCAGAAAGGGGTGTGTGAAACAGGATGAGACATGGGAAGGAACCAAGCAAGAATGTGATCCCAGATGGAGTCTAGCTTCAGTCTGGCCCCTAAGGACATGACTTGCACCACAGAGTTGCTCTGACCTTCAGACAGGGGTGCAGCCTTGTGTATAGGGGATCACTCCCCGTCAATCAGGAGTTGGTTGGCTATCCTGGATGGGAGTGGTGGTGTACACTCCAGGATGAGGGCCTCTTGTGCAGCTGAGGGCATTCTCTGGAGAAGAGGCCAGCTGTGAGCCCTTTGCAGCCATCAAGGAGAGGCACCAACAGAGTTCACCTGTGACATGAGGAGCCATAGGACCAACACAGGCCATTGGGCAGAGCTGAGATCATAGAGACACCTGTCGTAATTTGGCTTCCTAGAATTAGGCTGAGGAGGTATACTTTTATTAAGAGGTGGATCTAGGTTTTGTGTGGCCTGAAATTGTAATTCGGGGAGCCCTTTTTAAGGACAAGAACACAAAACCGTGAATTCAAAATTAGGTTCACAACCTGTGCAAGTGGCAGGCTCTGAAGCTGAAGCTTTGTGAGCTTCATCTGCCTCTGGGTGTTTCAGTTCCTTTGGCCAGAAGAAAAAAATGAGGTTGAGAGCTTAAGTGAAATTGCCCAAAGACATCAATTAAAGAGGTGGCTGGAGATAGAGCCTGATTCTTTTGGTTCATAGTCCAACACCTCCTCTGTTATAGCACGAGCCATACCCACTGCAGAGGACTGCTGGGAGGGCTAGAAGATAATAAACAAGAACATGCTTTGTAAGCTGTCCCTGAAGTGCCACGTGGCTATAAGGCATTATGATTAAATGGGCAATTGATCTGTGAGGTGGGATGTTTCCAACTTGAATAATTTGGTCAAAGGAGATATATTTTTTATCTCCGGAGTTTTCCACACTGGCTTGCTAGGTTTGTACAATTTTTTTCCCTTTTTTTCACATTCCTAGTTTGATTCAAAGTTGCAAGCTTCCAAAATTGGCATAAGTCATAAAATAATAAATCTCTCAGGCTTGCAGCTACTTGCCTCAGCATGAAAATAGAAAATGGAGGCTTTGTCATAGAAAACAAGAGCATTCTTCCTTATTCTCTCAGAATGAATCGTTGATGAGCAGTCAACCATTCTTAAGAGGCAAGGCTGAGCAGATAAGAAAGGGTGCTCTCCGGAATTTATGGTGCAGAGCAATGATAGAATGGATTCCTACAAACATTTCTCTGTCCAAAAATTGTTGGCAGCTGGCACAGCTAACTCTTAAGTTCTGGATGCTACAGTTTCTACCCAGTAAGTTCTCCCTCACCCAAGTTTTTATTAACAATGGGTTGGGGAGGTTTCACTTACCTGCTAAAGGTAAGTGGATGTTACTTAGTTGGGATTAAGTTGCCCCTTGCCTTCTTCCCTGCAGACTGGACAGCAATATTGAATTGTTGGACAGTAGCACACTGGAAGAGCTGAACAGCATTACTGAAAAACGCCCTTCTTTCAGAGAACTTTTGTTCACTCTGTCGAAGATGAGGTCCAAGACTCTAGGACTTCAGCATCTGTGCTGGTAGACAGTGCTTATGCTAACCTCCTCTCCTATGAGGGAATCCCTTGTGGAATGTGTCAGGGAGGGGGTCAGTCAGCCACCAATGGAACCCTCCCACTGCCAGGGACTCACTTCTTCCTGACACCTACCTCATTGTTGGGGACTCAGGACAGCTTTTCTTACTCTGCCCTGAAATCTGCCTCCCTTTTATTTTTACCTATTGATATTTCTACCCAGTAAGAGTTATTCTGTGTTAGGCCAGGCGTGGTGGCTCACACCTGTAATCCCAACACTTTGGGAGGCTGAGGTGGGCAGATCACCTGAGGTAAGGAGTTGGAGACCAGCCTGGCAAACATGATGAAACCACGTCTCTAATAAAAATACAAAAATTAGCCAGGTGTGGTGGTGTGCACCTGTAGTCCCAGCTACTGAGGAGTCTGAGGCAGGAGAATCGCTTGAACCTGGGAAGCAGAGGTTGCAGTGAGCCAAAACTGTGCCACTGCACTCCAGCCTGGGCGACAAGAGTGAAACTCTGTCTCAAAAATTAAAAAAAAAAAAAAAAAAAAAGGAGTAGTCATTCTGTGTTACTGAATTTTAGGGAGTAAGACCAAAGACTTCTTCTTGCTTCCTTTTTATACCTTGCAGAAATCATCACACTTGCAATGCTTTTTCACATCTGGTTTTCTTGCTATGCTGTGCAGGCACATTTGACTTCTTTCTAGCTGCTCTCCCATGGCTAGCAAGTGTCTGGCCCATGTTTGGTGTCTGAGAAATGTGTGAGAAATGAATGAATGAGTGAATGAACAAAATCCATTTCTACTACATTACAGCTTTTCAAATATTGAGAGAGTTGTTAGATTGTTTCTCCTATTCTCCATCTTTTTTTTCCAACAAACTAATTACTCTTCAACAGTTCCTTGCATTTTCAGACCCACTTTGTCTTGTCAACTTCCTTTGCCAGTATTAATTCGTATTAAATTGTGGCTTTGGCCAGGCGTGGTGGCTCATGCCTGTAATCCCAGCACTTTGGGAAGCCGAGGCGGGTGAATCACTTGAGGTCAGGAGTTCAAGTACAGGCTGGCCAACATGGGAAACCCTTGTCTCCACTAAAAATTTAAAAAATTAGCCAGGCGTGGTGGCAGGCACCTGTAATCCCAGCTACTAGGGATGCTGAGACACGAGAATTACTTGAACCCAGGAAGCAGAGGTTGCAGTGAGCCGAGATCACGCCACTACACTCCAGCCTGGGTGATGGAGCAAGACTCCGTCAAAAAAAAAAAAAAAAATGTGGCTTTTACAAGTGTTCACAACACCCCAGACAAGGTGTCACTGGGGTGGAGTAGCGTGGGATCATCTTGTGGACACCATGAGCCTTTTATTTAAAGAAGGCTCCATGAATTCCTTCCAATATTTTTATGACTGTTCCTACTCAGACAAAGAAGGATGTCATGTCACTGGATTTGGAGCCAGAACGTAGCTGAGTGTACATTTGAGTTCTGCCACTTGCACCTGTGCTCTTGTGTAATTTGTCCTTTTTGCATTTTAGATTCAGCAGCTGTAAACTGAAGCTAATTCTACAAATCCTTTGTGAAGGTGGACCAAAATAACATATGTAAAGTCCCTGACACATTTCCTGACCTGTGCATAGTAGACACTCAATACATGGGCGCTATAACTATGTTTCATGATCTCTGATTGGGGTAATATCAAGGGAGTCAGTTAGATTAAGGCTATATTCACATTTAATTAGAGTACACAATAGTTAAAGTATGCTAATAAAGAGACCCCTAGAGCTTTGGATATGAAAAAAATCAATGCATATTCTGCATTCAAAAAGCAAAGTCTGTAGCAACTATAAGATCATTTAAATGAACATGATAATACTCTTTTGAGACTTCCCAGAAGTTTTTATAATATAATCTGTTTAGTTCAGGTAAGTCCGGTTTCATCCACAGGGGAACAGAGGCAAGGAAATATATAAGGTGATACACACCTGGTAGGTTTTGCTGTTTCACTGGGCTACAAAGTAGGCCATAGAACCATCTAATATGATTTATAGTAGACTGGAAGGGCAGGATACAACGCAATGCTCCCACCAACTTCAGAGCCACTGGAAGAGCAGAAGAGTGATGGAGAATGTGGAGGCCTGTTGCCTGGGACTAGTTTTCTCCTCTTCCTTTATGCTTGAACAGTTAGGCACAGGTCCATGCTCAGAGATCTCTGCCAAATGCTTACAGAGGGTACCTAGAATTGTCTGCCTGACCTTTGCCTTCTAGTACATCGACTAAAAGGAATTGCTCCAAGCTTTAGACTGCAGCGAGATAGTGAATGTTTTTAGCTCCAAGGTACCTGAGCTCAGCCAGCTGAGAGAGGCCATCTCTTGGCTGGCCTGTTTGATAACAGAGGACATGCTATGTGCAGCTCATTTGTGCTCTAAGGCCTATGGAGAATAACGGCCTGAGGGCCTGGAGTTGGGACTCATAGAATCATTCCTCTTCTGTTTATGTTACTGGTCTGATCATCTTAGATGAGCAGAAGTTACAGTTGGTCTGCTATTTGTCCATTATCTCCTATCCCTCCCTGGTTTTTACACAGTAAGGCCATTTCATTTAGTGGTCTCTCAAGTGTGGGGAGGGGCCCAGTTTGGGGCATGTGGATATTCGCTCTCACTTACCACTTTGTTTATAGAACTCTGTCCTTGGCCTTGGAGAAAGTTCTTCAAGATCAGGAATGGTGAGGGTAGACGGAGAAATGAGTGTGCGTGTGGGCTGATGGTATGATGAAGCTCAGGAGGTGAAGTTTTCAAGATCCTGGGATTTGGGGATCTTCTTGACTAAACATATTTATGGCTTTCATTGTCTGTATTGTACATTCAAGATCAAGAATTAAGATCTTTTTTTTTTTTTTTTTTTTTTTTGAGACGGACTCTTGCTTTGTCGCCCAGCCTGGAGTGCAGTGGTGCGATCTCGGCTCACTGCAAGCTCCGCCTCCCAGGTTCACGCCGTTCTCCTGCTTCAGCCTCCCGAGTAGCTGGGACTACAGGTGCCCACCACCAGGCCCGGCTAATTTTTTCTGTTTTTAGTAGAGACGGGGTTTCACCATGTTAGCCAGGATGGTCTCGCTCTCCTGACCTCGTGATCCGCCTGGGATTACAGGCGTGAGCCACCGCGCCTGGCCAAGATTTAAGATCTTGAAACATAAGTGGGCCATTCATTGAGGCTGGAATGTGAACCAAAGGGGACCCACGTCCTTGGAACTTTTCTTTTTCCTTTCTTCTTTTGTGTATATCTCAGAATTCTAGGTGAGTCATTTAGATGTCATATTTAATGAAGCACCTGCCTAGGGACTTTAGTGAGCAACCCCAAAGCCAGTTGCAAGGAACTCCAAGATTATAACATGTGTCATTTAGATCTTTGTCCATGGTATGTGACACTGCTTGCTACTGACAAAAGCAAAAAGCAAATCGATTTCCCCCTTCCTTCAAAACAAATAACAGAAAAACATGGGATGTGAGTGAGAAGGCTTGGAGTTTCTATTTGTGCTAACTCTAGGACATTGGCCAAGACGAAAACCACCCTTGGCAGGGCACGGCGGCTCATGCCTGTAATCCCAGCACTTTGGGGCAGGAGGATTACAAGGTCAGGAGTTTGAGACCAGCCTGGTCAATATAGTGAAACCCTGTCTCTACTAAAAATACAAAAAAATTAGCTAGGTGTGGTGGCTGGCGCCTGTAATCCCAGCTACTTGGGAGGCTGAGGCAGGAGAATTCCTTGAACCCAGGAGGTGGAGGTTGCAGTGAGCCGAGGTCACGCCACTGCACTCCAGCCCTGGCGATGGTGCAAGACTCCGTCTCAAAACAAACAAACAAAAAAACAAAAAAACTGGTCTTATCAGTAAAATGGAAAGGTTAAATGGAAATATGGAAATTATCTTCTAGCCAAAATAGGGGGTGCGAATGAGGATTATGATTAGAATTATTGAGATGGAAGAGGAAAAAAATAAAGGTAGCTTAGGTATATTAGGTATGGTTTCTTTCTTTTCTTTTTTTTTTTTTTTTAAGATGGAGTCTTGCTCTTGTCGCCCAGGCTGGGGTGCAGTGGTGCAGTCTTGGCTCACTGCAACCTCCACCTCCCAGGTTCAACCGATTATCTTGCCTCAGCCTTCTGAGTAGCTGGGATTACGGGCACCTGCCACCATGCCCAGCTAATTTTTGTACTTTTAGTAGAGACAGGGTTTCCCCATGTTGGGCAGGCTGGTCTCAAACTCTTGACCACAGGTGATCCACCTGCCTCGGCCTCCCAAAGTGCTGGGATTACAAGCATGAGCCACCACACCTGGCCTAGGTATGGTTTCTTTTGGAAATATTAGGACTTGGGTGACATCCATGGGCATAGCCTCTACAGAATGGAAACCCTGCTTCTCTCCACATTCCCATTTCTGACACCAGGCTGAACAGTTCATGTGGTCAAAATGCCCATACCAAGGGCTCTTCTCCTCTTGGTGCTCCTGGGATAAAAGTAGTAGCAGCCAGTATTTATTGAGCAAGTGATATGAGCAGGCACTGTGTGAAAAGCCTAATTCATATTATCTCACTTATTTCTCACTATAAGTCTCTATCGTCATTTTTTAGATAAGGAGACTGAGACTAAGAGGTTGTCATTTGCTCAAGATCACACAGCAAATAGGAGTATAATTCTTTCATTTTTTCTAAATGTCTTAATCACTCTGACTCACACCTGTGTTGTTTTAGTCTTTTTGGTCTTCTAGTCTTTTTCTGAGGTTTCCACTTTAGCTGTTTGCTAGGTAACTGCCCATCAGGTTCACCTTGCCCGCTGCCTAGACAGAGCCAATTTACCGAGACAGGGGAATTGCAATAGAGAAAGAGTAATTCATGCATAACCGGCTGTATGGGAAACCAGAGTTTTATTATTACTCAAATCAGTCTCCCAAGCATTCAGGGATCAGAGTTTTTAAAGATAATTTGGTGGGTAGGGGCTTGGAAAGTGGGGAGCACTGATTGGTCAGGTTGGAAATGGAATCATAGGGGGTCGAAGTGAGTTTTTCTTGCTGTCTTCTGTTCCTGGGTGGAGTTGCAGAACTGGTTGAGCCAGATTATGGTCTGGGTGGTGTCAGCTGATCCATCAAGTGCAGGATCTGCAAAATATCTCAAGCACTGAACTTAGGTTTTACAACAGTGATGTTATCCCCAGGAGCAATTTGGGGAGGCTCAGACTCTTGCAGCCAGAGGCTGCATGACCCCTTAACCATAATTTCTAATCTTGTAGCTAATTTGTTAGTCCTGCAAAGGCAGACTGGTCCCAAGACAAGAAGGGGGTCTTTTCGGAAAGGACTATTACCAATTTTGTTTCGCAGTTGAAGCATAAACTAAATTTCTTCCCAAGGTTAGTTCGGCCTTTGCCCAGGAATGAAGAAGGGCAACTTAAAGGTTAGAAGCAAGATGGAGGCTGGGTGCAGTGGCTCACACCTGTAATCTCAGCACTTTGGGAGGCCGAGGCAGGCAGATCACCTGAGGTTGGGAGTTCGAGACCAGCCTGACCAACATGGAGAAACCCCGTCTCTACTAAAAATATAAAATTAGCCGGGCGTGGTGGCACATGCCTCTAATCCCAGCTACTCGGGAGGCTGAGGCAGGAGAATTGCTTGAATCCAGGAGATGGGGGTTGTGGTCAGCCGAGATCAAACCATTGCACTTCAGCCTGGGCAACAGAGTGAGACTCTGTCTAAAAAAAAAAAAAAAGAGAAAAGATGGAGTCAGTTAGGTCTGATGTCTTTCACTGTCATAATTTCCTCAGTTATAATTTTTGCAAAGGCAGTTTCACCAATTTCATTACCATATCTACAAATTCAAGTGCATCCAGCAGAGTTAACCCCTCTAGATTGCAAACGTGAAAATAAGGATTTATTTTGCCTGTCGTGTTTACAACTATATCTCCTGCCACATAATAGGTACTTTATATATATTTGTCATATGAAGGATTAATTGAATGGGCTGGGCATAGTGGCTCAATTCTGTAATCCCAGCACTTTGGGAGGCCAAGACAGGAGGATTGCTTGAGGTCAGGAGTCTAAGACTGCAGTGAGCTATGATGCCACCGCATTCTAGCCTGGGAAACAGAGTAAGACCCTATCTTAAAAAAAAAAAAAATTGTGGAAGACAGTGTGGCGATTCCTAAATAATCTAGAACTAGAAATACCATTTGACCCAGCCATCCTATTACTGGGTATACACCCAAAGGATTATAAATCATGCTGCTATAAAGACACATGCACACATATGTTTACTGTGGCACTATTCACAATAGCAAAGACTTGGAACCAACCCAAATGTCCATCAATGATAGACTGGATTAAGAAAATGTGGCACATATACACCATGGAATACTATGTAGCCATAAAAAGGATGAGTTCATGTCCTTTGTAGGGACATGGATGAAGCTGGAAACCATCATTCTCAGCAAACTATCGCAAGGACAAAAAACCAAACACCGCATGTTCTCACTCATAGGTGGGAATTGAACAATGAGAACACTTGGACACAGGGAGGAGAACATCACACACTGGGGCCTGTCATGGGGTGGGGGGAGGGGGGAGGGATAGCATTAGGAGGTATACCTAATGTAAATGACAAGTTAATGGGTGCAGCACACCAACATGGCACCTGTATACATATGTAACAAACCTGCACTTTGTGCACATGTACCATAGAATTTAAAGTATAATAATAATAATAATAATAATAATAATAATAATAATAAAAGATTTATTGTTGAATGAATGATATGTCAACAGAAACTCAGATCCAGGGATTTGCTTTTGGGCTGGGATCAGGCCTCTTGAACTAGGATCTGGGTGGGGATCTATCCACAATATGTGGCTGGGTTCTGAAGACTGCTTGCATATCTTTTAAAATCCTGAAAGGTAGCATAATTGCTCAAGAAAAGTATGTCTATCCTTGGTATCAGGACCAAAACGAAATTTATCCTGAGAACCCTCATAAAGACATCTTGCATAATGAATACAACCCGTTTTCAACAACATCCATGAGGAAACACCATGGAGATGCGCTATGGTGCTTTCCTTTGGCTACACGCAGTAAAGGTGGATGGTGGCTTCTAGAAGTGCAATCAGAAGCCACCAGGCCTGGCCGGGCCTGTAATCCCAGCACTTTGGGAGGCCGAGACGGCTGGATCACCTGAGGTCAGGAGTTTGAGACCAGCTTGGCCAATATGGTGAAACCCTATCTCTACTAAAAATACAAAAATTAGCCGGGCAGTAGTGGCATATGCCTGTAATCCCAGCTACTCAGAAGGCTGAGGCAGGAGAATCTCTTGAACCTGTGAGATGGGGTTGCAGTGAGCCAAGACTGCACCACTGCACTCCAGCCTGGCCGAAAGAGTGAGACTCTGTCTCAAAAAAAAAAGAAAAAGGAAAAAAAGGAAGCCACCAGGCCCAAGCCTTGGATGTCCCTGAAGAGGAGCCTCCCTCTCTGTTTTAAGCATCCCTTCTCCCTCTCTGGCTCTTTGTGTGGGTTTGCATTCTGAGAGCAGTTGGGCACCCTGGGGAGATTTCATTCTTGAATTGCTCTAAAAACAGCACTAGAAAATTTAAACACATGCTCACACTCACTCTATGTTTTCTCTTGGGCTCATTACTTACCCCAAAAGACACTAGATCTAAAAGACCATTCCACTTGGAGGAAGCCCAAAGGATTGAAAAAGGTCTCATTGCTTTCCAAATAAGATGATGGAAAAATGCAAAACAACCCAGCAACAGCCACCCAGTTTGATGCTGGTGCCCTTTATTTCAATGCAAATTTAAGACAATCATGGCTCAAGAAAGAGAAATGAAACTGTGCAGGACCTGGCCCCATAGAAACACACATTTTCATTCTCTGTGGCATGCTTTGCTGACGTTACAGAATTTTGGAAAAGTCAATTATTCACAAGTAAGACTTGTAAAATTCTCTAGCCCATAAAGAGTCTTACAATTTTCTCTGGAACTGCAAAATAAATTTTAGACTTATCATTTTGTCATTTAAAGTCCCCAGATCTAGAGCCAGAATACTTAGGGATGCTGGCAGAGTTGCAGGAAAAAAAACTTCTCTCCCAAGGCTTTGTTCTGTTCCAGCGAGCCTGCCAGTTCTGCCTGTACATCCAGTGAGGGGTTGTGTAATCCCAACACTTCTGGGAGCCTACCAACCCTAGAAGAGCCTGTCTCCAACTTTAACCTGGCCTGGCAGGTCCCCCAAACAAAGAACCACTTCATTGTCTGTAGAACCAGTTTGGACCACATTCTGCTGGATTTAAATCTATAATCCACCCACCTACCTGGCACAGGTGGCTAAGAAGTAGTTCTTTTCTGATTTGTATGCCAGAATTTCTGGGCTGTGTTTGGTTTTATCTTTTTCTTCCCCTTCATCTATAACAAAAGAGAGGAAACAGAGGGTATGAGAAGTGTTGCACATCCCCATGGAGGACAGCACCAGAGGGTGTGACCTCAGACCACAACATGGGAAATGTTAGTGACACTCACGGAAGAGTTCCAGGCCGGGTGCAGTGGCTCACACCTGTAATCCCATCACTTTTGGAGGCCGAGGTGGGTGGATCACTTGAGGTCAGATGTTTGAGAGTAGCCCGGCCAACATGGTGAAACTCCGTCTCTACTAAAAATACGAAAATTAGCGAGGCATGATGGCATGCACCTGTAGTCTCAGCTACTATTCGGGTGGCTGAGGCAGAAGAATTGCTTGAACCCAGGAGGCAGAGGTTGCGGTGAGCCAAGATTGCACCACTGCACTCCAGCCTGGGCAACAGAGTGAGACTCTGTCTCAAAAAAAAAAAAAAAAAAAGAGTTCCCCTGCCAGGGCAAGTGATGGACACTAGGAATGGACTCTGCTCCCCGATGTTGGCATAGGGGTATTGGGCAGGTCCGATTTCCCCTTTTAGCCACAGGAAGTAGACTGGACTGTTCAAAGTTATGACCTAAAGGGTATCAGGAAGGTCCTGCCTCCATGTATTTCTCTTTTTAATATGTCCACTGTTAGGACTTCGTGTCTGATTGAAAGTTGTTGAGTTTTAAAGAATAACCTACAAAAGCTGGGCGCGGTAGCTCATGCCTGTAATCCCCGCACTTTGGGAGGCCAAGGTGGGTGGATCATGAGGTCAGGAGTTCAAGACCAGCGTGGCCAAGATAGTGAAACCCCATCTCTACTAAAAATACAAAAATTAGCTGGGTGTGGTGGTACATGCCTGTAATCCCAGCTACTCGTGAGGCTGAGGCAGAAGAATTGCTTGAACCCGGGAGGCAGAGGTTTCAGTGAGCCGAGATCGTGCCACTGCACTCCAGCCTGGGCGACAGAGCGAGACTCCATCTCAAAAAAAAAAAAAAAAAGAATAACCTACAAAAATGTAATTATTTTGTGGAAGGTTTTGCCTGAAACAGTTTTCTGGTAAAAACATTCATAGAAGGGTCACACTCAAGTACTACAAATGCATCAACATTTCCTTAAAGATTTCTATTAATGGAGAATTAAAGCCCACAAGAGCTGTGAAGTTGACTTTCAACAGTCTTTGACTAGGATCAGGAATTTTATGCTTTTTAACTCCTTGTTCTGTCACTGATTCTCAAGGCTTAGGCTGGAAGAGATGGAAAAGAGGGAGTTGACCTCTTCCAGGAGTTGGCCTGGAGGAAACATTTTGTCCCCAGATCCCAGCGCCTCCCAGTGCCACTGGCAAATTAAAACAATGCTTAGGGACCTCTTTATGCCATCAGTGGGTTGAGGACATAGATGCAGGTGAACAAAGAAAAGAGGGCTGAAAGAAGAGAGGAGGAAAAAAAACAGGAGAAAGGGAAGGCTTCAGGGAAGGAGGGTCAAGTCTAGCACCAGCAAATTTGTTGGAGAGGCTATACTCAGTTGCCCTCCCAGCCGTGGGCTGCTGACAGATGGTCTGTGGATGTGTCTGAAGGTGCAGGCACAGGGGTGGAAGTGGCACTGGCCTGGACCACAAGGGTTCTAGTCCCTGTTCTGTAGTAACTAGCTGAATGACCTTTGGTGTTTTTTATCCGTAACAGGAGGGGGTTGGCCATATGGTCTCAAAGGTTGCTTCCAACTGGAGCAGTTCCTGGGTTGTGAAATGGTGATAATTTTGAAAGCCTGTGACTCCACCACCAGTAGGGAACCACACCTTATGCAGAGGACGTCCTAATTAACCCAAAGGAATGATTAGCTGTGGAGGTTTCTGTCCTCCCCACCCCCGCCAGTTCCCAACTGTTGAGTCTCATTGTTGGTAGAAAGTTTATAGGAAAAGTGCTTGGAAACTGTTGCTGGTCTTCCTTCCTTCCTTTAACCTTGAGATAAGAATGCCTTTGTTTGAGTCTCAAGCATGTCTCAAGTTATGTAACTCACTTGTATTAAAACTCTCCCTGACTGTTTTATATTCAGCTTTCTAGCTGCCCTGGTTTGCAGCTTTAATTGAATAGGTGGCCTTGTATTTATGCTAATTTTTTGTCTTTCTCTTTCAGATCTCCATGGGATAACCACATTGGTTTGTTTAGTAAACACTGAGACCAACTCCACCATCCAGAGGCCTGACAGACAAATGGCCTGAGACAGGGCTGGGAAAGTTTTGCTTCTGGTTGGGACTTCAGGAAGAGTTTTGTTTTGTTTTGTTTTCCCCCAAGGGAACAAGCCCTTGAATCCGGGAGGCCAAGGTTGCGGTGAACCGAGATTGCGCCATTGCACTCCAGCCTGGGCAACAAGAGCGAAACTCCGTCTCAAAAACATAAAAAGTAAAAAAGATATGTACGTCAATGTCAGACTTTCTGTGCTGGATGGAAGGACTCTGAGCCTACCAAAGGAAGCGTATTTACAAACCTCTAGGTACTGACTTGTTGCTGAAGGTCAGAAATTTGCAATGACATTTGGATGTATTCAAGGGTGGAGGGGCAGGTTTGGGGAAAGTTCTTTTAAAGAAAAAATGCAAAATTTGATTACAAGAAGCTGGGGTGCCTCCCAGGGCCTCGGAAAGGGCTTGCACAAGTGAAGCACCCTGAAGATAATGCTTCATTAGCTTTACAGTGAAGCCACCTCTGAATCTCTGTTTGGTGTTTGTCCAAAATATTCCAAGTTGAAGGCAGGCCTGATTATATGATCGCACAGCAATTTTCCTGGGGAAAAGTCTTTTGCTGCCAGTTCTTCCTCTGCTATGAATAGGTCTTAGTCTCGTGCTCTCTTTTCTATCTATACCCTCTCCCTACTCCAGGGGTCCCCAACCCTTGGGCCACAGGAACCAGGCCACACAGCAGGAAGTGAGCAGGGCGAGCGAAGCTTCATCCCTATTTACAGCTGCTCCCCATTGTTTGCCTTATGCCTGATCTCTGCCTCCTGTTAGGTCAGCAGTGGCATTAGATTCTCATAGGAGTGTGAATGCTATTGTGAACCGCCCATGCGAGGGATCTAGGTTGCACACTTCCTATGAGAATCTAATGCCTGATGATCTGTCACTCTCTCCTATCACCCCCAGATGGGACCATCTAGTTGCGGGAAAACGAGCTCAGGGCTCCCACTGATTCTACATTATGGTGAGTTGTGTAGACAAAAAGAGTCCAACTGTAAAATATTTGAAGATATTTATTCTGAGCCAAATATAAGTGACCAGAGCCCGTGACACAGACCCCAGGAGGTCCTGAGAACACGTGCCCAAGATGGTTGGGGCACAGCTTGGTTTTATACATTTTAGGGAGGTATGAGACATCAATCAAACACATTTGAGAAATACTATAGGTAAATTTAAACATTTTCTGGTTGACAATTGGTTGAGTTTTCACCATGTTGGTCAGGCTGGTCTCAGACTCCTGACCTCAAGTGATCTGCCTGCCTTACCTCCCAAAGTGTTGTGGTTACAGGCATGAGCCACCACACCAAACTGACCTTGCAAAGCTGTCCTTTGTGGGGGAGAATTTGAATCTGTAAAGAATCTTTATTAACATAGCTAGATCTTTTTGTAGCTAGAAAAAGGCCCTCCTAATCCTAAAGAGATTAACTAAGAGTCTAGTACCTTTTAAAGGTCTGAATAGGAAACATTTCTCATCTATTGTCTCTAAGGACAGTCACTGTAAGACCTCAAAGGAACTTTGGCCTCCACAATCTTTTATCTTAACCTGAACATTTCTATCGATCCCTGAGTAGCTGGGATTACAGGAACGTGCCACCATGCCCAGCTAATTTTTGTATTTTTAGTAGAGACGGGAATTTCACCATGTTGGCCAGGCTGGTCTTGAGCTCCTGACCTCAGGTCATCTGCCTGCCTCGGCCTCCCACCATCTCAGCATCTTTGCATCTGCTCTTCCCTTTGCTTGGAGCACTCTTTCCCCAGAATTTCATTCTCATATTCAAGATGTAGCTCACATGTTGCCACCTTCTCAGAGGTTCTCAAGGAGACCTTCCCTGACCACCCAACCAAAGAAACCTTCTAGACCCTTTCTATTGCACCACTCTGCTCTATTTTCTTTTCTTTTGAGACGCAGTCTCGCTCCGTCACCCAGGCTGGACTACAGTGGCACGATCTCGGCTCACTCCAACCTCCACCTCCCAGGTTCAAGCGATTCTCCTGCCTCAGCCTCCTGAGTAGCTGGGATTACAGGCGCACACCACCACGCCCAGCTAATTGTTGTATTTTTAGTAGAGACGGGGTTTCACCATGTTGGTCAGGCTGATCTCAAACTCCTGACCTCATGATCCGCCCGTCTCAGCCTCCCAAAGTGCTGGGATTACAGGCGTGAGCCACCGCGCCTGACCATGGACACTCATTTTTTTTTTTTTTTTGAGATGGAGTTTTGCTCTTGTTTCCCAGGCTGGAATGCGATGGCACAATCTTGGCTCACTGCAACCTTTGCCTCCTGGGTTCAAGCGATTCTTCTGCCTCAGCCTCCCGAGTAGCTGGGATTACAGGCATGCACCATCATGCCCAGCTAATTTTGTATTTTTTAGTAGAGATGGGGTTTCACCAGGTTCACCAGGCTGATCTCGAACTGCCAACCCCAGGTGAGACTCCTGCCTCAGCCTCCCAAGTGCTGGTATTACAGGAGTGAGCCACCGTGCCCAGCCATGGACACTCATTTTTTTTTTTTTTTTAATGGATCATTCTTGGGTGTTTCTCACAGAGGGGGATTTGGCAGGGTCATAGGACAATAGTGGAGGGAAGGTCAGCAGATAAACAAGTGAACAAAGGTCTCTGGTTTTCCTATGCAGAGGACCCTGCGGCCTTCCGCAGTGTTTGTGTCCCTGGGTACTTGAGATTAGGGAGTGGTGATGACTCTTAACGAGCATGCTGCCTTCAAGCATCTGTTTAACAAAGCACATCTTGCACCACCATTAATCCATTTAACCCTGAGTGGACACAGCACATGTTTCAGAGAGCACAGGGTTGGGGGTAGGGTCACCGATCAACAGGATCACAAAGCAGAAGAATTTTTCTTAGTACAGAACAAAATGAAAAGTCTCCCGTGTCTACCTCTTTCTACACAGACATGGCAACCATCCGATTTCTCAATCCTTTCCCCGCCTTTCCCCCCTTTCTATTCCACAAAACCGCCATTGTCATCATGGCCCGTTCTCAATGAGCTGTTGGGTACACCTCCCAGACGGGGTGGTGGCTGGGCAGAGGGGCTCCTCACTTCCCAGAAGGGGCAGCCGGGCAGAGGCGCCCCTCACCTCCCGGACCGGGCAGCTGGCCGGGCGGGGGGCTGACCCCCCCACCTCCCTCCCGGACGGGGCGGCTGGCCGGGCGGGGGGCTGACTCCCCCACCTCCCTCCCGGACGGGCGGCTGGCCGGGCGGGGGGCTGACCCCCCCACCTCCCTCCCGGACGGGGCGGCTGGCCGGGCGGGGGGCTGATCCCCCCACCTCCCTCCCGGACGGGGGTGCTGGCCTGGCGGGGGCTGACCCCCACCTCCCTCCCGGATGGGGTGGCTGCCGGGCAGAGACGCTCCTCACTTCCCAGACGGGGTGGCTGCCGGGCGGAGGGGCTCCTCACTTCTCATATGGGGCGGTTGCCAGGCGGAGGGTCTCCTCACTTCTCAGACGGGGTGGCTGGGCAGAGACGCTCCTCACCTCCCAGACGGGGTCGCGGCCGGGTAGAGGCGCTCCTCACATCCCAGACGGGGTGGCGGGGCAGAGGCGCTCCCCACATCTTAGACGATGGGCGGCCGGGCAGAGACGCCCCTCACTTCCTAGATGGGATGGCGGCCGGGAAGAGGCGCTCCTCACTTCCTAGATGGGATGGCGGCCGGGCAGAGACGCTCCTCACTTTCCAGACTGGGTAGCCAGGCAGAGGGGCTCCTCACGTCCCAGACGATGGGCGGCCAGGCAGAGACGCTCCTCACTTCCCAGACGGGGTGGCGGCCGGGCAGAGGCTGCAATCTTGGCACTTTGGGAGGCCAAGGCAGGCAGCTGGGAGGTGGAGGTTGTAGCGAGCCGAGATCACGCCACTGCACTCCAGCCTGGGCACCATTGAGCACTGAGTGAACCAGACTCCGTCTGCAATCCCGGCACCTCGGGAGGCCGAGGCTGGCGGATCACTCGCAGTTCGGAGCTGGAGACCAGCCTGGCCAACACAGCGAAACCCCGTCTCCACCAAAAAAATACGAAAACCAGTCAGGCGTGGTGGCGCACGCCTGCAATCGCAGGCACTCGGCAGGCTGAGTTAGGAGAATCAGGCAGGGAGGCTGCAGTGAGCCGAGATGGCAGCAGTACAGTCCAGCTTCAGCTCGGCATCAGTGGGAGACCGTGGAAAGAGAGGGAGAGGGAGACCGTGGGGAGAGGGAGAGAGGGGAGAGGGAAAGGGAGAGGGAGAGAGAGAGGGAGAGGGAGACCGTGGGGAGAGGGAGAGAGGGGAGAGGGAAAGGGAGAGGGAGAGAGAGAGGGAGAGGGAGAGCGAGAGCCATGGACACTCATTTTTTAAGGACTCCAATAGAGTTCACTGACAGCATTCTTACATAATTATAATATTTTGCATCTGTACTTTTTACTTTTCAAAAGATTTTTACATACATAGTCTCATTTCCACCTTAAAACAACCAATGAGGTAAGTAGGAGAGGGGTAGTTAATGTCCCTGTTTTAAAGATGAGTAAATTGAGACTCATCTTTAAAACAAATTAAGTAAATTGAGGTGGGATGGCTTATCCAAAATTTTCCAGCCAATAAGTGACAGCAGCCGTCTTCTTCTGTCAAGACCAGCTCTTTTCTCATTTGGTCTCATATTTCTAAATCTTGTTATTTCTCCTGGCTCCTTAGAACAAAAGAATTCATCCATGTAAGGTATGAGAAAGCACCTCTCTCTCAGATGGAAGGAAAAGAGAGCTTGGGTTCCATATGAAGGTTTATGACAGAGAGCCCAAACTTCACTTGTGGTTTACCAGTCAGGCTAATTATGACCGAATGATAACGATTGAGGTTGGACAGTAATAACACACTCCCTCAGTGCAGTAGACTTTTTCACCTGTCATGAAAATGGTGAGGGACTTTAATTGTCATTTTGATTTAATGTCAAAAGCATTGACTGCAGCACAATTTCACATATTTCACCTTAAAGGCAAATCTAATGACGGTGAATGAAGAATGAGAGCTAACTTCACTATTTTTAGAAATAGAGGTAATAGGAATAATAATAGGAATAATGTTTTTCTAAAATTGCCTAGAGAATCAGTGACAGAACAGGGACTTAGGAAGCATGAAATTCCTGGTCCTAGTCAAAGACTATTGGAAGTCAATTTCCACAACTTGTCTAGGCTTCAATTTTCCATTAACAGAAATCTTTTTTTTTTTTTTTAGAGGAGTCTTACTCTGTCACCCAGGCTGGAGTGCAGTGGTGCGATCTTGGCTCACTGCTACCTCCACCTCCCGGGTTCAAGTGATTCTCCCACCTCAGCCTCCTGAGTAGCTGGGACTACAGGCATACGCCACCACACCTGGCTAATTTTTGTATATTTAGTAGAGACAGGGTCTCACCATGTTGGCCAAGCTGGCCTCAAACTCCTGACCTCAGGTGATCTGCCTGCCTTGGCCTCCCAAAATGCTTGGATTACAGGTGTGAGCCACCGTGCTCAGCCTATTAACAGAAATCTTTGAAGAAATATGGATGCATTTGTAATACTTGAATGTTACCCTTCTATGGATTTTTAATTGATAAATAACATACATAAAAAAGGGTGCAACTCATATAGAGCTCAATGAATTTTCACAAAGTGAACTCAAGCACATAAGCAGCTCCTAGATCAAGAAACCAAGACCTGAGAGTTCTCCTTTTGCCTCATTTTAATAAATACCATCCCCAAGGAAAGGTAACCCCATCCTGAGTCCTACTACAATGAATTATTTTACCTGCTTCTGAGCTTTATATACATGGATTCATGTAATATATTGTCAGTCTTTTTGGTCTGGCTTCTTTTGTTCCACATCATGTTGGTGAGACTTATTCATATTGTTGCTGGTAGCTATAGTTTTGTTTATTCTCACTACCCTGTGTTATCTTACTGTCTGAATATACTACATATCCATTCTATTATTGATAATCATTTGTGTTGTTTTCACTTTGGCTCTATTATGACTAGTGCTGCTATGATGATTCCTTATATCTTTTGGTGAAAAGATATAAGGATTTCAGTTGGGTATAAATCCAGGGTTAGAACTGCTGGATTATAGGATATACATATATTCATAGACATTGCCAGTTTTCCAAAGTTATTTTACCAATTTATTCTTGTATTGTTGATGTATGAGAGGTCTAGTTGCTCCACAACCTTGTCAACACTTGGCATTGTCTAGCTTTTCACTTTAGCCATGATTGAATGTGACCCATAATGGATTTTAATATATTTAAATTAGGATTAATTTGATTTTTTTTTTTTTTGAGACAGGGTCTCACTCTGTCTCCCAGGCTGGAATGCAGTGACACCATCTTGGGTCACTGCAACCTCTGCCTCCCAGGCTTAGGTGATTCTCTTACCTCAGCCTCCCAAGTAGCTGGGACTACAGGCACATGCCGCCATGCCCAGCTAATTTCTGTATATTTAGTAGAGACAGGGTTTTGCCATGTTGCCTAGGCTGGTCTTGAAATCCTGAGCTCAAGCCATCCGTTTGCCTTGGCCTCCGGAAGTGCTGGGATTACAGGTGTGAGCCACTGTACCTGGACAGATTAATGTTTTATGATTTTTAAATACAACTGTGAAATGATGCATAAGAAAACTAAGATTAGATGGAAATTAGACCAATTTTGATGCCCAATTATATCTTGTCCCCTAGTCTTGTCCCCTAGTTCCTTCATGTGTATAGGTTTGGCCCACTCAACAAGATGGTGAACTTCCTAAGGTCAAGGGCTGTGTTGTAGGGTTCTTCTGCTGTTGCTATGGCCTTTAGCACAGTATTGGCACAGAGTAGGTGCTGAGGAAGTTCTGATTGAATTAGGCTGAACTAATATGACAGAGGCAAGCCCACCAAAATCAATGGAATATCTCTCTGTTCACAGTTCTCTGCTTAATCACCCCATTTTCAGGTACTTCTTTTATTTTTTTTTTTTTTTTGAGACAGGGTCTCACTCTGTTGCCTAGACCGGAATGCAGTGGCGCGATCTCGGCTCACTGCAGCCTCTAACTCCCAGGTTCAAGCAATTCTCCCACCTCAGCCTCCCCAGTAGCTGGGATTACAGGCACACCGCCACACCCAGCTAATTTCTGTATTTTTAGTAGAGACGGGGTTTCACCACGTTGGCCAGGCTGGTCCCAAACTCCCAACCTTAGGTGAGCTACCCTCCTCAGCCTCCCAAAGTGCTGAGATTACAGGTGTGAGCCACTGTGCCTGGCTCAGGTACTTCTTAAGGTGATGAAAGGACCAAGAGAAAGAAATTCTAGAAAATATCCAAATCCTGTGTTCTTCCAGAGCCTACATTCCAAGTGCTGAAAATCTTTAGGTAGGATGAGCCCTTCTTTTTTTTTTTTTTTTTTTTTTTGGAGTCAGGGTCTCACTCTGTTGCCCAGGCTGGAGTGCAGTGATGCGATAATAGCTCACTGCAGCATAACTCCTGGCTCAAGCGATCCTCCCACCTTAACCTCCTGAGTAGCTGGGACTACAGGTGTGTGCCACCATGCCTAATTAAATTTTTTTTTTTTTTTTTTTTTTAGAGATGGGGTCTCCCTATGTTGCTGAGGTCGGTCTCAAAACTCCTGCAGCCCTTTTATTTTCAACTGCATTTTCTGAGGCATGTACCTTAGACTACCAGAAAGCAAAAACAGAAGACTCTTGCTCTGGCTTGTTAGGAAAGAGCACTGTGGTGTCCCTCCATGCTTAAAGAAATGTTTCGGAGTCAAAATGTCTGATCTTACAACACTAACCCGATTTCCTTATGGCTGAATCCAGTTTGATAGAAATTGCTCCGAAGGCCACACTAATCTCTAGGACACTTAGTTCCCCTTTTGGCTAATTTTTTAAGAAGCCGTACTAATTTTTAAGAACTATTTCTGTCCTCTCATAAGCTAAAGGATTTGTACTCAATGGCGTGTTTCAACATGCAGCACTATGTCATGCTATGCATATTTTTGCTCATATTGAATACTATTTCTGGACTGAGATCCTGAGATGTTAAGCTACTACACTTTACTAGCTTTACATAGTACTGAGTTTGGCATTACACACTTACTGAAAATAATTGGTGGAAATATCCCTCCTAGGCTTTCTTTCAGTTTTGTGCCCCACCATCCAACAAGAAAGATGAGTTTTAGGCTGGATGTGGGGGCTCAGGCCTGTAATCCCAGCACTTTCGGAGGCCAAGGTGGGCAGATCAGGTGAAATCAGGAGTTTAAGACCAGCTTGCGTAACATGGCGAAAGTCTACTAAAAATACAAAAATTAGCCAGGCACAGTGGCACGGGCCTGTAATCTCTGCTACTTAGAAGGCTGAGGCAGGAGAATCCCTTGAACCTGGGAGGTGAAGGTTGCAGTGAGCGGAGATTGCACCTCTGCACTCCAGCCTGGGCAAGAGTGAAACTCTGTCTCAGAAAAAAAAAAAAAAAAAAACCCAGGCGCGGCGGCCTACGCCTGCAATCCCAGTGTGTCCGGAATTGGTGGCTTCTTGGTCTTACTGACTTCAAGAATGAAGCCATAGACCCCCACGGTGAGTGATACAGTTCTTAAAGACAGCATGTCTGGAGTTTGTTCCTTCTGATGTTCGGATGTGTTCAGAGTTTCTTTCTTCTGGTGGGTTCTGGTCTCACTGGTTCAAGAGTGCAGCTGCAGACCTTCGCACGGGGTGTTACAGATATTAACGTGGCGCGTCTGGAGTTGTTCGTTCCTCCCCGTGGATTCATGGTCTTGCTAGCTTCAGGAGTGAAGCCGCAGACTTTCACGGTGAGTGTTACAGCTCATAAAGGCAGGGCTGACCCAGAATGAGCAGCAGTAAGATCTATCGCAAAAAGCAAAAGAACAAAGTTTCCACAACGCGGAAAGGTATTCCAGCAGGGTGCCACTGCTGGTTGGGGCAGCCTGCTTTTATTCCCTTATCTGGCCCCACCCACATCCTGCTGATTGGTCCATTTTACAGAGAGCTGATTGGTCCGTTTTGGTGCATTTACAATCCCTGAGCTAGACACAAAAGTTCTCCAAGTCCCCACTAGATTAGCTAGATACAGAGCACTGATTGGTGCATTTACAAACCTTGAGCTAGATACAGATTGCTGATTGGTGTATTTACAATCCCTTAGCTAGACATAAAGGTTCTCTAAGTCCCCACTAGACTCTGGAGTCCAGCTGGCTTCACCAAGTGGATCCCACACCAGGGTTGCAGGTGGGGCTGCCTGCCAGTCCTGCACCTTGCGTCCGCACTCCTCAGCCCTTGGGCGGTGGATGGGACCTGGTGCCATGGAGGAGGGGGCGGTGCTCGTCGGGGAGGCTCGGGCGGCGCAGGAGCCCATGGCGGCAGGGGGAGGCTCAGGCATGGCGGGCTGCAGGTCCCCAGCCCTGCCCTGTGGGGAGGCAGCTAAGGCTTGGTGAGAAATCGAGCACGGGGGACCCAGCACACCCTCTGCAGCTGCTGGCCCAGGTGCTAAGCCCCTCACTGCTCGGGCAGGCATGGTCTGCCAAGCCCATGCCCACCCGGAACTCGCGCTGGCCTGCAAGTGCCACATGCAGCCCCAGTTCCCGCCCGCACCTCTCCCTCCACACCTCCCCGCAAGCTGAGGGAGCCGGCTCCGGCCTCGGCCAGCCCAGAAAGGGGCTTCCACAGTGCAGCGGCGGGTTGAAGGGCTCCTCAAGCGTGGCCAGAGTGGGCGCTGAAGCCGAGGAGGCGCTGAGAGTGAGCGAGGGCTGTGAGGGCTGCCAGCACACTGTCACCTCTCACCAGCACTTTGGGAGACTGAGACAGGCGGATCACCTGAGATCAGGAGTTTGAGACCAGCCTGGCCAATATGGCCAAACCTTGTCTCTACTAAAAATACAAAAATTAGCCAGGCGCAGTGGCAGTCACCTGTAATCCCAGCTACTCAGGAGGCTGAGGCAGGAGAATCGCCTGAACCCGGGAGACGGAGGTTGCAGTGAGCTGAGATCATGCCACTGCACTACAGCCTGGACCACAGAGCCAGACTCTGTCTCAAAAAAAAAAGAAAAAAGGCCAGGCACGGTGGTTCACACCTGTAATCCCAACACTTTGAGAGGCCAAGGCGGGCAGATCACGAGGTCAGGAGTTTGAGACAAGCCTGGCCAACATGGTGAAAACCCATCTCTACTAAAAATGCAAAAATTAGCCAGGTGTGGTGGGCACCTGTAATCCTAGCTACTCGGAAGGCTGAGACAGGAGAATCGTTTGAACCCAGGAGGTGGAGGTTGCAGTGAGCTGAGATCGTGCCACTGCACTCCAGCCTGGGCAACAGAGCAAGACTCCACCTCAAAAAAAAAAAAAAAAAAAAAAGATGGTTTTTAATGGTCATAATCATGACATGGGGATTAAAGAAGGAAGAAAATTGGACCTTGAGAAACATATAGAGAGAGCTAATAAAACAGAGTCTATCTGAACCAGTTTTCAGAATCCATTTGGGACAGGCATATCAAAATAGGATGTGTGTGTGTCTGTGGGTAGAGGATGGTAGAAGAAATACATTCCTGAAAAGAATATTGTGGTAAGATCCCTGTAAGCATGTCAGCTAGTAATTGTATACTGTCACTAATGGGAACAGGCTTGTTCTGCAAGCTGAAATCATGATCAGCAGGTAATCAGATCTAGCGCTCCGGGGCTTCCCATGACTCAGTGACTGTTGTACACTAGAAACAAGGGGATGTTTTATTCTCTACTCTTCTGCTATCAGGGTTGGCCAGCTTCCCAAGGTTTGTGGGGAGAGGGAGGAGGGCTGTGAGGTTCAGGGTGTTTTTTTCTTTGGAGATGGGACTCATGTCTCTGATCTCCTGAAATCCCTCATCAATGTATTTGCTTTTCATTCTCTGAACTGGCTATAACTTTTTTTTTTTTTTTTGGAGACAGAATCTCGCTCTGTTGCCCAGGTTGGAGTGCAGTGGTGTGATCTTGGCTCACTGCAACCTCTGCCTCCTGGGTTCAAGCAATTCTCCTGCCTCAGCCTCCCAAGTAGCTGGGATTACAGGTGTGTGTCACCACATATGGCGATTTTTTTTTTTTTTTGAGTTGGAGTCCCGCTCTGTTGCCCAGGCTGGAGTGCAGTGGCATGATAGTGGCTCACTGCAACCTCCACCTCCCGGGTTCAAGCAATTCTCTTGTCTCAGCCTCCTGAGTAACTGGGACTACAGGTGCCTGCCACCACACCTGGCTAATTTTTGTACTTGTAATAGAGATGGGGTTTCACTGTATTGGTCAGGCTGGTGTCAAAACTCTTGACCTTAGCTGATCCTCCCGCCTTGGCATCCCAAAGTGCTGGGATTACAGACGTGAACCACCGCACCCAGCCAGTTAATATTTGTATTGTTAGTAGAGATGGGATTTTCACCATGTTGCCTAGGCTAGCCTCTAACTCCTGGCCTCAACTGATCCACCCTCCTCGGCTTCCCAAAGTGCTGGGATTGCAAGCATGAGCCACCAAGCCTGGCCAACTTGCGTTTTTGTTTTTGTTTTTTTTAACTCTTACTTTAGGTTCAGGGTTACATGAGCAGGTTTGTTATATAGGTTAATTGCATGTCACTGGGGTTTGGTCTACAGATTATTTCATCATCCAGGTAATAAGCATAGTGCCAGATAGGTAGTTTTTCCCACCATCCTCTTCCCACCATCCATCCTCAAGTCGGCCTGAGTGTCTGTTGTTCCCTTCTTTGTGTCCATGTGTACTTGATGTTTAGCTCCCATTTATAAGTGAGAACACGCAGGACTTGGTTTCTGTTCCAGTGTTAGTTCACTAAGGATAATGGCCTCCGGCTTCATTCATGTCCCTGCGAAGGACATGATCTCATTCTTTTTATGGCTGCATTTTTTGACTTTTTAATGATACCCATTGTGACTGGTGTGAGATGGTATCTCATTGTGGTTTTGATTTGCATTTCTCTAGTGATTAGTAACGTTGAGCATTTTGTGGCTTGTTGGCCACATGTATGTCTTTTTTTGAAAAGTGTCTGTTCTTGTCCTGTGCTCACTTTTTAATGGAGTTGTTTGTTTTTTGCTTGTAAATTTAAGTTCCTTATAGATTCTGGTTATTAGACCTTTGTCACGAGTATAGTTTGCAAATAGTTTCTCCCATTCTGTAGGTTGTCTGTTTACTACTCTGTTGATAGTTTCTTTTGCTGTGTGGAAACTTTAGTTCAATTAGGTTCCATTTATGAATTTTTGTTTTTGTTGCAGTTGTTTTTGGCATTTTTGTCATGAAATCTTTGCCCAGTCCTATGTCCAGAATGGTATTTCCTAGGTTATCTTCCAAGGTTTTTATGGTTTTAGGTTTTATGTTTAAATCTTTAATTGGTCTTGAGTTGATTTTTATATATGGTGTAAGGAAGGGGTCCAGTTTCAATCTTCCACATATAGCTAGCCAGTTATCCTGGAACCGTTTATTGAATAGGGAGTCCTTTCCCCATTGCTTGTTTTTGTCAACTCTGTCAAAGATCAGATGGTTGTAGGAGTGTGGCATTATTTCTGGGCTTTCTATTCTGTTCCATTGGTCTATGTGTCTGTTTTGGTACTGCTACCGTGCTGTTTTGGTTACTATACTGGCTATGACTCTTGAGTTAGGTCCATTAGGTAACTCCATGGGCATTTTTGATTAGGTAGCCAGGGGCCATGAGTTCAAATGCTTGAGATGGGCCAGGCAGATAGCACAAGTGTGAAATGGAGTCTGTGGCAAGTTGGAGAATCTATTTCTGATCAAAGGGGGACCCACTAGTCAGCTTCAGACAGTGGTCACTATATAAGTAGACTGGCTCCGGTGGTCAGATCTTCAGATAGTTTTTTAAACCAGAAATCTACTTTTTTTTTTTTTTTTTTTTTGAGGCAGTGTCTTGGTTTGTTGCCTAGGCTAAAATGCAGTGGCACGATGATGGCTCACTGCAGTGTTGACATCCTGGGCTTAGCAATCCACCCACCCTCAGCCTCCCAGGTAGCTAGGACTATAGCCATGTACCACTACACCCAGGTAATTTTTAATTTTTTTGTAGAGATGGGTCACACTTTTAAAAATGTGTGTAATTTTCTGATTTTAATTGTTTGTAATTAATTTAAAAATTAAAAAAATCACTTTGTAAGCCAACTATATGAGCATCAAACAAAACGAAGCTTCAGGTTTCATTCAGTCTCCCAATCCTGTCTCCTGGCTAAATTGATTTTCTGAGGGGAAAAACCCAACATTTATTCAAGTCACTTCAATTTATGGGGGGCTATATTATAAGGATGCATGTGACAATAAGATAAACAGGATTTTCAACCATGCAGCAAGGCATCGCTGAAACCCAGGAACTCTGTACACAACCCAGGTCAAGGGAAGAACAAGGACAGCACATGCCTGATGCTTAGTGATAACTGGAAGGTCCTTTCTCACCATCCATGGTGTAACTTAAGCTTCTCAATTGGTGGCTTGTTTCAATATAAACCACATGTAGCTCACATTAATTTCTCTGGGAACTGTAGAATTCTTGACGGGTTCTCGGGGGTTCCTGTTGTATAAAGGCCTTCATTACTTTAGTTATACCCAAGTGAAAGGGGCATTTACCTCGTGACAAGTGGATTATAGGAGAAAAAGAGGAGATGGTAGGTCAGAGTGTGCTTAGAAGTCATGCCCAGTGTTCTCATCAATGCCAGACATTACGGGCTGCCCTTCCATCAGCCATTCTACCCTTCTTCCTGCTAACAATATCCCAATTTTGTTCAGGTATCAGGCCACTTAATATGTTTCAGGGAAAACTGGTTCCAGCCCAGAGCAGTGTGGACCTTGATTACATCAAACTAATCATGGTGAGTCCATTTTCCTTGCCAGAAATTCGTTTAGGAGTGGACATGTATTTCACTTGTGAGTACACAAGAGACTGAGGAAAAGTCTAAGGGGGCTTCTGGGAAATTTTCCTTCTAATAAGAAGAGATTCAAGGCAGAAAGTAGACTCTTTTTTGTTCCCCTGTTGTATCTTTACGGGGCACTTACAGCTTTGGCAACCAGTTTGAGCTATGCAGGATAAATATGCGAACAAAAGTCAACTTATAGAGGAAGAAAAAAGCAGAAAATTGGAAAACAAAACAAAACAGGTGCCTTAATGCTGTAATTGAACAGTGAGTTAACCCAACCCTGAAACCATCCTACCTTTGAACTTACTGTGATATGAGATATTACCTTCTCCTTTTTTTTTTTTTCTTTTTTTGAGACGGAGTCTCGCTCTGTTGCCCAAGTGGGAGTGCAGTGGCGTGATCTGGGCTCACTGCAACCTCCACCTCCCAGGTTCAAGTGATTCTTCTGCCTCAGCCTCCTGAGTAGCTGGGACTACAGGCAGGCGCCACCACGCCCGGCTAATTTTTGTATTTTTAGTAGAGATGGGGTTTCACCATATTGGCCAGGCTGGTCTCGAACTCCTGACCTAGTGATCCACCCCCCCCCCGCCCCCCCGGCCTCCCAAAGTGCTGGGATTATAGCGTGAGCCACAGCGCCCAGCCTGCCTTCTCCTTTTTATTGATGCCATTTCTGGTTGGGTTTTCTGTTACTTTCTGCTAAAGCATCCTAACTGAAAAATGTATTATCAGTGATTTTCCACTTAGAATATTGAAAAAACCGGCCAGGCACAGTGGCTCACGCCTGTAATCCCAGCACTTTGGGAGGCCGAGGCGGGTGGATCACAAGGTCAGGAGATCGAGACCATCCTGGCTAACATGGTGAAACCTCGTCTCTACTAAAATTACAAAAAATTAGCCGGGTGTAGTGGCGGGCGCCTGTAGTCCCAGCTACTTGGGAGGCTGAGGCAGGAGAATCGCTGGAACTGGGGAGTCGGAGGTTGCAGTGAGCCGAGATCGCGCCACTGCACTCCAGCCTGGGTGACAGAGTGAGACTCCATCTCAAAAAAAATAAAAAATAAAAAATATATTGAAAAAACCAGCTTTCCCCTCAAGACTAGATTGTGTCCACAAAGAACTTACTAGAGGCAGGATACGAATGCTAACGTTGGCCTTTATGCTCAAAGAAAACGCCTCCACAGGTTACAACTGTCTGTGTGTGGAGGAACCTGCTCAAGGCGTGGGTGTGATCAGAGGTCTCACTGGTGGGAGAGGAGAGCTATTTTGGGTATTTGTGGTGGATTGGGAGCTTGTGCTCCATACCATATCCCTAGGTGTACTATGTGGGGAATCAAGTGCCATCTTGGAGGTTTTTTTTTCTTTTTTTTTCTTTTTTGAGACAGGGTCTCTGTTACTTGGGCTGGAATGCAGTGGTGTGGTCATAGCTCACTGTAGCCTCGAACTGGTGGACTCCAGTGATCCTCTTGCCTCAGCCTCTCTAGTATCTGAGACTATAGGTGCACACCATCATGCTGGGCTAATTTTTATATTTTTTGTGTAGACAGAGTCTCTCTACGTTGCCCTGCTGGTCTTCAACTCCTGGCCTCAAGCAATTCTCCTACCTCGTGATCCTCCTGCCTCAGCCTCCCAAGTTCCTGGGGTTTCAGGATGAGCCACTGAGACTGACTTTGCAGTCTTAGACTTAAATCACCATGCTTATTGAACTGTAAAGGGTCCAGATTATCAAAGGATCTCAATCCTACAAAGTACCTTTTGGCTGTGATCACTATTTGCAAGCCCAGTGCAGACACTGCTCCCCCAGGCTGGGTCTACCAGATCCCCACCCCCTGTAGCTCCTACATTTCTTTCTGTTTCCCCAGCAGCACCTCATAAATCTCTCCTCTATTAAAGTATTTGCTGCTGTTGTCCTTTCTATTTCCCTCCCACCTTCATTGTCTGCGTCCTTCTCCCAGCCCCGCAACGGGGAATGAATAGCTGGCCAAATTACTGCTTTGGGGAATTGCTTTAGTGAATGCTGGAAAGGATAGACCAGAAAGTAAGATGTTATTCTTCATTCCTTGCTTGTGGGGCTTGGGACCTCCATTGTCTAGTGATTGGGTTCGGATTCTCCAGAATCATATTGGACTTGAGTACATTCCATTATTTCTTTTTTTTTCATTCCAGAATTTTTGGTGCCTAATTTCTCTTTCCTCCCACTGGACACACAATGGATACTCCTTTGCTTCAGTTACACCTTCATAAACCTGACTTCCTCTTAGTCCCTCTTTCCCATTCTCAACTGCTCACAAGGAGCTCCTTCATCCCATAATATTCATCTTCCTGACTTTTCATCAGAGGCCTGTTATTTTGCTTCCACCCTTCTGAGAGCGTCTGGGTGTGTACCTGGAACTGCAGTGGTCTCCTGGAACTCTCCTGATTTACTTGGGGGAAATAGCCACGTAGCAGTCTTCTGAATATAGTGCTTAATCTCCACTGCTTTCGGCTCCCTGCAGAATGGCTACCAGCTCTCCAGTTTTCATATAAGCATTATGATATTAAAACCACTCAACAGTAGTTCTCCTTGTCAAAGAATTAGACTGAAAGAGTCTGTGTTCTTTTACACAATTGCAACTTTTATGAGAGAAATAACCTGCCAATCTTGTAGAGAACAAGTACCCAACCTACAGACATGGTGAATTCCTTCTAGCTTTTTGTCATTGACCTGTATGTGATAAAATCCTCTCAGTCACCATCAATTAAGGATGAAATAAAGGAAAACATGAACGTATGTAAGGAGAGAGCCCTAATTTGGGATACAAGGGTGGTATAGGTCTTGACCTTCAGATTTAAATATGCCCGTGAACTAGAATCTAAAAATGCTGTTTTCCCATATGGACCTGCATATTCTTGGTTCTCCCTACTTAAAATAAGAACAGGAGGAAAATACTTAATCTATGCTGAAATTACTAACTATGATTATTATAAACATCTGCTATGGGGCAACTTTGACCTACCAAGCTGGGGCCAAAATATAGCTAGTGAGGACAATATTTCTTTTTCAAGTCCCTTTCAGCTCCTGCCTCCCTCTTCCCAGTGTCAATTTGCACCTGTTGTTGTCTCCTTGTTTTGTGCTGGGTTGGTCAAACATCCAGGCCCCTGTGGGGAAGACAGGTAGGATTCATTGCAAGCAAGGCCTCAGAGGTGAATGGTGGGGGAGAGGCACAGTCTCTGTTCCTTGCCTGCCCTCTTGGAAGGTGTCAGAGACCCATGGTTAGAACAGTGAGGCCAGAAACAGAGGAGTTGGCTTCATGAGACTTTGAGGCATTCCCAGCAAGAGGTGAGAGCAAGAAACTGCAAAACTATTTATGAGAGACTTTGGGAATCTTTAGGCACAAGCAGAATTGCTTAGGAACAAAGCATGGCTGTGCACAGAATTCTCCTCAGCTGTGGTACCCAGTGGACCAGAGACTCTAGGAGCATCAGCGGTCTGCAGGCTTTGCACAGACCTGGCTTTCTTTATGGGCACTGTCAGCAGCAGCAAGGATATGGCTCTGTCTTGAGAGTGCTGAGGGAAGCAGATGCTGATGGAGAGGGTGTTGGAGAATCACATGAACATCAACACTTGCTCAAGAAATAACCATGCAACAAGCCTATAAATGATACTGGTATGTTGCAGTCCCTTCAGTTTTGTGGTAATGAAGGTACATAAAGGTTAAACACATTTTCAAGGGTTCTTATCACAAATTCAGAATTGGAATCTGGAGCCCTGTTGCTCCAGTCTCTGGGTTACCCATAGCAAGTGTGGTTATTTCTAAAAATATGCAACACATGGTTGTGCTGGGAGAGAGCGTGCCCTGGAGATGCTGCAGAGGCTTCTCGAATGGAGCAGAAAATGGGTACGAGATGGAGGGGGTGGGTTGCTGCTGCCAGCACAACCCTACTACCAGGTCTCCTGGTTACCCCAAGAGGGGCTCTTTCTTGCTCGGTGCACACAAAACTGAAAGTGAGTGTCAAGCAGTGCAGGCTGTATTTCATGGCCACAGAATGGGAGAAGTGGGAGCACAGCTCACAAATCAACTTCTCGGCTCCTGGGAACTGGGAAGTTCCGCATGTAGGGTTTTCTTGATGAAGGGGCTGAGCATTAAGATCAAGGAGAGGTGTATTTATGCTTTTTCTTGGGAAGGGACAGAGATTTACTTGGAATCAAGGAGCCGCCTCCCTTTTGTCCTGTTTTGGTTTCCTCCTTTTGTTGTCATGGTAATTGTCAACTGTCATGGCGCCCCTGGGAGTGTCATTTAGTATGGAAATTGGATTATAATGAAGTTAGAGGTTCTTCAGAGGTGGGGTAAGCTGCCTAAGAAGGAACCTCTGACCACAGACATCAGACATCCTGTTTTCTTTTTTTTTTTTTTTTTTGAGACAGAGTCTTGCTCTGTCACCCAGGCTGGAGTGCAGTGGCACGATCTCGGCTCACTGCAACCTCCGCCTCCCAGGTTCAAGCGATTCTCCTGCCTCAGCCTCCTGAGTAGCTGGGATTACAGGCGTGTGCCACCACGCCCGGCTAATTTTTGTATTTTTTAGTAGAGACGGGGTTTCACTATGCTGGTCAGGCTGGTCTTGAACTCCTGACCTTGTGATCCACCCGCCTTGGCCTCCCAAAGTGCTGGGATTACCGACCTGAGTCACTGCGCCTGTCCCCTGTTTTCTGAAAATATGCAGAGTCAAAGCAGAGTAGGAATTTTGCTAAGTCACATAGGCATTGCACTGGGCAACAAAAGCAGGGTAGGGGTCCACCTAAGTCACATAGGCCCTGCAATGCCTTTGTGACTCAATGCAATGGGTAACAGCCCCAGTGTGGTATCCACAGAGTAGTGATGGCAGGCATACATTGCTTCTCCAGCAACCGAGCAACCTGCGCTCTGAATTTGAGAAGCAGACTACACTGAATACATTGGAGCAGCACTCATTTTATCTTCTGAGATCTGCCACTGATGTCACATGGTGTTGGTGGTGGCCAAAAAAAAAAAAAAAACCCAATGGAAACACTGTCGGTATTCGACATGATATTTGACTCAACAGTGGAGAGTTGACAACCCTGGACTCTTGAATGATTTGTTCATCACCTAAATCCTAATTCAAGGAAAGGAGCTGTGGTTGGGAATGGTTAGGCCAACCCCAAGGAGCTATTGGTATCATACCTCTGGAGTTCTTCAAGCTACTACAGGCAACAGAGTTTAGTAGTCTGAGTGTGAACCCCAGAGTTCTATCTGTGGGGTCAAAGCCCAACTCCACTATTTTATACACCTGGTAGTCTTGGGCAAATTATTTAATTTCTCTTGGCTTCAGGTTTCTCAGCATAAAATGTTAAATGTAATAGTGTCTCTGTTTTAGAGTTATTGTGAGGTTTAACGTGGCTCACGCCTGTAATCCCAGCACTTTGGGAGGCCGAGGCGGGCGGATCACGAGGTCAGGAGATCGAGACCATCCCGGCTAAAATGGTGAAACCCCGTCTCTACTAAAAATACAAAAAATTAGCCGGGCGTAGTGGCGGGCGCCTGTAGTCCCAGCTACTTGGGAGGCTGAGGCAGGAGAATGGCGTGAACCCGGGAGGCGGAGCTTGCAGTGAGCCGAGATCCCGCCACTGCACTCCAGCCTGGGCGACAGAGCGAGACTCCGTCTCAAAAAAAAAAAAAAAAAAAATGGGCTGGGCGTGGTGGTACACACCTGTAATCCCAGCTACCCAGGAGGCTGAGGCAGGAGGATTGCTTGAACCCAGGAGGCAGAGGTTGCAGTGAGCCAAGATCGTGCCATTGCACTCCAGCCTGGGCGACAAGAGTGAAACCCCATCTCAAAAAAAAAAAAAAGAAAAAAAAACTAATAAATTATTACTTCATATGAATTCTTGGCACATGTAAGTACCTGATAAATGTTAGATGTTATTTTAAGTGTTAGCAAACGATTCTAGGGAGTTTCCTCTGTGACTTGAGAATCTGATTCTGGGTATCTTAGGCTCCGTTGTTTCTACTCCCTCCTAAAACAACAACTAAAGGAACAAGATTGCAGACAGCGTGGGAAGCTTTCTCGTGTGACCACCTAGCAGCGGGGAGGAGGCCTGGGATGTGTGCCTGGATCCTAGTGCTCTTGTGTGGGGCTTCGGTGGGCTCTGCTGTGAGGTGGGTTGGCTAGTCTGATTCCTGGGTCCCTTGCGCTCATATCCCTGGAATTGGAGCTGACCCTATGTTTTGTTCTTTGGTTTTTACTCAGGTCCTGGTGCTCCTTTTTGTGATTCAGGTCTCCTTGGTGTACCTGTCTGAATCTCACCTCCAGCATCCATCTGATTCCTGGCATAGACTGAACACCACTGTACCACTATGATGACCTCTGGTTCTTAACTCAGCTACCTCCCTAATCCTCTATAGTGTGTGTGGTGACCTCTGGGTCCCAGCCAAGGGAAGCTAAGAAGGCATGACTAAGGCCCATTTACACCTAACCACCATGAACCATCATTTTTAATTTGCCGAGCCCTGTCCTGCCCTTCCCTTCTCTTCCGTCTTTTCTTTTCTTTTTCTTTCTTTCCTTCCTTCCTTCCTCTCTCTCTCTCCTTCCTTCCTTCCTTCCTTCCTTCCTTCCTTCCTTTCTTTCTTTCTTTCTCTTTCCTTCTCTTTCTTCCTTCCTTCCTTCCTTCCTTCCTTCCTTCCTTCCTTCCCTCCCTCCCTCCCTCCCTCCCTCCCTCCCTCCCTCTTTCTTTCTTTCTTTCTTTCTTTCTTTCTTTCTTTCTTTCTTTCTTTCTTTCTTTCCTTTCTTTCTTTCTTTCTTTCTTTTCTTTCTTTCTTTCTTTCTTTCTTTCTTCTTTTTTGAGATAGGGTCTCATTGTGTCACCCATGCCGGAGTGCAGTGGCATGATCATGCCTCACAGCAACCTCAACCTCCCTGGCTCAAGTAATTCTTCCACCTCAGCCTCCCGAGTAGCAGGGACTACAGGTGCACACCATCGCACCTGGCTAATTTTTGTGTTTTTTTTGGAGAGATGGGGTTTCTCTATGTTGCCCAGGCTGGTCTTGAACTCCTGGGCTCAAGCAATTAGCCCGCCTTGGCCTCCCAAAGTGCTGGGATTTACAAGCATGAGCCATCACACCCAGACTGAAAGAGAATTTTCTAAGTCACAGACAAATAAAAACTTTATTCACTACACTACAGGAAAAACTGAATTGCCTTTCTATTCTCTCTTCAGAAAATGATATCCCCAAATTGGCATAATATGAAGAGTCAAAGACCATACAGTGAAAAGATCAGAAAAAATGGTTTAGGCTGGGCGAGTTGGCTCATGCTTATAATCCCAGCACTTTGGGAGGCCGAGGTGGGCGGATCACTTGAGGTCAGGAGTTCGAGAGCAGCCTGGCCAACATGGTGAAACCCTGTCTCTACTAAAAATACAAAAATGAGCCGGGCATGGTGGTGCACACCTGTAATCTCAGCTATGTGGGAGGCTGAGGCAGGAGAATCACTTGAACCTGGAAGGGAGAGGTTGCAGTGAGCTGAGATCACACCACTGTACTGCAGCCTGGGCAAAAGAGCTGAGAAGACTCTGTCTCAAACAAAAAAAAAAAAAAGAAAGAAAATGTGGTATTAGAAAGGTATGCTATGAAGTTAATAAATAAAAAAATTATTTTTCTGTATTGTAGTATGTATTAGATAAAATTTGGTATTTTGAGGGGATTTCTTTTCTTATGCTAAATATGCATTTACTTATATAATTTGTTTTAATTCACAATTTGTTTTTTGTGGGGGTTTTTTTGTTTTTTTTTTTCAAGACAGGGTCTCACTCACATTGCCGAGGCTGGGGTGCAGTGGTGCAATGTCGACTCACTGCAGCCTCAACTTCCTGGGCTCAAGTGATCCTCTCACCTCAGCCTCCCAAGTAGCTGGGAATACAGGTGGGCACCACCACACATGGCTAATTTTTTGTATTTTTTTGTAGGGATGGGGTTTTGCCATGTTGCCTGGTTTGGTCTGGAACTCAAGTGATCCACCTGCCTCAGCCTCCCAAAGTGCTGGGATTACAGGCATAAGCCTAGCCTCACAATTTGTTTTCTTAAAGAAATTTCTCAAACTTGTAGAAGCTTCAGGACCCCCAAAATACTAAATCTGTTCCTGATGGGAGCTACATGGCGCATAGTCTCATTTACAGTGGCCACCAATGGATATTGGGGCACACCTATGGAACATGTCCTGTTGGTGAGTGCCATTTGTCATTTGTATCACTGTAAAACAAAACAATGTGAAAAAATTAAGAGCCACTGCTTTAGACAGCAGAAGCAAACAAGTAACTTTAACAGAGAGTGATTAGCACTATCTGAATTCAGAGTTTATTATTGCTCTGTATTTGCTTATGCATTTACCACATATATATGTTTATATATTGGTATGACACCAAGGGTATGTGTTCTGGTTACCAGTTGCTCTATAGCAAATTACAGAGATGAAAGGAAATATTTGGCTGCTCTCCAGTTACAAAACAAAATGTCTTAAAACAACAGTCATTTTATTATGTCTTACTATAGCTCGCCTTCTTGGAGGGTGATCAGGATAAGCTTGAAAGATAAATATTTGCCAGGCCGACCAAGTGGCAGTGGCATTACATGCAATATTTGAGTCTGAGCAAAGAACTGTGGGGAAAATGAAAAGATGGAACTCGTATTCTGAGCATTTATAATTGAAGACAGACCCCAAGAATATTTGGGAAGGGGAGAAATGGTGTGAGTCTAGGAGGAAGTGTTTGAGGTGAGTACAGATTTCACCATCAAAGTATAATAACGAAATGACTCTAGTGGCCGTGAATCCAAGAATTAAATAGGTTACAACATGGACAGTGACTCTAAGGACATTGTCAAGGTGCAGTGTTTCTTCCTACCAACCAGCCAGCCAGTTTTTAGAAGTTAGGAATTTAGCTTGAGTGTGAGTTGGAAAGAAAGATTTGGCTGCTCTCCAGTTACAAGAACAGTATGTTGGCTGTAATAAGGCCTATGTAGATATTGTCTTAATCTTAAAAGAGGCCAAGATATACAGTTCCTTCTATGCAGTCTGGATTTCCCACTGATTTCAAAGGCATTCCTGAGGGCAGGCCAGTTATGAGAAACACATTAGGCGCGGTCCAGACAGGCTGTTCAAAGAGGATACCATTCACCACCCCGTTTTCAGAGGAGCCTAAAGCACACGGCCATGTTCGCTTCAAGCTACAAGCATGTTTTCTGCGTAATGGTGTTTACTTTCACTCCTTTTTTTGTTTTGTTTTTATTTACTTATTTTTTGAGACTGAGTTTAGCTCTTGTTGCCCAGGCTGGAGTGCCATGGCACGATCTCGGCTCTCTGCAACCTCCGCCTCCTGGGTTCAAGCGATTCTTCTGCCTCAGCCTCCCGAGTAGCTGGAATTACAGACATGCGCCACCACGCCCAGCTAATTTTGTATTTTTAGTAGAGATGGAGTTTCTCCATGTTGGTCAGGCCCGTCTCAAACTCCCAACCTCAGGCGATCCGCCCGCCTCGGCCTCCTAAAGTGCTGGGATTACAGGCGTGAGCCACTGCGCCTGGCCACTCCTTCATTTTTATTTTTGAAAATGTACTATAGGATATTATATTGTGCCTAGAGTTCCTGCCAGTGTTCTTTTGTATGCGAATTGTAATTAAAAAACCAGTATCTATCTATTTTTCCAAACATAAACAAGTCCAGTTTCTGGATTTGAACTTTTGTTCCTCCTGCTACTAAATCATTTTAGTAACTGCAAGACACCTATGAACTCTATAGTAGTCAGTCGTTCAAGTAGGAGCTACCAGTTGCATCTAGGACAGTGCCAGTTATCTTGATCATGGGTGCCCTAAATCTGCACCTCATCCTCTCCAGCTATTCAAAACAGTCTTCTGGACATCCAGAAGCTATGCTTCTAGCTATTTAGTTGTCTGTAGAAGGTGATTGTAGAGTTTTCAGTGCCTAGCCACAATGCCAGTGTGTTATCTGAAGATACACGGTTAAGAACATGGGCTCCAGCCTGACCAACATGGTGAAACCCCATCTCTATTGAAAATACAAAAAGTAGCCGGGCGTGGTGGCGCGCACCTGTAATCCCAGCTACTTGGGAACGCTGAGGCAGGGCAATCGCTTGAACCCAGGAGGTGGAGGTTGCAGTGAGCCGAGATCGTGCCATTGCACCCCAGCCTGGGTGTCAAGAGTGAGACCCTGTCTTTTTTTTTTTTGATATGGAGTCTCACACTGTCACCAGGCTGGAGTGCAGTGGTGCAATCTTGGCTCACAGCAACCTCTGCCTCCCAGGTTCAAGTGATTCTCCTGCCTCAGCCTCCCAAGTAACTGGGACTACAGGCACGTGCCACCATGCCCAGCTAATTTTTTGTATTTTTAGTAGAGACGGGGTTTCACCATGTTAGCCAGGGTGGTCTCGATTTCCTGACCTTGTGATGTGCCTGCCTCGGCCTCCCAAAGTGCTGGGATTACAGACATGAGCCACCGCGCCCAGCCTGAGACCCCGTCTTTAAAAAAAAAAAAAAAAAGAACATGGGCTCTCGCCAGTGGTGGTGGCTCATGCCTATAATCCCAGCACTTTGGGAGGCCGAGGCAGGCGGATCACAAGGTCAGGAAATCGAGACCACCCTGGCAACATGGTGAAACCCCATCTCTTCTAAAAATACAAAAAATTAGCTGGGTGTGGTGGCATGCGCCTGTAGTCCCAGCTACTCGGTCTCAAAAAAAAAAAAAAAAAAAAAATAGAACATGGGCTCTCAGAACAGACAGAATTTGGGGGTTCAAATTTTAGCTCTTCAATTTAGTAGTCATATGGCCTTGAAGAAATTAAGTAACATTTTAAAGTCCCCGTTTCTGTAGAATGCTGATGGTGAGGATGATGTCAATAATCCTTGCCTCATCAAAGTATTTTGTAGATTAAATGAAATTATGAACAGGTATTATTACTAATGGTATTCTTGCTCTTTAATCCCTTCTTAGACTTAAAAGAGCTGTTTTATTGGAGCATTAATCATGATGGCTATCATTTATTGCCATGTGCCAGCACTAGGCTAAATACTTTATCTACGTGATCTATGATCATAATGAAACATGCAAGGAAGAGACCTTTACTTTACAGCAGAGGAAACTGAAGGTCAGAGAGGTTAATGATCTTGGTCATAAAACCAAGAGGTAGATAGAGCTGGGGTGCGAACTCAAAGCTGCTGTTCTTTCCACTAAGCCCTACTGATACTCATGTATCCCAGTTTAAGTCATTGCCTCTGCAGAGGAATTCAGCTGGGAAGAATCATTATTTCCCTCTTGCATTAACAAGGGACAGCCATCTATCCCTTGCTCTAGAAAAAAAAGGAACACCTAATATTAAGCAGTAAACCCAGGCAGAAACCCATCTACTCACAGTGTTTCATATGGGGCTAATACATGCCTTTGAAGATGCCTGCAAGTATCAGCATGAATGGCTGTGCCAGAGAGGTATGCGCCCATGTCCAGGCTCCTACAACAAATATTAGCCACAGAAACCCTTGATTTTTTTTTCTTTTCTTTTTTTTTTTTTTTTTCCGAGATGGAGTCTTGCTTTGTTGCCCAGGCTGGAGTGCAGCGGTGGGATCTCGGCTCACTGCAACCTCCACCTCCTGGGTTCAAGTAATTCTCCTGCCTCAGCCTCCTGTGTAACTGGGATTACAGGCACCATGCCTGGCTAATTGTTGTATTCTTAGTAGAGACAGGGTTTCACCACGTTGGCCAGGCCAGGTCTTGAATTCTTGACCTTGTGATCCGCGCCCCCCCACCCCGCCCTCGACCTCCCAAAATGTTGGGATTATAGGCGTGAGCCACTGCACCTGGCAATTCTTGATGTTCTTAATTTAATCTCCTTTAGAAGGTCTATCCCAATGACCCTGAATCACTAGCTTTGGATATAAATAAAATTTTTCTGCCAGTCAATAACCCAGAGTCCCTATTCTATTCTCTTCTATTTACTTACTTTTCAAGTACAAACATAAAGCCAAGACTAGAGTCCATTTTCTTGTCCACATCTACTCTAGCAGGAACTCCGATTTCCCTCTGTCCCTACAAAATATTTCCTCCCTGGCCCCTCCCCCAAAGGAAGCCTCGCCTGTGGCAAATCGGTTCATTAGCCACAGTCACTGTACAACTTCTGGGACAAATCAATGGTCTGTACCCCTCAGGTCAACGAACGGAGCCTACAGAGTCCATCATGAGAATATTGGCGACTGAGTCAAGCTCGTTGCTCTGTAGTACCTCCAGTGCTTCAGGTCTGTGAGGAAAATTTCCTAGCCCTGTTCTGCTTTTTGTAACCTGGCCCTGAAGCAGCTCTGCCTGCGTCCAGAATTTCACATAGTCTCAGAGAAACAACTTCTTCATTTCTGTCAACCATTCTTGCACAAGAAAAGGAGCAACAGTTTGCAAGCATGGTGTAGCTTAAACAAAACTTTCAGGAAACGCATCACTGAAAAGATAACAAGGTCTGCAGAGATGCAGTTTGCCCACAACAAAGACAGCCTTTTTCATTCTCGGAGAGTGTAGTTTATCTCATTTCAGCCTCAGCAATATCCAACACCTTTTCTATTGACAACACTGCTTTATATTTGTCTTTGGCTTCTCTCTACTCTAACCTTGCCCCGTCCATCTGATATCACCCCAGGCAAGTGAGTGGTTTCCACTAATGGATATCTAAATCTCTACCTCTCACAGGGAGGAACTTTCCTTTTATCTTTTTTCTTTTTTTGCCACCCAGGCTGGAGTGCAGTGGTGTGATCTTGGCTCACTGCAGCCTCGACCTCATGGGCTCAAGCAATCCTCCCACTTTGGCCTCCTCCATAGCTGGGACTACAGGTGCGTGCCTGGCTAATTTTCGTATTTTTTGTAGAGACAGGCTCTCATTATGTTGCCCAGGTTGGTGTCAAACTCCTTAGCTCAAGGGATCCACCCACCTTGGCCTCCCAAAGTGCTGGGACTATAGGCATGAGCCACCGCGCCTGGCCCATTCCTTCTATCTTACACCATCTCCATGAAGGTTAAAATGATTGTAGGGCAAGTTCTTGTCAGTTCTCATATTCTCAGTACCCCGTGCTTTCCCATAGAAGAGTTATAAGACGGAATGTCTCCCTGAGAGGTGGCAAGGAAAAATTTTCCTTAGGAATCACTGACTTTTTTCCGGACAGCAAAAAATTAATTAATTAATTCTTTTTTTTTTTGAGCTGGTGGTGTTAAGCAGCAGTCTTTTTTGAATGGTATTGCTCCTTGCGGAGTAGGGCTAACTCACAGGCAGTGTACCCAGGGTCAGCCTATTTTTTTTTTTTTTTGAGATGGAGTCTCACGCTGTCATCCAGGCTGGAGTGCAATGGCACGATCTCAGCTCACGGCAACCTCCACCTCCCAGGTTCAAGTGATTCTCCCACCTCAGCCTCCCGAGTAGCTGGGATTACAGGCACCCGCCATCATGCCAAGTTAATTTTGGTATTTTTGTGGAGATGGGGTTTCACCATGTTGGCCAGGCTAGTCTTGAACTGCTGACCTCAGGTGATCGCCCCACCTCGGCCTCCCAAAGTGCTGGGATTACAGGCATGAGCCACCACACCCAGCCTTTTTTTTTTTTTTTTAAATAAGCGTTTGACCTCTCTTGATTCAGGCATAGTAACCACAGATGGGGGAGAGAGTGGGTTTGGGAGCCAAGATAGGCAGAACACCAAAAAGAGAAGAACATAGGCAAGGAAAAAAAAAAGAAAAGAAAAGAGAAAAGCAAAGCAAAACACGAAACACATGGGGTAGCAGCCTAGATTAGTAGATAGAATTGAAGTCCTTAAAATCGAAGGCACAGTGAGGGAAACCATAAGGTCTTTTATTACATGTAAGATATTCAATATCTTCCAAAGGACTGCCTATACTAAGCATAGAGGGTGATTTGGCTTAGGTGAACACTGCACTTTGGTAAGGATTCAGGTAGCTTTTTGTTGTCACTGACTGTATCAACCTTAATTTAGCAAATGGCCTATGCTGTGCTGTTTGTAAATGGTTTCTTTTTTCTATGTGCCTAAGCAAATGTTTTTTAGTGAGTAAATGACAGTAAATAAATCTTTGTAGAACAATCCTCGTGAAGATTTTTTTGCCCTTCTTCTCCTCCTCCTCCTCCTTCTTCTGCTTCTGCTTCTTCTTTTTCTTCCTTTTCAATACTACGTTTTTCAGGCCAATGATAAAACAGAAAATGTCTTGACAAAGTGAGCTCTCCAAATCATATATCACAAGGACGTAAGAGGAATATCACTTAACAAGTTGATAAAGATCCTGCCATCAATATGAACGAGGGGGAAGGGTAACTGTACTTTAGATTGTGGAGGTGGTTCAAGTCCCAGAACTAGAATCTTAGTAACTCAAAGAATATTGCCAAGAACACGTATATAGTTATTCTCCTAGATTTATGTGACAATGATGACAAACTCCATATTCTGTTGAAATATATTTGGATGGGCCGGGCGCAGTGGCTCACGCCTGTAATCCCAGCACTTTGGGAGGCTGAGGCGGGTGGATCACGAGGTCAGTAGCTCAAGACCAGCCTGGCCAAGATGGTGAAATCCCGTGTCTATAAAAATACAAAAATTAGCAGGGTGTGGTGGCGGGGGACTGTAATCCCAGCTACTCCGGAGGCTGAGGCAGAGAATTGCTTGAACCCGGGAGGCGTGAGCCACCATGCCCTACCTAGAATGGTATTTTGAAAGCTTTAATAACACCAGTGCTTTTCTAGAGATTGTGCATGCTGTGAATTTTAGACTTATGAAAAGACCTGGACAAAACAGCTGTTTGTACACCCGGACATCTGTTTTTACTGGAGAAGAGGAATTTCTAATGCAGCTGGCAGTATGGTAAAAATCCAAAGGGATCATGTTTCACAGACGCCTCCACGGGCTGACTTGTAATTTAAAAAGTGACCTGAACTTTCTACTGGATGTCACTGGATCCCCAGAAGAAGGTTCATCACAATTAGGTAAGAACCTGCCACGATTCATTTTCCGATTAGAGTGCTTTCTGGCATGCCTCTGCAAGGTGCTAGGAGCACAGGGCCAGGGTATACACAGTTGAGAAGATGGGGGAAGGTCTCATAAGTAGATGGGGAGCGAATGCAAACAAACCTTAGGATGGTGGGGGGGAGGGGAAGCAACAGTAGGGACTTGGGTGAGGAAAGAAAAGATCAAGAGGAAAAGCAGGGCACTGGCAACAACTTGGGGGGTGGATGGGGAGAGAGGAGGGGAATGGCTGTGATGAGGAGGGGGCGATGAAAAGGAGAGAAGGGGTGCGAAAGCCACCTCACGTGCAGGACGCACGAATCAACGATTAGAGATGTAAAGCGAATTGGGAGGGAGGGACTTAGTTCTCTGGAGCTCCCTTCTGCGTTTGCAGAGCCTGGCCCAGCGCTAAGGGGGTGTGGTGCTGAGCTCAGGGAGGTGGGGGTGTGAGACGGCGGCGGCAGGGACACCCCCGCCCCAGTCCAACCAGAAACTTGGAGCCGGGGAGACGGATCTGCAGGCGGGCAGGGCGAGGGCGGAGCGAGCGAGCGATGGGCGGGGCGGGGGCGGAGGGAGGGCGAGGAGATACAGGCGGAGGGCGAGGAGATACAGGCGGAGGGCGAGGAGATACAGGCGGAGAGCGGCGCTAGGACCCGCCGGCCACCCCGCCGGCTCCCGGGAGGTTGATAAAGCGGCGGCGGCGTTTGACGTCAGTGGGGAGTTAATTTTAAATCGGTACAAGATGGCGGAGGGGGACGAGGCAGCGCGAGGGCAGCAACCGCACCAGGGGCTGTGGCGCCGGCGACGGACCAGCGACCCAAGCGCCGCGGTTAACCACGTCTCGTCCACGACCTCCCTAGGTACGGGCCAGCGAGGCAGAGGCCGCGGGGCCCTGATGGGGAGAGACGCTCGCTGCTCGGGCTCGCGGGCACCGGCCGCAGGCGGCGGGGTCGGAGTCCGCGGCTGGTTCAGGTCTCCTCCCGCCGCCGCGCCTGCCCGCCGGGCCTAGCCTCAGCCGCGCCCCGCGCTCCCGCAGCGCGCGGCCTGAAAGGGCGGCTCGTGGGCCGCGGCTCCAGTAGCTGCTGGGAGAACCAGTGGCGCGCGCGTCTGCGACCGGCCCGGCCCCCTGCCCGCCAGCCCGCCGCGTGGCTGCCGCCGTGTCCGCCCCGACCTTAGGGGGCGGCCTTGAGCCGTGGCCGCCTGCCCGGGGCGCGGGGAGGTCGGCTGCGGCTCCGCTCCGTCCGGCGAGCTCCGGACGCGGCGGGGCGACCCGTTAGCTGGTGGGCGTTCGCTGTCCCTTACGCGGACAGGGAGGAAGGGGTGGCCAGGGCATGATGGGCCCCGCGGAGGAGGAGGTCGCGCGGGGAGCAGACACCTTGCTGCCGGGTCCGAAAGCTCCTTAGACACCCTTCCTGGAGGGAACCGCAGTCCGCAGGCCAGGGCTCTGTCCCCGGGCTCGCGTTTCGGGGCTCCTCGGCTCCCGAACCCATTCGCGCGGGTTGTGCGTGGCTAGGGTGCAAGTCTAGATTTTCGTGTCAAACTGGGGTTATGAGCCGTTTACGAGTCACTTGGACGATAGTAAGGCCTGATCACTCTGAAAGTGTCTGTAGTGTGAAGTCACCTGATCCTTGGCTCCCTGGTTTTGCTGAATGTGAGCTCCTACTGTACGTGTACCAGGAGCGCCCCTGCCCCCTCGAAGACGCAGTTGCGTTGGCAGCGCAGTGTATCCCTCTCACTCATAACACCCCTATTTATAGGAGTTTAGCGTTTGATCTCTCACTGTGGTGCGAATTGATCGCATGAAATCCTGATTGAAAATTTTGATGGTACTTAAGAAAGGCATAAAGTTTTTTCAAAGGCTTATAAATAGTAAAAGCCTACGATTTGGTAAGTACGGCCAAGATAAGAGTTTATTATTAAATACAGATACGAGCTCGTGTCTTAAGATTTCTTTTTTTACGGTGTGTAAAGGTTTTGCTGGATAAAATGTAAAGCATTTTGGTATGATGTTAACCACAAGGACTCACTTTAATAGGAAAGTTTATTTGAAATATACTTCATCATTCCTGGTAGTTCTTGGCGCATGTCAGAGGTGATGACAGACTGGAGTTTTGCTAAGGGAAGAAGAAAAGGAAATAAAGCTTATTTTATTATTGTCTGCCAACCAAAACGCTTGACTGTTTGTACAGTGGTAGCACTCTGTAGAATAAAAAACTACCAAAGAAGCAGCTTCGCCTTAGATGTGTGCTGGTTGGATTTCTTAAGTAATTAATTGTTTTGGAATGCGGATGGATTAATTTCGCTCTTTTGGTTGGACCCTAGGGGAAGAAGTGTGTGTTCTTTTCTTTCTTTCTCTTTCTTTCTTTCCTTTTTTTGAGGTAAGAGTTTTAGATGCAGTTTCAAAATATTCTATGTATTTACCTTATTAGAAGAAACATAAATTTATACTTCAGTTATGGTTGTGAACGTTGTTGTGCTGTGGTATCTTGAGAAGAGATGATACTCTTCAGATTGTTGTTGAAATAGGGCCCACCATTTATTATTTAATAAATGCTTTTGTCTGCTACTCATAGGTTTTTGTCCTTTGTTTTTTAGGACGGATCAGCAAGACCTTCACTTGATAGCCATTCCTAGCAAATGATTGCCTAAAACAGTCCCTGTACCTGCTAATTTGCTCCGAGTCACTCATTAATGAGTTAAAAACTAAATGAGCTTGGTAGGATTTGTGTTTAAAGTGAGAAGAAACAGACTGAATGAAAAGGACTCATCTATTTTTGACTGTGTAGAAACTCTTTGTCTCCCTCTGCTTCCTGGAGAAATAGCTTCAAAAACCAAGTTGGGGTCAAGTGTCACTTGAGTAGTTTAGTGTTAGGGAGAGGCTTTGTGTTTATTCTTTTAGGAATGTAGGATCTTTAGAAAGCAAATAAGTACTCATTTTATTGGCTTTTTAAGTTGATAGGATTCTGTAGATATGATTAAATCTATTTAGTAAAGTGTTTTGAAATTCTTCGAAATTATTTAGGGAGAAGTAGCTGCCTTACAGTAAAGATATTATAGGGAAAAGAAACCCTGAGTGAAAATAAGATTATGGCCTTAAGTCGAGTGCACATAGGTGTATTTCAGGATTCGTTTTTCTGTGACTGTATTGTAACTTTAAAGTTTTGGAATATTCACAAGTATAAGTAACTTTCTTGAAATTGTTAGACCTTTTCCAAAATTAGGCTTTTTCCACAGTTGGTATTAGGCAGCTAGCTGCTAAGAGTACGGGGAGACTGATTAACTAGTTTGATAATGCTGGATGGAGTTCAACATATATTTTTTAAATTTTGGGACTTCATAGCAAGATGTATTAAAAAATTGTTGATGGTCATTTGGAAGACCTGTTTGACACACACAATTGTCAGCAAAGCTGTTTGTCAGGCCCTTAAAAAGTTAAGAGCCAGAAATGTAAGGCATAGGAGTAGAAGTTAAACTTTTTGGTAATGGTGGTTTAGAGCTTTACAGCGCAAAGATTTTCTCCAGATAGGTGCAGGGAAGCAGCTTTCTTCTTTTCTTTCTTGTTTTTAACGTGTAATGGTATTCTGATTTTGTAGACATTTTGGGTTTTCAAAGTCCAGGTGTATTATTTACTTTCTAGAAAATTTGAGAGTTATTTACTTTAAGGAATGTAGATGTGAACATAGAATAACTGAACTTGATTCCACAGTGAATTCATTACTTTAGTAGTTTTCTTCCTATCCGTTAGTCCTCCACACAGCACATGATACACAACACTCGAGGGCTTTCTCTATGGCTTTAAAAATGGATAGCAGGCTGAGTGCGGTGGCTCACGCCTGTAATCCCAGCACTTTTCGGAGGCCGAGGCAGGTGGATCACCTGAGGTCAGGAGTTCGAGACCAGCCTGACCAACATGGAGAAACCCCCTCTCTACTAAAAATGCAAAATTAGCTGGGTGTGGTGGCGCATGGCTGTAATCCCAGCTATTTAGGAGGCTGAGGCAGGAGAATCGCTTGAACCTGGGAGGTGGAGGTTGCCGTGAGCCGAGATCATGCCATTGCACTCCAGCCTGGGCAACAAGAGCGAAACTCTGTCTCCCCCATAAAAAGGATAGCAGGAAGAAAGTACCAACCTGAAAATATGATGGCAATAGGATAATACTTGGTAGATATTATAGAAAGAAGTAGAACAATTAGTAAAGGAAGTAGAACAATTCTGTTTGTTATGGTCATGGAGAAGCATGAAGTATTCAGAAGTGCAAAGCCAAAATAACTTTTACAGATGATTTTCCAAGTTATGGAACGTGTCTCTGTGTGCTTGGGTATATACACATATTGCTAAACTTGGATACAGTTTTTTAAAAATGTGTGTATTTAAGTAGCCACCTTCACTACCTACTCTGAGACAAATGGCTGTGTGGTGTATGGTCGGATGATAGTTACTAGAAACAACTTTTAAGTCATAAAAGACTAACATCCTCTGTTTTCCCAAGGAGATAATATGTACTTTTGATTGACCTTGGATTTGGTCTTCGGACCAGTACAAGTAGAATGTAGGGGATTCCCTTGCTAAGCTACTAGCTTAATAAAAAGTATTCATACAACTCCTGTTCATACAACTTTATGATTGGTCCCCAAACAACCACTTAGAGGCTAGCTGGATATCCTGCTGGCCAGTAACTCTAATAACTTGTTGGAGAAGTATGTAACTGGTGAAGAATACTTATCTAGGTTCTCTAGTAACATTTTATCTTTTATTGCAAAGATGCTCTGATTGTGGCGGCAATGCTTCTTTAATCATAGGGAGGATAATGTAGTGGGAAAAGAATGAGGAATCAAATGAGTGATTTCACTTAAGCTCTCAGAGCCTGGAGCCCTCATATAAGGTAGTGATAATCCGTAACAAGGCTGTCGTGGGAAACAGATGATAGGGTGCAAGTGTTTTGTAGTACTTTAAAGTTTGTAAAACTGTCTTAAGGCACAGTAACATATATGTAAGAATGTACCAGTGTGACTACTTGTGTTATTATGCTATTATATATAATGTGTATATTTGCAATAAAAAGTTATAATTTTTTCCTGTGGACAGAGATTTAGTTTGGGCAAGGGTGGTAGGCAAGTTTTAAATTTTAGCTGTAAAATGCTGATAATATGTTCATGATAGGGTTATTGTAAGTATCAAATGTGTTAAAAGTGCTTAACCCACTGCCAAATATTCTGTCGGAGGTGGTTATTACCATAATGGGTGGTTATTTAAGATGAGACTTTGAACTAAAAAGTAATTTTCAAAATAGGCAACTTGGAAGGTGTTTGTTCAGTTATTAACATAAGATGTGATCATTCATGCTTCTTAGCTATCTTCATTTTAATAAATGTGCATTTTAGACAATCCTGTGGCAAAGTAGTTCTTCTGGAATTGTTTATTTCAATTGCAGGATTTCATATGAGTTAATTTCATAGTTTAAGGTTATGGCAGTTTCCAAGTACAGTTGTCCCTTGGTATCCATGGGAAATTAGTTCCAGAACCTCCCTCTGATGACAGAATTCAAGGATGTTCCAGTCCCTGGAACATGGTATAGTATTTGCATATAACCTATGTGCATCCTCCCGTACACTTGAATCTCTACACTATAATACCTAATACAATGTAAATCATTGTTATACTGTATGCTTGGGGAATAATGACAAGAAAAAATTGTACATGTTCAGTACAGATGCAGTTAAATAATTTTTCTATTCCTGGTTGGTTGAATTCATGGATGTAGAACCCATAGATATGGAGGGCTGACTTGACTGTATAGTGCATTGGCTTTTCAAACAGTAAATCTGCAAAATCTAACTTGGGTCTGTTATGCACAGGATTGCCAAAAAAAAAAAAAAAAACAATTAACATGAAACCATACTAACAGTGAATCTCATAAAAACCTTATTTTTCCCTTCATTTAATCCTTTAGAATAGAGTCATGGACAGTGATTAGAACTACATCCATCTTTAACATTTTAACTTGAGTTCTGCAAACTTCCTATGATTTTTGAAATGGATTTAGAATGGAGGCTTGGATTTTAATACTAGGTCTATGATGTTTTATTTTTATGTATTTATTTATTTTGAGACAGAGCCTCCCTCTGTCACCCAGGCTGGAGTACAGTGGCGTGATCTTGGCTCACTGCAATCTCCACCTCGTGGGTTCAAGCGATTCTTGTGCCTCAGCCCCTGAGTATCTGGGACTACAGACGCGTGCCACCACGTCCAGCTAATTTTTGTATTTTTAATAGAGACAGGGTTTCACCATGTTGGCCAGGCTGGTCTCGAACTCCTGACCTCAGGTGATCCACCCACCTTGGCCTCCCAAAGTGCTGAGATTACAGACATGAGCCACCGCACCCTGCCTGGGTCTGTAATGTTTTTCTGTAACATTTTTTTTTTTCCTTCCCAGTGGTTAATATCTACCCTAGCAAACTTACAGTAATTTTTTTAAAAATTTTGTTTTGTTTCTATGTTTTTTGAAACGAGGTCTTGCCCTGTTGCCAAGGCTGGAGTGCAGTGGCGTGATCACCGCGGTTTTGACCTCCCTGGCTCAAGTAATCTTCCTGAATCAGCCTCTTCAGTAACTAAGACTACAGGAGTGTGCTACCACACCTGGCTAGTTTTTAAAATTTTTTGTGGAGATGTGGTCTCCCTGTGTTGTCCAGGTTAGTCTCAAACTTCTGGACTCAAGTGATCCTTCCATCTCTGCCTCCCAAGTGTTGGGATTACAGGCATCAGCCACCACACCCAGCCATTTCTTTCTTTCTTTTTTTTTTTTTTAATTAAAGAGATAAACCCTATAAATGCCATTTAGAAATTTGAAAGCCTTCTATAAAGAAACTCCTCAAAGGAGGAAAGTTGGCATGGTAAATGGAGAGCTTTTTAAAAATTTCAGTGAATGAATTTGTGGGATGCCAAAAGTTGGTTTAATTTCACCTTTATCAGAATGGGGGAGTTGATTTTTGCCATTTCCTAATCTTTTTTATCTTTTTGTATTTTTTTCCTTATTTTTTTCCCCCCCGAGATAGGGGCTAGCCTTGTTGCACAGGCTGGAGTGCAGTGGCTCAATCATAGCTCGCTGCAACCTTGAACTTCTGGGGTGCACCCCCCACCCCCGCCATTTCAGCTTACTATGTAGCTAGGTCTACAGGCTTGCACTACCCTGCTGGGCCAGGGGTTGATTTTTTTGTTTTGTTTTGTTTTGTTTCGTTTTGAGATCGAGTCTTGCTCTGTCACTCAGGCTGGAGTGCAGTGGCACAGTCTTGGCTCACTGCAACCTCCACCTCTGGGTTCAAGAGATTCTTCTGCCCCAGCCTCCCAAGTAGCTGGGACTACAGGCACCCGCTACCACGCCTAATTTTTGTATTTTTTAGTAGAGACGGGTCTTACCACGTTGGTCAGGCTGGTCTCAAACTTCTGACCACAAGTGATCCGCCCGCCTTGGGCTCCCAAAGTGCTGGGATTACAGGCATGAGCCACTGTGCTGGCTGGGTTGATTTTTTTTTTTTTTTTTTTTTTTTTTTTTTTTTTGGGACAGAGTCTCACTCTGTCTCCCAGGCTGGAGCGCAGTGGCGCGATCTTGGCTCACTGTAACCTCCGCCTCCCAGGTTCAAGTGATTCTCTTGCCTTAGCCTCCCGAGCAGCTGAGATTACAGGTGCCCGCCACCGTGCCCGGCTAATTTTTGTATTTTTAGTAGAGACAGACCAGGCTGGTTTCAAACTCCTGACCTCAGGTGATCCACCCACCTCGGCCCCCAAAGTGCTGGGATTACAGGTGTGAGCGACCGCCCGGTCTTGATTTTCTTTCTTTTTTTTTTTTTTTTTTTTTGACGGAGTCTCGCTGTCGCCCAGGTTGGAGTGCAGTGGCGGGATCTCGGCTCACTGCAGGCTCCGCCCCCCGGGGTTCACGCCATTCTTCTGCCTGAGCCTCCCGAGTACCTGGGACTACAGGCGCCCGCCACCTCGCCCGGCTAATTTTTTGTATTTTTTTTAGTAGAGACGGGGTTTCACCGTGTTAGCCAGGATGGTCTCAATCTCCTGACCTCGTGATCCACCTGCCTCGGCTTCCCAAAGTGCTGGGATTACTGGCGTGAGCCACCGCGCCCGGCTTTGATTTTTTTTAATGACAAATCCGAGAGGAGTTTTGACGGGAAAACACCCCTGTTCTTAGAATTTTTTCAAGATGGCTATTAATAGCATCTTCATAAATTGCTGTTTTCTTTTTATCAGCACTTTAATTTTTATTTTTTATTTATGTACTTATTTTTGAGATAGGGTCTCAAATATGCAGCCTCCACCTTCTGGGCTCAAGTGAACCTCCTGCCTTAGTCTCCTGAGTAGCTGGGACTTACAGGTGTGTGCCACCATGCCTGGCTAATTAAAAAAAAAAAATTGGCCGAGCATGGTGGCTCACGACTGTAATCCCAGCACTTTGGGAGGCTAAGGCGGGTGGATGACAAAGTCAGGAGTTCGAGACCAGCCTGACCAACATAGTGAAACCCCGTCTCTACTAAAAAAATTTATTTATTTTTTCTTTGAGACAGAGTCTTACTCTGTCGCCCAGGCTGGAGTGCAGTAGAGCAGTCTCGGCTCACTCTACCTTCTGAGTTCAACTGATTCTCGTGCCTCTGCCTCCCAAGTAGCTGGGATTACAGGCATGTGCCACCACGCCCAGCTAATTTTGTATTTTTAGTAGAGATGGGGGTTTCACTATGTTGGTCAGGCTGGTCTTGAACTCCTGACCTCAGGTGATCCACCCACCTTGGCCTCCCAAAGTGCTGGGATTACAGGTGTGAGGCACTGCACCTGGCCTGACATGTACATTTTCAAGAAAAAGCTAGATCCATTCAGAAAGGTTTTACCCATTTATTCATCAGGGTTAGGTTTGTGCTTGTTTGCAAGTATCTTTGTTCACAGTGGGTGTTAATTAAAAATAAATGCCAACATATAGGTAAAAATGGGCATATTACAGTTTAATTTGCAATTTTTTGATTGTAGTTGATGTTGGAATAGTGATATGGAAATTGAAAATGTGAATTAGTTTATTTACTTTTTTAGAGATGAGGTATCACTATGTTGCCCAGGCTAGTCTCGAACTCCTGGGGTTAAGCGATCCTCCAACCTCCACCTCTCAGTGCTGGGATTACAGGCGTTAGTTACTGTGCCCAGCTCTGACTTCTTTTTATTAATTGCTTTTTAATATTTTTTGAGCATTTCCCAGTATTTCTTTTATTGTTTTGTAAAAGCCTGTTTGCATGCAGGAAATTATTTTTCATATTTGCTTTTTAATTTTGTATTTTTTTGGTGAGAATTGTGTGTGTTGGTTTCTTTCATGTTTTTCTTAAATAAATTGGCAATTTTTTTGAACTTATTAGTGGTAGTCTTAGTCTTTAGGCATGCTATTGGAGTGCTTTTAAAAAGTTGTTATGGCTGGGTGCAGTGGCTCATGCCTGTAATCCCAGCACTTTGGGAGGCCAAGGCGGGCGGATCACCTGAGGTGGGGAGTTCGAGACCAGCCTGACCAACATGGAGAAACCCCGCCTCTACTAAAAATACAAAATTAGCCGGGCGTGGTGGCACATGCCTGTAATCCCAGCTACTAGGGAGGCTGAGGCAGGAGAATCGCTTGAACCTGGGAGGTGGAGGTTGAGGTGAACTGAGATTGCACCATTGCGCTCCAGCCTGGGCAACAAGAGTGAAACTCCGTCTCAAATTAAAAAAAAAAAAAAAAAGTCCTTATTTTAGAGTCCAGGTGCGGTGGCTTACGCCTGTAATGCCAGCACTTTGGGAGGCTGAGGTGGGTGGATCATGAGGTCAGGAGATAGAGGCCATCCTGGCTAACACAGTGAAACCCCATCTCTACTAAAAATACAAAAAATTAGCCGGGCGTGGTGGCAGGCGCCTGTAGTCCCAGCTGTTGGGGAGCCTGAGGCAGGAGAATGGTGTGAACCCGGAAGGTGGAGCTTGCAGTGAGCCGAGATTGCGCCACTGCACTCCAGACTGGGAGAGAGAGCGAGACTCCTCAAAAAAAAAAAAAAGTTGTTTTAGGCCGGGCGTGGTGGTTTACGTTTGTAATCCCAGCACTTTAGGAGGCCAAGGTGGGAGGATCACCTGAGGTCAGAAGTTCGAGACCAGCCCGGACAACATGGTGAAACCCCATCTCTACTAAAAATACAAAAATTAGCTGGGCATGGTGGCAAGCGCCTGTAATCCCAGCTACTCCAGAGGCTGAGGCTGGAGAATCACTTGAACCCTGGAGGCGGAGGTGGCAGTGAGCCGAGATCGCGCCATTGCACTCCAGCCTGGGTGAAAAGAGTGAAACTCCGTCTCAAAAAAAAAAAAAAAGTTGTTTTAAATGGGCGGTTTTTTTTTTTTTTTTTTTTTTGAGATGGATTCTTGCTCTGTTCCCCGGGCTGGAGTGCAGTGGCTCACTGCAAGCTCCGCCTTCCGGGTTCATGGTATTCTCCTGCCTCAGCCTCTGTAGTAACTGGGACTACAGGCGCCCGCCACCATGCCCGGCTAATTTTTTTTTGTATTTTTAATAGAGACGGGGTTTCACCGTGTTAGCCAGGATGTTCTCGATCTCCTGACCTCGTGATCTGCCCGCCTTGGCCTCCCAAAGTGCTGAGATTATAGGCATGAGCCACCGCGCCCGGCCTTAAATTGTTAATCATATATTGATTGTTTATTCGTATCTCTTTTTATTGTCGGAGAGTGGGCATCTGTTTCAGTGCCTAGTAGCGTGGTAGAAGAAAAGCAAGCTTAGAAGCTAGGTTCAGATCTCTACAAATAAGTTTTAGTTTCTTAAAACCTAAAAAAAAACCTACCTGAAAAGTTCTAAGATTAAAAGATAATGTCTTGGCTGTGTGCGGTGGCTCGTGCCTTTAATCCCAGCACTTTGGGAGGCTGAGGCTGCAGGATGGAGCTGAGCCTGGGCGACATAGTGAGACTCTGTTGCTAAAAAAAATAATAATAGTAATAAAGATAATGTCTTAAAGTGTTTGGCATGTACTAAGTGCACAAAGTTATCATCTCTTCTCTTGAGGGTAGGACATGAAGGGGCTGGGGTTAGTTTTCTTTTGGGACTAGAGGCCGGAATGGGACAGGCAAATAGAGGACCATACTTAGACAAATAATTAGCTTTTTTCCCTTGATAGTTTTAGTTGACATACTGTGTACCTACCTTATAAAAGGGCTTTTGAGCTGCTTATAGTGAATACCTACAAAAAATAATGTAGACAGATGCTTGTTCTAAGCTTTCACGTAGATCATAGAGACTTTATGCATATTTGTGAGTTAAGTTTATCGTTAAGCTTATATGTTCTGAAGTAGAAATTGCCGTGTGCTAGAGTTGTTGAGGAATACTTCATGGAAGAGGGAGGCTTTGTCGTGCTTTGAAGAATGGGTAGATCTTAGAGAGCAAAGTGTAGGCTATGCCACTGGTTTGAAGATAAAAAAGATAGGCAGTATTTTGGTAACTTTTTATGACATAATTTAAACATTTGACCCTGATTTCTGAGAATTTTCAATCTAAAAGAGATGCTTAAAAAATACTTAAAAGCAATTAGATAGAGGCAACTGAAAGACCAAATGGTATTAGAGTATGTTTAATAAAAAAAGGAATGGGGCTATTTTCCTGTAGCCAAATAGAGCAAATAATTGGTTTAAGTAACTGGATAATTCCTGGAAAAATTATCTGAGGAGCTCAAAATGCAACTTAAAAACTGTGCTAACATCTCCTTCCTTCATCCTGTTTTTGAGCGTGTGTGTTTATTTACTACAAGGAATCCTGTCATGTACCCTCAAATTGCCAAACTAAGAGGGGACAAAAGGAGAGTATAGTGCGAAGCTCTGACTTTATCTTTGTTTTTTTTTTTTTTTTCAAATTAGTCACATTTTATCTAGTTGGAGGGGTGTTTATTTGTCTCCTTTTGGCACCATTCCCTTCTTTTCACGGCTGCTCTTGTAGTAGGAATTTTGTCTGTATTGAGCCAAGTCTGGAATTTGAGTGAATACTTACCTCTTTTTTTTTGAGACAGAGTTTAGCTCTTGTCGCCCAGGCTGGAGTGCAATGGCGCGATCTTGGCTCACTGCAACCTCTGCTTCCCAGATTCAAACCATTCTCCTGCCTCAGCCTCCCGAGTAACTGGGATTTTAGGTACACACCACCACACCTGGCGAATTTTTTTCTTTTTGAGATGGAGTCTCATTCTGTCACCCAGGAATGATCTCTGCTCACTACAACCTCTGCTTCCAGGGTTCAAGTGATTCTCCTGCCTCAGCCTCCCAAGTAGCTACTCCCAAGGGACTACAGGTACCCGCCCTCACGCCTGGCTAATTTTTTTGTATTTTTAGTAGAGATGGGGTTTCACTATGTTGGGCAGGCTGGTCTCGAACTCCTGACCTCGTGATTCACCCACCTTGGCCTCCGAAAGTGCTAAGATTACAGGTGTGAGTCACTGCTCCTGGCCAATTTTTTGTATTTTTAGTAGAGACAGGGTTTCACCATGTTGCCAAGGCTGGCCTTGAACTCCTGACCTCAGGTGTTCTGCCTGCCTCGGCCTCCCAAAGTGCTGGGATTACAGGTGTGAGCCACTGTGCCCGGCCTTCTCTTTTTTTAAACTGCTGCTGTAACAGTCATCTGAGGTAGAGAGATGTGGCAGAATGGAACTTAGTGTCTAAATTTCCAGAGTATTGGCTTAAAGCTTTTTGAAATTTGTCATAGTAGCCCTATTCGATCTAAGTGTCTATTCTAAATTTAAATATTCTAAATTTGTGTGTGTGTGTATTTGTGTGTGTGTGTGTGTGTGTATTTGTGTGTGTGTGTGTGTGTGTGTGTGTGTGTATGATTCCCTTGCTAACTGGCTATCCCAAATTTCAGAGTTCTTTTATGGCTTGATACTTTACAACTCTTAAAGTAATTTTTTTTTTTTTTTGAGACGGAGTCTCGCTCTGTACCCCAGGCTGGAGTGCAGTGGCGTGATCTCAGCTCACTGCAAGCTCCGCCTCCCGGGTTCACGCCATTCTCCTGCCTCAGCCTCCCTAGTAGCTGGGACTACAGGCGTGTGCCACCACGCATGGCTAATTTTTTGTATTTTTAGTAGAGACGGAGTTTCACCGTGTTAGCCAGGATGGTCTCAATCTCCTGACCTCGTGATCCACCCGCCTCAGCCTCCCAAAGTGCTGGGATTACAGGCGCAAGCCACTGTGCCTAGCCAACAAAGTTATTTTTTGAGCCTAAAAGAGAATTCTTAAACTATATGCCTGAGTCAAGGAAACCTTCTGTGTTTTCGATTAATTCTTGATCCGTGTGCTACAAAATCTTGGAGCTCTTAGAGTCATTGTACTAAAAATACTTCCGGAAATAGGAATGTAGTACATTGTCGTTTTATAAGGCATGTAAGAAAAGTGAGTGTTTCATATAACAAATATGGAATAATTTGGCCTAAGGCCACAGAGAATGATGTTTAAGAACTAGCTCTTCCATTTTTACTGTCACCTCTTGACTTTGGGCTTCTCACTTTATATTCGGGCTCTTGAAATTGCCTTATATCTGATTTGCGCATTACACTTCTTACTCATCACTTTGAGTTTATCTCTGCAACACAGCTTTGACTCTCTCTCCTCTGCTCTGAAATTGTCAGTGGTATTCCTCAGGGTTGATGTCCAACATTCTCAGACTATACTTTTATTTTTATTTTATTTTATTTTATTTTTTGAGATGGAGTCTCACTCTGTTGCCCAGGCTGGAGTGCAGTGGTACAATCTCGGCTCACTGCAACCTCTGCCTCCCGGGTTCAAGTGATTCTTCTGCCTCAGCCTCCTGAGTAGCTGGTATTACAGGCATCCGCCACCACGCCCGGGTAATTTTTGTATTTTTAGTAGAGACAGGGTTTCACCATGTTGGTCAGGCTGGTCTCCAACTCCTGACCTCATGATCTGCCTGCCTTGGCCTCCCAAAGTGCTGGGATTACAGGCGTGAGCCACTGTGCCCGGCCTAGACTACATTTTTAAAGTTAGCCTTAATCTGATCCTCAGGGCTTAAGAGGTGCAGCCGTCTTCAGAATGTCTTTATTGATAACCCTAGTTTAGATAATCCAAAAAGGGCTACTTTTGTACTCAAATAGCATTTCCTTTATTTTACAGTATCCTTTTATACTTTTTGTGTTAGAACCGTTAAGAGTAAAGACTGTTATTATTGAATTATACTTCTGTCTAGTATAGTGCCTTGCTCTCTAGTTACCAGTGTGAAGTAGGTAGGATGGGAGGTCTTCCTCGTAATTCATGACAGATTGGATAGTAGGTGTCCTGAGAATTGTTGGAGTTGGTGAATAGGAAACAGTGAGTTACACATTTACTTATATTTAAATATATGTGCTTATCTTGCCAAAGATGGGCAAATATACTTTTATTGCATCTTATATTTTAAAGGTATGCAATTTAATACTTGCCCTTCTAGAAAGTTTATGAAGAAAAAATTGTTCCCCAAATATTGGGAGACTGTGTAAATGATTTGCTGACTGTATAAATACATATTAACTAGGGAATTTTTGGAAAAATAGCTGTATGCCAAGATTTGTTATAAAGATGATAAATAACCCCCCCCCCCACCTTTTTAATAAACAACTTGTATTTTTGGTAGCTTTTTTCAGGTTTCTAGAAGTACTGAGCATATAAGAATTCAGATCTGAGTTTATTCAGCAGACATGCTCATTTGATAATAAAGATGCTAACAGTTTGGCTTAGTTGGAGGATGATGCATTTTGACAATTAGAAAGACCTGGTTGTGCATCCTCAGTTGATTACTTACAAAATGTGTATCCTCGCAGATTGCTTTATCTGAGCTTCAGTGTACTCCTTTATGGAAACAAGGAAACTCATAGCTACTCCACAAAGTGATTTTGAGGTTTAAAGAGATAATAGGCACATAGTCGGCACTCTGTGTTTTTCACTCTTCTGTAGTAAAAGCTACAACACCTAAAATTATTTCATACAGTGAATTATTTTGAGGGATGAGAAAGTTACTAATAATGTTTTCCTCTTTTCCTCCAGATGTCCATGTCTTTCAGTTCTTTGCTCAAATGTCATCTTGTAGGAGAAGTTATCTGTGACTACTGTCTTCAATGACAACTCCTGCCTCCATTTCCCTTGGCTCGCTTTACTTTTCTCTGTAGCACTTAACACTAGCTGACATCACACATATGTTTTCTATTGCTCTGTCTTTAGGATGTAAACTCCTAAGGGCAGGATTTTTGTTGTTGTTCTTAATTTTGTTTTACTACTGAATCTGTAGTTCTCAGAACTGTGTTGTAGGTGTTCAGTGACTATTGAAAGAATAAAGATTTATGCACCTCCAGTTCTAGACCTTTCACCCCTTGTGTCAGAATTAGCATGGTGCTGGTTAGTGGGGTGCTTGTTAAAAATGTAGATTTCTGGACTCCATGGATCAGCTGAATCAGACTCTGGAGGTGGGGTCTAAGAATCTGTATTCTGAGCCAGTTACCCAGATGGTTCTTAAACTCTAGTGGGTGTGAGACTCACTGTTGTACGGTGTGGCTGTGGCTAATTAAATATTGACAGTATTAACTCAGTCATAGGCCCATGATAAATAATTGAATTACAAATGTGTTGACCATTCTTTAGTAAGCAGTTTTTTGCCCCGTGATATGTCTGGTAAGGAAGGGTTATGTGTATTTGTAATTGTGATTATTTTGGTTGCTCTAGTTTTTTCCTAAACATCTAGTTTAATCTGGAACTTTAGGGAGCTAGAAATCTCAAATACCAGATGTTAGCGAATCCACCTTTCCCAAGCAAAAACAAGCCCTTTAAACCTATTCTTATTCTGCGCTTGTAGTTTTTTACTCATAAGAGTCGATTAGCTAATACTAGGGATTTATTTTAAATGATAAGCATCATTATGTGGACTGATTTGAGTCTCCTTTCTATGGCTGTATCACTGGGGAACAGTGATTGATCTGTTTAAGAATTATCCTATAACATCGAATAGCAGTTTGGTATAGTGGAAACAGCATGGGTTTAAAAGATAGAAATCTTGATGCATGCATTACCTTTTAACTGTAGAATCTTAAATAATTTTTAAAAAAACATCTTCGAAGATCCACATTTCCTCTCTGTGAAATGGGACTAATAGCTAAGTTACTGGGTTGTTGAGAGGATTATTTCATTGAGTCATTTCAGTAAAGGTAAGTTTTCTTGCCTGTCTGTGGAAGTAAATTTTGAGGCAAATTAAAATGTTTCATTAAAAACAATTGTAATGTATTTCAAACTTACAAAAATGACAGAGAAAGATAAAATAGATACCCAAGTAGCCATTGCATTAATCTAATACATAATATTTGCCATATTGATTTTGAATCCTTTTTAAAAGAGAAAATGTTACTGTGCAGTTGAATGGTTCACCCAATAACCTTTCTCTTTTACCCTTTCTTCGTAGATATGCACCTGTCCTGAAAGTGGTGTATGCTTTCTGGTTTTTAAATAGCTTATAACATTTGTATATTTCATAAATAATATACAGTATTGTGTTGTGTTTAAAACATGGTGAGTGGTTCAGACTGTATTTTGTAGCTTGATTTAATTTAAATTTTTTTTTTTTTTTTTTTTTTGAGACGGAGTCTTGCTCTGTCACCCAGGCTGGCGTGCAGTGGCGCGATCTCGGCTCGCTGCAGGCTCCACCTCCCGGGTTCATGCCATTCTTCTGCCTCAGCCTCCCTAGTAGCTGGGACTACAGGTGTGTGCCACCACGCCTGGCTAATTTTTTGTATTTTTTAGTAGAGATGGGGTTTCACCACGTTAGCCAGGATGGTCTCGATCTCCTGACCTCGTGATCCACCTGCCTCGGCCTCCCAAAGTGCTGGGATTACAGGCATGAGCCACCGCGCCTGGCTGCTTGATTTAATTTTTTTCATTCCACGTTGGTGTGGAAGCTTATCCATATGTAAATATTTAGATCTTATGCATTAATTTCAATTCTCTGACTTATTTTTTATTTATCCATGGGTATTTAGGTTGTTCCAATTTTTTTTTTTGTAGTTACCAACAATACTTTGGTGAACAAGGAACCATGTTTCGTTCTTCTTGTATATGTATGCAGGAATTTCTCTAGGATATAAACAACTTACCTAAAAAATATTAAAGTAAGAAAGTTTCAATATTGTGTACTCTCATTCTTTAAAAATCTGGTCCACATAACAAAAGTATGTTCTCCCTCATTTCCCCCCAAAAAAGTACCTAAGAGCCCGTCTAAGACCCTTTTTTTTGGTCTTGACTTGAGGTGAGATTTTCTTCAAGACTTCTCTGTAGAAGAAAATGAAGAGACTTGCAGAACCTGAATAAAATGTCTGAATTTCTGTCTTGTTGATTATAGAGTTCCCCGAGGCTGGGTGTGGTGGCCCACTCCTGGAATCCCAGCACTTTGGGGAGGCTGAGGCAGGAGGATCCCTTTAGTCCAGGAGTTTGAGACCAGCCTGGGCAACATAGTGAGACCTGGTCTCTACAAAAACTAAATTAGTTGACTGTGGTAGTGCATGCCTGTGGTCCCAGCTACTCAGAAAGCTGAGATGGGAGGATGTCTTGAGCCTTGGGGGTCAAGGCCACAGTGAGCTGTGATTGTGCCACTGTACTGCAGCCTGGGCATCAGAGCAAGACCCCATCTCAAAACAAATAAGCAAAACACCCAAAATCTTAAAAAAAAAAAAAAGAATCCCCTGAGCCATCGCTTATTCTAGAATCTCCTGACTAGCTAACAAAGTTGACTTCCTAAATTTTAACGTCATTTAAAATACCAAATTTAAATTTACTTTAGTATTCTTTTTTTTTTTTTTTTTTTTTGAAATGGAGCCTTGCTCTGCCCAGGCTAGAGTACAGTGGACGACGATCTCATCTCACTGCAACCTCTACCTCCCAGGTTCAAGTGATTCTCGTGTCTCAGCCTCCCAAGTAGCTGGGATTACAGGCATCTGCCACCACGCCCAGCTATTTTTTTGGTATTTTTAGTAGAGACGGGGTTTCACCATATTGGCCAGGCTGGTTTTGAACTCCTGACCCCAAGTGATCCACCTGCCTCGGCCTCCCAAAGGGCTAGGATTACAGGCGTGAGCCACCGCGCCCGGCCAACTTTAGTATTTTTTTTAAGTACACTTACATATTCAGGTGTATGCTTTTAAGAACTGGGTAATATTTGATGACAAACTTTGGGGAAAAATACTTTTGAGTTTATACATTTATAAACCATTTTACATTTTTCTTCGTCTATTTTAATAAATGCATAAAAGTATTTTTTGCCTTAGTGTTCTTTAAGTGGGAACAGCAAAAATTCTGTGACATCAGTGGTAGTTACTATGGAAACGGGGTACATTTCAAGTGGAAAATAGTATGTGAATCCTATAGGAAAAACAACTCTTTGTTTCCTGATTTAATAGTAATGAAGGAAGGAGATGAATGGTATTATATACTCTTTAAAGCATTTTTTTTTTTTTTTTTGAGATGGAGTCTGGTTCTGTCACTGAGGCTGGAGTGCAATGGCGGGATCTTGTCTCACTGCAACCTCCCTCTCCCGGGCTCTGGGGTTCAAGTGATTCTTCTGCCTCAGCCTCCCAAATAGCTGGGATTACAGGCGTGTGGCACCACGCCTGGCTAATTTTTGTATTTTTAGTGGAGACAGGGTTTCACCATGTTGGCCAGGCTGGTCTGGAACGCCTGACCTCAGGTGATCCACCCACCTCGGCCTCCCAAAGTGCTAGGATTACAGGCGTGAGCCACTGCAGCTGCCCTCTTTAAAGCATTTTTAAAAGTCTATTTTAGGATGGTCTTTTGTTGTTGGCTAGAAAGGGACAAGTCTAAGGGAGAAAATATTTGATAACTGAAATTGTTAATAAGTCGTTTCCTGGAGTCTTTAAAATTTTTGTTTTTGTAATTTGCATTGTAGTTCTAATTTTATATGAGAGAAATATGAGTTTATAAGTTCTTAATGTTTTACAGGACCAGATTATAAGTTAAAATATTTTCTTGTAGTATCTGTTTGACTAGTAGCTGTTTTTTTCCTTCAAAAAAAATTTATCGAAGTCCAAGTTTGTGTCTTTGTCAGTACTTGTAATACTTGTATCCCAGGCTGCAATAGTCTTGTGGGGGAGACCCAGCACTGTTATAAAAGCTCACCCAGGTGATTGGATGAGCTAGACTAATAGTTTAATAGAGCTAAACTAGCTGATAGTTTTCAATCCTAGCCGTATATCATGTTAACGTTTTAAAATAATTTTTTTTTTTTTTCAGACGGAGTCTCGCTCTGTCGCCCAGGCTGGGGTGCAGTGGCACGGTCTCGGCTCACTGCAAGCTCCGCCTCTTGGGTCCACGCCATTCTCCGGCCTCAGCCTCCTGAGTATCTGGGACTACAGGCGCCTGCCACCGTGTCCGGCTTACTTTTTTTGTATTTTTAATAGAGACGGGGTTTCCCTGTGGTCTCGATCTCCTGACCTCGTGATCCGCCCGCCTTGGCCTCCCAAAGTGCTGGGATTACAGGTGTGAGCCACCGCGCCCAGCCATTTTAAAATAATTTCTATAGCTTTTTCCTTTTTTAAGTAGAGATTGTTTTATGTACCTCGACTTTTTTGAACTTTGGTATATCAAACCCTTGATAGCAACCCTGGAGTGGTTAGTTGTATCACAGTATTAGCAGTCTCCCAGGAAAAATAGAGCATTACAGTTTAGCTTGAAAACTTTTTTTCTTCCTTGAAAATTTTATTTTAATATTGTTAGAAACTACATGAAATAGAATTAAATGAATGACACTTACATCCTAAACACTTGTGAAATAGAGTGACCCTTGTTAGTCCATATATCCTGAGGACCAGCAATTTTGGCATCATCTTGGATTGATAATAATGCAGTTTCAAGCTCAATCCCAGTTTTATTGAATCAGGATATGCATTTTAACAAGATACTCAGGTGATGTGTATTCATGTTAAGCTTGACTAGCACTGCTGTGGAGGAAATAACACTAAATAAGACCTGGCCTTGATTTCCCCCCAAACAGTGGTTTAATTGTATGTTTTTCTTATTTTTAAAATGAGTAAATTGGGCTGCATAATCTATAAAGCCTGTGGGAGTGATGTAATAGTTTTAATTTTAAGTATTGAGGCTAATTTTTAAGCATATGTACTAGAACTTGAATGTTGTCATGTATCTTGATATATATTCTAGGGTGTATATGTATGTTCTATTAATGCCTAAAACCTTGTAGTTCTTGGAAAATGCTTTTCCTCCCCAATATAAAAAAGTATCTCTAGAGGTTTTTTTTTTTTTTTTTTTTTGAGACGGAGTCTTGCTCTGTCACGCAGGCTGGAGTGCAGTGGTGCGATCTTGGCTCACTGCAAGCTCCGCCTCCCGGGTTCAAGCGATTCTTCTGCCTCAGCCTCCTGAATAGCTGGGACTACAGGTGTGCCACCACGCCCAGCTAATTTTTGTATTTTTAGTAGAGATGAGGTTTCACCATGCTACTTCTTTTTTTTTTTTCCTTAATCCCAAATGTGATAGGAAACATTTCTGACTGAGGGTTCTGTAGGAAGTAAATCATAAGTATATTAAACAAACATATATATAGTAACTATAAACTTTTTATTTTATTTATTTATTTTTGAGACGGAGTCTTCCTCTGTTGCCAGGCTGGAGTGCAGTGGCGTGATCTTGGCTCTCTGCAACCTCTGCCTCCTGGGTTCAAGTAATTGTCCTGCCTCAGCCTCTCAAGTAGCTGGGATTACAGGCACCCACCACCATGCCCAGCTAATTTTTGTATTTTTAGTAGAGACAGGGTTTCACCATGTTGGCCAGGATGGTCTCGATCTCCTGACCTCATGATCCACCTGCCTCGGCCTCCCAAAGTGCTAGGATTACAGATGTGAGCCACCGCACCCAGCCGGCTAAACCTTTTAAATTAGATTTCCAGCATTAAATTATGTACTGTATACAAGGTACTCCAGTTTACAGCAAACACAAAGTTTTTTGAATTAAAAAACCTGTCGTAAAATACTGTTTAAACATCTGATTTAGTGTAGAATTAAAGGGACTTTAGGGTGGTAATTTAAACATTTCTTTAAAACTATCTAGATTGTGAATAGACCGTTCATACAAGAGGAAACATGTATAGAAATGGTTGTTAGTGAAAGAAATGAGTATTAAAGCAGTTTGAATGGTGTGACTGAAGAACTTAATTTTCAGTTTTATTTAATTTTATTTACATTAACAGTTTTGTTAGTATGGATACAAATATGAGTGGAAAATGATTAATATTTGATTTGGTTATACTGGAAAACTTTGTTGGAACAACTTTTATACATGTCTACTTTTTCAGTTGTAAGTTTTATGAAATTAAATGATTATGTGTTTCTGATAAGCATTTAGTGTCTAAGTTGAAATGTGCTGTAGGTGTAAAATACACAGCAGATTTAGAAGACTGTATGTAAAGTAATAATGGGCCAGGCGTGGTGGCTCATGCCTGTAATCCCAGCACTTTGGGAGGCTGAGTGAGGTGGGTGGATCACTTGAGCCCAGGAGTTCGAGACCAGCCTGGGCAACATGGTGAAACCCTATCTCTACAAAAAATTTAAAAAAAAATTAGCTGGCTCACGCTTGTAGTCCCAACTACTTGGGAGGCTGAGGGAGGAGAATTGCTTGAGCCGAGATCGCACCATTGCACTCCAGCCTGGTCGATGAGAGTGAAACCCTGTCTCAAAAAAAAGAAAAAAGAAAGAAAAGTAAAAAATACTGAGTAGGTTGAAATGCTAATATTTTGGGTTAGTAAATAAAAATATTATTTAAATGATTTTTTTTAAATGTGACTTAGAAAACTTAAAATTACATATGTGGCTAATTTTTCTTGTGGGTAGGGTTGTCTATTCTATATTCTTAATAGTAATTTTTTGTTTTCTTATTATATTGATTACTTAGAGTTGTTAAACTCTCCAAATGTGGCCAGGCATGGTGGCTCATGCCTGTAATCCCAGCACTTTGGGAGGGCGAGGTGGTGGGTGGATCATTGAGGTCAGGAGTTCAAGACCAGCCTGGCCAAAATGGTGAAACCTGTCTCTACTAAAAATACAAAAATTAGGCGTGGTGGTGCGTGCCTGTAATCCCAACTACTCAGGAGGCTGAGGCAGGAGAATTGCTTGTACCTGCAAGACGGGGGTTGCAGTGAGCCGAGATGGCACCACTGCACTCCAGCCTGGGTGACAGAGCGAGACTCAAAGAAAAAAAAAAAAAAAAGAACCAAACAAATGTGACTATGCATTTATCTGTTTTTCTTTTTAGTTCTCTGAATTTTTGCTTCGTGTATTTTGAGTTTCTTACTTGGCATTGTTATGTCTTTCTGATGAGTACACATTTTATATGTGGTATGCTTTTAGTCTTGAAGCCAGCTTTGATGTTTATGTAGCTACTTTAGCTTTCTTATGATTAATGTCTGTATAGTATACCTTTTCCCCTTTTACTTTGAAACTTTACTTGAACCAAGCTCTGTCTTTTTATTAAAAGGACATCTCTAATATACAGTATGGCCAGGCGCAGTGGCTCACGCCTGTAATCCCAGCACTTTGGGAGGCCGATGAGGGAGGTCAGAAGTTCAAGACCAGCCTGACCAATGTGATGAAACCCTGTCTCTACTAAAAATACAGAAGTTAGCTGGGCATGGTGGAGGGCGACTGTAATCTCAGCTACTCGGGAGGCTGAGACAGGAGAATTGCTTGAACCCAGGAGGCGGAGGTTGTAGTGAGCTGAGATCGTGCCATTGCACTCCAGCCTGGGCAACAAGAGCGAAACTCCATCTCAAAAACAACAAAGAAATACAGTATATAGTTTTGCTTTTATTACCCAGTCTGGCAGTCTCTGCGTTTTTATTGGAGTGTTTAGTGTATTTATATTTGATGTAATTATTGAATTTAGTTGGGTTTAAGGTTGCCATCTTGCGTGTTTTTCATTCATCTCTTTTGTCTTTTGTTCTTATTTTTTACTTTGGGTTCATTGAATATTTTTTACTATTTTATTTTGGTTTCTTATTGGCTTTTTTTGGTTTTTGTTTTTGAGAAAGAGTTTCGCTCTTCTTACCCAGGTTGGAGTGCAATGGCACAATCTCGGCTCACTGCAACCTCCGCCTCCTGGGTTAAAGGGATTCTCCTGCCTCAGCTTCCCGAGTAACTGGGATTACAGGGATGTGCCACCACACCTGGCTAATTTTTGTATTTTTAGTAGAGACAGGGTTTCTCCATGTTGGTCAGGCTGGTCTCGAACTCTCAACCTCAGGTGATTCTCCTGCCTTGGCCTTCCAAAGTGCTGGGATTACAGACGTGAGCCACCACACCTGGCCCCTTATTGGCTTTTTAAGCTATACCTTTTTTCTTTTTGTTTGTTTTAAAGCCGTTACTCTAGGGCTAATGATATTCATCTTTAATATATCTGCCTATTTAGAATCAATGTTTTACCACTTTCCACTTTAAAATCATAACCTTAGGGTGTAATTTCATTTACTTTGCCTCATAACATGTCTTTTAAAATTTTGTACTTCTACATACTTTATAAACCCCACATTGATCAATTATCTTTTAGGGAGATTAGTTGGAAGAAAGAACCAGTCTTTTATATTTGTATCTGTTTACTATTTTGGATTCAGATCAATAGGAAGGAATAAAGAGACTTTCCATTTGATAATGTTTCATTTCAGCCTGAAGAACATTATATAGCTCTCATGTAATGCACATCTGCTAATGACAGATACTCTTTGCTTTTTTTTGAGACAGAGTCTTGCTCTGTCGCCAGGTTGGAGTGCAGTGGCACGATCTTCGCTTACTGCAACCTCCCGGGTTCAAGTGATTCCTCTGCCTCAGCCTCCCAAGTAGCTGGGATTACAGGTGCGTGCCACCACGCCGGCTAATTTTTTGTATTTTCATAGAGACGGGGTTTCACCATGTTGGCCAGGATGGTCTCGATCTCCTGACCTCTCGTGATCTGCCCACCTTGGCCGCCCAAAGTGCTGGGATTACAGGCGTGAGCCACCGCACCCGGCCATACTTTTGCTTTTGCTGTCTTTATTTTGCTTTCATTTTTGAATGATCGTTTCACTGAATATAAAAGTCTAGGTTGACACTTCTTTTAAAAACACTCTAAAGCTATCAATCCCTTGTCTTCTGGCCTCCAGTGCTTCAGTGATGATGTGATAAGCAGCAGTTATTTGAATTATTCTGCTCTGTATAATTGTATAATTATTACATAACTATACAATAATTACTTGAATATTCTGCTCTGTGTCCTGTTATCTTTGGTTTTTGGTTTTTAGCAGTCTGGCTGATGTGGTTTTCTTTGTATTACCGTACTGGAGGTTTGCTGAGCTTTTTGGACCTGTAAATCTCTGTCATCAAATTTTGGTAACATTATGACTATTGCTTCTTCAAATATTTTTTCAGCTCCAGCCTCACTTTGTTCTCCTTCTGGGATTCTAAATGCAGGTTGGATAGTGTTCCATAGGTTCGTGAGACTCTCTTAGTTTTTCTTTATTCTTTTTTCTCTCTGTACTTCAGATTAGAAAATCTCTTTTGATCTCTTTGCAAGTTTACAAACTTTCTTCTGTTACCTACAGTCTGCTGTTGTCCATCCAGTGAGTATTTCATTTTAATTACTGTACTTGTCAGTTCTAGAATTTTCATTTGTTTTTTAATAGTTTCTATAGTTTTTTGGCTGAGACTCCTCATCTATTTATTTATTAAGACTTTATTTTCCTGTAAGTCCTTGAACGTATTTACAGTATCTGGTTAAAAGCATTTGTCTGCTAAATTCAGCATCTGGGTCATGGCAGAATTGGTACTGTTAACTGCTTTTCTTTCTTGACTATGGGCTACATTTCCTTCTTTCTTTGTATGTCTAGTAATTTCTGATTTATATACTGTATATTAAATGTTATGCATTGTAGAGATTTTGGATTCTCTTAGCTTGTTTTTGGTTTGGCAAGCAGGTTAATTACTGATGGATCTTGACCTTGGCTTTGCTTCATACTTCGTTAGTGTGGGTCTGTGGAAAGCTTAGAGGAAATCTCCCTAACTTAGTGGGACTAAATTTCCAAACTGTGTACCTTGCAGATCTTTTCAAGTCTTGGTTTTATTTAGGCTTTGATTGGATGGATTGTCAGTAGGCCTTACTCTAGAACTTGACCCTTAATTCTAAGATATGTCGATTCTAGTGTCTCAGCTTGATGCCTAAGGTATAGATGTTTCTTTCCACTCTGGCTGGGCCAGAACTCCAAAGTGTCTCAGTAATGTTTGACTTCTGTTTCTCTCTCAACCCTGTAGTAGCTTCCTTCTGTTAAGCATTGCATAGTGTTGTGTTCCCCTGCACCTGTGATGCTTGTTGTCCTTGTCCAAGGAGTTCTGGGCTCCACCTCTGCATAGATCCTTTTTCTCTGGTATCCTGCCTCACAGATTCCTACTGCTCTAGCAATCTTGAATTCAGATCTTTGTGCTCTAGTTCTTCACTCTATAGTTAGGAAATTGTTCCCAGGCAGAGAGCTGGGAGTGATCATGGCACTCACCTTGAAAGTGTCCTTGTGCTACTTGTTGTCCATTGCTTGAAAAACAATGCTTCATGTATTTTGTCTAATTTTATAGCCACGGTCGAGGGCCAGTCTGATACCAGTTACTCTAATGACTAGAAGTCTCAAATATCCTCCCTCCCCCAAATACCTGTGTTTTAAAAAATGCAAAATAGAATTGGGGGTGATTTTTACTACTTTGTAGTCTGCCCTTTTCCCACTTGATTTTATGGTGGTTTTTTTTTTTTTTTTTTTTTTTTTTTGGTTGTTGTTTTTGTTTGTTTTTGAAACAGAGTTTTGCTCTGTCGCCCAGGCTGGAGTGCAATGGCGCGATCTTGGCTCACTGCAGCCTCCACCCCTGGGTTCAAGCAATTCTCCTGCCTCAGCCTCCCGAGTAGCTGAGATTACAGGGGCCTGCCACCACACCCAGCTAATTTTTGTATTTTTAGTAGAGACAGAGTTTCATCATGTTGGCCAGGCTGGTCTCAAACTCCTGACCTTAGGTGATCTGACTTCCTCGGCCTCCCAGAGTGCTGGGATTACAGACGTGAGCCACTGCACCCGGCCAATTTTATGCTGTTTAAAATAATACATAGATTTTTTTGGCTAGGTGAGGTGGCTCACGCCTGTAATCCCAGCACTTTGGGAGGCGGAGGCGGGTGGATCGCCTGAGGTCAGCAGTCTGAGACCAGCCTGATCAAGGTGAAACCCCATCTCTAGTAAAAATACAAAAGAATTAGCCAGGCGTGGTGGCAGGTGCCTGTTGTCCCAGCTACTCTGGAGGCTGTGACAGAAGAATTGCTTGAACCTGGGAGGTGGAGGTTGTAGTGAGCCGAGATCGTGCCACTGCACTCCAGCCTGGGCAACAGAGCAAAACTCTGTCTCAAAAAAAAAAAAAAATTAAATATATATATGTATAATTTTTTTAGAGTGTAAATGTGTTTTTTAGGCTGCATAATATGTCAGTATATGGCTAAAATAACTGTTCGGCCACTTTCCAGTTTTGAGGTACGCAACATTAATTTTTGCCACCAGAATAAAATTAGTGTCCTTATTTCCTTATAATAAATCCCTAGAAATATATTTAACCATCGTATAACCTCTTTAAGGCTCTTAAAAAATATGTGCTAGAATAAACTTGAATACTTAGATACTGTTTTCACTTGGGTATGAAATATAAATGTTGAGGTTCAAGTACTAGGCACTAACACGTTACTTAGCTTTTGTGGGATAACTAATTTTTTTATAAGTAGACTGAATAGACTGAATCAAGGTTACTTTCCATGAAAATTTGTTTCAAGTTTTTGTTTGGAATGTGAATAATAAAATATACTTTTCATTCCTTTTGAAAGGTGAATTATTCTTTGTTCTCTTTTTATAAGTTTAGTTTTGGGTTGATGTAATCTAACATTAATGCTACATTTTATTATAATGAAGATTTGTAGCACTTTTTTATTATCTTAGTTTATAATTAAGCTTGAAATTTGCTGAGGATCTAGGTCAGCCCTGAAGTGTAAATTTTGCTGTTGGAATACATGCTGAGTGTCTGAATTTGGCAGATTTAAGATAATGTGTGATTAGACAACAAAAAGACAGGTGTCTTATTTAAATAGACTTTTTTGGTTTTTTTTTTTAGAGCAATTTTAGCTTCACAGCAATATGAAGCGAAATTGTAGTTCACGTACTCCCTGCCACTCCATATACACACTGTCCCCCGCCATCAGCGTTTCACCCACAGTGGTGCTTTTGTTAAAATCAATGAACCTTCACTAACACATCATTATCATCCAAAGTCTATAGTTTTACATTATGGTTCACTCTTGGGGTTGTATATTCAATGGTTTTTTTCATAGATGTATAATGACAGGTATCAACCAATTTCGTATTATAGAGAATAGTTTCACTGCCCTAAGAAATCTTCTGTGTTATGCCTGTTCATCCCTCCCTATCCCCCTAACCCCTGGCAATCACAGGTCCTTTTACTAAGACACCTTTCTTTTGTTAGGCCGTGTGGCAAATAGATATTAGGTAGGTACCTTAGTGTTAATGTGTGGAGAGATGTTTGAGAAGCAGGTGATCATCTTTAGGTGTCTTTTAGCTTTGACCTTGAAAGACCCATCTGGGGGCTAGCGTAGGGAAAACTGACTTGGAACTGTGAATCACAAAAATGTGTTGGGGGGCTGAAATCTACTTGTCTTAGTAAATTTTTGGCATTGAAGAATGGAAATAAAATCACTATTCTATACACAGGACGTAACTTCAGTTTAAAATCTTAGAGTGGTGTGGAATTTAGAGACTTTTAATTGTAGGCAATCACTAAATGCTAGTACAGTATTTACAGGTATCCTAATGAAATTTACATACAATTCTCTTTTATTCATTTGCTTATATCAGTGTTTGATGGAGTACTTTATCTGTATTTAGTCCATATTTGGTAGAGAAATCACCATGGGGAGTAAGTAGATAGATGCAGGTGTATCACATCATTGTTAGGCTCCATTATACTTTTGAAATCTATTTGCTACCCTTCTCTGTAAAAGGCTGTAGACTAGATATGGTGACAAATATGTAGACACATTCTGTCTATTTGAAAGGCCTGTCTTTGTCTGTGCTAATAAACTTGGTTGCATAGTGACTGGCCAACTAATATAGGTGAATTTTCGAGTTAACAAAGGTTTTCTGCCCAGTGGGGTTTTTTTTTTCCTATTTTATTTATTTTTTATTATTATACTTTAAGTTTTAGGGTACATGTGCACAATGTGCAGGTTAGTGACATATGTATACATGTGCCATGCTGGTGTGCTGCACCCATTAACTTGTCATTTAGCATTAGGTATACTCCTAATGCTATCCCTCCCCCCTCCCCCCACCCCACAACAGTCCCCAGAGTGTGATGTTCCCCTTCCTGTGTCCGTGTGTTCTCATTGTTCAGTTCCCATCTATGAGTGAGAACATGCGGTGTTTGGTTTTTTGTCCTTGCGATAGTTTACTGAGAATGATGATTTCCAATTTCATCCATGTCCCTACAAAGGACATGAACTCATCATTTTTTATGGCTGCATAGTATTCCATGGTGTATATGTGCCACATTTTCTTAATCCAGTCTATCATTGATGGACGTTTGGGTTGGTTCCAAGTCTTTGCTATTGTGAATAGTGCCACAACGAACATACGTGTGCATGTGTCTTTATAGCAGCATGATTTATAGTCCTTTGGGTATATACCCAGTAATGGGATGACTGGGTCAAATGGTATTTCTAGTTCTAGATCCCTGAGGAATCGCCACACTGACTTCCACAATGGTTGAACTAGTTTACAGTCCCACCAACAGTGTAAAAGTGTTCCTATTTCTCCACATCCTCTCCAGCACCTGTTGTTTCCTGACTTTTTAATGATCGCCATTCTAACTGGTGTGAGATGGTATCTCATTGTGGTTTTGATTTGCGTTTCTCTGATGGCCAGTGATGATGAGCATTTTTTCATGTGTGTTTTGGCTGCATAAATGTCTTCTTTTGAGAAGTGTCTGTTCATATCCTTTGCCCACTTTTTGATGGGGTTGTTTGTTTTTTTCTTGTGAATTTGTTTGAGTTCATTGTAGATTCTGGATATTAGCCCTTTGTCAGATGAGTAGGTTGCGAAAATTTTCTCCCATTTTGTAGGTTGCCTGTTCACTCTGATGGTAGTTTCTTTTGCTGTGCAGAAGCTCTTTAGTTTAATTAGATACCATTTGTCAATTTTGGCTTTTGGGTTTTTTTTTTTTCTTAAACTTCTAAAAAACCAACTAATGCTTTCTTTACAATAAGAGCAAAACTATTGTTTGTTTTAGCAAAATCACCAACCTCCACACTTGGTCATTGTGATATTTTAGCAGTTATTACTTTTGAGTTCTTTTTTAAAGTGTTTTACTTGGTTCATAATTTTTTTTTTTTTGAGATGGAGTTTCGCTCTTGTTGCCCAGGCTGGAGTGCAATGGCGCAATCTTGGCTCACCGCAACCTCCGTTTCCTGGGTTCAAGCAATTCTCCTCCCTCAGCCTCCTGAGTATCTGGGATTACAGGCAAGCAACACCACTCCTGGCTAATTTTGTATTTTTAGTAGAGATGGGGTTTCTCCATGTTGGTCAGGCTGGCCTTAAACTCCTGACTTTAGGTGATCCGCCCTCCTCAGCCTCCCAAATTGTTGGGATTACAGGCGTGAGCCACCGCGCCTAGCCAAGCTTCATAATTTTTATGGAATTTTTGTGTTACGTATACTTAATACTCTTGAGTTGTCGGAGGTATTTCCCCAAGCTATTTGATTATCATATTTGCTTATAAACTAGGTAAGGGCAGGGCCAGGCATAGTGGCTCATGCCTGTAATCCTAGTACTTTGGGAGGCTGAGATGGGTGGATCACCTGAGGTCAGGAGTTTGAGTCCAGCCTGGCCAACATGGGGAAACCTTGTCTCTACTAAAAATACAAAAATTAGCTTGGCGAGGCATTGGGCATCTGTTGTTCCAGCTACTCTGGAGGCTGAGACAGGAGAATGGCTTGAACCCAGGAGGCAGAGGTTGCAGTGAGTCGAGATCTCACCACTGCACTCCAGCCTGGGTGACAGAGCGCTCTGCCTTAAAAAAAAAAAAAAAAAAAAGGTAAGGGCAGATGTAAGACTCCTGAGTAAAATGCTTAAATTTCATTCATTCAGGAAATATTTACAAGGAACCTGCTAGGCTAGGTGTCAGGCACTGTTGTAGGTGCTGGTAGAGAATGGTTAACAGGGTGATTGGGATCCTTACTTTAGTGGCACACTCATTCTGTGGAGTGGGAGATATCAGGTACACATTTAAACGAATGAAAAAAGGTTGTTTTAGGAATTGAAAAAAACTATGAATAAACCTGTTTCATTAAAGTGTTAAGGAAAGGGATCTGTGATTTAGATTGAGTGGTCAGGGAGGGCCATGCTGAGGAGATAACATTTGAGCTGAAGAGCTGGATGATGGAGACATAAGCCATGTGAATTTCTAGGGACAGAGCATTCCAGATAGGGGACAACACAGGACAAAAATTCTAAGGTGGGAAACAGGGTTAGCTTCATCAGGGAACAGCAAGAAGGCCAGATTGTCCAGGCTTTGGGAATGAATAGGAGTGTGTTGTAAGATGACATGTGCTTTATAAGGCCCTCTGCTATGGAGAGGAGGCTGGGCCCAGATCGCATACGACTATAGAAGCCATGGTAAGGTATTTAAGGGCTTTCTTCTTTTGTTTGTCTATTTTCTGCTTATGATGGGAAACTAAGTGGTAAATTGGCAATCCAAGAGGGGAGACATTTAATAAATAAGTACTTACATAAATATTCAAGTGATAGATTAAAATTTGGGGAGTATAGAATGACTAAACTTGGTTGGAAGCCTCAGGGAAGATTCTTGTTCCTGGAAAGTGTCTTTTAAGCTGAGATTTAAGGAGTAAGTGTGAATTTATTAGGAAACAACAAAGGAAAGAGTACTCTAGGCAGAGGAATATTAAAGCAGAGTCTAGAAAGAGCTTAGCAGCATGAGGATCTGATGAAAGGTTAGTTTGGCTACCTAGTTTAAACCTGGGGTTCCCAACCCTAGGGCCGTGGACTGGTACTCGTCCGTGGCCTGTTAGGAACTGGGCCGCACAGCAAGAGGGGAGTAGCAGGCGAGCGAGCATTACTGCCTGAGCTTCGCCTCCTGTCAGACCCATGGTGACATCAGATTCTCATAGGAGCGCGAACCTTATTGTGAACTGCACGTGTGAGGGATCTGGGTTGTGTGCTCCTTATGAGAATCTAACTAATGCCTGATGATCTGAGATGGAACAGTTTTATCCTGAAACCACTGCTCCCCCTTCTGTGGAAAACTTGTCTTTCATGAAACCAGACCCTGGTACCAAGAAGGTTGGGGACCGCTGGTTTAAAGAGAAGAATAGCACCAAAAGAGGCAACAGAGATTGGCGGTGAGTACGGGACCTTATAGAGCATGTGTAGGATTTTAGTCATTAGTCCTCTGTAACAGTGATTTTAAGGAGGGTAACCTGGTCAACTTTACATGTAACTATATTATTTAGTTGCTACTCTGTGGAGATTAGATTGGATTGGGTAAGAGGACAAGAGTATTAATGAAGGGAAACCAGTTAGATGCTACAGTGTGAGGTACTGTGGCAGTGACAAGTGCAGGAATATTATCAATAGAGATTCAGAAATGAAGACAAATTAAGAAGGTGGTTATTGATTAGATTTAGGGGTAAGTAAAAGACACGTAGACGTATCTCTATATGTCAAGGACAGCCAGCAAGTCTGTGCCAGAGCAGATGGGTGGATGGCAGTGTCAGTACGCAGCTACACTGGTCAAGTGAAAATCACCATAGCATTTTGGCATTTCAAGGGGAAAATAAAAGCTTCTCCTGTTGGATTGGTTATTTTGAAATTACTGTTAACTTACACCTATGGTGCTTACTGCGTAGCATACATATTTCAACTCATTGAATCCTGATGACAACCCTATGAGTTAGGTAATGCTATGCCTGTTTGACACACACCCATTTTCCAGATGAGAAAACAGGTGCAGAGAAGTTAAGTGACATGCATCGAGGCAGTTTGCTCCCTACTTCATGGTCTTAAACCACTAATTAAGCTTAGAAACTTATACCGTTTGCATCCTGTTTTGTTATTTATCTGGACCTACCTAATGAGACGTTAATTTAGAATTTAACTGTATTGCAACTTTTCCTGGAAAGTTCACTTTTTGCATGCATTCAAATAGCATACCTGACTATTGCTATATACCATTGATACAGGCAGTGATAATGTCCCCTTTAACTAAATATTGATTGCTTTTACTTTCAAAGATTCTCCTTTGAAGTGGCTTGCTCTTTATAATGCATTGTCATTGTTTTCAGCACATTTTGAAATAGTGCTGTTGACTTTGCTATATACAGTTAAAGGTGCCTCGTGATGTGGAGGTAGAGGCTCTAATAGTCTTTGCAAATCAGATAAGTGAGATGCTTCTTTTGGTAATAAGATTAAAAATCCACTAATGTAGTTATATAATCTTTGCTCTGTGAATATTGGTTATGTGGATAAGGTATTACTGAACTGTTCACTAATAATGTACCACGCCTTAGTGGACTGGCTTTCTCCTCAGAGTAGGACAGTCATTGATTGCATTGAAAACAGTGGATACCGTATGTGTCCTTAGAGTGGAAACTGACACTTAGTAGACAGGCTCAAGGAGGGGATCTCTTAGAAATTTTGATGTGGGAGAAGATAAGGTCCCCAGGAGTAACTAGTTGCTACGTGGGATCAAGCAGTTGGTAGAGAAGAAAGTCAGACAAGGTATGTGTCCTCTGAAGCTAGGTGTTTTTTTTAAAGAAGAACAGAAACCTAGACTTTGGAAGTTTATCTCTGCTATTTACATTCTCTGTACTTCTTCGTCACTATTCAGTAAAGTTATGTCTGCAAAGGTTACCTTATTTTAATGTGTTGTGGTGAACAAAGGAAGGGTTTATATGGCTGTTTTCGGGAGCTATAACAGCTGTAGTGTTTGGTGAGAAAGAGCTCCAGTGGGAGATGAAATTCTGAGATATAAATGCATCTCACTGACTCTTCTTTAATGAAACATTAATCCTGTGCTTTGCTTTAATGAGGAGGCTGTAGTAGTACTAGGTTACTGTTATTAAATTAGGGACTCATTGTAAGTATCATTTTTGGAAACTTGTTAGAACCCTAATTTTCCCCTTTAAGTTTCAGAATGAAAAATAACATGAATAATTTTTTTTTGTTTGTTTTTTGAGACTGAGACTCACTCTGTTGCCCAGGCTGGAATGCAGTGGTGCAATCTCAGCTCACTGCAACCTCTGCCTCCCAGGTTCAAGCGATTCTCCTGTCTCAGCCTCCCAAGTAGCTGGGACTACAGGCGCCCGCTACCATGCCCAGCTAATTTTTGTATTTTTAGTAGAGACGGGGTTTCCCCATGTTGGTCAGGCTGGTCTTGAACTCCTGACCTCAGGTGATCTGCCTGCCTCGGCCTCCCAAAGTGTTGGGATTACACCCACTGCACCCAGCCACATGAACAATTTTAATATATGTTTTTAATGTTTGTAAAGTAGAGTAATGTTTGTGAATTTTCTAGGTGATGCTTACAGGGAAAATTGGGATTTGAAGTATCAGGTGAAATTGATTTTTCCCCTCTTTAGTTTATGTGTGCATACAGTTGGAAAAGTTATTTACAGAATAATACAGGGCTCAGAAACAGGTGCTGTTGACATGAACATTCTCAATGAAGTTAAGACTTCATTGAGATAGAGGCCATATTTAGTATTATTGTTTATCTGTATGTATAATGGTGTATGAGTCCATTTTCATGCTGGTAATAAAGACATACTTGAGACTGGGCAATTTACAAAAGAAAGAGGTTTAATGGAATCAAAGTTTCACGTGGCTGGGGAGGTCTCACAATCATGGCGGAAGGTGAAAGGCACATCTCACATGGTGGCAGATGAGAAGAGAGCTTGTGCAGGGAAACCTCTTATAAAATCATCAAATTTCGTGAGACTTATTCACTATCATGAGAACAGCACAGGAGAGAGCCTCCCCCATGATTCAGTTACCTCCCACTGGGTCCTTCCCACAACATGTGGAAATTGTGGGAGCTACAATTCAAGATGAGATTTGGGTGGGGACACAGCCAACCATATCAAGTGGGAAATCTTATCAGCATTCTTTGTCCTGTCACAGAGGGAGTGAGAAATCCAAAGGAACATTATAATGATCTATAATGGGGGGAGGGGGCAATTACTTACTTGAAATTTTGCTTTAGTTGTGGTCCTTAATGAAAGTTCGTAATATAGGGATTAAAGTAACCAGTTTCTTTCTTTTTAAATTCTAGGTGAGAATTATGAAGATGATGACCTAGTAAATTCTGATGAGGTTATGAAGAAACCATGTCCAGTACAGATTGTTCTTGCTCATGAAGATGACCATAACTTTGAACTTGATGAAGAAGCTTTGGAGCAGATATTGCTACAGGAGCACATACGAGATCTTAACATAGTAGTGGTATCTGTGGCAGGAGCTTTTCGTAAAGGGAAGTCATTTCTACTGGACTTCATGCTTAGATACATGTATAACAAGGTGAATAGTCTTTTAAATTGAACCCAATTAAAAAGAAAAAAGTACCAACCATGCCTGTTAAAAAAATAGACAAAAACCAGAACTATATCTTTTTTTTTTTTTTTTTTTTTTTTTTTTTAATTTAAGTGGTCTCACTCTGTTACCCAGGATGGAGTGCAGTGGTGTGATCACGGCTCACTGCAGCCTCAACCTCCCAATCTCAAGCAATCCTCCCACCTCAGCCTCCCGAGAAGCTAGGACTACAGGCGTGTGCCACCATGCCCAACTCTTAAAAAAACTTTTTTTTTTTTTTTTGTAGCTATGGGGGTCTCACTTTGTTGTCCAGGCTGACAGAACTGCATTTTTAATTCTATAGAAATATAATTCTTTATAGGACTTCCTGGTCAATACAGTAATGTAAGTTTGAGCTCTTGATTCTTCATCGCCATAATTCCCTTCTGCATATACTGCATATGGAAACATATAATTGAGCATCTGTGTTCCAGGCATTGTGGCTCTAACCCAAGTTGTCTGAGTATATCCTAGAAGTCTCTGAAGTACTGTTTATCTTCTTTCCCTTTTTGTTACTTCTTCACACTTTCCTTTTGGCCACCTTTACAGTGAGTAAAGTAGGTGGATAGAGACCTTTGAAAAAGTATATCTGTGTTCCTCAAACAAGTCAGTTTTAGTGACTATTACCTTTGGAGATAAAGTCCAGTTCCTTAGAGTGGCTTCTGCAGCCATCCATGATCTCTGAATCTCATCTCTTGCCCTTCATATGTCAAATAAACTATAGTTTTTGCTGTTCCTTGAGTATGCCATGTTTTTTCCTCAAATATTATGGTATTCTTGGCTCATCTTTTCATGGGGGCCTTCCCTGACATCTAGGACTATATTACATCCTCTTCCTAACTCATGGTACAGGTTGTATGTTTTATTGATATTACTTTAGTTGCTTATTTTTTTCTGGCTACTTTAATCTCTGTCATGGGTGGGCCCTCTGTTGATTATCAAGCACCTGGCACAAGAACTGGGTCTTAGGAGATACTTACATTTTAATTGATGAATCTCTTTCCCTTCTATACATTTTCACTTTGAGATGGTACCAGACAATTGCTACTTACCTATCTCTCCCTGACTCTGACTTTCTCTCCTGAAAAAAAAAAGCAAAAAAAATTTTTTCACTCGAGTTGGAATGTTTTTCTGATAATTGCAAGTTGGACTGAGGGAATGGGAGTTTGAAAGGGAACAGGAGAAGGAATTGGAAATTTTGGAGTGGAGCACTTAGTGGAATTGCTATATAGGGAACTTTTGACATTCAGAAGCCACATGAATTATTAGAAATAATACTTTGACAGAATTAGGTAATTGTCTAAACACCTGTCAGGGTGCTCACCTTTATGAGTTCTGTGACATTTGTAATTGGGTGTGCATTCTCTTCGAGGTAAGAAATAAGGTAAACATTCTCATTTGGTTTTCCAGGAAGCTTTTCAGTAAAGTTTTTTCATGGCGATCATTTCAGGCTTTCTCAAATATACCTGAGTATCAATAGCATAGTTTATATTAGAAAACTTTGTTTTACATGTTTGGGACATTGAGAAAGGTACATCATTTTAAAGTTTGTCTCATTGATTGAGACGTGATCTCACTCTGTCACATAGGCTGGAGTGCGGTGGTGTGAACATGGCTTTTAGTGTCAGTTTAGTAGACTGCAGCCCAACCTCCTCTGCTCAAGTGATCCTCCCACCTCAGCCTCCCAAGTAGCTGGCACTACAGGCATGCACCACAATGCTTGGCTGATTTTTAAATTTTTTGTAAAGATGGGGTTCTCACTATGTTGTCCAGGCTGGTCTTGAACTCCTGGCCTCAAGTGATTCTCCCACCTCAGCGTCCCAACGTGTTGGGATTACAGGTATGAGCCACCATGCTCAGCTAAAGTTTTCCTATTTAGACTTGATCTAGAATTTTACATCTGAAATAGAGAAATGTTTAAGTAGTGGCATATTTTTTAAAAAAACTGTACATTTAAAGATGATAAAGGATTTCTATATTTTGAGGTCCTCTTAAGTCCTTAAGTTAGCTTGTGTATATTGTATCTATCTGTGTCTAAGCTGTTTAGTGCAAATGTATTTTGTTCCAAGTAGGTCACAGACAGTAGAAAGTTAGAAGGGGAGGGAAGCTTAGATCACTTATCTAGGAATGACAGATAAGTTTCACCTCAGGTGCCATTTCTGTTTCCATCTCTGATCAGTTAGTAGTGGCTGTTCAGAGTGGAGTAGCAGCCCCCCATTGCCGTGTATTTGCAATCTCTGCACAAACGGAACTCTCTTTTCCTGGGGGAGTTGCAGAAGCCATGCAAAGGTTATGATGGCTTGAGTGAGGTTATACATCTAGTTAGTGGCTTCTAAGCTGAAATGTCTTTATTGGCTTTCATTTATAGTATTGCCCTATAGAATTCCTGATATAAATCACCTTATTCTGTCAATCAAAAATTGCATTTAAATGGTATCTGATTTTTGGATAATGTGCCTCCACTTAAACTGATCATGTGGTGGGTCATGCTTTTCCTATGAGATGAAAGTAAAGAAGGAGAAATAATGGGGTAGTTGGATTTATTTTATTAACCTGTATGCCTGCACAGGTGGGATGCTAGCTGAAAGAAGTAGAGTAGTGACATACTGACAGTTTAAGTTTTCAGTGTTGACTTGAGTCAATGTATGTAAGTATGCAGTTGATGAAAGTAGTGAGTAGTTTTATAAGAGGAGATTAAAATCTGTAATCAAAGACAGAATTGGTGGGTATGGTTATGGTGTGGGGGATGTTGGCTTTCCCCTCCTAAATAAATGTTACACTCAAGTATTCTATGCCCTGCCCCCCCCACTTCTAATTCTTATTTGCTTATTTAGGGGTGTGCTTTAGATAAATGTATCTTTTCCTTAAAAATTTTTTTCCTTTGAAGTATAATTTACATGCAGAAAAGGTGCACAAATCTTAAGTGTACAGCTTGATGAAATTTTACATAGGTATACACCCTTACTACCACCATCCAGATGAAAATACAGAACAACCCCCACTTTGTGTTCCTTCTCAGTTAATGTCTACCCCCCCCCCCCCCCCACCAAAACTAACTGCTGTTCTGAACTTTTCACCACAGGTTCATTTCACTGTTTTTGAACTTTACGTGAATGAAATCATACCATAGGTATTATGTGTTTGGCTTATTTTGTTAACATTATAACTTTGAGATGTACTCATGTTTTTGCGTTATTTTTGTTGCTTTAATATTCTACTGTATGAGGGCAGGGTGTTGGGGCTCACGCCTGTAATCCCAGCACTTTGGGAGGCCGAGGTGGGTAGATCACCTGAGGTCAGGAGTTCGAGACCAGCTGGGGCAACATGGTGAAAACCCATCTCTACTAAAAATACAAAAATTAGCTGGGCGCGGTGGCATGCACCTGTAATCCCAGTTACTTGGGAGGCTGAGGCAGAGGAATCACTTGAACCTGGGAGGTGGAGGTTGCAGTGAGCCGAGATTGTGCCATCATACTCTAACCTGGGCAACAAGAGAAAAACTCTGTCTCAAAAATAAATAAATAAAATAAAAATAAATATTCTGCTGTATGATTATGCCACATTTTGCTTATCCATTTAACTGTTGATGGGTTTTTGCTTTGATACTACAATTTTTTGTCAGCTGATTTTTTAGAAGTGTTTTTTTCATTTTTAACACAATATTAGAGGTCATATTTTTTTAAGTTTTCAAACACATTTTTTATATTGGAATATAACAAAGAGAGCCTGTATACCTGAATCCTTTACCTAGTTTCTTCTAATGTTATCATTAGTGTGATTCATTTGCAAAACTAAGAAACCAATATTGATTGGTACATTACTATTAACTAAGTCCTTGACTTCGTTCCGGCTTCTGCAGTTTTTCCATTGGTGCTCTTCTTTCTATTCCAGGATCTCTAATACAGAATACGATTCCTAGATTTAGCTGTCATGTCTCCTTAGTTTCTTCTGGTCTGTGAGTTTCTCAGCCTTTCCCTTTTTTCATGATCTTGACTTTTTTTTGAGACGTAGTTTCCCTCGTTGCCCAGGCTGGAGTGCAGTAGCGCAGTCTCGGCTCACTGCAACCTCCGCCTCCTGAGTTCAAGCGATTATCTCGCCTCAGCCTCCTGAGTAGCTGGGATTACAGGTGCCTGCCACCACACACAGCTAATTTTTGTATTTTCAATAGAGATGGGGTTTCACCATGTTGGCTAGGCTGGTCTCAAACTCCTGACCTCAGGTGATTCTGCCCGCCTCAGCCTCCCAAAGTGCTGGTATTAAAGGTGTGAGCCTGGTGATCTTGACTATTTTGAGGCATACTGGTAAGCTATTTTGAAGAACGTTCCTCAATTTAAGTTTGTCTTACATTTCTGTCATGGTTAGACTGGGGTGATGGGATTTTGGAAAGAATACTCCTGAGGTCAAGTACCCTTCTCATCACATTGTATCTGGGGGTATGTATAGTCACGTGGTACTGCTAGGAATGGTACTCTTCACCTGTTGGTTAAGCTAGTGTTTGCCAGGTTTCACCACTGCAGACTTGATATTTTTTAGTCATTAATTCCACCCCAACCTCAAAGAACAGGGAAAGAGGAGGATTAAGCTCTACCTTCTGATAGGAGGAAGACATCTAAATATATTATTTAGGATTCTTCTGTTGGGAAGAGGTGTATCTTCTCCCTATTTATTTATTTATTCATTCCATCCTTTATATCAGTGTGGGCTCATTTATACTTGAGTTACAATCCAAAGTGTTTACTTTAAAAAAATAATTTTAACTTTTATTTTAGAATCAGGGGCTATATGTGCAGGTTTGTTACTAGGGTGTGTTTCCTAATGCTGATGTTTGGGGTACAATTGATCTTGTCACCCAGGTATTGAGCGTAGTAACCAATAGTTTTTCAACCCTTGCCCTCTTCCTCCCTCTCCCCTCTAGTACTCCCCGTTGTCTGTTGTTGCCATCTTTGTGTACGTGAGTACCCTTGTTTAGCTTCTACTTTTAAGTAAAATCGTGGTATTTGGTTTTCTGTTCCTGCATTAATTTGCTTAGGCTAATGGCCTCCAGCAGCATCCATGTTGCTGCAAAGAACATAATTTCATCCTTTTTTATGGCTGCATGATTTTAAACCTTTTCAAAGTGAAATAGATTATTCCAGTGTCTGTAGGAACTGTTAGAAAAATGCTGATTAGATTGTCACGTCTCGCTGTTGTAGTTTGAAATCTAGGAATCAGTTTACAATGGTCAAAACTTAATTTAGTAGAATTATATAATATACATGAAACTAAACACAGTGCTTACGATATTGATGCTAAGTAATGGTGATAGCTATTATTACTAAATTCTCCTAGATAAGGATTCTTAATTCTCTATGGAGTTGCTTCTACTTTTATACCATTTCCTGTTTTTTCTTTGTAAAACTTTATTATGAAGAATTTTATTAATAAATACATGTAAAAGTAGGCAATAATATAATAAATGCCCATATACTAAACAATTTTTAGCACTTATCAATTCCAATCTCATTTCATCTATAATCTAACTCAGTCTACACCTTATATATTATTTTGAAGTAAATCCCTGTGATCAATTAATTTATAAATATTACAGTATGTGTCTCTTAAAAATAAGGACTTTTTTGAACATTACAATAATATAGAAATAATAATCCCTTAATATTAATGTCTTTTAAGTGTTCAATTTTCAAGTTGCCTCAACTGCCTTTTTTTTTTTTTTTTTTTTTTTTTTTTTTTGGAGACAGAGTCTTGTTCTGTCGCCAAGGTTGGAGTGCAGTGATGTGATCTCAGCTCACTGCAACCTCTGCCTCCTGGGTTCAAGCAATTCTCCTGCCTCAGCCTCTCAAGTAGCTGGGTTTACAGGTGCGCACCACGACACCTGGCTAATTTTTGTATTTTTAATAGAGATAGGGGTTTCACCATGTTGGTTAGGCTGGTATGGAACTCCTGACCTCTAATGATCCTCCCACCTCAGCCTCCCAAAGTGTTGGGATTACAGGTGTGAGCCACCATGCCTGGCCACCTCAACTGCTTTTCGTTTTTGTTTTTGTTTTTTTTAATAGTCCACATTGTGATTGGTTGTCTTCAAAGTGTTTTAATGCATTTTAGGTTTCCCTCCCTCCCTCTCTTTTTCTTGGCAATTTATTTGTTGAAGATACTGATTGTTGGTTATAGGGTTTCCCACTCTGGATTTGCAGATTACATCCCGTTGGTGTAGTTTTACATGTTCTGCATTCTGTGAATCTTCTGTAAGTTGTTAGTTGAATCTAGAGACTTCATCAGACTCAAGTTTGACGCTCTTTTGGCAAGAGTACTTCATAGATGATGACGTATTCTTCCATTAGGAAGCACATACTATTTTGTGATGTAACGGTTTTTGAATCTTTACTGAATTCTTGGTATTTTGATTACTAAGCATTTAGCAGGCATTATCTTACTTAGTATTCAGAAATAACCCTGTGCAGTGATAATTATATTTCAACTTGGTAGTTGAAGAAACGAGACTCAAAGTAAGTGGCAAGACTTAAATTCGAGACTAGGCAATTTGATGCCAGAGCCTTTATTCTAAAAACTATTATGTAAAATTATGTTTGGTCATTTTCCCATATATCTACAATAAGTAAAGTACAGGTTACTTTATAGGATATACCTACACTAAATTATTCTTTTATAAATATTTACTTTGGTTTACTTCAGAGTTGAACTAGACTGATGGGAGGATATGTGTGAGTACAAATGTAACTTTTCTTGCTATGCACTGGTATCTAAGCTCAATAAATAAAGGATCCTTGCTGTATTTGCTACTCAAGAGTTTTGACTCCTTCTACAGCATATTTGGTAATGGCATTTTAAAAAAACTGTCCTTTATGTTTTTATTCTTTGCTATTTAAAGAGCTGCTCCCCAAACTGTTGCCAGAGACCAGGAGTAAAAAACTATCTTTAAGAATCATACGCACTGCTACATATAACTTGCCACAAGCACAAATATCTCAGAATGAGCCCTATGGGATGTTGAACTTGATTTTACCTTCCTCTTTAAGGATAACAGTGTCTGAGATTTCATGGGAAATGTGCAAATACATGAAGAAAAACTGTCTTATGTTCTTTCTCAAGACTGAAATGTATTTGGAGGAGGAACAATATTTTTAAATGCTGCTTCCTTGGGTCTTTTTATTTTTATTTGTTTATTTATGTATTTATGTATTTAGAGACAGAGTCTCGCTGTGGCGCCCAGGCTGGAGTGCAGTGGCTCACTGCAAGCTCCGCCTCCCACGTTCACACCATTCTCCTGTTTCAGACTGCCAAGTACCTCCCGCCACCATGCCCTGCTAGTTTTTTGTATTTTTAGTAGAGACGGGGTTTCACTGTGTTAGCCAGATAGTCTTGATCTCCTGACCTCATTGTCTGCCTGTGTCAGCCTCCCAAAGTGCTGGGATTACAGGCGTGAGCCACCGCGCCCGGCCTATTATTTATTTTTTATTGGGTGTAACTTACATACATAAAGTGTATAAACCTTAATATAGCCAGTGCATTTTTATATATATATATGTTATAGTAACCACTGTCTCTCAGAACAAGACAGCATTTCCTGCATTCTAGGAGGCTCTCTAATTCCCCTTCCCAGTTACTGCTATCTCCGGCTCTCAAGGGCCACCTTTGTTCTGACTTGTATTAATGTAGATTAGTTTTGCCTACTATAGAACTTCACATAAATGTAATCATAGAGTATGTACTCCTGTGTCTTGTTTCTTTCACTAAGCATTAAGGCTGGTGTATGCACATTGTTACATGTGTCAGAAATATGTTGTATGTTATTTTTATTGCTGAGTGATATTTCATTGGATGAATATGTCATAATTTACCCTTTCTACTGATAGACATATGGGTTTCTAGTTTTTTTCTGTTATGAATAAAACTGCTAATGAACATTTTTGTAAAGTCTTTGTGATGTAAGCACTGAATTCTGTTGGGTTTATACCCAGGAGTAGAATTGCTGGGTCACAGGGGGAAATACCCGTTTACTTTTAGTAGGGATTGCCAAAATTTTTTTCCGAAGTGGTTTCATTAATTTTACACTTCCATCAGCAGTGTGAGAGACTTACAGTTGCTGTATATCTTGTGAACTGTATTGTCAATCTTTTTAATGTTAGCTATTCTGATGTGTATTTTGTTGATTTAAAATTATCTGTATACGTCTGTATACAAGTTCATTTGCTCATAAACTATTTGCCAGATTTAATGTAGAAGTTTAGCTTATTTAATTATATTTATTATATAAATGTTATATATTATAATATATAAATATATTTATATATTATAAATAATATATATTATATATTATATAATATATATTATATAATATATAAATATTGAATATAAATTATAACTATAATGTTGAATATTATTATTGAAACTATAGAACTTATGTAACAAAATGCTGATAATTTGAATTTTATATTATTATTTTTGCCAATGTGAGAAGCAGGCAAACTTTGACCAGATTTTTTTGTTTGTTTGTTTGTTTGAGACGGAGTTTCGTTCATGTTGCCCAGGCTGGAGTGCAATGGCGCGATCTTGGCTCACCGCAACCTCCGCCTCCCAGGTTCAAGCAATTCTCCTGCCACAGCCTCCTGAGTAGCTGAGATTACAGGCATGCACCACTACGCCCGGCTAATTTTGTATTTTTAGTAGAGATGGGGTTTCTCCATGTTGAGGCTGGTCTTGAACTCCTGGCCTCAGGTGATCCGCCCACCTCAGCCTCCCAAAGTGCTGGGATTACAGGTGTGAGCCACCGTGCCCGGCCTTGACCAGATTTTTAAGAGTCAATAAGGAAATAAAAATTGTGGGCTGCTGCTGCTTATTATTATTACCTGAATATAAGATAAGGGGATTGGGCTGGGCTCGGTGGCTCATGCCTGTAATCCCAGCACTTTAGGAGGCCGAGGCAAGTCGACTGCTTGAGGCCAGGAGTTCAAGACCGGCCTGGCCAACATGGTGAAACACCGTCTCTACCAAAAACAGAAAAATTAGCCAGGGGTGGTGGCAGGTGCCTGTAATCTCAGCTACTCAGGAGGCTGAGGCAGGAGAACCTCTTGAACCCTGGAGGCAGAGGTTGCAGTGAGCTGAGACCATGCCACTGTATTCCAGCCTGGGTGACAGAGTGAGACTCTGTCTCAAAAAAAAAAAAAAAAAAAGAGGATTGGATACAGAGGTTATGTGGACTATCTTCCCCTTAGCATATTGGGGTCCCTGCTGCTGAGACTTTGATTTTGGAATCAAAACTAAGTTTTAATTCTTCCCTATGCAGGTTTTAAATTGGATTAGATTTGAGTCAGAAAAGCTTCATCAAATGTTACCAAAGCTAGAGGAATCAGAAATAAACGAGATGGAAGTGTTTACAATATTGTTTGAAGTCCTTATTGCAGCATTTTAGGAGAGACTTTCTTGGTTACGTTCCTGAACCTGTTGCCTGAAAATACTCTGTCCTTTGCAGCTTTTCCAGCTTTAAGTCCCAAATGTATGTATTGCCTCTTTTGCAGTATCATAAATATTATGGCACCCCTATCATCACATATTTCCATTTTGGATTTGAGAGAACATAAATTACAGATCTTTTTTCATTCCAAACTCTTTGTTCCAGTAGGTTACATTAACTGTTTCTAAAGTAACTGGTTTTATTTAGGCTATTTATTGAAAAATACCTCAAGCAACAAACTGTTACTCATAAACACTGACTACTCAACCACCAGTTTTAGAACATTTAGGGAGTTAAGCCATCTTGTATAATATAAGTTCCTTTTGTGTTAATACTAACTGTTTTTGGAGGAGACTTTTTTTTTAAGGTAATTAACTCCCTACCTCCTTCCCTCACTCTGCCAGGACAATTTTGCTATTTAGCTTGTACATTTTTTAAAAAATTATTTTAACTTTTTTAGAGATATCGTCTCGCTCTGTTGCCCAGGCTGGAGTGAAGAGGCACAATCACAGCTCACTGAAGCCTCAAACTCCTGGGCTCAGGTGATCGACCCTGAAGGGCCTCACTTTTTAGCCCAGCTTGGTCTCGAACTCCTGGGCTCAAGCAGTCCTCCTGTTTTGGCTTCCCAAAGTGCTGGGATTGTAGGTGTAAGCCACTGTGCGTGGCCCAGCTTATAAATTTTAGTTCAGAATTTCTTTTCTTTCTCTTTTTCTTTTTCTTTTCAGATCAAGTCTCACTCTGTTGCCCAGGCTGTCCTTGAACTCCTGGTCTCAAGCAATCCTCCTGCCTCAGCCTCCCAAGTAGCTGGGACTTACAAGACATGTGCCATTGAGCCTGGCTTCAGAATTTCTTTGTTCTCACAAATTTCTTTCCTTTAATAGGATACATTTTGTATAGATTGGAGAATGTATACCATAATTCTTTCATCAAGAAGCAAGTTCAAGGCATAAGATTTATGTCACATTGTACTAGTATATGGACAGTCAACAGAAACTTGAGTGGGCCATTCATTCTCCCCTGGACTCTGGTAGTGTTATACAAGTGGGTTTTGTGTGACTAGGAGTCTTTGTTGAACTTGTACACTAAAGGTATTTGATTTTTTGTTTTTCCTTTAACAGTGTTACTGAGATATAATTTACTTACCATATAAGTCATTCACTTAAAGTGTGCGGTTCAGTGGTTTTTAGTATATTCACAGAGTTGTGCAACTATTACCCCAATTAATTTAAAAATGTTTCCATTGGCGGGGCATGGTGGCTCGTGCCTGTAATCCCAGAACTCTGGGAGGCCGAGGTGGGAGGATTGCTTGAGCCCAGGAGTTTGAGACCAGTCTGGGCAACATAGGGAGACTCCATCTCTACAAAAATCAAAAAATTAGCCGAGCGTGGTGGTGTGTATCTGTAGTTCCAGCTACACAGGAGGCTAAGGCAGGAGGATGTCTTGAGCCCAGGAGGTTGAGGTTACAGTGAGCCCTGATTGTGCTATTGCACTCCAGTCTGGGAGAGAGCAAGTCACAGTCTCAAAAAGAAACAAAGTTTCCATCATCTCAAAATGAATCCCTGTGACAGCCCTTTGGCTGTTACCCCCAGATCCTTTCTCCAAACCCTCAACCTGAAGGAACCGCTAATCTATTTTCTGTCTCTGTGGACATTCATGTAAGTTGAATCTTAAAAAATGTGGTCTTTTGTGACTGGCTTCACTTAGCATAATGTTTTCAGGGTTCATCCATATTATAGCATGTATCAGTACTTTTTATGGCTGAATAATATTCTCTTGTGTGGATATACCACACTTTATCCATTCATCAGTTAATGGACAGTTGGTTTGTTTGCAATTTTATGACTATTAGGAATAATGCTATAATCATATTAATATATAATGTTAATTACATAAAATATATTTATATATGTATATGTCATAATAATGATGTGAAAGAGGGTTCTTCCTTCATTTTTTGGTTATGTATCTATTTGTCCCAGCACCATTTTTGGAAAGACTTTTCAACACTTCCACTATTGAATGCTCTTGATACCTTATTGAAAACCAGTTGATTATAGATATATGAATTTATTTCTTGACTCTCAGTTCTATTCCATTGATCTGTATACATGTTCTATTTTTTTTTTTTTTTTTTTGAGATGGAGTCTTGCTCTGTTGCCCAGGCTGGAGTGCAGTGGTGCGATCTTGGCTTACTGCAACGACCTCTGCCTCCTGGGTTGAAGCAGTTCTCCTGCTTCAGCCTTCCAAGTAGCTGGGACTACAGGCATGCGCTGCCATGCCCGGCTAATTTTTTTTTTTTTTTTTTTTTTTCTTGAGACAGAGTCTCACTCTGTTGCTAGGCTGGAGTGCAGTGGTTCAATCTCAGCTCACTGCAACTTCTGCCTCCCGGGTTTAAGTGATTCTCCTGCCTCCGCCTCCTGAGTAACTGGGACTACAGGTGTGCGCCACCATGCCCAGCTACTTTTTGTATTTTTAGTAGAGATCGAGTTTTACCATCGAGTTGGCCAGGATGGTCTCCATCTCTTGACCTCGTGATCCGCCCACCTCGGCCTCCCAAAGTGATGGGATTACAGGCATGAGCCACCACACCTGGCCAGTTTTTTTTTGTATGTTAGTAGAGACAGGGTTTCACCGTGTTGCCCAGGTTTGTCTCGAACTCCTGCGCTCAGGCAATCTGCCTGCCTCCCAAAGTGCTAGGATTACAGGCGTGAGCCACCACGCCCGGCCATGTCTTGTTCTTATACCAGTATCACGCTGTCTTCACTACTGTTGCTTTGTAGTAAATTTTGAAGTGAGGAAGTGAGTCCCATTTTGTTCTTTTTCAAGATTGTTTGGCTATTTTGGGTTCCTTGCAATCCCATATGAATTTTAGAATTAGCTTCTCAGTTTCTACAAGAAGTTAGCTGGGATTCTATCAGTGATTGGTTGAATCTGAAAGATCAATTTGGGAAATACTACTGTGTTAACAATATTAAGTCTAACAGTCCATGAATATGGGATATTTTTCCATTTATTTAGATCCAAACATTTTTTTATAGTTTTTGAGTATAAGTTTTGCACTTTTCTTCAATTTATTCCTTTTGTTGATGTTACTATGAATGGAATTGCTTTCTTAATTTCATTTTTGAATTGTTCATGCAAGTGTATAGTTCATATACTTGACTTGCATATTGATCTTGTATCCTTGAAACAAATTGAATTTGTTCATTAGTTCCAATAATTTTTTTAGCGGATTCCTTCGAGTTTTCTATATACAACATCATGTCATCTGCAAATGATGATTGTTTTACTTCTTTCTTTCTTACCTGGGAACCTTTTATTTCTGTGTCTTGGCTGATGGTCCCAGCTAGAACCTCTGGTAGTATTGAGTACAAGTGATAAATAATGAATATCCTTGTCTGTTTTCTAACCTAGTTTCTAGAAAGCACCTAGTTTCTCACTACTATGTTAGCTGTAGGATTTTTTGTAGATTTTTTTTTAATTGAAGTTTTTCTTTATTCCTAGTGTGCTGGGAGTTTTTTTTTTTTTTTTAAATCCTGAATGAATGTTGGATTTTGTCAAATAGTTTTCCTGTATTTATTGATATTATCATGTGTTTTTTTTTTCTTTCTTTTCTTTTTTGAGACAGTCTTGTTCTGTCACCCAGGCTGGAGTGCAGTGGCACAATCTCGGCTCACTGCAACCTCTGCTTCCTGGGTTTAAGCGATTCTCCTGCCTCAGCCTCCACAGTAGCTGGGATTACAGGTGCATACCACCGTGCCTGGCTAATTTTTGTATTTTTAGTAGAGATGGGGTTTTGCCATGTTGGCCAGCCTGGTCTTGAACTCCTGACCTCAGGTATTCTGCCCGACTTGGCCTCCCAAAGTGTTGGGATTACAGGCGTGAGCCACCATGCCCAGCTGATTTTTTTTCTTTAGACTATTGTTATGATGGATTACATTTATTGACTTTAAGTTGTTGAGCCAGCCTTGCATTCCTGGAGTAAATCCCACTTGATCATGGTGTGTAATTCTTTTTGTACATTGTTAGATTTGATTTGCTAATATTTTGTCAAGGATTTTTGCATTTATATTCATGATATATACTGGTCTGCAGTTTTCCTTTATTTGTAGTATCTTTGTCTGGTTTTGGTATTAGGGTAATACTTTGAATTAATTAGGAAGTATTCCCTCTGCTTATTTTCTAAAAGAATTTGTAGAGAACTGCTACCATTTCTTCCTTAAATGCTTGGTAGAGTTTTCCAGTGAAGTCAGTTGGGCTTTGTAAATCCTTCTTTTGGAAGGTTATTTATTGATCTTTTTTTTTTTTTTTTTTTTTTTTTTTTGGAGATGGAGTCTTGCTCTGTCTCCTAGGGTGCAGTGGCATGATCTTGGCCCACTGCACCCTCTGCCTCCTGAGTTCCAGCGATTCTCCTGCCTCAATCTCCTGGGTAGCTGGGATTACAGGCGCCCACCACCATGCCTGGCTAATTTTTGTATTTTTAGTAGAGATGGGGGTTTCACCATGTTGGCCAGGCTGGTCTTGAACTCCTGACCTCAGGTGATCTGCCCATCTCGGCCTCCCAAAGTGTTGGGATTACAGGCATGAGCTACCACGCCTGGCCTTTTTTTTTTTTTTTTTTTAAATAGATGATCTAGTTCTCCTTGTGTGAGTTTGGTAGTTTGTTTCTTTCCAAGAATTGCTCCATTTCAACTAAGTTACTAACTTTGTGGGCATAGAGTTCTTAGTATTCTTTTATTTTTTTAATGTTCAAGGAATTAGTAATGAAGATTCTTCTTTGATTTCTGATACTAGTTTGTCTTATCTTTTTTCTCCCCTCTCTCTTCAGTTAATTATATTGATCTTTTTGAAGGATCAGTTTTTTGTTTCACTGATTTGTTTTTTCTGTTGTGATTTTCTGTTTTCTTGTTTCAATTTCATCAGTTCTTGCTCTGATTTTATTCATCTTACTTTAGGTTTATATTGCTCTTCTTTTCCAGTTACCTGAGATGGCAGCTTAGAGTATTGGTTTTAGATCTTATTTTCTTTCCTACTGTATGCATCTAATGCTATAAATTCTGTAATCATGGTTTTTGCTGCATTTCATATATTTTAATAGGTAGTATTTTCATTTTCCTTTAGTTCAATATATTTTAAAATTTCTATTGAGATTTCCTTGACTCCTGTGTCATTTTGAGGTGAGTTGTTTTAAACTCCAACTATTTGGGGAGTTTTCCAGCTGTGTTTCTGTTACTGATTTCTAGTAATAGTTTAATTCTGTTGTGGTATGAGAGCATACTTTGTATTATCTATCCCTTAAAATTTTTAAAGGTGTATTTTAAGGCTCAGGATATGGTCTACCTTGGTGAATGTTCTTTGTGAGTTTGAGAAGAGTATGTATTGTGCTGTTGTTGGATGAAATATACTATAATGTCAGATCCATTTGATTGTTGATGCTGTTCAGCTCGACTATGTTATTGGATTTCTACTTGCTGGGTGTGTCAGCTACCTATAAAGAGGTGTGAGGTCTCCCAGTATAATAGTGGATTTGTCTGTTACTCTTTGGAGTTCAATTTTTGCTTCACATATTTTGGTGTAATGCAACTCTTAATCTTTGTTCTGAAGTGGTTTTTATGTTTCCTTATTTTGAAAACTGCTTTGTCTGTAATTAACATAGCTACTCTAGCTTTCTTTTGATTAGTGTTGGCATGGTATGTTTTTCCCATACCTTTACTTCTAACCTGTGTCTGTCTTTGTAAAGTGGAGTTTTTAAAATAGATAGCATATAGTTGGCTCTATTTTTTAAAAACCCACTGTGACAATTTCTTTTTTTGAGACAGAATCTTACTCTCTCACCCAGGCTGGAGTGCGGTGGCACAATCTCGGCTCACTGCAACCTCCGCCTCTCTGATTCAAATGGTTCTTCTGCCTTAGCCTCCTCAGTAGCTGGGATTACAGGCACCCGCCACCACGCCCCGCTAAGTTTTGTATTTTGAATAGAGACGGGGTTTCCCCATGTTGGCCAGACTGATCACGAACTCCTGACCTCAGGTGATCCACCCACCTCTGCCTCCCAAAGTGCTGGGATTACAGATGTGCACTGTGCCCGGCCAACAGTTTCTTTTAATTGGTGTATTTAGGTCATTCACATCTAAAGTGATTGTTGATATAATTGGATTTGTAGCTGCCATGCTTATAATTGTTTTCTGGTGTTTTTTTTTTTTTTTTGTACTTTTTTTTTTTTATATTCCCCTCTTTTTCTGCCTTCTCCAATTTTAATTGAACATTTTACTTGATTGCGTTTTCTGTACTCTCTTAATATATCTGTTAAACGTGTTTTTTGGTGGCTGCCTGGAGTTTGCAATGTACATTTACAACTAAGCTAAGTCCACTTTCAGATATTATACTGCTTCATGGATAGTGCAGTTACCTTAGCGTATTCCTAATTCCTCCTCTCTTTTATACATTGCTGTCATTTGTTTCCCTTATCTATATACTATAACCACCTAAAAGATTTTATTTTACCTTATTATCCTTCTCTGATACTCTTTCTCTTTATGTAGATTTGAGTTTCTGACCTATATCATTTTCCTTTTTGCTGACGTATTGGCGACAACATTCCTTGGTTTTTGGCTAAGAAAGTCTTTACTTCTTTTGTAGGATAACTTTACTGGATACAGAATTCTAGTTTGGTGGGGTTTTTTTTTCTTTTTTCCAGCTTTGTCAACATTTCACCCTATTTCCTTCCTGCTTGCATGATTTTTGTTTTGCTTTGTTTTTTGAGATGGAGCCTTGCTTTGTCGCCCAGGCTGGAGTGCAGTGGTGCGATCTTGGCTCACTGCAACCTCTGCCTTCTGGGTTCAAGTGATTCTCCTGCCTCAGCCTCCCAAGTACCTGGGACTACAGGTGTGTGCCACCACGCCTGGCTAATTTTTGTATTTTTAGTATAGATGGGGTTTTGCCGTATTGACCAGGCTGGTCTCGAACTCCAGACCTCAAGTGATCCACCTGCCTCGGCCTCCCCGAGTGCTGGGATTATAGCCATGAGTCACTGCTCCCAGCTGCTTGCATGATTTGTAATGGGAAGTCCAGTGTAATTCTTATCTTTGTTCCTCTGTAGGTAAAAGTGTTTTGTTCCTGGCTTCTTTCAAGATTTTCTTTTTGTGTTACTTTGCAGCTAGGCTATAATATATACCTAGTGTGGATTTTTTTGGTATTTATCCTGCTTGGTGTTCTGTCCTCTTCCTGGATCAATTTCCTATTTTCTAATTCTGAAATATATCATATCTGAGTCTGGTTCTGTTGTTTGCCTTGTCTTTTCAGTCTATTTTTTTCTTGCCTTTTGGCATGGCTTGTAATTTTTTGCTGAAAGCCAGACATGAAGTATCAGGTAATAAAGACTGAAGATTTAGGCTTCTATTATGAGGTTATATGTTAATCTAGTTGGGAGATGGGCTGTGTTTAACGTGTTTTTTAGCTGCAGGTCCTAGAGGCTTCAGTTTCTCCTTATTCTCTCACTGTCTTTGGGGTTTCCCAAGAACTTTTATTGAACTCAAAATCTGTGTCTTGCAGCTTTTTTATTTGTAATCCACTGTCATTATATTGGAGCATTGTTGATGAGGTGGTAAAGTGTAGGAGAGCAGAAGCATCGTATGCCACCTTATGGTTAAATCTTAGTTTTATTTTTATTCTTTTTTGAGACACAGTCTCCTTATGTTGCCCAGGCTGGTCTGGAACTCCTGAGCTCAGTCTCCTGAATAGCTGAGATTACAGGCAGACACCACTGCACCTGGCTCCTTAGTTTTTTAGTGGGCCTGAGTCCTGGTCTATGACCCTCTTTTTTTTTTTTTTTTTTTTTTTTTAAACAAACAAACAAACAAAACCTTAAACTAGACAGGAAGCCTAGATGGGGCTGGAGTTGGCTAATTTAATTGCTCCTCCCTAGGGTCAGATAAAGCTCTGGTAAAGTAGTTTTCTCAGGAGGGCAGGCTTTTGTTGTGGGGACTGGTGTGTGTGTGTGTGTGTGTGTGTGTGTGTGTGTGTGTGTGTGTGTGTGTGTGTGTGTGTGTACTGGTGTGTGTGTGTGTGTGTGTGTGTGTGTGTGTGTACTGGTGTGTGTGTGTGTGTGTGTGTGTGTGTGTATGTACTGGTGTGTGTGTAGATAGTGGTTACTTTCCCAGGGTGAACTTAAAAAGTGTTACTTCCCCTCCCCTTGTCAGTCATGAGGGAAACTTTCTTCCGTAATTACTTTGAGAATTTTGTGGAGTTCTTTGAGATAATATTCAGGAAAGTGGGGTGTTTTCTTAGACTGAGCCTCTAGGGTTTTTAGTGCTTAAACTAGTTCACTCTCAGCTTCTGACAATTCATTGAAATTGCCATTTAAGTGTTCCTACCAGTTGCTGCAGCAGTTGCTGGTAAGCTGACCTCAACTCCTGATCCTTTGTGTTAGTTTGTCTCTTGTGATTTTGCAGGGATGGTTTGACCTGTGATCTCAATTCTTTGATCTAAGAAAGGAGAGTTTATTGATTTTTCAGTTTGCTAAGCTTTTCTCTTGTTGTAAAGATAGGTCTGATGACTTCTAAACTTTTTACATGAGAAAGCTGACACTGGAAGTCCAATGGAAGACTCTAAAGTCAAATCTCAGTTTAATTACAAGACGTGTCTGCCCCTTCCGTTTTGTTAGCCCTCAAGGGCAACTTTTTTTAAAATTGTGGTAAGATATACATAACATAAAATTTACCTCTTTAACCATTTGTAAGTGTACACTTCAGTGGCACTAAGTCTGTTCACATTGTTGTGTAGCCATTGCCACTATCCATCTCCAGAACTGCTTCATCTTCCCCAGCTGAAGCTCTGTGCCCATTAAACACTAACTCCCCATTTCTCTCCCCAATCCCCTGGCATCCACCATTCTACTTTCTGTCCCTATGAATTTGACTAAGCACCTCATATGAGTAGAATCATAGAATATTTGTCCTTTTGTGTGTGGCCTATTTCATTTAGCATAGTGTCTTCAAGGTCAAAGACACCTTTTGAGCAGAACCTTTTATCAAAATATGTTAAATTCCTCTTCAGCATGTACCTAAGTAGTTAGAGTTGTCCTTTTTCTGGGCTCATGACTTGGGTCAGTCATAATTTCATTGATTTGTCCAGCCCCAGATGGGAAGAGTTGGGCATGGGGTGGGAATGGGGTTGGATAAGATGTTAGACAGTTTTAAACTGTTTTAAAGTTAAATGTTTTATAATTTGTTCCAGGACTTGCAGAGTATTCTCACATATTCAAATGAAAACAGTAAATACAATTGGTGGTTAGAATGTGTACAGTATTTATTGTGTCCATCACTTTGGGTGCTGAGTGTTCATAACCTGTCTCCTGATTAGGTACTAGTTTTATACACATGAAGATTTTCATTTGTGGTGGTGTGGGGAATGTCATGCAACTAGGGAGGATCTCGCTTATTATTGTAGCACTACTTGGATTGTTTTTTTTGAGACTGAGTTTCGCTTTTGTTGCCCAGGCTGGAGTGCAATGGCGCGATCTTGGCTCATCGCATCCTCCGCCTCCCGGGTTCAAGCGATTTTCCTGCCTCAGCCTCCCGAGTAGCTGAGATTACAGGCATGCACCACCATGCTTGGCTAATTTTTTTGTATTTTTAGTAGAGACTGGGTATCTCCATGTTGGTCAGGCTGGTCTCAAACTCCCAGCCTCAGGTGATCCGCCCGCCTCGGCTTCCCAAAGTGCTGGGATTACAGGCGTGAGCCACCTTACCGGCCCACTTGGATCTTAATTTCATTCTTTTTATTCCTTTTACTCCCAGTTGTGATGATTTATGGCTTTTGTATGAACCTTTATTCTTCCAGCCTATCCATTGTGAAAGGGAGTCAGCTTGCCAGCAGTCAGGAGCGGGTGTGCTCTGATACATGTAGGCCTGGCAGGACAACCAACCCTTTGATCACTTGAGCCCAGGATGTCGAGGACAGTGAGCTATGATCGTGCCATTGCTCTCCAGCTTGGGTGATAGAGCAAGACCCTGTCTGTGTCTGTCTGTCTCGTTTTCTTTCTCTCTGTCTAACTAACTAAATAAATGGTTACATAGTTGTTTCACTTTGTTGCTAGGGAGTATACCTTTCCTTTGGTAAAATATGAATTTGTTTCTTACTGTTTAGAATAGGTAAGGTTTCTTAATTGCTGATAATTATATTATGTAGAACGTCTTTTTGGCAAGGGCTGTATTTATTCACTATTTGATTATACTTAAACTTCAGGCTGGGCATGGTGGCTCATGCTTGTAATCCCAGCACTTTGAGAGGCTGAGGTGCTGAGGTGGGAGGATTGCTTGAGCTCAAGAGTTCAAGACCGGCCTGGGCAACATAGCAAGTGAGACCCCATCTCAAAAAAAAAAAAAAAAAAAAAAAAAACTTCTGGTGATTTCAGATTGCCTTTTGCAGTTGAGTTTTATTCTATAAATACTTCTTTTTTTCCTATTTACTTTATATGTCTGGTGGAATAGGATTACTTTTGCATTTCTGAGTTTTGAGGCTTTTGTCTCCATAGTAGTAAATAGTATCAGATTAGTGTTTTTGAGTTTTTAGGTTTGCTTTTAGTAAATTATCACAGCAAATAGGGTCTGTTATCAGCAAGGCTGCCTTTAGCTCCCACTAAAATTCTCTTTGTGGGCAGGAATGTTTATTCTTGTTCACTGCTGTATCCCTAGAAAAATGGCTGGCACATGGTAGAGGTTCCACAAATATTTAATGAATGAATGACTGTATTTTATGAAAGCTGTCAGTGTTCACTATGTTAGAGAAATTATACACTTTTACACGTTTTAAAGAATCTGATTAGTTCTCTGATTTATTTTTTCATCTTTGTTGTTGTTGTTAAATAGAGGCAGGGTCTCTCACTCTGTCATCCAGGCTGGAGTGTGGTGGCATCATCATAGCTCACTGCAGCCTTGAACTTTTGGGCTCAAGTGATCCTCCTGCCTTGGCCTCCCAAAGTGCTGGGATTACAGGTGTAGCCACCACACTCAGCTTCTTTCATCCTTTTGCTGACTAATCAGTTTAGTATTTTTTTTTAAACATTTCCATTACAAGGTAACCTAGGAAGAGATGATACATAGTAGATTTTTATGAGACACCAATTCTTTTTAAAGTTTCTTTGGAAGAGGGGGCTGGCAAACATATAAGCCTATGATTTCAGTCATCTATACTTATAAAAATTTATTTTTACTGTCTTTTTATGATTGTATTGTTTCTAGGAATAATAACAAAGATCATATTTCTTCTGGATTTATTACCCATGCTCAAAAGGGAGTACATTGAAGCTTATAAGTAAACTTTTTTGTTTGTTTAAGAAATACTTAGAGTACCAACTACAAGCCAGGCACACTTCTCTGTGATGGGAATACTTGTAAGAATGAAACAAACAAAACTTTTGTGAAACTTACCTTCTTGTAGAGGAGATAGAAATAAGTAAAATGTAGAGTAAAACCAGAGTTCTCTTAGAGGAATTATTTGTGTAGCCTGTAACTTTTACAAATAATAAATTCATTAAGTACCAGATTTTTTTTTTTTTGACATTGTGGGGGAATGAGATTCTCCATGTCAGAACTTACAACAGTGCAAGGCACTTTGATAGGAGCAGTTTGGTGAACAAAGATGATTGTTTGTAGCCTTTGCTCTCAAGAGACTCACAAAAAAACTGCAAAACCATATAAAGGTAACTCCTTATAAATGGTAACTTTTTTTGGTATGGTAGAATCAGGAAGATGTGTGTTGAGATCTATGGGGAGTATCAGGAGCACAGACAAGAAGAGTAAATTAAAGATGGATTGTTATCAGCCTGGGCAACGTGGCGAAACCCCCTCTCTACAAAAAATACCAAAATCAGCCAGGTGTGGTGGTGTGCACCTGCAGTCCCAGCTACTTAGGAGGCTGAGGTAGGAGGATCCTTTGAGTCCGGGAGGATGAGGCTTCATTGAGTTCTGATTGTGCCACTGCTCTCCAGCCTGGGTGACAGAGTGAGACCCTGTCTCAAAAAAAGAAAAAAAAGAAAAAGAGAAAAAAGGATTGTTATGCAGCAGATCTCCAGATGGTCTTATTGGTAGTGCGGAGCCACAGATGACTTTTCAGCAGGACAGTGGCACGATTACATTTCTTGTGAACATTCAGTGACTATGGAAAAATGGGTTAGAGGATAGAGCAGGAGTTGCATAGAGACCAATATGAAGTATCCAAATATGTAGTCAAGGGGCAGGATCACCAGTTTTACTTGTCCGGGGAGTGTCAAAATAATCTTCTGATTCCTGTGAAGGGTGCCTCCTGAAACACAAGTCCATCATATATACTGTGAATGGAATTGTCTCAGGTGGCAGCCCCTTCTGACCAGCATAGATGAGGTCTTTAAGTTGTAGGTATTGAAAACTGAAGAAAAAGAAATGAATCCAAGAGAAGTTTGTAATTGATAGGATTGGTGGCCTACTGGGGATGGGAGTTTTGTGGAATAATAATAATAATTAAAGATGGTTTGAAGTTTAAGGCTATGTTAGGTGATGGTCTGAATGATACTGTCTTTTTGTTTTGTTTTGTTTTGTTTGAGACAGTCTCTCTCTGTTGCCCAGGCTGGAGCGCAGTGGTGCGATCTCAGCTCACTGCAACCTCCACCTCCCACAACCCACCTGAAACCCGGGTTCAAGCGATTCTCCTCCCTCAGCCTCCCAAGTAGCTGGGATTACAGGCATGTGCCGCCACGCCTGGCTAATTTTTTTTTTTTTTTTTTGTCATTTTGGTAGAGAGGGGGTTTCACCAAGGCCAGGCTGGTCTTGAACTCCTAGCCTCAAGTGATCCACCTGCCTCAGCCTCTCAAAGTGCTGGGATTACAGGCGTGAGCCACTGTGCCTGGCTGACACTGTTTTGTTTTTGTTTTTGTTTTTGCCACTGTGTGTCTGCTTTTCATAAATTGCTTCATCCCTCATTGGTCCTGTCTTAACCATCTCTCCACTCCTAATTCACGCTTTGTAATTTGTTTTAGACTAGATATCCAAGCTTATTAGAAGTATTTCTGAAACAAAGGCGTTTTTCCTGTGGGGTACATTGAGTAAAGGCTATGTGGGCTTTAAGTATACTAAACTTTAGGGATCTTGACGTCTGTCAAAGGTATTCATTTATTATGTCCCACATTTAATTTTCTAGAAAAATTACCTTATATGTTAACTTTTGTATTATTTCATAATAACAATTTAGCCCTGTGGTTCTAGTTAAAAACTTTTATTATGGAAAATTTTAAACATACCCTAAAATAAAGAGAATTGTATAATGAACTCCAATGTATTTGTCAACATTTTGCTGGTCTTGTTTTATCTGTTCTCTTTTTTCCTTACCTCCCGGAATATTTTAAAGCAAATGCCAGGCATATCCTTTCACTGCAGATACTTGAGTATCTAATAGATAAGGACTCTTTTTTTTCCTAACCACAGTATCATTAGCACACCAAACAATCTTCCTTACCCTAATTTAACACCATCTAATGAGATAACCAGTTTGGGTTCATATTTTCCTGTTGGTTTAAAAAAGACGTTTTAAATAGATGGTTTGTTTAAATCAGGCTCCAAACAAGTCTTGGGGTTATTTTTTAAATTGATTTTTTTTGTTTTTGTTTTTGAGACGCAGTTTCGCTCTTTTGGCCAGGCTGGAGTGCAGTGGCGCGATCTCTGCTCACTGCAACCTCTGCCCACGGGTTCAAGTGATTCTCTTGCCTGAGCCTCCTGAGTAGCTGGGATTATAGGCATATGCCACAACACCTGGCTAATTTTTGTATTTTTAGTAGAGATGGAGTTTCGCCATGTTGGCCAGGCTGGTCTCGAACTCCTGACCTCAGGTGAGCCACCTGCCTCGTCCTCCCAAAGTGCTAGGGTTACAGGCATGAGCCACTGCACCCAGCCTAAAATTGATTATTTTTTAAAGAGGAAATGAAGGCAGTATGAAAACTTACTGTAAGCTATTCTGAGAAAGCAGTGCTGTTTTGACAGTCATTCTACCTGGAACTTAGTTTTGCTTATCTGTGTAACAACATGTTAAAATAATTGGTGCCGAGTTTTTTATGATTTTTAACATTTTAGGAAATATTTCTCTGTCTCTCTCTCTCTCTCTCTTTTTTTTTTTTGTTTTTGAGGCAGGATCTCACTCTGTCACCCAGGCTGGAGTATAGTGGCACAATCTCAGCTCACTGTAGCCTCAACCTCCCAGGTTCAGGTGATCCTCCTACCTCAGCCTGCTGAGTAGCCGGGACTACAGGAGTGTGCCGCCACGCCTGGCTAATTTTTGTACTTTTTGTAAAGATGGCGTTTTGCCACGTTGGCCAGGCTGGTCTCAAATTCCTGGCCTCAAGTGATATGCCCACTTCAGCCTCCCAAAGTGCTGGGATTACAGGCATGAGCTGTCATGCCCAGCCAGGATATCTTTCAGAAAAGGGGGAAAGTGAGTATAACCCCACTTATTTAGAAGCCTAGAGAGTAGTAGTGTGAGCTGATTTGAGAAGATTCGAGTTTGGAGGAGACCACGTCTCTATAAGAAAAAGAACCCCACATGGGATTTAAGGACTGCTTTGTAACTACTTGTTTGTTACACAGTGTTTTTTTTGTCTTTCCGGGTTTAGCTTCCCCATCTGTAAAATAAAGAATGGGTGATTTTTTGGTTTCTTTTATTTCTTAATTGTGTTGTATTTTACATTTATCCTTGACTTTAACAGGATTCTCAAAGTTGGATTGGTGGAAACAATGAACCATTGACAGGCTTTACATGGCGAGGTGGCTGTGAAAGAGAAACAACAGGCATACAAGTTTGGAATGAAGTATTTGTGATTGACAGACCTAATGGAACTAAAGTAAAATTCTGTTTATACTTTTCTACCCTGTATTCTTTCTTGGGCTATTTTCCAGTATTAAAAATCAAAACAACACAGAACTATTAATGTTTGATAACTTTAACATACGGATTATTATGTCAAATGTATGAGATATAAGTACTTTTCTTGATTTAATTACTGCTTTTCAAATTTATCATTTGATTTTTTTTATAGTCATTTTTGGCAACTGTTTTACTAAATATTTTAAACTCTCAAATTCCTAGGTTGCTGTGCTGCTTATGGATACCCAGGGTGCCTTTGATAGCCAGTCAACTATCAAAGACTGTGCAACGGTGTTTGCTCTGAGCACTATGACTAGCTCTGTCCAGGTGAGACACAAGATTAAGTGGTGCGATCAGTTCACGTAATCATTTGGCCCCTTTTTTTTTTCTTTTTTGAGACAGAGTTTCACTCTTGTTGCCCAGGCTGGAGTACAGTGGCGTGATCTCGGCTCACTGCAACCTCTGCCTCCTGGGTTCATTCTCCTAACCCGAGTAGCTGAGATTACAGGCCCCCGCCACCATGCCCAGCTAATTTTTTTGTATTTTTAGTAGAGACGGGTTTCACCACGTTGGGCAGGCTGGTCTCGAACTCCTGACCTCAGGTGACCCGCCCACCTCGGCCTCCCCAAGTGCTGGGATTACAGGCGTGAGCCACTGAGCCTGGCATTTGCCCCTCTTGAAAATGCCTTTTTAATTTTTTTTGAGATGGATTCTCACTATGTTGCCCAGGTTGGAGTGCAGTGGCTATTCATGGGTGTGATCATGCACACTCTAGCTTTTGGGCTGAAGTGATCCTCCTGCCTCAGCCTCCTGAGTAGCTGGGACTGTCAGCATATGCCACCTTGTGCTGGCAAAATGCCTTTTGATTGAAGGGAAAAAAAAGGAAGCTATTTACATTTCTTGAGAGCTATTTACATTTCTTATTGGTTATTTACATTTCCATGCATGGTTTTCTGGCTTATGATGTGAAATTTTGTACTTTGGATAGTTACAAAGGATGCAATAAACCAACAACCAGTCTCTTTAGTTTTTCATTATGGAATACATACTTTTTTTTTTAAAGGAAAAGATATCACATGTTATCTGTAATTGAAATCAGATAGATGGCTACCAGACACAGTAATATGGAGAGTATATTTTTGTTTTTTTGGCTAAAACAAACAAAAAACCCAGGTAATTAAGCTTAGAAGTCTAGTTTTTTATTCTGTATCTATGACAAGTGGTACTCAGTTATTTGAACTAAAGGAGATAAAAGCAGAGTAATTACTTAATGTTTAATTTAGGAAACCCAGACAAGGCTTATGTAATAATAAACTGAGGATTTTTAGCACCTTCATTTAGGAAGGGATAAAATCCCTTCTCTTTTTCACTTATATTCAAATTGTGTTTGGTGTTCTATCCGGTTCTAGTTTCTTCAGGCTAGGCCATTTCTTTTCTGTATAATTTAGATGGATTGGACTGAATTAAACTACCACATGTCATTTGGTGTTTCTTTACTTTTTCTTTTCTGAGATCATCTGTGGCTGATACATCTCTGAAAAATGAATTATTGAAGTATGGCGGTTAGGCCCAGCTGGTGATGGTGTATCAAGAAGTATATTTGCAAATATTTTTTTAAAATGGGTATGTGATCCTCCCAAGATAAGAAATTGTTCTTATCAATGGTAGATCATAGGTGATGCTGTCACAGTGTCTTGGATTTTTTTATGCTTTCCAGTAATGTCTGGAACATATGACTCGTCTCTCTAAGCTCCCATTTTCCTCCTTCCTCAGTTTGAAGTACCTAGCCATCAGAGTGGAAAGAAGGTTGGCTGTTAACCTGAGCTAAAAGAAGAATACTCTTCAGCTTGGCTTCAGTTTATTATAGGGTTGGGATATTTGTCATTACCCACTAAGTGACGCTGGTGGGGACCCTCTAAGTCTCTTTTTTTCTCTGATCTTGCAAGATGGCACAGCTGTGATTCCCTTGAAGCAAGCAGAAGCCCCTCAGGTTAGCTGGCTCTAGAGGGAGTTCTCGAGTTCTCTGTCCTAAAACTTATCCCTTAGTCTTTTTTTGTTTATTTATTCAACTTTTTGATAGTAAGAGACCTGGTTTTAGACAGCCACTTAAAGCTGTGCAGCCACTTTGTTGTCTGTAAAATGAGTTTTACTCATCTTGCCTATCTTGGATGTGGTTGTTGTGTGCAGTCAGAAATGAGAGCTAAATGAGATAATGCATATGAAAGTGCTTTGTAAAGTATAAATAACCAAGAAGATTAAGATTATGATTATTTTCTTCCTTGCCTTTGGGTGGGGGGGGTAGTTTTCTTTCCTTATGTAAGATATCTGGCTGATAGATAAATGATAATTTGATCTTCTTGTCATTTATTCCTTCAACAAATACATACTGAGCACCTGTTACATACAAGACAGTATGCTAAGTACTAATGATCTAAGTTAAATAAATCTCTTTCTCTGTTTGCTGTTTGCAACCTGGCCCTGACAATGAAAGGATCCAGACCTATTTTCTAAAAGCAGAGGCCCACATAGGTTGGTCATGGTGTCAGGGTTTATGTTAAAATCTAAAGTTTAATCACCTCAGTCATCAATTACTTTTTAAATCCTTGTTTGGAATTAGTAGCTAAGAATATCATTTTAGGTTTGCTGGCCTAAATTGACTATATTCTTGACCTCCAAGTGGTTTAGCCAGAGTATCACTTATTTGCTCCTAGAACAGATTGTTCTCTCTTCGGAGTCACCCTGGTTCCTAAGATGTAAGTTATTTCTTAGCAGAGGTGATATTTGTTGATGGCCACTTTTCTCCTGTGGCAGTGTAGATTACTGTCTAAAGATCTGTCTTAGAATTAATGGATGAAAATCCCCGTTTCCTGAGGATACTTAGACCCTCCTTTATCAACTCTAGTCTCCTCCAAAAAATTCTGGAAAGGGCAAGAGTGCCACCTACTGTTACTTTTATTAGCTTCCACAGGCCAGTAAAATTGTCATGTTGAGTGTAAGTGAAAACTGATGAGTAAGTAAACTGAGGAGTGTGAGTAAAAAGAGAACCACACTAGAGTCAGTAGTAGTGGAGGTACCCCTGAGTAACTGTATACTCTGATTGTACCAGGGAAGAATTTATCTTTGTAAACTGTTGCCCCTTATATTCACTAATTTAGAAAAATGATGGTGGAAATAACCTACACTCTTTAAAAAATGATCGTATCTTAACATTAAAGAGCTTAGAGAAGGAGTACAAGAAACCTACTAGATACCACACTTGTTCTTCTACCACTTTTAGGCCATGAGTATACATATATTCATGCTTTTTGCATATTTTACCACCACTGCTTCTTCCTTAATATTCTATCTTGACTATTGTTAGGAAAAAAGAGAAAATCCTTTTCACATGTCAGTTGTCAAGATAGTAGTTAAATGATTCCTTTGCGCTGAGATACAAAATAACCTTTTTTCCACAAGTAAAGTTATACAGAAGCTGGGTATTCAGAACAAAACACTAATAAAAAACAAAATAAATTTTGTTTCAACAGGTATATAATCTGTCTCAGAATATTCAAGAAGATGATCTTCAACATTTGCAAGTACGTATTTCTTTTTTTAATTTTTATTTTTTGAGATGGAGTTTCGCTCTTGTTCCCCAGACTAGAGTACGGTGGCACAATCTTGGTTCACTGCAACCTCCCCCTCCCAAGTTCAAGGGATTCTCCTGCCTCAGCCTCCCAAGTAGCTGGCATTACAGGCATGTGCCACCATGCCTGGCTAATTTTGTATTTTTAGTGGAGATGAAGTTTCACCATGTTGGTCAGGCTGGTCTTGAACTTCTAACCTTGGGTGATCCGCCCGCCTCGGCCTCCCAAAGTGCTGGGATTACCCGGCGTGAGCCGCTGCGCCCGTCTGCGAGCACATATTTCTTAAAGAAAATGTGCCAACTATTGAAATTTAATTCTCACTTTATTATGAATTTACACTTGGAAGCCTATAATACTGGTAACACGATTGAATGTTATATGGGTTTAAACTGGTGTATGACTTCTTAACTGGAAGAAATTTTGTACATACCTAGTGTGTTAGAAAATTAAATGTTTGGCTTTGAAATGATTTTAAAGGTTCTGGTACCTGGAGCTTTGGTGTGGAACAGGTTTACACATGTCTTCTTTCAATCTCTTTAGAGGCATTATTTTAACTAACTCTATTTAATAGTTATTTACAGAGTATGGAAGACTTGCGATGGAAGAAATCTACCAGAAACCATTTCAGGTAAAAAAGTTATTCTAACATTTTAAAGATTAGCCTATGAGAAGTTGTGAAGCCACCTCAGTTTGTAATTTTGGAGACACCAGGATATTACAATAGACTCATTGCTAGCAACAGATTCAGTGCAATCGAAACTAACCTTTGGTAGTATCATCAGCATACTTATCAGTAGGCGAACAGGATAAATAGAATAAATGAATCTAGGCTAATTCTTAATGCTTTCACTTAGATTAAGGGGAGTAATGTTTCTCTTAACAGATGTTATTCTAAACTTAAGACAATAGGAAATATATGACAGTCATGCCATTTTTTTTTTATACGTGGTAACTACAGAATGTTACAGGTTTCTTTTTTGTGGTTTACTACAAGTTGAAATTAGTTCTGTTACTCTTTATTTTGGTTTCATATAGAAAAGTTCCAGATAGTTTATTTTTTGAAGCAAGTGTAATTTGTAAGTTGCCATTAATACTGTTTGGTGAGCTGCAGTTACAGTAGGAGAGCATGACTCTACCATGTTTGCTCCTAAGTGTGTGAAGCCTTTCCGGTATGACAGCATTGCTACTGATTGTTAATCTTAATGGGTTTACATTGATTCTGCCTCACTCTTGTCTGGCTAGTATGGTCACTTTTATTAAGTAGTTGAGCAGATGATGCCTTCGTTTTTGGATATATAGGTGAAATATACCCTATTTGGCCTATATCAGTTTTTTCTGAACTGGGATCATTTTGCCACCCAAGGGGACATTTGCTAATGTCTGGAGACATTTTTGGTTGTCACAGTTTTGTGGGAGAGCTTAGTGCCTCTTGGTATCTAGCATATAGAGGCCAGAAATATGGTTCAACGTTCTACAATACACAGGACAGCCACACACAACTAAGAATTAACTGACCCAAAATGTCAGCAGTGCTGACCCAAAATGTCAGCATTTGAGAAATCTAACCCTATATGAGTAAAAACATCCTCTGTGAGTGAAAATGTCCTTATTGACCCCAGATCTATAATCAGTCTAGATAGCCATCTAGAATTAGTTGGTCTTGTAGTTACACAACCATGATTTAAAATTATGATCCGTGTGTCCTGATACACCCATTTTTCATTTTTAAAGTCCTGTATTACTGCTTGTGGTGACTCTTTCTTTATATTTAGTGAAGTTCTTCAGTGGCAGCGATTGCTTGGTATAGGGCCTGAGAATGTTGTTTAAGTGGGTCCTTGATATAACCATGACCAGTACTGACCATTTAGTTACTATAACTTTTGATAAGGATTGTTTAGGAGAGTAAGAGAGGCTTCAATTGTTAAGAGTTGTGATTTTTTCGTAAATTTTCTTTATTGTAAAATAAACAATTTTTATTTTTTCTGTGTATAGACATTAATGTTTTTGATTCGAGATTGGAGCTATCCTTATGAACATTCATATGGTTTGGAAGGTGGAAAGCAATTTCTTGAAAAGAGATTACAGGTAAGACCCTAATGCTTAAAGAGGAGAACATAAGCACCAAGCTAGGCAAACGGGTGGGCTGTCCGGACTGCTGGTCACATTACCAGTATTTACGTGTCGTTGGAATAAAGTATTCCAGGTTAGCCCAAGTGACTCTGTTTGTAATTGATGAAAAGTAAAGTGGTTGCATTCCTACCAAAGAAGACAGTGTCCTTGAATCAAAATTAAGGATCATGATCCTTTATTCCTAAAGGTAGCCCCCCATGGAAGTACTTGTGTATTAGTCTGTTCTCACACAGCATAAAGAACTACTTGAGACTGGGTAATTTATGAAGAAAAGAGGTTTAATTGACTCACAGTTCCACAGGCTTAACAGGAAGCATGACTGGGAGGCCTCAGGAAACTTACAATCATGGCGGATGGTGAAGGGAAAAGCAAGCACCTTCTTTTTTTTTTTTTTTTTTTAAGACAGTCTCACACTATTGCCTGGGCTGGAGTGCAATGGCACGATCTTGGCTCACTGCAACCTCCGCTTCCCGGGTTCAAGCGATTCTCCTGCCTCAGCCTCCCGTAGCTGGGATTACAGGCGCCCGCCACCACGCCTGGCATATTTTTTGTATTTTTTAGCAGAGACGGGGTTTCACCATGTTGGCCAGGCTGGTCTTGAACTCCTGACCTTGTGATCGGCCTACCTCGGCCTCCCAAAGTGCTGGGATTACAGGCGTGAGCCACCGCACCCAGCCAGCAAGCACCTTCTTCACAAGATGGCAGGAGAGAGAGAGTGAAGGGGGAAGTGCCACATACTTTTTAACAACCAGATCTCGTGATAACTCACTCACTGTTAAAAGAACAGCAAGGGGGATTTCTGCTCCCATGAATCACCTCCAACCAGGCCCCTCCCCCGACACATGGGCATTACAATTTGAGATGAGATTTGGGTGGGGACATAGAGCCAAACCATATCAATTTGGGAAACCTGCAGGTCAGATACTTACAGGCTACCCATCTACTCACACACACAAAGGATACATAAAGACCCCTTTATTCATTAGGAGGGTGCTGTCTTTCATTGATAAGATTTTATTTGTCTATGGGAATGATGCATTTGGTTTCTCAACTGCATTAAAGACTTGGGGTATGATATAATTTTCTTTTAGTTTTAAAATGAGATTAAAACCAATTCAACATTCTTAGATTATTTGAAAGGCATTTCCAGACCCCACTTTTGGAAATAATTTCAGTCATCAGCATTTTCTGTTTCTGGTTTGTTCAGAAGAAATTAACACAAAGCACAATAGACATACTAACTAAACTCAGAATTATGTAACTCAAAGACAAGAAAGTTTTTAAACTTTTTATTGAAATGTTATACATATATTCAGAAAATTGCTCAAATCATAAGTGTGTAGCTTGATGAATTTATAAAAAATGAACATAGCCATTTAGCCAGCACCTAGAAGCACTCACCTCCATACAGCAACCTTCCCCCAAAACCCTCTACCAGTATCCTGACTTCTCACAGGCTTTGTTTTTGTACTTTATGTGGATGGAATCACATACAGAATGTATTTGAGTCTAGCTTTTTTTACCCAATATTATGTTTCTGAGGTTAATCCATGTTGCATATAGTTTAATTTATTTATTCTCATTGCTGTATAGTATCTATTGAATGAATAGACAACAGTTTTTCCATTCTGCTGTTGATGGGAGATTTAGGTAGTTTCCAGGTTTTAATTATAAATAGCGCATATTTTGTTAAAATTGTTTTCCAGAAGAGTGTTTAGGAGACTGTGTGAGTTATATTGGGATAAATGAGTAATTATCTAAAATGTTTCTAAGTTTAAGATTTTTTTCCCCCTAATACATGGCAGTTTCCCTTCTCAAAATTCTGGTAACTAGCATAAATCATAAATAATCATGTAGAGAGGGACCTGAAATTCTAACACATTTCTAAGGTCTTTGTACTGCACTGTAATTTTTTTTATCTTAGCTTTTACTTTGTTCAGGGGCTAAACTTTTTATTTGTAGGCAAATTTATACTTTTTTTTTTGTTTTGTTCTGTTTTGTTGCTGTTGTAAGTACTTTAAAGGTAAATTCTTAATTTATTTACTGGTGTATAAGTCACAGCCATAATTTGTTATTTGGTTATTAGATACTGTGATTAACTACCTTATTTGTAGTTTTTGCTGTTCCAGGCAGCTTACTTGGGAAAAACATCTTTTGTGGTTTAAGAAAATGTGGGGTTGGCTGGGTGCGGTGGCTCATGCCTGTAATCCCAGCACTTTGGGAGGCCGAGGCGGGTGGATTACCTGAGGTTGGAAGTTCAAGATCAGCCTGACCAACCCTGTCTCTACTAAAAATACAAAATTAGCCGGGCATGGTGGTGCACGCCTGTAATCCCAGCTACTCGGGAGGCTGAGGCAGGAGAATCACTTGAACCTGGGAGGCGGAGGTTGCGGTGAGCCGAGATTGCACCATTGCACTCCAGCCTGGGCAACAAGAGCGAAACTCTGTCTTTAAAAAAAAAAAAAAAAAAAAAAAAGTGGGGTCTTAACAAAGTGGTCAGAAATGGGCCTTCATAATTTTTTGTATTGTCAAAAAAGACTCCTTAGGAGTACCATCTGAGTTAAGTGTGCATAGTGTGCATGCGAGTCTGTGTGCATTTTCTTTAAAAAAATTTTCTTTCTTCTGTTTACAATTTCACCTGTCTCTCTCCGCCCTCAGGTAAAACAAAATCAACATGAAGAGCTTCAGAATGTAAGGAAGCACATACACAATTGTTTCTCAAATCTTGGTTGCTTCCTTTTGCCACATCCTGGTCTTAAAGTTGCAACTAATCCTAGTTTTGATGGGAGATTGAAAGGTGGGAATTCCCATTCTTGCTAAAATCTGAACTTATTTATTAGAGGTGGAAAGTTTTTTAAGAAAATACATGACGCCTTAAATGTCCTGTCTTATACTGGAGAATGTTTGGATGCATTGTTCATGTTGTGGTTGTAATGCTCTGTGTTGTTTCTCTAGCATTCCATTGATTTGTTTGCAGCTGTCTAGCATATTGATTAACCTATTTTATAATGTCTGTTGCTCAGCAGTGATGTCCTGAAAATTCTGAAGGCTGAGAGCATTTCTTTTCAATTGATTGCAGTCTGCTAAAAGGCTTTATCATTTTATTATATTGATGAAATCAGATATAAGTGTCTGTTTCAGGAGTGATAGTACAGTTTATGTATGTTGTAGGATTATTTTGAGTGTGTTGGCAAAACATTTGGGGATTGACAAAACTTTTACAGTATGGCTGGTAAAACATAATCTAGTAGTAAAATTTAATACAATTTTATGAATTGTTTGCCTCTTGAAAAGGACATTTTCGTTAATACTAAATGTGAAATTTGTCTTGGTAGTCCACAAATTTATTGATGTTTTATTTGTTATTTGAACTGGCAGTGTTACTAGGGGGTTGGGGAAAATGGGCTAGTAGAGTAAGGGGGATTATATTTTTTCCTATGAGATATGGCATGTTGGATGAGCTTTTTTTTAAAAAATGAATCCACTTCAGTAATAGATACTATGTATTCTTATTTCATAAAACAGAATTTTATGAAATCGTACCAGTGGGGACCTAATTTTTTTTGGACTAATATGTTGCTCAATTTTTTGTTTTCTAGATATTGATGAAGACTTTAAACGAGAGCTTCGAAATCTGGTTCCATTGCTGCTTGCCCCTGAAAATTTGGTAGAAAAAGAGATAAGTGGATCTAAAGTCACTTGTAGAGATCTTGTAGAATATTTTAAGGTAGGTGAGCTCTTAAACAGTTTTGTCTAAGATAGAAATGTAGTTGACTTAAAACTCATCTGTATGTATAAGAAATTTCTTGTCTTTATTTTAAAACAAAAAAGAGTAAGATTTGTGATTTATCTTTCTGCCTTGAATTAGATGTATCTGTATTTAAGGATATTTAAAAGATTATAGCAGATTTCTGTCTCCTAGACAGTGATTTAATTTATTTACAGAATTATCTTACTTTTTCTCCATCTCAGATATGGAGAGAACAAGCCATTCATCATACTCTAATACTACTCTGTCATTAGTGAATGATAATAGGAATGGAAAGCATAATTTTACATCCTAAGTTCTCACAAAAACACTCCCTCAGAGTTCTGAGGACTTGATAAGAACAGCTGAAAGTATTTATATTGGTTCAAGTAAAGTACTCTTAGGTTTTTTTTTTTTCCCTCTGTTCTTCTCTAGTCTTTATAGCTTGCCTGCCAGAACAAGACCGCTGTGGAAGGTTGTATTATTTGTAGTAGTTTTAACTAAGAGTGTATTTTGTTCACTTATTGGATACTTGATAGTTACTCTCATATTATCTTTGTTTAGTTATGAATGAATTTTTTAAAATTTATTTTTACTTTTAATTTTTAATTTTTGTGGGTACGTAGTATATATACTTATGGGGTACATGAGATATTTTTGATACAGGCATACAATGTCTAATAATCATATTAGAGTAAATAGGGTGTCCATCACCTCAAGCCTGTATCCCTTCCTTATGTTACAGACAATCCAATTATACTCTTTGTTATTTTAAAATGTATAGTAAGTTATTATTGACTGTAACTACATTGTTATGCTATCAAATACTAGATCTTATTCTAACTATATTTTTGTACCCATTAACCATCTCTGCCTCCCCTCCACCCTCTGACTACCTTTCCTAGACTCTAGTAACCATCTTTCTAGTACTCTCTATCGCATGAGTTCAGTTGTTTAAATTTTTAGCTCCCACAAATAAGTGAGAACATGTGAAGTTTGTTTTTTCTGTGTCTGGCTTATTTCACTTAACATAAAGTCCTCCAGTTCCACCATGTTGTTGGAAATGACAGGATCTCATTCTTTTATATGGATGAGTAGTACTTCATCGTGTATATGTACCACATTTCTTTATCCATTCGTATATTGATAGACACAGGTTGCTTCCAAATTGTAGCTGTAGTGACTAGTGCTGCAGTAAACATGAAAGTGCAGATGTATCTTCTATATACTGATTTTTTTCTTTTGGGTATATACCTAGCAGCAGCATTGCTGGATCATATGGTCGTTTTATTTTTAGTCTTTTGAGGAACCCCCAAACTGTTCTCCATAGTGGTTGTACTAATTTACCTTTCTGCCAACAGTGTACGAAGATTCCCTTTTCTCTACATCCTTGCCAACATTTGTTATTGCCTGTCTTTTGGATAAAAACAATTTTAAATGGAGAAAGATGATATCTTTCTGTAGTTTTGATTTGCATTTCTCTGATGATCAGTGATGTTTTCATATCCTGTATCCCATTTGTTTGTCTCCTTTTGAGAAATGTCTGTTCAGATCTTTTGCCCGTTTTTTGATCAGATCATTTGATTTTTTTTTCTTTTCCCTGTAGAGTTGTTTGAACTCCTTATATAGTCTGGTTACTAATCCCTTATCAGACTAGTAGTTTGCAAATGTCTTCTCCCAGTCTGTGGGTTGCGTCTTCACTTTTCTGATGTGCAAAAGCTTTTTAACTTGATATGATCCCATTCGTTTATTTTTGCTTTGGTTGCCTGTGCTTGTAGGGTATTACTGAAGAAATCTTTTCCCAGACCAGACCAATTTCCTGGAAGGTTTCCCCAATGTTTTCTTCTTTTTTTCTTTTTGAAATGGAGCGTTGCTCTGTCACCCAGGCTGGACTGCAGTGGCGTGATCTCGGCTTGCTGTAACGTCCGCCTCCCAGGTTCAAGCAATTCGCCTGGCCTCAGCCTGGGCGACAGAGCAAGGCTCCATTTCAAAAAAAAAAAGAAAAGAAAACACTGGGGAAACCCTCCAGGACATTGCTCTGGGAAAAGATTTCTTCAGTAATACCCTGCAAGCACATTATCAAGTTAAAAGGTTTTGCACATCAAAAAAGTAGCTGGGATTACAGGCAGCTGCCACCATGCCTAGCTGATTTTTGTATTTTTAGTAGAGACAGGGTTTCACCATGTTGGCCAGGCTGGTCTCGAACTCCTGATCTCAGGTGATCTGCCTGCATCTGCCTCCCAAAGTGCTGGGATTACAGGTGTGAGCCATCATACCTGGCCACCAATGTGTTCTTTTAGTAGTTTCATAGTTTGGGTCTTAGGTTTAAGTCTTTAATCCATTTTGATTTGATTTTTGTATATGGCTAGAGATGGGGTCTAGTTTCATTCCTCTGCATATGGATATTCAGTTTTCCCAGCACCATTTATTGAAGCCACTGTCATTTTCTCAAAGTTTGTACTGAAGTACAACTTCCAGTACTGTGTAGAATAGCAGTGGTGAAAGTGGGTATCCTTGTTTTGTTTCAGATCTTAAAGGAAAGGCTTTCAATTTTTTCCCAGTTCAGTAAGATACTAGCTGTGGGTCTGTTGTATACAGCTTTTATTATGTTGAGATCTGTTTCTTCTGTACCTTTTGAGGATTTTTACCATGAAGGGATGTTGAATTTTATCCAGTGCTTTTTCAGCATCAATTGAAATGGTCATATGGTTTTTGTTCTTCATTCTGGTGATAACGATGTATCACACTCATTGACTGACTGATTGATTGATTGATTGGTGTATGTTGAACTGTCCTTGCATCCCTGCCTGACCCTAGGTGATGATGAATGATCTTTTTAATGTGTTGTTGAATTCAGTTTGCTAGTATTTTGTTGAGGATTTTTGCAACAGTGTTCATCAGGGATATTGGCCTGTAATTTTTTGCTGAGTCTTTGTCTGGTTTTGGTATCAGGGTAATACTGGCCTTGTAGTATTGGTTTGGAAATATTCCCTCCTCCTCTGGTTTTTGGAATAGTTGAGTAGGATTGGTATTAGTTCTTTAAATGTTTGATAAAATTCAGCAATGAAGCCATTAGCTTTCGGGCTTTTCTTTGTTGGGAGACTTTTTATTATGGCTTTGATCTCGTTACTTGTTATTGGTCTGTACGGGTTTTAGATTTATTCATGGATCAATCTTGGTAGGTTGTATATGTCTAGGAATTGATACATTTCTTCTAGGCTTTCCCATTTATTGGCATATAGTTGTTCATGGTAGCCTCTAATGATCCTTTGGATTTCTGTGGTATCAGTTGCAATGTCTCCTTTTTCATCTCTGATTTTATTTATTTGGGTCATCTCTTTTTTTCTTAGTGTGGCTAAAGGTTTGTTGACTTTGTTTATCTTTTTAAAAAATCAACTTTTTGCTTCATTGATCTTTTGTATTGTTTTTATTTCAATTTCGCTAACTTCTTCTAATTTTGGGTTTAGTTTGCTCTTCCTTTTCTGTTTTTTTAAGATGTATGGTTAGGTTGTTTATTTGAAGTGTTTCCTCTTTTTTGATGTAGGCACTTATTACCATATAGTTTCTTAGTACTGCTTAACGCTGTATCCCATATATTTGGTATGTTGTGTTTCCGTTTTCATTTGTTTCAAGAATGTGTTTATTTCTTTCTTAATTTCTTCACTGATCTAGTGGTCATTCAAGAGCCTATTGTATTAATATAATTTCCATGTGTTTGTATAGTTTCCAAAATTCCTCGTTATTGATTTTATTCCATTGTGGTCAGAGAAGATACTTGATATAATTTCAATTTTTTTGATTTTTTTTTTGAGACCAAGTGTCGCTGTTTTGCCCAGGCTGGAGTGCAGCGGAGCAGTCTCGGCTCACTGCAACCTCTACCTCCCAGGTTCAAGTGATTCTCCTGCCTCAGTCTCCTGAGTAGCTGAGACTACAGTAACGCACCACCATGCCCAGCTAATTTTTTGTATTTTTAGTAGAGATGGGGTTTCACCATGTTGGCCAGGCTGGTCTCAAACTCCTGACGTCAAGTGGTCCACCTGCCCTCAAGTGGTCCACCTGCCTTGGCCTCCCAAAGTGCTGGGATTACAGGCATGAGCCACTGCGCCCGGTCCTCTTTCTTTAGTTTCTAATAATACTTGCTTTATATATCTGGGTGCTCCAGTGTTGGGTGCATATATATTTACAATTGTTATATCCTCTTGCTGAATTGATCCCTTTATCATTATATAATGACCTTCTTTGGCTGATATAAATGTAGCTTCTTCTGCTCTTTTTTTTTGGTTTCCATTTGCATGGAGTATCTTTTTCCATACCTTTATTTTCAGTCTGTGTCTTTATAGATGAAGTGTGTATCACCATTTTTTAAAACCCATTCAGCCACTCTGTGCCTTTTAATTGGAGAGTTTAGCCCATTTACACTCAATGTTACTGATAAGTAAGGAGTTAACCTCTGTCATTTTGTTACTGTTTTCTGGTGGTTTTGTGGTCTTCCTACCTGCCTGTCTTCCTTTTAGTGAAGGTGATTTTCTCTGGTGGTATGTTTTAATTTCTTTTTATTTTTTGTGTATCTGTTGTATGTCTTTTGAGGTTACCATGAGGTTTGCAACTATAATATATTTATTTTAAACTGATAACACTGATTGCCTAAACAAACTAAATAACAAGGAAAGAGAAAACTAATAAAAATTCTACACTTTAACTTCATCCCCCCACTTTTTAAACTTTTCGTTGTTTCTATTGATAGTATACCGTCTATGTCTGGAAAAGTTGTGGTTGTTAATTAATATTTTTTATAGGTTCGTCTTTTAGTCTTTCTACTCAGGATATGAGTTGTTTACACACCACAATTATTGTTAATAATATTCTGTTTTTCTGTGTGTTTACTATTCCCAGTGAGTTTTGGACCTTCAAATCATTTCTTATTGCTCATTAAAATCCTTTTCTTTCAGATTGAAGAACTCTCTTTAACATTTATTGTAGGACAGGTCTGATGTTGATAAAATTCCTCAGCTTTTGTTTGAGGAAGTCTTTATTTCTCCTTCATGTTTGAAGTATTTTCACTGGATATACTATTCTAGGAAAAATGTTTTTTTTCTTCAGCACTTTATGTCATGCTACTCTCTCCTGGCCTGTAAGGTTTCCGCTGAGAAGTCTACTCCCAGATGTGTTGGAACTCTTTTGTATGTTGTTTGTTTCTTTTCTGTTGATGCATTTAGAATCCATTCGTGCTTCTTGTTGTTGTTGTGGTGGTGGTTTAATAGAAATGGGGCCTTGCTGTGTTTAACAGGCTGGTCTCCAACTCCTGGCCTCAAGTGATCCTCCCATCTCAGCCTGCCAAGGTGCTGAGATTACAGGTGTGAGCCACCGTGCCTGGCCTGTTGTTGTTTTTAACAGAGACGTCATTTCTCTACGTTGTCCAGGCTGGTCTTGAACTCCAGGGTCAGGCAGTTCCCCCACCTTGACCTCCCAAAGTGCTGGGATTACAGGCATGAGCCACCACGCCCAGCCAGGATCCATTCTTTACCGTTGACCTTTGGGAGTTTGCTTGTTACATGTCTTGAGGTAGTCTTATTTGGGTCAAGTCTGCTTGGTGTTCTATAATCTTTTGTTCTTAAATATTGGTATCTAGGTTTGGGTAGTTCTTTGTTATTGCTTTGTATAAACTTTCTACCGCTGTCTCTTTAGCTACTCCTCTTTAAGGCAATGAACTCTTAGATTTGCCCTTTTGGGGCTATTTTCTAGATCTTGTAGGCATGCTTCATTCTTTTTCATTCTTTTTTCTTTTGTCTCAGCTGTGTATTTTCAAATAGCCTGTCTCCAAGCTGACTAATTCTTCTGCTTGTTCAGGTCTTGTGTTAAGCTCTGAGGCTGGGTGAGGTGGCTCATGCCTGTAATCCTAGCACTTTGGGAGGCTGAGGTGGGCAGATCACTTGAGACCAGTCTGGGCAACATGGTGAAACCTTGTCTCTACAAAAAATACAAAAATTAGCCAGGCATGATGGCGCACGCGTGTAGTCCCAGCTACTTGGGACACTGAGGTAGGAGGATCCTTTGAGCCTGGGATGCAGAGGTTGCAGTGAGCCAGGATTGCACCATTGCACTCCAGTCTGGGAGACAGAGCAAAACCCTGTCTCAAAAAAATAAAATAAAAAAGAGGTTTGGATGCATTCTTCAGTATGTCAGTTGCATTTTTCGGATCCAGGATTTCTGCTTTATTCTTTATAATTATTTCAGTCTCTTTGTTCACTTTATCTGAAAGGATTCTGAATTCCTTCTCTGTGTTATCTTGAATTTCTTTGAGTTTCCTCAAAACTGCTATTTTGAATTCTCTGAAAGGTCAGTTATCTCTGTCTCTCCAGGATTGGTCACTGGTGCTTTATTTCAGTTTGTTTAGTGAGGTCATGTTTTCTTGGATGGTCTTGATGCTTGTGAATATTTGTTGGTGTCTGGACATTGAAGAGTTAGGTATTTGTTATAGTCTTTGCAGTCTGGGCTTGTTTGTACCTGTCATCCTTGGGAAGGCTTTCTAACTATTTGAAGGGACTTGGGTGTTGTGATCTTGGTCACTGCAGCTGTATCTGCATTAGGGACATTTCAAGCCCATAATGCTGTGGCTCTTGCAGATTTGTAGAGGTACTGCCTTGGTGCTCTTCGGTAAGATCCAGGAGAATTCCCTGGATTACCAGGCAGAGACTCTTGTTCTCTTCCATTACATTCTCCCAAACAAATGGAGTCTCTGTCTCTGTGCTGAGCTGCCTGGAGCTGGGGGAGGGGGTGACACAAGCACCATTGTGGCCACCATCCCTGGGACTTCACTGGGTCAGACCTGAAGGCAGCACAGCAATGGGTCTTGCCCAAGGCCCATTGTGACTATTGTGTGGTTATTGCCTGTGGTCAGTCAAGGCCCAGAGGTTCTACAATCAGCAGGTGGCAAATCTAGCAAGTTCCCTCTGGCCTTGGGTGGGTCCAGAGATGCTCTCTGGTGATCCGCCTGCCTTGGCCTCCCAAATTGCTGGGATTACAGGTGTGAGCCATCACACCTGGCCTTTGTCTCCTTTACTCAAGCAGGAGACTCTCCTCATAGCCACAACATCTGGGAATGTGCTGGGTCACACCTGAAGCCAGCACATTTCTGAATCTCACCCAAGGCCCATAGTGAGTACTGCCTGGCTACCACTACTGCTTATTCAGAGCCCAGAGGCTCTTGAGTCAGCACGTGATGAACCCTGCCAGGACTTGGTCATACCCCTCAAGACAGTGGGTTCCCTTCCAGCCCAGGGTGTGTTTAGAAATCTTGTCTGGGAACTGGGGACTGAAATTGGGGCCTTAGGGCTCTGCCTTATGCCGCATTCTACTTTGGCTGAGCTGGTATCCAAATTGCAAGACAAAGTCCTCTTTACTCTCCCCTCTCCTCTCCTCACGCAGAAGGAAAGACTCTCTCTCAGAGCTGTGAACTACACTGCCTGAGCTTGTGTAGGGGGAGTGACACTAGCAGTCCCTTGGCTGCCCCAGCTGGAGTCTTACTATATCATATGCACCCCAGGTCCACTGGCTCTGAGCCCAGCCCAGCACCAGGACCTGCCCAGGAATTGCAGTCCTTGTGGCCTAGATGGCCTTTCAAGTTTATTCAGGACCTCAGAGCACTGTAGCCCATGGTGGCAGGACTGGCTGCCTAGGGCTGGTCTAAATTCTTCCTCCATGGGTGCTGGCTGAGTTCTTTCCACTGTGGCAGGGCAGCGCTGAGTTTCAATGCAAAAATTCCACAGTCACTGCTTTCGACTTCCCTAAGCACATAGATTGTCTCTCCACACCATGTGGTTGCTGCTGAGAGGATGGGGGAGGGGTGGTGTAGGTGATTCAAGACTGTTTTTCACATCCTCTTCAGTGCCTCTTTCAGTGATCTGAAGTTAAAACCAGGTACTGTGATTGCTCACCTGATTTTTGGTTCTTATGAAGGTGGTTTTTTATGTAGATAGTTGTCAATTTGATATTCCTTGGAGGTGGTGATCACTGGAGGCTTCTATTTGGCCATCTTGCTCTGCCTCCTTCCCAGTTATGAATGAATCTTGTCAGTGGAAAGTTGAGATGAGCCAGGCACGGTGGCTTATGCCTGTAATCCCAGCACTTTGGGAGGCTAAAGTGGGCGAATCACCTGAGGTCGGGAGTTCGAGACCAGCCTGGCCAACGTGGTGAAACCCCGTCTCTCCTAAAAATACGAAATTAGCTGGATGTGGTGGCGCATGCCTGTAATCCCAGCTACTCGGGAGGCTGAGGCAGGACAGTTGCTTGAACCCAGGAGGCGGAGGTTGTGGTGAGCTGAGGTCGTGCCGTTGCACTCCAGCCTGGGCAATAAGAGCGAAATTCCTTCTCAAAAAAAAAAAAGAAAGTTGAGATGAAAGACCCTATATGGACTTCTAACAAACTCTTATCTTTTCCTTCTTACTCTTAAACCACAAATTAGTTTTTTTTTTTTTTTTCCTTCTTGAGCTGAAATACAATTTAAGCTGGTCAAAGTAAAATACTGGATAAAATTGTTTCTTCAGCTGGATGTGGTGGCACACACCTTGTAGTTTCAGCCACTTGGAAAACTGAGGCAGGAGGATCACTTGAGCCCAGGAATTCGAGGTTGCAGTAAGCTGTGATCATCCCACTGCACTCCAGCCTCAGTGTCAGTGTGAGACCCCATCTCTAAAGAAAGAGAAAAAAAAGTTTTTTAAAAATATTAAAACACTGGCAATAGGGGGTAATTGTGAATTTCTTTTCATAAAGAAGATGGCATTTTATATCTAACTTTGAGTTATAACTTTTATGTTATATTTGTTATAGAAATACCTAGGATATTATTTAGCAGCATATAATTTAATAATATTGAGAATAGGGTTAACTTTGTTGGAATAAGGTGATTTTTAAAGCCTAGAATTTACTTTTAATGGTGTTAATTATTTTTATATTTAATGACTTTTCTTTCTTTGGGGATGTGGAGCCAAATTGCATAATCCGTCAGTCTAACAAATCTTCTCCCTTTTTAGGCTTACATCAAAATCTATCAAGGAGAAGAACTTCCACATCCAAAGTCCATGCTTCAGGTAGAGAGAGAGAGAGTGATATGTGTTGTACATATACTTATTTATGAGGGAGAATAAAAATCTTTGCTTTAGAGAGAAATGCTGAAAATGGGGGGTGCTTTTTTGCATGCAAACACATTTTGCTTAAGGCCGTATGTGTCGTGGGTCCTAAGGTTTCATACAATTTTTTTTTTGTAACTGCAGATTGTAGGCCTTCCATGTGTCCAGGCCACCAGAAATAAGAGTCCTCAGTACCTTCTCTTCAGATGCTCAAAGTATAGGAAAATTTCTATTTGATAAGATGGCTTGATGTGGGCCTCTCTGAACTAAGCTGCTTCTATTCTGAGTCTTTGACAATGAATGTTGTTTGGAATAAGTCTTATTTTTATTTGGTGTTAATGATTTAGAGCTACTTCTAGTGAATATAGTCTCACTTCTTTTTCTGTCTTTCAAATGGTGGTCTTTTGGGACAGTGTCATTTTACCCCATTCATATTTTAAAACATTTACTACTTTAGGCTATTTTTCCATTTTATAGTAGATTAAACAGTATTTGCCGATAAAACTTCGTGCAGTAAGGTTTGTGGGTTTGAAAATGTCTTGTATAATACTGATTATGAGAGAGAGAACCATATGGGTAATTCTCGATTCCTAACACCTGGAGATCCACATATTTTAGGGTTATATCTATTTATCTTTATCCATTTCCTGAGCATATGTGGTGTTTTCTGCAGACACACTTTAACATCAACCTAAGCAAAACAAAATCAGGCAGGCAGTCCTATTAGAACCACTTACCATTATATCCTTTATACCAACGTTCCCTTGCATAGGAAAGAAAAACTGGAAGTTACTTTCTCTGGTTCATTTTCAGACTTGTTTATTGTACATAACTTATTGTGTTAATCAGAATTTTTAGAGTCATAGAGTATTTTTTGCATAATAATGGCATATTTTATTTTTTAGGCAACAGCTGAAGCTAATAATCTTGCTGCAGTAGCAGGAGCAAGAGATACCTATTGTAAAAGTATGGAACAGGTTTGTACCTAAAATTTAAATTTGATGCTGGAGTGAGAAGATTTTTAAATTAAAAAAAAAAAAATTAAAAAAATTTTTTAAATAATTGAGCGAATTTGTGCAGCTTATGGTACATTATTCCCTAATTCCCCTTTATGGTCTTTGCTGGAAATAAACTATAAGAAAATAATTCACATTATTTGAGAGCAGAATTTGAGTTAGTAAATTATTATATAAACTCTACTGAAATATCTTCTGACAAATGTGTGATTCAGAGTGCTGTTATTGGTGACTTCTGATGTTGGTAGCATTAGTTTAAGGCCAGTAGCAGTTTCTGTACTTGCTTGCTCAAACATTAAAATATCTTTTTGGGGCATTATCATCTTTTACCCGTTCTCTTGCCAGCAATTTTGTGTGCTATTATGGTATATGATGGTCAAGTGAAGGCAGATACAGAGCACAGTGTAAAATTTTTTTGTCTTCAGTTTCCGTTAGTCATATTTGGAAAATGATTTTGCTTGAGTAGGTTCAACATATAAACAATAACTAGATTATGATAACCTGTGAGGTATTGTAAGTGAGTTTAAAACTGACTCAATCATGTAAGTGGTTTGACTTTCTGAGACTAAAAACTATGAACAGGAACTTCTTTCAAGTGTTAATTATTTCTAGCATGTAATACTGTAATTCTGTCTGTCCAGGTATGTGGAGGGGACAAGCCTTACATTGCACCTTCAGATCTGGAGCGAAAACACTTGGATCTCAAGGAAGTGGCGATAAAACAATTTCGTTCAGTAAAAAAGATGGGTGGAGATGAGTTCTGCCGTCGTTATCAGGACCAGCTTGAAGCTGAAATTGAAGAAACCTATGCAAATTTTATAAAGCACAATGATGGCAAAAATATCTTCTATGCTGCTCGTACCCCAGCCACACTGTTTGCGGTCATGTTTGCTATGTATATAATCTCAGGACTGACTGGCTTCATTGGCCTAAACTCTATAGCTGTCTTGTGTAACCTTGTCATGGGGTTAGCACTGATATTTCTTTGTACTTGGGCATATGTTAAATACTCTGGGGAGTTCAGAGAAATTGGAACAGTGATTGATCAGATTGCTGAAACACTATGGGAACAGGTTGGTATCTATCTTTTGGTTTTTTAGTGACTAATCTTATTTTCCTGTGACTTTCCATCCTTTGCAGTATTTGTACTCCGACTTTGCCTTCATGTGAGGAATGTCAAAAGGATGTCTTCTGTTTTGTTCAGATGTAGAATCTTTATGAATTGAAGATTTTTTCTTTAAAGTTATAATTTTAATGTACTTTGGTTAGCCTAAATCTGTACTATCCTCTGGATAGATTCTTAGTTGTAGGCCTGATTGTATCAGACGGTGGGCAGGGTCAGAGTCTGTAATGATTTTTTTCTTTGAGGAAAGAAAATATAAACAATGAATGATTTTCAAGGTAAGGAAAAGAAGTTTGGAAGTGGTGCTTTCGGAAAGCAAAAGAAGTTTCTTCCTAATATTGGCAAGCAGCAATGCAGGAGAAATGCTGGATGGTAGACAGGTCTTCATTGCCTTCCATGAAGATGGTAGTGATTTCCTGATGTACTATGAGGAACAATCCCGTAGGGATTTCTTACCAAGGAAACTTTGACCTTTGTGTTTTGGAAATATTAATTAGTAAAGCAAAGCGCCATGAACAGAGAACCATGCTCCGTCGTAATCTTTTACCTCGAACCAGAATTCAAAGCCCCAGGCTGTGAACTCTTGCCTGCAAGTATCTGCTAAGGAAAGCCATTTTGTGTATCTGCCTCCGGTGTGCTGGAATTACCTGTGGACCGCTTATGGATGTCATTAAGATGATCTTCGTGAAATACTTGAACATCATGTCAAGGACCAGAATGAAAGCTACGGTTATTAATGACGAACGCTATAATAGGCATTTGAGATGCCATTTTTGGGCTCATGAAATATTGAGCTTATTTTGAAGATCTAGGATATGCAGGTCCATGTTTGTTTTGGCTATAAACTTGAAGACCGAAGAAGCAGACCATTTTTTTTGAAGAAAGTTGATTGGATATTGACTTTTCTTGTAATGATGTTATTTTATAAAGTGACCCACTATATTAATTTGGATTTTGTGTTTACTCTTTAGAGAAATGCTCTATTCAGATCCGATTGGGAAGTTTATGTTTGGATATTTATTCTATTTAAATTTTTATCTCAATCTCACTACTTGATGTTTCTTTGATATCTTCTAATAGAAGATGGATGCAAAGCTATCGCAACTTCACTTTTAAGAAAAAATTAGCTATTTTAAAATTTTGGATCATTTTCTGCAATATAATTTTCAATAATTGTACAATATCTTCTTTTGAGAAATATTCATCTCTTAAACAGCATTGATTCTAGGATTTTGGAGGTACCATTATTACAAAACAATTAAATGGAAGAATCTAAAGTGTATAAAATCATTTTCAGTATAGTTTAGGTAAGGTAATCAGCTAGTCAGAGATCTGTGCTGTGTCAACAAACCTTGTCTAAATTTCTTTGCATTTCTCTTTTCTTTTGCTTCAGAGGAGTCCCAGGAAGGTGAGAAACCTACAGTCTCAAATTCTTGTAGTCTTAAACTCTTTAGCTTCGAGGCACTCTGATTCATTCTCCTAACAAATCACTTCATGTTTTAGGTGTTTTCCAAACTGTTTGAAGTTACTAGACGTCGAATGGTTCACCGTGCTCTTTCATCAGCACAGCGACAGAGACTGTCATCCAACAATAACAAGAAGAAAAATTAGACAGTATTTTTAACCTTTTTCTCTATCTGAAGTGTTCACACTTACACATGTAGGACAATAAGCAGGACCGTCTGGGCCGGTCTGCATAAATGCTGTATACATACCAGATTTGATGCTGCATATAGGGTATGGAATTGCACATCCATCTCATAGGAATTGTAAATGGTTTGAATAAGAGGAAAGTAATTTTTGTTGCATTATAAAATGTCTAGTAGCATCATAAGTTTTTTTGAGAGAAGCATCTTTTTATTTCCCATATTCCTGGTTATTTTCATCATTGCTTTGAATTGAATTTTTATATCTATTTTTATATGTAACTCTTTTTTTACCTCATGTTTTTGTTTGTTTTGCACATTTCTCATACCACAGGTATTGAAGCCCCTGGGTGATAATTTGATGGAGGAAAACATAAGGCAGTCTGTAACAAACTCTATCAAAGCAGGCCTGACTGACCAGGTGTCTCATCATGCCAGATTAAAGACAGACTGACAGTTCATCTCCTCACGGACTCCACTCTCTTTTTTTTTCATGCTTGCTGTACAATGAGAACTCAAATAAAAATAAACCAAAGTTTACAATCAACTGTAGAAGTAGTTTAGTGTAACTGGCTTCACAGATGGCTGCCACAGAGTGTGAAGATTGTTTGTTAGTTTTAAGCATTCTTTTAATGGCTCCTAAGACATGCAGATGGACTGAGGAGCATTGGTTAATCATGCACCTTTGTGCCATGTTTAACTCTTTTATTTCTTTTTACTTAATCTAATGTTAGTGAATTTGTCTTATGTAAAAGGATATTTCAGGGAAATATTTTCAGAAATCTATTTAGAGTCTCTTTAACACAGTGTCCCATTGAAATTTTAATTTTTAGAGAATTTATGAATCACTGTTTCAAGAACCAGATTGGAAAGACAATGAAGCCTTTATTGAGCCACTACATTAAAAGTATATATTGCTTTACTGCCTTCAATACCAGTATTACATCAATGCATGTATCAGAAACTTCACAGAAATTACATGGCAACTCTTGTAGCTAAGAAAGTAATTCTGAGGTGTACATTTGTCTTGCCTTTTTAAATTTATAAACTTGCCCTAAAAGGAGATGCATATCTGGGAAACTGAACTGTCTTTTTGCAGTTTAGCCTTCATGTATATAAAATATGCCATTAATTTTATTGGGGAAGAAATTCCATCCAAAAATGTTGCCTACAGCTATGAGTTAAGAGTGTCTGTACAGTGTGTAGCTTTTATTTTCTAAAATCACAGATAGGGCATGTATATGACTTATAAATATATAAATACGATTTTGTATTAAAAGTTTTGTAGTTTATGGCAAAATCTGGTCCTGTGGTAGGCTAAATAAGTACTGTCCCTGTGAAAGGAATGTTTGTGGCTCATGTCAGTGTGTGAATGCATAGACAATTTGAAGTTTTTGATATATTTGTGATATTTATCTTGAGCACTGCAATCTCACCCCCCCCCCGCCCACCAAGGGAATTCAATGGGAATGTTTATTGTGACTTTGTCCTCTGTTGCATTTTAAAGTTATTTCCTGTAATTTATTTTCAGTACATAATTAAAAATTTGTTGTATATATAAAATGAAACTTGTGATTCTTTTTTAAGGAATTTTTCAAGTATGTATTCCACTTCATAAACCACATTTGTTTATAGTGAAAAGAGCATGAGCAGGAAACACCCCAGTTGAGAGCTCTAAGGCATTGTACCTCAAAACTAAGCTTGTAAAAAGTTACTTTTCTGTGTCTGTCTCTATAAGGGAAAACCTATGATTAGCCTAGTTGTAGATGGGGATTGTTAATTTCTTTCTCTCTCTTTTTTTTTTTTTGGTGGTATATGTAAGGCTAGCATTTTTTCAGTACTTTTGTGGTCTTCTTTGTGAACACCGATTAAAGTACCTAGTTTTGTTTGTTTCTTTTTTGAGACGGAGTCTCTCTCTGTCACCCAGGCTGGAGTGCAGTGGTGCGATCTTGGCTCACTGCAACCTCCACCTCCTGGGTTCAAGTGATTCTCCCGCCTCAGCCTCCTGAGTAGCTGGGACTACAGGTGCGTGCCACCATTCCCGGCTAATGTTTTCTATTTTAAGTAGAGATGGGGTTTCACCGTTTTAGCCAGGATGGTCTCAATCGCCTGACCTTGTGATCCGCCTGCCTTGGCCTCCCAAAGTGTTGGGATTACAGGCGTGAGCCACCGCGCCCGGCCCTTAGTTTGCTTTTTAAGCGAAGAGAATGCAGGTGTTGAGTTGCATGTGTGAAAACTCTGAATTTACTTTGGTTGATACATCTTCGCTCCCACTCCCATTCAGATTCTGTTTTTATATGGATTGTATTTGTTTTCATCTGTATTAAATTGCTAACTTATCTGTTCTTAAAGAATCCACCTGAAAAGTGTCTTTTTATTTCTTCTGCCACCCTGTTTTATGAATGCTGTGGACTGTTTTTTATGAATGAAAAAATAATTTGTTGTATAATAGCAGATTTTCTGAAATTAAAGACAGCTTACTTTTAAAAAGTTATAAAATCTAGACCATTGGCTTTCTTACATTTCTTGTCAGAAAAGAGTGCTTTACTCAAAGAAGACAATTCTCTACAGGATTTAAGTCCATTTCACACTTTTAAGCTTTAGCCTAAACATTCATGTCCTGGATTCCCTCCTTTCCTCTAACTTGACCAGAATGGATCTGCGCATCTCAGGTTTTTTCCATTCGTGTGATAGTCGTGGAGTGAGGATGAAAATTAGCTTGAGTTGCTGTGCATCTGGTAGCCATCTTCTCACTTGGCCAGAGATTACTCATCAAATGACTATTGTACTTGGATTCTGTTGGGAGCCTCTGCCATAAAGAGAATGCGACTTTGGGGAGTCTTCCAGTTATTGGTTCCTGTCAAAGCTAGATTGGGGGTTTCCCAGGCAGCACAGAGAATTGCTCCCTTACCTTCTCTACTGAAGTCTTAGATCCTAGGAACTCCTGTCTTTCAGATTTACATTTTGCTGGAAGTTAGACCGAGGAATTGAGCTGCCCTTAATGTACTCAGTGAAATACAACTTTTATATCCTTTTAGGATCGTGAAATCTGCAGCCAAATGTATCAGCTGAATAGGTCCAAACTGCCTAGAGATACACATGAAAGGGCTTAGGGGAGGGAAGTCACAGCCTTTGCATAGCTCAATAAGGCACCTCCATACGTATGTTAGTACTCTCCATACTCATGGCAGTCCTGTGTGATAGATAGGAAACCATCAAAAAGAACCTTGGGCATCTCAGGCTTGCAACTTAGGACTCTACTACACACCTCCAGAAGTTTGAATCTGTTTGAAGCTTCAGACAATGATAAGTAATGTTCCCAACTCAAGATGCAAGGACTGTCTTGGCTGCATTCCTAGAGGCACTAAGTGGAGAAAGTAACATCTTGCTAATACCGAAACAAGCTGAAAATTACCCATAACATTACCACTCTAAAAAATGAATCGATGCAAAAAGTGAAAATGTTCCTGTCCATTTGATTGTACACCTGAGAGAGAACCATTACTTTGGTGTGTGCTATTGAAACCTTCCCTCTGCTTATTGACAAGTCTGTATATGCATAAAACATACTTGTTTTTTGTTTTACATAAAAATAGAATTATCCTGTACATGATGTTTTTTTTTTTTTTTTCATGTAATGGGATATTTTCCTAGGTCATTATGTAATTATTTAATGGTTACTTTGATTCTTAGGGTAGGTGGAGTTTTAAGGAGAGAACAATAGACCTGGGATCATTGCTGAGATGGCTGGGCTCTGTGTCCCCACTCAAAGCTCATCTTGAATTGTAATCCCCATAACCCCCATAATCACCAGGTGGAACTTGGTGGGAGATGATTGGATTGTTGGGGGCAGTTTCCCCCATGCTGTTCTCGTGATAGTGAGTTCTCACGAGATCTATTTGGTGGTTTTATAAGGGGCTCTTCCCTCTTCACTCATTCAATCTGTCTCACCTGCTGCCACGTAAGACGTGCCTCTTTGCCTTCAGCCTTGATTGTAAGTTTCCTGAGGCCTCCCCAGTCGTGGAACTGTGAGTCAAACCTCCTTTTATAAATTACGCAGTCTTGGGTATGTCTTTACAGCAGTGTGAAAATGGACTAAAACAACTGCTAAGAGTTTTCTTTTTATGACAGTTTTCCTCCTATAATAGGATTGTTGAGAGAATCAAATAAAATGTGAAGAAAGGGTGCTTGGGAAGCAGGTACAAGAACAGAAAATCGTGCCCTCAATTTTGCTTGTTTTAAGGCTGCATCTTCTGACTGTTTGGCCACCTGTACTTGAAGCTTGTCCATAACTTACTCCCCGACCACCCCCACCCCATCCCCGGCATTTGGGCTGTTATTTAAGAGTTCTCTAACTTTCTGACAAATTTTTATGGTAATTAGTAAACAACATACTCATTCTGGCCAAATGGGTCTGCAGCCCCTGACAAGAGAGGTCATCTAAAATGGCATGGTTTAGACTTGCCCGTTACAAAACATGAAGACTACCTAAAAACTCAACCTAGATCTGGAAGAATGCTTAAATTTCAATTCTAAGCAAAGGAGATGACCTTATGGTTAAAACTGAGCTTTGTTTCTAGCTCCACCACGCAAGCTTCATGAATTTGTGCTAACGCTTATATAGCAGTTGAGCCTCAGCTTCTTCATCTATAAAATAGGAATAATATTACCCCTCACAGATGTTAGGAGGATGTGATGAGAATTTCCACATCCTGGCAGACTTTTAAATCTTTTTTATGGCGTTGATATTTGTAAACAAACACCTGTCTTCTAAATCGTACTTATTTTTAACTTCCTCTGTTTCCTGAAGAGGATAAACAAGGTGAATTTTGGAGGATGGTGGTCATTGTTATTTTTGTCTATGGAAGAAAGCATTTGTCAGTACTTTCCCCTAAATGGGTTGAGCTCCTCGGAAAGAAGAAACCATACTTTGTGCACTTTTTTTTTACATTATCAAACATTTTTGTGCATACTAAATGCTCAGAATGTTTTAACATGGACTGGATTAGTCAACTTCACCTCAATCTGCCTTCCATACTTAGGCATATGCCACCTGCTGTAGGTAAGCTTAGTGGTTATTTGGCAACTGTGGGATCCTAAATATCAGTGGTTGCTTTTTCTGCCCTTGGCATCAAAATAATCAAACTATGAAGGAATATGATCATTAAAAACCCTCTGGTAAAATAACTTTGGGGGATGGTGAGGGTAGGCTACCTTATGGATTTGGGTTCTCCTTTTTTTTTTTTTTTTTTGAGATGGAGTCTTGCTCTGTCACCTAGGCTAGAGTGCAGTGGCACAATCTCGGCTCACTACAACCTCTGCCTCCCAGGTTCAAGCGATTCTCCTGCCTCAGCCTTACGAGTAGCTGGGATTATAGGCACCTGCCACCACACCTGGCTAGTTATTGTATTTTTAGTAGAGATGGGATTTCACCTTGTTAGTCAGGCTGATCTCAAACTCCTGACCTCAGGCAATCCACCCACCTCAGCCTCCCAAAGTGCTGGGATTACAGGTGTGAGCCACTGCACCTGGCCTGTGTTATTTTTAAAACTTCAGTATACTGATTTGATCTAATGCATTTTCCTAAGTATCTGCTTATAAGTCCTACCAGAATTGGGTTTACAGGCCTGTATAATGTGTGTTTATCTCCAAGAGGGATGTTTATATTATTTAGAGAGGACAGGGCAGTTTTTCCTGGGAAGACTGAAGGTTTTCTGTGTGTTGGGGGGTATAAACATGTTTAGCATCTATACTGAATGCTGCCAGTGCTCATGCAATAGCCTTGGGGTGGGTATTCTTATCTCTGATTTTATAGAGGAGGCATCTCAGGTTCAGAGAGGTCAACCACATTTACCAAAGTGAGGGTGCTCCGGGATTGGAAACCAGGTCTACTGGCTTTAGAGTCCAGAGAGCTATGTACTTACCCACCCTATCACACCGCTGTGAAGAATAAATAGTCCCACCCAGAGAAGAGGAAAGAGAGAGAAGGGTGGATATCAGGAAGGAATACAGAAATGGTTCAGCGTGGCTGTACTAGGGAGTTACTGAAGGGCAGAGACGGATGTAGGAGTGGAGTTGAAGTTTAAAGACCTGGGCAAGATTGTGAAGGGCCTTTCAGATCAGGTAGAGGGGCTTGACATTTAGATATTAAGGTTACACGGACGATTCTTAGAAAAACACAACAGCTATGCGGCCAATTCTAATACTTTAGTATAGTTTCCCAAAGTATGAATTTTTATTTTTATTTTTTATTTTTTAAGGGATGGGGGTGGGGTCTCAAACTCCTGGGCTCAAGCAGTCCTCCCACCTCAGCCTCCCAAGTTGCTAGGGCTATGGACATGCACCACTCCACCTGGCTCGCTTTTTATTTTCGATTAGAGTCACCTGGAGTGCTGTGTGGCCGCCCCCCACCCGCCCCCACATTGCATAGTGAATTTATTTATTTTTTATTATACTTTAAGTTCTAGGGTACGTGGGCACAACGTGCAGGTTCATTACATATGTATACATGTGCCATGCTGGTGTGCTGCACCCATTAACTCATCTTTTATGTTAGGTATATCTCCTAATGCTATCCCTCCCACCCTGCATAGTGAATTTAAATCTGTATTTCTACCAGGTCTCTCAGATAATTCTAATGCATACTGAAGCCTGAGATCAGTGTTAAGTGTTTCCTAATGAGTAGCAGAATTATGGATTTCTCCTGCTGTTTTTATACCTTCCTGACTAAGAAAGCTTTCTGCACAGACAGAGCTGAAATTATGTTGTTGTACTGTGTTGTTTCCCTGGGAGGAAGGTGGAGCTTGTATTGGGAAGGAAAGATCTTGGCAATAGATTGAAAGTGTGCTCTTCTTCCATATTAAAGTAAATGTTATCTCTCAAATTAGAGACCCATTCTCAAGCTTGGATCTTCTTTCAAAACTATGTCATTTTGCTTCACAAACTTTGTACTTGTTCTTTCCTTTTAAATACTTTTGTGAAGGAACACAATAGTTTTAGACATAGCTGATGATTGCAGTCTTCTTTCATTTCATTAGGGAAATGTTTAAGAATGATTATGAGACTTCATAATGTTCCCTGTTCTTTCATCAGCTTTTGAATACAGAGAAAAGAAACTCAGGACTAAATTGTATAAATCAGCAGATCGTACCTTCTATCAAAATATAATCCTTAAAATTATACATGACTGTTGTCCAAATACACAATGAATACATAATAAAATTTATTCAACTTCTTAATGAGGAAACCGGAGATGGCAAAAGGCTGTTTCAAAGCAGAATTGGAGAAATAGGAGTTATGTAGTCCACCAGGAAGGGCATTTTGAAATGAGTATGCTGAGTAATGTGCGCCCTTAGTAGTAAATGGCAACGCCAAACAAATATAGATCAGTGAGTCTCAGACTTGAGTCTCAGGATCCCCTTTGGCTCTTAAAAATTGAGGCCTCCAAATGATCTGCCAATATTTATCTTATTAGAAATTAAAACAAAAATGTTAAAACATTAAAAAATAAGCTCATTATATGTTAACTTTTAAAAATTACATATATTAAAAGTATGTAATATGCCATTTTATATAGTGAAATGATACTATAGTCAAGCAAATTAACATATTCATCATCTCACATGGTTACCCCCTCCTTTTTTTTTTTGTACTAAGTGCATCTAAAAGCTGTCTTAGCAGATTTCCAATACACAATACAATATTATTAACTGTAGTCCTCATGCTGTGCGTTAGATCTCTAGACTTACCCTTTGACCTACATCTTCCCATTTCCCCTGCTCCTGGTAACCACCATTCTACTCTCTGTTACTGTGTATTTGATTTTTTTTCCTCTTTCTTTCTGTTACTTTTAGATTCCACACATAAGTGAGATCATGCAGTATTTTTCTGTGTTTGACTCATTTCACTTACCATAACGTCCTCTAGGTTCCTTGTCACAAACGGCAGGATCTCCTTTTTTAAGGCTGAATAATAGTTCATTGTGTGTTTGTATATATATATATACACACACACTATATATACACACACAATCTGCTAGGATTCAATGCATAAAGAAATATATACATTTCTTCAGCAATTTGCCTAGAAGCCTTCTTGATAGGCATGTTAAGCAATGTCCCTGTATGACTTTGAAAGGACATGATCTACTGCCTTTTCCTTTATTTTTAAGTTTTAGATATTTTTTCAAAGCTCATTTCATGCACCTTTACCAGAAACAGATTGGGTCAGACAGACCAAATAAATTCCATGTGTAAACAGTAGAAATTGAGACTGTACTATAAACCCCTTTCTTTAAGCAATCCCCCTCAAACAAACAAAAGCCCCCTTTTTTAATTCAATCTGAAAAATGCACAAGAAAATCTGAAAGTATAAAGACATTCACCCTTAAGATTTTGATGTACTCATCAGAGATAAACACTGATGCCATTTTCCCCCTTCTCATCTGTTACTTGTGTTAGTGTGTACAAGGAAGTAGTCCTCTGTATTTGTGGGTTCTGCATCCATGGATTCGGCCAGCCTGGGGTGGAAAATTGAAAAGAGTGGATGGTTGCATCTGTACTGAGCATGTACAATACAGACTTGTTTTCCTTGTCATTATTCCCTAAACAACTAGTTTTATAGCGCTGACGTTGTATTAGTTATAAGTAATCTAGAGATGATTTGAATCATATGGGAGGATATGTGTAGCTTCTATGCCAATACCAGGCCATTTTCTGTAAGGGACTTGAGCATTGTGGATTTTGGTATCCACAGGGATCCTGGAACTGATCGCCCATGGATACTGGGGGATGACTGTATTTGAAAGTTTGGTTACTGGGCTGTACATACCCTGGCCTTACCCCCTAGAGATTCTAATTCAGTTGATCTGTGTGCAGGCATCAGTACTTTCAAAAGTTCCCCAGATGATTCTGTTGTGCGGCTAGGACTGAGAACCACTACCTAATCTAACCCCACCTTCAACTCTTCCATGGCCTCCCACACCTGTCTTTTGTGTTCTCTATAATCCACGGTCTGTTATTAGCAATTTGCCAAAACACTTTTTCTCTGTGTGTGCTTTCTCTTCATTTTTCACTTTAACTGAAACCCTGGTGTCTTCTATTCCCCTAGTAGAATGTCTCCCCTGCAGCCCTCTCAAGGCTGACTTGCTCCCTCCCTAGCTACTGCCGGTCCTAACAGAGGTGATGTTCCTGTGCTCCATTGCACCCTTTCAAGTCTTTTTTCTATTAAACAACAAATAAAACAGCTTCTTTAAAGTTATCAGACTTTTCCACTTGTCACCCCAACTTACTGTGGGCAATCTTACTGACCTCCCTACCACCCCTCCTCCTTCGTTGATAACTCTGGCACCTGGCTTCCAGCCTTTTTCTCTTGTTCCTTCTGTGGTCATTCTTGGATCCTTAATGCCACATGAATGACCCATCCCATCCCTTGATTTCTTCAGCCCCCAAAAGACCTCCTGTCCTCCATGTCTACTCATTCATAAGTCATACCCTTCTACTATGTCATTACTACCTCCCAAATCTAGATTTTATGGCTTCCTTTCAGTTCATTGACTGCAGTGTTTCCTTTCAAACAATCCTCTAATCTCATGGAAGCCTTATCCTTTCACCCTACTGCTTGTTCATACATATTGCCCTCATCTCCTTGCCTTCTTACTCAGCTAAGATGCAGTGGTCCAGCACTACAACCATTCCTTTATAAATATCCTTAGCTACCCTGTGTACCCACTTGATGAAACTTCAGCTCTGTTTTTAAACCCAAGTCTCTACCTGTACCTATACCTAGCAGCTGAATATTGTTGGTGAAAATCATGGAATCCTGCTGACTAGAGTATCTTTTTTTTTTTTTTTTTGGCTGAGCACAGAGGACTTTATTGGTGGTACATGACAAGGTGGGGCTCCCTAGACCCCTCCCTCTTCAGGGGGTCTGGATGGAAACTGTGAGGAGGGGAGATTCTCAGTGTGGTAGGAGACCTAGTGCAATAGGGGATTCCTAGCAGCTGAGGGCCTGAGGCTGGTGGTCTGGGGGTCTTACTTCTTGGAGGCCATGTGGGCCATGAGGTCCACTGCCCTGTTGTTGTAGCCAAATGCATTGTCATAACAGGAAATGAGCTTGACAAAATGGTCATTGAGGGCAATACCAGCCCCATCATTGAAGGTGGAAGAGTGGGTGTCACTGTTAAAGCTGGAGGAGACAACGTGGTGCTCAGTGTAGTCCAGGATGCCCTTGAGGGGCCTCTGATGCCTGTTTCACCACCTTCTTGATGTCATCATATTTGGCAGGATTTTCCAGATGGCAGGTCAGATGCATGACCGACACATTGGTGGTGGGGACACGGAAGGCCATGCTAGTAATCTTCCCATTCATCTCGGGGATGACCTTGCCTACAGCTTTGGCAGCACCAGTAGATGCAGGGATGATGATCTGGAGAGCCCCGTGGCCATCACACCACAGTTTCCTGGAGGGTCCATCTACAGTCTTCTGGGTGGCAGTGATGGTGTGGGTCGTGGTCATGAGTCCTTCCACAATACCAAAGTTGTCATGGATGAGCTTGGCCAGGGAGGCTAAGAAGTTGGTGGTACAGGAGGCAATTGCTGATGATCTTGAGGCTGTTTTCATATTTCTTATGGTTCACGCCCATCATGAACATGGGGGCGTCAGCAGAGGGAGTAGAGATTATGACCCTTTTGGCTCCCTGCTGCAAGTGAGCCCCAGCCTTCTCTGTGGTGGTGAAGACACCGGTGGACACCCAAATGTACTCAGCGTCAACATTGTCCCATTTGATTTTGGTGGGATCTCGCTCCTGAAAGATGGTGATGAGATTTCCGTTAATGACAAGCTTCCCATTCTCAGCCTTGACAGTGCCATGGAATTTGCCATGGGTAGAACCACACTGGAACACGTAGACCATGTAGTTGAGGCCAGTGAAGGGGTCACTGATGGCAACAATATCCACTTTACCAGAGTTAAAAGCAGCCCTGGTGATCTGGTGCCCAATGTGGCCAAATCTGTTGACTCTGGCCTTCACCTTAACCATGGTATCTCAGGATGTGGCTGGTGCTACACGAGAAGATATGGCTGTCTGTCAAATGGGAGGAGCGGAGAGCCCTGACTAGAGTATCTTCAACTGCATTATCACAATTCTGAAATAGGTACTCAGCTGTCAACCCAAAATAAAATTCTAAGATGTCCCCCAACTATCTGAATGGACTTTGTCCTTGGCCAGTGCACTCTTAAAATTAAACCTGAAAGACCAGTTCAGGCCATGATAGGAAGTGGGGGTCGGACATGCCTCATTAAACCTCTCAGGCATTCACATCAACACAGACTTTAAGTCTGATAAGAAACGTTTTACAGCCTATTCTCTCTGAAGCCTGCTACCTGAAGACTTCCTCTGCAAATAAGAACTTTGGTCTCCACAATCTTTTATCTTAACCCAGACATTTCCTTTCTATTTATCCCAGGTCTTCAGATAAACTCAACCAATTGTCAGTCAGAAAATTTTTAAATCTACCTATAGCCTGGCAGATTTAAAAGGATGTTTAAAGACATTACTATGAAGATTTTCAAACATGAAAGTAGAGAGAATAGTGTAATGAAGTTTCATGTACCCATCACCCAGTTTAAATGGTTATCAGCACATACGCAGTCTGGTTTTATCTACACACTTCCATTCCCCCCATCTGAAGCTTGACTATTTTGAGGGAAATCCCAGGTATTATATCATTTCTCTCATAAATACTTCAGCATATATCAGTAACCACAATACCTTTATCCTAAAATAATAGATCATTACTTAATATCAAATATCCAGTCAGCATTCAAATTTCCCCAGTTGTCTCATGAATATCTTTGTTATCACCAATGTCCCTGACCATCCACTACAAGAGGTTGAACTTAGTATTCATGTGCGTTGCCACGTTGGGTGGCATGAGCTCTATGCATCACTGATTTTCTCAAAATTTAAGGGGGATCCATCTACCTTACCTCTTAATTCTTTACAAGTTGCACATCTAGCATGAATCATTTTAGGTTTCATTGACCAGGGCATGTTTTAGTACAAACAAATGAAAACACCCAGTACCTTCCTTCTACCTTCTCTTTCTCCTATCCCCCAAACAAAATTGCATTTCAGAATTAAAAGCTTTGTGTTCTTGAGATAGTTATCATTACAGTTGTAGGAACCTGAGGAAAGATTATGCTGTTGACTCAGTAACTTCCTGCTCTGAATCTGACTTCTTGCTCAGGCAGAATTTTTCAAGGTGAATGTAGAAAATGAAGTTGGAAGGGCCAAGGAAGAGGGCTGCAGTAGTGGTAGTAGCAGTAGTAGTAATACAGCAATTATAGAAACAGTCATTCATTCATTCATTCATTTGATCATTCAGTTTATTCATTCCACAAGTATTTATTAGGTACCATATGTCATGTATAAATACCAAATATTTATATGGTACCATATGTTGTATGCAGGAGGATAGCAGTTGTAGGAGCAGTAATTATTCATTTGATCAATTTATTCATTTCACAGATATTTATCAGGTACTAGTTACAGGCATTAGGGAAATGTCAAAGAATAAAAGAGACAAAAATGTCAGTCTTTGTAGAAAGTCAGGCAAAAATGTAATAAAGTAAATTCAGTGGTTTGTTAGAATGTGGTAAGTGCTATAGAAAAAAATAGAATAGGATGAGGAGTGCTGGGGGTGCGAGGGTTTACTATTTGAAATAGGATGGTGAGGGTAAGCATTCTTGAGAGGCAACATTTGAGCAAAGACTTGGAGGAGATGAAGCAATGAGCCATGCAAATATTTTGGGGAAGAGTATTCCAGAGAAAAGGAACAGGCATGCTAAGGCCTGCAGAATGAGTGTGGGTATCATGTTAAAAGGATAGGAAGGAGGTGAGTCTGACTAGGAGGGAATGAACAACGGGCAGAAAGTGATGAGATCGGGGAAGTATTAGGGGGCATGGCCTTGGAGGTCCTGTAGGCTGTTGAAAGGAATTGTTAGTAGGACGGAAACTGGGAACCATTAGGTCATGTTGAGCAAAAGAGTGACTGAAGTGGACTTAAATTTTGATTGGGTCATCTTGGCTATTGTGATGAGAATAGACTTGAGGGTAAGGAGGGGATAGAGTAGAAAAAGATTAATTAAGAAGTGACTGAAATAGTCCAGGTGCACGATAATAATGACCCTGGGTCACATGAAAAGAAGTAGACTTTGAATATATTTTGATGAATTGAGAAGTCATGATGTAAGTATTTCCTAGATATAAGTTACTTTGCCTGTAACGTTTCTAATTTTTACAACAGTGCTTGAAAGTTTTCAAAGATGAGGAAACTGAGGCTGAGAGTGGCAGGGCCAATTGTCCACAGGCGCACAGCTATGAAACTTTCCTATATGCATCAGCCTTCCTTGTTCTAACAGTGGAATGCATGCTAGATAATTTAAGTAGGAAGGGAAGCACAAAGGCTATTTGAAACCCACAGAAGTTTTAGAGAAGCTAGGCTTACCTTTTTGGAAAGCTCCCAGAACCATACCTCAAAATTGAGCATGTAAAAGAACTGGAGCCATAACATAGCCTCTGCCGTGGGTGGTGGAAACAGCTGCCATCACCACTGACTTCATCACCAGGCTGCCTTTGCTGCCCTTGAGCCAGTGAAATACCTGTCTTGGTCTTTCTCAGAAAACTGATTTTCATTTTTTTTTTGAGACAGAGTCTCACTCTGCCGCCGAGGCTGGAGTGCAGTGAGTGGCACAATCTCAGCTCACTGTAACTTCTGCCTCCCGGGTTCAAGTGATTCTCCTGCCTCAGACTCCCGAGTAGCTGGGACTACAGGTGCCTGCCACCATGCCTGGCTAATTTTTGTATTTTTAGTAGAGACAGGGTTTCACCATGTTGGCCAGGCTGGTCTCGAACTTCTGACCTCAGGTGATCGGCCTGCCTTGGCCTCCCAAAGTGCTGGGATTACAGGCATGATCCACTGCGCCTAGCCATAGAAAACTCATTTTCAAAATAAAGTCTTGTGTATGTATCTCTGATTGGTAGAAGCTAATACACCTGTTGATAGCCTAATTTCAATGCACTATATAAAAATTATTCTATATGAGGGATGAAGGATTAACACTTGGGGAGTGATTAAAGTGGGGAGAGTGTGTTTGAAAGACTCAAAGTAGGCTCAAATGACGGAGTTCCCTGCAGTTCACTTTCTGGCTGTGCAAGGTCAACATAGACCCTTACTCTATCTTCACATCTCCAACCTGAACAGCCATGCCACTATCCCTTATACAAAACATGCTACTCCCTCCTCAAAAGAGGAAGCCCCAGATCCCAATTTATTGCAGTTAGCTCTAAATTCAAGATTTTTGTTTGATGTTTACCATTCCATCTTTATATCCCGAAAATTATATATAAATTGTAAAAGTAACTGACCAATTATATAGAATAATTGGAGAAGGATGAAGGGGCATAAAAAGAATTAGTATACATACTTATATATTTAAAACCCACCAAGGAAGGAGAAAAATAAGGCCATAGTTGACCTTTACTTATCTCCTGTTCCCATTGCCCTTAGCCACACCTTTGGCTTTACCTGGTGGAGTGACCCAAACCTTTATTCTTGAGGGATTGGAGCCCTTGATGGTCCTCTACTTCTCTAGGGTTGCTCTAGTCCTTTGGTAACTTTCACCATTAAACAAGGCAGTATGAGAAGAGCCCTCAGAGGATCCCCTAATTTCCAAACATTCCTACCTGCCTGTTTCATGTAGTACAAATCCTATTTTCCCTTGATGCTCAGGATCAATGACCTCAGATAAAATGGTAACACTGCCCCTCCCCCCTGCCCCTACCCATTATTTGCTTGTTTAGTGATTTTGTGTAAGGAGCCTGAAATGGTGAGTGCCAGCCTCAACTGGTAGAAGCATTGCTCTGATGAAACATTTCTCTCTTGGACATTCATGTTTCTAAACTAGCAGAATCTAAAATCACAGGGATGGCAAACAAACATTTTGCAATTGGATCGAAAAATCTAAAGTGGAAGTTGTCACACTCACTTTTATTTATTGATACCCAGACATAAATTCTGGTTGTTGGCGAAATACCATTCGATTCCTGTTAACAGCATGTGTCCTGCACATGGTAGGACAACACCCAGTTTTACAAAGTGCTGTCTCTTGGCTGGTACTGGAGAGTTCAGAAGGCCATTCTGCCATTCTATAAAGTTACCTGCTTCACAGCAAAAGCATTCACTGGTCTTGCCATATATCCTGTGAGCACTGGCTTATTGCATTATTACTTTCGTTGTAAAATAAATTTCTTCATAAAAAGCACCTTTGGGGCTTGGCGCAGTGGCTCACGCCTGTAATCCCAGCACTTTGGGAGGCCAAGGCAGGCGGATCACCTGAGGTCAGGAGTTCGAGACCAGCCTGCCCAGCATGGTGAAAGCCCGTCTCTACTAAAAATACAAAAAAATTAGCCGGGCGTGGTGGCAGGAGCCTGTAATCCCAGCTACTCGGGAGACTAAGACAGGAGAACTGCTTGAACCCAGGAGGCAGTGGTTGCAGTGAGCTGAGATCGTGCCATTGCACTTCAGCCTGTGCGACAAGAGCCAGACTCTGTCTCAAAAATAAATAAATAAAAGCACCTTTGGGTGGAATATTATGGTCATGATTAAGGTATTTAGTATGTCTGCAAAGGATACCATGCAGGGGAATCTAATCCATAGCCAGAATGAGTGTCTCAGTGGAGAGAAATTGCAGCATTTCTGTGATGAAAGTGGTTCTTTGTAACCTTTTTTTTTTTTTCTTTTAGACAGAGTCTTGATCTCTTGCAAGGCTGGAGTGCAGTGGTGTGATCTCAGCTCACTGCAATCTCCGCCTCCCAGTTTCAAGCAATTCTCCTGCCTCAGCCTCCTGAGTAGCTGGGATTACAGGCGCACACCACCACAGCCAGCTAATTTTTGTATTTTTAGTAGAGATGGGGTTTCACTATGTTCATAGGCCAGGATGGTCTCGATCTCCTGACCTCAGGTGATCCGCTTGCCTTGGCCTCCCAAAGTGCTGGGATTACAGGTGTGAGCCACCGCGCCCGGCTCTTTGTAACCTTCTAACCAGATGCCAAACTAATCTCCTTGGGTTCCTGTACCGTACTGGAAGCTCAGAGTTGACAGATTGGGCTCTCAGCCATGGTCGTAGGCAGATTAGCTTCGGTGTGAAGTCTGTTTGCTGAGCCCAAGTGTCCCCTTCATTCCTCCTTCCATGATGACGGGGTTCCTGAAGCTATCAAGCAGGCACTGGAGTGGCTGGGGAGACAGTCTTTTACATTGTACTCAGGAATTCCTGACATCTCAACTTTATTTAGTGTAGGTCACTATTGAGTCCAGATTTTAGGACATAATTAGAATTATGTCCTAGGGCAAACCATTAGAACCTCTCCTAGTTTGCCTAATCATTTAACTTTGGAATCTCTAAAGTGAATTCTTGTTACAATGTAGCCCAATCTAGCATGATCTATCATCCACAGAATCCATTCTCACGAATAGTATTACTCAGGTTTTCTGAGTAAATAAGCAAAATTTGAAAAGCTTTTTTTTTTTTTTGGTTTTGGTATGTGTTTTCTCTAGGGTTCGACTTTGTAATTGGCCTCATGGGATAAATGGATATAATTATAGGTTTAGGTCCAGTAGAAATGACATGAGGAAAATTAGCATATCATTAAGGTAGCTATTACAGAGTCTTTAAGCAAGGTGGGGCTGGGTGCGGTGCCTCCTGCCTGGATTCCCAGCACTTTGGGAGGCCGAGGTGGGCGGATCACTTGAGGCCAAGAGTTTGAAACCAACCTGGCCACTGCACCCCAGCCTGGGCGACAGAGAGAGGCCCTGTCTCAAAAAAAAAAGAAAAAAAAAAGCAAGGTGGGATCAACTTTATCAAACAGAAGAAAAGCTGCTTCTCTCTCCAGAGCATCTCAGGGCATGCTCAGTGCTCCATCTGTCTCTACTCATTCACTTCCCCCAGTGTGAAATGCTCACGTTCTGTGTAGGTGATTCATATCTATGTCTCCCAAGGCTCAGCTTCTTCATGCCTGAGAGGTCAGGCCCATTTGATATTTCCCTTGTGTGGAGTCCTCTAGCCATTGTCTATGTCACATCCGTTGCTACTTACCTATATTCCCTTTAGTATTGCCCCACACATGCAAATTGTGTTGACTCCTCAGGTAAGCCTAGGCTGCTCCAACGAAGGTGCATAGATAGGGCCAGGCAACCCTCATCTCATTGTGCCTTGCTTTATTGTTCTTTGCATATATCACGCTTTTTTTTAAAATGGAAAATTTGTGGCAACCCCGCCTCAAGCAAGTCTATTGGTATCATGCTTCCAACAACATGTGCTCAGTCTGTGCCTCTGTTTCATTTTGGTAATTCTTGCAGTATTTCAAACATCTTCTTTATTATTATATCAGTTATGATCATCTCTGGTCAGTGATATTTGATGTTACTATTGTAATTGGGGCACTACAAACTGTGCCCAAAGAAGATGACAAACTTAATTGATACATGTTGTGTGTGTTCCGAATGTTCCAACCACTGGCCTTCCCCCATCACTCTCCCTCTCCTCAGGCTTCCCTTTTCCCTGAGACACAACAACATTGAAATTAGGCCAATTAATAACTCTACGATGACCTCTAAGTGTTCAAGTGATGAAGGGGTGGCCTGCCCCTCCACACCTGTGGGTGCTTCTTGTCAGGTGGACGAGAGACTTGAGAAAAGAAAGAGACACAGAGACAAAGTATAGAGAAAGAAAAGTGGGTCGAGGGGACCGGCGCTCAGCATACGGAGGACCCACACCAGCACCAGTCTGTGAGTTCCCTTAGTATTTATTGATCATTATCGGGCGTTTCTCGGAGAAGGGGATGTCGCAGGACAATAGGGTAATAGTGGAGAGAGGGTCAGCAGGAAAACATGTGAACACATATCTCTGCATCATAAACAAGGTAAAGAAAAAAGTGCTGTGCTTTTGATGTGCGTATACATAAACATCTCAATGCCTTAAAGAGCAGTTTTGCTGCCAGCATGTCCCACCTCCAGCCTTAAGGCGGTTTTCTCGTATCTCAGTAGATGGAATATACAATCGGGTTTTACACCAAGACATTCCATTGCCCAGGGATGAGCAGGAGACAGATGCCTTCCCCTTATCTCAACTGCAAAGAGGCCTTCCTCTTTTACTAATCCTCCTCAGCACAGACCCTTTATGGGTGTCGGGTGTCGGGCTGGGGGACGGTCAGGTCTTTCCCTTCTCATGAGGCCATATTTCAGACTATCGCACGGGGAGAAACCTTGGACAATACCTGGTTTTCCTAGGCAGAGGTCCCTGCGGCCTTCTGCAGTGTATTGTGTCCCTGGGTACTTGAGAATAGGGAGTGGTGATGACTTTTAACAAGCATGCTGCCTTCAAGCATTTGTTTAACAAAGCACATCCCGCAGAGCCCTTAATCCATTAAACCTTGAGTTGACACAGCACATATTTCTGTGAGCACAGGGTTGGGAGTAGGGTTACAGATTAACAGCATCTCAAGGCAGAAGAATTTTTCTTAGTACTGAACAAAATGGAGTCTCTTAGGTCGACTTCTTTCTACATAGACACAGTAACAGTCTGATCTCTCTTTCTTTTCCCCACAAAGTGAGAGGAAGTGTCACATGTCTCTCACTTTAAATCACAAGCTACACATGATTAAGCCTAGTGAGGAAGGCATGTTGAAAGCTAAGATATGTCAAAAAGTAGGTCTCTTGCACCAGTTAGCCAAGTTGTGAATGCAAAGGAAAAAGTTGTTGAAGGAAAGAAAAAGTGCTACTCTAGTGAAGATACAAATGATAAGAAAGCAAAACAGCCTTACTGCTGATTCGAAGAAAGTTTGAGTAGTCTCGATAGAAGATTAAACCAGTCACAACATTTTCTTAAGCCAAAGCCTAATCCAGAGCAAGGCCCCAACTCTCTTCAATTCTGTGAAAGCTAAGAGGTGAAGAAGCTGTAGAAGAAAAGTTTGAAGCTAGCAGAAGTTGGTTGATGATATTTAAGGAAAGAAGCCATCTCTATTACATAACGTAAAATCAAGGTGATGCAGTAAGTGCTAAAGTAGAAGTGGCAACAGGTTATCCAAGAGATCTAGGAAAGATCACTGATGAAGGTGGCTACACTAAATGACAGATTTTCAGTGTAGATGAGATAGTCTTATATTGGAAGAAGATGCCATCTAGGACTTTCATAGCTAGAGAGAAATGAATCCCTGGTTTCAAAGCTTTAAAGGACAGGCTGACTTTCTCGTTGGGGTCTAATGCAGCCAGCAACTTGAAGTTGAAGCCAATGCTCATTTACCATTATGAAAATCCTGGCCGGGTGCAGTGGCTCATGCCTGTAATCCCAGCACTTTGGGAGGCCGAGGTGGGTGGATCACTTGAGGTCAGGAGGTCGAGACCAGCCTGACCAATGTGGGGAAACCCTGTCTCTATTAAAAATACAAAATTAGCCACGTGTGGTGGTGGGTGCCTGTAATCCCAGCTACTTGGGATTACAGGCAGAGGCAGGAGAATGCTTGAACCAGGGAGGTGGAGGTTGCAGTGAGCCGAGATGGTGCCATTGCACTCCAGTGTGACAGAGTGAGACTCTGTCTTAAAAAAAAAAAAAAAATCCTAAGGCCCCTAAGAATTATGCTAAATCTATTCTGCCTGTTTTCTGTAAGTGGAACAACAAAGCCTGGATGACAGCACCCCTGTTTACAGCATTATTTACTCAATATTTTAAACCCATTCTTGAGAATTACTGCTCAGAAAAAAGATTCCTTTGAAAATATTACTGCTCATTGGCAATGCACCTGGTCACCTGTGAGCTCTGATGGGCTTGTATAAGAATATGTATTAATATTGTTTTCATGTCTGCTAACACATCATCCATTCTGCAGTCCATGGGTCAAGGAGTCATTTCGACTTTCGAGTCTTATCATTTAAGAAATATACTTTGTAAGGTATAGCTGCCATAGATAATGATTCCTCTGATGGATCTGGGCAAAGTAAATTGAAAAACTTCTGGAAAGAACTCATCATTCTAGATACCATTAAGAACATTCGTGATTCATGGGAGGAGGTCAGTATATCAATATTAATAGGAATTTGGAAGAAGTTGATTCCAGTCCTCCTGGATGACGTTGAAGAGTTCAAGACTTCAGTGGTGGAAGTAGCTGCAGATGTGGAAATAGCAAGGTAACTAGAATGAGAAATGAAGCTTGAAGAAGTAATTGAATTGCTGCAATCTCATTATAAAACTTTAACAGATGAGGAGTTGCTTCTTGATGATAAACAAAGAAAGCGGTTCCTTGAGATGAAATCTATTCCTGGTGGGGAGGCTGTGAACATTGTTGAAATGACAATAAAGGATTTAGAATATTACATACACTTAGTTGATTAAAGCAGTGGCAGCATTTGAGAGGATTGACTCCGATTTTGAAAGTAGTTTTGCTGTGGGTAAATGTTATCAAATAGCATCACCTGTGACAGAAATCCTTCATTAAAGGGAAAATCCACTGATGCCACAGACTTCACTGTCTTTAAGAAATTGCCACAGCCACCTCAACCTTCTGCAACCACCACCCTGATCAGTCAGCAGCCATCAACATTAAGCAAGACCCTCCACCAGCAAAAAGACTCACCGAATGCGCAGATGATTGTTACCACTTTTTAGCAATAAAGTATTTGTTAGTTAACGTAAATCCATTTTTTTAGACATAATGCTATTTCACACTTAATAGACTACAGTATCATGTAAACATAACTGTATATGAATTAGGAAACAAAAAAATTTGTGTGACTCGCTTTATTGTGGTATTTGCTTTATTTCAGTTGTCTGGAATTAAACCCACCGTATCTCCAGGGTATGCCTGTATATGAAATGTTGAAATCTTGGCCCTCGCATGACTTCTTTCATATTCAATAAATGTACCCCCAATTAAATATGATGCCTATCTTCCAATCTGTGCCTTCACTAATCCTAGAGAGATGGAGATAATCACTGGAGGGCTGGCGGCTGCAGGGGTCACCTGAGGCAAGGGATGGGAGATGGCACGGGGAACTTTGCGTGATCTCTGCAAGTTCTGCCGTCTTGGAGACAATTGGATGGTTTTTTACCTTATGGCTTTCAGATTCTAAGCTCTCAAAAAGTTATTGCTTGACAGTCACATTTAGAAAATTTACGTATATCCTTAAGTCTGAATATTCTAATTAGTTTTTTCAGTCTAGTGGAATTATTAGAGGATAGCAAGTTTGAATTGCTGACAATGCATACTCGGTAAGCACCAAGTTATTTTCAGAAACATATGAACGTTGCAAAACATTTGCATTTTTTTCTTGGGCCTGTAAAACTTGGTATTATGCCTACTCAGTCTGTAAGCATACTTTACTTATCTGTATGCTCATTTGTTCAACACATTTATTGAGTGCCTACTATATCCCAGGTACTATGCTACATGGTGGGGACACAGTGGTGAAACACATGCTGTCTTTTTTGCCGTAGCCTTTACATTTTAGCGAGGGATGCCAAATAATCTTGTCTACCAATGCTAAATTAATAAGTCCTGTTATTTACCTAGAGTACAGCAGGGGGCAGATGAAGCCCATCTTTCAAAATCATTTGTGGTAGCTCAGCATATCTGATGTAGCTGATTGTAATTGTTACTTAGTCCAGCTTTCAAAGGAAACTAGGATCTGGTTTTGCATTTATGCTCATTCATTATCTCATTTTAGGTATCCCTGGGATCAAATCTGGGGAAAAACAATGAACTGCAGGTACATTTCATCTTTCAGAGTAAATATTTTTCTGAAACAGTTGCTAGGAGAGGTTGCTAAATAAAATAATTCTACTCTGTTTTTTTTTTTTTTTTTTTTTTTTGAGACAGGATCTCACTCCATCACCCAGGTTGGAGTGTAGTGGCGCAATCTCAGCTCACTGCAACCTCTGCCTCCCAGGTTCAAATGATTCTCCAGCCTCAGCCTCCTGAGTAGCTGGGACTACAGGTGTTTTATATTTTTTAGTAGAGATGGGGATTTCACCATGTTGGCCAGGCTTGTCTTGAACTCCTGACCTCAAGTGATCTGCCCGCCTCAGTTTCCCAAAGTGCTGGGATTACAGGTGTGAGCCACCGCAGCCTGGCCTACTCTGATTCTTTTCAAAAATAAAGACTATTAAATTGGTTTAATATTAATTTAATACTTTACATAAGTCTAAATTTTTATTTAGGTGTTCGCTTAAATTGAACTGCAGCCACATTTTTATTGTTGCTAAGAGTATGGATAAAGAAACCATCATTCTCATTAGCAAATCTTTCGTCTGTTTCAGCAATAAGAGCCCCCCCCAATACATTCTCAGACTTTGAGTGAATAAGGGGAAATTTTCAGAAACAGAGAGAAAGTAAAGGTGTGTGTGTGTGTGTGTGTGTGTGTGTGTGTGTTTTATATATTGTTATGTCCACAAGAATTTTGTCTGCGTGATGTTTGAAGGGGCAGGAGAGAGGAAGGTCCTGGGGATGCTGGTCTTGCATTTTGGGCAGAGACCTCAGAAGAATATTTCTAATTTTGGACTTTTTAATGCTATGTTAGATTTGCTGGGTGCTTTAAAGCAGTATTTATTTGAGGTATGAAGCTAGATGTTTGAATTTCTTTTGTGAAGGAAAATCTGAGCTAGAGAGAGAAGTCACCTAAGCAAACACCTTTTGTTAACCAGTGTCCTGCTGGGTCTTTTTTTAATCTAAGGTTTCCCTGGCCCTGCTGTTCTATTACTCTCTTAGAAACAATCACAAGAAAACTGTGCTTACTCTCTCAGATTATGACGTCGTAGGGAGCTAGTGGATGAGTACATGTGGAAGGTGAGGTTAAATCAATTTCTAGTGGATCTGGGATCCAGTCACATCTTGTTATTCTATCAAATTATTTATCTTCCCCACTACCTAGTCAGTTCTGTGGAACAGGGTCATTTTTCTTTTGCTCACCATTGACTTTCCTATGTCCATTATGTTTTCCATATACCAGTGCTTTAAGATCATAAATAACAGCCCTCCCATTGACCTCATTAAAAAAGTCTAGAGAGATTAAGAAACATGGATAACACCCGGCACGATTTATTTGGTAATTGTGTTTGAGTAGTGTGTGTGTGTGTGTGTGTGTGTGTGTGTGAGAGAGAGAGAGAGAGCGAGAGAGATTTCCGAGAGTTTTCCAATCATCTGTTCCTGATCCACCTATGAATGCGTTGAAATGAGGAGGTACCAAGTAGGAATAGCTAAGGGACTCTTTGGAATGCCTTCTAACTTGACCATCTAACATTGCAGATTGTTTGAATTAAAAGGCCCCTACCTTGCCCCAGCCATCAAATTCAATATTCCTGAAGGGAAGTCACCCATATTTTATTGGAACAGCCACTAAATCTTGAGGCAACTACTCCCTTATTACACAAGTCTCGTTTCTTTTTCTTTTTGGGGACAAAGGAGAGATGTTTTTTTTTGAGACTGACTTTCGCTCTTGTTGCCCAGGCTGGAGTGCAATGGCGCGATCTCCGCTCACTGAAACCTCCGCCTCCCCAGTTCAATTGATTCTCCTGCCTCAGCCTCCTGAGCAGCTGAGATTACAGGCATGTGCCACCACGCTTAGCTAATTTTTTTTTTTTTTTTTAGACGGAGTCTAGCTCTGTCGCCCAGGCTGGAGTGCAGTGGTGCAATCTAGGCTCACTGCAAGCTCTGCCTCCTGGGTTCACACCATTCTCCTGCCTTAGCCTCCGGAGTAGCTGGGACTACAGGTGCCTGCCACCACGCCCAGCTAATTTTTTGTATTTTTAGCAGAGACGGGGTTTCACTGTGTTAGACAGGATAGTCTCGATCTCCTGACCTCGTGATCCGCCTGCCTCAGCCACCCAAAGTGCTGGGATTTTAGGCGTGAGCCACCGCGCCCGGCAGATTTTTGTATTTTAGTAGAGACGAAGTTTCTCTATGTTGGCCAGGCTGGTCTCCAACTCCTGATCTCAGGTGATCTGCCTGAGATCAGTGACTTAAATAAATTTAGTGACTCGGCCTCCCAAAGCGCTGGGATTACAGGCGTGAGCCACTGCGCCCGGCCAAGGGGGAGATGTTTTAAAACTATTTCAGAAGTCAGAAAATAGTGTAATGACATTCATATGCCCACTGTCTAATAATTAATAAGTACTAATGTTTTGTCCTTTCAGCCTCAGCTACGCATCGCTGGGAAATAATTATTCATGGGTCTCCTACCGTTTTGTGCATCTGTGAGCGAAATACCGACTGTCCCTTATCCTGGACTATCTTTTCAAGGTTGTTAGTGTAGTAAATAACTTTGGAAGATGGAGACAGTGTTTCTCTTCAGAGTAAAGGGTAGGTTTGCTTACAACCTTGGAAGATAACAGTGTCTCTTTCTGGAGTGAAGAGTAGTTATGCTTCATGCTTATTATGAAACAGTCAGATTCCTAAGCTCAGGATGCCTCTCCTGTAATCCATCCTTCTGTGTGTGCAGGTGTCAGCTGTCTCTCTTCACATCGGCCTGGGGAGATAGGGCTTAGGAAATTGGTGCACAGATGCTGATATCTGACTACTGCTATTGCTGTGAGTAATAAATAGTCTTTTGTCTCTGATTTAGGAGTGTCGTGTCAGTATCCATGAAACAGTAGCGGGCTATTATTTAAACTATCCTAGGCCACAGGAAAATATGAAAAAAGCTCCAAATTTATTTTATAAAGCTAGAATAATTAATACTAAAGCATGATAAAGATAGAAAAAACTAGGCAACTTCATCTACAAATACAGAAGCAAAAATTCTAAGCAAAAATTAGTCAATAAATCCTATAGAAAATTGTAAAAATAATACATAGAAATTGAATCAAGTTTATTTTAGGTGTGTAAAGATAGTTTAAAATTAGAATATTTATCAGCAAAATATATCTACTAGGTTAACAGATGAAAAGAGAAAATAACTATTATAACAGTAAATTATAAAAGGCATTTCATAAAACTTAAAAATTACTAATAAAAACTTCATGTAAAATAGGAGAATAAAACTTTTTAAACATAATAATAACTATAGCAAGCTATGAAATACTGAAGCCATTTTAAAATCAGGAACAAGGGATTGCCTGCTATTACCATTATTATTATTCTTTTTTGGAGATGGAGTCTTGTTTTGTCGGCCAGGCTGGAGTGCAGTGGCACAATCTGGGCTTGCTGCAGCCTCCACCTCCTGGGTTCAAGCGATTCTCCTGCCTCAGCCTCCTGAGTAGCTGGGACTACAGGTGTGTACCACCACGCCCAGCTAATTTTTATATTTTTAGTAGAGACAGGGTTTTGCCATGTTGGCCAGGCTGGTCTCGAACTCTTGATCTCAGGTGATCTGACCGCCTCGGCCTCCCAAAGTACTGGGATTATAGGTGTGAGCCACGGTGCCCACCCTTGTTACCATTATTTAGTATTGTTTTGGAAGTTTTAAATAATGCAATAGTACAATGTGTAAAATATTGGAGAAAAACAAAATAAATTATCTCTTTTTTTTTTTTTTGCAGAAAATATAAACATAATTCAGTTACTTAGATAATCTGTTAGAACTTAGTGACTTAAATAACTTACCAGGATGGAGAGGAGAATTAAGATGGCTGAATACGAGAAACATAAAAAATCAATAGCTTTTCTCTAAATGAGCATGTCCAGTTAGAAATGAAAATAAGAAAAAATTTTATTCTTGATAGAAACAAAAACTACAAAATACTCAGGAGTGAGTCCAATAAGATGAGTAAAAGACATACTTGAAAAAAAACATAAAATTGTGTTAAAAGACATAAGACAAAATCGAATAAATGAAGAAATAGACACTAAATTTATAATGTAAGATTTAATTTACAGTGCCAATTCTTGTTTATAATCCATATTAATATACAAATATAATTAAATTTAATTGGAATAAAAATGATTATTTTCAGTGAGTGGAGAGGAATAGACAAAAAGATGTTAAAGATGATATGGAAGAACAAGTGTCTGAGAAGAGTTAAGAGTGGTGACTTGCTTTACCAGGTAGTTAAATTTAAAACTAAGCTACAGGATTCAGACAGTAAGGAACTGGTGCTAAAATAGACCAGTGGAGAGAAGAAGAGAGTCTAGGAGTAGAGTGAATGAACATAAAAACATAATGAATGACAAAGGTAACATATTCAATTCAGTGGGAAAAGGATACTTTAAAAGACAAATTGTACTACCATACATGGGTAGGCCTTTAGACAAAAATAAAACCCTCCTAATTCAGATCCCATTCAAAAATAAATTCCAGGTGGATTAAAAATATGAATATAGGGCATGGTGGCTCATGCCTGTAATCCCAGCACTTTGGGAGGCCAAGGCAGGTGGATTGCTTGAGGCCCAAAGTTCGAGACCAGCCTAGCCAATATGGTGAAGCCCCGTCTCTACTAAAAATACAAAAAGTAGCCAGGTGTGGTGGCCTTGTAGTCCCTTGAGGCAGGAGAATCCCTTGAACCCAGGAGGCAGAGTTTGCAGTGAGCCGAGATTGCGCCACTGCACTCTAGCCTGGGTAACAGAGTGAGACTCCATTTTGGGAAAAAAAAAAATTAAAAATAGCATATTAGAAAAAGTTTATTAATAAAAGGAGTTTCCATGTTTCCCATCCTTTCTACCCCAAGAGTTTCACATGAAACTGTAAGTCAAGAATGAGCGCCCCACAAGCAGCCTAAGTACTTCATGGGCTCTTTAGGTTCCCAAGGCCCTGGGGAAGCCAGTCATAGAAAGGCAGTATGATGACACATAAAAATCAGGGACTTGAGACAGACAGACATGGGTCAGAATCTCAGTCTGACTCCATAACAGCTGTGGGGCATTGGACAAGCTATTTAGTTTCTGTAAACTTCAGTTTTCTCTTCAGTGAAATAGTACAATAACTCTTGGAGGTCTTCAAAGGATCAAATTCACTGCTGTGAATTTGTGAAAGGGCCTAGCTCACTGCCTGAGACATGTCAGGTATTCAATAAATGCTTATTTCCTTCCATCATTTTTAATTTCTGAGGACTTGCAAAAGAATTAAATTTCGGATGTTTGTGAAAGCTTTCATTATAGCAATATTCACTCTCTGTAACTAGGAAGAAAACTGATATAGAGATACTCATTTTAATTCTTTTGGTTCATGCTTCTTCCAGAAACCTGAGAACTTTCAACACTGGCAAACCAAATGGATGATTCTGCCTTGTACAGAAGAAAATCAATAAACATTAGCTCTTCTGAGGCAGACAAATTACAGAAACCGCAAGTCCCACAGTGTTTCATAATTTTATGACAAATACCATCTGAGTTACTTACAGCTCTGGATGAGAAATCTACTCTTACCAGGATCCCAGTGATTATGCCCAAAGTTGGCCATGTCTCCTTCTCTTAGTTATATTGCTTTGTGCCTATGATTTGTTTGCGTTTTGGCCTACTGTGAGCTTGGCCATCTCTTGGTTTGATGGGTTTCCCAGCCCTTCAAGTCAGCCAATCTCTGCAGAGGGTCCTGGGAGGCTGCCTCCAACACTGGGCACCAACTGTTGGCCCTCAGCTCCAGCAATAACATGCCAGGCTGACGCTTTATTTCTTTGGAACTTTTTCCTGGTTTCTGGCTCAACCTCCTCTGCTCATCCAAGAGAAGTATCTTTGAAATCCTCAGAGAATGACCACTCCCACCATCAGCCTTGGGATTCAGTTTGCCCTGGGCCAGAGGGGGGCCCTCATATTTACTCCTGCCTCCGATGAGTACATGTGCCTCAGCCCTTGTGGGTGTCTTTTTCTTCTCCTTGTAGATAAGATTGTACCTGTTAATAAGAGATTGTATCTTGTTTTCCCAGTGTTTTAATGAGAGATTATTTGAGTGTAAGGAACAGATACTCCAACCCCCATTCCAACCCCAGCCTAAGCAAAGGATTTCTTCTACAACTTCAAGGGAAAATCTCTCAGACTTCCAAAGACAAGACACAAAGTACAGTCAGACTGGAAATGCGACTGGAATGTTGGGAACTGAGATCTCCTCTCCAATTCCAAGGCTCAGATGATCTCGCTCATCTCTGTCTCTCTGTGTCCTCTCTCTTTGGTTGCTTCTAGTGTAATGGACCAATATGGCTGTCCCAACCATGACTCTACATAATGTTTCTGTTCAATCACCTACTTTCATCTCATGATTTATTATTTCTGTGACAGTTCAAATACTGGAAGAGTCTGGTTGGCAGTTTGTCAGCCAATAGATGAACAGATTTGAGTTAGGTGTCAACCTCAAATCCAATCATTTTTGACTGGAGGGCAGGGGCAGGTAATTGGCATTGGCTGTGAGCCAGGGCAGGTCAGCTACCCAGGAACTACTTAGGTCTCATCCCTGGTCCTTTACATTTAGATCAAGCCTGATAGTTGAAAAGACACATTCACACACTCTGTTATTTACTTGCTTGCTGAATTCATTTGTTCATTTAACATTTCTTGAGCACGTCCTATATCAAGTCCTGGAACAGGTATCACTGCACTAGGCCCCATGTCTAAATATGTGTGTGTTGTCCCCAAGGCAATTTTATTAATGGCAGGGGTGCAGGTTTAACAAGTAAGCGGGGATGTGATGTAAGTGCAGTGAAGGAGAAAGTTGAGCTTCTGTGGACAGATAGAGAGGGATATAACTTGGGCTTGGGAGTAAGGGGAATGAGTCAGGCTTGATCATCTTTACATATCCCAGAAGTCAGGAGGTTGGCAAGGCAGGTAAAAGTGTCAACTGATTTGAGAGATGAGATAACGCAGGCTCAGAGGGGTTAAGTGATTTGCCTAGCACCACACTGCACTGGAACAAGGACTGGGGTCCAGATCCTCAGACTCCTGGTCCAGTGCTCACTCCTTTCACTTGAGGTACTGTCCTACCCACTCACCCCCCATTCTGCCCCAGGTCTGCTTTCACGGTGTACTGGGTAGGCCTTATCATATGAGTGGGTGCTGGGAGACTTGGCTTGGTCACTGCCTTGGCACCCACTGTGGGCACACATTCTAGGCAGATCCTAAAGCTTTCAAGGCTAGGGTCTTGGGGCAGGATGGGAAAGGGGAGGAGGATGAGAAAGAAGAGAAGTTGGGGATTTTGTCCCCATTTTTTCCTGGGAAGGGGTGACTGGGGCTCAGAAGTCTAGCTCCTGTGACAGGGCACATCTCATTCACAGGCACCATGGGCGGGAGAGTAGGGGAGACCTCAGGCAGACCCCCACCATGCCTCTAACAGGCTGCTGAGGTGGAACTGGCCGCACTGGAAATCCCTGCCCAGAGGAGGCCCAGCCATGCAGACCCTGCCAGATGGCTGTGTCCCAGCAGGCCACAGGGCTATCCCTGGGAGGTGATATGGATTTGGCCTAGAGAAAGGTGTTGGGAGGAAGTCAGGGCAGGTGGAAGTTTCATCATCCTTTCCCTTCATCCATCCACTTCCTTTACAGTTGGTTTCCCTCCTGACCCACATCTCTCTTTTCTGTTGCCAAATAGGTGAAGACCATGTCACACGGACAGTGGTCACAGGGAGTCACATGGAGGTTTTAGAGAGTTCATCCACACCACTTCCTGTTAAATGCACTTTCCTTAGACTCAGCTCCCCACATTTCTTGCTCTTGCCTTATTCCTCTTGAAGGGTGAGATTATCTGGGTCTGATATGGTTTGGCTGTGTCACCCAAATCTCACCTTGAACTTTAATAATCCCCACATGTCAAGGGCAGGGCCAGGTGGAGATAATGGAATCATGGGTGTGGCTTCCCCCATACTGTTCTTGTGGTAGTGAATAAGTCTCATGAGATCTGATAGTTATATAAGTGGGAGTTCCCCTGCACAAGCTCTCTTGCCTGCCTCCTTGTAAGACGTGACTTTGCTCCTTCACTGTCTGCCACATTGTGAAGCCTCCCCAGTCATGGGAACTGTGAGTCAATTAAACCTCTTTTCTTTATAAATTACCCAGTCTTGGGTATGTCTTTATTGGCAGCATGAAAACGGACTAATACAGGGTCTGTTTCTGTTATGATAGAAATATAGATAATTCTTTTTACCGTAAGAAAACCAGCATTATGGACATGATCAATAGTAGCTGATGCTGGACCTCCACGCTGAGTAGGCCACAGGACTGGTGCGACCCAAAGAAGACACAGCCCTGGAGGGGCCAACCATTTCTCAGTGCCCACCTCTGACTACCTCGGAGGCCTGGAATCACTAGCTCTTTCTATTTTTTAAGAGACACTGGAAATGTGAATTAGAAAAATTCAGTACAAAATTAATACAACATTTCTAAGAAACATAGGATGAAACAAACAAAACAGGATTTGGCTTGAAGATAAGTCAGTTTGTAAGTTCTGATCTACCTGTTCTTCTTTTAAAAAATCTCTTCCAGGCACTTCACCTTTGGCTTTTCTTCCTCAAACCCTATAACCCTAGTCTAACCAGGAGACAACATGAGACAAACCCAAATTGAGGGACATTCTACAAAATATCTGACTAGTATCCTTCAAAATTGTGAAGGTCATGATAAATGAGGAAAAACTAAAAAACTATCACAGCTCAGAGGAAATGAAAGAGACATGTTGACTAAATTCAATGTGGGATCCTGGATGAGATCCTGGAACATTAGTGGAAAAATTGATGAAATCTGAATCACGTCTGCAGTTTAATTGATGGTACTGTACCAATGTTCATTTCTTAGTTTTGACAAATGTAGCATAGTAATGAAAGATGTTAACACTAGTGGGAACTGGGTCAAAGGCATATGGGAACTCTCTGTACTATATTTGCAACTTTTCTGTACTTCTCAAATTATTCCAAAACAGAAAGTTTATTGAGAAGAAAAAGTCCCTTCCTAGCCTGAGATAACCTTTGGTTGTTATGGTTCTGAAAATGAAGCTAGGTTTCCAACGTCAAAACAAGTGCGATCTCATTGGTATCTTTCCTTCAACCTGTGAATATCCATAGCAGTGATCTATCAACTCTTTTGGTTCAAATGGTACCAAAGACTCTTATAATGGGCCTGTGGGCCCTCAGGTTCAGGCAGCTTTGGTCTCTCCCTTCCTATCAGTAAAGGATGGTCAATTTCTTGGCCTCACACACTACTACCCTCCCACTCTGACTGCCCTATGGGTTGCTGGAGTGAGTTTGAAATTCACAGAGTTAGGTGATGACATTGTGCCTAAGGATATGGTGGTTTGACCTGTTAGGCTGTGCAGCTGGATCATTTTCTAAGTGGCCTCAGGCTTTGTGTGGCAGGATCTGAGAAGAACCTCCTCTTTTCTAGGAAAACATTCCCAGTGTCAGGAAAATTTATGAGGCAGAAAGGGCTGAAGTGAGCTGTCAGAGGAAAGGAAGGGCCCATATGGTGGAGAGGAACCTTCACATATATTGTCATCTCTCCAGAGGAGTTAAGTTTCTCCAAATTTGTGGTCCCTCTAACTGCACAGGAATTAAATTACTCTGCAGGATTCCCAAGCAATTATCCCTCCTCACAAAGCAGAGCCTGTCCTTTCAGGACCCAATCAAGCGACCACAAATCAAAGATAGCTTGGACTTGTTCCACTAATAGCATGGAAAGCCTGCTGAAGTTGCTTGAAAAGAGAAGTGGTTCAGATATCTCTGGTCTCACAAGAAAAGCTTCTGTAATGTCAGATTATGGTTTCCAAATGGCTAGGTGGAGAGGGGCATCGCATTTCTCATAATGAGAAGTTATTTATTGCACCACAGAACCAACACTCTTCCCCTTGCTCACTTGCACAAGATAAGATGAAGAGTCCTTTCAAGTTGAATCCAGTCTCAAAAGAAAAGCAACACATGCACTCCCAGCTAATGTTTGGTTTTTAATTCTGGTGTGTAGGGAAGGAGTGTGGGGGCTCCCTCTGCGCGTGGCCTGAGGAGCTCTGCAGGGCTCTGTTGCCCCAGCCTCTAATGCTTGGAGCTGGACTCATTGTTCCTGTGTTAGAGTTTAGTGGAGGAGGCAAACATTAATTAGATCAGATACTATTTTAGAATATAGGCACTGCTCAAATGCTCCAGAACAGGCCTCAGAACAATGACAAAGGCCTTGAGGGGTTGCATTTGAGCTGGTTCTTGCAAGAGCAATAGAGAGAACTGGACAGGAGGACTAAATTCTTAGTTATGGAATTCAGTTACAGTTACTTTGATTCTGAAGTCAAAGGTACAATCTTTTTGGTTAAGGCATCTTTTCGGCTATAGGAGTTTCCAAGAGAGTCTCTATCAAAATATTAAGAACCTGTGCTGTTTGCCATCAATCTAACAGAAGCCCTTCTTTCTTCACGGAACTACTTCCTCCCGGTGTCCTTGCTGATGGCCCGGAAGGAGCTGCCAATCCCAGAACTCTGCATCCTGGCCATGGGGAGAACATGTGTCCATCCCTCTGGCTACAGTGATTGGTTCAGGGATGGGCACATGGCGGAATCTGGACCAATCAGAGGCTTTCCTAGGATTGTTTTAAAAGAAGTTGGTGGTGAGGGCTTTTTGGCTCAGGGAGTCTGGAGGGATGGGAATCTGGAGGGATGGGAATCTAGAGCTCCCAGAGGCTATGTTTGTGGTCACACAGAGAAAACTCATCTCTACTGGAGAGAATGAGAGAGGAGAGACAGAGAAAGAGGGATCATCATGGCACTGAGGCTGGATTCTAGTTACTGGGAGCCCAGGTATGTGTGTGGATGTTCCACTATCCTTCCAATAAAGCCCCATTTTAATTAAACTTATTTGTATTGGGCTTTGATATGGTTTGGATCCGTGTCTTCACTACATCTCATGTTGAGCTGTAATTCCCGTGCTGGAGGTGGGGCCTGGTGGGAGGTAATTGGATCATGGGGGCAGATGTCTCACGAATGGTTTGTCACCATCCCCTTGGTGCTGTTCTCATGATGGTGAGTGAGTTCTCGTGAGATCTGGCTGTTTAAAAGTGGGTGGCTCCTCCCCCACGTCCTTCTCTTGCTTCTGCTCCTGTCATGTGAGATGCCTACTCCCCTTTCACCTTCTGCCATGATTGGAAGCTTCCTGACGCCTCCCTGGAAGCAGATGCTACCATGCTTTCTGTACAGCCTGCAGAACCATAAGCCCATTAAACCTCTTTTCTTTATAAATTGCCCAGTCTCAGGTATTTCTTTATAGCAATGTGAGAACAAACTCATACAGGTTTCAGCCACTCTCAAGAAAGAATAATCTAACTGATGGACTCATCAATGTGCCTGTTTTCTCTGGTTTTCAGTAAACACCATTCCCAGATGGGCAAGAGAAGTTCTGCTGCTGGTCTGGCACTGCTGGCTTCAGAGGCACTGCTGTACCCATGTTTGGGCTCAGAGATGTCAGAGGCCTCTGCTTGTCAGGAATGAAAGGGAGCTAAGGCAGAAGAGTAAAATGATGAAAACATCATGGCCAGATAGAAGCAAAACCAGAGAGCAGAAGTGTGGATTGTTCTTTCTGGGTTTTTATAGGTTTTGCCTGTTTGACTTTCCAATAAGGTTCTTTTGAAGAAAGGGTTGGGCAGCTAAAACAGTTTTTTATTCACTGGCTTAGAAGACCATTAGTTGCCTCCCCCAGTCTAAAATCCTTTATTATTCCACTTTCTTGGTCACCTGGCCTTTGCTGTGTTCACGGGAGGGACTGGCTCAGGCCAAGAATGTGGAGGGGGAGGGGGCAGGGAGGTGATCATGTGGATTGGAAATGGGACTAAGCTTACACCGAAAACTCACAGTGGCCTCAATTCCGTGTCCCCACTTCTGCAGGCCCCTGCTGAGATAAGCCTGGGAATAAGTCAGCTCTGGCGGAGTTTCCGCCTCAGCTGGCCACCCGGTCCTCGCTCTCAGTCTTTGATGCTCCATTGCAGTCAGAAGGGTATGTGTGGGCATGCAGGTGGTCTGCGGGTCTCAGTCCAGCAGGAAAGCAGCTGTTTGCCAAGCACAGGTGCTCTGAGGCCTAGGGGATCTGAAGAGCCTGCTGTGAGTGTGGTCAGATGTCAGGTCAGAGGCAGAGGTGGGAAAAACAGAGGAGAAGCACGTGGGGAAGGAGAATAATGAGTTCCTTCATGACTCTAAAGGCTCTCAGAGTCTGATTTTCAATTATAAATAATCCCAGGATCTGTTCAGAGCTCAACAACAGCCCCTAGTGCCCTGCAGCTGGGCAGAGCAGTCCACGTGGCTTTTTGGATCTTACGTGTGTGACAGCCTCCCGGTTCACAGCCTTTTGAAGTTGATGGAAGAGGCGTTCTGGAAACACAACTGAAAGACGTTTGTCAAACTGAAATCAAAGTTACAACCACATTTGTTTTCTGGGTTTTTGTGCAGATATGTTAACAAGGAATGTTGTGCTTGCAGTGGAGAACATCTGTTTTAGACAGCAATTATTTACTGAGCATCTAATGTGTGCCGGCATACCAGTCCAGCACCAGGTATTTGGGTAGAAGAGGAGGCCTGGAGAAAGAGTCATTGTCCCTGATTTTCATTTTAGTGGGGGAGGCAAGCACTATGATACTATGCTAGAATACAGGCCCTGCCGAAGTGCTCCAGAACCAGCCTCAGAGCAATGAGGAAGGATTTGAGGGCTTGCATGTGAGTTGGCTCTCGCAAGAGCAGAACTGGACAGGAGGACTGAATTCTGAGTCCTGGCGACAAAATTCAGGAAGCAAATGAGAATCCAGAAGTCCAGCACATAAGAGCCAGTGGAAGGGAAGAATCCAGCCGAGGCAGAGGTCTGTGGGGAGGGCCGTGCGTGAGCGGGTGGATCCAGCAAGGCCCACAGATCAGCAAGGAAGCCAGAGAGTGGGACGTTTTTGGTAAAACCCGCTGCTGGTGATGGCCTGGAAAGATGTTTTCTGAGAAAGCTTGGGCAGCTTGAATGCTGGGAGAGGGTGTGGTGGTCCCTGGGGCAGGAGACCCTTCTTTCTGACTCTGTAACCACAGCCCCGGTCTGCTTCATCACTCCGTGGGCAGTGATGGTCTGTGCCCAAAACGCTGTGATTCGAAAAGAGATAATTTGCAGGCAACATGAAGAAGTCCCAAAAAAGACAGTATTAGAAGAAAATGTCCTTCAAGAGTTTTAATGTAGGTGGAGAGAAGGCAGGATGGAATTCAAAATCATGTTTTGAAAGGACATGGTGTCCTTTCAAAGCTCCAAGCGTTGCTTTGCTGTGCTCTGGGCATGCCTTGGGCTGGATGGGAAGAAAAGTGAAAATAAAGTGTGTGTGCATACATGCATGTGCACGTGTGTGTGTGTGTGTGTGTGTGTGGTGTTTTCTAAAATATCAGAGGACAGGATGTCTGACAAAAGACTCTTGTTAAATGTGTTGTTGAATTAAGTTGCCTTGGAAAGAATTTCTAAAAAAGCTTTCAGAATCAACACTTCTCAGTTTCTCAGCAAGGATTTTGCCAGAGCAATAGAAAAAGACATTACATTGTTCCCAATTCAGTTCTAGCACTCTCTTTTTTTCCTTGCATACTGTCTTCACAGGAAGGAAAAAGTTGTCTAAGGGAGGAAGACTCAGGGCGTTGCATCGGGACTCCCCGTTCTCCTCTAAATCCTACCTCTTACGATTCTTTTCAACTCTTTTTCCAAACTTTTAAAGGCTTTGTGGACTTCTTAGAAACCGAAAGTTCCCAAGAATAGAATACGTGTCCACTGGAAGTCCCCGTAGGTGCCCAGGGCTGGCGGGACTCTCTTGGTGGTGTAGGACCTTGCTTGGATGTTGAATGTGTGGGAAGGACACCCACAGGGGGAAACCCAGGATGGTGGACGTGGGGCCAAAATATGCAGCAGCTGCAAAGGATCTGGGTACTTGGCTCTACTGCCCTCTAATGTGAGAGAAGCCCAGATCAACACGGGAGGGAGTGGGCGTTAGACAACCTGCAAAGAGACAGATCTGAGAGGTGCGGCTCCCCGTGGACTTAGTGTCTTTCAGTGAAACCACCGTTCACTCCTGAAGATCTGAAGATGGAGGAAGTTTTTCCCATCCTACTCTCCCCTTTTAATTTCCTAAGCAAAATATCATTTCATCTTTCTCAGTCCATCTTTTGTGTCTGATGAATGGATTGAGCTAGATAATCTCTAAGGTCTTTCCAGCACTAACCTCCTATGCAAGGTTGGCTGCATAATTTGCAGGGCCTGAAAATGCAAGGCCCTCCTTCGAAAATCAAGGAAAAATGATGTGAAAATTACTAAAACATAAAATTCCTTCCTTTCCTCTGTACTTTCCCTCTCGACTTGTCATGAAGTTTTTAAAATTTATTGTTGTTCTAAGAAAAGAAAAATTAAAATTTAATGATATTAGCATAAAATGGCAATTTTAAATGTAAATAGAAGAACATTTAAATTTTACGCAGAATCACTAAAATTATACAATTTATATTTCTCAGTTTGTACATTCATATATATTTTGTGTTTGCCAGAACAATGGAAATGCTATACAAAATGAGCTCAGATTGTTTTCATTTCATTTTTTTGTATGAGGACTTTCTACCAACAGTCTGTACCTTTGACTTACTGATGAGTAAAGAAAAACTGAGCTGGGTGCACAGGCTCACACCTGTAATCCCAGTGCTTTGGGAGGCTGAGAGGGGAGGATCACTTGAGGCCAGGAATTTGAGACAACCCTGGGCAACATAGTGAGACCCTATCTCCACAAAAAAATTAAAAATTAGCTTGGCGTGGTGGTGCAGGCCTGTAGTCTTAGCTACCCTGGAGGCTGAGCTGGGAGGATCGCTTGATCTCAGGAGTTCAAGACTGAGAGCCATGATTGCAACACTGCACTCCATCCTGGGCAACAGAGCAAGACCCTCTCTCTTTTTTGAAAGAAAAGGAAAGGAAAAAGAACAACTGAAGGGAAAAGGAACTATGAGTTGCCCCATTTCCCCCTGTCCTTCTGTGTCACCATTTTCACCGTAATTGGTTGGCTAATACAGGAAAATCACATGAGTAAGAAAGCAAAAAGCTGATACAGGAAAAAAAATCAACTGTTTCTGTAAAAAGTAATAAAAAAGGAGCCATCACAGGATCTTTAATATACAAAGATGTTACAAGAAGAAAGAAGGAAAGTAGTAGGAAAAACAAATATCAAATGAAGTGCAGACTCTAGAAGAATGTTGCAGCCCATGTCATAAAACTATGACATTAAAAAAGAATGAGGCCGGGCATGGTGGCACATGCCTGTAATCCCAGCACTTCGGGAGGCTGAGGTGGATGGATTGCTTGAGGACAGGAGCTCCAGACCAACCTGACCAACATGGTGAAACTCCATCTCTACTAAAAATACAAAAAATTAGCCAGGCATGGTAGTAGGCACCTATAATCCCAGCTACGTGGGAGACTGAGGCAGGAGAAGCGCTTGAACCTGGGAGGTGGAGCTTGCAGTAAACCAAGATTGTGCCACTGCACTCCAGCTTGGGCAACAGAGTGATACTCCATCTCAAAAAGAAAAAAAAAAAAAAAAAAGGCCATACCACTTACCTGTTAAAATGGCCAAAATCCAAATCCAAAACACTGCCAACACCAAATACTGGCAAGGATATGGAGCAATAGGAACTCTCATTCATTGCTGGTGGGAATGCAAAACGGTAGAGCCACTTTGCAAAGCAGTTTGGTAGTTTCTTACAAAACTAAACATACCCTTACCATACGATCCAGCAATCATGTTCCTTGGTATTTACCCAAATGAACAAAAACTTGCACACAAATGTTTAGAGCAGCTTTATTTATAACTGTAAAACATGGAAGCAACCAAGATATGCTTCAGCAGGTGAATGGATAAATAAACTGTGGTACATTTAGACAATGGAATATTAATTAGTGCTAAAAAGAAATGAACGATCAAGTCATGGAAAGACACGGAGGAACCTTAAATGCGTATTACTAAGTGAAAGAAGCCGATCTGAAAAGGCTTCATATGATACCAACTATATGACATTCTAGACAAGACAAAACTATGGAGACAGTAGTAAGATCTGTGGTGGTCAGGGGTTTGGGGGAGGGAGGGCTGAAATGGCGGGGCACAGAGGATTTTTAGGGCAGTGAAACTACTCTCTATGATAGTATAATGGTAGATACATGCCATATATCTGTCCAAATCCATAGAATGTACAACTCCAAAAGTGAAGCCTAATGTAAACTATGGCTTTGGGTGATATTGATTTGTCATTGTAGGCTCATCATTTATAACACGTGTATCCCTCTTGTGGGGGATGTTGATAGTGGGGTGGGGGCTATATGCACATGCAGTCAGGGAGTATATATGAATACTGTATTTTCTGCTCAATTTTGTTGTGGACCTAAAACTGCTCTAAAAAATAAAGTCTATTTAAAAAAAAAATATGACTGGGCACAGTGGCTCGTAATCCCAGCACTTTGGGAGGCCAAGGTGGGTGGATCATTTAAGCCCAGGAGTTCAAGAGCTACCTGGGCAACATGGCGAAACTCTGTCTGTATTAAAAGTACAAAAAAATTAGCTGGGCATGGAGGTGCATGCCTGTAGTCCCAGCTACTCCGGAGGCTGTGGTGGGAGGATCTCTCTCTCTCTCTCTCTCTCTGTCTCTCTCTCTCTCTCTCTCTTTTTTTTTTTTTTTTTTTTTAAGGCAGAGTCTCAGTCTGTGGCCCAGGCTGGAGTGCAGTGGCACAATCTCAGCTCACCGCAACCTCCGCCTCCTGGGTTCAAGTGATTCTCCTGCCTCAGCCTCCCGAGTAGCTGGGGCTACAGGCATGCCACCACGCCTGGCTAATTTTTGTATTTTTAGTAGAGACAGGGTTTTGCCATGTTGGCCAGGCTGGTCTCAAACTCCTGACCTCAGGTGATCTACTGGCCTCAGCCTCCCAAAGTGCTGGGATTACAGGCGTGAGCCACCGCACCTGGCGGATCTCTTGAGCCTGGGAGATGAAGGTTGCAGTCAGCCACGATCATGCTACTGCAATCCAGCCTGGGCCACAGAGTGAGACCTTGTCAAAAAAAAAAAAAAAAAAAAAAAAAAGACAAATATTTTAGAATTAATTTTAAAAGTAATTAAACCAAGGACCCAAAGCAAAGAGACAAAAAGATCAGGGAGAGATGTATTGAATTAAAAGTTGCTAATATATAAATAGGGATAATATAATTTACCAAATAAGTTTCAAGGGATGATAACATATCTATATGGACCAATTACATTAGAAGAAAGCGAGAAAGCTGTCAAACATCTATCATCCCCAACAAGCACAGAGCCTAGAATTTAAAACAAAAACAAAAACAGACCCTATAATTGAAATTAGGGCTCTGTTGGAAGGAACATGAAGGAAAACTGACACTGTTGATTGTAGAGGGTATACATGAGAAATCTGAGCAAAACAAAAAAGGATTTCAAAGGCTAGGAGACACTATTAGCCTGTGTACTCTTAGAACAGACTCTTACCTTTTACCTTCCATAAAATGAGTTTTATCCTTCTACAAATTGAGGTATAGATTTTTAAAAATAGTCTCATTTATAGTACTATATTATCTTAAGGATTTGAAGTATAAAAAGTAAAGGCATGCTTATTTGAAAAAGGCAAAACTTCTAAAAAGTAAAAAGCAAATACTTTAAAAACAAAAAGACAAAAATTTGAGAGTGAAAAAGAAAAAGGTTGAAAGAAAATGATGGAATGGGAAGACAGGGAAAGGAAATATGAATAAGTGAAGGACCAAGAGAAAAATTATGAAATGAATGGGACAGAACACAAATTTATTGATATAATTCAACACAACTTCCTGCAATAAGCGACTTGAATGTGCTTAATGGAAAAGTAAACAGGGTCTCAGAGAAAATTGACCAAGAATGATCGACATGAAGACAGATCTTAATAAATATACTGCAATTCAACTCTATTTAAAGACTCCTGGGAGCATTGTCTGAGTTCATAATCGTAACCTCTATGTTCTTTCTGTTTGGCATTTTGCCATTCTTTTATAGTCAACCTTCCTAAAATTTTAAACATTTTAGTTATTTTCTTAGAAACAAAATGAACAATAGATGGAATTAGATTTTGTTTTGTGAGATTGTCTACAAGTCTTTTTCTTCAATTTATACAAGCAATAAGTCTGTTATTTTATGTTGTGTTTTTGTTTTGACCACTTCCGTAAATATTTCACTGTATAGACTCTTTGCTATGTTTTATCATCCAGGCAATAAGATCAAGTCATGTATAAAGCATAAGCAGACTGATCGTTGGTTTCTCCACAGCAACATTCAATGCTAGAAAACAGGCTGGGCACGGTGGCTCATGCCTGTAATCCCAGCACTTTGGGAGGCCAAGGTGGGTGGATCACCTGAGGTCAGGAGTTCAAGACCAGCCTGGCCAACATGGCGAAACCCTGTCTCCACTAAAAATATAAAAATTAGCCAGGTGTGGTGGCGGGCATCTGTAATCCCAGCTACTTGGGAGGCTGAGGCAGGAGAATCACTTGAACCCGGGAGACAGAGGTTGCAGTGAGTGGAGATTGTGCCATTGCACTCCAGCCTGGGCTACAGAGTGAACTCTGTCTCAAAAAACAAACAAACAAAGAACAGCAGTGACTCCAAAATCCTCCCAGAAAGAAAGTTTGATTTGCAGATTTTATATCCAGCCAATCTTTTATTCAGTTATAGAGGCAACTTACCATTTGAACATCCAAGAACTCAGGGAATATAGTTCCCATGAACTGTTCTTAAGTAATTTACTAGATAAAAGAGTATATTCAACTGCAAGAAGCCTGGAAAACTGATAAAAACATTGGTGGTGAACATTGAATGAATCCATCGAACTGTAGAATCTAGACCTAGGTAAATATGGAAATTAGGGTGACATAAGAGAATGTAAATATTATTTTCCTTGATGATATGAACCATATGTAACTAACAAAAGTTGGAAAGTAACAAGAGAAAGAAGGTGAAAAGTTATATAAGTGCTTACTATAATTGCTACATTAAAGCAGGGATGGGCAAGTTACCGCTCACAGGCTTAATCTAGCCCACCACCTGTTTTTGTATAAATAAAGTTTTATTGGAACACAGCCATGTTCATTTGTTACAGATTGTTTATGGCTGCTTTCATGCTATAACGGCAGTTAAGTTGTCGTGATAAAGATTGAATCACAAAGCCTAAAATATTTACTATTTAATCTTTTACAAAATAAATTTGTTGACCCCCTGGGATAAAGGATGCTATTTAAAACTGACAAATTAAGTAGTAAAAGTGTATGTAACAATTCTAAGGTAAACACTAAAAGAGTGTCAGGTGTAGTGGTTCACATGTGTAATCCCAAAACTTTGGGAGGCTGAGGCAGGCAGACTGCTTGAGCCTAGGAGTTCCAGACCAGCCTGGGCAACATGGCGAAACCCTGTCTCTACAAAAAATACAAAAACTAGTCAGGCGTAGTGGTATGTGCCTCTAGCCCCAGCTTTCCGGAAGCCTGAGGTGGGAGGATCGCTTGGGTCTGGGAGGTGGAAGCTGCAGTGAGCCGTGACTGTGCCACTGTACTCCAACCTGGGTGACATAAGGAGACCCTGTCTGAAAAAAAAACCAAGAAACAAAACAAACAAACAAACAAAAAAAACACTAATAAAAGAGTGATCAGGAGTAGAGAAAGGGAGGAAATAGAATGATTATTGATAGCAGCAACAGGAGGCAGCCAAATGCCTAGGCAGACAAGGGTGGGTCCCCAGTGAAACCCAACCTTCAAGCCAAAAACAGCCTGAGGGCTGAAAGACTGGACTGCTGCTGGTCCAGGATGAAACCCACAACCCAGAGTGAGAACTTCTGTTCTTGTTTGCTCTCCCTTTCCCGATTGATTCTTTCTGAACAATGCCTTTTAACCAATCAAATGTTGCCTTTTCCAATATTACCTATGGCCTGCCCCTCCCCCATTCTGAACCCATAAAAGCCCCGGACTCAGCCACATTGAGGGGACTCTCTCGCCTTCAGGTAGGGAGACCCCCCCCCCCGCCGCCATGTCCCCTCTCCATTGAAAGCTGTTTCATCACTCAATAAAACTCCCCACCTTGCTCACTCTGATTGTCAGCACATCCTCATTCTTCTTGGCACAGGACAAGAACTGGAGAACTCAAGAAGTGCGCAAGTCGGGGCTGGCCCCAGGCAGGCCAAGTGGGAGGGCTATCTCCTGCAGCAGGTAGTGTGGTTAAGCAAGGCCCAGGCAGGGTGTCACTGGCTAGAGGTCCCCGGCTTGCAAAGTGACAAAGATGAAAATCCTGTGTCATTATTTTTACTGATCACAGGAGGGAACTGATAGATCTTACGAATATAGAGTTATAGGGTATCTGATGAAGTCTGAATTATAAAAGTAGCCTCTAGGATAAAAACACACATGTTTTTAATTATGAGAAGAAACATACAACACAAATACAGCAGATTCTATATAATAAAATATTTACAAAGGCAATAAAAACAAAAACATAAAAATGAGACACATTGCTTTTATCAATTAAACAAAAAGACTTTTAGATATATCACAAGACAAAACCCAATTTTATGACATATATAAGAGAGTAACTAAAATTTAAAAATTCAGGAAGACTGACTAAAAAAATGGCTAAATGCCAAATGTTGAAAATAATATCAACATTTTCAAGCAAAAAAATAAGGAGAAATGGGAAAAAGCATTTTAATATTAGGCCATTTTAACGTATATATGTAGGTCTCTGAAAGAGCAAATGAACCAAAATAAATATGGGTATGACAGATGTAAACAATGTAAAAGATATACATAATGGAATTATACTAAACATATTGTTCTCCAATCTGCTTTTCCAATTAATATGTATTAAAGATATTTCCATATTATTAACTATAGCTCTATCTTAAAATGAATTGCCTTTTAAGAAACTGCAATAGGCTGGGAGCAGTGGCTCATGCCTGTAATTCCAGCACTTTGGGAGGCCAAGGCAGGTGGATCACCTGAGGTCAGGAGTTCCAGAACAGCCTGGCCAACATGGTGAAACCCTGTCTCTACTGAAAATACTAAAATTAGCCAGGTATGGTGGCAGGCGCCTGTAATCCCAGCTACTCGGGAGGCTGAGGCAGGAGAATCGCTTGAACCTGGGAGGCGGAGGTTGCAGTGGGCCGAGACTACACCACTTCACTCCAGCCTGGGCAACAGAGCAAGACTCTGCCTCAAAAAAAAAAAACAAAAAAACCCAAAACAAAAAAAACCCCACAAAACCTGCAATAAAGTAATAAAGTAGAGTTGACCCTTGAACAACATGGGTTTGAACTGCAAGAGTCCACTTATACTTGGGTTTTTCTAAACCAAATGTGGATGGAAAATACAGTATTCTTGGGTAGTGAAACCCACCTATCCAGAGGGCCAATTTTTCTTATATGTGAATTCTGCTGGGCCAGGCTGCAAGACTCAGATTTTGGTATACATGGGGTTCATGGAACCATCCTCTGCATACCAAGGGATGACTATATATTTTTTGAAAGTTTACAAATGAGATTTACAAAGAGTTGTGGAAACTAAATAAATTTGAAACTTCACATTCCTCTTGGCAAATCATTGCTTACTTGGATTTTGTTTTTTAAAATCATGTTAAGCTTTTTGGGGGGGTTTATATTTTGTGGTACTAACGGAGGCAATTGTGTCATCTCAGCAAGGCATAATGCCTCATCTTATTTGCAGGGTAAAGTGGGATTGAGGCGAACCATGAGCCATGGGGTAGGAGGACAGATCTGACCCTTGGGATAGCTGGAGTGGGAGCAGAATGCCCAGTTGAATGCTGTGTGGCAGCAGGAGAGTAGAGAAGGTGATGAGGATCAGGTAACGAGGCAAGCAAAAAAGATGCCAAGTGATGGTGATGTAGACAATGATGAAAATGGCATTAGCTATCATTCTGAGAATTTATTACAAGCCAAATATTGGATGAGGCACGTGACCACAGAACTCAATATAATACATACAAATCTGAATAGATTTTCACAAACCCTGTGCATGTGTTGCTTATGTAAATTAAAGAATTCAAGTCTATTTCCCAAAAGTGATATTCCTAGGCACTGTTTTTCAGCCTTTCAGAAACTATGGTGTATTTAACTGTGTACAAGACAGATAAGGCTTAAAAAGTGAAATATTTTATGATGATCATGTGATTTTTTTTTTTTTTTTTTTTTCTGAAAACGTTAGGATTCCTAGATTGGTTTCCCTAGGAATTGCCCTCTGAGACAGACATTTGCACTCAGGTACTTTTTGAGGAGCAACAGCTATGAGCCTTGAGGCACCCAAGGCTGGGCAGGAAGAGGAAGTGAACTATGATGCAGTAGTAACAGAGGTCTCAGCCAATCTGCAGGGAGCTTTGCAGCTGGGATGACCCTTTAAACATGTCCTGAACTGAATCAAAGGGGCCATGCCTTCATACCTTTGCAGCCAACAATCATTATATGTGAACTCCAGTGGGGAAAGAACATAACCTTTGGCCTAGCACAAATCCTGGGTAGGGGACCCCCTTGGCCAACACAATTCCTATAAGCCATCAGCAGCTGACATTCCTGGAAGATGATGGAATGAGTGTCTTGGTCCTGACAGGGACATCTGAATGGTCTACCACATCATCCACTAGAGTCTATCTTTTGGTTTTTTGGATCCGTTTGCTCTGCATAGTAAGTCTGCTCCATCTGGGAAAGTTCATCCAGGAACCTGTTTAATCTCTTTTTTTGGGGAAAATTATGATAAGAGGGTTAAAAGGACAAACAACATGCCCTGAAGCTGTGGCTGGTCTCACACCTGCAGAGGTGCTCATTGTCTCCTTTTTCTACCACCCATTGTAGATGCCCCTCAGCCTTGGTCTGCTCCTTTCCTCATCTAGGTGGCTTATCTGGTGAGGTGACCCAGACTCTCACTCTTGAGAGCTCCAAACTCCAGGTCACCATGCCCTCTTCAGGCTGTGGCTGTTGCACTTGCCCATTTATTATTAAAATTGGAAAAGAAGGTACCAAGAGCCACCCAGTGGATCACTTGCATGTCAAACACATTCTTCTCTGTCCTCACTGTGTGAAAGTAGCCTATCTCTTCATGGTAAGAGTCGACTACCCTTGTGAGAATTACACCTCCTTTCCTTCCTGGTCATCTCTTAACATAAGGAGGCTAGCGTGACAGGCTATTTGTAGTTTAAAGTTCGACTCTTGCTGTCACCTTTGGTGGAGATGTTGCCCTCCTGGGAACTGGGACCTCTAGGTATACAGAGCCTAGAGTTGGAGGATGGAAAACACGAATTCTCTAAGTAGGTCACTGGAGATGATTATAATTGGGGCTCCTTCCTCCCTTTCATTTCCATAACCATGTATTCTATCTTTTGCAAACACAGCACCATATAATGGCTATGGATTTAGGGCACATGCTGAGTCCTGGAGAATGCCACTCCAGTTGCCCAGGGAGCATCTCCAAGCTTGTACATCTTTTGCACTTTAAAAAGGTCATTCCATTGTCATACCAGGCAGGCAGCTTCTGCATGGTTCAGAATGTACCAGTGGATCCCATGGTTATGTGCTCATTGTTGCACTTCCTTTAACATAAGCTATAAAATCAGTTCCTAGGTCACATGCAATATTACGTGGAATTCCAAATTAGTGGATCAAATACTCTGGAATCCCTCAGATAGTGGTGGTGGCTAAGGAAGTCCTGTTGATGGGAAAGACAAACCCTTACCTAGAATATGTGTCAATTCCAGGTAAGATGAATTGTTGTTCCTTCCTGGGTGGAATGGGCTTGATGTAATCAACTTGCCACCAAATGGTTGATGGATGTATTTGAGGAATTGTGTCATAGCAGGGATCCAGAGTGATTTCTGTTGCTAGAAGCTTGGATATTTGGCAATGCCAGTGGTTAGATAACCTTTAATGAGATGTAACCCATGAAAATGGGTTCATGCATAGCCTTCATCCCTGTCACCATTGCTACTTCATTTATGAGTCCATTGTGCCAGCCTTTGGGTGGTTGGTGATAGAGGCTAGCTAACGTCACCTGGTCAAATGATTCTGTCTACTTGTTTTTTATTATCTCATCTGTGGTAGGTGAGTTGGTGTTAACATGTGATACAAAGATTTTCACACTTTGTGTCCACTACCATAGGTCTTCCACATGTCTTTTTGCCTTGTCCCGTATCTTCTAGTCTTTGTCGTTCCAGAGCCCTTACCAACCAGCCAAGCCATTCTGCACTGCCCATGAGTGTTTATATATTCTTACCTTGAGCCATTTCATTTCTCTTTCCAAACAAAGTGATGACCAGGTGTACTGCTCAAAGCTCTGCCATTGGCAAGTTCTCTCCTCACCACTGTCTTTCAGGACCACACCTGGATAGGGCTATTGTGAAGGCCTGAAACATTTTCAGATTATACCCATGTGCCAAGCAGACTCATCTGTGAATCAAGCTTGGCCCTTTCCTTCTTCTGACAGCTGCTCATAAAGAATCCTTCTTTACCCCACTCTGCTCTGCCCCATTTCCTGTGCACATAAGTGAGAGCTGAGGAGAGGCACTCGTGTAAAAGCAGTGGATGACTGGGGAATTGGGGCCACCTGCACATGCAGCATACTTGTGTCCTCTGTCCTTATGGACCACTTCCATCTTGAGATGGATGGTTGCTGGGCCTGACCTCATGGCTTATTGGGTCCAATGGTACCAAGCTCCTGATGCATAGCTTTGGTTTCAGGGTCACTTTGGGTTCCATAGGCAGGTGCTTCATCTCCTCCAGGGCCCGGTGGCATGCCAGGAACACTTATTTTTTTATTTTATTTTATTTTTAGAGAAAGGGTTTTACTCTGTCACCAAGCCGAAGTGCAGTGGGGCCATCATAGCTCACTGTGACCTCACACTCTTGGGCTCAAGGGATCCTCCTTCTTCAGCCTCCCAAGAAGCTGGGACTACAGGTATGCACCACCGCACCTGGCTAATTTTAATTTTTTTGTAGAATGAAGCCTCACTATGTTGCCCAACAGAAACAGTTTTTCAAGTACTGTATAGTTCTTTGCTAAAGATAGTCTGGACATTCTCTAGAACTTTAGAGGGTCTACACTGATATTCCCACTGGAATTTGACATAATTTCCACATGGTGTCTTTCTCCATCAGAGGTATCCCTAGTAGCAGAGGTTCTGCTCGACATGGGCCTGGACCTGCTGTGGAGCTCTTTCCTCTTCTGGGTTCTTAATCGAAGCTTGTAGCCCTTTGTGCCACGCAGTAAATGGGTCAGAACTGTATTTCCATGTGTAGAATATGCTGCCTCCAGAACCTGAAGAGGAGGACCAAGTGTTATGCATCCTCCTTAATAGGAGGTAAAACATGCAGTAATTTGTCCTTAACTTTGGAGGGGAGATTCCAGTATGTTTCAGACTACTAGACCCTGCAAACTTCACTGACATGGCAAGTCTCCAAATCTTTGTAGGTTTTTCTATCTCCCACCCTCTAGAGTGCCTGTTTTACCAAGGCCTGCAATGTACTTCTCCCTTCTTGCTAAGCTGATATGACTGATATGATGTCATAGATATAGTGAACCAATGTGATACCCTTCAGGCTATATTATGACAAAGGGCAGGAGAATTAACATTGCTATCGAGCAAATGTATATTGTTGCTCCATAAATATATGGCAAACATATATACTTGTTGATTCCATATGAATAGGACTGCTTCTGATTATTCTTCCTGATAGGGTAGCAGAATAATTCACCCCCCGCCAAATATGTCCACATGTTAATCCCAGAGATCTGTTAATATGTTACCTTACATGGCAAGAGACTTTGCAGATACGATTAAGGACCTTGAGACAGAGGAATTATCTAGGTGGTCCCTATATATTTACACAGGTCCTTAAAAATTGGAGAACGTTTCCCAGCTGGGGTTAGAGGGAGGTGTGACTATGGAGGAATGATCAGAGAAATGCAATGTTACTGGCTTTCTATGAGCCAAAGAATGCGGGTGGTCTCTAGAAGCTGGAAAAAGAAAGTAGATTTTCCTCTAGGGCCTCTGGAAAGGAATGCAACCCTGCTGACCCTTTGATTTTCACCCAAGGAGACCCACGTCAGACTTTTAACCCACAGAGCTGTCAGATAGTAAATTTGTGCTATTTCAAGCTACTAAATTTGTGGCAATTTTTTACAGCAGCAGTAGAAAATTAATGCAGATGGAAAAGAACACACCCACCAGTCAGGAGCTGTGCAGTAGATACCTGAGGCCGTGTTCATGTGCCCTGGCCACTGTGCCACATAGGCCCAGCAACTGCAAGTGAGCAACTACCTGGTTGAGTTTTTGGTAGTCCAAATGTCATCCTCAGGGTCCATCTGTTTTCTCCAGGAGTCAGACTGGTGAATTCAGTGGGGATGTGAAGGAGACTTACCACCCCTGCATTCTTTAGGTCTTTAAGGGTAGCACTCTGCCATTTCTCTCAGGATACAACATAGTTTTTGATTTACTGTCTGGTCTGAGTAGAAGGAATATTTTCAGAGGCCTCTACTTGCCTTTCTTCATTGTGGTAGCTCTTACCCCATTGATGAAGAAATCAATAAGGGGGTCCTGTCAACTACCAAGTGTGTTCATTTCGATTCTACCTTCAGGGACCAGGGATTAACCAGAGGGTACATAGGCCCAGTGGATGGACTGTGAGACAGACCTGGGCCAGGCCTCTATCAATGACCTGGCACTCAGTCTAACAATCTCTGTGTGGGCAGCTGGGGTGGTGGATGGTATCCCTGGGTCAATTTGGACCCTGTGTCCAACAGTCCTTGAAGTGATGAGGTATAGTCCTTATTTCTGTGTATGGTTACCCAAGCAAATGGGTGTAAGTGCTTTGGGGGGGAAGAAATGAGGTAATCATTACCATATATACTTGCCAAGGCATTGCAGGGTCTTCATTCTTGGACCTTGGCATCATTTTTAGTAAATGGGTTCCAGGTCTGAAAACTGGCTCAGCTCCAGAAGAGATCATGGCTTTTTAATTGAGTTGGCCACCCTCAGCCTCCTGATGGTCCATCCTCAATATCTTTTGGTGGTAGAGACTGAGCAGTACTTCTTTAAGCTGCCTTCCTATCCTGCCTATGGGGATGCCAAGCACTGTTACCCACCTCCACAGCCATCTGTGGGTCAGGCCCTCTCAGATATCATCAGATGAGTTAGGGCTGAGATTTCAACCTTCTCTGGAACTCCTGAACTCCTATCAATGAGTCCCAGGTCTGAGCCTCAGCTCTTTCTGCCTTCCAACGTCAGGGGAGCAAAGTCTTCACAATTTGTCAAGGAGGACTTCTGGCTTTCTTATTTTGCCTTAAATTAGTGATTAACCAATATCTCCCAGAAATGGCCATAATTCTTATAATTCTCAAAATGACTACTTCCCATGAACTTCTCAAATGCCTGAAAGAGTCTACCCACCCATGAGTTCCCTTCTATCTGTATTCCATTCCAGCTTATGAACAGCGACATTAAAAAACAGCAACGAGGCTGGGCGTGGTGGCTTATGCCTGTAATCCCAGCGTTTTGGGAGGCCAAGCCAGGAGGATCTCTTGAGCCCAGGAGTTTGAAACCAGCCTCGGCAACATAGCGAGACCCTATCTCTACAAAGAATAAAAAATTAGCTGGGCATGGTGGTGCATACCTGTAGTCCCAGCTGCTCGGGAGGGAGGATTGTTTAAGCCTAGGAGGTTGAGGCTGCAATGAGCTGTGATCGTACCACTCTACTCTAGCCTGGGTGACAGAGTGACACCCTGTCTCAAAACAAACAAATAAAAAAATCAATGACAATTGCATTGCTACCATATGCCAGGGCCTTTCAGCCCACCCCCCACCATCATCGATGGGCTTCTCATTGCCAGCCAGCCAGAGGGTTATCCAGCTCTAAATCCTATTTTAGAGTCAGTCACCTTGAACCACTCCTGACATCTGCTGTTGTGGTTGGGTTCCCCAGGAAATAGACTCTCAGATGGAGATTTGTGTGCACGCAATTTACTAGGGAATGGTCTCAGGAAAGATATCTGTTAGGGTCTGAGCAAAGCAGGATGGCAGAAAGAGAAGGTGAACAGTGGTGCAATTGAAAGAGGCCTCAGCCTATCACGTGGGGAGCTCTGGAGCTGGAAAAGCCCTTCACAGATGTTCCAAATTAAGGCCCAGGGCTCAGGCCTCTGTCCCTTTGCATCAATCACCCATTGCATACCTGCTGCCTCCCTGGAGGCCCTGTAGCTTTGGGTGAGGCAGTTCCCTTTGACTGAGTGCATCGGCAGATAACACCCCCAGAAGCTGGGGCAGTGAGCCTTGTTCCTGAAGTGGGGGTCTAGGCAGAGCCCCACAGCATTCAGTACATTACAGGTTGGAATTTAAAGCTATTAATTTGCAGAGTTTCCAATTTGTGCACAGATCTTTGAAAATAAGGAGAAAAAATAATCCCATAGCAAATAATGCTATTTCTATTCCTCTAGCGTTACCAAAAGCACGATAAACAAATCTTGGCTGACTAGTTTCAATAACTGAAAAAATGCTGAGAGAGAACAAGAGATAGAGCTAAAGACAGATAGAGGTAGAGGTAGAGACAGAGCTAGAGATAGATAGAGGTAGAGGTAGAGATAGAGCTAGAGATAGATAGAGGTAGAGGTAGAGATAGAGATAGAGATGATAGAACTTCAGAAAGCAAAGCAAGGAAAGGCCGAATTTGGCTTGGAGCCTGTATCACGGATGTTCTTCTACTTCTTAGTGGTTAAAGAACCTTGCTAGACTGACTCCAGGAAGGAAAACCTTACATTCAGAGGCATCTCACAGCTAGTCATTTCTCCTTGCAAGATTCCCAGCCTATCTCCCTTCCTTCCTGAGGATGTACAGACCTGCACATTTAGCTTAGAATCATTCGAATCTTTGGAATGCTGTGGTTTCAACTAACCTAGGCTATTTTTAGAGTTACTGATGCAGGGCAGGTTCTTGGCTTTGCCCAGGAAGGAATTCAAGAGCGAACAGGTGGAGGAAGAAAACAGCTTTACTGAGGCAGTGGCAGTGTGACAGCTTCCGTGGAGCAGGGCTGCCCCATAAACAGCATGCAGAGAGTAGCAGCCTAGGGGCAGTTTTGCAATCATATTTATACCCACTTTTAATGACATGCTACTTAATGGGCAAGTTATGCAGAAATGGCTAGAAAATGGGCGGTAACTACTGGATGTTGCTATGGTAATGGTAAGTTGTCATGGCTTTGGTGGGCGTGTCTCATGGAGAGGTGCTTTCTGCACCTCTTCCTGGTTTGGCCAGTCTTATAAATCTGGTTGGGAGTCAAGCCCAACCTGCCTCCTACCTCATTACCAGTTAGCTGGAGACCTCATTCTTCGGGAGGATTTCAGCTTGCAGGGCTCTCCTGCCTTCCTTTGCCTTCCTGTCCACAATACTCTTTAAACCTGGGCCATCTATAGCTGCCCTAAAACAGGAGGGCAGAGAAAACATCCCCTGCCTTCACCTGAAGATGCCAGTCAAACTTTTTCAGATTTGGCAACTCATGTCCCTGTCTTTCTGCCTTCTGCCCTCTCCTCTCTCAGGAGAATTTAACATTCCACCTTTCCAGCCCCACCTGCCTGTTGCAATTCCCTACCACACTCCTTGCTCTCCTTTAGGCAATGAAAGAAAAGAGCTTTTGGGGGTGATGGCCTGTGTCCCTAATGCTCACTATCACTGTGGCTAAAATCCACTTGGTCGTTACCTCTTCTACCCAGTGCTGTGGGGCCCTGAGCAGGTAAGGCTGACTGAGGAGGCCCAAACCATGAGAATGCTTTCCTCCTCTTTCCACCTCTTTTCTTGCATCAGTTCAGTGATGCAAAAAATGCTTTCCTTGAGAGCGTGAGACACTCAGGCTCAGCGCCTCATCTAACCTGAAGCCAGCAGCAAGTCTGACAATTTGTCTGAACACCTCCCCTTGCCAGTTTTCCAGTGCACATGTCCAAGCCGAGGTGCGGCAGGTGCACTGCCATATGCCTCAGGAAATGAATCAAGACAGCGCTTTGGACGAGGCACTCTGACGGTGGTACTCACTCAGAGGGAGTGCTACTGCCCCCAGGGAAGCATTTTGAGAGTTTTGGCGAGGCAGTGATTTTACTTTCACAATGATTGGAAGTGTTGCTGGCATTTAATAGGTGGGTTCAGGGATGCTGGTCATCCTGCTATGCAGAGCACCGTCCTGTGCCTTTTTTTTTTTTTTTTTTTTTTTGGAGGCAGGGTCTCACTCTGTCACCCAGGCTGGAGTGCAGTGGCACAGTCTCAGCTCACTGCAGCCTCCACTGTCTGGGTTCAAGTGATTCTTGTGCCTCAGCCTCCCGAATAGCTGGGATTACAGGCATGTATCACCACACCCAACTAATTTTTTAATTTTTAGTAGAGATGGGGTTTCACCATGTTGGCCAGGCTGGTCTTGAACTCCTGACCTTAAGTGATCCGCCTGCCTCAGCCTCCCAAAGTGCTGGGATTACAGGCGTGAGCCACCATGCCTGACCCCATCCTGTGCTTTTTAATGTTCCACCACAAATTCATGTGGGTACAAAACCATTTGTAAGTGCCCGAACCTAGAGGTGAACTCCATTTTACATATAAACACAAATACTTTTATACATGGTGGTAAAATACACTAGTTTTCTAAGAATGCAAGTACTTTGTAAACCAATGGACTGTTTTATCTTCCAGTGAAAGTATCTCGACTTTTTGCTTATTTGATTTAGGTGCAATTTGAGAACTACAAACTTTTGCTTTTCATTTAAATTTTTCCTCCCTCAGCACAGATCCATGGGGAATAAGTCTGTGTAGTGGAAATACTTAATATACAACACATGTTGAATAATGTCTTGAATATATTTTATAAAGTGATATTTATGAAAGAGCAGTGATTAATTAATAGACCACATTTCTCAAAATGTTTTTTGCTTACAATTGCATTTCTCAAGCACGAAAGCTACGGATTTATCCTGCATTCTCTAGAAAATGCTTAAATGTTGTGTTTCTGTTACAATGGCAATCTAAAAGAAATTAAGCATGCTGGTTCTGATTACCCAGAGGATCATCTTCTGATGATTGCTGGCATGCAGTCTAGTGCCTGTGTTTGCAGTTGTTTACAATCATCTTGAAAACAGTAGCAGTAGTTGAATTGTTGTTGGCCAATGATAAAGTAACAGAAGGGAACTTAACCTTCAGCTATCTGGAAAATTAACTTATCTGAAATACCCATTTCTTTTAAAAGCACATAGATGAGACAGGCTTTACTTTAGTTCTTAGTCTAATTTGTTGTTGTGTTCTGACATGGAAGAAGAAAAATGGTGGATGTTACTTGGGTACCATTGGTTTAAACTTTGCCCACCTTGGATTAATCCTATTCCAGAATAACTGGGAACAGCACTTTAGTGAAGCTCAAGGGCAAATAATTTCTTGTGGAATTTTGCTCAGACACATATTTCATATACTTTCCTTTCCCTTTTTATGGTTTTGAAAGCAAAGTTCTCTCAATAAAACCAGTACTACCCTGTGCTGTGAGATCCTGGCAAACACATTTTCCTGACCCTCAAGCTCTAGCTCTAACATAATCTAAAACTCAGTTGCTCTAAAGGCATTCCATTAATACATTAGTGCTCTTTAAGAGAACTGTGATGCTACCTCTTTGTGTGAGCACGGATGCTTCAAACCAAGACACGCTTTTGCCTGCCAACTATTTTCCAAATATTGCCATGGAATTTAAGGCCCTATAAGACTGGGCCCTGTATTATTTGGGGTCAGACAGTAAATATTTGTGATTCTGGAGTTTGTTCCAGAATCCCAATTACCATTACTTAAATAAGATAAAAGCTTCTTCCTTTCCCATGTGTCTACAGGTAAGTGTCCGGGTGTGGGTGGGCAGCTTTGTCACCCTCTGCCTGTGGATGCCATATCTGGGTCCCAGGCAGCTGCGCTAGTTGTCACCATTTCCATCCCGGAGAAAGGGGAAAGAGGGAAGTCCTGGGGCAGTGCTTTCATAGCACATCACTTCAGCTCCAGGACCAGCACTCAGACCTAGTCATGTGGCCACACATTGCTGCAAGAGAGGCTGGGAATGGTAGCCTTCTGCTGGGCAGTCGCATGTCAAGATAAAATGAGGGATTTTCTCACTAAAAGGAAGAGGGACAAATGAATACTAGAGAACAATTAGCAGTCTCTGCTTTTAGCCATGTCTCCTTTTACTTTTCCTACATTCCAGCTGCACAAAGTATGTTACCCGACATGTGCTTTGTTTCCGAGCTTTCGTGCTCACCCGCCTTTGCCTGGGACATATTTTTTCTCTCCTCCATTTGTTGAAATACTCCTCATCCTTCAAGGCACAGGTAACAGACCATTTTCTCCATGATGTCTTTCCAAATTATCAGTCATCCCTCTCTCTCTCTCTCTGCCCCTCTTCTGGTTCCGTTGACATTGGATAAATCGATGGTATATGCCTACAGTACACCTTATAAAATGTTGTTGACTTGTAAATATGATGAATTTTGTTCTTCTTCTGTGACTATGTCTTATTCATGGTTATGTTTTATTCTTCATGATAGCTTGGACGTTTCTTGGAGCGTGACTCAAATTTTTGATACTTTGAGTTTGAATCCCAGCTCTGCCACTTAGAAGCTGAGTGACTTTGGCCAAGTCACTTAGCTTGCTAAAATTTGCTAAACTTAATTTTTTCTCTTTCCTCTGGTTAAAAAATAGGTGAATAAAATTACCTGCCTGAGGATTAAATACAATACTTCATGTGAAGGCCTTAGCATAGTGCCTGGCATGTAGTATGTGCTCAATAAATAGGAACTGGTATTACTGTTTTTTTCTTGCTGTCACTTTCTAGTGTTAAAAGACTCTCTTATATTCTGTGTGTTGGGAGTCATTAAATAAATCATTGTCCTGAAATGAGATATTTATGGTACATTTGCTATATTATTTGCTATCTTATGTATTATATTAGTCTATAATACATAAGATTTGCACAGCTCTTGGCCAAGTCATTTGGTCTCACTCCACATTATTATGTAGGTGTTACTGCTCTCGTGAAATCATATGGGACAAAGTGTAAGGGGACCCTGGGTTGCCTGAGATGCTGTAGGTTGTCTCAGGAACATCTGCCTGGAGCACAGCTCTTTGGAACCCATGCCCAGTGCTCTTTCCACCTTTTACCCTGATGTCTGGTATTTTACACTGCCAAGGTTATGTTATTTTTGTGAAACATAAGGGAATTTTTCTGCAGGATTAGGAATGAAACATTACAGCAGTTGAAAAGGAGTAGGCTGTTTTACTTTCTTTAAAATACGGTTTCCCGAAGGAGACAAGTGGGGATGGCAGCAGGGCAGGCAGAACCCTCACAAGCATCTGGATGTCTGCCTCCCCCAGTCACAGAGACCTTGCCCTCCCTCTGCCAGCTACTTAGGCTGCTGGGCCTACCGGAGTGCGACGTCTTCTAGCACGTACAGGTGTCCCGTGTGTGGATGACAGTTCCTGTGACAGCAGGTCTTAAAGGTGGACCATCAAGATCAGCAACATGAAAAACCAGGCACAGAAGTTGAAGCCCACAATTTCTGGGAATTAAAAACTCGGTTTAACAAAACAACACAAAGATAAGTAAAGTCTATAAATTGGGCTTTACACATCCAAGTGAAACTGATTTCAAAGCCAGAGGCCCTCTGTATCCTGAAAGCTCCACAGAGGAGGTGTAAGTTCAGAAGCTGCACTTGTTGGATTGAAGGGAGAGGACATCAGTCGGCTGCGAGCTGCACCTGCCACTGGTGCTCCCAAGAGCCAGGTACCCATGAGCCTCAGATGAGAAGAAAGCATTTTTCTCTTACCTGCTCACAGCCCCTTCTGCATGTAGTAGGCAGAGGGCCAAGGTGCAGTGACCAGCTGGGGTGGCCACCCCTGCTCTTGGCAGGACTGTCATGTGGGAAACCATGCTGAGGCTCCCACTGCACAGACCCCTGGGAGTGACCTGCACAAACCAGAATCACAAACAAGCATCTGGTCTTAGTACAACCTGCAGGAAGGTAGAGCTTCATCCCAGAAGAAAAGCCATCCGTGGTCCATAAACAACTGGTGCATCTCGGCCTTAAGTCATCATTAGTGCTCCCAGCCAGCGGGCATCTCAGGACAGAAGCAGCCCATTATTTTGCCTCATTAGACTATTGGCCCAAGTCACCCAAAATGAAACACATCTGGGAATATAGTTATTGAGGAATGTGGAGATTTGATGAAGAATACAAGAAACTTTATTGCGGGATATAAAATAAGATTTGAATAAAGGGAGACATGTCATGAATGGAGAGACTCAAAATTCATCTCAACGCGCTCAAGAAAGAGTTGAGATAAAATCAGAGAACTTGGCTACTGATCATTGCAGGTGGGAAAATCAGGGCACCTTTGGACGCTTGGGACCCAGCATCCCTCGGGGGAGGCCAGTCCCCCAGGTCTGTTTTGTGACCCTTGGCTGCACATTCTCCCAGATAGGAGCTACAAACCAGGGCCCTGCGTCAGACCCTTGGGGATGGGGGAGGTCTAGAAAAACCCACGGAGGAAGAATAATGGTACCAGAGGGAACTTTAACTCCTAGAATCAGGGACCGGGAAAACCTGAAGTTCAGGAAAGCTGCTAATGAAGTGAGATGGAAGCCACGTGCCTTGCCAGGAGCTTACTAACGTAATGTGGCACCCGCCAGCCTATTCTGCAGACATAATGGAAGAGAGTGTTTCCACTGCTCATTCCACAGGCAAGCCACAGATCCTGGCCACTCCTTGCCTTGGAGGCAGTACAGACACATTCATAGGGTTTGGCTCCTTTCCCTTGAGTTCTGCACCTTAAACTAAAGAAGTCAGTCACGCGAGGCTGGCTTGCTGGAACCGGCTAGAAAATGCAGCCCTGCCTGCCGCAGGGATCTCCTCCGGTATGGCCACACATATGAGTTCTGGCAATGCCCATTAGTGATATGGCCGATAGTTTCTTCTGTCTTGCTTCCAGGAACCTTTTCTTGGTTTGAAGCCACCGAACCAGAAGAGAGAATTTTTACCACTTTGAGGACTTCTTGTGACGAATCCAATGGGAATTCCATAATATTCAGAAACAAAACATTTTGAGGGCCAACAAATTATTAAGCCCTTTGCTAGGTCTTAGAGATACAAAGATAAAGAAGACTGGAGTTTTCTTTTTATTATCTACCAGACTGAAGGCCACTGCCTGGGGACTTGATCTAAGAGAAGAAATATCAGGAGACCTGGGTTTGGCTCCTGGCTCTGCCAGGTGATCATGGAGCAGTCACGTATTATCCCTGAGCTTCCGTTTCCTCATCTACTTAATTAGTGATGGGTCTACAGGGCCTTGCTGGGGTCCACTTCTGACATTCTGTGTTGGTGAGTATGGAAAAATTGTGAGTAACTGAAAGACTTTTGTTTCTGTATTCTCAGAAAAGCGTGGACACCTGATTTTTTTCCTTTTATTCTTTTTGTTTTTCTTTTTTGAGACTATCGTAAAACTGCAGCCATTTATTATTTATTTATTTATTTATTTATTTATTTATTTATTTATTTTTTGAGATGGAGTCTTGCTCTGTCACCCAGGCTGGAGTGCCACGGTGTGGTCTCAGCTCAGTGCAACCTCCATCTCCCGGGTTCAAGCGATTCTCCTGCTTCAGCATCCTGAGTAGCTGGGGCTGGAGGCACTCACCACCACACCCCACTAATTTTTGTATTTTTAGTAGAGATGGGGTTTCGCCATGTTGGCCAGGCTGGTCTCGAACTCCTGACTTCAGGTGATCCGCCCACCTGGGCCTCCCAAAGTGCTGGGATTACAGGCGTGAGCCACTGTGCCTTGCCTGTTCTTTTATTTTTATTTGCTATTATTATGTAATAGCTGATATATGCAAAATAATGTGAGTATCACACAGTTAAGGGATGAGGCATAGTAATAACAGGAAGAACACCTGTGAGTCGTCCTTAAACTAGAACATGATCAATATCATTGCTGTAGCTGGTGGGCTCCTTTCCTATGCCATCCCCTGCAAGTCCCTAGAAGTAACCAGCTTTCCGAATTTTATTTCTATAAAGCCCTGGTTAAAATAATAATTTAGCACATATGTAGATAACCTTAAGAAACATATTATTTGATTGTGTCCACTTTATCAGAATGGTATTATGCTACATGCAGTCTTCTTTTCATTTGCTTTTTTTCCACTCAGTATTTTGTTTCTAAGATTCATCCATGTTGCATGTAGTTCATTATTTTCACTACTGTCTCTAGCATTTTATTGTGTGAGTAGTTATAAATAATTGTTTATTCTTTCTCTGAACACTTTGGACACTTGGGTTGTTTCTGGTTGTTATTTTGATATTGCTGTGAACATTCCCATACGTAAATCACATGCAAGAATTTCTCTAGGGTTATACTTAGAAGTACAACCACATGAATTTGTGCACGTGTGCGAGGGTTTCTCTAGGGTAGGATTGCTAGGCTATAAGGTATATGAATATATTTAACTTATTTTTTCTGAGGGGTTATACCAATTTAGACTCCTGCCAAGAGTGAATAAAGATTCCAGTTGAATCATACTCTTTCCAAGTTCTTTTTCTTTTTTTTTTTGTTTTTTTTGAGACAGGGTGTGGCTCTATCGCCCAGGCTGGAGCACAGTGGCATGATCTCAGCTCACTGCAACCTCTGTGCGGGCATTTGTTCTGCAGACCCTCACCCAACAACGGATGAGTAATGTACACTGACACAGATACTCTGCCTGTCAGTCCAGCTAAGGGTCTGGGCCCCTCACAGACACCAAGGAAGGTTCTGTAAAGAGTAGCAGCCATGGCTCCATTCAGTCAGCGAAGCTCACATTTATTCAGTATAGATTAGATGACAAAGGTCTTGAGTAAAAACCACTAGAGGGTAATTGACATTGCTGACCTCCTGAGTAGAGAGCAATCATGCATCTGTGGTTGACCAAATGTTGGTCTTAGGACCACATGAATAAACAAGCTATTTAGATAAACTACTCTACATTCCTATGTATCCATGCCCTGAGCTTTTAAGAGAATTCTGCCTTCAGCCAAACACTTTATGCAGACCTCCAGGCCTTCCAAGAGGGTTTGCGTTTATTTCCCATAATTTTACAATTTCTCCCACCATCCTGACTGAACCCCCACACCTCTGCATCCCAGGTTCAAGCCATCCTCCCACCTCAGTCTCCCAAGTAGCTGGGACTACAGGTGTGCACCACCACACCCAACTAGTTTTTTGTATTTTTTGTAGAAATGTGGTTTCGTCATATTGCCCAGGCTGGTGTCGAATTCATGAGCTCAAAGCGATCTACTTGCCTTGACCTCACAAAGTGCTGAGATTACAGGCCTGAGCCACTGCGCCCAGCCCAAGTTTTTGACAATATCAGCCTTATTAATTTGTGCCAATCCAGTGGGTAAAAAGTAAAGTCCCACTGGTATCTTAGTGTCTCTGCGATTACTAATGAGGTTGTGTATTCTTTTATATATTTATGGGCTATTCATATTTTCTGCTCTGTGAACTGTGTATTTATTAACTTATTTATTGAACTTTGAAAAGATTTTAAAAAATACATCATCTTTATGTAGATTATATTGGTTATATATATTGCAAATATCTTCTCCTACATTGTTGCTTTTCTGATCACTTTCTTCATGGGGTCTACTGTTAAACAGAAGTTCTTAATTTGAATGTAGCCAAATTTATTATTTTTCTTTCATAGTTTTGTGTTTTCTTTAAGAAACCTTCACCTCTCTGATGTTCTAAAGATATTCTCCCATGTTGCCTTCAAAAGTTTTAGAGTTTTGCCTTGTGTATTTAAATCTTAAATCTGCTAGCATTTGATTCTTCTGCATGGTGCAAAGCAGGGATTAGTCACAGTATTTTCCCCCCCATGTAGGTAACCAGTGGCCTTGCACTATTTATTGAAGAGTTCATTGTTTCCTTGTCATCCGCAGTGCCTTCTCTTCCATCCTCAAGTACCCACCCTTCTCTCTTTCTCTCTGTCTCTGTTTCTCTAGTCTGTTCCATTGGGCAATTTGTCTATTTCTGTGCCAGTACAGCACTGTCTTTGTTATTTTAGCTTTGGAATAAGTCTTGATATTCCTTTTCAGGAGTGCTTTATTTACTCTTAGGTCTTTGTTCCTCCATATAATTTGAGAACTAGGCCGGGTGCAGTGGCTCACACCTGTAATCCCAGCACTTTGGGAGGCTCTGGTGGGAGAACTGGTTGAGCCCAGGAGCTCGAGACCAGCCTGGGCAATGTGGCAAGATAGACATAGACACGTCGTTATAAGACCATGTGTAAATATAACAAACATGAAACACTGGGGGAAGTTAGGGAAAGTATTAGATAAGGTAACATGTATGAAGATCCTCAATGAACAAAGATTCTGTATTCTGGCTTCAGATGTAAAAACCCTGTCTGTCCCATTTTGTCAAACCCCTTAGGGCCGAAAGTAACTACCAAGGGTACCCTCATTGAAACCCAAGGGGGGTTCAGTGATTCCACAGTTGGATCAGTTTGCCCTGGACCTATAAATCTAAACCAGCGTGCCCATCTATTTTTCTTTTGTATTCAAACATGGACATCAGCTCACAGCATCTCTTCTAGTATTCTGTTCACCTACATCCAGAATGTTTTGTAGATCTGTGTTGTCTTTCTCTGATAGACCTAATTAGAATCTCCTCAGTTTTTCATGAAGCCAATTCTACCAATTTTGCAAGCTCAATTTTCAATAGCTTTGCCTTCATGGTTTTATTCAATTCTGTACCAAATGTTTTGGGTCATACTTCAATAATGAATGAGTGCCTGTTATGGTGCTAGACACTTCATGGTGTGTGTTTTGGTGCTAGACGCTTTTAGAGAATACAGAGTCAAGGCATTTTGAGTTAGGTTGGCCTGGGTTCAAGTCTTGACTCTGCCGTATAAGCTGGGTGACTTTGGGTCAACCATTTAGTATTTTTTAAATAATTTTTATTTTTATTTCAATAGTTGGGGTACAGTTTTTGGTTACATGGATAAGTTCTTTAGTGGTGATTTCTGAGATTTTGATGCACCTGTCACCCAAGGAGTGTACGCTGTACTCAATATGTAGTCTTTTATCCCTCACGCCCCTACCACCCTTCCCCCAGAATCCCCAAAGTCCATTATATTGTTCTTATGCCTTTGCATCCTCATAGTGTAACTCCCACTTATGAGAATATATTATATTTGGTTTTCCATTCCTGAGTTACTTCACTTAGAATAATGACCTCCAGCTCCTTCCAAGTTGCTGCAAAAGGCATTATTTTGTTCCTTTTTATGGCTGAGTAGTATTCCATGTTGTATATATACCACATTTTCTTTAACCACTTGTTGATTGATGGGCACTTAGGTTGGTTCCATATCTTTGCAATTGTGAATTGTGCTGCCATAAACACATATGTGCATGTGTCTTTTTCATATAATGACTTCTTTTCCTTTGGGTAGATACCCAGTAGTGGGATTGCTAGATCGAATGGTACTTCTACTTTTAGTTCTTTAAGGAATCTCCATACTGTTTTCCGTAGTGGTTGTGGTAATTTACATTGCCACTAGCAGTGTAAAAGTGTTCCCTTTACACCACATTCATGCCAACATCTGTTGTTTTTCGACTTCTTAATTATGGACATTCTTGCAGGAGTAAGGTGATGTTGAACATTTTTTTTTCATATGTTTGTTGGCTGTTCATGTATATTTTTTGAGAATTGCCTATTCATGTTCTTTGCCCACTTTTTGATGGGATTATTTGTTTTTTTCTTGCTGATTTGTTTGAGTTCCTTATAGATTCCGGATATTTGTCCTTCACTGGATGCATAGTTTGCGACTATTTTCTCCCAGTCTATGGGTTGTCTGTTTAGTCTTTTGATTATGTGCTTCTTCATGTGTAACATGGGATGATAATTCTGGGTTGTAGGTGACATTACATAAGGGGTCTTGCACACATACTCTTTTAATCAAAGGAAAAACAAAAAATGTTAGTTCCAGAAATTAGAACAGAGGAAGACATCTTGCTTCTGAGATGATTATTTTTTTCTTAGAGGAGCATATGAAGTAGTGGAAGCTCAGACATTCACAGAGAACATGTGCTGGGAAAAAAACACATGCCAACGTAGTCCAAAGACTCGCATGTTCACTCTATTCTTATTCAGAAAGGACTTAAGATATCACTTAAAAATAAATCAAGACAACAAAGCGGATGAAAAAGCAAAGCAAAATCAAGGATGGGACATACGGTGAAGGGGGAAGGGGAAAGTGTGCAAATGCCCCCAGGGAGGCTGCTCCCTACACTTGCTTTATGGGGCCTCACATTCGATGCTGAGCTTTCCAGTGGCCACCACCAACAGTCATAGAGACAACTATGGATACCTGCAGTGAATGCCAAATACAGGAGAATAATCAGTGGAGGGAGGCTGGGGAGGGAAGCCTCCTTGAAAATGATGAGATTCGAGCCAGGTTTTGAAGGGTGTAAGAGCTATGTATTCCAGACAGAGGGAGCCACCCAAGCAAAATACGCAGAAGGAGAGTCAAGAGGTGGTCCTGGCATACAGGGATCCTTTGGGATAGTCTGGAGGAAGAGAAGATGACTGAGGCCTCTAATGCCAGACTTTACGCTTTCCTCAAAAGGAGCTGGTGAGTCACAGGAGAAAATGACCTGATGGGAGTGGTATTTGGAGGAAATTATCCTGGCACCACACAGCTATAATTTTCCCCTTTGCAAGTTAAAATTCATCACGGACATTTAGCAAAACGCTGTCACGCATGTCTCTCCTAATGTGGTCCACATCTGGCTCTGCCACTGGCAAATAGAGTATTTAGAAAATCTGTGCAGCATTAGTACCTAATAACCCTTTTTTAAACATAGTGAAGGAAATCGCAAACTTAGGAATGGCACATATCCTTCCAGATTAATTTAGTCCAGGTTCCCTATGTGACTTAAGAAATCCCTAGTTGCAGCTGCATCTAGTAGTCTGGACAACGGCGTGAGTGTTGAAATCCAGGGAGGTTGAGATTAATCTTAGAAATAAGAGTAAACTTAGTGATGCTCACTTTCAGTTTGCTTTCCTTGGATGTATAAAGTTTTGAGAGTTTAAAATGGCTTTAGACTTAAAAGCATTCTGCCTAAAATAATTACAGCACAACCAGCAGGGGTTTCTTTTCTAAAAGAAAGTTTTATTTGTGTAGGACGTGGACATCATGATCAGTTCAAATATTTGTATTTCAAAATTTAGGCTTGAATTTTGGCTGCATTGAGTCTTCCTTTGATGTATTTTGAGGGGCTAAAGAGCTCCTTCAGTTCCTAGAAAAACGAGGTTTGATCATTCCTCAGGGTCAGAAGCTGGCAGAAGGTAGGGACACCAAGTACTGAAGGGGCTAAGCATGTGGGGGCAGGAAAATATTTAAGGGAACATGCACTTTCTCAGCTCAAGACGCATCTCTCTTTTATAAGACTGTACATAATTTCTTCTTGACTTGAGTTAGTTTTAATCCATGTACGGTCTGTTCTCTGGAACAGCTGTTACAAGACTATGCTCCTTTCTCCCTTGGAAAAACCATGTCCTTGATAAATATTGATGGGGAAGTGGGGAGGGCAAGGCCTTATTGCATTGACTGTCATGTGTTCACTTAAATAATCCAAGCGACTGTTTTTTTGGGGGGCCATTCCCAATGGACTCTTGTGAAGCAAGTTAGATTCATTGAAAGAGGTGTTGCAAGATGAACAACAAACTCACTCCCTGGTTTGTGCCTGACTCTCCTCTGGGAGGATGATTACATTTGCAAGTAGGACAGCCACTGGAGAGAGTCCTGGTGAGAAGATCTAGATTTTGAATTCTTCTGTGCTTTGGTAAATTGTCCAAGTTGGGCTGCTCATTGTGAACCTGGGTGACTTCTTTTCTCTGTAGGAAAGTGCAAGTCAAATCTAGGTGAGATAAGAAAGTACAGAGTTTTGTAGTAATTCATTTTTTCTTAATGAAATTCAATCATTCACTTATTTGTTTATTTATTTTTATTTATTTATTTTTTCAATTTGAGAGCAGGTACTGTTTATTAACCAAACAGCTTAGAAAAATAATCATGGTAGACACCTTAGTTCATTCTTTTAATAAGTCTGTTGATCTGGTCCTCCCTGTTGCCAGGATCTCCACCTTCTACAAAGTGGGTGGCCTTTTCTTCTTTCCACCTCATGCAGAAGATAATTTGAAGGGCCACAGGAAGTTATTTGCTTCTTTGAAGCATTTTCCAACAGTATAGATCTCATGAATCAGATCCTCCATGCAGACGATGCCATATTTACCAAGAGATTGAGCAATCGAAGTGTTATCTGTCAAAGAAAGCAATTCGCTTCTTACTGATTTTGCCATAAGCACGCTTGTAGATTAGTTCATTTACTGACTTCAGATTTGGGTACTCCCATGCAATATATGGCTCTACAACCCTCAGCATGTTAATTGAAACTTTGTTGAGTTTCACAAAGGTTCCATTGAAGATTTGACGAAGGCGAAGAAGCTGCAACACCTTTCGGACCTTTGGCCTCACACCATTGATACCTCTGATCCTGATGACAAATGCCAATTTGGGTTCTTCAGGTACATAGAAGTTGCCAGCTTTTCTTGCCATCCTCGCCATTCATATTTCAGTTCTGTACATCTGCCTTTATTCCCTGTGATAGTGCTTTGCTTCTTCATAGATAAGCTTCCTCCTTGCCTTTCAAAGCATCTTTTAGGCAAACTTCTTTCAAAGGCACTTGATCTTCAGCTCTGAGAAATTCCTTCCCTTTTTCTTAAGGGTTTCTGGCATAACAGGAACCTTCTTCTTCTTCTCTTCTACATCCTCCATGGTTCCAGCTGGAAAAAGAGTTCATTCACTTATTTAACAAGTATTTATTGAGAGCCTTCTATGTGCTAGCTGCTGTGCTTGGTGGTAGGAATACTGAGAGCTATATTGACAAACACAATAAATCATAGCCCATAAACAATTGGTGTGACATCTGGCAGAGTAACAGCTCTCCAAGTATGTACCAAATGACACCCATTCCATGAAATTCTCTTGTCCCCACTGGAGAGAGAAAGAGAAAAAGGAAGAAAGAATAAAGGAAGAAGGAAAGAAAGGAAAAGCAGGGAGAATTACTTTTTCTCCAATTAGGGAAACACTGTACTCTCTGTTTTCATTGTATCATAGAATAATAAATGCTTTGGTATGTTCTTCTATAAATAATTGTGCTAGTTTTGTTTAATTTAATAGAATTCTACCTACGAATATTTTGAGAACTAGTTTTCTGTGAAACATTCTTTGAGGAAACTCAGTAGAAATTAGTGTCAAAAACTATCAGGATGGCAAAGCTGCCTTGCCATAGTTGTTGGTGGTCAAGTGTTGCTGCCACTGAGTGAAATCCACCACGGAGCTGCTAAGCCTGTCCTCTGTGGCTGCCAAACACACTTCATGCAGTGCATGGGGCTCCCTGCTGTGCACCTTCCCTGTGAGAAATGGGTCGTCCCGGCTACTCACCCACCTGTTCCAATTCATTTACTTTCATAATCCTGACTTCAAATTTACTTCATTGGTAGCATTTTCTGAAGTGCCATCATTAGAATAAAGGAACATTTTATTATTTAATTTTCTTATGACAGTAGCAAAGCATGCTTATCATAGAAACACTATAAAGTGATAGAAACTAGTAAGAGGAAATAAAAGCCCATCCAGAAATAACTACTGTTCATGTCTTGGTGAGCTTCCTCTCAATGTTCTCTCCCTACCTCTATTCTCTCTCTCTTTCTCTCTCTCTCTCTCTCACATACACACATCAAAAATGAAATCATTTGAACTTTTTCCCTTAATACTATATTGTGACAGGGGCTGTCTTAGTTTTCACTATACTTGCAGTGCCTCATGCAGACAGTGACACTCTGTAACTGCCCAGTGAAGATTTGGTGAGAGGATGACCAGTTCTAAGGCCTCTGCTAGCTCTGAAACTATTTGATCTTTATCATTCTTTTTGTAAAATCATTCTTTTATTCTGTGAATCTTACATGTGGCAATTTACCGTGTTGATTTTTAAGGGATTATTAGATTTTATTTTTTAGAACAGTTTTAGATTTACCAAAAAATTGAGCTCATAGTACAGAACCTCCTCTCCCCACGTGTTCTACTATATCCCTGTTATTAACACCGTGTATTAGTGTGGAACATTTGCTGCAGTTAATGAAAAAATACTGATACAGTATTAGTAACTAAAGTTCATAGTTTACATTGAAGTCCATCTTTGTGTTGTATAGTTCTATTGGTTTAGACAAATGTATAATGTCATATATCCATCATTACAGTATCATAGAGAAGAGATTTATTGCCCTAAAAATCCCCCGTGCTTCACCGATTCATCTCTCTTCCCCTTCCGTCTCCCAACCTCTGGCAACCACTGACTTTTTTTTTTTTTTTTTTTTTTTTTACTATCTCCATAGTTTTGCCATTCCAGAATGCCATCTAGATGGAATGATACAGTATGTAACCTTTTAAGACTGGCTTCTTTCACTTAGCAATATGCATTTAAGGTTTCTTCATACCTTTTTATAGCTTCATAGCTCATTTCTTTTTATGAAAAAATCATTCCATGTATGGCTATACCACTACTTTTTATTATTATTATTATTATTTTGAGATGGAGTTTCGCTCTTGTTGCCCAGGCTGGGGTGCAATGGCGCCACCTTGGGTCACCGCAACTGCCGCCTCCTGGGTTCAAGCGATTCTCCTGCCTCAGCCTCCCGAGTAGCTGGGATTACAGGTATGCACCACCACACCCGGTTTATTTTTGTATTTTTAGTAAAGACGGGGTTTCTGCATGTTGGCCAGGCTAGTCTTGAACTCCCAACCTCAAGTGATCCTCCTGCCTCGGCCTCCCAAAGTGCTGGGATGCGTGAGCCACCACGCCCAACCACTACTACCTTTTAATTCGTTCACCTATTGAAGGCCATCCAGTTTTTGGTGATTGTGATTTTACTTATTGCAAAAACTGCTATAAACATTTGTAAGTTTTTGTGGGGACATAAATTTTAAAACCAACTGGGCAAAAACCTAGGAGCATGATTGCTGGAACGTATGATAAGGTTGTGTTTAGCTTTGGAAAAAACTGCCAAATGGTCTTCCAAAGCGGTTGTACAATTTTGCATTCCCACTAGCAAGAAACAAGAATTTCTGTTTTTCTGTGTTTTAACCGGCATTTGGTACTGTCAGTATTTTTTGTATTTTAGCCTTTCTAATAGGTGTGTAGTGTCTCACTGTTGTTTTAATTTGCAACTTCCCTAATGACACATGATACTGAGCATCTTTTCATGTGCTTCTGTATGGTTTTTTTTTTTTAAGTTGGGTATTGATTCAGGTCTTTGCTCCTTCCTTCCTTTCTTCCTTCCTTCCTTCCTTCCTTCCTTCCTTCCTTCCTTCCTACCTTCCTTCTCCCTCCCTCCCTCCTTCTTCTCCCTCCTTCTCCTCTCTCCATCTCCTTCCTTCCTTCCTTCTTCCTTCTTTCTTCTTTCTTTTACTTATGGATGTTCAATTTTTCCAACATCATTTGTTGAAAAGACTATTCTTTATTGACTGAATTGCCTTTGTTCCTTTGTCAAGGATTAGTTAACTATATTTGTGTGGGTCTATTTCTGGACTCTATTCTGTTCTAATCTATTTGCCTATACTTTCTCCAATATCAAGACATTTTGATTACTGGAGCTTGAAGTTGGGTAGTGTCAGTCCTCTTACCTTATTCTTCTTCTGTATTCTGTGGCTAATTCATAAAATAATAAATGGGTCTTTTGCCTTTCCATATAAACTTCTGCTTTTCCATATAAACTTTAGGAGCAGTTTGTTGATAGCAACACAATATGTTGCTGGGATTTTGATTTGGAGTACATTGAATCCATAAATTAAGTTGAAAATAATCAATGTTTTAACAATATTAACTCCTCCTGTTTATGAACATAGAATATCTCTAATATTTAAATACCAAATTTACAGATAAATATTTTGTAAATTTTTATACGTGTAAATTTGGATATTTATAGATGATTAAATATCATTTATTTTGATCTTTTAAAATTTATTTCTATCTTTTAAAATTTATTTCATCAGAATATTATAGTTTTCCTCACAGATCCTGTATATATATTGTTAGATTTATACCTAGGTATTTCCTTGTGTGTGTGTGCGCTAATGGAAATGGTATTGTGCTTTTAATTTCTTATTCCAATTGTTCATTGACGGTATATAGGAAAGATTTGTCTTTTATATATTAACCTTGTTTCCTGAAACTTTGTTATAATCACTTATTAGTTCCAGGAGGGTTTGTTGTTGTTGTTGTTGTTGATCTTGTTGAGTCTTTGGGATTTTCTATGTAGACAATCATGTCATCTGCAAACAAAAGACAGCTTTATTTCTTCTTTGATAATTTGTATAGTGTTTATCTCCTTATTTATTATTTCACAAATTATGACTTCCAGTGTGATTTTGAATATGAGCAGTGAGAGGAGACATCCTTGCTTTATTTGTGATCTTAGGGGGAAAGCATCTAGTTTTCCATTATTACATAAAATGTTAGCTGTGGGGTTTTTTTGTAGCTGTTCTTTATCAAGTTGAGAACCTTTCCCTCTATTTCTAGTTTGCTGACAGTTTTATCATGAATGGGTATTGAATTTTTTCAGATGCTTTTTCTGCATCTGTTGATATGATCATAAGATTTTTCTTCTTTAGGTTGTTAATGTTATAATTACATTAATTGGTTTTAAAATGTTAAGCCAAGCTTGCATACTTGGATTAAATTTCATTCAGGCATATTGTATCATTCTTTTTACATATTGTTTTATTTGATTTTCTAGTATTTTGTTGGAAGGTTTGTATCTATGTTCATGAGAGATATTGATTGGTCTGTTTTTCTTTATTACAATGCGTTTATCTGGTTTTGGTGTTAGGGTAATGCTGGCCTCATAGAATAAGTTAAGAAGGTTCCTTCTGCTTTTATTTTTTAAAGAACTTGTAGGGAATTGTTATTTCTTTAAAAATGGTAAAATTTATTGGTGACATTTGGGCATGGTGCATTCTTTTTTTTGGAAAGTTATTAATTGTTGATTAAATTTCTTTAATAAATATAGCCCTATTCAGATATTCTATTCTTCATGTGTGAGTTTTGGTATTAATAGTTTGTGTCTTTCAAAGAATTGGTCCATTTCTACCAAGTTACCAAATTTGTGAGCATAGAATTGTTCATACATATTTAAAAGTATCATTTAAATGTCCATGGGATTAGTAGTATTGATCCCTCTTTCATTTCTGATGTTAGTAATCTGTGCCTTCTCTTTTTTGCTCTTGGTTAGCTAAGCTAGAAGTTTATCAGTTCTACAGACATTTTCAAAGAACCAGATTTTGGTTTTGTTGTTTTCTCTATTAATTTGTTTTCAATTTCATGATTTCTATTCTAATTTTTATTATTTTACTCTTTATGCTTGTTTTAGGTTTATATTGCTCTCCTTTTTTAAGTTTCCTAATGTGGGATCTTAGATGATTGGTTTTAGATCTTTCTTCTTTCCCAATATATGGATATAATGCTATAAATTTTTCTATTTTTTTTAGCATATCAATCACACATCTTAAAAATTGTTTTCTAGTAGTTACCCTAGAGTTTGCTATATACATTTACAACTGATCAAGTCTACTTTCCAATAATAGTATACTGCTTCCTAGGTAGTGCAGTTTTGTTATAACAGAATATTCAAAGTTCTTTCCTTCCTTCCCTTATAACATTGCTGCTGTTTACTTTACTTATACATACATTATAATCACCCAGTACATTGTTACTATTAGTACTCTGAACAAATTGTCATCTATTAGATCAGTTAAGAATAAGAAAAATGAAGAATGTTACTTTCTTCTTCATTTGTTCCTTCTCTGGTGCTCTTCCTTTTTAAAATGTTGATCTGAGTTTCCGACCTATATAATTTTCCTTCACTTGGAAGGCAAGGCAAGGCAAGTCTTGAACAGGTAAGTCTACTCACAACAAATTCCCTCAGTTTTTTGTTTGTCTGAGAAAGTCTTATTTATCCTTCACTTTTGAAGGATATTTCACTGGATACAGGACTGTAGGTTGGTGTTTTGTTTTTTTTTTTTCAATACTTGAAATATTTCACCCCACTGTCTTCTTTCTTGGATGGTTTCTGAAGATAAGCATGATATGATTTTTATCTTTCTTCTTCTACAGGTTAACTTTTTTTCCTTCAAAATTTTCTCCATATCTTTGGTTTTCTGCAGTGCAATATGCCTAAGTATTTATTTTTAGCTATTTAACGTGTTTAGTGTTCTCTGAGCTTCCTGGATCTGTGGTTTGGTGTTTGTCATTAATTTTGGGAATTTCTCAGCTATTACTATGTCAAATATACCTTCTGTTCCCTTTTCTTTTTCTTCTTTCACCAGTTTCATTTCACATATGTTATACCCTTTGTAATTGTCCTACAGTTTTTGGGTATTCTGTTTCATATTTTTTCATCCTTCTTTCTCTTTGTATTTTTGTTTTGGGAAGTTTCTATAGACATTTCTTCAGTCTCATTGATTTTTTCCCTCAACTGTGTTCAGTCTAATGATGAGCCCATCAAATGCATTCTGCATTTCTATGACAATATTTTTGATTTCTCAGATTTCCTTTTGATTCTTTTTAGATGTCCCATCCCTTGTTTGCATTATTCATCTGTTCTTGTATGTTGGCTCACTTTCCTTTGGATTCTTTAACTTATTAATCATAGCTATTTTAAATTCCCTATTTGATAATCTCAAAATCTATGTTATAACCAAGCCTTATTCTTATGCTTGTTTTGTCTCTTTAGCCTGTGTTTTTTAAAAATTTCCTTTTAGTATATCTTTTAGTTCTTTGTTGAAAGCTAGACATGATGTGCTAGGTAAAGAAACTGAGAAAATTGACTTTTGGAGTGAAGTTTTCTAGTAACAGGCTAGGAGCTGGGCTGTGTTTAATGCCTTTTGTAGCTGTGGGTGCCAGAGGCTTCACTTTCCTTTATCTTCTTTCCTGTTGTCTTTACATCTCCCCAAGAACTCCTTTTTAAATGGAATCTGAGCTGTGCAGCTCTCTCTGCTGCACTGCACTGTTGTTATACTAGAGCCCTGCTGACATGAGGAGAGTGGGAATAGGGAAGCATTGCATAATCTTAAGATTAAATCCCCCCTTTTAAGAAAGTGGGCCTGAATCTCCGGACTGTGACCTTCAGAAGCATTCCTAGCCCTTTCCCTTTCCTTCTATGAGACAAGAAGCCCAGAGGGATTAGAACTGGCTAATTTCTCTTCCCCTAGACCAGATAGGGCTCTGGTAAAGTGCTTTCTCTTAGAGCACAGGCTTTTGTTATGAAGATGCCCTGGGCATGGTTCCCCTCTGTTACTTTTCCCCTGTTGTATTCCCCTATTGTTTACCCTCCACTACTAGAGATTTTTCCTTCATTCTGCACTGTGAGGACCTGCTGGAGATCCTTGAGGTAAAAACCAGGAAAGCCTGCATACCCCTACTGCCACCCCAAGGCTAGGCCCCCAGGGTTTTTAAACCTTAAGTAGTCCACACTCTGCCTCCATCAATTCTTCAAAATTACCATCAAAATGTTCCCAGTTACTGGCTCTAGTGGCTTCTGCTTCAGGTAAGCTGATCTCGGCTATGATTTTCCGTATTCACCAGTCTCTCCAGATTTTGGGATGGGCGATTTGCCCTGCAATTTCACTTCTCTGATGGTTCCAAAAAAAGTTGTTGATTTTTCATTTGTTCAGCTTTTTTCTCATTGTGAAGACAGGAGTGATGACTTCCAAGCTCTTTACATGTAAGAGCTTAAACTGGAAGTCCTCTGTTGATTTTTACTTGATCCATTTGACTGTCATTTATTGAGCACCCTCTGTTGCTAAGACATTACACTAGACCCAACGGGGGCCACAGGCATAGCAAATTCAAACCTTTATCCTCAGGGGCCATCTGAGGTCATTTTCACAGTATGTACTTTGCCTCACAAAGTGTGTCAAAGTTCTCCTCTCCTGGTGTGTATCCATATTCTGGCTTCCTCAGGCAAGCACTTCTCGAACAAGTCCCTAGATCCACCTTCTCAAAAGTTCAAGAGTTCTGTAAGATAATTTTACAATTTTATGTTTGTATTTTAATTATAATACAGTAGTCCCCCATTAACTGTGCTTTTTCTTTTTGTGGCTTTAGTTACCCATGGTCTGAAAATATTAAGTGGAAAATCCCAGAAATAAACAATAAGTTTGAAATTGCATGCAGTTCTGAGTAGTGTGATAAAATCTTGAGCCATCCTGCTCTGTCCTGCCCAGGATGTGAATTGTCCCTTTGTCCAGCATATTCACAATGTATTCACCACTTAACCAGTAGCCACATCTCGACTGTCATGGTATCACAATGCTTGAGTCCAAGTAACCCTTATTTCACTTAATAATGGCCCCAAAGTACAAGAGTACTGATGCTGGCAATTCAGATATGCCAAAGAGATGTTGTAAAGTGGTAGAGTGTTTCCTTTAAGTGAAAAGGTAAAAGTCCTTGAGTTAATAAGGAAAGAAAAACAATTATATGCTGAGGTTGCTAGGATCTGTAGTGAGAACCAACCTTCTATCTGTGAAATTGTGGAGAGGGAAGAAGAAATCTGTGCTGGTTTTGTTGTCATGCCTCAAACTTTAACATAGGTATGTACATACAGAAAAAACAGTATGTATAGTATATATAGGACTCCGTACTATCCGAGGTTTCAGGCATCCACTGGGGGTCTTGGAACATACTCCTTGTGGATAAGGGTAGACTACTGTATAAAATTTAAGGCAATTTAAGGGTGTTCTAGACAGAGCTCAGCCAGCTATGGCCCTTGGACTAACTTTGGCTCACCACCTGTTTATTTGTAAAACAAGTTTTACTGGAACACAACCATGCCTACGTGTTTACATAATGTCTTATGGTGCAGAGTTGAGTAGTTGTGACAGAAAATGTATAGCCCATGAAGCCTAAAATAATTACCATCTGGCACTTTACAGAAAAATTTCCTACCTTTGCTGTAGAAGATCCTTAGATATGACCTCATGATTTCAGTGTTAGTGCTTGTGTTTACGATCATGAGGTCAAATAACAATTTCAGATTTAGGTTTCTTGGGTGTTTGAAAATGGAAAAGTGGAGATTAATTGAGTTATCATATGGGCAGTTTGAGAACAAGCTATGGAACATGCAAAAGGATCTTCCTTGAAGCAGACAGAACCATGTTTATGTTGGGGGCTGACAGGGTTTGGATCTGTGTCCCCACCCAAATTTCATGTTGAATTTTAATCCCCAGTGTTGGAGGTGGGGCCTGGTGGGAGGTGATTGGACCATGGGGGTGCATCCTTCATAAATGGTTTAGCACCATCTCCTTGGTGCTGTTCTCAGGATAGTGAGTGAGTGTGTTATCAGCAGATCTGGTTGTTTAAAAGTGTGTAGCACCTCCCTCCCACTTTGCTGCTCCTTATGCTGCTCCTCCTTTGTATTCTGCCATGATTGTAAGTTGCCTGAGGCCTTCCCAGAAGCAGAAGCCACTATGCTTCCTGTATAGCCTGCAGAACCTCCAGCCAATTAAACCTTACTTTTCTATGAATTATTCAATCTTAGGTTTTTTTTTTTTTTTTGAGACAGAGTTTCGCTCTTGTTGCCCAGGCTGGAGTGCAATGGCGCACTCTCATCTCACCACAACCTCTGCCTCCCGGGTTCAAGCAATTCTCCTGCCTCAGCCTCCTGAGTAGCTGGGATTGCAGATATATGCCACCAGGCCCAGCTAATTTTGTATTTTTAGTAGAGACAGGGTTTCTCCATGTTGGTCAGGCTGGTCGCAAACTCCCAACCTCAGGTGATCCACCCACCTCGGCCTCTCACAGTTCTGGGATTACAGGCGTGAGCCACAGCGCCCGGCCAATCTTAGGTATTTTTTTTAAAGCAATGCGAGAATGGACTAATCCTGGGGCCCATATGATGTGGATAGCCTGCCTGTGTAAGTACTGACTTGCTGTCATTCAATAAACAACTGCAGTGATTATGGCAATAAAAAGTTTTTTTCTATCTGCAATTTCTCTTCCAGAAATAATGAAGGTAGATATACATTTCATGATGCTTCCAGTAATACCATAATGCTAATCTTAAATTCAACTGAAGATAATTATCTTTACAGAATTAACAGGTGATATCTCATTAAAACTGGCATTGGAGAATTGCTTGCTGGCAGGTTTTAGTTAAGCATGAGGTCTAAATATCCTGAACCAGCAAACAAAGCTGTGCCTCAGTCATACCATTTTATACAGTATCTTTATTGTGTGCTCTGGGCAGGAATTCTAGGTTGTCCTTCTTAGGAGGCTTTCCACCGTATAGACACCTAAGTCGGTGAGTGTTCTTTACCATCCTGCTTGCTCCTGTCCTGGGACCATGAGGGACACCTGGATGGTCTCTACTATTCCCTCTACCACAGCCAAGGGCCTGCCCCTGAGCCAGTCTTTGTTCTAGACTCCTTTCACACCTGTTGAGATTCTAACTGGTGTCCTTTCTTGACTGAGAACATCTGTTAAAGCTCAGTATATTACAAAGAATCTAATAACGTTGGTTTCCTTAAGGGAAAAGCTGCAGGTCATGGTCCATTTCCTCCTTAGAAGCATCTTGAGCCCCATTAACATTTCCCATCTCTTTCCTCCAGAGTTCTGTACCAAGCAGTGGGTGTTGGGAATAGCAGCTTTTGATAAGCCACCAAAAATGCCCTGTTACATTCTTCATCCAGGACAACAGACATCCTTAGGAGTCCAATGAGTATAATGGGTGGACCCTCAGTAAGACCCTGGGTATTGGCTGAAGTCAGAGGTAGTGCAAACATTTTGCTTACTCTTCTTATGTGTACAGAAACCAGGAAAGGCCAGGCATGCATTTCTGGTTCTTCTGTGGGATATAAGGATGCCTAATGTACAATTCAGCTAGATGAAATTGGAAGCCATTTTTTTTTTTTAGGAACATTAAGTGCTCTAAGGCAATGTTCACTTCCATTTTTTGTAATAGCTTCTTTAAGATATAATTCACATGCCATACCATTCACCCACTTAAAGAGTACAATTCAATGGCTTTAATATATCCATGAAGTGGTGCAACCATCACCACAATGAACTTCAGAATAGTTCATCAACTAAGAAAGAAGCTCTGTACACATTAGCTGTCTCCCTCCAATCTCCCCATCCCCCTCAGCCCTAAGCTAATCTACTTTCATCTGTATGTATTTGTTTATTCTGGAAATTTTATGTAAATGGAATCATATAATATGCGCTTTTTTTGTGACTGGCTTCTTTCACTTGTTTTCAAGGTTCATCTATGTTGTAGTATGTATCAGTACTTCATTCTTTTTTATGACCAAATAAAATACCATTGTGCATATATACCACATTTTGTTTATTCATCAGCTGTTGGACATTTGGGTTGTTTTTAGCTATTATGAATAATGCCATTGTGAACATTCACATACAAGTTTTTGTGTAGACCTGTTATTATTCCTTTTTTTTTTTTTTTTTTTTTTTGAGACGGAGTCTCACTCTGTTGCTCAAGCTGGAGTGCAGTGGCGCAATCTTGGCTCACCACAACCTCCACCTCCCGGGTTCAAGCGATTCTCTTGCCTTAGTCTCCTGAGTAGCTGGGATTACAGGCACACACCATGCCTGGTTAATTTTTGTATTTTAGTAGAGATGGCGTTTTGCCATATTGGCTAGGCTGGTCTCAAACTCCTGACCTCAAGTGATCTGCCTGCCTTGGCCTCCTGAAATGCTTGGATTACATGCACGAGCCACCATGCCTTGTCCTGTTTTCATTTCTCTCGGGTATATAACTAGGAGTGGATTTGCTAGACCAAATGGAAAGTCTGTGATTACATTTTTGATGAGCTGTTAGACTGTTTTCCAAAGTGATGGTGCCATTTTATATTTCCACCAGCAGTGTATGAAGGTTTCAATACTTTCACATCCTCACCAACACTTGTTATTATTTGACTTTTTAAAACTACAGCCCTGTTATTGGTTGTGAAGTGGCTATATCATTATGGTTTTGGCATGTGTTTACCTAATGACTAATGACGTTGGACATCTTTTCATGTGCTTATTGGCCATTTGTGTATCTTCTATGGAGAAATACTTGTTCAGTTTTTTTGTCTATTTTCAAATTGGGTTATTTGGCTTTTTATTATTGACTTGTAAGAGTTCTTTATGTATTCTAGGTACAAGTCCTTTATCAGATATGATTTGTCAATATTTTCTCCTATTCCTTGGGTTGTCTATTCACTTTCTTGATGGTGTTCTTTGAAGCACAAAAGTGTTCAATTTTGTTGAGGTCTAACATTTATTTATTTTTTCTTTGATTGCTTGTACTTTTGATGTCATGTCTAAAAATCCATTGCTAAATCCAAGGTCATGAAGATTTACCCCTATGTTTTTTTCTAGTAGTTTTATAATTTAGTCTCTTAAATTTAGATCTTTGATCCATTTTGAGTTCATTTTTGTATACGGTATGAGGTAACTTCCCTTCTGTCAAAGCATCTGGCAGTATTTGCAATCCTAGCTTCTTTGACACTTTGGATTTGGGAGAGAGGGTATGAAGAGCAGAGCCTCTAGCCAACTCACAAGTGACATATAGCGTGAGCAAGAAATAAACGCTTATTGTTTCAGCTGCTATGATTTGAGGGTTGTCTGTTACTATAATATAATTAAGTCTATGCTGATTGATGCAAGCCTCTTATCAGATTCTGTTATATTTGGTTTTATTCTCTCCCACCTTGACCATTGTCCATCTTGTATGCTGTTTGCAAATTTATCTTTCTGAAATATAGTCCCAGTCAGGACACTCTATCATTTACTTAAGCTATTTGGTGGCTTGCAAACTTCTTAGTGTGACATTCAAGGCCCTTAGGATCCTGCTCCAATTGCATTGCCAGAATTATTTCCTTCCTTCATATAATTTTGTTTCAGTCAAAAAGAAATCACTTGCAATTCTCTCATATGTTCTGCTTTCCCTTCTCCACGTTTGTTAATGCTTTTCCCTCCACCTGGAGTGCTTTTTGTTGCTTGCTGGCCTGCGGAGATTCTACTCTTCACCTCCTCGTTGCAGACCGATTTGCTGTAGCTGGGTCCCTTCCTTTGTTGAGGGCTCAATGTGCATGAGATGCACAGATACGACAGTTCCTCACAAATACAGCCTTTCCCCCAACACTTGTCTGGAGGACCCAGAACATAACCTCATCTCATTTTTTTCTCTTCTTTACTTTGCAAAGAGGAGGTGCTCAGTACAGATTTGTTGAACAAACTAAGGAACAAATGAATTCCTGATTTTGCTTCCTGTGTCCTCAAAATAACAGCAGCAGCAGCAGCAGGATCCTTTTCAGTTCATTAACAATCATGTTGCACAAAACAGATGCTGGCGAATAGTAGATGCGCTGCCAAATACATGTGCGCTTCTGGAGTTCTTCATTTTGACAGAAAAATGAGTCCTTGTGTACAGCCACAGCCTTTCCCTGGAAGCAGCCACCTTTATGACAGTCTCCCCATGAGGAGGAGAGGTTCCTCCAAGCCCCAGGGGTTTACAATCCCATGTGATTCCTCGTGAATAGTCCTGCCTGCTGGCAGGGCTGGGGCAGCACAGAGAAGGTCTGGGGACACTGACCCAGAGCAGATGTGTAACAGCTCAAACTGCAAAGCCTCTCAGGAAACCATCAGCCAGAGGCACAACCACAGCCATTGTCTGCTGTTCCCTGCCAAACCTCCACCTTTCCTCTGTCATCTTCATCTCTGATTCCCCAGAGGACCCGTCTCTGACTACCAGACCTCAGCGCTCCCTGGGAAAGGCCCCCAGGGAGGATTTGTCCCTGACTCCTCCTAAACATCCCAAACCAGCTAGACAGAAGGAGCACATTTTAGTAAAGTATTGGGTGTTTTTATAATAAAGCATACGGGGGAAAAAATGTATTCTTTCAGGCGGCCGATAACAAGAAGTAGCTGAGGTGCCTTCACCCTATGAGGGCACAGGGAGAAGGTAGCAGTCTGCGACCTGGAGGAGCACCCTCACCAGGACACGACTTTGCTGGCACCCTGATCTCAGACGTCCAGCTTCCAGACTATGAGAAATAAATGTTTGTAGCTTATAAGTCAAATAAAAAAGAAAGAGACAGAAAGAAAGAAAAGAGAAAGCAAGAGAGCAAGAAAGGAAGAAGGAAAGAAAGAAGGAAAGAAAGAAAAATAAAGGAAGGAAGGAAGGAAAGAAAGAAAGAAAGAAAGAGAGAGAGAGAGAAAGTAGTTGAGTGAGCCTGTGGATCCCTGTAGCTTAATTGGGACTGAATCATAAGACAGGGCAAAACTCTGGGGATGTGTTGCAAAAACATTGACTCTGGGTGCCAGCCTCAGCCCTGTGCCTGTGAGACCTTAGGCAAACTGTGGTTAGTTAATTCCGTTAATTAACCCCCTGAGCCACTGATTCCTTATCCTAAAAACAGGGAAATGCCTACCTCACCCAATCTTCTATTAGGCAAATTAATGAACTAACATAGGGAAATTACTGGCACACGGTGAACACTCAGAAAATATTAGATTCTTTTCCTTTGAAGGAGGCATTGAGGATGGCAAAGAGGCTGCTACTCAGATTCAGGGACCGGCAAAACGAGGACAAATATTGATGGAGTTCCCACCAACTGCGGGAGCCCAGTGTCTGCTGGCTGGTGCAGACAAGCACACAGGCGATTGGAGACAGGGTGATATGGACCATCTGGAGCTTGTGAGCTCATATGTGGGGCACCTACTCTTGGGAGTAGAGGGAAGGGAGGGTTCCAGGAGGGGTCCCTGTAAGCCAGGTTAGAGGATTAGTAGGAATTAACTGGGAAAAGTGTATGAAACAGCATTCTGGACAAAGGGAACAGTTAATATGAAGACTTGGAAGCCAGAAATCCTTGTGAATAGTGGACTGCTGGTAATAAAAATAATAAAAACACCAGCTGTGGACCTACTATGTACTAAGCACTCTGCTAAATGTTTTATATACATTGTTGCCTTAATTTTCACAACAACTCTTTGAGCGATGTATTATTAATCACACTGTTTCACAGAGGAGGAAACTAAGATCCAGAAGCATAAAGGAATCTTTGTAAGATCATGGAGCTTGCAGAAGATGGGGAAGGGCTTTGATCAAGACTCCTTGATCAAAGAGTCATTGCCAGCTCTTGCTCCTAACCACTGTACAGAGCTGTCATCAGTAACTGGTTGTGCCTGAGGAAGTACTTCCTGTAGATGTTGGGGTGGCCACTCCTCTAGGCAAGCCTGTTAAATCAATGGTTAGGTAAACAGAACAGATCCATGAAGCCAGTCTAACTCTGCCCTTACACCCTACCTGGCCACCATGTAGATGCCCATTGGGCCAGTGCAAAACCACTCCCATGATTGACCAAAGAACTACTCACAGGGATGCAGTCCAATAAAGGTGTGTTGTGGGGGGCCTGCCTCCCATGGATGCTAGGCACACAGACTGCCATGTGAATCCTGCCCTCCAGGGTTGTGAGGAGTGGCAGTCTTGTGCCATTTGGATGATCTGGTATGTTGGCATTTGTTGAGAAAGTGAGTTACTGACTAGGTCTTGGAGCTCATTTGTTTTTCAGATTAATGAAGAAAACATCTTTCTTGCATTAGAGTTTGGCCCAATTTGAAACATAGTAATGGCGTTAGGTGATTTGGGAAGGAGGGGTGGATACTGGAGGAGACAGATAGTTGTCATAATTTAAGCAAAAATATTTTCCAGTCTTCAAGTGAGAAGTACATTTGACACATAGAAAACGATTGGTGCTTGTGGAGTTCTATCTATGTTGATACTTTTCTCTGTTAAATTTCCTGCCATTATCTTAAAAAGTAAAGACCCATTATGAACACATGAAAAGATGCTGAACATCACTAGCCATCAGGAAAATGCAAATCAAAATCACAAGGAGATACTACTTTGCACTCAGTAGCATGGTGAGTACAAAAAGGCAGGTCAAAAAGATGGGTAATAGCAAATATTGATCAAGATGTGGAGAAATTAGAACCCTCATACATTGCTGATGGGAATGGGAAATGGTGCAACAGTTTTGGAAAACAGCCTAGTAAATCCTCAAAAGGTTAAACCCAGAGCTACTGCATGACTCAGCAGTTCTACTTCCAGGTATTGCACCCAAGATAAATAAGAACACATGTCCACAAAAACAAACACAAACACAAACAAAAAAACACCCTTGTACATGAAGATTCATAGCAGCATTATTCATCACAGCCAAAATATGGAAACAACCCAAATGTTCATGACTGGTAGATGGATAAACAAAGTGGGGTGTATCCCTGCAATGGAATATTATTTTGCAATAAAAGGAAATAAAATAGTGATAAATCTTGAAAATATTATGCTAAATTTAAAAAATTTGTTACAAAGAATTATGTATTACATGATTCCATTTATACAAAATATCTAGAATAAGCAAATCTGTGCAGATAAAAGGTAGATTGGTGGTTGCCTGGGGCTGTGTGTGGGCTGGGGAGAAATGGGGAGTGACTGCCAATGAGTATGGGGTTTCTTTCTGGCGTGATGAAAGCATTTTAATATTGAATGCGATGTTCATACAACTCTGTTAATACACTAAAACCATTGAATTGTACACTTTCAATGAGTGAATTGTATGGTATGTGAATTACATCAATGAAGTTGTTTAAAATAACAGCTATTATGAGCTATAACCCCCACACATGGGCTTATCAACACACTTTCCTCTCTATTCCATAGTCATTCTCATTATAGCTCCTTGGGGCCAGCAGAAAAGGAGAGTTGTGTTTACTAGATAAGGAAACCAGGCACAGTGGGACTGTGGCAGTTCCCCAAGCTCCATCGTTTTGCAGAAGGTTCATCTGGCACCCTGATCTTCTGGCAACTAGTTCCAGACATATTTGACAGACCTGATTTTCAAGCTATGCTCTATAGAACCTCTTCAAGGAAGGCTCTTGGGTGGGGGGCTGTGGGATGGCGTGGGCATGGACAGGTACAGTTGCTGATCAGGCCAAGCTCTGGCCTCCTACTTAACTTGAATCAAAGCACTTCTGGTTTTAAATCAACGCATTGAGCTCGTGCATATGCTTTCTTTGGAAAAAGGGTTACCCAGCCAAAATTCACTGCCCTTAGATGTATGATTCTTAGATTGAAAAGATAATGAGATAACACTTCCCTCAGCCTCAGCATCCAAAGTGCTGATGTGTCTTCAGAAACAATGTCCACATTTCAAACAAAAAGATGATAACTTGGGCTGCCAAGGTCTTATTGCTTTCATGTTGATTCTTTGCTGAGGAATGCATTCACAAGGTGTCTATTTACAGCACTAATTGACAACAAATAAGTGATAAATATTGTTCTTGGCCAAAATATATTCTGTTGCTAGAAAACAACACAGTGTGTTTATGAAATTACCAGAAAACACTGTCACCAAACAGTAATATTGTATAAGAAGTCCTTGTCCCCAGAAATGTTCCTATTCTCACCCCAGATTGTTTTTAGAAGCAGAAGTTGTTTCTCAACAAAATCTAGTTCTGTTCTCAATTTGTCTTAATAAGGAATGACATAAGTTTACCAGACTAAGGAGTCCATTTTTCATTCCCTGGGTTTAATCTGTGCAGACAGAAAGCTGTAAATATCATAAGTAGTTGTAGCTGGCTGGCTGGCCTTGAAGGGGCCCATTTGTTAAGGACCATGGTTCGTTGATTTCATGTGTGTCTTCCAAGGGCCAAGAGGCTGTTTGCCCATCATCACTATGCGGTCTGGGGAACAAAAGCCGGGGGCCCAGAAGCCTGTGTTGAAGGATGACGTGACCTTTGACCACCACTAGAAAGGCCTGGAGGGAAAGAGGCAAAGTCAGGCTCCAGTAAGGTTTAATGACAGATCTTGTTAGGGTTAAAAAAACAGCTCAGGCATCCAGCTGGGGCTTCATCTGGGGAGGTACTCAAAGGGCCTTCAGTGACAGCCACCCAGGCACCATGCATAACTGCACCAGGTCTGCTAAGCTGTCATTCTGAGCCTGCTCTGCTGAGGTCTGCCACTCCGCATCAGTCTGAGTCAATAGGAAGATTCATTCTTTTTTTTTTTTTAAATTTCCTGTTGCCACCAGCATATGTCATTTGTCCTGATGCTATGGTGAGGTTTTGATTGCGGAAAGGCACTAATGTTGGTTTTTCTTTTATGAGAAATAATCATCAAGAGAGTGATACAGCATGCCTTTGGCATCTCTAGATTTAGCACTGTGGTTCTCACTGATCAGGAGCCTCCCTGGAGGCTCATGCTTGGTGGTAATTTGGCATTTTACTGAGGCACGGATTGTAGCAGCCCGGGACCTGGCACCTGCTCCCTGCAGCAGCACCAGGCTCTTGATTTTCTCTGTGTCTAGTAGCTCTGGAGGAATGAGGATGGTGTTGTGGAAAACGAACATAAAGGGAGGAGGAAGCACCAGTAAAAGCTGAAATGTGATGAGGTGGTATGAGGATGTGTACAGGAAATGCATGATGCTACAGGAAGTGTGATGTGAGAGAAAGCCTATGCAAACATGCCCTCTTTCCAGTATTTGAGGATTCTTGAAGGTTTGGACATATTATTCTCAAATGTCAAGAGTCTGCTATAAAAAGGAATGTGATACATAAAAAACTTCTTATTTGGAAACTATTATAGATTCATAAACACTTGTAAGAAATAATACAGAGAAATCTTGTGTGTCCTGTACCCAGTTTCTCCCAATGGTAACATTTTAAAAATGATAATATAATCCTACATCCAGAATATTGACATTGATAGAGTTAAGATATGTAACATTTTCATCACCAGAAGGATTCCTCCTTTTTTTTTTTTTTTTTTGTTTGTTTGAGACAGAGTCTTGCTCTGTCACCCAGGCGGAGTGCAATGGTGTGATCTTGGCTCATTGCAACCTCTGCCTCCCAGGTTCAAGCAATTCTCCTGCCTTAGCCTCCTGAGTAGCTGGGATTACTACGCCTGGCTAATTTTTGTATTTTTAGTAGAGACAGGGTTTCACCATGTTAGGCTAGTCTCGAACTCCTGACCTCAGGTGATCCACCTGCCTCAGCCTCCCAAAGTGCTGGGATTACAGGTGTGAGCCACCACGCCCAGCCAGATTCCTCCTTTTATAGCCATACATACTTACCTCCCATCTTTACCCCTTCCATAATCACTGACCAACATTAATTTTTTCTCCATTTCAATAATTTTGTCATTTCAAAAACATTATATAAATGGACTCATACTGTATGCAACCTTTTTGACTTCCCTTTTTTCATTCAGCATAATTTTCTGGAGATTCATCTAGGTTGTTTTACGTATCAGAAGATTATTCTCTTTTTCATTTCTCAGTAGTATTCCATCATATGGATGTACTACAATTTATTTAACCATTTTTCCATTGATGGACATCTGGGCTGTTTCCAGTTTTTAGCTATTATGAGAGAAACTGCTATAAACATTTGTGTACAAGTTTTTGTGTGAATAAGAGCCTTCATTTCTCTGGGATAAATGATATGCCCCGGAGTGCAGAAGAGTAATTGCTGGGTTGTATGATAGTGGCATATTTAGTTGTTTAGAAACCATTAAACTGTTTCCAGAATAGCTGTACCATTTTCTATTTCCATCAACAATGTATGAATGATCCAGTTTCTACACATGTGGCCAGTATTTGGCAGCATTGCTATTTTTTATTTTAATCATGCTGATAGGTGTGTGTGTGACATCTCATATGTGATTGATTTACTTTCAACTTGCCTATATATTATTTTGAGTGAGTTTCTTGTAGACAGAATATAGTTGGGTCATGCTTTTTAATCTACTTTACCAATCTCTGCCTTTCAATTGCTGTATACAGACCATTGACAGTTCATGTAATTATCGATAGACTCAGAGTTAAGTCTGCTTGCTCTGTTTTTCATTTCTCTGCTTTCGTTTTCCTGCCTTCCTATGAATTAAACATTTAAAAGAATTTTATATTGATTTATCTACAATTTTTAAAGTGTGTTTCTTTGTTTAACCTTTCAAATGGCTGCCATAAGTGTTACATTAGATATACAACTCATCACAGTTTACTGTTACTGTCATTTTACCAGTTTGAGTGAAATATAGAAACCTTACCTCCATTTATACCCCTTTCCCTCTACCTGTTTATAATTGTCTTAAATATGTTCTCTACACACATTTAGAACATTGTCAGGCAGTGTTATAAATATCAAATATCAAACATAATTTAGAACATTCATAAGGAGAAGGAAAGCCTATTTTATTTACCCACATTACTGTTTATTGAATTCTTTCTTCCTTCCTGATGTTCCAAGTTCCTTATTTTTTATTTTTCTTTTGTTCAGAAAACTTCATTTAGCCCTTCATTTTAGAATGCTTTAGTTTCCCCTCCATTCCTGAAATATATTTTCACTAGGTATAGGATTCTCAGTTGACAGTTCTTTTCTTTCAGCCCCTGGAAAATATTATGCCTCTTCCTTCTGGCCTCTATGTTTTCTGATGAGAAATCTGCTGGCATTCTAATCGTTTTCCCCCAGGTAAGGTGTCATTTTTCTCTAATTGCTTTCAAACTTTTTTTTTAATTTTTAGCTTTCAGAAGTAGGTTTATATCTTTTTGCCAAAGCTAGGACATTTGCAGCCCTGTTTCCTTCAAGTGGTCTCTTTCAACCCTCTTTCTCGTCTCCTTCTGGAACTCTGATGACATACATGCTAAATCTTTTGTTATTGTCCCCCTATTCTTTGAGGCCTTATGCATATTTTCTCCCACTCTATTTGCTAAGTAATTTCTATTGTTCTATGTTCCAATTCACTGATTTTTTTTCTCTATCTTCTCCATTCTGCTGTTGAGCCCATCCCCTGAGCTTTTTATTTCAGTTATTTTATTTCTTAGTTCTAAAATTTTCATTTGCTTCTCCTCTATTTCTTTTACTTCTTTCCTGACATTTTTTTTTTTTGCTGGGAATTTATATTTTTGTATTCATTTCAAGTATGTTTATAATGCTTGTCAAAGCATTTTTAATGTGACTACTTTGAAATCTTTGTCGAAAACATTTTAACAGCTTTCTCATCTTGGTGTTGGCATTTATTGTTTATCTTTAAAAATTCAATTAGAGATATTTCCAGTTCTTGGTAGGATGAGTAAATGTTAAAGTTAAAATCTGGACATTTTATATTATCAGACTCTGGATTTTATTCCAATATTTTGGTTTAGCTGGCAAAATATTGGCTGGCTTTCCCTGATGTCACTGTGTCAGGGAAAGGTTGCAGAGTGCTCTTTTGTTAATTTCAAGTAGAGATAGAAGTCTAGGTTCCCCACTCAGTCTTTATGAATTCTTGGTAGGGTGGCTTCTCATTACTGCTGAGCAGAGGGAGTTCCAGCTCTCCATGTTGTCTCTGCTGACACTGTGGTAAGGGTAGCCTCATTACTGCTGGGTGATGATTAAAGTCCCACCTCTCTACCTGACTGATACCACCTTATGGGGAGAAATGCCTTGTTACTGCCAGGTGGGACTGGAAGAAGTTCATGTTCTCTACAAGCTGTCCACTGGTACCATGAGGGAGGAAGGTGGGTTGTTATTGGCCAGCTGGGATGAAAGTCCTAGTTGCCTTCTTGGCCTTCTCTAATACCACCCTGGAAGAGGTTTGGAGTGCCTCGATAGAGCCTTGCAAGGGTGGAAATCTAGGCTCTCACTTGCCCTTGCCTGTGTGGGTGAGGATGGGCTCACAGGTTTTTGTTGTTGTTGTTGTTTGTTTATTTTTGTGAGGTTTAGCTAGGGTAGAGTGGTTATTGTCTAAATTATCTAAAAGTTGTTTTGTCTTTCTATGCGGCTCTTTTCTTAGTCCTTTGGCTTGAGGAGAGTAAGCTTTTGTTGGGGGTGTTTTTTGGTCTGTGTTTGTTGGCATTTCTAGGTTACCTACTTCTTTAGTTCCAAGTCTGGAGTATATAAGGCAGAAAGAAAACCCATGGAACTCACCATATTTTTCTATGGGTATCACTGTCTCTAGCTGTTCTACTGTCTTCTCTTCACCTTTCAAAGTGATCTTACGTTTGCTTTATATATACTATCCAGCATTTTCACTTGTACTTAGAGGAATGAGAAAAGCATATCTGTTTCATCTTCCTGGAAACAGGAGTCTTCTTTATTTCTTCAATTGTTCATTTTTAAAAAAAATCTTTTTATTATATTTTAAGTTCTGGGATACAAATGCAGAACGTGCAGGTTTGTTACATAGGTATACGCGTGCCACGGTGGTTGGCTGCACCCATCAACGCATCATCTACATTAGATATTTCTCCTATTGCTATCCCTCCCCAGCCCCCCACCCCATGACAGGCCCCAGTGTGTGATGTTTCCCTCCCTGTGTCCATGTGTTCTCATCGTTCAACTCCCACTTATGAGTGAGAACATGTGGTGTTTGGTTTTCTGTTCCTGTGTTAGTTTGGAAGCAGGAGTCTTGACACATTTTTGAGAAAAGAAAAAACTATCCACTCATTATCTATTCCTGACATTTTTTTTGTTTTTATATATTCCTTTTGATTTCTTGTCAACATGTATACAATATTGTACAAAATAGTAATCAGTCTATGTACCTTTTTATTTCCTGTTTTTTCATTTATTATATTTTAAGATATAATAAACATTTCCCTATGTGTTTATATAGACTTCATAATTACTATTTTAATAGCCACTAATACTTACGCTGTTTTCAGGCCTATTTTTAAAAACTTTTTTTCTATTGGTTATTATTGCTACTTCTTTTTTCTATTAGAACCAACACTGCAAAATTACATATAGCTTTTTATTTGGCCTCTTTTGAACTTCTTCCTTAGGATAAATTTCTAGGATAAATGTATCCTTTTTTAGGATACATTATTTTTAAGTCAAAGAATATTTTTAAATGAATTTTGTGATATACTGTTTGGCACTCTCTACAAGGAACATAGAAATTTATGCTCAGTGTTCAGTGTAGTAATTTCTTCACAATGTCATATCTTTTGGATTTTACATTAGTTCTCTGTGGTTGTGGTCCAGTCTCATCCTTACTTGAAACCCTGAAGGACTCAACTTGCAATACTGAGTTACATCACGTGCATTTCAGCCAGTGGCCTTCCAATCAGTGGCACCACTGGAAAATAAACTTTAGATAGAACTGTTAGTTGGCCTTCTATGGATAATTACTTAGGACTCCTCCTCCTCTCTCTTTTCTGAGATGAATTTTATTGGAGAAACTTCTTAACCTGAGAAACAGAAACTCACCCCAGGCATTACTTCTATAAGGTGAGTATATCTGCATTCAAACTTCCCAGAAAACTGAAAAAAACCAATGTTTCTTTCTGGATCAGATAACTTGAGGTCCCTTCCTAATGGGGACCTAAGCCAATCTGTAGCCTCCACAAGTGAGTACTTCGGAACTAGAAAGGTTGGACATACTCTAGTGTCATATTAGAAAGCTGGAGAATCAATTTGTGGCCTTTTGGATGGACACTGGCTGCTCATTAAAATCCTCTTTTTGCATCTACTTTCTCACCATACTTTGTAGCCTGATTCTAACTACTAAATCCAGCAATCTTTTCTTATACTTCTCATCTTTTTGAGCATTCTAGCCACTGTTCAAATGAATTAACTTTATGAAGTAGTATCAACTAATAGCCCCATTTTATAGATGAAAATTGGAAGATTTGAATCCAGAAATTCTGGCTCCAAAGCCCACACTCTTAACCACTGTGCTGCTTTTGTGTTGATGATTAGCTGCCCCTGTCTCTTCTTTGAAGCATTCTTTAGCCTGGCTTCTATGTGCATGCATGTCTTGGTCCTTTTCCATCTCTTTGTTTTCTTCTTCCAACACCTACAGGTAAACATTCACCAAGATTCCTTCTTTAGCTTTCTCTTCCCTTTGCCTTTATCATTATCTGTGACTGTTGTAAGGAATGACATATTTATCTCCAGTAATATCCTGTCAACTCCAAGTATACGTCACTTTTCTTCCTGTTGGCTGAACATCTGTATTTCCACAAAACCCATCATTTTCAATTTCAACTGCATCATCTAACCATAAAACATGATTTTACAGGGTACATTTTTTATTGACATATAACATAAATGCAGACAAATGTACCAAATAATAAGTGTACATTTGAGGAATTTTCATAAAGCGAACACACTCTTGTAGCCAGCACCAAGATAAAAAAAATAGAACATCACCAGCACTTCAGACACACCTCTTGTGCTTTTTCCAGTCACTATCCACTTCACCCCAATAGTAAGCACTATCATAATTTTTAACATTATGAATTAGTTTTTCCTGTATTTGAACTTTATATAAATGTAGTTGAACTTTTGTGCTCTTTGGTGACTATCTTTTTTCATTCAACATTATGTTTGTAATGTTCCATGTTTTTGCATGTAGAGGTAGTTTGTTCACTGTATAACAGCAGTCCCCAACCTTTTTGACACCAGGGGCCACTTTCGTGGAAGACAATTTTTCCATGGACAGTGGGTTGGGGGAGGTGATGGTTTAGGAACAAAATTATTCCACCTGAGATCATCAGGCATTAGATTCTCATAAGGAGCATGCAACCTAGATCCATTGCATGTGCAGTTCACAATAGGGTTTGTGCTCCTACGAGAATCTAATGCCATCACTGATCTGACAGGAGGCGAAGTTCAGGTGGTAATGTTTGCTCACCCACTGCTCACCTCCTGCTGTGCAGCCTGGTTCCTAATAGGCTACAAACTGGTACTGGTCTGTGTGGCCTGGGGTTTGGGGACCCCTGCTGTGTAATATTCCATTATGGGAACATACCACTATTTATAAAGTCCATTTTATTGTTGATGGATATTTTGGTTGGTTTGCCATGTTGGGATGATATGAATAATGCTGCTTTGAACATTCCTGTGTAAATGTTTTTAGTGGTTATATGCATTCTCTGGGTTCATGCCCAGGAATGAATTGTTAACTCTGTATTGTCTGTTTTTGTCTGTTTTCTTTCATTACTCATAATGATTTTGTGATTTGGCCATTTTGCTTATGTCAATAGTTCATCACTATAGTTAACGAATAGTATTCCATTGTATGATATGATACCATTATTTAACTATTCACCTGTTGATAAATAGTTTCCAGTTTGGGCTATCATAAATAAAGCTGCTAAGAACACTCATGTGCAATCTTTGTGTGCACGTACATTTTAGTTCCTTTTGGTTAAATACTTAGAAGTGAAATGACTGAGTTGCAAGGTAGGTGTATAATTAACATTTTAAGAAGCTGCCAAATTGTTTTGGTGGTGGTTGGATGTGTTGGTCCATTCTCATGCTGCTATGAAGAAATACCTGAGACTGGGTAATTTATAAAGGAAAGAGGCTTAATTGACTCATAGTTTCTCATGGCTGGGGAGGTCTCAGGAAACTTACAGTCATGGCAGAAGGGGTCTCTTCACAGGGCAGCAGGAGACAGAATGAGTACCAGCAGGGGAAATGCCAGGTGCTTATAAAACCATCAGATCTTGTGAGAACTCACTCACTATCATGAGAACAGCATGGGGAAAATCGCCCCATGATTCAATTACCTCCCACAGGGTCCCTCCCAGGACATGTAGAAATTACGGGAACTACAATTCAAGATGAGATTTGGGTGGGGACACAGTCAAACCACATTATTGTACTATTTTATATTCCCCTCATTAGTATATGAGTTCCACTTCCCCATACTCACAAACACTTGGTAAAAAGATTAGTATGTTCGATCTTTTTTTTTTATTATTTTTTTTATTTTTAAGTGAATCTCAGGCTCATTGTATTATTCGATCTTTTTAATCTTAGGCAATCTAATGGGCGTGTAGTGGTATCTCATTAAGGTTTTAATCTGCAGTGTATACATATGTCATAACAAATGATGTTGAACATCTTTTCATGTGTTGATTGTCCATTCATATCTTGACTTTGGTCAAAAGTCTGTTTACATTTTGTCGAGTTATAAGCATTCTTTCTGTATTTTAGATGTGAGTTCTTTACCAGATAAATATGTTGTAAATATTTTTATGAGTCTTTTGTTTTCTTATTGGTGCTTTCCAAAGAGTTAAAGTTTTAAATTTTGATAAAGTTCAATTACCAACATTTTTTCTCTTATGGATAGTGATTTCGGTGTCACATCTAAGAAATCTTTGCTTGCCTTAAGATCTCAAATATTTTTCCTGTGTTTTCTTCTAGAAGTTTCATAGTTTCACATTTCACATTAAGATGTGGAATATATTTTTAGTTGATTTTTGTGTATGGTAGGGAGTAGGATTGATTTTTTTTAAAAAAATGGATAGTTTATTGAATGACATTTATTAAAAAGACTTTATTTTCCCCCATTGAGTTGCCTTGGCTTGTTTGTCAAAACTCAGCTGGTCTATTTCTGGACTGTATTCTGTTTCATTGATCTATATGCCTACCTTTACCATAATATTAAACAGAACGAATTACTATAGCTTTATAGTAAGTACTGAAGTCAAATAGAGTAAGTCCTTCAACTATGTTCTTTGTTCGAATTACTTTGGCTATTCTAGGTTCCTTGAATTTTCATACAAATATTAGAATCAGCTTGTCAATTTTTATAAGAATGCTTATAGAAATTTTGATTGGAATTGTGTTGAATCTTGGGAGGAATTTGGGCAGCATTGCCATTTTAACAATATAGAGTTTTGTAATCCATAAATATGCTATCTCTCTGCATTTATTTAGGTCATAGAAGTTGGGGTGGGAGACAAGATGTTTTGACTGTAGTGCTAAACCACCATAAGTCTCAATTGTTCAACTGTTGGTTTCAAAAGTTGGAAATAATTCTCCTCAGCTACGTCCACTGCTCCTTCTTTCTCCTTTCGTCTCTTCCTTATTTTTTTTTTCCTCTTCTACATCTTTTTCACTGAAAGCAAATTTACCACAGGCTTGGTGTTTAATTCATATCCTATTTCTGTCCTTCTATTGTTGAAAATTTTTATATTGTTTTAGTTTCTAAATATCAAGTCCATTTCCCCAAAGAGGTGGATCTTTCCATAAAATGGATTCTCAATCAGCTGATTAAGATTTTCTTCACCTTGTTGCTCTTGAATTCCCTATGCCTGGCACAGTGGTGAATGGTTGTAGACTACTCCATGGATATGCACTGAAAAGGAAGACTGCAGTTTTCTAGATGCTTTAGGCCAAAAATCCTGCTCTTGTGATCAAAAGGGAGCAAATTGTTTCAAAAAACCTTGTTTATCTACTAAAATCAATTTCTCTTGAGTAATCTCTTAATTCATGTCTTCACTTTGGTCTTACAGGTGCCACATGTAAACACGTATCAGTTAGTAGAAGAAAATATTTTCAGTCAAATGGAATATACGTTCTTTACAAAGTGTACCATAGAGTTCTTTGATTTTTGTCTCGCTTGCAGACTTTTTGCCGACCACATCGATGATCATAGTTTTTATATTTTTTGGTCAGGTGAAGATACTTTAAGAAATACTTTTAATAAATGTGATAGCCAGCCTGCAAGATGGCTCCCAGAGATTCTTGCCTCCTGGTATTCGTGCCTGTGTGTATTCACCTCCCACACTGAATAGAGCTGACCTGTGTGACCACTAGGATATTGTGGAGATGGTGGGGCATGACCTTGGACACACTAGGTTAAAAAAGAATTTGTGGGTTTTTTTTTTCTCTTGGATTATTGCTGTAGGGGAAGCTAGCTCCCATGTCGTGAGGATATGCAGGCAGCTCTGTAGAGAAGCTGATGTGGCAACGGAGGCCTCCTGAATGAAACTAACAGTAATTTGCCAGACATGTGAGCGAACCAAATTGAGAGGGATCATCCAGCTCCAGACAAACCTTCACATGATATCACAGCTTTGGTCAACATCTGCACTGCAACCTTATGAGGCTGCCTACAGAGACTATATGAGATAATAAATGTTTATTGTCATTGATGCCACCATATTTTGTGGCAATTTGTTATAAAGCAATTAATTAACTAGTACAGCTAGTTAGTAAAGCTTGAAAAATCTTTCTTAAATCTCATTATAAAAATCTTTATGTAATTTTATTTTCTACTGTGATGTCACTAATTTTTGAGTTAATTTGTTATTCAGCAATCAATAACTAAAACAACTAGTTAGAAAGACTTGAAAGAAATGTTCTTAAATCTCATGACAAAACTCCAATATAACCTTGTTTAATATAGTGATAAGCTCTTTAAATAGAAAGATCTGAACTGTTTTTGCAAGACACGAGTGATTTTTGTTTTAGTGACATGGCAAACGGATAGGTGTTCCTTCCAGTTGTCCTGGGAGAGGAATTAAGATATGCAGTATGAGGTGCGCTCTCATCCTCACCTCTAGTATGAGGTAGAGGAGAGCATAATGGTGATCTCTTTTCAGAGTCCCAGGCACTAAATGAAGGTCAAGAGAACTCCAGGGTTTCTTCTGTGAGTATCTCTGACTCTGAAAACTTGGGACATTTCTCCATTGTTTCATGGATGTATTTTGATGTGGCAAAAATCCTTCCTTTGTGCTACATATCGGCATTAAATGATTGAGGTGTAGACTCTTGTGAAACTTTCATTTAATTACGCATGAAGCTCTATAGAATTTCACCCACAGAACAGGGGTTGTTTTGTCAAGTGTTCAAGACCTCAATTTGCCGTTGGCTCACCCCCCAGCGCAGTCATGCGATTAGTCACGCAAGTAGTCACGAACACCCTTTACCATAAAGGAATCATCGCTGACGGCCCCACCAGTGCTCCTTCCCCCAAATATGGCTCTGAAAACTAAATTCAAACATGTGTGTCAGTTCAGACTTATTTTTCATGTTTGTTTTGCCCAAAGCATGGACCATGTCAGAGAAGATGGAGACACCTTCACGGCCTGTTAGTCACATCTCACCAAAGCTTCTCAATGGGCTGTCAGACAAGAAAGGAGCCTCCTGTAGCCATCTTAATCAGCATCCCCCATCTGTGAGGTCATCGGGATATTTCAAACAATCTTCAGCTCTCATTAGTTGAGTGCGTTTCACAGGCAAGTCCTTATCTTTTGTAACTTTTGCTGCCACATCCTGAGAAAGGCCTCTCTGCAGAATGACACTTTCCCTATGGGTCAGCCCGCCATAATGAGCCACCAACTGAGGTGCCCTTTGCACTCACTAGCTGTATATGTTGATATTAACCTTTCGTGTTGCGAGATGTCGCTTTTACCCTTGGCTTCTGCCATGTAAGTCTCATTATTTCTAATAGGCTGTGGCAATTAGGGTCTTGGGGCTGCTGATCGCAGCCATGTGGAGCGGGGAAGGGGCACTGGGGAGAGCAGTTGCTTTTTCTTTCATGAACAATGTGATGCATAGCTCAGCCCAGATCTGCAAACAGCGAGCTGTAGTAGACCTCCGGCCGAGGATGGGAAATTCCACACCCAGCGCTTTCACATGTCCTTTCTTCACGCCAACTACTGGCTATTTGCAAATCCCTTTTGTGTAGAATGACATGCTTGGCAGATATTTCAGCACATTGGATTTGGCCTAATAAGGAATTTATTAAACAAGATTATTTGGGGATAAAATGGATACATTCAAAGACACTCTTTTTTTTTCTTTTAAAGATAGTTGTCCGGAAAAGGAAGAGGATGACACTGATGACCAGCCGTCTTGGGTGGTTCACAGGCTCACTAAGGAGGCAGTGTTGAGCCTGACGGATCTGTGAAGGCCCCTCCGACTTGTAACTGTAAAATGATGACTCTTGATGGAACTCTACAGTTGTTGACACCTGGTGGGCCACCTACAGCTGAAGGTAAATAAAAAGCTGTTTCTTCAAGGTTAGAACAATAAATTGGTAGAATCCTAATAGGGATAAGGGAATGAAGAGGAAAGATTCCACAGAAGGGCAAGTGCATAAGGAAAATCTACAAATAACGAAAAACATAACAGAGGGTCAAGCTCTCACATTCTCTTCAGTTCTTTGACCTGAAGCTCTTACTGTATTAGAAAGATAGCAAAACAAAATGAAGCATGATTTTTGCTTCAGACTAGAAGATGTTGAAGGCTAAGGGACAACAGCCCAGAGGAAAGACATTAGCTTATTTATAGGTAGCAGAGCTTGAATATTCTACATGGGGGCAAGATTTTTCCAAAGAAATGCAAGAAAAAGCCCCTATATTAATCTGCTGTTTATGAAAATAACACTTGGGAAAGCCCCTGCAATGAATGTCTCATAAATTAAGGGCATAAATTCAGAAATCCTAGTGTGATACTACTAAAATAATCCCTCCTGGCAATGGAGCAGTATGGCCTGCTGAGAGCTCCTTACTCCTGATAGCTGATTTATTACTTGCTCTGCAAAATGACTCATTTAAAATATAAGTTCATTTCAGCTAGGTTGGTCACAGTATAAATATGTGGTGGTGGCAAGGTGGAGAGTGCAAAATATATAGCCAGTAAACATCAAAAATTAATTCTTCCTTGAATAGATAAAAAGTTTCCAGTAGAAAGCATAAGAACCAATTTTCCTTCCTTCCTTCTCTCCTTCTTTTTTTCCTTCCTTCCCTCCCTTCCTCCACAACCATTTAATCAGCTTGTGCTATGAGTAAGCATTGGACCGGGAGCTGATGATACTATGCACCTGGTAATGAAATCTATGGCCTCTTTGCATTCATAAGTGTCTTTTCCAGGCTACTCCCCCACCACCCAGCTCCAATTTTATTCTTCTCCCTTACTCCATGCCTGGGAAAATAGAATATAACCCACATGGAGGGGAGGAAACTATTGGGGCACAGAGGAATTCTCAGTAGAGTTCAAGGGCATTTACATATTTATGGCATTGGCTCTTTGGTTTTTCTTTTTTGGATGCTTTTCTTCCCATTCGAACACTGCTCCCCAGACCTCTGGAGCAGTACAAAGGGCCTGGGGCTGCCTCACACATAGCAGGGAGGATTCTGTCCTGGGAAGTCCAAGCAGGAGCAGGATAGGACTCAGGGAAGGATGGCTTGGGCCAGCTTCTCTCAGACCCAGGGAGAAGAGCTCTGGTTCCTCTTATTTCTTGGGATCATCCTTCCTTACTTTTTTGAGTTTTTAAGGCTTTCCCACCTATCTATCATCTATCTATCTATCTATCTATCTATCTATCTATCTATCTATCTATCTATCTATCATCTTTCTGTCTGTCTACCTCTCCATCACAGTACCTAAAGGGGACCTTAGAAGGTAATAAAAATGATTGCAAATGACTAAACCCATTGAACAACTGCCAGATGAGAAAACTGAAGCTCAAAGAAGGCAGGTGACTTTACCAGGGTAATGCAGTGTCTGGTAGAAGCTGCTCACAATCTTAAATCTGTAGTCTTTAAATGCAGCATTTATTGCCTACGATGTTATGACTCTTGGAATAGTTACTAAACTTTTTTGTTCTTCTATTCCCAACTGGGATCCCCTTAGTGACCCTTATTGAGAAAAGTCTTCTAAGTTCAAGAATAGAGGACATGTGGGAGAAGGTGAATTATGGAGCTGGAGCTGGAAAGAATTCAGTGGCGTGACTGTGCTGTGTGTACTGTTGTCAGCTATAATTCAACAAGAGCTCTTACAGAGAACTTTCTTAATTTATGTTTAAAGTTTTTTTCCCTCTGGTGCTGTGTCCATAAATGGCCAGATTATAGGGGACCGTTTTCTTTGGTATTGTTTATAGTTATCTTGTGCCAATACACAAAGTTGAAGCACTTCTTTCAGAAAATAAAATTATATTCTGATAAACTACAGTTTGGAAGTAAATTTGGTGGTAAGTGAGCATTTTCTGGTGCTGAGGGGACTATGTAGGGCAGCAGTGAGGTGATCAGCCCTCTGACCTTAGAACAAAGAACTTGGAGGAAGAGCGCACACACCTCACAAGAGGTTGTCACTTTCTCCGTAACTATTTCCACATTGGGTTACAAACCACAATTCGTGTCTGTTTCTAAGAGACCGTGAGATATTTTTCAGTTCAATTTCAAATTGCTTCTGACAATTGAGAGGGCTTCACAGCTTTACTAACTGATCAGTGGTTTGGGCTTTCAGTTATTTGATGCACAGAGAGTTTCATGAAGGAGTGTTTTAAATGAAACTTTCACATTCATTCCTTTTCCAATTGGACGGATGCACAGCAAAATTCAGTGGTGTAGCATCTCACAATGGACAGATTCAGTTTGACAGTGGGTAAAATTTTGTTCCCTGTGTTTTAAGGTTCAAAGTGATAAAACAAACCTGGTACGGAAATAACTGATTGTGGAACGCGAAGGACCTGTGATCATGCAAAGGTGACAGAGCAGGTAAAATGTTTTGGACAAGAGGGAGAGAGTTTGCAGGTAAAGAACCTATAAGGGGCAGAAAGAGGAATGCAGGACACTTCGGGATGTGGGTCACATTTTGTCCTGGAATCAGTACTTACCAGCTTAGTCTGAGGCCTTGGGACAGAAGTGCTGCTCATAAAAGTAAATTGTGTTTCTGCAATGAAATCTCTGAAACTTCAGGAGAAGAGCACTTGGTCAGCTTGCTTGGGGTTACTAGTTCAGTGGTGACATACAAGTGTGTGTGTGTGTGTGTGTGTGTGTGCACGTGCATGCGCATATTTGTGTGTTTAGACGGTGTGTGCTCACTGCTTCAGAGAGCAGTTTCAGGGCCATCTGTTTTGAGCTCAGTGTGACTCCAGATAACCAAGAGTAGGAAACAACTCTGGGGTGATGATGGCAGCAACAGTGACCTCAAAGTAAAGTGGTGAGTATTTTTTTACTATCTTCCCTGATTGTGTGGGACCCTCAAATATTTCCCCAATTATTTCTGGGAATCCTAAAGAGCTACCTCTTAAGTCCTCTAAGCAAATTATCTCAGCAGCCTGAGAAAAGGGACTTGCCATTTTCCCTCTTCTCTGCCTCTGAATCCATTTGGTAATTATGGCCAAGAAGTCACATGTAGACTGCATTGCAGTGGGGTGTGGCTGAGAGGACTTGCTTTAGGGTGGAGCGAAGTAACATGCTATTAATCTGTTCATGTAACCAAGCAATCTGTCTTTTATTCTACATATTGTCACATAGTCCATAGAGCATTCAAGGCCTGGAAAGAAAAGAACACTAACAACAAAACCAAAACAAGTAGACAAACAAAACAACTTCAAAATACAGCTCCTGTTCTGTAGGAGCACATAGTCCATTGGAGGTCCACTTACACACACACACACACACACACACACACACAAGGGTGGTGTAAACAGTGGTGCTGGAGTCTCCTGAGATTGTGCCCGGCAGCACGGCATCAGGAAAGACCCCATGGGAGCAGAAATTTTGAGATTGGAGCCCTATTTTGAAGGAAGAGTAACATTTGGACAGGTTCAGGTGAAAGGAGGGAGAACTTCCTAGGTAGAGAAGTGGCATGTGGCAGGAACTTGCATGGCGAGAAGCTGAAGCCAGCTGTTTGGTTGGTAGGAAGATCAGTTTTCCAGGAGCAGGCAGTCAGTGTAGACAATCCACACTGGCGAGGTAGCCTGGAGTTAGGCTGTGGAGGACTTTAAGGACAGTCTCATTGGATCTGGGGCCCACCCTAATGCAGGATTATCTTATTCCAATCCTTACCTTAATCATGTCTGCAAAGATGGCATTTCCAAATCAGGTCACATTCTGAGGCTTTGGTGGAGGTGAATTTTTGGGAGATGTTATTTAATTCACTACAGATGAGTTAAGATTGGGGCTGATTATAAACTGCTATAATTGGGGTAACAAGGAAAGGCTTTTTGGAGGGAATCATATTTGAGTTGAGACTTGACCAAGGACAAGGAAGAAGCCATGTGAATGTAAATAAGCAGAAGGAACACCAACAGTCAAGACCTTAAGATGACAATAAGTTTAGTGTTTAGAAAGAATGACAGCTTTTTTTGTCCTCTGTGATGTGAATTTTCTCCCTTGAAATGGTGCTAAAGCATTTAAGCCTAAAGAGACAAAATAGGAGACAATCTTGGAATTGAATCCACTCAATCTGCCTGCTGCTCTTGCTAAGGTCAAGGCTGTGCTGTGGATGAACATGACCTCGACTGAAAGTATTTGAATGCTATTGGTGCCCCATGAAATGAACTAAATTATTTCACGATTCTCTTCCTCTGCTAAACTTTGTTCTCAGAAATTAGAAGCCCAGAAAAGTAGCTCACACTCAGTATTCAAACTCTCATTGCAATGGAAGCAGCATTGCAGAATTTATTTAGTGCAGAGAGTTGGGAAATTTGGGTTTTAAATCCCAACTTTAACAGTGGCCAACCATGCCTTTTAGGTAAGTCTCTTTACCTCTCTAGGCCTCAGTTTTCCTCATCTGTAAGGCAATGTTGGACCAGGTCATGTGAGGGCTGAGGCAGAGTGGGACCCTTCCAACTCTGGCTTCCTAGCTTCACAGAATGCCCCAGGAATTGTCTGGCCTTCGCAGGATCTTCCCAGAGTTCATGGACACATTTGGCTCTTGGGTAGCCAAGGCTCTGAGTGTAGAATAGTAAAACCAATATGCATGAGGGTACTTGTGAATACACTCCCACCTAAACTTGACCTCTAATGTGAGGCCCAGTTTCTGAGTGTGGATTTACAAAGGCTTTCCTCTGTACACTTCTCCTTGCACCTGGAGAATCTGCTTGTGGACTTTCAGATCTACCAACTACCTTCCACAGAGCTCTCTGAGACAGGGAAGGAAAACCAGGCTTTACAGCTAGACCAGGACTTTGTTAATAAGACGATTGTTCACAGCTATATGTTTACCACAACCTCTTTTAGCTTTGCCTGTAATTACCTTGGCCCTATGCACTGAAGAATCTGTCTGCACTGCAGCGGGACTCTTAAGTTCCCATTGATTCTGAGTAAGTCCCAAATATATTTTTATTCTGTCCTCTGGTATTCTGCTGAGCAGAGGGCAGAGTGTCTCTTTCCTGCTCTGTGCAGGAGGTGATGAGCTCCTTGAGTGGTTCTGCTACTAGCTCACTGGTGACCTGGTGACCATCTCATTCTAGTCGGCCCAGGACAATCCCAGCTTGAAAATGGAAAATTCTGGATCCTGGAAAACCCCTCAGTCTTGAGCAAACTGGGAGATTGGCACTCTACAGCAGTGCATCAGGGTTGCTCGGAGTCCAGTAACAAATTTGGAGACTAAGACGGTGGCTCACGCCTATACTCCCAGCACTTTGGAAGGCCAAGGTGGGCAGATCACCTAAGGTCGGGAGTTCAAGACCAGCCTGTCCAACATGGAGAAACCCCATCTCTACTAAAAACACAAAATTAGCTGGGTGTGGTGGCACATGCCTGTAATCCCAGCTACTCGGGAGGTTGCGGTGAGTGGAGATCGCGCCATTGCACTCTAGCCTGGGCAACAAGAGCGAAACTCTGTCTCAAAAAAAAGAAAAAAAATAAACTGGAGACAAAGCATTAATCCTAACAGAAGGCAATGCAGATCCACAGGCAGTGCCACGGAGCCAGCTGTGAGCCCTGCTACTGCTCCCTTCTCCCAAGGCATCCCCCTGCAAGGCTGCACAACGCTATGCTGAGCACGGGGAGTCTCTGGACGCCTCTGCCTAGCTGCTTGACTGGAAATCTACCCACATTTAGATTTTCTAGTAATACTCACTCTATTTTTCTTAAGAGACCCTGGCTGACTAAAACAATATATAGCAACATAATACATTCTGTAAGGAAAATCAGTAGGAATTCCTCACTCTGAAAAACATCTTTACTGGCTCTGTCACAAAATAGGCCCTAAGTGGCGGTAGTGAAAGGACCAGCATTTCTCTTCACTGCTGATGCACAGGTGAGAAGCTTGAATTGTGATTTCTGATGCTATTCTTTTCTCAAAGCAATCAAATTTTCTTGGAAGTTAGTTAATTGCAGTCTTAGGGAAAAAAAAAGCGAGGATGGCTTGGAACATCTTTTTGTTGTGGACTGAAAAAAAGGAGTGTTCGAGAATATCAGAGGCAGTACTTAAAGGAGTTTTTGCTAGCCCCACTGTGAAAATGTGAACATCAAATAAAAGGCAATCACGGCTTCATTAATGCAAGTTGTTTTTGTGAAAGGCTATGAGTTTGGTATAATACTCTAATGAGATAAGTGTATAAAAACATAGCTATCATACAAAAAGAGGTGAATATAACAGACAAGCAAATTAGTATACGTAGATATTCTGGCTTTTAAAAAATATTAAGTATATGTCTGTTTTAAAATATTGATTTGTATTTGTTTCGTTCTGCACAAGCAGGAGAGAATAAACTGAGGGACCTGAGAGTCAGCCATGACGCCCCTGGAGAAGTCTGTTTCAGGAGCAGGAGGGATTCCTCGGCATTGTGCCATTTAATAATTAGAAAGGAATGGGGCTCAAGAGATCAGGAGTAGCAGGAGAGCTCCACAGTTGTACCCCGCCCTGATGAATTATTCAGTATTCTAAGGAGGGAGGTCATCTTTCATTTCTTAAGAGATGAAATCTCAACATGGCTCCACTAATGAGAAGCAACTACTACTAAAGAAAGTGTTCTTTTTTTTTTTTTTTTTTTTTTTTTCCCGAGACAGAGTCTTACTCTGTCACCCAGGCTGGAGTGCAGTGGCGCCATCTTGACTCACTGAAACCTCCACCTCCCGGGTTCAAGTGATTCTCCTGCCTCAGCCTCCCGAGTAGCTGGGATTACAGGCACCTGCCATCATGCCCAGTTAATTTTTGTATTTTTGGTAGAGATGGGGTTTCACCACGTTGGTCAGGCTGGTCTCAATCTCCTGACCTCAGGTAATCTGCCCGCCTTGGCCTCCCAAAGTGTAGGGATTACAGGCGTGAGCCACCATGCCTGGCCACATTCATTTTTAAGAAGGCTAACAGATCAGGCCAATATATCAAAATTAAAGAATAATGCATGAATGCATCAGGACATGCAAATTTAATGAACACTTTATTTCTGGGAAAGAAAAGTCATGCAAAAATGAAATAGCTATGAAAGTCAGGGACATCAGAATGCCACGTGGTGAAAAGAGGACTATATTAGGTATCTATTGCAGTGCAACAGATTATCCCCAAAACTTAGTGGAAAAGGGAGAAAGAGAAGGACAAGAAAAAGAAAATCAAATAGCTGCTCTGGTGGCCTAGGAATGTTGCCTAATATCAAAACAAGGAACAAGGGAGGCCAAACCCTCAGGATATTTCAGGGCAAGAGATGATTGTGGCGGCCAGGCATGGTGCTTTTTAAAGCTCCCAGGTGATTGTGTCAGGCGTCAGGGTTGGGAAGCTTTATTCCAGAGTGTGACTTGCCAATCTACATTTACTTTAGTCACAGTCAACATGGTTAGTAGAGGTGTTGGGGGTGTATAATGAACACTCACCGAGCATCAGTGATGAATCAGGTTCTGTGCTAGGGCTCTTTTGTATATTTCCTCATTGATTCCTCACCATAGCCCCGGGCGAGCACACAGCACAACTGTATTATCACCATTTATAGAGGCAGGAACAGAGGCTAGAAAAGTTTAGTAAACTGAGACTTTCTCCTCCTCATGAAGGAAAATGGTGAGCAGTGGGCTGCAGAAAACAGTGTTTGGACTTAGAAAGCAGTGCCCCAAAGGAAGCACAAGTTTTGCCCTGACCTTATCCTGCCCTCCTGTCTCAGTCCCAGTCTCCACCTAGGCTAGCCATGGAAACTAGAATCTTCGAGGTGAGTCATAGAAACCAGGACCCCCTTTCTCCAAAGCCAGCCATAAAACCTAAAAATATTACTCTGACATTCCCCTGCCTTTCTGCGTAAAAACTGGCCACAAAGAAATTATCTGGCCTACTTTGTTTGACTGTAGGTCATAAGACCCCCATTCCAGTGAGGGTCCTGCCCATAACCAGAAGGAAGGAATGCTGAACAGAGGCCAAGAGGAACCTAGGCAGACAGGCCTTGCTGGATCCCCACTCAGTCTATTAGCGTTAGATTATAGCCTTTTTGTCGAATCATATTTCTACATGGCTGTCCATACTTAATTGAACCTAAGCTATCATACTTTGTTGAACATGGACAATTTCTTTGCATCTTTGGGTCTTCATTCTGAAGGCTCTCGTGTACACATTAACAATAAATTGCATGCCTTTTCTCCTATTAATCTACCTCTTGTCTGTGATTTTCAGTAAACCTTCAGAGGACAAAGGGGAAATTTTCACTTGGACCTCACAAGGACGAGGTTCAACCAGGGGGAGCAATGATGGGTGCTGGAAGGGGAAGTGATGGGGGTGGGAGGGTAGAGGAGGGAAGATCTCTAGGCTTAAATCCAAGGCTGGGATGTAAATGTGGAGCTCTTTCTCCTTCTTTGCCCTTGGAACGTGGTGCTGTGGCTCTGATAAGCTCCTACTGGGTGTTGAGTAACTTTGTGTGACAAGAGTAGAGAAACTGAGAAGAAGAGGCCCAGGAAGAAGGGTCAGGAAATGCAGATTTCAGGTCACTGAAGAGGCCAGGCCAGTGAGGACAGGGATGATCCTATGGAACACGTCAATGCTGCTCCAGGAGCAAAAAGATCATCTCAGGATGGGGAGAAACTGGGTGCCTGGAGGCTTCAGGTTGCTGTTGTCAGCAGTTATTGGAAAATGTTTTAAAGCAAATATGCACATGCCCACTCACCCATGCACACACATCTGCTTCTAGAAACAAACTGAATTTCTTTGCTACAACAAAGTGGTCTCATTACTTTATTTACGTGGAAAATGACATAGAGAATTCCCTCCCCATAAGAGCTGCAAGTTCACCTTGAAATGCAAAGTGATTGATTGTGCTACACCCACTTAGTTTCTCCTTTTCTGAACGTTTGACATCATTCAGTCTTTGCTGATAGGGAATCCTGCAGCTGTGTATCTCCTCATGTGGCCTCAAAAGCATACCTGTTGGGGCCATTACTTTACTCTGGTAATTTGTAAGGCATCTTGTGCTACCCTGGTAAATGACTTGGGAAAGCCATTGGTGCCCAAAGAATGACTGAAATCAGGAGCCAAGACAAACTTGGAAATATGGGCATGGTGCTGGGTAACAAATGAAAATAAAGGAAACAAACCGACCACAAAATCAACCTCAAATGCCCTGCATTGTGCCTTAGAGGCAATGAAATAGTAGTGCTGGCTTCCTAAAACAGGAACCCTTCACCAAGCAAGAACTGCGCATTTCAGAGGCTGCAAGGTGCTCTTCTAAATCACAAAAGAAGCAAGTGGAAGTGAGGTCATTGTTAGAGGTCTGAGTTTGGGGTTAGAACAAGCCCGTGTCTATGATACTAGGCTTAGGCCTTAAGGATGTTTCAAGACCTAGAGAGCTGTGCTTGGCTAGACCTTGTTGCCTCTCATCACCGAAGCTATTCCCAAGTACCACAGGCCCCTCTGGGAAATTAATGATGGTTGGAGAGGAAGCCAGCTCCACAGTCAAGCTGGGGGCATTTGAAGAGCCCAAGGTGAGGAAATAAGGGAGCGTATGAATTAAAGAAGCAGAGTTTTTGCTTGGGTTCTGATCTCTGAGGCAGTATGTGGCTCAGATAAAAACTCTGTGGAGCTATTTCCTATGCTGGATGGAGTTCTCTCTCACAATAGGAAAGCTTTAAGTACTGAATGTAAAGTTCTCTATCAGCTATCTGGTGAATCTCTCCTATGCACAGTGTTGTAATATATCCAGGTGAGAGGTGGAGCCCAAGGAGTGTCATACAGGCTGGTTATTCGTTTCCAGAAAAAACAGGTAAGAATATTTTTGTTTAAGATGAAAATCAATGAAAGGCCTTTCTTAAGGGTTATGGACTGAATATTTGTATCTCCCCCTCCCCAAGCTTATATGTTGAAGCCCTAATCCCCAGTGTGAGGGTATTTGGAGATGAAATTTATTGGGAGGTAATTAGGGTTAGATTAGGGCATGAAATTAGGGTCCTCATGATGGGATGAATGGCTTTATAAGAAGAGGAAGAGAGAGAGGAAAAGGCCATATGGGACTTAATGAGAAGGCAGCTGTCTGAAGCCAGGAGGAGAGACTTCACCAGAACCTGACCATGCTGGCACCCTCATCTTGTGTCCAGCCTCCAGAACTATGAAAAAATCAGCTTCTGTTGTTTAAGTCCCCAGTCTGTGGTATTTTGTCATGGCATGCAAGCTGACTAGACATTAAGTATCCACCTTTGCTCATGCTGGCCTGGGCTGTACTGAGAACATCTATCTTTTCATTGACTTTATCTGTCCCCAAATGGAATATTCCTTCCCTATGATTGTGGCTTCTCCAGTGGGGATCAGATGGCCAGTCTAGTAGCAGGTAGGGTGGCATCACAGGAAACTGACATTTTGTAGGTCAAAAGTTATAAAAAAAAAAAAAAGCCATTGAAAATTGCTGCCATTTGGCCTATAAAGTGGCTTTTCCATGCAGTTGTAACATACCTGGTATTGTGTATCTAGGTGTTGTGGGTGCCAAAAATGTAAGAAGCACTTTTGTCTGCAGAAGATTTATATTATACCAGGATTCAGCAAACTATGACCCATGGGCCAAGTCTGACCCATCACTGGTATTCGTAGTCTTCCTGGAACACAGCCACACCCACTTGTTTACTTATTGTCTATGGCTGTCTTCATGCTACACCACCAGAGCTGAGTAGCTGAGCAAAGACTGCACCACCCACAAAACTTAAACTATTTACCATGTGACTGGTTAGAGAAAAAGTTTTCTGAGCCCTGCATTACACAGTGTAAGTGTAATGCAAGTGTAATGCAAGTAAGACTCAATGATCACGCATAAACACTGCCATTTTTCTTATTGCAATTTCACACATCTCCTACCTTACCTTTCTTACCTTTCATCACTATTTTTTTCACTCCTCTACTTGTTTGAATTTCCAAAGTCTCTCCTTTCCCCACTCTTCATGATTCCTGCTTGTTTCTGGCCCCCATTCCTTTCTACTCTCTTCTGTTTGCTTTTCCTTCTTCTCTTGATTGGCTTCTGCTCTCCCATCCTTGCCCATCTCTTCCCACCTCTTCATTCTCTTCTTCTTCCACTTTGTTCCTTCCTCTTTTCCTCTGTGCCTCCTCCATGGAACTGGTTGGATTCTTTGACTTAGGATGGATGGATTGACTCACCTTCTCACCATTCACGGCGGCCTTTCTGGCCCACACACAATCTTGTGTAGATTTTCCTCTTTAGATCTTATGTTTCTCTGAGGCAGGACTGATATTTAACTGGTAAGGAAGGTAGCCTTGTAAGAATCGATGTTTATTTAGACTGTCTGCTCTGATTGGTCAGTGTTGAATTTTTTGCAAATCATTCTTGCCATCAGATCATCTGTCTCAACCAGCCAGACAGCTCAAAATTTAGAAATGTTGCCCAGATATCTTTCTCTTAGAGACTCTATGAATTCCTGTTTGTGGGCTCAGCCTCTGGGGTTTTAATGAGGCTCTTGTTGTTTTTATATCATTGTGAGGCAGTGTCTAGAATTCAGAAATTAAGTCCATTCAAAATTAGGATGGGTGTGTGTGCTGGGTGGTGCCTTTCTTCCCACAAAGCAATGTGTTTTGAATCTAAGATATTCTGTGGTCAAATGCTTCTCAGAAGCATGTACCAGTGGCTGCTAAAGACTTTCTTATGCAATACTGCTGAAAAATACACCAAAAAACTGGGTAGTGTGGAGTCATTTCTAAGCAATTATCAGTGATACACCAAGCCTTGTCACACCACTCATCATTGATGCCAGACTGACAAAAGACCTTAAATTTCAGGGTTATTAACCATCACCCCAACCCATGATTGAATTGAGAGGAAATAGCCCCAGCACACAGCAGCCACAGACTTTGCTTGGCTTTGAAGAATGTTGCCTAGAATATATTTTAGTGACAAAGACTTGGCTGCATTTACCAATTTTTTCTTTTCTTTTTTTCTTTTTTTTAAGAGACAAGGTCTTCCCATGTTGCCCAGGCTGGACTCAAACTCTTAGGCTCCAGGGATCCTCCCACCTTGGCCTCCCAAGTAGCTGGCTGGGACTACAGGCACATGTCACCATGACTGACTTTGTCTAAAATTTGAATTTATTCACCCTAATTACTTTTCTTTCTCTTTAAAATGTTCTTGTTAAAGCTGTGCTCCCTTTTTTCCATGGTGAGTATGGCAATTCTGATTTCTGTATATTTTTAAAACTTGTGGACAAACCACTTCATCATTGTATCTAACAATAAAAGTCATAGGCCGGGTGCGGTGTCTCACGCCTGTAATCCCAGCACTTTGGGAGGCCGAGGCAGGCGGATCACGAGATCAGGAGATCGAGACCATCCTGGCTAACATGGTGAAACCCCATCTCTACTAAAAATACAAAAAATTGGCCGGGTGTGGTGGCGGGCACCAGTAGTCCCAGCTACTCAGGAGGCTGAGGCAGGAGAATGGCGTGAACCCAGGAGGCGGAGCTTGCAGTGAGCCAAGATCGTGCCACTACACTCCAGCCTGGGTGACAGAGCGAGACTCCACCTCAAAATAAAATAAAATAAAAATAAAAGTCATAAACTTGCTATGGAAAAAACAGAAGGAGATTTAGCCAAACAATGTGTAATAGACATTTGTTGGTTGATGCTGTAGCTTCTGTTATTTTCTTCCTAGCAGCCCTCATTGGAGTTTGGGAATCCATTTGGCTCTATGGAATCTGATTCTACCTGGGGCTCCAGGGGTGGAACATGTGACCCAGACCAGCACATTTGGCTCCCCAGCCATGTGGTTGGCCATGGGTGGACATATGACCAAGCAAATCCAATTAGAGTGAATCCCAGGACTTTTGCTTGGAATTCTAGAACAAAAACCTTCTTTCTTTCCTGCTGGATGTAAATGAGAAAGCACACAGCTCAGGGACCTCTTGGTGAACATCTTGGAACTATGAACAATATTGGGCAGAGATTAGACAAAAGGAAACTAGGTGCTCAGTGAAAATGTTGAGCTGTTGGACCATGCCTCAACTGAAACCTCTGGACTTTACACTTGTAAGAGCCAATAAATTCCTTTACTTATTCAAGTCAAATTGGGTTGGGTTCTCCATCACTCGCAATCAAAAGATTTCTAGCTTAGGCACAGGACCATTGAATAATGATCATAGGCATAGAAACAAGAGACCAAAGACTGGGTACTAGTGTCTGCTCCATGCCAACTAACTAAGACCTTCAACGGGTCTTTATCCTCTCCTCTGTGGGCCTCAGTCTCTAATATACAGAAAGGAAGTATAAAATTGGGCTTGGTGCCTTCTGAGATGTTTTAGATTTAAGAATCTCTGAGTTCAACCCTCATCTTGATCCATTGCAAACCAGCTCTCCGTTTGCCATTTCTGTCAATGGCCCATCACACTCCCAGCCTCTGGATAGAAACTTCGAAGTTGTCACTGTATCCAACTCCAACTCCATCTCTCCTCACCAACTCCAACTCCAACTCCTCTCTCCTCATTATCTCCTATATCTGCTCCGTTACCAAGGCTTGTCAGTTCTTCTTTCTAAATATCCCTTTTAATCTTTCCCTCCTTCCCATTCTTGTGAACATTATTCATGTCCAGGCCTTCATCCACTTGCTACATCTCCCTACAGTTCCTAATCCCTTGAATCCATCTTCCTCATTCCTGCCAAATTAATATCTTCAAACAGACTTTTAAAAATTACAGGAGCCCCACGATGGAAAAATAAAGTCTATACTGCTCAGGAGGCCTTCTGTGTGCTCCATTCATTGCAGCCATCCTGGCTTTTTAACATGGGTTACTTTTATAGCCTTGATTGAAACACAGAAAGAGGACTGTTTTTGTTTGTTTGTTTGTTTTTGAGGGTATTTGGAAAGGACTTTTTCAGGAAGTACTGGAGGCTTATATAGTAAATCTGTTGTTGCTGGGCCCAAGTTGTAAGGGAATACATGTTGGTGAATGAAGCATGGCAGCCTCAGAGCTAACAACCTAGGGCCCCATGAGCACTGCATCTTCTACAAACTCCCTCAGATGAGTGTGCCCTGGAAAGTGTGTGGCACTTTTAGGTGTTAAATACACTTAATAAAGCAAGATATATCTTATATGTGGTTGACTGTGAAACGATGGGCATTTTAAACATTTGTGACTTTAACATAACCAAAACAGATATTGGTTAATGTCTAACTGCTATTCTTTTTAAAGCGTATATTAATGTATCAAGTATATATTTTACTAGGACACTCTGTAGTAGGTAGCCATGAAAAAAGTGACTGTTGACTTATTATCTTCTTGGAGTTATTGCTGGATTAAGAGGAGACATTCTCTGTTTTTTTTCTTTTCTTATTTTTAATAACAGAAACTCTGGCCCATGAAGGCCTGTGTGCTCTGAGAGAATGTGCTGAGCCGGCCTTGTTTTTCTCCTGTTTCCCGTGACAGGGCGCTCCTCCCCACAGGACTTGCCAAGTCCTCATGCACGTTGAGTCAACATTTTGGATATGAGCTCATTACATGGGAAAAAGAGTTTAAACACCAGCTCAACATGCAAGTGTACTATGGGCTCTTTCCTGTCAATGTTTCAGTTCAAATTTCCTGAAGCTTGGAAAATTGCATGTATTCGTACAATATCTCAGCATTCTCCCTCTGGCCTGAAGTGAGGCAGTTGGCTTCCTGCTGTAGACTAAACAAATGAATAAAAGATTCATGCCATGTATATAGTGTATCTACAGCTTTAGGCATTGTCTATTTTACTGACTGCCTTGTGGGTGTACTTATGTGTACAATGGCCCATTGTGCTAATCCAGTGGTCAGAATAAGAATTAACATTCTTGAAAACCACTTCAGCTGGTCAATTTTGATTTCAGCTAGCAATCAAGTCAATTTGAACATCTAAAAGAACTAGATATAGTTATTTTCTTTATATTCATGGGGGAAGGAGGGGATCTAGAAGTGAATTAAGCTTCTTTGAGGAATTAGGGTCAGGAAAAAACAGGTAAGAGATGAGAAGAAGATAAGAATGACCCTAAAACTTAAAGTATAATTAAAAAAAAAAAAAAAGAATGACTTGGGAAGAGAGATTGGGAGATAAATGGTGAATGGGGGTAAAGATGGAACTTAATCTTCACTTCATTGTCATGTCACAGACCAGACATTAGTACCCACTGAGTACTCCCTTATTCTTCTCTCTGGGGGAATATTTAGCCCAGAATGTCGTGAGTACCCCAGGCAGATGTTCATTATCTAATTGGTGCTTGAATAACTGAATTTGACTTTTTGTGTGTGTTGCCCTAACCTGAATCCCTTAGACACTGATAGTAGAACTGTGGAGAAGTATCCCTGGAGATGACCCACAATCTCAAGAAGGCTGAAGAGGAGAGGAAGAGAATGGATAAATCGAAACAAGTGTTTAGATGATCAAGGCCTTATAAGCCATAGTAAGTTTAACAGTAAATAATACATAGAGGGAAATTTCTTCCTCTGAGTCATATGTGTTTATCAGTTTTCTATAGATGTTGATTGCTTTTGCCATATATAAAATTTTATGCTTTTATGAGACTTTTCTTAAAAATATCTCTTGGTCGGCTGGGCACGGTGGCTCATGCCTGTAATCCCAGCACTTTGGGAGGCCAAAGCAGGTGGATCATGAAGTCAGGAGATCGAGATCATCCTGCCTAACACGGTGAAACACCCCATCTCTACTAAAAATACAAAAAAATTAGCCAGGCGTGGTGGTGGGCGCCTGTAGTCCCAGCTACTCAGGAGACTGAGGCAGGAGAATGGCGTGAACCCAGGAGGTAGAGCTTATAGTGAGCTGAGATCGCGCCACTGCACTCCAGCCTGGCAACAGAGCGAGACTATCTCAAAAAAAAAAAAAAAAAAAAAAAAAAACCTCTTGGTCAAAGTTGAACAAGTAATGAGTTGAATTTGGGGGGTAAAGAGTGGTTACCCTTCAGAAGGCAGATGTGAACTCAGTAAAATGTAGATTCACAGGTGAAGAGTTTCTGAACATGTGGGACTCCTGGATTATAGTATATGTCTTTCTTTTTCTCTTTACTTCCTCTTTCAACTTTCCAGTTTTCAATTGAGAAAAAAGCTTATCTTTTTGTGTGTGTGTGACTCTGAAGCAATGTTTACCACCAAGGGTAGAGGCAAGAGGTACACTGTCTTCTAAATAACTTGGGATTTTCCCAGATAACCCAAGGTGTGGGGCTCTTTGGGACCCTACCTGGCTGACGCCTTTTTGGATGCCTGCTGATGGGTTGAGTTTCTTCCTAGGTGATGGGGCATGCCTGGCATGGAAGGGACTTTAAATTCCCTGATGGTTATGCCCAGTGTGGTAGGAGAGAATTAGAATCCATGTCCTGATAGAAGAGACTTTCTACACTGAACTTCCCACCCCCTCAGATCTTGTCTTTCTTCCAAATCACATTTGTAATATCCCTACACACCTCAGAGGCATTTATCTTTTTATCCAGCCCTACGTCATCTTGCTAGATAGACATTTGCTCTTTTTTTCCCTCCTCTCCAAAAAGGAAAGGAGAAACAAACAGCCACTATTAGATGAACAGACCTCTTTCTGTCTTGTTTTATGGTTTTGTAAATCATAGTAAAACCTCACTTATTCAGATTTACAGGTTGAAGGGCAGTTCAGGTTCATGAATAATCTCAAACATTGAAAATTATAAAAATAATGTATTGTTAAAACTGGTATGTATATATAATGGCATGAACTAGTGGCTGAGAAAGTGGCCTCACTACTCCCAGGTCAAGGTTCTTGCAGGCTTGCTCTAATGAATTGAGAAACGCCATTTGTATTTAGTGTGTTTCTTGTTGGTTTGCAAATATTTACTGCTAAGATGTTTGAAAACAGCTTATCCTCTTGAGTAGTATCCAATTCATGATTTTTATCCAATTCATGATTAACACATTATTCAGGACTGGATGAATCAGACCTTAGCCTGGATTTCCTATGGGAAGTTGCTAAAACTCCACGGAGGAATACTCAGGAGAAGGAGCAAAGCTGAGTCAAGCCACTCAACAAATGTTTGTTGAGTCTTTCCCTTTGTGCCCAAAGAGGACTGGATGTGGTAAACTGGGGTAACATAAGTATAGCAGCTAAAAGCAAAACCAACCAAACAAAAAATACCCACACATTTTACAAATCACACTTTGGCCACAAGCACCTCTTCACCCCACACATCTCTTAGCCAAATGGCCAAGAAAAAGTAAAGTAAAATGATTTGAGTTTTACTTCCTCTCTCTTATTCTGTCCAAATGCTGGGGATCAGAGGATAGACAAGAGGAGGGAGTGAGAAGAGAAACAAAATTTGAATAACCACAGAAACAATTGGCTTTTGGGTGAATTCTAAAGCAGACCACAGGAAAAGGAAACCATTAAAATATTTTTGTTTTATCCCTCTTTCTCTCTCTCTGTGTGTGAACCTTAATTTGAATCTCACTTTTTTCAAATACCATCTAGTTTCTCTTGGCATGCATCTCCCTGCTCATAATTCCCTCCACATCTTGAATGAACTTCATGTTCACCTCTTTGAACATTATTTTCATTTGAAGTTCAATGCTTTTCTCTCGACTTGGCTAAAATTGCTACTGCTCATGAATTTATGTCCTATACTCCAGCTTCCAATTTTTTGCCAGGCTGTGAGAAGTCAGTTATAACTTACAGATTCTGAACTACAGTCTTCCCTACCGTCTTACTTCTCTTTCTCATAGTTCAAGTTTTGGTCTATTCCTCTTACCCACTCTCTCTCTGGGCACACTGATACGGTTTGGCTGTGTCCCCACCCAAATCTCATCTTGAATTGTAGCTCCCTTAATTTCCACGTGTTGTGGGAGGGACCTGGTGGGAGATAGGTGAATCATGGGGACAGTTTTCCCATACTGTTCTCATGGTAGTGAATAAGTCTCATGAGATCTGATGGTTTTATAAGGCAAAACCCCTTTCACTTGGCTCTTATTCTGTCTTCTCAGCCGCCATGTAAGACGTGCCATTCACCTTCCACCATGATTGTGAGGCTTCCCCTGCCATGTGGAACTGTGAGTCCATTAAACCTCTTTTTCTTTATAAATTACCCAGTTTCAGGTATGTCTTTATCGGCAGCATGAAAATGGACTAGTTATACACGAAGGCTTTTTATTGACTGTCCCTCTCTGAAAAGTACTCTGACCCAAAGGTGCCCCTATGCTCATCCAAAACCAGTGAAGTGAGAGAAATGAAGGTAAAGCGTCATTCAATATGGTACCATTTTTAGATGAGGACATGAGATCCTGACTTATCCATAGAAAGTCAGTGTCATGCCAAACCAAACAGAGACTGTGGCTGCTGTAAATAGCTTTCCGCGTAAAGGAACTGTGGACAGAGAAAAATAAAGAAGGTAAACTCTTTATACCACCCTTCTCTCCTATCTCCTTGCTACTGCTCTTCCCTGCTGGTCAGGGTCTCTGGGGGTTTTGATGGGCACAACTGTCATTTCTGCTGTTGAGAATACAACACAAGAAGCAGCCCCCTTTGTTAATTTTGGTATCAGGATCAAGAATATTTTCCCGATGAATTCCTGTTTTCCTAGGAATTGCTTGAGAGCTGGGAGGCTGTGGTGGTGTCAACCAGTGATTCAATGAGATGCTAGGGCCCCAATCTCTAACAGCTTCTCTTAAAATCACTCACAGCAGGCTGTGTGTGGTTCTCGGGCCTGTAATCCCAGTGCTTTGGGAGGTCAAGTTGGGAGGACCGTTTGAGGCCAGGAGTTCAAGACCAACCTGGGGAACACAGTGAGACCCCCATCCCTACAAAAAATTTAAAAATCAGCAACATGTGGTTGTGCACCTGGAGCCCCAGCTACTTGGGAGGCTGAGGTGGGAGGGTCACTTGAGCCCAGGAATTCGAGGCTGCAGTGAGCTATGATCACCATTGCACTCCAGCCTGGGTGACAGATTGAGACCCTGTCTCTAAAAATAAAATAAAACATCACTCACAGCAAGCATGTAGCAAAGCATGTGGTTAACATTACCATATAAACATACACATGTAATAATTGGGAAAGCATGTGATTAAAATTATCATATAAGCCTACATTTTAAAAAGAATTGGCAAGGTATGTGTTTAAACTGCATCGCGCCATCATTTGTAGAAGGAAGATGCTAAGAAAGTGCTGTACTTTGGCACTGGGAAAATGCATTGTTTGAAAGGGGGAGATATTCTAGATTTGATTTTACTAAGTTTGTTTAAGAAACTGTCTACATGGATTTGTATTGGTGGTTTTGGCTGAGGGGCCGCTGGCAGATCATATCCACCACCTAAACACAGCTTCAGTGGAGTGGCTGGTTACCTCCTTGTGCTCCTCTCTCATTGCCTTCTCAAGCCCCTCTTAGTTAACCATTCCCAGGCTCCCACTGATTGCCGGTGAGGTGCACAGGTGGATGCATCAGAACTGTGGGACTCAGAACTCAGAGCAGAGAAGGATTCTGGGATCTGTGGAGTCTGAAAACTCAGGAGTCGGCCTTCATCTTTGCTCCTGCTGCTGCTACTAGCTGACATTTATTTGATATTTTCCATCTGCTGGGAACTTTATATACTTTTCATCTGTAGTCCTTCCAACAGCCTTGAAAGGGAGATTTTCTTCTATTTTGTTGAGCTAAACTGGAGGGTCAGACAAGTTAAAACATACTTAATGTGGCATAGCTAGTTAGCAGCAGAGATCCCACAGAGATGTCTGACCACATACCTGACCCCTTTCTCCGCACCCACGTCTCCTCAATGATGGTGGACTGACCTGGAGAACATAGAAACCACTGCAATCATGAGATGACTATGACCAATTTTACCCTTATTTGATGTACAATTCCATCTGATTATTCAGAGATAAACTCTCATTTCCCTTTGCAGGCACACAGGGGCATCCCTGCAGCCCAAAACAACACTGCAAACTCCTATCCAATTTCCTGTCTCTATATCTTTTAGAGTAATTATGGCTAGGTTTTCCCATTGGTATTTATGCTTTGTTGATTTTTCTACAGATGCGTTGGGGGCACATGTCCAAATTAAATATCGTTTTATTATTTCCTGCCTCTTACTTTAATTTCTCTTTGTCCTTTACTCTCCATGGGGTTTGTATTATATTCCAGTTGTATCTTACACGGTTAGGCTGTAGGCTATTAGCTACACTTCCATATCACTAGACAAGCTCAAGGCATTCAATTCTACCTGTTATTTAATTTTGGACTCTTAGAAATTAGACCTTGATCATAAGTAATGCTTGGAGTCAACCGCTGAAGACCACCTCTTACTTTCAACTTGAACACTCAATTCACCACTCTCCCCAGCCCTCCAGGCAGCAGGCTGGGTGTAATTGTCTATAGCTCATAAATAAGAAAGTCAAGGCCAGCAAGGTTGTGAGGCTTGCCCAGGCTCACGCAGTGATTATAACCATGAGCAGCACTAAAAGCTTTTGACTTTATAAAAGATCAAAACCATTCATGCCCCAAATACATTTTATATAAAAATGATTGACAACTTTTTTATTAAACTGCACTTTATTAGTTGGCATAAAACAGCTTTCAGGCTTTTAAGTGAGTTATGGTCACCTTGGAATGGCTCTGGGTAAAATGCTGACATCGGTGAAGTATGTTTTCAGCTTCTGGGGCTCCTACTTTCATTCCTTACCCTGGGATTGGTCCCCACCTCCGTATTCCCCTGGTAGAGCAGAGTCTCCAGCTGCTCCTACCCTCCCCCTGCCAACCCCACCTTCTGGGTCCCAACTTGGAAACTCTGGCCTCTTGATGCTCCTCAAATCACAGCCTGACTATGGGGGTCCTTTGCCGCTCAAGTCAAAGGTCCAGCTTTTGGTGGATTTCTCAGTCTGGGGCATCTAAGCTCAAAGTTCTTTTAACAGAGAACAAAGCTTTTCATTCCTCAATCAGAGCTAAGATGCAAGCATGTGCTTGGGAGAGGTGACACTTTGATTTAGAGCCACACGAAAAGGTAAGTGACTGATGTCATATCTGCTCTTAAGCTGGTTTTAATGAGCATGGAGAAGGGAGGGCAAGGGCATGAGTATCTGAGGGGGCTGGTACAGAATGGATGTCCCTGAGAGAGTGGAGGAGGGACCTGGGAAGCAGCTTGGGAATGCTCATCTCAGGGCTACTGGCAATGAATGGGCTTAAAAATGCTGCTGACTTCACAACTGCACTGAGTGTGGCCTCCCCACCATGGGCTACCACTTTTCACTTTGATCCTTCTTCCCAAGAATTCTTGGCGTCAGTGTAAACAAATCAAGTCAATTATTTATCACCTGAAAGGGTGTGGGGAAATAGTGAAAATTAGTGCATCCCTTTGAAAAAACCTTGGCCTAGTAATTTAGGCCAAGAGTCATAAAAATGTTCATGCCCTTCGAATCAGTAATCTTTCTTCTGGGAATCTAGCCTAAGGAAAGGATGCCAAATAGAGCAAATGGTATGTAATCTGTTGCACAGTGTAGGGGTACAAATACTAACCTGTTTCCTAGTTAGTCGCTTGAACTTCCAATGCCCTATTAGTAGGAAGTCTAATGATGACTTTTGAGGTTCTGTTCCAACCCTACCTCTGTTGGTCAAGAATACTGGGAGTTTATTTAGTCCAAAGAGGGTCAGAGAAAGAAGATAATGAGATTCATCCACAGCAGATCTCCCAGTTTCCATTTCTATTGCTTCTGCTGCTAGCACCTGCTTCACTACTGAACATGGGCCTGGGCATCCATGGCCACTGGCATACTGGTCACTGCTAGATCCAGCACAGGCTACAAGAGTCCTTTGAAGCCTCAAGCTCAGCTTATTAACAGCCTCCATATGCCAGCTGTGAGGCCTGTGTGGCCATGTTCAGTTGTTCTTCCTAGAGCAAGAACGCTGTGCCAGAGTGGCTGGATCCAGAGTGGCTTCCAGCCTTGGCTGCATAGTGAGTGCAACCATGCCGCATGTTTCATCTGCATCACAGCTGGATACTGTCTTTCTTCATCAGTCTTTGTCTCCAGGGCCATTATCTTTCTCAGCGATGGGATCTCGGGTGGTCATACCAGTACACCCCTCTCAGGTTTCTCTAACTTTGAACTGTGGGAGGAAGCTTTGAATATTAGTTTCTTCTCTCCTATGGCCTTGCTCTTTAGACAACTTAACCATCTCCTTTTAGTCATCAACTTTGCACTATGATGGCTCTCATCAAAGACAATTTTGTGACAATTTTGATAGAATTCTACTTTACCTGAACACCAGAATAATAGACACTTATTTCTCTATTGTTGCATAACTAAGGCAATCACTCAGTGATCTTTTATACAGCAACAAAAACAACAGCAAAAATCAGCTTCTCTACTTTAAAAACAAAAATAAAACATCTATATAGGCATGCAGACATTCATTGAAAATTGTTTATAGAAATAAAATGTGAGAAGACTCCAAAGATACAACATTAGGGGGACTGTAAAGTAAATTAGGATATGTCTACTCAATGATACAGCATGTGCTATTAAAATGATAATTATGAAGATTATGAGAAAACATGGGTGTTTTCTCTCCCACTTTCCAAACTTTTAAAAATTGTCAGTTTAAATTGAATAAAAGATTCTTAAAATTAACTCTTGACATGAAACTGTTGCCAACGGGACTTGCCGATGATTCGTTTGGGAAAGTGAGGGAGAGAGAACTTAAGGATGACTTCTAAATGTTTGCCTTCAATGGGTGAAAATTGCTGCTGTTTACTAGGGAGAACAGAGAGAGGCAAAGATGGACATTGGGAAACCAAGACCTTTGTCTATACTACATTTGAGAAACTTCTTAGACACCCATGTAGTGATATAGAGAAGTCAGTAGGATATAAGAACTTGACCTTAGGGGATAGGTCAGATAAATCAAGATCAGAAATTTTAATTTTGAGAGCCATCGGTATGTAGATGGTATTTAGAGACATGAGACTGAATGAGTCACTTACAAAGAGCTTATAGATGGACAGTACAAGAAGATCTGGGACAGAGCCTGGAGTCATTCCAGGAGAGATCAGAGAAAGAGAAACGAGCAAAAAGGCCTGAGACAATGCAGCCAGTGAGGTCAGAGGAAAAGGGGAGAAAGTGGTGTCATGGAAACTGGGAGAGGAGACAGCTTTAAGAATGAGGAAGTGATCAACTATGTCAAATATTTTCGAAAGTTGAATAAGATGAAGACACAGTGGTGGCCACTGCGTTTGGCAAAAGAGGTTATTCATGACCTTGAAATGAACAGATTCAGGGGCATGGAGAGAAGGAAGTTAACCAGAGTTGGCTGAGCTAAGAAAAGGAGGTGAGGAAGTGGAGCAGTGACTACAGACAATTCTTTGCAGGAAGGCATGCTGTGAAAGAGTTGAGAAATAGGATTGTGTCTGGAGGGAGCAATGATGTGAGAGAATGTTTTTTTTTGGAAAGTAGGCACCAGAACACATCTGCCTTCTCATGGAAATGATCCAGGAGGGAGAGAGAAATTGATCATGTTAGGGAGAGAAGGGTTTATTGCAGGAGGAAAGTCTTTGGGAAGGACAAGGGGATGGTATCCAGAGCACGAGTGGAGAGATTGGTTTTAATGAAATGGACATGCTTGCTCTGCAGATCCCTGGTGTCCATACTAAGAATCTTGGCATACATACCAAGTGCTCAGTAACTCCTTGTTATTACAAATGTCAGTCTCCTTGAGTCACTGAGAGGAATGACTGCTGGCTGGTCCATCTCATTGCTCAAAAGTCAGGCCTTGAATGAGGCATTGGCAATTGATATGGCCCGGACAAAGAAGAAAATGATGTAATGACAGAGAGGTATACCCTTCTCTCCTACAGCCCCGCTCAGACAGGCTATAGTCCTACAAAAGGGGTGTTGATATGATATGCTTAAAAAATGAAAAGATCCCAGTAATTGATGAATAACTGATATGACTGTCTTTAAATTGAGCTCTTCACAGCTCCTGAGAGTGGCCGCCAGGGAAATGGGCAATGTGGAGAAAAACACAACCTCAAAACCTCTGCTATTGTGCAATGAGGATGAAAACCACTCGAACTGCCCAGAAGCAGTCATGTGGTTGAACCCTGAGGAGAAAAGCTCCTAACCAACTTGTTTAGCAACCTAAGAGAACACAAGTTATAGCTGTAGTTCCAGAAAGTGCTGTATTTAAGCTGGGAAGTCACAGCTTTTATCTACATGGAATGTTATTTTTTATCATTAGGCTTCACTGTTGAAACAGAGTAAGCAGATCTTCGTTGGCAAATAGCTCATGAAAAATATGTCTATGTCTTCAAAAGCGTAGTTTAAAAAGAAGAATTTCTACAAAAACCCCGAAATTTTCACTTGATTTCTTAATCAATACAAAACCTAGGTAACCCAATACAAATTTAGAATTAAAACAAATGTGGATCAGGCAGGATTCTTAGTTGCAAACATCAGAAGCCACTTCTAACAGATTCCTGCAGAAAAATAGTTTGTTAAAAGAATAGTGGCATAGTGGAAATAACCCTGATGTCCATTTAAATAAAATACACTGTGATGTAGTGATACCATGAAATCTGACAATGAAAAAAGAACAAAACACCAATACAAACAACAACATGAATATATCCCACAGATGTAATATTGAATCAAAGAATCTATGCAGCATGTATTGAGTATGAACTGTATATTTCCATCTATATAAAGTTCAGAAAAAGGCAAAACAAACCTATGGTGCTGGTCTCAGGATAGTGGTTACATTTCAGTGGTAAGGGTGGTAAAAGGGGCTATAAGGAGGGATTTGGGGTGCTGGCTACATAGGTGTGCTCACTTTGGAAAATTCATTGACCTGAGTACTTTTGATATGTGCTTTTTTTCCTCTATGTATGTCTTCATGAAAGTCACACAGGAGAAATCAACCCGAGAGCTATTAGGTAGGTCAAAATGTCACCCAAGTGCTGGAAATGCAGATTTGGGATGTTAGAGTCAAGCAGGCTTCTCAAATCTGGCATAGAACTTGAGTGAGCACATCTCCGAGCCACACTAGATGCTGTTGTTTGTTCTGTGGACCCTCTGCCTGGGATACACACATATCACAAGCAGACATCCAATTATAAATGCACTTATTTGTTTTCTGTCTCCCCAGCTAGAATGCGAGCTCTCTGCTGGAACACAGTAGGTACTCAACAAATATTTATTGAATGCAGTTGCTTTGTTCATAACTGAGCAGAACTCTCCTTCTCACGAATGCGTTCTTTCTTTAGGTATAGTAATCTCGTCAGTCAGGGTCCAGTCAAATCTTGCTATCCTAGGAACACATTTGTTATTTAAAGTGGTTTCCTGTATTTCTTCTCTGATTCATTCTTAAAAGGCAATCTAATTTCTTGAGGTTCCAAGTTCATAGCACAGGGGTCATCCCATGGTAACCCCTGCATACTCACAACAGGAACATGTAATATACTCATGAACATGCAATTTGACACAAGAATGCACATTGGATGGAGCTGAGGGAATTAGTAAGGAAAATGGTAAACTAAGAGATAGGAATCTGCCCATCAAAGAAGAGTGATGAGGTGATTTCCTTGACCCAGATGAGATTGCACAAACACCATCTGTGTTTATTGCTTCACTTTCCCTCCCATTGACACCATGTCATTCATTTGCAGGGCCTGCTGAAGAATTCAGCAGTGGAATCTTGCCCACCCACTGCACTTTCTGTTGTTTAGAATGGTTTAATAAAGAACTGACTGACTTCTCAGATGGCGAATCTCAGAGGGCGCCTATCCTACCAGCTTTAAGCCTCACCTCACCCTCCAAAACAAGGCCCTAGGCTCTGTGGCCTGTGTTAGCCTCTCAGAGCCTGCTCTGGCCAGCACTGGCGGTGGTACCCTGGGATACTGACCAGGCCTCGGCATTCTTGTCTTATTCTGGGGCAAGAGAAAGTAAAGAGATAATGGGTTGCCCTTCATAATTTTAGTTAGACAGCCAGGAGTGGTGAGGCACACCTGCAGTTCCAGATACTTGGCTGAGGTGAGAGGATCTCATGAGCCCAGAGTTTGAATTCAGCCCGGGGAACATAGCAAGACTCCATCTCTAAAAAAATTAATAATTTTACTTAAATTTTGCTTAGAATCTTCACACTTCTACTAAAGCTGCCTCTCTTCCTCCCAGAGATGGGAAGTCAGAGAATTATTCTACATGACCATTTTGTAAAATTTTGACCTACATTTCTCCATTTCATTCCTGAATGGGAGTAGATAAAAACTCAGAAGTCATCTCTATTCCGAGCTGAGTAAGAAGAAAAGAAACACCTGGGATGATTTTCTTCTGCCACCCTCCCTTGCGTATTTGCCCCTCTATTGCTTGCACGTGATGCCTCAGCTTCTCTTTCTAGCTCCATCTCCCCTCTTTAGCAACCAAACTACATTTCCGATGGCTGGATGGACATTTTCACTGGATCTACTCATGGCATTTCAAAGTCAATATAACTAAAACCATATTAATAATCTTTTAATCGATGCCAAGTCTTTCTTCTGGTTTCTTTATTTAGGTTAGTAACAGTATCATTCTTCTTTTTCACGCAGCCACCAAATCACAGACCTCCGTAGGCTCCTGTTGGTGAAGTCTTGCCTATCCTACCTCTAAGAATTTGATCCCTCTTTTCCATTACTACCTCCAAATTCCTAATTCAGACCCCGGTCACCTACCACCCATTCTAGCTTAAGAAGCTGTCAAGCATAGTGATTAAGGGCAGGTACCTGTGTCTAGATTAAAACACTGCCTCTTCTGCTTTAGCTGTGTGAATTTGAGCAAGTTGTTTAATCACCCTAAGCCTCAATTTTATCATCTGTAAAGTGGGCTAATAACGGTTCTTGCTATCAGAATTAAATCAGATTATGTATATGAAGTAGCATCTGCAAAGCACTCAGTACTGGTAGTGATTAGTACCACCTGTTCTCTCATGACTCCATTTCATTTGACTTACCACCGCTAGGTTTACCTTCAACAAGGCAGCCCTGATCACGTTTTAAAAATCCTCAGTGCCCCCACCCAGTATCAACCTAACACATAACAGTCCCATTTTGGCATTCCAAATTTTCCATAAGTCTTATGACCTCCTACTGCCTTAAATTTACCCTCTGTTCCAGTCAAATGGACCACTTCCCTCTTCCCCACATCCTCTCCACAGTATAGCCTCTGTGCGTTTGCTTACATTATATTTTCTGTTTGATTCACCCTCCCTTTCCTTCAAGGTCTTACTTGAATGGCTGCTCTCTGATGACTAAATGTCTTTTTCTCTTCTTTTATAGTCTCTGCACATAATTGCACCTGTCTAACATGATGACCTGCTTTCTTCCTGGTCCGGCATGTTCATCTTACCTCTCTAGCTGGAGGAACCTTCATTCACCTGGCTTCAAGTCACCACATGTCAGCATTAAGGCTGAAACGTTCAAGCAGTCATTTCCCCTCCTGCCAACAAGATACTAAAAAACCAATTTGAGCAAATTCTCCACTAAGCCACTTGGCTAGATCAATGTTTGATACACAAGGTCTTGCTCAAACAACAGCCAAAGCTGGAAAAAAATTGTGGCTATGAGACACGGAAAGGATCTAATTATTCTTCCTTAAGCAATGTTCTTAACCGCAGCCTGTTTCCCAGCTTCTGAGCACTCTGCTTGAGTGATTAGCAATGCAAGATTGCACATTGGCCTTACCTCATACAGGATGAGGTAGTTCAATCCAAATTTCTCAAATAGTTTTTAACTTTTTTCTTCCCAGTATGTCTGTAAGAGCTGGAAAATCATTCAATAGTTTTTAAAGAAAATTTGTGCCTTTAGCAGCAACTGGATGCAAACATCAGTTCTCATTTAAAAAAAAAATTTCAGCTTTATTGGGGCATAACTGACAAATAGAAATTGCATGTATTTAAGGTATATGACTTGATGTTTTGATATATGTATACATTGGAAAATGATCACCACAATCAAACTAGTTGACTTACCCATCACCTCACATAGCTGCCTCTTTTCTTTTGTGGTGAGAACACTTAAGATCTACCCTTGTAGCAAATTTCAAGTCTACAATACGGTATTGTTAACTGTCGTTACTATGCTGTATATTAGGTCTCCAGAACTAACTCCTCTTGCATGGCTGAAGCTTTGTACCCTTTGACCAACATCTCCTCATTTCCTGTATACCCCAGCCCTGACAACCACCATTCTACTCTCTGCTTCTAGGAGAGTAACTATTTTAGATTCCACATATACAAAAGATCAGGCAGTATTTGTCTTGCTGTGACTGGTTTATCTCACTTAGCATAATGTTCTCCAGGTTTGTCCATGTTGTCACAAATGGAAGGATTTCCGTTTTCAAATATCAGTTCTCTTCAAACCGTTTGAGTACCCTGAGAAAGTTTTTGGTTTCCAGTGGCTGCTCCTTTCAGAAACTATGCTACTTTCTAAAATCTCATTTAGGAGTAGCAATACTTTACTCCAGACACTGGCCCCAGACCAGTGTGGGAGGAAAGCCGTGAATCCTTAAAGAAAGTGATGCTTTAAAAGTCTGAGGTTAAATTCCATTTTGAAAAGTTTTAGCACAACTTCCCTTCTCCCCAGAGCTGAACCTCACTTCGTGCTATTTTTTACTCAGTTCAAGAGTGTTTTTTTTTTTTAAATAACTTGTCTCCTTATGAATTTTAAATAAGTTAATTAATAGGATATTGCTAGTTTAAATCATAATATAAATTCAGAAAATATTTTATAAATGGACCTATGCCATTTGGACTTAAAAAAATTATAAAGGCTTGAAACATTTGTGTGCATAATCCTGTTTTTATAATTTCAGTATTTTGCATTGAAATATACCTCACACTACACAGCTGACCTGGCAGTTCTATGAATGGCATTCAAAAAAGTCAGTCTTGTTTCATGAATTTATCTGTCAGCAAAATGCCTCTTTTATTATTGTTTTAAAATATATTTATCGGATTCACTTTTGCCTTTTCTTATGACGTTTGAAGATATTTGCATTTGCTTTTCTCTTTCTCCCTTTTTTTTTTTTTTTTTTTGAGACAAGTTCTCGCTCTGTCACCCAGGCTGGAGTGCAGTGGCGCCATCTCAGCTCATTGCAACCTCCGGCTCCTGGGTTCAAGAGATTCTCTGGGACTTCAGGTGTGTGGAAACTTGCCTGGATAATTTTTGCATTTTTAATAGAGATGGGGTTTCACCATGTTGGCCAGGCTGGTCTCGAACTCCTGGCCTCAAGTGATCTGCCTGCCTTGGCCTCCCAAAGTGTTGGGATTACAGGCATGATCCACCACCCCAGTCCTTCTTTTTCTCTTTTGAAAAGAAGTTTTAAAATTCTTTAAAAAGTTTTTCAAGGAAAATTTTCCCAGGAAATAGGAAAAATTTCAACCATACACAAAAATAGAGAATATAGTACTGGACTTCAAACATCAATCACTTAAATTCCAGAATTATCAGTATTTTCCTACTTTTACTTCTGTACATTTTTCCTTCCTTCCTCCTTTATTTTGGCTGATGTATGATAACCGAATCCCAGAATTGTGTCATTTTAGCTTTCTGTATCTAAGTGTTGATTGCTAAAAATAGTGGTGTTTTCTTACATAAACACAATACCATTAATCACACCTATCAAAACTAATAATATGTTATTGGTATCATCTAATACACTATCCAAATTCAGATTTCCCTCATTGTCTTCAAAGTGTTGCATTGACGATGGTTTGAGGCCAGGTGTGGTGGCTCATGCCTGTAATCCCAGCACTTTGGGAGGCCGAGGCAGGCAGATCACTTTTGAGCTCAGAAGTTTGAGACCAGCCCAGGCAACATGGTGAAACTCCGTCTCTACAAAAAATACAAAAATTAGCCAGGCACGGTGTTGAGTGCCTGTAGTACAAGCTACTGGGGGAGGTTGACGTGGGAGAATCACTTGAGCCCAGGAGGTTGAGGCTGCAGTGAGTTGTCATTGCACCACTCCATTCAGCCTGGGCAACAGAGAGAGATGCTATCTGAAAGAAGAAGGAAGGAGGCAGGAGGAAGGAGAAGGAGAAGAAGAAAAGTTGGTTTGCTCAAATCAGAATCTAAGCAAGGTCCATGCAGTGCATTGAATTGTCCAGGGATGGAGAAGAGGCTGAAGAAGAGGCTTAGGTAAGCAAGAGCATCAGTGCAGGGGAAGTTCAGGAAACACTGAGCTGGAGGAAAGGATAGAAGCATTACTTGAATAATGATCTTTGAGAGGTGCAAGTCATGATTGGAACAATTTTAGCTATTATTTAGCTACTAGATATTGCCTCTTTAAACATAATTCCATGCATAGACTGAAACTTGGAGGATCCCAAGATTTGTTCTATTTAGAGACCTGACTTCCAGAACTATTCTACCTCCTCCATCACTTCTTACTCCAGTAAATATCATGGAACACCCTTCTCAGGTTGAAAAGAAATTTAGAGACTTCCAGAGTAGGCATTGTCACAGCTTTTGCTGGCAATCCATTACAAAATTAGCTGTCCCTATTTTCAGAGGAGTGTTGTGTGAGATCTCAATTCCTTTACCTAGTATTCTGTTCCCAGCAAAGTAGATGTTGTGTTTGATGGTTCTGAATGTATTCTGTGTTGATATTAAGGCTTCTGGGTTTGCTAATCATATGAGAATATATGTCAGCAACTCTGGTGTTAATAATTTAGCCTACAAAAATCAATTCTAACGCAATCTTGGAATATTGTGCAACCCACCTGTTCATTAATATTTCACCATCTGTAGATCCTAGTGAAAGATGGGTCAAATTCAAATATATTTTCTTTGGCTCTGGAGACAAAAATAATTGGCAATCAACAGTGGTAGGGACAGCTTCTGTCAATGCACAGTAGGAGTCATGGAAGAACCCTCAGCTCCCTCCTACAGCTCTTCCCAGCAGACTTCAAACACATTTTTTCATCCAACAGGGAGCCCTTTAGGCTTCTATTCACCAACCCAGTGGGATCTCCAATTGCTGGAAATTTCATAAAGCAAAATTCCCCAGGGAGTTTCAACAAAGGTACTTGGGAAGCCAAAACCCCACTAGCTCTTTGGCCCAACTCAAAAACACAGCTGCAGAATAGCTTCCCACACTCTGTGCTCCTAGCCACTTGAGATTTAGCAGCTGTATTGTTCTCCTTGGTGTCAACTCCTGTCCATTGCAGGGGACTCTTGAAAGGAAGGGTGGTCTAAATGGAGGTAGGACTAGGAAGAAAAATGTCATACTCATTATCATCATCAGGCCACACATTTCTATAGGACTCTATGGTTGTACATGATGTTTATGAACATGGTATTCTTGATCCTCATGTTGACCTTGTAAAGTAGGAAATGCAAGAAATCTTTTACTCTGTTTTGTACACAAGCAGACTGAGGCTTACTGCAGTTAAGTGCCTAGTCCAATGTCCTACACTTGGCAGAGCTAGAACCAAAATGTTGGTCTTTGCCCTCTAGTTCAGTGCTTTGTTCTTTCCCCCAAATGGCTGCAGTATATGTTTTGCCTCATAGACAGTCTTTGATTTGGCTTCTTAACTAGTGGATGCAGCTCACTTGTATACAAAATAGGTATTCCTCAGTCTTTGGGGAGCCTAGGTGGACCTGGGGTGGCCCAGGCCAGCAATCTCTGCCTCAAATGACCTAGTCTATTTACCGTAGTGCCGTAAAATTGTCACTTTCTTTGTGTATAATAACATGAAAAATGATGGAAACCACTATTTTAAAGGAAAGTTTAAATATGTCCCCTCTTTCTACAGTGCTTAATATCTGAAAGCCAATTAATATGCCTGACCTTGAAAAGTCACGTCTATCAACCGTAAGTAGAAAATGAAATTTAATTTGCCATTTTTTAGTGAGCTTTTAAATTGTACATCTCCCCATAGCCTCTCATAACATGCAGTGTGGATTAAAGTGCTATTTGAATACCTCTTTTTTCAAAACTTTATGGTCAGTCACTATAAAAGAACTTCTTGTTCCTTTTTCTTCTGTCCTCCAATGGAATGACTAACCTCCATCTCCCTGACCCCCCCATATATTTAGGCCAGATTCCCTGACCTAACCTCTACTGCGTGGTATTTAGTTCTGAAACAAAATAAGTCAGTCTCTTTGCGTGAAGAAATTTCTTTGTTTATACTTCAAATTGGATTAGCTCACGTCATTACTCTCACTTGGGCTATTATGAAAATTTTTCTTCTCTTCATGGGTTTGGTTTTTATTAGGTTTTCAATTCTGCTATTCTTGGTTCAGATCCAAAAGCCAATTAATGGAAACATGCCCACAGGCAAAATTAATATGTTCATTTTAACATCCATCAATTCCTTCTCTCATTCCCTATTCCAGTCTTTTCTCTTAACGTACATTTGAGCACGCCTCAGGAACCTGTACCCAAAGCCTCATACATTCTCTGTCTTCACTCAGCTCTCATATCAAGAAGGTCAATTCACACTGAGTTATAGGAATGTGACTTTATGTTGACACCTAGTTTACTATTTACAAAGCTGTTTCTCATGCATAGATGAGATTCTGGGTGTTGGGGTGCATATTAGGGAAGAAATGCTTTTGGGTTCATCTGTCCCACACAGTGTCCGGGCAACACTTTTGCATGAGGCCATCCAATGATCCATGGGAAGAATGCTGTAGTCTTTAGGAACCTTCACCTCCAAGTGACAGAAAATGAACCCAACTGCTTAAAGAGAAAGACAATGCATTTTCTCATGTAACTGAAAAGTCCACTGGTACACTTGAGTCATGGCTGAATCCAAAGTCTTCCCATGACAGTTCTCAGGCCTTAGGACTCTAACGGAATGACACCTATCCTGGGTCTCCAGCTTGCAGTGGCATATTGTGGGACTTCTTGGCTTCTGTAATTGCATGAGTTAATTCACATAACAATCTCCATATATATATATATACACACACACACATATATATATACACACACATATAAAAAATATATATACATATATATAGAAATATATATATATTTCTCTGTTTCTCTGGAGAACCCTAACACAAGACATTTAGTAGACCAACCCCCTTTCAATGTCTTCTTTACCACAAAAATTCTTCTGACTCAACCTCTAGAGAACTTGTTCTGTTTGTGGTTAGGGAAACAAGTTCAGAGAAGCACAGGGAGGAGAAAATGGGGTACCTGTGAGAGATCTGGAAGCTTAACTTTTATGTTCATAATACAAGGGCACCATAGAAAGACTAGAACACAAAGACACCATGTTTGAGATCTAATTAATGAGCAGAGAGGCTGGTTGGCAAAGGTCTCTCCCATCACAGACAGAATAGGACCAGGACTGTAAGAGTGATAAGGTCAAGAAAGTAGTGACAGAAACTGTGATGAAAACACAGAAACATGGCAAAGGGTTTCTCCAGACTCACTGCAACGTCAGCCCAGGTCAGAGCAGCAGCAGCAGCTAATGCAATAAAGCACAGCAGGTGCAGTGTGCAGTTCTGAATCCAGACACACCCTGAATCATATCCTTACACGTCCTAATTGTGTAATCTTCAGCGCATTTCTTCCTCTGTTAAGTACGGATGGTGATATCTTGTCCCCCTCTGTGGGTTGTGTGAAGACTGAGAAAGATTTCATATGTAAGGGGCTTAGCAACACACTGATTAAGCGGTAGGTGGTAGGAATGAGATATTAATGTCTCTGACGTTCCCATTTTAAGTTCTAAGAGGCTGTTTCACTTGGGAAATGTCTGGAAATCTGGGTAGAACTATTTGAGTGGTTCTTTTGGGGCTTGCAGTTTTCAGGCAAGTATCCACCCACTGGAGGGCATTTTTGATTTGAGGCATGGATGCTATTGTTGTATGTTGTCAGGCTGTGTTCTTCCCCCCATCCTCACCACATATCTATTTGCAGACATAAGCTCACATAAGGAGAAAGGATCTTGATGGATTTGCAGTTCTGATTTATTTAACTATCTGATGGTCAAATCTGGTCCTAACTAAGGCCATGTGGCAGGGCAGGACTACTGACCATTAGGGAAGGGGAACATGTACTGGTGACCCCCAACTCGATATCAGGGTCCACCAGCCCATTGCAAATGATGCACCTTACATAAAACATGTGTGTGTGGTGTGTGTTGAAAGAACCTAACACTAGGAGCCATAACACTCCAGACTTAGACAGTTTTATTGTCAGCATCTGGGACCTGGCCTAGAACAGAAGAAAGAATGATTGTTCCTCACATCTCAAGGAAGCAGCAACAAGATGGGGCTGGAGCCAGCAGAAATGGGGGACATTTGACATGACTATAAATGGGGTCAAAATAGTCAAACAGGAACTGGCTTGGTCTCAAATCTCGTGTTATTCTTCTGCCTTTAGCAACTGGGGTCAGATTTAACATTTCTTTTAAAAAGGTCACAGTGAACTTTTTTATTGTTGTTGTTGAGTTGGAGTCTTGTTCTGTTGCCCAGGCTGGAGTGCAACGGCACGATCTTGGCTCACTGCAACCTCTGCCTCCTGGGTTCAAGCGATTCTCCTGCCTCAGCCTCCCAAGTAGGTGGGATTACAGACATGCGCCCCCGTGCCCCGCTAATTTTTTTTGTATTTTTAGTAGAGCTGGGGTTTCACCATGCTGGTCTTGAACTCCTGACCTCGTGACCCACCCACCTTGGCCTCCCAAAGTGCTGAGATTACAGACGTGAGCCACCGCGCCCAGCCAGTCCCATTGAACTTTATCTACCCAAAGGCAAATTTGGGGGTTATTCTTCCATGACATTTAATAGTCCTAGGACAAAAGACTTTTCTGAATCTCTAACTTCAGTGGTGACATATTAACAGTCATTACCAGTTATGAAAACAGGCTCGAGGACTGTCGACAGTAATTAACTTTCCCAGCGCTGCGCTGGCACTGCTACTGGCAAATAATGTTAGCCACTGAGACATCTGCTAATTAGAAGGCAATGGTTTCCAACTTTCCATTGCTTCTGTGACCCATGCATGCCATATAAATGAAAAGTTGGAAAAGAATAAAAGCTGAAATTCCTATGCTGGAACAATATTTAGAAACCTCAGGGAAGAATCAAGATAAAAAGCCAACTTGATGCTGGTCCAAGGATCTTCCTCTTGGAAATATACACCAATAGGTCTAGAGCTTTCTCCACTGCTCTTTACTCCCAGAGTGCCGAGTCAGTGGTAGCCAGGGATTAAGTGGAGAAAAGAACTGGATTGGATTGAATCTTGTCCTTTCTCCCTTTATTATTCTTGCCCTGACCCCCACAACCTCAAACTTTTGAACTAGGGGATAGGAGGAAAGCTAAAAGCCAAGAGCAGAGGTTTATGGGAGAATTTAGGAAAATATTCTGAATCCATGGTTCTCAAGCTTGGCTGCACATTAGAGTCAACTGGGAGCTTTAAAAAACACTGAAGCCTGGGTCCTAGTTCAGAAGATTCTGATATCAATGGCATGGGGTGTGGCACTGCGATTTTAGAAATCTCACTAAGGGTGCAGCCAAGGTTGAAAACATTAAGTTTCTTGCATTTAACCCGAAAGTGAGGGGATTAATTTGTGGTTTCCTCTTAACTAGCAAGATTTCATAATGGTAGTGTTTCTTAGCTTTAGATGAATATTAGAATTACCTAGGCAGGTTTTAAAACATGCAAGGCTAGGGCTTCACTGTAGTTGAAACTGAGGATCTCTGACAGTAGGGCTTGAACAATGGCATTTTTAAACATTAATTCTCATATGAGCCAGGGTTGAGTGCTACTGCTAAGGCAGAGGTTCTAAACTTTTAGTGTGCATGAGAATCACCTGGCGAGACTATTAAAAATGTATATTCTTGCATCCTACTCCCTGAGAGTGGGGCCTGAGAATTTTATTTTTAACAGACAACACAGGTCATTTTGGTGAAGGTGGTCATTAAGACCATTCTCATCCATCATTCTGATTGCTTTCTTGTGCTGACCAAGATGCAGTTTGCTCAACACAAATGCAACCCTGCCAACTGGTCTTTGGTGATCCTCAATTGAAGGGACAGGAAAATGAGGCAGTACCACCCTCCTAGGTGGCATTTGAAAATATCCTCGCTTGTTTTCTAATAATCATGCCTGGAGATGCCACAGATATTTAGTGAGCAAAGGCCAGGTATTCCAAAGAGTCAGTCCTGCAAACAAGAATCGTCTTGCCCAAAATTTTAATAGTGTTGCCAGTGAGAGACCCCAGAAGGTGGAAAAGTTTGAATTGTGTGTGATCTAAGGTATCAAGGTACAGACTTTGGCACTAGGCAGTCCTCAAATTCAGTAGCCATGAGATGTGAGGAAAGGTCCGACTGTTCAGGAAAGAAACCAAGACATGTAACAAAGCCTACCTCCCAGCTATCTCTATTTCTCTCTTCTCCTCTCCCAAACCCCCAGCCCTGACCTAATCTCTGTTAGGATCCCAGAGATGGACCCAGTAGTCTCATATTCATTTCTGGTGAAGTCATAACACAAGCTCTCTTTTCACTGGCCCCAGGCCCTGTCACTCCTAGCTAGGTGACCTTGGGGAGTCACTTTATCATGCAGGACCTGGAGTGTTCATTTATAAAATCAGTAGCTCAAGTTGGATGATTTTTAACACCTGTTTTATTTCTGACATTCTGACTTTATTTTAGTCTAGAAATTCTTACTCTATGTAGAGAATAGCCTTCGGTATATTATTCCTAGTTGCTCAGTTGATAACGTGAAATACCTTGTTAACTGGAGCCAAACTTAAATCCACAATAAAAGACTAGGCTTATGCCATTACTTGTTCTAAAGAAGGAGTACATTTACTTGAATTCTTTCCCATGATCCAACAATTGTCACGTGGACCTTACTTAAGGGCAGAGTTTCATTCAGTAAAATATATTCACTTTATCATTCATTAAGCAGCGTTAAGTTTGTAGTCTTTGTCCTAGATTAAGATTTCTATTGACGGTTTGGGGCCAGATAACTTTTGGTTATGCAGGCTGTCCTGTGCATTGGAGGCTGTTGAACAGCATCCCTGGCCTCCACTTAGTTGGTATTAGTAGTACCCCCATCTAGTTATGACAACCAAAAAGTCTCCAGACATGGCCAGATATCCCCTGGGGGGCAAAATCACTGTCCTTAATGTTGGGGATGTGATGACTAATACCCATTCCCTGTTCTCTAGGATCTCACAGTCCTCGGTGAGGAGAGAACCATTGCACAGTTAGTTACGATACCTCATGGAAGCACACTGATGGTGCTATCCATCACAGCATATTTTGGGAGCAATCAGCCAGGGAAGTCCCCTGGCCGAGCCTTCACGGATGAGTAGGGTTAACCAAATGAAGCATAGGCAGAGGGCAAAAGGTGACAGCAGTTGCAAAGCCACAAAGCTGAGCAACAGCTTGGGGTGTGTGAGGGACTTCTTGCCCATCTGCAAGGCAGCAGGTTGGCAGAAGTGATATTGAAGAGGCAGACAGCACTTTGTAAGGCTTCTCAGATGTTCTCTTCTGGGGAATGGGGAGTCTCAGGGAGCTCTGAGGCAGGGGAGAAACATGGTCAGATGTAAGTTGTAAACAGACTGGATTTGCAGCAGACAGGCTTGGAGGCTGTTGGAATAGGTAATCTAAGAAAAAGAAGATGAGGGCCTGAGCCCAGGCAGAGGGTGAGGGGCTGGAGAGGAGAGATGAAGAGGGGCCTGAGGGAGCACCATCATGGAACAGCAAGGGAGGCCCTTTTGCACCCATGGCCAGAGTTCTCCAGTTGCCCACATTCTCAGGGAAGGTACACAAACCATTATATATATATATATATATATATATATGTGTGTATGTATATATAACCATTTTTATATGAAGTACACTATATATCATTTATATATATGTGATGAAGTTACATTCAATGAGAAGGTGATTAACCTAATTTTGCAACTAATTGTATTAGTCCATTTTCCTACGGCTGTGAAGAAATACCCGAGACTGGGTGATTTATAAAGAAAAAGAAGTTTAACAGATTCACATTTCGACATGGCTGGGGAGGCCTCATAATCATGGCAGAAGGCAAAGGAGGAGCAAAGCCATGTCTTACATGGCGATAGGCAAGAGGGCATATGCAGAGGAACTGCCCTTTATAAAGCCCTCAGATCTGGTGAGACTTATTCACTGTCATGGCAACAGCACGGGAAAAACCTGCCACTGTGATTCAGTTACCTCCCACTGGGTCCCTCCCATGACATGTGGGGATTATGGGGGCTACAGTTCAAGATGAAATTTGGGTGGGGACACAGCTAAACCATATCACTAACCTAATTAGCCAGTGAAGCTTTTGACCAGTTTTTAATGTGTCGAGAAAGACAGGTCTACTTCAGTTTACAGATGTGCAGCAAACGGGCAATGTTTTGCCAACAAACTGTTCTCCATAAGAGAGCATGCCTTTGAATTTCCACATGCTCCTCAGCAGATCCAAACTGTAGGGGGCCACCCTGGGAAATTTCTGGAATCAGGAGGTCTTCCACCACCACCAGCTGCTAATGCTGCTGCCACAGTTTCAATTAGATGGAAATTGAGAGATAGATGAATGCTTAAAGAAGATTGCAGTGAGAAAGCAAAGTGCACACAGTGTATCCTGGAATGATTGGCAGTTGGCTCTCAGGTGTCAGGAGTGTCAGGTTTGTGCAAATGTAATTGCAGTTTTTGCCATTACTTTTAATGACAAAAACAGCAATTGCATTTGCACCAACCTAACAGATTGCTTCTCCCAGAACCTCCAAAATCATTCCCTGTCGGTAACAAAGTTAGGGCACAGGTTACTTTCAAGTTCCTTTAAGTCAGAGATCATGCATTATATACCACTCTGGCCCTTCCACAGAGCTGTGCAAAAGCAGACATTTAATAAGTATTTGTGAAAATGAATCAACATGATGACTGCATTAAGTTCTCCCCAGCCTAAATAACACTCCCAAGAGGAAAAAAAAAACTCCCAAGAGGGAAGCAGGGATGATAGCTGAAATCTACGGGAGTGTAAGTGGAGTCAAGCCAAGCCTAGAAAATTGGTGGAAGGGGGTATTTCGACACGCAGAGCTGACCCCAAGCAAACCCAAGAATTAGACAAACTGTGTCTCTTTACCTTTATTCTCATGGCAACCCCTGGCTTCCCATGCTTCTCACCTAGGTTCTTAGGTTGGACCATGCCAGGTGGCACTCTGGGTCCCTCTGCTGCATGCAAACAGCTCCTCTATGATTTATGCTGACGAGCTCTATGATCTTGGAGGGAGTAGCCCCAAAGCTATTATGAGGTGATAGCAGAGACCTTCTTTCTTCTAGGACTGAAAACTTTTCTCTTCTTGGCTAACCCATATTATCTCTGTCCTGCTGTGAAGTTTGATTATATAAAGAGAGGATGGATGGGATTTGAATTAATTATACTGATTTCATCTGAAGGAAGTCTCTTATTCAAAATATCTTCCTTTTTGGTAGATCACTGAAGATTGTTTTGAGTTGAGCTCTGTGTTTAAAAAGAGTTGCTTTACATTAGAACATAATATTCTTAGCAGATTGAGATCAACATCCTAGGAATAGAAATTTTGCCTGGGACAGAGAGGAGAAAGGAGAAATGTTGTATTTTTACAGTAGACTTAGATGGCAAGGCAGTAAAAGGTTGGGGAGAGGTTCAAAAATGGAGATAGGAGAACAACAAGAGAAAGTGTGGCTTATATTGGGATTGTTCTCTAGGGTCCTGGTGGTAACCAGTTCTTCCAGGGCTTTGTGGTTGAGTTCCAAAGGTCACACAAACCCCTTGGCTCAGAATCTCTGATTGAGGAGAGGCTCTCTCTGCAGATCAGCACCAAGTTTCTTTGCTATTCTTTGCTATTCCCTGCTTTAGGGAAAGTTGGAGAAAGTAAAAAGAGACTAACAACAAGCCAGGGAGATATATCCTGAAATTCTTTAATGCTGTATGTAGAATTGAAGAGAGCTAGAGCTGGAAGGGCCCTTGGTGAGTCCCTAGTTTAACGCTTTTTTTTTTTTTTTTCTTTTCTTCCCCCCATAGCTGAGGCCCATAGAGGGTAAGAGCCCACTCCAGGCATGCTGGTTTTAAGACTAAGGTCTGTCCAGTACCTGAATGACGTGCTGAGAATGGGGTATAGGATGGTCCTTTTTTTTTTTTTTTTTTTTTTTTTGAGACGGAGTCTCGCTGTGTCTCCCAGGTTGGAGTGCAGTGGCGCGATCTCGGCTCACTGCAAGCTCCGCCTCCCGGGTTCAAGCAATTCCCTGCCTCAGCCTCCCGAGTAGCTGAGATTACGGGTGCCCGCCACCATACCTGGCTCATTTTTGTAGTTTTAGTAGAGACGGGTTTTCACATCTTGACCAGGCTGGTCTTGAACTCCATACCTCGTGATTCACCCACGTCAGGCTCCCAAAGTGCTGGTATTACAGGCGTGAGCCAGCGTTCCCAGCCAGGTTGGTCCTTTTTTAGGAAGCAAGAATACTTGTGCAGAAAGGAAGCCACACTGTGGCTGGGTGGCTTTAGTTAGATCTTTTGCAACTATTCATGCCATAGTTGAGATCTGGATTTTTTGCTTCCCGTTGATGTTTGCCATTAGGTTTATTAAAGGATCTTATGTCAAGCTGACAAAGGCACCTGAGTTGAGAGAGTGGGGCTTGAGGGAATGAGAAGAGGAGCCCAAGCCCGTGCCTGAAGGAAACAGCCTCAGAAGAAGGCAGCTTTGCCCAACACTCATGAGGCCATTGCCAGATGAAGCTCTATTTCATATCTGTATTTAGTTTCAATATAAAAAGATGTACTAGATTTATGCTGCAGCTAGAAAAATCCCAAAGTAGGCCACCCTTTCTGTGGTTGGTCCCCTAGCTCCATTTCTGAACCCCTCCCCAACTGTTCACTGCTTTCCTTTCAGAAGACTTCCCCCATCCCTGCCTAGCCCATCTGCCTCTACTGCAAAATGCAACATTGCTCCTTTCTCTTCTCCAGACACAATTTCAATTCCCAGAATGTCGATCTCAATCCACTGAGGATATTAAGTTCCAATGTAAAGCAACTTATTTTAAACAAAGTTTTTAAAAGTTCAGCTGAAAACTCCAGCTGCAAACCTCCCAGAGTAGATGTATCTCGGTTTAAGATGTGTGGCCTTAGAGCAAGTAAGTGTATTCCTCTCTCCTGAAAATACCCTAAACACAGATTCTCATAGAAACAAATCAGACAGAATTATTTTATGAACTATCCCAGCTTTCCTCCAGAACTGAAGATGGGCTGTAACATTCCTGCCTAGAAATTTTTTGTTGTTAAATTCTGGTCATTTGTAATTGACATTTACTCCATGCCTAGAAGTTTTTAGGGAATAGACTTCAATGGATTGAGAGATGCAACAGTAAACCATATAGACTGTAACAAAATACCATAGGCATGAAAGACTTGTGACCTACAGGTGTAAGACAGAATGTCTGAAAAGTGCACACTTGTTTTCAGTATCCTAAATGGCATGAGTGAAAACCCTAATGATTTAAATCCTGATTCATAGCAAAAGATTTATGAAGATAGCCCAAAGGTATGTCTCCTAAAGTCACTGAGAAGAGACAACTCAGGCAAGGCAGAGAGAGCAAGAGAAAAATGCTCAGAAAAGAGCATCACACCAGGCTGTTTTACAAACAAGCCTTCTGCCCCTCCTCCCAAATGCGAAAGGTCTTTCTCTACAGCAGGTGCCTAACATGAGCAGCCTCATGGTGTTTTCAGTTTCCACAGCTGGATATATAATTCACTGGCTCCTGGGGAAAGCTAGATATTAGATCATTCACATGAAATCGTGACATGAAATTTTCAGTGGAAATCCATCCGATTTTCATTTCTCTCGTTAAGCACAGATGAAAAGTTGCCCCAGAACGTAAAAGGTCACTTCTATACCTTGGTTTTTCAATTTATCAGCCTTATTAGGAGTGGGGCAATTCAACCCACATGTCTCACTTCCCATATCCTTCCTCTAAGCATCCCTGGAGACCACCTCAGCAGTCCCATGACAAGCCCCCAGAAACACTTTAGATCATCTCATTAAATGTGTATCACAGTAGTTTTTCAATAGTTTGTTTGGCACATGAGTCTGTGCTAAAATCGGTGCTTTGATTAAAACAATAGGGGAAGAATTCACGGAATGCATTTGACTCCACCATACCCATTTGTGTCCACAAGGGAATAGTTTGGGTTCAAAATCATCAGGTAATAGGGAATCCTAATTACTTTCCATCCCATCCCTAAGGCCAATTCAGTTTTAGTATAAATAGCACAGAGGTGAAAGCCCATTCCAGGCTAGGTTTCAAGAGTAGGGAACTGCCCAGAGATTATCCTCCCTCCAAAAAACCCCTAGTGCGTTACATTCTATACCTTCTCCCCTAGTCCGTTTTATTTTCCGTATCAAAGAGAATGCTCAGGATTCAGCCCCCTCATCAGTAGCAAGACCACCTGACTTGGCCAAAGTCACAGCTAGAGTCTCTTTTACTCATAGAGTTCTTCAGGGACAAATCACTTCGCAAAGCACAGGATGTTTTTTTCAACAAGAGTCGCTTCTAAGAAAGGGCTAGTGTTCCTAGTAAGTATTTGACTTGCTTCACTGCCAATAAAAGGGGTTGGAGTGAGCAGCATTTGGCAGCCTCTTGATCCTGTTCACTTTATTAGAAAAGGCCGCCTTCATTTTCAGCCTTCCTGGAACCCTAATTTTTTTGGCTTTCCCTCCAGAATGGTTTTGCTGGTCTGCCCACTGTCCTCTGAGAAGGGTGGCTGAAAGCAAAGTTGGAGTCACTCCCTACCCCAATACCCTTTCTCAGCCTCTGATCCTCATATCTAGACCCCTCCAGGTTTTGGTCTGCCCTCCAAACAGCGAACCTCCAATATCACGATAGGCATGATTGTCTTGAGGCCTTCTAACTCCTCTCTGGAGTTAATACGATATAAAGTGCCACCGGATTTATTGCTTGCATTTGGCTTGGTCAGTGCACTCATTTTCTGCCAAGGGAAATATCAGCAGGGAGTAGAGACGAGTATGAGAACCAAACAAACATAGGTTTACTCCTTACTGAACTCCTTACTAAACAGAAAGAAAACCCATCATCTGTGTCCACATAACCATCTCCAGGAGGCTCACAAGTAAGTTCTCCTGACTTGAAGTTGGCAATTCCATATGCTTGGCAGAGGTTCTCGTACCTTCTGTTGTGGGTAAGAAGCACTCTAAGACCTTGCAGAAAGAATTAGGAGAAATCGCCCTCTCAATAGCCTATGTGTTGTCTCCAATTCTCAGGGTTTTAGTAGGAATTGATTATAATTAATTTCCCATTCTCTTTTTTCCTCCTGCAAAACTTGGCTATGTGACCGGCTCAGCTCCTCTCACTAATATCCCATTCATCTCAGGCTCTTCTGCCCAGAGTTTCCTTTATCAGCCGCTAGTGCCTGGGGCCAGCTGCTGTTGCTGAAGCTCTTATATCAACTTTTCTTTCACTCCTGACCTCTGCTTCAGTTGGCTTCATTTTCTTAATGTATTTGTATGTGAGATGGAATGAGAGTGCGGAGAGGGTAAAAAATGTTCTCCCAAGGCCATGCCTACTTCTCAAAAATGAACTGAAAAATTGTCCAGTTAGCTGAGTCTCTTAGGCCTAAAAGCAATCTTTATCCTCAAATAATGAAAACTAAGCAAAAAGTATGAGTCTACGGAGACCAAATTCAGCAAATAATTGTCTCCATTTGCCATTTTCTTCCTGCCTGTAGTGACAAAGAAAAACTCCTCCAGTGTTTTTCCATCTGGGCTCATTCACATGGAACCTTTGCTCAGGATGTGGAGAGGTGGGGAGGTTAGGCTGAGAGGAGGCCAGAAGCACTCCCGTGGAAAAGTTCAGTTGGGATAAATGCGCAGATACAGGGAAACTCAGACCTCAGAAGAGCCCTTCCCCTGAACTCCCCAGCATCCTGTCCTCTGCCCCCACTCTGGGTTTTATGGTGGCCTCACTGCCTTTGGTGTATTTTTTTTGTTTCCCAAACCCAAAGGAGTGAAGAAAGACACTATGTGCTTTTCTTCCTGATAGGAACCTTGTACTATCTGGCCACATAAACCAAAAGACTTCACCAATCCTCTGTTCAAGTTTCTGCCATTTTTCCAGGAGCCAGAAGCTTCCTTTCCCAGGAAATGGCAAAGTATATGCCGGTGAGCCCTGGTCTATATAAAGATGCCACACTTTTCCTCCTCTGACAAATACCCGACCTTTGTGTGGAGCTCTGAGCAGCCAGACAACTCTCAGCCTGTTATTGGTGTCCCTGGATTCCTCTCAGTAGAAATGTAACCAAAATACAGGTTTAGTCACTTGCCACCTGCTTAGTCCAATGAACAAGAGCGGAGTCTGGTATAAGGAATGTGATTTTGTATTCCAAAGCTAGCTTAGGGAAGTACAGGCTGCCTGCCTTATGGGTACCACTTTGCTTTTGGAGCAGAAAGCAGAAACTTTTAAAAGGGGACTTGGCATGAATGGCATGCAAGGGAGGGCGTGAGCAGGTGGGGGTCTGCATGACTCGATTTGTGCCTTATCTACCAGGTGGTCGAGCTGGCACCATCCCGGGCAGAACTAGGTTGTAAAGTGGCCTTGTCTCGAGATACTTTCCAGGTGGGAGAGGGTTTCATAGTGGGCGTACTTTAGGTTGCGTATTGACTGTTGTCTTTTGAGGAAATCTCCTGGTAGGACAGAGTTCTGTCCTGGAGCTTTTAAGTAAGCACATAGTCAGATAAGCTTGCCCTGTAGGGATGTCTGGTGGAGGGAAGGTAAAATATTATCATCATTGCATTTCTAAAGAGCTAAATAGGAAGTGGGGAACAGGGGAGTAGGGGGAAAGAGAGAAGAGAAAATAAAAAATAATTCATTCTCTATCTCAGAAACAATGGGGGGTACTTGGTTACAGAACTTCATGGAGTTCTCAACATTAAAAATTCCACTGCACTCTTGATGGGATCACCTCCCAGAAGCTGAGGGATATGGCATCATTTTTCTTTCCTCTACTCTGACTCCCAACATATACCTCCCCCAACCCCCAAAGTTTGCCTCCTTATGCTATGAGCAGATGAACTCATTCATCCTTATAGCTCTAGTACACCCACCTAATGGGGTACATTGTCCTTAGTAGGTCCTTAGTAAGCTCGAATCAGAATTCAGTAAGTGGCTACTTATGGTTCTTGAACACCAACATACAAAAAATTGGACATAACCATGATTTATTCTCATTCCTTGTCATCTTCATTTCAGTCTGTTCCTCAATTCCTTGCTAACATTCCTGAATGCCCAGGATTCTCAAATAGATCTATCTCTTTGCGTTTTGCTTTGGCTATAAAGTTTTCTCTCCTCTCTCATTCCACAATAAATCCCCAGAGAGCTGCTTCCCTCAGAACTGACCTGTTAATGGGTGATGATAGCTGAATCCTATTGGAATCATTGCATTTTATCTGATGCCTCCATGTAAAAACAGAACTAGGCACCACCAAGAGCTATTGAGGAAGTTACTTTTGACCAATGGTAGGCATTGCCAGTGATATCAGTTTTATTTCTTAGAAGCTTATCTCTTCAGTGTGCTCACAAAGATGCACCTGAATGATTCGATGTTCTCTGATATTTGAGGACAAGTATACCAGGAGCTGTGTCTGTGTAGCTCAAACTTGCCCAAACAATAGAAACCAGCAAAACCAGCAAGCTGAGGAAACTGATTAGATGTTAGCATTCAGAGTCAAACCGAATAGTTTATGACACGCTAGTTGGAATCAAACCAAGACATGGGAGTTCAGGACTTGCCACTGGCAGCAAAAAGAGTATAGCTCCCTCTTCCCAGGAACCCTATTTTGGCTCAGCTTTAGAAGTCACATTTCGTGATCTTTTCTTCTCTTTCTTCCCCCATGTCTCTGTGCAGACTGACCTCATCCTGACTGTCCGTATTAGTTTCCTAGGGCAGCCATAATAAATCACAACAACTTGGTGGCTTAAAGCAACAGAAATTTATTCTCTCACAGTTGAGAAGGTCAAAAGTCTAAAAATCAAGGTGTTGGCAGGGTTGGTTCATTCTGAAGGCTTGAAGGAGAATTCATTCCACGCCCTTCTCCAGACTTCTGCGGGGTGCTGGCAGTCTTTGGTGTTTTGGGCTTGGGGGTGCAGAACTCCAACGTCTGCCTTCATCTTCACATGGCCCTCCCTCTGGGTCTCTGGGTCTGTTTTCCCTTCTCTTCTAAAGATGCCAGTCATTGGATTTGGCTCCTCAGTCCAGCCCCTACCTCCAGGATAATCTCATCTCAAGACACTTTAATTACATCTGTAAATACTATTTCCAGATAAGATCCCATTACAGATACAGGGATTTAGGACTCGGACGTATCTTTGGGAAGAGGGGCGGCACAATTCGACTGACTCCTCAGTCTAAGGGAAGCAATGTGAAGTGGTAGTAAGAGTTAAACATAGGACTTTGGAGATGTTTTCCTCTGTTGGGGTCCCACTTCTGCCACTGACTGGCTCTGTGGATTTTGGTTAAGTGCTTTACCACTCTGTGATTCATTTGTAAAAAGGAATGACACTCTCTTTTCATAGAAGTAGGAAAATCCTTTTTTATAGCAATAGGAAGTATTGCGATGTAATTAAACAGATGTAGTGTCTAAAACAGTTCTAGCACAAAGAAGTGGCAAGCAAATAGGAGATTCCTTTTCCTTTCCTTTGATCTTATCCATCCTGTAGACTGCAGCTTTGTGGGCTTCTTGTGTCTCACTGTCCTCCAGTACCTGGTTTCTGAGACATTCACTGGGCACTCACATTGGTCAGAATTTTATCTAAGAAAATGACAAATTTCCCAACTACATTATAAGTAGACATCTAATTATTCTTTGTATGTTTTATAGAATCCTGTATGGTGCGCTGCATTCAGTAGGTAATCGATGTATGTTTGTTAATTATTATTTTATGAAAAATGAAAATCTCACATTTAAAGACTTCCAGAGAGGGAAGGGAAAAAAAAACCTCCTTGGAAAATTCTTCCTGTGTGTAAATGAAAGGCAGAGCCCACAATTTAAGCAGGTTGATGTTCCTCCTAGTCCGATGGTATTTTGCTTTAGGGATGTGGCCATTTCAGGCTGCTGGGAATTAAGTGGCTGGAACCAAATGGTATCAGTAATCAGGCCAGTCAAGATAAAGTCTAGGCAGCAGGAAATGTATGAAGTAGGGTCTGGAGTCTGAGAGAACATAAAAGGATTCTCAGGATGTGGGCGGGAATACTAACAGATTTGGAAACAAGGTTCCCATAAGCCGGGAGACTTATTTCCAAGAAGGTTTCTCATCAGATTTTGTTTTAACAACTCTTTGAGAGAGAGTATTATGCTTTTATTTGTTAAAGTGTCCAGATTACTTTAGTGTACTTGCTCGGTAAGTCCATCTGAGACTTAAATCTGTCTAGTCAGACCCTCTCATTGTTGAATCAGACACCAAAGATGTGCTCAGGAAGATCTGGGAAGCCTGCAAAGAGGTCTGCATTCTGTGTTGGCTGAGGGACCATCCCTCAGGCTGTTCATTACTGAAATGCACTCTGCTAAAAGTTAGCATGAGTCTGGCTGCAAGGACCATGACATCCTTTTCTGAGCCCCTCTTGCCCAGCCCAGCTTGGGCTGCCCTCTGAGAAAGTTGCCAGCCTACCATATTGAAGATAAATGTTGCTTGGCCCTGTCCAGATGACAGAGATTCAGCCATGCCACGTTCAGACTTGCTTGGGCAGTTAGTTCCCTCTTGGATGCCAAAGCCTGCTGAGGCAATGGATATCATTAGCTGTCAGGGGTGTGCTGAGATCAGCTTGCAATGTCTGCTGAGATCAGTTTGCAATATCTCCTGAGAGCCAATTGTGTGCATCTCTTCTAAACTCTGCATTCAATGACATCACATTAACAGCTTGAAATCAACTCTGGTGGGAGTATTTTCGCCATGGAAATTGGCAAACTCTACAAATCAGGACTTTCTCTCTTCCCAGTCCTCATCCTACCCCACTTCTGGGCATGCTGACATAACAATCATTCACTCTTTCTAGGAAGACTCTCTTCATCCAGCTTCCAGGAGGCCACATTTCTCAATCTGCTTTTCTCAATTTCTTCTTTTGACACTGGAATGCCTCAGGATTCCATTCTTCAACCTCTTCTCTTCCTACACCGATTCCTTGGTGGTCTCATTCAGTTACATGTCTCTAAATTCCATCTTTATGCTGAGGACTCAAAATGTATATTACCAGTTTGGACTTCTTTGAATTCCAGCCCTGTATATCCAGTTGCCTACCTTATTTTTCCACTTGGATATTAAGTAGACATCTCACCTTAAAATGAGTAGAATTGAAATCCCCTCCAGAACCTGCTTGATCTACAGTCTTTTCTGTCTTAGAATGGCAACTTCCAGCTTCTCAGGCCAAAAACTTTGGAGTCATGTTTGACATCATCATTTCTTTCACAATTACACGTGCAATCCACCGGCAAATCCTGTTGGCTCTGCCTTTGAAGACATCTGGAACCTGACCACTTCTTATAATCGGTGGTAATTACTCTCCAAGTCTAGATTTTTGCCACTCTTTTAATTGCTCTCCTGTTTCTCCCTTGGATGCTTACCATCTTTCACTCAGTGTGAAAGCCCCAGTCATTACAATGGGCTGCCAGGCCCTATTGAGTTGACACCTTCTTACTTCTCTGACCTTATCTCCTACTGACTGCATTTTGGGCACATGAGCCTCCTCCTGGTTTCCACAACATGGCGGGTTTGTTTACATCCTCAGCCTGTGTACTGGTTGTTCTTTCTGCTGTCTTCCGGGAAATCGCTTAGTGTTCTTCCTCATCTCTTTCACCAGCTGTCTCAACTGTTATCTGATTGTTATTGAGGTCCACCCTGGCCATTTTTTTTGGTAAAGAAACAGAAAACAATAGTAACAACAACAAAAAAGGCCACCTTGAATGCCCACTCCCACCTCCCATCACTTGCTTTATTTTTTCCCATAGCACTTATCACCTTCTAACATACATATCTTTTATTTATTTATTTCATTTATGTTTTCCCCTCTCCTCTAGAATATAAACTCTATGACAGCAGGGATTTTGGTCTGCTTGGTCACTGTTGTATCTCCAGGGCTTATAAAAGTCCTGATCTACGGTACAGTTGATTCTCATTATTTGTAATATAAGTTATGCTCTATAAAGTCACTGCAAACAATGAATTAGCAAATATTGAACCACTGCTCCTAAGGGAAATGCAGGTTTAGGTTCCAGTGAGCCTCTAGTTACATTTTTGCCAACTGATCAATAGATAACCTTACTTTATGTGTGTTTCTGATTAAAGATGCCTTACTTAATATATATTGTTGATTCATCAGCACTGAGCTCACAGCCAACAGCACTTTAACTCATGCCTGAGCAAGGTGTATCTAACACATGTATTTTCTCTGTAAGGCACATCACAGCCTTATTGTTTTTAGGAATACTAGACTTGAGGGTCATTTTTAGAGAGTGAAATTGCTAACAAAACCACAAAAGTTTGAAAAATAAGGCACTAGGTTGACCACAGAAGGTCACTTGTTTACAGTATGAGAATGGAAACAAGAGGGCAGAGTATTGCCTTGTTCACCTTCGTCTGTTGACGTGCACATAAGGTAACTCAATATTTTGCCACTTGGTGCATGCCTACAAATGCCTGCAAAAACTCTGAATACTGATTTGGGGGTTACAAATAAATTTTAGTCAGTAGGCAAATTTACAAATGCAAAAATCTTCAAATAGTGGGGATCAGCTGTATATTCTCAACATCTACTTATTGAGAATGTAAACTTGATTCTCTGATACTGACACACACGTGGCCTCTGGAAATCTTGAAGTTAAACATCTGCAGGGCATCTACCTAGTGTAATTTGGATAGTTCCTTAGAGCTGCATGTCTTAATGTCTTCTTCCACTTTTTCCTTATCTTGGTTTGAAAGGCTAGGAAAGGATTCACTCCTTTGGGCTTCAAAACATCCTTGTTATATTGAACATGTGTTATAAATAATCAGGACTGGAAACACAGAAGTCAGGGTGAGCTGAGGAGGGGAGAAGAGCAGATAGCACTTCCTCATCTGTGCATTAACACATGATGAGTGGCAAATTGTATTTTCCAAAGATGGCCAGTGTCTCCTATCGTCTGTGCTCTTCTACGTTGTGACCTTAGTTCCCCCTCATCAAGACGTGGAGTCCACTTGAATCTGAGTGGGCTTGTAATTGTTCAAACAGTAGAGTAGGGAAAGTGATACTGCTTGACTTCTGAGGCTCAATCATAAAAAGTGACGCAGCTTCCTCTTAGTTTTCTAGAACACTAGTTCTTGGAGCCTTGAGTCTGAATACCTAGGCCACCATGTTGTGAAAACACCAACCCATGTATAGAGGCCATGGGTAGGTAATGAGTCACCTATCCTCGTCTTTGAGTCCTATTAGCATAGGAACCAGACCTGTGAGGAAGGGAGCCTTGAGATGATATTTGCTCCCGGCCATCAAGTAACCATTGGCCTTTGCTTCTTTCCAGCTAAGGTCCAAGACATTGTGGAACAGAGACAAGCCATTTCTACTGTGTCCTTATTGAATACCTGGCCCACAGTATCCCTGACCATAACAAAATGGTAAGGGTTTAAGTGGTAAAGTCGTTACATGTTTTGAAGGTGGTTAATTCTACGGTAAGTGACCAGACAAATGGTTCTAAATTCACTTGTGTTGCTAGTGTCATAAGACAAAATTACAACAAATTTGGTTTAAAGATCTTAATTGCTGCCTGTGTTTTTGAGGTCTTAGCCATAAAATCTTTGCCTAGATCAATGTCCTGAAGCATTTCTCCTGTGTTTTCCTCTAGTAGTGTTATAGTTTCAGATCTTACATTTACGTCTTTAATCCATGTTGTGTTGATTTTTGTATATGGTGAGAAATAGGGATCCAATTTCATTCTTCCGGATATGGATATCCAGTTTTTCCAACACCGTATATTGAAGAGAGTATTTTTTCCCCAGTGTATGTTCTTGGCACCTTTGTTGAAAATAGTTTGCTATAAATACGTGGATTTATTTCTGGGTTCTCTATTCTGTTTCACTGGTCTATATGTCTTTTTATACTAAATATCATGCCATTTTGGTTACTATATGTAACCAAATATAGTATATTTTGAAGTCAGATTGTGTAATGCCTACCACTTTGTTCTTTCTACTCAGTATTGCTTGGCTATTTGGGGTGTTTTGTAGTTCCATATAAACTTCAGGATTATTTTTCTATTTCTGTGAAGAATGTTATTGGTATTTTGATAAGAGATTGAATCTGTAGATTACTTTGGGTAGTATGGTCATTTTAACAATATTAATTCTTCCAATTCATGAGCATGGAACGTCTATTTGTTTGTGTCTTCTTCAATTTCTTTCATCGGAAAGAATTTATTAAATTTGATTAAATTTATTCCTAGACAATTAATTTTTTATAGCTATTTTAAATGGGATTACTTTCTTGATTTCTTCTTCAGCAAGTTAATTATTGGTATATAGAAATGCTATTGATTATGTATGTTGATTTTGTATTCTGCAACCTTGTTAAATTCATTTATCAGTATAGCCATTATAGAAAACACTATGGAAGTTTCTCAAAAAATTAAAAATAGAACTACCATGTGATCCAGAAATCCCACTGCTGGGTATTTATCCAAAGGAAAAAAAATCAATATATCAAAGGGAGACCTGCACTCCCATGTTTATTGCAGCACTATTCACAATAGCCAAGATACAGTATCAATCTAAGTGTCCATCAACAGATGAATGGATAAAGCAAATGTGATACACACACACACACACACACACACACACACACACAATGGAATACTATTAAGCCGTAAAAAAGAATGAAATTCTATCATTTGCAGGAACATGTATGGAATTGAAGGGCATCTTGTTAAGTAAAATCAGCCAGGCACCGAAAGACAAATATTGCATATTCTTACTCATATGTGGGAGCTAAAAAGATGGATCTCATGGAGGTAGAGAAAAGAATGGTAGCTACTAGAGGCTATGAAGGGTGTGTGGGATGAAGAGAGGTTGGTTAATAGGTACAGACATATAGTTAGACGGAATAAGCGCTAGTATTCAGCCTCAAAGTAGGGTGACTATAGTTAACAAAAACATATTGAGTATCTCAAAATAGCCAGAAGAGAAAATTTGAAATGTTCCTAGCTCAAAGAAATGATACATGTTCAAGGCGATGGATATCCTAAATACCCTGATTTGATCATTACACATTCTATGGCTGTGTCAAGATATCACAGATACCCCATAAATATGTGTAATTATTATGTATCAAAAACTTTATATAAAAAACATTAATTTGCTGTATTTTTGATTCTACAATTGGGCAGCACTTTATTCCATAAAATAGAATGAGTGTTCTGATGAGCCAAGAAGAGGAGGTTGGTTTTACAGACAGAAAAGGGCTGTGGAAAGCAGAAAAAAACAAACAAAAAAAATGTGGATTGGTCATTTCAAAGTTTCTTTTCATGTAAAGGTTAAAGCAGAGGGGACTTTCTTGTCCTGCTGGCACTGGATCTAGGTCAGTGTTGGAGACGATGTCTGGGACTCAGGGCCTTCGCAGATCACAGAGGCTGGTCTTGCACAACCTCTAAGAGGCCAGGCCAGGCCATGGCTTACCTAAGAGCTCAGCCCAGGGAAGCCCTAGGTCCTTTCCTGGCATCTTAGAGGGAACCATGTCTTACTGGCTCAGGCTAGACTTGCACATTAATCCACTGAGTTGACTTTGGATCTTACAGGCTCAAAGGGTGGTCTTTGGGAGCAGGAAGTGATCAGGACCCTGGTCAGATTCATATATCTGCAACTGAGCCCACTCAAAGAAATAAATAGAAAAATTACATATTTTTGGTTATTTGCCTTAATGTCACAGATTACCATTAGGCCAAAGATCTTCTGAGGTATATGCGTACAAGGTGATTTTTTAGTGTTTTTTTTTTTAAATTCTCTCTTTTTCTATAAATTTTAATGATGACTTGAGTATAAAACAAGATGATCCACTCTGCAGCACCAAAGGTGGGCAAGAGAAGAGATCAGAATCTGGTATGAGACTGAAAATCACTGTGGCAACCAGCTTCAGTGGGGCAGCTGGGGTTGGCTCTGAAGAAAGTCTGTTCCATTTGTATAGCAGACAGGAGCCCATGGGGTTCCCATCAGCTAGCACTGGGAGTGGACTTCAGAGGCTGCACGGGCTGCTGTTGGACTGGTCTAGGGGACGGGGGAGGAGGGAAGATGCCTGTGAGGCAAGGCAGAAGGGCTTCTAGACCTCAGACTGAGGGTCAGGGAAGACCTATCTTCCTAAAGGTGTTGGGGAATAGTTAGGCTAGCAGATCAGAACAGGTCAAAAGAATAAGCACTATGGTAGAGGCTATTGTGGGTTTGGGGAAGGGGAGAGAGAATAAAGGGAGGAGAGATCTGCAGCTTGTGTGCCTACACTGTTTCTCAGAAGCCTAGGCCTGGGAGCTGGTTAGCAGCAAGAACACACAATAGGGAAAGCCCCGTAATTGTCCTGGCTCCTGGCACTGGGAGACTGACTTAGTTCTCATGGCGAGGAGCTCTCTGAGAGTATCACCCGGGCAGAAATGTAAGGAGCACACCTGGTTTTGGCCAGTCATTGCCATGTTTGCAATAACATGGCTGTGGGCCAATATCATTAGGCAACTTTGTGACTTGGTCATTGAGCAATGATCGAGGTCCTATTTGAAAGCTAAGGTCAAGCTTATGAAGCAATGCCAGCTTGTAACATCGTGCAGGTTTATTTAACACAGATGAAACCAAGACATATCTTTACCATCCAGGAGTAAATTATCCCAGGCACAGGGAAAGATGAAGTAGGAATGTTTCTTTTGGTGTCTTCCATGTCTAGTTTCAGAGACCCCATTCAGCTCCCATCTCACTCTGTATCTCACCCCTGGCCTGTGCTCTATTCTCTCAGGGCCACGATCCTTCCTTTAGTCTTCCTCCATCTCTCCATCCCTCTTTCCTTCCTTCTTTCCTCAAATATATTTTTTGAAACAGTACTCAGGATTTTATTTGTTTATGTTTTAATTTCAACTTTTATCATAGATTAAAGGGTACACATGCAGGTTTATTACATGGGTAAATTGCATCACCCTGAGGCTTGGGATCCCAATGATCCCATCACCCAGGGAATAAGTATAGGACGCAACAGGTGGCACTCCAGCCCATGCCCCCTGCTCCCTTCCTTCCCCATCTAGTGATCCCCAGTGCCTATTGTTCCCATCTTCGTGATCATGTGTCTTCAACGTTTAGGCCCCACTTACAAGTGATAACATGCAATATTTTGTTTTAGGTTCTTACATTAGGTCATTTATGGAGGTCATAATGCCTTCCACCTCCATCCATGTTGCGAAAGGACATGATTTCATTCTTTTTTATGGCTGCATAGTATTCCATGGTGTATTTGTACCTCATTTTCTCTCTCCAATCCACTGTTGATGGGCTCTTAGGTTGATTCCATGTCCTTGCTATTGTGAATGGTGCTGCAGTGAACATAGGAGCATATGTGTCTTTAAGATAGGATGAATTACTTTCCTTTGGGTATATACTCAGTAGTGGGATTGCTGGGTCTAATGGTTGTTCTATTTTGAGTTCCTTGAGAAATCTCCAAACTGTCTTCCACAGTGGCTCAACTAGTTTGTGTTTCCATTAAGAGCATATAAGCTTTCCCCTTTCCTCTGCAGCCTCACCAGCAACTCTTATTTTCTGTCTTTTTAATAATAGCCATTCTGACTGGTGTGAGATGTTATCTCATTGTGGTTTTGATTTGTATTTCTCGAAATTATGGAATGCTGCATAAATTTGTGTGTCATCCTTGTGAAGGGGCCGTGCTAATGTTCTCTGTATTGTTCCAGTTTTAGTACATGTACTGCCGAAGCGAGCACTTGAATATTTTTTGAGCACCCGGTATGTGCCAAGGGTAGAGCAGAAAGTCTCTTCTCCCATGGGTCTTATATTCTAGTCAGGCGAGACTTACTACAAACAAACATAGAGCCATTGAACATATCAGGTGGTAAAAGGTGCCACGAAGGAAAATGAAATAGGGGAAAGGTACACTCAGCATGTCCAGGAAAGACTGGTCTGACAGGATGCTCTCTGAGGAGAGCCTTGGAAGCAGTGAAGGGGAAGCCAGATGGGTATGTGGGGGCGAAAACAAGGGGGGCCCAAGGCCTCAGGTGGGAGCCATTCTCGAATCAGCAGGGAGGCCTGTGTGGCCTCACTGCTGAGTCAGACAGAGAGGAGGTGGGAAGAGATGAGGTCAGAGGGAACTGAGGGTCAGATGGTATGGTAAGAGCTGGCTGTATCTGACTCAGCTTCAGGAATTTGCCTTCCCAGGGTCAGTTTTCTTAGTGGCTTCTTAATTACTGAAGATACATCAAAACTAAAATGAATGAATCTGAAGTGTCCTTTCAATTTTGGGGGAGAAATACTTGAACAAGGGGCACCTCCCTTCAAACCCCACAGGTATCTGCTTTTGAAAGCTTTGCTTCCCTTCTCCTCTCTAAAAGTTGTTTCCAGGCTGAGGAGCTGCGGGGGTGGCGGGAGAAGGGGGACTTCCTGAAGCAGGAACAGAAAACACCAGACTGTTCTCTGGCAATAAGCCTCCTCCCACCCAGCAGACATCTCAGTGGGGGGAGGTGAGGCAGGAGGTGGGTGACGCGTCGCGTGTGGCCTGGCCCCACTGTCCCTGCCCTCCTCACAACGGGCCTCAGCTTCTTGTGGCTTAAAACCTCTCAGGTGTCAACCAGTTCTTTTTCCTGAAGCAAGGGCAAGCTTTGGGATTCTGTAAGCCTTGAAAAAAATGTGCTCACAGACTTGTGGTAATCTCATGGCTCTCACTTGCTTTTCTGGCACTCTTTCACTTTACATCTGTGGGGTTGAATCACCAAAAAATGTTCAGCTGAGTTTGCATGTCAAAATAAATTAATGACCATTTTGTTTTTCTACTGAGAATGGGGAACCCAAGGGGTCAAGTGGCATTTTAAAAAGTATGCATTTGACCTGTGGAACAAGAGACAGCCTTTAGTTCTAAACAGGAAAGTCAGTGGTAGTATTTAGTCAAAAGAGGGATAGAGCTCATGCTTTCTTTTCTTCCTCTTTCTTTTTTAAAGGACCAAATTCTTGACTGAAAGTTGTATTTTTGTGAGGAATGAAGGCCTTTTTATAAGGAACGATCAATCTCTCCCAGCACTTTTCTTTCTTACTAAAAAAAAAAAAAAAAAAAAAAAAAATCTAAGAACTTCTATTACTAAAAAACTACCTAAGAACTTCTGTTCTTTCTCCTTGTATGTGTCTGTCTGAGATACCGAAATTCACCCAAGAAACAAAGTATCACATGAGCATCAGCAATAGATAAAAATGACTAAAACCAATAAAGCCAACTTACTGAAGAGATTCTGCCCTGTGTTCCAGATGGGCACGTACTTGGCCTTACTTGCCCGGTGATGTATTTCTACCCCTGACATCTGCCTTTTCTACTACACATAATTTCTGCATCATCCCTTGATTCATCCCTTACTTGAGTTTTTAAACCCCAGACTATTTACTGGATTTTCACCTTTATAAGCTATCACCATCTCTGTAGAAATTTCTGACATCAACTCATTTCTGGTCACCAGTCATCGCTTCAGAGTTGGTCTTAATAATCACCCTCACCTTCCCAGGGTTACTCTTTTCAATACAGCGCCCAATAATATCCCGCTCTTACACATGCTGATCCTATGCCACCAAGATAACTATATCCCAACCCAGCCAGGGGCTAGACAATACAGTATGGAATCCCTTGAAAATGAAAGTGCTTGTGCTAGACGTGAAGCATTAATCAGGTGAAGATCCAGGATTTGTGATGCTCTTGATGACAGAATCATTCTGATTCCTTCTCATGGCTTACAGGAGGGAAGGACAAAGTGAGTCACCAGTCCCAACAGTAGATACTTTTTGATGATGGTTTGTACTTCATCTTCCAGGGACCAAAAGATCAGTTTTAATATTCCAGTTTAATTTTGAAGGCAGAAGCAAAAAATTCTTCTGAGAATCCTAAGTGCAAAGAACCAACTGACTCTGTTTCTGTGTTACTTGATTTTCTTGCTGCCTTAGCAGCCCCTTTAGCATCTTCCTCTGCTTAGGCCATTTGTTAGAAAGGTAGAGTGAGAGCTAAGCATGAGTATAAGAAAGATTCATGGAAGAGTACTTTTTATTCATTATTCACTGATTCAGTAAATATTTATTAAACATCTACACTATGATTGATACTAGAAATATGAGTGTGCCAAAACAGACACAATTCTTGATTTCATGACAGTTATAATTCAGTAGGGGTGTCATACCTGAATGAAAGAATCACGGAAATAGATGTGAAATTACAAATGTTATAGGGACTACAAATGAGAGGTACACTGTGCCACTGTGAGCATAAGTGTGAGATTGACTGGCCAAGGAATTCAGGGAAGGCTTCCCCCAAGAAAAGGACAATTGATTTCAGGTTTGGAGGAGGTGATGAGGAGAGAAAAGAGCAGTTAATACAGATGGAATAGCACAGGCAAAGACCAGAGGCAGATACACTCCAGGAAATCCAGAACAGTATATAGGACCAAGACAACAGAGAGGGATAGGAGAGAGCAAGGAAAGCATGGTAACATGAGTCAGGTAGGGATCAGCCCATGTTAATGATTTTTGTTTTCATCCAAAAAGCAATGGACAACAATTTAGCCTTCTTTAAAACTGTGTGTGTGTATGTGTGTGTGTGTGCATGTAGAGAGAGAGAGACAAATACAGAGAGAGAATGAATTAGATTTGCATTATTAGATTTGCATTTCTAAAATGTAATGCTGGCAATGATTTGGAGAATGGATTATAGCAGGGAAAGATTAGAGGTGCACAATAAATTTGGAGCTATTTCATAATGCAAGTGAGAGGTGGTGGGAGCTAAAAACTGGATAGTGGCAGAGAGAGATGGCAATGGAGACAAGTGGAAGTATAAAATCAATAAAATTGCAAGATGGAATGTATATGGGGAATGAGGAAGGAAGAGGTGTCAAAGTGTCTGTATTTCAAACATGCATAATTGAAGTGATGGTGGTGTAATTCACTGAAATTTATATCACTAGAAGAAGTTTCCTATTTCATATTGTGGGTGTGTGTGTGTGTGTTTGCACATGCAGGCAGGCCAGAGAAATCACAATATTGGTTCTGGACATAGTGAGATAGATGTGTTATTGAAACAAACAAGTAGCAATTAGTCTGAAGTTAGTCAAAGAAGAGGTCTCATCTGAATTTATATGATTTTGAATCATCAGTGTGTAGGTGGTGATTGATTGAAGCATAGGGTGTAGATGAGACTGCCTAAAGAGAAAATATAGTGTGAGAAAAGATCAAATATAAGATTGAGCCATGAAGATCTATGACATTTAAAAATCAAGTAGAAGATAATGAGTGTTAAAGAAGGTGGACAGAATCCCAAAGAAGTAGTAGGAAAACCCAGAGATCATTGTGTCACAGGAGCCAAGAGAAGGGAGTTTCAAGAATTTACAATAACCAGCACACAATCAGAAATTACTAGATATGTGAAGTAGTAGCAAAATGTTACCTATGTCCAGGAAAAAAAATTAACAAAAAATAGAAACAGACCCAGAGATGTTGGAATTAATAGACGAAGACTTTAAAACAGCCATTATGCATATGTTTACAGGTTTAAATAAGATAAACCTAATGAGTAAACAAATGGATACTCTCAGTAGAGAAATGAAAATGATAATAATAATAAAATATCTCAAATAAAAAGTTCACTGGATGGGCTTAGCAGCACAGTGGACACTGAAAAAGAAAGGATCAGTGAACTTGAAGACAGAATAGTAGAAACTATCCAAACTGAAGCTAAGAGAAGAAAGGCTAGAGAGGTAGTCTCTGTTATCTGTGAAATGGTATTAAGGGTTCAAATATTAATGTAATTAAAGTCCCAGAAAAAGAGGAGAGAGAGATTTGAGAAAAAAAAAGAATAGAGATTGGAGATAAAAAAGTTTTGAAAAAATATGCAGTCAAAATTTTTTTCCAAATTTGATGAAAAATATCAACATGAAAATCCAAGAAGTTCAATGAACACCAAACAGGAATGGAAAATGATGGCAGCTGCTTGACTTCAAATCTCCCCATACAACTTTAAAAACCCTTAAAATAAATAGAGTGAAAATAGAAAATAACATTATGGCTTTAGCATTACTAAGAATTGGAGAATACTACAAGTTGTAAATGATCAGCAAGTAGAAAAATGCATCATATTCTAACAGCTACCTTTTGCCTTACTGCTTCAAGCCTATGGATATGGAAAGTGAAGTAGGGAAGTATTAAAGAATGGTATCAAAAATAGTAGAGGGCATTAAGGACTTACATAAGGTATGCACACTCTCAAAAGAAAGCCCAACTACGTTAAGAAATGCTCTACGCAATTTGGAACTTGGCAGTTCACACCACCAGCTGCAGGGAAAAGATTTGAAATGAGTGAGGCCCAGAAGTGGCAGCCCTGGAGAAGCACGGCTTCTTAGGGAGAATGAGATACAGAGAAGTGGTGGTATTCCTCGGTGAAATAGCAATGAAAGGAAAGAAAAAAGAAAAGATAAAATTAATGTTTCTAGGAAGAAAGACACAGTAGTCCCTTTCTTTTTCTTCCTAACTTCACCATCAACATCTTCCATAAAAGAAACTTCACAGAAAAGGGCAGAACTGAAAGGAAATGCTGATGTCACACGATGAACTCTCTCCACAGAATGAAGAGGTACAGAAAAACCGCAGTCATATCCAAATAAAACTGTCGTAAAAAGTGAACCAAGGTAATTCAGCTGAAGAAAATACTCCCTCACCTCAGGGGCAGGGTGTGGTGGGGGGAACAATGAGCTGAGGAAAACTGTAACATAATACTCCCACAAAAATTAATTTTCCTCAAAATAGAATTTGGAGATACGTAAAAAGCATCAGAAATATAAAACTGAATCAGAAATATAAAACTGAATCAGAAATATAAAACTGAATCAGAAATATAAAACTCAGCAACACAAATAGATCAAGAAAGAAGAAAAGGAAGAAATGAAATGATAGTCATTGAACATAGGAAGAATATCAAAGAAAATGGCAAAATCATACCAGAAATGTAGACAAAATTATGAGGCCCAAGGGAGAATAAATTTAAATGGAAATTTAACAAAAGACATTGAAGGAAAGCAGGAGAAAACAAGAGAGCAAAAAGGAGGTAAAGAAAAAAAGAAAAAAGGTCAGAGGAAAGTGATCGAAGTGGAAGACCAGCCAAGGATGTCCAACTGGAGTTCTTGAACGAGGAGAGCAAAACAATGGAATATAACTATTATTTAAAATTATAATCCAAGAAAACTTTCTGGAAATAAATCAGGAATTGAATCTACAAGTGAAAGGGTTCACTTGAAAAAGTTGACCTGGCATTATTATAAAAGTTGACCTGGCATTATTATATCAGAGCCATATCCTAGTAGAACTGCTAAGCTTTAAAGAGAAAGAAAAAAATCCATATGGCCTTTTGGAGGAAACATAAAATAGCTTGAAAGGAGAAGAGGATTTGGCTGACATTGGATTTCTCAACAACAACATATAAAGCAAGACGTGAGTGAAGCAGCTCTTTGAGAAGCTTGAGAAAATGCAAGTCAAGAACTTTATATCTAGCCAAGCTGTTCTTCAAATGTTAACAATATAGAAAAGCAGTTTTGAAGACGAAAGAACACAAGAATACTGTGCCCACGTGTCCTTTCTGACGAATCCACTGCAGAATTAAGTGTACTTTATTCAACTAAGAGCTGACTGCAGACACTTCAGCAGGAGGATTGAAGGTGGGCTTCTACATATTTCATATATAGATCTAGGACTAACACAAGGTTGGAGATATGGGTATAAGAATGGTAGTTAAACATTGCATTTTCTAACAGAATAGAAACAGTACAATTTTTAAAATGGGAGAAGTGGGTAAGAACGTAGAATAAGATCATTGAATTTACACTATAAGTAATAGCCAAAAGATATGGTAAAAGGTTAAAAAATTCTTAAAAAGGTAATAAAGAGTACTACAAAGGTAACCATTAGAACAAAATTAAACATTTTCCTAAATACCAAAAGGAATTTTCTAAAAAGGAAAGAAAGTACACAAAGAGCATTTTAAAAATAGGTTTGATGATTAAATTCAGCCAAAAAAAGAACTGGTTTTTCAGTTTATTTTATACAAAACAAGAAAATTACATGCAAGTGGTAAGCTCCTATGCACCAAGTGTTTAGCTTAGAAAAATAAAATACTCCTAGGAAACAATTTATCTTTTGTTCACAGGACAGTCAAATAGATCTAATAGCGCATCAGTTCTAGATGAGTACTTAAACCGAATGAAAAGCAGCCCAACAGCAGCTACTTTGCACCAACCACTTACTATGTCTAGCTTGCCTGCTGGTCACTTTATAGTAAGCCTTCACTGCAACACTGAGGCATTATTTTTATGGATGAGCAAACTGAGGCTCAGAGAAGTTAACAATTAGCAGTAGGTCACTTCATTATAAATGGCAGAACCAAGCTTTAAGTATAAGTGTGTTGACACCAAGGCAATGTGTCTTTGCTACTTTGTGGTAGGACACTGTTTTCCTTCCATATCTCTTTCTGTCATCAGGTTCTAGCCCAGAATACTGGCCATTTTTTAGCTATTCAGTGCGAGCATTGAGTGAAATTGTGAATTTGCCTGTCACTGACTCCAGGGAAGAGACGAGTCAATCAACTCTGACGAATCAAGATTTCCAGAAGATCTAAAGCCCCCTTGCCTCTCTTTTTCTCAGCTACCCATCAAATAAGAGAACCCATTGCAGAACCAGAAGGGACATCATCCAAGCTGTCTGAAATCCCGGTTGGTACTCCAGGCTTCAACAACTGCAGCACAATGAGAGACAGCAAAGAACATCCTGGCCTTTGACAACCCCCTGTCTTCTAACATACTGAGGTTAATCAGACCGAGGACAATTTGGAAGGGGCTCTCTGCCACAACTTGGGGAGTGGAGGTAGGGAAGGCCATAGGAGCCCCAGCAGGTAGGCCACATAGCCTGAGTTATGGAATCTAACTCCAGTCTGTCTTCCAAATATTTCTGGGGTGTCAGATCTATGGTAGCCTGAGAGGCATATTCTGAAGCCATTTCCCTCCTAGAGATCTCGGACTTCTTTCAGCTTCTTGATGTTATTACACTAAGAGAATATGAACACCTCCTTACAGCAAATGCTGTAGTTATAAAACAGTTCACCAAAGAACCTATGTTTCCTTGAAAACCAAAAGACAATGCAAAAAGAAAAATCATTTTAAAAAAGATCTTCAAAAAAGGCTTGATAATTGCATAATTTAAAGGACCCCAGGGAAGTCTCAATGCTACATAGGTCCTGGGAGAAGGCACCTGAACTACATGCCTTGGTGAACTGCATTTCTTTTAGCTTCTCTGCTTGGAATCATGAGGTCCCTAGCGTATGCTGAATTTTGAAGGCTGATGAGCGTTTTGGGCTCTTCCCTGCTGACATCACCCTATTTCCTTGGGGACCCCAGGCTCTCAGCTGTAGAAGACTCTCAGACAGACACACATTGCCCAAACATGCTACCCTGCACACGTGCTAAACTCTGAGGCTCCTGTGGAGTTGTGTGTCGTACTCCTCAGCTCCAGACCACTGTGTCCTGCCCTGGCCTCCACCCAGCCCTGATGGAGGCCCCAACATATGTGCCTCAACCCACACAGGCCCCAGAGTTTGGCAAAGTGTCCCACACGCAATAACTTTTGAGTCAGTGGTGCCTGCCCACCCACCTGCCCCCACCCCCACCTTCCCCACCATCTGCAATGTCTGTCTTGGAGCCTACTGATGAACTAATTAATGTATCTTACATATTCCTGATACGGTAAATTCATGGGCTCAGGGAAGCGTATTTTGTATTTTTTCTAATTTGTGCTTCCCCTGGACAGTTCACCAATACCCTGCTGCAGGTGCTTACATTTAATGTCATCAGGAAGCAGTGAATATAAATGTGCAATAAATGCGCAGCTGTCCTTGGGTTCTGCACAAGCAGTACTTTAAAAGTAAATAATGAGCTAAAAGAACAAACTTAGAGGGTAATTTCCAACCTCCTTCCTGTCTCTAACACCATGAAGTTTCACTGTATCGGTTGCATCTTTTGGCATTGTTCATATACTACGTGCCTGGATTCTGTTTCTTGAACTTGTTGGGAAATGGAATCATACTGGGGATGGCTCCGAGTTCCTTATAACCATAGCATTAGTTTCAGAGTGTTCCCTATAGTAATAATAAAAAGCTTCAAAACATGCTGAAAATGTTTTAGAACATGGTAGCTTCAAAGACGTTTGTTAAAAGGATAGGCTGGTCTGCATGGTGGCTGTTTTACTGCTTTTCTAAACTTGGGTGAACCCCTGGAGGAGAAGCCCCAAACAGGGTAGTTCCACCAGCCCAGGATGCAGCAAGGTGGACAAATCACAGGTCTGCTGGAGACAAGTGGTCAAGAGAGCATGGGTCACTGCTGAGCAGAGCCGGGGTCAGGCAGGTTGAAGGAAAGGCACAAGCAAAGGACACCTCTCTGTCTGCCATAATGCCAAGGTCATGCTTCTGCTGCCTGGAACTTACTTTCTGTCAGGCAGGAGAGACTCATATTTCTTCTCTTTAAGACAGGACGGGGGAGGAGCCAAGATGACCGAATAGGAACAGCTTCGGTCCACAGCTCCCAGCGTGAGCGATGCAGAAGACGGGTGATTTCTGCATTTCCAACTGAGGTACCGGGTTCATCTCACTGGGGAGTGCCGGACAGTGGGTGCAGCACACCATGCACGAGCCAAAGCAGGGCAAGGCATCGCCTCACCTGGGAAGCGCAAGGGGTCAGGGAATTCCCTTTCCTAGTCAAAGAAAGCAGTGACAGACAGCACCTGGAAAATCGGGTCACTCCCACCCTAAGACTGCACTTTTCCAATGGGCTTAACAAACGGCACACAAGGAGATTATATCCCGCGCATGGCTCAGAGGGTCCTACGCCCACAGAGTCTTGCTCATTGCTAGCACAGCAGTCCAAGATCAAACTGCAAGGCGGCAGCGAGGCTGGGGGAGGGGCGCCAGCCGTGGCCCAGTTAGTTGTTTGATTAAGCAAACAAAGCAGCCGGGAAGCTCGATCTGGGTGGAGCCCACCACAGCTCAAGGAGGCCTGCCTGCCTCCCTCTGTAGGCTCCAACTCTGGGGGCAGGGCACAGACAAATGAAAAGATAGCACTAACCTCCGCAGACTTAAATGTTCCTCTCTGACAGCTTTGAAGAGAGTAGTGGTTCTCCCAGCACGCAGCTTGAGATCTGAGAATGGGCAGACTGCCTCCTCAAGTGGGTCCCTGACCCCTGAGTAGCCTAACTGGGAGGCACCCCCCAGTAGGGGCGGACTGACACCTCACATGGCTGGGTACTCCTCTAAGACAAAACTTCCAGAGGAAGGATCAGGCAGCAGCATCTGCAGTTCACCAATATCCACTGTTCTGCAGCCACTGCTGCTGATACCCAGGCAAACAGGGTCTGGAGTGGACCTCTAGCAACCTCCAACAGACCTGCAGCTGAGGGTCCTGCCTGTTAGAAGGAAAACTAACAAACAAAGGACATCCACACCAAAAACCCATCTGTACGTCACCATCATCGAAGACCAAAGGTAGATAAAACCACAAAGATGGGGAAAAAACAGAGCAGAAAAACTGGAAACTCTAAAACTCAGAGTGCCTCTCCTCCTCCAAAGGAACGCAGCTCCTCACCAGCAATGGCACAAAGCTGGACAGAGAATGACTTTGACGAGTTGAGAGAAGAAGGCTTCAGATGATCAAACTACTCCGAGCTACAGGAGGAAATTCGAACCAATGGCAAAGAAGTTAAAAGCTTTGAAAAAAAAATTAGACGAATGGATAACTAGAATAACCAATGCAGAGAAGTCCTTAAAGGACCTGATGGAGCTGAAAACCAAGGCACGAGAACTATGTGATGAATGCACAAGCCTCAGTAGCTGATGCGATCAACTGGAAGAAAGGGTATCAGTGATGGAAGACAAAATGAATGAAATGAAGCGAGAAGAGAAGTTTAGAGAAAAAAAATAAAAAGAAATGGACCAAGCCTCCAAGAAACATGGGACTATGTGAAAAGACCAAATCTACATCTGATTGGTGTACCTGAAAGTGACGTGACGGGGAGAATGGAACCAAGTTGGAAAACACTCTGCAGGATATTATCCAGGAGAACTTCCCCAATCTAGCAAGGCAGGCCAACATTCAAATTCAGGAAATACAGAGAATGCCACAAAGAAAATCCTCCAGAAGAGCAACTCCAAGACACATAATTGTCAGATTCACCAAAGTTGAAATGAAGGAAAAAATGTTAAGGGCAGCCAGAGAGAAAGGACGGGTTACCCACAAGGGAAGCCCATCAGACTAACAGCTGATCTCTCGGGAAGCCCATCAGACTAACAGCTGATCTCTCAGCAGAAACTCTACAGGCCAGAAGAGAGTGGGGACCAATATTCAACATTCTTAAAGAAAAGAATGTTCAACCCAGAATCTCATATCCAGCCAAACTAAGCTTCATAAGTGAAGGAGAAATAAAATACTTTACAGACAGGCAAATGCTGAGAGATTTTGTCACCACCAGACCTGCCCTAAAAGAGCTCCTGAAGGAAGCACTAAACATGGAAAGGAACAACCGGTACCAGCCACTGCAAAAACATGCCAAATTGTAAAGACCATCAAGGCTAGGAAAAAACTGTACGAGCAAAATAACCAGCTAACATCATAATGACAGGATCAAATTCACACATAACAATATTAACTTTAAATGTAAATGGGCTAAATGCTCCAATTAAAAGACACAGACTGGCCAATTGGATAAAGAGTCAAGACCCATCAGTCTGCTGTATTCAGGAAATCCATCTCACGTGCAGAGACACACATAGGCTCAAAATAAAGGGATGGAGGAAGATCTACCAAGCAAATGGAAAACAAAAAAAGGCAGGGGTTGCAATCCTAGCCTCTGAGAAAACAGACTTTAAACCAACAAAGATCAAAAGAGACAAAGAAGGCCATTACATAATGGTAAAGGGATCAATTCAACAAGGAGAGCAAACTATCCTAAATATATATGCACCCAATACAGGAGCACCCAGATTCATAAAGCAAGTCCTTAGTGACTTACAAAAAGACTTAGACTCCCAAACAATAATAATGGGAGACTTTAACACCCCACTGTCAACATTAGACAGATCAACGAGACAGAAAGTTAACAAGGATACTCAGGAATTGAACTCAGCTCTGCACCAAACAGACCGAATAGACATCTACAGAACTCTCCACCCCAAATCAACAGAATATACATTCTTTTCAGTACCACACCACACCTACTCCAAAATTGACCACATAGTTGGAAGTAAAGCACTCCTCAGCAAATGTAAAAGAACAGAAATTATAACTAACTGTCTCTCAGACCACAGTGCAATCAAATTAGAACTCAGGATTAAGAAACTCACTCAAAACCCCTCAACTACATGGAAACTGAACAACTTGCTCCTGAATGACTACTGGGCAAATAATGAAATGAAGGCAGAAATAAAGATGTGCTTTGAAACCAAAGAGAACAAAGACACAACATACCAGAGTCTCTGGGACACATTCAAAGCAGTGTGTAGAGGGAAATTTATAGCACTAAATGCCCACAAGAGAAAGCAGGAAAGATCTAAAATTGACACCCTAACATCACAATTAAAAGAACTAGAGAAGCAAGAGCAAACACATTCAAAAGCTAGCAGAAGGCAAGAAATAACTAAGATCAGAGCAGAACTGAAGGAAATAGAGACACAAAAAATCCTTCAAAAAATTAATGAATCCAGGAGCTGGCTTTTTGAAAAGATCAACAAAATTGATAGACCGCTAGCAAGACTAATAAAGAAGAAAAGAGAGAAGAACTGCATAGATGCAATAAAAAATGATAAAGGAGATATCACCACCGATCCCACAGAAATACAAACTACCATCAGAGAATACTATAAACACCTCTACGCAAATAAACTAGAAAATCTAGAAGAAATGGATAAATTCCTCAAACACATCCATCCTCCCAAGACTAAACCAGGAAGAAGTTGAATCTCTGAATAGACCAATAACAGGCTCTGAAATTGAGGCAATAATCAATAGCTTACCAACCAAAAAAAGTCCAGGACCAGATGGATTCACAGTCGAATTCTACCAGAGTTACAAAGAGGAGCTGGTACCATTCCTTCTAAAACTATTCCAATCAATAGAAAAAGAAGGAATCCTCCCTAACTCATTTTATGAGGCCAGCATCATCCTCATACCAAAGCCTGGCAGAGATACAACAAAAAAAGAGAACTTTAGACCAATATCCTTGATGAACACTGAAGCAAAAATCCTCAATAAAATACTGGCAAACCTAATCCAGCAGCACATCAAAAAGCTTATCTACCATGATCAAGTGGGCTTCATCCCTGGGATGCAAGGCTGGTTCAACATATGCAAATCAATAAATGTAATTCAACATATAAACAGAACCAAAGACAAAAACCACATGATTATCTCAATAGATGCAGAAAAGACCTTTGACAAAATTCAACAACCCTTCATGCTAAAAACTCCCAATAAATTAGGTATTGATGGGATGTATCTCAAAATAATAAGAGCTATCTATGACAAACCCACAGCCAATATCATACTGAATGGGCAAAAACTGGAAGCATTCCCTTTGAAAAGGGGCACAAGACAGGGATGCCCTCTCTCACCACTCCTATTCAACATAGTGTTGGAAGTTCTGGCCAGGGAAATTAGGCAGGAGAAGGAAATAAAGGGTATTCAATTAGGAAAAGAGGAAGTCAAATTGTCCCTGTTTGCAGATGACATGATTGTATATCTAGAAAACCCCATTGTCTCAGCCCAAAATCTCCTCAAGCTGATAAGCAACTTCAGCAAAGTCTCAGGATACAAAATCAATGTACAAAAATCACAAGCATTCTTATACACGAATAACAGACAAACAAACAGAGAGCCAAATCATGAGTGAACTCCCATTCACAATTGCTTCAAAGAGAATAAAATACCTAGGAATCCAACTTACAAGGGATGTGAAGGATCTCTTCAAGGAGAACTACAAACCACTGCTCAATGAAATAAAAGAGGATACAAACAAATGGAAGAACATTCCATGCTCATGGGTAGGAAGAATCAATATCGTGAAAATGGCCATACTGCCCAAAGTAATTTACAGATTCAATGCCATCCCCATCAAGCTACCAATGACTTTCTTCACAGAACTGGAAAAAACTACTTTAAAGTTCATATGGAACCAAAAAAGAGCCCGCATTGCCAAGTCAATCCTAAGCCAAAAGAACAAAGCTGGAGGCATCACGCTACCTGACTTCAAACTATACTACAAGGCTACAGTCACCAAAACAGCATGGTACTGGTACCAAACCAGAGATATAGATCAATGGAACAGAACAGAGCCCTCAGAAATAATGCTGCATATCTACAACCATCTGATCTTTGACAAACCTGACAAAAACAAGAAATGGGGAAATGATCCCCTACTTAATAAATGGTGCTGGGAAAACTGGCTAGCCATATGTAGAAAGCTGAAACTGGATCCCTTCCTTACACCTTATACAAAAATTAATTCAAGATGGATTAAAGACTTAAATGTTAGACCTAAAACCATAAAAACCCTAGAAGAAAACCTAGGCAATACCATTCAGGACATAGGCATGGGCAAGGACTTCATGTCTAAAACACCAAAAGCAATGACAACAAAAGCCAAAATTCACAAATGGGATCTAATGAAACTAAAGAGCTTCTGCACAGCAAAAGAAACTACCATCAGAGTGAACAAGCAACCTACAGAATGGGAGAAAATTTTCGCAACCTACTCATCTGACAAAGGGCTAACCTCCAGAATCTACAATGAACTCAAACAAATTTATAAGAAAAAAACAAACAACCCCATCAAAAAGTGGGCACAGGATATGAACAGACACTTCTCAAAAGAAGACATTTATGCAGCCAAAAGACACATGAAAAAATGCTCATCATCACTGGCCATCAGAGAAATGCAAATCAAAACCACAATGAGACACCATCTCACACCAGTTAGAATGGCAATCATTAAAAAGTCAGGAAACAACAGGTGCTGGAGAGGATGTGGAGAAATAGGAACACTTTTACACTGTTGGTGGGACTGTAAACTAGTTCAACCATTGTGCAAGTCAGTGTGGCGATTCCTAAGGGATCTAGAACTAGAAATACCATTTGACCCAGCCATTTGACCCATTACTGGGTATATAGCCAAAGATTATAAGTCATGCTGCTTTAAAGACACATGCACACGTATGTTTATAGTGGCACTATTCACAATAGCAAAGACTTAGAACCAACCTAAATGTCCAACAATGATAGACTGGATTAAGAAAATGTGGCACATATACACCATGGAATACTATGCAGCCCTAAAAAATAATGAGTTCATGTCCTTTGTAGGGACATGGATGAAACTGGAAACCATCATTCTCAGCAAACTATTGCAAGGACAGAAAACCGAACACCCCATGTTCTCACTCATAGGTGGGAATTGAACAATGAGAACACATGGACACAGGAAGGGGAACATCACACACCGGGGACTGTTGTGGGGTGTGGGGAGGGGGGAGGGATAGCATTAGGATATATACCTAATGCTAAGTGACGAGTTAATGGGTACAGCACACCAACATGGCACATGTGTATATATGTAACAAACCTGCATGTTGTGCACATGTACCCTAAAACTTAAAGTATAATAATTAAAAAAAAAAAAAGACAGGACGATAATACACATTTGGTGATACAATTAAGAAACATGATATTGGAAAGTTGCTGACCAAGTGCCACCTAGCATTCCTTCTCTTGTACTAGCCACATGCCCACTCCTCATGGCTACTGCTAGCCTCATCTAAGAACTGGGGACCCAGCCTGGCAGGATAAGTGTGGCTCCATGCTTTAAGCCAGAGAATTTAGGAGACTATGATCTGTTGCTGTGTCAATCTGAAAGCTGAGGGATCTGAAGGGTACGTGGTACCCATTCTCTGACTCTCACTCCCAAAAGTCCTTTTCTCCCTGGGTCAACATACGGTTGGTGCCCAAGGCCCTTCCTAGGAATTGGAAGCCAACAGTGACACAAAGCACTTAGGAGGCACACAACCACAAATGTGTGAGGTTTGCCTTCCCATATTTTCTGGACCCATGTTCAAGCCTGGAACTCTCTAGTTCATAAAGGGTTTTACTCTTGCAGGAGTCAGCAAACTATGGCCTGTGGGTGGAGGGCCAGATGGGGCCATGCTCATTCATTTACATACTGTCTAATGGTTGCTCAAAAATCACAGAGTTGAGTAACTAAGACAGACTGGAAGGCCCACACAGGCAAAAAATGTACTATCCGGACATCCACATAAACAGTTTGCAGGCCACTGATTTAGAGTAAGACCAGTTCTCCTGGGGGCAATGGATTGTCTTTCTTTGCTTTCAGCCTGACCAATGCCCGTGGGTAGGGATGGAGAGGGAGCCCATCTCTCTAGTTGATTCTGATGAGAAGAACCAGGGTGACCCACCTGGAATGTGAGCCTCTGATCTTCCAGGCATCTGGCATGCCCATTTCTTCCACAGAGCAGGATAGAAGCTCCTCCCAGCAGGGGGTCTTGACTATTTGAGACCACTGTAAAAGAAAAGTAAGAACAAGTGATTCACGTTTGTGTTTCCTGTAAAAAGAACATGGTTGTCAGTGCTATTAACCTGGTTACCACTGACTTTGACGCAGATACAGCCGGTTCATGTTTCAGAACTTCATGAAACAGGCCTGTGCCTTCAATCAGAGGCAGCCCAAAAGACAAAATTGCCAACACTTTCTATTTGCAGTGGCCCAGGAATTATCAAATAACCTTAGTTCCTATTAAACTCCTGCCTATTTACCATTGCCTAAACCTGGAGGCAAAATCTAAATCCAAACCATCACAGGTAATCTCCAATCTCACATACTTTTCCAAAAGATTCATGTGTTAGGAAAGGATGATTGATGGCTCAAAAGTCACCAGTGCCGATTCTTGTGTTAGCAACCATAGTTGAAGTCAATGCTTAGAACTGGCGTGGGAAGATGTTCTCAAAACTGCAGCTTTGTGCCTTTGTGGTTATGTAACAGCCTCCTCCATACAGAGGATTACTACGAATGGGTGCTTCCTGCTGTTGTCTCATGTTGATGAGGCATTTTATATTCTTGAGGAATATTCTGGAGGGAGGAGGTTGGTGAAGACTGGTAAAGTAGAGAAGAGAGACATTTTAACAAAATATTCATATTTATCTGGTCTCTAACATGAAAGCTGCATATTTTGTGGTATATTAATTAAGTCATTTTTATAAGTTATAAATGATACTAGTACAGTAAGTCCTCACTTAATGTCATCGATAGGTTCTTGGAATCTGTAACTTTAAGCAAAACAACATGCAGCAGGTTCATAAATAATGTCACTTCCTTTAACGTTTTGTTATAACGTTGATGAGAAAAAAACGCTTTTGTTACATGTCATTTTGCTTAAAGCTATAGTTTCCAAGAAACTGTCGATGACATTAAGTGAGAACTTACTGTATAATAACATTATGTTAGAGTTTAGTGGGCTCCCAAAAGATCTTCTCTTACCAGGTAGACAGTTCTCTCTTTTAGAGATAAAAGAATTGAGCCTCACAGAGGCCGTATGAGCAGTCAGAGTCCCACTATGTTCCCACCTACCATTCACCACTAAATCCTTAGTCTGGCTGCAGAAAACAGAAAAGATTTATTTCCTCAAAAGTCAACTTCTTTAGACTACATTGACCCTAATAGAATTCAGAAAGCAACTCTTAGACTCAAATTTTTCTGCTTATTGCCACCACCACACTCCCCCAGTCATATGACAAGAGTCGTTTGCGGTAGGAAGCAAAACCAGAAATGCACTTGAGCAGTCTTTCTATGTCCTTCCTTGCCTCACCCCCATTGGGGGCCTGCATGATGGTGAGTGGCCACATAAACAGTCCCTACGTCTCCAGGAGTTCCCTTGGCCATGGCTGCTGGAATGACTCATCCTTCTCCATCTGTAGCCTAGGCTTTCCCCTTCTCCTTAATTTCCATGAGGGAGCAGTCTTAGATCAGAGCCTCCCCAAGGGGACAGGACCACAGCCCTCCCTAAAAGGTCCTGGATCTGGTATAAATCTAACCATGGGAGAAAACAGAATTCAGTTACAGACAACATCAAGGGCAAACTTGAAGGGGAGCAAAAATCACAATATGGGTGTGGGAACTGGACCACAGAGTTACAGTGGTCATTTCCTCCCCACCACATCTTGTGAACTTTACCTTGCCCACTGCCCCAAGGGGCAACCATGTGGCTCATGGCCCTGGCCACCAATAACTGAATTGGGAGTAGACCCACTTTAAACATGACCCACTTTAACCAATCAGACATCTTTATCTAGAACTTGGAGTTGGGACACAGAAAGCCTGAGGGTGTTTTTTTATCTGTGAGTGCTAGACTCACAAGATTCTGTGGGCTCAAGGACTGAGTTAGACAGTCATTTAAGGTCATGTGGTAACAGAGTATGCTTGACGAAGGGGGAGGATGGAGCAGAGACAAAGATAACTGAGAGAAAGGGAGGAGGAAGGGCAGCTCCAGACTCTAGCCCTTCAGTGATCCAGGTGCAATTCTTCAAACTGGGTTTCACAGTATTCCGTTATCACTGTGCAAGTAATCCCCATTTACTTAAGTTACTCTGAGTGGGTTTCTGGCCCTAGCAACTGAGTGCTCCCCCACCATAAGATGAAATGGCTAGGCTGGAGCTGGGAGGCAGAGGCAGTGAGTGAGGAAGCTAGACGGATTTTTCCAGAGAAAGTAAGTCCTAGAGTCCAAGCATATGCACGCTATCCACACGTTCCAAATTTTAGGAGACAGCCCTGTTTCAAATGTGCCAGCTTGCCCAAATTTCTGTTTAGGCAATTGTGGTATATCTGTTTATATATATAATTTTAGCATTGGGAAGGCCCTCCTAAGTAAGACACAAACCTGGAAACCACAAAGAAAAGAAAAGATTGACAGATTAGACTACCTAGCCCTAAATTTTAAATTGCCTTTGACAAAAGCCACCATCAGCAAAATTAAAAGTGAAGGGGCAGCTTGGGATCTAAGTGACAGCTGGAGAGCCCCTGCACACTACAGACTCCCTCCTGCTGCAGATCAGACTTCTGGACAAGTCCAGCCCTGGCTTTGTGGCTGTCATGACTACTGAAAATGTCGTAACTGTTGGCAGCAAGAACATGACCTCTTGCTGTCCCAAAATGAGGAAATGAAAGGGAAAAAAGAGGAAATGGGATGAAATGAAAAATGGATGCAAACAACAGAGAGTGAGCAAGAAACATTGAGAAAGATGAAAAAAATGAGCTGTTTATCTCTCCTCTGCTTCTGGGCCCTCTCCTTTGTGCTACCCTAGTGATGTGCTCTATTGGTCCATTCTTACGTTGCCATAAAGAACTGGGTAATTTATAAAGAAAAGATGGTTAGTCAGCTCATGGTTCCTGTGGGCTGTACAGGCTTCTGCTTCTGGGGGAGGCCTCAGGAAACTTACAATCGTGGCACAAGGTGAAGGGGAAACAGGCCATTAGCAGCAGGAGAGGGGCAAAGGAGATGCTACACACTTTCAAACAAGCAGATTTCCTAAGAAATTGGGGGAATGGCGCTAAACCATTAAAAACCACCCCTGTGATCCAATCACCTCCCACCAAACCCTCCCTCCAGCACTCGGGATCACAGTTCAACATGAGATTTGGGTAGGGACACAAAGCCCCACCATACCATTCCACCCTTGGCCCCTCCCAAATCTCATATCCTCTCACATTGTAAAATATAACCATCCCTTCTCAACAGTCCCCCAAAGTCTTAACTCATTCCAGAATTAACTCAAAAGTCCAAGTCCAAAGTCTAATCGGAGACAAGGCAAGTCCCTTCCACCTATGAGCCTGTAAAATCAAAAACAAGTTAGCTACTTCCAAGATACAATGGGAGTACAGGCATTGGGTAAATACTCCATTTCCAGAAAGGAGAACTCAGCCACAACACAGGGGCTACAGGCCCCATGCAAGTCCGAAACCCAGCAGGACGGTCATTAAATCTTAAAGCTCCAAAATAATCTTGACTCTGTGTCTCACATCCAGGCCATGCTGATGGAGGGGGTGGGCTTCCAAGGCCTTGGGCAGCTCTGCAGGGTACATCCCCTGTGGCTGCTTTCATGGACTGATGTGAGTGCCTGTGGATTTTCCAGGTACACAGTGCAAGCTGGGGTCTGGAGGAGGATGACCTTCTTTTCAGAGCTCCACTAGGCAGTGCCCCAGTGGGGACTCTGTGTGGGGGCTCCAACCCCACATTTCCCCTTTGCACTGCCCTACTAGATATTCTCCATGAAGGCTCTGCCCCTGCAGGAGACTCCCGCCTGGACATCCAGGCCTTTCCATACATCCTCTGAAATCTAGGTGGAGGTTCCCAAGCCTCAACTCTCATCCTCTTTGTACTTGCAGGCTTAACACCACATGGAAGCCACCAAGGCTTGTGGCTTGCACTCTCTGGAGCAGCAGTCTGAGAAGTATCTGGGGCCCTTTTGGCCACAGCTGTAGCTGGAGCAAGTGGGATGCAGGGTGCCATGCCCCAAGGCTGCACAAAGCAGCAGGGCCCTGGGCCTGGCCCCATGAAACCATTTTTCCCTCCTAGGCCTCCAGGCCTGTGATGGGAGGGGCTGCCCCAAAGGTCTCTGGAATGCCTCATAGGCATTTTCCCCATTGTCTTGACTGCTAATATTTGGCTCCTCTTTACTTATGCAAATTTCTGTATTGGGCTTGAATTTCTCCCCAGAAAATGGGTTTTTCTTTTCTACCACATGGCTAGGCTGCAAATTTTCCTATCTATCTTTTATGCTTTGCCTCCCTTTTCAGGTCATTTCTTTGTTTATGCAGATGAGTTAGGCTTTTGGAAGCAGCCAGGCCACATCTTGAGCACTTTGATGCTTAGAAATTTCTTCTGCCAGATACCCTAAATCATCTCTCAAGGTCAAAGTTCAACAGATCCCTAGAGCAGGAGCACAATGCCACCAGTCTCTTTGCTAAAGCATAGCAAGAGTGACCTTTACTCCAGTTCTCAATAAGTTCCTCATCTCCATCTGAGACCTCATCAGCCTGGCCATCTCTGCCCATATCACTATGAGCATTTTGGTCAAAACCATTAAACAAGTCTCTAGGAAATTCCAAACATTTCCTCATCTTCCTGTCTTCTTCTGAGCTTTCCAAACTGTTCCACCCTCTGCCCATTATCCAGTTCCAAAGCTGCTTCCACATTTTCAGGTATCTTTGTAGTAATGCCTCACTTCTCTGGTACCAATTTTCTTCATTAGTCTGTTCTTGCATTGCTATAAAAACTACCTGAGACTGGGTAATTTATAAAGAAAGATGTTTAATCAGCTCACAGTTCTGTGGGCTGTAAAGGCTTCTGCTTTTGGGGAGGCCTCAGGAAACTTACAATCATGGCAGAAGGTAAAGGAGAAACAGGCACACCTTCACATGGCCAGCAGGAGAAGGGCAGCGGAAGTGCTACATGCTTTCAAACAACCAGATCGCCTGAGAACTCTATCATAAGGCAGCACTGTGGGGATGGTGCTAAACCATTAGAAATCACCCTCATGATCAAATCACCTCTCACCAAGCCCCACGTCCAACACTCAAGATTACAATTTAACACGGGATTTGGGTGGGGACCCAGAGCCAAACCATACTATGCACTAACTCATTTAAGCTGTTGTTATCTTAATCATGGGCTCACTGTAGAATGGGAGTGGTAGGAAGAAACATTAAGTGAGTGGTCATAATGGTGGCTTAGAATTCAAACCCATTCCATGTGACCCCTCACCCATGCTTGGCAAATTAAATCCATGATAATCCAAAGGGTTTCAAAATCGATTTTTTTTAGGTCTAACCGTTTCCTTCCCATTCTTATCATTTCCTCTTCCCTTAAAGCAAATTCCCTTTATTCTTACCACCCACTAGAATGGAGACTTGAAATTAGGTTCTTTCAGCTTGCCAAATGATAAACAGCTCTCTCAAATTAAGCCACATCTCATCCAGAGAGAAGGCAATAAAAATAGTGATTTATGTGGTTGAGAGTACAGTGAGACGTTTTTATAGCATCACAGATGGTTTTCCAAATTGCAGAGCAGCTTTATTTCTTTCTGCATATCTCAGTTTCTCAGTCCACAATTTGAAAATAATAAAGCTGCCCTCTTCCTACTTCTTGGGTGAATTGGTTAAATCATGAAAATCTATAAATAAAAGCACTTTGAATCCTAGAGAGAAGAGTCAAATAATAAAATAATCCCATTTTTCATCCATATGATGAAATTATATAAGGTCCCCCATATAATGGGGGACCTTATATAATGAGAAGGCTAGGCATATTGCTATGTTTGTGGGCAAATGATCTGGCCCAGAGAACACCTGACTCCTAGGAGTGTCAAGCTGGGGAAGAGGACTCAAGTATATACACAGTACCGTTATTTCAGATGTATCTTTGATAGCTCTAAAGTAACTACTGGAAACACCTATAGGGTGGCATGATAAGATAACTGAGATTTACATTTATACTTTACTACTCCCATTGGTTTTAAAAAACAAGACTGCTTGAGTTTGGTTTTCATCATGGCGGCTTCAGTCTTAGCCCAGGCTCTCCACATACTCTCTGTTCCAACTTCGACCCTAGGTGTACATGAGATCCATTCTCAGCACCTCTGGGCCCATTCCCTTCTACCCAAGCCAGGAGTGCTGGGTGCTGAGATTTAACAATCCAGATCAGAAGCGGCACCATGCAGTGTTGAGAACACAGGCCCTGGAGCAAGTCTGCTGCGTGTGAATCCCAACTCGCCTCTCTGACCTGGCATATCTCCTTATCCGTGATATGGGCATGGCACTAACATACCTACTCATAGGACTCTGGGGACAGTTAAACGAGACAGGGTCCATAAAGCACTTAGCTCACTGCCTGGTACAATAAATGGTGACTACTTTTTATAGGCAATTGTGAGAAACATGGTGAATGTGGGCAGGGTAAAATAGTTGGATTGGTGCTTCTTCTGCAGGTGGCATTCAACTCTTTTTGTGTTTGTTTGTATTTATTTTTCTTATAGCAAATTTCCTTTTTTAAACTGTGACCAAACAAATAGAATGATTGCTATGGTTTTACAATTTGCATGGCTGAATGAATATACCTTTGATAGTTTTTTTTATCATGTTTCTAATTGTTAGAAAAAAATTCTTTTTTCCTCTTCTGGGATTTCAGGGCATTACATTGGAAAATAGGTATTAAACTGATATGGGACAGAGGCCATGGCATATATCCTACAAAATCTGTATCTACACTCTTATATTATACTTACTTGCCCATATCTTTGAACTTGGGGCCAATCATAAGATCCTACATTCTAGTTACCAGAAAAAGAACATAGTAATTGAGTATGTAATTGAATATTGTTGGCTGGGAGTGGTGGCTCACGCCTGTAATCCCAGCCCTTTGGGAGGCCAAGGTGGGCGGATTACTTGAGGCCAGGAGTTTGAGACCAGCCTGACTAACATGGTAAAATCCTGTCTCTACTAAAAATTCAAAAAAATTAGTCGGGGGTGTTGGTGTGTGCCTGAAATCCCAGCTACATGGGAGGCCGAGGCAGGAGAATTGCTTGAACCTGGGAGGTGGAGATTTCAGTGAGCCAAGATCGCACGACTGCACTCCAGCCTGGGCAACAGAGCAAGACTCTGTCTCAAAAAAAAAAAAAAAAAAAAAAAAAAAGTTTATGGGTGAGTATTGAGCTAAGTGCATTATCCCATTCAATCCCCAATCTTATGAAGCAAATACTATCATTAGCCCTATTTTACAGATGTGGAAAGTGAGCCTTAGAGAAGTAAGTAATTGCCATAAGTCACACATCTGAGAAATAATGAAGTGAAAATTTGAACCAAAAGCATCTGGATCCAGAGCCTATGTTTTAGGAACTTGCTGTGGCTTTGATGCATCAGAATGTGGGAGCTGCAGGCCTGCGTGGACTAGTCTTGGACTCTTAACTGCTCTGCCATCCCACAGCAGCTGATAGGTTCATATGAAGCCACTGGCAACTGGTGCCAAGTTACCAGTAAGAAAATCAGACATTTTGATCTATCTATCAATTGGAATGTGCATGTCCAGAATAGATCTAGATATTTTTTAAAAAGCATTCAATGCCTAATTTTTAAACAAACTGCACATGCGAAGAAAATGCCCATGCATTTCTTTAAGCAGAAATATAAGTTAGTGAATTTGTTTCTTCTTGATAAAATGGTTAGAATTTGCTTAGAAATTCCTTTTATCATAAAAGTAAAAATTATCAGCTTTAACCTTCTCATTTGTCTCCTACTGCTTCTTTTCTTGTTCTTTATTCTCATCCATCCCCTTCTCTGTCTTTGCCTCTACTCTTCCTCTATTCCTTCATAAGAATCTAAACAACTCCTTTAAACATCAATTCAAATGTTCTTCCCTTGGATAGAGATCACTTCCATCCCCTTCATAACTAGCTGGGCCTAGTACCTTTGGGTTAGCAATTTTGCCAGAGATGTTGGAGAAAAAGGGGGTAGCATTTCCTCTTGAAAATCCAGCCTGCAAGGCATTTACAATCTCATGCTGGTTTCGTAAGGCCCTGCTGTCCCTCCAGAATAGAGGCCCACAGCACTCACTAGGTACCAGGCATGGTGAACTTGCTTGCCCAAGCTCTCTAGTAGGTGGCAGATTTACCCAGGTCTGCCTGACTTTAGAGCCTATTCTTTTAATCATTGTACCTTACTGTCTTTATAGACAAGGTCAGGCTCTCTATGCTTCTGTGAGATAATTTTCCCTAGGAGTGTAAATAGTTACTATAGAGACACTAGATGCCACCTGCTATAGCCCTCAGAAGTGGCATCAGACTATGCCTGGGCTTTCTGTTTTAAGGACAAGGAAGAATGAGTGTGACAGTGAAAGGTTGTATTTGTAAAGGCTGGAAGAGCAGAAATCCCCAAGTGCTAGAGAAAAGAATGTGGACAAGTGTATGGTATCCAATCATAGTATGTTAGAGCTGAGTTGGGCTTTAAAGATGATCTCCTCTAACCCCTTTATTTGCAGTTGAAGACGTTGAGGATCTGAGACATTAAGTGAATTGTCTGAGGACACACAGCCAGTTTCTTAGATGCAGAGCCAAGGATGAATTTTTTTCATTCAGACTAAGCTGTTTTTTGCAGTCCACCTTTACTCTACTTGGGGTTCATTTCTTTTTAAGAAGTCTCAAAGATTAGAAAATTGAGTCATTTTGAGCAATATAATGTCATATTGTACAATTCTGCTGAAAGTAATTTTAATAGCAATGCCGGCAGATCTCCCAAATCCATGGGTTTCAAAATATTTCCGCCTTTTGCTAAGCTAATATATAGAATTTCAAAACCATATTTATACCACATACAATTTCCAAAGAGCTGGGCAATTTCCTATAAAAACTCAGCTGTGCACTGATTGCCAAGTTGGAAAACTCAGGGTTTCCTGGCAACACCCACTTGGGCTCTAGGGAATGCAAGCTTCTCAGCAAACAACCTCTCCTGACTTACGAGCTCCATCGGCAGCCACGACCCGAGTCACAGCGGCCCTTTCTGATGTTCTTGTCTCTGTCGCTTATGTTTCTCAAGAACCTGTAATCTTGCCTTAATCCCTCACCAGCTGAATACCTCCTACATGCTAAACTCCTGGAATGAAAGGTCCACATTTCTCTCATGCTAGGAGTTTGGGACCAGAATTCAGATGAACTCATTGCTAGTACTGGTTCAAAAGCTAATGAGCCCTCTAGATTCCCAGGTCCTTAGTTTCCTCATGGGTAAAATATAGACAATAACTCCTACCTGTTCATCTTTCAGGGCTTTTCCGAAGATTTTCAACATCTGAAATTCACAGGATCATGGAGACGAACTAAACCATCATGGAGACTAACTAAACCAGATGCATCTAGCCCCTCATGTTAGAGTTGAGAAAACAGAAACCCAGGGTTTGGGGACTCCCTTGAAGTCATCAAGTTCCTGTTGATGGCAAAATCAGGACCAAGCTTCTGATCCTCCCAAATATTCCTTCACTTCTCAGTGCTGCCTGTGATGAGAAAGATCAAAGCATGCATACAATTATAAATCATGACACAGAGGCAACATGCAATTATTTAGGTACTAATTAATAGACTGTGTACCAAGTCAGCACTAATGAAATTTTTCATGCCTTGACAGGGTAGTAGCTTGTCAGGAATTTCTGAAGATGAAAAAACTATTCATCTTAGGACAAATCCTTCTCCTTCCAGTAAATACAAGGAAAGGAGGAAGTGTAACCAGGGGTATTTAAGCTCAGCCTCCTCCAGCAGCCATCTGCTGCTGCTTTTTTTTTTTTTTTTAAATGTTATTGAGATGTAATTTACGTACCATAAAATTCACCATGTTAAGGTGTGCAGTAGTATATTCACAAGGTTGTGTAACTATCACTACCCTCTAATTCCAGAACATTCTCATCATCCTGTTGCTTTTTGAATGTCAGTATTGTCAGCTCGAGTACAGCTTCACTCACATGTGGCTCTCAGTTGTATTCTGTAGTGTTCATCTTGACCCACATGATCAGATGCCCCAAGTTCACTCTGTATTTGAAGAGCTCCGTGTCTACTAAAGGTCTGATTCCCTACTGCGGGCCAATAGTAGGAATGAGATGGTCACTAAGCGTCAAAATAAGCACTAGCAATGAGAACCTGAAAAGCAAAACTCAGCCACCAAGGCTAATTTTCAGGGCAAAAAGAGGAGAAAATTTCCTAAGCCAAGAGTGGGTAGAACTGGAAGTGGGAAGTGGGGCTGGTTTAAGGACGGTGGAGGGTTCTCCAAAGTGCCACTCTGTCCTGCCTTAGAGCTCATATGCATGCTGGATCATCCTCCACCCCTATCACATCCCCCATTTTTGCTTCATCTAAGCCCCCTGGGATGCTGGAGCACCCACTGCAGGAGGCGCCCGAACTTCCCTTATCACAGTCCATCTCACCTGTGCACACCGTGATTACCTGCTGACTTGTCTGCATTCCTGAATAGACCGGAAGCTTCAAAAAGGAAGAAACCCTGCCTTTTTGGTTACTTATTCACCCTGCTTCTCAGCATCCTCTGGCACTATCTCAGTAAAGATTTCTTGAACAAGTTATTAATCTGGCCACAAGCCCAAATTTCTTTCTATATCCCTCTAATGCTCAAATTAAAGTTTGAGTGTGAGAATGTACCCGAGCCTCACACAGTTATTTATGGTGGATACACAAAATAATAATAATCCTGGGTCAAAGCTGCTTTCCTGTAGCTTTCACTAAATAGTCTTCATTCTGATCCAAAGACCAAGAGAGAATACATCTTTTCCCTATTCTCTGTGGTACCCCTTTAGGTATGTGACATGAGCTGTCATGTCCTCTGTACCTTTTATTCTCTGAGTTAACCAACTGTACTTCCTTCAACAATTATGCATGACATATGAATTATTTACTCATTTATTCAACAAATATCTTACGGCATGGTCTATGTATAAAGCACTGTGCCAGGGCAGTGGGGGTGAGCAAAGGCATGGCACAGACCCTGCCCTAAAGAAGTCTATGGTCCACCATGGTTGTGCTCTTCCCACTTTCTGGGGTTTCTTGAATTGGTCAATGTCCCTTTCCAGATGTGGTTTCCTGAAGTGGACAATGTATTTCGAAGTAGTCTGACCAACACAGAATTCAGAACTATAACTCATGATCTAGATCCTCTGCTTCCAAAAACTTTTGATTGTTCATGTTATTCTTAGATAAATGCTCAGGGTGTACTAATCGTGTGTGTGTGTGTGTGTGTGTGTGTGTGTGTGTGTGTGATGTAAAGAGACATTTGGCTAACATTTTTGTAAGATGCTTGTTCTTTATGCTTAAACCAAATATGTGGTAGTATTTCTGGTGATCAAATCCTTACACATCCTTATCTTGAGTCCCTCTCCTGCTCCAAAAACCTCTTAGGAATAGGCGGATTGCAATCTTCTTCATATCAAACTGAACTCATAAGAATGGACAAATTCTTTTAAAAAACAACCCAGGATATTTTGCACTGCCGCTAATGGTTCTTTATGATGTTTCTGAAAATAATTGGAAGGGAAGCATGGACATCTGGCATGTGAATGAAGCTGTTTCTAATTAGGAGGGCTGTTTGTCTTCAAAGCAGAGTGAGCACTGGGGTACTCTTGGATGTGCTCTTCTTTGATGATGCTTGCTCAGGGCCTGGCAGCCTCCAACCTTCACCTATTTGAAGCCTGGGGTCCGTGGGTAGGGGGTAGGCCACCTCCTTTTAGCTTCTGCCCTAAATAACTTTGGTCCTTAAATTCCTTCAGGCGTTGGGCTTTTAACTTTGGTGTTTGCTTTGAAGCTAAAAAATGTGATTTTTTGTTGTTGTTGTTATGCTGTTTCCTGGGTACTTTCCATCTGTGCTGTAGACAGTATCACCAGGAGCCAGAAGGTCAGCAGAAGAGAAAGTGCCTCTCATCCGTGACAGCTGGGATAAATGTGGGAGAACTCAGTCAGACTTGGGTGGTCAGGAGACCCAGGAACAACTCCAGAAAAAGCGGAGTGCCCCTGAGAGTCATTCTGTTTTCTACTCCTTTTTTTTTTTTTTTTTTTTTTTTTTTTTTGAGACAGAGTTTTGCTCTTGTCGCCCACGCTGGAGTGCAGTGGCGCGATCTCGGCTCGCTGCAACCTCCGCCTCCTGGGTTCAAGTGATTCTCCTGCCTCACCTCCTGAGTAGCTGGGATTACAGGTGCCCACCACCATGTCCAGGTTATTTTTGTAGTTTCAGTAGAGACGGGGTTTCACCATGTTGTCCAGGCTGGTCTCGAACTCCTGACTTCAGGTGATCCACCCACCTCGGCCTCCCAGACAGAGTGTTGGGATTTCAGGTGTGAGCCACTGCCTTGTTTGCTACTCCTAATATAATTTGTAGAAGGTGTTGTGCTGAGGACACACTGGTCATTTCACTGTTTAATATTTTCTAGTAATTTTTCTTTTAAACAGGTAAATACTTACCTGTTTAATATTTTCTGGTAATTTTATCTTTTTTTTTTTTCTTTTTTGAGACAGAGTCTCACTCTGTCGCCCAGGCTGCAGTGCAGTGGCGCGATCTCGGCTCACTGCAAGCTCCACCTCCCGGGTTCACGCCATTCTCCTGCCTCAGCCTTCCGAGTAGCTGGGACTACAAGCGCCCGCCACCACGCCCGGCTAATTTTTTTTGTGTTTTTAGTAGAGACGGGGTTTCACCGTGTTAGCCAGGATGGTCTCAACCTCCTGACCTCGTGATCCACCCGCCTTGGCCTCCCAAAGTCCTGGAATTACAGGCGTGAGCCACTGCGCACAGCCAACATCTCCTTATTTAGCCAGTATTAGGCACCAAATATGTGCCAGGCACTTTAAACTTTAGAAAGAACAATTCTCATAAGTGTCTTAAAAAGCATCTGTAGTTTCCTGTTCTCTACATGGTTCCCAACGCACATACTGTGGCTCACTAACATTGCCCTGGATATAATGACCCCTCTCTGAGGGCAGTTGAGGTCGGGAACTTTAGAAACCTCCCGAGTGTTGTTTCTTATCCTAGGAATTCGTGGGCATGGAAGACAGGTCTTGAGAAGGCTGTTGCCATGAACTCCCCACTGTATTTCTAGAAATTCCATATAGAACCCTGTGATACCTATAGCTATGTCTGAAAATCAGTGTTCTTAGTGAAAATAGAATTAATCTTAAAAAATGGTTACACGGACATTTTTTTCTGATTGCAATGTTCTCACCAAAGATATTCTTTGTTACATATCCTCAACCAAAGAAATCTGGAAAAAAGAAGCACAAACTAAGAGATTAAAATCATCTACAATTCCATCATGCAGAGGAAACTACAGGTAAAATGTTGCTGTATACATCTCTTAATCTTTCTAGATCTGTTTTGTTAAACAACAGTTTTATAGCCTACTTTTTATGTAACAATATATTATGAACAATATATTTTTCCAGGCCATTGCCTTTTCTTCTGTGGTATAATTGTAATGGCTGCATAGTATTCCATTGTATGTATGTATCATTATTGATTTCACTAACTGCATACTATTAGACTTTCACATTATTCCCATTTTTTTTTCACAAAAATATACTGGGTTAAAAATTATTGTTTCTAACTCTTTATTCCCATTCATTATTTCCTTATAATAATTCCCAGAAGTAGACTTTCTGGGTAAAAAGATAAGCCAAAATTTAAGCCTTTTGAAATGTACATAGAGAAGCCTCGGGTTTTGAGTAGAAAGGTCTTTGTCCCTAGCTCTAACCCAACTGTGTGACCTTGGGCCTAACTACTCCATCTGTTAAATGGGGAGCATGGTCATACGCCCCACTGCATTTCAACAGCTGATTCTGACAAGATACCGCTGACTGTCTGCCCAGCAGCCATTCTTCACTTCATTCCAACAAACCCTGATTTTTTTCAAATATTCACCCCTTCCCCATTGCAGTCTTTGTACTTCCAGGTTAGGCCTAAATTGTCTAAGTATAATCTCATCCCCCTGCCAGTGAGAGGTTCAGGAATAGGCATATGGACCAATTAGGTTTAATAAGATTTATGGGGAAGTTTGCTGGGGCTTCTGGAAAATTCTCCACCTTTAAGAGAGAGCCATAGGAAAAGAGAGTCTCTCCCTCTGGATGTTGTCAAGCTTGGCCCTATTATTGCAATAGCCATGTTATCCCCAGCCTGAGAATTAAACTGAACACAGATGAGGCAGAGCTGAGAATCCCAAGGAAATGGGATTGGAACTGCTGAATTAGGCAAACTTGAAGCTTGCCCTGCCTCTAAATTTCCAGTTATGAGGGCGAATTCTGATGGCGTACACTCTTGGAATCAGTTAACTTTAATTTATAACCGCAGTTCTGATCATCATCTGTTTAATTTTCTTTCTTAATTATAGTAAATGTTTTTTTCTTTCATGGGCTTTCCTTCCAACTTCTTGTATCCTTCGCTTTCCCAATTTTGAAAAAAAAAAAAAAATGATGCCTCAAGGGAATATTTGAGTGAAAAGGATAGGCCTTAAGCCAACAGTTCAGAAATGACTCATTTAAATCTGCAGAACTGAGAGAGCCCAACCCAGGCCTTCCAGTTTGGTCATAGAATCAGAAGATTTTTCAAGTCGGAAGGAACCTTGATGCTCAACAAGTCCTAATCCCATTTTGTAGATGAGGAAACTGAGGTTCAGAAAGATATTATGAAAGTGCCAGACAGCTGGGTACTCCCCAGGCAGCACCTTCACAAGACTTACCTGGTACCCCAATTTGACTCCTGTCATATTTCAGTGGGGGGGATTTAAGCCAAAATATATCACAATTGGTTCTTTGAACCCTTTGTTTCCTGGCAAATCAAAGTTCCTCATTTGTAGTAAGAACTCAAAGAGCAATGTTCCTATCACCACACTGGAAGTCCAGTCTTCTTTTAGACCTCACTAGTGATTTCTTTCTAGAAGTCCCTAGGGAAAGTCCTCACAAATAATCCAGACTTCTCTCTGCAGTGCCTGTGCTCTTGGTCTGCACCCCTTGCTACCTTCTGCTACTTCAATTATTATTTCTTCGTACTCCTTGCTCACAATCCAGGCTGCTGTCAACTGCCCCCCACCCCCGCCCCCCCCACCCAGTGCAACTCTATCTCTGCTCAGCCGGTGAGCCATTGTCCAGGTTCCTTCTGGCTGTCCCTGGATTGCCACTTATTCATGTTCTTTTCCCTTTCTAGCATGAAGAAAAACTCCTGTTCCATGGCAGCTGATTTCTCCCAGGAGATCTGGGCCTCTGGTGGGCAAATTGCTGCTCTCTTCCCCAGCAAGCTTCTCCCTGGAACACATGTGCACTCGGGGGAATGGGTTTGACCAGGGCTGGTTCCAACCCAGCATTACACTGTCTGTGGGATCACATCTCTTTCCAACATCCAGTTCTGACTCCCATTCCCCTCTGTTTAGCTGCTTCTTCACACAGGATGCTTCTCAGAAACTTCACTTCCAAATTATGGGGTGGGATTCAAGCTGGAATTCTTCATCTATGATGAAATTTTAAAATGGTATTCAAAGCTTTGTGCAAAATAGCATTTTATGGTACGTAAACCTCTAATTTTTATCAGACTCTCAAAGGGATCTGCTAGAGACCACGGGCCTCTAAAGCTCTTTAAGTTCTAATGTTCTGTGACCCTGTGATTGCATAATATGATTTTGTGGCAAATTTGCCCAAAGCAGAAGCATTCAGTCACTCTCCCAAACTGCTCTATTACATTCCTAAGTGAGTACAAGAGTGTATGCAAGCATTTTAGCCTTATTCGCACAGAAGATATTATATTAAGAGAATAATCAAGGATTCAGCATCAAAAGCTTTATCAGCAAGATATTAGTACTCTACCTAGAAGACTATTCTAACCTCAAGTACTATAAATATTAGGAGATCTTTATTTTCATAGCAGCAAGATCTTGGAAACTGTACTGGTGAAAAAAAGATGGTGCTTAGAACTCCTGCCTCCCTTTTTAGTTGCTCTTTCTGTTCAAGGAGTGGGATGCATGGGAAAGGTGGCCTGGCTCCCTTCTCCTCTGTGTAGCCTGTAGTTCTACGATTGGCCCCTAGACGGCGATCTTGTGTTAGTGAGGGACATGGTAACTAAATGAAGTGGGAGCCGGCAGTGACTGATGGCTGAAACTGTCAACAGATCAAATGGTAAGAAGTGAATAGTAGTGATTTTTAACCGTGGTTGCAGGATGAAATTGGAAAAGTAACACAAAATCTTCCTATATTACTTAGAAGGAAATTTGGAAACACTTAGAATTAGTCTGTGTATTGAAAACATGATTTAAGTGTGATATTTAGAGGAAACTGTCAATTAAAAAAAATTTTTAAATTATGGTAAAATACATATAACATAAAGTTTGCCACGTTAACCATTTTACAAATGTGCAGTTTTTAAACCAAGTGCACAATCGGTAGTGTTAAGTGCATTCATGTTGTTGTCCAACCAGTCTCCAGAACTCTTTCCATCTTGCAAAGGTGGAACTCTGCATCCATTAAACGGCAACTTTCCGTTACCTCCTCTCCCAGCCCCTGGCAAACAGTATTCTACTTCCCATGTCTATGAATATGAGTGCCTCAGAGAAGTGGAAAAAAGTATTTGTCTTTTTGTCACTGGCTTATTTCACTTAGTATAATATTCTCAAGTGGGACCTGCCAATTTTCATTACAAAATTATTTTTTAATTTGTAAAGAAAAACTGGCAATTAGTAAAAACCATAAGACTGGACATTGTCTCATGCTCACAGCTTCACAGGCAAATGCACTCATTCAAACCAGTAAAAGTGAAAACCTCCATCCACAAGACCCACCAGGAGGTCTCATAAGGCTCTATTAAACCTGCAAACTCACAAGACTGCCAAGGCCCACTCTAGACAGCAGTTGACCCAGAAGATTCATAGGCCAGGAGGCAGAGCATGTCAGTAGGGCACATCCAGACTTCCTCTTCTGCGGGACCTCGCAGCAGACCACAAAGCCATCCACACAGTGGGCAGAAGCTATTCTCTTTGGCCCCCATGTGGACTGAGTTGTGAAGAAATGAGACTCACATCAGTGGGGTGTGGAGGCCACACTATATGAGAGGCCCTGTATTTCACAGCAGCTAATATCTCTTGGAGGAACTCCATGGCCATAACTTTCATGGTCTTCTCAAGGTCATGCCAGTTACAAGGGTCACTGCACTTAGGGAAACTCGAAAATATGGCTTCTTCTCTGGTATTTATAGTTGTCCCAATCCAGATAGGATTTACCAATCAGGGCCCACTTGTACTTTCCTTTATCAGGTTTCCATGGGAACAGAGCTAGGAAGTTAGCCAAAAATCAAATGCTCATGCAAAACTGGAAAGGGTTTCGTTAATCCTTTATTCACTGCCCTTCACATGGTTAGATTACAAAGTCTGACAAAGCATCCAGTTAAATAGAAAGGAGTCAGAATGACAAACTGATATGAAGAACTAAATTACACAATGGCATTTGTCATCTCTTATTTGTTACAGCTGCTTTGGTGTTCAAAATGGATGCGACTTTGCACAATGCCTGGTTACTTCTGGGGAAAATTTTCCATTTCAAAGCTTCATAAGAGAATAAATTATATTTGGGGGGTGGATTTAAATACAATTGGAAGAGGGTTTCTCTCTAAAGTAATTTCTATAGAAAATAGTGAACAGAGATTAAGAGAGCAAGGAAAAACAAATCTGGGCTCCAGAAGGAAGCCAGTTAAGAAAGTTGACTGCCAGAGGGCTGGTAATTCAAGAACAAGATGAGAGATATGGTTTGGCGGAGCCCCTTTCTTTATCCCTCACCTCTTTGGTTCTCCCTGCACCTTCTGCTGAAGTTTGGGATTCTGTAACTAGAGATAAATCTGTTCATTCCACAATGACATGTAAAACTTAATGTACAAATACCTTAAGAGAGAATTATTACAAAGTCTAAGAACGCAGAATCACAAAATGTTTAAGTAGAAAGAAGTCACAGAGCTCACCTAGCAAGCTCTTTATCTTGTAATGAAGAAACTGGGTCTCAAAGAAGGTAAGCAGCATTCCCCAAGTCACACGGACTGGTAGTAATGGAGCTATGGTTAGAACCTCAGATGCTTGACACACAGCCGATCCAATATTATATTTTTTTCCTAAGAGGGGAAAGAGGAAGCATGTGGAAAGGGAAGAGAGGAGTGCTGACTTGGGAAGAAGGCAGCAGGGCAAGAAGAGGGAAGGCACAAAGGCATTTCTTCCTGGCAGTGGCTGCTCCCTTGTTGCAGGTTAGCTTCCCTTTTTGATGCAAGGCGAGGACTCCACATGGGTAGGAAAGGGCATGGGGCCAGTAATTTGTTAACTCTGATCTTGCTAAAAAGGAGTCTCTTTTTAATCTTCAAAAGAGAAAGTAATTTGCTCTTTAATCATTCTTCAGGGGCTTTGGAACTGCACATAGAAAAACTATGACTTCCTCAGGATACAAAATCAATGTGCAAAAATCCCAAGCATTCCTATACACCAGCAATAGACAAGCAGAGAGCCAAATCATGAGTGAATCTCATTCACAATTGCTACAAAGATAATAAAATACCTAGGAATACAACTTACAAGGGATGTGAAGGACCTCTTCAAGGAGAACTATAAACCACTGTTCAAGGGAATAAGAGAGGACATAAACAAATGGAAAAACATTCCATGCTCATGGATAGGAAGAATCAATATCATGAAAATGGCCAAAGTAATTTATAGATTCAATGCTATTCTCATCAAGCTACCAGTGACTTTCTTTACAGAATTAGAAAAAACTACTTTAAATTTCATATGGAACCAAAAAGGAGCCTGTATAGCCAAGACAGTTCTAAGCAAAAAGATTAAAGATGGAGGCATCATGCTACCTGACTTCAAACTATACTACAAGGCTACAGTAACCAAAACAGCATGGTACTGATACCAAAACAGATATATAGACCAATAGAACAGAACAGAGACCTCAGAAATAACACCACACATCTACAACCATCTGCTATTCAACAAACTTGACAAAAACAAGCAGTGGGGAAAGGACTCCCTATTTAATAAACGGTGCTGGGAAAACTGGCTAGCCATATGCAGAAAACAGAAACTGGACCCCCTCCTTATACAAAAATTAACTCAAGATGGATTAAAGTCTTAAATGTAAAACCCAAAACCATAAAAGCCCTAGAGGAAAACCAAGGCAATACCACTTAGGACATAGGCATGGGCAAAGACTTCATGACTAAAACACCAAAAGCAATTGCAACAAAAGCCAAAATTGACAAATGGGATCTAATCAAACTAAAGAGCTTCTGCACAGCAAAAGAAACTATCATCAGAATGAACAGGCAACCTACAGAATGGGGGAAAATGTTTGCAATCTATCCATCTGACAAAGAGCTAATATCCAGAATCCACAAGGAACTTAAACAAATTTACAAGAAAAAAACAACCCCATCAAAAAGTGGGCAAAGGATATGAACAGACACTTCTCAAAAGAAGACATTTATGTGGCCAACAAACATATGAAAAAAAGCTCATCATCACTGGTCATTAGAGAAATGCAAATCAAAACCACAATGAGACACCATCTCACGTTAGTTAGAATGGTGATTATTAAAAAGTCAGGAAACAACAGATGCTGGCGAGGCTGTGGAGAAATAGGAACGCTTTTACACTGTTGGTGGGAGTGTAAATTAGTTCTGTTGTGGAAGACAGTGTGGCAATTCCTTAAGGATCTAAAATCAGAAATACCATTTGACCCAGCAATCCCATTAATGGGTATATACCCAAAGGATTATAAATCATTCTACTATAATGACACAAGGACATGTATGTTTGTTGCAGCACTATTTACAATAGCAAAGACTTGGAACCGACCCAAATAGCCATCAATGATAGACTGCATAAAGAAAATGTGCCATATATACATCATGGAATACTATGCAGCCATAAAAAAGAATTCGTGTTCTTTGCAGGGACATGGATGAAACCGGAAGCCATCATTCTCAGCAAACTACCACAGGAACAGAAAACCAAACACTTCATGTTCTCACTTATAAGTTGGAGTTGAACAATGAGAACACATGGACACAGGGAGGGGAACATCACACACTGGGGCCAGTCGGGAAGTGGGGGCCAAGGGAAGGGAGAGCATTAGAAAAAATACCTAATGCATGCGGGGCTTAAAACCTAGATGACAGGTAGATAGGTGCAGCAAACCACCACGGCACATGTTTACCTACGTAACAAACCTGCATTTTCTGCACATGTATCCCAGAACTTAAAGTAAAAGACAGAAAAGAAAAGAAAAGAAAAACTGTGACTTCCCAGCACAGAGAAGCCCTGGGTTAGGACCTTCACTCACCTGTCCCCACCCACTGGTCTTTTGTAAGGTCAGCATTTGTAGGTGAAATGGCCTGGGTGTATTGTCCTTATACCTCTTTCTCTTTGATTGAAGACAGGAATCACCCTCTATATTATCCATTAAAGATAAATTAAGACGTTTCTGGATCTTCATTTACGATAGAGAGACCATGGTGAGGAGAAATGTGAAAGATTTTTGCAAAGCCACTGTCAGACTGGGAGTAATGAAGAGATGAAGAAGAGGGCCATGAGAAGTAGCCAGTTCTTGAGAGAGGGAAGGGCCAATTTGAGAGATGGAAGAGGAAAGTTTGGCCTGGCCCAAAGAAGATCCTATGTGAACAGAGAAGCCAGGTGTCCTGTTGGACTGAGCTCAAGAACAGGATCTGAAGAGGGCCAGTGAAAGGACCTCGCTTCTCTAGCTGAAGGAACTGAGAGCAAGAACTGCAATCCCTACTTGAGGAAAGGCTCTGGGAACGAGAAATCAGAGGAGACACACTGTGCCAGGAAGGGCTCGAATAGGGGAAACCATCAGCCCAGCTGAGCACGGCCGACCCTCCACTTGCAACCTGCACAAGTCAGAATTGAGTTCCTGCCCAGAGGAGCCTCACACACCAGTGAAGGCCCACTAGACAGGGGGTATTCTTCTTTGTAACCCCACTCTCTGGAGGTACTAAGCATAGAGTAAGTTATTCAATGTGGCTGAACAAATATAGCCTATGCAGAATGCCGCTAATGCCTCAATATTTTCTCCAGTTTTTCCAGGGCATTCTTAATTTGAGACTCATGGCCAATCAATAAACCCTGATTTTTGGTTCAGAAAATGTGCTTTCTCTAGACACTTGAAGAGTTGGGGAAAGTTATAACCATGAGGAGGAAGCATGGGGTCTCTGGAGGTGACAGTCCTCCAGAAAAGGAGTTCTTGAAAAGAACAGGGATCTCTTGCTCTTGTGTGTGTGTGCACTTGCATCCCCCAGGTCCTCTCTGAGGACCCAGTTAGGTTTTTTTTTTTTTGGTTGGTGACATCTGGCAGCGTTCAGCCTCTCCTCCCAGCTAATGCTCAAGAAAAGCTAAGCTGACCCTGTGTCACTAAATTGTCACCAGCTGTGTCTAACTTTAAAAATCTGTGATTAATATGAGAGCTGAATGTTGCTTATTAACCAAACACAGCTTATTAATCATTCACAGGTATGTGGTAATGCTTCCAAAGACATGCCCTGGCAGCTAAGAATGTACGGGCTTTTACAAAGAGATCAACAATAGAACAGGAGAAATTCTACCAGATGCAAAAAGAAAAGGGCAAGGGAGAATATAAACGTTTGCCTAATTCACTGATCTGCTTAAACTGCCTTTTAATGCTTAGAAAATAGAAAGGATGGCACGATCCTTTGATGAAAGGAGGCTGTTTATGTCAGAAGAAGTCCAGACCTCTCACAGTGACGAGGGGAGAATAAAAAAGCTGCAACATCAGGCGGGTAGTCCCAGTTTCCTCCCTCAGTTCCGTGCCAACAACCTAAGGGTGCTCGTCTGGCAGGGTCTGTCCTTTTTCACGTCTTTGGAGCTCATCAGTTTTTGGGTTCAGCTCTCTGGAGGTGGTGTCCTCTCTAAAATCTAGAATGTAGGCACCACCTGGGACCCCTTCTGCCAAAGGAGATACAAGCAGAGCTGGAGGTCAACAAACCATGGTGCTCCCACCCTCTTCAATCTTACTTCAGGAAGTGACTGTGGAGACCAAAGGCAGGCTCCTTGGTGGCCCTATCCAAGCTGAGCTGGGAGTGAACATCTGCTGGAATCCCTTGGTAGAAGGCTGGGGGTGCTGTACCAAGAGATTGTCTTTTCAGAAATGTGGTGAGCAATTATGCAAGATTCGAGAGCTCAGCAGAGGAAAAGGGGCTCCTAGCTGGGAAGGAAGAAGGACCCCAGAGCTTTGAAACACACATTTACATGCATAGACACATGCACACACACACCCCCATGTATTCATACCGTGTGTGTATGAATGTACAGATGATCCCTCACTCATGATTTGACTTAACAATTTCTTGACTTTATGATGGCACAAAGGCAATATGTATTTGTAGAAACCATACTTCAACGAACAACACAACCATTCGATTTTCACTTTCGGTATGGTAGCCAATAAATTACATAAGATGATTTTGCTCAACTGTAGGCTAATCTAAGTGTTCTGAGCATGTTTAAGGTAGGCGAGGCTAAGCTATGATGTTCAGTAGGTCAGGTGTATGAAGTGCATTTTTGACATACGGTATTTTCAACTTATGATGGGCTTATAGGAACAAAATCCCATTATCAGTTGAGGAGCATCTGTTTGTGGAGAAATAATCACAATCCTGGAACAACTCATCTGACCAAATTTTCTAATGTTTTATATCTCAGATTACAGTAGAAACATGATTATTGTAGAAAAAAATCAGGAAATACAGAAAAATATAAAGAAAAAAATAATCCCATCACAGAAAGAAACATTAAACATTTTGCATCTGGCACTCTGGTCTTTGAACTTGGCAGATTTAGTGCTCTTTATTTTGTTTTTCAATATTGGAATCACACTCAATATACTGTTTTATTTACGTTGACAATGCACTGCTAACCTACTTTAAGTTATGAACATATCGTGGACATTTCCCCACATTTCCACGATTTTTATTGTTGGTATAATATTCATGTTAGGATGTGCCCAACCAGATACTTTAACTGCAATCAAGATAAACCCATTTACTCAGAATCTTGGCTCACAGCGTAAGTAAAAATGACTGGATCTCTAGTTGGGCCCTATAATGCGAAAAGTCTCACTACACCAGGACGGTATGTTACTGGAGAATGGAGCAGGCGCAGAACAGGGCAGCCTGCTTTCTGTCTCTCCTGTGTTTCTGGGAAGAGAAGCTATTTTCTCCCCTCCTCCTCTGCTGTGATTAGATTTATTTTCTAATCTCTCTCTGTTCATTTGTGGTTTATTGTTTGCCAGAAGTCCCCATGTCTGTTGTTTTGTCATTCTGAAGCGGCTTCGTTGTCTGGGGTAAATACCCAGGGTTCGTTACCTGGCGCCAAGAAAATTTAGGACAGGGACACAAAGGAGGCCTTTAGGAGCGCAGGTTTAATAGGCAGAAGAAAGAGAAAGGAGAACAGCTTTCTCTCTAGCGAGAGAGCGGGGCTTCTGAAAGGGAAAGACTTGCTGGGGCGGAATTCTCCAAATTTTTAGGCAGGTTTGAAGAGGCGGTGTCTGATTTACATAGGGCCCACAGATCAGTTCGATTAGGTGTGATGTTTACATAGCAGGAGGAAGGCTGGCTACCTCACCCTCATCTTACTATGCAAAAGAGCTTTCCACTTGACCCGCGCCATGTTGTCTGTTCCTTAATGTACACGTGGCTGGCACTGAGAAAAGGAAGATGGGCTGGGCGCGGTGGCTCACACCTGTAATCTCAGCACTTTGGGAGGCCGAAGCAGGCGGATCACGAGGTCAGGAGTTCAAGACCAGCCTGACCAACATGGTGAAGCCCCGTCTCTACTAAAATACAAAATTAACTGGGCACGGTGGTGCATTCCTGTAATCCCAGCTACTTGGGAGGCTGAGGCAGGAGAATCGCTTGAACCTGGGAGGTGGAGGTTGCAATGAGCCTCCACCATGCCATTGCACTCCAGCCTGGGCGACAGAGCGAGACTCCGTCTCAAACAACAGCAACAACAACAAAAACAAACTAACTAACCAAAAAAAAAAAAAAAAAAAAAAAAAAAAGGAAGAGAAGATGGAACCGCCATTTTGAACATGCCTAGTCCCAGGTAGTATTCCTCTGCTGGCATCTATGTCTGTAGCTTGATTTCACAGGCTGCTCTTTGTTAGAAAGGAAAAGTATTTGGGGCTGGTTTTCATTAAAAGGAAAACCTTACCGAGGACTTCTGTACCCTCACTATCTGCCGAAGTAATTTATTTTTAACTTGTGTATTCTCTGAGTGGTTCAGAGAATCTTAATAAAAGAGGAGGAGGTAGGGTGACCCTCAGCACTTAGGAAAATACGGACACCTCATTCTGGAGTGCCTGAAGTCAGCCTGCAGGAACTCCCTGTGTCTGAGAGGCAGCCCTCGCTCTTCCTGAGCTAGTGGCAGAGGAAAGCGGCTGGAACAGCAGGGTCCTGTAGTGTGGGTGGGAGCTTTAACTCACGCTCCTTCCTATCTGTTCCCACTTAAAACCATCTGGGCTGTGAGGAGGTAATTTTCTAGCCCTTCAACTTGTGTGACCACACACATTCTTTAAAGAGATGTTTACTAGCTTCACAGGATTAAAAACAAATTCTCCTTTAAAAAGTTCAAAACAAACAAACAAAAAAAAAACCTCTCAGTTTTCTCTGTGTTCCCTCTTCTGACTCTCCATAAGAAAGGTATTTGTGGCCTCTCTGAACCATGACTCAGATTTTCACTTGAGTTTTGACTTTTCTCTTTTCCCTACAACTTCCTGTTGCTGCTGTGAAATGCTGTTGCCTGAGAGGGCTTTTCTTTTTTCCCCTGATTTAACTCCAAGGTGATTTATGGGTCCCTGTCTCGATCTATGTCTCAGTAGAGATGAGGGGAAAAAGAGACGGCCAAGACCTTCACGGCCTCCTCATTCTCCTGACCTTAGAGTCCAGCTCACACAGAGGCTGGCTAGGAGTGGAAGTGCCACTTCTCCATGAGGGCGGTCCCCATTCCTGACAGTGCCAACTGAGGATTGTACATATTTTAGGCAGAAAAGCACAGGACCTTTGTTTTTTAGAATTCCACTCTGATTTTTCTTCTTATTTTTTCCCTGTGCTAGTGACCCAGGAATAAAGCTAGGGAAAGAGAAAATGTGATCATTCCGGCCTGGGGAAGGTGAAAGGACAGGATAGCAACAAATAACAGAGAATGATGCATAACAGCATATTGATAGTCTTCACAGTTTGCAGAGCATTTTCATATCCATTATCTCATTAGCTCCTCACAGCCGCCTGCGGGGAAATGCACCACAGGCATTGTGCTTATCCTGGTCTGCAGACTAGGAGCTGCAGGTCTGCGATGGATGCTGTGAGATGTCACCCAGACCCCTCGTCAGGGCGGAGAAACTCACTCCCCAGCTGTCCAGTGCCCACTGCAAACAGCCACAATTGAGTCCCTCACTGGGAATTCCCCCGCTGAAGGAAGCTGCCTTTGCCAAGGTTATCTCCCTCCCTGGGCCCTGCCTTGATTCCAGGCAACTCTACGGGGCCATCCCAGCTCCAGAACACCCTGTAGGATCAGCTGAGAACCCTAGGATCAGCTGAGAACCTTGTAGCAGCTGCATCAGAGGTCAGCTTCTCTCTCTGCCCAATTTTCCTTTCCTCCCTCTCTCCCTCCGGGGGTTGCTCTTGAGAGCTCTCCCTGTTAAACTTCTTGCATGCAAGTCCCCATCTGAAAGTCTTCCAGGGAACCTCACTGTATTGGCCCATTCAGGCTGCCATAACAAAGTACAACAGACTGGTGGCTTAAACGATATAAATTCATTGTCTCACAATTCTGGAGGCCAGAAGTCAGAGATCACAATGTGCTCTGGGACTCTCTTCTTGAGTTGCAGATGGCTGTTTTCTTTGTGTCTTCACGTGGTCTTTGCTCTGTGCACATCTGTGTTTTCAATCTTCTTATAAGGATACCAGTCATATTAGATTACAGCCCTCTCTAACAACCTCATTTTAACTTAATTACCTCTTTAAAGACTCCATATCCAAATACAATTATGTTCTGAGGTACCCGGGGTTCGAGGTATGAGTTTTGGGTGGCCACAATTTAGTTCATGATACCTACCTAACACAATGTTGAAGAGATTGAGTGACATGCCCCAAATAAAGCAGTGTCCCCTTATTTAACAACTTATAAAATATCTTACAGCCCTGTGGTTCTCCCTGATCTTCTGCCACTTATACCTTATGTAATGGAATGGGAAGGTATCACTGCCAGGAAATCAAGAATTAGGATCCGGAGTTTCTGTGCTCTGTTCGCTACTACACGTGATCTACCACAATTGGGAATCTAACTCATTCTGTTCTGCTAAATTGTTGCCAGTGCTCACAAACGCACATTGTAGTGGACAGTATAATAATATTATTGTTAACTGATGTTATTAATGACCACAAAATGACAAAATTAAGGACACACAAAAAAATCACCTGGAGTATACTCTTGGTGAAGCAATAACACAGGGTACAAAAGAATACAGAATACACAGATCTGGGTCTCTGGGATAAAGACTAGATCCTAAAAATTGTAACTGATCAGAAAAATACAGAGCTGTATGGTCCCAAGTGGGAAATATTTCATACAATGGTGATCTGACAAGCTTCAAATTTTTTTCATGTGTAATGATGTGATTGTTAAACACTAGATACGCATTGCTGGAAATTTGATTTTCCTTGTCTCCTGACAAATCCACACGGATGAAACGCTAGCTGGAGGAGATTGGGGAGAGAAAAGAATATGATTTTAAATCAAAAGTAGTTTTGCCTTGAAAACAGCATGCTGTAAACTTGACTTTAGATTCTCACTCCACTCCTTCCTATATTGTGTGCTATGCAAGTGCTTTTGTTTCATTGTGCCTCATTTTTTTCTCAGCTATAAAATGGAGATAACAATTTTTTCGTTGTAGAATTATTGTGAAGATTAAACAGATTTATTTTTTATTTTTATTTTATTATTTTTTTATTTTTTTGAGATGGAGTCTCGCTCTGTTGCCCAGGCCAGAGTGCAGTGGCGCAATCTCGGCTCACTGCAAGCTCTGCCTCCCGGGTTCACGCCATTCTCCTGCCTCAGCCTGCCGAGTAGCTGGGACTACAGGCACCTGCCACTATGCCCAGCTAATTTTTGTATTTTTAGTAGAGATGGGGTTTCACCATGTTAAACAGGATGGTCTCGATCTCCTGACCTTGTGATCCTCCCGCCTCGGCCTCCGAAAGTGCTGGGATTACAGGCTTGAGCCACTGCGCCCGGCCCAGATTTATTTTTTAAATGTAAAGCACCCTGCACAGTGCTGGTGTATAGCAGGAACTCCACAAGTGTTAGTTTCTGGCTCATTAGAGAGAAAACCTCTCCTGCTAATCAATGCATTGCTACAGCTGCCAGCAAAATGAGAGAAAGACCTTCAATGCCACCCCCAAATCTATCCCTTATGCATAAGGGAGGTGGATATTCTCTTTCAACTTCAGGATTGCTGGTGGAGGCCTCTGCATCACTGCACTGAGCCCCGCAATAATCCTGCTAGCTGATCTTTCAGGGTCCCCAGAACACCGGAAGTTCTAAAGGGTTAATGCATGCAATGGATAAGGAAGAGAATAAACCAAGTAAGAGAAAGAGAGAGAGAGCACTATACAGATGGGTCTTTCTTTTTTCTTTTAACTTTTATTTTCGGTTCAGGAGTATATGTATAAGTTTGTTACCTAGGTAAACTTGTGTCATGGGGGTTTGCTGTACAGATTATTTCATCACCCAAGTACTAAGCCTAGTACCCAAAAGTTATTTCTTCTGATCCTCGCCTTCCTGCCACACTCCACCCTCAAATAGGTCCCAATGTCTGTTGCTCCCCTCTTTGTGTCCGTGTGTTCTCATCATTTAGCTCCTCCTTATAAGTGAGAACATGAGGTATTTGGTTTTCTGTTTCTGCGTGAATTTACTAAGGATAGTGGCCCCCAGCTCCATTCATATTTCTGCAAAGCACATGATCTGGTTTTTTTTAAGGCAGCATAGTATTCCATGGTATATATGTATCACATTTTCTTTATCTGATCTGCCACTGATGGGCATTTAGGTTGATTCCATGTCTTTGCTATTATGAATAGTGCTGCAATAAACATATGTGTGCATGTGTCTTTATAGTAGAAGAATTTATATTCCTTTGGGTATATACCCAGTAATGAGATTGCTGGGTCGAATGGTAGTTTTGTTTTTAGCTCTTTAAGGAACTGCCATACTGCTTTCCACAATGGTTGAACTAATTTACACTCCCACTAACAGTGTATAAGAATTCCCTTTTCTCCACAACCACACCAGCATCTGTTATTTTTTGACTTTTTAATAGTAGCTATTTTGACTGGTGTGAGATAGTATCTCGTTGTGGTTTTGATTTTCATTTCTCTAATGATCAGTGATATTGAGCTTTTTTTATACACTTGTTGGCCACATGTATGTCTTCTTTTGAAAAGTGTCTGTTCATGTCCTTTGCCCACTTTTTAATGGGGTTGCTTTTTTCTTGTAAATTTAAATTCCTTATAGATGCTGAATATTAGATCTTTATCAGATGTATAGTTTGCAAATATTTTCTCCCATACTGTAGATCATTGTTGTTTACTCTGTTGGTAGTTTCTTTTGCTGTGCAGAAGCTCTTAAGTTTCATTAGATCCCAGCTGATAAACAACTTCAGCAAAGTTTCATGATATAAAATCAATGTACAAAAATCACTGGCATTTCTATACATCAGCAACAGCCAAGCTGAGAGCCAAATCAGGAATGCAATTTCATTCACAATTGCCACAAAAGAATAAAACACCTAGGAATACAGCTAACCAGGGAGGTGAAAGATCTCTACAATGAGAATTACAAAACACTGCTCAAAGGAATCAGAGATGACACAAACAAATGGAAAAACATTCCATGCTCATGGATAGGAAGAATCAATATCATTAAAATGGCCATACTGTCCAAAGCAATTTACAGAGTCAGTGCTATTCCTATCAAACTATCAATGATATTCTTCACAGAACTGGAAAGAAAAACTATTTTAAAATTTATATGGAATCAAAAAAGAGCCTACATAGCCAAGGCAATTGTATGCAAAAAGAACAAAGCTGGAAGCATCACGTCAAACTATACTACAGGGCTACAGTAACCACAGCCACCTGGTACTGGTACAAAGAGACACACAGACCAATGAAACAGGATAAAGAGCCCAGAAATAAGCCTGCACGCCTATAACCATCTGATCTTCGACAAAACTGACAAAAACCAGCAATGGGGAAAGGACTCCTTATTCAATAAATGGTGCTGGGATAACTCGCTAGCCATATGTAGAAGACTACATATACACCATATACAAAAATCAACTCAAGATGAATTAAAAACTTAAATGTAAAACCCAAAATTATAAAAACCCTGGAAGACAACCTAGGCAATACCATTCTGTACATAGGAACTAGCAAAGATTTCATGACAAAGACACCAAAAACAACAATAACAAAAGCAAAAACTGACAAATGGGATCTAATTAAATCTTTTTTTTTCTGTTTATTCTGTTTTCAAATACTCATTATAGAACATTTCACCCAATTCAAAAAGATACATAGAAGAGGGTGAGAAGATTTAACATTTTGGTGAACATCCTTCCATGTCTTTCTTTATGCTAAAATACATGAGTGTAAACGACTTTTAAAAAAGGGTTTTACACTATGTGCTAGTTTGAAAACTGCATTTTTTTCACCAATAACTCATCATACCTATTCATCATATCAATGAATATAGACAGACAGTCTTTAATAGCTGCAAAATATCCCATTGTATGTTTCAGAATTTATCCAATCCCATATTGCTGAATATTTAGGTACTTTCCATTTATTTGTTGTCAATTATAATAAAATATTTTGTTAAACGACTTTGTATATGCATTTTCTCAAACTTGTCCAATTGTCTTTAGGATAAATTCCTAGACTAGGATTGCTTGGTCAAAGGACACTGGCTCCATAAAAGTGATTAACAATTTACCTTCCCAGCTCAAGTGTTAGGGAAATCCCAAATTCCAGCTGTCTCACTTCAAATTCATGATGATAAAATGGAAACTCAACACTGGAATTCTATTATACATCTCTACGTGGTTTGCTTTCCTACTCTTTTAGGATAATTCTAAATCTTTTCATTATGCCTTAACCCTACTGCACCACTTTCCCCTCTTATATGCTCAGTTGATGTCCTGGTTTCATTCTTTAAAAAAAAAAGTCATGAAGCACACCACCATTTTCTGTACACCCCTAAATCAACACACCCCTCCCACCCCCACATACACACACACTGGAACCCATTTTCTCTACCTTCCTCCTTCACTGTGGCAGAGTCCACATGGCTGGCACTGTTCAGCATCTCACTTGAGCCACATTTACGAAACAACTCAAGGACTTCTCTCCTTCTCAGGTACTGACACATAAAATCAATACCAAAACTCAACAAAGATAGACTAAAAAGAAAAAATAGGTACAGATCAATATCATATCACTCATCCATTCTTTCAGTACACATTTATTGAACACCTACTACATACCAGGCACTAAGGGAAGAGAATGGTGAGTGATATAAACTAGATCTCTATCCTGGAAGTATTTATAATCCAGTGGTAGAAACAGATATAAACTCACCAAAAACAAGATAAGCAGATTGCTTGTGATGGATGCCAGCTAGAAAAGAGAGACTGACTGGATAGACAGCAATGGGGTGGATTCAGAGCCCTAGAAAGGAAGGTCAGGGAATGATGCTCCGAGAGGAGATACATGAAGAAGGCAGCCATTTGAAAGTTCTTCAGAGAAGAAGTTTCCAGGCAAAAAAAAAAAAAAAAAAGCAAGCCCAGAAATCACTCTGACGTTGGAGGCAAAGCCGGGAAGCCAGGGTGGGTGGAGAGCAGTGCATGAAAAAGGCAGGAAGGGTACAATAGTGTGCAATAGGAAGGGGGCTGGACTTTATTGCAAATTAATTGAGAACATGTTAAAGAATATCAAGCAACATGCTTGAAATTTCATTTTTAAAAGACCTCTTGAGGTAAACTGTGGAAATTGAACTTTACAGAAACCCAAACAACTAGTTGGAGAATAGCCTCACTTTTTATACATTAAATCACATAAAACTCCAATAATGCAATGATGGATAAAAAAATCCACTGTCTCACACAAAAAAAACAAAAAACAAAAAACAAACAAAAAAAAAACCACAAAGAAAACAAAACCACTCCAAAGGTATATATCATAGAGTGCAAAAATCCCACATTCAAAGCAGAGGTGAATTACTTGTCAGGATCCCTTAGTGCTGAAACTGCATGTGGAGCCCTCTTTCTTTCTTTCTTTCCTTTCTTTCTTTCTTTGGCTTTATTAAAGTTTTTTTTAAGGAAAAGAAAAAAAACCAGATTTATGCTTCGGAAAAAAATTTTGGCATAGATTCTAAACAAACACACTAAAGCCATATTCTTTAATCTTCTTAGATTCATAAATGAGCTATTTCCTTACTTAAGTACAATTAGGAATGGCTTATTTTCTCAATTTTAAGTGAGTTTCTGAAACATATCACATGACACAGAGGATGGGTGGAAATTAGAAACTGTTGCTGCTGTGATAGTTCATGAATCATATGATCTTGCTTTTCCTCCATAATTTGCTAATAGCGTCTGAAATCTAAGACCACCGCAAGGAATTAACATATAATTCAATCAGAGTTAAAAGGATATTACCCAAGTTAGCGCTGTCGGTTTCCAGCATGCAAGTGGTGACAAATTAGGAAATCTTTTTTTTATTTATTTATTTATTTATTTATTTATTTATCATTCTTTTGTATATTTAAGATTGTCCTCTCTAAACATTTGGATATCCATGTAACACTGCCTTTAGGATAAAAATAAGATGGGGAGGGGGTCTGGAGTTGTTTGCAGATATTTTAACACATGCTTGAAGTAAATATGTAGAAAAATAAATGTTTTTACACATGTATAAATTATTCCACCCCCAGAGAGTCACTGCTCTTAGGTAGCCACAGGAGATGGATCTTTTGCATGTAAACGCAGTTGGTTCCCTTCTATGAAAGGCTCTCTGGCTTTCTCTTTGTTTCCCCTTCAGACTTTGTGGGGGCCACTGTGGGGACATCTTAAGTCATGCATTTCCTAGGCTAATTATTCCAGCGAACTAAGCCTGCTGGGCATTAAGGCTGTGGTTTGTGCTATTACTACTCTAAGATCAACGTTCTCTCCTATTTCATTACGTTCAAGGTCACTAAGGAAAGATTTTAAACCCAAAGCGGTGCCTCCAGAGCCCTGGGGGTTCAGACAAGGCATTGCTTCTCCTAGTATCACCTACATCCTAGCAGCCTCTCATTATTGCAAGTTGTTTTGTGGAATTCTGTAAACGAGGCTAATTTCTCACAATGTTAATAAAACAGATATTTACCTAACCACATTTTTAGAGCAGAGGTGAAGGGACACAATCGGTGTAGAAATTGTTGCAAGAGATCATAAGGTCAGACATCATATACCTTCCAGGCATTCCTGGCGCCTTTCCTTCCTCCTCCCGCGTAACTCTTCCCAGCACAAAATTTCCCTTTCTCAGATCAGAAAGGAAAAGTACACACCCTCTTCGCTTCCTACCCCCCTTCTGCCTTTTCCCCACAGCTGTTCTTGTTGCATTTTCATTTCTCTGTTCTGGTCCATCGATCCTAAAGGCTTTGGAGTCCTGCCCACCCAAACCGGGTATACTCTCTTCATGGGTTCAGAAGTTCTCCTTCTTCCTCAACTACCAGCTTCAAGTTGTCACTACTTTTCTCACTTTCCTTTTTTGAAAACCAGCTTTACTGTGTTCATGATCATTTCTGAGACGTCTTATTAAAAAAAATAGCCCTCCCCACACTTCCTTTTTTTTTAAAGCTTGCATTCCAGCTGGCTAGGAGAAGAAAGGTCCCTGTCGAGCTGGGAGTCGAGGTTTTATTCATTTCCCCTCCATTACAGGAACGCTTCTCCCTCAATCCTCACTGTTAGTAGAAATTCTGCTTAGTTTCTCAATCAAGCCTGCATTTCACTCATCTCAGTCTTCTCTAGCTTCTCTCCTCACTCCCCGAGCATGCTATGTAAAGTTGTATGTGTCATACTTATCCCAATTATTAAAGAAAAAGGACGCTTAACTACCATCGATTGAATTCCCAGTGTAAGTGTCCTTTCCTCCCTAAAAGTAACCTCGAATTCTTCTCTTAGGCTGAGTGATCCTGGGAGAAATGAAATATGTAACATTCTTAAGTATAGGCAGCTACATGCAAACAACCACACACATTCTTCTTCAAATACTTTGGTGAGATGATTCCTATTCTTTAAAGAAAGGCACTTCCAAGGATACAGTTATGAACATTTTGTCTTTTATGTCTTTCCACAGTTACAACATTTTCACTAAGATAAGCAGCTTTTCAATGAATTTGATCCTTTCCTGAAGTAATTGTTCAAAATGTCTCTAATCACCACCCTAACTAGGTTTCCTTTGGGGACTGGGGCTAGCACTGCTCATCTCAGATTGTGAACGTCTATCCTAAACCCATGCAGCATTCTTATCCTATTGTGATGAAATCCACAGGGTTCAAAAGTTAATTCTTCCATGAATGTGTACCAGGTGCTGGGGAAGGCTGGGAAGGAGAGGCTGGGTGGTACAGATGACAGAGTTCCTGAGGGTCTAGTTGAGCAAAGATATATTGAATACAAAACCAAAAATAACAGCATGAAGTCAATGGAATAATAGTGTGAAGTGCTCAAGGGAGCCCAGAAGAGAAAACTGTCCCATAATGGAAAGAGGAGGGTAAAAGGAAGGGAGTTTCACAGCAGACAAGGAGAAGGGGCATTTTTGGCTGAGGAAACAGCCTTGAAATGTAGGCTATACTTAGAGACCATTTAGCAGTCTGGCGTGGCTAGGGGGGAAATTTGATAATTCCATGGGGAATGAGACAGACACAGAATGTCTACCCCAAATCCTACCATCTGGGGGCCTAGAATCCTTCTTTGCTTCATGTCAGTAAGGCCAAGAAAAGTACTTTTAAAGAAGAATTTTAAAAGATTTGCATGGCTAGTGAAATCTTTGGGATTGTAGGAAGAAATCACAATAATAATTAAAATTATTATAACTATTATTTTGTCAAACTCCAAGTGATTTAAGACATACATAGTATTTTATAGCTGAAGGAACTTCAAAGACCATTTCATCCAGCCTGCTTATTTTACAGATGAGGAAATTGAGGCCCAGAGAAAAGTTCCTTGCTGCAAATCCACTGCTAGTTGGGAACAAAGCTAGGCTGGAGCACAGATCTCTTGCTTCCTAAGCCAGATCGCTTGCCACGAAAATGTGCCAATCTGTGCACCCCCACTACCGATTTGTCCTGTTTCTCAGAGAAGAAAAAACAATGGTTAGAGTTTAAGAGGTTTCCCTGAAGTCACCCAACTCCTGGTGGCTCAGATGGGACTCAAACCCGGGATGTTGGGGACATGTAGCCAACACTCTCCTGTAAACATTCTTACTAAAACTAAACCCATTCACGAGGGATGAAGTGTGAGACAGAAGAGTGAGTGTGGTGATTAGAGCCCCCCAACCCACGTATCTCCAGTCATGACCTGAGTAAGAAATACAGGGGCTGAAAGAGGTCTGCTTTGCCTCAGCTACCACCAGCCTAACCACGCACGGCTAAGCCTCAAGGAGTTCTCCTTCTTCACTAAGGGCTTAGCTGCAATGTGGTTTAAATTAGACATTTCTTGCCTGAGTAGAACAAATCACTTAGGTTATACGCTGACAAAAAAGGAACAGTCTGCATGCTTGGAAAGCTTAGGGGGAATTAAATTATGTGCTGTCACTTCAGAGTTGTTCCTCTGTCCTGTACACCACCACCTCTCAATTGCCTGCAGGAGCTGCAGGGCCTTGCGTGCAAGCTGTGCCATAACCCAAGGCTTAACATAAACTTCGGGCTCTCAGGTCATTGGGAAATAACAGGTATATCCGGTTGTGCCTTTTGTGCTTGTCTGCACGCAAATTAAAAGCTCGTGCTATGCTGAACTCCTTGGAGCCTCTGGTTACAGAGAAGGGAGGATGCCTTAGAATGGAATTTTCACACAATTGTCCTGTTTGTTTTTCCAGGGAATTGGGTGATAGTGTGTGTTTGTAAGAAGTTCACACCTCTGGGAGGCTGAGCTCAGAAGGGGCGGGATGTGGAGGTGGCCATGTGCCAGGCGACCCTCTAGGGAGCAGGGCTCCAAAGGACCCCACGTCTGAACTTTGAAGGGACGGTAGTGCTTACGGGGGCGGCGGGGAAGGGCGGGGTTTGCGCAGATCTCAGACTTCCTGGCTAGTAGCAACAATGCCAAGTGCAGAGCTAGGTGGGGAGGGGTGCAGGAAGGGATCTGAAAGCTTGGGGGCCATGTACTCAGGCTGTCACCTCCCTAAGGGAGGCTCCTCACCTCCCTAAGTTTTGTGATGCCCCCACTACAGTTCAGCCCTGAACCCTCCAGATGGCTGATTGGAGTAGGAATGAAGCGTCCACTCCGTCTTCATGTTTCTTCCCATGGGACACAATAATATTCCCTTCGCTGTGACTACAGCCTCCCCCCAGTTAAGTAGGAGAAATCTATGCCTACTGCACTCCAACTGTGAGATTTCCTCTGGCAGGAGTTTGCCTAGCTGGTGCAGCTGGGAAGCAGCAGAGAGTTTTTGCAGCCCGGCGGAACTGAATTCAAATTTCAGCTCAACCAACATAGTGTGTGTGACCTTGATTGATAATTCCAACTCTTCCTGCCTTGCTTTATTTGTCTGTAAAAAAGGGATGAGGGCAATGGTTATCTCAAAGGGTTGGCTGTGTGGGATTAATGAAATGATTTCTGTCAAGTGCTTGGCACATTGCCTGGCTCAAAATGCTCCATATATGGCAGTTCTTACATATATGACAGTACATTATTATTGTTACCATTGGTTTAATTGGCAGAGCTGCGATCCAAAAATTTCAGACTGTGGCTCGATCCTGGGCTTCGATTTCAGGCTGTGGCTAAGAAGCCCTCCTGGCTTCACACCTAACCAGGATCCACATGCCTCTTCCACTGAGCTGGGCTCTCCCAGCTTCCTGACTCAGGCACTACCTCGTCTCCGGGCCGCAGGGGTTTGGGCATCATTCTGTCTGCCTCTTCTTCCTCCTCCTTCCTGGGGCTAAGGTACATCATCTGGGCAGGTAGCTGTCTTGGGAAGATGACATCTTTCTAGCCAGACACCTGGTGGTGGCAACTCTGCAATAGTTTAGAGGGTTGCAGTGGTGTTTCAATGCGCCCACACTTGTCTCAGGGCTATTCTCTTAAAATCAGTAACTGGGACATTATTTTTTCTGAAATCCACCGCACCCTCACCTACTTCCTACGCCAAGACAATAGCCCATTTAGATTTTTCTTGGATGAAGAGACATTCACACACACACACACACACACACACACACACACACACACAAACAAAAAACACACTTTTTTTTTTTTTTTTGAGACGGAGTCTGGCTCTTTCGCCCAGGCCGGACTGCAGTGGCGCTCTCTCGGCTCACTGCAAGCTCCGCCTCCGGGGTTCACGCCATTCTCCTGCCTCAGCCTCCTGAGTAGCTGGGATTACAGGCGCCCGCCACAACACCAGGCTAATTTTTTGTATTTTTTAGTAGAGACGGGGTTTCACCGTGTTAGCCAAGATGGTCTCGATCTCCTGACCTCGTGATCCACCCGCCTCGGCCTCCCAAAGTGCTGGGATTACAGGCGTGAGCCACCGCGCCCGGCCCAAAAAACACACTCTTAAGTTTAGACAATGGTTCTCAAAGTGTGGTCCAGGCACCCCGTCGGGATGGCCCCTGAGACCCTTTCCAGGAAACCCACAAGGTTACAGCTGTGGGAATAAAACATTATTTGCATTTCTAACTCTCATTCTCTTACAAATTTACTGGGGGGTCTTTCTGCAGAAACAGATGTGAGTCACCTGCTATCTTCTGTTAAGTCATAAATTAAAGAGATTTGTAACAATATTTTTTAAAACTGCCCACTCTGACTAAATATTTGTAATTTTGGAAACTAGTTATTTTCCATAAAATGTTATTTATGTTAACATGTATTAGGTTTATTATTTTTAATGAACTAACAAATATTTTATAAGTTTTTCAGCTTTAATTTCTAGAATTATAAATATTGATAGATACTTAGCTAAACAATAGTTCTTTGGACTCTACAATATTTTTTAAGACTTTGAAGAGGTTCTGAAAACAAAACATTTGAGAAACATTGAGCTAAGATTTTGGCACTGGGGCCTATGAAATCATTGCTTTTGCTCACTTACTTCTAAATAAAACCATCATTTCTGAGGATTGGAATAGTGTGAATTTTATGGTAATTTCAATATAATGGGTTTGAGTGTAGCAGATCTAGTCATGAAGCCCATGTGGAGGCTGCATGCCAACTCTCTGCATGTTCCAGCCACTGTGTTAAAGGAAGATTTTCTAAGCCATCCCAAGATTTGATTGTAAATTGTGGAGATTAAATTGCTGGGCAGATACCAAGGATATTCTGCAAGGGGAGGGGAGGAAGAGGGTGTGAGTTGCATCAGGCTCTGGCAACAAGATGGCTTTGCTTGTTGTGGTCTTGGGCTCCTGGAGGGAGTCAGCTCACAGGGCAGGAGAAGGCAGTGGGGTGGCCCAGGTCCCTAATAGGCATAACAGTACTAGAGACCTCTACAGTTACTGTAGTTAGAGGGGTGGGGCTTCTGTAAGACTTAGGATGATACGCAGTGAGTCAACAAATGTGTACTGGTGTGGTATAGATGGGCTTTGGTGCCTGCAGACCTGAATTCAAATCCTGACCCCTCTCACTTGCAACCTCTGTGACATTTGGCAAATAGTTTACTGTCTCTGAGCCTTAATCCCTTTGTATATAAAGCAGGCTAAATATACCAATATTTTTAGGATGATTGGGAGAAATAAATGAAACTGTCAATGTAAAAAATAGAAAACAGTGCCTGGCACTTAGGGGGAAATATTAGCTACTTTCTCTGTCTCCAAACTTGTTGTGTGGTGTGGGAGACTCTAAGGGAACGGAGGAGCTTAAGCCACAGGCCCTGGCCTTATGATGATAACATCAGAGAGAATGCTCCTCACATTTAGCAGGACACAGTGCTCCGACTGTGGTACTCAAAATTGTTGTGGTGTTTATTCCTTGTTGAGTGATATGTGTTACTCAGGAGGCTGAGGCAGGAGGATCCCTTGAACCCAGGAGTTCAAGACCAGCCTGGGCAACATAGAGAGACCCTGTCTCAAAAAAAAAAAAAAAAAAAAAAAAGATACGTGTAAGTTGCTCTTCACCTCTCTGATTTGCTGCAGGAAGCCTCAGGTATTAGGTTCAGAGTCCAGAGTAAATGAGGGCAGAAATGGAGGTTCCCACCAGCCCTGAGTGCCTTCTGTGCACTTGCTGTGGAAGAGGATTCCATTTTACCCCGTAGCTCCCGGGATTCCACTGGGGTGTGGCTGGTAACCTGGGGGCTCAGGGCTCAGTCACATCCTTATTGCACCAGAAAGTCCCTGAAATAGTGTAGGAGAATGAGGTGCCTGGGGGCATGGCTGCTGGTTGGAGGCCACAGTGCCACCTTCTCAAGGCTCAGAAACTGGGAAGCCTTCCTTCCTTCTGCATTCAAACCCTTAAAATGCACAACCCACCCCCCGTGGCTGACTCAGCACAATGGGAAAAGGAAAAACGGAGGTTAGTCAGCCCAAGAGTACAGACCATTGAATCTAACTTTCCATTTTGGACTGGAGAGCATTCGAGACAATTTCCTCCCTGGCCTTTAGTAAGGGAGAGCTGGGAGTCTCCCGTTCTGCCTTCTGGTACAGGCTCCAGAAGTAGGCTGTTTCCCTCATTGTGGCTGTCAAATGGGCTGTATGCCCCAGGTCTGAGGCCACAGTACACTTTGACTCAGAGCTGTAATGTAAGAAAAAAAGGCGGTGTTTTCTGGGAAGCTGGATAGCGTTGCGTCATTTGTACAAATCACCACCGGGAGGTCCCACGACAGCACTCCCTTGAGTTTCCTCCCAATTGCACTGCACAGCATGGAGTTTTCTGAACTCTCCTCAGCAGGGAATTGCATGAGTGTTGTCCTGGAGCCTCATTGCCACAGGGCTACAAAGCATCCGTAACAGTCACAGAGGGACTGACCGAAAGCATAGCTTGGTGGAAGAGGCCTACTATGGCCTCATCAGGCTCTTTTGGGAACATGGCATCCCCCTGCCTAAAGAACTGTCTCTGTACTACCTAAGGGTCCTGATGTGGAGCGCGTCTGGGTGAGGAGAAATTAGATGAGGAGAAAGTGCTGCAGAGCTGCCATCTGGGAGTTGGAGGGAAACACAAATTGGCTATTGGTGCTGAGCTCTTCTGCCAACAGCAGATGTTTCTGTGAGATCAGCCTTCTTAAGGCAGCGGCAAATGGCCTCCCACAGAATAATGATAACAGCTAATGATGCCTGAGCACCCACCACATGCCAGGCACCCTTCTAAAAGCTTTACATGTATTAGTTCATTCAGTCCTCACCACAACTCTGCATAATCGGTACTGGTATCGTCTCCATTTTACATCTCCATTCACTTAAGTGTAAGCTGGACCCAGAGAAGCGATTTCTAGCATGGAAGTCACTCCGGTGTAAGTAGGAGAGCCAGATTCAGATTCAGTCTGGCTCTGGAGTGATGCTAGCAGCCACTCAATGTGCTGCCTGAGAAACGCAAGGAGGAAGTGACTGGTGCCACTTTGGGCTGTTAGGAATTTGCAGGTGGGTAACGGCACGCCACCCTGAGAGCTGTCACGCTGAACCAAGTGGGCCATGTTTTTATTCCTGCGAGGTTCAAGTCCTTGCCATGTCTTGGATTTTACTGGACAGAAGTAAGGACTTAGTAAGTAGTAGTAATAATGATAATGGCTAACTGTTATTGGGTGCTCACTCTGCCATCAACTATGCTATTTGTTTTCTTACAATCAATATCTCATTTAATCCTCAAAACCACCCTCTGTGGTTGGTATATTACCTGTCTTGTACAAGTGAGGAAAGTCAGGCTCAGAAGGGTTAAATAACATGGCCAAGGTTACAGCTTATAAATAAGAGAGCTGGTGCTCACACCCAAGAGTGCCCGGTCCCAGAAGCCAAACTCCTAATGATTGGGTATGCTGGCTGTATTGCCTTTGATATCCTCTGGAGGATTAGACAAGCCCAGAAGGCATTTGGGCCTGCGCCCACGGCCTGTAAAGAATTGCCATTCATCTAAGAGGGGATATGGAGGTGTGTGGAGTTGGCTCTCCAATCCTGGCTTCTGTGATGTGTTCCATAGGGATGTGGAGGTCCGGAATCACCCCCGTCTAATGTTTTATCAGCTTTCATCTGGGGATTTCCCTCATTTGTCAGGAAGAGGAGATAATCTGAACACAGGCATATGTATTCTTTAAGAGAAGAAATAGGTCTGAAAGACAAGTAAAATTTTTGTTTTGTTTGTTTTGTTCCATGTTGGCAAACCTAAGTCAAAGTAACCATCCTTTATAGAAGGAAAAGTATTTAGGTACATTCTACTTGGTACAAAGCCAAGGTTCATAGAGATGGGAATTGGCAAACCTTTTTAGAAGACAGTGAGGATGTAGCATATATGCATATATCCCTATGGCTCAAGCATTTCTATTGAGAATCGATACTGGGGGAACATTTGCAAATGGATTCAGAATTGCACAGAAAAGTGAAATCACTGCAGTGGAGTCTCTAATAATAGAGTTGAGAACAACACAAATGACCATCTAAGTCGCCGTTGATGGTTGAAAAAATAATGTTGGCCAGGCGCAGTGGCTCACGCCTATAATCCCAGCACTTTGGAGGCTGAGGTGGGAAGATGGCTTGAGTCCAGGAGTTCGAGACAAGCCTGGACAACATAGCAAAACCCCACCTCTAAAAAATACTCAAAAATTAGCCAGGCATGCTGCCACGAGCCTGTGGTCCCAGCTACTTGGAAGCCTGAGGCAGGAGGATTGCTTGAGCCTGGGAGGTGGAGGTTGCAGTGAGCCAAGATCACACCACTGCATTCCAGCCTGGGTGACAGAGCAAGACCCTGTCTCAATAATAATAGTAATGACAATAATAATGTCATGGTCATACCATGCAGTAGTTTAAAATCATGAAGTAGATCTATCTATCTATCTATATGTACAACCGTATGCATGTACATAAATAGAAGGCACATGGTACCCATGGTTACTCTGGGAAGGGGTGGGAGTGTGAGTTTTCTCATTTTATTCTCATTTTTCTGCATATTTTTATATACTGATTGACTCTCTTGCAACAAGAATCTATGTTACTACGTGTGTGTGTTTTAAGAATAAATATCTGGCCAAAATAGAAAAATAATTTAATATGCATAATATTCTGGATGTATAATGATGCAACTATATAACATAAACCGCAGTCCAAAGATTTTTGCCTAGAAGTAGTCCAGACTGGGCCATGCTTTCCCTGGATAGTCTTCCTGTCCTGTCCTAGTCTGTGCTCCTGGGAGTATCAACATGGCCTCTGTAGGCCAGAACACCATCCTAAAGCCACAAGATGCATTTAATAGAAATAAATGTAAAATCTCACATGTAGTATTTTTTTGAAAAATCAATAATACAAGTACAACTGAAGACTCAGCCAGCTACCAAGTCCTATATTAAAGGATGAAGATTTTTGCTTATCACAATCTTAGTAGAATATAGATGTTTTAATAGTGGGATGCAAATATATTAAAACAGGGCAAAAACTTTGTTTGCATTGAAAGTAACACTATGTCTAATGGGAAGTAACCACACCCCCCTGGGCTAGACAGAATGTCATATTTGGGATACTATGTTCAGTTTCAGGCCCATACTCAGATGGACATACTGAAAAAGCACATTGTCCAGAAGGCAGAGATAAGGAACTGGGGCATTTTTAATTGGTGGAAGGATGGCTCAGAAGCAGCACAATTCCATCTTCAAACATGTGACAGCAAAGGAGAATGAGTCTTGCTTTATGTCACTCCAAAGAATAGCTCTAGATTTACCAGAAGGCAAGAAAGTTCACTCCAGAATTTTTCTTAATATTGGGAAGAACCTTCTAGCATCTACAGCTTTCTAACCAAAGCAGTCCAACAATAGAACAGACAACAGTTGAGAAATGATCACTTCAATAGTAGAAGGGAAAAATCCTGTTGGGAGTCAATGGTCAAAAAAGCTGACGTATAACTATCCAGCCTTTGTGTTCTCCGTTGGGATCATGCAGGGGAGGACTAACCACTTAAGTTATTTAACTATCAATTATTTTCTCAAACCCTGGATACACCCAGAGTTTTCAACCGGAATTTTGGTCCATTTGTGGAAAGAGAAAAAAACCTGTGAGGGAATGCAGATCTAATGCTAAAAACTAAGAGGTGAATGGAGAGAGAGAGAGGGAGAGAGAGAGAGAGGGAGAGAGGGAGAGAGGGAGAGAGGGAGAGAGGGAGAGAGGGAGAGAGAGAGAGAGAGAGAGAGAGAGAGAGAGAGAGAGAGACAGACAGACAGACAGACAGACAGACAGACAGACAGACAGAGAGAGAAAGAAAGACTAGAATCTGGATGCTAACCATCCAAAAACCTGGAGGCTGTACCAGTCAACATGTCCATGGCTAGATGTTGTGATCTTAGCTGAGCCCAAATGTACATTCTTTTGGTGGTGGGGTGTTTTACTTGTTGCTTTATGTATTTTCTTGGTAACCTGGTAAATATTTATTTTTAGAAAATGAAAATAAAAAGGAAAACTAGTATCCTTTATCTGCCTAAAGGTTTTCTATGGTTGGTCAAAGAATTAGGGAAGTAAAGTGTTTCCCTATTGACCAAAGTTGTGGACAGTAGGCTCCCTCTTTCACTGTTAGAAAAGTTGATTTCAGGCTGGGCGCAGTGGCTCATGGTTGTAATCCCAGCACTTTGGGAGGCCGAGGCAGGTGGATCACCTGATGTCAGGAGTTTGAGACCAGCCTGGCCAACATGGTGAAACCCTGCCTTTACTAAAAATACAAAAATTAGCCAGGCATGGTGGTGCACCCCTGTAGTCCCAGCTACTGGGGAGGCTGAGGCAGGTGAATCGCTTGAACATGGCAGGTGGAGGCTACAGTGAGTCGAGATGGTGCCACTGCACTCCAGCCTGGGCAACAGAGCAAGACTCTGAAAAAAAAAGAAAGAAGAAGGAGAAGGAAAAGGAGGAGAGAAAAGTCTATTTCAGGAAGTAGAGTAGGTGGTAGTAGAAGCTCAGAGAACAAACGTACAAAAACAACCACAGACCCTGGCGTCCCTTCCCTTCGTATGGAATCATCACTGTGCCAAGTCGGTGGGAGCTTCACCCCACAAATATTAAGCAGCAGAGGCACATGCTCAAACGTTGAGCAGGAGAGGTAAGTACACCAGTTGAGAGCCCAGACAAAGTGACTGACCACCGTGACTATCTTTTAGCCCCAGGGCTGGGTATTTTTTTCTTTTTCTTTTTCTTAGTTGCTGTATCTCTCTGCTCCCCCTTCTTATTTCCCTCACTCTTTTCCCCTCTGCCCTGACTCTTTACTCTTCTGTGTGAGAGAGAATGAAGAGAGGAAGGGAGACAGCAGAACAGAAAAGGGGGCACCTGAGACGAGAGTGGAGGTCTTGAGGGAATGAGGGTGAGGAAGATAGGAGTGGACCCAGAGAAAGGGAAAATGAGAGACAGAATGAGAGAGAAGAAAGAAGGATGAAGCAAGGGGAAGGAAAAGGGCAGAAGGAAGCAAACCAAAGGAAAGAACTGGGAATGATGCTGGGAAAAACCATTAAAGCACAGCACCATTTGCTGCATTTATGAAGCACATAGAACCCTGAGTAGATTATGCCCCTTAACACAGGGGCACAGTAGAACTAAGGGCATGACACTGCCTTATATCATATTTCTTCTGCTTTCAAAAGGAATTGAAGAAAGCCTAAGATAAAAGAGACAAGACACACTCAAGCCATTCAAAGAACAAGGACGGCACAGAAAGTACAGGTTATAATCCATAGTGCTGAGGAGAAAGACTGCAATTGAGCACAAACTTTTTATTAGTCCTGAACTCCAGGAGTGACACATCAGATGCAGGACCCTGAACAGCAGACTAATCCCACTTTCTTTCCACTGTCCTTGCTTACAAGAAACCCTCAAGAGAAGCTAAGAAGGCAATGTAAGATCAAAATGTTGGGAAGATCTTTTTTTATGTTCTTATATTTAACTTTTAATTTTGATATAATTACAGAAGAGTTTCAAGGAATCACAAAGAACTCCCATTTACCCAGATTCTCCAATTAACATTGACCACACTTACTTTCTCATTCTCCTCTCTCTCCCTCTCCTTCTCCCCAAACCCCTCTATTTTTTCCTTGAGCCATTTGAGGGTAAGTGGCAGACATTACACCCCTTTACCTCTAAATATGCATTTTGGTGAGGAACTAGAATACATGTAGCTTTCACTACATGTATTTCTGTCACTTTCACTAATACCAGACAGAGCTCATGGGCAACGAGATTGGAAGGGGAGCAGGAGTAGGAAACTTGTTTTAAGCTGCAACTACTTAGCAAGTGACTATCTTTTCTTAGATTAATTTAGGTCAATAAAAATAGCAGAATCTTCTAAATCACCTTCTCACCAACTTTACATAGGATTGAGAAAACATCAATTGTCTACATTTGTCTACATGAAATAATATTAATAGAAATGAGGATTGGTAGCCAATACCCTTGGTGCTAACCACTCCAAGAAATCTAGAAAGTGCTTAATACAAAGAAAGAATCCTTGTCAGCCTGTATTGTTAGGCCCCTGAGCCCAAGCTAAGCCATCATATCCCCTGTGACCTGCACGCACACATCCAGATCGCCGGTTCCTGCCTTAACTGATGACATTCCACCACAAAAGAAGTGAAAATGGCCTGTTCCTGCCTTAACTGATGACATTGTCTTGTGAAATTCCTTCTCCTGGCTCATCCTGGCTCAAAAGCTCCCCCACTGAGTACCTTGTGACTCCCACTCCTGCCTGCCAGAGAACAACCCCCCTTTTTCCTTTACCTACCCAAATCATATAAAACGGCCCCACCTGTCTCCCTTGGCTGACTCTCTTTTTGGACTCAGCCCGCCTGCACCCAGGTGATTAAAAGCTTTATTGCTCACACAAAGCCTGTTTGATGGTCTCTTCACACGGACATGCATGAAATTTGGTGCCATGAGTCGGATCGGGGGACCTCCCTTGGGAGGGCAATCCCCTGTCCTCCTGTTCTTTGCTCCATGAGAAAGATCCACCTACGACCTCAGGTCCTCAGACCGACCAGCCCAAGGAACATCTCACCAATTTTAAATCGGGTAAGCGGCCTCTTCTTACTCTCTTCTCCAACCTCTCTCACTGTCCTTCAACCACTTTCTCCTTTCCACTCTTCAATCTCTCCCTTCTCTTAATTTCAATTCCTTTCATTTTCTGGTAGAGACAAAGGAGACACGTTTTATCCGTGGACCCAAAACTCCGGCGCCGGTCAGGGACTGGGAAGGCAGCCTTCCCTTGGTGTTTAATCATTGCAGGGACTGCAATGATTATTCACCCAGGTTTCAGAGGTGTCAGACCATGCAGGGACGCCTGCCTTGGTCCTTCACCCTTAGCGGCAAGTCCTGCTTTTCTGGGGAAGGGGCAAGTACCCCAACCCCTTCTCTCCGTGTCTCTACCCCTTCTCCTCCTTTCTGGGGGGCAAGAAATCCCCAACCCCTTCTCCTTCACCCTGAGCGGCAAGTCCTGCTTTTCTAGAGGAGGGGCAAGTACCCCAACCTCGTATCTCTGCACCCCAATCCCTTATTTCCGTGCCCCGACCTCTTATCTCTGCGCCCAATCTCTTATTTCCGCGCCCCAACCTCTTATATCTCTGTGCCCCAATCCCTTATTTCCACACCCCAACCTCTAATCTCTGTGCCCCCATCCCTTATTTCCGTGCCCCAACCTCTTCTCCGTGCCCCAACCCCTTTCCCGCTTTTCTGGAAGGTAAGAACCCCCAAACCCCTTCCCTCCATGTCTCTACTCTCTCTTTTCTCTAAGCTTGCTTCCTTCACTATGGGCAACTTTCCACCCTCCATTCCTCCTTCTTCTCCCTTAGCCTGTGTCCTCAAAAACTTAAAACCTCTTCAACTCTCACCTAAATTAAAATCTAAGCATCTTATTTTCTTCTGCAATGCCGCTTGACCCCAATACAAACTCAACAGTAGTTCCAAATAGCCGGAAAACGGCACTTTCAATTTTTCCATCCTACAAGATCTAAATAATTCTTGTTGTAAAATGGGCAAATGGTCTGAGGTGCCTGACATCCAGGCATTCTTTTACACATCGGTCCCTCTCTAGTCTCTGTTCCCAATGCAACTCATCCCAAATCTTCCTTCTTTCCCTCCCACCTGTCCCCTCAGTCCCAACCCCAAGCGTCGCTGAGGCTTTCTAATCTTCCTTTTCTACGGACCCATCTGACCTCTCCCCACCTCCCCAGGCTGCTCCTCGCCAGGCCCAGCTAGGTCCCAATTCTTCCTCAGCCTCCGCTCCTCCACCCTATAATCCTTTTATCACCTCCCCTCCTCACACCTGGTCTGCCTTACAGTTTCGTTTCGTGACTAGCCCTCCCCCACCTGCCCAGCAATTGACTCTTAAAAAGGTGGCTGGAGCTAAAGGCACAGTCAAGGTTAATGCTCCTTTTTCTTTATCCCAAATCAGATAGCGTTTTCATCAAACATAAAAACCCAGCCCAGTTCGTGACTCCTTTGGCAGCAGCCCTGAGACGCTTTACAGCCCTAGACCCTAAAAGGTCAAAAGGCCGTCTTATTCTCAATATACATTTTATTACCCAATCTGCTCCCGACATTAAATAAAACTCCAAAAATTAGAATCTGGCACTCAAACCCCACAACAGGATTTAATTAACCTCGCCTTCAAGGTGTACAATAATAGAAAAAAGTTGCAATTCCTTGCCTCCACTGTGAGACAAACCCCAGCCACATCTCCAGCACACAAGAACTTCCAAACGCCTGAACCGCAGCGGCCAGGCGTTCCTCCAGAACCTCCTCCCCTAGGAGCTTGCTACAAGTGCTAGAAATCTGGCCACCAGGCCAAGGAATGCCTGCAGCCCAGGATTCCTCCTAAGCCATGTCCCATCTGTGTGGGACCCCACTGGAAATCGGACTGTCCAACTCACCTGGCAGCCACTCCCAGAGCCCCTGGAACTCTGGCCCAAGGCTCTCTGACTGCTTCCCAGATCTTCTTGGCTTAGCGGCTGAAGACTGATGCTGCCCGACTGCCTTGGAAGCCCCCTAGACCATCACAGACGCCGAGCTTCGCGTAACTCTCACAGTGGAAAGTAAGTCCGTCCCCTTCTTAATCAATACGGAGGCTACCCACTCTACATTACCTTCTTTTCAAGGGCCTGTTTCCCTTGCCTCCATAACTGTTGTGGGTATTGACAGCCAGGCTTCTAAACCTCTTAAAACTCCCCAACTCTGGTGGCAACTTAGACAATACTCTTTTAAGCACTCATTTTAGTTATCCACACCTGCCCAGTTCCCTTATTAGGGCGAGCCACTTTAACTAAATTATCTGCTTCCCTGACTATTCCTGGATTACAGCTACATCTCATTGCTGCCCTTCTTCCCAGTCCAAAGCCTCCTTTGCGTCCTCCTCTTATATTCCCCCACCTTAACCCACAAATATAAGATACCTCTACTCCCTCCTTGGTGACCGATCATGCATCCCTTACCATCTCATTAAAACCTAACCACCTTTACCCCGATTAATGCCAATATCCCATCCCACAGCATGCTTTGAAAGGGTTAAAGCCTGTTATCACTTGCCTGCTACAGCATGGCCTTTTAAAGCCTATAAACTCTCCTTACCATTCCCCCATTTTACCTGTCCTAAAACCAAGCAAGCCTTACAAGTTAGTTCAGGATCTATGCCTTATCAACCAAATTGTTTTGCCTATCCACCCCATGGTGCCAAACCCATATACTCTCCTATCCTCAATACCTCCCTCCACAATCCATTATTCTGTTTTGGATCTCAAACATGCTTTCTTTACTATTCCTTTGAACCCGTCATCCCAGCCTCTCTTTGCTTTCACTTGGACTGACCCTGACACCCATTAGGCTCAGCAAATTACCTGGGCTGTACTGCCGCAAGGCTTCACAGACAGCCCCCATTACTTCAGTCAAGCCCAAATTTCATCCTCATCTGTTACCTATCTCAGCATAATTCTCATAAAAACACACGTGCTTTCCCTGCTGATCGTGTCCGATTAATCTCCCAAACCTCAATCCCTTACAAAACAACAACGCCTTTCCTTCCTAGGCATGGTTAGTGCGGTCAGAATTCTTACACAAGAGCCAGGACCGCACCCTGTAGCCTTCCTATGCAAACAACTTGACCTTACTGTTTTAGCCTAGCCCTCATGTCTCCATGCAGCGGCTGCTGCCGCCCTAATACTTTTAGAGGCCCTAAAAATCACAAACTATGCTCAACTCACTCTCTACATTTCTCATAACTTCCAAAATCTATTTTCTTCCTCACACCTGACGCATATACTTTCTGCTCCCCGGCTCCTTCAGCTGTACTCAGTCTTTGTTAAGTCCCACAATTACTATTGTTCCTGGCCCGGACTTCAATCCGGCCTCCCACATTATTCCTGATACCACACCTGACCCCCATGACTGTATCTCTCTGATCCACCTGACATTCACCCCATTTCCCCATATTTCCTTCTTTCCTGTTCCTCACCCTGATCACGCTTGATTTATTGATGGCAGTTCCACCAGGCCTAATCGCCACACACCAGCAAAGGCAGGCTATGCTATAGTACAAGCCACTAGCCCGCCTCTTAGAACCTCTCATTTCCTTTCTATCATGGAAATCTATCCTCAAGGAAATAACTTCTCAGTGTTCCATCTGCTATTCTACTACTCCTCAGGGATTATTCAGGCCCCTTCCTTCCCTACACATCAAGCTTGAGGATTTGCCCCCACCCAGGACTGGCAAATTAGCTTTACTCAACATGTCCCAAGTCAGGAAACTAAAATACCTCTTAGTCTAAATAGACACTTTCACTGGATAGGTAGAGGCCTTTCCTATAGGGTCTGAGAAGGCCACCGCAGTCATTTCTTCCCTTCTGTCAGACATAATTCCTCAGTTTAGCCTTCCCACCTCTATACAGTCTGATAACAGACCAGCCTTTATTAGTCAAATCAGCCAAGCAGTTTTTCAGGCTCTTAGTATTCAGTGAAATCTTTATATCCCTTATGGTCCTCCGTCTTCAGGAAAAGTAGAACGGACTAAAGGTCTTTTAAAAACACACCTCACCAAGCTCAGCTACCAACTTAAAAAGGACTGGACAATACTTTTACGACTTTCCTTTCTCAGAAGTCAGACCTGTCCTCAGAATGCTACAAGGTACAGCCCATTTGAGCTCCTGTATAGACGCTCCTTTTTATTAGGCCCCAGTCTCATTCCAGACACCAGACCAACTTAGACTGTGCCCCAAAAAAACTTATCATCCCTATTATCTTCTGTCTAGTCATACTCCTATTCACCGTTCTCAACTACTCATACACGCCCTGCTCTTATTTACACTGCCGGTTTACGCTGTTTCTCCAAGCCATCACAGCTGATATCTCCTGGTGCTATCCCCAAACTGCCACTCTTAACTCTTGAAGTAAATAAATAATCTTTGCTGGCAGGACTGTGCTGAATCTCCTTAGGCACTCTCTAATCAGATGTCCTGAGTTGTCCCAATTCTTAGACCTTTTATACCTGTTTTTCTCCTTCTCTTATTCCATTTAGTTTTTCAATTCATACAAAACTGTATCCAGGCCATCACCAATAATTCTAAATGACAAATGTTCCTTCTAACAACCCCACAATATCACCCCTTACCACAAAATCTTCCTTCAGCTTAATCTCTCCCACTCTAGGTTCCCACACCGCCCCTAATCCCGCTGAAGCAGCCCTGAGAAACATCGCCCATTATCTCTCCATACCACCCCCAAAAATTTTCGCTGTCCCAAAACTTTACCACTATTTAGTTTTATTTTTCTTATTAATATAAGAAGACAGGAATGTCAGCCCTCTGAGCCCAAGCAAAGCCATCATATCCCCTGTGACCTGCACGTACACATCCAGATCGCCGGTTCCTGCCTTAACTGATGACATTCCACCACAAAAGAAGTGAAAATGGCCTGTTCCTGCCTTAACTGATGACATTTTCTTGTGAAATTCCTTCTCCTGGCTCATCCTGGCTCAAAAGCTCCCCCATTGAGTACCTTGTGACCCCCACTCCTGCCCGCCAGAGAACAACCCCCCTTTTTCCTTTACCTTCCCAAATCCTATAAAACCGCCCCACCCCTGTCTCCCTTGGCTGACTTTCTTTTCAGACTCAGCCCACCTGCACCCAGGTGATTAAAAGCTTTATTGCTCACACAAAGCCTGTTTGGTGGTCTCTTCACACGGACGCGCATGAAATGTATAATGCTTTGTCAGCTCCAAATCATACCCTCAACTTTCCATTTTACATCTCCGAAATCTGGATGTATCTTAGAGTCGATGATGCAATTATAATTGGTAGCTTCCTTTCTTTATGTTAGTACATAAAAATAAGGGTGCATCCTACAAATGATGGCTTCTGAGATTAGATAAAATACCTTTCTATTAGCTCTGTGGTTCTCTGCCTGTGTATTGCCAGGAGGAAGGAAGTGGAGCATTTCAGGTGAGGCACAGGGTTTTGGTATCAATTCCTAAGATTCCTTTCATGGTCCAGCCCCTGGTGTGCATTATCCTACAGTTCCTCCCTCTATCGCACCCTCAGCCACTTGGTGTGTCTCCTTATTTCTGCTCCTCTTGCCTACCAGCATGTGCCTGATGACTGAATCCTGCCCACCCAAATGTCAAGAGCCTACCAGAGATGGCTTATTCTCCTCCACTCTCCTCAGTGCATGTGGGTATGTGTGTTTGGAGATGACTGGAAAAGCACAGTGGCTACCCATTAAACTGACTTAGGGGTCACACTAGAGAGGAAGACCATGAAGAAAACTGAGTTCCAGCCTGACAGCAGAAGGGCAGAGCTTTCTGGGCTACTGGCTCTAAGGGCAATGCATATATCTGCTGATTTAAAATAATAATAACAATAATGGCTTTGGGTTTCCTTAGGTTATCCTCCAACCCAAAGAAACCAGTGGGCAGACATGTATACATGGAGTGGACTGGGTCAGCTCTTTGGCTTCCTAGCATGTTCTGCCATCTCTTTTTTTCTGATGACAGAACAAGCCCTTGCCCACAGGGTAAAAACCTGATGCCAGCCTGGCCCCCTGGAGTCCTTCTAGGACCCTGGAAGAGAGCTGTTCTCTTTCTCTTTGTTTTGTTAATTTTAAGCTGCTTCCTTGCCATGCAAAGAGAGAAAGCCCAAGCAAAGACCAGCATAGGCAGAGAGCCGGTAGAGCGGCCTGGGTCCTTGTATCCTGTGAAGCATCACGGTTATCCTTCTCTGCACATGGGCCAGTGCATTCCTGTTCTGCTTAAACAAGCTTAAGTTGTTCCTTCGAGTCAATACAAGATAAGATATTTTAAACCTCTCTCTACTTTAAACTATCCCTCTAGCTTAGCTGTTCTTTTTGAAAGTTATTTGCAACAAACAATTCAAGTTTGAGATTTGGGAGGGCAGAATGCCCATATTCTGTGTTGATTGAAAGGAGATTCCTGGGCCTTAGGTCCCTGCTTTGGTTGAGAAGTTGTGATGATAATTAAAGAGCCTGCGTAGATTCTCACTAGAGGCAGGGCTCTGCCTTGAGTTGGGTCGGGGTGCCAACAGGCTGCTCTGGATTTATCCGAAGTCCTTATCAGGGTACCGGATGGGGCATTCAATGAAGTTTGCACCATAAAGCCCTAAGAACTCCAGGCTTGAAGATTCTCTGCAAAAAGTGTTACCATAGCCAGTCATTTTGGTTTGCCATAACCGATAAGGGCTTATCTTTCTGACAGCACTTACCAACCTAGTTCCTCTGATTTTTGAGTCATGTCCTAGAAAAAGAGCTGAGCCCAAGGAACTACAGCTTGGAGGATATATCTGATCTATCTGCGATGGCAGGAAAGCATGCATCTAGTTGATCTAAAAACTAGATGGCATTATTGAGGAGTTGGACAGGCGGTCTTAGGAACAACCTCGTTTTATACTTTTTAAAAATAGGAATTTACTTAAAGGCAACTTCCATCTGCTCTCATTCTGGCAGAGGTATTGTGATAAAGGCTTTCAGGAATGTCAACAGCTCAGGATTGGCATTAGCTCATAGATAATTCCCGTCTACTAAATTAAAGTCTATGAGAGATTGATGCATGCACCAGAGTCTTGAATTATTAGGCAAGGATCTTGCTAAAGCTGGACATGGGAAGGTTGCTATGAAACTCATTTCAAAGGCTGTGTAGGCCAACTCACCTCTGGGAAACCAACGCTTATTATTAAACCAATGCAACTGCTCAAAAACTAAAACTCCATCACTATCTAAGTTCCCCATCATGGTGTGTGAAATCATTTCCAGAAAACTCTTCAAAAGATACCGAATAAAAGGCATCACAGGCCGGGCACGGTGGCTCATGCCTGTAATCCCAGCACTTTGGGAGGCCCAGGCTGGTGGATCACCTGAGGTCAGGAGTTTGAGACCAGCCTGGCCAGCATGGTGAAACCCCATCTCTACTAGAAAAATACAAAAATTAGCCGGGTGTGGTGGTGCGCACCTGTAATCCCAGCTACTTGGGAGGCTGAGCCAGGAGAACCTGGCAGGCGGAGGTTGCAGTGAGCCGAGATCACGCCATTGCACTGCAGCCCAGGTGACAGAGTGAGACTCCATCTCAAAAAAAATAAATAAATAAAAATAAAAATAAAAAAAGCCATCACGAAAAGACATTTCTTTATCAGGTCAGCAAATTGATTGCTGGTTTCAATCTCTCAAGAAGTCAGATTCTTTTCAGACACTCCTTTGTGTTTCTTTACAATGTAATCAGTCATTCCAGGGTCAGCTATGAGGCACACTCCCCTGGCCTCCCTCATAAGCAATTTAATTGCAAAGGGTTAGCATACTATTTCTTCTCTGCTATTCTCAGAATTCTCAATTATGAAAACAAAAACAATAATTAAAAAGTTCTTCCAGCTGATTTTTTTTTTTTTTTTTTTTTTGAGACAGAGTCTCACTTAAACTCTGCTGCCCAGGCTGTAGTGCAGTGGTGCAATCTCTGCTCACTGCAACCTCTGCCTCCCACGTTCAACCAATTCTGCTGCCTTCCCCCCTGATCCCCGAGTAGCTGGGATTACAGGTGTGCACCACCACGTCCGGCTAACTTTTGTATTTTTAGTAGATGGGGTTTCGCCATGTTGGCCAGGCTGGTCTCGAACTCCTGACCTCAAGTGATCCGCCCGCTTAAGCCTCCCAAAGTGCTGGGATTACAGGCGTGAGCCACTGCGCCTAGCCCCACGTGCATTTTTTTTTTTAAGGGAGGCAGGAAAGAAGGCATTTGGGCCTCTTATCTGCAATTTTCTTCCGTGTAAACTTATGTGAAGGATCTGGAGTGGGACTTGGTGGCTTCAAGCCCTGGCTCCACTTCTTGATGGCTGCGCGACCTGGGTTAAGTCACGCAACCTCTCTGAACCCTAGTTTATTCATCTGTAAACAGGTCAATAATAGCACGAGATTCGCAGCGCGAGTGGAGCTCAAAGTGCAGGGTTGTCCCTGGTGAACCTATCACTTTTATATTTATCCTTTGATGAAGCCAGTACAATTCCTACCTGGTTAACCAGATACATCCCACCTCTTCCCTCGAGTTCGCCCTTCCCCCCGCCTCGTGAAGTCCTTGTTCTCTTAGCTGTCTTGAAAATCCTATGCATCAGCATGTAGGAAAGGGCGCGCCAGGCGGGGGAAGCCACCCCCGCCCAAGCGCCTCCGGCTTCCCTTATAAAGGGAGGGCCCCCTTCGCGACCGCAAGCGCGCCCAGGAAGACCACAGAGCCGCCGGTGCGCAGCGAGGTGGCGATACGCGCCCGGGCTCGGCCTGCGGGTGGTGGCCCAAGCGTCCGCCTCGCTGGCCTGGCAGGCGCGACTGTGCGTGCGCAGCCGAGGGTGGTGGCGGCCGGCACCCCACGCCAAGGGTGGTGGTGGCCGGCACCCCACCCTCGGCCGCCGCCTCCGCGTGTCAGGTGCCGTGAGAAGCGCGGGAGGAGCGGCCGCAGGCAGCGCCCAGGGATATGACTGGAGCCGACTTTCCAGAAGCGGCGCACGCAAAGCCCAGCTCCGCACGCAAAGGGGAGGCGACAGCAGAAACTTCAACCCGATAAAGTTCGCCGGAGCGCGGAGATTCGCCTCCTCCTGCCACTCTCCGCCCCGCTCGGGTCCCGCCCCGCTAGCTCCCCCAGGCCCCCCCAGTCGCCCCAGCTTGGCTCCCCGCCCTGCGCCAACGGCTTCCATCGCAGCCTGGGCGGCCCCGCGCCCACCAGCGGGCGGCGCCACCTGGAGTGGCCTCTACGCGGGAAATCTCAGGGCCAGCTGCGCCCCAGGAGCCTTTGTGTGCCCAAGCACTGTCGGGGCCCCGGGGCGGGGGAGCGGCTACTTTTAGGGATTCCTGATCTCGCCGCAAGAACTGGAAAAAATTTAGCATGCCAAAGAGCCTCCACTGAGGTGGCAATTTGTTTGCGAGAACCTAAGATAAAATTTAAACAACCAACCAGGGGCGCTGTGAGGCAAACCGCTGCCACTACACTGGCTTTCCGGGAAGCAAGCTCAAGTCGCGGAGAGGGAAGGGAGGTCGTGCGCTCGGGGCGGGGCGCGCTCCCAAGTCGAGCGCAGCGGCCGGGGCAGGTTGTACCGAGCGTGGTTCTGGGGACACCGTGCGGCCTCGATTGGAGGTGGCTGTGATGAAGCGCGGTTACCGCACAATGGAAACGTGGGCACCTCCGCTCCCATGAAAGCCTGCTGGTAGAGCTCCGAGGCCGGCCGGTGCGCCTGGACGGGAGTCCGGGTCAAAGCGGCCTGGTGTGCGGCGCGCCCCGCCCCCCGCAGGCCCCGCCCTGCCAGGTCGCGCTGCCCTCCTTCTACCCAGTCCTTAAAACCCGGAGGAGCGGGATGGCGCGCTTTGACTCTGGAGTGGGAGTGGGAGCGAGCGCTTCTGCGACTCCAGTTGTGAGAGCCGCAAGGGCATGGGAATTGACGCCACTCACCGACCCCCAGTCTCAATCTCAACGCTGTGAGGAAACCTCGACTTTGCCAGGTCCCCAAGGGCAGCGGGGCTCGGCGAGCGAGGCACCCTTCTCCGTCCCCATCCCAATCCAAGCGCTCCTGGCACTGACGACGCCAAGAGACTCGAGTGGGAGTTAAAGCTTCCAGTGAGGGCAGCAGGTGTCCAGGCCGGGCCTGCGGGTTCCTGTTGACGTCTTGCCCTAGGCAAAGGTCCCAGTTCCTTCTCGGAGCCGGCTGTCCCGCGCCACTGGAAACCGCACCTCCCCGCAGGTCAGTCTGTCTGCCGAGGCGCTGCCCGGCGACCTCTTCAGATGGATTATTACAGGTAGCGGGTGGCGTGGTAGGTACTTTAAAGGAAATCAAGCGCCACCGCCTCGATGCCCGCAGCGTTGTCCCCAGATTGCAGGAACCGTTACGCGCCTTGCGGGGAGGGGAAGGGTTTGGCGCTGGGTTACAGCGAGGTGGAAACACGCCCCTTCTCTTCTCCAAGGGAGAGTGGGTTGGGGATGGGAAGGGGCGTCTTCGGCCATTTCTCCAGAGAGTCAGCTCCGACCTCTCCACCCAACGGCACTCAGTCCCCAGAGGCTGGGGTAGGGGCGTGGGGCGCCCGCTCCTGTCTCTGCACCCCTGAGTGTCACGCCTTCTCCTCTCTGTCCCCAGCATGGGCACCAGCCTCAGCCCGAACGACCCTTGGCCGCTAAACCCGCTGTCCATCCAGCAGACCACGCTCCTGCTACTCCTGTCGGTGCTGGCCACTGTGCATGTGGGCCAGCGGCTGCTGAGGCAACGGAGGCGGCAGCTCCGGTCCGCGCCCCCGGGCCCGTTTGCGTGGCCACTGATCGGAAACGCGGCGGCGGTGGGCCAGGCGGCTCACCTCTCGTTCGCTCGCCTGGCGCGGCGCTACGGCGACGTTTTCCAGATCCGCCTGGGCAGCTGCCCCATAGTGGTGCTGAATGGCGAGCGCGCCATCCACCAGGCCCTGGTGCAGCAGGGCTCGGCCTTCGCCGACCGGCCGGCCTTCGCCTCCTTCCGTGTGGTGTCCGGCGGCCGCAGCATGGCTTTCGGCCACTACTCGGAGCACTGGAAGGTGCAGCGGCGCGCAGCCCACAGCATGATGCGCAACTTCTTCACGCGCCAGCCGCGCAGCCGCCAAGTCCTCGAGGGCCACGTGCTGAGCGAGGCGCGCGAGCTGGTGGCGCTGCTGGTGCGCGGCAGCGCGGACGGCGCCTTCCTCGACCCGAGGCCGCTGACCGTCGTGGCCGTGGCCAACGTCATGAGTGCCGTGTGTTTCGGCTGCCGCTACAGCCACGACGACCCCGAGTTCCGTGAGCTGCTCAGCCACAACGAAGAGTTCGGGCGCACGGTGGGCGCGGGCAGCCTGGTGGACGTGATGCCCTGGCTGCAGTACTTCCCCAACCCGGTGCGCACCGTTTTCCGCGAATTCGAGCAGCTCAACCGCAACTTCAGCAACTTCATCCTGGACAAGTTCTTGAGGCACTGCGAAAGCCTTCGGCCCGGGGCCGCCCCCCGCGACATGATGGACGCCTTTATCCTCTCTGCGGAAAAGAAGGCGGCCGGGGACTCGCACGGTGGTGGCGCGCGGCTGGATTTGGAGAACGTACCGGCCACTATCACTGACATCTTCGGCGCCAGCCAGGACACCCTGTCCACCGCGCTGCAGTGGCTGCTCCTCCTCTTCACCAGGTAAAGCCTCTGGGAGGCGTGGGCCAGGTCTTTTCTCCTCTGAAAAAGGCGGAGTAGAGACAGAATATGCTGAGTTTGCAAGCAGGGCCCCGGGTTTGGGGTTTCGCTCCAGGTCCCCACCCCTCAAAACCAAGATCGCGTCGGTAAAGGGACTCACAGTGAGGGCTGCGACACGCGCACGCGCCCCACCCAGCGGTGCCCCGACCCCTCCGGTCTCCTATCTTGTCTCTATCGTCCCCTCCCCTGCTTGCGAGTGAGAACACATTTGCAAAGACCCCTCCACCCCCCGGAAAAACAAGAGTTTTTAAATGCTTGGAGATGAGCCCTGATATCTCTCTCCCTGGCGCATTACAATCAGAACTGGAATAGTTCCGAAAGAAAAGGTAATGTCATAAATATGTTAAACACAGCAGCCTCTCCTAGGCTAGTCCTCGGCGTGCATCCGAGGCCGCCCAGCCCTGGCGCTAAAAGCGGGCCGCCCGTCAGGGCTTTGTTCCAGGCCAAGGAAGCCCATGGAGGCCGGGCCAGCCGACAGGTAACCCGCACAGAAACTTTCAGAAGGCGGCCACAACTAGCGGGCAGCGCTAGGTTTATAAAACCTCCGCGCTAGGAGTTTGAGAAATGCCGGGGTAGAAGACAAGAAGCAGTCACTTTTACGAAAGCAGAGTAGCATTCAGAAAGGCAGATGGGATATCCAGGAGGCGCCTGCAGACGTTTCTGGCCCCTGCGCTTGGCTCAGTTAGCGGACCCCCTGATGCCCACGTTGGTCTCTACTAAGCACGGATTCAACAGGTCCCTGGTGTCGGGTTGCCAGATTTGGCAAAAGAAAAGTAAGTTTTACACGGGAATACTCACACTAAAAGATTAGCCCTTGTTGATCTGAAATCCATATTTAACTGGGCGGCCTGTAGTATTTACTGTGGAAACACTATCCCTAGGGGCAAATGTTTCGCAAGGCAAATTTTGATTGCCGAAGAGACCAGAAATCCTGGTTTTGTGTCATTTCTTGGAGCACAAGTGAGCAGTTGGAGATGCTGAATCTGCAGGCGCCACAGAAAGGTGTTTGGAAGGCAGAGAATGACTCTTTCCTTATTAAAATCCACTGCAATCTATATTTCCTTAGATACTGTACAGCTACCTTCACAAATTAAAAGTTTCTGTATACTTAAAATGGCTTTTTAGTATTAAAATCATAGAAACACCCATGGTGGGTGAGGGAGAGGCAGAAATCGAATAAAGAAAAGTCAACCAGAGATCAGGGAAAAGGAAATCCCGGAATAGGTTCCATAGGTTTTTGTGCATCCGCAGATAGGCATTTTAACTTTTGAAACGGCCTTTGTTTTTCATTAGAACCACAATAGTTCTCCGAGTACTCCAATTAGGCGGCAAAAAGAAATAAAACAATTTGGAGGTCACTTTCAATTCAATATGCTGATACTTTTTTTTTCCTTTTTAGTGAAAAGACGTATGACAGGGCTTGGCAAATTACACGATCTGTTTTTGTATATACGTTTTATTGACGCAGTCATGCCCATTCATTTATACATTGTCGATGGCTGCGTTCACTCTACAACACAAGGCAGAGCAGAGTAGTGCAACAAAGAGGGTTTGGTCCACAAAGTCTAAAATAGATACTCTCTGGCTCTCCCCACCATACATGTTTCTATGAAAAAAGTTGGCAGACTCCTGCAATATAATGTTGAAGAAGCGATTCTAAAAATAACTCCACTTCATCACATACGTGTATACATTTTTTTTCGGAGTTGCAAACAATCAGTTACTTGTTTTTTGACTTCTAACACTTTGACTCAAGGTAGTGGACATTTCTAATCTTTTAATATTTATTTTGGTAATTTTTGATGGCTATATAGTATTTTGCTATGATAATGTATAGTTATATATAATCATTTATTGAACTTTAATGTTGGTCATTGGCCTTGATTGCATTTTTAAAATTTTTATTTTAATTTTATGTATTTACTTACCTTAGAGACAGGGTCTCACTACCTTACCCAGGCTGGTCCCAAACTCCTGGGCTCAAGCAGTTCTCCCGCCGCTGTCTGGCAGGTAGCTGGGGCTACAGGCGTGTACCACCATGCCTGGCTAATTTTTAGAATTTTAGGTCCTGTTGTGGTTACATATTTTTGTATCTCTTAAATTATTTTCTGAAAATACATTTCTAGGCATGGATTACTGGGTTTAAAATGAGGCGGGAAGAGGTTACCTTCATGTCTCTTGCCTCGTATTAAGATTTTGTTTTTTAAAAAGATTGTATCAGTTTGTATCATCAACAGTGAATAAGTACTACAGTTTGTACCATAATTTTATGAACATTGGGTATTTGCTTTCAAATTTAAAAAATACAGTATGTAGCTTTATCCATCAGGACACCAATTATCTTTGTATAAAATGAGAACAGCATGTCTGTTGGAATTGTCCAGGGAAATGAGGGAGAAAAAAAATTTACTTTCACATTGTAACTTTCGTGGGCCCTGGGTGCTTTTGCCTTTGTAGATTCCTTATACTATAAAAAAATTAAAAATTAAATTTCATGACTACCCTGATATAAAGATGAATGCATTAAAATGATGTATGAAAATATTTTCTTCTAACTAAAAGTGAGTTTTTTTAGGTCTGAAGATTGTAAAAGACGTAAAAATATTTTCATGGGCCCCTAAAAAGTGTTGTGAGCCCTAGGCACTGTCCCTGCGGTACCCAATGGAAAAGTCAGCCTTATCTACTATTGTGCTTTTTGAGGCTGGGAAAACTTAAGAGTTTTTTGACTTATAATGGGAAAGACAGCATTAGTCATGCAAGGCCTATTACAGGAAATATAATTCTTAAAGTCCATCTTGTAATTTAGTGAGAAATTAGGAAGCTGTTTTAGATTTTTTTCCCAGAAATATTAATTTAGTCACTGAGCTAGATAGCCTATTTAAGAAAAAGTGGAATTAAAATAAATTATAATGTGCTTTCTAGATGAAATAAGAATTTTGCTCACTTGCTTTTCTCTCTCCACATTAAACACCAAACAGGTATCCTGATGTGCAGACTCGAGTGCAGGCAGAATTGGATCAGGTCGTGGGGAGGGACCGTCTGCCTTGTATGGGTGACCAGCCCAACCTGCCCTATGTCCTGGCCTTCCTTTATGAAGCCATGCGCTTCTCCAGCTTTGTGCCTGTCACTATTCCTCATGCCACCACTGCCAACACCTCTGTCTTGGGCTACCACATTCCCAAGGACACTGTGGTTTTTGTCAACCAGTGGTCTGTGAATCATGACCCACTGAAGTGGCCTAACCCGGAGAACTTTGATCCAGCTCGATTCTTGGACAAGGATGGCCTCATCAACAAGGACCTGACCAGCAGAGTGATGATTTTTTCAGTGGGCAAAAGGCGGTGCATTGGCGAAGAACTTTCTAAGATGCAGCTTTTTCTCTTCATCTCCATCCTGGCTCACCAGTGCGATTTCAGGGCCAACCCAAATGAGCCTGCGAAAATGAATTTCAGTTATGGTCTAACCATTAAACCCAAGTCATTTAAAGTCAATGTCACTCTCAGAGAGTCCATGGAGCTCCTTGATAGTGCTGTCCAAAATTTACAAGCCAAGGAAACTTGCCAATAAGAAGCAAGAGGCAAGCTGAAATTTTAGAAATATTCACATCTTCGGAGATGAGGAGTAAAATTCAGTTTTTTTCCAGTTCCTCTTTTGTGCTGCTTCTCAATTAGCGTTTAAGGTGAGCATAAATCAACTGTCCATCAGGTGAGGTGTGCTCCATACCCAGCGGTTCTTCATGAGTAGTGGGCTATGCAGGAGCTTCTGGGAGATTTTTTTGAGTCAAAGACTTAAAGGGCCCAATGAATTATTATATACATACTGCATCTTGGTTATTTCTGAAGGTAGCATTCTTTGGAGTTAAAATGCACATATAGACACATACACCCAAACACTTACACCAAACTACTGAATGAAGCAGTATTTTGGTAACCAGGCCATTTTTGGTGGGAATCCAAGATTGGTCTCCCATATGCAGAAATAGACAAAAAGTATATTAAACAAAGTTTCAGAGTATATTGTTGAAGAGACAGAGACAAGTAATTTCAGTGTAAAGTGTGTGATTGAAGGTGATAAGGGAAAAGATAAAGACCAGAAATTCCCTTTTCACCTTTTCAGGAAAATAACTTAGACTCTAGTATTTATGGGTGGATTTATCCTTTTGCCTTCTGGTATACTTCCTTACTTTTAAGGATAAATCATAAAGTCAGTTGCTCAAAAAGAAATCAATAGTTGAATTAGTGAGTATAGTGGGGTTCCATGAGTTATCATGAATTTTAAAGTATGCATTATTAAATTGTAAAACTCCAAGGTGATGTTGTACCTCTTTTGCTTGCCAAAGTACAGAATTTGAATTATCAGCAAAGAAAAAAAAAAAAGCCAGCCAAGCTTTAAATTATGTGACCATAATGTACTGATTTCAGTAAGTCTCATAGGTTAAAAAAAAAAGTCACCAAATAGTGTGAAATATATTACTTAACTGTCCGTAAGCAGTATATTAGTATTATCTTGTTCAGGAAAAGGTTGAATAATATATGCCTTGTATAATATTGAAAATTGAAAAGTACAACTAACGCAACCAAGTGTGCTAAAAATGAGCTTGATTAAATCAACCACCTATTTTTGACATGGAAATGAAGCAGGGTTTCTTTTCTTCACTCAAATTTTGGCGAATCTCAAAATTAGATCCTAAGATGTGTTCTTATTTTTATAACATCTTTATTGAAATTCTATTTATAATACAGAATCTTGTTTTGAAAATAACCTAATTAATATATTAAAATTCCAAATTCATGGCATGCTTAAATTTTAACTAAATTTTAAAGCCATTCTGATTATTGAGTTCCAGTTGAAGTTAGTGGAAATCTGAACATTCTCCTGTGGAAGGCAGAGAAATCTAAGCTGTGTCTGCCCAATGAATAATGGAAAATGCCATGAATTACCTGGATGTTCTTTTTACGAGGTGACAAGAGTTGGGGACAGAACTCCCATTACAACTGACCAAGTTTCTCTTCTAGATGATTTTTTGAAAGTTAACATTAATGCCTGCTTTTTGGAAAGTCAGAATCAGAAGATAGTCTTGGAAGCTGTTTGGAAAAGACAGTGGAGATGAGGTCAGTTGTGTTTTTTAAGATGGCAATTACTTTGGTAGCTGGGAAAGCATAAAGCTCAAATGAAATGTATGCATTCACATTTAGAAAAGTGAATTGAAGTTTCAAGTTTTAAAGTTCATTGCAATTAAACTTCCAAAGAAAGTTCTACAGTGTCCTAAGTGCTAAGTGCTTATTACATTTTATTAAGCTTTTTGGAATCTTTGTACCAAAATTTTAAAAAAGGGAGTTTTTGATAGTTGTGTGTATGTGTGTGTGGGGTGGGGGGATGGTAAGAGAAAAGAGAGAAACACTGAAAAGAAGGAAAGATGGTTAAACATTTTCCCACTCATTCTGAATTAATTAATTTGGAGCACAAAATTCAAAGCATGGACATTTAGAAGAAAGATGTTTGGCGTAGCAGAGTTAAATCTCAAATAGGCTATTAAAAAAGTCTACAACATAGCAGATCTGTTTTGTGGTTTGGAATATTAAAAAACTTCATGTAATTTTATTTTAAAATTTCATAGCTGTACTTCTTGAATATAAAAAATCATGCCAGTATTTTTAAAGGCATTAGAGTCAACTACACAAAGCAGGCTTGCCCAGTACATTTAAATTTTTTGGCACTTGCCATTCCAAAATATTATGCCCCACCAAGGCTGAGACAGTGAATTTGGGCTGCTGTAGCCTATTTTTTTAGATTGAGAAATGTGTAGCTGCAAAAATAATCATGAACCAATCTGGATGCCTCATTATGTCAACCAGGTCCAGATGTGCTATAATCTGTTTTTACGTATGTAGGCCCAGTCGTCATCAGATGCTTGCGGCAAAAGGAAAGCTGTGTTTATATGGAAGAAAGTAAGGTGCTTGGAGTTTACCTGGCTTATTTAATATGCTTATAACCTAGTTAAAGAAAGGAAAAGAAAACAAAAAACGAATGAAAATAACTGAATTTGGAGGCTGGAGTAATCAGATTACTGCTTTAATCAGAAACCCTCATTGTGTTTCTACCGGAGAGAGAATGTATTTGCTGACAACCATTAAAGTCAGAAGTTTTACTCCAGGTTATTGCAATAAAGTATAATGTTTATTAAATGCTTCATTTGTATGTCAAAGCTTTGACTCTATAAGCAAATTGCTTTTTTCCAAAACAAAAAGATGTCTCAGGTTTGTTTTGTGAATTTTCTAAAAGCTTTCATGTCCCAGAACTTAGCCTTTACCTGTGAAGTGTTACTACAGCCTTAATATTTTCCTAGTAGATCTATATTAGATCAAATAGTTGCATAGCAGTATATGTTAATTTGTGTGTTTTTAGCTGTGACACAACTGTGTGATTAAAAGGTATACTTTAGTAGACATTTATAACTCAAGGATACCTTCTTATTTAATCTTTTCTTATTTTTGTACTTTATCATGAATGCTTTTAGTGTGTGCATAATAGCTACAGTGCATAGTTGTAGACAAAGTACATTCTGGGGAAACAACATTTATATGTAGCCTTTACTGTTTGATATACCAAATTAAAAAAAAATTGTATCTCATTACTTATACTGGGACACCATTACCAAAATAATAAAAATCACTTTCATAATCTTGTTATGAAGTTTTATGTTGTAGCAAATATAGTCTAATGTATCACTTTATTTCAACTATTACTATGGATTATTCAATTAAAATATTGCACTGTAAACATTTTATTTGTCCATTCTACATTTCAGGCCGAGGCCACATGCTTTTTTTTCCCGTAGGTTTTCATCAACCAAATTTCTAATCTCTATATTTTTGAATTTCTAAGAACCAACACGGAGGTTACATTTCAATCAAACAATCAAGCCAAATGAGAATTAATTTGCAATGTTGAAAGATTGAATAGATTGCGACTTTAAGTTGCTGATCGATTTCTGCTTCATCTAAAGAATGCAGTACACATTTTTCTTCCTCAGCCTCATACCAGTCCTTTCTCTGAGTATTTTCTTCTTTCATTTTTTTAAAGGTACATGTGCCTCAATTAGTGCAATTAATGTCCAATAAAATAAGATGGGTACAAGTATTCTGTCATGTACTATGTGGAAATGTTTTATTGCCAATCTTTTTACTTGGTAAAAATACTTGACTTCACAGGGCCTAGGTCATGACTCTCCAGGCCTTCACTGTGCCACACTCACAGATGACAGGGCTTGCGGTACCAAAGGCTCTTTATCTTCCAGACTACAGCTCCTATTAATGTGAAAACAGGAAAAGAAGTAAAAATTGCACAAAATGGCATTGAAACTTTGGCGTGGGAACCTCACTTTAGCAGCCAGAAGGTATGGCTATGGAGTGGTTTAAGAGAATACTCACTAGTTTTCCAGATGTATGACAGTAGGATCTTGGAAATGTCAGGACAGTTAAGAATAAGTGAAGGAAATATTTTCATGGGAAAAATATTCCTTTAAATAATTATAATTGGGGCCAGTTTTTGCACAACTGTCTAGCAGAGTTGGATTCTACCCAATCAATCCAACAGAGTATAAGACCGGAGTACAGGGTGGGAAATGAATGCAGCTTTGGACATAAGTAAGACAGGCGTGGTTGTTAGAAACTCACAGAGGTTGTTTCTTCAACCTCAACGCCAGTCTGTTTTTCTGCACCAGTGCAACAGAAGTTCACTGGCTGTTAACTCTCCGTTTTTTGGCTCAGTGACTCTCACATGCTCTCTGCTCTCCAGTTTCAGTCTATTAGTTATAAATCTCAGAAAGTGAAAAGGAAAGAAGAAAAAAATTAAATATATTCAAATACATTTAAAAGCAATTTTTTTAACTTGGAATTATGGAGGAAAATAATCTAGTTTACATAGGTATGGACACGCTATGGGTAACAGCTCATGCTTGTAGCACCTCTGCTAAGCGACATACAGGCTTTGAGGACAAATGCTGTGCTCTTCATGCACACTTTTCAACATGTGTCAGATATGGAGGGAAGAAATGGAACTAAAATATGTTGAGCACTTACAATTTTTGCATCACTATGCTAAACTCTAATGCATTATTGCCTAACAGTCTTCAGAGGGATGCGATAAAGTAATGGGCCAAAATTATATATTTAGAAGTATTCTCATCCAGATTTTCCCTGGAGATGAACTAATTCAAAGCCCATTATCTTTGTACCCTAGTTTGTCCCTTCCCAGTGTGCCTGTGTTTGGATTTATAGGGTAGTCCGTCTATTTTTTTAGGCCATAAGATCCTGGGAGTTTCGCAAGCAATTTACTTCCTTTGTCTAAGGCACATTCCACACTACAGACAGGCAGTAACTGACATTGTGCGGGAATCCTCACCACACTGCTCTCTTCTGAGAAAAGCCCCTTTAAACTGTTCTTTAGGCAAAACCAAAAGCCAAACAAACAAGCAGTCATGCTTTGTCTTATAATCCTAAAACTTCTGTCCTAGAACCTGTCTGGACCAAGGTTCCTTGTTGGAGCCAGGGCCATCCTTAGGCTGGTCCAGTTTCCTGGGACATGGCCTGTCCATCTGATAGCCATGCATCACCTAAGTGTTGGTGTATGTGGCTCATCAGAACCCTTCCGTCTCTCAGAGCCCGTGAGCACTGGCCAGAGGGAGAGAGAAGAACCAAGGCACGAAACAAGCTTTTTGATGGGAAGCTTGCCTTTGCAAACAGAATGACTGGACCTACCAGAACTAGTTTTGAATCATTTGAGGCCCCTTTAGGTGAGACAATGTTATACAGTAGAAGCCTAACAGCACTGAGATCCCTTTGGGTCAGAGCTAAGAGTCATTGAGCAAGCCCGAAAAATCAGCCAGCCTCTTTCTTTTTCTTTTTTTTTTTAAAATTTATTCCTATTTCCTTACATTTGTTTCTCTCTCTCTCAATGGATAAGTATTACAATATGCTTAATATGCACTTTTTGTTTGCGTGTTCCAGCAAAATTTGTATTATTGTTTTGAATATATATGTTTTACTTTATGTAAGTGCTGTACATATCTCATCCTGTTGCTTAATCTTTTCTCAGCTCCATCCCTGTGTAATTCCATAGCTTATAGCTGCTGCCTAGTATTCCATGGTACTTATCCACCACATTTTTTCTATCCACTCTCTTGGGAATAGATACCTGGATAACTTCCAACTTTGTGAGCCCCTAAATGATGCAGCGAGGAACAGCTTGGTATGTGTTTACTTGCCCTCCTATGTAAACTTTGTAATGCATGCCATACGCATGATTAGAAGTGTTGGGTCAGCAAGTGAGTGCGTTATGTAATTTAAATATTGCATGTTCTCCAGAATGCCAAATCTGTCCACACTCCCATCAGCTGTGCATGAGGGGAAGCTGTACCCACTTCCCCACCAACACATGGCATGACCTCTTTATTTTTAAATGAAATATATCCTCTTGGGAGAGAGATGCATTACATAGATTTTTTTTTTTTAACGAGGAAAAAGACATCTACCCTCATTTTTCAATACTTCCCATAGTCATATTTGTGTTTACATCATATCTCCACTATTCGATGGTATATTCATTGAAAAGCAGGGACTAAGTCCCAACAATTTTGTTATGGAATCATATTGTATATACAGAAGCAAGGGTGAAAAAAGGGGAGTGAGTTTTGTCGCACCTGCTTCTCAGCACTGATGATCTCTTCACCTTCTCCATGACTCAGTTTTCAATTGGTACTCTTGAAGTCTAACCTGTTTCTTTCTTTCTTTTTTTTTTTGAGATGGAGTCTCGCTCTGTCACCCAGGCTGGAGTGCCATGGTATGATCTCAGCTCACTGCAACCTCCGCCTCCCAGGTTCAAGTGATTCTCCTGTCTCAGCCCCCCGAGTAGCTGGGACTACAGGCATACACCACCATGTCTGGCTAATTTTTGTATTTTTAGTAGACACGAGGTTTCACCATGTTGGTTAGGCTAGTCTCAAACTCCTGATCTACCCGCCTCGGACTCCCAAAGTACTGGGATTACAGGTGTGAACCAATGCACCCGGCCCCTAATCTCAGTTTCTTCTCTTTGCTTACAAATTGAGCTTATTCAAGGTTTTTAGGTTTCTGCTTAGTCACTATGAAGAAAGCAGAAATGCCAACTCAATGGCTTCCAATTTTTTAAACCATAGCCTCACAGTATGCAATATATTTTACATGATTTAGTACATATCTCTACATGTGATTGTGTGTACTTCATAGATATATATTTATGTATGTATATATACACACACACACATACACACACACAAACAGGATTCACTATTGTTTTCTGTGATGGAATATATTTTTAAATTTTTTTCATAAGAAATGCAGCACAGTGAAATACTACTACAAACCTATCATAGTGGCTAAATTTTTAAAAAAATGACAAAACTGATAACATATACCAAGTATTGGGGAGGATGTGAAACTACTGGAACTTTCATACATTGCTTGGGAAAGTGCAAAACGCTACAGTATGAGAAGTGTCTGTTCATATCCTTCGCCCACTTTTTGATGGGGTTGTTTGTTTTTTTCTTGTAAATTTGTTTGAGTTCATTGTAGATTCTGGATATTAGCCCTTTGTCAGATGAGTAGGTTGCAAAAATTTTCTCCCATTCTGTAGGTTGCCTGTTCACTCTGATGGTAGTTTCTTTTGCTGTGCAGAAGCTCTTTAGTTTAATTAGATCCCATTTGTCAATTTTGGCTTTTGTTGCCATTACTTTTGGTGTTTTAGACATGAAGTCCTTGCCCATGCCTATGTCCTGAATGGTATTGCCTAAGTTTTCTTCTAGGGTTTTTATGGTTTTAGGTCTAACATTTAAGTCTTCAATCCATCTTGAATTAAAAACACATGAAAAAATGCTCATCATCACTGGCCATCAGAGAAATGCAAATCAAAACCACAATGAGATACCATCTCACACCAGTTAGAATGGCGATCATTAAAAAGTCAGGAAACAACAGGTGCTGGAGAGGATGTGGAGAAATAGGAACACTTTTACACTGTTGGTGGGACTGTAAACTAGTTCAACCGTTGTAGAAGTCAGTGTGGCGATTCCTGAGGGATCTAGAACTAGAAATACCATTTGACCCAGCAATCCCATTACTGGGTATATACCCAAAGGATTATAAATCATGCTGCTATAAAGACACATGCACATGTATGTTTATAGTGGCACTATTCACAATAGCAAAGACTTGGAACCAACCCAAATGTCCAACAACGATAGACTGGATTAAGAAAATATGGCACATATACACCATGGAATACTATGCAACCATAAAAAATGATGAGTTCATGTCCTTTGTAGGGACATGGATGAAACTGTAAACCATCATTCTCAGCAAACTATGGCAGGGACAAAAAACCAAACACCGCATGTTCTCACTCATAGGTGGGAATTGAACAATGAGAACACATGCACACAGGAAGGGGAACATCACACACTGGGGACTGTTGTGGGGGGGGGGAAGGGGGGAGGGATAGCATTTGGAGATATACCTAATGCTAAATGACAAGTTAATGGGTGCAGCACACCAACATGGTACATGTATACATATGTAACAAACCTGCACATTGTGCACATGTACCCTAAAACTTAAAGTATAATAATAATAAAATTAAAAAAAAATGCTACAGTATGACCCCACTCCTGGGTATTTATCCTAGAGAAATGAAAACACATTCACACAAAAGCTATACATGAATGTTTACAGCAGCTGCATTCATCATGACTTCATACTGAAAACAACCTAAATTTCCTTCAAAGGGCAATTAGTTATACAAAATCTGTTACATCCACCCAATGGAATACTACTCGGTAATAAAAAAGAATGAACCATTGATACACACAACAACTTGAATGAATCTCAAGGGAATTATGTTGAGTAAAATAAGTCAGCTTCAAAAGGTTACACACTGCACAATTCCATTGCTACGACAGCCTCTGAGAGACAAAAGTGTCATGATGAAGAGTAGATCAGTGGTTGTCGAGGGTTAAAGGGGAGGGAGAGTACTACAAAAGGATAGCCTGGTGGAGTTTTGGAAGGTTTTCTGATTGTGACAGTGGTTACATGGATGTATACATGTGTTAAAATTCACACAACTACACCAAAAAGTGATGAAAAGTGATTGGAAAAAATGTTAAAGGGGAATTGGTGCAAATGAACTTAAGTGAAGCTGAACTGACATTGGCAGGTAGCATGGCAGCTGCTGGCAGACAAGGAAACGAGATGGCAACACTGAACAAAGAAGGTCAGGCCTAGAGATGTGAACAAGGATCATGGCCTGTGCTGAAGTCCTTGCAGGAGAGGTAAAGTGGTGCCAGATTCTCAGAGCAGAACAGGAGGCAGAATACCAGCCTTTGGGATGAGCAACAGCTGGAACCTCCCAGCCGAGGCAATTTTAATTCAATGTCATAAGTGTTAATTGAGCACCTATTAGTAGGCAGACACTGTTTGGGGCACTGATGATATAATAATGAACAAGGCACCCAGGCCCTGACCTCATGGAGCTGATATTCTAGTGGGATGGGTGGCAGGAGAGAAAATAAGATTTCAGTTAATTATAAGTGGTATATGTGTGTATGTGTGTGTGTGTGTGTGTACTGTGTGTGAGGGGGCACTGTTTAGAATGAGTAGTCAGGGAAGCCTTCCTGAAGGAGGCAACACCAAGGGGTGGGCATTAAGGACAAGCTTCCTCTTACATCCTCTCCATGTGAAGAAAATACAGGCACTGAGTTACCAGATAGTATAATTACCTTAAAAAAAAAAGAGGGTTGCAATTCATTAAATTGATTTTTATGGTCACAAAATCAGGGCAGTCTGAAGTAAAATAATCTCAGCGCACTCCACAGCAGATGACATTGGCCCATAATCAGCACTGGCTTCTGGCTTGGCCGATGGCACTGGTGGGTCCAGACCGTTCCCTGCCATTGACTCTTGAGCTCATTCCAATCATCTTCCCCTTGGAGCACTGAAGCAAATCTGATAACTCAGTGCCTGCATTTCCTTCACATGGGGAGGATGTAAGAGGACACTTGTCCTTAATGCCCACTCCTTGGTGTTGCCTCCTTCAGGAAGGCTTCCCTGACTACTCACTTGTTCCTAAAGAATAACCAGAGAACAAACAGGCTCTTGGAACTAACATACTTTTCAACAATGCCTTTAAATATAATTTAAAATGGCCTGATGATTCTTTAATTTTATGTGCACCAAAGGACTCCACACTGATTCTTTTAAGCACTTAATGGAACTTCTCCTGGAACATTTTCTACACTATGTCTAGCCTTTGAGTCAAAGTTTTATTATATCTGATTGAAAAAGATTTCCACCCTCATCCCAGTGGGGTTGCTGAGAAAAGCAGGCAGCCTCGTGTTCTGTTTGGGGGGATCTCCCATCCCCTGGTGTTGTGCTGTGTACCCAGCATGCTTTCCTGGCTGTCTCTAACTTTATTGTTTAACCCCACAGCCCTTGGCCATTATCTAGGCCATTGGACCCCACAAGTCAGGTCATATCAGCTTTGAGAGCACCACTCAGCTCCCAGACCCACAATACTGAAAGCTGCTGGTGTCCACTGGATCTGGTGGATGTTTGTGAATCCCAGGATGCTCTGAGCTTGTCTTTCCTGCACCTCCCCTGTCACTCTCCCTGCTCACATTCAGAAGGCCAAAGGGCCACCTCTGTTCTCTTACTGCACATCCCAGCAATCAGTATTTAAATTTGAGACTCTTATTCTGCAATTCCCACAGCCCGCAAGCAAATCCAGTTGGCATTCTAGAGCTTGGCACTGATATTGAGGAAAAAAGTGGGGAAACACAGGCTGGACAAAGCGGTGGAAGAATAAGGTTAACTTTTCACTGTGTGTTTTCCAATGTGGTTTCCAGGAATGATTGCTGTAAAAATGGGCAAGCCTGCCTGCTCTCTTGTTTTGATTTCTAACTTCAAGAGATAGCTCTGGAAACGTCTATCAAGGCCTTGTTAATAAAAAACAAAATGGTCGGGTGTGGTGGCTCATGCCTGTAATCCCAGCACTTTGGGAGGCCAAGGCTGGCGGATCATGAGGTCAGGAGATCGAGACCATCCTGCGTAACACAGTGAAATCCTGTCTCTACTAAAAAAAATAAAATAAAATAAAATAAAATAAAATAAAATAAAATAAAATAAAATAAAATAAAATAGCTGGGCGTCGTGGCACACACCTGTAGTCCCAGCTACTCGGGAGGCTGAGGCAGGAAAATCATTTGAACCTGAGAGGCGGAGGTTGCAGTGAGCCGAGATCGAGTCACTGCACTCCAGCCTGGGTGACAGAGCGAGACTCCGTCTCAAAAACAAAAAAACAAAAACAAAAACAAAAAAAACCAACGACAACAAAAAACCACACACACACAAAACCCTGTCCTTCTTCTTCAGTGCCCCGCCAGGGCTTATTTTCTTTGCAACAGAGTGTAGGGGAGTTTAGGTCATCATACAGACCTGCCCTTGGCTCTGCAGAGGTCAGCACCTTTCTCATTTTCTTTGCCCACGTCCCTACATCAGTCTAGCTTGAGTTCATCTCTCATCTCTCTAATGAAGCCTCCTCTGACCACATTATTTAATACTTAGCCTGCCCCCACAAGCTCCCTCGACATGCCTACCTTGCTCTACTTTTTCTGTTCCCTACGCTCCCAACACATAAAACATTTATTTCCTGTTAATATAACATAAAATAACCTTTACATTTTGATGATGATTTACTGTCTGTCTCCGTCCCCACTCCAGTTCCCAGGATATAAACTCTACAGGGGTGGACATTTTTATGTTCCTTGGAAAGTGGAATATCCAATCATCTTGCTGGATTTTCTACACAATATCCAACCACTGGTTTGCATTATATTTTAAATTCTGATGGTATGATCACTGCCCAAATAATCTACTCACAAAAAGAAATTAGTTAAGCCAGCTGTTTATTGTCCTACTGACCTGTGCTGTACAATGTAGTAGCCACTAGTCACATGTGGCTATTTAAATTTAAATTAATTAAAATTAAAAAAATTAAAAAATCAATTCCTTATTCACATCAGCCTTATTTCAGGTGCTTGGAAGCCACATGGGGATAGTGGCTACTGTTGTGAGAGGCACAGATATAAAACGCTTCCATCATAGCGGAAAGTTCTATTGGACAGTGCTTCTATAATTGAACCCATTTCAATTTATTGGACGTTTTACTTTTATTCAATTGGTAACTATTTATTACTACTTTGGGTAAAACACTATGATAAGAATCATGAGAAATACTCAGGGAGGATTCAGGGGCCCCTCCTCCGAGTAAGTGAGTGTGAACATAAATATAATATAAAGATACATACACAAGAGTTTTCAGGTAGTTTCAGATAATGTGCTTCAAGGAAAGGAGAGATTTGCGTTTTCCAATGACCTGGCTTTTTCCCATAGGCAGAGGAGCCAACATCTCCAGTGGAAAATAAACTCAGGTCGCAATAGGAAATAAAAGAAAGCTTCTTAGAGTAGGTAGGTCTGAAACAGAAAACTGCCCATAACCTCAGTTCTGAAACACAGAAAACGAACACCTTGATAAAAGTAAGGAAGACGATCCACATAAGGTTATATTTTGGTGGAAAAGTTAACTCCAAACAAGGAAATTCAAAGCTATGGTTCCTTATGTTCTATGGGTTCTGCTCTTGCTTCTCCTTCACCTTTGCCTTGGGACAAGCAGCCCCCACACCTGCAGACACAATTTCTGGTCCTGAAGTCCCCTGCCTGAGCAGAGCTGAGAAAAGCTGATGAGGGCTAACAGAATCTGGGGCGTTGCTTCTCCAAGCCTTCCCTTCCAAGGCTGGGAATTAAAGTTCAAAGAGGGTCTTCCCCTCATGCTGCTTCTTCCTGCAGGGCAAAGCTTGAAGGCTTGACCTAAAGAGCTATGTCAATGGATGATGAGAGATTGAATGCTATTTTTCAGATACCTGAGATTTTTCCACCCTGGGCTCCTTCACCCCCTTCCCTAGCCCACAGGGCTGACTCACACTGACCTGGGTTTTTCCCAAAGGCAGAGAAGTCAACATCTCCAGTAGAAAATAAACTCAGGTCAAAAGAACAAGGCATGTGAGGAGCACAATTATTTCCAAAGAAAAAAGGTTAAATTTCCAAGAGTTAAGGTGGCTTTCTAATGCTGCTATTATGAGTCGGACATTTTCCTGGGTAGTTACTCTGCTACTGTTCAGATAGCCTCAATGGGCTCTGTATTAGTCTATTCTCACAGTCCTATGAAGAAATACCTGAGACTGGGTAATTTATAAAGCAAAGAGGTTTAATTGGTTCACGGTTCTGCAGGCTGTACAGAAAGTATAGCAGCAGCTTCTGCTTCTGGGGAGGCCTCAGGAAACTGACAATCGTGGCAGAAGGCAAAGGGGAAACAGGCACTTCTTACATGGCTGGATCAGAAGGAAGAGGGAGGGGGAAGGTGCTACATACTTTTAAACAACCAGATCTCATGAGAATCCACTCACTATACAGTACCAAGGGGGATGGTACTGAACCATTCATGAGAACTCTGCCCATTGATCCAATCACCTCCTACCATGCCCCACCACCAACACTGGGGATTACTATTGAATATGAGATTTGAGTGGGGACATAGATCTAAACCATATCAAATAAAGTGGTTTCTATATCAGGCTCCATTGGCTACCAGCATCTTGGTAAGATGAATCTCCTGTGGTTTACAGCAGAGGTCAGCAAACTATGGCCCATGGTCCAAATCTGGTCCACCACCCATTTTCCATAGCTTGTGAGCTATGCATTATTTTTACACTTTTAAATAGTAGAAAGAAATCAAAAGAGGAAAAGTATTTTATGACACATGAACATTTTATGAAATTCAAATTTCAGTATCCATAAATAAAGTTATGTTGGAGCACAGCCATGCTCATTTGACTGTAATGCCTATGGCAGCTTTTGTACTACAGCAGCAGAGTTGGGTAGTTGTAACAAAGACCACAAGGCACCTGCAAAGCCTGAAATATTTACTACCTGGCTCTTACAGGAAAAGTTTGCCAATCCTGGTCTGCACCATCTATTTCTCACAGCACCAACTAGTAATAGTAACAACCTCTTCATGTTTCTAAAGCACTTTATGGTTGACAAATCACTTCTATGTACATCATTTCCACCTCTGTTTTGAATGGCCCTGGACTGTGCTAGAGCCCTGGACAGTTGATGCTGCTTCACAGAGAGTCATGAACCCACAAAGCTAAGACCCCAAATAAGGCACTAGGAAGCAGAAACAGGTCAAAGGCATTTTTCACAAAGGCAATATTCCATATTGCAAGTGGAGGCATTTTAGCATAGACTAGAGAATGCAGCAGTTAAATGGAAGGAAAAAATCAGACCCACACAGTGTAATAACATAACTAAAACAAAACTGAAAAAAGCTTATAATTTCAGGACTTAAAACCCTTGCTTAATTAAGTTCTTCTTCCTAATTGGGTCTCCATCATTTTATATCATTTAGGGGTATGTCATAATTTCACAATTCTTACACATAGCCTAAGAATGCACCTAATCAAACAAAATTCATTCTCTTATCTAGTCACATGGGACACCCTGAAATAAGTTTGGGAGAATTATTATATGTTCTTACATGCTGAGCACAGTAAATCAAGTGTAATATAGTTTTATATACATTCAGATCATCCAGGCCATCATTTATTCAGCATCTATTATGTCTCTAAGCATTGTTAAGCACTAGTAGATACTATTCTAAGATAAAACTGTTATAAAAATAAACACATGCCCTGATGCAGAGGTGTTCATTTCCTGTTTGAGGAGACACACCGGCATGCCCCAACACAGTGTGATTGATGTTGTAGTAAGTGGTGTATGAAGTGCTTTGGGAACAACGATTAAGAACTACGTAATTCTCCTAGAGACTGTGTGGACATGAGGGTTAGGAAAGGCTCCATAGAGGAGATGCCCTATGAGCTGGGCCTAGATGCTTAGGGGTTGACTAGAGAGACACAATATCAGGGAGGGAGGATGAGAGGATCCTGGACAACGCCCTCCGTGATGAAAGGACCTGCTCCCCACTGGATCCCGGGTGCCTGGCACAGTGCTGCCCCGTCCTATGTGCTCAGTAATAAAATATCTGTTTGAATGAATGTGATGTGCTTGGAGGTGGCAATGATCCAGGTGAGGTGGGGAGCACACGTATGTGTTTGCATGCAGTGTGTGTGTGTATTTGTGTGTGTGTCAGGGTGAGGGAGTGTGGCAGGTACTGTTAATGTCTACCCAATATCCATCACCCTACTTGTTAACAGAACCTTGATTTTTTTCCAGTTATCCAGTCTTCAGGGAAGATGACTCTGTCTCAACTCACAGTAAATCCTGACTAGCCTAAATCAATCATAAAATTCCTATTCCCCTTGCAGTAATTGGTATAGACAGGGGCATGCAATCTATTCCAGCTGATGAGTTGCAAGGGGAAGGTCTATTGAAGGGCTGCTTGAAGGGTTTCTTTGTTCTTTAAAAGACACACACACAAGTAAGAGACAGTGCATCCTCCTCTGTCGAATGCTATTGTGTCTGGATGTGACTCCTGCAGTGATCTTGTAGTCATGAAGGGAGCTAACCTGAGGACCAAGCTGATACTTCAAAAATGACTGTATGAAAAGATGCAAAGATCTTGTCCTTGATGGGGTCATCAAGCCATTAAGTAAACCAACTTAGAGCTTCCTACGCTTCTGATTTTCCTCCAAAGTGAGACAACTAATTTCCTACTTTATAGGACACAGTTGAGTAAGGATTTTCTATTTCTGGTTCTAAGAGCCAAAGACATTTTAACAGATGGGTCAGCTATGTATATAGGGTGAGGGTGAGGTTGGGGAGGTAGGTTGAGGCAGGCTGCAAAGGCTACATGCTGGGTTGAGGAGTCTGTTTTTTTTTCCCATAGGATCCTGGGGTGGGTTGCACAGGAGGAATTAAAACAGGCAAGTGCTTTAGAACGGCAACTTTGACTGCAAGATGTGACAATGGCTTAGAGGGAAGGAGTGAAACTAGGCGGATCATCAAGCGGGGACGGCTATGAAATCATCTAGGCAAGAGGGAAAGTAGACCTGGTCCTGGCCTCACTGAGGAAATAGAGAAGGAGTGGGATTTGAAAGACATCTCAGAGATATAATAAGCAATGCTTGCAATACAAAACTGATAATATACTGTTCTAAAAATATGGTTTATGGTACATAAGACATTTCTGGTAACTTTCTGAATGTGTTTTATTAGTTTTACAAATATAACATGATATCCAAATAATTTCCTGGTGGGACACTTGGAGCCCTTTGTCCCCCCGTCCTTTTGAGAGAGCAGAGCCCTTACTATGGAGCATGTCCTGTGCTGTATTCTATATTAAGTGTGGGCTTGAAGAGGGATGGTCCAGTAGTGAGGTGTCCAGAGTCGTGCACTGGGTAGTTTGACTGCATGGAGCTGGCTGGCAAATCATGGCAGAAATGTTCCTTAAGAAAGATGGTAGAGAAGAGAGAAGAGAATTCATAAATGGGTAGGTGGTCATGCTGCAAGCCACAGAGTGACCCAAAAGAAACAGAGAATTGAACCCTGGAGCAACAAAGCACACGGGAGGGGACAATAAACATGGAGGAAAATGCATTCATTTATTAATCTTGTGATGTAAGACTCTAGTCTTTTCTTTAACCATGCATCTCCATTTTGGAATTTGGGGTATATTTTTTAAGTGAACTATATCCATAATGCATCACCTATGATGTGTAGTTTCTGTGTATTTAAAGTGGAGCAAAAATTTAAAAAATACTTGCAGATCAGTTTGAATGTAGAATTTTTAAGATTGTTCTAATATTTTCTCCAATGTTTTATAGTTGCCTAATCTAACAGTAAAATACTTTTAGCATGTCAACTTTACTGAGTCTTTCCAAAGCATTCATCTTTTTTGTGTTCATCAGTACAGCAGCTCTTTATTTTCACAGTATTACTTGATGAGTTTAATACTATTTAATAAATTAAATTATGTAATTTTGGGAATAATACGCATAAAACAAACCCAAATGATTCTAGATAAACAGAATTCAACTTGAGGAAGCAGAAGTGCACAGGCAAAGTCAAGATTAGCCCACTGGCCATTAGTGTTCAGAGTGTGGGGCATCTACTAGTATAGTTCATAGGAATGAGGTGAGTACAGTAATCTGATAAGTGGTCAACTGGAAATTAATCAATAAAACTCCTAGAATATCTGAATAATAAATTCAACCAATGAGTCGTTCTTGGTAGGTTTACTTCCTCTAACTCTCTGTCTATCAAAATAACTATTTAAAATGAGAGGTTTTCAGTGCTGGCTGCACATTAGAGTCACCTGGAACTTTGAAAAAAATAATGCTTGTGAGTTTGCTCCCCAGGCAAATTAAATCAGAATCTCTAGGGTAGGATCCTGGCATTGGTATTTTTTTCAGAGTGCCCCAGTAAATGCTAATATGCAGCCAGATTTGAGAACCACTGAATAAGATCAAATAGCTCACATAGTGAAAATTAATTCAACTTAGCATAGAAACGTTTATATGAACCATTTGGGATCTAAATTTTAAAATGCATTTTATTACAGTTAAATTGAGTTACTATTGGAATTAATAAAATTCATTCAGGTAAATTTTTTCCTTAGTAACATGCTCTTTGCAAACCGTTTTGTGGACTAGATGAGACTTTTAATTTAATATTTTAAGTGTCTGTGGATAAATAACTGGAACTTCTTGGAGCCCTTGAAAATAGCTTATACACTTTCTTCAGCAGCATTTCTAAAGCTCTCTCCTGCTGTGGCACATATGGTAGATAATGTGTGTGTGTTTGACATTCCCACGAAACCTCAAAAGCTTCTCAGGAAGTTTTAACCAATAATACTGAAAATACCCAACTGCTAATGATAACGTCATAATGATCACTTGTTGTATATTTGGTCTTAGGTAAGTGAGGCTGTGGGTCTTTGGCAATTATATTTAGACAGCACTATTTTTTCCTTCCAAAAAAAATCATAATTTGAGTAAGAAAATCATGTTATTGTAGGGATAATCTTTAGTCAACCACCCTCACTCTTACTTATTTTTAATGGGAATTATTTGCACCTGTGGGTACATTTTAAAAAAATATTACTTTTAATCTCACAATGAATTAAGATGCAGCTGAGATTAAAACCTGCTACCTTGAACTATAACAGAGCCTTGACATTTGGCAGCCTTGACATCTGTAAAGTTGGCAGTCATGGAATTAGTGACTGAGGATCCATTCCACACAGTGATTTTTGCTGAGGCATAAATTTGAATCCTGTGGACAGCAAGGTTAGTGTATGGGAGTGAATCCATTAGCTAGTGAGTGCAGCATTGCCCACCCCCTCATGTCAAAGTAGCATTAACATTTTCTACTTGACTTCAGAGTTCCTGTAATCCTTGGGAACAGAGAAAAGTAAGTTTGAGGATAATGGCCCCAGAAAAAAAACACCAATTGCTGGTGATGGCAGTAAAAAGACAAGTTGTCTGAGGATAAGCATCCTTAGCCAAGTTCATACATGACTATAGAGAATCATTAAGAATATGAAGGTCCTGGGACTATAAAACTACTTGCTCCAGGACATTGGTGTAGGCAAAGATTTTATGGCTAAGACTCCAAAAGCACCAGCAACACAGCAAAAATGGACAAATGGGACTATATTAAACCAAAAACCTTCTGTACAGCAAAGGAAACAATCAACAGAATGAAGAGACAACCTGTGGAATGAGGGAAAATATATGCAAACTATTCATTCAACAAGGGACTAATTTCTAGAATATACAAGGAACTCAACAAAACAGAAAGAAAACCACCAAATAATCCCACTAAAAAGTGGGCAAAGGATCTGAATATACATTTCTCGAAAGAAGACACACAAATGGCCAACAGGTATATGAAAACATTCTCAACATCACTAATCATCAGAGAAATGCAAATTATTATAAGACCACCATGAGATATCATCTTACCACAGTTACAATGTCTATTATCAAAAAGACCAAAAGTAACAGATGCTGGGGAGGATGTAGAGAGAAAGGAATTCTTATACACTGTTGGTGGGAATGTAAATTTGTACAGCCATTATGGAAAACAGTGTAGAGATTTCTCAAAAAACTAAAAATGGAACTAGCATACAATCCAGCAATCCCACCACTGGGTATTTATCCAAATGATAGGAACTCAGCATATCAAAGGGATACCTGCACCATGTTTATTGCAGCACTATTCACAATAGCCAAGACATGAAATCAACCTGCATGTCCATCAACAGACGAATGGATTTAAAAAGTGTGGTATATACCCAATGGAATACTGTTCAACCATAAAAAAAAAAATCATGTCATTTGCAGTAACATGGATGGAACTGGAGGTCATTATGTTGAGTGAAATCAGTCAGGCACAGAAAGACAAATATCTCATGTCTTCATTCATATGTGGGAACTAAAAACTTTAATCTCACAGAGGTAGAGAGAGAGAGTAGAATGAAATTGGGAAAGGTATGTGTAGGGGGAGAGGATGAAGAGAGGTTGGTTAATGGGTACAAACATACAGCTAGACAGAAGAAATAAGTTCTAGTATTTGAAAACAGAAGGGTGAGTATAGTTAATAACATATTGTATATTTCAAAATAGCTAGAAGATTTGAAATGTTCCAAACACAAAGAAATGACAAATGTTAAAGGTGATTGGATATCATAAATACCCCAATTTGATCATTACATATTTTATATGTGTCAGAATATCACATGTACCCCATAAATATGTACAAATACTACGAATAGATAAAAAACTAAAAAAAGAACAGTCACTCAAAATTTTTCCTTCCACCTGATTGCATTGTACAGAGGGAATTTAAAGTTCTATCACCATTCACCAGTGCCTCCAGACACATTCTAGTTGAATATGAGGGATGTACTACCTCTCTTAAACACTCCTTTTACAATTTTGTTTTTACGGTGAATTTGCATGACTCCGAAGAAAGGGTTGGCAGACTCAGTCTAATTGCATGAATTCCAGATTAATGAAGCCTGATTTATTGAGGTTTCATGCCCTCAAGTCTAGCTTAATCCTTGTCACTGGTGTTGGTGATGTCTTTCCTAAAGAGGCTCATTCCTCGGGGCACAGCCAGCCCCACTAGGCCATGTTACAGCTTGCTCTTCCTTCTTCACAACTCTGAGATGGGCGGATCACCTGAGGTTGGGAGTTTGAGACCAGCCTGGCCAATATGGTGAAACCTGGTCTCTACTAAAAACACAAAAAATTAGCCGGGCGTAGTAATGCACAGCTGTAATCCCAGCTACCACGTGGGATGCTGAGGTGAGAGAACTGCTTGAACTCCGGAGGCGGAGGCTGCAGTGAGCTGAGATCGTGCCACCGCACTCCAGCCTGTGCGACAGAGCGAGCCTCTGTCTCAGAAAAAACAACAACAACAACAAACTAAAACAAATGAACAAAAAACAACCACCATGTAATGAGATTGTTCTTTGTTCTTACATTAACATATGTGGAAGTTCGTGCAGAATTGTGTCTTCTCTCAACCAACTTTTATTTGCCCTGCCTCATCCTTTTCTGTCTTAGGAGCTCTATTGGAAACTGAACCATGGTAGGATATCTAGGTCAGCTTTTCTGACCAACTAAAACTATATTGCATCCCAGTCTGGCAGCAAGCACATAGTCCCTACGGGCTTTTTAAGGCTCTGCAAAAATGTCTGGGACCTGAAAAAATATGATGGGCTAGTGACATTGTTTGCTTTTTCAGGAACACAAAAGGAGAATCAGAGAAATTGGGGCTGTATGTGGGGATATATGGTCAGGGAAGGTTTTTTTTTTATTTTTTTTTTTAATAGGGGATACTTAGGCATGTGTGTACACTGGTGAGATTGGTGCAGCAGGGAGACAGAAAAGGATGAGGCAGGGTAAATAAAAGTTGGTTGTAGAAGTGAAGTCCCTGAGGAGGCATGAGAGGAGTGGAGGCACATCATGTGGGGCCATGGTGCGAGGTCTCACAGAGTTCATTTTATGTAGGCTTAAAACTTTTCTTTAAATCTTGGGTTCAAATCCTCTCTGCCAGTTTGTAGAAATGTGGGAATTTGTGCAAGTGAACCTCTTCAAGTGGCTGTTTCCTCATGTGTAAAATGGAGATAAATAAGGTCCCAAATTCATTGATTGTTGCAAATATTCAAGTTAATAACACATGCTATTAGCTTAAGCACAGTACTTACAATAAAGTAAGCATGCAGCAATAATTAGCCGTAACAATAATAATTACTGACAGTATTAGGCACAGGGCTGGGGAAGCAAGATGATAAAAAATGTACAAACCATCAATAATCTTGTCATCACCTGTAATCCTACCATTTTGGGAGGCTGATGTGGGAGGATCACTTGAGACCAGGAGTTCGAGACCAGTCTGGCAACATACCAAGACCCCATCTCTACAAAATAAAAAATTAGCTGGGCATGGTGGCATGTGCCTATAGTCCTAGCTACTTGAGAAGCTGAAACAGGAGGATTGCTTGAGCCCATGAGTTTGAGGCTGCAGTAAGCTATGATTATACCACTGCACTCCAGGCTGGATGACAGAGTGAGACCTTGGCTCTAAAATGCAATAAAAAATTTCAAAATGATGTATAAACCATGGAACCATGGTCTGTGACTGAGGATATGAAAATCTAGTGTTTGAGAGAAATGTGTAAAAAATGGTAATAAAACACAGAATTAAATAATCACTTCCACAGCCTTCACATTCCACTCTTAGCAGGGATTTGAAGGTCTGGGAGAAGTCTGGGGTGCCATCTCCGAGGACACAGGACAGGGCCTCTAGATGTCCATTTGACCTGGGATGGTCCAGTCCACTGTGAGAGCTTTGCTGATCATGCTGCTTCTCTGACTGATGGTCCTAACTTTCCCTCCCAACTTCCCTTCCTTCCTTCTACTCCCTTTTCTTTCTGCCCCATGGAGGAGGAAGGCTCCTAATGAGGTAGACTTTCCAGGTCTGACTTGCTCCATCCTAGGCGACCGTGTAATAAGAAACAATCCCTCAAACTATGAGGGAACTAGACTCATTTGATAGCCAGCTTCCTGGGAAACAAATGGGATTATATTTTCCATATTCTACAGACTAGAAAATAAACAGAATGATTTAAAATGTCAACAAGCAGGCTCCTAAACAGCATTGGCTAAGTTTAATTTATCTTATGGCCCTATCACCAAATACCATGTCTAACAGTAAGCAGGTACTCAATACCTGTTTGTGGAATGATCATAATGAGTTAGTCAATCAATTAAAGCCATATTTAAAATCTTTTGTGCAACTGCACATGGAACTCAGGTTTGCCAACTCATAGATTTGTAGTTCTCCCTGCCTCTAAGTTGCGACAGTGCTAATAATCTCCACCCCTTCTCTATCGTCCATGTGGGATGGTGCAGTCCAGATGTTTCCATGACTTGCTTCTTCTGCAGATCAGTCCCAAAGGTAGCAGATTTCACTGGGAAGGATCCCTGACTACCTGGTGGTTCTGTTGTTTGTCGGAGGTCATTTTCCAGATGTGTTGACTCCAACTCTGAGTCTTCAGGTTTCTGTTTACAGAGGTAGTCTAGATCCACACTTTCACAGATCAGTTCTGGGCCTGCTGTACAGGAGAAGGGCCGGGCCAGCTCACATGCCAGGTAATTTCTAGGACACAATAGCTCTCCTGTGCCCCTCTCTGGAGCATGAAGCCACAGGTAATCCTGAAAGCTTCCTGAAGTCCCTGGAGGCTGTTTTCCTTTCTCCAGAGGAGTCAGGGAATGGGGACAAGGATAAATTTGTAAAGTCCTGCCCAAGAAATAGCCACTTCAGTAAAGGCCGGTGTTCTTCTGGGGCCCATATCCCAGGCCTGTTATTGATTTATGTTTTAGCACATGCTGCATACACTCAAATGGAAATGGACCCAATCATTTCACTCTACCTTTAGGAAGAAGGAGTGTAAGAAAATGTAGCACATACAGAAGTCCCAGACAGGGAGGACTGCAGCAAAGCCAATTTTACTGCCTCCTATATATCTCAGCAACTGATTTCACACAAACATACTTGCCAAAGAAGGAGAAATGAAGTTTAGAATGATAGATCTGAAACTTTGATTTCAATGAAAGGAAGTTGTGTTACATCTCAGGTAATCAGCACATCTGGCTAACCTCAATCCTTCATTTCAGTGAGTTTTCTGATTAAAGTCAGAGTGATCAGAGTATTTTAGGTAAGAAATATCAGACAAAATTTTTGTCTCCCACAAGTGCAGTGAACAATATAAGGAAGGAGTGGAATGAAGACATAGAAGGAAATAGAAGAAATGAATGAGATTGGGATGATAAAAGAGAAAGAAGAGCCACACATATCTGCCATAAAGACTTCACTTCAGGAACTCAATGATTTGCCATGAGATGCAGACAGTTAACCGTCATGGGAGAGGTTTTTTTATTTTAAAGTTTAAAATATAGAAAGTCAAACTTTTTTTCCATTTACATAGAAAAGAATGCAATATTTAGGAATACATTTAACAAAGTAAGTGCAAACTTATACTCTGGAAACCACAACAAAAAATTGTTTAAAGAAATCACAGAAGGCCTAAGTGGTAAGAAAGACATCTCATGTTCATAAATCAAAAAACTCATATATGTGTTTTGTGTTTGTTTGTTTTGCATCCAGCTTCTTTCACTTAGCATAATGTTAGGAAGAGTCATCTACTTTGTAGCATGTATCAGTAGTACATTTTTTGTTGTTGTTGAATGATATTCCATTATATGGATATACTACTTTTTTAATGTCACTAATTGATTGACATTTGTATTATTTCTACTGTTTGGTCATTATAGATATTGCTGCTTTGAATATTCACATACAAATCTTTATACGAACATATTTATAGAGAATTATTTTTACTTACGTATTTACCTTTTCAAGTATTATTTATTTCTTCATGTGTATTTAAGTTACCATATGATGTCGTTTCCTTTTAGTCTAAAAACATAGTATTTCTTCTGAGGAAACTCAGCTAGCAATTAATTCTCTCTGTCTTTGTTTATCTGAAAATGTCTTTTATTTTGTCTTCATTTTTGAAGGACAGCTTTGTTGGATATAGAATTCTCAAATGACAGTTGTTTCCTTTCATAATATTGAGTATTTCTTCCCATTTTCTTCTGATCTTCTGGGCTCTTTTTTGTTTTTTTTCAAGACAGAATCTCACTCTGTCGCCCAGGCTGGAGTGCAGTGGCGCAATCTCGGCTCTCTGCAACCTCCGCCTCCTGGGTTCAAGCGATTCTTCTGCCTCTGCCTCCCGAGTAGCTGAGACTACAGGCACCCGCCACTAGGCCTGGCTAATTTTTGTATTTTTCGTAGAGACGGGGTTTCACCATATTGGCCAGGCTGGTCTCTATCTCCTGACCTTGTGATCCACCCAGCTCGGCCTCCCAAAGTGCTGGGATTATAGGCGTGAGCCACCGCACCGGGCCTGGATTCTTATTTTTTTAATGAGAAGTTAGCTATTAATTATTTTTCTTCTGAATATAAGAAGTCTTTTTTTCTCTTGTTGCTTTTAAGATTTTTTCCTTTGTTGTCAGTTTTTAACAATTTGACTATGATGTGCTTAGCATGTGGGTCTCTTAGATGTGGATTTCTTTGTTTATCTTTTTTTAAATTCTTTGAGCCTCATAGATATCTAATGTTTTTCATCAAATTTTGGACATTTCTAGTCATTATTTCATCAGATATTTTTCTGCTTTTTTTTCTCTGCTGCTGCTATCTCCACTCAGTTTTTAAAAAATATTATTATTATTGTTCTTATTTTAAAGCATGGTTTCTTTGGGGTTTCCCTGGAACAGCATAGTTTAGCAGTCAGCTGATGATGGGTTAGAGATTATGCTCAAATACTTGCAGGCAGTAAGGGTTATATCCTTTGGTAATGAATCTTTGAGTGAGTTGGGATATGTACTCAAAGGTCAGACAGTTTACAAGTCTGCCCCAGACTTTTACTGTCTTGAAAGTTCTTATGTGTCTTCTCTGTGCATGTGGAAAACTTCATATTCAGTCAGGGATATGTGAATAGCTAGGGCCATCTCTGGTCTGAGTGGATGCGTAGCCTTGGGTATGTGTGCAGTTTTCCAGACTACCAGGAATATATGAGAACCTACAATGGCGACCTCATTCCCTGAGTCATCCTGATAAATTTCTGGGTAGTCTGTCTTTCTGTTGCTTGCCTGAACCAAGATCACAACCTCGGGCTAGTTGCAATGTTGGCCTTCATGTTTGTTTTCCACCAAGGTCACAATTTACGGCAACACTTGTTGGCCATAAACATGCTTTGCCATGCTTTGTTCCAAATCAAGTCTGCAGCATCAATTGTGAAGCCACTAGCTTTTATTGCTTGCCCACCTTGGTAGAACTCTCATACCAACTAAGCTGGGGGAGAAGGGCGGGGAGAGCTGGGAGCAGCTCCAGGCAAAAATGCTTCAGATGCTCACTATTCTTAGCTAAGCTTTAGTGATTTTACTCTAACTAATGCTTCTTAATTTTTTTATGTATTTGATCAATTTCCTTGATCATTTTACTCTGAAATGGCTTTTTTACAATTTTATCTAGCTTTATCATTATTTTGGTGGAGGGTGGTTGGGAAGAGGATTTCTAAAGCTCCTTGTTCCACCATTCTAAAAGGTGAGGAAGAAGTTGCCTGCTCCTTTTTAAAGATTAGGTGAGATGAGATGCAAACATCAAGATTAAAAACATATGCATAGAATTTATAAATCTAATATGTATAACAGGAGCCTACATTTGTGCAGCAGTTTCTTCTGTTAAGCCTGTGCTAAGAGTGTAAGAGTGTTACAGGCATTGTCTCCTCTGATAGTCATAGAAATGCAAAACTGGTTCGACTGTTGAAAAGCCCTTACTAATTTTCTTCTATAGGGAAATAAATAAAAAGAAAAGCATATACAGAGAAGAAAACCAGAACTTTTCATCAGAAGCCTGCATTCTAAAGCCAAAATACTATTTAAATTACGTATTTTCTATTGCACTTTCAAATGAAATTTAGATACACATTGGGATCTTTCTCTTTTAATAAATTAACATACAGAGTTATATAAACCTACTCTTGACAAAAAGGACAAAAATAATCATGTTATTACTATTTGATACCATAAAACAGAAAAAAAAAATATCTAGAATAAGAGCTTGAATGCATGGGGCTATATTACACCACAGCTCTTACTACACAAATTTGGATGTGTCACTTGCCAAATCAAGTAATCAAACCTATTATACTAGGATTAGGGTTTTACTTGGGCATTACTCCTACATTATACTAGCATTACCAAGGAATTTCATAATATTTATATAAAGCACTTTATATGGAAAAAGTAGACAACATGCAAGAATAGGTGGGTAATATAATCAGAGAGCTGGAAACCCTAAAAAGAATCAAAAGGAAGTGCCAGAAATCAAAAATGCTGTAACAAAAATATAGAATTCTTTGATAGTTCATCAGCAGAGTGAACACAACCAAGTAAAGAATCACTGACCTTGAAGACATGTCAACAGAAACTTCACCAAATTGAAATGCAAACAGAAAAAAGAATGGAAAAAAAAAAAGAAAACCCAAACAGAACATATAACAACTGTGAGGCAATTATAGAAGGTGTAACATATGCATAATGGGAAATGGGAATAACAAAAGGAAAAGAAACAAAAGGGCAGAAGATATATTTGAAGTACTAATGACTGAACTGTTTTCAAAATAATGACAGATACTGAATCACAGATCTAGGAAGCCCAGAGAAAACCAGGAGGGATAAATACCGAAAACAAAATCTGCATATCATATTCAAACTGGAGAAAACCAAAGACAAACAGAAAACTTTGAAAGAATTCAGAGGAACTAAATACTTTACCTGTAGAGAGACAACAATAAGAATTACATCAGATTTCTTATCAAGGAAGAAGAGTGTAAAATATTTAGTGTTGAAAGAAAAAAAGAAAAACTACAAATTTAGAATTCTGTATCCAGTGAAATTATCCCTCAAAATGAAGGAAAAAATAAGACTTTCTTAGACAAACAAAAACTGGGATAATTTTCTTGCAAGGCAGGTCAGTAAAATATTTTAACATCTATTGCAAAGTCAGTAGACCTCCTTTGCAAGAAATATTAAAAGAAATTTCTAAAAGAGAAGGAAAATGATATAGATCAGACACTTGGATAAAGAAAGGAGAACATCAGATAAGGAATAAGTGAAGGTAAAATAAGGCATTTTATTCTTCTTATTCTTAATTATCTAATAGATAACTATTCAAAGTAATAATAGCATCAATGTATTGGGCGATTATGGCATATGGATAAGGAAAATGAATGACAGCAATGTTAAAAAGGATAAGAAGGAGGAATCTGGAATATATTACTAAAAGATGTCTGTGCTACCCATGAAATGATACAGTGTTACTTGAAAGTTAACTTAGACTACTTGCAAATGTATTTTGCAAACCATAGGACAACCACAAAAATGTTTCTTGAAAGAATTATAATATAGTAAAGGACGAGAGAAAATGGAATCATATAAAATACTCAAAGCCAGAGAAGGCAGAAGAAGAGGGGAAGATGAAAAAAGGAAACAAAGAACAAGTGCAATGAATATATAAGTTACAAACAAGGTGGATATTTATCCAATAATATCAACAATCACTTCAAATGTGAATGACGTAGTAGACATACCAATTAAAAAACAGAGACTGTCAGAATGGATTGGATCTGACTATATGTGGCCTATAAGAAACCTACACTAAATATAAAGACACAGATTAAAAGTAAAGGGATGGAGAAAGCTGTATCATGCTAACACTAATTTAAAAAAGCTGCAGTAGCTATATTAATTTCAGACAAAGCAGATTTGAGACTAAGAAAAATTGTCAGAGACACAGAGATGGTCACTACATAATTTTAAAGGGGACAATTCTCCAAGAAGACATAACAATCCTCAATGTGTACACACATAACAACAGACTGTCAAAATATGTGAGGCGAAAACAGTTAAGATTGCAGGGAGAAATAGACAAATCCACTCTTATAGCTGGATAGTTCAACATCTTTTCAACAACAGACTGATAAAACAATCAGAAAATCAGTGAGGATATAGCTAACTTTAAACAGCACTGGCAATCATCTTGATATAAATGATATAGAATTCTCCATCCAATAGAGCAGAATACACATTATTCTCTAGGTCACATGGAACATTCACTGAGAGAGACCACACTCTAGGCCATAAAATATACCTTGACAAATTAAGAAATTAAAAATCATACAAACATATTCACAGACCATAATGGAATAAAGCTAAAAATGAATAACAGAAAGATAATTGGAAAATCCCAAATATTTAGGAATAAATTAAAAATGTATAAATAACAAAGTAATTGAAGAAGACATCTCAAGAGAAATTTTAAAATATTTTGGATTAAATGAAAATGAAAAGAAAACTAATCAAAACTTGTGGGATGCAGTGAAAGCTGTGCTTAGAGGGAAATTTATAGCACTGAATGCATATATTGCAAAAGAATAAAGATCTAAAATCAGCAATCTAAGCTTCCACCTTATGACACTAGAGAAAGAAAAACAATATAAGCCGGAAGAAAGCAGAAAAAAAAAATTAGAGTAGAAACCAAAACTGCTGTTAGAAAAATAGAGAAAATGAATTAAACCAAAACCTGATGTGTGTGTGTGTGTGTGGTGTGTGTGTGTGTGTGTGGTGTGTGTGTGTGTGTGTGTGGCGGGGGGAGGTTTTGGAAAAGATCAATAAGATTGATAAATCTCTGGCCAGGTTCACCAAGAGAAAAAACAAGGAAGATACAAATGACTAATATCAGAGATTGGGGAGGGTTTATCAGTACTGATCGCAAGGCATTTAAAGGACAATAAAGAAAGAGTATAAATAGCTTTCTGCCTACACATTTGATAACTTAGATGAACTGGACTAATTCTTTGAAAAACACAAACTATCAAAACACACACAAAGAGAAATAAATAATTTAAAGTAGGCCTATATTTACTAGAGAAATGCAATAAATAATAAATAACCTTCCAAAGCAGATAGCAACAGACTCAGATGGTTTCTCTGGTTATTGTACCAGACAGTCAAAGAAAAAATTATACCAATTTTCTGCAATCTCTTGTAGAATACAGAAGGAACGCTTCCTAACTCATTCTGTGAGGCCAGCATTTTCAAGTACCAAAATCAGACAAAGAGAGCACAAGAAAGAAAAACAACAAACCAATATCTTTTATGAAAATGATAAAATAATCCTTAAGAAGATATAAGCAAACTGAATCTAACACTGTATAAAAAAAACTACAACCATACTCTGTGCCCAAGTGGGGTTTATTCAAGATTTGCAAGGCTTAATCTACATTTGAAAATTAATTAATATGATCTATCACATTAATACACTAAAAAGGAAGATTCATATAATCATATCAATCAATGCAGAAAAACCATCTGACAAAATCCAACACCCATTCATGATAAAAACTCTCAGCAAAAACTCTCAGTAAAAAGGAGGAATTTTCTCATCTTGATAAAGAAGATCTACAAAAGGCCGACAGTTAACATCATAGTTAATGGTAAGAAACTGGGTACTTTCTCCTCAAGATTGGGAACAAAGTATATATGTCTCCTCTCACCAGTCTTATTCAACATCATATTGGAAGTCCTGCTTAGTACAAAACGTCCAAAAAAAAAAAAAAAACCAATAAAAAAAATGAGGAAAGAAGAAATAAAACTGTCTTTGTAGATGACATGTCTGACTCAAATGCATCATGGTTATAAATATAAAATTTGAAACTATAAAACCTCTAAAAGAAAACAGGAAAAAATCAAGGAGGAACACATGCTAAGAAGTAGTAGGAGAGGAGGGCAGGTAGTAGATACAGTGTGCATTTGTCAGACACTGCTGGGTGCCTTAGTGTTGATTGTCTCATTTAATTCTTATAGCAAGGCCTGATCCTTGACATCCCGAGTCAGATGGTGAAACTGGAGAAGTTAGGCTATGTAGAAAACCCCCCAAAATGAACCCAAACCTCCTTCAACTAATAAACAATTATAGCAGGATACAAGGTTAATATACAAAAGTCAATTGCTTTCCTATATACTTGTAATAAACAATTGGAATTTGAAATTAAAAACACAATAGCATTTCCAATAGCACAAAAATGAAATACCTAGGTAAAAATCTAACAAAATATGTACACAATCTATATGTGCAAAAGTACAAAACTCTGATGAAAGAAATAAAAAATCTAAATAAATGAAGAGCTATCCCATGTTCATGGATTAAAAGACTCAATAGTGTTTAAGATATTAATTTTTCCTAACCTGATCTGTAGATTTAATGAAATTCCACTCCAAATCTAGGTAAACTATTTTTAGATAGTGCCCCTCTGATTCTAAATTTTATATGGAAAGGCAAAATACCCAGAACAGACAATACAATACTGAAGAATGATGTTAAGAACTAAAATTACCTGACTTCAGGACTGTCTTAGTGTGTTTGGCTATTACAACAAAATACCTTAGACTCGTAATTTATAAACAACATAAATTTATGTTTACAGTTCTGGAGGCTGGGAAGTCCAAGATCAATGTACCAGCAGATGTGGTGTCTGGTGAGGACTTGCTCTGCTTCATAAATGGCACCTTCTTGCTGTGTCCTTACATGATGGAAGGGACAAGGGAGCTTGCTTTTATAAGGGCACTAATCCTATTCATGACAGTAGAACCCTCATGACTTAATCACTCTCCAAAGGCCCCACTTCTTAATACCATCATATCGGGCATTAAGTTCCAGCATGTGAATTTTAGGAGGATGCCAACATGCAGACCATAGCAAAAACTAACTATACAGCTATAAAGTTATAAAGACAGCGTGGTATTGATAAAAGAATAGACACAGAAATCAATGGAAGAGGTAAGAAAGTTTAGAAATAGACACACAAATATAGTCAACTGATCTTTGACAAATAGTAAAAGGCAATTCAATAAAGACTAGTCTTTTAACAAGTAGTACTGGAAAAATTGGATGTCCATATGCAAAATAATAATAATAATAATAATAATAATAATAATAATAATGAATCTAGACACAGGCCTTATACTGTTCAAAAACATTGACTCAAAATGCATCATGGACCTAAATGTAAAATTCAAAACTATACAACTTCTAGAAGAAAACAGGAGAAAACCAAAGAGGAGGAGATGCTAAAAAGTAGTAGGAAGGGGCAGGTAGGGCACACAGTGTGCATTTGTCAGACACTGTCCTGGGTACCTTTGTGCTTATTGTTTCATTTAATCCTTATGGCATGGTCCGATTCTTGACATCCTGGGTCAGATGGCGACACTGGAAAAGTTAGGTTCATGGGAGGGCAGGGCCAGCCTGGCACCCTTCCCAGCTGTCCCTTCTGACCCCATGTGCACCTTCAGGGAACCCATTCTGCAGCCTCAGACACTGGGTGATTTTCTGGCAAGGGAGTGAGAGACAACTTCCTTCTTCTGTTTCAAACCTAATTTATCTCCAGGTGGAGTCAGGGCTTTCTACTTAATGATAGGAGTGAAAAGGCAGAAAAAATGACAAAATCAGGGCGAGGGTGAATGTTCCCATCAAAGCAGAAATGATGTAAACCTTTTGTATTTTCCCAGAGAAGCGGGGGCTGTAGATAGCAGCGACTGTGCTCCTTAAATAAAAGAAGGGTCAGCGACTTCTGAGAAATGGGAAAATGGAGTGCCTGGGGGTGCCCAGGAAGAACTGAAAAGACTGTATGTTGGCTTCCATCCGAGGCTGATCTATGGGCTTCGGGACCAGACAAGTGTGAGTTAGAATCCCATTTCTGTGACTCACCGGTTGAGTGAAATTAGGCAAGTTCCTTATCCTCTCTGAGCCATAGTTTTCTCATTTGTAAAATAAGGACAATCCCAAGTGACTAAATTATTTTACCATAATCATATGGATTAGTTTTAATCCATATGAATATAGTTAAAATTATATGAATATATAATCTTAATCCATGAACATTTTATCTCTCTCTCTGTGTGTGTGTGTGTGTGTGTGTGTGTGTGTGTGTGTGTGTGTGTGTATAGCATCTGGCTTTTAAACTGTTGCTCAAAAATATTATTTTCATTGTCACTTGCAAAGCTCAAATCAAAACTGAGCAGAAGGGAACACCCTTCCCTGTTTGGCTGCCAGGCGGTACACCTCTATGGGAACCACCAGCCTGGCCCTCCGAGTGCTGAAAGGGGCGAAACCTATCAGGGCAGGGATGGGATGGGAGATGCCAAGAAATGACCCAGTGATCCTCCCCAGGATCAGGTCTGGCCAGCCCAAAGTGTCTCTGCCCTTACTAATGCCGGAATACTTGTCAGTCCCAACCCTGTGGGCTGTGAGAAGCACCCAGTGTAATCAACCCACCTTCTATTCCGATTCCAAAAGGCTTTTACTGGGTGCCTGCCATGTGGCAGGTTTTATTCTAGATGCTGTGAATAGAGGTTGATGATGAGTGGTTGGTTTGGCCCTAGCGTAGCTCAGCAACTATAAAAGAGTGCAAACCATGCCTTAAAAAGCTGAGGCTTTAGCTCCAGGCGCAGCTGGCTCCGAGGCGGGGGTTGCAGGCAGCGGTAACCGGGCCTGAACCGTGCAGGAGACAGTTCGGAGTTTCCCAGAAAACAGCTTGCTCAATACGGGGTATCAGTTTTCCTCCCGGCACTTTCCGCCTTGTACCGAGATAACTGAATCAGTAACGCAGAACTCAGCTCATTCTATTGTTGGGGAATCCCAAAAACACCCCAAGGGAGAGAAAGACAAAGTGCTGCACAAAGAGACTCGCAGTCGGCGTCCGCCCTCGCTTGAACGCGTCCCCCTTGCGCCCGGGGGGCGCTGCGCTCCCTCCAGGAGAGGACGCTGCGTCTAAGTCTAAGAGCCTCCAGTGGAAAGTCCCGGAAGCCCTCCCCTGGGCTTGAGATTTTTGCTGGCTGAAATGGAGCCTGGAAGTGCTTTTCTGTGGTTTAGATGGGGAAGGAATGGGGGAAAGAAACGGTTCGGGAAAGGGGAGAATGGAGGGGAGAAGAGGGAAGGAAGATGGCAGGAGCCTCGGAGGTCAGGCTTGCAAGCAAAGCAAACACCAGGCTCCAGAGGGGTTTGCAGGCTACAGAACACCGAGTTTCGAGAGAATCACATGTTTATCTTCTCTTAAAATTCTCATACTGAACGATCTGGATGTGACTCAGCTCACGCAGTCGCTAGCTGTGGCACCGTGTGAGCTACTTAACCTCAGAAAGAGTTTCATCATCTGTAAAATGGGCATCACGGCCTTGTGGAATGGATTAAAAGAGCCAAAGTGCATAAAGCTCACGCAGTATCCTTTATAAGCAGTTTGTAGGTCTCCTTCCTTGAATTTCTTTCAAGCTCCCAATAGCCAACGGGAAGCCGAACACACTTTCACACTAAAAATGGGAATTCAGGGAAGTATCATCAGGTTCTGAACTATGTTTTAAGACTCAAGTCAAACACCAAAACTGAGTCACCACCTAATGTGTGTGCAGCACGTGTTAGGGGCAGTTTGCTATGTGATGACTTGAACGACAGTTTCTCTCTCCTGGGACTTTCATAAAATTCCTTTGGTGTTGCCACACACTTCTGGGATTCTCCACAATGAGCCCATTGCTGAGCCTGTCTCTGCAGATGTTTATTAAACAAGCAGAATTTAGGGGAATAGTCAGCAAGTCTTCACCAAGTTCTTCTATGTGGGCAGCTTTTGTGGTGTGGCCAGGGTATGAGGATAAAGAGCAACTTGGAAAAGTCTGGGGAGAATTTAAGTAGCCTGAAGAGTCTCTGTCCCTCAGGGAGGAAAGCTGAGAAATCGTTTCCATATTTATGTGTCAATTGCTTTATGTCCATTTATTTGATCTTCCTTACAAAATCTTGCATAGAAAATTTCATCCTCATTTTACAGATGAGGAAACTGAAGCTTAGAGAGCTTAGGTCACTTACCCAAGTTCATCCAGGTAGCAAAGTGTCAGGTCTGGATTTAAATCAGGTTGAGTCCAGTACCTTTTTCTTTTTTATATCACGCTGCCTTTCCCTAGAAGCCAAAATTTCTAGGAAATAAATGAACTGCAATGACAAAGCAGCACATTTTCCCATGTTCTTTGCTCTTGATCCCTACCTACTCTTTTCCCGGAAATAGACAATAAAGCCACCAGGATACCTGAGACAGCCTTGGTCATCTTTGTACCGTAGCCAGCACCATGGATTTTTGCCTAGTTACTTTCCCATCAGATTTTAACAGAAAGAACACTGTATTTGCCAGCTCAGTACAGCATATCTCTGGCTCTGTTTTCTCCCCAGCAGGAATCCGAGGGTCTGTCTCTGTATGTGTTATCATCAGACTGGTAAAGAGTTACATGTGTCAGCACAGAAGAAAAGAGCTTTGATGTGAGTTCAGCATGTAAGAAAGCCTTCATTGCTGTCATGCTTTCAACAGGTTCCCCACGACCCACCACTGCCTGCCAAGATGAATGTAAATGAAGCAGAAGTCTCACAGGGTAAATTCAGCTTCCCACGACCTGCAGTTGGACAGGGTGGCAAGGAGATGATGATAATTCCATGGCTCCCAGCTTAATTTCTCTTGGGGAGGGGTATGTGGACTCTTGCTATCCTGGAGTCCATATCATGCAGGACTCCGGAACATAAAAGGCAACAACAGTGAAGTGAGTGCCTGTTACAAACAAGGCTCAACTCAAAGCTAACAATTCTTCTTTATTAGGATACCACTGATCAGAGCTGCAAAGTGTACTCACATCTGTCATTTCGTGTCATTCTTACATAAATCCTGTAGCTGGGCACAGTAGGAAGAAGCATTCTCATCATGGCCACTTAGCTTGCTCGAGATTACACAGAACCATGCCTCTGGTTTCCTGGTACAGTGCTCCGGCAGGTGACGGATGCTCCTGGGTGACATATCACGGATCTCTCTGAGGTGAGATCTTCATGATTCTATATCATAGGCATCTCTTTATCTTCAAGTTGGGCAACATCAGCAGGGTTCCCATGAGTATGTGCCCAGCGAGGCTATTTAGTTCCTCTTATCTTTTTTTTTTTCTACTTGCCCTCGTTTTTCCTGAGATTTTATTTCCTTCCTAGCTGGCATACCTTTCCCTGCTGTGGTATTCAGACCTAAATAGTGTGTGCACCTATTACCTCTGCAGAGTAATTACTGTTTGGTACCATGGTAGAGTTTCTGTGTCCAGATACGGTTGTGAATGCTTGGAATGTAACATTGGGAAAGACAGAACTATTGCTTGTAAGTGGATTTGTGGACATCATGGTGCTATGAGAAAACTAAGTTGAAGATGCTCCTGCATCTTGCTGGTTAAACTAGATATAAACCAGTTGCTTAATAATTCATAGCCTATCCTATCTGTTTCCCACCCTCCTTATCTTCCAGGGACTCATTTATTGAATAACTCATTTTACATGCCTCTTTTATCATATACATTTTTATGTGTATTAGGATGTATTTATGGACTTTATATTCTATTTCACTGATTTGTCTATTCATTCATATTTCTTTGAGTATGATAGCTTTATGCATTTTTTCTTATCTGGTAGGTATTGTTGCCCCTCATTGCTTGACTTCTTCAGTATTTTCACAACTACTCTTACTTGTTTGATTTTCCATTTGAACCTCAGAACATAAAAAGAATCTTGTTGGTATTTGTATTGGAATTTTATCAAATTTGTAGATTAATTGAAGGATATTGGATAATTTTAGGATGCTGTCTTCCTAATCAAAATATAGTGTGTCTTTTTATTTGTTCAAACTTTTGGGGTTCCTTCAATTTCTGCTTGCCTATCAGACATGATTCTTATATTTATTCCTAGATATTTGATCTTGTTTTACTCAGGGTAAATGAGGCATTACCTTCCAGTACACCTTCTAACTGGCTGCCATCTGTATTTGTCATGGCTACTGATTTCTATATATTTATTCTTTTATTGTTGAAGAATGTTTTGTAGTTCGTTCTTTCAGGTTTTTCACACGTGAATTTATTTGCCAACATAAATGATACTTACCATATTCTGTTAATGTATTACTTTCAAATATTCTAATTTGTTTGTCTTTCCTAATTAGAGCTAGTATCTCTAGAACAATATTCAATAATAGTAGTGACAGTGTCATTTTTCCTGTCCTTACTTCAGCATAAATGCTTCTAAATACTTTGTTAGTAGGCATGATGAGCTCAGATAAAAAGCTTTTTTTTAAATATTAAAACAGTATTCCTTTATTTCTACTTATTAAATTTTAAAATCAAGAAAACATTCTTGCCCTTTAAAATATTTTATATTTGTATATGTTTTATCATGAAAATTTTAGTAGGGTATTAATACGTATAATTTATAAATAAATAAATATAAATATATTAGGGGATGACAATTTTTACAACCGATTCAAGCATAAAATAAGAAAGTTTGGAGAGCATGGGTTTAGAGGATTATAATAAATTTTTAAAATTAAAATATCATTGTTTACCACAATACAATTTAATCCTTTTTGATAATGCTGAAGATACTTCAGGATCTCGAATGCTTTAGGATCAGCATTAGGGATACTGTTTATCTTATCAGTTGGTTGAAGGTTGGTTAACTAAGAATAAATCACTGGAAGTTCACCTGTTTGCCTCTGAAAAAGTCTGATCTTTATTGCCCTCTGAATGTCTTCTTCTATGCCAGACAGTTCCAATAAAGCAACTATAACTAGGCTCCCCTAGCCCTCCTGATCTCCCCATCATGTAGGAACCTAATATGTCCAAGATAGTGGTAGAGGGTGAGCCTATGTGGCCTGTGCCCAGCCTCTCTGCATCATCCTCACACAAGTTTAGTGTCACGGCTGAAGGATGCTCTTCTCAGCAGAAGTGGGATAAGAGCTGACACATCTACAGGCAGAGCAGTCAAAGGGTGGGAAGAAACCTGACCTCCTAAAGACCCACTGCCTTGCCTCAGCACAGTGGTGACTTCCTGTCGAGGACACTGCTAGAAGTCTTTCTGAGTAGATGATTCTGAAAAGTAAAGAAACACTAATATTCTTTGTAGTTACAAAATAGGAAAAGCTAGCTGGGGGGATAAACGTCAACAGATTCTTTTAATAGGATGCCTAGCTTTCTGCAAATTTTTACTGAACCAAGACATGTGTTCTTGGTTGATTAATACATGCAGTGCAAAAACTCAAAACAATATGCTGATATATTCCGTAAAGATAATTCCCAGGCTAACTGTGGTTTGTTTTACATTGTCAACAAGAGCAGGAGGTTGGGGGAGGAATCTCATGAATTCCTGGACATGGAAAGTTTGGATTCCCATGAAATGACTGATCTGAAATCTAGAGTAAATTTGATCTCAAATTTTCTCTCTTAATTATATAGTGAATATTGCAAATTCAATTCAACTTTAAAAGTATTTATTGAGCCCTATGAAAACACAGAAGCAAGATCAGATGTAGTCTTTTAATCTATGCGGAGAATGAATGTGTGTCCACATGGAGTAGATAACAATTCAAAAAATATAGAATTGGATAACAATGTAAGAAACATAGATGGTGTTGTGAAAGGTCAGAGAACTCATGACTGATTGTTGGGATTGTATCACTAGGAGTTTCTTTAAGTATAGCAGAGCAAGAGAGGTAGAAGGACACATGACTTTCATCCCCCTTCCAACAACAATGTTCTGAGACCATAGGCTTAATCTAGTCAAGTCTGCTTGACTTTCTATAGAGTGGGTTTCTGAAGGTTTTGATGATCTCACCATGGGATGGGAAGGAAAGGACAGCTACTTTTAGCTAGTTTGTGTACTGCCAGTGTTAAGGCAAGAAAGAGAAAGTAAAAATCTACTAGTAACTAACAAAGGTGCTTTTGGCTATAGAATTTTCAAATTTGGTGTCACTGAAGCCAAATGAGCACATGAAAGGATGCTTGACGTCACTGGTCAGAGAACTATGAATAAACCACAGTGAGATACTACTACATGTCTGTTAGAATGGCTAAAATTAAAGATTAAGACTGGCCATAGCAAGTGTTAACGAGAACATGGAGCAACTGAAATTCTCATGTATTTTCAATGGGAATGTAAAATGGTACAGCAGTTTGGCAGTTTATTATAAAGCTAATGTATACTTACTGTGTGACACAACAATGCCACTTTGGGGTTTTTATGTCTCCCCTCCCCTGCCCCCAACCCAAAATAAAAACATGTCTGCTGAAATAATTATATGTGATTTTTTTTTTTACATTTTTTGTGACGGACTCTCGCTCTGTTGCCCAAGCTGGAATGCAGTGGTGCGATCTTGGCTCACTGCAACCTCCACCTCCCAGGTTCAAGCGATTCTCCTGCCTCAGCCTCCTGAGTAGCTGGGATTACAGGAACCCGCCATCATGCCTGGCTAATTTTTGTATTTTTGTAGAAACGGGGTTTCCCCATGTTGGCCAGGCTGGTCTTGAACTCCTGATGTCAGGTGATCCGCCTGCCTCGGCCTCCCAAACTGCTGGGATTACAGGCATGAGCCACTGTGCCCAGCCTGTAAGTGAATGTTTATTTCAGCTTTATTCATAATAATGTCAAACTGTAAACAACCCCAAACAGGTGAATTTATAATTACATTATGGCATATTCAAGCTATGCAATACTACTGAGCAACAAAATGGAATGAACTATTGATATATACAATATCATAGATGAATCTCAAAAATGTTCAGCAAATGGAGACAGACTTAAAACAGTTAACATTCTATGATTCCATTAATATGGTATTGTAAAAAAATTAATCTATAGTGACAGAAAGCAGATGTGTGGTTGCCTGAGGCTGTGGTACAGGTAGGTGGGAGAGTGAGGGGAAGGAAGCCAAGGGAAGTTTTTGGAGCGATGGTCATGCTCTATATGTTGGTTGTGGTAGGGGTTACGCTGGTGTTAAAATTTGTCAAAACCCATCAAACTGTACAATTAAAATTTGTGCATTTTACTGTATGTAATTTATACCTCAATAAAGTTAATGTAAAAAGAAAATGAGGCACTCTTTCTATGAATGGGTTTTAGGGACAGGTAAACCAGTGAGAGAGAGAGAGCACTCACTTTTTTTCTTTTTTAGAAGACTGAGGCTGAGTGATAGGCAGCGGCATTGTTGTGCACAATCTGCTTTGTTGTATGATTCTCTTGAGACCTGACTCAATTTATGGGCTCCTTCTTTGGGCAAGAAACTTAAGTTGGGGTCTCATTATTGTGTTCTGGGAGCGTTAGGTCACTGCATTCCTCATGGGCTCCAGGCATCCCGAGGAAGGCGTCTGCTCAGGAAGCATGCTCAGCCTTGAAACTGAGAAGGGAGGTCAAATGAGGATGTGCATCTTTTGCTTCTGCACCTCCAGTAATTTCTTCTCTTTGTAAAGAAGCCAGGTGTTGATAATAGTCACTAATACTTAGTTGAGTGAATGTAGGAAAACCCAGATAAACTTTCCTCTCATCCACAGATTTCTCTGGCCAGTTCAGGGAGACAAATGGAAGAGTTCATTTGCGGGAGGGGATTTGTGACAGTTAGGTAGATCATAATCTCAACTACTTTATGAAATGTAAATTACAGTTCTGTAGAAGTGAAAATTCACAGCATTACATCAAAATAAAAAAGGAAACAAAGCACTGGTGGGGGAGGCTGGGAGGTGGGAAAGGGACCTGTAGTTTCAGCTACTGGGGAGGCTGAGGTGGGAGGATCACCTGAGCCCAGGAGTTCAAGGCTGCAGTGAGCTATGATTGCATCTGTGAATGGCCACTGCACTCCAGCCTGGGCAACATGGCAAGAGCCCATCTCAAAAAAAAAAAAAAAAAAAAAAAAGGGAAACAAAGTATGACTATGAGCAACTCTCTTGTGGAGAAATGGCCAACATCATGTGCAAATAAGGGTTCCTTAAGTAGTACAGGGCACCTTACTAGGCCATTCCCATGAATTATCTCATTTAGAAACCAAACTTCCTATCCAAGGCCCATCTTAAATTACTGTTTTCCTTTCCAATGAACCATTTTCCCTCCCTATGGGAGACACTTAAATGTTCTTGGCCAATTAAACAAATGTTCTTGGCCAATTAAGCAAATTTCAAGAAGTCTTTTTTTTTTTTAGAAGTCTATCTTTTTTAGCTGCCTTAAGCACTTTTTAGAAAAATGAAAACAAAGGAAAAGGAAACAATCAAGAATTCCCTAAGGACATTACATTTTAAATAATTTAAGACATTGTATGGCTCTGAATGTGGTTATTTTCTCGCTGTGCAGGCCAGAGCTGGAAGTCAGCCACCTGGGCTTAGTCTTCACAGTCTTAGAAACAAAGTGTGTGACCTTCAGCAAATCTAACCTTTGTACCACTTTTCTCCATGGTCAAATGATGGTGATATCATTTTCTTAAACTATCTTAGTGAGTAAAAAGGTTTCACTGAAATACTGGATGTGGTAACAGTTTGAAAAATTAAATGTTTAATAAAAATCCATGTAAAGCCAGTTTTTTACAATTAAAAGAAAACTTTTAACATGTTGTAAACATAATATATGTGCTTTCACTATATGGACTGGATCTCTAAAGCAATAAACATCATCAGTCATCTTTTACTTTTCCAATTCTCTTAACAGGTTGTTAAGAATGATCCTCTGTGACTGCACTAAATATTTTTTAAGTTGCATACTGAGGTGTTGCAGAAGTTACTTTATTATTAAAAAAACAGCCTGGGAACTGAAGCCTAGAAATGGGATAAGAATTATAATTTCAAGACAAAAGCAAGCAACTGGGTCAGAGAAATGATACAATGATTAACCTTCATATGTGGTCTGTACTTCATCCAATGAAGGGTGTAACAGTAAAAAATAAAGTAGAATGCACACAGATCTGTAATGTTTTTGTGGGGAGTAAAAAGAGTATCATGAATTTGGTCTAAGGCTGGCGCTGGCATTGTCACAGACTCATTGTCTGATACTGCTTGGCTGTGTCCCCACCCAAATCTCATCTGGAATTATAGCTCCCATAATTCCCACATGTTGTGGGAGGGACCTGGTGGGAGGTAACTGAATCACGGGGGAGGTTTCCCCCATACTGTTCTCGTGGTAGTGAGTAAGCCTCATGAGATCTCATGGTTTTATAAGGCAAAACCCCTTTCGCTTGGCTCTCATTCTCTCTTGCCTGCCACCAGGTAAGACGTGCCTTTTGCCTTCCACCTTCTGCCGTGATTGTGAGGACCCGCCAGCCACGTGGAACTGTGAGTCCATTAAACTTCTTTTTCTTTATAAATTATCTAGTGGTGGGTATGTCTTTATCAGCAGCATGAAAACGGACTAATACACTATCTCTTGTGCCTGATCTGCTAGGCTTCCCCACCTCCTGCCCCACCCTCCCCTCCACTCTCCCTGCTCCCTAGTCCTCCTCTCCCTCTTTCTCCACTCTCTCCTTGTCACATCATATCTGAGGGTAGAAATTACTTTCAGTTTTTTTTTTTTTTTAAAGGAAACTTAGGAACACGTGAAATGTTTTTCTTCTTCTTGAGTTGTTTAATTTGGTTTAACAAATGTTAATTGAGCACAGGCTGCCAGGCAGGAGATACAAAGGTAAATAATATGAGGTCCTTGTCCTCACGTTATTGAAGATCTTAGGGTAGGTCAAACTAAACGAAGATGCAAAAAAATGCTCCAGGGCTTTGAGGTGGGTGAGAGCACAACTGGCTATGTGGATCAGAAGGTTTTGTGGCAAAACTTCCATCCCTTGGCCCAGGCCTTGAGTGGGAAGGGAGATTTCCATGAGTGGGCATGGGGGAAGGTGGCCCCAAAGGCAGAATAAAAACCAAGCAAAGGGCAGAAGAGTGCCAGGTGGGTTTCAAGCAGCACTCAATCCCGTGTGCCTGGAATGTAGACAGTGTGTGTGTGCAGTTGGGGATGCTGGAGATCTGCTGGAAAGGCAGACTGGGTGGGAGCGTGGGGTACACAAAAGGCCTGCTGAGAACTTCAGCCTTTATACTGTAGGCCTTGTGAAAGAAGGTGGGAAAATATTGCTGTTAGTCTGCTTTTACTCACAGGACTTTATTTGCATGGATATGTGCCCGCCCAGTCTCCTGTTCTTTGCCTTCCTGCCCCACATAAAAACAGCTGCAGCCTCAGGAAAGTGGTTTGAGGGAGCCATGGCAGATTTGACTCTGGGGATGGTCAGGAGGCAATTTCCAACCTCCGCATCAGCTGGCTCCAGTTACAGCTTTTTTCTGGGGGCCTGCATTGAGCTTCAGACCCTGACCTTGACCCCCAAGGAGAAGGATATAAAAAGGGGCTTGCTTGGTTCCCTGCTCAGCGCCCACAGTGACTAAGGCTCTTACTGGGACCCGCCCACAATTGGAGGTGAGATGGGGGTAGGAATGGGAGGTGCAGAGGCTGGGCAAAGCTGGCCCAGGGGCTGCAGCGGGCAGAGCTGGACCAGAGGCTGCAGCACAGCCATTTGCACCCAGCTTAATGGGCTCGAAGGGCTGGAGTTCTTGGAGGGCTCACCCTGGGAAGAAGGGCTGCTGAGGAAGTTGCTACATGCCATTACTAGCAAGAAGTGAAGCTGAGAGGAGCTTTTCTAAATGATCCATAATAAGAAAGAAAAATGTCAATTAATTGTGTTAGTGGAAAAAACAATATTTCATCCTCTATCCTTTCAATAGAAAATAACATTAAAATTAATGCCATACAATGAAGCAAACAAAGAGTATGTAAAAGAAAGTATTCTAGATGTACTATGCAGTCAATAAATAATAATAAAATGTTATTTTTCTGGACGTGATAATTGTAGTATTTGTCAGCTTTGAAAATTTTATAATTTGTCATGCTGTCTTTTGCATTCTAAATAAATAGTCACTTTCATACTTAATTTTGTGTTTGTAATTTTGTATTCTTTTTCTTAAAGATTCTCCAAATTGTGTAAGCTTCGGGGTCCCTGAAATTTGGATCAGCCTCTGGATAGTCCCCATAATTTTAGCTCAATAAATGTTTGATTAATTACAATTGCAAAGTACATTGAGCTCTGAGGACTGAAGAACACAAGGGAAATAACATGCATTTCAACAGAGACAAAATAAATAAATGAATTAGTGGCTTGGCTGGGAGGTCACTATCATTATATCTGGGATGTTTTAAAGATCAGGACAGTCAATGTTGGGCTCCAGATGAATTCCACACTCTACATGGTGGGGCCAGTCTGTCTGAGAGTGGCAGTCCAATTAGGGCTTAGCTATTAATGCCACAGTTTTGTGGCATTAATAATTTCCAATGGCATTTCCACATGCGATTTTCAGCAGATTATTTTCCCAATTAGGTTTCCCAATTTTAAATTAGGTGGGTTGTATAAATATAAAGTATTCAAGAAGGAGGAAAAGTATAATTTAACTCTCCACATGCAATTTTATTTGTCAAAGCACAAGGTTACTATTGAAAAATGGACAAATAAAAAATTGTCTCAGAGCTCTAACCAATGTCTAATTTAATAAGTAATTCCATAGTACAAGTATGTCAATTTGCTTTATTTTATCGAGTGGAAGCATTTGAAACATTATAAAAACTTATTTTAAAAAGAAATGTAATACTTTCGAGGTTTTTTTAATCTATAAAATAATGGTTTATAGGACTGGAAAGTGTGGTGAGGAGCAGATTTTTAAAATATTACAATGCTACAAAGTTACAACTTTCAAAAGTTACAACTTCTGGCTTTCAAAATCTAAAACAGGGACACGGTATAAAAAGAATGGTTTTCAAGACATTGGACAGCAAGAAAGAAAGTACAGCAACCCCTGAGAGATGGGTAACAAACAAGATGAACCTTCTTATTGTCCCAGCTTACTGCTTTGAGAGAGCATCCAGGTCTGTGTATGGAGCAGAAACACAAAAGGAGTCCAGAAATCTCCTCGTGCTGAGGAAAGACAGAGCTGAGGCTATGGGGAGACCAAAGCAGGTAGAGGGCTTGAAAGACACTTGATGTAAGTCACCTTTAAAGAATATGCATGCTGTTTCAGTGTACATGGAATGTTTACCAAAATAGAACATATTCTGGGCCACAGAACAAGTCTCAACAAGTTTGAACAGATTCAAGTCGTACAAACTGCTGACCATGATGGCATTAAATTAGAAATCAATTACAGAAAGATACCTGAAAACAAAAAAAACCTGAAACAAAACAGACTTTTAAATAACCCATGAATGAAAGAAAAAAGCAAAATGGAAATTAGAAATTATTTTTCATTGAATGAACATGAAAATATAACATATTAAAATTTGTAGGATACTGCTAAAGTGGTACTTAGAAATTTATAGCACTAAATGCTTATAGTAGAAAGGAAGTGGACTAGGGGAGGGATAGCATTAGGAGAAATACCTAATGTAGATGATGGGTTGATGAGTGTGGCAAACAATCATGGCACGTGTATACCTATGTAACAAACCTGCATGTTCTGCACATGTATCCCAGAACTTAAAGTATAATTAAAAAAAAGAAAAAGAGAAAACAAGTAAAGTCTTATATCAATGACTTCAGCTCCCACCTTAAGAAATTAGAAGCGTAAATAAAACCCAAAGTAAAGAGAAGGAAGAAAATGATAAAGTTGAGAGTGGAAATCAATGAAATAGAAAATAGAAAAAGAGAAAAATCAATGAACCCAAAAGCTGTTAATTTCAGAAGCTCAGCAACATTGATAAACTTCCAGCCATTGGTTATAATGTTACCTGTAGGGTAACAGCAAATATAGAAAACAGGAAATAGGGAAAACACAAATTACAAATATCAAGAATGAGAGAGGTGGCATCACTACAGATTTTATAGATAATAAAAGAATAAGGGAATATTATTAAATTTGTGCCAACAAATTTGACAACTTAAATGAAATAGAAAAATAGATAAATTCTTTGAAAGATACAAACTACCAAAGATCACTCCAGAAGAAAGATAATCTAAATAGCCCTGTATCTCTTAAAAGAACTGAAGTTGAAATTGTACTTGAAAACTTCCCCCAACAAAGAAAACTCCAGGTTCAGATGGGTTCACGAGTGAATTCCACTAAACATTTAAGGGAGAAACGATATCAATTCTACATAGTTTTTAAGGAAAATGAAGAAGGCAGGGTACTTTTCAACTCATTCTCTGAAGCCAGAATTACTCTGATACCAAAACCAGAAAAAGACTTTACAAGAAAACTACAAACCAATATCCGTTGTAAATATTTATGCAAAAACTTAAAATAAAATTTTAGTAAACCCACTGATACAATAAAAAGAATAACACATTAGGACTAAGTCAATTTTATCCCAGGAATGCAAGGCTGTCTTAATATTTTAAAATTCAAATATAATTCATCATATAAACTAAAACAGTAAAACCATATGATCATCTCAATGAACACAAGTGTGACAAAATTCAGTATTAATTCCATAAAAAAAACTCAGCAAAATAAGAACAAAAGAGAGCTTCTCAACTAGAAAAAGCGTATCTCCAAAAAAACCTACAGGTAACATTGTGATCAATGGCAAAAAATGGCATGCTTTCCCCTCAGATCAGAAATTAAAATAAGAACGCTTGCCCTCTTCTATTCCATGGTGTATTGAAAGTTCTAGCCTGTACAATAAGGCAAAAACAAAACAAAACCTTCAGATTAGAAAGAAAGAAGTAAAACTGTCTTTATACACAACTGATATAATCACAGTAGTAGAAAATCTAATGGAATCTACAAAAACGCTACCAGAAATAAGTGAGTTTAAAGAGGCTGCAGGATGCAAGATCAGTGTACACAACTGCATTTCTATATACAATAAAAAATCAGAAATTGAAAATATAATATATAAGAGCATCAAAATATGAAATACTTAGGAATAAGTTTGACAAAAATGTGAAAGACCTGTACATTGAAAACTGCAAAATATTGCTGAAAGGAACTAAAGACCTAAATAAATTAAGAGGTATACTATATTCATGGGTTGCAAGACTTAAAACTGATGTCAATTGAAATTGATCAATGTAATCACAATCAAAAATCACAACCACTTTTTTCTTGATGGAAATTTTAAAAACTAATTCTAAAATTCACATGGAAATGCAAATAACCTAGAGCAGTCCAAACAGAACAAAAACAAAGTTGGAGGAGTAACACTACCTGGTTTCAAATCTAGAAAACTACATTAATCAACATGATGTGGTATTGGTGTTGAGATCAATAAATAGATCAATGGAACAAAATAGAAAGTCCAGAAACAGACCCATGCATATATGGAAAGCTGATTTTGAGAAAGGTACAAAGGCAAGTCTATGGAGAAACAACAGTCTTTTCAGCAGATTTGGAGGCAAAACTTCATTAGATATGTTATAGAGTATTAGATAGATTGCAAGTTTGTAAATGTAAATGCTGAAATAATTAGATATCCAAATAACTTATAACAAATAAAGTTCAAGCCATACTCCAAACTATATACAAAAACCAAAACGTCTCAATTTAAATAATGGGCAAAATATTTGAATAGATACTTCACCATAAAAGATATACAGATGACAAATAAATGCACCAAAAAATGCTCAACATCATTTGTCATTAGAAAAATACAAATTAAACCCCCTATCAGATATACTACATGCCTAGTGCAGTAGCTAAAATGAAAAAGACTGACCCTACCAAGTGTTGTCAAGAAAGTAAAGCAAGCGGAACTCTCAGACGCTGTTGGTGAGAATGTGAAATGGTAAAACCACTTTGGAAAACAGTTTGACCGTTTTTTATAATGGTAGAAATACATCTACCATACTTCCTACTCCTGTGTATTTATCCAAGAGAAATGAAAGTATATGTACATTCGAAGACATTTATATGAATTTTCATAGATGATTTGTTTGTTATAATCAAATACTGGAAACAGGCCAAATGTCTATCAATAGATGAGTGGAGAAGCAAACTATGGTATATTTCTGTTATAAAATACTACTCAGAAATGAAAAGAAATGAACTATTAGTTCATGTTACCACATGGATGAGTCCCAAAATAATTATGCTGAGGGAAAGAAGTCAGACAAAGGGGTGTATAACACATAATTCTACTTATATAAAATACTAGAAAATGTAATGTATAATGACAGAAAGCAGATCAGTTGTTATTTGGAATGGGGTTGCAGAGAGAGATGCAAGAGGGAGAGATTACCAAGGGGCATGAAGAAACATTTGAAGTGATGAAAATGTTTGTTACCTTAACTGTGGTGATGGTTTCGTGGGTGTACACGTCAAAATTTATAAAATTATACACTTTAAATACATGCAGTTTTTTTGTATGTCAATTGTATCTCAATATTTTTTAAAACCCAACCTTATGATTTGGCTTCAAGTATCTAAAGCAAAACATAGGTTGAGGGGCTTCAAAATCACAGTACTTCAAGTATGAACTTTACTTGGTTCTAAAATGTATCTTGTCTTTGTGAAATCAACTATTCTTGTTAATTTCCCAATCAACAGGCCACAAAGTCCATAACCAAACCTTTCTCAACACACTCAGTTCAAGTAGATCAAGTCATTAAAAACAGGCTTCACTACCTTATCTTGTGGAGGAGGGGAAGGAAAAGGCGGGCATATGAAAAAAATAAAAGATACAAAATACATTGTTGGGAATTTATGATGCAAAACTAGAAAATGTCTATCAATATTCAAAATACAAATATAAGATTTTTCTTTACATTTTCTAGCTTTGTTTTCCTTCTTTCTTTACTGCTCTCTACCTTTTAAAATTCTTTTTTCCTTTCCCTTGTTTCCTTTTTTACCTTCTGTCTTTCCACTGTCTTTCACTTCCCACATCTCAATTCTCCCATTTGCTGGCAGGATTGTACAGTGGCTGACCACAGCATGGACTCTGGAGCAGTCTGCCCAACTCCAAATCTTTTGCTCATGGTGTTAGGCATGGAAATATCCTGTGCTTTAGCTCCCCTATCTTAAATGGGGTAATATCAAATGTTTCTTCCTCATAGGTTGCTGTGAGGTTTAAAATTGTTAATATAGGAAAAACACTTGGAATAGGTAATTACCAGGTAAGTGTTACCATTCTTAGAGCCCCCATTCTACATCAGACACACTGGACTCCAATCAATTAAACATAAACAGCCCCGGGCTCAAAGAAAGCACAAGTGAGATTCCAAGGGCTGGAACGCAATCCTGGCTTGGTCACTACAGTTGTCTGACCCCGACCCTGTCACTTACACATCAACGCTTAAACTGTTTATTGGTAAAAATGAGAAGTTTAGTGTAAAAGCTAACCCCATTCAGCTTGTACCACTGCTTTTTGAAATCGAAAAGTATAAAAATATTATCAAATGAAAAGCCTTTTGATAACTTTTAGGCACAAATGAGAAGTGGCATGGATTTTCATGTTACAATGAAGGCCATTTGTTATTTAGTAAGAAAGATAACATCGCAATTACATGGACATCACTAAAATTTCCGTGGACCACTAAGTTACTTCTTTAATGTTTTATGAGAAATTGCAACATACAGTTTGATTCTTATCTTCTGAAATCAAGCATATTCAAAGTTTGGGTCAGAACTCCCGCTTTCCAAAGTTGTACACGAAGTCTCTTGAGAAGTTAGCAGTTTGGGTACTTCGTCTGTGAGTGGCAGGTGTACCATCAGCTTGGACTTCGTGATCTAGCAGGAACAATCCTCATTTCAGGAACACTCTGCAGCTATTCTGTCTTCTCTGAGGTCAAGCACCATGAGTGGTGAGTGAAGTAACCATAGAAAACGAGATTCCCCATGGCTCACTTTGTGTGAAATTCCCTGGAGTAGGCATAATGTTCTACATATAATCCTGTCATTCAAGAAAATCACTCAGTTTTTAGAAAATAGGTGTATTTAATATAGAAACCATTTTTACGTGGCCTCATTACAGATAACTTCTTTATTTTGGTTTGTTTCCTCATCTTTATCTACACAGTACCTTTTATATATCCGTTGTGAGTAACTAAGACTAGATTAAGGAGTCGAAATAAGCCGTGTTTAAGTACCAACTCTTTCCACTTGTTAAGAAAGGTCTGTGACAAGTTATTTATTCCAAGCCTCAGTTATGTCATTACCTACATGGAAAGAAGAACACCTCCCTCACTGGATTGGACAGAGGATTAAATTGACAAAATATCCTATGTATCCTCTATAGCAGGGGTCCCTAAACCCCGGACCACAGGCTGGTACTCGTACTGGTAACTGGCTTGTGGCCTGTTAAGAACTGGGCCTCACAGCATGACATGAACTGTGGGCAAGTGAGCAAAGCTTCATCTGTATTTACAGCTGCTCCCCACTGCTCATATTACCACCTGAGCGCCTCCTCCTGTTGGATCAGTGGTGGGATTTGTACGGCCAACCCTACAGTGAACTGTGCATGTGAGGGATGTACGTTGCACACTCCTTATGTGTCCAGAATTGGTGGGTTCTTGGTCTCACTGACTTCAAGAATGAAGCCGTGGACCCTCGCGGTGAGTGGTACAGTTCTCAAAGGCGGCGTGTCTGGAGTTTGTTCCTTCTGATGTTCGGATGTGTTCGGAGTTTCTTCCTTCTGGTGGGTTTGTGGTCTCGCTGGCTCAGGAGTGAAGCTGCAGACCTTCGCGGTGAGTGTTACAGCTCATAAAGGCAGTGTGGACCGAGTGAGCAGCAGCAAGATTTATTGCAAAGAGCAAAAAAACAAAGCTTCCACAGTGCAGAGGGGGACCCCAGCAGGTTACCACTGCTGGTTCCGGCAGCCTTTTATTCTCTTCTCTGGCCCCACCCACATCCTGCTGATTGCTCCATTTTACAGAGAGCCAATTGGTCTGTTTTACAGAGAGCTGATTGGTCCGTTTTGACAGGGTGCTGATTGGCGTGTTTACAATCCCTGAGCTAGACACAAAAGTTCTCCACATCCCCACTAGATTAGCTAGATACAGAGTGTGGACATGAAGGTTCTCCAAGTTGCCACCAGAGTAGCTACAGAGTGTTGATTGGTGCATTCACAAACCCTGAGCTAGACACAGGGTGCTGATTGGTGTGTTTACAAACCTTGAGCTAGATACAGAGTGCTGATTGGTGTATTTACAATCCCTTAGCTAGACATAAAGGTTCCCCAAGTCCCCACCAGACTCAGGAGCCCAGATGGCTTCACCCAGTGGATCCCAGACCCGGCCACAGGTGGAGCTGCCTGCCAATCCCGTACCGTGCGCCGCACTCCTCAGCCCTTGGGTGGTCGATGGAATTGCGCACCGTGGAGCAGGGGGTGGCGCTCGTGGGGGAGGCTCCGTTTGCACAGGAGCCCAAGGAGGCGGGGGAGGTTCAGGCATGGGGGGCTGCAGGTCCCGAGCCCTGCCCTGCCGGGAGGCAGCTAAGGCCTGGTGAGAAATCCAGCACACCGCCAGTGAGCCAGCACTGCTGGGGGACCCAGCACACCCTCTGCAGCCGCTGGCCTGGGTGCTAAGCCCCTCATTGCCTGGGCCGGCAGGGCCGGCTGGCCGCTCCCAGTGTGGGGCCCGCCAAGCCCACGCCCACCCGGAACTCCAGCTGGCCCGCAAGCGCCGGGCACAGCCCCAGTTCCCTCTCACCCTCTCCCTGCACACCTCCCCGCAGGCTGAGGGAGCCGGCTCCGGCCTTGGCCAGCTCAGGAAGGGGCTCCCACAGTGCAGCGGTGGGCTGAAGGGCTCCTCAAGTGCCGCCAAAGTGGGAGCCCAGGCAGAGGAGGCGCAGAGAGCGAGCGAGGGCTGCCAGCATGCTGTCACCTCTCATGAGAATCAATGCCTGATAGGTCTGTCACGGTCTCCCGTCACCCCTAGATGGGACCATCTAGTTGCAGGAAAACAAGTTCAGGGCTCCCACTGGTTCTACATTATGGTGGGTTGTATAATTATTTCATTATATATTACACTGTAATAATAATAGAAATAAAGTGCACACTAAATGTAATGCACTTGAATCATCCTGAAACCATCCCCTCACCCGCGGATCCAGGGAAAAATTGTCTTCCATGAAACTGGCCCCTGGTGCCAAAAAAGGTTGGGGACCACTGCTGTATAGCACACCCTTCTAGGTTATCAGATTCTAGTCCTGTTCACGGTTTTTTAGCTATTTAGCAATTATTTGCAATGGTTTTAGTTTTAAAAAATTATTTTTAAATTAAAAAAAATTTTTTTGAAACAGTTTCACTCTGTCACCCAGAGTGCTGTGGAGAGTGGAGTGTAGTGGCGCAATTACAGCTCATCACAGCCTTGACCTCCTGGGTTGAAGTAATCCTCCCACCTCAGCCTCCCAAGTAGCTGTAACTACAGGCATGCACCACCACGCTCAGCTAATTTTTGTAGAGATGGGATTTCACCATGTTGCCCAGGCTTGTCTTGAACTCCTGAGCTCAATGAATCCTCCCGCCTCAGCCTCCCGAACATAATTTCTCTGATTAAATGGCTTTATGAGGAATACAGATATGACAGTATGACTCTGGAAGGGGGCATACAGCAGGGAGTTAATGCTCCTTTGAAAGGTTATTACCAGGATGAGGAGGGGAATTCCCTTTGTTAATACCCATTTGGAGAAAAGGCCAAATGTGTCAGAAACTCCTAATTCTCTAAAGACTGAATTAAGAGTACTACATTTCTATTGGGTCAAGCTCATATCCAGAAACAACTACACTGATTACCCAGTCAACGGATATCAACTTGTCCATTGAAGACATATTATGAGAAACAATAATTTTGTTAAAATATAATACATGAACACTGATTAGATCTTATGTCAGGTTCCAATTATGAGTCCCAAATCCCACTGCTACCCACCAGGAGTGTTTCTTGGTAGTCCTCATAATTCGTAAAGGAAGTGTTTGTACCACTCTGCCGGAATGAGTTGCTCCCACAAAACCTACAACATACTTGATTCTATGTCATTTGGTGCTAGCTGGATTCACCTTTCTATACTTTCACATTCCTTTAGCTGTTTAGAGATAGCCAGAGGTATCCATAGCCTCTCAGCATATCCACGAGAGAACCTGCAAGACTCTTGCCCCATCTAGCCAAGAGTTTCAACATTAGACCAGTTGTCAGAGCAAAGTGAGAACCAGCTGGACTGATTCAGTATCTTGACTGATCATTATAGAAGATGGGGCTAGGGGGTTGCTTAATTTACCTAACCAGAATGTCTATCACGGCTTGAAATTTTAAGTGTATAAATGTGTGTGTGCGTGTGTGCGTGTGCGTGCATGTGCACCCATGTATTTGGGACAGTAAACAGAAAATCCAAATTTTTACTCTGACTTCCAAGATGAGGCTGATTAAGAGGTAGCAGGGAATCTTTATAGCTCACTGCTAAGTTCAACCTAAAAAAATCACTTTATTTATTATTAAAAACTGGGAAATATAGGAAAAATACAGCTCCACAGAAATATAAACTACTACTATTTTAGTGTATTCCCCACCAGATGCTCTTCTGTGCTTATTTTTATACTGTTGAGATCCTATGTATGTACTATTTTTGACTTGTACTTGCACTTAAGATGTTCTGTGCCGTTGCCTATAACATTTTTGTAATTATTTTTAATGTCAAAATGTTATTCGATTGTAGTTATATTTCAGTGTGGCTAGCTGCTTTCTTACTGTTGGACATAATGCTATGCTGTTATGAACATCTGTGAATCAGTCACTGCACTTTACTCTTTATGATTATTTCCATGACTAAAGATTTAATACTTTTCAAAGGCTCTCGATAAATTTTACCAAAGGTTTGTGCCAAAATACTTTTTAAATTTTTTCTTTTATATTTTCATATTTAATGTACCCAAGTGACAAAATATTCTCTCACTAACCGTGTATGAGAATGCTCCATCTCATGACAATATTGCTAGCATTGAATGCTTTCCGAATGAAGAAAAAAAATCCTTGCTAGTGTCAGGCCTCTCAGCCCAAGCTAAGCCATCGTATTCCCTGTGACCTGCATTATACGTCCAGGTGGCCCCAAGCAAGTGAAGAATCACAAAAGAAGTGAAAATGGCTGGTCCCTGCCTTAACTGATGACATTCCACCACAAAAGAAGTGAAAATAGCCGGTCCCTGCCTTAACTGATGACATTATCTCGTGAAATTCCTTCTCCGGGCTCATCCTGGCTCAAAAGCTCCTGCAATGAGCACCTTGTTACCCCCACCCTTGCCAGGCAGAGAACAAGGCCCTTTGACTGTAATCTTCCACTACCTACCCAAATTTTATAAAATGGCCCCACCCTTACCTTCCTTTGCTGACTCTCTTTTCGGACTCAGTCTGCCTGCACCCAGATGAAATAGCCTTGTTGCTCACACAAAGCCTGTTTGGTGGTCTCTTCACATGGACACGAGTGAAAGCTAGTTTGATGGTAAAACAGTATTTTATTGTAATTTTATTCACATCTTTTGATTACCAGTTACAATACTACATTTGTTTGTTTTTCCTCTTCTGCCAACAACTTGTTCATGTCCTTTGCTGAGTTTTCCATTTTTCATCCACATTAATGAAATTATTTTGTCTTACGAAGTCTCCATTGAAACAATAAAATATTCATGAGAATTCATTTTATTGGATTTAAATATTTTATTTAAAGAAATATTCTTAAGGCTGCAGTTTATTGATAAGAAAAATATAAAGCATACATGTTTATAGATTATGTATTGACATTATAGTATATAGATTCTCCAAATAACATAATTAATTTTGTAGTGCTACTAGTGGAATGCATTCTGCAGAAACATGGCTTTACCTTCAAATCTAAGCACAATACCCTTACATCAAAAATGAAGGATAATAAAAGCACAACTTTGATTCATTTAAATTTTGGTAGACCACATCTGATTTGTTGAAGAGTAAATTCGTTTATTTACCTCTTCAAGGAAGTCATTATTTTTTGCATCTCTTTCTGTGCCTCTTTATCCTATAAAGAAAATACAAATACATAATGAAATTTCATGCATTCATCTTGATACTCTAGCATGCTGAAACAGACTTACACTGACTTGAGGAGATTCCCCAACATGAGAACTTTAAGGTTCATGAGGGTACGTGCAATCACCAAATACTTTCCCTAATTCAGGACATTGACAGTGTTTTATTATTTTTTTTAATAATTTTCTTTTTTTTCATTGTAACAAGTTGCTTTTCTCTTAGTGAGTGTTTTATACAGCATTAATCCTCACATGTCCTGGAGTGTCGCTCTATGAGTAAAGGGTTTATCATGTTTATTTCATTGAATTCCTTCTCCAGCATGAAGTATCTAGTATTTTCCCAACAGGTTTCTTCCTCCTGGAAAAAGCTCGCCACTTTCTTTCCTGTTTTACTCTAAGTTTTTTTTCCATATCAAGGCTTGAGCTTTGCCTGAAGGGTGTAGGGTTTAGCCCTGTGGGAGCTCTCTGGTATCTAAAAGATGGCATCTTTCAGATAGATGGAAACTTGAGTGAGACCACCTATAAAGGTTAGGGCTGAGGTTGAAGGCTGTTCCAAATGCTGTACATTTATAGGGTTTCTCTCCATGTGCATTGTCTCATTATGACTAAGGTGAGATCATTAAATGAAGGCTTTCCCACACAGATCATATTCATATGGCTTCTCTCCAGTGTTAATTCACGGTGTTGTTTAAAGGATAAATGGTCACTGAAGGCATTTCCACACTGACTACAGACAAAGAGTTCTTTGGTATGAATAAAAGTTAACTCTCTGGATGAGGTGTTTCCTACATTCATTACATTTATGGAGTTTCCCTCCAGTGGGAGCTAACACATGCTGAGTCAATGTTGAGCTGTGACAACTTCCTCATACTCATTATATTCCAAGGGCTCCTCTCCACTGTGACATCTCTGCTACTGAGGACATAACAGGCTGTTAGAGCCTTGCTCAAATACCTTCATTTATTCATTTATTTTCCCACATATGAATCTGATGCCGAGCATTCAGTATAGTCTCTAGTTAACGTCTTCCACGTTGGTTACACTGATACAGTGTGTTACTCTCCTTTGCGTACAGAAGTGTTCTCCTTTGTAGCAGGTCAGCTGCATAGCTATATGATTAATTTTATGGTTTTCATTATGTTTCAAGCACTTAATATATTGGCTATATTTATGCAATTGCCCTCTTATAAGAACTCAGGTTATGGTTTGGAGCTCAGGTTATTCCTTTTCTCCCAAATCTGAACTATCCACACCTTTGAGCTGAGATAGCACACTTTCTCTAGCCTCAAATTAAAGTCATATGATTGTGCTGCATTCCTAATTTGGCCCTCCCCAGGCCAATTCTGCTGTGGAGGAACAGAGTTCACCCTTACGAATCTCAGTATTGACATGTTGTTAGATCGCTCCTTCCTGTAGATATTCTACACGGAAGTTCTGTCTTTGTTTTTAAGACTTTCTTGCCCGGATGCTGGTTTTGAGGATTTTCTCCAGAATCACATCTCTGTGCAGCTTCCTCTGAGATGGGTCTAGCAGAGTCTACTCTTTCTGAGTAAAATCCAAAGCATTATCCTTAAAGGTCAACATTTCCTTTTTTTTCTTTTTTTTTTTTTTTGAGACGGAGTCTCGCTCTGTTGCCAGGCTGGAGTGCAGTGGCGCAATCTCCGCCTACTGCAACCTCCGCCTTCCGGGTTCAAGTGATTACCCTGCCTCAGCCTCCCGAGTAGCTGGGGCTACAGGCACGTGCTACCATGCCCAGCTAATTTTTGTATTTTTAGTAGAGACAGGGTTTCACCATGTTGGCCAGGATGGTCTCGATCTCTTGACCTAATGATCTGCACGCCTCTGCCTCCCAAAGTGCTGGGATTATAGCTGTGAGCCACCACGCCCAGTCGAGGGTCAACAATTCCTATCGTTGTACTGTCAAGAACTCAGTCACCACCTGTCTTTCTCTGTAATCTCATTCAGGGGCCATCTGAGCACTAAGCCAGAAGGGCAGAACCCAGACAGATAGAAACTTGAGACCACGATGATACTGGGGTTGGGGTTACCACATTCGGGAGCTCAGAGCTTCCTTCTAACTTTCTAGAAAAAGCCAGGAACCTGTATTTTTAATGAGCCCTCTACTGTCCAAGCAAGTCTTAAATATTTAAACAACTGGGTTTAAATTCTAATTTCCTTAGATTATATAGCAAAACCTCAGGATGACCTTTCCTGGCCCATGGCCCAAGTTGCAGTACCAGTTTTATTTTCTCATAAATCTCTGTGCTTTTATTTCCAAAACACTCATCAAATTTTATTGCTATGACTTTTTCAGTGCCTGCCTTTCCCACTAGACCACAGAATTCATGATGGCAGAGGTATCTGTTTTTTTCTCTTTGTATCACAAGCCTCTAGCAGAGTACACCTCTATAATTGTAAAATAACTGAATAAAGATAATCTCTCTCTTTCACCCAAACACACATATTCAAAAATATAGATTTATTTCATCTGATAGTGTTGGAAAAATATGGTTTAGAAAACTACATCAATGCTCTCTGCTAAAGACTGGATAAATAAGAGAGAGACTTATTTACATTAAACTGTCATTATTCTCCTAGCATTTGGGTAGTGACTATCACACACCAACTTCATGAGACTGGGTACTGGTTAAGAACAGCTAGTCCCAAACTGATGCTGTATCATCAATTATTTTAAGAAAATAAATAAATAAAAGGGTTCTAAGAAACTTCTTTAGAGTGTTTTTAAGATCAATTTAAACAATACAACCAAGACCATTACATATATTGCAAAATCTTAAGAAATAATACATTTTAAATGCAAATGACAAGAAGGTAAGAGTCAAAAGAGTAGAAATAGCGGGTTGTAAACAGACTTTCTACAAATCATGAAAATGACTGTTTAGACAGCGGGAAAAGTCTGTCTATACTATCTATACTGTAATAGCCTTATTAATTTTTTTTTTGCGACGGAGTTTCACTCTTGTTGCCCTGGCTGGAGTGCAATGGCACGATCTCAGCTCACCACAACCTCTGCCTCCCAGGTTCAAGAGATTCTCCTGCCTCGGCCTCCCTAGTAGCTGGGATTATAGGCATGTGCCACCACGCCCGACTAATTTTGTGTTTTTTTTTTTAGTAAAGATGGGGTTTCTCCATGTTGCTCAGGCTGGTCTCGAACTCCCGACCTCAGGTGATCCGCCCGCCTCGGCCGCCCAAAGTGCTGGGATTACAGGCGTGAGCCACGACGCCCGGCTGCCTTATTAATTTTCTAAAAAGTACTAGGAATAATTCTCCAGGCACGGATAGCACAGATGAGTTAATTTACAAGAAATAAGTTTCAACCAGAAAGAAATGGGCAAACAAGAATTTCTAGCAAATGAGACAACATTACAGGATTTTGACAAGAGACCCATTTATTACCCTGAGCTGTAGCATTTCTATAACAGGAAGGCAGAGTGAATGGATACAAATTCTGTTTTATAACTTATCCAGAAAACCAATGTTTTCAAGATATCATAATCAAATATGATATCTTAATTAAGAAAGAGCATTTAAAGCAGAATTAGGATTTTGTTACTAAGAGCAGTTACCAATGAGAGTTATGCTTCTCAACTCATAAAACAGGTTGGAAATACAGCTCAAAACTTTAATCAACAGGCCATTTCAAAGACAACTATACCACTTGCTAAATATAACGTGCTCTTAACTTTTAGCACTCCCAGAGTACACTTCTTTTTGTGGTTTGTTTCTGGTAACATTGGATTTACTAGTCTATGAGTCTGTTTGTCTTAGAAAGGTGACTAATGCCATTTCAAAATGTTTCAGCAATTTTAAAATATGGGTTTTTCTTTACCAGTTTAGCACCTCTTATCATACAACATTACATAATGCTTTTTATATTTGAGCTTTCTCAGTAGGCTCCACGTTGATGAACTTTAATACTGCCTCCAGGCAAACAACTTTCAGGTTGCCAGTGAAGTCATTATTTCATTCAGCAATCGTTCTCACACTGTCTTAGACACAGAAATCCCTTTTTTAAAAAAGAAATGTTTCTCAGGATCTGAGATTACTTTCCTAGGGTCAAGAAAAGTCCACATGAATAATAAAAATACTGTAGTTTCAAATTCTGGGAATGTAAAGCTGCTTACACCTTTGAATCTGGGCTCTAGAGACCAAACGACTGACACTCCCAATATCAACTAGCAGTGTGATGAGCTGAGAGTTCCCTAATAGGGGACAGAAGACATGTCCACAAATGCCTATAATGCAAGGAAGAAGCTATAAATGCCACAAGAAAGAAACAAACATCTTATGAAATGTCACACGAGAGAGTAAACTGATGGCTAGGTTGTCCTCTTGTAACTAGTGGCATTGCTAGACATTTTGGAAATGAATAAACTTGGTTAGCAAAATCACTAATGGGGTATATTTCAATCTGAAAAAACTTTATAGAGATGGAGGGGTATTACATATAACTCACTTCATCCTATTTTCTCATGGAAAAAGAAATGGAAATATACCTTACATACCTTTACTACTTGGAAAAAAATTGCTAAGAATACAAATGGAGACATCACTGAGGAAAAAAATGCAATGTGAGAAATATTTGCTCATACTATTTTGCTTATTACAGAAATACTTCCAATGTCTAGCCTTCTTACATTCATTAGGAGTCCTCTTTATTATTACTATTGACACTATTATTTTTATTTGTACGATATTAATGCCTTGGTTCTTTCTATCAACACTTACTGAGTGCTTATTATATGCTAGGCAGTTACACAGGATTAGGGGTACAGTGATGAATGAGACAAACCTGGTTGTTACTTTCATGGAACAATCACATTAATAATGACATAATAACTGTGTGAAATGATAGCAAGGAAAAGTATAGGGGCTTTCTTGCCAGCAGGCGTCAAGGAAGTCTTTCCTGACGAAACAGCATCCATGGTAAGGCCTGGAGGATAGGAAGGAATAAAGCTAGTGGAAGGAGCAGAGGGTGGGTAGGAGTGTTTCAGGAAGTGGAACAGTATGTTCTAAGGGTGAAGGGCAGGCTGGGTGGTGCAGAGGAGAGGGGAGCTGGGAACATATGAAGCTTGAGAGATTGGTAGGAGCTGGGTCAGAGCCTTGAAAGACATGCTAAAAATTCTGACCCTCATCCCAGCAGCAAAGGGTTTTGAGCAGGGAAGTGACATGTTGACGTTTACATTTAATCTGTTGCTTGGGCTGCTACTGGGAGTCAAGAGTGGCCTGGCGGGAGGCAAGGAAGCTGTGAGGAGAATGACTGGGAGGCTGGTACAATCTGTGGTCCGGGGGAAAGTGGGCACATTCCTTTTGCTCCAGGCAAACCGAGCTTTGCTCTCTCACTTTTGTGCCTCTGTTCATGACCTGCAATATACTTGCCCACAACTCCATATTATACAGATCTTTCAAAGTCTACCTCTGATGCCACCTGGCCTCTTCTAGGTAAAAATAATTTCTCCCTTTTGAAAATTTCCATAACTGATGATTTGTACTTCTCTTAGTACCTTATGCTTTCTGCTTCGAGCTATAGTTATTTGGACACACATCATATATTCCCTTCTAGGCTATAGGCTCCTAGAAGGCAACAGGTGTGTCTTATTTGTTTATAGTTCAGATCACAATAAATATTGGAACTTGTATTGCTCCAACACAGAAAAAGAGGAGGGTTTTTTTTACTGAGGCATTTATTTTCTGTTAATGATTTAGAGGATGATAGTGTTTGGTGGTATGAGAAAAGGAGGAAAATATATACCTATTTTTTTGTTGTTGTTCCCACAACACCAGTCAACAGCTCACAGGAGCAGACTGAGTTGTTAACCCTGTGGAATGCTTGAAACTTAAAGCATACCCAGAATCCTGACTTACTGAATCAAAGGGCAAGAGACAGGGCAATAGTTTATTTTTCATTAATGGCCAGTGTCCAAAAACCAAGAACATGTTATTACATATTTTTCATCTTTGTCATGGCCTTGGATAGCCACACCTGCTGTGAATTGAGGACTGAGGATGGCAACCCATGGTCACTCCCCTTACTCTAGGCTGGGCCACCTGTCTAGCTTGTTTGCTGCCTACATAGTTAATCTCCAGCTCCCCGGAATTATGCTGTGCCCCCTCCTTCCCACTGAAGGAATTATGCTTGCTTCACTCCCTGCTGTCTTACATCTAACAAGGATCAGGATGTTTTAACTGGTAGGGGCCTCCTGGTGACAGGTTATCTTACAGAGATACAGCAAATTTTAAAACTTTATAGTACATGTAAAATCCAAGTCAAAGGTTTTAGTATGAAAGAAAACTCTGGGGTGGAGCCAAGATGGCTGAATAGCAACAGCTCCAGTCTACAGCTCCGAGCGTGAGTGATGCAGAAGATGGGTGATTTCTGCATTTCCACCTGAGGTACCGGGTGCATCTCACTGGGGAGTGTCAGAAAGCGGGTGCAGGACAGTGGCTGCAGTGCACCGAGCATGAGCCGAAGCTGGGCAAGACATTGCCTCACCTGGGAAGTGCAAAGGGTAAGGGAATTCCCTTTCCTAGTCAAAGAAAGGGGTGACAAACGGCACCTGGAAGATCGGGTCACTCCCACCCTAATACTGCGCTTTTCCAATGGTCTTAGCAAGTGGCACACCAGGAGATTATATCCCTCTCCTGGCTCGGAGGGTCCTATGCCCATGGAGCCTTGCTCATTGCTAGCACAGCAGTCTGAGATCAAACTGCAAGGCAGCAGCAAGGCTGGGGGAGGGGAGCGAGCCATTGCCGAGGCTTGAGTAGCTAAACAAAGCAGCCAGGAAGCTCGAATTAGGTGGAGCCCACCACAGCTCAAGGAGGCCTGCCTGCCTCTGTAGACTCCACCTCTGGGGGCAGGGCTTAGCCAAACAAAAGGCAGCAGAATCCTCTGCAGACTTAAATGTCCCTGTCTGACAGCACTGAAGAGAGTAGTGGTTCTCCCAGCACGCAGCTGGAGATCTGAGAATGGACAGACTGCCTCCTCAAGTGGGTCCCTGACCCCTGAGTAGCCTAACTGGGAGGCACCACCCAGCAAGGGCAGACTGACACCTCAGATGCCCGGGTACTCCTCTGAGACAAAACTTCCAGAGGAACGATCAGGCAGCAACATTTGCTGCTCACGAATATCCACTGTTCTGCAGCCTCTGCTGCTGATACCCAGGCAAACAGGGTCTGGAGTGGACCTCCAGCAAACTCCAACAGACCTGCAGCTGAGGGTCCTGACTGTTAGAAGGAAAACTAATAAACAGAAAGGACATCCACACCAAAACCCCATCTGTACGTCACCATCATCAAAGACCAAAGGTAGAAAAAAACCACAAAGATGGGGAAAAAACAGAGCAGAAAAACTGGAAACTCTAAAAATCAGAGCGCCTCTCCTCCTCCAAAGGAATGCAGCTCCTCACCAGCAACGGAACAAAGCTGGACGGAGAATGACTCTGACAAGTTGAGAGAAGAAGGCTTCAGACGATCAAACTACTCCGAGCTAAAGGAGGAAGTTCGAAACCATGGCAAAGAAGTTAAAAACCTTGAAAAAAAATTAGATGAATGGCTAACTAGAATAATCAACGCAGAGAATTCCTTAAAGGACCTGATGGAGCTGAAAACCAAGGCACGAGAACTACGTGACAAATGCACAAGCCTCAGTAGCCAATTTGATCAACTGGAAGAAAGGGTATCAGTGATGGAAAATCAAATGAATGAAATGAAGCGAGAGGAGAAGTGTAGAGAAAAAAGAATAAAAAGAAACGAACAAAGCCTCCAAGAAATGTGGGACTATGTGAAAAGACCAAATCTACGTCTGATTGGTGTACCTGAAAGTGATGTGACAGGGAGAATGGAACCAAGTTGGAAAACACTCTGCAGGATATCATCCAGGAGAACTTCCCCAATCTAGCAAAGCAGGCCAACATTCAAATTCAGGAAATACAGAGAACGCCAAAAAGATACTCCTCGAGAAGACTAACTCCAAGACATGTAATTGTCAGATTCACCAAAGTTGAAATGAAGGAAAAAATGTTAAGGGCAGCCAGAGAGAAAGGACGGGTTACCCATAAAGGGAAGCCCATCAGACTAACAGCTGATCTCTCAGCAGAAACTCTACAAGCCAGAAGAGAGTGGGGGCCAATATTCCACATTCTTAAAGAAAAGAATTTTCAACCCAGAATTTCATATCCAGCCAAACTAAGCTTCATAAGTGAAGGAGAAATAAAATCCCTTACAGACGAGCAAATGCTGAGAGATTTTGTCACCACCAGACCTGCCCTAAAAGAGCTCCTGAAGGAAGCACTCAACATGGAAAGGAACAACCGGTACCAGCCACTGCAAAAACATGCCAAATTGTAAAGACCATCGAGGCTAGGAAGAAACTGCATCAGCTAATGAGCGAAATAACCAGCTAACATCATAATGACAGGATCAAATTCACACATAACAATATTAACTTTAAATGTAAATGGGCTAAATGCTCCAACTAAGACACAGACAGGCCAATTGGATAAAGAGTCAAGACCCAACAGTGTGCTGTATTCAGGAAACCCATCTCACGTGCAGAGACACACATAGGCTCAAAATAAAGGGATGGAGGAAGATCTACCAAGCAAATGGAAAACAAAAAAAGGCAGGGGTTGCAATCCCAGTCTCTGAGAAAACAGACTTTAAACCAACAAAGATCAAAAGAGACAAAGAAGGCCATTACATAATGGTAAAGGGATCAATTCAACAAGGAGAGCAAACTATCCTAAATATATATGCACCCAATACAGGAGCACCCAGATTCATAAAACAAGTCCTTAGTGACTTACAAAAAGACTTAGACTCCCACACAGTAATAATGGGAGACTTTAACACCCCACTGTCAACATTAGACAGATCAACGAGACAGAAAGTTAACAAGGATACCCAGGAATTGAACTCAGCTCTGCACCAAGCGGACCTAACAGACATCTACAGAACTCTCCACCCCAAATCAACAGAATACACATTCTTCTTAGCACCATGCCACACTTATTCCAAAATTGACCACACAGTTGGAAGTAAAGCTCTCCTCGGCAAATGTAAAAGAACAGAAATTATAACAAACTGTCTCTCAGACTACAGTGCAATCAAACTAGAACTCAGGATTAAGAAACTCACTCAAAACCCCTCAAATACATGGAAACTGAACAACCTGCTCCTGAGTGACTACTGGGTACATAAAGAAATGAAGGCAGAAATAAAGATGTTCTTTGAAACCAACGAGAACAAAGATACAACATATCAGAATCTCTGGGACACATTCGAAGCAGTGTGTAGAGGGAAATTTATAGCACTAAATGCCCACCAGAGAAAGCAGGAAAGATCTAAGATTGACACCCTAACATCACAATTAAAAGAACTAGAGAAGCAAGAGTAAACACATTCAAAAGCTAGCAGAAGGCAAGAAATAACTAAGATCAGAGCAGAACTGAAGGAAACAGAGACATAAAAAACCCTTCAAAAAATCAATGAATCCAGGAGCTGATTTTTTGAAAAGATCAACAAAATTGATAGACCTCTAGGAAGACTAATAAAGAAGAAAAGACAGAAGAATCAAATAGACGCAATAAAAAATGATAAAGGGGATATCACCACCGATCCCACAGAAATACAAACTACCATCAGAGAATACTATAAACACCTCTACGCAAATAAACTAGAAAATCTGGAAGACATGGATAAATTCCTCGACACTTACACCCTCCCAAGACTAAACCAGGAAGAAGTTGAATCTCTTAACAGACCAATAACAGGCTCTGAAATCGAGGCAATAATTAATAGCTTACCAACCAAAAGAAGTCCAGGACCAGATGGATTCACAGCCAAATTCTACCAGAGGTACAAGGAGGAGCTGGTACCATTCCTTCTGAAACTATTCCAATCAACAGAAAAAGAGGGAATCCTCCCTAACTCATTTTATGAGGCCAGCATCATCCTGATACCAAAGCCTGGCAGAGATACAACAAAAAAAGAGAATTTTAGACTAATATCCCTGATGAACATCGATGCAAAAATCCTCAATAAAATACTGGCAAACCGAATCCAGCAGCACATCAAAAAGCTTATCCACCATCATCAAGTGGGCTTCATCCCTGGGATGCAAGGCTGGTTCAACATACGTAGATCAATAAATGTAATCCAGCATATAAACAGAACCAAGGACAAAAAACATATGATTATCTCAATAGATGCAGAAAAGGCCTTTGACAAAATTCAACAACACTTCATGCTAAAAACCCTTAATAAATTAGGTATTGATGGGACGTATCTCAAAATAATAAGAGCTATCTATGACAAACCCACAGCCAGTATCGTACGGAATGGGCAAAAACTGGAAGCATTCCCTTTGAAAACTGGCACAAGACAGGGATGCCCTCTCTCACCACTCCTATTCAACATAGTATTGGAAGTACTGGCCAGGGCAATCAGGCAGGAGAAGGAAATAAAGGGTATTCAATTAGGAAAAGAGGAAGTCAAATTGTCCCTGTTTGCAGATGACATGATTGTATATCTAGAAAATCCCATCATCTCAGCCCAAAATCTCCTTAAGCTGATAGGCAACTTCAGCAAAGTCTCAGGATACAAAATCAATGTGCAAAAATCACAAGCATTCTTATACACCAATAACAGACAAACAGAGAGCCAAATCATGAGTGAACTCCCATTCACAATTGCTTCAAAGAGAATAAAATACCTAGGAATTCAACTTACAAGGGACGTGAAGGACCTCTTCGAGGAGAACTACAAACCACTGCTCCAATGAAATAAAAGAGGATACAAACAAATGGAAGAACATTCCATGCTCATGGGTAGGAAGAATCAATATCGTGAAAATGGCCATACTGACCAAGGTAATTTATAGATTCAATGTCATCCCCATCAAGCTACCAATGACTTTCTTCACAGAATTGGAAAAAACTACCTTAAAGTTCATATGGAACCAAAAAAGAGCCCACATTGCCAAGTCAATCCTAAGCCAAAAGAACAAAGCTGGAGGCATCATGCTACCAGACTTCAAACTATACTACAAGGCTACAGTCACCAAAACAGCATGGTACTGGTACCAAAACAGAGATATAGACCAATGGAACAGAACAGAGCCCTCAGAAATAATGCTGCATATCTACAACCATCTGATCTTTGACAAACCTGACAAAAACAAGAAATGGGGAAACGATCCCCTACTTAATAAATGGTGCTGGGAAAACTGGCTAGCCATATGTAGAAAGCTGAAACTGGATCCCTTCCTTACACCTTATACAAAAATTAATTCAAGATGGATTAAAGACTTACATGTTAGACCTAAAACCATAAAAACCCTAGGAGAAAACTTAGGCACTACCATTCAGGACATAGGCATGGGCAAGGACTTCATGTGTAAAACACCAAAAGCAATGGCAACAAAAGCCAAAATTCACAAATGGGATCTAATGAAACTAAAGAGCTTCTGCACAGCAAAAGAACCTACCAACAGAGTGAACCGGCAACCTACAGAATGGGAGAAAATTTTTGCAATCTACTCATCTGACAAAGGGCTAATATCCAGAATCTACAATGAACTCAAACAAATTTACAAGAAAAAAACAAACAACCCCATCAAAAAGTGGGCACAGGATATGAACAGACACTTCTCAAAAGAAGACATTTATGCAGACAAAAGACACATGAAAAAATGCTCATCATCACTGGCCATCAGAGAAATGCAAATCAAAACCACAATGAGACACCATCTCACACCAGTTAGAATGGCAATCATTAAAAAGTCAGGAAACAACAGGTGCTGGAGAGGATGTGGAGAAATAGGAACACTTTTACACTGTTGGTGGGACTGTAAACTAGTTCAACCGTTGTGCAAGTCAGTGTGGCGATTCCTCAGGGATCTAGAACTAGAAATACCATTTGACCCAGCCATTTGACCCATTACTGGGTATATAGCCAAAGATTATAAATCATGCTGCTTTAAAGACACATGCACACGTATGTTTATAGCAGCACTATTCACAATAGCAAAGACTTGGAACCAACCCAAATGTCCAACAATGATAGACTGGATTAAGAAAATGTGGCACATATACACCATGGAATACTATGCAGCCATAAAAAATGATGAGTTCATGTCCTTTGTAGGGACATGGATGAAGCTGGAAACCATCATTCTCAGCAAACTATCGCAAGGACAAAAAACCAAACACCACATGTTGTCACTCATAGGTGGGAACTGAACAATCAGAACACATGGACGCAGGAACGGGAACATCACACACCGGGGCCTGTTGTGGGGTGGGGGGAGTGGGGAGGGATAGCATTAGGAGATATATATACCTAATGTTAAATGACGAGTTAATGGGTGCAGCACACCAACATGGCACATATATACATATGTAACAAGCCTGCATGTTGTGCACATGTACCCTAAAACTTAAAGTATAATAAAAAAAAAAAGAAAGAAAACTCCATCATAGAAGGAGAGAGTAGAAGGGTGGCTGTCAGGGGCTGGAAGAGTGGGAGAAATGGGGAGATATTGGTCTAGGGTACACAGTTTCAGTTATGCAGGATGAATAGGTTCTGGAGATTTAAAGGACAGCAATGTGACTGTAGTTAATAATACTGTATTGTATATTTGAAATTTGCTAAGAGAGTGGATCTCAAATGTTCTCAACAATAAAAAAAGTAACTATGTGAGGCGATGAATGTGTTAATTAGCTTGATTGTGGTAGTCATTTCATAATGTATATGTCTATCAAAACATCATGCTGTATACATATAGTTTTTGTCAATTATACTTCAATAAAGGTAGAATAAAAATAAATACATAAAATTGAATAGAGAAAACTACAAATGTATCTAAGCGAGTTATTCCTGTTTTGAGCTCGAATAGTACTAACAAGACAACAGCACTCACTGTCACTTTCTGGACTTACCTCTTTGGTAACAGTAGGAAGCAATAAAGCCAAATTACAGAACTTCAAAGCATTCTGGTTTTCCTCAAGATCAGTATAACACTGGAAATGAGAAATAACCAATATTAAACATAATCCGTTTTTATGCGATAGGTTCAAAGTGATCTTAAAGCAGAACAGTGGTCTTCATTACCTTTGCTAAGTACATGTAATTGGGATTAGAATAACCAGGGCATAGTTCTTCAGCCTGATTTGAGAGAAAAACATGAGAGAATAACAGGGCAATATTAAAATAACAGTAACCACAAGTGAAGAGAATATATTTAAATAAATCAAATATTATGAACCAAACTGCCCTAAGAATTTAGGTTGGTTGTTTCACATTTGAATCACTTGATCAGTTTAAGTATCTTTTGGGTGGAAACATAGCCTTTGCATTTAGCCATTAAAATAAAATTGATTACCATGGTCATAAAGCTTACAAAGCAATGAGATACTTTATGGTTTTCAGATTTCTTTACATAATCATTTTCCTCAGTCTTCTTTCTCTATCCTTTTCTTTTCAAGAACAAAAACAACTGGTGATATTCCTAGGACAAGTCCTATATATTTGTCTGTCTGTCTGTCTGTCTGCCTATCTATCTATCTATCTATCTATCTATCTATCTATCTATCTATCTATCTATCTATCAGGTCTTGCTTTGTTGCCCAGGCTGGAGTGCAGTGGCGCGATCTCAGCTCACTGCAACCTCCGCCTCCCAGGTTCAGGCAATTCTCCTGCCTTGGCCTCCAGAGTAGCTGGGATTACAGGTACCTGCCACCATGCCTGGCTAATTTTTGTATTTTTAATAGAGATGGGATTTCACCATATTGTCCAGGCTTGTCTCAAACTCCTGACCTCAGGTGATCCACCCTCCTCGACCTCCCAAAGTGCTGGGATTACAGGCATGAGCCACCACTCCCAGCCTCACTATCTATTTAGAAAATAAGAGTAGAGCATGACTGGTACCCCATGGCAAGCATCTTCCACTAGATTAATATTTGATTTCTTGTGATTTCAACATATTCCACAGGAGTTAAATAATATCTGAAGTCCATCAAATCATGGACTTTTAAAGGAAAGACAGATCCTTGAAACATCCAGTTCAGGTAGTAGACATGAGTAGGTATTATAAAGGTACTTTTCTCCTATCTACTGATCTTTTATGTACCAGTTCCTTTATCTCTGGGAAATAAGAATTCTTTCAGGTATGGTATTGTCACTAGACAGCTCTTCTTAGAACCTAAGTCAGTCTTGCTTCAGAGTCAGCTTTCGCTGTTTTGAAGGCCCAGGCAAGCAAGCTTACAACCTGGAGTCTCCACCCTAGAGGGGGGTAGAACACAAGAGAAGAGGATACTTTTAAAAATTTACAAAAATATCCTTGTTTCACAAGATATGAACAATTCAGACATTTCCAAAATTAAAAAGTGAAAGTTTCTCCTTCCCAGTTTTATTCTCAACTTCAGGCTCATGCCACAGAGGTAACCACTATCAGCCGTTTGACATGTAACCTACCAGACTCTTTGCCAAGTATAGGCAAATAAAAAAACAGATATTTGGCTTTTGAAAACAAAACAAAATGGAACCATTTTACATATATATAATTTACAGATATATAATTCTTGTCAATTATACCTCAGTAAAGCTAGAAAAACACAAATACATAAAACTGAATAAATGTGCACATTGATAGAAAATCTACATATTGGCTCCAGACTTTTTTTCCCATATTACAAACACATTTTCATGTCAGCATAGATATACTTCATCATTTTCAATAGCTGTATTTCATATTCTGCATGAATCATAATGAAAGGAAGCATTCTCCATTGGACATCTTGATTTATTCTCCGTTTTCATTATTACTACTAATAACCAATTAACATACTTTTTCCCATATGCTTGTGTACATGTGTGTTTATTCCTGTAAGGGAGATTCCCAGAAGTTGAATTGCTGAGTCAAAATAATATATATATTTTTAAAGATAGATACTAATGAAGATAAATCCAAATCAGGGTGCTAAGAAGTGGTCCAACACCTTATAAGGGCACATCCCTTGTAAAAGACATTTTATTCTGTACAGAATCCAAAAGAGAAGGGTTCTAGAAGAAGGAGGACAAAAATCTCCTACTAGGGTAGGGAGCCAGACTCGGTATAAATCTTTAAGACCAGGTAGGTTAACAGTGTCTGGGCGTGGAATGAAACCTGCTGGAGAGACAGCAAAGCTACCAACAAATTAAAGGAAGTTGTCAATTTCAATCAAGCCAGAGCCTTGACCATCCTACAGTGGCATCCATGGATTCTGGTTCTTCTGCTTCTTCTCTCTTAATCAATGGATTCTGGTTTTCCTGCTTCTTCTCTCTTATCCATGGATTCTGGTTCTCCTGTTTCTCTCTTGTCTAATCATTTCCATTTCAAGTCTTCTAGTTTGGTAAGTGCATTTCTTGAGCCATTCTAATAAGAGGGACTTAAGACTGAACTTTATTCAATTATACCTTCTTCTATGCCTGGTAGTTGCCTCAGCTCTGTCCGAATCCCATATTGGGGATAACTTGCCCCAGTGTATGCATGTAAACAGCTTATTTCTTTAATGCTGGCATTCTAATTCTGGATATATAGCTTAACACCCATGTTTAGTTAACTAAAGTGATTATAAATCAGAACATCTCTTTTTGTTCTCATGGTTTAAAAATCTGAAGCCCAACAGAACACAGACAGGCAACTAACAACACTGAATTCCTAAGGTAAAACAGATTCTGACCTTTCACAAAAGGACTTGGATGAATTACAAGGAGGGTAGCATTAGCTAATGTTTCAATGTAATGTTCCAATGATGAGGCAGTTTCTAGAAAGGCCCTTAGAACACTCTTTATCATAACACCTGGCAAAGAATATTATACATATTTAATTTGTCTTGGCTATCCAAGTTCCCTGAAGGTAGGAACTTTGTTGGTCATTTCTGTGTTCCCAGTATTTGATGCCATGTTTGGCACTAGTTATGTGCTTAATAAACACTGTTGAACAAATTAGCTCTTCTTTAAAACATCTTATAAGCTCAAGCAGCAGCCTTATACCATATCAGGACACAGCCAAGAGTTCTGCAGCTGGGGAAGCCACTAGTACAGACTCAGGGATCATATGACTGCAAACAATAAGTGCAATCAGGGTAGCCTGTCTCCCAACATTGCCACACCTGTCATTTACTACACACACCCATCCTCTGATCCAGTGGTTTCCAGCCATGCCAGCAGCTGCCATTGGAATCAATAGTTTTATGATCTTTAAAAACACTGATCAACGTTTAAAAGCACATACCATATGACACAACAATTCCACCCCTAGGTTCTTATCCAAGAGAAATAAAATATGTCAATACCAAACTTGCATTTGAATGTTCACAGAAGCTTTATGCAAAATAGCATCAAACCAGAAACAACTCAAATGTCTATCAGTAAGTTAACACATAAACAAATTATGGTATATCCATATAATGGAATATTACTTAGCAATGAAAAGGAGCTGCTGATACACTCAATAAAATGAATGAATCTCAAAACAGTATGCTGAGTAAAAGCCAGATATACACAAAAGTACATGTTGTATGATTCCATTTATATTAAATTTTAGAATGGGCAAAACTAATTTATAGTGATAGAAAGCAGATCAGTGGTTACTTGGGGCAGGAGATGGGGGAAATTGACAGCAAAGAGGCAAAGAAAACTCTCTAGGATGATGAAAATGCTATCTTGAAATGGTGGTGGTTACAGTGGTGGTTACATAGGTATATAAGTTTGTCAAACTTCACTGAACTGTACACTTAAAATGGGTACAATTTATTGCTTATAAACTATACTTCAAGATACCCAGAGGTTCTGAAACAATGAGTCTGGGTCATGGCCTGGGCTGCCATTTTGTAAGGTGCCTCAGATGACTGCAATGCACAGCCAAGGTTGAGAACCACTGCCCTAGGGAATCATGCCAGAATTTTGGATGAGGTGGGAAGCATGCTATAGTTTGAAAGAATTTCCCCAGGGGATTCACAGATGACTCCTACAGGTGTCTAAACCACCTCCCTAGATGCTTTGAGGCTGTGGAGGACCAATTTTCCCCTGCTATAATAGCAAAACAATAGTAGCTAACATTGATTTTTAGTTAGAACATTTAACATGTTAGACCCTGGGGTAAGAATATAAAATATATTATTTTCTGTAACCTTCACAAAAACTGTACAAAGTAGGTATTATTATGGCCATTTCACGGATGAAGAATTTGAGAGTGGGAGAACTAAGGAAATGTGTGTCCAGGTCATTCAGACAGGAAAGGCTCAGGTCTCAACTTCACTTGTCAACTCCAAACCTAGTGTTCTCAACCTCTACGGGATCCAGCTGGATGGCTCTAGAGACACATTCCTGGCCCCTGTGAACGCTCTTTGGAGGGGTGGATTCGGGGCAGTCTGGGTACCAACAACACGGCCTCCTGTGTTGTAGGACCCGGGGGTTGCAGACTCTCCTGGGTGTGGGAGCCAGGGTCTGTGCTGTTTCCCTTTCATCTCCTCCACTTCCCAGATTTCTTAGTTCCACCACAGCCTTAGCCTCAGCACTCCAGACCCCTCAGTCCTCTCAGCTGTTCTAGTAAATATGGCAAGAAGCATTCCTGATGCCTCCTCTCTTTTCTTTGACAAACAACATGGAAGGCATTTTGAGACTAAAGTCTAAGTAATGACCTAATGCGGGGCTCCCCAAGATGGTTTGCTGAGGTGTTTAAATTTTAATGAAATTAAAATTCCGTGAGTTTTTGCTGAGGACTTACTGGGTGCTAGGCACACTCTAAGCAATTTACTTGTAAGAATGTAGATAATCCTTACAACACCACTATGAGGTAAGTACTATTATCTCCATGTTATTGATGAAACTGAGAGAGAGGTTAAGCAATTTGCGCAGTGTTAATCAGCTGGTAAGTGGTAGAGCTGAGATTTAACCAGGTAGTCTGGTTCCGAAATTTGCATTCTTTACCTCAGCATTATTGTGCTACTTACCACTTTTGATTTCATCTGTGTATTATTTCAGGCACATTAGCATCTCAAGAACTTTTCTACAGTGTTCTGAAAACCTGCTCCTCAATTATAACTTTGATATTATGAGGAAATGAGTTTTGAGTACAGATAACATTTTTGCTAGTTAATGTGGCATCTTTTATATAAATATTTTATCTTAAATAGATCATAATCTACATTCTTATACAATTTAAAAAGAGGGAACTAATTTTCAGTGGTAGGAAAAGGGTGAAGAAATGGGAGTGATACAGTCTTAGCCTTCACTTATATTTAAATCAAATCTTTGATTGTCATTGTGTGAAATGCAACAAATTAAGTTCCTGAGGTATTGACTCCCTTTTTATACAACAAAAAAAGGGATCACATTACATAAAAAATAAGAAATGTACAGCCCGTTTCTTTTTTATTTTTTGAACTCTTTTCTGCTGGGCTTGTGCTTGATTTCAGGACACTTATTTTTTCACTTGAGGCAGCCACTGGCCATTGGGGGTGAGAGATAGAAAGTGAGAAGAAACCTAGACTACATGATCTACAAATTCCCTCTCAGTTCTACAAAACTGCTCCCTGAAATACAGCACAAATATTAGCATGTACAAGACGTTTATTATTATTATTTTTGAGATAAGGTCATGCTCTTTTGGTCAGGCTGGAGTGCAGTGGTGTGATCATGGCTCACTGCGGCCTTGAACTACTGGGCTCAAGTGATTCTCCTGCCTCAGTCTCCTGAGTAGCTGGGACTGTTGTTATGCCACCATGCCCAGCAAATTTTTTTATTTTTTTGTAGAGATGGCATGTTGCTATGTTGCCCAGGCTGGTCTCAAACTCCTGGCCTCAAGCAATCCTCCTACCTCGGCCTTCCAAAGTGTTGGGATTACAGAGGTGAGCCACTGCATGCAGCCTTGTCTGTATTTTTGTAAACTTGAAGTAGGTAGGTTGGGAAGGAAAACACATTTAGTAACTATAAAATTTTGAAACTGGTTCCAGAGAAAGGTAAAGGGATTATTACCCCCACAGGAAGTTGATTATATGGGTGGCTATATTATACATTTACATGTGAGCTCACACACACATATATTACTGCTTAGAGTTGTATAGTACAGCGATTATACATTTTAAGACAGGATTGAGAATACTGATTTGGTCTGATACCCCAAGAATCTTCCAGAGAAATGTCTGCAACTTTAGGAGTTAGCTTTTAAAATAACTCTTCCTTTAGCACTTTTATTTCCTTAAGATTAAACTGGTTCTATGTTAGGCTAATCAGGAGGACTGGGACTAAGTTTAACCATCAGGGCGTGACTGTTTCTGCACATGCTCAAGTGACTCAGAGAGCTGTTCTTGGACTTAGCAGTAAGAGCTGTCAAACCTAAACCTTCATTTAGGCTGCTGGGTTATTTTTAAAAAGTAGTTTGTAATTCCTAGAACCTAGGGCATAACTAGTTGTTCTAAGGAGTTTAGACTTAAAACATATTAATAACTTGCATTATGAGGGGCTTAAAACAGAACATGCCAAAACCAGGATTCAAACTGAGGCTCCACATGGAGAAAAGATTTCCTTGACAACGGCAGCAGGGATTGGTGCAGATGGTAATCAGTCTGACACTAAAATAATGGATACACAAAATGTACCTTAAGGAAATTGTGTAAAGCTTCTTGTACAGTTGAAGATGGTATTTTTCCAAACAGAGTAGCAGCCATTTTTTTCTCAATCCAGCTCAGTTTTGAGACCTGCAAATACACAACAACATCACTCTTAGAAAGTTGTTCACCTTTTGAATGGATTATCTCTCCCCAGTTAGACGTGTGTGTGTTATGTGTATATACGTGTGTGTGTGTATAGATATAACATATACAAATGAAAACATATATCCATAAATAATATATATTAGAGATACCACCCTCATGGTATTCATGTTAATATTTTACCTTCCTTTTTCACAATTCTAAAGAACCATGGGGTCCAGAAGCACTGGTTTCAAAACCAACCTGAAATACTCTGGATAAGAAGATTTGTGTCAAATCAGAGGAAAAAGGGGTGGGGTGGGAAATAATGCTGATCCCGTTTGTTCATCTGATTCTGGATTCTGAGGTAACTACGGTGTATCTCTTCGTACAGCACACAGGGGCTACAAGACTCCGCCTTTGCTCTCCTCCTGCCTACTCCATGCTGCCAACTGGCCTCCTGACCCAGAGGTAGCATCTCAGATATGTAAATAGAATAGGGATCCTCAAGCCAGAAGGAGCAGGGAATGGGGACCCACTATACATATTTACAATCCCGAAGATTTTTTAAAAAATCAGTAACCACCAAAACTAAATTTCATATTACCACTGATTTTTTTGCTTTCTTCTAAAAAGTTTTGCTCTTTCCCCAAATATAAATATTAGATGTTCATTCTAAAAGATTAAACTGGCTCAAAAATGAACACTTAAAAGGGTATTGACCCAGTTGATGCTTGTCCAACCCCATAAATTATCTTCCTTCTCAGTCCCATCACCTAGATTCCTTGGTAGCCAATATCCTCTTTTTTTTTTTTTTTTTCTTTTTTTTTTTTGGCAATGTCTCACCTTGTTGCTCAGGCTGGATCATACCGTACAGCGGCACGATCATGGCTCACTGCAGCCTCGACCTCCTGGGCTCAACAATCCTCCCACTTCAGCCTCCTGAACAGTTGGAACTACAGGTGTGCATCACATGCTCAATTAATTTTTTAAATTTTTTGTAGAGACAGGGTCTTCCTATATTGTCCAGGCTGGTCCTGAACTCCTGGGCTCAAGAGATCCTCCTGCCTCAGACTCTCAAAGTGCTAGGATTACAGGCATAAGCCACCTTGCCCAGTCCATTATCCTCTAATTTAAAAATTATTTCCTTATTTTTTGACATAATTTTTCTTATTCGTATGCTTATTTTTGCTTCGCTTTGAACTTTGTAAAAAATAATATATTGCTTATTTCCTTATATGACTTGCTTTTTCACTTAATGGTATGATTCTAAGATTTCATCCAGGATAATGAGTATGACTGAAGTTCAGTCATTTAAATAACTGAAATATTTCATCATTTCAACAGTGGAGCACATTTGTGAGTCTCTGTAGGGTAGGCACGATCACATGGCAGGCAAACAGTCAAATTTAAAAGATGCTAATCAATGGTTCCCAAGGTAGTCGCGCTGATTTATGTTTCCACAGCAATCTAATAATTCCCGCTGCTCCATACATATCCTTGAAACACCTCATACTGAGATTTTACAATTTTTATAAAAAGAATAGGAATAAAATGGCATCTACTTGGGGTTTTCATTATCATTTCTATAATTTTGTTTTTTAAATTTTTAGTTTAATTGCATTATGATCAGAAAAACTGCATGACATCAGTTCTTTGAAATGTATTAAGACTAGTTTCACAGCCTCATATATGGTCCATTTTAGCACACATTCTGCATATGCTTGAAAAGATGTCTATTCTCCAATGGTTAGCCACATGGCTTCATATTTATTAGATCAAGCTTATTAAATGTGAGGCTCCAATGTTTTACAAACTAATACATTTTTGTTTTCTTGTTCCATTAATTACTAAAAGGGGTGGGTGAAAATACCAGTATATGGTTGATCTGTACATTTATCCTTATAATTTGGTCAATTTTTATTTTATAGTTCTGAGGCTGTTATTACAAGCACACTAGTTTATAAACACTTTCCTTGTGAATTAAACTTACTATATAGTTACACTCTTTATCTCTAGATATACTTTTGCCTTAAAATTTATGAGTGTGTGTGTGTAGTAGTAGTAGTAGTAGTAGTAGTAGTAGTAGTAGTAGTAGTCATCCCCTCTTCTTCAGGGGGTATATTCCAGGACCCCCAACAGATGCCTGAAACCATATATATGTTTTAGTTTGATTATTATTTATTTGGTTACTATTTGATATAACTTTTCTACATGTTTACTTTCTATGTTTCTCAGTCACTAGGTATTTTTTAAATTGGCTTTACTGAGGTATAATCTATATAAAATAAAATTTCCTCCATTACAAGTGTACAGTTCAGCGAGTTTTGACAAATGCATACAATCCTGTAACTGCCACAACAACCAATATATAGTACATTTTCATCATCCTAAAAAGTTCTCTCATACCCCTTTGCTGTCAATCTCCTTAACCTGCTCCTAGCCCTACACAAATACTGATCTGACTATAATTTGCCTTTTCTAGAGTTTCATATCAATGCAATTAGGTAGTCTTCTGTGAGCTTTCTCGGCATAATGCTTTGAAGAGTCATGCATGTTGTTATGCTGCTAAGGCTGCTATGAAAATTCATATGCTAGTCTTTGTGTGAGCATATATTTTTATTTCTCTTGGTGAATACTTAGGAATTGATAATGTATTTATTATTCACATATTCCCATTGAAACATATGAGTTTCAATTGCTCTATATCCTCGCTGGTACTTGGTATTGTCATCTTTTAAATTTTAGCCCTTTTAAAAAGTGAATAAATAGCGGTCTTTCTCTGTGGTTTTAATTTGCATTTTTCTAATGACTACTGATGATCAGTATCTTTTCATATGCTTGCTTACCACTCACAGACTTTCTTTTGTTAAGTAATTGAAATGTGATCTGGAAAACAGTCAAACATATGTGGAAACACTTCTAGTTTTCATCTTTTCAATTTAATTTTATGGCTATAATTGGTGTTGGACAACATGCTGTAATTAGCATAGGTAATGTTATAAAGACTGCCTGACATCATGGAGGAAGAGAAAAGCTCTGTTAAGTCCTTCTGAAATTTCTAGCTTGTCCTGTTACATGGCCGTAACAGTTTATTTTCAGAAAGCAGCACTGAATTTTGCTCATGCTGCTCATCTATCCGATGCCAATTCCTCTTATTTTAAAAAACACATTATAGCTACATATTAAATATTCTGTATCCCACATTTCCAAAATCTGAAGTCTTTTTAGGTCCACTGCTGGTTTTTTGTTTTGTTTTCTGCTGACTGTCATTACTGTTGGCTTGTTTCCTTGTATAGTCTATAATTTTTGACTGTGAACTCATCATTGTTGGGACACTTTCTGTGAAAGTTTGACAAAGCCTATCTAAAGGTACCTTCCTCTACAGAGGATTAGCATGTGCTTTTGCCATTTCTCTATGGTGTGAAGATCAGAGTCCATTTTGAATTAAAATTTCTTTCTTGAGCTTTTAAGTCTAGACAGGTAATGTACATTGAAGCTCCAGACACTTGTGAGGTTGGGTAAACGGCTTTTAAATCTTAGCAGCGTTTCCTCCTTTCAACTCTATCTTCCCAATTGTTAAGGCTGAAAATGAATTTTCACTGCTGTAAGCTTGTGCTGAATAAATTTTATTTAAGTTCATCTCCCCCCCACCCCCCACCAGGCATTGTACTTTTGGAGTCCCAGATATATTGTGGCAGTCTTCAAGCTGCTCTCTGCTCTGCTCAGGTCTCTAGTCCCCCAGTCCCAACAAAGGTCTACAGACTAAGCTTTAGGTTACCAGCCTTGGTAAATGCCTCCGACTATCAGGTGGTTTCAAGGCTGGCTTACCAGTACTTGGAACTGGTATTCTTGCTTTGTTTCTGGCCTTTGGCTGTTCCCCTTATTGTTATTTTTTTTTTTTTCTGTAGGTTCTTCCATTGACCTGATTAGAAACAGACATACACACTTCAGACTAACACACACTTTAAGATATTGTGTGGCCAGAAAATTTTGAGTTCTCTAGTCTGCATATGCTGGAAACTTTCTTTACACATTTGCTCATACTTGCTTTATTACCTTGGCGGAAGCTGATTCCCCCTGGTGGAAAGAGTTCCAACTTCCTCTTCCACAATTCATATTCATTATCTATACTTATAATTTATAGGCAGTAGAGCTTACTAGTTAAGAGCAAAGATTTTAGAAGTAAACTGCCTGGGCCAGGTGCGGTGGTTCATGCCTGTAATCCCAGCATTTTGGGAGGCCGAGGCAGGTGGATCATTTGAGGCCAGGAGTGTGAGACCAGCCTGGCCAACATGGCGAAACTCCGTCTCTACTAAAAATAAAAATAAAATAAAAAAATACCCGAGCGTGGTGGCACACGCGTGTAATCCCAGCTACTCGGGAGGCTGAGTCAAGAGAATCACTTGAACCCAGAAGGTGGAGGCTGCAGTGAGCCGAGATCATGCCACTGCACTCCAGCCTGGGTGCCAGAGCGAGACTTGGTCAAAGAAAAGAAAAGAAAAAAAAAAGAAACAAACTGCTTGTGTTTGAATCCTGTTCTCCTGCTTATTAGCTGAGTGACCCTGGGCAAATTATTAACCTTATTAACCTTATAGGGTTTTTGAAAAAGTGAGTGAGCTACAATATATGTTTACAGTCACATAAAATGCTTACAAGAGCCACGTACACATTAGCCATTATTACTACTGCTTTTTATTCTTTGTTTTTTTTGTACTTTTTCTCTAGTTTTAGTGAATCAATCATTTAAGAAACAAATACTTGTAGAAGCAGCTTATTTTAAGTGCAAAAAACTGAGCTAGATGCTGAAGAAAAATTACCAGGAAGTGTAAAATGTGCATTCTTTCCTTGAAGAGATTTCAGATAACTTGGGATCAACAGAAAAGAAACAGTAAGTAAAACATGTGAGTTGTTGGAAGGTAATACAAACTTAGCAAATTAACAGTATACTCAACAGTGCAATATTTCAGAGAATGAAGGCATCATTGTGTATTTTACAACATTAAGTAGGTTATAAAAATTTGAGTGTTGTAATCATTCTATTATTTGACTTTGCCATCTTACAACCAGGAAAAAAAGAGAAAAACAGATGATATACCTTTACTCCTTTTTCCTTAACAAAATGTAAGTTTTCTTCGTACGTAACACAATATAAAGAGCATAAATTTTGGAATTCAATTTCAATTTCAATGCTGCCTCTTTCATTGACTAGTTAAATGGGACTTTGGGAAGGTTCTTAACATCATGAAGACTCAGATTTTTAATCTTTTAAAACTGGTATAATAATAACTGCTTCACAGCACTGTTTTAAGGATGAAATGCAGCAAGAAATATAAAGGACAGAATGCATATTTGGCATAGAGCAGGTGTTCAATAAAAGCAAACTTCCTTCTTCACCTCTAATTCTCTTTCAGCTGCAATGAAGAAGTTATCTCTTTGCCTACCCCAATTTTATCATTCAAAAATGGCATTGTCCTTTCACGATAATTTTTTTCACATATTCTTAAGATACATTTTCACATTCTGTAATTTTCTATAAACTAATAGTGTCATTTAAGACACGGACCAGCTGCTTTTATTTGAGCTATATATGTCGCGTATCCCTTCCAAATTAAGTTCCTTAAAAGCAAGGAGTGTTTTATTCATCCCTGGCCAGTTAGTTAGCACATAATTTGTGCTCAGTATACACTACTGGATGAAAAAAAGTCCTCTCACAGAACCGTGAATAGTGTACCTAGACACAGGGTGTGTGTGTGGATTGTTGATCCCAAACTGAGACAGCCACAAAGGGAGGGAACGTGACTACTGCAAAAAGAAATGAAAAAGCAGGAAAGAAAAAGATCACATATATATAAAATGTGGCATATAACATACAAATATATATAAATTACAAGTTTATAAATTATAAAATACATAGATTATAGCTTTTAAAATTATAATGTATAAATTATAAATTCAGATACAATTTTAACATATATATTATACATTAAAATAAAATTTTATTGCTATTATAATTCTCCCTAAAGTAGGCACTGGGTAAAAATAAAACAATAAGTCATTGAAAATTTATCCTATAATCATAGTATATTCAAATAAAGTTTATAAATAAAGGCATTCAACTTACAGTATAGCAGTATCTCCCTTTGAGGTAATATAGAAAGGGTTCCTCTGGTAAAAGTTTGATTGCTATATCTAGATGTTCCTGAAAAAAGCATCCAAAGGAAAATCATCTCCCAAGTTTCAGATATTGTTGACTGGAACTACACCAAAGCCTAGTAACTCAAAAGTGGTTTTAAAATATTGTCTCAGTTCTCCCCATCCCTATCATTAATACAATGAAATCTTATCAATAACTAAATTACCAAAAATGATTGCTTACAACCAGAACCAGAACTGTGACTAGGATTTAATAAAGCTATGTGTAATTTAAAGCCAAAATACTGTTATAAAAATTGAAAACACCGAAGTCATATGTTTGCCTACCCATGACTTGACTAGTGAATAGTTACTGATTCTGAGGTGAGCTTACAAATATCAAATGACATGGAATAGGGGATAATGGCAGAAAAAATAGCAGAGTTAGATGGGGGAGAAACCTATTCCTCTGGCATTATCAAATGGTTATAGGGAGCTGGAAAATAGGGAAGAACAGTTTATTCATCTCTGTAATTATTGACGTTGAGGGGTTATGTATTGAGCTATGGAGGCAAATACTACATTTTGTGTGTGTGTGTATTACTTACTTTATTTGTCTATCATGGCAAACTTAAATCCTACATTGGATCCTACTTTTCCTCCACCAAATCAATATGCAGAGATTGTTAACTACTTAGTGCTGGTCACACTTAAGATGTTATTGAGCTTATGACCAAAAGGCCTTTTTTTTTTTTTTTTTTTTTTTTTGAGATGGAGTCTCATTCTATTGCCCAGGCTCGAGTGCAGTGGCATGATCATGGCTCACTGCAACCTCCGCCTCCCTGGTTCAAGCGATTCTCCTGCTTCAGCCTCCCAAGTAGCTGGGATTACAGGCGCCCGCCACCATGCCTGGCTAATTTTTGTATTTTTAGTAGAGATGGGGTTTCACCATGTTGGCCAGGCTGGTCTCGAACTCCTGGCCTCAAGCAATCTGCCCGCTTCAGCCTCCCAAAGTGCTGTGATTACAGGTGTGAGCCACCACACCCGGCCGGCTAATTCTTAATCTTTGAAAAAGTGATACTCATCTACTCCGTGACTTCTTTCAGAATCTGGACTAATAATAATTTTTTTTTTTTTTTTTTTTCAGACGGAGTCTCACTCTGTCACCCAGGCTGGAGTGCAGTGGCGTGACCCTGGCTCACTGCAAGCTCCGCCCCCCAGGTTCATGCCATTCTCCTGCCTCAGCCTCCTGAGTAGCTGGGACTATAGGCGCCCGCCACCACTAATTTTTGTGTGTGTGTATTTTTAGTAGAGATGGGGCTTCACAGTGTTCGCCAGGATGGTCTCAATCTCCTGACCTCGTGATCCACCCACCTTGGCCTCCCAAAGTGCTGGGATTACAGGCGTGAGCCTCTGTGCCCGGCCAACTAATAATAATCTTTAATCACCCAAATAATTTAATTCTTTTTGTCACAGTACTATTTAAAGAGTATAATTTCATTTTCTAACATTTAAACAAAAAAGCAAATTCCCAGAGCTTAATCTGTTGAATAATCTGGTTTATACCCATTGATGGAACATATGGCTACATTAAAACATTTTTATTATTAATAAATACCCTTCCATATGTCTGGATCTGAAAAGAAATATGAAAAAAAAAAAAGAAATACCTTGAAGAGGTGCCCATAGTTGATTTTGTTTTGTAAACCCTCAAACTCAGATACATAGCCACACAAAACTGCATACCTGAAAAGGACAAAAACAGACAAAAACAGTGGCCACTGTGTAAATTTTTAACAAAATGCCACCAAAACATAACATTAAAAGAAACTCTAAAGCATTCATTCATATTTAACAGGAGTATTCATATAAATATAAGGGCCCTAACAATAATAAATACTTGACATTAACATGAGGCCAGTTTTCTCATCTATAACTGGGGATACTAACAATATTTACATGTATACTGTGAGGGTAAAATAAGCCAAAACAGGTAGTGTGATTAGAACAGTGACCAGGACATAAGGACTTTCAATAAATGTTACCTGCCGCTATCATCATCATCAATATTAAAGTCATGAAGAAACTCTCAGAAAAAGTCTAATCACATTAAGCATTAAATTAGAAAAAATATTGTCAACAGATTTATAACATTAAAAATACTGTTAAAGTCAACTTAAAAAATTCATTCCCTCCTTTAAAAAACTTACAATTTCATGAGCTCCTTTAATACCAATAAATATGCAAATAAATACCACGATTAAAACAAAATCAAAGGTAATTTTAGAGTATGCTTTTTCAAAAAATTTCCCCTTCTCCTTCAACCCTTCCTGGAAACACTTCATTGCTAGAATAGTGCATCCCATGGGTCATTTATTTGTTTCCACTGAGAATACAAAAATTTATACAAATAGTTATTTGACTTTAAGTTGCATGCAATATTTGTTCAGCAATTTGCTTATTTACTGGAAAAATTGAAGATATGTTGCTTTTCACATTCAGAGTGTTTCTACCTGTACAAAAATCTTTGAAGTATTTCAGAGTGTTTTTGTCTAAGGTAAAATATCCATTTACTTAAATATTTCGAGTAGGTGTTAATTTTTACTTGCATTGTCATAGTAACTAAGATGAAAAATGTAACTTTGGATGTTATTTATCTCAGCCATTTCTATGAATATCCATAACTTCCAAGTACAAAAAAACAGTGAATAATTTTAATTTGGAACAGTAAGACCATTCCTAGACACAAACGATAACTTAATTCATACCACATATGGACAACCAATAAAATGGCCACTTTTCAGTTATGACCTTTTTGATCTCTGTTTTCAGTTTCTGTATAATCAACAGAATCTGCTATAGTAAAAGCAAGGAGGAGGACCATATCAACGTACTAAAAACAACCTCAGAACTTAACTAGATTAGGATACACTACTACTCACGAGTTCTAAAATCAGACTGAATTTCATGTACCTCTCTAGATCCACAATAAATCTTTCCAGAGATTTCAAATTCAAGAAAAGCAGATTAACAGAAAATGACTCTCAAACTGCTTTATAAAAACTTATTGTTGCCTCAGGCCTATGTTCTTTTATTTAAAAAATTAATAAACTATGTTTTGGAGCACTTTTAGGTTCTCAGCAAAACTGAGCAGAAAGTATGGAGGATTCCCATATATCTCCTATCCTAGCCCCTACATTATAGCCCCCACTATTATTTATTTATTTAGAGATGAAGACATGCTCTATCGCCCAGTCTGGAGTGCAGTGGTGCAATCTTGGCTCACTGCAACCTCTGCCTCCCAGGTTCAAGCAATTCTCATGCTTCAGCTTCCTGAGTAGCTGGGACTACAGGCATGTGCCACCATGCCTGGCTAATTTTTGTATTTTTAGTAGAGATGGGATTTCACCATGTTGGCCAGACTGGTCTCGAACTCCTGACCTCAGGTGATCTGCCCACCTCGACCTCCCAAAGCGCTGGGATTACAGGCAAGAGCCACTGTGCCTGGCCAACTTCCCCCACTATTAACATCCCACTTCACAGTGGTACATTTGTTAAAACTGATGAAACTACACTGACACATCAGTAACATCCAAAGTCCGTAGTTTACAATATGGTTTGTACTTGGTGTTTAATATTCTATGGGTTTTGACAAATGTATAATGACATGTGTATACTGTTGTAATGTGTTACATAAAAGTTTTACTTCCTATAAAAATCCTCTGTGTTCTGCTTATTCATCCCTCCCTCCCCGCAACCCCTGGCAACCACTGATCCTTTTACTGTCTCCATAGTTTGGTCTTTCCCAGAATGTCATATAGTTGGAACCATATAGTATATTGCCTTTTCAGATTGCCTTCTTTTACTTAGTAATATGTATTTAAGGTTCCTCCACATCTTTTCATGGCCTTGATAGCTCATTTCTGTTTAGCCCTGAGTAATTTTTCATTGAATGGATATACCATAGTTTTATTCATTCGCCTGTTGAATATTTGTTAAGCGTTTCTCATAGAGATCTTGTACATACTTTGTTCATTTTCATCTATGTATTTCAATATTTTTGGTGCTAATGTAAATAGTGTTATGTTTTTAATTTCAAACTCCACTTCTTCATTGCTGGTATAGAGGAAACTGATTGACTTTTGTACCTTAACCTTGTATCTAGCAACCTTGCTATAATTGCTTAATCCCAAGAGATTTTTTTTTTAGATTTTTTACAAAGACAATCATATCATTGTCTTTGCAAACAATTTTATTTCTTCCCTCCCAATCTGCATACCTTTTATTTTCTTTTCTTGTTATATGGCATTAGCTAGAACTTTCAGTATAATGTTAAAAAGCAGTGGTAAGAGGGAACATCCTTACCTTGCTCCTGATCTTAGTTTCTCAATGGTGGGAAAGCAAGTTTCTCACCATTAAGTATAATGTTAGCTGTATGTTTCCTGTAAATGTTCTTTATCAAGTTGAGGAAAATTGATAAAATTTTCCTCAACTTGATAAAGTTTGCTGAGAGTTTGCTAGTTTGCTGAGAGTTTCTTTCTTTGCACTATCAATGAGTGTTAGATTTTGTCAAATGCTTTTTCTGTGTCTGTTAAAATAATCATGTAATTTTTTTCTGCTTTGGTGTGTTAATGTGGTGGATTATAGTAATTGATTTTCAAATGTTGAACTGGTCTTGCAGACCAGGAATAAATCTCACTTGGTTATATAATTCTTTTTACACATTGTCAGATTCAATCTGCTAATATTTTATTGAAGATTTTTGCTTCTATATTCATGAGAGATAATGGCCTACTACAGTTTCCTTCCAGTGTCTGATGTTGGTATTAGGGTAATGCTACACTCAAACAATGAGTTAGGAAGTGTACCCTCTACTTCTATCTTATGTAATTGGTATAATTTTCTCCTTAAGTATTTGGTAGAATTTACCAATGACCCCGTCTGGTCCTGATGCTTTCTGTTTTGGAAAATTATAAATTATTTATTCCATTTTTTCAATAGAAGTAGGCCTATTCAAATTATCTACTCACCATGTTATTTTGAAATGGCCTCTGCCATTCTGTTCAATGTTTCCTCTCAACGAGTTCCAGTTTGGGGAACAATTCTAATCCTTCCAAATTCAATATGACTACCTCCCCAAACTCTCTATTTTTGTCATGGGCATTATCATTTTCCAAATTATTTGGACTTAAAACTTTAGGCCACTTTCTATTTAAATATACTTTTAGAACAGCTTTGAATTTACAAAAAAATTCTCATAGTACAGACAATTCCCTTACATGCCACACCTAGTTTTCCCTATTGTTAACATCTTACATTACTACAGTACATTTGTCAAAACTGTACCAATATTGATATACAATATTGATACAAAATTGTCACAATGAACCAATATTAATACACTATTAACTAAAATCTATATTTTATTCAAATTTCTATCATATTTCCCTATTATCCTTAGTCATTTTTGACATCTTTCTCTCCATCCTTCCTTTCATATTTACTTCTATTAATTCATAACTTGTTAGGTATCTTTTTCAACATGTTAAAATCTTTTGAGTTACTGTTGTGATCCATCATATACCCTGTTACTTCTAATTTTGTGTTCTCTGTAACTTTTACAAGCATACTTTCTATATCTTCACCCACCAACAAAATTACTGAACACACTGGGGACCAAGATACAGACCTGGCCCTAGAATCACCCCCAGATTGACAGTGATCTGTTGCATAACTGAGCCTCAAACCGTTTAGTCAGCATGGGTTAGCTGACTCAAAGCTTGACCACATTTCTACATCTTGTCCAAAAAATGTTATGAGTGAACTTGCCTCAGTGCTTTACTTCAATCCAGGTATACTGGATTGATTTCCCTACTCTACTAGCAAAATAAATAAATAAATAAATAAAAAACAGATCATTTCACCTTTTTAGAAAAATCTGTCTTGGTTCTCTTTCAGCGTACACACTTATCTAGAGATGCACAAAACAACCCATCTAACCGTGCTGGAATGAAAAGCATAGATGCTATGTTCACTGGTCTATAGTGGTAGAATCTATCTTCTGCTATTTTCTGCAAATCAGAACTACTTATGGATATCTCTAGGCTTTTATTTTGCTCTCTCAACATATTCTCTCCAAGTTACTCTGAGTCAAGGGAAAAAAAACCCCATGATTTATAAATACCATAATATGAAATATGTACATTTTCCCTTTTAAATAATCTGCCCCTAGAGTTACATTTTTCATATTTTTTTGGAATCTGCTTCTTTAAAGTTTAAAATATTATCTATCATTTTATGTATCATAAATTCAAAGCTACCTGGTCACTTTCTCCCAAAGGGTCATTACTTCTTTTCTTTCAATCCATTCTACCTATGTTTGTGTGTGTATCTGATTTTTTAATACTGTTCATTTAAAATACTTAATTTTATTTTTTTTTCTCAAATACTCAGGCTGATGGAAATTCTGAAAAAAGTTAATTCACAACATGGTATATTACCTCCATCTAGAGGTCATTCTAACTACATATGTTTTGACAAGAACACTGTATTTTTCTTTGCATTGATAGTGAATATATCCTTAATCATTGACTATCATACTGTTTCAACAACTACTAAAACAACTCCATTAATTTCCCTGCAGTATTTCTCATTCAGCACCAATGCTGTTTATACTATGAAAAAGCAGAGGCAGCATACTGTTAACAGAAAAATGACTAGGCATATAAGAATACAAAACTGGGTTCTAGTTTCTGTTTTTCCACTTGTTGTATTGCTCTGATTACTAATCAATACACACATTCATGCGTGCATGCACACATACACACAGTACCTTGCTTACCCCATCTATAAAGTGAAAACAAGCTGCTCTGTAAATCACATGTTCTAAGACATGTGGATATAATTTGCAAAGGGTAGAGCACAACCAATATGTAAGACATTACTTATAATTAAGGTCTGGCTTATTTGGCCAACAAACTGCAAATCCATTGGTCACTTTATTCTCATTCTCTTGATTCCAGGAGTATTAAATATTTTTTGTCAGTAGAACAAAAACAACTGAATCTTATAGAAAGCATATACAGCCTTAAAGTTACAAAGTCATTTCATTTTAGAAAAGATAGAGATAAAACTAAGTCATTAGAATGATCTGTATTTTTCAATCATTCCCAAATCATACTAACCCTTTTTGAAATTTATTCTTAAAGATTACATCTTTTGTTTCAAACTGAAGGTTTGTAAACCATCATATAATACTGTAAACGATGGGTCTGCAAACTCTTGCAGTAGGGCCAGATAGTAAACATTTTAGACTTTGGGGCCAGTCTTTTGCAACTACTCTGCTGCTGTGCAAAAATGCCTGTGTGTGGCTGTGATCCAATAAAACTTTATTTACAAAAACAGGCAGTCAAATTCATCTGCAGGCTATAGTTTGTCATTCATGCTGAATGAATGAGAATATGTCTTATTATCATACTAATAAATTCAGCCTTAATTCAGTTTTAACATAATTAAAGAGAGTCCAGCAGAATAAGATTTGAACATTTTATTATAATTAATTATAAAATCAGGCCACCTAAATTTCACCCATTGCTTCTCAAGTCAAAGTTTAAATTTCTTTTTTCATCCCCTCAAACATCTACTATTTAATTTAAGGAGGACTTTTGCATTCAGTGGGATATAGTATAAGAATTAAGATTAAATTGACATTTAAATTTCTCAAATCTTAATCAACTGATTAATTTTATTTTTTTAATTCAAAACTGATACTGAATAAGAAATTAGGTGAAACACAATTGAATCACTACTCTGTGTTTTGATAAGATTTAATACTGGGGTTAAATGCTATGATTATAAACAAGACAAGGCATTTAGTTCTCAACAAAAAGTAAAAGAAGATGAACAAAGGAGATGTAACCAGATTAGTGGAAGACAGACTGGGAAACCCAGAGTTCAGCATCATCTATGCTCACAAGATACATTTCAAGGTACTTAATGAAGCCCTCAGAGAAAATTCAAATTCAACATTGCTCCTCTATGAAAATTTGGAAACCCACACTGATAAATAACCTCAAATTGACGATTTACACCAAATGCACATTTTTAATGTGATTCTTCATGGGTACAGATGCATGTGGGAGAGAAGGAAGAGGACAGAGGATGGGAAAGGAAGAGCAATAGACGAGGGAGAGAAAGAAGAGAAGGAAGAGGAGGGGAGGGAACAGAGGAGTCAGAGGTAAGAGACAGGAAGAGTAGGGGAGGAGGAGGAGGAGTTGAGAGTTAAAAGTAGGACTTCGGTGTTCTTTCTGCATCCTAATTAGGCTAACCAGTTCCCAAATACCTCCATTATCAAACGCGATGAAGAGAGAGAGTAGGGCTTGATCACCACAAATTCATTACAGTTACTACTAAACGTAGGAACAGAAGTACTTTAACATATATGTTAATTTACTAGTGTTATTATGTAAATTAGATTATCTAGGTAAACCTGGCTAACATAAATAATTGCCAAGACCCTCTGTTCTAGGGAAATGATCTTAAGTCTGTACCAAATTGTTACCTGAAAAATTACCTTTTTCCCTAGAATTTTGGCAGAGGCACCGAGTACAAAACAATACTTTATCTATTAGGTACTCCAATCCCTAAAGCAAGATTCTCTACTATCCATCCGCGACACACTAAGAAATTATTCACAGGTTCTGCCAGATTTAGCCCTTCACTCTTCTCCAGGCTACGTAAGATAAGGAAAATAATTCACCAGAGGGAGGAAGAGACTGGGAGTGAGGATTTCTACAGGGTTAGGGTGCTGTGGGTTCTGCCTTCCACTCTCTCATGACAGAGGGCAGGGGCTAGGCTTGCATCTCATCTAAAGCTATGTGAGGGCAGCATCAAAAAGTCTATTCATATTTTGGCATGTGTCCCTTTGAGTTCGGACAAATAAAATGTTACCGGATTCCTCCCCAGGGAATTTTAAGTGAGAGTTTGTGAGTGGAGCTCCCCCTGCTGGTGGCAGAGTGAAAAAAGAGGTCTCCTTTGAGGAAATGGTTTGTACTTCAGATTTTGGTGGGGCAAAAATGAGTCTTCTGTGGGACAAATGTGGACCTGTGGAAAGGGAGTCATTTTAAGAGAGATTTTGCCTAAGAGTGCCCCTACATCATAGGGATGGGAAATAAAGTAACCGCAAAGAAGGGTGGATTTCTGGAAACTTAGGGCTGAAGAAAGGGTCATACATTTATTATTGTATCTTCCCACTATCTGGGGCACCTGTATTGCTGGAGAGAAAAAGAAACCAAGAGAAAAAGAAAACAAATGTAAAAATGCAACTACAAGAAAAAGGAAGAATAATAATTTAAAACAATATATTCCTTATTGTTTTATAATTTATAATTTATATTTATAAAATAATGTTTACATAAACATACAAAGGGTCCAAACACAATTAAGAATGATTTTTTTTTTGCTCTAAGGATATTTACCTATACCAATCTAACTAATTAAATTCTCTTTGTTTGAACTTTTAATATCATAAATGGCTTTTCCTTGATCTGTGGAATTTGTATATTACGATGCATCAATGCATAAGAAATGGTTGATGTGCTTTTCTACATTTCATTTAGAAACATGCTATCATTTTAGTATTTGTGTTCAAGCAAAATGTTATACTGAACTAGATTTAATTATAACGTATCATCTTCAAAGCCAGTAGACTTGGTAGATTCATTCAATAATTTTTCAATAAAAGTTTCCCTTAAATATATTTCAAGGCTGCATAATAAAAATGTGAATAAACAGAATAAGAACAGTTACTGTGCTATTATACATATTTTTCAGTGAATGTGACTGACAGATTAAACGTATGAGTCAATAGTATTTTGAAAAATCCATTTAATTTATAAAGAGGCAGGTTAGAATTTAAAAGACTGCATAAATCCTATACACTTACCACAGATGACAATGTCCATTCATGGGTGCTCTATTAATAGCTCTTTCACTTAAAGTTTTTCCTGAAAGATAAAAGTACTTACACTTAATACCTTCATGTGAGTTGGTAGGAGGTGGATTATTGAATTAACTCATGGTTCACAAAGTATGGTCCCAAGACCAGAAGCATCAGCATCACATGGCAACTTTGTTTAAGAACTTTTCAGCCACATTGGAGATCTACTCCATCACACACTGTGGGATTGGGGCCCAATAATCTGTGGTTTAATGAGCCTCCAATGATTCTGATGTATGCTAAGGTTTGACACCCACTAGACTAAGCAACTTAACCAAGTGCAAGAAACGTCATTTAATTACTGCTTACAAAGCGTAATAGAAATTTTCTGTATTCCATTCAAACAACATTTACTGAGTACCTACTATGTGCCATACTGTGTGAGTGTCTGGGAATAAAATGTAAAATAAGACAGAGTCCTTGACCTCCAAGAGCTCACCGTTCAGTATGCTGCAGGCATATAAACAAGTAAGTTACATGCAAGAAAAAAAAAAAGACCAAGGTGAAAAAGAGGGCACAGCAGAGTGGGTAACTCTAACTCTGCCTGAAGGAGTAAGGGAAGGCTTCCCTGAGAAGTTCTTGCCTAATCATTCACAATAATGAACAGGGCCAGTGACATAAATAATTCCCCCAAATTATTTTACTTAGTTTTAGAGGAATTTTTAACCATGTAATAATTAATTTGGGGCTGGACCTGGTGGCTCACACCTGTAATCCTAGCACTTTGGGAGGCCGAGGCAGGTGGATCACCTGAGGTCAGGAATTCGAGACCAATCTGGCCAACATGGCGAAACCCTGTCTCTACTAAAAACACAAAAATTAGCTGGGCGTGGTGGTGCATGCCTGTAATCCCAGCTACTCAGGAGGCTGAGGCAGGAGAATCACTTGATCCCAGGAGGCAGAGGTTGCAGCGTGCTGAGATTGCGCCATTGCACTCCAGCCTGGGGGACAGAGCGAGACTCTGTCTCAAATAAAAAAAAACCAAAAATAATAATAATTTGGATAGAGGTTTGTTTATGGCTTGGAAAATCTAAATACCTGCAAATAAAACAGAACTGTGTTCTGAGAATCTTTCTCAAAAGGGGCCCTTTTGTTTTATAACTTCTTTTCTCCCTGATCCATTATTATTATCTTGAAGAGACTATCCAAGGATATGCAAAATGCTTTTCTAAATAAGTGGTTGAGATAATCTTTATAAATAAAAATATTTTATTCTAAAACCACGGTTCTATTTGTTAATTTGTTAAGGTGGCATTCTACAGTTCTATCCATTAAGATAAATATTCTGTGTAGAAATCGACATAAATTGGAAACAATTAAAAAGTGAAGCATTTTAATAATAATTAACTGCAGTGTGAACAAATATTAAAGAAATTAGCAATTTTAAATGAATGATTAAAAACATGCTTTTTAATGTAAAAACATTAAAAACTAAATCAATTTTTTAGCTACATTACCAAATGAATAAAACTTTCAGCGTACTGCCAGAAGCCTGAAATAGAAGTGATTCCATCACTCCAAGAATATAAAAAGACGCCGGGTAGTATACAAACTAGATTCATAGCCTCACTTATGCAGTCAGAATAAAAGTAAAGCTATTTCCTTTAGAGAACTGTATTTTGTGATCTTTATGATGCATTCATATCGATTACTTAATTAGGAAAGTTAGAAAAATGTTTCTTTAAATAAAGATTCATATCATAATACTTCAGAAACATACTGCATAATGATATACTCACTTTGAGTTTTATCAAAGAATTTTGTACTCTCCAGTGATCAAATCTGTACTAAGCATAACAACCTTAAACATGCTATTATGAGAAGAAATCTTCTGCACTTCCTCCCTCATGCTGAACCCCAACGTTCTTCCACGGCTGGTCTGAGCCCCTGCCTTGCTCTCAGTTCCAGTATACTTGGTCATTACCATTACTAAGCACTTACTCCTTATACACTGAATATAATTGGCTGTCCCTTTATTATCTTTTCCATAGAATAGGTTCCGTAGTGTTGTGCAGCCTTCATCTTATTTATGCCTCTCCTTCTCTCCCTCCTCCCCTTCCCTCCACCCTTCGTTTTCACACTGTTCCTTGACAAAATAATTTTGAATAAATATTTCTTAAATGGATAAATTAAAGGAATTCTTTTACTTTTATTTCAATATCTGAATGAACACATCGGAGGCTTTTTCTACTCCTTTTTCTTTGGCACTATAAACTCTTCTCTTTTGGATATATCCTATTTCAATTCTATGCTTCATTTTAGCCCCTGAATTCCCTTCAACCTATTTCTTTACGAATTTCACCATCTAAGACATTAACTCAGTTAAACTCCCATTCCATTTAAGAATAGAGATCCAGAGCGATTTTACCTATGGCAAACTGTAACTTCCATAAGAAAGACTTCCCTGCATCAACCTCCATCCTCTGCCATCATATTCTCCTTTCTGCTACATATGCTCGCAAACAGCCTGTTCTCTATCTATCTATCTATCTATCTATCTATCTATCTATCTGAGAAAGGGTCTTGCTCTGTTACCCACTCTGCAGTGCAGTGGTGAGATCATGGCTCACTGTGGCTTTGATCTCTTGGACTCAAACGATCCTCCCACCTCAGTCGTGTTATTTTTAGTAGAGACAAGGTCTCCCTATGTTGCCCAGGCTGGTCTCGGGCTTCTGAGCTCAAGCTATCTGCCCGCCTTGGCCTCCCAAAGTGCTGGGATTACAGGCATGAGCCACTACATCCAGCCTCTGTACTCTTCTTTAATAAGAGCTTATTTCCATTCGTTTTTGTATATGTATGATTATTTGACTAGTGCTGCCTCCCCTACAAAGCCATAAGCTCCCCTGTAGCCTGAAAACATGTCTATTTTGCTATCCTATTCCTACCTTAGTACATAATACCCAGGGTAGGGCAGGTACTTATGAAAAAAATGTATTTACCTTTCCCTCTCCCTCCCCCTCCCTCTCCCCCCTCCCCTTTGCACGGTCTCCCTCTGATGCCGAGCCCAGGCTGGACTGTACTGCCGCCATCTCGACTCACTGCAACCTCCCTGCCTGATTCTCCTGCCTCAGCCTGCCAAGTACCTGCGATTGCAGGCACGCATCACCACGCCTGACTGGTTTTCGTATTTTTTGGTGGAGACGGGGTTTCACCGTGTTGGCCGGGCTGGTCTCTAGCTCCTGATCGCGAGTGATCTGCCAGCCTCGGCCTCCCGAGGTGTCGGGATTGCAGACAGAGTCTCACTCACTCAGTGCTCAATGTTGCCCAGGCTGGAGTGCAGTGGCGTGATCTCGGCTCACTACAGTCTCCACCTCCCAGCCGCCTGCCTTGGCCTCCCAAAGTGTCGAGATTGCAGCCTCTGCCCGGCCGCCACCCCATCTAGGAAGTGAGGAGCGTCTCTGCCTGGCCGCCCATCGTCCGGGATGTGAGGAGCCCCTCTGCCCGGCCGCCCAGTCTGGGAACTGAGGAGCGCCTCTTCCCGGCCATCATCCCATCTAGGAAGTGAGGAGCGTCTCTGCCCGGCCACCCATCGTCTGGGATGTGGGGAGCGCCTCTGCCCCGCCGCCCCATCTGAGATGTGAAGAGCGCCTCTACCCGGCCGCGACCCCGTCTGGGAATTGAGGAGTGTCTCTGCCCCACTGGCACCCCGTCTGGGAGGTGAGGAGGTCTCTGAGCGGCCGCCCGGTCTGAGAAGTGAGGAGCCCCTCCGCCCAGCAGCCGCCCCATCTGGGAACTGAGGAGCCCCTCCGCCTGGCAGCCGCCCCATCCGGGAAGTGAGGCGCGTCTCCGCCCGGCAGCCGCCCCGTCCGGGAGGTGGGGGCAGCCCCCGCCCAGCCAGCCGCCCCGTCTGGGAGGTGGGGGCGCCTCTGCCCGGCCGACCCGTCTGGGAAGTGAGGAGCCCCTCTGCCCGGCCACCACCCCGTCTGGGAGGTGTACCCAACAGCTCGTTGAGAACGGGCCATGATGACGATGGCGGTTTTGTCGAATAGAAAAGGGGGAAATGTGGGGAAAAGAAAGAGAGATCAGATTGTTACTGTGTGTAGAAAGAAGTAGACATAGGAGACTCCATTTTGTTCTGTACTAAAAAATTCTTCTGCCTTGGGATGCTGTTAATCTATAACCTTACCCCCAACCCTGTGCTCTCTGAAACATATGCTGTGTCCACTAAGGGTTAAATGGATTAAGGGCGGTGCAAGATGTGCTTTGTTAAACAGATGCTTGAAGGCAGCATGCTCGTTCAGAGTCATCACCACTCCCTAATCTGAAGTACCCAGGGACACAAACACTGCAGAAGGCGGCAGGGCCCTCTGCCTAGGAAAACCAGAGACCTTTGTTCACATGTTTATCTGCTGACCTTCCCTCCACTATTGTCCTGTGACCCTGCCAAATCCCCCTCTCCGAGAAACACCCAAGAATGATCAATAAATACTAAAAAAATTTAAAAAAAAAAAGAAAAAAATGTATTTAATATTGATGAATGTTGGAACACTTTACATAGATATACTTGGATTTTCTCAGTAGATATGAAAATAAATCCCCTTGTTCTCCTTGGTTAAGTTTTTATTTATGTTGAAATTAATACATCTCTTCTCTAGAATTCTGTTTTGTATATGGTCTGCAAACTGGAATGCTACAGAAAAACTCCACAAAGCTGATGATGAATATGCAAACAAGAGGGGGAAGCCCTCTCATCCTCCTCCCACTGGGGGAAACGAAAGCACAGAGGTCATTCAGCAAATGAATCTCCAAGTGGAAAAATATAATTACAAGGAGTTTGGTAAAACTTTCTACTTGGAAATAAAAATTACAGAGAACTAGACTGGGAAGAAATCTTTCTTGCTGTGTCTTCCTCTTGCTATCTTTTCTAGAAGAAAAGCCTGGAAATGAGAAGCCTTCGGAATAAATGAAGAATTCAAAAGATTTTGATGTCAAAGTACTATGCTGACATTCAGAGAGATGGCAGGTAGGGGCTTTTGCAAGGACACATTTTGACATCCAGTAAGAGTCAAGGTGAGGTATAAAAATAACAGTTTGATATTCTATCTATTTAGTTGTTCTTGTTGTGATGAAAAATTTCAAAAACTTGTAGAAAAGTATAGATGTCAGAATAATGAACCAACATGTAATCATCATTCAGCTTAGACAATTATCAAACAGAGTTTTTAACAAGGTTAATCTTGTTTCATCAAGATACATTTGGAAAAAACATTAAAGTCTGCGAGTTTATTCTTCGTAGTCCCTAGAGTTCTACATTACAGGAAGTAAGATGTGTTACTTTAACTGTGGTTGACAACTGCTGAAGACACTTGTCCTCTGCCTGTTATTGTTTCTCAAACACTGCCACTACATTTCTTGTCTAAGTTTTATAAAGTTAAAAGATGAAATTTAAGTTTTTTTCAGTTACCTATTCTAATATATTCAAATATTTCTGAAGAACATATACTTTAGCCCTAAAATGCCTTTCTGTTCTGAGAGTGTACATTTTTTTGTACCATAATATATTAAAATAGATTAAACATACTGGTTTTAGCTAAGATAATTTAGCTTTAGTTAACATTCACTAGTGATTTACTATAGATCTTTTTTTTTATTACACTTTAAGTTCTTGCATACATGTGCAAAACATGCAGGTCATAGGTATACACGTGCCACGGTGGTTTTCTGCACCCATCAACCCGACATCTACATTAGGTATTTCTCCTAATGCTATCCCTCCCCTAGCCTCCCACCCCAAGACAGGCCCTGTTGTGTGATGTTCCCCTCCCTGTGTCCATGTATTCTCATTGTTCAACTCCCACTTATGAGTGAGAACATGCAGTGTTTGGTTTTCTGTTCTTGTGTTAGTTTGCTGAGAATGATGGTTTCCAGCTTCATCCATGTCCCTGCAAAGGACATGAACTCATCCTTTTTTACGGCTGCATGATTTACTATAGATCTTAATTGCTACTTGAGAATAATCTTTACAAAATGCTTACCAATATTAGCATAATGTTTCTTTTCTTGTGTGTTTGTAGATAGTTCATACATGTCTCCATAAGCACGAGCAAATCGCCACATAAACTCTATTTCATCTCTAAACTGAAAAGAAAAGATGGAGTTGCCTGTTAAATTAACTTGGTAACTTGTCTATTCTATTCTTGTTTTCTACTGCAACTTTTTAAAAACTTAGGCAGGTAAACTGGTATTTATAGATTATTGAATCTATGTATATGCATATTTCGTGTGAAACATTTTTAATCCAAATACTCATGGCTAAGAAATATGACCTAATGTAGTGTTACATTTGGATCTTAAAACCAATTAATATTATCCAGACACTAGCTCCATCTATGCAGAGAAGAGATTTGATAGGCACCAAAATCTAGAAATTCTTCCTGAGCTGTGGCATCCTTTTCTTCTTTTCCTTTCCAAGTTATCTATTATCAATATAATGAGCATCTCAGTTAATATCTGTAAATTGAAAATGCATATACTCAAAAGAGCAGTCACTTTTTTTACTCAAATTACCTAAATATAATCCTGGAGAGCTATCAAGTTTTAGACAATGTGTTTAGAGTTGCTAAATCCTCAGACAAATAGAGATTTATTTCTCCATGGGACACTGCAAACTTTTAATTTTTAATTTTATTTTATTTTATTTTATTTTTTTTAGTGGTGGTGGTAAGAGCTCTGGACAGGCTTTTCTTATTCAGACCCAACACTAAACACTGCAAAATCAACAAATGACCATTGGTAGAAATAGCTTTGAATACCCATATCTGTCTCAAAATATTTGTTAAATATATAAATTAGTAAAAAAAAAAAATCAAATAAAAGTAAATCTGCGTAATTATAGCTCTGGTTCTCATTTTTATGACCTTAGAGTCTAATAAACTTTTACATTTACTTTTTTAAAATTTTATGCATCTTAAATAAAAAATAAATTTTAAAAAATTTTAGTCATTTTATAGAGAAATTTTACATCAATCATCAAAATGTGGGAACCATGACACAATTATTATAGTTATAACTGAAACAGATGGCAGATTAAATTAAAAAATGGAACTATACGAAGTGCTATTGTTATGTCTCTTACCTTTTCTTTGTGGTCACGAAGTAGTTCAAAACTCTCCGACTTGCCAGACTCACTCATACGTAAATGATCTACCTTCTGAAGAAGGACATCTAAATTTAATTCCTCTACACGTGTGTTAAATGCCTTAGGGACTGGAAAACTCTGTTCTTCTGTGTCAGTATTAGCTGTAATATACCTAAAATCGCAGAAATAATCATCAACTCCTTTGAAAGTTAAGTATAATAGCCAGAGCATTCCTTTTAAAATGCAAGTCAAATCATGCCCCTCTTATGCTTGAAACTCTGCAGTGGCACGTGCTTTCACTCAGAAAAAGCTCCAGTCCTAACAGAAGTCTACAAGTCCCTGCGCAATTTGCCCACGATCTCGTTACCTCTTTGATCTCATTTCCTACTACTCTTCTTATTCAAATACACACAGGTCACCTAGCTGCTCCTTCAATATTCTAATCACGTGCCTACCTCGGAACCTCCACTTGCTGTTCCCTTTAATGAAACGCCGTTTCCTTAGACAGCCACATAACTCACGCCCTCACCTCCTTCAAGTCTCTGCTCCAATTTCATTTTCTCAATGTGGCCCATCCAGACCACTCTAATACCTCAATCCCCACATTCCCTTCATCTCTAACCTCCCTCATAATGCTTTTTTCTTTTCCCATAGCATGTATTACCTTCTAACATACTGTATAATTTACTAATCTACTACATGTGCTGTTTGTCAGTATCCTCCCCAGGAGAATGCAAGCTCCCTGATGGTAGGTTCATTAACTGATGTATCAAGTGCCTAGAACAGCACTATTCACTGAATTTGCTGAATGGATGATACAGTTGTAGGAACTCAGCAGGCACTCAAAACTGTGTGTGTAAACTCACAAAAACACATATTTATAGTTCAAGATGATCTAAGTTTAAACTTTAACGTGGTTTTTAAAAATTAATACTATTGCCTACATTTCATTTTTGCCAGCAAACAATACAAACAACTTATTTTTATTAATTCAGACTCTGCCTGTTCTAAAAAGGTTTTAAGGAGGTATACAAGGATATATAACATATAAGAGAATAAATTAGAAATAGTGAAAAAAGACAAAGGCCAAATGTGAATGAAGTCAATATAAAAAACACACAAATTTTAGATAGCTATACCTTTGCTACAAAGGACACAAATGTTCTTCATTTTCTAGCATGCAATGCAATCAGCTTCACAACTTGCAGCTCCCGTTAGATAGAAACAAACAAAAAAACTAACAAAGCAAGTTCTTAAATTTCTTTCATATGCCTTACAAAGAAGATACTGTATGAACTGATCTCCCACTTCTTCAATAACATTCTTTACTAACGGAAACTCTACTCTTCCAATTGCTCAAACCAAAAAACTTGGAATCATCCTTGATGCTTTTTTCTTTCTCTTAAGCAATACCCAGTCTGTTAGCAAATCCTGCTGGTTCTATCGTCAAAATACATCCAGAATCTAGCCACTTCTCCCCACCTCTCCCCACTACCACCTTGGTCTAAGCCTCCATCATCTCATCTGGATTACTGCAATGACCCCTTATCACACCTCTTTGCTTTAGTCCTTGACCCTTATATTCTATTCTCAACAGAGTAGCAAGAATAACTCAGATCACGTCACTCCTTTGCTCAAAACCCTCCATCAGATGTCCAAGTCAGAGTGAAAACCTAAGTCCTTTCAGGGGTCTACAAGGCCTAACATAATCTGGCCAATACCTCTGGTCTTATCTTCTATCACTTTCCTGCTTGCTCACAGCATTCCAGAAACTCTAACTTCCTTGATATTCCTTGAACATATCAGTCATGTTCCTGCTTTAAACCCTTTGTATTTTTTCTTTCTTCTGCCTGGTATGTTCTTCTCCAGATATTCATATAGTTTATTTCTTTGCATATTTCATATCTTTGTTCAAATGTAATCTTCTTATTATTGCAGATGTTATGATTATTTACATAAAAATAAAAATTCTACAAATTTTGATTAATAGGAGAGTATAGCAAATTGGCTGAATATAATATTAACATATGAAAGTCAGTTTAATTTCTACATATCAGCAAAAAACTACAAACATAATTAAATAAAATATTCAATTTGCAGTGACCTCAGAGAATATCAAATGGCTAGGAATAAATCTAACAAAAGATATGTGAAAATTCAATGGAGAAAATTATAAAAGCATATTAAAAGATGTTTCTAAAATGACCTAAATTCATGGAGAAATATATCACGTTCATGGTTTAGAAGACCCAATATCATAAATATGTGAATTCTTTCCAGGTTAATCTATAGATTCAATGCAATTCAAACTTTATAAGCCTAATAGGAATTTTTGTAGAATTAAATAAGATGATTCTAAAAGTTATATGAAAAAGCAAAGAGCCCAGGACAGCCAAAGCACTCTTAAAGGGAGCAAGGAGAGAAGACTTACCCCACCAGATTTTAGGACCTACTATGAAGCTATAATAATTAAAGACAGTGTGGTATTGGTACAGCAATAGATGAGTGAATGATAGAACAGAGCCTAGAAACAGACCCACATGCATATGAAAATGTGGTACATGGGAGAGTTGGCATGTAAGATCAGTAGGAAATTCAGGCATTCAGATGGGAAAAATTGTTATCTCTATGGAAAAAGATGAAATTGAAACTCTACCTTATATTTTTAAAAAACATAACTGGATAGTTTAAGAAAATGTTATATATTTTAAAAATCTAGTACAAAATACAGACGAATATATTTTAGTCCTTGGGGTAAGACATATGAAATAGACATTATGGATCATCTATTCAAAATTAAGCGTCCAGAAATAATTTCTTAAAATTATGATCAGTTTATTTTGATAAGAGTGCCAAGACAGTTTAGCGGAGGAAACAATACTCTTCAACAAATAGTGCTAGAACAAATGGATAAGCAAATGCAAAAAAGGAACTCTCACTTCCTATCATATATAAAAATTAACTCAAAATGTATCAAACCTAAGTGTAAGAGCTAGAACTATAAAATGTTTGACAACATTTTATATGTATATGTTTTCTTTCTCATAAGAAAACATAGGAGCAAATATTTGTGATCTTGGATTAAGCAATGGTTTCTTAGACATGACATCATAAGCACAAGTGACAAAAGAAAAAAATGAATAAATTAGACTTTATCAAAATGAAAAACTTAGGTGCTTCAAAAGATACCATTAAAAAAGTGAAAAAACCCACAGAATAGAAGAAAATATGTTATGAATCATATATCTGATAAGAGACTTGTATACAAAATATATATAAAACTCTTAACAATTCGACAATAAAAAGACAAATAATTCAATTTAAAAATGGGCAACTCTGCAAATAAAAACCACCAAATTATGTAATTTAAAAGATGGAGCTTTATGGTAACAAATAATATACAGCTTTTATAAAGGTATAAAGCTATTATCTTTATGTTATTCTTTATAAGAACAAAAACTCAAATGTTGCTATAGCCATTAAATGAATTACATCAGAATTATGTATCTACTGCAACTTGCTCTCTATCTCTTGCTCTAATTCTGTCTCTCCCATGCACACATAGAATAGTTTTATTGTGAAATCTGCCATATATCCAAATAATTAGGCTTATTCAAATTCTTCTAAAGAATTACTAAAGATGGAATGCCCCTCAGGTTTATTTTATAAAACTAATATAACTGACACAAAAACCAAACATGAATATTACAAAAAATAAAAATTATAGGCCAATCTTACACATAAACATAAATGCAAAAATCCTCAATAAAATATCAATCAAGCTATTGCAACAAATATAAAATTATGTATTACAACCAAATTGAGATTATACTAGAAATTACAAGCACAGTTTGACATTAGACAATTTCTCTGGCGCAACAGATGAGACCTATCTGATCAATTCAGTCATTACCAAAAAAATTTTTTTTTCCAATAAATTCCAACACCACTTCAGGACAAAAGAAATACCAAAGCCTTAAACAAGAAATAGAAGGCAGCCAGGTGCGGTATATTCCCAGCACTTCAGGAGGCAGGAAGATCACTTGAGCCCAGGAGTCCAAAACTAGCCTGCACAACATGGCAAAACACTGTCTCTACAAAAAATTAAAAAATTAGCTGGGTTTAGTGGCCCACACCTGTAGTCCCAACTACTCAGGAGGGTGAGGTGAGAGGATAGCTTGAGTCTAGAAAGTTGAGGCTGCAGTAAGCTATGATTGTGCCACTGCACTCCAGCCTGGGAGACAGAGTAAGAAACTGTTGAAAAGGGAAAGGGAAAGAAAACAGGAAAGGGAAAGGAAGGAAAGAAAGAGAAAGCAAGGAAGCAAGCAGGAGAGAAAAAAAAGAAAGAAAAAATAGGAAGGAAGGGAGGGAGGGAGGAGCCTTTCAAACCTGAAAAAGGCTATATGCTAAATACAATAATACATTTCACACTTAATTATGAAACATTAGAAGCAGTCTCTTCAAAATCAAGAATAGAAAAATATGTCCAATATTGCTCTTCTATTCAACATTGTACTGGAAGTCTTTTTGGCACAATATTAAAAGAAAAACAAAAATTATAATAATTGGAAAAAAGAAACAATCTTATTTTTTGAAGATTATTCAATAGAGGACCTAACAAAATTTACATATAAGTAATTAGAACTAATTAGGATTTATAATAAATCTTCCAAAATCAATTTTGTTCTTATACTCTATAAAACAAGAAAATATAATTTTATAAAAATATAACATTTATAATAGTAAGAAAAATATAAGATACCTATGAAAAAATTTCACAAAAGTTTTAAAATGAGTTTTCTGGGGAAAATTACAAAATAATATCTGAAAACATTAAAGAATACCTAAGTAAATGGAAAACAATATATTCATGGATACGAAAATTTAATTAAAACAATTTCATAAGGCTCCACATTAATTTATACTTTTAATGCAATTCTGAGAAAAATTCCAATGGAATTTTCTATGGAACAGACCTGACCCTAAAATTAATATGGAAAGGCAAGTGCAAGAAGAGCCAAGACAATTTTGAAGAACCAATATCAGAACTGCAGTATAAAGGATAAAGCTAAAGAAACTGGGTCAATGTGGTATTGGTATAGCAACAGGTAAACTGGGCAACAAAAGAGAACATGTACGCTAGTCTATTTCCCACATTGAAAAAAAAAAAAAACCCAGCTGTGGGAAAATTGGTTTCCTACTTTGAACAGGGATCTTCTATTTAAAACTGGATATTTCTCAGAAACTTATAAGAAAGTTCTGAAAGAGAATTTTAAAAATAGGGCATATCCATGCATTATTGAGAAAATTTAACTGTATTTATTAACTTTGGGTTAGAAATTAGTTTTGTACTACCCAGCCCTCCTCCCAAAGGCATTTCATAGATTATCTGATGTCAAACCTAGAATTTTCTAATAGCCTTTCAGCAGGTCTAGAGAAGTTCATCTTAAGATGTCAAATTTGCTTACAAACATTTGTTCTACATGCACTTTTCTGGTCCTTTCTTCTGCTCTAAATTTTCACAAAAACTATGCCATTGTTCCTATCCCTTCAACTCTGCATGATCAACTGTTTATTTCAATAGCAACAACAGCATCTCTGAAAGCAGAGTTGCATTATTTTGGGAGAAAAAGACATTATTTACTGTGAAAATAAAAGAGTGTATTTACATAAGTACATCAGGAGTGAGTTACATTGAAATAGGTCCTCATTTCCCCATGAAAACATCAAGTAAACAACAACAGACTTTCTTTTTTTTTTTTTTTTTTTTTTTGAGACAGAGTCTCGCTCTGTCACCCAGGCTGGAGGGCAGTGGTGTGATCACGGCTCACTGCTGCCTACGCCTCCGGGTTCAAGTGATTCTCCTGCCTCAGCCCCCCAAGCTGGGATTACAGGTGCCTGCCACGGTGCCCAGCTAATTTTGTTGTATTTTTAGTAGAGACCAGGTTTCACCATGTTGGCCAGGCTGGTCTCGAACTCCTGACCTCAAGTGATCTGCCCACCTCGTCCTCCCAAAGTGCTGGGATTACAGGCATGAGCCACCATGCTTGGCCTTGACCCATTGCACCTAGCCTAACAACAGACTTTCTGAAATATCTTTGTGGGAGACCAAGAAACTACCACATACAACATGTCCTGAAATTTTATGTCATCTAGAGCTTTGGTAAGTATGAGGGGACTTCAAAAAGTTCACGGAAAAAAGGAATTAAAAGATAAAAATACAAAACATAAACTTTATTTCTCAGCACATAATTCATCAAGGTCAAGACAATTTTGTAAGTGAACATACCAGCCATTTAGTCCATCTCTAAAGAACTGAGGGTCCTGGGAATTGAACCATATCAATGTTGTCTTTTGTACATTATTAACTGAAGAAAAATTGGTGCTTTAAAAAATTTTTTTTAAGATTAGGAAACAAAAGTTGAAAAGAGCCAAATCAAATGAGGACTCTAAGGTGGAAGCCTAATGATTTCCCACTGAAAGAAACTCTTGCAAAATTGCCCTTGTTCGATGAGAGGAATGAGCAGGAGTATCATCATGGTGGAGAAGAATACTCTGATGATGCTTTCCCCAGAATTTTCCTACTAAAGCTTTGACTAACTTTCTCAAAACACTTTCATAATAAGTAGATGTCATCATTCTTTGGTCTTCTAGAAAGTCAACAAGCAAAATACCTTGAGCATCCAAAAGTCTGTTGCCATGACATTTCTCTTGACCAGTCTGCTTTTGCTTTGATTGGACCACTTTCACCTCTTGGGCGCCATTGCTTTGATTGTACTTTGTCTTCAGGATTGGACTGGTAAGGCCATATTTCATCTCCTGTTATGATTCCTTAAAGAAATGCTTCAAGATCTTCATCCCACTTGTTAATAATTTCTCTTGAAAGCTCTGTTCTTCTCTGCAGCTGATCTTGATGCAACAGTTTTAGCACCCATTCAATGGAAAGTTTGTTTAACTTTAATTTTTTAGTCAGAATAGTATAAACAGAACCAACAGAGATGTCTATGGTACTAGCTATTATTTCTGCTATTAATCATTGGTTTTCTTCAATTAGAGGACACAAACAAAATTCATTTTTTTCTTGCAAATTGATGTGGAAGTGTCTCTGTGGGCTTCATCTTTAACATCACCTCATCCCTTCTTAAAATGAGCTCTCCATTTGGCTTATTTCTTTCGGGCACTGTCCCCATAAACTTTTTGTAAAGCATCAATGATTTCACCATTCTTCCACCCAAGCTTCACCATAAATTTGATGTTTGTTCTTGCTTCAATTTTAGTAAAATGCATGTTGCTCTGATAGGGGCTTTTATCAAACTAATGTCTTATCCTTCTTAGTGTCTCAAACTAGATCTTTTTCAGATATATTATGGTGAGTTAGCATAAGCTTATTTTGGTGCAAAAAAGTGTGAAACCAGTGCATAGTTTTTTCATAATATTCATTTTCCATGAACTTTTTGAAGACCCTCTCATATGATAACTGAACTAAAAATTTACTGGAAGGGACCAACAGAAGACTCAAACAGGCAAAAAAACAAACAAACAACCAGGCAAACTTTAAGACAGGTCATTTGAAAATATTGGTTCTGAGGAACAAAAAGAATAAAAAATGAAAAAAAAGTAAATAGAGCCTAAAGGACCTACGGGGCCTCATGAAGCAGACATATACACATATTGTAGGGGTTCCAGAAGGAGAAGAGAGAGAAAGTGGCAGTAAGCTAATTTGAAGAAACAACGGCCAAAGCCAAATCTAGGAAACACAATGAAATACAAATGTAAGAACTTTTTTTTTTTTTTTAAGACAGAGCCTCACTCTGTTGCCCAGGCTGGAATGCAGTGGCATGATCTCGGCTCACTGTAAGTTCTGCCTCCTGGGTTCATGCCATTCTCCTGCCTCAGCCTCCCAAGTAGCTGGGACTACAGGTGCCTGCCACCACACCTGGCTAATTTTTGTATTTTTAGTAAAGACAGGGTTTCACCGTGTTAGCCAGGATGGTCTCGATTTGACCTCGTGATCCACCTGCCTCGGCCTCCCAAAGTGCTGGGATTACAGGCGTGAGCCACCACGCCCGGCCACAAATGCAATAACTTAACAAACTCCAAGTGGGATAAACCCAAAAAGATCCACACCAAGAATATCATACTTAAAGTACTGAATGCTAAAGACAAAAAGAATCTCAAAAGCAGCAAAAGAAAAGCAACTCATTACATTTAAGGATTCCTCAATAAAATCATCAGCAGATTTCTCAGCAGAAACCTTGCAAACCAGAAGGCAGTGGGACGATATATTTAAAGTGCTGAAAGAAAAGAGAAACCTGTTACCTGAGATTTCTATAAACAGCAAAACTGTCCTTCAAAAATGAGGGAGAAATTAAAATATTTCTAAATAAAAGCTGAGGAAGTTCACTATCACTAGAATTTCCCTACAATAAATGCTAAAAGGAGTCCCTCAAGTTGAAACAAAAAGGACCTTAGACAGTCACTTGAACCATACAAAAATATAATATTCTGTAGTAAAGGTAAAGACATGGGAAAATATAACAGAATTATTCTAAGTTTGGCTCATAACTCCACCTTTTATTCTTTTACATCATCTAAAGAGAAAAGTAAAAAGTAATTATGAATCTATATTAATGATTCTAGATTAATGATAATACAACATAAAGATGTAATTTGTAATATCAACAAAATACATGGGTGGTGGAGCTGGAAAGGAGTAGAATTTTTGTATGTAATTAAAATTAAGTTGGTATGAATTTAAAATATGTTGTTATAACTTTAGGATGCTATGAATAATCCCCATGGCAACCACAAAACATATTTATAGAATATATGTAAAAGGAAATCAAAACATATCACTAAAAAAAAAAAAAAAACTAAACACAAAGAGAGGTAGCAATGGAGAAAATGAGGGACAAAAAAATCTATGGCATATACAAAATCAATAACAAAATGAAATAATAAGTCCTTTCCTATCTGTAATGACTTCAAATATAAATGGGATTAAATTCCTCAATCAAAAGGTATATTGGCAGAATGGGTTTTAAAAATTGGGATTTAACGATATGCTGTCCAAAAGAGACTAATTTTTGATCTAAAAACACACATATGTTGAATATGGAAGGACAGAAAAACATATTTCATGAAAACAGTAAACAAAAGAGAGTGGGAGTGGCTATACTAGTAGACAAAATAGACTTTAAGTCAAAAATTGTACAAGAGACAAAGGCAGGACATAATAAAAGAGCCAATTACCAAGAAGATATAACAATAACACTAAATGCACTCAACATCATCCTTCCTAAATATATGAAGCAAACACTGACAGAATTGAAAAAAGAAATAGCAACACAATAATAGTAAAAATAAAATAATAATACCATAGTAATACCATTACTTTAATAATAAAGTAATAGTAAACGAATTCAATGACCCAATTTTAATAATGGATAAAACAACCAGGCGGATGATTAGTAAGGAAATAGAGGACTTAAACATCACTATAGACCTATAAACCTGTAGGTCCTAACAACACATATAGACCATGCCACCCAAAAATAACAGAATACACATTCGTCTCCAATGCATGTGGAATATTCTCCAAGTAGATAATATATTAGGCCACGAAATAAGTCTTAGTTAATTTACAAACATAGAAATTATATGAAGCATATTTTCTGGATCACAATAAACATGAAACTAGAAATCAGCAGAAGAAAAACTGGAAAATCCATAAATATGTGAGAATTAAAAAACATACTTTTAAACAACCAATGGGCCAAAGATGCAATCACAAGGCAAATAAGAAAACATCTTGAGTCAAATGAAAATGAAAACATAACATACCAAAAACTTATGGGATGTAGCAAAAGAGGTGATAGGAGGAAAATTTATACCTGGAAATGCTTACATTAAAAGAAGGAAGATTTTTGTACAACGGACTCAACCAAAGAAACTCACGTGTATGGAGGAGCCCCTCCGCCCGGCAGCCGCCCTGTCTGAGAAGTGAGGAGCCCCTCCGCCCGGCAGCTGCCCTGTCTGAGAAGTGAGGAGCCCCTCCGCCCGGCAGGCGCCCCGTCTGAGAAGTGAGGAGCCCCTCCATCTGGCAGCCGCCCCGTCTGGGAAGTGAGGAGCGCCTCCGCCCGGCAGCCGCCACGTCCGGGAGGGAGGTGGGGGGCAGCCCCCGCCAGGCCAGCCGCCCCGTCCGGGAGGGAGGTGGGGGGCAGCCCCCGCCCGGCCAGCCGCCCTGTCCGGGAGGGAGGTGGGGGGCACCTCCGCCTGGCCGCCGCCCCGTCCGGGAGGTGGGGGGGCGCCTCTGCCCCGCCGCCCCTGCTGGGAAGTGAGGAGCCCCTCTGCCCGGCCGCCACCCCGTCTGGTAGGTGTACCCAACAGCTCATTGAGAACGGGCCATGATGACGATGGCGGTTTTGTGGAATAGAAAGGGGGGAAATGTGGGGAAAAGATAGAGAAATCAGATTGTTGCTGTGTCTGTGTAGAAAGAAGTAGACATAGGAGACTCCATTTTGTTCTGTACTAAGAAAGATTCTTCTGCCTTGGGATGCTGTTGATCTATGACCTTGCCCCCAACCCTGTGCTCTCTGAAACATGTGCTGTGTCCACTCAGGGTTAAATGGATTAAGGGCAGTGCAAGATGTGCTTTGTTAAACAGATGCTTGAAGGCAGCATGCTCATTAAGAGTCATCACCACTCCCTAATCTCAAGTACCCAGGGACACAAACACTGCGGAAGGCTGCAGGGTCCTCTGCCTAGGAAACCCAGAGACCTTTGTTCACTTGTTTATCTGCTGACCTTCCCTCCACTATTGTCCTATGACCCTGCCAAATCCCCCTCTCCGAGAAACACCCAAGAATGATCAATTAAAAAAAAAAAAAAAAAAGAAACTCACGTGTATGAAGCCAAATTAATAAATTCAAGGGTATAGTAACAGAAGCACCTGGAGAAGCTCAGGCTTAACTGCCAACTATTAACCACAGATCGACTGTTTTCAAAATGTTTCACAGAGCCCTAGATTTGAAAAAAGATGCTTCTGTGGTTCCAGGCAAGATGGCTGACTAGGAACAGCTCCGGTCTGCAGCTCCCAGCGAGACCAACACAGAAGGCAGGTAATTTCTGCATTTCCATTTGAGGTACCCAGTTCATCTCATTGGGACTGGTTAGACAGTGGGTGCAGCCCACATAGGGCGAGCCAAAGAGGGTGGGGTATTGCCTCACCCAGGAAGTGCAAGGGGTTGGGGAACTCACTCCCCTAGCCAAGGGAAGCCATGAGGGACTGTGCCATGAGAGACTGTGCTATCTAGCCCAGATGCTACGCTTTTCCTATGTTTTTTGCAACCCGCAGACCGCGAGATTCCCTCGGGTGCCTACACCAAAAGGGCCCTGGGTTTCAAGCACAAAACTGGGCAGCCGTTTGAGCAGACACTGAGGTAGCTGCAGAAGTTTTTTTTTTTTCGTACCCCAGTCACATCTGGGGTGTGAACCCCAGAAAGACAGAACTGTTCACTCCCTGGGAAAGGAGGCAAAAGCCAGGGAGTCAGGTGTTGTTGCTCAGGGGATCCCACCCCCATGGAGCCCAGCAAGCTAAGATCCACTGGCTGGAAATTCTCGCTGCCAGCACAGCAGTCTGAAGTCTACCTGGGACATTTGAGCTTGGTGGGGGAGGGGCGTCCACCATTACTGAGGCTTGAGCAGGCGGTTTTCCCCACACAGTGTAAACAAAGCCACCAGAAGTTCGGACTGGGTGGAGCCCACTGCAGTGCAGCAAAGCCAATGTAGCCAGACTGCCTCTCTAGATTCCTCCTCTCTGGGCAGGAAATCTCTGAAAGAAAGGCAGCAGCACCAGTCAGGGGCTTACAGATAAAACTCCCATCACCCTGGGACAGAACACCTGGGGGAAGGGGTGGCTGTGGGCACAGCTTCAGCAGACTTAAACGTTTCTGCCTGCTGGCTCTGAAGAGAGCAGCAAATCTCCCACCACAGCACTTGAGCTATGCTAAGGGACAGATTGCCTCCTCAAGTGAGTCCCTGACCCTTGTGCCTCCGGACGAGGAGACATCTCCCAGCAGAGGTTGACAGACACCTCATATAGGAGAGCTCCAGTCAGCATCTGGTGGGTGGCCCTCTGGGACAAAGCTTCCAGAGAAAGGAGGAGGCAGCAATCTTTGCTGTTCTGCAGCCTCTGCTGGTGATACCCAGGCAAACAGTGTTTGGAGTGGACTCCCAGCAAACTCCAGCAGACTTGCAGAAGAGGGAGCTGACTGTTAGAAGGAAAACTAACAAACAGAAAGCAAAAACATCAAAATCAACAAAAAGGACGCCCACGCAAAACCCATCCTAAGGTCCTCACCATCAAAGATCAAAGGTAGATAAATCTACGAAGATGAGGAAAAACCAGTGCAAAAATGCTGAAAATTCCAAAATCCAGAATGCCTCTTCTCCTCCAAAGGATCACAACTCCTTGCCAGCAAGGGAACAAAGCTGGATGGAGAATGACTTTGACAAGTTGACAGAAGTAGGCTTCAGAAGGTGGGTAATAACAAACTTCTCCGAGCTAAAGGAGCATGTCCTAACCCAATGCAAGGAAGCTAAGAACTTTGATAAAAGATTACAGGAATTGCTAACTAGAACAACCAGTTTAGGGAAGAACATAAATGACCTGATGGAGTTGAAAAACACAGCACAAGAACTTAATGAAGCATACACAAGTATCAATAACCATATCAATCAAGCAGAAGAAAGGATAACAGAGATTGCAGATTAACTTAATGAAATAAATTGTAAAGACAAGATTAGAGAAAAAAGAATGCAAAGGAACAAACAAAGCTTCCAAGAAATATGGGACTATGTGAAAAGACCAAACCTACGTTTGATTGGTGTACCTGAAAGTGATAGGGAGAATGGAACCAAGTTGGAAAACACTCTTCAGGATATTATCCAGAAGAACTTCCCCAACATAGCAAGACAGGCCAACACTCAAATTCGGAAAATACAGAGAACACCACAAAGATACTCCTCGAGAAGAGCAACCCCAAGACACATAATCATCAGATTCACCAAGCTTGAAACAAACAAAAAATGTTAAGGGCAGCCAGAGAGAAAGGTCAGGTTACCAACAAAGGGAAGCCCATCAGACTAACAGGAGATCTCTCTGCAGAAACCCTACAAGCCAGAAAAGAGTGGGGGCCAATATTCAAAATTCATAAAAAAAGAATTTTCAACCCTGAATTTCATATTGAGCCAAACTAAGCTTCATAAGCGAAGGAGAAATAAAATCCTTTACAGACAAGCAAGTGCTGAGGGATTTGGTAACCACCAGGCCTGCCTTACAAGAGTTCCTGAAGGAAGCATTAAATATGGAAAGGAAAAACCAGTACCAGCCACTGCAAAAACATACCAAAATACACAGACCAATGTCACTATGAAAAAACTGCATCAACTAATGTGCAAAATAACCAGCTGGAATCATGATGACAGGATCAAATTCACATATAACAATATTAACCTTAAATGTAAGTGGGCTAAGTGCCCCAACTAAAAGACACATATTAACCTTAAATGTAAATTGACTAAATTCCCCAATTAAAAGACACAGACTGGCAAATTGGATAAAGAGTCAAGACCCATTGGTGTGCTGTATTCAGGAGACCCATATCATGTGCAAAGACACACATAGGCTCAAAATAATGGGATGGAGGAATATTTATCAAGCAAATGGAAAGCAAAAAAAAAGCAGGGGTTGCAATCCTAGTCTCTGATAAAACAGACTTTAAAACAACAAAATAAAAAAATCAAGGTAATTACATAATGGTAAGGGGATTAGTGCAACAAGAAGAGCTAACTATTCTAAATATATATATATACACCCAATACAGGAGCACCCAGATTCATAAAGCAAGGTCTTAGAGACCTACAAAGAGACTTACACTCCCACACATTAATAGTGGGAGACTTTAAAACCCCATTGTCAATGTTAGACAGATCAACGAGACAGAAAATTAACAAGGATATTCAGGACTTGAATTCAGCTCTGGATCAAGAGGACCTAATAGACATCTACAGAACTCTCCACCCCAAATCAACAGAATATACATTCTTCTCAGCACCACATAGCACATATTCAAAAACTGACCACATAATTGGAAGTAAAACACTCCTTAGCAAATGTAAAAGAACAGAAATCATAACAGTCTCTCAGACCACAGTGTAATCAAATTAGAACTCAAGATTAAGAAACTCACTCAAAACTGCACAACTACATGGAAATGGAAAAACATGCTCCTGAATCACTACTGGGTGAATAACAAAATTAAGGCAGAAATAAGTTCCTTGAAACCAATGAGAACTAAGATACAACATACCAGAATCTCTGGGGCACAGCTAACGCAGTGATTAGAGGGAAATTTATAGCACTAAATGCCTACAGGAGAAAGCAGAAAAGATCTAAAATTGACACCCTAACATCACAATTAAAAGAACTAGAGCAGCAAGAGCAAACAAATTCACAACCTAGCAGAAGATGAGAAATAACTAAGATCTGAGCAGAACTGAAGGGGATAGAGACACGAAAAACCCTTCAAAAATATCAATGAATCCAGGAGCTGGTTTTTTGAAAAGATCAACAAAATAGATCGCTAGCCAGATTAATAAAGAAGAAAAGAGAGAAGAATCAAATAGACACAATAAAAAATGATAAAAGGGATATTACCACTGATCCCAGAGAAATACAAACTACCATCAGAGAGTACTATAAACACCTCTATGCAAATAAACTAGAAAATCTACAAGAAATGGATAAATTCCTGGACACACACACCCTCCCAAGACTAAACCAGGAAGAAGTCAAATCCCTGAATAGACCAATAACAAGTTCTGAAATTGAGGCAGTAATTAATAGCCTACCAACCATAAAAAGCCCAGGTCCAGATGGATTCACAGCTGAATTCTACCAGAGGTACAAAGAGGAGCTGGTACCATTCCTTCTGAAGCTATTCCAAACAACAGAAAAAGAGGGACTTCTCCCTAACTCATTTTATGAGGCCAGCATCATCCTGATACCAAAACCTGGCAGAGAAACAACATAAAAAGAAAATTTCAGGCCAATATCCCTGATGAAGATCGATGCAAAAATCCTCAATAAAATACTGGCAAACCAAATCCAGCAGCACATCAAATAGCTATCCACCACAATCAAGTCAGCTTCATCCTAAGGATGCGAGGCTGGTTCAACACATGCAAGTCAATAAACGTAATCCATCACATAAACAGAATCAATGACAAGTGAGACCAATGAGATGATCTATTGATTATCACAATAGATGCAGAAAAGGCCTTCAATAAAATTCAACACGGCTTCATGCTAAAAACACTCAATAAACTAGGTATTGAGGGAACATCTCTGAAAATAATAAGAGCTATTTGTGACAAACCCACAGCCAATATCATACTGAATGGGCAAAAGCTGGAAGCATTCCCTTTGAAACCCAGCACAAGACAAGGATGCCCTCTCTCACCACTCCCATTCAACACAGTATTGGAAGTTCTGGCCAGGGCAACCAGGCAAGATAAATAAATAAAGCATACTCAAATACAAAGAGAGGAAGTCAAATTGTCTCTGTTTGCGGATATCATAATTGTATATTTAGAAAACCCTATCATCTCAGCCCCAAAACTCCTTAAGCTGATAAGCAACTTCAGCAAAATCTCAGGATAAAAAATAAATGTGCAAAAATCACAAGCATTACTATAAACCAATAATAGAGAGCTAAATCATGAGTGAACTCCCATTCACAATTGCTACAAATAGAATAAAATACCTAGGAATACAACTTAGAGGGGATGTGAAGGACTTCTTCAAGAAGAACTACAAACCACTTCTCAAGGAAATAAGAGAGTATACAAACAAATGGAAAAACACTCCACACTCATGGATACAAAGAATCAGTATTGTGAAAATGGCCATACTGCCCCAAATAATTTATAGATTTAATGCTATTCCCATCAAGCTACCATTGACTTTCTTCACAGAATTAGAAAAAACTACTTTAAACTTCATATGAAACCAAAAAAGAGCCCATATAGTCAAGACAATCCTAAACAAAAAGAACAAAGCTGGAGGCATCACACTACCTGACTTCAAACTACACTACAAGGCTACAGTAACCAAAACAGCATGGTACTGGTACCAAAACAGATATATAGACCAATGGAATAGAACAGAGGCCTCAAAAATAACACCACACATCTACAACCACCTGATCTTTGACAAACCTGACAAAAACAAGCAAGGGGAAAGGATTCCCTATTTAATAAATGGTATTGGGAAAACTGGCTAGCCATATGCAGAAAACTGAAACTGGACCCCTTCCTTATACCTTATACAAAAATCAACTCAAGAAGGATCAAAGACTTAAATGATTAAACCTAAAGCCATAAAAACCCTAGAAGAAAACCTAGGCAATACCATTCAGGACATAGGCATGGGCAAAAACTTCATGACTAAAACACCAAAAGCAATTGCAACAAAAGTAAAAATAGACAAATTGGATCTAATTAAACTACAGAGCTTCTGCACAGTAAAAGAAACTATCATCAGAGTGAACAGGCAACCTACAGAATGGCAGAAAATTTCTGCAATCTATCCATCTGACAAAGGGCTAATATCAAGAATCTACAAGGAACTTAAATAAATTTACAAGAAAAAACCAAACAACCCTATCAAAAAGTGGGTGAAGGATATCAACAGACACTTCTTAAAAGCAGCCAACAAACATACGAAAAAAAGCTCATCATCACTGGTCATTAGAGAAATGCAAATCAAAACCACAATGAGATACCATCTCACGCCAGTTAGAATGGCAATAATTAAAAAGTCAGAAACAACAGATGCTGGAGAGGATGTGGAGAAATAGGAAAGCTTTCACACTGTTGGTGGGAGTGTAAATTAGTTCAACCATTGTGGAAGACAGTGTGGCAATTCCTCAAGGATCTAGAACTAGAAATACATTTGACCCAGCAATCCCATTAACGGGATATATACCCAAAGGATTATAAATCATTCTACTATAAAAATAACATACACCTGTATGTTTATTACAGCACTATTCACAACAGCAAAGACTTGAAGCCAACTCAAATGCCCATGAGTGATAGACTGAATAAAGAAAATGTGGCACATAGACACCATGGAATACTATGCAACCATAAAAAAGAATGAGTTCATGTCCTTTGCAGGGACATGGATGAAGCTGGAAACCACCATTCTCAGCAAACTAGCACAGGAACAGAAAACCAAACACTGCATGTTCTCACTCATAAGTGGGAGTTGAACAATGAGAACACATGGACATAGGGAGGGGAACATCACACACTGTGGGCTGTTGGGGGTGGGGAGCAAGGGGAGGGGTAGCGTTAGGACAAATACCTAACATAGATGACGGGTTGATGGGTGCAGCAAACCACCATGGCACAAGTCTACCTATGTAACAAACCTGCACTTCTGCACATGTATCCCAGAACTTAAAAGTATAATAAAAAATAAAAAAGAAGAAAAAAAAAGAAGGTAATGTCCCGAATCAACAACCTAAATCGAAATATTAAGAAACTAGACAAAGAACTAACCCCAAAGCTAGCAGAAGAGAGGAATAAGAGAGATTAAATCAGAAATAAACATATTAGAGAATAGAAAAACAATAGAGGAAATCAATGAAACCAAGTTTGTCCTTCAGAATGATCAACAAAATTGATAAACCTTTAGCTGGACTACAAAAAAAGGAGACTAAATAAATACAATCAGAAATGAAAGAGGGGACATTACTGATTTTATAGAAATAAAAAGGATTATAAGAGTAATATGAAGAATTGTATGCCAGCGAATTGATTAACCTAGATGAAATGAAAAAATTCCTGGAAACACACAAACTACTAAGTCTGAATCAGGAATAAATAGAAAATCTGAATAGATCTATAACTAGTAAAAAGTAATTAAAAACCTCCCAAAAAGTGAAAGCCCAAATATTTGGTGGCGTTTGACAGTGATGTCACATAACTTGAAGAACATCTGGAGAACAATTAACAGCAGTCTTCCTCAAACTCTTCCAAAACACTGAAGAGGAAGAAACACTCCCAAGCTCATTCTGTGAGGTCAGCATTACCCTGATATCAAAGCTAGACAAAGACACTACCAGTAAAGAAAACTAAAGACCTGATCCCTGATGAATACTGACAAAAAAATTCTGAATGAAATAACAGCAAACAGAATTCAACAACCCATTAGAAGGATTATACATCACAACCAGATGGAATTTATTCCAGGAATGCAAGGAAGTTCAATGTAAAAATCAGCCAATGTAATATACCTGTATTAGTCTGTTTTTATGCTGCTGACAAAGACATACCCGAGACTGGGAAGAAAAAAGAGGTTTAATTGGACTTACAGTTCCACATAGCTGGGGAGGCCTCAGAATCATGGCAGGAGGTGAAAGACACTTCTTATATGGTGGCGTCAAGAGAAAATGAGGAAGAAGCAAAAGTGGAAACTCTTGAAAACTCCATCAGATCTCTTGAGACTTACTCATTATCACAAGAATTGCACAGGAAAGATCGGCCCCCATGATTCAATTACCTCCCCCTGGGTCCCTCCCACAACATGTGGGAATTCTGGGAGATACAATTCAAGTTGAGATTTGGGTGGGGACACAGCCAAACCATATCAATACCACATAAACAAAATGAAGGGAAAAACAACCCATGATCATCTCCATTGATGCAGAAAAAGCATTTGACAAAATTTATCACCTTTTTATGATAAAAACACTCAACAAACTAGGAATAAAAATTAACTGCTTCGACATATTAAAGGCCATATATGAAAAGTCCACAGCTAACATCATATTCAATGGTGAAAGGCTGAAAGCTCTCTTATTAAGATTAGGAACAAGACAAGGGTGCTCTTTATCACTTCTGTTCGACATAGTACTAAAAGTCCTAGCCAGTGCAACTAGGCAAGATGACGAAATAAAGGCATCCAAATTAGAAAGGAAGAAGCAAAAGTATCCTCTGATCACAGACAACACAATCTTTAGGTAGGAAAAAAACCCTAAATATTTCACACACATACACAAAATAAGAATAAAATTCAGCAAAATTGCAGGATAGAAAATCAACATATAAAAATCAGGTGTATTTCTATGCATTAACAATGAGCTATCTGGAAAGAATTATAAAAAAATAATTTCACTTATAATTGCATCAAAAGTGTAAAATACTTAGAAATAAACTTAACTAAGGAGATGAAAAACCTACACTGAAAACTACAAAACATTGTTGAAAGAATTTAAATAAGATACAAATAGAAAGACATGCCATGTTTGTGGATTTGAAAGTTTATAATGTTAAGATGTCAATCCTACCCAAAATAATCTACAGATGCAATGCAATCCCTCTGAAAATCCCAATGATATTTTTTGTACAAATAGAAAAATCTATCCTGAAATTCATTTGGAATTCCAAGACACCCGAAATGGCCAAAATAATCTTGAAAAATAAAAACAAAGTTGGAGGTCTCACACCTCCTGATTTTCAAACCTACTACAAAGCTACAGTAACCAAAACAGTATGGTACAGTGTGGTGTAAAGACAGATGTATAGGCTGGTGAAAGAAAATGGAAAGCCCAGAAGTCAACCACACATATATGATCACATGACTTTTGACAAAGGTTCCAAGACCATTCAATGGAGAAAGGGTAATCTCTTCAACAAATGGTGTTGAGAAAACTGGATATCCACATATAAAAGAATGAAGTAAGACCATTACTTAACATCACACACAAAAATTAACTCAAAATGCATCAAAGACCTAAATATAAAACCTAAAGCTATAAAACTCTTAAAAGAAAACATAATGCAAAAGCTTCACAACAGTGGATTTGGCAATGATTTATTGGATGTGGCACTAAAAGCATAGGCAATAAAAGAAAAAATTGATAAACTAGACTACCTCAAAACCGAAAACTTCTATGGATCAAAGGACATAATCAACAGAGTAAAAAGGCAACCCACACATTGGGAGAAAATATTTGCAAATTATATCTTTTTTAAAGGGTTAATATCCAAAATATATAAAGAACTCCTACAAATCAACAAAAAAACAAACAACCTGATTTAAAAAAAAGGATCAAGGGACTTGAATTGGCATTTCTCCAAAGAAGATATACAAATGGGCAGCAGTCACACGAAAAGATGTTCAATGTCACTAATCATTAGGGATATTCAAATAAAAACCACAATGAGATACCACCTCATACCCATTAGGATGGCTACTATAACAAAAAACAAAACAAAATAATAAGTGTTGGCAAGGTAGTGGAGAAACTGGAATCCTTCTACACTCCTGGTGCAAATGTAAAATGGTGCAGCCACTATGGAAAACAATATGGTAGTTCCTCAAAAAATTAAAATATAATTACCACATGATCCAATAATTCCACTTCTGGATATATACTCAAAAGAACTGAAAGGAAGGTTTCGAACAGACAGTTGCATGCACGTGTTCATAGACAGTGCATTATTCACAATAGTTAAACATGGAAGTGACCCAAATTGTCCACTGGTGGATAAAGGATATGCAAAATGTGATATATACATACAGTGGAATATTATTCAGCCTTAAAAAGGAAGGACATTCTGACATATGCTGTAACATGGATGAAGCTTGAGGACATTATACACTATGCTAAGTGAAATAAGCTGGTCACAAAATACCATACGATTCCACTTATATGAGGTACTTGGAGTAGCCAAAATCATAGACATAAAGTAGAGTGATGGTTGACAAGGGCTAGGGAGAGAGAGTAGAGAGTTCTTATTTAATGGGTGGAGAGTTTCAGTTTTGCAAGATGAAAAGAGTTGTGGAAACGGATGGTGGTGATGGCTGTACAACAATGTGAATGTACTTAATGTTGCTGAAACACACATTTTAAAATGGTTAAGATAGTAAATTTTATATTTATCACAATTTTTAAAAATTAAAATCAAAAGGCCATTTTTTAAAGACACATGCTAAGAACAAGAAAAAACCACAAAAGTAAAAATAACATCTTAGCCCCATGAAATAAATTTGGGGGACATTTTATTAGGATAATTAGAAATAATGCAAATTCCTTTCCTCTACAAAATCTAATTGTATTCTAACTTAAATGTTTTCAATTGCTTACATGCATTTTTATTCATTAGCTACTTTGATAAATACTTTATAACAGTCTTTGTTAATACAATCGGAAAAAAATGAAAAATATTCATTTTTAAAAATAAAATTTTGGGAGACTAATATACATACTTTTTCCTGATTTCAGAATTCCTTGAATGCCCAGATTTGCACATACATGAATGTGTATTAAAATTACTTAGTTAAAATATCTGGTTTCTAAATATTCTACATATTCCGCTATAATATTTTTAACTTCTAATTTGATTCTTGTGTTAATAAAAACATTATCTGTCAGTGGAACATCAGGCATGAGAAATATAGCTAGCAAGGCTGATATATATGAAAATGTGTGAATTGATGAAAATAGCTCTAATGATTATGTAAGAATACTATTTCTAATGATTAGAGTATGATAAAAGGGGATACTAAACTCTCAAAGAATGTATTACTTTTAGAAAGTCCATACATCAAGGCTTGATGTTATTTTCAGACCACAAAAGTATTATAATAGTCACTCAGAAATCTGAGATTAGCCCATCTTTAAGCAGTAAATCTGAAAAAAGCTTGAAACAAAATCATCTTTGACTTCCATACTCCAATAACATCAGTAAACTAACTTTCAAAACTACAGCAATTAAATTTACACTGCAATGTAGGAATCTTCTTCAGAAAATGCAGTGAAGCTTTGTGAGGAAAGGGGAGTTATGAGAAATGAATTCTACAGGCTATGAAAGTGACTGGTGGGAAAACTATTTGAGGTGCCCTTCTAAGAGAGGGTAAAGTCTGAGGTGACCTTATTTTAGGAATTTCAATAGGTGAAGATCTGTCTTCATCTTGAAACAAGACAGCAAAGTCTTCATCTTCAAACAGGCCTGAAGTTAATTCGCTTTGAGGTGGGATAAAGCAACCAGAATTTTTATAAGATGAAGAAAATCCAGCTTTATGGAGGAATGGGAAAGTTCCACTTTGAGAGGGATGCTGTGGAATCATGATTGGAGAATGATCTGTGCTGTAACTTTCAGGACGAGGATGAAGGAAATCTTTTAAATCTTTACATAATTGGCCCCTTTGTTGAATATCATTGGCAATTCCATTTTGTTGATCGGGAGAGGAAATATCACTTGCAAGAGAAAAGAAGGATGATGTGCTTTGTTGATAGGAGGCTGTATCAATAGTGTTCCCAAAGGCTGGAGAAGTAGTGTTTGTTTCAAAATTCTTAAAATTTTTAGTGTTATATTCAGGAGCAGAGATGGTTATATGTTTTTTAGCATCAGTATTACTTGAAGTTTTAGAAAAGATTTCGATTTCATTTAGATTAAACACATTCTGGCCACTTGCTTGAGGATCAAAAAAAATGGCACTCTTGTAATAGGAAACTATACTTAGTTTACGGGATGAGAAACGTCTTCTGCGGGAAATAAAGCTACCACAATGGTCTGAGGAAGATTTTATATCAGTGAAGCCTGTGTCTTCTTCAGAATCAAAGTTAGCTCTACTTTGTTGCCAGTAAGGGGAAGCATTTCTTTTTTGAAATCCAACAAATAAAGAATATCTTCTTTCAGAGAAAGATGGACTTGATACAGATAATAACCTTCTACTTGCTTTGGCTGCATTGACTTTATGTGTTACAGGGGAATAAGATGTTTTATGACCAAGAGATATACTTGGTTGTGAAATAGAAGAGGCTCCACGATGCTGGGCGTCTGTACTAACTTGATCTTCTGGAGAACATCGTTGGAAGCTCTGGTCCTCTTTGCAGCAGCTAAGAGTGAGAAAAGGGTCAAATGAGGAAAAAAAATAGGGAGCAGAGTGGAGACCTGCCAAGCCTCCTGAAGAATAATATCCACCTTTTGGTGTCCACCAATTGGTATTGTTTCCATACTAATATGAAAACAGCAGGGAATAAGAAGAATAGGGGAGCTTAAGTTAATGGTCACACAGATGTACCCAAAAGAATGCGGGAGTCTAAGAGGTTATCTCTACCTACACAGTACCTACCCACTCTATTAAACCTTGGGAAGAGAAGTTGAAAAAATCAGGGAAGCAGGTAGAAAGAAAGATCAGGGGAAACATATGCAAGGATACCAGAACAAAAAGATTCCCAAAGGAAAAGATAGAACTGGTTTTAAAGGTAATAAACCACAATATCTGTTGGAGATTACTAACTACTGTATTTAAATGAGTTAAGGAGAATAAACTTATATTCTGTTGACTAATTGTATTTTAAAATATTAACCATGGATGAAGCACAATCTCTCTGGGGAGAATGTTTCAAGTGAATATCTGGACAGTCCAGGATATCCAGTTATTATGGGAAACAAAGGAGAGCACTAAAGCTTCGTTTATGAATATTTTCAATGTTCTTTTAGCACATGTTGAAGTTTTTTTCTAAGGCTTACCTTAAGCACTTTCCCATTGTAAATTTAATCCAAAGTAAGTCTCTCCCTTCCCTTCTAGGCCGTCATCCTTAAGCCATAAAATGCCCTGTAGAGGTGGAACAGGTCAGAAGACTGAATGCTCAAGCTGCATGTGGAGTTAACATGGCAATAACACAGAATGTGATGACAGCAGACTCTAGAATCTCATGACATCAGTTTATATTAGAACTGTTCTGTAGCTCACCTTTCTCCGAAGTTGGAATTCACATGGCTGTGGAATGTGTTTCTACCTTCACTGTTGGAGGAGTCATCCAACAAATCCAGGGGTGGGAAAACAGCTGGATAAGGACAATAACATATATGACAGCTGTACAATCCTTTACCTTGGACCATCTCTCTCACCTTGGACCATCTCTCTCACCAGCTGCCTTCCACACCCCTGTACTACTAACTCCTTCTTCTTTCACTTGAACATTCTTTACCCCAGATTTTTGCATCCTTCAGTGATACGGAAAAGCAAATGTTAGAGACTTTGGCCTAAAGATACATTGAGAAGGGAAAAAAAGTTTAATAAGTAGCAAATGTCATTGCCACCACAAAGGAAACAAGCATCGTTCACCTTGGCAGTAAAGTATGCCATCTGACTGCTTGGGCCATTTGCACAGATTACGGGGATATGCTGTGGCACTATTTATCACTCCTCAGAACAACTGATACTCACCTAAATGCAAGGTTAATAGAGTTATTAGAAAAGAAACACTGTCCTTTCTTATCTAAACCAATTTGGGCTATTGTCCCCATAACAGGTATACGTGTATGTGTATACTTACCTATGACATGAAACACCCCCTCAAATACTTTTATTTACTGTGCAATTTCCTGATCCTAAATACTACTACCGCCTCTAGCCTTTGCTCCCTTCCTAACACCCTACTGCAGGAAACCCTTGAACAAATTCCTTTTAAGAGACCCAAAGCTCTCTAACGTTCACCATACAATGGTCGGATTTGTAATTTGATTTTAGTTTACATACAAACTAATAAAGTAATCTCTTACTGTATCATGGATGCTGGCAGAAGACATGAGATTCGTGGGTTAGAGACAGAAGACTTATGTTACTTACAGCATAGCAAAGCAGCATAATCACCAGGACATTTACATCAGTTCTCCTTTGTCCCACATTGCCACAGGGGCAATGCAGAGGGCCCAAGGACACTTGCCTTCACAGTGGATTGTGTTACAGGAAAGAACGCTGAGCTTAGATGATCTACCACTTCTATAGCAAGTAGTAAGCAAATCTGCTAAACCTGCTCTTGGTCCTGAAGGGAAACAGTAACTCATTCTTCAAGGTTGCTCACCAGAACCCTGAAAAATGGCCCACATAAAGAATGATCAGGGCCTTACATGTATGGCTCATGTAGCAAGATGTCTGGGAGCACAAGAAGCCCAAGGAGGACTGTCTGTCTCTGTAGCAATCTATTACATTTTCCCTCTCTTGTGAGACTACTGTCTTTTGTTCCTAAGCCGCACTAAGGTCTGATTGTCATTTTCCAAAAGGATCTCTTTTGCACATTGCAAGAACATAATACGTAATGCTTATAAAGTTTCTATAAAAAATTTTTCTTTGAAAAATTGGGCCAGCTTGTTGTTTAACACTCCCACCAATGGCCTCTAAAAGAAGCATCTGCTCACTGAGCTACCCCAAAGGAAATAATTATTTGTAACTAAATCTCAACACTGTCAATCACTGCTGCTCAGTCGAGGTAATAAAGAGGTCAGATCACTCCCCCGACCTTATTCAAGCAAATCTATGATTATGCAGACACAAAAAACGGTGTTTAGGTGTGTGCGCATTTGGGGGATGAGGAAGAAGATCCAGATCTGCTCAGACATCAGAAAAGAAATCTCATACCAGTACAGGAAATATCTAGAAGCTGATTAATATCGTTCTAGGTGAAGAACTTACCTAACCCTCTAAATGTCTGCAAATTGCCTCCTTTTGGCTTTTTAAGAGAACCAAAATTAGACTTAGCCCAAAAGCAAATAGTAACCCCTTATAATGACAAGCATCTAAAACATGTTCGTCCTTCAATTCATTCCCAATTCTCTTTATTATCAATTCCATGACCCCAGGTACCTTCTGCTTTTATCATGCCCTATGGCCACCCAACCCTCCTCCTTTTCTGCAACAGCCACTCTATTCTCACCTAGGTCAGTATTCCATCATTATACTCACTGTGCCCAATGAACCTTTTGTTTATCTGTAACCATAATTACCACTCATTACAACAAAAATTTCATCATGATTGCTCATGTGGATGTTAGAAAATCTTCTAGAACAAAGCTTCTCAAATGTTAGGGTGTATAAGAGTCACCCACAGAGCTTCTTAAAATGCAGATTCCTGAGCACTGCTCCCAGACATTCTGATTCGCTAGGTCCGGGGTATGTCCTAAGAACATGCATTTCCCACACTCTCACAGGCAAGACTGGATGCTGATGTTGCTGGTCCACAGACCACAATTTGAGTAGCTGTGTTCCAGAACATACGGGTCATGACGACCCCCAGAGTCAAGGCAGAAGCGTCTTCTGAGGTACCTCACAGCAGCTGCCTATCTAAGCTGGAGTCTAGAAAAGACAGTGAACAATACTAGGACTGAATGTCCCCCTCCTGGTACCTAGATGACAAGTCTCTTCAGAGAATCTACATTACACACGGGGAGAAGTAGGGGGCACAAGGGGAGAACCCTGACTGGGACTGAATCCTTAACACAAAGAACATGCCCCAAACTAAAAATTGACTGAGTTAACTTGAATTGACAAATTTAAGTTTTTCTACATTATTCAAAACAAATATCGTGAAGTACTCTGAATTCAGCTATTGAAAAATGCACATCTTTAGCTGATCTGAGTGTAGTATCATTCTTCAATAATAATACAAACTATTCAATTCATTACATTAATTTAGTTGTTTTTATAGTTTATCAAATGTGCCTGATTGTGGACAGTAACAGCAACATTCATTTTTAAATTAGCACCAGGATAACTGTTGTATTTCCTTTCATTACAACATTAAACTCTCCACATAAGTTCCCTGTTTGTAGTTTGTTACTCAGATGACACAGCTGTCTGCATGTGACTTGCGAGGCAGAAAAAGTATGGCTTTTTTAATGAATTTAGCACAAATGTTGGTTATTTTATACATATTAAATTTCTATTTTATAGAAATTCTACTTTCAGAATTTTCTCATCCATATATTATTTTGAGAGAAAGAAGTTTATTAAAATTAATTCACTGAATAACTCAGAAACAGAAAGTCAAATACTACATATTCTCATTCATAAGTAGGAACTAAATAATGTGTACACATGGACATTGAGCATGCAATAATAGACAGTGGAGACTTCTCAGGAGGGTGGGAGGAGGTGAGGGATGAGAAACTACCTAACAGGTACAATGTACACTATTTGGGTGATAGTTACATTAAAAGCTCATACTTTGCAAAGTAACCATGTAACAGAACTGCATTTTTACCCTCTAAATCTACAAAAATCAAAATTAAAAAAATAATTTCAAAAAATAAAATAAATTCACTAGACAGCAGTTACTAAAGGCATTCTAGTCAAGAATATAGAACAGGACACAGTCCAGGGTTTGAAATGATGCAAAAACAAGCTGGATGTAGTTTTGAAACAATGAAAACTATAAGTATATATTCTAGGTCAACAAGTACATATGCATTCTAGCAACACTAGATAATTTGCTTTCTTCTCTATACTCTCCACATCCTCAGCCTTTTGCCTCTCTATGAAGCTCACCCTAAAAATCCCCAAATCTGGATCAATTCAATCACCAGGGTTCTTACTCTCATATATGAAATGGCAATAACTATTGAAAAAAAGAATCATCCAACAGTGAAGACTGGTAGTATATAGTCTTGAATCTCAAATGGGGCAACCACCTCCTGAGTAATCCTTATTCATGTTTCTAGTTAATTCCCTCTTCTACTCTCCACACCTGCTCTTCCAAACTTTCTTCCTTCACATGTTCATTCATCATTAATGCAAATACTTCATGATAATGTATCATGTGCTAAACGATAAAGTGTGCAAAGCACTGGGAACACCACAGTAAACACATTAGTGCAGATTCTTAAGGAGGTCAAAGTCCTAAGACACGTAAATTGATAGAGGAGAGGAGAGGGGTAGCATAGGGAAGAGAAAAATAAAGCATCTTACCCTTCTTCCTCAAATGTGTCAGTGTCCATTCACCTCCACCCTAAAAGATGGCCTACAGTCCACCCTCCCTGAAAAAAACTAAAGTTATAAGGCAGGAACTCTTTCAACTTCCAACCCCCTACACCTCCAACCCCTACACCCACAAAGGTATCTACTTTCTATTTCATAGAGTCAGAAACACCATCAATTGTAAGAAAGAAAAAATTGTTGCCAATAAAATTATGATTCAGTTCTATAACGCTATTAATTGATGGTAAGATACGATTTGATTTTTGAGACTTAAAATGTTAAAAATGTTCATCTTAGAATTAACGAAATATAGTATGTTGAACCCACCTGTGCCTTCTTAGTTACGTTAGGCTTAAAAAGGTATTCAAATGGAATTGAGGTGAGTTTTATACATGAGTATTCACCTTGAGAGGTCAAGTCTGAATTCAGCAGGTATTTCATATGCACCTTCACCTTACTTCCCCTAGGATACTGTTGTAGAGCATTCTGACACCGTGTACTTTCTTAAGTGGGGATGAGTAAGGCGAGAGGCAGTGCAGCAGAGTGGTAAAGTGTATAGACTCTGTCCCTGACCAGTAAGTTGCCTAATCTTTCCCAGACTCCACTGCCTTGTGTCTAAAACCTCAGAGTTAATGTGTATATTAAATGAGATAATAAATATAAAACATTTAGGACAGGATCTGGAAAAAATTATTGATGGAGATGACTTCCATTTTCTTCTGTAATACCTGTGTAGTCACAGAACTGGGGTCTTTTTCTTTCCCTTATCTGTAATTTTGATTTTGTATATATTGTATCTATTTGTACTAGGCATTAGAGACTTGTAGAAATCTAAGTATTACTCTTGGTGCCAAGGTATCGGGGTACCCAGATTCATTTGTAGATGTGCTGGTAGAGTGAATGGATGTTGGACACTTCAAGTTTTGAAGAAGGCACAGGAAGATGAGACTTCCGAAGACAAATGTGTCCAAATTGGAATCCATGACCAATAGCATGTAAGCTCTAAGAGTGCAAGGGCTTTGTTACCACTGTACTCATCTACAAGAGTATAGTTCATAGTGGCTGCTCAGAAAACATTTGTTTTAGAAATGAATGAATCTGCAAATGTGTTCTTCCTGTCTTTCTTAAGAATCTATTGGTTATTATATTTACAGATTTAATGGTAACAGGGACACTGATTAGGAAAATAACAAAATGTAGAGAAGAGCTTAACCTTTTCAAGCTAGTACTTACTCCTTTATTAGGGGCAGCAATGCTACTTTATATTGTCAGTTTCCATGTCACCAGATACTATCTTGAGCTTAATAAAGTTTCCCAAGAGTCTGCAAGTGATACTATTCTTTCTTCGACGTTATCCCAATACCTAAGGTGTACTGCTACTAAAAAGGTCAGGTGACACCTTGTTTCATAGGTTATTTCCTTTGTTTTGTTCTTGATATTTTTTAAAAAGGCCCTTTTCCTGCATCTTTACTCTTGCCCTCTGTATTGGCTTCTTCCTTGTGGCCCATAAATACGCTCAAGTATCTCTCAGGTGAAAACAAAAACAAAAAGTGAAACATAAAATATATGTTCTCTGGACCTGATACCCCTTCTTAATTACACAACCTCCTTCCATCTAAAGTCAAGTTCCTTGAAATAAGTGTCTACTCTTCTGGTGTCCACATATTTACCTCTCTTTCATTTGTACAGGCCTAGATCAGGTTTCTGTACTTATCACTACCCAGCAACTTCTCCTGCAAAGCTTCTCAATAAGTGACCTCCTAAGTCTCAAATCCGGTAAACACAGTTCAGTCCCTATTTTACTTGACCAAACACATTAGAAGTGAAAGGCTACTATTAAATGTATTTTTCTAGTTCAGAGGTTGGCAAACTACACCCTGTGGGCCTAATCTACCAGCCACCTGTTTTTGTAAATAAAGTTTTATTGGAATGCAGCCATACTCATACTGCCTATGGCTGCTTTCACACTACAATGGCAGAGTTTTGAGACGGAGACTGTATGGTCCTCAGAGCCTAAAATTCTTTTTTTTTTTTTTTTGAGATTGGCTGTTTTTTTAAATGGTGTTTTCAATGAGAAATACATCACCTGTTTATAAAATAACTCTTGAAAAATCCAAGGAGTACAGATACTGTAAAACTAAAGCAAACTCCAGTTATGAGACACTACATACATCATGCAAAAACAACGGCCTCATCTCCAGGTTATGAAAACTAAAACTAAAAAGTCACTAAATAGAAAAGGTCCAAGTTTTCGGCTTGGCAAAACTTGGGTGGTGCAGTTACACAAAACGTTTAATAAATGGAATTGTTTTCCCCTATGTGTAAACAAAATGACAAGCCTAAATCTGTGCCTGGTAATTTCAATCTAACTCTGAAGTTACACAAAATATGCAGACACCTTATACACTTCACCTGTTGGCATGACCATATGACCATCGTTTTTTCTTAGGTGGTGGGGGAGGGGCAAGGTGACCGTGCAGAGCAAAGATATGGGGAGTAGAAATATTGTGTACTAAAAATTATAAAGTCAGGGTGAAAAAAAAGCCTCAATTAACACATAGCCTAAGGGGGAAAAGACTACACTCCAACTTCGCAAAGTTAATTTAGAAGGATAGGGGAGGAGTTTAACTGCAGTTTAACATGAAAAATGCATATATAATAGAATGGAGCGCAATGAAGGATTCATGAAATATACAACCTAAAATTCTTACAGAAAAAGTTTGCCAATTCCTGTTCTAGTACATTTAATACATCTGATCATTTCCTTCTACTTTATAAAACAATTCATTTTTTAAAAGAATTTATTTTAGACATAACGCAAAGCAACTTTATTATCTCATCTTTCATTAGCATCTAAAACAACATGAGACATGCATTATTAACCACATTTTAAGATAAATAAATTGAGGTTTGGAGAAGTGAAGTTACATGGTTAGTTAAAGGCTGAACCGGGATTCCTGCTTGGATCAGAAAGATTCTAAAACCTGTGGCTTTTTACCACTATTCTGGAAATCTTGTCCTCTCTTGGTTTCTGTGACACCTTGGTCCTCTGGTTCCCTGCTCATTGCTTTGACCAGTCATCTGTCTTCTTTTTCAGGCTTATCCACCTTTGTCCACTTCTTCAGTACTGGTTCCAGAAAGTTCTGTACTCCACTCTCTTCTCTCTTCCCATGCTACACATTGTGCTTGAGCAATGGCATCCATTCCCACAGCATCCAGCTTCATAAACATACTAGTGGGATGCCCAGAACGCGAACGGCTTTCCAGGGAGAAATGCTTCTCTCAGCCTTTAGCAGTTCCTTTCATGGGTGGCATGTGGATGGCTGCTCATGCTGGCAGTGGCTTCAATCTCTTAGCAAGTCCTGCCCAGGAAGGTCTAGCATCTGGCTGCAGGATGGAAAGGTGCTTGGCACTTATTGCTTTTTTCTTGGCCGTTAGGGTTCTAGTTAATAGAATCCTAAAAGGCCAAAAGCATCACTCTTTACCATCTTGCTAGATTTTCTTTTAAAAAATCTGTTTTACTTGTGAGACTTTGCTTTGTTCCCTGCTAGATCTCCAGAGTTCAGACAGTGCCTGCCACAGAGTAGACACTCACACTGAATGAATAAGGGGACCTCAAATGTTAATGTGACTTTTCTTTTTTTAAAGGAAATTCATAGGAGAGGACTAAATGGCAAATGAATGATGAAAAGTTTGATCGTACTGGTTTTCAGGGAAATACAAATTGAAAAATAATTAGTTACGATTTCATCTTCATCAGGTTGGCTAAAATGAAAAAGTCTGACAATATAAAAATTTGTATGGGAAGATAAGAATTCTCATATACTGCTCATAGGATGGTAACTTGGTACACTTTAAGGAATAATTTAGTAACATATAATAATAATATAGTTAATCTATAACTCAGGACTTCAAATGTATACTTTCAAGAAATTCTTCCACATATGCCTAAGGAATTATGAAGGAAAGTGTTCAATAAAGCATTGTTTATAAGAACAAAACATGAGGATTCCCAGGCAAGATGGTCGAATAGAAACAGCTCCAGTCTGCAGCATCCAGCAAGACCAACGCAGAAGGGTGATTTCTGCATTTCCAACTGAGGTACCTGGTGCATCTCATTGGGACAGGTTAGACAGTGGGTGCAGCCTATGGAGGGTGAGGTGAAGCCGGGTGGGATTTCGCCTCACCCAGGAAGTGCAAGGGGTCGGAGAACTCCCTCCCCTAGCCAAGAGGAGCTGTGAGGGACTTGCCATGAGGGACAGAGATATCTGGCCCAGATACTACACTTTTCCCACGGTCTTCACAACCCACAGACCAGGAGATTTCCTCGGGTGCCTACACCACAAGGGCCCAGGGTTTCAAGCACAAAAGTGGGCAGCTGTTTGGGCAGATACCGAGCTAGCTGCAGGAATTTTTTTTTTTTTTTTTGGTACCCCAGTGGCACCTGGAACACCAGCGAGACAGAACCACTCACTCCCCTGGAAAGGGGGCTGAAGCCAGGGAGCAAAGTGGCCTAGCTCAGCGGATCCCACCCCTACAGAGCCCAGCAAACTAAGATCCACTGGCTGGAAATTCTCGCTGACAGCACAGCAGTCTGAAGTCAACCTGGGATGCTCCAGCATGGTGGGGAAGGGGCATCCACCATTACTGAGGCGTGAGTAGGCAGTTTTCCCCACACGGTGTAAACAAAGCCACCAGGAAGTTCAGACTGAGTGGAGCCCACCGCAGCACTGCAAAGCAGCTATAGCCAGACTGCCTCTCTAGATTCCTCCTCTCTGGGCAGGGCATCCCTGAAAGACAGGCGGTAGTCTCAGTCTGGTGCTTACACATAAAACTCCAGTTTCCCTGGGACAGAGCAACTGGGGGAAGGCGCGGCTGTGGGCGCAGCTTCAGCAGACTTAAATATTCCTGCCTGCCAGCTCTGAAGAGAGCAGCAGATCTCCCACCACAGTGCTCAAACTCTGCTAAGGGACAGACTGCCTCCTCAAGTGGGTCCCTGACCCCTGTGCCTCCTGACAGGGAGACACCTCCCAGCAGGGGTCAACAGACATCTCGCACAGGAGAGCTCCAGTCGACATCTGGCGGGTGCCCTCTGGGATGAAGCTTCCAGAGGAAGGAGCAGCCAGCAATCTTTGCTGTTCTGCAGCCTTCACTGGTGATACCCAGGCAAACAGGGTCTACAGTGGACTCCCAGCAAACTCCAGCAGACCTGCAGAAGAGGGGCCTGACTGTTAGAAGGAAAACTAACAAAGAGAAAGCAACAGCATCAACATCAAGAAAAAGGAAGACCACGCAAAAACTCCATCAGAACGTCACCAACAACAAAGACCAAAGGTAAATAAATACACGAAGATGAGGAAAAACCAGTGCCAATAGGCTGAAAATTCCAAAAACCAGAATGACTCTTCTCATCCAAAGGATCGCAACTCCTCACCAGCAAGGGAACAAAACTGGACAGAGAATGAGTTTGATGAATTGACAGAAGTAGGCTTCAGAAGGTGGGTAATAACAAACTCCTTCGAGCTAAAGGAGCAAGCTTTAACCCAATGCAAGGAAACTAAGAACCTTGATAAAAGGTTAGAGAAATTGCTAATGAGAATAACAAGTTTAGAGAAGAACATAAATGACCATGACCTGATGGAGCTGAAAAACACAGCACAAGAACTTTGTGAAGCATACACAAGTATCAATAGCCAAATTGATCAAGTGGAAGAAAGGATATGAGAGATTGAAGATCAACTTAACGAAATAAAGCGTGAAGACAAGATTAGAGAAAAAAAGAATGAAAAGGAATGAACAAAGACTCCAGGAAACATGGGACTATCTGAAAAGACCAAACCTGTGTTTGTTTGGTGCACCTGAAAGTGACAGCGAGAATCGAACCAAGGTGGAAAACACACTTCAGGATACTATCCAGGAGAACTTCCCCAACATAGCAAGACAGGCCAACATTCAAATTCGGGAAATACAGAGAACACCACAAAGCTACTCCTCGAGAAGGGAAACCCCAAAACACATAATTGTCAGATTCACCATGGTGGAAGTGAAGGAAAAAATATTAAGGACAGCCAGAGAGAAAGGTCGAGTTACCCACAAAGGGAAGCCCAGCAGACTAACAGGAAATCTCTCTGCACAAACTCTACAAGCCAGAAGAGAGTGGGGGTAAATATTTAACATTCTTAAAGAAAAGAATTTTCAACCCAGAACTTCATATCGAGCCAAACTAAGCTTCACAAGTGAAGAAGAAATAAAACCCTTTACAGACAAGCAAATGCTGAGGGATTTTGTCACCACCAGGCCTGCCTTACAAGAGCTCCTGAAGGAAGCACTAAATACGGAAAGGAAAAACTGGTACCAGACACGGCAAAAACACACTAAAATGTAAAGACCATCCACACTATGAAGAAACTGCATCAACTAATGGGCAAAATAACCAGCTAGCATCATAAGGACAGGATCAAATTCACACATAACAATATTAACCTTAAATGTAAATGGGCTAAATGCCCCAATCAAAAGACTGGAAATTGGATAAAGAGTCAAGACCCATTGGTGTGCTGTATTTAGGGGACCCATCTCACATGCAAAGACACCCATATGCACAAAATAAAGGGATGGAAGATGATTTACAAAGCAAATGGAAAGCTAAAAAAAGCAGGGTTTGCAATACTAGTCTCTGATAAAACAGACTTTAAACCAACATACATCAAAAAAGACGAAGGGCATTACATAATGGTAAAGGGATCAATGCAACAAGAAGAGCTCACTATCCTAAATATATACTCACCCAATACAAGAGCACCCAGATTCATAAAGCAATTTCTTAGAGACATACAAAGAGACTTAGACTCCCACACAATAAGAGTGGGAGAATTTAACACCCCACTGTCAATATTAGACAAATCAACGAGACAGAAAATTAACAAGGATATTCAGGACTTGAACTCAGCTCTGAACCAAGCGGACCTAATAGACATCTATAGAACTCTCCACCACACATCAACAGAATATACATTTTTCTCAGCACCACACCGCACTTATTCCAAAATCAACCACATAATTGGAAGTAAAAGACTCCTCAGCAAATGTAAAAGAATGGAAATCATAACAGTCTCTCAGGCCACAGTGGAATCAAACTAGAACTCAGGATTAAGAAACTCACTCAAAACTGCACAATTACATGGAAACTGAACAACCTGCTCCTGAATGACTACTGAGTAAATAACAAAATTAAGGCAGAATAAATAAGTTATTTGAAACCGACGAGAACAAAAATGCAACGTACCAGAATCTCTGGGACACAGCTAAAGCAGTGATTAGAGGGAAATTTATAGCACTAAATGCTCACAGGAGAAAGCAGGAAAGATCTAAAATTGACACCCTAACACCACAATTAAAAGAACTAGTGCAGCAAGAGCAAACAAATTCACAACCTAGCAGAAGATGAGAAATAACTAAGATCAGAGCAGAACTGAAGGAGATAGAGATCAAAAAACTCTTCAAAAAATCAGTGAATCCAGGAGCTGGTGTTTTGAAAAGATTACAAAATAGATAGACCGCTAGCCAGATTAATAAAGAAGAAAGGAGAGAAGACTCAAATAGACACTAAATAAAAAAATGATAAAGGGGAGATCACCACTGATTCCACAAAAATACAAACTACCATCAAAGAATACTATAAACACCTCTACACAAATAAACTAGAAAATCTACAAGAAACGGATAAATTCCTGGACACATACACCCTCCCAAGACTAAACCAGGAAGAAGTCAAATCCCCGAATAGACCAATAACAAGTTCTGAAATTGAGGCAGTACTTAATAGCCTACCAACCATAAAAAGCTCAGCTCCACACAGATTCACAGCTGAATTCTACCAGAGGTACAAAGTGGAGCGGTACCATTCCTTCTGAAACTATTCCAAACAACAGAAAAAGAGGGACTCCTCCCTAACTCATTTTATGAGGCCAGCATCATCCTGATACCAAAACCTGGCAGAGACACAACAAAAAAAGAAAATTTCAGGCCAATATCCCTGATGAAGATTGATGCAAAAATCCTCAATAAAATACTGGCAAACCAAATCCAGCAGCACATCAAAAAGCTTATCCACCATGATCAAGTTGCCTTCATCCCTGGGATGCAAGGCTGGTTCAACATACACAAATCAGTAAACATAATCCATCACATAAACAGAACCAACAACAAAAAACACACGATTATCTCAATAGATGCAGAAAAGGCCTTCAATAAAGGCCTTCAAAACACCCCTTCATGCTAAAAACACTCAATAAACTAGGTATTGATGGAACATATCTGAAAATAATAAAAGCTATTTATGACAAAACTACAGCCAATATCATATTGAATGGGCAAAAGGTGTAAGCATTTCCTTTAAAAACCGGCACAAGACAAGGATGCCCTCTCTCACCACTCCTATTCAACATAGCACTGGAAGTTCTGCCCAGAGCAATCAGGAAAGAGAAAGAAATAAAGGGTATTCAAGTATGAAGAGAGGAAGTCAAATTATCTCTGTTTGCAGATGACATGACTGTATATTTAGAAAACCTCATCGTCTCAGCCCCAAATCTCCTTAAGCTGATAAGCAACTTCAGCAAAGTCTCAGGATACAAAATCATTGTGCAAAAATTCCAAGCATTCCTACAAACCAATAATAGAGAGTCAAATCATGAGCAAACTCCCATTCATAATTGCTACAGATAGAATAAAATACCTAGGAATACAACTTAGAAGGGATGTGAAGGACCTCTTCAAGGAGAATTACAAACCACTGCTCAAAGAAACAAGAGAGGACACAAACAAATGGAAAAACATTCCATGCTCATGGATAGGAAGAATCAATATTGTGAAAATGGCCACACTCCTCAAAGTAATTTACAGATTCAATGCTATTCCCATGAAGCTACCATTGACTTTCTTCACAGAATTAGAAAAAAGCTACTTTAAATTTCATATGGAACCAAAAAGGAACCTGTATAGCCAAGACAATCCTAAGCAAAAAGAACCAAGCTGAAGGCATCATGCTACCTGACTTCAAACTATACTACAGTAACCAAAACAGCATGGTACTGGTACCAAAACAGATATATAGACCAATGGAACAGAACAGAGGCTTCAGAAATAACACCACACATCTACAACCATCTGATCTTTGACAAACCTGACAAAAACAGCAATAGGGAAAAGATTCCCTGTTTAATAAATGGTGTTGGGAAAACTGGCTAGCCATATGCAAAAAAAAACTGAAACTGGACCCCTTCCTTACACCTGATACAAAAAATTAACTCAAGATGGATTGGATTAAAGACTTAAGCGTTAAGACCTGAAAACCATAAAAACCCTAGAAGAAAACCTGGGCAATATCATTCAGGACATAGGCATGAGCAAAGACTTCATGACTAAAACACCAAAAGCAATTGCAGCAAAAGCCAAAATTGACAAATGGGATCTAATTAAACTAGAGAGCTCCTGCACAGCAAAAGAAAGTATCATCAGAGTGAACAGGCACCCTACAGAATGGGAGAAAATTTTTGCAATCTATTCGTCTGACAAAGGGCTAATATTAAGTATCTACAAGGAACTTAAACAAATTTACAAGAAAAAAGCAAACAACCCCATCAAAAAGTGGGCAAAGGATATAAACAGACACTTTTCAAAAGAAGACATTTATGTGGCCAACAAATATAAGAAAAAAAGCTCATCATCACTGTTCATTGGAGAAGTGCAAATCAAAACCACAATGAGATATCATCTTATACAAGTTAGAATGGTGATCATTAAAATGTCAGGAAACAACAGATGTTGGAGAGGATGTGGAGAAACAGGAACACTTTACACTGTTGGTGGGAGTGTAAATTAGTTTAACCATTTTGGAAGACAGTGTGGCAAGTCCTCAAGGATCTAGAACTAGAAATACCATTTGACCCAGCAATCCCATTACGGGGTATATACCCAAAGGATCATAAAGCATTCTACTGTAAAGACACACGCACACGTATGTTTATTGCAGCACTATTCACAATAGCAAAGACTTGGAACCAACCGTCCATCAATTATAGACTGGATAAAGAAAATGTGTCACATACACACTATGGAATACCATGCATCCCTAAAAAAGAATGAGATCATGTCCTTTGCAGGGACACGGATGAAGCTGGAAACCACCATTCTCAGCAAACTAACACAGGAACAGAAAACCAAACACTGCATGTTCTCACTATAACTGGGAGTTGAACAATGAGAACACATGGACACAGGGAGGGGAACATCACACACCGGGGACTGTCAGCAGGTGGGGAGTATGGGGAGGGGTAGCATTAGGACAATTACCTAACATAGATGACGGGTTGATAGGTGCAGCAAACCACCACGGCACATGTCTACCTATGTTAACAAACCTGCACGTTCTGCACATGTATCCCAGAACTTAAAGTTAATAAAAGAAAAAAGGAGCAAAAACATGATAACCTAAACATCCATCAATAGGGAAATAAATTAAGGTATATTCATTCAAAGGAATGCAGCATAGCACTTAAAAAGAATGAAATAATTTTATATATATACATATCAATATGGAAAAAACTCAAAAAAATTTATTGCAAAACATGTTACAAAATGTGTGTGCCATATAATGATATGTATGTAAATTTTAAGAAGAAAAGACCATTTATGTCTTGTTTATATAAAAGTGCACATGTAGGAGAAACATTAACACTTTCAAAGGAAGAATGCACACCAACTTCAAGATAACAGTTTCCCTGACAGAAAGGAGTAGAGAGGGTACTTCAATTATATACGTGATGTTTCATTTTTTAAAAGATCAGAAGTAGAAAACAACTTTGTTTTGCAAATTTAGACAACTATAACAGCAAGGCATATAAATCACCACACAATGAGCTTCTGAATCTCTGTTCATCTCCATGCTTTGAACAACTGAAGTTCCACATTAAAACGGACCTGACAGGAGCAAGTAATGTTAAGAGTAAAAACACAAATGAACAAAAAGCACTGTCTATATTTTTGGCTCATGAAAGTGAAAGTTAAGAGTTTCAAATAAAACCTCAAAAATCTGTATCTGTCTGTGGTCTTACTTTCATCATCATTCTCTATTATCTACGAAGTAATATTATCTAAGGCAATATATACTATGCCTGACATTATGCTGGTATTCTGGGAGTGGATTCGTGGTGTTTTGTGTTATTTTCGAATAATCAGTACTGTTTTTGTTGATACTATATGAGAGTATCATATGAACCTAACAGTAAATGAAAATATCTAGGGCAAGAAGAAAAGAAAAAAGACCCATATGGTCACTATACAACCCTGAGTCTAATTTTGAAACTCATCTATTCTTCCTAAAGCCCACAGTGAAATGAAAGAATAATGAATTTGTTACTTTCAACTGGAATCAAAGTTAACTCTTTAAAAAGATGTTTCTAAAGCTTCATATAATATTGTAATTCAAATAATAGTTTTAGACCCATAGAGTGATAGAGCAACGTAAGTCAAATATGACAAAGAGAGGTAGGAAGCTTAAAAAAATAAAAGGAACTGAAAAGTTTTCAGAAATAACTTAAAATTGAAACTGAAAACATCAATGTGAACTAGTGACCTTAAGAGTATATTTTTTACCGTGTCCTCAAAGGGACCCAACCAGCCTCTGATATCATCCTCCCTAAAAATAGTACTCCCCCATATACCCAGCTTTTGGGGTCGAATACTATTCTTACTGAAAGAAACTGATGCTGCCACAGCATAGCTGATTCTGCCTCGGAGTGACAAAAAAATAAAAAATAAAAAATAAAATATAAATAAATAAATCAGTAACAACATGTGATTACCAAGAAGCAAAGATGCTTTCCAAAATGTTAACACTAGTGCTAAAAAGGACACAGACACAAACTTAACAGACCCCTCTGAGGGCCACCTTATGAGAATTTGAGCATTGTTCATCACCACCATACCCAGCAGAAAATCAGCTGAGCCCCAGAAAAGGCATAAGTGCATAGGTCCATAATACTTGTGTACTAAGAGACAGAATACAAGAGATTCTAATAATGGTTACAGAAAACATGTTCCACTGATCTACCCAAATTCCATGAGTCCTCCACTCAAGTTTTTGTCAACAACTAAGGATATAATTAGATATTTTTCCTTTCTTGTGTGAAACAAGTAGTATTAGAAAATTGTGGCTGATATCCATTTTTTGAAAAGAAGTAAAAATCTTCAGGTACCTATTGCAAAAGAGAAATGTTACATATGGAACATGTAACTGTCACTTAATATTTTAATTTTTGCTATCAAGGACACTTGTGTATGAAGAGCACATCCCACCTTAAAAATGGGAAAGAGGGGATGACTCTTCCTCCCCATGGCCAGTCTTCAGTCCCACAGGAGATTATAAAAGGACAGGCAGTCTAAAATTTACACAAATGTACTTTACAAAAACCTTGTTTCTGAAAAATATTTTATTTATTTAAAAAGTGAGTTTCTACATACTTATTTAGAAAGATTTCACATCTAAATTTTTTTGTACTCCTCTCTCCCTCTCCCTCTCCCCTTTCCACGGTCTCTCTCTCCCTCTCTTTCCACGGTCTCCCTCTGATGCCGAGCCGAAGCTGGATGGTACTGCTGCCATCTCGGCTCACTGCAACCTCCCTGCCTGATTCTCCTGCCTCAGCCTGCCAAGTGCCTGCCATTGCAGGCGCACGCCGCCACGCCTGACTGGTTTTCGTATTTTTTTGGTGGAGACGGGGTTTCGCTGTGTTGGCCGGGCTGGTCTCCAGCTCCTAACCGCGAGCGATCCGCCAGCCTCGGCCTCCCGAGGTGCCGGGATTGCAGACGGAGTCTGGTTCACTCAGTGCTCAATGGTGCCCAGGCTGGGGTGCAGTGGCGTGATCTCGGCTCGCTACAACCTCCACCTCCCAGCCGCCTGCCTTGGCCTCCCAAAGTGCCGAGATTGCAGCCTCTGCCCAGCCGCCACCCCGTCTGGGAAGTGAGGAGCGTCTCCGCCTGGCCGCCCATCGTCTGGGATGTGAGGAGCCCCTCTGCCTGGCTGCCCAGTCTGGAAAGTGAGGAGCGTCTCTGCCCGGCCGCCATCCCATCTAGGAAGTGAGGAGCGCCTCTTCCCGGCCACCATCACATCTGGGAAGTGAGGAGCATCTCTGCCCGGCCGCCCATCGTCTGAGATGTGAGGAGCACCTCTGCCCTGCTGCCCCGTCCGGGATGTGAGGAGCGTCTCTGCCCAGCCGCCCTGAGAAGTGAGGAGACCCTCTGCCTGGCAACCGCCCCATCTGAGAAGTGAGGAGTCCCTCCGCCCGGCAGCCGCCCCGTCTGAGAAGTGAGGAGCCCCTCCACCCAGCAGCCACCCCGTCTGGGAAGTGAGGAGCGTCTCCGCCCGGCAGCCACCTCGTCCGGGAGGGAGGTGGGGGGGTCAGCCCCCCGCCCGGCCAGCCGCCCCGTCCGGGAGGGAGGTGGGGGGGTCAGCCTCCCGCCCGGCCAGCCGCCCCGTCCGGGAGGGAGGTCGGGGGGTCAGCCCCCCGCCCAGCCAGCCGCCCCGTCCGGGAGGTGAGGGGCGCCTCTGCCCGGCCGCCCCTACTGGGAAGTGAGGAGCCCCTCTGCCCGGCCAGCCGCCCCGTCCGGGAGGGAGGTGGGGGGGGTCAGCCCCCCGCCCGGCCAGCCGCCCCGTGAGGTGAGGGGCGCCTCTGCCCGGCCGCCCCTACTGGGAAGTGAGGAGCCCCTCTGCCCGGCCACCACCCCGTCTGGGAGGTGTACCCAACAGCTCATTGAGAATGGGCCATGATGACAATGGCGGTTTTGTGGAATAGAAAGGGGGGAAAGGTGGGGAAAAGATTGAGAAATCGGATGGTTGCCGTGTCTGTGTAGAAAGAGGTAGACATGGGAGACTTTTCATTTTGTTCTGTACTAAGAAAAATTCTTCTGCCTTGGGATCCTGTTGATCTGTGACCTTACCCCCAACCCTGTGCTCTCTGAAACATGTGCTGTATCCACCCAGGGTTGAATGGATTAAGGGCGGTGCAAGATGTGCTTTGTTAAACAGATGCTTGAAGGCAGCATGCTCCTTAAGAGTCATCACCACTCCCTAATCTCAAGTACCCAGGGACACAAACACTGCGGAAGGCCGCAGGGTCCTCTGCCTAGGAAAACCAGAGACCTTTGTTCACTTGTTTATCTGCTGACCTTCCCTCCACTACTGTCCTGTGACCCTGCCAAATCCCCCTCTGCGAGAAACACCCAAGAATGATCAATTAAAAAAATAAATAAATAAAATAAATAAATAAATAAATTTTTTGTATCTTATTCCTTTCTCAAAAAAATCCAAACTGTTTGTCTGCTTTTGTTTATTTTTCTAAAGGAGAGCTAAACAGGAAAAAGCTTCTCCCCTTCTTTACTGAGTGCCATTTGCTGTAGTCCAAGGCACTGGGGATGTATTGCATCTACTCTAGTATTTTATTGCTAACAAAGGCACCCAGGATCAAGCAAGAGGAGGGAATGTCTCTCCTGACATCAGTCTTGAAGTTTTGACGTGTCTAGTTTTTCCAACTAGCTGTATGTTACTGTCATTCATAAATTTCACAAATCCTTCTTGAACCCACATAAAACATCTGTGCCTACACCATTACTTGAAATTCATTAAGTCCCATAATTATCTTCTTTTTACTTGTCCTAAATGAATCCTAAACTTATCAAAGTTTGCCTCTTTTTCTAGAATTTCAGAACTTCTTGAATAAGCCTAAGCTCAACTTAACCAGTGTCCTTTTAGATTGAAGGCCATTCACCCTTTTGGTCTATACTCCTTCAGCAGAACTGCCATTTTTCCTCTCAGTCTAGCAGACCTTCTCTGGTTAGTCCCTAGTTCCATTAGGTCTTTTCTAAGATGCAACTGCCAAAACTGCACACAGGACACACGATGAAGAAATACCACAGATTTACATACAGGTAGGATAACCACCTGGTTTGTCTTCGATAACTCTCAATGATGCTCAATGCTATACTGGGATTTTTGTCATTATTAGAGTACTAATCTGCTGTTTTCTACATCCATAATAAATAACTACTAGGTCTCTTTTCTGAGTCACACAAATTTTTTAGATCTTCCTACATTTGTAAATGAACTAGAACAATGACTCTCAATAATTTTCAAATAGGGCAGAGCCACAAATGATAGCTCTAGGAAGATCTAAAAAATTTGTGTTCTTGAACAACAACAAAAAGTTGTTGACTGGTTTTAAAATAGGGAAGGAAAATATTCAGAAGGAATCTAAAATAATCTTAAATCATTTGAAACTGTGACTCAGAAAAGAGACCTAGTCGGCGGGTGGGTGGGTGGGTAGCAGCGCTGGGCCTGTGTCTTGAGCCTGGAGGGAGTCTGCTCCTGCCGCCCTCTGCCCTGCCAGAGACAGACCCATGCGCTGCCTGCCCACTGTGCCCCTTTGTCCTCATGTCAGGCGGAGGCGGAAGGCCCACCGTGCCAGAGGCTGGGCACCAGCCTTAACCCTCACTCTGCTAGCACCTCCTCCCTTTCCCTGAGGCAGCACATCTGGCTCACTCTCCCCTCTGTCTCTGGAGTCCACCAGGGAAGGCCCTCATCCCCTGCTGCTACTTCTTTGGGGAATGTGGGTTCCATCCAGGGTTGGGGGCCTCTCTGCTCACCCACTCTGCACCCAGGATCCTAGTCCCCTGCCCTCTGGCACGGCTGCTTCCTGCAAGAAAGTAAGTCTTTGGTCTCCCTGAGAAGCCATGTCCCTCGTGCTGTCTCTTGCCTGTCCCACCTGCGCCCTGCCCTCCAGCTTGTATTTAAGTCCCTGGGCTGCCCCTTGGGGTGCCCCTCGCTCCCAGGTTCCCCTCTGGTGTCATGTCAGGCATTTTGCAAGGAAAAGCCACTTGGGGAAGGATGGAAAAGGACAAAAAAATTAATAAATTTCCATTGGCCCTCGGGTGAGCTGAGGGTTTCTGCAAGGAAAAAAAGAAAAGAAAAGAGACCTAGCCACTGGATTAACCCATGCAAAGATGAGACAGAGTCACCTATATACTCTCAAGTCTTTTTTGACCTGCACTAAAATTCAGTAGCCAGTAGCCCAAGTGGCTATTTAAATTTAATTACAATTAAATAAAATTACAACTTCAATGACATAAAAGGAAAATTCAGTTCCTCAGTTGCATTAGCCACATTTCATGTGCTTTGTGGCCAGAGGGGGCTAGTGGCTACCACATTGGGCAGCACAGACTTGGACCATTTCCATCACTGCGGAAAGTTCTTTTGAACAGGAGTGGTCTAGAGAATTCTCAGAAGGAGTCAGAGTGGCTACATTAAAACAGTAGGTTATACACTTTGGCAAGTAATTACTGCCTTCCTCAATATTCACATAATACCACCTGCTACCAGTAAGTTTTTTATATTCCTTTTGTCAATATGGTCTAAACTAGCTTAAATACTGACTACTGAATATGACTTTAATTATAATCTAAGTCAAAATATCACTCCTTTTCATTTTATGTGAGCAGCAGGATATATGACTGGAACCCATAATGAAAATACCTAAATAATAGTAATAATGATAATAACCAATTCAACATAGGAAATATCTTAAAGAAACTTACCCTCCTTCACTTTCTGCTTCCTCTGAACTATTACTTGTTGCTGAACTTTGAATTGTGGGGAGTCTTCTTTTTCTCGCTCTGTGCTGAGGGCTTATCTTATGAACAGTTATTTTCCCTCCAAGTTCATCTTGTATATATTCCTCCAGCTTTGGAATAGCTTCTTTAAGAAATCTGATTTCCTCTTTGAGTTCTTCCATATTTGTCAGTAATTCGTTTAACTTCTCCAGTATCTGAAGTTGCCTTTCTTGAAAGATTACTGTTGTTCCTTGGTCATCATGTATTTCATCTTGCAAAGTTATTGAATTAAATGTATTACCCAGAGAAAGAAATTCAGGTAACTTCATTGCTATCCCTGGTTTACGGACCTTGTGGTACCACAAGAGCAGCAAGCTGATTCCAGCAGTGCCCACCATGATGCCAAGTATCAACTCTTTGTTTGTGGAATAAGGCATTTCTTGGTTTTCGTTTCTAAAATTAAAAACATAAATGTAAATGAATGTTGTTTATGTCTTTGTCCAAGACAAAAATATAGGTGCTTTTTCAATCAACAAAAGCCAAGTTTACATCACAGGATTTACAAAAAGTAGGACAATAGCCCAAAGGGTGGGAAAGGACAAATGGAAGTATACTGTTGTAAGAGTCTTAGATTACAATGAAGAATTATCATATTAAGTTAAAGATGCATAGCTGTAAACCCTAGAATAACCACTAAAAAACAAACAAACAAAAAAACCCCAGGCAATACATATCAAGACAATAATAGAGATAAAAATGGAACACTAAAGATACTCACTTGGTCCAAAAGAAGGCAGGAAAAGGAGAAAAAAGAACAGATGGGCAAATAGAAAACAAATAGAAGAGAAATTACGCCATTATTAAGTGCGAAAATGGTGCCAAAAGATCAAGAAATAACAGGTTTTTTTTGCCAACAGAAAAGAGTCCATAAAAAGAAAAGAAAAATTGATGAAGTAGACATATAGAAAACTGCATAGCAATAAACTTGAGAAGGCAAAGGAGGTGGGCTCTATCGCACAAGCACAGGAGTTGACCTTTGATGGGAACATAAACCATTCATTCATAGTCATAAAAGGCAGATTATGTGAGCAGAGATTTAAATAGGTGGGTAGATGCAGTGGTGGGAGGTTATGCAAGCTCTCTTTGATTGCTTCACTGTTCTAAGATAGGAAGTGAAGATAGGAAGCAAAGTAAATAGCTGGGAGTGTGAATTGGGGAAAAAATATCAGTAAGATGAAAATTCTGAATTAGGTTGTATACCCGAAATTCACCATCCTCTGCTTTATATCCTGTGATTCCACATATTCTACCAAGCATTGTTTCTTACACTTCAAATGGCCAACTAAATGTAATGTTTCAAATGCTTCCTTGGTGGTCTACTGGTTAGGATTTCTGGGCTCGCAAATGCCCTATGGAAGAGGGTCTGAGAGAACAAGCAGCCATAATCTATTTCTGAAAAGCCTGCTTAAAATAAGAACGTCTTTGGATTCCTATTTCACTAGAGTATATGCCTGGAACACAGAAAGTATCCTGTTTGGATGTTCTACACTTCATTACAGGCCTAAGTGTCAAAGAGAAGGACTGACTTTAAAATAATCTTCCAGAAATTACCTCAGGTGTTAGTGAATATTATATCCAAGAGATTTAAGAATTCCTTCTTTTAAACCAAAGATTCCAGAGAAAGCCTTGGTACTTAATCTGGCCTGCTTTACCTCACAGAAATTTGCCTGGAATTAACTTAAAAAAATTTTTTTTCACCTAATTGGTATAACTGGGAACTATAACCATCTGCCCACTCCCAGCTCATCCAGGAGACATGCCAGCAACAGATTCCAATCAATTTGTAACTTCAGCTGAAATTGTAGCTAATTATTGCTAGATGTGTAAATGTATTCTACAAAAAAATTGTATCACAAAACTAAATTATCTTGAAAGCTTATTGCAAAAAAATAAGTCACTCTATGCCCATTAATTACAACTGCATTCCAGCTAATATTCACACATCAAGTTTAATCATCTTTATTTTTGTCAATAAAATTATTCAGGCAGGATGTCCATTCGCTGATATAGAGGTCTATTAAAGGAAATCTTCCTATTCTGATTGCTTTCTTTTGCCCATACCTTGGACTTTTACATTAAGAAATATAGCCTAGTTTGAAAATATTTTCATTTAATAAGCAAATAAGTAGAAGTAAAAATCTACCTAGGAAGGAGAACTTATTCTTGAGACAGGACCAGGTTTCAGCAGGTGGGAAAGTCTTATTTTGCTTGGCCCTTTCTTTAGGAACTGCACCAATTCCAAATCATCTCTTCCATGCAGGTCCTATTATTATTTTGCAGATAAGTGAACTGAGGCACACAGGTGTCAAGTCACTTACCCAGTGATCACCCAACTGGGAAGTGAAAACTGTCACCTTTGACAACCTGTTCCTAACTCTTGGATGCACCCACAACATGTGGGAGATTTGGAAAGCATCAACAAGGAGGTGAAGGAGAGTACTGACTGAACAGAGATGCTCAAAGCTGAAATATTATTTCAGAACCACAAAAATTAACTAGAAAAAAATAGAATCAACGGAGCTGATGTTTTAAACAAACACAATTAAAGACTAACAGTTCAAGCTATGTTTGAGTTTTATAACAGCATAAAACAAATGTGCTTCAACACTGATAATTTGAAAAATGACACATTAAAAATAATGTACAAAATACATCAGAGTACTTGCTTGCCTTCAGAATAATTTCAAAGGTTGTATGAAGTCATTTACATAGCTTTTTTTTTTTAGAGTCTCGCTCTGTCACCTAGGCTGGAGTGCAGTGGTACAATCACTGCTCACTGTAGCCTCGACCACTTGGGCTCAAGTCATCCTCCTGCCTCAGCCTCCCTAGTAGCTAGGACCACAAGCGTGGGCAACCACGCCCGGCTAATTTTTACATTACTTGTAGAGAGTGAGTCTCCCTATGTTGCTAGGCTGGTCCCGAACTCCTGGGCCCAAGCAATCCTGCCTCCACCTCTCAAAGTGCTGGGATAAGCAGCATGGGCCACTGCCTCCAGCCTTGTTAGCTTTCATACTTCTAATTATGTTAATAGTATACACTTGTAGTATAAAAAAATATAGTAATTAAAAACTTTACCAAACAGATTTTAAAACTCTAATATTTTAATAATCAGATACAAAGTATTATGTTACGTTTCAATTTGTAAGGTGCTAGTAAATAACAATGGAAAATGACATTTTAATATAGATTATGGCACTTAATTAATGTGTATTATTGTGTAATATTAAAGGTTGAGATGAGAATCAAGTATTCTAAAATGACATCAAAATGTTGACTCTAAAGAAAATAGAATATGAAATGTTTTCTGAAGAAATGTCTGAAGAAACATTTCATTTCCATGTTCTAGTTTTATTTAAAATTAATTTTTTGATGTAGAAATTATGCTTTACTAAATTAATTATAATGCTTTCACCATAAATCTAGCACAGATATTCATTAACTTCATCAGCAGACCCTTAGAGGAGAAAAATATAAAATGCATAACTCTAATAAACTCGGGGAAGGTATGACAAATTTTGCAAGGATAAAGAGACATTACAAAAAAGCCCGAGGTTTAAGTTTCCTAAGAGAATTGCACTGAGACCTTGAACTAGTGATCAGATTTCCTACAGCGTCCTGGAAAACCTGGTACTTTCGAAGTGAATTCTATTGTTCATTTCATCAGGTTTTCATGGTTTTTTTGTATTTTATAATTTATTTTAAATTTAGGGCTCCCAAGTGTTTGCCTCATTCCCCTATGTTGGCAGCACTGATAATCCGGCCTTCGTTTTTGTGTGAAATAGGCACAGACGGAGTCTGAGAGCAAAAAAAACCCCACACAAACAAAAACAAAATGTTTGCGCAAGGCTGAAAGCCGAGCGAGAGCCCAGCAAGTGTCTCTGTTGAAATTCTTTGGGGTTTGCAGGGACCAGCCGGGCCGAGGCAGCAAACTGCCTGTTCCCCACGCACCCCAGAAGGGTCCGCGTGCGAGGAAATACCAGCGACCTCCGGGGCTAGGGCTTCCGTGGCGCAGGGTCAGCGAGGGATGAACCCGGGAAGCCACTATGGGCCGCTGCTCCAGCCCCGGGAACGCAGAGCACCGCTGGCTAGCAGGCTCAAGCTTCGCCAGGGACACACCGACCCGGAAGTGCAGTCGCCCCCACCGCAAGTATTTCCGCTTCCCTCCGCAAGTCCCCGGCGCGGTCCGGCCCCCAGCGGCTGAGCAGCCCCCTCCCAGACTGCGCACGCACCTGTGTTCACTGCGCCGGCCTTTCAGCTGTTGGAGAGCGGAGACCAGGACCTGCTGGCGCGCAGTGGCGGACGGACAGTAGCCCTGGAGCCCGCGGGTCCTAAGGTCCCGCGCCGCGGCCGTCGCGTCCTGACCCAGATAGCGGAGGCGCCGGGGGAGGAGCCCGCGGCCGCTCGGCCCCCCGCTCCCGCCCCCTCTCCCTCTCGTGGTGGGTTCAACTCTACCGGGACTGGCGTTGGGTGCACCTTTTGCAAAATAAAATTGCACGTCGCGGGGCGCCTGGCTCGCGCCGGACCGTGTGTCTCGGCCGTCGCCTCCCTTCGAAGCCGGTCGGCACCTTTTCCCCCGCCTGGGCTCTGGGCCTCCGCGCTAGCCCCAGCGCGTTCCCTCTCGCGTTGCTGCCACTCCGCACGCCCACCGCCAGCTCGCTTCGTTCCGGCTCTCAAACCCACTCCCTCTCCCCTAGTTAAACCTTTTTCTGTGCCCTTTCTAGGCACAACCTTGCACTTTACTCCTCACGACTGAATTAAAGGCAGACGCCTTGCACTAATTACTGATATCTGCAGCCCCGTGTTCATAGCTTTATCTCACGTTTTCTTTTAATGAGCAATTTTGACAGCCTCTTCCTTCTCCCCGCCATTCCGAGTTGCCTTTAGATGAAAGCCGCTGTTTTTTCAGATGCCTGACATTTAAGGTTTTACCCAGCTTTCTGTGGTTTGTATAATGAAACTAATTCTGCTAAATACGCTCTTAAAAACTGGGCCGGGCGCGGTGGGTCACGCCTGTAATCCCAGCACTTTGGGAGGCTGAGGCAGGCGGATCACCTGAGGTCAGGAATTCGAGACCAGTATGGCCAACGTGGCGAAACCCCTGTCTCTACTAAAAATACAAAAAATTAGCCGGGCGTGGTGGTGGACGCCTGTAATCCCAGCTACTTGGGAGGATGAGGCAGGAGAATCGTTTGAACCCGGAGGCAGAGGTTGCAGTGAGGCGAGATCGCGCCACCGCACTCCAGCCTGGGTGATAGAGCGTCTCAAAAACAAAAACAAAACAGTACATACACTGCTTCTGTATTGTCCGCACCTTGAGTATTACTGCCTCAAGCTTAGGTTTGCATAACATTAATCTCTAAACTTCCCACCAATATATTGAGCAGAATTAAAAATGGGTACACTCTTTCTCAAAACAGCAACAGCAGACAACACCCATAAAGCCATGAAGAATCCAGAAGGCTTGTTTTGCAATCCATATACTACTGTTTACGGATAGGGATTCAGGGATTCTATAGGCTCTTTAAGATGATTTTTTGAGCTTCAGGCAAGCCGCATTGAAGAATAAGTAAGCCTGGCCATGGTCATTTTATTAAAAGTAATTTGTAGCAGGGCGCAGTGGCTCACGACTGTAAGCCCAGCACTTTGAGAGGCTGAGGCGGACGGATCACTTGAGGCCAGGAGTTCGTGACCAGCCTGGCCAATATGATGAAACACCATCTCTACTAAAAATACAAAAATTAGCCGAGTGTGGTGGCGCACTTCTGTAGTCCCAGCTGCTCGGGAGGTTAAGGCATGAGAATTGCTTAAACCTCAGAGGCAGAAGTTGCAGTGAGCCGAGATCGGGCCACTGCTCACCAGTCTGGGACAGAATGAGACTCTGTCTCAAAAAACAAGAGCAAAAACCTAAGTTGTATTTGGAAAAAGAGCAGATTAATCTTTAACCTCTCAGATTTGGAACTAGTAAAATATTACCTTCTACAAACCCACTTCACTCCTATTTATTATGGTTTGCAGCAATCTTGCAATATAATGCTAGCTTTATTTAACTAGAATACAATATGATATAAACCGATCATGCAAAACAATTTTCTCTTTTAACAAGATTTAGATACCAAAGAAACATGACTGTCTCTTCGCTAATACTTAAAAGGAGCTTTTCAGTATTTAAAACAAAATTTAAGCTTTTCCAGGAGCCCACTGAGTTGTTCACTGCTGCATCCCCAGCACATTGCACAGAAGAGGCTTTCAATAAAAATGTGACGTATGGGCTGTGAACAAGGCCTTACCAGTCTATTCCAAGAGGAAGATGGCAGCTGATACTGACTTGATCTTCAGGTTCAGGACATAGACTATGTCACACTTGCTCCTTTCCAATACATTTGTTTCTATTCCTTGATGAGTAAAAATTATCTGAAAGGTAGAAACTCAGGGACAGTGACAACCATTGACCTTGGCAAAGCTGTAACTAAATAGCAAAGACAGGCGCTATCTTTGCCAGGTACTGTTGCAGGGGTGACATAAAAAAGCAGAAATGATTCCCCTCCCCACTACTAGGAATGTCAGTCTAAAAGGAATATCTGAAGGAAAAACCAGAACATACTAAGAATCTCAGAGTTGCTGTTATTCATCAAACCAGTACGGCATGACAATCATTTGGGAGGAGTGGGTACAGACCCTTCACGATTTGCCCCAACCTACTTTTCCAGCTTTTCTCCGCTACTTCCACCAGACATCATTCTACACTTCAGCACTAGCTAAGCTACTGATCGTCTCTCCACAAGCTGTATCCTTTTTATCCTGTTCCTTGTGCCTGGAATATCCTGTTGCTTGCCACCCGTCCAAAACCAATTCAACCACTTCAACCTCTTTCCCTTGAGAAGCTACACACTCTCTCCTTCCCCATAAGAAGTATTCATCCATGCCCCATCAAAACTTATGGAAGGACCAGGAGTTTCAATGAATACAAAATGCCTCCCTGCTAGCTTACAGCAAACCTCTCTGGTGTACACTATATAATTACTGCTTGCCAGTGACTGTGTGTTTGTGAGGCTGTGAACATCTTCAAGGATGGTAGCATTTATCTTTGTATCTTGGGAACCTGGCATGGTGCACACCCTCTATATTAGATAACTATTTGAAAGTAGTATGTACATTTGAGGGAAAAGCATGAGGAAATGTATAGTCCTTCATTATAGTAATGTGAGATGGGAGTGTCAATTTTTTTTTTTTTTTAGGTTTTATTTGAGTGGTTTTATTTCCAGGAAGCAATTGAATGACAAAGTTAGTTTTAACCCTTTAACAGTTACCAATATGCTATATAGTTAACTATTCATTTTCTAGTTCCTTGTTGTTATTTCCAAATCTTATCAAACTTACAAGCTGAATTTCTTAATTTGTAAACTGAAGGCTGAGCTGCAGGTATAATTAGTACCACTATGAAATCCCCAACCCCCGCTTCAAAGAGCAGAATCAACCTTCATTTCCAGGCTGGTTTTAAGAAAGTATTTTAAGGAAAGGGTTAAGGAAATATTTTACTGCAAATAGCTGGGGAAAAACTTTTAAATTAAGAACACCCTAACCATTGAGAGAGAGGGATTTAGAGAGGGAGAAGCGCACAGGCAAAGAGCAGGGGCAGAGGAAGAAGTCCCCCAGGTGTAACCGAAGCTCTGAGTTCCCCGAATCATTTGTAAACGAGGAGGAGCAAAGGGCAGCAGCAACAGGTACAGCAGGAACATTTATTGAGTCTTCTACACAGTTTTCAAGCTTCGTTCTTTATATGAATTATCTTATTCCATTTTCCCAACAATCTAATGAAGTAAATAACATACAGGTGAGGAAACCAAGGCTTCAAGAGGTGAAGAAACTTGTCCCAGGCCACATAGTCAGTTTTAGAGACAAATATCAAACTTAACTTTGTCTGAGAGCCTTTTCTCTTAACCCAGCCCATCTTGGACCCCCAGACCCTGCCTTTGATAGAACACTTGAAGGGACTCTTCATAGCACCATTTACAAGAACATCATAGCCCTTCTAATGTGATATTACATCATTTGTATCCCCCACTTCAGTTATTTAGGGTTCAGCTTTCACTGCTTCTGTTAGAGGAGAAACTGAATTCTCAAATCTGATCATTTGCCCCATGGGGGGTTTTCTGCAGTTTACCACAACCTCTAATCCACAGAGTATAAAATTACTTTGTGTTTATGATATTCAGGTTAGGCTAGGAATAGAATTTGGGGAAAAGAGGAATATAATACTATGTCTGATGTAGTTTTAAAAAAATTAGGCAGTCTCTAGAACACAGGAAAATTACAAAAAAAATTTCTGAAAAGAAACTAACTTGGACTTTCTAAGGTAAAAATGTTTTATCTGAAAAAAGCATTAGGATAAGCTTATTAAATATTTCCATAGACTAAGTGATTAGTGCAATAAATTATTAATCACTTAAATCCAATAAAATGGTTGGCCTAATACTCCTATACTGAACAAATTAAAAATGGTATTTTAGGAAGATATGTATGAAAGAAAAATTAACAACGATATTTATGTTATGCTACTTAGCAGTTCAATGTTGAATCAATTTATTAAAAGTATACATACCTAATTAAGATATAGAATTCTTATTAGAAACTTTCTATTTCATTAGAAACATTAAGTTTTTGTTCCATGAAAAAAGTCATTTTCAAAAAGGCATGTACTAACCTTGCTCAGTGGTTTTCCGCAGTATTTCGGTGATGATTCAAGAAAAGAATGACGTTTCTTTAAAAATTGTGGAAGATTTTTTAAGTCACATTCCTCCACTGATTTTCCATGGCCTTTGTAAATAAAGCACAGCCTTGGATACAATCCAAAGTGGAACTTGACAGATTCAGAGGAAGAGTGGTTTTGCCCCTCCCTCTGCATTCTTTCTTCATCCTGGGAGATGATGTTCAGGGACACTGTTGACAGTATATACATCAACTTCACAAGCTAAGGTCAGTTTCACTGGCGCTAATTAAAAATAAAGGTGAATATTCATCATCATCAGACAAAATGTTGTTAACACGTGTACAAAAAGTTAAAATAACTGGATATGCTTAATTACATATAATAATTGGAAAAAAATTTCATTTTGGACTTGGGTGGTAAGTGGATTTTATACAATATTCTGCTGGGAAAAATTGGGGTTAGCAGTTTTCCAGACTTACTGTCTTCAGACTATACAAAGGAAAGTGATTTTCCCTTTCGGAGCAGACCCTTTTCAAGAAATTGTTCAGTAGACAGAGCCCCTGGGCATACAAATAAATAAACAGAGAGAATCTACTCTCATATATTGCAATAGAGACACATTAATTAACCAACCGTTGTTAGAACTTTTTGCATTTTATAAAAATTATACTCCTATCATTATTAAGACACATATTTGGACTCTCAGAGAAGACAGTCTAGAAGAAGATGAAAACTGAAACACTACTGTAATGATTTTAGAAGAAATCCAGACTAAAGAGAGTAACAAACCCATATGGATTGTGATCCAAAATAATTTTAATTTGATTGTTTGGGACATGGGACATATCATGAAAATTATGCTATAAATGGTGGTTAATTTCTGTGAGAAACCCATAAAACCCTTTATACCCTATGTGATAACATACAGTATGGTTTGGCACTGACTTCTAACTTAGACCTGCTGATGTCAGGAAATCAGTTATCTGTTGCTATGGCCTTGGCTGCTTCCACTTACAAAACAAAAGACTGAACTTGTCCCCGCCAACTGCTGCAGCTGATAACTGTCCAATGTCAAATGATCAGAAAATCCCCGCCCTCCAGCTATGACATCCACTTACCAGCTAGAGCAAAAAGAATCCTTCCTACCACCAGCCACAGGCTCTGCCAGGCTTCCAACAAGAAGAGAATGACCCATTCTGCCACAGCACTCTCTGGCTTTCTCACATGAGGCAAAGCAACCCTTAAGAAACAACTTCTTAAGGAAACAACAACAAAAAAGACAATTCTGACAGTAATGACTTCACATTTACTTCTCCTAGTATCATAAACCCCCCCTTTCTCAAACAAAAGGGTGCTGAGAGGAACCTTTCTTTGAGACATAATGAGCAGCCAGTCACTCATTGTACAAGAAGCATAACTCAAGGAGTATCTGTATTTAACAAATGAAAGACTGTTAATAAACTAATTTGAATAATTCAGATATTTACCTACAGAAATGCAGTAAGATTACAGAGTGACATTACAAAAGATCAAAAGATTTTCATAAAATATTTAACGGTGAGAATCCAACATTAGACATCAAGGCGCTTTGGGTATTTTCCTTTGCTAAATCTGTGCGATCATGAGATGTGGCCATAAATAGGCAGCATTATTTTCTCCCCTTTTAAAGAAGCAGAAACTGTAAAGATCTTTCATCAAGATAACACACTGTTAACATGGCTTAGATGAAAGTTTCGAAGGCATCTAACATCCAAATGAAAAATAAAAACTTCAGTTGATTCAAACATTTTAAAATACTTTGGTACCACCAATTATCATTCCTAAAAGAAACTTCCACTAACCCTGGCTCCCCTCTCATTTTAGGACTTCCTTATTTAACAACCTCCACTGGGAAAAACCTGCAGTGTCCTCTCACAGGCTTCACTTCCTGACTTCTATCCCATGTACCAACCTACTGCAGAAACCACTAAAACTTCTCTTTCCAAGGAGGGCAAAGGTTTCCTGGTTTCCCTTTTGATCTCTTTGGAACAGGGTTTCTCAACTTCAGTGCTATTGATTTTTTGGACAGAGAATTATTTGTTGTAGGGAGAATTCTACATTGTAGGATGTTTAGCAACATCTCTGGCCTCTGCAACTAACATATGTTAACATGTAATTTCACAGCATCTAAGCCCTTAATTAACACTAAACAGCACAAACACAGGTACATTCTTCTAGAGATTTAAAAAATGCTTCTATAGGCTTGTTAGGCAATGCCCAGCATTGAAAGAATATCCTATGAGATCTTAATTTCTAAAATTTGAATAATTTTTCTTAAAAGCACGGGCCATGTCTTACTCATTTTTCTACCCTCAGTACATATTATTCAGTAATGCATATCTTGAATGAATGGATTTACGGATAAATAAAAATATCTAGATATCTGAATTCTTCACTTTCAACCAGAGTTTTGGCAGGTTTTCTGTATGTGATCAGCCTATGTGATTGCTAGTTCTTTTTTTTAAATTGGCTAATGCCAAGTAAGATAGCTTACAGAGGAGAAAGACCTCTGTGAAGTTTGGTTGGGAGCATGGAATCGTAGAGAAACTGAGAAAGGAGAAATGAAGTTTCCAAAAATACTTGGAAACTTTTTACTTTACCTTGGAGACCTAAATTTTGTCTAAAGCTATTTCTGTTTTTCAAATTAGCTTTTCTTGTCAGAATTTACTATCTAATGTTTTGCATTATTTCTAAGTATACGTATGCTTTAAAATGTTTGTATCACTGGTTTTGCTTTGCAAGGCCTATTAAATCTCTTATGCGGCATTCGTAATTAAGATTGCAGAATGAAAGATGGAGGGGTTAAGTGCATATAAACTGACTGAATTATTGTCCATCAGTCTGTCAGAGATGTTTGAACCAGAGAGACTCCATCTTGAATAGGGGCTGGGTAAAATAAGGCTGAGACCTGCTCGGCTGGATTCCCAGGAGTTTAGGCATTCTTACTCACAGGATGAGATAGGAGGTCGCCACAAGATACAGGTCACAAAGACCTTGCTGATAAAACAAGTTGTGGTAAAGAAGCCAACTAAAACCCACCAAAACCAAGATGGTGACAAGAGTGACCTCTGGTATTCCTCCCTGCTCATTATATGCTAATTATAAAGCAATAGCATGTTAAAAGACACTCCCACCAGTGCCATGACAATTTACAAATGCCATGGTAATGTCAGGAAGTTACCCTATATGGTCTAAAAAGGGGAGGAACCCTCAGTTCTGAGAATTGCTCACCTCTTTCCCAGAAAACTCATGAATAATCCACCTCTTGTTTAGCATATCATCAAGAAGTAACCATAAGTATCTTTGGTGGAGCAACCCCATTGCTCTGCCTATGGAGTAGCCATTCTTTATGCCTTTACTTTCCTAATAAACTTGCTTTCACTTTATGGAGTCATCTGGAATTCTTTCTTGTGCAAGATCCAAGAACCTCTCTTGTCTGGATCCAGACGCCTTTCTAGTAACAAATCCATTCATTCAAGATACATAGATTCGCTGCCCACCAAACCTTCGGATTCTTAGTTCTGAGATGGGGCCCAGTAAATTGCAGTTTAAAAGAGTATTCTGAGTTGATGTTGCAAGGACCATCCTTTGGAAAGCATTGCATGTAGCGGTATAGGTGATCTTCTGATGAATTTCTAAAGAGCAAATGAGATGAGGCAGCATCATTCTTGAGGAACCACTGTTTAAATCTGTTCTTCATTTATTCATTCATTTTCGGAGTTTTATGCAAAACAAACTTCAAAGACCATGTTGAAAGGAACCAAATGAAATTGTAGTTTTGGAACTTTACTAGCCATTCTTGCAACTTTTCCTGCCAAAGAGAGGGAGAGCAGTGAGAAAAGAGATTCATTTTAGCATGATAGGAAACTGTCCCTGCTTTTCTCAAACCTCTTTGAGTAAGAGCATTCTTGGCTCTGGGTCCTGTTTGGCGTCTCTAAGAGCCCACATGTTCTAGCAAGACTTGGCAGCCTGCATCAGGCCATCATTATGAGCAACTCATACTCTTAAGAACTTGGCCAACAGGTTTATTGTTATAATCCAGATTAATCATTTGTGTCACAATTGTTCTGTGCTTGCCAAATTCCTTTTCCCCCAGGAGTTAATTCTCAGGATGTGTATGTCCACTGGACATAATCAAAGGTTTGATACATGAGGTATGAGAATGCTTTCTGTCTCCTCTATCAGACATAACAATTGCATTCATGGGCACTTGGAGTTCTCACAGTGCTTTCATGTGCTTGTGCTTGTCACCTCAACCTCTGAGGTAGGCAGAGGACATATTTTCATTCCCATTTTGCAAAGGAGGAAAGAGAATCTCAGTGGTTATGTAATGAGTGACTTGTCCAGGTCACACACTGCATAGAAGCTCAGAGCTCTTCGCTTACGATTTTCTCATCTCCCTGGCTCAAGCCTAGTTGCTAGTGTGCATTTCTGGTGCTCAAGATGGCAAGATTAGGCTTACACCGTGAGTGCACAGAAAGGTAAGAAAGTGCTAGTGCGAATTAATTTTTGATGTGCAAAAAAAAAAGAAGTTTTAAGTTTCTCCATGTGCATTATTTACTTTATTTAGTCGGAGAAGAAAATAAAAATATTAATGAATAAAAATGCTACCTTTTATTAATAAATGACTAACAAAACACTAATTGCTTGTAGAGATGCTGAGTTCTTTATGAAATATATCCCAAGTTTTGACCTTAAACAAATACTGATAAAGCACTTTCATTATCTTCATTTGGCATTGATTTCAAGTTTCAGATTATTTCCAGTGGTTTTCTGGAAAACGCAGCGTGTTCACCTCTTTGCTGTCGTGTTCTGTAGTGTGTTTGCAAATTCACAGACTTGGAATTAGAACCTACGGAGGTCACTTAGATTTTCAAAGACCTTCTTATGACATTTGAAGTATTCCTAGTGTTCTGCAAATAAAGTGAGAGGCCTTGTAGGGTGTGGCTATGCTTGTGACCTTTGTTAGTACAACTTGGAAGAAAACCCACCACACTTGTACCCAGGTAGAATAAGCATTTACACTTTCAAATGACAGCTTAAAATAACTGACAAGGAAAATTTAAGTTTGCAAGTTCAAAGCCCTTGAGCAACTGGAAATTTACTTTTCAAAATATAGTGTCGATTTCAAATAATTATTGTCACAAAAAGTCAGAGCCTCTTGAAGCATATCTCAGACATAAAAGAATAATAAAATTTGGCAGCTTTTGAACTTACACCATAACCAGTTAAGATAGGTCCACATTAGTTCTAGTAATCACTGAGAAACCATACTCAAGATTTCAACTCAAAGAGAACAGGCTCTTTGTACTTGCTATTTATCCAGAACACTAGGACATGGTTTTAGGCACATATTAGACTGACTTTCTGAGATCATCTAGTAGTAGATCATTGAAGTAAATCACATGGGGAATGATTATTAAGAATTGTGGTAGAAAAAAAGAAAAGCGTGGAGACTGAAAATCTAGTTGGAGATGGGAGTCACAAGAAATAATACAGAGGCTGCCCATCCTTGTTTATATGTATGTTTACAGTATCTAAATAACTGTGATAAGTGAGTCGTTTATTTGATCTGCCATCATACTATGCAGAAGCCATCTAAGCTGGGCGCGGTGGCTCACGCCTGTAATCCCAGCACTTTGGGAGGACAAGGCAGGTGGATCACGAGGTCAGGAGTTCAAGACCAGCCTGGCCAAGATGGTGAAACCCCATCTCTAGTAAAAATACAAAAATTAGCTGGGTATGGTGGCGGGCACCTCTAATCCTAGCTACTCAGGGGGCTGAGGCAGAGAATTGCTTGAACCTAGGAGGCAGAGGTTGTAGTGAGCCAAGATCACGCCACTGCACTCCAGCCTGGGCCACAGGCAGAGACTCCAACTCAAAAAAAAAAAAAAAAAAAGCCATCTAAAAACACTGCAAACAGGGTGTCAGAGAAACCTGTATCAGAAGCAGAACTAGAATTGGAGACAAGTCACTGAGGGGATCTTACCAAAAGGATGGTACTGAGCAGATAGAGAAAAAGAGTATAGGGATCCTGAACCCCCAGAAAGAGCAAAGATGCTAAAGGAGTCCATTCTTGTTTTTCCTGGGATTGATTATGCTACCCTTAGCTGAAAACAAGAACTGCTAAATAACCAGCCCGTAAGTTGAAAGAACAACACCTACTTCCCTATGGGCTTGTGGAGACGGGTCATCTCAGCAACTGCCAGCAGACCCCTTCCCCAATAACACACACTCCAACTTGGTTCTCAGGTCTGTGCAGGAAGAAATAACCCCCTAGTAGAGGGCAGTGCTTATAAAAGAGAAGCTAGCTGCCCTCTTCTACCTGTGGGGCTTGTGAAGAGTTGGGTGTTTGCCCAGAGAATTGCTGATAGTGCAAGAAAGAAGGGGATCTATCCTCTACATCTCCTGTCGGAGGCCTGCGGAGTCAGGGCTCGCTCTCCTGCACCTAGGCCTTGTAGTCTAGGAAGCGCCCTGGGGAGAATGGCAAGTAGTGTGACCAAGTGGAGAGAGTAATGTTCCCAAGAAATACTGAAGATAGATCTTATCAGTACCCACACTCACAAGGGTGGTAGATGTGACTGAGGGCTGCAGAAATGCTGGGGGGCCATTATAGGGAGGGGGGGAAGGGCATGTGCAGTCACAAAAGTGTGGCTTTTTGCCTTCCCCTGGGTGGTGATTGAAAAGGTTTGAAAGAGATTGCCATTGCTTAGGAGTGCTATTTTGGATGTGTCCACACTGTCAGGGCCACTTGTACCCTCCACCTGTCCACACCCAGGGTACAAGGATTCCATGAATTAGATCAGCTGTGCTGACTAAGAGAAAGGATACAGGACCTGAATGCCCCCACTGACCACCTCCATCCCCAACTCTTCAGGTTAAGGGGAGCATCGCAACCAACCAGAAACAGGGCACCCGGCATGCCCTGGGCAGCCACCTGAGGAACCGTCTTTTCTCCTTCTCCTCCTACCTGCACTGATAGCAGAGGAGCAGGAAAGGGAGAAGGTGAAGACAGTGAAGATGGAGAGGAGTGATGGAGAATATGGCTAACCTGATCTAGAGTGAGGGGAGAGAGCTGCTGAACTGGAGATTGAGATGATTGAGATGCTGACTGGGCTACATTTCCATACATTTCCTGACTGGAGTCAGGCTGACACATGGTCAAGGAAACCCACCATGCAGTAGGAAAAGGGAATTTGATAGAGCATAATTGACAGCAGTTTGGAGAAATAAATTCATTCCATGTGTTTATTAGGATTCTCTAAAGGGACAGAACTAATAGGATATATGTATAAATGAAGGGGAGTTTATTAGAAGAATTGACTCACATGATCACAAGGTGAAGTCCCACGATAGGCCATTTGCAAGCTGAAGAGCAAAGAAGCCAGCCCAAGTCCCAAAACCTAAAAAGCAGGGAGGGTGACAGTGCAGCCTTCAGTCTGTGGCCAAAGGCCTGAGAGCCCCTGGCAAATCACTGGTGTTAAGTCCAAGAGTCCAAAAGCTGAAGAACTTGGAGTCTGATATTCGAGGGCAGGAAGCATCCAGCATGGGAGAAAGAGGAAGGCCAGAAGACTCAGCAAGTCAAGTCTTTCCACCTTCTTCTGCCTGCTTTATTCTAGCCGTGCTGGTAGCTGATTAGATGGTGCCCACCCAGATTGAGGGTGAGTCTGCCTTTCCCGGTCCACTGACTCAAATGTTAATTTCCTTTGGCAACACCCTTAGAGACACACCCCAGAACAATACTTTGCATCCTTCAATCCAATCAAGTTGATACTCAATATTAACCATCACAGTGTTACATATGTATAAATGAACTGACATTAGAGGACTCTATTTCTGAAATATTTGGAGTTCACCATAAGAACTTGACTCACCTCCCTGTTAAAATCCAGTTGTCTTGGTTTTCATTCCTTATGACTATTGATATTCATCTGTATAGGAAGAAGGAATGGATTCACTCTCTTCCAAGCTTAATATATAATTCAGTAGCAATTAGTTACCTTAATGACTTTCAGAAACCCCAATGCTAATATTACACCCAAAGGAAAGATGGAAAAAATTATCTCCTTGTCAGCATTCTCTGGGAACTGTTACCTGAATCAAATAGGTCCCCGGAGGAATGGCCAAATTAAATTAATTTATTTTTACAACATAATAGCATTCATGAGCAAGCTTTGGGATTGCTTGCACTTCAAATCAAGAAGAATTCCGTTACTGAAAATTTAAAACCAGCCATATTTGCTTATCATAATTTAAAGACATTTTTATCAATAAAATAATTCAGCATTTAGATTTTAAAACAAATAGAAGTACATTAATTAAAGAGATAAAGCACCCTGTCCTTTTCACTGGATCCTGCTTTCCAGAGGTAAACATTGTTAAGATTTTGAGTGTACAATATTTTTGCATATGAATGCAAATTTCTATGATGTATAAACACGTGTGTATGTTATATATACTGTTTAAACCATATAATGTTCTGCAATTTTTTTCACTTAATGACTAGTTCATTTTGATAACTATTTCATTGTGAGAATATACCGTAATTTTTAACTAGCCTCTGAATTAATAGACCTCTAAGTTATTTCCATCACTGGCTATGAAAAACAATGACTCATTGCAAGTACATTACAAGAAAGAAAAAATAAAATCAGTGCCTGTCATCCAGGAACAGATCTGATGTAGTAGGCCTCAATGTTATTATAAACTAATGTGATGCTTATAGCTAACCCATACTGTTTTCATAGAACATCCAGTTCTGACAAGGATGCTGTGCAATACAAAATGCCAAACACCTGCCTCTCTTAATAAATGAGTGACTGCTAATTCTTTACTAGTTACAGCTTTATCCTAGCTCTTGCCTGCCTTCCCTATAGATAAGATTTACTGAGATACCCAATGACTGAATTGCTTCCTTTCTGACGGTATCAAGAGTGTTCTGTGGAACCTCTCTAAAACTATCCAACTAAAACCCAAATTCTATAATCTGCTCATTCTAATATCATCTTACTGAGACAACCCACAATCAGCTACAGGTGTGTCCCTGATGGTCTTTATTGGAGGGTATTAACAATTTAGTTCTTTAAATATGTAGGTAACATTTTTAGAACTGGAATTCCTGAGTCAAAGAGATCAGTGTTTAAAATTGTGGTAGTTATTGCCTAATTACCCTCCACATATTGCACAATTTTAAAATGCTCACCAACAATTTTTCTGTTGGTTGCTAGCCTTTTCATACAGTTATGTAAAGTTTTCTTTATGATGATGATAACGACTGCAATGAACTAGACACTTTGCTAAGTGATTCCCATGTAACAGACAACGTATTATTAATGCTCATAACAAACCTATGATATAAGTACTGTTGTTCCCGTTTTAGAGATGAGAAAACTGAGGTGGTTAGAGGCTATGCAGTTGCCCAAGGTCACTTGGCCAGGAAGTGCTAGAGCTGGAATTTGCCCTGTCTAGCCCCAGAGTCCCTGCTTGTATCCACTGTACCATGGAGCCTCATTACAGTAATAGAAAATGTGCTGGGTCTACATGAAAAAGTTAAAGCCGTATTGAGAAACATAAAGGAAGGCTGAAATGAATGAAAAGCCATACTATATTCTTGGACACAAAGATTCACTGTTTTAAAGATGCTATGTTTCCTTATATAAATCCACACATTTTCAACCAAAAACATTTCATTTTGGTCCACTTGACAAAATAACTTTAATGTTTAACTGGAAGAAGAAAATGTAACAGTAACCAGGAAAAGTCTGAAAATTAATAATGAAATTGGACTAGCTCTCCCAAGTACTAAAATTTACTGGAACCAGTGCAAGTATTAAAATTTACTAGAACCAGTGCAAGGATAGTGTAATTAATGGAAAAGACTAGAGCCCAATAATAGACCCAGATGTAGACGTAGACATTAGAAACCGATGGAAAATGAGGAACTACTTAGGAAATAGCAAAATTATAACTGACTAGCCTCATACAAAAAATTTTAGATGGATGCCTACTCTGCTACACCAACAGATTTAGCCATAAAATATTAAGCCATACAATTAGACAAAAATTTTTTAAAGCTTTAATCAAAAGCAGGAAGATTTTTCTAATAATGGCATGAAACACATTAGCTATAAAGAAAAATGTGATGGCTGGGTGCGCTGGCTGACGCCTGTAATCCCAACACTTTGGGAGGCCCAGGCGGGTGGATCACCTGAGATCGGGAGTTCAAGACCAGCCTGACCAACATGGAGAAACCCTGTCTCCACTAAAAATACAAAATTAGCCAGGCATGATGGTGCATGCCTGTAATCCCAGCTACTCAGGAGGCTAAGGCAGGAGAATCGCTCGAACCCAGGAGGCAGAGGTTGCGGTGAGCCAAGACTGCACCATTACACTCCAGCCTGGGCGACAGAGCAAGACTCTGTCTCAAAAAAAAGAAAAAGGTGACACATATGACTAAAAAAATATAAAAGCAGAAAATAACAGGAACAAAGTGAAAAATGTTTCTAAAACATACTAGACGAAGTATTTCTCACATTTTCACACTTTGCGATATTTATTATAATTTGTGAGATTGATAAAGGACATGTGGCTCATTGTAAAAATAAACACAATTATTAAGAAGATAAAAATTGCTACCAAAAAGTAAAAATAATTAATATTTGGGTACCCAGCCTTCCAGACATTTCTTTCTGTGCTCACATATGTCATATGAATAAAATGTATAATGTCTACAGGGATAATATTTATAATGTAAATGTCTATATTTTTAATAGCCTCATACAATTTAATCAACCACCTTTTGATTCTTCAACAATATATTGTGACCATTTGTTCTTTTCTTACATATACAAAGATATGGTTCTCAGAGAGCAGTCCCAAGGCCAGCAGCATGAGAAAGTGTGGGTAGCCTGGGCAACATGACAAAACCCCATCTCTACAAAAAGTACAAAAATCAGCCAACTGTAATGGCAAGTGCTTGTGGTCTCAGCTACTGAGGAGGCTGAGGTGGGCAGATGGATTAAGCCCTGGAGGTTGAGGCTGCAGTGAACTAGGACCACACCACTGCACTTGTGCCACTGCACTCCAGCCTGAGTGACAGAATAGGAGTCTAAAAAAAAAAAAAAAAAAAAAAAAAAGAATAAAAGAAGTTGTGAGAAATGCACCTCCTTAAGGCCCATGGCAGATCTATTGAGTCAAAAATTTCTGAGTTTTCACAAGCACTCCCTGTGATTTTGGTGATGCTCACTTATGGCATCTCTTTTCACCATGTAGTATTTATTTGGTTGTATCGCTTTACCATGATTAATGTAACCAACTCCCATTGTTGATTTTTTTTGCTGTTATAAACAATGCTGCAACAAACATTGTTTTTTTGTAAAGGCTTTCTTCAGATGTAATTTATATGTCATATAATTCACCCATTTAAAGTATACAATCCAATGGTTTTTAGTATATTCAAAGAATTAGGCAGCTATCACTACAATCTAATTTTACAGCATTTTTTAATCACCCCATAAAGAAACCCTATACTCATTAGCAGTCCCTCCTCATTCCTCTCATTCCCAGCACCTAGTAACCACTAAACTATTTTCTGACTCTCATGGATTTGCCTATTCTGGACATAACATATAAATGGAATCATACAATACATGGTCTTTTGTGTCTGGCTTCTTTCACTTAGTGTAGTATTTCAACATTCACCCATGTGGTATGTATCAGTACTTTAATTTTAAAACTCACTTTTAGGCTGGGCATGGTGGCTCACACCAGTAATGCCAGCACTTTGTGAGGCAGGCGGATCACTTGAGATTGGGAATTCAAGACCAGCCTGGCCAACATGGTGAAACCCACCCTGTCTCTACTCAAAATAGAAAAATTGACTGGTCATGGTGGCTCATGCCTGTAGTCCCAGCTACTTGGGAGGATGAGAGCCCAGGAGGTGGAGGTTGCAGTGAGCTGAGATTGAGCCACTGCACTCCAGCCTGGGGGACGGGGCGAGACTCAGTCTGAAAATAATAATAATAATAATAATTTATTTTGTGAGTACATAGTAGGTGTATGTATTTATGGGGAACATGAGATCTTTTGATCCAGGCATGCAATGCATAATAATCACATCATGAAAAATGGGCTATGCATTCCCTCAAGCATTTATCTTTTATGTTACAATAATCCAATTATATTCTTTTAGTTATTTTAAAATGTACAATTAAATTATTATTGACTACAGACACCCTGTTTTGCTAAAAAATGATAGGCTTTATTCATTCATTGTAACTAGTTTTTGGACCCATTAACCATCTCTACCTCCTCCCCACCCCCAACAACCCTTCCCAGCCTTTGGTTATGACCCTTCTGTTCTTGATCTCCATTAGATCAATTTAAAAATTTTTAGATCCCACAAATTAGTGAGAATATGCGATGTTTGTCTTTCTGTGCCTGCCTGGATTATTTCACTTAACATAATGTTGGTATTTCATTTTTTAAATTACCAAATAATATTCCATTGTATGAATATACTACATTTTATTTAGCCATTCAGCAGTTCATGAATATTTGGATTGTTTCCACTTTTTGGTTCTCATGAATAATGTATCTATGAATATTTATTTTTGTGTTGATGAACAAATTTTTCTGTGCATCTATGTTTTCCTTTCCAAGCACTTTTTGTTTTATTATACTTTAAGTTCTAGGGTACATGTGCACAATGTGCAGGTTTGTTACATATGTATACATGTGCCGTGTTGGTGTGTTGCACCCATTAACTCGTCACCAAGCACTCTTTAAAAAAAACAGATTTGAGCTATAAATGACATGCCATAAAATTCAGCCACTTTAAGTGTATGTATTCAATAATTTTTGCTAAATTTACTGAGTTGTGTAACCATCAAGACAATTCCCAGCAAGCATTCTTGTCCATGCATTTTTTCATTCTTGAGAAGATATTTTAAATTAAGTTCCACATTATCACTTTCCCCATCAGAACAATCTAAGCCTCAATATTTGCCCTCCCTGAGACTGGAGGTGGTTGAGACCAGAAAACAGAGATTTTGGAAAGGCCATAAAGTAAAGCAAGGATCTAGCTAATTAATTGGGTAATTTTCTGGATTCCAAAACGTAAAACGCATCACTCCTGTCTTCTGGGACATTCTCCTTTAATTACTTAACACATTGTCATTTGAAATTCAGCTTTGCTTGTCTGGTCTCAGCTGCTCAGCTGTCAGAGGATTAATTATGCTTTTTTGTTGTTGTTCAGTGAACTGTAGAAGGAAAAAGAAAGTATGGCAACTTTAGTGAGAAAAAAACCTAACATGGAGCTGAAATTAGTCATTATCAATGTATTATAGTCCAAACCTTTTTTTTTTTTTTTTTTTTTTTTGAGACTGTCGCCCAAGCTGAGGTGCAGTGGAGTGATCTCGGCTCACTGCAACCTCCACCTCCCAAGTTCAAGTGATTCTCCTGCCTCAGCCTCCCGAGTAGCTGGGACTACAGGCGTGTGCCACCATGCCTGGCTAATTTTTTGTATTTCTAGTAGAGATTGGGTTTCGCTGTATTGGCCAGGATGGTCTTGATCTCCTGACTTTGTGATCCACCCGCCTTGGTCTCCCAAAGTGCTCAGATTACAGGCATGAGCCAACGTGCCCAGCCATCCAAACCTTTTTTAACTGTTAGTGTCACAATGTAGTCAGTGTTGCCATCTCGAAATTGTCAACCCCACTTCCTGCTACCTCCAGAGATGACCAAGGAAATCTTGCCTCCAGGACATTCCAAGCAAATCACACCTGGAATGCTATGAACCCTGGCCCCCAATATCTGTGTGTTCCTGTTTGAGGGCTGGAACAGACTACAGGTAAGCTGCATGGACTCCTTTTGCCCTGAGAAGTACACTGAAAAACTCTCTGACTTTGGTTTCCTCCTGGTCTTCTAAGGATGGTTGCATTTATTTATTTATTTATTGAGACAGAGTTTTGCTCTTCTTGCTCAGGCTGGAGTGCAATGGCGCGATCTCAGCTGACTGCAACTTCCGCCTCCTGGGTACCAGCGATTCTCCTGCCTCAGCTTCCTGAGTGTCTAGGATTACAGGCGTGTGCCACCATGCCCGGCTATTTTTTTTGGATTTTTAGTGGAGATGGGGTTTCACCATGTTGGCCAGGCTGGTCTTGAACTCCTGACCTCAGGTGGTCTGCCCACCTCATCCTCCCAAAGTGCTGGGATTACAGGCGTGATGAGCCACCATGCCTGGCTGGTTGCTTTTATTTATTATTGTCTTTTACAACATTTAATTTTGAATTGTTAAATAAATACAAAGATTGTATACCAAAGAAAGACATCACACATTTGATATTTTGGGACTATTAAAGATCCACCTTATAAAAACACCACCAAATTGTTCCCAGCTTGCCAAGTAAGCTAGATTTGTTTTTAGTTTACTAGTCTCCGTTTCTGCATCCTTCTCCCTACTCCAGTACTCCCAACCCATTGAAAGCCCTCCAGAAAAGATATGACAGATCCTCTCTAGCCATCCTCTCTGGCCGTCCTTTTGCCTTAATCTGCCCCTTGCACTTCCTCCATCACTGCCCTGGCCTTCCATTTGGCACTTGTCTACTTCTCCATTTGCCTCCCCACAATGAGAGAGGCTCTCAAGAATATTCACTATGTCTGTTGTATTCTTAGCTCTTATTTCTGAGTCTGGTGCATGGTATCTACTGAATAATTCACTGTTAAAAAATGAATGAATGATGAAGTAAAAGTAAAATTAGACCATTTCTAGAGGAATTTGCATTTTAATATCTCTGACTGTGGGTTTTTAACTTCAATAAGCCCTAAGCTGTGGTTCTTAAGCCGGTGACTATTTTTCCCTCCATGGGACATTGGCAATTTCTGGAGACATTTTTCGTTGTCACGACAGGAGAGGAGCTGCTAACACCTAGTAGGTAGAGGTCAGGGATGCTGCTGAGTATCTTTCAATGCCCAGGACAGCTCCCCACAGCAAAGAATTATCCAGCCCGAAATGTATATATTGCCAAGTTTGAGAAACTATGTCCTAGAAAAATTTTACGGACAGGAGGGGTATCATAACCCCTGAAATCATATCATTAAGGGATTTATTTTTAAGTAGTCCTTATGTCTGCAGACAGATATTACTGAACACTGTTCATGGAAATGCCTCCCTGATTTCTTTGCGAAGATTTTGTATAAATGTATTCCATAGGTGTGTCTTTTTGGATCTTGCATGAGTAAAAGAAGAAAGTGTATGGCTGTGTCCCTTACAAGATTTTGTGGCAAGTCTGAACTAGGACTATTTTTAACCTAGGCTGTGTCCAAGTATCCACTGAGCACTTACTATGTGCCTGGCATTATTCTGGGGTCTGGAATTACAGCACTGAACAAGACACATGAGGACTCTGCTTTCAGGGCAATGACACTCTCATGGGGGCAGATGCAATAAACAAACCGGTGACTCTAAAAGAAGTTGGCAAAGCTAAGGGCTATGGTAATATAAAATGGGAGAATATGGTAAAGGGGCAAGTTTAGATTGGATGATCAGAGAAAACCTCACTCAAAGGAGATCTCTAAGCTGAGATCTGCATGCCTTGGGAAGATCTAAGTGAAGAACAATAGCAAAGGCAACAACCAGGGCAAAGGTGCTGTGGTGGGAGGAGCTTGATGTGCTAGAAGAAGGAGAAGGCCTGTCCGTGTAGCTTCACTATTATGGTGGAGGGCCAGTGGTGAAGGATGGGGCTGGAGGTGTAGTCAGGGCCACATGACAGAGACCAGATAAGCAGTATGGATCTCATTCCAAGTACAATAGGGATCTGGGGAATGCAAGGACCTGATTTTCATTCGTAAAGGATCATCCGGGATGTTCTGTGAGAATGGAGTAGAAGAAAAAAGTAGGGCAGAGTCGTGGCGGAGCCCATGGTATCCACTGGGAGATGTTGTTCATTGGATATGGTCATATTCCATGCTGATGAGGCCCAGCAGGAGAGGGTTTTCTAACAGCAGAAGTGGTCTGTTTGTAAAATCACATAAGACACTTTCCGGTGTTGGGGCACAGAAAATGATACCCCCAAACATGGCACTTTGGCACATTGAGTACTTTGAATTATACAAGAAAATAAAATTTCTGGACCCTCTAAATGTATTATGCCAAGGGAGAAGTTTAGCCCTGGAAACTCAGTCACCACAGCGTGTTTGTTTCTTTCGCTTCTTGAGTGTAGATTAACTCTCTTCCTCATTGCTCTTCTTCTGTAATTGACTAGGAGAGACCAGAGATCAGACCTCCTCTTCCAGTCACTGGTCTTTGGTACAGATTAATTGCCTCCTTTATTGTCCTGTATCTAACTCAGACCAGATGGCACAAAAGACCCTATGACTGTTATATCTTCAGTGTGGAATGTTAAATATACCTTTTTCAAAAGGAAAAGACCACCTCAACTAATCGAATCATTGTAACTAACCATTAACCCTTATATAGAAAGATGTTGAAATTCTGTTATGCTCCTCTAGACTTTGTCTGTATAAATGATCCTAAACTTCTTCACTTCTGAACACTGACTTCCATTGGTGGTCATTTTCAAACTTTTACACTTGAATAAACTCTGTTTAAACTAGATTCTGAACTTTATGATTACTTTAGATTGACAGAATTAAAGAAAATTGTAAGGCCTCAGAACCACAGTCTCTCTCTGACCTTTCCCTACCACCCTTTCTCTCTGATCCTTCTTTTTCTTTTTTTTTTTTTTTTTTTTTTTTTTTTGAGACACAGTCTCGTTCTGTAGCCCAGGCTGGAGTGCAGTGGCACACTCTCAGCTCACTGCAACCTCTGCCTCCAGGGTTCAAACAATTCTGCTGCCTCAGCCTCCCGAATAGCTGAAACTACAGGTGCCCACCATCATGGCCAGCTAATTTTTGTGTTTTTAGTAGAGAAGGGGTTTCACCATGTTGGCCAGGCTTGTCTTGAACTCCTGACCTCAGGTGATCTGCCCACCTCAGCCTCCCAAAGTGCTGGGATTATAGGCGTGGGCCACTGCCTCTCTGATCCTCTTTCTTTCCTAAAACCCTAGGAGGGACTGTCTCTGGAATTTCCTTATCTGAATATGAAAGCTTCTTTCCAAAAGAAATGCAGTTGTCTTAAGACCCCCTCCCTAGGGATCTCATCAAATAACCAGGAAAGATCAATCACTGGAGGCCCAGCACAGTGGCTCACACCTGTAATCCCAGCACTTTGGGAGGCCAAGGCAGGCAGATCACTTGAAGTCAGGAGTTCGAGACCAGCCTGGCCAACATGACAAAACCCTGTCTCTACTAAAAATACAAAAATTAGCTTGGTGTGGTGGCGGGCACCTGTAGTCCCAGCTACTTGGGAGGCTGAGGCATGAGGATCACTTGAACCTGGAAGGCAGAGGTTGGAGTGAACTGAGATCACACCAATGCACTCCAGCCTGGGTGACACAGTGAGACTTCTATCAGGAGAAAACAAAACAAAACAAACAAAACCCATATATACATATGGGTTTTTTTAATATATATATGGTTTTATGTGTATGTATATATATATACAACTGGAGAAGTGAAGAGACTGGGGGTCTTCACCACACCCAGACTTCTCATCTGTTCTTCTGAGGGCAATTCTGAGAGATTACCTGGAGGACTTTATCTGCATAATAAGACAACCTTTGTTCACCATAAAGTTCTACCCCTCACCTGCCTGTCTCCTCCCCCAGAGCTCAGGGGAACTTTGTCCCAGGCCATTGTTCTTTGGGATCATTTATTTTCCCTGAAAATAATTTACTCCTGCAACCCCTATCTCCCCATCTCCTATGAAGAAGGGCATATAAGTATCTGGACCTCACTGGGTTATTGGGTAATCACACTCCTGTGATTTTCCCTCATGTACATTAAATATATTTGTATCCCTTTTTATCTTGTTAATCTGCCTTTTGTCAGTTCATTTTCAGCAAAACTGCAGTGAGCAGACGGGAAGCTTTCCTTCTGCTCCTACACTGGGGACTTACAGAAATGCTTGGGGTATCCTAATTTTGGGGGGATTGAGATCCTGTATTAGCAACTGAAGATAAGAAACCATCAAATGAGTATATTAACGCAATGTTATTGCTACCCACAATTTAGGGAGTCTTGGTAAAATGTGGGTTATATATAAGCTAATATTTTGAGGCAACAGACCTTCTCCATTGCCCATATGGACTTTCTAGTTCTGCCAGAGTCTTAAAATTCAGATGGTAATGTGATGTGTTTTCCCTAGCCTATGGAACTTGCTGCTTTCTAAGTTCAATAGTTAGAATACTTCTTATTCCACCTCTGAATTCTATACATGCAGAACATTTCATGGGTAAAAGTTACATGCTCACCATTAGCAGTTGTAAATCTCTAGGAAAAGGATGATGATATTAGGATGAAGCATTTATCTAACAGGAATTATATATCTAATGTTGATGGTAGAGATTGTATTTGATAATTTTGAGGGTCTGTCTGGCCATGTGCTCTAAATGTAACGAGCCTGACAATTTTTGCCTGAAGGAGAAGGTACAAAAATATTGATGGATCAGTTAAGAACTCTTCCAACTACAAGTAACAACAGCAAGATAGTCTAACAGTCGTTTTTAAAAAGAGGCAAGTGGTTGCTGGCATTGATTCATCAATCAATGATGCCATCAAAAGCCAGACTCTGTCTTTCAGTTGTATTAGTCTCAGCTTTGGCTTTTTGTCCTAGTGCTTTTCTTGCTTAAGGCAGAAAGAAGCGAGAGAAAGACATGGTGCCAATTGTCAGGAAAGAAAAGCTATCTCAGAAACCCCCCATGAAACTTATCCTTTCAACTCATTTGCCGGAAATAGAACACATGGCCTTTCCCAGCTGCAAGAGAAGCTGGAAACCAGGTACCTGGCTTTCTGACCTCAAGAGTAGGAGAATGAAAGAGAGAAGGAGGTTTGGAATGGTTTTGGGTTAATTTGCTCACAGAGTCTGCCACACCAACCAAGGGAGAGTTGGAGGGAATGTGTAGCCAAGACAAGATGTAGAACTCTGAAATACACAACAGTGGATGTAAAGCACATGGGAGGTATATATATGGGACAATGTCTTCTTCAATCTCTCTGTAATCTTTCCACATACTGTCTTTAGTGCTTCATGCTATATATACTATAACACATTAACATAATTATATTAAGAGATACCTTGCACTGAAGAATTTTAAAGCAATATTATTGTCTATTCAATCACGGTATCCTAATTTTTAGGTTCAAGTTAATACTCAATGTTCATGTATTATGGAGTCTAAGAATACCTTAACAGTAACTGCCAATTGCTGGCATATTCAGGCAAGATTTTTTAAAAATATAAATTCTCATGTATTCTGTGGTTTGTATAAAAGCCTGTGGTTTGAGATGCCTTCAACAGGGTTGGAGGAGTGGAAAGAGAAAGAGAACAGGAGAAAATAGCAACCAGGTGGGGAAGCTCTTTTGAAAGAAGAGAGCTCTCTGGAATATTGTCTTGAGGGTGTTACAGAAGGTAGACACAATAAAACTGTAAGGAAAGAAAGTGGGCCTGGGAGAGTATGATTTAAAAAAAAAAAACAGAGGAAACATTTTTAAATCTAGAGAGTCAAAGCATTGAGAGTGTAGTGCTTGTATATCCCCTACCTAACTTCATTTGTTGAAATTCTAACTCCCAATGTGATGGGGTTAGGAGGCGAGGCCTTTGGTAATTGATTAGACCGTGAGGGTGGAGCCCTCATGAATGGTATTAGTGCCCTTATAAAAGAGACCTGGAGAGCTCACCTCCCCTTCTGCCATATAAGGTTACAGTAAAAAGACAGCAGTCTGTGAACCAGGAAGTGGGCCCTTACCAGACATCAAATCTGCTGGTGATACAGAATGGCTGGGCTCCCAGCTAAACCCCACCCTCAAGCCTGGAACCTCAGCCCTAACTGAAAACAGCTGACCCCATTTTTCTGCCCAAATGTTGTTGTTTTGGCCTGCCATAACCCTATCCTCTGCCCATAAAAAGACTTCAGCTGGCAGAGCAACACAAGGCGGCTGATGCAAACGGCTGGGGATGCAAGCAGCTGAGCGCTGGGGATACCAGTTGCTGAATGTCAGGGATATAAGTGGCTGGGTGTTGCAGACTATCTATAGATGGCGGCTAATTTCAGACGGTGTGGATTCAGGGAAAGATCACCTTCTTCCCGCACCATCCCCTTTCTAACTCCCATCCCACTGAGAGCCATCACCCAGTAAAATCCTCCGCATATGCTACCCTTCAATCTGTTCGTGTGACCCGATATGTCCTGGATGCCGAACAAGAACCCAGGTGCCCAGAGGGCAGGGGCTTGGATGCTGTTATGGGGCCCACACAGAGCCTGCTCCCGCCAGAGGAGTGACCGGCCTGTTCTAGCGCTCGTTCCCTCCCGTTCCTGCACTCGCTTGCTCGCACGCTCCCACGCTCCTTCTCGCATGAGGAGCGGCCAGTGATGGGCTGAGTGAAACAAGCCACTCCAGTTCCCGCCCACAAAGGGGGTCAAGGAAACTATCCCATCTCACTGGCACCTTGATTTTGGACTTCACAGCCTTCAGAACTGTGAGAGATAACTGTTTGTTGTTTAAGGCATCCAGCTATGATATTTTTGTTATGGCAGCCTGTATTAGTCTATTTTTCACACGGCCAGTAAAGACATACCCAAGACTCAGCAATTTACAAAAGAAAGAAGTTTAATGGACTTACAGTTTCACATGGCTGGGGAGGCCTCACAATCATGGCAGAAGGCAAGGAGGAACAAGTCACATCTTACTTGGATGGCAGCAGGCAAAGAGAGAGCTTGTGCATGGACACTCTGCCTTGTAAAGCCATCAGATCTCATGAGACGTATTCACTATCACGAGAACTGCACAGGAAAGACCTGACCCCGTGATTCAATTACCTCCCACCAGGCCCCTCTCACAACATGTGGGAATTCAAGATGAGATTTGGGTGAGGACACAGCCAAACCATATCACAGCCTCACCAGACTAAGGCAGAGATTATTACAAGTAAACTAAAATTTGTTGAATAATTGTGATGAATGTCTAATCATACTATCTGAATTCTCATTTGCCAGATTCTTCCTGTCCAATATTTCTAAATCCAGTGGAAACATAGAAGGAAGATAACCCAAATTAAAACATTTTTCTTCCAGCTGGGTGTAGGAGCTAGTGTCTGTAATCCCAGCACTTTGGGAGGCTGAGGCAGGTGGATCACTTGAGGTCAGGCATTTGAGACCAGTTTAGCCAACATGGTGAAACCCTATCTCTACTAAAAATGCATAAATTATCCAGGCGTAGCTACTTAGGAGGCTGAGGCAGGGGAATTGCTTGAACCCAGGAGGCAGAGGCTGCAGTAAGCCAAGACCATGCCACTGTACCCAAGCCTGGGTGATAGAGCGAGACTCTGTCTCAAAAAAACAAACAACAAAAAAACAGTTTTTTTCCATTTTAACAAGTTTGGGGAATTCATGATCCTTTATTGTGAGTTGTTAATGTATTGGTTGGATGCTTCTCTCTCCAAGTAACAGAAAATCAAGTGGAAGTGGCCTAAACACTTTATAGTGTTTATTATCTCAAATCACAAAAAGTCTAAAGGCTGGATTGATCCAGCATCACAATACTGTCATTAGGAACTCAGACTCTTTCTATATTCCATGTTCCTACCCACAGCTGGTTGGCTTTCATCCTAGGCCTATATCCTCATGTTTGCAAAGTGGCTACCAAAGCTTCAGAAATCATGCCCTCACACTTTCTTCTAAAGGCAGAAGGGAAGAAGGAAACTCTCCTCTTACATCTCTTTCTTTTTATTAATGAGGAACGTTTTCTCCACACTTTCCTTATGTCTTGGTGGCTGTAACTGGTCATACCTGTGCTGTAGCAGAAAGGGAACTGTTTCAGGAAAGAAATAACTGTCATTTCCAATTCTGTTGTGGGACACAACTTTTGTCAAACAGCCATAAAGGGAGAGAAATGACTATTGTGCAGGGAAACTTGTGGGAGAGAAAACAAAATTTCTTCATTAAGATTTGGTAGCTTCCCTTAGATATTTCAATAAAAGTGAGTCAGATTTCTAAACCCAATTTCATATCAGAATGGTTTAGGCCCAGATATTTCCTGTCTATCTCCTGAGAGTAATTCTAGCCTCATAATGGACTCCAGGGCATAGGATACCCATCATGGGCCTGAACTAGCTCTCCTGCTAGCATGTGTTTCCACTTTAAGGAGGAATGTCTGTATTAAAAAGAAGAATGTGTTTCAGTAACATATTATATCACCAGAAACTTCATTCATAGGGGCTTAAGTAATATAGGAGGTTAAGAAAGGCAGTTGATGTATGCTGGCTCCAAGAATTTGTTGAATTAGCCAAAAAACACTCCTGAGATTCTTGTGATAGAGGAGAGGGTTTATGTGGTACATTGAGGAGGTGACTCCATCAGTACTTTGGCAGGAAAGAAATCAGTGGGTAGAAAGTTGGGATGGACAGAACATATGGACTCACTGAATTGCCCTCTGCCTGGAGGACATGGCTGACTCCAGGTGTCAGGTATCATTGATGGGTTCCTCTCAGTTTCTAAATACTTCTGGGAATAAACCTCCAATACCCAACTAGACCAGCTCCATCTCTCATGAGATAGATTTGAAATGAACGCTTCTGGATTTAAACATGCCATAAGGACTATGTCAGATCTACTTTTAGGGCTATTTTGGGTTATAGTTTAAGTTTTCTCCTTTTCAATTCACTCTTTCCCCACAACCATCAGGAAATATTACTGGTACTTAAAATGTCTTGACATAGGACTTTCCAATCTATACCTATAAATAAATGGGTTAAACTGAATTTCCAAGAGAAATAATAAGTTAACATATTTATTCACGCTAGGTTGCAAACACTCAGGTAATAAGTATACACTAATAGATGAATGCAACAGCTCTTTTCTTTTAATAAATTATATAAACATAGCTCCAAAGCTGAGTTGCACCAAGCATGCATTTTTATTCACTTTCCATTGAAAGGTCTGTGGCTGACCTCAGCAAGGATGGGGTAGGTCTAATAATGGGATGAGACATAGCACAAATTTCCTTATATGGCAAAAGGGTAGAACCTTGAGTGGTGATGGGGCCCTCCTCCAGTTTAATGATATAAAGCTAGTGACTCTGAACTTCTAACTCCTTGAACCTAGAGGGAAGTGTCCCTTAATTCATGCAGATTAAGCTACAGTGACCCTTGGACTTTGTATTTACTTTTTGTGCCTTAAGAAAATAAAGAAACAGAGCAGAAGCGTCGGGTGTTCCCCGGGCATGTAGTAGGATAAACATACTGAACAGACAAGAAACTGCACTGAAGTGTCAGTCATCCTTGGAATTGCAATTTACCTTCAGCAAAACAGCATCAAGTATCATTCAATTAATGCTGTTAACTTGAATTATATTGGCAGTGTTTATATTTAATTTATATTTTTTCATGTATAATTATAAAGGGACATTAAACATAAGAATTTTATACCAAGTTTATGTTTAAGAAACATAATAGAAATAAGTCAACATAAGGATTCTGTTTATTTTTCTTTAAAACATGTACATGTTTGACTTAAATGTGAGAATGTCTGACCTCTGACTAGAGCATTACATATTAGGAATATTGGTCCATTCTACTATATGCTCTATTGTAGAGCAGGGCTCCCCAACCCTTGGGCCACGGACCCAGTAGTGGTCCATGGACTATTAGAAATGGGGCCACAGCTAGTGATCTATTACCTCGTAAGCTCTGCCTCCTTTCAGATCAGCAGTGGCATTCAATTCTCTTAGAAGCACGAACCCTGTGAACTGTGCATTGTGAACTGTGCATTTGAGGGATCTAGGTTGCGTGCTCCTTACCACAATCTAATCCTTGATGATCTGAGGTGGAACAATTTCATCCTGAAACCATTCCCCCATCCCTGGTAGTAGAAAAATTGCCTTCCATGAAACTGATCCCTGGTGCCAAAAAGGTTGGGGACTGCTGCTGTAGAGGAAGAAAAATAATTTTTTCCTCAATTTTTGTAAGTTCTTAGTTAGAACAAACTCCTATGACAAAAGACAGATAAATAAGAGAAAAACAGAAGTATATTAACATGTATGTTTCACCTGTATATGGGAGATGCCTAGGGAATGAGTAATCTCAAAGAGGTGGCTCTGAATTTCAGCTTACATGGCACCTTCCACAAAGAAAAATAAAATTTTAAAGAAGTGACAAGAAAAAAAAAAAAAAAGGACTGTGAGTCTCTAGGGGCAGCAAATTGGGAGAAAGCGAATAAATGGCAGAGAAAGGCAACTTAGTAAGGCTTGTTAATGCACCTTCCTGTGGTGCCATCTCCAGGCCAGTAACGGTTCAAAGTTGTCTTCAGCGGTTAACTCTTGTCCTCCCTGGTAGAGAGGGTGGGGCAGGCTACATCTATCTTTCTAAATCTATGTCCTGCTTTTAGGCAAATAGATGGAGGGCAGAGAGCTTTCTTGCATCTGCTTCTTTGTAATTGCCTTCAGCACAAAACAATCTGGAGGCCAAAGAGGCATGTTTCTGGGTGGTGTATTCTGGTCTCTCAGGATCCTAAGAAAAAAAATCCCTCGTTTTGTCAAAGCTAAATTATTCTAGTATGCTTCTGGATTAGATTTGCTGTAAGAGATGCTGACAACTGCCTTAGCTTTGTTGGTGGGGGGCAATAAATATTTTATAGACATTTACTAACATCTTTCAATAAAACAAAACGTGGCTAGTATAGCAGGTAAGCCTTTCACAGTCAAAAAATTAAACTATGCAGAAATGTCACTTTCTCTATTCATCCATAACTGTATTTAGTGATGGAACCCTTAATTCTGGCCAGCAATACAGAGGAGGAAGTTAAAATGGCCAATTCAAAGTAACTCAGTTACTTGCAGTTTTTTTTCTTTTTTTTTTTTTTTTTTTTTTTTTTTTTGAGGCAGAGTCTTGCTCTGTCACCGAGGCTGGAGTGCAGTGGCGCCATTTTGGCTCACTGCAGCCTCCGCCTCGTGGGTTCCAGGGATTCTTGTGCCTTAGCCTCCCCATAGCTGGGACTACAGTCACACACTACCATGCCCAGCTAATTTTTGTAATTCTAGTAGAGATAGGGTTTCATGATTTTGGCCAGGCTGGTCTTGAACTCTTGGCCTCAAATGATCCACCTGCCTCTGCCTCCCAAAGTGCTGGGATTACAGGCATTAGCCACCACACCCGGCCTACTTGCAGATTTTAAAATCTCTGTTGGGTAAGGGCTCAGTCAAATCTGGGACTCTTCCCCTGCCTGCTCACTTTCTCTGCTGTTCCTGGGGGTGTGCTAAGCTCTTAAGCTCTTGGGGAGGCTCATCCACCATGTGGCCATGCTCTGTTCCCATTTACTTCCCATGATAGGAGTTTGTTTCTGGCTTCCAGCCCTCACCTTCGCCTCTGTCTTTGGGTTCATGCTCTGGCTTTTGCTACAGATGTCTGTGGTCATTTCCACGGCCTTTAGTTTCAAGGTCTAGCATTTTGTTCCTTTTTTGGCCCAACCACAAGCTTTCTCTGGTCTCTGGCCCTCTTAGCACTTCTGCTTCCCTAGCTCCCAACTCCATCCTGGAGGGTTTCAGGAGCTCTTGCTTGCTTTTCTACCTAGGCGACTACTGAGAACCATCTGAGATGGACAAGCCTATTTGTAAAAATAATGGTGACACAGTTAGGCATAAATATCTAACAAGAAACTACCTGCCCACTGGCTCTTGCAAAATCCCTAATTTACTTTGACAAAGTTGCGTGAAAGTTGTGATCTTGATAGAAGAAAATAAGAAACAAGTATTGCTTCTAACAGTTCAAATACTGCTCTGGGAAAGCAGGAAGAATTGGATTCTCTTTTCTTAGACAAGGGAACAGAATGTCAAAGATAATATAGTGTTGCCTTGGGAAAAAATGTTGGCTTTCAGGGTTTTTCCCTTCTGGGAGTCTGAGTGGCCTTTGAGGATTTGATACTAGGGGCTGAGCCAGTGTTGATTCCTGTACCAGCGAGCTTTGTGTATAACACATGCAGCTTCTAAAATGAAGAGCTGCCAATTACTAACCACCCCACACTGAATCAGTGCCATCGGGGCCTGCTCGGTGTGTGGGCTGTGTATCTAAACTGCAGTTTCTAGTTGTTTTTTTTTTGTCTTGTTTTTCATTTTTTAAATGGAAATAAAAAGCTGACAGATACAGTTTCATTACAATTTTCAAATGCTCTTTCGTACCAGTTAAAGGAGAGTTTTGAATGGTGATGGGCTACATGTTTACATACACACAATTTTGAAAGTTAAAATGTCAGTTAAAAGGAGTTTTGCATGGATACAAAGTTATCCAGTATGGGGGTGGCATTGAGGGTTGTTTTCTCCTTGGGCTGTCTTGATGGAGGAAAGCTGGTTGGAAAGGCTGAGTTGCTGTTTTGGCCTCTGACAGTGATTTACTTTGTAACCTCAAGTAAGTCATCCTCTGGTATCTGAGTTTTAGATAAGTCAAGAACCTACCCTTGAAGTGGTATCGAGGGATAAATCAGACTGTCTGAATGACTGGACTGGAGCTTCTCAGAAGCGCAGTGCAAATCTGAGTTTCTAGTGTGCGGGCGAACCTGATGTTGAAACATCGGAGCTGGAAGAGGGCTCTTACCCATCCAGCCCAGCTTTCGCATTTGGCAGATGAGGAACCCAGGGAGGGGAAAATGACTTACAAAGATCACGTAGCCAATGAGTGTGGAGCTGGGGCCATAATCCAGTCCTTATGTGATTACTGTGAAGTTATCCTTTTCCCCCAACATCTACTTATGAATAAAGAGTTTATTAAGTGGTTAACTGCAAGGCAAGATTGCTCACAGTACTCTCAATGACACTCCAGGCTCAATGGCCTAGAGGACATAGAACAGAAGGAGGATTTAAGGAAACTTCTCCAATAAATCAGGCAAAATTTGCTTTGAGTGTGAATTCTAATCAATGCCATCATTTGTAGGAATGGGCCATGTCAGCAGCCCAGGGGTTGCTAACTTCAAGTAGGAGGTAGCCTTACGCAGATACTTGACTTGGGAGGACAGGAGGAAGAAAGCATTGAATAAACAAAGCAGGACTGAGGGTAGGAGTAGAGGCCTTCTAGGGATGCTGAACTTGTGCACAGAGAACTTCCTAACAGAGCACTACCTGCCTCTTCCTCCTACCCACCCCTGGGTTGCTTTTATAGGGGAGGAAAGCAAATCTTGTCCCTCTAGCCATCTTAGGTTCTCCCACTGAGGCCCTGTATATTAGACTAACAAAAAAGCACCTTCACCAGAGAAACACAAACAGAAGTTTATTAGCATGTGTCACACATACACATGGAGGTACCTAGAGATGAGTAACTCAAAGGGATTGTTAGAACTTGGGCTTATATAACATCTTAACAAAAAAACCCAATACTTTTGTAGAGAATTAACAAGAGAAAGGAAAAGCACTCTGGACTTCATGGGGTAGCAAGTTGTGGGAAGATAAATGGGAAACTCATGGACGGTAAGGGCTGGTTGGTCAAGTTTGTTCCTCTGGTCTAGTGTGTGGGATATAGGATCTACGGTTGTCTCAGGGGACCAAGAACTGTCCTGCCCTTCCTGGAAGAAAAAAGGAGAGCAGAGTTTTTCTTCTGTCCACTTCTTAATTATCATCAGCTCAGAATAATCCTTACGTCTGTTAAAGCAAACTAAATATGGCCTGAGAAGGACTCTGTACTTCTATATTTGAGTCCTTGTGGATGAACTGCAACCTAGCTTAACTGGTAGACGAGACTGAAAACCTAACTAGGAGTATGCACCTGTAACAGTCACTGAGTCTTGGCCAATCCCAGCAGCCATACTTCAACCACTCATACACTGCTGAGTGTTCAACTTGTGTTCAAATAAGGCAAACGCCAAGCTGTAGCTAGTCAGGCTGTTTCTCACTTCCTATTTCTATATGTCACTTTACTTTTTTTTTGTCTATAAATTTGTTCTGACCACAAGGCACTCCTGGAGTCTCTCTGAGTTGGCTGCCCAATTTGTGAATTGTTCATTGCTCAATTAAACTCCCTTAAATTTAATTCTGCTGAAGTGGTTTTTTTTTTTTTTTTAACACGCCAAAGTGGCATATTTTGGGGTGGCATAATCTGCCACACCCTTCCTTCCTCCTGAAGAGTTTCTTTGAGGAATTCAACCACTACATTTGAAGCATGCAACTATGGCAAACCTAATTAGAAAAAGTTGTGCTGATTCAGGAAGCCCCAGTCCCCGACTGAGTGACAGTAGATAGATGTGGGTAAAACAGTATCTTATTCTTGGCAGCTGAAAGTAAGTGAGAGGAAAGGGGTGGTGGAGGAGAGGAAGCCAGCAGGAGAATAGAAGAGAAAGTGGAGTGCACGCTCCTGACTGAGCAGGTCCCGTAGTCGACTTGATTGACAGGATGAGACTGAGGAGAGGCAGTGTGATCTCTGGGCGGGAGGTCAGAGCCTCTAGGCCAGAATCATGGTGGAGTTCGAAGAAGAAGAATGAAGTTTGAATGAAGTCCAACTTCATTCCCTAGAGAATTCCCAGGGACCTGGCTGTTCAGAAAGGAGCCTTGGGCAACCGATGGTGCCAGGGCTCCAGATGATTCCACCCCTGAGATAGAGTCCTTTGAGTCCTACAAAGTCTGGACTTCATAACGAATAATGACGGTGTCTGTTAAGTGCTTCCTAGTTATGAAATGTGATAAGCATTTTAAAAATGCAGTGTCTCATTTGATAATCACAACAATCTGTGAGTTAAATATCATTAGCCCATTTTACAGATGAGGGAGTTGAGGTTTAGAGATGTAAAAATAAGTGGCCCAAGCCCACCCAACATATAAGCAAACAGAGATTCCAATGAAATTATCATTCCAAATTCATATTTTTAATCATTATACTGCACTGCCTTCCCTTGGGTGGGTTATGACTTTCTGGGGAGGAGCCTTTCTGGAGGTCAGTAGCCACATGTTATAGCAGGGTCTAAATTTAGGATTCACACGGCGTCTGAGCTGCGGACAGAGGTAAGGCGAGTGAGTGGGGACTCTACATACTTGGAATCTGCCCCTGAGACCTGGTCTAGGCTCTTCTTTGAGTGATACCAATTGCCTGTTTTGTTTTTTTTTCTCTGAGTAAACCTGACCATTTCAAGCTCATTGTCAGGATTAGAAACCCTGACAGATCGAGGAAGAGAAAGCGAAATGGAATAGAAAGGAGAATGGGGGTGAGAAAGCAGTAGGTACTGAGTGTGTCCAACTGGGTCCTGGTCTTAAGCGTTCATCTGTCTCACAACAGCCCTGGTGTTGTGGAATCGAAGGACAGAATAAGATCGTCCAGCAGAGACCAGGACCAGAGATCTGGTTAGACCATACATATTTGTTTAGGCAGAAATGAAGACCAGATAATGTAGGGAAGGTGTGTGTGCATGACAGGTGTGGGTGGGAAGGCGAACCCAGAGAAAGGGGATCCCTGTGGGTGGTGGGGACCAAGCACACGAGGGTTTGGAGCAGCCAGGAGGGGTCTATGGATCCATAGGACTTCAACAAAAATAACAGACAAGCTAGTGGGTTCTAGGTGTCATGTTTTGGCATCTAGCTCAACTATGCAGGTCCTCGGAGCCACCACAAAATCCAGACAGACCCCTGATCCCAGAACACATTCTGTCTACTCCCTGGCGCTTGGCTGTCAGACTCTGCCCAGTTTGGGTAGAAAAACCGGCCACAAGAGGGCAGTAGGAAGCCACCGACGCTGGCGGATCTGCAGAGGGCTGGGTGCTCTGGGATGGACCAATAGGTTCAGATAGAAAATGACCTGGGAAAAAATGACCACAGCACCCCTGAGTGCCCCTGGACACTGCTGCCTCAGCCCCACCCTGGACATTCTGATTCTGTAGCCTGGGTAGGGGCTGGCAGTCTGAATTTTTAACACACAGCCCATGTGATATGGGAACTGCTCCCCCCAAGTATGCAGAATCTTCCATTGCACTTCCTTAAACCAAGATGACAAATAGGATTATTAGGAGAATAATATCTGTTAAAATGTTTTATTGGGAACATAGATAATATGACAGTGCATATATAAAATATATGCACATTTCAAAGAAGAATAAACACTGTGAATAGCTGTGCAAACACCTCTTAGGTTAAAAAACAGAATGTCACCAGCATCCCTGTGCACCCCTCCCATCTCATATCCCTTCCTCTCCCCATAGGTAACCTTGAGACTCTCCCATGTGGATTCACGTGTGTGAAGATAAGTGCCTTGTATGAACAACTTACGTACTCTTATCTCTTATATTGATGGACATTTAGGTTTTTCGGTTTTTTGTTTGTTTCTTTTTTCCTGTTAGGGACAATGTTGCTATGGACAGTCTTGCACCTGGAGAATTTTTCAAGAGATTTTCTAGGGTATATACGTAGGAGTAGAATTGCTGGGGTTTTGTGTATGCATGGTAAGCATTTGATCACATCAATATTAGGGAGATTTTGTTTGTTTATTTGTTTGTTTTTGAGACAAGGTCTCACTTTGTTGCCCAGGCTGGAGTGCAGTGGCATGATCATAGCTCACTGCAGCCTCCACCTCCCAGGCTCAATCAATCCTGTCACCTCAGCTTCCCGCATAGCTGGGACTACAGACATGTGCCACCACACCCGGCTAATTTTTGCTTTTTTTTTTTTTTTTTTTGTAGAGATGGGGTTTCCCTATGTTGCCTAGGCTGGTCTTGAACTCCTGGACTCAAGTGATCCTCCAGTCTGAGCCTCCCAAAATGCTGGAATTATAGGCATGAGCCACTGCACCTGGCTGGGACTTTTTAAAGAGAGTGAAAAGGCAAGCCACACACTGGGATAAGATCTTTGTAATATGTATAATTGATAAAGGACTAATATCCAGAGTATATAAAGAACTATAAACCAATTTTTTAAAAGACAGATAGCCCAGAAGGAAAATGGGCCAAAGTTGCAAGCACTTCACAAACAAGAAAATCCAGAAGGTCACTAAAAGTATTAAAAGATGCCCAACTTCACTGGTTATCAGGGAAATGCAAATTAAAGCCACAAGGAGATATCAACACATAACTTACAGATTGGTCAAAATTAAGAATTAGTCAATATCAAGTATTGTTGAGGCTATGGAATAATAGAAAACTCTCAGTCATTGCAAAATAAATTGATATAATCACTTTGAGAAACACTGATATCATCTAGCTAATCCTCTGTGGGAGCACAGGTTGGAGAATGCAATTGAATCTGGGAAGCCAAATGTTAAGTGCTGATGTGGCTCTGTGAAGGGAGTTTGCCCAGAGGTCTAAGGAAAGCTGTTGCCTTGGTGTGGCCATGGTCTCTGTGGGTTCACAGCCAAGCACCTGCAGGGAGGCCTGGGGTGCTGTGGGTCAGCAGGACCAGCAGTCTGGAAGCAGAGCGAGGCACAGAGGCGGACAGTGAAGTCGGCCTGGACCCTGTGGGGCATCTTATCTCATCACAAAGCGCTCCAGAGAGGAATGGCTCCTGCTTCACTCTCACTTCCCCAATCTCATCTAAATTCTTCTGGCCAACTCTAACAGAACATACAGGAAAGAGGGTTCTGGGCGATATAGTTTCCATCTGTATAAGTTTTCTATTATTGCTGTAACAAAACACAGACTTAGTGGCTTAAAAATGCAAATGTATCACTTTGGGAGGCTGAGGCGGGCGGATCACGAGGTCAGAAGTTCGAGACCAGTCTGGCCAACATAGTGAAACCCTGTCTCTTCTAAAAATACAAAAATACAAAAAAAAAAAAATTAGCCAGGTGTGGTGGTGTGCGCCTATAATCCCAGCTACTTCGGAGGCTGAGGCAGGAGAATCGTGTGAACCCGGGAGGCGGAGGTTGCAGGGAGCCAAGAACACACCATGGCACTCCAGCCCAGGAGAGGCAGTGTGAGACTCTGTTTCAAAAAAAAAAAAAAAAAAAAAAGCAAATGTATTAGCTTTTACAGTTCTGGAAATCAGAAGTCCAAAATGAGCTTCATTGGGCCAAAATCAAGGTATTGGCAGGGTTGGCCTCCATCTGGAGACTCTAGGGGAGAATCTATTTCCTTGCTTTTTCCATCTTGTAGAGACTGACTACATTCTTGGTTCAAGCCCCCTTCCTCCACCTGCAAAGTGCATTGGCTTCTGTTTCTGTGGTCACATCCACTTTCTGATTCTGATCCTCCTGGTTCTCTACCATAAGGACCCTTGTGATGATATCAAGCCCATCTGGATAATCCAGGATATCTCATCATCTCAAAATCCTTAACTTAATCACATCTGCTAAATCCCTGTTGCCGTGGAAGGTAACATAGTTCCAGGTTCCAGGGATTTGAATGTGGGTGTGTTTGGGGCTGTTCTCCAGCCTAGCACATTGTCAGACCAAGTTGACAACAGCACAGTCCCGCCATCTTCCCCCATCACATGGGAGCTTTTCTCCCGGAATGTTTTTCAGTTTGCTCACATAGATTCTCACACAATGTATAGTCTCCTCTTTTGAAGGGCAGGTTTCGTTGGCAATTTAGAGATGCTGTGGTTCATACAATATTTCTGGACTTTCTTTGCTCTCTCAGCTCCTGCTGCTGTCTCATGTTTTGGTTCACCCACCCATATTCTGGAGTTGTGAGAATTCCTTTTCACCCAGTTTTGTTGAAAGTGACCTCAATGTTCTTTCATCATTCTAGTTTCTATGTCTGTTTGATTATGATTTGGGGGGATTACATGCAATTATACCACTTCCAAATTATTGACATCTGAATGATCTCTATTCTTGCCATAGTTTTGAACCAATGGATGGAGCAGCATTGTTTATATTAAAATTGGAAAATAGGTGCTACAGTAAAGATTAATGAAGGTTTTCAAAAGACCATTTCTGGCTGGGCACAGTGGCTCATACCTGCAATCTCAGCATTTTGGGAGGTTGAGGTGGGTGGTTCGCTTGAGTCCAGGAGTTCAAGATGAGCCTGGCAACATGGCAAAACCCCATCTCTTTAAAAAATACAAAAATTAGCTGAGCATGGTGGCACACATCTGTAGTCCCAGCTACTCGGGAGGCTGAGGTAGGAGGATTGCTTAAGCCTGGGAGGTCGAGGCTGCAATGAACCAATATCATGCCACTTCACTCCAGCGTGGGTGACAGAGCAAGATCCTGTCTAAAAAAAAAAAACAACGCAAAACCAAAACAACAACACAAACAAACAAACAAAAACCCCTTCTGAGGAAGGATTTCCTAGCCAGTCTCTTTCCAAACCATCCCCTAAAATATGACTCGGCATTAAACTTCAAAGCTGAGTAGTTGTTTATATTACTAGATATAAAATTGGATATGAGGGTGATGTGGCCAAGACATCCCTCCACTGTGGTCAGAAACGAAATTGCAAAGGTTTAGGGTCAAGATGTTTTCCCAGTTGAGGTGTCAGTTATAAATACCTGTTTTAAAGACTCTCAAACAAAGTGGTTTGATTTCTTTTTGTTGTTGTTGTTGTTGTGTTGTTGTTGTTTGTTTTTGAGATGCAGAGTCTCGTTCTGTCACCCAGGCTGGTGTGCAGTGGTACAATCTTGGCTCACTGCATCCTCTGCCTCCTGGGTTCCAGCGATTCTCCTGCCTCAGCCTCCCAAGCAGCTGGGATTACAGGCACATGCCACCATACCCTGCTAATTTTTGTATTTTTAATAGAGATGGGGTTTCACCATGTTGACCAGGCTGATCTTGAACTCCTGACCGCAAGTGATCCACCTGCCTCGGCCTCCCACAGTGCTGGGATTACAGGTGTGAGCCACCGGGCCCGGCATGCTTTGATTTCTTAATGGCCCTGTAAGAGTTTGGCTTAACTTCATCCTAAATGAGACTTCAGACTGTGAACCATGCTGAAGGAATCTCTTGGACCGCCTACCTCAAAGCTTCTGCTTGCAACCACAGAACACACACACCCCACACCATTTGAAGTGTCTGCCTAGCATGTGACCATCTTTGTGGTTATAATTTTCAAATATCTATTTCTGTACCCTTTTATGGAGAATTCAAATCTCTAGTAGAAAATCCTCTTCTAACAAAACCTTCCCATTGCATTTGAGCAACCCACAGACCACTTGGAGAGCTTTCAAAGACCAGACTTTGGGAACCTGTAATTTAGAGCATCAAAGGAATTAGGATGTCTTGAGTTGAGGAGGACCAAAAAGGTACTTGGTACAGTCTCCTCCCAAAATTTGAAAATGAGTAAAGCAAGCAAGTTATATTTATTTAGATATGAAAACTGACTTAAAGTGATTAACTGTGGAACCTAGATGCCAGCTGAGACCTCCCCTGCCATTTGGGGATTTGGAAAACTTTCTATTGGGACTCTACTGGACTCCTGCATTCATGAATATTGTTTCATCTGCCTTCAATCTGGAAACTTCGACTCCTCGGAAATTTCTGTAACTGGTCTTTCTCTTAATCATCTCACAAAGCTAGTGATGTCACAGAGAAGTCCCAGGGAGTTATATGACATCGTATTCCACATTCTGCCACCTCCTGTGCTCTCCTTTCTCCTCTCTTCCCTCCCCCACTTCCTAACCTCATCTCCACTCCTTCACAAGAGAGCAAATGATCCTGTCTCCTTGCACTGTGTGCCCTTTCCAGACGGTCTTAGCACCAGCTAAGATCCACTACCACCCTCCCCACCCCCTCAGAGACTCACCTGCTCTAGTGGCCCTATTGAGGATTTTTCCAACAAGTATGAGATTCCTGTGAAGAGGGTATTATCGGCCAGCCACTGAAATAATAAAAATATCTTCATCTCTTTTTGTATATGGCAGACAAAAAGATCATAAAATCATGAAACCACATGAAAAGCTATTTAGTTTCTTCCTCCACAGAGGAAGATCCATGTAGAAAAGCTCAGAGCATGCCTAGGTGATGTCAAAAGCTTCACCTCCATAATTCCTTCCCTTAGAGGGTTCAGCAAATGTTAATTACCTTAATCTTATGCCTCTCTCAATGCTATTTAAGCAGCGGGAGTGATTTGCAAGGCAGTAGGGCTAGGAAGGGTCTGAAGTCCCCTGCCAGGGCAGGCATTAACCCTTCAGTTGTTGTATCATGGGATGATCCAGGGAGAATTGAGAGGGACAGAAAGAGTCTGAGCAGTGAGGGTAGGGAGGAGGAGGTTGGAGGGAGTCTTTAGGGGAGTTGGAAGCTATTCAGTTGGTGCAAAAGTAATTGTGGTGTTGGCCACTGAAAGTAACTATGTATTTCTATGTAGAAAGAGCTCTGCTGGAGTCTACAGAAGGCACACACAATGGAGAGCTCTGGCTTTAAGGATGCCACAGGCGGAAACTGACAAAGGTGTTGCCAGAGGGATTCCAGGAATTCTGAGATGCTGAGGGGAGGTTGTGGGGCAGGGAGCACCTCAGGCTGATGTGGAGGTAGACAAATAAAGGCTAGTAAAGACACACACCCATCTGAGAAAAGACGTGTCTTTGTAGGTTTGCAGGTAATATTAGATGAAACCAGAGAGCTCAGCATTGAGAGCAGATGCAAATGGTGGCAGCAAAGCAAGGCACTAGCTTCCAACTGTTCTTAGAAGGAAATCTTATGCCAAAGCTGAAAATGTAAAATGGACTAAAGCAGAACTATGCAGTGGGGATGGGGTGGGATAAAAATACAGTCTGAGAACTGCTGGTTCAAAAGAAGACCCTCAGTGGCAGGTGCTTTACTGAGGGGTTCCTGACCAAGATCCCCACAGGTAAGGCGTCAGATTCATCAGAGTCTGAGAGACCAACTCAGGCTAGAGACCAAGTGTAGGAGACGGAGGTCAACACCAAATGTCAACTACTCTTCTTAGTGAGAAAAAATGGACTGGACTGTTTACAATTTTCTGTACTTACTATATGGCAAAGTGAGTCGTAATCAGAAACCACTTTATTAATTTATCATGAGAAAGCATGATCATCAGTCTGGAACTGTGATTCAAAGTCTGTATCTTTAACGTTCTCTTTTCATATAGACATATGGAAGAACATAATCAGAAGGACTCAACTAAGGGGAAATTAAAGAATGAAATCAAATTTTTAATCACATCAGCTAAAATATTCTGATATTTCTATCTTCTAAATCAAGAGACTCCAAATTTTGATGATAGCACACCTCAATCAGCAAAAACTACTGGGGCCCACATTGCCAGTATAGGCCTATTTATTTATGAATTATGTGTACCTTCTACTGACATTTTGAACATTAAACATCAATCAAAATTAATTTAAAAATGGGCCGGGTGTGGTGGCTCACGCCTGTAATCCCAGCACTTTGGGGGGCCAAGACAGGTGGATCACCTGAGGTCAGGAGTTTGAGACCAGCCTGACCAACATAGTGAAACCCCGTCTCTACTAAAAAAACAAAAAAATTAGCTGGGTGTGGTGGTGGGTGCCTGTAATCCCAGCTACTCGGGAACCTGAGGCAGGAGAATCGCTTGACTGGGAGGCAGAGGTTGCAGTGAGCCGAGATCATGCCATTGCACTCCAGCCTGGGTGACAGAGAGACCCCATCTCAAAAAAGAAAAAAAATAGTTCGAATATTTTCTTTACTTGTTACAGTGGAATATTTCAACTATCATTTAATAAAAGAAATAGATTTTACATACATGAATTTCCTGTGTATGACTCTTTTGGATGGATATATTGAAAACATTCTATAAAATGCATAAGATGCGTGACAATTACTTTCCTCAGGTGTGCTCTAATGAGATTATTATAGTAACTGTATGGTAACTATTGTCATCCCAATATGTAGAAACTCTGATTCCAAGCTCCTAACTTTTGTGTTTGCCCTTTGTCTACCTTTGAAGAGCATGCTGCTTCCCTTCCTTGCATGGAAATACCATGATCATTAAAAATATTGAAGACATCAAACAAGTAAGCAAGTCTGACTGTCCGTTTCATATCTGCAAAAGTTAGGACTAAACTGATTTCTTATCTTGCAGAAACATAACTATGACTTCATGTCATAGTTCAAACATCCTTGACTTGACAGAACATTTCCTTTCAATGACCATCCCACCTCATCAAGAAACGATTGTTATTGTTTGGATCAGTATCCATATTAACACATAATAAAGAAAATGATTTGAATTGAACATATTGGCTGTGAGGTCATTCAGTTTTTACTATATCACTAAGCACACTGTGTAGTTCGGCTGACTTGTAAAAGGTTTTTAACAGGATTTTCTCAATGAAGAAAACTAGAAATTAATTAACAGTCACTGGCACAAGCTCCTTAAGCTGGGTAACCATTCCATAATGTTTTCCTGTCATTGGAATTACAACACCAGACCATATTCATACATGCAATTTAAACTCTTCATCATAGTTATTTATAATATAGTCCTTCCCAGTTGTATATGGTTCAGAGCTAGTTGTGTTTCATGGTGATTAAGTTGCTAAACACAATTTTTCCTTTACACCAAGTCGGCAATATGTGTGTATTCATCAAGTTGAAACAGACAGCACTTTGTTAGCATTATAGACCAGCTAGAAAGGTGGGAGCCTGTACCAGAGCAGTTAGAGTAGGATATAGAGAAACAAATACATCCAAGAAATATTCATGAGGCCAAGTTGAAGGAGTAGGATGAGGATATGGGGATGAAGGGGTAGAAAGAACATGTCAGAGACTACTTTCAGGTTTCTGGCTTGGATACCTAGATGGATGGTGATATTAGTAAATACTATAGAGAATATAGGAGAAAGATAAGGTTTGAAACGAAGTTGATGAGTTTACTTCTGTGCCACATACTGAGATTGAGGTTCTTGAATAGATTGATCATTCATCATGGTTTGCCTGAACTGTGTGGATTTATGCCTGTTGTCCTAGTTTAATTAGTAATTGCACCCTCTTTCCTCTCAAAAAGAAAACTACTTGACTGCTTCATTTGTTCTTGAGTTGGTCTCCTAGATCATTAGCCATTTCCTGAATATGTCAGGTTATGGAGTCATTAGAAAGTGGTACTAGAGGCTAGGTGCAGTGGCTCACACCTGTAATCCCAGCACTTTAGGAGGCCGAGGCAGGCAGATCACGAGGTCAGGAGTTTGAGACCAGCTTGACCCAAACGGTGAAACCCCATCTCTACTAAAAATACAAAAATTAGCTGGGCATGGTGGCGTGCACCTGTAATCCTAGCCACTCAGGAGGCTGAAACAGGAGAATCGCTTGAACCCAGGAGACAGAGGTCGCAGTGAGCTGAGATCACGCCACTGCACTCCAGCCTGGGTGACAGAGCAAGACTCTGTCTTAAAAAAAAAAAAAAAAAAAAAAAAGAAAAGAAGAAAAGAAAAGAAAGTGGTACTAGAGTTACCTTCTTGGCTACAGATTCATCTGAAATTTCCAAGCAAACATTTCTGATGCAAGTTTTCACTGCCTTCTTAGCAATTACATATAGAGTTGTAGTGTAACTGACCTGATGTATTCATTTATATGTAGCAGCAAAGCACTGATGTTTAAATGAGAAATTCTGAGGATTTGCTTCTGTTAGCTCGCTGACTCAATATTCATTTTTCAAATAATTTCTTTGACTTTAAACTTCTAAAAAATTTCTCACCTGTAAATGCCACTTAAGTTCAGATGGTTTTATTGCATCATCAGCCAGTACTTCTCTGCAACTAACACTATAGTGTTAGCACTTCATCTTCAATATGGTACAAAATCTATAGAGATTATACTTCAGACTAAACTACATGAGGACCTTTGATTTTTGTTTCTTTGGAATCACTTCCATTGTCATCATCTGGTTTATCACTACTGCCACATTCAGTAAAGTGTGCCTTTACAGGACATACATATCTACGTATAGAAAACAGCATTTGGCAAGCATATTGTTAGATTCTAGGAAATTGGCATTTTTTATATTTTCCAAATTTTCTACAATAATCATGTATTTCTTGAATCAGAAATTATGATTGATTTCTTAAAAAAATAAAGCCCAGAAAAGCTTATTTTACTGCTTATCAATTAGGGTCAAAAATAGTACAAATTTAACTTCTTTAATTTAGTTAACAACATTAGCTATAAATTAAATAATAAGCTTGATTAAAAAGTAAAACGATCATGAAAGTAGCAAGTTAAAATACCCAAATGCTGATTTTCTGAAAACTTTATGCATTGTTGGCTTCTTGTCGGCCGCTCATTCTCCCTCCCACATGTAGCACACAGCTTGCACCTGCTGTGACTCAGCGTGCGAGTGTGACAGCAGGTGAGCAGGCCTCCTCCCTGTTTCACGGGATGGCTCCATAGACCACACACTTGGATGTTGCAACAACGTCAGATTGCCATAAAAGTGTCTGAACAGTTACTGTCAATTTCCAACTTATCAGACAGTGCAGGGGAAAAGGGTTCTGCAGGACATCCGTTGACAGCGCTGACCTGTATGGATTTACACTCCCTCATCCTGGGACAAGCACACCATTACTAAATGTTCTTTTACCTGGCTGAATGTTTCTGAAACACCCAACCTCCTCCTGCTCCCATGATGCCCCAAGGTTGCAGGAGTTGGGGGTATGAAGGAGAAGCTTGTGGTCTCACCTGCTCCATTGGCTTCTTTCTCTTCCTACACCTTCCTGGGACTAAATAGACTTTCCTCTCACCTCTTTTTATTTCCTATATAGACTTTTATGGTCCTGTCTGGATTTTCATATGTTAAAGCAGGAGATCAAAGCATTTGGAAGAACTTTTTCTCTCTGAATAATGCCTAGTTTTCAAGTTTAGTGTTTTGCGACAACATCCTATCCTGAATAACTAAAGCTGTTATCCAAAATACAATTTTTTTCCACTTTGCATTTCTACTGTAACAATACAAGAGACAGATGATGAGGGGGAAGGACATGTACCCCCAAGAAAGTAAAAAGAAAAGTACATTGACATTTTTTCGGGTCCTTTCTTTAGAGGGCTCTATCAGTTGACTTCTACAGAAGGCTGTGCAGGGCACTCCATGACTCGCAGTGTGCCTGCATGCTATACCGGCACTAGCCGGAGAGCTGGCGGCTCTCCGAGGACTCTGTCTGGGTTGTCCGTCATGATCAGGGTTTCCCTCATTAAGGCTCCAGCTACAGTAGTTCTGGGCTTTGCTCTTTAATCTCTTCCTGCCCGTTGCCACCAGGGACACTCTCACCTACCACAGGAAGTCTCCAATTCATAAATGGTCTATGTTCTGAACGTCTGTAAGTGTAGCACTTGAAACCCAGAACTCATTTTTCTGCAAAGAGAATGTTATAAGTGTGTGTTGGGTCTCCAGGTCAACCCACAAAGGCCCATTTAACTTCTACTGCAGGTAATGAATTTTCCCTTTGCTCCTTTTATATACATAGAATTATGGAATGTCAGAGCTGGAATAGAATTTAGAACATCATGCTACACAGTGGTAACAGGGTTGTCTTCCACTGTATTCTATTACAAGTGCCCCATGTTCCTTCTATGTGAAACATTAGGTAGGGTCCTGCGGTCTAGCCTGGAAACCCAGTCACCCTTTACAACATTGTAAATCAAATAGTCACGAACAGAAGTAGTCTTCCACAGAGAACTTCATCTTAGCTACTTTTCTTTATGCCTTTGAGGCACATTGCAAGGAGCAGGTTTTTGTCAATGAGGTCTCTCCATCTATGTGCAGGCATGGCCAATACTTACGCACCTAAAATCAATATCATCACGGGAGCCACCATTAAGAAAACCAAAGGGCTCAGGTGTGGGAGTAGAGGTGAGAAGGGACCCCTCTTGGCTGATATTGAGTCAAGCATACTTCCATCCCAGGGGATCTGTTTCCTGTCCTTTCTGTTTGAGATGCTTTTGTCCGGGCATCCTCATAGTACACTCTCAGTTCATCTGCTCTGCGCTCAAGAACCACTGCTCAGTGAGGCCCTTAATGGCTGCTCTATCTAAACCAGTACCTCCTGGCACTCCTGCTCTCCTGCCCTTCCTTAACTTTTCCCTGTAGCACTGTTCATTTGCTTATTTGTTGGATTTCCTGCCTGCCATTTGGTGCCTCCTGCAACCCCCACGTAAGTTTCATGAGGGTAGGATTTTGTCTCGTTTGCTGTCACACCATTAGTGCCTAGAACATTGTCTATGTGGCACATGGCAGGAGCTCTGGAAATATATTTTTGAGTGAAAGAATGAGGTGAGTCAGCACTCTGCTAGGTGTTCTATATATGTTATTTTATTTAATACTCAAAACACTTCGGTGAGGTTGCCTTTTTTTTTTTAATAGATGAGTGACAGAGCACTCTTAGGTTTTTTTTGTTTTGTTGTGTTTTTAGAGATGGGGGGGTCTCACTCTGTCACCCAGGCTGGAGTGCAGTGGCTTCATCATAGCTCAAGCTCATTAGCTCATCACTGCAGCCTCAGACTCTTGAGCTCAAGTGGTCCTCCTGCTCAACCTCTGGCCTCCCAAAGAGGTGGGATTACATGTGTGAGCCACCATACACAGCGAGAACCCTTGATTTAAAAAGCGACTTTAGGCCAGGCAAAGTGGCTTACACTTGTAATCCAGCGCTTTGGGAAACTGAGGTGGGTGGATCTCTTGAAGTTCGAGACCAGCCTGGCCAACGTGGCAAAACCCCGTCTCTACTAAAAATAACAAAAATTAGCTGGATGTGGTCATGCAAGCCTGTAATCTCAGCTACTCAGGAGGCTGAGGCAGGAGAATTGCTTGAACCCAGGAGATGGAAGTTGCAGTGAGCTGAGATCATGCCACTGCACACCAGCCTTGGAGAAGGAGCGAGACTCCATCTCAAATAAAAATAAAATCCACTTTAGCAATACAATTTTGTGACTTATATATGCATTTTATCTGTTTATAATTGTTATTATTGTTGAATCTCAAGAAAATCTTAAATTCTCTAGAGAATAAATTTGAATTTTAAAAATTCTCTTTGGATTTAGTGTAGGAGGAAAGACTGGCACTCTGAAGTGGGTTGTCTTTAAAGAAGTATCTTGAGGGTAACTTTTAGCCAACTTGATTCAACTGAAGTCAGTAAATCTCAGATGGATAATCACCACGTGCTGGTGTAGGGAGAATTTACGGTCCTTATCTTCAAAGGCCTTGTGAAGGCCTCATCACTTCACACTGGGATTATAATACGTAATCACTTTTCATTCATCTATTCATTGATTTATCAAGCATGAGTTGTGCCCTTGAGGAATTCTATTCCAGAAAGAGAGACAGCTTTGTTAAAAAAAAAAAAAAAAAGAAAAAAGAAAGAAAGAAAAGAAAAGAAAAAACAAAACTATCGATCACATGGTAGGTAACAGTATCAGAGAATTCTGTATAAAATGCTGTGAGGGTGGTAGATCATAACCCAAGATGAAAAGGTTTATCATCCTTTTCATCTTGGGTTATGATCAGGGTTGCATATAAAATCCTTTGAGTCTTCCTGAAGTTACTTTCTTAACTATAGCGTGGTTAGGCAAACTTGGCACATCCCTACAATGAGCTACACACATCAGACCACAAAGGATGGAGCCCATATAAATATATGAAAAGCAGATCTTCCCTAGTGGGCCTAAAATGAACCTTCACAGATATGTATCAGAAGGGGATTCATAGCCATGCTCTGTGAGATAGCAGAAACGATAACAACTTTGAAATCAGATGGAAAATTGGACTTAAAAATGCTTCTCATTTAGTTGTGTAATCTTGGACACAGTACTTGCTAGCTCAGAGCCTCTCCAGCTCACAGGATTGCTGTGAAGCAAGCCCCCAGCAGAGGCTGATATCCAGCGTGTGCTCCATAAATGTCGTATAACAATAGCTGCCTTGATCTGCTAGCTTTGGGGTAAATTTTACATATGTCATTTAATCAAGAAAACAACCTTCTAAGTATAATTGTTCATATTTTGCAGATGAAAAGACTGAGGGTAAGAGAAATCACGTAGCTATTAAGTGGTTTAGCTGAAATTCACCCCATTTTTATCCTCTTCCAAAGTTAGTGCTCTTAAGAATTACATAAATAATTATATATTAAGTTCATTGTATTCTCCCTATAGGCTGCTTAAGAATACAATAATATAAGATAAAAATATGTGTACATGAACTTATATTTATCAGTAAGTACTGGGGTATAAAATTGTCTTTCCCTCTTTAAGCCCTAATGTTCATTGACGCGTTAACAATGAGTCACGATTTTATTTCTTGACAGTAGATGGCGCTGGTGATTGTCAAAAGAGACAGAGTCTCCCACACCCCTCTCCTTTCCTGAGCCATTGAAAAACAAAACAAAGAGCTGGTGGAAAAAAAACGCAAAAATTTTCATCGTAATGAAGGATTGAAATTAAAAATTTGGAACCGTCATGTGATTAAGCAGAACGTGTATATGATCCACACACTTTTATTTGGAACTCTAGGGAAAACCTCCTGAGCTATTTGTAAAATTTCATTCTCAGGATTAAAACAAAATATAGTAAAATTTGATTATCCAGACAAAAGATGGATTTATATTTCTCTATTAGACAGATTTTATTTCTGCACCTTAATTTTAGCAAGGGATGAATATTAAGACAACTATGAATTTAGTTGACAAAAAACTCACATATATCTGACTTCCAGAGTCCTGAAGGTGGTATAGAGGAGTATGGTAGTCAAGATAAAAACAAAACAAATTATTATATGACCTTTGAGTATATCACTTAATGTCTCAGGACAGAAGTTTTCTCATTTGTAAAACTGAAATATTTCTTGCCTAATTCACATGGCAGTTGCAAGGATCAAATACAGTAAAGTAGTATAAACACCTTGAGAATTGTCATGTTCTTTCCAAATATGCTTTTTTTCATCTTTACCATACAATCAACCCAACCACCTATAGGTAAAATCATAACACAAGGAAAATTGGAATTCAGAATAAAATACTTGAGCATTAAATTTCCTCATTGGTCCAAAAGCACTTTAATAGGCTTTGGTGAATTAGATTCGTGCAAGAAAAGGGACTAATGTATTTTCAACCATCAAAGGAGTGTTTAGCTTAATAATCAGCTACCCAGAAAATGAAACAGAAAAACACTTGAATCCAAAGCACCGAAGTGAACTGAAGCGGCCTCCACTGTCCTCCCCTAACTGTCCGCACGGCCTGTCCTCTGTAGGAGTGTCCTTGTGTACGTGTGGAGGTTGTGGACACACATGCCTAGGGTTACAGATGCTCTACAGACTTAACTCAGTATAGTGAAGCTGCAGAGATAGTCATAGCCCTAAAGAAGCCTATCTGAGAGCTTTCCTTTGGGTTTTACAAGAGGCATAGATATTTATTCTGCTCTTCTTTTAACAAAAGACTCCCAAATATTTGCTGAAGATGTAGAGTATTGCCATTTCTGCTTCAAAAGCTCTGAGCCTCTCACGGCACCTGTTGCTGCTGCCCCAAGAGCGGAACACACCCTCCACACCAGCAGCCCCAGGACTAGATTCAGCTTCTCAGTGAACCACTTCCATGCTCCACGATGTGCTCTGGGCTTTGGGGACTTAAAACATCGCAGCCGCGGCATAACAGAGATGCGTCAGCTTCTAAAGTCGTAGTGGGCAGTTCTAGAAACCTGACCCTTTCTTCTGCTGCTACAGATTCTATTGGCTTCTGGAGATTCAGAGACGTCCTTCCTCAAGAAGGAACCTCTGCCTGGCCTTCAGCAGGGCCACTGTCATGTGCGATATTCACTTAGAGCCTTATCACATTTGTGGCTGTAGAGGTGTTTGCGTGCCTTGTTTAATTTATCCCACTAGACTGTAAGTTCAGGGCAGATGGGGGATGTCTGGTTTTTGTTTTTTTTTTTTTTGCCTAATACTGTGTCCCCATGCTGGGCACAGACCTAGCACAGAGTAGGTGCTTGGCAAAGAGCTTTTGAATGAATGAATGATTGGCTGTAGTCTTCCTGGGAAAGGGCTGGCAGGCAAGGAAGTGTTAAACCAGCCACTAACCGCCCAGGCTGACCAGCCTTCTCCCTATCTCCCAGGCCTTTCGAACGGAGCCCGGGGAGGACAGGCTGGCAGAGGAGGGAGGAGGGTTTCTAGCTGAGAGAGACTGCGGCTGTGGGCCTGCAGCCTACCCCTCTTCAAGCTCTCCGGAGCCGTTCCTGCGAAACCAGCCCCCACAAGTGAGTGTCTGCGGCCCCCTCCCTCCTCTTTCCCTTATTGCTCCCTGTGGGGATGGGGCTGACACCGAGCTTGATCCTAAGTAAAAGTCTGTTCTAACAGGAAGCAAATAATGTTCCTCCCCTGACGGAGGTGTTTCCTTCTCAAAGAAGTTACAAAGGGCTCTTTTCAGAGAGAAAGGGGCTGGGAATAGTGTGTGGCCTCACTGCCGTCTGCCTTGGGTGGAGCCAGCACGTTCTGGAATCCAGGGGCTTCCTCTTCTAAAGAGGCGCCGGGCCATGCACTGAAACGGGGTGGCCCATCCTCTGGGAGCCCCAGTCCCCTTACCTGCTTGATACAAGCATCCTCTGGAAGTGCCTAGGGTCATTGCCAAGGCCCCTGTTTTCTTTTCTTGGCTTCCAGGACGCCGTAGTCTGTGTTCTTCCTCCCGCCCTGCAGTTCCCTAGCTGGATTCTCTTCCTCGCTGTGATCTCTTCATCCCTGGTTCCCCAGCGCTCTGTCCTGAGCCCCCTTCTCGAACCACACTCTCGTCTGAGTGAGCATATTGAGCTTCATGGCTGTACATTTCCTCCCCGTGCCGAGGAATCCCACACACTTAGTTCCAGCGCCCAGCTCGCCCCCACCTCATCCAGGTCCTTACATCCCCCTGCAGACTCTGTCTCCACTCCACCTCATTGGTGTTTCCCACTCACTAGATCTAAAGCCAAACTCTTGATCCTGACTTCTCCACCCACCAGCTTGCCTTTCTCTTCATCTTCCCCATCTCAGAGAGCGGCTCGGTCCCGAACTGTCTCTTTCCTTCACACCCTTCATCTAACACACAGCAAGGCTTCTCAGCTCTACCTTCAAAATCTACTCCTCATCTTTCTTCTTCCCACCACCGCCACTCAAACGCCCTCGGCCTAGAGGGATCAGACCCATACTACCTGGCTCCTGAACCTCTGCAAGAGTCTCTGATCTTTCTGCTTCCACTCCTGTCTTGCTACAGACTATTCTTCTGACAGCAGCCGGGGTGATCTTTTCAACTACCAGACCGTGTCACCTTGCTTAAAACCAGCTGGGGCTTCCCTCACACGCAGCATGACACTCAAACTCCACACGACAATCTAACCAGCCTCACCAACTGTGGCCCTGGCTTGTCCTTCTGACTTAGCTTCTGTCTCAGCTCAGGCTACACTGGCCTTCTTGGTATTCCTCAGCCCCCCAGCTTGTCACTGCCCAGCCTTTGCACTGTGTCCTCTCTCTGGAGTTCTTTCCCTCAGGTCTTCAGGTGGCCTTGCTCTCGGGCTTTCTGGAGAGACTTAAAAGCCATATCCATGGAGAGGCTGAGTTTGGCCACCTACCTAAGGTAGCCTCTCATCACTCTCCATGCCTTCGTCTGGCTTTCCTTTTGATTGAGCACTTGTTACTACTTGTGTTCAGCTCTTAGATGAGGGCACAAGGAACTCTGGCGGGTTTAAGTAGAAGAAGGATTTATGTGTAGACTTTGACAGCTCCAGGAATGTTTGGGAAGGCTTAGTGGTTTATAGCCAAGAAGAGTGCACGCATTGCACGAATTGGTGGGATCTCTGCTGCCCCAGCTGCCACTGGTTATGTCACCAATGCTACCGTCCCAGATACTAACACTGCTGGAACCCGCTGTCACCAGCACCCTTGGAATCCCCATCTTTCTGCAGCTGCTGCCATCTCCTATGAGGGCTTTCTCAGTCTCTTTGTCCTTGAGTCATTGGTTCCTAACTCAAATTGTGGGCCAGTGTGTCTGGCTGGTGGAGCCTTGGCCACAGGCCTTGGCTCCTTCTACAAGAGAGGCTGATAAAACCACTATCAGGCATTTTCAAATTCTATGTAATGGACCATGGGCTCTGCTTATCCACCAGATTCCATGAGGTAGGGAATCTCAAACATAGGATGGAGGTTCAGATTCTGGGTAACCAAAAAACAACGATAAGCATGCCCTTGACTAGCTGGCTTTCTAGTATATATTTACGTGTTTATGTGTCTATTGCCTAGCTACTACATTAGAATGAAAGCTAGATGAGGTCAGGCACTTTGTCTTTTTCCCTCTGTATTCCGAGAGTTCAGAACAGTGGCTGCACAGAAGTGACCCTTGATAACTACTGAATGAATATCAGATACTGTATTGAAGGTGTCAGCAATTAGAAAGATTAAACAGTCTCATTGTTGCTACCATTCCTTCTTTAGGTGGCTGATGCTCCTGTCCCTCTTCTGGCCTGATTGCTCCCTCTCCTGACCCCTAAGGTAAAAGCCAGCCAACTTGGGAGATATAGTTTGCCGGTAAAAGAGACAAGCAGACAGGGTCAGGTGCTCCATGCCAGGAAAGGAAGCCAGTTAGTGACAAAGGAGAATCCCAGGGGACTTCAGGGAGGGAAGACATGGCTACCGAAGGGCACAGGGCCAGGGCATGTGCAAATTATATTGTTGAGACAGTGAGAATGCCCTACCTTGCCTGCCACTTCTTTGAGGAGAAGAGAGTAGAGTCGCAGGAATGAAGGCTCCTTTTAACCATCCTGTGCCTTCAGACTCAGGGAGTCTGATGGAGGTGGTGGGGTTGGGGAAGGGAAATGGGGGAGGGAGTACAGTGGCTGGAGAGCTGGGGTCAGTAAACAGAAGGCATGGTGGAAAAAGTTCCCATTCTACCTCCTTAAGTTTCAGAAACCTGTTGTTTTCCAAGCCCAGTGACTCCCTCTGATATGTAGCCTGCAGGGGTGGAAAGTGTCTGAAGTGTCTGAATGTGTGTGTGTGTGTGTGTGTGTGTGTGTGTGTGTGTGTGTGTGTGTCTGTAGGGTTGGGAGGAGAGCAAGTGGAAAGAATGAAAGCTTGCCAGGCTAGGTAGGGAGGAGGAGACGACAGTCTTGCACTGCCAGGGGGTCACAGTGCTATCCCGTTACTGCTCTAGGCTCTACCTCAAATGCTCGGTAGCTTTATCCTCTCTCTTTTAACATTCAGCCTTTAAGTATTTTGAACATGCATGTAATTGGGGATGGGAACAGCTGTCATGACTGTCTTGCTGTAGGTCTGGACGCATTATATGTAGCAGGTGCATATGAGCAAGAGCTCAGGCCACTTGCCCAGCCATCCTTACTGTCCTGGATGAGGGATCAGGGCCATGGGGTTAATGCTCTGATGGGATCTAGGCCTCCTGACCAGCTGGTCCCTCCATCCATTCTCCACCGCTTGCCCAGCCTCACCCTTCCCCCACTAGAGTATAGGAATCATAGGAAAGGAACATCTGGTGTAGTTCCCAGCACCCTTCTCCCACCCCAGCTAGCCCTTGGCCACCTGGACTCCTGAGCCCAGTGGATCCCGGCAGGACTGGGGAGCAGGGACAGCTGGGATGTCCTATATGGAGTCTTTAAGAAAAAGGACATGGGCATGTGGAACTCTAGCCATGGTGCTCGGGGAGAATCAGATGCAAAATTGTTGTCTTTTAATGGGAAAGAGAGAAAAATTGAGAGTGAAAAGCACTGTCTGGGCAGGACGGTCTGCAGGGGAGGGATGAGTGGAGGAAGGAGAAAAGGAGTGGGGAGTGAGGAAAGAAAAGCAAAGAAGAGGACACATTGAGGGGACACTCAGACTGAACACGATGTTGGGGAAATGCTGAACATTCTATTTATAGATTCTAGAGAACTTCTAAGAAGAGGCACTGTGAGTTGGCTTAGCTGTGTTAAAAGATGACTAATTATAGTCATTTATGGAAACTGCTGCTTAGCATTTCTAGCTAATCATCATGCAGGCTGGATTACTCATGTTGTGAATATCTGTCAGGGCATTTTTTGTTGAGAATTGTATTTGATTGCAACACCTGCTCATGAAGATCCACTTTATTGTCATGCAGCGTAGTTACCTACTCAGGACTAAAACAAAACAATCCAGAAAGAATGCTTTCTAAGAATAAAGAAAAACAAAACAAACGCCTGTAAGTATACCACATGATTTTCAAAAATTTGGTGTGAAGGTTGGTAAAAGAAGGTTAACAAAACACTAAGAATATTTTAAAAATTGTTGAAGTTTCCCATACGCCTACTCCCTATCCTCGCCACCATCCCACACATGCACACACACACGTGTGCACACACCCACCCACACACTGTCCTTTGAACATGAGATCCATGGCAGTTACAGAAATTGTATCATCTAATCTGCAAATATATTCATTTTGGTGCTTCGCAGATGAACAGAAATTGCTTTTCCCTTTTTACAAAAAAAAAAAAAAAAGGATAAAAAGGCCAAAGTGTCTGTTACTAATGATGCCTGGGTCACTCAGGAAGTCTGTATCATATCAAGCAACATGGAGCTTGGATTAAAAGAAAAGAAGGTTAGGTTAAATCCAAGCAAAAACATCTTGACTTTTAACTTAAAAACGGGTGTCATTCTGTGCATTAGATTCACGGTGTTGAAAAGTAACCATCCCAAATGCATTCTGTGGGTACATGTAAATGCATAACACTTGGAGCAGTTTGGAAAGAAGCAGGTCAACATGGCCCCGATGCGCAGCCCCTATGTCTGCCACCCCCATCTCTGTGTGAAGGTGATAAACCGGGGCAGTGGACCAGGGCTTCTGTGCCAACAGTTGGAATGCAGACAGAGAATTGCATACATAGAAAAGGAAAGCAGATTTGAATCACTTAGTTCCTGTATAAATTCATCCACTTCTCTCCAGTAACATTTGGCGTAATCACTGGGGATCAGTCTTTACAGGCCTGTTGTTCAGATGAAGACATTACAGAACACAAAAGGCATGTCAAGTCCTCCAACACAGCAGCAGGCCCGAGAGAAAAACCAGACTCCGGAGTCAGAGTGGGAACAAACTACACTGTTTAAAAATGTTACTTACTGTTTAAAAAAAGGGGAAAGAATCAGGAATCAGAAAATAAAAGGCAAGACTTAAAAAAATGCATCAAGCATTTTCTCCTTAAAAATGTTACTTTTGGGCCAGGCACGGTGGCTCACGCCTGTACTCCCAGCATTCTGGGAGGCCAAGGTGGGTGCATCACCTGAAGTAAGGAGTTTTGAGACCAGACTAGCCAACATAGTGAAACTCCGTCTCTACTAAAAATACAAAAAATTAGCTGGGTGTGGTGGCAGATACCTGTAATTCCAGCTACTCGGGAGGCTGAGGCAGCAGAATCTCTTGAACCCAGAAGCTGGAGGTTGCAGTGAGCCGAGATTGCGCCACTGCACTCCAGCCTGGGTGACAGAGTGAGACTCCATCTCAAAAAAAAAAAAGAAAGAAAAAAAAGTTACTTTCATGTGAAGCTGTGATTTGGCCCTTAGTACCTTCCCCACCAATAACCTGGTTACTGGATAAGAACAGAATAATAAACTTAGAAGCCATCTATTGCAATCTCCTCTGCTATTTGCCTCCCCTCTTTGTGCCCCAACATGTTGTCATCCTGCTTCTGCCTCAATACTTTAAATGGCAGCGAGCTTCTTGCCTGTTTGGAGCAACCCATTGGTCTTTAGATCATGCAATTGAGAAATGAAACACCCTGTTACCATGTCACCCTCTACAGAGTCCTAGTGTTGAACACCGGAGACACACAAGACAGGTCCAAGTTCTCTTCCATGTGCAAGTTCTTGCTTATTAGGAAACCTCAATCATGTGTCTTTTAAAACTGCCCTTATGTCCTCCAGTCTATGAACACCCTGGACTTACAATGTCAGGCTCCTGCATCATCCCTGCTGCCATCTCTGTGCTGGCTTACATTCCTCTTAAGTGTGGAACTGGCAACAGAACTCATGGTATGACCTGAGGTTTGGCTAGGTTTTGCAGCTATTCGTCATGCTTTTGGCCACCTATTAACTTTTGTTTTTTGTTTGTTCATTGAGATGGAATCCCACTCTCTCACCCAGGCTGGAGTGCAGTATTGAGATCATAGGTTACTGGAGTCTCAACCTCCCAGGCTCAAGTGATCCTCCTGCCTCAGCCTCAGGAGTAAGCTGGGACTACAGGTGCGCCACCATGCTCGGCTAATTTTTTTTCAATTTTTTGTAGAGATGTGGTCTCAATCTGTTGCCCAGGCTAGTCTTGAACTCCTGGGCTCAAGTAACCCTCCTGCTTCAGCCTCCTAAAGTGTTGGGGTTACAGGAATGAGCCACTGTGCCTGGCCCCTATCAACTTATGAACTCCCCCACCCCTCCCCCGGCATCATGAGCCTGCTTGCTCCTAAGGAAGAAGTCAAAACTTGTTCTCTGGGCCATTCTTGCAGCTGAGGTTTGGGCATACGATCCAGACACCCTGATCACATACAACTATGTAAGACTCTGATTTGGAATCTATGGACATGAAGCAGCAGGCCTGGGCTGCAGACATTCTGGTGAGGGTAGGTGCAGCAGTGACAGCCAGCATTTCAGAGACAAAGAGGGGTTATGTCCTTCAAGGAGGTCCCTAAGACCAGAGTTTGAGAGATAAGCTGCAGTACTGTGTGGAAGAATAATGAGCTCCCAAAGATGTCCACGTCCCAATCATTGGAACCTGAATATGAATACATTAACTCACATGGCAGAGGGGATTTTGCAGATGGGATCAAGTTAAGGATCTTGAGATGGAGAGATGGTCTTGGATTATCTGGGTGAGCTCAATGTAATCACAAGGTTCCGTATAAGGGAAGAGGTGGGAGGTTCAGAATTAGAGAAGGTGATGTGATGATGGAAGCAGAGGGAGAGGAAGAGACATGGCAATGAAAGCAGAAGTAAGAGAGAAGGATTTGAAGCCACACTGCTGGCTGTGAAGATGGCAGAGGGGGCTGTGAGCCAAGGATGCATGTGGCCTCTAGAAGCCGGGAAAGGCAAGGAAAATCACACTCCCCTAGAACCTCTAGAAAGGAAATCAACCCTGCCACACCTTGATTTTAGCCCAGCAAGGCCCATTTTGAACTTCTGACCTCCAGAACTGTAAGAGAATATAGGGTATTGTTTTAATCTCCTAAGTGTGTGTTAATTTGTTATAAGTGCAGCAGGAAATGCATACCTGGGCACCAGTTCCAAAGGCTAGTGAAGGGAGCAGCAGGGTCTCCATGTAATTCCGGCCCTTCTTTTAACCCTGACACTTCCAAAACTGATTCTCTGGCTCTCCCAAAGACTCTATAAATTCCCTCAGATCACTTAACAAGTTCATTTTCTTCTAAAACTGACTTGAATACATAGGTTCTGTGACTTGTAACAGAGAGCTCGGGTAATTCCTGCCCCAGGGCTCCTCTATCCTTTCCCTTTTATTTCTGAATTATCTCTCAAATCCATCTTCGCTGCTCTATCACCCCTTCCTTGTTTCAGGTCCTTGCTATCTCTTGCCTAGACTATTTTCATGCCCTCTTAATTATTTTTCCTGTCTCTTATGTCTTCTTGTTCTAGCCCTTCCTTCACATTCCTGCTATATCATTATATTTCAAAACTTAGCCAGAGTGCTTCATTGCCTTATTGGAAACATGTTGATGGTGTCCCATTGCCAACAGGATGAAGATCAAAGTCTCTACATGGCATGGAAGGACCCTAACCACCTTGCATGAACCTGCAAAGGATTTGATGCTAGTGACATCTGATGAGCTCTAGGGCCATGGGTAAATCCCTGAATCACAGGGAGCACCATCTGTAAAGCAGTGATAATGATACATTTTTTCATTTGTAAAGTGATGATTTAAAAAAATATCCTACCTCATGGTATCTTCATGAAAATGAAACAAGATAATGAATGAAAAACACACTTGTTTGTCCAGTGCTTGGTATATAGTAGGCATTTAATTATATGTGCGTGAGTGTGCATGTGTGTGTTTCATGAATTACCGCTCCCCATCTTGCATCACCAAATACGTCTCATATCATCCCTGCATTTTTATGCCAATATTTCTTTAACCTCAAAGCCCTTTCCTCCTTCTCTTTGGCTTGGCAAACTCTTACAAGTTTGAGCTCAAATACCATCTTTTCATGGAGACTTTTCTGACTCCTTCAATCAAGGGGGGTCAGTGCTTCCTCTGGGTGCCTCTCTGGTGGCAATTATCTGACTCTATTGCAATGACTTGCTTACAAAGTCATCCCCTTCATTGAGGTTCTTTTTCATTTTGAAATCTGCAAGGTCTGGCATGGTGTTTACAAGCCAGGAGAACCTAAATAAATGTCAGACGAACAAATGAATGAACTAATGGGGAAAAGGGAAGGGTGGAACTTCCACCTACTCCTTCTGGCAAGTGAGGCTTGGTTGAAAGTTCCAAAGTTCAAACCTGAAGCTTCACATGATTGGAAAGCAAATCTATGTAAGTGTTCTAAGTAGGCTTTAAATAAAATTACTTTAAGAAAGTTGAAGATTACGTGGTGGGTGAATAAGAGTAATTGTTTTACAAAGGATTTCTAGACACAAAAAGATCATTTTCCAAGAATATTTTCTTTAAAGAGGAAGTTGACCAGTTGCTATAAGCAATTAGTTATTTAATAAAGAGTTTCAGTTCTATCTAAAATTAAGACAAAGCACCTCATTCAGAATGGGTGTCACCGGGGAAAAATCACTGAAACTGCACACAGCTGTTTACCTTTTAGTACCTAGTGAAGCACACCTGAGTGATATTTGCTTTTCTTTTCACAAAGGTCAACAACAAAGTTGCAAATCATCTAATGTATCTAAATTTTTAATATCAAATCACAACTTTGTAACTAAGATTTCCAAAAAAGGGTTATTCTATGAGTTACCTTGACTTTCAAAGCAAATACACAAAAGTAAAGAGAGCCTTGCTATTGCTCCTTCAGGATCTTATGAACTTGGCTATACAAATGTCATTCATAATCCATTTGACCTCTCACGTCTACCTCCCTAGAAACATTTTTCATAGTGGAAATTGCAACTAGAGCCAGTGGTCAGCTCTTCCACTCACCCCGCCAGCATTAGCAGCAGAGCCACATCCAGAAGTCCGGAGGCAATGTGAAACTTGGCTGGGGTCACTATGGCCACGGAACCTTGTTAAGAACAAAAAACAAAAGGTTGTGACCTTAGTCGCATCTAAAGGAAAGACATTCCTGCTTTAGATTATAAACTGGTTTGGATGGAAACCAGCTGATGTGTGGACACTCTGATGGTTTCAATAGGCTTTTCAGCTCTTGTAATTATCTCTCTGCTAAAGTAAATGTTAGTGTAACCATTGACATTTGATAAGTCACTCTGTGCTACCCAAGGCAGAAGATAGATAAACTTTAATCATTGTTTGGGTAGTCAATATGCATTTCTTATCATAGAACACTATCCTATTTTTTTTTACCTTATGTACAGAATATATTCACATAAATGTGCACTTACGTTGACATAATTGCACATGTATGCAAGTTTTTCTGCTTTTTAGTATGTGCATAGTTTTAAAACATGACACTCCTAGAGAACAAATGGTGACTTTCCTTTGCAAGTTTGAAGATCAGGCAGTGGTAATGGAGAGGCAGGAATGAGAACCTACTGAGAAAACACAGCAAATTAAAGATGAAGTGGTTCTGCAGGGACCACAGGCCTGTGGGGATGTGTTTTTGCTAAGACTGATTACATGTTGTCCTTTTCCAGCATCATGCATGGCACCCCTTCTCAGATTAGCGAGAATAATCTTTCTCAAAAGATCAGAAACATGCCGTTTCTCAATAAGGAGACAACCTGTCAAAATTATGCATCAATAAAACCATAACTCGAGGGCCTTAGTCATTTACAGCCATTAATTTCTTCCATCTTCTTTGAAATAGCCCCAAGGGAAGAAGCAAGTGACAAGCACTTCACACACGGAGACATGGCATACTAGGGACTCCTGCCAGCTCTACAGGATCCAAAATAGTTTTTTGGCATCTGAGCAAGGAATGGGTTCCAGGCTTGAGACAACTGTGCACATCAGAGGAATGGGTTCCCTCCCTCCAGCTGGGGCCCCAGCGAATCCTGCGGTCCTCCCGAGCAGGCTGCTCTGCTTTGAGGCAGCCAACGCTTGACAAAAGCCAGCTGGGAGCAGCTCAGACCAAGCCCATGCCCACACACTGCTATAAAAATGTTTTAAAGACCCCATTACATCTTATTTACTCTCCTTAGCAAGAGAAAGTATCAATGTCCTCCCCTCTCCTTCCAAAATAGGCAATATTGGCCTCCCTCTGGGGGTTCTTCAAAGACCCATTAATAAGAGCTCCTTTTCTGGGCATTACCAACTTGCACGTGAGTTGATGGAGATCAGTTTATTTCACATTCAACAAATGTTTCCTGAACATTCACTGTGTTCAGGGCACTGTGCTATGTCTAAGGGAAAAGTTCATGGAGGAGTAATAATCATGAAAAAAAATAACGGCTCAGGGAGGAGTAATAAAAATAATAATAATAATAAGAGCTCCAACATACTGTGCTTCCTACTATGTGTCAGACCCCATTGTAAGCATGTTACAGGATTGTCTCGCTTGATCCTTAAAAACAATACTGTAAGATGGGTATCGTCACTCCTATTTTACAGATAAGGAAGCTGGGATTCAGAGAAATTAAGGGACTTGGTGAAGCAGAGAATGCCAAGGGAATTGATTCAGTAGTGGACGGGGAGTCCCTGAAGACTGTTGAGCAGTGAAGAGACCTGATCGCATACTAAAAAAGTACATGCAATGGCAAGAAGATCAACTAAGAGGTAGGAAAATTAGCCAGGAGATAGGTAACATTCAGTGAAAAATGTGATGAAGGTTGACATGCAAATCTAAACAATATGCATATCTGCCTATATGTTTTAAGAACACAGACAACTGCAATAAAAACTATAAAGAAAAGCAAGGGAATTGTAAATGCAAAAATTCAGACCAGTAATCAGTTCTGGAAGGGTGGGCAGGTGCAGATGATGTAATTAGGGATGGAACATCAGAGGGCTTCCAGGTATTTAAGTGCTCTATTCCTGAGCTGCCTTGTAGGAACACGGGTGGCCATTGTATTTTTTGAAACCTAGATACCTGAGTTTCACAAACTCTCTCAGATCATAAAGCCCTTAGTGTCTCAACAAATTTTTCAGTGTCCCAAGACAAAACTAAATACCTGTGTAGGTTGTTAGGTCCCCAAATCTTAAAAGTCGTAGATTGTGTATTGTCCCTTGAAAACTGATATACGCTGTGAAGCCTCTGTGATTTCACTGTGGTGTCCTGGGTGCCTCAGCACAGAGACTGGGAACCATGACAGTGTAACATCATTTATGTTCATGTATGAAATGTTTCATGGTATATTTATATGTGTTAAAAATATAATTTATATATTAAATATATTATATGACACAAAGTTATACATAAATGTGTAATAAATTAATATTTAAATATAGAAATATGTCATATAATATTTATAAATAAAAGATAGAAAATATATGAATATATAAAATTTAATAAATTATACATTATATAAAATATATATTTAAATATAATAAACGTATTATACATTATATAGAAAATATATTATATTTGAACATAATAAGTGTTTGTTCAATGGTGAGGCCAGTGGAAACAGGAGGGGGTCTGTCTTCTTGGATTTTCTTGGCTCGGTGACTGACTGGAGGTGGGCACGGAAGAGTCAAAGGCCACATAAAATGTTGAGGCAGAACACGAGGAAAAGTGTGAAGTCAGTGGTAGGATCTGGCTGAGGGATTATGGGAAGGAATAAGTGTCGTTTGGGGTACAGAGATTTGTGGCAGCAGAAGGCATCAGATTGCCAGCTGGTTGAATATTTGGGACCAGCTTTTTGTCCCCAAGGCTTGGAGCAGGGGACAGATCCAGAGAATGCTACACAGAGATGGGGCAGGAGAGGAGAGACGACAGAAAGGCCAAGTGCAGGGATTACATGGTGAGGGCTGAGGGCAGAGAGTAGGGAGACCCCTATGTGTTTGCACAGGAGGAGAGAGAGGAGCCGGGAAGAAGTGATGGAGGAGCTTTTGGAGAGAATGCGGGGCAGAGAGCAACGGAGCACAACCTCACAGAAATTGAGGGAGACCTTTCCAGAAAGAGGGTGGGGTTGGGGAGGTTGTTAATGGAGTCCAATACTGGGACAGTCACAGATAAGAAAGGTGGATCAAAGCCATTGGAATGGACAATCATGAAGCCATGAAAAACAGATGGTGGGTTACTCTTGCTCTTTGAATACATTTGAAGGTAAAGAGAGGGGGTCAAAGAGGTAAAAGGACTTTTTCTTGTTGCCTTGTGAGCAACGGAGCACCTGTGCTCACTTCTAGGTAGAGAGAACAAAGCCAAGGGAGAGGGAAGCTTTAAAACAAAAAATCAGAAGGGAGGATGATTGGAGCAAAGTTACAGAGGGGGCCCAGGACAAGAAAGATGAGGGTGTCATCCTCAGAGACAGGAGGAAAAAATGAATGACTGAAGCTTCAAAAGGAGAGACATGGAGAAAGGTCATGTCTATGGCTCGGTGTCTCAGGAGAGTGAGAGGACAACCTGAGGGAATGAGGCTTGGGTGGGGACTTGAGGAGAATGGGAAAGACTTGGGGAGCCAATCTGAGAGATGCCTGAAAATTCATGAATCTTGTCCAAAGGATTGTCCAGCAGCCGTGAGGGTCATCTGCAGGCTCGATAGCCCGTGTCAGTGGCTTCAGTCAGCACAGCCCTGCGACTGTTCTCCTCAGTGTTTGGCAGCTCAAGAGAGAGGCCAGAGAGGGTTGGGGCAGCAAGGACAGTGCTGATGCAGTGGAGGTCAAGGTCAGGAGGGAATGTTAGAGATGTCTGATGGTCATCTGGGAGGGCCAGGGGCCTGCCAGGATGAGGAGGAGGGAGGTGTGGGCGTGGTGGCAGCTGTGTAGGAGGAGGATGTGCTGCCTGCCTGCCTGCCAGTGCCCCCAGATTCATTCCTGTTCTTTCCAGGGCCCCTCTCCTTCCAGCCTTCAGGCAGTGTACACCAATGGGGGGCCCTGAGGGAGCACTGGGGGTGCAGAGGGGGCGAATCGTGGTCATTTCTTGCCTTCTTCCCCCTTCCTGTGGCCTCACTTACAGTGGCTGTGTTTCCTTCTTGGCTGTGGATCCTGCAGGGAAACCCTTTCCTCCATGATCCCAGCTCCCACTAAGCAGCCACTGCCCCATGGCCCTGACGACCAGTCTCTGGTCACGCTACTTCCTCCCCATGTTCCTCCAGTCTCAGCAGTGGTCCTGGGTTACTAAAGATGCTAATCTCTCTATAATCTGTGAAGTGATTCCCTGGTTGAAATATCTAGAGTGGTTTCTGTCTTCCTCAGAGGACTTTAACTGATATACCGGAAAAGAATTAAAAACAAATATATCTCTCTTGATCTGCTCCCATCTCCTTTTTATACCTTTGCCTCCAAACAAGTGGGGAACAATATATAGTTTAAAAGTTATCCAAAGCAGCAAAATAAAGGAATGTGCACGTGTGGATACAAATGTCTTCTGATTGGAGAAAAGATGGGGCATGATGGCCTTGGGGTAACTGGAAGAGCCAGCACAAGCTTCTTTGCCACCTTCCAGAGATGAAAGCGGTGTGAACACAGAGCCAGGTTTGAGTATGCCGTCATCTATGTGGCCCTCTGGCCTCTAAGTAGCTCCTCTACCATAGGTTTGGTACCTGAAATTCCTCTATTCCTGATATATATATATATATTTTCTATTTGAGTCCAGTTACTTTTCAGCTCCAGGAAGTTTCTGTTGAAATAGAATAAGCAATATAAGAAAGCCACTCTATTAGACCAGGATGGGCTGGCTCTCCAGTTGGAGACGCGTTAGGGGATAGAACCATAATAGAGCTTGGGTTTGAATAGACAGAGAGAAATGGGAAGATTTGTAGGGACAAGCCAGGTGGAGGGTGGCCATGAGGACCAATGGACAGAGAGGGCAGGTTTGCTGGGAATAGACAATGAGCACCTCTACCTGGCTGGCACTTTAAGCAATGGAGGGAGAGGAGGTTGGGCAGGTGGGCTGGAACCCGAGGACCTAGACTGCTGGACTAAGGATTTGCACTTGTCCCAGAAGGCAGTGGGAAGCAGAGCTCTGCACAGAGCTAGAGCATGTCAAGTGGCATGTTAAGACAAAGACAAAGCCCTGAGTCCAGTGGCATCATGGAGAATGGATTGAAAGCAAAGGGAAACTAGAGACAGGAAGACTGACGAGGAGGTCATTGCAATAATCCAGACAAATTGTGATGAGGACCTGGACTAGAATAGTGGCAGGAGACCAGGGAAATAAAGGATGTGAGAGATATTAGGGAGGGACTATTCCACAGGATGAGGCTGGTTGGGTAGGAGAGTTCTAGCAGATGGATGAGATTCAAGCAAGGTTGATTTGTTGGAAGTGCTTCCAAAATATGCACTTTATTACTTATTCTCAGATACTTATGACTTCTCCAATGTCATTACCTAACTCACTTACAATCTGGCAACTCATATCCACTTTATTCATCACATGGGAGTCACTCTTATTCTGTGTTTTCACAAATAGATTCGCTTGACCCTTTAAAAAAGTCTTTTATAACGTAACATGTAATTAATTTTTTTAAACCAAGGCTTACAGAATCCCAGAACCCCCAAATCCAGGCTTGATCAAGAATGATTAGAAAAGCCTGGAAGTGGTAATTAAGCATTAACTTAGTTTGCCCCAATGGGGGACAGACTGTACCTCTCCTATGGCCAACTGAGGTCATGTGACAGCTCAAAGCCCAACTGTCTTATCCAGGAATCACTCCAGTGCAGTCCAGGTTGCCCCCGTTATGGAGGAGGGTCATGCCCACCAGAAAATAAGACATCCTGTCACTAGAGAAATGGCTTATTTTGAGTTTAATTTGGCAGTAAATAGAGTCCTTTCTAGAATTTTCCTTTGAGGTTCAATAGATCATTCAAGGCATTTAGATTCTGAGTTAAATAGATCATACTGGGTATATAAATATAAGGATATATTGGGAAATATACAATATAAATGATAATGGAAGACAACCTTAGTTTGATCCAATCCATGCAAGAAATGGAAATTCTATTGCCTTTGATAAAAGGTTTTCTTCTATGAGCTATATAAGATAAGGATGCTATGGTCACATGGTCACTGCTACTTTTGCCTGGAGAATAATTTCCCCACTAGTAACTATGACTGTCCTCAAAAGCAAAAAGAAATTTTGCTTTTGAGGAAATGGCAAGTTTCCTTGAAGCCACCACACTTATTCCCCACAGTAGATGCTGGCCCCACTTCTGTGAAACCCCCTGGAAGACCCTCTTAATTCACTGACCTAGTTCTCAACATCCTGCCTCAACCCACTATTTTCCCCTATCCCTGTACTGCTTCTGAGTGTTCAGGTCATCAACTTCATTCTCTCATTTCTGTCCTTCCTCCCACAGGACTCAATGTACAATATTCCATTCCAGCATTGAATTTGGGGTCAATGGATGACATTCAGATGCTCTACTCTTGCCATGCTTTCTACTTTCATGAGAATTTTGATTTATTCTATGTTAAAATTAACTAAGTTAATTTTAATCAATCCCTACCCTTGATGTAAATGTACACTTCCAGCAAGGTCCTGGTTTGGGGAGTTTGTTCATTTAACAAATGTTTAATGAGCACCTGCTAGTTTCTAGCCCAGTGCTAAATGCTGAGTTACTGAAGTAAAAATTGTGTTCCCTCCAGGAGCTCCCAGGCTGGAGGGGGCAGAAAATTATTACATGCAAGCACAGATGACTTGTAAGAATCTTTGCTGATTTGGATGGAAATTTTCTGCCCTTGGAATTTGGTATCTAATCCCTAAATAAAACACTTTAAAGAATGCCAATTAGAAGGAATAGGCAAGACTAAAATCAGTTGTTGTGTTTGTGGATTAGGGATGATTTATATTCTAATTTAAAATTTCCTTTAATGATAAAATAATATTTAGGCAATCAATTCAAATGTAAATTTTGGATAATGTCACTGTGACTCATAAACTCACTATCCACCTGCCACACTGGTGGAGACATCTGACCAATGAGGTTAGAACAGGTGGCTGCCTCAGAATCCCACATAGGAGCTGTGGACAATGTCTGCCGCCCCTCTGCGGACACTGAACTACATGGTTTTGGGTGTTTTTGCATCTAAAAGTTGCCTTTTGGCCCACCGCACCCCCCTATCCTGTACCCATATAAACCCTAAACCCCTGGCTCCACAAGAGGATGAACAGAAGAACAGAAGAGCAGCAGAATGGCACAGCAGAGAGAAGAGAAGGAGTGTCTAAACACCAAGAGTAGTTCTGCTGGAGGTGGTCAGAGAGGAGATCAGTTGCTGGATGGGCAAACCCCATGGGAAGATCATCTTCCCACTTCATCCCCTTTCTAGCTCCCCATCCATCCTGCTGAGAGCCACCTCCACCACTGAAGTCCCACATTCACCTTCCTCAGGTTCATGTGCAACCTCATTCTTCCTGGATGCTGGACAAGGACCTGGGTATCAAGAGGGCACTGAGCTGTTTAACACTTAAGTCGTCTGTGGACAGCAAGGCTAAAGGAGTGCACTGTAACACATGACCATTTGGGCTTTGGGAGTCTCAAGCTCCCACCCCTGAACACTGCCATGGGGCTGGAGCCCACGGGCACTCACCCTGGCTCCTGCACATGCCCGTCTGCATGCTCCCCCTCCCATAAGAAGTTTGAGCATGGATAGTGGCCAAACATATGAGCCACACCCCTGTCACAGGTCTTTTGGGGTGTGGGAGGGGCGGTGGTCAGGGAAGTCTCCTGTTTCACTTGTCTACCTTGAGCCCAGCAGTGTATTGGTATCACGACAGTTGCAAAGAAAATGAAGTCCCCACCTTCCTGGACTGCCCCAGTGTGAGATTTCAGAAACTGCCACTGCTGTGAGAGTGTGGGTGAAGGTGGAAAAAACTGGCAGAGGATAGCACTAATGGAGGATGTCTATGTGGTATAAAGCCTGTCAGTGTCACCGAGAGGCTCAGGAGATAGATGATCAAGAAACTTCATCATTTTCTAGAACAGTACCAGTCAGAGGAGGAGTCACAATCTGCATGTTTCCCAGACCAGAGCAGTTATCAAATCCCAAGTCTGCTGGTTGCCAGCACCTCCCAGAGGACCCCCTGTCCAGGGAGGCTGCTTGAAAACATTAGCACCAGGCTAGATCCCTGAATAGGCACAGCTTCAGTGAGCAGGGAGTAGGCTAGGCCCAGAGCCTCATTCTTTGCTCGATTCAGGAGCCTTGGGAGGCTGGTGGAGGGGTGAACTGAGGTGCCTGCTGTGTAACCAGGGCTAGGGCTGTCTCTCAGGGAGTTCATAGCAGGACACTCCTTTGCTTACTGTCGAGGTTTGCTCTCTGGTGACTTCCAAATTAGGAATCCAAGCTAGCCTGGAAACCCAGGAATGCAGGAGGAGAAAAAGGCATGTCCCAAAGAGGGGACTGAGCTGATCTTGGCCCACCGCCTGAAAGGAAAGGCCACAAGTTCTCTATCCACCCGGCACTCTGATCACCCCCTCCTCAATGGCACTTTTATTCCGTAAAACTCATTTGGTTGAACTTCTGACAATAGGTATATTTATTTTTATTAAAAGCATTAGGAAAGAACATTTGCAGTTTTATGATTTCTACTTCCATCCATAGTCTGTGATAGAAGATGATGCTCTTTGGCTTGTTACCAATGCCAACAAACAAATAATGTGTTTGACTTTCATTTGGTGCCGGGGACCCAGGCTCAGGCAATACTGGCCAGTGATGATTATTTATGGTAGAATATAAAACGGAACTTTGATTTATGAATCAATTATTTGCTATGTGGTTTTAAAATGTGCTCCTACGTATTTTTACATGGAGGCTCAAAGACAAACAGGTGCTGGTCTCTTGGTTTACACTTTATGGTGATTAGCAGGTCAGGAGGGGTGAGGAGCAGGCAGGCAGGCCAGCACCCAGTGCATCCTGAGGCCAGGTGGGAAAAGAGGCAGCTTTGTGGATCACAGGCCCTGGGGGGAAATATTTCAGCATTCTCAGCTCATCCCTCCCGCCATCCCCCTGTTCTCCTTTGTGTCCTGGGTAAGCGTCTCAGGCCCCAAGCACTGTGGGGGCAGAGTTATTGTTCTCTCTATACTGGTGGGTCCCTGAGAAATGAATAATTGCGCCCCTGAGGTAAGAAGAAGTACAACACTTCCAGGAAACCTCCTTTGTTCCCTGGCCCTACCCCTGGGGGTGACCGCGGCCAGGCTGTTTTCTAGACCATATTTTCTTCCTTGACTGACCTGCTGCACACCCACCAGACTCAGACCTCCACCCCATGTAACAGCTGCGCGGACCAGGATGCAAGACCACAGGCAGAGGCGAGGGGAAGAGCCCCAGAGCATCACCCCCACTACCCACTAATGGTTGGAGGAAACCTTCGAGATCAGCCTGGGGCAATTGTCCAAATTGCCTTTTGGGGCCTTTTGTTAATTATTATTATTATTATTATTATTATTATTTTTATTTATTTATTTATTTTGAGGCAGAGTCTCACTCTGTTGGCCAGGCTGGAATGCAACCTCCACCTTCCAGGTTCAGGGTTCAAATGATTCTCCTGCCTCAGCCTCCTGAGTAGCTGGGATTACAGGTGTGCCCCACCGCACCCAGCTAATTTTTTTATTTTTAGTAGAGATGGGGTTTCGTCACGTTGGTCAGACTGGTCTCGAACTCCTGACCTCAGGTGATCTGCCCGCTTCCGCCTCCCAAAGTGCTGGGATTACGAGCATGAGCCACCGTGCTCAGCCTGTTAATTAATTTTTAATTTATTTTGTCTAACACGTATTTGTTGAGCATTTGTTCAGTGCCAGCCCAATGGTGAAATAACTGACATTGTGCCTTGTGGTTCTTACTGTCTAGCTGGGAACAGAGCTGAGCACCAGGCAGTTGCTCTGCACTGTGGCGAGGGGGCTGATTAGGGGAGCTCTGGGCACTGTCAGAGGGGCGCCTTGCCTTCGCTTGGCTTGGTGGCTGGGGTGGAGGAGGACAGACAGGGAAGAATGAGTGAAAATCGGGCAGGCAGACTGAGTTTGGGAGTGGGGGTGAGGAAAAGATGCTGGTGAGGGTGCTCCCAGCAGAGGGGACAAACCTCAAAGCAGCTGCATACAGACAGGAGGAAGCATGGTGGATTCTGAGAGCTGGCAGAGGCTGGATAAGCCTGGAGCCCTGGGCGCCAGGTGGCAGGCATGGAGAGGTGCCTGAGAGAGAACCAGGGGACTGATCGTGGGGACTTCAAAGCCATGTTGGAGGTTCAGGCTGACAGTCTCATCGCCAGGCCATCACTCTCACTGCCAGGATCGTGGTCAAATGTTCTCTGACCCCCTCCAAGCCTGGCCAGTGCTGTGGGCTAGGACCAGAGGAAGGGAAGACAGAGAACAGGACATCGTGATGGAGGGAAGCAGAGCAGCTTCCCCAAGGGCTCTGTTTTTGTCCTGCTCCCTTGGGTCACCCAGCTTTGGCAAACAGCCCTGTGGGCCAGGGTGGGGAGGCTCTTGCCACTTATTTTTAATTTCCAGGATGCCTTAATAAATGTCATTCTTATCTCAGGAAATGAGTTTGAAATTTTGCAGACACACCATGCCCAGCGTGGCAGAAAAGCTCTCACTGCCTCTGCAAGGGCTGCTCTAAAATCCTCATGACCAAGGTTGCTGCCGGGGTCTCTTGGTAGACTCAGGCTCTCCCTGGCCATGGCACCTTAGCCAAGTCATTGAACCTGGACACTTTTTGTCCAACAGATTTGTTTTCCTGTTTCAGTCTCTGAAGGAGGAATTGCTTTTGCTCCTCCTGGCTCTGTCATCTGCCCTCCCTGGACCTAAGCCCTCTCTTTTCTCTCCTGTGTCTCCTGGCCTCAGACAGGCTGCCCACCATCCCACCCTGACTTCTGGCTGTGTAGCAGGAATGGTGTGCACTGGACATGGCAGGTCAGAGCGGAAATGCCTTGGCAGAGAGGTGGGAGGCAGCTTTCCTGGCCCTCAGCTCTGCTGCACCGGCTTCGGGCCAACATTTCTTTTCCTTCCTTTTACAAACAGTCTGTTCAACCACAAGACTGGACTAGAAGATAACCCATTTACACAGTGAAGATTCGGGTGACAGAGGTGAGAAGCCAGTCTTGGGAGCTCCTGCTACCGTGTGTGGCTTCTGACATGAACCTTGGGAACGCCTTCACTGGTCTGGCCCATGAGCAGCCAACCTAGCAGCTCCAACAATAGGCTTCACTCCTGCCAGGGGAAGCTGGCTGAGCCCTTGGCGGGCAACACCCAGCTGCTTTCACTTCCCTGGCAGGAGCTACAGGAAAGACGAGAGCCCTGGAACCCACAACAGGCCCACTGAGCGTTCATTGACTTCCTAGGGGTTTGCCCTACCCTGGGCTCACGTCTCACATGCTGGCTTAAGCAGGATAAGACACTCTGCAATCCAGTTCTGAACTGTGTATACAAGCTGTAGCGCTCAGAAGAACACTGAGAAAGGGAAGGTGACGTGGGCTGGAAGGTGATGGGTCATGTAGGAGTGCCGAGCCTCTTGGCGACTGTGTGTGGAGAGTTTTAGGTCTGTACCAAAACGCAATTCTTTTGCCTCTTTCGCACCACTAGTTAGCGGGCTCTAAGGCAGGTGGTATTCATGGCATGTTCACTGCCTATCCACCCGGTCACTGAGCAGACACTTATAGGACATTAACTTTATTCCCTTCCCTGGTCAGATGGTGAGGAAGTACAAGGGTGATGGGTAGGGTGCTGTCCCCAAGGAGCTCACAGTGGGGCTCAAGGCTTTGAGGCTTAGGGTCATGGTTGCTTGTTGAGCTGTATCCCAATACAAAGCTCACAGGTAACCAATCTGATGACCAAGGTTAAGCCCACTAAAATGTTCTAATGACCCCTTGCATAGAGAACAAGGACTTACAATAGAACAGGATGACACCAGGTGCATTTTGTTTCGTAATCTGTTGACAGCAAGCTTTATCTGAAATCTTTTCCATTATGAAAGGCTAAGGAAGCCCCATTCATCCCAGTTACCACTGCCTAGGAACCATATCATGTGACACAGGCTAATTAGAGGGCCCGGGTTTGAGTTCTGACTCTTACCTCCTCCTATCCTGGGCAGGTCACTACTGCTCTGTGCCTCAGTTTCACCAAGGAGAAATAAAATATAACAGCAAAAAACACCAAACTAGTAAAAACAAAATTATCTACCATAATAGTAAGGTATTAAGTTCTAGTAGTATCATCATATGGGAGAATCTGGTATAAACTTAATAAAGCTACAGGATAATTCAGTTGTAGTATTCAGTTTCCAGCCACATGAGAAATACCTGAAGAATATTCATTTCTAATTTTCCTCAACCCAGAAGCTGCTCAGTAAATTCCCACAAAACCACCTTAGATCTTAGGTGAGGACCAGCTTAATATTCATTTCTGATTTCCCTCAACCCAGAAGCTGCTCAGTAAATTCCCACAAAACAATCTTAGATCTTAGGTGAGGACCAGCTTTCCTTTCACAAGTGCTATGGGCAGTGCTCCCAGTGAAGCAGCCTCTGAGATGAAGTTTAGCATCCAGGATGTTTTGGGGGGAGGTTTTCTTTTATATTATGTTTTGATCAACACCTGTTGAAGGGAGGGAAAGCAAGCGGGAGTGGCCAGAGGAGGAAGTTGAGCTGCATGCAAACCCACGATGGCCTCAACAGACCACCCAGGCTCAGTCCTGGAGCTCTTCACAATGATCCCACTCTGGGCCGGGATGGCTAGCCCATCATAGCCCTGCACCAATCTAGTGTTTGGTTTTGTTTTTATTATATTTTACCTCCAGCTGGGGAAACTGAGGTGTAGAGCAAGGGTGGCCTGCCCAATGTTGGAAGAAGTAGAACCAGGACTCAAAACCCAGGCCTTGGATATCCTGTGTCACGGGACATGGGGAGTCGGAGATGGTAGATGAGATGAATGGCTAAAAGGGGCTCTGTGTGGCCCAGGACAGTGTCCACACAGTGCAGTAATCCCTCACTTTATCCACTCATTTGTTCAACTCATATTTCATATGCTTAGTTTTCTACAGGCACTGGTAGTTAAAAAATGAGTAAAGTGGCCGGGCGCGGTGGCTCATGCCTGTACTCCCAGCACTTTGGGAGGCAGAGGCGGGCTGATAACGAGATCAGAAGACCGAGACTATCCTGGTTAACATGGTGAAACCCCATCTCTACTAAAAATAGAAAAAATTAGCCAGGCGTGGTGGCAGGCACCTGTAGTCCCAGCTACTCAGGAGGCTGAGGCAGGAGAATGGCGTGAACCCAGGAGGCGGAGCTTGCAGTGAGCCAAGATTGCGCCACTGCACTCCAGCCTGGGCAACAGAGGGAGACTCCTCTCAAAAAAAAAAAAAAAAAAAAGAGTAAAGCACCATTCCTCTCCTCCATGAGCTCATATTTGCCAGGCCTATTTTTCTACAAAGTTTATTTTGAGCATCTACAAAATCAGCAAGTGTGCCTCATCTTTCACTAGGCTCATGACTCTTGTGGGTTTTTGTGAACATGCAGTTTCTCAGTCGGCAGGTCTGGCGTGGGCCTGCGGCTTTGCATCAGAAATGTAATGCTGTGGGTCCTGGCTCACTTTGAGGAGCAAAGATCTGCTCTTCAGAGGCAGGTTTGGGTTTTTTGTTTGTCTGTTTGTTTGCGTTTTAGAGATGGAGGTCTCGCTCTGTCACCCAGGCTGAAGGGCAGTGGCATGATCTCAGATCACTGTAGCCTCGACCTCCTGGGCTCAAGCGATCCTCCTGCCTCAGCCTCCTGAGTGGCTGGGGTCACAGACATGTGCCACCACACCTGGCTAACTTTTTAAAAAAATTTTTGTAGAGACAAGTTCTCACTATGTTGGCCAGGCTGGCCTTGAACTCTTGGGCCTAAGTGATCCTCCCACCTTGGCCTCCCAAAGTGTTGGGATTACAGGCTGGAGCCACTGGACCCCGCCCAAAGGCAGTTTCTACTTGGGTCTCTCTAAGTCAGTCCCACCATGTCCTCTCCCATTGGACATACCTGGAGGATGCTTCTAAAGGGACCAATGCCATGAGAAATGACTTTGCTTACTAAATGGCCTTCTGGATTCAGTGCTTCTGAGAAACCATCTTGGACTAGATGGGGCCTCTTGGGAGCCCAGCCATGGGTGCATAGGGGGCTTTCTGAGCCCTTTCTCTAGATTCCACAAGGGTTCCACATGTCACTGCCTTCACTTCACTGTCACAGAAGTGGCTTTATGGTGCTTTGTCTGTGGAAAGTACTTAGCTCTGGAAAACCACACTTGTTCATGTGAAACCTGACTAATGACAGGAACTGGACATGAGCTGGCCATTGAATTTGCTCAGGATGGTAGGATTTTCACCAGGGAGCATCCCAATGGAATCCATTCGTTTTGCTGGGCCAAAGTCAACAGGAAAATGAGAAAATTTTCCCAAATTAGGGCACAGCCCTTTCCCAATGCTGTTGAGGTGACTGCCCACCACTATGTTTAAATGCAACTTCCTTTTTGTTTTTTCAGTTTGCAGTTACTACTGATACTGCTAAATTATAGTTTGTGTACATGCACGTTTTATTCCACATGTGTAGGTGTCAGACATTTCACTAACCCAACATTTGGTGTATCTGCTGGCACATTGAGACTAAGAACTGGGAGGATACACAGTACAGGGGAATGGTTGACGTTAATTCATAGGTTGCTTTGTTTCTGTCTCAGTAAGGAAACAGGCTGCTATAGTAACACATTTTTGGGGTTTTATCTCATGGGGAAAGCAGAAAATTGCCTGTGTGAATAGCTCCACCCAGTAATTATTCACAGAACTTCAGGTATTGAAACTCACCATTTCTGTGGTTTATATTAATGGCTTCTGTAAAGTTAAAAAAAAATTAAAATACATTTCACTTTCACTCTGCCAAAGCAAGCAAACAGCCACAGGAAGGACCAAACTAAGTAGATAATTTATTTCAGATTCTTTAAATAAGGGAAAAGAACATGCAAGTCAAGGCCCTGGAACCTTCAGGAACAAGATTTACCACATTTAAGTGGTACAAATTTAAAGGCACTGGAAATACAAGAGGGAGAAAACAGAGAGGGGCCTGACCTCGGGTAATGTAACAGGGGCAGCATGGAGATAAGAAACAACTTGACAAGTAAGTTAATTACTAAGCTCACGTCCTGATTAGGACTGCGGAGGAAATAACAGGAAATGTACTAAAGAATAAAACAGGACACCACCTTCTTTGGGTAGGGTGGCCAAGACAGACCTCCCTGAGAAAGTGACATTTAAGCTGTGACCGGTAGGAGGAAAAAGAACAAGAGGGCATGTTCTCTTTCTCTAGCAATGTAGTTAATGTCTACAAAAGGGTAGAATAGATAATTTACTACTTCTCTGGCTAAGCCAACTTCCCACCTACTTCTCGGTGCCAGGGAACTAACATTTAAGGGTTTTGTGCAGGAGCTTTCTTAACCTGCAGTGCTGTGAGATGGGTTGATCTTCAGAATAGGAAGGCAGTTCAGGAGGTTAAAGAATTTGGCCAGGGTTGTACAGAGAGTATAACAGGCAGGCTTGGTTGAGAAATGCGCCACATCAGGAAAAGACAAGCACCGACTGCTTTTATATTTCCAAATAATGAATATCAACAGTTTTGACCAGTGTCTACCTTAGACACACTAGCTGGAGGGGAAAATGTAAAACTGAGTTTTAACAGTATCTCAGGCGCAGTGGCTCACGCCTGTAATCCCAGCACTTTGGGAGGCCGAGGGGGGTGGGTCATTTTAGGTCAGGAGCTGAAGACAAGCCTGGCCAACATGGTGGAACCCCATCTCTAATAAAAATACAAAAATTAGCCAGACGTGGTGGCAGTTGCCTGTAATCCAGCTACTTGGAATGCTGAGGCAGGAGAATTGCTTGAACCCAGGAGGCGGCGATTGCAGTGAGCTAAGATTGCGCCACTGCACTCCAGCCTGGGCAACAGAGCAAGACTCTGTCTCAAAAATTAAATAAATAAATAAAAAATAAAATAAAATAAATAAAAAGGTATCTCAGTGCATCAAATACATTTAGCATGACTCAGTGATTTGTAGTCTTGTCTGATTGTTACAGTGTTGGTCTCATCTCTCTCCATCCTATCTATGTCTTAGGCCTAGCAACACTGATGTTGGTGCCTGGGGCAGGTGATAGAGGAAGGAGTTACCTGTGTGTTTGCCTGTTTGTCAGTGGTGGGCAGATTGTCTTGGCTCAGTCTCCTCTTCTGTTGTTTGACCCACAGAAAATGTGCTACCTCTTGGTTGCATAGGTGGGCTTTCCTCTGGGTTCGTGGATTGGTTCTTTGGCTGGTAGTGGTGAAGGAGGGAACTCACTGAAGCACCTGTCCACCCTCACTGCACATGTGAAGTCCGCCCCTCAGTCCATTTCACCACCGTCTCTTTTCACCATCCTTGATGGATGGGTTTTGGAGTGACCATATCATGATGGCCTAGGTCTCAGCTACTTTCTACACTATTTTCTTGATTGACCTACATGGAGAAAGTTTCTATCTTTGTTCCTCCATTGAGTGGTAAGAAGCCAAGCTGTCTTCCCTGACCCCTCAACCTCCCATTCACCCTTTCTGCTCCACTTTCTCCCATACCCTTGCATCATCAGGCTATCTGTCAGTTCAGTGGTTTAGTGCTCAGCTGAGCCAGGACCTGACTAAGATGGGAGGTTGAGGGAAGTGGTGGTGGTGGTGGGGTGGGGTGGGGCAAGTCAGGAGTCACTGATTGCACAGGAAGGGAACTTTCTATTCTTTTCTCTCATTTCCTTAATAAAGACGAGAGAGAAGTCATCATAAAGGTGCTGTTGGTTCACTCCCTCTTAGAAACTCTGTGGCACGGTGTGGCACCTTCTGTTCTTAGCTATGAGCAATCTTTCCAACCTTGCATTGGGTTGGATTGGTGGAGGGAAGGGGGCTCCCCAATCTGTACCTCACATTCTTATGTTCTAGAAAGTAGGTGGCAAAGCCAGGATTTAAATCCAGGCTATGTGGCCCCAAAGCCCATGACCTTTTCTCTACGTAGCGCCATCTCCGCTATGTACTATATTTTAGAGTGGAGCATGCTTTGAAAAAAAATTAAATTTCCAAGCCAAGAAAAAGAGTACAAGGGAGTGTGGGGATGGGGGTGAGGTGGGTGGATATTTTTTAAGTCTTTGCACAAAATTTAGGTAGAAGAAACCAAAAGGGGTGGGTATGAAGGATGTGAAGTTAAAATATCTAAATTTCTGAAACAAATACTATGAGTTTTGCCTGGGAAACATGTACTAATCACTTCCTCAAGTGAATGAAAGCTTGGCCATATCCTACTTCTACTCATGGTAGATGGCTCCAGTGGGTATATTATTTTCGTATGCCTATGAAGTGTGGGCTTGCAGTAAGAGCAGAGATCTGTACAAGACTGCAGAAGGAGTGAAGCTGCCAGGACTTGAAGCTATGTTGACCTGACTGTATCCAACACACAGAACTCAAACACCACACTGTTCATAAAGCAGAGCCAAGGAGAAGGTTTGGATTCTGAGAGCAGACATAGGGAGGGGCCATGTTAGAAGTGGGGGAAGAAGGAGAAGGGGCTGCCACCAACTAAAGTGAGTGTCCTGTCCTCTTTCCACTCAGAAGATTATCCTTCTCACCCTTGTCATTCAATATCTCCCCATCCAGAACACCCTCTTCCCTATTAACCACATCCAACTGACATACTCAGATTTCCTTACAACTTCTTTTTACAGGCTGTTTAAGCCCTGGGTGACTGCCTCTGACTAAACCAGTCAACTGTTGGGTGTAAGTTGTGTTACGGAGAAAGGGTATCTTGAATCAGCTGTGATTTGAGGTTGGACTCACTCAATCATTTTGTATTTTAAGGCATTCTTTGAGGAAGTTCAGAGGTTCACTCCATCCTATTTGAATTAGATTGGGTCTTCAATTTATGGCCATTTAACTCAACAAGTGAAAAGAGTCATTTCTAAGTATTTCATTTTATAATAAGTGGGAAATGAATTGAAATAAAACAGATAAAACAAATAGCATTTTCCACACTATTCACCATTATCTTTCCCTCTGGCAATCAAAAAGTACCTGGCTAATGGTAGCGTGTAGCCAGGTACTTTTCTATTGCCAAAGGGGAAGATAATCTTATGTGACTCACTCCCTGCCCTCAAAGGCAAGGAAATAAGATTGTATGTCTGCAACACAAGCAAGACCATAAGTGACTTTAAAAATTAAGAGATGTGAGAATTGAACTAATCTTTCCAGAATAATGATGATGATAATGATGAAGACGACTGACACTATTTAGTGTTTGTTATGTGCAGGGCACTGTGTTGTTTTACATACTGAGTAGCATTTACACACGCAAGGTAGGGCACTTGTATTGCAAGCAGATGGAGCAGCAAGAGCACAAGCATGGAGAGGGAAGGCTCAGGGCCCATGTGCAAACAGAGCACTTTGGTTAGAAGGCGGGGTACATGAAGGGCACTGGGGGGGTAACAAAGCAGAATGGGTAGCTAGGGGCATGTTATGGAAGATCTTAATTCTACAGATGATGAGGAGCCACATATAAATTTTGAGTGATTTCTATAATTGCTCCCACCCTCCCTGATAGAATTTATCATTTTTTCTCCTGTGCCAGTTGTATTATGTTAAGTTTTATAGAAACATCTGTATCCTGTAGATGTTTCCAAGTTTTTTTTTTTTTTTTTTTTTTTTCTTGATTACAAGCCTCCTTGAGAGCAAGGCGTGGTGCAGAATAGGCTCTTACATGTTGTTCAAAAGAGTCATCATCGCTGTTACCGTCAATCTGGCTGCAGTGAACAGAATGGACAGAGGGGGAGGCAGCCCAAAGGCCAAGAGATAGGCAATGAGACACAACATAGGAGAGGAAGTGTGGACTGGGATGGGGGTAACATGAATTGAGAGCGGGAAGCCTGTGAGAGACAATTTGGAAGTTAATGTTGGTGAAACAGAGCAACTGTGATTTGATCTATGTTGGCGGGTAAGATGGGGTGGAATTGGGGTCCAGGCATTACGAAGGGCTCCCAGGAGACATATTGCCAGGGTAGGCAGAAAGAGTCCTACTCCAGGGGAAGGCAGAGCTAACTGTGAAGATGTGGGTCTTGCTCAGTTGCTCCTTCTGCCTGGAATTCCCACTCACCCCCACTGTAAGTAATCCAATCATACACAACTTTCAGGAACATCTCAGAACATCTCAGAAGCCTGTGCCTTTTAGATGCCTATCAGAATCTCTATTTCTAGGCATTAGCTCTCCCACCTTCCAACCCATATAGCATTTTAAGCTTCCCATGTGGCATGTTCAGTTTCATGTCACACTTATTTGTTCTCTTACCCCTTCCTAACAGAACATAGGCTCCCTTTGTTCTGTGTTCATACCATTTTATTCATTTGAGTGGAACAACTGCCCTGATTCCAGAGCTTTATTTTCAGATCCAAGGGGAGGGGAAGAAGTCAACAGTGACTCCAAGGTTTTTGCCTGAACTATCAGAAGGATGGAGCTGCCATTAACTAAGATGGGGAAGAGCATGATTGATAAGAAATAGCAGGAGGTCATTTTTGGACAAGATATATTTGAAAAGTCTACTACACAGCCCACTGGAGATGTTGAGTGGACAGTTTGATATATAAATTTGAAACTTAGGAGTGAGATACAAGCTACAGGTATACATTTGGGAGTTGTTAACTTACAAAGGGCCTTTAAACGCTTCAGACTGGATGGGATCATCAGTAAACTGAATAGGGCTAGAAAAGAGAAGACATCCAAGGACTGAACTCTGAGGTACTCCAGAGTTTGGGGAGAAAAGGAATAAATAGCAAATGAGACTGAGAAGTGACTGATGTGAAAGAAGGAAAACAAACAAAATGCAGAGTCCTAAACATAGCAAGATTAAAGGATTTCCAGGGGAAGGGAATCATCTATTACTTCACATTATGCTACTAGGTCAAGTAAGATAATGACCGAGAATTGAATTAGCAATGTGGAGGTCATTGGTGAACTTGAAAGAGTACTTTTGGTGGAATGGTGAGGACAAAGGTTTGATTGGAATGAGTGTAAAAGGGGAATGAAGGAGAGGAATTAGAGGCAAAAACTTTGAGAAATTTTCTGTAACAAGAGAAGTGGGACACTAGATGGGTGGAAAGATAAACTGAGGTTTCTTTCTTTTTTTTTTTTTTTTTTTTTCAGAAAAAAAAAAAATAATAATAGAAATACCAGCATGCTGATAGGAGTAATCCAAGAACAAGAGGAAAATTAGTGCAGGAGAGAGAGAGAGAGAGTGAGAGAGAGAGAGAGAGAGAGAGTGAGAGAGAGAGAGACAGGGAGAGGAGAAAGAGAGAGACAGAGAGAGGAGAAAGAGAGAGGGAGAGGAGAAAGAGAGAGACAGAGAGGAGGACAGAGACAGAGAGAGGAGAAAGAGAGAGACAGAGAGAGGGAGAGAACGGAGAATTACAAGAGTGGTGTCCTTGAACAGGTGAGAGGGAATGGGAGCTGGTGTACAAGTATAAGGAATGGCCCTATAGGCACAGATGGTTCATCCATAGTAATGAGAGGAAAGGTAGAGCACAGTTGTGGCAGGTGAGTAGATATGAAATGGAACATTGTGGAAGTTCTTTTATTTCTGCTTCAAGTTTCAGGAAAGAATGGGAAATACTTGGGTGCCAAAGGAAAAAAGAAAATTCAAACTAGGAAGGCAAGCTTCTGTGTTGATATTTCAGCCAGTGTGGGGAGGCGTCAGGAGTTGGTCAGATACTTTCCTGGCTTGGATTTTAATGGCTATGGAGGGACAGAGACAAGATTGCGTGTCTACAAAAGGTGCTGAGATGGCTACGTAAAGCCTGGACTCTCAAAGGACACCACTGAAAGGTTAGACTAGAAAACATTGTACCTGCTGGGCATGGTGGCTCATGCCTATAATCCCAGCACTTTGGGAGGCCGAGGCGGGCGGATTGCCTGAGGTCAGGAGTTCGAGACTGGTCTGGCCAACATGCTGAAGCACCGTCTGTACTAAAAATACAAAAAAATTATCTGGGCGTGGTGGCATGTGCCTGTAATCCCAGCTACTTGGGAGGCTGAGGGAGGGGAATTCTTTCAACCAGGGAGGTGGAGGTTGCAGTGAGTCAACATCGCACCACTGCACTCCAGCCTGGGTGACAGAGTGAAACTCCATCTCAAAACAAAAACAAAACAAAACAAAACAAAAAAACAGAAAACATTTTGCCAGTGGCCCAGATGATCATAGGGAAACTCATCTGGCTATGAGTGAATAAAAGCATCCTGCAAAATGCAAATCCCAGGCCTAACCTTCTCTCAAATTAGTGGTTCAAATATATGTTACCCCAGGAACCTCAAAACCAGAGCCAGTGATGCCCATGGGACGCCTGTAAAACACATGAAAAATCCATGGATGGATGCTCCCATAGCTGCAGGGGATTCTTGCATGAAAACAAGCCCCACTAAGGATGAACTGATGGTCAAAAATTATAAAACAGAGGAAGTTTAAAAAAATCCAACATGAGTGAAAATAAACAGATCCAGCTAACGGGAGGATTGGAGGTGCAAATACTTGAGATAATAGAACAATTGACTAGAGACTTTAAAATATGTGTATGTAAATAATTAAGGGTATAATCAGAAGCGTAAGAAAGTAACAACAAAATGAAAATAGAATTTCTAGAAGTACAATAAAAAATCAGTTAGTATTAAGAATGCAATGACTCAATAAAATGGTAGAGAAGATAAAGATGAAGAATCAGGAAATTAGAAGATCTATCTAAAGAGTTGTCCAGAATTATCATAGAGATAGAGACTAAAACTAATAAATAGACATTAAAAGCATGGTGGAAAAAATAAGATGGCTAACCTATGCCTAATAAGAGTTTCAGAATATGAAAAGGAAAGGGAATAGGGGAAAGTTAAGATTTAAAAGACGAATGAGGCCAGGCATGGTGGGTCATGCCTGTAATCCCAGCACTTTGGGAGACCAAGGCAGAAGGATTGCTTGAGGCCAAGAGTTTGAGACCAGCCTGGGCAACATAGTGAGAGGAGTTGGAGGCTGCAGGAACTATGATGGCACCACTTCACTCCAGCCTGGGCAATTGAGTGAGATCCTGTCTCTGAAAAACAAACAAACCCTAATGACTGGGAATTTCCATAATTGATGACATAAGCCCTGAGACAAGAAGCACAAGTCCCAAAGAGGAAAAATAAAGTTAAATTCACAGCTAGATGCTTTGGAGTGGAAATGCAGACCACTAATAAGAAGAGAATAACTTAAAAGCCATCCAAGATGACAGACAATTTATCTAAAAAAGGAATATTTAGACTTATCATAGACTTCTTAACAGCCACCATACAGACCAGATGACAATGGACAAATACATCAATATGCTGAGCAAAAAATAAAAATCATATTAGAAATACTAGAAAAAATCATACTAGAAATATACAGCCAATTAAATTATTCAGGAGTGAGGGTAAAATATAGACATTTCAGGGAAAAACTGAGAGACATTAAATAGAGTATTGTTGAAAGACCTACTAAAGGATATACTCCAGAAAAAAAGGTGTGGAATAAAAGAAGCAATGGTGTGTTTTCTGTATATTTCTGTTATGTTTCAAAAGTAAAATAAAAAATTAAAATCCCCTACTTACATATTTCTATCTATCTAAAGAAGCATGGCTTCCAAATGTTGCCTATATCATAGATCTTTTCCAAAAAATTAAGTCGTAGACTTGAGTAAATTCTAAAGATAGTTTTCCTACTTCACAGAAGAATTGGTTTCAATCAAAAGGGCCTGAGATACGTTCTTAGAAAGAAAAAAAAAATGAAATAAGGAGAAGCAGAACCTGGCATTAGCTCCCTAGAGAATTATTCTCTGGTCAAAGTTTGTGAGTCTCAAAAATTTGAAAGATATCCTTCCATAGGAAGGTTTTCTGTCTGAAAACCAAGAACTGTTACCAAAAAATTATTGAAATTCTCCACAAGCAAGTGAATCATCTATTTAAAAGGCAGCTAAAGGCTCAGGAGACTTTGCAAATGTAAATGAATGAGCAGAAAAGAATGCTGAGCCTTTAGTTCACGTATGTTATTTCCCTGACTAGATACTTCTCTGGGGGTAGAGGGAAGGACCTTTGTAGGATAGTAAAAAGTTTGTAAACACATGAAATTAATGAGATATTCCTAGGGGACATGTAAGGAAGAATTTTTGTGTGGAAAAAGGGAAGAGGGGCTGTTAAAATGATGGATGCCGGGAAACATGTTTAAAAACCTATAAGGAATAAAAAAGGTACAAATAAAGAGAACAGTACTATACTGGGAGATTAAACACAGCAACAAAAAAACCTCTATTTAGGAAGGGAGCTTTCCAAGGAGAAAGTCTGTAATTCTATCATTTGGCAAAGGTTGGAGCCCCTCTTTGGGGTTGCCAGGAAAGATGCTTAAATTACAATTTTTATAGTTTCCTTCAATGGAACTTCAGGAAATTGGCCAAATATGTATGACTGAATATGGATCCAAATCTGACAGGCTGAGTTGTGCACTATATTAAGATTTGAATCCTCAGTTTGGCTCCTTCCTTAGGCTCTTGGGCCATTGTTCATCCAGGGAAGATTTATTGAGCCTGACTCTGAGCCAGGCAGTGTGCAAGGTGTCCAGAGGTCCTAATTCATTTCTCTAGGCCATCATTCTCCTTGGCAATTAGTTCACAACTCTTCTCTGTCCTCAACCTCCCAGTCTTTCATTCATCCACCTCTCTCTCAGCTGATGAGCTTTCTGTTCAATTCACTGAGAAATAGAAGTTAACAGAAGAACACTTTCACAGGTCTACCAACTATATCTTCACTTCCCTAATTGGCCTGCCCCCTAGTTAAAATGAATTAACTGGGCTTTTGCCTGGTGCCAACCTCTCCACAGGGTCAGTGGATCCCTTCTCTCATCAACTCAGATATGTCTCCAGCCAGTTCTCTCTCTCTCTTTAAACACCATCTCTCCACTAAGAATTTTCCAATTCAGGAATCCAAACTGATCTTTCTCTTGAACTCCAGACTTCATTCAGTTGCCCACTTCACTTCTCCACTTTAATGTCTAATATAAATGTCAAACCTTACATTTCCAACCTGGTGTGGTGGCTTACGCCTGTAATCCCAGCACTTTGGGAAGCTGAGGCAGGAGAATTGCTTGAGCCCTGGCATTTGAGACCAGCCTGGGCAACATGGCAAAACCATATCTCTAAAAAAAAAAAAAAATTATTCAGGTGTGGTGGCGCACTCCTGTAGTCCCAGGTATTTGGGAGGCTGAGGTGGAAGGAATTACCTGAGCCTGGGAGGCAGAGTTTGCAGTGAGCAGTGTTCACACCACTACACTCCAGCCTGGGCAATAGAGTGAAACCCTGTCTCAAGCAAACAAAGAAACAACCCAAAAAACAAAAACAAAACTTACATTTCCAAATACCAACTCTCATCTCATTCTTACCCCCACACTCAGTCTGCCTCTCCTTCTGCCCTCCCCACCTCATTTAGCAGAGGCTCCTTTCTATTCATTGCTTAGGTCAAAAATCTTGGAGTCATTTTGGATTTCCTCCCACCTTTCAATCCACTTCCAGTTTGTTGGCAAATTCTATTGGGTTTACATTCTAAATATATCCTAAATATGATCACTCCTTACCACTTCTGGTATATTCACCCAGTCAAAATTGCCATTATCCTTTGCCTGAATTTCTAACTGGTCCGCCCTGCACACTCACTCCCCTACCACTTATTCTCCATAGAAGCCATCCTTTTAAAATGTAAATCAGATCACTTGCCTCTTTTGCTCTTACCTGCCATGACTTGAATCTAATTTATGTAAAATATTAAGTCTTTACCAAGGTTCTGCATTTCCTGGCATACAATGGGGATGTTGAGTCTCTGACCTCCTCGCCTTCCACTCTTCCCTCACTCCAGCAGAGCCATGATGGCCTGAGTAAACTGTGCCTTTGCCTTTGCCTGCTATGTTCTCACTGCCTGAATGTTCTTTCCAAGATACCTGCATTGCTGACTCTCCTCCTTCTTTAAGTCTTTACTTAAATGTCACTCCCTCCAAGACACCATCACAGACCACCCCGTATAAGATGCACCCACTCCCTGTGACTATCACTCACCTTCCTGTATTCTCATACCCTGAGGACACAAAGGTTTCTATGAATTTCAAGATAGTGTTTACGCTCAATTATTTGAAAATGTAAAAACAATTCAAGAGTCATTGATTTGGGACTCTGATAATTCCAGGTGTGGTTAAAATGATGTACATTTTTCACATCATTTACTTTTCTGCCCCCTAAGTAAGCGCAAACAAGATGCAAGGGGCTATTGTATGTGGTGAAAAAAAAAAAAAAACTGGACTGAGATGTAAATGAGCTGGATTCTAGTCTAAGTCCACCACCCAAGACTGTGCCCACGGGCCTGTGGGCTCACCTCCCTGGGGTGAGCTCACCCTCCTTCCCAGTTCCTACCTCGTAAAATGGGAATGTTCAATGGGTCTGCCATTGGGAAATCAACCTAATGAGGAATTGTAGGTGGTTACAATTAACTCTGTTCCATTCCATCCAATAAATATACGTCAAACATTTACCATGTCCAAGGCACTATGTTAATGGTAACATGAAATAAAAGGTACTTCTTGCCCATAGTCCAAAGACAGTAGAGGAGAAAAGACCTTACATCATAGAATTAAAATAACTACATTTTAAAAAATGATGTAATATAGTTTTACACCCTACCCTCATCTTTAGATGAAGAAGCTGAGCTGAGGTTCAGAGAAGTGAAGGGGCTGATTAAAGAATAAACAATTAATAATAGCAGTGGAGTCAGGGCTCTCCAAAGAGGCTAACGAGTTTGATTACTCTAAAGATAGAATTCAATTCATTCCCTAACATTTGCAACTTTAAAAAAAATCAGAGTATAGATTCTAATCAGTATAGAAACTGGATTCTTTTTTATTTTGTTAACCTTTTAGAAGCTGTATGAGAGGGCTCATTGGGAGATGATCCTCGTATTTTTGTAGCTTGATCATCTGTCTATACCAATATGCAAAAGGAGTCAGGATTTAAACACCTAAAGATGAATAGCCTGTTCACCTGTGTACACAATCCAGTGTTTGGACAGGATGATCTGTTATTAATTTAAATCAATAACTGAAAAACAATGCCCATCACCACTCCACCCATCCCATAAGAAAGAAAGAGAGCTGGGATCATAAAACTCACAAAGCATACCTGAAACACTCCATAGAAAACAGTCATAGTTAATGCCTGGGTCAACACAATCCACCTTTGGTTTAATTTACTAAAACACTATGAGAGAGAAGGCCACGGGGGCCTTGACACACCCATCGTAACTATGAACTAATGTCTCCCAGATGATCAGGGAATCCTTTCCTGAGGAATTCAGTTCCCTGAACTTGACCTTGTTCAGTGACTTTAGAGTAAAGAAGAAAATGACTGCCAGATTAAAAGAGAAATATTTTACTCTTTGGCCAGATTCTGATCAGCTGAGAAATAAGATAATGATGCCTGTCAAATGAGCAACCCTCAGCCTTCCCTCCGTCTACAGCTACAGGGAATGGGAAGTAGCCATGAGAAGCCCTGGGGCTGCTGGATACTCTGCAAGGCCATCCTCCTGTAACTAAGGTCACTGTATTGCACTGTCAAATCCAAACGTATCTTAGCTGGAAAGACCTGCCCATCACCTATCAACCCCTTCACTTCATAAACGTGTCTTCAAGGTTCACAAAGACTGGCCCCAGCATCATCGCATGGACCCTTGTGACGCTCTGGAAGGTAGGGCAGGCGTCAGTATTTCTATTTCAGGTGAGACAGTGAACTCAGACCCTATTCAGTGATTCACCCAAGGTCACAGACAGCTTGTCTGTCAGGGAGAAGGAGCCTGAACCCTGGTTGTATCCTCTGAGTTTGGTATCTGACCATTGCCAATCTTACCAAGCAGGACATGAAACTCTTCAAGGCGAGGTAGCTTCTCGTGGTTACCTAGGGGATGAGTACCAGGGTTGAGACTTGAGAGTGCAGAACACTGATTATTTAGCAGTGCCAAGGTGAGCAGCCTTGCTCAAGGCACGGATGGACAAATGTTGCCCAGGACAGCATCCTGCTTTCTTCCTTCCTGTCCCTGAACGTCCCAGGGATTTAACCATCTCCCTTTTCCCATTACTCCCACCTATTTTCCAACTTGGATTCCACTGAAGGAGATGCCACAAAACCTTTCTTCTCCTCACTTTCATCCTGGGAATCAGGATCAGCCTTTCAGTTTGTTTTTGTTTGTTTGTTTGTTTTTAGTTTGTTTGTTTGTTTTTGAGGCGGAGTCTCCCTCCTTCCCCCAGGCTGGAGCGCAGTGGCGCGATTTCAGCTCACTGCAAGCTCCGCCTCCCGGGTTCACGCCATTCTCCTGCCTCAGCCTCCCAAGTAGCTGGGACTACAGGCACCTGCCACCACGCCCGGCTAAATTTTTTTTGTATTTTTAGTAGAGATGGGGTTTCACCATGTTAGCCAGTATGGCCTCGATCTCCTGACCTCGTGATCTGCCCGTCTCGGCCTCCCAAAGTGCTGGGATTACAGGCGTGAGCCACTGCGTGCAGCCAGCCTTTCAGTTTTATGGGTTTATTACTGTTGTTTTGTTTTCAAATTTAATAACCGTGGGGAGAAAAAAGTTAAAGAGGTACCAATGCTTCCAGTTACTAGATAATTTAGAAATTGTGATAATCATTTTCTAATACGGTAACTCTTACTTAATTGCTTAGCAGAGGACCTTATCTACTAATTGCTGATTTGATGGTAGACATCCTTATCATTATTATAAATACTCTTGGCCACCCAGCTAATTAGAAGCAGAACCAATACTTGAACCTAGGCCTTCAGATTCCTTGCCCAGTGCTGCAGTAGGGCTGCCTCACAGGGTTGGGATGCTTGAATTAAGCAGCATAGATAAGAGAGGCTATGAACTTAGGGAAGGGGGCTGTGGGGCTAACGAAAGTGAGGCCAATTACAGTTTATCAGTTATTCAGGCAGGGTCATCTAGGGCCAGTTCCTGCAAGGGTGCTGGGAAACGCAGGTCTAAGAGTCAATGTATAGATTGCTTGGCTCGTTGACAGGACTAAGAAAGCTAAAGCATTTACCAACTGGAGAAGAAGATTGATGAGAGATAGGGACAGAAACCAGTTTTGCTGCCTGCTTTTCCAGTAGGGTAACAACTTTATTCCTTTGGGTGCAAAGGAAAATAAGGAGATGATGAGAGAGGAAGATTTTGGGAAACCAGAAAGAATTGGAGGCCTTAGCTTTGGACTGCTTCTAGACTAACTGTATCCATCTTCTAGACTGGCCAAAAAATCACTTGACTCCCCCTCCTCCCCCAGCTATCCTCTCCTCCCTGGTGCCCAAGCGCTACCTCTCGCCCATGTGCTTATTCCCGTCTCTGTCCTAGACCACTGCAAAGCCTAGTGAATCTGTGTCTCCTCAGCTCCTCCCCAACAAGCCTTTTCCAAGACTCTCCTCTCAGGGGAACACCCACCCTCCCCCAGGCTGGCCATGTGGAGTCTGTCTTGTTCCCCCCATCTCGTTACACTTGTGTATTTGGTCGTTGACGCAGGGGCTGACCCCACATGTTACATCACCCTGTGCAGAGCACATTCAGCAGGCGAATGACTTACAGCACATGCTCTGTCTTCTGTTCTTTCTATTAGGGGCGTGATTTAGAAGATGAATGTTTATAACATGACCTAAGGAATTTCATCCTTCTCTGGAAAACTGTGTAGGAGAGAATCCTGATGGACAAAGAATAATGTGTTCTGGGTTTCAGCCAACTATTTGGAGTTGTTTGAAAAAGCCTTGGTGCTCAACTTCTGCTGTTTATTGCAAACTCATCACCTCCTGATAGTCCCTAGCTGGCTCAGAAGGGAGTGGTGACAAATGAGCATCTCCTTTGTTTTCATGCAGAAACCACTTTGCAGTGATGATGTGTTAATTCTTTATTAAGTGACTTCCTGGCCAAACACCTTGAAAGGCCATGTAACTCTCCTCTCCTGCATTGCATTTGTGGGGGAAAGGAGAAGGTATGGAGCATGAAAGGCAAATCAGATCTATGTACTGGGGTTACCCAGGCAGAAAAGCAGTTCCTTGTGAATGGAAAACAGCTCAGCAGTGTCTGTCCCCTGCCAGGTCCTTGGGAGGTGGTTTGCCATAGTGGAACACCAGATTTGCTGTTGATCTTGGTTAAATCACATAAGGAAGTGATATAACCTCTTTGAACCTCAGTGTCTTCTGCGAAAAGAACCCTGCGAAGCTATCACAGAGATTAAATTAGTTAAATTATGTGTAAAAAGGATAATTTTAAAATACTTCCTGCTGTGTTTTTCTCTGATGATTTCTTGCTACCATTATGACCTTAGAGCAGGAAAAAAGTAAATGCTGCCTCAGGAAGGAAAAGGGAGTTATGTAGACAGGAAGAAGAATTGAAACTCCAGAAAGGATTCTAAGAAGTAAAATACCATTAAAGGAATCTAAAGCAGAGAGGTTTCCCTGAGAAGAGACAGTAAAGATGTTAAGTCTCTGAAGAATTCCTGCATTGACATCTCTTAGGTAGTAATTGGCAAAGGCAAGGTAGTAGCATAATGATCTGGGATAGGGCATATATTTTCTTCAAAAATGAGGTTAATGTGGCAATTCCTAGGTTTCCTGGGGCCTAGACAAGATTCTACCATCCCCAGGGACAGCTGCTCCATGGAGATAAAGAGCCCCCGACAACGGCCTGAAGTAGACCCTATCTAGGTATTGGGGATGGAGAAGGTCATGCTTCTGTAGTACCAGGAAGCTCTGCGGTGGCTGTCTAGCTAGTTGTCCAAAGACCAGTGAACATTCTGCATGATAGAGCCAGCAATTAGATGCCACCAACACCCAGACAGACCATTTGAAGTGACCGGCAGCTGGAGCCAGCAAAGAGCAGACCATGAGTTTTACTGGCCATGAAATTTGGCCACGTATTTTAGACAGGTGTCCAGGGTACAGACCTTGCGGACCATATTGGGTCAGAAACCCAGCTGGTAAACTCTGTTCCCTGTCACTGTGAGGATACATGAGTTTCTCTCTTCAGCCAGATGTCATCTTGGTTGGGAGGAGAATCTAAATGATTAAACATTTTCCCAAAGATACTCAGGTTACCCTAAAAAATCATTTTAAACTTCAAGACACTGTTTTGAATCCAAAGACCTTTGCAATAAAAGATTTCCCTTCCCCATTCCTCGCACAATCCTCTGGCACAGTAGGATGGTTACTCATGAGAATTAGTTGCAGGGATTAGTTGCAGAGAAATAAAAAGGCCCAACTAGCTTGTAGGTCATTGTATTTTAACTCAACTCTGTAACTAACAGCACCACAGGCCAGGCGCAGTGGCTCATGCCTGTACTCCCAGCACTTTGGGAGGCCGAGATGGGCAGATCATGGGGTCAGGAGATGTAGACCATCCTGGCTAACATGGTGAAACCCCGTCTTTACTAAAAATACAAAAAATTAGCTGGGCGTGTGGCGGGTGCCTGTAGTCCCAGCTACTCAGGAGGTTGAGGCAGGAGAATGGCGTGAACCCAGAAGGCGGAGCTTGCAGTGAGCTGAGATAGCGCCACTGCAGTCCAGCCTGGGTGACAGAGCGAGACTCCGTCTCAAAAAAAAAAAAAAAAAAAAATTGCACCACAGATAGGAGACGATGCAAGTGAGTACTCTTAAATGTAATTGAAAATATCAAATTGGATAGAATCCTCCAATATGAAAAGCTTCTCACTTTTGGTATACTAAATACTGCTAACACAGAGTAGGAAGAAAGCTTGTACATACTTACTGGCCACAAGTTGATTTTATTTACAGCACTGAAAGTAAAGAAAAATGGAAATAGTCCATTATGTTTTAGTTAAATTCTTATGTTGAACATAGTTAAGATTTTTTTTCTGGGACTTCACAGTGTGAGGGGAGTGATAACATCCTAACAGTATTCCTTTTTCTAGATCAGTGACATTTGCATCACTTGTGGTGGTCTCCATCCTTCTCCTTCCTAGTGCTCTAGGGTTTGGGTCACCATCTTAGCCAACTGCCAATAGATTTTCACTGCTATCTCTTTCCCACTTTATTCTAGGTTTCTCTGAATTATTTTGTCATTCTTCTTCATTTAATTACCACAAGTGCCCACTATGAAAGATATTATTAACTTCATTTTGCAGATAAAGAAACAATGGTTCCACAGAGTTAAGAGAAGATATTTCTAAATATTTATTGCACATAAAAATGAAGAGAAGCGGCCGGGCGCGGTGGCTCATACCTGTAATCCTAACACTTTGGGAGGCCGAGGTGGGCAGATTGCCTGAGCTCAGGAGTTCGAGACCAGCCTGGGCAACACAGTGAAACCCCATCTCTACTAAAAATACAAAAATTAGCCGGGCGTGGTGGTGCATGCCTATAATCCTAGCTACTCAGGAGGCTGAGGCAGAAGAATCCCTTGAACCTGGGAGGTGGAGGTTGCAGTGAGCCAAAATTGCGCTACTGCACTCCAGTCTGGGTGACAGACCCCATCTCAAAAAAAGGGCATGGCGGTGTGCGCCTGTAGTCCTGGTTACTAGGGAGGCTGAGTCAGGAGAATTGCTTGAACCTGGGAAGCGGAGGTTGCAGTGAGCCGAGATCGTGGTGACAGAGCGAGACTCTGTCTCTTAAAAAAAAAAAAAGATGAGAAGTTTGGTTTTAGCAATAATCCTTATGAAAAGTGTTATTCTTAAAGGAGGTCTGTCCAGCACAGCTACAATGTACTGGTCAAGGTGGATGTCAGAGTGCCCCCCACCCTGGCCTCTCCAATCACATGGAACTCTGAGAATCAAGCTGAGAGGTGGAGAAAGGAAACAGTCAACATAATCTCCAAATTATGTTGCTAGTACTTGGTGGTGGGGCCTTTGGGGGAGGTGATTAGGGTTAGATGAGGTCACGTGAGTGGGGGCCCATGATGGGATTAGTGGCTTTATAAGACGAGGAAGACAGACTTGGGCTGGCACGCTCCCTCTCTCTCGCCATAAGATGCCTTCTCTCAGATTATGACACCACAAGAAGGCCTTTGCCAGGTGCTGGCACCTTGATATTGGACTTCCCAGCCTCTGAAACTGTGAGAAATAAATTTTCTTTATAAATTACCCAGACTGTGGTATTCTGTTATAGCAACACAAAACAAAGACAGATAGTGCCCTTTTTTCTGCCATCAAAACAGAAGATGAGGGTAGGAGTTATCAAGAGACTCTCTCCAAATCTGAAGGAAATCACAAACCTGCAGTGCTGTTTCGAAAGTGTCCGTCAAGACCCTGGGTTTACTCTAGCTCTGAATTCCATTTCCACTGTGTGTGTCTGGGGCTTCACAGGGATAGAGAGGGTGATGGTGATGATGGTGTGGTCGCTTTCTCTTTAATCCACAGCTGTTGAAGTTTTGACCACATTAGGGCCAAATGTGGAAATTAACCTAATTTTTTTTTTTTTTTTTGAGACAGAGTCTTGCTTTGTCACCCAGGCTGGAGTGCACTGGCACGATCTTGGCTCACTGCAATCTCCGCCTCCCGGGTTCAAGCAATTCTGGTGCCTCAGCCTCCCGAGTAGCTGGGATTACAGGCACGCGCCACCATGCCCAGCTAATTTTCGTATTTTTAGTAGAGATGGGGTTTCGCCATGTTGACCAGGCTGGTCTCAAACTCCTGACCTCAGATGATCCGCCTGCCTCGGCCTCCCAAAGTGCTGGGATTACAGGCGTGAGCCACTGTGCCTGGTGACCTTCTTTTTAAATATACTTCACCTAGAAATCCATTTTGTGAGACGAAACATGAAAGTGATCATACTCCCTGCCAGTCTGAGGTGACCAGGGTGTGACTTGACTTATGGTTTCTAAACTTTTTATTCCCAAAGGAAATATTACAGGGAGGGCCAATACATACAACAGGGAAAGGCTGACGGCTCTAGGGGAAACTGAAAGCTGACAGGAGCCCCGCCCTCCACTCTTGCTCTTCCTGCCCCTCCCACACATCCTGGGAGCATCCGTTCAGAACCCCACGGGCTCCACAGAGTGTAGTTGGAAATCACCGCATACATAGAAAATATGAGCAAGAAAACCACACATGAAGAATTATTACTAAGGGCTGCCATAAGCATCATGCTTGTCTTTTGGGGAATTATGATTCATTGACCAAATAAGAACTTACCGCCATTTCTTCTAGCGTGTTTTATCCCAGCAACACTGTGTGCACAGAATAGCTTGACTCCATTTCCACAGTGGCCATTTTAAATTTTAATAAATGCTGTCCCTTTGCTTTGGTTCTCCCTAAATATTCGAATTAGATTCATTTTTATGGTCCCAGAAACGTGCTAGATTTAACAGGAGTCATTAAAATGTCTAAAAACATATATTTCAGGGAACTCCCAACATAGACAGTATGAAGAAACACACACACACACACACACACATATATAGTTCACTTATATAAAGTGAAATGGGTAACAATTCATGACAAGTGAAGTGATATTATAGGACAATGTATGATTAAAAACCAAGCCTGTTGCTCAGAAAATAATTGCTCTAGGAATTCAGTACTAAGATTGTCTTGTATCACAGTGGCATCCTAATTATGGTATACAGAAAAATGAAGGAGGTTGAATTCTGCTCTCCTGGGCCCTGGTCATGTCTCACCTGGAATGTTGACTTAGCTCTGAGCACCTCACTTTAAGAAAAACGTGGTCAAAGCACAATGGGCTCTGATGTGAGATCATGTCCTATGAAGAAGTGTTGGTAGAGTTGTAGCTGCTTTGTTTGGGGAAGGTAGTACACTGGTGCGATCCTTACTTCACCAGGGATTTTCATGGAAAAGAGTATGTCCAGCCTCTCTACAACCCTTCCCTTCTTCCCTTCTATCCTCCCTATTTACCTCTCCAGTGGGGTGGACACCAGGGGGTGCCATTGACACAGATTACAGTGTGAACTGTGTCCCTTTGAGCTGTGCAAAACAGTGGCCCAGTCAATGCCTTTACAAAAAGGGATTTGAGTTTTTCCATGCGGTTTCAAAAAGTAGGTACAAATTAAAAGGCCAGAAAACAAGGGTAGTGAGATTTTGGCTTAAGATAAGGACATTCTAACAGTGGGAGAAGATAGAATGAATGGCTCTAGATGTACGTGTTTGGAAAGGAGTCTTATTTAGAAGGAAGTCTGTGCCTCTAAAATTGATAGTAATGATAGTAACCAGTGAATTGCATCTTTGTGACACGAGTGGCCTTGTAGTATTTTATGTTTTTCACAAGTGGTCTCCTTCTTCATAACTACACCAATACTTCTAGGTAGGAATTATAATTATCTTTATTTTATAGATGAAGAAACTGAAGTTTGGACAAATTGCATTACTTTCCTAAGGTCACAAAGAGAACAAATTTGTAATTTCAGAATTAGTTTCTCTAATTTCAGAATGCAAACTCTTAACCATTATGCCACATTGCCTTTCAACAATGAGTTACAAAATCCCATCTTTCTTAGCATGTTCAAATGCTCAATTATTGTGAAACTTGATCTACAAATAAAATTAGAGCTTGACCTTGTACCTCAAGGGGTAAAATCATTTCTGTGGAACAAGGGTAGGTGAGATGGATTTGTCTTGCTCTCACTACTCACTGATACCGATGTCTGGGACTCAGGGGTGAACCTGCACACCTGGGCTCCAGATGGGGAAAGCTGTTCTACACATAGCATATGCCTCCAGATCCAATTCTATCATCTCATGCACCCAATGCATGAACGATGTGCAAAGGCTCATGCTGGATATTTTGATTTTGTCATTTCCCAAATTCCCTCTCCAAAAATCACCTTAAGGAGGCAACATGTGGTCTTACATGATACTTCAGAGCTGCTGGTGGGAGCAGAAAGGAGCAGAGCCCATTGGAGAACACGCGGTGCTCACTGTCATGTTGGAAACACTGAGATAAAAAGGAGAGGCAAAGCCTTTAACTGTGTGTGCATCCGACAGCTGCAGCTTTCTTATTGCTTGTGCTATGTCTGTGAAGTGAAGACCATGGTGAGACCCTCACTGAGGCTCTGTTAGTGTTAAAACAGATGTTCCTTCAACACTCACATCTTAGGTGGCCACTTTCACGGGGTGGAAAAGGATAATCTAAACCTTCCTGTTCTTGCCAAAATAACCATGTGTAGGTCTTTGTTCTGCACATCTCTGGAACACACAAATAGATTTCCAAGCAGTAGGAACCTCCTGTCCTGTTCAGTTGTTGGACAAACTCTTGTTCTGCCCATTCCACCCTAGTTTCCTGAAATCCTGGCTGTAGGGCTCCCATGACTGGAGCCTGTGAGAGCCTCCTTTGTCAGGAGAGTTTTCACAGCTAAAGCCATCAAGGCTGGCAGTGAAGGACACTGGGCTTCAAGCCCACTACAGTGATGACAGGTATTGCCTTGGCTGCCCAAGCTGAGTGGTCGCCCCTCTGCAGGTCTGTCTGACTCCATCCCAGGGAAGAAGGCGGTGGAAGGTACCCATGGGCTGCAGTTGGCTCTGCCTGGCCGTGGGGGAGGATGGCAGAGGACTGACCTCTTGCTGCCTCAAAAGGGTGGAAGTTGTTTTGCCCTTTAAACTGATAAAGAAACAAGCTGGAACAGTAAAACTAATCCTCCGAAGCAATCCAAGCATGGAAACCAGAAATGTCTACTCAAATCTTTTCTCCATTTTCTTTCTTCATAAATTCGGAACATTTGTGGCAGAAAGAGAAATCAGAAAAAAAATGGATTTAGAAAAGAGAGAGAAGTAGTTTAGAGGGTTGTATAGGGAGGCAACATGATAAAGTTGGAAGAAAAATGGACTTGGAGAGAGAACAGTCAAATCTGGGCCTGCCTCTGAGTGCCTGTGTGGCCCTCGGCAAGTTTCCCTTCAACTTGAAGACCTGGGTCTCTATGATCCCTTTCAGTTGCAAGATTAAGACCTAAGAGTTCTTGCTTATATAAACAGAATTCTTCCAAGGCCATAATTATTTCCATAATCAAGAACTATTTATTAACTAAGCACCAGTGTGTGATTTTCTCAAGATAAGAGCAAGAAGAAATGGTCCTTACAGGCTAGATAGCTGTGACATGGACCAACAACTAAGCATATCTAAAAATTCGACTAATTCATAATATGAATTCAAAATATGAATTGAATAAGCAAAAATATATATACCATGGGAGTTGAATGTTTTGACGGGGAAAATCCAGACGCTGACTTTAGGATGGTACTTTCTGTTTTGATTGATCCTGAGCCACACTGGACTCTCTGGCATGGGCATAACCCGAGCATCTGCATGGCAGAGTTCTGGCTCATTGCCATTTGCAACAGACACGAAGGGTGGCATCAAACAAAAGGAAACTTCTCCGTTGACCATCATAAATGATGAAGACCAAGGCTTCAACTCACTTACTGGAGTGGATTTCCTTTTACGGATGGCCTTGGTCACCCTGGGGAGACTAAGAATGTTTAAGTAACTTAACAAACACTCAGTAAGGAATGGGATCAGGATTCTTCTCCAGGGCTAACAGTTTTAACTGCCATTCTACATTTCCTGCCTGAGACAGCTGCCAACCTGGGCTTCTGTGACTGCCACTCCATGCTTCTCAAGCCAGGGTGCACGTTAGACTCATCTGGAGAGCTTGGTAAAGCCATCCATGTCCAGGCTCACCCACAGAGTCCTCAGTTTTCTCAGTTTGAGGAGGGGCCTGGGTACCAATACTTTTTAAAAGCTCCCTCTGGGTGATTCTAAGTACAATCAGGGTGTCAATCACTGATGTCCATAATGAAAAGTGTCAGACTCCAAAGCAAACTCAGGAGGACTGCCTTCATGGTATGGATCCCTGGCAGATTTGAACCTTAGAGGATTAGGCTAGCAGCTTGTGGAAGCGGATGCAAATCTTCCAATCCTCTAAGGGCAGATGAGCCTCTGGACTCATGAGAACGCTGGTCTTGGTAAAAATCCCCTGCATACCACAGGCCTCCCTTGGAGAAATCACCTAAAGAAACACCAGGAAGAATTCATTCTGGCCTCAAATAGTTACATGGATGTTTGTTACAAGAAGACACATTTAACCATTGAAGTTCCTACTCATTGAGTGAACCGTGTCTCCCTCCTCTCTGGTTTCCAGAAACAAGGATTTTTTTCTAAACTCCTCTTACTTCTTGCCTCATGGCTAATGCCCACGGAGGTGGGGTGAGTGACCTGCTGGTAACCAAGGGAAATGAATCTGCACAGGAAGCCCAGGCCCTCCCTCCCTCCCTTCTCATTAGAAGCCAGCTTCCCCTGGAAAACAACCACATTCTGCTCTACTTTCTCATGTCTATGTGGCCCTCCCTGAGTGGGAAGGCTTAAGTTTTGTAAGATTCATCATAAGTGTGGTGATATTTCCTAATTCCAGGGAATGGAGCTAGTCATGCCACACATCTTTGCTGTTTTCACGAACTGAGGTAATTTTTATTTTTATTTTTATTTTTTTGAGGAACAGTCTTACTCTGTCACCCAGGCTGCAGTGTAGTGGTGTGATCACAGCTCACTGCAGCCTTGACCTCCTGGGCTTAGGTGATCCTCCCACCCTAGCCTCCCATGTAGCTGGGACTAGAGGTATGTGCCACCTCACCTCCTTTTTTTCTTTTCTTTTTCTTTTTTGGAGAGACAGATTCTTCTTATGTTGCTATTTTAAACTCCTGAACTCAAGTGATCCTCCTGCCTTGGCCTCCCAAAGTGCTGGGATTACAGGTGTGAGACACTGCACCCTGCCCAAGGTAATATTTTGACCTTCCTTTACCTTATTCTTTGTCCATCTCTTAATTAGTTTATAACTTAGACGGGAAAAAAGAGGTGTCTAAATAAATAAATAAATAAATTTATTTAAATAAATATTAAATAAATCCCATCAGTTCCCCATAGAATGCCATTTTCCCCTAGCTGTCTATTCATGTAACAAAACGAACAAGAAAACACTACAAATTCTCTCCCTATTTATACTGTCCCACCATTATGTTATAACTCTCATTATAATGTTTTAGTTTTTCCTTGAAATAATAATCATCAACCCATTTGTAAACCATATGTTTCTACCCACAAGTGACAACCAGAATTTCAGGATTAATTGCAAGAGCCATAAAGAGCTTTTTGGTCATTTCCCTAAGAGCCTCCATGAATAGTAACAAGGGCGAATAGTAACCCCCGGCTTCAGCTGTCCCCACTGCTGTGGCAGGTTATGATACTTTCTTTCCTAAAGTAAAGGCCAAGACAGATGGCTTTTCAGGACTTCCAGAGTCTGTATGACATAAGAAGCTTATTCCAGTAAAGGGAACAAGACCCTTGTCATCTGACACCAATGAGATGCTCTTCCCTTGGCTGGCAGGGATCTGGAGGAGGAGGAGCAGATAACCTTCAGCCTAAATAAGCAATACCATCATTATTCTGGAATCTCTCTGAAGTATGGTTGGTTACAGTGTGGAATTCCACAGGGCACGTGCCTGTCTTGGACTCTATCCAAGGGAGTAAGTTATCACAAGGACCTCATTATAACAGGGGCTCCAGGGACAGTGTCAGTCAGCAGGCTTCAAGGTAGCTGCTAAAATTCTGGTGCTGGTCTGTTTAATCACTGCATGCTTGTTAATACAGTCAAGCCTCAGTTACAACAGAATCAACAGCCCAGTTTGTCACTCATCCATTCCTTGTTCCGTCACCGCCTGGTTGAGTTTCTGGCTTGTTTATGGGGCAACTCTGGGTGTCGGGCAAAATGAATGCCTCTTGTTTGAAATGCCTAATCCCGAGGTTTTTCACCTATGTGTTGTTTTCTCCCACCAGCACCTCTGCTCCGTGCCATGCTCTTGGCTAATTGGAGTTGTGAAAGGCATGAGGATTCTGGTCATGGACTCAGCTCTCCCATAGGGTTCTGACACCAAAGCAATGGTCACAACAGTGAAAGGAAGAATCCATCTGGCCAGGCTCAGGTGGTTCAAGGCCTTCAGAATCTGCCTTGAGACTCTCACTGGCTTTAGACTGAAAACCATCTTGGCCCCGTCCATCCGTGTAAGCAATTTAACGACAGCTTGCAAAGCACCGAGCTTTAACAGAAAGAAGAGATGAGCACAGCGCAAGAACTTGGACTCCAGAAGAGCTGCCTAACAGATTATTTTTCTGTGGCATTTCATGAGAACAAACGAAGTAGGAATTTTCCTTTTGTTTGTCTGGCCTTTGGCATCGTTTACTTTCTTTTTATTCTTCTGAAATGTACTTCGAGCCCTGGCAGCATTTCTGTCCTAAAATCTTATTGTCAGAGGTTTATTTTTCAGCTTTTCAAATCATATCTGATAGAGTGAGTGTACTGCCTGGACTCATCACTTTACTTCAGAAGAAATACAGCTCACCCTTTAAATGACAATGGTGACTGTCCACATCTTTATGTTTTCTACACTGAAGTGGCAGGCTTCATTTAAAAATAATGTTTTCCCTCATCAAAAGAGAGCTAGGGTAGAACCGTCAACTCTGCTGTTGTCTGGGTAGTGACCTAACACCCACGTTTTGGACAATCACTCACTGTCTTATATTGGGTTTTCATTGCATGTAGGATAATTCTTTGTCAATGGTAGTTTTGTCAACCGTGATCTGAGGTAATGAGGTTTTCTACTTTTGCTTGAAATTTTGAAAATATGCAAGCTTTAAACATTTGCAAAGTTGGATTCTGTTTTCTTTAGAAAGCAATCTGATTTGCTGATATTCTCTCCATCTGTCAGGGGATGCGTGATGTGGTGTAGACTTAATGTGCTGCCTTTCTGGAACATGGACAGAGTAGCAGCACAGAAAAATGAGCATTTCAGCTCTGTGATGATTTGTGAAAAAAAATCTCAGATCATTGAGCAGGCATTTTGCTGACACCTGTGAAAAGTAACCACATGAGAGAGCATGGCGTGATGGTCGGAGGCCACGTGCTGGAGCTGGACTGCTTGAGTCAAATCCCAGCTGCTCAGCTGTAGTGAACTGAATGGTGGTCCCCAAAAGATACATGTATCTCCTAATCCCTGGAACCTGTGAATGTGACCTTATTAGGCAAAAGGGTCTTTGCAGATGTAATTACATTGAGGCTCTCAGAGATGAGAACATCCTGGATTATCAGGGTGGGTCCTATATCCAATGACAAGTGTCTCCTTATAGGAGACAGAAGAAGTTGCAGACCCGGAAGAGACTAAGTAAAGATGGAGGCAGAGACTGGAGTGAGGCTGCTGCAGGCCAAAAATGCCTGGTGCCAGCAAAAGCTGGAAGAGGCAAGGAAGGACCTTTCCCTGGGGCTTTTGGAGGGAGTGCAGCCCTGCTGATGCCTTAGTGTTGGATATCTGGGCTATGGAACTATGAGAGAGAAACTTCTGTTGTTTTAAGCCACCTAGTTTGTGGTACTCTGTTATGGCAGCCACAGGAAACTAATACACTCTTTACCACCTGAGTGACCTTGGCCAACTTACTTAACCTCCATGAATCAGTCCCCTCAAAGGACCACCCTCCCCCCAGGGTCACTGTGATGATAAAGTGCTTTAGCATAGGTGACTGGTTTAGACCAGGGCCTGGTACCTAGCACATGCTATGCCAGTGTTTCTATCATGGCAGCAGCAGATGCAGTGGAGCTTAGATTTCAACTGTGTCCATGCTGGTTAGAAAAGTCACAGTCTGGGACACAGGACACTTCTGGAAGAATCTCCCTCAGTGGATCCCAGTGTTCCAGCAATGTTTTCCAAGCAGCTGAAGAACAGGAAGCAGGAACAGGGTTCCCTACAAGAGCCATTATTCAGATGCCTCTACATCTGACTGGTTTCGGAGAAGTGTGACTTCTGGAGGTTTATGTGCTGGGACTTTAACAGCATACGTACTAAAAACCACATTTATGTTTCCTCAAATGCTGGGCTCTCTATGAGCCTTGACCTGCCTGAGAAGATTAGAGGCGGCTGCCTAATCTGATCAGTCAACTCAGTGAAACAACTGCATTGATTAAAGCCATAAGATGTTAGGATTCTCTGTTCTTGGTGGCCTAAAAGGTCCCATTCCTTTCCCAAAGTGCTTAGCTTGATCCCATCCCAGGGAACAATTTTGGGTGGAGGAGAACCTGGCCACAGATCATAAGATCATGTATGACTAAGTCTACTTGCCTTCATGGAAACATACATGGAGTTTTGGGCAATTTCTTTGAAGCCCCTCTAGAGGCTTCTAAAGATTGTTTAGTGCCATCTGGTTTTTAATCCTGGATGTCAAACTTGTTGATTTTTGCCCTGGACCATCTGTTTTTCAACTTCCCACGGAACCTTTCCTTTGGGCCAAGTAGGGAAAGAAATACTATATTTTTAATTCTTTTTGTTTTGCCTTCTCATCCCAGTCACAGCATTAGAAAGGGAAAATCGACTGTCTGACAAAGCTCTGAAAGACTGGACATGAAGTGCTGGCCTTGCTATCTGCAGGGCATCTCCCTATAGATTGGATACCTTTTCCTTCACTCTCTGATAAAAAGTGAGACAGACTGAGCATAGTCCTGTGACCATTTAATGCCTGTGCCCAGAACATGGGTCTGTACCACTTGCAGGAGTCACAGTGGGGAGGAGCAGGGACCTTGGGGTCTGCCTGCCTCTGTCTGAATTCCAGCTGAGCCCATTCCTAGGCCAGTGCCTGGGAAAGTTATCTGACCTCTGAGATCCAGTCTACTAGCCTCACAAGTGAGACTGTGACAACACTTACCTCAATGAGGCACTGGACATCATCTCATTTAATCCTCAACATGCCTCAGTGTCCAGCATTTAACAAGCTCCCATAAACATTAGTTACTCTCATTCCTTAATATGAATAGCATTTAAAATAATAAAGTGGGAGAGAGCAATGCTGCATGCCCTACAACTGGCCAGAGAGCTTGCAGCAAGGAGAATGCTTAGGTGGAACATACAGGCCTTTTCTGTGTTCATCCCATTCCAAAGGATTTGGTGTTGCCATATATGGAACATGAAGATTAGAAATGGCCATTTCCAAACTGGTGAATCCCTTGGTGCCTTTTTCTCCATTGTGATTCATCCGGGGTACCCTCAGTTTTCAGTGGTCATGGTCATTCCAAACCAGCCATGAGCTGGGGGAACATTGTACTGTGGTAAACCCAGGGCCACCTGACCAGAGCTTCTCCAATTTTATAAACCCAAGTTGTAGGTGGGATGATGGATGCAGGCTTCCCTGGCAAATGCTTCCTGGGCATTGTAGACACTGTCACTTCTAGGGGGCTGCAGTTGCCTCATTGTATAATTCTGGTCATCAGAAAGGAGGCAGTAATGGATGAGCTGCCCTTCTGGACAAAATGACATCTCTCTTATTGAAAAAGGCTAAGAAGCTATTTTCTTTTCCCCCTCTGCAACCACTATTTATTGCATGAGATTTCAGAATGATGATGATAAAAAAGCAAGTTTATAGAGACATCATGAGGTTGTGTAAATAAAATAAAGTAATATCTGGGACAGATATACCAAAGAAAATTGAACCCAAAATGTCTAACTTTGCAGTCCATACTCAGCCAGAACTCCCAATGAATTAAAACACAGACTGCATAATTATGTACACAAAATGCCTTTAAAGTTGCTCCATAAATTTGGAGAAAAAAGGATAGTCTGTGTAAAGCTACTAGGGCAAAATTCCTTACTGTGGGTTTATAGGCACTAGTACAAGTGGTTCCCAAATCCCCGTTTTTATTTTTTAATTATAAATAAGAAGAACACAGTCTCCCCTTGCAACTTCCACTTCGTCACAGCCTCCAGGCACAGAGGACAGAGTTCCTGGAAAAAAGGAAGGCTTAATTCCAGGTCTGTAATAGCAAAGTTACAGTCAGACTGAACATTGATTATATTTAAATCCACCATATTTTTCCTTTGAAAACCACATATTATTTAACATCTTGAATGCTTTACATTGAATTTGTTGAAAAATTCTCCCTGTGTTTTCAGGCCTTTATCATAATTTTGTTTTTATTTCTTAATTTTTCTTTTCAAATAAGTGAGAGAATCAAGTTAATTGAGCAATGATATGTAAGTCATTCAGTTAATATGGAAATTTTGGGCCAGCCATGGAGGCTTATGGCTGTAATCTCAGCATTTTGGGAGGCCGAGGCAGGCAGATCTCTTGAGCCCAGGAGTTTGAGACCAGCCTGGGTAACATGGAGAAACCCTGTCTTTCCCCCAAAATACAAAAATTAGCCGGGCATGGTGGCATGTGCCTCTAGTTCCAGCTACTCGGGAGGCTGAGGCACAAGAATAGCTTGAGCCTGGGAGGTAGAGGTTGCAGTGAGCCAAGATCATACCACTGCACTCCAGCCTGGGTGACAGAGCAAGACCCTGTCTCAAAAAAAAAAAAAAAAGAAAGAAAAGAAAGAAGAAAAAAAAGAAAGAAAGAAAGAAAGAAAGAAAGAAAGAAAGAAAGAAAGGAAAGAAGAAAAAGAAAGAAAGAAACAAAAGAAAGAAGAAAAAAAGAAAGAAAAGAAAGAAGAAAAAAAGAAAAAGAAAGAAGAAAAAGAAAGAGAAAGAAAGAAAAAAAAGAAAGAGAAATTCTGGGAATTCTAGCTTTCTCTTGGTGCATGCTCTCATTCGATTGAAATCAAGCAGTTTCTACATGAGGCAGACAAGTTCCTAGGGTATGCAGAAAGGGGCAATATCTTGGTTCTTGCTTCAAAAGAGCTAACTGCTGCTGGGACCTACGGTTGAGCAATGACTCAGGGACCTGGCTGGTAAAGAGGAAGGAAGTGGCTATGGAAAGTTGCTGTTAAGTAACTGGAGCCCCAAAATAACATAATATTGACCAAGTCATCCCACCCCCAACACCTACCATTACTGAGAGTAACAATGTGGAGATAGCCATGCAGGCTCCTGGGTCCATTTGTCACTTATTTGAGTTCCCTTCGTTACAACTCTTAATGCTACTGAACTCTAATTACATGACATGGAAATGCATGGGATGAAGGAGCTGGAGGGGATTTGCCCTCAACTCCACAGTCCCATGAGAGAGTGATTTGTCTTTATATAAATAGCTATCAACTAAATTGAGATCATAAGAGTTATATCTTTGAAGATAACATATAATTGCATTCATAAGAAGTATTCAAAATCACCATTTCATAAATTTTTCCAATATCCCTATGAGTAGGGATTGTTATTCTCATTTTACCAACGAGGAGTCTCATTACTAAATGTAGGAAAAGTACTTGATCTGAGTAGCATGATAAAAAGTACACATTAAAACAAGAAGACATATTTTGACCATCAAACTAGCAAGGATATATAAACCATAAAATTAACAACGTTTAAAAAATAATGCTTTATGCTGGCAAGGTTATGCTGACATTGAAATGAAAATTCTCTTTCTGCTGATAAAAGTACATGTTGGTTAAGCCTCTCTGAAGAGCAATTTGCAATGTGTCTCAGGAAAATTATTCATACATTTAGATGCAGTAATTTTATTTCTGAGATTTCCTTCTAAGGAAGTAATAAGAAATGTAGACAAATTTTGCATGCAAAGATCTTTCTCGCAATGTTTTTTATAATGATAAGAACTTGGATATAACAAATATTTAACCACTTATGATACACCTACATAATGGAATATTATGGAGCCCCTAAAATTATATTTTTGAAAACTTTTAATGACATGAGAAAACATTCAAAATGTACTGTTAAATGAAAAAGGCAGGATTAAAAACTTACATAATAGTATGATCATGGTTATATCAAAACATATGTGCAAATCCATTCAAACTAGACTGGAAGAAGTAGAACTTAGTTAACTTGTTCGAGGTCAAATATCTGCCAAGCAGAGGAGCCAGCACCTAAACACAGTTCTTCTGACACTAATCCCAATGTCTCCTTCCCCATATCATGATGTCTCAGAAAATACTCAGTTTGAGTAATACATTGTTGTTTGTTTTATTAGAAAACAAACTATTCATGGAATTATGCTAAAATCCATTACTACTTTGATTAGATTCAGGAATTCAAGTAAATTTTGGGGTATTGCTCAATTTCCCTAGTTCTGCAAGTTGCTGAAACCACACCCACGTTTACAACACCCAAGTATGCTAAGCCCATGGCTAGGACTCAGTTTCCAAAATGTGTTACCTGCACTATATTTGTAACCCCCTTTAACACAGAAAGAATCATAAAATTCAATATAGAAGATGACTTGGAGAGGTTATATTTTTCTAGTAGTTTCCAAATTGAACTAAACAGCAACACTACTAGCGTGATTTTCTCAAAATACAGATCCAGGTCCTACCCCAAGGATTCTATTTTAGCAAGTCAGGGTGGAGCCCTGTCCTCTGTATTTTAAATAGTACCCTGGGTAGGACCATCTTTAAACCATTCCAACCAGTGGTAGTGATGCGTCTGATGAGGTCCCCACATGCACGGAGTTACATGTAGTGATTCCACTACTTCAGGTTAGAAAAACACCTCTTCAAAACCTGGATTTATTTATAACGTGAGTATACTGGCCACTGAGTCCTGTAACTACTTGACTCATTCTTTCAATGGTTACTGGGGAAATCACTTTATCTTCCACTGATGCCTGCACTAGATATTTACTGTTGCTTAACAAAGGATTCTCAAACTTGGTGGCATCAGGCAACAAGCATTTATTATCTCATGATTTCTATGGATCAAAATGCTAGGCACAGTTTAATTGGGTGCTCCTGGGTCAAGGTCTTTGTTGAGGTTGCAGGCAAACTATTGGCCAGGGCTGTGGTCTCATCTGAAGGCCAGAGAGAGAGAGAAAAAGGGGAGGGAATCTGTTTTCAATTTCACTTACACAATTATTGGCAGGTCCTTCTACGCTGGGCTGAATGACAACATGGTAGCTGACTTCCCATAGAAAGAGAGAACAAAGAAAGCAGGAGTGAGAAAGTGAGAGTAAGAGACAGAACAAGAGAGATTGAGCAAGAAAATGTGCAACCATATGCACCCAAATGTGCACTGAAGACAGAAGTCACAATCTTTCTGTGATCTAATCTTGAAGTAACATCTCATCATTTTTTCATATTTGTTAGAAGCAAGTCAACTTCAGCACATAACCAAGGAGAGAAAATTACACAAGGTTGTGAAATACCAGAACCATGGCTCGTTGTGATCCATCCTAGGGAGTATTTGATGCACTGTCCTGGGCAAATGGCAGAAATAAATTCCATATCAAACCACCTTCACCTCTATCCTTCAATTTCTACTTGGTAAGTAAGCAGAGGTGAGGCTGGAGTGAACTCTGCATATTTGTGATAGTTAAACCAAGAGGGCCAAGGCAGAAGGAAAATCTGCAAGTTTAGTGTGGGCCAATGCTGGCATTTTCAAACATACAGCATGAGCTGTGAGTGTCATCTTCAGTATCAATAGCGAGACTTGGTTAACAGTGTCACTGATTCTTTTTGTTCTTCAAAGAAGTGCACATTTCAAATAGCCTTGGGGACTATTGTTCTCGACTTCTTTTTTTCTGGCTCTAACTTGTGAAGCCATATTCAGTTATTCTAGAAAAGACATTTGAACTTCATGGTCTGACCTCAACTGCAACTTGCTCAGGGGGCTAACACGACTATACCTTCCATTTTCTTTGAGAGGGAGACAACAAATATTGGGCAAAAAGTAAATGCATTTATATATTTTTATATGTATATAAGTATACAGTTAAATGTTGAACTACATGCACAGGTTTGAGCTGGGCAGGTCCACTTATAGGTGGATTTTTTCAAGCAAATGCAGATTGAGGGATGCAAAACCTGCATATAGGGAGGGCCGACTTTTCATATACACAGTTCTGTAGGGCCTACTGTGGGACTTGAGCATGTGGGGATTTTGGTATACACTGGTGTCTGGAACAAATACCCCTCGTATGCCAGGGATGACTGTGCGTGTACATGTATATATGTGTGAGTATATGTGTGTGTGTGTATGTGTGTGTATATATTTATATGTGTGTCTATACATGTGCACACACATCACACTTCCTTGGGACCATCTGGAGTGCCTCAGCTTACCCCACATGTCCAGCTTAGCCTTGGTAGCAGAGCCTTCAGGTAATGTGAACAAAGTTAGGTTTCCAGACTCAACTAGTTTATCCACTAGATCTACCATGTAGAGTTAAATCCAACTTGCCATCTGGTTGCCAGATGATGAGTACTACAAGCATTTTCCAGCAACTCAACTTGCTATTGAGTCACAGCCACAAACAAAAGCAGCAGATACAGCTGCCCAATGGCCGCAGCAGATACAGCTGCTTGATGGCTGCTTTTAGGATGCAATATTTTCTGTCTCTCCCCATGAAATCACTGGTGAGGAGGGAGTCCCTTTTGTCATTTCAGCTGCCAAGACATTTCATGCTAATGAGCTGTGAAGGGGAAGTCGCTAATGATATGAAATCCCTCTTTATGGCCAGGGCTGGGCCAAGGCCACCAGAGGGGTGATGGAGAGGTTCTTAACAACAGAGGCTGATTCTTCTGTTGCTGGAAGGTGAGAGGACAGGCCAATCCATAAACAATCCCCAAGGACTCTGGGGGCATCGTCCTGTTTCCATAAGCCTCCATGCCCTTCCTCTCTGACACCTCAAAATTTTATATGGGAGCTTAAGTTAGCCAGGTTCAGAGGGAAATAGAAGGAGAAATACTTTTGGCAGATCACCTAGGAAAACTAAAAGTAATTCCCAAGGTACCTGTTTGAAGTAAGGAAAGTCCCATAAAAAATTGCTATTCCATTGGAGTCCACGTCCACCCTAATTCAAGCCAGCTGATGGCCCAAAGACGTGAACGAAGGGGTGGCCAAGGGAAGCGTGTGTGGTACAGTGGAAAGACCCCTGCTTGGGAGTCAGAGAATCTGGTCCGTGTCTCACTTTGTTATTTTTGGCTGTGTGATATTGTGTAAAACACCAGAATTTTCTGAGTTTTATATCCTTATCTATGTGATATCATTAGCTACTTCAGGTGATTGTTATGAAATTAAGTGAGATTACATCCGTAGAAAGGGATATTAAAATACTGTCACTGTTTTTAAAATGTATATATTTTCACCATTTTCTCCCTGTGGCAGAAATTCTGCTGCCAGAGAGGTATGACTCTTTGGGATAAGGTGCTGTTCTCTTGGTGACCTTCTTAAAAAGCAAATGTCTTTGAAAAAAAGTAACATGGGATTTGTGAGTGATCACTCAATAGATTTCTTTTCCCCAGTAAATGGAGATTTTTTTTTGTTTTAGAGGCATTTCATTTAGACAACTAAAAACAATTAAATGTTCAGAAGCAGTGTACAATGAAAGAGAAATCAAACCAGTTACTTTATCATGTATTCCCTCTTTTTTACAACTAAAGCAAACAAACAAAGGCATTCTGCTTTAAGGAAAAAAGTCAGAAAAATAAGCCAATATATTTTTCTTCTCCATAATAACATAAACAGCTACAAGAACCCTAACTGTAATAAGAGAAATTGGATGTTGGCTTGTATATATTCATTAAAAAGATAACAGGCCACTGTACTACAAGAGGATAACTCTACCTCTCTTCATCTGATACTCTTGAGTTTTCACTTACAGGTAACACCAAGTTAGTTGTTCCAGCACTGGAGCTAATTCATTTTCCCCATTATTTACTGCTCTTTCTGCCTTAAGCAGAGAGTAACTCTGGAAGGCTGATGCTTTTCTCTGCTTGCTCGTTTTAGTCCATCAGTTGGATACTAACTGCAGCATATGATTGACCCTCAGGCCTTAACATCAGGAGTTGAAGAATAGATGCAATCTGAATCCTCTGAAACAATTTCTTCTAGCTCCTCTTCTGTTGTCTCTGGAAAGCCAATCTTTGGCTTTGCCAGCTCACCACTCTCTTCTTCAGGAAGCACACATTTCCAAAGGCCGTATGTTTTTCCTACCACAGTTTGCCCTAGTCTCAATGTTCCATCTTCAGAACCACTGGCATAGAGTTCTCCATCACGACTAAATCTCACACAGTGAATAGGACCAAAGTATCCCTTGTAGGATTCGAATTCTTCTCCATGGTTAAAATACTTATAAAGTTTAAAATCTTCACCACCTGCAACAAGAAATTCTTTCTCAGGATGAAGAGATGCAGAATTGATGGTTGCAGGAGCTTCAAAGGATGTAATTGGGTCCAAACTTACTGCACTATGAAAAGCAATAGATAGTCCATAAGTTATAACCAAAATCTCTCCCTCAGGAATGTATTTTGTACTACTAACAGACATATTAAAATTTAGAGATTTCACTTCTGTCATAGTAGCATGATCCCAAAGTCGAGCAGTTTTGTCATCAGCAGAAAGAATCTGTTTATCCTCACTGCACCATAGGAGCCTTTTTTTTATACCAGAAGTGTGACCACTAATTTCCTTAGGTCTTGCTTTGGGTTTGTTCAAGTCATACATGCGTAACAGTTTATCCTGTCCCTTGGTTAACAAATAATTACTATCCTGCATGAAATACACAGTCTTGACAATGTATTTATGAGCCAAGGTCATCAATTCATCTCCTAAGACAGCATCCCACACTTTGGCTGTGAAATCTGCAGCTGCTGTTGCTGCTTTGGTGGCATTCAGTGTTGCACCCCAAACAGCACCTTTATGACCCCAAAATGTTCCAATCCAGTCTCCTGTATCTCCCTGGCGTAGCATAGGTTTACCATCTTTGTAAGCGCTGGTTAAGAAATACCCATAAGTCGTGATGCCACTGAAGGCCAAATCAACCATGGGCCACGTGTGGCCAAAGTAGGTGAGCAGCGTCTGTCTCATTGCCATGGTGGCAGTGAACCCAGCGACCAGACTGGCGAGCTGAGTGTTGTCGTTCTCTTTTCTCTCTTCTGCTGCAGCACCTTGGGCTCCTCCAGGCCCCCGCCCTGACACTAGGGCTGGGCTGCAAAACAGGAAAAGGAGGACAATCTGGTGGCACTGAGGTTAGGAAGGGGTGACGGAGGGGTCAGGGAGTCTGACATGGGCAAGTAACAGTCGACCAGGGAGGGAAAGGGAGAAACTGAATATTTTAAAGTACTGCGGGAACAGGGATGCCAGAGAAAAAAGGATTTGGGAGAAACAGGACGCTATCCGTAAAGAACAAAAATGCGCTCAGAAGTCTGATCACAGGGAGAAGGGGGGCCCTCATGGCAGGGAGACCCATTGCTTAGAGTCTGATATTTGAATTAAGTCTCTATCTCCCACTGAACAGTAAGTTCTTGTTTCCTGTTTGCCAATATTTTCCCACAGATTATTATAGCGCTTGGTGTACAATAGTTGCTCAATGAATGTTTGTAGAATAAAAGCTGCATTTTGCTGGCTTCACCCTTTTGCCCAGGGTCAGCCATCAATCACCTGACTAACGCAGGCTTCGGGGCCACTTCTCCTGTATACACTCCCTTCCCTGACCTCTGGCTTCCTGAATCACCAGAAGCCGCGGACAGAGGTGTATGTGGTATGGCCCCTCCTGGAGACAGGTCAATCCCTCATCCTCATCTAAGACTTCCTGGAGTCTGAATAGGCACTGATTCCAAGTGTGACATGCAGTTGTAGGTGAAGTTCCTGAGTCAGGCGCCTGGCCTAGAAGAAAAAGCAACATTGCCATCAGAGGCCGAGAAGCCAGCGGACTCCCATCTCTCTGGCCTGACGCCATGAACCCAGGCATAGGACTCCTCACTGTTTCAGGTTTCAGTTTTTATAACTACACCTTCTCTGATCAGTTTTATGATACTTCTGTATGAAACTACATTAAATACTACAGCTCTTGTGTGATTAGAGGGCAGATAGATAGAGGCTCAGAAAAGTAACAAAACAACAAAAAACCAAACCAACCAACCAAACATAGTTTGTCCAGTAACCAAGAGACTGAAGTCAGGGGCCAAGAAAATCAGAAAGTGTCAAATTATTGAAGTCTCAAATTGGCTTTCACCTAATTAAAATAGCAGCTGAAATTTCCCTTTTTATACAGGGCTTTGACAACAGATTTTTCTTAAGAGTGTTGGGCCGGGCGCGGTGGCCCACGCCTGTAATCCCAGCACTTTGGAAGGCCGAGGCGGGCGGATCACGAGGTCAGGAGATTGAGACCATCCTGGCTAACATGGTGAAACCCCATTTCCACTAAAAATACAAAAAATTAGCCGGGCATAGTGGCGGGCGCCTGTAGTCCCAGCTACTCGGGAGGCTGAGGCAGGAGAATGGCGTGAACCTGGGAGGCGGAGCTTGCAGTGAGCCGAGATTGCGCCACTGCACTCCAGCCTGGGCGAAAGAGCCAGACTCCGTCTCAAAAAAAAAAAAAAAAAAAGAGTGTTGGGTGCCTGATCCTCAGAGCATGCTGAAACACCCTCTCTGGGTTTTGCTGACACAAATGCAAAGGCTACCAATGCTAGGCCTTTGAAAGGGAGTGGAAGGCACTGGCCCCCAAATGGTAAAGTTGGTGAGACTTATCTTTCAGAAAAATTCCCCCTTGTTGATGTTTTATCCTTTGATCCAACATTATTATTCTTCCTTTTTTCCTCTCTAGAAATAAACTATTTACTCACTATTTACCTCCTTTACCTAAGGCATGCTTGTGTTTTTTTAAGTTAATATTTAATTGGAAAAGGAATCACTTGGGGTGCAGTGGGAATTTTGTCATATCAAGGTGGTCTTCCTGGACTCTCTCAAACCCTCCAAAGAAGCAATCACCTAATTCACATATGAGCAATGACAGGATGGCCAGGGGAGATTATGAAATTTTCAACATTTATGAAGGAGAGTGGATATTCCTTGAAATGAATGTTTGTTGAACACAGCAGAGATGAACTAAGACTGTGGGGGAAGCTTGATCGCAGTACCCAACCAAACCTAGAGCCCAGGGTTGCAGAAATCCACGAGGAAGAGTCCTCATGCCATGGGGTGAGCTGTCTATACCTGGGCAATGGCATTTTAGAATCAAGGGGCTGATTGATACTAAACTGAAACAATTCTTCAGTCTGGACAAGGTGAGAAAGCAGGCCAAAATGTGCTTTCAGAATTACAGGCATTATCGGAAATATATTTCAAGAAGGTTTTTCTCCTATAACACTGATATTATAACATGTTTTTTTGGGAAGTGTCACTTTGGTTGGAAGGGGTTCCTAAACCAATTTCTGAATCTCTTTCCGTACTGGCTCTAGTTCTGATGCACACAGAGCCTCCCTCAGCTTTTGGGCAGAGTCCATTTGAGACACATCATAGGATCGGGGTCTCCATGTCTTTAGCTCCTGTTCTCACTAAAGTAGGTGACAGTGAAGCCGAGTGTGAAAACAGCAACATAACTCCTATTTATCAAGCACAGACTGCATGCCAGGCACACTGCTAAGTATCTTGTATATATTATCTTTTTTGCAGGTTTATTGACATGTTATTGATGTACAATAGATTACATATGTTCAACACGTACAATTTGATGATTTTACATATGTACATACCAATGAAACCATCACCACAATCAAAAATGCACATATCAGTCACCCCAAAGGTTTTCTGACGACCCTTTTTGATCCTTCCCTTTCACCTCTCCCTGACCCATACCCTCAACCTCAGACAACCACTCACATGCTTTCTGTCACTATGGGCTGTATTTTCTAAATTTTTATATGATTGGAATCATGCAGTATGGCCCCTTTTTCATCTGACTTCTTCACTCAGCATTATTTTGAGATTTATTCATGCTATTACATATAATAAAAATAGTTCATTCCTTTATATTGGTAAGTATTTCATTGTATGGTTTTCCCACGGTTTGTTTTTCCAATCACCAACTGACAAACATTTGAATCATTTCCAGATTTAGAGCACATTAATTAAGCAGGTTTTAAAACTGAGGTAATTTGTCTCCTTTAATCCCTAGAATGAAGTTCCAGAAAACACACTTTCTGAAAATAGCCATGAGTCCAGAAGTCAAATTGAACCTTCTTCAAAAGACCAACCTCTTTCTATTAGCAGTCCAGGGATCCAGATGCTTGCAAATGTCCAGTGCAGGCCGATCTCAGACACTCCTCACAACAGAGGGGTACTGATGGCTGAGTAGACGGTGCCTGGGGAAGGCTGAGCCCAAGGCACAGAAGCAGGCAGAGTCCAGTTCCCTGTTTCTCCAGCATCCTTAGGTACAAGCGCACCATCTTGCCCCAGTGCTGGAATTCTTCAGAACCAGAGTTGCATCCAGGTCTCTTCTCATTAAAGCACTTCTAATTCCATCACTCAGCCCCAGCACAGGATGGCGGGACTAGAGGAGGTTCCGAAGTAAGTCATCTAGTAGGCATGGGCAATAGAGGGATGATGCCAGTGGGAGGTAGGGGGAATGGGAGGCAAAGCTCCACACTGGAACTGCTGCCAAAGAGCATGGCGGCAGAGGCCTCTTCTCTGGCAGTGATCCCAGGTGCTGGTGGCGCAGGATGCTTTCACAGCAGTATTCAGGGCACCATGACGCTCCATAGGTTCAGCTTAGTGGACATAACACCCTCCATGGCCTGACCTACAATGATTGGCTCATGGCTTTTAGTTTTCACACAGTCACACCTCAGGGTGAGCCAGCTCTGCAATAGGATGCACTGCTTTGTCTGCAGCCTCACAGACCTGAAATGCACTCTCATGTCCTGTGCCTCAGTGCTGGCTGGGCCTTGGTCCTATTACATCTTGAACTCAAGGTAATACATCAGTGGCCGGGATTCACACTCAGAACCACCTTGAAAGTCTGTGCTGTTACCACCATGTCGCAGAGGTAGAAGTAGATGTCTGTATAAACAACCTTTGGGTAGCAGGTGGTCAGTTAGGCAGGAAAAATAGTTCTGCTACATTATATATATCAGGAGTATATTGACAGGAACATGTGTGTTGGGAATATATATGTCAGGAACAGCATGAAGAAAGAAAGGCTTTGACAGTTCTGAGCAAGCTACATCACACATCTTGCTAAAGTTTTTGCTATATGGAATTGGTCATTCTAGAGATGTCAGTTACCTAGCACAAGAATTGCAAAGAACAAGGTTGGCAATGGAAACCCTTCCTAAGGCAGAGAACTATGTGTTTAAGAACAGGGGCTCAGCAGCAGATGCCTAAGCTACACAGGCTAGGGCAAGCCACTGCCCTCTTGCGTCTGTTTTCTCATCTACAAAATATGAAAAATAACTGAATTTTCTTCAACACTTGTGAAGATGCAATGTGATGACAAATGTTGAGAGTTTAACACTGTGCCTATTTTGTGGTAAGAGCTCTGCTCTTACTCTGATAGGGGTATTCTCCTGCCTTCACACTTCAGACAGAAAAGCCACCCTCAGCAGCTTTCCGAGGACTGCAGAGGGTCAAAATGACCCCCTCTGTGGATTCGTAGAGTTTTCCAAAGAGGAGGGCAACCAGAAGTCAGCTCTGCTCAGAACTGCTCCAGTGAGATATTGGCATGTGGATGAAGGCTTATTTGCTTAAATCTACAGGGACAGATATGAAGGATTAATCTGAGCTCCTGGAAATTCTCTTTATAAGAATATTTATACTATACCCAGAACAAGGTTTTTCTTTGCCCATGTGAATAGAGATTGCTCTATTAACATTGAGAAATCCACAAGGCAAATTTAATATAAAGTGAGGATCTCTTTGTGCTTGTTTTCCGAGAGTGAAATATTCCTCAATTGCAGGCTTAACTCCCTGGGATATTCACAGTAAACATCCACACACCCTGCCCCACATGCACTTACACACATACCACCTAGATTACCTAGATTTGCTAGAAGACTTCTGAAATATTCTCCAGAGAAAGAACCTAGATTTGAGTCCTTAGGACAGGGGTTCTCCTTTCACCGATAACAGGTGAAAATTTTAATACTCCTTTCTTACCCTCTCCCTTGTGCTACCCTGTTTGGTGAAAATGTAAATTCGTACAATTTCCATGGAAAACAGTACGGATATTTCTCAAAGAACCATTCAATCTAGCAGTCCCAGTACTGGGTATCTACCCATATGAAAAGAAATCATTATATCCAAAAAATACCTGCACTTGCATGTTTACCACAGCACTATTCACAATAACAAAGATATGGAATCAACCTAAGTGTCCATCAATGGATGATTGGATGTAGAAAATGTGGGATATACAGATATGTGTGTGTGTATATATATATATATATATATGTATATATATATATATATATATGCACTATGGAATACTACTCAGCCATAAAAAAGAATGAAATCATGTCTTTTGCAGCAACATGGATGGAACTGGAGGCCATTATCCTAAGTGAAACAATTAAGACACAGAAAGACAAATACCACATGTTCTCATTTATAAGTGGGATCCAAATAATGTGTACACATGGACATAGAGAGTAGAAAAACAGATACTGGAGATTTGGAAGGGTGGGAGTGTGAGAGGGAGGTGAAGGATGAAAAATTACTTAATGGATACAATATACACTATTCAGATGTTGGTTACTCCAGAAGTCCAGACTTCACCACCATGCAACATATCCACATAACAAAATGGCACTTGTATCTCTGAAGTCTAATATATATATATATATATATATACATTTTTTCTTTTTGAGATGGAGTCTCGCTCTGTCGCCCAAGCTGGAGTGCAGTGGCGAGATCTCGGCTCACTGCAAGCTCCGGCCTCCCGGGTTCACACCATTCTCCTGCCTCAGCCTCCCACGTAGCTGGGACTACAGGTGCCCGCCACCACGCCCGGATAATTTTTTGTATTTTTTAGTAGAGACGGGGTTTCACTGTGTTAGCCAGGATGGTCTCGATCTTCTGACCTCGTGATCCGCCCATCTCGGCCTCCCAAGGTGCTGGGATTACAGGTGTGAGTCACTGCGCCCGGCAGATAGATATATATATATATATATATATATATATATATATATATTTTTTTTTTTTGAATGACCTACCAAGTCACTCAGACCTCAGCAAAAGATAGAAATTGCTGCCCTTAGTGATACAATCAGATCTCATTCACATTAATGTTGCTGGTCTTTCTTCATATTTTTGGGCAAGGGAGAGAGGGCCTCACTGTTATGTTTCTGACAACTAATCACTTTCTGTGCCCTCTGCCAGCTTGGGTACAATCAGCTTCCTCTGGCAGCCCATCTGGAAGTGAGTTCAATCGTCTGTATGTGGATGAGTGTATGTATATGTACTCTATTTCCTTTTATTAACATAGGGACCATTTCTCACCTTGTTTTCTAGCTTTGCAGCCAAACTGAGTACAGGGCTCTTATTGATTTTTGTGGCCTGGAGTTGGGTTTCTTTCAATGAAAATGAAACTTACTCAGATCAGTCCCATGGAGCATGGAGCAAGCAGAGAAATGAGCCATAAATTCAGGTGTACCCAAGTACGGGCTGCAGTTGGATTTTGTTCTTTCTTTGAGTGCAGGCCAAATGTTGCAGTTGGGCTTACACTGGCTGTACAGGGCAGATTTGTGGAGCTTTTACTATGAAACATACTTTCCATTATTCACCCTACTCACATGAGTTCTGCTAGAAAAAAGAATTCTCACTGTGGATTTGAGTTTACTAGTTCTGAGGCCAGTACATTTGAAGTGGAGAGGCATGAAAAGGGGGAGGTTTTCTACTCTATCCCCATGTGTTTATCATTGCTGAGCACTTACGTGTTAGGGAAGGAAGAAATGTTCTTATACTGGATTAAACTTTGCAAATAGCATTATTGTTCTGTAGACCAATAGGGTTTTATTTTTTAAAGTCAATGAAATTGACAACTTTTGGAAAGGATTTGAACTGTATTTCTGCTATTTCTGTTAGACAAACACAGCTGAATGACTTCTTAACTCTCTTGTTGGAGTGTTGGACTTGGTACCTTTATTAAAGGCCACTGGATTGAATTGTTATATTCCAGGGATGGGGTTTGACCTAATGGAATATCCATATCTATGCAGGGTGAGTGGATTTCTTATCTAGAATGAAACAACCAGCCAGCCAACTCCTGAAGTTGAGAACATGACTCTGGCTCTTCTCTTAACTTCCAAAGGGATTAAATTCCATAAAACCTTTTAACCTCAGAGTTTCACATGTTGAAAAGAGCAGAGCCTGCAGGGGTCGCTCATTCCAAGTATCTTTCTTTTAGTTATTTTTTTGATGATATGAAAAGACTGCTGACTGATTGTTTGCTGTTTTTAAACAAAACTTCTGTGAAGAGAGTCAAGGTAGAATTTCCTCTTTGTATTTTGTTTGCTTCCTTTCTTTCCACTTCTCTTTGCTCATCTTGCCAAAACTAACGTTTCTCTATGGCTTTGGTATGCTTTATCCTGTAGCAGGACTTTTGATCTCTAAAGATTTAAAGTTTGGAATAAGCATTGGTGGCCTTGAGTTTGCAAAAATCTTTCTTAATCTCCTTAATGTCTTGCTTTTTTGAACATGCCATTGCCCAGTAATGTGGCTTCCCTTATGTAAGTCCAATTAATCAGTTCAACACAGTATTGGAAAAATATCTGGTAAATTTGGAACGGTATAGCTAGGCTGAAATAAGCTTTTAAGAAGTCATGAATTCACTGTAAGTGACTCTCAGAACTTTGCCTATAGAACTGGCTTAGGAATCCAGATGGGGCCCTGAATCAAGGAGAGAGTATCTCTCATTCTTAATTCTAGTTGCTATTGATTTAGCAACTCTTAAGGAAGCATGGTAATCTTTCCTTTTCCCCAATTTGTTGTTCATTCTCCTTCAGAGGAAAGGTCGTTCTCATTTGTTGGTTATTGTGGAGCAACTTAAGCACAAAACCAGAAATATCAATGCTCATAGCTAATCTCCACGTGGCCAGCACCTGTGTTCTGTTTCGACACCTGGGCTCATCTGTGCAACCACCTGCAAATCCTGACCACTGATCATGAAGTGAGTTAAGTGTGTTGATAAACCAAGCAGATTCACTTCACTCCTGGAAACCTACTGTATTAGTCCGTTTTCATGCTGCTGATAGAGACATACCTGAGATTGGGCAATTTACAAAAGAGGTTTAATTGGACTTACAGTTCCACGTGGCTGGGGAGGCCTCACAATCATGGCAGAAGGCAAAGAAGAGCAAGTCACATCTTACATAGATGCCAGCAGGCAAAAAGAGAGAGAGCTTGTGCAGGGAAACTCTCCCTTATATAATCATCAGATCTCGTGAGACTTATTCACTATCAGGAGAATAGCACAGGAAAGACCTGCCCTCTGTGATTCAATTGCCTCCCACCGGGTCCCTCCCACAACACCTGGGAATTCAAGATGAGATTTGGGTGGGGACACAGCCAACCCATATCACCTACCATCAAGGAAAACTACGCTGTTTGAAAGTCTTTGACAGGTTATTTTGAATTTATATTAAGGATTATATTTTTCTTAAGTATCTTGTGAAAAGTTTTTAAAAGTACAGTTGTAGGAAAACAGGGCCTACTTGATAACATATAAGGGTTAGGTCACTTTTTAAAAGACATAAAGCAGTTTACTTTTGCTGAAGTAGCAAGGTCTATAGTTCCTGAAATCCTAGAATTCCCTTATTCTGATAAGACTGGGTATTTAATGGTCAAGGTTCTGAGTTGCCAACAAAAGAATCCATTCTGATTAGTTTAATCAGGAAGGGGGTTTATTCAAGAATATTAGGTAGATCACAGAAAATCAAGGAGGGGCAGACAGTAGGCTCTGAGCCATTCAGGAACAATCGTGGACACACAACAGGAGCTTCTTGAGCAAATTTTCCTTTGCCACTATTGCTTTGTATCAATGAGGAAACCAGGATGGATACCAGCAGCTTCTCCCTATTCTGATCTTGAAGATCTAGAGGCCTCCATCATCATATCAATTTCTCTCCATGCAGCCAATTCCTTGGGTTGCTAATTTCCAAAATCTAAGACTATCATGGGTAGATCTGATTGGTGGAATCTAGGTTACCCTAGCTACAAAAGAGTTTCGGTGTGGAAGATTTCTAGCTTCTACCTTGGGAAGGTGCAACTTATCATATGGGATATTACTAAAAGGTAGAGAAGATATCATTAAAATTAAAACCATTTATGCTTCAAAGAATACCATCAAGAAAATGAAAAGACAACTCACAGAATGGAGAAAAGCTTTGAAAATCATATATATGATAAGAGACTTGCATTTCTTGCCTATAAAGGAATCTTACAACTCAATAACGAAAAGAAAAATAACTGAATTAAAAATAAGCAAAAGATCAGAATATACATTTCTCCAAAAAAGATATACAAATGGTCAATAACACATGAAAGATGCTTAACATCATTAGCCATTAGGGAAATGCAAATCAAAACTGCACTGAGATACCATTATGAATCCACTAGGATGGCTATAATAAAAAAGACAGATAACAGCAAGTGTTGGTGAAGATGTGGAAAAAGTGGAACTCTCATGAATTGCTGGAAATGTAATATGGTGCAGCCACTTTGGACAACAATCTGGCAGTTCTGCAAAAGGTGAAGCATAGAGTTACCCAGCAATTGCACTCCTAGATATATAGTCAAGAGAATTGAAAATGTAAGTCCACACAAAATCTTTTACATCAATATTCATAGCAACATTCTGCAAAATAGCTAAAAAATGTAAACAATCCAAATGTCCCTCAGCTAACTAATGGATCAACAAAATGTGTATATCTATACAACGGAAGATTATTTGGTCATAAAAGGAATGAAGTACTGATGTATGCTACAATATAGGTGAACCTGGAAAACATTATGGTAGGTAAAAGAAGCCCATCACAATGGATCAGATATTGTATGATTTCATTTCTTTGAAATGTATTCTTTTTCTAGGGCTGCCACAACAAAGTACCATAGACTTGATGGCTTAAACAACAGACACGGATTTTCTCACAGTTCTGGAGGCTAGAAATCTGAGATCAAGACACCAGCAGGGTTGGTTTCATTCTGAAGCTGCTCTTCGTGGCTTGGGGATCCCATCTTCTCCCTGTGTCTTCACATGGTCTTCTCTCTGTGCCTGTGCCATAATCTCTTCTTTTAAGGAACCAATTGTATTGGATTAGAGCCCACTTTGGTGACCTCATTATTACTTAATTACCTCTTTCAAGACCCTGTCTTCAAATACAAATAGAACCACAACATATGAATATCAGGGGGACACAATTCAGCCTTTAACAGTCTATAATAGGAAAACATATAGAGACAGAAGATTAATGAACAGATGGTTGTCGTATTAGTCCATTTTCACGCTGCTGACAAAGACATACCTGAGACTGGGCCATTTACAAAAGAAAGAAGTTTAATTGGACTCAGTTCCACGTAGCTGGGGAGGCCTCACAATCATGATGGAAGGCAAGGAGGAGCAAGTCACATCTTATGTGGATGACAGCAGGCAAAAAGAGAGAGCTTGTGCAGAGAAACTCCCATTTTTAAAACCATCAGTTCTCATGAGACTTATTCACTATCATGAGAACAGCATGGGAAACACCTGCCCCCATGATTCAGTCACCTCCCACCGGGTCCCTCCCACAGCATGTTGGAAGTCAAGATGAGATTTGGGTGGGGACACAGCCAAACCACATCAGTTGCCTAGGGCTGGACAGTGGTGGGAGGTTTGGGAGATGATGGTTAATGGGTCCAAGATTTCCTTTTGGGGGCAAAAACTGGAAGCATTCCCTTTGAAAACTGGCACAAGACAGGGATGCCCTCTCTCACCGCTCCTATTCAACATAGTGTTGGAAGTTCTGGCCAGGGAAATTAGGCAGGAGAAGGAAATAAAGGGTATTCAATTAGGAAAAGAGGAAGTCAAATTGTCCCTGTTTGCAGATGACATGATTGTATATTTAGAAAACCCCATCGTCTCAGCACAAAATCTCCTTAAGCTGATAAGCAACTTCAGCAAAATCTCAGGATACAAAATCAATGTACAAAAATCACAAGCATTCTTATACACCAATAACAGACAAACAGAGAGCCAAATCATGAGGGAACTCCCATTCACAATTGCTTCAAAGAGAATAAAATACCCGGGAATCCAACTTACAAGGGATGTGAAGGACCTCTTCGAGGAGAACTACAAACCACTGCTCAATGAAATAAAAGAGGACACAAACAAATGGAAGAACATTCCATGCTCATGGGTAGGAAGAATCAATATCGTGAAAATGGCCATACTGCCCAAGGTAATTTATAGATTCAATGCCATCCCCATCAAGCTACCAATGACTTTCTTCACAGAATTGGAAGAAACTACTTTAAAGTTCGTATGGAAGCAAAAAAGAGCCTGTGTCACCAAGTCAATCCTAAGCCAAAAGAACAAAGCTGGAGGCACCACGCTGCCTGACTTCAAATTATACTACAAGGCTACAGTAACCAAAACAGCATGGTACTGGTACCAAACCAGAGATATAGATCAATGGAACAGAACAGAGCCCTCAGAAATGATGCCGCATATCTACAACCATCTGATCTTTGACAAACCTGAGAAAAACAAGCAATGGGGAAAAGATTCCCTATTTAATAAATGGTGCTGGGAAAACTGGCTAGCCATATGTAGAAAGCTGAAACTGGATCCCTTCCTTACACCTTATACAAAAATTAATTCAAGATGGATTAAAGACTTACATGTTAGACCTAAAACCATAATAACCCTAGAAGAAAACCTAGGCAATACCATTCAGGACATAGGCATGGGCAAGGACTTCGTGTCTAAAACACCAAAAGCAATGGCAACAAAAGCCAAAATTGACAAACGGGATCTAATTAAACTAAAGACCTTCTGCACAGCAAAAGAAACCACCATCAGGGTGAACAGGCAACCTACCAAATCGGAGAAAATTTTCGCCACCTACTCATCTGACAAAGGGCTAACACCGAGAATCTACAATGAACTCAAACAAATTTACAAGAAAAAACAAACAACCCCATCAAAAAGTGGGCAAAGGACATGAACAGATACTTCTCAAAAGAAGACATTTATGCAACCAAAAGACACATGAAAAAATGCTCATCATCACTGGCCATCAGAGAAATGCAAATCAAAACCACAATGAGACACCATCTCACACCAGTTAGAATGGCGATCATTAAAAAGTCAGGAAACAACAGGTGCTGGAGAGGATGTGGAGAAATAAGAACACTTTTACATTGTTGGTGGGACTGTAAACTAGTTCAACCATTGTGGAAGTCAGTGTGGTTGATTCCTCAGGGATCTAGAACTAGAAATACCATTTCGCCCAGCCATCCCATTACTGGGTATATACCCAAAGGATTATAAATCATGCTGCTATAAAGACACATGCACACGTATGTTTATTGCGGCACTATTCACAATAGCAAAGACTTGGAACCAACCCAAATGTCCAACAACGATAGACTGGATTAAGAAAATGTGGCACATATACACCATGGAATACTATGCAGCCATAAAAACTGATGAGTTCATGTCCTTTGTAGGGACATGGATGAAACTGGAAACCATGATTCTCAGCAAACTATTGCAAGGACAAAAAACCAAACACCGCATGTTCTCACTCATAGGTGGGAATTGAACAATGAGAATACATGGACACAGGAAGGGGAACATCACAATCCGGGGCCTGTTGTGGGGTCAGGGGAAGGAGGAAGGATAGCATTAGGAGATACACCTAATGTTAAATGACGAGTTAATGGGTGCAGCACACCAGCATGGCACATGTATACATATGTAACAAACCTGCACATTGTGCCCATGTACCCTAAAACTTAAAGTGTAATAAAAAAAAAAGATTTCCTTTTGGGATAATGAAAATATTGATTGATGTAATGGTTGCAAAATTTTGTGAATATACTAAAAGCCATTGCATTGTACACTTTATATGGGTGAATTGTGTGGTATGTGAATTACATCTCAATAAAGCTGTTACACAAAAGAAAAAGAGGAGGGAGTTCAGAGATATTAGGTGGCCACAAATAATCAGTGTCTATTACACTACCTTCAGCTGAGAAATTAAGAACAAGCTAGGAAATAACACCCCATGGTCTCCTGGACTAGGCCGAAGTGTCCCCTTTCCTCAGCCTAATTCTAAATCAACTTGACATGCCCAGTGGGAACACTGGCATTGCTGCTCTTTTGCCACAATGCCAATGTCCTTCTGGAATCTTTGGGAACGAGGCAACTGGCTGTGACCAATGTCATCCCTTTGATGTCCAGGATGCATGTGGCCACCCTGGTAAGCACCCCTTTCCTTAGCCAAAGCTCTGAGTGCATCCCTGAGGACCTATATATGGTAGAGGAGGGAAAGAGGTTCTCAGAGACATAGTTTTTTCAGTCCTGGAATATTTGTATTTTCCAGTTAAGTGGGCATTCATTAGCCACATAACACCATTTTGGTCAACAAAAGACTGCATATTGGAAGGTTGTCCCAGTAAAAAATACTGTATTTTTACTGTACTTTTCCATGTTTAGATATATGAATGCTTATCATTGCATTACAACTGCCTACAGTATTCAGTACATTCAGTACATGCAAGTACCCTCTATGGTGTTTACACAATGATTAAATCATCTAACAATGCATTTCTCAGAACATATCCTCCTTGTTAAGCATTGCATGTCTGTACTTCAAAAAATGTTTAACCTAGAAGGCCATCTCTGTAAGATTCAACAGAGCCTGCCCTGGTTATTTATTTTGCTTTTTTACAGCATTATCCCTTAATCCCTGTTTGGCTCTTCTGCATTACAAGGCCTCTTACTCATCTCCACTGTGGACTTCCCTCAGACTCTAGTCACTTGCTAATTGGCTTGAGATTTTTTTTTCCTTCTTGTGAATGTATTTGCAGTATTATCATTGCTGTAATAGAAGTATGTATAGGAGAAAGTACTTGGTAATGGGTGGAGGTGGAGGAAAACTGTCAATGAAAGCTTTTTTAGAGTAGAATATTTTGGATTTGTGAGTCTTTAAAGATTGATGGGGAAAGAGAAGGGAACATGGGGAGATGTGGAGGAAGAGGAAAGAACCCTCCAGCTACATGAGCAAAGTCAAGGGTACTTGACATAGTCCAGAGCGCCAGGGCAGCTGTGAATAGTTTGATTTGGCTTCAATGTAGGCTGCAAAGTGGGAATGGGGCAAGAGGTGAGCCTGGACAGGTGGGCTGGGCCAGAGGAAAACCCGTAGAGCCAGGGGAGCAGGAGAGAGGCTGTCTAGGCCAGCTGTGTTACAACATACCCTTAAGGCATAAGGGATGATTAAACTAAAAGGTTGATGGACATTTTTCTGTGACTGGCTTCTTTTGATTCATCCTGAAGTCTGCTAAATTATTCCAGAATATGGAATCCAGGAACTCTTTTGTGGAGCAATGCAGTGAAATTAGCCCTCATGAGTATTCACAATGAGTATCCAGATAAGCTTAAAATCCATGCAGATAGGTAGAGAAGGAAGCAAAGAGGCAGCTTGAGAGCTCCTGGGTGAAAGGGAAGAAAAAGCCACATTCCATTGCCCGGAGCATAAGTCATAGATGGCCCTGCCCCAAGGGGCTTCAGGAAAACTAAATCCAACCGGCAGAGATAAACCAAAAGTGACTGCAAATGTTTTTTGCAAAACTTTTAAAGGATACTCCCCTAACCCCAGTGATCCCACTTCTTCCTCTGGATTCAAAGTCAGACATCTTAGAGCTAGAGGCACCAGTCATGACAGATGAACCACACTTCTTCCATCCATCCATCATTAATCTATCCGTGTAACTATCCATTCATAATCAGGCCTTTGAATCTCTGGGTTCTATATAATATAGTCCGCGCTCCTGACTTTTGATTGGAAATACATATGCATGCACACACACATACACACACGCTTTTATTTTACAATGAATAAGTGAATGTCTAATAATGAAAATCAGCCTTCTTCGTAAGTACCAAGGGAGTATTTTTATATCAGAAAACATTTAATGACAAGGACAACATCAGCACTTCCTCTGAACATCCTACTTATAAACACTCTTACTTCTTAATTAACCTCCCCATTTTCCAGTAAATGAAGCCTGTTTTCCTAATAGAACTCCCCCATATCAATTTTTGGGTGTCTGGAATAATTTTTAATGACTATCTAGTTATTGTATTTTAATCTCCTCCCCCAAATCTAAGTGATAAATGCCTCACCATTTTCTTCAGATACACACCCCAGCCCTTATTCAAATCACAGTCCTTCACTCACAGTCAGGAACCCGCACACCTGGGAGTTTGTCGAAGAAACACCACCTTGTGTCTCTGCCCATCTCAACTCCTGTCATCTCTGAGCAAAGCAATCTTACTCCCATCTATGACTCCAGTTCTACATCATTGCACTCCCTTGTTTGGGGGAAGTGGACTAGTGGGACAATTTCCCAAGTTCTATTTTGAGAAAGGGGCAAGTTCATTAACTTTGATCAGGATGGGATGGGGAACACTGAGTGATGTATTTGGCAGATCTTTACACTCATATCTCTCTTGGAATCCTAAGATGATAGACAGATTAGAGAGTAGGGGGAGAGGAAAACTTTTTTATGATTAAGAGAGGCTTCATTGAGAACCTTTTTATGTGTTTGACCTTCTCTCCCCTGGTCCAGTTGCCCCTCGTGGAGACTCCACAGACCTCTGTTTATATCATTCACAGGATGTGCTCCCTGAAATAAGCTGAATAATATCCACCAAGATGTCCATGTTCTTATCCCCAGAACCTGTCAATGTTACCTGATGTGGCAAAGGGGGCTGTGTAGATGCAACCAAGTTAAGGATATTGATTGACCTGGGAAGATTCTTCTGGATTATCCTAGTGGGCCCAATGTCATCATAGTGGTCCTTATAAGAGGAACACAGGAGAAGCCCATGTCACACGGAAGTAGAAGATGTGATGATGGAAACAGAAGGTTGGAGTGATGCAGGGAAAAGGTCACAGGCCAAGGAAGGCAGGCAAACTTCAGAAGCTAGAAAAGGCAAGGAAATGGATTCTCCTCTAGAACCTCCAGAGTAAATCAGCCCTGCTAACACTTTGACTTTAGCCCAGTGAAACTGCTCTGAGATTTCTGACCTCCAAAACTGTAAGAGAATAAATTTGCACTGGTTTAGTCACCAAGTTTGTGGTAATTTACTACAGCAGCCACAGAAAATTAAAACATTCCACTTAATGACATTTCCACTCACAAATCCGTCTCTTTGAATAGAGACCACAAGCTCTTCTATATCTCCTAGCACTGGGCACCCTGTCAGTTAGTTCCTTCGGAATACAAGAAACAGAAACATCCCAATCAACTCCAATAAAGGATGTTCAATATAATGACACATGAGAAAGACAGGAATTGGCAAAACTGTCCCAGCAGCTGCCCTGCTAAGCCTTGTGGCCACTGGAACATCCTTTAGCAAACAGTGTTAGTTTTGGTCATTGGGCAGAAAGGTCAGTAACTCAGCAACATCAGTGGCTATTCCCTCAGACATGTCTGTTTTTGTGAGTCAATTTCTCTCTCCCCTGCTGCCACCAATTACCCAAGGGAGTATTTTTATATCAGAAAACACTTAATGACAAGATCCTGTATCTATTGTTTAAACTCTCTTTAAGAAACAAGCTGATCTTTTGATCTATCACCACCCAGGTGGGGGCAAAGCTGTCTCATGAAGCCAACTTTTCTTTGATGCTGGCCAACCTATAGATGGCTGTTTGGGGGTTGGGTGCTGACCCCTGGTTCAAGCAGCTATGGTCAGGATAACAGAGCTCAGAGACACCTCTCCAATCCACTGGTGCAGAATCCGCTCTCAAAAAATACTTTTTTGAAGGGAAGTGGCCCATGGAGGTACAAAAGAAATGTAAGATCTGGTCCCTGCCCATAAGAACTTTGTCATCTAGGAGTAGAAGGAAAATATATATAGAACAATTTTATATGGAGATACACACAGACACACACACACACACACACACACACACACATACACACAAATAGATATTTGGGAAATATATATGGAATAGGACAGCATTATATTCAATAGCCAAGTATCCTAATACAGTAAAGTATCCTTTGTTAGATAAATAAAATTAGAGGCCAGGAGCGGTGGCTCACACCTGTAATCCCAGCACTTTGGGAGGCCAAGGTGGGTGGATCACCTGAGATCAGGAGTTTGAGACTAGCCTGGCCAATGTGGCGAAACCCCGTCTCTACTAAAAATACAAAAATTAGCTGGGCATGGTGGCAGTGCTTGTAATCCCAGCTACTCAGGAGGCTGAGGCAGGAGAATCGCTTGAACCCAGGAGGCGGAGGTTGCAGTGAGCCAAGATTGCACCATTGCACTCCAGCCTGGATGACAAGAACACAACTCCAGCTCCAAAAAAAAAAAAAATAAAATAAATAAAAATAAAAAAAATAGAGATTATTACATTATCAATAGCCTTTTTTCTTCCCTAATGAGATATCTTGGCCTATATGAATTCACTTTCATTTCCATGTTTCTTTTGAGCAGTTCCAAGATTTAGCTTCTAATAGGGAATGTAGTAGTTAGGTTTGTTAGGGTTGTAAGCATAGCAGGGTAAACTGAGGCTTTTTTCCCCCTTGCCACCTTTCTGTACCTCTGTAGTTATAGAAAAAAATAGAGGATATAGAAAAAATATTTGTAAAAACCTACTGTTTAGGGAGAAGCAATCTAAGCATGGCACCTTGTATGTTCACCTTTTAAAAGAAACCTTTGTAATGGCACAATGTCAGGGCCATAGGTTCTCATGAGAAACAGCTATGTTATGTTACTAGAAGTATAAAAAATTGAACCCAACTGGGAGTCTTTGAAGATAAACAAATCCCTAAGGTGAGGTGTGTTTAATTTCAGGAATTTGGGAGAAGAAATCTCAGTTAAGAGAAGAAGTTCCCATACCTTTTCCCCATTGAGAAGCCTAGACCCCTCTTCTCCCTCTCCTCCCAGGAGTCTGCAGTCAGTGGGGAGGAAAGCCAGAGGCATCCTGAGAATGCCTGACACAGCCAAAACTGCCCAATCACTAGAAGAATCTTAGGGCCTGGAGTCAAATTATTTTTATAGGAAGGAAAATGTTCCCTGGAAAAAAATGGGGAAAGTAGAGGCATTAAAATGGCAAAGGGGGACATGGGGAAAAAGGCAGAGGGTGGAAGGAGGGGAAGAGAAAGAAGGGTGGGTGAAGAAGAAAGGGCATGTCCTCAAGGAACACCCTAAAGGGCCTGGGCAGTGAGGTCTCACCTTTTGTGCATTGTAAAGGAAAGAGGAACTAGAGTGGGCCCACAATGCTTGATTTCCTCTCTTTGGTTGGGTAAGCTTTGAGAACAAGACAGAAGCCCTTCAGTGAAAACTGGCTTCACTCTTCCTCCAAACACTGGGTGCTCTTTGTTTGAGGAAGCAGGGAAAAGAAAGATGGAAGGGAGGAAGGATAATTCTGGTCCCCCATGGTCAGTAGGCAGGCATGGGTCAGTTTCTTCAAGGGTGCTGAGATGGTGTAAAACAGACTGGGGGAAGAATAATTGGAAGGCATACCTGGAATCAATAGCTCCAAACCATCAAGTCAAAAATGCATGAAATGTTTGGGTGGAGAAACAGGCACAGACAGGGTGCCTCTTCAAGTCGGCATTATCTGTTACAGAACAAACTGAATATATAGGCATCATTTTAACACTGCATAGCCAAAGAGTCCCAGAAAAGTTTCTGGTAAGCAGGAAACGGTGAATGGAAATCAATCATCACTAACTCGATATGCATAAAATATTACTATAGTCTCATTGTTTAATATTCTGCCTTTACTGACTTTAATGAATATAATCTTATTTGCCATGAATTTTATAGATTTATGCGTGACCTCAGCTTTCCTAATCCAATTTTTCTCATAAGGTTTACATATTCCTCAATGAGAAATTCTTCCAAGATAAAAGTTTTCACAAAATCTCCACAGTTGGTCATGAACAAAATATTATTATGGCCAAGTGGTGGAGCACTGCCATTAGCTGACAAATAAGTTAGAGGTGTGGCAGATATTTTGAGAGGATAATAATAATGGCCCTTATTTATTGATTACTACTTACAGCCTCTGTGCTCTACAGTCTCTCATTTAATCTTTCCAACAACACGGTGAGGTGTTGTTATCCCCACTTTGCAGATGTGAAATCTGAGACAAGGAAAGTGTGAGTGAGTTGCTCAAAGTTTCATTAACTAATAAGTAGCAGAGAGGGGGTTTGAACCTAAACCCCTCTGAATCTGAAGCGTGTATGTGCCGCCGGAAGGTGGGGCGGTGGAGAGAGCTTGTGATGGGCCTGGAGGGATGGGTGGGAATTTTATGTGGAAAGTCAAAGAGGAGAAATTCAAACTGGGCCTGAGAGGGAGGAGTAAGGGCAAGGAGGGAGAGCTGGGGAGGCCAACCTCCTTGGGACAAGGTTCACTCCAGAACCCAGCTAAATCTGAAGATGGAAACTGAGTGAGGGCCAAATGAGGGAGCCCTGGAACCACAGGCTGAGGAGTTTCCACATGATTCATCACCGCAAAGGGTGTTCTTGGGATTTCTAGTCTTCGTTTGAATGATGCAAGCAGTTCATCTCATTTAAGAATCCTTTAGGCCATTTTAAACGTGATTGTTTTTAGCAACAATGATTTTGGCAGGAAGTGAAGAGGCTGAAGTGTAGAGGGAGGGAGGAATAGGGATAGAGAGAGTATGGTGGTTCAGTAGGCTAAAGGAAAATATTTTGAGAAAAGTAATCACTCATGTAAACTGATTTTCCTAATTTAATTTCCCTGGGACAATGTCAGGCCCTGCAAATACAGGGAGAGGAGCAAGGGAAGAACAAATGGATTCTTTCACTTCTGCAGAAGCCTTCAGCTTGGATTCAGTTGAGAGGTACATGGTGGCTGATTTTTGCAATCAAGCTGAGGAGTTTTCATCTTAAGCTTGGACCTTCATAGCTGATCATGGCAGCTGACTTCTGTTTCCAAATCAACTATCCTCGCTCTGGGGAGGTGAGCTCTTGGAGTGGACTGCTGGTTGTGAGTCCTGTTTCAGGAGACCATTTAGTCAGGGCAGCGGAAACTGGTGGATTTTATTCAGGGCCTCTGTGCCAGACACCTATTTATGTTATGTCATTTGGTTCCCCCAATAATCTTGTAAAATTACGATTCCTCTGCAACAGCTGTTGAAACAGGCTCAGCACAAGCACCAAAGAGTACAGAGCTAGAAAGCAGAGGAAAAAGGATTTGAACCTGACTCTTTCTAACTCCAAGGTCAGCGCTCTTTCTTCCCTATCACTGTAGACTGCAGGTTAAAACAAACAACCAAACAAATTAAGCACAGGAGACAGGGAGAGGGAGAAGGAGGAAATACCATGATTAGATTCTAAGGAGAACAAAAGAAAAAAAAATCGAAGAAGTTTGCCTAGTTTAGATGCAAGGTTAGGTTAAGACCTGTAACTTTTGGCCCCCAGTGGAGTGGTCAACATTGAGCTGGGGGCTGACAAATGTTCTGCTCTCCTCCAGAATTTGACTCTTCTAAAAGAAATCTCTCCACACCCCATCTTTCTCTCTCTCTCTGTCTCTCCTTCCCAGAAAGAAATGAACCTGAAGCACCCCTCATGATGATGTGAGCATGCTGGATTGCTGCAAGGGCCTTAATCCCTGGGAGATTTATATCTGTGACTTCACTATGAAAACAAAACTATCTTCCCCGCCCTGTCAGGGTGCAACAATTAGAAAAGAATGTGAGGTTTACTTTTGACGAAGCATGTGGTTCATAATAGAGCCTCTTTTACCAATGGGATGATTTGTAGCTAAAATATAAAAACCATGGGCTGAAAAGGAAAAGAATAAAGAAAACATAACAGAATTCCTATTACCCCTCTCAGAACAGGGAAACAAAGGGTAAGCTTTGACAATGAACTATAATACATTTTTGAATATTTTGTTCTGCATTAAGATGCAGTATTTTTTTCTGCATTAAGACTGTAAGTCATTGTGCACTTGGAAGTTGGTTTTCTATTAATTTACATAGGATGGACCTACTTTCCCTGTAATTATAAAAACATCTCAAGACATGCATGACAGGTGTTCAGAGAATGCCACTGATTTCTGAGCCACTGTAGATAATTACACATTAATATGGATGGTATGAGGACTTGATCTGATCCCATTCTACACCTGTGAGGATAATGGGACTTCCACCCCTTAGGTCACGTGGGCATAATGACTTCAGGTAGTCTTAAGGCAATACAGTCTTAAGCCAATGAGGGTCATAGCAGTAACAAGCTAGAAACTCTGAACAGTTAGGTAGTCTGGAGGCAGTAGGGCTCAGGGTAATAGTCAAGGCCCAGGCAAGATGCAGACTCAAACAGTCTGAGGTTGTCATGATCAGAGATATCAGAAAAGACTGAAGACAGTCATAGAACCAAGGAGAGCTCCATGGGAGCTAGCAGAATTTTCAAAACCTACTACTATCTGCTCCTTAACATGGTAGGGGCCGTGTTTTGCACCCTACTCCGTTCCCCAATATCTGCCATAGATCCTTACCCTAGAGCCATGCACATCAGGGGTTGGTTGAACACCTGAAGTCTTTGATCATCATTTACACTCCTGGGCATCAAGTCTATGCTACCAAAAGAAATCCCAATGGGAAAAAGCCATCTCCTAGCTTTTTGAGTAGCAAAATTATCTAGGAGCTCATAACCTTTCCATTTCCATAGCTGAAATCTGCCTGACATTCTCCACTTGGAGTTGAAGTCCAGTTTGATTGAGGTGGGGTAAGTGCTTCATTTTCTAAAAATGGACTGGTTTGAATCCCAGTGTGGTCTAAACTTAGAAACTGAGACCTTGACCTCCTTTTCAACTTTCTGCTCCAGAGAAAGTTACTAATAATCAGCTGCCTAACTATACCAAACCACTTTGGAAGCTCAGTTGAGCAACACACATACTAGAGTTGGTGTTATATGCAGTAGATTGACAGGGTCCTTTCTCAAGGGTAAAACAAATGCTTAAATCATTTCATATTTTTCTCCTTCCTTCCCCTGAGCTTCTGCAATAATTCACATGCATTTCTGTTAGTTCTTATCATGTATTGTTTTAATTACTTGATTTTTAAACTGTGAACTCTTTGTGGATATAGATCAAGCTTAGAGCCTGAGACATAATAGAACATTATATAACAGTTGCTGATGATCGCTTGAGCCCAGGAGTTTGAGACCACCCTGGGCAACATACTGAGACCCCATTTCTATATTAAAAAAAAAAAAAGAATCTGATGCTCAGCTGTACAAAGTGCAGTTAGTGAACAGCCTCCATCGGCAGTGCCTTCAGATTGCATCCTGGGCATTGGAACTGATTCCACGCTCTGCTGCAGCTCCCAGGCAATGACTGAGCTTGGTGGGGGCACTAGGGTGTGTCCATTTCTGCCCAATGTGGAACTCTTCTAGTGACCATCTGTGTTCTAGGGTTTCCATTGGGTTGAGCTGAGGTTTTCCTGGCCCCATTTTGTTTCCTCTTCCCTTGCATTTCAGATATCAGACATTCATCACAGTCTGAAGACTTTCTATGCCCCATGCTACTCTCTCCCCTTTTATCTTTCACAGACTTCACTTCCCAATAAATCTCTTACACTCCTATCTCCACCCCCTGAGTCTGTTTCCCAGAGAATCTGTACTAACACACCTACACAATGCCTCGGGCAGATATATTATCTTCCTTAAGGCATGATGGAGAGATTTCATTAACTTGAATGCACAGTGTCTCCTACCACAACTGTAGCCTTGTTGAAATGCCCCCCGAAGAAAGCCATTGGATCCTCATGTTGTTCATGCAAAAATGCCATCTCATGGGGGTGGCTAGACCAGAGAATGGGGTATTCTAAGTCAGCATGCCCGACACTGGCTCTTTGCAAGCTTGGATCACAGCCTGAAAGAAACCTGAGCACTCCTCCATGGGTAGGGAGGAACACTGAACACATTTGGAGTTGATAAGGGAAACAACTGCATTTGAATGAGGTTTAAGAGGGTTCTTGGATGAGACCCTTAAGAAGTCTAGTGCTTTTCTTTCACTTTGGCATTTTACATTTTTTGGCACAAGATATGTTAATGCTTGGAATGAAGTTATCACAAGATACTTGTTTTGCCAAAGAACCAACTACTGCTTCAAGACTTACATCCCCTTCATCTCTTGTTTGCTTCTGCCTTGCCACAGATGCTGCACTCCTGTGATTTCTGGTAGTCCCACTGGTAGCCAACAGTGAGACAGGTGGAAGTCGAATTAAAGATATAGCCAAGGAAATCAAAAAGCCTGAGTCCTATTACTTATCCACTTGCTGCTTGCAATTTGGCATCTTTGATGACTGTTGGAACCCCTCTCCTTATTATGAGGCATTTCAGCTGGACAGCAGACACAGACTTCTTTTATTATATAATGCCTGATATGGTTTGGATGTTTGTCCCCTTCAAATCTCAGGTTGAAATGTGATTTTCAATGTTGGAGGTGGAGCCTGGTGGGAGGTGTTTGGATCATGGGGGCGGATCTCTCAAGAATGGCTTAGAAGCTCTGCCCTTGGTTATGAGTGAGTTCTCACTCTGGTAGTTTACACAAGATCTGGTGGTTTAGAAGAGTGTGGCACCTCCCCTCTCTTGCTCCCACTCTCACCATGTGACATGCTGGCTTCCCTTCCCTTCCACCATGATTGTAAGCTTCCTGAGGCCATAGATGGAGGATGCTGGAGCTGTGCTTGTACAGCCTGCAGAACTGTGAGCCAATTAAACCTTTTTTCTTTATAAGTTACCCAGCCTCAAATATTTCTTTATAGCAACACAAGAACAGCCTAATACAATGCCTCAGTACTGGATGCTGAAAACATAATTTCTTCAGCTGTGACTTTGTGTGCTCAACTACATGGAAAACAAGGAAAATTTTAAAAAACCTCAATTCAGACATGCTTTAAGTTAATACAACAATAGGATGGCTGGTGCAGTTTTTTCTAATACTAGCTTTTCTTTTTCTTTTTTTAACTTTTAAGTCCAGGGGTACATGTGCAGGTTTGTTATACAGGTAAACTTCTGTCATGGGGGTTTGTTGTACAGATTATTTCATCACTCAGATATTAAGCCTAGTACCTATTAGTTATTTTTCCTGATCCTTTCCCTCCTCCCACTCTGGTGCACAGTTTTAAGAAGCAGAATATGTTGACAGAGCTGACAGCTTCCTCCATAGTGCCTTCCGTGACCTCTCCTTGGCTCCAGCCACACCAGTCATTCATCAACCCCATAGGCCCTTGGGCAGGAGTCTGTATAACTCCAGTTGGTTTTGCATATTTTTATGCCCTGTCTAGGAGTTGGAAGGAACTAGAGAGGTTGTTATAGAATAACCTCTCTTTGAAGGCAGGAAGCCCCTCTCATATAGAGTAGGCATCTCTTAATCAGGCATTAGGTTCTAAAGTCAGCATGTAGGGCAAAATCAGGTGTTGTCAACATCACCTTTGACAATCCTGACATGAGAGACTTGCAGGAGCTGAAGCAATGAAGGTGGGGGTTGGGTGGTAAGCAGAGCTGTTTCCCTGGTCTCACTCTTACCCTTGGGCATAAACAGCCTTATAAGTGGAATGGCAGGGAGGATCATCTACACTATTTAAAATTTTTTAAATGTTTATGTCAAAGTTACTCATGTGTATTTTATTAAATTAAACTATTTCACCAGGTTTGTTACAAAAATTATCAGCTTCCCCACCTTCACTTTCCCTTTCCCAGAAGCAATGATTTTCAGCTGAAATGACTGACCGTCCATACATGCTTGTATTGCTACTTTTGGGGTTTTCATTTTTAGGCATTATTTATTGATTTCCTACCATGATGGAAGACAGAGAATTTAGTTCTCTTTCATTCCTCCTCCCCACCAACCACCACACACTTTTTCAGTTTCCCCATCCTTCCATTGCAGTTATAATTTTGGTTGAATCACTATTCAGAGGTTACATTTTTATAACTATGTTAGTGGTTTCCACAGCTGAACCATGTTGTAAACATTTTTCCTTTCCTGAACAACCTTTTATTTTCCCTAGAGTTAATAATTATTTTTGGTCTTTTTGCTTGCTTGGTTTTCTATATACTTACATTAAAGTAACTTCAAACTCTTCACCAGTTGTCCCAATCTCCTGCCCGTATGTTCAAACGTATTGATGGTCAGTCAATTTCATCTCAGAGAATCTCCTGGAGCCTTCTGGCCTGTTCCTATATGGTCTGGTATTATAACTGCTGTCCTGGCTCACCCTTCCATATCATCCTGGGCATATCTTTGGCCTTTATACTGTGTTGGATCTTCTCTTTCCTGTACCCCATGTCCTTTTCTTTTTGGCTTAATCCCCTGTTATGATGGAGCACACCTTACAGAAACTTCTTAAGAAAGGATGGATAGAAAGTACATTTTTTGAAATCATGCATGTCTGAGAATGTTCTTATTCTATCCCATTTTACTGATGGTTTGTCTGAGTATAGAATTTCAGGTTGTAGATTGTTTTTGCTCAGAATTTTGAAGGTATTGCTCCGTAGTTCTAACTTCCAACATTGCAACTGCAAAGTATGATAAAATTCTAACTCCTGTTTCTTTGTAAGTGTATTTTCTCTCTGAAACCCTGTTGTATCTTATCTTTGTCCCCAGCATTCTAAAGTTTCATAATAATTTACAGTGATATTGGTATGTTTTTATTCATTGGGTTGGGCACTCTGTGGTTCTTTCAGTGTGGTAACTCATGTCTTTCAATTCTGGAAAGTTTTCTTAAATAATTTATGTGTTGATTTTCTTCCCTGATTTTATCTATTCCCTTTATCTGTGTCACCTATTGTTTGCATATTTGACTTCTTAAACTATTTTTTCTTTTTTCCTTCTATTTTCCATCTCCTTATCTTTTTGCTCTATTTGCTGAAAGATTTCTTCAATTTTACCTTTCAATCCCTCTGTAGAGTTTTTTAGTTTGATTCTCATATTTTTAATTTCTAAGAGCTCTTTTTTCTCTATGACTATTTCTTTTTAATAAACCGTCCTGACGTTGTTTCATGATTGCAATGTCTTCTCCCTAAAGATATTGACATAGGACTGGAATGTACATATACAGTCATGTGTCACTTAACAGCAGGGATATATCTGAGAAATGGATGGGTAGGTGATTTCATTGTTGTGAAAACATCGTAGAGTGTACTTACACAAACCTAGATAGTGTAGATTACTATACACCTAGGCTATATGGTACAGCCTATTACACCTAGGCTACAAATCTGTACAGCATATTATTGTACTGAGTACTGTAGGCAATTGTAACATAATGGTAACATAATGGTATTTGTGTATTTAAACATATTTATACATAGAAAAGTTACAGTAAAAAAATACACAGGCATTATAATCCTACGGGACCATCATGATATATGCAGCCTGTTACTGACCCAAACGTAGTTATACAGCACATGATTGTACATATGCTCTTTTCTCTTACAAAATCTTCACTTCCTCTAAATTGATTTATTTTTGTGTTTCTTTCCAACCAACAGAAGCAGGATACACATTCTTCTCAAGTGCACTTGAGACATTCTCCAGGATAGATCATATGTTAGGCCACAAAACAAGTCTCAACAAATTTAAGAAGATTGAAATAATATCAAGTATCTTTTCTAACCACAATGGTATGATAAAAATTAATAACAGGAGGAATTCTGGACAATTCACAAATATGTGGAAATTAAATGACATGCTCCTGAACAATCAACCAATGGGTCAAAGAAGAAATGTAAAGGAAAATTTAAAAATATCTTGAGACAAATGAAGATGGAAACACAACATTCTGAGACTTATAGGATGCAGCAAAAGCAGTTTCTAAGAGGAAAGTTTACAGCAATACATGCCTACATTAAAAAAGAAGCATCTCAAATAAACAACTTAATGTCATACCTCAGTAAACAAGAAAAAAGTAAAAATTAAACCCAAAATTAGAAGAACAAAGGAAATAACAAAGATCAGAGCAGAAATAAATGAAATAGAGACTAGAAAACAATAGATAAACAAAGTGAATAATTGGTTTTCAAAAACATAAACAAAATTGACAAAACTTTAGCTAGATTAACAAAGAAAAATAAGTAAAATTAGAAGTGAAAGAGGGAACATTACAACTGATACCACAGAAATACACAGAATCATAAGGGACTACTATGAATAATTACACAGCAGCAAATTCGATAACCTAGAAGAAATGGGTAAATTCCTGGAAACATATAACATACTAAGACTGAATCATGAAGAAATAGAAAATCTGAACAGATCAATAATGAGTAAGGAGATTGAACCAGAAATAAAAATATTCCATCAAAGAAAAACTCAGGGATTGCTTCAAGGCTAAATTCTACCAAACATTTAAAGAAGAATTAATACCAGTTTTCTCAAGCTCTTCCAAAAAAATTGAAGAGGAGGAATTCTTCTGAACTCATTTTACAAGCCAACATTACCCTGACACCAAAGCCAGACAACGACACAGCAAGAAAAGACAATTACAGGCCTATATGCCTAATGAACAAAGATGCAAAAATCTTCCACAAAATATGAGCAAACCAAATTCAATAGCACATTAAAAAGACCATTCACCATAATCAAGTGGGATTTATCTTTGGGATGCAAAGATAGTTTGACATATGCAAATCAATAATTGTAATATACTGCATTAACAGAATGAAGGAAAAAACATATGATTATCTCAGTAGATGCACAAAAAGCATTTGACAAAGTTCAACATCTTTTCATGATACAAACTCAACAAACTAGATAATGTACTTCAACACAATAAATGCCATATATAACAAGCCCACAGCTAACATCATACTAGTGCAAAGTTAAAAACTTTTCCTCTAAGATCTGGAACAAGACAAGGATGCCCACTCTCACCATTTCTATTCAACATAATACTGGAAATCCTAGCCAAAGCAATTAGGCAAGAAAAATAAAAGGTATCCAAATTAGGAAAAAGTTAAATTGTCTCTGCTCATAGATGACATGATTTTCTTTCTAGGAAACCCTAAAACTGTCACACACACACACACAAAAACTTGTTAGAATAAATGAATGCAGTAAAGTTACAAGAAACAAATCAACATACAAAAACCAGTAGTATTTCTATTGCTCACATTAGAAGCTTTCCTCATATGTCTGATGGTCTTTGCTTATGTTTACATGTTTGAGGCACTAAAAAACTGATTAAAGGCTTCAAAACATGGATGGGTCTTGTTGAATATAGTTTCTTTATAGGGTGATCTGGCTGGAACTCCCAATGTCAATATCTTAAGATGTTTCCTCTTGAGCTAGTCAGGTTTCCCAGAGAAGGTATGTCCAATCTTCTGCCTGTAAGGTGAACGCCTGGCTTCCAGTGTTCTGGCAGCTGATTGTTTTGGAAATTTTGTAGTATAAATCCAGTTCCCTCTCTGCTTTCCCAAAGCTGCCCAAGGATGTAGTTTTCTCTGTTTTGTTATTATTTACCACATGCTTCCAATACATTGCTATAATTGTCTCTTTTCTCATTCTTCTCACTCTTGATTTAAAATATCCAGGAGTTTGGGATGGAGTGAAAATAGAAGAATGCATTCAATCCATCATCTGAACCAGAATTCATGATTTTTGTTCTCTTTTCATTTTTGGCTTAACACAAAAAAATTGGATTCATATAATTTATACAATCATAAACATTTTCTTTCAAGGGTTTATAGTGATATTTGTTGAGTATCCTACAGTTTATAATTTTTTTCCACTCTAGATCCCATTTGGTTTTTACTATGTCCTAGTGTTATAGAAACTATTATTCCTCATTTTTAAGTATGAGAAAACTCAGGTTTAGAGAAGGTGTACCCTATTCAATTTTCAACACTTGGTAAGGAGTTGAGATAAGACTCTAAAACCAGATTTCCTGACTCCAAATTTGACTTTTCTTTTGTCACCTGCATTAGGCATTTTTTGTGAACAATTTCTGTGAGTTGAACTAGTCAATCTGCAATGCAATGCAGCCTTTTTCACCGGTGGATGGATGGTATTCAGCTGTCTTGGATGAAGCATAATGGGGTTGTAAAAGTTGAGGAATTCTGAGTCCAGGATGTTCAATGAGTGTTGAAGTTGTCCTTGGTGACGGCAGGTAGGCTATGAGTGAGATGCCAGAACTCCCAAAGAAGGATGGTAGTGACTGATGGGAGGTCAACAGATGACAGCAACAAGGCAGGCAAAAAGAACATGGTGTATCTGAGCAGCCTAAACCTCAAAGGAGGAAGAGATCTTAGTTTAGGTAGATGGTAGATGTGCAAAGAGAAGACTGGTGAAGGCTGACTTTGCAAAAGGCTGACCCTCCCTCCTGGTCCCTGTAAGAATTAGGTCTTACAGAATCCAAATAAGACAAGGAGGGGGAGGAAACATTGGGTGTATAGATTGAAGATGCAGATGGGATAATGATGAGAGAATGAGGTTTGGAAAGAATTGGGATGAGATTTAGTGAAAAGAAGAGTTGGGAGAAAGTAGGTTCAGAGCAATTCAAGGTTGTGTATGTGACCTTGAGTGAAATATTAAAAATCCTTGCAACCGGAGTAGTTGAGGATAGCAGCAAGGCACTTAGAGCTTTGTTTCAGTTTCTTCCTTTTTCCAATGGAAGCGTGTCTGTCTTCACCTGTAGCATGTCCTGGCTTGCCAGCCTGGCCCACAGGGCTCTTTCTCGTCTGTGACCGCCAAAGGCATTGCATGAAGGATTTGGTCTGAAGCCAAAGTAAATAGCAGCTGAGAGACACACAACAGTTGGTGTCTGGCTCAGATGACTCTGGCGCCTTCCTAGACAACACTCCTCCCCTCAAAATGTCTGCTTGGCTCAATGAAAATGAAAATTAACATTTGTACAGTGCTTTGGGGTTTACCAGCCACTTCCACACAAAGCACTTAATTTCATCCTACCAACTATGCTGGTGGTAAGTATTATGATTCCCATTTTACAGGTGAAGAAATCCTCAACTCCCTCCATGACAACTGAGTTACGTTCAGTAATTCATTAACTCACCCTGAACATCAGCTTTCTTAGTAATAAAATGGAGGTAAGACCTATCATGAAGTTGTTTTGAGAATTAAATAGGATTATATGTATACAATGCTTACACACAGTTGACATTCCATAAAAATGTTCATTCTATAGCCCCACTTAAATGAGTCATCCCAATTGGAGTCTCCATCTGCCCTTGCCAATAAGGAACAGGCCATTTCTAAAGGGTGAAAGGAATAATTTATAAATATGCAGCTTTAGTGACTGTGATATATTATGAGGATGGCCCCAGAAATTTCTTCCATTCCTAGATACATGCTTCTTTGCAATGTTAATTTGTCATCCAATAAAAGGCAGAGTCTATTTCCTCTGCCCCTTGAATTTTGGCTGGCACTATGATGTGCTTTGATCAATGGAATGTGGCAGAAGTGATATTGAGCCCTGAGTGTCTGCTTTCACCTTCTTGATGCCCTGTGACTCCCAGGCTTAAGAAAACCCAGACTGGTCTCCTTGAGGATGAGTGATCACATGGAGAGAGTGTCCTACTCATCGCAGTAGTTCCAGTCATCTCCACTGAGGCCCAACACATGTGATTGAGGCTGGCTGGGACCAGTGAGTCTTTCTCCAACTCCCCACACCTTCACCTGCCAACTGACTGCAGTGAACATGACCTCGGGTGAGACTGGCAGAGGAACTGCCCAGCTGAACCTGGTCCAAATTACAGAAGCATAAGCAAATACATGGTTTACATGGTTGCCATTGTAGGCCACAAATTTTGAGGTAGACTGTTGTGAGGAAATAGATAAGCAATACATGATTAAGGTGAGACAGAAGGAATACGTTTAGAGGGTAAGATTGTACAGATACTGAACAGGGGTATAAAGGGAGCTCACAGCATCTTTCTCCTGTAACTATGGTTGATTGTTATAAACCTAATGAATTTGTGAAGACCTACTGCTCTGACACACGTAATTCTTTGGATAAACAGATATGCTATAATCTTACATCCAGGGAGTTCCAAGCTGAGAGTCTCATTAACTTCCACTTCATCCTTATGACCAATAAAGGGTCAGACCATCTGTGTCTGAGAGAGGGTCTTGGGAATATCCCCGACATCATCCTCAGTCAAGCTTGGGGCCAAACCTCTCAGTCCTTGATCTCTATCAATCCTTGTGGCCATGTGGTGGGAGCATGCTCACCTCATCATCATCTAATCAGCTCCTCAGAGATCTCTAAATTGTTCTGGAGGAAATAATGCTCAGAAAAGTGGATGTGGAAGCAGGCAGGATGGAAATAAAGTATTTCAGCATAAGCTGAACTGATTATTCCAGACCTGACCCTATCTGGGCCAATTTAAGCATTTCAGAGGAATTTTGGTTTGAAGAGGCTGAGATAATCCCTGAAGTCCTTTACAACCAAAGTGAAACGTCAGAAGCAGATTGTTCTTCTCTGAGCAGGGAAGTCCATGGCGTAGTTCTCAGAGTACCTGGTAGTTTCTACCCTGAACTTGCCCACAGACAGGGAAGAAGGCCGAAGTGACTTCATGCAGTGAAAACAAACCACATTCTCCCTGAAAATCAAAAAAAGAAGCTGGTTTCTGAAAAGTTAGTCCATGGGCCAATGGGAAAACACTAGTAAAATCCACATGCTTTGGGATGCAGGTTGCTGTGTGGATTCTAAGAGTCCTCCCTTCCTTCTTAGGTTCAGTCCCAGTGCCACCATCCCTAATGCACTAGGATCCGTTTTATTAGGTTGGTGCAAAAGTAATCACGGGTTTTGGCATGACTTTTAATGTAACCCGCGATTACTTCTGCACCAACGTCATAGTTAAATCTCTCTCACTGCCCCTCTTGTTCTCTTTGTCAACAGCAGAGATGAGGTGAAGGAGTCAGGGAGAGCAGAAATGGCTCTGGTTTCTGAGCTCTGCTTTCTCTACACAATTTCAATGTCCATGAGTGTGGGGAGGAGAGAGGGTGAGGCTGCCAGCTGGAGCCACCACTGCTCAATGCTAAGTGCTTGGAGTGTGGTACGCAGCCCACCCATGTGCCCCGCCAGCCAGCCAGCAGCATTTATGGAGGCTCCAAGGGGACTCAGCCTGCTGGAGATGACACCAGGGATAAGGCAATCTGGCTCCAGCATGGACCTGTTGCATGAATTTAAGCAGGTTAATTAAATTAACATTTCTGAGGCATGCCACAGTTTACATTATGCTTTCAAAAGTACTTTTGAATGAATCCTCTCAAACCCCCCACCACATATGTGACACATGATATATTTTTTTCATATTTAAAAGATGAAGAAACCGAGGTCCAGAGAGGCAAAGTGGTTTTCCAAAGTCACCACATGTCAGATATCATCAGAATCTGTTGCCTCCAAGCCCTTTTCTTTTCTTTTTTTTTTTTTTTTAAAGCATCCAGTTATTTTATTCAGTCATTTCCTGAGCATGCTGGATGCAAAGCCCAGGTGCTTTCCATACCACACTGAGCCACCTCTTGTATATTTACTTCTCTGAGCCTGAGTTCCATCATCATTAAAACAACAACAATTTTATTGTGTGAGGTAAGCATGTTACCTGTGTTATCTCATTTAATCCTTAAAATAACCTATGGGCAGAAACTATTTTTATCCCTGTTTTACAGATGAGAGAATTGGGGCTTAGAGAGATTAGAAACCTGCCCAAGCCAAAGCCCATACTCCTAGCCATCTTGCTATATAAGTTCCTAACTGTCATATGGAATCCCTACCCACCTCACTAGGTGATACTGAAGATAAAATTAGGTGGTGCATGAGAAAATGTTTTTTGGAAGTTAAACGTGTGTAGCATAAATATAAAGAAAAATAAAAATCTATACTCCTGAAGATCTTATATGATAACAAAGCTCAAAAGAACTCCCCCAAAAAACTGACACAACCACAAATCTTCACTGACATTAAGTAGCAGAGACAGCTATATATAAACAACCTGCAACAGGAGGGTCGTAGAACCCAGAAGCATTAGTCCTGGAGGACTTCCTGAAAGAGGTGAGTTTTGGCTAAGTTCCTGTCAATGATGCTGGCATAGACTATAAGAGAGGAGGCTGGGCACAGTGGCTCATGCCTGTAATCCCAGCACTTTGAGAGGCCAAGGCAGGCGGATCACCTGAGGTCAGGAGTTCGAGACCAGGCTGGCCAACATGAGGAAACGCTATCTCTACTAAAAATAAAAAATTAGCCAGGCGTGGTGGTGGACACTTATAATCCCAGATACTCGGGAGGCTGAGGTAGGAGAGTCACTTGAACCTGGTAGGTGGAGGTTGCAGTGAGTCAAGATCATGCCACTGCACTCCAGCCTGGGCAACAGAGTGGTGAGACTCTGTCTCAAAAAAAAAAAAAAATAAAAAAAAAAAAAATAAAAAAAATAAGAGAGGAGAGGCATTCCAAGCAGAAGCTCTGGCCAGCAGGGCCGCACTGCTCCATTGAGCAGGTGTCCAGGCAGGAATAGAGATTCTGGTTAGAGTGGGTGGAAGTAGACCGGGCTCTAAGGCCATAGAAATATGTCTGTGTGACAGATTGGGCCACTCGTCCCCCACCCTCTGCAGTGTTGTACACAATAGCTTCCACATTATCCTAAACACAGACCACAACTCATCCACTGAGCAGTTTTTGCTGCTACAATCCTCAATCTCCTGAAAAATCAAAATACACTCTCTGATCTTGGCACGAACGCTTGCTCTCACTTGTGGGCCTTTTCCATGGACTTTTATGTCTCTGTTTATTTTGTGTTTCATGAGTGGCTCATGCCTTTAAAGGAAATGCACTAACCTTGGCCTGTCATTATGGTCCTGTGCTCGCCCCGCTCCTGGGATGGGTGAGCCTGGGCTTTTAATTTGCTGTGATGGGAGATAATTGTTGCTTGAGTTTCCACCTCTGAAAATAAACCGGGGTGGTGCTTCCCGGCTGGAAATCCACAGAAGCAAGCTCACCCCTGGGGCCTGTGCCAGGGGAGGCTTAAGCCATCGCTGGAGTGACTGATCTTAACATCCCTCACTCCTTTCCTTTTCTGGATTTCAAAACATACAATTAGTGTTTTCTTTAAGAGCCCAAGATGGCAAAGTTACGAAAGTTCGGGAGACTTTTCGATATTGTATGCAAGAATTCTAGAGGTGGGACTCCGGGAGACCAGTAACACATTTGATGGTGGAAGCTCTGTTATTCCAGGTCACTGTGTGAGGCGAGGTGGAGTGGAGCCCCCAGCCAACCGGCACTGAACATTTAGTGAGATTGAGAAGTAAGCTCATTGTTAGCTACTAAGATTTGGGAGTTGTTTGTTGCCACAGCATAAACTAGCCTACCCTGACTATAAAAATACATGAAGCACTTAGCATAGTCCCTAGAGCATCACAGCCTCATAATAAGTGATAACTCTTATTTTGATAGAGCTGTCTTGAAGCAATCACACAGAGTCTAGCACAGTTCTGAGCAAATGCTTGTATACTTTTTTACAATGACAGAGGATGAGTTCAAAGTCAGCAGAGGCTATCAGAACCCAGGAAAATACTGGGCCCAAGAGAAACGAAACCCTTTCCAGAAATGGGAGAGAGAGGACTGCTATTTGCCCCCACGTGTACAGTCAAGTCATCATATGCTCCAGTTTTCACTAACTAGAAACTTGTTCCCATTTTACTCTCAGTGAAGTTATTTCTGAGGCCTGAGTCTGATGCATTCTCAGCTCAGAATATCAGGTAACAGAAGCTAGATACCTGATCCTCAAATTTGTCATTAATTACTTAGTGCAGAAACCAAGGTGTCATAAGGGTATTTTTTTTTTTTTTATTTCGCTCAGTAAGTTATAAAACTCTAAGAACCTCAGTTACATTAGCGTAAAGGCAGCCGCAGTTGAAGAAGCTGACCATTTTTTCCAGGGCAGTATTTAGTGCCAAAAGGAGTTTATTACATTTATTACAAATAAGAAGAGGCAGTGCAGGTAGAAGTTAAGAGTGTGGCCTTGGGTGCCCACCCACAAGATGTAGGCTTACATTCTAATTCCTTAACTACAAGGTGGTATGGGTTTAAGAACTTAGAGCTATTCTTTATGCACGGGGATCACTCAGTAAATAATAAGCCTCATTATACACACTGAATTGGTTGATGATTTTTAACATTTATATTATTGTTTTAGTCATTTATTTATTCAAAAAATATTTGCTTCAAACTTTCTCAGTGCCACTACCTCACTTAATCTTCTCAGTGACTCTATAAGATCAGGAAAATTGCTCTCACTTTATAAGTAATTAAATAGAGGCACAGAGACAGTAATCTTAAGACCACATAGCCAGTTAAATGGAAGAGCTGAGTTTAAACCCAGATCTTAAATAGGAAAATCCTACAAAGTCTTAGTTCATTGGGAAGTAGATCTTGTGAGTAAATTCAAAAATCTTCACAGCTTCTAAAAAGGGGGAAGAGATTGTTCTAATACCACCCAGCCCACTCTGAGGTCCAGTTTGTATGTGATAGGGATATTTAATATAGAAAGGTATGTTGACAAGGGCGTGAGTCATCTCCTGAAGATAAATACCATCTGTGCATGGAACATGTGGTTAAATAAGGGAAATGCCTGTCAATAAAGAGTGGCCATCTCCCCTGAAAGCCGTGCAGACCCAACACGGTAGCCAAGGGCCACTATTCATTGCTCTCTCACCCGAGAGGTCTCTTGAAGAAGGATGCAGAGTTGGACCTCGAAATCAGTCATTCAACACACGTCTAAATATTTTCTAGCAAGGTAAACACTCTCTCAGGCATCTTACCTTCATATAGCTTCATTGCATGATAAAGTGATTCTATCTCAGGAAAAAAAAAATCATGGATAAAAAGAGAGACTTGCATGTTTAGACTCTTGTCATTAACAATGCACACAAAGAGCTACTGTGATCACCGGTGTTACCTGGACCAAAAAGGGGTAAAGAGGGCTGAAGTGTTTTATGAGTTAGCCCATTCCTTGATAACTTCAGCTTTTAAGTTTTGCCAGCTGCTGCCAAGCTGGAAAATTAGATGCATTGTATTTCATTATGTTTCATTCATTAATTCAACCAATGTTGCTTGGGCACCCTCTAATGAACTTAATGAGTGTGGCCAGGTTGTGTGAGTAAGGCAAAGATGAATTCCCTGCCCTGGGGAGCTTGCAGTCTGGTAGGAGACAGAAGTACCCCAAACGAAGGTTCTAGAAAAGCAGGGCCAAACACAAAGTACTAGCTGCTGTCCAGGAGTGGAGTGGAGTCTGGACCGGAAGATGATGACAGTATTTGAGTCAGGTTTTACCAAAATACTTGTATTACTGGTAAGCTCAGTGTGCATTCTCTGGCTAAGCCCTGAGAGGTAGGGAACTGGAGTCCTGTGAAAGAACCTGCTTCCCTGCCACTGGGGCCCTGCACCTCCCTGGTCTCTAGCAGATGCTGCCTCTCCATTCAGCACAGAAATGGGAAGCCTACCCCTCTCCACCAGATCTCACAAGACCCCTCATCAGTAGGGCCCCTTCAGCCTCTGACTCACCCATTCCAGTGCTCAGTCTGAGGTGCCTGTGGGAAGAAAAGACCCATGGCTGGGTGGGTGCCTATCCTCTCTCTCTAGACTCAACACCACCTGCCTAAGCACAGACTCTTCCTTGATCTAAAACAAAAAGCCCCCATGTACATCCATTCTTTGAAACAATGCCTGGGGCTAGGGAAATGATCTCCCCTAGAGTGACTGTAATTCATCATTCCAAACTGAGAAACTGTAGAGAGTGGCAAATGCAAGCCGGAAGGGACTCTAGAACCATAGTCCTAAGCCAGGACCATCCCAGGAAAACAGATCTTGCAACCATTCTTGTTCCCAATTACATCCAGTCTCTGCTGGCCCTGCCACAGGCTCTGGGGACTCAGTGCTTTATGGGTGCTGCATTTACATTTGCTGGCCAAGAGATGCAAAATAAAACCATGGTCAAATTTCAATTGCCTGCCTGGAAATATAAGACCAGTACCCAGGAAGTGGAATAAAGAGCTGGTTTAGGGGTTTGAACTTCCACCAAATTGACTCAACCACCATGTAACCGGAGGCCCCAGTTTTTGGGACATAGCTGTCTATAGTCTGATTGGTGGCATTTTTCAGGCAGAATAAGGAAATTATATCAGTCAAGAATGCATTTGTCCTAATTTGTACTGATTTGCTGCTGCCCGTTCAAAGGATCTTATTTAAGACCAGAGTAATTTGTTTTCTGTGCTGCCTTGAACAAAACTCCTCCCTGCACTTGAGCGTATAATATTTGTAGACATTTGTCTTCAGGCTAGTGCAGTAATCTTCCTTGTATGCAACTGGGTTTTCTCTGAAAAGACAGTTGTTTAAAGTTCAGCCCAACGTTTATTGACTTTTTTTGTGCTTGTATCTACAGAGAAATCATAGTCACTGGTTTGAACGGACTAATCAAGACCTATGAACTGCTGTCTGCACTAATATCCACTTTCCCAGAGATCAAAGCCACGTGGCTGGGGAGACAGACTTTCAGCTGCTTTTCTTGCATCCTTTTCTGATCAGAGTGATTTATCACTTGAATGCCATCATCGGGTCACAGGCTTTTTACTTCAGATATTTGGTATCAGACTGTTGAGTATCAGATGATTTAGCATTTGAGTTTATGCTTAATCTGTCTTATAAACAACCCTGTGATTTAAAAGAAAATGAAAGCCTCTTCTATGAGGAAAGCCTTGTCTATGGGACTCTAAGAAATGGGAGGAGGCAATATTTAGGAAATCCAGTAGGCCTCATTTAATCTCTCCTTCCTTTAACCCAGGGATAGAACAGCATGTTGTGATGAGGACATTCTATCCCTGAGCCAGGATGAAATGGTGCAGGATGAGGGCATTGTTCCTCACTGTGCAGGAAGGAAGAACAGGGATCATTTGCCTCCATTTTTCAGAGATTCCTGGCTCCTCTTGACCCTGAACTCCCCATTGTATTTTTGGGAAGAATACCCACAGTACTTCCACAGACAGAAAAACCTCGAGGGCAAAGCCCAAACGTTATGGTTGCTATGATCTCTCTACTAACCTCAAAGAATAAACTACAACATTCTAAGCATATGGATCTCTATGTGGCCCCTGCCAGGAAAATTGTCTGTTCTGAATCTGGTACCAGCCCTTCAAATCCAGAAAAGCTAGGTCCTAAGGTGGTGCTGAGCATGTAGAAGAAGGGTTGCAAACCAGCTTTCCTAGTTGCAATGACCACAGATCCTAGGGACCTCTTCAGTGTTAAGTTTCTCCCCAGACCCCACTGCTGCCCTGGGGGTTTGCCGGATATCGCTTCTTGCATCGAGGGCTGCCTTCTCTCACATTTGCCCTGCCATTTGATGTCCCAAATCTTGAACAGGCCTGCCTGGCCTCACCTTGATAGCACCTTCACCATAGTAAGTATTCAGTATCTGGATTGGCAGACCACCAGGCGGACCCAGTGAGATTGACTGGTACCCAGTAGCAGCTCAATCCATACTCCATGAATGAATGAATGAATGAATGAGGATTGAAGGAAGTATGAAATTCCAGCCATGCTTCCCAGGGGAGGGTCTGCAGCCCTGACTCAGACAGAGACGGTAACAGGAGCAGTTTGAACCACCCATCACCACTCCAGCCTGGAGGCTCTATGGGAAGAGACCAGGAGCAAGGGAGAAAGAGTAGGCCCTTGCTCTGGACAGATCCTCTAGTGCTGCTGCTGTAGGGCCAGAGTAAGGACCCCTTGTGAGGATGAGAAAGGAAGAAGTGTCTCCTCCACAACCCGGGCTAAGTCCAAGCAACCTCTGCATTTCTTCATTCAGAACCTTTGCTCAGCCTAGGATGTGTTGAGGACATAATGAAGTGATGAGTGCTCCCCTGACTCTCAGGGGTCCCAAAGGGGTCATCTGTGGTTTGATGATCCTCCTGGCTAAATGGTTCCTACAGCTGTTGCTTAGGTTCAGAAGAAAAGCGGCTTCCACATACCCATACCTCATCTGCTAGAATTAACAACATTAAAAGATAAGGCTAGTGATGTCGCAGCCTCCGGACAGATCATCCCGGTCAGTCTACCTTAAAGATGGAACTTCATGGAAATGAAGGGGTGGAGAGGAGTTGTATGAAACCAGACATCTTCTGAATTCTGCAGAAAATGCTACGGCCAGATTCACCGTACAGAGTCTGATAAATGCCAGAGGTGAGAGGGGGGTTTGGATGTGGTCACAGTCAGTCATAGGGCTGCAATATAGCCCCTATGTCTCTGGCTTTTTTAAAGGTTAATTCACAAAACAAAAAGTCCAGAAGTGTGCCTGGTAATGACAGGAGCTCAGTAAATAGTTGTTGATGGAGTGACCCAGCATGTCTCTAGCTGCCCGTGTACTGGCTGTGTAGAGCCATTTTCCTGGAGGCCGAGGCAGATCTGAACCATGACTTGAATCCACGCAGGTGGTGATGTACACATGGCAGCCTTTCCATTCCACTCATCCATAGCCTGTGTTGGCCAGAAGAGAAGCTCTGAATAGTAACTTCTCTATATTTTTGCTGTTAAAAATAACAAACTCTGGGCACTAGATCAGGAGCTATTTCTTTCCTTGTAGACAAGTAGGTCCTGCATGGAGAAGCAAGTCTCTTCTGCCCAGAGGATCCATAGTCAAATGCTTGCAGGGGAGATTATATTCTAGAAGCTCTGAAATAGTCAGAAATGCCCCCAGCCTCTCTGAGGGAGGGATTCATTCCAACCCAAAAGGATGTCTCTATACAGGCTCGTGTGAGCACAGGGTAGCTAAAGGTGCCTTGGGCAGCAAGCACCTGCACACCTGGCAAGGGCTATGGTGACAGGTGAGATGGGTCTGAAGTGAGAGCAAAAGGATGTGGCTTTATGGAACCTCAGGCTGACTTCAGAGGCTGACACTCACCTCCTGCCCCTGCCAGCTGCTCAGCCTGGACCCCCAGGGCACCTCCCAAAAAGCTCACCAGTCATTCTCCAGCGATAGTATTTGTCACACACTGGCATTTCCTACACTCCTACTGACCACATCTCCAGGGACTGCTGGGAGCCCACTGACCAAGCTCCCGAAGATGTGAGTCAGCAAGCTGGCATGCTTAAGAAAGGGGTGTTTGGCCCTGACTTGAGAGCTTCCCAGACCCAGCATTCCTTCTCCCCTGCTGTACCAAAGCCCCCAGATCACCATTTCTTAGAAAGATAAGAAGGGCATTCCGTCCAGTCTTGGGCCTCTTTGATGTTCCTGCCCCATAGGTAGCCCCAGAGGGACAGCATCACCATTATTCCTTTTGAGTGGCACTGGATGAAAACAGAAGAATCACTGAGAAGTTGTCAAACATTTAGATTCCTGGGCCCCACTCAAGACATTCTCTGGGGTGGAGGGTCGGAAGTAGGAAGCAGCAATCTGCATTCAAATACATCCTCCAGGAGCTTTCAAGACCCTGCCAGGACCGGGAATCACTAAACATTAAAGAGTATAACAACTTCAAAAGTGCATTAAAAATTTCCTTTTTTTTGGCTAAGACCTTTGGAAGGGGAATTTGACTCAGAGATAATTTTGCTTCCTGATAACTGCAGAAGTAGCTCTCTCTTTCCTTAAAACAGGGAGATCCTCTGGGATCTCTGTATATCTGAGACCAGCAAGAATCTGAGACTGTCTCCAACTCAGTGTAGGCTGCAACTCGCCTTCCTAGGCATTCCAGACTCCCACAGACGATGCAGCTCCCAGCACGTTCCTGACTGCCAGAGACAAGTGAGGCTGTGAGTTTCTGCCCAGGGCTTACCAGATCCTGAAAACTTCTAGAAGGGATTTTCCTGGGCTATCAAGCACTGACACCTAGAAAGAGGTAAAACTTGATGTATCTTGCAGGGCCAATCCCGAGAAACCGCTAAACTCCCCATATTACATGAAGGGCAGAGAGGTGTCTTAAAAAAAAAAATCAGAGTGAAGCCAGAACACATGCTGCCAACAAGACTGAATTAGGTAATGAGAAAGACAATGTTTGTTGCCAGGACTGAGGCAGGAAATAAATCATTTTTCTTTAACGAATCTCTCTGTTTACATTGTTCTCTTTCCTCACAGGACTGGCTCAGAAAAGACCTGTTTTTGTTGTTGTTGTTGTTATTTTGTTTTGACTCCTTGGCCAGTAGGATTAGGTCCCATTGAGCCTCAGCCTGGCGGCGGGTGGGGGGGGGGGTGCCACAGCTGAAGCCACTGTTGTGACTCACAGGGATGAGGGGTGAAGGCAGCTTCCCCGCTGGGGTGGCACCTGCCTGCTGCTGGTGGGGCCCAGGTGGGGCTGGCCCAGATGCTTGAGGGTCAGAGGGGGTCACGTCAGACTTTCTCACATTTGTATCCTCAGCTTTCAGCACAGTGCTTAACCAACACCCAACACAATAATGACAGAATGAGTAAACAATTGATGGCTTTGAAGGTGGGCAAGACAAATCTCTCTTAATCTCTCCACACACGTATACATATATACACACTAGGGGAGAAGGAAGGAGGTGGAGGAGGATAGGGAGAATGATAGATGCATAAGGTATTTCACAGGTCAGAATCATAGGTGACTGCCTGGGGGCAAGAGGGAGGACCCATCCCTGTCACCATAGCTCAGAGGTTCCAGGTCCATCAACAGCCCATTTCATCTGTTCCTGGAATGCCGTATGAAGAGGTAGGAACAGGCCATGATCAGAAGGCTCCAGAGCAGAAAGCCCATCTGTACCCACTTTGCTCCTCACACATGGTCTCTGGCCCACAGAATACCCCCTGCAGAATCATGTGAAGTCCTGCCCTTGTCCTGGTTGTTTCTCTTTCTCTGTATCTCAAGAACCCACTGGTTTCATCTCTGGTTTCACCACATCATGACATTACATGCATGAGGGGGCTCTACCTCTTCACGGCATCATCAGCCAGGGGTGAGGAGAGAAGCCCCAGTGTCCACAAGAAAATGAGGGTGGTGCCACCACATTTAACTCCTTCCTTGCCCATCTGCTCTTTCCCTGGGAAAGGAGTGTCATGACAATATCAACCCTTATTCTATCTGAATAGTCACGGTTCTGTGGCATCAAGGACAGATGCCCTTGATGACAAAAGTGGCTGGTTGTGTGTGCAATGGAGAGATTGTACTTCACATACATTTTTCTGCCTTAAAATAACCAGAAGAAAATCACTGTTCTTTTGGCTCAAGCAAAAATAAAACTGTTTTTTTGAAAGCCTTATTTAAAGGGTTCATTATCTTGCAGGCTGCTAACTATATACTCTGCACCACACTCAATAAAAGCTTCATATAACTGTCTTTGAAATTAACAGCCACCTCTTGTGCTTTTCAAGTTATTAAAGACGTTGGCATGGTGGAGAGATTGTAAACTTTCTATACTGGTGATTAGTCAGCGGGACCACATCCCACCAAATCCCCCAGAGCGTTTCTAACAAAAAGTTCCTTGTGACCCAAGCGCCAATTTTTCTTTCTTGTCTGTTCATTCTAATTCCACTCAATTACTCCTGAGCAAGCTGTTTTATTCCTGTCAACTCATGTTATTTACTGGAGCCTGTCAAGAAGACTGAAGTGGAGGCTGATATTATGTAGGATGTTTTGAGACTCATTAAAACACTTTAAAACAATCACCTATTGTGATATTCACAGTCCTATGTGGGGTGGCCTTGCCTGGACCATTTGGAGCCTGGATCACTTTATTTATTTGCTATTAAAAGCTTCAAGTTAGAATGGCTTTTTTTGCTGCAAAATTTTTGGACTTAGGGATGCAAGGCCTGGTCAGGGTTCCTGGAGATTTCTGGGCAGGGATCTGAAAATAAATGGATTAAGTGTGTGTGTGGTGGGGAGCCCGGGGGAGGACTCCTGGACCAGCTCTGTATCTCTGATGAGCTGATGAGAAATGGGGGTCAGCCCCAACTCGCCAGAGAGCTCTTCCTCCTAGAACCGAGGCAGATTTCCTTAGGAAAGTGGGTGAGAGCAGTTTTCCTCTGAAGATAAAGTTCCCTGCTGTGTCATTTTTAGTCCGTCATTATTCATGCAATAATGAACAATCTGTCTGAACAAGGCACCAGGCTAGATTTCCTGAGAGTGTAAAGCAGATAACTGTATAGTCCTTAGATCATTAGCTGAAGAGTCCATTTAATTGATGCCATATGGAGTGTCAGGTGCCAGGTGGACCACGTGCAGCCTGAACTCTGGGCAGGGAGGGGCCAAGGCAGTCTCATTCTGTCCACACCCCTCCCAGCCTCCTCTTGCTCCCCACTCTTGTCTCCCACGTGCCGGCTGCCCATCCTCCCTCCTGCTACCAGCATCTACCCCTGGCTAAGCGTTGCTAGGAACTCAGCCTTGACAGCCCCTGGGGTTGGAGGTTGATTCCTATTCTAAGCTCCCTCAGAATGCAACAAAGAACCTGTGTTCAAGCTGGGGTGGAAGTCGAGGATTCTTGATTTCCAAGTCCCAAGATCTAGAATTTCTTATTTCTTAAAAAAATCCTTGAAAAAAAGGCCTCCTTTCTTCAGTGATTCTAAGATACTTTATGATGGCATGGTCTCAAAGCAATACTGAGAAAAAAGCCAAGTCACCTGGGCCACTGCCTGCATCATTTCACACACTTCTAGAACATGGTTTTCCCACCAGTGTCTCATGTGTTTGCAGGTGTCATCTCCACCCCAAGCTGGGGGTGTAGGGTCAGGCAGAAGCAGTACAGGCAGAGGGGAATGAAGCAGAAGGTCCAGAGTCTGTATCATCATACAGGGGTGAGCTAGGCCAGTACTTCCCACCTGTGTCCCTCCAGCAGTGGGATGCCAATCTCTACTCTAAGTGCAGATCGTTCTGAGTCACATAAGCCTGGGAAGGACTGCCCACTATATCCCCAGCTCCTACGCTGGTTCTCACTACCATGAGTTTAGAAAGTGCTAGACTAGTTGATCTCCAAGATCTTTCCTAATGCTTGAAATTCTAGGAGGCAATGAATAGAGAATATGAATGCAAAAAAAAATCTATAAGGCATTTGCCTAAGGCAGGGGTTTTCTACCCTGGCTGTGTATAATAATCACCTGGGGAGATATATAAAAAATAAAAGCCCATAGGCCTATGTTCTCAGCCTGAGGATTAGGATTCATCAGGTCTGGGGTGGACCCCAGCCTCTGCATTTCTAGCAACCCTCCAGTCAGTTTTGATGAACAGCAGGCGTCAGAGCTGAGAAGTTGGGGCTGGGGTTATAACCAGACACTTTCCCAGGCAGTGAGATGAGGGAAGAGCTGACGCAGGATTCTAACATGCCCACTTCTGTTCATGGAGTTTGGCCCACGGGTGATTGTGCCTAGCACATCTTTAGAAGATACTTCCCCAGAAGTCGACAATTAAAGATGCAGTGAAACAGAATTTGTTTTGTTTTATTTTAAACCTCAGACTGACACTTAAACCACATCCCAAGGGCAAACATCTTACAGCTTAATGGATAGGTAGCCACCAGCCTTAGCCATTGCTTGGAATCAGATGGAAAGCAGTGCTGGCTGCCCACCCTAGGAGCACTGGGGACCTGAGAGGAGAAGGGCCCCTGTAAGTGGTGGCCTTCTCAGTGTCCTCTGGCTGCAAGCAGAGCTGACCCAGCCTTCTGTTCAGAAGGTCTCAGCTTCAGGACAGAGAGGCTGGCCTGGGTGGTGGGGTAGGACAGAGAGAGCAGGAGTTCAGGAAGTGGATCAGACCAGCTGCCCAGGCCAACGAGGTTTGTTCTCATAAACCAGGCTGAGTTCCTGGGTGGGGAGGACACTGTGGCCCCTGTTTCATGGGTCCTCACATGCACACACACTGGAGAGCAGTTCAGCAGCCTGACTGCTGGGCAAGTGCTGCCTGTTGCCTGGGGTTGTCTGCTCCTGCTCAGGAGGATGAGCCAAAAGAGATGAATCTTACAGATGACTGGAGTTTAGGGTGAAGTGCAAGCCCAGAAAATAGGTCTCATTCCTGCTACTCCCTCTCGTATATTCTACAATTCAGACAAACTGCATGAGTCATTGCTGTTTAGAAAAATCCTCTGCTTCTCCTCTTTTGTGCATTTGCTCCTGTTTTTCCTTCCCTACCCCATCTGCTGGACTCCTACACATACTCCCAAGCCTACGTCAAATGTCTCCTCTGCTCAGCTCCCCATAGGGTGCAGTGATATCTCTCCCCTTGGGAACTGCCAGAGTATACTGCATGTATCTATCATCTGGCATCTCTCTTACACAGCTGTGTTTCTTATCCCCTTCTATTGCAAGCACTCGGAAGGCAGAGACTGGGTCTTTGTCTCCCTTTGGCCCCAGCCTGTTTCCATATTGTGCTTTTTATGTATTATAGCAGGCACCCATGAATGTCTACGGAATGGAAGTTAATTCTGGGCTGACAGTAATTGTAAAGCATCACAGCCCTTGCTAGCTGTCATGGGGAGGCAATCCTGGGCACTGTCTCCATCACTGCTGTCACCATGTAGCATGATGAGTCCTTTCTCATGCTGCTAATAAAGACATACCTGAGACTAGGTAATTTATAAAGGAAAGAGGTTTAACAGACTTACAGTTCCACGTGGCTGGGGAGGCCTCACAATCATGGTGGAAGGTGAAGGAGGAGCAAAGGCACATCTTACAAGACAGCAGGCAACAGAGCATGTGGAGGGAACTGCCCCTTATAAAACCATCAGATCTCATGAGACTTATTCACTTTCACGAGAATAGCATGGGAAAAGCCCGCCCCCATGATTCAATTACTTGCTACCAGGTCAATTCAAGATGATATTTGGGTGGGGACACAGCCAAACCATATCACATGGCATCAGCAGATGGCTAGACTTCCTGAGCAGAGCCAGGGACTTGCCTGGAAGGTCCAGACCCCTCTGAGTTCCAGCTTCCTTGTGGAGTTGAAAGACACTCCAGTGTGTGTTACACTTGGTATCCTACTCAAGAAATAGTGAAAAAAGGACATTTACACCACTGGGAATAAAACTTGGGTGTAAACATGGTTCACACTTTACAGCTGATGGGTCAATTATCTGATTAATATGATTGATCATTTATCATAATGTAACACATTATGTCACATACCTTTTTTTTTTTTTTTTTTTTTGAGATGAAGTCTCGCTCTTGTCACCCAGGCTGGAGTGCAATGGCATGATCTTGGCTCACTGCAACCTCCACCTCCCGGGTTCAAGTGATTCTCCTGCCTTAGCCTCCCGAGTAGCTGGGATTACAGGCCTCTGCCACGACGCCCGGCTTGTTTTTGTATTTTTAGTAGAGATGGGGTTTCTCCATGTTGGCCAGGAGGGTTTCAAACTCCTGACCTCAGGTGATCTGCCCATCTCGGCCTCCCAAAGTGCTGGGATTACAGATGTGAGCCACCGCACCTGGCCTCACATACCTTTCTTAAGCAGAGTTTTTAATGTTTATAAATCTTACCTCCTTAAGAACAATTAAGTTTCCTGAGAACAAAATCGGTCACTACAGTGGTAGAAAGGATATGGGTTTTGGAGTCAGACAGAGCTAGATTTGAAGCTCGGTTTTATCATTTCATGGCCAGGTGCTGCCATGATTATTTTTTATGTGTCTACTTGCCTGGGTCACATGGTGCCCAAATATTTTGTCAAACATTATACTGGATGTTTATGTGAGGATATTTTTGGATGATATTTAACATTTGAATCAGTAGACTGAGGAAAGCAGATTGCCCACCATATGTAGGTGGACCCCATCCAATCAGATGAAGGTCCAAATAGAGCAAAAAGGCTGACCCTCCTCTAAACATGATAGAAACTATTCTGCCTGATGACCTTTGAACTAGAAGGAAAAATTAGTTGTTTGCTGCCTTTGGACTTGAAGTGTACCTGTACCTCAAGCCTGCCCGCCTTCATACTGTAACTACACCATTGGCTCTCCTGGGTCTCCAGCTTGTCAACTCACCCTACAAATCTTGGGCTTTGCCAGCCTCCATAATTGTGTGAGCCAATTCCTTCTAATCTCTCTCTCTCCCAGTAGTTCCTTTTCTCTGGAGAACACTGACTAATATAGGCACTTCTGTATTAAGAGCATTCTGAACAGCATTATGTTGCTAGGGCCCTGCAATGGGAGGCACCTTCTCACTTTCATCACCTGGAACCTGCTCATCCGCATGACACAGAGGAGGTATATGTGACATTTGTTCACCTGCTGACCCCTTTGTCACAGTGTCCCCTTTTCCGTGGGTACTTCTGTCCACATCCTCTCCTAGAGTGTTTGCCTCAGAAGTGCTTGAGAGGATTAGCATCCAGCAAAAAGTAGGCTCTGCAATTAAGGCTCAAATTAAGAAAAACAAATGAGTTTACACTGGCCTTGGGTATTTCCAGTAGCTGGAAAATCCCACTGTTGGAAACCTACTGAAGTCATCTCAATACAGTATTTTATAGATCCTGCAGCAGCAGGAGATGAATTAACCCGAGAAGACCATAGTGGCGGGGCAGAAAGAAAGCCTGTCAATGACCAGATCTTTTAAAAACAAAATGGCTGTTTCTGTTTTGGTGTATGTGTGGTTGTCTTTATTTTGGATGCTAAGGCGCGTTTCTTTCCCCCCCCACCCCGCCGAGAGTTTCAAGAAAAGAGAGCCCCATCTTCAATTCACTATCCAGGCAAACAACAGTGAGCATGGCTCCTCTTCCAAGATCCCACTCCAAAAAGTGACACCAGGTTTTTGACACAGACAGCCTGTGGGCACACTGTAAAGAAGTGGACTTTGTTTTGACAGGGGCCTGTGGAAGCGGACTTTTAGTGCTCAATCCCTTAAACACATAGTGTTATGAATATGGCTTTGACGATTGTTAGCAAAAGTGGATTTGTCACACAGCCATGAAACCAGCAGCTGTGTCTTTGCCACAGAGTTTGACCCCATCCTGCATATAGACAGGCATCGTGTGTAATTACTCAGCATTTGCCACACAACACAATAAACTCGGGGTCTGCCCACTGGGGACATTTATGTGTCACAGTGGACTGGATTAGGACCGAAAAAGAATAGTTGTGGTGTACGCTCCATCCCAACTGCTCATTCCCTCTCCTTGACCTACCCTTTGTGGGAAGCCAGGAATGCTAAATATTTCTTGTAGCTCTGCCCAGTCCTCTACTTTATTTACACTCCCCCCAACTCCCCAGCCTTAGCCCTGTCTCCTCCTGTGGCAAGCTCAGGCTTTCTTCCCTGAGCTGTTGAACAACTACATTTTTTGTCTGAGATGATACATCAAAGGTATTTCAAATAAAGAAAGACAAAAACATAAAATGATGTCTGCTGGACAGCCAGCCGTGCTCTGGCAAGGATAATATGCAATCTTACTTAATGGACTTCCTGATATTGACAAACTGTACCAAAGTTTCTAGGCCAGAGATAAAACAACTTTTTTCAAAAAGTGAAATAAGATAGAGGCAGTTGAAGGAACAGGAGGTGGAAGATTGATGGGGAACATTTTTAAAGAACCCACGGGCCACTCTGTATGTTTGTTTCCTGAAGGGCAAAATTAAGCCCTTAGAGCAGATCTTTCATTTTTTGGTTTCTTTTCTAATTCTAGAATCTCCTCTAACCACAATGGGCAAGACAAGTGGGAATGTGACTTCCCCTAGAGTTATTGCTACACATTTGTGAGGACATTTTCTTCAACAAGTTTGTTTTTCCCCAAAATACATTTCCAGGCAGTATAACCCTAGAGGTGGAGCCTCAGGGAAGCTACACATGCTTCAAGTGTGCAGTAATTGCAAATTGCTAAACAGAAAAATACAGGTATGGCCATGTGTCCAAGTCTTTGTGGGGCATGCTCCACTCATGCCTGTTGACCTGGCATGATTATTAATAGTTCTCTCTTTCAAAAATGTCCAGTTTGGATAATAAATTCTATGAACACCCTGACTTTCACCAAATGTACCATTTCTGAGGTCCATTTCAAACATGGTGTACAAATAACTGGTTCTACAGCCGGTCTGGTGGTCAGCCTGGCCCTGCTGAGGGGAGGGATGACATCTGAATGCACAGCCAGGTGGCACGGTGGTCTCAGAGGCTACAGTGCTGCTAGCCCCTTGGGGTAGGTCCTGAGCTTGGCACCCCGCTGCTGACTGCATGTTGCAAATGAGATTTTTGTTTTAAAGCCCTAGACTTGAAAAATCAGACACTTGGCTTTTGAACAGAAGGCAAAGCAGATATCTGGGTCTCTTCTTCCCCACCTCAAGTCCTCATTGTCATGGAGACTCCTTAACATCTGTGAGTGGATATGACCCCACCAGCTGAGGCAGGCTTCTCTTAGCCCCATTTTCCCTCCATGATGGGTGGAACATCCTTAGGTAGAAAGAAAAACACCCAACATACTTTTATTAGCAAGTGTCAAAAATGTATCAGAGAGTTTTCTCTGATGTCCATGCTTATCCAATCAAGCTATTTGCAATTCCATGTGAGTGTGGGGTTGGAGGTAGGAGGTAGATTTTGGAGACTGGGGAAGAGGAGCAGAGAAGGGGTTGATTTGTGGTGTATCCTCAAGGCATGCACTAAATATTTGACCAATGAGTATGTGAATAATTGCATCTGTGGAGGAGATTTTTGTCCAGTCAATAAATTTTAGCATATTAGAGTTTTGCTTATCTTTAACAAAAATTCATAGTAACATATGCACTCATTTCCAGACATTTTTTCCTAAAAATACTACATTTGGGTGTGTTTCATTTTACTCCTTAGGCAAAGCTGATTTATAATTCTGACAGTGCACCTACAAAATGAATATGAAAAATGCCCTGTTTGATTTGTGTTTTTTATTTTAACTGGGATTAATTTTAAATGAGTTGAGAAGAGACCTGTGATGTTGCAAAATGCCTCTTTAACTTCCAAGTTAACCATGATATTGATGGACACAAGATAGATGCAAGGTCTATAATTAAAACTTGTCTGCCAAGTCCCACTCTGTTGAATTTGGGGCGATGTTGCATGGAAGCGATGGTTTTGGTTAAACTCTAGGTCTAAAAGAAAAATAAAATAATAACTTAATTGTCAAACCTATCCACATCTATTTGCATATGCCATATGATTTCTAAATAGGGTAAGACACAGGAGCATTGAGGAAATAAAAAACCTGTTGGTTTTTAATGCGGGTGTATCTTTCTTCCCTGTTTTGTGCCTGGGCTAATGGGCCGATGGTTAAACAGTGGAATATTTAGAATTGGAGAACTTATCAATGGACTTAAAAAATATCTCTGAATCTTGTAATCTACTTTGAAGAGATCCTCTGAACAGAGGGCATGAGCTAATTCAAACAAGGAATGACCTCAATGAGAAGAACTGAAATAAAACTCAAATAGTGAATATACACACTCACATGCTGGTGAGCTAAACAAACTGAAACTCAAGTTTTAGGCAGTTTACAATCAGAGTATATTTGTTTGATAAACAGTGTTTGGACAGAAGCTTTTCATATCTTTTTTGCTAGATACTTCATCATCTATTATCTCCTCTTTTCAAAGAATGCCTCCATGCCATTGCTGTGGAATTCAAGACACAGCTCTGTTTACAGAGTGAGCTGGTGCTGACGGCCTGCCTCCCGTCAACTCCTCCCCTTCCTTTCACTAATTAACATTCTTGACATTTGACTTGACAGTCGTATTTTAGAGGGTTCAGACACAATTCTTGTAAACAAAAATAATATTCTTGCTGTGAATTCTTACTCTTTTAGAAGAAAGAAACTGGTGCTGGTGCTGTTTCCAAACTAAAACAAATGCAGTTGATTTTGTCAGTTACGAGTTTTCTAAGATTTTTGTTGTTTTCTTTCTATTTGCTTCAGAATGCACCAGAGAACTTCTCTGTCATGAACTTGGTCTGCTCTTTTAAAAGATAGCTCTTTTATAAAACAATCAGAATGTATTAGAGGTTTTTAAAAATGTGTTATAGAGTGTTTTGATACACGGTGTGGCGTGGATGTCATTTAGTCCTGGAACCAAAATGGATGTGAAGAATACTATAACTGATAAAAAGGAGAGTACTCCTCATCTAAGGAAACTATTTCAACCTAGACCAAATGGGCTTTCCTTTGATGAATCACAAATACCAGGCTTAAATCACTTCCAATACAGATTATGTATCTGTCACATTTTGCTAACTTGGAGATGTAAACTACTGTTCTGATTCCTAAATTATTCCTCTGGTCAAAGTAAATAACAATCTTTAAATTAAACTGAAAATATATTAATAATTACTTTAGAAGTATAAAATGTATACAAGCTGCTTGTATAGAATACAGAATTGCTTTGGTCCTTGACAGACCAAACATTATCAAAATATTAATAACAGCAGTGATAGTATATTGCTGACATTATACATTTACATCAGCAAATTTCTTTCCCAGAATATCCTGAAACTCTAAAACTATGAATCGAAGTCAGCTTATACTTAATAGCAATTTTTATTTACTATGTGCATTAGTTACTGGCTATCTTTTAACTGTTCCCCCTTTCTTTAACAAAGAATGATAGGTTTTCCATTTCAAAAGTAAGATAGATCAAAGTGGGACTTTTTATTTATACAATTAAGTACAGTCTTATCCCTTCTTTTCAACTATATTTTGAAATAATTTTAGACTCAGTTGCCAAAATAGTATAGAGAGTTCCCTCTCACCCTTCACTCAACTTCTATTATGAGCATCTTTCATGACCCACCACAGTACAATGATCAAATCTGCTTTAACATTAACCCAATACTAATAATCAAAGATCTTATTCAAATTTTGCAAGTTTTTCCACTAATGTCCATTTTCTGACACAGGAGCCAATCCAGGATCCCATGTTGCTCTTACATCCTTTCAACATGCACGCAGCCTTTTCTGAGCACTTCCTTTCTGTCTGTCGAGCTCTTTTAAAAGAATGACTCAACTGTTTTTACAAAGTTGATACATGCCCATTACAATAAATTCAAGCCACACAGAAAACTACAAAGAGCAACAGAAAAATTATACAAACTCTTGCTGCCAATGAAAGAGCAGCTATTAACATTGGATAAAAATTGTCCTGCACATCTGTTTATACATCCATACAGTTTAGAAAATAAAAAGGTAGAATTTTGATGAAATAGAATCCATTTTTATAATAAAAGCAGCCATTAGACATATGAAATGTGATTTTAAATAAAAGGTATTAAATGTAAGTTTCCTTTAACAGAAGAAAAAGAAACTAAAATATAATTGGATACGCTGGATTTCAGGTAAATTTTTCTTCACAGAAGACTTTATTTTCTAACATCTCTCTAAAGCCAAGAAAAAGATTGTGAAAAACATTTAGACATTCATCATACTTAGCTTGTGTTGACTTATAAATCACCCCCAAAACACTGTGGCTGAAAACAAACACCATTAATCATTGCTGCAGACCTGCAGGTCTGTAGGGGTGGTCCTGCTGATATGGCTTGGCTGATCTTGGGTGAATGAGTTAGGACATGGGTCAACTGGAGCTTGACTGGCCTAGAATCACCTCACTCATGTGGTAGTTGATTATCTCTTGGCAGGGACAGTGGGGGTGACTTGGCCCTGCGATCTCTCATACTCCAGCAGGATGGCCCAGGCTTGTTCACAAAATGGTAGCAGGGCTGTGAGAAAGGGAGTGAAAGTATGCAAGGCCTCTTCGGGCTGTAAGCTCAGGGCTGCCATGAAATAATTTTCACCACATGCTATGGGTCAAAGCAAGCCATGAGACCAGCCTAGATTCAGGGCTGGTTATCCATATTATTTTTATGTACTGGTATTGGTCACTCAAGTAAGTTTTCATTAGAGCATTATTCTCTCACTGCAGATTTAAGCATTTGTTCTGGGATTGTTTTTCCTATTTCTTGAACATATTTTCTGTTTCTTTTGTTCATTTCTTCTTTGCAAACACCAATTATATATTTGTTGAATATTCCTTACCTATCATTCATGTCTTTTTCCTTATAATCTTTTTTTTATGATAATATGTATATAGAATGTCTCTCCAGATATTTGCAGGCCTGAATCTTTCATGATGTTATACAGGTTTCAGATAAAATATCCTGCAGTGAGAGAGACTTTCATGGTCACCCAGTACCTTTCATACTCTATTATGTTGTTCTGTTTTACTTTTTTTAATAGCACTATCAAAATTTATTCTTTACTTTTTACTATCCCCCATCCACCCTAGGTTGTAAGCTCCATGAAGGCAGAGATGTTGTCTTGGACACTGCTAAGTTCCCAGCATCTAGAAGCACTCCAGCCATGGAGGGGGTATTCACTAATTAGTTAAATGAATGAATGAACGAATGAATGAATGAATGATTAAAAGTACTGTCTGTTTTAAGTTAGGTTTATTCTAATTTCGGTTGCTTGTAGTATGGCTTTTTTTTTTTTTTTTTTGACGGAGTCTTGCTCTGTCGCCAGGCTGGAGTGCAGTGGCACGATCTGGGCTCACTGTAACCTCCGCCACCTGGATTCAAGCAATTCACCTGCCTCAGCCTCTCGAGTAGCTGGGACTACAGGCACACGCCACCATGCCCGGCTCATTTTTTGTATTTTTAGTAGAGACGGCGTTTCACCATGTTGGTCAGGATGGTCTCGAACTCCAGATCTTGTGATCCACCCGCCTTGGCCTCCCAAAGTGCTGGGATTACAGGCATGAGCCACTGCGCCTGGCTGTAGTATGGCTTTTTTTTTCTGTAATATTTTTTATTTACACTTATCTCCTATAATTTCTTTGAGATTATGGGGAACTCTACCCAAACTCTTTGTTTTCTTAGATGATTTCTTTTGTAGTTCTTTATCTTTGTCCTACATTCCTTTCTTCTTTATTTTCTCTCTCATTTCAAAGCATGTCTGTGGGATGGTTCTTTCAGATTGTCATTCATCTTGTATACTTGCTGAAAAATCATCCATGGAGGAAGGGGAGTAGTGAGGGATGTTAGTAAACTTGAACACAGTATATTGCCTCCTATAGCCTCTCACCAAATCTACTCTTTTCCTTATTCTGGAACTGTATATCACACCGCAATTTTTGTCATTGGAAAGGTTGGTAATTTGGAAAATGCAATTTTCCTCCACTTTCTCTGCCTTGGTCATTCCCACAGCAAGGAGAATGAATATTGGATAAAAATCGGGTACCACTCTGGTTCCTCTGCTTTTCTGCCTGCCATGTTCTGTGGTATCAAGTTGAGCCTAAAGGAAGAGTCCTCTTCTGCCATGGCCCCAGTACCCCTGGATCTTACCTCCCTTGAAGAATCACTGGATGGCATTTCAGGGTAATCTCACTTTCTTTTGGGGAAATGTCCCTCTTGCCCAAGGTCTGAGGATATGTTGTTAGTTTTTAGTGTTCTTCCTCATTTTGGTCCAGATTTCACAGCATTTGGCAGGTTTGCTACATAGTTTGTGGTTTAAGATTGCAGTCGTATCCTTATTTCATTGGCAACTAAAATATTTTTCTGTTTTTAGTTTGAGATTTTTCAAGAAGGGGAGGGTAAGAATTAATGCCTATACACCGTGATCCTTAACCAGAAGTCATTTTGTGCTCTTTCAACTGCATTCTGCAAATTTGTATTCCACAGTGCAGGAAAGATCGTAAGTGCCATTCACCCACCAGGTTTCAGACTTAGGTCTGAATTCTTATAAAGCTTATTTAAATTTTTGTTTCATAGCTTTGCATCTATCACTTTTCTTCTCCATTCTCTTTGACCTACCTCCAGTCTCCAGAATTTTGTGTTTGTTTTGTTTCATTTTGCCTTTCAGTGTACCTGCAATATTCTGTTTCCCTCTTTGTGGCAAGAACTTTCTTAGTTCTTCATATCTTTAGCTCCTCTAAGTTAAGCTGCAAAATTGTCTGGCCTCAAACAAGTAGTGGGTTGATAAGAACCACTACCACTGCAGTCACCACACTTATCCTCACCTCTGTTAATCAAATATTTACTGTATGCCAGTAATGCCACTAAAGCTTGTCCATCTCCTGTCTCTATCTCCTTACCACATTTTATTTTTCTGGAGAATAGTATTTACTACTACCAAATATAATATTATGCATTTATTTTTAGTCTAGCTCTTCTAGTAGGATGAAGCTTCACAAGGACAGGGATTTTATCCGTCTTATTCACTACTGTATCCATGGTGCCCAGTACAGAGTTGTGTCATCCTTCCAATAACCCAAAAAAGCCAATATAATTGCCTGCAATTGAAATGCAAAGATGTGAAAAATACCTTTTACTAAAACTGGCTCCAGAATTATGTTGAGGGTTGCCACTGTATTTGTTCAAGAAAATACTTTGAAAGATATTTTGGGGGTGGTTGAGATTTTGTGATGTCAAAAGAGATGGGGGCAGGAGAAAAGAGAAAAAGTTGTTGTTTTGTTATTGGAAGGAAAAGGTGAGAGAAATAAAAGAAGAGGAGAGGGAGCCAGAAAGTTAGAGGCTAGCCCTGAGAAAGAGCCAAAGAATTCCTAGCACTGCTGTATGGGAGCCGTCAGCCCTGTACCTCCTGTACAGGTTGGCTGTTTTCCTCTCAGGTCTCTCTTCAGCCCCAAATCTTCAGCTCATCTGCTATGCACACAAGTCCTAGGAGGGGGTTTCTGTGGTTCTTATAAAAGGGTCTGGGTTTCCCATTGCAGTCAAAGCCTCAAGAGACAAAACTGTATATATGGGATCGGGAACTGGGAAATCTTTGAGAGGCAGGGGTTTGGGCCTTTTTTTTTTTTTTTTTTTTTTGAGACGGAGTCTCACCCTGTCACCAGGCTAGAGTGCAGTGGTGCGATCTTAGCTCACTGCAACCTTCACCTGCCTCCCGGGTTCAAACAATTGTCCTTCCTCAGCCTCTCGAGCAGCTGGGATTACAGGTGCGCACCACCACTCCCAGCTGATTTTTGTATTTTTAGTAGAGACAGGGCTTCACCACATTCACCAGGCTGGTCTCGAACCCCTGACCTCAAGTGATCTGCCTGCTTGGGCTTCTCAAAGTGCTAGGATTACAGGCGCTAGTCACCTCGCCCAGCCAGACTTTTATTGGCTACAGGATTGTAGTGAGGGTGATGGTTGGGGAGATGCATTAGTGCAATATTTCCCTAATTTGAGAGCGGAAGAGGCCACAGTTGACATCTGAGTTTTATGTAGGTAAGGAAAATGAGAGTCAGAGAAATTACACTACTTTCTTAAGGGAACTTAACATATAGAATGACTTCTTGCTATTTAATGAACACACCCAGTTCCTTTCCGCTCAGGAGATTTCCTCTTACTACGCCTGCAATCCAGAATGTTTTCCCCCAGATCTCTGCATTGCCAGCTCCTTCTTACCTTTAAAATCATCTCCCCAGAGATACTTCCATTTCCTATAAAAACAGTCACCATGATACCTACCCCTGACACACACTCAATCTCTATCTCCTTACCACATTTTATTTTTCTGGAGAATAGTATTTATTACTATCAAATATAATATTATGCATTTATTTTTAGTCTAGCTCTTCTAGTAGGATGTAGCTTCACAAGGACAGGGATTTTGTCCGTCTTATTCACTACTATATCCATGGTGCCCAGTGCAGAGTTTACAACATTTAGATGGTACTCAATAAAGATTTGATAACTATCCTCAATAAAAATGTATTGCCCTTCTATGATACAGGGTATAGTCTCTTGACTTTGTAATTTCAACATTCAAATACAACCCAGTCCACTCTTTTCTAAGCTAGTCATGTAAACCACCTGTTTTCTTCAGAACTGAGACACTTATGCATTATACCTGTTCTCACCAACAGCTGTGTCTGCTTATTGGCTTACTTTGAAGACAACTTTAAGGAGCTCTTGTTAAGAACCACTGCTACTTCAGTCAAATACTGGTTATCTCAGAAATGGTCTTTTCTCCTGTAGAGAGCTCAGAGCCACTAAGCAGGCCTTCTAAAGGTTCCTTCATCAGGGCTAAGGGAGCAGTGATTCTGAGAACACAGCAGTGTAGGGAAGTGCTTGGAGGGTCTCTGCATCCAGCTGGGTCAAATCTCAGCCCCGTGACCTAGGCAGTCACAGGATCTTCCTTGAAGGTCAGTTATGAAGAAAAACTTGTCAAGACCATGGTGAAAACAGCATAGCAAGGGCAGAGGATCCAAGTAGAACACCTGGTGAGCTGACCAGCTGAGAAGGGACTCCTGATCGGAGTTTTAATGAAAAACCAAAGCATGCATTGAGGGAACAGATGGCAGTCTTGATGGACAAGGAAAGGAATTCAGATTGGACACTGAAAGCCATGGTGGACTATAGAAAGCATTCATTCCACAGGCGGAGTAACCTAGGCTGAGCCAGGTCCCTGTCCACACTTGTTAGGTGGGTAAACTCAAGCCAGCTTCATCCTATCTGAACGCATGTTCTCATCTGTTCATTGTGATGCTGGTAATCAAAACCTATAGATTCAAGGAAAGGCTAAACAATGACAAGTAATGTTTGTGAAATGATTCTAAATTATAAAGAACTTTCCTAATGCATATTGCTGATGTCTGGGGCCAGTAACCTGGTGGTGCAATAAAGAGCTCCAGGCCGGATTAGAAAGACCAGGGCTTGAATGCCTGCCCTGCCACCTATTAACTTTATGGCCTTGGGCTGATTATTCCCTCTGAGACTTGCTCTTTCATCTGTAAAAGGGAAATGGATACTTGTGAGGATTCGCTTATATCTAAAGAGACTAGTCAAGCACCTAGCACATCATCTCCACCACCACCACCATTGTCATCATGGCCAAGGTTAGTTTAAGCACTCACTGTCTGCTGCATTGTTCTAAGAGATTCAGGTGCATGTAGGTAGATATTGTTATTCTGAGGCCTAGGGAGGTTAAGTAATTTACCCGAAGTCACAGATAGGAGTGGTAGAGCTTGGATTAGGACCCAAACAGTTAAGCACAGCACATGGGGGTAGTTTTTGACAATAGTGCAAATCTGCTACCAACGTAGGCCAATTTTTAGAAAGTCCCTTTGTGAAATAACAGACTGTCAGAAGAATTCATGGTTTCTAAAGAATTTGATCATGGAAAAGAGAAATCCCTTAGAATGGTCCCTAGATCCTTATCACCTGCTATTTAAAAAAAGAGTTGATTCTGCTAGAGAATATGTAATTGATTCCACTTCCAGGAAGAAAGGATGTTGAATTAACAATGGAAACTGAAATCCCTACCTCTGAGCTCTTCTCCCCTACTTGTAAAATCCCTGAAAACAATCCTGGTCAGCTTTGAGGTTGTCTGTATCAGTGAAGGAATTCCTCTAAGCCCACCAAGGAGGCAATGGGTTGGAGTGAAAACATGATTACACAAGGGAGTAACCTCATTTGCATCCTTGAGAGGGTAAGTAGTTGCAGCCCACAGCAGAGGTTGCTGGTTCACCCAGTGGTGACCTGCTGTTGCATTTCTCCCATCCACATGTGAGGCCATAAATCCACAGGGCAGGAAAAAGTCTAACCCCATGGCTTAAGCTTTAAGCAACTTTCTCTGAGAAATCATATGCCTATTTCTACATTTTTAATCCTTGCTCTCTGGGTCACAGGTCAGTGCCATCAGTGGGTAGAAGCTACCAGTCTTCCCTTACAAAAGACTTCTCCATTCTTTGGCCAAAGCAGAAAGGCATCGAAAGGGAAAGAAGCACTCCACTTCATGCCAGGATTTTCCCCTTAGATATTTCTCACTTGTGTAAAATACCAGCAGTAATGTTAGATACACAGATCTAGCTACAGACCCTTTATCTATGAGCTCCATCCACATCACTTCTGAGAAGCTGCAATAGCAATGCTTGAGTCTTTGCCAACCTTGAGACCATGAGGTATTCCTTAAACTTTCATTTTATTATCTTATCAAGATCATCTCTCAGTCTGTGAAATGGGTCTTTAAATTAGCAAGATTTTGAAACACCATGTGCCCAGAGAATTCCTAGGAAGAATATGGTCATAAAAATAAAATCATGCTATTTACCAAAAAAAGGCAACAACAACAGAAACAAAATCATAAATTAAGGCAATAAACTACATCTATTGGGAATGACTGGGGCAAGACAGAGGGTCCTTTCTACATGCCTAACTGAAATGTTCTATTAAGTTTTAAGCAATCCTGTTTACAGCAGATATAAATTAAAGTAACAGTGAGGCCATAAAATAGAGCAGCTGTTCTCCATCTCCACTGATGATAGAACAAGAGAGAAAGGCTGGTCAGACTTAAGGAAGACTTCTTGGTAGAGAGACCTATAATGCTAATGGGGACAGTGAGAAAAGATGGAAGTGTTGAGAAGTCATCTCCTTTGAAACACATTTAAAGGGCACAGATTAAGTGAATTTTACATGCACTTTGAAGTCCTTCACACTTGACCAAGGTTCTATAACAGCCCTCCATTTCTCTGTACATTTAGCTATTCTACTCCAAATAAATGGATCTCCTTACCAAAAATGCCACAAGAATACAATTGCACATCTAAGACAATTGTGGAAGCTAATTAGCAACTGGTAATCCGAAGTGAAAATGAGCAATGATTTCTGTGCTGAAGTGGCTGGGTTTAAGGCCAAAAATTGAGTGATTTAAGGGATTTCTGACCCCACAGCCTACAAGTCCGCATGATTAACAGCTGAGTTAACCAGACACACATAATGCCTGGCTCGCGCTTGCCTCTACTTGCTGGACTTACCTTCCCTAAAATGCTGCATTTTTAGGGTAATCCAGAGTATATGCCATGCCCACCAACTCTGCACTATCCCTAATAGCCCCTACCCCACAGGGATTTGGAGGCAGCAAATGGAAGTGCAGGCAATGGGGAAAAGAATGTAATATTTGAAATTATGGCAGAAATTCAAAGATGTTATATAAGCCATATTGAATCCTGCTTGTCTAATAAAGTTTGATTCATCAGAATGACCTAGTCATTTTTGGTCAATTCAGATGTACTGTATCTGACAATATTCCAAACTTAATAATTTCTTAAAATTACAAAAACATCTTCAATTTACAAAGTTATCTGAGGGACTTTATTTTTGTTTCTTTTTTATTTGGTTGGTTTATTGCTAAATGCTTTTAATACAGTGGTTTTTAGGGTACGTGTATGTTTCTAGCAAATATAAAAAGAATTATATACCATGACCAAGTGGAATTTATCCCAGGAACTCAAGAGTGGTTCAACATATAAAAATCAACCTCTCTTATACACTAAGTCAGTAAAATGAGGCAAAAACCACATGACTATTTCAATAGATGTGGAAAGGGCATTTGACAAAATCCAACAGCATTTCATTATAAAAACACTAAAAAAATTAGGAATAGGATGGAAATTCCTCAACCTGATGAAGAGAATTTACAAAAAGAAACACAGCTAAATCATATGTAATGGTAAGAGATTAAAAGCTTTTCCTCTAAGATCAGGAATAAGACAGGCATGTCCACTCTTGCCACTTGTATTTGACATTGTATGGGAAGTTCTGGTCAGGGCAATTAGGCAAGAAAAGAAAGAAAAGGCATGCAAAGTAGGCAAAAGTTGATATTGCAGTTTTGAGTGTGAAAATTGTAGGGCAGGCAAGCAGGCAAAATACAGACAGAATTTCTGCATAACTGTCTTGAGGCAAAATTCCTTCTTCTCAGGGAAACCTCCATTTTTGCTCTGAAGGCCTTCACCGATTGGATGAGGATGACTCACATTATGCAGGGTTATCTCTTTTTCTTAAAGCCAATCAAGTGTAGATGTTAACCACATCTACAAAATACCTTCACAAATGACTGGGTTCCATAGCCTAGCCAAGTGACACATAATATTTAACCATCATAACAAGGGTACCAAGACAATTCAATGTGGAAAGACTAGTCTTCTCAACAAATGGGCTGGGACAACTGGTAATCCAGCTGCAAAAATGTTAAGTTGGGCACCTATCTCACCGCATATACAAAACTTAACTCAAAGTGAATCATAGACCTAAAAGTGGGAGCTAAAACTATAAAATTCTTAGAAGAAAACATAGGAGTAAGTTGTAACCTTGGATTAGGGAATAGTTGACCAGAAACACCTGTACTTTTTAAAAAATAAAAACAGGCATGAGCCACCATGCCCAGCCTGTTTTATGAGTTTGCCTATTGTTGATATTTCATATAGATGGAATCATACAATATGTGGCCTATTGTATCTGGCTTCTTTCACATGGCATAATGTTTTCAATGTTCATATATGTTGTAGCATGTATCAGTACTTCATTCTCTTATGGCTAATTTTCCATTGTAGGGATATATCACTTCTGTTTATCTATTTATCAATTGACGGATATTTGAGTTGTTTTCATCTTTTGGCAATTGCAATATAGATATTAGGAATATTCATGTATAAGGTTTTGTGTGAACATGTTTTCATTTCTCTTGGGTGTATATCTACAAGTGGAATTGCTGGAGCATATGGCAATTCTGTGTTTAACTTACTAAGGAATGTCCAATCTGTTTTCCACAGTAACTGCACCATTTTATATGTCCCCAGCAATGTATGAGAGTTCCAGTTTCTCCACATCCTCACCAACACTTGTTTTATTTTCTTTTATTATAGCCATCCTAATGGGTGTGAAGTAGTATCTCACTGTGGCTTTGATTTGCATTTCCCTGACGGCTAGTGATATTGAGCATCTTTTCATGTGCTGAAAACACTCAATGTTAGATTGTTTAAACACATACATACAAACACCCCTCGACACACACACATCACTAATGAGCATGTTACTGACAGCCATTTAACACAGAACCAGCAAATTTAGAATATTTGCTTTTCGTGTGTGCAAAAGAAAAATGCATACAACTCATCTTTAAATCTGATAACTTGAGAACATGTTAGAAATGCAAGATCTCTAGCCCCTCCCCAGATCTACTAAATAAGACTCTGCATTTTTCAACAAGATCCCCAGGGGACTCGTATGTACAATGAAGTTTGAGAAGCCCAAGTCTATAGGAATTTAAAAGCCAACTTAAAATTTGTGTATCTAATTCAACAGCCATATGAGGGCTAATGACAGTACCTACTTCATAGAGTTGTTTTGAGGATCAAATGAACCCATGCATATGAAATTCTTAGAATGGCACCTAGCAGAGTAAGGACCATATAAGTGTTCACTATCAGCATTGATTTGTATTGACTGTTGTATTGATTTTCATTGATTATAGTTTTCTAAGGGCTTTATTATATCTCTTCCTCCTCATAAGAGTTCAGTGAGATAGAAGAGAAATATACATTATTTTCCCAATTTTATAGTATAGGAAACTGAGACTCAGAGAGGGTAAATGATGTGCTTACCATCAAATATTACTTTTAATTACCTGTTTTTGCCCCAATTTCCATTACGTTTAATGCCAAAAACCACAATTACTTTTGCACCAACCCAATAGCTAATACATGGCAAGATTCAAGCCCAGGAATTTCAATACACTGTCTATGCTTCACTTTCAAGTATATATTACAAACAGTTATTCTGTTGCTGGAGAGAAGTCTTAGCTTAGATTTGCATCTCTCAAAGGTTGAGAGTAAAACATCAGAGTTTGGTGTTGGTGTTTCAGTGTGCCTATACCATTAAAGGTGGGTCTGAAGATCTGTTTCCACTTTTACTTTTTAAAAATTGGCAATATAACTTTTGAAGTACTTTCTCTTTTATTGGAATGGGTCAGAGTGTCTACACAGAGGTTGAGAATCCCTGGAGGGTGCAGGCTGGTGAGCATCGGGGAAGGATGGCTACGGCTTCACCTTCACCCACACTCTGCTCAGCTCACCGTCCACTTCCAGGGTGGTTCTGACCATCATACACAGTTTACAGTTGTGTTTATTCTTAGTCTCACACAATTTAAGTAGACCTTAGTAAATTATTTGCTAAAACCAGGAAGTATAAGGAACACTCACGTTAAAAACAAGCCGATAACGAGCATAAAAAAGACAAGCACCCCGCAAGTTTCCCTCACAATATGCCAGTTACCAGATTTGATGACGTTCATCTCTTCAAATTCTCATTAAAAAGTCTGCAGGATTTCAAAAACCAGTGTTGAAGAAAGAAACTCTACACACGATCTGGGGGAATGATATTAATAGTGTTAACGGCTGAATTGTGTCCCCTAAAAGTAATATGCTGAAGTCCTAGCCCCTAATACCTCATGATGTGACTGCATTTGAAGATAGGGTTTTTAAAGAGGTAATTAAACTAAAGTGAAGTTATTAGGTGGGTCCTAATCCAATAGGACTGGTGTCCTTATAAGAAGAAATGCAAGCTGGGCACAGTGACTCACACCTATAGTCCCAGCACTTTGGAAGGCCAAGGCAGGAGGATCATTTAAGCCCAGGAGTTCAAGACTAGCCAGGGCAATATGACAAAACTTGTCTCTACCGAAAAAAAAAAAAAAAAAAAATTAGCCAGGCATGGTGATGCATGCCTGAAGTCACACCTACTTGAGAGGCTGAGGTGGGAGGATCACTTGAGCCTGGGAAGTAGAGGCTGCAGTGAGCCGTGATTGCGTCACTGCACTCCAGCCTGGGCAACAGAGTGAGACCGTGTCTCAAAAAATAAAAGAGGAAATTTAGGCACAAGTACAGAGGGCAGGAAGGGAGGACCATGTGAGGACACAGGGAGCAGGCAGCTATCTACAAGCCAAGGAGAGAGGCCTCAGGAGAAACCAAGCCTGTCGGCACCTTGATCGAGTCCTTCTGGCCTTCAAACTGTGAGAAAATTAAATTCTGTTGTTCAGGCCTCCAGTCTGTTGTACTTCATTAAGGCAGCTCTAGGAAACTCATACAATATCTAAAATTAGGTGGTGTTTGCTATATTCCAAGTACTTTGACACATGTTTACAATGCATTTTCTCATTGAAACATTACACAACTCTCCGATGGATGTTACTACTATCCCGATAGTACTGCTGAGAAAGTTAAGGCACAAATAAGGCACACAGTTTGCTCTATGTTACACAGATAGTAAATGACTGTCAAAAACTGGATATGAATCCAGGTTTTCTTTTTTTTCTTTATTTTATTTTACTTTTTTGAGATGGAGTCTCGCTCTGCTGCCCAGGCTGGAGTGCAGTGGTGCGATCTCGGCTCACTGCAACCTCCGCCTCCTGGGTTCACGCCATTCTCCTACCTCAGCCTCCCAAGTAGCTGGGACTACAGGTGCTCACCACCATGCCTGGCTAATTTTTTGTATTTTTAGTAGAGACGGGGTTTCACCGTGTTAGCCAGGATGGTCTCGATCTCCTGACCTTGTGACCCGCCCGTCTCGGCTTCCCGAAGTGCTGGGATTGCAGGCCTCAGCCACCATGCCCGGCCTGAATCCAGGTTTTCTAATTCCACAGACCATGCTGTTACCCAGGAATAAGTTTATTTACAACACCCATGTGTGATTTCCAAAGAAGTAGTTTCTTTGGAATTTGTATTCCAATCTGAAAAAGTCTTTCTGATCTTTCCATTTAGAAATAGAAATATTAAGCGAATCTAGTTTTTGTAAGAATTATATGAAAAATAATATTTCATGGTCAGAAAGTATTTTATAAGAATATTATGAAAAAAAGGATATTTCAAGGTCAGGAAAGTATTTTGATGCCATAAAGTTAAATTTCAATCTATGTCTTAATATGCATTCATGACTCAAATTATGTTTTCTGACATAAGCATCAACTGAAAAGTGAGAAAGTAAAAATAAATGAGCTTAAAAGTATATGTTATATATGATTTCTAAACAGTAGCTTAAAATAAACATTGTGATAGAAATTTCCATATTATACTTCTATCAAGTGAAAAATTTCATATACTGCATCATATCATATCCAAATAAAATTCATTCGCCATTAATTTCACAAATATTTACTGAGCTCTAACTATGTCCCAGGCAGTAAGCTAGGCACTAGGAATAAAAAATAACAAAAAAGATGCGGACCCTGTCTTAGTGGAGTCTGTTGTCCGAAACCAAATAACTACAGGTAAGCAAGCCAATTCAATCATTGCAAGTTGTAAAAGTGTTAAGAAGGGAGTGGGTCAGGATTGAGAGCAACAGCAGGGTAATTTCCTCTAGACACGGTGGTCAGAAAAATTTTCATGATACTTAAGCTAAGACCTGAAGGATGAAATAGAGCTGAACTGAAGGCAGGAACATTTCGAGTGAGAATGAGTGGTTTTGAGCCACTGGAAGAAGAGGGAAGGGTGGTGAGAGAAGTTGGAGAGGTGGCCAGGAGCCAGGTAATGCAGTGAAGGGGTGGCCTGCCCCTCCACACCTGTGGGTATTCCCATCAGGGGGGACGAGAGACTGAGAAAAGAAATAAGACACAGAGACAAAGTATAGAGAAAGAACAGTGGGCCCAGGAGACTGGCGTTCAGCATACGGAGGACCTGCACTGGCCCCGGTCTCTGAGTTCCCTCAGTTATTATTATTTTCACTATCTCAGCAACGGGAATGCAGCAGGAGAACAGGGTGATAGTTGGGAGAAGGTCAGCAAGAAAACATGTGAGCAAAGGAATCTGTGTCACAAATAAGTTCAAGGGAAGGTACTATGCCTGGATGTGCATGTAGGCCAGATTTATGTTTCTTTCCGCCCAAACATCTCAGTGGAGTAAAGAATAACAAAGCAGCATTGCTGCCAACATGTCTCGCCTCCTGCCATAGTGTGTTTTTTCTCCTATCTCAGAATTGAACAAATGTACAATCGGGTTTTATACCAAGACATTCAGTTCCCAGGGGCAGGCAGGAGACAGTGGCCTTCGTCTATCTCAACTGCAAGAGGCTTTCCTCTTTTACTAATCCACCTCAACACAGACCCTTCACGGATGTCGGGCTGGGGAACGGTCAGGTCTCTCATCTCACGAGGCCATATTTCAGACCATCACATGGGGAGAAACCATGGACAATACCTGGTTTTCCTGGGCAGAGGTCCCTGCGGCTTTCTGCAGTGCATTGTGCCCCTGGTTAATCGAGAATGGAGAATGGCGATGACTTTTACCAAGCATACTGCCTGCAAACATATTGTTAACAAGGCGCATCCTGCACAGCCCTAGATCCCTTAAACCTTGATTCCATACAACGCATGTTTCTGTGAGCACAAGGTTGGGGCTAAAGTTACAGATTAACAGCATCTCAAGGCAAAACAATTGTTCAGGGTATAGATCAAAATGGAGTTTCTTATGTCTTCCTTTTCTACATAGACACAGTAACACTCTGATCTCTCTTTCTTTTCCCTGCAATGCAGGGCCTCAGGGCTTTCATGAGAAACTCAATGCAGTGGAAAGCCAGAAGGGTGTTAAGTGGGGAGTGAGGAGTGATGCCATCAGGCCTGTTTTGGGAAAGCACTTCTGCTGTTGTGTAGAGGTAACTGCAGGAAGCCAAGCCCTTGTGGAGAGACTCAGTAAGAGACTCTTGCAACATTCCAGGTGTCAAAGAGTTCACTGCAGAAGCAGCAGCAGACATGAAAAGGAGATGAATTTTAGATCTATTTTGCTGGTAGAATTGATAGAATTTGGTAATAGATGGAATATACAAGAGTAGAGGGGATGGTAAGAGAAACGGGAAAATCAAGGATGACTCCTAGAGCTTTGGGGAAGATGATGGTTGCGTTTCCTGAGGTGGAGAAGTGTGTGTATATGTGTGGGGTGGGTGGGTGAGGGGACTGGTGGATGTAGAAGGGGTGGGTGGGTGAGGGGACTGGTGGATGCAGAAGGAGGTAGTCTAGGTCTGCTGCTGGAGACCCATCAAGTCTCAGGCTCCTTCCATTTTTCTGCTCCCCCATCTCAGCGCATGGCTGTCATCCTCGTTGTCACAAAATGGCTGCTAAATTCTAGCCTCACAGTCATATTTAAAACAGGAAGATAAAAAAGGGAGCAAGATGGTTTCAACCCTCACCTGAAAAAAGAAAACTTTACTGGAAATCCGCACAGATTTCTGCTTATACCTCCTTAGCTAACACTGTACTCCAAAGCTAGTCCTTCTTGCATGGAATGCTGAAAAGTATAGCGTGGAAACTGACACAAGTAAGTCAATTACACCCACCCCTAACAAAATCAGGGTTCTCTTATCAAGATGATACAAGAAAGGATATTCGGTAGACAGCCTGCAAGGTCTGATAGACCGCCCTGTGATTGAGTTAGCCTGCGAATATCAGTAGGTTGAAGGACAAGATGATTTTAAGTTTACTTGGATCTCAGTTCTTCATGAGTGAGCAATATGCATAATGAGCACTGGCAAATTTGGGGCTGTCCTCTTTCTGCTTAAAAACAACCCCCAATTTGTCAAAAGAAAAGACCAGTCTTCCATCATTGACCTCTCCACTATCTCCCAACTGTATCCCCAGAACTTTTCTCGTCTCATAGGGGTTGTGTCATGTGGATGCATTGCCACTGGGCTTGGTGTTCCGCCACTAGTATGTTCACACCAAATGTCCTGAGAGCATGGCCTGGCCAAACTGAATGTCCGATCTTTTTTGCTGCATATTACCTTTTGATCCTGGGAAGGTGAGTGCTACCTTAGCTCAGTGCAGCCTCCTCACCTTAGTCTCCAGGGCATTTTGGATGACTCTGGTGTATCAGCCAGTTCTCAGCACTTCTGTTTGGGTTGCTGCAGCCTTTTGTCTCTGTGCATTATACCTGAACCTTCTCCTCCATGGCAGAAAGCAGGGGTCTGTCTAAACACTGTAGTCCATTATCCCTGTACAAAGATAGACTGTACTCTGCTGGAATTTAATCTGGAAACGTTTAATACATTTGCAGCACAAGTGCCAGCTACTTTAAGAGGAGAGATGATCACTTTTCTTCTCTTAAAGAGAAACTTCTAACTGAATATAAATCAACTTCCTCAATATGCTCATCATACCTGATAATGAAAACAGTCCTCATTGAGAGAAATCTGTGGTCTCCTGGGAAGAGCTTTGGCCAACAACAAAGAAAAGGGGAAAGAAAGAAGAGGAAAAAAAAAGGGCGGGGGGAGAGGCTCTAACTGTATCGAATAAGAAACCACTCTTTATCTGGAAGAAATTCAGCAAATGAGTGCCTTGTCAAGCTACTCTAGTGGAAACAAGGACAATTAAGACAGCGCAAACCATCCCCAAATGCTTGCATTTGGGACTTGCTGAACATCTCAAGCTGTTTTCCAAATGCTTGGGGTTTGGCACAGTCCAGGCTCATGGTGGGAAACTTTCCTGAAGGTCTGTCTAAATGCTCCTATTTTTATTCCATCTCCTTGCAGTTAATATCCGCTTAATTTGCTCCAAATTCTGCATTTGATATATGTTAGATATCTTCAGACCCTGGCTGTGCCTATTCTCCTTCATGTGGTTGCCAGAAATTTCAGAGTATTATCATCATGCCTGGTTTCCAAAGTAGACAGTCATTCCTTCCTCTTTGTCCACCATTCTTGGGGATTAGAAGGACTGTGATGAGAATGCAGAGGGGACCATGATGTGTGTGGTACTGCAGAAAGATTTGGGAATGCTGGCTTTGAGAAGCAAAGACTCAGGGAGAAGCGATAACTGTCTTCACAGTTTTGAAAGAATAGCAGATGGAGAGGGATTAAACCTATTCTCTGTGGCTCCAGAGGGGTGGAGCTAGGACCAGAGGCCTAAATGGGCTCTGTACAAGAAAGACTTTCTCATTTCAGAGCAGCCAGAGAGACCTGCCTCTTCTTCACCAAAGGGATAGGTCTTTGTTGGAGGTTTTTAATGATGTACCATTAATTTTTGGAGACTGAAAAATGATTTAATAAAGCTATTCAAGTAGAGACTGAATAGTTGAATTCAAAGACCTTGAAGTGCCTTTCTTTAAGTGTCGGGCACTGCACACCAACACTTAGCACAGTGCCTGGCATATAAGAGGTGCTGAATAGTTATTTGTTGAATGTGCAAGTAGTTGATGGGATGAAAAGCTCACAGTGTTATTGGGAGTATCAAGCATTGATACACCCTTGAAAAATTGGGTCAATAGGAAGGAAGCCCTGGATGTACTAAATGTAGCCATCTTTTCTCTGAGCAGGGCCATTGTTTCCTGCCTTTTTAAAGTTTAAAGAAGACAACCTTCTTGACTCTACTTCCTTCTTCAGCATTTCACTGAGGCCCAGGTTGAAACTGCTCTTTTGCTGCCACCCAATATGGTCTCTAAACTCGCAGCTGAGGATGTAGGAAATAGTGACCTCTAAGTTGGATTAGGCTTAAATGACACTCATATTCCTTGTTGGCCCTCAACAAAATATAAATAAAATCATCATGTTACAGAGCCCACTTGAGGGGGGTCCTGTGTTATGAATTAACACTCAGGCCATCTCTGTTCTTTTATTCAATAATTATTTTTGAAGGTTGGCTACTCTCCGACTGTGTGCACCCCAGGAAAAGGTGCCCCTGCACTGATAGGCTGCTGAGGCCGCCTATCAGGGGAAGGAAAAACTGCACGTGTCCTCAGGCAAGGTGAGCAGAACATAGGGACCTCATCATTTCAGCAGTGAGCAACTATGTATTTGGCTTTCGGAGGCAATGAGAGATATTCAAGAGCCAAGTCTGTAAAGTACAGGGAGAACCTGCATCAATTAAGCAACTCTGCTTATCAGTATTATTTCCCATGAAATCTCATTTAATAGTCATAAGAATACAATAGAATAGGAAGGTACAGCCCTATTTTATAGGTGAGGAAACAGGATTGGCACAGCAAAGTGAGTTGCCTGAGTTCGTTCTGCAAATACCAGCAGGGCCGGGGGCAAGCCAGGCTGTCGGCCCCTAGGGCTTGTGTTCTTGCCCTGACATCATGAACAAGAGATATTAACATACTTTCTTTTCCAAGGTTATTTGTCATTATTGTTTGTCTGGCAAATAACCTAACCCAGCCTTTGACCTGAAGCTTTTTTTTTTTTTTTTTTTTGAGATGGAGTCCCTATCTGTCATCCAGGCTGGAGTGCAGTGGTGTGATCTTGGCTCACTGCAACCTCCGCCTCCCAGGTTCAAGTGATTCTCCTGCCTCAACCTCCCAAGTAGCTGGGATTACAGGTATGTGCCACCACACCTGGCTAATTTTTGTATTTTTAGTAGAGACAGGGTTTCACCATGTTGGCCAGGCTGGTCTTGAACTCCTGACCTCAAGTAATCTGCCCACCTGGGCCTCCCAAAGTGCTGAGATTACAGGAATGAACCACCACACCACCTGAAATATATTTTGCTGCCTAAGATTGTCATATACAGATTTGAAAAACTAAAGGAGGGAGACTGAGCCAGTCAGGTCCCAGTATATCCCAGTAGGAGCAGGAAAGGAAACCTCTTCAGGGGAGGAAGCATTATGGGTCTGAGTTTGTAAACAGCCACCTATTCGTGGAGGTCTCAGCCCATTTCCACCCCATTCCAAAGGTGAGTTCCCACTGCATCCTCAAATTTCTGAGACTTTATAAACTTTGTATGTCTACAAAGCAAGTACCAAATCACTGCAAATTGTACTCCATTAATTAAGAATAATTATTTTTGGTTGAAAGATGAGCCCTATCCCAGACCCACCACTTAACAGCCACATGATCTCGGGTAGCCTACTTTGCTTTGGATGGTCAGTTTCCTCAGGCATCAAATAGAAGTGGGAGTCCAGGTCCCAGTGACCTTAAAGAACTGTCATGGGACCAAGTAAAAAAACAAAGCATGTGAAGACATTTTGCAACCACAAAAGGCTAATTATAAGAATGAAGTTAGTCACCATTGTTTGTTAATACTTTTCTATGGGAATTAAAACACCTTTGGTTTGAAGTTAGAAAAAAAAAGAAAGCCATAAACTGAATAGATTGACTGTCTTTACATAAGTTCATTTTTAAAAACAGACAATTTTTTATAGTATGCTATGTGAAAATGGAAATTTCATACTGGGTCTCAAGATTTCTACTTGAGCTTGAAGGCAGTTTCCTTAAATAAGAACTGACTCCTTCATCAATTGGCTCCAACTAAATTATGCATCTCAAAAGAATCAGCCCCGAGTTCCAGAAACTAGAAAAAGAAAAAAAAAGTCTATAGTAGCTTCCAGTTTTTCTTGGGTCATTAGTAGGTGCGCTAGAGAATTTCACTATTTTTTTCTATGAGCATAGCTTCGGAATTACACAAAGTTTAACCCAATTACAGCTGCCACAACCCAGAAGGTAGGGAGGAGAGGGAAGAGGAAAATGAAAGCCAATGGTGAGGCCAGTCTCATATTTTCCTTTTTTTCCAATAAATAATAAAGTATTTGAGTGTTTCAATGAGAACCTGCAGAGCTTGGGGGAAATCTTGAAGGCTGGCAAGGTGGGGTATCTGAAAGGTGGGAGAGGTGGCCTGTGAACTTTATGGGGGGGCCTTAGGGTGCTCCAAAACACTGATGGGAAGATGGTTTTCTATCTCATGATCATGCAACACAGATGTGAGCTGAGAAGTTAATTTCATAGTCTTTTTTCTCTTTTTTTAAATTTAATTGTGTTTTTCTTTCCTCATCCCTGTGATCACTGGGAGATAAGCCTTTTTTTCTTTTTCTTTCTTAATTGACACATAATAATTGTACATATTTATAGGGCATATGTAATATTTCAGTACATGCATATAATGTGTAATGACCAAATCAGGGTAATTGTCATATCTATCAGCTCAACCACTTATCATTTCTTTGTATTGGGAACACTCCAAATCCTCTCTTCCAGCTATTTTGAAATACACAGTAAATTATTAATTATAGTCACCCTGCTATACTATGGGATACTAGAAGTTATTCCTCCTATCTAACTATATTTTTGTATTTGTTAATCAACCTCTCCCTGTCCCTCTTCCCCACTACCCTTCCCAGCCTCCTGTATTTTACTTTCTACTTCTATGAGATCAACTTCTTTAGCTCCCACATATGAATGAAACATATGATATTTGTCTTTCTGCACCTGGCTTATTTCACTTAGAAAAAATACTCATCATGGCCAGGCGTGGTGGCTCACGCCTGTAATCCCAGGACTTTGGGAGGCCAAGGCGGGTAGATCACGAGGTCAGGAGTTCGAGACCAGCCTGACCAACATGGTGAAACCTCGTCTCTACTAAAAATACAAAAGATTAGCCAGGCATGGTGGTGTGCACCTGTAATCCCAGCTACTCAGGAGGCTGAGGCAGGAGAATCACTTGAACCCAGGAGACAGAGGTTGCAGTGAGCTGAGATCATGCCACCGCACTCCAGCCTAGGTGACAGAGGGAGACGCCATCTCAAAAAAAATTAAAAATAAAAATAAATAAATAAATAAATAAAATAAAATAAAAAGAAAAAATACTCACCATTAGTAATCAAGAAAATGCAAATTGTCAACTCTTGTTTGACAACAATTACCTGAAAGTATTTTGAGAGTAACGTCAGCGAACTCAAGACCTTCTACCTGTTGATAAAGCAAACAGTAAATACAGTAAATATAAACTGCCTAATGTTTATACTAAATAACTTGTTTCAAAAATATGCAAGCCATCATGCAAACATTAAACTAATAATAATAATAAATGTTGGTCATTCATTCCTTCTTAAAACATATCCATTTGCTCTACTGTCATAAAACTATCATTTATATTTAATTCATATTTCTTTAACATAAAGGATACATTTTGAGCACTCAGAAATGCTTAGACAGCATCTTTTACTTCAAAATCGCAAAGCATTTTTGGCCACAGTATTTTGTTTTCATAATTATAAATGAATATAGTGACACGCTTTAGGATCACTTAAGTTTGCTCTTTTGGGGACTCATGATGTTAACCACTTTAAGCTTTCTTAATGAAATATCATTGACTGAATGAGTAACCAGGTTAGTGACCCTGTCACGAATATCTTTTTTGTCCACTGAGCTGTGACATCATGGGGGCCCAAGGAGAAGTTCTGATTTGGGGATTCCTTTCCTGCTTCTGGGAGCTGACAGCAGAAAAGATTCCTAGAGGTAAGGTGGGGAGTGGAAGCAGAAGGGACAGAGATCAAGAAAAGAAATCTCATCTCTACTTCCCACCAGCAGTGTCCAGAGAGATGAATAAGAAGATTAACAGCTTCGCAGCCCGCTGAAGACGCAGCCAAGGCCAGACTCCCAGAGCCTGGACTTCTACCCTACCCCATACAGCCAGGGAGTTTGGGGGAGCCATAGCAAGAGGATTTATCTTCTGAGAGTTCAGGGGGAAGTTCTTCAGCTGCTCACCTTATGATCTGAAGACCCTCCCCTCTGGCCCCCTCACCTCACAGTCCCTCTAACTTTCTGTCCCCTGCAGTCTCCCAGCCTGATGGTCCTCCTCAGACTTCTCCTCTCGTACCTGGAGCTTGACACTGCTCTGCCCTGCTAAACCTGCATGAAGAACCACAAAGAACTGTGCTCACTAGAGTTCCTGATAACGTGACTGTCACCACAAAAGTAAGAAGGGTCAGAAAGATTCGATTGGCTCAACCATAGCTTCTTCTGAGTCCCTCATTGTACTTTAAATGGCACAAGCCACATTGGGGATAAAAGGGCACTGAAGAGTAAGAGAATGTCCACTATTCATGTTCATTACCAATGATGATAATGAGAAGCACAAATTGGAACTCTTTCTAGGATTTTTTTTAACTGCCTTCAGATACCCAGCCATCATCACCACCATCACTGCCACTACCATCATCACTGTCTTCATTATCATCATCATTATGATCATCACAGTTCACATGTACTGAGTACTTATTATACAGTGGGCAATATTTTAAGCTGTTATATATTTAAATCTTCATAGTAACCCTATGAGGGAGGTACTGTCAACCCCATTTTACAGATGAGGATAGGAAAACACAGTGAGTTCAGGTCATTTGCCCAGCTAGCCAATAGGAGAGCCAGGATCTTAAATCCCAGCTAGTCTGATTCTAGACCTGGAATCAGGGTTCATAGATTCCACTGCTATATTATATTGTCACAAAATACAAATAGGTTTTGAACGTTTGATATTATTTTTGCATTTAAAAAAACTTTTCCTTATTCACTATAATATCCAAAAGAGCTGATACTTTGTTTTTCATTATTATTATTGTTGTCATTATTTTAGAAATTTTAGATATAATATAATTCACTTTTGGAGCAGATTTTCTATATTTGGGTGGAAAGGACCAAAAAGGGCACATTAATTTCACAAATATAAAACACGTGCTTTTATTTTTCTTGGAGAAAATTGAAGCTATTATAAACCCGGATGTAGATGCTGCAGACCTTTTATTAAGTTCTGTTTTGTAATATAAATGGAATGTATTTTTAAGATGACTATATCCTTGCAGAATTAGAGCCACTTTTTTTGCCCCTTAATATGGATGGGAGCTGTGCAGTTGGGATAGCACATGAAGTGCGATTTAAGACTGGATAAGCCAGCATTTGGAGGGCAGAGCTCACCATCTGGGTAGTGGCAGGAGTTTCCCGGGAGGAGATGGACGTTTGCACTCTGGGTCATTCTGTGATAGGAAGAAAGCTGGAGACCAGGCCTGTGAGGTGGAGAGAGGCCTGGAGAGGTTCAGTGGGGGCTGGGCAGGGCTTCTAGGGACAAGTCAGAGAGCTGGGGTAGGGGAGTGGGAGCTCAGAGGTCAGGAATTGGTCTGCAAGCCCTAAATGAAACCTCTGGTGGTATTAACTATGTTACTGTATTAGTCCATTCTCACACTGCTGTAAAGACATACCTGAGACTCGGTAATTTAGAAAGAAAAGAGGTTTAATCCACTCCCAGTTCTGCGGGCTATACTGGCTTCTGCTTCTGGGTAGGCTTCAGGAAACTTAGAATCATGGCGGAAGGCGAAAGGGAAGCAGGCACATCTACATGATGGGTCGAGGGGGGAAGGTGCCACACACTTAAACGACCAGATCTCATGAGAACCTATCACGGGACGGCACTAGGGGGATGGTGCCAAACCATTAGAAACCACCCCCATGATCCAGTCACCTCCCACCAGGCCCCTCCTCCAATACTGGGAATCACAACATGACATGAGATTTGAGTAGGGACGCAGAGCCAAAACATATCAGTTACTCTCTGTTGTTCTCGGACTATCCTTATTTTTTCAGTTAAACTCCAGGGCCTTGTCTTAACTGTGCTTTGGACACTTGAAAAACAGGCCAGTCCTCATAATGGGATCCACCAGTGCTCTGGGAACACCTGTGGCTGGGGGCAATAACTAACAAGGACACGCCAGCTCCAGGCATCCCAGAACTTACAACAGTCAGCTGCCCAGTAAAAGAAGGCATGCCTCATTCGAGAAAGGGGCTTGGACTTCGGTAGTCTGAATATTAAAGATTTAATTGACCAGCCTGGCCAACATAGCAAAAATCCATCTCTACTAAAAATACAAAAAGCATTGGCCAGGCATGGTGGTGCACACCTGTAATCCCAGCTACTCGGGAGGCTGAGGCAGGAGAATCACTTGAACCCAGGAGGCAGAGGTTGCAGTGAGCTGAGATCATGCCGCTGCACTCCAGCCTGGGCGGCAGAGCAACTCTCTGTCACGAAAGAAAAAATAAAAGATTTAATTACAGGTTAAAGAAGTCTGGGGATAAATTTCAATTGTGTTGAAGTAATGTATGCTGTTGAACAATGGCAGAAATCTAGGTCAATATGTAGTGGAATATGTGGTGCTTCATTTTGCTAATCAAGGATTTCTCAAAATTAAGAAGCAAATAGACCTTTTATAAAAAGGAAAAATTCTTACAGATTCTCAATGCTATATTTTATTATAATATTACTGAAGTGTATACAACTATAAATCTAGGTATAAAGTCCTTTATTTCTTATACAACCATAGAACCAAAACAATTCAAAGTTAATATAGACTTACAAAAGCACACTATTTAATTAATAATAGCAATTTAATGGGACCGATGATGTTATTTTGATAAGCAAAATGACCAAAATGAGGTTTAGGAGTAGAAGTAGGAGGCTTGGCTCCACTTCTACATTTAATTCTGTTCCTGAATTTTGACCTCAGAAAGCTACTGTAGTGAGTATTTATTAGGACAATTATACTATAAGAAATTGCAAAACACAAAAGTTTTGTTTTTCTAGTTCAAGATAAGCAGACCTCAAATTCAATTTTAAAAAGTTCTGTCAGTAAACAAGCCTCAAATGCGAATTTTGTTGATTTGCCATTTGTTGACCTTATATGGCTGCCTTATATATTCAAAGATGAAGCTACATTAGAGGAATTTTTGAAACCTGCACTTTATGGGAATCTAATGCAACTAACTGTGGTGTGAATCAGAAACAGAACATTTTCCATTGTGTATTTCCTCCTCACTGCAAGCTGGTCTGAACAACAAGGCGGTCTGGGTAATGTATCTGTTCACCACATACATGAATACACTACTCACAGCTCAGTGCTAGTTCAGCTCAGCATGCCTCTATCATCACCAGCATTGACTAGCTCAATTCTCCCACTCCTTTTTCTACTGCAAAATCTACGTTCAAGCAGTATGCTATGTCTTTATCCTCTATTTGATGCTAGCATAAACAGAAAACAGAATTACAAATGCAAGCACTGAATTATGTAGTGGTATTTCATGATGATGTAGTCATCCAGATGGTGAGTAGAGATCTGACTTTTTTAAAGATTATCATCAAAATGATAACCTCCAAATAAATTCCTGAGTGGCAAACAGCAATCCTCAAGGATATATCCTGGAGCTCTAGGTGGAGAACCAAGGAGGTGCTCAGGCTTCCCCGATGTGGATGTGAGAACAGGGTAATGATACCAGCTGTGGGACAGGCCTGCCCTGGCTTTGCCACCATCTGCTCTGGGTGAAGTCTACCTGCCCTCAGATTCTTTGAAAAGAATTCTGGGTGTCCCTGATGTCTCACCTGAACTCTGAGAACAAGTTCTCACAGTAGTGTCCTTTTTTTCTTTTTTCCTCCTGGCACTTCCCCCTGAATGCTGTCTCTCCTGCCACCATTTAAGACGTGATCTGCTTCCCCTTTGCCTTCTGCCATGATTGTAAGTTTCCTGAGGCCTTCCAAGCCATGCAGAACTGAGTCAATTAAACCTCTTTTGATTATAAATTATTCAGTCTCAGGTATTCTTTATAGCAGGGTGAAAATGGACTAATACACCTGGAAACTCTTTCAATGCAATTGCTAGAATAATTGTAAGGCTCACCTTGTTTCTCATTCCTCAGGGATCTCTGTCCTTCATTATCCGATGTTCCCTGTCTTGAAAAATAGTTTCATCTAATTTATCAGATTTTTCTTAGGTTGTTTCAGGCAGGTAATTTCAGTCCCTATTACTCCATCTTGGCCAGAATTGGAAGTGTCACAGTAGTGGCCTTTTTTTCCCTCCTTTTGCTGTGGCAATGCCTCTAGTCATTGCTGAGGAAGAAAAGCGTCAGTTCTGTCCCTTGGTGCCCATTAATGCCATCACCACAGCTGCTCCTACCTAGCAAGGGCATCATTGATGTTGTCTGCTGTCACTGCAATGTCAGTGCGAAGCCCTGATGACGTGCTGGTGGCTGAGCTGAGGTGGTGGGACCTGCAAGTTCCTCTGCAGTGGCTGCCATCGGTGATGCTGATGCCTCAGCTTCTTTGTATCTTATGTGAGTTCATAGAGAAACAGCTTTCCCAGTGGCTCTAAGGCCCAGGCTGGAGACTAGGCTGGATTCAAGCTTTATTTCAAATTACTGCTCTCTTCTAATAGGCCCATACTCTTCTTAAACAAGGTGGTAGACCACAGCTGTCTTTACTTTTCGACCTTTTTAGTCTCAGGTGGTCCTTTCACTCTTCCATGTAAGCAGAGCTCTGAGACGCTGCCTCTTGCAATCCACCAAGTGCACCCAAACAGGCCTGAATCCACAGGTGACCTCACTGAGGCTCGTATTAGTGAAGTAACTATTTTTAACTATATTTTCTTATTTTCTGTATTTCTGATGCTCTGACATTTGGGGTTCAACTGACCACGGAGAGACTGACCTCCCAGGGTTAACTAATTCCTAGAGATGGTAAACATTTGCCTTGGAGCATGTCTTTGATGTGCAAGCCAACCAATCCTGAGTCTATACTCACACCTGCCCCTTTACCTGGGTCTTACATTCCAAGAGGGCAATATTCCTCCGCCTTAAGCATCCCAGGGCCAGGGAAGACACAACGAGGAGCCACTCAGATAGGCCAGAGCTTGCAGAGATTATTCAAATCCCCTAAGCCTGCTCAGCTGCGTACCTTGCTTCATTCATTCTTTCCATTCTTTAAAGTCTTGCTTTAAAGATTTGTTAGGCAGGGCCAGAGAAATGTAGTCTAGAGATAATTATACTCCCCACTGTGCAGGTAAGATTTCTGAATAATCTACCCAGGCCCTGCGAATTGTGAGGATTTCCAGTCTGGCTGGTTTTCTTTCCATGAAAACCACAAGCAAGGCTTTGCCTATGTTTTCTCCTGGCTCCTTCTGCCTCCTGACCAACCCTGGTGCTTCCCCGTGTGGACCCCTGTGACATGGCATGCCCTTCTTGGGAGCTGTAAGTTACAAACTATCTTTTTAATGGCCATTGTCTCCTGATATTTTGGTCTCACTATACCTGAACAATATCAAAATTCCAGGTACAGTTTAAAACAACTGGGAATCTGCTATGGTCGCAGAGAAGGATGGTGAGCTCCTAAGAACAAGGGCCTGGTTTCTGTTGTCTTTAAACCCAAAGACCCAAAATAGCATTTGGAGTTGTTGTAAGCCTAAATCGTGCTACCAGGGTCAACAAGATGGGCCCTAACATACTTGTACAATTACAACTGCTGAACAAGACAATCCAAAATAAAAACCATGCTAGGTCCACAAATCTAACATGGAAATGAAGATTCCCCATTATTAGGGTAGAGGCACAGGGCTGCAAAATATGTGGCCATCTCTGCAATCATCCACAAGAACAAAAATCACTTTCCTCCCTGAATAAAAGGAAAAACAAAGTTTAGAATCCATAGGAAAGAAATAATTGGGTTTTGGTATATAATCTGATGAATCATGTATCATATTAAGTTCTACCTTACTAGCAATGTTGTCACTGATGAGTTTCCAGTGGTTTTAAACATGTTCTCAAATTCTTCAACACTCTTCACATCAAGAAGTGGTGTCTGTTTCTCCTCCTCTTGTATTTTCCTGCTTCTTTGCATGACTAGTATACTTTGATTGGATGCCAGACATTGTGAGTTTATCTTGTTTGGTGCTGGATATTTTTGTATTGCCCATAAATATTCTTGGGCTTTGTTCTGGGACACAGTTGAGTTGTTTAAAAACAGTTTGATCCTTTCAAGTCTTGCTTTAAAGATTTGTTAGACAGGGCCAGAAAAATGTAGTCTAGAGATAATTATTTCCCACTGTGAAGGGAAGACCCTTCTGAATAATCTACTCAGTATCCTGTGAATTGTGAAGATTTCCAGTCTGGCTGGTAGAAGCAGGCATTACTATCAGCCTGGTGTGAGTGTGAGTACGTTCCTTCTAATCCTTTCAGATAGTTTTTTCCCCAGCTGGCTTTGAGTAGTCTCTCCACACACAGGTGCTGGTCAGTACTCTGTTGAGTTGAAAGGGCCCCTCCAGAGATCTCCATGGTTCTCCCCCTGTGCAGCTCCCCTTCAAGACCCTGCCCTATCAGCTCAAGTCTCCTCAGACTACCAACTCTATCTCTTCAATTCAGGTAGTCTGTTGAGCTCTTCCTGGGCTACCCCTCCCTGTGATGTTGCTTGGTGATAGAGTTTGGCTGTGTCCCCAACCCAAATCTCATCTCGAATTGTAATTTGAATTGTAATCCCCGCATTTTGAGGGAGGGACCTGGTGGGAGATGATTGGATCATGGGGGTGGTTTCCCCCATGCTGTTCTCGTGATTGTGAGTGGGTTCTCAGGAGATCTCGTTGTTTGATAAGTATCTGGCACTTCTCCCTGCATGCTGTCTCTCCTGCCGCCATGTAAGTCATGCCCTGCTTCCCCTTTGCCTTTTGCCTGATTGTAAGTTTCCTGAGGCCTTCCCAACCATGCAGAACTGAGTCAATTAAACCTCTTTGATTATAAATTATCCAGTCTCAGGTATTCTTTATAGTAGTGTGAAAATTGACTAATACACCTGGAAACTCTTTCAAGGCAATTGCTAGAATAATTGTAAGGCTCACCTTGTTTGTTTCTCAGCCCTCAGGGATCTCGGTCCTTCATTATGTGATGTTCCTTGTCTTAAAAAAACATAATTTCATCTAATTTATCAGATTTTTCTTAGGTTGTTTCAGGCAGGTAATTTCAGTCCCTATTACTCCATCTAGGCCAGAATTGGAATTTCTCAAACTGTTTTTTTGAAACAAGTTCTTACTCTGTCACCTAGGTTGAAGTGCAGTGGCATAGCCAGAGCTCACTGCAACCTTAAACTCCTGGGCTCCAGTGATCCTGTTACCTCAGCCTCCCGAGTAGCAGGGACTACAGGTGTTCTTCATCACACCTGGCTAATTTTTCTTTTCTTTTCTTTTTATAGAGGTGGGGACTCACCATGTTTCCCAGATTGTTCTCAAACTCCTGGGCTCGAGTGATCCTCCCACCTAGGCCTCCCAAAGTACTGGGATTACAAGTGAGAGCCACTGAACCTGGCCCCAAACTGTTCAAAAAAAGTAGAAGTTGCTGTATAGGAGTGGCTATTCCTCTGCATCCTTACCAATTCTTGTTTTTTTTCAGACTTTCTAACTTTTTTAAAAGGATTAACTAGTTCACACAAGGGATTTAATGTGCCTTTCCTCCCAGATTCAAATTAAAATTAATCCAGATTTAGATTAAAATTAAAAGAGAGAGGACAATATTTAAGCTAAAGGAATGGATCTTCAATCATGACATTTCAGGCAGGAGGGTACCAGATGGGAGGAATACACCAGGACCAGGGGAATTTAGTCCAATATCCTTTGCCATTGGAGTATTTCTATTTGTTTACTTTAAGTAAAGCAAAGTCCTTAACTCATTAAAACTAATGGGACTGTGAATGGAAGTAAAGTTTAATGCCTAGTATAAATCATAGAATCCTTCAAGCATTTAATTTCATGAATAGAAAGTACTCTAGAGAGTCTTGACTAAAATTTCCTACTCAAAGTCCAGAGAAAGACACAAAGATTAAGTGTCTGCACACACACAGGATATTCTGAGTCAGAGGAGCAGCATCAGCTGCCACTTGGGTCATGTTATGAAGCCCCCTTCCTCTCCAGGGACTGTGTTGCCACACTTAAAAGCATTTTAATTGTCTCTGAAAGTGGCCATATTCTCCAGAGAAAAGTGAAACCTGCATTCAGCTCTCTGGAAGGAATCTAATTATCTTGAAATTACTGAATTCTCTAGGTGACTTCTTCCGGATAAACAGGATCCTTGTTTTTACTTTTTTTTTTTAGGGAAGATGGTTTGGTATTACTCGTAATAGACTGTTCTGTGCTCCCCCTCTCACTTTGGTTCAATGAGAGACGCAGTGGAATTCTTCAATGCCTCCTCTACACCTGGCCTTTATCAAACTGTATAAACACCCAACACTGCGTATAAGTATTTGTTTTTTCTTTTTAAAGCAAAGCTTTGGTAGTGAGCATATTCATTAAACTTTAAAAATGTCTCTATAATCTTCTTTTTATTTAGCTCTTAGTACTTCTACATCCATAGTCTTCATTCTGAAATAACGTTTGTTTTGTGGTTGCTGGTAGATGTGATGAAATGATCTAAAATCTGCATTCCACAATGCTTTACAACAGACCAAAATAGCATTCTTGTTCACGCTAGGATACCCCAGTGCTGGCGCTCACTCCAGCTAGCTAGAAAAGAGCTAGCAGTTAGTTCCTGAGTGCGAAAATAGAGTCTTTATGGCTTCAAACTTGCTCCTTCTAAGGAAGAAACAAAGCTGCTTCATGCTCCCCTTTTTCTTGGTCTAATTCAAAGGGTGCACTTCATGAGAAGTGGGAGACAAGAGTAGCCACACCCTTGTTTCTGGAAATCGAATGGTCTTACTCCCTTGTGAATATGAATTCCAGGAGTTCACCGACAAAAATTAAGTAATGTTTTCCATCAGAGGTCTTTATTTTGGAGGCTGTAAGACCCAAACTGCCAACACATCTTCCATGTAATAAGATGTATTTTGAAGTTTTTCAGACTTTTTTTAAAGGATGGTAATTTACACTTTTTATGTACACCTCAAGAAACATTTGCAGCAAAAAAGGTAGTTCAAATTTGGTTGACAGTATTAGAGTTTTTGTCTCCCACTAATTACGGATTAAACATCAGGAATGAAACTGAGGGTCCAGGGATATATTTAAAACAACTGTTAGGTCTCATTCAGTATCAAACTTGCCTCTGAGAAAACTTCCCACATCCCAAAACAGGAAAGATCTTAAAAATGACTTCTCTAATCATGGCATCTCCTTTCCTCATGAGAATTCAGCACATTTCAAACTTGGTTGCAGAGTCTTGTATTAGAATGAAACTACTCAGAATCTAATAGCCACATTCTTGTTGTTAAATGAATTTGGAAGCTACCATATCACTCACTGCCTTCCTCCCAGCATCTGGAAGAAAACTTGGGATCATCCCCAATGTATGCTTCACTTCCCCCTAGTTAATTAACCAGCTTTAGAAACACCTCCTGCCTGTGCCCATGGTGAGATGCTTTCTTCAGGCCCTAGCATCAGGGCCCAGTGGGTCTCCCTGTTTCCTGTCTGTCTTTGTTCCCAACTCCACAGTGCTGACAGGTTGACCTTTCAGAAACAGAAACACACAGCACTGGACCACTTCTAGGCTTACAGTGCAGTCCCCATTTCCTTCTTGTTTGGCTTTCAGATGGCCTTCTGTGGGGAGCCTGAGGGGCTGAGAAGATTGAATCCCAAGCTCCCTCTTTCAACTTCTAAGAATCTGCTCTGCATCCATCTCTTTTACACTTGAGGGCTTGAATTTTTCATTGAAAAGGAAGCATGTTGATCAAAACCAAACAATCAAACCTACAAACCACTGGCTTCAAGATAAAACCCTAATTCCTTATAATGGCATAGAAGGCCCTCCTCCACGGAAAGCCACATCTGCCATTTCTCCTGGCAACTTCTGCTCCAAGCTCTGAGTCCCTTGATGAGCCTCTGATACACCAAGATTTTGGTACTCTTTAATGAGACTACCTTTCTGATCCTCCCACCCTAAACAACTCCTACTCAATCTTGAGGACACAGCTCAATTGTTACTTCCTCACTGAACCTTCCTCAACTTCCATCTTCATGCTCCCCAGTACTAAAATCTTGCTTTTTTTTTTTTTTTTTTAATTACAATCTTCCACAATCTTATGTGTCTTTTTTTCTGGGAACATATTCATCTTTGTATCACTGGCATTGAACACAGCTTTCTTGGCACGTAGCAAGCATTCTCATGCTAATTAACACTCTCAGGTTGCATGCCATTAAATCTGTTCTCCATCACTTTTATTAATGTTTGTGTATGAGACCTTCCAAATGTAACCTTTAAAAACAGAAAATCAAACAAACAGAGAAACCCACTTAAAATACATGTACTAGAAAAATAAAAGAACCTTTGGAAAGCGGGAAGAATGTAGGAATGACTGAAGGAAACTAAGAACCATAGCTGATTCACTGAATCTAAACTAACAGTTTTAAATTTTGCGAAGGTCTGCTACTTGTGCACATGTGGAAACTTTCAGGGGCTTGAAAGCACCAGAGTGAACTGGATTTGGAGGCTGAGATTAAACTTCTTCCCTTTATTTTATGTACAAGTAAGCCTCACTAATTCAGACTAAGGGGTGGGACAACTGTTCAGATTAATGAAATTCTATATTATGTAATGCTCTAAATGTAATTGCTTTTTTGATACTTTAGACTTAGTTTACGTAAACACAGCATCATTCAAGATGTGCACATTCATACGCAAGTTACCTTGTTGATCACTTCAGAGTTCAGTCTCAGGCCATTTGTTTGTATCATTAATGCCACTACAATCATTATTTTTCAAAGTTCAACTTCATGATATTTGTTCAGATGATCACAATTCTGATCTAGCGTCTTATGAATTAATAACATTTAAATTGTCATATTTCAGCAAATATGCATTAATGCATAGTATTCCTCAGACTAGAATGAAAAACTGGGCTAGAAAGAGGCTGCTCTGTACTCTCTTCATGTTTCCAAATTATTTTCATGGTGAATTTAGCCAGTTTTCCATGGCTCATGAAACTCCAAGCTGGCTTGAGTTTCCTGCTTCCTTCTTTGGCAGGACTGTATCAAACCTTTTCAAGAGATGTGTTCTTACTTTACAGGGAAAGGAAATATCAGATCCAAGCCATTCTACATGCACCAGATGCCAAGCACCAAACAAAAGCAGCTCAGCTTTTCAAAGATTTGCTATCTTAACTGTAGCCACTTGAGTCAAGACTTGGTCCCCAGAATGGCCAAGTAAAATAAGGCAGAATTAGGGCTAAATTGATCTCCACATCTACTGTTCATAAATCTGCATGAAAAAGTTCTGAATCAAAGAAAATAAATTGAAAGTGTGTAATGCTGGTTCACATCCAGCAGAGCTGTGTGTTTTGGAGAGGACACATGTGGCTTATTTTTGCAGTGAAAACTGTCTCTTCTCAGTGGAGGTTGAGTTTGGGGCTGCTTATGATGATGGAACCAAGAAAATCCTGAAATTCTAGAAGACAGCCCCTCAGTAGATCACTCACTTGGAATGCTTCTCTCTAAATGAAGAGGAAGAGGGAAGAAGTCTCATATAGATGCCTTTGAAAGCCATCAGAGTGGCTTTCAGGAAGGGAAACATGGAAGATCCACTGCCTCTTCTATCACTAGATGCTCATCTCAGACACAAAGATACAGAACTGTAAAGAAGGAGACAGGTCTTTTAGGTCTCAAAGGTTGGCAGAATTTCAGGCCCTATGTAGAGGAAACATGGCTGCTAAGGTCTGTTAAGTGGGAGGGAGTTGTATGGAGGAAAGGGTTGACTTTCTAGCAACTACAATTAGTTAGATACAGTAAATGCCTTTTGGCTATAGCTGACAATAGTCCCCCTTACTTGAGAACTATCTCCAGACAACAGTAGGACCTCCCATTGCACAACTCCACTGGGTATCATGCACACACAACAAAATATGAGTAGTGCCCCTGGAGGTGTGCAATGAAGAATTCTTGCTCAATAGCCTACTCTGGAACAGAGGACCCTACCTACCCCCCTGCAGTTGGTTGAACCAGGGATAAACCCTTGACCATACTGAGCCAATCAGGGCCATCAGATCATCTCTTTTAGGATTTGGAATTTGGATTGAAAACCTTCCAATTAATGCAGGCTGTTGCCTTATATGAAGATAAGGCAAACTTTAGTCACCTGGAGCAGGGTGTGTGTATGTGTTGGGTGGTGGTTGGAAAAGGGGCATCTTCTACCTGCAATTGCATATTCTGTAGAGGGGAAATAATATAAGCAATAATCAGAGAGAAGTAGCAGTAAGAGATAGAGAGAAGGCCCCACCAAGGCTCCTGACAACTTTTCTCTTCCTAGCTGCAGACCTCTCCCGAGGTCCAGCTGCATTTCTGTTCTTGGGTTTCATAAAATGCTTCTGTCCTTAAAACCACTGTTGCTCAAACTCACTTAAGTTGGCTGTGGTTACTAGCAGCCTAAGAGTCCTAAAAAGATTCTGAACAAAATAGTCACTTATGGTAAAATTGGCCCCTGTTTCTAGGAGAGTCTGTCCTTCTTTTTAATTGATGCTAGCCACAGGTAGGTCTATATGCAAAAAATATCTATAAAGGCAGGCCATATATATTATTGATTTATTTTTAAGGACTCCTAAGAGCAGTCAGATTAACAGCATAATCCAGTCCTGCAGTCAATATTTCTCTTTATGGTAAAGTTATTCAAATTCAACCTGTGCACTCCTTGCTGCAATTTCAGCCTCCTTCATAATGGTTCTCATCTAGGTGAATCTGGAGAATAAATGACAACCAGCCACTCTCTGGATAATAATTTTAAGTGCTAGACATAGAAAGAGGCAGAAATTCTTACTTGGTTCAACCTTCTAATTTGATGAATGAGGAGGCTGAAGACCACAGAGACTTATGTGATTTGCCTGAGGTCACATGTCTAACTGTGGCAAAGCAGGGAATAGAACCCAGATTACAAACTGCCTCGAAGCCAACTGTTATCCAAGAGAAATGCCAAAGGCAAAGCCAGTCATTTTTCTGGTCATTAATTTTAATTTCCCAGTTATTTGATCTGGATAGCTTCTAACTCTGAGACACTTTTACAGGTAAAAATCTTGGCAAATAATTAAATGGTTTCTCTGTTTAATTATTGACTCAATGGTATGTAGTAAAATCACTGGGCTTTTCAGGTGATCTTGACAATGTTGTATATGTCAGAATAAAAGGAACCTTCTGAATTTTGAGTTTATAAATCTCATTAAAGGAGTATGTAGTCAAGGTGTCAGTCAAATTTTAGAAAAGTATATGTCACATGAAGTTAAAATTGTTCCAAACAAAAAAAGAAAAAAAAAGAAGGAAAAAACATATATACTTAACTATGTGTTAACAATGTGCTTGTGAGTCATGACCAAGTCAATTTTCAGTATGAGTTATAGGTGGAAATGGTTCTTACTATTACCATTTAATATGATGTAGGCTTCAGGTACAGTACAGAGACACATATGTGAGGTGATTTAATCCTGCTAAGTCTATAATATTTCTCTAACATTGCATTAGTCAAAGAAAATGACAAATCCTGGGCAGCTAAATGCATTATTATTCATTTAAATAAATTGGTTGGGTCATTAGAACCCAGTTAAAATCCCCTTCCTTTCAAATCAATGGGGGTTATTATATTTAAGGCCCCTTTTACCAAAAGAAAATAAAAGAAGAGAAAAATATTTAGTAATATTTAGAATACTGGGTTCAGTGGGAAATAGAAGAGAGACAGGGCTGGTGGTGATGGTGGTGATGGTGGTGCTGGTGGTGGTGGTGGTGGTGGTGGTGTGTCTGTTAGGCTGGGCCCTCAGTGGATAGTGCCTTTCCATAAGAGCCAGGTGCTTGGCTCAATTATGGCTCTACTCCGGTAGGAAAAATGATATCTTCCAGCATGAAAAAAAAACAAAACCAAAAATATTCCAGGTAACATCCAGCATAGTGGAAAAGGAAGAGAGGGGAAGCGAAGGAGTGAAGGCAACAGACTCAAATGAAAAAACTTGCCATTCCAGCCCTGCCAAGAATTTACTGCATGACCTCTAGCTGCTCACTTCACCTCTCTGGTGCCATCTGTGAAGGTTGCACTAGAAGACCTAAAGCCCCTATCAATTCTAAAATTCTATGATTCTGGAATATGAATCCTGAAAACAAAAAATATATGGCTTAAGAAAAGCCATAATACGAAGGTGTTACCCCAAAATAGAGTTCGGATACCATGGACACCATAGTATAGTCTCATGTATACAATATTTGAGGATTATATGTATTATACACACTGGATTTTAGTCTTTGACCAGATCCTTGTCAACTTGATCCCAACTACCTTTCTATATATATATATATATATATATATATATACACATATATATATTTCTTTATATGTATATATATATTACTTTAAATTCTAGGGTACATGTGCACAACGTGCAGGTTTGTTACATATGTATACATGTGCCATGTTGGTGTACTGCACCGATTAACTCATCATTTACATTAGGTATATCTCCTAATGCTACCCCTTCCCCCTCCCCCCACCCCACAACAGGTCCCAGTGTGTGATGTTCCCCTTCCTGTGTCCAAGTGTTCTCGTTCAATTCCCACCTGCAAGTGAGAACATGCGGTGTTTGGTTTTTTGTCCTTGCGATAGTTTGCTGAGAATGATGGTTTCCAGCTTCATCCATGTCCCTACAAAGGAAATGAACTCATCCTTTTTTATGGTGCATAGTATTCCATGGTGTATATGTGCCACATTTTCTTAATCCAGTCTATCATTGTTGGACATTTGGGTTGGTTCCAAGTCTTTGCTATTGTGAGTAGTGCCACAGTAAACATACGTGTGCATGTGTCTTTATAGCAACATGATTTATATTCTTTTTGGTATATACCCAGTAATGGGATGGCTGGGTCAAATGGTATTTCTAGTTCTAGATCCCTGAGGAATCGCCACACTGTCTTCCACAATGGTTGAACTAGTTTACAGTCCCACCAACAGTGTAAAAGTGTTCCTATTTCTCCACATCCTCTCCAGCACCTGTTGTTTCCTGACTTTTTAATGATTGCCATTCTAACTGGTGTGAGATGATAACTCATTGTGGTTTTGATTTGCATTTCTCTGATGGCCAGTGATGATGAGCATTTTTTCTTGTGTCTGTTGGCTGCATAAATGTCTTCTTTTGAGAAGTGTCTGTTCATATCCTTTGCCCACTTTTTGATGGGGTTGTTTGTTTTTTGTTGTAAATTTGCTGGAGTTCTTTGTAGATTCTAGATATTAGCCCTTTGTCAGATGAGTAGGTTGCAAAAATTTTCTCCCATTCTGTAGATTGCCTGTTCACTCTGATGGTAGTTTCTTTCGCTTTGCAGAAGCTCTTTAGTTTCATTAGATCCCATTTCTCAATTTTGGCTTTTGTTGCCATTGCTTTTGGTGTTTTAGACATGAAGTCCTTGCCCATGCCTATGTCCTGAATGGTAGTGCCTAGGTTTTCTCCTAGTGTTTTTATGGTTTTAGGTCTAACGTTTAAGTCTTTAATCCATCTTGAATTGATTTTTGTATAAGGTGTAAGGAAGGGATCCAGTTTCAGCTTTCTACATATGGCTAGCCAGTTTTCCCAGCACCATTTGTTAAATAAGGAATCCTTTCCCCATTTCTTGTTTTTGTCAGGTTTGTCAAAGATCAGCTGGTTGTAGATGTGTGGTATTATTTCTGAGGTCTCTGTTCTGTTCCATTGTCTATATCTCTATTTTGGTACCAGTACCACACTGTTTTGGTTACTGTAGCCTTGTAGTATAGTTTGAAGTCTGGTAGCATGATGCCTCCAGCTTTGTTCTTTTGGCTTAGGATTGACTTGGCAATGCGGGCCCTTTTTTGGTTCCATATGAACTTTAAAGTAGTTTTTTCCAATTCTATGAAGAAAGTCATTGGTAGCTTGACGGGGATAGCATTGAATGTGTAAATTACCTTGGGCAGCATGGCCATTTTCACGATATTGATTCTTCCTATCCATGAGCATGAAATGTTCTTCCATTTGATTGTGTCCTCTTTTATTTCATTGAGCAGTGGTTTGCAGTTCTTGAAGAGGTCCTTCACATCCCTTGTAAGTTGGATTCCTAGGTATTTTATTCTCTTTGAAGCAATTGTGAATGGGAGTTCACTCATGATTTGGCTCTCTGTTTGTTATTGGTGTATAAGAATGCTTGTGATTTTTGCACATTGATTTTGTATCCGGAGACTTTGCTGAAGTTGCTTATCAGCTTAAGGAGGTTTTGGGCTGAGATGATGGGTTTTTCTAAATATACAATCATGTCATCTGCAAACAGGGACAATTTGACTTCCTCTTTTCCTAATTGAATATCCTTTATTTCTTTCTCTTGCCTGATTGCCCTGGCCAGAACTTCCAACACTATGTTGAATAGGAGTGGTGAGAGAGGGCATCCCTGTCTTGTGCCAGTTTTCAAAGGGAATGCTTCCAGTTTTTGTCCATTCAGTATGATATTGGCTGTGGGTTTGTCATAAATAGCTCTTATTATTTTGAGATACATCCCATCAATACCTAATTTATTAAGGGTTTTTAGCATGAAGAGCTGCTGAATTTTGTCAGAGGCCTTTTCTGCATCTATTGAGATAATCATGTGGTTTTTACCTTTGGTTCTGTTTATATGCTGGATTACATTTATTGATTTGCATATGTTGAACCAGCCTTGCATCCCAGGGATGAAGCCCACTTGATTGTGGTGCATAAGCTTTTTGATGTGCTGCTGGATTTGGTTTGTCAGTATTTTATTGAGGATTTTTGCATCGATGTTCATCAGGGATATTAGTCTAAAATTCTCTTTTTTTGTTGTATCTCTGCCAGGCTTTGGTATCAGGATGATGCTGGCCTCACAAAATGAGTTAGGGAGGATTCCTTCTTTTCTATTGATTGGAATAGTTTCAGAAGGAATGGTACCAGCTCCTCCTTATACCTCTGGTAGAATTCGGCTGTGAATCCATCTGGTCCTGGACTTTTTTTGGTTGGTAAGCTATTAATTATTGCCTCAATTTCAGAACCTGTTATTGGTCTATTCAGAGATTCAACTTCTTCCTGGTTTAGTCTTGGGAGGGTGTATGTGTTGAGGAATTTATCCATTTCTTCTAGATTTTCAAGTTTATTTGCATAGAGGTGTTTATAGTATTCTCTGATGGTAGTTTGTATTTCTGTGGGATTGGTGGTGATATCCCCTTTGTCATTTTTTATTGCATCTATTTGATTCTTCTCTCTTTTCTTCTTTATTAGTCTTGCTAGCGGTCTATCAATTTTGTTGATCTTTTCAAAAAACCAGCTCCTGGATTCATTGATTTTTTGAAGGGTTTTTGTGTCTCTATCTCCTTCAGTTCTGCTCTGATCTTATTTATTTCTTGCCTTCTGCTAGCTTTTGAATGTGTTTGCTCTTGCTTCTCTAGTTCTTTTAATTGTGATGTTAGGGTGTCAATTTTGATCTTTCCTGCTTTCTCTTGTGGGCATTTAGTGCTATAAATTTCCCTCCACACACTGCTTTAAATGTGTCCCAGAGATTCTGGTATGTTGTGGCTTTGTTCTTGTTGGTTTCAAAGAACATCTTTATTTCTGCCTTCATTTCGTTATGTACCCAGTAGTCATTCAGGAGCAGGTTGTTCAGTTTCCATGTAGTTGAGCGGTTTTGAGTGAGTTTCTTAATCCTGAGTTCTAGTTTGATTGCACTGTGGTCTGAGAGACAGTTTGTTATAATTTCTGTTCTTTTACATTTGCTGAGGAGAGCTTTACTTCCAACTATGTGGTCAGTTTTGGAATAGGTGTGGTGTGGTGCTGAGAAGAATGTATATTCTGTTCATTTGGGGTGGAGAGTTCTGTAGATGTCTATTATGTCTGCTTGGTGCAGAGCTGAATTCAATTCCTGGATATCCTTGTTAACTTTCTGTCTCATTGATCTGTCTAATGTTGACAGTGGGGTGTTAAAGTCTCCCATTATTATTGTGTGGGAGTTTAAGTCTCTTTGTAGGTCTCTAAGGACTTGCTTTATGAATCTGAGTGCTCCTGTATTGGGTGCATATATATTTAGGATAGTTAGTTCTTCTTGTTGAATTGATCCCTTTATCATTATGTAACGGCCTTCTTTGTCTCTTTTGATCTTTGTTGGTTTAAAGTCTGTTTTATCAGAGACTAGGATTGCAACCCCTGCCTTTTTTTGTTTTCCATTTGCTTGGTAGATCTTCCTCCATCCCTTTATTTTGAGCCTATGTGTGTCTCTGCATGTGAGATGGCTTTCCTGAATACAGCACACTGATGGGTCTTGACTCTTTATCCAATTGGCCAGTCTGTGTCTTTTAATTGGAGCATTTAGCCCATTTACATTTAAGGTTAATATTGTTATATGTGAATTTGATCCTGTCATTATGATATTAGCTGGTTATTTTGCTCATTAGTTGATGCAGTTTCTTCCTAGCCTCAATGGTCTTTACAATTTGGCATGTTTTTGCAGTGGCTGGTACTGGTTATTGCTTTCCATATTTAGTGCTTCCTTCAGGAGCTCTTTTAGGGCAGGCCTGGTGGTGACAAAATCTCTCAGCATTTGCTTGTCTGTAAAGGATTTTATTTCTCCTTCACTTATGAAGCTTAATTTGGCTGGATATGAAATTCTGGGTTGAAAATTCTTTTCTTTAAGAATGTGGAATATTGGCCCCCACTCTCTTCTGGCTTGTAGAGTTTCTGCTGAGAGATCAGCTGTTAGTCTGATGGGCTTCCCTTTGTGGGTAACCCGACCTTTCTCTCTGCCTGCCCTTAACATTTTTTCCTTCATTTCAACTTTGGTGAATCTGACAATTATGTGTCTTGGGGTTGCTCTTCTCGAGGAGTATCTTTGTGGTGTTCTCTGTATTTCCTGAATTTGAATGTTGGCCTGCCTTGCTAGGTTGGGGAAGTTCTCCTGGATAATATCCCGAAGAGTGTTTTCCAACTTGGTTCCATTCTCCCCATCACTTTCAGGTACACCAATCAGACGTAGATTTGATCTTTTCACATAGTCCCATATTTCTTGGAGGCTTTGTTCATTTCTTTTTATTCTTTTTCTCTAAACTTCTCTTCTCGCTTCATTTCGTTCATTTGATCTTCCATCACTGATACCCTTTCTTCCAGTTGATCGAATTGGCTACTGAAGCTTGTGCATTCGTCACGTAGTTCTCGTGCCATGGTTTTCAGCTCTATCAGGTCCTTTAAGGACTTCTCTGCATTGGTTATTCTAGTTAGCCATTCATCTAATCTTTTTTCAAGGTTTTTAACTTCTTTGCCATGGGTTCGAACTTCCTCCTTTAGCTCGGAGAAGTTTGATAGTCTGAAGCCTTCTTCTCTCAACTCATCAAAGTCATTCTCCATCCAGCTTTGTTCCATTGCTGGTGAGGAGCTGCGTTCCTTTGGAGGAGGAGAGGTGCTCTGATTTTTAGAATTTTCATTTTTTCTGTTCTATTTTTTCCCCATCTTTGTGGTTTTATCTACCTTTGGTCTTTGATGATGGTGACGTGCAGATGGGGTTTTGGCGTGGATGTCCTTTCTGTTTGTTAGTTTTCCTTTTAACAGTCAGGACCCTCAGCTGCAGGTCTGTTGGAGTTTGCTGGAGGTCCACTCCAGACCCTGTTTGCCTGGGTATCAGCAGCAGAGGCTGCAGAACAGCAAATATCGCTGAACAGCAAATGTTGCTCTCTGATTGTTCCTCTGGAGGTTTCATCTCAGAGGGGTACCCAGCCGTGTGAGGTGTCAGTCTGCCCCTACTGGGGGGTGCCTCCCAGATAGGCTACTCGGGGGTCAGGGACCCACTTGAGGAGGCAGTCTGTCCGTTCTCAGATCTCAAACTCCGTGCTGGAAGAACCACTACTCTCTTCAAAGCTGTCAGACAGGGACATTTAAGTCTGCAGAGGTTTCTGCTGCCTTTTGTTCAGCTATGCCCTGCCCCCAGAGGTGGAGTCTACAGAGGCAGGCAGGCCTCCTTGAGCTGCAGTGGGCTCCACCCAGTTCGAGCTTCCCACTTTGTTTACCTACTCAACCTCAGCAATGGCGGGCGCCCCTCCCCCAGCCTCACTGCCACCTTGCAGTTTGATCTCAGACTGCTGTGCTAGCAAAGAGCGAGGCTCTGTGGGTGTGGGACCCTCCAAGCCACGCGCGGGATATAATCTCCTGGTGTGCTGTTTGCTAAGACCATTGGAAAAGCTCAGTATTAGGGTGGGAGTGACCCGATTTTCCAGGTGCTGTCTGTCACAGCTTTGCTTGGCTAGGAAAGGGAATTCCCTGACCCCTTGTGCTTCCCAGGTGAGGCAATGTCTCACCCTGCTTCGGCTCACACTCGGTGGGCTGCACCCACTGTCCTGCATCCACTGTCCAACAAGCCCCAGTGAGATGAACCTGGTAGCTCAGTTGGAAATGCAGAAATCACCTGTCTTCTGCATCACTCACACTGGGAGCTATAGACTGGAGCTGTTCCTATTCGGCTGTCTTGGAACCGCCCCCACCGATCCTGACTTTCAAAATGGGTAATAGGAAATGAATACAAGTCAAAATGACATGAAGCTTTCTTTTGAATAACTTTTATCTATAAGAAACTCCTGTGAAAGAAATTCTCAGTGATGCTACACCAGACAGGGGCCAGTGCCCAGTGAGAGCAACCTTGAATACGCTGCCGGATTCCAGCCTTCCTCTTTCTTCAGGTTGGTGGCCCTATGTAAGGTTGGCTTTTCTACCTGCTGCAGCCAAGCTGCACTACTTATAGCTCAGAGGACAAGCCAGGCTCTCTCTTACCTCCATTCCTTCTGTCTGCCCTTCTTTCTACACTCTATAACCAGCCATCCCCAAACCTACACACGCACATATAGACCACTTATCCTTTAGGTCTCAGCTTAGTCATTACCATTTCTCAGGATCCTCCTCAAGACCTTCAAGCCTGAATTTGAAGCCCCTCATAGATTTTCCTGCAGTAGTCTTAGTGTATCAGTCAGCTCTTGCTGTACAAATAAACAATCATGATATCTCAGTGTAATACAACTAGAAGCATTATTTATCATTCATCCATCTGCAGGTTGGCTGGAATAGCCCTTGCTCCACCAGTAGAGATGCATAAGCTCAAGGACTTGGTAGGGCACAGTGGCTGATACCTGTAATCTCAATACTTTGGGGGGCTGAGGAGGGTGGATCACTTGAGGTCAGGAATTCTAGACCATCCTAGCCAACATGGTAAAGCCCCATTCCTACTAAAAATACAAAAATTAGCTGCGCATGGTGGTGCACATCTGTAATTCCAGCTACTCTGGAGGCCGAGGCACAAGAATTGCTTAAACCCTGGGGAGGCGGAGGTTGCAGTGAGCCAAAATCGCACCATTGCACTACAGCCTGGACGACAGAGTGTGACTCTGTCTCAAAAAAAAAAAAAAAAAAGACTCAAACCCAACCTAGCAAGCCCATTTCAAGCCTCTGCTTGTATCCCACTGATCAAGGCAAGCCACACAGCCAAAAAACTCCAGCACCAAGGGCAGGGAAGTACATTCTACCCACTATGAGGCCATGGAAAGGGTGGATATGTAATAGTACTACTTACTACGCAATCATTCAGTCTTTCCCACCTATACTAACAGTGTCTATCACAGTGTATTGTCATCCTCTGCATAAAGCCCCCTTTAGGCTATTACCTTCTTAAAAACAGAGGCCATGTTTTTTCATCTTTGTATTTCCTATCTGGTATACAATAGGCACTTGAAGATATTTGAGTGAGTGAGTGAATGAATGAATTGGAAGCAGGTAGTATTCTACCAGGCTCTGTTCCTGATCCTTCATAATACCCCTCCTATGTGCCTACTCAACGTTTTTACTACAGTTACCAAAATGAGAACAAAATTATTATGAATGAGCCTGGTTTATGTAGGGGTAGAGAGTGAGGGAGAAGAGAACCACATCGTAAGTCACTTTACCTACTTTGGCTTTTGTCCTTGATTGCCATTGGTAGCCTCCCCAAAAAGATATCTAACCTAAGTGGATCCCAGGCTACAAGCGGTGGGACTCTAGAACACATTTTAAAAAGATATTTCAGAATCCTATCTTGCTGTTCAGTAATTTTATTTTAGAGCAAACACAGGAAATGGAACACATTTCTAAGCAAATACTTCCCTGATTACTTACACATGCAAATTCATGGACTAAGTTTAGATGCATAATTAAACATCTAGTTATTTTCAGGCCCATACTCATAGGCCAAATCAGATTCCCAAAGGAGGCACATGGTTGGTTTATTTCTGTGTATTTGCTTGCATCCTCAACTGTAGGCTTTCGCCTGGGGGGAAAAAAAAGCATTGGCTCAGAGATCTCAGCGATCTGGTTGTGGTCCCAAAAAGCAAGGTGAATCAAGGACATGGCAAGTTTTGTGATTTTAAAGGATACATCTGATCTGAATGCTGCTTTTGTGGGCAGAGAAATGCATGATGATGACCTCCTCTCTGAGAGTGGGAAATAAGGGCAAGGTAGGCGCCATCCTTAGCACAGCTGTCACTCTTGTAATGAATAACAGTCCACTGGCCAAAGCCAACATCAACTTCCCATGTTGCAACTGCTTTTTATATACTTTCATCATCCATATGAAAACGTTAATGCCATGGGATTTTGTGCCAAATGACATGCTCAGATGCCAGTTTTACACATGCAAAACAGATGAGTGGTTTGGAAAGTTTGTATTCATTGTTACTTTACAAGCAAATGGCATCACCCCCTCACCTCCTGGTCACAGTGATCTACTGTTCAACGTGCTTTTCGCTTTTCCTAAAGGCATCATTTTCTTAAGAGTTTCTTCACAAGACATCCACTTAACAACACTTTCACTGTGAGCAGGGATTTGTGACAAAAAGCAGTTGAATACCACGGTGAGACAAGGCCCCTCTGGGGGCACTGGTGGCCTACTTTGCCCCAACTTCCTGCATCATCGTTAAGGAGAAAGACCTCCTCTGGCCAGCTGTGCTGGAGCACTCAGAGAATGCCTTGTGCTGCCTGCTCTTTTTCCTCTCCACCTCACCTCTCCCACACATTTCACTTCCTTAAGCCTCCCATGGAGGATGGCTTCAGAGTCTGTTCTCTGCTAATTGGGGAAAAAAAGGTCCTCTGTTTTTAAGGGATTGTAGAGCCCATGATGTACGTATGAGCCACCTTGTTTTAATACCATTTGGTGAGAATGTACCACATGGCTAGGTACTACATTTAGAAACATTAATATGTTTGTACCTCAAGAACAACTCTAACAGCTCTACAAGCTAGATATTATTATCTCCATTTCACAGATGAACTGAAGAAACTTTTCCAAATCCCAAGTAAATGAAAAAGCTGGGATTTAAACCCAAGCCTATCTGGTCACAAATCCCAGGCTCTCAACCAATTCATACAAGCCTCCTCCACAATCCTTGTCGATACCTACAGAAGACTCACAAGGCCCAAGTCTAGTTTTTAATTAAGATAACACTTGTTAATAATGCCCTGCTTTAAAGACGTTTGAGTTCTTCACTGCGAAATATCTCTGCAAAAAGCAATGAACTCAATTTGGCTAAGTTTTTATTTTCTAAATGTATACTTTTCCCTGAATATCCAAAACTAAGATTGCAAATCCCTCCTTGCTTCCACTTCCCTGCTAGGTATAAATAGTATGACCATATTGAAATCTTATGTTCTCTTATCCACTTCATTTTTAACAGGCAGAAACGAGTAATGTGAGAGCCTGCAATTGTAATCTTCATAAAGTATATCACATACCGTTCAAAAACATCAAGTGGCATGTTAAATAAGCTTTTGGAGAATAAGTTGAGCGTGACACCACAAGAAGAAAAACAGAATCCATGACTTCTCAAAACATGATCTTGCTTCAGATGAGAAAGCTCTGTGCTTAGTTTGCTGTGAGTACTTCTTTGTGTCCATTGTGGCCTCCTATCTAACATAAGGATTCCTTTCCCCAAGTGGTGGAACAGTGGGTAGGAGAGTCTGTTCATATCCCAAAGGTGTGCCAAAAGGATTTATCAAGAAGGGGATGACGGAGGTTGCTCTTCCAAAAGCGTCCAGAGTCACTGAGACCTGACCTGTGTATTTTGTATCCTATCCATGTCAGGTAAGGAATACATTATTTAAGTCCATCTTCTTGGGAGAGGGAGATGAGAGCTGGAGAGTTGGGGGCTAATGTCCAATCAAAATGGAAAAGAAAAAGTGTTTGTGGCTAAAGGAAGCATCCAGAAGACATAGCAAGGATCACTCTGTTCCCTTGTATCAGAGCTTTGCTTTCCGTTTGTCTCCAAAATTCAGGAGTTGGAAACAAGCCTGAGGGTGTGATGTTCTCGGAACCTCTAGGAACAGCTTTAGCTCCAGACACCTTTTGCAGTTCCCACATTAACAATCCTTCTCTTCTTGCTGATGAGAAGTGGTTGAAACACTTCTTGGACAAGCAGTTGCATGGGGTATATTTACCTTTTCCAACAAACACAAAGGCTGTACCTCTCCTACATAAATGTGTGAGCAGCACAAACATATGACACAGTGCTGTGTGCCGAAATCAGTTTAAAGGATTAGAGAATGGACCATAGTCCAAATTGGCCATTATGCTGCTGCTGGGGTCTTTAAAAAAAACTGCGATTTTCCTTTGCTTTGTCACTTTAAGCTTATCTTTTAAGCACAGATGTTCTGTGCTTCTAAATTTCATGTGTCCAGAAAACTGGCGGATATAATGTAAATGAGATTACTCCAACCCCTCCATGACAGTGAAATTGGACAACGCCTCTGTTGCCATTGCTTAGACCCCAAATGCACAAAACCAGGAATTAGTCTCTTGGTTCTCTCCACTTTCTGTTCCCATAAAAACTGTTTGGTCTAGGACACTGTCCACTTCTTATCAACAGCGTTTCCTTCTTGGGTATTACCAGTGATAATAGCTCAGGCTCGCCTTTTTCTCTGGCACTCACAGGAATTTCTGTTGACACCAGGGTGCTGGTGGAGAACATATCTCCAGAGAGCTCAAAGGGAAGGTTTGCAGATCCATTGTCGTAGTTATTTCTTGATCATATATCTTTCTAATTAATTTCTAACTTTTTCATGAATACACATGAGAAGAAGGGCATTGGGGAGAAAGAGCCTGCTGTGGAATATTATTTCTCATTTATTTGTATTCCAAAAAATAAGATCCTGCATACCTTTCAAGGCCCAGCTTCAAGGTCACCTCCACCTTGAAGTCATCAAATTTAACTCAGCAGTTACCTCTTCTTCCCTTGAGCTTCCTTATCTTTTGGGGGTACCTCAGTCACAGCACTCATCACATCATGTTTGATCATTTAGTTTTTAATTACAAATCTACTTCCAGACTGTAAACTGCTGGTTGGCAATGGCTAAGCTCTACTCAACTCTGTCTCTGTATTGAGCATCCTGCATGGTGCCTTGTATGTAATATCTTTTCAGTAAATGTTTGCGGAAATGTCTGCATCTATGAAATAGTTTTTTGAAATATCACATTCCAGAGAGGTTAAGATGCACTATTTCAGTGGTTCTGAAACTTTATCATGCATCAGAATCACTCAGAGGGCTTCTTATACCAGACTGGTGGGTTCTACATCCAGAACTTCTGATTCAGTAGGTCTGGGGTGAACAGGCTGGATAATTTGCATGGCTAACAAGCTCCCTGGTGATACTAGTGATGCTGGTCCAGAGACCACACTTGGAGGAATGATAAACTATCTTTTTTTTTCCACATTTTAATATCTCATATCTATCTAAATCTGAAACTTGTTGACATGTCAGTTTAGTTGACAACTTTTTGCTTTCATACTAGTATATAAAATAATGGCTTTACAATCAACAGCATCTTAGATTAAATGAAACGTGGCAGGCTTCCTGTTACATATTTGAATCTGTATTATAAAACATCAATTACCTCATAAATGAATTAATGCCCTTATAAAAGGGCTCAAGGGAACTAACTAGCTCCTCTTTGCTCTTCTGCTTTTCCATCATGTGAAGACAGAGACATCTTAGAAGCAGAGACCAGACACTCTTCAGACACTGAACCTTGTGTCTTGCACTTTCCAGAGTGCATAACTATGAGGAATAACTTGATGCTGTCTATAAATTACCCAGTCTGAGCTATTTTGTTATGGCAGTAAAAAAGGGACTAAGACACTCACCAACAAATGCCAGCTTTTTACTCCAAAGCTAACAACAACAAAACCAAGCAAGAGCAATAACACCAGGGAGCCCATTAAATTGAAAACATTCCAGCAAGTATCCCAAGGTCGCAGACCCAGATAGGTTTTGCTAGCCACCTTCCTGGAAGGAGTGGGCCATGTTTTCCATCCTCAGAAAATGCTGTTTGCAAGGAAAGCGGTGAGAGCAGAGATAATCAATCTAGGCGTATCATAGTCAAGTTGCTGAAGACCAAAGATGAAGACCAAATCTTTAAAGCACCCAGAGGGAAAAGACAGATTACATGTGGGGGAAAACAATACAGATGAAGGCTGACTTAGAGAAAAAATGGAATCCAGAAGAATATGGAATAGCATTTTTTAAAGTATTGAAAGGAGAAAATTGTCAGCCTAGAATTCTATAAAAGTATCCTTCAGAAATTCAAGTAAAATAAAACGTATTTTCAGAAAGAGAAAAGTTGACAGGATTTATCTCTAGAAGACTTACTGTACAAGAAATAATTTTTTAAAAGAATGAAGAACAATAGGCAGGGTAAATACCTGGGTAAATGTAAAATAACCTTTTCTTTTTAAGTGATATGTATTTATATCAATAAATATATATAGGTATATATAGACTGTATAGATACATACATATGTAATTCTTTAAAAGATTGTTGAATGAAGCAAAAATAATGTATTGTGGAATTTATAGCACATGTAGAAGTAAAATATTTTTAAAAATAGCACAAAGGGTGGAAGGACTCTAAACGAAATTATTCAATTGGAAGTGTCTTCCATTGATTATGAAGTAGTATATTATTGAAGGTAGATTAAGATGATTTAAATATGCATAGCATAATATCTAAAATAACTCCAAAAAACCTCACAGAGGTATTACAAAAAGATAGAGCTTAAAGGTTGATACAGGAGATTAAATGGGATATTGAAATATACATGATTCACCTGAAAGAGAGCAGAAAAAGCAGGATAAATGAATGGAAAAAGATGAGAGAAAAAAATAGCTTGAAAATATATGAAGCAAAACCAAGTAGAATTAATATGAGAGAAAGACAAATCTACAGTCACGGTTAAACATATTAACATCACTTTCTGAGTAACTGATTTAAAAAGCAGGGAAAAGAGTATAATTTAAAAATATTTGATCCACACTGTCAACCAATTTGACCTAATCAACATTTACAAAACACCACTCCCAAAACAGCAAAATATACATTCTTTTTAACTTTGCATGAACTATTAACCAAGATAGATCAAAAATGCCGAGCCAGAAAATAAGACTCATTAAAATTAAAAAGATTGAAACCATACAGAGTACATTTATGACCATAATGACAATATGGAAATCAATAACCATCAGATATCTGAAAAAACCCAAATATTTGAAAATTAAACATTATATATCTAAATAACATATGGTCAAAGGAGAAATTACAAAAGAAATTTGAAATCATTTGAACTGAATGATAATGAACACCCAACTTACCAAGATTTGTGAGATGTAGCTAAAGAAGTACTTAGAGGGAAATGTATAGCATTCAATTTTTTAAAAAAGGGAGGTATAGAATCAATTATCTAAGCCTTCACATGAAGAAGCTAGAAAAATAACAACTAAAACCCAAAGTATAAGAAAGAAAAATGATGGTAAGAATGTCAATTAATAAAACAGAAAATTGACAAAAAGAGAACATCAACAATGTTAAAAGTGTGTTTAAAAAAAAAGATTAATGAAACCCAGGGCAAGACTGATAAGTGAAATAGAAAATCCCATTACCAGTGTTAGAAATGAAAAAAAAGGGCATTTCTACAGACCCTATAGTTATGAAAAAGATAGCAAGGAAATATTATGAACAACTTTAAGTCAATAAATTAAACAATTAAGATGAAATAGAAAAATAATTTTAAAAACACAACTTACTGAAATATATAACAGAAATATAAAAACATAAATAAATATTCTTATGTCAATTCAAGTAATTGAATTTATTATCAAAATTTTTTTATGAAGAAAACTTGAGATCTAGGTGACTTTACCAATGAAATCTATTATCATTTAAGGATGAAATAATACCAAGTCAACACAAGTTCTCTCAAAACTAGAGATGGAGAGAATAATTCCCATGAAGCCAGCATACTGCCAATGCCAAATACTGACAATGACATTATAAGAAAAGAAAATTACAAACCAATATTCCTTATGAGTACAGCTGAAAAAACCTTAACAAAATATTAGCAAAACTAATCCAATAATATATTTCCAAAATACACATCATGACCAAGTGAAGGTTTTTAAAGAAATGTAAGATTGGTTTCACATCTGAAAATTAGTCAATGAAAGAATAAAGGGAAACCATACAATGATCTCAGTAGATGCATAAAAAAGCGTTTGACCAAAGTCAACCTCCATTCATGATAATAACTCTTGAGCAAATTAGAAATAGACAAGGACTTCTTCAAACTGCTGAAAAGGATCTCTTAAAACCTACAGCTAATATAATACTTACTGATTTTTCCTTTTAACATAAAGAACAAGGCAAGGACTTTCACTTTCATCATTTCTACTTAACATTTAACTGGCAGTTGTAGCCAATGCAATAAGAGGAGAAAAAGAAATAGAAGGCATATAGATAAAGGAAAGAAAGAAGTAATTCGTATAAAGAGGAAAGTAAAACTGTCATTCTTTGCAGATGACACAATTGTTTATATAGAAAACTATGGATACAAAATAACTATAAGAACTAAGTAATGAGTTTACCTAGGTCAATATATAAAAATCAATTCTATTTCTATATACCAGCAGTAAACAATTGGAAAACAACATGTAAAAAATACTATATGCAATAGTATCAAAAAATATCAAATAGGAAAATGCTAAGAGAGGTGTACAATTTCTCTACAGTAAAAAACTGTAAAACACTGATGTGAGAAATTAAAGAAACCCAGACAAAAGGGAGAGACATTCAATGTTTATGAGGTAGAAGACTCAATGTTGTTAAGATATTTATTTTCCTCAGATTTATTTGTGAATTTAATACAGTCATCAAAATTTCAGTAGGACTTTTTAGAGAAATTTACAAGCTGAACCTATAACTGATATGAAAATGCCAAAGCAATCTTGAAAAAATTAAAGTTGGAAGATTTATAATACCCAGTTCTAAAACCGAATATGTTAGACTAATCAATGCATTGCAGTATTGACGTGAAGATAGACAAATACATCAAGAGAACAGAATCCAGAAATAGACTCATATGTATAGACTTAATTAATTTTTTAAAACGCTTTATTAGAGTAGTTTTAGGTTCACATCAAGATTAGAATCAACTGATTTTTAACTGAATGTGACAAGGTGATTTCATGAAGAAAAGAAGACTTGTTAACAAGTGGTGCTGGAACAACTGGATGGCCATATAAAAAACAAACAAAAAACTTGACTCCTGTCACACGCCATACAATAAAATAGTTTGAGATAAACATAGAACAAAATATAACCTAGAATAATAAAGTTTCTAGTAGAAAGCATAAAAGAGTAACTTTACAACCTTGGAGTAGGCAAATTTTTTTAGACAGAACACAAAAAGCACGAACTATGAAAAATGATAGCTGGTTTTCATTAAAACAAAAATTTCTGTGTACCAAAAGATACCATTAAGAAAATGAATATGCAAATCAGTACATATATCTGACAAAGGGCATGTATGCATTGTATATAAAGAACTCTTTCAAATCAATAATATGACAATTTAATTTTTTTAATGGGCAAAAGATTGAAGCTGTCATTTCACAAAAAAAGATACATAGAGTAGTCCCTCCCTTTATCCTTGGTTTCACTTTCCAGTTTCAGTTACCTACAGTAAACCACAGTCAGAAAATACTAAATGGAAAATGTCAGAAATAAACAATTTGTGGTTTAAAATCGTCCACTATTCTGAGTAGCGTGATGAAATCTTGAGCCATCCTGCTCTGTTCCACCAGGGAGCTGAATCATCCCTTTGTCCAGCATATCCACAGTCTGTGCTACCCACCCCTTAGTCAGTAGCTGCCTTAGTTATCAGATTTTTAAAAAATAGTACATACAGAGTTCAGTAATATACTTGGTTCCAGGCGGCCACTGGGGTTCTTAGAATGAATCCCCCAGGGATTAGTGGGTACTACAGTATAAGAACAAGGAATAGGCACATGAAAGTGTTTTCCACATCATTAATCATCACTGATATGGAAATTAAAACCACCATGAGATGCCATTTTGCACCTATTAAAATGGCTCAGATGTAAAGATAAGACAATACCAAAAGTTGATGTGGATGTGGAGAAATGGAACTCTCAAACACTGTTGGTAGGAATGCAAATGGTACGGCCACTTAGGAAAATAGTTTGTCAGATTTTTATAAAGTTAACTTCTTCATGTATCCTACAACCAGCAATTCCACCCTCAATATCTCTCAAAAGAAATGAAAACATATGTCCACAAGAAGAACTGTACAAGAATACTCAAAGAAGCTTTTCCATAACAGCCCAAACTGGAAACAACCCAAATGTTCATCAATATGAGGGTGGATGAACATACTCTGGCATATTCATAAATTGAATATTAGTCAAAAAGAAATAGATATGTATTAGTCAATAGATATATATTAGTCAAAAAGAAAAAGAAAAAATTACTGGCCAGGCACAGTGGCTCACGCCTGTAATCCCAGCATTTTGGGAGGCGAAGGCGGGCCGATCACCTGAGGTCGGGAGTTCAAGACCAGCCTGACCAACATGGTGAAACCCCATCTCTACTAAAAATACAAAATTAGCTGGGCGTGGTGGTGCATGCCTGTAATCCCAGCTACTTGGGAGGCTGAGGCAGGAGAATCACTTGAACCCAGGAGGCAGAGGTTGTGGTGAGCCGAGATTGCACCACTGCACTCCAGCCTGGGCAACAAGAGCGAAACTCCATCTCAAAAAAAAAAAAAAAAGGAAAAAGAAAAAAATTACTGATGATGTAACAGTATGAATAAAACTTGAGACTTCCAGTTATGCTAAGTGAAAGAAGCTGCACAAAATGTGTATAATATATAAACCAATTCTATAAAGTCCAAAACTAGGCAAAATTAATCTCTGGTTAAAAAAAGACATAAACAGTGGTTGCCTCTTGTTTTGGTGTAGTCAATTGTCATGATATATTCAACTGTCAAAATAATTGAACTGAATACTTAACACTTTCTGGTAGATTGTATGTAAATTATACCTCAGTTTTTTGAAAAGCAACTACATCGAGTGGATAGCAGCTACACAAATTACCACAGAGGTAAAGTTTGCTCATCTAAGAAACATTTATTAATAACTTACGTGACAAGCACCATACTAATATCTGGGAATACCAAGCTCTATAAGATGTGATCCCAGCACTGAAGAATGCATGGATTCTAAGTGATGGGGAAAGCACAATTTCAAAATGTTGAAACAAGTGCTTTAATGCAGCTATACACTATGACTGTATATGGGAGCACAGAGGAGTGAGCAAGATGTTACAGACCAGGATGATGACCACTTGTCTGACCATAGTGCAGCCACTATGGTGGCTTGGGGTAGAAAGTTGCCTTTTATTTTTGGCCTTTGGGACTTGGGGAGATATCTTAGCAGGTGTAAGGACTCTAAATAACAGTTCCCCAAAACTTTAGGACAAAGTCTTTTTCACAGTGGGAAACTGGAGATATGTTTTCACCAGAATAAGCAGAAAAAGGCCAAACACTTCCTGAGTAATAGATTTAAAGAGCAGCAGGTCTCTCAAGCCAGGGTCCCTATGCCACACTGCAGAGCAGCCCACAAAACACCCTGAGGATGTGGCTTGCTGGCCACACCCCTTAAGTCATGATAGCCCTGCTAAAGAATGTAGGGCCCCAACAAAGAATGTCCTGAAAGCCATTTAAGAGCCTTCCAGGAAAACCACAGCCAGCAATCCACCACTTGCAATGTGTGTGGCGGGGCTCCTGCTTCTCTTTGCCTTCCTTGGCTCCCTGAGCTCCCATCAAATCCCAAGTCATCTCAAAAGGAGGTGCAGGGCCAGTTGCAGTTTACTTGCTGGTGATAGAGAGGACAAGGCACCTGCCTGCAAGTCTCCAAAGACAGCACTGGGGAGCCTCCCTCTGGGTGTCTTCAGGGTCTCCCTGCAAAGCTCCAGCTCCTATAAGATTGCGATTGTGACTCTCAACAGATGAACCCCCAGAGAGAAGTTGTTGTGGGGGAAGCTCCAACAGGTTCATGGCCCCCTCCTCCATCTTCAGAGTCACCATCCGCAAATCTCTTTCTCTCTGTCCCTCTCTTCTGTCATCACGCCTCCTCCTGTCTGACTCTGACTCCTGCATCCTACTTATGAGGACCCTTGGGTTTGCATCGAATCTACTCAGATTATTCAGTGTAATCTCCCCATCTCAAGATCTTCAACTTGATCACATCTGCAGACCCTCTTTTGTCACATATGGCAAGATTCATAGGTTCCAAGCTTTAGGATGCGAACATCTTTGGGGGATCATTACTCAGCCTACCACTAAAACTCTAAGCCTATCTTACCTCGAGACAACAATAATAACCAATGCATCTAGCCATTGAGTGCTGACTATGTGATATAAATACAGATATGGAGATAAATACTGCTATCTGTATATAGAGAGATTTTTTAGAGATATTTATACACTTACATTGATAGGCTATCTTCCCACACATATGTATTTTCTCACCGTAGCCCTGCAAAGTCATTTCATTTTACAAATGAGGAAACGGAAGCCCGAGGAATTTTGAAGGACAAAACACTGTTTATAACGGGTAGTCAACGCGGGTTTGGATGACTCCAGAGCCAATGCTCTTTACCTTGTTGTCTTCCATTTCTGTTCCATGTTTTGGTGGGAAACCCAGAGTATGAATTTTGTGTATATATCTTCAACCTAATTTTTTTTCTCCAAGTTAGGACTGGAAAAGCCCACATCTGTGGCTTGGAAGACAAGGAAGGTGTTATTCCCAGTTGGCCACATCTCTAGAAAACAGAAAATTCTGCATTTCCCCCAGGAAACAAAATTGTTCATTGCTTATCTGTAGTGTATTGTTTCTTTTCTTGCTTTACCTCCCTCATTGTTTTTACTTTTCCTCATCAGCCTCCAACCTCAGTAGAAGATGTATTTCCAAGCAGAACCATTCGCCAATCTAAAATTTTCCCTGGTTTTTGAAATCTATTTCTTCATAGACTCCATCACAAATTTTTCAACCATTCTAGAAGGAAAAGCCGAGAAATACTACAGTAAAGGAAACAAAATTGGAGGCTGAAAAATATATATACATTAAACCGTGGTTAAAAAACTAAATAAAATAATTTTTGTTTCACTATCCTGTGAAACAAAAATTAGTGAAGATTTGTTTTAACTCTATTACCTGGACAGCACCATTCTTAGTTTTCTTCAGCAGAATTTATCTTAAAATATTTTAATGCGTTGATTGAATCAGAATTATTTCTCAAAAACAACACTTAAATGGCAATTGTTGATTCTTGTTTGCAAGAGCTCATTCATCTCCATTATAGTTAATATTGCTGTTAAACCTTTAGTTGAAGACAAGAATGAAATACACTCCTGATTTCCATACGCCTCTCTCACTGCAAAATTGTGTGTTCTGGGAATTCTCGGTCATATTGCATAGATTTTTTTTTAAATTGTTGCCTCCTCAAAAAAATGGCTCAAGCATATTTATTGAAAGTATGACCATGTTAAAATCTGTATCATGAATAAATTATTTCAAATAAAATTGGAGAAATCTAGGGCAGTTGGGGCAGGAAGGTAATGAATCAAGTTTTAGGGCTCCTGCCCTAAGCTGTGGTAAGCACACCAAGGTAAGGCCACCCTGAGGGCCTCCAGGTGCTCAGAGAGAGACCTCCTGCCCCTAGCACCCTGCCTTGCCTCACTGGAACCCTCCCCATCCACCTTCCCTGGCAATGGCATACCATGGCAAGACCCCCCACCCAGAGGTTTATATTGAAAATAGTAGGCAGTGTTCTGGTTGTAATATGAATGATCATAAATTGAGCAATAGGTTCTTCACATTTTTATCTTAAAATACTTAAGTGCTTGAAAAGGATTTAAGTATCACAGCATAAGTCGATAAGTGGGAAGTTTTGAAGATTTTAAAGAACGTATCTGGGTAGTTTTAAGATCACCAGAGGCCGTTAACCCTCATAATTTACTGCCTATGTTTACTTGAATCTTTTCAAATTGGTCTCCCTGCATCCACATTTGCACTCCTCCAACTTGATTTCCACACTATCAGAATTATTGTTTTAAAATGCAAATCTGTTCAGTTCTCTGTCTCACACACATACACACACGTACAGATGCACACACACTGACATGCGGGCACACACTCCTGTTTAAAATCTTTCGATGCCTTTTCATTCTCACATTTGAAGGCTAAAACCCTTAACACAGCTGACCTATGTTCCACAATCTGTGATACATGACCCTGACTGTCTCCTCAACCTAATTTCTCACCATCATCCCCGCTGCTCCCTATGGTCTGATCACAATGTCCTTTTGATTCCCTACAAGTCCTAGGTTTCTCCCGACTGCAGGACCACTGGGTATGCTGAGCCTCTGTCTGGAATGTTCCGCAATCTCTATTCCCTACACACACACACACACACACACACACACACACACACAAGCACTATTCATCTAATTACCTCCTCCTCCTGATCTTCCTCCCCAGATCTCAGTTCAAGTCCACACTTCCTCAGAGAATGTTTCCATGACCCCCTAAACTGCGGCAGGCCCCTTGACACGTTCTCGCATAACCCAGTGATCCATGGTGTCTGGCACACAGTAGGTATTCCAGAAGTATTGATAGCATGAGTAAATTAGCAAACAGATGTTTTATTAATACAGATTTATCACTAGCAGAAGTCAAAGGGGGCCATGGTTTTAGCCAAGTGAGTGAGCTGGGGAGGGGCTGAAAAGCAAAGGTTTCCCTGAGGTAACTAAACAAGAATATTAGAGGAATTCAAAAGTGGATTTGGGCGTGCATATGAGAAAGGGGTTATCTGAGGTAAAAGCCACTCTGTGAACTGCGAATGACCCAGAAAAATATTAAAAGCATAGGAAGGGAGAAGTTGCTTGTTGCTGTCAGCTTGAAAGTTTTGCTTAGAAAATGCAAAGTAATCAAGGGAAGAGAAGGGGAGGCAGAAGCCACTGACATATGATAAGTTTATGTGTGTGTTTCAATTCTTGTTCTGAAAGGTTTTAAAGAACTTTACAAAGATACATTCCATATAGTAAAATAAAACCTATTCCAAATTAGTAATAAACAAGAGGAAAACAATGTGTACGCATGAGATTAGCAAGGAGTCTCTGCAGTTAAGGTATAAAGCCTTTAGCCAATCTTTAATTTGGCAAATTCTTTGCAAAATATTTCATTGACTTCTGAAAAAATTATCTACAAATTTTATGAAAATCAGTATTAATACATACCATTTATGTAAAAATTGCATGTTTCTGTGCTTGTACATATTCTAAAAGTATGGAACTGGGCTGGGCACCCTGGCTCATGCCTGTTAGCACTTTGGGAGACTGAGGCAGGACCATCACCTGAGCCCCAGAGTTTGAGACCAGCCTAAGCAACATAATAAGACCCCCTCTGCAAAAAATAATTTAAAAAAGTAATTGGGTGTGGTGGTGCAGCCTGTAATCCTAGCTACTCAGGAGGCTGAGGTAGGAGGATTGCTTGAGTCCAGGAGGTCAAAACTGCAGTGAGCTGTGATTACGCCACTGCACTCTAGCCTGAGCAAAAGAGCAAGACACTATCTCTTCAACAACAACAAGAAAAAGTATAGAACTGATCTGGAAGAATATGCAAATATACATCAGTGCAACTGTGGTTACCTCTGAGAAGGGAGGGGGATGGGGACAGTTGAGATGTAGAAAAGGTTTTATTTCTTGCCTTATATATGTGAGCTTTATATAATTAGCTTAATTCATGTGTAACTTTGTAATTTAAAAGTTAACAATAAAAACAAAGCCTCTACAAAGATACCAACAATATTCACAGATATTGACAGATCTTAGATATTGACAGATATTTTATTAGCATATGTATCTAGTCATTTTCTGAGATCACATAGTAACAACAACAACATCCACTTGAAGTGTTCAAAATGTTTACACCTACTATGGTATAGCAGCCCCTCAGTAACCCTCCCAAGCAGGCAGGGCCGGGTGAGGCAGATCCCACTTTACCATCCCTACTTGAAAAAGGAAGGAACAGAGGCAGGAGCAGCTGGGTGACCAGCCCTGGCCTGGAGCTAATGAACAGCAGAGTCTGCAAAAGGAGTTCAGGCCTTCTGATTCTTTCCCCTGCATACTCTGTTCTTTTTTGTCCTTTGTTCACAACGTGGCTGGGAAGTCTTAGCATTTTGAAACTGAAAGAAGGAAAAATCTTTTGACTGCTGTGTTTGATTGCTCATAAAAATGCTTCATTGTAGACTGTCCTATAACTTCTGAATTATGCTACATGAGTGGTTTGAGGGTTTCTCATTATTGCAGACAAGGAAAATTTACTGCTTTCATTTAAGCCCTAGCTCTCTCTAAAGAAAAGTTGCAGTAGCCGAGTATCTTTATTATACTTTTACCCTCAGAGCTAATATCTTGAAAAGCCCTGTTGGGGGCACACATTAGTGTTCAGGGTAAGGCATTTCTTAATTCAGAAACATAAGGTGATAAAGCATATTTGCTTCCTTAATAGTCTTGGACAGTTACATTTCTCTTAAAGACAGACATTCTCCTAGGTGTCTGCATTACATGTATCCACTGGGGCCTTAGTCAAGGCACTATGTACAACCTTTTCCTCCCTTGTAGCAGTTTGTCAGAAACATGGCTGCAACAGTTCCTCCATTTCTGTGCATGCACGCCACTCCTTCCATCAGGAAGTAGAGTCTATCCACCCCTTGGCTGGGCTGGCTTTGTGACTTGTTTTGGTCAATAGAATGTTACAGAAGTGATGCCTTGCTGGTTCTGGGCCTATGCCTTAAGAGAGCTGACAGCTCTACTGTTGCCCTCTAGGTTCCAGCCCCCATTTAAGAAACTCAGGCTCGTGTATGGAATGGTATGAGGCTGTGCCCAGAGAGGCCCTGGAGGAGGAGGCCATCTTAGATGGAGCTGCCAGCTGTGCAGCCTTGTGACGACAGCCAATATAGTATACAGCAAAAGGACCACTCAGCTGAGCCCAACAGACCCACAGGATAGTGAAACTATTATTGCCCTGAGCTACTAAGTTTGGTGGTATTAGGTTGGTGCAAAAGTAACGCAGTTTTCCCATTAAAAGTAATGTTTGTACACAGCAATAGATAACTAAAACATGAAACATCCCCTTTCTTTACTCTCCGACCTCCCCCTCACCAACTCAGTATGTCCCTGGTCATCTCTTATGCTCCTTTTCTGTGCCATCATCTCTGTCTGAGGAAAAGGGAATGTTCTTTCGACATTTCCTCTCTGCTCAACACACACTTCTCAAGTCCTTACTCTGAGCTGGTACTGTGTGGGGCTTTGGGAATATGAGAATGAATAGAACACAGCCCCTGCAGACACTGACCAGGGGAAGAGACACACCTGAAAAGGGAACCTCACTCATAACTGCCCCCCAGCCTGTAGCCCCAAAATTTTTAGCACAGATTGACCGTAAAGTCCATTCTCAGAGTCATACAGGTAGACAGTGGAGAGAGTAGCCAATACAGGCTATCTTTGTTTAATCTCATTCAAAAATGATACATTTTGCCTCTATCAGATATGGGGGTATCTTGTCATTAGGCACCTATATATGAAAATTAAATCTTAATAGACAGATAAATGAAGGGACAATTATCCAGTATACAAACCTAGATCTTTCATTTACCTATAAGTTCCTTTTAAGTTACCTAATTATAAGATACTGGGTGGTCTCAGGGAAGCATTTTGAACCAGAAATCAAGAAAACAAATCATAAATACTAACTCTATTGCCAAGTAACTATCATGTAAGTGAGTCACTTGAATTTTCTATCTCTTTACTTAAAATACCGGGAAGTTTGACTCAATGATTACTAAGGTTCTTTTCAGTTCTGAATCCCATGATTACACGTGGATTTAAAGAAATGGATGTGAGAGAGGCAGAAAATATCAAATATTACCATGAAGTATTAGACTCCATGGTCAAATTGAAGGCAAATTGCAATGCAAAATATCCCTGGGATAAAACTGTGAATCCAGGGGAAAGCAGGGCTGTATCTTTTTGGGCCATTGTCCCTATGAATCACACTCTGTAAAGAGAGACAGAAAATGAGGATTTAAAGAATGGGCCTGAGATTGGGAGAGGATAGTCTTGGCTCCAAGGGGTAGAGAAACTGGGCACATCCTGGATTGCCTGTCAATAGCATATCATCATAATTGGCCATTAAAGAAAATGTGACCATCTTAGCCCCCAAGTTAGTGAGACCTGAACACTATGGACACACCAAGTTAAGGAGTTTGGAGTTTCTTCATAGACAGTAGAAGTCATGGAAGGTATGTTGAGTAGGAAACAGACCTAAGAAATGAGATAGACAGTAACACAATAATAGCGGGGGACTTCAATACTCCACTGATGGCACTAGACAGGTCATCAAGACAGAAAGTCAACAAAGAAACAATAGATTTAAACTATACCCTGCAACAAATGGACTTAACAGATATATACAGAGCATTCCATCCAGCAACTGCAGAATACACATTCTATTCAACAGTTTGTGGAACTTTCTCCAAGATTGACCATATGATAGGCCACAAAATGAGCCTCAATAAATTTAAGAAAATTGAAATTATATGAAGCACTCTCTCAGACCACAGTGGAATAAAACTGGAAATCAACTCCAAAAGGAACCTTCAAAACCATGCAAATGCAATGGAAATTAAATAATCTGCTCCTAAATGAGCATTGGGTCAAAAATGAAATCAAGATGAAAATTAAAAAATTATTCAAACTGAACGACAATAGTAACACAACCTATCAAGTCCTCTGGAATACAGCAAAGGCAGTGCTAAGTGGAAAGTTCATAGCCCTAAATGCCTACATTAAAAAGTCTGAAAGAGCACAAACAGACAATCTAAGGTCATACATCAAGGAACTAGAGAAACAAGAACAAACCAAACCCAAACCCAGCAGAAGAAAGGAAATAATCAAGATCAGAGCAGAAATAATCAAGATCAGAGCAGAAATAAATGAAATTGAAACAACAACCACAACAACAAAAATACAAAAGATAAATGAAACAAAAAGCTGGTTCTTTGAAAAGATAAATAAAATTGATAGATCATTTGTAAGATTAACCAAGAAAAGAAGAGAGAAAATCCACACAAGCTCAATTAGAAATGAAACAGGAGGTATTACAACTGACACCACAGAAATACAAAAGATCATTCAAGGCTGCTGTGAACATCTTTATGCCCATAAACTAGAAAACCTAGAAGAGATAGATAAATTCCTGGAAAAATACAACCTCCCTAGCTTAAATCAGGAAGGATTAGATACCCTGAACAGACCAATAACAAGCAGCGAGATTGAAATGGTAATTTAAAAATTACCACAAAAAAACCTCCAGGACCAGACAGATACACAGCAGAATTCAACTGCACATTCAAAGAAAAATTGCTACCAATCCATTTGACACTATTCCACAACCTAGAGAAAGAAGGAACCCTCCCTAATTCATTCTATGAAGCCAACATCACCCTAATACCAAAACCAGTAAAGGACATAACCAAAAAAGAAAACTACAGGCCAATATCCTGGATGAGCATAGATGCTAAAATCCTTAACAAAATACTTGCTAACCGAATCCAACGACATATCAAAAAGATAATCCACCATCGTCAAGTGTGTTTTATACCAGGGATGCAGGAATGGATTAACATACACAAGTCAGAAAATGTGATACACCACATAAACAGAATTAAATACGAAAATCACATGATCATTTCAATAGATGCAGAAAAAGCATTCGACAAAATCAAGCGTCCCTTTATGATTAAAACTCTCAGTAAAATCGGCATACAACGGACATACCTTATTGTCCGTCTATGACAAACCCACAGCCAACATAATACTGAATGGGGAATAGTTGAAAGCATTCCCTTTGATAACTGGAACAAGACAAGGATGCCCACTCTCACCACTCCTCTTCAACATAGTACTGGAAGTCCTAGCCAGAACAATCAGCCAAGAGAAAGAAATACAGGGCAACCAAATCAGTAAAGAGGGAGTCAAACTGTCACTGTTTTCTGACACTATGATGATTTACCTTGAAAACCCTAAGGACTCCTCCAGAAAGCTTCTAGAACGGATAAAAGAATTCAGCAAAGTTTCCGGATTCAAGATTAATGTACACAAATCAGTCGCTCTTCTATACATCAACAGCGACCAAATGGAGAATCAAATCAAGAAGTCAACCCATTTACAATAGCTGCAAACGAACCAACAAAAACCTTAGGAATATACTTAACCAAGGAGTCAAAAGACCTCTACAAGGAAAATTACAAAACACTGCTGAAATAAATCACAGGTGACACGAACAAATGGAAACATATCCCATGCCCATGGATGGGTAGAATCAATATTGTGAAAATGACCATACTGCCAAAAGCAATCTACAAATTCAATGCAATGCCCATCAAAATACCACCATCATTCTTCACAGAATTAGAAAAAACAATTCTAAAATTCATATGGAACAAAAAAAGAGCCTGCATAGCCAAAGCAAGACTAAGCAAAAGGAACAAATCTGGAGGCATCACAATACCTGATTTCAAACTGTACTATAAGGCCGTAGTCACCAAAACAGAATGGTACTGGTACAAAAATAGGCACATAGACCAATGGAACAGAATAGAGAACCCAGAAATAAACCCAAATACTTACAGCCAACTGATCTTCAACAAAGCAAACAAAAATATAAAGTGGGGAAATGACACCCTTTTCAGCAAATGGTGCTGGGATAATTGGCTAGCCACATGTAGGAGAATGAAACTGGATCCTCATCTCTCACCTCATACAAAAATCAACTCAAGATGGATCAAGGACTTAATCCTAAGACCTGAAACTAAAAATTCTAGAGATAGCATTGGAAAAATCCTTCTAGACATTGGCTTAGGCAAGCATTTCATGACCACGAACCCAAAAGCAAATGCAATAAAAACAAAGATAAATAGCTGGGACCTAATTAAACTAAAGAGCTTTTGCACGGCAAAAGGAACAGTCGGCAGAGTAAGCAGACAACCCACAGAGTGGGAGAAAATCTTCACAATCTATAAATCTGACAAAGGACTAATATCCAGAATCTACAACAAACTCAAATCAGTAAGAAAAAAAACAAACAATCCCATCAAAAAGTGGGCTAAGGACATGAATAGACAATTCTCAAAAGAAGATGTACAAATGGCCAACAAATATATGAAAAAATGCTCAACATCAAGAATGATCAGGGAAATGCAAATCCAAACCATAGTGCGATATCACCTCACTCCGGCAAGAAAGGCCATAATCAAAAAATCAAAAAACAGTAGATGCTGGTGTGGATACGGTCGACAGGGAACACTTCTACACTGCTGGTGGGAATGTAAACTAGTACAGCTGCTATGGAAAACAATGTGGAGATTCCTTAAAGAACTAAAAGCAGAACTACCACTTAATCCAGCAATTCCACTACTGGGCATCTACCCGGAGGAAAAGAAGTCATTATTCGAAAAAGATACTTGCACATGCATGCTTCTAGCAGCACAATTCACAATTGCAAAATCGTGGAACCAACCCAAATGCCCATCAATCAACAGTGGATAAAGAAACTGTGGTGTATATATACACATGATGGAATACTACGCAGCCATAAAAAGGAATGAATTAACAGCATTTGCAGTGACCTGGATGAAATTGGAGACTATTATTCTAAGTGAAGTAACTCAGGAATGGAAAACCAAACATCATATATTCTTACTCATATGTGGGAGCTAAGCTATGATGCCACAAGGCATAAGAATGATGCAATGGACTTTGGGAATTGGGGGGAAGAGTGGCAAGGGCGCGAGGGATAAAAGACTACAAATATGGTGTAGGGTATAACGCTTAGGCAATAGGTGCACCAAAATCTCACAAATCACTACTAAAGAACTTACTCATATAACCAAATACCACTTGTACCCCAATAACTTATGGAAATAATTAATTAATCAAATGGCACAGTATTCGCATATAACCTATGCATATCCTCCTGTATACTTTAAATCATCTCTAGATTACTTATAATACTCAATACAGTGTAAATGCTATGTAAATGTTTGTTATACTGTATTGTTTAGGGAATAATGATGAATAAAAAGCATATACTTGTTCAGTAAAATAAAATAAAATAAAATAAAATGGCTTTCTATTTTAGGGCATTTATCTGTTGTTGAACTTCTTAAGTCACATGCTCAGCTACAATACCCGTATTGGTAGCATTCAGTAAAAATAATCAGATTTCAGAGGGTTTTAGAAGTTGGATTGTATAAGGAAAAAGCATCTATTCTAGAAATTCATTTTACTCCTGCAAATGACTTCAAAATTATTTCTGAGTAACAAAGCAGTAGTTAATTTATGTGGTTCTCAGCATTTATGTGTTTTCTCGACCTCTCTATTTTTCCTTACTTTGTCTCCATTACCAGTGTAGAAGAAAATTTGAAATATTCTGGTTAATTAAATGTGAACCTTCTGGTTAACTTTCTGATTGATGTATATTTTTAGATAAAATCATATAGATGGCTATCTTGGAGCCAGTCTGGTTTCCACTCACCACACAGCTTGTAGAGTTCATGGGGACTGCTGCCTGGAGACCACATCACAGACTCCAAAGTCACTACCAATATTAACCGCCCTTGACTGGAGTCACCCAAAGACAAACTCAGACTCTGTCCTGCCTAAAGTCCTAAATTCCATGGAAGATCCTTAAGGCCAGCTGACCCTACCAAGACAAAAGCCATGTCTTCTTCACTCACCAGACCAAGGTGACTGCTTGATGATGATGTTGCTGATGCTCCCTGACTGTCTCATACACTGATTTCATGGGACTCTAAGCCTCCTGTCTCTGTCCAATCACTCTTCCCCCACCCCTGCCTCCTAGCTATCAACTGTGTCCTCTGGAACTTTCTTTCCGTGACAGCCCAACCATCCTACATCTTCAATCTCTTTGCAGACACTCCCTTCACTTCCTGACCTTAACTGAAACCTGGTTCGCCCTTAAGAACATGGCATTCCCAAATAGCCTTCCCCAGTTGAAGGTATTCCTCCATTCACTTGAATATCCTCATAGGTACCTCCAACTCAACAAGTACAAAATTGTACTTGTCATCTTCACAACATCATCCATTCTCTTCCCCCACCTCCATGACACAACGACGCAAAAGTTACCCAGTCTCCCAAAGCAGGAATCTGGCGGTCAACCTAGACTCATCTTTCTTTTTCATCTTCCATATTCTATCACCACCAAGTCTGACAATTTTTCCTGCTAAATAGTCCTCTAATCCATTCCTTCTCTGTGTTTCTATTATCACAGTCCAGTTCAAGGCCTCAATTATCTCCTGCCTAGATTATCACACTCTTTTCCTGCTTTTAATTTACTCAGGAAATCCATCCTCCACCTGGCTGCCAAAGGAATTGCTCTAACACAGAGTTGACCTTTTCTCCTTTTCTCCTCTGCCTGTGGTAATCCAGTGACTCTTCCAAGCCTGGCTGAGCCCCTTCTTGGGAAAAACAGGCCCTTCATTATCTGTCTCTACCTACCTCCCCAGTCCTAACTCTCCCAAATTGCTACTATCCACTTTATACTTTAATAATACTAAACAACTTGTCCTTCACTGCAGTAATCCTGCTAAAAATGCTCCTGTGCCTTCCTTTGGTCTGCAATGCCCTTTCCCACTCTAGCTCGTTCTTTGACTGGTTGACTCTTACACACTAAGCTTTGAGTGGTGTCATCCTACCCAGGAATCATTTCCTGAGCTATCCTGCCAAGCTCTACAATCTCCCTGAGCGCTCCCAGCATCCTACTTTTGGCTTGTATTATCCATGTGAGTATGTGTATATTTCACCCTGTGTCTATTTTCCTGGGAGCCACAGACTGAATTTTTTAAATTTTTTACATTTGCATCTGTGGCTCTAACAAAGTGACAGGAGGAACATATTAGGTACTTAATAAATATTTGATGCACCAAAATAATTTCCACTGAAAATGGATTTGTCAAGCCCCAGTAGTCTTCATGTATGCAGGCATTCATTTACTCTTACTCATTCAGCAATAGAATACCTACTAAATATTTATATCTTATTCATCTAGCATTCTTGACCTCTCTGCTGTTTAGGTATGCTGTAACTTTTTGAAATGCCTCAAATTCAGTTTCACTCAGAAGCACTCTCGCATGTGAACTACAGTGTCTGGCTTGTGGAAAATAACTGATATAGGTGATCTGAGAAAAGGCAAAACTAGGACTGCCTGTGTCCCAGTGGAATTTACAGTCTGAACTGACTATGCACATGTGCAGTGTTTGGCAATACGTAGTTTTTGAAAACCTTTCAGCAAATGTAAATTACTAAAACACAAACCAAATACCTAAATTTCTAGAGAAACTGGAGAAAAAAAGAATGGTCAGAACTGGGTCAGTTTAATCAGAAACAGCTAGATAAGGTGAGGTTTGTTTTTAATGTAAAGACTTTGTGAACATGAATCACTTAACAGGAAGGAAAATAGCATTTCAGTTTCAAGAAATGAAATAGGCAAAAACAAACAAACAAAAAAGAAGATAAAAGCTCTATTGAAAAAAACCAGCAAGCCCATTTACTAGACTGAACGACGAATCTGAAACAGCAGAACAGGTTGTCAGTATGCAAGACCTGCATAAAATACATCTATGAAGCTGAAATTAGTCTTTAGGGCCAAGTGTGATAGGGAGTCTCCAAATCGATGCTTTCCTCCCTTCTTCCCCTGGATGGGCATAGTTTTTTGAACACTTCTGAGATATTGTAGTAATTATATTTTATTGGTAAAAATAACAAAGTTCAGGCCGGGTGCGGTGGCTCACGCCTGTAATCCCAGCACTTTGGGAGGCCGACGTGGGTGGATCACGAGGTCAGGAGATCGAGACCATCCCGGCTAACACGGTGAAACCCCATCTCTACTAAAAAAATACAAAAAAAAATTAGCCGGGCGTGGTGGCGGGTGCCTGTAGTCCCACCTACTCTGGAGGCTGAGGCGGGAGAATGGCGTGAACCCGGGAGGTGGAGCTTGCAGTGAGCCGAGATCGCGCCATTGCACTCCAGCCTGGGCGACAGAGCGAGACTCCACCTCAAAAAAAAAAAAAAAAAAAAAAAAAAATCACTAGAATGCAATACAAATAGTGAAGCTTTAAGGGCAATGACAGGCAGATGGAGGAAATATTCAGCAACCAAGAAACTTGCCTCTGTTTCAGCTAATATACCATGAAATATTAGGTTAGATATGGGAGAAATGTAGAGCCTTCCAAACTGTAAGTTCTTGAAGGACAGGTTTCAGGTTTACTGTATGGGTATTTCTGCCATAATGCAACACAGACACAGCTGAAAACCCTGAGGTTTGCAAAAATTATGCACAAAGATGTAATGGGAATTATGGAGCTAGCTAAGGACACTGAGACCCAAGGAATCAAAAGTGATAAGCCCCCTGGGTTTTCTTTTTACTTCATATATGTCAGACTGAAGAAGCCAGCAATCCTAGAAACGTTGACGGGTACAGACAGAAAAGCCCCCCTAAAACGCCTGCTCCTTTTAGCCAAAGAACAAAGAAAGGGAAAGTCTAGAAACACAGAAATTGAAAATACAATACCAATTACAATTGCTCAAAAACTGGAATACTCTGGTATAAATATGACAAAATGTGTAAAGCACATGTACGCTGGAAACTACAAAATGCTAATAAAAGAAATAAAAGAAAATCTAAATAAATGGAGAGATATACTGTGTTCATAGATTGGAAGACGCAATGTAGTAAAGAGGTCAATTCTCCCCAAGTTAATAAATACGTTTAACACAATTTCTATCAAAATCTCAGCAAGTTTTTGTTTTAGATGTAGACAAGATTACTCTAAAATTATATGGAAAAGCAAAGTAACTAAAATAGCTGAAACAATTTTGAAAAAGAAGAATAAAATGGGATGAATCAGTCTTCCCAATTTCAAGGTATGTAATCACGACTGTGTGGTATTTACAGAGGAATAGACACATAGATCAATGGAAGAGAGTAGAGAGCCCAGAAATAGACTCACACAAATACACCCAACTGGTTTTTGACAAAGGTGCAAAAACAAGTCAATGAAGGAAGGCTAGCCTTTTCAACAAATGGTGCTGGAGCAATTGGACATCTAAGGACAAACAATTAATACTTGACATAAACTCATACCCTATACAAAAATTAACTCAAAATGGATCACAGACTTAAATGTCAAATATAAAACTATAAAAGTTTTGCTTAAAAAAATGGAAAATGTGTGGGATCTAGGGCTAGGAAAAGAGTTCTCAGACTTGACTCCAAATACACAATTCATTTAAAAAATGATTAATTAGACTTCACTAAAATTAAAAATGTTTGCTTTGTAAAAGACTGTTGAGAGGATGAAAAGACAAAGTATAGGAAGGGATAAAATATTTGCAAACCACATATATGACAAAAGTGCTAGAATCTAGAATATATAAAGGACTCTCAAAACCCAATGGTTAAAAAAAATTCAATTAGAAAATGGGCAAAAGACATGAAAAGCCATTGTAAAGTGTTCAATCCTATTACTTAGTGGCACAAAATGTTAACATATGAGAAACATAGAAACCAATACTTTTGCATTATTCTGATATCATTCTTCTATTTACCACTCAAATGTAAGCTAACTTCCATTACAGAAATGTATTGATACAAGATGTTGTGTTTCTTTATTTCCAAGTCACTATGCTGGCATAAAGTGGTAAGCAATTAAATGTTGACAACAAAACCTCAATGAATGAATTAACTGAAGTCAGAGATGGGGTATGTGGATGAAACTGGAAAATGATATTTGAAGAAGATTCAGTTAACTGCTGACGATAGAATGTAACACATTAAGTTAAGACAAAACATAAAAATTATCTAGTTTTTACTTCTGCTTCATGGTTAAGACAGAATCAGAGGCCATGGATACTGACAGTTGATGTGTCTGTTTTTTCTGTCTTTTTCCATTACTGTATCTACTATCTCAGCTTGATTTATAAGCAAAACCTGGAGAACCTACAAAAATAAGTGTTTTGTAGTTTATCTAGAAATAATATGGAAAATATTGCTGTTATTTTCGGTGAAGAAAATCAATTTTGCATAGTTTTATTTCAGTCTAAATAAAATGTAAATTTTGTTTAAAAAATAAAATTGTAATTAGGGGTAATGAAGACCTGAGTTAGGTTAATCTGTAGAACGTTATGTAGTAGAAGAATTAGCAAAATCACAATACAATTAAGGCCAAATTCCCAATGTTTCCCCTCACCAAATCTCCAGCCTAATTCTACAATATGGTTGGAAGCATTGGCAGAGTTTTGTTTTCATTTTGCAGCAACAACACTATCTCAGGCTGTTTCCTTTTTGCACATCCCAACTGCTAACTCCCACTTCTGTAGCCATATCATCTCAAAAATAAATCCTCTGAGACCTCCACAGCTACTAAAAAATTCCTCATCTAAGTGTAACACCGCTATAGCAAACCCGTCCACAAGTTCGCTAGATACTTAGTTTCATAAAATATTGCTTTTGCTGGAATATTCTGCCAGCAGCCCCAACTTGCCTAGTAATATCTGAAATAAAGATCAGGTATTTCTCTTGCCAACACTCTCACTACAAGATTATTTTAATAGAAGTTTAATTAACAGGAAGCAACACATAATAAATAGTATCAGTAAATGGGGAATGGAAAAAGCAATTCCTAATCCTGCCAAAATCCTACATCTTTATAAATGCATTTTTCCACCGCACTATAGTGACTGATGAGGTAGAATGACTTTCTGGCTTGGCTTCCCCACTGGCTTCTGATGGGTCCCTCCTGGCTCTCACCTTCTCCATGCATCTCCAACCCTTCTAGAATCCATGCATAGAGTTCCTGAGACAGCCTCAAACAAACATGTACTCAGTTATGTGGGATCCTGAGAAATCTGCCTTTCCAACATATTAATGGAAGAGTAGGCAGAAAAGTCTCCATTGTTTCATTTGTGTATTCCAATTCATGTGCTTTTGAAGTAGTCCAGCACTATAGCTTGCTTCTCCCAGCTCTGCCTTTAGCCTCTGGCTCCTCATTGCTAGTTCACCCCCTGGACCTCCAGGGTACTGTCCCCTCCATAGAACTCTGCTGCTGTCACACTGACCTCAGCAAAAGGTGACACCTCCTCTATTGTCACATTCCTTCATTCACCCCAGTCTGTCAATAACACAAGGCTGTTGGACTTAACTAAGGGTTTGGAGATACATGTAATTATAATTTTTAATATTAAAATGTTAATATTCATTTAACCTTAATCATCACTAATGACCCTAAAAATGACTGTGTCCCCAGGATCTATGAAAAAATCAACTAGCAAGTTAAATCCTTTGCATAGATGCTCTCAAGAGCTCCCCCACTCTCCTAGCCTTGCTCTCCTGCCCTTCTTCAGAAATATAAAAAGAACTTTTTTTTTTTTTTTTTTTTTTTTAGTGTCTCACTCTGTCACCTAGGCTGAAGTGCCGTGGCACAATCTCAGCTTATTGCAGCCTCAACCTCCCAGGCTAAGCAATCCTCCCACCTCAGCCTCCCAAGTAGCTGGGACTACAGGTTTGCACCACCACACCCAGCTACTTTTTCTATTGTCTGTAGAGATTGGTTTTCTCCATGTTGCCCCCGGCTGAGAAAGAATTTTCTTTTTTTTTTTTTTTTTTTAGACAGGCTCACTCTGTTGCCCAGGCTAGAGTGCAGTGGCACAGTCTTGGCTCACTGCAACCTCCGCCTCCTGGGTTCAAGCAATTCTCCTGCCTCAGCCTCTCGAGTAGCTGGGATTACAGGAATCTGCCACCATGCCCAGCTAATTTTTTGTATTTTTAAGTAGAGACAGGGTTTCACCATGTTGGCCAGGCTGGTCTCGAACTCTTGACCTCGTAGTCTGCCCGCCTAGGCCTCCCAAAGCGCTGGGATTACAGGCATGAGCCACTGTGCCCAGCCGAGAAAGAATATTCTTAAATCCATCATGTCGCAAGCTTCTACCTTCCTCTAGAAAACTTTATTCCCCTACTTAAGGGGGTTGGTTCTGTCCTAAAACACAATCGCCCAGTCCCTGCTAGGACAGCCATGAGACATAGCTCATTACAGTGTCTCCCCAAAGACTGAGTTGTTCAATCTGGGACAACACTATGGACCTTCAGTGAAACAATACATACTCACCTCTCTAGAACAAGTGTAGTAAAAAATCCGTCTACAAATACAAAAGAGAGAAACATTATCTGCAGAACTTGCCTGAGGTCACAATGAAAATAGCATTTTAAAATTACTGGCAAAGAGACTTCGATTCCTTTTTCCTATTCTTCTGTTTCCAGACCTTGTCCAGGCTTTTCCTTATGTAAACCAACCAACAAAGAAGCCCCTTACAGTATCTTTGAAAACATCAGTGCCATTCGCTTGATTGCCAATCTTAGCTTTTCTTTCCTTTAGACCAAATCCTATTCTATTCAAGACTTCTTCCCATCCTAGTCCTGTAAGAGAGCAAAGACAGACATAAGGGTACATATTTCACCAAATCTATCTGTTCCTTCTCTGCAGGACTGCCGTTTTTCTATTTTGCTGGGCATGGAGGAATACATAGCTTCCCTGCAAGTCTATCTCTCCCATGGGTCCTCAGGTCTTATGCTCTTCCTGGGTTGCATCCTGTCCCCTATCAGTGAGAATCCCTGGTTAATCTGGCAGCTCATTACGCCTAATTAAAGTTCTATAAACTTTACTAGTATAGCATTTTATTTAAAACATCTCTCTAAAACAGATCTTTCTCTATTCAAAGTCATCCAAGATCATCTCCTACCAAAATCATCTTTTATCTCTTGGGTTTTAAATTCCTAATCTTCTAACTCCACATTGTCTAAGTCCCTTTATTAGTTCCCAGTTCCTTGTCAGAGTTTACTTCTCATCCTCAGCTGGCTGTGACCCTACCAATTTTTTCTCTCTCCTTTCCTCCAACTCCTCTGTTTACACCATTTTCCCCCAGTATTCCTCTTCTCTTGCCCTCTTGCTATTCCTCATCTACACATTTTTTTTTTCCAAAAACTCTTGACTTCTCTTTAGAGTAACTTCTGACTTCCCACCTAACAAACTAGCTCTCTGGGCTATGAAACTTCAGGAAAATTTCCCAGCAACCCATAAGCACTCTGGAGCCAATAGTGGTGAAATCACTACTGCTGTCAGGAGACAGGTCTACAGAGACCAGGACTCCAAATACACATTCCTTAATTAATCAGAGCCTTGATTATTATGTTGCAAGAGCATAACATATACATTACTTCAGCTATCTTATGAATTAGAAATGTATTCCAGCTGCATTATTAAACTGCTTTTGTGGGCTAGCCCAAGAATCTAACCACCATTTATAGCATTATCTGTTTAGAAATGAGGCTCCCATTGTAAATAACCACAAATGAAGTTTTAGACTTGTTCACACTGGCACCTGTAGACATTGTCGTAATTTCCCACCCACGTGCAAACTTCAGCTGAGAATGAAGCAGAAGCCTTTTTGTTTCAAAGACCTGGTTAGCAACAGAAGAAATGCATTGCTACATACTGGAGAAAGCCCACTTGCTGCTCATAATAACAATAAAACCTTTATATCCTGTATATTTTTACCTCTGTAAAGCATCTCATTTTCAAAACTACTCGTAAGACTTTTCAGAGCAAACAGCATGGATTTGGGCAAAGAGCAAACTATTAGAGACAGGGGTCTGCTATTTATTTATTTATTTTTTTAATTTTTTTTGTTATACTTTAAGTTTTAGGGTACGTGTGCACAACGTGCAGGTTAGTTACATATGTATACATGTGCCATGTTGGTGTGCTGAACCCAGTGACTCGTCATTTAACATTAGGTATATCTCCAAATGCTATCCCTCCCCCATTCCCCCACCCCACAACAGGCCCTGGTGTGTGATGTTCCCCTTCCTGTGTCCATGTGGTCTCATTGTTCAATTCCCACCTATGAGTGAGAACATGCAGTGTTTGGTTTTTTGTCCTTACGATAGTTTGCTGAGAATGATGGTTTCCAGCTTCATCCATGTTCCTACAAAGGACATGAACTCATCATTTTTTATGGCTGCATAATATTTCATGGTGTATATGTGCCACATTTTCTTAATCCAGTCTATCATTGTTGGACATTTGGGTGGGTTCCAAGTCTTTGCTATTGTTAAAAGTGCCACAATAAACATCCGTGTGCATGTGTCTTTATAGCAGCATGAGTTATAATCCTTTGGGAATATACCTAGTAATGGGATGGCTGGGTCAAATGGTATTTCTAGTTCTAGATCCCTGAGGAATCGCCACACGACTTCCACAATGGTTGAACTAGTTTACAGTCCCACCAACAGTATAAAAGTGTTCCTATTTCTCCACATCCTCTCCGGCACCTGTTGTTTCCTGACTTCTTAATGATCGCCATTCTAACTGGTGTGAGATGACATCTCACTGTGGTTTTGAATTGCATTTCTCTGATGGCCAGTGATCATGAGCATTTTTTCATGTGTCTTTTGGCTGCATAAATGTCTTCTTTTGAGAAGTGTCTGTTCATATCCTTTGCCCACTTGTTGATGGGTTTTTTTTTTTTTTTTTGTAAATTTGTTTGAGTTCATTGTAGATTCTGGATATTAGCCCTTCGTCAGATGAGTAGATTGCAAAAAATTTCTCCCATTCTGTAGGTTGCCTGTTCACTCTGATGGTAGTTTCTTTTGCTGTGCAGAAGCTCTTTAGTTTCATTAGATCCCATTTATCAATTTTGGCTTTTGTTGCCATTGCTTTTGGTGTTTTAGACATGAAGTCCTTGCCCATGCCTATGTCCTGAATGGTGTTGCCTAGGTTTTCTTCTAGGGTTTTTATGGTTTTAGGTCTAACATTTAAGTCTTTAATCCATCTTGAATTAATTTTTGTATAAGGTGTAAGGAAGGGATCCAGTTTCAGCTTTCTGCATATGGCTAGCCAGTTTTCCCAGCACCATTTATTAAATAGGGAATCCTTTCCCCATTTCTTGTTTTTGTCAGGTTTGTCAAAGATCAGATGGTTGTAGATATGCGGCATTATTTCTGAGGGCTCTGTTCTGTTCCATTGGTCTATATCTCTGTTTTGGTATCAGTACCATGCTGTTTTGGTGACTGTAGCCTTGTAGTATAGTTTGAAGTCAGGTAGTGTGATGCCTCCAGCTTTGTTCTTTTGGCTTAGGATTGACTTGGCAATGTGCACTCTTTTTTGGTTCCATATGAACTTTAAAGTAGTTTTTTCCAATTCTGTGAAGAAAGTCATTGGTAGCTTGACAGGGATGGCACTGAATCTATAAATTACCTTGGGCAGTATTCTGCTATTTATTAGACATGTAATTGGCCAAGTCACTTAATCCTCTGAGCCTCAGTTTTCTAAAGAGTAAGGCAGTAGTCATAATAATAATGCCACCACTATCCTCCCTATCAAATTTCAAGATTTTTCAGTAAGGCATTGACATCAAGACAAATGGGGGTGGGAGTGGGTGTGAAGTTGCAGGGACAGGCAGGGACTGGAGTAACAACAGAAATTCAGACAAGCAGGTGGGACATAGCAACCAAGACAATTGAGCAATGTCCAGATAAAATGCAGGCAAACACCAGGTTAGAAGGCAGAAGTAGCAGAATGGTTCGTTCATGGTCAGAGCTGGGTGAACAAAATTGAGTGGGTGCCATCTGAAATCCCAGTACTTCATGGAGATCTATGCCAAAGCCAGGCTCCATTCCCTGGGGAGAGAACCCAGCAATTAGAATTGCAGGGAAATATACTAGGTACCCAGAATGAGAACTCAAGTGAAGCCCAGTTCTATAAAATGAGGTGGACATAGGACACTTGGAAACAAGTGACAAACTGTAGAGCATCTAATGATGGTTTAGAGCATGTAGTGAAGGATTCTGATGATCATTCCGAGACCACATGTCCCAGCAGCAAAACCTTGGACCATGACATTGAAGGTCACACATTACTAGGGCAAGATACAGGTTATAGGAATGTACATTGATTCAGCAGAGGGTGGTTTGATGAAAAATATTTTAGAGCAGAATTAAGGTTGACTTATCAGTTAGCTCAGTTGGCTGGGCTCTGTGTGAGTGGCGGGGTGCTGACTCCCAGAGCAGGTGACTCCATCTCACTGCCTCATGGCCACAGGCCTCTTCTTTTCTCCTGCCAGTTACCCTATAAATGCTGGATGCCAGCCATGGGCATGACGTGAATCTGTGCTATAGCAGGTGCTCAGCAAGTGTCAGATGAATGCAGGGACAGAGGATTGAATAAATGAATGCAGCAGCTTTTACTACAAAGAAAAGTTATGGAACAATAAGAATAGAATCACATCCTTTGTAATTAAGCCTGCAGACATCCTTAGTGCTCTGTTCTCTGCACTTTGGAAGATAGAATTCAGTCCTCTGAAAGCATTTTAAGAGCTGTGTAGGAAAAGACAAACAAGCTTAGAAGAATTCAGTGAAAGATGAGAAGCCAATTGTCAACAACAAATTTGAAATTCCTATTCAAGGCCAGTAGAAACCAGTAAACAAAAAAATGTTTTAGTCAGAGAGAGTTAATCACTTCATTAATACTTTAATACCTATTTGAAATTGACTGACTTATCAGTCCTGGCATATCTCCTTTGCAATGCATTTAAAGAGGAGTGTAACATAGGATGGAATCCAAGGTGTCACATTCTCAGCTTACTGGTGATTATACAAGGAATGTGGACTAGACCAGTAAAGTCTGTCCTTGAGCCCTGCAGGATCCAAACCTGTGTCTGAAACCCGGTGAATCCCTGTGTCGGGAAGGCATGTGGACCTCTGCTGCCCCAGCACTCATCCCTAGCAAAGGGCCCTTCGCATTTCCTAATTAGGTTATATTCAGTGTTCACAGGGCTGGTAATGGATGAGATACTGAAGTGTAATCACAACCGATATTATTCACGTCCCAGGAATGTGCAGCCGAGGCTGCTCTGCTAGCTCCAACGGAAAACAATGGCGTGGTTGACAAGTAGCCTTTTTACATTTCAGATTCTGATCCAGATTTAGTCCTTCTGTTTGGTCATGATTGCAGAATACATATCTAGAGAGAAGAAATAAACATGCTGTAAATTCAATTTCTTGGGTGTTTGAGGCTCTCTAAGTCCTATACAGACTGGCATAGCCTGCCTGTTAGAATGTTCAGAAATGAGGCTAACTGGGGCAGTCTCTGTGTCTGGTTTGCGATGTCTGGTTGATTAGAGAGGCCCAAGAAACCACAGAAAAGGTAATTAATTTAATCAACAGGTGTTATGCCAGGCATTGTCCTAAAACAAAAGATGAAGGTAAGTGCCTATTCTAAAATTCTTTGTGATCAGGTGAAAACGCCAGACAAAGCATGCTAGCAACTATCCCAAGTCAGATGCAACTCAGTACTATAATGGAGGAATAAACAAAGTATTAATTATTGGCCAGAGCAGAGGATAATTAACTCTGACTAAGGAAAGGGGGTTGACCAGGGGGAATCTTAAAGGATGAGTGAGAATATATGAAGGAAGGGGCTGGGGTGTACATCCCAAGAGATATGAAATGGAACAGAGTCATGGGCAAGGAGGGAAAAATCACCCAGTAAAAAGGACCCCAGAGCACTTCACAGAGGAAGTGATGCTTCTATTGAGACTTGGAGGATATGGAGGTAGCAGATAGTCAGATGGAGAGCAGGGGAAGGGCATTCTAGAAAGAGGAGGCAGCACTGCACAGAGTGAGGTGAAAGAACATAGCAGTGTGGGATGCCATGTGATATGGTTTGGCTGTCCCCGTCCAAATCTCATCTTGTAGTTCCCATAATCCCTGTGTGTCATGGGAGGGACCCAGTGGGAAGTAATCGAATCATGGGGGTGGTTAACCTCATGCTGTTCTCGTGTTAGTGAGTGAGTTCTCATGAGATCTGATGGCTTTATGACGGGCTTTTCCCCCTTTTGCTCAGCACTTCTCCTTGCTGCCACCGTGTGAAGAAGGACGTGTTTGCTTCCCCTTCCACCATGATTGTAAGTTTCCTGAGGCCTCCCCAGCCATGCTGAACTGTGAGTCAGTTAAACCTCTTTCCTTTATAAATTACCTGGTCTCAGGTTTGTCTTTATTAACAGCGTGAAAATGGAGTAAGACACTGGGGATGGTAGAAGATGAGGTTAGAGAGGTAGGCACAGCCAGGGAATGACAGAATATTTTTGTAGTCAGCTGAGTACTTTGTATTTTATCCTGATGGCTATGAGAAGCCACATGCGGTGGTCCAATCTATTTGACTTGGTGACTAATGGGATCTGGGGAGAAGGTGTAAAGGAACCAGGTGAGATATGATGACAGCCTCAACCAAAGATATAATTGACAAATAAATGGCCTCATGTGATCCCATAGGTTTCACTAGGCAGGAGAAGAAAATAGAATAATTCTCCTATCAGTAATATTATTCTCCAATGACTACTCGGTACCTTTTTTCATTATTTATGTAAATTTTATTGCCCCTATTCAATCATCAGGTCCTTGAAGGAAGATCAGAGAGACCTGTGTCTAATTCATGTTTGTGCTGCTCACACTTTCTAACACAGATCTTGCACATATCAAAGATGCTATAAATATATATTGAATAAATATTAACACAGAATTTGTGGGGGGTGGTGGTGCCAGAGTCAGTATTTAAACCAAGAGAAAGCCCTTCAACTCCCTCCTTTGCAGAGAGATTACTCATTCTGCCATACTGCACATCCACAAGACATTTACAGCCTACCAGAGACCTTTAAAGAAAGTTTCATAACATCCCTGCTGACCATCTTTTTGGAGATGGTGGGTACTAGAGTCTATATAATTTCTACAAGATTCTAAAGTAGACTGCCAGACATTAGAAAATGATCTGAATTTATGAGTCAGTCATCCACAAGAGCTACATGTTTGTCAGTGGCAGGGCCAAAATCAACAGGACCTTCTTGCCAAAGTTTCGAGATACCCACTCACCTATTTATTGATATCTAAGGGTTCAGGGTCATCAGGATTCTCTAAAGTCATCCATTTGCAAACATGTTCCAAGACCAGCAGTATTTTGTATATGAAAGCTATCTTGCAATGTAGACTAGCTGAATGAAATGTCTGTCTTTGTCATGAACTTTCATGTTTTCATTTCAGTAATGCAAACCACAACAGTGCTATGATCAACCCTCATCATCAGTATAGAAGAAATTATCTAGTCCTAACCCATGTTCTTACTGGTTTAATCATTTATTTCCAGCTTTCTGCTCTTTGTTTATTATTTATGTAAGATGTTGTAGCTCTGTATGCTGAGTTAAAATGTAATCATTTTATTAATATTTTTTAAAAAGTTAAATTTCTAACCATAAATTATAGGATGATTAGTTAAAGACAGAAATCAGTTTTAAGCAAAATAACTAAGGGCATATCCTCTTCCCAGCATTTTTTATTAAAGAAGTATTTTATTTTAAAATATTTCTAGACTTAACAGAAAAATTGCAAAGATAATACAGAGTCCCACATACCCTATACCCATTCTCACTTATTAACATCTTACATTAATATTGTCCATTTGTGATAAGTAATGAACCAATATTGATATATAGTTTTTAATTAAAGTCTATCATGTATTAAGATTTCCTTAGTTTTTAACTAACATTCTTTTTCTGTTCCAGGATCCCATCAACATAACTCATTAAATTTAGTGGTTGTGTCTCTTTAGGCCCTTGTTTGCCATGACTGTTAAGACTTCCCTTGCTTTTTATGACCTTGACAGTTTTGAGGAGTTCTCCTGTCATTTCTCCTCACATATTTTGTAGAATGTCCCCTAATTGGGAATTATATGATGGCTTTCTCGTGATTAGGCTGGAGTTATGGATTTATGAGATGAAGACCACAGAGGTAAAATGTCATTCTCATCATATATCAAGGCTGCGTACTATCAACAAGATTTATGACTGCTGATATTGACCTTAATCACCTGCTTGGGGTGGTGTTTGTTAGTTTTCTCCACTGTAAAGTTACTCCTCTCATCTTTTATTTGTATTTTATATTATTGTTATTATTTGTTTATTTGTTATTATTTTAGAGACAGACTCTCACTCTGTCACCCAGGCTAGAGGGCAGTGGTGTGATCATAGCTTACTGCAACCTTGAACTCCTGGGTTCAAGTGATCCTCCCACCTCGACTTCCACAAGCGCTAGGATTACAGCCCTTCTCCCCCACTGCACCTCCCCACATTTTTATATTATACTCTGGAAGGAAGCCACAAGGCATAGCACACAATTAAGAAGCAGCGATTTATACTCCACTCTTTGATGGCAAAATATCTACAGAAATTATTTGAACTTCTTCTGCCCGGGAGATTTATCTATTGTCCCCCATTGATTTATTTATTCAATCATTTGTTTGTATCATTATGGTCTCATGGATATCTATTTTGCACTTTCAATACTATTTTATTTTGTTGCTCAAGTTGTTCCAGCCCTGGCCATGGAGAATACATTCAGTTGGCTCCTGTGTCCCTGTAACATAGCCCTGTCATTATTGGATTTGGTTGAGCACTTTCTTACTTTCAGGAGCTACAAAATGCTCTAGGTTCGTCTTGTATATTTCCTGCTCCATCCTAGAGTCCATGTCTCCAAGGAGCTTGGTTCTTTTATTGGAGAATGTATTAGAAACCAAGACCTGGACATGCTCCTTGTTGCAAAGGTGTTATTGCTTCTAGGCTCAGCTGACAGAGAAATAACATATATGTGTGTAAATTAACCCATGTCTATACACATATATCTACAAATCCTTCTCTTTGTAACTATCTGTATCTATATTAAGCTAAATATGAGTTGATACTGATGTCTCCAATCCCAACCCAGTAGCACATAGATAATTCTAACCTTCTCCCCCTTGCTTGTTTCCTCTCCCTCCTACAATGAAGAACCTGGCTTCTGCCATCAGCCATTCGTTTATTTCATTGTTCAATTCCAGTCTCCTGTAGAGTACTTCCATAATTGTTAAGCCATACCCACATAGAAATAACTTTATAAGTTTGAGTGCTTATACAGAGCTCTTTTTGCCTTTAATCTTACAGACTCGATTCATTTCCAAACTTACTTACGTAAGCATTTTCTCTCACATCCCCTTCAGTACGCTTATTTCATGCATTTGTAATACAGTTAGATTATTTTGCCATATTTTACATTTCATCCTGGAATCCTCCAACCTTCTAAATATTTTTTAAATTTTGTATAATTAAGTTTCTCTATGCCATGAAGTTCTATGGGCTTTGACAAGTGCATAGTGTCATGTATCTAGTATTATCACAATATCATAAAAAGATAGTTTTACCACCCTTTAAAAAATCCCTAGTGGTTGACCTATTCAATTCCTTTCACCAAGAGTTTCTGAAACCACTGGTCTATTTGCCATCTCCATAAGAGTTTTGCCTTTTCCAGGATATTACTTAAATGGAATTATACCTTATGTAGCCTTTTAAGACTGGCTTTTTTCACTTAGCAACATGCATTTAAGATTCATCTATGTCTTCCTGTGGTTTGACAGCTCATTCCATTGTGTGGATGTGCCACAGTTTATTTAGCCATTCACCTACTAAAGTTTACTTCTAGTTTTTGGTAGTTGTAAATAAAACTGCTATAAAATTCTCATGCTGATTTTTGTGTAGACATAAGTTCTCAACTCATTTAAGTAAATACTTACGAACATGATTGCTGGGTCCTATGATGAGGCTATGTTTAACTCTAAGAAACTGCCAAACTGTCTTCCAAAGTGGCTGTAACCGTTTTAAATTCACACCAGCAATGAATGAGACTCCTGTTGTTCCACAAAGTTCCGTTGATCCTTGTCAGCAAATGGTATTGTCAGTTATTTTTGGATTTTAGCCATCCTTATAGGTGTATAATAGTACCTCGTTGTTTAACCGCTTTTAAAAATATTAAAAGTTTGTCAGGAGTGGGGAGTAAAACTTAAAAACTAAACAAGAAATCTGAGTCACCAGCATGAGCCATAGAGAACACTGTTGAGATAGCTCAGGCTATAGAAGAGGTGCTCCTCTTCCGGGTCCTATAAGAAGCAGGATGTAGAAACCACCAACTTGTTTCCTCCACTTGACTTTAGCTCTTATGTTCTCCATTATCAAGTAAGAGAGCAAACAAAGTTGTGGGAGCTAATAAGGCTTTACATAAAATAAATGAGAAAGAGAGGAGAGAAATGCAAAAAGTAACTTCTCAGAACACAGAAGACATTATCCTTTCCAAACCAAAATGAAAAACATGTCCAAAAAGAGAAGAGAGGGCTGTCATCTGGATAGAGGAGATGATCCTAGAAACCCTGATGGCTCCTTTTTATTAATATAAGAGTACCTGGGATTTGTTTTAATCAGGTATGGTAAGACATGCAGAAAAGACAGTCATGAAGGAATAAGTTTTTATACTTACAGATACCTAATAACAGGAGCACCCTAGGTAGGGCAACATGGAGAAGGGTGAGTCAAGAGAAAGAAGGAGTGAGGGGGGATCGTGGACAAGAACCTTTATTGAGAAGGGAAAGGCAGAGTAAGCAGGTTTAGGATTGGCTAGTTTGAATAATTCCAGCAGGATCTGGGGCATAGGGGCTGTCTCTAGTCATCTGGTATCCTGTCATGGCCTAGGGTGATTAGGACAGTGGGATAGTGGGTCTGCATATAAGAGCCAGATAAAGGAGGTGGTAGAAGTGTGGGCTTTGGATTGGCTGGTTTGCGTATGAAAGATAGGCTCCCAGGCAAGTTGCTATCTCTAGGAATTTCATAACCCTGGGAGGGGCAGTTCCTTTCAACGTCAGCTAGACTCCAAGATGTTGAAGAATCAGAATAAAAAGACATACTTAATACACTTCTTACATCATTTTTATTGTTGGGTCTACTTTTGCTGAAGCTGCCTGCGACTGTCCTTGGTCTTTTCCCCCGTGACCTCCCTGGTTCCTGAGATCTGAGCAGTATAAGCTTCTCCAGATGCTTGAGGTAACATTGTCTTCTTGAAATTTTACTAAGGTGTGTTTGCTTCTGGTATTGATGGCTACTATACACCTGTTTGACACTTCATGTTTGCAAAGCATGTCAAGTACGCCTGTTGTCTGACCCCCTGTGATCACCCCCTGGAGGTGGAGAATTCATCTTTTACTTTCATTGCTCTTTAACACTTCTCACATCTTTCCACTTGCCTGAGAATCTAAATATTTACACATCTCCCTTATCCGTATATCATCTTGTATTCTGCTTCCTTTTTCATTCCCAATGTCGTGTGCTATCCTTCCCTCTAGGCCACTCCTGATGCTTCAGTCATCTAACACATATTTGTCGCACACAGACTGGAACAGGAATTGTGCCAGGGCCCTGGGACAGAGAGAAATATGGTATCCTTGTGTGGTGGGAAGAATAGATAAGAGCATATGTTTTGAGGCCTGATAATGTGTCAGTCACATCGGTAAGAATTGTTTCAGTTTCACTTAATCTTCACATCACACTTAAGGTGGGTTCTGTGACAACCTGCCCATACTACCACCATTCTTACAAATAAGAACTCAGGTTTAGTGAGCTTAAGTAATGACCCAAGATCACAGGGCTAGCTGATGGACAGCAGGGGTCTGAATCCGGGTGCCTGACACCAGAGCATGTACTTTTCATTTGGATTCCATGAGACTCCCGCAGACATAACTCAGAGCACTTTCCCATCCTAACCCTTGCAAGGATGAACCTCCTTTTTTATATAGAAACAAAATTATTTAGCAAAACAACCTGTCTACACTAGGAGCCTCTACTGCTAACTAATGATCAGATGATCTTGAGAAAATCACTAATTTTCTTTAGTCTCTGTTTCCTCTGCTGTAAAATGAGAAGGCAGGACTAGACGACCTCTAAGATCTCATTAAGCACTGACATTCTTTTAATTGATCAGATACATCTGCACCTCTATTTTAAATAACCATTTTGCTTTGAGGTTCAGAAATACAGGAGAAGGAAAGCCAAGGATGGCAAGGAGCTCACTTGGCGCTGAGAAACATCTTGAAATATTTTTAGCTGGTTTCTCTGACAAAATATGTCCTTTAGTGTTGCAAACTTACCGTACTAAAACCATTGTATACTGACACCAGGAATAAAACAGAAGCGAGCCAAGGCATTTTAAAGACTGACTTTCATTGACTTGAAAACATGCAAAATACAAACATCTCCTGTTACCAAGCCACCACTTCCAAGGCTGACCGAACTCACAAGGGCAATCCTAGAGGTCATTCCATCCCAGCACCCTCATGGACTCACCTCTGCTGCCCTCCCCAAGGCCAACAACAGCCTGGTGAAATAGTCCCAAACTACCAGCCAACCCAGGCTCCATCTTGAACACAGGCATGTGTTCCAGCCTCTGAACATTCTTCATGCCCTTCTCACTGTTGCATCATTCTCCTCCTTGTCTTCACAATTTTATTCATTTGCTAGGGCTGCCCTAACAAAATATCACTATTTGCTATGAGTCTACAATTAGGAAAAAGAAAGAAAAAATGAAATACCACTAGCTATTTCGCTGGGTTGCTTAAACAGCAGCAATTTCTTTCCTCATAGTTCTGGAGGCTGGAAGTCCAAGATCAAAATGCCAGCAGCACTGGCTTCTCCTGGGTCTTCTCTCCTTGCTTGTAGACAACCATCTTCTCGCTGTGCGCCTCACACATACCCCTGGAGTCTGTGTGTGTGTGTCCAAATCTCCTCTTCTTGTAAGGACACCAGTCACATTGGATCACGGTCCACCTATCTGACCTCATTTAACCTTGAATCTCTTTAAAGGCCGTATCTCCAAATACAGTCATTTTAAGGTACTGGTAGTTAGGACTTCAACATATGAATTTGCTGGGGGAGACACAGCCCATGCAGTGTTGGAATCCTACCCATCCACATCCCTCCTCAGATGCACTTCCCTTCAGGAAGCATGAAACTCAGCCAGCTGGAATTTCTCCTTCCTTGAGACCCCATTTCTCCACTCCACCACTTAACAAAGGCCTAGAGGTGTATAAGTTCCTTGTATGACAGAACAATGCCTTGTTTTATAAATAGTGTCTTATATTATTATGTCTCCCAATGGCATATAGTTTAATACCTCATTCGGAGTAAGAATTTAACAAATATTCAATACTTGAACAAATAAAAAACTGTGGTACCTCCATACGATGGATGGATATTATTCAATGCTAAAAAGAAATGAGTTATCAAACCATGAAAAGATATGGAGGAACCTTAAGTGCATATTGTTAAGTAAAAGAAACCAATCTGAAAAGGCTACATACTGTATGATTCCAACTATATGACATACTGGATAAGTCAAAACTATGGAGACAGTAAAAAACATGAGTGATTGCCAGGGTCACTGGGGTGGAATTGGGGAAGGAAGGGAGGAATGAATAAATGGAGCACAGAGGATTTTCGGGGCAATAGAATTGTTCTGACGCTACAATGGTGGATACATATGATTTTACATTTGACAAAATGCATAGAATGCACAACATAACGAATGAAACCTAATGGAAGTGATGGACTTTGGGGGATAATGATGTGTTAATGTAGATTCATCAGTTGTAACAAAGGCACCACCCTGTTGTAGGACTTTATAGCGGGGAGGGTGTGCCTATGTGCGAGTGGGAAGATTATGGAAACTCTCTGTTCTTTCCGCTTAATTTTGCCATGACTCTAAAACTGCTCTAAAAACATATATAGTTTACTTAAAAGGAAACCCCTCAAAAATACAATTTTTAATTGAATTTTCTGCACAGCCCTCATATTTTTAAAAATATGGGTATGGCTTCCATCTTTGGGGTTTCGGTAAGCCCTGCTTTCCTTTATAGTGAGCTAGGTCATTGACAAGGAATAATAAATCAATTAAAAAAGAGAATGGTGTCTAAGACTTCATCATGCCTCCATCATAATCCCAACATTTGGAGATTTCAGGACAGCATGAACCTCAAAGTACGCAGCCTCCCTCCCAAGCAATGTGTGAAGCTTGTTAACTCTGCTCCAAGATGGTATAAAACTTTGATTAGCCAGAATGCTACACTAAAGGACTAGGGTTCTAGTTTATTGGTGTATGGCTGTGGAGTTCATGCCTCCCAAGCCAGCCCTCTTTGGAAGCAAACCAAGCGTTGCCTCCTTGGGGATGGCACTATTCATCCAACATTGCATTGCCCAGGGTGTGTACTTCTGGGATCCATTGCTAAAGGAAGAAATGTTAGGCTCCACTATGAGTACTGCTGCTGGCAAAAGACAAATATCCAGAGGAGCCAGGGCTTTGGGCTGAGAAACAGATGGCGGGAAGCCATCTATAGTGGAGAGAAGAAAGAGGAGGACTCAGGAAGAGGAAGGCACAGGAGGCTGGAAATGAGCCTCGGATCCTTCACCACTTTATCTGAAAACCACACAGGCCGTGAAACTCACCAGTCAAGTCCTGGATCCTCACTGACATCCTCTATGGAGGCCATTTACCTGAGTCTTAAAGATCTGTACCACAAACAGGTGCACTCAGACCACATGCCCCAGCCCTATACAATGGAAAGCCCAGTAATCAGCCCATGTTAATCAGGCCATCCTGGTTACTCTAACCAGAAGTATTCTATTTACTGATCATCTCTCTGTGGTTTCAGCTGTTTCTTGGAGTCTTAGTTTGTTTAAGCTAGTTCAACAGAAACACCATAAACTGGGTGGCTTAAAGAACAAATATTTATCTCACAGTTCTAGAGGCTGGGAAGTCCAGGATCAAGGCCAAGATTGGTGTCAGATGAGGGTCTGCTTCCTGGTTCCTAGGTAACCCTTCTTGCTATGTCCTCACCTGGCAGAAACAGCAAGGGAACTCTCTAAGGTCTCTTTTATAAGGGCACCAATCCTGTTCATGAGTGCTCCAACCTAATCACCTGCTGAAGGCCTCTCCTCCTAATACCATCACTTCAGGGGTTAGGATTTCAACATAGGAACTTTAGGGAGATACAAATATTCAGCCCATAAGAGAGCCAGTGAGAATCAAGAAGGAGTTTCAAGAACCCCTTGGCGAGAGAATGGGGGTGGGGGACGAAGAGAGAAGGACTTCTCACTCATTATAGCTCAACCAGAGCAGCTGCACGTTCACCTGTAATAAGCATTGAGGTCTTGCTTACAATTCCATTCAAAAGGGAGAAAACTTCAAAACCACCAGTGTATAGTGAAATATCAGTATTAGTGGGCCACACATCCCAGATAATCCCAATTGCAATACATATTGTCCCATTGTCAGATAACGTATCAGAATATGCATCCCTATTTGGCATTTGGAAAACATGGAATTGATAACATTTATTATTTATTATATATTATCTGGTATTATAGTGACTTGGGTGCTCGTTTTATCATCTGTACAAGTTTAACCTACTTAGGTGTAGGAAGCATATTCATCTTTGTACCTTTTAGAGTACCTGTCACAATGCCTTACACTCTGGTGTTCAATAAATATAAGTTGAATGACAATAAGAGTGTTAGGTCATATTCACTAGCAAACAGAGCTGTGCAGCGGGTTCTAAGGGCTATAATATAATGGCATGAACGTGCAAATTCTTACCTTTGTTTTCTAGGCAAGTCCATAATTAGAAACAATTTAAAGATAAGACTTTACAAACCAAAAAGGAAGTCCTAGACCACTCTTAGGCACAAAGATTTTAATATAGTGCCACAGAGGAGATGACTACCTTGGAAGAAGCAGCTCAGCATTCAGTGCTCACTTGTGTCAGTATAATAGCATTTCCAGACAAAAGTGCAAAGCACGGGATTACCAAGTGTTGACTCTTGCATGTGTGCATGTCCTGATGCTCAGACAAGTGATCTGATTACAGTCAGGGGCATCTAGATGTCTCTGGAATGTTCAGATGGAGGGTTTCGACAACATAGTTTCCACATCGAGTCCACTGGTTTGAAAAATAAGAGGAATATAGGTCAGCCCAAGGAGAGTGCCAGCACTGTTGGCCCAATTCCTTGGCACAAAGTAGACACCCAATAAACACGCCTTAAATGTGTAAAATGGCTCCCCTCCCCTCTGGCTCCAACCTGTTCAGTCAGTAGCCAGGGAGTTCCAAGTACTCTCAAGGCCCCGCATCTATCTGTTATCTTTGTTGAGGAAGACACCACGACCATTGTTTCTGCAGTGTTGACGACCAGGTGAACATTTCTGAAAATCAGGCATGGCCAAGAAGGGGCCTTCAGAGCATCCACAGTACCAGGTTGAAGAGCCCAGCACATCAGAAACATGAGCCACAGGGAAGGATGCTGTCCCTAAGTGCAAGCCACCTTGGGGCCCTAAAAGGAGGAAGAGACAATTGTCTGATGCGGTTTACATATATCCCTATGGGTTGCTGTTTGTGAAGTAAATGCAAGAACAATCCTGGGTGTCCTCTACTGCACATTTCCTGGTTCCCTTTATGGGAGTCCAAATGAAGTGATCTGTAATTAACCCTCAGAAGATGATCTGTCCTTGGTGCACACTGCTAGGTGTAGGTGTGTGTTTTGGGGGATGGTGTAGGAGTATGTGTTCTTCTATCCATGTGCATGAATGCATGCAGGGAAGCAGAAGTTGGGGGCGGTATCATTGCAGACCTCTCTCTCTTTTTTTTTTTTTTTTTTTGAGATGGAGGCTCGCTCTGTCGCCCAGGCTGGAGTGCAGTGGCACGATCTTGGCTCACTGCAACCTCTGCCTCCTGGGTTCAAGCAATTCTCTGCCTCAGCCTCCCGAGTAGCTGTGATTACAGGTGACTGCCACTGCACCTGGCTAATTTTTTTGTATTTTTGGTAGGGACAGGGTTGCACCATCTTGGCCTTGTGATCTACCTGCCTCCACCTCCGAAAGTGCTGGGATTACAGGTATGAGCCACCGCGGCCAACCGACCTCTCTCTTTTTTATTGTGTCTCACTAACCCAGAGCATTAACTGAAATAGTCATTTTTTCTTGCTCATCCTGTAATCACTATCAAAGCTCTATAATGTTCAATTTTTGTCAGGTACCAAAAAGGATGAACAAAGACATTCTGACATTACAACAGGCTGGATTTGCTACGAGGTATACAAATGAAGAAGGCTTGGAGAAAGAATTAGCGGGGATTCGCATCTAGATAAAGCAAGTTATCACTGTCTGCATAACCTTGAATGAATCACAGACCTTTCTCTAGCTCATTCATTAAAGCTTTGTTTAATTCAACAAATATTTATCACATGACAGGCGCCTGCCCTAAGCACTGGGGCTTCATTCATTTATTCATTCAACAAATATTTATTAAATCTCTACTATGTGCCAAGCACTGATCACGGGGTTGGGATACAGCCATGAATAAAATAGGCAATATTTCTGCCCCTCATGGAGTTTATATTCTAGTGGTATGGGGAGCAGGGAGGCAATAAACAAATAAATATACAATCAACATGTCAGGTGTTAAGTGCTATGTAGAAGAATAAAGGGGGTACTGGGATAAGGAAGGCCATGGGTGATACTTTATCTAGGATGTCTTGGAAGGCAGGCCTCTGGGAGTTCAGATTTAAGCAGACATGGGAAGAAAGCTAAGGAGGGAGACATACAGGTATGTGGGGAAAGAACACATAACAAAGAGTACAATAGGCATGACTCAATCAATTATACCTCAGTAAAGCTGGAAAAAAAAGGAATGACTCATTCTATACAAAAGCCTTCTACTTTGCCTCAAATCCCTTCTGGAAAGAAGAAATGTGTAAATCAACCATAAATGCCTTACCTACCCAGCAAGAACAGAACGACCTAAAATGAAGATGAAATGAAAAAGTGTTTTTAGAAGTATAGAAGGCTATATAAATATACAGTAATGCTCTTTATTAGTCACTGGTTTACACTAACAGGATCAAGTATGCATCTATATTTGAAGGTCTTATGCACAAATTAAATTGGTGCTGGCCCAAGTTCAAGAGCTAATACAAATGCCAAAAACGTATTTGGTGGTTATGGTGAGTGACCGTGTAACCTGCTTAGAACTGTACCCTAGGCCTGTAGTCCTCATGCAAACATAGCCTCTCATAGTATATCTCATAGTATACCATTTCCTGCTGCATTTGATTAGGCAAAGCTGAAATCTCCCAACCAAGATGTGACCTAAATTTCTTTATTTACAAGGAAATCACTGGTTAGAAAATTCCTTAGCCTTGGCAATTAGTCAATCAAGTTCATTAGCAGAGGTTGACATATTTCCAGGACTGGTGAAATTTTAATTGGGTAGTAAGGAGGAGAATACTCAAGCTTTAAGGAAATTCTCATTCAAAATGTTCTAACCTTCCAGCTTCTCCTACATTTTCCTTAAATCTAACTTAGGGGGATAATCCAGACCATACACACATGAATTCAGCCTGGATGTGGCATTTTGGAAGAAAACCCCAGCTGAGTACACATGAATGTGTCTCAGCTTTGCCAGAAGAAAAATAGTTGTGCATTATACATGGACTATACAGACATTTTTTGTAAGTCTTACTTTAAAATGTTTGAATTTTCAAACTTAAAATGTTCCATGTGTTTAGTGTTTCTTGTTTCATTAGACTAAAGAGAAGTGGTTGAAAATTCAGTCTCAGCAAACATGTGGTATATTCCAAGAATGTTTCATATATTATGATTTCGTAGCTATAGAGTTGTAAACATGGCTTTTACACTCATTACTGGTTGTAGTTAAAAGATCATTTATTCAATAAACATTTATTGAGTACCTACTATATGCCAGGCCCTATTCTAGGCACAGGAGATACAGCAGCAAATAAAGTTCATACATTTAAGGAAACAGGCCATAAATGAATTTGTAAATAAATATAACGCAAGTAGTGAAGCAATTGTTCTTCCTGTTTTATTTAGGGAAAGGGAGTGTGGGAGGGGCTGCTATTTTAGAAAGAAAGCCTCTCCCTTGAAGTCTCATTTGAATAAAGATCTTAATGAGCCTTTTGCTGATTTGGGGAAGAATCCCCACACAGACAAGAGTGGGCCAGGCTCTGTTGTCGGGAGTGCCTGGAACAGCCTGAAGGCCAATGTGGCTGGGGCAGAGTGAGAGGTGAGCAAAGTAGTAGGAAATGAGATCTTATGTGAAACCCCCATGTCATAGGGTTCTTGCACACCCAAAGTGGAATGACTACTGAGTCCACAGTCTGGCTTCATTTTCTGGACGTTCAAGTGATGATAAGGAATTGCAAGGAAAGCCTGCTGTCAAACAACAATCTCCTCATTAAGTTTCACATGAACACATACAAAAAAGGACATTCTCTTTTTCCCTCTCAGGACCTTTGCATTTCAACAGCTTGAAATGCTCTTCTTTACTCCTCTTCCTATCAAATTCCCCAGGTTTAATTTAAGCTCTGCCCCCTGTGAGAATCTTCTCTTAACTCCTCCAGCTGACACTGAGTCAATCTTCTTTGTGACTAGGGGGTCTTAACCTAGGACTTCCCTGGCATCAATAGATTATTTACAGGAACTCTGAAACTGCATATGAAAAATTTTGTGTATCAATCAATATGCTTTTCCAAGGGTGCTCATAAATCCCATGAGATTTTCAAATGAGTTTGTAGCTTTGAAAGGTGGAGAACCACCAAGCACTCATGGACGGTGCTTCTCAAACATTAAATCTGCACGCAAACTATCCACATTTCATTAGACTGAAGATTCCAACTTGGTAGCCCTGGAGTGAGGCTTGGTGCTGCTGGTCCTGGGACCATACTTGGTAGCAAGAGACTAGAATGTGGTCAGCATTTGCTTGTGTACACTGGCAAGGTGCTCTCTGCACTTAGGTAGATCACAGGTTTCTGGACAGCAAGGGCACTGACAATACTACTTGGCTTTTCTCCCAAGTAGGGACTAATAGAAAAACAGCCCACTGTTGGGCCTGACAGGTGGTCTACAGATACCAGGCTTCTAAGGTTACCACCAAATGTTTTTAAGGCTAAACCTTTCCAAAATTCACAGCAGAATCTCAAAACTCCTAAAATCTTCCTGAAGCAAAGCTTTTTCCTCTCTTCCGGTAGTAGACTCCCATAACATGTTGAAACCTAAATCCATCAACTCTACAAGCTATCATAGTTAGCACAGGAAATGCACTCATTTGGAAGAATAATTCACTATATGAGGGATCAGTTACTCACTGAAGATGTTCAGTACAAAGAAATAACGTGAGGCACAGGGCATGGTGGCTCATGCCTGTAATCCCAGCACTTTCGGAGGCTGAGGCAGAAGGATCACTTGAGGCCAGGAGTTTGAGACCCTGGGGGAAAAAAAAAAAAAAGGAAAGGAAGGGAAGGGGAGGGGAGGGAAGCGGAGGGGTGGGGAGGGGAGGGCAGGGGAGGGGTGGGGAGGCGAGGCCAAAGGAGCCAAGATAAATCAAACCACCAGGCCCTTGAATGAGCAGGTCCTGGATAACTGTTTAGAGTCCAGCAGTGAAGTCTCATTTAAAAACGGCAGAGGGAGAGAAAGCCTCTAAAAGGCAAGGGATAATGTAGAAAAGTAAAAATAGGTTTTAGAATAAAAATGCCGTTTCAGACAAACTGCCACTCTATATTTGCAAAAACTGTAAAAGAAGTTATTTATTTGGCCATGTAGAAATAAAGTGCTTTTAACAGCAGCTAACAATAGATCACGTGAAAAAAATTACATACAAGACATGTGTGTCGGGAATGTCTTTATGTGTTCAAAAGGAATTTTGCATGTGGTATTTTATATATATACACATATTATTTGGACTTATAAAATACCCTATGTAATGAAAACTATGCATAAATATTTATAAAAATACCTTTTTCTAAGTAGGCCAGGAACATTTAATATTTTTCAATAAATTAATATATAAAATATATACATTAGTGCCAAATGGAACATATATTTTGAAATATGAAACCCAAGTAAAATGCTCAGGAATCTGGAGTAGAATCCAGGTATCTGCCAAAGGAAACTTTGGACGAGTTGTCTTTTGAAGAAGGGAAACAATGCTGGGTCTCTTATCTTCACGGACTGTTTTTGCTTGTCAAACTTCTAACATCACTTCAGCCGAGTTTCGTATTTGACTTCCAACCTCATGGCCATTTGACCTGCCAACTACTATTTTTCTTTGAGGCTTTTAACACCCCACCCAAGTATTTTGCTTTCCAGATTGTGTGCGTTTCCTTTTCACTTCACCTTAAAGTCAGCCTGGGTTTACAACATCGGCTTAAGGCGCACCCTCTAAGGTTTCAGACAGACCCAGGGCACCGCGGTGATGACCTGAAGCTGATATCTCTCGGCAAAGCCAAGGTATCCGGGAGGTTCTCCGCGTTGTGCCAGGATTTCCATCCAACCCGAGAGTCTCAGGGCAGAGGCCAGGCCCCCAGCGTCCGACTCCCAGGGGTCCCAGCCCCCTCCCCTGGCTGACCATGCGGGCTGGGACCTCCCAGCCGGAAAACACCGCCCTTTCCTGTCGCCTACTCCTTCCCCAGGCCGACGACTCGCGGAGGAGGAAGAGACGGAGGCCGATTAAGAAAATTAGCATTCATTAACCCGGTTCACGCTCCGGCCCCGGCGGAGGGGAGGGGCGCGCCGGGCGGCGGCGCTGGCGGTGGCCGGGTGACCGGCGGGCGCAGGTGCCACCGCGGCCTGAATTTTACTCTCTCGGGCCGGCAGCTGCGCCACTTGCGCCTCGTCGCGCGTCTGGGGCAGCCGCCACCGGCTTGCCCCAGCTTTAGGCAAATCCTTTTGAAAGACCCTGAGGGAGAAGAAACGCCTCCCTCTGGGTAGGAGAACCTGTAGCGTCTGCTGTTCGTCGCGTGTCCAGTTGCTCAGCCGGGAGCTCCGGCATCTTCAGGGCGCTTATTCCACTCTCCGGGTTTTGGCTGCAGCTCTGAGGGGAGCGAGCTAGAAACTGACAGAACGCGACCCTCCCCCTCCGCGCCCACCGGAGCCCGGGCTGAGAGGGACCTGGGGAGCTGCGGCCTGGCCGGGGCGGCGCACTCAGGTGGCCTCGCTTCCCTGCGGGTCACCGCCCGCCACTCGCACAGCTAGGTCGGCCTGTTGGGATCGGGAGAGGTGGGCGCACGAGTTTTAGTGCGGGAGTCCGGGGTGCGGGCGGAGTCCTATTGTCCCCGTGCACCCGGGCGGCAGCACCTCCGGGTCCCTCTTTAAACCGAGCGTCCGGCGACCTTTCTTTGTGCTTAGGGAGTCGAAAGCGGCATCTTCTCCGAGAGAAGTCGCCTACTGGGGGGTGGCGCTGGGGAGGTAACAATGGGCGCCCATTGTCCTCCGAGGGTCCAACGGTGACCCCCCCCCGCGCGCGCGCCCGGCCACCGGTTGGCCCCGGGCCAGGGCACAGGTACCGCGGCTGGGAGGGTCGGCCCCGCTGCCCGCGCCCTCCGCCCCGCCCCAGTGAGTCCCCGCGCCGCCGGCCCCGCCCCGCGCCGCCCCGCCCTCCGCAGGTTCAGTCCTCGCGTCCGGCCGCCCCGCGCTCAGTCGCGCGCACCTTCTCTCGCGGCCGGGGGACCGCAGCGCGGGGCTAGCCCGGAGACCCGGCCACCGGCCTGGGGCGCCTTCACGCCGTCTCGGAGCGGATAATGCGGTGAGCAGGCACCACGCCGGCAGACTCGGCTGGATCTGCGCACAGCGGCAGGGATTGCGTGCGCCCGCGGGAGGCCCGGGGCAGCGGCTGGGATCCTCAGCGGCGGCCGGTGAGTCGGGGCAGCCCAGGGCTCCTTCCTCTCTACCTGTCTGTGAGTCTGTCCCGCCCGCGGCCGTGGCCGCTTCCGGCGTGCGCTGGTGTTAGGCTGGGAAACCAGCAGGGAGTCGGGATACCCAGGGCATCGCTTTCCCATCTAGTGTCCAACGGAACGAAGGGGACATAAAGCAAGCCAGGAGGGGGTCCGGCGGCACGACCAGGACTCAGAGCTCCACCATTTGTGCCCACTACTTTTCAGGGTGGGGCTGCGCGGCCACATTGCACCCTCCGAGCTATTGGCAGAGCCATTCTGGGCGCGTATAGCATTTTTCCATCTGAGAACAAGCCGCGCTTGGCTACCGCGCCCCTCGCATCATGGATTGGTACCAGGGCCGCACATGGGTGCATCGCACAGCTCTGCCGTGGCATCGCCTGCCCGGTGCCCTCCTCTTTCTTAATGGAGGACATTGTTAGTGGGGCGCCAACCTGCAGATCTGGATATTGACTTTTTTGTTTTTTGACGGTGAACAGCTGAGACGTTTACAAGGTTTTTTGTTTTTTGTTTTCTTCCCTTTCTCCTTGAAACTAAGTGGCTTGACACAGACAAGTATCAGACATGTGAGGATGAATGGATCTGGCCATTTTTTCGTTATGAATTATTATACTCTATCCCTCTCTCGACTTTGGGAGGCATGTGTTTCATCTTATAAATAGAAAGTAGCATATTTTTGGGCAGGATCTCCTTTATACTGTGCAGTCTAGGAGAGGTCAGTTTAAAAATAAATATGCACTTGAATGTTACATTACTGAGAGCCAGGCTGTGGCTGGGACAAGCTGCGTGGACAGCAGCATCAAAGCCGGGAGCGCAGCTGTGTTGAAAGGAGTAAAAGCCCCAGAGTGCAGCCTAGGCTGACAGTCAAGTAATTACATTTTGTTTAAAAAAAAAAAAAAAAAAAGTGAGCGAATTAAAATGAGGAATGTCAGGAGGGTATTGCAACATGAATCTTTCCAGCCCTGGCGTATTTGGAGGAGTGGGCTGCTGCTGTGTGCTGAGGTTGTAGGGGGGCTCTAGGGAGGGAACTGATGAATGTGTTAGGGAGACAAAGATTCCATCCCCATCTCCCAGCTCTTAATTCTCACAATATCCAAGAGTTTCTTGGGAGTACTGCCTTTTAAAAGGAACAAAAATTAGGAGAGCAGCAGATGTCTGTATTTTAATAGCAAAGCCAGTTTTAGGGACTTCCTGTTAACATCACAGGGAGAAAAAAGACTCACCAGGAACCAGCGATGATGCCCCAAAGGTATCCCTAAGACAATTTAAAAGGCTCCTGTAATGTTCTAATTTACACAAGCTCTTTCATCTTAAAACCAGGAAATGTACCTTCTCTTCTTTTCTGGACAGTTCCAGAAGTCTACTCTTTCATACCCCCTGCAATTTGTGTGAGCTCTTATTGGTAGTTAATAAGCTACACAGGTATGTGTGTGATGCATACCCTTTTCAGAATAGATTTAGACACTCAGAAATAAGTTGGAGTAGTTGTGAAATATTTAGCATTTTCATATGTGAAATAAATGATAAAGGCCCTTTCTATAGTCAAGGAATGGTTGAAATTCTTCATAAAGTCTCCCAAAGAATGCGGGTTTCCCAATGGGCCTCACCCATTTGAATAAAACAGCACCAGCCTCTGGGCTCACAGATAAGAACTTTAGAGGAGAAATTTGGAAGCATTTCTGGATCCATGGCAGTTTCTGTTTTCCAATGGCATCATCTGCTAGAGATTTACATGATGAATTCTATGATTAGAACATGGTGCTGAGGCTGTGGCAGCAGCTACAGGCTTGAAATGAGATGAGCTCCTCTTTCCCTCAATCTGAGCAGTGAAATTGTTTCACGTATCTCTATGGAACAAGTAAAAGCAGCTAGAGTAATAAGTGTTGCACACTTTTTGCTTTTTATTGCACATTTAAGTGCGGTGCAAGATGAATAAATACAAAGCCGTAACAGTGATTGCAGAAGGGCTCACATGAGTTCATTTGCCCTGTCTGCGCTCCAGCCTTTCCTTTAATGTGGTGTTTTGTTTTATGTCCAACATGCTCACAAAAGCTGTGCTTTTTTCATGTATAAAGTTCCTGGTATTCAACAGTGTTGGGGATAAAATTGCTTTCACCTGTATCACCCAAAGATTTTTTTTTTTTTTTTTTTTTAGCCAGGCCATAGATTTTTCACAAATTCTTTGACCATTAACTGTAACATTTATCCAGTGGGTGGAATATAATTCGTAACCTAAAAACCTCCAAGAAGACTGCTCTGATCGTATTATTATTATTATTATTGTTATTCAGATTCTTGCTTTCAGTCAGATTTTATCTAGGCCCAGTCTCATTTCTTACTAACCAGAATCCTGTGAACCTGTATTTCTTTTCATTGATTGAATGAGAAATCTATTTTTAAATGCAGTATGTTTGCCAGAGAACAAGGATAGCCATTTGAAAATACTGGATTCAGCCAGCCACAAAATCTTGTGTGCCTCACCAAGCCATAGAAGACCAAGAATTTTCCTAATATATTGCATTGTTCATTACTTTGGATGTTAAAAGCACTTCCTAAGTGGAGCCCGTCCTATGTGTCAAGCACTCTTCTCAGCCTTTTGTCTTGATTATCTTACTTGTTTCTAGCAATCATCTAATGAAAGAACCGTTGTATCCCCATTTTGCTGGTGTAGAGACTGAGGATAGACCAGTTATATAACTTACCCAAAGTTGTGCAGTAAGCAAAACCTAAACATGCGTGTGCAGTTTAACAACACAATATGTGCAGGCATGAGTGGCTAATCCTATGTGAAAGTCAGCAGCTCTTTGGGTTAAGGGGATGGGAAAAAAAACTGAACTTCTGAAGCCTCCGAGTCAGGCTGCCTGGGCACATGTCCTAGTTCTGGCACTTAACACCTGTGTGACTTTGGGCAAGTTACCTCACCTTTACCTCAGTTTATCCTTTGTAAAATGGAGATAATATTATTTCCCTGAGGATTAAAGGAGTTAAAAAAGATTATGTACTCAGAACAGTGCCTGGCCCAGAGTAGCCACAATAAAAGGTTGAGGTTTTCAATGTTGCTTTTGTTTTTTTCCTAGGTACTTAATACTGGTTCTGTCATGTAATATTCATAACTATTCTTTGAGAGAGATAGTACAGTGGTCCCCAATTACCCGTGGTTTTCTTTTCCAGGGTTTCAGTTACCCATAGTCAACCATGGTCTGAAAATAGGTGAATATGGGGCATTTTAAGAAAGAAAGAGACCATATTCATGTAATTTTTATTACATTGTTATAATTATTCTATTGTTAATCTCTTACTGTGCCTACTTTACAAATTAAACTTTATAACAGGTATGTATGTATAAAAAACAACATAGTATATATGGGGTTCAGTACTGTCCAAGGTTCAGGCACCCACTGGGGGTCTTGGAACATATCCGTGGAGGATAAGGCAGACTATTATATTGCTCTTCTTTTCCAGATGAGAACACAGGCTCAGAAAGGTTTAGTAACGTGGCCAAGGTCACACAGCTAAATAGCAGAAGCAGGGTTTGAACTCAGGTCTTTTTGACCTTATACTAAATACCACACCCCCACCAATGGGGAGGAGGGGCAGAGAAGTTGTTAAATCTGATTTTTGTTATGACTTTTGGCCTCTGGCAAGGAAATAATTTCATATCACCCTGTATCTCACAGTTGAAGATGACAGTAATTGCCAGCCTTGAGGAACACTATGTAAATTATTTTATTATTAAAGATGATTCAATCCCACATATGTGGCATGAAAGTGGATCTAGCATGAACACTGCTAGGGTTAACATAAGCAGTTTAATTTATGCCATAAACGAAGAGATTTACTAGGTGAAAATGTGGGACTATATGGTGAGAAAGCAAGCCAAGCCACAGCCAGGGACAAGGACTTCTGGTGGCTGGGGATGAAGTGAAGCTCTAGCATAGACTGTGTGCTCGCTTCAAAATTCTGGGGAGCCCGGGGTTGCAGAGTCCAGTAACCACCTGTGGACAATCCCCTCCTTGAAGGCAGGAACCACACTACCTGGGCCTTCAGTCCCGGCACTCAGTGGACGTTTTAGTCCATGTTTGTTGATGATGTTGCTGCAAGAACTCAGCAGAAGAGGAGCTACAGGTAAAGTGAACAGAAAGGCACTGGGCTGTGTCCATGGCAGAAGTCAAGCCCTGTTACAGTTCAGCATATCCCCTGGGCCCTGCTAGATAAGAAACACACAACAAGGAAACCTTTGAAACCTTGTCCTTACTGCTTGCCCCGGAAAACCCACAGGGCCTGCCTTGGCCTCCACTGCTTTGATGCTCTGGGTTTGTGATTAGCTGTGGGGATCAGCTCCAGAGACTTCTCAGATGGAAACAGGGTTCTGGAAAGGACAGTCCGAAGTAACTCAGGTAGCCTCAAAGCCAATGGTTACAGTCTTGGAGCTGTCCAATTCCATTTGAAATCTTCTCCTGTCCCCACCTCTTAAAGGCTACAAAACAAAACAATACCCCACAAACCAGAATAAGTAGCCATGTAGTTCTAAAGCAATAGTCAGGTGTGTTTCTTTCCTTAAAAAAAAAAAAAAGCTTTCTCCTTGATATACTTCAGTGCCAAGTTTCATCAGAATCACATGATGATGGACTGAATTTGACAGTACCTCTGGTAGAAAAGCAGTTTTCAAATTTTAACCATACAGTTTTATAATACAAAGCATGATGCTGAGATTTAAAAGATTACTATTTCTAAATAGCCAAGTAAACTGTGTGAAAGCTGATGAGTTCCAAACTAGTGTTTGCTTAGTCCTTACTGCTTGCCTAAGTCATGAATTAATAGAATTCTAGAATCCCAAATTTAAAACTTTTTAAAAAGGATTTTCAGTGGATTGGGTTTTATTTCCATATTGGATAAAGTTATTATTAGCCTTCTAGCCTTTGGCCCTTTGTTAAACCATGTTGCAGAGATCACACACCTGCAATTAGGTAACAGGGTACCGCCTAAAGTGTACCTCGAGCCATGAATGTCATAAAAGTATTCTGTGGGACCCCAGTTTGATGAAGGTCCCTTTCTGCAGGACTTCTCAGAACATTTAAAAAGCCAGTGTATATAGTGAATCTCCACAGGGAGGTCGTGTCCAGAGTTTCTCAAATGGTTTTGCCCACTGAGCAGCTGCAGGACCAGCCTGGCAGGAAACACACTCTGGGAAACACAGAACAGAAGCTACATAACCGCAGTATGTCCTACAGAGCCGAAGCAACCCAGGGACATTTTAGTTAGAGAACCACAGGCGTTACAGGAAGAGAGCGATGAGGATGTACCAGGAGATCCTGGCAAACGCTGATAAAACTAATGGAGAATTAAGTGAGGGCAATCAAAAGGGGTGTCTGTGTGTAGAAATAGAGATTAAAAAAATACCAATTCTGGTCTTAGCTCTGACCCAAATTGTATAACCTTGACCTCTTGGGGTTTTCTTGTTCTCATCCCTAAAACGTAGCATTTGGTGAGAGATGATCTCAGATAATCTCTGGCTCCAGAACAGTGAGCCAGGATCAGTGGCACCTATTAGCATAGCTATCTTACTACTAATAATGTAAGACTCTGGGTTGAAAAACAGACCCGTGCAGATCTCTGGCAGAGCAGCCTGAGCAAGCGTGGAAGGCAGGGAACTTCCAAGTCAGGCCTCTATTTAGACAGCTTCCACATTTGGGAATCCGTCATGTTCTGGTGACAACCTGAAGGTCCTATTTGTAGACACATCATGCCAATGATAGATCGTTGTCATGAGTTTAGTTGAAAAAGAGCTTTTCTGTCCAAATACATCATAATCATTTAGGCTACATACATTTTTTAAAACAAGCAGAGGCATTTTTGGTGAAATGTGGCTTTGCCATTCAGAATGTGTTTGATTTCTCAACCTTTTTATTTATTTTTTAAACTTTTGTTTTGCCAAGGGTCAGTTCAGACTTAAAACATTGATTTTAACACAGCGGGAGATGAGGCTCTAAGCCTTTGGCTGACCAGCTAGTCAGAAAACAAATCCTTCCCCTTCTCTGGGCAGGCTCCATCCCATCACCTGTGAAAAAAAATGGCAGAGTGGGAGGGTGGGGATGGGAAGGGAGGCCAGAGAAGTGTGTGGATGTTCCCCAGGCCCTCTCCTGGCCCTAAACTGTGATTCTGTTCCTCTTTTTTCTTGTATCAGAGGCATTTCCATAGTGTCTTGTATCTTCTCCTATTGTAACACTTACTACATTTAAGTTATCTTTATATATATATAAAGGGGAGTTTATTAAGGAATGTTGACTCACATGATCATAAGGTGAAATCCAGTAATAGGCCTAACTTTTAGGTCCGGGGCTACATGTGCAGGTTTGTTACGGAGGTAAACTCATGTCACGGGGTTTTGATGTACAGATCATTTCATCACCTAGGTACTAAGCATAGTACCTGATCATTAGTCTTTCTGATCCTCTCCCTCCTCCCGCCCTTCCCCCTCAATTAGGCCCCAGTGTCTGTTGTTTCCCTCTTTGTGTCCATTTGTTCTCATTTAGCTCCCACTTACAAGTGAGCACATGCGGTATTTGGTTTTCTGCTCCTGCGTCAGTTTGCTAAGACTAATGGCCTCCAACTCCATCCATGTTCCTGATTGACGCAAGTGCCTGCCTAATTAGACTACCGGCTCCTCAAGGATAGGGACTGAATCTCATTTATCTTGTCATTCATCTTTGCTGCAGTAGGACTTAATGACAAAGTGGGCAGTATAGCCCTTGCTATACTATCTGATTCTTTCTGTAGCATATCTCCTCAGTTGTTGTCAGGTCAGAAATCTTTGTCGCTTACTTGCTGTATTAGTCAGGGTTCTCTAGAGGGACAAGACTAACAGGATAGATGTATATATAAAGGGGAGTTTATTAAGGAGTGTTGACTCACATGATCATAAGGTGAAATCCCATAATAGGCTGTCTGCAAGCTGAGGAACAAGGAAGTTAGTCCAAGTCCCAAAACCTCAAAAATAGGGAAGCCAACAGTGCAGCCTTCAGTCTGTGACCAAAGGCCTGAGAGCCTTCTGGCAAACCACTGGTGTAAGTCCAGGTCCAAAAACTGAAGAACTTGGAGTCTGATGTGTGAGGGCAGGAAGCATCCAGCACGGGAGAAAAATGAAGGCCAGAAGACTCAGAAAGTCTAGTCCTTCCACGTTCCTCTGCCTGCTTGTTTTGTTTTGTTTTGTTTTGAGATGGAGTCTCACTCTGTCGCCCAGGCTGGAGTGCAGTGGCGCAGTCTCGGCTCACTGCAAGCTCCGCCTCCCAGGTTCACGCCATTCTCCTGCCTCAGCCTCCCAAGTAGCTGGGACTACAGGCACCCTCCACAACGACCGGCTAATTTTTTGTATGTTTAATAGAGACGGGGCTTCACCGCCTTAGCCAGGATGGTTTCCATCTCCTGATCTCATGATCTGCCCGCCTCAGCCTCCCAAAGTGCTGGGATTACAGGCATGAGCCACCGCGCCCGGCCTCCTCTGCCTGCTTTTATCCTAGCCACGCTGGCAGCTGATTAGATGGTGCCCACCCAGATTGAGGATGGGTCTGTGTCTCCCAATTCACCGACTCAAATGTTAATCTCCTTTGGCAACACCCTCACAGACACACCCAGGAACAATACTTTGCATCCTTCCATCAAGTCGACACTCAGTATTAACCACCACACTAGCTTATTTTTAAGTCCTGCTGTAGTAAAGTTACTCCTTCCCAGGCTACAGAACATTCAAATGCAAGGGGAGTCACCCCAGTCATTTGGTTGTGGTGATAGAGATCATCTGCGGGCCCTGTGGAAATAGGTCAAGCCCCTGCTGGAACCTTCTCAAGATCTCCGCGGAGAGATTGGCAACCCCCACCAATGCTTTCTCGTGCCCTGGGAGTGACTGAGGCAACTTGGCACCCATGTGTCCACTTAGAGCACAGAGTAAGGGTCCTTGTATTTCCTATTGCTGCCTAGACCTCTCGCCAGCCATTAACGAATAAATAAACATGAGCCATTTATTTATTTGTTATATTAGCGTCAGTCTCTCCACAGTGGAGTGCATCATTGCTGCGGCCTCAACTTCTAGAATAGTGCCTGGCACTTAGTAGGCCCTCCATGGATGTTTGTTGTTGAACACATGAGGGACCAGCCAGGGGCTGGGGAGGCACATGGAAGGTTGGTTTGTTTTTTTTGTTTTGTTTTGTTTTGTTTTGTTTTTGAGACCGAGTTTCACTCACTCAGTTGCCCAGGCCAGAGTGCAGTGGCACAGTCTTGGCTTACTACAACCTCTGCCTCCCGGGTTCAAGAGATTCTCCTGCCTCAGCCTCATGAGTAGCTGGGATTACAGGCACCCGCCACCACACCCAGCTAATTTTTGTATCTTTAGTAGAGACTGGCTTTCACCGTGTTGGCCAGACTGGTCACGAACTCCTAACCTCAGGCGATCCGCCCGCCTCGGCCTCCCAAAGTGCTGGGATCACAGGTGTGAGCCACCGCACCTGACTGTGAAAGGCTTTCTAAAGCTGGCTTCCCATGGGTTGAACTGGCGAGAGGCACATGGCTCACTCTGTGCATGTCGCAGCACCAACTAGAGCCTGTTTTCTTGCTCTCAGACGGCTTCAGAATGAAATGTCTTCCTAAAGAGTGTTGATTTTTGGCCTTCTATTAAGTTTAGTGTAAGTTTATGCTGGTGATGGGGATTTGTTTTATATTCCTTGTGGGCTCACCCTGGGATGGTGGTGCTTTACTTGCCAGCCTGGGGGAGTGAGGTTCAGAGAGAGGTCTCTCAGGGTGGTGCAGGGAGTAAAGCAGGGACTTCTTTCAAATTCCGTTCTTTTTTCAGAATGGGGAATTAGACTATTGAACCCAGAACATTTGGGAGTTTTTCACACTGTATTTAAAACAATCAGTTTAGGTGGCCAGATCCCAAGGTCTAAAAGGAGTAAGGTTAAAAGGAATCCCCACCATGAGCTTCCAGCTCATCTTCTTCCTTATGCAGCTCCAGCTTTTTGGGGTAATTTATAATGAACATTACCCCTTCCATTGATATGGGCTCATTGCCTGCCAGGTGCTTTGCCAAGCACTTTATGCTCGTTGTTACCCAGGAAGACTCCCACCTTTGCCATTTGCACTTCACAGATGGGGACACTGAAGCTCCCAAAGGGAGTCACTACATGGCTCAGGACCCTTAATTTAATACCAGGAAGGATGGGAAAGGGTGATGAAAATTGTATTCGCTGGTAAAAAGTATTTTGATTCTAAGGCTAGTCTTACTTTCCTTAAAAACATTACTTTTTTTTTTTCTTTTTTGGAAACTTCCTAGACGCTAGATGTTTCTGCAAATAGAATCACAGAGCCCTACCATTTGACAGATGGAAGGGACCTTATCTCAGCCCCAGTCTCATTCTGACATGATAAAACCAAGGCCTTAAGTGTTTAAGTGACACAGAGCATGAATCTTCCTCCTAGGCCCAGCTCTGTCGAACTTTTTTTTAAGCCAAGGAAAAGAAAATCTTAAGCCTGATATATAAACAGATAATAACATAATTTCTTTGGTTAAAAAGGAGAGAGATTGGCCCTACTTATCACGTATTTAAGAAAATAACAACATGCCCTTTTGTTTTTTCTCTTCTCTCATACATCACTAATTCTGGTGGGGTCTGTCCAGAGTCCGTCAGATGGCTATGACTTTTTCAGCCACCTCCTCGTGCTGTCAGCTCCCGGTAGCCTTGCCGTCCAGTTTATAACGCCAGCAGCCAGAGCCTGCACCATTCTGCGCAAATGGGATTATATAATTAATGTTAACCCAAAAGCAGGACTTCTATTCATCATCATTCAGTTCATTCCTGTGGGCTTCATCCAGCCCCGGCTCTCGGTCCAGGTAATTCTGGACCCCAGTTAGCCACTGGCACAATGAAGCTCCCTCTACGTCTCCTGTTTATCTTTAGATTTGATAAGTGCATCTCCTGTGTCTTCCAAGTCACTTGCCCTATTAATAAGATCCCTTTAAGGCTTGGCTAAAATTGGCAGATTACAAGTAATTGACCCATCTAGCAACTGTGTCATGTATGTAAGCAAGTGAGGTGCCAGTGAACTTTTTATCAGTGCCTACTGAGCATATATCCCCTAAGTGTTCAAAACCCAGACCTTTACTGAAGATACATGTGATAGTAGTCACAAGTAATTGTCTCTTCTTTTTGGAAAATCAAATCATTTGCCTGTGTGTGTATATATATATACACACACTATACACACACGCACACACACACACACACACTGTACACACACACTATATATAGTATACATACATATGCATACATACATACTACTCCCTATAGTTTTTCACAAGGTTTTCATAAATGGTTTCATGATCAAAAGGAAATAAGTGATTTCAGGACCTTAGGCTCTTCCTTACTCATCAAGCCTGGAAATCTGGACTCCCATATGGTATGAAGTCCCTTCCAATGATTACTGGTCCACTCTGGCCTTCCATTTCCCTTTGACAGGGTTAGTTGTGCACACTCCCTAACCCTACACCCTCCAGATCCCATCATTTCCAGGTCTGCTACTTTGAGGTTCATTCCATTTTTTTTTTTTTTAACCTTAAGGTAGACGCAAAATAGAAGTTGAATAAATCAGAGAAGGTAACATTCCCCTTTGGTCTCAGCTTCCTTTTTCCTTAAAAAGTAAAACCAAATGAACAAAAGTAAAACCAAAGTAACTTAAAATGAAATTTAAATGGAAGTAAAAGGATTTTCCTCTTAAAATCATCCATAAGATAAAGTAAGTGGGTCAACAGAGAATTTAGGAGAAAAAAAATGTTAGATTGTTTGTATTTATTTATGTCTTAAGGTCAGGGGCTACTGTAAGAGATCCCAAGTTGGTATGAAAACACCACTTTTATCTGACCTATATAGCAGTTGTTGTAATTTTCCCAACTCCGGGACGTTTCATTTGTTCCTAAGGCTGGAAGAGCCCCAACTGAAGATAACCGATGCATGTAGGTGTGAATGAGAAGATAGCCCCAGCCCTATGTCCCATTGACAGGGGAATTAACTTCTAATCAAGCTGGTGGTAGGAATCCCTTCCAACTGTGGAGACTGTCCACAGGATCAATAGGAACCATTTTAGCCTCATCTGCAACAATTTTATTAATGAGTGGTACAGGCGAAATTTAAGGAGAAAATAGAAGTGTTTATTTTGGCAATGAGAATAGTTTCCCCTCCACTCTGTATTTCAGTAGATAGTCTGGTCTCATTTGGGGAAAAGATAATGCCTTGTGTTTACATAGCACTGTAGATTTTAACACTCAGCTCTAACACCTGTGGTTATTATAAAGTTTGGGATGATTATCTCCATTTTACATGAAGGTAACTGGTACCCAGTGTATCAGGGCTTCTGCGTCTTACAGGGCTGGCTCATAGTTTTGGTCCAGCTCTTCCCCCGCTCAGGCCAGGAACAGCAGTGAGATAGCAGTTTCGTTGGCCCGTACAGTCGGTGTTTCATTTGGTTTGGTTTGGCAAATGTTTTGATAGGTTTATTTTTCCCCACATATCTGATCTGTGCCAGTCACACATTGATCTTCCAAACAACCCTTTTCTATAGACTGTCCATTGTAGTTTCTTGAGGTTTCCTTGTACATTTTAGGCCAAATGAGCCAAGTTCTCCCTTAACACATCTCCTTTTGAAAAGAGAAAAGAGCAAGTTCATTGTTTCTCCAGGGCCTCATTCTTTAAGTTTGATTTAAGTAGAGTCACTGAGTTTGAATTCAGAGGACTGTATTGTCAAATTTTCTTTGAGTCTTACCTAAGACACTATTTGCACATTGCATTCAGGGATAGGAGTCATATCTCTTTCAAACAGCATGTCCACAAATATTTGCCTTAAGATCTATATTTTTTATCTGTATATTTGCCAAAGATCTGTATGGTCCTGTAGAATTACTCTGGCTTGCATTGATACACTGTTAAATTATTACCCTGCATGGATAGGGGAAGGTTAAAATGGCTTACAGATGGAAAAATGAAAGCCTTTGCCACAAGAAAAGAGGAGACAGCTTCTTGTTACATGTTTGTTTTCTTCTGTAAGAATCATAGATTCCATCTTGCATTTTCAATAGAGCAGGCAGGGTTAAAGAGGAAGAGGCACAGCAATGTCTTTCAAGCTTTCTCATTTGTTTATCCATTCAACATTTTTTTCAATACCTGCTATGAATAAGATCTCCGTTCTCTCTCCCAGATTATAGCCTGATTGGGGAAGAGTTAAATAAGTAGTGGTAATAATCCAGTGTGATAGTTGCTAGGTTTGAGGTGTACACAGGACGCTATGGGAGCTTAGGATGCCATGGGGAACTGGCAGGAGATTCAGTTGCAAGTGTGGCAGGCCCCCCAGATTGCTGAAGTGGGCTTCACAAGCTATTTTATCTTATCTCCAAGCTGTAGCCTTAAAACCCTTGAAAGGTTTTAAAGCAGAGAGTGATAAGGTTACATGAGGATTCTAGGTACCTCACTCTGGTGTAGATTGGAAGATAAGGTGGAAGGACCGGGGAGGCAGGGAGGTAGGTGAAAGGCAAATGTCCTTGTGCAGGAGAAAGATCATGGGGGCCAGGAGTAAGGCTGATGGAGCAGGGATGAATGAGGAGAGACAGTCCAGACAGACTGATAGGACTATAGGACTTGATGTAGAGATGGAGGCGGGGAGAAGTGCTGGGATGATAGCTGGGTTTTGGAATTGAGTGACTTCTGCCATTTACCAGGAAAGCATAGTTTGGAAGGCAGATGCCTAAGGCAGGCAGGGGGAAGAAAGATGGCAAATCCCATTTGGGGCAAGGTTTATGAGTATTATATGGGACAAGGGAAGCAAAGTAGAGAAGTCTGGAATATAAGGGAAGGGAAAGGCCAATCAATGCTTTTCAAACTCTCTGGGAAGGGCCACTGTCTTTTTGTTTGTTTCCATTTCCAATCCATTGTACAATACTACTGTGCACAAGGAATATGGAGCTTGGGCCACACACAACCGCCATGCAAGCTCAACAGCATACAGCTCCCAAACTTGTCAATAGCCTATTCAGTAAGAAAAAAATCTGTTGGTCACATGCTTGATGTTAAGGCAATGTCAAAAAGATCTTGCTTCCAACTTCTGTTCTTATCTCATCATGGACTGTATGAACCCACTTTGAGTAGCACTGGTCTGGACTTAAGTAGATGCATGTGGGTTGAAGGTACTGACTTGGAAGTTATCCCTAGAGGTGGTATGTGATTGCCGGGGGAATTGTTGAGGAGTGGGGGATGGGCAGCAGCCATCCAACCCTATGAAAATGCCAACATTTAAGACAGGGGTTCAGACTTCTTCTGTAAGGGCTCAGTTAATACTTTGGGCTTTGAGAGCAACATACAGTCTCTGTCACAGGCTACTCAACTCTGACCTGATAGAGCAAAAGCACCTTTACTGGGATTTCTCAACTTCAGCACTACTGAGATTTGAGGCCAGATAATTCTTTGCTTTGGGGAGTTGTCCTGTACACTGTAGGATGTTTAGCAGCATTCCTGGCTTCTACCCACTAGATGCCAGGAGCACACCACCCCCAGTCACGAAAACCCACAATATTCCCAGACATTGCCAAATATCGCATAGGGAACAAATATCACCCTCAGTTGAGAACCCCACTGAGCTGTAGACAGTACATAAATGAATAGGCATAGGTGTGTTCTAATAAAACTTTATCTATAAAAACAGGCAGGGGGCCGGATTTGGCCGGCCTGTAGCTTGTAGACCCTTGACTTAAGGGATGGTCAGAAAGAAAACTAGAAGAGCTTATTCAGTAAGATTTGAGGGCCTTCTGTGTCCCCAGCTCAAGAGGAGGCTCTGTAAGTGATTCAGCATAAAAAGGAGGAGAGTTTTCCCAACAGGAACACTCATGTATAGCCCTTTTGCTTACTTTATTCTTTTTGAGCTCACCAGCCACCTGGAAATATCAGGCATTAAAACCACAAAACAGGAAAACAACAAATCACATAATACAAGCCCTCCACAACCCCTAAGAAAACCCCTAAGCAAAGCAGTAGCAAGGTTGGATTACGTGAGGTGCATTCGAGTAGACTTCCTCCAGGAAGGAAGTGCATCTGGAGCAGGTCTCAGAGGATGTTGTGAATAGAGGCTGATGGTAAGAAGGTGGGAGAGCTTTCCATGTAGGGAACACAAGGTTCTTAGTTTCAGGTTAGGAGGGAAATGAAGTGTCAGTTAGGAAGCTAGGGAGCTATTGTCCCCAGTGAAAGCCTGTGATTGTTCACTGTCGCATGCAATGGGCTTCCTCTGGGAAAAGAATGAACAGCACTTAACACGATTTTCTAAGAACAGGATGTTTGTTTTTCTCCTCGAGGATGGCGGGGGGCGGGGGGTGGGGGGGGGGCTTTGTTACTTTACAATTCAAATCTTTTGACGTTTACCACAAGTCAAATTCCTTTTGAGATTCTTGTTGACAATAGCAAAAATACTGAAAAGTCCTAGTGAGTTAGAGATGGAGGGACCAGTGTCTAGGACCCTTCTTCTCATTTTTGGCTTCTGACAAGGTCAGGTTAGCATCTCCACCTCTCATCCGTGTTGCGCTCTTGGTGTGTCATTTCCTCTTGGTGCTGTCAGACTTCAAGATACATAGTCTTCAGGTTGGCAGTCCTTGAGTTATCAAATCGGCAGTGGCTACAGAATGCAGCTATGGCTGGAATCCTAGCTCCTCCACATTTTGGGTGATTGACTGGAGACACAGGCTTCATCTAAGACTGCTTCCTAAGAGGTATGCTCTGAGCATTACATGCCTGCCTGGCCCACAGAAAGCACTCATGCTAGCTAGTACTCTTCACAGGTGTAAATTATTTAGAGAACAAAGCATTTCAGATTTGTCACTTTCCAGAGAGCCTCTGTAGACTTGCTCTAGGGTTTGGCCCCCGGGAGCAAGTCAACCTGGCTCTCATGATGGAAAGTCTAGCAGGGGTTATGGATTTAACACTTGTGAATTTGAAGTTCACTGTGGGCCATGTGTTGTGGGAGGCAAAAGATGAATAAGCTCATGCCCACAGAAGAGCTTTCAGCCTAGTTAGAGGGAAATCATTCAACAAATATATTTGTAGTAACACATATACAAATAACGCAAGGATGTTGGTAGTGGAAGTAGATTGAGAGTAGAATGACGACTACCAGATTCCACATATAGCCAGTGCTGGTATCATACAGAAAAGCCATGTTTCAGCCCATCCAAGGAACGTGGATTATTGTAGACAGCCCTAGCAGGGTGGCAGAATAGCATGGAAGTCCTGTATTTGTCCCTTTACCCCATCAGAGAACTTGAGAATGTGGCCTAAAGGCAAATGGCTAGGAACTTTGCCCTCCAAGGTAGTATGGGTTAAATGACCATAATCTGAATTTCTGGACAGTGTCAGCTTATTATTTGGGATCATTTGAAATTACCATTACCAGAACTGGAGTACTGCATAGAATAATTGCTGACTTAAATATTAATATTTTGTGAGCAACTGAGAGCAAGTTCCTTGCTTTTGAGCAGAGATTAGAATGAATATCCTGGCTGAATACTGCTGAAAACTTCAGAGTCAAGTTCTCTTCCTGTATTGATATTGTCCTTGCAGCATCACAGACCAAGTCAGATCCATTAGTTATGGAAACACGTGAGCAGTTCACAGCAATGGCCTTATCAGAGATTCACATCCATGAAACTAGAGTGCCTGCCTGGGTGCTTCTGACCAGCCCTGGTGCCATGTACAACACGTCCTGATAAATGAACCAGGCATGAGAGGACTTGCCCTCCTCCTGCCTTGTTGTAACTGCCAGAGTTCTATGTCCACATTGAGTCTTCCCCAGTAACTCATTTTTATAGGAAAAAAGGTCCTAATGGCCTCTGTTCAAAAGTGCAGACTTGGTGCTATGTGAGGTGGACCTTCTGTCTTCCAATTTTGCTTCTAAGAGATCTTTCAAATTAGATCCCATAAAAATGAGACGTGTACACAAATTAGCACTGAGTCTCACATATGGTATTTGTGGGTCTGTATATAATCAGGGTTGTAAAAGAACAATAAATTCAAGCTGTAGCTGAATCACAAATGAAAGTCCTTTAAAATAATGGAAGGTGAGATGTATCAGACTTTGAATGGGTCTTTAAAATACCGCCTGCTCGTTCTGGCTAAGTTCATTTGCATAACAGAGCTCAGCAGCTGGGGAGCCAGCTAATAGAGTTTCATAGTCTTGAAGCTTAGAGCTATGTCCTCAGTTTAGATGATATGGGGAGAGGGTAAGAATCTAAAAATAGAAAAGGCATCTTCTTATCTTCTCAAATGGGTGGAGTTAAACAGACTGAAAATATGAAAAGCATCCCCTTCGGGTTACTGGGTGCTTCTGGTTACACTGATTTCCGCCTTAGAAATTCAGCATTGAACTTAAATGAAAATCTAACACTATGGGGTTTTTTTCCCCTTCAATTTTAAAATTATTCAGAGAAGCACTCCTACAGAGGTTTGTAAAAGGATTGACATGAGCGTCCACATTGTAGTAATATTTTAGTGTTTCTGATCCCAAAGATTGGCTGGTCATTTCTATATTAGTAAGAAGACTGCCGTGTTCAAAGAGAAAGCTTCTTCAAGGGAAAGTCCGTGTGCGTTTTTCTATGGAAAAGTGACATGGGACTACAAGGAAATTGGCAGTGATCGTGTTCCCATACAGGAAACTCAGAATAAATGGGAACGTGAACACCTCCCTTCACGCACTGTCAGGGAGGCGCAGGGTAACCGCCCTCCCCTCTGTGAGAGCTTCATCCCATGGCCATACTTGCTGTCCCCTCCCCACCCCAGCCCATTCCATCTTTTGAGAAACCTGAGCTGTTACTTGGAGGAGCCAAAATCTTTCCTTGTAGTTTCTGCTTGGTAGCTCTAGGGCCTCCCAGAACAAGTTAATTCCTTTTCATTACAATTAAATGAATCCTTCAGATCCCTTAAGATTAGTTTTCTCTTTCTATGAGTTCTCTTTAAGCTGCTCTATTCCTTCAGCCTCTTCTCACATGTCCTAATCGAGCTCCTTCACTTCCTCCCATTTGCCTCCCTCTGAACATGCGGGGACATGTTCCAGGTAGCCTTTATCCCTTCTAAATGTGGAGCCTAGGATCATGTTCTGGGCGCTTGGCACAGTGGAATTATTATCTTCTGGTTGGCAGCAGAGAGACATAGCCCACAGATGGTTGGGGGTAGGGAGGCGGCGGAGGGTACTTGGCCGAGTCATCATCCTCCCCTAGGACTGTTGGTTCCAACATGCAGGAGGAGTCGCTGGATACTCTGGCATGGGGCTCAGATGGTGCAGTAGTGCAGTGGTGCCGTGACTGGCCGCATAGTGCGACTGTGCTGAGGCAAAGCGAAAAGTGATCAGAAGCTGGAATGTCCCTGAAGGATGTGACAACCGAGCCAGAAAGGGGAAGTCGGATGCAGGCTCACTTCCTGCAAGGAGGAGAAAAGAACAGAGCCGCAGGTCCCTGGGGGCAGTAGCACCCCTCAACCCACCTGCCCATTTTTATACATGTGTGTTTTAAATTAACACTGCAACCTGTTTTGCAGGATGCAATTTTTTTTTTTTTTTACTTTTTCTCTCCACTAAGAATTAATCTAAAAACAATTAGTAGGCAAACCAAACATTCCTTTAAAATAAATGGAATTTTAAAAATATCCCAACTCCTTGGTTCTTTTCAGAGTCCTGTAAGTTGCCAGTGCATCAACTCTAAGTAACTTAGGAGCTGATTTTTCTGTCTGTCATTTTTTAAAACCGCTTGATTTTCCCTTCCTCCTGGCTGCTGCCCTGTTTTGATATTTTCAGCATCATTCTGTTTGCCAAAAAGATGGTAAGAAATGAAGCAAAGCACCGCTTCAGTTTTTTTCTTAACCAAATTATTTATTACTGCTGTGATTATTTCTATCATTATCACTGTCATTTACGCTTCAGTCAGTCACAAGAAACTAGAATTGTCTAGCCTAGTGCAACCCGGCTCTCTTCCTTCCTTATAAAAACCAGGGCCGTAGCTTCCTCTCCGGTCCTTTTGTGTATTGAAACTCTTGGATTTCTCACACAACCTGTAAGGGAGCATGTCCGTTCTCAGCAGCACTGTGCCCACCTGTCTGCCTGCCACATGTGTTCTCTCTGACCTGCCACATGACTGACTGGCAAGCTGGACCCTTTTGTTGGCAAATCTTTTCTCTCTAGTGCCCCAGGAACTAGAGCATTTGTTTTTAAAGGAATCTAACTTCTGAGATGAATGTTATCTCCAGTGTTATCTATGAAGGGAAAGAGGAACAAACCATGATCCAAGAACTAGGAGAAAGTTTGTGGAACTAGAAAGAAACCAGGAATAATTGTGGGAAGTTCAAATTTCAGGGTCAAGGTTTTTGAGAAAGGGCTAACTATAAGAACCTTTGTCTGTCTTTTAAGATTTAGGTAAGATAGTGGGAGTAGAGAAATGCAAGAAAACTAGAGAGCCAGGCATGGTGAGGCTCATCTGTAAGCCTAGCTGCTCGGGAAGCTGAGGCAGGAGGATCACTTGAGGCCAGGAGTTCAAGACCAGCCTGGGCAACATGGCAAGACCCCTTGTTCTAAAAAAAAAAAAAATTGTTTTTAATTAGCTGGGAATGGTGTTGTGCACCTGTAGTCTCAGCTACTCAGGATGCTGGGGCAGGAGGATGGCTTGAGCCCAGGGTTTCGATGCTGCAGTGAGCTGTGATCATGCCACTGCACTCCAGCCTGGGTGACCACATGACTTGACCCTTGGTTGCAGGAAAGGGGTTCAAGATGAGGAAAGGACAGACACGAGTGAATGTGCTCAGCACCCTCAGATGGCTCAGTGCCCACAGGTTAATGCTGGTGTTGAGAGTTTTGACTGAGACAGAAAGCTAAAATTCTCTCATCTGGGTTGTGGAACACCCAGGAGGGCCCGCTCCCTAGTTGTAGTCTGGTAATTCGCTTCCGGCCTGTAAGCCTTTCCTGTTTAGCTCCTCCTTTTCTCTTTTCCCAGCATCCCTTCCTCCAAGCAGATCCTTCTTCCTTCTGGGCAGAACGCAAAGCCCTGGGGTTCCCCTGACTCATGCTGACTGTTCTGATGTGTTGGTCATTCACCAGCAGTCTCCTGGAACCCAGGTGTCTTCTATTTTCTTTTTTTTTTTTTTTTTTTTTTTTTTTGAGAGGGAGTCTTGCTCTGTCACCCAGGCTGGAGTGCAGTGGCACGATCTTGGCTCACTGCAAGCTCCGCCTCCCGGGTTCATGCCATTCTCCTGCCTCAGCCTCCCAAGTAGCTGGGACTACAGGCGCCTGCCACCAGGCCCGGCTAATTTTTTGTATTTTTAGTAGAGACGGGGTTTCACCGTGTTAGCCAGGATGGTCTTTATCTCCTGATCTTGTGATCTGCCCGCCTCGGCCTCCCAAAGTGCTGGGATTACAGGCTTGAGCCACCATGCCCGGCCCCAGGTGTCTTCTTAAAATGATGAGGAGGGATGGGATTTCAAGTCATGGCATATAGGCCCATTCCATCATCAAAGGTTATCTGTGTGTGTCACTAGTCACCCTTGCACAAGTTGCTGTCCTCACGGGCCCAGGCGATTCCACCTGCCTGCACTTCCCTCCTCGCTCATGCCCTGGCCAGCAGCTCCTCCTGCATCCTCTCCCACCTGTTGAATTTTCTCACTTTCCTTTCCGACTACAAATGTTTCTCTTCTGAGATCTCTTCCCTTTTACAAAGTACAGATCCATGCTGCCTCTTTGGTGAAGGCCTGATCACAGAAGCAAAAAGTGATCTGTCCCATAGCCAGGGTCAGGGGAGACGTGGCTCAGGCCTTTTGTGAAGTCTTCATATACCCACACACTGCCATTGCAGATGCTGCTTTTAGACACATTTTCCTGATGTTTGTGTTATGATCAGTAACTCATAGTAGGCTTTTCAGGACCTAACAGCCATGTATAAAATTGGCTCTCCAGGAAAGCCTAATCTGAGCCCTGCATACACATTTATATATTTGTGATTTAAAAAAAAATAGCCAGTTCATTAACATGATTTGAAAATCCAAAATCATAAAAGGATAGTGAAATTTCTTTGCCACCCTGTTCCCCTTCCATCTACTTCCCCTCTCTGTGGACAGTCACTATTATTACTTGTGTGTTTCCAGAAATACTCTATAGATAAGCCAGTACAAATATAAATACACGCATTTGCACCTCTTTTTTTTTCCTTTGATGATGTACATCTTTGGGCTCTTCTCGGATGAGCATATTAAGCACTTCTTCATCCTTTGTTAGATCTGAGTAGTATTTATTTGGAAGGATACGCTTAACTGAACCAGTCCTCCATAGGTGGACAATTAGGTTGTTTCCAACTCTTGACTGTTATAAACTGTGCTGGTTTGAACAGCCTTGTTATTTCTCTGTGAGTTGGGTAAATCCCTATAAGTGCAATCTGAGGTCAGAGGGCATATGATTTGCAGTTTTGATAGATATTGCCCCACTGCCTCTACTGAGTTTGGACCTGTTCATACTTCAACTGTCAGTGTATGCAGGGCCTGTTTCCCATCCTCATCAGCCCAGCACATTGCCACACATTTGTGTTTTAAACAGGCTTTGGAATGCACCCCTTTCATAATTAGGGAGCAGACAGAATTCCCAGGGAGGGTGCTCATTAAATATCATGTCAAGACCTCAAAGCTCAGAGCCCAGCCATGTGGCTTCGTGCTTGGTAGCCATGCAGCCTTGGCAGAGTGGCTGGATATCAGTTCGTCAGTAGTGATCCATTTGTAAAATGAGGATAGTCACAGTAACAGCCTCATGGCTTCCTCAGCTAGTCCATGTCAAGGGTTGGAACAATGCTCGGTACATAGAGAAGCCCTCAACAAATACCGACTTGTATCAAGTGCTGCTGGTACCCAGGAGATGCTCATACCCTCTCCAGGAGCAGCCACTTCTTGCTAGGGAAGAAACTATCCCATTAGGTTTCTGCCTAAGTAAGTAATTGGCAAAGATTTTGAAAGAGCAGTGAGCCCAGGAAGCAGAAGGGGAAACTGATCAAGCTGCATGGACTTAGCCCAGAATGTTCAGAAAGGAGAGAGAAGGAAGTGGTCAGTTCGAGAAATTATGGGCATTGGATTATCAGCGTTGGATTGACTCTCCTGGGATCAATCATGGTTGCCCCTGAGCTGGGGAGGAAGAGAACAGATGCAATAGAAGGACTAGATCAGAGCTGCCAGATACTTTCCCAGCAGCACAAACGTCAACTTACCTAGAGTTGTAAAACTGACATTTTGCCCAAAATTCTTAACTTTCAGGGTATTTGGGAGCTGTTAGGATTGGCAATTCAGATTCAATTCAAATTATTTTTTTCTATAGTCCTAGAAGCCTATGCCCCATCATGCAGTAAATATGATGTAAATATTTGTAGAAAGAAAGCAAAATGCCTCTGAAGGTATCTTCTCCAGTATCTCCTACTCACCAGAATCTCACTACAGCTTAGGTAGCCTCCCCACCAACCCTTTTCTTGCCTTTTTCTTTGCTGCTTCCCTCCAACCTTTGCCTCCATGCCACCGACATGAAGCCCCACTTCAAGCAGGATGAGTGAGCCTCTGGTTGGAGGCCCCTGGTGCTGGTGCCTGTGGCTGGGCAAGGACTGACCAAAGGCTGGGGCTTGACGAGCATCTTGCTCCCTGGTGGGTGCCCAGCCCCCACCAGCCTACCGACTGGGCCCTCCCTCCCCTGCACCCTCAGCAGCACACACTTTCTCCCCCTTTGCTCTTCCTCCTCACTGTCCCAAATCCTTGTTTAATTCAAGGGTGTATGTGAATGATCCAGTCAGAGTGGCAGGGAACTGCTCTCTGGCTACATTTTCATGGGATTTTTTTTTTTTTTTTTTTTTTTTTTTTTTTTTTTTTGAGACAAGGCCTTGCTAGGCTGTAGTGCAGTGGTACAATCATAGCTCTCCGCAGCCTTGAATTCCTGGGCTCAACCAGTCCTCCCACCTCAGCCTCCCAAGTAGCTAAGACTGCAGGTGTGTGCTACCATTCTCAGCTAATTTTTTAAGAAAGTTTTTGTAGAGATGAGGTCCCATTATGTTGCCCAGGCTGGTTTCAAACTCCTGGACTCAGTCAGTCCTCCTGCTTCAGCCTCCTGAGTAGCTGGGACTACCGGCGGGTGCCCCCATGCCCAGCTAATTTTTTTTTCATAGAGACAGGGTCTTGCTATGTTGCCCAGGCTGACCTCAAACTCCAGGCCTTAAGTGATCGATTTTTTTTTTTTTTTTTAAATAATTGGAACCCCCTGCCCTGGGACCTGGCCTTGCATAACCCTGCCTCCATCAGCTGACCCCAGGCAGCCCTGGCATGCCCTTGAGTTGTGGTGGACACGCTGTATCTTTCCATGGCAGCTGCCTTCCTGGCCGTGTGTGCTGAGGACACCACTCCTGTGGGCAGCTGTTCCTCAGGCCACCCAGCTGCTCCTGCAGGCAGTCAGCCACACTGTGCCCAAAGGGCAGGGAGGCCACCTCTGAACAGCAGGGGGCCCGAGGCCAGGACTAGGCATTGTACACTCATACAGGAAGGAAGTTCTGATGTTTTAACAGGAAGAACATGGGCTTCAACTTTTGTTACCACAACAAGACCCAAATTAGAGCTAAAACTATGAGAACGAGTGTCAGGACCCACGATCATGTCATTGCTGGCAGCCCCATGGTCAGCCCACTCTGCATGAATGCAAACCTCCTCGTACTTTCTCTGCCTCCTCCCCATACCCAAAGCCCGAGTGGGGCTGGCTCTCTCTAGTGCATTGTTCTCAGCCTTCTCCGGCCTGGGTTGCTGGCCAGCATGCTGACACGCTGAGCTAGCTGCTTCCCAAATTGAGTTAGCTGTTACTGAGCCAGTGGGTGGTGGAGCACAGTTCTTGTCACCTGCCACTGGTAAATGAATTTAAAACTCTTGCTGAAAGGAAAGAAATATGGGGCAGATGCAGACAGCCTCCAGCTGCTACAAGCAAATGTGGCTCCCTTCAAAACACCAACTAACCCACCCAGCCCTTGGAGTATTTATTTGCAGGCTCTGCAGCCAGTGGGAGGAGCGCCTGAGGGAAGAGGTCATGGCAGAGCCATTTGGGAAGTTCCTGCAGTGGGAAAGGGTTTAGCTTCTCTGTGTCAGCATCAGAGGTGGAGGATTATTTTCAAGAGATAAGAGCATCTCATTGGCAAAAGAGCACATTACAACCCCAATGCCTTGTAGCTCATCCCTCCTAATCTTATCATATAGTATGTGCAGGGAGGATGTGTTGCTTTCTACACTGGTAACAAACGACCACAAACTTGAGGGCTTACAACATTTACCATTTCACAGGTTCTGTGGGTCAGGAATCTGGGCAGGGCTGAGTTCCAGCATCTCCCTGAGTTATGATTCAGTGTGGGTCAGGGTGGTGGTCTCATCAGAGGCTCAACTGGGGAAAAGATCTACTTCCAAGCTCCCCAACATTGTTGGCAGATTTCATTTCCATAGGCCCTTGCACAGTGTAACTGCTCACCTCTCCACAGCCAGCAAAGGGAGTCAGGGAGTCTTCTCCCTTGTCAGCTCAGATGAAATCTCCTATAATGTAACCTAATCAGGGACCTATTGCCTTTGCCACATTCCCTTGTTTAGAAGCCAGTCACAGGTTCTACTCACAAAGGCATTAACACCAGGAGGCAGATCATGGGGGCTCCCTTCGAATTCTGCCTACTGCATGGAGGATATAGCCTTATCAGTAATGTTTCAGAAGTGTTCCCAAGTGAAGGCCCAGCCTGTAATAGAGATTCACAATGTTTTCTCTTTGAAGTGAAGCAGTTTTGTTCATTTCCTCCCATCTCAGAATGACTTCAAATCCTGACATCCTCGACAGCCCAATACTTTGCCACAACCTGATTACAACTCTAGCTCTCTTATTTACTGGCTATATGTTATTGAGAAAAGGTAACTTTCTAGGGGAAGGGCTTATCCTGAATCTCCGTTTTCTTATCTGTAAGAATGTATTCCACTAACATTTTTAGGACAGTAGCATATAATAGTTATTGTCACTTATTAAATAATTCCAGCACCTTTCCTTTAGGACTGTTCATTTTATTGCATTAACTTATGTACATATGGAACTCAACAATGAAATATTAGTGTTGCTAGTATGCACATCAAAGCAAAAGGAAAATGTATTTTAAAACAAATCCAGTTGTATTTAAGGAGCTGAAATCACTGATCCTATGCTTACAGCAATTCTTAGAGGAAAATGACTAAAACCATAGACATGTCCAGAAGATGTGCCCATGGCTATGTCTAAAAAGTACTGGTGTCATAGATATGGGGTTTTTAGGTCTTTCTCTTTCCTGTTTTCTCTAAGATGAAAATTTTTATCCACTTACTGGAGGGAAACAATAAGTTCAGCATTAGTTGAAACTGGCCCTGCCATTATTTACAGGCTCTTGTGAAAAGGGAGGCCCTAGGGCACCCAAAAGGGTCTTTAGCTTATAACCTGCTTTGGTTTCTTCTGCAGGTTTGTCCTGGTTGTGGTCAAGACTGGATGATGTAACTGGCTCTCTAGGAAGCCTCACTTGGCCGTAACCTCAGGAAGGTTCTCTTTGACCCCATCTCATTTCGAAGCCACTTCTGAAGCCACTTGAGAAAAATGATGTGACAGTTCCTATCAAAAAGGATTCAGAAACATATACCATCTGTGAAGAAAGTGGCCCTTTCTCCCGCTTGCAAAATAGACATTCTCAAATTCCAAAATGCCAGCCAAGACCCCAATTTACCTGAAAGCAGCCAATAACAAGAAAGGAAAGAAATTTAAACTGAGGGACATTCTGTCTCCTGATATGATCAGTCCCCCGCTTGGAGACTTTCGCCACACCATCCACATTGGCAAAGAGGGCCAGCACGATGTCTTTGGAGATATTTCCTTTCTTCAAGGGAACTACGAGCTTTTACCTGGAAACCAGGAGAAAGCACACCTGGGCCAGTTCCCTGGGCATAATGAGTTCTTCCGGGCCAACAGCACCTCGGACTCTGTGTTCACAGAAACGCCCTCCCCGGTGCTCAAAAATGCCATCTCCCTCCCGACCATTGGAGGATCCCAAGCTCTCATGTTGCCCTTATTGTCACCAGTGACATTTAATTCCAAACAGGAGTCCTTCGGGCCAGCAAAGCTGCCCAGGCTTAGCTGCGAGCCCGTCATGGAGGAAAAAGCTCAGGAGAAAAGCAGTCTGTTGGAGAATGGGACAGTCCACCAGGGAGACACCTCGTGGGGCTCCAGCGGTTCTGCATCTCAGTCCAGCCAAGGCAGAGACAGCCACTCCTCCAGCCTGTCCGAACAGTACCCCGACTGGCCAGCCGAGGACATGTTTGACCATCCCACCCCATGCGAGCTCATCAAGGGAAAGACTAAGTCAGAGGAGTCCCTCTCTGACCTTACAGGTTCCCTCCTCTCCCTGCAGCTTGATCTTGGGCCCTCACTTTTGGATGAGGTGCTGAATGTAATGGATAAAAATAAGTAACAAGATGCCAACTTTTTTCCTTTGGGGTAAAAGGTACAAAAACAAACTAACCACAGTTGAAGAGAAGGGCTTCCGGAGCTGTATTTGCAGTTTTGTGTTGGGTTTTCTAAAATAATATTCTTACAAAGTATTTTTTTACCTGTTATGCCCTGTTTGCAAAAACAATTTAGAAAAAAACAACAAAGCAAAACCTATCTTGGCAAAAAAAGGAAGTGAGTCAGAGCCCATTTTCAGGAGGCATTGGTGATGTTCGGCTCACATATTGTTTGCAGACACACAAGAAATCTGGCTTGGCCAGGATTGGCACTAGCTATGAAGGGCTGAGCGAGTCACATTAAGGAACTTCACGGAACTTTATAGCACTCCGACATTTTCTGAGCAAGAGGAAGTCAAAATTTATTTAACACCTAAGCCTTTTTGTAGACTCTTTTCTATATATTGCTTAGGCTCACCATAGCGAATTCTCCAGTGTTAAAACTTTTCTGTTTTCACATTTGAACTTTATGGGTTTTGGGGATTTTCTTGTAGTTCTTATATATCCCTATATATTATATCTATATTGCAAAATTTTGACTGTCAGCTACATGTTGGTAAGACACAGGCAAAGTATTACTGTAACTAAGTTATTTTTAAAGTTAAAATATATTTTTACGTGCCTTTGGCTTTTTATTGCAGAGTCTACATTTTATAGATTCTACATCAGATGTTGTCACTTATTTCCATTGGGATTCCATTGTAAGCTGTGTATGTGCGTGTTTGGAAAAGTGTATTCATACTTAGTTTTTTTTTCTTCATCTGTTATCATACTTTTAACAGCAACCAATAACGGATTGTAAAGTGTAAAGGCACAGGTTACTCATGATGCTTCTGCAGAGACTGTGGGCTACACCACATATGTTATTTGGAAATATAGGTATTTTAGTACAGTACATACTTGCATTACATAGGTACTTCAAGCAACACAATAAAAAGTAAATGATAAAGTGAACTTGCTTGTTTATAGTAATAAACAAGACCATAAGAGAATAAGTATAGCTAGAGAAATTGCTTCTCTGAAATGTACATGAGCCCTTAAGGTAAGAGATGATTTCCATCTACTCTCATTTTGATTACTTCCTTATGGTTTGAGAGGCTAGAAACTGAGCCTCTCTACTTTTGGAAAAATGAACATGTGAGGTCAGATTTTTTTTTTTTTTTTTAAGTCAGCACTGATGCCACCCTCTCAGTGGTCATTTCTGAGCATCTTCCTGACTTGAACACCTTCTACAGCAAACTCTTGCAAGTCCAGTTTCATCCCTGTAAGGCAAATGTCTTTTCACGCAGAAAGTGCCATATAGACGAGATAAAGGCAGCTAAAACGAGGGCAGTAGAGAGCACTTACCCGACCCCAAGGTGCCAGAGATGCCCTGAGGATGGTGGTTAAGGAAACAGGAGCAGGAAATGTACACACAGATTCCTGTCCCTTTGCCAACTACTCCTTCCCCATCAAAGAAAAACACTTGCACACAGTAACTACCAGCTCCTTCTCTCAAACTTGTATTTCTCCTGGAAATGTATCTCAGAAATGACCTCCTCTCCCAACCACTTCAACGATTCTTTCTTTGGGTTTGGGGTTCTTGCAGTTCTATCATCTAAAATAACCTTTGGACTGCAGGTAAAATGCAATTAGGACAACTAACCAAGTAGACGAAACAAGTTCCCCTAGGCAGGGGTGTCCAATATTTTAGCTTCCCTGGACCGCATTGGAAGAATTTTCTTGGGCCACATGTAAAACACACTAACACTAACCATAGTTGATGAGCTTAAAAAAATAAAAATAGAAAATTGCAAAAAAAAAAAAAAAAAAAAATCTCAGACTGTTTTAAGAAAGTTTAAAAATTTGTGTTGGACTTCATGCGGGCCACAGGTTGGACAAGCTTGCCCTAGGGCATTGTGTGCTTTCCGTAACTTCTCAGTTGTATTTCGTTATCCATGACTCTCCAGTGTTTTTTCTGTTGGACCACACCCGTCACAGTTCACAGTTCCAAAGAGAAATTTCCCAGCCTATTCTAAATCTTGTTAATGACGAAGAGTCCAATGTATCTCATTATTTGTAGCCAATTTTAGACTCTTTTCAATACCTCCCCCCCATTTTAATTAGTATTGATCATATTCAGTCTTTCATTTTACTCTTCATCTGTAGCGTGACCTCAAGGTAAAGATGAAACTATTTCATGAAAAGGGGAGGAGTATGGCTGTGCATTAGCTCTACTCCCTCTCTGGTAAGTACTGGGGAGAGAACAGCCCTGCCAGTACTGGGTTTGATAGATTCTAAATATTAATCACACATCCTGCCTACAGTTAGCCATTTTAGTTTCTGGGAGTTCTTTCATGTACATTTTCTTCCATTAATTGAATTAGGTATAATTGAGATGGCAATAAATATGCCCGTATTAGAAAGAGGAAACAAAGCTACATGCGGCTTATGATTTTGTTGAGTCACTTCTCCCGAGGCAGCCTTTCCAATGCCTGGTCCCTTCCCCTGAGAGCAGGTGGACTGCTGGTGGTGGCTTTCTTTCCTGCAGAGAGGCACTTTAGACCCATACCTGCTGTGAGCTGAATTGATGTTCTCATCCTGTGAACCTTCTCCCACTTTAACCTAATTTATCTTTACTTGTTTAAAGATAAGGAAACCCAAGATGTACTTTATTTGCAAACTCAAAGCAAATGGCGAGCCACCTGTGACCCAGTAACCAGAAAAGAAACCATGCCATTTGTATAAGTAGAGACACTTCTTGTTGAGGTAGGCAAGGCTCTTGTGAGCGATTTTTTTCCCCTAGTGAGACCTAACAAAAGACAAGCTATATCATTTCTGCCTGAAATTATCTGCTTGAAAAGATCAAAATATCAGGATACTTAGCTCTTCACAAATATGAAGTCATTATCACATTTCACTGAGCCAGAAATCACTGTTAACAGCACACACAAAAGACTACACTGGTTGAACAGCAAAGAGAAACCCGGGTCTCCAGAATCACAGTTTAGTCCTTCTATATTACTGCAAGTGACCTGTTTTTTCTGAAGGCTCCCCGCAAATGAAGTCCTGGAATGGAAAAAATCCATAAGTCCATAAATTAACTTGATAAATATTTTAGAACAGACAAAAGAAAATATTGAGTGATGTAGTTCTAATCCTCCTAATATGGAACCTGGCAAGACTGAATCATTTTACTGTGAAATATATAAACACAATAGAATGAGCCAACATGATGGTTTCTCTCCAGTAAGAGTTTTTCTTTTGGAAATGAGGTTAACCTAGCCCCAAATCTAGCAATTCTCATAAAATCCGATTTTAGAATTAGCCTCCCAGATTAATCTGAATGATTGACTTATTTTTTCTTAGGCAAGTCAGTAAGCCACCCACTAGACAGCCATATCCAGCAAAATAAGAGAAGTTTCCAGATGCCAAATGATAAGCCACCATCAACCCAGCGGGGAAGCCTTCTGGTTGGTTTGGCTGTATGAGATTCAGGAAGGCCAGAATACCCAAAATTATTCACACGACGTTAACTTATTGGTACTGGCTAAGCAATACATGTATTTCCTAAAGGAGGAGATGGTCTTTTGGTTGATTTATGGACACACTTGTTTCATCTGACTGTAAATATATTGCATGCTTTATTCTGATGGTGCACTATTTCATCCAGCAAGCTTTTCATCTGAGAATGTTTAATGTTGACCTTATTCTTAGAGCAAGTAGATCTAAATATTTTTCAGCTGAGTTATTAGGGAGTCATTATTCTGTGGTACAATGCTGCAAAAAGCATCATGTGGAAGAATGGGAACTATGCTTACTTTATGAAGTGATGTATAACACAATGAAATCTGTTTTACAACTACTGTGCTGCATTTAATTATCTTCCATTTTTGCTGTTAAAAAAAAAAAATCCGTTAATGATGTCACTTCCATTGGCTCCCGGGAGATCAGTAATCCATCCTCTGAAGGTCAGCCAAATTTCCCTCATGGAAAACAGATCGACACGGGTGATAGATAAAAACATCTGCCCAAAGCAAAGCCATCGTGCAGAATAGAGTTAATATTCCAGAGACTCATCACGCAGACAGAGATGTCTGCCATACATCAAAATGAGCAAAGCTGAGTCAGTGAAGTGGGTATTATGCTCACCATGAAGTGATTATTGGAGTGTGTCACAAAATATGCACGTGATTCATTGCCAAAAGGGTCACTGGGGGAAAAAAGAGCTTTGAGTTCTGGGGAGGGAGAGACCTGGGGCAGTTTTGTGGAAGAGAAGGACCCAAAAGGTACCTTGAGGGTCTGCTGAGATCATTTTAGGGAGAGGGGGCATTCTTGGAAGGGAAAGAATATGATGAGCTAACCAAAGGATACACTCACATCCTAGTAGTGCTTCTATTCAAAACAGTCCAGAAACAGGGATTGGAGTAAAAAATGCCCACTTCTAGGTCTGCAAGATTGGGATCCACTCCTGAGAAGACTCCAGTAGAAGAAGATTCTAGAATCAGACTGCTGAACAGGTGGTTCCCAGGATAGATATTTATATAAAATTAGCCAGCATTTTGTGAAAGCTCATGCCCAGTCTATAGTGCCCATTCAGAGACCTGAAGGCCAGAGTAGGGACACCTCAATAGTGAGGTTGACGTGAGGTGCTCAGGGAAAGTCATTTACGAAGGTGAAGGAAGTGAGAGGGGCTAAGTGTCTCCTGAAACAACTCCAGATGAAGCAAGCTGGTATTGCAGTCCCTGGGCTGAACACACTGGGCAGTTGTCCCACCAGCTATATCCCCGGGAACTTTTTCTTTGAGACAGAGTCTCACTGTCACCCAAGCTGGAGTGCAGTAGCGCAATCTCGGCTCACTGCAACCTCCACCTCCTGGTTTCAACTGATTCTCCTACCTCAGCTTCCCAAGTAGCTGGGACTACAGGTGCTCACCACCATGCCTGGCTAATTTTTGTATTTAGTAGAGGTAGGGTTTCACCATGTTGGCCAGGCTGGTCTCAAACTCCTGACCTCAAATGATCCACTCACCTTGGCCTCCCAAAGTGCTGGGATTACAGGCGTGAGCCACTGTGCCCAGCCCCAGGAACTTTTTTTTTTTTTTTTTTTTTGAGACGGAATCTCCCTCTGTCACCCAGGCTGGAGTGCAGTGGCGCCATCTCGATTCACTGCAAGCTCCGCCTCCCAGGTTCACGCCATTCTCCTGCCTCAGCCTCCCTAGTAACTGGGACTACAGGTGCCCACCACCACGCCCAGCTAATTTTTTTTGTATTTTTAGTAGAGACAGGGTTTCACCTTGTTAGCCAGGATGGTCTTGATCTCCTGAACTCGTGATCCTCCCTCCTCGGAACTCCTTTCAATCCATCTTTTCCCAGGCTGGCTTACACTTTGAGTATCCCCAGGATTAAGGAAGAAAGCTCCCCAGGAAACAGAATCCAAATGTCATTGAAGAGTCTCCTGGGTCATTAGAACCCAAGAGAGCCAGGAGTTATGGCTTACAAAGTAGGAAAAACAATTCAATTGAGTAGAAACAAACAGCCCTGGAAGTTCTCTCAAACTCCTTGAAGTCCAGACTCATAGAACTGAGGCTCAGAGAGGAGCAGAAGCCCCAGACTTCCGAGGACCTGCCTCTTCCCAGAGGTGACGTGTGGACTGTCCACCCCTCAGGGAAACTCACAGTCTCTCCCAGGGTGAGTCCTTACCCTACAAGGCACATCAGCAAGATGGTCATTATCAGCATAACACATGGTCCCCAACGTTTGCACCCCAAATACCCACAAAAGTACAGATGGTTCCCGACTTAGGATGGTTCTTAATTGAAAACACATTTTCTACTTACATTTTTTAACTTACAATGGGCTTATCAGGACGTAACCCCCATCATAAGTCAAGGATCATCTGTAGTGAAAAGATTCTTTCATTACATTTGGGTCTCGAAAATCCCAACAAAGAAACCCTTTGAGGTACTGTGTCCATAGAAAATTCCCATCTTTAAGTCCCAGGAAATGTGCATTAAAACTCCAAAGGATGTCATCCTTATACCCATGGGCAGCATTGTTACAAGTGAAATAGGCAGAACTTGTGTGACCCTAGAAAAACAGTACTGCTCAAAACAATTTCTTCTACACTCAGCTGCCCCAGGGCTAGAAAAATCTACCCTTGGAGATGGGTTCCTTTTTAGGTGAGGCTTTTTCTATTAGGCATGGAGTCCCCTTAGAATAATTCCAGGAGTAACAACATCTGCAAGCCACCAACAGTGAAAAGTGAACTCACTTATCAGATGCCCACTGTGGGAGCACAAGTCTCTAGCAACTGGCCTGGGACCAGGTAGCAAGAGAGACCAGGAAAAACATGAAGAGTGAGTTCATGTAATGCATAATTTTGCCTGGGACCAAAGAAAAATGGGCAGTGATGAGCTTTTCTGAGAGATTTACCTGAGAGCAAATGTGGCCTTCACCAGAAGAGATAATGAAGGTTATTGTTGGCCGGTCTCCCTAGTGCCAGAAGATCACTTGTAATTAAACCTAATTTTGAATCAACCAAATTAGATGGTACAGGAGATTAATATAAAACTCTCCATAACTGACATGTTTCCATACACCCTACAGGCCAGAAGGCTTCAAGACAGTAATGCCTTCGATGCCAAATGCTCATGTTTCTAAGTCACTGTCTGGTCTTTCCTCTGCCTCATCCCCCACTCTTAACAGTAGCATCTTAATGACATGATTGCATTGAGGAGATTATTATTTTCTCCTGACATCTCCTTTATAAGTTCTTTCTGCGTTGTAAGGTAAACCATTAGCAATGCCCCAGAAACAGATGAAACTTCAAAAGGCTTGAAACGACATTAAAAATTACATATTGAGTTTTTCAGAATAAGCAGTAATGTTCAGACACAACTTTGTACCGTAAGCAGGGGCATTGTTAAAAGTAGGAAAAGGAAATTGGTAATTATCTTCCAAACCTGACTCCCATTTCATGAAAATGAAATTGGGATGGGACTAGAAGCAAGAAACAAAACACCTGTGGTGCTCTGGAAGATTTTTCCACCATAAATGGCAAGAAGGAAGAACAGACAAACACAATCTTAGATTAGCAGCCAATAAAGTCCTCCCATCCTAGTACCAGATCATGGCTCCTATGACTAAATAAAGCACTATTTGTGAAGCTTCAGTAATCGCCCTCTTTTTAAAAAAAAAATATAAAGAGGTAGGTTCACCGTTGATTAAAATTGCTCATTTTCAATACATCTGGCACTCTGGACTTCACAAACATGTTGACTATTCATCAGGTACCTTAGGTAACTGAGAGGAAAAATTGTAAAAGTGTCACGATAGCAAAACACAAGAAGCAGACCTGGTTGTATAAGTCCAGGGAAAATGGGACCTTCTTACCAGAGCCCACACTCCTGAAGACTCTTCTAACCAGAAGTAAACAAAGTATTCAAAGTGAAATGGCTTCCGGGAGTGGGATGCCCACCCCTCTTAACCAGCCATGAGATAAAAATGCATGGGAGAAACTTCTTCCAACCCCTGGATCATCTGAAACCTCACCTCCCCAGGGAGACTCCTTGGCTCCCTAGTCCCCAGCCCCTCCCCTCAGGCGAAGGTCATGTGGGAGGACAGAGCCAAGGCTCTAGATTATGGTATGAAGGGTGTGATCTTGTCTGAACACACCCAGCAAAAACATCTTTGTGTCTCCTGCCCTTGCAACAAGGGCTCTTTTTGTAGGTCAGCTGTTAAACATCAAATGATACATCATTTGTTTAAACATCAAATGATATATTATGAACAATACTCCTGTGGCTGGTGGAATAATGGCCCCCAAGATAGGAGATTCTAATGTCTGGAACTTATAAATGTCACCTTATTTGGTAAAAGGGGCCTTACAGATATGATTAAGTTAAGGATCTTGAGATGGGGCATTAGTCTGGATTATCTGGGTGGACCCTAAATGCAATCACGATTGTCCCTATAAGAGAGAGGCAAAGGGAAATTTGACCAGAAGAGGAGTAGACAATGTGACCACAGAGGATGGATTGATGCATCCAGAAATCAAGGAATGCTGCCAGCCACCAAAAAGTGAAAAAGGCAAGGGACAGATTTCCCCCTAGAGCCTCTGGAGGGAGTACAGCCTTGCTGACAGCTTGATTTCGGCCCAGTGACACCGATTTCAGACTTCTGGCCTCTAGAACTGTGAGACAATAAATTTCTGTTGTTTATAGCCACCAAGTTTTTAGTAATTTGCTAAAGCAATTATAGGAAACTGATGCAATACCCAAGCACTGGAGAGAATACAGAAAAATGGAAAACGTTAAGGATAATGAGGTGGACTGAACTGTGTTCCCTTAAAATTCATATGTTGAAGCCCTAACCCTCAGTGTGACTATATTTGGAGCTAAAGCCTTTGAAGAAGTAATTAAGGCTGAATGAGCTCATAAGGGTGGGACCCTAATTGGATAGGACTCACGTCCTTATAAAAAGGGGAAGAGACATTAGGGATGCACACACACAGATGAAAGGCCATGGGAGGACACAACAAGAAGGTGGCCATCTGCAAGCCAAAGAAAGAGGTCTCAGGAGAAACCAAACCTGCTGGCACCTTGATCTTGATCTCCAAAACTGTGAGACAATTAGTTTCTGTTGTTTAAGTCACGCAGTTCATGGTACTGGCAACTGCAGCCCTAGCCAACTAATACAGAGGGTTAACAGGGAAGACCCCCTTGAAGAGTTAGGTTCTTTAAGGAGATAAGGCCAGGATGACCCCACTTCCCAGGACTTTAGTCTTCCCTTAAGGAGTTTACACTGATTTAGTGGTGCTCTGGCTGGTGACAAGGAAGAGGAGAACATTCCAGGCAAAGGATCAGCAGGAGAAAAGTCTAGCCCTGCATTAACATTACAAGAAAGCATCTCCCACTACCAGAGCACAAGAGAAAGCTGCTTTCATGTGGCACAGGTTCAAGCAGGGTAACAGTGTCTAATCAGACACAGGTGTGTTGCCTGAGCCCAGAGGCTAAGTAGACTACCTTTAGGAGGGTCACTGTCACTCACAGTTGATCACTGGGGCATAACTTTAATCAAGCGTATGCATGGTGGGCAGACTTAGGGGAGACGGGGGGAAATAAAATATTTAAAACATGTTTTGAGGCTTGTTTCCAGCCCCAGACAGCATTTGATATGGGCAGAGGCCAGATTCAATCCCTGTCATCCAGATAACAACAAAAGAGAGGCAGAAAAGACTGTAGAGAGGATGCTTCATTGTTGCTAGGGAGATTGTCTTCCAGGAGCTCTTTGCCTAAGAAGTGTTTCTTCCACACAGATGCCAGGCAAAGTTAAATAGGCCTTCCCAGTATGCAGAGGGCAAATTGAACAAGAGGCCAGAGAGTTTGCTGAGACCCAACAGTGATGCGGGGGGCGTTTAAATACCATTCAGGAAGCCAAGTGACAGAGAGACAGCCAATGTGCTGGAGGTGGGGCCCCATCAGGCAGTGCTTCCCATATCATGACAAAGAAAATTATGACATTGGGACAGCACCATGGGGAAATGAAAGGGCTGTTGTGGCTGGCCTGGGCCCCACCTACCTGCCACAGGTGCTGAGGGTACAATGCCTCAGTGTCCTCATAGCACATTTGACACCTAAGGTTTGTATTGTGGGAAGCCTCTCCTCAGAGTACATCATCTCACTGGCCCCTGGCTATTTACGGGACTACCCTGTAGCTCTCCTGAGGGCTCCGAGTCCTCTCTGAAGGCACAAGTGGGTGAAGGAGTGGGGATACCAAATGTCGCACCATGTGAGACATGACTGCCCTGGTGGCAGTGGGGGTGGCAGTGAGTGGGGCACAGCAAATCCTCCACCTCTAACAGGGGTGATGTGGTTTGGCTACATCCCCAGCCAAATCTCATCTTGAATTGTAGTTCCCGTAATCCCCACGTGTCATGGGAGGGACCCAGCAGGAGATAATTGAATCATGGGGGCAGTTACCCTCATGTTGTTCTCATGATAGTGAGTTCTCACAAGATCTGATGTTTTTATATAAGGGGTTTTCCCCCTTTGCACTTCTCTCTCCTGCTGCCACGTGAAGGACATGTTTGCTTCCGCTTCTGCCATGACCATAAGTTTCCTGAGGCAACCCCAGTCCTGCAGAACTATGAGTCAATTCAACCTCTTTCCTTTATAAATTACCCAGTCTCGGGTATTGCTTCATAGCAGTATGAGAACAGACTGACACAAGAGGTGAATAAACCCAGAGCAAACCCAGAAAGGCCTGGGAGCCCCAGGAGCCAACTGGTGATTTAAGAAAGAGCAGAAGTGTTCAGTGTGACAGAGATAAGAGAAGGAGTAGAACTGAGACTCTGCCTCTGACTACATGACAACAGTCTTTACCAGTCTCACTGACTGGGGGCTTCTGCAGAGAATATGCTCGAGTCCCTACCTCTGAAAAACAAACACAGCCCTGCCTCAAAAACGTGAGCCACTTCCACAACCTCGAAAGGGGCATTTACACCAATGTCTCCATTTGCTCACCTCACATTCACTGAGTCACTTTCCTCCAGATCTACTGCCACCGTTCACTGAAGCTGCGCTCAGCAGTCACCAATGAACCACCTTCCTAAAGTCACAGATGTTCCCCACCCTACCTCCCTTTCTTCTCTTCTCTGCAGCACTTGACTCTCCAGGGCACTGCTGCTCCTCTCACTCCCTTCTCTCTGGTTTTCCTTCTCTCCCACCAACTACACCACTGTGAATCCTTCCCGGTTCTTCTTCGACTACTGACCCCATTGCTACCACGCACCCTAGGGTCATTCTCATTCTTCTGTTTGGTGATGTCTTGTTTCAGAGCTTCAACTGCCATCTATTTTCTGATGACTCCCACATCTCTATCTCCTGCCCAAATACAACTCCTGGGCTTCAGACCTGAATATCCAGATGAGCCCTGGACATCTCTGCTTGTTTGGCCTGCCAGAACCCCAAATTTACCATATTTCAAATCAAGTTCACCACCAACAAAAATATGCTTCCATCCTCCTTCTCCTGTGCTTGTGAGTGACAATACCATCCAGCCAGCTTCTCAGGACAAAACCCGGGAAGTGACTCCTTTTTCCACACAACCCTCTTCTTTTGCCTCCTAAATATTTCTCATGTCCAATCTCTTTTCTCCAATCCCACTGCCACTGACTCCATTCAGGCCCTCATCATACCTTGCTTCTATTATATAGCAACAGCTTCCTAACTATTTCACTGTCTTTAGAATGACCCCTGCCAATGTTTTTCCTTTTTAATTTTGAGTGATGGGCTCTAAAAATATTTTTTAGATACTATATTTTAAAAAATATTTTAAGCTTCTCTAACTGAACATCTAAACCCATAAAGTCCCTAATTAACAACCTTCAGAAACTCTCCTTTACCATACAAAGCCCAAATTCCTAAACAGGTATACAAGGCCCTCCATGAACTGTTTGTGCTAGTGGCACAACCTGGATGTAAAATCCAATGAATAAATGAAAGTCAAATACTCACTCTGCCCAACACCCTAATATGAATTAGGAATTCAATTCCACAAAGAAGGTGGAATTGAATCTATGCTGCTAAGGGTAAAGTGGGTTAGCTGTATTAGTCTGTTCTCATGCTGCTAATGGAGCAACATAACAGAGACTAGATAGTTGATTAAATATACAGGAAAGAGGTTTAATTGACTCACACTTCTGCAGGGCTGGGGAGGCCTCAGGAAAGAGAATCACGGCAGAAATGGAAGCAAACACACCCTTCTTCACATGGTGGCAGCAAGAAGAAGTGCAGAGAGAAGGAGGGGAAAAGCCCCTATAAAACCATCAGATCTCATGAGAACTTACTATCACGAGAACAGCATGCAGGTAAACACCACCATGATTCGATTACCTCCCACTGGGTCCCTCCCATGACACATGGGGATTATGGGAACTACAATTCAAGATAAGATTTGGGTAGGGACACGGTCAAACCATATCAGAGGAGGAAAGAAGATAAGCATCCTTGCTCCTGATTGGGGCACTTCATTCAGAACTTCTTCCTTTAAAATGCAACTTTCTTAGAACAGAGATCACTTCTCTCTTTTTCCTTCCTGGCAGCTGATAGGATAAGATTGGATGGAGGCCTCCTTATGGTTGGAAAGCGGCATCCTCTTTTTTCCCTCTGTTAGAAAACCAAGCAGGAACCAGGTAGAGTCCAGGAGAGAACATCCAAAGATGGATGTCATCTCAATTGCTTCCGAGTTCAGAGGAGGCAAAGGGTTCTTACATCTTGCCCACAGATTGACCCAAGTTCATGACCTGGAACAGGCACTTTTGTGAGGTGTCAAGGACAAAGCCCTAGCTGGTAATAAACAGCATGTTCTTATCCTGGAGTATTCCTCAGGAAATTACTGTGGTAGCAGGAAACCAGACAGGATTTGGGTTTTTAAAACCTTGCCTATCTTATCTTTGTAGATGTGACTAACTAGTAGGTCTTCAAACTGCCCCCAAGTAGGCATAAACCTTTGGGTCACCCAACATTATACTGGCTCTCCTAAAAAAAAAACATGTTATGTAGCCCTAATAACCTAGAGCTCCATGGGGACTGATCTCAGTGCAGTTACAGTGAAAAAACAAACAAATCAAGATGTAGCAACAAAGAAGAATTAAAGCATTTAGAATATTTATATTCTTCTCTTAAAGAACTCCAAAGAAAATCCAATTCATAATCCATAGCTCTGCTAGAATTTTCCTGGGGGGTATGGGGAAGAAGAGGAAGAGGGGCTATGAAGACTTATGCATTAATCTTTTTTATCTATTGTATTGCATAATAAATTTGTCTATAATCACAAAGAAGGTCTTTGCCTTAAGTCCTTATTCCCTCTCACAGTTATTGTAAGAGCCTCTGATTCCAATAGTGCCCACTCTTAAGTCACCACCCTGACTAAAGGTCCTTATGAGGTCTCCATAGCTAGGAGACAAAGTCCAAACAAAGTCTTGAAAATGGCACTCAAGTCCCTTCGCCTTCTGGCCTCAATCTACACATCCCACGTTACTTATGCCACCAGCCACACACATTTAGCTTCCCCCTCATTTACCATTGCAGAACTCCCCAAATACCCGTCTTTTCAGCCTTTCTGTCTTTGCATGAACTCCTTTTTTACTAACCCGTTAAAACCTCTGTCACCTTCTCTGTGAAGCCTGTGTTAGAATCAGTTGTTCTCTCCTCTTGGGCTGCACTGCACTTTGCAGAGGTCCCACTATTCAGTGGGTCCCCCACAGTGATACAATCAAGTCCATCCTCCTGGTGAGAGGGCACATTCCTCCAACCTGACTCCCAGCCCAGCACAGAAGCTATTGCTGAATGAAGGATGAAAGAATGAATAAACAGATAAAAAGCAGAGACTAAAATTAATGCTTACCAAAAACTAATTTTTTTTATTAGTCCACAAGAAATGGCTTATCAGTAGTCTTTACCAGGTACAAGAAATGCCATAAATTCTGAAAAAGAGTTTTGAGAAAAGAACAAAGTACTATATATTTTGCCAGTGTATTAAAATGATAGAGACTAATAGGACTGAAACATTTTTAAGAAATATATACTTACAAATATGTCTATGGATCTGGATTATTTTTCCATATTTACAAGTTTTAGTTATTTACCTTATAAAAGAAAATAGCCCTATAGAAAGTTATTATCATTTGCTTCAATAAGATACAGCCATTATAGGCTTTTAAAATGTTGTTTGCTTAAAGGACGAGAATGTGATTTGGCTCCTGCAAGCACTTAAGAGTTCTGAACAAGCCTAAACAAACATTTTTAATCAGTGTTAGTGCTTTAAGAAATTTTTAATCTGCCACTTAAGAGACACTAATGTACAAATTGGCAAAAAAGAAAATAAAAACCTGTCACCTTTCCCACACATTATCTAAATGTGCTAAAGCAAATGCATTTCAGATACCCTGCCCTGCTGTGCATGAACACATAATAGGATAGGACGTCATCAGTGACTGAGCGTATCTCCTAATTGGTGTCATCAGCTATTTCTAGGACAGCCAAATAGTGTCAGAGATAAAGAAATATAAATTATCTGTGAAAACAAAGAGGTACGACATGTAAAAATTGGATGTAGTACCTCCTGATCCAAAACAAAAAAATGGATCTTAGGCTACCCAAATATTTTTAAATGATATAAAATGTTATTTTAGGTCAATAGCTTTCTATAGTCAGAATGTGGACATACGGGGATGAATTATGCCTGGCACCCCCAGTTATCTCATCCAATGCTGCAGCTGTCACAAACCACAGGACACTTGATCCATAGGCCAGTAAAGAATCAAGTTCTAACCACAGACACTCAAGAGCGCACAACAAGGCATCTAAAAGAATTTCCACTTGTGCCATTCTGGGCATCTTGATGTCCTTAGCATACTGTAACCTGATTATCCAGACAAGATTGAGAATGAAAGCAAGTAATCCTGGACTGACTCTCCTGTATCACATATGTAGCCCTCTATTTGGTGAGTATAGTTACTAAAGCCAAGGACAAATTCTGTGTAAACATGCTGCTTGTACGTTAAAACAAAATGTTTATCAGTTGTGTGTATATATGATATGTGCATAGTGTATATGTATAGAGTGTGTGTGTGCACGTGCATGTGTGTATTACAGTGTGAGAATGTCTGAAAGGCTAAGACAGGCAGATGACCAAAGAGACAGAGAGAAAGGCAAAATTACCTGCTTGGAAAGAAGTTGAGGGCTACAAATATTACAAAGCATAAAGTGATTTTTGAAAAGAAGGAAAGAACACCCTAAACGAGAAAAAAAAAAAAAACATGGGAAAGCACCAACGTGAAGAAAGACAGGAGAAACTGCAAGTGAAAGCAAGAGTGACTTCATAGAAAAGAAAATGAGGTAATACCAAGCAGGGCATCTTTATGGTATGTGTCCCTGGAAAATATTTTCTGCCAAGTCCCTGTCTGTATAAGGAATTTGATTTAATGTTTTACAAAATTCGTAGGCCTATCTGAGTCATGATTTATCAATGAAGATTTAGAATAATGGGTAAAGAACAGGTATTTTTGTATTTGCTTATTGTTCAATCAGTGCAAGGGAAGATTTTTTCATAGTGTCTAGGCACCATCACTTTCTGTGCAGATGCCAGAATCCTCTTTGTGTTTTTTATTGTTAGATGTGCTAATTCCACATGTCTCACTGGGAGAAAAGGGTTGCAATGCTGTTATTACAACACTGGCTCTTCAGCATTTGTTTGTATTGAAATAACAGCTTTTCTAGCCTCTGGATTTCCTTAATATCATTTATTTAATGCTGGTTATATCATCAATCATGATGTTGTGTCATCCCTGCTGCCACCCATGAATCCTGGCTTCCACTGATGCTCTCAAGGGAGGGCGGTTACTGTGTTTTGGAGATGATGACCACAAAGTCAAGTCTTGCCCAGAATATGCAGGAAAATGTGAATGTTAATTCATTTTCTGAGAATGTTAAATTCACTGTTTGAAATTTTATAGCATAAATATAGAAGAGCATATTTTCTGACCATATCTTCTCTTGAACTCCCTACGGTAATTCCTGCATTCCTAGAATGTGATTTCTTTTAATGTTGACAGCACCTTTGCCTTCCACACACTTTCACCATGGGGAGGTGGGGGAAACCCATGGGTAGAAAAAGAAGAGTGGTCCTATTTGTACAAGAAATGTCCACGTCTCCCCAACATGGCTTAAGCACAGAGGGTTCATGTCAACACATTGACACAGGCAACACATCGATTGGAGGGCCTCAAGCAGGAGGGTCTGCTAACATTGCAGAACAAGTGTCAAATGTTCTTTGGGGACAGACAATGCTCTGGAGGAATGCTCAGCGATGGGGTTTGACTTTCCTGGTGCTAGTGATGGGAGGGGTACAGGGGAGAGGGTAAGTGACACCACCTTTACTACCTTGGGGTGCTGTAGAATGGAAGCCACTATTTATTCAGACATGGAGAGGTGAGACCTGACACATGGACCCCACATATGGCTCTAGTCAAGGGCCAGCAGTGGGCCATGAGAACCTCAGAGCCCTGAACGTATGGGTTTTACGTAAGTGAGAGTCATCAAAATCAACATGTCTGCACTTGCCTGGTGACTCAACAAGAAAAACTGGGCTATTCTGGGGAGCAGTGGCTCATCTGGTCACCCACCCGGAATCAGGGCCAGGTCAAGGATCCCAAAATAAACCCACAGATATGAGTCCTGGAGCTCCTTGGGGCATCAGATCAGCCCCACATGAGGGCTGGGAAGTAGAGATCAAAGAGCAATCCAAAGGGCAGAAATGGGGACTAGGATACTTACTGGTCCCAGCTCAGGGTACCCTGCCCAGATGGCACTGCTACTCCAGCTGTTCCCAGAGAAACTTTGAGAATGTTGAAGGAGGCACTCCAAAGCATGGGAGGCCCTGAGATGCAGGGCCTAGGACAGACACCCCGGGTCCAAGGCCTGTACTGACACGAAGGATGACCAGCCACATCTATTACCAATGGGAAGAGTTATGGAGGAATCCGAGGTACAGGGCAGTTAAGCAAACTGTCCAATATGCAGTTACTAGATGGTAGAATCTGATCTGAACCCAAACAGTCTGACTCTAGGGCCTGTGCTCTGTGCTATAAATCTATCTAAAAAGATGATAGACTTTATAGTCAGACAGTTCAGGATTTGAATCACTACCCTGACAACTACCATTCTGTGACCTTGGGGTAAAGCAGAAATAACAGTACCTACTCCATTGGATTGTTTTGCAGGGATCAACTAACTTCTTCTGTAAAGGGCCAGATGGCAAATTCTTCAGGCTCTGTAGTCCATACAGTCTCTGCCACTACAGCTCAATTCTGTAGCATAAAAGTAGCCATAGACAATGCATAATTGAATGAGTGTTGCTGTGTTCCAATAAAACTCTGTACAAAAATAGAAGGTGGGCCGAGTTTGGCCCACAGGCCTTAGTTTGCCAACTATTTGTTTTGAGAACTAATTCAGATCATGCCAATAAAGGTTTTATAATAGTTACCTGCACTTGGTAAACATTCAATACATATTAATGCTCTTATTATACCAACAAAATGTCTATACTTTAAATTTGTTGGTTTAAGGTTCTGCTGTGCCTGCCATTTTTTAGTCTAATTATTTTATAGCTATATTGTACATACTTGAAGGAAAATGAGTGAATAAATGTTTCATTACTCAAATTCTTCCTTATTACTGTTATTTTCAGAACTTCTTAGCATTATTTTCCACTGAAAACCGTCATTGTTTTTGAAATATGTGAGTCAAAGGAGCTAATGTCTTAGTGTAACTTTATGTTTTTAAAATAAAATGTTTCCATTCCTTCATATTCCTATTTCAGTAATATAAAATAATGGGATTTTATATGCTATAAATCAATTTTTTTCAAATCTAAACATTTATATAATGCATAATCAGCTTCATCATCACTTATTAGTGATTCCCAGAGTCATTTATAGATAATATTGTTTACTGGGAATCTACACAGCACCTTTCTTTTGTGAGCAGCATTTCTCGTCTTTGGAAGATGATTTTTCCTCCATTTTATTCCTGTGGTTTAAAACAGCTACTATCAGTGTCAGCTGGTCCTGGGGCTGAGCACTGGGCCCAAGCTGTGAGCAGTGAGGGTTGGTTGCTTCTGCTGGTCTTGTTTTCAGCTGTCAGGAGGATGTCTGTCAGACAAAATGAAATCAACAAGTACAGAAAAGCAGAGGCCAGGGATGGGGAGACAAAGGCTTAGGATCATTGACTCCTCATCCAGATTATTCCTAAGGTCCAGCCACAACCCTATGCTCCCATGGTTTGGTTATGAGAGACAACAATTCCTTTTCTGCCTAAGTCAAGTTTCCTTTTCTGACTATGGCATCACCCTTGAGTGATGTGAATCACCTCCAGTTGGGTTATCCCAAGGGAAACTTCCTCATCTGCTTCTCACCAGATGTGTGGGTTTGGCATCATAGAAAGTAACTTCTGGAGAACAAAGCTCACTGGAGGGCAGAACTCAGCTCAGTGTCTTCCACTTCTTTCATCCAGAAGACCAGATGGAACCAACTGGTTCAAGAAGAAGATGACTTTAAATGACCAGGCATGGTTTTTGCAATTATCTTTTATAACTAATATAATTGGGAACATTGTATTCAATTAGAAAAAAAAAAGGAAAACTGTAAGTTGTTATAACTGGGCTAAGAGATATCACGGATCATCTCGTAGCATGTGGTCTATACTCAGGGTTTTGTAGTAAAACATAATTTTAGGGAAACCTAGTAAAGAAGAAGTCACAGAACTCTGATTTTTTTTTTAATTGGTATTTCTCCCATGGTTTTCAGGGATTCAACACATGGTCATTTGGTAAGCAGATAAATATGACTACACATTTGGGACAATAGTCCTAGTTCTCCCTGTATCCCCTGAGCAGATTGCTGATTTTTAGAGATTAACTTACTAGGTTTTCTTAAAGGTGAGAAGAATCCAAATATATTTTATCTGCTGTTAGGCAGCAGTTGTGAGGGAATTATCAAGACCTCTTGGGGCCAGAGACGTGGGGGTTCAATCTCTGCCTAGACTATTTAAGTAGGCTACTCAAAATGTTCTGAGCCTCAGTTTCCTTTTCTGTACATTGAGATGGTGAGATTATCTGCTTCACAAGGATGAACGAGATAATATATGCAAAAGGAAGGATATAGAATATTCTTAACCACTTGGCTTTAAACAATCTTCTACAGTGGACAACTACCTTGATTTTCTAACCATCCAAGGGCAACAATCATTCACATATTAGTATGAGTTCACCAACTTGTATGCTCCTTCTGGGATTAGCCCTGAGGAAATAAATGGACACTCTGACGAGGTGGGTGTTGGGATTATTTTTGGAGGTGGGGTACAGAAAAAGGGAGGAAGAATTTGATGGCATTCCAAAGGAAGATAAAATTGGACATTTAGAGAGTAGGAAAGAGGCATCTATCAACAGCAAGAATGAGGGGGTTGTAGAGGAAAGAGCCCTGAATGAATATAGGAGAAAAAGTTGGAGTTCAAAGAACAGCTTCATAGTTTTCTAAGAATGAACTCTGGGGACTCTGCTCCTGGCACTCCAAAAAGCCATTACGCTGTCTCTGTTTCCCTCACGACCCAAAGGCAGGCAAGAATTCCTGTCATACCCTCCAATCATCAGTGTATCTATGGCAGGAGAAAGAAAACAGAGATTAGAGGGTCTTACCTGGCTGAGATCCATCTCACCACAGCCACACCTGACCCAGAGAATTAGTAGGCCATGCTCAGGGCCAGCTGCGGTCTGCCAAGCTGCAGAACAGATGCTGTGGGCACAGGGTTTCCTGCAAAGCACCATTGTACCTCTCTGCCAGGAAGTGCCTTTGAAAGGCAAAGAAACAGACCAGACACCTAAGTTCATAACTAACAAGCGTCTAATCCTCGCAGTGGCTTGCTTGTACAGCTGGAGCGGGTGCGTGTGACATCTCCCCCACCCACATGCTTGCCAACCGTAATACTCAAGGAGAACTGTTTCATGAAGGACGCAGAAGGGAGCCAAACACCGCCAGAGACTTTTTACAGAAACAATTTGAGCATGCCCTTCCTCTCGGGAGTGCTTGGTCCAAATACATTTATCTTGCTAATATTCCTCTGTCAGACTAAATTTCAGACAACAGAACTCTACTTTCCAGAATCTTCCACATTGTAACTGCCTATTAATTACCTCTGCTTTGTCAGCTGGCCTCACACACAGGGCCTAAATGTTTAGTCTGCAGTTTGTATAATCATTCTTCTGCTTCATAATTACTCTCCAGAATTACTTAGCTCTGAGGGCACCACCACAAAGTCTGTGCTTTTCATTTTCTCATAATGGCTCATTATCAGGTCTGCATCCGTAACGCCTTGCTCAGGGTTTGAAATGAATCTTTATATAGTACTGGTCCTTTGGGCAAGCTCCCAATTTTACAATTGCTTCTCAGGCCCTTCGGCCAGGAGCCAGGAGAGTGGGTTCTGGGGGTAATAAAGGATCAGAGATGCTCTGTTTCTACTGTATACATGGAAGGAGCTTCCACACATCCTGAGGCAAGAGGATGTCACCACTCCATTTTCCAAACAGACCCTGACCAAGCTGGAGTAATGATGAGCTTGGAGGAGTCTGCACCATGGCCCTGCACACTCACCTACCAGGCCTCATCTTGTGCTGGATTTCAGGAAGGATGGGCCTGCCCACTGGGAATGGACTCCTGGCTTCAAGGGAAAAGCAGAGAGGGAAGCCTAAGATGACTCAGTGGGAAAGGGAGATGCAGAGATTTTCACTGTGTCAGAGCAGGTCTTTCATGGTGCATGCAGAAGCTCCTGTCCCACCAATTAAGACCCTCTGGAGTCCAATGCACTAGCTATTTCCAGCACAGTCTCCAATTATTCACCATCCCAAAACCTCACATCAGCCAGCCTGGCTTACTCATCTCACTCTCATGGATCTTTCACCACCTCTGTGATTCCACTCATGCCTTCTGCCTGCCTAGAATGCTCCTTTCAATACTCAAATCTACCTCCTCCAGGGAGACTGTTTCCAGGAAGACTCAGAGAGGCAAATAATTTCTTGCCTCTCTGAAACAACTTCATACATTCCATGTATAAATTAACCACGCTCAGCTTTCTCCCTCCCTTCTACTGTTAAAGAGCCGTTCATATTTTTATGATTACTTGACTTTGCTTTGTTGATGTATTTTCCTCACAAATATAAGTTCCTTGAAGGCAAGGTTTGTCTTATTTTTCTCATCTCTCCCGGCATCAACAATACTCAAATAAAGTCTCTAATTTAGTTCATTTGCTGCATTGTACCCTCAATTTACATGTTCATTGCCCCTCTAGCAAAAACCAGAGTAAGAAACAGTGGATCTGTGATTCAGTCACTTTAGCAACATTTAGATGTTTAGTTCGTTTATTAATGTGTACTATAATTTTAAGAGTCACATTTGTTTTCTTACTCCTGTATTCTAACCACATGCCTACTACCAGAAGTATAAGAAAACCTTTTTTTTTTTTTCTGGCTAGATCAAGAGCCAACTTGCTCTTCACCCTGTGAAAAGGGGAATTAGTCATGGGTGCTGAAAAAAGGAGAACATATTCAAAGTAAATATCAGTGCATGAGATTGCTTTTCACTCAGAATCTGAACACCCACAGTAGCCTGAATTTGTAAATATTTGCTGTCACTTATGTTAAAAAATATTGACTTCCTAAGCTATATTGCTACCAAAATATTTCTTTCTCGCATGCCTACCCAGACTTTTGGCCTATAGCTGGCAACATACCCTCTGCCTTAGGTTAACCTCATAGCAAGGGTAAAGCTTTAAGTGTACTTATGTGGTGAGAGAGAGAGCGAGAAACTTGAAAAAATAAAAATGGCAACATACCTAATGATAAAAGCACTATTTCCAAGTGTCTGAAGCCTATTATATGAGTTAAAAGTGAAACATCAGCCTAACTAATGCAAAAGCTTTATAGGGTCTGAGCAAGGATGACTAATCTCCAAAGCTGACAGTTTCACAGCTTACACAGGCTTCGTTCTGCTCAAGTGTGGGGAACACCCACCATCCCCACCATAGTCCAGGACATTATGGCATTGTACACTCATTCTCAGAACTTCACAGGGAAGATTATGGCAAAACTGGAATTCTCACTGAGGACACATCACTCTGAGCCCAATTGCCCACTGTCCCGCCTTCCATCCCCCGACCCCTGTCTTCTGGCTCCTTGAGCCTGCACGATCAATGTTTATTTTCACGTTGAATCAACCTGGGTTCAGAACTTTGAGCTCCACAAAGAAATCCACTAACAAAACCATAAGAAACAGTATCTTCACAGCAGATGCTACGGAAGAGTGGGGAAGAGTGAGGTAGTTTACACTGCCTATCTTATGACCACTATTTATCCCATCAAGTGCTTCTGGTCTCCCTGAAGGCACCTCCTAGGCCACTTGACCACTGTGAGTTATTCTCAGAGCCTAGCCTCTATGTATTACCCACTTCCAAAGCTGCTTCCACATTTTCAGGTATTTCTTACTAGCAATAGCCCATCTCCTCAGTATCAATTATCTGTCTTAGTTCATGTTCTGTTGCTATAACAAAATACCACAGACTGAGTAATTTATAAAGAAAAGACATTGATTTCTCACCATTACATGGTGAGAGGGCAAGAGCATGCCAGCTCAGATCTCTCTTCCTCTTCCTATTAAGCTACCAGTCCCATCATGGGGACTCCAACCCTGATGACCTTATCTAATCCTAATTACTTCCAAAAGGCCCCATCTCCAATCAACATACAAATTTGGAGATTAAGTTTCCAACACATGAAATCTGGGGACATATCAAAACCATAGCATCTCCCCAGCTCCCCCTTACTGTGACCTAACCAAAACTTTTTATTTTCTGAAAAGCTAATTCTTCTTCCTTGTTCCAGTTGAATAAAAGAGCCAAGACTTTCTAAGTAACAGGAGAAGCCCTTCTTGTTGGATTGGAGGCAGAGGCTCCTGAGATGACTAAAAGGATTCAGTCTTGCTCCCTGCCTCTCTACCTGGTCCTTCTATTTCTACCTCCCAGCCCAGCTTGAATCTTTGCAATAGCAGTTGGATATGGCCATGTAATTTGGAGGGCTCAGTGTAAAGGGGAAATGTGGGGTGGGTCCCCTTGTCAAAAATTATGAACAATTTCAAGACAGCAGCCACAGCACATTAAACCAAACATGGGGCCCTCTTGAGCAAGGGGACCCTGTGGGACTAGATAGGTCACACGCTCATGAAGCTAGCCCCAATAGGAAGAGTCACAGGAATTGCAGCCATTTACATGAAATGTGTGCCATTTGTGACTAATTACTGTGCAGCAGTCACACTTGTACATTTCATAATTATGTAAGTGAAAATATGTAATCATTACACAAACACTGCTTTGTAATAATACAATGCAAGCTATTGTTTTTACTAACTGTGGGGTTCATCTTGTTGAATGGCATATTGACTACAAAACCAAACCCTGTTCATATGCAGACAGCCTTCAGGGTACCTGTGGCAGTATACCTGTTCACAAATTTTAATTTGAAGAGGCTACGAATGATGTGACTCGAAAAGGAATTGCCTTAATAAACCACACCAACCATGACCACCAGTAATGAATTCAGGAACTGAAAATAAATCTGCCATTTAATTCAGAGCAAATTAGCTAACTGAAATGATACTATGGGTCATATTAAAAGAGGTGGTTCTTCAAATTTTGGATTTTATAGACCAATAAAATCTCTAAGAAATTTAGAAAATGAACACGAAGTTGACACATTTTAATTTTGCCACGTAAAGACATCAAAAGCCATCAATTCATTTAAAAACGAACAATTATGTCAGAAAAATAACATTTTGAAATATAGTTCTGTAAGTTAAATGAATTTAGTATTATGAACAACTCACACGGTCGGTGTTTAGGTGAAAGCTTTTCCTCCATCAGCATACTGGGTAGACTGAGATTTATAAACTATAGGTCTAGGGGGCAGTGGCTACAGGAATGTTTATATAGAGGGCTGAAGTATTATTTTGCTTTAACTTGGATGATTCCTTAAGACCCATGGCCAATTCTCTGCTTTGGAGATGCAACTCATTTGGATATTGTCATCCAGATATCAGCTTCCCCTTTTCTTTGCTCCTCAGCTGCAATCCTGAGAGATTTGGTTAAACCTGGCCCAAACCCCAAATCTATCTCTTTGAACCCTGAGAAGGCCATCTCGTATTCTCTGAATAGCTGTGCCTTGGTTCCCTCTTTGTTTCCACGTTCCTATATTCACAAGGAATGGATAATTTGAGTCCATTCATTGTTTCCTTTTTTAAAAAAATCCATTCAGTTCAAGCACTTCAGGATTTAGTCAATGTCATTGAGATTTGCTGGGTGTGTGGTCTTCAGCCATCATCTTCAATCCACCTCCACTCTCCCTTTCCTCATCCTTATCTCTTAGAACAATAGCTAAATGCTCTTCCTCTTATGGTACAGCTTTGCCCCGAAGCAGATCCCTTGAGTATTTAGCATCTACGTACCTTCCAAATTAACAGGATTTTCTCCCTGAAGGAATTCTGGTGGGTTTAATGATTTCCCCATTCATCACTTATCATTAAGCAATTCCACATACAGAAACTTTCCCTGATTCCTTTAGCTTTCAAAGGTCTCCTGCTCCTCTGAATTTATGCAATGCTAAGGGTTTGCACCTACATCACAGAATCCTTTTTCCTGTTTATTTTGCTAGTGTTTCATGTCTATTTGTCATGATCCTCGATTAGGTTGTAATGTGTATGAGGATCAGGACAGTAATTCTTACACCTCTAGTCATGCATTCATTGAGCAAGCCTTTGGATGTCCACTATGTACCAGGCACACTTAATACAGATGGCAGCATGTCTCCTTGAGAAGCTTATAGCTTAGGAAGGAGCAGAAGCATATATATAAACAGATGAATTATAACACACTGTAGGAAATGCCATAAGAGTTGTGAACAAAATGCATAGGCACCTAGAAGAGGAAAACTACCAATAGAGCTGAAAAGAGCCTCTGAAAGATGCATAGGAGATCATAGGAGAGGGGTGTTACGCACGAGCACAGAGATATGAGAGAGCAAATCGTGTAAAGGATAAATTAAAAAGTTCAGTGTGGCCAGGGCTTGGAGCTTCTTGAGCAGATGGAAAATAATTAAAGAGGTTGTCAGGCAGGCTATAAAAAAGACTTCTGAATTTCTCCTAGCTCCTAGTCTGTTGCTGTGCCTAATAAATAATAGCTTGTACCTAAGAAATAGTATATCATGGTAGAGCACTGTACCATCTTCAGAGAACTTTTACACTTACGATTTTTGGTCTTAACTCTATAAATAAATGATATCTCCTTCAAATTTACGGATAATGAAATTGAGGTTCAGACAATTTTAGTGATGTGCTTCAAGTCACCCAGCTAAGTAACATCAGGTGAGACTCTAATCTAATCCAATTACCTCTTCTAATTCTAAATCCAAAACTCTTCACCACCCAGATCATGAGTGAGCAGGTCCATGACTGTCATCATTACACAGCCTTATAGAGTGAGATGCTGTATAACTTAATGAAAAGAGAATGAGCTTTAGAGACACAATTTCCAAGTTTAAGTCACTTACAACCTGTGTGACCTTTGGAAAGTGACAGAATCTGAGCCTCTGTTCTGTCACTATCAACATTACATGTCAAAGCTTCTTTATAGAACCATTGATGAGATCAAAGCATACAATCCCTCCATAAATTCACAATATGAATACTACAAACCTATTTTAAGTGACTATTCCACAGAGGAAATTTTAATTACATATTACCTTTCAAAAAAATAAATATAATTATTTTAAGTCTACCAAATATTTTAATTTTGGCCTAAGCAGTCTGGTGTACCCTTAAAGCCACTCATTCTTTCTTATTTTTCCTGGAATGTCATTTACAGGCTCAGCTTTATTTCTAGAATGAATTATAAACCCATCTACATATGAATCATTTGCTGTCCTCATTTCACACCACAAGTTCTATTTTGGGGGGTGGAGTGGGAGAATGGACAGCCATTACAAGCTCCTGTAAGAATTTGCTGTTTGCTCAGATAAAATGGCTCCTTCCTCCATGGCTTCCCTTTGAAAGAAACTGGTTGAGAAACACTCTTTTCCAGGATCTCTGTGTCATTAAACCACTGCCACTAGGGTGATTAAGGGTGGCAGGGGTGGGGTGACACAGGGAAATACCATGCAAATGTCACTCAGATCTGTCAACACCCACCCCAGCACTTCTGCAGGCCCTCCAAATCAGCCTTTTCTCCGAGTGTTGACTTCCAGAAAAATCATGCAATCAGCTTAAAATTTAAAATTACCTCAAAGACCAAAACAATGGTGGAGTTAACAGTGAAAATAAAATAGGGACCCCACGATGCACCAAAAATCACGTGATCATGTTACATTCCTCCAAAAACCCCCTCCCCAAACAACTGAGCTCTTCAATTAGTGCCATCTAGCATGGGAAAGGCAAGAAAAAAAAAATCACAGCTTACAGCCGATATTTTCCACTGAGCCAGCCACCCTCCCTTTTTTTCTTCCCTGAAGTTAATAGTGAAAGCTCTGTTTGTTTCACAATGCGTTAATTCTTGCTGCTTGCAAGAAATTATTTTTGGAGGTATCATATTTTAATATAAATTTCCATGAATCTTTCCACATGATTCCCTTGCATTGAGGCACTGCCCTCCCAGCCAAGCTCACCCAACAATGCCCACACTTCATACACCCTTAGGCCTGGGACAGGCCAAACACTGTGTTCACTGCCTGGACCACAGCCCTGGGTGCTGGTGGGGAAGGAGAGAACGTTTGCAACTGATCTCAAGTGTCATGGTGGTTTTCAGCTGGCAAAAGCATCTGAACATAGTTGTTGTATTTTTCATGCTCATGAAGGGATTTTCCAAAAATCCAAGCTATGTTTTGAAATCTGCATCATTATAGGGTATAGACCCTTCCCCTTCGTTCTTTCTCCAGCTCACTGCTTGCCAAATGGTTTGGAGCAGAACTTTTTGAAAACACAGCCAGAGGAAAGACCAGCTCATTTAGCCAAAGAATAAAACAAGAGGCTGATTAAAAGAAAAGTTACACTATATTATTTCACATTTTGATTAGCCTAATTATACCCAATTTTGTTTATTGACTGTTCTCCATTCAAAATACCAGAATTAGAAAGGCTGGCTGCAAATACAAGAGAATTAGTCTTGAGGCAGGAAGGCCCCTAAACATGCTACCTACTGAGCATTAAAGTCATTGACTAGTACCTTTATTTTTTTCCTTATGAATTCCAAGGGCTATCATTATACGAAAAAAAAATTTTTTTTCATTTTCTGTATACCATATTTCTATCTCTTGGATCGGGAACTTAGAATGATCAGTGTTTGAATTCACTCTTGTCATTTTATCAGGTTAGTCTGAGCTTCAGTTTCCTCTCCTATAACATGGGAATAAAACCAAGCTGATAGGTTGGGTTACTATGATGATTAAAATAATTTTGTAAAGCCTATAACACACTGACTAGCACATGGTAAGTGCTCAATATATGAAAGATATCATTACTATTATTACTAATGAGATAGACTGTTCTACTGTGGCTTCGCCAATGAATGACACTTCCTGATATTTACCCCTGGTAAAGTTCTCTCCTGCGTTGAATCTGGGCTTGATCATGTGACTTGATTTGGCCAATGAGACTTTAGCAAGCGAGGCTTAATATAAGCAATTGGAAAAGGGGTTTGTTTTCTTGGTTAAGCTCCCTCTTGGATCCCAGCTGCCATGTTGTGAGGAAGACTAGGCTGTTCTGCTGGAGAGAAGCCATGTGGAGATGCCCTGGAGGATGAGACACCACTCACAGAGGACACCTGGAGGAGAACTCAGGTGCCCCAGCTAAGCTCCCACTGATGCAGTCAACACCACAGAGAGCACAGGAACAGGACATGGAATTGTGAAAATCATTGTGATAACAAACACCTGGGAAGGGAAAAAAAAAAAAAAACACCAACCCCTGCCACCAACACACACACAAACTTAGAAGTTACCTTCTACCCAACTGATGAAGACAGGCAGGCAATACTAAGTAAGAGCATGGACTTTGGAGTCACAACAGCCATGGGTTGACTCAATTACAAACTATATGACTGTGGGCAGATTGTCTCTAAGCCTCTGTTTTATCATCTATTCGTGAAAATAGCAGCTACTTCATAGGGTTATTGTGAGGAGTTTAATCAAGATAATCCATATAAATATTTAGTTCTGTGCTGGATGCATGGCTAGTGCTTAATAAGTATAAGTGATATCATTGTTTTCATTAAGGTAGAAATAGAAGCATAGCAATGTTGTTCAAAATATTAGGATATCTCATTAAAAACAAGTTGGCAGAGGCCACTGCCCAACTTTTCGACCCGAAGGACGTGCTGAGCAGCTGAAGCCAATCATTGATATTCAGGTCATTTCTGCTATGGTAGCTAACTTAAACAACCATGATTGTGTACACTCCCTTCCTTTAAAGAAAATATTGACTTTGAGTTTTCACAGGTGCTTTCGATTTAATCACTGGGTCCTTTATGCAACCACCTGTCCTTGTTTTTCTTTTCCATGGTGAAGAAGTAATGCTAACTCCTGCAAACCTGAGTTTAGCTCCAGAAATCCAACCCAGGAGAGAAAGGACGTGAATTGCCCTTCGATGCACGTATTATTCCATTCTCACACTGCTATAAAGAACTGCCCGAGACTGGGAAATTTTATAAAGGAAAGAAGTTTAATTGACTCACCGTTCAGCATGGCTGGGGAGCCTTCAGGAAACTTACAATCATGGTAGAAAGCGAAGAGAAAGCAAGACACCTTCTTCACAAGGTGGCAAGAAGGAGAAGTGCCTAGCAAAGGAGGAAGAGTCCCTTACAAAACCATCAGATCTCGTAAGAACTCACTCACCATCACGAGAACCGCATGGGGAAAACCACCCGCATGATTCAGTTACCTTCACCTGGTCTCTCCCTTGACACATGGGGCTTATGGGGATTACAATTCAAGATGAGATTTGGGTGAGGACACAAAGCCTAACCATATCAACCCATAATGAGAAAAGTTCATCAGAGCAAACACATCAAAACCCAAGTTGGGGGATATTTAATTTGCCATGTACCATTAGGGCAGTAGGCACAGTTTCAGCCCTAATCAAAGGCCAGGATTTTACTAAAATCCAAGCATTCCTGGAACCACACAGTCAAAAGGAAGGGGAATTAAGAGACTGTGTTAAGACAGAGGCCTCCAGCAAATGCAGTCAGTGCATATTAGAAGGCACCTGAAAGATACTACTTGTTTAAGAAATCAGGCTTAAGCAGAGGTAGTCATAAACCGCAAACATCTGTTCCATGGCTCATAACCTTGCACATCTTAGGGGAAAGCACAGTGTTACCACTGCTGGCAGCATAAGCCTGCTGATAAGGAATGTCTGGATGTTTTTCAGGCAAATACACTATTCTCTGAGTGATTTGGAAACTTTTTGTAGGGAATTCGTAAAATGGGTTTTTCCAAAATCCTAGAATAGGAAGGATTATTGAGTCGATATTCACAGCCCTTATTGTTTTGCTTGGAATGTTTAAATGCTTTAGAACTTACTCCCTCTGTGTAATTCTTGTCTATCACAATTGGGCCATTTGCTGAACCCTGTGAACTCCTGGCAGGCAGATCCTGTGTTTCTCTAAGGCAGCTCCTCCCTTCTCCCTTCCTCTTGGTAGCTTCTGTCCTGCCCTGGCTCCTTCTGCCCAGTAGACCCTTTCTTATGTCTGCATGTCAGCTCACATGAACTTCCTGAAGTCCCAATCAATATCCCTGGGTACACAGATTGCCAAGGCAACCTCTGCTCAATTCAAAGTCACCCAGAATACTCTCAGTCTAGCAAGTGAAAGGGGAAGATGTGGCTGGCTTAGAACAAAAATAACAGAGAGGCTGGTACCACCAAGCCTCTCTATGAAGCCAAAAATCCTATAAAAAAAGGAAAAGATGACGTGGATGCTGTGACTGCAAAGAAGAAGGCAAGGCCTGAGAGATGCAAGGGAAAAGTGGGCAACCAACAGCAAGGAACAGGAGCAGGAAAGAGAGAGGCTGTCACAGGCTGAGAGAGGGCAAGGCCCACATTTCCACCCACTTCCTCCTCCAAAACCCCGGCAGCATCTCACCAGCAAAACCTCTGCCAGCTCCACACTCTAGCAGCCAGCCACACCCAGGCCACCAACCCTTTGCCACTAGTCGCAAGAGGATGTTAGCTGAAGCCTCCTCTGATTTAAATGCCAGGCCACTGGCATGTGACTCCAAGATGTGTAACTCGTAGTAGGACTGTCAACTTGGGTCATTTAAAAGGTGACCCCACTCAGGGGTACGTTCTGGAAATAGTATAGTGACCTCAGCCGAAAAGGCTAGAAGCTGTAGTTAGTGGGACCCAGCAAAAGAACCTCTTAAGGACCCATAGCCAGAGGAGACCAGCACCAGACCATCCAGCAAGAACTTTCCCTATCTCTTCTTGTTCCCCTGCCTCAGCCCTGGGTCATCCAAGACAACCTAGTAAGTAAAGGAGAATGGTAAACATGCTCCGTAGAAATACAGAAAGTAGGTATGCCTCCCCTCCCTGACTTCATACAAGTTTCTAGGAGAAAGCCAGCCTGCATGGAGGATAACAGGGTTTCTACTCTAAATGTGACTATTACATGGGCCTGGACATTTTAATTTCAAATAAGATATATATTTTTTGTGGCTAGATGTAACTAGAGGACTTTTCCATTATTGTCTAAGAATAACCAAAACGAGGATGTCTTTGTGAGATTTCATTCAAAGGCAAGAGTCAGCAGAAAGGAGCCAAGATGGCATTCGCTGGAGCAGTGATGAGAAAAACATGACTTCATGATCATACCAGATTAAACTCTATTTGTTCAATATATCAGTTAGATGTTCATTGGCCCAGGCACTCTCTGAATCAGATCTGGCCGGGGAGAGAGGACATGGAGAGGCAGCTCAAGCTGGAAGATCATGTTGGTGAAGTTTGGTGACTTCTGTGACTGCTGGGGTAGGGTGACCCTTTCCTTGTCTGCTCCACTTCTGTCCCTTCATTTCTCCAAGATCTCTTGCCTGCTGATGTTAACCAGCTTTTATGACCCTAAATATTGTTAACCACCCACAGGGCCTGAGATCAGATTGTCTTAAGATTTTTCAAACTAGGAGAGCCCTTTCTTCAGAAGAAATTGTTGGAATTTTAAAAGACCAATACAAAGCATTCCTGCCTTACTGGCCTATGTTCAGAACCAATAGAAAGAAGTGGAGATCAAAACGTCAGTATCATTACTGGTAAAGCTACTGGAGACTGTGACTTAGATGTGAGGACCAAATGAGCATGCCAGCATTACATCCCCAAATTAAGCGTATCCACAGCAGTGCTGGACAGCTAGAAGTCTCCTATGAAGGAGTCCTCTCAGGGAAAACTACAGTACAAAGGAATCAAACAGACCAGAATACATGGCCTCTGAGGCAGGCTGTTCCCAAAGCTCGAGGGCAGAGGAGGAGACTGAGCCCACATTCTCAAGCGTCGCTCCCAAGTTCCCCAATCAGGGAAGCCACTCCTCCTCTGGAGAGGAGGGAATGAGGGGACAGAAATGTAAAAACTGCCAAGTTCCCCTTACAGGGAAACAAGAGGAATAGTGACTTAGTGTGTACTTGTTGCTGTCACATGTCTTACTATTAAGCAGATCATTGCTGTACTTCTCTGGTTGGAGAGGAGGAGGAAAGTGATGGCGCATGTGCTCTGTGCCGCTTACCCTATGGTGCATCCTTAGCCAGCTCAGGAGACTTGCTTTAAGCATCTTTGGAAAACACTGTCTTGGGTCTCCTGGCAACAGCACTGTGCATGGACTCAGAACATGCTGCAGCTGTGACTCATTGATACTCTGGTAGATTTCATTTCCGTGGCTTGACATCCAGCTCCCTGAGTGTCATGGGTGCCCACTGCTGCCTCTAGCCCAGCATCTCGCTGCCCCATCAACTCCCATCCACAGCCTGGCCCAGCACAATCAGTAGGCATCTTTGTGCCTAGGAGCTGCACCCTGCCTGTTACCCAGGCCTCCCTGGGGGAAACCAGTGAGGGAAAGGGTGAAGCAAGTCGGCTCCCTCTGCCTCAGCTTCATTCAGAAGCAAGATTCACCTGCCGAGCTCTGACCTCCCCCAGGTCATAATTGAACTGTAGGACTTCTTTGGTATCTAAAACCAGCGAGTTGTGCCTTGCTTTGAACTGGCTCCATATATAGCAATTCATCTACTTGCTTGGTCAGAAGAACGATTCCTAAAAGAGGCCAAAAATAAATGACAATGATGTTTACTGACTGGGGAGGAAGACTTGAAGGCGGAGCTGTGTGCATTCCTATTCTTGGATATTTACTTCCAGGTCCCTTTAAACCAGTAATTTTTAACTTTGGGTCTGGGGGTGGGGCAAGAGAAGGGTCATAAATTCTTTGCATAAACTAATGAAAGTTAGAGATGCTCTCTCTCCAAAAGTGCACACACACACACACACACAAACACTATGTGTATATATATGTGTAGTATGTATACACATATATAATATTTAATATATATGTTACATATAAAGTATATATATGTGTGTGTGTGTGTGTGCATATATGTGTGTATATATACATATAAATTATATATATAAATTAGAGACTCCCTTGAGGTATGTACATACAGACACACACACACACACACACACACACACACACACACGCCAGAATAAGAACCCCTGCTTTGAATCATGCAGAGTTTTAGAACTATATGGGGCATTAAATATAGTGTGGTACAAAACAGGGATTTCAATTGAACTAAAAAAAATATTTTTCTTTTCATAAATTGATATCCTATACTCTTTTAAAGGTTTAAATAAAGATAATAAATAAAGACAACGGAAACCACATACAAGATAGGGAGAATTAATTGTATCCGCAACAAGGTTGTTACTGTAAGTAGACTCTTACATTTAAGTCTGAGCTTCTGGGCAGCCAAGATAAACAGAGAAACATCAAGTAAAGCAACCAATTATTAAGAACTATGTGTTAAGCTTTTAAAGAACATGGTCCTTAAGGAGGAAAGAGTGATTTTTATTAAAATATTCAGAGGCTGAAGGCCAGGGCAAGGATACGTGATGGGCTGTGTGTTCCATGCTATAAATGGAGGTTAGGTTCTACAGGCGGCACTTAGGATTTGCGATATAGAAATACATAACATTGCTAATAGGGAAACACAAATAAGATTCAGGAAAAACATTACAAATGATCTCTGGGGAAAATCCAGTTTGTCAGGTGAGGGGCTGCCATCACGAGTCCTTGTTTCAATAGATTAATTGGGTGCATCCAGGAAGAGTCCCAGTCCTCAAGGGAGCCTTCTGGAAGACAACTGAATGCTCTTGGTCAAGTTTTGTCTTGTTGAGGAGGATTTCTTAAGAGTACAAAGATATCACAGCTAAAATGCACTCTCAACTCTTTAGAAGAATCAGTGCTGCTGGTTCTGGAGCCACATCTTGAGAATAAGCTGCTGGATTTACATTTCCCTCAGGACCCTAAAACATCCAGTTTCATTCCAGCTGATCTCTCACATTCTTCAAGGGAATCCCTGGGAATGTACTTTCAAGAAACAAGGCTCCGTCTGCTAACACTGGGATTCAGCTGCTGCTGAGAAGAGACTATTTCCCGCCACCTTCTCTGAAAGCCACTGAAACACAGCGGGCCTGCTTGTTCCTTAGCCACCTCCACATTTCCACCACGAGTAAACATGTAAGAAATTACAAATAGGAGACAAGCCCTACAGACTGTGAAATTACCTACAGTTGTTCACATTTTTCCCCATAAAATAGTATCCTTCCAGAAATTTGCCTGCAGAGAGGATAGTCTTTCTAGCAGTAATTCCTACCTGCGAGGGTTGCTGGTCCATTGGCATAACAGGACTTCAGGGTACCAGCCAGGAGATCACAAGAAAGATGCTTCTTCAAGTGTCTGCTGCAGTACAAAATAACACCTACTGAATATCATCCAAGACGCACATCTCTTTAGAACGAGAGCACATCAACATGTTTATTTAACAAGCACTATGTAGTGTTTCCCATATACCAGGCCCTGTTCACATGTCACTCTTTTGCCCCTTTTAACAACCTTCTGTGGAGACAACCATTATTATCCCCATTTGACAGAAGGAGACATTGAGGCCCAGAAAAGGTTAGTAGCCCATGTTACTCTGCAAGTAACAGAGGCAAGATTTGAACCCAGGCAGTCTAGTTCCAGGGACATGTTCTTATTCACTATCCTAGTGGTTATGTAACTTCAGCCTGTATCAGAATCCCCTGAAAGGCTTGTTAAAATGCAGAAACTGGGGCCCCATCCCTGGAGATTCTGGTTCAGTAGGTGTAGGGTCGGGGTCTGAGAATTTGCATTGCCAACAAGGTCCCAGCTGATGCTGATGCTGCTGGTTCTGGAACCACATTTTGAGAACTACTGCCTATGCTCACTAAGCCATCAGTTGAACACCTCCTGAGCCTTTGCACACTCTACCTGCATTGTTCTCAGTGAATCCTGATCATCAGTAGTTCTTTGAATTTTCTCCAGGTGATGCTAACATGTAGCTAGGATGAGAATCCCTGCTCTGCTTAAAGCCAGTGGTTCTCAATCTTGGCTGCACACTGGAATCACATGGGGGATTTTCAGATCTGCTGCCTGGGGTCCTAGCCTCAGTTATTGTTTTAATTGGTATGACCCTTAAAAGTCCCTGTACATCATGTTTTAAAAGATTTTACAAGTGATTGTAATGTACAGCAACCATTTGAAGATCACTGCTCTCAACTCTTTTCACTTTTAGAAGCCACCAGTTTGCTGATGATCAATTTCCAGGATCCTCAGGGATCTTCAGTTATCCTCCCTAAAGCGTGATGACAAAGTTAGCCCAGGCCAGAAATTAGCTGCTGCTATGAGACCAGCTGACTTCTAGTAAATGTTTCTAATTAGGGCTACAGATTTTTTTAAAAACAAGTTAGTCTTCTCACTAAAGGGCCAAGTTATTCAGATAATAACTTGATTTTGGCAGACTGTTGAAATTCTCTGGCATTGCCTTCTCCCAAATTTGGAGTGGTTTGCTTTACAAGAGGATTCTCTATTTTATGAAGGAATTCCTGGCAAGTTTTCTTGACAGGACACTTAAAAATAATATCTGATTTGCACTCACTCATAAATTAAGGCTGGAGCCTTTAAAAGATTCTACAGCCCTTGACAGTGGCAGAAGCATCTTTCAAGACATTGCTTTGCTCTCACTGTAAGGTCTAATCACTTCCCCTCTGAGTTCCTGTATTAATTCTGCTGTCCATAAAGCTGAGGTGAGAGATAACACTTTCAGACATCACTCAGCTGTTTGACCAGCTCTCTGTTACAAAAACAGACATGGACAACACTAAGAGAACAATTCAGGTGATCGTTTCTTTTGCTAGGGAAAACCTACTCCAAGTCATTCATTCATTCGCCTTCGCAAATGTTTCTTAATACGATAAAATGGATTTTACTCATCAGATTATGCTAGCAGAGTTCAATTCACTTGCATGATTTTTGAACTCACAGTGACGTATTTTCCTAGCACAAACCTGCAACCGATTGCTTGGGAGAAAATTTAATAGATGGCAGCTTATCCTTTTTTCCCCTCAGCTTTATTGAGGTATAATTGGCAAAAAAAAATTATATATAGTTAATGTGTTCATCATGATGTTTTGATATATGTATATATTGTGAAATAATTACCACAATCAAACTAATTTGTCTATCACCTCATGTAGTTACCTTTTCATTTTTTTAGTGAGAACACTTAAGATCTATTCTCTTAGAAAATTTCAAGTATACAATGCACCATTAACTATAGTCACCATGCTGCACATCGCATCTCCAGAACTTATTCATCCTGCAAAACTGAAACTCTGTACCCTTTGACTAGCATCTCCCTACCACCACCCCCAAAGCCCCTGTATTAGGTTCCAGTCCAAGATGAGGTCTGAGGGGATTCGCTGGGGTGGCAGGTAGCTGAAAGAACACTCGAGAGGCCACAGGTAGGTGAGACATGGCTTTATTCAGCAGCTCGCTGACACTGTTGGTGCTGCATTTATGCACCTCGCAGACAACAGTGGCTCAGAGCCAGGTGATGAAACTTCCCATGTTATGGCTACATAGCTATGATTATATAACGCATGGGGTTGCATGTCTGCACTCCAATCCCACTGTGTCATGCTGTGCCAGATGTGTACCTCGGCCTATACTTGACTGCAATGCAGCCATTGTCCTTACACCCTGGGAATCACCATTCTACTCTCTGCTTTTCTTAGTTCAACTTTTAAAAATTCCACATATAAGTGAGATCATACAGCATTTGTCCTTCTGTGTCTGGCTTATTTCACTTAGCATAATATCCTACAGATTCATCCATGTTTTAGTAAATGGCAGGATTTCCTTCTTTTTAAAGGTTGAATAATATTCCATTTTATATATGTGTGTATATATATGTATATATATATGTATGTGTGTATATGTACACACACACACCATATAAAGTATGGGATATATATTTATATACACACAGCATACTTTATCAATTTATCCACTGACATACACATAGGTTGTTTCCATCTCTTGGCTTGTCTTTGAATGAGAAATGTCTATAAAGGTCTTTTGCCCATTTTTAAAACCAAGTTATCTAGGTTTTTTTTTTTTTTACTATTGTTTGTGTTTCTTATATATTTTGAATATTAAGGCTTTACCAGATATGTGGTTTGCAAATGTTTTCTACCATTGCATAGATTGATTGTCTCTTCACTCTGTTGATTGTTTCCTTTGCTGCGCAGAAGCTTTTTAGTTTGATGCAATCCCACTTGTCTATTTTTGCTTTTGTTGCCTGTGCATTTGGGGTCATATAAAAAAAATTATTGCCCAGACCAATGTCAAGAAGCTTTGGTCCTATATTTTCTTCTAATAGTTTCATGGTTTCAGGTCTTATATTTAAGTCTTTAATCCGTATTGATTTTAATCCATATTATTTTAGCTGTGGGCTTGTCATATGTGGCCTTTATTATGCTGAAGTACATTACTTCTATACCTAATTTGTTGGGTTTTTATCATGAAAGGATGTTGAATTTTGTCAAATGCTTTTTCTGCATTTATTGAGATGATCATATGATTTTTATTCTTCATTCTGTTAATGTGTTATATTACATTGATTGATTTTTGTATGTTGGACCAACCTTGCATTCCAGGAATAAATCTCACTTGATCATGGTATGTATGCTTTTTTAATATGCTGCTGAATTGGTTTGCTCATATTTTGTTGAGACTTTTTGAATCTATGTTTGTCAGGGATATTGGCCTGTAATTTTCTTCTCTTGTAGCATCCTTTTCTGGCTTTGGAATCAGAGTAATGCTGGCCTTATAAAATGAGTTTGGAAGTGTTTCCTCCTCTTCAATTTTGTGAAGAGTTTGAGAAGGCTTAGTTTTAATTCTTCTTTAAATGTTTGGTAGAATTCATCTGTGAAACCATCTGGTCCTGTGCTTTCCTTTGTTGGGAGACTTTTTTTAAATTACTGATTCAATATCCTTGCTCATTATTGGCCTGTTCAGATTTTCTATTTCTATTTCTATTTCTTAATGATTCAGTCTTGATAAGTGTTGGAAGTTGTTGAAAACGGAGTATTGAAATCGCTGTTATTACATTGCTGTCTACCTCACCTTTCAGTTCTGTTAATGTTGCTTTATATACTTAGAACATGCTCTGATGTTGGGTGCATATATATTTACAATTGTTATAGTCTCTTTATAACTTGACCTTTTGATCACTATATATTAAATAATAACCTTTGTCTCTTGCGACAGTTATGATTTAAGTCTACTTTGACTAATATAAGTACAGTCATCCCTGCTGTCTTTTGCATGAAATACCTTTTTCATTCCTTCATTTTCAGCCTATATGTGTTCTTAAGGCTAAAGTGAGTTGCTTGTAGGTAGCATATTCTTGGATTTTAAAAAAAAAAAAATCTATGTAGCCACTCTATGTCTTTTGACTGGAGAATTTAATTTGTTTACACTTAAAATAATTATTGATAGACAAGACTTACTAATGCCATTTAGTTAATTATTTCTTTGTTTTCCTTCAATTATTTCTTCTCTTGCTTTCTTTTTGTTTTGATTATATTTTGTAGAGGTATGCTTTAATTCCTTTTTCTCTGTCTTTTGTGTATATATTAGAGCCTGTGTGTGTGTGGGGAGGCGGGGCGGTCACCATGAAACTTACATAGAACATCTTATAGTTTTAAGTCTATTTTAAGCTGATAATTTAAACTCCAAATGCATTCAAAAGCTCTACACTTTTACTTCTCCACCCCACCTATTTTATGTTAGTGATGTCAAAATTTCCATCTTTTTATATTGTGTATCTGTTAACCTATTATAGCTATATAGTTAAAATTGCCCCTTGAACAACACAAATTTGGACTGCATAGGTCTACTTAAATGAGGATTTTTTTTCAATAAAAGTAACACCAAGTGTGCCTGCCTCTTCCACCTCTTTCTCCTCTCCCACCTCTAAGACACCAAGACCAACCTCTCTTCTTCCTCCTCCTCCTTAGGCTACTCAACATGAAGACAACAAGGATGAAAAGACATTTATGCTGACACACTTTTACTTAATGAATAGTAAATATAGTTTCTCTTTCTTATGATTTTTTTATTAACATTTTCTTTTTTCTAGCTTACTTTATTGTAAGAATGCAGTATATAATACACATAAAATATAAAATATGTGTTAATCAATTGTTTATCAGTAAAGCTTTCAGTCAACAGTAGGCTATTAGTAGTTAAGTTTTGGGGGAGTCAAAAATTATATGCAAATTTTTGACAACATGGGGGAAGAGTTAGTGCCCTTAACCTCTGCATTCTCCAAAGGTCAACTGCATTTTGTAATATTGCCTTTATTGAATGAATACAACTTTTCTTTGTCCCGAATTTTTTATCAGCCAGGATTATTGATGCCATGATTTGTGTATGATCAATCTCCTTTAGGAATGGGATGAATATGTAGTAGTATTAACCTAAGTATGGACCAGCATCACCTGGGAGTTTATTGGCAATGTAGAATCTGGGACCCACCCTAGACCTTCTGAGTCAGAGCCTGCATTTTAACAAGACCCCAGAATGCACCCATCTTCTGAATCTTTTCCTTTCTTTTATGCATGGGAAAACAGACAAGGAAAGTTAAAGAACTCATCCAATATAGGAAAACAGTATCTAGCAGGGGAAAAAGACAGAACCAGGCCTCCCTGTCTAAGACTTTCTGTTCTATCAGACTATATTTCTGAATGGTTGTCTAAGCTTTTGTTTTATTTTGTTTGAATATAAGGAGGCACTTCCTCTTTATAGAGCAATTTCTTCGGACAATAGGTCAACTGAATTTTTAATACTTTGTCTTCTTTTGTACTAGAAAAGTGATTTATATACCACCATTGCAATCTTACAGCATTCTAAATTTGACTATCAACTTACTTTAACCAGTGAGTAAACATATGAACACTTTTATGTTTTTGTGTTACTAATTAGCATCCTTTTCTTTAAACTTAACTCCTTTTCGCATTTCTTGTAAGGCGAGTGTAGTAGCAAAGCTGAGGAAGCCCAGCTTTTGTTTGCCTGGGAAAGTCTATCTCTCCTTCAGTTCTGAAGGACAGGTTTGCCAGGTATAGTATTCTTGATTGGCAGGGGTTTTTTTTTTTTCCACCTTTAGCATTTTGAATATTTCATCCTACTCTCTCCTGCCCTGCAGGGTTTCTGCTGAGATATCTACTCATAGCCTTGTGGAGGTTCCCTTGAATGTTGCAATCTGCTTCTCTCTTGCTGCTTTCAAAATTCTGGCTTTGACTTTTGATAATTTTGTTATAATGTGATGTGTCTCATTATAATCTTCTTTGGGTTTTCCTGTCTGTGGATTTTTGAGCTTCATGAACCAAGATGTTCATATCCCTCTCAAGATTTGGGAAGTTTTCAGCCATTTTTTCTTTAAGTAAGCTTTTGTCCCCTTTTTCTATCTCTCTTTCATAATGTATATATTAATTCATTTATTTGATGAAGTCCGATAAATCTAATCGGCTTCACTCTTTATTGTTATTTTTTCTCCTTTAACTGGATAATTTTATCTAATCTGTCTGTGCTCAGAGATTTTTTCTTCTGCTTAAGTCTGCGTCTGAAGCTCTCTATTGAATTTTTCATTTAATTATATTATTCAGTTCCAGAATTTCTGCTTGTATCTTTTTTATAATTTCTATCACTTTATTGAACTTCTAATTTTGTTCATGTATTTTTTCTGAGTTCACTGAGTTGTCTGTTTTCTCTTGTAGTTTGCTGGGGTTCCTTAGAACAATTATTTTGAATCCTTCATCAGGCAATTTATAGATCTCCATTTCTTTGGGATGGTTACTGATATATTATCGTGTTCCTTTAGTGAAGTCATGTGTCCTTGATTTTTTGCATTCTTTGAAGTCTTTCACTACTATCTTCGCATTTGAAAAAGGAGTTACCTCTTCCAATCTTTACTGACTATTTTCAAAAGAGAAAGACTTTCATTAGTCAGCTTAAATAGGGATTCTGGTGGTCTCTCAGAACTTTTCTACAGATGCATATGCTCCACTTCCCTTGTTCCCTCTTGAGTGGGGTAGACAAGTGTCAAGATTATATTAATATGTTGTCTTATTCTGTGGTGCTGTAACAAAATACCTGAGACTGTGTAATTTATAAGCAATAACAATTTATTACTTATTATTTTGGAGCTGGGAGGTCCAAGATCAAGGCTCCAGAAGGACTGATGCCTGATGAGCGCTGCTCTCTGCTTCAAGATGGTATTTTCTTGCTGCATTCTCCATAGGAGAAGTCTAACCTGGCAGAAGGGATGGAAGGGCAAAAGAGAACTCCCATAAACCTTGACATCTTTTATGAGTGCTCATCCCATTCAAGTGAGAAGAGTCATCATGACTTAATCACCTCCCAAAGGTTAGACTTCTTAGTACTATTGCATTGAGTATTCAGCTTCAACATAAATTTTAAATGTTAAATTTTCATTCAAATTACAGCATATTCCTTCTCTTGATCTTGCAAAAGTCAGGCCAGGTGCAATGTAAGCCTCCTGTTTATCTTCCCTAGGAAGTGCCTTGAAAAATTCAAGATTAGTCACTTCCTTCCAATCCTGAATCAAGTTAGTTATCTTCATGTTCTCATGCACAATCTGCAGAAGCTTGTACATGCTATCCATGGGGGTGCATTCAGGGTGCCAGCTACATGGGGGAAGGGCATGCAGAAGGTTGGAAGCACACATGGGCTAGTCAGGGGATCTGCAGATTATGCATCCTATGTAGTTTGTGGCTGGCCCTCTTGATGGAATTTGGGAGGTAGTTAATAGAAACTGTGGCTCTTTGCTGAATTCCATACTCAGGTTGCTGTGAGTGCTGCCCCTTTTCCCTGCTCCTAGCTACCCCCAGATTATTCAGCCATACTGATTCCCTCAGGGTTCTCAAATGGGTGAGGCAGAAGTGGGTCTCTTCTACAGCATCCTACAGCTGAGGAAATTAGGCACTCACTGTTCTCATTTTCCCCTGTGGAAGAAACTGGGCTGAAGCGGTCTCTCTTGGCACTGATCTGTGCCACACTGGGGGAGGGGTGACACAGGTAAAGTAAAACTGTTCTTACCTTCTTTAATGCATCTAGTTTTGGATTTATTTATTTATTTATTTATTATTTATTTTTTGGTCCAAATAAAGTGCTAGGGTCTCTCTGCTGGACTTCTGCGCTCCCACAAAGGTTCTCTCACCTGTGGGTGATTGGCAAAATTAGTGTTTCTGTGGGAGGGATGAAGGTTGACTACTCATCCATTGACTATGCCCATTCTACCATCTTGCTGATGTCACCTGCAGCATTATTTCTTAGAAATGCCAAGATGCCCCCATACATTCAAAATTACAATGTGGCAACTGAAGACTCAGTTTTGGTCATATCTGTGCACCATGTTAGTCTATAAAGCTCCTGCATTAAAAAAATTTTTCACTTGCCAACTATCTATCTATATCTATGTTCTTATCTATATACTCTCTACACACTTTAGGGTCTTAATCCTGCTTTTTCAGCTTAGTATAGGATTGACAGATCTAGCAAACAGAATTAAGAATGCCCAGTTAAATTTGCATTTTATATAAATAATGAATAATTTTTATTATAAGTATGTCCCAAATGTTACATGTATTTTATCTGACAACCCTAGCCAAGAACCCTTTCTGAAAGCTAGAGTACTCATGCTTTATTTTGCGCTTCCTCAGCCAGATTTTCCTTCATATTACCGGTGTTTACATTAAGTTCTTATCCCTTTCTTTCCCTTTATTCATTCATCCAACTGGCTCATGGTATTTACATTTGGGCTGGATCTTAGAATTCTAGACTTAGAAAAGATATGAGACTCAGAGATCAAGAGCCCTCAGAACTTGGAGTTGGGAGAGTTTATGGCTCATGCGGTGACAGCATTTCAAATAGGTAATGACTTTTGTAGACTTGCCTGAGAATTTACCAATTGTTTAGAACATTGTTTCTCAAAGAAAGTAAATTTTGAGTTCCAAATTGAAATAGTAACCTAGTAGTAGAGATATAGGGGAGGGGAGAGATTAGAGAAATATTTAGATGGTAAAATAGAATTTGGTGATTACTTGTATACAGACAATGAAGGAGGAATGAAAGATGATACCCAGATTCCTAGTTTGGATAACTGGATTGATAATGAAATAATGAAGCACATATTAAGAAAATACAAAAAGAGAAAACAGTTCAAGTGTGTGTGTGTGTGTGTGTGTGTGTGTGTGTGTGTGTGTGTGTATTTGAAGTAATCAGAGAGCTACCAAGGCAGCCAGGACTTGAAGGGCCAAGATTTTAAAAAGAAGAGAAGAATATTGAGGTGAATCAGACAATCAGTGATACTTTTCACCCAAGGCATTTGTCATTTCATAAGCATTGGTAGAGACATTGAGAAGATAAATAGCACTTTCAGAACTTCAAAAGAATGGGAGACAAATAATAGAACTTCAGAGCTCACCAGGATGGAAGATCCTGGATAAATCAATAAACCCAGCTTTCAGAAAAGACCTCTGAAGGGCTTCACCTTAGGAATAAAGGTGAAACTAGAAATAGACTGGCCCTTAGTAATACCAAAACCTTGCTTCAAATCAGAATGGTGCCAAACTGGATTAAGCTGATCACTTTCTGTTCTAAACCCTCACTGGAGGAAGGAAACCTTATTGTGAGCCTCCACTTTCAACTTGTCACTTTAATTTTCTCACATATAATGTCTGGACTCAATCAAAATTTACAAAACAAACCATAATATCAGACTACTGTCTGAAAAACCAGAGGGAAAAAGACAAAACTAATTCAGATATTAAAATTATCAGGCACAAACGTGAAAACAACTGTGATTAATATGTTTAAATTGCCAAACATGTTTTTCCATTTTTTTCAAATCCCAGGCATATCTTGTTACCACAATATTAGGAGTAGTTAAAAAATACATTGAGAAGGATGTAGAAAAAGAAATAAGTTACAAAGCAGGTAGAAATGTTCCATGTCTTGATGGCAACATATGGTATCTTGATTGTGTTGGTTTCACAGGAATACACATTTGCCAAAACTCATCAAATTGCATTTTTTAAATGAGTAAAGTTTATTGGTTGTTTGGAAGTTTTACCTCAATATAGCTTTAAATTCAATCTCAAACACTAAATTCAAAAAGAAAATTTTAAAAATCAAATATTCATAAATGCTGATTCAAAATGAATGTAATCTTGAGACACACCTACCATGTCAGAGAAGGGAAATATGTCAGACAGTTTGGTGACATCAAAGGAATAAGATGTGCATTCTCCTTCTCTCTCTTTCCCTCTCTGTTTCTCTGTCTCTATCCACACAGCCAGAAGTATCATATCTTATTATTGCAAGTTTTCTATCTCACAGCTGATACTTCCCATAGTTAAGATAGAATAAAGTTGACAGAAAACAAGCCATCTCAGGTTTCACTCCTTCTTAATACGCACGGATTTTCAGTCCACATTTTTCTTGTTCTCTGTGGCTCTACTGGCTGCTGACTTTTACCTAGACACTTGACTTTCTTCTTTGTGCAGTTTCCATAAAATCCCTTAGTAGATGTTTTCAAGCCATTTGGGTCCCCAACCCCACCTTTTCCCTGCACCCAGTATCTGATCCCACTTCTCTCCCTGATTCTGATTCCATTACCACCCTAACCATTTCCTCCCTCCCAATGTTTAGCTGTTCACTGCTTTCTTAGTACTCTCTAATGCTACAGTCTGTGATACAGGAGAGCAGGAACTTTCAGAATAGTTGGCACATCGGTCAATGAATCTCAGATTACAAAATAAATTTTAAAATCCAAGTCACTGCTTCAAACATCTGTAAAGATTTCAAGGTTACATAGAAAAATAAGACTTTATTTCAAACATAAACTTTAAAGTTTTAGAATAAAAACAACCAAATTATTTCCCAGAACAGGAAGGATCGTTTTTCAAAAGTTGAAAAGCCTACCAGATTTTCAAAGCACAGTGATAATGCATTACCAACACCAATGCCCTCAGTCTAAAAAGATGATACTACCAACCAAAGCATCATCAGAACCAACTGAATTTTCCTCTTTTTAAATTATTTCACTCTCTTCTCTGTTATTCTTTTATTCTCTTGATTTTTTTATTATAGTCTCTCAAATTCTCATCATATTTCTCGTTCCAACTCCCTCCCTTTTAACTGGTTATGATATGGAATTTACAACTAAATTATCTGTTGTATTTCTTGAATATAATTTTTGGCATATCCTGCCTTCACTTTAAGATTGCAGATTAAAACCGAGTCACAGTATTTCCCTTTCCAGTATCTAACAACATGGAAGAGAGGGGAATTTTTAAAAATTATAAAACCTAAAAGCTAGAGGAGAAGTCACTAGCAGCCACAAAACAGGAAAAGGGGGGATGCTTAATGCATAAACTCCAAAAACTGGAAAATAAGGAAAGATACTGAAGACTGTGAAATGAAACAGAGAGGGTGCACAGCCTTGCTTTTACTTGTGCCCAAACCCCCGGAAGTTGTACTTCTGAATTGATGAACTGAAACCTCAAAAGAAATTAACTGAGTCATTATCTTTTTCCTTCCAAATGAGGAACTGGGGGAGAAGATACTGGTGGGGAAAAGAGAATGAAATAGGGACTGACCCTACAGAAAAGAAAGCTCCACAGCTCTATGGTCTAAGGAGCCAAGGCTACATTTCCACAAGAAAGGAAAATATCCCTCAAGTAGGTCTTGACACAGGACCATCAACAAAGTTCCAGAAAATGAGCAGGGCTCAATTCTTTAACAAAGAGTGGAAATAACCTAACACAGCTGAGCTTTCTCCTTCTGTTACTATTCTCTTGGTGTGTAAAAGAATGAGTAGAACACAAGGATACTCAGGCACCAACCTATAGCTCTGAGGAGCAAACAAAATTGTCATATATAATGTTTTAAAAAATCAAGAAATAACCCTCTGTACATCAGAGCAAATAGAATGCCTAGACAGAACCACCCAAACTTTAAAAAAAGAAGTATTGATATGGCAGGCAATTATATACATTTTATGTGATAAGGAAGAAAGAGAGAAAAGGAAGGACAAAGAACTAAATAATAATGAAACACCAAGTACCCAAAGGAAAACTGCTTCACACTGTAGAATAACTTACCAAGTACTTGATCTGGCTAAAACAGACTCAGACCGGTTCCAAGATGGCCAAATAGGAACAGCTCTGGTCTGCAGTTCTCAGCGTGATTGACGCAGAAGACGGGTGATTTCTGCATTTCCAACTGAGGTACCTGGTTCATCTCATTGAGACTGGTTGGAAGGTGAGTGCAGCCCATGGAGGGTGAGCTGAAGCAGAGTGGGGCGTTGCCTCACCCGGAAAGTGTAAGGGGTCGGGGGATTTCCCTTTCCTAGCCAAGGGAAGACGTGACAGACTGTACCTGGAAAAATAGGACACTCTCACCCAAATACTGCACTTTTCCAAAGGTCTTAGCAACCGGCAGACAAGGTGATTCTCTACTGTGCCTGGCTCGGCAGTTTCCATGCCCACGGAGCCTTCCCCACTGCTAGCACAGCAGTCTGAGATTGAACTGCGAGGTGGCAGCCTGGCTGGGGAAGGGACGTCTGCGATTGCTGAGGCTTGAGTAGGTAAACAAAGCAGCCAGGAAGCTCAAACTGGGTGGAGCCCACCGCATCTCAGCAAGGCCTAACACCTCTATAGACTCCACCTCTGTGGTCAGGGCATAGCTGAACAAAAGGCAGCAGACAACTTCTACAGACTTAAATGCCCGAGTCTGACAGCTCTGAAGACTGCGATGGTTCTCCCAGGATGGTGTTTGAGCTCTGAGAATGGACAAACTGCCTCCTCAAGTGGGTCCCTGACTCCCGTGTAGCCTAACTGGGAGACACTTCCCAGTAGGGGCCAAGAGATACCTCATATAGGCGGGTGCCCCTCTGGGATGAAGCTTCCAGAGGAAGGATCAGGCCAGCAATATTTTCTGTTCTGCAATATTTGCTGTTCTGCAGCCTCCACTGGTGATACCCAGGCAAACAGGGTCTGGAGTGGACCTCTAGCAAATTCCAACAGACCTGCAGCTGAGGGACCTGACTGTTAGAAGGAAAACTAACAAACAGAAAGGTATAGCATCAACATCAACAAAAAGGACATCCACACCAAAACCTGATCTGTAGGTCCCCAACATCAAAGACCAAAGGTAGATAAAACCACAAAGATGGAGAGAAACCAGAGCAGAAAAGCTGAAAATTCTAAAACCTAGAGTGCCTCTTCTCCTGCAAAGGATCGCAGCTCCTTTCCAGCAATGGAACAAAGCTGGATGGAGAATGACTTTGACGAGTTCACCTAAGTAGGCCTCAGAAGGTCGGTAATAACAAACTTCTCTGAGCTAAAGGAGCAGGTTCGAATCCATCGCAAGGAAGCTAAAAACCTGAAAAAAGGTTAACGAATTGCTAACTAAAATAAACAGTGTAGAGAAGACCTTAAATGACCTGATGGAGCTGAAAACCATGGCACGAGAACTTTGTGATGCATGCACAAGCTTCAAAAGCCGATTCGATCAAGTGGAAGAAAGGGTATCTGTGACTGAAGATCAAATTAATGAAATGAAGTGAGAAGACAAGGTTAGAGAAAAAAGAGTAAAAAGAAATGAACAAAGCCTCCAAGAAATATGGGACTATGTGAAAAGACCAAATCTACGTTTGATTGGTGTACCTGAAAGTGATGGGGAGAATGGAACCAAGTTGGAAAACTCTCTGCGGGATATTAAACAGGAGAACTTCCCCAACCTAGAAAGGCAGGCCAACATTCAAATTCAGGAAATACAGAGAACGCCACAAAGATACTCCTCGAGAAGAGCAACCCCAAGACACATAATTGTCAGATTCACCAAAGTTGAAATGAAGGAAAAAATGTTAAGGGCAGACAGAGAGAAAGGTCGGGTTACCTACAAAGGGAGCCCATCAGACTAACAGCAGACCTCTCAGCAGAAACCCTACAAGCCAAAATAGAGTGGAGGCCAATATTCAACCTTCTTAAAGAAAAGACTTTTCAACCCAGAATTTCATATCCAGCCAAACTAAGCTTCATAAGTGAAGGAGAAATAAAATCCTTTACAGACAAGCAAATGCTGAGAGATTTTGTCACCACCAGGCTTGCCTTACAAGAGCTCCTGAAGGAAGCACTAAACATGGAAAGGAACAACCGGTACCAGCCACTGCAAAAACATGCCAAATTGTAAAGACCATCAATGCTATAAAGAAACTGCATCAATTAATGGGCAAAATAACCAGCAAACATCATAATGACAGGATCAAATTCACACATAACAATATTAACCTTAAATGTAAATGGGATAAATGCCCCAGTTAAAGACACAGACTGGCAAATTGGATAAAGAGTCAAGACACATCAGTATGCTGTATTCAGGAGACCCATCTCATGTGCAGAGATGCATATAGGCTCAAAATAAAGGGATGGAGGAAGATCTACCAAGCAAATGGAAAGCAAAGAAAAAAAGCAGGGGTTGCAATCCTAGTCTCTGATAAAACAGACTTTAAACCAACAAAGATCAAAAGAGACAAAGAAGGCCATTACATAATGGTAAACGGATCAATTCCACAAGAAGAACTAACTATCCTAAATATATATGCACCCAATACAGGAGCACCCAGATTCATAAAGCAAGTCCTTAAAGACCTACAAAGAGACTTAGACTCCCACACAATAATAATGGGAGACTTCAACACCCCACTGTCAATATTAGACAGATCAATGAGGCCGAAGGTTAAAAAGGATATCCAGGAACTGAACTCAGCTCTACACCAAGCAGACTTAATAGATATCTACAGAACTCTCCACCCCAAATCAACAGAATATACATTCTTCTCAGCACCACATCACACTTATTCTAAAATTGACCACATAATTGGAAGTAAAAGACTCCTCAGCAAATGTAAAAGAACAGAAATCACAACAAACTGTCTCTCAGACCACACTGCAATCAAATTAGAACTCAGAATTAAGAAACTCACTCAAAACTGCACAACTACATGGAAACTGAACAACCTGCTCCTGAATGACTACTGGGTAAATAACGAAATGAAGGCAGAAATAAAGATGTTCTCTGAAACCAATGAGAACAAAAATACAACATACCAGAATCTGGGACATATTTAAAGCAATGTGTAGAGGGAAATTTATACACTAAATGCCCACAAGAGAAAGCAGGAAAGATCTAAAATCCACACCCTAACATCACAATTAAAAGAACTAGAGAAGCAAAAGCAAACAAATTCAAAAGCTACCAGAAGGCAAGAAATAACTAAGATCAGAGCAGAACTGAAACAGATAGAGACACAAAAAACCCTTCAAAAATTCAATGAATCCAGGAGCTGGTTTTTTGAAAAGGTCAACAAAATTAATAGACTTCTAGGAAGAATAATAAAGAATAAAAGACAGAAGAATCAAATAGATGTAATAAAAAATGATAAAAGGGATATCACCACCGATCCCACAGAAATACAAACTACCATCAGAGAATACTATAATCACCTCTATGCAAATAAACTAGAAAATTTAGAAGAAATGGATAAATTCCTGGACACATACACCCTCCCAAGACTAAACCAGGAAGAAGTTGAATCTCTGAATAGACCAATAATAGGCTCTGAAATTGAGGCAATAATTATAGCCTACCAATCAAAAAAAGTCCACGACCAGATGGATTCAGAGCTGAATTCTACCAGAGGTACAAAGAAGAGTTGGTACCATTCCTTCTGAAATTATTCCAATCAACAGAAAAAGAGGGAATCCTCCCTAACTCATTTTATGAGGCCAGCATCATCCTGATACCAAAGCCTGGCAGAGACACAACAAAAAAAGAGAATTTTAGACCAATATCCCTGATGAACATCAATGCAAAAATCCTCCATAAAATACTGGCAAACCAAATTCAGCAGCAGATCAAAAAGCTTATCCACCACGATGAAGTCGGCTTCATCCCTGGGATGCAAGGCTGGTTCAACATACGCAAATCAATAAACGTAATCCATCACATAAACAGAACCAATGACAAAAACCATATGATTATCTCAATAGATGCAGAAAAGGCCTTCAACAAAATTCAACAGATCTTCATGCTAAAAACTCTCAGTAAACTAGGTATTGATGGAACATTTCTCAAAATAATAAGAGCTATTTATGACAAACCCCCAGCCAATATTATACTGAATGGGCAAAAACTGGAAGCATTCCCTCTGAAAACTGGCACAAGACAAGGATGCCCTCTCTCACCACTCCTACTCAACATAGTGTTGGAAGTTCTGGCCACGGCAATCAGGCAAGAGAAAGAAATAAAGGGTATTCAATTAGGAAAAGAGGAAGTCAAATTGCCCCTGTTTGCAGATGACATGATTGTATATTTTAAAAACCCCATCATCTCAGCCCAAAATCTCCTTAAGCTGATAAGCAACTTCAGCAAAGTCTCAGGATACAAAATCAATGTGCAAAAATCACAAGCATTCCTATACACCAATAACAGACAAGCAGAGAGCCAAATCATGAGTGAACTCTCATTCACAATTGCTACAAAGAGAATAAAATACCTAGGAATCCAACTTATAAGGGATGTGAAGGACCTCTTCAAGAACTACAAACCACCGCTCAATGAAATAAAAGAGGACACAAACAAATGAAAGAACATTCCATGCTCATGGATAGGAAGAATCAATATAGTGAAAATGGCCATACTGCCCAAGGTAATTTATAGATTCAATGTCATCCCCATCAAGCTACCAATGACTTTCTTCACAGAATTGGAAAAAACTACTTTAAAGTTCATGTAAAACCAAAAAAGAGCCTGCATTGCCAAGACAATCCCAAGCCAATAGAACAAAGCTGGAGACATCATGCTACCTGACTTCAAACTATACTACAAGGTTACAGTAACCAAAACAGCATGGTACTGCTACCAAAACAGATATGTAGACCAATGGAACAGAACAGAGCCCTCAGAAATAACACCACACATCTACAGATGATCTTTGACAAAAACAAGCAATGGGGAAAGGGTTCCCTATTTAACAAATGGTGCTGGGAAAACTGGCTAGCCATATGTAGAAAGCTGAAACTGGATCCCTTCCTTACACCTTATACTAGAATTAATTCAAGATGGATTAAAGACTTAAATGTTAGACCTAAAACCACCCTAGAAGAAAACCTAGGAGATACATTTAGGACATAGGCATGGGCAAGGACTTCATGACTAAAACACCAAAAGCAATGGCAACAAAAGCCAAAATTGACAAATGGGATCTAATTAGACTAAAAAGCTTCTGCATAGCAAAAGAAACTACTATCAGAGTGAACAGGCAACCTACAGAATGGGAGAAAATTTTTACAATCTACCCATCTGACAAAGGGCTAATATCCATAATCTACAGTGAACTCAAACAAATTTACAAGAAAAAAACAACCCTAACAAAAAGTGGGCAAAGGATATGAACAAACGCTTCTCAAAAGAAGATATCTATGCAGCCAACAGACACATGAAAAAATGCTCATCATCAGTGGTCATCAGAGAAATGCAAATCAAAACCACAATGAGATACCATCTCACGCCAGTTAGAATGGCGATCATTAAAAAATCAGCAAACAACAGATGCTGGAGAGGATATGGAGAAATAGGAATGCTTTTACACTGTTGGTGGGAGTATAAATTAGTTCAACCATTCTGGAAGATAGTGTGGCGATTCCTCAATATCTAGAACTAGAAATATCATTTGGCCTAGCAATCCCATGACTGGGTATATACCCAGAGGATTGTAAATCATACTACTATAAAGACACATGCACATGTATGTTTATTGTGGCACTATTTCACAATAGCAAAGACTTGGAACCAATCCAAATATCCAGCAATGATAGACTGGATTAAGAAAATATGGCACATATACACCATGGAATACTATGCAACCATAAAAAAGGATGAGTTCATGTCTTTTGCAGGGACATAGATGAAGCTGGAAACCATCATTCTCAGCAAACTATCACAAAGACAGAAAACCAAACACCACATGTTCTCACTCTTAGGTGGGAACTGAACAATGAGAACACTTGGACACAGGGTGGGGAACATCGCACACTGGGACCTGTTGGGGGTAGGGGGCTGGGGGAGGGATAGCATTAGGAGAAATACCTAATGTAAATAACAAGTTGATGGGTGCAGCAAACCAACATGGCACATGAATACCTATGTATCAAACCTGCACGTTGGATACCTATGTATCAAACATACCCTAGAACTTAAAGTATTTTTTTAAAAAGAATTAAAATATCAAAAGCAAACAAAACAAAACAAAAAAAAAAACAAAGACACAAAGGCCTGATGATAACAACAACCTACCAAGATGTAAAAAGTGATTGCACACCCAAGGAAGCAATTGGGGTCCCAAACAACCTCATATAAAAGTAATTAATATTTTAGAAACAATATGAAACACAGTTGCTATTGCTGTAAATACAATTACCGACATAGCAGGAAGACTTGAACTAATCATGGTGAATAACATTTAAAAAGAGATCAAAGCATTTAGGAATGATGTAATAGATATGGTAGAGAGAAAAATGTGATCTAAAACAAGGACAATTGGTGTCTTCAAGGTAACAAACCCAACAAATAAACAGAAATAAAGAGAAACACATAGTGCAAGAGACCTTTCCTGAAGCAAAGAGTTAAAAATAACACTTAAGGCCAGGCGCGGTGGCTTACACCTGTAATCCCAGCACTTTGGGAGGCCAAGGCAGGCAGATCATGAGGTCAAGAGATCGAGACCATCCTGGCCAACATGATGAAACCCCATCTCTACTAAAAATACAAAAATTAGCTGGGAGTGGTGGCGTGCGCCTGTAGTCCCAGCTACTCAGGAGGCTGCAGCTGGAGAATTGCTTGAACCCAGGAGGCGGAGGTTTCAGTGGACCAAGATCGCGCCACTGCACTCCAGCCTGATGACAGAGCAAAATCAAAAAATAAATAAACAAAAAATAACACCTGCATATGCAGCTGTTTTTTCCTGTAGTTTCCAGAAAAGTTTGATACAGAACACTCTACTCTGAGCATAGCTAAGTTAACATTATTAAAATTCAAAGATAAAGAAATAATTCTTCAAGTGATAAGCCAGAAAAGAAAATCATGTACACTGGGAAAAAAATCAGGCTTCCTCATAATGACAGTAAATGCCAAAGACAAGCGAGTAATGCTCACAATGTTCTGAAGCAAAGAAGGTGTGATCCAAGGACATCGTACCCAGCCAGAATGCCATTTGACTAGAGGAGAACAATAGGCAGACTTTCTCAAACATGACAGAATGTAGGAAATACAACATTCATAAACGTCTCTTAGGGAAAAATATTAAAATATGAATCAAAATAGAGAGAACATTAATAAAATCATCCAAGTTTTAAAAAGCTGATAGGCATTCAATCCATTTATGTATTGAGCCAAATACTGAACTAATCAAACTAAGAGAATTTTGGTTACAGAAAACCACATAAAAGTTACATTTTTAGACAATATAAAAATATTAACAAAATTTGGGAAGCAGTGGGAGAAAGTTTGAGAATGCTAAGATTGAAATGTGTAGCTGAAGAATTATTATTGTTTTTTAAAGTTCTTTTTTAATCTGAAAGAAAACTTTCAAGAAATAATAGATCTTTTCTTTTTTTTTTTTTTTTTTTTTTCCTTTGAGACCGAGTCTTGCTCTGTCACCCAGGCTGGAGTGCAGTGACATGATCTAGGCTCACGGCAACCTCTGCCTCCCAGGTTCAAGCGATTCTCCTGCATCAGCCTCCCAAGTAGCTGGGACTACAGGCTCGTGCCACCACCCCCGGCTAATTTTTTTGTATTTTTAGTAGAGATGGGGTTTTACCATGTTGGCCAGATTGGTCTCGACCTCCTGACCTCCTGATCCACCTGCTTCGGCCTCCCAAAGTGCTGGGATTACAGGCGTGAGCCACTGCATCTGGCCAATCTTGTCTATTCTAAGGAAATATTTATTTAGAGCTCAACAGTTCTCTCAGTTTCTTCTATTAAATTTAAGTAAAATTAAACTTTTTGCATTAAAGTGTCTTCTGTAATAAGTCTCCGTCTTAATAAAAGTGTTTCTAATTATCCTGTGTGTGTGTGTGTGTTATATGTTAGAATGTTTTGTGTTGCTATAAAGGAATATATATATATATTTCTTTATATATATATATATATAAAGACACTGGGTAATTTTTAAAGAACAGAGGTTTATTTAGCTCAGGGTTCTACAAACTATACAAGAAGAATGGCATCAGCATCTGCTTCTAGTAAAGGCCTCAGGCTGCTTCCACTCATGATGGAAGATGAAGGGGAATCATTGTAATTTTGCAGAGATGACATGGTGAGGGAGGAAGCAAGAGAGCATGGGGGGAGGAGCCAGGCTTTTTTTAACAACCAGCTCTTGTAGGAACTAACAGAGTGAGAACTCTCTCACTCTCTCCCAGGAAGGGCACTAATCTATTTATGAGGGATCTGTCCCCAAGACCCAAAGACCTCCCATTAAGCATCACCTCCAACACCAGGGACCAAATTTCAACTTGAGGTTTGGAGGAGTCAAACAGTATGTATGCATAAAAAGATGGACTGTAAAATCATGTTCCTCTCATGGTAACAGTGAATTTTTTCTAAGCAGTAGGATTCAGAGCAATTTTTTTTGTCTTTTGAATTTGTTATAATAAGCACATGTTTCCACAAAAATAATAGATTATTTTGCAGATATGGGGTCTTGCTATGCTGCCTAGGCTGGTCTAGAACCCCTGGCCTTCAAGCAATCCTCCTGCTTCAGCCTTCCAAAGCACTGGGATTACAGAAGTAAGCTACTGCACCCAGCCTAGTATTTTTTTTTAAGCATAAGAATATATCAAGGTAAATATTTAATACTGGGAACTGAAAATATGGATGCTTGCTATTTTTTTGTATATTTCTGTGTGTTTACATTAAAAATGCATTAATAAACTAGTTTCTAGTTTTTTCTTTATTGTCTTGATTTTTCAGAGGGGGGTGTTCTTATTTGATATTTCCTCTATGGTTTTCTGGGTTTCAATAGAAAAATTGTTGCCCATTTCTCGTTTAGATAGGGATTCATTTAGGAGGGAAAAGAAGCAACATCTGAAAACTGCTGGTTAATAATCAGTCAACTACATCTACTTAGTTTACATTAGCAAAAAGAAAACAATGGGTTCTGGCAAGCTGATATCTGGAAAAATATCATTTTATTATGAACTAAATTGTAACTGGACACATAAAACAAAGACATTCTTCCAGTGAACAGATACAGTACATAAGAAGCATTTCCCAGATACTTGGTTTCAATATAGGTTAATGGGATTCTGCACCACAAATCTAGTCCCTTTCCCTAAAAGGAAAATGTTTATTGGCACCAAAAATTTACTATGTTCTACGTAAGGAGAAGTACCAAGGCAGATGAAATTGAAGCACATGTTTCTAGTTGATATAATGTAAACTTATTTTTAAAAGCATTGCAAAAAGGAAAAAAAAAGGTGGGGGAATACTAGAAATATTCAAGGTGGGTTAAGCATACCCTCAAAATCAAAGAGAAACCCTCAAATTAAGGAGTTAAAAAATTAAATACTTTGTAGCAGATACATGTAAGTATATGTAATTTTTCCAAAACCAACTCAGAGTAGCATAACTTCAGTTTATCAGTTCAAATTGTGAATTTATACACAGAACCTGTGTTATGAACTTGGTCAGACGGAAAGCTCACATATGTGCTTTATACCATCCCCTCTGACCTTAATATTTGGTTTTCCATCATTTTAGAATACTGCATTTGTTAGGGTTTTATATCTTGTTGGAGCAATTTTAGAAGGCGGAGAGGAGAGGAGTTGGTGGGTTTTGTGGTTAGACCAGTCTATAACATTGTCAAAATCATTGTTCTCTCTCATAGTGTGATTTGGTGCCAAATAGAGCAACCAAGATGTCAACAGTATTTCACAATGTTGAAGCTTCTCTTCATGAATCTCTGGATCCTGACAACTTGTTTACTATATCCTCAGAGAAGCTCAGGAATGCAGCTTAGGGTCCAAGTGGTCATTGGGTTCTTTTCTGGGAGATGGGACACCATGTTCCTCTGTGTAGATAGGGTGTATTAAGTTTTCTTTCACGTACAATCCCAGCTATACCACACAGACAGCGAAGACAGAACAGGAGAAGTTCAGATGCCAAACAGTTACAGGGATTCTGCAGGAAGCAATTAAACTACCACAAAAATGTCCTTGGGCCTCTCCCTTACAGAGCTATGCTGACCCCTGAGCTATTCTCCGCACAGCTTCCTAACAGTATTTCTAGCTGGCCCATCTTCTCATTAGATGACCATTACACTTCTTAGCTTCTCTCTCTCTCTCACTCCCTCTCTCTCTTTCTCTCTTTCTTCACTTCCAACTCTGTAACTGAATCTATTCTAATGTTAATGCTTTCAACACCTCATTTTTAAAATGAGAACGGCTTTTGCTTTTAGCTTCTTTCCATTAATTATTTTTTAAAAAAGAAATAAAAAGCCTTATGCAGAGAAAAAATTCATACCCATCTGAACAAATTTCACACTCAAATATTCATCAGAGAAAACCATAAGGAGCCCTTCCTTTAACAAATAACCTGCGTAATGAGATAGTTTGCAGGAGAACCCAGTAATTTTGTTCCTAAATTCATCATATTATACGTGCCCAAATACAAAATATCTTTGGAGAAGTATCCTACGTTCTGTGTATATACCCATATGGTTGTTTTAGCATAAATAAGAAGTTACTGGTTCTTTCTAGGTGCGTGAGAAATTATCAAGTGTTCCTAAGGCTTAGAAATCAAAGCAGAACCAAGGCCCAAAGCAGGGGTTGGACAGTGAGGGGAGAGAAGAAGTTTTGGTTTAGAGTAAGAAAGCCTGTCACAGGTACTCAGCTCTGCCACTGTAATACGAAAGTAGCCATAACCGAAAAAATGAGCATGACTAATCCTTACTCACTAAATCTATGGCCACTGAAATTTGAATTTCATACAATCTGCATTTGTACATTTGATTGTATCCAACTACCTAAAAATCTAAAAGCCATTCTTAACTCATGGGTGGTACAAAAACAGGAGGTGGTCTAGATTTGGCCTGTAGGTCACAGTTCACCAAACACTTGTATAGAGGAAACTACAGACCAAAAAGTAAGGCAAGCCCTCCCCTCCTATCTTATACAGGTATAGTGATTTCTGTCAGCAAGCTTTTTCTCGTATCTTGTGCCTGTAATCCTCATCACAATCTGGGAGATACATATTAGTTTCATATAAGGAATGAGGAAGCTGAGATTCAGAGAAGAATCAAATAATCTTTAATTCATTTAACAAATATTTGAATCCATTATAGGGGGGCTTGTGTTAAGGCCTCAGGATATGACAATGACTAAAGCACAGTTTCTAGTTTCTTACAGCCAACTGGGGCAAACCCGAACAGGACAGGAATTATTAATGCAACACAACATACAGGCTAAAGGGAAACATACAGGAAGCATTTAAGTCAGTTTGGGGGGATCAAAGAAAGCATTCTGGAGGGTGACATCCAGTTTGGATGAGAAAGAAACTGATAGGCGAAAAGAAGACAGGTAGGAAAAAGTCTGTTCCAGTTATAAGGAACAGCATGAGCAAAGATGTAGAGGTGAGAGAGAGCATAACACATACAGCAGCTTCACATTATTCAGTGAGTATGCATCCAAGCATACGGTGTGTATGGTGGGGGCAGGGAAAGAGTAAAGAAAATGCCACTCAAGAAAGGTGAGCAAGGACAACCATATGTCATGCTAAAGAGGGAGGCTTTATCCTAGACATCATGCGGAGCCAACGAACAGGTGGATGCAAAGGAGGGACATGGATCGGATTCACATTTCAGAAAGATCACTCTGGATAGAGAGTGGAGAACGGATTGGAGGGAAGCAAGTCCAACCTTCTCATGTCACAATTTAAAAAGTAACTCCCTTATAAATGACTTGCTCAGGCTCACTTAGCTGGTGAGTCACCAAACCAGTTCTGTGACCCCATATCTAGTTACTAATTATAACAACCTTTCTTATAACCATAAGCATTTACAGGGTACTCTATTACTACCGTTATTGCTATTGTTATGTACACAAGGTTACAAAAACTAAATAATAATAGAACTAGAACTAGACTCTATGTTCTAGGCCTAAACTCACATTCAACACCTTTTTTCACTTTAAGAGTAACTTTCAAGCTATGTCCCATAAAGTCTTGGGTGTCTGTGGAGATGCCTAAAGCAGAAACTGGCAAGACAGAGAGTCAGACTCTCCATCCTCACTTTTCTATCTTTTATATTTCTATGAAGCAAGAGCTCCACTACTTAAAAAAAAAAAATGAAAACCACTGTAAGCCATGATATCCACCATGCAATCACTAAGAATGAAATCAGGTCAGACACTGTGACTCACACGTGTAATCCTAGCATTGTGGGAGACTGAGGCAGGAGGATCGCTCAAGGCCAGGAGTTTTTTACTAGTCTGGGCAACATAGCAAGACCCCCATCTCTACAAAAAAAAAATTTTTTTTAATTAGCCAGGTGTGGTAGCTATAGTCCTAGCTACTCAGGAGGCTGAGGTGGATGCCATCACTTGAGCCCAGGAGGTCAAGGCGGTAATGAGCTATGATTGCACCACTCTACTCCAGCCTGGGTAACACAGCAAGATTCTGTCTCAAAAAAACAAAACAAAACCAAAAGAATGAATCAGTGACGAACAAAGGATAGGACCATATACCCAAGGCCCTCAATATCAGTGGTTCCCCATCTGCCGATTCAATCAACTGTTCATAGAAATATGTGTGGGGAGGAGAGGAAAATAAAAAATAACACAAATCAAAAACAATATACTACAACAACCATTTACATAGCATTTACATGGTATTAGGTATTATTAGTAATCTAGAGATGATTTTAAATATGTGGGAGGATGTACATAGGTTGTATGCAAATATTATGCCATTTTCTACCAGGGACTTAAGCATCCCAGGATTTTGGGATCTTCTGGAGCCTTGGAACAAATTCCCTGCATGACTGTACCTTGATCTTAAAAAATAGGGGTAGAAAATAGCTTATGAGAAGTGAAGCAATGGGTTTGAAATAAACTTAACAAGTCCTGTCTCCTTTTCTATTGACAGGCTTTCTGCCCTGCCCCCGACCCCAGGAAGCTCAGGAAAGCTTAGTGAGACAGCAGGAAATCTAAAACACAGAATCTGTCTTCAGCAAAACTGAATAGTTTTCAATCTTCACAACACCCACTTTCACCACCCTTCACCATGGAAGCTTGGCCACCTTCCTTACTGAAATGAAATAGACCTGACTGCATCAACTACATAATGTTTATTCCCTGAGTGTCTACAAGTGCTATTGTCCCAAATGTCGACTGTGGAATATCTCATCCCACTCTGGAATTTGCATCTGGAAAAGTTTAAACTCTGGGAGAGGCCAATTGTTAATCCACAGGTGGAATTTCATGTCCCTTTGTGTCTTTGACTTGTCAGTCTCCAATTTATTACTCACATGAAGATAATTTCATTCTCTGGACTCAGAGAGGCAGAAAACAAGGAGGGGATATGAATGTGTTGGTCAAAGTAAATAAGCAGATGATTTTTATGATAGGCTAAATTGAACTATCATAGCCTCATGATTTTGAAAAGCTCTTTCCAAAGCTGAATTTACCTGCGGAGAGGTGTTTAGAAACCCCCTTTTGGTTTATAGTTCAGTCATGCTCCTATCTCCCCCCTTCAACGTAACATTCTGGATCAACTGCCCCTGTGTAACCAATTCTCATACTTAAAGTATAAAACTAGGAAGGATTTTTTCCTCCATTCTGAAAATTAATCTTTCACCTTAGGAAAAGATTTATACTTCTGAGTCATAGAAAAGCCAACACCCTCCAGCACTTAGAAGCAACCTCAGAAAAAGAAAAAGGAATGAAAACAGTGAATCAATTTCCCTTTCCACACAGATCTGAGAGATGAGATAGTTCTCGTGTCTGCCAAGGGGCTTCCGGCTCCGACAAGTTGAGTCAGCATGCTGCAAATCGTTCTAGATGGTTTTTGGACCACATGTGACAGCTAGAAGAAACTAAACTGGGTCAGGCTAACTTTTGCAAGGTGCCTTAGGATTTTAAGAGCTAAAAGGAAACTATAACTCAGTTTTGTGGCTCTTGTGATCAATACGATGTGAGGGTAAATGGTAGCAATGTGACCAGGCATGCTGCCCTCTCTTGCCTTTTGTAAGTGTCGTTACTATTATAATAAGACTCATGGGTGTGGCATCCATGAGGAGGTGCTGCTCAGATCTCCCTTTAAGAGAGAATCTGCTCGACTGTAGTGATCATTTCAGTGTGTATATGCATATCAAAATATCATGTTGTACACCTTAAACATAAACAATAAATTTAAAACTATAAACAACTTTTAAAAAGATAATATTTAGTGAGAAGTGTAGTTATCTGCCACCCTACAGCTGTCACAGCTGTGGGATCCATTACAGCATCCATACCAGGGCCACGCTTCTCCAGAGCTGCTCCTAGCCAATGATTGAGCATGGGGAGAGGGGACAGAGGTAGGAGTCTGCTAGGGCTGGGCATGCCTGCCCTACTGGGAAACTGTTGCTTCGGATGTCCCTATCAGCCTAGCCAAGACTTTCTCAGAGCTGCCCTGCAGGCTGAAACTCTACCTGCCCGATTCTTCTTCCTTCCTGCTCTCCCTTTACAGATGTGAGACTTGCATCATGGTCTGAGACTTGTCCCACCTGTTCCTGCTCCCTCTCCCTTTATCCTTCACAGGCATCACCCCCTAGTCAACGTTTTGCATTCCTAATTCCATCTTGGTGTCTGTTTCCTGAAGGAAATGAGCAGAGGCAGGTGGAGAGGGGCAGGTCTTTCTTCTCTCACCCCATCTCTAACCTCTCCTCCTCATGTTGCCTTAACTTTCCAGCCAGCCCACGCCTTCCCCCTTAAGCAGCAGCTGTGGCCTTCAGCAGTGTTTACCCTTGGCAGTCATGTGGTCCTTTTGCCATTTACTTTCCCAACAGAAACACCAACCCTAAGCAGATTGGAAACAGCACATGTGTCTTTATAAACTGAAAGTAAATATGAAAAGCCAAAGAGGTGCTGAGATAGTAGGGCCAAGTCTGTTCCACCTGAAGATTTGAGGAGTGTGTGTGTGTGTGTGTGTGTTTGTTTGTGTGTGTGTGTGTGTGTGTGTGTGTGTGTGTGTTTATTATCACTTGGGGGAGGAGGTGGCAGATATCCCCAAATTAGAAATAATCTTCTCATGATTTTGAGAAAGAATGAATACAAATGTATCATTCTACCTTTTCAATACCATTGCCTACCCCAAAGTTACCAGATCACTTAGCAAATAGCAGAATGATTTCACCTGTTTTCTTCTTTTTCCCTCTCTACTTTCATAAATCAGTAAGATAGTCAAAAGTTGGCAGGGAAGAAAGTCAGGGAGAATAAATATGAATGAACTGAATAAGCCACAAACTATTCAATCAATGTTTAATCAAGCAATTGTACAATTTAGAATGGCCATTGTCCTGTTTTAATTTTTTCAACTAATCTATCCAAGTGATCGTGTCATTTTAATTGCAAAAATGAAAAAGACCTAGGAAATCAAGAAGACAGTGAGTAAAAAGGAACAGCTGGGTGTGACTGAGTTGCCTGCTTGGAAGCAAGCAGAAAGATGTAAAGTGTTTGAAAATTCCTTCCACCGTTGGATTCTAAGGTGAGGAAATTAATTTTTAAAATTAAAACACAGACCTAATTCCTTTCTACTGACACCTGCTTAGTGTATGGACTCTGTTCACTTTTGCTTGAAACATAAAAGATGGCTTATCTCAGTCAAATTCTGTCTACCCCATAGGGATTTCATTCTCAGCATGCCAGAAACATTTAATCCTTTCTCTTTCTCTCTCTTTCTCTCTCCCCTCACTCTCTCTTCTCTTTTTGCTTCTTTCTTCTCTCTCTCTCTCTCTTTCCTTCTCTTCTAAAATTTTCCCAAAGCCTACAAGGACACCCTATGTGCAGTACTTTGTTGAATTAGAGGTTACACCATCGGCACTAACAAATACTTTAAGATTTCTTACGCCTTCGACCTTATCACTCCCAACCCCTCACCAACAAAGGGGGGAAATTCATATTAAATTATCTGGGCTGAGTATCATGGCAAATGTGTACACCCTGCCTTCCCCGATTCCTTCCATCTGTGTATGGCCTAAACAGCTGACTGGGACAGTCTTTCATCTTTAATCTAATCAACTAACTTTCCCATGGGAAACAGCCAATGAAGCCCAAATCTGCGTACCAAACTCTTTTTAGCCCAGGCAGCTCACTACATCTGACATTCCAAAAAAAAAAAAAATCAGTAAAAGTGGCTGCTATGAGTCACAAAAGACAAACAGCATTCCTGAAAGAAATGAACAATCACTAGAAGAAACACATTAGTGCTTGCTTTGGGAACCCTATAGGTCTCTATAGATCTGAATGAATGGTATTTAGGCCTGAATTCTCTGCATCTCTAGGATATCTTCTATTTGCTGTTTAGTTTTCTGTAAATATAACTGTCTCCTCTCCATTTTTTAATTGTAACAAACTAGCATCCAAAATACTTCTAATATTTAGCATATTCCTTAATATTCTCTTTTCAATTATGGCTACCAACTTAATGAGTGGTTAACTATAATTTGCTGTATACCACTGGCTTTCCATTTGGCAGGCCAAGACCTGCATATTACATCACAAGCTAGTACAAACACACACACACACGTGCACGCACACACACCAAAGCAAAAGTACAGTGGCAGAAGAGACTAAGGAAAGGAGATATCAGAACTAAATGTAATGTGGGGCCCAGGATCAGATGTCCTGGAACAGAAAAGAACATTAGTCACAACTAAGGAACTCCCGATAAAGTATGAACTTTAGATAATCATAATGTGTCAATATGGGTTCATTAAAGTGAAAAATGGACCATAGTGGTGTAAGATGTTAACAACACGGTAAACTGGGAGTCGGGTATACAGAAACTCTCTCCACTATCTTTGTAACCTTTTTGTATATCTAAAAATCTTCTCTTTAAAAAGCTTCTTAGGACAACAGCAGAAAGGTAGTAGCTGACATCACGGGGACTGCATTTGACAATCAGGCTTTCTTCACAAGCTCCATTTCCCCGCAACTGTAAAATGCTGATGGTGATGAGTCCCTTTTCCAAGCTCGCAGATAGAGTAAAAAGCGTGTGATGATGAAGATCACGCACTTGGTGATGTGCACAGAGCAGCTGGCTAATGAAAGCATGGTGATTAAGCTGAGCCCTGCATCTCGCTGTTCTCTAACGGGGGTCCAGAGGGAGCCAATAAAGCTCTCTGTGAAATGTACTCAGAAATCTGAAATGTGTCCAAATCACCAGTTGCCAACTAACCTGCCCAAAATCTGACAGGAAATTCAAACCAGAACGTTTTCCTGTTTTAAGAGAGGTGCAGTTTTGCAGCTTCTTTTCTCTTTTTTCCCCCGTTAAGAACAACGATGAGTGGGTAATAAAACATTTGAATCAGATGGAAGGAATAAAACTCGGGATAAAATGGCACAAAACCAAACAAATCCCTGGAGCTGAAGAAAATCCTGGCTGTGATAGGAATTCAGGGCTTTCCAATATGTATCTGAATGAAGCAGACCTCAAAGCCAAATGTATGGGTGTGAAACGTTATAAAATGAACGTGTAGGGATGTAAGTGTTCTTGAATGTAAGCTGATTAATTTTCCAAAACTCCGCCGAGCACAGTGTTTCAGGTCAACTGAAGCTTCAGTTGGTGCTGACTCAGGGCTCAAACGAAGAATAATACAGATGTGATGAAAAAGCTCCCTTTTCTGTAATAGGTTTGCTCCTCCCTGAGGTCCATGACGCTCTCTCTTTGGATTTTGTGAAAATATCCTGTCTAGCTCCCGGCTTTAGTGGAAGATGGTTCTGATCCTTGAGGGTACTTTCGCCTGAGCCAAGGGAGCATGCTATCTGAATCCGACGCTTCTCAAACCTTTTTTTCAGAAGAGGAATTCTTACATGAAAGAATCTTACCTGGGCCCTCCAATATAGAATCAATTAAAATCAGAGCTGCTCCAGATGATGACGAAGAGAACAGTCATTTCATTTTATTGAATATATATATATATATATAGACTCATTTTAAGTTCATAAAGGTTCATCACTTATAGAAACATGCTCAAAAATTGCCCCAATATTTAGTATTCAGTTGACTGGTACAAAGAAATTTTTTCATTATAAATTATACTAATATAATTTTACTTTGTATTTGTATAATTGGTGGACATAATTCCTTGTCCCAGGGAACCCTCAGGGACCAAAGTGTTTTGAAACAGAGTTAAAGATGAGAGGAGGGAAAGCTCTAAGGTGAATACTAGACACGGCAGAAGTTGCCCAGATGCCCATTCATCCCCTTTCTTCCTTCCAGGAACAGAGGAATACCATATATTCCCATTGCCCTTGTGGACAATATTAGAGGGATGCGATTGCATTCTGGCCAATGGTATGTGGGTAGAAATAACATGTCTCTCTTCCAGGCCTGGTCTCTAAAGTGTCTCGTGCAATCCTCCCCACCCCCTCATCCTCTCTCTCCCTTATCTGTATGCTGGAAAAGATGGATTACCAGTTGACAGAATTAGAGTTACAAGGTGGAAGGAGAACAGATCCCCGAGTTTCTATTTAAATGACAGTGACCCAGGAAATTCATGTTACCAGCATCACGCTATGACGTGAGCAACAAATAAAAATTTCCTGGGTTGAGCCACTGAGATTTGAAGATCTGTTACCACAGCAAGACTCAGTCTGTTCTGATTAACGCAGAAAACATGAACTTCTAAAATGTATTTAATCTCATTTAAAGATTTTAAAATTTTGTTTAGAGGACCAGTATCAGCCTGAGTCACACCAATACCATAGATTCCTTTTTAAATTTATTACTAGAAAAAAGGCTGTCCTTCCTGAAGAACTGGCATGCTTTATACAAGTAGATAAGAATTTTGTCACCTCTTATGCCACCATTTTTGCCCTGGATACCAGAAATCCCGGGACAAAAATAAATGTTTAATTACAATAAATGGTTTTGCCCTCTTGGCTAACATATGTGTTACTGATTCATTTGCATGGGTTTGAGTTTTTCAGTCTTTGTTAACAGTTTGTTTTTCACTGTTTGAACCACTTGATCCATTTTGAAAAGGTGTAGGGTAAATGAGTAAGTCTTTCAAGAGAAATGACACTAGCAAACCAAATGAAACAAATGTCAGGAATTTTCTTCAAGGTAACATTTCACTTGCATGATGTTAAAGGTTTTCCATCGATGTGACTATTTAAGTGGATGTCACAGCACAATTAAATGGACATGGTCGTGGAGGAATTCAGGCTTGATCTCTGATTGTGCTTCAGCTGATGGCAGGACACTTGACCAGTATTACAACCACTTTCTTACATGGTCCAAATGTTTGAAGAGCATGAGCAATGAACAAATTTCTATTTTATAAAAATTAGAATCAGATATTTAAAAATAGACTTTAGTTTAAATATTTTTTCTATAAAATCCTAAAGAATCCTCTATAATCATAAATGTGATGCTGAGACCAACAAGATTTCTCTTTGCAGCCATCACTGTTATCATTTAATATTTTGTAAGTTTCCACTGGAATATTAGTAAGTATTCTTCCTTTCTGGTGACCAAATGAATAAAAGCTGTTTTATAGCAGGCATTTCTTCCACTTGCTGAAGAGTGACTTCCACTAAAACCTCAACATCACAGGCATAAGAAAGGCAAAGGACAACGTGTGAAAACTTGGTTCACCTGCCTAGTGTGAACTAACTTCACATTATGAAAACAGTCACAAATCTACAAACCAAATGGGAACACATTCCCTTCCTCCCTCCTGTCATGCCAAGGCTGAGTTTTGTTTTCAAATATCAACCAGGCAGATGAAGAGGGAAAGTAAACAAAGGTATTTTAACACTTCCAAATCACAGTTTTCTTTTCTGTAAAATTGAGGTAATAAAATACAACATCAGTTGCACACGTGAAATTAGTTAAGAATCACAGACTTTTGGAAGGACTTGGAATGGCTTTTAGCAACTATGTGGCTAGTCCATTTTCACACTGCTGATAAAGACCTACCGGAGACTGGGAAATTCACACACAAAAAAGAGGTTTATTGGACTTACAGTTCCACATGGCTGGGGAGGCCTCACAATCATGGTGGAAGGCAAGGAGGAGCAAGTCACATCTTATGTGGATGGCAGCAGACAAAGAGAGAGAGAGCTTGTGCAGGGAAACTCCCATTTTTTTTTAAACCATCAGATCTTGTGAAACTTATTCACTATCATGAGGACAGCACAGGAAAGACCCACGCCCATGATTCAGTTCTCTCCCACTGGGTCCCTCCCACAATATGTGGGAATTATGGGAGCTACAAGATAAGATTTGGGTGGGGACACAGAGCCAAACCATATTACATGGGGTTGCTAGGGAATACAGGGATCCCATACTCCTTCTCCAACGATAACAGCTCCATATTTGTCTGTTCAATATATGGGATTATGCTTTCAATTTCACCTTAAAGGAAGGTTCTGACACCAAAACCTTTTAAAACTCCTTGAATGAATATAGCGATCACAAAGACTTAGGTTCAAAATCCAGGCCTCCCACTTACAAGACTTGTACAAGTTAGTTAATGTGGTCTACTCTCACTTTCCTCCTTATAAGATGGGGTTGACTATCAACACAGGTCCCCATACATCAGAAGGCCGGTGTGAGGAAGAGATGATCAAATAAGATGATAGATATGTCAGCACTATGTAAACATCAAAGTTTCGTAGAACAAAGTGCTATCTTAGCATTATTTATTGTATAATACTGGCAGTTTGAGTATGGCATTGGCACTGGAAATAGATGAAAAAATTAGATAGGTGAAGACAGGCACAGGAAATTCCAGAGAGGTGTCAGTCAGCATGTGTTCTGTCTGCATGGGGCCCCATGGAGATGAGCAATGCAGAGGCCCAGCTAAGTCCAGGCACAATGCTGCATCACGTCTGACCCAGCTCCCTGGCACAGGGACTTAGCTGTGGGGAAGTGGGCACATTGGTTGCATGGGCTGAATGTTTATGTCCCTCTAAAATTCATGAGTTGAAATCTAATTCCCAATGTGTTGGCATTAAAAGGCAGGCCTTTGGGAGGTGACCAGGTCATGAGGGTGGAGTCCTAATGAATGGGATTAGTGCCCTTATAAAGAGGACTGAGGAAGCTTTTCCCCTTTTGCCATGTGAAGACCCAGCAAAACGACTCCATCTATGAGGAATGGACCCTCACCAGACACTGAACCTGCCAGCACCTTAATCTTGGACATCCCAGCCTCCAGAAATGTGATAAATAAATTTCTGTTGTTTATAAATTACCCAGTCTGTGGTATTCTGTTGTAGCAGCCCAAACAGACTAAGACGTGGGTGAATTTAAATAGCTACACCATTGTGAGCACATGAGGCAATTTTGACATGGGTTAACTATTTTCTAGTGGTGGTTATGGGGTCCTCCAGCCCAAGAGGGTGCATCTAAGCTCTTATCCTGGCAAGGATTTAGGAGCAAGAAGAGTAACTCGGGTGGGAACACTGTGCTGTGGCAGCAGCTGCCTGGTTTCTACCGCAATAACAGGCCTCCAGCCATGGTGGCAGCAACAGTCACATGGTGGATACTTCTGAAATGTGTGGTCCCCCAGACTGAGTCCTCTAGCCTCAAAGAGAAGTTTCTGGGTTCCCACTCCAATAAAAGCATGAGATTGGAGCAACCACCTTGTGGCTGGATTAAGTGTTTAGGGTTCTTTTATAGGAGGAAACACTCTGGTAATGAACAATGTTTGTGCAATAGTGGGACAGGACTCAGGGTCCTTTTAATTTAAATATTTAAAGAGATGTGACCTTATTATCTTCAAGATGGTGAAGTACACAGCAAGTGCAAATATAAAGATATCTTCCTATTCCAAAAGGAGATATTTATAAAGATTTTTAACATAATCCTTCATGCTAACCAGCAAATAAAATTCACTTAAGATGAATTAGGTCCACCTAACACTTACTTATTAATAATGTTAGTATTACTATGTAATAGTAATAATATTAGGTATTATGCTATTTGCTAGGTATATAAAGATGAATAATACATGTTTCCTATTCATGAGAAGCTGATGGTCTCTGGCCACCATCTGACTATTGGGAATGTTTACCACTGGCATCACCTGGCCAAAATACTTTGCCCAAGGCCTATCACCAACTCATGAGACAAGCCTCTGAATGGCATTGTTTTTAACAGATTCAACAAGTGTTGTCATAATTGCAACATGATGCCGACAATGGTAAAAAATGGTACCAACATCACGTCCTTGCTTGTTAATTAGGTACCCTGGTAAAACCAAAGGGTCTAGTAGCCTTGCCTCACTTTCTCTTTCACTAAAACAGCTTTGGTATTGGATGAGGGGGAAGCCACGGACATAAGATAGAGAGATTCTAGATCAAGGAGAGACATTTTACTTCTAAAGTTGAGCATCCTGGTCACTGGCTGGTACAGGTAGGATAGGGGACAGCTTTCTTTCTTACTTCCTTTCCTTTAGATCAGGTGTTTACAACCTGGAGTACTGAGAACACTGAACTTCCTAGGGTCATATACAATATTGTATGGGGATGGTATTTTATTGAGTCATTAATGTCTGCCTTATTTAGTTTTTGTCTGTAGAGGAATAAAAGGGCACTTTTCCCTTCCTCCTTCTAGAGAGATAGCCGTTCTTCACTTTTCAGTGCTCTTTGGACTCAGTTCTGCCCAGGAGACTACCACTATCCATTTCTTTGCTGGAGGCAGAGGGCAGACATGGAATTGCCCTAGAAGAGGGAAGACAAAGGGAATATGGCTGGTTTGTAGGGGTGAGGTAGCTTCATGAAGCTACTACAGGGTGGTTCCTGAAAACAGATCTGGGGTAGAGACTGAGGCGAGAGGTGCTGTCCATGTAAGATCTGGTGGTGGGGCTCACACAGAGTACAGCAGAGGTATTAAGTCCTCATCTAAGTTGAGTGTGTGCTTCCTGCTATGCACCTGGAGAGTCTGAACGCTAGTGCTGCAGTCTGAGGGCCTGAGCACAGATCCCTGAGCAGAACCACACATCATCAGCAGTACCCCTGAATGAAGAACAAAATCCCGAGAGTATGGAACGAAATCCTGCTGCCCTTCCCAGCATTTCTGGACCAGGTTTCCTGTATGATCCCAAGTGAAGAGTGAGGAAGAATAAGAAAGGCCCTCCTTGGATTTCTCAACCACCTGGTGGGTGGAAGGCTGAGTCAGAGACAATTGGCAAAAATCAAGGATGAGGCTTGTCCTATATTTCCAAGACTGTAGAACAAATGCAAACCAATTACAGGCATGTTCACTTTTTTGTTGCTGTTTTTTGAGACAGGGTCTCACTGTGTTGCCCAGGCTGGAGTGAAGTGGCACAATCATAGCTCACTGCAGCCTTAAACTCCTGGGCTCAAGTGATCCTCCTGCCTCAGCCTCCCAAAGTGCTAGAATTACACGCATGAGCCACTGTGACTAGCAGTACTTATTTTTAAAAAAGAGGAAAACTGCTGAGACCTTTTATCAGATACTTAAAGGTATCTATGACCTAAAAAGAGTTAAAAGCCTCCACTTCAGGAGATAGAGGGTGATTTTAGGTTGGGCTACCTGAGATGTGGATTCAGGGTTTGTGAGCAAGTGATTTATTAAGACTGCTTCTCAGGACTGCCATTCGACCCAGGAATCTCATTACTGAGTATACACCCAGAAGAATATAAAGCATTCCACCATAAAGACACATGCACAGAAATGTTCACTGCAGCACTCTTCACACTAGCAAAGACATGGAAGCAACCTAAATGCCAATCAATGACAGACTGGATAAAGAAAATGTGGTACATATACACGATGGAATATTATGCAGCCATAAAAAAGAACAAGATCATGTCTTCTGTGGGAATATGGATGGAGCTGGAACCTGTCATCCTTAGCAAACTAACACAGGAACAGAAAACCAAATACTGCATGTTCTCACTTACAAGCAGGAGCTAAATGATAAGAACACAAAGAAGGAAACAACAGAAACTGGAGTCTACCTGAGAGGGGAGGGTGGGAGGAGGGAGAGGAGCAGAAAAGATAACTATTGGGTACTGAGCTTAATATCTGAGTGATGAAATAGTATGTACAACAAACCCCTGTGACACCCATTTATCTATGTAACAAACTTTCACATGTACCCCCAAACCTAAAATAAAAATTTAAGTCAGGGAGGACAGCAGGAAGGGGAGGAAGCCAAACAAGGGTGTTGTTGCAGGCAAGTCCTACAGAGGGTAGTCTTGGCCTGATCCTGCAGGGGACCTCTGGAGTGTAAGTTATGCCTCCAATTTGTACCAGAGGCAAGAAAAGCAAGAGCACTGGGCTTTCATACCTACCTCACTTGTAGGCCATTCATCAAGGCCACAAGCGGGGTGGAGAGAATAAATGCCCAGGTGCTGTGGCTGGAGGGGCTCTCTGCACAGGCCCTGGCAACCTGAAAGCAGTTCTCGAAAGAGCTTCAGAAGCCGTGAGTTAGAAGCAAATGCACAGCAAAGGGGTATATGAGTGTACACGAAAATGGTAAAGAAAAAAAGATCACCCGGGCACAGTGGCTTATGTCTGTAATCCCAACACTTTGGGAGGCCGAGACAGGTGGATCACGAGGTCAGGAGTTCGAGACCAGCCTGACCAACATGGTGAAACTCCACCTCTACTAAAAATACAAAACTCATCCAGGAGTGGTGGCGCGTGCCTGTAATCCCAGCTACTCAGGAGGCTGAGGCAGGAGAATCACTCGAACCTAGGAGGCAGAGGTTGCAGTGAGCTGAGATGGCGCCACTGCACACCAGCCTAGGTGACAGAGGGAGACTCCACCTCAAAAAGAAAAAAGATCCTGGGAGGTCTGACTGGGAGCACCAACGTCATCCACTGCTCCTCTGAAAAGAGTTGTTCTTAAAAATGCAATTTCCACTGGGAGGCCGAGGTGGGTGGATCACGAGGTCAGGAGATCAAGACCATCCTGGCCAACATGTTGAAACCCTGTCTCTACTAAAAATACAAAAATTAGCTGGGCGTGGTGGCACATACCTGTAATCCCAGCTACTTGGGAGGCTGAGGCAGGAGAATCGCTTGAACCCGGGAGGCGAGGGTGTCGTGAGCCGAGATTGCACCACTGCACTCCAGCCTAGTAACAGATCAAGACTCCGTCTCAAAAAAAAAAAAAAAGCAACTGCAATTGCAACTGGAGAGCCAAGGACTTGGCACCCCAAGCATAGCCATGAGGACACTAAGGAAAGAGAAAATCTAGCAGAGAGCAGGGCCTAGAAGAGGGAGACAAAGTGTGTTAGGAAGAGAACACAAATCCAGCACAAATACATCTATTAGTCCAGTGGATGTGCTCCCAGTCCATCAGGAAAATGTCTCCTCACCAGACATCAGTTGTCCCTGTTTTGGGACGGAGTCTTGCTCTGTCACTAGGCTGGAGTGCAATGGCGTGATCTCGGCTCACTGCAACGTCTGTCTCCCGGGTTCAAGCAATTCCCCTGCCTCAGCATCCAGAGTAGCTGGGACCACAGGCACTTGCCACCACATCCAGCTAATTTTTGTATTTTTTGTAGAGTCAGTGTTTCACCATTTGTCCAGACTAGTCTCAAACTCCCAGGCTCAAATGACCCACTTGCACGTCACCTTCCCAAAGTGTTGGGATTGCAGGTGCGAGCCAATGCACCCAGCCCTATTTATTCTTTATTCACATTCCTCCTGTGTAGCATTTTCCCCACTTGCTTTATCCCCTCACTCAGAGCTTTCCCATCACTCAGAGCTTCTCGGTGTCTATTTATTTCTTCATTCGAGTCCCAGCCTCTGGTTATTTTTTACTGGGCCTTGCTCCCCTGTCTCCTCCTGCTCATAGCCCCTTCTCCAGCATCTCTCTCTTCCCGGGTCACCTCATCAGTATCTTTTTCTTCTATAACGTAGAGAAACATATTCCTTTTTGTTTCAGTCCTAGCCCAGTCAAGCTATGGTCAGTAGGTCTCATTTTCATAACCAAACATGCCCATATAAGGTGTGTTCTGAAGCAAAGGCAGTTCTCTTCCTGAGTCTGCAGTTGGTACTTCATGTGACTTCTCCCCTCCCCATTACATACAGCATATATAAATATATATGTAATATGTACACACACATACTCATGCATATGGAAACTGAGGCCCAGAGAGATGGCAACTTGCCTGAGGCTGCTTAACTGGCTAGTGACAGAACCATGACAAGAACTTAAATTCTTAACTCCTTTTTAAGTGTTCATTGCCTCTGAACACACTGCCTTCTGAGCGTTCAAGCATTTTATATCAATGGTAATAAACAAAAAATAGTTTAGTGGGAAAGGCAATTTAAGCTAAGTGCCAAATGCATTCCATAGATATATAATTTATTTTCTGAATCTATGGGGCTAAGGCACATAGTATAAATATGAGGAAACAGAAATTAGCATAAATCTTGAAATAAAGTTGCCTTTCCATTACATATGGTAACAGATGATTCTACAGGGCTAAAAGAGACTGTTTAGGGGGACTACTCATTTGAAAACCTTGTAGTATCAGTAAAAATACTTTCTGTGCTCAATATTTTCTTACTGATTTCATCACAAACATAAAATCATGAATCATAAAGCTGGAAGGAATTTCAGTTAGATCATCTGATTCACTTCTCCACCTTCAAACAGAAAGGGGTATCCTTATCCCCATTTCCAGAGGAATTAGGTAGTTGCCAGAAGTACTAGTATTGGCTTAAGGGCAACTTAGAGTCCTGTTTCTCTACTGCTTCATTTTCCAGAAGCCACATCTAACGTGGTCTTTTGCAAATTGCAAACCGCTTTTCACACATTTTACTTGTGATAATCCTCATAGCAACCTTATATGACAGGTCAATTATTACCTCATTTTTACAGGTGGGGAAATTAAAGCTTGGAGAGATTAAGTCACTTGCCTAAAAGCACCCCACTAGTATATGACGGTTAAGACTGAAATCCAAATCTTCCATCTCCAAATCCCATGCTCTCTCTTTACAATTCTATTCAGACTGTACTAGAGGAGGTGGTTTGTGTTGGCACACTGGTTTGGACGTTATAGACAATGAGAAAACATGGCTGAACTGTCAGTCACTGCAAGAGGGATCTTATTTTTATCTAATAGGAGGTCTTGGCTGGACAGGAACTGAGTCTCAAATACTTCCAGTGACTGGGTGGTAACTCCATGTCAGACGCTGTTCCAGGTGTCCAGGATAGATCAGTGACCAACACAGAAAGGTCTCTGGCCCCTGGAATTTACATTCTAGTGGATGAGACGGACGTGAAACAAATAATGAAATATAAAATATGTCAAGTGATGTTAAGTGCTATGGAAAAACTAAAACAGAATAGACGTGTGTGTGTGTGTGTGTGTGTGTGTGTGTGACAGAGTGTGTAAGGAGAATAGGAATTACATTTTATATATATGTAAGGTGTTTAGGAAATTTCATCAGATAAGGTCACATTTGAGAAGATCCCTAAAATAGGTGAAGGAGAAAATTTCATGGAGATCTGGGAAAACATATTCTGGATAGAGAAAAATCACAAATGCAAAGACACTAGAGTATGAGTTTAGTGAATCTGAGGAACAGGAAGAAGGCCAGTGTGTCTGGGAAGGTTTAGCCACCATGTACTTGCCTTCATTGAGCAAAAACATCCATAAGAGAAAAAACAAGTGCACGTCTTTGAAACATAAAAAATAACACAGGGTAAAAATGAGTGTTATAAAGAGGCATAAATCAAGTACTATGGGATTTCAGAGGAAGTAAAGGAGGCTTGGAATCCCAGAGAACCAGCACTTAATTCTCTATTCCAAGGTTTTCCTTTTTGTCTGAACTGTAAAATATACCATTTTCAAACTTATCTTATGTGGATTGCCAATATGAAAACAAATGAAATCAGACTACTCTAGTGAAGTGAAGGGGTGGAGGAGGTTTAGCCTTCCCAAGTTGGCCTTACTCTTTCTCATCACCAGCCACAGAAGAACCTTCATGGAACCCTGGGGCCTAGGAAACAAAGTTTGCCAGCAACAGATCTAGTCAAACTAGCTCATTTTACAAAAGAGGAATCTGAAGCCGATAGTGGGAATCTTCTTCTGGCCTCTACTGGAGTGAAGTCTCCCTGGTCTTCTGGGCTGGCCTCTGCCGCTAATGACCATAGAAACTGCTTCAGCTTCCAGTCTGAAGTTCCCACCTCCTTGTGTTGAACCTTGGCCTGACTGACTTGGAACTCCATTCTCTCTGCCTGTGGACCAATGCATTCACCTATGGGACCCATGCATTCATCATTTCTAGGGGCAGTCTGAGACCGTTGAAACAAGGAAGTCACTGCTCAGATTTGCATTGCAAATTAGATTTTGAGTCCAAAGGAAGACAATAGTCCTGAAAATTAGATTTATTGGGAGAATGTACCTCTTGAACACACAGAGATAATGACAATGAAACTGCTCTACGCTTACACCCTGAAAATGACAAGCACATCCTTGACATCATCCTTCGCATATGATGCACTTCTTTGCTTAAAATAACCTCCTTTTTAATAAATTCTACTCATCTTTCGAAGAAGCTAAATTCTCTTTCCCTGTGATGCGTTCTCAGACTTTCCCAAGCAGAATCAATCAACCCTCCATCTGTGTTCCTGTAGCACTTTTTTTCATACATTTATTATAGCCCTCATCTTATTGCATTAGAAAAATGTGTTTACATATTTTTCTTCCACTGACTCTGAGTTTCTGTTGTGAATAAGAAATATGTCTCACTCATACTGATGCCTCAGCTGCTGCTAACAGTGTTCTGGCGTTTGATACATTTGCTGATTGGCATTGTAATTCAGTACTGGCTGAGGTTATGAGAAATGAGTGTCCTTCTCAGCCATAGACTTTTTTAGAAGTTGCCAACCAGTGACAAACCATTATTAATTATTTGCTTGTCAACTTGATAAGTTATTGAAAAGTAAAATGACTGTGTGAATATCCTGTTACTGATCATTGAAAGTTTCTGATGGACAGTCCCGGCACTCACCCTTGGTCTGTTTCAGTCACAAGCCTTCTTACACATTTTTCTGTTTGCTCATCCATGCTGGATCTGTTCTGAGGCAGACACGTTGCTATGACCAACGCAGCCAGCAATGACACATTCTCCCTCATGCCTGGCCACAGCCCCTGGTAACTGTCAGCCTTGCAGATATGACTGACAAGAGTAGAAAGTAAAATCTGTGGGAAAAAATATGAAATCAGGTTCCAGTTCTCACTCCCTCATTACGTAAAAATGATACCATGTTTAGTGAGTGTTGTGTGGTGAATCTCACATGATCCTGAGACAGAAGGGGCTTTACCAGGAGAGAAGTGATTTTTCTGACAGATACATGAGCCTCGGTAATGGTGCCATTCAGCACTGAAAGGCAAACTTAAGTTCCCTTTGCCAAATTCACACTGCACATCAAAGCTACAGGGAAGGGTCAGTCCTTTTCAACAACTGCAACGTAACTAAAGCCGCTTCGTTTGCAGGAGTTCATAAAAACTAGATTATCCCAGATCCATTTTCTTAAACCAAGAACAAAACAACCTCAGTAGTAGAAAATGTCAGCTCTCACATGTCCACTGATCTTTGCCTCATCATCTAAGACTTTTTAGATTTTGTGTTGAAATACAGCTTCCCCTACCAACAGGTCTGCCCAATCATTTTTAGCCCAACTTTATAGTTAAGAGTTCAAAGTACAATATTCTTGCTTTCATGTATAAGCATTTATTTGATCACATGGGATTTACCACGTTTATTGTCAAACAATTGATCTTTTCTTCTTAAATTCCTCTAGGATTTCCATCTAGTTGATGTGGTTTTCATGTTTCTAACAGAAACAGCAAATAAGAACACAAGAGAGAAATGTTTGTATCTTGTTGAAATGTGGAGTATTCAGGGTTATCACTAAAAGGCATTTGAGACATGACCACACAGAAAAGAGAATCCAGGGAACTGTTTGGGAAGACAAATCACATTAAGGGTGTTTATTTGGATTTCTAAAATTTCCCTTTCTCTGGTTTTATTTACATTTCATTAATATGAAGTGATTCAACCTGAGTAACATTTTGTCCTACATAGCTTACTGATTTGACTTTTGCAAGCAGCCGGACACCAAGAGTGGCCCTAAACAAGTTCTTGGTTGATGCAAAGCTCCACACGTATTGAATCAGATAACTGTAAATGAAAATTGCCCTTTAAATGTAATCTCTCAAAATCACTAGAGTTCATTTCCCCTAGAGAAGCAGATAGCTTACGCACATTCCCTTAGGAAGGGGATCAAGTTTGTTACCTATAAAACTAAGAAGGCAGAACTGCTGTCAAGGGCAGGAGTTGAACTGTACAGTTTTAATTCCTAAACTGGACCCAATTCAATGGGCTTTGGTCTTGATCTTTTCCAATTTATGTTAACTAAGTCCTAATTAAGCAGAGTTCATTTTAAAGAAGTCAGATGCCAAGTCTTGTCTTTTCTACCTAGACTTTCAATATTGCAGAGCTTTTTCTTAATTAAGGTGAAGAATTCCTTTTGGCTTTCACAGGCAGAATTTTCCACTTGTTCCATTTAGAGTGCCAGTTGGCTTTCACGCTCTGCAACCATGTGCCTCTGGCACAGCTGGAAAATTTATGAACTTCTGTGGGATTAAAAAGGTGCTATATCCTTGGGAAACGTTCCTAATAACCTGAATTCCTATTTCTTCTCACCAGTGATCAATCTTTTCCAAGTAATAACTAGCAAGTGAGCAGTAAAGGCAGGGAACAATGAGATGTCAGCAGCAATGTTCCCAGAGAGATGTCCTCTCTCCCTAACCCCAGAGCTTGAATCCAACAAAGACTGATATGGGCAGTCTTTAGCCAGAGCTCTGGCTCCTATTTTGGTACCCAGGGGCAACTTGCAGATAAAGGAGAGATGGATCCTAGGCTGCCCTTATGGCTGCCTAGAATGTGATGGCTCAGTAGGAATGGCATCCCTTAAAGATTGCTAGGCACCAGAGCTAGAAGCAGAAGACCCAGTTCTAGATCCTCTTCTCCCACTGTATAATTATGAGACCTTGAAACAGCTCTCAGAATACTTCTCCAAGCCTTGGTTGTCTCACCTGTAAATAGAATATGACTAGACCACTGCTTCTCAAACTAAATGTGTAATGAAGGAACACATTTTTCCTTTCTTCCCCCCACCCCAATCTATTGTAGACTGTGTTTTTGTGAAATACAATAAAAAAATGAATTACCAGAAGAATGATGTTTGGAAGGTGCAGCAATGTCAAATTTCTATAAGAATTCTAAATGCTTACCCATACTTTCTGTACTTATCTGGCCAAAAAAAGGTAACAGTGTCTGGGCCAGCAGCAGTGCAAGGACCACACTTCGCAGAGCAATCAATCAGATGATATCTTAGGCACCTCCTGGCTCTCATAGTTTCCACTTCCTGTAGCCTGCCTGCCTCTCCACTAGATTTGCCCAAGCACCCAAATGCTAAGCTTGGTGACAAGACCAAAATTATGCTTCCGGGGTGACTTTGTCTGTTAGAGCTTCTTTTACAACATACTGTAAATTGGGTTACCTATAAACAACAAATATATTTCTCACAGTTCTAGAGGCTGAGAAGTCCAAGATCAGGATGCCAGAGGATTTGCCATCTGATGAGGGGCTTCTTCCTAGTTCACAGATGGCCGTCATCTCACTGTGTTCTCACATGGTGGAAGAAGTGAGGGCTCTCTAATTCCATTCAAGAGGGTTTCACCTTCATGCCCTAATCACCTCCAAGGGCTCCAAATACCATCATATTGGGGGTGAGAATTTTAATCTGTAAATTTGGGGTTGGGGTGGTGACACAAATATTCGGTCTGTAGTATGAAGTTGTCAACAAAGATCAAAATAACCCCTTGAACAACTAATAGTATTTCTATATCTGTGTTTCTTTCCCTATCAACCTCCCTGAACCATGATCTAGAATCCGAGCTCCACCACTTGGTATCAGGGGGCCAAAAGCAAGTTACTTAACTTCTCTGTGCCTCAGTTTTTTCATCTCTAAAATGAGAATAACATCTTCTTCATAGGGGTACTTTTGTTAAGTGTTTATTTTGATATAGTTTCAAACTTAGAGCTAGATTAGTACAAAGAAATCCTATTTCCTCATTTTTATTCTTTAATTTTTTTTTTGGAGACAGGGTCTCACTCTGTTGCCCAGGTTGGAGAGTGGTGGTACGATCTTGGCTCACTGAAGCCTCGACATTTGGGGCTCAAGCAATCCTCCCACCTCAGCATCCAGAGTAGCTGGGACCACAGGCACATGCCACCACATCCAGCTAATTTTTGTATTTTTTGTAGAGTTGGGCTTTCACCATTTGTCCAGACTAGTCTCAAACTTCCAGGCTCAAGTGACCCACCTGCGCATCACCTTCCCAAAGTGTTGGGATTGCAGGTGCGAGCCAATGCACCCAGCCCTATTTATTCTTTATTCACATTCCTCCTGTGTAGCATTTTCCCCACTTGCTTTCTCCTTCTCTTTCTTTCCCTCTCTCTGTTTTTTAAATTTTTTTTCTGAATGATTTGAGAGTAACTTGCATCCACCATGCTTATAGAATTGTTTTGAGGATTAAAGGAATTAATACATGGAAAATACTCAAAATGGTGCCTGGCTCACATAGTAAGCTCTCATAAAATAGTTCTCATGCTTGATTTTCAAAGGCCTTTCCAGACATGCAAAAGGAACCTCAAACTCTAGTGACTTGGGGGCCACTCCATGTGAAACCTCCAACAAACTGGAGGTCCACCCCTATGGCTTTGCCTTTCTCAGAGATTTATAGCTGATTCACTTATTTTCCAATGTGTTGGATTTGACCAACTTAAAACATATTTTCCATGCCATATGTAGCTAGCCTTGAACACTGGTATTAAATGTATCTGCTCTAAATTACTATATGTTATTAAATCCAAAGAACTCTGGGATTTTTCCTCCTTTTTTTGCAAAACTGCTATACTACTGTTAACATGGTATTAAATTGATCAGTAATGACTAGGAGGCCAAATCCTCACTGTGTTCTTTGGGAAAATGATAGGAACTCTGATTTCTAAGAAATTCAAGTATGACCTTAGAACAAAACTCCCCTAAGCAGCTCAAATGTCTCCTATCTCTGTTACCCAAAATGTCTCTGTCTCTGATTCAGAAACAAAATGCTGATTTACACAATGCCCCATCTAACCCTTGTGTTGGTTTAACTTTAAGCTGAACCAGAACTTTCGTCTCTCACATTCACCCTGGGTTCCTCTGCTTCCTCATTTCCTGCCTCATCCAGATCCTGCTGTGCTGAATTGAATTAAGTGTAGAAAAAATACTGATTCAGCTTCATCTTCATGTGCCCAGATTCAGCTGCAGAAAAGGACAGAAACACTACTTGGTCCACAGCAATTTTTAAAATCATTCCATGTGAGTCATATACCAAAAAGAAATCAAATCATGGAGGCATCTGGTGTCCAGAAAAGCCCACTTTTTTCTATGGCCAGAGTCTAGAAGGTCGGGTGACTCGCCCAGGGGACACGTTGCTCTTCATAGAACATTGGAACAAGGCCCATATGTCTTCCAGGCCCTCTTGCTCAAAATTACCATGTGATCAAAACAAATCCTATCGTTGTCCCAGCAGGGTTCATTGGTCTTATGAATTTGGGGACAGACAGTGCCTGGGGGAGGAAAAGGAAGCAAAGTAGATGCTTCTTCCATTCCAAGATGAATCACATATGTACAATTAGACCCAGTTTAGTTTCACATTACCCTTTCCTGGAGGAAACTATGAATATGGGACCCCCACATATATTCACAGCCCACACTGAATGCTCTGTTCCCTAGAAAACCTATAATCTATACTATACGACTTGATATTTGGTTAAGACATTTTTGCAGGACGTGTGTATCTGGTTCCCAGGACTAAGCTATCCAGTCCTAGAGAGCCAAGGTCATTGTGTTATACTTCTTAGTACCCTTCAGAGCAATCGCACAGTGTGCAACATACATAGTAGGTACAAAATGTATTTCTCTGGATTGGCTGATGTTTTATTTAAAAAAATGGGAATATTGACTGGGCATAGTGGCTCACGCCTGTAATCCTAGCAGTTTGGGAGGCCAAGGTGGGCAGATCACCTGAGGTCAAGGGTTTGAGACCAGCCTGGCCAACATGGTAAAACCCATCTCTACTAAAAATACAAAAATTAACCAGGCATGGTGGCTCATGCCTGTAAGCCCAGCTACTTGGGAGGCTGAGGCAGGAGAATTGCTTGAACCTGGGAGGTGGAAGTTGCAGTGAGCCAAGATTGTGCCACTGTACCCTAGCCTGTTTGAAAGAGCAAGACTCCGTCAAAAAAAAAAAAAAAAAAGGAAAAAATCAGTCATCCCACCCATCCCCACTGGCTAGTGGCAGATGTGCCTGCTCCTTGGCTGCAACATGGATATGCTTCCCTCCCAAAAAGAAACCAGTATCTCTGCTGCTGTCATAGACTCAGACACCTGCAGGGACAGTTCCCACTCACTGCATTCCACAAACCACTTGGTCTATACATTTTTCTACTATCACCATCTTCTTCCCAAAGAATTCAGATTGTTTACAGAGATGAGAAGACACACTGATACTCACCTGATTTATTTAAAAATCTAATGGATAGTTCCTTCAAAAGTTAAACATAGAGTTACCATTTATACTGCAATTTCTCTTCCAGGCATATACCCAGGAGAATGGAAAAACATATGCTCACACAAAAACCTGTGCATGAATAATTGTAGCAGCATTACTCATAAGAGCCAAAAAGTAGAAACAAGCCCAATGTCCATCAGCTGATGAATGGATAAACAAAATAGGGTCTATCCATATGATGGAATATTATTTGGCCATAAAAAGGAATAAAATATTGATACACGTGACAACATGGATGAACCTCAAAAACATTATTCTATGTCAATTAAGCCAAACACAAAATACCAATATTAGATAATTCCATTTACATGAAACTCCAGAATAGGCAAACCCATAGAGATAGAAAGTAGATTCATGTTGCCAGGGTTTGGGGGAAAATGACTGTTAATGAGTACAGGCTTTCCTTTTGGGGTGATGGAAAGGATATTCTGGAAAGAGAGTGATGGTTGCACATATCTACGAAAATACTAAAAACCACTGAATTGTACATTTTAACAGATGAAGTTTATGGTATGTGAATTATATGCCAATTTTTAAAAATTGATTAAGAAATAAAATAGGACACAAAACTTAAAGAACATTAAAAACTACGTTGTGAATTAAAATGAATCCCAGGGCCAATGCTGGCCTGTTGATTTTAGTGTTGCCAGAGCTGGACTTGCCTTTCTTTCTCTTTGTTTCACTCACATTTGGAACTGCAAACATAGGCTTTTCTAAAACACATTGTGTGCCTTTGCAGCTCACATCCAATGCCCAAATCGGGTCCGTCACCCAGGCTATTGGGCCTACTCTCAAGTGGGTTTTGATCTGGCCCTAATTCTATAGACAGTGTGAGCCTCGGGGATCTGGCTTCACCATTTCCACATTGTGAGTGGTGATCGTTTCTGTCAAAAATAATCATCTGTCTTTCATTGTAGTGCAGATGATACCCAAATGTTACCCTCATCCATCAAACTGTCAGGTTAATTGTTTATAAAACATCCGGAGCTGGTTGTCACAGAACATCAGCAAACTCAGACCAAATAAAACAGAATGCTCTGGTTGGATACAACCCCTGTGTGAAGCAGAGCCCTGATGACATTTATGGGAAACAAAGATTCACAAACACCTTCCTTAATCCAACGACCATCAGAAACCTAGGGGTGATGTTACCGTCCTGAGACACTGAGCAAAACTGCCCTCGAATAGCTTAGTTTTTCTCTTCCTAGAATGTTTTTCGATCATTTGAAAACTACTTCCAGTCCTAAAAGACTGAAGACAGGTAAAGTTTATGGTATGTGAATTATATATCAATGTTGGCTTTAAATTCAGCTTTTAATTTGGCTTTGTTGGCTTTAAATTTCTGCCATGGTCCAGCATGAAGATGGACAATGCAGTTTCCCTGCCTGCCTTTGCTGCAATCATGACTCTCAGACAAATATAAAAAGAATACTCATATATTTTATTTAACTTACTAATTAATAAGGTAAACAGTAAGATGTTAGGACTCATTTTTTAAAAAAATTTTGAGAATCTGGGTATCTATTTAAAAAAAATAACTGGTCCATGTCTTACCAGGCAAGAAACTTTTCAGGGATGATTCTTCCATGAGACAGAAATTTTTTGCAGCTTCTTTTGGAAAAAATCCACAAGTTAATCTTGTCTGCATAGTTTTAAAATAGGCAACCCATGGAAAATTAAACCTAGTACTTCACTGAAGAACACTCAGGACTCTCTTTTGGCTGTTTTGAAGTTTCTAGTAACTTCCTGAGAGGCCACTGCTGCCAGAACTAGGAACCAACTCAGGGAGGCTTGTGGGAACTAAGTCTTTACCACCTAGTGCTAAAAAATAAACGGAACGGTTTTTCGAAAAATACACAAAATTATCCTCAAAGCAGACGTGCAAAGGCCACTATCTCCCTCCTTCCCACAGCCCTCGGACACTCTGTGATCCAATTTCTTTACCTTAAATGTAACCCACTGTTGTTTAATGGGAAGAAGAAAGAGGAAAACAAACCTGCTAAGAAAGTGGACCAGACAAATCCAACTCAAGAATCCCCGCCCTACAAGTGTGCAGAATGAAAATACTCAAAGAGGTCTTCAACTATTTGGATGCCATGACTTCTTGAAACAGACAAATGCAATTTTGAGAGTAGTTTGAATGATTTTAGAACCTAGCAGGAATATTTGTCATAAGATAAAAAAGGCATCAACTCATTTCCCCTCCTGCCACCTCCATTCCCTGCTCTCCACCAGAGCTCCTCAAAGCTCAGGAAAGGAAGGCAAACAACAAAAAGAAACAACAACAACAAAATCAAGTTTCTAAAATTCTATTATTTATGGAAGGTAAAACTAATGACACAGCATAGTTGGGGTTTCTTACAGAATCAGTGTGCATTGCATAAGACTATTTTAAATTATGTCCTGACATGGTGGCTCATACCTGTAATCCCAGCACTTTGGGAGGCCGAGGTGGCTGGATCACTTGAGGTCAGCAGTTCGAGAACAGCCCGGCCAACATAGTGAAACCCCATCTCTACTAAAAATACAAAAGTTAGCTGGTTGTGATGGCGCATGCCTGTAATCCCAGGTACTCAGGAGGCTGAGGCAGGAGAATCACTTGAACCCGGGAGGTGGAGGTTGCAGTGAGCTGAGATCGTACCACTGCACTCCAGCCTGGGTTACAAAGTGAGACTCTGTCTCAAAAAAATAAAAAAGACTTTTAAATTATAATGAAATTTTATAGCTGTTGAATTTCTATTTTATAAATATATCTACTCTAAAGTAAAATTGTTTCTCTATAACACCTACAGGTCATATGTATGATTGTTAGGTTTATTTGCTGCTTAGTCCTTGATCAGAAATGCAACTCCCAAATATAATATAGTAGGCCCCCTTACCCATAGTTTCAGTTACCTGAGGTCAATTGTGGTCCAAAAATATTAAACGGAAAATTCCAGAAATAAATAATTCATGAATTTTAAATGGCATGCTGCTGTGAGTAGCTTGATGAAATCTCCAGCCTTCCTGCTCCGTCCCACCAAGGATGTGAATCATCCCTTTGTTCAGGGGATCCGTGCTGTCTGCCTCCCCACCCATTAGTCACTTTGTAGCCATCTAGATTATCAGATCAACTGTCACTGTACTGCAGTGCTTGTCTTGAGGAACCCTTATTTTACTCAATAATGGCCCCAAAGCACAAGAGTGATTATGGTAGCATACTGTTATAATTGTTGTATTTTATTAGTTTTTCATCTCTGTGCCTAATTTATAAATTAAACTTTATCATAGGTAGGTATGTATAGGAAAAAAACATAGCATATACAGGGTTGGGTACTATCCATGTTTCAAGCATTCACAGGGGGTCTTGGAATGTATCCCCCAGAGATGAGGGGGGACTACTGTATTCCTCATGTAGTATTTTTGTGAGACTATTCTTTTTGTGTTTTAGCATGAGGTTATCAGGAACTTGTCACTCCTGCATGGGCTCAGTTACATGGGGGAAAAATAATCCCAGAATTTCACTGGCCTCAAACAACAAAGCTATATTGCTCATTCATGCTACATGATCACCTCGGGTTGACAGGGACTCTACTTCCCTGGCCCTTACTCAGGGATTCAGGCCAATGCAGTAGCCACTATCACAAGCCTTTCTGGATATAACATCAGAAAGAAAGAAAGAAAGTGTGACTCATAGCACACTCATGCATAAAGTTTTCACCCAGGACTGACACCTGACACTTTCTCTCACGTTTCATTGGCCAAAGCAAGCCATGTGGCCATGCCTAATCTCAAAGAGGCAGGAAATGCAATCCTGAAGAAGAGAGATAAAATTCGTAACTAACACTAGTGACCACCAAAATTTGTTTTGGAAAATAGAGCCTCCTGTTTTTAAACAAGTTTTATTCTTTTAGCTACATTAAATTACCTATTAACCAGCCACATCTTGACGGTGTTAGAATTCTAAGGATGGATTTTAATCTATTAATTTAAACTTCCATTCATCTGAAACATCAACCAAATACAGATTTTTTGTGTGTGCCCTTTGTTTTAGGCAAAATGCCATAAAAATTAATAAGACAAAATCCTACAAACAGATCCCAGGTTGGGTAATTTGGTCTTGTGCCAGAAGGCACAGCTTTCTTTTCTGGAAAGGACCCAGGTTTGGGATTGGCTATAGTTCCTCTTTCCATAAAGTCTGAATCTGTCAACCTCCACAGCATAGAGGATTCATTTGTCACACCTGGCATGCATCTGAGGAATGAATTAACACTGGTGTTTTAAGGAAATTTCATTTTAGCAAATTTTGGTTAGCAGGTGATTTTGTGGTTTCAACTTTATTTCCATATAATTAATTTCCTACAGCCAGCTTAGAGTTGCTGAATCCAGACTTCAAAGCATAAAATCCCCCCGACATGGCATGGTTAGGTGCAGGTGGAACAAAAGTAGCCACTGCCAAGGATCTCAGGAGGTCAGAGGCCAGGTTCAAGGCCTTTGTGGAATGTGTACAGCAAGTGTCAGCTCGACAAGAGTCCAATAAGGAAAGAATGGTTCAGAGTCCACTCTGGCAAAAAACTGAAAATAATCTCCTCTAATCAAAAGGTCTTGAAAGAAGGTTACAGGAGCACTTGCTGTCAAATAATACAAAAAGCAAAAGTAAGCAGGTCGTATAATTCTAAGACGTGGATAGATGTAGAAAGCAAATACTTTCTACATAATAAAACTATTAACCAGATTAGGTTATTTCATTGCAGTTTCTGGATCTTTCAGTAACGTAATTGGCTCCTTCGTGTGTCAATGAGGATCCTGGCAGGAAAGAAACAGCACATTCAGCTGGGATTTTGAAGGACATTTTTAGTGGTGGGATCCTTCACAGAGGTGTGGCCAGGATTAAGGGAACCACGGCGGGTGTTGAGGAACCCAAAAACTACCAGCGGCAAGAAGCCACTACTATCACTAGGCCTAAAGAGGCAGGGGACAGGAAATAATATTATCAGAGCTTGGTAAGAGCAGCCACCATAGAAGAAGAAAGCCCTCCAGACTCTGTGACCATAGAGGAACATGGCTGCTCTTAAGACAGTGCCAGGGCAAGGGGGTGTGACAACAAGTGGCCATGTGACCTTCCTCCACTAGCCAAATCCAACTGCAAACCAAAGTGCAAGGGATCTTGGCAATAGAGTCCAGTGAGGCCAGTCTCTTGGGGCACAGAGCAGAGGAGGACAGAGAATGCATTGGGCTGGCTTACCACTTCACCTAATTAAAAGATGCCATCTGTAACTGTGTAAATGTTTTCTCTTTTCTCCTCTATTTTGTCAGGCTAGTTATGTTCTGTTTACTTTTTCCTAAGTACTCCCCCTCAGAGATTTCAATTCTCTTTACTTTCATTGCTGAATCCAAATAAACTCAATAGTAAGATAAGCTTCTTTCTCTTTGTTCTCTAAGGATATTACAAATTTATTACATATTTAATAACATCCCATATACAGCCAAGAAGGGAGCGATCTTAATTTATTTTTATGGTTTTATTTTATTTTATATTTTAATTTTGTTTTGAGACAAGGTTTCGCTCTATCACCCAGGCTGGAGTACAGTGGTGTGATCGTGGCTCACTGCAGCCTCAAACTCCCAGACTCAAGAGATCCTCCCACCTCAGCCTCCTGAGTAGCTGGGACTACAGGCACAAGCCACCATGCCTGGCTAATTTTTTTTAATTTTTTGTAGAGACAGGGATTCACCATGTTGCTGAAGCTGGTCTGGAACTCCTAGGCTCAAGCGACCCACCCATGTCAGCCTCCCAAAGTGCTGGTATTACAGGCTGGAGCCACTATGCTCAGCTATGGCTTTATTTTTTAGAGCAGTTTTAGGTTTACAGCAAAACTGAGCAGAAAGCACAGACAGTCCACATATACTCCCTGCCCCCACACATGCACAGCCTATCAAAACCCTACACCAGAGTGGTACATTTATTACAACTGATAGACCTGCATCAATTATCACCCAAAGCCCATAATTTTCACTGGGGTTCACTCTTGGTATTGTACAGTTTGTGGGTTTTGAAAAATTTATAATTACTTGTATCCATCATTATAGCATCATACAGAGAAGTTTCACTGCTTTAAACAACCTCTGTGCACACATTCATCCAGATTTTAATTTGTAAACATTATGTTAAAAATCCCAAGAGATTGTATCCTGAACTTTAAAGAATTCTGGTATGTTCCTGGTACAGAAACAAAATAAAGAATAATATAGTAAATTATTGCCTAAAATTATTGGAAAATGGAATGACATAGTTAGGAACATTGCTATAGACAGAATAACTAATCTACCAATTTTCAAAGACTTAAAATATATTTGTAACCAGCATGTCAAACAACACAGTTGGTGATATATCAAAACACAACTTTAAATATATCCTCAGTGGGGATGATTTTCCTCAGTACCTGAAAGAAAGCGCTGGCTTTTCTGGTCATTTTAAGTCACAAAAGGCAAGCTCAATTCACAAGCAGAAATTGGCTAGCCCCAAATATTAATATCTAAACTGAAGTTAGAGCAAAATCTTCTTTCCTTCCTCATCTGGGAGCTGCTTTAAGCAGACCACTTGTAGAAGGGCCCAGGGGTGTGGTTGCCACCTACTCACTTCCTCTTTGTTTCTTCTTTGCTGACCAGAGCCTCAGCCCCTCTGAGAGTGGTATGAGGGATGAAGGAAGGGAAAGAGGGCCAAGGGAAGTCTTCTTTGCTTATGGCTTTGCTCTTTTTGGGCCTGATACATGTTACAATCCATCATTTCTCTCATGGGTGCCTCTAAGAGCTCATCAGAGGCTCCTCTGCTGGGCTTCCTTGACATGAGTGACATGTTCTGTCCCCCTCGCTGCTGTTTCCCACTCTGTACTGGTTATTGAGTTGTCCACTCTACACAGACTCTTACCGTTAAAGCTTCCTCATTCCCCAGGGTGTCCTTTTGGATAGGAATTTGTATTCGTTAGCTATGGCTGGATAACAAATTACCATACTATTAATACTTAAGGCTTAAAACAATCAGCCAGGCCCAGTGGCTCATCCCTGTAATCCCAACACTTTGGAAGGCCAAGGCAGGAGGATCTCTTGAGGCTGGGAGTTTGAGACCAGCCTGGGCAACAGATCAGGGTCTCATTTCTAGTACTATATTTTAAAAAAATTAAAATTAGCTGGGTATGGTGGTACATGCCTATAGTCCCAGCTACTCAGTAGGCTGAGGTGGGAGGATCACTTGAGCCTGGGAGATCAAGGCTATAGTGAGCCATGATTGTGCCACTGCACTCCAGTTTGAGTGACAGGGCAAGACCATGTCTCAATAAACAAATAAATTAATTAATTAAATAAAACAATCCACACTTATTATCTCACAGTTTCTATAGGCCAAGAATCTAGGCCTGGCTTAGATACGTCCTCCGCTTCAGGGTCTCTTACAAAGCTGGGGCCACAGTCATCACAAGGCTGAACTGAAAAGGAGCTGCTTCCCAGTTCACTCACATAGTTGATATCAGGATTCAGCTCCTCACAGACTTCTGGACAGAGGGCCTTAGCTCCTCCTGGCTTTTGGCTGGAGGTCACCCTCAGTTCTTTGCCAGGTAGTCCTCTCCAACATGGCAGCTTGCTTCACCAAAGCATGCAAGCTGAGAAGGGAATAGAGTGCCCAGCAAGACAGAAATCACAGTCTTTTGTAACCTAACCATGAAAGAGACATCCCATCACTTTTATCATATTCTCTTGATTAGAAAGAAGCCACTAGGTCCAGCGTACACTCCAAGGGAGGAGATTGCACAAGGGCATGAATAACAGAAGACAGGAATCATGGTAGGCCATTTTTGAAAGCTGCCTATCACAGACTTAAAACAGTTTGGACTCATCTCTCTCTACATCTGGTCCACAGGAAACATTTGTGTTTACCGCCTACTGACAAATGCTGAGACAAAGTGACCACCTCCTTCTAGCTGCCACTGGCCTCCTTAGCTTTCCCAGGCACCAGTCCCTGACCCCTCCAACTGCAGTTCCCTGCAAGGGAGTATACAGAAAACTTGCCAAATGACCTCGTGAAATTCCCTCTCCTGCAACCTGACATTAGAAGACAGCCCCTCCACACCCCTCTTTTCCTGTAGGGAAGAGAGGTGGAAACTCACAGACAGCCATAATTCTCTCCCCAGAAAATCAGCTGATAATGTCCCCGCGTGTCTCCTCTTTCTTTACACTTTTATATTCTCAAAGTAAATTAAGCACTCAAGAGTTTCAAAGTTATGAAACTGTTCTTTGAGCATTCCTTTTGTAAAGTCTGCATATGACAATCTGTTTCACACCCACTTTGGTGTCTAATGTCTATCATATTGTTGCCTCACTTGAAATTGAGAGATGAAAAGACCCATTTTAGCATTTTCTACACGTTTAAAATAATCTTTTGATTACCCAGAAGGCTGTCACTAATTTATAGTATTTATCATTTTGATCATCCATTTTCATTTTCCTGGGAAAAACTGCATAGGAACCCAGTTTATGAAGAAATCAGTTTCACAATAAAATCATAGCTGTGAATGAATCACATAAAATCTATTAAAGTACACTAACATATCTTTCTGTTAATGCATTGATATAATTTTTAAGCTTTGTTTTGAAATGAGAACATCACCTTTTCTTTTTCTGATTTTCTCATTAGGCAGATTCTATAACAAAATCTCCTTGTCGAGAAAGAAAGGGATAGTGTGGAGTGACATACATATACCAGAGACAGGGGATTTTTGTCCAAGCTCATTTATACTAATGTCTGTAGTACACCCTTTGAAAGCACCTACTAAACCCATTTTATTTTCTAACTATTTTGGTTAGTTTCCAAGAATACTATTTCCTCTAACTTAAAATGCTCCATTATCAGTAGACTTGGATGTTTAATTTTGAAGTTCTAAGAGCCAGATTCTTGTTGTGTGTAACTGAGGAAGACATTCCTAGGAGAACATTATCCTGGTCCACAGAGTGACCGTATTTCATTTATTATTTCCAAGTCCTTTATCATCAATGTCATTAGGTTTGGCCAGAGACAAGGAGGTTAGAATTCCCCACCACCACCACGAGTATGAAACAAACTTAAAACGATGAAATATGCATTCTCTGGTTGTGAAGTAATGAGTTCCTGAGATGGAATAACCCAAGAAGTAGGTGTAGAGCAGACATCATCTAATCCAAAACTTGCAACCTGCTAATAGAGAACTAGAACAAAATACCAAAATGAGAGATCTGAATGAGAGGTCAAAAAATCAACATAAAAATTCCAAGAGACATAATCCCTAAAGCCTCAGTAAGACAAAGAAAGCAGCAGACAGGAGAGATCATTTCTCCAGGCAAGGGCATCCCAGACGCTACTCAAAGTAAGAGGCACCTGAAACTGTGAAGAAGGATCCACAGAAGTTCATTCCTCTCTGAAGGCTTCTCTGATGGCCCAGAAAGACATAGGTGTCCTCCTGTTGAGGATCTCCACAGAACTTATACTGAATTCCCCTATACCACTTTTCACAGTCAGAGGGAAGGCTTGTTCATGGGTCTTCCAATTTCTACTTTAAACAGCATAGCTTGAGGCCAAGGATGCCATGTTTCCATCTGTATATCTGCTACTTAATGCGTAGTGAATGTTCAACAACCACTTCTTAATGCGTATAAACGTTCAACAAGCATTTTTTGAATAAATAAGTGAATAAACAAATTGAAAATGAGGTAGTGGATAGTCCAAACAGCAAAGATCAAAGAGAAACTAGGTGAGAGGAGAGAAGTTTTAGTCAGTGCCCTCAGGGAGCAAAAGCCCATGGGTCTTTGGTTTCTACCCAACCACGGCCGCCAGCCTGGCATCTATTGCTCAAGTGTTTCTGCTCTAGCAACCTCAAAACTTAACTTCCTCCCCTGCTCTCAAGATCTAGACTTCTGCACATTCACCCTCCTTTTGCACGTGTTCAGTTGCCTGGCTCTTAATCTCATCTCCTCTATTTCCTCTCACCTCTTCTTTCTCAGATCAACACTCAAATACTCTTTATTCCCGAAACCTGATGTCTGAATCCCCCCCAACTCCCACATTTAGAACACTGCAACAGACTTCTTTCTTTCCCTACCAATACTCCTGTTATTCAGGAGCTCTTCTGTCCCTAGAACAAATAATCACCTACAGATGACAGGGCAAATTATCTTAGATGAGAAAGTCTGTCTTGAATATATTAGAGAAAGTGTTTCCACCAAAAGCAACTATAGGATGTGAATTACATAGTTGAATTTTTAAACTTCCCATTGGTCTTAAGAATTTGGGGGGTCTGCGAAGAAGAGTAAGGAGGAGGGGAGGGTTAGGAGAAGGGAATGAAGAGGAAGAAAAAGATGAAGGAGAAAGAAGAGATGGTAGAGGAGAAAGAAAAGGAGAAGAAACACTGCCTTGTTATGATAGGCAGCATAACTCTCTTCCCCAGAAACAACTCACAGAAAAGAGCCTAATTGCTCGATTCATTGGCTACTTCTCAGTCTGTAACTTACTTGTTACCCACCCCTTCCTGCAAGTCTCTTTCCTCGGCCTCCATGACATCTCTGGTTCTGACTGATTCTCAGTCATCTTTATGGTCCCCTCTTTCTAGCCACAGCCCTTATGTTTATTGTTCCTCAAGGTCCTCTTCTATGTGCTTTGCTATTCTCCCATCAACCCTTGGTTTCAGCCACTAGTGGGATGATGCTGATGATTTCAGAGGCCATGTCTTCAGCTCAGATCTCTTCTTTGTGATTTATGTATCCAGCAGCCTTTTGGATATTTCAACCTTCATGTGCCACAAGCACTTGGAATAAAACACACCAAACTCATCATTTACACCACTCCCAACTCTGTTTTTCTTGTGTAATTTATAATTGAGATTGGTACCACCAACAATCTTATTTCTCAAGTCAGAATCTGGCCTCATACCTCCCCCCATACACACATACTTACTTAACAAATTCCTGTTAATTTCACTGCCTACATTTGTCTTGAATCCTTCCAATTATTGCCTCCATTCCTTCTCCTAAGCTCCTGCAACATGGGTGCACCTACTCCTGAACCCTCCAGTTCTCCATGTGGCATTCTCCATGTGGCAGCTGTGATCTTTCTAAAAGCCAAACCTGATTGCATCCATGTCTTAATTAAAGGATTGTAATGTCTTTCCATTGTGCACTGTATAATGTCAGGTTTCTCTAATGCCATCTCAAAGGATTTTATCATCTGATCCTTGCTTATCTGTAGCCCTTTATGTTTCCTGTGCTCCAACGGCTGCTTTTAGTTGCCCAAATTTACCATGTTTTTCTCATATGCCAGCCTATCCCACGCTTTCCCTGAGCCCAGCACAGACAGGCACTGAAAAAAACTGTTGGATGAACAAATGTGTGAATATGAAAGAATCTATAATTGCTGGTGACTGATTTAAAACAAACGAACAAGCCAAAGAAACTAACCAAAAACCTCTGTAGCTCAATTTTTGCTTTTACCCAGGAATATATAAATTAATATCATACAAGCAAAGATAAACAGTGTCTTTTCTGCAGCAAGAGACTTTATCTTAATTCTTTTAGCATAATTTGATTTTGCCTTTTGAAAAAATTAAACTGCATTTATTATAGAGAGGCTTTTATGGTTCCCTAAATATATGCCTGCTGGTCTCTCTGCAAATTGTGTCTTCCAAATGTCTGTTCTTCCTAGAACTATTTGCCTATTAGAAGCCAGTTATTATTTTTCCAGGAGTGGCAGCGTAAAGCTCGAGTATTTGTTTGTAGTCGGGCAATCCTAGAGATTTTGGATTTGTTTATGTTTCCCCAGATTCTTGTTCCATCATAATGTAGCATTCTGATTTTGACCAAACCTCAGGGCTTTTGCCTGTGGTCCAATAAGTGGGTGTGCACACATATTGTTCAAATAAGTAAAATATGTTGGTGGTGTCCAATCCGTCTCTTGGCTACTTCTTAAACTGCTAAGTGCCTGCAGAAGCTCATGACTATTTTATCACAGGAGCTAGTTTTCTCTGTTCAAAGTGAAGTTACCTAACTTTGATATAACAACTGCCAAGAATAAAACTTCTTTTTTTCTTATGTTTAATTATACAATTCATTGGCAAAATAATCATATAGCAGTATCAGGGCACTGCAAATGAAACTGGCTTCAGAGGATTTCAGCAGAACAAGAATTTTTAAAAAGGATACCGGGCAGCTTAAGAATTGTCGGGAAGGCTGGACAACCACGTAAACTCATGCTATTTCCCTAGGGGTCCAATATCCCTTTTGATTTATAATTTTTCTGTGGAGGAGTTTCAGAGGTTTTTCATTGGCCCTTCCTACCATAGTGGCTCTTACCATAGGTCAGGGAGCTGATGTAGAAATTCTGCCAGATGTTGACTACTCCTAATCCAGTTATACCCTAAAGAACTAGACTCTCCCCTTCTCCCCTCCCCTGTGCCTACTATGGGGTGCACTTGACTAAAAATTCCACTTATTACACAACCAAAGAAATCCTTACTCCTTGACTAAGGGAAGTACAGCAGCATTCCAAGTCCCCAGGAATCATCCGTTAGTTCAAGGCCAGTACCATGGGGATCCTGATATCCCTTTTGAGACCAAGAAGCCATTTCAAAGATAGCATCTTTCACCTGTATCACCAGCCTCCAGAGAGCAATTATCAAGGAGAGGAAGAGTTAGAGAACCAGGAGAAAACTCTAGGAAACCAGTGTTTTTTCACTGTCTTTAGCCCCAACCAGGCTACATTAACTATCTCTGATTCCCCCGCTGCAGTGTTTTTTAAAGGTTCTAGGATGGCCCTCAAAGCTTTGGCAAAGGGAGTGCCTTGCAGGCCAGCTTGAGGGCCATAGTTGGGGAATAGCAAAACAGGTTGCCATGATAAATTCTCTACAACATTCCTATCTCTCTAGGTCTTTGGGCTCCTTTATCTACATTAAATTTTAAAATATCTGTCATCTCAAATACAATTAGTGTGAGTCATCAAAACAACTGGGCAGGTAGAAAACCAAATTTACTCATGAAGCACTGCTTCCTGTCGACTCTCCGAGTCTCAATATCTGTTCCATTGGTGTTTTCTGTTTCATGCAAATGACTCTCACTGATTAAAGAAGATTGAGAAGCTATTAAAGGAGATTGAGTGGCTCACAGCATTTACAAGGTAGCTGGAGAAGCAAATTGAGAGGCCACACAACCTCAGAGGACTCAGATCAACTCAGGCCAAAAACTGATGCTGCCTCCACTACCCACCCTAGGCACTTGCCCAGTGCTCCCGCTTCAGCGATGGCCACCCTAAGAACTCTGTCTGTGACAGCTAGTGCCACCCCTAGAGAGGATTCCCTGAAGAACCTGCTTGACTGAGGCACCAGTTTCTAATTTATAGTCCAGGATGGTGTAAACATATCTATGTCTCAGCTTCAAAGGAGGCTGGGGAAGCAAGTATCTGCCACGGTTAGCTTCAGCAGTGGGAAAGCATCTCAATGTGCCATAAGATATCACAGATAGGAAATTCCCGAAACAAAGGAATGCATTTCTGATGCTGAGCAGGCAAAATAATGACATATGCCTATTGCAGAGTGTTTCCAGACTAAAGCTTCATCAAAACATTTTGAGATGTCATGCCTACAACATTTGTGATTTGGTCACCCTAATTTCCTTTTCACTAGCTTGCTGATGAAATAGAAATTGAGGCAGCAGCAATACCATAATCCATCGAACTTAGCATGCCATCAATTGCAAGTCATGCCATTATTTTCTGCATCACTAAAGAAATGCTGCCAAGTGTCCTATGATTTGTTAAAGGAAGAAGAAAACTCTCATGCAAACTTAAAGTAAGCACATCAAAGATTTTATTCAACTTGCTAATTATTAAGAGAACAAGCATAATATTAAACGAGTCCAAATGGGATTTGAGAAGTTGGGTGTATATATAGGTGATTTACTAGATTGTTGGGTTAAATTTGAAGAAAACAAAGCAAAAATCTGATTAATATCAGACAAAGCTATAGCCATATCATTGGGCTTATCCATTTCATGGGATAGAAATGATTTGCATTTCTACTGGACTAAATCTACAATCTAAACTCTACCTCTATAAAATTATAAAATAGCCAAATAGAAAATCAAACCTAGCACTGCACTAAAAATAAATCTCTCTTGTCTATTTCCAAGTTTGGGATAATATTTTGATAGCCTCGATGTTTTCATATTGCTTAAAGCTCTTTTGGGCTTATTTAGAATAGACTTTTAGCATATATCATGCTAAAACATACACTAAATAGAGAATTCTACATATCTACATTCAAAGTCTTATAATTTATTTTTCAACTCAGAATCATTAAAGTTTATAATTTTTCTGTGTATTTCTGTTCCTCATGCTATCAAGAGCATTGGTGATGCATTTCTTCTGAGGATTCCTCTCTTTTCTCTGGAATTTTCTTCCAAGAAGCTGACACCCATTCTGCAACTTTTGATGCTGGAACATCCTTGATTTTTTTCAGGTGTCAACAGAAGATTACAAGGCAAGGCCAACACTCACATTCCTTTCTCAAATGGTCTTAAATGTTTGGGGTTTTTTCGCACCTGTGGAGAGCTTATCCTTTAAATGGCTAAGTTTATGAATGTGCAGGCAATGACAACCACACCATTACTGCTTTCTGGCTGGCAGAGACCATAAGACACCATCAACTGTGAAGAGACATTCCAGTTTGAGAGCTGAGCTGCTATGGTGTAAAACGTGTGTTAGAATTGATGAACTATAGATAGTTGTAGATAGATAGATCTAAATATGTAGATAGGTTATGGTTTGACTTCGTATTACGTGAGTGGATTTTTCTTACCTGTGCAGGTATCAAAATATAGTGCCAGATGAGGCAGAGATTGCTAAATATTCCCAAGATACGTTTTCCCCTTCTTCGTTTTAATAAGGGAGCACTCTTCCCACTGGATTTTAGCAGGACAGTTGCTACCCAGCTAAATGTACATTTCACAGCATCCCTTGCATGAAGGGGTGGCCTTATAACTAAATTTTGGCAAACAGATAGAAGCAGAAGAGATATGTGCAACTTTCACATCTCATTTTTCAAAGAAAGCTTTCACTCCCCACTTCTTTTTTTGCCATTTCCTGTGTGTGTGAGCTGGAATAGAGACTTGGTGCTCCACAGAGGTGGTGAGGGGAGGATGCAATAGAAGAAATTATGTGACTGGATTAACCCATGGGGAAAAGCTTCCACTTGCCTTATTGCACAGGAGAGGAATATATTGTTTGAGTCAGCAGCCCAGCCCATACCCTACATTAATACATGAGGTCCTAGAGGGATGGTGGCTTTTCTAGAATAGTTTGACTTATCTTCTTGACTCAAAGGAAGGGACTCGGTAATTTTAGACTGAGGCAGAGCTGAGGATTTCTGGTGATTAGAAGTCCATACAACTTCACAGACCAAGTCAGCTCAAACTTGAAGTCAATTCAACTTAACCTGAATAATTCTTAAGCCCACCAGCTGTTAGTGCTGGAGAAAGGTTTTGTTTTGTTTTGTTTTGTTGTTTTGTTTTGTTTTACATTTGTCCTCAATTTTACCATTCCAATGGGCACATGCCATGTGATAGGAGCCCCAGGAAGGGCTTATACTTACTAGTCCTCAATTTTCAGTTCTCATGGTCAAAGCAGGCAAGAACTCAAGTCAGGCTATGGAAAGGAGAAGCAGTCAGCGAGAAACGAGAGTTGAGAAGGACTCCTCTGATAATGAAAACAGATCATTATAGAGCTGCAATTCATCCTCTAACTCACCCGGCACACAGCTGCCGTCCAGGGTGGCTGAAGGAAACATGGACAGTCAGCCCACCATGAATTGAGCTAAGATGCCCAATGGCTCACAAATAGGATCTGCAGGAGAACCTCAAGTCACCAGTGGGAGACCTTATTCACCACAGGGGACCCAGATGGGTCATGTGGAAATAGGACACACACACACACAACTCCTATTCAAGACAAGTTTTCTACTGAAATATAGAAATCAATTGGCCATGTATCTGGCCAAATAATTTCTCTTTTAGCTGTATGTCCTAGAGGAAATCTCGCATGTGTGTTCAGGGTCATGTAGATAAATATGTTCACTGTACCTTTGCTTATAACAGTAACAATGATAATTACAAATAATCTAATTGTCCATCAAAAGGGAACACTTAAACAAAATTTGGAATATTAATACAATAGATTACTACATAGAAGTTAAAATGAATGAGGTTTTTTAATTAACAAAGATCTCAAAAGCATGGCAACGAGTAAAAATAAATTTGCAGAACAAAACACATAGCATATAACTTATATAAATAAATGATATGTACGGTTTGCTGGTTAATTAATGCATAGTTAAAAAAATAAAGGATACATAGCAACTTCATGACAGTAATTACCTTCAGGAAGAGGTATATGACGCGGTTTGGGATGAACAAAGAGATTTCAACTTTCTCTATAATGTTATATTCCTTTTATTTTGAACATTGGGAGAAAATGGGAAAATATGCTACATTTGGTCATTCTGAGTAGTAGTGGGTAATTGGTACAACAGTGCCTGCTATGTTACTTTCTGCATTGTTTAGTTCTTTCAAAGCTTTTTAGAAAAGAAAGTTAAGTAAAGGAGGTAAGATTGGGGAGTATGTGTGAAGAAGGAGAATTTCAGCTTTTGCTCTGATATTTTTGTAATAGGATGTTGAATGGGATGTAACTGCTATTTTAAAATCCATAACTTAGGCCTAAAGCTGAGTAAGTACCAAGAAGTGCTAACGACCTTACTTTCTACAGAGAACAATCAACTTTGAAGGTCCAGATTCATCCTCTAGGGTATACAGAGAGGCAGATCGGCCCCACCTCAGTTTGCCCCTCATCTCTACCCAGCAGATAATGAGAGAAGCTCGAGCAAGTGGCAGATGGCTTGGGGGAAGTGCTGAGGCTGTCCCCTCCCTTGTCCTTCAGCCTTCATCACCCAGGAAATGTGATGGGGGTTTGGACTGGGAGAACCTGCCAGAACTGGAAACTGGCATCTCAGTCTGCTTGAGCACTGAACTTGGAGATACTGAGCCCATCCCAAGTGTGGCAGAGGAGAATTAGAGGGGAGGCACAGGAGGACTCTGGCATTTTTTCCTTTCTCAGCTGGGCTCAGTTCTCTGTTGCTGCCCCAGCAGCTCTTCTCCCTTGGATTCTTTTCCTCTTGTTCCTGGTTACAAATCGCAGCCAACTGGCTCCCAGAACCCTTTGCCCTGTTCAAAGACACAGGTCCTTTCCATTAACTAGTATTGGTGATATGGTTTGGCTGTGTCCCCACCCAAATCTCATCTTGAATTCCCACGTGTTGTGGGAGGGACTTGGTGGGAGGTAATTGAATCATGGGGGCAAGCCTTTCCCATGCTATTCTCATGATAGTGAATAAGTCTCATGAGATCTGATGGTTTTAAAAAGAGGAGTTCCTCTGCACAAGCTCTCTTTTCTCTTGTCTGCTGCCATGTGAAACGTGTCTTTCACCTTCCACCATGACTGTGAGGCCTTCCCAGCCACATGGAACCATAAGTCCAATAAATCTCCTTCTTTTGTAAATTGCCAGTCTCGGGAATGTCTTTATCAGCAGCATGAAAACGGACTAAAATGGTAAATTGGTACCAGTAGAGTGGGGCACTGCTGAAAAGATGCCCAAAAATGTGGGAGTGACTTTGGAACTGGGTAACAGGCAGAGACTGGAACAGTTTGGAGGGCTCAGAAGACAGGAAAATGTGGGAAAGTTTGGAACTTCCTAGAGACTCGTTGAACAGCTTTGACAAAAATGCTGATAGTGATATGAACAATAAGGTTCAGGCTGAGGTGGCCTCAGATGGAGATGAGGAACTTATTAGGAACTGGAGCAAAAGTGACTATTGTTATGTTTTAGCAAAGAGACTGGTGGCGTTTTGCTCCGCCCTAGAGATTTGTGGAACTTATGAACTTGAGAGAGATGATTTAGGGTATCTAGTGGAAGAAATTTCTTTTTTTTTTTTTTTTTATTATACTTTAAGTTTTAGGGTACATGTGCACATTGTGCAGGTTAGTTACATATGTATACATGTGCCATGCTGGTGCGCTGCACCCACTAACTCCTCATCTAGCATTAGGTATATCTCCCGATGCTATCCCTCCCCCCTCCCCCCACCCCACAACAGTCCCCAGAGTGTGATATTCCCCTTCCTGTGTCCATGTGACCTCATTGTTCAATTCCCACCTATGAGTGAGAATATGCGGTGTTTGGTTTTTTGTTCTTGTGATAGTTTACTGAGAATGATGATTTCCAATTTCATCCATGTCCCTACAAAGGAGCAAAGCACTCAAGAGGTGACTTAGGTGCTGTTGAGGGCATTCAGTTTTAAAAGGGAAACAGAGCATAAAAGTTTGGAAAATTTGCAGCCTGACAATGCAATAGAAAAGAAAATCCCATTTTCTGAGGAGAAATTCAAGCCAGCTGCAGAAATTTGCATAAGTAACAAGGAGCTGAATGTTAATCACTGAGACAATGGAAAAAAGGCCTCCAAGGCATGTCGGAGACCTTTGCGGCAGCCCCTCCCATCACACGCCTGGAGGTTTAGGAGGAAAATATGGTTTCATGGGCCAGGCCCAGGGTCCTTCTGTTTTGTGTAGTCTAGGGACTTGATGCCCTGCATCCCAGCCACCCCAGTTATGGCTAAAACGGCCCAAGGTACAACTTGGGCTGTTGCTTCAGAGGGTGGAAGCCCCAAGCATTGGCAGCTTCCATGTGGTGTTGAGCCTGCAGGTACACAGAAGTCAAGAACTGAGGTTTGAGAACCTCCACCTAGATTTCAGAAGACGTATGGAAACACCTGGATGCCCAGGCAGAAGTTTGCTGCAGGGGCAAGGCTGTCATGGAGAACCTCTGCTAGGGCAGTACAGAAGGGAAATGTCGGGTTGGAGTCCCCATACAGAGTCCCTACTGGGGCACCACCTAGTGGAGCTGTGAGAAGTGGGCCACTGTCCTCCAGACCCCAGAATGGTAGATCCACGAAAGCTTGCACCATGTGCCAGGAAAAGCCGCAGACACTCAATGCCAGCCCAAGAAAGCCGCAGGGAGGGAGGCTGTACCCTGCAAAGCCACAGGAGTGGAGCTGCCCAAGACCATGGGAACCCACCTCTTGCACCAGCTTAACCTGGATGTGAGACATGGAGTCAAACGACATCATTTTGGGGCTTTAAGGTTTGACTGTCCTGCTGGATTTCAGACTTGCATGGGGCCTGTGGCCCCTTTGTTTTGGCCAATGTCTCCTATTTAGAATGGCTGTATTTATCCAATGCCCATACCCCCATTGTATCTAGGAAGTAACTAACTTGCATTTGAGTTAACAGACTCACAGGTGGAAGGGACTTGCCTTGTCTCGGATGAGACTTTGAACTGTGGACTTTTGAGTTAATACTAAAATGAGTTAAGAATTTGGGGGACTGTTGGGAAGGCATGAATGGTTTTAAAATGTGAGGACATGAGATTTGGGAGAGGCCAGGGGTGGAATGTTATGGTTTGGCTGTGTCCCCACCCAAATCTCATCTTGAATTCCCACATGTTGTGGGAAGGAACCAATGGGAGGTAATTGAATCATGGAGGCAAGTCTTTCCCATGCTACTCTCATGACAGTGAATAAGTCTCAAGAGATCTGATGGTTTTAAAAAGAGGAGTTCCCACGAAGCTTGCAGTGAGCTGAGATCGTGCCGCTGCACTCTAGCCTGGGCGACAGAGCAAGACTCTGTCTCAAAAAAAAAAAAAAAAAGAGGAGTTCCCCTACACAAGCTCTCTTTTCACTTGTCTGCTACCATGTGAGATGTGCCTTTCACATTCCACCATGATTGTGAGGCCGTCTCAGCCACATGGAATTGTAAGTCCAATAAACCTCTTTCTTTTGTAAATTTTCCAGGCTGGGGTATGTCTTTATCAGCAGCATGAAAATGGACTAATACAGTTGGAAAGTTACCAAATCTGCAGAGTCTACGAAGTTTGGATTGGTGCAGTCCCTGGTCTGGAGGAAACCACTGGGAGTCCCCTTGTACTGCCTTTACTTCTTGTGGGTGAGAATGGGGTTTACTAAATCTCAACACATCATGGATTGGCTCTCCATGGCCCAGCATACCTCCACTAAGATTTCTTTCCAATAAAGTAGTGCCTGTCTACTTCTTGTGTGGATATTGAGTCTTTGGTGAATCAGCCAAAGCCAATTTGGTCCACACTCTTAGTTTTTTTTTTTTTTATGGTAAATCACAGAAGCCACCAAAGAAGTCTGTGGTGGAGAGGGTTGGCTAGCTACCATCAACCTCACTAGTAGGTTATAATTAAATCAAGGCTCAGATCTAGTATGCCAGACAGAGATGGTCTACATAAGAATCCATAAATATAGCAGACACAAACTAATCAGATGACCTACTCTGCAACTTGGGAAGTGACAGCTATCCTTTAGGTTCTCCATCCCTGTGTGACACATTCCTGCAGGAAGATGGCCACACACCCTAGGCAGGATTCTATTTCTTCTAGTCAGGATTATTCAAGCAGAAATCCTCTTAAACAAGTGGTTTTCAACTGGGGTGACTTTGCTCCCAGGGGATATTTGGCAATGTCTGGAAACATTTTTCATTGTCATGGGGAGAAAAAGGCAGTATGCTACTGGTGTATAGTGGGTAGAGGCCAGAAATGCTGTTAAACATCCTACAAGGCACAGGACAACACCCTTGCAACAAACGATTATCTTGCCCAAAATGTCAATAGTGCTGAGGTTGAGAAACCCTATCTGAAACCAATGGCTGGATACAGAAACAATTATGGAGCAAGCCTTTGGCACCATCTCAAAGGGGACAGGACAAACCTTGCCAGATTCTGAAACTCTATTCATGCAAGGGTAGAGACAGTGTCTTTAAAGTATTTTAGCCAATCTACATATATTGAATACTTTTAATTTCACCAGTAAGCCCCCTTTTCCATCATTTGTTATGCTAATTAACAAGTCACCAGTTTCACCAATTAAAAAAAAATTTTGACATTAGTGTGCTAGTTAGTAAAGCTTCATTGTTGATTAAGTTATGGATAGCAGCAGGCATGGGAATAGATTTAGAAAGTAGGAAATAATTTAGCCAAAATGTCAGGCCCCTGCAGGGAGGTCTCAGAACATAAGACTAGAGAGGTAGAATAGAGCAAGAAAAGGAGGACTTTAAATGTGCTCCTGGATCGCTTTTGCAGGAATTCTCCATAGAGACCATGAGCATGCAGTCAGCATTAAGTATTAAGTGCGGTTAACACTTCCCTTTCTGGCTCACTCGGATGGGTTTGAAATGACAGCAGAAAGAGGCACATTTTGCCCCATGTCATCATCCTGACTAGAATTAGACATATCTCCCTTACTTTTATAGAGCCGAATGATTCATTTCCTAAGTAGTTTATGTGATACTCTATTCTTTATTTGGCCAAATTCTACCTGAAGGGCTTCAAGAAAACATACATTTTCTAAATCACTAAAAATTTTATGCATTCTTCTATAGAACAAGCATTGAGTTTTACATATCCTGTAAAGGAAAAAGAGACAAAATGTGTATTTCTGTATTTAGACATGTAGGTATTACATTATAAATATATAAATGCTAAATATATACATTTTAGCTTATTTTTCTAAGTTGATAATAAAGGGACCAAAGCTGGTTATTAAATAAAGTTATTTAATCAGGGTTGGAAAACTAGCATAGAAGAATGAAAGTTTGGAACACATAAACAGTTTCTGAAAGTCAGACAAGAAATATGCTTCACATAAAAGTTGAAATTGATTGATATTACTTAATCAGAAAAAATCAGAACTTTCTAGCACATAAACTTACTAATCACTTTGTAAATAAGGGCTATAAATCATATACAACCTAGGGAATAAAAGTGAAATCATTCTGTTACAATTCAAATATATATCAGTGGGGAAGATTTTTAAAAGCCTTATACTAAACATTATTGTTTTCTCTAAGAATGAGAATGGTATCACTTATTTAAAAAAAAAATTTTAAGACAATGTATTCAAAAGCCAGACCAAATGAAGATTATAAAAACATTTTCAAAAGTTATAATTCATAAACACCATTGAGGATTTAGTGAGCTACAATTAAAGTGATTAAACAATTTAAAGAGTTTACTGAGGAATGCACCAAACGATTAAATACATTTTATGTGCTTCATAAACACCTGAGGCTACTCTATAGCATTCACTAATGAAGAAATAAATTCTGATCATTCCATTATGATAATTATAATGACTGAACATAAGAGATGGTATATACAAAATGGAGACAAGGGTTCTCTAAGGAACACAGATATTATTTTTTTAAGAATAATCATTTAACAAATAGGTGGTGCTTACTCTCAAAGCCTTTCACAAATATTGACTCATTCATTCTTCATAATCACTTGATTATGTAAAACACTATTATTATTTCCTTCTTAAAGATAAGAAAATCAAGGTTAAGTAAATTGTCTAAGGTCACAGAAAAAAGTTGTCACAAATCTCTGAGAAGCATTAAGTAGCTAAGAGTTCTAGAAAACGTCAAACTATGTTTAGATTAAGAAGAACATAATAGGTCTTCAATCTACTAGAGAATATATTTTAATGTAAACAGATTACGTAAGAAGACAATTACTTCATTCACTTTGGCTTTATCTTTTCCATCAAGAATGATCTTCCATCTGACAGAGCGAACAAACATAATTAGTAGGGAACTGAAGACCTAGATGCAAGGTAAATTTGAAAGGAAGCACCTAATCATGCTAAATGGAATCAGTTTTCTACACCCAGGTTAATTCCATTTCAGTAGGCTAAAATAACACTCAGGTGTGATTTTGATAACCCTGAGAAATCCTGAAGAGTAAGACATGAAGAACAAAGCGAAGATGAGCAGATGTCCTGACTTTCAAAAACAAGGAAAAAGTACTATTGCATCTTAGTAACTAACCTGGTAAATGTTAGTAAACAGGATCCATAAACAGAAGTTTATGAGCACTCAGAAAGGACACAGTGCCAGAAATCAGCAAGAGTTTCCGAAGAAAAAGACATGCCAAACTAACCTCTTTCCTATTAGGATCAGGGAAATAGAGGCAGGTCTTATGTATCCATGATCCCTACCTATGTCACTTAGGAGAGGAAATGTCTTGGAAAAGATAAGTGATGTATTCCATGGCATGTCATGAGCAAACAGCAAGGGTATCTTCCCACCTGCCTTTCTGATTGGAAAGTCAGATTTCTAAACTAGGTCATATTGCTTGAAAATTTCCTCCCACACTTGTAGCCCTCCAAATAGCCAAATTCAACATGATAGCCAATACAAGGAAAAATCAAGCTTGTGTGGGTGAGTAGGGGGAACAAGAGATAACAGGTGGTGTAGTCAGCACAAAGCAATATATTTTCTCCAAATAAATACAACCCCAGAATTTGGGGAACAATCGAGAGGGTGATAGTCTGTAAAACTAAAGCTAGTAGAACCAACTTAAAAATAAAATGTAATCTGCTGAAGAACTTCATCCAAATAAAGTTTGCAAATGTGTTTTTTTAAAAAAATCTAAAGAGAGTCTCAAAACTGATTAAGAAGCCAAAATGTCTCACACATAATCAAGGTTACCTGCTGATATCACTAATGGAAAGAAAGAGGCGATCAAATTAAATTTATTATCATCTGATGGAGGAAATTATGAGTTAACAGAAGGGTGGCAAGCCACATGGTGTCGAGAGAAAACAGAGCCAGAGAATAAGGATTTGGCTGGGTTTATCCAACATGGTCCAAAGTAGAGCGATATTGTCTCTGGCACTGACGACAATTTTTTGATAATATTTTGATGACTCTCCCTCTAGTCTTTTTTGTAAAGCATATTGCAAATACTTACATAATATTATCCTTTTGCTTAGCCTTACAATATAAGCATTTTCCCATATTATTAAAAACTGCTCACAGAAAGAATCGTATTGGCATAATATTCCTTGATGTAGAGATGCTATAATTTATTCAACTATTGCCTAATTTCTTAGTCGTTTGTAATTTTTTTATGATTGCCAATATTCTGCAAAAAATGCAAAACATTTGCTTGCTTTGTATTATTTTCTCAGGATAATTTCTGGAAATCAAATTACAGGGCCAACGGATACTGACATTTTAAAGCTCCTGACAAATATTACCAAACTGCTTTCCTCTGCTTTCTCTCTCATCGGTATCATTAGTCTTCAAAATGATTAAATCTTTGATAATTTGGAAGGTAAAATTATACCTCATTTTAATTCTTATCACTTAATGAGGCTGAACATTTTTCCATGTTTATTTGCCATTTGATTTTTCTCTTTTGCAAATTGTGTGTTTATGCCTTCTGTCTAGTTAGTTTTAGCAATTTTTCTTATGAATTTAAATGACCTCTATTTGGTAAAGAAATTAAGCACTTATTTGTCACACATATTGCCAATTATTTTTACCAGTTTTTCCTCTTAATTGCATAAGCTGTTTATGTTTTATATTTCTACATAATGAAAACATTTTTCTTTTCCTATGTTATCTCTTCTATGACTTTTTAATTTAAAAGCTGTCCTAATCCTCAGATTTAAAATATTCTAGTCTAGATTTGTTACAGTTTTTAAAGTAATAATGAATTCACATAGGCTGTATTTTGAGACATGGTATGAAATGCAGATCTGAATCTTTTTTTTCTACTTTCTTGTATTTTTAGCAATGTAGTAGGTGTATGCAAGTAGCATTTACAAATAAGTCCTCTTCGCCTTTATGATTTGTGATGTTTCCTTAAGAATATATTCAGCTCTTTTGCATAACAGACAAAAGGGAGCTAGCTATTCTTTCCTGTCCATCTTTCAATTTACTTTATACTGGCCTTATACTGTTTTAATTATTAGAGAATTTTAATAAAATAAATAGGGCTATAAACTCTCCATTTTCAAAAAGTTTGTTTATTGTCTCTAGTTGGTTATTCCAATTAACCTTTGAAATAACTTTTCAGGTTCAAAAAATCCAAATGGAATATTAATCATACTCTGCTTCATAAGAATTAGTATTGAAATACCAATAGTATATATTGGAAGAAAAATAATTCTCAGTGTTCTTCCTGAAACCATCAAATTACCTTGGTTTTGAGGCTTTGTCCAATAAAAACTTTTGACTATGAACTAGTTTCCAGAATGCCTTGATGTTAGTAAAATGATGCTCTAAAAAGTAGACCTAAGTGAGCGTACTTCCTGAAAAAAAAGTATTGCCTATTAAAAATAAATACATATACATTCTAGCTAATCAAAATATTGTAAGGCTTTTTACCAAATAAGAAAAACAGCAAATATTGTTTTTTCTTAACTGAAAAGATAAAAAGCTGAGAATCGGCTGGGCATGGTGGGTCACACCTGTAACCCCAGCACTTTGGGAGTCTGAGGCAGGCAGATCACGAGGTCAAGAGATCGAGACCATCCTGGCCAACATGGTGAAACCTCGTCTCTACTAAAAATACAAAAATTAGCTGGATGTGGTGGCAAGCACCTGTAATCCCAGCTACTCAGGAGGCTGAGGCAAGAGAATCACTTGAACCCAGGAGGTGGAGGTTGCAGCGAGCCGAGATCATGCCACTGCACTCCAGCCTGGCGACAGAGTGAGACTCCATAATAAGCTGAGAATCAGAACTTTAATCAGTGTTGATCCCACCAACCTTCCAAATTGTAAGTATGGCCTAAAGTAGTTAGCTATTCTGTGTTATTCTCTGGAGTAAAAGAACAAAAAGATTGAAAAAGATATTTAAAGTTCAACTCATGATTTACAATCCATCCTATCATTGAAACTCCTCGACAACATCCCTGTCAAGTGGTATTTAGATAATGCTTAATATAATAATAGAAAGCTCACTACCTCCTGAGATTGTTCATTTTAGAAAGCTCTGATTTTTAGAAATTCTTACATAGAACAAAATTAATGTCCTGTAACTTCCCAGGTGTATTAGTCTGTTCTCGCACTGCTAATGAAGACATATCCGACACTGGGTAATTTATAAAGGAAAGAGGTTTAATTGACTCACAGTTCCACATGACTGGGGAGGTCTCACAATCATGGCAGAAGGCAAGTGAGGAGCAAAGTCATGTCTTACACGGTGGCCAGCAAGAGAGCGTGTGCAGGGGAGCTGCCCTTTTATAAAACCATCAGTTATTGGGACAGTTATTCCCTATCAGGAGAACAGCATGGGGAAAACCCACCCCCATGATCCAATTACCTCCCACCGAGTCCCTCCCATGACATCTGGGAATTATGGGAGCTATAATTAAAGATAAGATTTGGGTGGGGACACAGCCAAACCGTAACACCAGGAAACAAATTCTAATCCTTATGCTACCTAAAAATGCATCATACATTTGAATCTTTCATTCTCCAGGCTAAGCATATTCAATACTTTACTAAATGTGTCATCCATGATGAAGCTTCTAATCTTATCATTAGTTTATCTAGCAACCCTAACTAGTTTCTCTAATTTTATTGGGTTGGGGGATTAGACCTTTTTAATATCGCCTTTAAAACACGGCACCAGAACTGACAACAACAACCCAGTTGAATTGGAGAATCCCATTCACATAACCCAAGGACAATATGCTCTGAAATAAAACAGTTGAAAGTATGTTTAGCTGGACTTTTTGTTGTGTTGTGCTAAAACTGGAGACTGGAACTCATAACTGAAAACAAGAGTCCCCCATTCTAGAGTTACCAAATATAAGCGTCCAATACCAAGCCTCCCTCACCCCTTCTTCTCAAGGACTTCAGAGAGGCAAAGAGACACCAAAGAGGCTTTGGGGAATACAACCAAGTGGGCTGAGGAAGACTTAAAAGCTCAAGCAAAAGCTGAATCCCCCTCTCAAGAAATTGTGATTGTGGGGGCCCCAGCCATGATCTCCACGGAAAACCAGCTTTGGAACAAGTTCCACTTATAAAAAGCAAAACCACCAGAGAAAAGATGGTATCCACACTATCCAGGGGAAAAGAAAAACAACATTTTCCCTTTTATTGTAGTCTTCCCTCTTCACATAAGAGCTGAGCTATTGTAGCCTAGAAGAGGAAGGCAGAGGAGGTGGCCCTGACAGAGATTGGGCCAATGCTGGAATGCCACGAGGAGGGAGTGAGCAGAGCATGGCCCCATACCCAGGCCAGCCCTAGGAACCATGGGCAAAGCCTGCACTGGGAGGAGGCAGCGAGGGGAGACTTTCACAGGACTGAGATTGGAGCTTTTACAAAATATAACTGGAAAGTTACAGAATTTGCCTAAGATATCATCAAATGATGGGAAAAGAAATTCAGTGGAGTATGGATGAAGTCAGTGCCAGAACAAAATCATTTTGTATTTATATTCCATTGAGGGGCGATTTCTCAATCAACCAGTTATAAAGCCACATCTTGTTTTGCTTTGATATTTCAAGGAGAATATAGGAAAATACTAAGGCTGATGAGGACCAATTCCAAGTGGCTCCATGATAATTCATTTTCCCCTGTACAATTCTTGAAATTAACTAGATATCTATTGTGTTCCAAGATACTCTTAAACGAGGCCCCGAACACCTACAGTTTGAAACAGCATCTGTACAGCTCCTAGCACCAACTCAGCATAGTTGTTTTACTGCCAAAAATACTCCGCTTAAAGAACGTGAAGCAGAGTGGAGAAAACTCTTTATACTTCAGGACAACTTTGGGTTCTCCTAATAGCAATTGTTTGATATCAAAAGTTCTGATTTTTCAACTAATCTAAATACTAAATATTCCATGCTCCACCAGTGCTATCTTTTATATATCATACCATTCTACATTTTGAGTCCTTTGTCTCAATTGTTTTCTCTGCCTTCAGAGTCTGCCTTCGCATTCTGTATGGAGCTCTCTGAGTCTTCTTTCAAGACTATATCAAATGGTATCATCAGCCCCAATCTCTCGTCTGGCTAGTTGTTTCCACAGGCCTTTCCCAATACCTCTGTTAGCACTTAACCCACCACTGCATATCACTCTATCTGGTTCTCTTTTTTTTTTTTCTTTTTGGTGATTTTTATAAAGACAGGGTCTCACTCTGTCGCTCAGGCTGGAGTGCAGTAGTGCAATCGTAGCTCACTGCAGCCTCGACCTCCCAAACTCAGCCAATCCTCCCACCTCAGCCTCCCAAGTAGCTGGGACTACAGGCAGATGCCCCTTTCTATATTTTGACTGTGAGCTCTACTGGTTAGGGCTTTTTTATTACAAGTCACAGAAATTCAATTCAAAACAGCTTAAGCGAAAAAAAATTATAAACAAATAAATGGAGGAAGTTGTTATTGATTCACATACCTGGGAAGGATGGGGGCAAATGTGGCCTAGGGAACACCAGAATTCATGGACTCAAGCCATCTTCTCAGGTCTCCTACTCCATCTGTCTCTCATCTTGTTTTTCTCTGCTCAGCTTCATTGTCTGCTATGCAAACAGGCTTTCAAAGGATGCAATCACCTGCAGATTGAAAAGCCCATCCTTGCAGTTCAAGATGCAAGAAAAGGAGAATATTTTTCTCTTTCCTAGTGTTCTTTCTAAAATCCCACAGAAGGACTCGGCTTGGCCTGCTTAAATCACATCCCCATCCCTGGACCATTCACTGCAGACAGGAAGTTAGGACTAAAATAATTGGCCTAAGTCCAAATCAGAAAGTTTTCAACGCATCATTTTGTACTTCCAGGAATCTTTTTTCTATTTTCTTCCTAAGGATATTTTAACCAGGCTATTGAGGAAAGTTGTACATAAAAATCTAAAAATGCAAAATAAAATCCACTAGTCAAACTATTCATGGTAACACTTGCTACTGTCTAAACATGGACAAAATTTACATCTAAGATTTCTGGTTCTGGCAATACAGCATAGTAGGGATCCTGACATACAAGGGTGCTAGATAATATATATTTTCTATAAAATAATTTTTTAAAGTTTATTCCAAATTGTTACACAAATCTGTAAGAATGAAAGGAAAATTCACTAAGATCAGGAACAACAGACCAGATAGACAATTGAGAATTGAAACTATGGGCAGTCTGGGTAGGTGTATGAATCCAGAGGAATTAGGTCTTTGGCCTGTAGAGGGCGCTGAAAAAAAAAAACAGCCTTCAAACAGGGCAGGAAGAGGCGCCATAAGTAAGATTACTATATACAAAAAGTGAGACCCAGGAAGAAATATGCCTTCAGAGAAAGGTGGAACAAGGTGGAAGACCCCTTCATGCACAAGCAGACAATAAGGAATATTGCCTAGGACCTGGAGGTGAGGGGAGTTTTGTTTTGTTTTGTTTTTGAGACGGAGTCTCGCTCTGTCGCCTGTGCCGGAGTGCAGTGGTGCAATCTCGGCTCACTGCAAGCTCCGCCTCCCGGATTCACGCCATTCTCCTGCCTCAGCCTCCGGAGTAGATGCGACTACAGGCACCTGCCACTGCGCCCGGCTAATTTTTTGTATTTTTAGTAGAGACGGGGTTTCACAACGTTAGCAAGGATAGTCTCGATCTCCTGACCTCGTGATCCGCCCGCCTCGGCTTCCCAAAGTGCTGGGATTACAGACGTGAGCCACCGCGCCCGGCCGGTTTTGTTTTTTTTTTTTTTTGTCCCCAGTGAATACATGGACACAAGCCAGCCTTCATATACATGTTAGATCTATACTATTTGCAATAATTCTGAAAATTAAAAATAGAGACGTACAATTTAAGATGGACCATGCTTTAATGCCTAATTTAAAATGGACTCAGATTTAATGCCCATAGGTACCTTGCAGAAGCAACAAAAATCCTTCCTAGAAGAATGTATGCCCAAATCCAGCCTCAAAAATTTCCCACTGATAGAATTACAGCCAATATGAGCTTACAATAAAAAATCACAAAACAGAAATAGAAGTAAGACACCATGAGTAAGAGTCAGAGAAAAATAAAACAGGATGAGATATGCAAATTCATTACCTAGTAGAATTATAATACAACATATAAATATGGTTTTAATATTTTAAAAAATAAGAGGGAATTAAAAATATAATGAGAAAAAGCTTCAATACATATCCATACACAGAAGGAATTTCCTGCTTTCTATCATATTTATTACTTCCTTAAAAATGTAATAAATTTGGCTAAACATTATCTTGCTTTATAATAAATTAACGTGAAACAGAATATTGATTTATCTTTTTCTTATAAGATAGAAACTATAGTGACCTACAGCAGTTTAATCTTGACATGATATTTGTCATCTACATGATAAATATATAATTTATTGTTTGGTATACTTTATAAAATATGAAATACAATAAATTTATCACTGTATTGTAATAAAAATGAAATATAACTTTTTATAACATAAAGTAAGTCCAAATTGGTTAATTTATTTAACAAAGGGAACTACCTTTGGCAATTAGGGCAAATGGAAGATGTGTTTCATAAATTGAATAAACTAAATGTTTTCATTCTATATTTCTAAAACATGTGAGAAGTCAAAAGCATTTGAAAAAATACTATATTGGTAAAATTGTATTGAAATGAACAATATTTCTATTTTCCAACACTTTCTAAACATATTGGATTAAAAGGAATGCCTTTAAGAGTACCAGATAAAATTAATAGTCATTTCATACTAGATGAAGACTTCAAGGATAAGCATGATTTTTTAATATTTTCCCAGAAACCAAAAAATGAATAATTCTACTGACTGCATAACACATCCCTTTGATAGACAGGGTTGTTTTAAATTTTTTGCTTTCAACAAAATTAAACCTGAGTTATCGGCTACTAGATCATTAAAAACAATTTTTAATTTTATAGCTACATGGGGATGTATCCTTATGCAATTTTGGTTATATAAGCCAGAAGCAGTCAAAAGATTTGGATGATATTACAATAAGAAAACTTATATTAACACCTACCTGTTTATAAGAACAAGATTTCTTAGCACAGACATTCATAAAAATGAAAAATAGGTACAAAATTAATGCTAAACTCTGGCAGTAAGTCATTTTCATCCAATGAAGTCACAAGCTAAAAAGAGTAAAAGCACTACTCATCTCATTTACATATGCAATTCCAATAAAACTTTGCTTTTTCTTTAGTAGTTATTTATCAGTATTTATGTTCATAGTATTTTGATCAATTGTATACTAATAATACTTGTTATAACTGAATTCAGACCAAAATTTTAACATGGAGAGCTTTCAACTACAGAAAATAAAAGTAATCCTATGATTTCAATTTATATACATATTTTTCTGGCAGAGAACTATGATAGGGTTATGGGGAAAAGGTTTTCAGTAAAAAATAGTTTTTAATAAGATAATATTTTCTGGGTGAAGTGGAAAACTAAGTTAAAGAGAAAAAAGATACAATTACCAAAAGTTAAAAAGGCTTATTCATGTGTTTTTAACTGGAGATAATGAATATCAAATAATTGTGTTACTTAGATTCCACTGAAGACATTTAAAAGAGAAGTGTAATCATTTGCTTTCAAATGTCAGTATTTGTTATATATCAGAAATATATTCTTTAATATGTTTTCAACTTATAGTACAATTTTTCTGATGTTAACTTTAAAATGTGTAAGGGAGGGTGCGTAGATTTTCAAAATTCTTTTGGTTTCGGAGTAAAAATGTAGGAGACTATGGCTTAAGGATTCAAGGCTAGTGCTTCTAAACCACTCCCTGATGAAGGACACTTCTCTTTTTTTCATTTGTTTTTGTTTTTTTAGGGACCACTTCTTAAATTTTCTCAACTTTTGTAGAGTAATAAGTGGTCCATATGCCCATGACTACTTCATAGTCACACCACGTGTCTCATTGTGCAAGTTCCACAACACACGAATTTGTCTAGACCTTGCTCAACAAAACAAATATTTTGTGTTGGCATTAAAATATGTCCACAATTTTTTTGACACTCCTCTCTTCAAAAGGTGGAGACAAACTTCCTTCCCCTTGAGTGGCGACTGCACTTAGTTCCTTGCTTCTAACAAATGGAATATGACAGAAGCCACTGTGCATGACTTCTGAGGCTAGTGAGGCAGGAGAATGGCATGAACCCGGGAGGCGGAGTTTGCAGTGAGCTGAGATTGCGCCACTGCACTCCAGCCTGGGCGACAGAGCGAGACTCCGTCTCAGGAAAAAAAAAAAAAAAAAGCACTCTAGCCTCTTTCTTGTTCTCTCTCTCTCTCTCTCTCTCTCTCTCTCTCTCTCTCTCTCTCTCTCTCTGTCTCACATTACTCACTCTGGAAAAGTCAGCCATCATATTGTGAGAATACTCATGCACCTTAATGGAAGGGTCTATGTAGAAAAGCACTGAGGTCTCCCACCATCTGGCATCTGAATGAGTCACCTTGAAAGTGAACATCCCCTCTGCCCCAGCCCCTCACCTCAACCTACCCTTCAGATGGCTGCAGTCCCAGCCAGCGACTTGACTGAAATCTCAGAAGAGATCCTTAGCCAGAAACAACCAACTAAGCAGATCCTGAATTCCTGAACTACAGAGATTGTGTGAAATCATAAGTTCATTGTTGTTTAAAGCCACTACGTTTTGGGATAAATTCTTTTGCGTCAACAGATCCCTAATATAGCTATTAGCCATGTGCTTGGATGTTCTGACAATGCTCAATCACTACAAAAATTTCTAAACTCTTCATTTCTGTTTCAGTACTTGCCTTTTCAAATACCTGTAACAAACAGTTCCTAGTTTGGCCCAGACTCATGGATCATGCTTGGGACAGCAGTGCCCTTAACATCTTGCTGCCTCAAACACAGTTGGCTATTGCTTCCAAGGTACATCTTCCACTCATACTCCCCAAACAAATGGATTGATTTTCACCTTCTTTCTAAACAGTTGCCCTTGAGTTTGGCAGTAATCCCTGGTCTAGGCAGTTGTGGCCAGGGTTACAAAGTCACGTGGCATGAAGCGTGGAAAGGCTGTATGGAAATCTAAGTGCCATCCAAGGAGGATAGAGCACATGGCAGCCACTTCGATTTTCATGGACTCTCTAATATATTCTTCAAAGGCCCCATGGGTCTTACTTCTTCCGTGAAGTCCCCTAAATCATTTTAATCTGAGTCCAGTCGTGGTTGGGCTTCGTGACCCCTTCCCCCCACACACCTCCAGCCACTGCCCTGCACTTCTGCTAAAGCTGAGCTGCTCTCCACCATACTAGTCACCAATACCAAACTGTAGACTGCCCAGTCTATTGTCCTGGACTGTGATCAGCTCTCTCTTTCCCATTACACTGTAAGCTCCCCACGGGTCTTTATCTCTATATTCCCAGTGCTTAAGTATAGTACCTGGCTGGAATTTACTATAGCATATGTTTGCTTGTTAAAATACAAATGCATTGTTATAAATTGATTCTCTGGATTAAAAAATAATGCATTTTTTAAAGGAAAACTCTGAGAAAATGCTTTTGCCACATGAATTATCATAATACATATACACACATACACTAAACAAGCACCAATGTATATACTTGACACATCTGGATTTTGAAAGCAAAGCACACTAGCTGGAAGCTGTATGGTGTCAGAGTTAGAATAAGTACTTTGGGGGCAGACCTGCCTAAATAAATGTAACCCTGTTACTTAATAGCTCTGTGATTCTATGCAAGATAATTAACATCTCTCTGCCTCAATGCCTTCATTATAAATGGAGATAGTAACAGAACCTAGCTCTAAGGATTAAATCAGTTAATGCATGCATCCGGTGAATGTTAGCCATTATTAGGGGTTCTTCGATCACTTGCATGTAATGAATGTCATTGCCTTCTTGCCTCTGTTTGTGTGTGTCAATTGCAGAGACTACAATTCCTACATCTTTCCATTTTCCTATTGTGCTAATCCAGTCGTCAACTCAAACTGGGATCCGTGGACTATTTGTCTCAGAATCATCTATGGGCATTGTTTAACAAGCTAATTTTTTTTTTTTTTTTTTTTTTTTTGGAGACAGAGTCTCACTCTGTTGCCCAGGCTGGAGTGCAGTGGCACAATCTCAGCTCACTGCAACCTCTGCTTCCCAGGTCAAGCAATTCTGCTGTCTCAGCCTCCCCGGTAGCTGGGACTACAGGTGCACACCACCATGCCCGGCTAATTGTTGTATTTTTTTTTTTTTTTAAGTAGGGACAGGGTTTCACCATAATGTTCAGACTGGTCTCGAACTCCTGACCTCAGGTGATCCACCCACCTCGGCCTCCCAAAGTGCTGGGATTACAGACATGAGCCACCATGCCCAGCCAACATGCTCATTCTTTAACCCTACTCTAGGCCTGAAACAAAATGTCTGCATTTTGAAGCTCAGAAAGCTGCACTACAAATAAACACAGCCTGCCTTAGTTCGTTCAGGTTGCTGTAACAAAATACTTTAGGCAATTGAAAAACAATAGAAATTTATTGCTCACAGGTCTGAAGGCTGGCGAGTCCAAAATCAAGTTATCAGCAAATGTAATGTCTAGTGAAGCCCATTTCTCATAGATGGCAACTTATATGTGTCCTCACATGACAGAAGGGGCAAGCAGGCCTCCTCAATCCTCTTTTATAAGGGTATTGATCCCATCCATGAGGGCAGAGCCCTCATGACCTAATCACCTTCTAAGACCCACCTTTTATTACCACCACAATGGGGATTAGGTTTCAGCATGAATTTTGGAGGGACACAAATATTCAATCCATACCACCACCCAAGGAATTATGATGTAGTCTATGAATTTTGAGGAAACACTCCATAAATATGTCCACAGGGGTGTATTCAGCAGCTCCACAGGTAAAGCAAAGGCAAAGATTGGAGGCTCCAAAGGCTTTACAAATCAGCCACAGCCATTCTCTGCAGATTTCTGCACATGCATGTGTCACTATATAGCAAACAAGTGTCAGAAAGGTAAAGCTGCTGTCGTGTAATTTTAATACAACACGGTGGCTATAATATTGCCTATGAAGAGAAATAAAAACACATAGTCTATTCAGGGATGATTTTGTCCTACAGTCAGAGAAATATAAAGGATCTACTGAAATAAAATGCTGAAACACTCAGCTTTGGTCATGTTGAATATTTACATGTTCATAACTTTAAGAAAAAAATTATGTGGTCACATATTCCCCAGAGCAGGTTGGCCTTGTCAGATTCTTGTAGGTCGCCACTCTAGCACTATGGACTTTAGAAAGTGCAATCACATTGCTGTGCCACATCTGCAAGAAATTGAAAACAAATTGCAGCAGAATTTATGTTGCAAGGTAGCAGTTTCCAGCTGCACATCATTTGTTTTCTTTTGTTTAAAATAGTTCTAAATTGCATGCCAGCTACTGTAGGCTCCAGATTCTATTAATGAGGGATGGAAAACTAAAGCAGCTGCTTGTCCTCTGAAAGCTTGTGCCAGGGAGCTTCTAAAACCCTGCCATGGGTCTCTGCAGTCCCATCAGAGGCTTCCAGCTAATGGGGTGGTTTTTCTAAGACAGTGCTTCTCAAGGTGTAATCCAAGAATGACTTGCTCAGAGATCACTTGGGAAGCTTATTTAAAAGCAGTTTTCTACCCCCAGCCCTGAACTCACTAAATCTGTTCTCCAGGGGTGAGTGCAAACATCTGCATTTTAAGCACATTCTTTTTTTTTTAATTGCAAATGTATTTATTACACTTTACAGATAAGTTATATATACACACAAATATAATTTTAACTGTAAAATCACAACAAACTAGTTACATTTAAATCCTTGGCTCTGTAGAAGACAATTTAGAAGTCTTCTAGTCCCCTAACTTTACCTTCCTTAAATTATAAAAAAAAAAAAAATCTGACAGTTTTAACTTCAAGTTAAAGTTGAAGGGGTGATATCACATTTCATCACTCAGAAATGGAAATTTTACCTGTCTATACAAAGCCTTTCACATGCTACAGTGACACTTAAAGTACCATTACAAGACTTTAAATGTGTAAAATATTTAATTAAAACCTTCAAGGATTTTCTTTAAGATTGTGGGTGTTTAACTTGGTTCTAATAACTAGAATGGGGAATGAAACTAACAAACTTGTTTTTTTCTCCTTCAGTCCAATTTTAAAATAGTCCGTTCTGTACTTCTCATCACCATCTGATCTCTTCTAAAGGAGGAGAATATATGGAAGAGTCCTTAACCAAGCTTTTACTCATTTGGTAGTGAGGTTGGAATCCCATGGGAAACAATTTTCCAAAATCCAATAAAAGATGTCCCATTATTTTCAAATACGCAGAGGTGCTAGATTTCAGAAACGCAAAACACAACATAAGTATCTGAAACAAAATGCCTCGGTGTGGTTTTAAAAGAATGCCTATGTGTTGTCAAAAAGCTTTTTCAAGGCAAATGATGCTGGCTTTCCAACTGACATAGCTAGTGTTTGAAATAAGCCTGTTTTCATGGTATTATACCAGACTCTGTAAATGCAATCCCTATAATTACCTAAAGTAGAGGTGCATAAAACACATAAAATAAGGACTCTGCAAAAATTTGACCAACTTTTATGGTGTCTCACTCTCAGTGTGTTTAAGCATGAATATATAAACATTGGAGGCAGTTCTTAGAACAAACCAGATAAAAATAAAATAATGACCAGGTAGGTTATAAACTGAGGTAATAACTCTGCAAACACTTCTCATGAAAAAATTCAAAATTAAGAGGTCACCTATTCTACTTGTTTTCCATTACCTGTGACAGGAGACACATGGAGTAAAAGCAGACCATTAAGGAGGTGGTTAACAACCCCTCAACCTAACATACACACACCATATAAAGCTAACTAAATAAACCAAACACAACCAGTCAGTGTAAAGACTTTCATTCAAAAGTAAACTTTGGGCTAAAGATATCAAGACTTTCTAGTTGTTAACCTGTAGTTCTATCCTTTCCTGAAAGTACAGGCCTTGCCATTAATTCTCTCATTATTAGAATAGTAGAAAACAAGCCTGGATATTGACCAAAGTTTACATTTTACATTTCAAACATGAAAACTCAGAACTGTGCATTTCCAAGTTTATAGTGACATCTGGACAGGTTTTTAAAGTGACGGTGCTGAGGCATGATATTCACAAACACTGGTTTTCTGTTGAGAGTATATACACCCACACCAAATTACCCTGAAATGTCTCCTATTTTCTTCCTAGGAAAATTCTAGGCTTTTAAGTTTAAAAAAATAAATGCCTATGATGCAATTATTACTTTCTAGAGTTAAGCACATTCTTACACACAGCAAGATTTGAGGACCACTATAATCTAGAACCTACTCTAAAATGAATCATTTCCCCTAAAATCAAGTGGAATTTTCCTCAACCAAAAACCTCAGTCTGCCTTTCCTAATTTTCTCCCAGCAATATTTTTTATTCAAAGTTGGTGGCTCATGCCTGTAATCCCAGCACTGTGGGAGGCCAAGACAGGTGGATTCCTTGAGCCCAGCAGTTCGAGACCAGCCTGGGCAACATGGTGAAACGCCGTCTCTACAAAAAATACAAAAATTACCTGGGCTTGGTGGTGTGCGCCTGTAATCCCAGCTACTCAGGAGGCTGAGATGGAAGGATCACCTGAGTTTGGAGGTGTCGAGGCTGCAGTGAGCAGTGCAATGATCACGCCACTACATTCAAGCCTGGAGACCCTATCTCAAAAAAAAAAAAAAAAAAAAAACCAGAGTTGAATAAATTCTCGCCTGCTTAATTATTCCCATTACCAATTATGGTGAAACTCAGTTTAAAAGATTTTACTTTCACTAGTCAGTAAAGTCCAGATATAAAATATCTCACCACTTTTTGAATATGGCCCTTATAGGAGTCAGATCGTGTCCCTGATTCATTGTGAGAGAGAATGCATCTCTCCCTAGAATATAAAAAGCTCCCAGAACAGGTGTGTTGGGTAAATAAGAGTTACCATGGCATCCTGCTCCTCTGTGGACTCCCCTCCTTACAGATTTAGTTGTAAATATCATTCTTGGCTAAGTTCCTCATTCGTATGACTCTGTGATTTGTCAAGTGTGAACTAATATGAACCCTCTTTTCGTACATTTAACGTGTTGACATTGGTCCTGATGTTAGAATAAAATGGCACACCTCCCCCAACCAGTTCACCTGGCAGATAACAGGCCCTCGATAAATATGTGTGGAATGAATGACCAGCGGGATACCACTGCTCTGGTATCTCACCACATAAACATTAGAGGTAGTTCTTAGAACAAACCAGATAAAAATAAAATAATGACCAGGTCAACCATTAGAATATAAAAAGCTCCCAGAACAGGCATGATGAGTAAATAAGAGTTACCATGGCATCCTGCTCCTCTGTGGCCTCCCAGAGGTTAGTAAAACCCCCATGGTTAATAAAGCTGCTGAGAATCTACTCCAAGAAGTCTCATGGGCTCTCTCATAACCCATAACAGATATGCCTTAAAGTCCTTCATTAATTCATAACTATTTATTGAGCACCTATTATGTGTCAGGCACTGTTCTAGCTGCTGGGGATGCAGAAGTTAACACAAAATTTCTGTCCTAGTGGAATCTATTTCAGTGAAAGATGATAGACAATAAACAAATAAACAGATCAATGAGAGAAATAAATATAGGGGTAACTATTATGAAGAAAATGAAATAGATGTGATAGAGAATGTATTGTTTAGGGTACACCTGAATTTCAGTAACAGAGAGATTGAAAATACGGTGCTTAAAGAAGATAAAAGTGTATTTTTTTTGCTCCTAAAGGTGACCTGTCCAGGGGTGGAAGGTGCTGCATCTACAGGGGTCCCCAAGGACCAAGGTGCTATCCGTCTCCCTGTTCATCTCCCAGAGTGGTATACTCATCCAGTGCACTCATCTGGAGCAATTCACATGCACCATGTCTACATTCCAGCCTGTGGGAAAGCAAGAAAGGATGACCAGGACACACGGTGCATCAATAAGAAGATGACTATAAGTGTTGTGTTTTCATTCCTCTCACTTCCCATTGGCCCAAACTTAGTCACGTGACCACAACAATTACAAGGCCATCTGGGAAGTGTAGTATCTATTTGAGCAGTTGAGTATCTGGCTACAAATTGGAGCATTCTGTTATTTTAAGAATAAAGGAATAAAAGACACACACTGTGGTCTTCTGCCGTAATTGTCCAGTTGTTCTCTGGACTAGAGGTGAAGATTTTTTAGCTGGGGGTTTTGTTAAAGTAGTCAGAAAGACCTCTGAGGAGGGACATTTGATACGAGATTGAAAGACACAAAGGATGCAGTCATGGAATATATGTGAAAATTAGAACATCAGCAACCATGAGTAAAGATGACAGTGGACCTGTGTATGTTTCAAACTAAAGTTTTAACTGTTTTTTTAATTTTTAAATTTATTATTTTATTTTCTTTTATTTCATTTTATTTATTTACCTTTAGATGGAGGTCTTGCTATATTGCTCAGGCTGGTCTCAAGCTCCTGAACTCAAACAATCTTCCCGCTTCAGTCTCCCAAATAGCTGGGACTATAGGTGCTTTCTGCCACACCCAGCTTTTGGTTTTGTTGTTTAGTCATTACAATATGTAATTATTTAAGATAATCTCAATAAAAGAGCACATCATGAGATATACAGATAAAACATACATTTTATCTATATCTATTTTTAACTGGTAAGATTGTCAATCCTGTTTCCATACCATATCTGGATGCTTTTGATACATTGGACACGTAGTCACAGGGAATAATTTACATAGATGATTGTTTGGTAGAAATGAAATTCTGGAAGCCTGATTTTTTTCCATTCATTTTTCCAATCATCTCAGATTTCCAAATGGAAAATCTTTGCAATCCCTCCCATAACCTAAGCTACCGTGCAGCCCCATGGACAGACTAACAGGGTGTAGAATGGAGAAATCTTTCTCTAAAGTAAACTAAGAGGAACTTCTAAGTTTTGGGCTCAGTTACCAGCCAGATGGATTGTATACAAGGCAAGAAGTGTTTTGACATTGATTATGAGGACAGAAAATGCCTCCTGGAAAGGTGGCTTGTCCTTGCCCCATTCTGGGCATTTGCAATGCACTTGATAGATTCAGGTCTAATTGAAACCATAAGAAACACCACCTGAGGCAGACCGATAGTCCATCTGGCCCACTGCTCAGGCTCAGACAGAAGCATCCAAAGACTCTGCGTGAGGAGGTCCAATGCCTCATCGGATTTCAGCCATGAGAAGGTAGAAACATACCCTGAAGAGCCCTTACTTTCCTCCGCCAAAATAAGGGATTGTGAGTGAGGCAGTGCTGCTGTCCTCTCCCAAATCTCCCACTTCCTCTCAGGGGAGCTGCCATCTGCTTCCAAGTCCATGAGTGTTCATTTATTAAACAACAGACCTAGCTCCTGACAATGCTTGCCGGGAATGTATACTTCACAATAATAAGCCTTAGACACTGGGGACAAAAATGATCAGAAGCACCATTTTCCCAGGGAATTTATCCACTTGGCAAACCCTGGGCTTGTGAAGACATGGCCTGCCTTCTCCTTCAGTGAAATAAGATAATTGTTTCTGAAGAGTAAAGTTTTATATTTTAGAGTGTTGAGGTCATATCCCCTTCTTTCTATGGGCTCCCCAGGTAAGGAGTTTCATTAAATATTTTCTTTGCTGTGAAATTGCCCTCACAACAGCATCTATCCCTTGGGCTAACCAAAAACTTTAAGGCACAATCTAACCACAAGATTTTCAGTGAAAACCTTTATTTAAATCGTGTGTGTGCATGTGTATGTGTGTGTGTGCATAAACATAGCATGAGTATGTGGCATATGAAAGCTGAAAAATCTCTGATGCTGTCCACATCTCCATCTTTCCACCTGTCCCCCACCTGGCTGGCATGGGCTAGAGGGGCGGGTAGTGTTCTGGTGGCAGCCTCCTGAGACCTAAATGGCCTTTGTTACATACTTCAGAGCTGCTTAACACCCCTGACATGTTCTTAGCTATGAGCTCAGCTCCTGGATTCTTCCAAAATCTGTAGCTCACACTTTTCTTACCTTTCAAATCCTCAAACTATAAAACCTGAAATATAAAGTGCATATAGAGGAGAAGAATGCAGATTGAAACCTTGAGTGCTTGGGAGCTTCCAAGAGTACTTTGCACTCACTAACTAGAGGATGTAAAAGTACCTGTACCCACAGCACACCAGTTGCACAAAGGCATAGAAGTGTTCTTTGATCTAAAAGGATCGGGGAAGCTCTCAGTCACCACGTGCTACCACTTCCCTAGCTGGACAATGCTTTGGAAAACAACTGGATGCATGATTGCATCTTAATTCTAACCCTCCTCCATTTGAAAAATGAGGATACTGGGGCCCAGAGGGATTTGGGGACTTGCCTCAGGTCACAAAGTCAGGGAAGGGCAAGCAGTAACTGGAAGCAGGAATCCAATGTCCTTTTCATTCCACCAGTGTTTGTTGGAAAGAGTATATTTCTGCTTGTGAGGCAATCTTCAGTCTGCAGAGCCGTAGTGTAACGTTTTGGCATGGAGTAGCAGTGTCGTAATCTTCCTCTAACACTTCCCCAGTCCTAAAAACCATATAAGGAATTTGAATCTCTATCATGGTTCCCAATTAGCTTTGACAAACTTGATGTCTTGCCAGCCAGTAAACTACATCACACCCACTGATTCCAACAGGGCAAATCATTCTATTAAACACTGAGACTTAATATCTCAGCTAAAAACAACCATCTGTTCACACTTAATTACCATCTTCCCCAAACATATTTATTTGACAATCTTAAAGAAAACTCCAGTTGCAGAGAGGACTGAGGATTTGAAGGTTTAGCATTTCTGCTTAAGAGCTGTCAGTTAAACTTAAAATTATCTCAGTCCTGGTTCAAGTCCTACTGGAAATAGAAACACACATTTTTCAGATGGTTCCAAAAACATTCTTGCATTTATTTTCTAAAAAGAAAACTTTAAGAACAAATCATGAAAAAAATAAAATAAAATGAGCTGCCTTGCTTTTTCTTTCCCTTTTTTTTTCTTTCTTTCTAGCTTTCTTAAACATACTTGTTCTCGAAAGAAAAAAATTGGAAGGAAAATACTCAGATGCCAGGTGTACCTTTATTAATTGGCTTAACATGCTAGTCAAGAAACCAGCTAGCTACACTAACCACCATCATCATCTCTCTGTGCCTCTCAAAGGAGACTGCTGGGTTTCAATCACTGTACATAAGCAGTTTTTTATTCTCGTGTCACCTCTGTAGAGATCTAATTTACATGTGATCACTTAAAGCCTCTTTTGAATGTTTTAAATAGTCAGAATCTCAATAGCTATCAACTTTTCAGAAGGGGCTTTAGCTTTAATTGTATTGTACATCAGGTATTCTTATAATGTTAAACAGTCAAGAAATTTATAGTAAAGAAAGGAATTCTTTGTCAAGCAAATAAAAAAAAAGCTGATAGCCACAACATTCATAACCAAGACTTTTTTTTTTTTTTTGGCTTAACTATTAGCCACCCCACAAGGCAAAATATCCCTATCCCTAAATTTCGAAAATATTCTATTTGGGGAGTTATTTTTTTGGAGTAAAGAAGAATGAGTTGGACCACCTCTGGCCATCTGTGTGTTTTTTCATTTTTGTAGCCTTTGCTGACTGCAATGCACTCTGGTATCTTGGACTCTCTTGGGGAAAAATAAGCAATTAAGAAGCTTTCCAGAGACCAACAGTTGTATAGGAACGACTTGCAAACAACATTTCATCACTCAGGGAATAAACATCATTGCTTATGATGTACCAATTTCTCTGCTAATATCTGGGAATACAACCATAAGCCGGATAAACAAGTTTGTTGTCTTCCTGGAGCTTCCAGTCTAGAGAGAGAGAGACTAAGAATGCTGCTTAAATAACAACATACATAGAAGAAAAATGATCTGTCAAAAAAAATCTGGCTTTTTAAAAGTAATTTTCAAAAAACGGTGAATATACTGTTTCAATATTTTAAATACTGACCTATAAAAAAAGGAATTAGCATCTATTTCATTGCTACTATATGCAAAGGGCTTTCCATATATTTTTATTTAATTTTCACAGAGATCTTTGTAAGTAGATATTAAGAACACTGAGGCTCAAAAGTTGAAGTCTCCAAAACGAAAACATGGCCTGTAAGGGATAAAGCCCAGTAATACCATCCACATTCATCTGATTCAAAAGTCCATGCATTTTCCCCTACACTTCCTGATTTCCTTGACTAGGCTTTGGCACCTTAGCCGAAACGCTCACATTTCTTCAGACTTCTCTTTCAACAGTGTACAAGGAGGCACACAAGGTTCTCTAGCTGATATCTTTATCTCTGATTCGAATAATTATCTGAAAGTCCAAAAACTTCATTTAACCTTAAGTAAAATCTTCAGACAACCCCACCCCCATCTCCAGTAGCAACACAGTCTGATGTTTCATAATTCCTCAAGCATGCTAGCACTGAATGAACTTCAACTTGCTTAGCAAATTTTCATTGCAGACGAAGTTTCTGTGCTAATCTGGAATTGATACCTTATAAGAATACAGCCCAAATTGGGAAGTTGAAGAGTTTATATATCTCAAAATTCCTTAGTCATAAAATAATGAACTAGCAACAAAAACGTCTACCTTCCTAAAGCATATTACAATCTGACTGCACAAGTCTTTTGTTCTAAACACTTATAAAGGGAAGTGGATGGTCCTACTGGAATCCTACTAGACATATAAATGAAGAATTTTATATTACATTTTGTAAAAAGTTTATTCTCCCTCAATATTTAAGGGAATTAGCTGGCAACATTGGCCAATAAGCAACCCACATTTACCTACAGAATCATTTTTAAATATTTTACTTTTTTAAAAAAGTACACATTTTGCTTCCAGTATGTAGCACCAAAGGCCCATTCCAGGGCATCCCTCCCACTGAATAAACTAAAACCTCTCAAAAACAAAAATATAGAAGGAAAGTAAGGGGAAAGGTAGATTCAAGAATCCTTAACAAAATATTATTACACTGTGTTTAACAATATACAGACAATACATCATAACTGTGTAGAATTTATTCCAAGGAACTAATGTTGGTTTTAGCATTTGAACACCAATCAAATATAATTCACTCATTAACAGATCAAAGGAGAATATTCATATTATCATTTTAATAGATGGGGAAAAGACATTTGACAAAATTTAGCACTCATTTGTGATTTTTTTTTAAAACTCTCAGCAAACTAAAAATATTTGGAAATTTTCTCAAATTGACAATAGTCATCCATGCAAAACCTACAGCTAACATCATACTTGACATTGGCACCCTAAGATTGGTAACAATTCAAGGGGACCTGCTTTCACTGCTTCTGTTCAATATTATACTGGGAGTCTAAACCACTGTAATATTTTTTAAAAGAGGGAGAGGGAAGTAAAATGAAAAAGATGGGAAAGAAATAATAAGAATAAAGATCAATAAGAAAGTAAAATAATATTTACAGGCAATAGAATTATTTATGTAGGAAATCTCAGGGAATCCACAAAATAATTACTAGAACTAATAAATAAGTTTAGTAAGGTACACGGACGATATTTTTAAGCCATCGTATTCCAGTATATAAGCAGCAACAATTCAAAACTGAACTTTAAAAAAATTCCATTTACAATAGCAATAAAAAAATTGTTTTAAGCAAGTCAAATGTGTCTACACCAAAAACTATGGAATACTGCTGAGAGAAAGTAAAGAAAACCTAAATAAAAGGGAAGATAGACCACATTCGTAGATTTAAAGACTCAGTGTATTAGTCAGCATTCTCCAGAGGACATATATAAGAGGAGATTTACCATGGGAATTGGCTCACTTAAGTATGGAGGCTAAGAATTCTCATGATATGCTGTCTACAAGCTGAAAAACCAGGAAAATCATTGGTGTAATTCAGTCTGAGCCTGAAGGTCTGAGAACCAGAGGAAGGGTGATGGCCCTGGTATAAGTCCCAGAATCCAAAAGCGCAAGAACCCAAGCTTCAATATCCAAGGGCCAAAGAAAATGGGTATCCTAGGTCAAGGAGAGAGAGAATTCACCTTCCTCCACCTTTTGGTTCTATTCGCTCCCTCAATGGATTGCATGATGCCTACCAGTGTTGGCAGCGTGGATCTTCTATACTCAGTCTACTGTTTCAAACACTAATCTCTTCCAGAAACACCATCACAAATACATCTAGAAATGATGTTGTTTACCAGCTATCTGGGCATCCCTTAAACCAGTCAAGCTGAAACAAAAATAACTATCACATTCAATATTATTAAGTTGATGATTTTCCCCAAGGTGATCTATAGTTTCAATGCACTGTCAATTTTTTAGGAATTGAAATGCTGATTCTAATACATATATATATGTATGTATATGAAAACACACACACACACACACACACACACATATATATATTCATATATATTCATATATGTACATATATATTCATATATATATTCATATATGTACATATATATTCATATATATTCATATATATATACATATATGTACATATATATTCATATATATTCATATATATACATACATTCATATATATATTCATATACACATATATATTCATATATATATTCATATACACATATATATTCATATATATTCATATACACATATATATTCATATATATATTCATATACACATATATATTCATATATATTCATATACACATATATATTCATATATATTCATATACACATATATATTCATATATATATTCATATACACATATATATTCATATATACATATATACATATATATTCATATATATATACATATATTCATATATATACATATATATTCATATATATACACATATATTCATATATATTCATATATATACATATATATTCATATATATTCATATATACATATATATTCATATATATACATATATACATATATACATATATATTCATATATATACATATATACATATATATTCATATATATACATATATACATATATATTCATATATATACATATATTCATATATACATATATATTCATATATATACATATATTCATATATACATACATGTATATATTCATATATACGTATATATTCATATATATATTCATATATATGTGTGTGTGTGTATATATATATATATATATATATATATATATATATATATATATATGAAAACACAAAAGACCCAAGCATTCTGTTAAAAGAAGAACAAGGTTGGGACACTTACCTGATTTCAAAAAATATTTTATAAAACTCTGATAATAAAAGCAATATGGGCTGGGTGCAGTGGCTTATGCCTATAATTCCAGCACTTTGGGAGGCCAAGGCAGGAGGATCACTTGAGGCCAAGAGTTTGACACCATCCTGGGCAACATAGCAAGACCCTGTCTTTACAGAAAAAAAAATTTTATTTTAAATTAGCCAGGCAAGGTGGTACATGCCAGTATTCCTAGCTACTCAGGAGACTAAAGAAGGAGGATAACTTGAGCCCAGGAGTTCAAGGTTACAATGAACTATGATTGCACCACTGCACTCCAGCCTGGGTGACAGAGTGAGACTGTGTCTCTAAAAATAAATAAATAATAAATAAAATAATATAAAATAAAAGTCAGTATGATACTGGTGAAAAGACAGACATATAAATTTATAGAAAAGAATAGAGAATACAGAAATAAACCACATACATATGGTCGATTTGTTGTTTTTTGTTTTTTTTACAAAAATACTAAGGTAATTCGATGGGGAAAGGATTTTCAACAAATGATGTTGGACACATTGTTCAGAAAAAAAAATTAATATGGTCCTTTACCTCACACCATCCACAAAAATTAACTCAAAGTAATCATAGTCCTAACTTTGAAACATAAAACTCTAAAATTTTTTACAAAAAGCGCAGGAGAATTACATCTTGGGGTAGGCAAACATTTCTTGGCTAGAACACAAAAAGCATGAGCCATAAAAGAAAAAAAATAACTGATCTTCGACCAAATTTTAAGTGTTTTACTATCTGAAAGACACCACTAAGAAAACAAAACTGCAAGCCACAGACCTGGGAAAATATTTACTAAACATATATCAGACAAGTTCTTGCACAGAAAATATATTTGAAAATTTTATCACTCAACAGTAAGAAGACAAACAATCCAATTTTTAAAATAAGTAAAACATTTATATACTTTACCTAAAAGGACCTATAGTTGGCTCAGAAGCATATGAAAAGAGCTCATATTGTTAGTCATCAGAAGTGTAAATTAAAACTACAACGAGACACTACTATCCACCTATTATTCTAGAATATATATCCTATATATTTTAATATTCTATATATTAGAATATTCTAGAATATATATTCTAATATTAGAATATTCTAGAATATATATTCTAATATTAGAATATTCTAGAATATATATTCTAATATTAGAATATTCTAGAATATATATTCTAATATTAGAATATTCTAGAATATATATTCTAATATTAGAATATTCTAGAATATATATTCTAATATTAGAATATTCTAATATTAGAATATTCTAATATTCTAGAATATATATTCTAATATTAGAATATTCTAATATTCTAGAATATATCCTACATATTTTAATATTCTATGTTAGAATATTCTAGAACATATATCCTACATATATTCTAATATTCTATATGTCAGAATATTCTAGAATATATATTATATATTCTAATATATTCTAGAATATATATGTTAATATTCTAATGTTCTAGATTATTATATATATTCTAATATTCTAGAATACATTAGAATATTCTATATTCTAGAATACATAAGAATATTCTATATTCTAGAATATATATCTTACATATATACATTTTAAACTGGCAATACCAAGTGTTGATGAGGATGTAGACAATTGCTGCTGAGAATGTAAAGCACAACTATTTTGGAAAATGGTTTGGCAAGTTCTTTAAAATATAAAATATATAAAATTTATATAAAATATATCATAGGATATATATTCCTAGGTTTTTACCCAAGGGAAATGAAAGCATATGTCCACACTAAGACTTACACACAAATGTTCATAGCAACTTTATTTGTTATCGCCAAAAACTGAAAACAGCTTCTATGTCCATTAACACAATTTGTGGTACATCCATATAATGCAAAACTACTCAGCAATAAAAAGGAACAAACTACCAATATGCTCAACAAATTACGATTTCAGAAGAATCTCAGAGTTATTATGCTGACTGAAAGAAGCATGGCCCCAAGGAGCATATACTATATTATTCTATTTATATGAAATTCTTAAAAATGTAAACGAACCTATAGTGACAGAAAGCAGATCAGTAGTTGCCTGTGAATCTTGGCAGAGGGAGGGGTGTATTTATAAAGGAGTTGGGAAAAAAATTTTAGGAGAGAGAAATAATTATTAACTTGGTTATGGTGATGGTTTCATGAGTGTATGCATTTGTCATAACTGATAAAATTATACTTTAAAACATTGTACTTCAATTATACTTCAGTAAAATTGTTAAATGAATTAATTTAATTTTTTCTACTTGCCCTAAATACATGGGCTATGTATCTCACATAGCCCATGCTCCTGGGCCAAGTTCCCAAGTTTGACCACATGAGATTATGGTGTAATAAAATGCTGTTTTGAAAATATGGAAAATATTAATTAACACAGAGAAATGATATGTGATGATTAAGAATAAGATCTCAGAGTTAAACATCCAAGTTTGAATCTCAGTTCTCTCTCTCACTTTCAAAGTGACCTCGCATGAAACTAATTTTTTTGTGTCTTAGTTTCCTCATCTGTAAAATGGAGATAATAGTACAACTTATTCCATTAAGTTATTTTGGATATTCAATAAGAACACCTGCCCAGTAGGCTCCTAATAAATTAGAGCATTGCCGTAACACTCAAATGGTATCCCAAATATTCTAATTCTTTTAAAAAATTACTGCAAGTTTAAGGAAATCACCCAGGCAAGTCTGCATAGCTAGGTGGGGCGTATTCAAGGAGCCAATCATTGATTATATCTTGTTCAAATTTGCTTCATTGTTGGGTGTGTTTTCATGGGTACTTTATTGCAATAAAACTATAACCAAGTTTTATCTTTTCCCATCCATATCCTCTTGTTCGTAGTCATCTCAAAATCCTTTTATGAGGTGATTAGATCTAAAATACTGGATATAGATATTCCCCCAGGAAGTCTGTTAATTATTTCTGTTTATAAGTGGATTGAACTTGTTTATATCTTGTCCTTCAACTATGATAGTGGCCTGGTCCAATTTGGAACTAACTCCGTCTAATACACAGTTGGAACTCAATAAATACTAATATCTTTATTTCTCTAATTCAAGATTTAGGTCTATTAACATAGCTGAAGTGCACATGATAAGATAGAAATCTCATAGGACTACTGGGTTCAGAGATAGATTCCATATTAGGCTCATGAGGGTTTCAGTGAAATACAAGTGCAGCAAATCCATCCTTCTAATACTGCAGCTGCTTCTGATCCTAAGTTGATAGCGGCATTCTACTTTTGCTATTTCAAAGCAGAGTAGATGTTCACTTCATTGACCCATAAAGAGACAGGGATCTAAATAAATAGGTGCCTACTACACGCCAGCCAATGTGCTATTAATAGAAACTTTCTATATCATTTCTATAAATTCTCATGATAAGCCACTTCTGTGTTACACATGAGATTATTGAGGCTTGACTTGCTCGAGGTTGTACATGTAGTATGGGCTAATGAAGCCAGGATATGAAGCTATACAGGATTTTGGGTATATAACCTGTGTTCTGTACATTATATCACTTCTCAACATCTGTGAATTTAGAAAGGGTGACTTTATAATTTATCTTCCAGCTGGAGACACTGCTAAGAGTACAAGTTGCAGAGAAACCTTTAATAATTACACCAGAGCTGGGCACAGTGGCTCACACCTGTAATCCCAGCACTTTTGGTGGCCAAGATGCGAGGATCACTCGAGCCCAGGAGGTTAAGACCAACCTGGGCAATATAGTGAGACCTGGTCTCTACAAAAAATTTTAAAGATTAGCCAAACATGGTGGCACATGCCTGTAGTCCCAGCTGTTTGTGAGGCTGAGGTGCGAGGATTGCTTGAGCCTGGGCAATAGACACCCTGTCTCAAGAAATAATAATAATAACTATTATTATTATTAATATGCCAGAACAATAGGTATGAACTAGGACCTGCTGGGCAAACCAAAGTGAATGGTCACAAGTCTGAGTCATCAGCTGTTCAAGCAAAATATTTTGAAGCAAAGAGATATCAAGCAAGGAGGTGAGAATAGTTTGTCACATGCTGAACACTGGCCAAATAGGCTCTCTACAAAGGAAGACGTGACTCCCGTTTTAGGGAAAATATTTCAGGGCCTGATCAAGTTCCTCACCACTCATCATATGGTCTGCAGACCAGCAGCAGTACCAGGGAGCTTGTTTAAGATGCAGGATTTTGAACCTACCTCAGAGCTACTGAATCAGAATCTGCATTTTAACAAGACACCCCAGTGATTCCTACTCATATGCTTTGAATTCGTGTCCCCTCCCAAATCTCAAGTCAAATTGAAATCCTCAATGTTGGAGAACGGGCCTGGTGGGAGGCATTGGATCATGGGTGTAGACTTCCACCTTGCTCTTCTCGTGATAGTGAGTGAGTTCTCATGAGATCTGGTTGTTTATGAACTCAAACAAATTTACAAGAAAAAAACAAACAACCCCATCAAAAAGTGGGCGAAGGATATGAACAGACACTTCTCAAAAGAAGACATTTATGCAGCCAAAAAACCATGAAAAAATGCTCATCATCACTGGCCATCAGAGAAATGCAAATCAAAACCACAATGAGATACCATCTCACACCAGTTAGAATGGCAATCATTAAAAAGTCAGGAAACAACAGGTGCCGGAGAGGATGTGGAGAAATAGGAACACTTTTACACTGTTGGTGGGACTGTAAACTAGTTCAACCTTTGTGGAAGTTGGTGTGGCGATTCCTCAGGGATCTAGAACTAGAAATACCATTCGACCCAGCCATCCCATTACTGGGTATATACCCAAAGGATTATAAATCATGCTGCTATAAAGACACATGCACAGGTATGTTTATTGCGGCACTATTCACAATAGCAAAGACTTGGAACCAATCCAAATGTCCATCAATGATAGACTGGATTAAGAAAATGTGGCACATATACACCATGGAATACTATGCAGCCATAAAAAATGATGAGTTCATGTCCTTTGTAGGGACATGGATGAAGCTGGAAACCATCATTCTCAGCAAACTATCGCGAGGACAAAAAACCAAACACTGCATGTTCTCACTCATAGGTGGGAACTGAACAATGAGAACACTTGGACACAGGAAGGGGAACATCACACATGGGGGACTGTTGTGGGGTGGGGGAAGGGGGGAGGGATAGCATTAGGAGATATACCTAATGCTAAATGATGAGTTAATGGGTGCAGCACACCAACATGGCACATGTATACATATGTAACAAACCTGCACATTGTGCACATGTATCCTAAAACTTAAAGTATAACAATAATAAAATAAATAAATAAATAAAATAAATATATAGCACCTCCCCCTTCTCTCTCTTCCTCCTTCTCTGGCCGTGTAAGACGTCCCTGCTTCCCCTTCACCTTCCACTATGATTCTAAGTTTCCTGAGGCCTCCCCAGCCATGCTTCCTGTACAGCCTGCAGAACTGTAAGTCAATTAAATCTCTTGTCTTTATAAATTACCCAGTCTCAGGTAGTTCTTTATAGCAATGTGAGAATGGACTAATACACATATACACAGTAAAATTTGAGAACCACTTGTCTAAAGTTCTACAAACTTGCTTACCATCTGAGTAACTCGTACAGCTTTTTAAAAAATAGAGATTCCAAGGGCCCATTCCCCAGAGATCATGATTCTGTGGATTTTGGGTGGACCCAGGAATCTACATTTTAAACTAGCTCTCCAGGAAATCCTGGGGACAGCCAGGTTTAGGGCCAACTTATCTAGAGTGTCCATTGTGAAGGCACCCAACTTTTCATCAGGAATCAGAGTGGTGAAAAGAAAGCAGCTTGAAATACTCTGAGATTCACTATCTTTACATTTTTATCAAGAAATTTATCCATTTTTACCCACAGAAATCCTCTGGGAGTTAGATTCCATAATCGAAAATTATGTTAGCCAGGGAATTTTCAATGAAATGAAGCAAAGCATAATTCTTCCAAGGAAGGCCTTCCAGTTCCTGGAGCAAACCCACATAGCCATAAGTGTACCCAGACACAGACACAAACATCAAATGAGACCAAATGCTGCTTTCCAAATACATTCACAGCACTGTGACCATATTGCTTGGTCTTTGTGAGTCCATCTGTCCCCTTCAACATCATCCCTGGGCCCAGAGAGTCATGCAGACTGTCTGTTTCTATGTCACTACACAGGGTACTGCACACAACAGAAGCTAAGGCCTGAACAATAAGACATGGCTTGTTGTATCTGCTGTTCCACCTGTATTTATTTTTGGCAGTAAATTTGTTGTTAAGCGTCTAGTGAATCTCTAGTGAAGCAATGTGCAGGCATTAAGGTTCAATGACTAGGATGACACTAAAAACCCACATCTCAATCTGTGGTGAAAAAAGATATAGCATCAGATTCATCAACAATGTAGTTCAGAATCGGACAAAAAGTCAAGATCATGAACTCAGAAGTTCACATTCAGGGGCCGGACACGGTGGCTCATGCCTGTAATCCCAGCACTTTGAAAGGCCAAGGTAGGTGGATCACTTGAGGTCAGGAGTTCAAGACCAGCCTGGCCAACATGGTGAAACCCTCTCTCCGCTAAAAAATACAAAAATGAGCCAAGCATGGTGGCATGCACCTATAGTCCCAGCTACTCGGGAGGCTGAGGCACAAGATCCCTTGAACCTGGGAGACAGAGGTTGCAGTGAACCAAGATGGTGCCACTGCACTCCAGCCTGGGCAACAGAGAGAGACTCTGTCTCAAAAAAAAAAAAAAAGAAAAGAAAGAAAGAAAGAAAAAGAAAAAGAAAAGAAGTTCACATTTAAACTCCGAAACAGGAACTCTCTTGAGAAGTAAAATAAGACAGAAGGCAAGAAGAGGGTGCTCATGACTTGGCTTTCTGAACCAGGTCTAGCAGTAGTCCCCTGCAGCTACCAACCCAAAGTTGATCCTTTTAAAGGAATTCTGGAAATTATAAATATCTCAGGTACAGCATTTCCAGACTTTATAGTCACTGCCCTTTGACATAATATTTAATTACTTCTACTGCTTACTTTTTCAATACTTTATAATAAAAGAAAAGGACCGTAAACACCCTAGTAACCATGGTCTAGATTCAACAATTGTAACATATTATTTGCCCTATTATGTAAATTTCTGTTGAGCTATTTTCAAGTGAGTTGCAGACATCATGACACACTACTAAATATTTTAACTCCTTTCTTCTAAGAATAAGCTGTCACATAATAACCATAATACTATTAAAACACCAAAGAAAACTGATAAAAATAATTCTCAAATATCACATAATATCTAGTCCTTATTGAACTTCTCCCAGTAGTCCCCAAAATGTTTTTACCCCAACATTTTACTGGGACAATTTTCAAAGAACAAGGTTGAAAGCATTTTACAGTACACATTCATATACCCACCACCCAGACAATATTGTTAATTTTTTACTATGCTTGTTTTGCTACATGTGTTTACACTTTTTTTATTATTATTATTTTTTTGACAGAGTCTCACTCTGTTGCCCAGGCTGCAGTGCAGTGGTGCAACCTCAGCTCATTGCAATCTCCACCTCCTGGGTTCCAGTGATTCTCATACCTCAGCCTCCTGAGTAGCTGGAACTATAAGCACGCACCACCATGCCCAGCTAATTTTTGTATTTTTAGTGCAGCCAGGTTTTCACCATGTTGCTCAGGCTGGTCTCGAACTTTTGGCCTCAAGTGATCCACTCACCTTGGCCTCCCAAAGTGCTGGGATTACAGGCAAAAGCCACTGAGCCTGGTCATGCCTTTACATCTATTCATATATACACTTTATTCATCAATCTGTCTTATTTTTTGGTATATCTCAAAGGAAAGTACAACAGTACAGTTTCCCTTAAATATTTTGTATGCAAATCATTAGAGTTCAATATTTCTTTACAATTTTTTCTTTTGATGGAAAATTTACATACAATGAGATGCAAAAATTTTAAATTATACTTGTTAAGTTTCAACAAATATATACATCTGTGTAACCCAAGTTCATATCAAGAAACAGAACATTACCAGTAAGTTATTTCAGGACCCACCCCAGTCAATCCCCTCTCCCACTCCACACCCTCAAGAGGAAAGCACTATTCTGATTTTTTCACCATAGATTAATTTCACCTATTCTAGAACCTCATATATATAGAATTACACAATATATACTCTTTTGGTCTTGGCTTCTGCCACTCAAAATAATGCTTTTGAGAATCAGCCTATTGTTAAATATAGTTCATACCTTTCATTGCTGAGAAGTATTCCGTTTTATGAAAATACCACAACTTGTTTTTCCATTCTCTTAATAATGGACACCTGGATTGTTTCTAGGCTTTGGTTATTATGAATGAAACATTCATGAAAATTCCTGTACAAATGTTTTTTGCCAATACAGTTGACCCTTGAACATCTTGGGGGTTAGAGGTGTCCACCCCCCCATGCAGTTGAAAATTTGCATATAACTTTTGACTCTCTAAAAACTTAACTACTAATAGACTACTGTTGACTGGAAGCCTTATTGATAACATATACATTCTATTAACACATATTTTGCATGTCATATGTGTCATATACTATATTCTCACCATAAAGTAAGCTAGAGAAAAGAAAATGTTATTAAGAAAATTATAAGGAAGAAAAAATACATTTACTATTCATTAAGTGGAAGTGGATCATCATGAAGGTCTTCATCCTCATCGTCTTTACATTGAGTAGGCTGAGGAGGAGGAGGAAGAGAAGGGGCTGGTCTTGCTGTCTCAGAACTGACAGAGGTGAAAAAGATGGAGAGGTAGAAGGAAGGTAGGAATACTTGGCATAACTTTTATTGAAAAAAATTCACCTATAAGTGGACCTGCACAGTTTAAACTCATGTTGTTAAAGGGTCAACAGTATATATTTTCATTTCTTTTGGATAAATACCCAGAAGAGGAATTGCTGGGTCCTAGGGTAGGTATATATTTCATTTTATGAGAAACTTCCAGACCTTTTTCCCAGAGTGAATATACCATTTACACTTTTACCAACAATGTATGAGGTTTCCAATTGCTGTGTTTCCTTTTTTTACTACTATTATTTCTGCTCTTATCTTTTTAAATTCCTTTCTTCTACTTTACTTTGGGTTTCCTTCACTCTTCCTAGCTTCTTGAAGTGTATCCTCAGCTATTGATTTTAGGCTTTTCATTTTTAATATAAGCATTTAAAGCTATGAATTTCCCTGTGAGCATCGCCTTAGCTGCTTCCTGCAAATTTTGATATATTGTATTTTTATTTGCTTTTAATTTAAAATATTTTCTAATTTATTTTGTGATTTATTTCATCCATAAATTATTTAGATGTGTTTAATCCAATCTGTTGATGGTTTCCTAGATACTTTGTTATTAATTTACAAGTAAATGCCATTATGATCAGAGAATACACTGTATATAATTTCAATCTTTTTTAAATTATTGAGGCTTGTTTTATGGTTCAACATGTGTTGTATCCTGATGAACATAACTGGTACACTTGAAAAGAATGTTTACCAATCAGTATTGAGGTATAATGTTTTATAAATATCAATCAGATCAAGATGCTTGATAGTCTTGTTTAGATTCCCTATACCTTTACTGATATTTTGCAGTGTTTTTTAATTATTGAAAGAGAGGTGTTTTTTGTTTGTTTGTTTGTTTGTTTGTTTTAGAGAAAGGATCATGCTCTGTCACCCAGGATGGAGTGCAGTGGCACAATCACAGCTCACTGTAGCCTCCAACTCCTGGACTGAAACAATCCTCCCTCAAGAGTGGGGTTTTAAACCTTCAACTATAATTTTAGAATTACCTATTTTTCCTTACTTATTTCAATTTTTACTTCATGTATTTTGAAGTATAATTTTAGAATCACCCATTTTTCCCTTACTTATGTCAAATTTTACTTCATGTATTTTGAATTCCAGAATGTGTTTTGTAACTTTTTGTTTTCCAAAATGGATATAATCGAGTATTCTTACCGAAATGTTTAACCTGAATCTTATCAAGCCTTTAGATCTACCTAATTTCCTACCCTGAAGAGGAACAAGTTGAACAACAGTATGCAGGAACAATCAGGCACATCCAGAATAAGAAATGCTCTATGAGATAACTGGCCTGATATTTTCAGAACATCAATGTCATAAAAAGGGAGAGATTAGGAGTACTGCTCTACCTTACAAAACTTAGGAGATATGTCAAGTACATATAAGCTCTCTTCTTTAGGCAGCTGATCATTTTTGCATATAGAACCAAGACTTGAAAGACAGTGATATAAATGTTTCACTTTGAATATTAGAGAATTCAATACTAGAGAGAAAATGTAACCAGATTATATAGTACTGAGTGTACAAAGAAGACAGGCTCATTGAAGGCAGGAAGATAACCAGATCCTAGAAGGGACCCTTTAGCAATTTCCCTGCTAGAATCCCTCAAGCTAGACTGCAGCATCAGAGTGTATTGGAACTTTGTGTAGTGGGCTGGAAGTAAAGAAAAGGAATTCTCACCGTAGTCATCCAGGCCATAATTCTGACTTCGTTGAAGCCACCAACCATAGAAGAAAGCAAACTTGTTCACGTTTGCTGCTCCTAGCTTGGTTTTGGTAATGTATGTTGTGATGTGCTTCCCAGATCCCCACTTCAGGAATGAAGAATTGCTTTCCACCTGCTGGGAAGATTGTAAGATGACAGCCCTCTGCAGAGGGCCCTCTCCAGGAACTGCCCCAGCTGAAGGCAGCCTGTATTCAATGACTGGATAAAGAACTAGCCCCTAACTCCAAGTTGGTACAACTCTAAAGGAGCCTCAGAGCTCCCCATGGGGTGGCTGAGCCTTTATTACATGGAAGCACAGCCAATCCTTCACCTGCCATGTCCTCATTGTCCCATGCCTTCCACACTTGTTGAGTCAAAGAATACTCTCTGGTACCCTTCCTGTGAGCTGATCACCATCTCAGAATCAGCTTTCTGGAGAATCCAAGCCTGCAGCAAGGTTACACACCAATTACCTTTGGAGAGCTCACAATGCTTTCATCATTATTTCTATAGCAACTGAATTTACTCTGATTTTGGAGAAGGGGAAATTGAGGCGCAAAATTTCTGTGACTTGCCTGAGATTATCTGAGATGTCAATATTGTGCAAAGGCAGTGTGCCAAGGCGTTCTCAAGAACCATGTAAGTATGCTGCCAAGTTTTCATCTATGTATAAAGTTTATTTTTACTACAACAGAGTAAAACACACCATTCCAGCAATGTGTGCCAGATGGAATGTGGGTTTGTGGGGTCGGGTACAGCACAGGGTATAACAAATTTAGAATGTGTTAAGAAGCAGCGTACTCAAAGAAAGATAGTATGTTTACTAGAAATGTGATATGCTCGCCTCATGCGTATATAAGAGAATGTGGGCAGGACAGTAAATCTACTGAAATAGCAACACCATGCTGAAGGGAGACAGTGACTATAGCAATAACTGCGCATGGTTTAAGGAACACTGCAAATATGATCTTACCATAGGAGTAGTTACATTGATGTTTTAGCTGCCCAGTGTGTTTGGGGGTTTGCTATCAAAATGTCGAGTATTCAAATATCTGCACTGAATACAAAAAATGTTTGAAGAACCTGAGCTAGGGATTAGAATTTAGAAAATCTGGGCTCCCATGAATCCTATCTTTACCCAATTATGTTAAAACAGAGACTAAATATCACTTGTAATACCCCAAGTTGAAAAGCCTGTGCTGTTTTCTCATAAAATCAAGCATATTAGCATTTGAATCATGTTAAACATAGGATTGCTAATCAGAAGAGAAGATAAATGAAAGGGGAATGTTTATGTAAAATAGAAAGCCAGCATGTTGATGTCCCTGGATCTGCTCGACATAAAGATGCACACCCAGACAGTGAATAAAAGCATGGCACCTCATTTTGACAGTGTCTACACTGGCTTTCTATTTTCTTTTCTCTTTAAGTTTGTGGCATATTCTCTGCCAACCGCATTCCCCCAGCAGAGCCTCTCAGCTCAGCAGCACAAAGCCTTCTTTGTGCCCCTTCTTTGTGTGAAATATTGATAAGCCTGAAAGAGTCAGATGATGAAGGTTTCTGGTTTGTTTGGGCTTCGGTGAGATCCCAATTTCAAAATGTCCATGGCTAGGCCTCCAGAGTCAAATATGAACTGCTGTATTTTATAATTTAGGGGTAAATCTGAAACTGTTTTTACACTCAAGCAGAAAGTCTGCTCTCCAACATCAAGAAGGGTTGCGGTAATGATCCTGAGTTCATCACATAACCACACAACTCCTTATTCCATGCAAGCTAGTGAAAAGTCACAAAACTCACTTTCAGGTCTTGCTTTTAAAAATATTTAAAACCAAAGGAACTATTTTAAGTCTGAAGCCAAAAGTTAAGGAGCATTTTAATTCTCTCACTTCTTATCGGCAGCACCTCTTGGTTATTCTTCTCCTAACAGGCTCATAATTTTCATTAACAAGGCTGGCAGCTCTGACTTTGCCTGGAGGGGAATGTAACCCAGAGCAGCTGACAAGAGCTTGAAATTCTCTGGTTTTTGTCACTTGCTATTAGAATCACAGCCTTTTCTAAATATAGGATAGTGAGTCATATTAAACGGTGACCTGATTGCAAAGCCTCATCAAGTTTGTCTGGGGGTGCAATCAACAACACGTCGGACTGTAAAGGTCAACAATGTTAACATTTCAGAGCCTCCTCCTGGTTCAACACTGCAAAAGAAAATGGCATTGTCAAGTAGGCTTTATTCACAGGACAGTATACAGATGTGTGTTCACATGGATTTTTTAGCTTCCTTTTCCACTGCACACAGTATAGTTTATGGATTCATAGCGTATACATATGTCAACTTGTGGCTCTCAAGGATTAATTTCACTTTATCCAATATGTTTCTAAACCTCTTAGGGAATTCGTGGTTTAGTGCAATGGGCTGACATAGCACTAATTTAATTCAGATTCTGTTTTCATACTGTCACAATTTTAACTATTGCAGCATTGTTTGTGGAAATTCAGATACGGTTATTTAATGAAAGAAAAGTGACAAAGAAGACACTCTTTTGGTATCTTTGATTACAGCCTAGCCCTCACCCTTCCTATCCAGCAGGTCATCAAGATCTAGAAGATCCTAGTTCAATCCAGCAGCTGCCATCTCCACCCCCTCTCACTGCTGTGACCTTAATCCAGATCTCTTAAGCTTTCCTCGGGGTTCTTACAGTACCTTCCTCCCTCCTCTCTTCTGCCAGAGTCTCTCTGCCTTGCAATCATGATTCCTTCTAAACTGATCTCTTCATTTACTACCTTAAAAACCTTCCTCGATAGGCATCCTTTGCCTATAAGATAAAAGAAAAAAAAAAGCATGGCTTCATGGAAAGTGCAAAAAAGTTCGGGCTTCATAATGCTACTTAAATGAGTGAATTCACTGCAGTCTACAGCCTTGTCCTCAGATTCATAGGCTCGAAATTCAATCAGTATCACAGCAGCGGACCCACATAATCTAAGCCTGCAAAAGTTATATAAGAACCAAAATTGTCAGCATATTAATTTTCATGGAAACATACCTGCTAAACAAGTCCTAATCCTCATCTTGGCCTGAGACTCATATTCCTCCTCCAGAAAAAGTTACATGAGTAACCCCTTTATAATAAGATTCTTTACAGCCACAGAATTAGCTCAAGGAGAGTTAGTTGTTTGGCCATTTGGGGCCTTGAGAATCATGGTTTGGGCTGTGATGAACAGGTACATGCAGCAGATACAAGGAATGCTCTCTCATGACACCAATTCATTGGTCTTCTATTTTCTACAATCCAGGCTGACCAGTTCTCTTCTGTTGGCCAAAACAGTGGATCGAGTTCCCATGTTTTGCACAGAATCCACGTCACCTCCCTGAGATTGCATATCCCTTGGAATTCTGGGAATTCCTAAACTCTTCAGTAACAAACTCCCTGATGGGCCCAACTGGCTTTTGCTTTACTCTCTCAGTTAGCTGAACACATTCCATCTACGTCCTCCCAGTGAACATCTTTATTCCCCAGTTCTTTTCCTGCTGCCCTTTAAAACCTGGCCCCATACTGCCTTATCCTCACTGTTCCCACACATACCATTCCCTCCAGCCACACCGAATTCTTCGCCTTTCTCCTTTCATGCTGGATGAGTAGACTCCTTCTGTTATAAGCCACAGAAACTAGCTCTAGCTAACTTCAGCAGAGAAGGGATTTACTGGGAGTAGATGGGGTAGCTTACAGCATTGGAGGCAAAACTGAAAAACCTGTTTTTTGAAAGGATAGAAACTAGGGCAGAGCTGAGGACTTAACAGGAACAGCTGGACATCTCTTCGGAAAGACACCATGAGATGAATCATGTCCTATCATTTTCTATACTGTTCAAGGATAGGAATTCCACATCCCACACTTTATCTTACGAAAAGCAAGGCACCTTTATGGACAGACACCCAAGACAATGCAGAATGAGAGAAAAATACTTCTCAAAAAAAAAAAAAAATCAGGACCTGGGACTAATATATCACAGCAAAGGATATGGGGAGCCAATTGATTGAAAGTGCATAAACTGTGGAACCAAAGCATGAAGTGGGGCCTAAAGACCCAGAGTGCAAAAACGCTCAAGTGTACAAGGAATCTGAAGGCCAATCAAGTGCATGAGGAATTTGAAGGTCAAAAGAGAAAATGCCTAGAGAGGCAGCACACTGTAAAGAAAGATCAAGGGAGAAATGAAAGGAGAGAAAAGAATGAACATTTTAGGGTATGAAAGTGATTTGTAGAAATCTTACATGGTAGTAAGAAAAGTATAAGAATTCATAATACATAAACACTTCATAACAAAAAAAATTGGAAGATTGAGTGGATTTAAAGGAGTCCTATTCAAATTCAAAGAATTAATGTTTGCATCTGTGTCTAAAGTCCCAGCTCTGCCTAAACAACTTCACAACACAAAATCCAGCCTGGCTATTCCTCCAGACACTAGCTTTCCGTGCTTCAGCAATATAAGCCTGTTTTTATTTTCTCAAACACCAGCTCCCTCCTGCCTCAAGGACTTTGCAACTTTGCATGTATGGTTCCTACATGGTTCCTTCTGCTAACATCTTCTTCCCCTCCTGTATTAGTTAAGGTTCTCCAGAAAAATAGAATCAATAGGGGGATATAGATACATCTATATCTCTCTGGCTTTCTGTGTCTACCTATGGAGAGAGAGGGGAGGGAAGGATGAGGAAGAGAGAGAAAGAGGAGATTTATTTTAAGAAAATTGTACGGGCTGGCAAGCTACAAATCCACAAGGCAGGCTGGAAATGCCAGCAAGAGTTGATATTCCAGTCTTGAGTCTGAAGCAAAGGCTGGAAACTCAAGCAGAATTTCTGTGCTGCAGTGTTGAGGTGAATTCGAGTTCCTTTCTCTTTGCGGGGTGAGGAGGGAAACTCAGTCTTTGTTCTCAAGGCCTTCACTTGATTGCATGGAGTTGACCCACATTATGGAGGTTAATCTGCTTTACTCAAAGTCTACTGATTTAAATATTTTTTGGTTTCTGGTTTTTTTTCCGAGACAGAGTCTTGCTCTGTCACCCAGGCTAGAGTGCAGTGGCACGATCTCGGCTCACTGCCACCTCTGCCTCCTGGGTTCAAGCAGTTCTCCTGCCTCAGCCTCCCAAATAGCTGGGATTACAGGTGCCTGCCATCACGCCCGGCTATTTTTTTTTTTTTTTTTGTATTTTTAGTAAAGAAAAGGTTTCACCATGTTGGCCAGACTAGACTCAAACTCCTGACCTTGTGATTCACCCGCCTCAGCCTCCCAAAGTGCTGGGATTACAGGTGTGAGCCCCTGCGCCCAGCCTACTGATTTAAATGTCAATCACATCTAAACAAATGAAAAACCTACAACATCTAGATTGGTGTTTGACCAAACAACTGGGCACCATTGCCTACCAAGTTGGCTCAGAAAATTAACCATTACACCTCCTCTTCCTGTCTCTTTACCCACCCACATCTGCATTGGGCTTGATTAACACCACCTCCTTCATGTCTCACCTCAAACCTCAGTCCCCCAAGGAAGACAGGTAAATATATTCTAGCTCTGTTATTCCTTTTATTCCTAATCTCAAGCACAGTAAAGTTAAGAAGGTCCATTTTGGGTACAAAGAACCTCCTCGCAGTGGTGAATAGACATCCCTGGGGTCAGCAGGCAGAGATTCTGTGACGGACTGAAGCTCTCAAGAAAACATCTTAAAACATGTGGAATGGAGAATGCTATTACCCTAGGAATCATCTAAATACATACAGTTTTTCACGGATAATGGATTTGTTAAGCATGCTTGGAATATTCTCCATCTTAAATAGCTATGCATAATTGCAATATTCATAAATTACTATACATTAGCAGACTAAGCAGACACACTGCAGTCAAATTAACTCATTAACCCTTTCCAGAACTCTGATCCTATAAGGTTGAGACCCAGGAAAACTGAATTGATATAACCATAAATATAAATCAAAAAACATAATAAGCTTCCTTCCTAAACAAAATACCACCAACCTTCTTTTTCTTGTGATGATTTTCTTTGATGAGCCAAAAGACACTCTGGGACAAAGATAAAGAAGCAAATATGTATATATCATGTAGTTAGAAGAATCTTTTATCCCTTTTAGTATCTTCCACATATCCTCCCAGCCCATCCTTGACTTTCTCAAGGTAAGTTTTTACAATCTCTCCATTTTCTCCTGCTGTCTTTGTCCAACTTGCCCTCTCTGATTTTAGATAATAGGAAGGCAAGATATCACGAGTCAAGCAAGGCATAGACAATATATTACTTATGCTATATTTAAATAGTACACCTGAAAATTCATTTTGGACACCATTATTAATAATAAAATGCTTAATATGCACTATAATATTCATTTGAAAACAAAGGCACACTAGACACAGATGAGACAATGAACAAAATACATAAACAGGCATGGACAGTACAGTACTTTTTCTTGTGATGCCAAAGAAATAAAAGCCTATCTCTGTCTCTACAATCCCTCTTGGAGTTGGAGATAGGAGAAGACAACCAGTAATTAGACTGGGATTGCTAGAAATTCAAGACAATATATGAGACTGTTCATTGTGTGCACAGATTGATTTCTAAACTCAAGGATGTCTTAGGTCAGTGGAAATGGACATGACAACTTCTTGTAGGGGGTTCAGAGGAGAATGGCCAGTCAAGTCAAACGAAATTTTTAGACGTGGATGTCAGAAGAGAGCTACAGATGACAGTGTTGAGCTAGAAGGAAGAAGAGAATCAGACAAAGTGTGAGGCTAACACCAGGGCTGTCCTTACACACCTAGCTGCAGAGAAAACACATTTCTAGGATGACCAGAGAGGGAAGTATAAGAAATTCAGGTGTGGAGGGTCTTGATTTTCCAAGTGTTTAAATGAAATCTAATGAGCAGCAGCACACCAGCCTGGGTTGTAATGAAAATTGCTGTGAGGGAAGTCAACAGTGGAATAAATTAAAGGTCCTTTACTCTGTCTCTTACTACTTTTTGACTCAGAAAAAAAAAGAAAAAAACTTTAGAAGTAGCCATTGACTTAGGACCATAATGAACCAATTATTTTAATGTGGGTTTTACCAGCATCTGTGGAGTACAGACTGCAGCTTGGAGAAGTGGGATGTGGTCTGGTGAAACAAATATTTACCAGTAAATTATTTGTGCTTATTTTCTAGGGCAATTACATATTTTATGCATGCTTTCAAGGGATTCAGATTATCCTCATTTGATACATGATGGTGATGAACTGTATCTAAAGATTTACCCAAGTGATTTCTAAAATCAAGAACATCAAGTGAACAGCTGTTTGAAACAAATGCCCCATCCTGGAGAGGTTGCATGGCACCGTGGAATTGAACCCTCCTTCAAGAGCCTTTAGAACAATAAAGCATGATGGTCTAATGCAAACCAGAAATTCACAAGCACAGGCTTTCTTCAGTTGACACACACTCTGTTACCAGCTGGAAATCTAGCATTTCAAAAGTCAGAGTGGATAGTTCCAATCGGAAAAGGCTCTGTTCTAAACAGCAAAAGAAGGGATGGAGAGCAGGGGAACAGTAAAATGACATTGCAAAGACAATTAAAGGAATTAGACAAGGCAGTATGAATAAAACAACAATTGATATTTAAGTTTCCCTTGCCCAAATTTGAAAACCAAATTTATTTCACTAAATGCTGGATTAGAAAGAGGAGCTATTAGCCAAGCACAGCTAGAGCTAAAATTTGAACTTAGTTTTCTAGGATTCACTCCTAAAGAGACTGAAATATCCAAAAAGAAAGACTTTTTTTTTTTTTTTGGTAGAATCACCAACTTAGATAGATTGCTTACTTTTTCAGGAGAAAAAATAAATTTCCTTTCCCAAAAGGATGATAGAAACTGTCTCAAAAATCAGTATGTTCGTAAGAGCTATACTTTAGGTTCTTTGAGTATGTTTTCATGCAGAATATATGCATGTTTAATTACAATGGCTAACACTGAACGCTTACTACATGAGAGGCACATGCTTTTTATGTATTTTCTAATTCTCCCAACTATTCAATGAGAGCGATGCTATTATTGTCTCCAAAATGAGACACTGAAGCAACTTTGCCAAAGGTAACCACACAACAAGGCAGAGCTGGGATCTGAACACAGACAGTATCCCTAACCACTGCATTAGCTGTCTTTGGGAGAGTGTTTCAAAATAACTTCTATAAAATCCTAAAAAGAATGCAATTCTCTAAGTTTAGAAATAGGAATTACCTATACCACCTGGCAAGTAGAGTGTCAAAAAAATATTTGACTAGTCATGCACTATGAATTTGATGTATTAAATAGTGACTGTAAAGAGTTGAAATAAGCAAAGTGTCAACTGTAAAGAGTTGAAATAAGCAAAGTGTCAAGAAGACTCAATATGACTCAATTGTTAGATTGTTCATCTCTTGAATGCAGTAATTGCCTACTCATCCCAAAGTTTATGTTAAGATGATCTGATGATGCTTTAGGGCTGGCCTCATGTAGACCACATAAGGAAATGAGAGTACATCTGGCCACAGTGATGGCTGACTTGCCTTCCCTCCAGCTTTACTTCAATCTCCCCTAAAGTTTTTGGGTTCAGCCAGACAAAGAAGTTTTAACAGAAGGTAAGCCCAATGGTCACTCTTTTTTTTTAAGGACTAAATGTTTGCCAATTTCAAAAGCTGTGAAGAAAATCAGATATTTATTAGTTAGAATCCTGTTTATATTTCTTTTACCAATTGTTTAAATTAGCCCTATATTTTAAATGCACTAACATGCGTGAATTCTCACTTGTTGTAGGTTCCTTGTCATAGTCAGTTCCTAAACTCAGGTAACATCTTCAAGTATCAGCTCACATAATCAAGTTACTAATTTTTCCTAAGCTGTCAAACTATTCTCACAACAAAAAAAAGCAGTTCTGGTGTGAAATTATCTGAGTTTACTAATTGCCCCATACTTTTTGAAATGAGTTTCTATATTAATGCAAAATAAAAGTGTATGAGTAATAAATATTAAAAACAAAGGAGAGGGGATCCATATTAACTTGAGTGTATCAGCTAGTATTTGGGGCCTTCAGTAGACAGGCACTCTGGCCAACCAAAATAAATCTCATCTATTCCCAAGAAAATCTTCATCCTGTCAAAGAGAATCAGGCCTAGAGTGGAAAAAAAATGTGTTCTTTAGGAAATAAATTCTTATTATTTTCTATGTGGGGAAAGAAGCCCATTTCTATATTTAGAACTCAGTGAAAAAGCTTGTCAATCTATCAAAATGTCAAAACCCATCATTTTAGACATACAACACTGCGCACGTCACTTTGAGCTTCTTGGGCTCACACTGCCCAACAGGCTCCAGTTGATCTTGGTCCAGAGAATTAATAGTGATGTAAATCTCAATACTCCCATAAATGAGCAGTAAATGAAATTATATTATTTCCTTGAAGCCAAGACTCTTCCTTTTTTCCAAGACTCTACGACAACCTTAGAATAGAACCATAATTCATACTTAGATGTCTCCTCTCTAAGTGAACTCAATTCAAAATAATTATGTCTAGCCTACTTTAAGAAAACCCAATACATAAAAAGTTATTTACAAGAATAATTATTTTTTAAATGATAGTTTACAGCACAAGATAAGAACTTTCTCTAAATTACATTTATAAAATTCTACACTGGTAATACCAATAAGTTTGCCTGATCAGACAGTACATCCTTTCCTTCTCTTGAAAAATTAGAAACTTGATAATATAACCAAAACCATTCTTAATATATGGCCGATCTCAAAGAGGAATTACAGAAATGAACAGTTATTCAAAACTAGAGTAGCAAGCATGTAAGCAGAGGTCTCAATCACTCAGGGGGTATACTGGTTGGGGCTGGAATTTCAACATCTTCCCAGGAACATAAGGCACTTTTCTGATCCCCTGAGAGGCTGAGAGGAAAGAAGCTGGAACTGAATTTCCTGCAAAACTAGGACTCCAGAAAGGTAACCTCTCTCCAGTCCAGGCAAGCAGTAGGAGATCTTGTAATCTATAAGGGCTCTGGGAAGGAGAGAAAGTTCATGTGAAAAGAAATAAAATTCTCAAACCCATGACAGGTAAATGTAGGGGGTCAGATTTATACTACCTGTATGATAAATAATAAACTGAGAAATTAACATAAAAATAGGTCTTGCACTATTGAAACCCTGGGGCTTCTGGTAGAAATAAATGCAAAATACCCTAAAGAGAAATGTTCAAACCTCATAGAAGGCCCATGGAAAATGTCAAACTGAAGATGAGCTCACAATCAAAAATACAGCCAATGCTTAGAAATTATTTGCAACAAAACAAAACCAACAGACATGACAACAGGCTCAATTAGGAACTAGAAGTAGATTAAAAAAAGGGAAATCTAAGAGTCAAAATAACAGCATTAAACTGATTATAAAATGCAATAAAATTAAAAACCAACAACTACAAGGTCAAAATATGCATTTGGAAATATACAAACATGACTCTACATCAGTTGCAGTTTATGAAGAAATAATAATGGAAATGTTTAATACTTGCAAATAAATAAGAATGAAAACATAACATAAAATGTGTAAGACGTAGTGTAAGTATGCTTTAAGACAAAATATGTATACCTTTAAATGCATGTGTTGGAGGGAAAGAAGACAGAAAATTAACAAGCCCAGCAACTCAAGAAGTGAGAAGAACAACAGTGTAAGTAAGTTTAAAGGAAATGTTAAATAGAAAGTAAGCTGGAAATGATGGCATCCACCGGTAATCCCAGCTACTCAGGAGGCTAAGCGGGAGGATTACTTGAGGCCAGGAGTTCAGGACCAGCCTGGGCAATATAGTGAGACTTCCACTTCTAAAAAAAAACTAAAATAAAATAAAAATAAATAAATAAATATAAAAGCAGAAGAGAAAACAAAGACAGAATCAATCAGCAAAACAAAAAACTGATTCTTTGGAGAAAAAACACACAAAGGAAATACACATCTCCGGAAAATTGATTAAGGAAAAAAGGAATATATAGACAATACTAAGAACAAAAAAAGGGATATAACTATAGATAGAATGAGGATTTTTTAAAAACATTAGTATATTGTATAAAACTTTACGTCAATAAAGGTGAAACTTAAATGAAAATTCTAGAAAACTATAAATTGCCAACACTGGCTAATGAAAAAATAGAAAGCCAGTAAAATCCTATATAAAGTTTCAAATTGATCAGTAAAGATCTAGCCACAAGAAAAATGCCCCAAAGGCTTTAAAGCAAACTTTATCAAACCTTTAAACAGCAGACAATTCATATTTTCTACATAGTTCACAGTCAGAAATAGAGTGGAAGTTTTTCACCTATGAAAAGACAAACAACTGCACAATAATAGTACAGGACATCAATCCCCCACTGACAGCATTAGCCAGATCACTGAGGCAGAAAACTAATAAAGAAATTCTAGACTTAAATTCAAAATTCAACCAATTGAACCTAATAAACATCTACAGAATATTCCAGCCAACAAGCACAAAATATATATTCTTCTCATCTACATATAGAACACACTCTAAGACTGACCATATGTTTGGTCACAAAATAAGTTTTAATAAATTCAGAAAAATCAAAATCATACCAAGCATATCCTCAGCCTACAGTGGAATAAAAATAGAAATCAATACCAAGAGGAACTCTCAAAACCACACGATGCTGTGGAAACTAATCAACTTGCTCCTGAATGACTTTTGGGTAAACAGCAAAATTAAGGCAGAAATCAAAAAAATCTTTAAAACGAATGAAAACAGAGATACAACATACTAATGTCTCTGGGATGCAGCAAAAGCAGTGTCAAGGGGAAAGGTTATAGCGCTAAATGCTGGATCAACAAGATAGAAATATCTCAAATTAACAGTCTAACATTGCACCTAAAAAAATTAGAAAAACAAGAACAAACTAATCCCAAAGCTAGCAGAAGATGAGGAGAAAAAGGAACCCTCATATACTGTTGGTGGGAAGGTAAATTAGTACAACCACTATAGAAAACAATTTGGAGGAGGTTCCTCAAAAAACTAAAAATAGAGCTACCAGATAATCCAGCAATCGCATTCCTAGGCACATACCCAAAAGAAAGGAAATCAGTGTATCAAAGAGATATCTGCACTCCCATGTTTATTGCAGCACTATTCACAATAGCCAAGATTTGGAAGCAACCTAAGTATTAATCAACAGATGAATGAATGAAGAAAATGTGGCACATATACACAATGGAGTAGTATTTGGCCATAAAAAAGAACAAGATCCTGTCATTTGCAATAACATGGATAGAACTGGAGGTCATGGTGTTAAGTGAAATAAGCCAGACATAGAAAGACAAATTTCACATGTTCTCACTTACTTATGGGAGCTAAAAATTAAAACAATTGAACTCATGGAGATAGAAAATAGAAGGATGGTTACCAGAGGCTGGTAAGAGTAGTAGAGGCCTGAGGGAAATGTGGAGATGGTTACTGTGTACAAAAAAATAGTTAGAAAGAATGAATAAGACCTAATAAGGTGACTATAGTCAAAAAGATTTTAATTGTACATTTTTGAATAACTAAAAGAGTATATTTGGATTGTTTCTACCACAAAGAATAAATACATGAGGTGATGGATAACCCCCCAAGAAAGAGCCACTTAAGTTTTTATTTAAGCCAGCAGAAGAAAATAAATAACTAAAATCAGAGAAGAACCAAGCAAAATTGAGATCCAAAGAACCAAACAGGATCAACAAAATGAAAAATTGATTCTTTGAAAGGATAAATAAGAGTGATGGACTGCTAGCTAGATTAAAAAGGAAAAAAAGAAAGAAGATCCAAATAAGCACAACTGGAAATGACAAAGGTGACATTACAACCAACCCCACAAAAATACAAAAGATCCTCAGAGACTATTATGAACACTTCTATGCACACAAACTAAAAACTATAGCGGAAATGGACAAATTCCTGAAATCATACAAACTCCCAAAACTTTGAACAGACCAATAATGAGTTCTGAAATTGAATTATAATATTTTTTTAAAACTACCAACCAATAAAAAGCCCTCAACCAGATTGATTCACAGCCGAATTCTACCCTATATACAAGGAACATCTAGTACCAATCCTACTGAAACTATTCCAAAACATAAAGGAGGGACTCCTTCCTAACTCATTCTTTGAAACTAGTATCATCCTGATACCAAAATCTGGCAAAAGAACAACAAATAAGGGAAACTACAGGCCAGTATCCCTGATGAACATAGATACAAAAATTCTCAACAAAATACTAGCAAACTGAATACAGCAGCACTTGAAAAAGTTAATTCACCATGATCAAGTATGCTTCATTCCTGGGATGCAAGGTTGGTTCAACATACACAAATCAATACATGGGATTCAACACATAAACATAATTAAAAACAAAAACCATATGATCAGCTGAATATACACAGAAAAAGCTTTTTGTTAAAATCCAACATCCCTTCATGACAAATACCCTTAAGAAACTAGGCATCAAAGGAAGTTACCTTAAAATAATAAGAGCCATGTATAACAAAACCCACAGACAACATCATACTGAATGGGCAAAAGCTGGAAGCATCCTCCTTAAGAATTGACAAACCTGAGAAAAACAAGCAATGGGGAAAGGATTCCCTATTTAATAAATGGTGCTGGGAAAACTGGCTAGCCATATGTAGAAAGCTGAAACTGGATCCCTTCCTTACACCTTATACAAAAATCAATTCAAGATGGATTAAAGATTTAAACGTTAGACCTAAAACCATAAAAACCCTAGAAGAAAACCTAGGCAATACCATTCAGGACATAGGCGTGGGCAAGGACTTCATGTCCAAAACACCAAAAGCAATGGCAACAAAAGCCAAAATTGACAAATGGGATCTAATTAAACTAAAGAGCTTCTGCACAGCAAAAGAAACTACCATCAGAGTGAACAGGCAACCTACAACATGGGAGAAAATTTTCGCAACCTACTCATCTGACAAAGGGCTAATATCCAGAATCTACAATGAACTCAAACAAATTTACAAGAAAAAAACAAACAACCCCATCAAAAAGTGGGCGAAGGATATGAACAGACACTTCTCAAAAGAAGACATTTATGCAGCCAAAAAACACATGAAAAAATGCTCATCATCACTGGCCATCAGAGAAATGCAAATCAAAACCACTATGAGATATCATCTCACACCAGTTAGAATGGCAATCATTAAAAAGTCAGGAAACAACAGGTGCTGGAGAGGATGTGGAGAAATAGGAACACTTTTACACTGTTGGTGGGACTGTAAACTAGTTCAACCATTGTGGAAGTCAGTGTGGCGATTCCTCAGGGATCTAGAACTAGAAATACCATTTGACCCAGCCATCCCATTACTGGGTATATACCCAAATGACTATAAATCATGCTGCTATAAAGACACATGCACACGTATGTTTATTGCGGCATTATTCACAATAGCAAAGACTTGGAACCAACCCAAATGTCCAACAATGACAGACTGGATTAAGAAAATGTGGCACATATACACCATGGAATACTATGCAGCCATAAAAAACGATGAGTTCATGTCCTTTGTAGGGACATGGATGAAACTGGAAACCATCATTCTCAGTAAACTATCGCAAGAACAAAAAACCAAACACCGCATATTCTCACTCATAGGTGGGAATTGAACAATGAGATCACATGGACACATGAAGGGGAATATCACACTCTGGGGACTGTGGTGGGGTGGGGGGAGGGGGGAGGGATAGCATTGGGAGATATACCCAATGCTAGATGACGAGTTAGTGGGTGCAGCGCACCAGCATGGCACATGTATACATATGTAACTAACCTGCACAATGTGCACATGTACCCTAAAACTTAAAGTATAAAAAAAAAAAAAAAAAAAAGAATTGAAACAAGACAAGGATGGAAGTCCACTCTCACCACTCCTATTCAACATAGTACTGGAAGTCCTAGCCCGAGCAATCAGGCCAGAGAAAGGAATAACAGGTATCTAAATAGGAAAAGAGGAAGTCAAATTATCTGTCTTCACCAATTACATGATTCTACGCCTAGGAAACCCTAAAGAGTCCAACAAAAGGCTCATAGACCCGATAAACAACTTTACTAAAGTTTTAGGTTACAAAATCCATAAACAAAAATTAGCATTTCTTTTTACCAATGATACTCAAGCTGTGACCTAAATCAAAAACACAATCCCATTTACAATATCCCAAAAAAGAATAAAATACCTAGGAATACATTTAACCAAGAAGGTGAAAGATCTCCACAAGGAGAGCTACAAAACATTGCTAAAAGAAATCAGAGATGACACAACCAAATGGAAAAGGATTTCATGCTCATAGATTGGAAGAATTAATATCATTAAAATGGCCATACTGCCCAAAGCAATCTACAGATTCAGTGCTATTCATATCAAATTATGATATTCAATGCTATTCACATCAAGTGCTATTCATATCAAAATGTCATTTTTCACCAAATTAGAAAAAAATTCTAAAATTCATTAGAACCAAAAAAGAGTATGAACAGCCAAGCCAATCCTAAGCAAAAAGAACAAAGCCAAAGGTATCACATTACCTGACTTCAAACTATACTACAAGGCTACAGCAACCAAAACAGCATGGTACTAGTACAAAAATAGACATGTAGACCACTGGAAGAGAATAGAGAACTTAGAGATACAGCTGCACACCTCCAACCAACTGATCTTTGACAAAGTCAACAAAATAAGCAACAGAGAAAGGACTCCCTATTCAATAAATGGTGCTGGGAAAACTGGCTAACCAGAAACTGGACCCCTACCTATCATCATATATACAAAAATTGACTCAAGATGGATTAAATACAAATGTATAACCTCAAACTATAAAAATCCTAGAAGAAAAGCTAGGAAATACCCTTCTGGACATCAGCCTAGGCAAAGAATTTATGACTAAGCCCTCAAAAGCAATTGCAACAAAAATAAAAATTGACAAGTGGAACCTAATTAAACTAAAGAGCTTCTACACAACAAAAGAAACTATCAACAGAATAAACAACCTACAAAATGGGGGGAAATATTCACAAACTATGCATCTGACAAAGGGCTAATACCCAGAACCTATAAGGACCTTAAACAAATCAACTAATAACCCCATTAAAAAGTGGGCAAAGACATGAACAAATATTTTTCGAAAGAACACATAAATGTGGCTATCAAGCATATGACAAATAGTTCAACATCACTGATCATTAGAGAATTGCAAATCAAAACCACAATAAGATACCATCCCACACCAGTCAGAATGGCTATGATTAAAAAGTCAAAAAATAACAGATGCTACTGAGGTTGCAGAGAAAAAGGAACCCTTATACGCTGTTGGTGGTAGTGTAAAATTAGTTCAACCATTGTGGAAATCAGTGTAGTGATTCCTCAAAGACTTAAAAACAGAACTACCATTTGACTTAGCAATCCCATTACTGAGTATATACCCAAAAGAATATAAATTGTTCTGTCATAAAGACACATGCACATGTGTGTTCATTGCAGCAGTATTCACAATAGCAAAGACATGGAATCAACCTCAATGTCCATCAATGGTAGACTGGATAAAGAAAACATGATATATATATACCTTGAAATACTATGCAGCCATAAAAAGGAGATAATGTCGTTTGGAGGAACATGGATGGAGCTGGAGGCCATTACCCTTAGCAAACTAACACATATACAGAAAACCAAATACCACATGTTCCCATTTATAAGTAGGAGCTAAATGATGAGAACACATGGACACATAGAGGGTAACAACAGACACTAGGGCCTACCAAAGGTTGGAGGATGGGAAGAGGGAAAGGATCAGGAAAAACAACTAGTGGGCACTTGGTCTAATACTGGGTAATGAAATTATCAGTACAACAAACTCTCATAACACAAGTTTACCTATATAACAAACTTGCATGTGTGCCCCTAAACTTAAAACAGGAGTTTTAAACTTTAAAACAAAAGTTTAAAAAAGCTTGTAAAAAATAATATTTGTCCAAAGAAAGAGAAAATAAACCAGTAAAATAGAAGAGAATGCTCAGGGTAAAAAAAAATTTTTTTAAATCACATGAATACAAGATGTCATCAGAAGTCAGTGGGAAAGAATGGACTACATAATACATGTCACTGCAACTAAGGTTGTCCATATGCAAAAAAAAAAAAAAAAAAAAAGGTACAACTGATCCCAACCTCACTCCATGGACACATTAAATCCTAAGTGTAAATATTAGAATTTTGAAAGAATGGGAAAAGAATATTTTTGTGATAATGGAGAAGTGAATTATTTCCTAAAAGAGAAGTCAGGGGCACAAATCATAAAGGAAATGGTTGATTTGCATTTTTGATTATAATAGAATGTTATATTAAAATTAAAAATTATATAAGATGACACAAACTAAGTTAAAATGCAAACTCTATACTTTGTATAAGCTATGTGTCACACATGTAACTGAAAAAGGTATAGTATCCCTTATAAATATATTTTAAAATAAATAAAATTAATATAATCAATAAGAAAAATACAAAGAATACAATAATAAAATGGGCAAAGGATATGAACTGACAATTTACACAAGAGAAAACTGGAACACCTAAAAATTTCTCAGCCTCACTAGCTAAAATGAAGTTAATGTGAGATACCACTTCAGAAAAAGAAGATATCTAAAATACAAATTGTTGAGGCAGATATGGGGAAATTGAAACTCTCTTATATGGCTACTACAAATACTTCGATGAGTAATTTGGCAATATCTAGCAAAACTGAAGAGATACATCCCTGTGGCCCATAATTTTACTCTTAAATGCAAAGCCTATTCATTGCAACCTTCTATGAATAGAAAAAAAATTTTTAAAGCTCAAGCTTTTTTACTGGTGAAATAAATAATTACATATAATGAGATACTAGATAGTAGTTTAAATGAACATACTACTCCTTAATGGAGCAACACGGCTAAATCTCAAAATCAGAGTTATATGAAAGACAATTGCAAAAAGATTTGGAACTATTCCATTTATGTAAACATGTAAAACTTACAAAACAATGCTATATAATGTTTAGGGATACATACACATACAAAAATAGGGATGCGGCCGGGTGCGGTGGTTCACACCTGTAAATCCCAGCACTTTGGGAGGCTGAGGCAGGTGGATCACTTGAGGTCAGGAGTTCGAGACCAGCCTGGCCAACATGGTGAAAATACTTCATTAAAAATACAAAAATTAGCCTGTCTTTTTTTGTATTTACTAAAAATACAAAATTTACTAAAATTTTCTTTTTAAAATTTTACTAAAAATACAAAAATTAGCCTGACGTGGTGGCGGGCGCCTGTAATCCCAGCTACTCGGGAGGCTGAGGCAGGAGACTTGCTTGATCCTGGGAGGTGGAGGTCTCAGTGAGCAGAGATCATGCCACTGCACTCCAGCCTGGGCAAAAGAGTAAAATTCCATCTCGAAAATGAATAAATAAATAAAAACAAAAATATGGTTGGTAAAGATACAACTTCAGAATAGTGGTTAAATCTGTGAAAGAAGGAAAAAGGATGGGATGAGAAACAGTCAGCTGTATTGTAATATTTGATTTCTAGAAAAAGAAAAGGGAAGAATAAGGCACATGTTACTTTTAAATATAGTGGTTGGTCACTGGGTACCTGTTAAATTATTCTCCATATTTTTCAGTTTTATAAGTTTTAAAAATTAATAAGCAAATCACTTATATATTCATTAACTCATTTTAATAGAATCTCCCCAATCAGATTTTATTAATACATGTTAATTTTATAGGTGAGAAGACAGATTCCTTAAGGTTACATCCCTTAACAACATTCACAAAGCCATAAGGGGTAGAGCTGGAATTCCAGCTTAAGTCACTTGAATCAGCATGCTTCTCCAAGAAATCCTGATCTTGCAAAATGATTACTCATAGAGTTCTATAAAGATCGAGCTCCATTATTGCATTGAGTATTTATTTTAATTTACCTTAATTTGACTGCCAATCAACTTTTCAGGAGAACATTGAATTTTTTCCTGTATCAGTGCCTACCTGCATTCATGGAGGTGGAAGTCACTGTCTGGGTTCAGCTGGCATTACATTAGAGGATCTGGGACCCTGAACAGCTCGGTTCTAAAAGCACCCTTTCTCCCTGCCCAATATTTCCAAAGACAAGAGCTCGGGGTAGAAGAAAGCCACCAACAAACTCCTATCTGTATGGCTTTAAGCCATCTTGAGATTACTGAAAAAAATCTGTGACTTGGCAGTTACACTGACTTACAAGCTCAGTTTAAAAATATATGTTATAACAGTTAAGCAGCTGTTATTTCTCCTTCCTTTGCCAACTGATTATGTATAGCAAGTTTTGTCATTTTTCCATTATTCACGACTCTTGGGTTATCAGTCATTTGAATAAACGATAACACGCTTCATTGGAAGACAAACCATTTGAAGGTGGAGTTGGAAAATAAGTTATCTAGGGCAATTGAGAAGGGATTTTGTGCATCAGATGGTTTTAATTAAAGGAATGATATCAAATCTGCTTCTACTTAAAGAGGCGAGACACCTCCCAGAGCTCGAGATTAAAACCTCTGTTAGTCTTTTCCACCAAAACTCTTCCTGGGTCTCCAGAAGTTTTCTTTTTTCCCATTAAATACTAGAGAATCTTTCATATATAATCATGGAAAATCATGGTGAAAAAGCCTAATGCGGTGGTTTTCCCAGAGAGAGAGAGAATTTTCTTTTCTGTTTGTTTCTGATTTGTTTTTCATGTTATTGCAAAATCATTAGTATCTAGAATTCCTTAGTATAGAAGACGTACTTATCTCCCATTGTGCCTATTGATTCTCCAGCAATAGCAGTCTCTCTGCACAGTTGTCCATTCCAACCCCTCTACTAGCAGACAATGCTCTGAGCACCCTACGATGTATGACCAAGATCCTCTCAATGTTCGAGAAGGATGTTGAGGACCCCATATCATTTTTATAACTATAAGGGCCTCCCACATTGACAATTTTTGTCTAAGAACCTTGACTTCACCTATTACAGAGTCCCATGTGAACGCTTAACAAATGTCCTACTTTCACTCAACAGACTGTGGGGTTTTCCTCAGTTCCTTTACAATAACATTTGGAAAAAACATATTTCAATGTAAAATAATCTTTAATCAACCATTTTACTGCTACTCCACACTGCCTTTGATCCACAGCTGTAGTGACAGGAAGAGATTCCTTTTAAAATTCAAATTTGAATATTGGCTGGCCTGCTCCTTACAAAAAGTACAATTCAGTCACATCTCTATTATCCCCAAAAAAGAGAAAAAAGCTCATAAAGATATAAGTTAAAAAGTAATGCTAAAACCTCATTTTCTTAAGCCGAACTGCCAAAGCAGTTACATGATATTCTAATAGTAAAACTGGCTTAATTAGAAGTTTATCTCTTTCTCATTTCTTTTTTTTTTTTTGAGAGGGAGTCTCGCTCTGTCACCCAGGCTGGAGTGCAGTGGCGCTCTCAGCTCACTGCAACCTCCACCTCCCGGGTTCAAGTGATTCTCCTGCCTCAGCCTCCTGAGTAGCTGGGATTACAGGCACATGCCACAAACACCCAGCTAAGTTTTGTATTTTTAGTAGAGATGGGGTTTCACCATGTTGGCCAGGATGGTCTCGATCTCTTGACCCCGTGATCCGCCCACCTAAGTGCTGGGATTACAGGCGTGAGCCACCGTGCCCAGCCAAAACATAATTTCTAAAAAAGGTTTTCAGAAGCACACGAGGTAATGCGTTAGATTTTCAGGAAAAAAAAAAAAAAAAAAGGACACCCTTGCCCCACAGCTCCCTAAGTAGTGCTGCTTAGGTAAACCAGCCTTGACCTCCAGGCTGATTCTGGGTAAGCAGGGCTATGTTACCACATGAACTTGAAAAATGGAGAGGGAACAGTCTTATTTTTTCTTTTTTTCTCAGAAATGACCACATGGCCCAACACGTAGTCAGTTCACAATAAATGAGTACAGAAGAGACAAGCAAACCTCCTCCCTGTAACCCATTATTAATTCAGGTAGACTTCCTCTAAGATTCATCCATTTATTTATTCATTCATTCAACAAATATTTATGGAGCAACAACATAGGCGCTGGGGACTCAGCAGTAACAACAACAACAACAACCCTGCCCTCAGGGAACTTATATTTTAGTGGAGGAAGTCAGGAGATTAATAAAATAAATAAGGCTGGGTGCAACGGCTCCTGCCTATAATCCCAGCGCTGAGGCAGCCCAAGGCAGGAGGATGACCTTAGGCCAGGAGTTAAAAACCAACCTAGGCAACATAGCAAGACCCTTTCTCTACAAAAATTTTTAAAAATTAGCCAGGCATGGTGGTGCATTTCAGTAATCTCTGCTACTCAGGAGGCTAAGGTGGGAGAATCACCTGAGCCCAGTGATTTGAGGCTCCAGTGAGCTAGGATTGCACCACTGCACTCCACTGGGTAATGGAGTGAGACCCCTTCTCTAAAAAGATAAAAACTTAAACATAAATAAGTAAAATGCATGATATGTTAGGTGCTAGTAAGTGCTATGGGAGGAAAATCAATCAAGGAAGGGGCATAGATAGTTTTGTGGAATGAGTTAGTCCAATCATAATATAGTAGTCAGGGAAGCCTTCACTGAGAAGCTCTGATATCAGAAGGGAGAGGATTTCAGGCAAAGGACAAAAAACACAAGGTCCCCGGGGAAGGGCAAGGAGGTCATATGGTTACAGCAGATTGAGGGAAGGAGAGAGAGAGACCAGCCATGAGCCCAGAGACATAGTGAACTTACATGGTTCCTTACCAGGGTCTTACCCTAAGGCAACCGAGAAGCCACTGAGATTTTACAGATTGAGACATGACATAGTGGGTGTGTTAACAGCATCACTCTGAGTACTGTACGAAGAATAGGCTATAGAGGACAAGGGCAAAAACAGAAAGACCAGTAAGGAGGTTACTGCAGTAATTTAGGTGAGAGTGAATGGTGGCTTGGACCTCAGTGGTAGAAAGGGATGTGTTGAATGTGGTTGGATTCTGGATATATCTTAAAAGTAGAGTCAAAAAATTTTTGCAGACAGGCTGGATATGGTGTGTATAAGAGAGTCCTCAAGAATGACTCCAAGTTGCTTGGCCTGAGCAACTGAAAAGATAAAGTGCCACCAACTGAGATGGAAAAGGCTAGAGAGTGGGCAGGCCTTTTGGAGAAGTTTGGGGGTCACATCAAGTCTGGAATGCCTACAAGACATCCAGGTGATAAGGCTGAGTAAGCAGATGGGGTCCTGACTTCAGTGAAGTCATCTGGGCTGGACATACAAATTTGAAAGTCATTAAGCATATAGATGCTATTTAAATTTGGGAGAATAAATGATAGCCCAAAGAGAGTGAGTATAATAAGAGAAGAGGAGAGATGCATACAGGACCAAATCTTGGGACCTCCAACGTTAAAGGGTTAGGAAGAATAAAAGGAACCAGCAAAGACAAGAGCAGTCACTGAGGAGGAGGAAAACAGGAATGTGTGTATCCTGGAAGCCAAATGAATAAAGTGTCCTAACAAAGAGGAAGCCATTAACTCTACCAAATGCTTCAGATAAGTTAAAGGAGGACTGTCTTTCCAGTGGGGCTAATGGAGTGTAATCGCCATAAGGAGAGAAGTTTTGTCTTATTCATAGCTGTATCCCAAGTGCCTGAACAGTGCCTGCTCATGGTAAACACTCGGTAAATATTTCATGAATTTTTAAAGTATGAACAGGTATGACTCTTAAATCACAAGCTCAACTGTACAAGAAATGGAAGAGCTCTTGTTTCCATAGACAATTTCATTTCTATTTTGAGCCTTATCCCAAAGTGATGAGAGGAAACTTAACCTCAGTCATTTTCAGGCCTCTACCTCTATCCCAAAAGTTGTCTCAAGTCTGAAAGACTTTCAGGCATTTAAGCATTGGGAGCGGACGCCCAATCCTCATCCTAACTGTCCACACAAGTTCTGGTGAGCTACATGGTTGGAGCTCTGCTGTTGCTGATCCATACCTAGGGCACAGGAGTTTTCTGAGAGGCTGCTCAGACCAGGCTTCAAGGCTATACATGAGCAAGGCCAGATGGGGAAGGACGTCTATAGCGAAGGGGACTGTGGGAATCAGGTGCACTGGTGCCCCACTCATCTGAAGGGAACAGCAACTATTTACTCCCTGTGAGGGTTTCCATGCAGGAGTGTGGCTGGCAATACCGAATCTTCCAGGTTTTTTCAAGAGAAGATAGGTATTTGGATTTGTATGTGAAATCTCTTGAGTTTCAAATGATGGAGATTTCAAGAAGAAGAAGAAGGAGGAGGAGGGAAGAAGAAGGAGGAAGAAGAAGGAGGAAAGAGGAATAAGGAGGAGAAGGAATATGGAGGAGGAGGAGGAGGAGAAGGAGGAGGCGGAGGTGGAAGAAGAAGGAGAAGGAGAAGGAACAACAACTAAGTAGTGTAAAAAACAAAGGCTGAGTGCCATTCCTGCCAGTGGCTGCCAGAGTGAGGCTCAAGCTTGAATGCTCCTACAGACAATGCTTTCTGGTCTCAGGAAGCAGTGCCTGTAGAAGCATTTGTTTTGCTCTGCCTGGAAGCAGGGTGCAATCTCCCAGGCAGCCCCCTGTCTCCCTCCCCACTCTGGGGGACTCAGTCCTAAAACTGGAAAGAAGTCCCATGCTCTCTCTTGCTGCTTCTATGCCTGAGAATTCTCTCCCAACTCTGGGCTTTCATCTTTTAAAAACAAAACCCAGAAAGACTGGCATTCTGCTACTGCCTGCGCACAATCATCCCTATCTTCTCCCCTTGTACCTCCCCTGAGGTCATGTGATCTGCCTAATGGGGGATCAGAAAACAGAGGGACAAGAAAGTACAGTGATAGGAAAGGGAAAAATACTGGGAGGCAAAAAACAGTTAAGCACTCAAAATATTATCCAGGCATGCATGAATCAGGAGAGTGTGCAAATCCCTTCTGGGAAAATAAAGCAGTTCAAGGAAGGGTCCCTGCCCTCCAGAAACTTACAATTGAGATGACAATAAATACATATACTTATGAAATTCAAGTACCATGTTCAGAATCAATTCTGGCTGGAGTTACTAGGAAAACAAGTTATGGAAAGTTTAATTTAAACTCGGACTTGAAGAGTAAATAGATTTTTATTTTTAAGTACAAATCGTCACTCTTGGCAGGAGTGTAAATTAGATTTCAAGAACGCAATCTGCAACATTTACCAAAAGCCTTGAAAATGTGCATTCTGGCTGGACATGGTGGTTCACACCTGTAATCCCAGCACTCTGGGAGGCCGAGGGGGCAGATTGCTTGAGCCCAGGAGTTGGTGACCAAACTGGGCAACATGGTGAAACCCCATCTCTACAAAAAATATTTTTAAAAAATTAGCCAGGTATTGTAGTCCTAGCTACTCAGGAGGCTGAGATGGGAGGATCACTGAGCCTGGGAGGTTGAGGCTTCAGTGAGCCTTGATTGCACCACTGCACCCAAGCACGGGTGACCAAGTGAGACCTCGTCTCAAAAAAAAGTGCATTCTGAATGCTCCACTGATTTTATTTCTAGTAATTTATCTGAATGATGTATTCAATGATATATGAACAAAGAGGTTCATGGCAGGACTATTTATAATAGAAAGAAAGAAAGAGAACAGCCTACATATCCATAAATACAGGGACAGGTTAGAGAAATTATGATGTATCTATAAAGTGGAATATTATGTATTCAAATGAAAATGTAAGAATTCTAAATGAACAGTTAAGAATAAAGATATTGCCCTAGAAAAATGTCTACCAAAAAAATTTTAAGAAAGTAATTTTGGCTGGGTGTGGTGGCTCATGCGCCTGTAATCCCAGCACTTTGGGAGGCCAGCGCAGGCAGATAGCTTGAACCCAGGAGTTCAAGACCAGCTTGGACAACAGGGTGAAACCCTCTTCTCTACAAAAAATACAAAAATTAGCCAGGCATGGTGTTGCACACCTGTGCTCCCACCTACTCAGGAGGCTGAAGTGGGAGGATCGCCTGACCTGGGAGGTTGAGGCTGCTGTGAGCTTTGATCATGCCACAGCACTGCAGCCTGGGTGACAGAGACATTATCTCAAAAGAAAAAAAGTAATTTTACAGCGTGTGTCATCCCATTTTTTAAAAGTATGCATGTGTATATGTACGCATGCTCTTGCGTATTGAAAAGTCTGTAAGGATATGTACACCAAAATGCTACTGGTGGTTATGGTAGATAACTCTCCTCTCCTGCCAAGCAGGTGTACTGCCCTGACCCAGTCATGTTGGGCTTGGCCATGTGACTTGCTTTGTCAATGCAACATACACAGGTGTGTCCTATACTGACCCACACTAATGTGTTAAATGTGATGGGTGGTTTGGTTCAGCCTCTCCTCTTCCCTTCCTGTGAGTAGAGGAATGTCCCAGAGCAGGGCCCTTCCTTTAGCCTGAGATCCAGAATGAGAAGCTATGAGGAGCAGATCCCAGGACCTGCAGAACATCCACAGCCAAGCCCTCTGGTAACATGAAGGAATGATAAATGAATGTTTGCTGTTGCAAGTCACCATGATTGGGTGTCATTTTGTTACCAGAGCAAACTTGAGAAATACAGTGGCTATCACTAGGTGACTTTTTAAATTGAAATTATGGATGACTTTTACTTTTTAAAGTTTTTCATACATTTCTACAGTCTAAAATTTTAACAATGGGTATAGATTATCTTTATTATCAGAAAGGGCAATAAAGATAGAAAAAATCAGAAGAAAAGTTTTTCTGTTTACAAAAGTAAGGCATGATCATATAAAAAATATCAACAACACTAAAAAGTGTAAAAAAAAAAAAAAAAAAAAAAAACTAAAAGTAGCCCATAATCCTACTACCCATGGATAACTTTTGTTTTAGAATATGAATTTCTAGGGTTCTTTTCTCTCTGTTTTTTTAATGTTTGAGCTAATACTGTCACAGGATTCTTGGGGTGTCACTTTGCCAGCTGGAAACCTCTGTGGCCAGTGGCGACTTTGCCTGAATTTTTCTCTGGCCCACTGGGCTCTTTCTACCCACTCAGCCTGACAGGCTGTGCTCAGCTCACGCTACCAGACTCGATCCCATGCCTGCCAAGAGTGAGCCAGGTGCAGAGCAGCAAGGGGTGTGTGAGCAAGCATGGAGTCCAGCCACTGCACACAGCCAGCATACCTGCCACAATGGGGCAGGCAGCTCCAGGGGCTGGCACGGGCACCAGCTCCCTGCGAGGCTGCAGCTGGACCAGGTGTACTGCAAGCAGTTTCCATGGCTGGCACCAAGGAATGCAGTGGCACCTGGAAGCTTGGAGACATCAGGAACCACTGAGCCCGAAAGAGGGAGTCACAGCCCTGGCCTGGGGAGCTCCTATGTCTGAGCCCCTTGAAAGACCACAGCTCTGCTCTCCTTCTCTCTTCTCTGCTTCTTGTCACCTGCAACGTGGCAAGCAAGGGGCATGTTTCAGCCTTGTCTTTGTTATAGCTGTTTCAGCCCCACCATTCAGTGGGGCTTCTTGTCCTGTGTCCAGGAAGAATGAGGTACATGGACAAGTGGAGGGTGAGTAAGGTGAAGAGGAGATTTATTGAGCAACAGAACAGCTCAGAGCAGACCTCCATTGGGTAGCTCCTCTCCACAGGCAGGGTGTCCCAACAAGTGTTAAGCTCTCAGCAGAGAGGAGACCCTGGAGTGGGTAGCTCCTCTCCACAGCTGGTCGTCCCATATCTCTCTTCAGCTCTCAGCAAAGAGGAGACCCTGGGGTGGGTAGCTGCTCTCTGCAGATGTTCGTCCAATCATCTCTCTTTGAGTCTGGCTGAGTCCAAGGGTTGTTATGGGCCTCAGAGGGAAGGAAGTGTGTGCTGATTGCTCCATGGGCAGCCATGGGTGAGCCCAGAAAAAACACCACAGGTTCCCACTCCAGTCTGCAGGACCAGCAGCCTGGGCCCCAGGCTTCAGGCCCTCCCCAGCTTGAAGGTGGGGCTTCACCAGGGACCTCCTTCCACCCAAGAGTCTGTCTGCCTCTTGTGACTATTCATGGCACCCAGGCTGTTTCTGCCAAGGGTTGCCTACAGGCCAGTGCCAAGCTGCCCTCAGCCCCACCTTGGCCTCCCTCCCATGCTTATGGACACCCAAAGTCCTGAGGGGGCCAAGGTGGTAGGGGACTGGTGTGTCAGTGCTGCCCCAAGCATGCGCATACCCAGCAAGTCTGCGACAGCACCTGGGCTCAGCCCCAACCTCTCTCCCAGATTGGAGTGGGTGCCAGGAATGGGGAGAAGCCAGGCAGTGGGAGCAGACACCTCCAAGCCTACAGGGGCAGGGAGTACAGAGATGCCCAGGTCACAGCTGCAGCAAGGGAGGCTGCACCTGCATCCAGGAGGACAGGACTCCTGCCTGCTCCTGGTTCCCGCCAGCTCTGTGATGCATGCAGCCCAGCTGTGCCTCCCCCGCTGCAGTCAGCATCTTGGCAACAGCTGCTCCAGGCAGGCCACTGCTACCTTCAATACTGTATATAGAGTTTAGTATTTTTCCTCTCTTCTTGAAACATAAATAAAGTCATGAGCCACATAATGATGTTTTGGTCAATGATGGACCACATATATATGGTGATCCTATAAGACTATAATGGAGTCAGAAAATTCCTGTCACCTAGTGACACTGTAGCTGCCATAACATCCTAGTGCAACACATTACTCACATGTTTGTGGTGATGCTGGTGTAAACAAACAAAGCACATACAATCATGTATAGTACATAACACTTAATAATGATAATAAACAACTATGTTACTAGCTTATGTATTTACTATACATTTTATCATTATTTTAGAGTGTACTCCTTCTACTTATTGAAAAAAACAGTTAACTGGAAGACAGTCTCAGGTGGGTCCTTCAGGAAGTATACCAGAAGAAGGCATTGTTATCTTAGAAGATGACAGCTCCATGCATGTTTCTGTCCCTAAAGCCCTTCTTAGTGGGACAAGATGTGGAGGTGGAAGACAGTGATATTGGTCATCCTGACCCTGTGTAGGCCTAGGCTAACATATGTATTTCTGTCTTCATTTTTAACAAAAAAAGTTTAAAAAGTAAAAAAATAAAAAATAAAACATTTTTAAAATAAGAAAAAGCTTATAGAGTGAGGATATAAAGGCTGGGCATAGTGGCTCACACCTATAATCCCAAAAATTTGGTGAGCCAAGGTGGGAAGATAACTTGAGGCCAGAAGTTTGAGACCAGCCTGAGCAACATAGCAAGACCGTGTCTCTACAAATAAAAAAAAACTTTAAATTAGCCAGGTGTGGTGGCATGTACCTGTAGTCCCAGCTACTCAGGAAGGTGAGACAGGAGGATCACTTGAGTCCAGGAATTCAGGCTCAGCAGTGAGCTATGATTGCACTACTGCACACTCTAGCCTGGGCAACAAAGTGAGACCCTGCCTCTTAAAAAAAAAAAAAAAAGAACAAGAATATAAAAAAAGAAAATAGTTTTGTATAACTATACAACATGTTTCTGTTTTAAACTGTTATTATAAGAGTCAAAAGTTTAAAAATTTTTAAGTTTATAAAGTTAAAAAGTTACAGTAAGCTAAGGTTAATTTATTATTAAAGAAAGAAAAATACTTAAATTTAGTGTAGCCTAAGTGTGTGGTACTTATAAAGTCTACAGTAGTGTACAGTAATATTCTAGGCCCTCACTTTCCCTCACCACTCACTGACTCACTCAGAGCAACCTCTAGTCCAGAAAGCTCCATTCACGGTAAGTGCTATAAACGTATGCCATTTTTTATCTTTTATATCTTATTTTTACTGTACCTTTTCTATGTTTAGATACACAAATACATACCATTGTGTTACCAACAGAACTGAGTACAGTAATATGCTGTACAGGTTTGTAGCCTAGGAGCAATAGGGAGTACTATAGAGTTGTGTACCTTTATAGTAGGCTGTAACATCTAGGTTTGTGTAAGTACACTCTATGATGTTCACACATCAATGAAATCACCTAATGATGCATTTCTCAGAACATATCTCCTTCATTAAGTGATGTGTGAATGTACTTCCTATGCTAACAAACTTATTGTACACATCATTTTTAATGTCTAAGTTTTATAAGCTATGCCACACTTAACTCTCCTTGGCTGAATATTTAGGTTGTTTGTGACTTTTAATTATATAAATAACTGCAATGACCATCTTTATACACTGAACTTGTTTCTATATTAAGAACTATTTCCCCAGGAATAGGAGAAATTTTAAGACCCACTACATATTGTCAAATTGTTTGATGGATAAACCTTGATCAAAAAAAAAAAAAAGAGTGTAAATAAAATTTCAGGGCTGGGCCAGGCACAGTGGCGCATTCCTGTAATCCCAGCACTTTGGGAGGCTGAGGCAGGCAAATCACTCGAGACCTGGAGTTCGAGACCAAGCTGCCCAACATGGCGAAACCCCGTCTCTACTAAAAATATGAAAATTAGTCAACTAGGTGCCTGTAGTCCCAGCTACTCAGGAGGCTGAGGTACAAGAATCACTTGAACTCAGGAGGCAGAGGTTGCAGTGAGCCAAGATAGCACCAATGCACTCAAGCTGGGGAGAAGGAGAAAGACCCTATCTCAAAACATAAATAAATAGAAATAAATAAATAAATAAGTGCAGGGCCACACTCAGTTGGGCTGAAGGAGAACAAGTATGCTCACATCACTACATAGAATAAGACGTTTCGACATGATAAGGCCGACAATGGGGAGCCATTGCAGGTCCTTGCAAAAGGTAACAGGACATTTGGGGAGATTTTTCAGCTAGTGCTAGACCCACTGTGAACTGGAAGAAGCCAGAGGTTGGAGGCCAGAGACTAGCAAGAAAGTTGTTATAGTTATCTTTGGTATAAGACAATGAGGGTCTGGATTAAGATGAGGCAGCAGGAATAGTGCAAGGACATCTGAGGCACAGAAATATATGGTACATGACCAATTAGCAGTACTGGTATATACAAATTTATTATCAGCAGATTTATTAAGTAAGATTCTCTACAGCTTGGCTCTGGTAGACAGGGAGTCTTTCGATTGGTTTATCATCCATCCATTCATCCCTTCAACAAAAAGGAGGACCAGAAATACACTTCTCCTTAACATTTCATCACCCCAAAAGCTAACTAGGAATATCTTCCAATTATCTCCAGCATAACCTGTTTGTTGTTTTAATGACTTAGAGTGAAACAGCGGTCTAAAAACCCTGAAATCCCACCAAATTACCACTATATCAGGAAATCATCACACAGAAATAACACAATATGAGACCATTTACAAAATTGTCCAGAGTAAGCCTATTGTCTGCATGAATCTGAGATCAGCTTGCTTTTTTATAGGCATAATAGCCATTTGTACTGGAGATTTGAGAATTCTGGATTTGAAGGAACACAACAAAAGAAACTAGTCCTTGAACAAAAAGAGAGAGATTAGAATACTGTTATTGGATTGTTTTTCACTGAAACCTATACTACATGAAATTCTAATTTCATTCATATGCAATCATTATGCTGAAACACAAAAAAGAGAAGGGACAGTTGAAGAGTCACTAATGACAGCTCAGAGGACACTTCTGAGTTTCAAGGCTTAATGTATGACTTGAGGATGAAGACAAAGCCAACAGCATTTTTCCTGAAATGCACACTGAGTTCACAGATGTTACATAATCACTTTTCAATTGGTGAAATAATCTCTTCAAAATGCTTGTCTGCTCAAGTTTTAGAACTGCAATATGTCAGCCAAACATATACCAAGTGAAACCTCATTTTAGAAGATAAACATAAGTCCTTCTTGAGGTGTTTCATGACTGGGATATTGCACTCTTTCATTTGAAGCTTTGGAGAATACAGAATTGGCCTGAATAAATGCCTTTTAAATTTATCTAATAAAAATGTCAAAGCACTGACAGCCAGAATACTCTCCATTTACCCATGTAAAAATAATGGGGGGAAAAGACAAATTAAAAGCAATGAATTCAAATCAAAGATAATCAGAATAGACCTTAGCTACAAAATGTTTCATCCCCCTTCCTGGAAGACCTAACCTCCAAACAGAGTCCCAGAGATGACTCAATTAAAACATATTTATAAAAACAAAGAGTCCTTCTTTCCTCAAAAATGCATTCTGAAGTTTAAAGCCAGCCTCAGATTTCTTCTACACCATTCCTAAACCTTGGTCAATGGAAAAATCATTCCATAATTTTTAAGTTTCAAAATATCTTCCATTACCTTAATTATGTATACATTTCATAGATTACCTCAAACTTCGTTCCCAAGAGGAAAGCATGAATTCAATACAATAGGTAGCAGTGTCTAAGCTAAATTCACAAGAATCACTAAACATTTCTACAGCTAGTTCAAAATGTAAATATTTGGTTCCTGAAGAATCTCTATTATTGCCTGAAGACTAATCTTGTCTAATAAACTTCTTCAAATAAAGCAAAACTATGTTGGGAGGGAACTTTACTTGGTACATACCGCCTTCCAAATGTTAAAAAAAAAAAAAAGCAGTAGTTTCTCTCCACATCTGCCCAACTATTGAGGCAGAGGGATGTATGGTTCAAAAGTTTAACAGGGTATTTTTATTCCCAGCCACACCAAAAAATAACATCCTTTAGTGCTGTTTCAGAAATTTAGAAGCACCATTCAAATACATCAAGTTATTTGCTAAAGAACATATTCTAAAGCCCTGGAATTGAACCTCAAAGTCCATCCTAAAACACAGACCAAAGATTGGGGGTTTTCCAAGCAAAATCAACATATGATTTAAATCTCACTAAGACTAGTTCTTATACTTTAACAAGGAAAAAATATTTTTGGTATTTTTACATGGCCAAGAGCTTCCAGAAATAGCAGCTCTGGGTACCTGTCATCTGATGAGTTTGCAGCAGCCTGATAGCGAACCTCCAGGGAAAAACATGCAAAAGTGAAAAGGGTTTCTAAAAGTAGGTGAAGGGTCAGCAATGTAAGTTCTAGCAAACACCTTGCTTTCTGGTCACACGCGCAGCTAAAAAATCAGGAGTTCAAGTTTGAAGCCATTCATCCTAGATTCAGAATCTACCAGGACCCAATCCGAGAAACTTCTGACTTTCTTTCTAAATGGAAGGTGTGTTTTGACAGGAGAAAGAATAATCCATGCTTCCCAAAAGGCAATGCACAGTGAGACAGCGAGGGCTGGAGACCTCAGAACAGTAGATGCCTCCCCATGGCAAAAACACTGGGCAGGGCCTCAGCCACCACCTGCAGTTGGGTCCCTCTGCCTTCTCCTGACTGCTTCATTTCCTCCTTAACCACCCCTAAGGCTGTGTGTTTCTTTCGTTATTACATCTCCTCCCTTACAAAACTTAGTCAAATTCAGCACTTCCCAGAACTTGGGATACACAGATGTTCACAGGTGCTCCTCCTCCAAATGGTTCCATGATCCAATACTTTTAGGAAACTCTGAGTTAAGGCAGGTTTAAAATGTTTCCTTTGCTGAAGGATTTCTCCAAGCCATCAATATGCTAATGTGTGTTGAGAAAGGCTCATTTTCTAAATTCTCTGGACATGGATCCCTTTTGTGGTGTCATACTTATTAATACCTCACTAAAGAGTTTTAGTGAGTGAAACCCTTTTTGAGTTCAGCAAGAGTCTAACTGGAGGCTACTTGACACTGATCCCAAACTTGGAATATTAAACAACACCTTTAATAAGGCCACACTTTTTCCCCTGCCTCCAATTCAACTTCTCATGGTCCTAAACTGTGGGGGGATGTCTATTGCCCCTTCCCTCCAATCTGATTCCCTATGATGCATGTTTGAACTAATAATCAGAGGCAGAGAAATGTTAAAAGCCTTAAAATTGATCCCAAGGTCCTTTGCACAGCCCCTTTGGCCGTAAGACTTAGGGATCGGACTTACTGGCAAGCAGTATTCCGAGTGTGCCAAGAGTATCCCACACCTCCTTAGACAAATGTATAAGGCACAAATAGCTGGAATTGGTGCACTAAAGGAGATAATGGACATAATAGCATTAGCTGTAATAAAATATAAGAGATTATTATTATTTGCACATCATCAAGTCAGCCCCTTTTATATATCACCATGCACAATTAAGCACTTAATAAATATTTTTTAGTATTGTAATAATAAAACTGAGTAAACCCAATCCATGCAATTTCAGTTTGCAATTAAGTTTCTGAAACACAGAGATATGGAATGACATATGGCCAAAGTGGGGAGAGATGAGAGCAAAAGAAGGGCGTTGAAGTGAGTAATGAAGTAAATGAGCCTATGACCCAGCAAGACTGGTTTGATAAGTTGAGATTTACCCCCACAGGACCCAGAGATGATATCATGGGAATCTATATAAGACCAGCGATGAGGTTATGTGGCTGACAATCCCCAAACCCATCTGAAAAGCACGGGTGCTCATTATTGAGCCAATGTTCCACATATGCAAAGACATAATATTCTAGATAAGCCAGAAATGTGAACATTGATGGGAAAAGGGGGACAATGTAAGAGGAAAGAACAGGAAGGAGATAAAACAGCAGAGATAATCTCCAACTGAGTACCCACCAGAATTTCTGCTCTCTGAAAAGACAAAGGCATTTGCACTGAGTGTAGCTTCTGTGAATCCCATTGCATCATATAAAAGGTATCCCAGGCTCTACTGGCTCAAGAAGAGGCAACCAAGCATCATCAATCCCAAAGCACCAGCTGATTTTGCCAACTCCCAGTCCATCTGTAGACCCCACTGAAAGGACATAAGAAACTGGGACCCAGAAGACAAGAAGTGGCTCAGACTATCCCAGGGAAGAGAGCTTGGGAGGCAGGTGCTTAAGTCTAATCCTCACTCCCCACCCCAACTCCCCAACCAATTTTAATTCAAGGTAGGAATTAAGGTTAACATTTCCTAGATAAGGTAATGACCTTTTGTAAGATGCAATCTTCTAAGAGAGGTAATCAATACAAAAAAGCAGGGGCCAAGGGGACCAGACCTAGCCCTGCTGCTAACTGGCTCTGGGAATTTAAAGATATTTCTGCTCTCAGTCCTTCAATGATCACATCTGTAAGACAGGAGGAGCAAAAGAGATTATGAAAGTGAAGGTGCCTTGAAAGTGTAATGCACCATGGCATGTGAAAGGCCTGTCCTACATGAGCTATGCAGGGCCTTTCTAATGGGCCTTACTTTTGATTGGCTGCAGCCACCATCAAGTAACTTAATGGAACCCATTTCCCTCTTTGGTCCCCCAGAAATGCCAAAACCAACCTGGATTTAATCAAGAGACCTAAGTTTCCCCGACATACTTAGCTCAGGAAGATTGTGCATGGGACCCCAATGCCTTCTCCTTTTCTCTGTGTATCCATTTGTATTTTCTCAGTTATGTTTTTACTTTCTATATGTGTCCAATTTTATTTTCAATGATTGACCTGGATTTTAGGTTTAATAGCCTAAATATCAAATTCTGTTAGTTCAGCTGTATAGTTAAAATGCTTTTACTCTTTTGCCCTTAATTAATGGATACCATTCAACAATGAAGAGTTCTGTTTAATCTTTTTTTTCTCTAATGAGATTTAAATTATTCTTTGTTTGCACATGGCCCAGGAGAGGTTTTTCCGGGGGGGCTGGTTGAAGAAGTCATGCAAGTTGGCCTCCCTTAATAGAAAAAGATTCACTGTGACTGTAAAATCAAGAGCTTCCCCACCTGGTAGTTATTTAGGAAGCTGATTTTTTAACTTAATCACAGGATTTTTACACTTATATTAAATTCCACTTTTGTTAGTTTTGACCTAGCAATTCATCCTGGACATCCGTTTTTAAATTAAGCTTTGATTGCGTTTTTTTAAATGATTTTTTTAAAGCAAAGACTTACAAAGTCAAAGGAAGGCCCAGTCTTCTCCTTTCCCCAGACCCCGCTGTGCCATGGTCAGAAAACAGAGTCTGTAATACTGAATGGCTATTTACTCCATACACAGTTTGGAAGAATGCATGGGAGCAATACCTCTCAAAGACTGCCAACATTGTGTACCCAGATACAATATTATCCTGCAGATAACCCAAAAAGCCAGCTATTGTTTTGACTTTAGGACATACGTGTTTCTAAGACGATGAAGACATCAATTAGAGTCCAAATCCCAAACACACACCTTGATCTCTACTATAAAAATGTATCAGGTGAGCCAACTTGAGAGTACTGGTAAATTCTTCAGCTGGCAATGATCTTGGTCTCCATCAGGGACAAGCTACATTAAAATAAGACCCTTGAAAGGAGTTACTCCAGACCCTTAGGGAGAGGAGCTTGTCAACTGCCAAGTAATTTCAACAGAGAATTCAGTTGCTCTGGAAACAGGTTTTGACAATGGCTGTGTGTGCCAAAGGGTTGAGCAGGCAGAGGGCACTGGGTTCCCGCCCCTTGCATGATACTTGAGGCTTTGCTCTCCAAACAGATGACTTCATTCCCAAAACAATGTTTTTTTTTTCTGAGAAGCTGCCAGTTCATACACATTTTAAAATAAATTCTCGTTGACATTGGAGTGGCAGAAACTGCAAACATTGCTTTTAAAAGCATGTGAGTTGGAAAAGGTAAGCTGGAAAAAGAAAAGAATTTCTCCCCAAAAAAGAATTTGTGGTCACTATGAAAGCTAAACACCTAATCAGCAATCACCTTATCAGCCACAGTATCGATTAAGGAGGTATGTGGAGTTATGCACAGGTACTTTACCTCTGTCTGAATACAGTGTCTTGAGGAATGGGTTCTAGTAATGTCTAAGTCTTCTCTTCCCTTAGCTTCTCAGGAAACCACCTTAATTAAAGAAAGAAAAAAACCAACAGATAATCTGTTCTTACTCAAAGCCTCATTGTTTTGTTTTGTTTTTTAACATTCCATGTCCCCCATCTCCCAAGGGGTACCAGAGGGGAACAGAGATAAGACAAGGAGGACTCTCTGAATGTCATTATTCTCCCTTCAGTGCAAACAGTGAGGCAGGAGAAGAGACACCTTCTCCCCAGTGATGCTCGGCCTGAGCACACATGAGCCTGAGCCATGGCTGTAAACACACTTGGAAGACATAGAGAAAAGGAGAGTTTGCACAGGATAAATCTATTCCATTATTTATACCCACCCCCAAACCTTTGGATTTCTTTCTCTATACCAAAGGTCCTCAAACTTTTTCTGTAAATGTCCAAAGACTATATATTTTAGGCTTTGTGGACCATATAGGCTTTCTGTCTCCTTTCTCCTTCTCTTCCTCCTCCTCCTTCTCTCCTCTTTCTTCTTTAAATTATGAAAACTGTTCCTAGCTCACAGACTTGACCCATGGACCATAATTTGTTGACTCATACTCTACATTATGCCACAGAAGTTGTGACATCTCAGCCTCGGAATGTAGGCCATCATTTAGCCCAAGTTTCAGTCAACTAACCACACTGTCAGGACAACCTCCAGCTAGTTATGCTGACACATTAAATCCAGAATCTCTGGTAAGTGCACCCATATCAATAAATTCAGGCTGACCTCATATTATATTCTATTCTCCTTGGTCTAATGCACTTACAATTTATTCTCACAATACTCCATACTACTCAGATGTTTGCTGTTAAGTAAACCATGCAATTCTCTGGGAGTCTATACTATTTCTTTCCTGTACCTGAGGATATCTGACTTGACATACAAGCCTTGAGGCAATGAAGAATGGGTCTTGATGGAGGTAGGAGAATAAAACACTCTCACAAGACAACAGCATAAGATGAAATTAAGAGTTTTCAACCAAGGAAGAGATTAACCTCAGATATGGAAGAAGGAGCTTGTTCTACTAACAAGGAAAGTTTAGGGATGCTTGCAAAGTTCTAAATTTTTGGATTTTTCTGAGTCCATTCAGAATGCCCTCATTTCAAATATCAAGGTCCCACTTCTTCCCAATCAGTTCTCTAACTTACACATAACAATTTGGTGAGTCTGTGATTTCAGTTTAGATTATAATTCTGCAATCCACACAGATTTGGAGTTTGGCTTTCAGTGATATTTGTTCCACAGCTACAGGAAATATAATGGTCTTTTATAGGGTAACCATAGAAGTTCTCTGGCTTTCTGACTGACACTTAAGCTGAGAATTTAAAACCCCAAACTTGTTATTTTCTTTTTACTATTCCTCCAGTACAGCCAAAAATAAAAGCCATCTCATGCCACAGTCCTTGTAGCCATTAACTCTACATAAGAGTCAGATGCAGTAGTCATTTGGTGCCCCAAGAAACTTACTTTATCAGGAAATTTAACAGAAACTTTATCCTAAGTGACCATAGTTGATAATTTAATTATTATGCCACTGCATACCATGGACTAAGAGTATCCCACTTTTCCTTTGGAAAGGAGCCCAGGGTTGCATTCAAAGCCAAGGTCATAACCAAATCAATCCGCAAATATCATCATGTATCATCTGTCCAATAGGACTATTCTTATTAGAAAAATTCTATCCATTGAAAGAAGAAAGAAAGAAGGGAAGGAAAGAGGAAGAGAGAAGAGAGGAAGGGAAGGAAAGAGAAGGGAAGGAAAGAGAAGGGAAGGGAAGGGAAGGGAAGGGAAAGGAAGGGAAAGGAAGGGAAGGGAAAGGAAGGGAAGGGAAAGGAAGGGAAGGGAAGAAAGAATAATACCAAATATTTAAATTAAAAAGATTTAATACAGTAATCTCCCCTTATCCATGGGCGTGTGTTCCAAGACCCCCAGTGGAGACGTGAAACAGCAAATAGGACTGAACCGTATGTATACTATGTTTTTTCAATCTAAAGCTGCTAAGTGACTAACAGGAAGGTAGCATCTCCAGTGTGGATATGCCGGACAAAGGGATGATTCCCGTCCCAGGCAGTCCAGAGTGGGACCCAGAGGGATAGCACACATTTCATCACACTACTGAGAATGGTGCACACTTTAAAATGTGTGAGTTGTTTATTTCTGGAATTTCCATTTAATATTTTCAGACCACAGCTGACCATGGATAACTGAAACCACAGAAAGCGAAACCATGGATAAGGGAGGACTACTGTATAGGAAATTGTTTTCACAGGAGTTAGAAAAATGAAAGAACAAAAGGAAGGCATTAAAATAACCCAGAGATAAGAATCTACAACCCTTAGGACTAGGTAAATAAAAGAGAAGTGGTTGGGATTATCAAAACCTAGAGCTCAAAAGAGGGATATCCGCTAACCTAGGGCTTAGCCCTCTGAGGAGATAGTACTGTACTTCCCAGCTGCTGATAGAATCTCAGAATCTCAGAGGACCCGCCCCATTGAGCTGGGGCTCAGATACCTGAGAAAGAATGAACACCTGGCTCCCAACAATATCCCTGAGCGGGTAAGATGAAGCTAGTTCTGGCAATGCTAAAAGAAGACAAAGAGAAGAGTAAACTTTCACTGACAAGACCAACGAGAAATAGGAAGGAAGCTCCTACCTTCCAGTCTTCTTCCAATGACAGAAATTAGCAGAACCCAGTAGGAAGTCATCTGGCAAAAACAGTCTGGAATATGTGATTGGCGGAGCTCTAAACCTAGCACCACAGAGCAGAGTATACAATTGTGGTCTTGGGGCTGAGAGTCAATAGGCAAACTATCAGCACAGATTGTGGTATGTTTCTCAGTGTCTTTCTGTTTAAAACAGGCCTGGTGGCATCTACGATACCTTTTAACATTCTATAACTACACTCTTAGTACTTTATTTTTTTTCTTAATTTTTAATTTCCATAGGTTATTGGGGAACAGGTGGTGTTTGGTTACATGAGTAAGTTCTTTAGTGGTGATTTGTGAGATTTTGGTGCACTCATCACCCAAGCAGTATACACTGAACCCTATTTGTAGTCTTTTATCCCACACCCCGCCTTCCCACACTTTCCCCCTGAGTCCCCAAAGTCCATTGTTGTGTCATTCTTATGCCTTTGCATCCTCATAGCTTAGCTCCCACTTAAGTGAGAACATACGATGTTTGGTTTTCCATTCCTTAGTTACTTCACTTAGAATAATAGTCTCCAATCTCATCCAGGTTGCTGCAAATGTTATTAATTCATTCCTTTTTTATGGCAGAGCAGTAGTCCATCATATATATATATATCACAGTTTCTCTATCCACTTGTTGATTGATGGGCATTTGGGTTGGTTCCACATTTTTGCAACTGCGAATTGTACTGCTATCTTAATACTTTAAAATTACATTCTTGTCTGTCACACCCAAATCCAAGTCTCAGACAGGAGAACCATGCCTGAAAAATGAGAAGTCTGCTTCTTCACACAACATCTGTGAATTACCACAATTTAACTTGAATTTTCTTATCTCAGTTCTCTTCTTAGTTTTGGCAGATAAAGCCCAACACTGAAGTAGATTCAAAGCCAAGGTCATAACCAAATAAATCTATGAATATCATTATTTATAGTCTGTCTAATAGGACTATTCTTATTAGAAAGACTCCATCCATTGAAAGAAGAAAGAAAGAAGGGAAGGAAAGTGGATGACAGGAAGAGAAGGGGAGGGGAGGGAGGGGAGGGCAGGGCAGGGCAGGGCAGGGAATGTGTTTCCTAAAGTATATGTTAAAAAGAGAATATAAATTAACAACACCAAAAAGCTGAAACAGGGCCATAGAGGAGCCAAGCTCAAGCATACTCTATAGAATAAGTCTTGGAGTAACCAAGAAGCACTACCTTCCATCTATAATGTAAAACAATAATAACAGTAGTAAAGATGTATTGAGCTAAGGCACTATGTACTAGGTATTAAGTTATTTACACCTATGAATTCATTGTATCTTCCTATCCTATGCAGTACAAATTAATATTATTCTTTTATTGCAGATGAGGGATTGAGAAACTAGCCTGCATTAGTTTCATCTATGTATTAAAACAACATGTAAACTAGAAATATAATATATACAGCTATAGCATGTATATTTAGATAGGTAGATACATGATAGATAGATGATGGATGGATGCATGGATGGATAGACAGATAAACAGACAGACTGATTTAACTCTTCCTAGGCCCACCCATTTGAAGAACCCAATGCCTTAACAACCACAGTCGCATTGTATGTTGGATGTTTGACACGGAAAGAGCATTTGGCAGTTTCTTTGGTCTATTTCCAGTGAAAATAGAGGGCAGTAAACTCATTCCAGATTCAGATTCCAGAACTTTCAGAGGCTGGAGATAGTGGTGATCTGTCTGTGAGGCCTCCATGTGTATCATTTCTCAGAAGCCAGCTAGCAGACCAGGCCACCTGCCAGAAAATGGTTAGCACATTTATGTCAGCTGGTTTGTCAGCCAGGTACCATGGCTCTTTCTAAGTCATGGCTTCCAAACCATGGGAACATAAAACCACAACGGCAGCCAAGATAGCAATAAGAACCCTTTCTTTGTATGCCGCACTAGTGGCTCTGCAAAAAGGTATGTGACATACTTTTGTGCAGTGTAACTGGCAGTTCAGAGCAGCAAATCCCTTCTGACCTGATGCGTCTCCTCTCCAGCTTTTTTGAATTCACTTTCTGTAGACAAAAGTAGAGTGAGTGACAAAATGAAGGATACTTTGATATTTGTTAAGAGAGACTACAGCCAAGTTCTCTCCCAAATCATTTTGTAGCCCTGTCCGATGGGCAAAAGACACATCAAATTAACTCAACTCTAAGAGTCTAGTTCTCTTATTGGAAATTCTTAATTTCTCAGTATTGTACTAAAGGGATTTTTTTTTTCAGTTAACCAGTTATCAGATAAAATTATATATGCCTACAAAGAGTAATGAGAAAAGATTGTTCCACTTTGACTTAAAATGTGATTTTATAACTTCTAGTCACAGTATATGATACAGTAACTGGTACTAGACTTACTTGCCCACTATAAACTATTTTTTCAAAAGGAAAGCATTTATGAAACAACTCTTTTCAAACATAAGCTGCAGACTGCACAGAAATTGATCCCCAAAAGAAAGGAAACAAACAAGGTAAGCCCTAAAACTGTCCCAGCTTTCTACCTGGAGACTAGAGCATATAAAAGCACCCAGCCAGGCATGACAGCTCATGCCTGTAATCCCAGCACTTTGGGAGGCAGAGGCAGGTGGGTCATCCGAAGTCAGGAGTTCAAGACTAGCCTAGCTAATATGGTGAAACCCTGTCTCTACTAAAAATATAAAAATTAGCTGGGCATGGTGGCACGCACCTGTAGCTCCAGCTACTTGGGAGGCTGAGGCAGGAGAATTGCTTGAACCCAGGAGGCGGAGGTTATGGTGAGCCAAAATTGTACCACTGCACTCCAGCCTGGGTGACAGAGCAAGACTCTGTCTCAAGAATAAATTAATTAATGAATGAAAAGAAAAGTGGAGACCACATAAATCTCATGGAGTTAAAGATACAATATTGGAGTTAGAAGAGGCTTGGGCAGCTGGAATTTGCAAGGCAGAGTTCCAAAGGGAAGAAAATCACACAAAGAAAGAGCTTCAGAAAGCTGCATAGGTGGTCCCTTGAGTCTTCAGCAACATACCCTGTTCTGCATATATGTGGTAAGACACCACGAAACTAGGCAAAAAAAAAGAAACTATGAGTGAAAGAACTAACAAGGAGCTGTAAGCTGAACAATTCCCATAACTCATACAAGCCTGGGAGTCATCCAAGTTCTTACCAATTGTGGTGTAGAAATCTCAGAACAAGCAGGGCATTCAGAAAAGACCCCAGAAGTATTAGGGCTAGACTGAGGCTACTGCAGACCTGTGCTAAAAACAAACCTCAAAAGAATCAAGTTGGTCTAAAAGTAGCTAAACTGTCTGCCAAAATAAAATCCAAATATCTGTAAAAGAAGATTCCAAAGTCTACTCAACAAAGTGATATTTACAATGGCCAGTATCCTATCAAAAAAGAGTAACCCTGAAAAAAAGCAGTAAAATGGGACCTGTAGCCAGAAGAGAAAGATCAATCAATAGAAACATACACAGAAATGACACAGATGACAATTCACAGACAAAGATTTTTAAAGTGACATTTACATATTTTCAAAGATTTAAAAGAAATAGAGAAATTGAAGACATAAAAGAGAACCAAATGAAACTTACGGAGCTAAAAAGCATAACATCTGAAGTGAAAATTTTGTTGACTGAGATCAATAGCAGTATATACACTGGAAAAGAGAGGATCAGTGAACTCAAAGACATAGGAATAGAAACATGAAATAATGGCTAAATTTTTCAAATTTTTATAAAAAGCATAAACCTATAGATCCAAGAGTATTAATACAACTCACATAGTATTAACACAAAGAAAAACACATTAGGGCACACCATATTAAAATTGCTGAAAACTAGAAATAGAGAGAAAAGGTAGCCAAAGGCAGGGGGAAACATATTTGTTACAAAAAAACAAAGGTGAGAAAACCAATGACTTCTTATCAGAAACAAAGTCAGCCAAAAGACAATTGAATGGTATGTTTTAAAGTACCAAAAGGGGACAAAAAGTAAACCTAGACTTTTATATCCATCAAATATATTGTTAAAAATAAAAACAAAATGGAGACATTTTCACATAAACAAAAGCTGGGATAATTTATGATCATCTAACCTGTACTACAATAAATGTAAAAGGAAGTTCTTCAACCTGAAGGAAAATAACAGATGAAACCTCAGATCTTCAACAGTAACAAAGAGCTCCAGAAATGGCAAGTACGTGAGCAACAAATACAAAAGAATTTTTTTCATTTTAAGCTTATTTAAAACATAATTATGGCTTAAAACAAAAATTAGAACAATGTATTATGAAATTTATAATTTATGCATAAGTAAAAGGTATGATAACAATAGCACAAAGAATGAGAGCAGAGAAATGGAATTGCATAATGTTAATATATTATACATGAAATGGTAGTATGTTACTTGAAGGTAGACTGTAATGACTTAAGATGCATATTTTAAACACTATAATAACCATGAATTAAAAAGTATAAAGATTAGCCAATATTAGAAATAAAACAAAATGCTAAAATACTCAATACCAAATAAATCAGGAAAAGAGAAAAACTGAGAAAATAAAGTATGCAATGAATAGAAAGTAAGTAGCAAGATGATAAACTTAAATTTAAGCATACTGATATTACATTCACCACAAACAGCCTAAGCACTATAATTTGAACAGAAATTGTCACACACAAAAAAACACTCACAGAGATTGTCAGATTTTCAAAAAGCAAGACCCATTATATACTGTCTAGAAGAAATGCACTTCAAACATTTTGAAACAGAAAAGATAACTGTTATAAAAGGATAGAAAAAAACATACCATTTGGACACTAATCATAAAAAGTTGGAGAGTATATAAAGTTTGAACAAAGTACCTATCAAGATAAGAAAGATTAACAGACAGAAAGAGATATAGTCTCTTATTGATAAAAAGGATAAATATTCCTGAAGACATAACAATCCTAAATGTGTATTCATTCAATTACAGGACTTCAAGATACATGAAGAAAAACTGATAGAACCGAGGGGGAAAATAAACAAACCAACAGGGAAATGAAAATTTCAGCACTCCTCTACCAGTAACTGATAGAACAAGTAGATTTTTAAAAAATCAGTAAAGATACAGAAGACATGGAAAACTCAATCAACCAACATGACTTAATTGATATTTTTAAAACACTACATGTAACATGGACAAATACACATTCTTTTCAAGTACAAATAAAACATTCACTGTGGTAGACCTATGCTGGGTCATAAAAGAGGTAGAAATACATTTTTAAAATTGAAATTATGCATAGGATATTCACTTATCACAATGGAAATAAATTAGAAATGGATAACAAAAATATAACTGTAAGATCCTTACTTTTTTGAAATTAAGTAAAAACTCTTTTAAATAGTCCATAAGCCATACACCAAAGAAGAAATTTCAAGAGAAACTTTTAAGTATTTTAAATGATGGCAAATACCCAGCACATCAGAATGTATAAGATGCAACTCAAGTAGGCTTAAAGAGAAATCTGTACTCTTAAATGCTTACATGAGAAAGAATACATTTTAAAAATCAACAATCTAATATTCCTACTCAAGAAGCTAAAAAAGAAGACCAAAAGTGACCACTAAATGAATACAAGGAAGAAAATAATAAAAGCAGAAGTCAATGAAATAGAAAACAGAAAAACAAAAGTCTCTTTCAGTCTCCCTCACTCTCACTCTGGCTCTTTTTCTCTTCTCTCCTCCCTCCCTGACAACATACCCAATCACTCACTCTGGGGGAATCTAGCTGTCACACTGAGAAAACAGGTTCATCGGTAAAGAAAGATCTGCTGCCAAACACAGTCATGTGACTTTTAGCAAGAAGTTTCCTAGAAGCAGAAAGTTTCAACCAGACAAAGCTTCAGATAACTTCAATCCTAGCCAATATCTTTACTGCGACCTCAAGATAGACACTCCATTGATAGACACTGCAACAAGATAATACATCATGACCAAATGGGAGTTGTCTCAGGAATGCAAGTTGGTTTGCCATTAGAGAATAATTAATGCAATACACTATATCAACAGAATCAACCAGAAAAACTCTATAACCATTCCCATAGATACATAAAAAGCACTGGGAAATTCAAAAACCAGGCATAATTATTTTTAAATCCCCCAGCAAACTAAGAGTAAAAGGGAATTTCCTCAACCCAATAAAAGGCATCTACCAAAAAAAAAAAATCTACAGCTAACATCACACTTAATTGAATGTTTTCCCTCTAATATCAGAAAGAAGGCAAGGATGCATGCTCTTATCACTTCCATTCAAAGTTGTATTGGAGGTCCTGACCAATACAGTAAGGCAAGAAAAAGATAATAAAAGGCATACAGATTAGAAAGGAAAATATAAAACTTCCTTTATTCACAGATGACATGATTGTACATATTGAAACCCCTAAAGAATCCATAATAAAAACTATTGCAACTAATAGATGAATACAGCAAGGTTGCAAGATACAGGATTAATATAAAAACCATTTTTACCTCTGTATACTAGCACAATGAATAATTTCAAAAATGAAACTTAAAACAATGTTATTTACAATAGGATCAAAACATAAAATAAGCATAAATCTAACAAAAACTGTGTAAGAAATAAATGTTTAAAATCCTAAATAAATGAAGAGATATACTATGTTCATGAATCAAAAGATTCAACATTATAAATCGATAAATTTCCCTGAAGTGATCTATAGATACAATGGAATTCTAATAAAAATCCCAGGAAGCTTTTTAAAAGAAATTGACAGGGTGTTTTTGAAATTTATGGTGATATAATGCAAAGAACCAAGATTGGTAAAAGCAATTTTAGAAAGGAATTTGAGACTTTCTATAAAGCTACAGAAATGGAGACAGTGTGATATTTACATAAGGATAGACATATAAATAAATGGAACACAATAGGCAGTCAAAAAATATAACTACCCAATGGTAAATTGACTTTTAACAAGGATGTAGAGATAATTCAATAAGTAAAGGATAGTGTTTTCAACACAGTTCTTGAAAAACCAGATCCCATATTTTTAACAAATAAACCTTGACCCTTACCTCGCACTATAAACAAAAATTGATCATAGAAATTGAAGCTAAAACTGTAAGACTTCTAGAAAAATATGCAGAAGAAAATCTTTGTGACTATGGGGTAGGAAAGATTTTTTTAGACATAACAGATAAAAAGAACAAACCATAAAATGAAAAAGTATAAATGAAACATTATCAAAATTAATGACTTCTAGTCCAAAGATATCATAAAAGAATAAACAGGCAATCCACAGACTGGGAAAAAAAATATTCACCATATACATACCTACTGCAGGTCTTGTATTGAGACTATTTAAAGAACTATAATCCAACAGGAAAAATATGTTTTAAAATGCTTAATGGGCAGAAGATTTGAACAGATAGTTTACAAAAGGAGAAATATAAATGTCTAATAAATGAATGAAAATATGCTCAACATCCTGATCATCATGAAAATGTATATTTAAAGCACTACACACTGGATTATCTAAAATTGAAGACTGACATACCCAAGTACAGTGAGGATGTAAAGTTACAGAAACTTTCTTATGTTGTTGGTGAGAATGTAAAATGGAACAACCACTGTGGAAAACAGAATGACAGTTTCTCAGAAAGTTCAACATAAATTTCCCATATGGCCCAGCAATTCCACTCCTTAGTATTAATCCAGGAGAAATGAAAGGGTATGTCTACATAAGCATTTGTACATGAATATTCATACCAGCTTTATTCATAATAGCCAAAAACAATAAACAACCCAAATGTCTATCAACTGGAGAATGGATAAACAAATTACAGTATATTCATTCTATGGCATATTACTCAGAAATAATGTTGATTTACATTACATACAACAAAATGAGTGAATCTCAAAACTATTATGCCGACAAAAGAGTATATGCTGTCAGATTCCGTGAAAATCTAAAACAGGTAAAATTGATCAATAGTAACAGAAAACAACACAGAAATTGCCTGAGACCAAAGACAGCAAGGGTTTACTCCATAAGAGCACAAGGGAATTTTGGGGGTGATGAAGTATTCTGTGTTTTGACAGGGGTGGTTGTCACACGAGTGCAAACATTTATCAAAATTTATTAAACTGTATATTTAAGATGTGTTTATTTTATTGAATGTAAAGTATACCACAATATAACATTTTAAAGTAAAAAAAAATGATTTCACAGAAAGGTCAGTGTATATTTTACCATTCAAACTGGCATGCAACATTTTGAGATCACAGAATTTCCCGAAAGGACTATTGCCAGTTGGACTGTCTTTACTGTGATTATTTTTTCTTGAATAGAGCTATTCCTATGACAAATTGTATCCCCCAAAGATGGCACATGCTTTTCTACAATATTACCTTGATACTCCTCCCATCAAAAAGTAGGGTCAGTATCCATTTTCCTTATCTCTGAGTACACTGACTTGCTTAGAACCAACAGAATGCAACAGACGTAATACTACATGATTTCCAAGGCTGTTAGGAAAGTTGATGCCTCCCCCTAGTTCACTGGTGCACTAGCGCTGAAGCCCTGATTTATCATTTAACAGTCTACCTCCCCGAAGCCACCACGTTGTGAGGAAGCCCAAATTATCCCAAATGGAAAGATCACATGGAGATACCCTGAGACTACATGGAGAGAGAGAGAGAGATGCCAAGCCAGACCCAAGCTCCTATAGGTTCCTGCAGGAGACACACCCTTCCAGAACCACTCATCACAGCCCTTTACAACTTTCTAACCTACAAAAACTATGCAGTGATTTGATATGTAGTAAAAATAAATGGAACAACATCCCCAGCAACATCCTCAATAATACCATGCTTTATGCAGTGCTCAAAATTAATGGAAGGAGGAGGTGAAGGAGGAGGAGTAGAACCACTCCACTCCTTTGGGCATACCGCTTCTACACAGAAATCGACACACCTTCCTTTACTTCAAAGACTGACTAAATACATGCATTAAGTGACTCTCTGTTATCCTAGAAGAGTGGCATTAAATTATCCCCAGTGAGACAGCTTGGCCTTTTCATGGGGTGGGGAGGAGGTGGTGACAGATAAACTGTTAAACCCACAAGCATGATACACTCCTCTTTTTCTGTATCCTGGACTCACTCTGAGGCTTCTGGAAAAGGAATTTTACCAAAAGTGTATGGGCAAACCTAAGCTGAAGGACACTTCAGAAACACAGGCTTGTTTCTTTCTCAGTGAAGATTCATGATATACACTATGTAAGACATGGCACCAGACCAGAACTGGCCCAAACAAGGCTTTGAAAAATAATTCCTACTCAAAACACATCAATCTTGATGCATCAGCATTTTGACAAGACAAGATGAACTTCAGGGAGGCCTACCGACTGGCAGGCATAAGTCCCACCATGGCAGATAGTGGGCAAACTGCCTTTAACTCTGATCAAAATCCACCCATCCATGTCTGCTAGGCAGCAAGCATGAAATGACGAAATAAGTTGAAGCAAAGCAAAAATAGGGCCACAAAGAAGCATACACACTCACACACACACACACACACACACACACACACACACAGACACACACACACAGACCTTTCTCACTCACTAGTCAGGGAAAGAGTGCAAACAGAAACTAAGTATGTGCATGTGTTTAGTTTAAAGTGGGAGTTTATTTTCCAGTTTCCATGGGAAATAATTGAGCTAATATTATCTTCCCAAAGTAAATACCTTTATGCAAAACTCCCTCAAACTGATCCCAGGCCAAGATTCCTGCTGCAACCTCCTTTTGCCCTCTCACCTCCAAATTCTCACACTGTGGTCTAAAGCACAGAGGATTACTAACAGAGAGGCATGGCCTTGCTTCTTCCCCCAGCTCTTCTGAAAGTTGAATTGCAGAGTCTTTTGTATCCCTCTTGCCAGATCCTACTGCTTGAGATGGGAGATAAAATCTAATGGGAAACCAGAAATGTGAGGACCCCTGGAATCTGACTTTTTCAGTTCCTCTTGGCCATGGACACTTTATCCAGATCCTTACTGGGTCTTTTCTGGAATTATGTTAAGCCAAGAGGTCTGGAGTTTGTTTTTGCTTGTATTTCTGTGGAGCCCTGTGAGTTTTTGTGTCGCCGTGTTTTTAACAGTATTTGCCTATATATTGTCTGTTAGGTTCTGTTTGCTTGCCTCAGTAAAGGGCCATTATTAATATCCTACTCATCAACCACTCTCTCCTTCATCAACACCACCAATGACCTTTTACTATCATCTGCCTAATCTGAAAAGAACCAGATACTTCAAATGTCAATGTAATGATCACTATGTATTTTTTATCAACAAAGTCTACATTTTCTAGGCACTATCCTTTTGGGAGATGCAGTAAGCTCCTGACATTTTGAGGGGACAGGTCCAGAGACCTTCTCCAACCCCCAAATCTCAGACACAGGAATGTTTATACAGGCCTCTGGCTCTGAGACAAGAGGCCTGAATTTCCTTTGTATGTCATCACTCTAACCACATGCTGACCCAGATAAATGCATATAAATGGAGAAAACATGAGCAACTATAGACTCATACACATTTATTAAATTACTGAAGATAAGTATGAAGGGAGACCTTGAGAGGAATCTGAGATTTCTGCTCTTAACAGGAATTAAGCTCATGCATATTAAAGATCAGTTGTTGAAATCATTAGGCTAATTACAGAACCATTACTAAGAATTTTTATCATTACAAAGTGCATATTCTGTTTTTGCTCAGTGTAGTCACTGGAGATGAATTCTAGACTTACTACAAATCTGGAAGCCCTTATGTGTCATTAGAACATAAATGTCATAACACCATACATATCACCCAATGGATACACTTGCAAAGACTGAAAGTCGAATTGCAGTTGAAAGTATTTCAGAAAGTATTCAGAAGGTGATAAGGAAAAATTGTACTCAACCAAAATGTCCAACAAAGGCAAAGCAATAAGAAAAGACTTGTTCTTCTATTTCCTGAACTATAATGCAAATACTGAAATTATTAGCATGTAATCATTGCATTGTAGATGCCACTGACCCAAGGGCCCTGGGTTTGTTAGGGGCCATTACCCCATTCACTTGGCTCGAACCCTCATCCAGGAAATCATCCTGCTGGATAACTAGGCACACCCTGCTTGCAGGCACTGATTCTATGTGTTCATCTATTCAGCAAGTGTCCAGCATGTTGGTACTGGAATGCTAATCTCATGACCGAGCTTAGTCAAGAAATAGCCTTCTTAATATGATAGCCACCATCTACAATGATTTACTGACAATTTTTGGCTTAAAATCCCACCTCTACCACTGGTTGTGTAACTTTGGGAAAGACAATTAACCTGACTACTGTTTAGTTTCCTTATTTGCAAATAGAGATAACACCTCTCTTAAAAGTTATTATGAGGATAAAATAGCACTTTGGGAGGCTGAGGCAGGAAGATCACTTGAGCCCAGGAATTTGAGACCAGCCTGGGCAACATAGTGAGACCTCATCTCTACAAAAATAAAAATAAATCAGCTGGGCGTGGTGGCGCTTGCCTGTGGTTCCAGCTACTCAGGAGGCTGAGGTGGGAGGATTGCTTGAGACCAGGAGGTCAGGACTGCAGTGAGCTGTGAACATGTCACTGCACTCCAGCCTGGGCAACAGAGCAAGACTCTGTCTTTAAAAAATAATAATAAGATATGTAAAGTGTATGGCACAGAGGTAAGTCTCTATTGACAGGTATTATTGTTTGTCTTGTCACTTGAACGTAAAGCCGTTGTGTCTGCCTGTCATTCAACTATTCACAAGCATACAAGATTAAAGGCAATTTGCAAGCATAAGAAACACACTGTTTCTCTTCCTTAGATATTTATAATTCATGGTGGAGATTATAAGATCTCCTTTTCCAATGCAAAATTTCAACTAAGACCTTCTATGTGCTTCACATCTCCTTAAACCAGGGTCCTGAGATGTGCCACGTGTCATGTCATTACACATGGAGAAAGGAATATTTTTCAAAAACCAATTACATACTAGCCACTGTTTAAGGCATATATATACTCTTTCACATTGCTATACCCATTTTGAAAATGAAGAAACAGAGGCTTAAAATGCTTAAGTAACTTGCCCTGGATCCCAACAAAGTAAATGACAGAACAGGATTCGTATTTGGGCCAGTTCAACTCCAAAGACCATGCGTTTTTTGTTATGTTCAGCTGCCAAGTGTAGTTTCTTACCACAATGTCATGAACTATTGTTACAAGAAAATGAGACCGCTGTTTACTATCTGTTGTGGCCAGGTTTTAAATCGAGCCTGAGGATATAAAACTTATGACCTCTAAGTCTCAAATAAAAACCCACTTGAATTAAAACAAAACAAGGGAAAATGCCTTAGTAATAATATTTGAAAAATCTTCAGAATGTGAGATATCAATTGGCTTTGTTTAGTGGAATGTCCCTGCACAGAGATGGATGGACTTCGTGGGTGTCAGAGCCGTCAGTGGAATTCGTGGGTCTAGCGCGATATGTTCTCTCTTCCTGGTCATCAAGCCATAGTTCAAATTTGCCATGATTATCCCTTGCTATGGCTTGTAAACTTACATCCCAGCAAGATTACAAATTCTGACTAGGCTTAATTTTAAATGGAAGAAGAAATTAGTTTCATTCTTTCAGTATATGAGTCATGTAGGCGAAGAAAACTGTCCCTGGCAGTGTCTTTTCCAGTTCCACAATGCTCTGACAATGCACACTTCTCCAAAGAATCGCTACCCAAGGCTGAGCCCCAGAGGGTGCCACGTGTCAAGGGCTACGTCTTAACCCATCCCCTGGTGCAGCACTTGGCATGGAGGAGCTGTTCAATAAATATTGTTCAATGAACAAATGAATGAAATCCTGTCTGCCTTAAAAAGCAAGAAAACAATATCATTCCTTCCTGATTTCCTTATAGCAAGTCTGGCCTTTGTTTCTACCTAAACCTTCTGCCTACTAACAGACCCCTCCCAGCTCACAGGCCAAATGCAGTCTCAGGCTTTCATCTCTAAGGTCATGATACCTTCTATCCCACAGGTCTTGAGAGAATCAAATTGGATGAGGCTGTAGAAGCCTGGGAATCACAGCATATGCCCCACCCCCTTGAAAACGGGGCAGACGGAATGTGTCCAATTTTCATCCTTGGCAACATGTTGAGATCGCTTGAGGAGCTTTCAAAAACTAGAGACCCTAAGTCCCACTCCAGTTAAATCAGAATCTCTGGGGATAAGGTGAGCATTAATAGTATTTAAATGTCCCCCTAGTAATTTGAATGTGCAGCAAAGATTGAAGATCACAAGGCTGGAGGAAGCCAGGAAGTGGGCACATCAGCCCCACACAGGCAGGAAGAAGCATTTGCTGTGCTCCTTGATTGGGAGGGTAAGAAGACAGGAAGCCCAACATGTAACGGCAGCTGCTGCTGTTGGGCAAAATGCCCTTCCCAGCCCTGTAAGTCCTGGCTGCTGCCTTGGCTACCTCTACCACCTCCTTCCTACTTCTCTAAATGGTCCTGGAGCAGGCTGCAGTCTCATCCTGGATAGGGCAATGGGGACCTGCCCCAGGCACCCAATTCTTTTTAAACAGAACTAGCTTCCAGGTCATGATCTCCTTACAACTGAAGATTCCAAGTGACAAGACCTAAATGGGTACAGATGGACTGTGCATAAGCCCAAGGAGAGCACTGTAGAAAGGACTGCATGTCAGCAAGTCCTAAAGATAAGCTGGGAAAGGAAGAGTAGCCAGAGACCCAAAATGTCAGACCTGTTTATGTCTTCAATGTTAAGAGGGAGTCACAGATTCATCACATTGGGAGAAAATGCCTCATAGATCTAATATGGTGAAGGAAATACACAAGCACACACACACACACACACACACACACACACACACACAGACACACCCGATTTATTGGCTGAAGCCCCAAGTACATAGCCCAACTCTTATGCGTTGAGTGTCTGTGTTCGCCAAAAATTCCTATTTTGAAGCCCTAACCTCTCAGCACGGCTCTATTTGGACATGGGGCCTCCCTGGAAGTAAAGTTAAATAAGATCAAAAAGATGGGGCTCTGGTCACATAGGATTAATGTCCCTATAAGAAGAGATACTAGAGAGCTTGCTCACTGTCTCTCCTTCTCCACCATGTGAGGACACAAACAGAAGGTAGCCATCTGCAAGCCAGGAAGAGAACCCTTACCTGGAACCAGCTCCATATGACCTTGATCTGGGACTTTTGGCCTCCAGAACTGTAAAAAAATACATTTTTATTGTTTAAGTAACCCAGTCTGTCTTATTTTATCACAACAGTTCAAGCAGACTATGACACCAACCTTAGACAAATCACAACATCTTTGAGCCTGAGTTTCTTCATCAATAAGAGAAAGATAAATCCTACCTGTTCATAAACATCAAATGAGATCACGTATGTTTAAGGGTTTTGCAAACAATAGAGTATTAAGTAGGCATTAAATCATTCATTAATCTCTACCTCTGTGCTCTCATACTTTAATCCCTCTGCTAGCTGAGCATTTACCACATTGTATTAGATTGAATTGTTTATATGTCTCTTCTGTCAGGTTTTAAATCCTTATGGCCAGGCGCCAAGTCTCTTTCATCTTTGTAGCCCCATGTCAAAACACACAGTCACTGCTCAAGAAAGGCTTATTGAACAATCCCAAGGTAGCACTGGATATGCTTTCTCTGTGTCCCATAACATCCTCCCATATACTTTGATCACTTAGCATCAGGTATTAGAGTTATTAGCTTTTGTGTTTTTCCTACTGTCCTGTAAGCTCCCAAATGGTAGAGACTGCTTGTTATCATTACTATATCCCTAGCAACTAGTACAGAGCTTGGTACCTGGTAGGAACTTAATGAATGTTGATGAAAAGAAGGGAAATGATTCCTTTCCTGAGGAATTTGCATTGTTGAATTTCATTGTTCAAAGCTGTCCTGTATTTGATTCATCATTTCCAACGGAACAAACTGAAGCTCTCCATTTTACCAAGTCTTTTTTCAAATGGCTCCTAAAAGGTCCTAGCTCTTTTATCCTATTATAGCTGGCAAAGTATCTGAATGCATCATTTTATTGTGCAAGTCAATATCATCCCCCAGAGAACCAAGACTGGTCATTTACGCCAACAGTAGTTGCTATGCAACCACTCTCCAAGCCTTGGTTGAAAGATCCAGAGCCGAGGCAGTGATTTTTCCCACCTGGAAAGGACTAGAATTTCTAAGGGAAAAAACACACCATTATGCAGAGTCACTTAATCTTTTTACAAAAGAAAATTTGACCACATCAAAAAAGCATATTTTCTAGATTTCCTAGACTATGCATATATAGCCTTTATATAAATAGACATGTATATTTAGCCACTGGAACCCAAACGCACATATACTACATATACACTAATATAATTTATAAATATTTGTATATTTATAAATATGTAGATATGTTTATTAAAGAGTAAACACTCTTTTTATTCCAAAGATGTTCCACGAGAATTAACCATTTTATTTCTTTTAACAGAAGTAAACTTGTAAAATGAATTTCTATTTTCTCATGGCAAAAACTTTTTTTTCGGAAAATAAGGGGAAATTTAAAGAAGAAAATAGAGAAGCCTGTGTCAAATAGCTTAGATCAAACCACTGTTAGCATTTGCTATGTAGCCTTCCAGATGTTTATATATAAGAATATTTACATATTTAAAGTACAAAAATGGGAACATATTATATCCAAAGTTTGGATACCTCCTTTCTTTAAAACTTAGCATGCCATGAATGAGAACACATGGCCACAGGAAGGGGAACATCACACTCTGGGGACTGTTGTGGGGTGCGGGGAAGGGGGAGGGATAGCACTGGGAGATATACCTAATGCTAAATGACGAATTAATGGGTGCAGCACACCAGCATGGCACATGTATACATATGTAACTAACCAACACATTGTGCACATGTACCCTAAAACTTAAAGTATAATAATAAAAAAAAACCTTAGCATGCCATGGATGTCTTTCCAAGTCAACATATAGTCATATCATCTTAAAGGCTGCATTGCATGCCATTGCTTAAATATATCATAATGTATTTAATTATTTTCCTGTTGTGTCCATTTTTTCACCATTATAAATAATAAGCATCTTCATGTACACTTCTTTGAAAACTCATCTGATAGTTTCAGTAAGATTAATTCATGCATCACGTCAAAGATTATGCACTTATTTGAAGCCTTTTAGAACACTGACAAGTAAATAATCTAATATTAAGCATTTGTTCCAAAAAGCTAGATTTTCGGTCAATACAGATTTAGTCAAATTTTGACATAATTTAAAATTTTTTAAAAAAAGAATTTAGGCCGGGTGCGGTGGCTCAAGCCTGTAATCACAGCCCTTTGGGAGGCCAAGGTGGGCGGATCACCTGAGGTTAGGAGTTCGAGACCAGCCTGGCCAACATGGCAAAACCCCGTCTTTACTAAAAAAAAAAAAAAAAAAAAGATACAAAAATTAGCAGGGCGTGGTGGTGCGCATCTGTAGTCCCAGCTACACGGGAGGATGAGGCAGAAGAATCGCTTGAACCCAGGAGGTGGAGGTTGCAGTGAACTGGGATTGCACCATTGCACTCCAGACTGGGTAACAACAGTGAGACTCCATCACAAAAAAAAAAAAAAAAACAGAATCCAAGGTTTGTGAGGACACATTATAACAGAATAATTTGAAGTTTCTCCTCTTGTTTTGCCGTATAATCATTCATTCTATACCCTGCTACCGTTTGCCACACAAACCAAGTTGTCTTTCTTGGCTCCCTGTACTTCCTGCCTTCACTTCTCATAGCTCCTCCCCCTTAGCCTTTCCTGTTATCAGCAACATTTTAAAATTGACTACTGATGACTCCACCCAGGCTCACAGCTAAGCCTGAGGAATAGCTTCAGAATTTCCATGTGGGATCTGGGGTGGGTTCATGATTTATACCCATATGAAAGCTGGATGTCCCCAAAACATTCAATTGGAAGTATATTGACAGCTGCCTTTCAAAAGATGTGTTAATTTCTGTTAAAATTTACTTATTCATTATGGAAAGCAGTTAAGATCAGTTTCCACCACTTGCAACCTCGTCTGGTTCTTCAAAGTCAACATACACTCTTTTGCCATGGTAATCGTCCTAAATATGCAACTTTGATCTTTTTTTTTTTTCTTTTTGGAGACAGGGTCTTGCTGTATTGCCCAGGTTGGAGTGCAGTGGTGTGTTCATGGCTCCCTGCAGCCTCAAACTCCTGGGCACAATCAACTCTCTCTCACTTCAACCTCCTGAGTACTTGGGACTACAGGTGCGCCACCATACCCGGCTAAATTTTTTTGTATTTTGTAGAGATGGGCTGGATTTCAGATCCTATTCAAAACACTAAGCCTTCCAACACATATAAAACCCAAGCTCCTAGGAATGACATTCAAGGTCCCTCCAATCTCACCCCAAACCAATCGCATTCCTATACCAGGCTATCTGCCATTCCGTGAATACATATTTCTACTTCATACATTTGCCCATACTGCTCCTATTTCCCTGCCTTTTCCACTTTCCAGCACATTTTTAACTTGCCCCAAAAGCCATCCATTCTTCAAAATTTCTTTCTTATGTCCCTTCCTTTTAGAAACCTTCTCCAATTCCTGCAAAGTAGAATCTCTTCAAGGAACCAGAATTGAGAAATACCCAGAGTATCCAGGACCAGGTGGCAGAGGTCTGGGTCCACATTAGCTAATAGCATCTGAAAGTTCACTGCTTTGGAAATGATAAGCAGTAGTCTACTGCATTAAAGTCATTCTCAGTCAGACATGGTGGTGTGCGCCTGTAGTCCCAGTCACTTGTGAGGCCAAGGCGGGAGGGTAGCTTGAGCCTAGGAGTTGGAGACCAGCCTGGGCAACATAACAAGACCTCATCGCTTTGAAAAAAAAAAAAAAAAAAAAAAAGTCAAACAACAGAAACTAATAATGTCAAATGAAATGAAATTAAGCAAGAGAGAGGATATTAAGACTACAGGAGTATTTCTCAACCCCTTCTATCTCCTGATAACCACCAACAGTGCCTGACCAAAAAAGTAGGGGCAAAGTGTTAACCCCCCAGGTGGTGCCAGAACCCTCACTTCCATGCACTTCCCAGATCCCCTCCCTATTCCTTCACTCCCTCTCAATCCTGAGAAGCTGAATATACAAAGGGACAATGGCTAGAATATATACATAAATAAAACCGTAGGCCGGCGCAGTGGCTCACGCCTGTAATCCCAGCACTTTGGAAGGCCGAGGCAGGTGGATCACGAGGTCAGGAGTTCAAGATCAGCCTGGCCAAGATGGTAAAACCCCACGTCTACTAAAAATACAAAAATTAGCCGGGCAAGGTGACAGGAGCTTGTAATCCCAGCTACTCGGGAGGCTGAGACAGAAGAATCCCTTCAACCAGGGTGGCAGAGGTTGCAGTGAGCCGAGATCGAGCCACTGCACTCCAGCCTGGGCAACAGAGTGGGACTGTGTCTCAAAAAGCAACCACAACAACAACAACAAAACTGTAACCCATAACCTGCAGCAACCAGTGCAGGAAGCCAACCTACTCTTTGTAGTAACCAGTCCAGAAAGCCAGACAATAATCCCTATAGCAATTGATCCAAAAGGGCCAGGACTCGACACTTGATACTCACTGCTTCCCTCATTTTTGTTCCCACTTCCAATTTAGGACCAGCTGGAGAAAACCAAATAAGCACCCTTAACTAATCACATGGGATGCCCACTTCAGTTAGCCCACCTGTAACTTCCCCATGCTAATAGCCTCATCAAGGTGTACTTAAGGTCTTCGCCTTGTTCTACCATGAAACTTTCCTGCTCCTCTGCCTGCCTTGGAGTCTCTGCCAAATATGAGTGATGGTGACTGACTCCCTCATGAGAGCGAGTTATGTGTAAGTAGCCTTTGCTTGTTCTAATTTGAGGGGTCTTCATTTATTTTCACAATCCTAACCTAAGCCCTGGAGCTGAAAGGTGACTCAAAAAAAGTGTTCTAATAAACACATTTAATGATTTTGATTCAACTTGCAGTAAGTGGATCATTGTGACCAAAACTCAGTCCTTTTTCATTTGAAATGTTAAAGCACAGGAAGTTAGTGTAGCAACCCAGAGAGTCCTAGATTAGAAAAGCCTGGGCCCCCTAACTGGAAAGGCAAGTCCCCTCTGGCTCTGCCATTAACTTGCTTTATAATTTCAGGCATAAGATCTTAACGTCTCTATGTTTTACTGTCTTATATATATATAATGGAGATAAATCCTATGTTTGCTCACAGGCTTGGTATAAGAATAAGATAGAACTAGGCACCATGGCTCACATGTATGACCTCAACACTGTGGGAGGTCAAGGCAGGAGGATTACTTGAGCTGAAGAGTTTGAGACTAGCCTGGACAACATAGCAAGACCCTCAACTCTACAAAAAGTAAATAGCCAAGCACAGTGGCATGCACCTGTAGACCCAACTACTAAGGAGGATTGCCTGAGCTTAGGAGTTCGAGGCGGCAGAGAGCTATGATCATGTCGCAGCCCTCTAGCCTGGTCAAGAGTGAGACCTTGTCAAAAAAAAAAAAAAAAAAAGCGAGAGTAAGAGTACAATATTCAACTATGCTTTAAAATGGTTCCTAATTGTGAAAACATAAGATGTTATCTCAGAAACATGCAGCCTTTCTTCCAACACCCCTTGGTGCCTCAGACATGGAAGAGATCAAATAGGGATAAAGGAGGCAAAAAAAGATTGGCTCCAGGTACATTAGCCGGATGCAGTGAGCAAGCACGAGCTGCCCAGCCACTGGAGCTAGTTCCTGGTCATGTTATTCTATGCTTTCAAACTCCCACACACACTCCATCCTCCGCCAAAATACATAAACCTCTTTGAATTACACTCCTTCTCTTATAGGAGCAATTGACTACAGTTGGATGTGATATGCCTTTGTTTGTTTTAATTTACGGATAACCAGGAATGCTACCCTGCCTCTTTTTTTCAAACACCCACCATCCCATCAGAGGTCCTCTTCTGGGGTCTTAGTTTTCTGGTAATTTTTTTTTTTTTTTTTTTTACTAAGAATAGTTGTGGTTAGAGGCAGCTCCAAGCACAGCCCCCAGTCGTAAGGCTCATTAAGAACATTCTCCAACGTTCAGACTACAGCAGTAAATCACCAGCTCCAAGAAGGGGAGGCAGGGCGTGGATGGCAACTAGAGATCCTTCAGCTGGCGTCCAGGAAGGAAGGCTGCCTGGGTCTCATTCCAGGATGACAGCCCTTATAAAGGTGAAAGGTTTGAGGGATATAAGAAGGAAAATACTGAGACCTATAAACACACTTTTCATCTCTCAGCCAACACCTGTTATTTTGCAAACTTTGTAAGCGGTCTAAGGAAAGAACCAGCTCTGCTCAAAGATTTCTCAGAAAAGCATTTCAGCTTAGCATTTGTTACTTAAAATCCCCAAGAACGACTTCTGTCACACCCACCTCCCATTAGAAGGTAGCTTTTGACTGAAGTAACCCCAAGAAGGACAAGTTACAGGCTAACATCTCAACCCTAAATACAAAACGGAACCACTTTTGTTTTTCCTGACTTCAGTATCAATAGAAGTCTATACTTCCAGGACTGGCATTTTCCAAAGTTGTTAATATACAGATACCCAAAATCAAGAGAATGAGAGTGTGTGAGTTTGGGGAAAGTTGACAGATTCCTTCTCTTGGTCAGAGTGCATATTAGCATGCTAAAGTTTCTGAGAAGTCCTGCATTGAAGAAACAGGTTTATGTAAAATACAGCATTTTCCAAATTTGCTTTACCACAGAACCCTTTTTTTGTTCCTAACGCCTATTAATATTCTGCAGAAAACATTGCCCCCAGAAAAGAAAAGCCTGCATTTGGCCATTTCGATTTTGTTTGGTTTGAAGATAAAGGCAAATTTGCCTCCAAAGAAAATCTTCTCAGTGCATGAGTCCTCACTAGAGTGATGCTGACATTTCCGTGAACCCCAGGCCCTGGATCAGGAACAAGTGTTGGTTACTCTCAATGACTCTCCTTGCCCCCACCTCCCACCTTCTACCACCTCTCAGTTCTCTTCTGCCACATCTCCCCAGTGAAGACCAGCTGATAGCTTCACAGAGCCCATGTGGCACAGAGTAAAACAATTTAAATGGATACCAGCCAAAGAAATCTGTGAAGCAGATGATAATGTCAAATATACATTCAGAGCATTTTTATGTGGTTCTTAAATGGAAAGAAGGATTTCTCTTCCTTCAATCCTTCCGTTCATAATTTTTAACAAATGGGCTTCTTGGAATATGCAAATTTAGGGATGGAAGGAAAAGATCCATATATGGAACTCAAGTTTTAATTAAAGAGAGCATCCACAAAAATAAAAGCTCCAGGTCATTTGCAAGACCCAGCTGAGGAATGATTTTCTGTCTATCCATGGAAAACTATTCACAATGTATTGTTGCATGAAAAAGCAAGTTCCAAAACCATATACACAGAGTGATTCATTTTGTAAATGCAATTGACTCAATGTTTGTTGAAAGATAAATATGCATTAAAAGGAGACTCTAAGAATTTATATCAAATTGACAGTGATGATCTCTGAGCGAAAGTGTTTTCTTTTCTCATATAAAATGACATTTTATATTTTCTCATATAAAAGTTAAAATGAAAATTTTAACTTTTCTCATATAAAATGATATTTTACAATAAAAAATAATATTTTGGAAATGTTCTAGTCTACCACTTGTGTTATCTGCAGAGAAATATCCAAGGATGGAGGAAGCACTTTTCCTCATGAAGAGGAAGGATCATGAGGCCAGACTGTGTGGACAGTGAGTAGCCAAGAGCAGGACAACGTCCTCCACAGCACTTAGTGCAGGCTTTTGCACACAGCAGGCATCAAGCACTTGCCATAAGACAAGCTAAACTATAAGGTAACAGCAGCAAGTCATGATTCTAAATACTGGGGACAACCAGTACATTCAAAGTGAGAGTAGCCAATAAGTATAGAGAGGTTACAAATAAGATCCCAGATCCAAATAGTCAATACAAAACCACCCCCAGCCCTGACATCCTCCTCCACCCATACCCACACACCTACTTATTAGCTGGAAGTCCAGTACCTTTTTGAATTTCCTTTTCCCAACCAGTTCAAAGAATTTTCAGGGCTGTAACCCAAATGTCCACCAATTGGTGGGTCTTTGGATCAATTCCCCTAGAAGTCATAAAGAAAGGTGGAGATTGTCACATATACGATATGGTCTCCACCTGCCTTCTGCCTCCCTGCCCTGTTGACCATTTTTACTCCATCACCCACAGGCCACTAACCCCTCCAGGCCAAGTAGTCTCCTCTAAGCTATGTAGCTCGGCTGCTCTCCATCTCTAGCCAGTTGGACAACACCTGCTGCCTCTCATCAGAACTCTTGCAGAAGAGCCTGCCACAGCAGAGCTGCTGAACCCCTCTGGTTCTCTCCTCTGTACAAAGCCCCGTTCCCCATAGAGTGGATAGAGTGGGCAGGCATTGCAGAGCTGGGAAGGGGGCCTGGTGGTTGTGCAAGGGGATTTGGGGACTAAAGGCCATGTTGGGTTGATAAGCACAGCCTCACGTCCTATCTGAACTCTAATATTTAGCCCCTGCTGCTCAGTTCGGCTCAACCTGCCAAAATTCTTCCTCACAAAAAGAGATTTTTTTTCTAAATAAATGTTTTGTCTCTGTCTTCATTCTGGCTTCCTTTAGACCCACCCACCACCCCCCCACCCCCCCGCCACCGCCCGCCGCCCCGCAAGTACCTCAGAAAGTGCAGTACATATTAAAATTACAAAAATGGACAGAGTTCTCTTGTTTTTCCCACAAGACTCTTGGGCTCCAAGCAAAGCAGAAAATTTGGTTAAGTCTCATTCCCTGATAGTTGAGATGTTAAGAAAAATTCAGTTGCAAAAAAAAAACCCCAAAATAATCCGATTTTAAAATGAGCAAATGATCTGAATAGACATTTCTCAAAAGAAGACATACGAATACCCAACAGATATATATGAGCAAATGCTCAACATCACTACTCACAGGAGAAGGCAAATCAAAACCACAATGAGATGTCATCTCATTGCAGTTAAAATAGCTATTAAGAAAAAGACAGAAAATAACAAGTGCTGGCAAGGATGTAGAGAAAGGGAATGCTCGTACATGATTGGTGGGATTGCAAATTAGCACAGCCATTACGGAACATGGTACAAAGGTTCCTCAAGAAATTAAAAACAGGTCTACCATATTTTCCAGCCATCCCACTGCCAGGTATCTATCCAAAAGAAAGGAGATCAAGATATGGAAGACATATCTGCCTTCTATGTTTATTGCAGCACTATTCACAATAGCTAAGAAACAAAACCAACCTGTGTCCATCAATGAATAAATGGATAAATAAAACATGGTATATGTATACAATTGAATATTATTCAGCCACCTAAAAAAGAATGAACTCCTGTCATTTGCAATAACATGGATAGAACTGAAGGTCATTATGTTAAGTAAAATAAGGCAGGCACAGAAAGACAAATATCAGGTGTTTTCACTCATACGTTAAAGCTAAAAAAAAGTTGATCTCATGGAGGTAGGGAGTAGAATGATAAATACCAGGGGCTGGGAAGGGTAGGAGAGAGGGTGAGATGAAAACAGGTTAGTTAATAGGTACAAAAATACAATTAAATAAAAGGAATATGTTCTAGAGCTCGATAGCACAGTAGGGTGACTATTATTGTGTATTTTGAAATAGCTAGAAGATTTGGAGTGTCCCTAGCACAAAGAAATAGTAAATGTTCGAGGTGACAAATATCCTAATCACCCTGACTTGGTCATTACACATGGTATATATGTATCAAAATATCATATGTACCCCCATAAATATGTATAATTAGTATGTATCAATTTATAAATTACTTCTGAAAAAAAAGTGCCTCCCCCAGCCCCTGCACTCTGCCAGCTTCCTAGGACAGAAGACTGATCAGCCTCAAACACAGAGACTCTTTAAGGAGGGCGTTGCTAATTCCAACCCAGTCTCAGCTCTGACATGGCCATAACACCTGCCACACGTGTGACGGTGCAAAGTAAGATTTTTACTCAAAATCCCCATTCAGAGCTGGAAGAAGCCTTAGTCATCTCCTCTAACCTCCTCATGTTACAGATGAGGATGAACAGGCTCAGGATCATGTCAGCCAGGTAACAGCCAAACTTAGGCTGGACTCTAAGCCTCCTGGCTTCTAATTCAGTCCAGAGGAATACCAAGCCCCTAGTACAGGAAAACAACAATGGTTATAGCATAGTATACATTATTAGAAACATTTAACCAACTCAGATTCAAGCTCTATACTAGTTTGTCATTTTCTTTTACAAATGTCATTCCCTTCATCCTTGATATTATTCTGATTGTACAGATAAATAAATTGAGGCTCAGAAAAGTAACCTTTCCCAAATCATGCAGTTTGGACACAGTACAGCCAGAATTCCAGCTGAAGCCGGTATGAACCCAAAGCCCCTGATTTTTTTTTCACTACATTAAACTGATTTCATAAAAACTGAAGAAGAGTGGACGAAAGCTTGTCTATTTAAGCATAAAGTGGCAATTTATCAAATGGATTTACAAAAAAAATAAAACTGCCTAGCTGTGTTGAATGACCTGAATTCTCACATTAAAAACAGGTTCCAAATCAATGTTCTGTTTCAAAGCATTTTTTCTCTACTGTGATCTAGTTATTGATTACAAAGAAGAATGACAGAAGACAGCTACTATGAGGAAAAACAATATTATTATTCTAATCAAGTAACTTTGGGCGGGAAATAGTACAATGCCTATGTGTTGCCAGGGCATTGCAAACATCAAATAGTAACTCATTTAAAAAACACATAAAATGCCTCTTTAATAAATGGATAATCTCCTTTAATTCCTGAAAATACCTAGAATGTAAGAATGCACAAATTCATTAAAATTTTATAAGTTTAGAGCAAAGAAAGATTGCCATATTTTTGCAAAATTCTCTTGTACGTACATACTCATACTTTTTCAATCTGCCAGATGTAGGCTAAAAAACTGGAAAAAAAGCATAACACTTCCCAAGAGTTTTTGGCCAAGAAACACATGAGTAGATTTGGGGGTGTGTATGTGTGTGTAGGGGTTGTATGTGTCATGCCATACATGAATATATAAAGATTTTGTTCCCACCACACCAGTTGGTTAAAATAAATATGATTCATTTGAGTGGGTTCATGTCAATGTTGTTCTGAATGAAAACAAAACAAAATCAGCAAAACTACAAAACAGTAGGCACACCTTCTGTTCCAGAAAGCAATTGAATCTTCATCTAGGGTTTCTCTCCAGCCTGGTTCACAGACTCAGTGAAATATACACCTCAGCGAGAGAGATACAGAAAGGGACCATGTGGACTCCATCTATGTTCTGCTTGCTATCACAGTCTTTCCTTTTTCTTTCCTAGGAGCATTTTCTAAGTAAATTAGTGATAGATTTTAAATATAAACAGTTTATGCAATACAGAAGAAAAAACTGTTATCATTCAGAGATAATCACAATGAATACTTGGTTCTACATACTTTCTATTTTGAATATACGAAGTATAGTTTTGGTTCTGTTTTATCACTTAATATATCTTGTATGTTTTCCTCACATTTAGATATATTTTTTGAAACATGATTTTTAATGGTAGCATAAAGTATTATAACATGTGTACTCAATAATTTATTAAGTCACTTTTCTGTTTAATATTTAGATTATTTGCAATGTTTTGGCATTATAAATATGAAAGATGTATTAAATATGTGGCACATATATTTTTGTCTGCATATGGGTTGATTTCCTTAGAATTAATGTTAAAAAGTACTTATCAAAAGTAGAATTATTGAGTCAATTCCATTTTTAAATTTTTCTTTTTTACTCAACTACTTTAAAAACATTCAAACAACATAGAAAAATATAGAATAAAATGAAAAATCCCTCCTGCCTACCTAATCCTATTCTTAGTCCTATCACTATTGCAGTCTTAAGTTCATTCCATTACTTATTCTTTCCATTAGACTTTTTTTATTTTGACAATCATATTTTTTATTTTCAAAAACCCTTCTGTACTCTGAGTTACTTTTTTATAGCTGCCAATTCTTATTTTATGAATAGATTCTTTGAATGTTGTTGTTTATATCCAAAGACAGAAAATAAACTTCTTTTGTAACCTTTTTGTTCTCAATATTCTCTTTCTGTGGTCCAGTGATCTGTTCATTCAGCTTGATCCTTCTCTTTCTAGCTATTGGTTTTCTACATGGCATCTGAGATTCTTAAAATTCCCACTTATCTCTATGAATGAAGACCTGGGAAGATTTATTCCCACTTATCTCTGTGAATGAAGACCTGGGAAGCTTTAAGAATTCCCATTTATCTCTATGAATGAAGACCTGGGAAGCTTTATTTAGTTAGCTTTGCAGTTGCAAAGGTCCTTCCTCACTCCCACCCCAAATGGTGTGAATTGAGGGGGGCTGACAGTGTGCTCTCTAGAAGCTTCCACTTCCTAACCAGAAACACTGCTGAGGCAGCGGTTGACCGTCTAGTGTGCAAATCTTGGTGTCTTCACCTGGACAATCACCCACCCCTCATCTCTGTGACCTGTGGCTCAGTGTGAGAGGGTTTATGAACGTAACTGGCCCCTGTTCAGTACCAATGGCCCATCTATTGTCACATGACCCTTTCTGTTCTTTGTTCCCTTGAAATTTCTCAGAATCTGCTCTTATCTACCTAGCTGTTTTCTCTGTGTGTTTTTTCAACCCTTATCAAGTCAATCCCATTACTTTCCATCATCCAGGAAATTTCCCACCATTTCTGATATGTTGATGTTGCCCTTTCTTGTTTTCCATGAAAGTAGTGGGTCTAGTTTTGACAAATATATTTCCTTTTATTTCAAGGGACTTAGAAGAAGGCCAGAGGTGGTCAAATGTGCCTAAACCAACACATAGATCCAATGCACCACACCTTTTTTCTCTTGTAAGAATGTTATTTTACACTTGATTTTTACTCCCTATCAAAACCATCGTCATATTTCTTATTAAAGTTATTGTCTCAGAAAGGTATTGGATACAAGAATCAGAAAGCACTGATCCAAACTGACTGGAACAGTAAAGGGAATGCATTTACCCATGTACATGAAAATTTCAGAGGTCATATAAGCCTCAGGGCTGGCTCAAATAAGCTGTTCAACATTGATACCACAAACTGCCGTCTGCAGCGTCTTCTTCCTCTTAAGGTTTTATCTTGTGTTTGGAAGATGGCTACCAAGGGTTTCTGTAACTACATATTTTCTCCCTAATATCCAGCAGAAAGTGAGTGTCTTGTCAGGCAGGCTTTTTGCAATTTCAAGAAAATCTCTTTCCCAGAAACCCTTAGAAAATATCTCTCCACAGCTCATTGAACCAAAATGGGCCACATAAGTCAACCACTGTGGATAAAGGAAATAAATGTGCTGATTGGGCTTAAGCCAAAATAATTACTGGATTTAAAGTTGGTTGTAGTCTTCTGCTCAAGAAACAGAAGTATATATGGAATGGGAGGCTTGGAAAGTTCAGAGGGGCAAATTCTAAACACAAATCAGAGTCTACTACAAAAAAAGAAGGGAGGAATAAGCTAAAATAGCAAATGGTCAGCACAGTCCTGAAATAATATGAATGTCTACCAAAAAACAGCCATCTAGATGCTGTAGCTGCACATTTGGGTTACAGAGCTGAGAATCTGCTCTTCCCTAAGTGGTGGTTACACTTGCCCATTGCACAAAGTTTTTCACTTTTAAACCCTTTTCACAGTACATTACTAAGAGATCTCCCACCCCAAGAATTTTCAATAATCATTTTATGATTTTTATACTTTATGTTAAAGATTTTAAACTGAGACATCCGCAACGAGTATCCTAAATTGCAAAGTCTTAGGGCACAATCCTCCACAAGACTGCCCTCATTTAAGACACAAGTCTCAAGTTGGGGGATCCCCATGGCCACACTCATTTCAGACCAGCTGGCTACAATTTTGAGTATCTCCACAGACTCCTTCAGGTTTAAATAATTCACTAGGATGACACACTGAATTCAGGAAGTGCAATGTTTATAGTTTTATTATAGCAAAAGGAGACAAACTAGAACCAGCCAGAGGAAGAGATGTGGAGGGATAAGTGTAGGAAGTTTCTGTCATCCTCAAAGATGTGTTACTCTCCTGGCATCAAAGAGTTACAAAAACCAAAGAGTAATGCCGGCTGGGCATGGTGGCTCACACCTGCAATCCCAGCACTTTGGGAGGTTGAGGCAGGCAAATCACTTGAGCTCAGGAATTTAAGAGCAGCCTGGGCAACATGATGAAACCCCTTCTCTACAAAAATAAAAAAGTTAGCCGGGCATGGTAGTGCATGCCTGTAGTTGCAGCTATTTGGAAGGCTGAGGTGGAAGGATCGCTTGAACCCAGGAGGCAGAGGTTGCAGTGAACAGAGATCATGCCACTGCACGCTAGCCCAGGTGACAGAGTGAGACCTCATCTCAGAAAAAAAAGAAGAAGAAAAAGAATCATGCTAATCAAGGAATCTTACTCACACTTCCATGTCCAGAGTTTTTATTGAGGTTCCATTACATAAGCATGATTGGTGAACCATTTTCCATGTGACTCAATATCCAAACTCCTCCCTCCCTAGAAGCTGGACTGATATTGAGTTGGACTGATATCAGGTGGCTGAAAGCCCCAACCCCCTCTAATCATGTGGTTGGTCTTTCTGGAGTGGCATGCTCCCATCTTGAGTCACCTCATTAGCATAAACTACTAGTTGTGATCTGAGGGACACACCATGAATAAGAAAGACGCACTTGTCACTCAGGAAATCCCAGAGGTTTATAGGTTACCTCCCAGGAACCAGGAACAAAGGCCAACCAAATTATTTATTACACATATTTCATTTAGAACAGCTTATTACTGAAGTTGTATTAAATAAATTATTTTATTACCATATTTAATATTTTTAATCAAAGAAAATATCCATCTGTTCACTACTTAACAAATAACATTAAATGCTTAATTTATTTTAACTACATAACATAAAATATGATTTCCCAGCAAATCGATTTTTTTAATGAGATATATCATGTGTGAATTAGGGTCTAAGTATTTATGAAACTATTGACTAAATTTAACTATGTGTCCCGGCATACACACACACACACACACACACACGCACAAACACACACACACACGCAATTGTGACTCAACATTTAAGATTCTTATATTTTAGGTTTTTTAAAAATTAAAGAATTAGAAACACCATTTGACCCAGCCATCCCATTACTGGGTATATACCCAAAGGATTATAAATCATGCTGCTATAAAGACACATGCACACGTATGTTTATTGTGGCACTATTCACAATAGCAAAGACTTGGAACCAACCCAAATGTCCAACAATAATAGACTGGATTAAGAAAATGTGGCACATATACACCATGGAATACTATGCAGCCATAAAAAATGATGAGTTCATGTCCTTTGTAGGGACATGGATAAAGCTGGAAACCATCGTTCTCAGCAAACTATCGCAAGGACAAAAAAACAAACACCGCATGTTCTCACTCATAGGTGGGAATTGAACAATGAGAACGCTTGGACACAGGAAGGGGAACATCACACACTGGGGCCTGTTGTGGGGTGGGGGGAGGGGGGAGGGATAGCATTAGGAGATATACCTAATGTAAATGATGAGTTAAAGGGGGCAGCACACCAACATGGCACATGGCATATATAGCAAACCTGCACGTTGTGCACATGTACCCTAAAACTTAAAGTATAATAAAAGTAAAAAATAAAAATTAAAATTAAAGAATTTATATTGATGATTTTATGTTTTGTTTTTAAAACACATAAAAGAGAAGATTTCTTTTCTTTTCTTTTTAAGAGAAGATTTTCAACTGTTTAGAAACATTTCTCAGCAAATAATCCATTGCAGGGTTTTTAACCTTTATCCCAAATATACAGAAAGTCAATTGGTTATAATTGTCAACATTTTTTAATACTAGAGTTGTTAAATTAATGCTGAGGTTTCTATTATAATACTGGCAGAAATGGTGATTCATTACTTTAATAGACTGTTGCAACACAGTACTTTGTAGTATTAATGGTAGTAAATGGAACTGAATTATTATTTAAAAGACCATTACAAAGACTCATCAATTTACTCTTTTATAAATTAATTAAAATACCATTTATACTTCTTGTCAATACCTTCTTTTTCTTGCTTTTAAGAAGTTCTTTTTTAAATTAGCCTTAGTGAAGCATAATGAAAATATAACAAACTGCATCTTCTAAAATGTAAGATTGATGACTTTTGACAACACACATGAAAACACCACTACAATCAAAATACTAAACATTTCCATCACCTCCCAAAAGATTATTTGTTTCCTCCACCTCAGACCCAGCCTCCACTAATGTACTTTTCATCACTATAGATTTGTTTGCATTTTCTAGAATTTGATATAGATGGAATCATGCAGTATGCACTCTTTTGTGTCTGGTTTCTTTCACTCAACATAATGGTTTTTGAAATCCTTGCATGTTACTACATCTGTCAGTGGTTCTTTCATTTTAATTACTGAGTAATTTTTCATTATACTGATATATAATCACATTTTATTTGTCAATTCAGCAAATATTGATGGACATTTGGGTTATTTGCAGCTTTGGGCTATCATGAATAATTATACTAAAAACATTTGTGTACAGATATTTTTGTGGATGTAAGTTTTCAATCTTCTTTAGTGAATACCTAGAAGAGGTATTCTGGTTTGTGTATTAAGCATGTGTTTAATTTTTAAAGAAACTGCCACACTCTTCCAAAATAGAAACATTTACATTTATATGTGCAAATCTTTTGCCCATTTTTAAAACTGAGTTGTGTGTCTCATTAGTTATAAGAAGAATTCTGTATATTTTCTGAAATTGAGTCCTTTGTATGCATCAGATATATGCATTACAAATATTTTTCCCTATTCTGTGGCTTACCTTTTTACACTCTTAATGGTGTCTCTGGATAAGAAGTTTTAAATTTTAATAAAATTCAATTTATCTTTTTTCTTTTGTGGTTTGTGCCTAATGTGTCATATCTAAGATGACTACACAAAGCTACAAAATTTTCTCCCATGTTTTCTTTTAAAATTTTTATAATATTGGCTATTATATTTAAGTCTATAATTAGTTTTGTGTTAACTTTCTGTACAGAGTAAGATATGGGCTGTTTTCTTTTTTCATGTGAATACCTGGTTATTCTAGCACCATTTGTTGAAAATCAATTGAACACATGTATGTACGTATACAATACATATGAAATTATTTATGAACTCTATTCTCTCTTCTATTGATCTATATTACTTGCATTGATCTGTATGCCTATCTTTTCACAAATATTACAGTCTTAATTACTCTAACTTTATGGTAAGTTATAAAGCCAAGTAATGTAAGTTCTTGAACTTGGTTCTTTTTAAAAATTTCTTGGCTATCTTATGTCATTCGCATTCTGTGTAAATTTGAGACTAAGCTTTTCAATTTTTATTTTATCTTTGAGACAATGTCTCACTCTGTCACCCAGGCTGGAGTGCAGTGGCACAATCATGTTTCACTGCAACCTCAACCTCCTGGGCTCAAGGGATCCTCCTACCCCAGCCTCCTGAGTAACTGGGACTACAGATGCACACCACCACACCCAGCCAAGTTTTGTATTTTTTGTAGCGATGGTGATATCATTTGGCTCTGTGTCCCCACACAGATCTCATCTTGAACTGTACTCCCATAATTCCCACGTGTTGTGGGAGGGAACTGGTGGGAGACAATTGAATCATGGAGGCAGTTTCCCCCATACTGTAGTGAATAAGTCTCATGAGAGCTGATGGTTTTATAAGGGGTTTCCACATTTGCTTCTCTCTCATTCTTTCTTGCCGCTGCCATGTAAGAAGTGCCTTTTGCCTTCTGCCATGATTGTGAGGCTTCCCCATCCACGTGGAACTGTAAGTCGATTAAACCTATTTTTCTTCCCGGACTCAGGTATGTCTTTATCAGCAGCATGAAAATTGACTGATACAGATGGGGTTTTGCCATGTTGCCCAGGCCAGTCTCATTATTAGACAGAAGGTTATTCAGATTTTCTGTTTCATCCTACATCAATTTTAGTTGTATTTTTCTAGAAAGTTGTCTATTTCATCAAAGTTTTCTCATTTTTGGCATACATTTGCTCACAATATTATCTGTTATTTTAATTTCTGTAGGATCTGTAGTGATAAGCCTTCTTTTTTCCCAACATTGCTGATTTATGTCCTTTTTCATTTGTGTCTGTTTTAGTGATATTTTCTCTTGTCTTTATGATTTCCTTCCTTCCAATTACTTCGGATTTACTTTGCTCTTCTTCTTCTAGTGTCTTGAGGTGGTACCTTACATCACTTTTCTTTGTTCTGTTCTAAATAGGCATTTAAGCTACAAACTTCTCCCTAAGCATCTCTTCAGCTAAATCCCACAAATTTTGAAATATTTTTACCATCATTGAGTTAAAAATATAATTTATGTGTGTCTTCTCCTTTGGCCTATCAATATTTTAAAATGCTTTTTAATTGCCAAATATTTGGGATTTACCTAAATATTAATGATGTTGGTTTCTAATTTCATTGTGATCAGAGAACACAGTCTATACTATTACAATCTGGTAACTATATTAAGGTTTATTTTATGGCCCAAAATATGTTGTATATTGGTGAACATACCATATTCACTAAAACAAATGTGTATTACACAAAAAGGTATTCATTTTTCAGTGGTTGAATGAGCCATCCATAATTATTACTTAGATCAAGAGAGTTGATAATGTGTTCGAATCCTGTCTTACACTGATTTTTGGCGAGCTGTCCTCTCAAATCCTGAGAAACAGTGAATAAAAATATTCCACTAAAATTCTGGAATTTTTTCCCTCTAATTCTGTCATTTTTGTTTCATATACTTTGAGGCTCTGTTTTAGGCCCATACACATTTATGTTTGTTTTGTCTTCTGAAGAATTAATAATTTTTGTCATTCCTTTTTATCTCTGGCAATACTCTTTTTCTTCAAATCTGTTTTATCTGATGTTAATTTAGCCTACTTCAGCCTTCATATTGCTATTTTTTAACATAATTTGTTCCATCAATTTCTTTTCAAGCTATCTGTATCTCTACATTTCTCTCCTAGTCATATGTAGTTGGGTCTAGCAACTTTTACCCATTCTGACCATTCCTCCCTCTTAATTGGTGTGTTTAGTCCATTAACATTGCAAATGTGCACTCAGCTATTGACTTACCCCAAAGAAAATGAACTAAAGCTTCCAGTGATGTTGGCTGAGGGATAAACTATGAGTCTTAGCACTAACGACAACCACAAAGACAAACACAGAGCATGTACACTTAGAAAATAAATAAAGGAGATTGCAATTGACTTCACCAGAATGTTTGAAATCTTAGTAAGCTCAAAATAAACCAGCTATGAGCTTTCCAGAGGATAAAATTCACTTTGTGTTGCAACAGTTTTGATATATTGAACTCCGATGTCATGGTCATAGCACTATCAGCATGATGGGTTTACTGGGTTCAGGAACTCTTTCACTACTTAAATATTTTTGTTTTACAACTGATTGATAAAATTGGGGAAATAAATTCCTCATGAAAAATTTCTGAGCCAGAAATTCTAAAGAGACCAGTAAAAAGGTCAAAAGCCATTTTTATTCCTGAACTAATGCTATATAGAAAAATACATCAAGCAAAGTTCTCTTTTCCTGAAATCCTGTAAGTGAAAGTCAGAAATAAATTAATGGCTCACACTTTTAAAGCTTCTGTTTAAAATGTGAGGTGAATATTTTCTCTTCTTTTCTTTTTTTTTGGAGACAGGGTCTTGCTCTGTTGCCCAGGCTGGAGTGCAGTGGTGCAATCACGGCTCACTACAGCCTCTATCTCCAAGGTATGACCAATCCTCCCATCTCAGCCTCCCAAATAGCTAGGACTACAGGTGTGCACAACCATGCCCGGCTAATTTTTTCTTTCTTTCTTTTTTTTTTTTTTTTTTGTATTTTTTTTTTGTAGAGACAGTGTTTCGCCATGTTGCCCAGGCTGGTCTCAAACTCCTACGCTCAAATGATCCACCCACCTCAGCCTCCCAAAATGCTGGGATAATTTTCTATTTAAAGATTCATCATAAAAGATAGCTAATTAGTTTAAACAAGAAATATCTAATTCATTTTCTTGTTAATATGCATTTTTCAAAATAAATTGCTAAGAAGTGAATGAATTTTTAGAGGATTTTTTTGTGGGTTTCTCAGAATCAGTAAAAAAATTCTACCCATAATGTGCTTCATGATGCTTCAGCAGCACGTACACTAAAATTGGAATGATACAGCGATTAGCATGGCCTTGCACAACGATGATGCACAAATTTGTGAAGTGTTCCATATAAAAAATATAAAATTAAAATTTAAAAATATAAAATAAAAATTTAAAAAGACGCATGTCTTTCCTGAACCCTCCAGATTCCTCTAGCCTACAATTCCCTTCCCTTTCATGGAGCTTTTATGTGGCTTTTTGTCTACTCTACTTGTTTTGATACCATGTGGATATTTGACTATGAATCTTGACCATTGATAATTTACTGTAAGAGATGGGTTGCAAATAAACTGATTAAATCTTCCATGACTCTCAGGAAAGAATATAGGTTAGCTCTCAAATGTTATCGAGTCTAAAAGTAATTTTTAAATGGTTATTGCATTTTGCCCAACATTATATTTGATAACAGCAGGAGTTTCCTGTATAGAGTTAATTTCTCAGCAGGTCTCCTTCCCAAGAGAAAGGGAGCTCTGATTCTTAATGGCCAATGCCAGTTACCCAGACAGAATACCTCCAGCATACAAATATGAACTTGTCGAGGTGATGTAAAAGTAGTCAGAATCAAAGTGGAGTCACACATTCCCTCAGGACAGGGGTTAGAGGCAGAAGGGATCATGGCAGATGGAGGCAGGACTAGATTGCAGCTCCAACTCGGACAGACAGAGCAGTGCGTGGAGGCTCACATCGTGAATTTTTGCTCCAGAATGACTGCAGGAATAAATCAGGAAACCCAAGAGGACCCACATACCATCTGAAGGAAGCAGATTGCACCTGCCAGACCCGGGAGACACCCCAAATACTGTGCTGATATCCACAGCTGAGAGACCCACAGATGGTTCACATCACAGGACTCTGTCCATACAACCCCCGGTACCAGCCTAGAGCCTGGTAGACTTGCTGGGTGGCTAGATCCAGAAGAGAGAATAATCACTACAGCTTGACTCTCAGGAAGCCGCATCCACAGGAAAAGGGGGAGAGTATTACATCAAGAGAACACCTCGTGGGACAAAAGAATCTGAACAGCCTTCAGCTCTGGACCTTTCCTCTGATACAGCTACCCAAATGAGAGGGAACTAGAAAACTAACTCTGGTAATATGACAAAGCAATGTTCTTTAACACCCCCAAAAGTCACACTAGCTTACCAGAAATTGATCCAACCCAAGAAGAAATCCCTGATTTACCTGAAAAGGAATTCAGGAGACTGGTTATTAAGCTAATCAGGGAGGCACCAGAGAAAGGTGAAGTCCAATGTAAGGAAATCAAAAAAATGATACAAGAAGTGAAGGGAGAAATATTCAATGAAATAAATAGCATAAATAAAAAAACAATCAAAACTTCAGGAAGCAACGAACACACTTACAGAAATGCAAAATGCTATGGAAATTCTCAGCAATAGAATCAAACAAGTAGAAGAAACAAACTCAGAATCTGAAGACAAGGTCTTCAAATTAACCCAACCCAACAAACACAAAGAAAAAAGAATAAGAAAATATAAACAAAGCCTCCAAGAAGTCTGGGATTATGTTAAATGACCAATCCTAAGAATAATCAATGTTCCTGAGGAAGAAGACAATTCTAAAAGCTTGGAAAAATATTTGGGGGAACAATCAAGGAAAACTTCCCCAGCCTTGCTAGAGACCTAGATATCCAAATACAAGAAGCACAAAGAACACCTGGGAAATTCATCACAAAAAGATCACTGCCTAGGCACATTGTCATCAGGTTATCTAAAGTTAATAGGCTCTAATTAGTTAATAAGGAAAGAATCTTAAGAGCTGTGAGACAAAAGCACCAGGTAACCTAAAAAGGAAAACCTACCATATTAACAGCAGATTTCTCAGCAGGAACACTATAAGCTAGAAGGGATTGGGGCCCTATCTTCAGCCTCCTCAAACAAAACAATTATCAGCAAAGAATTTGGTATCCAGCAAAACTAAGCTTCGTATATAAAGAAAAGATACAGTCTTTTTCCAAAAACAAGTGCTGAGAGAATTCACCACTACCAAGCCACCACTACAAGAACTGCTAAAAGGAGCTCTAAGTCTTGAAACAAATACTGGAAACACATCAAATCAGAACCTCTTTAAAGCATAAATCTCACAGGACCTACAAAACAAAAATACAATTTAAAAAACAAAAACAAAAAGTCAAGGTATACAGGCAACAAACAGCATGATGAATGGAATGGTACCTCACATCTCAATACTAACATTGAATATAAGTGACCTAAATGCTCCACTTAAAATATACACAACTGCAGAATGGATAAGAATTCACCAAACAACTATCTGCTGCCTTCAAGGGACTTACCTAATGCATAAGGACTCACATAAACTTAAGGCAATGGGGTAGAAAAAGACATTTCATGCAAATGGACACCAAAAGCAAGCAGGAGTAGCTATTCTTATCAGACAAAACAAACTTTAAAGCAACAGCAGTAAAAAAGACAAAGAAGGACATTATGAAATGACAAAAGGCATGTCCAACAGGAAAATATCACAATCCTAAACATATATGTGCCTAACACTGGAGGTCCCAAATTTATAAAACAATTACTAATAGACCTAAGAAATGAGATAGACAGTAACACAATAATGGTGGGGGACTTCAATACTCCACTGACAGCACTAGACAGATCATCAAGGCAGAAAGTCAACAAAGAAACACTAGATTTAAACTATACCCTGCAACAAATGGACTTAACAGATATATACAGATATATACAGAACATTCCAACAACTGCAGAATACACATTCTATTCAACAGTTCATGTAACTTTCTCCAAGATTGACCATATGATAGGCCAGAAAACGAGCCTCAATAAATTTAAGAAAATTGAAATTATATCAAGCACTCTCTCAGACCACAGTGGAATAAAACTGGAAATCAACTCCAAAAGGAACCTTTAAAACCATGCAAATACAATGGAAATTAAATAACCTGCTCCTGAACGAGTATTGGGTCAAAAATGAAATCAAGATGGAAATTAAACAATTATTCAAACTGAACGACAATAGTGACATAACCTATCAAAACCTCTGGAATATAGCAAAGGCAGTGCTATGCTAAGAGGAAAGTTCATAGCCCTAAATGCCTACACTAAAAAGTCTGAAAGAGCACAGACAATCTAAGGTCACACATCAAGGAACTAGAGAAATAAGAACAAACCAAACCCAAACCCAGCAGAAGAAAGGAAATAACCAAGATCAGAGCAGAACTAAATGAAATTGAAAAAAAAAAATACAAAAGACAAATAAAACAAAAAGCTGGTTCTTTGAAAATATAAATAAAATTGATAGACCATTCGCAAGATTAACCAAGAAAAGACTAGAAAAAATCAAATAAGCTCAATTAGAAATGAAACAGGAGATATTACAACTGACACCACAGAAATACAAAAGATCATTCAAGGCTACTGTGAATACCTTTACACACATAAACTAGAAAACCTAGAAGAGATGGATATATTCCTGGAAAGATATAATCCTCCAAGCTTAAATCAGGAAAATTAGATACCCTGAACAGACCAATAACAAGCAGTGAGATTGAAATGGTAATTTAAAAATTACCAACAAAAAAAGCCCAGGACCAGACAGATACACAGCAGAATTCTACCAGACATTCCAAGAAGAATTGGTACCAATCCTATTGACACTATTCCACAAGACAGAGAAAGAGGGAACCCTCCCTAAATCATTCTATGAAGCCAGTATCACCCTAATACCAAAACCAGGGAAGGATATAACCAAAAAAGAAAACTACAGACCAATATCCCTGATGAACATAAATGCTAAAATCCTTAAAATACTAGCTAACCAAATCCAACAACATATCAAAAAGATAATCCACCATGATCAAGTGAGTTTCAAACCAGGGATGCAGGGATGTTTTAACATACACAAGTCAATAAATGTGATACACCACATAAACAGAATTAAAAACAAAAATCACATGATCCTCTCAATAGATGCAGAAAAAAATTCATCCCTTTATGATTAAAACTCTCAGCAAAATCGGCCTACAAAGTACATACCTCAGCATAATAAAAGCTATTTATGAGAAACCCACAGCCAACATAATGGAGAACTGTTGAAAGCATTCCCTCGGAGAACTGGAACAAGACAAGGATGCCCACTCTCACCACTCCACTTCAACATACTATTGGAAGTCCTATCCAGAGCAATCAGACAAGAGAAGGAAATAAAGGGCAGCCAAATCAGTAAAGAGGCAGTCAAACCATTGCTGTTTGCTGATGATATAATTGTTTACCCAGAACACCCTAAAGACTCCTCCAGAAAGCTCCTAGAACTGATAAAAGAATTCAGCAAAGTTTCCAGATACAAAATTAATGTACACAAATTAGTAGCTTTTCTATACACCAACAGTGACCAAGCTGAGAATAAAATCAAGAACTCAACCCCTTTTACAATAGATGCAAAAAAAAATACTTATGAATATGCGTAATCAAGGAGGTAGAAGACCTCTACAAGAAAAACTAAAAAATACTACTGAAAGAAATCATAGATGACATAAACAAATGGAAATACATTCCATGATCTTGCCTGGGCAGAATCAATATTGTGAAAATGACAATACTGCCAAAAGCAACCTACAAATTCAATGCAATTCCCATCAAAGTACCACCATCATTCTTCACAGAATTAGAAAAACCAATGCTAAAGTTCATGTGGAACTAAAGAAGAGCCTGCATAGCCAAAGCAAGACTAAGCAAAAAGAACAAATCTGGAGGCATCACAGTATCTGATTTCATCCTATACATAAGGCCACAGTCACCAAAACAGCATGATACTTGTATAAAACTAGGCACATAGACCAATAGAACAGAATAGAGTACCCAGAAATAAACCTAAATAACTGATCTTTGACAAAGCAAACAAAAACATCAAGTGGGGAAAGGACACCCTTTTCAACAAATGGTGCTGGGATAATTGGGTAGTCACATGTAGGAGAATGAAACTGGATCCTCATCTCTCACCTTATATAAAAATCAACTCAAGATGGATCAAGGGGGCCGGGCACAGTGGCTCATGCCTGTAATCCCAGCACTTTGGGAGGCCAAGGCAGGCGGATCATCTGAGGCCAGGAACTTGAGACCAGCCTGGCCAACATGGCAAAACGCTGTCTCTACTAAAAATAAAAAAAAAAGTTATCTGGGCATGGTAGCGGGAGCCTGTAATCCCAGCTAGTCAGGAAGCTGAGGCAGGAGACTCACTTGAACCCAGGAGGTGAAGGCTGCAGTGAGCTGAGATCGCACCATTGCACTCCAATCTGGGCAATAAGAGCAAAACTCCATCAAAAATAAATAAATAAATAAATAAATAAATAAGAAAAAAAAAAGATGGATCAAGGACTTTAAGACCTGAAACTATAAAATTTCTGGAAGATAATAACATTGGAAAAACCCCTCTGGACATTGGATTACACAAGGATTTCATGACCAAGAACCCAAAAGCAAATGCCATAAAAACAAAGATAAATAGCTAGGACTTAATTAAACTAAAGAGCTTTTGCATGGCAAAAGGAAGAGTCAGCAGAGTAAACAGACGACACAATTGGGAGATAATCTTGACAATCTATACATCTGACAAAGGACTAATATCCAGACTCTACAACAAACTCAAACAAATCAGCAAGATAAAAACAAACAATCCCATCAAAAAGTGGGCTAAAGACATGAACAGACAATTCTCAAAAGAAGATATACAAATGGCCAACAAACATATGAAAAAATGCTCAACATCACTAATGATCAGGGAAATGCAAATCAAAACCACAATAGGATACCTTACTCCTGCAAGAATGGCCATAATCAAAAAAATCAAAAAATATTAAATGTTGGAGTGGATGCAGTGAACAGGGAACACTTCTACACTGCTGGTGGAAATGTAAACTAGTACAACCACTATGGAAAACAGTGTGGAGATTCCTTAAAGAATTAAAAGTAGAACTACCATTTGATCCAGCGATCCCACTTCTTGGGATCTATCCAGAGGAAAAGAAGTCATTATACAAAAAAAGGTACTTCCACACGCATGTTTATAGCAGCACAATTCGCGATTGCAAAAATGTGGAACCAACCCAAATGCCCATCAATCAACGAGTGGATAAAGAAACTGTGGTGTATATATATGATGGAATACTACTCAGCCATAAAAAGGAATGAATTAATGGCATTTGCAGCGACCTGGATGAGATTGGAGACTATTAGTCTAAGTGAAGTAGCTCAGGAGTGGAAAACCAAACATCATACGTTCTCACTCATAAGTGGGAGCTAAGCTATGAGGATGCAAAGGCATAAGAATGACATGATGGACTTTGGGAACTCAGGGGGAAAGGGTGGGAAAAGGGTGAGGGATAAAAGACTACAAACAGGGTGCAGTGTATACTGCTCGGGTGATGGGTGCACCAAAATCTCACAAATCACTACTAAATAACTTACTCATGTAACCAAACACCACCTGTTCCCAATAACCTATGGAAATAAAAAATAAATTTAAGTGGATTCACTAATATTAAGAGAACCCTGACAAAGAGGGCAGGGTTCATTTTCTTGTAGAGAACCCATGTTTGTTATAGAGATTGACAGCGATATAGCCCAAAGGACATGCTCCTTAATAAATTCAATGTTCTTTGCTCTAATTTCTTGCTATTATAGGGACAAAAAGGGAGTTATCTTTTTCCTCCCCATCATAAGGGTCACAGCTGATACCCCTATAGCAAAAGACAGGTTAATATGAGAAGAGCTAATAAATTTGTTAATGTTAACAAACAAATTTAAAAAAAAAAGAAAACTCAAAGAAAGATCAGATGGTTGACACATAAATACCTTCTTTATTGGAAAGAGGGAAGTAGGGGTGCTGTAAATGTAACCAAAGACCAGATAATGGTTTGTAAATGATTCTTTTTGGAATTTGAATGCACAAGACAGGGAAACATTATCTTGTGAAAAAGTCCATCCAGATGTGATTACATTCCTCAGTCTTCTGTTCTGGTATAGAAAATGAGATTTAAGGGAGAGGGTGGAAGGCAATGGTGTTCTCTCTGGTAGCTCAAGTCTTAAGGTAGATAAGATTTATCAGAGTAAAGTGTCTTCCAGCATCTGCTGACCTTCAGTGAACTTCAGTTTAAAATAATCAGCATAGGAGGCTGAGGCGGGTGGATCATTTGAGGTCAGGGGTTCAAGACCAGCCTAGCCAACATGGTGAAACTCCGTCTCCACTAAAAAATACAAAAATTAGCTGGGCGGTAGTGGTACACGCCTGTAATCCCAGATACTCAGGAGGCTGAAGCAGGAGAATTGCTTGAGCCTGGGAGGCAGAGGTTGCAGTGAGCTGAGATCATGCCACTGCACTCCAGTCTGGGTGACAGAGTGAGACCCTGTCTCAAAAATAAACAAACATACCAATGTTCCATATTTGAGGAATATTGAGGACCCTGGGGTCCTTAACCATCAAACAATCTCTAGATGTGTAATTTGGGCTCCTGGATGAATGTTTCACCCTCAGTGCTGACCAATAGTCGGGAACAAGAGGTAGACGTTGCCTGTACTCCCATGCCTTCAGCCTTCTAACTCATCCAGATGCACCTTCTTTATCTCTGGTGCACCTCTGGATTCAGTCTCATTTCACACTTGAAAAACAGACATAGCCCTGGCCAAATTCAAGGAGCCTGACTTGAAGAACCCTCCAGGTTATTATAGTCCAAGCACCTGTTGATGAAGAGAGTCAAACTCCATGAAATATTTGAAGAGATTTATTCTGAGCCAAATATGAGTGAACAATGGCCCATGATAGAGCCCTCAGGAGACCCAGAACATATGCCCAAGGTGGTTGGACCACAACTTGGTTTTCTACATTTTAGAGAGACATAGGATATCAACACAGACATGTAGAATGTACATTGGTTCAGTCTGGAAAGGTGGGACAACTAAAAATGCAGGCTTCCAGGTCATTTAAAGATTCCAAGATTTTCTGATTGGCAATTGGTTGAAAGAGTTAAGTTGTTGTCTAAAGACTTAGAAAGGAATGTCTGGGTTAAGATAACAAGTAGTAGAGACCAAGGTTTTCTCATGCTGGTGAAGCCTCCAGAGAGCAGGTTTTAGAAAGAATAGATGGTAAATGTTTCTTATCAGACTTAAAGAGTCTGTTCTATGACTAACAGTAATTCCAAAAGGGAGGAGGGTATAATGAGGCATGTCTGAGCTCCACTTCTCATTATGGCCTGGACCAGTTTTTCTGGTTAATTCTGGAAAGCCCTTTGCCAAGAGGATGGGTTCATTCAGATGGATGAGGGTCTCAGAATTTATTTTTGGTTTACATACCCATTGTGGCATACAGATTGGATAGTGTCCTGATCTTTGCCTTGGCATTGCATCCTCTTACTGCTGGTCTCACTCTAACTCTGAATCCCCTGCCCTCAGCAGTTGGTTGGGCTTTCAGCTCTTATGACCTGCCCTATATGGATTTAGGAGTGTTCCCTGGTCCCCCAGATCAGGAGAGACAGTCAGAATATTCAACAACTGGTACAGCATGAGACAATCAGTCACAACAGATGCCAATTCTCAACTATAGTGTGTCTATAGTGTTGCATGCCAGCCTCTCAGCAGTTAGAACCTGAGTAATTTTTACCATTAATTAATCACAATAATTCACCAGGCACTGTGCTGTGTCTTTAAAATACATTACTTCATTTAATCTTCTCAGCAATCCTTCCCAGGAAACACAGGTTCAAGGTTATACAATTTGAACAAGTTTTCACAGCTAGTAAATGGCAGATCCAGGATTTAAAATCAATTATATTGTTTCCAAAGCCCGTGCTCCTAATTTCCACGGTATCTAGTAGATTTAATCCCTTTAAAACTGTTCCTCAGTGTGGCTTTGAAGTCTTAGAGACCAATGTTCAAAGCCTGCTGCTTCTCCTTTTAGTTACTTGTCTTCTGAACCGCAATTTCCCTATCTGTAAAATAAAGATAATGTGCCTTCTTCCATGGACTGTTACAAAGTTTAAATGCGTTCATGTATATTAAAAATATGTAGTCTTGATCACAAGTGTTATCATTGTTTTTCTTGACTCAAGCTCCCACCTTCCAGTCCTGGGTCCCCAGAATCTCTGTAGTCTGGTCAGGCTGTGCTTAAGAAGACCCCCAATTCTCATGCTTCTGTGCCTTCTACATTTCAGAGAAGCATGGGGGAAGATCATGAGCTGACTGCTTTTTACAGCTCTACCTCCCCCACTCTCACTGCAGCCCCACCATCACAAAGCCTTTCATCCTACTATGGAAGATATAAGGCCTCAAGTGCAAATAGTCATTGGGAGAGCCGACATAGAAAATACAATAATTTCACACTAGAGTGTTTAAGATATAAGATGTAATCCCTGAAGGGAAACTTGAATTGAAACTAAGAGCACTAGAACCTCAAAGGAAGGAGGAGAAGGGATGAAAACAAATTGTATGGTTTGATTACATCTCAGCTCCATTCTAACCTCCATCTTCAGATCCTATGGCTCTGGAGAGGTCCATATCTGAGAAAAGGCAGGGACACTTGTTGGCTTAGTAAATGAGAAATGGCACCCAATGTGTGAGTAGCACCTCCATCTCTACCACAACACACACACACAAAACACACACACACATACACACCCTTCTACAGCTAGGAGCCACAAAGCAGCTCATCTGCAGGAAACAATTCCTTTCTCTTCTTTTCTCAGCTCTAAAACAAGGTGATCCCACTTGAAATGATCTCTAATGTCCCAGCCAATTCTGACATTATGTGCTGAAATATCCATTCTTTCAAGTAGATAATAAAAGCTGGACTCACTCCTGTGAACAACTACACATATACCTATATACGTATATATCCACTCACATGCCTCCATTGACAGCAGTGAAGAGAGAGCCCAGCACCCTGCTCTGGCCTCTTCTCTCTCTTTACACTCACTGCCTCGGTGATCTCACCCAAGTTGGTGACTGTAAATAGCCCCTATCGCTGGCAAAGCATAATTTATCTCTAGCCCAGACCTGTCCCCTGAACTCCAGGCTTGTATAAATAGCCATCTCCACTTGGATGTCTAATAACCATCTCAAACTTACATGTCTTAAACTAAGCTTCTGATGCTTGCCCTCAAATCTGTTCCTCCCCATTCTTCCCCATCTCAGTTAACGGCAACTGCACCCTTCCTGTAGCTCAGATGCTGGACTCCTCTCTTTCTGTAATATTCTGCATCCAATCTCTTGTGAAATCCCTTTGACACTACTTAACGACATGCATCCATAATTCAACTTTTTTTTTTTGAGATGGAGTCTCGCTCTGTACCCCAGCCTGGAGTGCAATAGCACAATCTCAGCTCACTGCAACCTCCGCCTCCTGGGTCTCAGTTCAAACAATTCTGCCTCAGCATCGTGAGTAGCTGGGATTACAGGTGTGCACCACCATGCCCAGCTAATTTTTGTATTTTTAGTTTCACCATGTTGGCCAGGCTGGTCTTGAACTCCTGACCTTGTGATCTGCCCTCCTTGGCCTCCCAAAGTGCTGGCATTACAGGCGTGAGCCACTGCGCCCGGCCAGAATTCAACTGTCACCACCTCCACTGTTACAGTAGGTAGCTAGTCAGGCAAGAGTGGGGCAGGAGAGGGCTCCCCCAACACACACACCAGGACCATCAGGTGATGGTCAGTCAGTTATTAAGGGTCTCTCTAAAATAATAATTGGTCACAGCCAGTGCGAGGGAAAGGCAGTCTCCTAGTAGATAGAAAACACCTGAAACTGGTGGTTAGCAGCTTCCCAATATGATCTCAGGGGTTGGGCGAATGGGCTACAGCATGCGCATTAAGAGGCAAAATGGCGGAGTTTAACTGTTATATGACCTTCCTCTAGGAATGCTAGACTGGTAAGGGAAGAACGCCTTAAGTGAGCACGCATACAACTCTGGTAAACACACTGCACACACTCCTCCCCCAAGCGCTAGTAGGCCATTGCACGTGCGGACAGCCCACCCCAAGGGAAGAATCAGGGGAGAAGTAACGCAAGACCCCAGAAGTAAGCCAATGTATAAAATCCCAAGTCAGAAGATCAAACCGTGCACTTGATCACTCAAGTCGCCCACTTGACCCTCTTCCAAGTGTACTTTCCTTCCTTCCATTCCTGTTCTAAAGCTTTTTAATCAACTTTCACTCCTGCTCTAAAACTTGCCTCAGTCTCTCCTTCTGCCTTATGCTGCTCAGTCCAATTCTTTCTTCTCAGGAGGCAAGAAATGAGATTGCTGCAGGCCCATATGGATACGGATTCAATGCCAATAACACCACTGATATCACCTTAGCCCCAGCCATCGTCATCTATCATCCTGGCTGTTGCAATAGCCTCTAATTGATCTCCTTACTTCTTACCTCGTCCTGCTAGAGTCTTTTCGCAGTGGAGCAGCAAGAATTATACTCTTAAAACAAAAGTCAGATCATGCCTTTCCCCTGACCAAACCTGTGGTTGCTCCCTTTCTCCTTCAGAGGAAAAGCTAAGGCCAATCTGGCCTTGCATCACCTCTGACCTCCTCTCCCTCCACTGCCCCCTCTCCCCTGCCCCACTCTGCCCCTAGGCAGTGCCCTCCTGGATGTTTCTTGAACGTGCTAAATACGCCTTGTCTCAAGGCCTTTGCACTTCACTCTTTTCTCTGCCAGGAATGCTCTGAAAATCTTAACTTTTTCCCAAGTCCCAGCAGTCCTCTTCCTCTCTTGCTCTTAATTTTCTCCATCACCCTTATCATCTGACATACTACACATTTTATTCATTTATTTATTGTTTTTTAAATTTATTTATTGTCTTACATACACAAATGCACACACATACGAAGGCAAGCTCCATGATGGTGAAATCGGCCCAATTGTCCTGTAGAACTAACATTTACAGTTTTTTGAATAAACATTGAAATTGACCCTCCCTGGTCTTAAAACTGGAAACTTACATTTGTCTTACCCGAGTTCCTGCCTCTGGAAACCAACCCTCAGGCAAGGAACTAAAACTTAAAAGATCACCACATCCAAATGAGGCACCAGACCCCTCATCTATCATTTTTGCTCCCTTACCCCTCCCCAATTCCTGTTTTTCCCACCTTCCCTGCTATATAAACACCCCCAAGTTTAGTGGGTCAGGAAGACGGATTTGAGACTTTATCTCCCATTCTCCCTGGCTGGCATTCTGTGCAGCAAGCAACAGAACTGAGACCAAATCCCTGGCATTTCAGTAACAGGCCTTAAATGTTTGCTTATTGCTATTATCTCCATTTACTAGAACTGGGCCTGACACATACTGGGTACATAATATTTGCTAAATGAGTGAACCAATGGATTATTCAAGATGAACGGCACACCCCAAATTGTAGGTGGGTACTTGGGAGAAGTTAGCAACCACCTAAGTCTTCCAATATGCATATCCAGTGTACCTACATTGTCTTCTTGTGTGCATATCCACATGGCGGGCAGCTGAGTGCATTATCATAGATTGCCCATAGCCAATCTGTGCAGTCAGAGGTACCTGTGGACTCTGAAGGAGGAGTTACTTTTATACTTTCAAAGTTCGTGAAGTACACTACTCCTTGAGTCACTATGGGTCTATGGTAATGCACTTGGGCCTCTGTAAACGGCACAGGAGATAAGCCAAGCCCAGCTCATCTGAGAATTCCATAGCTGGGTGAGCCAAGTCTTGTTGGTTCCCAGGGACCCAGCCTGATACCCTCATATCTGGCACATAGCAGGGTCTCTGGGGTCAGAGTTAATTGTTGAATCTATCAGTAATTGATAGATTCAATTTATCTATCCTCCCTAGCTTCAAAGTAAAGTTCATAAAGTAAAATTCATAATTCCTCGCTAGCTTCACAGTAAAATCTATGTTTTCAAACCAATCTCCACATTTTTTTAAATTTATTTATTATTTTAGAGACAGAGTCTCACTCTGTCACCCAGGCTAGAATGCAGTGACACAGTCCTAGCTCACCGCAACCTCAACTCCCTGAGCTGAAGCAATTCTCCCACTTCAGCCTCCTGAGTAGCTGGGACTACAGGCACATGCCATCACGCCTGGCTAATGTTTGCTTTCTCCATGTTTCACCAAGACTGGAGGCAGCCATGAATGTGGTGAAAGCTTTGCGTGTTGCTGGGAGCGTGTGTGGGTTTGGTTTCACATGCAGCTTTGATTTCCTCATCTGGGCCATCTTCACACAGCGTGTTAACACCAACGGGATATTGGCTCAGACTGAAGACTCAGCAGCTGAGATTCATCATTACAATGTCTCCCAGAACAGCGGTCCCCAAACTTTTTGGCATCAGGGACCGGTTTTGTGGAAGACAAAACCACGGATGGCGGCCTGGGGGTTGTGGGGTGGAAGGATGATTTCCAGATGAAACTGTTCCACCTCAGACCATCAGTCATTAGTTGGATTCTCCTAAGGAGCACACAACTCAGGTCCGTCACATGGACAGTTCACAATAGGGTTTCTCCTTCTGAGAATCGAATGCCGTGGCTGATCTGACTGGAAGCAGAGCTCAGGTGGTAATGCTGAGTAGCCCAGTTCCTAACAGGAAACTGATCAGTACCAGTCCACAGCCCAGGGCTTGGGGACCCCTGTTCTAGAAGAGGCATTACCTCCAGCCTTGGGAGTTCTCTGGAGTCAGAGGTGATGTGGTCTGGATGGAATGTGTGTACTGAACAGAGTTTCAAATTTATTTATCATACAAGGTGGGGCTCTTTGTTTTCTCATATGCCGTGATTTAGAATAGGGATCGGGTCTGATTTATCTTTTCCCTCCCCAGAGCCTGGTGTGGTGTCTAACACATGGCATTGCTCAGTAAATCTGTCGCACTACACTGACCTGCACGTAGCTCTCAGAAGGATTCTTGTTTCCCCTTTAAAATTAGGCAAAATAACCGTGTGCATTTTCTTTGTGCTTACCATTTCTAAATTAGTTACAATAAACAGGGATTAATTTTTTACTAAAGGGAAAAAAAAAGAAAGTCATTGTCTCTGCCCTTCTCTGACTCAAGGCCTTCTCTGAAAGCACAGCTCTGCCTCTGTTTCTCTCCAGTCCAGCAAACAAATGTCATCGTACAAGTTTGTATAGAGCAAGGGGATGTGTGATGTGGTAGAAACAGAGGCAAAATATTTACAATACAATTGCATGATATTTAGTCATCTTAGAGTTTTAAAGTACTATTTCTGAAGCAAGAAATTATTCAGAGAGCAACTCCCAAGGAATAAAGATCAATGGTTAAGTGCCAGCCTATGGCATTAGCCATCTTGATTACAAATCCTGGCCCTGACACTTGTGAACTGTGTGACCCTGGACGAGTTACTTAACCTCCCTGAGTCTCAGCTTCTTCATCTCAGAAGTGGAGATAAAATTGGTGTTTGCTCAATGGGGAAAGGATTCCCTATTTAATAAGTGGTGCTGGGAAAACTGGATAGCCATATGTAGAAAACTGAAACTGGATCCCTTCCTTACACCTTATACAAAAATTAATTCAAGATGGATTAAAGACTTACATGTTAGACCTAAAACCATAAAAACCCTAGAAGAAAACCTAGGCAATACCATTCAGGACATAGGCATGGGCAAGGACTTCATGTCTAAAACACCAAAAGCAATGGCAACAAAAGCCAAAATTGACAAATGGGATTTAATTAAACTGAAGAGCTTCTGCGCAGCAAAAGAAACTACCATCAGAGTGAACAGGCAACCTACAGAATGGGAGAACATTTTCGCAACCTACTCATCTGACAAAGGGCTAATATCCAGAATCTACAATGAACTCAAACAAATTTACAAGAAAAAAACAAACAACCCCATCAAAAAGTGGGCGAAGGATATAAACAGACACTTCTCAAAAGAAGACATTTATGCAGCCAAAAGACACATGAAAAAATGCTCATCATCACTGGCCATCAGAGAAATGCAAATCAAAACCACAATGAGATACCATCTCACACCAGTTAGAATGGCGATCATTAAAAAGTCAGGAAACAACAGGTGCCGGAGAGGATGTGGAGAAATAGGAACACTTTTACACTGTTGGTGGGACTGTAAACTAGTTCAACCATTGTGGAAGTCAGTGTGGCGATTCCTAAGGGATCTAGAACTAGAAATAGCATTTCACCCAGCCATCCCATTACTGGGTATATACCCAAAGGATTATAAATCATGCTGCTATAAAGACACATGCACACGTATGTTTATTGCAGCATGATTCACAATAGCAAAGACTTGGAACCAACCCAAATGTCCAACAACGATAGACTGGATTAAGAAAATGTAGCACATATACACCATGGAATACTATGCAGCCATAAAAAACGATGAGTTCATGTCCTTTGTAGGGACATGGATGAAACTGGAAACCATCATTCTCAGCAAACTATCTCAAGGACAAAAAACCAAACACTGCATGTTCTCACTCATAGGTGGGAATTGAACAATGAGAACACATGGACACAGGAAGGGGAACATCATACTCTGGGGACTGTTGTGGGGTGGGGGAAGGGGGGAGGGATAGCATTTGGAGATATACCTAATGTTAAATGACGACTTAATGGGTGCAGCACACCAATATGGCACATGTATACATATGTAACAAACCTGCATATTGTGCACATGTACCCTAAAACTTAAAGAATAATAAAATAAAATAAAAATAAAAATAAAAAAATTGGTGCTTGCTCTAGTGGTTGTTATGAAGAGTAAATAAAATAGTGCCCGTAAACAGTTTATTTGACACAATGCCTGATAGAGTAACTGCTTATTATGAGTGATGGTTATTAGTGTCATTATTGCTATTAACTGGACCTTCCCACGCCTACCCCTCAGTCTTCTCCCTGGGTTTAGCTCCCATCTCATTACGGAGTGTTACGGTCCTTCCCCATGCCATGTTCAAGTTTTCATCTCTAAGTACACTGACATTGTGGCACTCCCACCTTCCTTGATCCAGAGGAAATTCTGACATGTTGCAATTTTTCCCCTTACTTTAAGGGTAGGTCCTACTCTCTCTTCAATGCATTCTGAAATTTCTCTCTTTTTCTTTCTAGCTTTAATTCAACTAGAGGGTTAGCTTTAGGACTAGAGCTCTTTGCTCAGCCTTCCCACAACATTCTCTCACCTATTTTTTTTAATTTTTTTAAATTAATAAACTTTATTGCAGGGAGGCAGTTTTAGGCTTACAGAAAACTTGAGCAGAAAGTACAGAGTTTCCATATATCTCCTGAATCTGGCTTCCCAGTTTCTCCAATCCTTAACTTCTTAGATTAGTGTAGTCCATCTCTTATAACTGATGAGCCAATACTGATGTATTATTATTAACTAAAGCCCATAGTTTACATTAGGGCTCGGTGTTTGTGTTGTTCTCTCTTGACTCATCTTTTTCTTGTCCATTCTTTCCATGGATCTCTCTACTTCCTGTACTAACCCCGCTTTTATTGGATCGTCCTGCCTTGCTGCATCATTTGCCCGGAGCTATATCCGAGTCATTAGCGCCTTTGCATTATTCCTCCCTAGCTTCAAAGTAAAATCTATGTTTTCAAACCAATCTCCACATTTTTAAAATTTATTATTTTAGAGACATAGTCTCACTCTGTCACCCAGGTTGAAATGCAGTGACACAATCCTACCTCACTGCAACCTCGACCTCTGAGCTCAAGCAATTCTCCCACTTCAGCCTCCTAAGTAGCTGGGACTACAGGGGCATGCCACCACGCCTGGCTAATGTTTGTATTTATTAATTTTTTTATTTTTTATTTATTTATTTAATTTATTTATTTATTTTGTAGAGATGGGTTATTACTACATTGCCCAGGCTGGTCTCAAACTTCTGGACTCAGGAGATCTTCCCACCTCAGCTTCCAAAAGTGCTGGGATTACAGGCATGATTGACCATGGCCAGCCTCCACATTTTTAAATAGTTAAGTCCCCATATGTACATTTAACACAAGTCTTCCTGGCTGGACCAATACTGTCTTCCCTCTTAGAGTGAGTCTTCCCTCTGAAAAACCCCCTGGGATTCCATCCTGGGGGGATTCCCCTGGGATTCGTCCAGCCTACATGTGTTTTTGCACATGTCTAGCAGAGGGAAGAATCCACGGGGAGAGCAAAATCCACTGCTTTTCTCAACCATTCCCAAAAGGTGCTCTCTCTCACCACTCATTCACTATCACTCCTGTCCTGGTCGGACCAAAGGAACAGAAAATACAATGCATATCAAGAGCCTGTGACCCCCACCTTCCTTCCTTCCCAGACCCTCCTTAAGTAGCTTAACAAATTAGTTAATGAGAGAACATCTGCAAAACCCACTAGGTTTGGAATGAAAGGCCCATCAAGGCAAGATGTTAGTGGTGGTCCTGTCTTCAGAAGGTGACTTTCCCATTCTTCTCAATGTCCCTGTCACCCATGCTATTGACACCCCAGGAGTCTATCCTCAGGCTCAGAGACGTCCTCCTAGCAATGACCCATTCCCTTGGCAACACCTTGACTCAGGTTTGTCACCAACTCCAACAAAAGTAGAAACTCAGTACCTGCCAGAGTCATAATGTTAAGAAGCTGATATTTGGGTAACGCTTATTGTTTTATTAAAGACTTTCATATCCGATTTACTGACTGTGAGTTTCAGGCCAATGGCACATTTAGGCCACATCAATATGAATCAATTTGACTGGATTCAGAATAGTATATGTACAGATAATTCAATCAGATAACTGCATTTTTTTTATTAACATGACACTAGTGATGAATTCTTTCTACTCTTCAATCAGATGCTTTGACACATATAGTCATAGATTAAATTACCATTCTGTTTTTCTGCTTTATAAGAGCTGGGTTAGGGAAAAAAAAAAAAACTGTCTTGGCACAATTTTTTAAATGGTATTTTCAAATCACAGAGGGGATTTACCATTTCCTCACAAGCTAAAATGCCTTTAGGATGTGTGTTTAACTGCATTCTCACCCCATCGTGTGCTGCACAGGACTTACAAGCCCCAGTGGAGAATCTGGGGCCAGTTTTATCATTAAATAAACTCTGGAATGCCCCAGGCAGGGTCGTTAACTTGTCTCCACTACAGACTATATGTCCAAATAGCCACCTCCCTTCTGTGGGTTCCCACAGGGCGCTGGGTGTGCTCCATAGCCCGACCCCCTGACATAAGGGGACAATTGGGCCATTATATTTGGACCAAGATCAAGCAGCCAGCTCAGTTCAGCTCTGTACACAGGGATGAAAAAAAAGAGCACCAAATATAGACCACTGGACAATTTATTTGTCTTAAGAGTGTTTAAGACACACAAGCAAACCCCGGCAGGCTATCAATGGTCAGCTTTGTGCAATAACCACGCAAACCTAAAGAGTATTCTATGTGGATACCATTTAAAAACTGTATGGTGGGTCACACCACATAGGTGGCCTTGGCAAGGGTCTCACTCTTTGCATCCGTAACAACCCTGGAGACTAAGAACCCACCCCAACACCCTTATCCACATTGTGTTTTTAAAGATTTGTATCATTGTCTTGCTCAAAATATCAGTTTGAAATCCCCATTTTTTCCCAAAAATAAAATATTAGAATGAATGAGACTCTCAAAACTTCCAAAAACTCTTCTTATCCAAATCTCTAATTTTTAGAAGAGGAAACTAGCATCAGCAAAGTTTATACTCACCAGTTAAGCCAGCTTTATTAGAATTCTATTAGGTTGGTACAAAATTAATTGCAGTCTTTGCCATTACTTTTAATCAACTATCAACTATCAACTCACTGTCCAATATTTTTTTAGCCTAGGTTACAATAAGAAATCAGCAAAACTGTTGACTGCCACTGAAGCACATACCTGTGTGCTCACAAGCCCGTCAGAAAACAGAAAAAGAAAAAGAAAAAAAAAAAACAAAGGAAGAAAGAAGGAAGGGAGAGAGGGAAAGACTTAAAGCCTGGTTTTCTCATTCATCATTTATAGCAGTGGTCCCCAACCTTTTCGGCCCCAGGGACTGGTTTTATAGAAGACAATTTTTCCACAAAGGGAGGGTGGGTATGGTTTTGGGATGAAACTGTTCCATCTCAGATCATCAGGCATTGGATTCTCATACAGAGCACACAATCTAGGTCCCTCGCATGCGCAGTTCACGATAAGGTTCCCCCTCCTGTGAGAATCTAATGCCGCCACTGATTTGACAGGAAGTGGAGCTCAGGTGGTAATCCTCACTCACCTGCCACTCACCTCCTGCTGTGTGGCCCAGTTCCTAACAGGCCACAGATCAGTATCAGTTCATGGTCCAAGGATTGGAGGCCCCTGATTTATAGTATGTCATTTGGATAGCAATGCTGCGAAGAGTTCCCCTCCACCTCCCAGAACCACCCTCTCCACTCTATCAAATCACATTCTATTACATTCATTCATCCATAATTTCCAAGGATTTCAACTAGCTGGTCTGGTGCCTCACTCTCTTCTGGAGAGGTAACTGTGCCATCCTTCCATGTCGTTCAGCACTGTGTATTGCACAAAGGGACTCCTGGGGACAGTGTCTTAACCCACAGCAGGAGAAGGCCTCCACTGCCATGCCAAGCTTTGAAGTCCTGGATCATTGCAAGGGTGAAGTCTCCAAGAAAAGGAAGCTGCTGATGGTCAGAAGAATAGAGTGGGGTGTGAATAAGTATAAAGGTTGCATGAGTGACAACTGTGAGCCTCTCTTGAAGACCAGTGTCTAAGCGATAGAAATCTGGACTAGAGGGGAAAAAAAAAAAAGCAAACCCATACATCCATACAAGCACAGGAAAAGATTGTAAGATCATTCAGCTTTGTGTTCCAACACTGTCATGGAGCTAAGCAAAGATGGAAGAAAGGACCTCAAAGCACCTCTCCCCTCCAGGAAGGGATGGCTGCCACCCGGTGTTGACAGAGCTGACTAGGGAGTTCCAAAGCCAGGAAGACTCAAAGAGGGTTGCAGAGTGTTTTTGTTCAAGCTGCTCCATCCACTTCAGCTTATTCTACCCAGCGTCCAGAGATAGGCCATATCCAATCAGCCCATGATCTAAGCCAGGTTTAAGGTGGCCGCAGCCCACAAGGGCCCAGTGGTAGCAGAATCCGCCACGCAGCAACCTTCCACTGTTTCCTCTGTGCTGAGATCCCCTTATCCCCTTGACTCAGCCCCACCAATGAGCCCCCACCTTTCCTCTTTCTTTCTTGTAGCCTCTAGCAGACACTGCGCCTGCAAGATAAAGAAGGGAAACGCTCTTGACCAGGAGAAGGGACACCTAGTCTAAGCTTCTTCCCTAATCAGCTGAGAACCAGAACAAATTCCTTAACTACTCTGACCTCTATCAAATGGCTCCTCATCTGTCAAGTTGGGATAAAAACCAGGAAGCAGAATACTTAACTGGTTAAGTGAGCAGCTCTGGGGCCAGAGAAACTTGAGTCTAAATGGCAGCTCAGCTGCTTCCTAGGTGGGTAAACTTGGATAAGTTTCTCGACCTCCCTATGCTTCAATTTCCTCTTCTTGCAAAATGAGGGTAACAAAACTGTTGTGTCCATGAATTGAGACAGTGTACAGGAGGGTTAAATGTGATAAGAGAACCTAAAGGCATTAGCATGGTACCTGGTGCGAAGTGAAATCACAATAAATGTTAACCATTTGCACTGCCATCATCACTGTCCTCTACCAAAGTGACAAAACAGTGTTGACATCTCCCTGAAAGGAATCAGGCGCTACGCATATTATTATCCTTAACACATGGCATCTGGTTTGTCAGTTCCTTCAGCCTGTTTCACTAGATGTGACTACGGGCAAGTGTAGATTTTTTTCACTTTGGAGAATTAATAGGATCTGAGAAACTGACATTTTCGCCCTCAATTCTCAATGAATTTAGAACAAAAGAAACCTGCAAAGCTCAGATAAACGTGAAAGAAAAATCACCAAGCACTGCTCTAACTTCTTTGAATCTTGTGCATCTCCTAGTGGTGATCTTTCAGAATAACTCTGAAAGCCCATTCAGAGTTACTGACCCAGTAAGGAAGAAACTGTGGAGAAGTTATTCAGACTTCTACGGTAGTCCGGGCCCAACGCACCAAGACATTTCACTATTAAAGGGACAGAGAGTAAGTCTCACTTCTCTCCAAAGAAGTCTCAGGGAAATTGAGGGCCAGGGAACTTTTTTTTTTTTTTTTTTTTTGGCAGAGTCACTTTATTGCCCAGGCTGGAGTGCAATGGCACGATCTCAGCTCACTGCAGCCTCCACCTCCTGGGTTAGAGCAATTCTCATGCCTCAGCTTCCCAAGTAGCTGGGACTACAGGCGTGTACCACCATGCCTGGCTATTTTTTGTATTTTTAGTAAAGATGGGGTTTTGCCATGTTGGCCAAGCTTTTCTCAAATTCCTGGCCTCAAGTGATCCACCTACCTTGGCCTCCCAAAGTGCTGGGATTATACATGTGAGCCACCACACCTGGCCAAGAGCCAGCAAACTCTTACCTCCAGCCTTCTGAGTACAAGAGCCACAAGACATGTTTTGCGTGCCCCCCCCCAAAAAAAATTGCAAGAAAACATCATTAACTAGCAAATCTCTAGTTTTGCTAGTTTTCCCTTTTGCTGTCTCCTGCCCTAATCCACCCCATCTCCAGCCCCAAGACAAAGCAGCAGCCGACAGGGCTGTATCTACCCCACACCGCCCCAAACCCGGGGACTCCTTGGCCTTTTAAGTGTGTCCCACAAGGTACCAAAGCCTGCAGAATAAAATGAGGGCCACGCGAAGGACCTGGACTGTGGAATCAGCCAGACCCTGCCACTCCCTGACTGTGACCTTGGGAAAGTCGTTTCATATTTCTAAGCCTCGGGATTCTCCTCCAAAATGGAGATGCTATCCACTTTGTAGGGCAGTTGTAAAGAATGCACAACAATAGTCACAGAAGTGCCTAACTGTGTGTCAGGCACATAACAGGCCCTCAGCCTATATGTTCCATCCCCAGACCTCTTCCCAGGCTTGCTCAGAGCCCTGTGAGACATTAACTCTGAAAGAGCTAAGAGACTAGCCTACAACATGGGGCCCCCTGCAAGTGGTATTTCCTAAGAGGGCACTGTCTCTAAACAAAGATCCATATAGTGCCTTCCGGTCTCTATCCCATCCACACTGCATAAAGATGTCCTTGGCAGTGTTAGCAATTTTGTTTGATAGCAACGATAGCTAAGTGATTATATAAATTACCATAAACTCACAAGATAGACTATTATGCAGCCATTGAAATGTTTATAAAGAACTTGCTATAACATGGAAAGTGTTTATGCTATAACAGAGTTCAAAAAGCAGAGGAAAAACCTGCACATACACTATAATGACAACTTTGTTAACTATGCGAAGACAGGATCCTGGCAAGAAATATAAGACGCTATTAACTGTAGAATTCTCTAGGTGGTAATACTTGGATAAAATTTTTTCTATGTATTTTAAATTTTCAAAAATTTCTCTAATTGCCATATATTAATTTCATAGTCAAAAATAAGAAAATAAAATGTGTTGGGGTTTTCAATTCCTTGCTGAATTACCAGGACCAATGATTTGAAGCAAGAGGGATTGGGCAGATCTAGTAAACCATAATGGCTATGTGTTTGTTTGTTTGTTTGTTTGTTTAATTTTATTTTATTTTAGATTCGGGGGTACCTGTGCCTGTTTATTACATGGGTATATTGCATCTGGTAGAGATTGGGCTTCTAATGTACCCATTACCCAAATAGCAAACATTGTACCCAATAGGTAGTTTTTCAACCCTTTTAATGGCTATTTGAGTGGAAAAAATTTATACCAACAACTTATTGGAGAATACGACGTGCCCGGAAAGCACAAGTATTCAAAAGTGATCCACTGGTAACTGTGCAAGGAATAAAACTTATGTTATTTCTCTACAATAATTTAATTTCTAATTCAAATTACTTCCTAATTATGCCAGATGGTAGAAACTAGATCTTTGTCAATTCACGGTCCCTTCACACCTTTTCTTTCAAATGTCATCTAAACTACAGGAAGCTTACGTAGTGACAAAGCAGTGTTTGAAGGTAGAGGAGGGGTGCAGAGGCAGGGACAGGGGCGGCATCTGCTCTTAGCTGGCCTCACACAGCCCAGCTGGTGTCCCTGAGATACCCCATTCACGTCCAACAGGAGTCATTGATCCACACAGACAGTGTCACAGCTGGTCCTCCAACCACAAGGTCAACTGTGCTTTGCAGCTCGCTCGCTCTCAGATGGAACCAGAAAACCACAAGCTCTGTACCCAGTGGAACACAAGCCTAAAACTCTTTTTTTTTTCTCCACTTACTGCCTTTATCCATGTTTTATCCCTTGATGACACCTTAGGCACATTCTTCAGCTTTTCCATCTCTTTGAGATATTAAAAAGTTTAATCTAGTTTAGTATAAAACGTCAACCTTTATGTCCAATTCAAGATCTTTCCTTTGACCCAGCTCAGGCCTAATCCCTGACCCAAAGGACCTATCCTACAAGGGATCCCAAGGGCAGGAGTATCATCCACTCCCTTTGCCTCCCTGCATCCCTGCTTTGCCTCTCCACGGTGCGGAAGGAGGAGAGGTGGAGGTTTGTTTTGCTCAGCTCTCCCAGCTGCTTTGGCTGGCTGTGCTTTCCTGGAAGCAAGTATCTCCAAGCTGCCTCCCTTGGCAGGGCACAGGCTCCTACATGTGAGACATCCCCTTGCACAACCTCTCCTGATCTCCCTGGGCTCCTGCCCCAGACCCTGTCCCCCCTTTTTACTCCTGGGGCCCTCTGGCCTGCATCAGACCCTCCTGAGTGGGTTATCCATAAGAAGGCACAAGCTCAAGCTCAGTGCCCACTTGGCCTGCAGGAAATTCAAGAATCATTGATCCAACATAGAGTAGGAATCCACGCTGCCCTACTATAGCTCATCTCGCTTCACTTCCAGTCTCTTCAATTCATTACCCTCCAGTTCAAACAGGAGCCAAGTGAGGAACACTAATTTGCTATATAAGGGAAATCCAACTGGGTAATAAGGTATCAGCCCTACTTTCTCATTGGCATCCCACCTCTAGAGTGGCTCTCCTACAGTCGTGTGGCTTGGGGTCAGGACAGGAGATTATAGGAGAAGAGAAGAGCCATGGTACTCTCCCTATGACTACAACGGACTCTCCAATAAACTATCCTGCTTCACAAACTTCTCTTTGAATATCTAGTCTACTCTTTATAATGGCTGGATAGATGATGGCAAGACCTCAGAACAAGGTTACCATCTCACAGAAGTTCAATAATATCCTTTCATGATAAGGTTGTTTAACCCAGGTCATTCCATTGTGGGGTTTTTGTTTTTGTTTTTGTTTTGATACAGAGTGTCACTGTCGCCCAGGCTGGAGTGCCCTGGTGCGATCTCGGCTCACTGCAACCTCCGCCTTCTGGGTTCAGGTGATTCTCCTGCCTCAGCCTCCCAAGTAGATGGGATTACAGGCACCTGCCACCAGGCCCAGCTAATTTTTGTATTTTTAGTAGAGATGGAGTTTCACCATGTTGGCCAGAGTAGTCTAGAACTCCTGATCTCAAGCGATCCGCCCGCCTCGGCCTCCTGAAGTGCTGGGATTACAGGTGTGAACCACTGCTCCCAGCCTCCATTGGGTTTTTAAGATGCCTATAAGATACAAGTGCTTTATTAAAAGTTCTAACACCTCTGTCTGGCACTTATACATTTGTCCCACTCATTACTCTTTTATAGGCATAATTTTAAAATAAATCATATTCACTCACAAGCACAAGAATCTTCAATGAAGTTATACTGGTAAAAAAATGTTTTTAAAACCAATAGGTCTTTATTCCCATTGGAAATTAGGTCAGTTGGCCACTAAACAATTGAAGAAAAAAGGAGAAAATCAAAGATGGCTTTGGCCTCTCCTAAGTCACTTGCCTATGGCAATGGCATGTGTGTGTGTGTGCCCAGGCACCATAGTCCCCATGAGGAGAAAACAGCTATATCCTTGCCTGCCAGATGGCCAGGATGGATTCCAAACTAAGAAAGCATCCATGAATTAGGGCGCTCATCCCAGCTACCTTGACTCAGAGCCTAGGGGACAATTCTAGAAAGGTCAGACCTGAAATAAAATAATTTCCCAGTAAGAACACTTAGCTCCCTTCTGATGTTAACCCAGCACCAATGGGCCAAATCCCAAACTCTCCTGCCCATAGCAGGGCCTGAAGCCTTCCTGTTTGACAATGAACATCAAATCTACATTAAAAATAAAATAAAATAAATGCCTTCCCTTAACCTTGCCCTCCCATCAGGCTACTAAAACAATTCCTTTTACCACCAAGGTTTTCAAAAATGTGTCTCTAGCTGACTCCTCTTCGTCACTACTTAAAGCTATGATTCCTTTAAATAGCTATTCCCAGGGGTGGGATTCACAAGATTTAACAACTGAAATGGCATCAACCAAACTGGAGCACCCACAAAACAGACCAGCAGCAGCCATGGAGAGCCAGTGTAGCAGTGCCAGGGGTTGGGGAGGCACAAGTGAACAGCCTCCCATACTCACCCATTCTACAAGGTTAAACAAAAACACTCAATTTAATACTAGCATGGTGGCTAGTATAAAATGTCTTTTCCCTAATGCCTCACTGGTATTTTTCCAGGTCTACAAGTTCTTGACCTGACTTAGAATGTCTAAGGATAGGAATCCCCACACCATTCTTGGCTCCCACCAACAACCCTGAAATCCAGGCTCACTGCTGGCTCCCTCCGTCTCTTTCCTAAGAAACCTCAGACCACTCAGGAGCTGTGGATAGGTTGAATTGCGCCCTCCAAAAGGATTTGCTGATGCTCTAACGCCAAGTGCCTCAGAATATGGCCTTATTTGGCAATAGGGTTGCTGCAGATGTGTTTAAGATAGGTCATAGTGGAATAGGATGGGCCCCTAAACCAATATGACTGGTTCCTTATAAGAAGACGAAATTTGGACATAGACACAAATGGCAGATAGCTGCTGGGAGAAAGAGGGTTAGAGTGATGCTGCTATAAGCCAAGAACATCCGGGGCTACCAAAGCTGCAAGAGGCAAGGAAGGATACCTCCCTCCGTGTTCAGAGGGTGTGTGGCCCTGCCCACACTGTGATTTTGGACCTCCAGCCTCCAGAACTGTGAGAGAATAAATTCCTGTCATTTTAATCCACCCAGTGGGTGGTACTTTGTTACAGCAGCCGTAGGAAGCTAATACAACAGCCATCTTGAATTCTCTCACTCACCTCAGCTCACTTGCAGCGCGCTTCGAGATTTCAAAAGGTTGAACCTCACATCTTTTTCTTCCTTTCATGGCCAACTTCTCCTTCCCAATCCTATTATATTACCTTCTCTCTCTGCGGGGAGTTATCTCCAGTCTCCCCGGTGGCCTCTTCCCCACCTAAAAGCTACCTGAGACAATTTCTCCCTTGTATTTTGAAAACCAAGATAGACTTAAAAATGAAAATCTATTTTTGAATTAGAAGATGACATATTTGGGAATTCTATGTGAACCTCTTAGGAACACCCTTTATCCCACATTGGGATACTTTATTTGAGGAAGCAAGTTTGAACCAGCCAAATGCTATAATTCTACCTTAGAAACTCAACGCTGACTAACGCTTCTGAAGAGATTTAGTCTTGTCTCATTTCTACTCGTGTTTTGTTCAATATTTCCACCATACAATTTAGACATGTTCTGGACATAATTTTACAAAAAACAAAATTAAAAAATTTAAGTAGTAGAAGTTCACTTAAAAGCTATTACTGCCTAAAAATGATAAATAAACTTTGGAAAACCTTATTACCTACAGTTAGCTTCTGCCTTTATTAAAAATATACTAGAACTGATCTTTTTTTATAATATACATACTTCTTATTCCAATAGCTTTTGGAGTACAGATGGGTTTTGTTTACGTGGTGAAATCTGAGATTTTAGTAAGCCTGTCATCCAAGTAGTGTACATTGTACCCAATATGTAGATTTTGTATGCCTCAACCCCCTCCTATCCTCCACCCCCTCCTACCCTCCACCCAAGGTCCATTATACCACTCTGTATACCTTTGTGTACCCATAGCTTAGCTCCAACTTATAAGGGAGAATATATGGTATTTGGTTTTCCATTCCTGAGTTAAGTCACTTAGAACAATGGCCTTCGACTCCATCCAAGTTGCTGTGAAAGATGTTACTTTATTCTTTTTTATGGGTGAGTATTATTCCATGGTGTATATATACCATATTTTCTTTATCCATTTATCAGTTGATGGGCACTTAGGCTGGTTCAATGTCTTTGCAATTTTGAATTGTGCTGTTATCTTTTTGATAAAATGACTTCTTTTCCTTGGCATAGATACCCAGTAGTGGTCTTGCTGGATTAAATGGTAAATCTACTTTTAGTTTTTTGAGAAATCTTCATACTGCTTTCCATAGAACTTGTAGTGATTTACATTCCTACTAGTAGTGTATAAGCATTCCCTTCCCATGACATCCATGCCAACATCTATTGTAGAACTGATAATTTCTAAATCTGCAAATATAGCCTATATCAGTGATGTCCAAATTGTTTTAATTACTCTCCCATCATAAAAAATTGTGTGCATGTACTCACTGTATATTTATAGAATGCATACCTGTATACTGCCCATTAAAATGCACTAAGCTTAGAATTTTAAAGGATAAAATTGAATCTAAGTATAAATAACAGTTATTTTGTCTTTTACATAGACCTCTTGAGAAGCCCACTTTGGAGACCACTGGCTTACATACTAGTGAATCTGAAAAGTAAAGAGCAAAATCCTGAGTTACTTCAGCAGTTAATAAGGAGGATTGGAGGTATTCAAGAAGAATCACAGAACTGGGCTATAGGGAATTCATTTCAGGCCCTATGACTCTTCTTTCACTTATTCAAAACTCTTTCTGCCACCACTGCTCATGTTAGCACATTAACAAAGTATAAAAATGGACAGAACATGGCACATGTATACATATGTAACAAACCTGCACGTTGTGCACATGTACCCTAAAACTTAAAGTATAGTAATAATAAAATTTTTTTAAAAATGGACAGAACAAAGATCTCACCAACAGATCAACAATAAATAGTTGCAGACAATGATATACAGAAGAGAAAACCTCAAATTTCAGAATAGTATCGATCTTCACAAATAGAAATAGTAAAATAGCCATACATTGAGACGAAACATCATATAATTAAGCCTCTGATGTAAGACCAGGTTAAGAGAAGAGGAGTGAGTCAAGAGCGTTGGGTCACTTTGGCCGGGCGCGGTGGCTCACGCCTGTAATCCCAGCACTTTGGGAGGCCGAGTCGGGCGGATCACGAAGTCAAGAGACAGAGACCGTCCTGGCCAACATGGTGAAACCCCATCTCTACTAAAAATACAAAAATTAGCTGGGTGTGGTGGTGCGCGCCTGTAGTCCCAGCTACTCAGAAGGCTGAGGCAGGAGAATCTCTTGAACCCAGGAGGCAGAGGTAGCAGTGAGCTGGGATCTCACCACTGCACTCCAGCCTGGCGACAGAGCCAGACTCCATCAGAAAGAAAAAAAAAAAAAAAAAAGAGTGTTGGGTCATTTACTAAAAATAAGACACAAACAGGGTTCATATGATTTAGAATATGCCATGCAACCCCTATAAAAATATCTCTCTGCCCATCTTTCTGGACTTGGTATGGGCCTTTTCCTGAGGCCAGTAAGACCATTGATTAGGGACTTTCATGATTAGATATTATATCCTAGAGTTTTAAGTCTTTACTGCAGCTCCCACTTACTGAGTCCTTGATAAGTACCTTGCAGACATTATCTCACCCAACTTCCCAGGGCCATGTTTCCTCATCTATGTACAGTAATTACAATAACTGCCCCCACAGTATGGTTATTATGATCAAGTAACTCATCCAGGATCACACAGGAATTAGTTGCCAGAGACAGGATTCCGGGCCAGGGCAGTCAAACTTCCATGGGCTCACCACTCCTATACTAACGGTCAGGAATAAACACCTCTTCATTACACCTGATCAGAGACACAACATCAACTTGCCTTTTCAACAATCCTCGTTACGCCACTGCATCTTCTTTCCTACTCAGCAAATCAGATAGAGGGGGAAAGCACTAAGCAATGAGTTGTCTCATTCTTACTCTTTTTTTCCTTCATAGCCTCAGTTGTTTATTATTGGAGTTTGGGAGGACCCAATAAATCATAGTCCCTCCTCTGCCAGAGTTCTAAATTTATTTATTTAGAACATCATAAAAACACTCTCTAATGACAGTATCTGATGCCCTATGTATAAATTTAAGCCCACTCACTATGAAGTTCCTAGAAAGAAATTAAAACACTCAAATTAAATCTCTTTACAAATTTAAGTCTTAAAAAGGGAAAATTCCAAAGGGATTTAAGTCTAAAATCAAATTCACTTTCCCTTACATATTAAAAATCCAAAGAAACCCTCCAAAACTCCTCTTTCTGGCAACAGAGCTGAATAAGCATTATGAAAACCTCTCCTACTAAAGGACACTTAATAACGCTGAAAATAATATACAAAGTGTTTCTGTAAATGCCTAGCAGCGGAGCTGGCAAGAGAGTAACAGAAATCCTTTATGGTCAAATGTTATTTAAGAAATAAAAATCCAGCAAGATAACTAAACATTGAAGCCAACAGCTACCCCCAGAGACACAGTGACCTCTGGTTGCCTAGACCTTGGGTTTCAATGAGCTGCAAGTAACAAAGCTTATATCCTGAGGAAGGTGAGATGCCAGATGAAAGACTCCTGATAGAGCCTGGACCCCCAAAAGATAATACCCTCAGAGAAAGAAAAAGCAATAACCCCATGAAGATAAACCATAAAGAAACTTGACTCCTTGTTATGGATCAAGAGGGAGAAAGCATATTTTCGGAGAATTAATATCCGTAAACTGATCTCCAATTGGGTCTGGGACTGGATTTATAGTAAGCATATGGCCAAAAAAACCTTCAAGTTGAACATTTATTTTAAAGTAGTCCCAGATTGGTAGTGCCACTAGTCACATCAAAGAGCCAAATATAAGTTATCTCTGAAGGAATGCAATATAATCCAGTCCTGAGAGAATTTTCACAGATAAAAGTTCTCAGGGACATGAGCTCATACTTTAAAATCACAAAAATAAACACAAAAATGAAACCAAAAAACAAGCCAATATGACTGAGAGTTGACAGAAAAACAAACCATATTAAAAAATTGGGCTAGTCAAGGTGGCTCACCCCTGTAATTCCAGGTCCAAGTGAGTGGATTGCTTGAGCTCTCAGAAGTTCAAGACCAGCCTGAGCAACATGATGAAACCCCATCTCTACAAAAAACACAAAATTTAGCTGGGCATGGTGGCACATACCTGTGGTCCCAGCTACTTGGGAGGCTGAGGCAGGAGGATCATTTGAGCCCAGGAGGTCAAGGCTGCAGTGAGCCAAGATTGTGCCATTGCACTCCGGCCTGGGTAACAAAGTGAAACCCTGTCTCAAAAAAAATTGAATAATATTCGTCATTAATATAGGTATTGAAATTATCAGATATAAAACATAAATTACGTTAAATGTTTAATGGAATTAACAAGTTTGAAATTATGACAATGTAAAAAAGAGTTCAAGCAGGCTTAAAAGTTTGTTAATATAATATTTTAAAATTAAAAATATAGTAATCCAAATTAGAAACTCATGATTAAAAATAAACACATCAGATTAAACATAAAGAGTCATGTACCATAAAATCTGAATAATTTATTCATAATAAATCACAGAAAGACCAAAAGATGTACAATATAAAAGGTTAAAAGATATGAAGGACAGCATAAAGAAGTGTAATGCAGTGCTTGTCAAATTTTAATGTGTACATTAATCTCCTGGAGAGCTTCTTAAAATGCAGATTCTCATTTAGTAGTCTGGAATGGGATCTGAGATTCTGCACTTTAAACAGACTTCCTGAGCAAGCCAGTATTGCTAGTTCACAGACCACACTTGGTTAGCAAGTATGCAATATGTGTCTAATCAAAAATCCAGGAAAGGCCCAGGCGTGTGGCTCACACCCGTAACCCCAGCACTTTAGGAGGCTGAGGTGGGCAGACCACCTGAGGTCAAGAGTTCTAGACCAGCCTGGTCAACATGGTGAAACCCCATCTCCATTAAAAATACAAAAAAATTAGCCAGGCATGGTGTCATACACCTTTGGTCCCAGCTGCTCGGGAGGCTGAGGCAGGAGAATTGCTTGAACCTGGAAGGCAGAAGTTGCACTTAGCTGAGATCAAACCACTGCACTCCAGCCTGGCTGACAGTGCAATACTTCATAAAAAACAAACAAACAAACAAAAAAGCTAGGAAAGAAGACAAAGGAAAATGGAGAAAAATACAAAATTACAAAGAATATTAGCTGGAAATTTTTCAAAATTATGAGAAAACACAAATCTTTAGAATCAAAGATGCCAATGATTAGCAAACAAGATAAATTCATAAAAAATACATTTATTAGTATTTGAATTTATGAAAGACAAGGAAATTTATACCTAGGCATGCTGTAGTAAAATTACAGAAAGTCAAAGAAAAAGATGAACTTAAAAAGAAATACATTACTAACAAAAGAATGAAAAATAGACAAGATTCTCAGTGGAATGTGTAACAATGGAAGCTGGAAGACAGCAGAACATATTTTCAAAGGGCTGAAGAAAACAACTGTCAACCTAGATATTTATATCCAGCAAAAGCATATAAAAATATTTAAGACAAATGAGTTTTCTACCAACCAATCTAAAGGAATTTCTAAAGGATGTACTTCCTTTAGGAAAAAAAGATTCCAGAAGTAGGGTCTGAGATCCAAGGAAAAATGTTGTGCAAAGAAATTGTTATACATGTGAGAAAAACCTAAATAAATGGACTTAATCAAAAGCTAAAACTACCATCTAATTTACTGTGTTAAAAAATGAGGGAGAACTAAAATATCAGACTAAAAATAATGTATAAGTAAAAATGTGCATATTGAAAGTTCTTTTGGTAATTAGTAAAAATATTAGAAACAGAGTATGTAAGTTCCTAACTAACATGGGAAGGCAGAGTGAAGAAATGAGAATAGTCAATCTAAAACAAGAAAGGGGCAAGGAGGAATGAATAGCAGACAAATAGAAGTCACAAAATAAGATGGTGGAAATAAACCCAAACACAGAAGTTACCACAATTAATAAAAATGGTCGCTACACCCCAGTTAAAGGACAAAGATCATCAAATTGGCTGCAAAAACAAAATCTCCTTATATGCCCTTTACTGGAAGCATACCTAAAGTATCAGAGCAAAAAGTTATTGAGAATAAAAGGATGAAAATGTACAAAGTAAAAGTTGATATAACTAAGAAGAGGAGATCAATTCACAGTATAGTGGGAAATTTTAACACACTTCTATCAGTAATTAATAAATGAAATACACATTTAAAATCAGTAGGGTCATAGAAAATTTAAAATACACAATAAGCAAGCTTGACATAAATAATATAAAAAACTATGCCAGCAACAATCAAACTCATTCTTTTTAAACATTTGAGAACTGACTATGTGCTATATAAAGCAAGCCTTGACAAATTGCAAAGTTTCAGCACATATTCTCTGACTTCAATGCATCAAAGTATAATTTTTTAAAAATTAAAAAACATGACTCATAAAAATATAGAATGAACATGTGCTGAAGAGGCAACTTGTAAAATGGGGAAGTTGGTTCAAAAAGTATTTGAGAAACGGTATTTGTAATCATTTTGAAAAAAGAATGTTACAATAAGATTGGTGGATTAACACTTTGGGAGGCCGAGGCAGGCGTATCACCTGAGGTCACGAGTTCGAGACCAGCCTGGCCAACATAGTGAAACCCTGTCTCTACTAAAAACACAAAAATTAGCCAGGCGTGGTGACATGTTCCTGTAATTCCAGCAACTTGGGAGGCTGAGACAAGAGAATCACTTGAACCCAGGAGGCACAGGTTGCAGTGAGCCAAGATCGTGCCACTGCACTCCTGCCTGGGCAACAGATTGAGACACTGTCTCAAAAATAAAAAAATTAAAATAAAAAGAAAGATTGCCGGATTAGATACAAAACCAGTTAGTGACCTATAGGGCAATAAAACCATAATTTTTAAAGTTTTCTTCCTTATAGATAAAAATCTACAAACTAACATGTAACTTCACAAAATCTGGGCTTTTGTTCAAGAGTGAATAGCAAGTGAAATAAAGGTGCACTAGTCTAAATAACTAGATAATCCTTGGCCAGTTAAACAGTGCTCCAATCTGATATCAAAAGAATGTGTTACCATCCTTTTATCTTATTTCTAAGTTTCAGGTAATTTTTCTTAACATGTATTAGCTTTGTGTATGGGTTTTCTTCTAAGCAAGGGAAGTTACAATAGTGGGAGTAAAATTATAACCTTCAGTAAAAAAGAAAAAGCCCTCAGTTCCACTGTGGTATTGGCAGTACTATATTTTAAGACATTTTCAAACAAGTGCCTTTTTCGAGGGTCACCTCTGCTGAGAAGTACAACCCCAGGCTTCTGTGATTCTCGGTTTGTGGAAGATTTCACTGCCACCCAAGCCCTGCCATTACTGCAACCTCAACCCCACTGACCCAAGCTCTGCTTATATCTGGAGCCAGCCCTGCTTTAATTAAAGGGTTGCCAATATTTTCATCCTTTTTAAAATGCATTTTTATATCTCCTGTGGCAGTCCGCTTGGACAGACAAAATTATTTCCCCAGGAGCCAGTTATCGTTTCTGTGAATGCACTGCTTAGAAAGTTGCCTAGGTTTTGAGGGCTATGCCCCAAACCTATTTGTCCCATAAACCTATCATTTTAATGTGTAACTTTATAGTATGAAAGGTTTTCAGACATATATATGCCACATTATAGCAGAAACTACTTTATTTCATAGGGTGCTTGAAATAGCAGGAGGCATTTTTCATACTGCAAGAGGCAAAAAGTTGTGGTAGATAAGGGATATAGCTAACAGATTGACAGATATTACCAATCATATCCAATAATTTGTCTACTATTACAGAAAAGAAAATCGCATTACTGGTAAGATTATGGCATGCAAGAACATGATTATGGCATGCAATGTATTCTTGTTTAGGAATACAACTTGAAATAGATTTTCAAACTTTTTATTCTGAGCTTATTTGAGTTTAGGTTTCAAATTGTGCAGAAACATCTCTCCAGATGGAGCTACTGCAAAGAAAAGAGACAGCAACCTTTTACTCATATTCTCGTTTTAAACATTAATTTATAATACCATCTTATTCATAAATGCTTTAGTTGCCAAAAAAATGAATCCTGATATTCACATGGCATTACCTGTTGCCATTAAATTGTAAATAGTATTGAATCCAGGATACTAAGCTCATATTTTTAAAAACTGTTGTATGTGAGGAAGTGCAATCAGCTCATATTTAGTGATTGTTCCCTCAGAAGTGACCATTGCCATGGGGCTATATGTTAACATGCTGTTGTTGTCGTTAATATAAAAGTGAAAACAGACTTTTTTCTGAAAGAAAAAAGTTTGTTAGATGAGTCTGACACGGCTGGCTGGCTTTGTCACTTAGGTTATATGGTAGGCATTTTCTAAAGGTTGAATGAATTCTGTGTGCAGTGCAAAGATTTTGACAAAAAAAAATTTAGAGCATTTTATGAAAATGTTATATTGGCAAAGCTGCATTGATATTAGCAATATTTATTTTCACAACTTCTGAGTATTTTCGATTAAACATGGTGAAAGAATAGTAAGTATAATTCATAGTCATTTCATAAGCCTTGGTAATGATTTTTTATTACTTCACAGAAATTTAGAAAGTGAATTATCTAATGACTGAATAAGCATCGTTTTTCAAGATATGTGGCTTCCAAGTTTTTGCTTTCAACAAAATTAAAAATATTAATTAAAAAGGATATAAGATACAAAATAATTTCAATAAATGAATAAAAGCATTTAATAAAATACTATATCCTTTCATTATTTAAATATATACTCAATAAGCTAGGAATAGATAGGAACTTTCTCAACCTGATAAACGGTATCTGGGGAAAATCTATAGCTAATATGATACTTAAAAGCAAAAGACTGAATATTTACCCCCGATATTGAGAAAAAGACAATGAATGGTGTCTGCTCTCAAGACTTTTATTCAGCATTGTACTGGAAGTTCTAGTCCAGCCAATTAGACAAGAAAAAGAATACAAAACATCCATATTGGAAAGGAATAAGTAAAACTATCTGTATCTCATTTGTAGAAAATCCTAAGGAATTCACTTAAAAAACTATTCAAACTAGTAAACGAATTCGGCAATGCTGCAGGATACAAGATCAATTTACAAAAGTCAATTGCATACATAAACAACGAACAATCTAAAAATAAAATTTTAAAAACAATTTTATGTGAAATAGCATCAAAAAAATAAAATGCTTAGGAATAAATTTAACAACATTGAAAACTACCACACATTGCTGAAAGAAATTAAGAAGGCTTAACAAATAGAAAGATATCCCACATTCATGGATTGGAAGATTTAATATTGTAAAGATGGACACAGTCCATAAATTGATGTACAGACTCAACATACCCCCAATCAATATCTCACCAGGCCTTTTTACAGAAATTGACAAGCTAATCCTAAACTTTATATGGAAATCTAAGGGATCCAAAACAGCCAAAGAAATCTTGAAAAAACAAAAAACTTAGATAACTTATACTTCCTAATTTGAAATTTTATTAGAAAGCTATAATAACGAAGAGAGTGTAGTCTAGCATAGGGAGACATATAGGCAATGGATCAGAATTAAAAGTCCGAAAACAAATCCTTACATCATGGTCAGTTTATTTTCAACAAGGGTTCCCAAACAATTCAACAGAGAAAAAACAGTCTTTTCAACAAATGGTACTGGACCAACTGATATCCTCATGTAAAAGAATGAATCTGGACCCTCTAACTTCATACCACATATACAAATTAATTCCAAATGGATTAAAGACCACTTAATCCAGTTATGTTTTAGTAAGAGCTAAAAACCATAAAACTCTAAGAAGAAAATATGGAAATAACCCTCATGACCTTGGGTTGGCAATAGATTCTTAGATATGACACTAAAATTCACAAGCAACAAAAGAAAAAATAGATAAATTGAACTTCATCAAAATTAAGAACTTTTCTGCTTCAAAAAATACCATCAAGAAGGTGAAAAGACAACTCATGAAATGGGGGAAAATGCTTGCAAGTCATGTATCAGTTATAGGTCTTGTACTCAGAATATGTAAGGATCTCTTGTTAACTCAATAATAAGAAGCCACATAATGCAATGAAAAAGTAGGCCAAAAAGCTGAATGGACATTTTTTCAAAGAAGTTATATATAAATGGTCAATAAGTATATGAAGATGCTCAACATCATTAATCATTAGTAAAATGCCAATCAAATCCACAATGAGATTCTATTTCTCGCCTATCAGGAGGCTATCATCAAAAAGACAGACAGTAACAAGTGTTTGTAAGAATATGGAGAAATTGGAATTCTGATACCTTTCTGATAGGAATGTAAAATAGTACAGCTACTTTGGAAAATAGTTTGGTCATTTCTCAAAAATTATATAGAGTTATTATATTACCCAGCAATGCTATTCCTACATATATACCTAAGAGAACTGAAACAATAAAATCACATAAAAACTTGTACTTGAGGCCGGGCGCGGTGACTCACACCTGTAATCCCAGCACTTTGGGAGGCCGAGGTGGGCGGATCATGAGGTCAAGAGATCGAGACCATCCTGGCCAACATGGTGAAACCCCGTCTCTACTAAAAACACAAAAATTAGCTGGGCGTGTTGGTGCGCACCTGTAGTCCCAGCTAGTCAGAAGGCTGAGGCAGGAGAATTGCTTGAACCTGGGAGGCGGAGGTTGCAGTGAGCCAAGATCGCGCCACTGCACTCCAGCCTGGTGACAGAGCGAGACTTCATCTCAAAAAACAAAAACAAAAACAAAAAAACAAACAAAAAAGAGCTTGTACTTGAATGTTCATAATAGCATTATTTGTAATAGGCAAAAAGTAGAAACAATCCGAATGGCCACCGACGGGTAAAAGAATAAACAACATGTAGTGCGGATACCTCCCAATGTATCCACACAATGGAATATTATTTAGCAAAAAAGATAAAAACTACTGATGCATGCTACAACATGGATGAACCTCAAAAATATTATGCTAAGGAAAGAAGCCAGACATTAAAGATTACATATTTTATGATACCTTTTTTTTTTTTTTTTTTTTTTTTTTTTTTTTTTTTTTTTTTTTTTGAGACGGAGTCTCGCTCCGTCCCCAGGCTGGAGTGCAGTGGCACGATCTCCGCTCACTGCAAGCTCCGCCTCCCGAGTTCATGCCATTCTCCTGCCTCAGCCTCCCGAGTAGCTGGGACCACAGGTGCCCGCCACCACGCCCGGCTAATTTTTTGTATTTTTAGTAGAGACAGGATTTCACCTTGTTAGCCAAGATGATCTCGATCTCCTGACCTCGTGATCCGCCCGCCTCAGCCTCCCAAAGTGCTGGGATTACAGGCGTGACCCACCGCGCCTGGCTTTATGATCCCATTTATAGGAACTGTCCAGAAATGGAACATCTACAGAAACAGAAAGCAGATCAGTGGCTGCCTGAGGCTAAGAGTAAATAATAATTGACCGCAAACAGGCAAGAGGAAGCCTCTGGTGTGAAGGAAATATTCCAAAACCGGATTGTGATGATGTTGCACAAGTCAATAAATATACTAGAAATTATCAAACCGTACACTTACAATGGGTGATTTTTATGGTATGCATGTATAATAGACCTCACTAAAGCTGTTTTTAGGTAACTAGAAAAATGACAGTTACCTAGGTTTAAAATAGCATTTTTTCTATTACTTAATTTTTTTAAATAACTATTGTTTTTGTCATTTCCTGAACACTTATCATGAGAGAGGAGCTGGATATTACATTTTCAATGTTAGTATCTTATTTATATTCACCTCAACCCTATGAAGTGGTTCTATTTATTCCCATTTTTCAGAGGAAGTTACTGAGACTTAGAGCTTTGGCAACCTGGCCAGGATCAGAGAGAGATGGTAAGTAGCAGAGCTAGAGTTCAAACTCAGGCCTGTCTGACTTTAAAGCACAGGCCTATTCCCTAAGCCACACTGCTGCTCTGCTAAGGAGTGAAAAGGGTTTCAAAGAATCTTTTTTTAGCCAAAGAAAGAGTGGTTACTGAGGCCACAAAACCCTTTATTTCAAAGCATATCGCATGCTCTCTCAAAGCCAGTTCTAGATAATTTATTTCAAGACCTTTGCTGCTGACCTAAAATGGAAACTGGACAAGTGACTTAAAGACTCAGACCACCCAAGGTCTACCCAGCCTCTCCCAGCCTCTCATGATTTCTGGTTGGTTCAGCTGGTTGCAGAACAAATGAAATGAGTACCTCTGTTTAGTGCACATACAAATCTCCCAAGATGACCATTTAAATGGAAATTCTAGGGTCTCATGCTGAGATATTCTGGTCCAACAGGCCTGGGGTGGGGCCTCAGAATTGGTTTTTTTTTTTTTTTTTTTTAATTGAGAGAGGATCTCACTCTGTCACCCAGGCTGGAGTGCAGTGGTGCAATCACAGCTCACTGCAACCTCTGTTTCCCGGGCTCAAGCGATCCTTTCACCTCAGCCTCCCAAGTAGCTGGGACCACAGGCATGCGCCATCATGCCCAGCTAACTTTTTGCATTTTTGGTAGAGATGGGGTTTACCATGTTGTCCAGGCTGGTCTGGAACTCCTGAGCTCAGCAATCCTCCCGCCTTGGCCTTCCAAAGTTCTGGGATTACAGGTGTTAGCTACCGTGCCCTGCCAGAATCAGCATTTTTAACAAACATAGGAAAATTGTTAAAATCACAGGCTTCACTGATCAATGTACCCAGGTCTGAATACTGCCTTAAGCCATTGGCACCTTAGCATTGAGCATCTCTGAGCCTTAATCCCCTTATCTAGAAAAGAGTGTTGATAATAACTGTCTTTTAAAATTGCTGTGAATTTTTTATTACCAGATGCTTTGAGAAAGCCCTCAGTACGCAGTAGCTTTTTTTACACGTGTGTGTGTGTGTGTGTGTGTGTGTGTGTGTGTGTGTGTGTGTGTGTTTCCTAGAGAACCTGAGAGAATGGAGTTTTGCCAGCAGTCCAGATTGACTGCTTTTTCTCAGAATCAGCTCAGCAGCAAACACTGCTGGGCTGGAAGAAATCAACCCAACACAAAAAGCAAAATCACCAGGCCCACAGCCCTCAGGCACTGCCAATTTGTATCCCTTGTAAGAGACTTTTAATATTTGAAGCTGAATCTTATTGACTCACAAATTTATTCTGTTCTTGGCCTTCAAAAAGGATCCTGAAAAAAAAAAAATTAAGAGAAATCATGAGGCGAAGGTGACACCTACTGGCAGCGCGAGGGCCCTGCAGAGACCTTCCTGTTGCTCAGCTGCCTTGGCAGGGATTAATCCTCGAAGTACTCATCCTGCTGCCCTCGCAGGCAAAATACTATCAGTAAGGAAACAAGCAGACACGTAGCAAAACTTTACAGGCAGAAAGTTTACATCAAGTATTATTTATCAAAGTGAAATATTGGAAAGAATCTTTAGTGTTCGACAGTAGGAAACGGGTTAAATAAATTTTGGTACATCCATACAATGGAAGTACACAAGCAACAATTAAAAGCTTGTTTTTAAATCATTGTAATAACATGAAGAAATACTCGTATTAAAATAAGGGCTAAAAGCAGGTTATAGAACAACACAAATAGGATAATAATTAAGTAAAATTGTTGTATGTATATGCTCGTAGAAAGAAATCTAGAATGAAATGTAGAAAGTGATCATCTGTAAGATTAGTGTTTTCTTCTTTACACATGACAGTATTTTTCAATGCTTCTGCAATGGAAATGTATAGGGAATATAAAGCAAAAGAATAAAAAATAAATTCTTAATAAAGAAAAAGAATTTCAATGACATTTTAAGACAGAACCAGAGCCCCAAAACAGACACTGATAGAATAGTGGTGAATATCAGAGGCGAACAGTAAAGACTCAGATCTCAGGGACTATGATCAGAGAGGCCGATGAGAAACAGAGTCTGATCTATGCAATGACGTTAGCAGAATCAGATACGGCCACTTTGCAGGACAGTGGAACAAAAGAACAAAAATACAAGCCTGCGTCATTATCTAAGAGGCAGAAAGTTTTTTATTTTTCCTGGCCTAATCATCAGACTCTTACAACACCCTCTCTTTTTATCTCTAGAGAATTTTCATACATAAATGACTGATTAAAAGGTCTTCCCTGCTGGCTAAGTGCATACAACCGTCTCTGTCTCTTCAATGAATGTCTGATTGATGTACCTCTTATTTCTCCCACGGTATCGGGAGAGGCCCTGGCTCTATCACACACCAACTCTGAAACCAAAGGGAAGTCACTTGACTTCTCTCAGCTTCAATTTTCTCATTGATAAAAATAAAGATGACAATAGCCACCCAACTGACCTCCCACAGTTGCAATCTTTACATGAAATAATATGCTTTGAAAGCAACCCCGTGGGAATCACATGCAGGGTCATAGTAGCCAGTATCCTTCACTGAGTGATTAGGTGCCAGCCACTTCACAAGGTGTTTTCTTACATATTATTTCATTTAATCATCATAAAAAGCCTATGAATGAATATAATCTCCATTTTACACGTGGGAAACTTGAACTTATAACCTGATCAAAATTGAACAGGTTTTACATCGCAGAGCCAGGATTTGAATTCGGTTCTATCTCCAAAGTAAGGATCTTAAATAATAGGCTGTACTGCTCCACAGACTCTTAGAGCACAAAGGGACCCAACAAATCATTAGGCTGAGTCCCTGTAGTTAGCAGATGGGGACACTAAGTCTCAGAAGGGGAACATGACTTGCTGTTACAACTAACAAGAAACCACAAGTGTCTCTTCACAAGATACTAAGATCCATGGCATTGTCTTCCAGCCAATGTGGTTCCTGGTCACTCAAACCTCAGGGAGTGGGCTGGGGTTTCTGTTCTCATTTAGCACCACTTCTGCATTGCTGGTAACCAGAAACTTTTGAATCCACCCTGTTATTCAATGGCCAAATTACATATTCTGAACTGCACTGGGTGAACCTTTGAATTTCTGTGGAAAGTGAACTTCCACACAATCAAGTTTTCGCCATCACCAAAGCCAATGGGAGGGAGCAGAGGGGTGGGAGGCAGAGAGCCCACAAGTTGGAGGAGTCCAAGGTCACCAGCCAAGCTAAGCCCTAGATATACGTTGCCCCCCACATTTTATCATCTTAACTTGAACTCTTAAGAGTGAAAGGGGATGCTACTGATCATGACAGTCACCATCTCCATAAGGTGCTATTGTCAGAAGCACCATCTTGAAGGAGAAGCTAGCAAGAAACAGAGGTACCAGAACCTAAGTCAAAGGTTATGAGACCAGAGGCAGAACGATGAAGCTGGGTTTGAGGATCCCTCAGGTTGTGGTCCTGAAACAGTCAAATGATTTGCTTTTTATCAGTACCAAGGTGTCACTTCTCTGGTGCTGTGCCTTAGCACAGGTAGTGATAGCAGTGACTGTAGTATATGCCAGTATCACAAACAATTTAAAAGTCAGCATACCCACTGAGTATGCATGGACATAAGATTCACTACAAAAAAAAGTTCTCTGTTTAGCTCACTCCAGCTCTCTTCTCACTCCAGCTGCAATTCTATGAACAAAGCATTTCCCCCTAAAACCTTTCACTTTTCCTATCATTTTTTATGTCCACATAAAAGAAGAAAAACAGAATCAAGTATCCATTCCCCTTTGCATCATGAAATATGATGTAGCCTCCCAATAACCAAGGCAAGGTAAAAGAGAATAATCTAGAGGTCATGCCTGTTCACTGGGTCTAACTAATAGGATGCCTGATTTTTCTTTTAATCAGATTGGCTTATTCTCAATGACCATGAAACAGACCCCAGAGGACATGTGGATTGACAATTTTCTGGCCTACAGTGTTATCTCCAGTTACAACCTAAAATCTCTCTGGTCCTCAACCATAACAAGCTACAACTTAAACTCTGGTGCTCTGTGGACACTTGCCCACCTTTCATTTGCCCTCTCTTTTGAGACTATCCCTGATTCCATTGCTATTTATCCACTCATTTAACAAACTCACCATTGCCAGCCTCTGTTCAAATAAGCAAAACAAAAATCCCTGCCTTTGTGGCACTTATATTTCAATGGGAAAGTCAAATAATATAAAACAAACATTTTTGGGGAAACAGGGTCTCACTCTGACGCCCAGGCTGGAGTGCAGTGGCGTGATCATAGCTTGCTGTAGCCTCGAACTCCTGGGCTCAAGCAATCCTCTCAGCTCAGCCTCCTGAGTAGCTGGGACTACAGGTACACACCACCACACCTGGCTTTATTTTATTTTATTTTATTTTATTTATTTATTTTTTTTAGTAGAGACGAGATCTCACTATGTCGCCCAGGCCGATCTTGAACTCCTGGGCTCAAGTGATCCTCCTACCTCAGCCTCCCAAAGTGCTGAGATGACAGGTATAAGCCAACAAGCCCAGACAAAAAGCAAACATATTAAATAGGTAAATTTTACCATATGTTAGAGGGTGATACAGAAATAAGTAGAACAGAGTAAAAAATCTCAAGATTAAAACTTTAAACTGAGGGGAGGGATCAAGCAAGACATCGTTGAAAAATTACAGTTCAGCAAGGAATGGAATAATATTTTTTTAAAAAATAGCCATGCAGGTATGTGGGGAGAAAATATTCCAGGCAGAGAGAACAGCCTGTGCAAAGGTCCTGAGGTAGGATTAAGACTAACATGTTCAAGAAACAGCAAGTAGGCCACTGTGGCTAAGGAAGAGTGAGCAATGGAGGAGACTAGTCAAAGATGAAGTCAGAATGGTGCTCAAGGACAGATCACAGAGGACCAATCAGACCACTGTAAGGGCATTTATTCTGAATGAGATAAGGAATTATTGCAGGGCTTTGAGTAGAGGAGTGACATGACGGGACCTAATTCCTTAAAGAACCGCTCTTCCTGCTGCATGAAGAATAGACTGAAGGGGGCAAGGGTAGAACCAGGAAGCCTTGATAAGAGGCTGTTAAAGTTATCAAGGTAAGAGATAATGGTGGCTTGGACCCAGTGCAGCAGCAATGGGGGTGGTAGAAGGTGATTGGATTCTGGATGTATTTGGAAGATAGACCTGGCCAGGCTACCTTCTGACTGGGTGTGGGATGTGAAATAGAAGAATCAAGAATGACTCCAAGGCCAGGCATGGTGGCTCACACCTATAATCCCAGGACTTTGGGAGGCCGAGGTGGGTGGATCACTTGAGGTCAGAAGTTCGATACCAGCCTCGCCAACATGGCAAAACCCTGTCTCTACGAAGCATACAAAAATTAGCCGGGCTTGGTGGCACACCCCTGTAATCCCAACTACTAGGGAGGCTGAGACAGGAGAATTGCTTGAATCCAGGGAGCGGAGGTTGCAGTGAGCCGTGATTGCACCACTGCACTCCAGCCTGAGCAACAGAGCGAGATTATGTCTCAATAAAAAGAATGACTCCTATGTTTTGGGCTACAGGAAGGTTGGAGCTACTGCCATCCAACAATGTCTGAAGCAGATTTGTGGGGAGGAGACCAGGAGTTCAGTGGGAACTTGCTGAATCTGACCTTCAAGTAGAACTGTTCAGTAGGCCGTTGTACATACAAGTCTAGAAAACATTTGAGAGCTCCAGGAGTTGCCAACATATACATGGTATTTAAAGACTTGAAGCTGGATGAGGTCAACAATGGACTGAGATGGAGAAATGAAGAGGAACAAGAACTGAGTCTTAGAGCCTTTCAAACTTGACAAGTCTGAAGATGAAGAGGAATCAGCAAAAGACACTGGAAAATAGCCACCAGGGTGTTGGAGGAAAATCCCATACAATTCTAATTTCAGTGGGCACACAGGACAGAACATTCTATTCTCGAATCTTCTTTGGTTCCCTGAACCAATGTAAACAAATTCCATACTTCTGAGTGCTTTTTTCTTTATACCTGATGCCCAACCATTTCAAGCCCTCTCCCTGGGTTTCCTGTATAGCTCTGGTAACAGCCAGAGCCACAGCCGCGACATCATGAAAAGCTCAGATGGGCAGCCTCTTTCCTGCTTTGATACATCCCATGTCCAGAGGAAGAACTGTGGATCTAAACAGAACCCACAGATGGTGGCCTACCTAACACTATCAAAACACAGAAAGAATGAATGCTCAAACAAGCTCCCCGTCAGGGTGTTGTGCTGCTTTCAGGAGCCCAGCAGCATGTAGAAGATGATGTGCAGAACTCGAGGAAGAGGATAGATAGACTTGAGGACCCAGAGCATCCTACAACTTGAGACATGTAGCCCACTACCTCTATGAGGATCCTGCCCTATATCCTTGTGGACCATGTGCTGAAGTTGCCCTTAGGAGGAAGCAATGTCTAGGAATTAACTTCTGAGGTTCTGAGAACACAGAAATATCTTCAAAGCTTCATCTTTACAATTGGATTTACATACTGACTCATGTTTGAAATTCTGCCATTATCAGAGTTTAATCACTTGATTTTAAAATGTTTCTAATCAACTCTGCTGTTCCTTATTCTCAGCTCAAAATGGGAACATAGAGTTTGATAGAGAGGAACCGGGAGAAGAGAGAAGGCATGGGATGATGAGGAGGGAGAAAGTCCCCTCCACTTCTGCCTCACCTCCCAGGAAGGAAACTAGTCCATAACAGGGAGGCAGGAAATGTAACCTCCCACCTGGAGTTTCCCCTGTTGACAGATGGGGGAGGAAGTCATGGGGATGAGTCAGAAACTCTTTGAGGGAGGCTTTGCTTGAGAGCTGCCTATGCAAATTGTCTTGGGCTTCCTTTTCTGCCACAGAGGAAACAGACTAAACCTAAAGGCTTTGCTGGTACACAGAAGCCAAAAGGAGATCAAGTGTGACTATTCCGAGGTCAGGTTTCTCGCTCGATGCCTGAAGGAGGTTCAACACCCCCTCCTTCCTCTGCCTACTCCTTCTGGCCTTCTGCCCTCCACCCAATTCTCTGTCTCACCCACAAATCCTACCCAATGCAGAAAAGTACTCCATACTGTGGTTCTTCATTTCTCTTTATTTCATAACCATATTTCTCATCTCTCTTCCCTGGGACTTCCTCAAATGTCCTTCTTTTGAAGGAGAGAGATGAGGAGGAGGCAAGAGGCATACCTAGGGAATTCCCTGGAGTTCAACTGAAACTTGTTGCAGTTCTGTTTCTAAGTCACCATTTCCCTGAGGGCAGCACTTTCAGAACCTACTGGCAACTGAAGTCTAGATCCCCACTCTGAAGCTCAGAGCCTCCCTTTGGCGGGCCTTGGGAAAGGAGGACAGGCACAGACAGCTTACACCCAGCATCTGGCTCCTGGCTGTGAGCTTGGATCTCTCCCTGCATCTGTTCCCTCGGTGCCTAATTCCAGCCCTGTGGGTAGATTTGGTCTTCAATAGCTGTCTGGTGCTTCAAGCTTTGTTTGTCTAGCTAGAAGCTTCAATTCTTGGTTTTTTGTTTTTTTTTTTTACTTCAAATAACCAGGTACTCCATAATACTTGGAGTGTTCATCTGAAAACTCAAAATGAGTCACTTCGATTTGAAACAGAGATACAGGATTAGCATAATAGAGTGAAAAGGCATGAGACTGGGTGCAAATCCCAAAACCTGACTTCTGGCCCAATCTTCATTATTGTATAAACTTGAACAAGTTGCTAAAGCTCTCTGTATCTGAGTTTGCCCCATCTCCTCCAGGATGAAGCAGGGCAGGCCTTGAATGAGGACAGGGGCCCTGAGAGCTGGAGCTGGGAGGTGTAGATGCTCATGGCAGCCAGTAGAGCCAAGAGGCAGAGGGCAAACCAGGTTCTTAGAGAACACAAAAGGCCCAGACCAAGGATACCAAATCTCTCACCACAATCAAGAGTAAAAGCCAGGAGATACACTGTTACATTTTATATAGGGTAGTTGGAGAAGGCCTGTGATAAAGGGACATTTGAGGCAAGTCCTGAAGCCAGAGAAATAGAAGCTGGATCAGTTCTTGAATATTTGTTTAATCACCAAGTATGTATTAAACCTCTGACACACACAAATATCTCCAAGTTGCTGGGAATACAATGATGAAAAACATAGACATAGTCCTTGCCCTCATGAAACCTACAATTTGATCATGAAAACAGGCTGCCCCCCACCCATAGTAAAACAATATTGTAATGACAAGTTGTGATAAGAAAAAAGAAAGAAATGAGTAGAGTGCTGAGATAGAAATATACAGGGAAGGACCTATTCTGGATAAGAGGATGTGAGGAACAGCCTCTGTGAGAAGGCCAAGAAAGAGACAGCAATGTAAATCGGGACTAAAGGAGAATCCCATGTGGAGGATAAGGATGTCCAGAAGCCTCCCTATGGCAGGGGACTGCTTAGTAAGTTCAAGGAACAAAAGAGGGCAATGGCATTTTAGGCCAGAGAGGGAGGGAAAGAGTGGTAGAATGTTGAGTTTCTGGGCCAGGCACGGTGGCTCACGCCTAGAATCCCAGCACTCTGGGAGGCTGAAGCAGGTGGATCACCTGAGGTCAGGAGTTTGAGACCAGCCTGCCCAACATGGTGAAACCCTGTCTCTACAAAAAATACAAAAAAAAAAATTAGCCCGGCATGATGTTGGGCGCCTGTAATCCCAGCTATTCAGGAGGCTGAGACAGGAGAATTGCTTGAACCCAGGTGGTGGAGGTTGAAGTGAGCCGAGATTGCACCACTGCACTCCAGCCTGGGCAACAGAGTGAGACTCTGTCTCAAAAAAAAAAAAAAAAAAAAAGATTGTTGAGTTTCTGAGTGGGGAGGGCCTTGTAGGCCATAGTAAGCCATAGTTAAGGAGTTCATATTAATTCTCAGTGCAGTGAAAAACCATCACAGGGTTTTATGCAGCATAGCAATGAGACCTGATTAATGTGTTTAAAACATTTCTCTGACTGTTGCATGAAGTCTAGAATGAAGCAGGGTGGAATGCTGCAGGGAGTCCAATTGGGAGGCTGTTGCATATCACAGGTGAGAGAGGAGGAAGCAGAAGCAAGATCAAGAGCAGATTCAAAGCAAGAGGTACCAAAGGATTGCCACAGATGAGTGGGACTTACCAGGTGACTTACAAGTGAACCATCCTGGCTTCAGTGAATCATCCTGGCTTAAGGTCCAGGATTAGGAAAGACAAGTTTCCTCATCATGAAGTTCATTCAACAAGTATTTAACATGCATCTACCATGTTCCAAGTACTAGGCCGGTCATTGAGGATACAGCAGTAAACGAAACAAACTCCCTACTCTTCTTCTGGGCTCACATTCTAGAGAGGAGAGAGAGATAACACACAAATAAACAGATAACAGTCCCCTAGAAATCAGAGCCTGAAACAAAAGCTCATGGCTTAGACTTTATGAGAGAAGGTGCAATTTAGGGGGAGTAAAAGTGAAGGAAAGTAGGAAGTGAGACAGGAAAGGAAGAATGGCAAATACAAGGGATGTGTTACCAAGATGGCCAGCTTTGCCACAAATACAGCTTGTTTCTCCATCTCCATCTCTTCCAGAGAGGTCAAATAAAATCACTGCATGTCAAAACAATCCACTGGAGGGAGGAAGGGTAAGCAATTAACCCTCGGTCTCTTCCTATCTCCTGCTTTCCATTGATTTGTCTACTGTGCAGGACATTAACTGTATGTATTTCTGGGTTGTGTCACTGGCCCCCAGGGCAGCTGCTGGGGAAGCCAGAGCTTCCCTGGATTCAGTTGAGTCAGACCTCAGTGTTGCAGCTGCTGCAGCTCCTACCAAACATAAGTCTAACCCTCATCTCTGGGGAAAGAAGAAGCAATGTGTAGCGTTAGGGGATGAAGTGATTGATGGTGGTGGCTTTACAGCGTAAGTTGTCACTAAGACCTCTCCAGGATGGAAAATGGGCAAGTCCAGGGGACAGGATGAAGGGGATCAGGGAAGGCCCCTCCAATTAAGTATTAGTTGAGCAAAACCTCAGATGAAATGTGGGCACATCCGACGCAAATATCTAGGGGAAAGCATTCCAGGCAGAGGAGCAAGCACATAGAAAGGCAGTGATTCAGGACTGTGCTCAGCTTGTTTGGGAAAAGCCAGGAGGCCAGTGTGGCCAGGAGAGGTGATGTAGGAAGAGAGCCATAGGAGGAGGGACCAGAAAGATGGAGGAGCCTGGTCATATGGAACCTTGTCAGCCATAGAAATGACACTGGATCCTATTCTGAGAGAAAGGAAAAGCCATTTCAGAGCTGTAATATGACCTGATTGCAATTTTTTTTTTTTTGAGACAGAATTTCACTGTGTTGCCCAGGCTGAAGTGCAGTGGTGTGATCTCAGCTCACTGCAACCTCTGCCTCCTGGGTTCAAGTAATTCTCCTGCCTCAGCCTCCTGAGTAGCTGGAATTACAGGTGGAACAACCATGCCCAGCTAATTTTTGCATTTTTAGTAGAGACGGGTTTTGCCATGTTGGCCAGGCTGGTCTCCAACTCCTGACCTCAGGTGATCAGCCCACCTATGCATCCCAAAGTGCTGGGATTACAGGCATGAGCCATCACACCCAGCCCCTGATTCCAATTTAAAAGGATCGTTCTAGTCCCTGTGATAGGAGACTACAGAAGCAAGGTGGAGCAGGGGGACCCAGGAAGAGATGATGGTGACTTGACCCAGAGGGGGAGCACTGCTCAAAGGGGACAGACCTGGGGTACAAAGGAGAGCCTATAGAACTTGATAATGTCCAGAGCTGAGAAAGAAGAGTCAGTACCTGGCTTAAAAAGTGTCCATGTACTAATGTAGGAAGAAGAAGGTTCGGGAGGATGCACGGAACTGTGAGTTCAGTTTTGCATTTCCTCATTTGAAGTGTCTTTGGGACACCCCAGTGGAGATGTTTGGAGTTTTGGGAGAGATTGAGACTGGAGATACTAATTTGGAAGTTATCTACACATAATCTTCAAACCATGGGGCTAGATGTGATCAGCTGGGGAGTGAGTATAGCTGGAGAAGAGGTCCAAGAACTAAGCTCCAGAATATTCTGATTTTTAAGAGTCAGAAAGACAAAAAAAGACACAGCAAGGGAGACAGAAGGAGAGACTAGAAAGGTAGGAGAACCAGGTGAAAGTGGTAACCTAGAACCCAAGGATTGACTGATCCACCAAGTCATTGCCTCTGAGAACTGAGTAAAAAGAGACTGGAGATTAGATCGGAGCTCCAAGCTAAGGTCTGCAGAGCACCAGCTTACAGGGAGGTGCTGAAGAGTCCCGGCTGCAGTGCGTCAGGGTGAGTGTGCTGGGGGGTTTGGATAAGGTTTCACCAATAAAGTTCTAGGCCACTCTCCTACCTTCAACCAGATCTGCACTGCTTTTATCTTTGGGGTTTTCGTGTGAGATATCCTTCAAAGAAAGGACTTTACTACTTAAAATACAAAAACGTTGAAAACTGTTGGAGTACATTCTACCACTGGGAAAGAGGCAAAAACGTGGACAGGGACCGTCCGTGCAGTGCAGCCCCAAGGAGAATCTAAAGCTGAGGGTGAAAACCATAGAGTAAATCAAGCTTGTCCAACCCGCAGCCCACCGGTGGCATGCGACCCAGGATGGCTTTGAATGTGGCCCAATACAAAACCATAAACTTTCTTAAAACATAATGGGCTGGCTGCAGTGGCTCACATCTGTAATCCCAGTACTTTGGAAGGCTGAGGTGGGTGGATCACCTGAGGTCAGGATTTTGAGACCAGCCTGGCCAATATGGCGAAATCCTATCTCTACTAAAAATACAAAAATGGCTGACTCTTTTCGGACTCAGCCCGCCTGCACCCAGGTGAAATCAACAGCCTTGTTGCTCACCCACATTGCAGCCCAGGGCTGCTCCCCACCCGCTTCTCCGTGTCTCTACCTTTTTCTTAACCTTGCCTCCTTCACTATAGGCAAGCTTCCACCCTCCATTCCTCCTTCTTCTCCCTTAGCCTGTGTTCTTAAGAACTTAAAACCTCTTCAACTCTCGCCTGACCTAAAATCTAAGCATCTTATTTTCTTCTGCAACACCGCTTAGCCCCAATACAAACTTGACAATGGCTCTAAATAGCCAGAAAACGGCACTTTCAATTTTTCCATCCTACAAGATCTAGATAATTCTTGTCGTAAAATGGGCAAATGGTCTGAGGTGCCTAACGTCCAGGCATTCTTTTACATATCAGTCCCTCCCCTCTGTTCCCAATGCAACTCATCCCAAATCTTCCTTCTTTCCCTTCCGCCTGTCCCCTCAGTCCCAACCCCAAGCATTGCTGGGTCTTTCTAATCTTCCTTTTCTACAGACCCATCTGACCTCTCCCCTCCTCGCCAGGCCGAGCTAGGTCCCAATTCTTCCTCAGCCTCGGCTCCTCCACCCTATAATCCTTTTATCACCTCCCCTCCTCACACCCAGTCCAGCTTACAGTTTCATTCCGCAACTAGCCGTCTCCCACCTGCCCAGCAATTTCCTCTTAAAAAGGTGGCTGGAGCTAAAGGCATAGTCAAGGTTGATGCTCCTTTTTCTTTATCCGACCTCTCCCAAATCAGTTAGCGTTTAGGCTCTTTCATCAAATATAAAAACCCAGCCCAGCTCACGGCTCATTTGGCAGCAGCCCTGAGACGCTTTACAGCCCTAGACCCTGAAAGGTCAAAAGGCCGTCTTATTCTCAATATACATTTTATTTTTTACCCAATCTGCTCCCGACATTAAATAAATCTCCAAAAATTAAATTCCAGCCCTCAAACCCCACAACAGGACTTAATTAACCTCACCTTCAAGGTGAACAATAATAGAGTAGCAGCAGCCAAGTAGCAACATATTTCTGTGTTGCAATTCCTTGCCTCCACTGTGAGCCAAACCCCAGCCACATCTCCAGCACACAAGAACTTCCAAACGCCTGACGGCAGCTGCAAGGCGTTCCTCCAGAACCTCCTCCCACAAGAGCTTGCTACAAGTGCAAGAAATCTGGCCACTGGGTCAAGGAATGCCCACAGCCCAGGATTCCTCCCAAGCTGTGTCCCATCTGTGCCACTGAAAATCGGACTGTTCAACTCACCTAGCAGCCACTCCCAGAGGCCCTGGAACTCTGGCCCAAGGCTCTCTGACTCCTTCCCAGATCTTCTCGGCTTAGCAGCTGAAGACTGAGACTGCCCGATTGCCTCGAAAGCCTACAGGACCATCACAGACTCTCTGGGTAACTCACAGTGGAAGGTAAGTCTGTCCCCTTCTTAATCAATATGGAGGCTACCCACTCCACATTACCTTCTTTTCAAGGGCCTGTTTCCCTTGCCTCCATAACTATTGTTGGTATTGATGGCCAGGCTTCTAAACCTCTTAAAACTCCCCAACTCTGGTGCCAACTTAGACAATACTCTTTTAAGCACTCCTTTTAGTTATCCTCACCTGCCCAGTTCCCTTATTAGGCCGAGACACTTTAAATTATCTGCTTCCCTGACTATTCCTGGGCTACATGCCGCTTTTTTCCCCCCAGTTCAAAGCCTCCTTCACGTCCTCCCCTTGTATCTCCCCACCTTAGCCCACTAGTATAAGATACCTCTACTCCCTCCTTGGCGACCGATCATGCACCCCTTACCATCTCATTAAAACCTATTCATGCTTACCCCGCTCAACACCAATATCCCATCCCACAGCACGCTTTAAAAGGATTAAAGCCTGTTATCACTCGCCTGCTACAGCATGGCCTTTTAAAACCTAAAAACTCCCCTTACAATTCCCCCATTTCACCTGTCCTAAAACCAGACAAGGCTTACAGGTTAGTTCAGGATCTGCGCCTTATCAACCAAATTGTTTTGCCTACCCACCCCGTGGTGCCAAACCCATATACTCTCCTATCCTCAATACCTCCCTCCACAATCCATTATTCTGTTCTGGATCTCAAACATGCTTTCTTTACTATTCCTTTACACCCTTCATCCCAGCCTCTCTTCGCTTTCACCTGGACTGACCCTGACTCCCATCAGGCTCAGCAAATTACCTGGGCTGTACTGCCGCAAGGCTTCACAGACAGCCCCCATTACTTCAGTCAAGTCCAAATTTCATCCTCATCTGTTACCTATCTCGGCATAATTCTCATAAAAACACACGTGCTCTCCATGCTGATTGTGTCCAACTGATCTCTCAAACCCCAGCACCTTCTACAAAACAACAACTCCTTTCCTTCCTAGGCATGGTTGATACTTTTAACTTTAGATACCTGGTTTTGCCATCCTAACAAAACCATTATATAAACTCACAAAAGGAAACCTACTGACCCCATAGATCCTAAATCCTTTCCCCACTCCTCTTTCCATTCCTTGAAGACAGCTTTAAAGACTGCCCCCACCCTAGGTCTCCCTGACTCATCCCAACCCTTTTCATTACCCACAGCTGAAGTGCAGGGCTGTGCAGTCAGAATTCTTACACCAGGACCAGGATCACGTCCTGTAGCCTTTTTGTCCAAACAACTTGACCTTACTGTTTTAGGCTGGCCATCATGTCTCCGTGCAGCGGCTGCCACCGCCCTAATAGTTTCAGAGGCCCTCAAAATCACAAACTATGCTCAACTCACTCTCTGCAGCTCTCATAACTTCCAAAATCTATTTTCTTCCTCACACCTGAGGCATGTACTTTCTGCTTCCTGGCTCCTTCAGCTGTACTCACTCTTTGTTGAGTCTCTCACAATTACTATTGTTCCTGGCCCGGACTTCAATCCGGCCTCCCACATTATTCCGGATACCACACCTGACCCTCATGACTGTATCTCTCTGATCCACCTGACATTCACCCCATTTCCCCATATTGGCTTCTTCCCTGTTCCTCACCCTGATCACATTTAGTTTATTGATGGCAGTTCCACCTTCCCTGCACATCAAGTTCAAGGATTTGCCCCCGCCCAGGACTGGCAAATTGACTTTACTCACATGCCCCGAGTCAGTAAACAAAAATACCTTAGTCTAGGTAGACGCTTTCACTGGATAGGTAGAGGCCTTTCCTACAGGGTCTGAGAAGGCCACCACGGTCATTTCTTCCCTTCTGTCAGACATAATTCCTCAGTTTAGCCTTCCCACCTCTATACAGTCTGATAACAGACCAGCCTTTACTAGTCAAATCACCCAAGCAGTTTCTCAGGCTCTTAGTATTCAGTGAAACCTTTATATCCCTTATGGTCCTCAATCTTCAGGAAAGGTAGAACAGACTAATGGTCTTTAAAGACACACCTCACCAAGCTCAGCCTCCAACTTAAAAAAGATTAGACAGTACTTTCACCTCTTGCCCTTCTCAGAATTCAGGCCTGTCCTCGGAATGCTACAAGGTACAGCCCATTTAAGCTCCTGTATAGATGCTCCTTTTTATTAAGCCCCAGTCTCATTCCAGACACCAGACCAACTTAGACTGTGCCCCAAAAAACTTGTCATCCCTACTATCTTCTGTCTAGTCAGACTCCTATTCACCGTTCTCAACTACTCATAAATGTCCTGCTTTTTTTACACTGCCGGTTTCTCCAAGCCATCACAGCTGATATTTCCTGGTGCTATCCCCAAACCGCCACTCTTAACTCTTAAAATAAATACTCTTTGCTGGCAAGGCTATGCTGAACCTCCTTAGGCACTCTCTAATTAGATGTCCTAGGTCCTCCCGATTCCTAGTCCTTTAATACCTGTTTAGAAGTTATTCCATTTAGTTTTTCAATTCATACAAAACCGTATCCAGGCCATCACCAATAATTCTACACGACAAATGTTTCTTCTAACAATCCCACAATACCACCCCTTACCACAAAATCTTCCTTCAGCTTAATCTCTCCCACTCTAGGTTCCCAGGCCACCCCTAATCCCATTCGAAGCAGCCCTGAGAAACATCTCCCATTATTTCTCCATACCACCCCCGAAAATTTTCACCGTCCCAACACTTTACCACTATTTCGTTTTATTTTTCTTATTAACATAAGACAGGAATGTCAGGCCTCTGATCCCAAGCTAAGCCATCATATCCCCTGTGACCTGCACCTACACATCCAGATGGCCGGTTCCTGCCTTAACTGATGACATTCCACCACAAAAGAAGTGAAAATGGCCTGTTCCTGCCTTAACTGATGACATTATCTTGTGAAATTCCTTCTGGCTCATCCTGGCTCAAAAGCTCCCCTACTGAGCACCTTGTGACCCCCCACTCCTGCCCGCCAGAGAACAACCCCCCTTTGACTGTAATTTTCCTTTACCTACCCAAATCTTATAAAACAGCCCCACCCCATCTCCCTTTGCTGACTCTCTTTTCGGACTCAGCCCATCTGTACCCAGGTGAAATAAGCAGCCTTGTTGCTCACACAAAGGTTTGGTGGTCTCTTCACATGGACGCGCATGAAAGATTTGATGTATGCAGAGAATATGTATGCAGATTTTGGAGTTTCTACCTTCTGTGGACTTCCTCTTTTTCTGGATTCCTTTTTCAATTCCCAGCCATTTTTGAGAGTGGGGGAAAAACATGTAAATATGGATTGCAACTAGTATATTTCCTTTTTTTCAATCATTTTATTCCCTCGAGTATCTGCCTGCTTGTCACTATCCTATGCTTTCAAATAACTATTTTATATGTCTTGTTTGACATTTATGATTGTTAGTAGCAGAAATGTTAGTATAATAAAATCTGTGCCAACACTATTCAAGGCAAGATGTCCTTAGGAAAACTTTAAAAATAAATTCCTGAAATATAAAACTTAAGCAAAAATAAAATACATATATTACACACACACACACACACACACACACACACAAATATATTTATATATAAATTAGCTGGGTGTGGTGGTGCACGCCTGTAATCCCAGCTACTCTGGAGGCTGAGGCAAGAGAATCACTTGAACTGGGGAAGCACAGTTTGCAGTGTGCTGAGATTGTGCCACTGCACTCCTGCCTGAGCAACAGGCAACAGAGGAAGACCACATCTAAAAAAAACACACACACAAACACACACATCATGGGACATTTTTGCAAATCCTTTAAGTTCACCAGCTATCACTAGCATTAGTGTTTTTAGGTGTGGCCCAAGACAACTCTTCATCTTCCACTGTGGCCCAGGGAAGCTAAAAGATTGGACTTCCCTGGAGTAGATGGTTTATAAGGCCTGTTTTAACCTCAAAGTGCTTGGATTCTACTCTCTTGGTCCCAGCCGCTGAACAACCATCTCAGTTCAGACTCCACCCCACGGTGTGGTCTGATAATGACCTTGATGAGGACCAATGACATGGCTGGTCCTCACACATTGGCCTGATAACATTTATCGGCCTCTGAGGAGTGGTGTAAGAAGCTTATATTTGATCAAAGTGCTGCCTTGAACTCTGACTTTGAAGAGAACTGCTGGACTGAAACATTCACAGTGAGTCAACAAACCCTTCCTTCCTTCTGCCAACCTCATCTTCATCCGCTTCAAGGTCGGCCTGGCCCCAGGCCATGTCTGGACAAGGTCTTGTCCATGACTGCCAGCCTCTGGTAGCAGAGAAGCTTACTTGTCCTGGTCAATTCCTAAGTAACCTATATTTTTCTTGGTTTCCTACAGACTGTAATCCCCCTGCCTTCTATCAAGGTGAAATGTTAACAAGTTTAAATATCCAGCGGTGCTCTTCCTTCCTTGGATGAAACTTTCTAAGCTCTATCACTTGTTTATAGGTCTGGAGAAATACAATGATCCTGAAGAAAACCTGAGCTTATGTGAAGCAACTTTGTTTTCCTTTGACAAACTCCCATTTCCAACACCAGAATCCAACTGCAAGGAAATGAAGCATAAACAGCTGAATTTAGAAATCTTCTAATTCTGATTTTTTTATTTTTGTTTTTGAGACAAAGTCTTGTCCTGTGGCCCAGGCTGGAGTGCAATAGTGTGATTATAGCTCACTGCAGCCTCGAACTCCTGGTCTCAAGTGATCCTCCCACCTCAGCCTCCCAAGTAGCTGGGACTACAGGCAAGAGTCACCATGCCTAGCTACTTTTTTTTATTTTTGTAAAGATGGAATCTTGCTATGTTGCCCAGGCTGGTCTCCAACTCCTGGCCTAAACAATCCTCCCACCTTAGCTTCCCAAAGTGCTGGAATTATAGACATAAGCCACCATTCCCAGCCTAATTCATATTTTTAAGCAGGAAGCATAGTCTACCTTATAACTCCTATGCTCTTCTTCCAAAACCTTTACCCTGTAGTTTATGAACTGCGATGAAGGACCAAGTATATCTCCATTCTAACAGCACATTATAATGTCCACACAATATATAAATAAAAGAAAAGCAGGCCGGTCACGGTGGCTCACACCTGTAATTCCAGCACTTTCAGAAGCCAAAGTGGGTGGATCACTTGAGGCCAGGAGTTGAAGACCAGCCTGGCCAAAATGGTGAAACCCCGTCTCTACTAAAAATATAAAAATTAGCCAAGTGATGGTGGCACATGCCTGTAATTCCAGCTACTTGGGAGGCTGAGGCAGGAGAATCACTTGAACCTGGGAGGCAGAGGTTGCAGTGAGCCAAGATCATGCCACTGCACTCCAGCCTGGACAACAGAGCGAGACTCCATCTCAAAAAAAATAAAAAGAAAAAAAGAAAGGCAATGTGGTACCATGCCTTAGGATCGTACATACGTCACCCAACTCGCTTACCTACTGTAATGGACGTTTGTTGCTCTTGCTTGTACGGCACTCTTTTTCTAGATCTTCCTTTGGACAACCGCCTCCTCCCTGCCTTCATTCCTGTGGTTTGGTGAAGCTGACACTTCTCCCAGCTATAGGGAGGGGCGTGAGCCACAGGCCAAAGTCAATCAGTGCATTCCATCCACCAGCCCAGAGACTGAATCAGCAAAGGTCCCAGAGCTCCACTTGGGCCAATGGCAGTCAGGCCAAGGACTTTGTGGAACTGTTGCTCAGAGGACAGGTACTCACCTTGCACTGAAACTGGAGTGATGGGAGTATGAACCTGGGGCTACTAACAGCCATCTTGCCCCAGAAGGAAGTACTTCCCTAAGTTTAATGCCTACCCAGAGGAGGGCAGAGCAGATAGACAAGAGACAGGGTTCTGGGGTCAACTGTGTCTGAAGTCAGAGACATGAAATAAATTTCGTTTTTTGCTCAGGTAAGTTTGAATTTTCTGTCACTTGCAAACCAATGGAATCTTAAGTGATCCATCCTCTCTGGATCTTGATAGCTAAACCTTTAAAATGAGAATGTTGAAAACTACTCAGTGCTGTGGAGGCACCATTGGCTTTTGGGGTGAGACAATTCTCTAGTGTGCAAACAGTCCTGAACATTCATTTTTGCCCCTAACCACTAAATTCCAGAAGCACCCCTCAGTCTTCATGACAAACATTCACCACCCATTCCACTACATAAGCACAGAAAGGCATACACACACACACACACACACACACACACACACACACCACATATTTTCAAATGCCCCCTGGGTGTAGCTGAAAACCAGTAAGCCAGTGAAGTAGAAAATCTCTAAGGTCCCCTCTAATCGAGCTGAAATCAGCCATGTCATGTATGAGAAATTAAGTTCCCTAGAGTCTAGTCTTAGCATCAACTGAGAATAATTTAAACTCTGTGTTCACTTATTTGTAAAATGAGGATGCTAATATACAGCTCTATGGGTAAACCTATGAAAGGATGATCACAATCAGTTACTTGATACGGAATCATTCTAACATAACCTAAAATGGAGCTTTAACATTCTCGAGGAAAATATCCTAAGTGCTTTTGAATACCATTGTTGCTTACAATTTTCCTCATTAAATAAAGTTTTAAAACTGAAGTTTTAAAGTTATCTTTTCCTAGCATTAATTTATCTATTTGTAAAGGATTAAAATCACTTATAAAGCTACTCACTGTAGCCAGCATTTTTCTAGACCTCTCAATAACATCTCCAGAAAAAGCAGCTGGCTTGGAGGAGGGCTTCATTTTTACAAAGAAATGGGGTTTATCACTTCCCAAGTGTTACTGCAAGGATGACTAGAGAACAACAGTGAAACTGGTGGCTCGTAGTCAGCTATGCTCGTTTACTTCTCCACGCCAAACTCTTAGCTCATGTCACTTACTACATGTCATTCTTTGTTAACCAAAACCACAAATGTTAAATCCATGAGTGCCAAGGACCTCCTGTACCACACAGTGCTCAGTAAGTGTAAGAGAATAAAGTTTCCAGTGCTGTTGATAATTTATGAGTTTTTAAATCTATTTTCATATTACCTTTGTAACCTTTGTGAATTTAGGGGTTTTTTGTTTTGTTTTGTTTTGTTTGCTTTAAGCCATGCTGTTTTCCCTTCTTGGCAATTTTGTGCTCTTAATGTTAATGCTCAAACAAACGGTCTAAACTCTTCGCTGGCAAATTCAGATATGTCAGGAGAGTGGGCACTGTTCCATGTGTTGCCTTTGAAATATGAGCACAATAAGATGACTTCACATTGCGTGCGTACGCCAACCAAATTCCGGCTGAGGAATACAGCCATGACACAAGACAGTCCTTTCATCCCAGCTCTCTATAAAACTGTCATAAATTATTGCTGCTGGATGTCTTGCCAGGAGCCTGGGGCCAATGTTCATGTGTAGGAGCATTTGAGGGGTATCCTATGCCACCCTACTGGCTCAACCACCTAACAACCTTTTCTCTCCACCTCAGCCCCTTGGAACACAGCAGTAGCTTTACACAATGCTATCTGCCCCTTGCAACAAAGCAGTAATTTCACTACTTGAGGGATGGAAAAGATGTACCATAAAAGACACAGAGGCGATAGACAAAAGGGAAGTAAGGTGAGGCAGTTAAACCACTTCAAAACTACTTTTAGAATTTCAGGCTACGTAAAAAGTGGCCCTGAAACTGAGAGTGAAACCTCAATCTTTTGTTCATTCATCTTTGAAGCCAAAAGTTAGCGGGAGGCTGGCTCTGAAAGCACAGCCTCATGACTTAAGATGAATAGCAAATTTAAATAATTTCCCCCAAATTTTCTACTTTAGCTTTGCTTTAAATTACTGCAGCTGCCCTGAATAGTCTCCCTCATCTTCTCTTTATTTCTTCTATTCCCCCCTCCCACATTCGTTCCTCAGATTCAGGTCTTGCACAGAAACTGAGCCTTGATTTTCCGCAGAATATACTGTGACCAAGCCTCCTGCAGGGCTGCCTGTACGTTAAAGAAATGGAAGCGTCTTGAATCGTGTCCATCGTCCCTCCTTTACACAAAGTAATCACCTCCAGCTGGGCCAAGTTGATTGAGGAAACGTTCAGTTTTCACATGATTTTGCTGTAGCACCATAATGAATGTATTTCTTTGATGGAAGAAAGAAGCTTCATGAAATAAACTGCTTAAGGATTTGAAGTTGGAGCTGAAAACATGGGCTGCTTTGTTCTTAATGACAACTGCTTTGCCATCTAAAACATTTCTCCTTTTTGAAGGATCTGTCTTTTCTCTTCCAGCCACAACCCTCGAGCTACAATAACAGGCTCATGATTTTTTTAGATGCCAAGGTTATGAATACTCTTTTATGAATATTTTCCTTTGAACTCATTTCTCTTGAAGAAGAAAAATAGCCCTACATATTGCAGGATTGACAATAACAGACAAAACGTACAAATTGTTCTCTTAGGGGCAGTAAAATGCTCCAAAATGCACATAGAAAAATTCCAAATGCAACCTGATGTTTATGGAGCACTGCCTTTGCAGCTATAATTTTTAGAAAGTAATATTTCTGACTGACATGAATTATACAGAGCATATTTCAGAGACTAATATCAGGTTAATGCCTTAAAATGTCTCCGTTTATGACATCATGGCTGCTTTTCCTATATCAGTGCAAACTCTTAGTGAGTAGAATTTGAGGATATGTCTTTTCAAAGGAAGAAAACCTTCACTGAATTAAGCTGCTTATGGTTTTATTTTTTCTTTTATCCCATTTCAACATATCCACCAACCTCCTCTAAAAATAATTCAACTAATGTGAACTCAACAGATTATAGTAGATCTCTTATTAATTTCATTTTGCCTCCAAAGGAGCTTATCATTTAGGCTTATAATTATGTATGCAGTACTGTCGACTAATGTTTAGGTTCCTCATTAAAACTTCATTTCATTCTGTTTTAATATCATCAGTCTGTTAGACCATTTATTTTCTCATGTTAAAAAATATGTGTTTTCCCTGAACTCTTTCCATATGTTTTCTCTCATCCAAAAAATCCAGAAAACTCAGCTCCCTTTAATCCTGCTTTGTGGCTTAGATACTTTAGCCTGGAACCACTCGTGTTGATTTGTATATACCCACACTTACGCAAAAATAGCCTTCACTACGGCAGAGTAATCATTCTGCATAGAAATTATGTGTCTCTGAAGCCTATGTTGTCAGGTGAATCGTGGCAGCAATGACCTAAGAATGCATCCCCAGTTTGAAATGACCTATAAAAATTTCAAGATACAACTATTGCTTTGCATTTGGCATCGGGAATATTCTGTATAGTTCTTTTCATGTAAATGGGCAATATTCTAGAATGGTTCCCAAGTATAAGCTTTAGAGCTAGACTTCTTGGGTACAACTCCCACTATTACCACTTACTAGTTATGTAATATTGGAAAATACACTTAACTACTCTGAGCATCATAAAGTAAGCTTACTAACACCTACCTCACACAATTGTTGTGGGGATTAAGTTAGTAAAACATATAAAGCATATGTGACTCTGTCTGGCACAGAGTTAGCACTCAGTCTAAGTGTTAGCTCTTAATATCATTAATTCACAAACACACGACTTTCATTTACATGACTTTGGAAGGACATTTAGAAAATAAAAAAGAATCCTAGAAAAATCTAATTCTGTAAAATTTACCAACATGAAATTATAGACAGGTAATGTTATATATAAGTATATATAAATGTAATATATATTTATCTATAAATGTTATATATAGCATAGAAAATACCTAAGTATACATATATAATTCTGGCTATATTCTATATAATTTACATAGTCAAATTGATGAAATTATTTTTATCCTTTTCTTACCTGAAAACTATGTTTTAGCAAGTAAATTACTTTCCCAATGACTTCCATTGTCATTCGGCACATTAATTCACTGAGTATTTACTAAATGTCTTGTCCGAACAGGGAACACACAGAAGACAGTGGCCCCAACTAACTTCATCTGTATGCCAGGAACGATTTCCTAATTATTTAATTGATCAAGTTTGTATTTCTAGATAATTGTTTCCTATAGCTAAAGACAACTTATGAATGCCTATGTATTTCCAGAAAAAAATGCTCTAAGTAACTAACCGAACGAATACCATATAATCTATCTACACAAAAATTGTCACAACTACTGCAGTACTACTGTGTTACCTTAATGTTGACTCTAGAGTTCACATTCAGCAGTCTTTTTCTGTCCTCACCTCAATCCAAAACCAAAACAGCAAATATATGCCTGGTAATCACATAGTTTAACAGGAAAAAACAGGCCAAAAAATTGTAATACAGTTTGATTATACCTTTATAAGAAAAATCTGCATTTAAGAAATGTGAGGAGGCTGGATGCAGTGGCTCGTGCCTATAATCCCAGCACTTTGGGAGGCCAAGACAGGAACAATGCTTGAGCCCAGGAGTTCAAGACCAGCTTGGGCAAAATGGAGAAACCACATCCATACAAAAATACCAAAAAAATTAGCCAGGCAAAAAAATTAGCTAGGTAGTGCATGCCTGTAGTCCCAATCACTCGTAGGGTGGAGGTGAGAGGATCGCTTGAGCCGAGGAGGTCAAGACTGCAGTGAGCCATGATCATGCCACTGCACTCCAGCCTGAGCAACAGAGTGAGACCCTGTCTCAAAAAAAAAAAGAAAAAGTGAGGAAAAACTAAAAAGCGAACTAATGGTGATTCTGTTAATATAATGGGATTATAGTTTTCTTCTTTTCTCCATTTTCCAAAATGTTTGTTATTGACTATTATTTTTACAATGAGAACGTTAAATTTGCAAAATCCTATAAAAATTGGACTATGCATTAAATTATATCACTATTTTTATATATAAAAAAGACATCACAACATAGCATTTAATTCTGATTTTAATTTCCATAAAATTAACTCTACAAAGATTTCTCAAAGAAATCTGACCGCCTTCAAACTACATGTTTGTTTTGTATTACATGTAATAGATTTCCACATATGAAAAAATCATAAAATGAAGGCTACGTTTTCCAACCGCTATTTAAGTACTGTTGAGAAACTATCGTTGAATGAATGAACCTGATTTTGCCTCATCGTGTTTATCTAAAAGAGTCTTTGAAAGATATTTATTTTCCATTTTCTTTACACGGTCCCTCTTTTTCAATCTGTAAATAAAAATTAATGAGCAATTTAGGACACAATATCACAACACAATTATTCTGTAATTGATCTGATAACCAAAGACACATAAGAATAGGATGATCTATAGGATAGATGTTTCCACACAGCATTTGTCTGAAATCAGATTATTTTAAATGATGCCTTGACTTTTGAATTCAATTCTAGAACCAATTATCCTAAACTAAATCAGAGTATTACAAATGAAGATATTCCAACACAAAGACTTGTAGGATTTTGTTTAGATTGTCAATGGTTGATTCATCCAAATTTTCTTCATTGTCATCCATGGTGTGCCAGACTTCAGGGAAAGGAGACGGTATCAGATGCAGAACTGGAACACCTATTAAGAAAGAACCAACTTGTAACAATGTGCATTACTCCAGTGAGTAAACTAGAAAGGGTCATTCTTCAAGCAGAGGGAGCTCTGTACCACATAAAGACAGCTGATAATTCATCATCATCTGTGTACTTTCTCATATCCCACCGTTGTACTCCAAAATCAGGCTGTGCACGCACACACACACAAACACACACACACACACACATTACCTCTTCTTAAAAATGGAATATGGTCATCCTGAATCACACCTCCATAACTGTAATTCTGGAAATACCGCCCCTCCAAAGAGTGATCCTTGAGCAAACCCAATTCATGAAGTTCATGTTCTGTAGATGACAATTATACAGTAAATGAACAACTATTTTTATCTTATCAAGACTCATAATGTATCCTTATTTAAGGAGTTTGAAATCTTAGCACATGTGTCCATAATTTGTAAAAGATTATGCAACAGCAAGCATGGCCACACCCATGACAATAAACATCTGGGTTGAACAGGGATGTGTACACTTTGGAGCAGGAAGAGAGAAGAGTCAAATGTGGCTCTAAACTTACAGGTGAGAACCTCCTTAGAGGTAGAAACTCCACAGAACAGTGAAGAGATAGAGAATGAAAAAAACAGAGGACAGGTGGGTGGAAGGGGACAACACAGGTGCAGGTGTAGATGCTTATAGGTCCAAGATGCTGCATGAAGAATGCCTTAGATGAGATATGGGGCTTAAAAGGGGAATACTCAAACAGAGTAGAGATGAAGTATATCAAGTGGCCACTCTATGGGAAAGAGATACCTAGTGTGACCTACATCAGTGGTTCTCAAAGTGTGATGTCTGACCAGCAACATCAGCAACACCTAGGAACGTGTCAGAAATGCAAATTATCTGGTCCCATCTCAGACTTACAGAAATTCTGGGGCTGGAGTCCAGCAATCTGTGTGGAAGAAGCCCTCCAGGTGATTCTGATGCACTTTAAAGTTTGAGAACCACTGGCCTACATAAGTCATGTATTGTATGTTACAAGATGACAAGAGATTACATGAATATTATAAGACAACCAAATGAAACTTCCTAGGATAGCTAGGAACTAGCTAAGGTAAAACTAAACCAACTAGTAATCAATCATATGTAATATGATTCTAGAAACATTGAGAAAGCCCTAACTACCACCAAAAACAATATTCTTGTCTGTTTATTGATACTTATAATTCCTTTACCATGAGACACAACTTTTTCTTTTTTTTTTTTTTTTTTTTTGAGATGGAGTCTCGCTGTCGCCCAGGCTGGAGTGCAGTGGCGCCACCTCAGCTCACTGCTTTCTCTTATACAACTAGAGATATGGTTTGAAATGTAAATACCAATAGGAGGGGCACAATGGGTTAAAATTGAATGAAGGTGCAAGTTATTGGCATAAGTTCATTCTGGTACAGGACATAATAAAAGTGCACAAAATCCTTGAAAGAAAGCCAAACTCAGTTTCTCAAGGCTACCATCAAAGTAAGGAAAATATGCTGCAAGGAAGAAGCCCAAGAAGTTTATATTAATAACACCATTAGAGTAACTCTTTCAAACTAGGAAATGAAATTTGTCAATGACATGCACCTAAAGTTCAAGCAGAAGTTTCTCTAAGATTCTAGACAAATTCTTTACTCATGGCAAAAGTGTGAGTTATGATGGCAGTGTTTTTCCCACTGTTAGAAGTAATACAAGTCTATCTTGCTCCAAGAAGTTTGTGTGGCTAGTAAGGAATTTCTAGCATGAAATTCTTGCCTTCAAAGCAGCCCCCTGGCCTGGATTCTACAATAAAGATCAATCTCATTTTCATCTTTCCCTGATGCCTGCCAAGAGTTTGCTTTGTTTTGTTTTGTTTTGTTTTGGGTAGGGTGGTAGTACAAAGTTATTCTCCTTTTCTTTCTCCAAGCCCCAAGCTCCCCTCTTCAGCCATAGATACGTATGTTTCTTGGGCTGGCCTGACCTGACCTGGTCTGGCCTAGTCAACTCCCATTTATTTGACTCTAAATCTCAAAGGATCTGGCTTTCTCTTTATCCTGATCTCTTGCTTCTTTGGAAAATTGGCAGAGACTGTACTAGATTTAAAGGAAAATAATATCTGGATAAGGTAGAAAATAGAAGATGGCAAAGACAGAGATGGAAAAGAAAAACTGAAGAATATCTTTTGGTATCATTATAAGGACATCATATTCATCATTAGCCAGCATGCTTTGTTGAGTAAACTTTTCTCTCGAAACGCATTCTACCTGCTTCAAACAGGACTCTGGGAAAATATTTTCAAATATTTTCAAACCATTTTTAAGGATGTGCAAACATGAAATGTAGTATTTTATGTTTCCATTTCAAAATATAGTTTCATGCAGGAAAATAAACTGGGCTTACTACAAAGATGAAAAGAATAATAAACTAATCAATTAAGCAAGAAAAAAAGCCAATAAAGTATATTACACATTTAAATCATATACTTAAATTATAATTTTTTTTTCTTTTTTGAGATGGCGCCTCACCCTGTCACCCAGGCTGGAGTGCAATGGCACCATCTTGGCTCACTGCAACTTCTGCTTCCCAGGTTCAAGTGATTCTCATGCCTCAGCCTATCAAGTAGCTGGGATTACAGGTGCCCGCCACCACACCCAGCTAATTTTTGTATTTATTTTGTATTTGTTTAGTGAAACCCCGTCTCTACTAAACATGAAAGCCCTGTTTCATGTTGGCCAGGCTGGTCTCAAACTCCTGACCCTAGCTGATCTGCCTGCCTTGGCCTCCCAAAGTGCTAGGATTACAGGTGTGAGCCACTGCGCCCAGCCAAATTATAAATTTTAAATGTTAAAAATGTAGTATCTGTCAGTAGCAAGAAATGATGTTTTATTCATTAATAACAGTGGTGCTTACCAATTGCTTGAAGTCTTTCGAACCACCTGGCTGAGTTTGGAAAAAAATTGGGAAACGTTGGGTTTGGAGCTCCAATCAAATCCAATAAGACCAATAAATCCTGAGGGAGAAAAAGTAATGTTTAATCACCATCACCAAAACGTGTTTTATATTCATCAACAGGGAAATACAATCAGTCAAAATTAACTGCATTTCAGTAATTGAGAATAATATGGCAAGCTATATGAATGAACCAAAGATTTACTAACATTTTATGCTAATTATTTTGGAGAACTCTTTAAATCTTGCTTATGTAATGTGGACAAATAGCAAAATATTGATTATTTGTGTATGTAACTCCAAAAGGATATCACTAAGGATAAATTAGGAAGAAGACATTTGGATGAATATTTTGTGAACATTAAAAGCATACATTTATTTTCAGAAAGGAGTCCAAGCCTATCTGATCTTCTAATCCACTCTGTTTAGCCATTTTATCCTTAATCTGTAATGATAAAACTCTCAAAGGAAGGCACTTGGACAGTAACTATTTATTGATCAAGTAGTATCTAAGAAAAATTCCTTGTACAGGAGCTATATAACATTGTGTCTCTGGATCTCCATTTCCTTGTGTATCAAATAAGAAGCTCAAACTAGCTGATCTCTAAAGTTTCCTTCTGGTTATAGCTCTCTTTCATCTCATCACGAGGACTCTCTGAAGACTACTCACTAGATTAAGACCTCCTCATTTATCTAAGTAAAATAATGTGTGGATAAATATTTAGCATACATCCTAACACATATTAGATAAATATTTTCAGAGTGTGTGATCCTAAAGACATAGTATGAAAAAATTCATGAATGAAAATTCAATATATTCATCATAGGAAAAAATAGGCTTCTTTGAAATAGGAACATATTCACAAGGTTGGTTAATCTATTAAGGGTTTGTTTCTGGAAAAAAATGATCTTCATTCAACAAATTTATTTATCAGTCCAAATATATGAATCACTGTGGCTTCATATATTTGGACTGATAAATAAATAACTTTGTTCTACTGCTGATCAACCAGGCGTCTCCTCTTGTGAATATGTTCTGAATGCTTTTTGGGCACTTGGGCACAAGTGAATGAATGATATGCTGACCACATTCCCCTGGCCCATTAGGAGCTGCCAATGGATAACAGGAGGGAGAGCAAATGCCAACAGGAGGTGTGTTAGGGTCACAGAGGACACAGAATGTGACCATTTGTACTTTTATAGGGCGAAGGTCAGTGATAGGGCAATGGATAGGAATAAGCGGGGGTGCTGGGAATAAGCTATCAGTTCACAGATGGGGTGAGCGTCAGGGAGGGATGAAGGCACCGGGGCTAGTGAAGTCTCAAGGGTAGCATGAGGTTCCAAGCTGGGGTTAGTGAAGACGTGGGGACAGAAAGAAGATCAAATATGGGAAGAGAGTCAGAGTCAGGAGAAGATGCAGGGGTCGGGGGAGGGATTAGGGATGGAGTGTGGGCCCAGGAATGGGGATGAAAATGAGGCTGTGTGTTGCACTCATTACTTAGTAATAATAGCAGGGTTTTAAGGCAGCATCAAAATATCCCCACCCCCATGTCAAAAATGCCACATCAAAACCAACACATCAAACTGTCATAGTCACACTGGAGTCACGGTAATACTTTGAAGCCACCAAGGAAATTCTTCACCCTCACCCCTCTTTTATTCCATTTCCCAAAGCCCCATGTTCTTCAGACTTATAAAGGCCTGAAAGAAGGGGTTTGCTCTCTCCACCTCCATACAGTACTGGGGGAATGTGCTCCCATTGGGCCCAACTGAATCTGAAGTTCCTGTAATCCAATTTTTTACATGATTTTATCATTTTAATTAAGCTCAGTCAAACATGGCTTCTAACCAGCAATTTTTCTTTCTTTCTTTCTTTTTTAACAGAGTCTCCCTCTGTCACCCAGGCTGGAGTGCAATGGAGCAATCATAGCTCACGGCAGCCTCGAACTCCTGGGCTCAAACAATCCTCCTGCCTTAGCCTCTTGAGTAGCTAAGATTACAGGCATACACAACACCCAGCTAATTATTTTATTTGTTGTAGAGACGAAGTCCCCTTATGTTGCCCAGTCTGGTCTCGAACTCCTGGGCTCAAGTGATCCTCCCACCTCAACCTCCCAAAATGCTGGGATTACAGGTATGAGCCACAGAGCCAGCTCAGAATCATTCTTTTTAGCTCTGGGATTCCTCAAAAACCCAATGCCTGCCAAGGAATGTTCTATCATAAACACTGTGCTCCAAGGATGCTGTGGCATTTTTAGGTCTTTACTTGGCTTTTGCAACCTTTTCCTTGGAAGCGGAGCCTACAGCTACAGTGCTAGGGAAATTGCCCAGACTAACCATGCCATGCAGTTGGCTGGTGCCTCTCGCTCCAGGTGGGTGCGGGGTCGATGCCATCTTTGCAGCTAAGTGTCGAGACCCATAGAGAGAATCTTGAGGAGACCAGTGAAGAAAAGCCTCTTCACCATCAAAGAAGATCAGCTGGAGTGACAAATCTGGCTTGGAGTCTGAAACAGTCTGGTAAAAACAACAATAAAAACATAGCAAAAAAATACTGTGATGATGAAAAATAGCATGATTTTCTATTAATTGGGCAAAAAGATAGATGTGCCATAAAGAAAGGAAGATACCAAAGCAAGTGAAACTATGGCAAAATTTATTCCACACCACTTCCTCTTCAAAAGTCATCACACCTCCCACAGTCTTCACCCATATAAACCACCTTCTTCCATTCCCTCTGAAAATAGAAGTCTTTTATATTTTTTCTTACTCCTCACAGAATTTTGAAACAATGAAAGTGCTGTGATGAATCGTGTGATACACCACCCACTTCCCATACAGGAGGGTGTGTTGCCTCAGCTGCTGGAAGAGCCGTCAGTCACTTTAGGAATTGCCTCAGCTGCACCTCCTGGGAGTGTCCCACATCCAGTGCTGACCTACACGGGTACGGGGGGCTCTCTAAAGAGCCATCATATCTCCAGAGCTCCGCAGGGGTTGGCTGAGGCCGTTGTTGAACCTGCACTGCAGCTCGACTTCTTCCTCCGTCCAACACCATTTCTTTCCCCTCCCTGATACCTGTGTTGATCCAAGGCCACTCCCTAATAAGTGACCTGAATACTAAACTCCATGTCAGAGGGCGCTTCTTGGGGAATCCAACCTGAAACAACTGTAAATCTTTCTTGCTTCTCACCTTATTTACATCTTCAATTTTGTACTGAGTCTAGCTTCAAGAGTCTGCCCTAGGAATGCTACAGACACGAAGAATAATAATTATAGCCCTTCCCTTGAAATAGCCTATACTTTAGTTGGGTTGGGGAGAGATAAAACAAATACATAAGCATGGCAAAATGTGCCACCAGCCACAAATGTAACATTAAAGTCCTCTAGAAATTGGATAGAATGAGAAGCAAAATCCTGGGGGTGTCAAGGAGGGCTTTATGAAAAAGACAGTATTTGAATGGAACTAAAAAGAGTGACTAGGATTCTAACTGATTTTACACTTTCCTCCGTCTGACAATAACCCCTGTCTTTCAGATTGGTCCTGGTACTCTAAACTCCAAAGTCCTTCAATCCCACTGGAACCCCTAATCTACTGAATGTTTCACCTTTTCATGGTCCTTCACCCCCATAATGTCCTCACTTCACTCTATATTTGGCTTAAATTCCAGTCAATCATGCCAATCACTCACTAGCATACACCCTCAACTCCCTTGCCCCTTTCTGCCTTTGTCAAACTTTCATGGCAAAAACATACTCTACCTACTTTGTGCCAGCACTCGTGCAGCTAAACCTCACCAGAGAAAAAAATATATAACCACACTGTCTGGCCTTGCTTAAAGTTCATGACCACAAACCTCACATTGGCCTTTCATGTTGACTGGCAAGTCATTTGTATTTTCTTAGTTCAGTCACTCTGGCACTCTTCTAGGATTTCACATTCCTCCTCTCCCTGCCACCTCACCCATCTTCATTCCCAACCGATGACCTTGATTTCTTTCTGTCATGCTCATATCAGATGCCAGTCTCCCTGCTTATGCACAAAATCCTATCCTCTCTCATCTGCTCAAGGACATTGCTCTAGCAAATACCATTTCTCTCCTACATCATCAATTTTTCTATCTCTGCTGGATAATTCCCATCGGCCAACAAACATGCTGTTGCTTTTCTCATCTTAAAATATTTGACCTCACTATCTCCACCATCTACTGCCCAATTTTGTAATCCCATTTATAGCAAAACCCCTTGAAGGAGTTGTCTATTCACGCTGTCTCCAATCCCACTTCTTAAACTTAGCCCAGTTGGGTTTTATCTCCACCGTGTACTGAAACTGCTCTTGTCAAGACACCAATGACTCTACATGGCTACATCCAGTGGTCAACTCTCAGTCTTCATCTCTCTTGACTTATTGTCAGCATTCAACACAGTTAATTACTCCCTCCTGGCTACACTTGCTTCATTTGGTTCCTAAGATACCATATTCCTCCTACCTTAGCACTAATGGCTCCCTTCATCTCCCTTCCCTCTTCACACTAGAGAGCCTCAGGGGCTTGCTCCATGGTTCTCTTCTCTTCTCTGTCCACACTCACTCACTGTCTTGATATCTCTTCTTGAGGCTTTAAATCATATATGTGTGGGTATGTGTGTGTTGTCTTGTGTGTGTGTGTGTGTGTGCTGTGTTGTGTGTGTATTGTTATATATATAAAATTTTTAATATAATTATTTTAAAATAATAATAATAATAATAATATTGTAGAGGCGGAGCCTTAGTATGTTGCCCAGGCTGGTCTCTCTATATATACATATTATATGTTATATTATATTGTATTATATTATAATAATACACACACACAACACAACACACACATACATGTAAATATCAATTCCAAAAAATATATCTCCAGCCCTGACTTCACTGCCGATCTCCAGACTACAATTTCAGTTGCCAAATGAAGATCTCCACATAGACGTTAATAGACACCTCGAACAAAGTGTCAAAACTCATCTCCTGAGGTTCCCCCGGAAATCTGTATTACCAACAGTCTCTTCAACCAAATGGATGGCAAAACCCCCCTTGCAGTTACTCAGACCAAAAACCAGTGGGGATCTGTCTCTTTCTGTCCTTTTCCATGTACACAAACATCGCAATCCAGTTCGTCCTGCCTCTGCAAACCTGTTTCCCACCATTCCTCACCACAGGCCTCTCTTTCATTTGCTTTGTTTTCTTTGAGCCTAATATGTCTTCACCATTATGTGGTCAAGCGTTCCAGACACTATCACACCTTTATTTCTCATGTCTGTCTGGTTTTGTTTTTTAAGAATGGGCCCTTCCGGAGCCCTCTGCTGCCTGCTCCAGCCTGGACCGACCACTAGGCCTGCTGCCTATCTGTTTGTTATCTTGGGGCTCCCCTCACCATCAACCTGCAGATTTCTGCCTCTCCTATATGGGACCCCCAGTGAGCTGAACTCCATGACTCCCTCATCCTTGATTTCTTTCTTGATTTTTCTGGAGCACAGCTTTAAGCAACTTCTAGGGCAAAAATACAGTACATGGGAGTGAAAATTGTTGAGATTTACCTCTGAAAATGTCTTCATTCTATTTTCCTATTTAATTTTTCTGGGTCTGAAGATTCTGGGTTGCAAATTATTTTTATTTAAAATATTTAAGGCATAATTTCATTGTTTTCTAGCTCCCAAAGTTTCTATTGAGAAGTCCAGTGCCATTCTCATTCCCAATACTTTTTATATGACCTAACTGGAATTGTTACAATTATTCTCCAAAAGTCATAATCGTCTCCTTTTTGTCATTCCTCTTCTAAAAAAAGATACTTCTTCTACTTTAGGATCCAACTGTTTTATTGATTTATTTATTTTGAAAATAGAAATTTTAATTTCCAAAAGCTCCTCCTTATTGACCAATTGTTCTGTTATTGCAGCATTCTGGTTTTGTTTCATAGATATAATGTCTCCTCTTATCTCTGTAAGAATATTAGAACAGTGTCCTTTAAGTCATTTTCTGCTCTATTTCCTCCCACTTCATTTTAAATTTGTATGATTTGTTTTGCTTTCTATTTTTTTTTTTTTTTTTTTTTACATTTTAAAAAAGTATTTATTTATTTAAGAGACAGGGTCTCACTCTGTTGCCCAGGCTGGAGTGCAGTGGCTCAATTATAGTGCATTGCAGCCTTGAACTCCTGGGCTCAAGCAATCCTCCTGCCTCAGCCTCCCAAGTAGCTAGGATTACAGGTGTGTACCACCATAACCAGCTAATTTTTTTTTTTTTTTTTTTTTTGTAGAGAGGGAGCCTCACTATGTTGCCCAGGCTGGTCTCAAACTCTTGGCCTCAAGCAATCCTCCCACCTCGGCCTCCCAAAGTGCTAGGATTACAGACATGAGCCACTGCTCCAGGCCCTTTCTTTCATGCTGGAGTCTGTCCTCAAATGTCTGGTCATCCTTTGTGTTCATTCATGTTAAAGAATAAGATATTAAAATGCTGGTTGGAGACACAGATTGGTTGGCTTCACTGCAAGGCAATCTGGTGCCCAGCCAGTGTTTTCACTGAGGATTACTGAATGTCACCATCTGGGATTTTTCTGCGGGGTGGTTCACACGGTCTGAAGAAGAATCCTCCAGTTTCCTATCTGATGGCTTTCTGGTGCTGAAGATGGGAGAGAAACTATAGATCTCACTGTTCAATGTGTAGGCTTTCGCCTAATCTCCCCGATTTCCATGGGGTGCCCCACTGTCACCCTCCTGTATACTTGCTATTCTCAATTCCATAACCTCCCTGGTTCAATTTCTCCAGAAAAATATTTTCTCATCTGTGGCAAAGGCACAAGGGGGCACTCACTTACCTGCCTGGTGTGGGGTGGGAATCTCTACATCCACATATTCCTTAGACAGACTTAGAAACACTCTCCACACCAGCCCCTTCCTCACCTCTGCCTTCCTCAGCTTATCACATCTCTAATTCCTGAGCCTTTTTAGGATTCTATCAAGGAAACCACTGGCTTCTTCCATTTCTTCCCTCTCCAGGACAGTGTGACTTCTCTCCACTCTGATATGTCATCTGCCATTTCTCCATCCAACTTCTGTCTTCATATTGTGGTTCCTATTCACAGATGTTCTCTACTTTCTTCAAAAAATGGAGTTTCCCTGATTGTTTTAACGGTGATTTCAAAAGAGAAAAAAATTGTCTTTATCATCTGAAAACTAACTTAATTTTGTACGCTAATCATTTCATATTGCTCCTTAATTATACCATGAGGAAAGGACAGTGTAATTTGATTTGAATCCTCCATAACTCCTGGAGAGCATTAAGCAGAGGATGTGTTTGTGCAATATAAATGCACTCAGGGTTTAATAAGCATTAAATAATTAAACAGATTTTCTCGTTGGCAAAAATTGTAAGGTGCTTGCTTCAGTAGAGACATTCTAAGCTTCCAGTTGTTTAAAGGGCCTTGAAAGTTCTAGCTTCAAATCAGACAACATAATCGCAGAACAAGAGGGCAGAACGGGACCGGTTGGGACAAGAGGCATTCTGCTCATGCCCAGGGCATAGGCAAACGGAAATAGTTTTTATCTCTTGCAGGCTTGACAGTTCAAGTACCTCAGTGAAACTTCAACAGCTGGGAGACTCCAATGATCAGTACAACGATTTGCTTTCATTCTGTTCGCCTAATATCCATTCATTTAGCCAGCAATAAACTGTTGTGGACATTCATCCTGAGTCCCATGAGGCAACCTGCTCTTTTTGCTTCATTTCAGGAATGGCAGAAAAATAGCCATGGCCTTCGTTACTAGTAACTCAGCCTAGTACCTTGGAGCTAGGAGAATCTGACTGGCCTGATGTATGAAGGTCTTCATGGTAACACTACAAATGCCTAATTACCAGCGTTCACACAGTCTGGGTTATCTGCAGTCCTTCCCCATTCAAGGCTGTATCAGTTAGCTAATGTTGCAATAATAGAATAGAATAACACCCCATCAACACAGTGGCTTAAAATACCATTATGTATCTTCTTGGGATACATAACCTCTGCTGGTCAGCTAGGGAGCAGCTGATCTAGAATGGGTTTGGCTGGGGCAGCTCTGCTTCACTGTGCAGTCAGCAAGGTTGGTTCTGCTCCAGGTGTCTCATCCTTCTGCTGGGACTGGCAGGCTAGCCAGGGCATGCCATTCTCATGGTTATGGCAAAGACACGGAAGAGCAAGCCCAATGGCACAAGCACACTTCCAGCCCCTGTTTGTGTCACCTCTACTAACATCCCATTGGCTAAGGCAAGTCAAATAATGAAGTCCAGAGTGAAGGGATGAGGAAGTACAACTGGCTACAGTGGGAGGGCACAGCAAAGTTACCAGGCAAAGGATGTGGATGTGTAATGACAGTCCTATTACTGGAGAGAAGTGGAGCTATGAAGAGTTGCGAATAATCCAGTCTACTTATCAAGCACTCTTTCAGGTCACTTTCCACCACCGTCTACCCAATCCATGACAGCTGAAGAACTTAACTTCTCAATACCAATTTAGTTAAAACATATAACTGGAAGAATAAATCTGATACTCTCAAAGTCTGCATTCAAAAACAGCCTCTTAAAAAAAATCCCCCACCTCACCATTTATCTCTAACAGAAAGGATTACTATGAGAATATATATGTTGATTCAAATTTTTTTAATGATGACCCCAATCCAATAACTCATTCAGACCTTTCTATTAATATTTCTGGTCACCAAAAGCAGATATGAGCTATATGGGAAAAAGCAAAGGAGTTCACTCAGAGAAAATACATCCATTACACAGAACAATGTCTTCAAGTCATACTTCATTTTGTGTCCTTATACTAGAAGTGCAAATATGAAAAATTAGACTTTTGCATCAGCTTTTGAACTCCTTCATCCAATTGCTGGGGAAGGAAACTAGTTAAAAGCAGGGCAAAGCATGGGACAAAGGGATTGTAGAAGGCTCAGAAAACAAAACAAACCAAAAAAAAGAAGTGAAAAGGAGACTGAGAGGGTATAAACAAGTCTTGCTTTCTTCAATTTCAGCATATCCAGCAAAAATAGAACCAAATATCTCTACTACTTCCATTACAAGATAAACTTTTTACTTCTTTACCCCCACTGTATCAAAGGCTGGACCCTTCATAAAGCTCTGAGCGGGGAACAAAGCATTTGTTGCCTGAGAACAAAGTTTTTTGTTTTTGCTTTGTTGTGTTTACTTGGTTATGAGTGATATCAGAACAAAATATCTTCATCTAGTTTAGCACTTTTTTCCAATATACCCTTAAGAACACCAAGACTGAAATAACATCTGAGAGTCCCAGAAGTATTTTGAGCTGAGAGCATAACAAAAGCTCTGCTATGCTACATAAAATGGAGCTGAGATTCACAGATAATAACAATAATGCATTTCTGCTTCATGCTTTTCATCTTGATAGGTCTGAATTACCCACTCTCCACTTCAGAACCACTTTGCTGCAACTCCCTCCTCCAACCCAAGAGCCACCATCTCTCAGATCAGAAGGTTGTGATGTTTCATGGCCATAGAAAGAAGAAGAAATAAACATAGTTCATTATAAAACACAATTCTCATACTATACCTGAAACAAACTTCCTCCTTCATTTTTCACAAAGAAATGTTGCATTTAATTTAATGTGCATTCAAGGCTGATAAATCAGGTGCCAATTAATGAATGCATTGTCACGTATCTTAGGTTTATTGCCCATGGTTGATATTCCCAATCATGCAATCTTACAATTAATGTTCATAATAAAAATGTACCAAAAGTCTCCATTTCTAAATGGCCTTCTCATTCCTCCAAGGATTCTAGAATTCACTCTGAGTTACTGTTAATGTACTTTATCCTAGGAATCAATAAGCAGAAAACAGATACCTTTAAGGAAAGGAGTTTCTTGTCTAAGGCACGAGCAAGTTCCAACATCATTGCACATGGCACGGCTGAATCAGTGGCTCCTACAAACACTCTGTTGTTCCAGTGGGAAAAATACTTGGAGTCATAGTGGCAGGCGAGGACCAAATGTCGTTTAGCAGTGGGATTGAGGGTGCTGATGATATTTGAGAAAGACCGGTACCCATAGGGTGTCTGACTCAAGAAGGTGTCTATTTCCAAGACCCAGTCAGCCTGAAGCCTCTGAATTCGCTGCATGATGTGCTGATCAAAACAAAAAAACAAAAAATTTAGATCTAAAGAAATGGCTTTCATTTGTTAACTGTGATTCTGAAATTTTAAGTAGTGCCTTTCAAATTAAAATTGGAATACACACTTAATGAATTCATAGCAATATTATTGCAATTAATAATTGCTTTGTATTGTTATTGTAATTAATAGCATTTGTCCTGTTTAAAGGAGAAGCTAATCCTCTTGCCTCTCCCTTAAACTTCCCCTTACTAATCAATCTCAACCAATTGTTAATATTAACCAGTGTTAATAGTTTGATGCAGATCTTTCGACATATCTTCTCCTTGCTTATGCAAACCTACAGTAGCATACAAACACATATATTTGGCAGAGGGGCATATGTTTTTGTAGGAAAAGAATCCTACTTTTTATATTACTCTCCCCTTGCTTTTCTCCTTTAACAATATATTATGGACATGTCTACAAGTCAGGAGACAGAGATGCAGTTCGGTAATAGTAACGTACACTTTTAATATTTCTAGGAGGCTACAAAGGCATATTTAAAAAATTAAGTAAACCAGCAACCTACAGGTCTCTATCTCTAAGCTCTTCAAGGACAAGAACTGCAAATGGTAGCTCTTTCTGTCCCAAGTGCATAACATGTGTCCAAGTCCAGCAAATGCTTTACATGTAATGAACACTAATAAAAGATACAGATGCTCACCTGCTAAGGATAACGTAGAAAGCTCCCATAGCTAGGGGGTGGTTCAGGTTATTTCAGACCTCCGCTCACTGTAAGAATTAATAAGCAACCCTGAACCATAATAACATATCAAGCAGCTTTCCCTCTGCACCCAAGGCAGGTTGAGACGCACTGCAAATGCTGGCAAATATAAAAGAGAATCTCTTTCCCCATCTCTGCTGGCCACCTTGAGCCTTATAAGGCAACACAGTGACTGACAGAAGAAAGCAACAGGTGCAGAAAGTAGCATCACTTCAGGAACTAGAAGTATTTTTTTAAAGAACATATTATAGACTTCACGATGTGAGAAGTTATAGGTGAGTTCATTGCTGATTCATTTGCCTTTTCCCATCCCTATTTTATCTTGGCTTCACTTTCCTATGTTCCTTGGTTTTTTGTTTGTTTGTTTGTTTTGTTTTGTTTTGTTTTGTTGTTTAACAGGGCTTCACTCAGTCACCCAGGCTGAAGTGCAATGGTGCAATCTCAGCTCACTGCAACCTCCGCCTCCTCGGTTCAAGCAATTCTCCTGCCTCAACATCCTGAGTAGCTGGAATAACAGACACATGCCACCATGCCTGACTAACTTTTGTGGGTTTTTTTGTTTTGTTTTTTTGGTTTTTTGTAGAGATGGAGTTTTGCCATATTGCCGGGGCTGGTCTCAAACTCCTGGGCTCAAGTGATCCATCCGCCTCGGCCTCCCAAAGAGCTGGCATTACAGGTGTGAACCACCATGCCCAGGCTGTTTCTTTTTTTTTTTTTTTTCAAGTATCATATACATCATTGTAAATTGCCTTAAATTATTTTTATAAAAAGTCAAACGACAAACTAACATCAAAATAACTGACAATTTGTCCTTCAATTAACATCTAACCAAAAACCAACATTTCAGATCTAACAGTTCAGATCTAGACAGTTTAGATCTGGGATGGACCTTAAAATGAAAAATGAATAACTGGAAATGAATGTGAGGGCTTTTATTTTTTTTTTCCTCCTAAGAAATACAGGATTTTCTATCCTAGCCAAGTCCCATGTGGCCTGTGCTCACTAATGCGACATGACACGTAGGCAAGAGACTCAAAACAACTGCGGCAGGAAGCTTCCAAGGAAAGGGGAATTTAAATAGTGGGAGGACACTGATCCTACAGTCGGTCCTGCAAAAGCCAACTAAACAAATGATTCCCCAGCTAGAGACTCCTTGCTTTTTATAGTGGGTGGACTTTGTCCTAAATAGCATTGTGCATGCAGTACCTTAACTTTTCTATTGCAAATTTACATGCTGTCTTATCACATCATCAAAAGAAATGTTTATAACCTTTTTTGAAATCAGCATTCATAACTCTCCACAATTTGTAGTACTGTGCTTTGCTCACAGTAGGCTATCAGTAAATATGGGTTCATTCTAACAGTAAATATGAATTGATTTAATGAGAATATATAAAACTATACGATACAAAGCATTAATAGTTTGAATAGAGAGAAATCACTATGCACCTAACATGAGTTTTTCTGCAGACTATGAAAATGAGTTATCCCTAGACTGTAAAAAAAAAAAAAATTCCACAAAATGGGTCATTTAAAAAAAAAAAAAGCATATACTCCAGAACATCTGGTATCCAGATGATAAAATGCTCCATAAAATGGCTTCTTCAACACCAATTGCAGATTGCAAGCTCACAAAATGAATTGGAATTTTAAAAAATATATCTGTTAGCAATACTCAGAAGTCACACACAAACTTATTTCTCAACTTGTTACTAGGTCTTGATCATAATTTCTGATGACCTTGTTGACACTAAAATCCATAAGAGAATCAGCATATATCCTCAAAAGAGTTTTTCCTGAAGCAACTTTTTTTTTTTTTTTTTGAGACGGAGTCTCACTCTGTCGCCAGGCTGGAGTGCAGTGGCACAATCTTGGCTCACTGCAACCTCCAACTCCCTGGTTCAAGCAAATTCTCCTGCCTTAGCCTCCCGAAAAGCTGGGACCACAGGCACATGCCACCACGCCTAGCTAATTTTTGTATTTTTGGTAGAGACAAAGTTTCACCATGTTGGCCGGGATGGTCTCGATCTCCTGACCTTGTGATCTGCCTGCCTCAGCCTCCCAAAGTGCTGGGAATACAGGCATGAGCCACCGCACCCAGCCCCGCAACTTTTTTGTTCAGTGTAACTATTTTTTGTTTATCTTAGCAGCTAAGATAAATCGTCTTTATAAACGATCAAATTGGCTGCATAATCTAATTAGTTCACCAATATCCCTTGTTTTGTTTTTGGCTTTCAGACTTAGTCTACAAGTCCCCACCAGAAGTCTCTAGGGGAACTCCCCAAACGACCACTACTATCATTCAAATACCCGTAAGCAGGGAGTGCGTGGCTGTGGCAGGGACTCTAAAGCAGCTGCCTTCCCCAATACCAAAGCAGCAAAGGGCTGGACCCTCCAGGAGTGCCGAAAGGCAATTTAGAATATAGATCACACTTTGGGTTGCTATACATCTATGTTTTAAAATGGAGAGGAGAGAAAAAGGGAGAAAGAGAAAAAGTGAGAGAGATGGAGATAGGGATAAAGCAGAGATAGATGGAGACTGAGTAGAGAAAGAAAAAAAATACAAAGATGAAGACATGAGCACGAGAGAGAGGCTGTTACAAGATAGTCTACTTCCAAAGAGTGGTAGGGGGATTTATTCTAGGTTAACACTAGTGAATGATCCTGGGTTTCATTTAATTAAACATAAATTCTAGTTTCCAGGTTCTGAGAAACAATGACATCAGTAGACCAGATTTGCTTGGAGGAAGCCGATTTTCCAGTATTTGTGTTAAGTCTGCAAACACATCGTCGTCAGGATGCGGACATCTGCCACCTGAAGACTCGGGTACCTCTTTACTCTTGAGTGCACCATATATGAGTCCCTCGGGCTCCTCCTCTTAGGGGGCTGGACTGAGGGTGCACCTGGGATCTATGTACCTGATGACATTCAGTTTCGGTGGCTCAGATGCACTGTGCACCTGTGGGGGATTTTACCCCCTGAAGTTTCTAGTTTGCCTCTTTTAGACAAAGGATATTGCTTGCCCATTTGTGAGACTTTATCATCCTAATTTTTTAATTTTTTTATTTCTATCTTATAAATCAATGAAATAGCCCCAAATGTATTATCTTCAAATTATTTGTTTTACAAATAACTTATCTCCTCAAAATAAAAATATCCTAATAATCCAATAGGCAGCTTTGGGGTCATTGATCAGAGACCAGGAAAACGCATAATGTGGGACAGGGTTCCCCCAAAATATTCTCTTTCTGTAAAAGAGAACCCATAGTAATGCACATCTTTACTGGTAACTACAAAAGTTAATTCACAAACCAATTTTATATCAAGTTTACCCTTTTTTAATATTTGAGGATCTTCTCTAGTTACAACCTTGAAACTCTAAATTATAAAACATCTCATCTAGTGTTCAAAAAGGCCTCAGGAGAAAAAAAAAAGGTTCAATCATTTTTGTTTCAATTCAGTTCTACATGAAAGGATCTAATCTTAGTCAAATTAAGGCCATTAGTGTAGTTCCCTCATAATTACTCTGTCATGTACCTCACTTTCAAAATGAGAATTCCTTTGTCTTCCACAGCTTAGAAGATAGGTCTCTAAAAATTAATGGTAATTTTCTTCTCAAAAAATTCTAAAATGGAATCTAAGTGAGATATCTAACATAGCCATCAGCCAGCCCATGCATAGGCAGCCCAGCAGTAGTTCCCAACACATTCTAAAATACTGTCCATAAATATCTCATTTGCCTCCACCCCCATATGATAGTGGAGAATGTTACTGAAACTTCAGTAACACTTTTAAATGAATATGTATCTTTTTAACTACAACAATATCTATGTATATTATTTATCCTATATACTGTATTCTGTTGAAGCTAAAGATCAACTAGCAAAGTTTATTGTGTTCATGGATTTCCAGAGCCTGCAGGCAAAGAACCTCAGGCCTGAAGTATGCATATCATTTCTGGTTATATACAGCGCTCTGGGCAAATGGTATGGGAAAAAAAAAAGGTTGAGTTGAATGGGAAGAGTAAGCATCACAGACCTAGATTTTTTTCTAACAAGGAACTGAGGCTTTTGGAAAATGCCAATTAAATGCCCTGGCCTTCTTTTAAGAAAATGCTTGAGAGATAAGGCCCAGGGAATGTTGTTAAAGTGAATGGTATGTGCCTCACTCTCCAACTTGGGCTTGAGAAGATCGAGAGCTGGAGACATTTGAGTGCACGAAGCAGAGCTGATTCCTCCCAGCTCTCCAGTGACAGGATAGAGATCTCAAGTGGATTCTGGCCTCAACAATGGTACAAGTATAACCTTGAGCAAGTTAATTCATATACCTCAACCTCAGATCTTTTTAAATTCCTAATATTGAGATAATAATAGCATCCACACACTGTTCTGAAGGCTGAATGAGATGATCTATGCAAAGAACTCAGTAAAGTGCCTGACCCAGAAAAACTGCTCAGTGAAAGTCAGCCATCATTGCTATTATTCTTCACTCTGCCTAAAGGTTAGACAGAACTAAGGTGCCTGCAGGGTGTCTACCGTCTAATTCCTTGGGAGAAGCCAGAGCTATTCAGATGGAAGACAAAAGGCTAATGGGGACACAGACATATGGATATCTAGGCTAGCCTGAGAGGCAGAGGCTGTACACTGGGCAGAAAGGAAGAGCTCAGCCGGACGCGGTGGCTCACGCCTGTAATCCCAGCACTTCGGGAGGCCGAGGCGGGCGGATCACGAGGTCAGGAGATAAGAGACCATCCTGGCCAACGTGGTGAAACCCTGTCTCTACTAAAAATACAAAAATTAGCCGGGCATGGTGGCGTGCGCCTGTAGTCCCAGCTACTTGGGAGGCTGAGGCAGGAGAATAGTGTGAACCCAGGAGGTGGAGGTTGCAGGGAACCGAGATCGCGCCACTGCACTCCAGCCTGGGTGACAGAGCGAGACTCTGAAATCGAAAGGAAGAGCTCAAGAGCTGGGCACCTGCGCCTTGCAGTTCTCAATCTAGGCACAGCAGTGGGTGCCAAGGTCTTTTGCCTGAGGAGTTTCAGAAGAGGATGTGAAGGGCCAGTCCCATTCCTTCCCAAGCGGCCCCTTAAAATGGGGCTAGTTTGAAAAAAACAGATATTCAGAGGTGAGGTTTCAGATTGCTTAGGAAGACTGACATCAGGGAGGCAAAGAGGCATTCAAGGTCTGGCCCAGCTTGTTCTACCCTCCACAACAGTGGTAAAATCAATGGGTCTTGAAATCAGTTTAGTGGGTTATGACCAGCATTTTTTAAGAACCAATAAAATAGAACTGACCATATTGCAGTAAAATGCTGTAAGAATATTTTTCGTGGAAGTTTTGTTTCAGTTAAATATGCCAGTACGTTTGTGTGTATAAAATGTAAAATTCATTTTTTTTTTACTTTGTGTCAGAGTCAGAAGTTTGAGAAGCACTGCCCTGGAGAAATGCGGCTAGCTTATCACCAGCCTTAACTCTCCCTCCAGGGAAAATACAATTTCCCTAAGGCGAGTGATGGCCTGACAGTACAATGATACTCTTGACTTAGAACCTTCAAGCAAGGACTCCCTAAGCCTGTTGCTGTTCATTGTTTAGGATTCAAGAAAACTTAATTGGGAGCCTCGGGGTGTGCTATTGAATGGTCAAGAGTGAAGGACTGTGTAATGTTGTACCCCAAATAGAGATTTCACACATAAACTATTGACATTAACATGTACCACTTAATTCAGAACAGACATGTACTCTCAGTCATTTGATTTTTCTTGGTTGACTATTTGGTGAATGAGGAGATGACAGATCTGAATATTAGACACCTCAGAACTTCAGCCATAACATTATCCCTCATGAGAAAGCACAGTATTCACACAAGCTTGAGGTTTGTGTCCCATGTTCTCACCTGACGAGCAGCATAGCTTCCAGGGGATCCCGGGTATCGCTCTATCAGCAATGGCTGTAAGTCATTTTGCCACATTTCAGAGATACTGGTGCCTTCTGCAATTTGCCGAAGAGCCGATGAATTCAAAATGGCTGGCTGGTGGTAATTCTGAGGATTGAATGAAATCATTTAACTAGCTATCCTTTCATAACATGTTTAAGACTCTGACATGTTTTCAATTAATTGCTTAAAACTTCAAAATAAGGGAGAACTTTATGTCAAATGAGGTAAATTAAACTACTCAACTTTAAAATTGGGCTGTTAGGGCTGGGCACGGTGGCTCAAGCCTGTAATCCCAGCACTTTGGGAGGCTGAGGCAAGAGGACTGCTTGAGCCCAGGAATTTGAGACCAGCCCTGGCAACATAATGAGACCTTATCTCTACAAAAAATGAAAAAATTAGATGGGCGTGGTGACGCATTGGTGCATGCCCGTTGTTCTAGCTACTTAGGAGGCTGAGGTGGGAGGATTGCTTGAGCCCAGGAGGTCAAGGTTGCAGTGAGCTGTGTTACTGAGCCCTCCAGCTGGGCAACAGAAGGAGACCCTGTCTCAGTAAAAATTTTAAAAATAATTAAAAAACCCAACTGTTAGCCTAAGTAAATCTTACACAGTATAGAGGGAGAGTAGTCAGGGAAGACTTTATAGATGAGCCACAAATTAAGGGGTCCTCGAATTTTAATAGGATTTTAATAGCAAGCCTAATTCAAAATTTTATAATGATTACATGTTGAAATGGTAATTTTTTGACATATTAGGTTAAATGAAGTATATTATTAAAATTAATTTTACCCCTTTTTCACTTTTTTAATGTAGCTACTAGAAAAATTAAAATTACATATGTTTCTTTCATAATCTTTTTTTTTTTTTTGAAGTTGGGGTTTCTCTCTGTCACCCAGGCTGGAGTGCAGTGGTGCAATCTGGCTCACTGCAACCTCCACCTCCCGGGCTCAAGCAATCCTCCCACCTCAGTCTCCTGAGTAGCTGAGTCATTATTTCTTTTTTATTATTATTATTTTAGATGGAGTTTCACTCTTGTTGCCCAGGCTGGAGTACAATGGCATGATCTTGGCTCACTGCAACCTCTGCCTCCCGGGTTCAAGCAATTCTCCTGTCTCAGCCTCCCGAGTAGCTGGGATTACAGGTGCATGCCACCATGCCCAGCTAATTTTTGTATTTTTAGTAGAGACGGGGTTTCATCATATTGGTCAGGCTGGTCTCAAACTCCCAACCTCAGGTGATCCACCCACCTCGGCCTCCCAAAGTGCTGGGATTACAGGCATGAGCCACCGCACCCAGCCCTGAGTCATTATTTCTATTAGACAGTGCCAACTCAGATGATTGTTGCAATTCCTTTCAGCCTGAGCTTGGTGAATCTATAGCCAACTAAATAGTAGACTTTTTAACTTCAATTAAAATTATTTTTAAATTGCATTAAAGTTCACATAACATTCAAATTTGTATTTTGGATGACTTCACACATACTGTATATTCTTATGATACTGGTAATGATGAACCATTCATTCATTACATGTTTATCAGGCACCTAATAATGGAATGTGTTACTCCTCCTCAACAGGAAGAGAACAATTGATCAGATGACTTCTTCCCTAAGGGGAAGGATGAGGATGACATAAGAATATTGAATTATTTGGAAGGCAAAACAGAAATTAGGAGAGGCCTATTTTATAGTTCCTTTCAGGACCAGTGTTAGCTGGATACGCTTAAATAGTCATGCAACTATTTTCATTCCATGTGATCGACTCCATGGGACTGGTGTGAAACTGGACTTCAAAGAATGCTTATTGCCTAATTATTTACACTCATCTATACTCCGAGATGGCTGTTTACTTTCCAGTACTTACCATGCAAAGAGCATGGGCTATAGGATCAGACAGACCCTCTCAACTCAGCCTCTCAACTCAGCACCCCACCACCTACTAGCTGTAAATCTTTCCAGGTTACTAAACCTCATTAAGGCTCAATTTCCTCATCTGTAAAACAGAGGTAGTAATACCTGAATCCTAGGGTAAATAGAATTAAGTGAACTAACATATGTAAACTGCCATAGTAAATATTCAATGTGTTAGTTACTATTTCCTTCTATCAAACACTAAAGAGCCATAGAATGAATTTTAAAGTTGGAAAAGCCACTTAGAGATGCTCTAGTCTCCAACCTCCTTCATTTATATTAGTGGAAACTGAGATTCATAGAAACCAGCTGACTTCCTGAGGTTGAAGGAGAGTTACAGGTAAATCCACAAAAAGATCCGCTGTCTGGGGATTTCCAATCCCATGCTAGTTTTACTCTGCCTCACTGTCTCATTTATGCACTTCCAGTTTATTCCTGAATATTGGTGCTGTGCCTGAACATCAGAAGATTTGTCTTTGTTTATTGGTAGGACATTTTTAAATATATTTCCTTGATAAACTTGTCAGTGCAGGCTTTAAATCCCTTGGTACCTCCAGGATCTAAGTCCTCATGCCAGCTCCCAAACAACAGTTGGAAAAGAAAGCTGAAGCTGAAAGACAAAGCAATAGAAATGTGCGAAGGGATAAGAAGAATATGGAGGCAAGAGGTCAGAAGACTTCCATGGTTAATTATTACTCAACCCTGCCAACAGAAGCCTGTCTGGTCTCCCCCCTCACCCTTGCTCACCATGCTTCGGTCACTCTGGCATTTGGCCAGGCCCCAAATGCTCTGAGGTTCTGCCCCCATGAGGCTTTGGCATCTGCGGTGCTTTCTGCCTTACAAGCTGTTTCCCCTCCTCTTCACCTGGCTAACTCCTGCTCACTTCAGCTTGCAGCTTGGAGGCCACTTCTTTGTGTGTTTACTTGTTTAATGTCTGTCTTTCATACAAGACATCAGCTCCATAAGGGCTGGAACTCCCTCTCTCTCTGTTGTTTACCTCTCTCTCCCACACAGGCCACACAGGGCCTGGTTCATCTTGAGCATTTGATAAATATTGGGGAAATTAATCAAAAAAGCAATCAACAGATGAACTATCTTTCTAAAATTATCTTTGCTAAGACTGTATTTATATAATAATAAAGTAACATGGGCATTTTTCTGCCACTGTAAATAATAAATCAGCTGAATGCACAAGCAAGCATAAAGACAGAAGAGACAGGTGGCTACCTGCTGCAATGGCCAGGAAGTGCTGTGGTTCAATGTTATTGGGCTTTGCTCTTTTTGAATTTCTGACATTCGATGCTTCTGACGATGAAGAGCTGGGTTGACCCAAGCAGTCACTATGACAACCAAAACTGTTGTGTCAAAAGCTGTTTACCAGTGGCTCCTTGTCTGCTTACTGTCCAATACTCTATCCCAAAGCCCATCTGGTCACTGTGGATAGAAGCTTTCACTCCATGTCCAGAGTGAAACGAAATCACTTGTGTTTAAATGGCTGGTTTCTAGAGGCTTGAAAGAGCTCTTAAGACATTTAAGAAAAAACAGGAACAAAATAAATGCCCCCTCCCCCAAGCATCTTTAACTACAAGAGATACTGCAGATGAAACCTAATTGGCAAATAGCACCAAAAAATGCTTAATGGATGACTAAAGGGTAAATCCAGCAGACAGGCCAGGCCTATTGATGCTTATGAATCTAGAGACTTACATGTGTTTGCTCCTCAACCTCCTGGGCTCAACCATTTAATTAACATACTTCAGTAAAGAGCCCTGACTCTCCTTGCCCCTCTGGGGGCAAAGATGCCCCTGTAAAATCCCAGAGCTAAAAGCTTCCCAGTAACTGAAGGACAGAGAAGAGGAAACAACCAACTACACTCAGTCAACTACTTAAGCCTTCTATTCATTAAAGCCCTGTGTGGAAAAGCATTTGACTTTCCCAACCTAAATAGCATGCATTCAATGTTTGAGGGGTCTTATTCTCAGAACTCAATAGATATACAAATTTAGGTGGAGATGAGATGAATGAGTAAGAGGAAAAAGCTGGAAAGAAAGAGCGAGCTCAGCAGGGGGAAAGTAACTCAGGCAAAAACAAAGTTGAGCCCAATGGTAAATGCAAACCCCAATTTATTGTAGGTTTATCTCAGTTAAAAGACACTTAGACAATTTTCTATTGGTGCAGGTGTTCTCAGAGGAATGAGGCTCTGTTACAGCCCCTGCCTTGTCTTTTCATCCAGACAGAAAGGACAATAAGTCTGCTCTGAGTGCAAGAATCTTTCAGCCAAAAGTGTGAACCAGATATCCTGAAGCATCTCTTCTAGGCTAATCATGTGGTTTTAAAGAGGGTTTTAATTACATAATTGATAGAGTTGGCCCAGCTTGCAAAGGGTTTTGAGGTTCCAAAAGACTGAATTAAAGGGAGATCATTACAGAAATGCAGCCAATGCAAGTCCAGTTTCTATTCTATATGAATGTCTCCCGGGCAATTCTCAGATTAACACCTCTGTCTGTCTGCAAAGTCAGCTCAATCAGCAGTTACTGAACTCCTTCTGTGTGTCGGATGCCACTGATATAAAAAATTCAGTGGGGGAATAGTTAGGAACTGAACAAGACAACATCTGTCTTTTCTAAAATGCAAGCAGCCCTCTACTTAAAAGCAGAGCCGTGCGGGCTTTAACCACAACAGCTTAGGGTGAAATCTCAGCTCCCTCGCTTATTAGCTGTGACTAGGAAAGAGTCCATATCTGTAAAATGGATCTCATGATACTTACCAACTAGATGGTAAGGCTCCAAAATGACATTTTGTCTTTCTGTCCCTACCAACACCCAGCCCCCAACTAACTTCCACGTCACTGCCTGAGAGTCTCCGTCGTTGCTTCCATTAGAATGCAACAACAACAATAACACACACACACACACACACACACACGCGTGCGCGCGCAGAGAGAGAGAGATAGAAATAAAAACACCAAAATGGTTAATAGCCATTATCTCTGAATAGTGGGGTTATGGGTGACATTAGTTTTCTTTTTAGTGTATTTTTCTGTATTTTCCAAGTTTTCTAAAATGAGCACATGTCAACTTTATAATTAGAAGACTTCAATAGAAGGCAGACTTTTTAGTTTATCGAAACTAATATTTTTAAAGAGCATATAAAGCCCTCAAAAGCCATCAGTCATTCGCACCTAAGGAAGAATGATTTAATGAGATTCTGTTTAATAGCTAGTTGACAATGTTGTACTAAAGGAATGGGCCTGTACTAAAGGAATAAGACTGGTGACCAAAAGGCCTGGGGAAGATTCAGAAGAAGTAACTCTGGAATATGGATTAGCACCCAGACTAATGATGACCTTTAAGCTGCATGAAGGAGATCAAGGAAAGGAGAAAATAGGGGGTGTCAGAAGAGAAGGTACCAAAACCAAACTACCTGTTTTAGAATGCCATTTAGGGTCCACCCTGACCCAGAAAGAGAGAGTAAGCTCTTCATCTGGCCCTCCAACTTCCCTGCTAGCCCCACACTTTTTCACTACCTGGGCACTGTTCCGGGTACATCAGCCAGGACTCATCTACCATTAGAAAAGCACAGAAGAAGAAAGGAGAGATCAGGGCTTAAGCCAAACCCTAGCTCTTCAGTTCACTAGTGCAATAGTTGTCAAGTTTCCTCAACCATAAATTGAGGATGAATGTACCTTCCTCATGGGGCTTGCTGTGAAGTTCAAGTGAGGTGGATGTATATATATATATGTTATATATATATATATGTTATATATATATGTTATATATATGTTATATATATATGTTATATATATATGTTATATATATATATGTTATATATATATATATATATAAAACACCCCATACCCAGATGCCAATGCCTCTAAATACACAGGTGTGTGCCCACCTGGGAGTTTAACAATTTATAATATTGTTACTATGGAAAAATTGTTTCCAGGTTTCAAATACATAATCAAATCATGGCCTCTGAATGCCACCATAAACTACAGTTGATCTGCTTTTACATATTCAAAGCCACTGAAAGAGAAACATCTTTATTTCAAAACGAAGGAAATGGATTTCAAAATCAATGCTTTCTTTACCACACCTCACCTGTTAGCAGACCAGTGTACCAAAGACATACATCATATGATTAAAATAGTCGAACACCATAAAAAGTAGGAAGGCACATATTTTAGTGTGGACCGATTCATCACCCAGGCTGCAAGACTTTATGAAGGTCTACAGAATAAGGGGAGGAAGCTAGAAACTGGGAAATGTGATGGCTGATTGTCATTTGCTTTTAATGATTTGAAAACATTCAGTTTCTCAATGGAACAGTGATCAGAAGCTTCTTAAAATAAATATAAAAGGGATTCATGCTTTAAAAGACGTTTCTCAAAAGTTAAATTCTCATTGGTTTAAAATATTTTAAGAATCACAGCACCTTTTCCCACCCATAAATACCCCCTGCCTACACACACCTACAAATGATCTTTTCAGAGTGGTTTGTTCAGTTTCCATCTCATTTATTCCCTTCCATTTAGATGTATCACAAAGATACATTTGGTGTGGCTCCATATTCCAGTCTGTAATGTTCTCTTCCCAATTTCTGACCAGAAGGGTATTCTCAGTGAAGAGAAGGAGAGGATTTTTTGTGTGTCATTCCACGTTCTTCTTCATGGGCCCCCATGGGAAGTTGTTTTCCTTAAAATAAAGTTATTCTTATGTTACAGACTTCCCTCACTACCACCAGGTTCCCTGTGGCCTGTGGTCTCCATGTGTAAGTGGGGCCTGCTGTGACCCCTGAGTGGTGATTACATTAGATCCGAAGAATTGAAATGGGCTATTCATATATATATGCATGTAGCTGGGTGGGAGTGGGCATTTACCAGCGTGCCCTGTATTTCAAACATTTGAGTAAATACAGGCATACTCTAAGTGTGTAAAAGGTCTGCTCAATAACACTGCCAAAGTTTATATCGCTTCACTTTGCTGCTTTTCTTAATATCTCTATAACATACTATTTTATGCTGACATCATTAATATTTGCACAATCCCTTAGCAATTTCATGATTTCAAAACTGTTACACAAGAAAAGGAAGTAATTGTGAACCCATGTAATTGTGAACCCATATACTTCTTTTTTTTTTTTTTTTTTTTGAGACGGAGTCTCGCTGTGTCGCCCAGGTTGGAGCGCAGTGGCGCGATCTCGGCTTACTGCAAGCTCCGCCCCCCGGGTTCACGCCATTCTCCTGCCTCAGCCTCCCGAGTAGCTGGGATTACAGGTGCGTGCCACCACGCCCGGCTGATTTTTTGTATTTTTTAGTAGAGACAGGGTTTCACCATGTTAGCCCTGATGGTCTCGATCTCCTGACCTCGTGATCCACCCGCCTCGGCCTCCCAAAGTGCTGGGATTACAGGCGTGAGCCACCCCGCCCGGCCGAACCCATACACTTCTTACAGAGGGAACTTGCAAATCACTTTTATCCTAAGTTCCTTATATGCGATTTCTACCTACAACTAGATCCATTTTCTCTGAAAATAGCAGGTACCCTCTTTTAAGTGGAGGAAAAAGGCTTTTGAAGTAAGCAGGTCTCCAGTAAAGGTCCTTCCTGCCGAGTTGCTCCTTTTAAAAATCTAAAACAAACAACACACATCCGTCCTGAGACTGTAGGGACACTTCAGCGCCCCAGCAGCATCCTTGGATGAAGCAGCGGGGGGGCTGTGGGCACACCCCCAGGCGCACCCCGCACCCTAGCGGCCCCGGAGCGCCGGCCCCGTTGCCCTCCAGGGTCCCGAGTGGGGGGTGGCGCCGCGATGCGCCCTCGCCTCCCGGCTCAGCAGCCGCCGGCGAGACACATTTCCTGTGCCTATCAGCACCCCCATCAGACCGCAGCCCAGGAGAGGCCAGTGACATCACCCAGCCCCCCTGGCGTCTCCAGAACAGCCCCGGACTGGCCGAGGCACCCCGGCGAGTATGCAGAGCCCCGACTCCTCCGGGCGCCGGGTGGGGCGCCGGTGCCTGGGCTGGGGACCGTGGCCCTGCCCCGCCTCCCGCTCTGCCTAGGTAGGGCTGACCCGGCCAGGGGTCCTCGCATCGGACCAGAGCCGCTCAAGTACAACTACGCAGAAACAGCCCCTCACCTTCTCCTCTGGCCAGGCTGAGGCACTCGGACTGACCCCCCTGGATGCCCAGGGCAGGGCGGCCACCAGCAGCAGCAGGTGGAGGGTGCCCACGACGCGCCGGTGTCTTCCGCCTGCCATCTCTCCGAGTCTGTCTGGGAGCGGGTTCCCCGGGCCGCTGGCGGTCACGAGCCCGGGAACGCGCGTCCTTCGCCTTCCCTCTTCTCCACCCTTGGGTCGACTGCGCCCGCCTTCCCATCGCCCCCGGGTAGCCTCCCGCCGCGTCGCGCAGGCTGCAGCCCTCCTACCCCGGACCTTCGCAAACCCCGGGGCTGGGCGGCCCTGGGTGACAGACACAAGCTTCTGAACCCAAGCTAACAAAGGCGGCCACTTCCTTCTCTTGGAGAAGATGAAAGGAAGGAAGCAAGAGACATGGAAGAGCCTTTTTATGATCTCCAATGCCAAAACAGGGAACAGAAAAGGGAGGAAGGGTTCACCAGACCCTGGGGAGTTATGAAGTGTTTCCCACAGCTCCTAAAGAAGGGGTGGACAGGGAATCGACGTCTGCTGAACACGGCACCAGGCACCGTCCTAGGTGCTTGTCCAACCTTCCCGGATTTAATCCACTAATCCCATTTTACAGACGGGGAGACTGAGACACCCCCCCACCCCCCATAGAAAGCCTGGACTGGAACCCACAAGCAAAAGTATGACAGTGGATCTTTGCCTTTTCTCTTTTTTCTCACAAATAGTTGCCTTGCCTCACATCATACTCTCAAATTGAAAAGGATGGTCAAAGTAATTATCTGAAATAATGAGATCTACAATATTCACAGCGGCTCTGAAGGAGTCATCTTCTCCAAGGCATGGCCCCAAAAGGAAAAGCCAAACACAATTCTATTTACTTTGTAACATCAAAGGTCATTGTTATCCAGATAATCCTAGGGCAGGAAAACATTTCAGTTTTGTCTGTAGGTTTCTGGTCCAAGTTGTCAGGACAGTGACTTTCACCAGCCTCTTTTGCTTCCACAGTGAGGATCAGGGCTTGGCCTGCTCTGAGTCATCTCCCAGTAACATCTAGTTCCCAGAAAAATCAGAACAAGGATACTGAAGCAGAACCATTTCACAGAGAGCAAAGATTTGAAGGTAAGGAAGCTGCCAGAAGGCCCACCCACTCACTCTGTCTTCCCAGCCTTGGCTATGAGTTTTTAAAGAGAGGGCTTGCCTGGAAATACACTGTTCTGCCCTCCTCTGGAGCTGTAGGAGAAGACAGGATGTAAATAACTCCTTTCCTGGTGTACAGATTTGCTAACCCTATTCATGTCTGAGAGTTTTGAGTGACAATTTAAATCTCCAGGCTTAAATAAAATTAAATACACCTTTATTAAACCCACAGACAGTTCTGATCATCGGACCCCCTTCAGAACTTTCTACTGGCTCCAGTTTCAGAACTAAACCACTGTCACATTCCCCAATACAGCTCCTCTCTTGCTGCCTGGGTCAACCTTGAAATAGTGCATTTCCTGAGTGGCTGGGTAATAAAGAGCCTATTTGCTTTTTTTTACCCTATTACCTTTATGTCTTTTCACAATATGGTTCCTATAAGAAAGAGAACGTGGAAATAGCAAACCTAAATGAAACAAAATGTGAGAGGTACTATCATGCTAAGTATGAGCAATTCAAAACAAGAAATATAGAAATAAGCTAAAATGTCAGCACATAACGTAATGATGATTTTGTTTCCTAAGTTTCTCCAATTTTGGTTATATTTAAGTCAATAAGATGTTCTTACAGTTTGGTATCTACAGGAAGCAGACTCTGAGACAAGAGTTTAACATGCAGGATGTGTATTAGGGAGTGCCCTTGGGACAAACCCCTGTGGGAGGAAGAAGGGGAACAGGAGAGAACAGAGGGAGAAGTTAGCAGCAAAGCGGGCCCAACAACCTCACCCAACTCCATGGGAGTCCTGAAGCTGAAAAAGACGGTCAAAGTTGTCCCATACTGGGCCAAAATGTCTGGGGCCTTATCTCTGCACCTCCATGGAGTGATTTCCTGCAAGCGGCTTTCCAGCCAAAAGAGCTTGACTGCTAGAGGCTGTGGGCCAGCCGGCCTCCAACAGCTGGAGCAGGGTCCTTCCCTGGGGGCAGATCTGGGCAGCGCATCTCCTGTATCCACCACAAACGTATTGTATCTGGTACAAATCTAAAACATTCCACATAGCTAGTGAGACTGATTTCAATACATTGGTTTTTTTTTTACATGTAAGCTTTTCTGCCAACTTTCCAAGAATCTACAAATCCAACACCACTATGTATGTATCACTTCATTCCTTATGCATATCTTTTCTAGTGTCTTACACACTAAATACCCTTTTCCTTTCCTTCGCTCATTCTTTTCTCTCTTCCTTCATTTGGGAAACGTTTAGAAATACCTTATATCTGCTATTTTTGCCCTACTTCAACTTTTCCTTTCTTCAAACTCTTCCCATGGAAGATAACTAATGACTTTTCCATTTTAATTAAAGTTTCAGACCCTGTTTTTCATCATGGAAAAAATGTGTTGTATATACAGTGATAACACTGTTCTCAAGTGGAGAAATTTTTACCTCCATTATAGTATAGATTCCATACTGTGATGTGAAGGAAATGAAGGACCCAATTGCCAAAACAGATCTTCTCCATGAAGCTGCCATGGCAGGATGTTCCTACACCCAGTCCCACCTTTAAAGTGGCGCCATTAGATCAAAGTAGTAATGACCAGAAGGTTCTATTAAAACAATAGTTTTCAAAAGTGTGGTCCATGGATACTGGGGATTCCCCAAGACCCTCTTGGCTGTCTCCAAAGTCAAATCAACTTTTATAATAATACCAAAACAAGATTCATTTTTTCTACTGTATAGACTTTGCACTGATGTTGCAAAAGCAATGATGGGTAAAAATGCTGGCACCTTAGCAACTGTCAATACAGGACACAAAACTGTACTATTGAGGAGGAAAATCTATACTTGTAGTCATTGTGTTTTTCTTTCTTTCTTTCTTTTTGGAAGGAGTTTCACTCTTATTTCCCAGGCTAGAGTGCCATGGTGCCATCTCGGCTCACTACAACCTCTGCCTCCCAGGTTCAAGCGATTCTCCTATCTCAGCCTCCTGAGGAGATGGGATTACAGGCATGCACCACCATACCCTGCTAATTTTTGTATTTTTAGTAGAGACAGGGTTTCACCATGTTGGTCAGACTGGTCTCGAACTCCTGACCTCAGGTGATCTACCTGCCTCGGCCTCCCAAAGTGCTGGGATTGCAGACGTAAGCCACCATACCCAGCCATCTTAGTATTTTTCACTGCCACGCATAAAGAAAAAAAAAAAGAAGAGGACGATAAAAGAAAAGAAAAAGAGCCAGTTTCACTTAAGAATGTCATTGATGAAGTAATAAAATTGTTGTTTTACTGCCTTCTGAAGCTGTCTCTCCATGAAGCTAGATTTTAAATCTAGCAGGACAGAGTACAGGAGGAGAGAGAGCTCCTCACGTCTGCGTTTTCATCTCATGGAGACCACCAGCTCTGTGTGGACTCCTCCTACCTGCACTGCATCCTGGAAACTCTCAAAGCAGTAAGCTGGAGAAAACATCAGGCTCATCTCATTTCATTTTCCCTTTTCTCACCACTTTCCTGTGATACCTCTTTTCCAATATTTAAGCATCATTTTAAAAATTTTTATACACTTAGAGAGTACAGGAGCAGTTTTGGTACATGGATATACTGCATAGTGGACAAGTCTGGGCTTTTAGTGTAAGCATCACCTGAAAACATAGTATACATTTACCCATCAGGTAATTTCTCATCCCTCCTACCCTCCCACCCTTCCAAGTCTCCAATGTCTATTATTCAGCTCTTCATGTCATTGTGTACACATTATTTAGCTTCCACTTATAAGTGAGAACATGTGCTAGTTGAGCTGTTTCACTAAAGATAATGGCCTCCAGTTCCATCCATGTTGTTACAAAAGACAAAATTTTGTTATTTTTAATTGCTGGTAGTATTCCAGGGTGTGTGTGTGTGTGTGCGTGTGTGTGTGTGTGTGTGTGTGTGTGTGTGTGACGTTTTCTTTATCCAATCCATTGTGAATGTCATTTTTAATATATTTTAGGTGGGATGACAAATCCAGTTCCATCTTAACTGGAAGCACAAATTGAGAGTATGCAGCTCTTTATACTCACATGGGAAAATAAGACGTAGAAATCAAACACTTCTGCTGCACACCAAAGGGCAATTGTCTCAAAGAAAAGCATTTGTACCGTTGTTTCAGAAGTATAGTGGGCCGCAGTGGCTCACATCTGTAATCCCAACATTTTGGGAGGACAAAGCAGGTGGATCACTTGAGGTTAGGAGTTCAAGACCAGCCTGGCCAACAGGATAAAACCCCCATCTCTACTAAAAATACAAAAATTAGCTGGGAATGGTGGCAGGTGCCTGTAGTCACAGCTACTCCAGAGACTGAGGAAGGAGAATCACTTGAACCTGGGAAACAGAGTTTGCAGTGAGCAGAGATCACACCACTGCACTCCAGCCTGTGTGACAGAGAGAGACAGTCTCAAAAAAAGAAAAAGAGAGAGAGAGAGAAGCATAGTGAACTTGCTACTTTTTTCATGAAATTCCAATTTAATTGAAAGAACAATGACTGATAAATTATGATTATTCAGACTTGGATATTTGGCAGACATTTGAAGATGAATAAAGTGCGCCTATCCCTTGAAGGAAAATAACTGACACTGTTTGTTGCCAGTGATAAAACTGGATCTTTGCAGTAAAAATTGGAATTTTGGATAACTTGTATCTGCTACCATAAGCTTGATAGTTTCCTGATATGCAACAACTTTTATGACAAAATTGGTGATTTTAACAAATGTGATTATTTATTATATATAATGAAATGCTCAACATTTGGAATATCTGCATAACTCAGTGAAGCAATATTTTCCAAATGTTCAATTCATCATGTTACAAAGTCACAAAGAAAAGTTCCACTCAAAGTATAAGAGACACCCAGTGGATTTTAATGTAATGGAATAAAAACATGTATTTAGAAGCAGATTTTAAGTTGTACCTTTTATGACACTATCATTTGTTATGTTTTGATTTAATAATGAAGGAGATTATCCACAGTTATCTGAAGAGGCTATTAAAATACTCTTCCTTTTTCCTACTACATGTCCGTGTGGGGTCAAATTTTCTTCATGTACTTCAGCCAAAATAATATATCACAACAGGTGGAATGCATAAGCAAATATGGGAATCCAGTTGTCATCTAAAAAGTCAGAAATTAAAGAGATTTTTTTAAATGCCAATCTTCTCACTAAACTCTTTTTACTTTGGAAAATGTATTTTTTCATAAAACATGTGTCTTTAGATGCAATGACTTTATTCTTTTAAAATAAATCCATAATTAAGTATTTGTAAAATGCCTGTTCTAATTTTCAATACAATAAATATTGATAGACATGGTCCACATAAATGAAAGCTATTTGTGGTCCTCAATTACTGTTACTAATGCAAGGAGTTCTGAGACCAAAACATTAGAGAATCACTATGTTAAAACCATTCTACTTGAGAGAGACAGATGATAATACATTAAACCAATGCTTACAACTGTAGCTACACATGGAAATTATCTAGAAAGCCTTTTTTAGAAAATGGTGATGTCTGACTTCCACCCCCAGAGATTCTGATATGATTAGCCTGGTGTGTGGTCTGGGCGTCAGATCGCTTAAAAGCTCCCCAGGTGATTCTAACGTGCAGCCACGGCTGAGAATCATTGCATGAAGTCACACACTTTGAGAAATACATCAGCAAAAATCATATAATCAGATTAACTATAACATTAATAGTCATGTTGCATTGTAGTTATTTCATAAGGCCCTGAGGATAATAGCAAAAAAGATTGGGAAAGTGGCCCAGCCTTAGACAAATTATGAAGTAGGCAGCTTAAATTCAAACCCCCCAACTTTCTGGCCCCATGCAAGTCTAGTACTGAAGCACCCTGCCTTTTGTTCCTTTAATAGTCACAGAATGTAAAGAGTCCTACATTATATTCTTGTTTGAATCTGTCCGCCACCTCTTTCGATAGCAGAGTGAAAAATTAAAATATTTGCCTCTGCAGTCCAGTGTCAGATTTTTAGTGTTCCTTAGAAATCTCAGGAATCCAGATTTCCTGTAAATATTCCCAACTTCTTTCACCAGATCAGAGGTCGGGTGAAGGTGGCAATAAAAGCTAGGAGAAAAAAAACGTTCCTCTTCTTTGGTTTTCTGGCCTTCTCACTTCCCAGTCCTATTAAATAACATGCGCTGTCCTCTCGAAGAAGGACAGAGGAACAGTCCCCATAAACCCTGATTCCTTTCACAAACACTAATTATGCCCCTCAAACAAAATTCCTTTTATCCATTTAATAATTTATCATACTTTTGATCAGTTTTTCTCTGAGAGCTCTGAAAACCAAAAGTGTTCAAGGTCCAAAGAAATGAATCTCTAGTAAGAAATTTCAGTGCACTCAAGGAGATGAGAAGTAGAATCAAAGATGAAGAGAGTGGAGGTCACCTGGTGACCGTCAAGCCAGCCATCCAGAGGAAAAAACTCCTCGTCTGAGGAATTTAGAAGTAATTAGACTTCCCTGTTATCTAAAGCGGGCATCTGGTTCCAGGCTTCTTTCTCAAAAATTTATAAGTAACTAGAATTTCCATACATCTGCAGAATGTATGTATGTTGAAACTCATTGTGCAACACTTGCTGACATCAAGGCACCAAAATGCCTACAAATTTAACCATTTATCATGACCTATGTGGCTAATAGGGTCCAAATTACCATTAAACTCCCGCTTTAAGGTTCATAAACACGCCTAAGGGAAAATCCACCACAATTCCTCCCTTGCTGAGGTGCCCTGCTGCATTCTTTTGCAGCTTTCTTTCTATCTAGTAAAACTTTCCTTTTCAAACCTATACTGTTGTCAGTAAATTCTTCTCACCAATCTGCAAGTCAACCACCTTCCAATGCCGGAGCTCTGGCACCTAGCCCAGCAAAAGACAAAGACTCACACACAAAATTCATTCTTTACAGCTCACAGAATAGACAGCACTGATCTACACAGTACCTAAACTGCCTATGATGTGAAGTTACAAACAACTGATCGTTACAGGAAGCATCCATGCATATAATGTTTAAGTCTGTATATTTATAGAGGCATACATGTTGACATTTTATTCAAAAAATTTCATCTATGTTTAATTTTTCCATCTTGTGGGATCAGATAAGATAAAGCACCAATTTCATATATATATATATTTTTTTTTTTTTGAGACAGTTTCTTGCTCTGTCACCCAGGCTGTAGCATAGTGCTACACCCAGCACCCAGACTGCTGCACGATCTTGGCTCAGCGCAACCTCCGCCTCCAGGATTCAAGTGATTCTCACACATTAGCCTCTTGAGCAGCTGGGACTACAGGTGTGCGTGCAACACCACACCAAGCTAATTTTTGTATTTTTAGTAGAGACAGGGTTTCACCATGTTAGCCAGGCTGATCTCGATCTCCTAACTTCAAGCAATCCACCCACCTTGGCCTCCCAAAGTGCTGAAATTACAGGTATGAGCCACCGCACCCGGCCTTCTGCAACATATTAATGATAGAACATGAAAGGTAAAAAGCTGTTAGTTCAAGAATTTTTCATTCAGAGTTACTAAATTTTTATGGTGTAGGTTAAAAATATGATCAGAGATGTTAAGTGTGTCAATAATGTGTTTTTAAGACCTAATTCTATAAATAAGTATGATGAGAGATATTATTATTGTTATTATCCTCATTGTTAATGATAAAAAAGTTAAGGTACAAGGTTAAGTCATCTGTTCAAAGCCATGCAAAGCTGATTCATTTGCAGGCAGTGTACTTTTACTCTACCCTACAGGCTTTTATAGTTTCAGAGGAGAAAATTTAAGTAGCTATTAAAATCTAACTTTCAATAAGCTGAGGAAAGCTTTTACTGAAGTTAAAATCAGATACCATTGAAAGTATTTTATCTCTAGATTTTAAGTACAATATTCATTTTTGTATTTTTGTCTCCTTTAATCATATATCTAATATCATATCTATTAGTAGAAGGGGGAAAGGGAAATTTTTTTCAAAAAAATTAAATGCCAAAATGTAAACTAATATAACCTAAAGTCAAGACGAAGCCACTCAGTTGTCTTTTGCTCTGGGGTCATTTGTGGATTTTCTGCAGTGTTATATTCTACTTATCCATGTTTTAAAGATATGAAATTGTGATATTTTCCTACTGATCAGGCTACACAGACTGTTATCAGACAACTGAAAAAGCATCCTTTCTCTCAATCTTATAATGTTAATTGTGCTTGTTAATTAGTCTCTTTCTGGCTTTTCATGAAAGAACAGTCATTCTAAGAGTAATTTTCAAGTCTTACCAAACAAACAACACGAAAAAGTTTGCTTTTAAGACTCAGCTTAGGCCCATCAGTGTCAAGTAAGAGGAAGAAAGGCTCTAAAACCTCTTTCCACAGGGTCCAAAATAGAACATTAATTAAGCAAATAAAAATGACACATTCACAGAAAATAGCAACAGTTATTTAAAAAACAAGTTGGCTATGCCACACATAGCTATTAACAATAATAACAGTAGAAAGTTGCAACGTAACACCATAACTCAAATTCGGCCCTAAAACTACATATGCTCCTATAAATATCTAACTTTTGCTTAAATTTAGAATGAATTTATGCTGTTCGTTTTATTTTTATACGTGAAAACATTCACAAAGTATTTTGAATGTTTTAGTAATACTTAGTACAGATTGTGATCATAAAAAATCCTTTCAACACTACGGTTCACATATATGCTATTGTTCAGATTATAGTAAATTAGATGAACTAATCCATCCTCAATTTTAATGTTTGGGAAAGCATTTCAACAGAGCTCATGATTAGTAGCACCAGGCCAAGAGTATATCTAAATTTCCCTAAAAAAGAAGATTAAATTACTTAGCATAGAATTTTAGTAAGACTAATCCCCTTCTGTTACTGCCCAAACCTTGATCTTTTATGGTCTTCCCTCAGTAAATCACATACCTATTATGCAGAACACTAAAGTTTGAATTTACAGCTCTGTGAGAAAGGAAAAGAGATTAATTGCCTTTTATAATATCTTTGTTTCGTCCTCCAAAAAATTTCCTTCTAACAGTGTTAGATCTGTATTACAATCAGGAAGAAGCACAGTAGTAATTTTAGAAAGGGGACCAAAAGGAAATTTCATAAGCAAAAAGGAGGGGCCATAAGAGAACTGTACATCTTCATTCCACTCTGAGGCAAAATGGTCTTCTCTTGATTCTATTCTTTGATTAGAGAAAATGACCATCAATTAGAGAAACAAACTAATGTCTCAGACAGGAAATAAATGACATTAAAGACAAAGCCATAGGCCAGGCATGGTGGCTTACACCTGTAATCCCAGAACTTTGGGAGACCGAGGCAGGCGGATCATTTGAGGTCAGGAGTTCAAGACCAGCGTGGCTAAAATGGTGAGACCCCCGTCTCTTCCAAAAATATAAAAATTAGCCGGGTGTAATGGCGCATGCCTATAATCCCATCTACTCAGGAGGCTGAGGCAGGAGAATCATTTGAACCTGGGAGACGGAGGCTGTAGTGAGCGAAGATCGTGCCACTGCATTCTAGCCTGGGCTACAGAGCGAGACTCCATCTCAAAAAAAAAAAAAAGATTGAGCCATAGATAAAGAATGCAGTAACAATTATTATTCAGGATTTTTTTTTTTTTTTTGAGACGGAGTTTCGCTCTTGTTGCCCAGGCTGGAGTACAATGGCACAATCTCAGCTCACCACAACCTCCGCCTCCCAGGTTCCAGCGATTCTTCTGCCTCAGCCTCCCGAGTAGCTAGGATTACAGGCATGCGCCACCACACCCAGCTAATTTTGTATTTTTAGTAGAGATGGGGTTTCTCCATGTTGGTCAGGCTGGTCTCGAACTCCTGACCTCAGATGATCCTCTGTCTCGGCCTCCCAAAGTGCTGGGATTATAGGTGTGAGCCACTGTGCCTGGCCTATTCGTGATTTTTAGAGACTGAAAATATGAGGGAAACCTGGTAAAGTGGATAGACAATAGCCTAATTATAAAACTTCTCTGTGTGCTACAATTACATGTTAATCTTTATTCAATTATGCAGATAGCTACAGAATACTATTATTTTATAGTACACACATGCACACATCTTTAGCATATCCTTTGCAGGTGTAAAAAAATTATGATAATATAATCCTTAAATGGCAGGCACCTGGTAGTATAGTAAGTTCTTGAAAAATGTTGTGTCTAAAAACACATACCTTATGATTATAAAACCTAGTGCCTGCCACAAATATGGAGAAATATTTGATTCATTACAGTATGTAATGTACAGCCTAACCAGTAGGCTAACGACAAGCAGACAATGATCTTCCCTTGACCCTGATATCTCCTTTAATTATTACTCTTTCCCTTCACTTCCATTTTTTAATGTAATCTACACCATTAGTTCCCAAATGCCAGTTCCATATTAATGCCTGTCCATGATTATGCTTGCTCAGTTTGTTGCAAAAGGAGAACATTTTTTAAAATGTTGTTAATAAGGCAATTATATTTAATCAAAGTCTGATCTTTGATCTTACATTCTTCCTCCATATTTGGGAATAATCAGTTGTAGGTTCTTGGGTTTGTCTTTTATTGTCTTGCTCTCTTGTTGTTTCATTGTGGTAAAATACATACAACATAAAATTTGCCATCTTAACATTAAATACATTCAGTTCATTAAACACATTTACATTTTTCTGCAACCATCACTACAATCCACCTCTAGAATTATTTTCATGTTGCAAAACTGAAACTGCACCCATTAAACAATACCTCTACATTCTCTCTTCCCCCCAGCCTCTAGCAACCACCATTCTTCTTTCTGTCTCTGTGAATTTGACTATTCTAAGGACATACCTCACATAAGTGGAATTATACAGTATTTGTCTTTCTGAAACTGTCTTATTTCACTTAACATAATGTCTTGAAGGTTCACCCATGGTATAGCATGTCTCAGAATTTCCTTCCTTTTTAAGGCTGAATAATATTCTGTTTTATGTGTATACCACATTTTGCTTATCCACCCATCTGTTGATGGACACTTGGGTTGCTTCCACCTTTTGGCTATTCCTAATAATGCTTCTATGGAGATTTGTGTATAAATATCTCTTCAAGACCCTGCCTTCGATTCTTTTAGATATACACCCAGAAGTAGAATTGCCGAATCATATGGTAACCTTACTTTGAATTTTTTGAGGAATCACCATAGCAGCTGCACCATTTCACATTCCCACCAACAGTGCCTAAGAGTTTCAATCTCCCTACATCTTTGCTAACACCTGTTGTTTTCTGTCTTTTTTTCACAGTAGCTATCCTTATGAATGTGAGGAGATATCTCACTGTGGTTTTGATTTGCATTTCCCTAATGATTAGTGATGCTGAAGTGTTGCTTTGCTTCAGTGTTCTTAATTGGTAAAACAAGAAGTTGGCAACTTGCTTAGTCTCCATTTTTAAACAAATTTATGGGTTATTGATATCTGAAAATCTGAAAATCACCAGCGTACTCTCTATGTCCTCTTCTCATCTAAAAATTACCCCATCAATTCACTGCAGTCTGGCTTTGGCCCTCAATCTTCTCCTGACTTCTCTCATCAGAATTAACAAACTAACTTGTAATTGCCAAATAGAACGGACCTTCTTCAGTCTGTATGTAATTAGTGGAAAGTGCAGAGTCTCTGGGGCCAAACCTAAAGTCCCGCTTCCTTCAGCGGAGTAGGATCTCAACAAATGTAATTCCTGCTCCTGGACTTCCCTAAGGGAAATTTCATCCCTTCCCATAGTTTCATTCTCTACCCTATGCAATGATTCCCAAACCTCTAACACTCAACCATGTCAGTGGAGCATTAATACTGTTCAAGGCACTCTGCAATGGATATATGGATAAATTAACTATGGCTTCGGCGCTCCAGAAGCATGTGGTTTAGTAAGATAAATAGTTGCGCAATACAGTGTCACAGGTGCTATGAAGGAACATGCCAGGAGCACAAAGAAAGGAATAATGATTCCCATATGACCTGGAGTGGACAGGGAAGGTCTTACAGAGGAGAAACTTGAAGTGAATGAATATTGGAAGTACTTATCAGGTAGCAGAGGGGAGACAGCTATCACCACATGTATCAATTCTTAAAATTAACAGAAGAGAATATTTGAGGTAGGAAACCTTAGAACATCATTTCAGTGGACCAGGTGAGGGCTATTTAAGGCCTGAACTAGGAGACAGTGGAAAAGAAGAAAAGAGATACCATACAAGAAACATAATGGTATGAAATTGATGGGACTTGGTCACCAATTAGATCTAGAGAACAAGGGAAAAGAGTTTAGGCTGACTTAGTGGGTTCTGTCTTGGATAAATAGACGGTGGTACCATGCACTAAGATTGGAAATATAGGAAGAGGAACAGGTTACAAGGAAAAGATGAGTTCAATTAGGGACACTTGGAATTTGTGGTCTTTCTGTGGGACACTCAGGTGCTTATAGAAAGATCAAGGAGAGAGATGCAGATCTGTAAGACAGACATCGAAGCCCTATGTAGCAGATGCATTAGGTGCCCTGCCAGTATCCCTCCATACTCACCATTCCCATGCATGCCCTTTCAGGGGCTTCCAACAGCAAGCATCTGGGAGTCTTTGCCTGAGGGCTCCCGGCAGAACCCACTGGGTGGGCCTGCCAACTCCGAGACTAATGGTGTTAACAGGGAGTGTCTGCTAATAGATTTCTTTTTGGAGGTTATGAAGATGTTCTGAAATTACATAGTGGAGATGTGGCACAACTTTGTGAATACACTAAAAACCCAGCCAATTCTACACTTTTAGAAGGTGAATTTTAGTGCTTACTTCGACAGCACATATATTACAATTGGAATGATATAGAGAAGACTAGCCTGGCCCCTGTGCAAGGATGACATGCAAATTTGTGAAGTGTTCCATATTAAAATTATAAAAAATAAAATAATAAATAATAAATAAAAGGTGAATTGTATAGTTTTTGATTTATGTCTCCACTTGTAACAATTGTGTGAGAAAAAATACATACGCTATGGCTCAGCCCAACTGAAGTATTTCGTCCACAAGTACGCCCAATGTCTTCACATCTGTGTGCCTTTGCTTGCTCTATTGCTTCCACCTAGAATTTCGAATTTCTCTTTTCTCCCACTCCTCTCCCCCATGTTTCCTAATCCTATTCTTTCTTCCAGGCCCAGCAAAAGTCCTCCTTTTCTGTTCAGTCTTCCCCAGGTCAGGGATTTATCTTGTACTTCCCTGACATCTTCTAACCCTTTATTTTGTTTCCTGCTTTTTTTTCTTTTTTAACTCTCTTCTCCGTATTATAGATTTTCACATAGCTTAGCTAATAAATTTCAGATTCCTGAGAACAGGAGGTGTTTTACCTATAGATCCTATCAAATGTCTTGCACATGGTAGCCTCTCAAAAATGTTTAGTGAATCAATACATCAAGGACTATAAAATCTCGAGGGGAGTCTAGGAAAAAAACCAAGCAACCTAATTAAAATCAATTCACCTTCAGCTAAATTAGCCATCATCATTTAAAGAACATTAAAGGAAACAATTTAAAATCTAGGGGAATATGGTCAGAATTCTTTCTGGAAATACTTAAGGTTTTGAAATTTGAGGTGTCATGATAAGAGTACAAATTATAGTAAAATGTTCAGGTCATTATATTCTGAGTAACTATATTAAAAATAAACAAATATAAATCTATTTAGTGATTTTACCCTTACTATAGAATACTTCAAGCTGTTAGTACAGAAAATGCCATAGTGACAGCTTCTGGTCACTTGAGGACCTGTGCAGTAAGATCTTCCTCTGATGATGTAAAGAGGAACTCATTCTATGACCATAGAAATTCCTGTTCCTTTTCAGTTCTTTATTATCTTTCTAAATTTCCCTCCATAGAATCAAGCTTAGCAACTTTTCTTTCTCTGTGCTGCCAAAGGACAGGAGGAGATACAGAGATGTGAAAAGCTCTAATTCTTTAGCATGAATAACAATATTAATAGTTAACCCTTATTGACCATTCTCTGTGTGCCAGGCTTTTTAAAAAGTGTTTTTCATGTATTATCTCATTTAATCCTTATAATAATTCATGGAAGAAGAATTATTATCATCGTAGTTAACTGACGACAAAGAGACTGAGGCACATAGAGGCTAATTTGCCCCTGGTCACACAGCTTGTTAAATGGTGGAATCCTGGTGTATAACCAGGCAGATGATATTATGTGCATAATAACATTACATTTATTTATTTATTCATTTATTTATTTCTCACAACAGCACTGTGAGGTAATTACTCCCCCCTCATTTTACATGTAAGGGAATCAATTTTTAGTGAGATTAAGTAGCTCAAAACTACTAAATGGTAGAGCCCAGATTGTACTCTGTCTTTGAAATCACATCCCAACCCTTTTCTTCTAACTGATTCCTCTGGGCTGGTGTAGTTTGCACGCTCCAGGAAAGGAGTCCCAACTCCTCTGTTTTGGTCAGCCCTGGTAAGAGTTTTTTTGTTTGTTTATTTGTTTGTTTGTTTGTTTGTTTTGAGACAGGGTCTCCCTCTGTCGCCCAGGCTGGAGTGTAGAGACGCGATCCCAGCTTACTGCAACCTCCGCATCCCAAATTCAAGCAATTCTCCTGCCTCAGCCTCCTGAGTAGCTGAGATTACAGGCGCGGGCCACCATGCCCGGCTAATTTTTGTATTTCTAGTAGATACAGGGTTTCACCACGTTGGCCAGGCTGGTCTCGAACTCTTAGGCTCAAGACCCCTGGGCTCAAGGGATTCGCCCACCTCAGTCTCCCAAAGTGCTGGGATTCCAGGCGTGAGTTGCCACGCCTGGCTGGATAATTAACTTTAATACTGGCTTCCTATTCAGGTCTGTAGCATCTTTGTTCTCTTCCTCTGTTGGCTTTTTAAAAATGTTATAACCAATTTACAGTATTTTAAGAGTTTGTTTGTTTGTTTTTGTTGTTGTTGTTTGAGAAAGAGTCTTGCTCTGTTGCCCAGGCTGGAGTGCAGTGGCATGATCTGGCTCACTGCAACCTCCGCCTCCCGGATTCAAGCCATTCTCCTATCTCAGCCTCCTCAGTAGCTGGGACTACAGGAGCGTGCTACCGCATCCAGCTAATGTTTTATTTTTATTTTTATTATTTTTTTTGAGACGGTGTCTCACTCTTGTTGCCCAGGCTGGAGTGCAATGGCGCGATCTCTGCTGACTGCAACCTCCGCCTCCAGGGTTCAAGCGATTCTCCTGCCTCAGCCTTCCGACTAGCTGGAATTACAGGCGCTCGCCACCACGCCCGGCTAGTTTTTTGTATTTTTAGTAGAGACAGGGTTTCGCCATGTTGACCAGGCTGGTCTCGAAATCCTGACCTCAGGTGATCCGCCCGCCTTGGCCTCCCAAAGTGCTGGGATTACAGGCGTCAGCCAACGCGCCCAGCCCGCATCCAACTAATTTTTGTATAAAAGAGACCTTTAAAATTAATACTCAGTTGAATAAAATCTGGAATAAAAGCAATAATCCATAACTCAAGGGAAATTAATGTTAATTCCATTTTAAAATCGATGAGCAGATTTATGTATTACCTACTCTTTCCTGGAGAAACTTATTTTGCAGTCACAAAGATAAACAGACATTATTGGAAGTGGTTAAGGTAATTGGTTTTTTACCACAAATTATCTGAATATTCATTTTTGTTTTTGCAACAGGGTCTCACTCTGTCGCCTAGTGGCACAATCTTAGCTCATTGCAACCTCTGCCTCCCGGGTTCAAGCAATCCTCCTGATCCTCCCACCTCAGACTCCGGAGTAGCTGGGATTACAGGCGCGTGCCACAACGTCCAGCTAATCTTTTTTTTTTTTTTTTTCGTATTTTTAGTAGAGACAGGGTTTGCCATGTTGGCCAGGCTGGTCTTGAACTCCTGACCTCAAGTGATCTGCCCACCTTGGCCTCCCAAAGTGCTGGAATTATAGGCATAAGCCACCACACCTTGCCTGAATATAAACTTTTAAGAACTGCATATAAAATCCTAGGTGAAACATATGCAGTAACCACTCCCTTTAGTTACCAGATTTTCCTAATCTTTTTAGTCAAGCCATCCTTATCACACCTCTCTTTGATTATATACTATGTTGTAAATATATATACAGACATATATTTACAGATACCATGCAAGAAACATGATGGTATGAAATTGATGGGACTTGATCACCAATTAGATTTGGAGAACAAGGGAAAGGAGTTTAGGCTGACCAAGTAGTTTCTGTCTTCAATGACTAGATGGTGGCACTATGCACTAAGACTGGAAATATAGGAAATATATATGGAGATATATGAACATAGTAATATAACCAAGTGTAAAATTATATAAAGCTAAATATAAGTGCAAATAAAGGAAAGAGAGGAGTTATATGGAATACAGAAAGTTACATTAAAAACGAATGAATGTGCCTGGCCCAGAGCTGGTGTTCAATAAGCAATAGATATTATTAATAACCTTTATACCCAAGCAGAAGAATTTGGACGTGGTAAGGTAGGTGATAAGGAATGACTGCAGAGTTTATCATGTGGTACTTTAGGACTACTAGACTAACTACTATCATCAAGACATATTGAAAAAATTCTCTGATTTAATCAACATTTATTGAGCACTATGCTAAATGATGAATAAATTTAAAAAACGGCCGGGTACAGTGGCTCACGCTTGTAATCCCAGCACTTTGGGAGACTGAGGCTGGTGAATCACTTGAGGACAGGAGTTGGAGACCAGCCTGGACAACATAGTGAAACCCTGTCTCTACTAATAAATAAAATAAATAAATAAATAAATAAAAGATCTGGTCTTCTTCAAGTTCAGAAAAGGGAAGGGCAGATAGCGATCCCAGGAGGATGTGATAAACACTCAGTCCACAATAAAATGTGATGAGCCACATGAGAATTATCTCTCAAGGGCTATCAGAACACAGAACAATTATTGATAGCCTGCAAATCAGACAAGACAGTTCCAAGGATATAACAGTTTGAGCTAGTCTAGGACACCAACTTAAAGTCTGTTGTGGTAATCCAGATGTGAGATATGGACTAGGATAACGGCAGTGGAAACTGAGACAGGACATTTTGAGAACTATATCATCACGTATGTCTCTGCTGATAAAGAAATAGATCCTAAAGCATTTTCTCCCATAACTATTTTACTAACTCTATATTGATACCCAAATGCTTTATTGAATTTTTCAGCTGTGTTTCAAGGTCATGGAAAAAGACACAATCACAAAATAATTTTCCAGTGACCACATTCTATAAATTAAAACCAGCTGCAGTTTTAAAATGATGACAATTTCCTCTAGCTGGAAATTGTCATCAATTTCCCTAGTGAAAAAATTCACTGATTTAATCAACATTTATTGAGCACTGTGCTAAACGATGAATAAATAAAAATAAGGGCCATGCGCAGTGGCTCATGCCTGTAATCCCAGCACTTTGGGAGACTGCGGCGGGCAGATCATTTTTTCCCCCTGCATTTAGGTTTCTAAATCAGATGTCTCTGTTATCTCAAGTCACAAGAGTGTTGACTTTCTTTGCTTGCATTAGGTAACATATTTGAATGGCTATGTTGTGTGTCATTAAGTACAAGGAGCCCAATAATGCGGGACAAGCTCTCCAACTGCAGCCATAGAAGAGCAATATTGTAAGCTCGTTTTCATAAAACACCAGCAAGAAGAAAAATCCTTTCCATTTTGAGCATTCAGATTATATTTTCTCTCAAGGATTAAAACATTTCACATGGCAATACACTTATTTATTAAATTCAATCTTTATCTCTGTAATGCTCAGGAATGGAACACCTTGAGGAAACTGTAGTTCATGTTAAGCAAAAAATTAGATACAAAGATAGTTCTTTGATCAAATGTGCTGAAAGATTTACCCAAAGTGGAGGAGACCGCTTTATTTTTAAAAAGAGAAGCAGAACAGTGGAAATAAAATGAAATATATACATTACATATCTCTGTTTTCACACATGCACACAAATACTTAAATCTCTGTATAACAGCAGTTTGAATCGTCTGGAAAAGTTACTTCTAGGAAGAGTAACTTCTGTCACTTTAAGTACTACAGCAGAAAATGGAAGTTAATAGTGAGATAAGACTGGCTGTAAACTGCTCCAATGAGGTCCTGGGAATCTTGCTCAGAGGCAAAATTTGGGGCTGGACTAAAACGTCTGTTGGGAAGTGAAAGGAAGAAAAGGGCAAAGTTAAGCAAGAGAGTCCTTTAAAAAGAAGGCAAACTTGAGTAAATCTACTTTCAATTTTAAAGTAAAAGAATAGCTGAATAGGACTCTAATAACAAAAATATAGTAAGATTGAATTAGATACTGCTGGATGTAAGACATTTAGCAACTTCCAATTCCTGAGAATGTTTCAGAAATCTTTTTTTAAATAGATTTTTAAATAAAGTAATCAAGGTTTTACACAATCTTACCTGCCTTATGTTTAATATAAATTATCTTAATATTTTCATTTCTTAACTTTAAATCCGAGGACATCCATTAAGAGTGATGATTTTGTATCAAAAGTAGGGGCTAATTTATGTTTATTTTTCTTTCTATTCTTGAAAACTGCCCTCTTGGCTGGGCGCGGTGTCTCACGCCTGTAATCCCAACGATTTGGAGGGCCGAGGCGGGCGGATCTCTTGAGGTCAGGAGACCAGCCTGGGTAACACAGCAAGAGACCTCGTCTCTACAAAAACTAACTTAAAAGTTAGTGGGGCGTGGTGGCACACGCCTGTAGTCCCAGCTGCTTGGGAGGCTGACGCAGGATAATCACTTGAGCCCAGCAGCTCCAGGCTGCAGTGAGCTATGATCGTGTCACTGCACTTCAGCCTGGATGACAGAGTAAAACCTTTTCTAGAGAGAAAGAAGAAAGAGAGAAAGGGGAAAAGAAAGAAAAAGAGAGAAGAAAGAAAACTGCCCTCTTGATTGTAGTCCCTCTGATTGTTTCAATATATTTAAGTACTTTTGGGATAAAATGTTGACATAAGGAGAATCATGTGGCTTCTGTGACAATGCCTGTCAGCTTCTCAGGCCTTTCTCTCACATAAGACATCGAAAATTTATGCACAGTGTATTTTCCCTCTAGATCCTTATGCTGCTGACTCCCACTCCCGCCCCACTCACCCGACACGGTCATACTTTGTTTTGGAGCAAAACAAATGTTAACATTGTGTTTCCAGACACCTGGAAGCCCAGGTTTGGTGATTCTGGACTGCACTCCACTTTGGTGGTAGGGTCACATTCGCGTTTAAAGGCCGACGGGGAGGAAACACCGAGCACCGGGAAAACCCCTGCAGTCACCGGAACGTCGGGCTTGGGACGTGCCGGTTTGGGCGCCGAGCTGCGGTGCCGGCGGCCACCCCGGGGGCAGGCAGCAGGGAGGAGCATGCGGGAGGGCTGTGACATCTCAGGGTGGAAGCAGCTCTCTGCTCTGGACGCCTTACAAGTCCCCCGTTCCAACTATCACCTCTGGCCCATTGTCGCCACCGCCTCCCTCAAGAGTGCACGGCAGTAGAGGAAAAGACAGTACCGTCGGCAACAGCGCGATCAAGTACCGCGTGTAACTGATAGACACGCTCGCGACTCCCGCGGCGCCCCTGCCCCGTGCCCCCGCGCTCACGAAGACGCCCGGAACTCGAGGGTGCGGAGCCAGCCCGACTGTACCCGGCGCTCCCGGCGCCCCTTCGCGGGGCAGAGACAACCCCGACCTCCCGCCGCGGCCACCTCCCGGCGGGCGCGGGCCGAGGAACTACAGCTCCCGGCAGGCCCCGCGCTGGCCGCGCGCCCCCGCCCCCCGCGCGCCCCGGCCCCCCGCCCTCCGGCCCCAGGACGGGACGGGGAGGGAGGGAGGAAGGGGCGCCGGAGGCGGGCGGGATCCTGCGAGGCGCGTGAAGCCTCGCTGGCGCCTCGTCCGGTACTCAGACGCTGGCGGGCGCAGTTTCTCACGACGGGCCGAGCCTGCCACTGTAAGTAGTCGCCTCGGGGAGCGCTGAACAGACACCGAAAAAGTTCGCGCCGCCGCCGCCGCCGCTTTGTTCTCCCGGCCCGTCGGGCTGAGGCGGCGGCGGCCCCTCCCCCATCCCCCAAACCCCCAACCCCCCAACTGCACGCGGCGGCGGCGGCGACAGGACTCGGACCCCGCGCCGGGCTGGGCGGTGTCAGCCGCGCTGGGCGGGAAGTTGGGGGAGCGCGCGGCGGGAGGTGGGCGGCTGAGGGGGAGCGGGGGCGCCGCCGCAGCCGCCAGAGGGGCCAAGTTCCGGCGTCCGCGCGGAGGGCAACTTGGGTTCGCGCTCCGCTGGAGACCACCGCGCCCGGCCCATCGGAGGCGATCCGTTCCCGGGTCTCCCAAACTAGTTCCCGAAGCCAGACCCGCGGCGCTCGCAGTGCCGAATTTTGGACCAGCTTTTTCGTTTCATTTCCTCACTTTGCGTTGTAGTCGTCTCAAAGGGGTGAGTAAATGGTGCTTGGAGAATGTAAGCCCCTCGCCCCAGTATCCCGACTGCGTTTGGATTTGCTAGTTGCAGCATTGTTCCGAGTTGCTCCCTCCTGGGAGGTTTTCCTTAAGCTGAAACACTGAGGAGTGCCACTGTTTCTTTGAGCAGTGAAAATAACCATATACTACTGTATTGCCGGTTGGGTATTTTATTTCAGGTGAACGCAGTCAGAGGCATAGGCCTTGCCGTCTGCAGGCACACATACGATTCAAGCGACAAGTGTGTGCGCGCGACCTGCCGACTTTTCCACACACAGATTGATGGCATGGACGTAACTGTGTCTTCAATCACACCCATCCCCACAGGAAATAAGACTATCGGTGTCATCTTTGATTAGGAAGGATAAGTTACACCCTGAACTGCTGCTTGGTGCGACACAGCTTTTATGAGACATAGCCACAAATGGAACAAGAACTTTTAAATGCCTTAATTTGTATCCTAGAAAATGTTATTTTATTCCTCTGAAACTTTTTTTTTACCCTTCTACTTAATGTCGTCGTTCTTACATTTTTAGCGATTTTCATTTTCCTTAGCTTTGCTGCAGAAGGCGTCCATAAAGTTCCCCCGACTGAGATCTAGGCCAGTTTTTCCTTGTCAACGAACCCTTGCTTCCTTCCCTGTTAGATTCCGAGTTAAGATCAAGCATGGACATTCAGCCAAGAAGTTAGAAGATTTTCTAAAAGTAGGATTTGAAACGTGTCACACAGAAACCGTGGAAGGTTTTTCTTCAGTAGGTAGTAATACAGTTGTGGTGGGCCTGAGTGCATGAGCTTGGAGTACTCCTTGACGAGCCAGGTTCCATCCTCGGTTCTATAATTTAGTATATAGCATTTCACATTTCAGGGTGACTCAGGTTCTGTAATTTAGTATATAGCGTTTCACATTAAGAATGTTGACTGATGTGTATCTTAAAACTAATTTTTTAAGCATCCTAGATAATGGTAAGTCTTTTAGAGAAAATTTTAAGCTTTCAGTTTCATCAGATAGCCACTTTAAAATAGAAATTTCTTTCTGTTCGTGGATTTAAACACTGCCACACACACAGAACTTCATAAATAAAACTTTCTGATATTACATTTTTTTAAATTACGAATTGAAAACACCACATACAGAAAAATATGAATAGGTGGTCATTTAAGTGCAGTTTTCTTAAGGGACATTTTGTTCTCATTTTTTTAAAAGACTCTAAAGTTGAAAATACTACAGTGGAGTTAATTGTTCGTTTTTAAAAGAAACTGCTTGTACAGAGCTTGATATATAAGGAAATTCTTTGCTAGTACAAGTTTTAATTTGATATAATGCTGCTTATAATTCACAATCTTCTGTGATGATTGTACTTTGAGTCTCGCTGATTATGTAATTCAGATCGAACTTGCTATATATATATATGTATCTCTTTGAGTAGCCCTCTCAGGAAAAACTTGAGATAATGTGCTTATGAGATATTTTCATTTTAATGTAGGAAAAAAAATTTTTCCATTTCTGTGGTTAGTTTATTGTGGCAGTATGTGAGAAATTGCTCATTGGCTGCTAACCAATCAGATTTCTTAGCTACTACTGGTGCAGAGACTAACATCTGTCAAGCTCAACATGGATTCATATTGCATTGCCAGACTGGCAGTCCATAATCTTATTACTGGATAAACTTTTCAGTTCCTGAGCAGAGCAGATATGGTGTGCTCTCTCAGTACTCTCTGACAGTGGAAGGACTGAGATTCAACTGTCACTGGTCCAGATGAGCAGAATTTTAGAGGAAACAATTTAGCAAATGCTAAGCTCTTAGGAAAAGTATGTTAATCTAAAGTAATAGGTATTTTTGAAAATATATAAATCATTGTCGGGATTGCTACAAGATATGATTTTTTTAAAAACCAACGACGTAGACACTTGAGTTTTTAAATACAACATACAATATAAAAGCAAGAACAATTACTAAGCAAAGTCAAACCTATGTCAAAACATGGACATGGACTTTAGGACGCTGGTCAGAATTGCATTGAAAAAGGCCACATACTTTTACGTGGTAAAAGAATACTAATATTAATACATGTCAAGAGGCGTGGACACAACCCTCCACGTCATTAGCATTTCTAGTACACAAAACTTAAGTTGAACCTGGAAAACTCTTTACTGGGAGGAATTCATGTTATAATAAATATTGTTATTCCAATAGGAAAAGCATTTTATCTCTTCACTTTAGCCTTTGCTGAGTATTGTACAAAAAGAATGATGCTGCACTAAATAATGAACTTCTTTTTGAAGAATTTAATAACTAGATGCATTTTGCCTTCCTGGAATCCTTTTGTCTGTCTCTTTGCATCGTTGACTCTTGCTTATCCAGAGATCTCAGCTTAAATATTTCCTTAAAGGTACCTTTCCTGAGATTCCAGCTGGAATTGAGTCCCCTTAGTATACTCTGCCATATCACCTCTTGCAGTTTATAATTACCCAGCTGTTTGTATGAATGTTATGTCTGTGTCTCACATCACACTTTGAATTTCAGAGAGAGCAGTGGCCATGTCTGTTTCGGTCACTGCTCTATAACTCCAGTGTCTCTCATAACAGTCTGGGAAATAATAAGTACTAATTAAGTATTTGTTAAGTGGAAATACTGCTGTTAGAGCTTCTCCTAATTAGAGTGTTAAAAATGAGATAATGTGTGCATGGGGGAAGGGGAAGGAGAGGGAGAGGAAGTAGATAAACTTGTGATATTACCGTGAGATAATCCTCAAGTAAGTCCTCTCACCTCCAGGGCCTTTGTTTCACCTTGTCTGTAAAATAGGACAGACTGGGTTCAAGATGCCATTAATATCCTATATTTTGATTCCAGTAACAATGATGACAGATTATGTAAGCTCATTTGAATGGAATATGTGACAGCTAGCTCCCCAAAAGAATATTTGACAAGTTCTAAATAAACATATTAGAAATGCTTGCCAACTAGATGATATTATTTAGAGCCTCGTACCCCTGTTAGAAACAAGCATATATAATTGGTATATAGTTTGTAAATTAATAAGATGTACTCTTCTTTCAGTTTTCTAATTGAAGCGTAAAGACAAAATTAAGCAGCATATCAAGGTTCATGTAAGTTACAGTTATTAGGTTTAATATTTAGTTTTAATATTTTTCACCCAACATCTTGTTGCATCTTCCAGAGTAAATCTGGGGTCCATAAACCAAACCAGGAGAGGGAAAATGGAAAGAGTGGGCAGAAATCTGACAGCTCTTAGGTTTCTTCTATTTGTGTTAATACTGAGACTTTTAAAAATCATTTTTATATGTAGTGTTTATTATGAATAGTTGTAATTTGTTCTGATAAATTAGTTGTATTAAACACTGTTATTTGGCTAATATTACTAGGTATAATAAAATGATATTTAGTGGGAAGACATTCATCAAAGTAGAAGTAGTTAATTTGGGCCAGGTGCAGTGGCTCACGCCTGTAATCCCAGCACTTTGGGAGGCCGAGATGGGCGGATCACTTGAGGTCAGGAGTTCCAGACCAGCCTGGCCAACATGATGAAACCCCGTCTCTACTAAAAATCCAAAAATGAGCCAGGTATGGTGATGTGCACCTGTAATCCCAGCTACTGGGGCGGCTGAGGCACAAGAATCGCTTGAACCCGGGAGGCGGAGGCTGCAATCAGTCAAGATCGCGCCACTGTACTCCAGCCTAGGCAACAGAGCAAGTCTCTGTCTCAAAAAAAAAAAAAAAAAAAAAAAAAAGTCGTTAACTTGCATACAGTTTTATTCATAGATATTTTACTACTTTATTTTGGTAGTTCATCTTATAAAAACTACTTAAGTCAGATACGTTGTGGAGCTCATTACCTCGTGAGACAACCTGTTCCATTGTTAGGTTGTTGGATATGGAATAATGTGGTAGAAAGAACTTGGGCTTTGGAGTCAGGGAAACTAGTTTGAATCTCATTTCTATCACTTACTAGCTATAGTCACAGGCAAACAACAGCTTCTCTAAAATTCTTGTTTCTTTTCTGGAAAATAGAGTTAAACCTCCTAGAGTTGTTGCAAGGATTTAATAAAGTATCATATCTCACTTTATGTGTTTAGCATAAAGTAAAGGCTTAGTTGTTAATTCCTTCAACTAATTGCTGTGAAAATTGCTAAAACTTACTGAGCACTTACTGTTAGCCAGGTGTTGTTACAGATAGTTTGTACCCCGTAGCTCAATCCTTGCAACCTGTGAGGTTAAGTAAGAAGTGCTCTCATCTTCATTTTTCGTCTACCCTCTGCAGTGATACTGAATAAAATCAATTCTCCTATTAACACTTATTCAAGTATTTGAAAACCACTTATTCTGTTTGGTTTTGTTAAGCACATTTTTATCACATGACATTATTTTTACCTTTGCGTGCATGATTTTTTTTTTTTTAAATCAGTATGGCTCTAAAAATGTTGACCATAGATATAAACATAATTGTGATATAGGCTGAGTAACAAGGAGTATACAGACGGATGCTGATGTGTTCTCAGTGACCTAGGGCATTAGCTTTGCATTAGCTCTTTTAGTCACCCATTATATTAGCAGTTTGAATTAATCTTTTTCGTTGATAAATACCTCTCATATAAACTGCTTACAAGTAAGCATTTCCCCATTTCTGTATTGCACATTTTGGGGAAACTAAATGCAAAGCTTTACACTTACCTTTAAGTTTCAGTTTAATTTTAGTTTATTTCTCCCAGATTTCTTCAACCTGAGGATTTTATAAGCATATTCTTTATGCCTTTATTATCTAATAAATAGTGAAAAATGATATAAGGCTGAGGACAGTGTTTCAAGGCAGTTCCGTAAAGACTTTCCTCATCTAAGGTGACACAGAGCAGCAAACTTAACTACACTAACATCCAACCCACACTCCAGTAACATTCTTGCAAAGGTAGCATGGACAATCATCTTGGATACTATTTTTGTCAGAATAAACTATCTTTTTTTTCTGGCTTTGCTGATTTTGTGGTCTTGGGCAAGTACTTTAATCTCTAAACCTTTGTTTTCTCAACCATATAATGAGTTGCTGTGAGGATTAATGAGGTAATATGTATAAAGTGCTTAGAACAGTATCTGACAGATAGTAAGAGCTTAATAAATGTAAGCTATTGTTATTTTTTTCCAGCTAAGAAGCCTAATAATCATTATTTTCCAAGATGTAAATGTGGTTGACTTCTAGTGATCATTATATTCTTCTCTAGTTATTCACAAACCATTTGCTTCATTATTTTTTATGTTTGTAATTTCTGAAATTTGCTTTCCTGCTTCTCCAGCCGCCAGAACTTGAAACCGCTCTACAAATCTCCAGGCCATGATTATATCTGTCTTTTTGAGCTCTTTCTCCAAGATTGCAGGAGTCAGCTTTGTGATTACATTTGTGAATTGCTTTAGTAGTATGGAATGGACTGCATCTGGACCCAGAGACTCAAACTCATGTAAAGTTGTTATAGTCTTAGTCATTTGTCTCAGGTTTCAGTTCTCAATGCCTTTCTGCAGTTTTAGTTTAAAACTGTGGAGAAGATAAGCAAAATACAAGTTGAGCAGTCTGTCTTTCTGTGCGATTTCTCAACCTTAGCAACATCCTCTGAGCAGTGATTCTTAGTTCCTTGTTCTCTTCGAGAAATAGTGTGTTCTTGTGGAGACAGCACTGGTAAGAAAGTACAAAACCTGGCTTCTAATTCCCGCTCCACCTATTAATAACCATGTGCTGCTGGGCAAGTTGCGTTATCGCCTTGTGCTTCAATTTTCTTGTCTACAAAAATGATTTCTACCCTGTCAACTTTCAAAGAGTTATGAGGTAAAGTATGTGAAACATTTGTAAACTATCAAGTGTTGTACATTATATAAGATGGAATAATGATCATTTACTTGAAAGTAGCTATGAAAGCTTTCATCTTCAGTTTTTTTTAAAGTCTCAGTTTTTTCCTGAGCTTTCCCATTCCTAATACTATAGTTGTGTGCTTTTGCCCTTCTGTCACGTTCTTCCTAATTTAACCCATTAACTACTCTGCAGAGAGTTACTCTGCAGCCACATTGGATGATTTACTCTTTCTCTTCATTGGAATTATTTATGGGTATATAGATGGAACTTAGAAAGAACCATCAATTATGAGCTGTTTCACGCCTAAGCCATGTGGAGGGGTTGGGTCATACCTTTTTTTTTTTTTAACTTTTTGACCTGTGCTTTCCTAGAAATTATGATACATATTTAACTATACCTACTGTTCTCTTTCTTACTGTTAGAAATGCTTTGTGGTCTACAGCCACACCACCCCAAATGTGCCTGATCTTGTCTGATCTTGGAAGCTAAGCATTGTTGGGCCTAGTTAGGACCTGGATAGGAGAAATCCCTTATGGTGAGATCCCTTTCTCTTATGTTCCTGTGATAAGTATGTCAGCTTTCACACTTATTGATCATTTAACTGTTCAGTATATCCCCTCCTGCTTCCTTAGCCTTCTGAAAGGAATGTTTCAACAAAGCAAGTCAAGAGTCATGTTTCGGCAGAATTAGTATTGTAATATTAAAAAAAGAATACTCTTGTATTAGGAAAGTATTGTACATCTTTTGTGTGGTGGGGTGGCATGTATTGTATGTCTATGAAAATGTCAGTTTTACTGTTTTTTGTCCCTTCTGTTTTTGATATAACTCAGTCATGTAATTGTAACATAGAAGTGTTTGGTCTTCATTGATTAAAAATGAGGTAAATTTTAAAAAATGTTTAATGTTTAAGTTTTAGGTATCAGTGTAGAGTGCCAAGGATATTTTTCGAGCCTCTCCCTGAAATTATACTTATAGTAAAAAAAGTCTTTGCTAACTAGCCAAAAATTGCTACCCATTAGGATTTATTAGTGAATTATAAGCATATGACCAAAAATTGTCATTTAAAAAAGTTATGTTCTTATTTTTAAATTAATGTCGAATGAATATAAAGTATTAAAAACCTTTAAAAAATTTCCTTCCAGGCTAACTATATGTCAGAAAGCATCAGCTTTTCTCGATGGACCCATTCATCTAATGAAATATGCCTGTACTATTTTAAAAAGCTTTGTATTTCGTCATAGAAAAGTTCATCCCCCCAGAATGAAAATGAGGACATTTGAGAAGGTGATTTAAGGTGTGGACATTTGAGAAGGTGTCCTATCAAATTAGTAAACCAAAGGAAAAGTACTGAATAGATTAATCCAAAACACTTACTGTTTTTTAAACGAAGAGGATTTCACCTTGACAGAAAAACAACTTTTATTCAATATGTATTTCCTGAAATTAAAGAGACAAGTACAGACTGAAAGGAAAATAGATTCGTAAATAAGCTACGTCAACTCTATCCTGCTGAGGATAGCTCAGTGATGTTAAATCCTTTACAAATCCCTGGTTGTCTTCCTACAGACAAGACTGCTTTTTGATGGGACTGATATTAAGAGAAATAGGACCTTTGGGGCATTCAACTCCTTGATAAAACTTAAAAGTATCGGCATGAGTGGCTTAACAGAGGAAATAAAGAAGTTTTCAACTAAATCCAAAAGTGCGGTCATTTTCTTTACTGCTGTTATTTTAAAAACCTCTTCATAACCATTGAAAAAGAATCGACAACTATTTTAAAAGATTAAAGAAAGGCAGATGTCTGCAAATAATTCCCCTCCATCAGCCCAGAAGTCTGTATTACCCACAGCTATTCCTGCTGTGCTTCCAGCTGCTTCTCCGTGTTCAAGTCCTAAGACGGGACTCTCTGCCCGACTCTCTAATGGAAGCTTCAGTGCACCATCACTCACCAACTCCAGAGGCTCAGTGCATACAGTTTCATTTCTACTGCAAATTGGCCTCACACGGGAGAGTGTTACCATTGAAGCCCAGGAACTGTCTTTATCTGCTGTCAAGGATCTTGTGTGCTCCATAGTTTATCAAAAGGTACTGTGTGTGCTATTATCAGTAGTAAATAATATTGTTACTGATGTTTTTCTATAAATTATACGTGTACCAGTGAGTTAAGACATACTGATCCATCAGTAGTTTATTCTGTGCATTTTTGGAAGAGTTCTAATGACCTCTGAGGCTAAAGACTGAAATTTCAGAGTCTAGCTAATTGGAACATATATCCCAGATTTAAAATACATTTATTTGGCTGGGCGTAGTGGCTCACGCCTGTAATCCCAGCACTTTGGGAGGCTGAGGCAGGCAGATCACCTGAGGTCAGGAGTTCGAGACCAGCCTGGCCAACATGTTGAAACGCCATCTCTACTAAAAATACAAAAATTAGCCAAACATGGTGGCAGGCACCTGTAGTCCAAGCTACTCATGAGGCTGAGACAGGAGAATCGTGGGGAGCAGGGCAGGCGGCGGAGGTTGCAGTGAGCTGAGATAGCGCCACTGCACTCCAGCCTGGCACGGCAACAGAGTGAGACTCAGTCTGAAAACATAAATAAAATGCATTTATTTTAGCTTTAAAGTATCACTCTTCTGTTTGTCTCTCAAGAGCAGGAAAATCTGTATAGAGTCAAGGCAGCATAAGAAATCTCATTTGTTTTCAGAGAAAACAGGAGGTAGAGGGCACAAGGCCCCCTGGGACACAGTAGCTAGCAGCTGAGTCCCATCTCCATACCTTGTTATCTCTAGGTACCCTGTGTTCTGGCCCCTCTTTTTTTTATCCATTTCCTTCTCTTTAGATCTTGTTTAGGAAGATTCTGAACGTCCTGAAAAATAAACTGCCATTTAATATAGGACCATGCTTTCTGTCTTTTAAAAAATAGGTAAATTAATTTTGAATATACGACAAAATATTTGAAAATTCAGGGTGGTTTTATGTTGTTTCTCATTCACCCTCCTTCCCTGTACCGTGCCGTTTTCTTAAGGAACTTTAGCTAAATATCTTTAATAATCCCGATTTGATGGATGAGGCTAGTATGTTTTCTGTGTTATCAAAAGAGTTTATATGGGTTGTATGAATTGGTTATATTTTATTTTTAGTAGATTTTAATGAATTTTCAAGCATGTTTCAGATTTGTTTCAAACAAATTGTAAACTTTCTATTTGCAAAAATCATCTCTCTCTGGGAATTCATGCTCTTCATCTTACTGTCTTTGTTTCAATTCTTTACGCTTTATATAGTTTATCATTCATTATCTTCTGATGTAAATAATTACCCATCCAAAAGATGTTGTGCAGTTTGTGAAAATGACCTATGCTGCCTTTGTTTTAACAATGACTTGTACATGTGGCCTAAGTTATTCCTAAGTAAGAATAACTTTACTTCTGTAGACCTGTAGAGCATTGTATCCTTCCGTAGCTTTGCTTTTAGTTTCCCTTCCATTATCCTTTACAGACTGTTTTCAAACACTTTTGCAACTAGATTGTAATTTTTTTATTTAATTTTTAAACTTAAATACATATTTGTAACTTAAATATAATGTTCCCTTTTTATTTGAAACCATAGAAACTCATAACCAGTGTTTTGATGACTCTCTATGATTTAGTTTTCAATCTTTGGAAATTTCATTTACTTATTTTTTGCACAGTTTTTTAATTGAGAAAAAATTGTATATATTTATTAAGTACAGTATGTTCTTTTGAAATATGTATATGTGGTGTAATGGCTAAATTGAGCTAATTGATTTACTTCTACAGAGGTTTACCAGTTTTCTGCAGGATTATTCTAGAATCAGTGTTACTTCATTAATATAAATGTGAGGAGTGGGTCAGTGGGTGAAATTCTTGGAGAACCAGATTAAAAATCTTGATCTGTGAGCAACTAGAGTGATGTCAGGGAAATAGGATATAGCTTAAAAAGGATAATTATACAAATATAAAATAGTTATTGATTGTGGACATAGCAGCATAAAATCGATATAGTAAACTGAATTTTACAATGACTCTTGCAGGGGAATCATTTTTCCTCAAGAGGAACTCTCCCCATTCTCCCGTGTCTTCTACTCTTGTTGAGTGCAGTTTTCTATAAATGTCAGTTGGGTCAATTGGTTGATAGTGTTCAAATCTTCTATATCTTTATTGACTTCTTTCTACTTTCTCTTATCTTTTCTCGAGAAAGGACTATTGAAATCTCTCAACTACAATTGTAGATTTGTCTTTCTCCTTTCAGTTTTATCAGTTCTTTTCTTTGATTTTTTGGCGCTCTCTTATTATTTGCAAACACATTTGGGACTTTTACAGCCTTTGATATATTGATCCCTTTTTCAATATAATTTTTCAAGATCTTGTTCTGAAGCTTACAGATGTTCCTTGGCTTACAGTTATGTCCTGATAAACCCATGGCAAGTTGAAAATATTAAGTTGAAGGTGTGTTCTGATATATGATATTTTCAATCTGCTGTGAGTTTATCCTATTGTAAGTTGAGGAGCTCCCTGAACGTGTATCCCTTTTGCACTATTGTAAAGTCGAAAACTTGTATGTCAAATCATCTTAAGTGAGGGACTGTCTTAAGTGAGGGACTAATACTTGGTGTTAATCATTCTTTTTATAAAAAATTAGTGTTTGCATTGTGATATCTTTTCACATGCTTTACTTATGACCTCTCTGTTTTCCTATGTAAAGTAGGATTTTTTTAGCTTGCATGTATTAATAGTTGGGTATGCTTTTTAGATTCACTCTGTCAACTTCTGCTTTTTAAGTGTTTAGGCCATTTCTATTTAATACTGTTTTCCATATAGAAAACATGTGTTTAAATAGATTGGCTGTTTTCTATTTGTCCCTTCTGTTCTCAGGTCCTTTTCTGCCTTCTTTTGAATTACATTATATAATTCCATAGTACCTCCACTGCTGGTTAATTATACTCTTTACAGTTTTTTTTTTTTTCATCAATTCCGCTAATGCAGGGGTCAGCAATCTGTATCCATAAGCCGAATCTGGCCCACCACCTGTTGTCAATAGAGTTTTATTGGAACACAGGGTGCTCAATCCTTTATATCTTGTCTGTGGCTTCTTTTGTTCTGCAGCAGCAGAGTTGAGTAGCTGTGACAGAGACCATATGGCCCACCAAGCCTAAAATACTACTGTTTGGCCTGTTGCAGAAAATGTTTGGAAATCCCTGTTCTAGTTTATATAATATGCATCTGATCAGAGTATCTTCAAACAATATCATAGCACTTTATAATGTAATATATACCTTAGAACAGTATATTTCTATTTTCTTCCTATTGTCATTTTTATATTTTATTTCTACATGCAGTCAATTATTGTTATTCATAGTAGTTATATTCTGTAAAGTCACTGAGAACACTGAATTAGCTAATAGTGAACGATTGCTCCTAGTAGGACCTAGTGGAACCTTTGTTCCTAGTGGGAGGATAGGTTCCTGCAAGCCTCTGGTCACATTTTCGTCAACCAATAAATACATAACCTTGTTTTATGTGTTTCTGTTTGAAGACACTTTATTTAATATATATAGTTGATTCATTAACATTGTACTCACAGCTAACAGCGCTGTTACTTATACCTGAATGTTATTGAACACGTGTAGTTACTCTATAAGGGACATCATAAACTTTTTGCACTTGAGAACACTAGACTGCTTCAGCACTGTGCTTGGGAGCCATTTTAAACAGAAGAGTCACTAACAAAAGATGAAAAAAATGCAGAAAATATGGCACTAAATAGACTGTGAAAAGGACTCTTATTTACACTATAAGAGCTGGAACAAGAAGGCAGAGCTATAACAAGACTTTGACTTGAAATATGTAGTACGATAGAAAAGCTGTGTTTGCCTCTGAGCTGTGCCATGACCACATTTGAAATAATACATTGTTTTAAATTTTTTTCACTCCCAGCCTACTATTGGAAATAAGTTGAAGGGGTGTGAACCAAGCTCCTTGTCAGATATTTCCACGATTCAGTAATTTTTGATGAAATAGTTATAATCAAATGAATAAACTCATAACATATATTTTGACAAATGCAGGCTTTATTGCTATGTTTGTGTCTATTTTTTCCCAACAAAATCTTAACCAGTCTGCTTTTGAACAGCCCACAAGATTTTCTGATTACTCTTATCATTGAGCATTTCCTGGTTAGCTTTTTTAAAAATTATAGGCAAAAGTTCAAAGCTTGTTTTGTCATATTTATGGAAAAAGAAAAAAACCTAGTTTTAAAAAATCTTTTACAATAGGCCACATGTTACAAGGATCAGGATGTTTACAAACTCGATGCATGTAGTTGCAAGGTTATATGCATTTTAAATGTGGACTTGATTTGTAACAGTGGTTTTCAACCCAGACTGCACTGGAGAGTAACTAGGAGGTTAAACAGGTCCTTCCTAGACCAATTAAATCAGGTCCTTTGGGAGTGGGAGTCTGTTTAAGAGTTCTATCTATGATTCTAATGAGAGCCACAGTCTAGAACCTCTAGTCTAATGGAAATTTGATAAGCCTAAGGACCAGATAAGTAACAATCTGAAGATACATTTTTTCAAATATTGAAATTGTATATTTTGTCCCGTGAGTGCCATCTTATTTTCCACATACTGAAAATATACTTTAAAAAAATTCTTAAAATTAAAAATTTCAGAGAGGTCTGCAGCTGATTATAGGTTAATGTGATAATTGCAAATTCTAGGTAGATTTTCAGTCTCCCTGGTGGCAGTTTGCAGAGAGCTAAATAGTGTTATACAATTATCCTACACCTGGGTGCCATTATCTGTTATGGCTTTGCTTCAGTTGAACAAATATTTATGGTGCACTACTCTTCAGTCACTGTGCTAGATAACTGTGGAAGCTCCCAAGATGAAACACAAATTCCCTGCCCCTGTGATTTATGCTCTAGAAAAGAAGATGAGCAAATGTCAAATTGCCCTAATATAAGGTAGATGTAAGTCCTGAAATAAAGGTACAATATGATAAAATGACTCAGGAAGGAGAGCTGTCACCTTGTTGGAAATATGAAATCATATTTTCAATCCTACTTTTTGCTTGCCATCACCAACTGTAGTACTTCACCTGGAGAAATAAGCTTTTGCTGGTACAATGCCATGCTACTACTTTGATAGCTTGTAGCATGGATAAAGCAAGATACCTTTAACATCCTCACTAGTCTGTGAGACAGCAGATACTGGTCTCTTTATGCACATATAGAGTCTGCTTTCTTTTGCTTGGTCAGATAAAAAGTTTTGTGATTCTGCTTCCTAGTGGTGCTCTAAATTTTATTTGTGTTAGAATTAGTTATTCAAGAAATTCGTGATAATCTCTGCCCTCTTCACTCTGCAGCAGTTAACTGGACAGACGTGTAGTTGCCAGCAATGAGCAGGTGACAGAAATATGTGATTGCTTATGTATAAGGTATTATTGCAAGATTACTTACAAAATAATGCTGATCAATCTCTGATCTCTGGTCCAGATTCCTTTCCTAAGCTTCAGACATGCCATGTTCTATCTTTTAACTAGCCTTGAACACCCTTTCATTGCCACATCCTCTGCTTAGACCTCCAGCAAGTTTTTTTCTGTATGGATGTTGGCATCCTATCCAACACATTGTATTTTAACATTCATAATGCTCATTGTAATTGTCTCTTTTCTTGACTGTATCCACTATAAAACTAAGCTTTATGATGCCAGATATCATGGCCACAGTAGGTGCTCAGTGAATATTCTTTGGTTGAATAAATAAAGGAAGGAATTAATATGAAGCAGTATAGTGTTATAGTTAAAACCATTAGTTTTGGGGTTAAACTGGAGTTCATTTCTACCACTTATTAGTTGTGTAATCTTGATTCCTTGTCTGAAAAATGAGGTTAAAAGTAGCACTCATCTCTCATCATTGTGTGTGTATATTAAATGATATGTTTCTAAAATGCTTAGCCCAATACTTAGCAAATAGTAATCACACAGTATATGCTAGCTAATCAATATTATTATGTATTAATCTGATCTTAGTGGTTTCCAAACTCAAAAGAAAACTTGAGCTATTACACTTCGAGGTCCCTCTCTGTTGAAGATTTATTAGAATTAGCCAGTGGTAATCTAGAAATGACTGAAAACTACTATCAATTAAGTTTATGTTAATTTTTTGATTTGTGCTTTATAGAATATATACATATGTCAAAATCTGTTTTCTCTGTAGAAGACAGCTGATTCCTTCCTTGATCTGAATAGGTACTCACAGTTTTCTATTAGCTTTACTAATTCTCCTTTTATTGGTACAGAAAATTAGAGGTTAATGGTATATCAATTCTGTGATTTATTTTATCTTCTGTTCTTGGGCTGCATGTGAAAACCTGTGACTTCTATATTAGAATATTTTGGTATAATATATTCCTAAGGGCATAATGTGCTGCCTTTTTTTTTTTTTTTTTTTTTGAGACGGAGTCTCGCTCTGTCGCCAGGCTGGAATGCAGTGGCGCGATCTCGGCTCACTGCAACTTCCGACTCACTGGTTCAAGGGATTCTCCTGCGTCAGCCTCCCGAGTAGCTGGGATTATAGGCACGCACCACCACACCCAGCTAATATTTGTAGTTTTAGTAGAGACAGGGTTTCACCATGTTGGCCAGGATGGTCTTGATCTCCTGACCTCATGATCTGCCAGCCTTGGCCTCCCAAAGTGCTGGGATTACAGGTGTGATTGGCCACCGTGCTTGGCCAAATATGCTTCTTTAGATTAATGGTGATTGCATATGTGACTTAAGAATCTTATAATTTTGAGGTCAACTGATTTAACTAGTCAGTTAATTACCATTGTTGAGCAGTGAGTAAGTAAGCATGCTTCTCTGTATTTCTGTACCCTTAGGCTGTTATTTGAGATATTCTTGCATTGTATACACATGCCCAAGAATTAGACTGTTGGAAAGAGCCTATAGAATCAACTCTAAAGGGATAGGAACAGTTAAGTGACATTGTATAAGATCTTTTGATGTCACAAGAGGTACAGGAAAACTAACCAAGAGTGCATAAATATCTCCATTAGAAAAAAAGATTAAAAATATTTAGCAACAATTATCTTAAGAAACGGGTAAGTCCAAATATAAATAAAATTAAAATCTTTAAAAAATTTTTTAAAGACCTTGTAAAATGAATGCGTCTTCTTATGTTCCTGAAAAAGGAAGACTGATAGTGTGTAATTTTTACTTCTCCAGTTAAATTTCTTTCCATTAAAGATTTTTATTGGTATTCTTTTTACTCTGACAATGTTAAAGTTTATCTGGAGGAAAAATAGTCAAGAGCATTAATTTAAAAATCTGAAAAATAAGAGAGAAAGAGAAGAAAAACCTACAATAACTGAAGTTATATACTATCTGAACATAAATAGATAAGCACAAGGTACTTTTAGGTATGCCAAAGGAGTCATGAGAAATTAAAAGGAATCATTTTTCAAAAAAAAAACAGAGCTTAAAAAACTAGTTTTAAGCAGTTGAAGGAACATTAACATAGACCTTCACTTAATACCTGACACTAGCTGGGCGCGTTGGCCCATGTCTGTGATCCTAGCACTTTGGGAGGCTGAGGTGGGTGGATCACCTGAGGTCAGGAGTTTGAGACCAGCCTGGCCAACATGGCAAAAGCCTGTCTCTACTAAAAATACAAAAACTAGCCAGGTGTGGTGGCAGGTGCCTATAATCCCAACTACTCGGGAGGCTGAGGCAGGAGAATCGCTTGAACTCTGGGTGGGGAGGGAGGTGGGTGGGGGTGGGTGGTGGCAGAGGTTGCAGTGAGCTGAGATTGCGCCACTTCACTGCAGCCTGAGGGAAAGAGCAAAACTCTGTCTCAAAAGAAAAATATGACACCAAGGTAAATTTCAGTGATTAAAGGTGAAATGTGGAAACTCAAAAGAAAATTTACATATAATGGAATTGACTATCAAACCTCTGGACAGCAGGCAGCTCACTTTCAGATCAATAAAAGAAAACATGAAAAGATCAGTTTAGAGATTTTATTAAAAATTATAACGTATACATATATAAAAGTAAAAGCAACAAGATTGGGAAAATGTTACGGCAAGTATTATATAGGTTAATGTCTTCTTTCTACATAGAGCTCATGTATTGGTAAGAAAAACTGATCTCAACACTTGGTCAAATGATATGAGAGTTATGTTTTACAAAAAGATTAAATTAGTAAACAAGCGTGCAGGAAGATGTTCAAAACAGTTTTAAAATATAGTTTAGGTATCGTGTTAAGTTGGGGGAAAATGAAATTGGCGTTCGCAGTATGGGGGAGAGCATGGTAAAATTTCATAGAAATAGAGAACAATCAATGATTCAAGTCTTATAATTTAAAAACTAGATTAAATTCTAACAAGAATATCACAAAACATATACACTGAGGTTTTTGTCCCAAGAAAATATCTCTAACAGATCATTTATCGTTGAGCTTTGCTTAAAACTTGGATATGACCAAAAGCGTTCACTCTTTGAATTTCATCCAGTTTCATTACACACCCCAAGGGTGGAGTAGGGTGGAGTTTCTTTTACTGTTGTTGTTGTTGTTAGCATAAGCCAAAACTTAGCTTCCTTTTTTCAAAGCTTTGAAACCCTTCCAACATTTATGATACATTGATTGATGCTGTCTTATTCATCTTTTATCCTCAGAGATGTCTTACATTTAGTAGACATTTGGTAAAGAACACATACCTGCTCTTCTAAAAACATGATACTGGAAATACAGTTTTATTGATGAGATGATTTATAGTTATTAGAGCTGAAAAGAGATAGAAATGAGCAGATAAGCATCAGTATTCTTTCCCATCTTGTTTCATATATCCGGTGCCTTAGTTGTGCCCAAGCTGATCCCACTAGCTTAGATTGTCAGATAATTAGTTTGTAGAGCTTGTTTTTCCTGGGATTGTGCAAAAGGCCAGGGGTTCTTCTAGAATGCTCTGAAATTTTTAAAGTTATTTATTTCCTGAACTTTTTCCTTATTCCACATAAGAATGTGGATTAGGACTTTGGACTATTTTACTGGCAAATGTTATAGTCTCAGTATCTGATTTTAATATATAAGATCAAGTTAAATTGTTTTCATCTGATGAGATTTTGACCCCCTGGGAACATTTGGCAATGTCTGGAGACGTTTTTGGATGCACAACTGGAGCAGGGGGGCTTCCAGCATCTAGTGGATAGAGGGCAAGGAAGTTGCTATGATGCCCCATACAACAAAGCATTATCTGGCCCAAAATGTTAATAATGCTGAGGTTGAAAACCCCTGGGTTAAACTGATGGAGTAATAGCATTTCTGAAGTTTGAAGAAATCTACAATGTCTCTCTTTTAGTACCATTGTAGGGGCTTAGTAAAATAGGGAATATGACTGTCTCCTAGATTAAAATCTTACAAATATGAATTGCAGCTTGAGGTCTTAAACAGGATTTCTAGTTTTGCCTGGGCATTTTTGTTTTTGTTTTTTGAGACAGGATCTTGCTCTGTCACCCAGGCTGGGGTGCAATGGCATGATCACGGCTCACTGCAGCCTTGACCTCCTGGGCTCAATTGATCCTCCCACCTCACCCTCCCTAAGTAGCTGGACCACAGACTCCGGCCACCACGCTCGGCTAATTTTTTTATTTTTTGTACAGATGGGGTTTCACCATGTTGCCCAGGCTGGTCTTGAACTCTCGGGCTCAAGCGTTCCCTCCACCTTGGCTTCCCAGAGTGCTGGGATTACATGTGTGAGCCACCACACCTGACCCATTTTTGTTTAACAGTGCACAGTTTTTATTGTGAGTATGGATATAGTTAATGTGAATTTTTAACCTATATATATAAAAAGTTCCTATATCTTCATATTGTTTTATAAAGCAAAATTAACAACAAACAAGATCTCTGCCTTCTAGAGGTTTATAAGCTGAAGGGAATGTGTTTTTACTGATTAAACCCGAAGAACTAATGGTACTGGGAATCAGGAGAATGCAGAAGGCAGACAAATCTGAGCAGCAGGTAGAACTGGAATTGAGCCAAACAGAAATTTCCTGATCAGATCACAGCTGGGAGGCCACTTAACGCCTGATTACAAGGGAGAAAACTGATATTGAGGGAGTAGGCCAGAAGCCTCGCCCATCTTACAGTGATTGTTCATGCTTGGATTTTCAACCTTGAAATTACATTAACTCTGTTACTGGTGTAGTATGTTTAAAAAAAAAAAAAAAAAGAATCCAAGGAAGAGATAACAGAGTATATTATGCCATAGCAGAGTTTTGGAATCAAGGAGAGACACCTGGGTTGTAGTTGCTATTCTGCCACTGATGATAGGCCCTTTTCAAGTTACTTCTGACCCTCAGTTTTCTCAGGTGTGAAACTAGTGTCATAAAGTCCACCTCCATAGAAGAATGGTGGTTAAATGTAAAGCCCCAGGTAGTGTCTGGCACATACTTAGTGCTCAAAAGTAGTTAATACTCATGATTTCAAAATCTGTTTAGATATGGAAAGATCACTGGTCTTGTAGTGATCTTAAAGTCCCAAAGCCTTCATTAGGTAGCCTGCCAACATGCTTACATTGGTTTGCTCTTGCCTTTTGATTTTAGCATTTAACGTATAAAAAAACTATAAAAAACAGAGATAAAGTGTTTATCTTATTAAAGGGCCTGGATTACTTGTTTTAAGAGTTTTGAGGAAATTAAGAGTCTGTAGCAAGTGCTTTGCACAATTTCTGATGCATATTGACTGCACTCAATAGCACTTCTCCACCTTTTTGCTTTCATATTGCTAAGAGGCTTAGAAGATACCACTATAATGCTCCTGCTACTGTATAATTTGTTGAATGAACATAGTAGATATAATTGGAGTGAGAAAGGAATTGGTAGACAGCAATTCATTTTAAGTTATAATGCTGTTTACAGAAATTGGAATAATTCTTACAAAAGCAGATTGTCTGCTTTTAGCTGATTTAAAACATTTGGTTTTAGTTTTGACGATTTACGTGACACTAGACCTGAAGGTTGTTTGCTTATGTAGCCTAATTGAGGAGTTATTTTGGTCTGTTCTTTAACTGCATCGTCTCTGTAGATACGGATTGGGTATAATTTTCAGGTTATGCCAAAGTACACTGAACACCCCAGCTGTATCTTTTGTTGTCAAAAAAAACCCAGTTGTCATTCTATGTTGTTTTTTTTTCTATCCATTCTTTCTACTACAGCTGTGTTGCAGCAGCTTAGTGACATCCTGCTCTTTATTCTACCCCTACTTTTTTTGTCTAGGCAAAATCAATGTCAGGCAGCCATTACTAATCTGAAAGCTCAAACTGGAAGAAGAAATTTTTTTTTAATTCTACTATTCATCATAAGACCTTGGCTAGAATAGAAGATCCTAGATCTTTAATTCGGAAAGTTTGAATTAAAGATAATCAGAACTAATAACAAAACAAGAAAAAATGAGAATGAAAAAAGATTGCTTTGGTTGGTATCAGAAAGGCAGGTGTTAAATAAAGCAGCTCCTCTGGTATTTCTTTTTTTTTTTTCTTTTCTTTTTCTTTTTTTTTTTGAGATGGAGTTTTGCTTTCACCCAGGCTGGAGTGCAGTGGTGCAATTTCGGCTTGCTGTAACCTCCACCTCCCAGGTTCAAGTGATTCTCCTGCCCCAGCCTCCCAAGTAGCTGGGATTACAGGTGCCCGCCACCATGCCTAGCTAATTTTTTGTATCTTTACTAGAGATGGCGTTTCAGCATGTTGGCCAGGCTGGTCTCAAACTCCTGTCCTCAGGCGATCCATCTGCCTCAGCCTCCCAAAGTGCTGGGATTACAGGCGTGAGCCACCACACCTGGCCTCTTATGATATTTCATATCCAAAAAATTCTGGGTTCAGGTTAATGATGAAAGTTAATAAATTCAAGTCCATGTTGAGTCATTTTCTAATTGACTCAGCTATCGTCCTTATGTCTGTATTTAGAAACAGAATCATTGAGCTGCTTCTCTCCAATTAAATATTTTCCTAAAATTGGTGTTAATATTAGATTTGTTTCTGTGTAATTTATTAGTGCTAAGTTAGTTGCTCAATAGTCAACACTTCTTTTTTTTTTTTTTTTTTTTAGTAAGTACCTGTTAAGTACAAAGTGCTTGGGGATTCAGGAGGAACATGAAAAGAGAATATTCTTTTCCTCATGGAGCTTGTTTACTATGATCGAGTTTATGTTTAAAAAGACTTGTGAAGATTTATTTGGCATCAAATTTTAAAATGACGTTGGTATTCAGTGTCACAAATGCATTTGAAGAAACTTGTGATGCTGATTTTTAAAATGACGTTGGTATTCAATGTCTCAAATGCATTTGAAGAAACTTGTGATGCTGATAATATTCTGTATCTTGACCTGAGTGGTGGTTATGTGGGTTGTGTGTATGTTTATGAAGCTATCAAGCTTCTAATTAAGATTAGTGCATTTATTATATATCAAGTACATTTTAAAAGTAAATGTATGTTAAACTTCGATCGTTTCCCATTGCATTTAGAATAAAACCTTCATTCTTCTTTTTAAAAAAGTACATACTGGCTGGGCACGGCAGCTCATACCTGTAATCTCAGTGATGTAGGATTTTTCTTGACCTCTTCATCGGACTTGGGACGGGGTACCCTGTTTACTCAGTCCGCCACACTCAACCTCTTTTGGGAGGGAACATGTGAGCAAACGAGTGCAGGATCTGGCTAGCTGCCTTGAGTGATGGCAGGAGCAGACTTCATACCTGTGGGGCCCTTCAACCTAAGGGCCCCACAGCGGCACTTAGGTTGTGGTGCCTGAAACCCCCCAGAGGCCCCAGAAGATATAATACTCTCTTAGGTCTGCCATCCATGGACAGCAGCGTGTTATCAGCTCAGTGGGCGCCTTGCCTCATCGTGTGGGGTGGCTGCCCTCCACCAGCAAGGGGAAAGGGCCTATGCAACAGCCTTTTTTGGGGTACTGGCACTTGTTGGGTCTCCAGTGCTTGTCTGGCATCTAAGAACAATGAGATCCCCCAGACACTTGAAGGATGGTGAAGGTGGTAAGTGATGGGAAATGGCTCTCAGCAGAGTGGGATGTGGGAGAGGGGACGGGACGGGCAGGTAATCTTCTCCTGAGGTCCAGCGGCTCTTCCCGATAGTCAGGCCATCCTCTGAAGTCCAGCTGTCCCTCCAATGTCAAGTCACCTCTCTCCAGTCAAGCTGCTTCTCTCTCTCTACTGGCTGAGTCTGGGGTCTTTATAGGCACAGGACAGGGGTTGGGCCGTGGGGCCGGCCGTAGGTAGTTTTGGAAAAGGCAACATTCGATTGGTAAAAAGACATTTAGAAAGAACCAATCAGGAGAGAGCAGGCAAACAGAGATAGAAGTTCTCACTTTGGGCAATGGGTTTCAGGCTTTTCATCTTGAAGGTGGGGTTTCGCCAGGACCCACCCCTGTCTGCCTAGTATTTCTCTGCCTTCTGTCTCTATCATCAGCACTTGGGGAGGCTTGAGGCAGAATGATTGCTTGAGTTCAGGAGATGGAGACCAGCCTGGGCAATATGGTGAGACTGTGTCTAAAAAAAAAAATTAAAAGTTCATAGTGATAAATTATTCATTCAGATAATGTTAAATTCAGAAACCATTGTTAAAGTGCAAAAATTATGTTTGACCAAGTGAAATAACTTGGAAGCTTCCTACCTTGCCTGACATTTTACTGACAGCATTTTAACGACATGAACTTGAAACGGTTCACCTTAAATTACTTTCAAAATAAGTGTTGCTTAAAATAATTTTGTTTGCAACTATTGGAACCTTTTACTTAAAAATGTTAAGTAATGCTGTAAAAAATAACGTCTAAAATGGTTATAGAAAGATTATTTTTTAAAATTATCGAAGTCATCTTTAATACAAAAGCAAAGAATGAAGTGAGCAGAGTGCATGAGGGTGGAAATTTAATAACTGATATTCTGTTGCATTCCCATATGGACTGGGAAAATACTTCATTTTGCACAGTCAAGAGGGGTCATCGGCACAGTTTGTAGTAAGCAAATCCAGAAAAGCTCGGGGGATGGGGGAACAGTTGGAAAGAGGCCAAATTAAAGGGCCATTTTGCTTCTACCATGCTGTATCATTAGTTATTTCTTTAATTTCCTCTTTCTTTTAATCAAGGATGAGGTAGGCCAGGTAAGGAATTATGGACTTGTCTGGTTTTCAAAAGGTTGCCAACTTCTTCCACATTTCCTAGCCTCTTTATTCTCTTGACTCTTTTATTCCCTAAAGCAGGATTTCTCAGCTTCAGCACTATTGACATTTTGGGTGGGATAATTCTTGTGGGGGCTGCCCTCTGTGTTCTACAGTGCTCTACCCACTGAATGCCACTAGCTCAAGTTGTGAAAACCAAAGATGTCTCAGGACATTGTCATATAGCTTCTGTGGGCAAAATCATCTCAGCTGAGGATCATTGCCCTAGAGGAATAAACTAAATAATAGCCAGTGACAATTCCTGACAATTACTTAAACATGTCATCACCTCTGCTGCTTTTCTGAACTTCTTCCCTCTCAGGAGAATAGAATGTTTAGAAGGGATATATATACACCATTTTACTGGGCAAGAATTGTATTTTGAAGAATATAGAGACAACAGCATTAGTACAGGTTTCTGCCCCCGCCCCTTTTGACTCTGTGAGCATAGCAGAGTCACAAATGTAATTAAGGGCCAGGAAAGGTGACTCGTGCCTATAATCTCAGCACTTTGGGAGGCTGAGGCTAAAGGATTGCTTGAGCCCAGGAGTTTGAGGTTGCAGTGAGCAGTGATCAAGCCACTACATTGTGGGCAACAGAGGGAGACCCCCACTCAAAAAAAAAAAATGTAATCCAGAATTGGTTTTAATTAGTTTGCCAAAATATTTTCTCCTTTTCAAATTATACAACTGAAAGAAAAAAAAAAGGCTCTTCTCCTTTGTTCTTTGTTCTCCTGGAGTCTGATTTAGAACAAGAAGCTATTATCTTAAAAGCTCTCTTAGGTTTCACTGCTGTCAAATCATTTTGAGAAATTCTACATATATACTTTGGAATATAAAGTATTTTTGTTTATGGTTTTTTGATATGTTGTTCAGGACTTATTAAAGGTCTCCACATAATGAAGATCATTCTGAGGAGTAATTGGATTTGGAGTTTTAAAGATGATCAATCCATTAAAAATAAGCAAAAATATGAATTCCTAATTTACAGAAAAGAAAATACAGATTCACTTAAGCATGTGAAAAATGTTCAACTTCTTGTAATAAAAAAAGAAATGCAAATTAAAACTACAAAAATACCATTTTTCATCTAAAGTCAACAAGTTTGATAATACACTATAAAAACGTGGCAAAACAAGTACATACTCAATATATTACTTGCAGAAGTATAAATTGGTTTGACCGCCATAAAGAGCAATTTGGCAGTATCTACAAATTTCAAATATGCGTTTTCTTTGAGCCAGCAAATCTCCTAGAAAGTTATCTCATATTCAGACTCAAAAAGTGGGAAAAGATATGTACATAGGATTACTCATTGGGTATTGCTCATACTCACAAGAGATTGGAATAGCTAAGGTGTATTTAGCTTATGACGAGTTCTAATCTCTTTTATTTCTATTTTTCTGGATAAATAATAGTTGTACATATTTATGAGGTACATGTGATATTTTGATACAAGCATACAATGCATAATGATCAAATGAGGGTAATTGGGATATCCATCACCTTAAATATTTATCATTTCTTTGTGTTAGGAACAGTCCAATTCTACTCTTCTAGTTATTTTGAAATATACAATAAATTGTTGTTAACTGTAGTCTACCTATCATGCTACCAAACACTGGATCTTATTTTTTCTATCTAACTGTAGTTTTGTAATCATTAACCAACCCTTTTATTCCCCCCACCCACTACCCTTCAGAGCCTCTGGTAGTCATCATTCTACTCTCTATCTCCATGAGGTCATTTTTTTTTTAAATTTTTCACATACAAGTGAGAACATGCAATACTTGTCTTTCTGTGCCTGGCTTATTTCACCAACTGAAATGTTATTCTCTACTTCTGTCCATGTTGTTGCAAATTATAGGATTTCATTCTTTTTATGGCTGAATAATATTCCACCATGTATGTGTATCACATTTTCTGTATCCATTTATCCATTGATGGACACTTAGGTTGATTCCCTGTTGTGGCTATTGTGAATTTTGCTGCAGTAACCATGGGATCGCGGATATCTTTTTGATATCTTGGTTTCTTTCGGGTAGATACCCTGTAGCGAGATTGCTGGATCCTGTGGTGGTTTTATTTTTGGCAACCTCCGTGCTGTTTTTCATAGTGACTGTACTGATTTACATTCCCACCAATAGTGTATAAGCATTCCCCTTTCTTTGCATCCTCACCAACATCTTTAATTTTTTGTCTTTTTGATAAAAGCCATTTTGAGATGAGATGATATCTCATTGTGGTTTTGATTTGCATTTCTCTGATGATTAGTGATGTTGAGTATCTTTTCATATACCAATCGGGCATTTGTATGTCTTCTTTTGAGAAATGTATTATTTAGATCTTTTGCTTATTTTTTAATTGGATTTTCTTTTTTTGTTGTTGTTGAGTCATTTGAGCTCCTTATATATTCTGGTTATTAACCCCTTGTCAGTTGAATAGTTTGCAAATATTTTCTCCCATTCTGTAGGTTGTCACTTCACTTGTTAATTATTTCCTTGCAGAAGCTTGTGTGTGTGTGTGTGTGTGTGTGTGTGTGTGTGTGTGTGTGTGTGTGTATTTTAGTAGAGGTGGGGTTTCACCATGTTGACCAGGCTAGTCTCGAACTCCTGAGCTCAGGCAGTCCACTACCTTGGCCTCCCAGAGTGCTAGGATTATCAGTGTGAGTCACTGTGCCCGACTTTTTAGCTTGATGTGACCCCCTTTGTCCATTTTTATTTTGGCTACCTGTGCTTTTCAGGTCTTACTCAAGGAGTCTTTGCCCAGGCTAATGTCCTGGAGTGTTTCCCCATTGTTTTCTTCTAGAATATGAGGATGGTTCAGCATACGCAAATCATTAAACATAATATGTCACGTCAACAGAGTGAAGACCAAAACCCATATGGTCATCTCAATAGATGCCAAAAAAACATTCAGTAAAATTCAACACAATGAAAACTTCGTGATAAAAACTGTCAACAAACTAGGTATAGAAGGAACATACCTCAAGACAGTAAGGGCCATATATGACAGACATGCAGCTGGTATACTGAATGGGAAAAAACTGAAAGCCTTTCCTCTAAGATCTGAAACAAGACAAGGATGCCCACTTTCACAACTTTTGTTCAACATAATACTGGAAGTCTTAAGTAGAGCAATTAGACAAGAGAAAGAAATAGATGGTATCCAAATTGGAAAGGAAGATGTCAGATTATCCTTTTTTGCAGACGATATGATCTTCTATTTAGAAAAACCTAAAGACTCTGCCAAAAAACCATTAGAACTGATAAATGAATTAAGTAAAGATGTAGGATACAAAATCAACATACAGAAATCAGTAGCATTTCTATATGCCAACAGTGAACAATCTGGAATAGAAACCAAGAAAATTATCCCATTTACAATAGCTATAAATAAAATAAAATACCTAGGAATAAGCTTAACCAAAGAAGTGAAAGATCTCTACAATGAAAACTATAAAACATTGATGAAAAAAATTGAAAAGGACACTGAGTTCTTTGTATATATATATTAACGTATTCTCATGATAATTTTATGAAGTAGGCAAGTAGGCACTATTTTACAGATGGAAAAACTGAGGTTAAGTAACTTGGTTAAGATTATATACTTAGATGGGACTGGTGAAAGAAAACTATACATCTGTTTTTAAAAAAAAAAATAACTTTGTTAATGGAATGATCTCTATATTGCTAAGTGAAAAAAAGAGCAAGCTGCAGAACAGTGTTTATAGTGTGCTGCCATTTGTGTAAAATGAAGGAAAGATACATTCATGTGTATTTGGTATGTAAAATATTTTCAGAAGGATTCTGAGAAAACTGGCAACACTGTTGACTACAGGACGGTTAATGAGGCAGCTAGGGCATGGGTGTGCCGTCTACTCTTTTTTGCCTTTTGAACTTTGAATAATTGCCTATTCAAAAATAAATAAAATTATATTTTAAAAGAGTACATATTATATCTGAAAGTATAAAGTAAATATCCATGAGTCTATATTGATATATATAAATGTTGTGAATAAATAAGTGGGGGAAAATAGATAAATCTCCCATTTGGAAGATTTTCAAATAATTTATGTAGATACTCCACCTTCAAGGAAAGGAAACAAACAAACCTTTCCACTTCTTAAGTGCTCTGCTCATAATGACTTACTTCCAAAGAGTATGTATAGAAAAGGGTGGGGGGAGAGTAGTTTTGCAGTGGAGAAACCTGACAAACACTACCTCAACCAACATCAGTGGTGATGTCATGTTGACAGTAGGTGCCCTTGGTAGAGTGCAATGAGAATGGCACTTTACCTCTGTGGTCTGCCTCCCCAAAACCCATTACCCCAGTAATAATGAAAAGAACATCAGACAAATTCCAGTAGAAAGGCCTCCTGCAATATACCTGACCAGAACTTCTCAAAACAGCCAAGATTGTTAAAATCCAGCAAAGTCTGAGAAACTAACCCAGCCCAAAAGGGGCCTATGGGGACATAACAGTTAAAGGTGATGTGGTATGGATGGGATTCTTAAACAGAAAAAGGGTATTAGGTAAAAATAAGGAAATCTGAATAAAGTATGAGCCTTAGTTAATGATAATGTATGGATATTGGGTTATTAATTGTAATAAATATAGCATGTAACTAATGTACAATGTTAATAATAGGGGAAACTGGGTATGGGGTAGTATACAGGAACTCTGTACTATTTATTGTCTACATTTTCTATAAATTTTAAACTATTTTTAAAAATAGATTATTTTTAAAGAGTATATACAATACATACATTGAATAATATTTTAAAAGTAAATTTAAAATTCAGGTGTTCGCCGCCTATTCCTCAGGAGCTTAACCATAAACCTGAAATGATAGCCTAAGCATCCTTTGTTTTAAGCTCTACAGGTGGTTCTGATGTGTGGCCAGAATTAAGACATTGTTTAGAGATCCACTCCTGCGTGAAAACCTATTTTCTGAATTTTTCAAAATCAGGAACAGTAAATCCTTGTATATTGAATTCATTAACAGTTTGGTTTTTGTTTGTTCTGTATAATTCTTCATAATGAATGTGTGCTCATTATGAATGAGGGGTGTATTTCTTTTTAGGTGTATATCTTTAATATACACGTCTCAAGAATTCTCATGTTTTTAGTTTAGACTCTTACATAATTTTTTTTTTTTTTTTTTTTTTTTGAGACAGAGTCACGCTTTGTCGCCCAGGCTGGAGTGCGGTGGTGCCATCTCAGCTCACTACAACCTCCGCCTCCCGGGTTCACGCCGTTCTCCTGCCTCAGTCTCCGGAGTAGCTGGGACTACAGGCGCCCGCCACCACGCCCGGCTAAATTTTTGTATATTTTTTAGTAGAGATGGGGTTTCACCGTGTTAGTCAGGATGGTCTTGATCTCTTGACCTCCTGATCTTCCCGCCGCGGCCTCCCAAAGTGCTGCGATTACAGGCATGAGCCACTGCGCCCGGCCTGACTCTTACGTAATTTCTAAATACCCTACCAAACATACCTATAAATCATAATCACGAATAGCAGAAATCTTTTTCACAGGCTGGCTATTACATTTTTTTTTTCCTTTATGAACTCTAATTTGTCTGTCGTATAGATGAGTATAGTATGAAAACATGCTGAAATGACTTTATTCTTTATCATTACCAACAGCTTTCTAGCCTCTAATATACATATGTCTATTTTTAATGTTTTGTAATATCTCACTGTAATTTCTTTACAAGCTTTTAAGTCTCTTAATACCAACTTCATGTTGATATTATTTTTCATTAGGCCATGTGTTTATTAAGAAGGTTATATTTATTTTTTCCAAGTCATACATTAATTATTTTGATGTTGTTTTCCTTCTCTTGGTGTGTTTATTATTTAGGTCTTCAGTTACCATTATTCAGAACTTCTGGTTTGGTCAAAACAGTATTGATGAGCCATATGATTTATTGATGATAGTTTCTGGAGAGAAATTTCCTTGTCTCTTTCCATTTACTTGCTATAGTTTCTGGAGAGAAAGTTCCTTGTCTCTTTCCATTTACTTGCTGTAGTTTCTGGAGAGAAAGTTCCTTGTCTCTTTCCATTTACTTGCTGTAGTTTCTGGAGAGAAATTTCCTTGTCTTTTTCCATTTACTTGCTATATAATTCAGACTCTGATACTTTTCTGACTGATAGGGTCACCCTTTCTTCAGCATCTTGCTCTCTGGTCTCTTTCTGTTCCTGTTCCTCTACACAATGCTGTCAGCATTATCTTTTTAAAATACAGATTTAATCATGTTCCTGCCTTGCTCTGAAACCTTATGTCTCGTCTCCCTTTTAGGTATACATTAGTGATATAAATCACTGGTATTTATGGATCACAGTGCTGAGACTTTTACAGCCATCAAGTAATTTAATTTTGATAAGAACTCTATAAAGCCAGCCTATAACTCCTATTGTCCTCCATTTTATAAACAAGAAACTGATTTAGAGAAGTTAAGCAACTTTTCTAAGGTGCTATAGTTAGTAGGTGGCAAAGTTTGAACATAATAACAGGTTTCTTTGTTAGTATGGTGCCAGTGGGGTTCCCTGTGCTTTTCTGCCCTCTCTCTACCCAGCTTTCCCCCATCTCATTCTTTAGTCTCAAGGCTCCACTTACCGTCTTCCATTTACCTTGTAACTTCTCATTGATGATGCTTACACTTTCAACCTATGGAAACTCTGCTTCTCTTTTTTAGTTCTGCTCAAGTATCATACTGAATCCCTCTACTCCACTGTCCCAGTTAACATTTTTTATTCCTCCTCCTTCTATAATTTTTTATTTTAATTTTGTTATTTGCCTTATACTATATATATTTGTGTTTATTTCTGTCTTCCTACTAGATTGTAAGTTCCTGGAAGATAAGGACTATTCTGTCTTTACAAACTGTGGGGCCAGTATCTTGCACTTACCGGACATGCAAGAAGTATGCCTTTTTGAAATCAGTTTTATTTATACAAATAGTAGAGTGAGTGAGTTTGTTTGTTTGTTTGTGACGGAGCCTCATTCTGTCAGTCACCCAGACTGGAGTGCAGTTGTGCAATCTTGGCTCACAGCAACCTCTGTCTCCCAGATTCAAGTGATTCTTATGCCTCAGCCTCCCAAGTAGCTGGGACTACAGGCATGCACCACCACACCTGGCTAATTTTTGTATTTTTATCAGAGACAGGGTTTCACCATGTTGTCCAGGCTGGTCTCAAACTCCTGACCTCAAATGATCTGCCTGCCTTGGCCTTCCAAAGTGCTGGGATTACAGGCATGAGCCAGTGCATCTGGCCTTAGAGTTTTAATGAGGATGGAATGTGGAGTCCTTTGTCCTTACAAATTTTTGTAACTAGGTTATGAAGATATTTTATTCTCCAACTGAATAATTTCATAAAATTTAGTAAAATTTTAATTTTAAAATTTAAATGAAGATTTAATTTTTTGGTTCTGTATTTTTACTTGTATCTTTTTAATTGAGAATTCTTACACTCTTAGATATATGTTAAACATACTATGAGGTTTTACAAATACTGTTGGTGACTCAAAAGGAGAATTAGTATTACAAAAATTCTAAATATTTCTGTACTTTCCCATTATTTACCCTGGTTACAAAAACTATAAACTTGTAACTTTCTAATTAATCATTGTTTTTAATTTTTTTTTAATTTAACTTTAAAAAAAGATTTGAGAGGCCAGTTGTGGTGGCTCATGCCTCTAATCCCAGCACTTTGGGAGGCTGACGTGGGGGAATCACTTGAGTCTAGAAGTTCAACACCAGCCTGGGCCACACAGCGAGACCCCTGTCTCTACAGAACATAAAAAATTAGCTGGGAGTGGTGACATGCACCTGTGGTCCCAGCTACTGGGGAGGCTGAGGTGGGAGGATCACGAGCCTGGGAGTTTGAGGCTGCAGTGTTGAACTGTGATCACACCACTGTACTCATCCTAGGCAACAGAACAAGACCCTATCTCAAAAAAAGGTTTTGAGAACTCTTTAGAAATATATACAGGACTTTTCTAATGAGAAAATTAAGGTCAGAAAATGAGATGAAACTAGGTTAGTGTTTGCACCTAAAACACATCCCATAAGATCCAAGACTGATGGTAAAATTGGGCTACAAATTTGGCTGTGCTTTTTCCATTTGGCAAAGCAAACAGGAAAACATGTTAACTTACGTGAGCAAATTGTTCATGTTATAAAATCAACTAGATAAAGTTATTTTGTGGGTGGGTCTTCACAAAGAAGGGCTACAGTATGAAATAGGTAAACGATATCAGCAGCAGCGTCTCTGTGACAAATGCATTTAGTTTAGTGAAACTGATTCATATTAGACCATTTGATGCAGGCAGGTGACATGGTGTCATTTATTAAAGGATATTCTATGAGGAGCCCAAATAAGTCAGTGAGCATTTATAATTCTGAGATCTACTGAAGAATTTTGAAATATTTAGAGCAGCATGTCCTAAGGCGCTGGAACGACTGCTTATCTTTCAGGCTAAGAGTGGAGTAGCAGTAAGTTTAAGATTATATTCTCCATCAGTAACTGAATATAGAAATCCTGTATTTGTAAGAGACATGTATTTTAAAATCATCAATGATTATTTATTTGTAAGTTTACTTTTCTATTTTTCTTGAACTTTAAAATTAACCAGGATGCTTGAGTACGTGGATCACCTTTTAGGTATCAATAGAATTGTTAGCAAATAGTGTTAGGTTAAAAACACTATGTTTTAAATTCTTTGATAAAATTGAAACGTTTACTTATAAAAATAGAAAACTGTGGTCATACTGATATAGGACTATTATCCCTCAGTTTCCAGAGTGTGGATTCTTTGGCATGTATGACAAAATTCTTCTCTTTCGCCATGACATGAACTCAGAAAACATTTTGCAGCTGATTACCTCAGCAGATGAAATACATGAAGGAGACCTAGTGGAAGTGGTTCTTTCAGGTAAGTAAGTGGCTTTTTAGAGTGATTGCCTTTTCCCCTCAAAGAGCCTAATTTTCTGTACTAAATGCTGCAATTCGATTATATTTAGTCTTTGTATTATTGTTACTTAATTTCTTTCATCTCTAATAATGGTCACCATATGATTTTTCCTTTCAGGCATGTTATATCACCATTAAGAAAGAAAAATACCTGGCAACGGTGGCTCACACCTGTAAGCCCAGCACTTTGGGAAGCTGAGGCGGGAGGATTGCTTATCTCAGGAGTTTGAGACCAGCCTGAGCAGCATACCTCGTCTCTACTAAAAATTTAAAAAAAAAAAATTAGCCAGGCATGGTCACATGCAACTGTAGTCTTAGCTACTTGGGAGGATAAGGTGGGAGGATTGCCTGATCCTGGGAGGTTGAGGCTGCAGTGGGCCATGATCACACTACTGCACTTCCGCCTGGACAACAGAGCGAGACTCGTCTCTTTAAAAAAGCAAAAGAAAGGCCTGGCGCGGTGGCTCACGCCTGTAATCCCAGCACTTTGGGAGGCCGAGGCGGGCGGATCACGAGGTCAGGAGATCAAGACCATCCTGGCTAACAAGATGAAACCCCGTCTGTACTAAAAATACAAAAAAAATTTGGCCAGGCGTGGTGGTGGGCGCCTAGTCCCAGCTACTGGGGAGGCTCAGGCAGGAGAATGGCGTGAACCTAGGAGGTGGAGCTTGCAGTGAGCCGAGATCGCACCACTGCACTCCAGCCTGGGCAACAGAGTGAGACTCTGTCTCAAAAAAAAAAAAAGGAAAAAATCAGGATAGGAAAATAAACTGAATTACTTGAATGTTACTAAGCTTAGGAAATTATTTGGTCTGAAAGAAATATACTCTTCTCTGAGTCAAAGAAATAAAACAGTTACACTGAAATTCTGTTTTTTCCCCTTCCCCCACCCCCATTTCTGTAAAGAGCATAAAAGAAGAAAATTGGGGTTTAGAAAAGAGAATCAGGAAAAAAAGAAGTAATGAAGATATGGAAGAGGAAATTACAATGCTGGTTATTTCTGTGGCTTTAAAATTAAAAATGCTCTTTCCCTTTTTGTCCCACTGGGCTTTTTTCTACCTTTCACTTTTTCCACCTCACGCATTCTTGCCATACGTTGTTTTTTAATTCCCACTATTTGCCATCTCATCCTGCAGCAATGTGGGCAAGATAATAAGGAGTGAAAAGGAAGAAAGAATGCCATAATAATGCACATAGTAGGTCTGCAGTACTTTTTGTTTGGCAAGTAGGAGAACTGATGGAAGAAAGGAAGCAAGCTGGCCAGCCATGGGTCAGAGCCCTGCTACCAAGTTCCCTTTTCTCAAATTCACCTTTGAGCCTTTTCTTGAGATCCTCTCTGTCCTTATTAGTCCCCACTCCTCTCATCTTATATTTCTGATTCTCTCATTCATCTCACTCCCTGCTACACTGATCATTCATCTTCTATACAACAACCCCAAACCATCTCTATATTTCCCAATCCTTGCCCTCCTCTTCATTCCTGAGGAGTTTCACTCCCTGTCTCACCTGGAAGTCCTGCTCACATCTCTTCCTTCTCTACTCTGGACTCCATCAGACTACTTGCAGGTTGAGGTGAGAGGAAGTTCCTTGGGTCTACTGTCCCGACGTTCACTAAGGGGAAAGGAGTTTCTTTCTCATATCCACTAGGACTGTGGAGAACAAACAGACAAGTATATCCTGGGATCCTAAATTAGGACTCAGTATCTTTTTCCACAGAAACGTTTCCATAAATTGAAGTTAAGTTCCATAGTAGTTTTTACTTTAGTGTTCTATTTCCCACTGTGTAAGTTAAGCAGTTTTTAATTGGTTAAAGTAACCTAATGTCTGTTTGTAATCTTGTCATTATGAGAAAATGCTGTTGGAGTTCCAAATAACTAACCTATGACCTACTTCTGGAGCTCAAATGATGAGAAGTAAATGGACTTGCTAAACTAGAGTTTGAAATCACAATATTAAATAATTTACTTTTATGGTCCAGTGCAACTTTCAGAGAAAAAATGATTCTGTGTACTTTGACATAAGTGAATGTGTGAGCATTCTTAATCTCATCGCAGTACAAATACAACGTGTATTGTAATACTTTTCTTTTTTAAAGCTTTAGCCACAGTAGAAGACTTCCAGATTCGTCCACATACTCTCTATGTACATTCTTACAAAGCTCCTACTTTCTGTGATTACTGTGGTGAGATGCTCTGGGGATTGGTACGTCAAGGACTGAAATGTGAAGGTGTGTGTTCTAAAATTTTTGTGGTCATTTGAAATAAGATTCCACATTTGCATTTTTTATTATCAGTGAAAAAGCAAGATGACGAGCTGTTGACTAGGGTGGTAACGAGGATTTAGAATTGGAGAGATCAGGACTCTCATTTTATCTCTGCCACCTACTTCATATTCTTGGGCAAATTACTAAACCTCTTAAGATTAATTTCTCGTAAAATACATTCTGCCCCACTGGTTTCATAAAGAGTAAACGGTTAAATCAGGTAATAGGGTTAAATATTTAGTACAAAATAATGGCTCCATAAATATTCATGTTGTTTTTTGTTTTTAAAAGTTTTCTTGGCCAGGCACGGTGGCTCACACCTGTAATCCTAGCACTTTGGGATGCCGAGGCTGGTGGATCACCTGAGGTCAGGAGTTTGAGACCAGCCTGGCCAACATGGCGAAACCCTGTCTCTACTAAAGATACAAAAACTTAGCCGGGCGTGGTGGCGGATGCCTGTAATCCCAGCTACTCGGGAGGCTGGGGCAGGAGAATCGCTTGAACCTGCCTGGGTGACGGAGGTTGCAGGGAGCCGAGATTGCACCATTGCACTCCAGCCTGGGTGAAAGAGCGAAACTCTGTCTCAAAAAAAAAAAGTTGTCTCTTACATACAACTAAATTGTCAAATTTGTTCTGAATTAGAATTGCTAGGAGTAGGACACAGGTGCACATTTCTGATGAAGAAACAGTCTTCTAAGGTGGAGGGTCAATCAACTTTTTCTGTAAAGGGACAGAGAGTAAATGTTTTAGACTTTGTTGGCCATATGGTCTCTGTCATGATTTAACTCTGCTATTACAGTATGAAACCAATCATAGACAATATGTAAACGAATAGATATGGTTGTGTTCCAATAAAACTTTATTTAGGGACATTGAAATTTGAGTTTCATAAAATTTTCATGTCACAGGAGGAATTTGGTACAGAGGCCATAGTTTGCTAACTAGTGCTTTAAGGCAGTGGTTCTCAAACTGTATTGTGCATCGTAAAACACACTTTGCTGGGCCTCATCCCCGTAGTTTCTAATTCAGTAGATCTGGGGTGGAGCCTTGTAATTTACATTTCTAACAAATTTCCAGGTGGTTGCCTTAGGGACCACACTTCAAGAACCACTGCCCTAGCTGACTTATCCTTTTTACACATTTCCTTTTCTTCTTGAATTCATTAGCTTCCACTTAGCCTGCTGTCTGGGTTCTTAATTAGGATAGGTATGGCTAACAGAAAATATGTTAAATAAAAGAAGCAGTGGTTTTTATGTATCACACTTAAATAGTAAATTTTTTTTTAAATCTTATATTTTACCTTGTAAAATATGTTTAGGCTGTGGATTAAATTACCATAAACGATGTGCCTTCAAGATTCCAAATAACTGTAGTGGAGTAAGAAAGAGACGTCTGTCAAATGTATCTTTACCAGGACCCGGCCTCTCAGTTCCAAGACCCCTACAGCCTGAATATGTAGCCCTTCCCAGTGAAGAGGTACGTATTCTAAGGTAATAGACATTTTAGTAGTAGTTATTCTCTGTGTTTCTACAGGGTGTATGACATCACTCTAGAACATAATTTATATGCTAAAGAATGGTAATGTTCCTACACTTAAGAAACATAAAATGTAGTAATGGAGACAGGACTTACCGGTAGTAATGAATTGCATTTTGTACACCTTGGGATGGTATTATGGCTTGTACCACTGCTTTAGCCTTCTAGTCAGTATCCTGGCTCCTGGTCTCCATACTTAAATCTTTTTTTTTTTTAATTTTTTTTTTAATTTTTGTTTTTTTGAGATGGAGTCTTGCTCTGTCGCCCAGGCTGGAGTGCAGTGGCACGGTCTCTGCTCACTGCAACCTCCGCCTCCTGGGTTCAAGCAATTCTCCTGCCTCAGCCTCCCAAGTAGCGGGGATTACAGATGCGTGCCACTACACCCAGCTGATTTTTGTATGTTTAGTAGAGATGAGGTTTCACCATGTTGGACAGGCTGGTCTTGAATTCCTGACCTCGTGATCTGCCCGCCTCGGCCTCCCAAAGTTCTGGGATCGCAGGCATGAGGCACTGCTATCTGCAGATCTGTATACAGATGAGACAGTTGAGACACAGAGCAGCTAAGTGACTTGTGTGAAGTCAGAGAGCAAATTAGTAAGAGATAGTGGAATTAAACCCAGATCTCATTATTAATAAATCAGTGATTTTTTTTCCTAATACAGTGTACCTCTCAAGGGCAAAGGCAGTAGATCCAGGAAAAAAGAAATAACTCCCTTGTACATTTCATAGTATTTGAAATGACTTCCATCTGTAGGTTGTAATCTTATTATTTAGTTTTTTCTGTAACTTCTCTGATCTTCTGTAAATTAATGGCAAAATCAAGGCCTTGTCTTGGTACTGTGATCATAATATTTTGCTAAGTTAAGACACCAGAGTAAAAGCTTTTGAAATCCTTTCACAAAAATTCCATCTTCTCTTACTGCTTAGCCCTAGTGTGAGATTTTTAAAGGATAAAAAGAGTGCTGCGGCATAAAGGACTGAAAATGAGGGGTTGGTATAAACCTACAGAAGAGCCTGGAAAAGATTAGTAGGAAAAAGTTAGTGCATCTTATACACTGAACTGCACAGAGAACTTACCTAGGAATGAGGACAGTAGAATAGAGGTATGTCAAGAGCCCCACAAATGATGCTGTTACGCCACCTATGCCCAGTTGAGTATTACTAGATTAGGAAATAGCAGAAGGACAGAGCAAGTGGATAAGGTGTTACATTTTTCATTAGTTTATATTTTATCTTGAACATGAAAGCTCCTTAGGGAAGTATAAGAAGTGCAGTTACATGTCTGAATTGGTTAGATTGTTCAGGGTATTTTTAAACAAGTAGAACTTGTAGCATGGAAGGGCTTTCAGGGTTTACTTTAGTCAGTTCAAGCATAGTCTCAAAAAGAAGAACTTTATTTTCCAACTGTTTGGGTTTTTCTACCAGGTGAACAAAAAGCAAAATTAAAGAAGGCATGAATTAAAAATTTTTGTAACCTGAGGGGTAAGTAGATTTTGGTAACTATGACCCTTTCTATATGAAGGGAATAATCAAACTAAATTATAGATCACCCAGTTCAATGTGGCTCATTTCATTCATTCAACACACATTCACCGATTATTGTATGCCAGGCCCTGTTATATACTAGGGACACAAAATTGAATAAAACATAATCCAAATACTCAAGCACAAAATCCTAATACCCAACTACCATCTAGCTATATGAACAGATTTTGCTGTACCTGCTTGCATCCTCACTGCCAGAACTGATGTCCTGAGATCTTTCAGCTGCCTTCTATAACTAGTCATGTTTGTAATTCAGAGAAGTTGGGTAATTCTACATTAATATGTTCAACCAAGGGAAGGAAAAGAAGTCAGAAAAAAACAAGAGACAGAGAAGTGCAAGGGAGAAGTAAGGGGAGGAGAAAAAAGAAAAAAAAGGGAAGAAAAGGAAAAGAAAAGGACAAAACAACTGGTTGGAGAAGAGCACTATAAAATGCCTCAGATTGATAGTGTAGGCAGGTATTTTTCTTTTTCTTTTTCTTTTTCTTTTTTTTTTTTTTTTTTTTTTTTTTTTTTTTTTTTTGAGATGGAGTTTCGCTCTTGTTGCCCAGGCTGGAGTCCAATGGCATGATCTCGGCTTACCGGAACCTCCACCTCCTGGGTTCAAGCGATTCTTCTGCGTCAGCCTCCCGAGTAGCTGGGATTACAGGCATGCACCCCCACGCCTGGCTAATTTTGTATTTTTAGTAGAGACGGGGTTTCTCCATGTTGGTCAGGCTGGTCTTGAACTCCTGACCTCAGGTGATCCGCCCACCTCGGCCTCCCAAAGTGTTAGGATTACAGGCGTGAGCCACCACGCCTGGCCAGAAGACCAGGCAGAAAACCAACTAGCTAGGTTCTGGAATAGTCTCCAAAATGGGTAAACAAAGTTTACTTCTTCTTAAAGCTGAATTACTGAAACTTGTTTTAATTAGTTTTGTATCTGCCATTGTTTATCATTATTAATTAGACTTAAAATGTATGTATATATTTTAGTATTAAGATAAATTTGAAAATCTAAAATGTGTTTCAAAATATATTCAGATGTCACATTCAGTAATGCAAAATGAGCAGCAATAATACTTTCTTCATTTATTTGTTTTAAAGTTTGTGTATTTGATTTGTAAAGTGCTGAAATGTGCCTGGCAAATAATCATCAGTGAATATATACCTGAGAATTAACATATCTTAGATGTTTTTAAGCATAAATATTAGCAAAAAGAATCTGCATTTTTCTCATTCAAAGATTGGTAAATTAAACATTGCAAAGGAAACTGCTGAGAACAACATTTTTAGAGTTTTTTGGCTTTAGTGTTTGAAATAAATGATTCTTGTGGTTAAGCTCTGCTCCCACTACTCTGTTTTTAATATTGACTTACACTTATGAAAATTACTTATGTTATAGTCACATGTCCACCAGGAACCAAGTAAGAGAATTCCTTCTTGGAGTGGTCGCCCAATCTGGATGGAAAAGATGGTAATGTGCAGAGTGAAAGTTCCACACACATTTGCTGTTCACTCTTACACCCGTCCCACGATATGTCAGTACTGCAAGCGGTTACTGAAAGGCCTCTTTCGCCAAGGAATGCAGTGTAAAGGTAGGATTAGGTGTTTTCCCTAATTAAAATTTATGTCTGTTTTTGTTATTATATATAGGCTTAAAATATTTATATTTCAGAAGCATTAGCCAAAGAAATTATTCTCATAATTGTTATATAAAGGAAAGAGAAATATAAACAAAATATAAATGTGTGTGTAAACTACTATTACTACTATCTGCAGTGTGTGTTAGGTGCCAGGCACTATAGTAGAACAGTAAACCTTTACATGCTCAGTCTTCAAAGCAATTGTATGTGAATTATGCTTTTGTTAATATACTAGTAGTAATAGGAGTTACTATTACTATTAACTACTAATAGTAATAGGAGTACTAGTAATAGGAGTTAGTAGTAATAGGAGTCATATTTCATTTTATAGACATAGATTAGGTAACTTGCTTAAGATCATGTAGCTAGTAAACAGAAAAACTAGAATGTGGATCTCTGAGGATGGCTTCTTCACCTGTATGCTTATCACTTCCCAATACAGAATAGCTAGTAGGCAGCAAAGCTGATACTTGAGGTTTTATGTCTTTTTGATTCCAGAGCCAGACACTAAACAAAATAAAAATAACGCTTTCCTCTTTTCATTAAACATTTATTACACACACATATAAGCATACTGCAAGAGTTTTGGGTTTTTTTTGTTTTTAAGTATGTAGTTTGGAGAATTATACAAAAACTGTCATTCCCGAGAATAATCACCCTGAAATAGGTAGGACGTAATAAAAGCTACTAAAATTATGATAGGGACCCACCCGTATTTGGATACTAACCCAGCACACTTCTATAGTATTCTCAAAACATCTCTTAATGAAACAAGTTTTTAACAGCATACTGGAATAATTATTTGCTTATAGTTATATAATGCTTTTATGCTTTTTAAAGATGATTTTATCTTTTTGTCTCATACCTTCTCAGCAATGCTGTACAGTAGAAACTTTTCACAGTAGAGTGAAAACTAAAATAGAATGTAAATGTCTTAGATTATTAGTCATTGAGCCAGGATAGGATATAAGTAGTCTAACTATAATCTTATATACTTTTTTCATGTAATTAGCAGTTCTTGGTATTGTACTTTTTATATAGTAGAAGTATTTGTGGAATTGAATTATCAAGTGATCTAAATAAAACATTAGGGTTGAGGGTTTTGTAACAAGAAATTCTTGCTTACAAGACAGAGTAAGATAATTGTATATAAGCTTAAGCATATAAGAAAATAAAGCTTTTCTGAGGGGGGAGGGATAGCATTAGGAGATATACCTAATGTTAAATGACGAGTTAATGGGTGCAGCACACCAGCATGGCACATGTATACATATGTAACTAACCTGCACGTTGTGCACATGTACCCTAAAACTTAAAGTGTAATTAAAAAATAATAATAATAATAAAATAAAGCTTTTCTTGACAGTGTATGATAGCACACAAGAACATTAAATGGGGAATAGATTATACATTTGTTGTCAGGTATTTGATAACTATTAGGCATTATAACATGATGAAATTTTATTTCAACAGCTTGCTTTGAATATGAGTTACTACATAAATTAATACTTTAAAATATCAACCTAAAAATGTATTGGCAAGCAGCCACTGAGAAATGTTTTGGGAAAGAACATTAGTAACAGATGTACACATTCTAGCCAACAAATAATCTTAATGAAGGTAGTTAATATTGCTGCTCTGCTAAGCAGAACAGAAACATTCTTAAACCATATGCAGAAAAGTACAGTATTTTGTAGAGGAACTAAAATAAATACAAATGAATTTTTACATAAACCTGTTAATTCTGCTACTGGATTATTCAACTTTTTAGGGTTCTGGAAGAAGAATCTTTTATGCTTATATTGGTTCAGAAAATGGTAGGTTTTATTTCAGTATAGCTAAGCTATTTCATTTATTAAAATAATTATAATTCAGTGATTTCCCTATTTTAATAGTATGAATTAAGATACTTAAAAAATAAAAATATTTTCATTTGTCAGTCTACGAAAGAAAAATGATTTTGTTAAGATAAAACCATTATACTGGATCATTTGAGAAAATACACAATTCTAAGAATTCATTAATCTGTTTGTCTTTATTTTCTATTTTGATGTGTAAAAACTTCAAGGTAGCTTAAAAGCGTATGTAAAGTATAAGAGAGCATAAGCAAATTAATAAAAACATGGGTAAGGACATAGAGAACTAAAACTGCCTGCCTGCCATTCAAACCTACATACTTGCAGGTAGTCCACAAATTCGGCTCTGAATTTTTTTTTTTTTTTTTTTTTGAGACAGAGTCTTGCTCTGTCGCCCAGGCTGGAGTGCAGTGGTGCTGCCACACCCAGCTTATTTTTGTATTTTTTTTGTAGAGACAGGGTTTTGCCACGTTGGCCGGGCTGGTGTCAAACTCCTGGCTTCAAGTGATCCACCTGCCTTGGCCTCCCAAAGTGCTGAAATTACAGGTGTGAGCCGCTGCACCCGGCCTGAGTTTTCAAAGGGAAAATGGAAACCTTGTTGTTTTCACAGTTTGCAAAGTTCATGAGATAAAACACAAATCTATTGTTTAAGAGGTAGTGCAAGATAATATTAATATCACATGAATTTTCCCTAGGGCCTGTCTTAACAAGGATAGTGTTTTAAAGTAAATTTTATTCTCCACCAAATTATACATTTCATGGGGCTTATGTCATATAATGATCTTTAGCCTGTGCTGTTGGCATGATACCCAGGATTTTCTTGACTCACAAGGGTTACAAAAACATTCTAAGTCAGGACTTAAAGTTATTTTTACCCAGTTATTACTCATAGATGCATTTCAAAGGTGGTATTAGACATAGACCAGTGGGTCTCAACTTCAGTATGACTTACAGAGCTCAGCCCTACCCTCCCCACCCGCTAAGAGTTGCTGATATAGTAGGTCTGGGATAGGGCGCAAGAATTTGCATTTCTAACAAGTTTCCTAATGAAGCTGATCTGGGACCACAGTTTGAGAGCCACTGTGTTATACAGTAATTTTGGACAGATTGTACCTGACACTGATCTGCAATGCTATCAACTCTGAGGTTTGTTTTAGGCTGAAGAGAACCATTATGTAAAAGTGGGAGGCCTTGTGCTGGAGAAACTCAGTCCTTCCTCACAGGGTTGTATGTGAAAGCCCTTATTAGGTTCCTCATAAATGTTTGTTGGATCTCAGTCTCTTTCCTGCATATACATTAGGTCCTGATTCTTAGGAATTGAAAGTATGTATCTGACATATGTTGGATAGGAATTTAATCAGCTTGAGAAACTCTCATGGGAGATGTGGAAAGATGAATATGACATAAGAGAAGGAAATATGGAGCTGCCAGTACATTTCGGCGGTGTTGTACACATGGTATTAGCCTCATTATACAAATGAAGAAAATGATGGGGGGGTGCAGAGGGGTGCTAAAGTGACTTGTAGGTGGTTATTATTTTAATATCATCATTACTAATAATATTCTGTTTGTGAGTGATTTAAAGAAAGTCTAACCATATCTGATACTGCTTGACTTTTACATAAATTAATATGCTGAATATTTTCATTTTAGATTGCAAATTCAACTGCCATAAACGCTGTGCATCAAAAGTACCAAGAGACTGCCTTGGAGAGGTTACTTTCAATGGAGGTAAAATTATTTTTCTTAATTTTTGTGAAAGATCAGAAAAGGCCATGATTCTTTGGTGTATTATCTTTGGATAAGGTTCTGTTTTCCTGATTTATTTTGTTTCTTAAAGATTTTCTTCTGATTTAATAATCAAACAAAATACACAGACCACTGACAGTATACATTTATTAGTAATCACGCCTTCCCGTCTTTCCTCTGGCCACCTGTTACTTTGTAGTCTAATATAGCCAGTGGTACTCCATATCCTCTTTCATTTTTAGACATAAAAGAACTTGTTTTAAAACCCTGCTCTTGTCTCTATTCTTTCATAGTTCTAATATGTACTAACTGCTTGCTATACCAGGCACTGTTCTAAACTCTTTAAATATATTGACATTTCAACCTAAGAACAACCCTTTGAGGTAGGTACTAAGAGATGAGTAAACTGAGGCACAAATACATGAAATAACTTGCCCCAGAAATATAGCCAGTAGGTGGCAGAGCTGGAAGTTAAACCCATATGGTCTGGTTCCTTAGTCCCTAGTGATTAGAACACACTATACTGCCTCACTGTCCCTTTCTCTGTCAAATAATCGTTGTCCATTTTCCCTTTGGGGTCTTTTTTTTTCTTTTCAAGATAATACTAAGCAAGGCAGTTACCTTTTTTTGGAAGGAAGCAGTAAGGACTCTAGACTTTCAGCATAATTTTCCTTTAACAATTTACATGACTGGTAAAAATTTTATGTAAGTAGTTCTGTAAAAGGAAAAGCATAAAAGGAATGAAAATTCTCTTGGGGAGAGTTTAATTAACATTTTCTCTTGTGGCTTGTTTTCTGTGGTTCTTGGTTGTCTTAGTCTGTTTGTGCTGCTATAACAAAATACCATAGGCTAGGTAGCATATAAACAACAGAAGTTTATTTTTCATAGTTCTGGAGACTGGGAAGTCCAGGGCACTGGCAGATTCTGTGTCTGGTGAGGGGGGTCCGTTTCCTGGTTGATGGCACCTTGTAGTTGCATTCTCACATGGTGGAATGGGAGAAGGAACTCCTGTGGACATATTTTATAAGGGCACCCATCCCAAAGATACCACCTTCCAAAGACCCACCACTACCTAATACCCTTGCCTTGGGAGTTAAGATTTTTAAGGGGAACAAACATTCATACCATAGCACTGATTAACACCTTGACAGAGCATGATTGGTTTTCTCTTTCGGTTAATCTGAATTAGTATAGTTTGTCTATGACTAAAGTCTTTTATAAATTTATACTTCATGTATTTGTGTTTTCGTGTTTTTCTACCTTATAACAAATGGATACGAAACACCATTTATATTTATCTTAATGTGCATTTGATTACTAGTGAGATGTTCAAACTCACTAGTAATCAAAGAAATGCACCATTTTACATTAGCAGTTTATGAGGATTCTGATTTCTCTACATCCCTACCACCACTTGTTATTGTATATCTTTTTGATTACAACCATCCTAGGTAGTGCGAAGTGGTATCTCATTGTAGTTTTCATTTGCAGTTCCCTGGTGGCTAATAATATTGAGCATCTTTTCATGTGTTCATTCGCCATTTTTATATATTGTTTGAAAAAAGCACCTATTCAGATCCTTTGCCCATTTAGGTTACTTATCTGTTTATTTTTCATTGAGCTGTAAGAATTTTTAAATACCCTGGATACTAGTCCCTTATCTGGCATATGATTTGCTTATATTTTCTCCCATTCTATGGGCTTTCATTTCACTTCGTAAGGTGTTGTTTGTAGCACAGAAGTTTTGTATTTTGATGAAATCCAATTTATTTATTTATTTATGTTGTCACTTATCTTTTTGGTGTATTAAGAAAGCTTTGCCTAACCAAGGTCACAAAAATCTACTCTCATGCTTTCTCCTATGAGTTTTATAGTTTTAGCTCTTAGATTTTTATGTGATCCACTTTGAGTTAATTTTTATATATGATTTATATGTTCATTCTTTTGCATGTAGATATACAGTTATCCTAGCACCATTTACTTAAAAGACTATTTTTTGCCCGTTGAATTTTCTTGACACTCTTGTCAAAAATCAGTTGACCATAATGGTGGTGGCTTATCCGCATTTATAGTATCTTTTGTCATGTGGAAATTTAAAATTCTGATGTAATCAAATTAATTAACTTTGTGCCTTATGATTTGTGTATTTTTTATCTTCTTTAAGAAATACTTTATCTTAGGCCAGGCGTGGTGGCTCACGCCTGTAATCCCAGCACTTTGGGAGGCCGAAGTGGGTGGATCCCCTGAGGTCAGGAGTTCGAGACCAGCCTGGCCAACATGGCGAAACCCCATCTCTACTAAAGATACAAAAATTAGCTGGGCATGGTGGTGGGCGCCTGTAATCCCAGCTACTGAGGAGGCTGAGGCTAGAGAATCGCTTGAACCCAGGAGGTAGAGGTTGCAGTGAGCCGAGATCACACTCCAGCCTGGGTGACAAGAGTGAAACTCTATCTCAAAAAAAAAAAAAAAGAGAAATACTTTACTTAACTCATAAAGATATTTTCTTACATTTTAAGACTCTTAAGACTTTTTTCACATTTAATGGACTTCCTCTATTAATATAAAACTCTGAAATTCATTTAAAATTTTCCCAGAACCTTCCAGTCTGGGAACAGATACAGATATACCAATGGATATTGACAATAATGACATAAATAGTGATAGTAGTCGGGGTTTGGATGACACAGAAGAGCCATCACCCCCAGAAGATAAGATGTTCTTCTTGGATCCATCTGATCTCGATGTGGAAAGAGATGAAGAAGCCGTTAAAACAATCAGGTAATATATATACATATTACAAGCTACTTCCAGATGCAAGGTCAGTTCAGGATCTCATTAAGAAAAAGCCACGTCTCTTTAAGTGGGACCTTAAAAGTAATTTAAAATCTAAATAAATTGTGGCTAATTCTTTTACATGCAATGTAGTATTTCTGAAATAAATTATATCACCCTTGCCATCCACTCAAGATGGGGAGGTATGAGAATCCTTGTTTTTTTTTTTTCGTTTTTTGTTTTTTGTTCTTAAAGAAAAATGCTTTAAGTGTGGTCTAGATGTAAAACCTAGTTGTGGAACAGCCACTGCAAGGTGTCAGTATTGAACTTTCAGTTAAAGCAACCTGTTTTTCACACAGGCAGCTTTAACTGGTAGTAGAAATGGCAATAAAGAATATACTCATGAAGATGTTGCACAAGGATAATGGTGATGAAGTTTAGGGCAGTTTTCATATTGCCACAGTTAATCCGACTATTAGCATTTTGTAAAAATACTATTAGACTGTAAAACCATTCTAAATATGCCACTATGTTCATAGAAATTCAATTTTTGTAGCCTAAATGATATACTACCTTGTAGCAAAATGTCCCCATTTTGGCAGGTTTTGTTTTTCATTGGAAACAAAGAGTTACTTAAAGAAAATGAGTCATTTATTTCAGTCTCAGGTGGCTGAGTTGTCATTTATTCAGTTTGGCTTATCATTAAATAACAGTTATTACTATCATTAACATTATTAACAAAATCTTTGTTTAGCCATTTTGGAGACTATTCCAGAACCCAGCTAGTTGGTTTTTGGTTTCTGTTTTTTTTTTTTTTGAGACAGAGTCTCGCCCTGTCGCCAGGCTGTAGTGCAGTGGCACAATCTCCACTCACTTCAACCTCTGCCTCCCGGTTCAAGCGATTCTCCTGCCTCAGCCTCCCAAGTAGCTGGGACTACAGGCACCTGCCACCACGCCCGGCTAATTTTTGTATTTTTAGTAGAGACGGGGTTTCACCATGTTGGCCAGGATGGTCTCGATCTCTTGACCTTGTGATCTGCCCACCTCAGCTTCCCAAAGTGGTGGGATTATAGGCGTGAGCCACTGCGCCCGGTGAACCTAGCTAGTTTCTTAATCATGAATACTTCATAGTTTAAAAAAGAAAGTATTTAACTGTTTGAGGTTCACATTTCAAAACAGTGTATTTTATGCATACATCCCAAATTTTATTGAGCCATGTTTCAGTGCTGATTTGACTTGTTACATTTTCTTAATTAGTATCTGTAAATCATTTTCCTTTAAATACCTTCTAGTAGAAGTACATTTTGCTAACAACATGATTAACTGGATTTGATATTTGAGCCATGTGAATTCGAGTTATATATATAGTTGTATTTTGCCTTGTTGTGGATTTGCTAGTCCATCATGCTGCCTAGGGCAGGAAAACTCTTCAACAGCAAGCCCAAATGAGAACCTCTCCTGGGCTCCAAATATTCCAGTTTGGGAGGGTACTTTCTATTCCGCTCATTGTTTTTAATTTTTTTTTTTGTGGCCCTCCAGAAAACATTCATGACAAGTAAATAGGATTTAAAATATTAGCTTAAAATAGAATCTTTTATGTATCATCATAACAGGATTAATTTTTCTTCAGCCATTGTTTATTTTACTAAGATATTTTGAAAAATTTTAGCTCAGTTGTCTTTAAAAAGGCTTCATGTTCCTACAGTATTTATATGATTTTTTAAAAATCTACACAAACTTACAAATTTTAAATATTTTTTAGTCCATCAACAAGCAATAATATTCCGCTAATGAGGGTTGTACAATCCATCAAGCACACAAAGAGGAAGAGCAGCACAATGGTGAAGGAAGGGTGGATGGTCCATTACACCAGCAGGGATAACCTGGTCAGTAATCAAATACATTTGAATATGCTAGTAAGACTTTGTTATGAGTTTCATTCTGTGCATTTTTTAAATCAAAATGATGATGAGATACATATTAAGACATTATATACACCACAGCAATTTGTAAAAGATGCACTGGAATTATAGTTAAATTTGTAAGGAATTTTTAACAGGCAGAATATTTAATGTATTGTCTTTACAAACTGGTAGAGCAGTCAATATTCAAAAAGGATCTGGGATTGTTCCACAATAAAAAATAATTAACTCGAAACACAGTGGAGCCACAAATAGAGATAGAAGGAACTAAGACTTCATCTAAAAAGTCATCTTATTACCAAAGATAGGAAGGAAGCATGTTTGGTTTTATGTAGACTTTAACTTAGTGTAAATGTGCAACGTTTTTTTTTAGATCCAGCAAAGACGAGGAATGATGACATTCTAGTAGAAAGACAATAGATTTGAAGAATCAGCGTAGTGTAATAACTAAGAACACAGACTTTGGAGCTAGACTGCCTAAGTCTCTGTAACTTACTATAAAACTATATGAACTTGGGAAAGTTACTTAGTTTCTTTATGCTTTTGTTTCCTTGTGTAAAATTGGCATAATAATGGTAACCACCTAATAAATCCAAATCAGTTAATATATGAGAAGATCTTGGAACAGTGTCTGGCATACAGAAACACTCAATAAATGTTAGTAGCTAGTATTTTATTTTTAAAGTCTGCTGAGTAGATTATTGAAACAAGCTTTCTAATAAACCTTTTAAGAATAAAATGAAGTACCCAATACATTTAGCTGGCCTAAAGTTTTGTATGATAACAACAGTATAGACTGCAGTGTGTATGTGTTTTATTTATAGTTCATATCCTTGCGAATGTAACTTGAAGTGGTGTGCCTACCTTTGCGAATTTAATGGTATATCAAAGGTGCTTTTACATCAAATTAATGGGGAAAGTAGTTAATTCAGTAAATGGTGTTGGGACAAGCATCTAGCCATTTTGAAAAAAATAAAGTTATATATATGTATATATATGAATATATATGTATATATATGTGTATGTGTGTGTGTGTATATATACATATATACACACACCTCATACTTTATACATAATAAACCTAAATGTATCAAAGATTTGAGTGTAAAGAAATTAAACAGAAGAAACTTTGGGAGAATTATTTTACAAATTCAAGAATAAAAGATCAATAAATTCAATCTCATTAAAAAATGATATGTGGCAAAATCCAAAAGCAAAGACAAATGAGAAACTGGAAAAAATATTTTCAGCTCATTCTAAACAAGGGTTAATTCCATAAGATGTGAAGAATGCCAACAAATTGATAAGAAAAAGAACATAACGCAATAGGAAAATGGACAAAGAATATGAACAGAGAGTTTCACAGGAAATACAAATGACTCTTACACATAAGAACTTGATTTCATTTATAATAAAAGGAATATCACTTTAACCTTTCACTGAAATACCAGTGTTTATTTTTCAGTATAGCAAAGATCAAAAAGTTATTAACATACTGCATTAATGAGGGTGTGAGTAACTAGGGACTCTCATACGTTGCTGAAGAGACTATAAATTGGGTCAAATCTTGTGTAGAATAATATAACACTATCAGGCAAAATTACATGTGCACATGTCTGTTGACCCAGCAAATCAACTTCTAGAAATATAGCCTATAGGTAAATTACATATTTTTATGTGTGTGTGTGTATGTGTCATATATATATATGTATTCATGTGTGCATGTATGAAATTCTCTACAAGGATTCCCAGAAACCTGATAACATGCTTTGCCTGGAGTAAGGGTGAGGAGTGGGGATGAGTGATGGTGGAAGTGATACTTTTCACCATACATCCTTTTTATATCTTGAGAATTTTGAACCTCATGAATCTTAAAGTTATTCAAAAATACAAATTTATGAATGTAAATGAAGGGAAAAGTTAGGTACAAGCACTTTGGAGGAATCATTTTTGAACCTCACAGTTTTCCAATCTTCATTTTATAGAGAAAGAGGCATTATTGGAGACTTGACAGCAAATGTCTAACATTATTTCAGAATGAATCTGGATCAAAGTATTATAAGGTAAGGATTTTACACTTTAAAAAATATAAGCATTAAGATAGTGTATGTTTTTTTCAGATAATATTCATTAACTGTTATATTTGAATATATATGACTCTAGCTAGTATGGTTTATAGAAGTCACTGTTAGGTTCCTTGTTGAAGCAACTATTTCCCATACCAAATTTCACTCCCCCACAGCAGCTCTCCTTCCAGACTGTTTGTTGTTGTCGTGTATTTATTTATTTCTGGCTTGCCTGTCAGGTTGCTGCTGCTTTCCTTCTGGATACTCTGATTTAGATTAGACTGCTTAGAAAGTCCCATCATCATTGACTGTCCAGAAGAGGTCAGTGAGGTATTTAGTATTTCTCCCACCTTCCACCTTACCTTGGGTGCCAATTCCCAATTGCTTGTTTGGCTCTTAATCTCCTTTTTACAGTCTTCCTTGCTTGGCTTATTCCACGTTTTGCCACATCACAAACTGATAGCAAGCAAGATTATAACCAAGCAGTTAGGTCAGTAAGAGAGAATGGGAACTAATGGCTTGCTTTGAGCAGGTGTTTTTTTGTTTGTTTGTTTTTAGTAAGTTTTTTTTTTTGCCTTAGGAAGTGGACTAAAAATATAATGATTGCTACAGGTTACTCCAGTGGACAGAACCAGAATGGGAGTGGCTTAAACAACTGACCAAGATTCTGCTTTTTCTGCCATTATTTCTGCTTCTTACTTGCTTTGGGGCTATATCTTGTAGACTACAGTCACTAGATAAGTAGTTGTGAAGCTGAATTAATGACAGTTGGAAGTTACAAGTGTTGGATATAGTGGCAGATTACTCTCCTATATCTTCTTCCTTGCATCCTAATGATCTGCTACTGGCTTAGTTATCATAGTCCATGCTCTGCGTCTGGCATTGCTGGACATTGCAGCTCATTCAAGACAGGCCATGTCATAAGACTCAACTGTGTATTAAATGTTGCATACTTGTGTCCGTCTTAATGGCATTCATTGAAATGCATATCTCTGGTTCTTTAGTGTATTTAAAAATAAAAACAAAGATCTATTCTTATTTTTCAATGCTTAATTTTTTACTTCAGGAAATTCCACTTTCAGAAATTCTCCGCATATCTTCACCACGAGATTTCACAAACATTTCACAAGGCAGCAATCCACACTGTTTTGAAATCATTACTGATACTATGGTATACTTCGTTGGTGAGAACAATGGGGACAGCTCTCATAATCCTGTTCTTGCTGCCACTGGAGTTGGACTTGATGTAGCACAGAGCTGGGAAAAAGCAATTCGCCAAGCCCTCATGCCTGTTACTCCTCAAGCAAGTGTTTGCACTTCTCCAGGGCAAGGGAAAGATCACAGTAAGCAATAAACTTCTTGATGGCTTTTTCTCCTCTTTAATTCTTAAGCATTTTGTGGGTATGGTTGTGTTCCTTTGTTCCTTTTAATGTTCATCCTAAGCTTAGTCTTTAGTAACCAATACTTTAGTAACCAATACAATTAGTTAACTCTTTTATAAAATTATATTGGTTATAGTATATATACGTACATACAATGCCCAGTGCTAGGCTCCAGAGTCAGTTTTCCTACATGAAAATCCTGGCTATACCATCTGTTATATGATCAGGCAAGTACTTTACCTCACTGTAGTAGTAAGTACTTCATAAGGTTGTCAGTATTAAATGAAAGAGAACCTGTAAGATACAGAACAGTGCTTGGCATCCGTAAAGTCTCATTGGATTATGCCTGCTACTGGTATTAATATTTTGCTTTATAGTGGGATATAAACAGGCAATAAAGTATTATGGTTCACATCACACTCATGAAATCTGTGAAGTCAGAAATGCTGTATTAAAACATACAGAAATATTTAAAAATCACTGAAACATGTTTTGCACCAACAAAACTTATATAATTAAGCCTAAATTGGATAAAGTTTCAAAAGTAAACAGTTAACAATCGAAAGGTCACTATAATGTCACTTCTCCCCCATTAACATTATGTTGCTTATGGGGACACATAAGTCATTCATTTGAGAAATATACTCAAATTGAAATAAGTATCAACAACTTTCCAAAGGTAGTTTATTTTAGTTTAGCTGTATTATTTTGTACAACTATTATGCTAGGCCCTGAGCTAAAATACAAAATAAATACAGAAATCATAAAAGCTCTTTAGGGAGAGATGGGATATATAAAGGTATTAGATGGTAGCATAAAGCAGTACAGTGCAAAAGTGAGGAATACATTACTTAAAAAACTCAGATACAGACAGAAGAGTAAACAAGACTTCATAGAAGAACCTGATTTGAACCTCAGGTAGAAATACAGTAGGCAGATCTCAGTGGGAGGGGTGGAGGGGTAACATTATTTAGTTGAGACAAGTGTGATGAGGATCATGACAACTGTGTACATGTTTGGTGTTCAGTACTGATTTGGGGTTGGAATGGGTGTAAGTAGATGGATGTTTCACAGTGGTTCTTAAGTTTTCGAGGTTTTTAGACAGAACTCTATGTCATTCTAATTAAAACTAGGACTGTTTCCTCAGAAAACAATACAGGCACTTACACACTCTTTAAAAGATAAATGAGGTGATTTATTTCAGGCAATAAATGTATTAAAGTACCAAAAAACAACATTATAAAATTATAAAAATGCAAGCAATTTAGAAGTGTATAAAAACTCTTTGTCCCCCAACCCCACCTCTTCCACTCACCAAAAGTAATCACAGATTTTTGTTTTTAATTTAAGCACTGCTACCCTGCAATTCCCTTGACTCCACTTCCCCCCCTCCCCCCACCAAGAGACAGGGTCTCGCTATGTCGCCCAGGTGAGAGTGCAGTGCGCAAATCATAACTTGCTGCAACCTCAAACTCCAGGGCTCAGATCCTCCTGTCTCAGCCTCCTGAGTAGCTAGGACTACCGGTGCACACCACTATGCCTGGCTAATTTTAAAATTTTTTTAGAGATAGGGTATCCTGTAGCCCAGGTGGTCTCAAACTCCTGGGCTCAAGTGATCCTCCTGCCTCAGCGTCCTAATGCACTGGGATTACAGTAAAACTTCCCTTTTTAACTCAGTAATAATCATAACTAGCTTTCTGACTTTCTGATTCAGTATTTATAGTCCTACATCATCGATTAAATGTTGAGATAGTATTCTTTTGTATGGATGTATCATATTTTATCTAGTTTCCTGTTGATGGGTTGTATGTGTAGATTTTGTTAATGTACATAATTGTATTAACTGTGTGCTAAACTTTTTAAAGTTTGATATACCATGAGCATTCACATGTCAGTAAAGATTAATAATATTGTCATATACTAAATTTTGTCTTTTTTATATTTTACAGAAGATTTGTCTACAAGTATCTCTGTATCTAATTGTCAGATTCAGGAGAATGTGGTAAGTAATCGTTATAGCTAATGTGTAAACTGGGTGATTAAAATAAGGAAAATAAAAGGTGAAAATCTTTATTAGAGAAATTGGTTCATCGCCCAAAGTACTAGGCTAGACTTTGCGGTTGGTAACTTCCCTAAGGAGTTCTGCTTTATAGAGGAAACTAGGGCAGATTTTTAAAATTAAAAATAAAGCTAACTTTTTCACTAGAAAAAGTTACATTACAGTGTTACAAAGTGATAAGACTGGTTCAAAGAGAAGGCAGACATTACTTCTTGTGGGGTCAGCAGGGGAAGCTTCCTAAAGGAAGTGCAATTTGAGCTATACCTGAAAGGATGGAATGGATTACTGACAGAAGTGCTGAATGGATGAGGGTTGGGGAACAACCTTTCATGCAAGTACAGGAGCACTAGGATGAACAAACAGGGAAGCAGGAAATGGACTCTTAAGGAATTATGAATAAATTAAGTTGGCTGGTGTATGTAGGTATGTTGAGGGTTTTATAACAGGTCAGCAACTTTTTCCGTAAACTTTTTAGTAAGTACCTTAGGCTTTGTAGACCAGCAGTCCCTAACCTTTTTGGCACCAGGGACTGGTTTTGTGGAAGAGTTTTTCCACGGAGGTAGGGGGTTGGGAGATGGTTTCGGAATGAACCGTGTCAGATCATCAGATTCTCATAAGGAACACACAACCTAGATCCCTCGCATGCACAGTTCACAGTAGGGTTTGCCCTCCTCTGAGAATCTAATGCCTCTGCTGATATGGCAGGAGGCGGAGCTTGGGCAGTAATGCTTGCTAACCTGCTGCTCACCTGCTGTGCAGCCTGGTTCCTAACAGGCCGCAAACAGTTACCAGTCTGTGGCCTGGGGCTTGGGGACCCCTGTTGTGGACCATATACAACTATGCAGCTATGTGGTTGTGACAAGAAAGCAGCTATAGGCAATACATAAGTGAACAGGCATGGCTGTGTTCCAATAAAACTTTATTTATGGACCCTGAAATTGAATTTCATTTAATATTTACATGTCACAGAATATTATTTTGATTTGTCCAGTCATTTAAAGACCATTTTTAGATCGGGGCCATACAAAAAAGAGGCAACAGGCTGGATTTTGCCCACAAGCTGGAGTTTGCTAACCCCTGGACTAGAGAGAAAACAGGCTAGAAAAGGAAGTCAGAAAATTGTTAAATTGTTATATATAATTTCTCAGATTAAAATCTCTATTTTTCTACTTGGGGCACTTAGCTGTTATAGTTCTCTAACATGTAAATGTTAAGATTTCTAAGACTGCAATGAAGATTGGACTCTAGTAGTGTTATTGGAGATAGAACATTTCAGAGATATAATCTATGAGTCTCTTGTCCTGTTGAGAGGTAGAATAGACAGCATATTCTTGGGGAGATAAGGAGGAATATCAAAAATCATGAGCACTCAAATTTTGAATAATCCCATGGGAACTGAGGATATCTCCATCCATGTCATGGGGGAAAAGGATTCAGAATTGGCTTTTGTTTAACAAATATATATACACATACATACATACACATACACTTTCCTAGCAGTTATTATATATGCATTGGATGCCTCCTAATCTGATTAGAACCAAAATTTGGTTAAACAAAAAGATTAAAGTGGGGAGGCTTATAAAAATGGTTCTTACAAACCTTAAAATTTTAATTACAACTTAACATATATACATGCATATTCACTGGCTTTTGCTGCAGGGCTGAGGCTTTGTCTTTATAAGTGTGGGTCTGCTAAGTGAAGTTCCACTTTGTTTTTCTTTCATCAGTCACACCTGTAATGCAGTTTTGACAGTAAACATCCCAAATTAGTATATTAGTTCTGTTAGTTCTGACAGCAACAAATACTACAAAGAAGAAAAAAAAAGGGAAGGGGGCGAAGAGCAGTGAGGAAAGATAGAGGAATGGATTTCAGTTACAGACTTTCTCTCATACATATTCTTTTCTTCAGTCTCTCAAAGTTAGGCTAATCCCAGTAATATGAACTTTTGAGTTTTTTTTTTTTTTTTTCCAAAAATCAATGAGAGCAAATCTCCTTAAAGGTAAAATAGGTAAAATTTCATTTTTAATTTTTTTTAGGTAGATTTGCTTTTATAGATCACTACTTAATAAATACAAGATTTTTTTTTTTCTTGAGATGGAGTCTCGCTCTTGTTGCCCAGGCTGGAGTGCAGTGGCACAGTCTTGGCTCACCACAACCTCTGCCTCCTGGGTTCAAGCGATTCTCCTGCCTCAGCCTCCCGAGTAGCTAGGATTACAGGCATGCACCATCTCACCTGGCTAATCTTGTATTTTTAGTAGAGATGGGGTTTCTCCTTGTTGGTCAGGCTGGTCTGGAACACACAACCTCAGGTGATCCACCTGCCTCAGCCTCCCAAAGTGCTGGGATTACAGGCGTGAGCCACCACGCCAGGCCTAAATACAAGATTTTTAAAATGCAAAGCATTTTTTTCCTGAAAGTCTTGCACAATACATTATACTTGCACATAAAATTTGGGCTTAACCTCTTATTAGAACATAGAAAGCCTGTGTTTTCATAAAATAGTTTGCACTTTATGGAAATTAGCTGCTTCTAACATAAAAATGTATTGAAGTATTTGGATGAAGAAAGTCAGAGATGTTGACATTGTATTATAGAAATAAATAATACTAACTCCTTACTTTATCCTACCAGGATATCAGTACTGTTTACCAGATCTTTGCAGATGAGGTGCTTGGTTCAGGCCAGTTTGGCATCGTTTATGGAGGTAAGCAACTACAGCCGTTTGCATATTGTACACATTATTTTAAAAACTGGAAAATGTAAAACATCTGCCAGCTGTTTTGTCATCTCATAGTTTTGTCCAGTGCCTTTTTTTTAAAGGCTGACTTGTTATCTTTCAGCTAAATCCTTCTCACTGTAATTTGAGTATTCTTCCCTTAATGTCATTGCAAACTTTAAAAATTAACAGAATCAGAAAATTTTACAGTGTGTTTTATCTCTTCTTGTAGCTCACACATACAGATGTTTGTCGGAGGCAGGGGGGGAGATGGTTTGAAGTTTATGTTGGGCTGAGTGGGCTTATTCATTGAAGTATATTCCCTACTAGTTTTCCAACACAAATGGCACCATTTGTCTACTGTTGGCATGATTGTTCTATTAAGTCTGAAAACCTGAACCTGAAATCCAACTTTGCGATTTAGGATATTGATGAAGTCATTTAACCTTACTGTGCGTTAGCATCTTCAACTGTTTAATGGAACTAATAAAACCTGACCTGTGTAGCTCATAGGGCTTAAATATTAATTAAACTTAATATATGTAAAGGTACTAAGAAAGAAATGTTAAACCCTTGTTATCCCTTGCTAAGACTTGGTACAGTAGTTTCCTAGTTGGCTGTTCTGCCTCCATTCTTACCTTCTTTTCATACAACTCTTAGAGTCAATCTTTCAGAAAATTCACATCTGATATTAGTATTACCTCACATAGAACCCTTAAGTGGTTCACAGTCATCTACAGATTCATAGCCAGTTTTCTTAGCAGAGGATTTCAAGGCTGCTGTAATTTATCCCTGCTTCTCTAGCCTCAGATCTAATTGCAGCTTCCTCTTTGCTTTCTATCTTTCAGTCCTGTTTACATGCCTCCATACCCTTTGCCTCTCTGCTCCTTCTCCATCCCTTTGTCTCTTCTAGTGCACATTTTTTCATACTTCAGGGCTCAACTAAAGGGCTTTCTCTGTGGAAATTTCTTGTCCCCGTACCTATTTCTCCATCAAATAAAAACATGGTTCCCCTTTGGTACTCCTGCTACCCAACATACTTCTCTCACAATATCTATTACCCTTTGGGTTTACATTATTGTCTTCCCACTGAACTTTATTGGAGCGTTGGCTGTGAGATGTCTGGATCTTCTTTGTATTCCTAGCACCTAGTATTGTGACATAAAGCAGTCGCCTAGAAAATGTGTTGACTCTGCATGCATATATAATATCTATGGTTTGCAACTTCAGATTTGTCAGTTTTAAGAGTAGTTACATCTCTGGAGGACTTCCTGTCATCAGAGGAACAAAGAACTGTCCGAGGTACCTTTGGCTTCTTACCAAAAATGCACACATTTGTTCAGTCTTTTCAAGTAGACTTACGATTGTGCCATTGAGACAAATGAGTTAATCTAAAATAAATAGCTATGTAGAGAAGAGCAAGTCAGATACATATTTGAAGAACAAATACCAAAAATATACCTGTCATTTTCACTGCTTAATCTGTAGCATCTAAAGGCATACCTAGTACATAATAGGTATAACTAGTTAATTTGAATTAATAAATGAGGGAATGACTGTTCATTATAATAAACTTCTACCTTTTTTTAATATCTAGATTCTAGAATATAGAGACAAATATAAATTTTTTATATCTAGATTCTAGAATATAGAGACACCCAGAGTTTGTGGGTACATGGTTAAATCACTCTGTGCTGACTCATTGAATCTAGAATAAAATTGATTCATTCATACAGTATTTCCATCTTGACAGAGTCTCTGAAGGACTAGGTCAGGGTAATTAACTATCATTGATTTAACAAGGTAGATTACTTTTCAGCAACAAGTTCATTCAAATTTTCTCCTGTTTAGATAATGCAGCTGACTTTATTAGGGGCAAATATTATGTATGGAGGGGAAAACAATTTTTTCCTAAATTAAAGGTGAGTGAAGGAGTGTGGAGAAAGAACAAAAATGAGCCAAAAAGAAAATTCAAGAGTAAATACATATAAATTTCAGTCTGTGGACAACTCCCTAATAAAGCTGTCAGTTTGCTTCATTCGTTCCTCTTCTTTTTTTCTTAATAGGAAAACATAGAAAGACTGGGAGGGATGTGGCTATTAAAGTAATTGATAAGATGAGATTCCCCACAAAACAAGAAAGTCAACTCCGTAATGAAGTGGCTATTTTACAGGTAAAAATAAAAAATAAAAAACTGGTTTATTAAAGAGGCTGGTAAGAATCTGAATTAACTGCTTCTCTTTTTTTTTTTTTTTTAAGAAGGCAAAATTAGATTATGGTAATATAGGCATTATAGGGACTGCCAATATCTTGCTTTATGGTAGTAGTTTTAGAACACATTTTCGTGAGTAAAATCTTTTTTAAAAAAGTAAAATTTCATTCTTAATTCATTCCAGGAGCTTAAAATACTTAGGATACTTTGCCACATTTTGTCAGAAGGTTGCTGTTTTACCCATCCAGTTTTCACAGGTGACATGCTTGTCATAGCAATTACTGTGCAAGTAAAGATTGCTTTAAAATTATGTACCTTTTAACAGCACTTATTTCATTAATTAAAAACTCTAATTTTGTAATGGCTTAGTCGATTGGGGCGTATTTTAAAGATATATTGGCAATGATTTCAATTCCATAAATTCCTATGTGTTTTTCATCTAGCATTTTTACCCCTTGGGGGCGGTCATCTAGAAGATTAAAATTTAGCTTGATCCTTGGATCACTTTCTGAATATCATATAAATAATTTATAATATGCAAATGTACGTTATATAGTTTTTGCATATTATTAAAGAAATCATGGTCGTATAATAGCTCATTCTGGCCAGGTGAGGTGGTGCGCACCTATAATCCCAGCACTTTGGGAGGCCAAGGCGGGTGGATCACCTGAGGTTAGGAGTTCGGGACCAGCCTGACTAACATGGTGAGACCCCATCTCTACTAAATACAAAAAAACTAGGCCGGGCACGGTGGCGCATGCCCATAATCCCAGCTACTCAGGAGGCTGAGGCAGGAGAATCGCTTGAACCTGGAAGGTGGAGGCTGCAGTTAGCCAAGATTGTGCCATTGCACTCCAGCCTGGGCAACAACAGCAAAACTCCATCTCAAAAAAAAAAAAAAGCCGGGTGTGGTGGCACATGCCTGTAATCTAAGCTACTTGGGAGGCTGAGACAGGAGAATCACTTGTACCTGGGAGGCAGAGGTTGCAGTGAGCTGAGATCATGCCATTGCACTCCAGCCTGGGCAACAAGAGGGAAACTCCGTCTCAACAACAACAAAAAATGGTTAATGCTGTCAGAGCCCCATTTGCTTTGGGTGAAATTCAAGACAGCCTCCTTCTGAACTTGAGTTTCCTTGAAGAAGGTAAGAAACTTAAATGATTCATTTTACATTTATTATGTTACTTGTTGCTAATAGTAACATTTACCTCACTTTTTCAGAGGCATGATAATCAAAAAGCTTGTGGTCAAGTAGGTACCTGTGGTCATATCAAGGCTGTCTCCTCCTATAAAGCTACCTTTAAATAGAATATTAATAGCATTCATACTCTGTTGAATATGAATAGTATGAATATGTTGTCAGGTATTTTTGCGTATCTAATTTTGGAACCCTCATTGTCCAACTAGTAAGCGAAACAATAAAAATTAAGGATATATTCCTATGGATTGATTTCTTCTTGATCACAAACACAGCTCTGAGTAAGCACTGAAGCTTTTTTCCTCTTATCAGCTATGGATCATAATAACTAAATTTAGGAATAACCAGGTAATGCACAGTATGAAAAACTTCATTATTATATCATTTTGGTTACTTTCATCAATATTGCCCAAACTGGGAATAGATTGTAGGATGTCTCTATGCTATTTTCATACTAAATTTAATACAAGACTATCTTTGTTGTAGATTCTCTTCAAATTGTTTATGTCAGATATTTATACTTTTATATTTGGCTTTCCTTGTGGTGTCAGCATTTATACTTAAGTACTTTTTCTCAACATCACCCAGCAGGAAGGCAGATTCAGAGTTTGAATCTAAGTCTGTCTGCAAACCATATGCACTTTCTACTTTACATCATTGGACTGACCCACTCTGTGTGTGTGTTTGTGTGTGTGTGTGTGTGTAGTATAAAGATGAACTTTAGCTAACTTTGTATATGAATATTATTCATATAGAATATTGATATTCTAGAATATTCTATTAGTACAATCTGAATTCATGTAGGAAATACACTTCTTAAAAGGAATCTTTTTAAAAATCACACCTCATTTACTGAAATTAGTTTCATAAGATTTAGTTATGTGAGCATCACAGCTAAACTTTTTCACATGGGTTGGAAGTAACCTACTACACTGTTAAACGCACTCACACCACCTTTTGGCTCTCCTCTTCCCCATCCAACTGTATCATCTTTCCTTTTCCATCTTTGCCCCGTGTCATTCTTACCTGTAGTCCTCCCTCATCACCCAAACCTGAAAGGCTGTCTGAACTCCTGTAGTTCATCCTGCTGTTGATACCTTTACCTGCATCCCTAGAGGCGTCCATAGCTTTTCTTTCCCATGCCCACATACTTAGAGAAAAGATGGGGTGAAGATTGCGCATATTATTATTAAGACTACAGCTTTGGCCTTTCCGGTGGCAAGGAGGAAAAATCACAGGATCACTGATTTAGAAGTGACCTTACAGTTTATCCCGGAGTATCCAATCTCTTGAGCTCTTGGTGACAGGCTTTGTAATTCTGTTTAACAGAAATGAGCACATCCCATTTTTAGATACCTGTGATTATTCTTTATGAAAGTGAATCAAAATCACTTGAAAAAGATCCCACTGCAGACAATATACACAACAAATTGAGTCTTTTTTTTTCCCCCCCAAAAATAGCCATGTTGACTTTCTTGCTATATCTCAAACATGCCAGACATGCTTCTGTCTCAAAAGGCTTTGCATTAGCTGTTTCCTCTGCCTGGAATGCTTTCTCCCTCAAATATCTGCATGTCATACTCCCTTGTCTCCGTCAGGATTTTGCCCAAATATCATTTCCTCAATGAAGCCTCCACATTCTATTCAGCATTAAACCCACCCTCCCACCCCTCCACTCCCCTACCTTAACTCTTTTTCTTTTCTCCATGGCACTTATCACCTTCATACTAGGTAATTTACTATTTTATTTCCCATTGTCTGTCTCACCTTGCTGCAATTTATAAGCTCTGCGAGACAAGGCATCTTTGTCAAGTTTTGTTTAATAATGAATCCAGAATACCCACATAGTACTGGGTACACGGCAAATTCTTATTTAATATTTAATGAATAAATGTATTATGTGGGAAATTACAATACATTGTTAGATTGAAAAAAACTTTGGAATGACTCCCTTTAACTTTTTAAAGTAATGTGTACATTATGTATGTCTATATACAGTTACACAGAAAAAGAGCCATGCCTACATAAACTGTCAACCTGGCCACATCTAGGGAGGATGTTGTAGAGCAGGAAAAAAATTGGGGAGGGGAGGTTCCTTTTGTTTCCTAGATTATGTGGTAATGTAAAATGTTTCTTTTGCTGTCTTGCCTGAAGAGGGTAGTAGAGTAGTGGGAGAAAAGGTGTGGTGTTCTTGTAGGTACCTATGTAATTAGAAAACGTTATCAAAAACCTAGAGGGAAATTTCTGGTTTGAACATTGTGGTGTAAATTCAGCATTTTCCCGTTCTCATCTTGGAAGCTACCCCAAAGCTATAAGAAAAATGATTAACAGAAGTGAGCATACTTTAAAAAAAAGATGAGAATTCAAAACTATAAAATCATGTAGATTTCCAACAACAGTGAAGATGAAGCAGAGGTGCATGTCTCTTCAGGAAGAGACAACACAACTGTTTTTGCTGATTCTTTCTGAAATCTGCAGCCCTTATGTCCTCCAAAGGTCCCTTCTCCAAACAAAAAGCCATTTGAGGGTCATGATCTGATAAGATTTAACTCAAGGGAAAACACATTAAATGAAATGAAAGAAGGCCACTTTAACAGTGGAAGAGTGAAAATCATACTACACCAAATAACACCATAAACATTTATAAAGAAAAACTAAAAACAAGGAGAAACAGACAAACACATCAGTAGTCCATGAGAAATGGAGTAGACAAAAATAATTAAGAACGTACAAGGTCTAAACATAGTAAGGTAGATCTAAGCAGATTATACTGACCTCTGTACCCTAAAAACAAAGAATGCCTCATTAATTCAAAAAAGCAGTCGTATAAACAGTATTCTTTGATCTCAATGCATTAAAGCAGAAATAAATTACAAAATCAGAAAACAAGCTCCTACATGAAAACTTTAAAATACTAATTTTTGAATCAAAGAGCGAAATCAAAATTTCAGAATATTTAGAAAACCTGAAAATACTGCATATATATCAGCGCCTTTGTACTGTCTTTCAGAAAAAGCTTTATAACCTCAAATATTAAGCAAGAAAGAATGAAAATAAGTGAATTAAGAATCTAACTCAAGGAGTTGAAGAATGAACAATAAAATAAACCTAAAGAAAGCAGAAAGGAATAACAGATCAAAAATGAAAATTAATAAATACAGAAAAGAAATAATAAAGCCAAAAGCTGGTTTGCTGTGTGGGGGAAGGGAGGAGGTATGTAAAAATAAAATGGCCATCCTAAGCAAAGAAGAATATACAAAATGATCTTAGGGAGATAACCACAAATACGGGGGGGGGAAGGAATCTTAGGATACTTTGCTCATCTCTATCAGATAAATTTGGAAACTTGGAGAAAATGGGTAATTCTCAATGAAAGTATAACTTACTAAAACATACTCCAGAGGAAATAGAAAATGTAAACCAATAGAGGAAGTTGTTAAGGGAGAAAAATAATGTTACAGCATACTTCTATTTTTGTGTGTCCACGTGTTTTTAAAGGAGGGCAGGGGGGAAAAAGCATAGAGCCAGCCAACTATGGCCTAGCAAAACAGTCACATTTCAACCTCTGTTGATAAAAGTTATAATATTCTGAATCTTACACTGCTTATTGCCATTGTCACACCCCACCACTATGGGGTATTTGAGTTTCATTTATCTACTATAAAATGTTGTCATTTTGTATTTTGCTGCTTGGAAAACGATCTCATAAAATGGGTTTAAAATGATTAGCAAACAAGTCTATTTTGCATTTGTTGTTATTTCACTTTCTAAACATTTTTGAAAACACCTACTATGATGCAGATATTGAGCTAAAATAACTGAAACAATCTGTGCCTCAGAGAGTTTATTAAACAATGGAGTAGAATACACACATTATTACAATACAGTGGAAACTATTGCAGTAGTCCCAAAGAGAGAGAATGTGGGCTAAAATTAAGGCTTCAAGAAACATCTTAGACATGGAACTCAGCCTCACATAGGCCAAAAACATGTGAGTCCCCCTAGCATAATCAGCTAGCCATATTAAGGAAAAAAGCTAAAGAAAAATGTACAGGATGCTCCTCATTTTGCGACGGGGTCATATCTCCATAAACCCATCTTAAGTTTGAAAATAACTAAGTAGATAAAAATACCTCCTGAACACAACTTAGCCCCGTGTAGCCTACCTTAAGCACAGTCGCTTACATTAGCCTACAGTTGGGCAAAATCATCTAACACAAAGACCATTTTACACTAATGTGTTGAATATCTTATGTAATTTATGAATACTCAAAAAAACGGAATGGTTGTGCAGGTATTCAAAATACGTTTTTTACTGAATGAATGCATACCACTTTTGTACCATTCTACAGTTGAAAAATTGTAAGTTGAACCATTGTTAAGTTGGGGACCGTCTGGGTTTTTTTGTTTTTGAGATAGAGTTTTGCTCTTGTTGCCCAGGCTAGAGTGCAATGGCGCAATCTCAGCTCACCGCAACCTCTGCCTCCCAGGTTCAAGCAATTCTCCTGCCTCAGCCTCCCGAGTAGCTGGGATTACAGGCTTGCGCCACCACACCCGGCTAATTTTGTATTTTTAGTAGAGACTAGGTTTCTCCATGTTGGTCAGGCTGGTCTCGAACTCCCGATCTCAGGTGATCCGCCTGCCTTGGCCTCGCAAAATGTTGGGATTACAGGCGTGAGCCACCGCGCCCGGCCTTTTTTTTATTTGAGACAAAGTCTCGCTCTGTCTCCCAGGCTGGAGTGCAATGGCATGATCTCGGCTCACTGCAGCCTCCACCTCCCAGGTTCAAGTGATTCTCCTGCCTCAGCCTCCCGAGTAGCTGGGTTTACAGATACCTGTCACCACACCTGGTTAGTTTTTGTATTTTTGGTAGAGACAGGATTTCACCGTGTTTGCTACGCTGGTCTCGAACTCCTGACCTCAAATGATCCACCTGCCTCGGCTTCCCAAAGTGCTGGGATTACAGGCGTGAGCCACCACACCCAGCCTGTATCTTTATTAATAAGGAATAAAAATTGTTTAAGCACTTGGTTCATTCAGTAGAACATATTTAAGATTAAATTGGAAGACTGAAACCAGGTTATTGAAGATCTCAAAATGTTGACAAAGGAATTTAGATTTATGTCCAGAAATAAAGAGCCACTGAAGGTGTTTGAGCAAGGCTGACTTCATGAATTTGTTTTTGAGGAAGGATTTTCTGTAGTAGAACAAAAGATAAATTGCTTTTTTATAAGCATAAATAGTATGGCATTCATCTTTGTGTATCTCCAACCCTTGTAACCTAGTTGTGATCAAGAAACATGATAATGTGGGTAGAGATGTTGAGCCTAAAAAAAGGGAATTAATGATTATAATATTATAAGAATCAAGACTTAGATAAATAACTACCTTAGAAATAAAACTCTTAAGCAAATACCATCACAAATACAGCCCCCAAGAGTCAAAGGTTTCTGTGTAATTGACTAAAAATTTATGGGCAGTTGGTGCCTATTCAGGGAAAGCATGAAATTAGAGCAGTGTCAGATTTTTCAAGTGAGAAGGAAGGAAAAGTAGTAGTAATGGACAAGAGTGATTATATAATCAAATTAGGAGAACATTCTATCCCCTCAGTGCGGCTACTCTCCAGTACACAACTTGGAGAATTAAAACCTAAGATCCTTTTCATTGATTGTAATTTTTATTTTGTTTGCTTTGTTTACTTCTCTAGGCTTTCTTTCTGTGCCATTTCAGACAATCATAGCACATCTAGATATTAGTAAAACTGTTTCTCTGCTTAAGTTGCTCATGTATCTTGCAACCTCTCTTCAGAATTTGCACCATCCTGGGATTGTAAACCTGGAATGTATGTTTGAAACCCCAGAACGAGTCTTTGTAGTAATGGAAAAGCTGCATGGAGATATGTTGGAAATGATTCTATCCAGTGAGAAAAGTCGGCTTCCAGAACGAATTACTAAATTCATGGTCACACAGGTATTTTAACTCCTTTTTTTTTTTAAACTAGCGATTAAAAACTAATTTTTTTTTTTTTAAGACAAGAGTCTTACTCTGTCACCTGGGCTGGAGTGCAGTGGTGCAATCTGGCTCACTGCAACCTCTGCCTCCTGGATTCAAGTGATTCTCATGCCTCAGCCTCCCAAGTATCTAGGATTGCAGATGTGTGCCACCACGCCTGGCTAATTTTTGTATTTTTAGTAGAGCTGGGGTTTCACCGTGTTGGCCAGGCTGGTCTCGAACTCCTTGCCTCAAGTGATCCACCTGCCTAGGTCTCCCAAAGTGCTGGGATTACAGGCATGAGCCACTGTATCCAGCTAAAAACTAAAATAATTAAATAGCAGTACTTTTACATGTTGGGTGATTGTGGGAATTGTTAACCTTAAGGAGCAGAATAACACACTTTTAGCTAAGTCTTGATGAACTATAGTGGAGTTTTCAAATTAAATCATTCAAGGAGTCACATGAGGTTTACTTGTGATTTTCCAGACATTGAAAAGAAAATCTTTTTTCATAACAGATACTTGTTGCTTTGAGGAATCTGCATTTTAAGAATATTGTGCACTGTGATTTAAAGCCAGAAAATGTGCTGCTTGCATCAGCAGAGCCATTTCCTCAGGTGAGATATTCTCCAGAACCTTTTAAATGATTCTGGCAACATTTTCAAAGCACCCACATAATAAAAGGCAGTGTACTAAGTACTGTTGGTTAAAAATGCATACCACCTTACAAAAATAGTTTTTAGCCTGTAACTACCAGTGAGGATTAATAACTAAATGAATTCAGATGTTATTAGTTATACTGTTTATATTCAAGATTTTTTAAGATTTAACTGCACATAGATTCTGCAATTCACCTCTCCCCAGGGGCTGGGAACGAAGTGAGCAAGTATCAACCTTGGTTGGTGCATGGTACTTAGGATAAATACCTCATAAATAAAACAAATGGGGTGTTACTGGAAATGGGAGATAGATTTTGGTTGAGGCAGGCAGCCACCTCCTTTTTCTATGTAGAGTATTGTATTCAAACAACCTACATAAAATAACATTTCTCATCACCACACATACACACAATGGCATCGTGCTTCTGTGTCCTGGCTACATGTAGCACTCTCTGATTTTTCTTAATTCAGTTGAGTTTTTTTTTTTTCCAAGTGTTCATCTTGATCCACTAAATTTATTGCATGACCTATGAAATGGATCATAACCCAAATTCTGAAACAACCATCCTGAGAAATAAGTGGTGGTGGTGGTACCCTGCAGCCATTTTCCATAATTGGCAAGGATGATTCCTCCGATCAGCTCAAATATCTGTTGCCAAACTATTGTTTATATACATTTGAAACATGTACATTTAGACAAATGGCAAGACTAAGGACAACAGATAGGTGTTTTCACTTGGTAAATATAACTCAAATTGTCTTTTCAAATAAAAAGATATATTAAAAATCGTTCAGCTTTTAAAGTAGTAATCATATTCTTTTTATGTTTATGTGGTTAAAAGTGATTCCCTATCATTTTGAGGTCGAAAGGGTTGCCTGATAGTTGGTGCAATGTTTTAAATAAACTGCTTCCATATATTATCTCATTTGATCTTCAAAATAGTAGACAAAAGATGCACACTCCTACTGGTAACATTAAAACTCCCACTTTCTGACCTCTATTTTAGTGATCCACAGTGTTCCAATGAGAAGCAAAGGGAAAATAATGTGATTTACTTGATACGCTTTTTATGCTCAAGTGTTAGCCATGGCTCCACTTCTTTAATCAGTTGCCAAACTTCCAAGTCATCTTTACCTTATCAAGATGTTAGCTGAAATCTGGCATTTAACAACAAAAAAAGAGTTTGTATTTCTTCAGGCTCAGTATTCGTACTCTTCAAAGACACTGAAATCGAGAAGCAGCCAGATTCAGTAATGATTTTGAGCAAATATCATTCATAAAAATATGTGTCAGAGTCCACCATCCCAGAAATAGCAGCATTTGATAACTTCACTTCGTTTTCTAGGCACTGTTTGTACCACTGTTTTCTACAGCTTAAATCTTTTTCCTCTCAATTTATATTAATGCTTTTGCTAAAGACATTTTTTAAGTCAGAGCATTTCCTCCAGAAAGTACCTGGCATTTGCTTGTTCAGCATGGATGTGGTCATTAATCCCCCAGATTTGAGCCTCTAGAAAAATCTGGGCAGCAAGATAAGTGTTCTGAGTTCTGCCAAGCTCATCAACTTCTAGAACTCTCTTTTGAGAGGATGTGGTAGTGACTATGGCTCCCTTTACATATAACTGTTTTCAAATCTAAACATCTAACTAGAAATAATTTGTTCCACAGTGATAGAAAAGTGTTGCTGTTACTCACTGGGGCAGTCTCCAGCATTATTCCACTGGTGTCCCCATTTAAAATTACCTTTAATACACCTCAGTTTTATTTACTTGCCAGTTTATAACATCCTTAGGAAAAGAGATTCTAGGATTAAGCAAAACAAGGGATGTTTTTAAATACTGTAACTTTTTTTTTTTTTTTTTTTTTTTCTTTTGAGACAGAGTCTTCACTCTGTCGCCCAGGCTGGATTGCAGCGGCGTAATCTCGACTCACTGCAAGCTCTGCCTCCTGGGTTCACGCCATTCTCCTGCTTCAGCCTCCCAAGTAGCTGGGACTACAGGCACCCGCCACCACGCCAGGCTAATTTTTTTGTATCTTCAGTAGAGACGGGGTTTCACCGCATTAGCCAGGATGGTCTCAATCTCCTGACCTCGTGATCCGCCCGCCTCGGCCTCCCAAAGTGCTGGGATTACAGGTGTGAGCCACCACACCTGGCTAATACTGTAACTTATTTTTCCTTCAGCAAACATTGAGTACCTTTATGTGTCCAGGCACTGTGAGGCCACTAAGGATTCAGAAATGAAACAATTCCTGCTCACAGATGATGGAAGAGTGATCTTACAAGACAAATGATAGAAAGCAGCATACTCTATTTCATAAGAAATCAGAACACTTATAACACCAGTCTGGTATTTGGTATTCTGGAAGCTAGAACTTTTGAAATATGTACTAGGAAAGCTCTTCATACTGTGTCAGTCAGGATCACAGGGCTATAAATGTGTCTGCCTTTTGAGAAAAGGATATTTTACAATTTCCTTATCTGTGATTAATATTCATAATCAGTAGAGCTGGCAAGTATGTTGAAATGATACATACAGTGTTATATTTAGGGACAGGTAGTTACATATATAACACTATAATACAAAATTAACATCATCCTTCAATTTCCAGGTGAAGCTGTGTGACTTTGGATTTGCACGCATCATTGGTGAAAAGTCATTCAGGAGATCTGTGGTAGGAACTCCAGCATACTTAGCCCCTGAAGTTCTCCGGAGCAAAGGTTACAACCGTTCCCTAGATATGTGGTCAGTGGGAGTTATCATCTATGTGAGCCTCAGTGGCACATTTCCTTTTAATGAGGATGAAGATATAAATGACCAAATCCAAAATGCTGCATTTATGTACCCACCAAATCCATGGAGAGAAATTTCTGGTGAAGGTAAAAAAAAAAAAAAAAAAAAAAAAAAAAAAATTTTGGCTATGTGTTTTAAGCCTAAACATCTTTCTCATCCCAAATCAGTCTGTCTCTTGCAACTTATCTTTTTAGTACATCTCCCATTCATCTTCCAAATTCAACTAGTTACCAGTTTTTTGAGCACTCTTCTTTTTATACTTTTATCTGTGTCTTCTGTATAGTTCCCAGGCATAGCACTTACATAGGCCCCAGTGGCCTCATTGTCAAACCACTAAAATATCTTTTTAACTGTCTTACCTGTTAAACTCTTTTCTGGTCCTTCCTAGTCACTACTGCCAAATCTATCTTCAGGAAACATTACTTTCATTTATGGTGCTCCCAAACACTTCTCTTTAACCACCTTACAGGCATAGTTATCTGTGATATGGTCCATGCTTACCTTCTAGCCTCATCTCCCACTACTCCCTACACAAACCTAGTTGTTTACTCTTCTGAACTGTTTTCTGCAATTTGCTTGGGACTGTTTTTCCCTTGTCTACAATCCTTCCTATTAAAATTCGAGGACCCCTTAATTTGTGGCTCATCTATAAAGTTCCCTGACTACTCCTCTACACTGCAGAATTTACTTAGGCTAAAAAACATTTGGGCTTTTTTATTATCTTTTTTTATTTTTATTGAGACGGGGTCTCCCTCTGTCACCCAGGCTGAAGTGTGCACAAACACAGCTCACTGCAGCCTCGACTTCCTGGGCTCAAGTGATCCTCCCACCTCAGCCTCCTGACTAGGTGGGATGATGGGTATGCACCATGGGCCACCCACACCTGGCTAATTTTTAAATTTTTTGTAGAGATGGGGTCCCACTATGTTGCCCAGGCTGGTGTCAAACTCTTGCACTCAATTGATCTTCCCAACTTGACCTCCCAAAGTGCTGGGATTACAGGCATGAGCCACTGCACCCAGCCCCATTTTTTTCTTAAGTATTCATTCTTTTCATAATTGACTTTTCTAATCTTCAGAACAAGACTGTGAGCTCCGTGAATGAATACCTAGCTCCGGTTCCTTATACCTAGAATGAACTTTATAATCACCAGACACACTGCAGTTTGTTTTCCTCTCTCCTGTGGACCTCTGCTGGGAAGCTGCATACATCTCTTTTTCCTGCCTAGTGAAGGCTTTTGAATTTGCAACTCCTGGTTCTGTACCCGTCAAGAATAAGTTGGCTGGCCCTCTTTAGTCTGCTGATACTGATAGGAAGGACAAGTACACTACTTAAAACATTATTTAACTGCCCCATAGAAGTTAATAGAACCAGTGCTGGGGAATACCCCCATCTGGATTTAACCAGCCCATGTAATAGGTAGATCTTTTTTGTTTTTCCAAAAGTACTAGGCCTAATCATAGGATTAACTAATATTCCATCAAACTGGGAAAAGTTTAAGAACAACATGTGAAGACAGTAGCAGGTTTGCTTGGTAATGAAGAAAGCTAATTGAAGAAGCTCATAAGAGATGTTTTTTGATGTTAACCAGTGTTATCTCAGACCTCCTGAGGCAGTGTGTTCTGTAGACCTCTTCTATCAGAATCACTTTGCTAGTTTGGTAGTATAGAGACAAGAAATAGAACTAGGATGGTACAAGTCTTTCCATTTGGTTCGTGTCTGGGTCTAGCCTTTTGTTACCAATATTTCAAATGTACCATTATATAGGGCTGTAGTTAGTATGTAGTTATTGGTTGCCTTGGTTTTGCAATTGATCATTCTCCAAATAAGTGAATAAAATATATATACCAAGAACTCACCATGTACACTAAAACACCCTGAAACCTATTTGTTAAAAGTGTAAACTTTTGGTAGTTAAGCTACCACCTCAATGTGACCATATATAGAGGCAAGGCAGTGCCTTTCCAGACCAAGTCAGGGACTAGAGTGCTCTCTAGCATTGGAGCGGGGTGGGGAGGATCAGAGAGTCTGTTTCATTCATCTTCAAATAATAATAGTTAATACTTAGCACTTATGTGCTAAGCACTGTTCTAAGCCCTTAACATATGTCAGCAACTTCATGAGGAAACTGAGGCATAATATAATTTAGTAACTGACCCAGTATCACACAGCTAGTAGGTGGCAGAACCAGACTTCAGCCCAGGCAGTCAGGTTCCAGAGTATATACTTTAACCTGTACTCTATACTGCCTTATAAAGGCAATGAAAATTTGACAGATACACTTAAATCAGTAAACATTTATGATTCATTTTACATGTTAGCTAAAAGTCCACGTCCTTGAGAAGCAAAAATTCCTCAACCCTGTATTTCTATGGGTTGAACTGCCTTCTAGGCAGTCACAAGTTTGGGGTACTCTGTGCACCCAAATTCATGTATCTTGTTTTGTCTTTTCCCTTAGCAATTGATCTGATAAACAATCTGCTTCAAGTGAAGATGAGAAAACGTTACAGTGTTGACAAATCTCTTAGTCATCCCTGGCTACAGGTAAAAAAAAATGTAATCTCTCTTTGGCAATCCTCATTTGAGTAGTTCACTCTGATTTGTCCCACCTAATGAGACCACTCTAAGATCAGCAGAATAATAAAAGTGCTCTTAAGTGATTAATTTGTACTATGGCTGAATCTCTGGAAACCATACAGCATTCAGATCGGTAATGACAGGCAATTAAACTCCCATGAACTGAAAGCAATGACTTAGCCTTTCATAGACCTATGTGTTCATTTCACCTTTTTGTAAGATTAGTATGACATATTAATTTATCAAATTTATTTTAAATGTCTACTGAAGGATTTATTTTTGCATTGAAGAGATTTTTTAAAAATGTTTGGCTTAATTCTCCCAAAGTTACTTTATAGATTTATCAAAAGATACCCTCCAAACTTCAGAGTAAGGAGGGAAGCTTTAGAACTATTTTATAGGGAGTGAGAGGCAGAATTAGCTTTAAAACAAATGTAATCTCATCTACCAGTTACTAAATTATCCTAATAAGCATCCAAGCACTTTCCCCCACTTTGAGTAAGGTTTAGGCCTCACGTTGTATAGAACAAAATGTTTTAGTGATTATTATTAGCCACCTAAGAAGCCTGAAGCAAATTTTTTTTAATTTCAGAAATTAGTTACGTTCATTCATTGGAGACTCTGAGTTTGAAAAATTTCTTTAAATTGCTCATTTAAAATATCACAAGTAGAACTTAGTACATAGTAGATACTTATGAGTAGCGCCTGTCAATTATTTGACTAGGGCACTAAACAACAACAAAAAAAAACACAAAACAAAAACCAGGTTGACAGTATTTTGTTTCTTTTGTTTCATCATTACAATTTCATTTTCTCCTAGGACTATCAGACTTGGCTTGACCTTAGAGAATTTGAAACTCGCATTGGAGAACGTTACATTACACATGAAAGTGATGATGCTCGCTGGGAAATACATGCATACACACATAACCTTGTATACCCAAAGCACTTCATTATGGCTCCTAATCCAGATGATATGGAAGAAGATCCTTAATCACTGAGCTAACCTAAATAAGGAAGGATTTCATTTTATGGACTGATATTTTGCTGTGTAACTTGTTCTTTGTAGATTGTCATCTGCAGTGCTGCAAAGATATGAAGAAATATGATAACGAATAAGTGACACCAGTACTGTAGTTCATAATGAGTAGGTACAGGCGGGAAACTGAATAATAAGAAGTCATAATGGAATCAAGGTGAAGCTTTTTATAAACTTTTTTAGCCTAAGCAATAACTGGTTTTGTATTTTTTCTTAATCCTTCACTTTAATACAATAGGCTCACTTAATTTGTCTTCCCATTTCTCTTTATATATATATATATAAATATAAATATATGTTTGTTTGTTTTTTTAATGAAAAACAAGTCAAGCTAGCATCCAGTTACTATATAGCTTGGCTAAATTATACAAGACTTACAAGATTGATTACTCGACAGGCTTGTATTTAAGAGGTAACTGTGAGGTTACCATTATGTGATGTTACTATAAGGACTTTTAACATTGGTTTAACAAACCATAGAGGCATTGAAGGGTTTTTCTTAGATGCCTAGAAAAAGCGCACTGGGCTGTTTTACCTTTCTTTTTTAGGTCAATCAAGACTCCAAAATAGTGATTCCTAACCTTTTTGGAGTTGCTCTGCTACTCTGAATATGTTCTATACAGCATAAGGATTGTCACCTTCTGTGTGTTGCAACAGCTTCTAAGATAATTAGGGACAAATGATGTTACAAAAGGAAGAGTACTGCTGGTCTAAGTGCTGAGTTGTATGTCTTTGCATAGCTCCACTCTGCTGCTAAATATGCATGTTCTGACTGACACCATCTTGATGCCAGTACTGGATTCCAGCATTCAGCAGGTGCAGATCTCGGCTTTACACAATTTATCTTTACCTAGGGTTCAGTCAGTAATTTCTGCTTTTTAGCAGGGCCAGTGCAGGGTCAGTTAATGCTACAGTTACTGTATAGCAAACAGTATCCTTTTTTCTCCTTCCCCTAGCCTATTGGGCTTTGCAGATATCTGGAGTGTTTTAAAGTCAATTATTTTAAGCAGTTTGAGGGGATGTGTAGGAGTGGAGCATGAAACAGTTTATAAGGCTGGGGCTGTATTATCAGCACAGCAAATTAAAGAATGAAAGAAGTACTTCTTTTTACATTTCAGCTCCAGCAGCCAGCTATTTAAAAAATATTTTTAAATATCTTCCCCAAAGTTTAAGATGTGGGACCATCTACTTGTAAGAAACAGTGGCTTATTTCTTCATTTCTCAGTAATCATTGTAAACCTTTTTTTTTTTCTTCTCCACTCTAACAAAAGTAAAAGAACAAAACTTTTGCTGAGGTCTTGGACTCCACTACTTGTTAGTTATGTTGGCCTGGACAGATGGCAGGTCTGTCGGCAGTTCCTCAGTCTGTAAAATGAAGATTATCATTCTTGCCTCTCCCTTTGTCACAGTGTTGTCGTGAAGATCAGATATGTATGAATGCAGTCAAATAAACTAAAAACTAGGAAAGTGTTAACTATCGTTGCCCACCGAATTTGAGGTAGCAAAAAAAAAAAAGAATGTTCTGGTACATGAACAGACTGAGAAGGCCTTTCGACATCCCTGAAGCTAGTCTCCTGTCTAGACTAAAAATATCCTTGAAAGAATAGTAGCAAACAGTATGCAGTACTCCTGTGTTCTAAGTTCTTTTATGTTTTAGTTTACCCTCACAGCAGCCATAGTGTTAAGTCATTATGAGCTTCATCTTAAAGATAAGAAAACTGAGGCAAGGGGAGATTAACTTACTGCCAAATTTCAAACAGTTAGTAGTATTTGAGACCAGTAGTATGGCTCTAATCTTACCCTTAGCCCTCCCAACCATTATGCTGTACTATCTACCCATAAATACCTCCAGGAAACATTCCCCTCTTGGTAATTTGTCCTTCTATAGAAGCTTCAAAGATTAAATCAAATTAATTTTCAAAAAAAATTTTTTTTTAGAAATGTTATTTTCCCTGTGATAGAGGATGACTTCCCAGTTTCACCAAAGTCTGTTTATATCAACACACACAAAATGGAATAATTCTGAGTCACTAGGCAATCAATCTACTGTGGTTTTACTATGTAAGGTGAAAATTAACTGGAACGATGTTTGTTTGCTATACTTACATAGTCAAACTTTACAAGCCATGAAATTAATTGCACTCTTTGTATTTGTTGTTAAATGCCTAAGAAGTTTTCTAAAAATTTTGTAAAGGCACTGTCAGAGAATCTGGAGTTGAATGATTATTCCAGATACTGTATAACCTGCATAACTTTTTGTCTTTAAGTCGTGTTTGTAAAAGAAGTAATTGCTAGAAACATTTGATAATGTACAAAGTAGTCTATAATGACTGTTCAGTACATTTTTAATATTTTTTTGGTTATATCCAACTTTTTGTAAATATACTGGAAGCTTGATAATAAAATGTATTTCCTATCACCATACTTTTCCATGTGAAAACCTGAGCCTATTTCTAGTATAAGTATCCAAAGAAAAGTTTGACCTGGTTGTGTTATTTTACCAGACCTTGGTAAAAGAACTATTTTGGAAACAGTATTTGTAAATGGAACTAATGCTATATTTAAAAACACTGATTTTTTTTTAACCTGCCAAAAATAAAAAAAAGCTCATTTTATAATTTTCTACTAAATTTGAGTTGATTATCTGGAGGTCTCATTTCTTGTAAAGTATAACTTTTTCAGAAACTACCACCAAATTATCCAACTGTTATACTACCAGAAGGCTTTAAAAAGTTAAAAACCTAATATCAAACTTTCTAGGTGTTAAGATATAAGGCATTGCCTGACTCTAGCCCCTTAATTATAAAAACTTTAACATATCTGAGAGGAGCCAACTATGGACGTTTAACTCATCTTTCAAAAATTCTCCCAACCAAGTCTTTGAAAAAAGAAAACAAATACAGGAATCTAGAATGAGAACAACTAGGAGTGGCCCGAGGCTGGGCAGCATCTGAAAAGCAAGGCCTCCGTCTTCCTTTACTTTAGTGCAGGGGTGTCTAATCTTTTAGGTCCTAGCCACATTGGAAGAACTGTCTTGTGCCACACATAAAATACACCACCACTAATGATAGCTAATGAGCTTGAAAAAAAAATTGCAAAAAAAAATCTCATAATGTTTTAAGAAAGCTTACATATTTGTGTTGGTCCACATTCAAAGGCTACATGACATGGCCATGTAGTGTGGACAGAATGCTACTCCTGTCAAGCAGAAGCAGCAATAAAAAGCAACAGTTCATCACTGCCAATGAACTTCTGATACAGTTAAGCCGTAAATTCAAGACATCAAGGGAAAGTATTCTTTCCCTTTAATCTCCCTTGTAAATCTGTGTTGCTAATTAATAATTCTCTAACTCTTTGTTTCCAGTATTAACACACAGCTTCTAACAACCAAAAAATGAAAACATAATACAGAACTAAAATTTGACATTTATCTGAAAATTATTCCTCCTAGGCTGTGTGTGTGTGTGTGTGTGTGTGTGTGTGTGTGTCTCTATCACAGGCTACAGTGCAACGGAGCGATCTCCCCTCTGTGTGTGTGTGTGTGTGTGTGTGTGTGTGTGTGTGTGTGTGTGTCTATCACAGGCTAGAGTGCAACGGAGCAATCTCCCCTCACTGCAACCTCCGCCTCCCGGGTTCAAGCGATTATCCTACCTCAGCCTCGTGAGTAGCTAGGATTACAGGCGCCCACCACCACACCAGGCTAATTTTTGTATTTTTAGTAGAAATGGGGTTTCACCATGTTGGCCAGGCTGGTCTCCAACTCATATTTGAACTACATGTCAAGATTTACTGTTTCTTACTGTGACCTTCATAATTTTTTAAAAAATGCACAGATGCACAATGTAAGAAATTCAAATACCCAGCCACACCCTGCCCCTCAAAGTCACTTCCAAATTGGGAAAATTGTGCATTCATTCCTTACTTTGTATGCAAGTACATATCACAGAAAACAACCAGTGTACACTAGTGTATTCGTTTCTATGAAATTACTCGTATTTATTTAGTTTTTCTCCTTCAACAAAAATGGAATCAACTATAAAAACTCTTGCATCCTACTTTTTTTCACTTACTAAATCTTAGAGAGTTTTCTGTCAAAACATATTGCCCTAGCTCATTTAAAAAAATAACATATATCTTATCAGTTTCCTGTGAATAGCCATTTAGTCTGTTTCCCATTTTTATTAAAACAATCAGTGCCCATGTTTACTTTTTTTTTTGAGAGGGATTTTTGCTCTTGTTGCCCAGGCTGGAGTGCAGTGGCACGATCTCAGCTCACCGCAACCTCCACCTCCCAGGTTCAAGTGATTCTCCTGTCTCAGCCTCCTGAGTAGCTGGGATTACAGGCATGTACCACCATACCCGGCTAGTTTTGTATTTTTAGTAGAGATGGGGTTTCTCCATTTTGGTCAGGCTGGTCTTTAACTGCTGACCTCAGGTGATATGCCCACCTCAGCCTCCCAAAGTGCTGGGATTACAGGCATGAGCCACCACGCCCAGCCGCATGTTTACTTTTTAAAATAAAATAGAAATATGGCAACTAGCTTTGTAAGTTAAAGGAAACTCAGTTTCACAATAACTTATTAGCTTGAGCACACATTTGCACCAAAGCCAGTCACAACCCTAAAAGTTCTATAATGTTGGTTGTATTATATACAACATGGACTGTTCTTGCTGTGAAAAGATAAAATACTTTGACTTTTGTTACCTGCAGTATATGAAATGTGTTTCCTTTATTTTGATTTCTTGGGCCGACTGAAGGGTAAAATGTCCAAGCTGAAATATCACTGCCAAGCAAGTTCACTAAACCCAGCTACAACGGATGCAAAGGGTTTTGACTGACGTGCATTCCTCTGATATCTTCCACCTTGAAGTCTCTGATGAGGTAGCAAGGCAAAAAAGTTAAATCTCTCTCCCATCTTCTTTGGATTCATTAACATATCATATCCTTGAAGTAACTGCTGCCTCACTGATGGCTCATTTGATTTATCTAAAAGAACCTGAAAAGAAAAAAATTCTTAGCAAAAATAACCAGAAGACAGGATTCCTAGTTACATGCAGCAATACTAATGACTCTCAAATATTCCAATAAAACAGCACTCAAAATGTGACTTCTGATTACCTGCCTGAGAATCATAGAGTACTTATTAAAAATGTAGATTGGTGTGAAACAAACCTAAGGATTTGCATTTTTAACAAATATCCTCAGGGGGTTTGATCTACAGTAAGGTTTAGGTGTTCTCAGAAGAACAGTTAGAAAATTCATACCCATAAACGCAGTTTTCTTAACAAACAAAAACACTATTTGGAAGTCTTAATGCTACCTCCCATGGAGATGCATAAAACTTACCAGACTAGTTACTAAATCCTATACTACCTGAAAAGACTGGAATACCAAGGATTGGCTAACTACAAGAGCATTAAGGCCAGGTGAACATACTATTTAAAGTAATTTTTGAAATACTATGAAAGTACTTAATAACAGTGAAATAAAATAAACCTTACCTTCAGCCGGACATCAATACCCATATTTTTTAAAAATGTGTGTTGTTTTATTGGGCCCAGAGAGGCTACTTTTCCCTGTGCCATTCTTCGCAAATAACTGAAGTCCACATCAGCTGTTAGATCTGCTGTTCCTGGGGCAATTAAGACATCATGAAGCTTGTGGTCGCAAAACCCCTTGAACATAAAGAAATCAGATTTTTGCCCTTTTATGGTTATTAAGATTAAAGAAATGCTATCATATTAAAGTTATTTAATATTTACATTAATGCTTGAGGTGACGGAATAGAGCTCTCATTAATTCTCTAGGCAGGGAACACCTAGGCAGTGTTTTACAAAGTATATGCATCAACCATGCATCAGAATCACCTGAGATACACTACAAACTACTACACAGCCATAAAAAAAAATGAAATCACGTCCTTTTCAGCAACGTAGACATAGCTGGAGGCCATTATCCTAAGTGAATTAATGCAGGGACAAAACCAAATACCACATGTACATCTCACTTAGAGCTAAACACTGGGTACACGTGAACATACTTATGGGAACAAACACTGGTGACTACTAGAGGGGAGACAGGAGGAGGGGAACAAGGGCTGAAAATCTATCTACTGAGTACTATGCTTGCCACCTGGGTGACAGGCTCACTCGTACCCCAAACCTCAGAGTCAATGCAATATACCCATGTAACAAATAACAAACCTGCCTCATGTACCCCCTAAATCTAAAATAAAAGTTGAAATTACTTAAAAAAAAATCACCTGAGAATATATTACTGACCCTAACCAGACCTGGTCAGTCAGAATCCTGGAGGTAAGGCTAGAGAATGAGTATTTTCAACAAACTATCCAGGTTATTTTTAGATAAAGTTAGAAATTAAGAACCACAGACCTAGAAAATGACTAAGAGCATTTAGTTAAATGTTTTTCAATTAAAGTATATTGAATAGAATTGATTATATTCAAAGATCATTAAGAAAGGATGTTTAGGAACAGTGTAAAAGAATACATCTGGAAAGGGAAAAAATGTTGAAAATATGATAGAAAAAGCTAGAATGATTACAGTAGGTAGTTTAAATCTGTAAAGAAGTACCAAAATTTTTCTTGAATGAAGGGGGTTACAGATAGGTTTAAGAATGTGAAGAAAATCTTTCCATTTGTATTATTCAGCTGCTTATCTGGATTTATATAAACATAGGTTCTACAACTAAGGAAGAATGTACACAATTCAGATCCTGTTAAAGGAGGGCTGGACAGTAGACTCAGTGTTAGCAGTAAGAACTAGGGTTAAGGGGAATTACAATAACATGAATTAATGTTAACTATAAAATAATGTAATACAACAATACCAGGCACTGTAGAAATCAAAGCTCTTCAATGGGCTTCAGATCTAACACTGAAATTCTGATAAATCATGTTACTGAATTATACATACTCTGAAGGTATCTGTCTTTGTTCCATCATGACCATAATCAGCAACCAGTGCAGCACCTCCAGTTAATGCAATGCGTTGAGAAAGTTCCTCGATGATAACACCAGCATCAGGACACACTTCAACATGATCCCTTGTTTCGTCATGCTAGTAAAGGGATCATTGCAAGAGTCAAAATGCATCATTCAAAAGAATGACTTCCTTACGGTTTTTCAGGTTTTTCCTCAATGAGCATTTCTTAGTTTTAATAAAAATAAATTCTTAATATGAGTATGTTCTCTACACTCAACTTTTCACCTGACTCCCTTTTTATTATACAAAACTCCTTAGTTCTTTGATGCTATCCCACTTGATATACAAAGACATTTTAATCTCTTTTATAAAAAGGCAAATGCCCTCCCAATCCCCCCAGATGGCCTAGAGCATTATCATTTAATGTAAAATTACTTTTGTATCACAAATCATATAAACACATTCCTCTAGGTTGAAAGCATGGGAAAGGGATTTTTTTTGTCTGCCTAGAACAGTGCCAGGCACATAACAGTCAATGAAAATATTGTGCTGAAAGAACAAATGGTATAAATCCAATAACACGAAGCAGACCCTATTAGACAATTATATTATCATGCCCTCTGTTGTGCCAGAAAGTATCCCAATGATATGCCCTACATCAAGAAACGCTGGCTTATAAACTAGTGCCAATGTATTGAAACCGTTATTACCCCAAGATGTCCACTTAACTAAGGGGCCACAATAAGTGTGTACTAGCTTAAAAAGCAAAATCACACTAAGTATTAACACTTGTCAACCTGACTAGTATATATGAAATTTCACTACTTCCTGATCTGATTGAAAATGTGGTATTTCTTTCCCTTCATTATGAAAACATACATTAACTTGTACTCCTTCCTAACACCTTATTATAGAAATGCAGTAATGACCTGCCCTGATGTCTGCCTATGGTAACAGGCATAGAGTCAGATGAAGTTAAATCTCAGCTCTTCCTATGCTTACTGGTAGACAAGTTACTTAAACTTTCTGAGTTGTTTTCTTCCTTATAGATATTGTAGGTTTATTGTGAGGATTAAATATAACTAACCATTTAGCTAATAGTGCAATCAAATTACTGTGGCTTAACTATAAAAACCATGAAGTCAGCCTCATCAGGCATCAGTGGACACGCTGATCATGCTGACATTCTATCTTAGGCTACTCTTCAAGATGACATGTATTACCACGCATCTCATTCAAGTGAAAGAGAATATTCGCTCCCTCCCTTCCTAAGTGAATACTAATTAGGTCAAGAACTAAATGAACTCCCAGGGCCAGGAGGTTAGTTCTTGGTAGTTCTATGAATATGTCATTCAGGTAAACTTAGATTGCTATACTATGAAAAAACAGGTGTTCATAAGTGTTCAGTCTGACATTTAAATTTATACTTAACAAAACTTAATTCATACATTTAAGTTTAAAAGCTCTTGTGCTTTTAAAACTGATAATTTCTAAGTAAGAAGTTCTCAGTTAAGGTCCAGAAAGTAAAAATCATCTTCTGAGCTGGAAAAAAAGGATTAAAAAAAAAGAGGCAGTCTGAAGCCTGGACGTTCCTGAGAAGTACAGGGATTTTTTTGTACCTTTAAACAAGCCACAATAGACAGGCTCTTGCAATGATTCCTTGAGATCAACAGAAAGCAGTAGTAATTCTACCATTCTGGCCGAATCAAACTGAGATCTGTGTGGAAGCATGGGATAAAAGCCATGCTGTAGCCCAAAGAAGGATAATAATAGAACCTACCTAATATAGTTGCTTTGAGAATTAAATGAGAAAACAGAGTAACACAAAGTACTCAACAAACGTTAGCTGTTATTGTTAATTTACTATAGTCTGTACTACATTGCTTTCACAGATGTAAACTCTTCCTGTGGACAATACCATTACCATTTGACATGAAACTGAGATAAGCAGTGAAAGTAAGAGACTTGGCTGAGTAAGCGGTTACTTACTTTCTCTTACTACATGACGTTAAGGTCACACACTTAAGAAATGATTTTAACCCATGCTCCTGCCTCTAGCTCCTCTGCACTTTCACTGTCAATAAAAAGCACCTCGTATGCTACTAGCAACTCTTCCTGTAAAGGAACTCTAAAACTCTAAAGTAGTAACTCAGAAAATAAGACTTTGAAGATTCTGTGAGCAATAAAAGAAACTTAAAAAAGCATATTCTTACTTGTATGAAGGCTTCTGCTGGGGTGGCAGAAGGTGCCAAAACAAACCTCAGTTTATCAGAAACCTGTGGATCAATGTCAACAAATACTTCTCGCCATCCCTGTGGTGTTTTCTAAACACAAAATAACACATAAAAACAAATTTTTGCAAGTTTGTTCTCTACATTGCTTCTACCAAAAATAGCTTTTTCTCCTCTTACCATAAGTAACTAACATTTACAGAGAACTTACTATTTAAAATTACTTAAATTCATTACTTCATTGCCTTTGAACAATGAGTAGACCAATCGATGCAAAAGAAACAATAACAGAGATGACGCTGTGGAAGATAAAATCAGCAGCATGGAAAGTACCCCAAAAACGGAAATAGACTCAGGAAGAACAGCCAGAAGCTTTACTAACAAATTACTACAGGATCATGAGAGCTGCTCTTCTCCTCACAAATTACCAGTACATATACATTATCACCAAATCTTAAATCTCCTCACAGAAAGAATGAAGAAAAGTTTTATTATTTTTTTTTTGAGACAAGCTCTCGCTTTGTTGCCCAGGCTGGAGTGCAGTGGTGCAATCTCAGCTCACTGCAACCTCTGCCTCCTGGGTTCAAGTGATTCTCATGCCTCAGCCTCCCTAGTAGCTGGGAAGTACAGGCACGTGCCACCAAGCCCAGATAATTTTTCTATTTTTAGTAGACACAGGGTTTTGTCATGTTGGCCAGGCTGGTCTTGAACTCCTGACCTCAAGTGATTCACCCACCTCGCCCTCCCAAAGTGCTGAGATTACAGGTGTAAGCCACCATGCCTGGCCCAAAAAAGTTTAATCTATAATTTTTTAAAATGTGCTAAGGTTGGCTGGGTGCAGTGGCGCACACCTGTAGTCCCAGCTCCTTGGGATGCTGAGGCAGGATGAACACTTGAGCCCTGGAGTTCAAGACCAGCCTGGGCAACATAGCAATACCCTATCTCTTAAAAAAGAAAATTTTTTTTTTGCTTAAGTAAATCCTTCATTGCACCACAGCCAGTTACCATCTTACCATTTTTCATTCCCTTACTTCTTCAAATCAGAAGAATTAAGAATTCTTAATAATTATCCCAGGAGAACTAACAATTCTCATTAATATTTCATTTTTTGCTTTTGAATTATTTGTGTACCAAAATTCCAAATAATAGTTAAAAATAACCTCAACAAGTAAAATTTGTATACTGAATAAATACCATAAACATTGGCAACACAATGCCTTTTGTATTCAATTATAGACATGACTTTTTTCCCCCCTCAATACCTGAAATTTATGCACAGGAAGAACATCAAAAAATTCATGTGCAAGATAAAAGCTGTACCCTATTTAAAAAGAGGAAAACAATTAATGTTTCCACATTTCACAGGAATTAATTCTTTTGAATATTAACTGTAAAAAAAATGCCTACTTCCTCCATAATCATCACTACCACAGAATTATCTACCTCTTCATGGAAAACTTACACTGCAGAACATAGAACAATTATTACTATTCTTATTTTACACATAAATGGGGTCAGAAAATGGAAATACCTGAAATAGCAGTTAAAGCTTTTATTCATCACAAGGCTTGAAAGAAATTAGAAGTCAGAGTTGTTAGCTGGAAGGGAATTTGATTTCATAAAATCGGGCTTCTCAGCCTGAGAAGGCTGAGGCAGGAATGGCTTGAGATCCCTTACCCAAGATCGTACCCCCACTTTGGCTTTGAGTCAAGACTCAAACTAGTCAATACTAGTCAGTATTCCTGACTAGTACAGGGATTTTCCCCCACACCTTGCTTGTCTTTAGGCAAGTAAGGATTTTTTAAAAGACTCTATAACTGAACTAAACCCACCTACTAACACTGCTTCCATCAGCCCCAGCTGCCTTGGGCTGCTCCGTCATCGGTACAACCCTAGCTATAGGGAAATACTCAAAAGTACAAAGGAGATTTACATTTTGTTTGGGATTTTACAAAGCTTCATGAAATAAACTACTACTTAATGTCAGGCAACTTTATTTTCTATTAAGATGCTCTTTTCTAGAAAAAAGTAGGCTACTCTCTATGGATAAGGGACTTGGCAGCAGTAACTCAATCTATTATATTGCTGTAAAAAGTTACAGTCCCATCAATACTGTGAGGGTTGTGATCAAAATTCTTTCATTAATCCACATAAAGGTAATTACCTTTTGGAACATCGTGCAGATCTCGGTACCAGGAAATTGGAATCCCAGACTTAGTGACACCTTTCATATACACTGGGGATCCAGCATTTCGCTCTAACGGGACCTTCTCTTTAGTCAGTGTCAATGCTTGAATCTCACTTAATTTTTGGCTTACCTCTACCAGATGTACTGAAATGTCACAATTTTTCAGCACAGATCCAAGTTGAGTGAACACCTAAATACCAAAAGAAGAAAAAAAAATACAATGTGTTAAGTAGGTTTTAAGTTTCCTAATCATTTACATCAATGATTTAGTCATGTCACAATAGAGGTAATATTTCAGAGAGATGTGTTCCTTACCCAAGCCACTCTCCAGCAGTCTATAAGAATCCTAACCTACTAGTTATTAAGCATAATCTAAATAAGAAATGAACAATGCACAATTTGGTTTCCTAATGATAAATTATGATTAACAAATGAAAATAAAAGATTTGGCATCTGATAAAAACAATGATTCAGATTATGGAGTCTAAAAAAAGACCAAGGAAATAAAATGTACACAGCCTTGATTTGATAACATCTCTAGGTCTAGGAAGTAATCTCATCTTTGAGATGATGAGAACTCTAACCTCAAAGAACCAAATCTGAATGGTACTGAAAACCTGACTGCTTAACTCGGGGGTCTGCCACATTTTCAATCTATATTTAGCTACACATTTTTTCACTGTTGTAAACATGCAAGGGAAAAAGGAAAATACTAATATTTTACCAATCTTTTAAGGCTAAAAAATCAATAGCAAAAGCATAAAGTGTATCAACATTATTTTTCATTTGAATTTAATTTCTACTGGTGATCTGCCTCCAATTAATACTTTTGAGATATGAATATGCACATCCAGACTGATAATATGAACAAGATGATTTTTCCAAATTTAGTTTTGAGATCGAAATACAAATGGAAAAACTTCCCAGGAGAAATTCCTTCAGAAGGTAACATCAAAAATAAAACAGGTCTGACACTTCTCTGGCTATTTGCTTTACAACCCTTTAAATTCTTTGGCTTTTAGGACTTCTTATGACTCAGTCTGGAAAAGCATCCTTCATACATTTTAAGGGCTCTGGAATCAACTTTTAAAGTACTTGAACAAGAGAATATGATTTGAGGTCCTTATTAAATATTTTATATTCAAATGACCTTGCTGAAAAACATAAAATAGAGCCCTGGAAATTTAAATTCGTGATTTTGTTTTCTTTCTTCACCCAAATAATCAAGATTCTTATTTGTCATATGTTTATATATTTTATATATTTTTTAAATCCTTTAATTTCTAATTTAAAGCAAAAACCATAAAGCATCAAGAAATTTAAATTTATATTGAGTATGTGTTGGTGTTTTTTGGTTTTTTTTTTGAGACAGGGTCTCACTTTGTTACTCAGAGGCATAATCACAGCTCACTGCAGCCTCAACCTCCTGGGCTCAAGCAATCCTCCCATCTCAGCCCCTCAACTAGCTTCGACCACAGACGCATGCTACCACGACTGGGTAATTTTTGTATTTTTTGTAGAGATGGAGTTTCACCGTATTGCCCAAGCTGATCTTGAACTTTGGGAGCCTCGAACTCCCAAAGTGCTGCGATTACAGGCATGGGCCACTGCGCCCAGCCATGTTTGTTTTTTACATTGAATTGTCAAGTACATATAAAATAAACTCAAAAACACTAATGAGTTCCAAAATACTAAAAACTACAAAAGTTTAATAAATACTATTACTTATCAGGTACTATAAACAACTGTCCTCCTTTTTAATGTTTTCATAAAATAGTACGTAGACTGATAGAAACAATGATACAAGAGAGAATATCTACCATAAATGGGACATGACCTTATCTCCAAAGCCCCTGTGGACTCCCTCTACCCTTGGAAGTCACCACCATTCTGAATCTTGAGTTAATAACACCCTGACTTTTCTTTATAAATGTTACTAAATATATTTTTATCACCAAATACATATTGTTTAATGTTGACTATTTTTTGGATTTTATATAAATACAATCATATGATACGAACTCTTGCAAACTGCTACTTTCACACATCTTGTTTCATGTTGAACACTGTTATATTCCACTGTGATTTCACGCATTCTTGCAGTACTTCGTATTCCACTGTATGACTATACCACAATTAACTGATTCATTTACCCCCCGATGGGCATTTGTGCTGTTATTTTCCGCTATTTTATACAATGCTGCTATCTTCTTGTATGTGTCTCCTGGTACACATATACACTAGTTTCTCTAGGGTATATCACTAGCAGTAAAATTGCTGGGTCATACAATATAAGAAACTTTGATGTTAATAGATAATGGCCAATAGCTTTTCAAAAAGGTTGTACAAGGCTGGGTACGGGGGCTCATGCCTGTAATCCCAGCACTCTGGGAGGCCGAGGCAGGCGGACCACTTCAAGCCAAGAGTTCAAGATCAGCCTGGCCAGCATGGTAAAACCCCTTCTCTACTAAAAATAAAAAAATTAGCCGGGTGTAGTGATCCACGCCTATTATCCCTGCTACTCAAGAGGCTGAGGGACAAGAATCGCCTGAACCTGGGAGGCAGAGGTTGCAGTGAGCCAAGATCGTACCACTGCACTCCAGCCTGAGTGACAAAGTGAGACTGTGTCTCAAAAAAAAAAAAAAAAAAGAGAAAGAAAAAAGGATGTACTAAATTATAGTTTTACAAGCAGTATATGAGAGTTGCCATTGATCCACAAATCCACATCTTCACCAATACTTGGTGTTGACAGACTTTTAGCTTTTTTTTCTAATCTGGCAAGGGTTACAGTAGTATCTCATTGTGATTTTAATTTTCATCTTCCTGACTACCAATGTGACTAATCTTTTTTTTTTTTTTTTTGCTTTTTTAGCCGTTTGTATTTTCCTCTTTTATGAATGGACTTGTTCACATCTTTGGCCTGATTTTTCTCAAGTTATCTGTCTTCTTACTGACCTAAAGGAGTTATTTAAATAATTCTAACTACTAGTTCTCTGTTGGTTACGTGTTACAAATAACTTCTCCCACTCTGTGGCTTGTCTAATCACTCTCTTAATGGGGTCTCTGAAGAACAAAAAGCTGCTAGTTTATTTGTAGAGCAAGAAGTTTTTAATTTTAATGTAAGAAATGAAATATTAATCTTTTGCTTTATGCCTTCTGCTTTTTTTTTTTTTAATATAAAAAGAGACGAGGTCTTGCTTTGTTGGCCAGGTTGGTCTTGAACTCTTGGCCTCAAGCAATCCTCCCACCTTGGCCCCCCAAAGTGCTACGATTACAGGCATGAGCCACTTTGCCCAGCCTAAACTTTTTTTTTTTTTTGAGACGGAGTCTCGCTCTGTCACCAGGCTGGAGTGCAATGGCGCAATCTCAGCTCTGCAATCAATCACTGCAGCAATCACTGCAACCTCTGCCTCCTGGGTTCAAGCGATTCCCTGCCTCAGCCTCCTGAGTAGCTGGATTACAGATGCACACCACCATGCCCAGCTAATTTTTGTATTTTTACTAGAGACGGGGTTTCACTATGTTGGTCAGGCTGGTCTCGAACTCCTGACCTTGTGATCTGCCCACCTTGGCCTCTCAAAGTGCTAGGATTGAGCCACCATGCCTGGCCTAAACTTTTAATATAATTAACAACTTTCCTTCCTGAGGAAACAAATACACTCTCCCATAATGTCTTCTAAATGTTTCCTATTTTTAGCTTTCATATTCTCCCCCTCCCCTCCAATTTTTAAGTTTACAGACAACAGTAAGTAATGACTGATTACATTATTCTGACATTATATTTTAGCTGAGAAATATGAAATTAAGGAACTGAAAACCAATGAAATCAACATGGTTTGCACACTCAGAAGTACTAAAATTCACTTATATGAGACTAGAAGACATTCTTTTATTACCTACCCTCAAAATATCTCCCACGAGGGTTCCCCTACCTGGGCCCAGTTCCACCAGCTGGAAAGCTGTGCTTTTTCCAGTGGCCATCCATTCACTAATGAACCATATACCTAGTAGCTGTGAAAAGGGAAAAAAAAAACACATATTAAAGTATTATAAAGTATAAAAGTATACCACAATATAAAATTTCACATAAATATGCACTATATGCCAAAAAGCAAAATGTGTACAGCCATATGTATGTTGTTCAATACATACGTACATGTTCACATAGGAACTTCCTGGGACTACATCATAACATACACCATTTAGGAAGATTAATAGGAAAAAATAAGGCAGCCTCTGCTATAAAAGGTCCCATGACATAGATAAGAGGATATCACTAGCAGAAAGGTATTAGTATTTGAAAGCAAATAAACATATGAAATGTGATTATGCCATTTCTTCATATTCATATGATTTAAACAATTACATGATTCTTATAATAACTAATGTTTTTCGATACGCACATTCTACTTCCTCGTATACACTATTTCCTATTTCTAAATTCATAGAAGGTACTTAGTGGAAATGAATTAGAATTCTGTTTATTAAAGGAAGACTTGGCTGGGCGTGGTGGCTCACGCCTATAATCCCAGCACTTTGGGAGGCTGAGGCGGGTGGACCACCTGAGGTCGGGAGTTCAAGACCAGCCTGACCAACATGGAGAAACTCTGTCTCTACTAAAAATACAAAATTAGCCAGGAGTGGTGGCACATGCCTGTAATCCCAGCTACTCGGGAGGCTGAGGCAGGAGAATCGCTTGAACCCGGGAAGCAGAGGTTACAGTGAGCCGAGATTGCGCCACTACACTCCAGCCTGGGCAATAAGAGCAAAACCCTGGCTCAAAAAATAGATAAATAAAAGAAGACTTTTACTGTAAGTACGGCTAAAATCATGACTGGGAGCTTTAGAGCTTCTCTTAATTCCACTAATTCTTCAATGCTCTTTATCTTTTCTCTCTTCCTTCCCGGGCACTCTCCTGGGCACTCTACCTCTTTCCTCGCCTTTCCTTTTGTCTCTCTTCCTTCTTCCATTCTCTTTTTTTTTTTTTGAGACGGAGTTTTGCTCAGTCGCCGAGGCTGGAGTGCAGTGGCGCCATCTTGGCTCACTGCAAGCTCCGCCTCCCGGGTTCACGCCATTCTCCTGCCTCAGCCTCCCAAGTAGCTGGGACTACAGGCGACCGCCACCACGCTCGGCTAATTTTTTGTATTTTTTTTTTAGTAGAGACTGCGTTTCACCGTGTTAGCCAGGACGGTCTTGATCTCCTGACCTTGTGATCCGCCTGCCTCGGCCTCCCAAAGTGCTGGGATTACAGGTGTGAGCCACTACGCCTGGCCCCTTCTTCCATTCTCTTCCTTCATCTGATTCTCCTTTTTCTGTCCTCTTTATGACCCCCTCCTTTCCTTCTCTTTCTCTTTGTCCCTCTTATCTCTCCATTTCCCTTCCTACAGTGGAGTATAAACTTTTCAAATATTCTCTCTACCATTTTACTCCCCTCTACTGCCTCTCTATTCCCTCAGTACATAAACTACTATAAAGTTAAAACTTTTGATGAATCACAAAAAAAGCTGTAGAACACTACTACAGAATAATACAATTTGATCTGCTCTCAAATGTTTATATTAGCTTCATTCATACTTTACATAGTATATTACCTCCCCAAAGATTTGACTTATTTCAGGTGAAGTAATGAAATCTCCTTTTTCGCCTAGCATGTCACGGTACACATAATAACCCTGAGTAAAAAGAGAAAATAGAGAAACAAAATTAATTTTCAAATAAGCCTTTTAAAAATACCCCTCCAAAATCTTAAATAATGTAAAAGTGAAATAATTATTTAGTAAGAAAGTTCTCTCCTCTAAATAAGCAAGGGGAGCCAGGTGTGGTGGCTCATGCCTGTAATCCCAGCACTTTGGGAGGCCGAGACGGGTGGATCACGAAGTCAGGAGATTGAGACCATCCTGCCTAACATGGTGAAACCCCATCTCTACTAAAAACAATACAAAAAAATTAGCCGGGCATGGTGGAGGGTGCCCGTAGTCCCAGCTATTTGGGAGGCTGAGGCAGGAAAATGGCGTGAACCTCGGAGGCAGAGCTTGCAGTAAGCCGAGATCGCGCCACTGCACTCCAGCCTAGGTGACAAAGTGAGACTCCATCTCAAAAAATAAATAAATAAATAAATAAATAAATAAGCAAGGGAAATATGGTGTCTTTACCCAAATTTTACAAAGTAACAGTCATTTTACAAAACCGGTAGAAAAACAATTACACCTTGACCGTAAAGGCAGAAGTCATGTAACGTCCATCTCTGCACGCCAGACCCTTCCTCCCCTCCCAGCTCCCACACCCAACACAGCAAGACCCTGCCTACTCCTCCAGCCTCCTCTCCAAATTCTAACACTTTCTGCCTCACATATGGGCCCTGCCTGCTGGTGATGTTCTGTTTCTTGATTTGGGTGCTGGTTACATGGGAGCATTTGCTTTGTGAAAATTCATTGAGCTGTAAACTTGTGGTTTATGAACTTTTCTATATGAATATTATATCTCCAGAAAAAGGGTTGTTTTTTTTTTTCTTATTAGCCTTGCTTGTCCAGACATCCATGCCACTGCAAATCCTCACCCTTCTCCCTTTTCAACTTTCCCTGGCAGTCTTATACTCAACCTCCGAATCTGCTCAAATGCCACCTAGCTGACCTCCTCCAGCCCTCCAACCTAAGGCCAAATCCAGTGCCACCTTTTCTGAGCTAATTTGTCTCTGTTCTTCACCACAAAGTATAGTTGTTTGCAGAAGATCATGCCTTATTTATCTTCATATCCCAAGTTTTAGCACGATGCCTAACCTTCAAGAAACACTCAAGAATTGAGTTAAATATTTCTTATGCTTCTCAAGCTCCTATTCTACCACCTTACTACAGGTGACATGGGCCCCAGTCTCACTCCAGAATTAAAGAATGTTATAAAATACGAATTCCTCAGCTTCCCATCCCCACCTGGCCTCTAACCTAATCTGGGGACTCCAAGAATGAAATGCCTTCCCCTTCTCCTCTCATCCAAACCTAATCCCTCCGCCTGTGCTCTGGACCATTCCTCATACAACTCCCCTGAGTCCTTTTAGCTGTCCCCTTCTCTCTTCCAGCTTCAACTTTCCCCCTTCAGCATTCAAAATAAATCAAGTCACTCCCATTTTTGAGAACATTTTTTCAATCCACACATCTCTTCTTCTAGGCTTTCTAGTTCCGTTCATAAGGAAACATTATTGGGGTATTTACGCTTTTTTGTGTTATGAACCACTGTGGTAGCCCAGTGATGCCTATAGACCCCTTCACAGAGTGTTTTTAAATGCACAGAACCACAAAGAAATAACTGAAAAATGTGTATCAAATGTTCTAAAAAATGTGATATATACACTTCTTTACTAGTGTATTAAAAAAATATAATTAGGCCGCGCACAGTGGCTCACACCTGTAATCCCAACACTTTAGGAGGCTGAGACAGGCGGATCATATGAGGCCAGGAGTTCAAGACCAGCCTGGCCAACAAGGCAAAACCCGATCTCCATTGAAAATACAAAAAACCTAGCTGGGCATGGAAACATACACCTGTAATCCCAACTACTCGGGAGGCTGAGGCACAAGAATCCTTTGAACCTTGAAGGTGGAGGTTGCAGTGAGCCAAGATTGCACTACTGCACTCCAGCCTGGGTGACAGAATGAGACTCTATCTCAAAAAGCCAACAAACAAAAAAGCCCATAATCAAGCCAAAGACCCAATAATTAACAAAATTTTGAAGTAAGGATGAGCACGATGAAATCCTGAGATGCCTGTGATCACTGTATTGTGATAAGGAAATACCAATGATTTCCACAGATGACAAAGTCACAGGTATTGCTGATGCTACTAGTTGCTGCGTATGTTCATAATTGAAGAAATGCTAAATTTCAGTTGAAAGTTAGTGAAAATAAAGGTATAATATTTTTTCCATCCAGCTTCATGAAACCCCTGATTTCTATTAAAGGGTCCCTAGGTTAAGAGCCTCTACATTTTAGAGTTACCCCTACTCTCAATGCTGGGAAACCTTCCTTTCTCTCAGTATGTTCTCCCTGGTTCCTTGGCTTTAAATATGACCTATATGCTGATGACGAGCAAATGTATATATGCCTGCCCAGTCTTTCTTCTGAACACCAGGCTCACTTTTTTTTTTTTTTTTTTTGAGACAGAGTCTCGCTCTGTTGCCCAGGCTGGAGTGCAATGGCGAAATCTAGGCTCACTGCAACCTCTGCGTCCCGGGTTCAAGCGATTCTCCTGCCTCCTGACTAGCTGGGATTACAGGCACAAGCCACCACGCCCGGCTAATTTTTGTATTTTTAATAGAGACGGGGTTTCACCAAGTTGGTCAGGCTGGTCTCAAACTCCTGACCTCGTGATCCACCCGCCTTGGCCTCCCAAAGTGCTGGGATTACAGGCGTGAGCCGCCACGTCCGGCCCTGAACGCCAGACTCTTACAGCGAATTGCCTACTTTCTATCTCCACCTGCATGTCACTGCTAACAAAATATGTATAAAATGCAGCTCCTGGTGTAGGCCCTCTCCCTAGTACTCCTCCAAACCTGGTCCTGTCTGTCTTAATCTCAATAAAAGGTACCATCATCACCCAACTGCTCAAGCTAAAAGTACGAATCAGCCTTGATTCCTCCGTTCCATCACTCAATCCATCGGCAAATCCTGTCAGTCCCTTTCTAAATCACCCTCTTCTATTTCTAGTACCACCACACTAGTCTAAGCCACCTATCTTGCAGCCCTGCCTAACCGGCATCGAAAGAAAGATACCGGCCTTGGGTAAACCTCGACACTAGAGTCACACTACCATATCCAACAACAATGGCCAATCTAACCCCAGAATTCCACAGAGGTCATATTTCAACCCAGCAAAAGATGAAATATTCTAAAATAAAGGACTATAGGCTTTCACCAAATGGCTCTGTAGAACAGACAAGGAAACGTGGGTCAGAAAGCTGTGACTGTGCCTAATCCTAGAACAGTGAAGACGACCCAGACTGCATTCTCAACTGCACATGTGAGAAAACCCAGCACATGTCTCCAATGCCAGCTGAAGCCATTCCAACACAGACGACTTTCCAGGCAGTAATTCCTATTTCCAGCTGCCTGTTGGAGATTTCTACCTAAGAGTCCCACACACTTCAAATTCATATACCAGCCTGAACTCTCCATCCTTCCTCCCGTATTCCTTCTCCCAAAGCAATGAATCCACACCACCCACCATCAGCCAAGTAGGAAAGTCATCCTTCCCGCATCATAAATCCAATCAGCTACATTCTGTCTCCTAAACACCCTTGGACCGTGTCCTCTCCTCTTTACTGGCACTGCCTCTGACGTGAGCCAGCCCTGACCAACTGACAAATTATCTGTCCCCAGGTCCTCAGAAATGGCTCTTCCCCTGGCAGGCACCCCCACTGCCTGGGCTGAGAACCTTCGGGCTTCTCCCTCCTGGCTTGCACCTCGCAAATCGGCTAGAGAGGGCCTAGTCCTCGGGCTACCCGACCCATACCTTGGCTGGATTAGTCAACACCTCCTTCATGTACTCGGCCACAGTGATGGGACCAGTAGACTTTATTTTGTACATAAGATGCCGCAGCATCGGCGTCACCGGGTTTTCTGCAGGCTCATTCCCGGAGCTGAAGTATTTCCCTCTCCAAATAAAAGGAATGGCTGCGAAAAACACAAATTAAACAGACCCCATGATAAATCTGACCATTCACGAGCGCAAGCCGCCTGAGCGTTTTCAAAACAGCTTCGTGAACCCTTAACCTCGCCCCACCGCAGACCGCGGGCTACTGTGCTTAGCACGCCCACGGGGCGCAGAGACAGCACCCACTTGCCCACGACTACGCAGCCCTATTGCGTTTGTACCGGACCCGTTTCCAGCCCAGGGTACCTTCAAGGTGGAAGTGAGCCCCCGAGCCCTTGATCCCCCGGTACCCTCAACTGAAGAGCTGAGGAAGGCGCCCCACGCGGCTTCCACGGCAACCGGGCTTCGAGGGGACTGACGCTTACCTGCGCGCGCCACGGCACACAACGGCCCCAAACCTGACCTCAGCAGTACACTCATGCTGAAATTCGCAGGCTAGCTCGCTCCGCCAGGAGCTGGGGCTTAGACCATTTCCGGGAGAAGACACGCCCCGACAGGAATTACGCCACTGGCAGAGCGGAAATAGGCTGAGTTTCACGCGCGTATGCTTTGCCCGCCATGGCCGCAGTCAAGGAGCCTTTGGAGTTCCATGCCAAGCGGCCTTGGCGCCCCGAGGAGGCAGTAGAAGATCCGGACGAGGAGGATGAGGATAATACTAGTGAAGCCGAGAATGGGTTCTCCCTGGAGGAAGTGTTACGGCTCGGAGGCACCAAGGTAACGGCCGCGGGCTCCGGGGAACGGGATCAGGCGTGGAGAGTTCCGAAGGTGGCTAGGCTGACTGCCCCGCCGCTTCCGCGCTGCGTAGAGCGCGGGCGTCCAGGACCGAGATCCCAGCCTCTGAAGCATGTGTTCGGTGCGCTTCCCACGCCGGTTTCCACTGCTGTTTACAAAAGAAAAGTTTCGAATTGAACGTTGTATTCTCTGGCTATTCTTAGGATGTAGGCGATCTTCTGATTTTATTGACGTGGTATAACCATCACACCATCAGGTCGGAGAGTGGCTTTTCTTGGTCCTGACCTTGTGGTATGAGTGTTTTGAACACCAGTGGTATTGGAATTTTCATTTCTGTTCTCATAGAGTACATGCACGTGTCACTGTATGCCCCAGAAGCCCTCTTTTTTGGAGCATCCTAATTAAGGGAGAGAAACAGTAAACAAACTTTTAAACACATAGTACAGCAGACGCGGGGTAGTGCTATAAAAGAAAATAAAACAAGGAAGGACGATAAGGAGTGGGAGCGCGTTAGTATTAAATGAGATGATCGACAAACACATCACGGAAATGTTTGAGCAGAATCCTAAAGGACAGGAAGGAGTGAGCTGCCATTCCAGTCAGTTGGAACAGCAAATGCAAAGACAGGCAGAAGAGTGCCTAACCTATTCCATGAGCAGCCAAAATGCCAGTGTAGCAGAGGCAGAGTGAGTTAAGGGGAGAATAGTAAGAAAGGAGGGCCGAGGGGTCAGAGGGCAGGCTTTTGCTCTGAGTTTGATGCAAAACCACTGGAAGATTTTAAGCAGATAAGGAACAGAAATTAACTTTGTTTTTAATATTATTTTGTTTGGAGACTGGACTTTCAAGGTGGAGGAGTTAGTTAGAGATAGGCAGATTCACAGTTTGCTCTGTGCTTGTGTATATTTAAGTTTTGAATAGGTAATATATACACATGAAACACGTGGTGCAAACTTTAAAAGATACATAGTGAAGTCAAATTGTTTCCACTTTTATCTCAGCCATAACCATTGCCCTGATAGGAAGCAATTATTTTTACAACTGCATTTTATATCTTTCAGGGATACTATATACCTTTTCAAGCATATACATACTCATTTATGTGTATGAAATACGGGTGTATCTTTTTTACATAAATGGTACCATATATATACACCTATCTCTACATTTTGCTTTCTTTTCTGTCTTAGAAATCCTTCTATATCAGTGCATAACGTTCTGTGTCATTGCTATGGCTGCATAAATCATTTTGTCTGTCTTAATTTATCTAACCAGCCATTTATTGTGAATATTTAAATTATTGCCAGTCTTTCACTATTTTAAATAATACTACAGTTAATAACCTTAATCGTGTTTTTCCCCCACTTTTGTAAGTGTATATGTAGTATAAATTTGTAGAAATGAGCCAGGCACAGTGGCTCACACCCATAATCCCAGCACTTTGGGAGTCAGAGGTGGGAGGATACCTTGAGTCCAGGAGTTTGAGACCAGCCTGGGCAACATAAGGAGACCTCATCTCAAAAAAAAATTTTTTTTTTAAATAGCTGGGCGTGTAGTGCCAGCTACAGGCTGAGGTTGGAGGATCACTTCAGCCTGGGAGGTTGAGGCTGCAGTTCAGCCATGGTCATGCCACTGTACTCAAGCCTGGACAACAGAGCGAGACCATGTCTCAATCAGTTAGTTAATTTTTAGAAATGAAGCTGCTGGGCCAACAGATGTGTGCCTTGTATTAAATAGTTGTGATTGGAGTTGACAAATTGTCCTCCATGGAGGTTGTGTCAGTTTACACTCACATCAACCATGTATGAAAGTGCCGTTTCCGCCACCCCTTCCCCAGCATCACCTGTCATTGTATCTTGCTCATCTTGCAGTGTATCTTTGCTCATCTGATAAATTAAAAGATGGATGTATCATTGTGGTTTTAATGTGGATTTGTCTAAACCTCAGTGAGGTTGAACATCTTTTCATATTCTTAAAGAACCCTTTTTTTCTATGAACTGTTCATGTCCTTTGCACATTTTTCTTTTGGGTTGTCACTTACTGATGTGTAGAAACTTATATTAAGGGATTAAACCCAATTACTTTGATAGGAATTGCTTGTATTTTTTTTCCAGTTTATAATTTATATTTTTTTCCTATATCGAAATAAAAAGTGTGTGTGCGTGTGTGTGTGTGTAAAAGAAAGAGAGAGAAAGAGAAATTTACTTATCCTTTCCTTTGTGGACCCTGAGTTTTATGTCAAATTTGAAAGGATTTTTCCAGTTCCGAAATTATTTTTAAAATTATGTTGTGTTTCCTATTATTTTATGGTTTTATTTTTCACATTTGTAATGTATTTTTAACTTATGTTTTTAATGCAGCAAGATTACCTTATGCTGGCTACTTTGGATGAGAATGAGGAAGTGATAGATGGAGGCAAAAAAGGAGCAATCGATGACCTTCAGCAAGGTGAATTGGAAGCATTTATTCAAAATCTTAATTTGGCGAAGTATACAAAAGCTTCCTTAGTTGAAGAAGATGAACCAGCTGAAAAAGAAAATTCCAGCAAAAAAGAAGTAAAAATACCTAAAATAAATAATAAAAATACAGCAGAAAGTCAAAGGACATCAGTTAATAAGGTGAAAAATAAGAATAGGCCAGAACCACATTCTGATGAGAATGGCAGTACCACACCGAAAGTAAAGAAAGATAAACAGAACATCTTTGAATTTTTTGAGAGACAGACTTTGTTACTTAGGCCTGGAGGCAAATGGTATGATCTGGAGTACAGCAATGAATATTCTTTGAAACCCCAGCCTCAGGATGTTGTATCTAAGTACAAAACCCTTGCTCAGAAGCTGTATCAGCATGAAATCAACTTATTCAAAAGTAAGACGAATAGTCAAAAGGGAGCCTCTTCTACCTGGATGAAGGCAATTGTGTCATCGGGGACACTAGGTGACAGGATGGCAGCCATGATTCTTCTTATTCAGGATGATGCCGTTCACACACTTCAGTTTGTAGAAACTCTTGTGAACCTTGTTAAAAAGAAGGGCAGCAAACAGCAGTGCCTTATGGCCTTGGATACTTTCAAAGAGTTGCTTATCACAGACCTTTTGCCAGACAATCGGAAGCTGAGGATTTTCAGCCAGCGTCCTTTTGACAAACTGGAACAGTTGTCCAGTGGCAACAAGGACTCAAGAGATAGAAGACTGATATTATGGTATTTTGAACACCAGCTGAAACACTTAGTGGCTGAATTTGTGCAGGTCTTAGAAACTTTAAGTCATGATACATTAGTAACCACTAAAACTCGAGCCCTTACCGTGGCTCATGAGCTGCTTTGTAACAAGCCTGAGGAAGAAAAGGCTCTTCTTGTGCAAGTGGTAAATAAACTGGGAGATCCTCAGAACAGAATTGCCACAAAAGCATCCCATCTGTTAGAGACATTACTTTGTAAACATCCCAATATGAAAGGAGTTGTGTCTGGTGAAGTAGAAAGGCTACTCTTCCGCTCAAATATCAGCTCCAAAGCTCAATATTATGCAATTTGCTTTTTAAATCAAATGGCTCTGTCCCATGAAGAAAGTGAATTGGCTAACAAATTAATAACTGTTTACTTTTGCTTTTTTCGGACTTGTGTCAAAAAAAAAGATGTTGAATCAAAAATGCTTAGCGCCCTTTTAACAGGTGTGAATAGGGCATACCCTTATTCCCAGACTGGTGATGACAAAGTAAGGGAGCAGATTGACACACTGTTTAAAGTGTTGCATATTGTGAATTTTAATACCAGTGTCCAGGCTTTAATGTTGCTTTTCCAAGTAATGAATTCTCAGCAGACAATATCGGATCGATATTACACAGCATTATACAGGTAAGAACATACCCTTCCAATATGAGACATGAAATAATAACTTGATGTAGTACAGCACAAGCAGTGCCCTCTGTGGGGCAAGAAAAAGAGTTAGAAAATTTGGTTTTAGGCCCCCTCAGCAGCTTGCTACTCGCCACCTTCAAGTAAGTCACTTAATCTTTGTTTCCCTGATGGGCACAAATTATATTAGATGCTTTGAATACATTTTTCATTTTGAGAGGTTGTAAAATACAGAAAAATACCCAAAAGATTCATTCATATCTACCACCTAGTATTTCAGAATTAACATTTTGCTATATTTGTTTTAAATCTTTTGGGATATTAAAGAAATAAAATTGCAGATATAATTGCAGTTTCCGTCTTCCCATTCTCCTCAGTCCTCTATCTTTTCCCTGCTGTCTTTCACACAGTTGAATGCATTCACACAGTAACTCATTCAACAAGTATTTTCTGAGTGCCTGCAGTATGGTGCCATGCTCTAGGTGCACAGGAGGCACAGCGAACAGAAATCCCACCCCTGGAGGCGCTCACATTCATATTGGAGGAGGTGGCAGAGAGGGGAGCGGTGGTAAACAAAGTATGTTAAGTAGAGAGTTTTGGGGGATGCAGGGTGCAGGGTTTTTTTTGTTGTTGTTTTTTAATGGAGATGAAGATTTTCTTTACTGAATTTTGCAACTCACCCATTGAGGCATCATATTTTCAGCAATGTGTAAACAGTTTGGAGCTGTTTAAGAGACAGTCGAACATAGCAACTGTGTTCAAGAAATTAATATATTTCCTTCTGATTCATTTTTATATTTTTACATAGATATATCTTGTGAGAAAATGTGGAGTAGTGGTTCGTATCTTAGACTTAAGCCACGCCGCCTGGGTTTGAGTCCCTGCCATTAGTTTTCTGTGTAATTTTGGGCAAATTACTTGATCCCCACTAAAAACCTATTGGTAGACATAATTCATCCCATGTTATCATGCTTAAGTGGATTTGTCTGTAGGATGGAGAGAAAAGCAGCTATCTCATATGATTATTATGAAGATTTTGAAACTTGCACAAGGTTCTACAGCTTGTAAATGACAGAACTGGGGCTTTAATGAAGGTTGGGAGGTTATGTGTGTTAACCCATGTAATCTTTCTATGTATATTAAGTGCTTAACAGTGCCTAACACTTAGTGCTATGTGAAATGTTGGCGGCTATCCTTATTACTGATAGTCATCCATGTTTCTTTAGTTTAATCCTCTTAACAGCTCTCCAGTCTGTGATGTAGGGGTGGGTTGCCCCTACACACCTGTGGGTGTTTCTCGTAAGGTGGGACGAGAGATTTGGAAAAGAAAAAGACACAGAGACAAAGTATAGAGAAAGAAATAAGGGGAACCGGGGAACCAGCGTTCAGCATATGGAGGATCCCGCCAGCCTCTGAGTTCCCTTAGTATTTATTGATCATCTGTCGGTGTTTCTCGAAGAGGGGGATGTGTCAGGGTCACAAGACAATTGTGGGGAGAGGGTCAGCAGACAAACACGTGAACAAAGGTCTTTGCATCATAGACAATGTAAAGGATTAAGTGCTGTGCTTTTAGATATGCATACACATAAACATCTCAATGCTTTACAAAGCAGTATTGCTGCCCACAGGTCCCACCTCCAGCCCTAAGGCGGTTTTTCCCTATCTCAGTAGATGGAGCATACAATCGGGTTTTATACCGAGACATTCCATTGCCCAGGGACAGGCAGGAGACAGATGCCTTCCTCTTGTCTCAACTGCAAGAGGCATTCCTTCCTCTTTTACTAATCCTCCTCAGCACAGACCCTTTACGGGTGTCGGGCTGGGGGACGGTCAGGTCTTTCCCTTCCCACGAGGCCATATTTCAGACTATCACATGGGGAGAAACCTTGGACAATACCTGGCTTTCCTAGGCAGAGGTCCCTGCGGCCTTCCGCAGTTTTTGTGTCCCTGGGTACTTGAGATTAGGGAGTGGTGATGACTCTTAAGGAGCATGCTGCCTTCAAGCATCTGTTTAACAAAGCACATCTTGCACCGCCCTTAATCCATTCAACTCTGAGTGGACACAGCACATGTTTCAGAGAGCACGGGGTTGGGGGTAAGGTTATAGATTAACAGAATCTCAAGGCAGAAGAATTTTTCTTAGTACATAACAAAATGGAGTCTCCTATGTCTACTTCTTTCTACACAGACACAGTAACAATCTGATCTCTCTTCCTTTTCCCCACACTGTGAGATACAATAATTTGGGCAAGGTCACACAGATATTAAGAGACCAAGTTAGGTGGCAAGTCCAGGTCCACTTGCTGTAGATTTCATGACATTTCATAGCACTGATTGCTCTGGTCCACTAAAAAGACTCAGAAGCCTTTCCACAACTCTTTGAAGTAATAGATAACTTAACACTGTTAATTTGAAAAGAGTTCCAAGGCTGAAAATGTAGAGGTTTCGGGATCTTGAGTTTTGTTTTTGTTAGTTTGTTTGTTTGTTTGTTTGTTTGTTTGTTTTGAAGGGGGGTGGTTTCATTATTTTGAACTTTTGATGGTCATAGGAATTTTTGATTTTTAGAAAGTGTTTGAAATCTATTAGAAAACATTTTTCTGTCTCTATTTAACATCATAGTCTAACATCTCTGAGGAAGGGTGGATTTTTAAGTTTTTGAAATTACTATTTGCCAAAAGCGCTCACAGATGGAGTTTCTTAACAGGCCTTTAGGCCTTCTTAAAGTGTTTGTTTGCTCTTGGTTTTATTAGGAATCCTTCACATTAAGAAAACCCCTAGTTAATTGAGGGATAAAAGAAATGACATGATTTGGTTTACAAAAATATTTATCAAAACATTAGGAAAATATTTCATGAAATGATAGAGACATGTCTCTAAATTCTTCTCAGATGTTTCTGTTGATGTGAGATGTAATTTATGCCTAATAATAAATTGCAAAATGGATGGAAATGTTGGAAAATTTAAATGTAAAGAGGGAAAATTTAAATGTAAAGAGAGAAAATTGAATAATCCAGAATATCCCAGAATATTACCAAAAGGGTGATATTTCCCAGAGTATTCAGAGCAATAGGAAAGTGCTTCACAAGCTTAAGTATTTTTCATTTCTAGTGTTAGTAGGAAAAAATTAATGGAAATGCTTAAAACAAAGGAAGTAATGATTCCAGGTGTTAATAGAGCTAATCTGGAGGATTGTGTTAATTCTGGGTGTCCTAATATCTGCAGGTCTAGACCGGTTGGGGACATGTGTAGGATTCAGCACCTAGGATAGAGAATTTTTAAAGTATCATGAGATCAAAGTAGAGCAGCCTACAGAAGACAGACATTAGGGAGAGACAAGCACATAATAGCTAAATAGGTTCAAGTATTTGGAAAACTGTCATGTAAAGGTATTAACTGCCAGGCACTGGGGTTACAACAGTGAATAACAGGCATAATCCCTATTTCATTGGACCTTTAGAGAAGAGGGAAAGGCAGGAAAATCAAGTTTGTGAAACTATGAAGAACACAAACATGGGACTGAGAGACTAATAGAAGAACCAATTTTGGATACTGTGGACATGCAGAGAGTTGGAGAGAAGCACTCTGGGCAGTGAAAATAGCGTGTATGAGAGGAATGTTACACAGCTAGTACATTGGACTAGAGATTCTCTGAAGTCCTTAGAATTTAATTTTCTGCTGTTCATCGATGGTCTTCACTAAAATCATGAAGAGGCGGCCTCTGGTCCCCCTGCTAGTAGGTAGTTATACAAGGACAAAAACCCAAATCTTCTAATGTTCTGCTTTCATGGGTCAGTTTTCACTATCTGGTTTTAGATTAGCTTTTCTGGTGGGGTTCTGTAAATACTGTTAGGGCTGTGCCCTGTTGATATAGAAAACAGAAAAACACTTGGAAAAGACAAGAAAACCACACACTCAAAAATGCCTATTCCTGTGTCTGTTGCTGTTGGTTTTTCCTGGTGCCATCATCATCCTTTTCTGGTCATTGACTTCCATCTTACCTCTTAGGGCAGGGTCTCTTGTTCTAAAATAAGCAGCAAAGTTATCCCTAACTAAGATGAGGTTAGTAGCTATTTCTAATATGTGACCATTGGTTGTGGAGATGGTTTTATACATAAATATTTGACCTTGGTTTTGTTTTGCAGGAAGATGTTGGATCCAGGGTTGATGACGTGTTCCAAGCAAGCTATGTTTCTTAACCTTGTCTACAAATCTCTGAAAGCTGACATTGTGTTGCGCCGGGTGAAGGCTTTTGTGAAGAGGTTACTTCAAGTTACTTGTCAACAGATGCCACCATTTATATGTGGAGCTTTATATCTTGTGTCTGAGATCCTTAAAGCAAAACCAGGTTTAAGAAGCCAACTAGATGATCATCCGGTATATTTTACAACTGCTTTTTAAATTGAGTGGGTGCTGAAATATATTGGTTTTTGTTTTGTTTTTCTTTGCTTCAAATGACAGTAACCTAGTTCTCTGGAGCATATGAGTGTGAGTTCTGGAATAGGACAAACCTAGATTTTAGTACCAGCTGTACAGTTTACTAGGTGGGCATGTTGCTCAACTCTTCTACTTGCAATAAACTGTACTATACTAGAAGCTACCATTATATGAGATTTGGAAGACTATAAAACTTAGTAGACCTCTTAAGTCTTCTTCCTTAACAATGAAATGGAAATAATAGTACCTACCTCATAGGGTTATTTACAAGTCAGAAATTTACTTGAGGGCTAATTGTTTTCAAGTATTAGAGTCCTTAAGGCTCAGGGGTTCTTAGCTCAAAACTTAACTGTGTTATGTTTAGAAATAAGGATGTAATCTCCTCTCTTGTTTAAATACCATTGATAGCCATCATTTTACTTTATTAGAACTTTCACGTTTCACCAGAGTTGCAATAAGTAAAACTCTGCATCACATAATGGAGCACAGACTTTATTGCAACTTCCAGTTGATTTATGTAGATTTATGAAACTATACTTTTGTTAGGAGTCTGATGATGAAGAAAATTTTATTGATGCAAATGATGATGAAGACATGGAAAAATTCACTGATGCAGACAAAGAAACAGAGATAGTGAAAAAACTTGAGACAGAGGAAACAGTTCCTGAAACTGATGTAGAAACCAAAAAACCAGAGGTTGCTTCCTGGGTGCACTTTGATAATTTGAAAGGTGAGTTTTTTTCATCTTTATTCTCTAGGGAGTTTGTTTCTCTTTGATTTTCATAGAAAATAGCATTCTACCATTTTATTTACTTATTTATTTATTTAGACAGAGTCTCACTCTGTTGCCCAGGCTGGAATGCAGAGGCGTGATCTCGGCTCACTGCAACCTCCGCCTCCCAGGTTCAAGTGATTCTCCTGCCTCAACCTCCCAAGTAGCTGGGATTACAGGCATGTGCCACCACACCTGGCTAATTTTTGTATTTTTAGTAGAGGTGGAGTTTCACCATGTTCGCCAGGCTGGTCTCAAACTCCTGACCTCAGGTGATCTGCCTGCCTCAGCCTCCCAAAGTGCTGGGATTACAGGCGTGAGCCACTGTACCTGGCCCACAGTTTCTTAAAGTAATGTTTTAGGGATAGAAAACTTTCTGTTCAAGATAGAAACGTTAAGTGGTTTTCTATACACACACCAAACTAAATTAAAAGTCTATTAATAGAATGTTAGAGTCAAAAAAAAATCTTAGAAATGCAGCCCCTTCATTTGAGGCTGTGAAGAAAACACCAGCCTTGAGGTTCGAGAAATGTGGTGCCAGACCCATTTCTTCAGCTTGCTTTGGGACTCACAGTCAAATTAATTCATCTACAAATTTCAGTTTGTGAAGTACAAAAGAGAAGTCTGATAGCTGCCAGAAAAGTTTGAGAAGAATCCATCAGTTCCCCTGAAGACTAAACTGAGAATAATCCTTTAGAAGGATGAAGAGCTTGTGTGTTGGAAGGTAGTCAGTTCCTAGTTTGTTCTGAAAAATCTTTGTTTTAAATTTTTTTAATCCTGAGTTTCTAAAAACATGAAGATAATGTCAGACCTGTTCCAAGTGAGAATTATTTCTGGGCATACTTTCATGACAAATATTTGAAGCACTCTAAAGCTCCAAAAGACTTTAGACCTAGTTCATCTTCAGATTATTTCCATCTTAACGTTTCCACCTCTTTGGCCCCAAAATGGGCACCTTTTGTTGCCATTTAGGAAAGGGAGAAGTTTGGGGTTTTTTGGTTTGGTTTTTGTTTTTTTTGAGACAGGGTCTCACTATGTCACCCAGGCCAGGCTGGAGTACAGTGGGCCATTATGGCTCACTGCAGCCTCAAACTCCTGAACTCAAGCGATCCTCCCACCTCAGCCTCCCAGGTAGCCGGGACTACAGGCTCGTGCCACCAGGTATGGCTAGTTGTGTTTTTTGTAGAGACGAAATCCCACTCTGTGCACCGGCTGGTCTCGAGCTCTTGGTCTCAAGCAGCCTTTCCACCTTGGCCTCCCAAAGTGCTGGGATTATAGGCATGAGCCATTGTGCCCAGCCAAAGGAGAAGTTTTGAAGGGAGCTTTTACTTACTTATTTTTGAGTCAGGGTCTTGCTCTGTCAGGAAGGCTGGATCACAATGGCACGATCTTGGTTCACTGCAACTCCCATCTCCTGGGCTCAAGTGATCCTCCCACCTCAGTCTCCCGAATAGCTGGGACTACAGGCACACACCACCACACCTGGCTAGTTTTTTTGTTGTATTTTTTGTAAGAGATGGGGTTTCACCATTTTGCCCAGGCTGGTCTCGAACTCCTGAACTCAAATGATCCACTCGCCTCAGCCTCCCTAAGTGCTGTGATTACAGGTGTGAGCCACTGCACCTGGCCTTGAAGAAAGCTTTTGGTGTTTGGGATAAACATGTTCTCTGCTTTATTCAAGAGCAGATGCTAGCTTAAGTACCAAGACAAATTCTTGAGGGAGCTCAGAGTTTTTAATCTAGGTTGCTTGGCTAAGTAAGAATGTTGGAGATATCTGTTGAGAATATTAATGGTGGTGCTTTTAATGACCTCTTGGGCTAGGAAGAAAGCATTTGAGAAATCGTATTTTTTTTGTTATTCCTAGGTGGGAAACAGTTAAATAAATACGATCCATTCAGTAGAAACCCTCTGTTCTGTGGAGCTGAAAATACAAGTCTTTGGGAACTCAAAAAGGTAAAATAATTTCAAATTGTCTTTTATTCATTTATGCTATATATATATATATATATTTTTTTTTTTTTTGAGACAGAGTCTTCCTCTGTCACCAGGCTGGAGTGCAGTGGCATGATTGTGGCTCACTGTAACGTCCGCCTTCCGGGTTCAAGCCATTCTCCTGGCTCAGCCTCCCAAGTAGCTGGGATTACAGGCGCCCACCACCACGCCCAGCTAATTTTTGTATTTTTAGTAGAGACGGGGTTTCACCATGTTGGCCAGGATGGTCTTGATCTCCTGACCTTGTGATCCGCCTGCCTCAGCCTCCCAAAGTGCTGGGATTACAGGCATGAGCCACTGCGCCCGGCCTATGCTGTATATTTTTGCCCTTGAGGATGTAATGCCTTGAAGTTTTTGTTTTTTTATGATAATTATAAGCATTAATAAACATTAAAAGTCCACATTTGGGGGAAGATACTATGTGAAGTGTTCATTTTGTAGAAAATCTTAAGTGTGCACGTAAAATAAGGATGTCATGCATGGGTTATGACTGTTGCTTTTTGTAGGTAGATTATTGCATATAGAGTTGAGAAAATGGATAAATTTTGCTTTATTTATTAGATACCTCTGAAAAGTTTTATGATAAAATTTTTTGCAAGTAAAGTTACTTTTCTGAATTTGTAAGAGGAATTCATATTTTTAATAACCTTTCTGTGACTTTTTGTGTAAAGCCAGTAAGTATCTTATGCAGCTATTCTCAAAGTGCGGCCAGACCACTAAGAGTTCCTGATACCTTTTTAGTGAGTCGGCCAGGTCACAGCTCTTTCCATAGTAATACCAGTACATTATTTGTTTTCATCACTGTGTTGACGGTGGCACTGATACTATAAAAGAAATGATAGGTAAAACTGCTGCAGCTTATCCTGAATAAAGACAGCACCAAGCTGCATCAGAAGCCATTATATTCATCACTGCCACATATGTGCAGTTAAAAAAAAAAAAGCCAGTATGACTTAAGAATGATGACACAGGGAGAATTACTGATTTTAGTGTCTTGACCTTAAAGTAACATGTCTTTTTAGTATTTCGTGTGCATACATAGCAAGTATGCGTAACATACCTGTGCTGCCTACCTAAAGCATGAAGGTTGTCACGTGTCTCAAGGACAAGTGCTTACCAGTTGTTGCAAGCTCATCTAGCTGCTCTTTCATGAAAGACTGACAAACTGGTTATTCAGGCTTAGGTATTTGGGAGATATTTTCTTGAAAATGAATGAAACAAAAAAGCTGGCAGTATTTGTTGTCAGCAATAAAATTCAAAAATAAAGCTTTCGAGCAAAGATTAAAGTTTTAAAAATCTTGTAACCACCACCTTGAGCTTGACAGTTTCTCAATTTGTAAAACTTTTCTGATGAAATCAGTGGTTCTAACAATGTGATTGTTGTGGTAAAGTATAACGAAATGTGCCAGTGTTTGGAAGGACTGCATATGGTATTTTTCCAATGACCAATGCACAATGTTACAAATTCTTTTTTTTGAAACGAGAAGGTTCTGTCACCCATACTGGAATGCAGTGGCGCGATCTCGGCTCACTGCAACCTCTACCTCCTGAGTAGCTGGGATTACAGGAGCATGCCACCATGCCCAGCTAATTTTTTTATTTTTAGCACAGACAGTGTTTTGCCATGTTGTCCAGGCTGGTCTCGAACTCCTGACTTCAGGTGATCCACCTACCTCAGCCTCCCAAAGTGCTGGGATTACAGGCATGAGCCACTGTGCCACCTGAATGTTACAAATTCTTGAGTGAATAAATGATTGATTCAAAGTAGACCAAATAATTTTAAGTAGCAAGTACCAAAAGCCAATTGAATATGGGTTTCAGATTCCATATTACAACTAATCTTTGGTTTTGGTATAGTACTAAAGAAGAAAATTCACAGCTATGTGAAAGACTATTTTCTACACATGAGGCCAGATTGTATGTTTCAACGTGGAATACAGAAGCAGATGAAATAATCCACTCTCTTCTGTTAAGCCAGACATTAAAGAGATTTGCAAAACTGTAAAGTAATACTACTCGCTATATATTTCGTCCTGAAGCATAATTATTTTTCTTTTTTTCTTTTTTCTTTTTTTTTTTGAGGCAGAGTCTTGCTCTGTCGCCCAGGCTGGAGTGCGGTGGTGCGATCTCAGCTCACTGCAAGCTCCGCCTCCCGGGTTCACACCATCCTCCTGCCTCAGCCTCCCGAGTAGCTGAGACTACAGGCGCACACCGCCACGCCTGGCTAATTTTTTGTATTTTTAGTAGAGACGGGGTTTCACCGTGTTAGCCAGGATGGTCTCGATCTCCTGACCTCGTGATCCGCCCGCCTCGGCCTCCCAAAATGCTGGGATTACAGGCATGAGCCACCTCGCCTGGCTGCATAATTATTTTTCATAAATATGCTACTTACTAGTATGTAGTAGCTTTATGGTTTTTGTTTTTGTTTTTTGTTTTTTTTTTTTGAGACAGAGTCTTGCTCTGTTGCCTAGGCCAGAGTGCAGTGGCGCGATCTCGGCTCACTCCAAGTTCCGCCTCCCAGGTTCACACCATTCTCCTGCCTCAGCCTCCCGAGTAGCTGGGACTACAGGCACCCGCCACCACGCCCGGCTAATTTTTTGTATTTTTAGTAGAGATGGGGTTTCACCATGTTAGCCAGGATGGTCTCGATCTCCTGACCTCGTGATCCGCCCACCTCAGCCTCCCAAGGTGCTGGGATTACAGGCATGAGCCACCGCGCCTGGCCGCTTTATTGTTATTTTTAATGGACCTATAAGTATTTACAATTTTTCTGTTTATTTTTATAACATAGGTGTCTGTAGATATAAACCTGTTGAATAGAAACTGATGGAATTTTTGGTTTTTAAGTGTAGGAAATGGTCCTGAGACCAATATGTTTTGAGAATCACTTTTTTAATGTATTGGCTTAAATTTCAAATTTTTGCATTTTCATTTTTGTTGTTGTTGAAATAGGGTCTCACTCTGTCACCCAGGCTGGAGTGCAGTGGTGCCATGTCAGCTCACTGCAGCCTCGACCTCCTGGGCCCAGGCAGTCCTCCCACTTTAGCCTCCTGAGTAGCTGGGAGTACAGGCACGCGCGCACCATCACACCCTGACTATTTTTGTACTTTTTGTAGACATGGGGTTTCGCCATATTGCCCAGGCCAGTCTCAACTTCTGGGCTCAAGCAATCTGCCTGCCTGAGCCTCCCAAAGTGCTGGAATTACAGGTGTGAGCCACCACACCCAGCCCGATTTTCTTAAATAAGCTATAAATGTACTAAGAGTCGACCTTAGAAATATTGATATTATTCACATTTTTCTTTTTAGTTATCTGTGCATTTTCATCCCTCCGTGGCCCTTTTTGCAAAGACCATCCTTCAGGTGAGTCTAAAATAAATCCAAAGATGAGAAATAAGAAAAAAAGTATCATTTTAGATAATCAATAATTGGTCATACAGTGTTTTCTCTAACAGAGAGAATCTTGTACATTTTACTGCTCGTATAAAGAAGCAGTGACTTGTTTCATACAGAGTAGCAGATAACTTTTCCCACTCTGAGATGAGTGGAAGCAATAAGACATTGAAAGCCACGCAGTTATTTATTTATTACCTTCTAGCTCCTCTCCTGGAGAAATACTGCCTCACTTTCCCATTTGCTGTGTTTGCCACTTCAGGGTTTGGTTCCTGATTAATGGTTAGATGGCCTGCATTATTAATATTAGTCTATCCATCAAATCAACATTACATCCTAGAATATGTATGTATATGTATCTGTGTGTTTAATTTTTTAAGTATAATGTGCATGAGAGAGATATTTGAAGAGTCATTTATTGCATATTTGTATCTTCAATACAGTGTAATAGAAATTATCTTTTTCTTCCTTTTTCTTACTTGGATTCATAGACATAATTTGAATTAAGTTTTTAAATCCCCGCTCCACTTTTCAGGGAAACTATATTCAGTATTCAGGGGACCCACTGCAGGATTTCACTCTAATGAGATTTTTGGATCGATTTGTATACCGAAATCCAAAGCCCCATAAAGGCAAAGGTATGCTTCTATTTAGTGAATTATTTGGCTTTCATTTTTAATACATAATAAACAATATGAGCTTATAACTAGGTTTTGCATTATACTGTCATAATTTTACATTTCAGAAAACACAGATAGTGTTGTGATGCAGCCGAAAAGAAAACATTTTATTAAGGATATTCGTCATCTTCCTGGTAAGTATAAACCTTAGACAGTTGAAACTGAAAAGACAATATAAGACAAAGATGCATAAATTGTATTATTCTTTGTTCTAATTTATCAGAATAAAACCTGAGCATCAAAGACATTATCCATCTTTTTTCCCAAGAATAGGTATTCTTAAATCTACTGTATCTGACTGGGCCTTTTTTTTTTTTTTTTTAACTTTATTACAGCAAATTTGAAACATATCCAAAATAAACAAAATAGTATGATGAACCCCCTCCCCATTACCATCACCCAGCTTTGACAGTTGTCACCATTTTATCATCCGTAGCTTCATCCACAACCCCTATGTATATAATTATTATTGCTTACAATTCAGACCATCTTAAAGCTCTCTAATATCAGCTTAGCAGCACAAAAACCCACAGCTGGTTTTGTCACAGAGCATCATTTTAAACTTAATAACCTACTTCTATATTTGCTAGCCATCTTCTGGATCTGAGTCTGTTGTTGTATTCAAAGCAGACATTTCTTTGCATACCAGATCTCATCTCCCTTTTGTTCAGAGACCAGGATTAAATTAGACCTTATAGATCATTTAATTTCCAGTGACTTACTTCACAGAGGTCCAGAGATGTAAAAGGACTTACCCACAGTTAGTAAGTTAGAATTAAAAGCCAAATCTCCTTTTACTCAGGATGAGTCAGCAATTTTTATTCTGAAGAGGTAAAACTGATTTCTTGTAGTTCCTTATTTCTTAGTTTTCCTCAGTATAAAGGAAAACTCTGTTAACTTCCTGTTTATTCCCAGAATGGCACGCATTAATGGCAAGCTTGTCATTTTTTGAGCTGAAAATGACAAGTTTAAAGTGATTATTTATTAAAATAACTCTTTGAATTTTTTATTTCTCTTGAAAGTTGGGTCCTGGATGCAAATGAAGAACAGTAAGAGAACCCTGTTGTTTCACTGTAACGGCACTGACAGCTATGTACTGCCTACTTTATGCTGTAGCCAGTGAAGTTTCAAATGTTGGGGGGGTCTTCACACAGACTTTTTCAGAGATTGTCCCTTGCACTCCAGAGTCCCTTCTGTCTACCTTCCCACACAATTCTGAGATTTTTAGAATTACAGATTATGCTGTATTTTGTCTTAAGAGCTTGAGTAACATAAAGGGGATTGCTATATGAAGTTAAAATGTTTAAATTTATTTTTGTAGTGAACAGTAAGGAGTTCCTTGCAAAAGAAGAAAGCCAAATACCAGTGGATGAAGTGTTTTTCCACAGGTACTATACATAATATAGTTTCATTTGGGGAAACTGCTAAAATTTAAATTTTTAGATTTCATAAAATGCTTCATTTTATGAAATAATCTACTTCAATAATCTACTACTGTGTGTAAATAGACCATGGAACATTAGTGGGAGAAGTGGCCTTAGTTTTAAATGCTTCATTTTATGAAATCTAATCAGCATATTTTGAAAAGATCAAAGGATATGTCTGTGTTTGTTAAGAAAATTTACAAATCCGTCATTTTGCTAATCTTAATATATCTTAGTAAAACTAAAGTAAATTTGGGAGTTTTGTTAATTTAGCATATAAATTTTGTTTTATGCTTCTTTTTGGAATTTAGCCTTTAATTTCCTTTTATAATAATTTTCTTTATAGGCTTAAAATCTACCTTTAATATAGATTTTAATATAATACTTTAAGTTTAATATAGTGATAACTCATGGGTAATTTATCCAGACCATGGCCCTTAGAATGGATTCAGTGCACTGTTATAGAAATAAGTCCTAAACCAACTAGTATCATAACCTAATGCCTTAGGGTAGTAAAGTACCTCTTATCTCATCTGGTTGACTGGTTAATTAGGTTTGATTTGGCTTGTTTTTTAAAATCATTTAGAATGAATAATTTTGAGGGTTTGATTACATCTGTAAATGGCTAAGTTTTGCTGTATTCTAATATAAGAATAGGGCTGATAAAATATTATCTTTGAAATGTATTACACTTAAAAGATTCCAGCTACTTTTTATTGAGTTAAACTATTTTTTGTATATTAGATACAAATTTCAGTCATTTATTTCCAATTGAGTATACTTAAGATTTTACAGTTGTGGTTTGCCACTGGTCATAGGTGCTTTGATGATATATAGTAAGATTAGACCTTTAATAAAATTGTCAAATATATAACATGAATATTATAGGTATTATAAAAAAGTTGCTGTTAAAGAGAAACAAAAACGGGATGCAGATGAAGAAAGTATAGAAGACGTGGATGATGAAGAATTTGAAGAGCTGATTGGTAATTTGTTTTGTTGACTCTTTGTAAAATAATCTACTACTATGTGTTAATAGACCATGGAACATTAGTGGGAGAAGTGGCCTTAGTTTTAAAAAATCACTTAGCTAAGAATATCATGCAAATCACAGTGGAAGATTAAGAAATATTTGGGGCCAGGCGCTGTGGCTCACACCTGTAATCCCAGCACTTTGGCAGGCCGAGGCAGGAAGATTGTTTGAGGTCAGGAGTTCGAGACCAGCCTGGCCAATATGGTGAAACCCTGTCTCTACTAAAAACCCCAAAAAATGAGCTGGGCATGGTGGCACGCACCTGTAGTCCCAGCTACTCGAGAAGCAGAGGCACGAGAATCGCTTGAATCCAGGAGTCAGAGGTTGCCGTGAGCCAAGATTACGGCACTGCACTCTAGCCTGGGTGACAGAGTGAAATCCTGTCTCAAAAAAAAAACAAAAGAAACAAATATTTTTATGATATATGGTAATTCACCCACATTTGCACCAGAAAAATACATGATTTGTGCTTTGGATAGTCTATATAAGAAAACATTTATATTTGCTTAAGTCTATTCAATTGTTACAGCCAAATCTCATGTGAAAAAGAAATCCTTTTTACTATTCATAATCTATTATAGTATATCAGTACTAATTGATAGCAATAGTCTACTGTTTGATCTTTTTTATCTTTAATCCACAGAGCTACAGAAATTTTGATTGAAACTTAATAGACTTAAACAAAAAACATGGTAAATTGGAAAGACTTACACTGATTTCACGTTACATATTTTTTTGTTGTTGTTTTTTGGGGGGTTTGTTTGTTTGTTTTGAGACAGGCTCTCTCTGTCTCCCAGGCTGGAGTGCAGTGGCACAATCCCAACTCACTGCAGCCCTGCAGCCTAGACCTTCTGGGCTCAGGCGATTTTCCTGCCTCAGCCCCACGGGTAGCTGGGACTACAGGTACATGCCATGATGTCCGGCTCGTTTTTTTTTTGTTTTTTTTTTTGTTGTTGTTGTTTTTGTTTTTTTTTTTTTTTTAATAGAGATAGGGTCTTGCCGTGTTGCCCAGGCTGATGATCACTCCACCTCGGCCTCCCAAAGTGCTGGAATTACAAGCATGAGATGTTACATATTGTATCACACCTATTAAAAATGAGCACTTAAGTAGTTCTAATAGAGTAAAAAGGACGACAATTGCTAAATATCATTTTATTTGATATTTATCCTCTTTCCATAAAAGAACTGTAGAAAGAGCCGAAATTAACTGGATCCTTCTTTAGTTTTGGGATTTAACTAAGATCAGTATTTCACAGGTTTGTATACATTATTAAGGCACACTAGCAACAGTAACATTTACATTGTTTTGGTGTTCACTTGTCATAAACAGCAGAATCATGACTTAGAATAATTGATTCAGATACAAGATATATGTCAAGCTTGTCATTCTTTGTTGTATCTCACATTTCTGTATTGTCTGGCAGACACATTTGAAGATGATAACTGTTTCAGCTCTGGAAAGGATGATATGGATTTTGCTGGGTAACATACTTCTATCTTCTCCTTCCTATTTTTCTAGCATTTCCCAAATTGTTGTCCCTCAGAACAGTAGACCACAGAACTATATGATAAAGGGGAAATGTAGTCAAGTAAGTTTGGGAAGTGGATACAGTACTTTCATCTTTGACATTTATAAAGCACGTTATTATTTACTCTGAGCAGTCTGCAAAGCTTTCTCCTTCTGAGTCATTTAATAGCCTACTGCCCTAGTAGTCAGCAAAACACTACTTTAGAAAATACTGCCTCCTCTTGTATTACAAGTTGTGTTTTTTTCCAGAAACGTGAAAAAGAGAACAAAAGGAGCTAAGGATAACACATTAGATGAAGATTCAGAAGGTAGTGATGATGAACTTGGTAACCTGGATGACGATGAAGTTTCTTTAGGAAGTATGGATGATGAAGAATTTGCTGAAGTTGATGAAGATGGAGGAACATTCATGGATGTGTTAGATGATGAAAGTGAGAGCGTTCCAGGTAAGCATTTTTTAAAATAAGACATAAACTGTGTCTTCCTCACTTCCTTAGCCTTAAGTTTGTTTTTCTGCTAAAGGTTTTTAATATAGCCCTGTATTCAAATTAATACTCATGTCAGCCAGAAACTTAAAAGGACCTTTTCCCTTCTCGTTTGGAGCTGAAGGGTTTTTATTGTGTGTTATGTGTGTTTTCTTTTAAGCAGCTTTTTGAGCTTTGGACTTTTACTTTAACCAGCAGCTAGCTTCTCTGTACAATACATGTTGAGCTGAAATGCTGCCATTTTTTGATAGTAATTAGCAGTTTATAAAAGTTAATCAGTATTCATCATAGCCCAGCATAGATGAAGGTGAATATTTTATCTTGTAAATTAGCAAGGAACACCCAGAATTGTCTCTAGACTGTTGTCTGACCTTTCTGTCCTTTCACATACCTCCAGCATGCACATGCCTGCCCAACATTCTTCTTACTTATTCTGAACCACAGCAGAAGTTTCTTGTTTTAAGGGGTTTTATATTATTTGGTCTTATTAATGAAGCTATTTAGAAAATTTTGTACTTGCACAAAATATTAGAACTGTGCCAATTCTTAGAGTCTTTTTCTCAGTCTGTCCTCAAGCCTATGCTAGTGGAATTACAAAACCCACATGGAATAGCAGTATAGTGCCTTACCATCAGAATAAAGATTTTAGCATATCTTGGAGTAATATTTTCCAGTCTTATTGTTTTTAAATTGCTTATTAGCAAATTTTTTCGTGTAACAGAACTTGAAGTCCACTCCAAAGTCAGTACTAAGAAAAGCAAGAGAAAAGGTACAGATGATTTTGACTTTGCTGGCTCATTTCAAGGTAAGAAAATACATTTAATATCTTTTAAAAGCAGTGTCCATGTGAAAGGTGTCATTATCATTTTGGGAAATGAACTCTCCTAAATTTGATTAATAAAATTCAGGGGTGGGGGGGGTTCTTTTTAAGAAAGATGTTAAGTGGAAATTATTTTCCACATTTTGAATTGTTTCTCGCATTCAGATATCTCTGGATCATCTTTTCATTCACTTTTTAAAAATTTGTTATCATTATTTCAGTTGTTTTTGGGGAACAGGTAGGGTGTTTGGTTACATAGGTAAGTTCTTTAGTAGTGATTTCTGAGATTTTGGTGCACCCATCACTCAAGCAGTACACTGCACCCAATGTGTACTCTTATCCCCCACTGCCTCCCACTCTTCCCCCCAAGTCCCCAGAGTCCATTATATCATTCTTAAGCCTTTGCATCCTCATTGCTTAGCTCCCATTTATAACTGAGAACATAGAATGTTTGGTTTTCCATTCCTGAATTACTTCGCTTAGAATAATGGTCTCCAGCTGTATTCAGGTTGCTGCGAATGCCATTATTTCTCTCCTTTTTATGGATGAGTAGCATTCCATGGTATATGTATACCACATTTTCTTTATCCACTCATTAGTTGATGGGCATTTAGGTTGGTTCCATATTTTTGCAATTGCAGATTGTGCTACTATAAATCTGTGTGTTTGTCTTTTTTATATAATGACTTATTTTCCTCTGGGTAGTACCCAGTGGTGGGATTGCTAGATCAAATGATAGTTCTACTTTCAGTTCTTTAAGGACTCTCCATACTGTTTACCATAGTGGTTGTACTAGTTTACATTCCCACCAGCAATGTAGAAGTGTTCCCTTATTACCACATCCATGCCAACATCTGAAATTTTTTTTATTTTTAAATTACGGCCATTCTTGCAGGAGTAAGGTGGTATTGCACTGTGGCTTTGATTTGCATTTCCCTGATAATCAGGGATGTTGAGCATTTCTTCATATGTTTCTTGACCATTTGTATATCTTTTGAGAATTGTCTGTTCATATCCTTAACACACTTTTTGATGGGATTGTTTTTTTCTTGCTGACTTTTTTGAGTTCCTTATAGATTCTGGACATTAGTCCTTTCTCAGATGCATAGTTTACGAAGATTTTCTCCCACTCTATGGGTTGTCTATTTACTCTGCTGATTATTTATTTTGCTATGCAGACGCTTTTTAGCTTAATTAAGTCCCATCTATTTGTTTTTGTTGCATTTGCATTTAGGTTCTTGGTCATGAACTCTACTTAAGCCAATGTCTAGAAGAGTTTTTCCAATGTTATATTCTAGAATTTTTACAGTTTCAGGTCTTATCTTTAAGTCTTCGATCCATCTTGAGTTTTCTGCATAAGGTGAGAAATGAGGATCCAGTTTAATTCTCCTACATGTGGCTTGCCAGTTATCCCAGCACCAATGGTTCAATAGGGTGTCCTTTCCCCACTTTGTTTTTGTTTACTTTGTCAAAGATCAGATGGTTGTAAGTATTTGGCTTTATTTCTGGGTTCTCTATTCTGTTCCATTGGTCTACGTGCCTGTTTTTGTACAAGTACCATGCTATTTTGGTAACAATAGCCTAGTAGTATAGTTTGAAGTCAGGTAATGAGATGCCTCTAGATTTGTTCTTTTTGTTTAGTCTTGCTTGGCTATGCAGGCTCTTATTTTGTTCCATATGAATTTCAGGATTTTTTTTCCTAGTTCTGTGAAGAATGATGATGGCATTTTGATGGGAATTACATTAAATTTATAGATTGCTTTTGGCAGTATGGTCATTTTCACAATATCGATTCTACCCATCCATGAACATGGGATGCGTTTCCATTTGTGTGTGTCTGTGGTTTCTTTCAGCAGTGTTTTGTAGTTTTCCTTTTAGAGATCTTTCACCTCCTTGATTAGGTGTATTCCTAAGTATTATTATTTTTTTTTTTTTTGGCAGGTGTTGTAAGGGGGGTAGAGTAATTGATTTGATTCTCAGCTTGGTTGCTGTTGGTGTATAGCAATGCTACTGGTTTGCGCACATTGATTTTGTATCCTGAAACTTTGCTGGATTTATTTATCAGATCTAGGATCTTTTTGGATGAGTCTTTAGGGTTTTCTAGGTATGCTATCATATCATCGGTGAATAGTGACAGTTTGACTTCCTCTTTACTGATTTGAATGCCCTTTCTTTCTCTTGTCCAGTTGCACTGGCTAGGATTTCCAGTACTATGTTGAATAGAAGTGGTGAAAGTGGGCATCCTTGTCTTGTTCCAGTTCTCAGGGGGAATGCTTTCAACTTTTCCCTGTTCAGTATAATGTTGGCTATGGGTTTATCATAGATGGCTTTCATTACTTTTAAGGTACGTCCCTTGTATGCCAGTTTTGCTGAGGGTTTAAATCATAAAGGATGCTTGATTTTGTCAAATGCTTTTTCTGCGTCTATTGAGATGATCATATGATTTTTGTTTTTAATTGTTTATGTGGTATATCATATTTATTGACTTGCGTATGTTAAACCAGCCCTATATCCCTGGCAAGAAACCCACTTGATCATGGTGTATTATCTTTTTGATATGCTGTTGGAGTTGGTTAGCTAGTATTTTGTTGAGGGTTTTTGCATCTGTGTGCATGAGGAATATTGGTCTCTAGTTTTCTTTTGTTATGTCATTTCCTGATTTTGGAATTAGGGCGATATTGGCTTCATTGAATGATTTAGGGAGGATTCCCTCTTTCCCTATCTTTTGGAATAGTTTCAGTAGGATTGGTACCAGTTCTTTGAATGTCTGATAGAATTCAGCTGTGAATCCATCTGGTCCTGGACTTTGTTTTGTTGGCAGTTTTTTTATTACTGTTTCAGTCGTGCTACTTGTTATTGGTCTGTTCAGAGTTTCCATTTCTTTCTGGTTTAATCTAGAAGGGTTGTATATTTCCAGGAATTTATCCATTTTTCTCTAGGTTTTCTAGTTTTTGTGCATAAAGGTGTTCATAGTAGCCTTGAATGATCTTTTGTATTTCTGTGGTATCGGTTGTAGTATCTCCCATTTCGTCTCTAATTGAGCTTATTCAGATCTTCTCTCTTCTTTTTTTGGTTAATCTTGCTAATGGTCTACCGATTTTCTTTATTTTTCCACAGAACCAGCTTTTTGTTTCATTTATCTTTTGTAGTGTTTGCTTCAGTTTTATTTAGTTCTGCTCTGATATTTGTTATTTCTTTTCTTCTGCTGGGTTTGAGTTTGATTTGTTCTTGTTTCTCTAGTTCCTTGAGGTGTGAGCTTAGATTGTCTGTTTATGCTCTTTCAGACTTTTTGATGTAGACATTTAATGCTGTGAACTTACTAAATGTAGTGCCGCTTTTGCTGTATCCCAGAGGTTTTGATGGGTTGTGTCACTATTGTTCAGTTCAAAAAATTTTAATTTCCATCTTGATTTCATTGTTGACACAAAGATCATTCAAGAGCAGATTATTAAATTTCCATGTATTTGTATATAGTTTTGAGGGTTCCTTTTGGAGTTAATTTCCAATTGTATTCCACTGTGGTGTGAGAGGGTACTTGATACAATTTCAGTTTTCTTAAGTTTATTGAGACTTGTTTTGTGGCCTACCATATGGTCTATCCTTGAGAATGCTCCGTGTGCTGGTGAAAATAATGTATATTCTGCAGTTTTTGGGTAGAATGTTCCGTAGGTATCTGTTAAGTCCATTTGTTCTAAGGTATAGTTTAAGTCCATTGTTTCTTTGTTGACTTTCTGTCTTGATGACCCGTCTAGGGCTGTCAGTGGAGTATTGAAGTCACCCACTATTATTGTGTTGCCATCTGTCTAATTTCTTAGGTCTAGTAGTAATGGTTTTATAAATTTGGAAGCTCTGGTGGTAGGTGCATATATATTTTGGATTATGACATTTCTTGTTGGACTAATCATTTTACTAGTATGTAATGTCCCTCTTTGTCTTTTTTAACTGTTGTTGCTTTAAAGTCTGTTTTGTCTGATATAAGAATAGCTAGTCCTGCTTGCTTTTGGTTTCCATTTGCATGGAATATCTTTTCCCACCCCTTTACCTTAAGTTTATGTGAGTCCTTATGTGTTACGTGAGTCTCCTGAACACAGCAGATTCTTGGTTGGTGGTCCAAATGTATCTTTTAAGAGGAGCATTTAGGCCATTTACATCCAACGTAGTATTTGAGATGTGAGGTACTATTCTATTCATCATGCTAGTTGTTGCTTGAATACTTTGATTTTGTTGTTTTTTCATTGTGTTATTGTATAGGCCCTGTAAGATTTAGGTTTTAAGAAGGCTCTATTTTGGTGTACTTCAAGGTTTTGTTTCAAGATTTAGAATTCCTAGGCTGAGTGTAGTGGCTCACACCTGTAATCCCAGCACTTCGGGAGGCCCAGGCGGGCATCACCTGAAGTCAGGAGTTCAAGACCAGCCTGGCCAACATGGCAAAACCCTATCTCTACAAAAAATACAAAAATTAGCTGGGCATGTTGGTAAGCCCCTATAATCCCAGCTACTGAGGAGGCTGAGGTACAAAAATCACTTGAACCCATTAGGCAGAGGTCGCAGTGAGCCAAGATCACACCACTGCCTTCCCGCCTGGGCGACAGAGCAAGATTCCATCTCAAAAAAAGAAACAAAAAACAAAGATTTAGAACTCCTTTCAGCATTTCTTATAGTGCTGGCTTGGTAGTGGTGAATTCTCAGCATAGATATCTCTCCTTCATTTAGGAAGCTTAGTTTTGTTGGATACCTTTTAAGGAGACTAAACACGTTGCCACACGCTGTTCTGTCCATCCATGTGGGAGCTGCACGTTAGTCCTGTCCCCTTATCCGCCATTTTCCTCCTCAGCACAGCAGATCAACATGTTTGCCTCTTTGTTTTGTTCTCTCCAGGGCCCCAGCAGATTGGATGGTGCCCACTCACATTTGAATGCAGATCTTCCTTACCTAGTCCAGAGATTCACATGCTAATCTCTGCTCATTCATTTTTAAACCATTCAATTATAAAAGCCTTGCATTTTTCAGACACCTGTTATCTTTTTCTTTTCTCAACCATTATTTGCCATTTGACCCTTGCAATAATCCATGCTCCTTTATTATGATACGAACTCTTCTTTCTGCTAATTGTTTTTTAACATTTTTAAAAGTATTATCTTACAAGATTCTGCTTCACAGTGTAACACAAGGTGCTAATAAAAGAAAAAAGTGCTGTATCAGGTGACAGTCTTAAGATTTTTGATAAAAATGTAGAAAGCACTGTACATACTTTGCCTCCAGTGCCTCTCTGGCTTCTGCTTACTGCTAAATACTGATGACTAAAAATAGATCTGCAAAGTTAAATAATAATAATGTTTTAAAAAGTTTCATGCGCGTCTGTATGAAGAGACCACCAAACAGGCTTTGCATGAGCAACAAGGCTGCTTATTTCACCTGGGTGCAGGCGGGCTGAGTCCGAAAAGAGAGTCAGTGAAGGGAGATAGGGGTGGGGCCATTTTATAGGATTTGGGTAGAAAAAAGGAAAATTGCAGTCAAAGGGGGTTGTTCTCTGCCTGGCAGGAGTGGGGGTCACAAGGTGCTCAGTAGGGGAGCTTTTGAGCCAGGATGAGCCAGGAGAAGGAATTTCACAAGATAATGTCATCAGTTAAGGCAGGAACAGGCCATTTTCACTTCTTTTGTGGTGGAATGTCATCAGTTAAGGCAGGAACCGACCATCTGGATGTGTGCGTGCAGGTCACAGGGGATATGATGGCTTAGCTTGGGCTCAGAGGCCTGACAAAAAGTTTCATTTACATATTGGTAGTAGTCTTTCAGAGCCTCACGCCTACAAAATTTTATCAGCTCTTTCAAATACTGCTGTCAATTTCTTAGTCCTGTAATAACTATGATTTAACTGATACATATTTAAATTATAACACGTTATCTTCCAGATTTTGTCTTCCCTTGAGTATCTAAGATCATGTTTTAGTATTAGCATAAGATGAGATATAGGCAGTTTTTCTCAAAAGCATCCCACAGAAAAGTGTTGCTTTACTTCAAGTTCTACTGAGCCTTTTATTAAAAGATGCTGGTAAAAGGAATTTGAGGAGAAGAAAAAAATTTTTTAATGTTAAAAAAGATGCTCTGAGCTTGTTTCAAATAGTAAAGTACTGTTTCAGAAGACATTAGCCTGAAAGGATTTCAGATCTCAATTGATAATAGTTTTGGATGCAGATTAAAGAATACCCAACAGAATTGACTGAAACAAAAAGAGGCAAGGAATTTTAAACAGATTTATTAATTGATTCAGATTTATTAATTTACTAATTGATCACCCTACATTTACAGGTGTTAGAGTAGATATCCTTAAGAATAAACATACCTTATAGAAACTTTAATCAGCCTGGGCAACACAATGAGACCCCATCTCTACAAAAAATCAAAAATGGCTGGGCGCAGTGGCTCACGCCTGTAATCCCAGCACTTTGGGAGGCCAAGGCAGGTAGATCACAAGGTCAAGAGATCAAGACCATCCTGGCCAACATGATGAAACCCCATCTCTACTAAAAATACAAAAATTAGCTTGGCGTGGTGGCATGCACTTGTAGGCCCAGCTACTTGGGAGGCTGAGGCAGGAGAATCGCTTGAACCCAGAAGGCAGAGGTTGCAGTGAGCCGAGATCACGCCCCTGTACTCCAGCCTGGCGACAAAGCGAGACTCTGTCTCAAAAAAAAAAAAAAAAAAATCAAAAATTAGCCAGGCATGGTGTTACATACTTGAGGCTGAGGTTGGGGGTGGGGGCGGGATAAAAGAAACTTTAAGAAACCAGTACAGTACAGAAGTGCCTACTCGTTGAGGTCACAGATACATCACTACAGGATGAATAAAACCCAAAAAAAACTTCCTAATGCATGCAAATGTGTATTATACAGCTGTTAAGTAACATACATATCACCTTAATAAAAATCAAGATGAAATGTTTTAGAAACTATTTTATCAAAAGTGGCTCTGATACAAAGACTTGTACATGATTGTTCACAGCAGCACTATTAATGCCAAAAAGTAGACAAAACCTAAATGTCCATTAACTGATAAGCAAAATGTGGTATATCCATACAATGGAATATTATGTAGCCCACAACATGGCATGGAGTACTACAACATGGATGAGCCTCAAAAACGTTATGCTAAATGAAAAAAGTCAGATATAGGAAACCACATGTCATATGATCCCATTTATATGAAATAGCCAGAAAAGGCAAGTCATAGAAACAAGATAGATCGGAGATGGGTTGGAGGACTACAAATGGCACCAGGGATCTTTGAAGTTGATGGAAATGTTCTAAAATCAGACTGTGGTTGTGGTTGAACAAGTCTGTAAATTTACCAAAATGCGTTAATACACTTAAAACAGCTGAATGTTATGATCTGTATTTAGTAAAGCTCTTTTTAAAATATGGCTCTACTACTGCTAGAGACATTGATATCAAAGATGCAGAGTTTGAATAATTGTTTCAGGAAAAGTTTATATATTCAGTACTACAGATAAGTTTTTTTTTTAAAGGAGAACCTTTTTCGCTGTTATAAACAACTTCATTTATAGCATAATAAACATACTTTCAGTCAATTTCTTTACAATCTAAAGACCCCTGAACTAAATTTTATGTTGTGTCTTAAGTATTTCAAAACCCATCCATGTCAAACTGATAATTTTACTATTGCTTGATACTATGTTATTTCCCTTATGGGTAAAACTTCGATCAGTGGCCAAATCTGAAAAGCAAGAAGACACTCTTGTCATCTGAACAGTTCTATTAGGATGTTGTTAGCTTTTTGAAAATATTATATACTAACTCTTAAATTATATTTAAATGCCAGCTACCCAATGGTGCCAGAAGATTATTGCAATTGTTTTTACCCAAGTATAATTTTTAAAATAAAATCATGTTGCATTGCATTTTTCTAAAATCATTAGATTTATAATTGAATAATGTAGACTTACAATTTTTTTTAGGGCCAAGAAAAAAGAAAAGAAACTTAAATGATTCCAGCCTATTTGTATCTGCTGAAGAGGTAAGGCTAATGTACTGTTTTAACAAGCTAGCTATTCTACATTATTTTTAGTTTTCTAATAAATTTATCGTTTTTGTTTAAAAGTTTGGCCATCTATTGGATGAAAATATGGGATCCAAGTTTGATAACATTGGCATGAATGCCATGGCTAACAAAGATAATGCAAGTAAGTAACTTAAATTTTTTTATTGATGTTTTAAAAATAGCTTTGGCTTGGAACTTCAGAAGATAGGAAATTTTCGTTATTTTATTTATTCTTTTTTTTTTTTTTTTTTTTTTTTTTTTTTTTTTTTTTTTTTTTTTTTGAGACAGCGTCTCACTCCCTTGCCCAGGTTGGAATGCAGTGGCATGATCTTGGCTCACTGCAACCTCCATCTCCCATGTTCAAGTAATTCTCCTACCTTAGCCTCCCAAGTAGCTGGGATTACAGGCATGCACCACCACGCCCAGCTAATTTTTGTATTTTTAGTAGAAACAGGGTTTCACCATGTTGGCCAGGCTGGTCTCGAACTCCTGACCTCAAGTGACCCGCCTGCCTCGGCCTCCCAAAGTGCTGAGATTACTGGTGTGAGCCACCATGCCTGGCTGATAGGAATATTTTTGAAAGACCTTTTCATGGTACTTTACAACCTGAAAGGAATGGCTTTTTCTTCTCTCAGGAGAACATGTAAGATTAACAAGTATTTAGACTAAAGCAAAAAAAAAAAAAACCTTGCAGACTACAAAAATTACTTTTTTTTAGGGAAGTGGGCCGTTTTTACATATTGATTGTTACTGGTTTTTATTTCACCAGTAAAAGTGCTTGGGGAGAGAAAATCTTTAGAGCATTTGTTTCTTTTCCTTCCTTAGTCATTTCTTTTTGAAACATTTATCTTTGACAATAAATATGAGAAGAAAAGCAACAAACAAGCAGTGGGTTTGTATAGTGGGTGGGAAACCACAGGCCAAGGCAGGCTAGAAGTTCCTGTGACTCAGCAGCATGTTCTGTGGGACCACCAAGAGTCTACAGTGTGGTAGTACACTCATCTTTTCTTCTTCTCTCAAAGGTCTCAAACAGCTTAGATGGGAGGCTGAACGTGATGACTGGCTACACAACAGAGATGCAAAAAGTATCATCAAGAAAAAGAAACATTTTAAAAAGAAGAGGATTAAAACCACTCAAAAAACTAAAAAACAAAGGAAATGAGTTATTAATGTAAATTATAGATTAAAATTCTACTTACATCTAATTTTTGCTGTTCAACCATGTTTTTTGATCTAGCTCTCTGATTCCATACATTCCAGACTTCTCAGTGGATTTGTAATAAACTATAAATAAAAATAGCTCTCATTTATAAAGTCATGTGGAAGCATTGTTAAAATTAAATGTATTGAAAAAAACAACTTCTTTTTTCCATATTGCTACATAACAAAATGAAAAAGAGGACAGTAGGATTACAGACTTCACATATAAGTCCTGGCATCTCTGATCATTGTAATGAGCACTATTTCGTCTAACTACATGATGTCATCTTGTTCAGTCTTTATCTACTTGACAGAGAAAGAGACAGCTCCAAGAAGTTAGCAAACCTGAGATGAAACTGATCTTTTAAAACCAAAGGTTTAAACTGTGGTTTGATTCTATCACCTCATATATGAATGATTCCAGAGTTTACATTCTTAACCACTAGAAGAATTCAGAATCCAGCCCATTACCTAATTCTCCTCTCACTAGAATAGATGAGAATTTAGTCTCAGAAGAACTAAAATACATGTGAATAGTATTGTTAGAAATTCCTTGTAAAGAAATTACTACATAATTTATAGGTTACCTGAAGAAGTTGTTTTATACTTATTTTTACTTAAGGAAAAACATACCTTCCAAGATGAAGGGATATTTCTTGCTCATTGTTTGCCTGAAATCTGATGGAAAAAAGGATGTCTTGAAATTAGATATGAACAGAAATTCATTATATTAACACAGCCACAATTTAATGCTAGCTTTAGGGTCCATATGATGGGAACCATATAGATTAGAAATTTGTTTGAAGGTCTTTCTGGTAATCCAGGAACGATCTCCTTTTGTTTTTTTGAGTCAGGATCTCTCTCCCTGTTGCCCAGGCTGCAGTACAGTGGCACAGTCACAATCCACCACTGCCTAGACCCCCCTGGGCTGGGCTCAAGCGAGCCTCCTACGTCAGCCAAGGTCAAGTAGCTGGGATGGGGCTCAGGGGAGCCTCCTACCTCAACCTCCCGAGTAGCTGGGACTACAGGAGCACACCATCATGCCCAGCACTTTTTTTTTTTTTCTTAAGATACAGTGTCTTGTTATGTTTAGCCCAGACTGAGCTCAAGCAGTCCTTCCACCTTGGCCTCCCGAAGTGCTGGAATTACAAGTGCAAGCCATCACACCCAGCCATGACACTTTTTAAAACTGATCCCAAGCTTTAATTTGTTTTTAAATACTGTTGGGATGTTTTTTTAATACCCTTCCTTAGAGTTTAAAAGAAAAGGGATTTTTTGAGTATCCAGTAGCATCTTGGTACAGCGTTCCAACCAAGTATGCTGAGGAAGACTGTGGCAAGTTTCAAAGATGGCTATCATGCCAGGTCTATTCCCTGTTTTAGGGAAAAATCACTTCCTAATTTAAAAAGTTGAGAGCTCTAATATAAAATTTCCCCAAGAAAAATGTTAAAGCACTTTCGGCCATAGCATGTGAAAGTCTTAGTGCCCACTGTTGATGCCCAGGAAGAATACTATAGCCTGAGAAAACTGGTTACTCAGAAAACAGCAATACCAGTTACTTTCTTAGTCTACCAAACAATGAAGTATAATGGGCAGGCTAAGTTTCCTCCATCTGTGCTCCCAAACTAAGCCAGACCAAGGACACTTGCTATATCCTCCACAATAGTAAAATCCATGGAGGTATGAAATTTTTTCCTTAGCCCACAAACAACATTTTTAAGGGAGAAGTGAGAGTGATCTAGTCCACAATAATGAATACTTTGATTCCTGTTCTGCCCCTAAAAATGTCTAATATCTTGAATCTGAAGAACCAATTTCTCCAAACATGCCATTGCCATTTAACACATAAAATGGATTAGCAAAACTATACCCCTTTAGAAAGCATTAACTTCTGAATTATGATTACCTTGGCTTGTGTGCATCTTGCTAAACAAAAAATATGCTCCAAAAACGCCTACAAGTTCGGCTACCAAAACTCCTTTAAAGATCTTCTTTGCTAGTGGTTCCAAAGTACGGGCCATCCTAAATTTAACAACAGATATGTGTAAACCTGAATGAACATACTTAAACTACTATTATCATTTCTCTAATAACTCAAATTCATTCCCACAGTTTGAATGGCTTCTCTGTATGGGAGTAAGACCAATACTATGGTATACTTTTTTGGTTTAGACATCCTATCTACCTAGTTTTCAAACTCCATGCCTGAGGGGCATGATGAACCAAAGACAAAATTGGATAAAGCACAGGAAAGAGAGAAAATGCAAGAAAGCGTTGTAAAAAGAACAATTTACGGAACTAAAATTATTTAATTGTGTAGGAAAACAGAATGGGGAAGATAATTTTTTAGCTGCACTGGGAGTTAAGAAATAATCTAAATGGATACAATATATAAACAGCTCTTTGTAAAGTGCCGTACAAAAGTAAGATCTTTCTCAAGTGGTTCTACACTTTCTAAAGGGCTGGAGTTCTTCATTTATTAATACAACATACACTATTACATATACTATATATTATAGATAGTATAGATATCCTATATACTGATACATACTAATAATACAACATATACTAAACTATTAATACAACATATACTAAACTGTGCCATAGTTCAGGCATTTGGAGTGCAGTGGCACAATCTCAGCTCACTGGGCTCAAACAATCCTCCCACCTCAGCCTCCCGAGCAGCTGGGACCACTGGCATGCCTGGCTATTTTTTTGTATTTTTTGTATTTTTAGTAGACACAGGGTCTCACCATGTTGCCCAGATTGGTCTCGAACCCGTGAGCTCAAGCAATCCGCCCACCTCAGCCTCCCAAAGTGCTGGGATTACAGGCATGAGCCAGTAATCTGCCCTTTCGCAGACACGCAGTAATTTTTATACAAATGGGGGCAGGGGATGGAAACTGATTGGGTGATGAACCAGTTAAGTGGCAAAACTACAGACCGGTTAGATCTTGATTGTCTTCCTTTAAAAGCTAATCAGGAAAAAGCGTTTGTGTCATTATTCTTTTTCAAATTAAAGATAAGCTAAGAAAATAGAATATAAGACTTACTGAAGACATTAATGTAAACCCAAGTTTTTAGTCAGCCTCCTTATAACCTCAAAGTCCAGAAGAGGAGAACCACTTGTTTTTCAGATTTTTCTATTGTCCTGTGTGTGCTCTTTTGTTCTCAATCCCAGCTCGCTGCTGTCAGGTGTTTACTCCATTCACTTCCGACCCCTTTTCAATGCCTGAGGGTGGGTGTAATCAAATAACCTTCCTTTTGTAGGATTATTCTGCTGATATCTTACCAGGTGGCCCTCCCCACCACCCCCCAAATTCCCTCATTTTAATAATGTGATCACCCTGGGGACCAAAAGATTAAAACTTTATTATTCTTATTTAAAAGAAATGAAGCAAAGAAATTTACAAAGTAATTCATATATAACTAAGAGGCAGTTGAGTGGTGGGAAGGGACAGTTGTTTTGCTCCATTCACTACAATGCTGTACATGACTGACAGAAAGTAAGTCATGCTCAGTACAGATGCCTCTCTTGGGGTTATTTTTTTTTTATTTTATTTTTGGAGACACGGTCTCGCTCTGTCGCCCAGGCTGGAGTGCAGTGGCGCGATCTTGGCTCACTGTAACCTCCGCCTGCCGGATTCAAGCAATTCTCTTGCCTCAGCCTCCCCAGTAGCTGGGAGCTGGGACTCCCGCCACCAGGCCCAGCAAATTTTTTGTATTTTAGTAGAGACGGATTTCACCCTGTTGCCCAGGGTGGTCCCCAACTCCTGAGCTCAGGCAATCCACAGGCCTCGGCCTCCCAAAGTGCTAGGATTACAGGCGTGGGCCACCGCGCCTGGCCTATTTTTATTTTTTTGAGACTGGGTCTTGCTGTCTCCCAGGCAGGAGTGCAGTGGTGCGATCCTGGCTCACTGCAACCTCCGTCTCCCGGGTTCAAGTGATTCTCCTGCCTCAGCCTCCCGAGTAGCTGGGATTATAGGCGTGTGCCACCACGTCTGGCTAATTTTTTGTATGTTTAGTAGAGATGAGGTTTCACCATGTTGGCCAGGCTAACTTCCGACCTCAAGTGATCCTCCCGCCTCGGCCTCCCAAAGTGCTGGTATTACAGGCGTGTGCCGCCACGCCCGGCCTCTTGGGGTTATTTTTAATGTTCAAGGAATGAACAAAGACCGCCTGCAGCCAGTTCCATTATTCAAGGAATCGAAGTAAAATTTTGTTTTAAGAGAGGGTGGTGCTAAGAAATAAAGTCCATCTGTAGGCCAGGGTTAAAAGAAAAGAAAATAAAGTGCGAATAATACTGTACGGCTGCCTTGGTGTATAGTGGTGAGCATAGCTGCCTCCAAATAACACCGTACAACAAAGTATTTACCTTTTTAAAAATACATATACGTTTTGCACTGAGGCTCTCGGCTTCAGGAGGCTGATAAAACTTCAAGTTCCTTTGCTACAGACCACCAGGGATACACCTGTCCACCCACAAAGAAGTGAGGTTTACTAGCTGCGGCAAGGGAGACACGGCAGACCAGCGCCTGCCTTCTCGGCACAGGGAAAGGCATCATTCCGGGAAGTTTAGGTGAAGTTTAACACGAAGCCGCCTCTGACAGATTCGGCGCAGGGCTGTGTGTCATGCAGTTAACATCACACGGGGCTGAGACGCTGACTCGGGGACACAAGCTCAAGCCAAATGTGCAATGCTGGGTCGGAAGCCCCTTATCCCGGGATGCGCTCCAGGGAATCGGGGCGGCCTCCCAGCTTAGCGTCTGCAGGCTACGCGGTTTCAAGCAGCAACGTCTCTCCCAGCCTAGCTGTGCAGAGGACGACTTTTCAACAGAGGCCGAGAGCTGGCCGCCTCCGCTCCCCCGGCTCCCGGCTCCTGCCGCGGTCCCACCCAGCTCCCGCTTCCCCCGGTTCCCTGGTGCCCTCGGCTGCCCTCAGCTCTCCCCTAGCCCGCGGAACGCTAGGCCCGGGCCTGCAGGCGACACGCGCGGGCACGCACGGAGCACGGCCCGGCCGCCAGACCACGGCCGCCTAGCGACCCGGAAACACTCGCCTCCAGTGAATTAAGGCAGTGACACCTGACTATCCTCCACATGCCCCCAGAACTGTGACGAGGCCCCACGCAGAAGACCGCCCCACTCTCGTCGCACTAGGGACCCCGAAATCCGACCGCCCATGGGAAGCCACTCGCCAGAGTCTTACCTGAGGTGCGTTCAAGGGGGACTGCGCATGCGCAACGGTTGGCGACGCTCCACCCCTTCCGTTGTCGGCTCCGCCCCCACATTCGTAATTACTATTAATTGTACTCTGACCGCGACCCGAACCTGACTGCCCTCTATGTACATTATTTTACGGAATGTTCGCAATAACACATGCAACAGGTGCTGAGTGTATCTCATTTTACGGAGAAAGCAAGAGGCTTACACTGCCCACAATCGCAGTTAGTAAAATCAGAATTCACATTTAAACCCAGGAAACTGACTACGTGTAGCCTGTTCTGGGTCGTTTTTCTAACACCCTGAAACTTAAAGTGTGATAGTCTCAGAGGACTACCAACATAAGCATCACCTGAAAACTTGTTAGAAATGAAGAACTAGGCCGGGCGCGGTGGCTCACGCCTATAATCCCAGCACTTTGGGAGGCCTAGATGGGAGGATCACGACATCAGGAGACCGAGACCATCCTGGCTAACACGGTGAGACCCCGTCTCTACTAAAAATACGTTTAAAAAAAAATAGCTGGTCGTAGTGGCATGCGCCTGTAGTCCCAGCTACCGGGGAGGCTGAGGCAGGAGAATCGCTTGAACCCGGGAGGCGGAGGTTGCAGTGAGCTGAGATCGCACCACTGCACTCCAGCCTGGGCGACAGAGTGAGACTTTGTCTCAAAAAAAAAAAAATGCAGAACTACTGAATCTGAAACTGCATTTTAGCCAGATCCCTAAAGAATTCGTTTGCAAAGTAACACTTGAGAAAGCGCGAAGGGGACATGGAAACAGAGAAGAGAAAAAGAATATAAAAGTATATTGAAGTACCGTGTGCAAGACAAAGCCTGGAACACCCAAAACAGGCACAGATCTACCTTCATCGAAGTTCTAGTCTAGTTAGGGGTATTTACCACAAATAACTGATGGAAAGTACACAATGATAAGGGCCTTGCTTCTAATCCGAGGAATCTGTAAAGGTTTTAGAGAAGGGGTGATAGCTGGAGCTAACTCTGTCCACGCCAAGTAAAGGAAGTGCCTCTGCAAGGTGCTCTGTGATTGCCCCAATTTTCCTAACACCCGCCCCACCCCTAGTCCAGCCCATGTGGTTCATCTGTGTAACTAAAGCATCATAAATTGTGAAAAACATATGAATTTAGGGAGAACAAAAACTTTCAGACCATATAGCAAGGCTCCACTACATTGGTTTGAAATACCAGAATATCAGTGTTAAAAGTACCAGGATGACAAAGCAAGATGAAAAAGCTATTGGGGCTTGGTGCGGTGGCTCACACCTGTAATCCCAGCACTTTGGGAGGCCAAGGTGGGCAGATAACCTGAGGTCAGGAGTTCAAGACCAGCCTAGCCAACAAGGAGAAACCCCATCTCTACTAAAAATATGAAAATTAGCTGGGTGAGGTGGAGCATGCCTGTAATCCCAGCTATTCGGAAATCTAAGGCAGGAGAGTTGCTTGAACCCAGGAGGCAGAGGTTAAAGTGAGCCAAGATCGTGCCACTGCACTCCAGCCTGGGCGACAGAGTAAGACTGTGTCTCAAAAATGGAAGGAAGGAAGGAAGGAAGGAAGGAAGGAAGGAAGGAAGGAAGGAAGGAAGGAAGGAAGGAAAGAAGGAAGGAAGGAAGGGAGGGAGGGAGGGAGGGAGGGAGGGAGGAAGGAAGGAGAAAGAAGAAAAGGTCATTGGAATGGTTCAGATTGAAAAAAAGAAAAGAGGAGAAAAAAAGCTTAAAGAAATGATAACAAGCTTTACCAACTTGGGCCTAGCAGAATGGCTCCTGCAAAGAACAGTGGCAAGAAGAAAATGGACCATTCTGCCATCAACGAGGTGATGACCCAAGAATACACCAACATTCACAAGCACATCCACAGAGTGGGCTTCAAGAAGCATGTCCCTCAGGCACTCAAAGAGATCCGGAAATTTTGCAATGAAGGAGATGGGAACTCCAGATGTGTGCATTGATACCAGGCTCAATAAAGTTGTCTTTGCCAAAGGAATAAGGAATGTCCCGTACCGTATCCGCGTGCAGCTGTCCAGAGGATGTAATGAGGATGAAGATTCACCAAATAAGCTCTGTACTTTGATTACCTATGTACCTGTTACCACTTTCAAAAATCTACAGATAGTCAGCCAGGCACGGTGGCTCATGCCTGTAACCCCAGCACTTTGGGAGGCCAAGATGGGCAGATCACTTGAGGTCAGGAGTTCAAGACCAGCTTGGCCAATATGGTGAAACCCTGTCTCTACTAAAAATACAAAAAATTAGTCAAGATCTCACTGCACTCCACCCTAGGTGACAGAAAAAGGCTTTGTCTCGAAAAAAAAAAAATCTACAGACAGTCAATGTGGATGAGAACTAACCACTGAATCTTCAACTACATCAAATATAACTATATAAATATAAAATTTCTTTCACGAAAAAACAGAAATTATAAGAAAGACTAAAATAATTGTATAGAAATGTCATGATTTCTGCAGGAAAATATATATAAACTAATAACGATATTGCACAAAGCTTGACATTTTGAGATAAGACACATTTTGGCCAGAAGGTTTGGAGCAGGAAAAGTGTAGACTCCAGTAGAAACTTTTACCAAGGGTCCTTTAGCGACAGTGCCTTCCTGGTCCTAGCCTGATTTACTAACTCTGGTAGAGGGATGCAAATGACTAGAAAGATGTGCTAGTTCTCTCCAAAGCACAGAAGCAGGCTAAAATCCCAGTCTTCTGTAGTGGCCATAGGGACCTCCACTTTAACAAATATGTACTAGGTTTGCTGTCCATTCTCCCATCTTCACCTTAAAGCCTAGACATTTCTTTTCATATTTTCTCCTTCTTCTCCTTCTTCTCCTTCTTCTCCTTCTTCTTCTTCTTCTTCTTCTTCTTCTTCTTCTTCTTCTTCTTCTTCTTCTTTTTCTTCTTCTTCTTTTTCTTCTTTTTTTTTTGGTAAATGTCTATAGACTGGAAAAAAACAAAGGAAAAGAAGGTAAGAGGGCATGGTGTCTTTAATGCCAAGGAAATAAACTTTATTTTATTATTATTATATTTTGAGACAGAGTCTCACTCTGTCACCCGGGCTGGAGTGCAGTGGCACGATCTCAGCTCACTACAAGCCCTGCCTCCCGGATTCAAGCGATTCTCTTGCCTTGGCCTCCCAAGTAGTTGGGACTACAGGCACGCACCGCCACACCTGGCAATTTTTTTTTTTTTTTTTTTAAGTAGAGACAGAGTTTCACCATGTTGGCCAGGCTGGTCTCAAACTCCTGAGCTCAAGCAATCCGCCTGCCTCAGCCTCCCAAAGTGCTGGTATTATAGGTGTGAGCCACCACACCCAGGCGGAAAGAAACTTTAAATAAGCCTCCCATGCAGCTGCCTCTGGGGCTTGAGCCAGGCCACAGCTGGCAAAGCCTGATAGGTCTGCGGTAATTTATCTCCAATATGGGTAAGACACAAGGAGCTGAAAGAAGCTAGGACTTCATATAACATGAGACCCACCTGGACTCATACGTATGACAGTTCAAACATATCACACGATACAGGTTATTCTGTAATTATTCACGGCTGGTATCCTCCCTCCATTATGCTTGCCAGACAACTCAGAGTTGAGTATGTAGAACTGTAAGGTTAACAGGTTGACCTAAGCCTAGACAAACTAAGAATCAGAGTTCCCATTACCAATCCCAAAGAGCCTCCTAAATCCTCCTATAATTACAGGCATTAGTGTCAGAACAAGATCCAACCCATTGTCTTTTTAAGTTTTTTACTCACTAAGAAGCAAGCAAGCAAACAACAACTATGTTTGAATCAATGTTTTAAATTCTACCTGACCAGAGGGAAACAAAGACTTTTTGTAATGTAAGGGATAATCCCGCTAAGCAGATTGGCAAGGAGTTCAGTCCTGTTCCTCTTTTATTTTTGGGGAGGGAAATTCTTAAATACACCTTTGCAACTACAGCTAATATCATCACATTATTATATAAGGCAAGAAGGCCTTCAAGTGGGAGTGATGTATAGAAATATAAAAATACTAAGATATTCAGATATTCTGATTTTACCTTTTCACATACTGCTTCTTTAAAAAATAAATATTCACCTACATAATGAAACCCGGATACCTGTGCCTAGCTAGGAACCCTCTCTGGTCAGTTCTTTCCCCTCTGTAAAATGGAGATTAAAAAGTACTGACACACATCCACCACCTGCCTCTCACTTTCTGTTGACATATAGAATTTCCTCAATTCCAAGATGTACTTGTTTCCATATGTTTACATATGTTTACATTTCAGAAATAGGAATGCATCTTACAATTGATATATATATTGAATATAGTATTTGTCCCAAAATGCTGTTATTAAATAAAATGTTTTAGTGATGCAGGTTTTTTCTTGGCTGCTTAACCAGCCAGAAACCTCTAATGCCAGCAACACTGCAGGAGGCACCCAGCCCAACCAGCTGTACTTGCTTGCACTCCCACCTAGATCCAGTGCTTGCGGTGGGATCCACACTCAGCCCGCTGCTGGGCCGGCCATGCCACGACCTGCTTCCACCTTGGGCAATGGTGTCTGCATGAGGGGAACATGGTGACACCCAAACAGGGATGCCAGCAACCCCAATCCCCAGAGCGGGTGTTATAGCATGCTAACAGCTCTTTTAGTCCCATTGCTCCACTCCCTGCTGCTGCTCCTGGGCTGGCCTGGCCCTGTCACTCCTTCCCTCATGTGGGGCGGCTGCCCTACACCAGTGAAGGGTGGGGGATACAGTATTACAGTTTTTTTCGTACCCACCTTCAGGCTAAGGGGGCTACCTGCCTTAGGGTGGCAGACCACGCTGTTTGATTCCCATCTCTGCTGATAGCTGTTCCATTGTTCAATAAAACTCTTCTCTGCCCTTCTCACTCTTTGGTTTTCAGCATAACCTCATTCTTCTTGAATGCAGGACAAGAACTTGCGATCTGCCAAATGTGGGTACAAAAAAGGCTGTAACACTGTGATCCTCTGCCTCCTGCTCGTGCCTGCAGCCAACCCACACAATGGAAAGCAGCAGCCAGGCTGGGCCAGCCGTGGAGCCTATGGGCCTGAGTAGGCAGGGGACTGAATGAGCTATAACATAGGCAGGCTGGGGCACCAGGCTGAGCCAGGCCCAGGCGGGGATGTGCCATCCTGCATCACTAGAACCCAGGAAATTTATTGCCCTTGTGGTCCTAAAAATCTCTCTCCTCAGAAAATAAGATTTTTTTTTTTTTTTTTTTTTTTTGCAGTGAAAAATGCCATGGCCTTGTTTCTCATAGCAGGTAAAGAAGAACCAAAGAATTCACTGGTACTAACAATTAAACCTATGCCCTCTGAGATCTCATTGTAAGTGTCTTTCTGCCTGGACTTAGCTGTACTGCCTGCGTTCCAACCCTAGCCCCTCCAAATCCTGACTCTGCAATTGTAACCAGGAACCCCAGCTTTTAAAATATCTTTTAATCACTCACTTTCTTTCCCTCCCCTCTTACCCCTTCATTCCTTCCCTCTCTAGACCTTCTCCCCTGGCAATGCATGTTTATCTAATTGTTTTCTTGGTTAAAAAATTCCAGAAGCTAATCTTGAAACAAACCAAGTGCAGAGCCCCAACTACAGAATCCTTGTGCTTAGGGGGAGTCGCAAACATTTTCTCCACTACCATTGGGCTGAAATCAAGATAATGCCAGCCAGACCTCCAAACAGGCAATTACCCAAGATATCCGTTGAAACAAGACATACAGACCCTGCATCCTGTACCACTCCCAAATGTCTCCCATACATTTCCCCCTTAAAAACGCTATGGTCAATTTTAAAATTTAAGGTGGTACTTTAGAACACTAGTTCACCATCTTCTCTGTTTGCTGGCTCTCCGATTAAAACCTGCTTTTCCTCCCGCCAACCCTCACCTCTCGTCTTCTAGAAGCCACTTAGCCCCTGTGGCCTCAATTAACCTAACTGCAAAAGGTAGCAAAGCAACACCCATTTCATAAGGCTGTTAGGAAATTACATCAGATCGTTCCTGTAATCTTAGCAATTTGGAAGGGGATGTGGTACATGCAAGTACTCAATAATGTTAGCTACCCTTTTAACTGATACATGAATGACAGTACAGCTTGGTAACTAAGAATAACTAGAAGTCATCTTCTTCACTGGTTAACATTGGTTAAGAGAAAGGTAAATACAGTGAAAAAAATTACCTTCTTAGAAAAATGGAAGAAGCATAAGAAGAAAGATGTGGGGAAGAGAATGGGAGAGAAATAAGAAGAAATATACAGTCTACATTTATAGATATTTGACTTATCAAGAGGCCAAAGAGTAAATTATGACCCAGAAAATGTACCAGATAGGATATAGGCTAAACTGCTATAACTTTTGAGTAATTGCAATTGTAATTGTTGAGACTCCAATAATTCAGTGGCTCAAACAAGATGAACAATTATGCTCTTTCACATACAGGTCAGAACGAGGCCTGTTACACAGTGTGAGTCATGGGAGGGTGGCTCTCTTTCTCAAGGCCATCCAGTAAGCTGGCTTCCTCTGTCTTGTTAGTCTGCCACCCCCTGGAGTGCTGCTTTCCTCCGAATTAGCAAATCTGGTTTGCCAACACAGTATCTGCCTTCCAGGTATGGGGAAGGCACTAAAGAAAATTGGAGAGCCATCAACTTACTGTTTTAGCCACAGGGCCACACCAAGCTGCTGGGAGATGGGAAGTGTGGGCCAACTTACCCAAAGGAAAAAGGGGAGAGTGGCTGCTAGAGAAAGAGCGTACCCTAGGAAATGTTCCAGGGAGAAGCACCTTCCCCGCACACGCATTAAGAGACACAATGACGTAGTATGACCTTCTGGGGGCACTACACTAGAAAAGGGAAGAAAGCCTCAGATGGGCATGTGTACAGCTTCCTAAACACACTGCACATGCTTACTTCCCTGGGGTAAGGAGGGCAGCCCACCCTAAAGGAAGAATCATGGGAAAGTGGTGTGAGATGCTGGAAGTGGGCCAGCCTATGAAGGCCTAGCATCAAGGTTAAACATTTTGCACTTGTACTTGAAGTCATCCACTTGGGTGTCTTCTAAGTGTGCTTTCCTTTCTTTCCTGCTCTAAAGCTTTTAATAAACTTCCACTCCTGCTCTGAAACTTGCCTCAGTCTCTTTTTCGGCCTTACATCCTCAGTCAATTCTTTCTTCTGAGGAGGCAAGAATTGAGGTTACTGCAGACCCATATGGGGTAACTCAGATACATTTCCACTGTTAACAATTTTACATAAACTTTTAGAGATATATTATCATTAGCTCAGAGTAACACAACTAGTAAATGGTAGAGTCAAGGTTCAAACTCAGGTCTTTAGACTTGTGTATCTATTGAGCCAGTAAATGAGAGTGCCTAAGACTGCCCCCAAATCTGGTCTCTTTTCCACCCCACCAAATTACCTCACAATCCCATTGCTTCCTTTCACACCACAGAGGATATGTGTGGAAATCTATCAACCCAGAAGAGAACTGAGGTTTCATTCTGTGAATTTCTAATAGAAAAATTGCATGCCTGATTAAATACCTATTTGTTAGATATTTAATATATATTTTCTTCTATTAGGATATTCCATTCTTACTTTCATTGGGCAGGTTGCCGAAATGGTCATGTAATCAGCCCTTGGGGTAATATTCCCTGATCCTCAGCCTGTTTTGCACCTGTGGTTTAGCTTTTCCCAGGAGGATATGTAATAGTGAGGGAGGGGTGGATGAGAATTAAATGATTTCTTTTTCATGTGACTGGGAGGAGCCCTTTATTCCAGCCCCTGCCCAACTCCATTAAAAGCAATCACTCCCCCTGAACAGCCACAGAGCAGGTTCTTTTACAGGGAGCCACCATGGCTGATAAATCCAAATTTATTGAATACATTGACGAAGCTTTAGAAAAATCAAAAGAAACTGCACTCTCTCATTTATTTTTCACCTATCAGGGGATTCCTTACCCCATCACCATGTGCACCTCAGAAACTTTCCAAGCGCTGGACACCTTCGAAGCCAGACATGATGACATCGTGCTAGCATCTTATCCAAAGTGCGGTAAATGACAAGTCGTTTCCTACAAGTACACTTCTCATAGTGAGTAGGTTGGGGAGGGTATGAGACAAAGGTGGGATGAAGGCGGTTCCTCATTGCAGGAATCTGTCTGAGCATCAGTGAGGAGGAGGGCCACAGTGGTTAAGTACGTAGGTTGTAAAATCAGTAAATAGAACTGCTAGATTAAAAAACTCCAGTGTCTGAAGGAAGAGCTCTGTGCGGAAAGGCCATGATGGAGGATGGAGGGCAGAAGGGGGTGGATGACGGGCCTGGAAGGGAGGAGCATGAATGTGGGAAAGTCCAGTTGGCAAGGAACAGTGACAGTAGCAGTGATTTTGTCTTGATTTCTGGCTGGACAAAAGCACAGCCACTTCTATAATTTACATGATGATTTCCATGTTATAAATTATTTTTCAGGATCAAATATTGCTCCATCAGTTTCTCAAATCACTTTTACAAAGATCCTTCATCAACGGAAAATAAGACATGAAGAATCTAGATGATCCTGCTTTCTACCATCTCCTTTTGATTCTTTCTACTGTTGTTTACTAAAGCCAACCTCATTTAATATCTTTTTTTCTTAACTGATGCTGTGTTTTCATAAAATCAAAATTATAGATTCCTGTAGAAAATACATATTAATTTAATGTAAAATAATATATACAACTTATAATAAACTATTTCTATAACATAACATTGTCCTATAAGAAACATATTCTAGATTCAAAATGAAGCATTGTCCCTTGTTAAAGGAGCCATCTGTTCTCAGTTGAATTTTATACTAATTATAGGTAAATGCTGTTTTCAATCAAACCATTTCTTTCCATAGCCCAAGTTATTTCAAAGACAGAAGAACTAAATATACACATCAGGGAATGGTTGTAGATTTTAATTTTTATCATGTATATGCTAAAGTAACGTCCTTTTGTTATATCAAGACTCCGTAATGAGTTTTTATTCTCTGATTTTTCTGATAGGTTCAAACTGGATTCTCCACATTGTCAGTGAATTAATATATGCTGTTTCTAAAAAAAAGTATAAATATCCAGAATTCCCAGTTCTTGAATGTGGGGATTCAGAAAAATATCAGGTTAGTACAACCAGCCTTTAACCTTACAGCAAATTATCATAGAAAGATTTCTTCCGGTTTGGAGATTCTTTAGTTTTCAGTTTAGAAAGTGCAATGCTAATAATTACCACAATTTACTGTGTGCTTACCATATCCTCAGCACTGTTCAGGTATCATCTCATTTTCTGCAAAATAACCTTATTACCATTTCACAAAAGATAGAAATGCTAGGGACTTGCCCAAGGTCAAGGGACTAATAAATGATAGAGCCAAGATTTGAACCCAAGTTTTCCAGTTTGAGCTTTTAACAACTATACTGTATAGCCAGGCTGTTTTTGTTCTTTTTATTTTAAGTAGGGGGAAAGTAAGCTGAGAAACCTCAGGAAATGAACAGAAAAGTCTCATCTCTGAAGACATGGACCTGTGCAGGATGGTAGTAGGAATCACCAGTCTTTTCCTAGTAAACCATGATTTCTATTTGAAATGGAGTCTCACTTCATTGCCCAGGCTGCAGTGCAGTGGTGTGATCATGGCTCACTGCAGCCTCGACCTCCTGGGCTCAAGCGATCCTCCTGCTTCACCCTCCTGAGTAGCTGGGACTGCAGGCACGTGCCAGTACACCTGGTTAATTTTTTTTAATTTTTTTTGTAGAGGTAGGGTTTCATTTCGTTGCTCAGGCTGGTCATGAACTCCTGGGCTCAAGTGATCCTCCCACCTCGGCCTCCCAAAGTGCTGAGATTATGGGCATGAGCCACCGCACCCAGCCAGACATGATTTTTGATTTCCCTATCTCAGTTATGATTCACGTGTGTGTAAGGGATGGGAAGGAATCAAGCATTAGCTCAGAGAGTACGCCACTGATGTGTGTGAAGGGGATAACAGGTCACCCTAGCTGTTGTTACTTACCTTCCCAATACAACTAACTGGGTCTTGGATGTGAGATAGGATGTTCTACTCCCTGCCCAGGGAAGGCAAGAAAGGAGTGGGAGGATGGTCTACCTCAGGACTTCAGGGCTTGGACAGAAAAAAGACATGGAAGACAGCCTCTCCCCACTCCTAGACACACCAGAATGCAGCGGGGAAGGGAAGGCTGTATTCAAGGGGGAACCACAGTCTCAGTAAAACTTTCAGCAGTGTTCACCACCAAGATTCCCAACAGGCAGAGAGAACTCAGCTACTAACATAAAGCCACTGGATTGGGACTTAGGGAACAGCTTCTGGAAGGTGACTGAGACACTGGCATGATGACAAATACAAACTTGAAAGTTGGAACCTAGATGGAAGGAAGCCCATTTCCATGGATTAGGTCAAAGTAGCAGAAAAACACATGGTAAAGGGACTCAGAGGAGGGTGTTTTGGAGGTAAGTGCCGAGCCCTGGATTTGGTTGGCAACAAAGGAGCAGGGAGGGTCACCTGTACCAAAGCCAACCTGATGAAGGCTCAGCTGAGACAGGCCCAGGAACGTAGGATGGACCAACAGGGGCAGTAAGAAGCTTTGACCTAGGTAGGAAATAAAGGAAAAGCCCCATAGACTTCTCCTGTCCAGGCCTTTGCATAACCTTTTTCTAAAGAGAGTGCTTAACATCACCTTTAGAAATGATGCCAACATTTATCCAGATTTCAATTTCTCTCTCTCTGTTTTTTTTTTTTTTTTTTTTGAAATGGAGTCTCACTCTGTCACCCAGGCTGGAGTGCAGTGGTGCGATCTCGGCTCACTGCACCCTTCACCTCCTGGGTTCAAGCAATTCTCCTGCCTCAGCCTCTCGAGTAGCTGGGATTATAGGTGTGCGCCATCATGCCTAGCTAATGTTTTGTATTTTTAGTAGAGACGGGGTTTCGTCATGTTGGACAGGCTACTCTCAAACTCCTGACCTCAAGTGATCCACCCTCCTCTGCCTCCCAAAGTGCTGGGATTACAGGCATGAGCCACCACGCCTGGCCAATATGCCCTTTAATTTTAAATGGAAATCAGTGAAATGAACTTCACTTAACAATTATTTGCTTTACAGAGAACTTTTCTGGAGTACATATTTTTCCTTAAATAAGGTATCTAGTCTTTGCTCACATTTGGGCTATATTACATATTTTAGTGAACATAGTATTATATATTATGTAGCTATCTAATTTAGTTACAGTTGACTTCCATTTTTCCCTTGGGTGCTTTTCTAATCCTTTTAGTAACCTTACCATTTCTCATGTGTCTGTACATGATTTTTGGCCATGCAGTTTCATGGAAACCACAGTCTATAACTTAATCTGAAAATAACCACCTGTGCAATTTTGCACAAAGTGCTTAAAACCTCAAAGCCTGTTCTTAATCTCTAAAATGGGGGTTACGATATCTACCTAAGAGGATTGTTGTGAATGAGCATGAAAATGCTTCAAATGTTTAAAGGTACCATTTGTTGTAAATCAGATTTTACACTGCTAGTCACCGCTTGGATCCATATCATTGATTTAAAGTGCGTTTTATTTTTAAAATTTCATTTTTTGCCCCCTTGCTTGAGTTGAGATCTCCACTAAGTTTTGTTGTTTTTTTTTTTTTAAATGGAGTCTCACTCTGTCGCTCAGGCTGGAGTGCAGTGGCGCGATCTCAGCTCACCGCAACATCCGCCTCCCGGGTTCAAGTGATTCTCCTGCCTCAGCCTCCTGAGTAGCTGGGACTACAGGTGTGCACCACCACGCCCAGCTAATTTTTTGTATTTTTAGTAGAGATGGGGTTTCCCCATATTGGGCAGGATGCCCAGCCTCCACTAAGTTTTTACAGAACAATTGGCTACAAACATCTGAATATCCTTTTATCACTTACATTATATTGTAGCTGCAACCAAGCAGTAAGTGACCGCTACAGATGTGGGACTAAAAACTTGAAGCCTTACTTCCCTGCATAACATATACTAATGGTCTGATTGTAAGTGAAAACCCTTAATCCTGGCAGATTAAATAGATAATTTTATCTTCAAAATTATCTATAGAAATAGATTACAGAAAAAGAATCAATCACCTTTGTCCATATACTGACAAGAATTTCTCTCATAAAACATTTCTCGGACATTTAAGTAACTCTGTACTTTCAGGTTCCATTGAGATATTTTATTGCCTAGAGTTTTAGCTGGTTAAACAGAAAGATTTAGATGTTAAAAATGGATTCGCAGGAACTGTGGAAAGACTTGACTATTTCTGTTAAAGACCTTGAATACAGAAGAGAATCAAATTAAGTGAAAGTGTGTATTTCAGATTATGAGTTCTCTTGAACAAAATGGATTTGATATGATTGTGGGAAAAGGTAATTTTTTAAAAAATTACAAAAATGATTGGGAAATGGTAAGCAGGGTACAAAAAAGAAATTCAAGAATATTTTAATTATTGGTTTATTTATGATTCTTCATTCCTCATCTCCACAAAGTAAGAAAACAGAAATAAAGAAAAATTGGCCGGGTGCAGTGGCTCACGCCTGTAATCGCAGCACTTTGGGAGGCTGAGGCGAGCAGATTACCTGAGGTCAGGAGTTTCAGACCAGCCAGGCCAACATGGTGAAACCCTGTCTCTACTAAAAATACAAAAATTAACTGGGCATGGTGGTAGATACCTGTAAACCCAGCTACTCGGGAGGCTGAGAAAGGAGAATTGCTTGAACCCGGGAGGCAGAGGTTGCGGTGAGCTGAGATCGCGCCACAACACTACAGCCTGGGCGACAGAGTGAGACTCTGTTTCAAAAAAGAAAAATTGGAGGAGGAGGAGAAGATATAGTGACAGTAGTGCTAGAAACTATCACTTAGATACCAAACCTAGGAGTGATTCAACACACACACACACATGCACACACGTGCACATTTTCACCTTTTTGTGTATATTTTTAAGAGAATGAAAGGCTTTCCATCACCAAGGATTTTGGCAACTCACCTCCACTATGACAAATTACCTGGGTCTATCTTCGAGAATAAAGCCAAGGTGAGTGTCCTTTCCTACTGATAATTCTTTGAAATTTCTATGTATAGATATTAGTTTTTGGAAGTAGATCATGAGTTTGTTCCTTCTCATAGAAGCTTAATAAATGAACTGTGACATTTAGTTTTTTTGTTTTTGTTTCTTTCTTGACATATATTTGCTATAGTTGCACTCAAGTCAAATGCATTTTCAACAAGGAAATAAAACATATGCATAGAATAAAATGTATTTTATAATCTGTTTTACAGTGAATAATTTTCTGAATCCTGATAGAATATTTAGAGTGTTTCATGCACACACAAAAAATACAATTTAGTAAAATGAGAAAAAAATTGTTCCTTTCTTTCTGGTGAGCACTATTTACCTGAGGCCTAAAACTATTTTTTCAAATATATTTAAAATTTTTATAGAGACAGCATCTCACTATGTTGCCCAGGCTGGTCTCGAACTCCTGACTTCAAGAGATCCTTCTGCCACCAAGGCCTCCCAAAGTGGTGAGATTACAGGCATGGGACACCATGCCTCGCTGAAACTATTTTATTTTTGAATTTCACATGTAGTAACAAACTTCACAGCATGCATACAGAACTATATGTGCTTTGGCTGTTCTTATCATTTGTTTAAAAATGTTGTTTTATTAATCAGTATTGATATATTTCTTGTAATTACTAGTTTTTACCCAACCCTTTCTGTTTCCTCTCTCCTGGTCTCCCCTCTGTTCCTTATTTCTTGGTGCCTTTTTTCTGTCTCAGAAGAAAATGATTTGAATTAGTTACAATCAAGATTTATTTAAACTCCCTGCAGGGTGCGGTGACTCACACTTGTAATCCCAGCACTTTGAGAGGCCGAGGTGGGCAGATCACTTGAAGTCAGTAGTTCGAGACCAGCCTGGCCAACATGGTGAAACCACATCTCTACAAAAAATATTAGGTTGGTGCAAAAGTAATTGCGTTTTTTGAATTACTTTTAATGGCAAAACCCCCAATTTTTGCACCAACCTACTAAAAATAGCCAGGTGTGATAGCACGTGCCTGTAATCTCAGCTACTTGGGAGCCTGAGGCAGCAGAATCGCTTGAATCTGAGAGGCGGACGTTGCAGTGAGCCAAAATCTCGCCACTGCTCTCCAGCCTGGGCGGCAGAGCGAGACCTTGTCTCAAAAAAAAAAAAAAAAAATTTAACTTCTGCCGAATGCTAGCAAGAAGAATGGGAGAATAGTGAGGTAAGAGCAAAGAAAGGCACAACAGGAAAACTGTTAAGATGACTACAATTTCAATGGTAAGAGGCAGGAGGGGAAGCAAAATAAGAAAGGAAGAGTAGGAAAGCAAACCTTAGGGAAGTGGAGGTTTAGAATGAGCAGCTTTGTGGCTGTGATACAAGAATCCTAGTAGCTTAAAATGGGAAAATATCTTAAAGGTCATCTATGCTAATTCCCATTGAGTGTTTGAATTCCACTAAGCAGCTGGACCATGATTCAGCACCTCCAATGATAAAGATCTCCAGTATCCCCTAAGCCAGCTTTGAATAGCTCTGTTAAACAGTTTTTCCTTATATCGCGAATGTGTAAAGTCTGAAATACCATTTTAACACGTAATTTCCCCCATTGAATGCAGTTAACACATTTTTCCTTAGTGTCTCTATAATAAACAGAGCTGAAGTAATTTATAAAGCGTTGGACTTGGGGCACGCAGGCTTTTGAACAGAGTTTCACATTTGTAAGAATATAAGGGCAAGAAAAGAGCAACAGGGGCTGGATGCAGTGGCTCACATCTGTAATCCCAGCACTTTGGGAGGCCGAAGCAGGAGGGATCGCTTGAGCCCAGGAGTTCAAGACCAGCCTTGGCAACATAGTGAGACCCCTGTCTCTACAAAAAATACAAAAATTAGCCGGGCATGGTGGTGCACCGCTGTGGTCCCAGCTACTTGGGAGGCTGAGATGGAGGATTGCTTGAGCCCAGGAGGCAGAGGTTGCAGTGAGTGAGATCGCGCCACTGCACTCTAGCCTGGGTAACAGAGTCAGACCCGGTCTGAAAAACAACAAAAAACAAGAGCAACAGCAGGGAGGTAAGACGTTGACGTGGGGAATTTGTTCATACTCCAGCCAATTAGCCCTCAAATTCAAATTTATGTCTTTGTAAACTTACAGATTGCTACAAGCCAGGGCAACTGAGTGGTAGTTAAAGCCTCAAATATAAAGCCCTCAAATGGCAAGAATCTACTATATTTGGACTAGGGGGAGGGAAGAGTGTTAGATCTAAGTACAAGACAAGACCCAGACCCATTGATCTCTACTCAATTTTATCCTGTTGGTGTTAGTTAAATTCTTTAGGCAGACAAGGTATTTTGAGATCCTGATTCCCTCCCACTTTCATGTTATTTACAAATTTGGTAAATATAGCTTCTATATCTTTACCTAAATGATTCATTAAAACATTAACTATTACCCAGCCAAGAGAGTGGAAGGGCTTATTAAAAACCTCCCAGCAGGTTTACATTAGTTAATTAACTATTTATACCCAGTCAGTTTTGTTATTGTTGTTATTGTTGAGATGGAGTCTTGCTCTGCTGCCCAGGATGCAGTGAAATGGCACAATCTTGGCTCATGACAACCTCCGTCTCCTAGGTTCAACCAATTCTCCTGCCTCAGCCTCCCGAGTAGCTGAGACTACAGGTGCACAACACTGCGCCTGGCTAATTTTTGTATTTTTAGTAGCACCAGGGTTTCCCCATGTTGGCCAGGCTGGTCTCGAACTCCTGATCTCAAGTGATCCAGCCGCCTCAGCCTCACAAAGTGCTGGGATAACAGGCATAAGCCACCATGCCCAGCCCCCAGTCAGTTTCATATGCCTAACTGCTCCTGATTCTGCCTTACATTCTTACTTTTTCTGTAGGAGAAATCATAAGCTACTCCACCTACTAATCTAAAACCATGTTGAAAAAATCCAGGTGTTAGCTGACTTGTTCTTAGAGGGTCCATGTTGCCCCCTGTTGGTTACAGTTTCCTCTTTTATGTGGCCCCAAATCTTGTTTTTAGTCAATTCTAGACTTCTCCCAAATGAAAGTGAATATCACAAATCTGCACTTTGCAAAATCCACATCTTTCCCCTTTCTGAAAATGAAATGACTTCTGCCTGTTCTAGTTGTCTGGCCTCACATGTTTTCAGATTCCTCGGAATTCAGGAACATGCTGGATCATGTGTCCTCCAGTTTCCTCAGTTCTTGAAATAGAAGGCTTCAGGCCAGAAGGCTGAACTCAGAGCAGACGTGTGATCCTCTGCAATCTTTTGGTTCTCTGGGGTTTCAGTTTGTTCTTTACGATGTTTATTTCATGCTACTCATCCAAAGGAACACTTTCCTCATCAAAGAAGGCAGATATAGGAATTCAGACGTTCTGTGTCATGTACTCACCCATAAACATCATACCCAGAGAGTGGGCTTTGCCATTCTTTAATCTTCTCCTACCAACTCTAAAACATTATTTTTGTCGTCCTTAACATTATTTGCAATTTTTATTTGAGGATTTAAGCTTTCAGGTCATACTCTTGTGATTATCCTAGTGAGCTTGGTCTTTTTTTCCTTTTTACATCTTCTGTGCATCTTATTGCCTAAATTCATTTGCAAGAATCCTTTGCAACAATATCAATCTTTTTCTTCTTCTTTCTCTCCTTTCCCCAGATTTCCCCATCAGCCACCTCCTGTTCCTCAGTTTCCTACTGTCATTCTTTCTCTATATATTAACACAATTATGTAATATACGAGTGGACATGATGATATTGCTCACCCTTTTAATTTTCCAAATTTCAAAACATAGACCCAAATAAATTAACTCAATTTTTGCTCCCTAGATATTGGTGATATTTCGAAACCCTAAAGATACAGCAGTATCTTTTTTGCATTTCCACAACGATGTCCCCGATATTCCAAGCTATGGCTCTTGGGATGAATTCTTCAGACAGTTCATGAAAGGACAAGGTATGGCTGTTGGTAAAAGAATTATTCTTACTTGATCAGATGACCACATAAATGTGAAAACCCAAATGTGTTTTAGGGTAAAGGAAGAAGATTTAGGTAGATCTGGGAACCAAAAAGTTTCATTTAAATGAACGGTCATAGCACCATTAGTTCTGTGCATCCAACAATTAAATGCATTGCTGTTTTAAAAACGAATTTGGGGCCAGGTGTGGTGGCTCACGCCTGTAATCCCAGCACTTTGGGAGGCCGAGGCGGGCAGATCACAAGGTCAGGAGATCAAGACTGTCCTGGCTAACACGGTGAAACCCCATCTCTACTAAAAATACAAAAAATTAGCCTGGCGTGGTGGCACGCACCTGTAGTCCCAGCTACTCGGGAAGCTGAAGCAGGAAAATTGCTTATACCCAGAAGGCAGGGATTGCAGTGAGCTGAGATGGCGCCACTGCACTCCAGCTTGGCAAAGCGAGACTCTGTCTCAAAAAAACAAACAAACAAACAAACAAAAAACTAATTTGGACAAGTCGTATGTTGACTATGAGTACAGAGTGGCCATAGAAAAGACATGGGACAAAGAGAGCTTTAACAGTGAGTGATGTAGAAAACCATTTCTAGTGAACTTCCTTGTCACTATGTAACACTGATAAAAACAAAAAATATTTTTTAAAAAACCATGACACTGAGCTACTATACCTAAGACATTTGTTTGCTAGAAAGAAAATAAGTTTTTGTCAGAAATAAGTTTTTGTTAAACATGTTGATATTTTGTCTCTGGTTTATTGATAACTCTAAGTGTCTATTAATGCTCCAGGTGCTAAAGTAGGGGTCGTCTATGCATTATTTTAATTTAAGATTTATAACAAACTATGAGTAAGGTGGTATTAGCCCCATTGTACAGATGAGGAAACTAATCAAAATATAAATCAGACAGGCACAGTAGCTCATGCCTGTAGTTCCAGCACTTTGGGAGGCCGAGGCGGGCGGATGACTCGAGGTTAGGAGTTTGAGACCAGTCTGGCCAACATGGCAAAACCCCGTCTCTGCTAAAAACACAAAAATTAGCCAGGTGTGGTGTTGCATGCCTGTAATCCCAGCTACTTAGTAGGCTGAGGCAGAAGACTTGCATGAACAGGAGGCGGAAGTTGCAGTGAGCCGAGATTGATCAACTGCACTCCAGCCTGGGTGACAGAGCAAAACTCCAACTCAAAAAATAAAATAAAATAAAAAATAAAGAAATAAAAATACAAAATTAGCCAGGCATGGTGTCTCATGCCTGTAATCTCAGCTACTTGGGAGGCTGATGCAGGAGAATTGTTTGAATCCAGGAGGCAGAGGTTGCAGTGAGCAGATATGGCACCATTGCACTCCAGCCTGGGCAACAAGAGTGAGAAACTCCGTCTCAAAAAAAAAGTTAAATCACTTGCCATTGCTTGTAAGTGGCAGTGACTCTACATCCATGAGTATAGTGGCCAGAGACCAGTAACTGATTCCTTTTTTTAGTGGCTCTTTTGAGTCTGTACGGTGTAATAGATGGGATATTAAAGCCCAATGACCCTGGAGGAGAAGCTGTTGTCAGTTCACTCTAAGAGGGCTACTTTTTAAAAAATGTATTTATTTTTGTTGTATATATTTAAGGTGTACAACAAAATGATGTTTCACCGTATACACAATGAAATGATTAATACAATCAAGCAAATTAACATATCTATCATGTCACACAATTACCTGTTTTGTGTTTAGTAAGAGCACCTAAAATCTATTCTTTTAACGAATATTATATGGTATAAAATCATTAACTGTCATCATTAACTGTCATTCTCATGCTGTACATTAGATCTCAAGATGCTCATAACTGAATAATTCATAACTTCATAACAAGTTTGTACCTTTTGACTTCTGTCTCCCTATTTTCTGCCCTTCCCCATCCCTGTAACCACCATCCTACTCTCTATTATGTATCTGACTTTGTAAAGATTCCACATATAAGTGAAAACATGCTGTATTCTTCTCTTTTTTTTCTTTCTTTCTTTTTTTTTTTTTTTTTTTTTTGAGACAAGATTTCACTCTGTCACCTAGGCTGGAGTGTAGCGGCAAGGCTCACTGCAGCCTTGACCTTCTGGGCTCACGTGGTCCTCAGCCTCCTAAGTAGCTGGGACCACAGGCACTTACCACCATGCGCAGCTGATTTTTTTTCTTTTTGTAGAGATGGGGCCTCACTATATTGCCCAGGCTTCGTATTTTTCTTTTTGTGTCTAGCTTATTTTGGTTAACATAATGTCCTCCCTCCGTGTTGTTGCAAATGATGATGAGAAACTTGTCATCAGTGGGACAATGCATTTTAGGGAATATCTGTTTCCCTATCCATCCTTGGAGAGGTTTGTTTTTCTCATTTAACAGGAAGTCTGAAGGTAGGTAGCTGGTTCCTGGGATCTCTGGCCTGCACCTCTGATATTCCCTTGGCCTCTCTCTCATACTTTTTGCAATACACCCTGAAATTGGCTACTATCCTTCCAATCATCACCTTTAGGTCATGAAAAAGGAGGAACACATCAGCAGTAGCCGAATGTGTTCCTTAGCTCCACACAGCAATAGTTTTGCCAGAAACCTTCCAGCAGACTCTTGTTTGTGTCTCACTGGGCAGAACCATTTCATGTGGCCAATTACAGCTCTGAGGAAGGCAGGATATCAAGAAACAGAATTGTCATGATCAGCTTAGACCCAAATAATCAGGGTTTGGTTAGCAACAAGAAAGAGGATGTATTAGATGTTGGGTAGGCAACTTACGGTATTTGTGACAGAAAATAAAACACATAGAAACTGCCTGGCTCAAAGCAAGGGCTTCATGATAACAATGATCATGATAATAACTATGATATTATTAATAATAGTAATGGCTATTGAGGCCGAGCGGGGTGGCTCACACCTGTAATCCCAGCACTTTGGGTGGCCGAGGCGGGCGGATCACCTGAAGTCAGGAGTTCAAGACCAGCCTGACCAATATGGTGAAACCTCGTCTCTACCAAAAATACAAAAATTAGCCAGGCATGGTGGTGTGTGCCTGTAGTCCCAGCTACTCAGGAGACTGAGACAGAATTGCTTGAAACCGGGAGGCAGAGGTTGCAGTGAGCTGAGATTGCACCACTGCACTCCAGCCGGGGTGACAGAGTGAGACTCCATCTCAAAAAAAAAAAAAAAAAAAAGCTATTGCGTGTTACTATGAAGCAGGCACTGTTTTTAGCATTTGACGTGTGTTAATTCATTTAAACCTCATAACGCCCCATTTTACAGTTGAGGAATCTAAGGTACAAGGAGTTTTAAGAGTTTCTCAAAGTCACAGAGCTAGTAACCAGCACAGCTGACCAGTGTCTGCATCTGCATTGTCCAATGTGGTAGGCCACTAACCATATGTGACAACGGAGCACTTGAAATGGGACTTGAATGGGACTGGTGCCAAGGAACTAAATTTCTCATTTTAAAAAAATGGAATTAATTCAAAATTTTTAAGGGATATACAATTCAGTTAATGGAAAACTTTTAAGTAAGTGTAATAAGTTGCGTATGTGAATATACTTTTTAAACTGTACGTTTTATTAAATCTAAATATACATCAAGTATTTTCAATAAAAATTTAGCATCCAAATTGAGATTTTCAGTATATGTCTCATACTCCATGGCTTTTGAAGATTTAGCATATTAAAATAATGTAATGTTTCACTCAAATTTTTGTTGATTATATGATGGAATAATATTTTTGATAAACTGGGTTAAGTGGAGTAAAACATTAAAATTAATTTCATTTGTTTCTTTTGTTTTTTAAAATTACGTATATGGCTAGCATTACATTTTTATTGAACAACGATGGTCTAGAAAATGTCTTTTTCATCATTTCTTTCTGGCATTGTCTCTGTCGGATTTCATGTGTCATTCACTATTTCTGAATTTTTTTAATCCACCTAAATATTCATGAATGTCTTATAGTTTTTATAAATCATTTTTGTAACTTGCTTAATTTTGTGTTATTTATGAAAAATGTTCCAAAAGGTAAGAAAATAAATAGAAATTTAGACAATGGGACTGATTTATATCAGCTTTTTGGTGGCAGGGATTTATAATAACATAAAGATATCTCGAGCATATACACATATGTATAGTTTATATTTTATAGCATAAATTAATGATCATTTTAACCTCAGTTATTTGACATTTCTTAAAGTCTTCCCCCCTGTGTTTTTAGTTTCTTGGGGAAGGTATTTTGATTTTGCAATCAATTGGAACAAACATCTTGATGGCGACAATGTTAAGTTCATATTATATGAAGACCTGAAAGAGGTGAGATTATTATTGATATTTTAGAGCAAAATTTATTGTAAACTACAACGTAGAGCACTTACTTATAATGTCTGTTTGTATAAACAAATATGGTGTTCAATTTTTAAAAATATTCCAGATATATGGTACAGTGCTGGAAAAGAAAATTCAAACCATGCATACATGCTTAGGTTGTTTATTTAACAGAAATAAAATAACGCTTAGCAACTTATTACTAAAAGTGACTGCTTTATTTTCCCTTTATGATGGATAGTTCAAATTGGTAATAAAAAAAAATAGGTAGGTCTGAGTTGATTTAATTGAACATACACTTGGTTGTGAACTAATTTATCCAGTCATTTTTTAAAAATTGTTTATTGATGTAACAAATATCTAGTGAGTGATTGCTCACCAATTAGGCCCTGGTGTTACATCAGTGAACAGACAAGGCAAAGATCGCTGCCCTGTAGTAACTTACATGCCAGTTGGAGAAGGTGGAAAGAAAGAATGATACATAATAAACACAATAATTTTTAAAATGTATATAGTATGTGAGAAAAAAAGAAACAGCATAGCTGGTGAAGGAAAATTAAAAATGCTGGGGGGCCAGGCACGGGGAAGGATTGGACAAATTCCAGTGTAAAATATGATGTTTAGGCTGGTGTGGTGGTTCATGCCTACAATCCCAACACTTTGAGAGGCTGAGGCAGGGGGATCACTTCAGGCCAGGAGTTCGAGACCACCCTGGGCACATTTTTAAAAATTAGGCATGTACCTGTAGTACCAGCTACTCAGGAAGCTGAGACAGGAGGATCACTTGAGCCTAAGAGGTAGAGGCTGCAGTGAACCATGATTAGGCCACCACACTCCAGCCTGGGTGACAGAGTGAGATCCTGTATCAAAAAAAAAAAAAAAAAAAAAAAAAGAATAGGAAGATTAGGAGAGACCTTACTGAGGGGATGTGATTTGAGCAAAGATCTGAGGGAAGTGGGGGAGTGAGCCAAGTAGGTAACTGGGGAAGAGCATTTCTGGCAGAGGGAATCAACTGGAGCAAAAGCTGGGATAGTCCTGGTGAGATTAAGGGACAGCAGATGTGCCTGGGTCAGTAGGAATAAACCAGGGCTGAACAGCCAATGAGGAAAGAGTCAAGGAGGTAGGATGGAGTATGCCACTCACTCTGGCTTTCACTTTGAGGGAAGTGGGAAGCCATCGTGGGATTTGAGCAGAGGAGTGATTGGAGCAGATGTGTTTTTAACAAGATCATTCTGGCTAGGTGTGAGAATGAACTGGGGCAAAGCAAATGCTGGGAGGGCTGTAAAGAGGGCACTGCAATAGTCCAGGCAAAGGAAGATGGTGGCTCAGGCCAAGAAGGGGCCATGCAGGGATGAGAAGAGGTTGGATTCTGGATATATGTTGAAGGGAAGGCCAACAGGATTTGCTGCTGAATTGGATGGAGGGGAGAGTGGCAAGACAAGGAGAGAAGTCAAGTAAGCCTCCAATATTATTGGCCTGGCCAATAATATTGAGGGCTGAGTTGCCACCGATTGAGTAGGAGATGGCAGCAGGTGAAGAACTGTCGGGGAGATCAGAGGTTTGGTTTTGGACACATTAAATTTGAGATGTTTATTAGTCGTCCTAATTGAGAAGTCAAGTAGGCAGTTGGGCATACAGGCCTTGTAAGTACAGAGAGTTCTGGGCCGTAGATAAAATTTGGGCATCACTGACACATAGCCGTGCTTTAAAGCCATGGAAATATATACGTAGGTATATAGATAGAGAAGATGACCAAGAACTTGGAGCCCACCAATTTAAAGAGTTTGGGGAAAAAAGGAGGAATCAGCAAAGGAGACCAGGAAGCGGGGGCTACTGAGGTAGGAAGGAAAGCAGAATCCTGTGGAGAAAGCATGTTAAAGAGAAGGGAGTATCAAGTGCTCCTTAACTTAATTGGGTTTCTAACACCAGTCTTACATTACATTCTTATAAAAAGAAAGTGTGGTTTAGGCCAGGCATGGTGGCTCACGCCTGTAATCCCAGCACTTTGAGAGGCCGAGGCAGGTGGATCACCTGAGGTCGGGAGTTCGAGACAAGCCTGACCAACACAGTGAAACCCCGTCTCTACTAAAAATACAAAAATTAGCTGGGTGTGGTGGTGCGTGCCTGTAATCCCAACTACTCAGGAGGCTGAGGCAGGAGACTCACTTGAACCCAGGAGGTGGAGGTTGCAGTGAGCTGATATTGTGCCATTGCACTCCAGCGTGGGCCACAGAGCAAGACTCCATCTCAAAAAACAAACAAACGAAAAACCAAAAACAAACAAACAAACAAACAAGCAAATGTATGGTTTAGGCCAGGCACGGCGGCTCACGCCTGTAATCCTAGCACTTTGGGAGGCCAAGGCGGGTGGATCACTTGAGGTCAGGAGTTCGAGACCAGCCTGGCCAACATGGTGAAACCCTGTTTCTACTAAAAATACAAAAATTAGCCAGGCGTGGTGGCACACACCTCTAATCCCAGCTACTCAGGAGGCTGAGGCAGGAGAATTGCTGGAACCCTGGAGGTGGAGGTTGCAGTGAGCCGAGATCATGCCACTGTGCTCCACCCTGGACAACAAGAGAGAAACTCCGTCTCAAAAAAAAAAAGTGAGATTTAATCGACCCTTTCTGTTTATAGGATGCATGTATATAATATGAAAGAACATATTAATTCTAGTTTAGAATAATGTTTCTGAAACTTGTGCACCATAGAATACAAGTGTTGCCCCAGCTGTTAATAAATATTTCTTGAGGTTTGGGAGGAGGTTATTCAAATAGATTTAGGAACTGCTGTATTCTATAGCCTGCTCTCTTGGAGATTCACATTATGCACTGGTCTATTAAAGACTCTGAGAGCAGCCTGGGCAACATGGCGAAACCCTGTCTCTACAAAAATACAAGAATTAGCCAGATGTGGTGGCACACACCTGTTGTCCCAGCTATTCAGAAGGCTGAGGTGTGAGGATTGCTGGAGCCCAGGAAGTCCAGGCTGCAGTGAGCCGTGATTGTGCCCTTGCACCACTCTAGTCTGGGCAGCAGAGAAAGACCCTGTCTAAAAAAAAAAAAAAAATTCTTCAAGTTTTTATGATTCTAAAAATTAGACTTTCTTAATGGAATTAAACATTAGCTATAAATAGAATTCAGAAAAAAAGAGAATTCAAATGAGCACATAGGAATACATTAATTTCTTCAGCTGGTCTAAGTTGGTACTTTTTAATGCAATGATATCATCCTAGATAAAATTATAACCTGTGAATTAATGTTACTGTCATTATTTACATGCTAAAAACTATTATCTGGTAAGTTCAACAAGAGTCATAAATTGAAACTACAAAGTATAATCAATACAGAATATCTTACAGAGATATCTCAATATTTACATAAGAAGATGAAAGTACTCTAAGTTTAAAGTGGGGGATGAGATGAACTAGGGAGTTAGGCTGAATAACTCTGATGACTAAAAAGTCTGTCTCAGCTCAGAGAACAATTTCCATAGGAAGAAATTTATCTTTAAGAAAATTTTTTTACAGAATCTGGCTGCTGGAATAAAACAGATTGCTGAGTTCTTGGGATTCTTTCTAACTGGGGAGCAAATTCAAACTATCTCAGTCCAGAGCACCTTCCAAGCCATGCGTGCGAAGTCTCAGGACACACACGGTGCTGTCGGCCCATTCCTTTTCCGCAAAGGTAAAGTCGCATTGGTTTCTGGGATTGTTATCAGTTAGGGACTGACTTTGCACACAACAGGTAATCCAAATAACTTCATCTTAAGTCAGATAGGGTTTTATTTTTCTCCGCCTCAGTAAGAGGTCTGGACACAGGCTCTCCAGAGCTGTAACTGGCAGCCCCATACCATCTTTTTTGGTTTATTTGTTTGTTTTGAGACGGAGTCTCGCTCTGTTGCCCAGGCTGGAGTGCAGTGGCTCAATCTCAGCTCACTGCAACCTCCGCCTCCTGGGTTCAAGCGATTCTCCTGCCTCAGCCTCCCGAGTAGCTGGGACTAACAGGCGCGTGCCACCACACCCAGTTAATTTTTTTGTATTTTTAGTAAAGGCAGGGTTTTACCATGTTGGCCAGGATGGTCTTGATCTCCTGAACTTGTGATCCGCCCGCCTTGGCCTCCCGAAGTGCTGGGATTACAGGCGTGAGCCACCGCGCCCGGCCGCCCCATACCATCTTTTAGGGTCCTTTCTGCGGTTGAGAGTCCTTTCTGATGATCACCTTCTGAAAACAAGATAGCAGCTGAAGCTCAACTATTATGTTCAAATTCAGATAGGAGATAGTGAGTGGGCAAGGGGCAGAATCGTATTAGCTGAGTGAGCCCCCTTTAAATAACTTTCCTGGAAGCCCCATCAGTGAGTTTTTTTTTTTTTTTTTTTTTTTGAGACAGAATCTTGCTGTGTTGCCCAGGCTGGAATGCAGTGGCACAATCTTGGCTCACTGCAACCTCTGCTTCCTGGGTTCAAGAGATTCTTGTGTGCGCCACCACGCCTGGCTAATTTTTTTGTATTTTTAATAGAGACAGGGTTTTGCCATATTGGCCAGGCTGGTCTCAAACTCCTCTCCCAAAGTGCTGGATTACAGGCGTGAGCCACTGCACCTGGCCAATGACTCCTTTTTTTCCTCTCTCTTATTTATTTTATATATTTTTTTTGAGACAGAGTCTTGCTCTGTCGCCCAGGCTGGAGTGTGGTAGTGCGATCTCGGCTCACGGCAACCTCCGCCTCACAGGTTCAAGTGATTCTCCTGCCTCAGCCTCCTGAGTAGCTGGGATTACAGGTACCCATTACCACACCCAGATAATTATTGTATTTTTAGTAGAGATGGGGTTTCACCATGTTGGCCAGACTGGTCTTGAACTCCTGACCTCAGGTGATCCACCCATTCTCGGCCTCCCAATGTGCTGGGATTACAGGCGTGAGCCACCACACCTGGCCAATGACTTCTTACATTTCATTGGCCACTTTCCTTGCAGTGGTGGCTGGGAAATGTGACTTTTTTAAGCCAGGCATATTACTACACAATTAAAATCAGGGTTTTGTCCATAAGGAAGAGGAAGAAAATGACTATGGGAAAGGCAACTAGCTCTCTCTGACATGGATGATAGTTACTATATTTCATTAAAGTATTCTAAGTTCTTGTGGAAATGTGTGATAATATAGCTTAAGGATTGCCAGTGTTATTTTTCATTGAGTATATAATGAAATAATGAGATGTAGAGGTAGCACATATACCAGCAAGGACAACAACAGCTAACAGCAGGCATCTATCATGTATTAAACATTTTGTTGGGATTAAATTTTATTGTAAAAAACACTGAAGTTCTAAGGCCGGACATGGTGGCTCATGCCTGTAATCCCAGCACTTTGGGAGGCCGAGGCAGGTGGATCATGAGATCAGGAGTTCAAGACCAGCCTGGCGAAGATGGTGAAACCCTGTCTCTACCAAAAATATAAAAATTAGCTCGGGCTGGACGTGGTGGCGGGCGCCTGTAATTCCAGCTACTTGGGAGGCTGAGTCAGAGAACTGCTTGAACCTGGGAGGTGGAGGTTGCAGTGAGCCAAGATTGCACCACTGCACTCCAGCCTGGGTGACAGAGCCAGACTCTGTCTCAAACAAAAACAAAAACAAAAACAAGAAAACAAAAACAAACAAACCAAAAAACCCACTGAAGTTCTTAATTTTCTAAATGTAGGAATCAAAGCTCAGGAATATTAATTTTCCATTGTCACATAGCTAATAAACAGTGGAGTCAGGATGTGAGCCTAGACATGACTCTACTGTACTTTTTCAAATGAAAATCCATTTTTAAAATCTACTGTAAGCGGAACATTGAATGTAAACCTAACTTTGGTTAGATTCTTGACTAACCCCCATTTTTATGGCTTGTTTAATCAGCTTTCAGGAGGTAGGAAATAGAACCTTTCTATCTATTGTTAATTAAGTGTTATTTAGAATAGGACAATTCTAAGGTAAATAAAGTAATAGTTTTAAAAACGTATGATATTCCCTGTAGAAAATTCATAAAGCATAGAAAAATGTGAAAAAGTATTAAAATTATCCAAATTTCTTCCACCAGAGGTAGGTTTAACTTTCTGGCATATTTTCTTCCACCCTTATTCTGTGACGTTTTATATAGCTGATGACATTTGTAAACAGTTTTGTGTTTTCTTTTATTCCCTTAATATATTGTAAGCGTTTCTTCATGTCATTAAACTCTTTATTAACGTACATTTCAACAGCTATGCAATATGGAACTTACAACTTCAACCTAAATGATCAAAAGATCTTTAAGAAAAAAGTAACTTTCTTTACTGGTAACAGCCAGTAAGAAAAAACATCCCAAACTCAGGCAAAATAATACATTTTTGCAAAATTATCAGTATCTGAGGTCTTAACGAAAACTTGCTATAAAATGTTAACTTTCAAAGGGTATTTAAAGTCTTTAAGAGACTTTACAGAGAAAAATATCATTCTCAAAAAGTGGAATTTTAAGTTCTAGGTGTTTGGAGAGGAATAGGGTTAGGGTATCACTGAGGCTGATGGCTCCCCCTAGTGATGTAAAGAAAACATGTCACCTCCCACACCACAGATGGTGGAGTCCCAATGGATATTGTTAATTTTACAACAGAAATCACATTAGGTTTTAAGAGTGTAAAACTTTTGGCTGGGCGCAGTAGCTCACGCCTGTACCTAGCACTTTGGGAGGCCGAGGCTGGCGGATCACCTGAGGTCAGGAGTTCGAGACAAGCCTGGCCAGCATTGCGAAACCCCATCTCTACTAAAAATACATTAGCCGGGTGTGGTGGCGGGCGCCGGTAATCCCAGCTACTCGGTAGGCTAAGGCAGGGAGAATTGCTTGAAGATCGCACCACGGCACTCCAGCCTGGGCAACAGAGCGAGACACCGTCTGAAAAAAACTAAATAAAGAGTGTAAAGCTTTTTTCCATGTGTCCATTTTAACATATCAGAGTGAAATATTGCACTGAAAATGGTAAAATCATGAAGAAATATTCTAACAGATATCTGGGTCTACTGTTTTTTGTGTGTTGTAGGTGAAGTTGGTGATTGGAAAAATTTGTTCAGTGAAATTCAGAACCAGGAAATGGATGAAAAATTCAAAGAGTGCTTAGCAGGCACCTCCCTCGGAGCAAAGTTGAAGTATGAATCATATTGCCAGGGTTGATTCCAGTCAATTCAGCAGGCCTAGATTTATTTTCCTTAATAATAATTAAGTGTAAATAATTAAATGATAATTCAATCAAATAATCAAATAATAATTAAACAATATTGAAATCTAAATAATACAATACAAAATAATAATACAATTTAATAATAATGATAACATCGGACATTTTTGAGCACAAATATAAGTTTGTTCACTTTTTCAAGAAAGGATATTTCAGCAGTCCCAAAGGGACACTATTATTAATACATCACACTGGAGTTTTAACTTATTTTGTGCTCTAGGTTCACGTAAGAGGGTAAGGAGATACTATCAGAGACATACCTAAAGCTGTGTTTGGCCATAGATGACACAGGCCTCCAAATGGTGCACAATTTTCTGTACTTTGCTCGTAATATAACTCCTTTCTTACTATGGATAAAAGCACTTGGGGTGGCTATCTCAGACAATGTTGGGGGAGAGTTAATTCCAACTCTGCAATAAATTCCATTCTAATTTGGTTCAAGAAAAATGCATTGCTAATCTGCTCCATGTATGCCATTGCAGTAGGCCTTAGGAAGGCCCCTTCTCAAGGGACCTTATATTTCTACTTAATATGACCTTTAATTCAAAGCTAAAGGTAAGAGATTGTGTTATTTTACCGTAAAGACTTTTTCTTTTTCTTTTTCTTTTTTTTTGAGACAAAGTCTCACTCTGTCACCCAGGCTGGGGTGCAGTGGCGCAATCTCGGCTCACTGCAACCTCCACCTCCCAGGTTCAAGTGATTATCCTGCCTCGGCCTCCTGAGTAGCTGGGTTTACAGGCACGCACCACCACGCCTGGCTAATTTTTGTATTTTTAGTAGAGGCAGGGTTTCTCCCATGTTGGCCAGGATGGTCTTGACCTCCTGACCTCAGGTGATCCACTTGCCTTGGCCTCCCAAAGTGTTGGGATTATAGGCATGAGCCACGACGCCCGGCCCATCAAGACTTTTTCTACCACAGAGCCTCAAGTAGGCATGTGGAACTAACAAGACAGAAAATGTTCTAAAAAGAAAGAATCCTGGCTGGGCGAGGTGGCTCATGCCTGTATCCCAGCACTTTGGGAGGCTGAGGCGGGCAGATCACTTGACATCAGGAGTTCAAGACCAGCCTGGCAAATATGGGGAAATCCCATCTCTACTAAAAATACAAAAACTAGCTGGATGTGGTGGTGTGCACCTGTAATCCCAGCTACTGGGGAGACTGAGACAGGAGAATCGTTTAAACTCAGGAGGCAGAGGTTGCAGTGAGCTGAGATCATGCCACTGCACTCCAGCCTGGGCAACAGAGCAAGACTTTGTCAAAAAAAAAAAGGGAGGAAGGAAGGAGGGGAGAAAAAAGAAAGAAAGAAAGAGAGAGAGAGAGGAAGGAAGGAAGGGAGGGAGGGAGGGAGGAAGGAAGGGAGGGAGGGAGGGAGGAAGGAAGGGAGGGAGGAAGGGAGAAAGAGAGAGAAAGAGGGAAAGAGAGAGAGGAAGGAAGGAAGGAAGGAGAGAAAATGCTAAATAAAAGGTTAATATCTAGAGTATATAAAGAACAACTAATATCAATAGATGAAATAAAATATAGCCTAATAGGAAAAAAAAAATGTAGACAGGTGCTGTGGCTCATGCCTGTAATCTCAGTGCTTTGGGAGGCTGAGGAGGGAGAATCACTTAAGGCCAGGAGTTCAAGACCAGCTGGAGCAACATAGGAAGACCTCATCTCTACCAAAAAAAAAAAAAAAAAAAATTAACCAGGCATGGCGGTGTGTGCCCATAGTACCAGCTACTCAGGAGACTGAGGCAGGAGGATTGCATGTGCCCAGGAGGTTGAGGCTGCAGTGAGCCATGATTGTATCACTGCACTCTAGCCTGGGCAACAAAGACCTTGTCTCTTAAAAAAAAGTGTAAAGGATATAGACAGGTAATTTATAGAAGAGGACATCCAAATGGTAAATAAATAGATAATGAGAAAAATGTACTAATTAGGAAAATTGAACAACAGTCAGAGGAATACTGGGATCTCTGAGAAGGAGTAAACAAGTGAGTTGATCCCTACACCTTCCTGAACGTGCTATCTATAGGCAGTTTCCAAGCTGCAGTACAGGGAAAAGGAACATCATACAAAAGTCTCATAAAATTGGAGTTGGATATTGGGAGTCAGGCAGGCTGAGGAGGCTAGATTTTCAGAGCACATTGCTGGGGAAAAGAGCACTGTATGTTAAAAATTTAACATAGCAAGAACCTCAGAGATCTGCAGAGGGAATCTTTCTAATCTTTAACTGAGTGCAGATATGTGTATGCATGGAATAAAACTTTACAAAGACAGTGTAAAGTCCCATCAAGACAAGGAAAGGATTACTGGAAAGCAGTGAGCCAAAGAATTTTCCTGGACCTCATTCAGAGGTGGAAATAGTTTGTGTTCCCATCAGTCAAAGTGGAGAGACTAATACCCAGGGCATTGGGTAGATTTCCCAGAATGTTCAGACCTTAGAAGTAGGGCTAAATTAGCCCTAGCCCTGCTGTAACAAAAGCAAGCCTAGAATGCATTGAAATGAACTCAAGTAACTTAATTGCTTACCAGTTTGAAAAAAAAAAATGCTAGATAAAATGTCCAACATTTAAAAAATGAATTTAAAAAAATAAAGCCCCAACACTATGTCTGCCATCCAATAAATATTTTTCAAGCATAAAAAGAAATAGGAAAACATGACCCATATCCAGGAGTAAAATCAATTAATAGAAACAGACAAATGGCTGAAATGGTGGAATTAGCAGATAAATATCTTAAAAGAGCTATTATACATTTTATAAATATGCTCAAATGGGTAAAAAAAAAATGATGAGAAGAGAAATGGATAATGTAAACAGACCCAAATGGAAGTTTTAGAGATGAAAAACACAATATCTGAAATAAAAAATACACTGGATGAATAAACAGTAGATTAGATGGAGAGGAAGAAAACACCAGGGAACTTGAAGGCATAGCAATAGAAACTATTCTATTCTAAATGAAGACAGGAAAAAAAAAAGACTACAGAAAAACATAAACGGAGCTTCAGTGACTTATGGGACAATATCAAGCAAATTTGCATGTAATTGGAATATCAGGAAAAGGAAAGAGGTACAGAAAAAAATTGAAAAATTGATGACTGAAATTGTTCAAATTCAAATAACTATAAATCTGCAGATTCAAGAAGTTCAACAAACCCCAAGCTGAATAAACATAATGAAATGGCACCAAAACACATCCTAATGCAATTGCTGAACACCAGTGACAAAGAGAATTCTTTGAGGCAGCTAAAGAAAAAAGATGTTGGCCGGGCACGGTGGCTCACGCCTGTAATCCCAGCACTTTGGGAGGCCGAGGCGGGCGGATCACGAGGTCAGGAGATCGAGACCATCCCGGCTAAAACGGTGAAACCCCGTCTCTACTAAAAATACAAAAAATTAGCCGGGCGTAGTGGCGGGCGCCTGTAGTCCCAGCTACTTGGGAGGCTGAGGCAGGGGAATGGCGTGAACCCGGGAGGCGGAGCTTGCAGTGAGCCGAGATCCCGCCACCGCACTCCAGCCTGGGCAACAGAGCGAGACTCCGTCTCAAAAAAAAAAAAAAAAAAAAAAAAAAGAAAAAAGATGTTACATATGAAGAAACACATAAGAAATACAACAGACTTCTCATCAGAAACTATGCAAGATAGAAGGCAATAGAGTAATATCTTTGAAAGACTGAAAGAAAATCTCGGTCCACCTAGAATTTGATATCAGTCAAAAATATCTTTCAGAAAAGAAGATAAATACTTTTTCTGGCTAGGTGCGGTGGCTTACACCTGTAATCCCAGCACTTTGGGCGGCTGAGGAGGGCGAATCACAAGGTCAGGAGATCGAGACCATCCTAGCTAACACGGTGAAACCCCGTCTCTACTGAAAATACAAAAAAAAATTTAGCCAGGCATTGTGGTGGGCACCTGTAGTCCCAGCTACTCGGGAGGCTGAGGCAGGAGAATAGCGTGAACCTGGGAGGCAGAGCTTGCAGTGAGCCGAGATCGTGCCACTGTACTCCAGCCTGGGCGACAGAGCGAGACTCCGTCTCAAAAAAAAACAGATAAATACTTTTTCTGTCAAATAAAGCCTGAAAAAAATAATTTCCAACAGATATGTACTATAGAAATACTAGAAGTTCTTTAGATGAAGGAAAATGATGCCAGATGGAAATTTGGGTCTACACAGAGGAATGAAGAGCACCAAAAATGGCGAATGTGTGGGTATATATAAACTATATTTCCCCATGGCCAGGTGTGGTGGCTCATGCCTGTAATCCCAGCACTCTGGGAGGCCAAGGCAGGTGGATCACCTGAGATCAGGAGTTTGAGACCAGGCTGACTACCATGGTGAAACCCCATCTCTACTAAAAATACAAAAATTAGCCAGGTGTGGTGGTGGGCACCTGTAATCCCAGCTACTCAGGAGGCTGAGGCAAGAGAATTGCTTGAGCCCAGGAGGCAGAGTTTGCAATGGGCTGAGATTGCCACGCCAGTGCACTCCACACTCCAGCCTGGGTAACAGAGTGAAACTCTATCTAAAAAATCTGTCTTTATAATCTCTTTAAAAGATAATTATCTATCTATTCAAAGCAAAAGTAATAACAATGTATTTTGGGGCTTATATATAGAAGTAAATCTATGACAACAATGAGACAAAGGATAAGAGAGAAGAAATAGAAGTATACTCTTGTACATTTTGGAAAGAAATTTGGTAGTTATTTGTGCATATACTTCACAATCCAGCAATTACATTCCTGGGCGTATATCTAAGAGAAACTCTTCCTTATTTGTATAAGGCAACATGAAGGAAAATCTTCATTGCAGCATTATTTGTAAATAGTGAGAAATTTAAAAACAAAACTGAGAAGAATGGATAAGAAAATTTTGAAATATTAATAGAAATAAATATTCAGCAGTTAAATGAATTAGAGCTATGTATATTAAGTAAATATCTTTTTAAATTTAAATTTTATTTATTATGATTATTTTTGATCACCAGGCTGACCATGGTAAAGTAAATAACTCTTAAAACACATAAGAATTACTTAATCAATATGAGGTTTCTTTCTGGGGTGGTGAAATGTTTTGAAACTAGACAGTGGTGATGGTTGCAAAATATTGTGAATGTACTAAGTCCCCCTGAATCATATGCTTTAAAAGGGTTAGGCTGGCTGTGGTGGCTCACGCCTGTAATCCCAGCACTTTGGGAGGCTGAGGTGAGCGGATCACCTGAGGTCAGGAGTTCGAGACCAGCCTGCCCAATATGGTGAAACCCCGTCTCTACTAAAAATACGAAAAATTAGCCAGGTGTGGTGGTGGGCGCCTGTAATCCCAGCTACTCGGGAGGCTGAGGCAGGAGAATCGCTTGAATCCAGGAAGTGGAGGTTGGAGTGAGCCGAGATCGTGCCACCGCACTCCAGCCTGGGTGACAAGAGCGAAACTCTGTCTCAAAAAGAAAAAAAAAAAAAGGTTAAAATGGTGAATTTTATGTTATGTGTATTTCACCACTTTCAGAAAAAAAAATGAATACAAAAAGCAAGTTTAAAACATATGAAGATTTTATTTTTAAAAATGAATGCATACAGAGGTAATACCCTTTAAGTCATGAATGTGAATAACTTAAATGAGTGATTATCTCTGCTGAGAAGAGGAAGAGGAATAGCATCAGGGAGAGGAACACTGGGGCCTTCATCTGTCTCCCAGTATTCATTCAACAAGGATTTGTTAAGCAGCATTTGACATAGTGGATTACGCTTTCCTCCCAGAAAAAATTTTTTTTCACTTGGCTTGTAGGAGTCCATGTCTCTTGTTTTCCCTATTAGCTGCTGCCTCCCAGTGTCCTTGCTAGTTCCACTCCTCCTCCACGGCCAGTCATTATTCTAGAACAAGGATCAGCAAACATTTTTTGTGAAGGGTCAGATAGTAAATATTTTCAATTTTACTGGTCATGCAGTTTCTGTCACAGTGACTCAACACAACTCATCTTAGTGTCAAAGCAGCCATAGACAATATATAGATGAATGAATGTGGTTGTGCACTAATAAAGCATTATTTACAAAAACAGGCAGCAGCCCAGTTTTGGCCCAGATCTATTCTAGACAATGAAATAATTAGCGAATAAAACAGTCAAAAATCCCTGTCCATGTGACTTTACATGTCAGAGGAAGGAGAAAACAAAGACAATAAATCAATAAGTTGTATTGTATAATAGAAGGCTGTAAGTGCCATGGAGGGGAAATAGAATAGAATGAGGGGGATAGGGAGTGACAACAGGGTGACAGTAGTGATTGGAACTTAAATAGTGTAGTCAGGGGGCTTCGTGAGCAAGTGACGTTTCAACAAGATCTGTGAGTTTTGCAGATATCTGAAGGATGAGGTTCCAGGCAAAAGGAAGAGCAAGTACAGAGGCACTGAGACAGTAGTATACCTGGCATTCTTGAAAAACCACAAGGAGGACAATGTAACTAGAGGAGAATGAAAGAGGGGCAGAGAAACAAGAGACGAGGTTAAAGTGGCAACCAGGGTGCAGGAAATATAGTGTCTTGTAAGCCCTTGATGATTCTGGGCTTGACTTTTTTCTTTCTTTCTTTCTTTCTTTCTTTCTTTCTTTCTTTCTTTCTTTCTTTCTTTCTTTCTTTCTTTTCTTTCTCTTTCTTTCTTTTTTTTTTTTTTTTTTTTTGAGACAGTCTCTCTCTGTCGCCCAGGCTGGAGTGCAGTGGCATGATCTCAGCTCACTGCAACCTATGCCTCCCAGGTTCAAGCAATTCTCCTGCCTCAGCCTCTGGAGTAGCTGGAACTATAGGCATGCACCACCATGCCCAGCTAATTTTTGTATTTTCAGTAGAGACAAGGTTTTGCCATGTTGGCTAGGCTGGTCTCGAACTCCTGGCGTCCAGTGATCCACCCACCTCGGCCTCCCAAAGTGGTGGAATTACAGCCGTGAGCCACCACGCCCGGCCTTCTTTCTGTATTCTGCATGATGAAAGGGACAAGGCAGATCTCTGGGGCCTCTTTTATAAGAGCACCAGTTCCACCACCCAAAGGCCACACCTCCTAATACCATCACATTGGTGATTCGCTTTTAACTTATGAGTTTTAGGGAGGACACAAACATTCAGACCATAGCGATGATTTTATAATAATGTGCATGTGGGGACTATTGACAAGAAGAGTTTATAAGTAAGCAAGACAAATTACTAAAGCAGAAACATCTGAGGAAAAGAGCCACAAGAGATATGGTACAACATAAATATGGACCACTCTACAATTTCCAAAAGCAGGAATAACAGTTATTATTTTTCCTCTGCTAGTAAAAAGAGAATTAAGAATAATTGATACATACGATTCTTCTATCTGTGTCTGATTCGTTGCTTTAGCATTACACATTTTGATCTAAAAGTCACTGTATTAAAAGAGATAGACTTATGGGATTGACTATAGGTCAATAACCATACTGATATTCACAAAGAGTTACGTAGTAAGGCCTGAGAAGCCCATGTGGATAAACTCACACATATCCTCCATTCCTGCTGTCACAGCCTCTTTATTTGTTGAAACAAGCACAGGGATAGCTGGGGAAAAGGCTAACAGAAGTCTTCTTGCTCAACTGCTTCTCAAAAGCCTCTTTAGAAGTGGTTGCCTTTGGTGAACATTCAAAAGGGAGCCCAATATGCACACTCTGCCCATTCGAAGTGGTTCAAGCACATCATTTCCCTAGACCTCATCATCAGCCCTCTGATATCATTCCTTCCAACTCTCTGAACATCAGCTGCATTGCCAGCCACTGGCTCTGTATAAGCCACTGAAGGAGGGGACTTTGGATCTTCTTGGGGTCCATGGTTAGGAAGTAAGTGACTAGGTTGCATAAGATGAATCTACTCCAATATTCCTGACTCCCTAAGTATTTTTGATTTCTTCATCTGCATTACTTGGCATTACATTTACATTTAGTGTGAGCTGCCACTGAGCTGATATTATAGTAAACCAACTGGGCAAACTGGCTTAGCGCTCCCACTGCTAGAGGCAGTACATCAACTTTCTTTCTTTTTTTTTTTTTTTTCTTGCTCTGTTGCCAGGCTGGAGTGCAGTGGCACGATCTTGGCTCATTGCAACCCCGACTCCCTGGTTCAAGCGATTCTCCTGCCTCAGCCTCCCAAGTAGCTGGGATTACAGGCACATGCCACCACGCCCAGCTAATTTTTGTATTTTTAGTAGAGACGTGGTTTCACCATGTTGGCCAGGATGGTCTCAATCTCCTGACCTCATGATCCGCCCACCTCGGCCTCCCAAAGTGCTGGGATTACAAGCATGAGCCACCGCGCTCAGCCTCAACTTTCAGCTTTCTTCACGTCATCTTTAGACTCATTGCCATGTCTATTTCTTGCTTTCTGTTGCTCTTTTGTTGTGTAAAGCATCACCCCTCCATCAGATCTTGTCCATATCCTCTTGGGGCGCATTAGCATCTGATTCTAGTTCTAGGAGTGAAGGCACAGGTAGAGATAGGATATTTGGAGAATCAGCACCTCCTTGCAGGGTGACTGTTTCATGCTTTTTAATGTAGGCTGTACCAGCCTTATCAGACAATGGTGGGAAGCCTGTGGAGACACAGCAGAATTTAGGAGGGCAGTGGCACTTGGATTCATTCAAATCCACCCAAATTCCCAGGGCTTCTTTCTTTCACAATCAATGCCCTCAGTGTTCACAGAAGAGACCTGATGAGGCTGCAAATGAAAATTTTTGTTGTAATTCTAGGCTGGGCGCGGTGGATCACGCCTGTAATCTCAGTACTTTGGAAGGCCGAGGTGGGGGAATCACTTGAGGTTAGGAGTTCCAAACCAGGCTGGCCAATATGGTGAAACCCCTTCTCTACTAAAAATACAAAAATTAGCTAGGTGCGGTGGCACACGCCTGTAATCCCAGTTACTTGGCAGGCTGAGGCAGGGAAATTGCTTGAGCCCGGGAGCCAGAGGTTGTAGTGAGCCAAGATTGTGCCACTGCACTCCAGCCTCGGCAACACAGCAAGACTCTGTCTCAAAACAATTATATTGTAATTCTGGTGCCTGCAGCACCAAGCTTTGCAGCTGAGAGCCCAGACAGTAGGGAATTGGGCTCCTCAGGGAGTCCAATATGCTCACACTTTACCCATTCCAAGAGGTTCACCCATATCATATCATTCCCCTGGACCTCATCACCAACCCTCTGATATCATTCCTTCCAAATCTTTCCCCAGCAGAGAAGGCAGATTTTTACATCACCCCTGAGGCTCCCTGAAATAGGAGGGTTTTCTGGTACAGTCATAAAAGCGTGTGTCCTCTGATCATGCTTAAGCTTGCCATTTTTCATTCTTTAAGCTCTCTTGGGCAGTTCAGGGGCTCAAAAAGTCAGAAAAACTTGTCCTTGCTACTGCCATTGCTGCTGCCACAGCCATCCCACACCCACAAAGCTGACAAATGGACACACAGCACTGTCAGAGTTTTCTTGTCACCTGGAAATGCCACAAAAAGATGGCTCTGCCTCATGTCTACCTTCTAAACCTCCCGCCAGTGCTTTACATATAGGGGACTTAAGCTATGCCCAGGACCAGAGCTACAAGGAAAGTGTAGATTTTAGTTGTTGATACCCTGCAATGTGGGGTTGTTGGGGGATGGAGAAGGGAGGCTGGAGAGGATGCCTGCCTAGGTGTAATTTTTTTTTTTTTTTTTTGAATTGGAGTCCCACTCTGTCACCCAGGCTGGAGTGTAGTGGCATGATCTCAGCTCACTACAATCTCTGCCTCCCAGGTTCAAGCAATTCTCCCTGCCTCAGCCTCTGGAGTAGCTGGGATTACAGGTGCCTGCCACCACGCCCAGCTAATTTTTGTGTTTTTTAGTAGAGACGGGGTTTTGCCATGTTGGCCAGGCTGGTCCTGAACTCCTGACCTCAGGTGATCCGCCCGTCTCAGCCTCCCAAATTTCTGGGATTACAGGCATGAGCCACCGCGCCGGCCTAGGCATAATATTTAATGTATATTTGAGGTCTGTCTTTGGACCACCTTCCTCTCTTATCCCAGCTAAGATACTGAGAGTACAAACTCCTGGTTATAATTCTAACTCCGCTGCTTACTACCTGTGTTAATCCAAATTCTCTGTGCCTCAATACTCATTAGTCACTGTGCCAATGAACTCTGGAACTCTGTGTGACTCTGGGAGTGTGTCGCAGTCCATCAGGTGAGTAGAATTTCTATAAATCGAGGACTACTGGTGTTGGACTATGGTAGGAAGCTCCCTGGGGTACTGTAGGAAGCAGGTGTCTCTATTTAGCAGCAGGACTGGCCCACAGGTGCTTTTACAGCGGCTGGCAAGTGTCTGCTCATGAATGAATGGATGGGTGGGAGCGGAGTGAAGGAGATTACGCCCCCAGGCCTCTGATCCCCAGGCTTGTAAAGGTGAGGGGGCCGCGGTGTGGCAAGAGGGAAAGAGTGCTTTGGTGTTTACAGGCCCCGACTTGAACTGAATCCTGGCTTTGCCACTTACGAGCGGCAGGACCCCTGGGTGAGTTCATTTACTCAGTTTCCTCTATTGTAGAATGGAGCTGGTAAGATCCATCTTCCCAACCCCACCCCAAATATTTGTGTTGAGAGTAAGTGGAACCCTTGATTCGAGAACCTAGTGCGGCCAGCGGACTAGGCCAGCGGAGAACCCTAGGAGCCCCGGGGGCGGGGGATGGGGGTGCAGGGTCCTGGCCGTGCAGGGGCAGCACGTGGGTGCCAAGCCCGCCTGCCGGTGCCAAGCCCGCCCGCCGGTGCCAAGCCCGCCCGCCAGTGCCTCTCGCGCGCACTCTGGATCCAGCGCCAATTTACCCCAATCCCGTAGCAGACGAGGGCTTGTGCGAGAGGGGGCCGGGCGGCTGCAGGGAAGGCGGAGTCCAAGGGGAAAACGAAACTGAGAACCAGCTCTCCCGAAGCCGCGGGTCTCCGGCCGGCGGCGGCGGCGGCGGCGGCGGCGGCGCAGGTGAGCAGGGCAGGGGGCAGCCGAGGGAGCGCGGGGAGCGGGGGCCGGGGGGCCACGTACGAGGGGCTGCAGGCCCAGCCGGGGCGGGACTCGCCAATCCTGCGTCCCCAGCTCAGGACGCGGACGCTGATCCGAAGCCCCTGGCCCCGGCTGGGTCAGCACTGGGAGAGCAGGCCCAGGTCCGCAGCCCGGGTGTGGGGCCCTCCCCAAATCCAGGGAAAGGATCGTGGAGCGGGGTGGGGACTGAAAGCCATTTCCTTCCCGTGAAGAATTTTTATCAGTGCAAGTAACAAATATTTCCCAGGCAGCAGTTGTGGGGCGGGGTCTAGTGGAAGACGAATAGGCCTAGTGGCTTGACACATGGAAAATACGGAGGCCTGAAATACTCATAGACTGGCTGAACAATCTTTGGCTAAAAATCTCTTCCGTGGAGAGTTGCAGTAGTTTCCCAATTGCCTGGCCGCAGTTCCTGTTCCCACTCCGTATCCTCACCCCTGAACCTCCACCCCCTACCTCTTCTCCACACCTCAGCATCTGGAATGTTCCTTTAAGTAAGAACCAGACTCTCCCCTGCTCCGACCTTCCCCGTAGCTTTCCTGTCTCATCAGAATCCTATAAACATTTATTAAGGCTCACAGGCAAGGCCCCTCGCACCCCCTACTCCGGCCACGCTGGCTTCCTTGCTGTTCCTGGTGCACAGCCAAGCATCCTCCAGCCTCTAGGCCTTTGCACTGCTTGTTTCTTCTTTCTGGAAAGCTTCTTCCCCAGATAACTGCATGGGGAAATCCCTCCCTTATCCTGCACTGCTTCCCATGCCAGCTTATCAGAGCAGCCTTCCTCAAACAACCTGCCTATACAAGAAACCCCGCTCTGCCCTTGCTGTTCCCCCTTCCACTACTTCGGTTGTCAACATAGTAGTTATCACCTGGTGACATTTTCTTTCTTTTCTTTTCTTTTTTTTTTTTTTTGAGACAGATTCTCACTCTGTCGCCAGGCTGGAATGCAGTGGCACGATCTGGGCTCACTGCAACCTCTGCCTCTCAGGTTCAAGCGATTTTCCTTCCTCAGCCTCCCAGGTAGCTGGGACTACAGGTGCCCGCCAGCACAGCCAACTAATTTTTTTATTTTTAGTAGAGACAGGGTTTCACCGTGTTGGCCAGGCTGTATGTAGTCTGCTGGAAAGGAAGTGGAGGCATAGCCAAAATAATTTCTGGGCATTAGTAAGATGGACAAATATTATTTTTTAGTGATTATGATGGAGGTTTCTTCCAGATGAGTGAATAAGATGTAGAATCTGCTCCCCAAAGAGCTCACTAATTAGTTTAAAAAGCAGTCAGGGCTGTGTTGAAGGTTGGGCAAGGTGGAGTGGCAAGCCCATACTAGCTGACCCTCCAGCATCAAAGAAGGCTGTGTTGATCCTGATAGATGAGTGGATATTGGTGGGTACAGAGAGAATGCAGATATTGCACTATAAATGTAGAGAAAAGCAGGTGACAAGTCCTGGATGGGGTATCTGGAGATATTTTGGTACTCACTCATTCATTATTGAGCCTGGTCCCTTACCTGTAGTAATTCATGCTCTATTTTGGAAAATAGTTAAATAAGCAATTTTAATAAAGGGGATGAGCACTGTGGAAGAGCCTGTGAAGGAGTGTCTGGGATTTTGAGCTGAAATCTGTAGGAAGTAGAAATTGACCAGGCCAAGACAGCAGAAGGAATAGAGTCAAGGGCATTTTAGGAGGGAGCAGGTTGGACAGAGGCAGTTGGGAGTTCAGGAGAGAGTCCATGGTGGAAGCGTGCTTTTGAGAACCATCATTGTGTCCGTGGAATTTAAAGCCACAAACCTGGAGGTGATCACCAGGGGAGTGAGTCCAAGTAGAAAAGAGCAAGTCTAAGGACCGGGCCCAGTGATGCTAGAATATCTAGAAAAGAGGAAGTTAGAACCATAGAAAAGGTTAAAAAAAAAAAAATAGAAGAAAAGAAGTTGAAGATGAACCAGGAAAGGAGACAGAAAAGGAGTAGCTTGTCAGAACAGAAGAAAACCAGGCCCAGGTGCCATGGCTCATGCCTGTAATCGCAGCACTTTGGGAGGCCAAGGTGGGTGGATCACCTGAGGTCAGGAGTTTGAGACCAGCCTGGCCAACATGGGGAAACCCCGTCTCTACTAAAAATATAAAAAATTAGCCGGGCGTGGTGGTGGGCGCCTGTAATCCCAGCTACTCGGAATGCTGAGGCAGGAGAATCGCTTGAACCCGGGAGGCAGAGGTTGCAGCGAGCCGAGATGCCACCATCACACTCCAGCCTGGGCAACAAGAGCGAAACTCTGTCTCAAAAGAAGAAAACTAGGAGAGTGGGTGTCTTAAAAGTCCAAGCTAAGACAGGGAGAGGAGGGCGAAGAGGATGCGCAACCCCATCAAATGCTGGTTGTAAGTCAAGTAGAGAAGGACTAAGAACTGACTACTGGATTTAGTGATAGGGAAGCCATTGGTAACCTCGACAAAAACAATTTCAGTGGCTTGTGGAGACTGCATGATTGAATTGATGTTTTTTTGTTTGTTTGTTTTGTTTTTGTTTTTTTTTTTGAGACGGAGTTTCGCTCTTGTTGCCCAGGCTGGAGTGCAATGGCACGATCTCAGCTCACCGCAACCTCCACCTCCTGGGTTCAAGCGATTCTCCTTCCTCAGCATCCCGAGTAGCTGGGATTACAGGCATGTGCCACCACCCCGGCTAATTTTGTATTTTTAGTAGAGATGGGGTTTCTCCATGTTGGTCAGGCTGGTCTTGAAGTCCCGACCTCAGGTGATCTGCCCGCCTTGGCCTCCCAAAGTGCTGGGATTACAGGTGTGAGCCACCGCGCCTGGCCACTGAATTGATGTTTTAAAAAGATCATGATGTGGCTGTATTAAAAAAGAAAACAGATAATAACAAGTGATGGTGAGGATGTGGAGAAATTAGAACCCTCGTGCATTGCTGGTGGAAATGTAACATGGGTGTAACCACTGTGGAAAACAATTTGGTGATTCATCACAAAGTTAAACAGAATTATCATGTGATTCAATTCCACTTATATACCACAAATATTCAGAAGTAGGGACTTAAACAGATATATGTATACCAGTGTTCACAGCAGCATGATTCAAGATGGCCAAAAGGTTGAAATAACCAGTGTCCATTCATAAATGAATGCATGAACAAAATATGGTATATATACACAACGGAATATTATTCAGCCTTAAAAAGGAAAGGAATTCTGACATATGCTACAACATAGATGAACCTTGAAGACATTTTGCTAAGTGAAATAACCAGACACAAAAGGACAAATACTGTTTGATTCCACTTATATGAGGTACCTAGAACAGGCAAATTTACAGAGACAGAAGAGAGATTAGAAAATATAAAAAATTAACCAGGCATGCCCACGCCTATGGTCCCAGCTACTCGGGAGGCTGAGGTGGGAGGATCGCTTGAGCCCAGAGTTCAAGGCTGCAGTAAGCTGTGATCACACCACTGCACTCCAGCCTGGGCAACAGAGCGAGACCCTGTCTCAAAAAAAAAAAAAAAAAAAAAGATTAGCAGAGACTGAAAGGACTGGGAAATGGGGAGTTACTGTTTAATGGGTACACACTTTCTGTTTGGAAAGATTAAGAGTTGTGGATGTGGATGTGGTGGCGGCTACACAACATTGTGAATGTACTTAAAGGCAGGGAATTAATACATTGAAAAATAGTACATTTCATGTTATGTGTATTTTATCACAATTTTAAAACATAAAAAAAAAAATCACAATGGTTGCAGGGTAGAGAAGGAATTGAAGTAGCTGTCGGAACTGGTTCTGAGATTCTCACAGCAATCCAGGAATGAGGTGGTGTTGGCTTGAACTAGGATGGTAAGTGTAGACATCTTTGAGAAGTAGAAAGATTTTGGTGACAGGACTTAGTTATAGATTAGAAGGCAGGGAGAGGAAATGTCAAGGATGCCTCCCAGATTGATGGCTTTCAGACTTGGATAGATGGTGGACTCATTTCCTGTGAAAGGAAACTTCAAACCAGCTTGGGAGAAGATCATACATGCAGTACAGGATATTTTGAGTTTAAAGTTCGTTCAAGATGTTCAAGTGGAGAATTTGGATAGAGAGATCTGAAACTCAGAGCGGTTCATAAGGAATATGTAAACTTTAGAGGTAATGGCGTATAGATGATCACTGAAATCATGGACGTGAAAGAAATCACCTTAAGGAGAAAGTATAGAGTGAAGAGAAGAGGATTGTTGGGCCATGCCAGCATTTAGAGCTACAAAGATTAAGGTGTGTTAAAAAGAGTGGCCCGGCCAGGCGTGGTGGCCCACACCTGTAATCCCAGCACTTTGGGAGGCTGAGGCTGGTGGATCACTGGAGTTCAGGAGTTGGAGACCAGCCTGGCCAACACCGGGAAACCTCAAAAATACAAAAATTAGCTGGGCGTGGTGGTGGGCACCTGTAGTCCCATAGTCCCAGCTACTTGAGAGGCTGTGGCAGGAAAATTGCTTGAACCTGGGAGGCAGATGCTGCAGTGAGCTGAGATCATGTTACTGCACTCCAGCCTGGGCAACAGAGTGAGGCCCTGTCTCAAAAACAAAAAACAGAAAGAGTGGCCCTGGAAGAAAGAAGATCAAAAGAGCTTTCCAAGAAGAATTAAGAGGTTTACAGGATCTGATTTCTGCCTTTATGGATTTACCGATTCTGGAAGTTTCATATAAATGGGAATCATACAATATGTGTGAAATTTTATGTCTGGATTTTTCATTTTGCATAATGTTTTTGAGGTTTATCCATGTTTTTGTTGTTGTGGTTGTTGTTTTTTGAGATGGAGTCTTCGCTCTGTCGCGCAGGCTGGAGTGCAGTGGCGCGATCTCAGCTCACTGCAAGCTCCGCCTGCCGGGTTCACGCCATTCTCCTGCCTCAGCCTCGCGAGTAGCTGGGACTACAGGCGCGCGCCACCGCGCCCGGCTAATTTTTTGTATTTTTAGTGGAGACGAGGTTTCACCGTGGTCTCGATCTCCTGACCTCGTGATCCGCCCGCCTCGGCCTCCCAGAGTGTTGGGAGTACAGGCATGAGCCACGGCGCCTGGCCTATCCATGTTGTAGCATGTATCAGTACTTCATTTTTTTTGTGACTGAATAATATTCCGCTGTGTAGATATATTTCACATTTTGTTCACCATTTATCCGTTGATGGACACTTGGTTTGTTTCCACCTTTTGGCTATTGTTAACAGTGCTGCTATGTACATTCCTGTCTAAGTCTTTGTTTGGAAACCTGTTTTCCAATTCTTTGAAATATCTAGGAATGGAATTGCTGAGTTTTATGATAATTCAAAGTTTACCTTCTAGAGGAACCCCAGCAACCGTATTGTTTTACATTCTTATCAGCAGTGTTTGAGGGGTCCAGTTTCTCCATGTCCTCACCAACACTTATTTTTTATTATTTCCTGATTATTATTATTATTGCCATACTAGTGGGTGTGAAATTGTATTTAGTTGTGGTTTTGAATTCCATTTCTTTAATGACTCATGATGTTGAGTATCTTTTCATGTGCTTATTGGCGATTTACATATTTTCTTTGGAGAGATGTCTGTTCAAGCCCCTTTGCCTATTTTTTTAATTGGGTGGTTTGTCTTTTTGTTGTTGAGCTGTAAGAATTCTTTATATATCTGGTTACTAGACCCTCATCAGATATATGATTTGTAAATATTCTATTCTGTAGATTGTCATTTTATTTTCTTCATAGTGTCCTTTGATACACAAACGTTTTAAATTTTGATGAAGCCCAATTTATCTCTGTTTTCTTTTGTTGCTTGTGCTCTTGCTGTCATAGCTAAAATTTTATCACCAAATCCAAAGTCATGAAGATCTCCCCCATATTTTCTTCTAAGAGTTTTATAGTTTTCGCTTGTACATTTATATTTTATATCCTCTAAATTTTGTTTATAATTTAAATCATTGCTATAGACTTGGTCCAGTGAGACCTATAAACAGAGGTCTTAATTTACTCAGTGGTTAAATTGTCCTAAAATTGATTTCTGCAAAATTCAGAGGGGAGATTTTTGGGATTTCATAGAGAAATCTATATCCATACAGTTAAATCCTTCATGATTTCATACACTTCACTTTTTTAAAGTATTAAAACTTTTTTATTTGAAGAATACGTGGGGAGAAGAGAAATATATTTCAGCACTTAGATATGTAGATTATTTCCAAAATAGTTTACCACTCAACTAGTCACTTCTGTGTAAATCAGTTTTCCCTGAAGCAAGCATTGTGTTGTTCCCGGCTACAAGCGGTCCTCATTTTGCATGGTACTGTGGGACCATAAAAATGGCCATGCAAAGCAATCTTAATAATCAATGGGGAAAATGATGATTGTTCCATGACCTTTAAAATTCTGCTAAAATATTAAAACTCTTAAGGTCAGTTATAAATGTAGAAAAAAATGCAAAAAAAATTTAAAAATATTTAGTACACTGTAATTTAAAACATTAAAAATAGAATTAAAGTGTTTTATTTCATTGTGAAAACTAAGTAGTTTGAATAGGGATTGCCTTTTTTTTCTGCCAAGTGACTTATGATACTGAGTAAGCATCTTTTCTATTCATGGCAAACTGTCATACTCCTTTTAAGTTTGGGTGAGCTTCCAGCCTTTTATTGCTTGTGCTTTCAATGTTGTGAAGTATTTCTGTATTCACATTAAATGCTCTTTAGTGTGAAGTTTGTTTTTTTTTTTTTTTTACCGTCACTTCCTCTGGGACATATTTATCTTTATTGCAATCACTTTTCTTATTTGTGTTGATAAGTTTGCCTTCACTAAGCTCCTATGAATGCACAGCAGGAAGAACATTCCCATGATCAGTGACTTCTTCTACAAATCCATTTATGTTTGATTCAAATTTCACTTCCAGTGTTATCATTTTTCGTTGCTTTGTTGGACTTTCATCTTTGTTGGCCAGTTCTTTCGATTGTTCACTTCTATAAAATGTCAGGTGGAGGACAAAGAGACAGTGTAACTACGTGCTCTGCTGTGAGTGAACTGATTAACAGATGCACAGGGACCAACCACTGGAAGAATTTGAAACAAGTAACACGACTGGTCACTGATCATGAAGCATATCTGTTATTTACATCGTGATTTGTAGACTGAAGAACTAGCAGAGAAGTTTGTACTTCCTGTAATTACTCAGAGTTATACTGTGCTACCTAAAATTTTAACCTAGGTTTAAACAACACCAGTTTCCTTACCAGTTTCCTTTCCTTCCTGGTAAGGAAACTGGTATTTAAACTAAATCTAGGTCACTGAAATTTGTGCCATGGGAACCGTGCACATTGAGGACCTGCCTACACCCTACATGTTTATATTGGTCCAGGCAGGCTTAATGCTGACTACTGAGAAATAGGCTATCTGAATTTATATCAAATAGTGAATCTTAAAGCACCCAAGATGAAAAATTCGTGCACATTGAGGTGCTTTTAAAATCTTTGTCATTTGACAATCAAGCTTAAAATGTATCTTAGAGTAACCGAATTTTAGAAATAAAGACCTTTAAAGGCCCCATAGTTTGATACCACAGATTATCCAGCATGTTTATAATGAATTATTTCTCCTCCTTCAATTTCAGTTTGCTCATACTTTGTGACTTGCGGTCACAGTGGCATTCAGCTCCACACTTGGTAGAACCACAGGCACGACAAGCATAGAAACATCCTAAACAATCTTCATCGAGGCATCGAGGTCCATCCCAATAAAAATCAGGAGACCCTGGCTATCATAGACCTTAGTCTTCGCTGGTATCACTCGTCTGTCTGAACCAGCGGTTGCATTTTTTTAAGCCTTCTTTTTTCTCTTTTACCAGTTTCTGGAGCAAATTCAGTTTGCCTTCCTGGATTTGTAAATTGTAATGACCTCAAAACTTTAGCAGTTCTTCCATCTGACTCAGGTTTGCTTCTCTGGCGGTCTTCAGAATCAACATCCACACTTCCGTGATTATCTGCGTGCATTTTGGACAAAGCTTCCAACCAGGTACAAGCGGTCTTCCGAATTTTGCACTCAGAAAAGTGGCATCATCTAAGTCAATTACATGCAAATTCTGGGGGGCTAGTTTTTTGTGTATGTTAAATGGGTCACAACACGACTTCTGTAAATCCTCAAATCTGTCAATATAAATTTTTATGTGATGAAAGCAAATTGTATTGTTCCTAGAAAGTGTCCTTCCAGTTCTAAGTTGAAGTAAAAGCATGTCATTTGATGACAATTCTTGCAACATCTTAAAACCTGTGTGACAAGTATAGTAGGTTTTATGGCACTCATTTGTAGTACGAAGCTGGACTGCAACTATCGATCCATCATTGTTGATTCTAGCATATTTTCCTTGTTTTATTTTGTCTAGAGATCTAGGTCACGGGCTGATCACCCTTAGCTTGAGCTCTCCTCCGCCTGGCTTCCGGCAGGATCCACGTCCACACAGGCACACTTGCCTGCCCGTTCATTTCCCAGCCTGTCCCCATGCTACCACTCCACTTCACTTATTATATATACTCTAAATCTTTTTCTTCTCAACATAAAACATTCTACAATCCTGCAGCCTTTTTACTTTTTTAAGCAGGTAGGCAAACATGTAGTTGATACTCAGTGGAAGCACAGAGCAGAGTTAAAGAGAAGGACCCCCTTTCACTGACCAGTTGAGTTTTTTTTCTTTCCTTTATTTTTTAAAACAATTTCAAAATTGAGATGGGGTTTCGCCATGTTGCCCAGGCTGGTCTCGAACTCCTGAGCTCAGGTGATCCGCCCACCTTGGCTGGGATTATAGGCGTGAGCCACCACACCTGGCCAAGTTGAGTTTTTAAAGTAGAAAATTTTGGAGAAATTAACTTTATTGTGCAGTGAATGAGAAAGAAAGAACGGTTTTGAAAGAAAGTCTCTGCATTTATGTGAGACTGAGATGAGTCCTATAAAGGGGAGTCTCCCCAACCCCTCTGTCTCCTAAACTGCATTGGGAAACTCAGATTAAATATGTTCTGTGAGCATCACTCATTCAAATGTCTCTTCCATTGTAGGATACGGGAAGAAGAAATGGCTGGTGATCTTTCAGCAGGTTTCTTCATGGAGGAACTTAATACATACCGTCAGAAGCAGGGAGTAGTACTTAAATATCAAGAACTGCCTAATTCAGGACCTCCACATGATAGGAGGTAGGTTGCTATAAAAAATGATATGGCAGCCATAAAAAATGATGAGTTCATGTCCTTTGTAGGGACATGGATGAAGCTGGAAACCATTATTCTCAGCAAACTATCGCAAGGACAAAAAAACCAAACACCGCATGTTCTCACTCATAGGTGAGAACTGAGCAATGAGAACACATGGACACAGGAAGGGGAACATCACACACCAGGGACTGTTGTGGGGTGGGGGGAGGGGGGAGGGATAGCATTAGGAGATATACCTAATGCTAAATGACGAGTTAATGGGTGCAGCACACCAACATGGCACATGTATACATATGTAACCTGCACGTTGTGCACATGTACCCTAAAACTTAAAGTATAATAATAATAAAATTAAAAAAAAAAGAAAAAAGATATGACCTTATAAATGTAAGCTGGGGGAATGGCAACTCTGGCACAACTTTGAGGTCAACACTTTAGTTTTGTGAGAGTGCTCTTGGCATAAAGTGGGAACCATGGTGGAGCCACAGTTGACTCCAGAGAGAAAAGAGGGTAGAAACCTTTCCATGCTTCAACAAGACATGCTGCTTTACTGTTTGAGGTGACTGCTTAAATGCTATATTGAATGTAGGTTCAAACCCTCAAAGGTAGTCATAGGAGGTAGTGATGACTAGAGTACTTGTTTTTAGATAGTGCATGAGTTGTATAATATTTTATGAATATTCTCTTTGTAATCAGGTTTACATTTCAAGTTATAATAGATGGAAGAGAATTTCCAGAAGGTGAAGGTAGATCAAAGAAGGAAGCAAAAAATGCCGCAGCCAAATTAGCTGTTGAGATACTTAATAAGGAAAAGAAGGTGAGTGATTGCCTTTTTTCCTAATAAATGGGAACTTGCAAATACATTTTCTGTTTCTCTCTGTGAGAAAATACTTTCATACAGAGTAAAGCCATTCACACGTTCCCTTACATTCAAGAGTTTGGTTAAGTCATTCACCCTATCTTCATTTCTATGAAACCCTGAGTGAGAGCCACACCTAGGACACCATGGGCAAAGCTGGATAATAGTTATTTAGAGTGTCAGCAGCAGTTAAATACTCTAAAGTTGAACAAATATGGAAAGGTGAGAAGTGTTCAGTGGGAAATGAGCTGACAGGTTCTGGGAGGAGTCCCCTCCACCTAAATGAGGAAGTACAGTAAAAAAGGAAAAAGAGATGAAAGTGATTGTAGGGAGAATAATGTACAGTGGTCACTCACTCTCTGTGGGGAATTGGTACCAGGACTCCCTGTGGATGCCAAAATTCACTGATGCTCAAGTCCTTTATATAAAATGGCATAGTATTTACATATAACCTATTTACATCTTCCCATATACAGTTATGCATTGCTTAACAAGGAGAATACATTGTGAGAAATGCACCTTTGGGCAATTTCCTCATTGGGCAAACATCATAGAGGTACTTACACAATCCTGAATGGTACAACCAGTACACACCTAGGCTGTGTAGTATAGCTTATTGCTCCTAGACTACGAACCTATACAGCATATTATTGTACTGAATACTGTAGCCAATTGTAACACAATGTTTAGTATTCATGTATCTAAACATATCTAAACACAGAAAAAGTACGGTAAAAATACAGTATAAAAGACAAAAGGCTGGGCTTGGTGGCTCACACCTGTAATCCTAGCACTTTGGGAAGCTGAGGCGGGTGGATCACCTGAGGTCAGGAGTTGAAAACCAGCCTGGCCAACATGGTGAAACCCTGTCTCTACTAAAAATACAAAAAATTAGCTGGGCGTGGTGGTGGACGCCTGTAATCCCAGCTACTTGGGAGGCTGAGGTAGGAGAATTGCTTGAACCCGGGAGAAGGAGGTTGCAGTGAGCTGAGGTTGTGCCACTGCACTCCAGCCTGGGGATCCTATCTCAAAAAAAAAAAAAAAAAAAAAAAAAAAAAAAAAAAAAAAGACAAGCAAAAGTACACCCATATAAGGCACATACCATGCATAAATAGAGCTTGCAGGACTGGAAGTTGCCCTGAGTTTGTCAGCAAGTGGGTGGTGAATGAATGTGAAGGCCTAGGGCATTATTGTTTACCACTGTAGACTTTATAAACACTGTATACATAAGCAACATTCATTTTATTTAAATTTTTTTTCTTCAATAATAAATTAACCTTAGCTTACTATAACTCTTTTACTTTATAAACTTCTTATTTTTAACATTTTCACTCTTTCCAAATAACACTTAGCCTAAAACACAAACGCGGCCAGGCGCGGTGGCTCATGCCTGTAATCCTGGCACTTTGGGAGGCCAAGGCAGGCAGATCACCTGAGGTCAGGAGTTTAAGATCAGCCTGGCCAACACGGTGAAACCCTGTCTCTACTGAAAATACAAAAATTAGCCGGGCATGGTGGTGGGCACCTATAATTCCGGCTACTTGGGAGGCTGAGGCAGGAGAATTGCTTGAACTCAGGAAGCGGAGGTTGCAGTGAGCCGAGATCGTGCCACTACATTCCAGCCTGGGCGACAAGGCAAGACTCTGTCTCAAAAAAAAAAAAAAAAAAACCCACAAAACCACAAACAAACACATAGTATGGCTGTACAAAAATATTTTGTTTCTTTACATGTTTATTCTATAAGCTTTTTTCTATTTTTAAAATTTTAAACTTTTTTTTTTAACTTTTAAACTTTGTTGTAAAAAATTAAATCATGGTTGGGCATAGCGGTTCATGCCTGGGATGTCGAGGAGCCATGATTGTGCCACTGTACTCCAGCCTGGGTGACAGAGTGAGACCCTGTCTCAAAACAAAACAAAACAAAACAAAGGCTGGGTGTGGTGGTTCATGCCTGTAGTCCCAGCACTTTGGTAGGTCAAGGTAGGTGGATCACTTGAATTTGGGAGTTTGAGATTAGCCTAGGCAACATGGTGAAACCCTGTCTGTACTAAAAACACAAAACATTAGCCGGGCTTGGTGGCATGTGCCTGTAGTTCCAGCTACTCAGGAGGCTAGGCGGGAGGATCACGTGCCTGAGAGGTCAGGGCTGCAGTGAGCTGTGATCTTCTGACTGCACTCCAGCCTGGGCAACAGAGCAAGACCCTGTCTCAAAAAAAAAAAAGAAAGAAAAAAAATTACAACACAAACACACACATCAGCCTAGGCCTACACAGCGTCAGGATCATCTACATCACCATCTTCCACCTCCAGATTTTGTCCCTCTGGAAAGTGTTCAGGAGCAATAACATACATGGAGGTGTCATCTCCTATTGTAGCAATTCCTTCTTTTGGATTACCTACCGAAGGACCTGCCTGAGGCTGTTTTACAGTTTACTTTTTTTTTTTTAAGTAGAAGGAGTAACTTCTAAAATAATGATAAAAAAAGTATAGTAAATATATAAACCAGTAAGTTACTTATCATTATCCAGTATTATGTACTATACATAATTGTGTGTGCTAGACTTTTTTATAAGACTGTAGAACAGTAGATTTGTTTACAGTAGTGTCACCACAAATGTGTGAGTAATGCATTGTGCTGTAACCCAGGAGTTTAAAATTATCCTGGGCAATATGGCGAAATGCTGTCTGTACTAAAAATATGAAATTTAGCCATTACAGTGGCTATGACCTCATTAGATGACAGTAATTTTTTAGCTCCATTATAATCTTATGGGACCACTGTCATATATGCAGTCCATTGTTGACCAAAATGTGATTATGTAGTACATGATTATCCTTTAGATCATCTCTAGATTACTTATAATATCTCTAATACAATGTAAATGCTATGTAAATAGTTTTTTTGTTGTTGTTGTTGTCGTTTTTTGAGACAGGGTCGTACTCTGTCACCCAGGCTGGAGTGCAGTGGCATGATCAAGGGTCACTGCAGCCTCAATCTCCCCAGGCTCAGGTGATCCTCCCACCTTAGCATCCCAACTGGCTGGGACTACAGGCACGAGCCACCACACCTGGCCAATTTTTGCATTTTTTGTAGCGATGGAGTCTCACTATGTTGCCCAGGCTGGTCTTGAACTCCTGGACTCAAGCAATCTGCCCACCTCAGCCTCCCAAAGTGCTAGGATTGCAGGCATGAGCCACCACACCCAGCTATAAGTAGTTGTTATGCTGTATTGTTTAGGGAATAATACAAGAAAAAAAATCTGCATATATTTAGTACAGATGCAACCATCATTTTTTTTCCAAATATTTTTGATCCATGATTGGTTGAATCCAGGGATTTGAAACCCGTGGATATAGCGAGCCAAGTGTTTACAGAGAGCAGGTAATGGAGAACCAATATACATGTGACTGGTATCCCGGAAAATAAGAACAGAGTAAATAGTGCAGAAGAAAATGATCTGAAGAGATTTCAGCAGACAATGTTTATGAAATAAAGAAAGACTTGACTGCAGATTAAAACAACTTAATAGATACAGGAAAATTTAGAACCACCCAGACCAACATTGATTCTTTTTTTTTTTTTTTTTTGAGACAGAGTCTCGCTCTGTTGTCCAGGCTGGAGTGCAGTGGCACAATCTCACTGCAACCTCCGCCTCCCATGTTCAAGCAATTCTCTGCCTCAGCCTCCTGAGTAGCTGAGATTACAGGCACCCACCACCACGGCCAGCTAATTTTTTGATATTTTTAGTAGAGACAGGGTTTCACTATGTTGGCCAGGCTGGTGTTTAACTCCTGACCTCGTGATCCACTCGCTTTGGTCTCCCAAAGTGCTGGGATTACAGGTGTGAGCCACCGCGCCCGGCCCCAACATTGATTCTTATGAAAGTACTGTGCTCCAGAGATGAGGAAAGAATTTTATAAGCATCTAGAGAGAAGAGGAAAACTATGTAAAATGTAAAAATTTTTAAAATTTCATGCTGTGCACAGCAACATTATAAACCAGGAGATAGTGTAGCAATGCTTATAAAATGAAACATGAAGTCATTTACATTTTAGACACCAGAGGGCCATTCTCAGATTTGGAAAATGTTGGGAAAATTTAGGTTTCAAGGTTCTTTCTTGAAAAATCTACTTAAAGATACCCTTCTAACCAATTTTTTTTTAACTCAAGCAAAAGTGCAAAGTATAATTATTAATGAGGTAGAAAATTGAGTCAAGAAGTTAGAAAAAACAAAAAACAGAATGTTTTACCCCCAAAAAGCAGAAGAAAGAAAATAACAATGGTTGAAATTACTATAAAAGAAATAAAAAATAAAAAAAAAAGATCAATAAAACCAAAAGCTAGTTTTTTGACAAGATTAATAAAATAGCAAAACTCAGCCGGGTGTGGTGGCTCACACCTCTAATCCTAGCATTTTGGAAGGCTGAGGCGGGCAGATAACTTGAGCTTAGGAGTTCGAGAACAGCCTGGGCAATATGGCCAAACGCTGTCTCTACAAAAAATACAAAAAAATTACCCAGGCATGGTGGTGTGTGCCTGTAGTTCCAGGTGCTTGTGAGGCTGAGACAGGAAGATGGTTTGAACCCAGGAGGTCAAGGCTGCAGTGAGCTGAGGTTGCACCACTGCACTCTAGCCTGGGTGACAAAGTGACACCCTGTCTGAAAAAAATTAAAAAAATATCAAAACTTTGGACAAGATTTTTGTCGGACTAAGAAAAAAAGGTAGAGATAATAATAGTAGAAATGATGCTATTATATTCATCTTTTTCATTAAGTTATGATCCAGTATACAGCTTTACTGTAATATCTCTTGCCTTGTTTTTTGAGATTAGAAAGGGTATAACAAGCTAGAAAGTGTTATAGTACTTTCCAAGGACAAACAAGAAAAAGTGACTTCTTTCCTATTGTTAAAATCTATCTTCGTCGATTTTTTTCTGGTAGAGGGAGATACGTAGTCACACTTTTGCTCAAGGTAATATAATAGGAAAATATATAACATCCAAGTTGTCTTTCAAATTGCTCATTTAGTAATTTTATTAGAAGAATGATTTTTAAAAGGTTAAATCTTTGTTGTCATTTATATTAAACAGGAATTTTTTTTCTTTGTAGGCAGTTAGTCCTTTATTATTGACAACAACGAATTCTTCAGAAGGATTATCCATGGGGAATTACATAGGCCTTATCAATAGAATTGCCCAGAAGAAAAGACTAACTGTAAATTATGAACAGTGTGCATCGGGGGTGCATGGGCCAGAAGGGTAAGACATAATTTGGCTTTTCTTTCTGTTTCATTGTATTTAAGCAATAAAGTTGGTTTATTTTCGTGTCTAATTTTCCAGAAATATGTGTCCTTTTAAGCATTCTGTATGCAAGGTTTTACATGATTGATAAGTAATTGGATTTATAATTTGTAATTAAAATGCTTAATTGCTGAAGCCATGGAACCCATTTACCATAATTGATCAAATTAGGGTAATCCTTTATTTCAGAGAAGTAGCTGGATGGTTTAGTCTGTGGAACACCCAAGAGAGTACAGGGTGCCACTGCTCGAAGAATACAGAAATCTTTTCATCATTGAGGACATGATGGTGGTAACTGTCTGAAAACCTCTCTGCCACATGTATAGAATCACTCTTCACCCTTGTCAGATCAGGGAGCTCTTTGTCCAGGTATTTGTCCTTCAAATTTGATTAAATGAACAAATACCATGTATCAGAAGGAATGAGCTTTAGCCCTAGACTATGAGGAGACCGGGATTTGAGGGATCTGATGAGACAGATGAACTAGAGTTTCAAAGTTACTGAGAACATCACCAGTGAGCTAAGATGTGTGGAAATAGGATAAAGAATGGATTGGAACTGAAAAAAGCAGAAATCAAATGAGTATGAGGCAATTGTTTTTCAACTACAACCAACCAGTTAAAGAGAAAGAAGAAAAAAAATATCTACATGGCAAATAGTTTAAATCATCACTTTAGGATACACTTCTATGAATTGACTCAGCTATTTACAGTCATGGCTTTTGAGCCAAAACCAGGAAGAGAAAAATGTTATAGTATTCATTGGAATGAAATAGTCAAAAGTGAATCTGTGAGTCAATCTCAATAATTAAGAGATGATTTTATTTTCTGTAGCTCACTTTTTTGGTTTCTTTAAATTATGCTAACATTAGATACCTAAAAGAAAGAAGAAATCTGTTTGCGGGGGGGGGCAGTATCTGAAAAAAATAGGAGCTATAGAAATGATCCAGTCACTCAACCCAGCTATTTAATTCAGGGTCTAGCGGGGAAGACTCACCCTGTTTGGATGTGTTTCTCTCGATGGCTTCCAACAGAAACATAAAGCAAAAGGAGTTCAAATACTGGAATCATTTTTCAGTAATAGATAGTAACCCTGTGATATAAATTGCCATGTCCATTGTTTTATCCCTTAAAAATAGTTATTATATAATTGTCCAAGTATCCTTGCCTAACCACAAATGTCCTTACATCTAATAGGAGGAGAGTGTGGACTTTAGTATAGGGAATCTGCACTGTGGGGATTTTCTCAAATTTTTGTGCACATGAGCAGATGGCAGACAATGGTGAAGTTAGAGCAGAATCCATGCTTTGCTCTTCCCCTACACTATAACCTCATAGCTTCTCCTGTGGAAGCCTACTTTCTCTGCTGGCTTTTTCCTTCCCATTTGAGCACCTCTGAAAAAATTCACTGGATCTCTTTCTTTCTTTTCTACCTCCGTATCTTTTGACCTTTGGGGAATTAAAAAAAAAAAATCACCACTTAGTGCCTTTGTGCCAGATCTTTCAGCAAAGCAACAAAAAATTAGAAATTGCCTGGAAAATGCAAGCTCAGATGTCAGCTGATCCTGGGTATTCAGAGAAATTGGTCAGGCATGTTACTGAGGGTTTAAATTATGCAAGATATGAACTATAAATCTATCTAATAAATTGGTGTTATCTTAAGATCTCTGTTAATATGTTATTTTTTTTGAATCCTAAGTTGGATTTGCTATATTTTTCATGTTTGGATAAGTACCTTCTATGATTTCTCCTAGATTTCATTATAAATGCAAAATGGGACAGAAAGAATATAGTATTGGTACAGGTTCTACTAAACAGGAAGCAAAACAATTGGCCGCTAAACTTGCATATCTTCAGATATTATCAGAAGAAACCTCAGTGGTACGTATTGCCTTTGGATTAAATTTTTATGTTTTAAAATTCCCTCTGAAGTTGACTTGAGGTTAGACTGTGTTAACATTATGCCAAGACAGCCAGTGATTTAGCAAAATGATTCCTCCATTCTGTGTCGTACCGATGAGCCATGCACCATGGGGCCATGAGGCCTCAGAGGGATAAAATTTCTGGTGGCAACTCAGGGTAGTTTTTAAACTCCAGGCTGGGCTGGGTGTGGTGGCTCACACCTGTAATCCCAGCACTTTGGGAGGCCAAGGCAGGTGGATCTCCTGAGTTCAGGAGTTTTTTTTTTTTTTTTTTTGAGATGGAATCTCGCTCTGTTGCCCAGGCTAGAGTGCAGTGGCACGATCTCGGCTCACTGCAACCTCCGCCTCCCATGTTCAAGCAATTCTCCTGCCTCAGCCTACTGAGTAGCTGGGACTACAAGCGCCTGCTACCGTGCCCGGCTAATTTTTTATTTTTAGTAGAGATGGGGTTTCACTATGTTGGCCAGGCTGGTCTTGAACTCCTGACCTCATGATCCACCCACCTCAGCCTCCTAAAGTGCTGGGGTTTACAGGCTTGAGCCACTGCACCTGGCCGAACTCAGGAGTTTCAGACCACCTGGCCGGGGCAACACAGCAAAACCATGTCGCTACAAAAAAAAAAAAAAATTAGACGGGTGTGGTGGCATGTACCTGTAGTCCTAGCTACTCAGGAGGCTGAGGCGGGAGGATTGCCTGAGCCTGGGAGATGGAGGTTGCAGTGAGCCAAGATTGTGCCACTGCACTTCAACCTAGACAACAGAGCCAGATCCTGTCTGAAAAGAAAGAAACAAACAAAATATCTGCCCTGTGATCCAGAAAAGTAAAATAAAAAATAAAATAAAATCCAGACCAAACATCCAAAAAATGTTATTAATCTTGTAATTGTTTATGGTTGTGGATTTGGTAAATGTGTTGAAATAAATGTGATAGTACATAGAAACTGAGCCTCTGTAGAGAAATAATTAGTTGTATTTAAGCCTACTAAGGGATACTTTTTCTTTCAGAAATCTGACTACCTGTCCTCTGGTTCTTTTGCTACTACGTGTGAGTCCCAAAGCAACTCTTTAGTGACCAGCACACTGTAAGTGTAGACAAACAATTGAGATACTTAACATATTCATATTTCTGTCTGAAAGACAGATTTTTATGTTTAAGGAGAATTTAGGGAAAGAAATAAGTGATAAAAACAGAATTAATAAACTAATAGTTACACCCTTTTCTTCTAGCGCTTCTGAATCATCATCTGAAGGTGACTTCTCAGCAGATACATCAGAGATAAATTCTAACAGTGACAGTTTAAACAGTTCTTCGTTGCTTATGGTATCGTATTAGTCTCGAAGCTTCCTACTTAATCTTATTTTTCTGTGCGTTTCCTCATTTAAAAATAACTTCCAGTATTCCACCATAATTTTTATATTTTTTATCTTATGCACTCTTACTAAATGATAATACCTCAGTAGACTTTTTTTTTTTTTTTTTTTGAGATGGAGTCTCCCTCTGTTGCCCAGGCTGGAGTGCAGTGGTGAGATCTTGGCTAATTACCACCTCCACCTCCTGGTTCAAGCGATTCTCCTGCCTCAGCCTCCTGAGTAGCTGGGATTACATGCGCGTGTACCACACCTGGCTAATTTTTGTACTTTTAGTAGAGACGGGGTTTCACCATGTTGTTCAGGCTGGTCTCGAACTCCTGACCTCGTGTTCTGCCCACCTCGGCCTCCCCAAGTGCTGGGATTACAGGCATGAGCCACCGCGCCCGGCTCGGCAGCTTTTTGACTTTTTTTAAAATTAAGTTCCATTCCTTACCCTTCCACACGTCACTTCTGTCTTTCCTCACTCATCCTTATATTTTAGTATATTCCTATGATTTTGCTTTTCTCTCCTACCAATGGGATAATATTTAAAGATTCACTAATATAGTTCGTTTCTGTTTTTAAAAATTAGAATTAAACTTAAAAGTAAACTTGAAATCAGATAATTTTTTAGGCTGGTGCAGTGGCACATGCCTGTAGCCTGCAGCACTTGAGAGGCCAAGGTAGGAGGATCGCTTTAGCCCAGGAGTTTGAGACCAGCCTAGGCAACATAGTGAGACCCTCATCGCAAAAACAAACAAACAAACAAAAACCAGACAATTTTTTTGTGCACATAAGCAGGCAATGTTGAACTTAGAGCAAAATCCATGCTTTTGGTGATTAGTGTTACAAGAGTATTCTGTTATAAAGAACTACAAATCAATAAGAAAATGGCAAGCAGCTCAGTAGAAAAGTGTACAAAATGTATAAACAGATATTCAGAGAAGAGATACCCAAATGGGCAACAAATATTAAAAGCTGCTTTACTAGGAATCAGGAAAATTTAAATCAAAACAATTAGATACTATTTTAAACTCATTAGATTGGCAAAAAGTTAAGTCTTACAATACTAAGTGTTGATACAGGGCTTGATGAGAGTACAGACATTGATGGACTAAGAAATTGGTCAGAGAGCCATCTAGATATACAGGAGGAAGGAAAACGGGAAAGGAAGATGACTGATTTAGTCATCTGAAACTATTTCTCATTTTCTTTTGTTATAGAATGGTCTCAGAAATAATCAAAGGAAGGCAAAAAGGTGAGTATCATTATGCATTGAACATATTTTGATCTGAAGTTTTATTTCAGACTTATTTATTGTTCTTAATACTTGTAGAGTATTGTACACCCTTATTTGAGCAGAGTTTCAGAAGCAGAAAGCTTGAAATCTATAAACAAATAATTTTAGATGTGTCGAGAAATCTTTGACTATGTGCACATGCTACACTGTAAACATAAAGCACTTTGGGGGTATCGCTAGAGTAATTAGGTTAAGGGCATTATTTTGTACAAGACTGGCAAGGAATTGGGCTGTTTTCACTGTAGAAGTGTTTTCAAGAGAAGTGTATTATTTTGCAGACAAGTAAGGTTAAAATAGCATAAAAACTTGGATTAAAAAAAGGTCAAATGCTATGTCAATTAACTGAAGAGAAAGGCAAAGATGTAAATATAGTCAGAAATGACAGTAAGATGGCAGTAGGAGCCATTATGAGCCACCAGTATATTCTGAGCAGTAGATAGATGTATTGAAGAAACATGGTTCTTGATGTGGATGCTTGGATGGAGAGAAGAGAGTTCTGCACATGAGGTGCCCTCAGCCACGATTACTGTGGCAGTCAGGAGGGATGAGGAGAATGTGTGAGAAAGACTGTAAAGGAAGAGTGGACATGACTTGAGGGAATAGGTTCCCCGTAGCTGAGTGAAAGCATGAAGGAGAGGTAAAGGAGAAAGGATTTGAAGATTGCTTCACTTTGAACAGGATGCAGTCAAGAACCATGGCACTAATGGTGTTAAGGAAGTTAAGGAGTTAAGGGCTTAGAGAGAAGACAGCAGTTTGGATATGTTTAGTTTTAGGTGGTATTTAAACTTCCATTTGCAGGTGGCTTATCATCAGTAAGGAATAACAGCTAGGATGAGGGTGTAAGGAGATGTACTTCCTGAGGTTTTGAGTCTGGAGGAGGAAAAGGAGAGGTTAGTGACGCATCAACAATGAGCACTCTAAGGTGGAAAAAGGAACCAGAGGAGGGATGAAAAAGTATTAGAGGCCAGAGGAGAACGGTAAGTATATAGTTTTATAAAGAAAAAAGTTGGCTGGGTGCTGTGGCTTGCGCCTGTGATCCCCAGCACTTTGGGAGGCCAAGGTGGGAGGATGGCTTGGGTCCAGGAGTTCGAGACCAGACTGGGTAACATGAAGAGACCCTGTCTCTACTAAAAATAAAAAGAATTAGCCAGGTATGGTGGCACATGCCTGTAATCCCAGCTACCTGGGAGGCTGAGGTGGGAGGATCTCCTCTGAGCCCAGAATTTCAAAGTTGTAGTGAGCTATGATCACACCACTGCACTCCAGGCTGGGAGATGGGGTGAGACCTTGCCTCTGAAGAAAAAAAAAGAAAGAAAAAGGTTAACATTAACACTAAATAAGTTATATTTGATTTCAATTTTATTTGAGTTTTACATTCAACTCTTAATTTTTAGATCTTTGGCACCCAGATTTGACCTTCCTGACATGAAAGAAACAAAGTATACTGTGGACAAGAGGTAAGATTTTAAGTGCTGAAGAAAGAAGAAGGGGTAATGCTGTCGGTGGATGTTTTTGGTAGTTGTCTGTGAAATGGCCATGATCCTGTCAGTTAAAAATATTTGAATAAGATTAACTACGCAGGGTAAGAACAATAGTCTTAGGCTTATCATTAAGAGGGGGCCCAGGAATGGGATGACCCATATTATGATTTTGTTCCCAAACCAAGAATCTAGTTGGTTGTTTTGATACTCCCTTAGCTTTTTAGCCCTTTCTTTAAGTTTTTCATCAGCGTTTCTTACTAGGCCCAATTGGTTGAGATAAAAGCAACATTCCTCACCCAATGAGAGGCAGAGGTCCCTTTTTTCAGCCATTATTAGATCTAGTCCCCATCTGTTTTGGAGGACTACTCCAGCCGAGGAGTCTAGTTTGTCTTGGACTCTTATAATGCTTCAGGCTATATCTTCTAAAGAACCCTGTAATTCTGTGGAAAGAGCTTTAAAGTATGTTAAGGGAGTGGCCAATCTGCCTGCTCCCAATCCAAGTCTGGAGGTTATATCCAAGGCAGCCATTAAAGGAATGACGTGGATGGCCCTCCTCTTCCTAACGTATTGGATGGATGGAATGGGCAAAGGTTGGCTAGGAGGAATTAGTCCAATGGAGGGAGAAAGATAAACTAGGGTACAGGTTCCAGTCCAGTTAGTGGGGAGACAAAGATATGTGTTGGTGCCACTCACACAAAAAATAAGCCTTTGTCATAAATACAGTTGGAGATACAGAAAGAAAACAAGTGAATTAAAGATGGGTGTTTTTTCTTTCCTATGGTTCATTACTCCAGGTGGTCAAGGAGGAGGTCAAGGAGACACCCACTATAGTAGCGATATAGGAAGAGTTATTTTTTACACATTTAATACGATTTGATGTTGCACCATTGCATTGATGTTGAGCCATGGATAAAGGTGGGCGCTAGGGGCAGCACAAATTAGGCCAGAGGCATTGGTTGAGGGAGAGGCTGCAAAACGAACAGGTTGCAGAAATGCTCCATTCGTTTCAGGTGATACTTGGTAGTCAACTCGGTTAGTTTGATGGTCAGCAGGGTGTTTAACAATGATAATGCGGTTGCATTGGTTAGGTTTAAGGATCTTACACGGAAATTTCCCTCAGAGGCTGAAAAGCAAAGTGAGGCTTGTTGTAAAAGTGGGGTGTGTTTAATTATGGGCCCTTCAATGGGAGGGCCTTGTGGCTTAAGGCGTTGTAGGGAGTTGTAATAGGTTTGAAATAATGTGTTGGCCTGATTGACCTTGGAAGTGGGATAATCGCCAACCAGACTGTCAGCTCTTTCAAAAAAGGAAGCTCCTTTTTGGAGTTTATAGATTAGGGTTACGTTTTCTGTTAAAAGGTCATGAAGGGGTGTAGGAAGGGATGTATAAGCTGAAGAAGACAGCGATAAACACATCCAGCATTCTGGAGCAAAGGAAGAGTTAGCTTGCAGCAAGAGGGGTTGTGTAAGGTTTATAGAACGTTCTAGTTTGATAGCAGTGAGGAGTGGTTGTATCGGTGAGGTTGATGTGATTAGGGAATTTAGATAGAAAGAAACAACAAAAGGAGGAAAAAGTTTGGGTAGGAATAAAGTCCTGGAAGGTTCCTTGAAGCCATAAATCCCGTGGAATAGTAAGGAGCTGATCAGGATGTATAATGAGAGTTTCATAAGGATACCACTGAAGGTCTGTAACAAGGCTAGTTAGGAAGCAATGAAAGTTTGGGAGAGAAAGAGACATAGCTGCTTAGGTGAATTTCTCTTCCTTTTCCTCCGGCATTCATGTGAGATGAAGGGAAGTGGATCCTGTGGAGACACAAGAGAGGCTGAAGGTGGTTTAGATTTGATTGTTTGGATGTGTAGTGAAGGGAAGTCTGTGTTCTTGAGAGAAGTATAATGAAACCAGCTGGGGAGTCCCTGGAGCTTTGCTGCTGTGGGTGTAGTGAGGAAGATCTGGTAAGGCCCCTTCCATTTTGGTGTGAGGGGGGAATTGGGGGTAGGGCTGGGACCTTTTACCAGAACCCAGTTTCCTGACTGTAGGAAGGGATTAAAGGAGTTGTATTTTGTCAGCATATTCCCAAATGAAATGGCAGATGATATGCAGAAGAGGAGAAATGAGAGGGGTTGTTAGAGGTGGGGCTTGACCCTGAGGTGGAACAAAAGGAGCATGAGTTCAAATACTTATGCTCAAAACTCCCATACATGAGTTCAAAGGGGATGAGCATTAAAGGTTTACGTGAGAGTGCCCGAATTTTTAGGAGGGCCAAAGCTAGAAGTGTAACCCAGTCTTTATGTGTTTGGAGTGAGTACCTGGTGCGGGTGATTTTTAGAATGCCATTCATTTTTTCAACCTTTCCTGAAGACTGGGGTTGATAGGGGATGTGTAGCTTCCAGGTGATTCGTAGGGCTTGTGCAAGTGTTTGAGTAATTTGAGAAATGAATTCAGGACCATTATCAGATTGAAAAGAAGGAGGCACCCTGAACCTGGGGATGATTTCTGTTATTAATTTGGAGGTGACAGTCGAAGCTCATTTGTTGGTTTTCGGAAAAGCCTCAACCCATGCCGAAAAGGTATCAACCAGAACCAAAAGAAATCGAACCTTTTTTACTGGGGGCATATGGGTAAAATCAATTTCCCAGTCTTGTCTTGGAAGGTGTCCCCTGGCTTGATGGGTTGGAAAAGAAGGGAGTCCAGTGTTGGAATGGGGTGAAGCTTTCTGGCAAATAGAGCATTGATGGAAAATGGCTTTCAACTGTTCCTTTATATCTGGGGTTATGTGTATGTGGGAACTTAAGAAATGTTGTAGAGGGGAATGGCTAGTGTGCAAGAGGTTGTGGATGTCCCATAACAGAGTTGTTTTTTGTTTGTTTGTTTTTTGAGACAGATTCTTGCTCTGTCACCCAGGCTGGAGTGCAGTGGCACGATCTCAGCTCACTGCAATCTCTGCCTCTGGGGTTCAAGCGATTCTCCTGCCTCAGCCTCCTGAGTAGCTGGGATTACAGGCACGCACCACCATGGCTGGCTAATTTTGTATTTTTAGTAGAGACAGGGTTTCACCATGTTGATCAGGCTGGTCTCAAACTCCTGACCTCGTGATCCGCCCGCCTCAGCCTCCCAAAGTGTTGGGATTACAGGCGTGACTACCGCACCTGGCCAAGAGTTGTTTTTTCAGGGTCAGGTAGGACTAATTTGTTTTGTATGACAGTATGGGAGTTTGAATTGTGCCCCCGCTGTGAGTAGTTGTTGTATTTGGTGTTTGGGATAAAAGGGGATATGTTGTGTGAGGGGAAATAGATACTAGAGAATTGGATGGTTGGTTGAGGTGTGTTTTGCCCAATAGTCAGCCTCACGGTTCCCTAAAGAAATGTGGCTTTTATCTGATTGAAGTCCTTTGCAATGGGTAACTGCAGCCTTTTTTGGAAGTAGAGCTGCCTTTAGTAGACAATGGATTAGTTTTCCATTAATGATAGGAGTTCCCTTAGCTGTGAGATAGCCCCACTTGCTCCAAATTTGGGCATTGGAATGGTTGATGTTATAAACATATTTAGAATTGGTGGTATATATTAACTTGTGTGTTTTTTGCTAGGGTTAATGCTTTCATTAGGGCAACTAATTCTGCTTGTTGGGAGGATGTGCCCAAAGGCAAGGGGGCAGCCTCTACAACTCTTCTAGGTGGAAGACAGTGGGTATCATCACAATATCTCTCAGTGACTGCATATCCTGCTTGGCGGGGAGGGTTTTTTGATGCGCTGCCATCTATAAATCAATCTGGGGCTCCCTTTATGTGAGTGGAAGTAAGGTGGTAAAACACGGCAAGAGAACTTTCAATTAGATCAGAGCATGAGTGTTGGTCAGGGTCCAAAATCAGTGTTGAAGATAAAAGAGTAGCAGGATTAGGAGTGAGCATCTGTGAAGAGAGATGGAGGGTTGAATGTAGGGCTTGCATGTGAGAGGATGAGATGGAGGTGAGCGCCTTATGGCTGAGCATATCTTATAGACTGTGAGAAGAAAACACCTGAAGAGGTTCATAGAATGTGAGTTTGTGCCTCAGGGATAATTAAAGAGGCTGTGGACAAAATTTTTAAGCAAAGGGGCCAGGTTTTGTAAATGGGGTCTAGTTGTTTTGAAGAATATGCCACTGGTTGGAGGGAATCTCCCATGGATTGGGCTAATAGTCCAAGGGCCTGATTATGAGAACTGTGTAAATATAGATGAAAAGGTCTTAGGGGGTTTGGAAGGCCTAAAGTGGGGGCCTGTAATAAGGCACATTTTAGGTGACAGAAAGCATGATAAAGGTCTGGGGTAGGAGTGAGTGGTTGATCAAGATTTCCTCTTGTGTGTTCATAAAGAGGTTTAGTGATAGTGGCAAAATTTGCTATCTATAATCAGAAATATCCCACTAATTTGAGGAAAGAAAATAAGTCCCTTTTTGTCTTAGGAAATGGGACTTGTTAAATGCCTTGCTTTCATGCTAGTGGAATTTCCCTGGTATTTGGAGTTATGATTAATCCTAGCTATGAAACGTTTGGAGAGGTTAAATTGGGTCTTCCTTTTGGATATCTGGTACCCACATTCAGCCAAAAAATTTAAAAGCCTGGCTGTGTGTTGAATACAGTGTTCTAGAGAGGGGCTGCAAAGAAGTAAATTGTCCACATATTGAAGCAAAACACTGGGTTGTAGAGGTAGTTGGGAAAGGTCCAATCAAAGTGCCTGACCGAAATAGTGAGGGCTGTCCCTAAACCCCTGGGGGAAGACAGTCCAGGTGAGTTGTTGGGAGTAGCCTGTGTCAGCGTCAGTCCAAGTAAAAGCAAAAAGGTTTTGAGAGGAGGAAGATAGAGGGATAATATAAAAGGCATCTTTGAGGTCTAATGCAGAGAAATAGCTAGTATTGGGAAGAATTTGCAATATGAGGATATAGGGGTTTGGGACAACAGGACAAACAGAACAGTAGTGGAGTTATTTGTTGCAAATCCTGAACCAGTCTATAGGAGCCATCTGGTTTTGTAATTGGGAGAATAGGAGTATTGTGGGGAGAATGGGTGGGGATTAAAATATTGGCAGCCAGGCCAGGTCGGTGCCTCACGCCTGTAATCCGAGCACTTTGGGAGGCCAAGGCGGGTGGATCACCTGAGGTCAGGAGTTCAAGACCAGTCTAGGCCAACATGGGGAAACCCCATCTCTACTAAAAATACAAAAATTAGTTGGGCATGGTGGCACACACCTATAGTCCCAGCTACTCAAGAGGCTGAGGCAGGAGAATTACTTGAATCTGGGAGGCAGGAGTTGCAGTGAGCCAAGATTGCGCCATTGAGCTCCAGCCTGGGTGACAAGAGCAAGACTCCATCTCAAAAAAATAAAATAAAATAAAATATTGGCAGCCAAAAGTTGGGAGATGATGGACTTGAGTCCCCATAGTCCATTAGGGGATATTGTGGGACCACTATTTGACATTTAGGATCCTTCATTGAAATTTGAATTGGAGAATGGTGGGTAGCTAACATGGGGGAGTCAGTGTTCCATACTATGGGATTTACAGGGCTGAGGAATTTGGGATTTAAGTCTGTTTGATATGGAATGTCTGAGGAAGGGTTCTGTTCTTGAGATGATAATAAATAGGGGTAGCTTTGGTGTAGGGTTGATAAATGAATGATTCGTCCCCGTTTGTGTAGGATGTCCCTTCCTAGTAAAGGAGTGGGGGAATGAGGAATGACCAAGAAAGAGTGAGTGAGGGTGACTCCCTGAAATGAGCAATATAGAGGCAGTGTTTTGTATGGGGTTTCTTGTATGCCCTTCATTCCATCAACAGAAACAAATGAACATTCTAATGGGCCTTGGTATTCAGTTAATGCCAGTAGACTTGCCCCAGTATCCAAAAGAAAGGAAATAATCTTACCAGATACCGTCCCAATTAACCTGGGTTTTGTGGACTCACTAGATGTGGGGGCGAAGGATGCCGGGTACCCTCAGTCTTCCGTTGTCAGCACCAACAGTGAAGAGATTTCCTCCTGTAATGTTTGGGGGGCTTCATTATGAGTGGTACCCGAATGGGGAAGGTGTCCCTGTTGAGGGCATTCCATCGTCCAGTGTCCCCAAAGACTGCAAGTTGGGCATGGTTTGGTGGGAGGCCAGGGGATAGGACAAGCCTTTTCCCAGTGTCCAGGGTTGCCTTATTGAAAACAGACTCCTGGAGAGGTGGGGGAGTTTCCCTTTGGGTTATTAGGAGGCTTTCGTATAACTGACTTTTGGACAGCAGAGGCAAGCATCTGGTATTTTAAATGGAGATGTTTGTCCTCTTGAATTTTTTGTTCCTCATCTCTGTTGTTAAAGACATGGAAGGTCGCATTTAGGAGCTCCCACCAAGATGTCTGGGGGCCCTCCTCTAATTTTTGTAATTTTTTCCGAATATCTGGGGTGGATTGGGAAATAAATTGGAGGTAGAGAAAAGTTTGACCTTCTCTAGATTCTGGGTCCAAATTGGTATATTTTAGCATAGCTTCAGTGAGGTGTGATAAGAAAAGGGCAGGGTTTTACTGGTGCTCTTGTGTAATTTCTCTGAGCTTTTCATAATTAACTGCCTTATGGGCATTTTTGTCCATGCCCGTGAGGAGACAGGTAATCATGTGGTCTCTTCACCTGATGCCATTGTCTCCCTGTTGGCAAGTCCCATCTGGGCCTCTATGGGGGACTGCATCATTGGCCACTGGATTTTGTATAGGGGCTTTATTATGGAGTTATTATAATCAAGGGGAACTTAAAGTAGTGGTGCTTGTCCAAGATGGTAATGCTCCTGTTCTGTCAAAGATGGAACTGTGAAATAGAATTTGTTTAAAGATGTGTTGTTCATTCAACAGAAGTTTCTTGAGGGCCCATTATAAGGCTAAATTATACTTCCACCCGAACAGTTTAATTGACATTGCACTATCCGGCGCACGATTGATCATGTCTCTTGGAGAAGTAATATCTAGACAGATCCAAATGGAATGTGGTAATTGTAGATCTTTGTGATGCTTATGTGGATTTCTCTGACATCTATACAAGTTATTAATATTGAAAACAAGTACTCCTGTAAATCAGTGATTAAAAAAAATACTTCTGTGGGAATTAGAATTGATCCACTTGTATCTGTTTTCTACTTTCTAGCTCCATATCAGATTTCACTTGAAAAAAAGTCTACTCTGCTGTAGACAATATGTTTGGATTTAAAATGAAATGTCTGAAACGATGGAGACCTGTTTGCATCAGTGGGGCGGGTCATTCAATATAAAACTTTAAAAAACAATACGGAATCAAAAGTTTATTAAGCACCCAATATAGAATTGGCACTGTGCTGGGCATCAGGTTTATGGTAGGAACAAATAAAATGGTCCCTGTTGTCATGGAGTTTCATGGGGATGACCGACTTTAAATAAATAATTACATGAACAGGCCAAGCACAGTGGCTCATGCCTGTTATCCCAGCACTTTGGGAGGCTGAGGCGGATGGATCACTTGAGGTCAGGAGTTCGAGACCAGCCTGGCCAACATGGTGAAACCCCATCTGTACTAAAAATACAAAAATTAGCAGGTGTCGTGGCATGCACCTGTAGTCTCAGCTACTTTGGAGGCTGAGGCAGGAGAATCGCTTGAACCTGGAGGGTGGAGGTTGCAGTGAGCGGAGATCGCACCACTGTATTCCAGCCTGGGTGACAGAACGAGACTCTGTCTCAAAAAAAAAAAAAAAAAAATTGCAGGAACAAACTATGGTCAGAGCTGTGAAAGGAAAGCAATGGCATGGAGAGAAATGGAAGCAGGGGTGAGGCGAGGTTTCTCTGGGGTCACAGTTGTGGGGAGGCCTGATGGATGAGTGGGCACAGAGCAGTGGGTGCTAGGTGGAAGGAAGGGCGTATGAGAAGGTAAAGATGGAAAAGGTGATGTGAAAGTTCGAGAACAGACAGAAGAGTGTGTGCTTTGAGTGCAATGAGGAGGGGCACAGTGCCATGAGATGAGGATGCTGAGGGAGGCAGGGGCCTCCTCATTTGGCACCTTATAGGCCATTTAAGGGCTTTTTGTTTTTGTGGAATGCAAAGGTTGGCTGTTGGAGGGTTTCAGCAACAGAGAGACATGGCCAGACTCAGTTTTCATCCCTCTGGTTGCTGCATGGATCATAGATTGGAGTGGGGGAAGAGAGGAAGTGGGGATCCAGTTAACGAGGTACTGCTATGGCCTAATGGAAGCATGGACTGGGGTGAAGATGTTGGAGGCAGAGGAAAGCGGGTGGATACCAGCAATGTGTTTTGGAGGTAGAATTGACAGGTCTTAATGATGGAACACGAAGCTTGAGGGAGAAGAGAAAACCAAGTAGAAACCTAGGCAGGCTTAGAGCGTATGCCCATTTCTCTTATAAAAGCTTGATGATAGTAGCTGTGGAGCACAATATAGCAGTTCCTTTGAACATTTTGTATTTGTGATAGGATTTTTATCATGGCTTTTTTTTTTTTTTTTTTTTTTTTTTTTTTTTTCTGTTTTTTTGAGATGGAGTTTCATTCTTGTCGCCCAGGCTGGAGTGCAGTGGTGTGATCTTGGCTCACTGCAACCTCTGCCTCCCAGATTCAAGCAATTCTCCTGCCTCAGCCTTCCAAGTAGCTGGGATTACAGGCACTCGCCACCACACCTGGCTAATTTTTGTATTTTTAGTAGAGACGGGGTTTCACCATGTTGGCCAGGCTGGTCTTGAACTCCTGACTTCAGGTGATCCACCTGCCTTGGCCTCCTGAAGTGCTGGTATTACGGGCATGAGCCATGGCACCTGGACTTATCATGACTTTTGAAAAGCCAGGAGTTGACTGTGACTGCCTGGGGTGATATGTTACGTTAGACTTGCCCTGGGAGGAGTGAGAGGACTACTCTTTGTGAGTCAAGAGTTTCTGCCAAGTGGATCTTTCTTATTCAGAAGGAGAGAATCAAATTTGTTTTATTGTCCATTTCACAAGTGACATTAAAGGGAAAGGAGTGGGGAGGCGGGGGGGTGGGGGTTGAGCATGAAATGTCAAAATAACAGTGGTTTTTATCTTTAAGGTTTGGCATGGATTTTAAAGAAATAGAATTAATTGGCTCAGGTGGATTTGGCCAAGTTTTCAAAGCAAAACACAGAATTGACGGAAAGACTTACGTTATTAAACGTGTTAAATATAATAACGAGTAAGTAGTAAATGTTTACATTTTTTTGAATGGCAAGGTACGCTGAATCTGCACTATTCTTTTTTATGCTTCTCTCTTCTTTATTAGGGTATCATTTATTTCTTTCTGATCCTCATTAAACATTTCATTCTACCAAGAGGAGTTTGGCTTACTCCGAGATGATCTCACTTTACTGTGGTTATTTCAATAAAAATGGATATACCATTGATCATCCTTTTGGTGCTATCTTCAGAACTGAAGCTATAGAGTCATTTGCTTTAAAGTGACATGCAAATTCATGAAATGCTCCGTATTTTAAAAACCGTGGCACCAGATAGAACCTATCATTACCCACAAAATAGGTGATCTTTGAGATGTTCTAGTCTTACCTTCTTATTTTATAGATGAGGAAACTAAGATCCAGAGATGTGAAGTGATTTTGTCTAAGATAAAAGCTAGATGGTAATTGTTCTCTGGTTGTCTGTTATTGTATAAGGCACTGCTCCAAAATGCAGTGCTTAAAAACAGCAATTTATTGTTGTCTCTAATGGTTCCATGGGTTGATTGTGCTCATCTGGACAATTCTCACTTGGGGTCTCAGAGGGATTTGCAGTCAGTAGTCATCTGAAACCTTGACTACAGCCTATCTTAGGCTGGATATCCAAGCTGGCTAGCAGTTGACACCGGCTGTGGGCTGGAAGTTCAGCTGGGACTGTCAATCAGAATACCTCCACATGGCCTCCCTATGGGGATTGGGCTTCTTACAACTTGGTGGCTGGGTTTCAAGAAGGATTGTCCCCAGAACAAGTCATCCAAAAGATCAGGAGTGAGTGGCAAGGCTTCTTTTGACCTAATCTGAGGAGTTCCAGAACGTCACTACCATCAAGTTATATTGGTTAAACAAGTCACTGAAGCCAGCTTAGATTCAAGGGGAGGCCAAATAGGCCCTACCCCGTAATTTGTCATTCTAGGGGATGAGTTCTAAGAATATTATTTAGGGACTGGGTGTGGTGGCTCACGCCTGTAATCCCAGCACTTTGGGAGGCCGTGGCAGGCGGATCACCTGAGGTCAGGAGTTCGAGACCAGCCTCACCAACATGGAGAAACCCCTCTCTACTGAAAATACAAAATTAGCTGGGTGTGATGGCGCATGCCTGTAATCTCAGCTTCTCGAGAGGCTGAGTCAGAAGAATTGCTTGAACCCGGGAGGCGGAGCTTGTGGTGAGCCCAGATCATGCCATTGCACTCCAGCCTGGGCAACAAAAGCGAAACTCCCTCTCAAAAAAAAATAAAAATAAAAATAATAAAAAGAATACTATTTAGGGAGGCTGAGGTGAGTGGATCACTTGAGCCCAGGAGTTTGAGACTAGCCTGGGGCAACATGGCAAAACTCCACCTCTACAAAAAATACAGTAATTAGGCCGGTGTGGTAGCCACGCCTGTAGTCTCAGCTACTTCAGAAGCTGAGGTGGGAGGACCATTTGAGCCCAGTAGGTGGAGGCTGCAGTGAGCCATGGTCACACCACTGCACTACAGCCTGGGTGACAGAGTGAGACCCTATCTCCAAAAAAAAAAAAAGAATGTTATTCAAATTATGGATTTATATCCAAGAAGATATAAATCACAGTGTCATTCATTAACAGTAAAAAGTTAGAACAAACAAAATATCCAGCAGTAAAGAAATGAGTATATATATTTTGTTCTGTCCCCTGATCGATGGCTGTTTTGCAGCCATTAAAAATGACTGGCTGGGCCAGGCATGGTGGCTCACGCCTGTAATCCCAGCACTTTGGGAGGCCAAGACAGGCAGATCACGAGGTCAAGAGACTGAGGCCATCTGGCCAACATGGTGAAACTCTGTCTCTACTAAAAATACAAAAATTAGCTGGGCATGGCAGCGTACGCCTGTAGTCCCAGCTACTTGGGAGGCTGAGGCAGGAGAATCGCTTGAACCCAGGAGGCGGAGGTTGCAGTGAGCCAAGATCGCGCCATTGCACTCCAGCCTGGGCGACAAAGCAAGACTCTTCTCAAAAAAAATGACTGGCTGGGTGCAGTGGCTCAGGCCTGTAATCCTACCACTTTGAGAGGCCAAGGCTGGTGGATCACTTGAGGTCAGGAGTGCGAGACCAACCTGGGCAACATGGAGAAACCCTGTCTCTACAAAAAATATAAAAACTAGCCAAGTGTGGTGGTGTGTGCCTGTGGTCCTAGCTACTAGGGAGGCTGAGGTAGGAGGATCGCTTGAGCCCTAGGGGTGGAGGTTGCAGTGAGCCAACATTGCCACTGCACTCCAGCCTGGGTGACAGAGTGAGACCCTGTCTCAAAAAAAAAAGGAAGAATCTAAAATAACATTATTTTAGGATTGTCAAAGTATCAGTAATTTTTTTTATTTTTGCAAATTTGTGTCATATACTTTAAAACTTCTTGCATTAAAAAATAAAATTGTAAAATGATTATTCTTCCTCATCTTTGAAATCTCCAATTTATTTACTGCACTTAGCATGGAATTTTCTTAGGTCTTGGCAACACATCCCTGTAAAGCCTTCCACCATTTCACCTTCTCTGCATAAGTTATCCTCTTTGTGTATATTTGCCACACATTGAAAATCCTGAATTAGGTACTTCACACTGCCTGGGTTACCTAGCCTTGCTGCCTAAATGTGGTTTGCTTGTGAAATACAAAGATTTTAACACAAATCTAAGCAAAACATAATGTATGATTTAGCTATGAAAAATTGCACTGGCTGGGTCCATTGGCTCATGCTTGCAATCCCAGCACTTTGGGAGGCTGAGGCAGGTGGATTGCTAGATCCCAGGAGTTTGAGACCAGCATGGGCAGCGTGGCAAAACCCCATCTCTACAGAAAATAGAAAAAATTAGATGGGTGTGGTGGTGTGCTCCTGTGGTCCCAGCTACTCAGGAGACTGAGGTGGGAGAATTGTTTGAGGCTAGAAGGTTGAGGCTGCAATGAGCCAAGATTGTGCCACTGCACTCCAACCTGGGTGACAGAGCAAGACTCTGTCTCAATAAAATAAATAAATTAATTAAAATGACATCACTGGCATTTCAAGAGTACTACAGATGATTTTTAAATTGTCTGATGCTTGGCATTAAGTCGCTGCCTTTTATTTATTTATTTTTTGAGACAGAGTCTTGCTCTTTTGCCCAGGCTGGAGTGCAGTGGTGCAATCTTGGCTCACTGCAACCTCCGCCTCCTGGATTCAAGCGATTCTCCTGCCTCAGCCTCCCAAGTAGCTGGGATTACAGACATGCGCCACTGTGCCCAGCTAAATTTTTTGTATTTTTAGTAGAGATGGGGTTTCACCATGTTGGTCAGGCTGGTCTTGAACTCCTGACCTCGTGATCCGCCCACCTTCGCCTCCCAAAGTGCTGGGATTACAGGCCTGAGCCACCGCGCCCGGCCACTGCCTTTTATTTTATCTTGAGAGTGAGAACTGCTATGTTTTTTTTCAGTATGTTCACTTTTTCCTTTTGAATGTCCTGGCTTCCATTCTAAAACTATGTGAGAACCACAGCAATGGTTTAATAAGGGAATGTAGACAGTTGTCTATTACATGAGGTGTTTTGTGGTTGTTATGAGGGATGTACACTGACACTGCCATGTTCCCTGTTCCTTTTAACTAGGAAGGCGGAGCGTGAAGTAAAAGCATTGGCAAAACTTGATCATGTAAATATTGTTCACTACAATGGCTGTTGGGATGGATTTGATTATGATCCTGAGACCAGTGATGATTCTCTTGAGAGCAGTGATTATGATCCTGAGAACAGCAAAAATAGTTCAAGGTAACTAAAAATAAATTCTCATAGCCATAATAGGATGGAAGGAAATTGTTATTTACTATGTATGGGCCACTGGATAAGGCTATTAATCATCACGATTAATTATCACAATTCCCTCTGAGAGACACTGTTATCTCTCCATTCCGAAGGTAAGGAGAAAGTGAAAATCTCTTCCTTGCTCCTCCTCTTGCTGCAGACTTGCTCTCACAACCCTCTGTTACATCCTCAGCTGTCTGCAAAATCTCAGGTTCAGCTTTCCTGACTCCATTGTTTCATGGAGAGCCTTGTTCACGTGCCGGCTTCAGCGCAGGCTGTTTAAGTGTAGTCTTGTGAAGAGAGTTTTAACATATAGATGCTGCATCTGGGGGCTCCCTCCTCAGCTACCAACACTTTTCTGTCCCTCTCTTAGGCTGTGATTGGTGTGGTGCCGTCAGAGGGTCTCTTTGGAATGTAACTATACCACTTATGCTGGGGTGGTGGGGAGTGAAAATATTTTTAAGACCACAAGCTGAGATGGGGGCACCCTCATGTTTTATGTCAGTTAAGCCATTGCCAAACAACTGGAGATCCTAAAGAGCTGGCATCTGTCTTTGAAAGTCACCCAACCTATTATGGGGACAGTCCTCTCACTAAAATCCTGAGGCCAATGGGGTCCCATTCATTCATTTTCTCCTGCCCCACCTCCATCTCCATGTCGTGTAAGTGAGAACATTATCATCAGTTCAGGAGTTATTGACCGTCAGCATACAGGACTTCAGCTTTCAGCAAATTCTTGGCTACCTCTTCCTGTTTTCAAGCTGACATATATACAAAGAATATAAATGAATATTGAGGCTAACTTAATTCAGAAAAAAAATAAAACGTGGTTAGCAAAAAAAAAAAAAAAAAAAATCAAGCCTCCAATTTATGTATCTTAGTAATTTGTTGGCACTTCTCTTAGAGTACCTTCCCTATTGTTTTAGGTTTGCTTTCCCTTTACTCTCTCCTATTAGACTATTATCCCCGTGACGGCAAGGATATAGTGTCTAACTGATTTTCTCATCTCTAGGTGCCTTTCATGCTTAGTAGATCAATGGTGAATTAAAAGGTTTCAAAGTTACTTTATATAATAATGAAATTTAGTTTCCTGCATTGTATTCATGTTCCTATTTCTATCTGTTAGCAATGGTGATTGCAGATCTTCAGCAATGAAGAATGGGTGGCTCATTTTTTTTTTCTTCTCGTTTTTTTTTTTTTTTTTTTTTTTGAGACGGTGTCTCGCACTGTCGCACAGGCTGGAGTGCAGTGGTGCAATCTTGGCTCACTGCAAGCTCTGCCTCCCGGATTCACAGTATTCTCCTGCCTCAGTCTCCTGAGTAGCTGGGACTACAGGCGCCCGCCACCACGCCCGGCTAATTTTTTGTATTTTTAGTAGAGACGGGATTTCACCGTGTTAGCCAGGATGGTCTTGATCTCCTGACCTCGTGATCCACCCGCCTCGGCCTCCCAAAGTGCTGGGATTACATGCGTGAGCCACCGCGCCCGGCCTCTTCTTTTTTTTTTTTTGAGACAGAGTCTTACTCTATCGCTCATGCGGGAGCACAATGGCGTGATCTCAGCTTACTGCAATCTCTGCCTTCTGGGTTCAAATGATTCTCGTGCCTCATCCTCCCGAGTAGCTGAGACTACAGGTGCCGCGCCACCACACCCAGCTAATTTTTGTGTTTTTAGTAGAGATGGGGTTTCGCCATGCTGCCCAGGCTGGTCTCAAACTCCTGAGCTCAAGCAATCCGCCAGTCTCGGCCTCCCAAGGTGCTAGGATTATAGGCGTGAGCCACCGTGCCCAGCCCAGCTCATATTTTATAAATTAGCTAAACAAATAAAGCTCTGGACATCCGGGAACTTATGATTGAAATAAAAAATGGCCTATTATATTTTGATTCAAATTTGTTTATTATATTTAGATTTCTATTTTGTGACATGTTTTGGGGTTCTTTTTTTTTCTTTTTTTTTTTTTTTTTGTGAGACGGAATCTCGCTCTGTCACCCAGGCTGGAGTGCAGTGGCGTGATCTCGGCTCACTGCAAGCTCCGCCTACCGGGTTCACGCCATTCTCTTGCCTCAGCCTCCCCGGAGTAGCTGGGACTACAGGCGCCCGCCACCACGCCTGGCTAATTTTTTGTATTTTTAGTAGAGACGGGGTTTCACCGTGGTCTCGATCTCCTGACCTCGTGATCCGCCCGCCTCGGCCTCCCAAAGTGTTTTTGGGGTTCTTAAGAAGATAAGGTATAAGCTTTTAAAAAGTTATGAAAAACTTTAAAAAGTTATAAAAAATTTTTTATAAATTTATATTTATTGTTACTTTTAACATACTGTGAATTTTATACCCAGGTCAAAGACTAAGTGCCTTTTCATCCAAATGGAATTCTGTGATAAAGGGACCTTGGAACAATGGATTGAAAAAAGAAGAGGCGAGAAACTAGACAAAGTTTTGGCTTTGGAACTCTTTGAACAAATAACAAAAGGGGTGGATTATATACATTCAAAAAAATTAATTCATAGAGATCTTAAGGTAAGTGGAAAATGTACTTTATTAATTGATATATATATAATATAGTAATTTTAAAATATATCTTCTCAGCTGGGCACAGTGGCTCACGCCTATAATCTCAACACTTTGGGAGGCTGAGGCAGGCAGATCATCTGAGGTCATGAGTTCGAAACCAGTCTGGCCAACATGGTGAAACCGTGTCTCTACTAAAAATACAAAAATTAGCTGGGCATGGTGGCGTGCGCCTGTAATCCCAGCTACTCGGGAGGCTGAGGCAGGAGATTCGCTTGAACCTGGGAGGTGGAGGTTGCAGTGAGCCAAGATTGTGCCACTGCACTCCAGCCTAGGTGAAGAGTGAGACTTGTCTCAAAAAAAAAAATTATATATATATATAAAATAAGATAGATAGATATATATTTTTTTCTCTAGTTTTAGAATAGTGGTTGATTGATAGTTATGAGAAAATGGTATCTGAACATTTCCATGCAAATAATTACTGTGACTGGCACAGCCAACTGGCTGCTCTGCCCCTGTTCCTCCTGCCTCCTCTAAGTGACTCAGCTTTATTTGAGAGGCAGAGGGGACTCTGTTGACTGTTGCTTTAGGAATATGGTTCCCTAATCTCTCAGTCATTACTCGCGAGGGCTGTCACAGCTACTGGGTCCAGAGTCTAATACTGTCTTGGTTAAGCATTTCAACCCCATGATTGGAAAATTGCGGTAATCCCGGACTGGGAAAGTGTATCATCCCTTAGTATTTTCATTTTCCTCTGGCTTTTATGGTCCGGACAAGGAGTTTCCCTATTTTTTACTTCTCATTAAAATGACAGAAGGTGAGAGACAGAATAGCCCTTCACAGCCTTTCCTCCATTCCCTATTCCCTGTGACTTGCCTAAGCCTGTCACAAGCTGGCCGTCCTGAATCCTGTCCCTGGACCTTTGCTCATGTTCTTCTCTCTCATGGGACACTCTTCTGCCTGCCCCCTTTGGTTGTAATTCCTTTACTGAGCCTTTCCTGATCACTCTGGAACTGCCTTTTTCTGTTCTAGGCAGAAGTACCTTATTTATGTGGCTATCTGCTTATCCCACCCCTCTAAAACAGCAAGGAATAAGGAATGAAACAAAAAAATTCCTTGAGAGAAATAAGTTCCCATATACACAGTTGTTTATTGGGCTCAGAGAGGAATGAGTAGCCCTTAAAAGGTATTGCTTCCGTGGTCTGCCCAGGGGCTGGATGTCTGATGCATTGGTGTTTTGAGTCTGTCTGGTTCCAATATGTCTCTTCTACAATATCTGAAGTTGTTCTTTGAAGGTGGAACATTGTCAGAACTATTTCAAAAGGATAAATGTAGAGTTGGTTATGCTTTCACTTTGGGATAAATCATACATATAGTTAAATAACAAATAAGCACAATTATTTCTATATAAAATAATTTGCAAATAAATGCAGAAGTGTAGGCATTAAGCTCCTAGTCCTCAGAATGAATTAGCAAAATTCTGACTGGTGCCTACCCACTTACCTGCCAACTATGCCCCACACCGTGTGTGCCCTGTGTCATGGACTGATCTTTTCTTGTGTCTATTTGCAGAGAATTTTTACTCTGGCTGCAGTTGCTCAAGGGTCAGACTTTATTATTCTTCTTAAATTTTTAATTTTTATTTTTTTTTGAGACAAGGTCTTGCTCTTTTGCCCAGGCTGGAGTGCAGTGGCACAATCACGGCTCATTACAGCCTTGACCTCCTGGGCTCAAGCAGTCCTCCCACCTCAGCCTCCCGTATAGCTGGGACCACAGGTGTACACCACCACACCTGGCCATTTTTGTGTGTTTTTTTTTTGTAGAGACAGGGTCTCACCATGTTTCCGAGGCTGGTCTCAAACTTTTAGACTCAAAGTGATCCTCCTGCCTCAGCCTCCCAAAGTGCTGGCATTCCAGGTGTGCTCCACTGCACCCGGCCTCAAGCTTTGATACTGAGACTTCTTTCATCTTCTATAACTTTTCAGGCTCTCACTACTACAGTTGTTGATTTCTCTCCTCTAAGAAAAGATACAATGAAGGTGTACAATTTTGGGGTTGTGTTTTGCAAAATAGCAGCTGTAGGTGGTTTTGCCAGAGAATGGTCTTTACCTAACACAGCCCCTCTTACAAAAGTCTCCAAGTGTTTACCACTTTCTGTTGGAATCTTAGGAACTAGACCAAAGGCGCTGGGAAGGGACATAGGGGTTTCTGGAGTGAGGGCTTCTTGTGCAAGGCTGCTTCTCTCTAAAATGTTCAGTCTCCTAAAGCCCAGGCTCTGGTCATCCTCAGCCTGAGCATCAGTCCTGTTCCTGTGCCTCCTAGGTGAAGTTTGCATCCCTTTTATATGATCTACAGCCCTATATTTTGTCTAATCATATTATAACTGATTAGACAAAATGTGGCATTATTGTTTTTATTTCTTTTGTGTTTTACAAGGTCTCACTCTGTTGCCCAGGCTGGAGTGCAGTTGTATGATCTCAGCTCACTGCAGCCTGGACCTCCTAGGCTCAAGCAATCCTCCCACCTCGGCCCCCCACATAGCTGGGACTACAGGTGCAGGCTACCAAGGCAGGCTAATTTTTGACATTTTGTGGAGACAGGATTTTGCCATGTTGCCCTGGTTGGTCTCGAACTCCTGAGCTCAAGTGATCTGCCGACCTTGGCTTCCCAAAGTGTTGGGATTACAGGCATGAGCCACCATACCCAGCTTCTTTTTCTTTTCTTTTTTTCTTTTTTCTTTTTTTTTTTTTTTTGAGACAGAGTCTCCTCTGTTGCCCAGGCTGGAGTGCAGTGGAGTGATCTCGGCTCACTGCAGCCTCTGACTCCTGGGTTCACGAGATTCTCCTGCGTCAGCCTCTCGAGTATCTGGGATTACAGGCGCCTGCCATGATGCCCAGATAATTTTTTGTATTTTTAGTAGAGACAGGGTTTCACCATGTTGGCAAGGTTGGCCTTGGACTGATGGGCCCACGCTGTCTGCCCGCTTCAGCCTCCCAAAGTGCTGGGATTACAGGTGTGACTCACCACGCCCTGCCCACTTTTTCTTTTGAATGAACTACAAAAAGTGATCTGATATTTTCACTAGATAGCCTCATCCAGCTTAGATATTTACACGGCTTCACAAATTCAATTTTCTGTTTCTTAGAGTCAGGTGATAGCCTTATGTGGGACTAGCAGTTTCACTTGCAATCCTGACATATTCCTACACATTGCAACTTGAACATAGCATAGGAATGTTTTCTCTCCACATCCACTCCACATCTGTCTACAGCTTTCCATCTGTATTACTGGTGTTAGGCTCCAATCTGACTGTTAATTGAATTCTAATCCAACTGCTAATTGCTGTATGAGCCGTCATCTCAAGCTGGCTTCTCGGAAGCTCCTCCTTCAGCCTTCCCTGGGCTTATGGTCTCTTCCCTCTTAGGTCCTTACTAGGTAGGCCCTCTCATAAGTGTGTTATCCCGTAGAGTCTGTGTGTTTAGCCTAAGATTGTATTAAAAGTCCAGCCTTTTCAAAAATAGCAAAATATTAATTTTCTCATCAACTACCTTCCTGTTTTTGTGGTCTTTAGAATATTGGTCAGTAGAGCTGGGTGTGGTGGCCTGTGGTCCCAGCTACTTGGGAGGCTGAGGTGGGAGGATCGCTTGAGCTGAGGAAGTCAAGGCTGCAGTGAGCCATGATCATGCCACTGAAATCCATCCTGGATAACAAAATGAGACACTGTCTCAAAAACAAACAAAAATAATATTGGTCAATACCTCCTATGGGCTGGGCGTGGTGGCTCATGCCTGTAACCTCAGCACTTTGGGAGGCTGAGGTGAGCAGATTGCTTGAGGTCAGGAGTTTGAGACCAATCTGGCCAACATGGTGAAAATCTGTCTCTACTAAAAATACAAAAAAATTAGCCAAGCGTTGTGGCACATGCCTGTAATCCCAGCTCCTCGGGAGGCTGAGGCAGGAGAATTGCTTGAACCCAGGAAGCAGAGGTTGTGGTGAGCCGAGATCATGCCACTACACTCCATCCTGGGTGACAGAGCGAGGCTCCATCTTACAAAACAAAACAAAACAAAACACCTCCCTTAAAAAAAAAAAATCTGCTTAAAGAATTGCATGGATAAAAATATTTCAGAGCTAGTTATTAGCTTCCAGTTAACTTGGTATGCTTTCATGGTGGAAGGGATGTGTTTGTTAAGAAGTTGTCAGAGGCTTGGAGAAAAGACCCCCAAGAGAAATTCTGCACAGGCTAATCTGCACTATTGTTGGGAATGGACCCATTCCGAGAATCTCAAAGTTGGAAGGGATCTTAAGGATGTCTGCTTCAGTCCCTATCAGATCATGGACTCATATTTGCAACATTTCCTCAAGTGGTTGTTCAGCCCTATCTTGGGATGGGGAACTGTCTAACTCCCATTCTTTGGACAACACTATTAGGATATTAGGATATTTTAAAGCTAATCTTTAGGTCATTTCCACCCTATAGTCCTGGATCTTTTCCCTTGGACCATGCAGAGTGAATCCACCTTGCACGTGACAGCTTTTCAGATATTCGAGGGCAGCTGTGCCCAGAGCCACCTCTGGTGTCAGCTAAGAAATCCTTACTTCTGTCCAGGCGTGGTGGCTCATGCCTGTAATCCCAGCACTTTGGGAGGCCAAGGTGGGTGGATCATGAGGTCAGGAGATCGAGACCATCCTGGCTAACACGGTGAAACCCTGTCTCTACTAAAAAAAAAAAAAAAAAAAAAAAAAAAAACTAGCCGGGCATGGTGGCGGGTGCCTGTAGTCCCAGCTACTCGGGAGGCTGAGGCAGGAGAATGGCATGAACCCAGGAGGCGGAGCTTGCAGTGAACCGAGATAGCACCACTGCACTCCAGCTTGGGTGACAGAGCGAGACTCCGGCCCAAAAGAAAAAAAAAAAAAAAGAAATCCTGACTTCTTTCAGCTGGCATTTTAAAGACGAGTCATATTAAATTCCCTGATTTTGGCTACCTGTGTAAGGGTAAAGGTCTTATAAATAATATAAAAATAGTCTTTTCTGTATATAATTAAGACATGTGGTAATAGTATGTTAAGTTGGTACATGTAAGTTAAATTTTTTTTTTTCATAGCCAAGTAATATATTCTTAGTAGATACAAAACAAGTAAAGATTGGAGACTTTGGACTTGTAACATCTCTGAAAAATGATGGAAAGCGAACAAGGAGTAAGGGAACTTTGCGATACATGAGCCCAGAACAGGTAAGGTCTCTTTCCTGTCTGTCTATATTTTACTTCTTTTATTTTGAAAATTATAAAAAGAGTAGACACTACTTATATAATTAAAACTGTACAGAAGTATATACTAAAAATTTTCCTTACCATTCTTTTCTACCCCTATTCTTCTTATCAGTTTATTCTTTATCCTTTTAGATAATTTTCTGAGTTATAAAAACATACAAACACAAATATACACCCAGATTTTTTTTACAGAAACATATATATGTGTACATTTTTTCAAGGACTTATTTTGTTATTTTGTGACTATATAGCATAATTTCTCCATATTAGTTCAAATAGATCTGCCACATTCTTTTTTTAACAACTGTATTATATTTCAAAATATGGAGATACCATAATTTAACTATTTTTTTAAATTTAATATTTTTTGTTGTTGTTCTTATTTTGTTTTAGAGACAGGGTCTTGCTCTGTCACCCAGGCTGGAGTGCAGTAGTATGATTATTGCTCACTGCAGCCTCAAAATCTTGGGCTCAAGCAATCTTCCCACCTCAGCCTCCTGAGTAGCTAGGACTCTAGAGGCACATACCACTGTGCCCAGCTAATTATTTTTATTTTTATTAATTATTTATTTACTTATTTATTGTAGAGACAAGGTCTCACTATGTTTCCCAGGTTGTATTTAACTATTTTCTTATCGAAGGGTATTTCTTTAGGTTGTTTACAACTTCATACACTTAGACATTCCTCCTTATTTTGGGTCCCAAGAACAAATAATTCTGTGATAATCTGTGTTAGACTTCTTGAGGTAAAGTGATTGAATAGATTGACCAGTGCATTTCAAACTTAATTGCTGTTTAATTGTCATTCTAAAAAAAGTGATTCTAATAATACTGTCCCGTCAAAATGTATGAGAATACTGCATCATCATACTCTCCAGTGATCAGTTTTGGGTAGTGTGTTGAATTAGGAGTATCTTGCTATTTTAGTTTGTATTTTCCAGATTTTTAGTAAGGTATGCCCTCTTTTCATATATTTACTTAAACATTTTCTGCAAATTCTCTACTCATATCCTTTCCCAATTTCTCATAATTAAGTTCTCATTTTCTTGTGTATCTGTAAGGAATCTTGATCTATATTGGGTGTTGATCCCGTATCTGTTAACTATATTATAGAATTTTTCTCCTTGATTGTTACTTCTTTGTTTATAATGACATTTGTGGTACTGCAGCTTTTTTTTTTTTTTTTTTTTTTTGAGATGGAGTTTTGCTCTTGTCACCAAGGCTGGAGTGCAATGGCATGATCTCAGCTCACTGCAACAACCTCTGCCTCCCGGGTTCAAGCAATTCTCCTGCCTCAGTCTCCCAAGTAGCTGGGATTATAGGTGCCCACCACCATGCCCAGCTAAGTTTTGTATTTTTAGTAAAGACGGGTTTCACCATGCTGGCCAGGCTGGTCTCAAACTCCTGACCTCAGGTAATCCACCCACCTTGGCCTCCCAAAGTGCTGGGATTACAGACGTGAGCCACCAAACCCAGCACTGCAGCTTTTAAATTGTCATATTTATCAATACGGCTGCTAGGTTTCTCATTTTTATTTTGGAGGCTTCTATTACAAGATTATGAAAATATTTTTTGGTTTTACTAACATAAAAATTAACTGCAATTTGAATTAACTTTTGTTTATGTATGAGAAAGGAATCTAACTTGATTTTCCCCGTGTGAATATGCAGTTGCTTCATCACTACGTGTTAAGCAGTTAATTATTTAAATGCTATTTTAAGGAAAATTCATAGAGACAGAAAGTGGAACAGAGGTTATCTGGAAGAAGGGAGGAATGGGAACTTCTTGTTTAATGGGTATAGCTTCTGTTTGGGGTGATGAAAAGTTCTGGAAATAGATAGTGGTGATGGTTATACAACATTGTGAAGGTAGTTAATGCCACTGAATTGTAGGCATAAAAATGGTTAAAAGGGTAAATTTTATGTTATGTCTATTTTACCACAATAAAATATTATTTTATCATATATAAAATTCCCACACATTCATAGATGTGTTTCTGGACTTTGTTCTGTTTCCTTAATTTATTTTATATTTCTCTCTTTAATATTATGCTATTTAGATTATTGTAGCATTATAAACTAGGCTTTAGTATTTGAACAGCAGGACCTGCCACATTATTCTTCAATTTAAAAATGCTCTCAGCTATTCACATTTACAATTCCAAATGAACTCTGTAATCACATTGTCATCTTCCATAACTGGTTTTGAGGTTTTGATAGCAATTGCATCAAATTTGAGGATTCAGGTGAGGAACATTGATATCTTCATATATTTGAGACTTCTCCAAAATTGGTATTTTCTCTCACTTATTCGAGTCCTCCATCAGTCAGCTTTTGCCAGACTATGCTGTGGTAACAAATGACCCCAGTTTCTTAGTGGTGCAGAAAATACCAAGGGTCTATTTCTTGCTCACATGACAAGTCGGCAGCAGTCTGGCTGGCTGCAGTTTTGCTCTGAGTGTCTCCTTCATTCCAAGACCCAGGCTGTAGGAAAAATGCTATCTGAGTCACTGCCGTCCTCAAGGCAGAAAGCAATGGCAGAACCTTGTGATGGCTTTTACATGTTCTGCTCAGCAGTGGCATACATCACTAAACATCATTGCCCAGAGCAAAATGCATGGCCCAGCTCAAGGCAATGAGGGTGGAGAAGAGTAATCCTCTCACTAGGAGGCCAGTGCAGCATTGGGGGCAATCATACAACCTACCTCAGAGCCACTTTTATACTGTTCAAAATCTATATATATATATATATAGAGAGAGAGAGAGAGAGATTTATTATGATATATATATATATATATATATATATATATATATTTTTTTTTTTTTTTTTTGAGACAGGGTCTTGCTTTTCACCCAGGCTGGAGTACAGTGGCACAATCATAGCTCACCACTGCGCAGCCTCGACCTCCTTGGCTCAGGTGATCCTCCTGCCTCAGCCCCCTCAGTAGCAGGACTACAGGCTCAAACCACCAACACCTGGCTAATTTTTTTTTGTATTTTTTGTAGAGACTGGGTTTCACCATGTTGCCTAGGCTGGTCTCGAATTCCTGGGCTTAAGCGATCCACCTGTCTTGACCTCCCAAAGTACTAGGATTACAGGAATGAGCCACGGCGCCTGGTCATATTGTTTATATTTTTGAAGCTTTCTCCAGAATCTGTATTGCATTTTGCTATTAAAATGAGATTCCATGCTTGAACCCGGGAGGTGGAGGTTGCAGTGAGCTGAGATCGCGCCATTGCACTGCAGCCTGGTCAACAGGAATGAGACTCCATCTGAAGAAAAAAAAAAAAAAAGAAAAGAAATTCCATATCTCTAATTTGTTATTAGTGTAGCCGTTAATTTTAAAAATATATCTCTTTATTTTTAATTGTGGTAAAATATACAAACATAAAATTTACCACCTTCACCATTTTTAAGTGTATAGTTTAGTGGCGTTAAATGTGTTCACATTGTTGTGCTTTCATCACCACCATACATCCACAGATTACTTTTCATTTTGCAAAACTGAAACTTTACACCCGTTAAAGAACTCCTATTCTCCTCTCCCTACAGCCCAATCAACTACCATTCTACTTTCTGTCTGTATATTTGACTATTCTAGATGCCTCATGTAAGTGGAATCGTACGGTATTTACCCTTTTGTTACTGGCTTATTTTACTCAGCATAATATCCTCAAGATATATCCATGTTGTAACATGTCAGAATTTCTTTTTAAGGCTGACTAATGAATTCCATTGTATGTATACACCACATTTTGTTTGTCCTTTTATCCATCAATGGACACTTAGGTTGCTTCCACCTTTTGACTGTGGTGAATAATGCTGCTGATGAACATGGGTGTACAGCTGTTGAGTTTTAAATATTTGTCTCATATATAGTCTCATTATTTGAATGTGATTTTTTTTTGGGTTGATTGCTTTTATTTTTTACCTTTTGGGTTGTTTATCCTATTTTAATTTCTGATTTGTAAATGCCCGTTAAAGATTATTTTGCTGACAATACAGCTTTCAAAATATCTCTACTATTTTGTCATCCAAGAATAGATATACTGAGCTATCTGATGGTTTGAGAGTCTAGAATGGAGAAGGCATGTACTTTTTCCTTTTGGGGAGCCAGTTGGCATAAAAAATATAGAACACAATAGGCCAGTGGCTCTCTTTAACTTCCTGCTGCTTTCAGTATCTCCTGCATCCTGTATTGCTGCCCTCACACTATTTGGTTAAAAACATTCATCATTGTACTTTACTTTTTATTATGTGTGTGTGGTTTTTTTTTCCATTTAAAAACCTTTTGTTGGCTGGGTGCAGTGGCTCATGCCTGTAATCCCAACACTTTGGGAGGCTGAGGTGGGCAGATCACCTCAGGTCAAGGGGTTTGAGACCAGCCTGGCCAAGATGTTGAAACTCCATCTCCACTAAAAAAACAAAAATACAGAAATACAAAACTACAAAAATGAGCCAGGCGTGGTGGCACGTGCCTGGAGTCCCAGCTACTCTGGAGGCTGAGGCAGGAGAACTGCTTGAACCTGGGAGGTGGGGGCTGCTGTGAGCCGAGACCACGCCACTGCATTCCAGCCTGGTGACAGCGGGACTCCGTCTCAAAAAAAAAAAAGGCAACATTTTGTTGAGGAACAATTTATACAGTATAAAATGCACAGATCTTAAGTGTATATTTTTTCGTTTTGACAAATGCATACACCTCTGTAACTTATAAGACTATAAAGATATAGAACATTTTGCTCCTTCAAGCTCCTTTCCAGTCAGTGCCTCCTCCCCACTGATCAGAAGAAACCAGCACTCTGAGTTCTATCACCATAGCTTAGTTCTTCCCGTTTTTGACCTTCATATGAATGGAATCATACAGTAGGTACTCTTTGTATTTAATTTCTTCATTCAAAATAATATCTTCTGGAAAAACTTTGTTGCTCATACCAGCAGAGAATTCCTTTTTATTGCTGAGTCGTAGTCCATTGTATGAATATGCCACAACATGTTTATCCATTCTTCTGTTGTGGTCCTTTGAGTTGTTTCCAGTTATGGAATATTGTGAATAAATACGCTATGAACAGTTGCAATGCAAGCCGCCTACTGGGTGCTATTTTAACTGCTTTACCTGCTGCATCTCACTCTCACAATCAAACTCTGTGGTTGATACTGTTGTTATCCTTGTTTTATAACTGAGATTATTCCCATGTTGATCGTTAATTTACACAGAGGATTCAGCTATTCGGCGGTACAGATTTGAACCTAGGCAGTCAGACTCCACAGATTTTGCTAATAAATAGACATTGTTTTGTGGTGTAAGATGTTTTGGTCAAATAACTTTTTTGGGCTTTAGAAGGCTGGATATTTATGTAAGGAGCATAACAAAGGTAAATCTATTTTGGTCTCTTTAGATTTCTTCGCAAGACTATGGAAAGGAAGTGGACCTCTACGCTTTGGGGCTAATTCTTGCTGAACTTCTTCATGTATGTGACACTGCTTTTGAAACATCAAAGGTAAAATTATCTCAAAGAAAGAATTAAACAAGAAAAATTACTGACTACCACCTTCAGAGTGCTGCTGCAGACAGTTCTTGCCCTCACGTGAGGATGGGCTTGAGCATATTAGTATCTGACTGCAAATGAAATATGAATTTTCTGTCTTTCAAGGTTTGGCAGAGACCAAACACTTTCTTAAAGACCAAAAACTTTGATCTTCCCTGGAAGGTAGTACATCTCATAAGACTTGTAAGACTTGTCAGTCAGTAACATTTTATTGATTGACTGCTTTGTGTAAGACACTGTGCTAAGTGCTGTAAGGGTTGCAAAAATAAACAAGCCTTGGCTGGGCGCGGTGGCTCACCCCTGTAATCCCAGCTTTGAGAGGCCAAGGCAGGCAGATCACTTGAAGTCAGGTGTTCGAGACCAGCCTGGCCAACGTGGTGAAATCTCATCTCTACTAAAAATACAAAAATTAGCTGGGTGTGGTGGTGCACACCTGTAATCCCAACTACTCAGGGGGCTGAGGCAGGAGAATCGCTTGAACCTGGGAGGCGGAGGTTGCAGTGAGCCAAGATCACACCACTGCACTCCAGCCTGGGTGACAGAGTGACATTCCATCTCTAAATAAATAAATGAATAAAGCCTTGTTCTCAAGGAGCTTATTTTCTAAAAGGGAAGATAATATAAGAGAATGCCATAAGCATTTTAGGAGAAGGCATGAAGTCTGTGGAAGCAGCTGGGAGGGAGATCTTTCCAGCTGTAGGGACTTAGGTTTCATGGAGACATCTAAGCTGGGCTCTGAAGGATCTGTTGGCTTCTAATAGTCCAAAACAGAAAAGTTGATTCTAGCATGGAGGCGGGAATGTACAGAGTGTATTTGGGGACAGCAGGCAGTGTAAGTTGTATTGGAGTATATAAGTTACAAGGAAGTAGTGGTTGGTGAGGCTAGAAAGATAGGTTGGGCTAACTTGAGGAAAAAATGTGGACCTTCTTGCTTAGACAGTGGGGAGTCACTAAAGGCAGTAGGCAAGTGGATATCCTACTCTTTTTTTTTTTTTTTTTGAGATAGAGTTTCACTTTTATTGCCCAGGCTGGAGTGCAATGGCGCGATCTTGGCTCACTGTAACTTCTGCCTCCCAGGTTCAAGCAATTCTCCTGCCTCAGCCTCCCAAGTAACTGGGACTACAGGCGTGCACCACCATGCCTGGTTAATTTTTTTGTATTTAGTAGAGATGGGGTTTCACCATGTTGGTCAGGCTGGTCTCGAACTCCTGACCTCTGGCAATCCACCCGCCTCGGCCTCCCAGAGTGTTGGGATTACAGGTGTGAGCCACTGCACCCAGCTGGATATCCTACTCTTAAGCTCAGGAAAGGGAACTTTCCTGGAGTCAATAACCTTATCCTCTGTAAAACAGTTAGAAGTACCTATCACTTAGGGTTCCAAAATGCATGAAGGGAGATTGTAAAGATGATGCACTTAACACTTCATGTCGTAATGCAAGGATGGTTATTAGATTGGGGGTAGTGTAGGAGAGAGGGAATCCTGCTTGCTTCTTGGCTAAAGAGACTTTCCCAAAAAATCTGGAAATATCCTACATTTCAGGTATTCCTCAGCCTTTAGTTCTGTCTTTCCTCCCAAGTAAATAATTTCCTAATATACACCTATCATTTTTTTTTCCAGTTTTTCACAGACCTACGGGATGGCATCATCTCAGATATATTTGATAAAAAAGAAGTAAGCACTTGAAAATCATCAGAATTTTATTTATTTCAATGTTTTATTTCTTACTATTGACTCTCACTGTCATTGCAGAAAACTCTTCTACAGAAATTACTCTCAAAGAAACCTGAGGATCGACCTAACACATCTGAAATACTAAGGACCTTGACTGTGTGGAAGAAAAGCCCAGAGAAAAATGAACGACACACATGTTAGAGCCCTTCTGAAAAAGTATCCTGCTTCTGATATGCAGTTTTCCTTAAATTATCTAAAATCTGCTAGGGAATATCAATAGATATTTACCTTTTATTTTAATGTTTCCTTTAATTTTTTACTATTTTTACTAATCTTTCTGCAGAAACAGAAAGGTTTTCTTCTTTTTGCTTCAAAAACATTCTTACATTTTACTTTTTCCTGGCTCATCTCTTTATTCTTTTTTTTTTTTTAAAGACAGAGTCTCGCTCTGTTGCCCAGGCTGGAGTGCAATGACACAGTCTTGGCTCACTGCAACTTCTGCCTCTTGGGTTCAAGTGATTCTCCTGCCTCAGCCTCCTGAGTAGCTGGATTACAGGCATGTGCCACCCACCCAACTAATTTTTGTGTTTTTAATAAAGACAGGGTTTCACCATGTTGGCCAGGCTGGTCTCAAACTCCTGACCTCAAGTAATCCACCTGCCTCGGCCTCCCAAAGTGCTGGGATTACAGGGATGAGCCACCGCGCCCAGCCTCATCTCTTTGTTCTAAAGATGGAAAAACCACCCCCAAATTTTCTTTTTATACTATTAATGAATCAATCAATTCATATCTATTTATTAAATTTCTACCGCTTTTAGGCCAAAAAAATGTAAGATCGTTCTCTGCCTCACATAGCTTACAAGCCAGCTGGAGAAATATGGTACTCATTAAAAAAAAAAAAAAAAGTGATGTACAACCACTTCGGAAAACAATTTGGCATTATCTAGTAAAGTTGAATCCATGTATACCCACATAGCTATCAATTCTATTCCTACATACGTGCTTACAAGAATGTCCATAAAACCCTGTTTATAATAGCCAAAAGAACAGGGAACAACCATAATGCACATCAAAAGAAGAATGGATTAAAAAAATTATATTCACACACAGGAGTACTATATAGTATTGAAAACAATTGAAGTACAGCTAAATGTAATAACGTAACACAATACAACTCTCAGAAACATAATGTTAAGCGAACAAAGCAGGTTTTCAGAAAATATATGCAGAATAATTCCATTTATATAAAGTTCCAGAGCATGCAAAACTAAATCATTTTGTATAAAAAACCCAACAAATGTGATGAGACAATAATGGGAAGGAAGGGAATGAGAAATATTAAATTCTGGATGGTGGTTATCTTTGAGGGAGGGGAATGATGTGATTGGGGAAATGGACTTTCAAAGGTAATGGTAACTTCCTTAAGCTGGATGGTAGGTCCACTAGTGTTTGCTGCATAGTTATACCTTTTATCTTAAATACATTTTGTATCTATTGTAACAACCACTTTAAAGACAACCGTGCTGTAAGGCAGTAGCTAAAAACAGAAAATAGTCCATCGGGAAGGGTAAGATGGCTTTCTGCTGAGCACAGGGCTAGAAGTGACAGCCCAGTGGGCCTTCCAACTATATGCCAGGGTGTTAGATGAGTAGAGAGGAGACCACCCAGGAAGTCTGGACAAGGGGTCTGGCATGAGCTCTGGAGAAGATATATTTGAGGAACATGGGGTATGCTAGTTTGTTGTCCTGAATTGCTGTAGAGAAGATAATTTAAATTGCATCTTAGAAGACGACCCTGAGGGTGAATTTCAACTTAGGGCAATTGTTTTAGTTTGTTTCTTATTGGTTTAAATGGATACTTGAAGCTGGATAATTTATAAGGAAAAGAGATTTATATGACTTACAGTTCTGCAGGCTGTACAAGAAACATGGCACCAGCATCTGCTTCTTCCCCGGCTGCTTCCACTCATGGTGGAAGGTGAAGGGGAGCCGGATGTGCAGAGATCATATGGCAAGAGAGGAAGCAAGAGAGCGAGGGAGAAGGTGCCAGGCTCTTTTTAAATAACCGGCTCTTGAGGGAACTAATAGATTGAGAACTCCTTGCTTCTCCTCCCCAGCACACCCCACCCCCAGGGACGGCATTAATGTATTCATGAGGGGTCTTCCCCCATGACCCAAACACCTCCCATCAGGCCCCACCTCCAACACTGGGATCAAATTTCAACATGAGATTTTGGGGGACAAACATGCAAACTATAGCAGCAACCAGCTACCATTCTAAAACTGCCATATGATTTTAGGATTTTTAAAAAGGGCCAAATTTAGGTTAAGCAAAAAGTGAAAATACAGTAAGAGAAAATAGTTTTATAAAGGCTTTAAAAAGTGTTCATAAAGAGCAGTTCATAGATTTTTCACGTAACGTTCATCAATAGATGCTAAAACTATTGGATGAAAAGCTATTGTGGAATAGGATCTTCTACAAGGATTTAAATATAATCCTACAGAAGAGGTATCAATTATACAGGGGAAAATGTACCTTTACAATGGTCACCACAATAACCAAGTGATTCAATTTAGCATCACCCAAGGTGGAACACCCTAACATTATGCCCCTCCTGATGTGACTTAAGAATTTTACCTATTTAGTTTTCTTGCACAAAGTGTTAAACTGGAATTTAATCATGAGGAAATTATTAGACAAATCCTGAATGTAGTCATTCTATAAGATGATTGACTTGGGCTTCTCAAAAAGTCAGTGTCATGAAAAAAAAAAAAAGGGGAGAGACTTGTAAGATACAATGACCAAATGCAATGTTTGAATCTTTATTGTATTCTGGATATTTAAAAAGACAAAAGCTGGACGCAGTAGCTAATGCCTGTTATCCCAGCATTTTTGGGAGGTCAAAAGGGGAGGATGGCTTGAGCATAGGATTTTGAGACTAGCCTGGGCAACACAGTGAGTTCTCATCTCTACAAAAAATCAGAAAATTAGCTGGGCATGGTAGTGTGCATCTGTGGTCCCAGCTACTTGGGGGGGTGAGGTGGGAGGATCACTTGAGCCTAGGAGGTCAAGGCCGCAGTGAGCCATGATCATGTTACTGCATTCCAGCCTGGGTGACAGAGTGAGATCATATCTAAATAATAATAATAATAAAAGAAAGCAACAACCCAGCAAACAGCTATAAAGATATCTTCGGGACAATTGAGAACATTTGAATATAGACTGCATATTAGATAACAATGCCAAATAACTGTTTTCTCAGGTGTGATAATAGTATATGTAGAAAATGTCTTTTTGTTTTGTTTTATTTTGTTTTTGTTTGTTTGTTTGTTTTGAGACAGAGTCTCACTGTGTCGCCCAGGCTGGAGTGCAGTGGCACGATCTCGGCTCACTGCAACCTCTGCCTCCCAGGTTCAAGTGATTCTCCTGCCTCTGCTTCCTGAGTAGCTGGGATTACAGGTATCTGCCACCACTCCAGGTTAATTTTTTCTATTTTTAGTAGAGACGGAATTTCACCATGTTGACCCAGCTGGTTTTGAACTCCTGACCTCAGGTGATTCACTTGCCTTGGCCTCCCAAAGTGTTGAGATTACAGGCATGAGTCACTGCACCCAGCCAAAAATGTTTTTTTAGGCAATGCATGCACAAACATTTAGAGGCCAAGTGTGTCATGATGTCTGCAACTTTCAATGTTCAGCAAAAATCAACATGGAGAGAGAAAGAGGGCACACATGTGGCAAAATATTAGCCATTGTACAATTGGTAAATCTAGATGACAGTACACAGGTGTTTGTTGTATTATTCTTTGAACTTTTCTGTAGATTTGGAAATGTTCTGCGTAGAGAGAAATCTTTTTTTAAAAAAACAATATCTGGTTTTGATTAATGAGGCTATATTCAAAAGAAACACTAAATGATGTGGCCAGTTAGTGAGAATGTAGCCTTATCTTTACTGACCTCATTTTAATATTCCTACTCTGGCTGGGCATGGTGGCTCACGCCTATAATCCCAGCACTCTGGGAGGCCGAGACGGGTGGATCACCTGAGGTCAGGGGTTCGAGACCAGCCTGGCCAACATGGTGAAACCCCATCTCTACTAAAAATACAAAAATTAGCTGGGTGTGGTGGTAGGCGCCTGTAATCCCAGCTACTCGGGAGTCCGTGGCAGGAGAATCGCTTGAACCCAGGAGGTGGAGGTTGCAGTGAGCTGAGATCACGCCATTGCACTCCAGCCTGGGTGACAAGAGCAAAACTCAGTCTCAAAAAAAAAAAAGAAAAAAAAAGATATATATATTCCTACTCTTATTAAATGAATATAGCATTTCTTAGCAACTTCTTTTGATTTGTGAGTATATATTTTCTTGGCCTCAAAATTAAAGTAAAAAGTATCCTCTTACTCAGAGGAGGACAGGGGCAAGAGCCTGGGACCTTATTTGCTAATTAAAATGCACACACACACACACACACACAGAAATTTTGAGAGCCATTTTAATATAATTGCCTCCCTAGAAACATACCTTTTAGGGAATTTTTATCACTAAACCACATGTTATTTAAATACGTACATGTTTAACATAAATACATACATAAAATTCACATGCATACTTAACACTTATGTTAAATATATTCAATGTATATACATATGTACACAATATATGCATATATACATGTGGGTATGTGGTATGTGTGCATGTGTGTGTATGGCCAGCTACATAATTTGTGGGACTAAGGGCAAAATGAAACTGTACGGCCCTCGTTCAAAAATTAGGTGTGGGGTGCTTCTAAGCACAGTCTTGTGCAACTGCACAGGTTGCATGTCCATGAAGCCATCCTGTGTGTGTGCACATATGTGTATGAATATGTATTTTATATAATACATATATATGCATGTATGTATCTGAGAAGAAATGTTTAAAAGGCTACATACAAGCTTTTCCAGGTCTCTACTATCTGTTAACTAACTAGAGACATAACTCACAATATGCAGTCCCCACTGAGTGTTCACCATAATTTGAGATTCTTGGCATGTTAACTTTTCATTATGGAATATTGAATAATTTCAATATTATTCATACATTTCTTTATGTTCAAACATACACAAAAATAGAATAATGAAACTCTACCCATCACCCAGCTGCAACAAATATCAATACTTTACCGTTCTTAATACATCTAACCCCTTACTTTTTGTTTGTTTCTTTTGGTGAAGTATTTAATTGTAATTTTTTTTTTAAGAGACAGGATCTCACTCTGTCACCCAGGCCAGAGTACAGTGGTACGATCACAGCTCCTTGTAACCTCGAACTCCTAGGCTCAAGTGATCCTCCTGCCTCAGCCGCTTGAATAGCTGGGACTACATGCATACACCAACACACCCAACTAATTTTTAAATTTTTTGTAGAAATATGGTCTTGCTGTGTTTCCCAGGCTGGTCTCAAACTCCTGGCCTTGAGAGATTCTCCTGCCTTGGTCTTCCAAACTGCTGGGATTACAATATCCGGCCCTACTGGAATATTTTAAAGTAAATCTCAGGTGTTACATCATTGCACTTGTAAGTACTTTAAAATGTATCTCTAGCAGATAAATCTTTTTAACAAAACCACAGCATCATTGTCACACTCAAAAAATTGACAAGATTTCCTTAATTATCATATAATAGTCTGTATTGTTTCTATCTCAAAAATACAGTTTTCTTGGTTGTTGAAATCTAGATCCAACATTGCATTTGGTTGATGTGTCTCCTTTACTCTGTAAAATTTACCCCTGCGTTTTAGTTCTTTTCGGCTTTTATTTGTCCTGTGGAATTTCCTCCACTCAGGATTTGACTGAGAGTATCCCCAGAGTGTCCAGTTAGACCTAGAAGCTGGATTTGATCCTGGTTCATTTATTTTCCCCCAAGAATACTCCATAGGTGATGCTATACACTTTCTCTTACATCATTTCAGGAGGAACATGATGTCTGATTGTTCCACTTTCAGTGATTTTAATATTGATCAATGAGTTCTGGTGGTACCAACTACTACAAAGTTTCTCATCAATCTTTCACCTGATGGTTTTAGCAGCTATTGATAATTGTTGCCTGGATCCATTATTTCATTTCAGGGGTTGTAAAATAGTGATTTTCTGGTTCTATCAAACCTCTTGCATTTATCATCTATGATTCTTCTTTAAGGAACTTTCTCTAAATCTGAATGGGAAAGATGCGATAAATATTTATCAAATTTTAGAGTGAGTTAGTGCCCTAGCAACCTCCACAGTTGACAAATGAGTATTTCTTTAAAGCAAGGTATGGCCCAACCAATACTTTGAAACTAGCATGTTTAGAATAGAGCAGGAGGAAACTATATTTGAAAGGTCAGAAGTGGAAAGACTAAGAGGGCCTGAACAATAAGAGGACAGAACCAAGAGGAGTTGGCAACTAATTGGATGTGGGGATTAAGGAAAGGTAAGCATCAAAGATTACCTCCAAGTTTGTTAGAAGGTTAGTAGCAGGATTCTGATGCCATTCAAGTAAATACAAGTCTCAGTCAGATGAACCCCAAGAGCCACATGTATTTGAGGGGTACTTTGTCTCACACTTTTACCTGTTACATGGTTTTCAGTAATTTAGAATTTAAGCCAGTAGTGGGGCGACTGTACATCTATCGACATGGTGAGGTAGAGCATGTTTGGGAGGAAAGACGTTGAATCCCATTTGGTGACAGTGAGCTTGAGGTGCTGCCAGAACACTGCACTGAAGATAGGAGGAGACTGTAGGAAATACAAGATAGGAAAGGTCTCCACTGAAATGTTAACTCTTTCTCTCTAAACGGCCATCCAGGCCTCAATGTCTGCAGTTTCTGATCTGTGATTATGACTTATCCAAATCTTACATTTCTTAAAAATAGTCATAGATGAAGGGAATCACAGTTGATAGTTATATGGTGACATTATTGGCTTAAATTCTAAATAACTAGAAACTGTATAATAGGCAAAACTGTGAGGCAAATAAAATGCTTCTCAAATCTGTGTGGCTCTTATGGGGTTAATTTGATTTGGACCTGTATTAATTTCTTATGGCTGCTATAACTAACAAATTACCACAAACTTGGTGGTTTAAAACAACACACATTTATTCTCTTTCTGTTCTGGAGGCCAGAAGTCTAAAATGAGATTCACTGGGCTGCAGTTCACTGGGCAAGGCCATGCTCCTCTGGAGGCTTCCATGATGCATCCCATATTCAGTGTTTCCCGAGTAAGCCCCACCCATGCAGGTCTGCAGTTTTACCTCAACAGGCTTTTGCACTCAGTGGCTCTCTCCTGTGGTTTCTATCTGAAATTCTCTTCATTTTTTTTTTAATAACTGCTTTATTGAGATATAATTCACATGCCATACAATTCACCTATACAGTATACAATTCAGTAGTGTTTACTATATTCAGAGTTGTGCAACTATCATTTTTCTCACCCCCAAAAGAAACCCTATGCCCGTTAGTATTCACTCTGTTTTCTCACAACTCTAGGTAACCACTAATCTACTCTCCATCTCTATAGATTTGCCCATGCTAGACATTTCATATAAATGGAATCATACATGTGGTCTTTTTCACTGAGTATATTTTCAAGGTGCATCCCAGCTGTGGCATGAATCAGCATCTCATTCCTTTTTATTGCCAAATAATATTCTATCATATGGATATGTCGCATTTTATGTATCCATTCATCAGCTGATGGACATTTGGGTTGTTTGTACTTTTTGGCTACCATGAATAATGCTACTATGAACTTTTGTGTACAAATCTTATGTGGACTTGTTTTCATTTCTCTTGGATGTATATTCCTAGGAGAATGGCTGGATTATACAGTAACTCTTTCCTCATAACTTTGCATATCAAAATTATATCCATCTTTCAGAACCCAAATTCAGTGTTATTTCCAAAGTGTTCCAACATCTCCCACTCAAAATGAATCTTCTCCCTAGTACTCCCATTGTTTAGTACCTAATTGTTCTTACCAGTTTGTCTTAGAGCTCAGTCATTCCTACACAGCACTTTTCTTCATTATACTGCTAATTTCATTACACTGTAAGAGTGGGGACAAGCTGTTCTTCTTGTATACCAGAAAGTAGTGAGTGCACTGCTGTGAAGAAAGCAGGAACTCAAAAGTTAAGAATTTTGAATGAGCCTATAAAATGTGTCTAATAAATAATAATGTTCATTTTCAAATCTCAACAATTAAATGTTTAACAAATAACACTTGAAATAAATGTTTATTAGAAAAACCAATTTGGTATGTTAAAGTATTTATTTTGAATTTCAGAAACTACAGAATTCTGGATTTTTAATTAAGAAAATTAGACATTTTAGAATTTCTAGATAGGACTTTGAAAATAAACATGGCACAATATACACAAAAGTAAATGACAACATGACATTAAATTTTACATTGTTTTGCAGTTTCAAATTTCGTATTAATGTTCTACAACAAATTTTAAAATTCTTTTCAGTGTTTTGCTTCCCTTGGTGTTCATTATTGCCTATTTATAAAGTCATAAAAGGCCTAAAAATAACTTGTTACTCATATTGAAAGTCTGATTTTTTTTTTATTCCCTTAAGATGGAGGTCTCTCACTATGTTGCCCAGGCTGGTTTCAAACTTCTGGGCTCAAAGGATTCCCCATCTCAGCCCCCTGAGTAGCTGGGACCAAAGGCATGCACCACTGCACCCGGCTGAAAGCCTGTATTTTTATCTTTCGATGGACAACAGAGGGATATCTCCCACTCTCTAAGCCGGTCTAGTTCTAGTACTAGGCCTGTAAATGTAGACCACAATCCTGGTGAAGTCATGGGTTCCATCAGTGTTATCCTGGCATTCTCAGCATAATTGTCATGAACATATTTAAAATATTTTAGGCCACTGAGCAGGTGTGGGTTGTCCTCATAGTAACAGGAGAAAGGGAAGCCAGTTCCTGTCTAACTCCATTCCATCTGAAATTATCCATTTGGCTTTGGGATTTGACTGAATGTTGGTATGTTGGCTGAAATGACACCACAGTATTGACTGGAATTGCAAGGGTAAAATGTACTCCTCTGTTTTATTAATAGCTCTCTCTCTCTCTCTCTCTCTATATATATATATATATACATACATATATATATATAATTTTTTTTTTTGAGACAGGGTCTTGCTCTGTCACCCAGGCTGGAGTGCAGCAGCATGATCTCAGCTCACTGCAATATCTGCCTCCCAGGTTCAAGCAATTCTCATGCCTCCGCCTTCTGAGTAGCTGGGATTACAGGCGAATGCCACCACGCCCAGCTAATTTTTGTATTTTTAGTAGAGATGGGGTTTCACCATGTTGGCCAGGTTGGTCTTGAACTCCTGGCTTCAAGTGATCTGCCTGCCTTGGCGTCCTAAAGTGCTGGGATTACAGGAGTGAACCACTGCGCTCAGCCAATTTTATAATTTTTTTAAAAACAAAAAAGTAAATATTAAACAATAGCATCCAAACATATAAATATTATATATATACACATATTTACATTCATAAAAATAATGATTAGTTTTCTGGATGAAGAACTGAGGCCCAGAAGTTAACTAGATTAGTGGCTCAAGGTAGGCTGCATTTTAGAATCAAGGGCAGTGATGCCCAAGTCACAGTGACTAATGGCATCAGAATCTCTTGGGATGGGACCCTTTTATTACTATTTTGTAAAGCTCCCCAAGTTAAACTTGAAAAGTGAATTAGGTCATATTAGGTCAGAGATTAATACAAATTGTACTACTGATTATCTTACCCTAGCAAGTGTAGGTTAATTTTTACAATCTTCTTATGTATGCTGTTTCTAATAAAAGGGGTTGTTCTCTTGCTCAATCTAACTAACAGGTGAGCTATAAAATCACACAGGTGATCACAACTCTATCCAAAGAATGGTGGTGCTCCATCCTTAACCTCAGTACTAGTTCTTATCCTCAGGTGCTTATCACTCATTCTTGGGACTTCAAAATAAATATATAGATATCCAGGAACCACCTTAGCCAAGACAAATCAAAATCAATCACTAGGAGAGACACCTGAGCATATGAACTTTTAAAAAGGTTCATGATTTTGATGCCTCACCCTGGATGGAGCTCTCTCATAGTATGCCACACGGTATGTCCTTAGCTGTATTCATTAATATTACAGGGAAGCAGATTTCAGTTTAAGAGAAAACAATGAAAACAATTCAGAGCTACCCAGTAATGGAATGGTTTTAAAGCAGTGAGTTCTCTGTGGCTGGAAGAATAAAAGCAAAGGTTGAACTATCACTTGCTGGGAATGCTATCAAGGGGTTTCCAAATTCAGTAAGTACTTGCATCACACAATATTTAAATTTCCTCACAATTAAGTTTCTCTAGCCAAAACTTCCAACAGATCACATATAATGGATATAGACATTGTCATGAAAACTCATGATTTTACCAGAAATTATCACAGTTAAATGGATTAGAATTTAGTAGTACTGGTCGAACATTGCCTCTGACATCAGCCTTATTGAGGGGAATACTTTTCCCCTCCTCTTCATGCTTGGATGGAGGGAAGGGAACTTCTCCTTGCTCCTTCAAAGCAAGAAGTGTAGGAAAAAGCTCTCTGAACCCTCATTCATTCCTTCCCAAGAGAGAACTGTCTTATCCCATGGGTGATACAAGAAGGAACTGAGCATGTGTGGTCCAGCCCCTGGTGGTTTCCCTGACCTTGAAAGCTAACTGGTCTCAGAATGCAAAGATGGGCTCTGCCCCAACAAGGCAGAGACCCGCTGTTCTCTCCAATCAGGGAGAAATATTACAGTCTCTGACTGGAGAAAAAGTCAACCTTCTTCTCTGTATCAGTTTATTCACTGATAAAGTGGATATTTTTCTCTTCCTCTGACTCCCATTTCTTATTTCTCAATTTGTTCCAAAGTGAAGAGGGGAATAAGAAGTTACCTGTTGGTGTCCTTAAACCCCTCACGTATCACAATATAGCAATAAATTGTAACTGTCCATCTCTGTGATACTTGTGTTCTGAAATGCCATTGCATTATTTTTTTCAAGTCAATGAACATTCATATTCTAAAGTACAAAAAGAACAAAACATTATATAAAGTCCCCCTTTCTTTACTGGCATAAAAAATTTGAGATTTCCAACTGCTAAATTGTCTATCCCTAGGAAGTAATAACATTTTTCAAGTTTCCACTTTATTGGGAATAATCTTAGTCATGATCTGCAGAAGTTGGTCCTGGACAATTTGAAGATAGGTCTTCTTTATCTGTAAGTTATGTGAGGGAAATGAAAGATTAATACAACTTCTACAGTAAACTAGAAAATTATTTCAACATAACATGCATTTTTTGATCTGATGTTTTCTACTTATTCTGCTAAACCAGAAAAGATAAAAACAACAATAACCAAAAATGCTTCACTCTCAAGTACAAAGTTCTTAAATACAAGTTAGCAAAGGTAGCTTGGGCAAAGGTGTTAGAAGGAGAAACACTTGGCTCTGTAAGACACCTGGTAAGTGTAAACCATTTCTATCCTTACAATGGAAAAAAAAAGGAATGGATTTCAACATATCTGATTTTTACGGTTTAGGGGCAATATTCTATCTAAGTATATAAAAATTAGCTCTAAAATTTAATATAAATTCTTTCAAATATCTGTAGCCAAAGAAAGAATCTTTAAAAATAAAGCACAAAACATTCATCATTCTCAGGTTATTCTAAAATTGTTTCTTTTGAAACAAAACACTGAAAAATTCACTTCCACACATTCAGTTTCTGAAAAGTTAAATGCAATTTTAATAAAGCCTCAATTATTTCTATATCCACTATTTAAGAAATTGGTCCCATACTGCCATTTGAATGGAATAAGAAATTTCCATTGTCAGTGGGAAATGACTTTAACTAAAAATTGGAGAGCATTCATCTATTTTTAAAAAGCATAAAGTAATTTTCTTACCTTCATAGGCTGTTCCACACCAAATACAATATAGATGTTCTTCTCTTAAATAACTAGTCAATATTTGTAATTTTTCCAGTACCTATAGGATACAAGCACATTATTAATACTTTACATTGAACAGAACCTTGGTTTTCTGGCTCTTAGATCGTGCCGAATTAGCTCAAGGCTGTAAATATTCTGCTATACTCTGGAATAGTTATTAGAAATGTCAAGGACAGAACTGATATATTCGAATGTGTTACAGTTCATTAGCCACCCTGAGATTTCCACAAGTCTGCCAGACACAATGGAGACTGCTTGTTAACATTGAGAAAATAGTTTTTGGGTGGCCTTATTAAAATTGGCATCCTTTAAAGGCTTTTTCTACTTTCAAGGCATTTACCTCCCCCAGATAAGGTGAAGGTGAATATGGCCTCCTTTTGCCATAAAAGTTCTCATCAATGGTCTCCCAATTAAGTGGAATATAGGTTTTTCAAATTGTGAATGTTTTCCACAAAATTATTATACTCAAGTAAGCATACGAGTGTGTTTTCCTTTCTTGAATAATCTCCATTTCCTTTTTTTTTTTTTTTTGTGAGACAGGGTCTCGGTCTATCACCTAGGCTGGAGTGCAGTGGCGTGATCTTGGCTCACCGCAACCTCTGCCTCCCGGGCTCACGTGATCCTCCTACCTCAGCCTCCTGAGTAGCTAGGATTATTGGGTGCCCCACACCTGGCTAATTTTTGTATTTTTAGTAGAGACTAAAATACACTACCATGTTGGCCAGGCTGGTCTTAAACTCCTGACCTCAAGTGATCCACCAGTTTTGGTCTCCCAAAGTGTTTGGATTACAGGTGTGAGCCACCATGCCCGGCCTCCATTTTCTTTTGATTGTGTTTTTTTGTTGTTTATAAGTAGGAGAAAAAAGTACACATTAGAATGACTTGTAGAAGTTTTGCAGGAAATAAGGTATAAATTAAAATAATTTACATTTGTTGCTAATTCATCATCCAAACTGAAGCTGAGATGAGAGGACAAATGGAAGCTAAAGGGAAAAATTATATGTAAGTTTTGATTTGGGGTTAGTAAAGTAATCCTGCAATGCAGTACCTCTCAACCAGGGGTTATTTTTCCCCTCGGGGACATTTAGCAATGTCTGGAGAGGGTTTTGGTTGTCATAAGCAAAAGTGCAACTGGTATCTGGTGGGCAGGGGCCAGAGATGCTGCTAAACATCTTGCAATGCACAGGACAGCTCTCCACAACAACGGATTACCACAACTCAAAGTGCTAATGTTGCCAAGGCTGAGACACCCTATGAAGGAAATGGTGCAAAGCATACGCTTAAATCTTCACTCTTATATTCATCTTCATCCTGTTCTTTTTCTTCTTCATCTTCTTCAGTCTCCTCTTCAAGCCTCAACCAGTACCATGCTTCCCTGGGAACCTGAATATTCTGAAAATGCAGAAGTAGTCTCAATTAAACATACTAAACATAAGAGCATGACAAATATGTTCATGTCAACATGAATTCATTCTTTCAATACGTATTCACTGAGTGTGGCTTTAAGAGTAAAAACACTGGCCGGGCACGGTGGCTCACGCCTGCAATCCCAGCACTTTGGGAGGGAGAGGTGGGTGGATCACGAGGTCAAGAGATCAAGATCATCCTGACCAACATGGTGAAACCCCATCTCTACTAAAAATACAAAAATTAGCTGGGCGTGGTAGTGCATGCCTGTCGTCCCAGCTACTCAGGAGGCCGAGGCAGGAGAATTGCTTGAACCCAGGAGGTGGAGGTTGCAGTGAGCCAAAATCACGCCACTGTACTCTAGCCTGGTGACAGAGTGAGACTCCATCTCAAAAAAAAAGTGAAAACATTGTACCATGAACTATGGGGATGCAAAGTCCAATTCTTTAGAATTGTGCAGTTGTCTTTAAGTTCCTTCTGACAGTCTAGCAGGAAAGATAGGCTATGGGTACAAAATAATACATATATGCTACAAAATCATAAGTGCCATGAAATACATTCAAAGTAAAGTAATATGTAAGAACAGGAAAGTGAGAGATTGCTTCCAGTAATCTATATATAAGGGAAATTTTACAAAGCTTTTTGAGACTTCAAATGAAGTCATTTTATTTTCAGAGTACTTGAACCACTAAGATAAAAGCAAAGACAGAATTTATTTACTTATTTATTTTTTTTGTAGAGCTGGGGACTTGCTATGTTGTCCAGGCTGGTCACAAACTCCTGGACTCAAGCAATCCTGCAGCCTCGTCCTCTCAAAGTGCTGAGATTACAGACATGAGCCACCATGCCCAGCCAGAGACAGAATTTTTTAAAAACTATTCAAATTTGAACTAGATAGCATTCCACCTTGATTTTATTTTTGAGACAGGGTCTCACTCTGTCACCCAGGCTGGAGTGCAGTGGCATGAACATAGCTCAATGCAACCTCAACCTTCTGGGCTCAAGTGATTCTCCCACTTCAGCCTCCTGAGTAGATAGGACTACAGGTGTGTGCCACCACATGCAGCTAATTTTAAGATGTTTTGTAGAGATGGAGTCTTGAAATGTTATCCAGGCTGGTCTCGAACTCCTGGGCTGAAATAATCATCCTGCCTTTGCCTCCCAAAGTGCTAGGATTACAGGATTGAGCCATCATGCCTGGCCCACTCTGATTTTAATAGTTAGACATATATTAGATACTGAATAGGAACTGAAAATAGGCTATTCTTGTTAATCAAATATTATAAAGAACAGAATTTCTGCACATAATAGTCATAACTGATATTCAAATAAGCAGAGAACAATTAAATGTAAAATTTTATTTAACCCTTTTTGTTTTACTATAGTTAGTATAAAACTATAAAACTATAGTTACTATAAAACCCTGGGTTTTATAGTAACCCAGACAACTCAGGTTACTATAGTAAATAATAAGCCATTTTTATATCAATTGTCACAGATCAGAAGTGCACATTACATGAAAGCTTTAATGAGTAGATAAACCGGGCTTGGAGTTCTTAGTTTTATATATATATATAATATATATATTATATATATAAATACATAAAATATATATAATATATAAGACATATGTAAAAAATATATAAATATATATGATACATATAAATATATGTAATACATATATAAACATATAATACATATATAAATATATATAATACATATATAAAATATATATATATATAATAAATAAACGGGAAATCACAGGGGGTGCCAAAACACTTTACTAAACTGAAAGCTGGTAAAAGGCTTACTTTCTGGACATCCAGTTGTTGACAGGCTCGCTGGCTTCTTCTGAGATCTCCTTCTAGCTTCATTTCATCTTGCTTATTTTTAAGTCGCATTCTAATTGAAAGAAAAAATTGTAAACTAAAGGTCTACGTTATCTTTAACCATTTTATATGCCCAAGTACCAGAGAACATACCACAATAAAGAGGAAATAGAACCAAAACCAGCTCAAAAATAGTTTTACCGAAACTGTTCTGCAGCTTTTTCTTCAGCTTGGTTTTTCATGTGAATCTTTTTTCTGTAGCTTTCCAATTTTTCCTCTGCTTTCCGTTTTAATGATGCCTCATGACCAATGCCACTTTTCCCTATTCAAACAGAAAATTCTGATGAGAAACATCCTGACTTTGTGCTTCAAAACAAGACGATTTAACTATGTACAAATTAAATGCAATTCTCATTTGAGTACTATCACTCACAAATCATTTGAGTACACTAATAGTAGAAAACACTAGGGTTTTTTTTAAGCCCAAAACATAATCTGATTTTTACAAAGATTGTTAATCTCATCTTATAGTAATATTATAAACAATTTTTCAAATCAGAAAAACAGTATTAGCTGTTATAGTTTTATTTAAATATGAATAAAATATATCTTTTTCTCTTGAATTCATCCAAGTATTAAGCAAAACATTTGGTAGATAAATCTGTCTCAGAACACTTTTATTTTATTTTATTTTTATAGGGACAGGCTGGTATGTAGTGGCACAATCATGGCTCACTGTAACCTCGAACTTGTGGGCTCCAGGAATCGTCCCGCCTCAGCCTCCTGAATAGCAAGGACTACAGGTGCGTGCCACTACACCCGGTTAATTTTTTAAATTTTTTGCAGAGATGAGGTCTTGCTATGTTGCCCAGGCTGGTCTCAAATTCCTGGCTGCTTTTTTTTTTTTTTCCTTGAGATGGAATTTCACTCTTGTTGCCCAGGCTGGAGTGCAATGGCGCAATCTTAGCTCACTGCAATCTCTGCCTCCTGGGTTCAAGCGATTCTCCTGCCTCAGCCTCCCAAGTAGCTGGGATTACAGGCATGCACCACCATGCCCGGCTAATTCTGTATTTTTAGTAGAGATGGGGTTTCTCCATGTTGGTCAGGCTGGTCTTGAACTCCCAACCTCAGGTGATCTGCCTGCCTCGGCCACCCAAAGTGCTGGGATTACAGGTGTGAGCCACCACGCCCGGCCAACTCTTGGCTTTAAGCAATCCTTCTGCATCGGCCTCCCAGAGCAAAACAGTTTTAAGACATTTCAATGGACAAAAACAGTATTGCACATTCAATGGTTGTAATGATTTGTTCTTCCCATATTCGTGTGGTTTAAATTTTATTTTATACTCACTAAAACTTATTTCTTTTCTGGTTGAAGAGGTTTAGAAATTTAACAAAATTTTACTGAACTGTAACAGTATTATCATTTAAAAAAAAGTATTTATTGAGCAAATATATGTGGTAGACCTAAGCGTAAGTTATTATTATTGGCAAATATGCTCCAAAATAATTACGTACCTGTTTTGATATTGAGAGGAATTGGTTCAACAATACCACCCCCTTAAAGAGAATGAATACAAACTATTTTAGAAAATTTTCCTCAAACTACAGAACAGTATAAGTATGCAACTTTACAATGCTCTATGCATATGCCCTCCTGTTTCAATGATATTCAAAATTGAAATCTGAACATCTATATATATTCTATATATAATCAATTATCTACCTTGTCTTCAAATACCTACTCATCAAAAAGGCTGATTCACAGCCTCCTATGCCACCTGAAGGTGGAGTTTTAAGAAGGAACAACACTGATATTATTGGTGCAAGACGGTGACAGCCTTAAGTGAAAGCAAAGCAATTACGATAAAGGAAAGAAAAACGGTTTACAGAGGTTACTATAAATATATAGCCTCTCTAGCTTAATAAGCAGTTTCACTTCCTAAAAAGAGAGGTGAGAATTGAGCCTCTCCAACTGGACGGTCATTCAGATGGCTGCCACAGGTACAGAGCAAGCAGGGCAAAGTCTTGCCATCATCCTCAGTGTTGTTTCAATGTATTTAGCCATTGCACTTCTCAACCCATCACTTATCACCATTCTTTGCTTCTTCTGTTGTAAGCCACATCCATCTAGGTTGTTAGTGCCTTCAGCTAAGCTGGGCTGATAAGCAGCTCTTGATGGCACATGTGGTATCTAAAATGGATGTGGGATGATGAAAAGCTCTCCATAAGGCTTGTTAATACATAATAGACTAAAAAGCCTAAGTTGTTATAATTTCTGTGTAGATAAAGATTAAAGCATCAGCTTTGGTCCTTATCCATAAGTCACAATTAGGTGGTAAGGAATACCTGTTTATTTCCACATGTGACTTACCACTCTTGCCAAGTGCCTGACCACTTTTATAGCCCATCTTTTGGAGCAAGGCAAACCCTTTGTTTTCACAGCCTAGTGCATTCTTCAACCCAATGTCACGTCTTTCTTGTTCTTCTTCTTTTAAACTCTTCTGCCTGTTTTTCAAATTGGCTTCCTGTTGCTTTTCTTCTTTTCGACGGGCTTCTCGGATTTGCCTTAGCATTGGCAATCCTGGTCTGATATCTTCTCTGAATAAGGGAAAAGTTTATTTTAGATGAGTCCATAAAGTTTTCTTTTCTTTTTTTTTTTTTTTATTTTTTGAGACGGAGTTTCGCTCTTGTTGCCCGGGCTGTAATGCAATGGCATAATCTTGGCTCACTGCAACCTCCGCCTCCTGGGTTCAACCGATTCTCTTGCCTCAGCCTCCTGAGTAACTGAGATTACAGGCGCCCACGACCATGCCCGGCTATTTTTTGTATTTTTAGTAGAGACGGGGTTTTGCCATGTTGGCCAGGCTGGTCTTGAACTCCTGACTCCAGGTGATCTGCCCGCCTCAGCCTCTCAAAGTGCTGGGATTACAGGCGTGAGCTTCCACGCCTGGCCAAGTTTTCTCATAACTCTGTCACTTACTCACCTGACAACAGTTAATATTTCGGCACTACCTCTATGATCATCTTTGTTATTATGATATTAGAACATAATCAGTGACCTCTAAGAATGGCTGTTTTAGTAGAAATGATGAAGGCTGGTGCCAGATCATAGGAAAATAAGGAAAGCACGAAGTTGAAGAAATCAGATATAGTAAGTTTAGACTTACTATGTTTCTAGGATGTTGGCAATAATAAAGAACAAAGTTGTATAGCAGCTAGAAGAGACAATATGATGTAATAAAGGAAAAGGAGTAAATTTCCTTGGAAGAAGGCAATAAAAAGGATCAAGGGCAAAAGTAAAATGGTTAGCATTAAAAGGAGGAAGTAGATTCTAGTATCTTTCTATGGTGACATAGGAGGTATTTCCATAAAGCAAGAAGACTGACTTTCCCACTGCACATTTAAAATCACTGTCAGGCTGGGCACGGTGGTTCATGCCTGTAATCCTAGCACTTTGGGAGGCCAAAGCCGGAGGATCGCCTGAGCCCAGGAGTTGGAGACCAGCCTTGGCAACACAGTGAGACCTTGTCTCTCCAAATAATAAAAAAGAAGAGTTAGCCGGGCATGATGGTGCAGGCCTGCAGTCCCAACTACTCGGGAGGCCAAGATGGGAGGATCTCCTGAGCCTGGAGAGTTTGAGGCTGCAGTGAGCTAAGATTGTGCCACTGCACTCCAGCCTTGCTAACAGAATGAGACCCTGTCTCAAAAAAATAAAATAAAATAAAATAAAATCAATGTCATTTCTTAATCTACACATCTTATACATATCATTGCACTGGGTGTGCACATTTACTTACTGGACATTAATGAAGGAATCAGACATATAGTCCTCTTCTTCTGCCATGTTCAACTTCATATGGCTATAGTATCTACAAATAAAGTAATAATTACTTTTTTTTTTAGTTTATCAGAATGGAAATAAACCTTTCTGTATCTGCAGCCATGAGCTGTCTCTAGAGCTCTACTATATATTCAAGTGCCCTTTGGACATCTTTATCTGTGGACATTTCAAACTCAACAATCTAAACAACTCATTTCTTTCCCCTTTCCCCAGCCTTCTACATCCCCTGTGTTTCCATGTTGATGTCATCATTATCTCCTTCTTCCTGACCTCTTATGAAGCTGTCAAGTCTTCCTCCATAAAACTCCTCACAGACGTTTTCTCTACAGTTGTGACCACTGCTTTAGTTCAGGCACTTTTTTTTTCTCACCTGAACTATTACAACAGCTTCTTAATCAGCTTCTTAGTTGGTCTCCTCTTCCAGTCCATTCTCTGCACCCCATCCAGAGGTTTTTTGTTTATTTGCTTGTTTGTTTTTAAATACAAGTCAGGTCACGTTACTAGCCTGTTTCAAATCCTTCATTAAACCTGACCCTGTAGGCAGTGGGGGACCAGTCACTTTTGCAAAGCATGAGATGTTGTCCTTCATAATCTGACACAACTGTCCCTAAGGATTCATTATTCAAGCCCCATGGCTCCTCACTGCCCTCTGAACAGAGTACAAACATTTCTTCCCTGTAGGCCAAGGCTACCCTCCCTTCAGAAACCTCTCCTGACCACTCCAGGCCTTTCTCTACAGCACTTTATGTCCAAGCTGCTCATTTGGAAGTTGATATAGTTAACAACTCACTTATGTGGAAATATTTTGAGGGACAGTTTCTATCCAAAATAGTTAAAATCATGTAATTATTGGCCCTTAAAGGGTTAAAGTAATTTTCTACAAAAGTACTTCTCAAACTTTATTGTGTATACAAATTGCACTGAGATCTTCTTAAAATGCAGAATCTGATTCTGGGGCTGGAACCTGAGGTTCTGCATTTCTAGCAGGTTCACAGGCAATGTCAATGTTGCTAGTTCAGTTGCTTAAGACAAAAGTGTATTCACTTGTTGTGGTGCATATGTACTGTTTTTTCCTGCCTACCATCTTTTCCTTTGGGAATCCAACCCTCTGCCCTTCATGTGGTTTTAGTGGAGGGTGGCAATGTCAGTATCCCATATTTCCTTGGGCACAAAGATGGTCAATTATAGTACTCTATGTCCAGCACCAGGGGACGAGATGACCCAGCCAGAGAAATAACCATCTTTTTCCTTACATTATATGAATATATGGGTTGTGGGGGAAAGAAGGTCTTTTATGGGTGTTTCTGAACTGGGAGAATGTGAAGCTGGGCTGTGGATGGCCATCTTCTTGGCCCCATGAAGGGATCTTGTCTGAAGAATGAAGCCAGATAGAGAAAATGAGCCTAGTTTCCAAGGCTGCGGATTCTTTGAAGCTGCGACTTAGCATTCTACCCCATTACATAGACTAATACATTTCTGCATTACTTAAGCTTGCTGAAGTAGGGTTTCTGTCAACTGCAACCAAGTGTCTAGACAATTACACTGGATGAAAAAAGGATTACTATACTAATTTTTAATGGTTTTCTTTTTTGTTTTTTGAGACAGAATCTCGTTCTATCACCCAGGCTGGAGTGCAGTGGTGTGATCTCAGCTGACTGCAACCTACACCTGCCGAGTTCAAGCAATTCTCATGCCTCAGCCTCCCGAGTAGCTGGGATTACAGGCATCCACCACCACACCCAGCTAATTTTTGTGTTTTTAATAGAGACAGGGTTTTGCCATGTTGGCCAGGCTGGTCTCAAACTCCTGGCCTCAAGTGATCCACCTGCCTCACTCGGTCTCCCAAAGTGCTGGGATTACAGGCGTGAGCCACCACACCTGGCCTGGTTTTTTATATTTTTAATGTATATCTTCTCAACTAGATAATGTATATCTTGTGTTAAACACAAAGACAAGTCCCCTATATCCTCCCTACCTACCACTGCATCCCAAACACAAATGCTTAATAATTGTTTAGCAACAATGAGGATAAAAAGGGTCTTTAATATTTGTAATTTTATAACTTTTTCCTATGTCAACAAGTCATTTTTAAACACTTTTTAAATACGTACAGAAAACACATAAAACAAATGTACAGCTTAATACATTTCTGTGAGTCAAACATTCTTGTAACCATGTGGTACCCTCCAAAATGACTCCCAGTCATTCTTGCTGTGTGGTTTTCTACATCCTTAGTGTAGTCTCCTTCCACAGTGAACAGGATTAACCTGTGTAACCAACAGGATTTTGTGGAGATGATGGAGTTGATTTTTTGGTCATAACTGCAGCTCTTAGGTCATTCTAACTTTGAAGTTAGATGACTCACTTGAAGGAAGTCAGTGGTCACATAATAAGGATACTCAAGAAGCTCTATGGAGAAGGTCACACGATTGGAACTGAGTCCTCCTATTAAAAGCCAGCACAAACTCATGAGCCACAGGAGTGAGCTACCTTGGAAATGGATTCTCTTGCTCCAGTCAGGCCTTCAAATGACTCAGCCTGGGCTGGCATCTTCACTGCAACTTCTTAAGAAAGTCCATGCTAAACTAAGCTAAGCTGCTAACAAATTCCTGACCCATAGAAACTGTGAGATAACAAATGATTACAGTTATCTTAAGCTGCTACATTTGGGGATAATTTGTTATGTAGCAAAAGTTATCAGGAAGTAGAACCTTATCAGGCACCTGGGAGCCCTCTTTGTCCCCTATCCAGTTGCAACTCTCTTTTGGTTCTAAGAATAGTCACTATTCTGTTTTTTATGGCAATCATTTCCTTCATTTTCTCGATAGTTTTGTCATCCACGTGTGCATCTTTAAACATTACAGTTTAGTTTACCTATTTTTATTATAAGTTAAAAACGTGCACTATTATATACAGCATTTATGGTAATTCACCCGCTTCCTCTAAACCTCAGATTCTTCATTGGTAATAACAGCATTTTTACACATAATGGTTTAACACTTACCCAGTATATCACACATTTTTATCACATTTAACCACCACTAACAACTCTACAAGGTAGGAAGAGTTTTTCCTGTTGGAGAAATTAAGGTTCAGTATGGCTAAATGACTATTTCAAAACCACAAAGAATCCGGGTCATAGTGCCTTGCAAATAGGATTACATTGTTTTTAAGAGACCTACTTAACTTTAAAGTGCCAGGCACATCTGAATGGGGTTACAGGTTGCTTTTAAAGCTCTCTTTCTATTGGTAAAATATACTTTAGCATTATCCATTTCCATCAAAGATAAGCATAAACTTCACAAGGCGATACCCTGGCAGAGATGATGGAGGCTCGTACCAGAGTGATAGCAATGCAAGTGGTCGCATTTGGGGTACACTTGAAGGTAGAGCTTACAGGATTTGCTGATGTTGTAGGTAGTACGTAAAGAACGATGTCAAGATAACGCTAAGTTTTTGGCCTGAATACATGGAAGAACGGAGTTAACGTTTTTTGAGAGTGGGAAGACTGTAGGAGTAGGTTTGTTTTTGTTTTTTTAGGGGGCGTAGTCGGGAAACAGACATATTGAGAGTCCCATTACATATACAAGTGGAGAAATGGACCTACAGTATAAATGTGACAAGAAACGTCCCACTCTCAATACTACGCTCAGGAACCGCTGATCCCTTCCCTCACGCGTTCCTCCTGGCTGCAAGCGTCCCACAGACGCAACCACCCACGGATGGAAAAGTGGCTGACGGTGTGATACGGTAGTCATGGCCAGCGCACTCTGCCTTTTATCATTCTACCGGTTGTCCCCAGACCCTTACCTGACAGCTCTCTTACCTGACAGCTCTCTGCTCGCCCCGGTTCAGCGCCGTAGAGCGCGCGCTGCGCATGCGCCCACCGACCAGCGTCGGACTTCCGGACCTCGGCTCCCACCAGTTTCCTAGTGCAGACTCTATTGGAAATTCGCGGCGGGTGGGGATAGGAGGACGTGGTGACTGCGCTTGCGCAAGACCAGCCCTCCGCGCAAGCGCTCTTCCCTTGTTTCCTGCAGGTAGGAGTGCGGGAGGTGGGGCATCCGGGTCTCTTGGTGGCTGCTTCTACCCCCGGAGCTCAGCTGATCTTCCCTTCCAGACTACGAGGTGAGGTCGCCGAAGCATGCATGTTGACACGCACGGACTCCTGTCCGACGTACATTTTCAGACGGGTGGGGAAGACATTTGAGTTCGTAATGAACATTTTCCCTTTTCTGGCTCCGTGCTTAGTTCCGAGCTGCCGCCTCGTGCTATTGACAGCCTGCGGAACCCCACGGAGGCTTGCGGCGGCCTCTTGGTGTTTCCCCGGGTCCGCCGCTTGCGGTTCTTGGAGTAGCCAGGTGAAGCCAGACCCCGAGCGCGCGAGGCTTCTCGGGTGCATTCCGGACCGCCTGGTGTTGTCACTGACGCTTCGGCCGCCGGGCCTGGCCGCCCCACCCATCCGCGTAGGAAGAGTCTTGGAGACCTGCAGTTCGGGATGTCTGTGCTGGGTGTTTTGACCTCAGTCCCTCTGGCCAGGTGCAGCGCGGGAGGGTAAAGGTGCTATGTACCGAACCCTGGACGAGAAAAAGAGGAGGATGGTTGTCAAGCCCGGCTGGGGTGTTTGATCTTAGTGCTTCAGTTTTTTCATTTATAGAACGGGTAAATGACATATGTGTTGCTGGACATATTTCTTCTGGAATAATGCCTTTTTTGGCAATAATTTCTTTTAATTTTCTTTTCACTCCATGAGTCACTCTTCCTTACCAAGTAGTTTTCTTCTGTTTTTGTTTGTATTTTTGTCATTTAAAAGTATGTTCTCAGGTTTTGCCTCAAAGAAGTTGAGTTTTTCCCCAAATGAAATGAGTAGTCCTACTTTTCTTAGTGAGTATATTCCATTAAGCTTGACTTTTAACATTAAAAAATACTTACAAGTATTTTTTACTCTGTTAAATTTAAGGTGTGAATTTCAAACTTCCGTAATGGAGTTAGCCCACAGTTTATTGCTAAATGAAGAAGCTTTGGCTCAAATCACCGAAGCAAAAAGACCAGTTTTCATCTTTGAATGGTTGCGATTTCTTGATAAAGTCTTGGTTGCTGCCAACAAGGTATGGTATTGCTCTTTTTTCCCAGTTGCATTAACGTGAAGAGATTATGTGGTCATGATTCTTAAGAAAACACATGTTATGTTTTGGAAGGTTTATGGGTCACTTATGGAACTTGAGAGTATTACACGAATGGGAAATTTAGTGGCAAAACTCAAACCTCGTTTAAATCCAGCTCATTGCCTATCTTCTTTATGTTTGTACCTGGGCAGCTCATTGTAACTGGAGAAAAACATGGCTATATGACTGGTGTCACTTTAAATTTATCATCGTCACCCGTTGCAAGTGATCTCTCTATGCTGCCTAACAATCCCAGTGTCTTCACTTATCTCTTTGAGGAGTCAATAATAGGCTCTTTTTTTTTTTTAATCTGTTTTTTCTTCCTGCATAGCCTTGATTTGCCGAGACCAGCTCGTTTGGGGAGACCCTAACCTAGCGGCGCTAGAGGAATTAAAGACACACACAGAAATATAGAGGTGTAAAGTGGGAAATCAGGGGTCTCACAGGCTTCAGAGCTGAGACCCCGGAACAGAGATTTACTCAAGTGTCTATTAACAGCAAGCCAGCCATTAACATTGTTTCTACAGATATTCGATTAGCTAAAAGTATCCCTTATGGGAAACGAAGGGGTATGCTGAAACAAAGGGGTGGGTCTGGCTAGTTCTGTGCAGCAGGAACATGCCCTTAAGGCGCAGATCGCTCATGGTATTGTTTGTGGTTTAAGAGCGCCTTTAAGCGGTTTTCAGGCCAGGTGTTCCTTGCCCTCATTCGGGTTTCGTTATGGCCATCATGAACATGTCACAGTGCTGCAGAGATTTTATTTATGGCCAGTTTTGGAGCCAGTTCCCAACATTGATTCAACTTACTTTTTATTGTCTGTGTATTTTATATTCTGTCTTTAAAAGTAGATATGGCCCGGCATGGTGGTTCACGCCTGTAATCCCAGCACGTTGGGAAGCTGAGGTGGGTGGATCACCTGAGGTCAGGAGTTCCAGACTAGCCTGGCCAACATGGTGAAACCCCGTTTCTACTAAACACTGCTAAAAGTACGAAAATTAGCCAGGCGTGGTCGTGGGCGCCTGTAATCCCAGCTACTGGGGAGGCTGAGGCAGGAGAATCGCTTGAGCCGGAAAGGCAGAGGTTGCAAGGAGCCGAGATCGCACTAATGCACTCCAGCCCGGGGGACAAGAGTGAAACTCCATCTGAAAAAAAAAAAAAAAAAAAAAAAAAAAAAAAAAAGTAGATACTTCCCTCAAATGTCTGATGATCTTTGGCTGCCTGATCAAATTTAAAAGTGAGTAGTAAAAACTTTTCTCAGCAGGGCCAGTCTTTTAAACTGGACTTCACTGTAGGCTAGTTTGGTCCCTGACCTTAGTATTTTAGGTTTCTGTAGGCTAGTCATTCCCCAGAAGATACTTTTCTACTGTCGTGTCTGAAGAGTATATAGCTAGCTGGCTACATTCTTGGAGTTGTGGGAGAAGACTGGGGACTTTAAAGTTCAGTATGTGAACTTTCACTGCATCTCCCCATTTTCAGTGCAGTTTTCCCAGACCGCAACTGTGCCTGGACTCTTCTAGTCTGGACATACAATATTTCACTCTTCCCAGAGAATAAACTTTCAGTCTGCTTCCATAATGAAGAAGAGGATTCTTTCTGCTTATTAGACTCTCAACCATTCCCTCTATCTCAAGGTACATACAACTTCACTCCCACCTCCAAAAGCACCTAGGGCTTAAAAAAACCGTGATCTCTTAGGGGGTCCTGTGTTGTAAGTTAGGTCATTTTGCAGCTTTCCCTGTTGGGAACAGTTGGTTTCCAAATACTGTGTTGATTCTTTCTCCTGTTTTCTTTACCCTTTGGATTTGTGCTTTGTTGTTATTGTTCCTGTTGTTGTTGCTACCCTTTAGTATGGTTTTAATGGAATTTCTATAGAAACAGTCAATGCATGACCTAATGTAAATGACGAGTTAATGGGTGCAGCACACCAACATGGCACATGTATACATATGTAGCAAACCTGCACATTGTGCACATGTACCCTAGAACTTGAAGTATAAAAAAAAAACAATGCATGGATTCACTTGTAATTGTCAACTAGACGTTTCTGTTTTCTCTTAAATCCTCTACAACTGGGGATTTACTTCCACTCCACTGAAACAGCACTTGTCCAGCCATTACTGATGACAGATTGCCCAGAACAGTGGTCAGTATTCTGTCTTATTTGATCCATCTCCATCTTTTCACCTTGAAACACTTAAAACGTCTTTAATTTTGTTCTGAAATTGATAAATACAAGAGTGTATAAAACAGGAAGCATAATATGAATATCTGTACACCCTCCACCCAAATTAAACAATAAGATTGTTATCATTGCTTTGCACAGTTTGTGTGAAGTTTTCTTCCTGTTCGTGGCTTCCCAAGACGCTGTTAGGTTTTGGTTCCTCTCCCACTTCACTAACTACTACTTCTTGTTCTTTTTTAACTCTTCCTCAGTTCAGGGCATTTTTTTTTTTTTAATCTGTACATATTCCTTCAGTGATATCATCTAATTGTATGATTTTTACTATCATCTATAAAATAATGATTCCCAGGATAATGTTTACTCCACCTCTTTCTTATCTAAGTGGCATCTCAGAGTTAACATACCCAAACCAAATTCTTGATTTCTCCTCCCAAACCTGCCCTTTCCCCCATGTTCTCTATCTCAGGAAATGACCATTTCATCCTTCTAGTTGCTCAAGGGAAAACCATAGAGTCATTTTTGACTTCCCTCTTTTTCTCAAATTTCATGTTGTATTCACCAGCAAATCCTATGGTTTCATCCACAAACAAATCCAGAGTTTATTTATCATCTCTATGGTTACCGCTATTATCTCTCATCTGGATTATTGCATCTGCTTCCTATTTGGTCATGATGCTTTCCATTTATGGACCATATAGAGTATTCTTAGAAGTCAGAGTGAGCCTGTTAAAAACATTTAGATCACGACCCTCCTCTGCTTCAAACTCTTACTCAGAGTAACATACAAAGTTCTCTTACTGAGAGTGACATACAGAGTTCTATAGTGGGGTGCAAGAGATTACCTGATGTGGTCCCTTCTATCCTTCTGAATTCATCTCTTACTACTTTCTCTTACTCCACTGCAGCCAAACTGGCCTTCTTGGTGTCTTTAAGGATGCTAAGAATGCTCCAACCTCAAGGCCTTTATACTTGTTCCTTCAGCCTGGAATGTTCTTCCCCTGGGTATCTGCATGGCTCACCCCTTCACTTCTTTTCAGAGAGAGGCCTTTTCTAATTAATCCACGTAAAACAGTAACCACCCATACTATTCATTTGTTTGTTTGGTAAACTCTGTCCCTCCTCACTAGAATGTAAACTTAATGAGGGCAGGGACTTGTTTGTCTATTTTGTTCACTGTTGCACCCTAGTATGTGGCATACGTTAAGTACATAATAAATATTGTTTGAATAAATAAATGAATTCTAGATATTGATTATGGGTAGAGCTGGGTATTTTTTTTTCCTGTTGTCTAGGGCTCTTCAGTTTCTTTTGGTTTCATTTGCTGACCTGTAACTTTATGAACTACTGACTTCACTTTTACATAGGAAACCTATCTGGGTTGTAAGACATCAGTTGTCCATACACCCAATATTTTGCATCCTTTGGCTGTTGGTTTATTTCTTAGTAAGTTGGTCTCATAACTTTTTGAATCAGAGTCACTTTATTGGAGCTAACCTTTTGGCTTTGGAGGAGCATGAAGGAGAATATTTAATGTAGGAAAGAATGGCTCATTTCTTACAGAACTTTTCATTAACTTGAAAATTCTCACGGTTTATGTTTAATACAATATAGATTTTTAATTATTAGAGTGCCTTAAGTGTTAAGTGTTTTTTATTTTGATTAAAAGGTAACAAAAAAAATTTTTAATGATGTTCTTTTAAAAATTTTTTTTGTAACAGACCGATGTAAAGGAAAAACAGAAAAAACTTGTTGAACAATTAACTGGATTAATAAGTAGTTCACCTGGACCACCTACACGAAAATTATTAGCTAAAAATCTCGCAGCCCTTTATAGCATTGGGGATACTTTCACAGTTTTTCAGACACTTGATAAATGCAATGACATTATCAGAAATAAAGATGACACTGCGGCCTACTTACCAACAAAATTGTAAGTACTTACTTTAATAGGGGCCCTTGAAGTTTTATTTTTTCTTTCAAGGAAACTTAGTAGGAGACTATGGACCATAAAAACCCCCAGGTGGGTGGAACCTGCGACATGCTGCTAACAGTGAGAGCTCTAAGTGGATCGAGTTGTGATGGGAAGATAGTTAAATTTTAGGCATGCTGATTCTGGAATACAAATGGGAATATCCAAATGACAGTGTAAAATAGGTAGTTGGAAATTCTAGTTGGGATTTTAGAGATTTGTTGGGAATGTAGTTTTGGTGAGTAGGCTGAATCCTTTGATATGAGTAAAGTTACCTAGGAGGAGTAGTATATTTGAGAAGAGAAGATGCCTAGGGATACAACTCTAGAACGTCAACATTCAAGGGGCCATGGTCCGTGTAATAGCTTACAGAGGAAATGGAGAGATTATTCAAAACCTGGATTCTAATTTTTAGGTCTACTTTTAGGTAGTTACCTGGTATCACTAGGTAACTACCTAGATATATTGTGATTAGATTTTTGTGTTTTGTTTAGGATAGATGTAGACCTCAAAAGTTTTAGAGGAGATTAGACAGTACCAGTACTTTCTAGTTTGTTTTGAAGTTTGAAGCTATGTTAATACTTTAATGATTTAGTTCACTGCCACTTAGCAAATACACACATAATTTTATAGTTCTGGTTAAGTAGAATTGATTATACATTCATATGTATTTCCAGTGGATCCATGGGTCCTATTTAGGAAATCTCTAATGTATGCCGGCATGTGATGCCAGTCATTTTAAATTTATTATCAGCCTACAGGGTATCAAAAAGCATGAGATTTGGAGTTGAAGAGGTGAAAGTTGATTCCCTGATTCTACTGTTTATTATGTGTTTGATTGTGAGCTAAATTTAGTTAACCTCTCTTATCTGTAAATTGCTCAGATCACATAGCTTTTATTTATTTTTATTTGTTGGAGCGGGAATGACTCGCCTCATGGTAGACCACCTGCCCACTTCCAAGATCCAACTACACATAGCTATTAGATGGTAGGTTCTAGGATTTAGGCACAGGTCTGCTAGACTCCAAAGCATCCGCTCTTAACCACCATGTCCTACTTTTGCCTTTAAGCTAAACCCACAGCTATTCACTTACTATTGACCTAAGTGACACTGGGGTCATTTCTTGCTCCTGAAGAAGTGTGTTGCTATTATTACTTTATTCTTCCAAGTGTTCTGTTAATGTAATTTAGATTAAATTTTACAGGTTTACTAATAGTATAGTATTATTTGTAAATTAAGAGGTAGACACTGTGAGCAATGCAAATATGTGAGCTATATTCCGTTTCTGGAGTTTACATTTCCACTGGCAGGACAAGATAGAGACATATAAAATGGTCAAGTTACAACACAGTAAATGATATAATTTTGTCAAAATCAGTGATTGACATTAAGTGTTACATATAATGAAAGAAGAGAGGGATTGTTGAGGCTTGACATAATTTGGAAAGTCTTCATAGAAGCAAAGCTTAGGGGCCGGGCGCTGTGGCTCACGCCTGTAATCCCAACACTTTGGGAGGCCGAGGCAGGCGGATCACCTGAGGTCAGGAGTTCGAGATCAGCCTGGCTAACGTGGTGAAACCCCATCTCTACTGAATATACAAAATGAGCTGGGAATGGTGGCATGCACCTGTAATCCCAGCTACTCAGGAAGCTGAGGCAGGAGAATGGCTTGAACCCAGGAGGCAGAGGTTGCAGTGAACCAGGACCACACCACTGCACTCCAGCGTGGGTGACAGAGTGAGACTTTGTCTCCCCCTAAAAAAAAAAAGAAAAGCTTGGATTTCTTCCCAAAGAATGGGTATGATTTATTATGTACATATATAGATTCTTTTGTATTCCTAACAAGAATACAATTTAACTATAGTATTTAACAAGAATACAGTGTAAATAGAGTATAGTATTTGTTGCAGTTATGAAGCATAAATTGTTTTTGATAGTTGAAATTAAGGATTATAGCCAAAAGTGTCCTAGACAAATGCAAATTGATTTCTAAAAATGAGAAAAGTATAATTGTATCATTAACCTGGACAATGACTAGTGAAGTTGTCACTTCTTACAGGGCTGCGGTGGCTTGTGTCGGAGCATTTTATGAAAAAATGGGGAGAATGTTGGGCAGCGCATTTCCAGAAACGGTAAATAATCTATTGAAATCTCTGAAAAGTGCAGAGGTAAGTTTTACAACCAATATTATTTGAATATTTGCTTGTGGCAAGAGTTAGATGTCAGCTAAAATATGTTTGTTTCTTTTTCTGTCACTGTGGTCTCATATTGCTTAGCAAGGAGGTAATTACAAATTATTACTTGTCCCTTCTTTTAATGTATATCAGGGGGAAGGGAAAGAATGCTTTTCTTTGACAAGGAATAGGTTTACTTGTTATTTTTTATTTAGTCCTATGGTACTTTTGGATTGGCTTTTTTTTTTTTCTTTTTTTTGGTGCCATAGCTAATGTGTTAATTTCCTGGTTACTGTAATAAATTACCTTAGACTGGGTGGCTTAAAACAACAACAATTTATTGTCTCACAGTTCTGGAAGCTGGAGGTCTGCGATAAAGTGTCAGCAAGGCCATGTTTCCACTGAAGGATCTAGGGAAGAATGTTTCCTTTCCTTCTTACCTTCTAGTGGTTGCTGGAAATCTTTGATCTTCCCTGGCTTGTAGATGCATCTCTCCCATCTCTGTCTCCTTTGTCACATCACCTTTTTCCTGTCCCTTTGTGTTTTGTGTCTAAATTATTTCCCTGTTCAGTGATACCAGTCATTGGATTAGAATTGGATACCTTTTCTGGGAACTATTTGTCTATTCATTCATTAAAAAAGAATTGAGGACTTATTATTTGTCAGGCATTAAACATACAAAGATGGTCCTGACCTCAAAGAACTTACAGTTTAGTGGAAGAGAGCTAAGTGTGAATAAGCATTGTGATACACTGTGATGAGTATACTATCAGAAATAACAATAAGCACTATGAGAATATGGATATAACAGTTTGAGTTAGTCACAAGAAGATGAAGGTTTGCTGTATTTCTGACATGTTTTTTTAAATGTGTTGGATGTTTTCTGCTTCCTTTTTTGGATCATTTATATATTATTTCTCAACTTTTTTACTTAATATTTTACGTTCTGAAATATTTTATATATTGAGATATGATATTGAAGCTTTTGAATCTCTTCATGTTTTCATTATATTGTATGTACTTCAGTAATTCATAGAAATATTGGAATATATTTACTTAAAACCTAATTTTTTAGAAAGATATTATTTAATTGACTATTCTTACTTGCCAGGTACTTTCTAGAATACTTAATTTTATTGTACTTTTCATTATTTACCGTTTATAATTTGGAGGTAAGACCATTAGACCCAAAGAACTTTTGTCTTGGTGTGTTCTTGTTTAAATATGGAATTTATTTTACAAAATAGTTTTGTTTTGTATACATGTCTAGTCTCAAGGGCGAAGTGAAATCTTAATGAGTCTACAGAAAGTTCTAAGTGGACTGGGTGGTGCAGCAGCTTCCTCCCATCGTGATATTTACAAGAATGCCAGGTCTCTCTTGACTGATAGGTCAATGGCTGTTCGATGTGCAGTGGCCAAGGTTAGTACTCGACCAATTTAGAATACTGCTCTTTATCCTTCTTGCTCTTAAACAGTCAACGATTTTTTTTTCTTTTAAAATTTTAAATTATGTTTTGTGTTCCAATGGATTAGTTTCATTTTCTAGAATTATATATAATAGTATCACATCATGAGATGTACTTTTGTGTATGTGTATTCTGGCTTCTTTCACTTAGTATAATTGTTTTGAAATTCATTTATGTTGTTATATGTATCCATAGTTCATTCCTTTTTATTGCTGAGTAGTATTTCATTGTATGGATATGTCACATTGATTTGTTCACTCACCTGTTATAAACATTTGAGTTGCTTCTAGTTTTGATTATTACAAAAAAACTGCTGTGAACATCTGTATATAAGTTTTTGCACAAACATATGCTTTCATTTCACTTCCGCAAATAACCTAGGGATGGAATAGCTGGTTCATAGGGCAGATTTAGTTTAACGTTCAGAAAAGTACAAAACTGTTTTCCAAAGTACTCGTGCCATTCTGCATTTCTACTAGCAGTGTATGAGAATTTCTCTTCCTTCATATCATCACCATTGTTTGTTACTGACAGTCTTTTTAATTTAAGCCATTCTAATGGATACATATGTCATTGTATCTCATATCTCAATGGTATCTCATTGTGGCTTTAATTTGCATTTCCGTGATGACTAATGATAAGCATATTTTCAGGTGCTTATTTGCCATCCATATCTTCTTCGAAGAAGGATGTGCTCAATCTTTTGTCCATTGTTTTATTGGGTTGTTTTATAATTATTGACTTTTGAGAGTGTTTTATAGGTTTTTTACATATTCCTTTATCAGATATGTGATTTACAAATATTTTTCCCAATGGGTGGCCTGTCTCTTTATTCTCTAAACAGTGCCTTGTAAGGAAAAGAGATTTTGAATTTCATCCAGTGTATCAATTTTTCTTATATGGATTGTGCTTTTGGTGTTGTATCTAAGGAAACATTTCGTAAACCAGGGTTTGTCCTGTGTTTCCTTCTAGAAGTTTTATAGTTTTATACTTAGATATGTGATCCATTTTGAGTTAATTTTTGTATATGTTGCAAGGTTTGAATCAAAATTTTTTGTTTTTTTTTTCAATATGGATATCCACTTCTTCCAGTACCATTTCTTTTTTTTTTTTTTTTGAGATGGAGTCTTGCTCTGTCCCCAGGCTGGAGTGCAGTGGTGCGATCTCTACTCACTGCAAACTCCGCCTCCCGGGTTCACACCATTCTCCTGCCTCAGCCTCCCAAGTAGCTGGGACTACAGGCGTCCGCCACCATGCCCAGCTAATTTTTTTTGTATTTTTAGTAGAGATGGGGTTTCACCGTGTTAGCCAGGATGGTCTCGATCTCCTGACCTCGTGATCCGCCCACCTCGGCCTCCCAAACTACTGGGATTACAGGCGTGAGCCACCACACCCGGCCCCTCCAGTACCATTTCGAAAAGCCTATCTTTTCTTCACTAAACTCCGTTTACACCCTTTGTTGAAAATCAGTTGTGTGTATATGTGTAGGTATAATTTTGGACTCTCTGTGCTGTTTCATTGATCCATTTGTCTATCTTGATGCCAACAACACTTTTCTTCATTACAGTTCCTTTGTAATAAGTGTTGAAATCAGGTGCTGTTAGCCCTCCAACTTTGTTCTTTTTCAAAATTGTTTTGCCCAGTCTAGGTTTGTCAATGTCTGCAAAAATACCATGTTGGGATTTTGATTCAGGTTGCATTGAATTTGGAGAGAATTGCCATCCTAATAATATTAAGTCTTCCACCCTATGGACATGATATATCTCTCCATTTATTTTGGTCTTTCATATCTCTTAGCAACATCTTGTAGTGTTAAATGTACAAATATTGACAGAATACAAATAAGACTGGGGAAATATGACTAAAATCATGAATTCTATCAATGTCAACGTCCAGGCTGGGCGTGGTTGCTCATGCCTGTAATCCCAGCACTTTGGGAGGCTGAGACGGGTGGATCACCTGAGGTCAGGAGTTTAAGACCAGCCTGGCCAACATAGCGAAACCCCATCTCTACTAAAAATAAAAAAATTAGCCAGGCGTGGTGGCATGTGCCTGTCAAATCATTTTTCAGCATCTATTGAGATGATGATTTGATTTTTCTTTTTTAGTTTGCTAATGTGGTGAATAACATTGATTAGTTTTAGAATTTTAACCAATATTGCATTCCTAGGATAAACCTCACTTGGTCATGATATATCATCCTTATTATATATTATTGTATTAGATTTGCTAGAAGTTTGTTTAGAAATGTGTATCTGTGTTCATGAGGGATATGGGTATGTAGTTTCTTTTTCACGTAGTGTCTTTGTCAGGTTTCAGCATCAAGGTGATACTGGCATTATAGGATTAGTTGGAAAGTTCCCTTCAGTTTTCTGGAAGAGTTGGTATAGAATTGGTATTATTTCTTACCTGAACATTTTGTTGAATTCACTGGTGTAGGCATCTCCTAGAGTTTTTTTGAGGGAAAGATTTTGAAGTACAGAATCAAATTTTAACATAGATACTGGGCTATTCAGGTTATCTGTTTCTTCTTGAGTGAATTGTCTATTTCCTCTAAGTTGTCAATTTTATTGGCATAAAGTTGTTCACATATTCTCTTTAACTTTTTAAAACATGTTGAATCTGTAGTGATTTGACCTCTCTCATTTCTGATTTTGGTACTTTGTATTTTTACTTTTTTTTTTTCCTGATCAGCCTGACTAGAGATTTATCAAATTTATTAGTCTTCTTAAAGAAGCAGCTTTGGTTTCATTTCTATTCTTTGTTAGTTTCCTAGTCATGAATTTCCTTTATTATTTCCTTTTTCTGCTTACTTTGTGTTGAATTTGCTCTCCTTCATCTAGTTTTTTAAGGGTGAAGCTGAGGTTATTGATTTGAGACCCTTCTTCTTTTCTAATGTGGTGGTTTAGTGTTACATGTTTCTCCCTAACTAGAAACTCTCTCAAGGCAGTAGGCTGGGACAGTTGTAGGGTTCATCTTGTTTTTTTCCTCAAAGATGCTTCATTGCCTGATGTCCAGTGTCTTGAAAACTGTTGTTTCATTTATTTTGTCGAGTTTTTTGGTTATCTCAGGAGAGGTGGTAAGTCTGGTTCTTGCTATTCCATCTCTGGAAGCAGATGTTATAGGATGTTATTTACTTTTTTGTTTTTAATTCCAGTGTCTACTAGAACTACAGAATGAAGCTGTATTTATGTGGACTGCTGAACTAGAAAATATAGCCACTCTCTGCTTTAAGGCTTTGGAAAACTCAAATTATGGGGTACGAGTGGCAGTGTCTAAACTTTTAGGAACAGTCATGGCCACAGCATTAATGCCAAAACAGGCAACAGGTATTGTTGTTTGCCCTTGATTTAGACCATAACAGACCTAATTAGTTATTGCATATAGGCAAGTCAGTGTAATGGATTTAAATTTTTAGGTATCTTTGTCTACTTTTCCATAAAATGAAAGAACCTGGCTGGGCGCGGTGACTCATGCCTGTAATCCCAGCACTTCTGGGAGGCCGAGACAGGTGGATCACGAGGTCAGGAGTTCAAGACTAGCCTGGCCAAGATGCTGAAACCCCGTCTCTACTGAAAATACAAAAATTAGCCAGGCATGGTGTCATGCACCTGTCATCCCAGCTACTTGGGAGGCTGAGGCAGGAGAATCGCATGAACCCGGGCAGCAGAGATTGCAGTGAGCCAAGATCGCACCACTGTACTCCAGCCTGGGCGACAGAGCAAGACTCCATCTCAAAAAATTAAAAAAAAAAAAAAAGAACCCAAATGGCATTTTCCTTGATGTAGTCACATTTTTTGTGATGATAATGTACAGGATATCTAGCAATTATGCTGGACATATAAGCACATAAGATTTATGAAATGATTTTGGATAATGTATAAGGTACTGGAATCTGGCACTTTATTTGCTACTTATTTTCAGCACTTTATTTGCTATTTTCTGTCTCTGATGAGTAGATCCCCATTTGTACCACAGTATTAATTTTTAATTTTTCTTGATTATCATTATAAACAGAATCAGAGGCAGCACTGAGTTTTCAAATTACTCTTGCTTTGCTTCACAGTTCCGTAGAGATATCTCAGGGGTGCCTGTGAGCAGATGCTGAGTGAACCCTGCCCCAGTCTTGTCCCTACCTCTACCCCACCTCTGTATCATAGAAAGAGAACCAGATGTTTTAGGTTCAAGTCCTGTCTCTTATATTTATTAACTGTGAAACCCTATTTCACTTCTTTGAGCTTTGATTTTCATCTTTAATGATAATTATTTCAGTAGATGATGATGATGATGATGATGATGATGATGATGTAATGTTTTAAAGTGCTAACTATGTGCCAGGCACTGAATTAAGTGTATTACAAAATTTAATCCTCATAAAAGCCCTTGTGAATTATATGGACTGTTACTACTATTTTATAGATGAGGAAATTGAGACTTAGATTCTGTAACTATTTTTCTAAAAACTGTTCTGTGTCGGAAATGAAATTCAAATTCCGGGCAGCCAAATACCAAAGCTTGAATTCTTAGCCATGAGCTTTATACCTCCTCTGCAGAATTTTTGTGAGGATTGCATTTGCTACTATATGTGGAAGGACTTCATAAAATATGAAACTCTGTACTAGGGATGCCAATTCAGTTGCATTCCCAGTAACATCTTAATCTATTGGTAACTACTGTATAGAAAGCACTGTGATGAGAAAAGTTTTTTGTGTCCACCTCAGGCGGGAATGAGAACTGAGATCAGTTAGTAGTATCTGCTGTGGGTATGCTTTGTCCTTATTGTGTTACACATAGTATTATTATTATTAGACTATTTTGCGTAGATTTATTGAATTGCTTTTATTTCTAGCTCTTTCCATTTTCTGAGCATTTTTTCCTTTGGAATTGAATTCAGGCTTACAAGTACATTGAAAATTTTAAGAAAACAATTATAAGGAAACTAAACCATTTCCCCATTGTAGTAAAGTGTCCTTAAAAATAATTACTTGAATTATTAAGCTAGAGTGCCTCAGAAATATATTTGCTTATACTTTAATTTTTCTTCTTGAAAGTAATGCGTCAGAATGTGAAGCGAGCAACATTTGATGAAGTCTTAGAACTCATGGCCACAGGATTTCTGCGTGGAGGGTCAGGTTTCTTAAAGAGCGGTGGAGAAATGTTAAAAGTTGGAGGGTCCGTTAATCGTGAAGTGAGAGTTGGAGTTACGCAGGTTTGTAACACGTATGTGTGAAAGAATTTTGGCCAGGCACGGTGGCTCACGCCTGTAATCCCAGCATTTTTGGAGGCCAAGGCGGGCAGATTGCCTGAGGTCAGGAGTTTGAGACCAGCCTGACTAACATGGTGAAACCCCATGTCTACTAAAAACACCAAAAAATTAGCCAGGTGTGGTGGCGCATGCCTGTAGTCCCAGCTTCTCAGGAGGCTGAGGCAGGAGAATCGCTTCAACTAGGGAGGTGGAGGTTGCAGTTAGCCAAGATTGCGCCACTGCACTCCAACCTGGGTGACAGAGCGAGACTCCATCTCAAAAAAAAAAAAAAAGATTTTGTTCATATCACTTGTGAAACTTCGTGGAAAACTGTTACTAAGTAACAGCTCACAGAGACATTTTTAATATTGTCTGGTTTCTTTCGAAATGTTTCTTTTACCGAATGAATGAATTACATTCAAATTCCAAATTACATGCTTATATGGAAATTCGGTAGATATTTAATAATATATAAATAAGCCTGTGTCTACCATATTTGTGTAAATATCTTTAAATGAAGTTCCTACATTTTGCTTAACAGAAAATCAGATATAAAGTAACTCAGTTTTCATTGAAACTGTATTCAGGTAGCTTGAGCATTTAGATTTTAATATTCTCCAACAACCCTGTAGCTAAAAATACTGGTTAATGCTTTGATTGGATTTTCTATCAGTGTTTAATCACCAGTGTAATTATAAGATTATATCTGACTTGGAATTATAATTTCAAAATAACACGGAATAAGAGGTTATGGTTAATGATCTAATAATAATTAACACCTAATAAGATGAAATGGTGATCATAGTCAAAATCACGATTTTAGTCAAAATCATAACTGTACCTTGATCCTGAAACAAGTATAAAATATAAGTAAACAATTTTTTAACTTACAGAAAAAGTCGTACGTAAGGGTTTTATAGCTCTAAGTCAGTGTTTATTTAGGATGTTAAGGTTTTCTTGTTTCTGTAACCTGTTACCTTCCCGATCACTGGGGTAAATTCAGCTTCCCTTCCCTCTCACTGCTGTCCCTTTGTGTTCTTCATGAAGTTGTTATCTTAAGAACTGTTTTTTGGTCAAAGATACTTCACTAATAATTCGTATTCCAGAAGTAGTAAAAAGACCTCAAGTTTAAATTTTCTCTGTTTTAGCCTCAAATACAATTCATTCAGCATGCTGTTATCAGTTATTTTAGTAGTTGCTTTATCTTTGATTTCTGTTCAGTTATGTAAGTGTATCTGAAGTCGTACCTTCCTCTTTTTACAGGCGTATGTTGTTTTTGTGACAACATTGGGTGGTCAGTGGTTGGAGCGCAGCTTTGCCACGTTCCTGTCCCATGTACTTGATCTGGTTTCCCATCCTCGGGCAACACAAACACATGTGGAGGCTGTGTACTCCAGACGATGTGTTTCCTTTATCCTAAGAGCTACTGTGGGCAGTTTGCTAGGTGAAAAAGCCCAGATTGCAGCTGCCAAAGAAATCTGCCAAGCTATTGGAAAACAAATGAAAGCCGTAGGTAAGAATCAGTATCATTATGTGTGTTGATTACCTTAGTCATTTAGTTCTTTATTATGATTCTTAATAAATATCCATAAGACTGATTAGTTTATCTTTCTGTGTGTTTTCATAGTGATTTTTATTGAGTACTCTTATTTGATATTAAAATCACATAATTACAGTGAAATAGAGTTTTTAAAGATTTGGGTGGTATGTTGGTAAGATTGTGTTTTCTGTTTTATTTCTAGTACCTATACGGATTTTATAACTTTTCTGGCATGCAGCAGCACATTGGTTGCTGTCTTCAAGGAGTAATCTATTGTCCTCTTTCTGCTTTTAGAGCCTGTTGTTTTATAAACATATATTTTTATTGTTTCTTTTCCTCCCCTCGTAGGCTTAATATGAAAACTTAGAGAGGAACAATTACAGATGGTTATTAGCCCGCTGTAAGATGTACTGTGAAACCTCAGTTATACATAATTACAAGAAATTCTTTTCTAAAATACCAGTTTTATAAATTTTTCAATTTAATAAATAGTTATTGTCTTAGATTTGCAGAGCAGTAATTCAGGGTTTAAATAATGAATGAGATAAAGTTTCTCCCTTCATGGAGCTTTTAATCCAGTTATAAACTAAATATAAAAGCAATACTAAAAGCAAGGCAAAAATATAAATTCTAAAAGTTTAGTTTTTTCACTATTATTCACTATTTCACTATACTAACTTTAATAAGGGAAATTATATTGACTAATAGAGGTCTTTTGAAATAAGGATTTAATGAATAAATATCAATAATTTATTTTTTAGAGATATATGTATGAAATGTTTTATGAAATTAGTAAAAAAATATAAATAGTTGTAGTTTTTGTTGTTTATAATGGCTTACTTAGTAAACTCGTTTTATTTTTTATTTTATATTATTTTATTTGAGACAGAGTCTAGCTCTGCTGTCCGGGCTGGAGTGCAGTGGTGCGATCTTGGCTCACTACAACCTCCACCTCTCAGGTTCAAATTATTCTCCTGCCTCACCCTCCTGAGTCAGCTGTTATTACAGGCGTGTGCCACCACACACCCTGCTAATTTTTGTATTTTTAGTAGAAACAGGGTTTCACCACATTGGCCAGGCTGGTCTCAAACTCCTGACCTCAAGTGATCCACCTGCCTTGGCCTCCCAGAGTGCTGGGATTACAGGTATGAGCCACCACGCCCAGCCAGTAAACTAGTTTTAAATGTATAGAGCTAACTGAAAATTATGAATCGTGAATTAAAGTGTTTAAATTAATGAGATATCATTCCTTAAATATGCTAAAATAGTCATCTGTCTTAGATTCACAACTTAAAGAATAATTTGCACATTGATTCATTGAGGAAATGTTTAGTGCCAGAAACACCGCGTCAAATGGTGGGAGTAAAATAGCAAGCCAGATGCATACAGCACCTATCCTCAGGGAGCTTAAAGTTTAGCAATCAAAAGCTAGAGTTTATGCATTTCCAAGTCCAGAAATACCTAAAAACAAGAGTTATTTGGCCAGGCATGGTAGCTCATGCCTGTAATCCCAGCACTTTGGGAGGCCAAGATGGGTGGATCACTTGAGGCCAGGAGTTCTTCAAAAACAGCCTGCCCAACATGGCGAAACCCTGTCTCTATTAAAAAATACAAAAATTAATCAGGCGTGGTGGCGTACACCTGTAGTCCCAGCTACTCAGGAGGGTGAGTTGGGAGGACTGCTTGAACCCAGGAGGCAGAGGTTGTAGTCAGCTGAGATGGCACCACCGCACTCCAGCCTGGACAACAGAGCAAGACTCTGTCTCAAAAAAAAAAATTTAATTATAGTCTTCAATTTATTAATCCATTATATCCTAGTCTGTATTATGTATTTTATAGTCTATTAATTAATAATGAATGCAAAAAAGAAAGTTTTACTATCATTTAAAGGTTCTTAATGTTAAGGTCATAAATTCGTTATTTGATTTTTTTTTAAATCCTGAAAGCAGAATTAAATATAATGATACGTATTGGGGATTTGTGGGCCAGAATGTATTCTCAATTAGTAGTTTGGCAAGCGATCTTTGGTTGTCTCTTGTCAAACACATTTCGATTCTAGTGGAAGCTAAAAGGTTGGGGTAGCAGGCAGCAAGGTTAATTAATGGGAACTTACAGAAACATTCCAGTAAGAGGTAACTTAAGGCATTTTCCTTATAGATTCATTTTCTGGTCAGTAATTTAACAGATACCTCCAATATATTGGAACACTTAAAGTAGCAATGGTAATAAAGTAATAATAGCTGTTAACATTTATTGAATGTGTATTATGGGCAGCATTGTGTTAAATTCTTTATATGCACTGACTTTTTAATCACCACAGTACCGTTTGAAATAGGCATGTAAGCCCATTAACAGATAAGGAAATTGGGACAGAAAAATTGAACATCTTGCTCAATGTCACATAACTAATATAACTAGTGGAATTGGGATTTGAACCCGAGTCTTCTTTCTGCAGTATCTGTGCTTTTATACACTGGATTGCTGCTGCTTGCTAAAATTAGGTTGTATTCCTGGAAGCAAAGATGTATCTCAGTATATATTTTAGCATTATTATAAAGCTATTAAACAACATTTTTAAGTCACTTCAGTGTTTAGTTCTACAAGTTTTCTATTGAGAAATAACTGCATAGTTTTTAACACTCGGACATCAACTGGTATGGCTAAAATCATAAATTGTATAGACCAAAAAAATCATACCACAATTCATTTCTCCTATGTCAAAGACATGATTTTGTGTTTCCAGAAGCAGTAGTGAATGACACAAGTGGAGAAAACAAATCTGGCGCAGCAGACATTGCAGCAAGCCAGCATGTGATGGTCTGTGCCCTCCAGGAACTCGGGAGCCTGGTGCAGAGCTTGAATGCCACCGCATCCCCTCTTATTCAAGAAGCATCTATAGGTATGACATTCAGTTACTTGCTAGTATGTGTTTCCACTTTTTTCAGTCATAAGTGTGATTGATATTTAATTCCTGATTAGTTGCTTATCATCATCATTAGCACTTCAGATCATCAGGTTTTACTTAAATTAATATTCATTGTGATAGGCTGGGCGTGGTGGCTCGTGCCTATAATCCTAGCACTTTGGGAGGCCCTGGTGGGCAGGTCACTTGAGATCGGGAGTTCAAGACCATCCTGGTCAACATGGTGAAAGTCTGTCTCTACTAAAAATACAGAAATTAGCCAGCTGTGGTGACACGTGCCTGTAATCTACTTGGGAGGCTGAGGCAGGAGAATTGCTTAAGCCCAGGAGGCATAGGTTGCAGTGAGCCGAAATCATGCCACTGCATTCCAGCCTGGGGGACAAAGTGAGTCTCAAAAAAAAAAAAAGTTTCCTTGTAAAGAATATTGAATTAAATGGTTAAATAAAGTTTTGGAACAGAAATCAAAAGCAATTGTGGTAGTTTTTTTATAAAAATTGACTAAAATTTGTTGAAGACTTCTATTAAATTTTACATCAATATTGAATATAATTGTACTATGTTCTTCATAGAAAATGTTCCTTTGAAGTACTCTACTGTATGTAGTTTTAGGCAAAGTTGTGGATCTATATGTGTGAAAGCTTGGTGATTGTCATTTCAGTTATTGTTTTTTAGATAGTATTTGAGTTTCTGAAATCATTTGACTTCATTAAAGAGTAATATTTTGAGTATTTCTTGTTTAGGGCTTTTGGAGATTGTGACTTCAGTGCTGCTTCATCCAAGCATGGCTGCCCGACTTGCTGCTGCATGGTGTTTGCGCTGTGTGGCTGTGGCATTACCTTTCCAGCTGACACCATTTCTAGACAGGTGTGCAGAACGGCTCAACAACTTGAAGACCTCACCAGAAGCTGTCAGTGGATATAGTTTTGCAATGGCTGCTTTGTTAGGTGGAGTACATCAGTGTCCTTTGGGCATTCCTCATGCCAAAGGAAAGGTATGACGGAGATCCTAGACTTGGGAATGCTGTCACGTGGGCTTTGGTCTTTATAGGAACGCTGCTGTGTTTAGTGTTGAACAGGGTGGTCAAATAACAGTTGTACTATGTTATCATAAAACATAGTGTTCTTACTATGGTGTTAACAGACCCTATTATAATTTGATATTTAATTCTGATGTAAGGATAATAGATTTTGTCCAAGTCTAGTAACATGTTATAATTTATTTTAGAGGGAAAGAGAAAAAAAACAGCCTAGGCAACATAGTGAGACCCCATCATTACAAAAAATAAAAAAAGTTAGCCAACTTCATGGTCCTAGCTACTGGGGAGGATGGGTTGGAAGGATCACTTGAGCCCAGGAGTTTGAGGTTACAGTGAGCTATGAACATGCCACTGTCCTTCAGCCTGGGTGACAGACCAAGACCTACCCTGTCTCAAAAAAAAAAAAAAAAAAAAACCCAACCTTAGATATAGTAATTATTTGAAAGTCAGAGCTTTTCTTTCAGCTTTTAGAAATAAAAGTTCACATTGCTATATATTCAAAGATGTCAGGATAATACGCTATTGTAATATTTAGCATTTTGATAATGTTTAGTAAAAATTGAGTGGTTTTAATAAATCATGGCCGGGCATGATGGCTCATACCTGTAATCCCAGCACTTTGAGAGGCCGAGGCAGGTGGATCATTTGAGATCAGGAGTTTGACACCAGCCTGGTTAACATGGTGAAACCTTGTCTCTACTAAAAATACAGAAAAATTAGCCGGGCATTGTGGCCCATGCCTGTAATCCCAGCTACTTGGGAGGCTGAGGCAGGAGAATCACTTGAACCCAGGAGGCGGAGGTTGCAGTGAGCTGAGGTTGCACCACTGCATTCCAGCCTGGGTGACAGAGAAAGACTCCGTCTCAAAAAATAAAATAAAATAAAAAATATGAGTAGCTTTTTTTTCTCCTTTCTTTCTGTTGTATACTACTATCATGGTTTTCTTCTCAGTAATCTTAAGTGTTTATATAAATATTATTTGAAACTTTACATAGGCAGATTGGGGCTAGAGTTTTAAATTTTGATTTTTTTTCTGGGACATTAAGCCCATGTCCATTCATAGCAGTTGCATAGCTACCGATGAAATCCAGACTTCCCTCTCACTTTGTCATATCGTTGCTTCCTCATTCTCATCTTCCTCAGACTTTCCATCTTCCCCACACGTCCCATCTTCCTCATACCACTTTCATATTTTACATTTGCCCAGAGACCCTTAGGGACTACCCAGTACTCAGAGAGTAAAATATAATCTCCTTTGTCTGGTAAACTGGTATCTTATAATTTGACTTCATTCCGCCGTTCATTCAAATTTCCTGTTGCTCTAATTAGACTAGTTATCTTCCTTCCTTCCCTGGCCTTTTTCAGCTTCGAAGCCTTTGCTCTGCTAACCTCTTAGAGTTTCATCTCCCCTCTTATTCAGCTGCACCAAATTTAAGTCTATACTAGCCATTCTGTGTGGATGTTAATACAGCAAAGTACCGAGAACAGTGCTAGCCCATGTGACCACTAAATAAATGCTGTCATTATTAGCACTATTATTCCACATTCAAAGATTTGTTGAACTCCTATTATGCATCTACCATTGAGCTAACCTTGCCTGGGCGTGGTGGCTCAGACCTGTAATCCCAATGCCTAGGGAGGCCGAGGCTGGAGGATCACTTTAGGTCAGAAGTTTGAGACCAACCTGGGAAACATAGTGAGACCCTGTCATACAAAAAATAAAAAATGAAATTTTTAAAATTTTCCAAGTATGTTGGCATACACTTGTAGTCCTACCTACTCAGGAGGCTGAGGTAGGAGGATCCCTTGAGCCCAGGAATTCCAGGTTACACCGAGCTATGATTGTGCCACTGCACCCCAGCCTGGGTGACAGAGTGAAACCCTGTCTCTAAAAAACAAACAAATAAGTAAGCTAATCTTTTGGAGCTTACAGTCTTAGAAGACACAGGAAAAATGAGAAGTGGATTTGTCACATGATGAAATGACAAAGTAGTAGCATAGATGCTGTATTAACTTATTTTATCCTTGCAAGGCTGAGATAGGCATTCCTATTATTTCTGTTTTACCAGTGATGGAACTAAGCAGTGCTAAATGAGAATGCGAGTAAATGGCAGAGATGGCATTTGGCCCTAGAGCTTGTCCTTAACTACTACACTGTTCTGGGTCTCTTCAGAGTCATCAGTGCAATCAAGACTAACCAGGTCTTGATGTTGCCTCTTTCAAAAACATGCTAATAACACGAGAGGACAACTTCTTTTTTTTTTGGAGACGGAGTCTCGCTCTGTCACCCAGGCTGGAGTGCAGTAGTGCAATCTCTGCTCACTGCAACCTCCGCCTCCCCAGTTCAAGCAATTCTCCTGCCTCAGCCTCCCAAATAGCTGGGACTACAGGTGCCCACCACCATGCCTGGCTAATTTTTTTGTATTTTTTGGTAGAGACAGGGTTTCACCGTGTTGCCCAGGCTGGTTTTGAACTCCTGAGCTCAGGCAATCTGCCTGCCTCAGCCTCCCAAAGTGCTAGGATTACAGGCATGAGCCACCGCATCCAGCCAACAACTTCTTTTAAGTAATGTATGCTAGTTATCTGTTTCCTTATTTAATTTAACTTGTTTGAATTAAAATCCAATTCTAAACTTTTCTTGCAGATGGTAGTTAGTATTGCTGAAGATCTTTTACGAACTGCTGCCCAAAATAGCAGGCTATCTTTACAGCGCACCCAAGCTGGCTGGCTTTTACTTGGAGCACTTATGACTTTAGGTATAATTATATTTGAGTAGGATTTTTGTCACGCTATAACTGTCAGTAGCCTGTAAAGCAAATTTAATTTAAAAGTGTTAAGCTTCACATTCTGGATTTTCATTGAAGTTGTAAAAATGGTGTAAAGATGTTTTCCTCGTCATTTGCTAGTAGATTTCTCTTTTTGGTAATTATTGCTTAAGTACATTTAATGAGAAAGTTGTTAGCAAAGTTTCACCTTTACCATCAGAATAACCTTTGTCTACCTGATGAGTTTAGTGTTTAAAAGAGATGAAAATATGAGGGAAAATTTCATACCCTAAGTGAAAACCAGCAGTGTGATTTTAGAAGAGTGGTAAAGTCACATTTAATTGGTATTGTTAGTGCTGCTTTTCTGGGGTAACCCTTAATGTGTTTCACTCTTAAGTAGTGTGACAAATCTGCATTGTAGGCAAAATTTAACATTGTACATAGTACAAAAATACCTATTATTGTGATGGGGTATGTTCATATTTTAGTTCATATGTTTAGCTGCTGCTGTAAAAAGTGTGTGCATATATGTACTACAAAGTTATGACACAGATCTAAGCATCTATCTGTTGGAAATTATACTTTGACCTACTTTTCTTTTCTGAAGAAAACAAAAAGTTGCAACTCATTTCCAGAAGTTTATGTTAAGTATGTTCAGTGGTATGTTAAATGAATTTTTTAGCAATGTAAATATAGATTCCTAGGTCTGAATATATTGCCTTTCCATGAAACTAAATTAACCACATAAATTGCCCCCAAAACTAAGGAATATGTATCTGTATGTGTGTGTGAGTGGGTATATTTGTTTATATACATATGTATATGAAAAAGACCTCATAGAATGTGTCTCAGATATATTTTATTGATAATATGCAATCCACCATTCTCAATACAGTTGGGTTATCCTTTAAAAATTGCTTTTTGTGTATTTTATGTTTGGATTCTAAAAATATTGACAGTTTAAGGTGAATTTTGTTATGCTTTGATCTATATTTTAATCAGTGAATAAAGGTTGAAAATAATGTAATTTTAGAGATAAAAATAGAGTGAAATAACAGATATTGTTAAACATCAGTATTTTACTCTATTTTCATCTCTAAAATTACATAAAGTTTGTGTTGGGCTCATTTTGCTTGACACTTGTTTGTAAGGTATGTTACATATACATGGTTTTGTATTCTCATTTTCTTGGCTAGGACCATCTGTCGTTCGTTACCATCTGCCCAAGATGTTGTTATTGTGGCGAAATGTTTTCCCACGTTCCTTAAAGGAATTGGAAGCTGAGAAGGCCCGAGGCGATTCTTTTACCTGGCAGGTAACTTTGGAAGGTCGTGCTGGAGCTCTATGTGGTAAGAACTGAAAGGATTGTGCTTCACAATATTATGACATAACTAAAATATTTGTAAAGTAAAAGAAAAATCACTATTTTATAGTTTTTTATTTTACTAGGTAATGATAAATTCATAGGCTTTTAGATTTAAATAGAAACTTTATAAATGATCCACTTCAGTTTGCTAATTTTGTAATAAAAATGAAACCCAGACTCTGAAAAAGTGTTTAGACCTGGTGGTTAGACAGGAACTAGAACCCAGGCCTCTTATTCCCACTTGTTGCTATCTTACCTGTCAAAGAAGCACTGAGTCACCATGTATAAAAAAAAGAAAAAATACCCAACAGCTATTTAAAGAAAAAGAAACTCAGGATTACCAAAGTTATTGGCATTTGCAGTTAGTCTTTTCATAATGGAGAAACAGCTGTTTTTTCACATCCTTATCAAATCTCCAAACCTTCATATATTTTTCAGATATCAACATTACAAAAATAACGGATACAGTTGTTTTTGTCTGGGAGTTAACAGCTTACAGGAAACGCTCAGGTTTTGTTTCGTTTGATAACTAGAATGACATTGGATGTACCAGTTCTTTTTTGGTTTATCTCAGAGTGAAAACTACTTCTTTTTCCAAACTGGGAGAGAGATACATGTTTCACCACAAGGGCAGCCAGGCAAGGGGGCACCTTTACTCTCACACATCTAGGAGGTGTTTTAGTCTAGGCTCTATTGCTAAGGGGCCAATAAAAATATTTTTTTCTCACTGGACCATTTTTGTTTATATACATATATATTTACACAAATATATGTAAAAATTCAAAATGCAAAAATATATGTAGTGGCCGGGTGCTGTGGCTCATGCCTGTAATCCCAGCACTTTGGGAAGCCAAGGCGGGTGGATCACTCTCAGGAGTTCTAGACCAGCCTGACCAATATGGTGAAACCTTGTCTCTACTAAAGATACAAAAATTAGCCAGGCGTGCTGGTGCTTGCCTGTAGTCCCAGCTACTCAGGAGATTGAGTCAGGAGAATTGCTTGAACCTAGGACGTGGAGGTTGCAGTGAGCCGAGATTCCGCCACTGCACTCCAGCCTGGTTGACAGAGTGAGACTCTCTCAAAAAAAAAAAAAAAAAAATATATATATATATATATACACACACACACACACACACACACACACACACACACACACATATACATATATATCTGTAAAAGTTGCAAAAATATATTTAATATATGTAAAAATTTCATGTAAATTTTAAGGCATTGTTTATACACATAAATGTATATGTGTATAAACAATGCCTTAAAATTTCTTTCTTTGTAGTCATCTGAATTCCTATGGGATCATAGTCCTCTGAATTTCCACCCGAAGAATCTCTCTAACCAGTACCTTCTCTTCCTCCATTTTTCTATCCACCTTTTTTCTAGCCTTTTCCACGATTTTTCTTTGTAGTTGTTGCAAGTTTTTCTTTTGGTTCGACATGGTTTCAGAACCTTATACGTTATAATAATTAAGTATTACAACTGCCTTTATATTTATACAATTTTATAAATTAATTCATGTTCACAAAAGCTACTCCAAATCTGTCCTTTTAAACATTTTATCTAGCCATGAGGAGCTTCGTTGCACATTGTCCTGAGCTACTAACTGAAGATGTGATTCGAAAATTGATGACCCCTATTGAATGTGCCATGACTATGATGTCACAGTAAGTAAGCGATTGAGACAAGTTCACATCCTATTTTATATATTAATAATATACTTCTCAGCCATATTTTGTGCTTTCTTCTAGAATCATCTAGGAAACATAAAACTTTATTTTTGTAATATAACTTTAAAAATTACAGCAATGGTGTGGATTGAAATACAGTTGTATCTTAAAGTGTTTTTGTTACAGCAAAGATCACAACATAAGCTAAAATGAAAGTGTATACTTATCAGTGTAGTTTGGCAGTACATTGATACATTGCTAAAAAAATTTATAAGTAATACTTATTCTGGTAAGCCATTACCAACTATGTTTTTGATATTTTAGCATTCCATCTGTAATGAAAGCCCATGGAGCTCATCTGAAAGCTAGTGCTGCAATGGTCCGTTTAAGACTTTATGATATCTTGGCTTTGTTACCTCCAAAAACTTATGAAGGTAAATTAAAAATTTGTGGTATCTGATAAAAATTTTTCTTTACAATTCTTCACCGTATTATAGAGTCTTGACAAAGGCTCTCCCACTGACTTACTGTGCAAAGGAAGGCCACCATTTTATTTTTCTTCATGTAGAGTAGCTGATACTTGTTGACTCCTTACTGTGTTCTGGGTCTCGTTTTCAGCCTTTTGTATTAGCTTTTTGACTGTGTTGCAACTTATGAGGCCTTTAGCCCTATTTTATAGATGAAGAATCTCAGATTGAGAGACTTAAAGAAACTTAACTTACCCAAGACTTAGAGGTAGTTAAGTGGCAGAGCTTGGATTCAAATCTAGCTGGTTTATCTTCAAAGTGTGCACTTTTGATTAATACACTGAAATGCTTCCTATATACTGTAATATAGCAAATAATTCGAGGATCTGGAGGGAGAAATCAAATATTATGTAAAATATTAATAGTAAAATAAACTATTGATTTCTTTCCAGTATAATCATGCCAAAGAATTTTGGTGTGCTGTGGTTCATTGTACATTATTGGGCAATAAATAATAATAATCATATCACATTTAATATATTTAAAATAAAGTATCTTTGTTTGTGTGTGTCTTTCAGACAGGGTCTTGCTGTGTTGCAGAGGTTTGTCTCAATCTCTTGGGCTCAAGCAATCCTCCTGCCTCAGCCTGCTGAGTAGCTGGGACTACAAGCATGCTATGGCACCCGCCTCTCTTTCCTCTATTTGAGTTTTTTGGTTATTTTAAATAATTTGGGCTAAAAGACACAATACAATATATGAAAGGAAGTACCATTATTGTATATTAAAACCAGCATTTAAATATAGATTTTTTTTAAAGAAGAGAACAGAGACTTAATTATTTTATTCCTGTTGAACATGTTGCAGCTCTTTGTGGGCAATGATTATAATTTTCACAAAAATTATTCTTTTTAATCTGATCTGAAGTTCTGTTTTTTAGGATCTTTTAATGCACTTCTTAGAGAACTGGTAGCGGAATTCACTTTGACTGACAACTCAGCCAACACAACTACTTCCCTCCTCAGATCCCTCTGCCATTATGATGATAGTGTTCTTCTTGGTTCTTGGCTTCAGGAAACTGATCATAAATCAATTGAAGACCAGGTAATAAACATAGAGGAAAATGAAATACTAACTTAATCTGAAACAATGGTCCTATTACACATTGTCACTTAAAAAGAAAATAGTGTATAGAAAGGTTTAATCCCCATTTAGTGTTCTTAGACACTTAAAGATGGCATCCTGGTGGTAGATAGTGAAAAAAGTTAAACAGGAAGAGTGAGAATTTGGCAAATTGTCTTTATTTAATATTCTGTGTATTTAGATACCTTGTGGTGGCTGTGATAAAGATCAGTTTTAACTGGCTTTTTGGTTATTGGTATTTTGTTTTGTTTTAGTTTGTTTTGTTTTGTGACAGGTTGGAGAGGAATGAGTTAGTAGGTTGAAGATTTAGAACTTTTGCCCACTGAATACATTATTTCTTATGTACTTTTTAAAGAGTGATTAAAGCCCCATTTAAAATAATTGTGGGATTAAGATCTTGTGTATATTGTTCACGCAATAAGGTGGGTGGTGTAAATATGTTTTCGAATGAATAAAGCTTTTCTTAAAATTTGTATAAGGTGTTACTGATGATTTTTTAATGACCAAATTACATTTTGGTCTGTTTTCAAATGTTCGGATCCAATCATTCTTTTTTTGTTGCCTTTTCTCCTTTCTCCTCTGCTGTAATCCTCATTCCCAATGTTTAATAAGTAGATTTCCTAAAGTAGATTTTGAATAATTTTTATTTCACTCTTTTGCAGCTCCAGCCAAACAGTGCCTCTGGAAGTGGGGCTCTGGAGCATGATCCTTCCTCTATTTATTTACGCATACCTGCTGGAGAAGCAGTACCTGGTCCCCTCCCTCTCGGAGTCTCAGTCATTGATGCTTCTGTGGCCCTTTTTGGTGTAGTGTTTCCTCATGTTTCTTATAAACACCGGTTAGTATAAAGTCAATCAGGTAATTTTTGTTAAATATATATTATGTTAAACGAAAAGTAGATTTTCTCATCCCAGTTAACTCTGCAATAAAGTGAGTTATTATAATACTTAAAACAGTACTCTTACAGATTTACTAATGTAAGTGACAGATACATGATAAAAAAATTGCATGCAAATTGCACATAATTTGAGACTTTATGTAAGATTTGACCCTGTGTACTAGCATCTGATATCTGTTGTATTGTGGACTGTATTTTATAACAAAATTTTCATTATATATGCTAGAATGACAACTGTTGGCAAAAAAAAAAATGCATTATAATAGTTTGTTTGATAGTTCATACATAGGTTTTGACTATATCTTAAATTAAGGACATCAGTTTGCTAAGCCTGTTGACTTTGTTGTTGAGGAAGTAAATGGATGAAAATTCCAATCACTAATAACGTTTGTGAGATGGTTCAAGTCTAGAACTTGGAAACTAACATAATTGGTTCTTTTTGTAATAGAAGCATTTTGGTTTGGTATATTCTGTATCCACAGACACTATTCCTAGCTTTAGTAGGCAGTTTGTATATTGTGATTTTCCCAAAAGGAAAACAGAAATGAATTAATACAAGACCATCACAGATAACTTAAAAGCTTTACAAAATTAAAATGCCTTAAAAGTATTGTTGGGTCTGGTGTGGTGGCTTATGTCTGCAATCCCAGCGCTTTGGGAGGCTAAGGCAAGAGAATTGCTTGAGGCAAGGAGTTTCAGACCAGCCTGGGAAACATAGTGAGACACTCATCTCTACAAAAATTACAAAATAAAAAATGTCTTTAATATGTAGGTTGCTTGATTAATTGCTTTTTAATTTGAGGAGAAAAAAGTTTAAATATGAAACTTTACCCAAATATCTTTAAGAACATTTGGTTGCCACATAAATGTTAAATGATGTTAAAGGTGGAAGAATCTTATAAAGCATCTATTTCAACATTTTGGTTTTAAATCTTAAGGACATCCATATCTAAGAGTTTGGTTTACCCAAGGTTATACAACTAGTTATGAAAGCTATAACTGAAATCCAGGATTATCTCAATTCTGTATGATCACTTTTACAGAATAAGATGAAGTATAAATAAATAAATTCTATTAAAAATATAAACATATAATAAATAACATAAATATTCAACAGTAGGAGGATAAGTGAATAAATAATAGAAAGTCCATTTTTGTAGAGACAGTGTTTTGATAGAAGATGCTCATGATACAATGTTAAATTAAAAAGGTAAAAAGCAAGAAGTGATCCTACTTTGGTTTTCAACCAGCAGGCTGTGCGGCTTAATATATTTACTGCTGTTCTTAGTGCACAAAAGGTACTTACTTACTTTTAAGAATTTTTTAAAGTACATCAAAATGTGCATGTATACACGTACATCTGAATCTGTATCTTCATATGAGTTTTGAATAATGCTTTGACCTGAGACCTGAGACCTGTAGACTAGTATAAATTGAGCTTTAAATCCTTACAGCGACCTCAGGGAGATTTTATTACCAACTTGAGGTCATAATTGTCTTAGTACTAAATCCAACTTCCTTGGATTCCTTTGTTTCACATCATTTCTTTTTAGAAGAATGCTCTCTCACTCTCTTTTTATCAAAATCTTCTGAAATGGGCCGGGCGTTGTGGCTCACACCTGTTATCCCAGCACTTCGGGAGGCAAAGGTGGGCAGATCACCTGAGGTCAGGAGTTTGAGACCAGCCTGGCCAACATGGTAAAATCCTTCTCTACTAAAAATACAAAATTAGCTGGGTGTAGTGGCGAACACCTGTAGTCCCAGCTACTCGGGAGGCTGAGGCAGGAGAATCATATGAACCCAGGAGGCAGAGGTTGCAGGGAGGCAAGATTGCACCATTGCACTCCAGCCTGGGCAACAAGAGCGAAACTCAGTCTCAAAAAAAAAAAAAAAAAAAAATGCAGAGCACAGTGGCTCACGCCTGTAATCCCAGCACTTTGGGAGGCCGAGGTGGGCAGATCACCTGAGGTCGGGAGTTCGAGACCAGCCTGACCAACATGGAGAAACCCAGTCTCTACTAAAAATACAAAATTAGCCAGGCGTGGTGGCGCATGCTACTCGGGAGGCTGAGGCAGGAGAATCACTTGAACCTGGGAGGTGGAGATTGTGGTGAGCCGAGATCGCGCCATTGCACTCCAGCCTGGGCAACAAGAGCGAAACTCCATCTCAAAAAAAAAAAAAAAAAAACAGAGAAATCATCTAAGATGGCCATGGATTTTTTTTTTTTAATAAACTGATTCTTTTTTATTAATATAAAAAACAATTCACTTCTGGTTTTTTACATTTAAAAAAATTAGCCAAAGCTAAATCTTTTTTGAACTTTCCCAAAAGCTTCTGAGGCTAGGACATGAGGTACTATTCTAAGAGTATTTTTAAAATAGGAAAAAGAATTATACTACATTTAAAATTTTCTAACTTAAAAATCTTCCACGGAGATACATAATTAATGATTGTTATCTTTGCAAGAAACCTTGAGCGTCTACTAGATGCCAGGCGCTTTGTTGGACAGTGCTGTTAATGTTGAAGACCACTGCAATTGTGACCTTATTTTGTTAATTGAAACTCTTTTCTTGTTCCATTTAATAACCGCATGTCCATATAATATTTTGGGAGAAGGAGATCTGGTTTGGACTAGCTGTGGGAATGAAATAGAAAAGAGATAGCATGGGGAATTATTTGCTAAACAATTAACTTGTACTCTTCTTATCCGTTTTTGAGCCATATTGGAATAAAATTTGTCACTAATGTGATTTTTTTTTCTTATTGTTATAGATTACAAATGTTGGATCACTTTGCTGAATGTGTTAAACAAGCTAAAGGTGTCCGCCAGCAGGCTGTGCAGCTTAACATATTTACTGCTGTTCTTAGTGCACTAAAGGTATTTACTTTTAATACATACTATTCTGAAATAAGTTTTTAATTAATGCATTTAATAAGCCAGACATAGCAAGATTATTATAATGTTTATATGTAAATCACTTGGTAACTGTGCCTTTACGTTAGCTTAGTTAAATTACTTGAAACTTTATGTTAGGCTCAGTGTAGTTAAATAAATGTTTTATATTTTAATGTTGTTAAAGTTTATGTTTCAATTTGAACTTCAGATTTTACAAGTGCCAATAAATTCTTTCAGAATTTTCAAAGATGTTTGACGAATGAAATCGGATATTCTACTGAAGGTTAACTAAATAGAGCTGAAGCTTGATCTGTGGTTTAGGCCACAAATCATGTGAGGCAGTGTTACATAATTGAAAGAATGCTGCATTTAGAGATTGCGTTCTCATTAAGCTACTCTAGGTTTGTGTCCAGAGTAATTTCTTTAAACTTTTTTAACCTTTTTCGAGTTGTAGTTTCTACAGGTATGAAGAAGAATACAGTAGTCCCTTCCTTATCTGCAGTTTTGCTTTCTGCAGTTTCAATTACCAATGGTCAACTGTGATTTGAAAATATTAAATGGAAATTTCCCGAAATAATTTATAAGTTTTCAATTGTGCAACATTCTGAGTAGCATGATAAAATCTTGTACTGTCCTGTTCCATCTTGCCCTGTCCTGCCTAGGATGAGAATCATCTCTTTGTCCAGTGATTCCACACTTTCTACCCTACCTGTCTGTTAGTCACTTGGTCACCATCTGTCTCAGTTATCAGATGGGCTGCTGCAGTGTGGCAGCACCTATGTTCAGATAACCCTTGTTTTACTTCATACTGGCCCCAAAGTGCAAAAGTAGTGATTCTGGCAATTTGGATATGCCAAAGGGAAGCTGTAAAGTGCTTCCTTTAAGTGAAGAAGAGAAAGTTCTCAACTTAAGAAGGCAAGAAATAATATCATATGCCAAAGTTGCTGAGATCTACAGGAAGAACAAATCTTCTGTCTGAAATCATGAAGAAGGAAAAAGGAATTTGTGTTAGTTTTGCTGTCCCATCGCAAATTACAAAAATCATGGCCATGGTATGTGATAAGTGCCTAGTTAAAATTGAAAAGGCATTAAGTTTGTGAGTAGAAGGCATGAACAGAAACAAGTTCCCATTGACAGCAATCAGGTTCCTAATCCCATGGTTCAGACATCCAAGGTGGGCCTTGGAATGTGTCCCCTGTGGAAAAGAGGGGACCACTGTTACAAATAGTTTGCCTATCTCACAGGATTCGCGCATCATACTAGGCACTCTATCATAAAGTGTTTGAATACTTTTTATATTATTCAGTGCTAAGCTTATTTTAAAATAAAATGGTAGCAAATATGTGTTTGCATGAACATGTCTTAGGTCATGCTTAAGTCATATTTTGTAAACATCAGGGAAAAAGGATATATATAGGCATTGATTATAGAAATAAGGGTTTGGGGCTGGGCGTGGTGGCTTATGCCTGTAATCCCAGCACTTTGGGAGGCCGAGGCGGGGGGATCACCTGAGGTCAGGAGTTTGAGACCAGCCTGGCCAACATGATGAAACTCCATCTCTACTAAAAATACAAAAATTAGCCAGGCGTGGTGTCAGGTGCCTGTAATCCCAGCTACTGGGGAGGCTGAGGCAGGAGAATCACTTGAACCTGGGAGGCAGAGGTTGCAATGAGCCGAGATCATGCCATTGCACTCCAGCCTGGGGGACAGAGCAAGACTCTGTCTCAGAAAAAAGAAAAAAAAAAGAAGAAGAAATACAGGTTTGGACCATTTATATAACCATTAGTATGTACTCTGAGGAGACCATCAACTAATTTGGACCTGTGAGTTTTTTAGAAAAGGAGTGGGGTGGTCGTGGTCTCCTTCAGTGATTGGGAGAGTAGTGAACCAACTGTAATATTGCTGTACAGATTACACTTTTCTTCATAGATATGCTAATGCCTCTGTTGTAGTTAACATTTTCCCCATGCAATGTGACATAGATTTTTGGTCTCAAATAAATAAATAAAGTTCCAGGATGGTAAGTACAGCTAGAACAAAGAGAGTGACATTTAATATGATGAGCAAACTACTTCAACATTCAGTTACTAATTACTATTTTTACCTTTTTTTTTTTTTTTTTTTTTTTTGAGATGGAGTTTCGCCCTGTTGCCAGGCTGGAGTGCAGTGGCGTGATCTCAGCTCACTGCAACTTCCACCTCCCAGGTTCAAGCGATTCTCCTGCCTCAGCCTCCCGAGTAGCTGAGATTATAGGCACGCGCCATCATGCCCAGCTAATTTTTGTATTTTTAGCAGAGACGGGGTTTCACCATGTTGGCCAGGATGGTCTCAATCTCCTGACCTCATGATCTACCCACCTCAGCTTCCCAAAGTGCTGGGATTACAGGCGTGAGCCACTGCACCCGGCCACCTCATTTGTTAGTTTATTTATTTTTTTTGGAGACGGAGTCTCACTCTGTCGCCAGGCTGGAGTGCAGTGGTGTGATGTTGGCTCACTGCAGTCTCATCTCTGCCTCCCGGATTCAAGTGATTCTCCTGCCTAAGTCTGCTGAGTAGCTGGGATTACAGGCATGTGCAACCACACCCAGCTAATTTTTTTTGTATTTTTAGTAGAGATGGGTTTTCACCATGTTGGCCAGGATGGTCTTGATCTCCTGATGTCATGATCTCCCCGCCTTGGCCTCCCAAAGTCGGGGATTACAGGCCTAGGCCACCGCGCCTCGCCTCATTTTGTTTTTAGATGTATGTTGATTATACTGTTTAAGTCATATAATTGTCTTCTGTGAAATTTTTATATAAACTATTCAGTTTCATATTCATCAAGAGTATGAAATACTCTTCCAAATATCCTCTTTCCAAATATTTGCCATTGATTCTGAAATTATTTTTTTGTTAAAGATTTCTTAAAAGATAGAACCAATCCATTTAATGGTTTGTGCTCTGTTTCATAACAGGTGAAATAGGAGAATGTTTCCTTAGAGTGATAAATTTCAATCAGTTAAATAATGGTTGATTTAGTAATACAGTGTCCTTAATATATGGAAGTAACTTTTAAGTACTAGTCTTTGAATAGAGACACTCCCCGCAAGTGTCTCTTAGGGCCAGTCAGACTATGGCTGTGTTATAGATCACGTTCTGAAATCGTATTTAGGAAAGTAATTACCGTGAATTGAACAGTTACAGATTCTAGACATTAGTATATACATGTGAAAACTGGTTGAAGAAAATAACTTATGAAGATGTATGTATATTTTAGAAAGATTGCAGCATGTATTTTTCCTTTATTTAATATGAATTGCGAGGCCAGGTGCGCCTGTAATCCCAGCATGTTAGGAGGCTCAGGCAGGAGGATTGCTTGAGCTCAGGAGTTTGAGACCAGCCTGGGAAACTTAGTAAGACCCTGTCTCTACAAAAACTTTTTAAAAATTAGCCCAGCAGGGTGGCATGCGCCTATAGTCCCAGCTACTCAGGAGGCTGAGCTGGGAGGATTGCTTGAGCTCAGAAGGTCGAGGCTGTAGTGAGCAGTGATTGTGCCATTGCACTCCAGCCTGGGCAAGGGAGCAAGACCTTGCCTTAAAAAAAAAATAATAATAATGAATTATGAATTGCTGTCTTTTTTTTTTTTTTTTTTTTAATGTAGGGCTTAGCTGAAAACAAAAGTACTTTAGGACCTGAGGAAGTTCGTAAATCTGCCCTGACACTGGTTATGGGTCCTCTGGACAACCCAAACCCCATCTTACGTTGTGCAGCGGGGGAAGCTCTTGGAAGAATGGCTCAGGTGGTTGGAGAAGCAACTTTTATTGCTAGAATGGCCCAATATAGCTTTGACAAGTAAGTGGGTTTCTTTACTAACAAGTTTCATGTGTAGGCAAAGATGTCTTTTAAATAATAATCAACTGGAGTTTATGTTTTCCACATGGTATACAGCATGTGATAATATTTTGTGGGTTTTTTGTAATGATCTCAATTTTTAATTTAGCAGTTGATTCAACTCTAGAATCTGGGAAAGTTGTAATATGTTAGATACTTTCTGCGTGGAGAGGGCTTCTAATCCAGCTCTTGAATGTTGCTTAATGAAATCAAGAAAAATGTTAATAAGGACTTCTCTGTTATGTGTATTCACTGAAGAGGTGCTCTGACGTCATTTTCTCTCCTCCCTCCCTTTCCTTGTCCCTCTTTATTCTTTCTGTTAATTATCCACTTTTTGGAATAAGCCATTCTTTTTCTAACTGCTGCCAAGTTTATCTCTTAAATTATGACTGAAACAGAATAGTTAAGCATCAGGTTTTAAGGATTCACTTATATATTAATTATAAAGAGTGATCTCAGAGACCCAAATAAGTATCATTAAGATGATGAGTTGCAGTTATTAGTGATGTTTCATTAAGATGATGAGTTGCAGTTATTAGTGACTATTGACTTGTTAATCAAGTGCATAAGTAGAGAAATTAAAAATCAAGGGTTGTCAAGAACTGACACTTGTGTTATGTAAATTATATCATTCTTAGCTATCATATATATAGAGTATTAAATATAGCAAACTATGTCATGGTCATTAACAAAAGAGTATGAAGCAGTGGCTATGAAGTAGTAGTTCTGAAGAAAATGTATTTTCTGAATTATTGCCTATCTGTAAATAGCTTTCCTTGTCTTGACTTGTAAATGGCAATTTGATTCGTTATTTGGTAATGCCCTAATGCACTAAGGATAGTATGAGCAGGCAAAAGACAGTTAAAATATAACCAGACACTTAATCTTCTGCAGAATGATTGCTGCTATTTTCTAGCAATAGATTAGTTTTCCTCTTTCCAAATATTTGCCATTGATTATGAAATAGCTTTTTATTAAATATTTATTAAAAGATAGTAACAATCTTAGTTATCCATTTAATGGTTTGTGCTCTGTTCATAACAGGTGAAGTAGGAGTATGTTTCTTTAGAAAGCTCTTGAAGGGTAATTTTTTTTTTTAATTACAAGGAGTTTTAGTTTATGTGTCCTTGGCTGGGCGCGTTATCTTTTGCCTATAATCCCAGCACTTTGGGAGCCTGAGGTGGGTGGATCACTTGAGCCCAAGAATTCTGGATCAGCCTGGGCAACATGGTGAAACCCTGTCTCTACAAAACATACAGAAATTAGCTGGGCATGGTTGAATATACCTATCGTCCCATCTACTTGGGAGGCTGAGATGGGAGGATCGCTTGAGCCTGGGAGGTGGAGGTTGCAGTGAGCCAAGATCATGCCATTACTGTCCAGCTTGGGTGACAGAGCGAAACTCTGTCTCAAAAAAAAAAAAAACAATGTGTCCTCAATATCTGTAGGGTACTGTATTTATTTTGTACTTTGATGAAACACAAGGACATTTCATTTATTTATACCTGTCCAATTTAGTTGTTTGCAAGTATCATCAGTGCTTGCCTTCATTATCTTTTTCAAATCCTTATGATCTGAAATAATTATTACGAAGATTTTGTTACCCATTTTTTCACATTTTATTTAAAACTGGGATTTTTCTGAAATTCTGTATGAAATGTCATAATATTTGGCAGCATTTTAATTCTTTTATACTGCTATGTAAAGTAATGGTACATTTTTTAAAACGATGGTGTCTTAGATTTGGCAGAATCTGGCTGTATTTTGGAAAAACTTCAGTCTTTCACAGCCTCATTATATTAGACTGTTTTCATCAACATCATCTCTTCTGATATAATATCTGACTGTGAAATGCTAAAATCATCTATAGCTACAGGTCCGTCTTGTATATTTGCACATTGAAATCTTATACTAACTTAGCATTAAGACAGAAATTCACAGAAATTAAGACAGGAATCATTCTGTAAACCATTCTAGGTTAATAGGGAGTACCTTCAATTGCTTAAGACCCAGTTTGGATAAAAATAAAAATCTTTGATAGTTGAATTTATTTCCATTCAATTGAAAGTCACTTTGAGACCTCTGAGAAATGTATATTCTTATATCTAAGATTATTTACTGTGAAGAGATGATTATCACTGTGAACATTGATTCTGCTTTAGGTTCACTAACCTGTTACTTTTTGAGAAATAATAACACAAAGGTAACTTTCTAATCTGTGTAATGTTTTAGAATTCACAGATTGCATTTATTCTTAACTTCTTTATTCCTCAAAACAACTGCTCTTTAGGAATAATAATAATTTCACTTAGAGAAATGGAGGCTTAGAGAGGTAAAGATTACTTATCCAAGGATATAATATGTTAGAAATAATGTTACAGATAGACCTACTTCACTTCATTCATTGCTACATTTATTTATTTATTTTTTTTTTTTGAGATGGGATCCTGCTGTGTTGCCCAGGCTGGTCTCAAACTCCTTGGCTAAAGCAGCCCTCTCACCTCAGCCTCTTGAGTAGTTGGGATTACAGGAGGGAGACACCACACCCAGCTTCTTTTTTTTTTTTTTTTTTTTTTTTGAGGTGGAGTCTGGTTCTGTTGCAGATGTGCAATCTTGGCTCACTGCAACCTCCACCTCCCAGGTTCAAGTGATTCTCCTTCCTTAGCCTCCCGTGTAGCTGGGATTACAGGTGCAGGCCACCATGCCCAGCTAATTCTTGTATTTTTAGTAGAGACAACGTTTCACCATGTTGGCCAGGGTAGTCTCGAACTCCTGACCTTAGGTGATCAACCTGCCTCGGCCTCCCAAAGTGCTGGGATTACAACCGTGAGCCACTGCACCCAGCCTGCCACATTTCTTAACATCTGTTCTGTGACAGCACTTAGAATTTTCTTTAGTTTGCAGTAGGCAAACTGGCCAACTAGAGTCTTGGGGATGATTATTCGTCTCTCAATATTTTTTTTTTTTTTTTTTTGAGACAGAGTTTCCCTGTTGCTGCCCAGGCTGGAGTGCAGTGGTGCAATCTCAGCTCACTGCAACCTCCACCTGCCGGGTTCAAGTGATTCTTGTGCCTCAGCCTCCCAAGTAGCTGGGATTACAGGTGCCTGCCACCACGCCCGGCTAATTTTTATATTTTTAGTAGAGATGGAGTTTCGCCATGTTGGCCAGGCTGGTCTCAAACTCCTGACTTCAAATGATCCACCCACCTTGGCCTCCCAAAATGCTGCGATTACAGACATGAGCCAGTGCGCCTGGCCCATCTCTTGACTTTTAATGAGGTTGCCAGAAGTCTGGTTGTGGATAGCTTATTAAGAGTTTTAATAAAGTTTTGAAAATACAACCAAATTGCTTTTTAGGCTGCTTTGTTAATTTAGGTGCATTGTTCCTAGTAGTATTTTGTTCTGTTTTCTAATAGTAATTGACTGTATTGGTGCATGATTATGAGTCATAGTATTTTATGGCTTAAAAAAGTATTTCTTCATAGCTTCTTTTATTTGATCCTTTCCATTGTTCAAAATGAAGTTTACATGTTAGCTTCATTTCAAATCTCTACATTACTAGTTAAATATGAACAAAATGATGAAATCTTATTCTTTCAGATAAACATTAAAAGAATGTACAGGACTTTAACTGCCATTAGTGGTGGAATAACAGGGACTGTATTTACCCTTGTGTCTTAAATTGTTAGAAAAACAGATAAAATAAATGAAACAACAGTTTTGAGACATTGGACAACAGCCAGCATAGGACAGTGATTCCTAGGAATGGGAAAGAAACAAAGGGAACACTAAAGATGCTCCAGATTACTGCTTGAAGAAAGTTTCCAGGCTTAAGTACAGAAATAGGAAACCCAAACTTGAGGAGAGAGCATTTGCAATTTGGGGAGGCAAGGTAGCTAGAATGTGTAGGGTGGAATAACAGAGAGGAGAGAGCTGCACAGGGAGAGAGCTATGAACAGAAGGATCATCTAAAGTCTTTGGCTGAATACTGATATGTGCAGAATACAAGGAAACTACCCAAGACTGGGGAAGGAACCACCAAAAGGGAATAGGTGAAACAATTTTCAGAACTCACAGGGCTGAGAATATTTTGTGTTCCCACTATTCAGAATAGAAAGACCTCCTGAGGTGAAGCCCTCGGAACGATATTGCTTCAGTAATGGGAGCAACATCCCTGACCCACCCTAAAAAAGCTTAAAAGCAAGCCTTGAGAAAATCAAACTGATTCTTAGTAGTAGCTGAACTGTATCCCAGAAAAAAACTCAGCAATATTTAAAGGAATATAATAAATGGAGCAACTCAACATCATAAAATTCACAATATCCTGTATCCAATCAAAAATTACTAGGCACATAAAGAAGCAGAAAGATAAAACCTCTTACTTGGAGAAAACATCAATCAATAGAAACGGCCCAGAAATGAAAAAAAAAGATGAAATTAGCAAATAAGAATATTAAAAGAGCTATTATAAATATGCTTTACATTTTCAAGGAAGTACAGGAAAACCTGAGCATGATGTGAGAAAAGGAATTTGTAAAAACAGCCCAAAGGAAACCTAGAAATGTAAAATGTATGAAATGAAAAAATGCACTGGATAGGATTTACAGAAGGTTAGACAATGAGGTAGGAAGAACAGGTCAGTCAGCTGTATTTGTGTATTGACATCTTACACCAGCTTAGAATTAAGACCAAAATTCACAGAAATTGAGAAAAGATCATTCCAGTGATGTTGAAGACATAGAAACTATCAAAAATGAGGCGTAGAGAGAAAAAGGACTGGAATTAAAAATGAACAGAGTCTCAGTGACTTCTGGGACCAATATCAAGCTGTGTAACATGCATATAATTGAAATCTCAGCAAAGGGTAGGTTAAGAACTCTTATATATTGCCAGTAGAAATGCAAAATGTTACAGACACTTTGGAAGATAGTTTGATGGTTTCTTATAAATGTAAATATATGCTTCTCTTTTGCCTACCAGTTCCACTTCTAGGTATTTACCTAAGAGAAATGAAAATGTATGTGCATACAAACACTTGTACTCAAACTTTTATAGTAGCTTTATTTATGAGAGCCAAAAACTGGAAAGTATCCACAATTATCAATGGTTGAATAGATAAATAGTGATGTATTCATAAATGGAATATTGTTCAGCTATATAAAAAGAGCAAACTACTTTTACAATAAATTGGATGAATCTTAAAAGCTTTGTTCTATGTAAAATAATCCAGACCCCAAAGACTAGGTACTATCTGATTTCATTCGTATGAAACTATATAAAAGGTAAACTATAATGATAGAAGACAGCTCAGTGGTTGCCAGGATGTTGGGGGAAGGAATATGACAACAAAGGGACCTAAGGCAACTTTCTGTGGTGATGAAAATGTCCTATATCTTGTGTTGTCAATATGGCAGCCACTACCCACATACGACTATTGAGCAGTTGAAATGTATCTTGCCCAAATTGATACACGCTGTGAGTGTGTAATACATATTGGATTTTGAAGACTTAGTTCAAAAAAAGAATGTAAAATATCTCAATAATTTGGTATATTGATTACATCTTGATATTTTAATATTTTGGATATATTGAGTTAAATAAAATGTATTGAAATTGATTTCAAGGCAGGAGGATCACTTGAGGCCAGGCGTTTGAGACCAGCCTGGACTCTAAAACCTTCATTTCTATTTAAAAAAAATAATTTCACCTGTTTCCTTTTTGTCTTCTGGAGTGTGGCAACTAGAATATTTTAAATTACATATGTGGCTTCTATTAGGGACTTCAAAAAGTTCTTGAAATAATAGGATGAAAAGATACAAATAAAATACAAACTTTTTTTCTCAACATAAGCTCCATCAGGTTCAAGACACTTTTGTAAGTGATGATGCCAGCCATTTAGTTCATCCCTAAACTGAGAATCCTGGGAATTTAACCATGTCAATGAAGTCTTTTTTGCATTATTAACTGAAGAAAAATGAGCACCCTTTAAATATTTTTTTTAAGGATTAGGAAACAACAACAACAAAAAAGTCATAAGAAGCCAAATCAGGACCATAAAGTGATTGTCTAATGACTTTCCATTGAAACTCTTGCAGAATTGCCCTTGGAGAAGAACTCTCTAGTGAAGCTTTCCCAGTTATTTTTTCGCTAAAGCTTTGGCTAACTTTCTCAAAATACTTTTATAATGAGCAGATGCTATTGTTCTTTGGCCATTCTGAAAGTCAAGCAGCAAAATGTATTAAGCATTCCAAAAAACTTTTGCCATGACCTTTGCTCTTAACTAGTCCACTTTTGCTTTGAATGAACCACTTTTACTTCTTGGTATCTATTGATTTGATTGTGCTTTGTGTCAGGTTCATACTGTTAAAGCCATGTTCCATCTCCTGTTACAGTTCTTTAAAGAAATGCTTCAGGGTCTTGATCTCACTTGTTTAAAATTACCATTGAAAGCTCTGCCTTGTCCGCAGCTGATTTGGGTAGAACAGTTTTGGCACACATCAAGTGGAAAGTTTGCTCAACTCTAACATTTCAGTCAGAATTATGTAAGCTGAACCAGTTGAGATATGTATGTTGTTGGCTATTATTTCTGCTGTTAATCATCAATACTCTTCAGTTAGGGCACAGATAAGATGCATTATTTTCTCTCAAATTGATGGGTGTGGTCTTCAGCTTTGGGCTTCATCTTCAGCATTATCTCATCCCTTCTTTTTTTTTTTTTTTTTTTTGAGACAGAGTCTCACTGTCGCCCAGGCTGGAGTGCAGTGGCGCGATCTTGGCTCTCTACAGCCTCTGCCTCCCTGGTTTAAGTGATTCTCCTGCCTCAGCCTCCGGAGTAGCTGGGATTACAGGAAAGTGCCACCACACCCAGCTGATTTTTGTATTTTTAGTAGAGACAGGGTTTCACCATTTTGGCCAGGCTGGTCATGAACTCCTGACCTCGAGTGATCCACTTGCCTTGGCTTCCCAAAATGCTGGGATTACAGGCATGAGCCACTGTGCCCGGCCTGCCTCATCTCTTCTTAAAATGAGCTATTCATTTGTAAACTGCTGATATCTTTGACGGCATTGTCCTCACAAACTTTCGTAAAGCATCGGTGATTTCACCATTCTTCCACCCAAGCTTCACCATAAATTTGATATTTGTTCTTAATTCATCTTTAGCAGAATTTGTGTTGCTCTCATAGGGGCACTTTTCAAACTGATGTTCTTATCCTTCTTGGTGCCTAAAACTAGGTCCTGTTCAGATATATTATAACAAGTTAGTACGAGTTTATTTTGGTACCCCAAAATGTTGAAATCCATGTATAGTTCTTGCATAATGTGTAGTTTCCATAAACTTTTTGAAGACCCCTCGTATTCATCTTGGACATCTCTGTTCTAATGATTATGTGGTGGTTACATACTGTATACTTATCAAAACTCATTAAATTGTATATTTTAGTATACATTTAAAATTTAATTGTATACCTAAAGTTGGTGAATATTGTATGTGAGTCTCAATAAAGCTTATTTTTTAAAGTAATGTTCATCTCTTTTTATGTATTTGAATTCATTTAAAATATATTTCACAAAGAAAAAAGATTGGCCTTTTTTAAAGAGGTTCAAATCATAATTATAGGGTATTTCTTAAGTGTAAAATATTTTATGTAATACTGTGAAAACAAATACCTTTTTACTATTTTTAAAACCAAACATAAGTTATTTTGTTTTTTAAAAATATAAAAATATTTCAAATAAGTCTTGGCTTTTCAAGGAATAATTAATATTAAAAATGAGTTGTCAAATTTTCTCTAAAATTAAAATAGGCTTTATTCAGTCAAATATATGTTTTTAACCAATTATTATTATTATTATTAATATTATTATTATTGAGACAGGGTCCTGCTCTATCACCCAGGCTGGAGTGCAGTGGCGTGATCACAGCTCACTGCAGCCTCACCTGTCAGGCTCAAGCAGTCCTCTCACTTCAGCCTCCCTACTAGCTGGGCCTACAGGCATGCGCTGCCATGACAGATTAAGTTTTTAATTTTTTTTAGAAATGGGATTTTGCCATGTTAGCCAGACTGGTCTCGAACTCCTGGGCTCAAGTGATCCACCGGCCTCAGCCTCCCAAATGCTGGGATTACAGGCATGAGCCATGACACCCAGCTGTAGTTATTTTAAATTGAAGTTCTAACTCCTGTTAGGGAGTGGAGAAAGAAGTAACTGATTATAATCTTTTCTTATTTCCCCAATAAATCCCAGTTTTTGTGTGACTTATAATGTTGTTGTTTTTATAGGGAAATAGCAAAGTTAGTGCTTGAAGCATAATCTTTTTTTCAGGTTGAAATCGGCTCGAGATGTTGTATCTAGGACTGGTCATTCATTGGCTCTTGGTTGTTTGCATCGTTATGTTGGTGGAATAGGCTCAGGACAACATCTGAAGACCAGTGTCAGCATTTTATTGGCTCTAGCACAAGATGGGACATCCCCTGAAGTCCAGGTATAATATAATTGGTTTTTTTATTACAAAAGTTTAGAAAATTTTTTGGAAAATTATTTGCTCTATGAAATAAAAATGACCGTGGTAAGTTGTTAGGACAAATATATTAGGGTTTGTTTTTGTAATAGTACATAGCAAGATTTTGTTTATCAGCCTAGTCTTAAAGTCTGTCTTATTCTGAGAATTTTACCCATTCACATACATTCCTTCAAACATATTTTCTTTTTATTGTGTATTATTCTGTGTACTTTTTTCCTCTTTTTTTTTATTTCTTTAGATTTGTTAGCTTGATCAAGTTTTTTTTTTAAATAACCATCCTTCTCTCTCTTCCTGTGATACCCCAACGTAGGTCCTGGGTCATTGGCTGAATCTTCTTGTGGACCCTTTGAATATTTTGTTTTTGTTGTTTCTTTTTAGACGTTATTATACATAAGTAAATATAACTACAGTGAAGATGAAGAATGTGTATGAAAACATCCTACAATCTGGATTTGCTACTTCACATTGTTAGGCCTAAAAATATTAAGAGTATACCCATGTAACAATTCAGTATACTCAATTCAGTACATTCGAATTCTTCCTTACAACTAAAATGAAATTATATTTTATTCTAGACTTGGTCTCTTCATTCACTTGCTTTGATAGTGGATTCTAGTGGTCCGATGTATCGTGGCTATGTGGAACCAACATTATCTCTAGTTCTTACCTTGCTGTTGACAGTTCCGCCTTCACATACAGAAGTTCATCAGTGTTTGGGTCGATGCTTGGGTGCTATAATAACTACTGTTGGCCCTGAACTACAAGGTAAGTAAATCATCTGAAATTAAGGAACCTAGTTAGATAATCAGTATCTTTAAATTTCCTGAATATCACCATCACATTACTTGAAGAAATTTTGTAATAACAATTACTATGTACTGAATACTTGGATTTACTGAAAGCCTGGCACTCAGCTTTTTACATGTGGCATTTTACTTAATCCCTACAAGAAACCTATGACATGATAATGTTTGTTGAAGTTTTGAGCAGAGAAAACATTTTAAATGAAATTTTACTTGGAGTCCCATGAAAAGAAAGTTAATAATAGAGTTCCTTTGGCCTAGAGTGCTATCCACATGTCTTCATGGACTTTTGCTTCATTTTTTTGAACTCTAAGGATTAGGAACATAGCGTGAAAAACCACTGTCATAAGGTAAATATTATCTAGATTTTGTTTTCTTTTTGCTAGAGGAAAAAGATATTAGCTAATTTTCTATGAGGAAGTAAACTGCGAGAAGATAAGTAACTTGCCTAGAGTTAGTCAACTTATGAGTGGCACATTTATGATCCTAAAGCCTATGTTTGTACCACTTAATTCCACTGAGCTAATTCTACTAATGGTTAGACTCCCAAGTCAGCAAATTATTGTAAAGATATCCTGAATATATAAACCACTTTCAGAGTTTTCCTTTTTCTCCTTTGTCATTTATTATATATGTTTTCAAAGGGTTGAGCTTTTAACATACATTATTTAATTCGGATAACAACCCAGAGACTGATATTATCTCTATTTTATTGATCAAATATTGAATCTGAGAGAGGTTAAGAACTTTTACAAGGTTTTGGAAACTAGTGAGTGGTTGGAGTAAGAAGTGAAGCCCAGATCAATTTCCGATGCTTGCATTCTTTTTTTTTATTTTGAATCTATTGCCCAGGCTGGAGTGCAGTGGTGTGGTCTCAGCTGACTGCAACCTCTGCTTCCTGAGTTCAAGCGATTCTCCTGCCTCAGCCTCCTGAGTAGCTGGGATTACAGGTGCCTGCCACTACACCCAGCTAATTTGTTGTATTTTTAGTAGAGACAGGGTTTCACCATGTTGGCCAGGCTGGTCTCGAACTCCTGACCTCATGATCCACCCACCTCGGCCTCCCAAAGTGCTGGGATTACAGGCGTGAGCCACCACACCCGGCCTTTTTTTTTTTTTCTCTTTTTAAGAGATGGGGGTCTCACTATGTTGCCCAGGCTGGTCTCAAACTGCTGGCCTCAAGCAATCCTCCCACTCCCATCTCAGCCTTGCAAAGTGCTGGGATTACAGGCACGAGCCTCCACGCCCAGCCCGTTACCGGCATTCTTAATCTCTATGCTATGTTTCCTCCATTTTGACAGATATTTTTAAAAAGAGAGGAAAAAGAAAAAGACTTAAAGAAAATGCTAGAAATTGAAAAATATGTGATTCCCCACCCCCCCCACCCCAGGGAGACAGAGTCTTGCTCTGTCTCCCAGGCTGGAGTGCAGTGGCGTGATCTCAGCTCGCTACAACCTCCGCCTCCCGGGTTCAAGCAATTCTCCTGCCTCAGCTAACTTGTATTTTCAGTAGAGACGGGGGTTCCACTATGTTGGCCAGGCTGGTCTCGAACTCCTGACCTCAGGTGATTCGTCCGCCTAGGCCTCCCAAAATGCTGGTATTATAGGGAAAAACAGGTGATTTAAATAAGCCGCTTGCTTAGACCCATTGTCCTCTTTGGGAAAGTGAGGATAGTTCTTCCTGTGAATGTCACAGGGATATGAAGACGATAAATATGTGCCTTTTATTAAGCATAGGTGTTTATCAAGTATTTTCAAAAGTGATAATGATAAGGCAATGCGTATAAAACTAGAATGTAGCTCTTATGTGATTTTTATGATTTCCTTATTTACATTTAAAGATAGGCATATAGGCCGGGTGCAGTGGCTCATGCCTGTAATCCCAGCACTTTGGGAGGCCACGGCGGGTGGATCATTTGAGGTCAGAAGTTCGAGACCAGCCTGACCAACATGGTGAAAACTCATCTCTACTAAAAGTACAAAAATCAGCTGGGCGTGGTGGCGCGTGCTTGTAATCCCAGCTACTCCAGAGGCTGAGGCAGGAGAATTGCTTGAACCTGGGAGGCGGAGGTTGCAGTGAGCCGAGATCGCGCCACTGCACTCTAGCCTGGGCGACAGAGTGAGACTCCATCTCAAAAACAACAGCAAAAAAAACCTGAATAATAATTGGATAGAATGGTTATTTAGAGGATAATTGTTTACTAGGAATATTTTTGGTGGTACTAATAAAATAATTATATTTTATATTTTCTTTCATTTTGCACCAGGGAATGGAGCAACAACTTCTACAATTCGTTCCTCTTGTTTGGTGGGTTGTGCAATAACACAAGACCATTCAGATTCTCTTGTTCAGGCAGCTGCCATATCTTGCCTTCAGCAGCTTCACATGTTTGCACCACGACATGTCAATCTATCTAGCCTTGTTCCTAGCCTTTGTGTAAGTATAGAGCTATTTCATTCATTGATTTTTAAGTTGTATTTTATTTTACATTTAAAAAATTTTTTATGGATACATACTAGCTATATATATTTTTGGGGTACTTGGGGTATTTTGATGCAAGCCTACAGTATATAATAATCACATCAGAGTGAATGTGGTATCCATCACCTCAAGCATTTATCATTTATTTGTGTTATAAATAATCCATAGTTATTTTAAAATGTACAATTAAAATTATTATTGACTATAGTCACCCTTTTATGTTATCAAATACTAGATCTTTTGTTTGTTTTTTGAACTTCAGTTGTCATTTTATGACAATTCATTTTATTCACTGGTGTTCTCTTTTACCTTTTAAGAAATATCTTGATGAACTGTTTATTTCCTTGCTAAGAATATATCACATTTGGGCCAGGCGCTGTGGCTCACACCTGTAATCCCAGCACTTTGGGAGGCTAAGGTGGGCAGATCATGAGGTCAGGAGATTGAGACTAGCCTGGCCAATATGGTGAAACCCCATCTATACTAAAAATACAAAATTAGCCGGGCGTGGTGGCGTGCACCTGTAGTCCCAGCTATTCGGGAGGCTGAGGCAGGAGAATCGCTTGAACCCAGGAGGCGGAGGTTGCAGTGAGCCGAGATCGCACCACTGCATTCCAGCCTGGGCGACAGAGCAAGACTCCATCTCCAAAATATATATATATATCACATTTTTAGTTTTCCTACTCGGAATTTTATTTCCTAAAGCTTGATTGATACTTCTGAGTATCTGTTGGTATCATTATAATTGTTAATTTATTCATTCATCAGATACTTATTGATAGCCTGTTATATGTCAGGAGCCATGCAACCTACTGGAGATACATTTGTGGGTGAGACAAGATCAAGCCTCTGTCATAGTAAAGTTTATAGTTTACAAAGGAAAATGGAAAAATATTATTTACAAATAAGTGCTATAAAAGCCTGGAAGAGAGCGTTAGCAGGAGGCCTATCATAATCCTGACATTCAGAAAAGATTTTCATTAAAAAATGGTATTTAAGGCCAGGCGCAGTGGGTCATGCCTGTAATCCCAGCACTTTGAGAGGCCAAGGCGGGGGGATCACCTGAGGTCAGGAGTTCGAGACCAGCCTGGGCAATGTGGTCAAACCTCATCTCTACTAAAAATACAAAAATTAGTCAGGGGTGGTGGCGGGTGCCTATAATCTCAGCTACTCGGGAGGCTGAAGCAGGAGAACTGCTTGAACCCGGGAGGTGGAGGTTATAGTGAGCCAAGATTGCGCCATTGCACTCCAACCTGGGCGAGAAAAGTGAAACTCTGTCTCAAAAAAAAAAAACAATTGATATTTAAGGTGTGATTTGCAGAGTACATAGGAATTAGTTTACAAAGGGCATGATATTGAAGTAGACAGCATTTACTTTTAGACAGGAAGAAAAATACATGCAAGGCCCTAAACTGGGAAGGGCTGTCATACATTTAAAGAGCCAATTAGTTAGTGTGATTAAGGCTGAGAGAGAAGACAGAGAGGTGGGACCTAGAGGAAATGATGAGACTGGACAACTAACCAGGTGACATATCACGCAGACTTTCTACATACATAAAACCTTTGGACTTTATTCTACAAGCAGTGGGAAACCATTAGAAGGTGTTCTCTGCAGGGGAGTGACATAATGAGATTTGCACTTTTTACATTTTGTTCTTGCTGCATGATAGAGAGTGGACTCTACAGGGTAAGAATTACGGTATTCTCGGAAGAAGATGGTAGTGATTTGCTCTAAGTTAGTAAGAGAATGGGGAGAAATCAATGGATTTGAATAATATTTAGGATGAAGGATTTGTTCATTAATTGGCTCTTAGTGGGGCATAGTTGGAGAAGAGGGTTAGAAGGATGTGGCCTAGGTTTTTGACTTGAGTATAGTAATGTAATTCCCTGAGATTGGCAACATCGGAGGAGGAGGGTTGGGAAGAGTGGATATCATTAATTCAGTTTTAGACACATGGATAGTTAGTTTTATGGGCCTGGAGCTCAGAAAAGAGAGGTCTGGTTAAAGAGGTAAATTTGAGAGGCATATGCATTTATATGGAAAACAGAGACGTAGGAGTAGATGAGATCACCAAGGAGAGAGTCATGATTGAGGAACCCAACTTGAAAATTTTAGAAAAGAGGAAAGGAGTCAGCCAGAAATATGTAGAAGCAGTTAAGAGAGATTAAAGAAGGAATAGAGGTTGTGTTGTTCACAGAAGCTAAGTGGAGTAGAAGAGTGGTGTTTTTGGAAAAATTGACAAGCTGATTGTAAACTTAATAGGGAAATGCAAAGTGCTTGTAAAGATCAATGAAGTTGGAAGATTTGCTATACTTACTATCAAGATTTACCATAATCTCCAGTAAGAAAGACAGGGTAGTATTGCAAGGATACTCAAGTAGACAAATGGAACACAACGGAGTGTCCAGAATTGGATTCACACATACACAGTCATATAACTTACGACTGTGGCACATGGTACCACTACAGTTCAGGGTGGATAGGATTATCTTTTCAATAAATATAGGGATTAAAGATACCATTGATTGTACTTTACAACTCTAATATCACAGATGTTAAAATGAAAAGGAAAAGTACACCTGAGAATAACTGCAGTGGGGTTTTTGAAAACACTTTGTAAAGTGGTTTGTTTCTTTCACTTAGGCTTTGCCAGTCACCATTTGTTGAATGTATTTTCTTAGCTACAATTCTCTGTAATTGTTACTAAATTAAAATGTTATGATGTTCTCCATATATGTTTTACCATTTGATTCTTACAGTAGTTGTGTAAGATGGGTGGATTGGATATTGTCCCCACTGTAAAAATAAAAAGGCAGAAACTTCAAGAGACTAAGTGACTTGTTCTTCCCATGTGATATGACCATGCTTGAACTTTGTAATTAGTTATGGAGTATTTGAAAGCTCCAAAATGTCTTTATTTTCAGGAAGAGGAATAAATAAAGTACTTTGTTGGCTGGGTGCGGTGGCTCACACCTGTAATCCCAGTGCTTTGGGAGCCCAAGGCAGGCAGATCACTTGAGTGCAGGAGTTTGACACCAGCCTGGGCAATATAATGAGACCTTGTCTCTACAAAAAATAAAAAAATGAGGCGAGAGGATCGCTTGAGCCCGAGAGGTTGAGGCTGCAGTAAGATGTGATTGTGACACTGCACACCAGCCTGGGCGATGTCTTTTTTTTTTTTTTTTTTTTTTTTTTTGAGACAGAGTCTCGCTGTGTCGCCCAGGCTGGAGTGCAGTGGCGGGATCTCGGCTCACTGCAAGCTCCGCCTCCCGGGTTCACGCCATTCTCCTGCCTCAGCCTCCCAAGTAGCTGGGACTACAGGCGCCCGCCACTACGCCCGGCTAATTTTTTGTATTTTTAGTAGAGACGGGGTTTCACCGTTTTAGCCGGGATGGTCTCGATCTCCTGACCTCGTGATCCGCCCGCCTCGGCCTCCCAAAGTGCTGGGATTACAGGCGTGAGCCACCGCGCCCGGCCGGCGATGTCTTAAAAACAAAACAAACAGCCAGGTGCGGTGGCTCACGCCTGTAATCCCAGCACTTTGGGAGGCTGAGGTGGGCGGATCAGAAGGTCAGGAGATGGAGACCATCCTGACTAACACGGTGAAACCCCATCTCTACTAAAAATACAAAAAATTAGCCGGGCGTGGTGGCGGGCACCTGTAGTCCCAGCTACTTGGGAGGCTGAGGCAGGACTATGAATTTTATGCAAGTATATCTTGAATTACAAATGCTATATTAATAGCCTAAAAATATACTATCTGGCATTGTGAAGGGGAGATATATTCCATACATGTGTTCTTCTCCATCCCCATCATTTGTGTCTGGGACTCTTTCTAAAAGATTACTTCCTTGCTTGAAAAGCAGCAGATGGAACATAATTTAATATTTTCTTCATGAGTCAGATTTATACTAATAATTATAATAGCTTACATTTGTTGAGCAGTTACCATGTGCCAGCCAGCATTGTAAGCATTTTACTTATTTACACCATATTCCTGTGAAGAGTTAATATTCCCACCTTACATGTGGGCAAATCAAGGCACAGAGGGGCTGAGTAACTTGTGTAAGGTGTCACAGGAATAAGTGACAGAGCCAGGATTCAAACCCAGTCTGGCAGCTGTGCCTGAGTTCTTAACTTTTATGCCATGTTGCATCTTATACTTTTATGTTTTAGAGTGTACTATATTCAGGGACCTTTCAGATGAAAAAAATACTGTGGCAAAAGGCCCCATTTTGCAATTTTTTCAGGTGATTATGTTTGCTTGATTTGGTTTTTTCACTTTGATAACCTCCTTTGCTTTCAAATATTATGGTGTGCTCTGCCCCCTAACTTTTCATTCACTACATTTGATCTCTATATACTTAAAAAATTTAGATGACAAAGTTGAATAGGACCATGTGTAAAATAAGATGTGCAGAAGATCCTTCTGGATTTTTCATTTAAGTATATTGTATGAGCTTTAGAGCACAGATCTTGGGACAATTATTTTGGCTACTAACATATTTTTTGTATATTTTATTAGTAGTAGTATTTTGTCAAAAGGCCATCATTTGACTGTATTTTAAACAACTGAGGTTGTTAAATGAAGAGCATCTTCAGAAGTAAGATGTTAATATATATTCATTAGGGCGGGGCACGGTGGCTCATGCCTGTAATCCCAGCACTTTGGGAGGCTGAGGTGGGCGGATCACGAGGTCAGGAGTTCGAAACCAGCCTGGCCAACGTGGTGAAAACCCGACACTACTAAAAATACAAAAATTAGCCAGGTGTGGTGGCAGGCACCTGTAATCCCAGCTACTTGGGAGGCCGAGGCCAGAGAATCGCTTGAAACCAGAAGGCGGAGGTTGCAGTGAGCTGAGATCACGCCACTGCGCTCCAGCCTGGGCAACAAGAGCAAAACTCTGTCTCAAAAAAAAAAAAACAAAACAAAACATATATATGTATGTATGTATATATATATTCATTGGGCAAATAAGATTAAAGAATTACAGCTTTTTAAAGAGAAATCGCCTAACATTGTTATGATTTACAGGTTCACTTATGTAGTTCCCATTTGTTACTTCGACGAGCAGCTGTGGCATGTCTTCGGCAACTTGCACAAAGAGAAGCAGCGGAAGTATGTGAATATGCCATGAGCCTGGCAAAAAATACAGGGGACAAAGAGAGCAGTAGTGCCAGTAAGTTATATTATTGGTCAATATTGTTTTTTGTTTAACTACTTTTACATTTCAGTTAAGTACTATTTATCAAATAACATTTTTCTGTTGCAATGTGGCCAGATGTCTTATTCTTTGAAATAAAACCATTACCACTTTTAAAATTCCAATGTGGTTTTCTTGATAATTTTGCATTTTTGCTTTTTAAAAATTTTTGCAAGTTGGGCATAGTGTTGTGTACCTGTAGTCCTAGCTACTCAGGAGGCTGAGGTGGGAGGATCACTTGAGCCCAAGGGTTTAAGGTTACAGTGAGCTATGGTCATGCCCCTGTGCTCCAGTCTGGGTGGTGGAGTAAGACCATGTCTCCTAAAGTAAGGAAGTAAGTAAATAAATAAGTAAAAAGTTGGGTGTGAGTGACTAGATTTAAAAAAAATTATTTGCAGCTTAAAAAAACTGAAAAGTATTTAGTATCAGAATATTTCTGCCATTTCTTGAGGATGTTTCAGGGGCACTTGAAGGTTTCCAGTTCTGGGTGGTAGTTAGCCTCTTGCGATGTAATTTTTCCTCTAAGAAGGTAAGACCAAAGTAGCCAATAAAACTATGAAATGTCAGTAGATGTTTGGTAGCAAAAGGATGATCTTTGCTTCCTTTAGTTCTTTCTGCTTTTTTGGAGGGTTTTAGGTATAGCTTAAATTCCTAGGTGGTCTTCTGCTATCTTTCTGCCTTTTTGGAGGGTTTTAGGTATAGCTTAAATTCCTAGCTGGTCTTCTGATATCTAGGTGTAGGTGGTTTGGAAACTTTTTAAGAGTTTAATTGACAGAGATATTTCCCCTATTATGAGGGAAATTTTTTACTTATAAAAGTTTTCTAATGCCTAGAAGCTGCTTGGATACAAAGAAGCAAGATACAAGAATAACTTCAATTGTAGCATAGCATAAGAACTTTATTAACAGATATACGGTATTGTAGAATATTAAAGAAGTTTATTATAAAAATCTACCAGTAGACAGTACTGTTTTTGGAGAGAAAACATCACCAAAAGTAGTTACAGAACTCTTCTGAATACATATAAATTTTCAGAACTTCTACATGTCAGTTGCCATAAACAAAATTGAGACTACTTGGAAGGCTGAGACAGATCACTTGAGCCCAGGAGTTCAAGTCCAACCTGGGCAACATAGTGAGATCCTGTCTCTTTAAAAAAAAAAAAAAAAAGAAAGAAAAGAAAAACAGAAAAACAGCTAAGATAGGGAAAAATATTTACAAAATATATTTTTATTAACTAATTTTATTTACTAACGTATGTATTTAATAAAATATAAAAGTGTTTAAAGCTTTTACAAATGAGTATGTTTGGAGTCCCCAAGATCACCCCCAGGTTTGATGATTTCCTGGGTGGACTCAGTGTATAGGCATTTTCCTGGCTGTGTTTATTATGACAAAAGGAATAAAAGGTGTGTAGGATGAAGTTAGAGGAAACCAGGCACAAGCTCCCCAGAGCCCTGTCCCCATGGAGTCATAGAGATCGCAACCCAGCAATGGATTGTGACAGCATGTGTGTAATGTATTCTCCCAGAGAAGCTTATTAAAGACTTAATGCCCAATGTTTTTATTGGGGGCTGATGCCATAGGCATGGCCTGCCTGGCACATACCAAAAGTTCGGACTCAGAAGGAAAGCAGATGTTCAACAGAAGCCACAGTTTAGGTACAGCGAGCCACTTTTATCAGGGAATTAATGGTGGGAAACCTCTAGAAACCCAATTCCCAGATGCTAGCCAAGGGCTAACCTTGCAATTAAGTCTTACTAAGGTAGTCTCAGGCCTGCAGTGTTAATTTGTTTTTGCACCTGGTAAAAACCACTAGAGCACATTTTATAAAGAAGAAATAACAAATATCTTTAACCTCCAGTGATTTAACAATTGCAAGTTACTATAATCATAAAATAGCATTTTTCTTCTATAAAAGTGATCAAGATTAAAAATAATAATTACAACCAGTGTTGGGAAAAGTGGGAATAGATATTTCTTGTACTACAGATAGAAATGTAGAGTCATGCACATTTTCTGGAGGGTTTTTTGGCACTATGTCCTTGAAGTTTTCAAAATGTGCTTACCCTTTGACCTAGAAATTCCCTCTTAAGGAATTTGTCCTCTAACCAATTAATTTTCTTTTAAGGAATTTGTCCTCAGTGATTAATCAATTAATTTTCCCTTAATTTATTGGTTTGCTGCATAGCCGTTAACATTCATACTATAGAAGTATAATTACTGAAATGGGAAAATATTCACTATCTACTGCTTAGTGAAAAAAAAGTCTCTGTGCCTAATCTCTTCCTAGTGTTCTCTTTTCTTGGAACCCTTTCATTTAACTTTTTCTATTGTTTTAGAATGTCACTCACTATGGCTATTTTCTTCAAACCTCCCCTTATTCTGTATTTGGGGTGACACAACAAAAATAGTTACCTTTCAGTTCCATTCGTCTGTCTTACTCCCTTCAGGGTTCAGTGGGCTCTAGACTTCAGAGGGCGTAATAATACTCATTCTTAAAGCCACCAGTTATATACCGCTGCTGTTTACAAGAATGAAAAGATTTTCTGATGAAGCAAGAAATTTAACCACTATTTCATGACAACATTGCTTTTTGGTTGTTGTTACTCTTTGGATTTTCCCAATTTTTATTTATTTATTTATTTATTTATTTATTTATTTATTTTTTGAGATAGAGTCTCTATCACCCAGCTGGAGTGTAGTGGCACGGTCTCGGGTCACTGCAACCTCCGCCTCCCAGGTTCAAGCCATTCTCCTGCCTCAGCCTCCCGAGTGGCTCGAATTACAGGCACCTGCCACTGCACCCGGCTAATTTTTGTATTTTTAGTAGAGGCAGGATTTCACCATCTTGGCCAGGCTGGTCTTGAACTCCTGACCTTGTGAACCTCCCACCTCAGCCCCCCAATGTGCTGGGATTACAGGCATGAGCCACTGTGCCCAGTGGAGTTTCACTCTTGTGGTCCAGGCTGGAGTGCAATGGCACAATCTTGGCTCACTGCAACATCCGCCTCTTGGGTTCAGGTGATTCTCCTGCCTCAGCCTTCTGAGTAGCTGGGATTACAGACACCCGCCACCATGCCCAGCTAAATTTTGTATTTTTAGTAGAGACGGGGTTTCGCCATGTTGGCCAGGCTGGTCTCGAACTCCTGATCTCAGGTGATCCACCTGCCTCAGCCTCCCAAAGTGCTGGGATTACAGGCGTGAGCCACTGCGCCCAGCCTTGGATTTTCCCAATTTTTAAATGAACTCTTAGGATGCAATCCACTTAGAGTTTGTGTTCTGGCTTTATAAAAATTTTAAAATCTGAACTATAAGACTGAATAAGTTTCAATTTATTCTTCTAACAAATACAATAGTTTTTTAGTTTGTTAAATATATTTAGCAGTATATCTCTGTCCCACACTTTTTCTTATTAGAATCAAGTATTTATTGAGAGTTCCCTGAGATTTGTTTACAATATCTCAGAATAATCAGTTTTACAGTTCGAGGTATTACTCTAATTGCCAGATTAAATTATAATCCCAAAGATATGTAAACTAGAGGCCATAGTTAAATTGTATATAGCTAGCTGGTTTTGTGGCTGTTGTGAATTTATATGTAAGACTTGGTCTTTATCATAATTGTTACCTATAGCGTACACCAAAATACCATACAAATTCATTTGTAAAAATTACCTTTCAGATGTCAGTCCTTTTGCCCCTGGGGTTAGTTCTCGAACTGATATCCATTGCCGGCACCAAGGTGTTAATATAACAGAAACTGGTCTTGAGGGACTTCTTTTTGGAATGCTAGACCGGGAGACAGATCGAAAATTATGTTCTGATATTCATGACACTTTGGGACATATGCTTTCTTCGCTGGCAGTAGAAAAACTTTCTCATTGGCTAATGCTTTGTAAAGATGTCCTGGCAGCTTCTAGTGGTAAGTATTTAATGTGCGTTCTTAAAATAATGGAAATTGTTTTACTTCTGATATATACATATAGATATATGTATAAAGATACATACATGTAAATTATAGGTTTTATTTAAAAGTAATAACTTTTGATCTACAAATCTCTGTCAAAATGTTGAAAGTTAAATTATGTTATAAACAAATGAGCTTTTTTATATTGTTGGGAAAATATATTTCAAAATTTTTTGGAAGTTCAAACTAAATTTTCATGTATAAAAACCCCAAGTTACTCTAGAGTATGACATAGTATGTAAAACTATTGAAATATTTAAATGTAGTTTACATAAAAGTAATTTATGTTATCTTTTCCTTGGCTTTTGATTGTTTAAAAAAAATTCTGCTAGTTTTACTGTTTTCCAGCAAGTAAGAATTTAGTCTTTTTTTAAATTAAAAAAATTTTAATATTAATAACTTTTTAAAGGATCATTTTTGCTTATGTGAGATTGTTACAATATTCCTTATTCTTGTTATAGATATGAGTACTGCAACTCTCTTAAGTAGTGGAAAAGATGAAGAAGCTGAAAAGAAAGATGAGATGGATGATGATACCATGTTTACCACGTTAGGTGAAGAAGATAAATCAAAGCCCTTTGTGGCCCCTCGCTGGGCCACTCGAGTATTTGCTGCCGATTGCCTGTGTCGAATCATCAATTTGTGTGAGAATGCAGACCAGGCTCACTTTGATCTTGCCTTGGCACGTTCTGCTAAACTTCGAAACCCTACAAGTAAATTTAAAATCAGTACTTTTTCCCCAAAGCATTTTTACACCTTGAGACATTTTGCTGCTATGAGATATTTTACTGCGACAGATATAGCGTGCTTTAGAATATGCCATTTATTTATTGTAAGTTCTCTTGCCTTTCATCTTAGTTTTCTGTCCCCTCTGCATACTAGTCATCTTCTGATTCCTATTGGGAAGATAAGTTGAAGAAGGTGGTCCACAAGATAGATTGATCTGTGTGTCTATTTAATCATTTGCCCAAAGGATAATGATGGCAGTTACTTAGGTTTTTCTCAGTACGTTGTCCTGGATTTTAGCATTTCAGCGGAAAGGAAATGGTAAAATTTTAAGGCATATAAATAAAGTGAGCTTTGCCGTCCCCAGCCATGGAGAGTATCAGAATTCATGAATGCACTGGTAGATTTCAAACTCTCAAATTTCAGAAGTGCTATTAGGTATTTTTGAAAAGGTGAAAATTGTTTATTATGGAAACAATTTTTATCTTATTATTTTTTATCTTTTGTAAACTTTTTATACCATGTATCCCCTGAATCTGTTATTATAGGGAATTTACAAAGAGACCATCAGACCCAGTACCTTCATTTCATAGTTGAAGAGACCCAGAGAAATTGAGAGGTGATAGAGTAACAGATTCCTTATCCTATAGTTTGTTGTCTCTTCATCACCCAGTCATTTTTTAAATATCTGAAGACAAATTGTATGTGTTAACAATATTGACGTCTATGAATTGAAAATGCCTTTTGGGTTATTTCATTGTGTATAAGAAGCAGCAGAGCTCACATAGATATTTTTAAAACAAACAGGCTGGGTGCGGTGGCTCATGCCTGTAATTACATCCCAGCACTTTGGGAGTCTGAGGCAGGTGGATCACTTGAGGTCAGGAGTTCAAAACCAGCCTGGCCAACATGCTGAAACCCCATCTCTACTAAAAATACAACAAATTAGTGGGCGTCCTGGCACATGCCTGTAGTCCCAGCTACTCAGGAGGCTGAGTCAGGAGAATCGCTTGAACCTGGGAGGCGGAGGTAGCAGTGAGCTGAGATCACGCCACCGTACTCCAGCCTGAGCGACAGAGCAAGACTCTGTCTCAAAAACATACAAACTGTAAAACAGTAGTACAACATGTATAAAATGAGACTCTGAATATAGGTAATCAGCAAAGCACAATACATCATGAACATAGTGTTTTTGTTCATGTAATTATTCAGCAGATATTTACTGCATCCTGTTTTTTGGTATATGGTAGGGATACATAGAAGAAAAAAACATAGTCCATACCCTGGAAGAACTTATAGCCTAGAAGACAGAGAGACAGACTTCTCAGTCAAATAGTTATGGCGTGTCCCAGTAGTAGTATGTTAGAGTACTTTGAGAACATTAAAAAACACATGGTATTCATTTCCTATAAAGCCAGGGAAGACGTCACAGAAGAGGTTATTTTGAAGATTAGTTTTAAAGGCAGAGAAAGGGTTAGAAGAGACTGGTGGCATTAGTTTTCTATTGCTGCTATAACAAATGCCCACAAACTTGGTTTAAAATCACACAAGTTTATCATCTTACAGTTCTGTAGGTCAGAAGTCCAACAAGAGTCTCGCTGGGCTAACATCAAGGCATCAGCAGGGCTGTGTTCCTTTCTAGAGGCTCTAGGGGGCATCCCTTTCCTTTTCTTTCCAGCTTGTATATGCTGCCCGCACTCCCTGGCTCACGGCTCCCTCTCTCTCTTCAAAGCCAGCAGCGTTAAATCTCTCTGATGCTTCTTCAGTCGTCACATGTCTCTGACTGCAGCCAGGAAAGGTGCTCTGCTTTTAAGGACTCATGTGATTAGACTGGGTCTGCCTTGATAATTTAGGCCAGTCTCCATGTTTTAGACTCCATAACCTTAATCACATCTGCAAAGTCCCTTTTGCCCTGCAAGGTAACATATTCACAGGTTCTAGGGATTAGGTGTGGAGATTTTGGGGTGCTAATATTCTGCCTACTACACTGGTTTATTAGAAGCAGAGGGATTCAACATGAAAAAGCTGATTGCCAAATAAATAAATAAGTAAATAAAAAGAATCAGAGGAAGTAAGAATTTGTAAAGCCAAGGAATCATAAGTGTGCATACTACATTTAGGGAATAGTGAAAATCCTTAGGTTGACCTTTCTTTCTTTGGATTTCTTAACTGTTATTTTTCTTCCTCATTGTGTCTTGTCCTTTTACCTTAGTTCTCAGAGATCCTCACAGGTTTTTTCTTTATACATTGATGTTTTGCTTTTTTCTGCCTTCATTAGTAATCTTAAGTCTGCTTTAATTTTTTTTAATTTTCCTGTAATTTGTCTACGTTTCTCCCACCTCCATTGTATCATATCCTTTTTACTCTCTAAGGTTTTCTGTTTTTATACCATAGCAGCCAGGATTCTTTTCATCCTATCGAGGATGCCGCATGATTTTTTTTTTTAATTCTGGTTTTTATAGAACACTGTTTCCAGAGATTAGCCATTTCTCTGAATCTTCAGAATCGTTCTTTTCCCTGGTTGCATTTTTCTTTAATAAACTTAATTGTTTATATATTCTTGAAAGAGAAGAGTACTCTCCGTATTTGGAATTTTCTCTCAGTGTGGAGGTGGATTGCCCATGTTCTCTGTTGTTCATGTATTTCCCATCTGTAGTTGGAGGGTAAGCTGTTGTAACAGCTCCCACCTAGATTCCAGTGTCTGACATATTTTGTTCTGGATCCTTTCTAACAGGATGCTTTCTAACATCACCGCCTGCCATTCTGATTCTGAACAGTCATGGCAGAGTATATGAAAAAGTATAGACCCAATAAATGTGCTATTCAGGCTCTCCTCTATCATCTTCATCTCTTCATCTTCCTATCTCCTATGCTTTAATTGTAGGGAATTACTACTCCCCAAATATAATACACCACCGAATTATCTTTCCACTTTGAAGTTTTTGCTCAGTCCCCTTCTCATTCCCACCTTTTCAAGAGTTCATTTCCTAGGATTTAGAAAAAAGACGGAGGTCTTGCTTTGAGGAAGGGTAGACATAGAGATGGGCAGAGAAGCAGCAGCACTCTGGTTGTTGGGGAAAGTGGCGCTCTCGTTCCAGAAACAATTACCTAGATTTTGGTTTGGTAGATTGATATAGTCCTAGACTTTGTAAATTAGGTGATAGAGTGCAGGAGAAATAATAGGTCTTTTTATTTACTTTTAGGTTGGCATAATGTAAGTAGACCCATTTTAATCTACTTTGTACTGCCTTGGGAATTTTCTCCCAAATTTTGGCAGTAGTTTATTATACCTCATTCTTGTTTGTTTGTTTCTCAATTTTTTGTTGTAGTAAAATACATATAACATAATTACCATCTTTTCTAGCTTATCAGTTGGGCAAAATTTTTTTAATTGACTTACAAATATATATATCATGTACAACAAGATGTTTTGAAGTATGCATACATTGTAGAATAGTTAAATCTAGCAAATTAACAAATGCATTACCTCACCTAGTTATCATTTTTGTGTGAGACCACTTAACATCCACCATCTTTGCATTTTTCAAGAATACAGTGTATTGTCATTAAGTATAGTCACCGTGCTATAGAGTAGATCTCTTACACTTATTCCTCCTATTTAACTGTAATTCCATGTACTTTGACCAACATATCCCCATCTTACCCTTAACCTCTGGTAACCGCCATTCTACTCTCTACTTCTGTTAGATTAACTTTTTTAGATTCCACCTATGAGTGAGATCATGTGGTATTTTTCTGTGCCTGACATATTTCACTTAACCTAATGCCTCCAAGTTCATCCATGTTGTCTCAAATAATAGGACTTTATTCTTTTCTATGGCTGAATAGTGTTCCATTATGTATTTATACCACATTTTCTTTATCAATTGATAGACACAGGTTGGTTCATATCTCAGTTATTGTGAATAGTCCTGCAGTAAACATGAGAGTGCAGATATCTCTTCAACATACTTAGTTCAAAACCTTGCTTTTACTGGTGGTGTGTTTTTGCTTCCTATAGGTGAGGAAGCACTGTGGGCTTCTAGCCAAATGTTTTGCCTTCTCTGCTTGCCTCCCACCCACAAAGCAACTGATATTCTTTTTATTTTTATTTTATTTATTTATCTTTTTCTGAGACAGAGTCTTGCTCTGTCACCCAAGGTAAGTGCGGTGCTGTGATCTCGGCTCACTGCAGCCTCAGCCTCCTGGGTTCAAGCGATCTTAGCGATCTTCCTGCCTCAGCCTCCTGAGCTGCTGACATTACAGGCACCCGCCGCCATGTCCAGCTAATTTTTGTATTTTTAGTAGAGACGAGGTTTCACCATGTTGGCCAGGCTGGTCTCAAACTCCTGGCCTCAAGTGATCTGCCCGCCTTGGCCTCCCAAAGTTCTAGGATTGCAAACATGAGTCAGTGCACCTGGCCAGATATTCTTTTTAAACTCAAGATTCTAAAATTAGTTTTTTTGGTAGGCACATGAAAAAATATGAAGATACACATCTTATAACTTTGACAACAACAGTGACAACAAAAACTTCTTTAAATAGGAACTGCTTGGGGATCAGGCTGAACCATAGATATGTCACTGCTTCAAAAAGACTTTGTGGGTTTTGAAGCCTCCTGAAGAACTTCATAGACCTTGAGCTTAATAATTTCTTTAGATAATTTGTGTTGCTAAGTCTTTTCAGTTCACTGATCTTTAGTATTTAATCTCTATTAATTTTATCCAGTGTAGTTTTCATTTCAGATATTTTACTTTATATCTCTAAATTCCCCTTTGTGATTTTTTTCTACCTTTCATTTCTCCCTTAGTTATTTTCGTGCTTTTCTTTTCCCTCTTTGAACATAGGAAACATATTGATAATAGCTATTTAAAGTTCCCTGTCTAATTATCTTATCTTTTTCATTTCTAGACTTGTTTCTATTCACTGATTTTTTTCTCTCTCTCTCTTTGTTGTGAGACATATTTCCCTACTTCTTTGCATTCTTGGTAATTTTTTATTAGATGTCAGACCCTGTAAATTTTACGATATTAGTGCTGGATTTTGATGTATTCCAAAATAATTTTGGACTTTGTTCTGGGATGTAGTTAAATTACTTGGTATCATTTTAATTATTCTGAGACTTGCTTTTAAACTTTGTTCATACAGATCCAGGACAACTTTTACTCTAGGGCTAAAAGGAAAAACATTTCCCTTTTCCATATCTTATTATAAAGGTCGTTTCCTTCTTATTTTGTAGATTTAAGTTTCCTGACAAGAGTTTTTCTAGAGATTGGCAGACTCCAGCCTACAGTCCAAATCCAACCTACAGCCTTTTTTGTAAATAAAGTTTTATTGGAGCACAGCACACTCATTTCTCTACGTATTGTCTGTGGCTGCTTTTGCACCTTAACAGTGGAGTTGAGTAGTTGCAATGGAGATAATATAGCCTGAGCCCAGGCATGGTGGCTCACGCCTGTTATCCCAGCACTTTGGGAGGCCGAGGTGGGCGAATCACAAGGTCAGGAGTTTGAGACCAGCCTGGTCAACATGGTGAAACCCCATCTCTATTAAAAATACAACAATTAGCTGGGCGTGGTGGTGGGTGCCTGTAATCCCAGCTCCTTGGGAGGCTGAGGCAGGAGAATCGCTTGAACCCTTTGGGGGCAGAGTTTGTAGTGAGCCAAGATCACACCACTGCACTCCAGCCTGGGCAACAGAGCAATACTCCATCTCAAAAAAAAAAATGATAAAAAGAGATAATATAGCCTATAAAGTGTGAACCAAAAAGTGACTGAAGCAGATATCAATTGATAGAGGTTTATTAGCCAAGGTTAAGGATTCACCTGGGAAAAAACACAGGTAACAGGAGCATCTGTGACCTGTGTTTTTTCCAAAGGGGGTTTTGGGAACTTCCTTATTTAAAGAAGAAAGAACAGCAGGAAGGAAAAAAAAAGGGAACGAAGGGTAAGCAGTGATCAGATGGTTATTATATTCCTATGAGGCTCTGATTAGCCTCAGTAAATTTTTTTTTTTTTTTTTTTGAAACAGGGTCTCACTTTGTCACCCAGGCTGGAGTGCAGTTGCGTGATCTCGGCTCACTGCAGCCTTGACCTCCCAGGTTCAAAGGATCCTCCTACCTCAGCCCCCTGAGTAGCTGGGACTACAGGTCCACGCCACCATGCCCAGCTAATTTTTGTATGTTTTGTAGAGATGGGGTTCACCATGTTTCCCAGACTGGTCTCAAACTCTTGAGCTCAAGCTATCCACCCACCTCAGCCTCCCAGAGTGCTAGGTTTACAGGCTGAGCCACTTCGCCCTGCCTAGCCTCAGTGAATCTACATTTTACATGTGAAAAGGGGGAATACAGGAAAAAGTCAGTTACGCATTGGCCACAGCATAGAGAGAGGGATGATTTCTCATCTTGTCATTGTCCTATACCTGTGAAAATAAGCTGGTAATTGACATTGTCAGGGTGAGATTCAACAGAACTTGGTTTTAGGGCTGGTTCTTAGTGGGGGATATGTATTCCGAAGATTCCTTGTGAGCAATTTGTGAGAGGAGGCCATTTAGGAAGATTTTTGGCCTTCTATCATTGTGGGAACCTGGCTTAAAATGAGGCAATGACACACAGTTGTGAAATTACAGCTACCTGGGAACAAAAGGCAGTATTGCAAGACTCAGTTCCCAAGCTTAACTTTCTCTTTGGCATAGTGAGTTTTGGGGTCCCAAGAGTCTGTTTTCTTTCATGAAGCCAAAAATATTAACTATCTGGTTCTTTACCAAAAAAGTCTGCCAAGCCTTTGTTCTTAAAGGATCAGAAACTCATTTTGGGAAAGTTACGTTAAAAGTATTTTGCATAACATATCATTGTAAGTCCTATAACATCATCAGCATTACTGTATTGTATATCACTATTCTTGAAAGATTGATATGGAAGTTGTCTTGAAAGAATATAATATCTTTGCTATTTTCAAAGTTGTGAAATATGTGGATTGTGTTTTTTATCAAAAATTTATTTCATTTCATATTTTTATGTTATTACACTTATTTTTGGAAAAGTTTTCATTTTTGCATTCTATTTTTATTTTTAGATGACCTCTTGGTACTTCATCTCTCTGACCTCATTCGCATGGCATTCATGGCTGCAACTGATCATAGCAACCAGCTGCGAATGGCTGGGCTCCAGGCGCTTGAAGACATTATCAAGAAGTTTGCGTCTGTGCCTGAGCCAGAATTTCCAGGTCATGTGATACTGGAGCAGTATCAGGCTAATGTGAGATTTTCTATTTATTTAAGAACTTAAAATTGATCTTTTGAAAGATTGCTGAAGAAGTGCAGACTTCCTGGAGGACTGCATTTGGAACTGCAATCTGTTTATTTCTGTAGAATGCATCTCTTTATCTCCATTGTCTGTTACCTAGTTTTAGTCACCCCACAAATGAAGAAATAAGTGTCAAGCTGTTGTCACTATTTTTAAGTTGTGATAACATATTAGTGATAAAACTAGAATAGAAATTCCAGCTCAGCTTTCCAGTCTTGTGTTTAGATATTTAGCTCTGCCCTTTAAGAGATAAAAGGAACCTTCAAAAGAGTGTTGTGGATTTGCTGCCGTTATTTTTATATGGCAAACCTTCATAAGCATTTTTAGAAATAGATAGCAGTTGCCCCTTGTATAATGAAGGATAAATTAACTCTTAATAACAACAGTTAAAGGTATTACTGAGGCCGGGCATGGTGGTTCACGCCTGTAATCCCAGCACTTTGGGAGGCCGAGGTGGGTGGATCATTTGAGGTCAGGCGTTCAAGACCAGCCAGGCCAACATGGTGAAACCCTGTCTCTACTAAAAATACAAAAATTAGCCTGGCAGTAGTGGTGCATGCCTATAATCCCAGCTACTTCGGAGGCTGAGGGAGGAGAATCGCTTGAGCCTACGAGGCAGAGGTTGCAATGAGCCGAGATCGCACCACTGCACTCCAGCCTGGGTGATAGAGTAAGACCGTGTCTCAAAAAATAAAAGTAAAAAATAAAATGCTTTATTTATTTTTCTAGGTGGGAGCTGCTCTAAGACCAGCCTTTTCACAAGATACACCATCAGATATAATAGCGAAAGCTTGCCAGGTAAGAAGAAAAATGGGACTTTGTATAGTTGTCTTCTATACATTCATAGATATCTTAGAATTTAACTTGTGTAAAGGAATAGAGAAAAATTTGGGAGACCAACATGGGAGGATCGCTTGAATTCAGGAGTTTGAGATCAGCCTGGCCAACATGGGGAAACCCCGTCTCTACAAAAAATACAAAAATTAGTTGGGCATGGTAACATACACCTGTAGTCCAGGCTACTCTGGAGGCTGAGGTTGGTGGATATCTTGAGCCTAGGAGGTCAAGGCTACAATGACCCAAGATTTCGCCACTGTACTCCAGCCTGGGCAACGGAGCGAGACCCTGTCTCAAAAAAAAAAAAAAGAGAGAGAGGAAAAACAAAATAATATTTTTATCTTGGAAATACAACAATGGCAGTTTTCCTTTTTATTCTTTGTGAAATGATGAAATAATAATTAGGTAATAAACATTGTGGTCAAAACATTGTTTTTGACCACACATTATGAAAATTTTGCTACTTTGTGGGTATTAAATCATACTAAGGAGAATTTCACAATATAGACATTTCATTGCAAAATTAATCCCAGGGAATTATTCTCACCTTGTTATATCTGCAGAGACTCACAAAACCACCAAAAAACGTACATTTTCTTTTTTTTTTTTGGAGACTGAGTCTCACTCTGTCACCCAGGCTGGAGCACAGTGGCATGCGATCTCTGCTCACTGTAACCTCCGCCTCCCGGGTTCAAGCAATTCTTCTGCCTCGGCCTCCTGAGTAGCTGGGATTAGGTGCCCGCCACCACGCCCAGCTAATTTGTGTGTTTTTAATAGAGACAGTGTTTCACCATGTTGGTCAGGCTGGTCTCAAACCCCTGATCTCGTGATTCACCTGCCTTGGCCTCCCAAAGTGCTGGTATTACAGGGATGTGCCACCACACCCTGCCCCAAAAAATGCATATTTTCTTATTCCTTTAATCAGTTTCTCTTTTTCATATGCTTCATTTTGAAAAAGGATTCATGTATTAAGCTCTAATCTTTTAGGTAATCAGTTTATTTGTCTCCTTACCTAAAGAGAGAAGATAAGCAACTCTCTTCTTCCTAGTTTTCTGGAGTACGGTGCTGTGGTCCATCATTTTTGCTTAGAATCCATGGCCAAGCTTCATGTGACCTCTATGCAGAGAAGATTCTGCAATAATAGGTTTAAAATTCTGACTTTATCCTCTCTGTAGCTGAATGCAAGTTTGCCCCTTCCTTCCATTTTTGAAATTGATATCTCTGAAGCCTGCTGCCTTAATGGCAGTCTTCAGAGAAATTAACTCTTTCCACGGACAGGAGACCAGAGAGAAAAGAAACGTTGTTGGTAAGAGATAGGTCTCTGGATCGTGATGCAAACCTTCGACTAGGTAATTTGGTTTGGGATACTGCCACACAAATATCAAAAAATTACTGTCCATATGTAAATAAGTGTATCATGATGACGTTTCAGAGCACAGCATTTAAGCAGACAAAATCTCCTACAATGCTCCTGATCATTAGAAAAGCAAAGGCTATTAGAATTGTATCTTGTATATGAATACTGAATTTGCCTTAAACTTATTTCTTTTGTGGCCCTAGTTGCATTTTTTTTTATAAGAAGTTTTTTTTTTTCTAGTGGCAGGCTTAAATTTGTGACCTCCTTTCCTTCTGTTGCTGGGAGGAAACCTGGTTTCCTGACAGGTAAAGCAGTAGGTTACAAGTTCCTTTCCTTTAAGGAAAGTAAGGAGTTGGCTTAATGATATCCCAGCCTGTTTGTTAGAACAAATGCCATGTTAAGAAACTTTAAAATCAGGGTAACTCTTAGATATTATAGGAAGGACCCTCAGATGTCACACAACTGGGTACAGTAATCAGTGGATCAATAAAAAATCATTTAAAGTAGGGTCAGATCATGAACATAATGCGTACTTAAATATTTTATTTCAGCATAAAATTTTAAAATGTACATTCATTCACCAATCTTTTGATGTAGGGCAAAGTCTTTTCTCTGAATATTATTTTACTAATTCAATGCTACTTTGTCATTCTTCATAAACAAAATCCATAATGCATTATCTGTGATTCTAGTTTCAGATTCTTTTTTTTTTTTTTTTTTTTTTTGAGACGGAATTTTGCTCTTGTTGCCCAGGCTGGAGTACAGTGGCATGAATCTTGGCTCACTGCACCCTCCACCTCCCAGGTTCAAGCGATTCTCCTGCCTCAGCCTCCTGAGTAGCTGGGATTACAGGTGTACGTCACCATGCCCAGCTAATTTTTTGTATTTTTAGTAGAGACGGGGTTGCATCATGTTGGCCAGGCTGGTCTCGAGCTCATGGCCTCAGGTGATCCAGCCACCTGGGCCTCCCAAAGTGCTGGGATTACAGGTGTGAGCCACCGCACCTGTCATTTTTTTTTTGAGACACAGTCTCCCTCTGTTGCCCAGGCTGTAGTGCAGTGGCATGATCTCAGCTCACTGCACCCTCCGCCTCCCGAGTTCAAGCAATCAAGCAATTCTCCTGCCTCAGCCTTCCAAGTATCTGGGATTACAGGTGTGTGCCACCACGCCCAGCTAATTTTTGTATTTTTGGTAGAGACGGGGTTTCACCGTGTTGGCCAAGATGGTCTTGAATGCCTGACCTCAGGTGAGCCACCGTGCCCGGCCTAGTTTCTGATTCTTTAATGTGAAGAAAATACTTAGGTTTTTACAAAGAAAGCTTAGTGCCAAATTCCTAATCTTTATAATTTTCCCCAATTTTTTAGTTATATTTCTACCAAATTTCACAGAAATATTTATCAAATCTTTCCCATATGTTCTTTAGTTTCCTTTGGGAGTAACAGCTCTTTCTTTTCATGTTCATATTTAATTTCTTTTCACTTTAAATTTAATTATTTTTCAGCAGTTTTGACTGGCATTTTAAGTTTTGCCATCAGTATCTCCTTAATTGGTAACAATCAGTTAAAAATGTCCTTATTAATTTTATTAAAATTAGTTTTGAATTCTTTGAGAATAAAATTTGACATAAATACTTATTCTCCACTTTTAAAACGTTTTCAATATAGGAACTCAAGTCCATTAGCCATGATTTGAAATCCAAATGCTGTGAAAATCAAAAGCTTTTTTAATCATTTATTTGGCAGCAAAACCTGAGCTGACTTGTACTAATTTGGCTCTGATGTGAAGCTAAGTGAGAATGTAGCATTAGTTAATCTTTCTTATTGTGATTTGTAATACATTTTGTTGCAGATACATCTGTGTGTTAATTATGGGGTGCTGCCACACATCTTGCTAGGTGTATACTTTAATGAGGTTCAGGTACCTTATTACCTTTTACCCAAAAGTTGTGAACTCTGAAAAAAATCTTGGTCCAAGGATTTCAGATGAGAAAGTAAGGACATGTGGCCGGGCGCGGTGGCTCGTGCCTGTAATGCCAGCACTTTGGGAGGCTGAGGCAGGCAGATCACGAGGTCAGGAGATCAAAACCATCCTGGCTAACGTGGTGAAACCCCGTCTCTACTAAAAATACAAAAATTAGCCGGGCCTGGTGTTAGGCGCCTGTAGTCCCAGCTACTTGTGAGGCTGAGGCAAGAGAATGGCATGAACCTGGGAGGCGGAGGTTGCAGTGAGCCAAAATCACGCCACTGCGCTCCAACCTGGGTGACAGAGTGAGACTCTGTCTCAAAAAAAAAAAAAAAAAGAAAGTAAGGACATGTAATTATTGTTGTTAAAGGTGACACTCTGAGACCACCCCTTCCTTCTTGAAACTCTTCCCTTGGCTCCATTGTCACTGCACTTGCCTGGTTTTTCTTTTGTTTTTCTGGTATTTTCTTTTCAATTTCTTTCTTTATTCTTATTCTACTTGTCCCTTAATTGTAACTATGTTCCATCTGGTCTGGCTTTAAGGCTTTATTTTTTTTGTTTAAAGCTGTCCTTGAAAAAAATTTAACAATACTTTAGTTATCACCTTTGTGTGGGAATTCCTAGGGTTATGTAATTACCCTTGAACTTGCTCCTGAAATCCAGACCCAAGTTTTTAATTGCCTGCTGAATATCTTTCCACAAGTCTCTTAGTGGCACTTTGAATGCAGCATGTAAAAATGTTCAAAATTAAAATCACGCTGTCTCACTTCTCATCTCCACTTACTTAGTTTCCTTTGTTTCCCCTATCATCCCCGTAAAGCAGTAGTATCACCTTCCTTCCATTCAAGTCAGAAGCTTCAACAATCAGCATTTAGAAATTTTTGATTCCTTGCTCTTTTTGTATCTCCCTTCACCCGCCCCCTAAAATAGCTAATTAGTTTCCATATCCTGGGATTTCTAACTACAAGTCTGTCTCAGATGCTTCTCCTTTTTTATTCCATTCCCAGTTTGATCCGTATCATCTCTGTTCTATGGTATTATAAAAGACACTTAACATATTACTTACTGTCTATATACATTTTTTCTTATACAGAAGTACTGGAACAGTTTTCCTAAAGCACAATTCTAATAATATGATCCCCCTGTCCAGAGGCCATGGAAACTCACAATTGCTTACAGAATGAAGTCTAAATTCATTTTCCATGGAATGTAAATTTTACCTTAATCTAATCCCAATTAACTTTCCTAATCACATCTCTTCCTCATGTAACTCTCCTATGTCTATACATACAAACCTCTTTGACACCTAAACATTCCCATTCCTCCTGCTAGAATTAATCTTTCCCTTGTCTGTTTTTAAGTGTCCCATATTACAGTCATAAAACATTCCCATGTGTTCATTCAATCTGTGTTTTCTTACTTGAGGGTAGGGACTAGATTTTTTTTTCCTATTCCTTTTTTTTTCTTTCTTTCTTTTGAGACAAAGTCTCGCCCTGTCGTGGCTGGAGTGCAGTGGTGCGATCTCGGCTCACTGCAACCTCTGGCTCCCTAGCGATTCTCCTGCCTCAGCCTCCCGAGCAGCTGGGATTACAGACACACGCCACCATGCCCACGCCCAGCTAATTTTTGTATTTTTAGTAGAGATGGGGTTTCACCATGTTGGTCAGGATGGTCTCAATCTCCTGACCTCGTGATCCGCCTGCCTTGGCCTCCCAAAGTGCTAGGATTACAGGTGTAAGCCACTGCGCCCAGCCTCTTTTTTTTTTTTTTTAAAGTCCCCTTTATAGCAGCAAGCATAACCCTTTTCCTGTGGTAAGCAGAAATTTTGTTGAAGAATTATTCAAGACTGAACTGCTTTGGGTGGAAAATTATTTCTGTTAACATTTTTGTTAAAGTACACGGTGGAAACATGTTAAGTAAATACTATTTTGTTTTCTACGTAGGAGTACAATAAAATCTATGCTTACCATTGATATAAAAAATAATACTGGCTGGGCACGGTGGCTCACACCTGTAATACCAGCACTTTGGGAGGCTGAGGCAGGCAGATCACGAGGTCAGGAGATCGAGACCATCCTGGCTAACACAGTGAAACCCCGTCTCTACTAAAAATACAAAAAAATTAGCCAAGTGTGGTGGCACGCGCCTGTAGTCCCAGCTACTTGGGAGGCTGAGGCAGGAGAATTTTTTGAACCCAGGAGGTGGAGCTTGCAGTGAGCCGAGATCACGCCACTCCGCTGCAGCCTGGGTGACAGAGCAAAACTCTGTCTCAAAATAATAATAATAATATCAAAGCATAGCATTGGGTAGTTTATTTTGTTTTGTTCTTTGGTTTTGTGTTTTATCTTCTAGGAAAAAAGTCATTTATTCCATTTTCTTATACAGCATTAATTTTTTTTACACAAAAGTTTTTGAATTCTCTTTGTCTAGGTATGTAGTACATGGATAGGAAGTGGAGTTGTCAGTGATCTCAATGATCTCCGTCGAGTACACAATCTTCTTGTTTCTTCTCTGGACAAAGTTCAGGCTGGAAAAGGATCTTCCAGCCAGCTGTACCGAGAGAGTGCCACGACCATGGAAAAACTGGCTGTTCTCAAAGCTTGGGCAGAGGTAACGACTAAACCACAATCTATTGTTTTTGACCCATTTCTTCATCCATGAGAAAATGTTCCTCTACTCTTGTTGGTAAAAAAATTTTTGTTTTTTAAAAACTAACCCTTGATATGGAATACTTTTTGAAAATTTGTTAATCAGTGTACTGAAAACCTCTATATTGAGGAAGGGCTCTCCTACATAATATGAGGAAATTAGGTAGGAAAAACTCAAAAATATAACAGAAAATATTTTATGCCAAAAATCTTTTATTTGATTAAATTTCAGGTGACTTGCCACCTTGATATTGAGGCCATAGGGGTTTTGTTTCTTTTTTTTAAAGGTAGGGTCTTGCTTTGTTGCCCAGCCTGGACTTGAACTTCTGGGCCCAAACAGTCCTCCTGCCGCAGCCATCCGCGTAGCTGGGACTGCAGGCACGCACCACAGTGCCCAGCTTGTTTTGTTTTTTAATAGCTAGTTTTACCTTTTTCATTCTCACAGTCACTTTAAAAAATATATAATTACATTGTTTTAAATTCATTTTTCTAAATTCCTTCTGCCAGTTACTATTGAATTCTTATCATCTGCCCTCCAGTATTGAAGTAACTAATTCCTTCCTCTACCAGCTCAGTATCTCACTTCCCTATTTTCGTGGTATTCAGCAACAGGTAACTGAAACCATAGAAAGTGAAACCACGTTTAAGGGAAGACTATTGGAGTTATAATTATTTTAAGCTTTTCCGCTAATCTAAGACTAAACTTTTCTCATTCCCTTACTTCCCACCCTCTGATTCATTCAACAAAGTGTTGTTTAGCTTCAGCTCTGTCAGGTTAGCAGTTGAGAATACGGGGGTGAGATATATTACGTTTGCTGAGCAAGACAAACTGGTAAACAAGTAGATGTACCAAAGGGTAAGGAGCATTATCACAGGAGAAATACAAAGTTACAAAGTGTTTTGGAACACATAGCAGAGGCAGTTACAATAGGCTGGAGGCTCAGAAGTAGCCTTTTTGGAGAAAGTGATGTTTACATTGAAACATGGAGGATAGGAGGAGGTATCAGTTAGGCATGAGAGTGAGGAGGAGACTGTGTGAAGCTCAGTGCTGTCTACTCTTCTTCTTTGTGTCTTCAGCACCTTCCTCTGTACATCCTCTAAAACTGCGCCCTAGGCCAGGCGTGGTGGCTCACACCTGTAATCCCAGCACTTTGGGAGGCCGAGGCAGGCGGATCACCTGAGGTCAGGAGTTCGAGACCAGCCTGGCCAATATGGTGAAACACTGTCTCTGCTAAAAATACAAAATTACCCTGGCATGGTGGTGCATGCCTGTAATCCCAGCTACTTGGGAGGCTGAGGCAGGAGAATCACTTGAACCCGGGAGGCAGAGATTGCAGTGAGCCAAGATCACGCCATTGCACTGCAGCCTGGGCAACAAGAGCGAGACTCTTGTCTCAAAAAAAAAAAATTTAATTAATTAAAAAACTGCACACATTATTTTCAGGAATATTTAAGGATATGCACAAAGGTTCTGCTACAAGGGTATTTGTTATGGTGTTATTATTCACAAAAAAGTGGAAATAACCTAAATGTATTTCTTGATCTTGAAAGATGATGATATTAAGTGACTAGAAAATTGGGGTAGAAATTATACACACACGCACGCACACATTAGGTAAAAAACTGAGCGTGTTTATATAACTGTTTAGACTGGTAACAGCATTGTATCTGAGTAGTAGCATTATGTGTAGTTTTAATTTTCTTCATTTTGCTTATGCTTCTGATTGTCCTTTTTTGTGTAATATCTATAAGAAAAATAAGCCTAAAAATTTATTTTAAAATAGGTCTGAAAGATATATTCTCATATATTGCAGGTAGCAATATAAAATATAGAACCTTTTTAGAAAGCATTTGGCAGTGTCTATTCAGAGTCATAAAAATATTTGTAAACACTGACCCAGTGATTCCATTTCTGGGCCTGTAGTCTAGTGAAAAATATCCAAAATATGGAAAAGAGGTAAGTTTACAAAAATGTTTACTTGCAACACTATTTATAATGTGAAGAAATGAATATCTTTTGTCTTCGAAAGCTGTATTTCATCTTTCTAGGATTCCCAATGCTAAGTAAAGAATTAGAAGTAAATATAAAATTTCAACTGTAGGAAAACTGGTAGATACATTGTGGGTCATCCACTGTAAGTCATTAAAATAATGGTTATGAAAACTGGTATTCACATGGGAAAACCCTATGACATGTTTATCAGTAAAACTAAATACAGAATCTCTGTACATCAAAATTATAACTTACAAAGATAGAATATGAAAACCCAGAAATTGAGGTTATGAGTCATTTTTAACTCTTATTTTTCCAACTTTTTATAGCATAATTATTAAAATAAAATTATAAGTCGAGGAAAAATGCATACATAGACCGTAAAGTCTTACAGTGACACCCTTGCTTCCCCATTGCCTGCAGAGTAAAAACTTCAGCTACTTCCAGCTTATAACCTGTGCTCCGTCTATATGAGAAATTTGCATACTTAGATTACCATGCAGTTTCCTGTTTTTGTGCTCTTGCTCTGGCTGTTCCCTCTGCCTGTAAGCTCCCTTTCCATCTCTGCCTATGAGCAAGTCAACTTTTGTCCTTAAAAACGGTCTCACCTTTCTCACACTCCCAAGGCTAAGATTCGTTTATCTGTGATGTTCCCTGAGATTCATTCACTCATTGCATAAACTGCCGAGTGTTCATTAGGTACCAGACACTGTCTGTGCACTGGGTAGAGTGTACTAGAAGATAAAGCATTAAAAAGATTATCTTTGTAGAAGATAAATAATTAAAGCCAAATCTTTAAAAGTTTCTTCTCTTAAGCACCTTTTTACTTCCCTCTCATTGTAATATTAGCCTGTGAATTCATGGAAAGCAAAAACTATGTATTATTTGTTTTTTTTTTTTGCTTCCAGTCCTAGAACAATAACAAATTCAAGGCAAAAGGTGCCTACCTAGTAAGGATTTGATGAATGAATGGCTGGATATACTTAAGAGTGCTTATTGTGACATTTTCTTAAAAATGTTAGTGGCTGGGCACTTGGGGAGGCTGAGAAGGATGGATCACCTGCGGTCAGGAGTTTGAGACCAGCCTGGCCAACGTGGAGAAACCCTGTCTCTACTAAAAATACAAAAATTAGTCAGGCTTGCTGGTGTGTGCCTGTAATCCCAGCTACCCTGGACCCTGAGACAGGAGAATCACTTGAACCCGGGAGGTGGAGATTGCAGTGAGCTGTGATCGCACCACTGCACTCCAGCCTGGGTTACAGATCGAGACTCCCATCTCAAAAAAAAAAACAGTGTAATAACAAATTTAGGGGGGAAACAAGCATGTACTCACTAGAAGATATGACAGTAATATATTCATAACTTGAGATCCAAAGTCCCTATTTTAGAATTTAGTCAATTGCTGTATATTTTCTCTGTGCTGTAAGTCTGCTTGGTGTGGGAATAGGGGTAAGACACAGTGCTTCTCATCAAGAAGCTTGCAGTGTACCTATACAGATACCATACTTAGGCTTTCTCGTTAGGTACAATGGATGTAACACTGTGGAGGGAAGACAGTTTTCTCGAGATTTTTATCTAGAGCAATTCTTTTCTTGCTTGCTGTCATTCCTTTCTTTTTTTGTTTTCTCATTAATACGTTATTCAGCTTTGTATGTGCCAGTAGCCAAAGCCTAAATGTATTACAAAACAAAGGAAAATAAATATGATTCAATAAAGAAGAATCTTTGAAATTATATTTTAGGAAAGTTGCTTTTATGTCTTTTTGGCTCACAAACTAGAGAGAAAGGATACAGGTAATGTATGTGACTAGCAGATTATATTAGCCAGGCTATCTGTTGTAAATGCTAGATTGCAAAATATCATTTAAGGTCTGTGTAAGAAGGAGTTTAGAAGGATATTTATGGAAATCCTTTCTGATGTCTCTTTTTGCCTCTCAGCTGCTTACTTTGAATGCCTGGTTGTCTAATAAGTCTAGGAAGGTGGAGGCAGAAACAGAGTTATACCCTGTGGCAAAAAAAAAAAAAAAAAAGTGGAGGCGGGGGGTGCTTTGTAAAGTAGAATGAGGGAAGCCAGAAAAAACTCTGAGAAGGCTACTCAAGGAACATGCCATCAGAGGAATAGTCAGAAGTCAGATCAGTTTTTTTAGAAAAATGTCTCCAAGGCAAATGGAATTATTCTTTTGTGTTTATCAGGAAATCATGGAGTTGTATATACTTTTTTTTTTCTTTTTTTGAGACAGGATCTCAAATCTGGTGCCCAGGCTGGAATGCAGTGGCACGATCATAGCTCACTGGAACCTTGAACTCCTGGGCTTAAGCGATCCTTCTGCCTTAGCCTCCCAAGTAGCTGGGGCTACAGGCATGTGCCACCATGCCTGGCTAGCATTTTTGTTATTTTTTGTAGAGATAGGGTCTTGCTATATTACCCAGGCTGGTCTTGACCTCCTGGCTTCAAGTGATTCCCAGCTTCTCAAAGTGCTGGGATTACAGGCATGAGCCACTGCACCTGATCAAAGTATATACTTTCTTCTTTTTTTTTTTTTTTTTTTTTTTTGAGACAGAGTCTCACTTTGTCACCAGGCTGGAGTGCAGCAGCGCGATCTCGGCTCACTGCAACCTCCGCCTCCCTGGTTCAAGCGATTCCCCTGCCTCAGCCTCTGGAGTAGCTAGGACTACAGGTGCCTGCCACCATGCCCGGCTAATTTTTGTATTTTTCGTAGAGACAGGGTTTCACTATGTTGGCCAGGATGGTCTCAATCTCTTGACCTCATGATCTACCCGCCTTGGCCTCCCAAAGTCCTGGGATTACAGGTGTGAGCCACCGCACCCAGCCAAAGTGTATACTTTCTAATATCTATACCCAGTTATCTTTGATGATTTAACTGTATTTTTATAATAACGTAAAATATCTTATTTTTTTATCTTATGCCTTACTATTTTGTCCTCATAAATATCATATTAGGTATATGTGGTCGCTATGAATATTAAAAAGGAAGCAGAGTCAAAACCAAAAAGAGCAATTAAAAATACTGACGATGATGATGACGACTGTGGTACCATCGATGAACTGCCACCAGATAGTTTAATAACACTGGTACAACCTGAACTACCAACACTCAGTCGCCTGTGGTTAGCAGCATTAAAAGATTATGCACTCTTGACTTTACCAGCCGAATTTTCTAGTCAGCTTCCTCCAGATGGTGAGTATTACATTCTGAGTTTTACTTTTATGGAGTTCAAAGTAGTAGTTAAACAAAATAGAGACGGTATAGACTAGCAACAACAGTTGCTATAGTAACAGTTTAAATTTCTGTGGCTTAAGTTTGATGTTGTCTCAGTTAGAATATGTACTCTATATTGAATTTGTAGATAGAAGATATAGAGCTTTTTTGTTGGCTGAAGCAAACATATTAGCAAGCACTGTTACAATAATAGCTGTATGAGCTAGGGTATTCTAAATAGCTATGGGTAACAAGTCATTATGCATAACCATAGATGTATATTGCTGTACTGTTCAATGTTTGTATTTTCATATTCTATTTCAGATTCCTAGTGTGCCAATAAATTATGTTCCTAAAGTGCTTTGCAAATTGTACTTTAGTTTTCTTATCAAAATCAGTGTAGAAATCGTCAACATTTTTTTCTGTTTAGAAAGTGTGTTATTAGTTCCTACTTGAAGAACCCATTCTCCTTCCTATATATTAATGATAAGAATAATGGAGTTCCCCCGCCCCCTTTTTTCCTTCCTTAATCCATCATAACAGCAAGGAGTGATGAGGAAGTCCTCAGTGTTAGTAGAGGAAACAACAGGAGGTGGAGAGGAATAGCAGAAGAAGAAAGAAACAGAGGGAAGAAACAGAGTTCCCTGGTTGTGATAGAAAGAGAAGATGATAGGGTTTTAGGAGCCACTGGCAACAATGAAGAGGTAAATTCTGTGACAACAGGGTAAGAAAAGGTAAGAATACTTAGTGACATCAGCAGTAGCAGAGGAAAGGCTGGAAAACTAGCATCAGTGAGGAAGAGACAGGTATTCCAGTTCATCAGCTACAGAAAAGGGGTTACTTTTGGTGGCTTTATAAAGAGGAGAAGCCCTTTGGCTAGATTTCTCTTTTGTATGTAACAGGTATTTTTGTTAGTGGTTCATAAATGAGCGAACATGTATAATAGTAATATTTTGGCCGGGTGCAGTGGCACATGCCTGTAATCCCAGCACTTTGGGAGGCTGAGGCGGGTGGATTGAGAGTTTGAGACCAGCCTGGCCAGCATGGTGAAACCCCATTTCTACTAAAAATACAAAAAATTAGCTGGGCATTGCGGCGCATGTCTGTAGTCCCAGCTTCTGAGGAGGCTGAGGCAGGAGAATTGCTTGAACCCAGCAGGAGGAGGTTGCAGTGAGCCAAGATCGCACCATTGCACTCCAGCCTGGGCGACAGAACGAGACTTGGTCTCAAAAAAAAAAAAAAAAAAAAAAAAGTAATGTTTTTAATTGATTTGATTGCTTTACAGGTGGAGCATTTTATACCCCTGAAACTATTGATACAGCTAGACTTCACTATCGGAATTCCTGGGCCCCAATTCTCCATGCGGTGGCACTTTGGTTAAATAGCACAGGATTTACGTGCTCAGAGTCTACAGAAGCAGCAGCAATATCTGGTTTACAAAAACGTTCTACATCTGTCAATTTAAACCAGGCATCAGGAGCAGTGGGTAGTGCTAAATCTTTGCCAGAAATTAACAAAGACAGAATGCATCTGATTTTAGGTAGGTCTGTCATATTAATATATTTCAAGATTATCACTTCTGAAAATTCATATCTTTCATTTTAAAGCTATGGAAAGATTTTGTACAGTATAGCACAGTTCAGAGAAGGAAAAGTGAAAGGATTTTTCACCTCACCTTATAAATTGTTAATTGAATTTTTAACCTAGAAATTAAATTATTAAAAACTACTGAAACTACTTAACTGTCATGCTCATTCACACAGCAATATCGAACAATTTTCAGTAAAAAAACGTAATATGTTTTTTATTCAACAACAGGTTTTCTTTTTACTTGGCACTTAACCAATTATCCCATTAAGAAAAAAATGTTTAAGAAGATTTCAGTGAATCCTAATGTAAAATTGCTTTATAAATGCTTTTTTGTTTCTTGTTTTTTTGTTTTTTGTTTGAGACAGAGTTTCACTCTTGTTGCCCAGGCTGGAGTGCAGTGGCGCAATCTCGGTTCACCGCAACCTCCGCCTCCTGGGTTCAAGCGATTCTCCTGCCTCAGCCTCCCAAGTAGCTGGGATTATGGGCATGCGCCACCACGCCCGGGTAATTTTGTATTTTTAGTAGAGGTGGGGTTTCTCCATGTTGGTCAGGCTGGTCTCGAACTCCTGACCTCAGGTGATCCACCCACCTCGGCTGGGTGCTGAGATTACAGGTATGAGCCACTGCACCCAGCTATAGATGCTTTTTTAACATTTAAGAATTTATACATGGTAATGAAGCTTTTAGTGATCTTATGTTTTCTGGGAGTGAAAAGGAACACAATAAGGTGTAATTATCGGATTCATCAGTAGATCTGGTAAGTGAAAATGTGAAAAACTTCCAAAACAATGACTTTACCCCTATGTAAATTAAAAGCAGTTGTTTACTATGATACCCATTGTGCCTCTATAACTTGCCATTTAAAAACTTTGTATGCATGAAAAATTATTTGGCTACCATTTAATGAAAAACAATTTTATAATGTTTGTAAATTTATTTTCTTAATGTATTATTTTAAAAGTCCTAGAAATAAAAACTTAATATCTTCATAATCAACCTGATGGCATGGGAATTCCTTCTTTCACACATAGCTAATTTGAATATTAACCTAATTGCAAAACTACAACCTTATGTTGAGTTTGGCTGTTTAACTTGGAAACCATTTTGAAGTCTACTTTAAGGTATTAATAAATACATGTTAAGGTAATCTGTAAAAACATAAATAGAGAAGAAATATGGGATCAAACAACATAAAGTGTTTTATAAGTGAAAAAACATGTTTTTATTTTGTGCATTTCAGGTGTGAGTATACAGTTTCTTTGTTCCCCTAGACCTGAGGAGCCCATTGAACATGTTACAGCATGCCTGCAGGCCTTACATACCTTGCTAGACTCCCCTTATGCTCGAGTCCATATTGCAGAAGATCAGGTACAGTGTATTGCTATGATAGATACTTGTGTGGTTTTTTTTTGAGTATTGCTTTACAATGGAAAAAAGGATGGATTTTTTTTCTGTATTGGATCCTATTTTAACATGATATGAATACACTGACTCCCTGTATTTATTCACCCAGTTACTTTTACTCTGTGCCTGGTCTGCCTCAAACGTGGTTTGAGGTTATAGATAGTGAAAGCAGTTTCACTGTGCCTGAATTAGGAGATAGGTACAGTGTGGTAAGTGCTATTTTAGTGCATGTAAAGCTGCAATTAGAATAGAGAGGAGGAGCCCGATGTTGTGATAGGAAAGCAAAGGATGGTTTCTCAGAGTGGGCAATGGTTGAATCAAATCTTCAAGAGGAATTAGTGAGGCAACACATGCGGGACGGGTTTTCCTCTCAGAAAGAATAGCAAATACGAACACTAGGAGGCATGAGAGAACACGGCAAGTTCAAGGGCATAGCCATTTACTATGGCCGATATGAATGGAACATGAGGTTGTTAGATGAGGCTGGACAACAAGGTGAAGACCAAATCATGAAGGTTTCTTGATGACATGTAAAAGAGTTTGAACCCTATCCTGAAAGTGATAGGGAATCATTAAAAATGTTTAAGTAGAGGAATGATGTAACTAACTTTATATTTCAGAAGGATCATTCTGTCAGCCCGTAGAGGTAGGTTGGTTTGTAAGAGATGGGAAGGGAGACAGGGAGGCCAGTTCTGAGGCTTTTTTCATAATTCCAGAGAAATGATAACACTAGCCTAGGAAGGCTGAATAAAGGAAGAAGAAAGAGGACCAAGATTGGAAGCTTGAGGATAAATAGCATTTAAAAATTGAGAAGAAGGAAATAAATCAACAGTGGAAACTGCTAGAGAAGTTTCAGGAGAACCAAAAGAGAACAGAGTTATCAAAGACAAGGGAGGAGTTTCAAGAAGGGTAGACAGAGTCTCAAAAGAAAGAATCGAGTAAATAAGCACAGAAATGAGTCTAGAGGAGGCTATTGGTGACCTCCCGCAGAGGATTGTTTGAGGTGACCAGTAGCCAGATAGTAGAAGATTGAGGAGTGAATAAGAGAGTAAAGGAAGTGGAAGCATCTAGGCTGGGAAAGGAAGGAGCCAGATACATAGAGGAGGACATAGGGTAGATAAAAGGATCTGGAGGCTTTGGGAATAGTGCAGGGGGGACATGTGATAAGAAAGACTTGAGCATTGTCATTATACTGACAAGAGTAGCCTAACTAGAGAGAGAAGTTGAAAACATACGAGATATGATCAGAGTCCTTGAAGAATCCCTAGGAAGTCAAATAGGTTAGGATAGGAGCACATAAGGAAAGATTAACCTCAGATTAAGCCTCACATAAGAGGCTGAACACATGATCTTAAGGAAAGAGGTAAAGGTGGCTTTGGTTGCAGTTAAGTCTTTTCCCCCTCTTTGAAATTTCATTTAGGTTCATTGGATGGATTTGGTATGGAAGATTGTGAGTAAGAAGCTTAAAGTGGGTGGCAAAAGTTTGTAGTAGTTGCTGAAGTGAATAGAAGAGGAACTCACCAGAGATTTCTACAATCTGTGGTAGGCAGAGGTTGTAGAAATTCTTGGATATTCAGCTCAGGTTAGAAATTATAAATTTTAGCAGCACTGGACTCTACAATACTATTTAGCTCAATTATTTCCTTCCAATAGGAGAATGATCATCTCTGAATATAAAGCACATTTAAATATGTAAATAATAAATCATTTGTTGCTTGAAAATACATAGGAGTAAAATGTGACCATTTCTCAAGATTTTTACAATGTTCTTATTTGTTACGTAGTCCTATATTTTAATTTTAGCTACCTGATTTCTTTTTTTACATAGGTATTTTCTCAGATTTTAACAATATAAAGTTATTCTTTGAGATTGAAATTACTTAACTGTATTTGTATTTATTTGTATTAGCTGATAGGTGTTGAGTTGCTGAGTGTTTTGCACCGCCTTCTATTGACCTGGAATCCATCATCTGTCCAGCTGTTGGTTACTGGAGTTGTACAACAGATAGTAAGAGCTGCTCAGGATTATTTGCAAGAGAAAAGAAACACTCTAAGTAAGCACTAGAAATTACACTAACTTGAAGTAAATCTTATTTTATACTCTAATTTTTAAAATATTAACGCCAGGACATATTTCTATAGTTCTTATTTTATTTTTTAGAGGCAGGGTCTCATTCGGTCACCCAAGCTGGAGCGCAATGATGTGATTATAGTTCAGTGTAGTCTGTAACTCCTGGGCTTAGGATCCTCCTGCCTTAGCCTTCTGAGTAGCTGAGACTATAGGCACACTCCACCAAGCCCAGCTAATTTTTTTTTTTTTTTTTTTTTTTTTTTTGCGGGCGGGACAGTCTTACTCTCAAGAGCCCAGGCTGGAGTGCAGTGGTGCAATCTCGGCTTACTGCAGCCTCAAACTCCCAGGATCAGGTGATCTTCCCACCTCAGCCTCCAGAGTACCTGGGTTTACAGACACACTCCACAATGCCCAGCTAATTTTTGTATTTTTAGTGGAGACAGGGTTTTGCCATGTTAGGCTGGTCTCGAACTCCTGAGCCCAAGTGATCCGTCCATCTCAGCATCCCAAAGTGCTGAGATTACACGTTTGAGCCACGGCACCTGGCCAGAAGTTATTAATTAAAAAAAGAATTAATCATACATTTAGAAGATTTGAAATTGATTTTATTTTCATTAGAAAGGACCAAATGAAATTGCTGAGAGTCGACTATTTTTCACCTTTTGTCAATTTCATCTGGTTCAACCTAACATGTGTTATTCCTATTACAAAATATATACCCAATAAAAATACCTGATAAAGATTTTCCAAGTGAAAAATGAACTGTCTGTTACCTTTAAGGACAGATCAATGCACAGAATTCTAGGGAGGCAGAGAATTATACAGAGAAGGACGTGTGACATTATTTGACATTTGCTTATAAATTCTTTTGAAGGAATTTCCTAAATATACTTGTGTTGTTTTACATACTTTTTTTTGGCTGGAAATTTCACCAAATTATCTTTTACCTCAGATGAAGATGATATGGAAAAAGAGGCCTGTACCGTATTGGGAGAAGGAGGTGACAGCGGTGGTCTCATTCCTGGAAAATCTCTTGTGTTTGCAACTATGGAGCTGCTGATGTTCATTTTAGTACGGCATATGCCACATCTCAGTACCAAGGTGTCAGACTCTCCAAGTCACATAGCCACTAAAACTCGACTATCAGAAGAAAGTGCTCGTTTGGTGGCAGCCACAGTTACCATACTCTCTGATTTACCATCCCTTTGTTCACCCGCTGGTACGGTATTGATCAGTATTTGGAAATGCATTATATTACAGTAGACAAAGATGAGCTTGCCTTTGATTTTAAGCACTGTTATAACCCAGTTTCCTCTTAAATCTCAAGTGAAAAATAAGAAGCTGGTCTTTTTTTAAGGTTTTGTCTACCTTTAGGAGCCTATGAAGATTAAAGATTCAAAAAGTCACAAACCTAAGGTGCTCTTTTCAGATGTGTTTCAAATAAGACATGGAACTACAGGTTGAGGAAAGACAGTGTCAGCAGATAGACATAAAGTGGAATAACTAAACTCTGTTTTCCAGTCTGGTTGCCACTCTTGAGTGACACTGAAAAACTCAAGGCCAGGTGCGGTGGCTCATGCCTATAATCCCAGCACTTTGGGAGGCTGAGGCAGGTGGATCACCTGAGCTCAGGAGTTCCTGACCAGCCTGACCAACATGGTGAAATGCCATCTCTACTAAAAATGCAAAAATATTAGCTGGGCCTGGTGGCGTATGCCCTGTAATCCCAGCTACTCAGGAAGCTGAGGCAGGAGAATCACTTGAACCCGGGAGGCAGAGGCTGCAGTGAGCCGAGATCACGCCATTGCACTGCAGCCTCAGCGACAGAGCAAGACTCTCAAAAAAAAAAAAGAAAGAAAAAGAAAAACTCTGAAGAATGTCAGAGGAGACTTTTTTTTTTTAAGCTCATCAGCTGTTGTTAATGTTAGTGTATTTTATGTGTGGCTCAAGACAATTCCTCTTCCAGTGAGGCTCAGGGAAGCCAAAAGATTAGACATTCCTGATCTGGAAGGTAAAAATGGTATCAGATAAAGAGATAAATTTCAGCTCAACTCACGGAAGACCTTTCTACCTCTTAGAGTTACCCTACATATGTGAAAATAATGAATTCTCCATATTTGGAGTTTTGCAAGCAGAGGCTACAATGGCTGCAGGTCAGAGTGGTGAAGGTATTTTTTCCTTTTGTGGGAGGTTGAATTTTCATGACCTAGAATTTTCAGTTACAAATTCTAGGATTATTTCATTTCTTCTTTCCTTGCCCCAGTAGTCCTTTTACTTTCCTGGTCTGATTAGGTTGACTTTAGTAGACTGAGGATTGATTACATGTTTTACAAGTGCTATAAAACTCATGAAGTTACTCAGATGCTTCCCACAGTATCTGGTGTGGTTTTTTCCTGTTTTTCTGTCTTCCTTTTTCGTTTTCATTACACAGGGCATGAAATATTAAATAGGTGAAGTATTAGAAGTAATAAAAATAAGGCTAGCTGGAAAAAGAAAGAAAATACCAATTCTGTCTTTGAAATAATATGACACTTTCTTATTTTCTTTTTCAAACATTGAATTATAGTAGTAGTAATACAGTAAATTTTGTATAAAGACAAGGAAAAAAACAATATTAAACCACAATCAAATGCAAAAAATACAAGCAATGAAAACAACTATAATATGGGAACTGAATAGTTATGAGGTGATCTGATTTGTTTTTCTTTCAGGATGTATGACAATCCTGCCCACAATTCTGTTCTTAATTGCAAGAATATTGAAAGACACAGCAATAAAGTCTGCAGATAATCAGGTTCCTCCACCAGTCAGTGCAGCTCTTCAAGGGATTAAAAGTATTGTGACACTTTCAATGGCCAAAACTGAGGCTGGCGTTCAAAAACAGTGGACAGCTCTGATTCGTAGCACGCTTGCTTGCATCCTGGAATATTCTCAACCAGGTAACCTATCAGTTTTAAACGTTTTAGTTAGTTAGGATATGTGTTCCCTAAGTAATGAATTAGTTGAATAAGCTTATCAGAAAACTGCTGTATAACAATGAATCATCTCAGAGAGGTATGTTAGTCATATCTTTCAGATGTGAACTTTAATACTCTTTTCTGGATTGTTGACTCTAAATGCCCTTGTGTTAATAGTTATAAACATGTTGGGGCCAGGCGTGGTGGCCCACGTCTGTAATCCCAGCATTTTGGGAGGCCAAGGTGGGCAGATACCTGAGGTCAGGAGTTTGAGACCAGCCTGATTAACACGGTGAAACCCCATCTCTACTAAAAATACAGAATTAGCCGGGTATGGTGGCACGTGCCTGTAATCCCAGCTACTTGGGAGGCTGAGGCAGGAGAATTGCTTGAACCCGGGAGGTGGAGGTTGCGGTGAGCCAAGATCACACCACTGCACTCCAGGCTCGGCAAAAAACAGAGTTTTTTGAAACTCTGTCTCAAAAAAAATATATATATAAATATACTGGGAGGTTTTTTGTTTTTTGGGGTTTTTGTTTGTTTGTTTTGTTTTTTTGAGACAAAGTCTCGCTCCGTCACCCAGACTGTAGTGCAGTGGCGTGATCTCAGCCCACTGCAACCTCCGCCTCCCGGGTTCAAGTGATTCTTCTGCCTCAGCCTCCTGAGTAGCTGGGATTACAGATGCCTGCCAACACACCCGGTTAATTTTTGCGTTTTTAATAAAGACGTGGTTTCACCGTGTTGGTCAGGCTGGTCTCAAACTCCTGATCTCATGATCTGCCTGCCTTGGCCTCCCAAAGTTGCTAGCATTACAGACGTGAGCTACCGCACCCGGCCGGGAGGTTTTAAATATATACATGTATATCTCTCTCCAGAATTTTTTTTTTTTGAGACAGGGTCTCACTGTGTTGCCCAGTCTGGAGTTCACTGGCACGATCTCAGCTCACTGCAACCTTTGCCTCCCAGATTCAAGTGATTCTCATGCCTCAGCCTCCCAAGTAGCTGGGACTACAGGTGTGCGCAACCGTGCCTGGCTAACGTGTGTATTTTTTGGTAGAGACGGGGTTTCACCATGTTGGCCAGGCTGATCTCAAACTCCTGACCTCAAGTGATCTGCCTGCCTCAGCCTCACAGGTTGCTGAGATTACAGGCATGAGCCACTGTGCCCGGCCTCTCTCCAGAATTTACATGTGTTAATATATTTATGTTTTCTTCAAGTTGTTGTTTTACAATAAAAATAATAAAACAGGAGAGAAAATTGAAGTACCTGTCACTACTCCATTGTACCCCCACATGGAACTACATGTTGATATTATGTTTTTTCGGGTGTTTTTGTTTTTTTGTTTTTTGAGATGGCGTCTCGCTCTGTTGCCAAGGCTGGAGTGCAGTGGCGCAATCTTGGCTCACCACAGCCTCCGCCTCCCAGGTCCCAGTTCAAGCAATTCTCCTGCCTCAGCCTCCTGAGTAGCTGGGATTACAGGCACGCACCACCACGCCCAGCTAATTTTTGTATTTTTAGTAGAGACGGGGTTTCACCATGTTGGCCAGCCTGGTCTTGAACTCCTGACCTCGTGATCCTCCTGCCTCGGCCTCCCAAAGTGCTGGGATTACGGGTGTGAGCCACCACACTCGGCCTGATATTATGTTTTTTCTTAGAAATATCTATCTATATAAATAAGTATGTTTTCTATATGAGTATGTGTCAGTTATATTAAATATATATTTATATATGTGTTATATAGAGAGTAAGATAACTATGAGCAATATATATTTCTGTTTTAAAATTTACATAAATAATGTCATCTCATTCTGTGACTCAACAATAACTTTTTTTACATCTGTTAATGTGAATATATAAAACTCTCATTTAACTCCCATATAGTTTCTGTCATATGTTTTTATCAATTATTATTCATTTCCCTGTCAATGATATTTTTGTTGTTTCTAATTTATCCCAGTTAAAAAGATTGCTGCAATTAACATCCTTACAAATTTCTCATGCACGTGTGCTGTGAGAGATTTTCTAGGATGTACACCTAGAAGTAGAATCGATGGTACATTTCAATGTCATCAGACATTGCCAGATTGACCTCCAACATAGCTACATGAATTTACGCTCTCACCAGCAGAGCATGATAATCTGTATTTTCCCACATTCTCACCAGTATTTGATATTGTTAGACTTTTTAATTTTGCTGTGTTTGGTAAAATATACTGTCTTACGGTTTTAATTTGCATTACTCATTTTCTTAGTAAGCATTAACATTTTTCATGTCTATGTTTAATTTTTGGTGAAATGCTTACATTTTTGTGTTTTTCTTCTGATTGACTTTTTATTTCAAGGTTTATTTCTTTTGTAAAGAAAATATAAAATAACTGAAAACAAAGAATAGTAAAGAAGGATTTGTCATCTCACCTATTAAAACATTTCCACGTTATCTAAAACTGTGGAGTAGGCCCAAGAATCAGTGGAACAGAACAGATTGCTTTGAAACAGACATTCATCCATGTGAGAATGTAATATATGATAAAATATAATATATGATAAAAGCACATTGGTTAGCTGTTTGAGAAATAAATTTCATTTAGGCTCTTATATCATGAATCAAAACAAGTACCAGATAAAATAATAACATAAAATGTTTTAAACAGGAAAACAAAGAAAATATAGGTGAATGTTTTACGTTAGAATGGCAGAGGACTGGTCGGCGTGGTGGCTCACGCCTGTAATCCCAGGACTTTGGGAGGCCAAGGCGGGTGGATCATGAGGTCAGGAGATCGACACCATCCTAGCTAACACAGGGAAACCCCGTCTCTACTAAAGATACAAAAAATTAGCTGGGCGTGGTGGCGGGCGCCTGTAGTCCCAGCTGCTTGGGAGGCTGAGGCAGGAGAACGGCATGAACCTGGGTGGCAGAGGTTGCAGTGAGCCGAGATCGCGCCACTGCACTCCAGCCTGGGCTACAGAGCGAGACTCCGTCTCAAAAAAAAAAAAAAAAAGAATGGCAGAGGACTAACTGTAAGTCAAGGAAAGATGTCACAGAGGACAATTTTACTGTTTTGGTCTATATAGAAATTAGATGGGGTGTGGTGGCTCATGCCTATAATCCCAGCCCTTTGGGAGGCTGAGACAGGTAGATCGCTTGAGCAGAGGAGTTTGTGACCATTCTGGGCAATATAGTGAGACCCTGTCTCTACAAAATAAAAAATAAATAATTAGCTGGGCATGGTGGCACACACATGTGGTCCCAGCTATTTGGGAGGCTGAGGCAGAAGGATCACTTGAGTTCGAGAAATCAAGCCTGCAGTGAGCCATGATGGTGCCACTGAACTCTGGTCTGGGTGAGAGAGTGAGACCCTATCTCAAAACAAACAAACAAACAAAAAAATTAACTTCTACCCATCAAAACACCTTACATTAAATGGTAGATGAAAAAAAGACAGCTGAAAAACTGACAATAATATTTATGTCTGTGTTGATATCATTAATATACAAAGAGTTCTTAGAAAAAATTCACTTACTCACCAATAGGTGAAAGAAGAAAGAGGCCAAACGCAGTGGCTTACACCTGAATCCCAGCACTTAGGAGGTCAAGGTGGGTTGATCACTTGAGGTCAGGAGTTCGAGACCAGCCTCAGTGGTGAAACCCCGTTTCTACTAAAAATACAAAAATTAGGCCAAGCACAGTGGCTCACTCCTGTAATCCCAGCACTTTGGGAGGCTGAGGCGGGTGGATCACCTGAGGTCAGGAGTTCAAGACCAGCCTGACCAACATGGAGAAACCCTGTCTCTACTAAAAATACAAAATTAGCTGGGCGTGGTGGCACATGCCTGTAATCCCAGCTACTCAGGAGGCTGAGGCAGGAGAATCTCTTGAATCCAGGGATGCAGAGGCTGCGGTGAGCCGAAATCACGCCATTGCACTCCATCCTGGGCAACAAGAGCAAAACTCTGTCTCAAAAAAATATATATATATACAAAAATTAGCCGGGCATGGTGGCAGGTGCCTGTAATTCCATCTACTTGGGAGGCCAAGGTGGAAGGATTGCTTGAACTCAGGAGGCAGAGGTTGCAGTGAGCTGAGATCGCACCATTGCCCTCAAGCTTGGGCGAGATTCCATTTCAAAAAAAAAAAAAAGAAAGAAAAGAACACACATCTGTATCAAAGAAAATAGAAATGGCCACCAAGCATATAAAAGAAAAATCAGGGCCGAGCACATTGGCTCACGCCTGTAATCCCAACACTTTGAGAGGCCAAGGCAGGCAAATCACAAGGGCAGGAGTTCAAGACCAGCCTGGCCAACATGGTGAAATCCCTCTCTACTAAAAACAGAAAAAATTAGCTGGGCGTGGTGGCAGGCGCCTATAATCCCAGCTACTCAGGAGGCTGAGGCAGAAGAATCGCTTGAACCTGGGAGGTGGAGGTTGTAATGAGCTGAGATCGCGCCACTGCACTCCAGCCTGGTGACAGAGCGAGACTCCCTCTCAAAAAAAAAAAAAAAGAATTGCATTATTTAGTTGAGCGCAGTGACGTGTGCCTGTGGTCCCAGCTACTCAGAAGGCTGAGGTGGGAGGATCACTTGAGCCCAGGAGGCAGAGGCTGCAGTGAGCCCAGATCGCACCACTGCACTCCAGCCTGGGCAAAAAAGCAAGACCCTGTCTCCAAAAAATAGAAGCATACTCTTTAGCCTTACTGATCAAAAAATTATGTTCAAGGTTATTTATCACCTATTATATCTATCTTACAACAATGAAAATGTGTGATAACTATATCTGGCAATGGGAAGAATTATAAAGTACATGATAGTATATTCATTTGGATAATATATCCAATATATCTATTAAGTACCATGTTTATAACCAACTATATAAATTAACCCAGACCCGAAGAAATTAAACCAAAACATAGTAATTTAATTTTTAAACTATTACTGGGTGGTAGAGTTACAAGTTTTACTTTCTCTCCTATACTCTTTTTCTATTTTAAACAATGAATACATTTAAGTGAATATGTGACTTCTAAAAAATTACCAGGGATAACTTTAGTTTTATTAATGTGATTAAAATTATTTTAGCTTTATCAAGAGCTGGTATTTTGTTTCTTAAGGTAGATTTTAACAAACTGAAGAAACATTAAAAGCCATATTTATATATGTATATGTGTGTATAGATAGGAATAACAAGGGCTGGCCATGGTAGCTCACACCTGTAATCCCAAAGGAGGCCAAAGTGGGCAGATCACGAGGTCAGGAGTTCGAGACCAGGCTGGCCAATATGGTGAAAACCCGTCTCTACTAAAAATAACAAAATTTAGCGGGGTGTGGTGGCATGTGCCTGTAATCCCAGCTACTCAGGAGGCTAAAGCAGGAGAATTGCTTGAACCCAGGAGGCAGAGGTTGCAGTGAGCTGAGATCAAGCCACTGCATCCCAGCCTGGGTGACAGAGCAAGACTCCATCTCAGGAAAAAAAAAAAAAAAAACAAGGAATAACAAGACGAAGAAATCGTTGAGAATTTGTGGCTGGGCGCAGTGGCCCACACCTGTAATCCCAGCACTTTGGGAGGCCGAGGTGGACAGATCATGAAGTCAGGAGATCGAGACCATCCTAGCTAACATGGTGAAACCCCGTCTCTACTAAAAATACAAAAAATTAGCCAGGCGTGGTGGCAGGCACCTGTAATCCCAGCTACTCAGGAGGCTGAGGCAGGAGCATGGCGTGAACCCGGGGGCGGAGCTTGCAGTGAGCTGAGATCGCGCCACTGCACTCCAGCCTGGACGACAGAGCGACACTCTGTCTCAAAAAATAAATAAATAAGAATTTGTTTTAAAATAATTAATTTAATTTTTGTTGAGGGGGTCTAGAGTCAATATTTTTGAAATTGTTCATTAAGGGAAAGTTTTGATATGTTATCAAGCTAGTTCATTCATATGAGGTGAATTTAAAGGTCTGATAATAGAATTAACTTGCCTGAGGTATTCTGTCTGGAACTGAGTTCATAGGAGACACAGCCAGTTATGAAGTAGGGATCAAAGCCACAGGCATATTTGTATATTTGTATATCGAGGCAAGCAGATCCCTTGCTTAACAAGCAAAGTTTTATAATAGAGTATTTCCATTATGGAAATCCTATTTCCTGTTACAAAATCTGGCATCTTTCACTTTAAAAAGGATATGTATGCATGTGAACATGTACAAACGTACAAAAATCTTCTTGGATCTAATGAATCACTCTTAATTGCTTCAACATTGTTTTTCGTTTTTAGATCCTTTGACTTTGAAATAAATTTCAAACTTTAAAAAACGTTGCAAGAATAACATAAGGAACTCCAGCATACCCTTCTCCTAGATTCACCAGTTGTCAACATTTTGCCACACCTGGTTTATTACTTTCTCTATAATCCACATATCATTATTGTTAATATTATTATTAATTTTGCTGAACCATCTGAGGATATGAAGTCATCATGACTCTATTCCTACGTACTTCATGGATATCCTAAGAACAAGGACATTCCCTTCCATAACCACAGAAGAATTACCAAATTTGGCACTACTTGTCCTAATAATAACCGTCATAGAGCCCTTTTCTTTTTTTTTAGTCATTATATTGCCTTAGTCTCCTTTAATCTGGGGCAGTTCCTCAGCCTTTGTCTTTCATAACATTAATGTTGTTGAAGAATACCAGCCATCTATTATGTAGAATGTTTCTCAGTTTAGAATTGTCTAATTTTTTTTTTTCCTCTCAGGTTAGATTCAATGTATGCATCTTGGCAGGAATACTGCATAAGTAATGTTATATCTTAGCACATCATATAACTAAGACATATTGCTTTGTAATGTTGCTTTGTCCCATTATTGGGAATCTTAACTTTAATAACTTTGTTAAGAAGTTGTCTGCCGTGTTTCCCCACTATGAAGTTGCCATTTTTCCATTTTATAATTAATAGGTAACCTGTGGGGAAATACTTTGAGACTTTCTCGCTTGTCTGTTCCCATCAAACTTTCTTTCTTTTTTTTTTTTTTTTAAACAGAGTCTCACTCTGTTGCCCAGGCTGGAGTGCAATGGCGCGATTTTGGCTCACCGCAACCTCCACGTCCACCTCCTATGTTCAAGCAATTCTCCCGCCTCAGCCTCCCAAGTAGCTGGGACTACAGGTGTCCGCCACCGTTCCTGGCTAGTTTTTGTATTTTTAGTAGAGATGGGGTTTTGCCACGTTGGCCAGGCTGGCTTCGAAATCCTGACCTGAGGTGATCCCCCAACCTCGGCCTCCCAAAGTGTTGGGATTGATTTACAGGCATGAGCCACTGCACCCGGCCCATAATTTTTTTTTTAATTCAGTGGGTCCCTTACTGTTACTTCAATGTGGCCCCATTATTTCTTGAGCACTTCCATACTTTCTAGCCCCAAGATGTAGCAGACTGAGTATTTCCCCCTCACTGTTCTAGAATCAGCCCCTTCTCCAAAAGCCTTGATTCCTTTCAGTAGAAAAATCATATTTAGATGCCCCATCTTCTTAAAATCACAATTTAAAAATAAAATGGGGCCGGACACCTTGGTTTAAACCTATAATCCCAGCACTTTGGGAGGCCAAGGTGGGAGGGTTGCTTTAGGCCAGAAGTTCGGACTTTCCTGGGCAATATGGTAAGACGCTGTCTCTATAAAAAATTTTTAAATTCAGCTGTACATGGTGGTGCATGCCTGTAGTCCCACCTCCTCGGGCGGCTGAGGTGGGAGGGTTGCTTGAGCCCAGGAGTTCAAGGCTGCAGTGAGTTATGATCATGGCACTGCACTCCAGCTCTTCCTTGGGGGGAAAAAAGAAAAAAAAATAATTTTTAAAAAATGAATATAAAATAATTTTTGATAAAAAATTGCTTGCAGCATTGCCAACTCTGAGTAAGAGATTATATTCTATGTAGAATAAATTTCCTATGATGGGGTTTTCAGGGTTTTTTTGTTTTAGGTTTTTTGTTTGTTTGTTTGTTTTTGAGACAGGGTCTCACTCTGTCACCCAGGCTGGAGTGTGGTGGCATGAACGCAGCTCACTGCCACCTTAACCTCTAGGGCTAAAGTGATCCTCCTGCCTCAGCCTCCCAGGTAGCTGGGACTGCAGGCATGCACCACCAAGCCTGGCTAATTTTTTTGTTTTTTGTAGAGACAGGGTCTCAGCATATTGCCCAGGCTAGTCTTGAATTCCTGAGCTCAAGCAGTCCTCCCAATTCAGTTTCCCAAAGTGCTGGGATTACAGGAGTGAGCTGCCTAGTCTGGGTGGGTTCTCAGGTTTTTAACATTCGTGACTCAGGTTATTATAAATTGATTAAATCCTTCAAATTTTACATCTCTTTTGTTTGTTTTTTTGTTTGTTTGTTTTGAGACTGAGTCTCACTCTGTCACCCAGGCTGGAGTGCAGTGGCGCAATCTTGGCTCACTGCAACCTCTGCTTCCCGGATCCAAGCAATTCTGTAGCCTCAGCCTCCCAAATAGCTGGGATTACAGGCGTGTGCCACCATGCCCAGCTAATTTTTGTATTTTTAGTAGAAATGATGTTTCACCATGTTGTCCAGTCTGTTCTAGAAATCCCAAAGTGCTGGAATTACAGGCATGAGCCACCACACCCAGCCGACATCTCTTTTTTTAAACTTTATTTCTTTACATTAAGTTAATGGACTTTTTCTAGACTATTGTTCTTAACCCTTTATTCCATATTACAAAAAGCTGGTACCCTTATTATGAGATAATGTTAGCATGTCACATATATATGTTTGTAATCCTTCTAAAGTACTGATTATCACTGGGTATTTACAGTTGCCAAAATAGGTCAAATTTACACAAAAGATAGGGATCAGTTTTATTGAAGAAATGATAATCACAAAATGTTTGGAACTCGTATTTTATATGTTCAGAAATATTGTTCTTTAGAATAAATGTTCATATTTCTAGTTATTTCTAATTACGTACTATATTTCTGTTCAAGTTGTATCTATTCCTGAATAAATGTAATGGCAAGAAATTCCTTAAAATTCTTAGAACACTGTCTTCAGGAAATTGTCCAAGTTTTTTTTTTTTTTTTTTTGAGACAGAGTTTCGCTTTTGTTGCCCAGGCTGGAGTGCAATGACACAATCTTGGCTCACTGCAACCTCCACCTCCCCGGTACAAGCGATTCTCCTGCCTCAGCCTCCCAAGTAGCTGGGATTACAAGCATGCACCACCATGCCCAGCTAATTTTGTGGTCAGGCTGGTCTCGAACTCCCAACCTCAGGTGGTCCGCCTGCCTCGGCCTCCCAAAGTGCTGGGATTACAGGCGTGAGCCACTGCACCCAACCGATTTTTTTAATGGTTATATGGAATTTACAGGTTTTCATATTTACTAAATTGAAAGGAGATATCACTTAAAAATGTACTCTGGATTTTAAAATTAGTTAGAATATTTTATAATAATTTAGCATTAAATATAACTGCATACATTTAACTTTATACATTGAACTTCTTACAGTTGTCTGTGGACTGTATTAGATTAAGGCAAGTACTACTATAAATGTTGTGGGGAGAGAGAGATGATTGTTCAAGATTAAAATTCTGGCCAGGCACAGTGGCTGACACCTGTAATCCCAGCACTTTGGGAGGCCAAGGCAGGAGGATCACTTGAGCTCAGGAGTTCAAGACCAGCCTGGACAACATGGCAAGACAACGTCTCTCTCTACAAAAATAAAAAAATAAAATGCCAAAATGTTTTAGAAACAGCACACTTCTTTCATTTTTCATTTTCAGAAGACTCTGTACCTACACCTGATGAAGTAAGCATGCTAACAGCAATTGCACTCTTCCTGTGGTCTGCTAGTAATGAAATAATAGGAGTCCAGTCATTACAGAATGGCTGCATGAACAGATTTAAAAATGCATTAAATTCATGCGACCCATGGGTAAGTTACACGTTACACAGACATAGATAAAAACATTTCCCTTTATCAGGAAAATGTCAGATTGATTCATTAAAATATGTGATACATAATGAAAAGCTAAGTATTTGCACTATGGCTTTTAAATGGAAAAACTGAAACAAATCACTGGGTTTAAGCACTAGAACACATGTGTATGTTTATTCACATATGTAGAAATTCTTCAATATCTGAAATATTTGATTAACCCCAGGGCATACTGGTAGAGACAAGAGTCTATGATTATGTTTTCCAGTGTTTATTTAAATGACGCTAAGGACATTAAAGGAGAAGCTTATATTATTGACGTTTTAATGAACCTGCTAGAAACTAGTTTGTCTAGAAAGTAAGATTTTTTATTTTACAATGTCAGAGTCTAAACTTGATTCTCAAGCCTGCTACACGTCAGAAATTTTAAAAAGCAGAAACATTCTTGAAGACCAGGTGCGGTGGCTCACGCCTGTAATCCCAGCACTTAGGGAGGCCAAGGCAGGCAGATCAGGAGGTCAGGAGTTCGAGACCAGCCTGTAGTGAAACCCCATCTCTACTAAAAATACAAAAAAAATAGCCAGGTGTGGTGGCATGCGCCTGTAATCCCAGCTACTTGGGAGGCTGAGGCAGGAGAATCACTTGAACCCAGGAGGTGGAGTGAGTTGAGATTGTGCCATTGCACCACTCCAGCCTGGGCAACAGTGTGAGACTCCGTCTCAAAAAAAAAAAAAAAAAAAAAAAAGGAAACATTCTTGGATTCCAGTACTGTCTTCCTGAATCTGAGTCTCCAGATAGGTGGCTCCAAGATCTGTATATTTAAAATGTTCTTCAGGTTTTTCTTGTGTCTAGCCATATTTAGCCACTTGTGTTCTACCAAAGCACTGAAATGGTTTTCTTCCACTGTGTCCCATATATTGGTGGGACTTCCCTCCCTCTCTTCCTTCTTTCCTTCCTTCATTTTTTTAAAAAAGTGTTAATCTGAAGCCTTTCTAATACAAAGTGGAGCCAGTAAGACTTTATTTTCTAGGTCTGGAAACCTTACATTGTTAACAGTCATTTCCAGGGAATCAAGTGGTTTTGAGATATCTAAGCAATGTATTTTTATAGCTTTGTTTCAGATCATTCAAATATTTAACCTTCCTTAGTAAATATATTTGGTTAAAATGGGAGGGACAATTGTACATTAAAGGAAGAATTAAAAACAGAAGTGGGAATAACTGATTTCTAACTTATTTCACAGTATTAAAATATGGGAATTGGCCGGGCATGGTGGCTCACACCTGTAATCCCAGCACTTTGGGAGGCCAAAGCGGGCAGATCACAAGGTCAGGAGATTGAGAGCGTCCTGACCAACATGGTGAAACCCCGTCTCTACTAAAAATACAAAAATTAGCTGGGTGTGGTGGTGCGCACCTGTAATCCCAGCTACTTGGGAGGCTGAGGCAGGAGAATCGCTTGAACCCGGGAGGCAGAGATTGCAGTGAGCCAAAATGGTGCCACTGCACTCTAGCCTGGCGACAGAGCGAGACTCCATCTCAAAAAAAGAAAAAAGAAATACAGGAATTGTATAAGCATGGTGATTTGGTCATTAAAATATATGAACATTTTTGACTAATTTTTGTCACAAAATTCTATTCTACTCCATTTCTCTAAGTAGAAAATGTAATTTCCATTTTTGTCCTGCAGTATCACTTATTTTCAGTACATAGTAAGATGCAATGTGATTGTAGAGCAAATAAGAACTATACACATGTTAATTGATAATATGTTCTTCTTATATAGGTTCAAGCCAAATGTTACCAGCTTCTCCTCTCAGTCTTCCAGCATTCCAATCGTGCCCTTTCAACTCCTTATATTCATTCATTAGCTCCAATAGTGGTTGAAAAGCTAAAAGCTGTTGAAAGAAACAGACCAGCCAGTAACATAGAGCTTTTAGCGGTTCAAGAAGGAATAAAAGTTCTTGAAACACTGGTTGCTCTTGGTGAAGAACAAAACAGTAAGTATATTCTTATAAAAAGCTACTAGTTCAGAATGAAGATCTGTATTGTATATAAATCTTATTTGATATTAGAAACAGGCCTGCTGGGCGCAGTGGCTTACACTTTGGGAGTCCCAGCACTCTGGGAGGCCAAGGTGGGTGGATCACGAGGTCAGGAGATCGAGACCATCCTGGCCAACATAGTGAAACCTGATCTCTACTAATAATACAAAAATTAGCTGGGTGTGTGGCGCACACCTGCTGTCCCAGCTACTTGGGAGGCTGAAGCAGGAGAATCACTTGGACCCGGGAGTTGGAGGTTGCAGTGAGCCGAGATCATGCCAGCGCACTCCAGCCTGGCAACAGAGCGAGACTCCATCTCAAAAAAAAAAGAAAAGAAAAAAAACCAGGCCTTTGCTTCTGTTACATAATGTAGTGAGTTGATTTTTTTCTTTGTTTGTTTTTGAGCAGGAAGTTCAAATGAATTGCCAATGGCATTTCAACACAGCGATTTTTTTTTTTCTAGGAATGTATGCATCCCTTAAGATCTAGGAAAAATATAGATGTTTAATAGGGTTTTTTTTTCTTTTTTTTTAGACAGTCTCGCTCTGTCACCCAGGCTGGCATGCAATGGCACCATCTTGGCTCACTGCAACCTCTGCCTCCTGCACTGAAACAATCCTCCCACCTCAGCCTCCGGAGTAGCTGGGACTACAGGCATGTGCCACCATGCCTGGCTAATTTTTGTATTTTTTGTAGAGACAGGTTTTTGCCATGTTGCCCAGGTTGGTCTCTGACTCCTCCTGGACTCAAGCGATCCACCTGCCTTGGCCTTTCAAAGTGCTAGAATTACAGGTGTGAGCTACCATGCCCATTTCATAGGGTTTTAAAATAATATATTCTAATCTTCATAATAGAGGTATAAAAGCTTTATAACAAATATAACCAGTTAAGTATTAATACCAAACATAATTATTAAAATATCTCAAAACTTGTTATTTAGAATTTTTTTTAATTTAATGAAAAACTACTGCATACATCCATTTAACCAGAAACTTATGCAGTTTAATATATTTTCTTTATTCCCTTAATACTTAAGCTTTGATTTTATCACAATATTTGTCCTTCAAAATATGATTTTTAATTGTAGACAGACTGTACTTTTTAAACTAGTATCTTATGATTGAACATTAAGCTGTTTTTAATTTTTCAAGATCACAAATGAAGCTTTTTTTTTTTTTTTGAAACAAAGTCTTGCCCAGGCTGGAGTGCGGTGGCACGATCTTGGCTCACCGCAACCTCCGCCTCTGAAGTTCAAGTGATTCTCCTGCCTCAGCCTCCTGAGTAGCTGGGATTACAGGCATGTGCCATAACGCCTGGCTTAGTTTTGTATTTTGAGTAGAGATGGGGTTTCACCACCTTGGCCAAGTTGGTCTTGAACTCCTCACCTCAAGTAATCCACCTGCCTCAGCCTCCCAAAGTGCTCGGATTACAAGCGTGAGCCGCTGCACCTGGCCGAGATGAGCATCTTTATTCTTAAATTATTTCTGTCAGATTCCTAAGAGTGAAATGACTGGAGAGAAGGGAATGCACATTTTAAGACTTTTAATTGGCCAGGCGCAGTGGCTCATGCCTGTAATCCCAACACTTTGGGAGGCCAAGGTGAGCAGATCACTTGAGATCAGGAGTTTAAGACTAGCCTGGCAAACGTGGTGGAACCCCATCTCTACTAAAAATACAAAAAATTAGCTGCACGCGGTGGCTCATGCCTGTAATCCCAGCACTTTGGGAGGCCAAGGCAGGCAGATCATCTGAGATCAGGAGTTCGAGACCAACCTGACCGATATGATGAAACCCTGTCTCTACTAAAAGTACAAAAATTAGCCAGGCCTCGTGGTATGCGCCTGTAATCCCAGCTACTCGGGAGACTGGACGGGAGAATTGCTTGAACCCGGGAGGCGGAGGTTGCAGTGAGCTGAGATCACCCCACTGGGCTCCAGCCTGGGTGACAGAGCGAGACTCCATCTCAAAAAAAAGAAAAAAAGACTTTTAATCTATATTGTCACATTGCTCTCCACCTACAAACTGTACCTGTTTTTTCTTTTCTGTTAAAAATTTTTTCCTCTTCTCTTAAAAACATTTCACAGAAAATTGGAAAAGTAGTGGAGATTTTTGAAAAGCGATTTCAATAGCTCCTCTATAAAATAATAATCCAGAACTATGCCAGTAGAAGAAAAGAATGCAGAGGAGAAAGTGGAAGAAAGGTTTATCTGATTTGATGATTAACTGGTTATAGAAGGCAAAAGAAAAGAAGCAAGTATTACTATGTTGCATGAAAACAACATCAAAATTGGGAAAGTCAGAAAAGGCAGTGTTTGGAGAAGTTGATAAATTTAGTTGAAATTAGTAACAATATAGGTTATTTAGGCAAAAATTTTATGACTGACATGGCCTATGTTTGGCAAATCAAAATAACTTTATTTGTATTTTTATTTTACTAATTGTAAATTCCATAAAGATGAGGACTGAATCTTACTCACTTTGTAATCCCAGCACTAAGTTTTATTGCGTTCTAGTATTTAAAATATTTTTGAGTTGACTCTTGGGATCAATTCCTTTACAGGCACCCTAATTTGGAGTTAAATTTAGCATGAGGACAGATAGGGAAGGGAACTTTTTTTTTAATTCTGTATTGTTTGATTTTTTTGACAGTAAGAATATATATATCATTTGTATAATTAAATATAGTTTAATAGCTAGTTAGGCTTTAGCAATATCTTTGAAATAAATGACCCTTTTTCAGTTTAAGATATAAAACAACCAAAGCATTGTAATTTCAACTATCAACCAGACCAATTTGTAGCATTATTAATGAGGTGTAGCAATGATCAGCACCATTGGTCAGGTGTGGTGGCTCACGCCTGTAATGCCAACACTTTGGGAGACCAAAGCGGATGGATCACGAGTTCAGGAGTTCAGGACCAGCCTGGCCAATATGGTGAAACCCCGTCTCTACTGAAAAAAAAAAAAAAAAAAAAAAAAGCCAGGAGTGGTGGCACATGCCTGTAGTCCCAGCTACTCATGAGGCTGAGGCAGGAGAATCGCTTGAACCCAGGAGGCAGAGGTTGCAGTGAGCCGAGATCACACCACTGCACTCCAGCCTGGGCAACAGAGTGAGACTCTGTCTCAAAAAAAAAAAAAAAAACCAAAAAAAAGCACCATCGTGATTTCTTCATTTTTTTAATGGACTGCTTCACTACTCAGATAACAGATGTTTTGTACTCTAACAAGACTTTTAAGAGGTAGAATAAGCAGTTTGCCTGTTTTTAAAATTAAAACTGAATCTAAGACTAAATGCCATAAAAAACCAAAGGCACACAAGTCTCATTGGTGAAATAAGATGACACTCATTAGGAGGATACCATCAAATAAATGAATGAATGTAAATCATATTAATTTGATGGCAACATTTTTATACTTCACTTCATATTTTACATAGTTACATGATTCCAAGAGGGTAAATTTTCAGCTTTTGAATTTAAGTCGTTCAACTTTTTTCATCCCATTTACAGATGTTAATTTTGTTGTCAACTTTACAGTATCCGGTATAAGAATGGGCAGTATATGTTTTTTCACCCTGCATGACCAAGGTTATAAGCTAAAAATATTAGAATTATATTTGACTCCTTGTTCATCATCTTTATTGAATCTGTTATTCAAATCTTGTCCCATTTCTTTCTGAAATTTCTCTAGGTTTCAAGAGAAACTTGCACCTTATTCTTATATCTAATCACCTCCTAAATAGATAACTATAATAGTTTTCCTAGCTGATATTCCCCATCAAATTTACCTAAAGTAATTTTATCTCTCCTTTGCTTAAGAATTTGGAAAAGTTTACTCTTTCCTTACAGCATCAAGTCTGAACGTCTTTGCTTGCTTTTCAAAATATTTTTTCTGCTCCCCAACGTGTACCTACTAACCTGACCAGACCAGTTTCCTTTCTGTGCTCCTTTTAATCGCTTACATTGTTCATATTATTTTCACTTTCTTCAGTTGTTTTTTCTCTTATTTTTTTCTTATACAAATCTATTAAACCTACATTAGATCTTTTCTTTGAGAAATATTGCCTAATTGCGTAGCTCACTCCGATTTTACCCTTCATAGAATTTATTTGGTATTTGTAACCAACCAAATAAAATCCCAAAGTATTCCTCAGTTTTGTGATTCTCTTGGTGAATTCTATACGGAAATGCTACCCACGTTTTTTAGCACTTAGTACTCTAATTGTTCTATGTGCTGTCTACTGTTTTCATTTAGATAATAAAAGAATCCAGGTAGAAACAAATTATGTAACATTTCCTATAATGCTTAGCATATTTCTAGATATTTGATGAATACTTAAATAACTTATATTTTTTCCAGTTTTATATATATATATATATATATATTTTTTTTTTTTTTTTGAGACAGAGTTTCACTCTTGTTGCCCAGGCTGGAGTGCAGTGGCCTGATCTTGGCTCACTGCAACCTCCGCCTCCCGAGTTCAAGTGATTCTCCTGCCTCAGCCTCAGGAGTAGCTGGGATTACAGGCGCCTGCCACCACGTCCAGCTAATTTGTTATATTTTTAGTAGAGATAGGGTTTCACCATGTTGGCCAGGCTGGTCTCGAACTCCTGGCCTCAGGTGATCCACCCGCCTCAGCCTCCCAAAGTGCTGAGATTACAGGCATGAGCCACTGCGTCCGGCCTCCAGTTATATTTTAAAATTGTTAAAACCAAAACCTTAATTTTCAACCTACTGTTGAAAACCTACTATTGAAACCTCTTCCAATTTAGCAAGCCAATATACTGAAGATAATTTTATATATATTTTATAATTCTCTACTTTATTTTTATTATGAAAGCCAGCTTTTATAATACTATTAACTTTTTTTTTTGAAAGGGAGTCTCGCTTTGTCGCCCATGCTGGAGTGCAATGGCACGATCTCTGCTCGCTGAGACCTCTGCCTCCCAGGTTCAAGCGATTCTCCTGCCTCAGCCTCCAGAGTAGCTGGGATTACAGGCATGTGCCACCACACCCAGCTAATATTTTTGGGTTTTTTTGTTTTGTTTTGTTTTGTTTTTTGAGACAGAGTTTCGCTCTTGTTGCCCAGGCTGGAGTGCAATGGCACGATCTCGGCTCACCACAACCTCCGCCTTCCAGATTCAAGCGATTCTCCTGCCTCAGTCTCCCTAGTAGCTGGGATTACAGGCATGCGCCACCATGCCCGGCTAATTTTTTTTTTTTTTTTGTATTTTTAGTAGAGATAGGGTTTCTCCATGTTGGTTAGGCTGGTCTCAAACTCCTGACCAGGGGATCCGCCCACCTTGGCCTCCCAAAGTGCTAGGATTACAGGCATGAGCCCACCGCGCCTACCCCTATAATACTATTAACATTGTACATGAGGGAAATTGAACTAAATCTAGAAGATTGGAGGATTTACCTGGGACTTTAAAAATAAGCTTTTTACCTCTTTTCTGAAAACTTAATATGGAAACAAATCCATTTAATTGGAAACTTCTGGGTAGTTGCCAAGAGAAAGAGTATGTATGTTTATTCATTCAAAGCATAGTTACTGGATGGCTGTGTACCAGGTAGTGTTCTAGGCATTGAGAATTTCTCGTGAAATAAAACAGGCAAAGGTCCCTGATCTCATGGAGCTTACATTTCTGGTAGGAAAACACAGACAATAAACACTTCTCGTCCCCTATACGTGTGTGTGTGTGTGTGTGTGTGTGTGTGTGTGTGTGTGTGTGTGTGTATCTGTGTCTGTTATATGTAGACATGTATCTTTGTGCAATTTTATATAGTGATGATGGATATATCAATTTTAGATGTAGATATAACATCTATAGTTAGATGCAGGAATTGATAGGAGCTGTGAAGAAAAAAATACAGCAGGGAAAGAAAATAGGGAGTAAGGTCCAGGGTGGAACTGGGATTCTGGAAAGGCTTCACTGATTATTATCACTGTCCTTGCTGACATCAGTGAGTGTCACACATTCTCTACCAGATGCTTCCTCCTGCCTTACAATTGCGTCAGTTGTCATTCTACAAAAATTAACAGTAATTAAGGGGGAGAACGCGTAATTCTCAATGTGATTATGAGATGTTATACACACACACAATTACATATAAAGGTTAATTGTTAAAAAAAATCACCTTTAATGAAACTTATATCCCAGGATGGAGTTGTTAATATAAGTAAAGACAAAAGACTAACAAAAGGAGATGAAGCCTCCAAATAAATACTTTTTTAAGGACTTGGAATTTATATCAGTCGGACATAGGTTCTTGTTTTTTTAACCCTAAGCTTATGTATTCCCTTAGTTTTGAGGAATTTCCCCTCACTGTGAGTTTTGGGGGATGATGAAATAGGAAAAAAGTTGTATTGTATTTCTACTTAAAGAGGAAAGAAACAACTAGTGTTAGTTAAATAATGGTAAATAGATGCTTTTCAGGTTTCTGTTCCTCACTCCAATCTCCTGATTCTAGAATGCCCGTAAAAATTTTATAATCTTACTCTCAAGATACATTCTACCAGGTGGCAATTGTAAAGTGTTTTATTACTTTTTAACCTTTGGCCCTTTTTTTTTTTTAAGTAAAGCAAATTAATATAAATGTAAAATATACAATATTAACAAACCTGGTTTCCAGCTTGTACATTTAGTAAATATTTAATATTAATTACGAGTTATTGAGGTCTAAAGTAGGCTGTGCATGTGTACTTATATTTTATTATGTTCAGTCTTCCATGGCAATTGCCTAGTTTTTAAAGTTTATTATAATCCTTATGTTTGTGATCTTTTTTCATACTTTATTATTTACAGGAGTCCAGCTACTTGCTCTTTTAGTTCCCACTTTGATATCTTACCTGCTGGATGAAAATTCTTTTGCCTCAGCAAGTTCAGCTTCCAAAGATCTTCATGAGTTTGCACTCCAGAATTTAATGCATATTGGACCTCTGTATCCACATGCTTTCAAGACAGTAATGGGGGCTGCTCCTGAGTTGAAAGTGCGTCTAGAAACTGCCGTTCGAGCAAGCCAAGCGAGCAAAGCTAAAGCGGCTGCCAGACAACCAGCCCCCGCCATACATTCTGCACCAACAATTAAGCTAAAAACAAGTTTTTTTTAATTTGTAATTTCATTTATTTGTATTTATGTTGTCAACTAGCCCCTAATTAGTGATGGCCACTGTATCATTCCAGGCTACCTATGGGTTCTGTTTTATTTGTATATTGGTATTATAGTGCTTCCAAGTAGGTTAAGTGAAATAATGCTCACACCACTTATTGATTTTTAAGGAGTGATTTTTTTTATCATGTGGTGAATATGTTTTCATTTTCCTCCTAATAATGTTTCTCTTTTGTTAACTTATTTATTTTTCAAACACTGAGCCATAGTCTTAAATTTAAATGCTAAAAACAATTGTATCATGTAGTCGGGCAGCCTATTGATACTGTCAGGGGAAAAAAATGGGTCAGAACTCAGCATCTGTCATGAAAAAAATCAATTGAAAAACAAGCAGATTTTAAATTTTGAAGTAATCAAAATAATGGAAAGTGTCTGTTTTGTGGTGTATATACTATGAATAAAATCACAGCATTTTCTAAGCATTTCCCAAAATGTCCTTATCTTTCTGATGGATCTTTTAGCTTTCATATCAAATTACTAAATTATGCTATGTATATTTTAGTTGGTAACAATTAAAATTCTCATTTAAAGGTTCACTAAAATGTTTAAATGTAATATAATATTCTGCTTTTTTTAATGGCTAAAATTTGGCTTCAGTTATGTTTTGTAATTACAGAACCTCAAGTTCTGGCTATGATGGTTAGTTTCCTTCATCAAATATTTATTGAATGCCTACTGTGTATAAGGCATCAAGCTAAGTGCTGCAGGGGATACAAAAATGAATTAGGCATAATTACAGTGATGCCATTCTTTCATGTAGTGGGCATTTTACCGTACGAAATAGATAATTCACACAATGAATGTTTGCCACAGCATTTAGCAAATTTTAAACACCAAGTTTTACCGCACAGTGTAACAGACTGAACAAGTATTATCAAAAGCAAGTCACTTTCTGAACATTTATCTTCTTTTCTCTTTTCCTTTCTTTTCCTTTTTCTTTTAGAGACAGAGTCTTGCACTGTTGCCCAGACTGGAGTGCAATCATAGCTCACTACACTTGAACTCCACTCAGCCTTTTAGATACCTGAGATAGGTACTTTGTCTTGCCTGTTTTCTCACTGACTTTTGGGTGTTTTTTTCTTTTCTTTTTTCTTTTCTTTTTTTTTTAGATGGAGTCTCTCTCTGTCGCGCCCAGGCTAGAGTGCAGTCGCGCGGTCTTGGCTCACTGCAACCTCCGCCTCCTGGGTTCAAGCAATTCTCCTGCCTCAGCCTCCTGAATAGCTGACATTACAGGCACCCGCCACCACACCCAGCTAATTTGTATTTTTAGTAGAGACGGGGCTTCATGTTGGTCAGGCTGGTCTCGAACTCCTGACCTCAGGTGATCTGCCTGCCTCTGTCTCCCAAAGTGCTGGGATTACAGGCGTGAGCCACCATGCCCAGCTTCTTTTCATTTTTGTTTTGTTTTGTTTTGTTTTGAAGCAGGGTCTCACTTTTGCCCAGGCTGGAGTGCAGTGGCACATGACCACGGCTCACTGCAGCCTCAATCACCCAGGCTTGAATGATCCTCCCACCTCAGCCTGCCAAAGTGCTGGGATTACAGGCGTGAGCCACCACACTTGGCGCTGGTTGTTTTTTCATTTCAGGTTTGCATTGCCACAATTATTCTCCTTGGTTTTTGTTTTTGTTTTCGCTAACAACTTCATGGAGATCCAGTTCACATACCATACAACTCAATTCAGTTTGGGCATGGTGGCTCACACCTGTAATCCCAACACTTTGGGAGGCTGAGGCCAGGAGTTTGAGGCAGCCTGGGCAACACAGCAAGTCCTCATCTCTACGTTAAACAAAAAGAAAATTAGCCAGACGCAGTGGTGCACTCCTGTAGTCCCAGCTACTCAGGAGGCTGAGACAGGAGAATTGCTTGAGCCCAGGAGTTTGAGGCTGCAATAAATTGTGATCATGCCACTGTATCCCAGCAAAGTGTACAGTTCAATGGTTTTTAGTGGTGCCACCATCACCACAATCAATTATGAACATTACCCCAAAAAGAAACCTTGTATCCTTTAGCTATCCTCCTACCATCTCCCCATTTCCCCCCAACTTAGGCTACCACTAATCTACTTTCTGTCTCTGGATTTTCCTCTCATGGACATTTCATATAAATTGAACCACTTAATATGTGGTTTTTTGTGACTGGCTTCTTACTGTAATGTTTTCTGTTTGCTTGTTTTTTGAGATGGGATCTTGCTCTGTTGCCCAGGCTGGAGTGCAGTGGCGCAATCTCAGCTCACTGCAGCCTCTACCTCCTGGGCTCAAGCAATCCTCCCACCTCAGGCTCCTGAGTAGCTGGGATTACAGGCGCACACCACCATGCCCTGCTAATTTTTCATATTTTTGTTAGAGGCAGGGTTTCACCACGTTGCCCAGGCTGGTCTTAAACTCCTGAGCTCAAGTGATCCATCTGCCTCAGCCTTCCAAAGTTCTGGTATTACAGGCATGAGCCACCAACCCACTGTAATGTTTGTTTCTTTGTTTGTTTTTGAGATGGAGCCTCACTCTGTCACCCAGGCTGGAGTGCAGTGGCACAGTCTTGGCTCACTGCAACCTCTGCCTCCTGGGTTCCAGCGATTCTCCTACCTCAGCCTCCCCAGTAGCTGGGATTACAGGCACACGCCGCCACGCCTGGCTAATTTTTTGTTTCACCGTGTTGGCCAGGCTGGTCTTGAACTCCTGAGCTCAGGCAATCCGCCTTCCTCAGCCTCCCAAAGTGCTGGGATTACAGGCGTGAGCCACCACATCCGGCCCACTGTAATGTTTTTTAAGGTTCATCCATGTTGTAGCATGAATCTGCACTTCATTCCTTTTTATGGCTGCATAGTATTCCATTGTATATATACCACATTTTGTGAATCTACTCATCAGTTGCAGGACATTTGGATTTTTCCATCTTTTTCTTGCCTGTTAGGAATAATGATGCTATGAGCAATTATGTACAAGTTTTGGGGTGGACATATGTTTTAATATTACTTGAGTATATACCTAGGAGTGAAATTGCTTGTTCAAATAAGTCTACCTTTTTCCTTTTTTTTTTCTTAAATATGGCCTTTCTGACTCATGTTTAACTTTCTAAGGAACCACCAGACTGTTTCTAATCTCCTTATTTTTTTGCACACATGCATGTACACACGTAACCCCTTTTCCCTCATCTATTTATAAAGTATGTTTATTTCTGCCTTGGCTATTTTTTGCTGTTCTTGGCTTCTCCCATCATTTCCCACTTTAGGGTAGACTGCATCATGCATTAGCAATGATCCTCTCCCTCCCTGTCTCCCTTCCTCTCTCTCTCAGTACATCTTTATGCTTTCTGTAGACCCTTCTGTTTTTGGTTTTTTTTTTTTTTTTTTTTTTTTTTTTTTTTTTTTTTGAGGCGGAGTTTCACTCTTGTTGCCCAGGCTGGAGTGCAATGGCATGATCTCGGCTCACCTCAACCTCCGCCTTCCAGGTTCAAGTGATTCTCCTGCCTCAGCATCCCGAGTAACTGGGATTACAGGCATGTGCCACTGCGACTGGCTAATTTTGTATTTTTAGTAGAGACAGGGTTTCTCCATGTTGGTCAGGCTGGTCTTGAACTCCTGAACTCAGGTGATCCACCTGCCTCGGCCTCCCAAAGTGCTGGGATTACAGGCGTGAGCCACCGTGCTTGGCCTTCTCTAGACCCTTCTAAGTCACTGACAACTTCTAGTTTTCTGTGATCATATCTGTAAAGGGAAGATCTGTTTGAAGATTATTAATTTGTTCTGCTGCCCAACCCATGAGATTTTTCTCAACCTAAATAATCTTATTTATTTGATTATGAACATCCAGTATCATGAAGCTAAAAGGAGAAGCAACATGATAGCCAGTAATTCTTTCTGAAGCATACTCTGAGCAGTTTTCATAGTTCAAGACAAAGTATCTTCTGTTTGCTTTCTAAGTTCTTACTAATCAATATTATACATTTGAATTATTATTTTTTGAGACAGGGTCTTGCTCTGTCACAAGGGCTAGATTGCAGTGTTGTCATCGTAGTTCACTAGAGCCACAAACTCCTGGGCTGCAGCGATCCTCCCTCCTCAGCTTCCTAAAGTGGTGGGATTACAGGCATGAGCCACTGCACCCAGCCTGAATTCTTTTTTTTTTTTTGAGACGGAGTCTCACTGTCGCCCAGGCTGGAGTGCAGTGGCTTGATCTCAGCTCACTGCAACCTCCGTCTCTTGGGTTCAAGCGATTCTCCTGCTTCAGCCTCCCAAGTAGCTGGGATTACAGGCGCCCGCCACAATGCCTGGCTAATTTTTGTATTTTTAGTAGAGATGGAGTTTCGCCATGTTGGCCAGGCTGACCTTGAACTCCCGACCTCAGGTGATCTGCCCACCTCGGCCTCCCAAAGTGCTGAGATGACAGGTATGAGCCACCGCGCGCCCAGGCCTGAGTTCTTTTTTTGTTTTGTTTTTGAGACAGAGTCTCGCTCTTCTGTCACCCAGGCTGGAGTGCAGTGGCGCAGATCTCGGCTGACTGCAAGCTCCGCCTCCCAGGTTCACACCATTCTCCTGCCTCAGCCCCCCGAGTAGCTGGGACTACAGTCTCCCGCCACCATGCCCAGCTAATTTTTTGTATTTTTAGTAGAGACAGGGTTTCACCGTGTTAGCCAGGACGGTCTCGATCTCCTGACCTCATGATCCGTCCACCTCAGCCTCCCAAAGTGCTGGGATTACAGGCGTGAGCCACAGTGCCCGGACCAGGCCTGATTTCTTAATTAGAGAAAACTCATCCCTGATAAGGCAAGTATCCCTGTTCTAAGTAGGTTCTGTCATCAACTAGGAATAGAAGTTTAGACAACCTGACCCTTTGGGGCTTCAGTTTTCTCATCTATAGAATGAGAAAATTTAGTAAATATCCTCTCTCTGATCTTTTACACATTAAAAAAAAAAAGTACATATAGCTGAATATTTGTCCTGCTTATTTTTATCAAGAGAATTTTTGGCCAGTCCTTTAATATTGGTACATAACATTATTTAGTCTGACAAGCAGTCTTTACATGTGTGTAGAACTACTATCACAGTGTAACAGTGTAAAATACAGTAAACAAGGCTGGGCTTGGTGGCTGATGCCTGTAATCCCAGCTCTTTGGAAGGCTGAGATTGGAGGATTGCTTGAGGCCAGGACTTCGAGCCCATCCTGTGTAACATAGCAAGAGCTTGGGAGACTGACAGAGGAGACACACTTGAGCCCAGGAGTTCAAGTTTACAGTGAGCTATCATCACGCTGCTGCACTACAGTCTGGGTGACAGAAAGGGACCCTGACTCAAAACAACAACAACAGCAACAACAAAAAAACAACCCACTAAACATAATCCAGATATAGAAGTTAAAATACTACAGGTTGGTATTGTCAGTAAGAATGACCATTTCTGTTGTGTTCCAAGCACTGTGTTAGACACTTCATACCCATTATTTATTTTCATTTAAACAATGCTGAATGATGGATATAATTATCCCAATATTGAAGACATTTATTTATATGAATTATTATCCCTACATTTTTTTTCCTCTAGTTTATTTTCGATATTAGAATTCTTAAATCTCAGTTGGAATTTTTAGGTTGATGTCAGACATGGCTAGAGTAGAACTATAAATAAATTTCTTGCCTCAGTGCTTTCCATTAGATGGATTATTTTTAAAACCTGATTTAATAATTACAAACTCATTTCTAGTTCTCTCATATCTAAAACCTTATGAAAGTATTATTTATGGGCTTCACAGAATTTTATTAAGAATTTCATATCTTAATCATTTTTTAATTTATTATTTATTTATTATTTTTTGAAACAGGGTCTCCCTCCATCGCCCAGCCTAGAGTGCAGTGGCATGGTCACAGCTCACTGAACCTCAGCTTCCTGGGCTCACGTGATCCTCACACCTCGGCTTCCCAAAGTGTTGGGATTACAGGCATGAGCCACAGCGCCCAGCCTGCCTCAGCCTCACAAGTAGCTGGGGCTACAGGCACATGCAACCATGCCTAGCTAAATTTTTTTTTTTTTTTTTTTAAGAGACAGGGTTTCACGTGTTGCCCAGGCGGGTCTTGAACTCCTGAACTCAAACAGTCCGTTTGCTTCGGATTCCAAAGTGCTGGGATTATAGGCATCAGACTCGGACCCTGGTCCCTTAATCATAATTTAGAAAAATTATACTGAGCTAAGTTTTGTTTCGTTTTGTTTTGTTTTTTTGAGACAGTCTTGCCCTGTCGCTCAGGCTGGAGTGCAGTGGCGCAATCTCAGCTCACCGCAACCTCCACCTCCCGAGTAGCTGGGACTACAGGTGAGTGCCTCCACGCCCAGCTAATTTTTGTATTTTTAGTAGAGACTGGGTTTTGCCAGGTTGGCTGGGCTGGTCTCGAACTCCTGGTCTCAAGTAATCCGTCCACCTCAGCCTCCCAAGTGCTGCGATTACAGATGTGAGCTACCACCAGTAGGAATCATTTTTTGATGGTTACTTAATAATGGATGTACCATTATTGACTTAGTCATTATGCTAATCTTAGGTAATTTACTTCCAGTTTATGTATGTATATATAAACTGGAAACTATATTTCCATATTTCCAGTATATATATATATATGTGTATATATATGTATATGTATATATGTATGTATATGTAAATATATGTATATATGTATATATATGTATATGTATATATATGTATGTATATGTAAATATATGTATATATGTATATATATGTATATTTATATAGACACACACACACATATATATGTATATACAAAGCGTGTGTGTGTGTGTATATATATATATATATATATATATATATATATATATATATATATATATATATAAAGTGTGGGCCAGGCGCGGTGGCTCACTCCTGTAATCCCAGCACTTTGGGAGGCCGAGGCGGGCGGATCACGAAGTCAGGAGATTGAGACCATCCTGGCTAACACGGTGAAACTCCGTCTCTGCTAAAAGTACAAAAAAAAAAAAAATTAACCGGGCGTGGTGGTGGGCGCCTGTAGTCCCAGCTACTCAGGAGGCTGAGGCAGGAGAATGGCATGAACCTGGGAGGCGGAGCTTGCAGTAAGCCGAGATCGCGCCACTGCACTCCAGCCTGGGCGACAGAGCGAGACTCCATCTCAAATAATAATAATTATGTTGCATTTGTGTTTAAAAAAATAGAACTTTGTGGCCAGGCACAGTGGCTCACGCCTGTAATCCCGTCATTTTGGGAGGTCAAGACGGGCGGATCACCTGAGGTCGGGAGTTCGAGACCAGCCTGACCAACATGGAGAAACCCCGTCTCTACTAAAAATACAAAATTAGCCAGGTATGGTGGTGCATGCCTGTAGTCCCAGCTACTTGGGAGGCTGAGGCAGGAGGATCACTTGAACCCAAGAGACAGAGGTTGCAGTGAGCCAAGATTGTGCCACCGGACTCCAGCCTGGGTGACAGAGCAAGACTCCTCAAAAAAAAAAAAAAAACAACAACAGTAATCACTATCACTTTTATGTTGCTCTTTATGTGTTGGCCATATTGGAGTTCTTTCAACATATCAAATATACTGTGTACTTTTCTTCCTCAGGGTATTTCAATTTTGCCAAAAATGCTCCCCATCCCACCGTCATCTTCTAGCTTATTTATACTCTTTCTTTAACATTTTAATCCGGCTACATTCTTATAAAGAAAAGTTGCAGCATTAATTTGGTTATTGCCATATACTAAAAACCATGTTATTTAAGTTATCTTTTTCCCCTACAATGAATTTTTATATATTGGCTCCTTAAGCTTGAATACTATCAGTTTATCAGGAATAATGTTATGTATTAGAGTTCACGTGAAAGTGTATATAAGCTGGTTCCAACCACTCCCACTCTTGTTACTTCATGTCCTGCAGCTGAGGGGAAATCTGGGAGAGAAGATAACATAGATAATGATAGAATTTTCCATTACAGAGAACAACTGCAAGTACTATAATTAACACATATTGAACAACAGTAGAATATTGAGGGCCTGGAGAGTAGAGGGAGAGAGATATAGTACAAGCGAAATAGGTTAAATCCTGTTTTAGAAGATCTAAGGAAAACAATGTGTTCAAAATGAAACAAAATGTATTGGATTTCTTCAACTTCATTCATTTCTCTTGTTTTTCTTGCACAGTGCCCAGATTTCGTTCCACCTCCCCCTCGCCCATCATATTTGTAAAAAATATTGTACCAGATTTGAATTTTTTTGAGGATCAACTTAATTTATGTCTAAGCACTACCAGGTGGGAGCTTGGGAAGGCAGTACTGTTCTGAGCAATTCAAGCCTAAATGAAAATTGAGTGTCGTCTGCTGAGAAAGTGGCTATACCTGGAAATGAGTGCATCTCAGCTGCAGAGTTGACAGGAATAGCAAGCTCATAAAAAACGTTCTTTTTCTATACACCACACATACACACACAGTTATTTTTATGTAATGAAGTAGACGTTAATTGTTTGAAATTCAGTTTCTGGCTTAGAAATGAGGACACCTCAGTTACTAAAAGAAAACAATCTGTTGAATAGAGCCTACACTCATTGGAAATTTTAAAAGAGAAAAGGGGTAGGGAAGCAAGGCATGGGATTGATGGGGAGAAAGGAAAAGAATGTGTTCAAAAACCAGTTTACCTTTGCTTAGAGAAATAGAATCTGAAGTTGATCACCATTAATATTCCAAGAGAAGTCTTGCTACAGCTTCAGAGCTGTATTATCATTTCAATCTCCCCTGTATTAGATATTTAGATTTGTCAAAGTAATCCTGATTTTAGATTTGAAGTATCTATTTCTGTAAATATCAGTCACTACAAAATTAATTTTAAATTAAGTTTTATTTCATTGAATTTATTAAATTTAACGAAATAAAACATCAATTTAGAAATTAAAATTAGGCAACTCCCTAACTTCAATCATACTCTTCCAAAAGAAAATAGTAGTAACAATAATGACAACTGATATGAGCAATTTTCTCATCCTATCACAAGACTGGTATAGATTTAATTCTTGGACTCCAAGAAAAATTTTAGATGCTACAATTCCTTCATTCCTAACTTAATACTGGCTGTTTCCCCAACTCAGCCATTACCAGACTTCAAATTTAGGGAGTAAGTTTGGCTGGAATCTGAGAAAGGCAGAAACAGAGACTGGCCCCCTGAAGCAGGGTAGGCAGAAAGGAGAGGTGGGAGAGATTAGGGAGTGAGGAGGTGGTAGAAGAGGTGGATAAACAATGGGTTATTGCATATTTCTATTCCCTAAAGTTCTCTTAATCCTTGGGGAGGCCTTTTCTCCTGTCAATCAAGCAGTTCTTTTTTTTTTTTTTCCTGGCCATAATTCTAAAAGAGCCATCAAGTTCAACTTAAGGACCTTTCTTTGAGCAGTTAAAGAGTCAGAGCCCCAAATAACTGGTCATTTTGGACAGTTTTAGAAAAATAGGCTGGGCACAGTGGCTCACACCTGTAATCCCAGCACTTTGGGAGGCTGAGGTGGGCAGATCACTTGAGTTCAGAAGTTCAAGACCGGCTTGGCCAACATGGCAAAACCCCGTCTCTATGAAAAATACAAAAATTAGCCAGGCGTCGTGTTGCCCGCCCCTGTTGTCCCAGCTACTTGAGAGGCTGAGGCAGGAGAATCACTTAAATCCATTAAGCAGAGGTTGCAGTGAGCTGAGATGGTGCCAGGGCACTCCAGCCTGGGCCACAGAGCAAGACCCTGTCTCAAATACAAGCAAACAAACAGAAAACATTACAGTAAGAAGCCAGTCACAAAAAAACACATATTAAGTGATTGAATTTATGTAAAATATTTGTCCGTCTCAAAAAAAAAGAACCATTCATTTTAATGACAAATTTCATTTATTTATTTATTCATTCATTCATTCATTTATTGAGAAGGACTCTTGCCCTGTCACCAGGCTGGAGTGCAGTTGTGAGATCTCGGCTCACTGTAACCTTGCCTCCCAGGTTCAAGCGATTCTCCTGCCTCAGCCTCCGGAGTAGCTGGGATTACAGGCACGCACCACCACGCCAAGCTAATTTCTATATTTTTAGTAGGCAACAGGGTTTCACGATGTTGGCGACGCTGGTCTCAAACTCCTGACCTCAAGTGATCAGACTGCCTCTGCCCCACAAAGTGCTGGGATTACAGGCCTGAGCCACTGCACCTGGCGTGACACATTTTTCAAAAGAGCAGGTGAATTGTCATTTTATAGATCTATAATCCTCATCCCACAAAGCATACACATATAAACTGAAAAACAGTAAACACTCGGCAGGGCACGGTGGCTCACGCCTGTAATCCCGGCACTTTGGGAGGCCGAGGCGGGCAGATCACGAGGACAGGAGATCGAGACCATCCTAGCCAACGTGGTGAAACCCCGTCTCTACTAAAATACAAAAAATTAGCCGGGCGTGGTGGTGTGCACCTGTAGTCCCAGCTACTGGGTAGGCTGAGGCAGAGGAATCGCTTGAACCTGGGAGGTGGAGATCGCAGTGAACCGAGAATGCACCACAGCACTCCAGCCTGGGTGACAGACCGAGGCTCTGTCAAAAAAAAAAAAAAAGCCAGGCGCGCAGTGGCTCACGTCTGTAATCCCAGCACTTTGGGAGGCTGAGGTGGGCGGATCATGAGGTCAAGAGATTGAGACCATCCTGGTTAACATGGTGAAACTCCGTCTCTACTAAAAATACGAAAAATTAGCTGGGCGTGGTAGCGTGTGCCTGTAGTCTCAGCTACTCGGGAGGCAGAGGCAGAAGAATCGCTTGAACCCGGGAGGTGGAGGTTGCAGTGAGCCGAGATCGCGCCACCGCACTCCAGCCTGGCAACAGAGCGAGACTCCATCTCAAAAAAAAAAAAAAAAAAATCAAACACTCCTATTATCTAAAGAACCTTTCAACATTTCACAATTTTCACTGTAAACTCATTATAGTGATATATAAAATCAATATTTTGACAATTGCTCTGTGTACTGGGAAAGGAATCCTTATTTTCTGTCATTTTGGCTTTATTAATTATAAAATGATCACAACACGTTGAGATCTGAGGCTTAATGATTGGGCATAGACGTTAGTTTTTTTTTTTTGGGGGGGGTTGTTTTTGTTTTCATGGTTTGTTTTTGTTTTTGTTTTTGGAGACGGAGTTTCGCTGTTGTTGCCCAGGCTACAGTGCAGTGGCGTGATCTTGGCTCACTGCAACCTCCGCCCCCCGGTTTCAAGCGATTCACCTGCTTCAGCCTCTGGAGTAGCTGGGACCACAAGTGCACACCGCCATGCCTGGCTAATTTTTTTTGTATTTTTGGTAGAGATGGGGTTTTACCATGTTGGCCAGGCTGGTCTCAAACTTCTGACCTCAGGTGATCCACCCACCTCTGCCTCCCAAAGTGCTGGGATTATAGGTGTGAGCCACCGCCGTCCGGCCTGTTTTTTTTTTTTTTTTTGAGACGGAGTCTCCCTCTGCCGCTCAATCTGGAGGGCAGTGGCACGATCTTGGCTCACTGCAACCTCCTCCTCCCAGGTTCAAGTGATTCTCCTGCCTCAGCTTCTCGAGTAGCTGGGATTACAGGCACCTGCCACTGCACCCAGCTAATTTTTTTAATTTTTAGTAGAGACGGGGTTTCACCATGTTGGCCAGGCTGGTCTCAAATTCCTGACCTCGTGATTTGCCCACCTCGGCCTCCCGAAGTGCTGGGATTACAGGCGTGAGCCACCTCACCCGGCCCTGTTTTTGTTTTTTAAAGATTATTTTAACTCTACTAATTTAAAGTTTTGAATAGGGAATGAGAAAGGAGAGAACAATGATTGAGCCCCTAGAATTTACCAGGGACTGTTTCTTTTACATATATTGTTTCAGTTACTCTTGTGAACTGTATTGCAATAATAGCTATCACTATTCCGTAATATACCATATAGTAGGCACTATGAGAGGGGATTTACTTTTTTTCTTCCATTTAACTTCACAGCAACTTTATTAGGTGACTATTATTCCCATATTAAAAAATGAGAGAATTGAGCTGGGATTACAGGCGCAAGCTGCCACGCCCAGCTAATTTTTTTTTGTATTTTAGTAGAGATGGGGTTTCTCAGTGTTGCCCAGACTGGTCTTGAACTCCTGAGCTCAGGTAATCCACCCGCCTCGGTCTTCCAAAGTGCTAGGATTGCAGGCATGAGCCACCGTGCCAGGACCAATAAGTGATAATTATGGGATTCATAGTCCTATAGTTTTAAGGCAACTTAGGGCACCAGAACTCTAAGGGAAGGCCTTCTTTTTAAAACTTTTTTTTTTTTTTGAATCACAGTCTCACTGTATTGCCTAGGCTGGAGTGCAGTGTCATGATCTTGGCTCACTGCAACCTCCACCTCCCGGGTTCAAGCGATTATCGTACCTCAGCCTCCCAAGTAGCTGGGACTACAGGCATGTGCCACCACGCCTGGCTAATTTTTGTATTCTTAGTAGAGACGGGTTTTGCCATGTTGGCCAGGCTGTTCTCCAACTGTTACCGGTGGAGAGTGTCCAGGTTGTTGAAATCTTGAACAAAGAATTGGGGAAAGCGCACAAAGCAAGGAAAGAATGAAGCAACAAAAACAGAGATTTGTTGAAAATGAAAGTAGGCTCCACAGTGCAGGGGCAGGCCCGAGCATAGGGGATCAAGAGTCCCGTTACAGAATTTTCTGGGGTTTGAATACCCTCTAGAGGTTTCCACTGGTTACTTGGTGTGCGCCCTATGTAAATGAAGAGGATGAAGTAAAGTTACAACGTCATTTAGTTGGTGTGCGCCCTATGTAAGTGGAGAGGACATTTCCTGTTATAGCTGAAGTATTTCCATTTGATTCAGTTCTAGGTAGTCAGCCTGAATCTACTTTACGTTCCCTGCCTCCAGACCCTATTCTCCTGCCTCCTGCCCACAACTCCCAGGCTCCAGTGATCTACCCGCCTCGGCCTCCCAAAGTGCTGGGATTACAGGCGTGAGCCATGGCGCCTGGCCAAAATGTAAATGAGTCCTCGTAAAGCAAAAAAAGTATTGTGAGTAATAAAGTTGAACTACGAATTAAAATAGTTTTTGTATATGTGTGGTAGTCCAGATTATCTATACATTTAATTACATTTTGTGTCTGCTATGAATTGACTTAAAGGAATTGTCGGATATGTCGTCTCACTCAAGGCCTCATTGTTGACAAGTCTCAATTTTTTTGGAATTTAGTTCCTTGAGCTGTAAATGAGAAGACTGGGCTGTATCTCAAAGGACACTGACAGCCAAAATAAGTTATGGCACAGGGAATTTGGCCAGGCCTGGATCAATCTTTGATGATAATAAAGAATGAATTCATAAAGCAGAAACATTAATTAAGCGAGAGAAGAGAGTTCTCCATCTTTATTTGCAACCAGAGCAGACACAATGTGTTTCCTGTCCTTTCTGCAAGTAGCCATGGGAAAGGGGGGGAGGGGAGAGAGGACAGGGACAGGATGTCTTTCCCTGACATGTCACTCAGCAGCCTAGATCTTTACATTTTTTCATGGCCATCAAGTCTGATAACCCACAAGTACGTCCTACAAAACGTAAGAATTTCAGATAACTTGTTAGGGTGACAAAATAAGTGCTTAATTTCATTTGCATTTGTTAAATTGTTTTCAGGGGCCTTCCTTTTTGCCACTGTTGTAGTGTGAATTTATAGTGACATATTGTCAGACTTCGGAGAAGGCAAATATTTACAGAGAGTAACTTGAAAGGACTTTGGTGTACCTTTGGTAGGCGGATGCTGTTGCCAGTTGGCAGGTGAATCGTGAAAGAAACTGGGAACAGGACAAGTGAAAACGGAGAGGGGCCAGGATATCTAAGACCGCGCTAGGGAGCAGAAAGGGAACTTGCTTTTTCAAGGTGGTGTAGCTTTTAAATTAAGCCTTTGTGATATTTGATTATACGCCAATCTTTGATGACAGAAACGATGTCATTTATCTTAATATTCCCAGCGCAAGAGAAAACCGATAATCAAAATATTTGTTCAATTAAGTAGAGTAAAAATCAGCGGGAATAAGATAGGAAAAATGAGACCGAAATAACAGAACATCTATTATTGGATGCTAAAACTTTTACAGGATTTACTGCAGGAGGACTGCAAAGGGAAAGAAACTTCAACGGAGCAGTTTTTCAGATGGGCTGTCAACAAACCACAATTTGGAAGCAGCAGCAGAAAGCTGCGGCGTTGTCTTAGAAAGGTGATCGGCGTTCCTTAGAAATGAAAACTGGTCAGGTAACAGGTTTGAGCCCCTCGAGTCAAAAGAGAAAGGCAAGAGCGACAGCGACCCGCAGATTGGCAGAATGGAGGAGCGTCTAGGGTGAGAGAAACTCCGAACACGAAGCCGAAGCGAGAGCACGCAGGGCAGCTGGCGGGAGAACCCCGGTCCCGCGGCCGCACCGGGTAGCTCGCTTTGAGCCTGTTCCTTCACAGAACGGCCAGGAAGCCTTAAAAGATGTGCAGCTCGGGCAGGTATCTTGGCGTGACAACTTCCGTGTGTGTGTGTGTGTGTGTGTGTGTGTGTTTTTGAATGCAACAGGGTGCGCCGCCCGCGAACTTCCGCGTGCGAGGAAGACTGGAGACCCGCCCGCCCGCGCCCAGCCGGCCCCAGAGGAAACCCGCTCTCCCCGCCCAGCCGGCCCCCTACGCGGCGAGCCGGGGCGGGGCGGGCCCGAGGCCACGCCCAAGCTGAGGCACAGCCCTACAGGCCGCCCGGGCCGCGCTAGCCCGCGCCCCGCCCCGCGACTACATTTCCCGGCAAGCCCCGGGCCGCCAGCGCGCCGCAGTTGACCCATTTCCCGGCCCGTCACGGGCTCGGCCGGCCCCCGCGCCCAGGAGGCTGCTCCCTGCTGACTGGGGTGTGGGCGGGAGCGGCGGAGGGAGGAGGAGGCGCTGCTTGCCGCCGCTGTTGCCTCCGCTGCTGGGCGCCGGGGCAGCTCCCCGGGTATCTGCGGCCGCCATGGACGAGCAGGCGGGTCCCGGCGTCTTCTTCAGCAACAACCACCCGGGCGCCGGCGGTGCCAAGGGGCTCGGGCCTCTGGCGGAGGCTGCCGCGGCCGGCGACGGGGCGGCTGCGGCGGGGGCGGCCCGAGCCCAGTACAGTCTCCCGGGGATCCTGCACTTCCTGCAGCACGAGTGGGCCCGCTTCGAGGTGGAGAGAGCCCAGTGGGAGGTGGAGCGGGCGGAGCTGCAGGTAAAGACCCTCCCGGCCTGGCCGTCTTCATCCCGCCTCTTTGCTCCCTTCCGCCCCGCCCCGGACCCTTCTCCCCCTCCCCCAGCCTTCTCGCGTCCCCTCCCCCTTTGCTGCCGCCCATCCCACCCGGAGCCCCGTCCCCTTCTTCTCTTCGCCTTTTGCCTTTCGCTGACCCCACCTCGACCCTGTTCTCACTCCCGCTCCTGGTGCGTTGTTTACCCTCCCCACGCCTGTTCGTCCGCCCCATCCCACTCTTAACTCCCAGACTCATTTCAACTCTCTGGCCATCCTGCATCTCAGGGCTGCCCTCTCGGTTTACTAATTGGGCTGGCAGTAGTTTTGAGAGACGCGGAGCAAATCGTCCGCTGCCCTGGTGTGCCCCTTCCTAGGTCTAGAGACAGTCTCCGCAGAACGTGCCGGCTTTGGCCCCTCTCTTCAAGGAAGGTGATCAAGAAGACAACAGAAGTTGTGTCAGGCCTTGAGTCGAGGCGAGAAGTTGACGTTGGGCAAAAGTGTTATTCATATATCAGATCCCTTTTTTTATATATGTAAATGTCTGTTCTCCACTTTCTTCCGACCCCCCGGCCCCCTCCCACGTTTCTTTTAGGTATTTCCAATTAATGCATTTTGAATGAAGGACCTAGATGATCGCAGTCAGAGAGAATGGTTAAGAGGTGGTTCCTGTTCTCAGAATCTGAAACTTCCCAAGGGTTAATTTTATGTTCAGTGTTTTGGGAGATTTTCTTGTGCTTTAAAAGGAACTAAAGGGACTTTGAAGTTAGTTACATTGCCTTGCATAATCTGCAAGATAAAGTATATCCAGGGAGGAGATAACTGTGGGCTCTGAAAAGAATGAAAGTGAGGCTGATACTTTACAAGCCATTCAGAATTGGTGAATAGGTTTTCAGTGGTTGTTCTTAAAACTTCCAGGGCATACACACCAATTTCAAAAGGAACTTAAAGAACTATGAATAGTTGTGCCTTTCTGTTTTACGGGCTAAGCCTGTATACTTATGAAATTTGAGTATAGTTTTAGTTGGCAAAACACTTGAGTTTAAAATGCTACCCAGTGTGTCACTTTTTTTGGTAACATGTATTTGGCGCTTAAGAAAAAAAAGAAGAGGAGAAATCTGTTAAATAGAATCATGTGCTGGAACAGGCTCTGGTGTAGTGGAAGTGGCTGTGGAAAGAGCGAACACACAAGGCTGTAGTAGACAAGGTTATAGTAAGGGCTGTGTTTGTTGCTAGCTCTGTGACCTTGAGGAAATCCTTTAACCTCTCTGGGTTTCAGTTTTATCATGTATTTTATTCAGCACCTGTGTATTGAGTGCCAGCTGTGTGTCTAGGCCCTGTGTTGAAAGAAAACCGACCAAGCTTCTGCCCTCATGGAGTTTATGTTTTAGTGGAGAGGCAAACAGTCCAGCAAATGCGCCTATAGAATATAATGGCTTATAGTGGCAACTGCTGTGAGGAAGAAATAAGTCAGAGTTCAGGAATAGCGTGTGATAGGGGCAGCTATTTTAGATGGGGTAGTCAGGGTAGGCCTCTGAGAGATGACAAATGAGCAGCTGAATGAAGTTAGGGAGTGACCAGTAGTTTCTATGATTTCCTTGTAAGTCTGTAGTTACATGTTTATATTATTTGGCAACTTTTTCATTCCTATTGTTATATTGCTGTAGTATTTAGTCGATCTAGTCTATCTGATATTTGCAAGTCTTCTTTGACCTTGTTTATATAGTCTCCAACAAATTTGAATACTTACAGATTGATCTTTATTAGCAGCGCATTCTATAAAAGGTGTGGATTTCAGGATTCAAGGAAATGTTAAAGGCAAAGTTTAACTTTAATGTTGTGCAGTTGTGGGGAATGATTTTTGTATTAGTTACTTAAAATTTAATTTCTTTTCCAGTTTTGGGAATATAGATAACTCACACTAATTTGGTTAAAAAAAAAAAAACAAAAACAAAACACACACACACACCAGAAAACAATGCTTACCTTTCTACCTGTAGAAGTTGGGGAATTCCAACCCATCCTTCCCCCCGCCCCGCCCCGTTCACTCCCTCTCCTCGTTTAAACTTTTCAATTTACTGGTAACTGTAGTTGATCTTCAGTTTTTATGCACACATCTCCAAACACCCCTTCCTGGGTTGTTTGTGGCAAATGTTTATTAACTTCAGGTAGCTTTCCCATGGGTGCTTATCATATTAAAGAGACTCCTTTTTTTTTTTCCTTTTATTGGAGAGAGGGTCTCGCTCTGTTGCCCAGGCCGGTGTGCAGTGGTGCAGTCTTAGCTCACTGCAACCTCCGCCTCCCAGGTTTAAGCAATCCTTCTGCCTCAGCCTCCCAAGTTTAAGCAATCCTTCTGCCTCAGCCTCCCAAGTAGCTGGGATTACAGTCATGCACCACCATGCCTGGCTTATTTTTGTATTTTTGGTAGAGACGGGGTTTCACAATGTTGGCCAGGTTGGTCTTGAACTACTGACCTCAGTGATCTGCCTGCCTCAGCCTCCCAAAGTGCTGGTATTACAGGCGTGAGCCACTGTGCCCGGCCAAGGACACTACTTTTTTGACAGCATTTTCTGTTTTGTGTTCCAATTAAAGTTTCCACAGAGAAACTTTAAAAATGTGTCATTTTCCTAACAGGATGAATATGATATATTTTGGGGGGAAGAGTTTGCAGTAATCTCTGGTCTTTGTCCCCCCTTATTAGTGTAATTGGAAAAAAAATTATTACCATCGTTACATTTGAATCTTCTTTATTTTTCTTTTGCTACTGGAATTTTCTTAGAAACACAATAGGAAGTAAAATAGTTGAATGCGTTGTGATGAAATACGGCTCAGTTGGTGTCCTCCTTTTAATTTTTAAATCTCTTCCTAAGCCATTAACACCAGAGTCAACACAAATACCTTTAAGATGAAGTCAAATTTGCCTCTTCAAGAACCTGTCAGTCCTGCTCTTTCAGGTTGCCAGGGAAGACTTGTGAAAGGCAATCCAAGCTCTCATCTGCCTGGCCTGCCTTTACTGCTTCCTCCCTCCTTCAGATCTTGGGAGTAAGGAAAGGGCCACGTTATAGCAAAAACCTATTTATTTGTCACTTATTTCACTCTTGCTCATCTTATTTGATAAATTCTCTTTTTATTTTTGGTAATGCTCCCCTCCTCACATCCAGTTGAGATTAGGCAGTAGTTCATGGGGGGAAAAAAAGAATGATTAAGATTATTAGTGAGCTTTACATTTGTGAAAGGAATTGGAGAAGGAATACTAATAATATTTGAGAAAAATTTCTGTATGTGAGGCATTGTGCTAGATGACCTCAAAGAAACATGCAGTCTAGTTATTAGTACGATATAACTTGTAGAAGAATCAGAGTGTTTATCATTTGGGGAGAAGGCTAATTTCTTTAGAATAGTGAAGGAGAGGCCGGGCGCGGTGGCTCACACCTGTAATCCCCAGCACTTTGGGAGGCCAAGGCAGGCGGATCGTGAGGTCAAGATATCGAGACCGTCCTGGCCAACATGGTGAAACCTTGTCTCTGCTAAAAATACAAAAATTAGCTGAGCATGGTGGTGTGTGCTGGAGGCTGAGGCAGGAGAATCGCTTGAACCTGGGAGGCGGAGGTTGCAGTGAGCTGAGATCGTGCCACTGCACTCCAGCCTGGCGACAGAATGAGACTCCATCTTAAGAAAAAAAAAAAGAATAGTGAAGGAGAGAAGAGCCAGCAGTGAATGGGGAGAATAGCAGGAGTAAAGAACTTTATGAGTTCATGAGAACCTAAGGCTCAGTATTTGAAAATTACTGACTTATGAGAAAGCAGGCATGTAAATAAAAAATAAAAAATGTTGGCCCTAGATTTTGATATGTGTGTGGTGTGTGGTGTAGGAGAGGCCCTGATATTTACCTGTAAGTGTTAGAGTTGTATGAAAAAGGTGGCAAGATTGAGTAGCTTAGGGCATGTGGTGTGGAGGCTGTATGCTAGAGTTTTGGCATTAATAACTTGTATTTTCTGGGTTTTGGCATTAATAATTTGTATTTTCACTCCCCAAATATTTTTCAAGCATCTACTTCATGCCAGACCTTGTTCTAGATACCGGAGATACAACAGCAAAAATACAGATCTTGCCCTTATGAAGCTTAAATTGTTGAGGCAGGCAGACAGTGATAAATAAATACATAGAATGTTGGGAAAGAAAATAAGAGGATTTGAGAGGGTGGAATGGGGAAGAAAGGATTCACTGATAAGATGCCATTCGAGCTAAGACCTGAAAAGGTGATCTCTAAGGTGAGGAAAGAGCTTTCTACACAGAAGGAACAGCTGGGGGAAGGGAGCACGCTTGGAATATTTAAGGAATATCAAGGAGGGAAAAGTGGCTAGAGTAGAGGAAGAGAATGGAAGAAGTCATGTCAAACAGGTACTAATGGAAGAAGTCATGTCAGACAGGGTCTTGCCCATTGTAAGGACTTTGGCCTTATACCTCAGCAAGCTGAGCAGCCGTCGGAATGTTTTAAGCAAAAGAGTGACACCATCTTTAAAAGGGACCCCTTGTAAGGATTCAGAACAGACTTGGAGGGAAAACAAGTAGAAGCAGCAGGGGGACTAGTTAGGAGGCTACTTTAATAAATCCAGGCAGAAGATGAACTAAGGTGGTAGTGATAAGATATGTGAATATGTATTTGATACGTATTCAAAATACAGGATTCTGAATACATTTTTAAAGGTAGAGCCAACAAGATGTGCTAAAGGATAGAATGTGGGGTTTGAGAAAAAGGGGAGTCAAAGATGACTTAACAGTTTTTAGAGGGCCAGGTGCAGTGGCTCAAAACCTGTAATCCTGTAATCCCAGTACTTTTGGGATTGAGGCTGAGGCAGGAGGATCACTTGAGTCTAGGAGTTCAAGACTAGCCTGGGCAACATGGCAAAACCCCATCTCCAGAAAAAAAAATTTTTTTAATTAGCCGGGTTAGTCCCAGCTACTTGGGAGGCTGAGGTGGGAGGATTGCTTGGGCCTGGGAGGTTGAAGCTGCAGTGAGTCATGATCACTCCACTGCACTCCAGCCTGGGCGACAGAAGGAGACCCTGTCTCAGAAAAAAAAAAAAAAAAAAAAAAAAAAAGTGCAGCCTGGGCAACATGGTGAAGCCCCATCTCTACAAAAAATTCACAAAGTTAGCTGGGTGCGTTGGCATGCGTCTGTGGTCCCAGCTACTCGTGAGGCTGAGATGGGAGGATTGCTTGAGCCCTGGAGATCAAGGCTGCACTGCGTTATGATCATGCCCCTGCACTCTAGCCTGGGTGCCAGAGTGAGGCCCTGTCTCAGAACAAATCAATCAAACAAACAAACAAACAAAAATACATGGATATAGAGAGAATGAGCAGCCTCATAGGACAGCTGAGAAGATTTACTGAGCTTTTTAATGGAAAACATAAATACTTAAAATGAGTTTGTCTTTATTATTGTGACTATTATTTATAATTATCACAAAAGGCAATATGGCAGAGACCTGGGTTTAAAATTCTTGCTTTAAAACTTACTATTGTATTTTACGCCTAAAATACATATTTGCCGTAATTCTGATCTCTCAGAGCCTTAGTTTTCTCATGTGTAAGTTAAGGATAATAAATTACCTTGTGAGAATTAAATTAAGATAATTTAAAGTACTTAGCAGAGGCATGGTACATAAGATAAAGTAAGTGCTTAATAAATGGTTGCAGATGCATGATGCTAAACTTTTGCTCTCGGTTATCTCCTCATCCCCAGAGAAAAGCATAATCTTCAGTCATGAACTTTTCTGAGGCTGGAGCATACAAGTGCCATCCTGAGGCCATGCAGTGTAATATTCTGGGTCTGACCCAGGCACTAAGAGATATTTAATGGGAGTGAATGGTTGCCTTCAGTGTCAGCCTCAGAACATTGAGGATATACTTCAAGTGTATTTGCTTTCCTTTTAATAACCCAGTAGGTATCTGTTACCTTGAAATTCATATAAACTTTTCTGAATGTGTTTATCTTAACTTTGCATTACATCATGGGTAACAAATTGTGTAAATTTACTAACCACATTATGAAATGAATCCTACATTTTATTTGGCTCTTTAAGCCACTTCCTTTACATGTGGAGCAGGTGAACTCCATTGTCATATGGTATAATTTTGTCAGCAGGTTCATTTTTCATTCTACTCATATTCTTGATAATTTCATAATCTTTATATTTTAGAAAGGTTATAGAGGCTTTAATCTTTTAAAACGTATCCTATTATTTGTCTCTTCAGTTCAGTGTTTCTCAACCTTAGCTATAATCTTAGAATAATCAGAGGGAATGAATACTAATTCCCTGGACTCTACCCCAGATCAATTAAATCAGAATCTTAGGAATGAGGACCCCTAGCATTAGTATTTTTTGAGCTCCCCAGTATACAGCAAGGATTGAGAACCACTGCTTTAGTTGTTTTTTTCTGTTTTTACATTATCTATAAAAGTTTGGTGATTTCAACACTTTTATTAGTATTCCCTATATGGATGGCTTTTTATAGAATTTGGGATATAATTTCTTTTTCCATTGTTCTTTCTGATGATAGCATTTTATTTTTAGGCAGTAGAATATTATAATTTGAATCACCTCCTTCTGACTGAGATGTAATGACAGAGTAATCTTTGAGCTGGAATGAACTTTGGAAATAATCAGCTCAGTTAGGTAAAGTGAGGTTCAGAGGGAGGCTGAATGACCAAGAATGAAATAGGTTTTGTACAAGCTGTCACTTACATCTCCAGATATCTTTACAGTTTTATTTTTTCATATTTTTTGTCTAGGGGCCAGGCTAATCATCTGTATCATTCCAATTTGAGTATATGTACTGCTACAGCCAGCACTCTTTACAGTTTTCTTTAAAGCCCTTTCAGATACACTGTACCATTTAAACTGTACAACCTTCTGAGGTAAGCAGAGCCACACTGATGCTTATTTATTTATTTTTTTTAGATAACAGGCATAAAGATTTTACTGTGTTTTACTGCTTTCTAGCTTATTTTATTGGTTGCATTTAAGATTTTCTCTGTCTTTGGTGTTATGTAGTTTCATTATGATGTGTCACAGTATAGATTTCTTTTTCTTTTTTTGAGATGGAGTCTAGCTGTGTCGCCCAGGCTGGAGTGCAGTGGCACAATCTCGGCTCACTGCAACCTCCGCCTCCTGGGTTCAAGCAATTCTCCTGCCTCAGCCTCCCGAGTAGCTGGGACTACAGACGCCCGCCACCATGCCCTGCTAATTTTTTGTATTTTTGGTAGAGATGGGGTTTCACTGTGTCAGCTAGGATGGTCTCTATCTGACCTCGTGATCCGCCCGCCTCAGCCTCCCAAGTGTTGGGATTAGAGGCGTGAGCTACCACACCCAGCCTATATTTCTTTTTATTTTGTTTGGGACTTCATTAGACTCCTTGAATTTGTGGATTGGCTTCTCATTAGTTCTGCAGATTTCTCAGTTGCTATCTTGTTAGGTTTGTCCTCGATTGCATTTTCCTTTCTTCTCCTTTTGGGTTTTTGATTACATGATCTTAGGGCTTCTCCATTATCTGCTCTGTATTTTCCATCTTTTTATCTCTCCATGCTTTATTCTCGATAATTTATTCTGACTTATTTTCCAGTCTGTGAATGACATATCTTCCACTCCATTAATTTTCTCTTCAGTTGAGTCTGATTTGTTAAAACCATCCACTGAATTTTTAGTTTTGGTTATTGTTGAAGTTCATTTTGGTTTCTTTTCAAATCTGCTCGGTCATTTCTTAAAAAAATATTGTTCTGTTCTCTGCAGGTATTTTCAGTGTCATCTTTAATTCTTTAAACATAGTAAGTAGTTATTTTTTAGTTAGTGTCTTTGCGTTTCCTTTATCTGAGGTCTTAGAGGTGCCTTTGTGTGGTCTGTTGTCTCTGCTGGTTCTTGTTCATGACGACGTGTTCCCTTGTATCCTTAGTTTACCTTTGTGTGCCGCCTGCTGTCCTTGAAAAACTGTGAGACTAGACAGGCACGGTGGCTCATGCTTGTAATACCAGCACTTTGGGAGGCTGAGGCGGGCAGATCACCTGAGGTCCGGAGTTCAAGACCAGCTTGGCCAACATGGTGAAACCCCGTCTCTACTAAAAATATAAAAATTAGCCAGGTGTGTTGGCACATGCTTGTAATCCCAGTTTCTCAGGAGGCTGAGGCAGGAGAATCACTTGAACCCAGGAGGCGGAGCTTGCAGTGAGCCAAGATCGCGCCACTGTACTCCAGCCTGGGCAACAGAGTGAGACTGTCTCAAAAAAAAAAAAAAAAAAAAAATTAGCTGGGCGTCGTGATGGGCGCCTGTAATCCCAGCTACTCGGGGGGCTGAGGCAGGAGAATCACCTGAACCTGGGAGGCAGAGGTTGCAGTGAGCCGAGATTGCACCACTGCAATCCAGCCTGGGCAACAGAGACTCCACCTCAAAAAAAAAAAAAAAAAAAAAAAAAAAAGACAAAAAGAAGAACTATGAGACTAATCTGAGCTCTCAAATAAAGGTATCTTCTTCAGAAAGGTTTTTTTTTGTTTGTTTTTTGTTTTTTACATTTCCTTCTGGTAGATGTCTAGAGTTATTACCAGTCTGGGGCCACTTTATTTTTTATTTTTATTTTTTGAGATGGTCTTACTGTCACCCAGGCTGGAGTGCAGTGGTGTGATCTTGGCTTACTGCAACCTCTGCCTTCCAGGTTCCAGCGATTCTTGTGCCTCAGCCTCCGGAGTGGCTGGGACTATAGGTGTGCACCACCACGCCTGGCTAATTTTTGTATTTTTAGTAGAGACGAGGTTTTGCCATGTTGGCCAGGCTTGTCTTGAACCCCTGGCCTCAAGTGATCTGCCCGCCTCCGCCTCCCAAAGTGCTGGAATTACAGACGTGAGCCACTGCCAGGCCTGGAATCACTTTAAAGTAAATGCATTACTTAAGATGTTTGGGCCACCCAGCTGATGTGAATTTTGGTTGTGAATACATTTGAGGGCCAATATACTTCTGTTTTGTCTTTGCTTTGAAGACATAAGCCCTTTAGGGATCTAGCTAAATGTGAGGTATATCACCTATTAGACTGTCCACTCTGGAGGGGTAGGGTGTTTGATTTTTGCTCCTTGAGTCCTGCAAGGCTGTTTGTTGTGATTGGTCAATATCCTAAGGGCAAAAATGGCTTTTTGTTCCTTTACCTCACTGGGTTCCCATTTTCCCTTTTATTTTGGCCAGATAATTCCTTCCTATTTTTGTGTTGCTTTTAAGAAAATTGTGAAAATATTTTGTCCAGAATTTTTGGCTGCGTTCAGTAGAAGAATTGTTGTGGGGCACCATAACTGGAAACTGAATTCTCTTATTTTACTTTCAAAATCTGACAAATAAGAATGGCCCTACTAATTTTTGGGGGAGAAATAATGTTGACAGACAGCACTTCTTTATCAAGAGATGTGCCTATTTAGTCCTGAACTTTATTTCAAATCTACTTTTCTTTGAATGGTAAAGGGAGACCTACAGTTTTTCTCCAAAATCTTGATAACTGAAGCAGAGTTTAAAACAAACAAAACCCTTTGCTATGCAGTCAATGAAAGGTGTTTGAAAGTTCAGATAATCTGGATAGAGTCCCCTTTGCCCACCTGCTATCTCCTTGATGTCAGCTATACTTTTGATTTGCTAATGTGTGTAGCATCCAGGTTTCAATTCTGGGCCATTAGAAATAAAATTGTCCTTGGATCTTTGGCGTTTCTTGCCTCGGTGGCCAATCTGACAAAACAATCTGTTGACCATCATAATTGGACAGTTGAAAGTATGGGCCTCAGAGTCAGACATCTCTATCACTTTCATTTTACAATTTTTCTAGGCCTCATTTTTGTAAATGTGGGTGATAATATCCCTACTAAGCAGGATCGCTGTAAGGTTTAAAAAAGATAAATATGCAAAATATGTGATATATGATGGGTGTCCAGTAAGTGGTTTGCTTTTTTGTTGGTTGAGATTTCTATGGACAGAAGGCATTAGATTTATTATTTATATAAGTCCTATTGTAGAAGCCAAGAACCAGTTTCAGTGATCCGTTTATCATAGTAGCTACTTACATTCTCTTTGTCCTGTAAGTACAGGTTGAGCATCCCTAATCCAAAAACCCCAAATTCAAAATGCTTCAAAATCTAAATCTTTTTGAGTGCTGACATGATGTCACAAGTGGAAAAATCCATACCTGACCTCGTGTGGCAGGTTGCAGTGAAAAAGCAGGTGCTTTTTCAACAGAGTTTATTTAGTATCCCATAGGGAAAAGTAAAATTACGTTTAAACTGTGTGTATAGGGTATATATGAAACATAAATGAATTTTGTGTTTAGACTTGGGTCTCATCCCCAAGATATCTCATTAGGTATATGCAAATATTCCAAAATCTGAAATCTAAAACACTTCTGGTCCCGAGCATTTCATATAAGCGGTACTCAATCTGTAGTGGTTTGAGGACAGTGAGTTGTGTGTTGGAGGTAGGGGACAGGCTAGAGATGGCAGAAGTAAGTGGTGATAGCTTGTAGATATTAAGGACTGGACGTAGTAATCGAGGCAGATTTGGAGTTCAGAAAGGACGCTTGAGGCAAGAGAGAAATTGAGGAAGGGGTTAGAAGGGGAGAAGAGACAGAAGAAGGGAGGAGAGGGGTGGAAAGAGCAGAGGCAGAGGAGAAACTGCACACATTAACCTGTTCTTAACTCTACAAAGATGTCTTATCTGTATTTTTCATTTCGGCACTTATAATTCTAGAATTCTAGGGCTGACAGGGATACACACGCATGCATATGCACATATGCACACATGTGCACTGCCCTCCTCCCTCTCGATTTTCTTTCTTCATTAGACTAAGAATATTTTACCTCAGAGGGACCTTAGAATTTAAGTAATCTCATCCCCCGTTTCATCAATTAGGGCTAGAGAAAGGAAGTGACTTTTCTCAGGTCACTGTGTGAATTGGTTTAGTCTAGTTTAGAACCCATGAGTCCTAGTACCCAGGCCAGGGCATTGCTCTCTATACCATATCCTCTCCTTTTTTTGGTCCCTCACTCTGTGTAGCTGCTTCTGACCTGAAGGAGCCAAGTGAATTTTAATATTTAGATGATTAAGTATGGTTTGAATAGCTGTCATAATTTAAATTCTTATCACTGATTATTTGAAGTTTTTCTTCGAGTAGAATAATTTAGTGAAACGGTATAGTAAGAGGTTCAGGAAAGTCTTTAACAATTTGTGTTTCTCAGAAGTGTTTAACAGTGTAGTTCTTGGACTGGGCATGGTGGCTTATGCCTTTAATCCTAGCACTTTGGGAGGCTGAGGCTGGCGGACTGCCTGAAGTCAGGAGTTTGAGACCAGCCCAGCTAACATGGTGAAACCCCGTTTCTACTAAAAATACAAAAAATTAGCTGGGCGTTGTGGCACATGCCTGCAATCCCAGTTATTTGGGAGGCTGAGGCAGGGAGAATCGCTTGAACCCAGGAGGCAGAGGTTGCAGTGAGCCGAGATCACGCCATTTCACTCCACTCCAGCTTGGGCAACAAGAGTGAAACTCCATCTAAAAAAAAAAAAAAGTGGTTCTCTCATTTCCTTAAATACTTTTATTTTTTTGTGGGGAATACTGAAATAAAATCCTTATTTCATCTTAAAAAAATCTGCAAATTTGGAGCTCTTTTTTTTTTTTTTTTTCCCCTGTTTGAGACAGGGCTTTACTCTGTCGCCCAGGCTGGAGTACAATGGTGTAATCTCAACTCACTGCAACCTCTGCCTACTGGGTTCAAACAATTCTCCTGCCTCAGCCTCCCAAGTAGTTGGGATTACAGGCACCCATCACCACACCTAATTAATTTTTTGTATTTTTAGTAGAGACAGGGTTTTGCCATATTGGCCAGGCTGGTCTTGAACTCCTGGCCTCAAGTGATCCATCTGCCTCAGCCTCCCACAGTGCTGGGATTATAGGTGTGAGCCACCACGCCTGGCCAAATTTGGAGCTTTTTTAGCTTGCTCTGAGGGTAGCTTAACTAAGTTCTGTATATATATTTTAATATAGTTTGTTTATTGATCACATATCAAATATTGTGATCTTTGATATAGCAAAGATCAAGCACTTTGATTTGATTTTTAGGTTATTTTTAATTTTTATGTTATTTGGTTAACCTAAAAATTTGATTTTTAGTTTATTTTTAATTTTTATTTTAAAGAGACTGTGTCTCTCTTCTATTCTGCCCAGGCTGGAGTGCAGTGACTATTCATAGGCATGATCATAGTTCACTGCAGCCTCACACTCCTGGGCTCAGTTGATCCTCCTGCATCAGCCTCCAGAGTAGCTGGGATTACAGTCTTGACCCACTACATCTGATTATTAGTCTATTTTTAGGCTGTTTTACATATGCTATGTTAGAACAGAATAATATGTTAACTGTGTATTTGCTCTTATGCAGAAAGTTATTTGACAAAATAAGATCACTTTCTTGGTAGACTTAATGCTGTTTTTTCTTAAAGTACCTTGGCCTGGCACGGTGGCTCACGCCTGTAATCCCAGCACTTTGGGAGGCCGAGGTGGTTGGATCATGAGGTCAGGAGATCGAGACCATCCTGGCTAACATGGTGAAACCCTGTCTCTACTAAAAGTACAAAAAATTAGCCTGGTGTGGTGGCGGGTGCCTGTAGTCCCAGCTACTTGGGAGGCTGAGGCAGGAGAATGGTGTGAACCTGGGAGGCGGAGCTTGCAGTGAGCTGAGATTGTGCCACTGCACTCCAGCCTGGGTGACAGAGCAAGACTGCATTTCCAAAAAAAAAAAAAAAAAGGACCTTATCTGTATAAGATAATGGAATATTAGAATATTAGAAAACATTGATATGGAAGAAGGAAAATTTGTTACAGAATTGACTGGAAGCAGTATGGCAGAAGACAAAAGTAGTAGGTATTTTGTTTTGTAGATGAGATGGAGAGAAAAATAAGGGAATAGGAACCCTGGAATTAAGGTGAGCTGGGGAAGTATTGAATAAGGTTGGGTGAAATAGGTATTTTGGGTGTGGCAAATATGCATCACTCACCAGAAAGATTCAAGGAAAGGGCCGGGGGAATGTTTCATTACTGAACACACAGGTTTCATTAGCATTCATTTGAATGTGAGAGAAATCAGATCCAATACTGGTATATCTAGTTATGAGAAATAAACACCATGTCAAATTCCACAACGGTGATGCCAGTTTCACCTGATGGAAAATTACAGCCCATTCTGGGATTTGTTCCTTTTTTGTTTATACTTCCTAAATGAGAAGGTTAACCATTGAGCAAAAGAGCTTAAATTATAGGCACAACCAAAACCTGCTCCCTGAGGAATGTGGATTGGTGTAAAGCTGAAAGGAGGGAACAGGGAGGAGCCTGTGATCTGGGTCAGCGCACTTGCTGAACTTGAAAAGTAGAGTCAGCCAGGGGAGAAGGTATCCATGGCCCTAGTAATTCAACCCAGTACTTTATCTTTTGTTTCTTCTTTCTGTTCTTTATCTGCCAACATTAATAATAGTTTCATTTATTGAGCATTTTCTGTGTGCCAGGTACAATGCTAAGTGCTTTATATCTACAATCTATTTTAATCCTTGTAAAACTGTATGTGGTAGATATTAATCATTCCCAAATGCATAGGTGAGAAATTTGGGAAGAAAGGTTAAATAATTTGCTGTAGAAAAAGGCTGAGTGATGGGTCTGGGCATGGTAAGTAGAAGCAAATATTTTGGCTTTTTTTTTTTTTTTTTTCTCTCGTGCTTCAGGGTCACTGTGCAGGGCTGAAATGTTTTCTTCTCCCTTGTTTGCCTGGTGAATTTCTAATCATCTTTCAAGATTCCATTAATTCTGGGAAACCTGTCTGACTTCCAGGCACAAGGAAGCTTCGTGCTTCCCTAACAGCTTGTATTACAAAGCAGAAGCATTGTTATCCAGCACCATCCAGACTGGTGGTTGATCAGTTAATCCGAAAAGATGTTAAAATGGTATCTTAAAAAATTTGTTTCAGGTTAATAGTATATAGATGTATATAGTCCTTTCCCAATGTAAGACAGGCCTACCCACCCTTCACATTTTTGTTTCTTAGAATGCTAATTCGAGTTTTGTATTGTCATTCTTGAATAAGCCACAATTGTGTGTGTGTGTGCGTGCGTGTGTATTTTCGGGACGAAATTGTTCCACCTCACATCATCAGGCGTTAGATTCTTGGGAGTGCCGCACAACCTAGATCCTTCGCATGGGCTGTTCACAGTAGGATCCGTGCTCCTATGAGAATCAGCGTTGCCTCTGATCTGACAGGAAGCGGAGCTCAGCGGGTAATGCTGGCTTGCCTGCTGCTCACCTCCTGCTATGCCACCCAGTTCCTAACAGGCCATGGACCCATATCGGTCAGTGGCCCAGGGGTTGAGAACCCGTCCTATCTCATACTTGGTATATATTTGTTTCCTCAGTAGACTCTGAGTCACCTAAGGGCATTTTTATTTCTCTAAGGTCAGTAGAGTGACTGGCACATAGTAGCTGCCTAACAAGTGGTTCTTAAATGAATGAATCATATATTAGGTTACACTGTTACTCAATATGTATTAACATGTGTCTATATATGTATATCTTGTCTGTCAGCTAAATTGTGTCCTTAAGGGCAGGACCTGTGTTTCAGACATCTTTGATATTTACCATGTTTGTCATAAATTTAGTGAATGTACAGTATATTTTGGTTTTAGGCGAGCAGTGTATCTGTCCCTTTTGCTGCTTGCTAGTTCTGCCTTACAACTTCCACTGGAAAGAGCTTTTTAGTGCAGCAAATAGTGTCTGCATTTTATTGTATAAAGCATTGCCTGGGCCATACCAAATCATTTTGACAGAGGTCATTTCAGGGATGCCACAGGCTTCATAATTGCTACTTGATGCTAGTTGTAGCAAATTGCACTTGGGTTTTGGTAGTTGTGAGTATAGTGTTGTCTCCTTCCACCCCGCCTTGTGTGTTAATCACTGACTGCCAGGAAATCTCTTTGACATAACATCCTAAAAAGTTTTTGTTATCAGTAGGGCCCTGTAACATTTTTTTCCTTTTCTAAAGCCTATGCCTTCAAGTTTTTTACAAGTGTCTTATTCCTTCTAAATTGAGAACTAATTGAATATTTTTTCTTGTAGATAAATCTTATTTTAAATATCTAGTTATCATTACTTTGCATTCTCCTTTTCTGATTTTATGTTACATTACCAATATCTTATGATATTTAAACTTTTTTGAACTCTGCTTTTTAAAATAAATAATATAAATGCCTCAATTATCTGGAACTTACACTGAAACACTGTAATCTTGTCTCTGAGCCTGCTTCCCCTCAAAAAATTTAGATTTAGCTTTTCAGATGCTTATAGCTAGCCAAGTAAGTGAGAATAAACACAAAAAGGCTAAAATATGCAAGTTCCGGAGTTGTCAAAGCTTCATGTAAAATGTGTCATTGTGGAATTTAAAAAATTCTACGCTTTTTCATCAAGGTTTTTGGTTGGGGCATTAGACACTTCCTGAAATCTGGCATTCTCCTAGGCACTGGGGATACCATGGAGAAGAGGCAGATATGGTCTTGGCTCACATGGGGCATATAATCAAGCAGTAATTCTTAACCTTGGACAGACTTGAGTCCATTATGCCAATGGTCATCTCCACTTTGCCATGCCATTTTAGTTTTCCCTAAGTAAAAACTACGCCTGTAATCCTAGCACTTTGGGAGGCCAAGGCGGGTGGATCACCTGAGGTCAGGAGTTCGAGACCAGCCTGGCCAACATGGTGAAACCTCATCTCTACTAAAAATACAAACATTAGCTGGGCGTGATGGCGCGTGCCTGTAATCCCAGCTACTCAGGAGGCTGAGGCAGGAGAATCACTTGAACTTGAGAGACGGAGGTTGCGGTGAGCCGAGATCAAGCCACTGCACTCCAGTCTGGGTGATAGAGTGAGACTCAGTCTCAAAAAAAAAAAAAAAAAAAACAAAACCAAACCAACCAACCAGTAACAACAAAAGAAACCCCTTTCTCAGCTCCCTTATCTATTAGTATTGCCATCCTGTCCCTCATTCTCCTTCATTTTACTCTGAATTTCTCTGAACGACCACATTTACTACCTTCAGTTTTTTTTACTAGTCTCATCTCTCTCTCTGTTCCTTTGTTGTCTTTCTCTTTTTCTGCTTTTGGTTACTCATTTCTCAGTCTCTTGTGATCTTGCTTCTGATCTCTATTCAGATAATTGATTACCAAATTATATATTTTTTTCAGCAGTTACTCTGACTGAAGTCCTCTCACTCTACCTAATTCCTTTTCTTTGGATGATTTACAAAATTATCTCTAACTAGTCTTGATACTTTTTTGCAGTTAAAATTGTACATGTCCAGTTTTTGCTAATGTCTTCACCTGGATGACCTACTATAACTTGAAACTCGATCATCCTTTCTAAAATCCTTTTCCCAAACCCAGTTGACCCTTTTCCTCAGATCTAGCCCCCAGTTTACCCTTTCTAGAAACCTAGCCTCAGCTTTCACTCAACCTTTCACTTTCTTATAGTCACTCTTCTAGCCATGCATTAGGTTTGTAAAATACGTAGTTTAAAATCCATTTTTAATCATTTAATTACTAGTACTACTTCTTCCCTGGTTACCTCATCACCTCATATCTGGGTGACTAAAGTAGAAGTCTTCCCTAATATTTCACTTCTGGTTTCTCCCTTGGCCAAAGTAGTTTACATAGTATTGCCTCCCAGGCTTCTAAAAATTGATTTGTTTAACACATTCTTTTTATTTTTTATTTTTGCCTGTTATAGGTTTTAAATCTCTGCACGATTAGACTGTTTATATTTCCTACATATTAGAGCACAGTCATGAATTACTTAACAACAGGGATATGTTCTGAGAAATACCTAACGAGACAATTTCATTGTTGTGTGAACATGTAGAGTGTACTTACACAACCCTAGATGGTATAGCCTGCTACATACCTAGGCTATATGGCATAGCCTATTGCTCCTAGGCTGCAAACCTGTATAGCATGTTACTATATGGAATACTGTAGGCAGATGTAACACAAGACGAATATTTGTGTATCTAAACATATCCAAGCCATAAACGTAGAGAAGGTACAGCCAAATTATGGTATAACCTTATGGTTATAGTTATGGGACCACCATCATGTATATATGGTTAATCATTGACTGAAGTGTCATTGTTCAACACATGCCTGTACTCTTTCTAAACCAAAATAGTGTCATCTTGCTTTGTACATAAATCATACCTGCTTTTTTTGTCATTGCTCAAAAGGTTTATTCTGGAATGTCCTTCGACCACCTTGTAGATTTATATATTCTTTATTCAAATTTAGCTCAAGTCCCATTTCCAACACTAAGATATTTGGATACCCTCAGCTTTCATTGATGTTTCTTTTTTAGTACTTGTTTTGTCATTTGGCAATTAGGGTGTGCTACCTTGTACTGTTTTTTACTTGCTTCTTATAAATCTGTTCAGTCAATTTAACAAATATTTATTGAGCGTCTACTACATGCAAGTAACTGTTCTAGGAATTAGGGATATAGCAGTCAACAGCACAGACAATCTCTCATCTCTTTGGCAACTTCCTCTGTACCTTTAAAGACAAATATCTCCAACACCTATCACGGTATATGTTGTTAATGATGTTAAAATTGTGTCCAAATTAACAGAAGGCCAAATTTAACATTGAAGTCCAAATTTCTTGGCTAATAATGCAAGTAAAAAAAATAGATGATACCTTTTGGCTGATCTGAATACACTGATAACTGGCTGGACGCGGTGGATCATGCCTGTAATCCCAGCACTTTGAGAGGCCGAGGCGGGCGGATCACCTGAGGTCAGGAGTTGGAGACCAGCCTGGCCAACATGGTGAAACCCGTCTCTACTAAAGTACAAAAATTAGCTAGGTGTGGTGGCACATGCCTGTAATCCCAGCTACTCAGGTGGCTGAGGCAGGAGAATCACTTGAACCTGGGAGGCGGAGGTTGCAGTGAGCCCAGATCACATCACTTTACTCCAGCCTGGGCGACAGAGTGAGACTCTGTCACAAAAAAAAAAAAAAAAAAAAAAAAAAAAAAAAAAAAAAGAGTGCACTGATAATTATAGAGGAGAGGATGATCATTCTATAGGATGAGGGGAAATGTTTTGGAAGATGGTTATTTTGTTTTTGATTTAATAATTAATTTAAAAAAAATTAGCCAAAGTAGTACTGCCTTGGAAGATGTTACTTTAACTGCATACCCTTAGTGTCCCATGAAAATGAGACAAATAAGCAGAATGCAAATAAATAAATAGAAATATTTGAAAAAAATACTTACTGTCTTGGGATCAGTACTTACCTCAGTTTTCCACATGTCATCTTTAGTTCCATATCATCACAGAATGTTAAACTTTTTAATTTGTAGTTGAGGGAACTGAGGTTGCTCAGAAAAGTAACTTTAATAAGGTTGCATATATTTGTGAGAGAACCAGGAGTAGGAATTTCCCAACTCCCACTTGGTGCTTTCTCTGTCAAAGAACATCGAATTTTTGTAGAACACAGTTCTACATTGAATTTTGTAAAACACAGTTCAGTGATTTTATATATATATATATATAATATATATGTAAATAATATATATGTTCCCGAGTTATCAAGAAAAATTGAGTTATATTCACTGGCTTTTTTTGTAATAAAGGTAGGAATTTGTAGGTTAAGATTTAATATACTTAGTGGTTAAATGAATTAATTTATCTTGAATATTTTTACATATATCTAGCATTTTATAGTATTTACTTTGTGATGTCTTTTGTTTTCAGACTGTTTGAATAAAAATTTTGACATTTCGATTTAATTTTGTGTATTTTTAGCAGGAAGTGAATATTGTGATAGTTGAAACTCAGGTAGTTATTAGTAAAAGTTTGTTTTACTAAAACTTGTCCTTCCTAGTTAAGGAATTTATTTATATTGACTTTTAAAAAAATGTCTTTCTGGCCAGGTGTGGTGGCTCATGCCTGTAATCCCAGAACTTTGGGAGGCCGAGGCAGGCAGATCATGAATTCAGGAGATGGAGACCATCCTGGCTAACATGGTAAAACCCTGTCTCTACTAAAAATACAAAAAAATTAGCCAGGCCTGGTGGCACGTGCCTGTAGTCCCTGCTACTCAGGAGGCTCAGGAAGGAGAATCACTTGAACCTGGGAGGTGGAGGTTGCAGTGAGCCGAAATCTCACCACTGCACTCCAGCCTAGGTGACAGAGCTAGAATCCGTCTCAAAAAAAAAAAGAAATTTTTGTAAGTTTGGTATAATGTGAAATAAGGAAAGATTTGGAAAATGAATCATTGACTAGAAACTATCAACTTTTTTACAAAAAAGAAACAGTTTTAGTTCTTATTTGGAATTGAGTTAAATTTAGATTTTTAGAAACTGTCTAAATTTTACGTTAGAAGAAATGATTTATTTAAAATAAAAATACATGTATATACAAAAACACAGGATATACAGAGACATATGAAGTAGAAAGTACCCTAGCCTCTCTCCATTCCTTTTTACAAACCTACTGTTTAGAGAGAAATTCTATTAACAATTTAGTGTATACCACATTTTCTGTATACACACACACACGTGGGATTTTTATTGAGCTTGCGCTTACCTTGGTAATAATTGGGATGTTTACATTTCAAGTCTTCTCAAACAAGATTTTTCTTAATTCCTTAAGTAGAGATATCCTATACTTAAATACCTAGGAATAAAGTAAATAATTTGTAGGTTTTATTACTAGTGTGAGTGGGATCTTTTTTCCATTTTATCTCTTAACTGGTTATTTCCAACACATGGGAAAGCTCTGCTGCTGTGTGCAAAGTCATTTGGTCACCTTGCAGAAATACTTTATTATTTCTCTCTTTTATTTTTCTTTCTCATATTTGGATGTTTTAGGTAGAAAAAAATCAACTGGAAATATTTCTGGTATTTATACCTCTCTTTTTCTAGTATTTTCCAGTATTTATACTGGAAAAAATCAACTGGAAATATTTAGGTAGAAAAAAATCAACTGGAAATATTTCCGGTATTTATACCTCTCTTTTTCTAGTATTTTCCAGTATTTATACCTCTCTTTTTCTAGTATTTTCCAGTATTTATACCTGTCTTTTTCTAGTATTGGCTATTAACTCTAGAGCTTTGTATCATGATGGTCATGCTACAGGGTTTTTCCTTAAAAAAAAAGTTTATTTTAAAGTTACATGAAAACTGTATAACTGTTAAGTGTAGTATTTATCATTGCTTTCTAAGAATTACTATGTGGCATGTTAAAAATGTTTCTAGTTTTCTAAGAGATGTTAAAACTAGTAGATGTTGAATTTCGTGAATTGATTTTTTGCGTCTAAGATAATATGTTGTTTTTTCTCATTTAACTAACTAATGAAATCAAGTTGGTCCTGTAGTATTTCTCTTTTGATACACTGCTGTATTTGTTTTGTTAATATTTTATTTAGGATTTTTACTTCTGCATTCTTTTTTTTTTCTGAGACAGTCTTGCACTGTCGCCCGGGCTGGAGTGCAGTGTTGCGATCTTGGCTCACTGCAACTCTGCCTCTTGGTTCAAGCGATTCTCTTGCCTCAGCCTCCTGAGTAGCTGGGATTACAGATGCATGCCACCACACCCAGCTAATTTTTTGTATTTTTAGTTGAGACGGAGTTTCACTACGTTAGCCAGGCTGGTCTCAAACTCCTGACCTCATGATCCGCCTGCCGCGGCCTCCCAAAGTGCTGGGATTACAGGCGCGAGCCACCATGCCTGACCTCTGCATTCTTAAATATAAAGTCATTATGTATTTTTGATAATGTTATTTTGAACTCAGGTACAGAGAATTAAGTTCTCCTAGTTAGACATCGCTTGGTCTGCACATGGTCCCTCTGTTGTTTAATTTACTTACCCATTTTTATCTCTATTCCTCTCATATTTATTTCCCTTCTTTTAAAAAAGTATCTTTATAAAATATCGTTGTTTTTCCTACACGTTTTTTATTTATAAAAATCCAATTGTCCCATTTTTCTCTTTTTTTAAAAAGATCCAGCTGTGATGTTTTATGTATATTAAATCCATTACTTTTAACTGTTTGATCATTTCTTTGACATATTACTAAATATTGGAATTGCTGGTTTGTTGGCTATATATACACTTGATTTGACTAAGTACTGCACATTGCTTTCCAGAATGACTGCTCTGGTCTACGTTCCCATTTGCAGTATGTGATCCCATATTGCTGCTAACACTTGGCATTATCTAGCATTCTACTTCTTGCTAGTCTGATAAATTTAAAGTTATATCTCCTACTTATATTAATTTGCATTTCTCTGATTACGACTGAATTTAAGCATCTCTTCCATAGTATGTTAGCCTTTTGGGTTTCCTCCTCTCTGAACTGCTTGCTTCTATCCTTTGTATTCCATCTAAGGAGCATGGAATGTCTTTCTGTCCATTTATTGAAATCTTCTGCTATGTATATTTACAAATAGGAACAGTTTTCTTTTTTTGTTCTATAATTTATTTTTGGCAATTTTTCAGGTTAGTGTTACAGTTTTAACAGAAAACAATGATAATTTTATTAAAGATAAATCTATACTTGTAAGTTAAATGAAGTCATTGGGATTTGTGTTTCTACTAGGAACATTACTTAAAATAACAGACATGGGCTTATGTAATGGATTTAATTTTTAAAGGATATATTTTCTGTGTCTTATTCTCTTACACATTATTTTGTTTGTGTGCGCAAAAACTTCAATTGTTTATATGAGATTACCAAATATCCTGAAAACTCTTGGAACTGCAGCCATATATTTCCTTCTACCTATGAGGAGTGCCCACCTTGATGGCAAAATCAACAGTGTATGAACTTAGATATCAGTCTTTCCTTCTTTATAACGTTTTTTCGTTATATCTGCATTGCTTTTGTATATTAAGAGAAAAACAACTTAATAAAAATTTAACTCTAACATCTGTATTTTCAACTGTCTGTTAGTGTGTATATATATGTTTTAAGTATGAGTTTTTTTGTTTGTTTTTTTGAGATAGCGTTTCACTCTTGTTGCCCAGGTTGGAGTGCAATGGCGAGATCTTGGCTCACTGAAACCTCTGCCTCCTGAGTTCAAGCAATTCTCCTGCCCCAGCCTCCCAAGTAGCTGGGATTACAGGTGCCCGCCACCACGTCCAGCTAATTTTGTTTGTATTTTTAATGGAGACGGGGTTTCACCATGTTGGCCAGGCTGGTCTCGAACTCCTGACCTCAGGTGATCCACCCACCTCTGCCTCTTAAAGTGCTAGGATTATAGGTGTGAGCCACTGTGCTCGGCCAAGTTTGTTTTAAACTGTTTTGGTTTTTTTTGAGACAGAGTCTCGTTCTGTCGTCCATGCTGGAGTGCAGTGTCAGGATCTCGGCTCACTGCAACCTCTGCCTCCCAGGTTCAAGTGATTCTCCTGCCTCAGCCTCCCCAGTAGCTGGGACTACAGGAGTGTGCCACCACGCCCAGCTAATTTTTTCTATTTTTAGTAGAGATGGGGTTTCACTGTGTTAGCCGGGATGGTCTTGATCTCCTGACCTCGTGATTCTCCCGCCTCAGCCTCCCGAAGTGCTGGGATTACAAGTGTGAGCCACTGTGCCTGGCCTATTTTAACTGTTTTATGTCTTCTGTTTTTGTGTGACAGTGAAATGATTTAATAAATATAATACTTAGAACAATGTAACATAGTAAGAGCTTCGTAAAAGTTTTATTAATCTTATATATTTATATATATATATATAGTTCTAGTCCCTGTACTTATTTTTAATAATTGTATAACCAAAATAGATGTTTTTGCTTATCTTTCTGTCTCTTCATACAAGAAAGTTGAGAAGGGAATTCAGCAGTTGTTCACACTGATTACCTCTGGGGAGTGGGATGAGGATAAAGAGGTGTATCTCTCAGTTTTTTGCTTTATATGTCTACGTAAAGTTTGTTTTTTTCCTTCTATGTTACATTTTTACTAACAAGAATTTAAAAAATCAGTCAAAATATAGTTTACTGAACTCTCTTTTTGAGCATTTGGGTGGTTTTTTGGTAGGGCAGTAATATATGGCAGAAAAGTATTATTAATAATCATCAAAGAAGCATACATTAAAGCAATATATATTTCTATTAATTAAAAAAATAAATGGCCGGGCATGGTGGCTGACACCTGTAATCCCAGCACTTTGGGAGGCCGAGGCGGGCAAATCCCTTGAGGTCAGGAGTTCGACACCAGCCTGGCCAACATGGTGAAACTCTGTCTTTACCAAAAATTCAAAAATTAGCTGGGTGTGGTGTTGCGTGCCTGTAATCCCAGCTACTCAGAAGGCTGAGTCATCAGAATTGCTTGAATCCAGGAGAAGGAGGTTGCAGTGAGCTGAGATCACGCCACTGCACTCCAGCCTGGGCAACAGAGCAAGACTCCGTCTCAAAAAAAAAGAAAAATTGATGCTAACACCCAGTACTGGGAGAGATAGATATGTTAGAACTTTACCCTCATACCTTGTTCGTGGTATTGTCAATTGGTCAGTATCTATTAAGAGATATGAAATAGTTATATTTGACCTGTTGATCCCGCTTATAGTAGTCTCTCCATGGGAAATCTTTTTAAAAAGCATTAAAATTCTATATGCATCAAGAGCACCGCTGGCAAATGATTTTGTAATAGGGAAAAATTACAAACAAACTAAATACCCAATTATAGTGGAATGAATATCAGGAATGCTTTTGGCTGCTGGTAAACCCTTTTAACAGTGACTTAACAAGTAGAGGTGATATTTTTCTCATTTTTACATGAGAAAAATATGGGTAGTCAAGGACTGGTGCAGTGGCTTAGCAATGACATAAAAAAACTAGGTTTTTTCTTTCTCATCTGCCATCCTTGATTGCCATTGTCCTTTTTGATACATTATGATTATAAGATTGCTATAGCTACAGACATTAAGACCACAGGGAAAAGCAACAAAAAGGTCTGTTTGGGTTATTTTTGGAGTAAGTCTCCTTTATCAGTGAGTGATAAGCTTTCCCAGAAGTGTCTTTTCCCCATTCCCAGCAGACATACATGTATCACTCATTGGTCACATAGCCGTGTTTGGCCACAGTAGAATCTAAGAAAGCAGGCCCTTGGCGTTCCAGATTCTATAGTGGGAAGCTACAAGTTAGAAGGGGCTTGGGAATATGTATTTCGAATAGCCGGCCCACAACATCTACCACAATGGTTAAGTAAGTTGTGGTAAACCAACTTGAAGACTTGTAATACAACCAATAAAAATGATAGTATAAAAATAATAGGGCTGGGTGCGGTGGCTCACGCCTGTAATCCCAGCACTTTGGGAGGCCGAGGTTGGGGGATCACCCAAGGTCAGGAGTTCGAGACCAGCCTGGCTGACATGGTGAAACCCGTCTCCACTAAAAAAAAAAAAAAAAATTAGCTGGGTGGGGTGGCAGGCGCCTGTAATCCCAACTACTTAGGAGGCTGAGGCAGGAGAATTGCTTGAACCCGGGAGGCAGAAGTTGCAGTGAGCCGAGATCATGCCATTGCACTCCAGCCTGAGTGACAAGAATTAGACTCCATCTCAAAAAAAAAAAAAGTTTACATAAGAAAATAAGTTATAAAATTTTGCACCATGATTCTGTTCATCTTGAGAAATGCATTGAAAGGCAAATTCAAAGGAAATAATTCAGATGATAAAAATAGAAGCTAAAATAGAGCATGTCATTTAACAGCTTTGAACATTACTTTTTTATGGGGTGGAGAGCGATGTGAAGAAAGGGGCTGCTGGTGTTCTTGGGTTGTATTTTCCAAGGCGCAATGACCAGATCATAGAGTCTGCACATAGCTTTATAGTCCCCTTTTGCAGAAGAGATTGAACTAATTTGCATTGCCACCAACAATATATAAATCTTTATATGTAATTCATTTAATATCTGTAATTCATCTGCCTGTGAACATTGGGTTTTATCATTTTAATTTACTTCCTTTGTTTTGAGACAGGGTCTCACCTCTGTTGCTCAGGCTGGAGAGCAGTGGCAGGATCAACTGGTTACTGCAGCCTCAGGCTCCCTGGGTTCAGGTCATCCTCCCACCTCAGCCTCCCTAAGTAGCTGGGCCTACAGGCATGTGCCACCATGTTCAGCTAATTTTTGTATTTTTTGTAGATAGGAGGTTTTGCCATGTTGTCCAGGCAGATCTCAAACTCTTGATCTTCAGTAATCCACCTGCCTTGGCCTCCCAAAGTGCTGGGATTACAGGCATGGGCCATTGTGCCCAGCCTAATTTACTTTTTTTTTTTTTTTTTTTTTTTTTTGAGACAGAGTCTTGCCCAGTCGCCCAGGCTGCTGTGCAGTGGTGCAGTCTTGGCCCACTGCAAGCTCTGCTTCGCGGGTTCACACCATTCTCCTGCCTCAGCCTCCCGAATAGCTGGGACTACAGGCGCCCCGCCACCATGCCTGGCTAATTTTTATTTTTATTTTTATTTTTAGTAGAGATGGGGTTTCACCATGTTAGCCAGGATGGTCTTGATCTCCTGACCTCGTGATGCATCCGCTTCGGCTTCCCAAAGTGCTGGGATTACAGGTGTGAGCCACTGCACCCAGCCCCTAATTTACTTTTTTTAAGACAAAAATGTTTTCAGATTTACAGAAAAGTTTCAAGAGGAATACAGGAAACTTTTACTCAGCTTCACCAACTATTAATATTTTCAACTGTGATAATTTGTATTTTTTATTACTAATTAGACTCTGCAGTTTTCCGTGTGATGATTCAGCTCTATATATTCTCATGGTTCTTTATCAACCTCCTGCCATTTGTTTCTGAGTAGAATCTGGCTATTTTGTTTATTAATATTGACTAATATTCACCTTTTAAGAAGGTAACCTTTTTAAAATTATTTCTCTTATATTTCTTCTATTACTTTTCCTTCGAAGTACATCTTATATAAAATGCCTCATTTGAATATGTTTACTACATATATCTTAACTCCGATTATAATGTTCATTTCTTCAGTAATCAGAAAGGGTTATACTATTTCTACAAGAATGTAAAAAGTACTTTAAAAAATTAAACTATCAGTATTTTATGTAGATTATAAGTTCAATGAAAAATTGAACTATGTCTATGGTGGGAATATGACCCAAATGCTTAAACAAAGTTTTGGTACGTGGTAGGTACTCAGTAAATGAATGAATAGATTTTACTACAGTATATTGGTTAGAATGTGAATGGATTCAGGTTCTTTTCAGGATTATTCCTTTTTGTCCTAAATACTGTATCGTGGTCTTTCCCTAGTATATGACTTTTGATTTAATATACTTTTAGTTGTTACACTATTTTGAATCACTTTTTGAAACCTGTTTTATTTACTTTTATTCTGTTCAGCAAATGCTTACAGAATAGTGATTTTGTGTCAGAAACTATTTCCACTATTAAGTGGCAAAATGAACTTTAAAAAGACTAGATGCTGGCTGGGTATGGTGGCTCATGCCTGTAATCCTAGCACTTTGGGAGGCTGAGGTGGGAGGATTGCTTGAGCTCAGGAGTTTGGGACCAGTCTGGGTAGCATACTGAGACCCTGTCACTGCAAAAAATAATAATAATAATAATAAGGAAAGAATAGATGTTGAATTTTGTTGAATGCCTTTTTTGAATCTATTTTTGATTCCTACCTCATGTTACTGCTGTGAAGAATTAAGATATATAATGCGAATAAGATAGGTATATGAAAGTGCTTTGTAAGCCACAGTGGGAAAGCTAGATATTATCATCACGTCTAATTAATGTATCTGAGATAAGGTATGGTGTATGATGTATCAGGTAATTGGTCTGTAAAAGCAACGGGAGATCCCTGAGTGGCTTCGGAAAAAGAATGTCAGTACAGTGTATCCCACGCAATAGCTTGATTAAAACAAAAAACAGGCTGGGCGCGGCGGCTCACACCTGTAATCCTAGCACTTTGGGAGGCCGAGGCGGGCGGATCACGAGGTCAGGAGATCGACCTGACCTGTAATTCCACGTGCCTGTAATTCCAGCTACTCGGGAGGCTGAGGCAGGAGAATCACTTGAACCAGCAAGTTGGAGGTTGCAGTGAGCCGAGCTCGCACCACTGCACTCCAGCCTGGCGACAGAGCAAGACTCAGTCTCAAAAAACAAACAAACAAACAAATAAAAAAAAAAAACTTGACACACTTAGAAAATGAAGGTTTGTGCTATTGGTTTTCTTTTAGTTTAGAAAAACAAAGCATTGTTTAAATATTTCTTACAAGTACAAATATAATTTTAATAAATGTTCAAAGATATCTGTAATTAAAGTTTCATTCAGCAGACATATATTATGTCTAATAGAGAACTTGCTAAGTAAGATATAAAGGATGATTACATGAAAAATCACAAAATTGTCATTAAGAGTCTTAAAAGTCAGTGATAGGACAATAGTTAAAAGATATCAAATAGTTATTTATTCTTAAACATTAAACAGGATATTAATAGTTTTAATAACCTTGAAGTTTGACAACACTGTAAAAACGCTGCAGACCACTTTTATTTATGAAAATACATGCAAATAGCAAACACCAGTTGGGCTTAAGGCTGCTACTTACTTACCCAGTAAGTGACAAAGCTGGAATTCAAACCAGGTTTGAGCTATACTAGTACTACCCTTGAAAAGGTTTCCTTACGCTCAGCTTTCCTTAATTTCTTAAACTCTTTTTTTTTTTTTTAATTGAGACAGAATCTTGCTCTATTGCCCATGCTGGAGTACAGTGACATGATCTTGGCTCCCTGCAACCTCTGCCTCCCAGATTCAAGCAATTCTTGTGCCTCAGCCTCCCAAGTAGCTGTGATTACAGGTGTACATCACCACACCTGGCTAATTTTTGTGCTTTTAGTAGAGGCGGTGTTTTGCCATGTCAGCCAGGCTGATCTTGAACTCCTGACCTCAGGTGATCCACCCGCCTCGGCCTCCCAAAATGCTGATATTACTAGTGTGAGCCACCACGCCTGGCCAATTTCTTAAACTTTTGATTATACTAAGTATGTTCCTTCTGCATGATAACACTTTTTCCTTTTATAAAATTAATCTCTCAAAATACTTTAAAATTCAAAGTACACTTTTTAGATTCTTTAAAATACTCATTGCCATGTTCATGGCCTTTAGATATGTGATCATAGCCTATTTGCTTTTCATTGACTTAGTTTCATGTTTCTTTGCCTTTTTTCCCCTACTTTTCTTTATAGAACTATTTACTAGTAATGAAGTCCTTTTAAAGAATACACTTTTTCTTCCTCCTGCTAACTGTTAAGAGAGTGTTTTATAATCACTCTGGTCATAGCCTGTAAGTTTCTTTTCTAAACTATCTTTTCAAGATACATATTTATTAAGTTGCTCTCAAATGAATATGGTCATGTCTATGCAGCAAATTTCTTTTCTTTCTTATTTCCTTCTTCTCTTTTTTTTTTTCTTTTCTTTCTTTTTTAAGGCAAGATTTCACTCTGTAGCCCAGGTTGAAGTGCAGTTGTACAAACATGACTCACTGTAGCCTCAACCTCACTGGCTCAAGTGATCCTCCCACTTGAGCCTCCCAACCAGGTAGCTGAGACTACAGGTGTGCACCACCATGCTCCGCTAAGTTATTTAGTTTTTTGTAGACATGGATTCTCAGTGCGTTGCCCAGGCTAGTCTTGAACTCCTGGTCTCAAGCCATCTTCCTGCCTTGACCTCCCAAAGTGATAAGATTACAGGCTTGAGCCATTATGCCCGACCTCTTTTTCTTTTTCTTTCTTTTCTTTTCTTTTTTTTTTTTTTTTGAGACAGTCTCACTCTTGTTGCCTAGGCTGGAGTGCAGTGGCATGATCTTGGCTCACCGCAACCTCCACCTCCCCGGTTCATGCGATTCTCCTGCCTCAGCTTCCCAAGTAGCTGGGATTATAGGCATGCACCACCACGCCCAGCTAATTTTGTATTTTTTAGTAGAGACAGGGTTTCTCCATGTTGGTCAGGCTTATCTCGAACTCCCGACCTCAGGTGATCTGCCCGCCTTGGCCTCCCAAAGTGCTGGGATTACAAGCATGAGCCACCGTTTCCGGCCCTCTTTTTCTTTTTAACTGAGCTTATTTATCTCTTCCGCAGCTTGAGTCTGGGTCCTACTGTCTTTGTCAGAGTATTTTACTATATTGACCTGGACAATTCTGCCATCATGAACCATATTCCAAACCTAAATATGTAAGAACATAGAAAGATTATTTCAGAAGGAGAATTTTAACACACATGCTTTATTCTGAAAATTCAGCAACAAAATGAAAGGTGAGTTGTGATAGTTGATGTAACAACAAATAGAAAGAAGAAAGCCTGTAATCTGTTTCAGAATGCTATTTCTGGGGCTGGTAACATCAAAAATAATCAAATTAAATGTTAACTTGCTGACTCATAAGATTTTCTCTAATTTAGAAGTTGGAGAACATGCATACTCCTATTACCACTTTCCATCTTTCTCAAATATAGTTTTTATAGTTTTCTGTTGGCTTCATCATTGTATTGAAAGATTATTAGTCACTTACATACATGTAGTTTTCTGTTAAGTCCTGTTCAATATATTACAAAATTTTGATCTATATATGTAATATCAATTAATAAGATGGTGTTAGTTAAATCAGATTACGTGTTCATTCACTTAGTCATTGTTAATACTTCACAGAATATAAATCGTGTTCCATAAGCATGAATTTCTCTCTTAATTCCACATAGTTGTATTAAAATTATGCACCATTTATCATTAGAGTAAAAGATGATGTGTCATTTATTGTAGTGGTAGAAGAAAATAAAACCAAAACAGAATCCAATCTGAAAGCTTAGGTTTTTATTGTTACTACAGTAATTACATCTTCATATACTAAGGACAGCACACTATTACTGTCCAGGAATGGTGTCTCAGACAACTGATTGCTTACAGTCTTTTCAGAGATGAAATAGGAACATAAGCAAGCAGGAAGATTTTTGTCTAAATATGAAGCAAGAAAGGCTTAAATGTCTTTATTCAGGGGATTAGGCATCATAAGTTTTTTTTTAGAGAAATTGTTTTCATGATATTTCCTATCTGCTTTTGTTACTTTGCTTTTGTCTAAGTACGTAATATTTAAAATATTTATAAATTTATTATTTACATGTTAATACCAACGTTTTTTATTTATTTTGTTTTATTAATAGGAGCTCTAATTCACATTTCATAGCCACCTTTGTATAGGCAAAAAAACTGAGAATTAAAAAAATGTTCAAAGGTTAAGGAAAAACAGACTTTCTAGTTTATGGTAATTATTGTTTATACTTCTACTTCGTATGTTCTTGCCTGTTTTTTTCCATTTACTGTGATTGAACTTTTATCTTTTAAATCAAATAACATTGAATAACCGCAGTATTGCAAGGCACTTTGGGATGGAACAGTTGAGTCTATTTTTATTTAGCTGTTGTCCTCAGCAGATTTATAATCTAGTAGAATGCAAAAATCCGCTTTTTGTTGTGTCCTCAATACAAGTGGGAAGCACTTAGTAGGCACTTAATTATTTTATGTTGAGTGCATGAATGAAGGCTTCTGCCTTTAGAGGGCTTATCTGGTTTGGGATGAGATAAATTGTGAACATTCTGAAAATTAAAAGAGAACAAGACAATAATTATGTCATAGTCCTAATTAAATGAGATTAATTATAGAAGGTGTTTGGTAGAGTACGTGATACATATTAAGTATGCCAAAGTCCTTATTTTCTTGCCTTTTTGCTGAACATTAATATAAGTCTCATAAAGTGTTAAAATAATATGTACATACAGAGGTTTTTTTGTTTTGTTTTTAAATAGAAAATAAGAAATGCTCTTGGAATTCAGAGAAGGGATTACTGTGGTGTGTGTAGGCTCAGACTAGGACATTGGTAGAATCCGAAAATGAAAGGGCATTTGGAGAGGTAGGAGAGAGAAGGGCATAAGCCAAGGCATGGAGCTGGGAATGTTCAGGTGTAGTATCTGAAGACTAACTGTCTACTTATTTTTTTAAAAATATAAAATTATGAGTTTCGTTCCTTCCTTTGCCCACCATCCTCCCCTCTGTTGCCCAGGCTAGAGCACAGTGGTGTAGTCTCAGTTCACTGCAACCTCTGCCTCCCAAATTCAAGCGATTCTTGTGCCTCAGCCTCCCGAGTAGCTGGGGCTGCAGTTTTGAGCCACCACACCGGGCTAATTTTTGTATTTTCAGTAGAGACGGGGTTTCACCATCTTGCCCATGGCTGGACTCAAACTCCTGAGTTCAAGTGATCCATCCATCTAGGCTTCTCAAAGTGCTGGGATTACAGGCATGAGCCACCGTGCCCAGCCTAATTGACTACTTTGATTGGAACATAGGATGTGTGAGTAGGAATGTGGAAGACAAAACTAGATAGAGGGGATGGGAACAGATTGTCGATAGCCTTCTTCCGTTGGGAAGAGTTTGGGCTTTATGTAGTTCCTTAAGATTTATGGATTCATAATTTATACATAAAGACTGAATGTTTTAAATATGAGAAGTGTTGCCTATTGAAGAATACTTCTTTAGAGATTATATACCTATCAACAGATAATCATGTTGGTTTAAAACATGTTAACTCTTTTGGAGCTAACCATAAACAAAATCATACGTTATAGAAGACTTATCATTTGCAAGTAATGCTTTCTGAGAGCTCTGTAAATCCTCAGATTTTAAGATTAAGACATCTTTTTGTGGAATTCCTTATCTGAATTATATTTCCATTGAGAGTAATGTTATGTTTCTTACATGTACGCATATTCTACAAGTTAATATCCTTTTCAACTTTAATGAAGGTTTTATTTCACTTGAATCCTTTTTGCTCAGGTTGGAGCATTTGCTGAATTAGTTCACTGATTTTTGATGGGGGAGATATAGAACATTTCTGTTCTTTTTCTGGTTAAGAGCTGCCATTTTCTTAGTCCTTACATTTTTCTTTCTTTGTGGGGGCAGAGAGCATTTTACATCAATAGATTTAGTTTTTTTTCTTTTTTCTTTCGAGACGGAGTCTCCCTCTGTCACCCAGGCTGGAGTGCAGTGGCGTGATCTCTGCTCACTGCAAGCTCTGCCTCCTAGGTTCACGCCATTCTTCCTCAGCCTCCAGAGTAGCTGGGACTACAGGCGCCCGCCACCACACCCGGGTAATTTTTTTGTATTTTTAGTAGAGACAGGGTTTCGCCGTGTTGGCCAGGCTGGTATCAAACTCCTGACCTCGGGTGATCCACCTGCCTCGGCCTCCCAAAGTGCAGGGGTTACAAGGTTAAGCCACCGTGCCCAGCCTAGTTTTTTTTCTTAAACTGTTTAGAGTCATCGCCTTTTAACTTTAATACAAATGCTTGGCTGGGCATGGCAGCACACACCTGTGGGCCCAGCTCCTCGAGAGGCTGAAGCAGGAGAATCGCCTGAGCCCAGGAGGTCAAGACTACAGTGAGCTGTGATCGTGCCATTGCACTCCAACCCTGTCTCAAAAAAACTTCCAAAAACAAATGCTTGGTGTTAGGCTAGACTCATGCATTTAGCCCCTACATTGGGCCTCTAGCTTCTCCATTGCCTTAACAAAGTATCTTCTGGGTAGCTCTCAAAACAGTGGTAACCATGAATGTTAAATCTATGAATATCATACTGTCTCATACCGTAAATCTGCAGAATTCCTCCCTTGATTGATATCTTATTCTCTCTTTTCTTCTACATATGTGTATATGTACATATACAGTTATCCTTTGATGTCTGTAGGGTATTGGTTCCGGGAACTCCCCCATCCAATACAAAAAACTGTGGATGCTCAAGTTCCAATTTTCTTATATAAGGTGGTGTAGTATTTGCATATAAACTATGCACACCCTCCCATATACTTTAAATCATCTCTAGATTATTTATAATACTTAATGTAAATGCTGTGAAAAGTTGTTATACTGTATTTTTAAAATTTTGTATTTATTGTTTATTGAATGTTTTTGATAGATGGTTGACTGAATCTGCAGGTGTAGAACTCATGGATATGAAGGGCTAACTGCATATATATGTGTGTGTGTGTGTGTGTGTGTGTGTAAATTAAAAAAAAATGGAATTTCTAGCCCTTTGAGCAAACATAAGGAACATTTATAAAGAGGTGAAAGATAGGAAGATGTGCTGAGGGAATTTAACTGACTGATTCGAGTTCTGAGGGAGCCTTTGGGATCTCAAGAAACCTACTGATGTACATTTATTTATAAGCTGCCATAAGGTGATAATGTGGGTGTAATTAATTTAGTGCTTTAAGTGAGAATTTGGGCAGTTGAGGGTTTTCTGTATACGAAAATCTATGTTTGTAATCTTACATTTAGGGATGGAGAGATTGCTTTTGAAAGAATATACCAGTATCTCCTATAGCATTTCAGAGGTAAAATGTTATCTAGAAGGATCACTTGAGCCCGGGAGTTCAAGGCTGTAGTGAACTATGATCATGCCACTGTACTCCTAACCTGGCAGCAAAGAGAGACCCTCATCTCTAAAAAACATAAAATGAAATTTATCTTTATTTTCAATATAATCCATAAGTTCACATCTTATCTTTTTTTGAAATGTGACAATAGGTAAATAAATAAAATGGTACAGTAATTTTATTTATTAGGAAAATTTCAGGAGACTGACTAGTTTGTTAAAATGTGAAACTAGGCCGGGTGCGGTGGCTCACGCGTGTAATCCCAGCATTTTGGGAGGCCGAGGCAGGCAGATCACCCGAGGTCAGGAGTTTGATACCAGCCTGGCCAACACGGTGAAACCCTGTCTCTACTAAAAATACAAAAATTAGCCAGACGCAGTGGCGGGTGCCTGTAATCCCAGCTACTCTGGAGGCTGACATAGGAGAATTGCTTGAACCCGGGAGGTGGAGGTTGCAGTGAGCCGAGATCACGCCACTGTACTCCAGCCTGGGCAACAGAGTGAGACTGTCTCAAAAAAAAAGTAAAACTAGCTGTAGAATAAATACCAGATTAGAATACAGTTTTTAGGCTTGGTGCAGTGGCTTATGCATGTATTTCCAGCACTTTGGGAGGCCAAGGTGAGAGGATTGCTTGAGGCTAGGAGTTCGAGACCAGCCTGGCAACATAGCAAGACCCTGTCTCTACCAAAAAGATTAAAATCAGCTGCATGTGGTCGTATGCGCCTATAGTCCCAGCAACTTGGGAGGCTGAGGCGGGAGAATTGATTGAGTTCAGGATTTCGAGGCTGCTGTGAGCTATGACTGCACTCCAGCCTGGGCAACAGAGCGAGACCCTGTCTCAAATAAATAAACAAATAAATGAATAAGCAAGCAAGCAAGCAGTTTTAAAGTTGAACATCAGTTCTCTACTTGACTCCAGAGTTAAATAGGCATCCAGTTGCTTTTTGTGTTTATTTTTATATTCACTGCTTTTGCCTGCAACTGTGTTTCTGGTTCTAAGTAAATATAACATATGCTACTGGTACACATATGTCTTAGGCAACATATGTTTCATTCACTGGATTGTTAGCTCTGTTTTGTTTTGTCACTACTTTAGTCCCAGTACCAATAACTGCCAGGCACAAAGTAGGTGTTTAGTTAATATTGTTAAATGAACAAATACAAATATTTGATTTTATCACTTGAATCCTCGTTTATTAGTACTGCACTATCTTTTCTTAGCTGTTTTTGTGAACATAACACAGCTTGTGTACAAGCTGGTCTTGTACCCTAACGAGATTGGAAGTACATTGTGGGTAGAAACTTGGTTTTATTTGTTTTTCCTATATTCTCCTTTACAGCAGTTTAGACTTGATGGGAAGTAGGTATTTCCCAAACATGTGATTGAACTGAAATATATTGGTAGATTTTATTTTATCAGGAGACTGCCAAAAGTATAGTCATAACTAAGGAATTTGGAAGAGAATCAAAAAGCTAGTATGTACTCGTCTGTCAGCTTGAAGGCCTGTATAAGACTCCAAACTTCTGTGGAGTAAAAAGGGTAGGGTTCTGGGGCTGGACGCGATAGCTCACACCTGTAATCTCAACACTTTGGGGAAAAAAAAGAGGTAGGGTTCTGGGACTATTCTTTGCTTCTTTCTTTTTCTTTTTTTTTTTGAGGCAATTTTGCTCTGTCATTCAGGCTGGAGTGCAGTGGCATGATCTCGACTCACCACAACCTCTACCTCTCAGGTTCAAGCAGTTCTCCTGCCTGAGCCAGAGTAGCTGGGATTACAGGCGCTTGCCACCACACCTGGCTAATTTTTTTATATTTTTAGTAGAGATGGGGGTTTTACCATGTTGGCCAGGCTGGTTAAGAACTCCTGACCTCAAGTGATCCACCCGTCTCGGCCTCCCAAAGTGCTAGGATTACAGGCCTGAGCCACTGCGCCCGGCCTCTGGGACTGTTCTTTTCCTTGCTCCTTAACAGACTGTTTCCTGCTTTTTGTTTTGTTTTGCTTTGTTTTTTGTTTTTGGCCTCCTAACTGTGTTACAAACGGTTTAAGTCAGTGGTTCTCCAAGGTTGGTCCCAGATCAGCAGCATTATCACCTGGGTACTTACTAGAAATGCAAATTCTTGGGCCCCACTCCAGACCTACTGAATGAGCAACTCTGAGGGTAGAACCTAAAAAATTGTGTTTTAACAAGTCATCTGGGTGATTCTGATGGTAAAGTTTGATGTCACCAAATGATAATGACACTTTTTTTTTTTTTTTGAGATGGAGTCTCGCTCTGTTGCCCATTCTGGAGTGCAGTGGCATGATCTTGGCTCACTGCAACTTCCACCTCCCAGGTTCAAGCAATTTTCCTGTCTCAGCCTCCTGAGTAGCTGGGACTACAGGCACACGCCACCATGCCTGGCTAATTTTTGTATTTTTAGTAGAGATGGGGTTTCATCATACTGGTCAGGCTGGTCTCGAACTCCTGACCTCAGGTGATCCACCTGCCTCGGTCTCCCAAAGTGCTGGGATTACAGGCATGAACCACCGCGCCTAGCCTGATAATGACACTGTCTTTAAGAGAGAGGGCTACAGGCAGTGATTATGTGCCAGAGAAAACTAGCAGCCTAGATTTAAGAGGATAATATAATCCAAAGCTTTTCAGAGGGAATAGATATAGTTTATAGAAGGCATTAAGACATAAAGCGATTATTGAAACTTCATTGTACACTGTAACCATATAATTGACTTTTACTTATATATTTCCTCTTTTACTTTGAAGTTTGTGTTCAAATCAAAAGATGAGAACCTTAAATTAATCAAGCTTTATAATATTTTATTTTAGATTTTTGTAAAAGTGAATGCTCTTTATATTCCATAGCAAGTAACTGAAAAGCTACTGAAAAGTGTCCAACCCAAGAATTTTGTGTATTTTTCATTTTGAATTTACTTCTCAGTGATTTCAATTTTGAATCCTAGCCCTTTTAAATTTTAGAATACAAGGTAGTTTAAAATGGCTTCAATAAGGCTGGGCGTGGTGGCTCACACCTGTAATCCCAGCGCTTAGGGAGGCTGAGGTGGGTGGATCACGAGGTCAGGAGTTTGAGAACAGCCTGACCAACATGGTAAAACCCTGTCTCTACTAAAAATACAAAAATTAGCTTGGCGTGGTGGTGTGCACCTGTAATCCCAGCTACTCAGGAGGGTGAGGTAGGAGAATTACTTCGACCCTGGGAGGCTGAAGTTGCAGTGAGCCGAAATCGCACCACTGCACTCCAGCCTGGGCGACAGAGCGAGACTCCGTCTCAAAAGAAAAAAAAAGGGGTGGGGGGGCTTTAATAAATTAAATGGTGCATTTTAAATATTTTAATTGTTTATTAGATATTATGTATGCAGATAAACCTGTTTATAGAAGATCTATATTCCTATTTACATATATCCTTTTGACAAATTAGAATTGAAAATAATACAAAAATAAATTTTCTTTTTGTCATGCAGACTTAAATAGTAAAATGTCTTCCTTCTATTATTTTTATCTTTTTTGTTTATAATGGTTAGGAAGTGAATAATTTTCTATACTGTGAAAAATACGTATAAAGTATCATGGAAGTTCAACATTCATTTTCCTTGAAGATAATTCCAAAGTTTTCTTCTCCAGAAGTATATGCTGTTATTAGGTTTAGTTGTACTGATAAATGGCAGTATGATGATTTGTAATTTTTTAAACATTTTATTCATGTCACTTTTTTTTTTTTTTTTTTGAGACGGAGTCTCACTCTGTTGCCCAGGCTGGAGTGCAGTGGCGTGGTCTCGGCTCACTGCAGCCTCTGCCTCCTGGGTTCAAGCAATTCTGTGCCTCAGCCTCCCAAGTAGCTGGGATTACAGGCACCTGCCACCACGCCCGGCTAATTTTTTTTTTTGTATTTTTAGTAGAGATGGGGTTTCACCATCTTGGTCAGGCTGGTCTTGAACTCCTGACCTCGTGATCCACCCGCCTCGGCCTCCCAAAGTGCTGGGATTACAGGAGTGAGCCACTGCGCCCTGCCTTTTTTTTTTTAAGATGGAGTCTCACTGTGTCGCCCAGGCTGGAGTGCAGTGGTGTGATCTCTGCACACTGCAACCTCCGCCTCCTGGGTTTGAGTGATTCTTCTGTCTCAGTCTTCCAAGTAGCTGGGAATACAGGTGCCTGCCACCATGCCTGGCTAATTTTTGTATGTTTAGTGGAGACAGGGTTTCACCATGTTGGCCAGGCTGGTCTCGAACTCTTGACCTCAAGTGATCCCCCCGCCTCGGCCTCCCAAAGTTCTGGGATTACAGGTGTGAGCCACTGTGTCCGACCTATTTTCCTCTTTTTCTTTTTACCTTTTTTCCTTCCCTTTTTTTCTTCCTTTTGCTGTTTTCGTCTTTTATGTCTCTCACCCTCGCCCTTCCTCAATTCAATTCAAAGAGCAATATACTGCCATATCTGGAGAATTTTTAGCTGGAATTTAATCTTTATTTTAAAAGAGTAAGAATTTATACCAATTATTATGCTTTCGACTGAGGTCGTTTTACAGAAGGAATTCGTTTTTTTTTATGTAGGAATGTGTTTTAAGACTGTTTCTAATATCTAAGTTTCCTAGAGAAAAAAAAGGTAAAAGATTGACATTATTCTCATAGTCTTTTACTCTTTTCTCAAAGGTCTTAGTTCAGGTCCTAATTTTCTTTCAATTATATTCATTTATTTAACCAGTCTCCTTTAGGTGGTCATTTGGGTTGTATACATATTCTTGTCTGTGTTTTATCAGTCATGTATTACATAATTTCACATATGTGCAAATATATATTTGAAGGATACCATTCTAAAATTGCTGAGTTAAAGGGTATATGCATTTACAAACTTGACAGATATTACCAGTTGTCCTCTATAAAGTGAAACTGGTTTATATCACCACAGCTAACATTTAAATGTCTGTTTTTTACCATATTATTAAATTACTGAACTTTATCCATCTGATGGAAAAGAAGAAATCTGATTGTACTTTATTTTTTATATTTTTAATTTTTTTATGAGATGTCTTGGTATGTTGGCCAGGATGGTCTCAAACTCCAGCCTCAAGCTATCCTCTCACCTCAGTCTCCCAAAGTTCTGGGATTACAGGTATTAGCTACCATGCCTGGCCCTGATTACCACCCCCCCCCCCCTTTTTTTTGTTTTTTTGATATAGGGTCTCACTCTGTCACCCATGTTAGAGTGTGGTGGTGTGATCACTGCTCACTGCAGCCTTGGCCTCCTGGGCTGAGGTGATTCTCCTGCCTCAGCCTCCCAAGTAGCTGGGACCACAGACACATGCCACCATGCCTGGCTGATTTTTTAAATTTTTTGTGGGGACGTGGTCTCGCTATGTTGCACAGGCTAGGCTCAAACTCCTGAGCTCAAGTTATCCACCCGCCTCGGCCTCCCAAAGTGCTGTTAATTACAGGGCTGAGCCACTGTGCCCAGCCTCTGATTATACTTTTAATTGTAATTTCTCTTATGCTTGAAGTTGAACATATACAGTAAAGACTTTATGGTATTGTAGGCTGAAGTTTCAGAATCATCCAGGACCAATGATGTTAGCAGAAATGCAAAACTAGCCAAGGAGTATCGAGGGGACAAAATAGATAATTGATATTGTTATTACCTTCAAAGTTTGATTGCATTGATTAGCTTATTATTTTTATTAAAGTCATTTTAAAGAGCATATAAAGTTCTATGCCAAAGCACGTTTGGCATAGACAAACATTTGGAAATGACAAGTTGGGCTGTCATTTCCTTTTGACACGACTTTCATTTTTATCAGCTTTAAATGCATGTGTCATTACTATTCTGGTTAGGTAACATAATTATCCCACTGCAGAATATATAATTTCAAAAGAGTCTTGTGGTTATTTGATGCCTTTTCCTCTGAAAACAATTGAATTGTTTTCAGACCACTTTTATTTCAGTAAGGTAAATGTAATCCTTCCTTTAATTGTAATGTAAAATTTAAGAGCACATTGAAATGAAAACAAAAGCCTAACAAACTACCTACATTTTGAAAGTTATAAGAGACTAGATAAGTTGGATTTTATGTTTCTTGTGGTACTGAATAGGAACAAAGCTCATTCAAACTAAGCTTGAATGAGAATTAAGTTTAATGGCTCACTTGCTAAACCTTAGTTGCACAATCCTCACAATTCCTTAGGGATGTGGCAAGGTCATCCTTAAATGTAAAGTTCTTGCTCACTTAATGGAAAGCACTGTAGATACATAAATAACATTGTTACCTGTCTTAGTGGGTCAGTATAATAGACGGACGTGGTGGTACATGTGAGAATAGTGAAATTTATAGCTAGTTTTGAGGCCCTTATGACTTTTAAGAGGTATTATGAGTCACTTTAACAAGTTAGTGTTTGTGACATAGTTTCAATTTCTTATGTGAAAGATAGTATTTCAATTGTCAATGTTCTTTTAATATTCTGGAGAGCTACTCTTTCCTACCCCTCTGTTTTACTGACTTTAAAAGTTGTTTACAGTTCGTTTCATGTTCAAATGTAGGGTTTTAGTAATTCCTTGGGGTGGGGGGCAGGAATGGGCAGAAGGCCATTGTCTCTAATTTTCCTTTTCCCAACTTTCACTTTCTTTTTTCTATGGATTACATGTCAAGGTGGGTGAGAAAAATGGTGGGGATTGAGAAAAGGGAGCAATTTATTGTTTGTAGGGGAGGTCCAAAATAAAGTCACTTAAGGAATCTGTCATAAAATTTAAATATATGATGAAGCTTGTGCAAGGGGATTATAAGAACTGATTTTACTTTAACCCTTCCTGCTTTATAAAAAGATCCTGTTGATGGCAAAAAGACAAACACTTTAGCAAACTGTACTGTACACCTTGCATTTGTTTGCATTAATATTAGTTGTTTTATTTTATTTTTTGATATGGAGTCTCACTCTGTTACCCAGGATGGAGTGCAGAGGCGTGATCTCGGCTTACTGCAACCCCTGCCTCCTGGGTTCAAGCAATTCTCCTGCCTAAGCCTCCCGAGTAGCTGGGATTACAGGTGCCACCAGGCCCAGCTAATTTTTGTATTTTTAGTAGAGACAGGGTTTCACCATGTTGGCCAGGCTGGTCTTGAACTCTTCACCTCAAGTGATCCACCCGCCTCAGCCTCCCAAAGTGCTGGGATTACAGGTGTGAGCCACCGCATCCGGCAATATTAGTTGTTTTATATTGTAGACTCTTAAATGATGTGGACTATGTGTTGTAAAATCCCTACCCTGAAGTAAAATGCATTTAGATGTCCCCCCAGCCCTTTTTAACTTAAATCCTTTTTCCCCCTTGCAGTCAGTGCATTTTTATATTTGTACATACTTTGTGAGAAATGTGTAAAGGAAATATTTTTGCATCTAATTGTTCAAACTTCCAATGGTTCTTTACTGAGTTAAAAAAACTTTTTTTTTTGGTCTAAACTGAATTTTTTCTGTCTTTCCCCTACTCAGGCCCAGATTGCCTTCCTGCAGGGAGAAAGGAAGGGCCAAGAAAATTTGAAGAAGGATCTTGTGAGGAGGATCAAAATGTTGGAGTATGCTCTTAAACAGGAAAGGTAATTCAGTAAAATGAAAAGTGGTGTTCTTTTTTGTTTATTTGTTTTGAGACGGAGTTTCGTTCTTGTTGCCCAGGCTGGGGTGCAATGGTACGATCTTGGCTCACCGCGACCTCCGCCTCCCGGTTTCAAGCAATTCTCCTGCCTCAGCCTCCCCAGTAGCTGGGATTATAGGCATGTGCCACCACACCCAGCTAATTTTGTATTTTTAGTAGAGTCATGGTTTCCCCATGTTGGTCAGGCTGGTCTCGAATTCCTGACCTCAGGTGATCTGCCCACCTCGGCCTCCTAAAGTGCTGGGATTACAGGTGTGAGCCACTGGGCCTGGCCAAAATGGTGGTCTCTTAAATGTTGGAATAATTTTTTTCATCATTCCTAAAATAAATTTAAATGTTCATACTCCTTGAGTTCAGGTGTATCTGTAGTAAACATTTGTATGAATGGTTGTAATATGTTAATTTTATTATGAATAGTTTAATAATGATCAAAAAACTGATTTATGTGATTTCTTAAAAATTAGCAACATTTTTTTCCTACTCTGCCTGTTTTGAAGAAGCAAATATGCTCCCCGAACTGTTAATACCCATTCATTTTAAAGTTGAAATAGTTTTTAATTTTTAAAGGAAATTTCTATAGTGTTTCCTTTTCCTGTCATTTAATATTATTCAATTTGATGTATTTTCTTTAGAAAAAAATTGTTCCAGCAGACTATGTTAAGATTCTATATAGACTTTTTTTTTTTTTTTTTTGAAACGGAGTCTCACTCTGTCGCCCATGCTGGAGTGCAGTGGTGCAATCTCAGCTCACTGCAAGCTCCACCTCCCGGGTTCACACCATTCTCCTGCCTCAGCCTCCCAAGTAGCTGGGACTACAGGTGCCCGCCACCACGCCTGGCTAATTTTTTGTATTTTTGGTAGAGATGGGGTTTCACCATGTGAGCCAGGATGGTCTTGATCTCCTGACCTCGTGATCCCCCCGTCTCGGCCTCCCAAAGTGCTGGGATTACAGGCGTGAGCCACCATGCCCAGCCTATAGACTTTTTTTTGTGTATTTTGTTCCTCTGCTGTCTGCCGTTACAATCTCTCCAGAAGCTTATCTTACCTTTCTATTTTGCTAGTGTCTAAGATACTCCAGTAACTAAATTTGGGTCACAAGTAAAGGAAAATAGGTCATGAGTGAGATTTTTGGAAGTTATATGAGTTATTTATTTGCTTTAATGAATGGGCCTTGGATTTTTTTGTCGACAATCTGAGTTCATTTTTTTTTAGATAACTGAGTACTTATAGGTGATATTGGAATTATCTATTTTGCTACTTTTTTGCTTTGTTTTTAATGATGCTTGTTTTGTTTTTCTCTTTTTGAAGTTGGTGAATGGGATATTTGCAATAAAATAGCATTTAGATGCAATTAGATAAATAGATGATATTTATGAATAATGAGAAATAGATAAAATTTTATTAGAACTTGTGTTCATCATCATGTAGAATCTTTAAATGGTGTAAGAGATTGAAAATAGGTTGACCTCTTAGTGAAAAATACGTGTTTCTTTTCATACTTTGGGAAAGTTGATGAAAAGCTGTATTAGGGACATGGAAAGAAAAAACACTTTTAAAAGTACATAATTTGGGAGTAGTGAGTTGTTTTTTTTTTTTTTTTTTTGGAGTCCTGCTTTGTTGCCTAGGCTGGAGTGCAGTGGTGTGATCTCGGCTTACTGCAACCTCCGCCTTCTGGGCTCAAGCAATTCTCCTGTCTCAGCCTCCCGAGTTGCTGGGACTACAGGCGCATGCCACCATGCCTGGCTAATTTTTTTGCATTTTTAGTAGAGACAGGGTTTCACCATATTGGTCAGACTGGTCTCGAACTACTGACCTCAGGTAATCCACCATCTCAGCCTCCCAAAGTGCTGGGATTACAGGCGTGAGCGAATGTACCTGGCCGAGTATTTGAGATTTTTTTTTTTTTTTCAGACGGAGTTTTGCTCTGTTGCCAGGCTGGAGTGCAGTGGTACGATCTTGGCTCACTGCAACCTCCACCTCCTGGGTTCAAGCAATTCTCCTGCCTCAGCCTCCCAAGTAGCTGGGATTACAGGAGCTTGCCACCATGCCCAGCTAATTTTTGTATTTTCAGTAGAAACGGGGTTTCACCATGTTGACTGGGATGGTCTCGATCTCTTGACTTCGTGATCCGCCTGCCTCAGCCTCCCAAAGTGCTGGGTGGCGTGAGCCACCGCGTGCGGCCCGGAGTGGTTATTTTCATCTGGAAGATGAAAGTAGAAAGGAGTGCAGAGTAAGAGGAGGTGAGGCTTGAATAGCATCAAATAAGAAGGTGTTTGTCAGACAGACAAGGTGCAGGAAGTAGAGAGAACATGTTTGACATGGAACAAAGCAGTTTGGTGTGTTCAGAAATTTGTAATCTTTGTGTGTGGAGAGTAGGATGTTGGTTGTGGTCCTCCTCTCAGTTGATGACGGATAATGGTAGAGGGGGCAAGAGTCAGATCATAGAGAGCCTAACCAAGGAGTTCAAACTTTTATCTTACATGTAACAGGGAATGTGGGAGGTTTAATTTTTTTTTTTTTTTTTTTTTTTGAGACAGGGTCTTGCTCTGTTGCCTAGGCTGTAGTGCAGTGGCACAGTCATGATTCACTGCGGTGTCAGCCTTCTGGGCACAAGTGATCCTCCCACTTCAGCCTCCCAAGTGGCTGGGAATACAGATATACTCCAGTCCACACAGATAAATTTTTAATTTTTTAGAGAGACAGGGTCTCGCCCTGTTCCCAGGGCTGGTCTGGACCTCCTGGGCTCAAGCAGTCCTCCTGCTGTAGCCTCTTAAAGTGCCGTGATTATAGGCGTGAGTCACCATGCCCAGCCAAAAAAATTTTATCTAAAATGACCTCTAATAGAGGAGTTGCAAGAATCTTGTATACCCTTTACCCAGATTCACCAATTGAAAATGATTTGCTATATTTGCTTTATTGTGTTTGCTCTCTCTATAGGTACCATTTTTTTCCCCTAAATCATTTGCTAGTTTGTCCCTAACTACCTCTGTGTATATTTCCTAAGAGCAAGGACATTTCCTTATATGATTATAGTATATTACCAAATTAAAGAAATGTAACATTGATATTCTATTATCTGATATAGTCTATATTCAGATGTTCTAAAAGTGATCTTTATAGCATTTTTTTTTCCTGGTCCAGGATCCAATCTGGAAATATATACTGCATTTAGTTGTTAAGCACTTGAAAGTTTTAAGCAAGATAGAGTATGAAATACATTTTAGAAAGATCTCCTGACCTCAGTGTGGGGGTGGACTGGAAAGATCTCTAAACACAGGCAGAAAGATTGTAATAGTCTAAGATGAGAAATGATAACACAGTAGCTGCTGAAATAGACACATCAACAAAAAAAAAATTTTAAGTAGAGTCCATGAAATCTGAAGCTTATATAAAAATTTGGAGATGGGACAGTGGGTGAATGAGAAAGATAATTTGAGAATGACTCCCAGGTTCCTGGCTTGAAGGACTATCTGAATTATGAGAGACTTTTAGAAGGTATCAAATGAATTAAAAAGAAGAATTAAAGAGCAGATATGTGAAGGGGACGCATGATGAGAAATATATGCTTGGGAATCATCAGTATTATTGTGAGTGAAGTGAAAGGAGTAGTTGATAGAACAAGTATTGGGGAAACAAGAGAGAACTAGAAGGAGTGACAGGAAGTAGAAATATTTGAAGAGAAGGCAGAGGAAGAAGAGCCAACAAAGAAATAGAGAAGGAAGGAGGAGAGAGTAGTATTTTGGAAGTGAGTTAAAGGAGGGAGTTCAATAACTGAAGATGCTAAGTAGACTCCAAGTAAGTTGTATACTGAAAATAGTCATTTGGAGTGGCCAGTTGGAAGCTTATTGGTACCCTTACTAAAGCAGCCTCAGTAAGGCAGCAGGAACATGAGCCAGATCACAGAGGATCGAGGGCTGAGAAGGATGAAGTGGGGAGAGATGGAGTTGCTTATATTATTATTATTTTTTTTTCTTTGAGACAGAGCCTTGCTCTGTCACCAGGCTGGAGTGCAGTGGTGTGATATCGGCTCACTGCAGCCTCTGCCTCCTGGGTTCAAGCCATTCTCTTGCCTCAGTCTCCTGAGTAGCTGGGACTACAGGCGTTTACCACCACACTGGGCTAATTTTTGTATTTTTAGTAGAGATGGGGTGTCACCATCTTGGCCAGGATGGTCTCGATCCCTTGACCTTGTGATCCGCCCGCCTTGGCCTCCGAAAGTGTTGGGATCACAGACGTGAGCCACCGCGCCTGGCAGAGTTGCTTATTTTTTTTAGGAAATTTGACTCTGAAGGACAGTAGAGATAAGGAACTGGCTGAATCTAGGGAAGATTTTTTTCTTCTCTTTCTTAACTAAATGGGATTGCTCCTGGAAAAGAGTTCCTGCTTTTGTGTCTTTTTTTTTTTTTTTTTGAGACGGAGTTTTGCTCTTGTTGCCCAGGCTGGAGTGCCATGGCACGATCTCAGCTCACTGCAACCTGCACCTCCCGAGTTCAAGAGATTATCCTGCCTCAGCCTCCCCAGTAGCTGGGATTACAGGCATACACCACCACACCTGGCTAATTTTGTATTTTTGTTAGAGACGGGGTTTCTCCATGTTGGTTAGACTGGTTTCGAACTCCCAACCTCAGGTGATCTGCCCACCTCGGCCTCCCAAAGTGTTGGGATTACAGGTGTGAGCCACCGCGCCCAGCCTGGTTTTGTTTCTTTTGAAGTATATGGAATGATTTGGGATTATTCTTGATGTTATGGCACTATTTGTATAATCTAAGACATTTTTAAAAAGCATTTATTTGTGGCTTGAATTTTAAATTGAATTTTAAAAAAAATTATTGAGGAAAATTTGAAATATACTCATAGAGAAACTAATGTCTTTTATATACAGCCCCAAGTTTTAACAGTTAATGTTTTTGTCAGTCTTTTTCACCTTGATCTATTTTAATGCAATTCCAGATACCTTGTAATTCATTTCAGCTGTAAATGCCTAAGTAAAGATCATGATTTTACATGATTTTCTTTGCATGATTTTTGCAGATTTTCTAAGTAGTCCCACTTTAGGATCCAAAAGTAAAACCGAATTATTAATATTACAGAAGAATTACTTACCTAGCAGTGGATTTATCAAAGCATTCCTTAATGTGTGATAAAATTTAATATAAATTTTCAAGATTACATAGTGTATAATCTGAGGTTGACTTAGGAACATCTATGTTGAGGAACCTCAAATACTATATAAATACAATTCTGAAAAATTTCTGCCATTTTTAAAATTTCTCTCTATTCACTGCTACTTTTATCTACCCTACTGTAGTAACTTAACTGTCCTCCTTGCTTCTAGTATTTCCATATTTTAATTCGTCTTCCATATCCGTAGAATTCATTTTCTAAAACACAAATATGATAATTCTGTTATATCCGTGTTTAAAAATATCTAGCTAATTTCACGTTCTTAGTAAAGTTCTTCACAGCCAGGCCCTTTCTGTCCCTTCTCTGTCTCCATTCCTTCCATACCTTTTGGGTGTAATTATTCTGTCTGCTGTTTTTTGACCCACTGTGTGTGTTTTTTTTTTCTTCCACTTAAGATGTCCCTTCTGACAGAAATGCCCTCTCCATCAATCCATTTTGATTGGAAAACTCCCACTGGTATTTTGAGATTTAGCTAAAATCTCACGTGTTACCTTCTTTTTGGTAGCTTTCTTTGACACCAGTTTTGACCGAATTAGATTAGATAATCCCTTATCTGCATTCTTGTAATACTTGCTAGTAGCCCTTATAGCTCTTACACAGTATGCTGTAGTTATTTACATTCCTGTCTCTTACGCATACCCTCACCTTCCACCCTTACCTAACTACAAGCTGTAGGTTGTCCCAGCAGCCAGCACAGTGCCTGTAAATCATAGGAATTCAGTAATAGTTCATTGAAATTAATCAAATTATTTTTAGCATCCACATTTAAGATATAATTGAGATGCTGTTATACTCCTAGCATAATATGTATAATAATAGGCTTTGAAACAAAGCTAAAATTACTCTTCTTTAGTGTATTATAGTTATTAAGCAATTTTTATGCTACTTTTATCCAATAAAGGTCATTTATGGAGGGCCTACCTGTGTATCAAACATGGAGTTGCTAGATATAAGATCTGCTTTTTTATCTTATAGGCAGAATTAGACAGAAAAAGAATAGCAAACAAGAAAGATTGGTTAACACAGTGAGCTGAGTGTTAAAACAGTGGAAAACGGTATGAATGAGAAGGTATTTTCACATATTGACTTAAAAAGGAATGCTATTAAGCATAAGGAGGGTTCTGTGAGAAAAATATATTTTAGTGAATGTAACAATTCAGTAGGGAGACCTTGATTTAAGGGACCATAGCTTGTGATAAAAACAACAGTTCTTTACATATTTTTGCCTTTGTCTGTTTTTTAAAATAAAATGTTCATAATGTGTCACAGTTTTTGTTATATTTATTTTTGTAAAATATTTTCTGTTCCCTTTTTGTAGGTTCTGTTGTAGTTTTTCCTGAGACCACTAGAATGCACTATAATGCAGTATTTTGTGTTTGAAAATGTTTTTCTTTTATATATATATAAAAAATATAAACTCCATAACATTTTATTGCTACTATTATTTTAAAAGCTTTAATATAATCTGTCTTCAGACTAGTTACATTCAGTTGCTATTTTGACTTCTAGCAGGTATTACTACTTTGTCTTATGGTAAATGAAGTGTGTTTCTGGAAAAATAAGAGATTGACAGTTACATTTAGAACTTTGTTTACTTTCTAGTAACTGCAAGTCAGATGAATGTCTGTAAATCTTACCTTCTGATGATCAATAGTATTACAAATACATTGAACTAGATGGGCAAACATTTCGTCCAGTGATAAAATCTTTGTGGTTAAGAGACACATTGAAAATAGATGTTCTAAATAATTTGGACTAAACATATTTACTAAAAATTAAGTATCTATATAGTTAATTAATCAAATAACAGCAAAAATAGTCTCCCTTCTGCCTCAGTTCATTGATTTCCTTTCCCAAGGAAATCTTATCAACTGATATCTTACGTATTATGTATCCTTCCAGAAAGATTCATATGCATAGGCTAATGAAATAGATATGTATCTTTTAAAAAATGTATGGAGACATACATAGTATTTTGTACCTTTTACTTTTTGCTTAAGAGATCAGTTCATTGGCATATGAATATATTTTTTTCCTTCTTAATGTGTAAATGTTACTATAAAATATTTCATACATACGTGTAAGATATAAAGACTGTTATAAAAAATACTCATGTACCCATCACCTACCTTAAGAAATAGGACATCAACTGCCTATAATTTTCATAGGTTTTCTTAGAATTCCTCTCTGTCTAAAACTTTTTTTTCTGTTGTGACTGCAAAATGATTATTATTGCAAAATAAGAAAGATTTCAGTATTTTACACATTTGAGCAAATAATTTTTCATTTCCTTTCTACTTTTCTTTTTTTCTTTTTTTTTTTTTTTCTTTTTTTTGTTTTTGAGACAGGGTCTCACTGTGTCACTCAGGCTGGAGTGCAGTGGCATGATCTTGGCTCACTCACTGCAACCTCTGCAGCCGGGTTTAAGTGATTCTCCCACCTTAGCCTCCCGAGTAACTGGGATTACAGGTACACCACCATGCCTAGCTAATTTTTGTATTTTTTGATAGAGACAGGGTTTCACCATGTTAGCCAGGCTGATCTCAAACTCCTGACCTCTGGTGATCCATCTACCTTGGCCTCCCAAAGTGTTAGGATTACAGGCATGAGCCCCCGTGCCCAGCCACTACTTTTCTTAAATTATGAAAAAACCTAACGGTAAGTGCTCTATTAGGTTTTTATAAAGAAAAAAAAAACTTTCAAATTTGGCTGTGTTACACTTTGCTTCCTTTATTACTTTATTATTTTGGTTTTTCAAATTGTTGTTTATATTAATGTCCCAGTCTTTTTTTTTTATTTATTTTTATTTTTTATTTTTTTATTGATCATTCTTGGGTGTTTCTCACAGAGTCCCAGTCTTAACACATTGAATATTTATTATAAATGGCCTCAATATTTTAGGGAGCCAACAAGTGAAAATATGCAAATAGATTAAGCAGATATGGCTATTTTTAGTCACCCTTTTAAAAATTTCTACATTATCTGGGTTATTTTTCTAGTCTCATGGTTAAATCCGAGATAGTTAAATCAGATGGTTAAATCCTATTAACCAGAATGATAACATTCTGTCAACTTTGAAAAGAAGATAAAACAGTATTCCCATTCACAGTTCTTTTTGAGCAAAAGACAAGGGATATCTTGACTAGTATAAAAAAATTCCTTTCTACTGGAATATCTTATTCAACATTGATGATTTGGGCTGGGGTTTTCCCCCTTGGATTGTGCAGTATAATGCATATTTGGCAAATCATGATTATCTGACAAGTCATATAATATTGTAGATGACTTTTCTTTTTTTAAGAAGCTCAATTTTTTGAGAAAAGTCTTCTACAAATTTATTTCACAATCCAAACCTTTTTTTTTTTTTTAACTGTTTTTGATAGTAAAATTTAGCTTTGGCAATCATCAGGAAAATTTGAATACTACAGAAACCAGGATGTTATATCGTTCATTTTGTTATTACAGAAAGAAGAGTTAATGATTCCCAGAGTTATTCCTTTATTTTGTTATAAGGATACTTGATGGTATAACAACAGCAACAACGAAAAGGCAAGCACTTTTGTATTATAACTTTGACACCATGGAAAGCTATGAGCCTTTGAAAGTTCTAGGAGTGTTCAGCCAGGACTACTGAATTCTTGTGACTACTACTATTGTGTATGTTAATTTAAACATATTTTAAGATGGTCTGTATTTTCTCATTTCTTTGTTAGAGCCAAATACCACAAGTTGAAATACGGGACAGAATTGAATCAGGGAGATATGAAGCCTCCAAGCTATGATTCTGGTAAGCTAATTTTAATGGAAGTTTAAGTGTTAAAAAGAAGTTAATGTCTAGTATTTTCTAGCAGCATTTACAACTGTAAGTTACTTTCTAATTATTTGTGTATTAGTTATTTTTTCTGACCTGCTTGTCTTTTGGCACCATTTAGTGTCATTTAGATCATTTTCCACCACCTTCCTTCCTTTTCCCTCTTCCCCTTTCTTTTAGTTCCCCATTTTCTGCTTATGTTCTACACTTACTGGAAGGATCAGAGTTCATGGGGTAACATGCACCAGCATAACCTTGTCTTGCTGGGTCTGCCCAGAGTTAATGGGAACTTTCAGATGTGCAGTACAAAGTACATCATGCTCTTGAAATCCTGAGAAAGATTAGGAAATATGGAGGTAAGAGATTTCTTCTTAAAGCATGGAGGAATTCCTCATCCCAAAAACATAATTCTTCGGTTTCAGGTGGAAAACTGTTTTGGTCTTTCTTGTCCACAGGAGTTTCTGTAACTAGAACATGTTTTAACAGCTGAACCATTTATTATATTTTTGAATTATTTCTTCTTTTTCTTTTTCCTACTTCTTCATACCATCAAACAATATAAAATATTACTTGTAAATCAGATATTAAGAAATATAGATATAATTCACTTATTAGTAGGTATTAGGGAAGAATGACAAAAATTAATCAAAAGTTATCAACCATGTTTCAGATAGGTACGTTTCTGGCGTAATTTCAGGTTAAATTTCCCAATCAGATATCTGAAGACATTAATGTTCATTTATATCATTTACTGAAATACGTACCTTGTGCTAGAGGCTTTATATATATATATATATATATATATATATATATATATATATTTATGTATTCAGTTTAAATTTCCTTTTTTTTTTTTTGAGACGGAGTCTTGCTCTGTCACCCAGCCTGGAGTGCAGCGGCATGATCTCGGCTCACTGCAAGCTCCACCTCCCGGGTTCACGCCATTCTCCTGCCTCAGCCTCCCGAGTAGCTGGGATTACTGGCGCCCACCACCAGGCCTGGCTAATTTTTTGTATTTTTAATAGAGACGGGGTTTCACCGTGTTAGCCAGGATGGTCTCGATCTCCTGACCTCGGGATCCGCCCCCCCTCGGCCTCCCAAAGTGCTGGGATTACAGGCGTGAGCCACCACGCCCGGCCGCATATTCACTTTAAATTTTAAAGTGGTTATTCGGTAAAGTATCTTTGGTAAAGATAATATTTATTTGGATTTTACATATGTGAAATTTAAACTCAGAGAAGTGGAAAAACTTGCCCAACGTCACACAGATATTAAGTAATGATAGAATATGGAGCTGAACCCAGGTCTTTCTGACTCCAAAATTCATATTCTTTCCATTTTACCATGTTGCTTCTGTATTTGACAGTGTATGAAAGAACTTTCCAAAATGACTTCTAAATGTACTGCCAATTTTATAGTTAATTCAGTGTAGTAGTGTATTAATGCATTTCCTCAGCTGAATATTAAATGCTTGAGATCTAGAGCAATGCCAGTTGATCAGTGCTGTGTTTTTTTCCTTTGTTTTTTAATATTCTGTCTTTTACTTGAGTGTCTGTTCTTGTGACCTGAGATGTGCTTAAATTTCAAAATAAATTTTTAAAAAATCTAGGCTATTTGTTAAAAACTGTTCTAAAACTATATTAACTGACTCAAAGGAGTGATTTTAATTAGTGTTGTATTTAAAAGTTTTCATAAGTTTTGGATATCAATTTAGGAGAATAGAAGCCTAGATGCAATATATTTTTTAAATGTTTGTAAGTAAACATGGCTGGCTGCAGTGGCTAATGCCTGTAATCCCACTTTGGGAGGCCAAGGTGGGAGGATTGCTTAAGGCTAGGAGTTTGAGACCAGTCTGGGCAATGTAGCAAGACCCTGTCTCTGCCAAAAAATTAAAAAATTAGCTGGGGATGGTGGCACATGTCTGTAGTCCTAGCTACTGGGGAGGCTGAGGTGAAAGGATCACTTGGGCTCAGGAGTTTGAGGTTAGGTTATAGTGTGCTAAGATAGTGCCACTGCACTCTAGCCTGAGTGACAGAGTGAGATCCTGTCTCTTAAAAAAAAAAATCATCAAGTTTATAAGTAAACAGCGCAGCTCAGTAGAAGGGGCTTGCGCTTTAAAAGCAGGTAGATGTAAGTTTGACTCTGCCCCAACATTTTAAATTTCCGTGATCCTACTTAATTTCTCTATGGTTACTCCATTCCTGATCTGTAAACTAGGAAATACTCTGGGAATACTTCCTAACTCAAATGTTTATTTTCTTAGTGTACAATACCTAGTTATTCTCAGTATGTAATAGTTAGTACCTAGTATCATTTCATGTATCTTTCCAACCATCCATTCATCTTATAAATATGATATATATAATGTTTTTCAGACCTAGTACCAAATCCAGTGAATAAGACAACAATGCCCTGTTGGATTTTTATAGGGAAGATAGACAGTTAAAGAAGTGATTACAATGACATATGACATGTATAATGGATAAATAATAAGTGCTATTGAGCGCAGTAGCACAAACCTAGTCAAGTGGTCAAGAAAGGCTTCTTGGAGGAAGTGATGTTTAATTTTGACATCTGAAGGACAAGTAGGAATTAACCAGGGCAAGTAAACTGACTATTTGTTGAATGGGAGGTGGGAGAAAGGCAGAGTATTAGCAGCAGAGCTTCTGAGGTAAGACTGGCACATTTGAGAAATGGGATACCTGGATAGTAGTGGGAGAGAGGGAAGGAATGTTTCCAGATGTAGATAGAGAGTTAGCTGGGGGGTAAAATAGTTACAAGGGCCTTGTGAAACATGTTAAGTAGTTCACGCTTAGGAATATAATAAGCATTTGAAGGATCTTAATTAGGGGTTTATGATGAGATTTACTCTTGGATTACGTGGGCTGTAGTGTGGAAGATGGATTAGAGAGGAGCAACGTTGGAGATGGGGCAACTGGTTAGAGGATTGTTGCAGAAACCTGGGCAAATGAGTAAGGTTTCCTTGACAAGGGTGTGTTCAGGAAATATTTAGGAAGTAAAATATGCAGGAACTAGTTCTTTTTATATATACATAAATTTGATTTTATGCTGATCTTCTCTGTATTATTCTAATTTTAGTATATGTGCTGCCAAGGCAAGCACAGGAACTACTTCTTGATTGGATGTAGGGGGTGAAAAAAGGATGAGTCAGAAGTGACTCCCACATTTGTAATTTAAACAACTAGACCAGAAGTAGATTTGGAAAATGGTGGGTTCACTTTTGGATTTATTTCTTAGGTAACCAAGTGAAGATGGCCAGTAGACAGTTGAGTATATGGGTCTTGAGCTTAAGCCAGAAGTATGGATGTGTTAGAGACATAAATTTGAGAGGCATCAACATATGGTACTGGTGGCACTCAAGGCCATTGGAGTTGAAACAGTCACCCAGGAGCTGTATGTGAGGTAAGATTACAAAAAATGGAGCCCTGAGGAATGACATTTAAAAGACTGGTAGAAGAACGGAAACGTGAAAAAGAGTCTGATACAGAGTACATTAACAGTAGGAGGAAAACCAGGAGACCAAGGAAACCAAGAGAAGAGAGGGCTTCCAGAAGGAAGGACTGTTCACCACTACTGGTTAATTCTCAGAGGGCTGAAGAATATCTGTAGGACTTTGTGACACATGGGACACTGAGAACTTAAGGAGAGAGGTGAGGGCAGAAATAAAGTGGGTATAGTTAGCTTTCAGGAAGCTTAGGTTGTGAAGGTGAAGGAGAGAGATTAGAGGGCAATAGCTGGAAGGACACATGGGGTCAAGGAAAGTGTGTGTGTGCGCGCGCGCACACTCTCACGCACACGTGTGATGTGTGTCTTAGAGGAGTAACCAATAAAAGGGAAAGAGTAGAGATACTCGAAATAGGAAGATAATCTGAAGAAGGTGGTAGGGACTGGATTCTGAGCATAGCTGGAGAATGGCAGGAGGAGCATGTCTTTTATCATTACCAGGAGAGAATGTAGGAAGTTAGGTTAACAGGTTTATAGATTTGGATTTCTGTTTGGTGGTGGGTATTTGAGGAAATGTCCACAAGTGATAGCTTTATATATGAGATAGGATTATCTGCTGAGAGTGGGTCAGATGTTTAAGAAAAGTAGAGAAGGTTTAAAATGCTAATGGTAAACAGGAAGACTAACTTTCTAGGGAATAGTAGGATCGAGAAAAGCTAAGGGTCCAGTTGAGGTGTGTGATCATGAGTGTATGTAGAGGCACTAGGCTGCACATTTGGTAGTCTGGGTAAAGTAAAAGAGAATGCAGATAGTTAATAGTTGAATTCACGGAGAGAAAAAGGGACAAAAAAATTTGACAAAGGAATGATTGAAGTGATAAGCCATGAACTAAAACTACAGAGGGAAGGAAGTGAAGACACAAGGAGGCTGGCTAATGGGTGAATTAAAAGTAAGGGGGTAGATTCTGGTCTAGAGCAGGTCAGCAAACTTTTTCTGTAAAGGGCCGGATAGTAAATATTTTGGGTTTTGCAGGCTGTTTGTTGCAGCTACTCAACTTTGCCACTGTCACATGCAAGCATTCATAGAAGGTACATAAATGAATGGATGTGTCTGTACTATAAAAACAGGTGATAGGCTGGATTTGACATGCAGGCAGTAGTGTGCTGGCCCCTGGCTAGAGGTCCCAGCTAAATTAAAGAACTAGCAAATTTAGGGAAAAAAGAAAGAAAAAAGAACTAATGAATTGGGAGTAATTGAGCCTGACTGGTCTGCTCAGACAATCAGTTTGCATCTATCATAGTTGTTCATGATGATAAGACCTAAGATATGACAGCTAGAGAGGGTGGTGGCTGTGGAGAGGCAGAAGTGGATCTCCTACATGCATATTGATTTCACTCAAGATGATGTAGAAGTTTGGTGGCAGAAACATGTGAGCCAGATTTGGAGGGTTATCTAGGGATTTATAGATGATGGTGATAAGTACTAGGAGGTGGCAGAAAGGGTATATTCAAATAGCATAACCATTAAAGAAGCAGGGATTTTTTTTTGCATTCTTTGTTCTTTTATCTATTTACCATATTTTCCTAAAACTGATAACCAGACATTTTCTGAAACATTTTTCACAAAAATTTGCTTTTCCTTTCTAATTTTTTTTTGTCCCACGTCCAGACCTTCATATTTCTACTGTAGGAGAGTATTATCTCAGGCTATGTTAAAATGTATTTATTTTTGATATTTCAGTCTCTCCTATTTAATATTAGAAGCCAGGTAGTTATTTAAAGTTGAATATATCCAGTGTGATAAATTCTGTCTTTTAATTGAGAAATTTAGACCATTTGCACTTATGATTATTGATATGGTTAGGTTAATGCTACTACCTTTGTAATTCATTTTGTTCAGTCTGTTCTTGTTTCTTTTCCTTCTTTTTCAGGCTTCTTTTGAATTATCAAATATTTTTTAGGATTCAATTTTATCTCTTTTGCTGACTTATTAGCAGTAATTCTTAGTAATTGCTTTAGGGCTTACAAGGCACATCTTTAACTTATTACAGTCTGTCTTCAAGTGATAATACACCACTTCATGGATAGTACAATAACCTTATAATAGTGTACTTCCGTTTCTCCTCTTCCCAGTCTTTGTGCTATTGTTGTCATGCATTTTACTTCTATGTATGTGATAAACCACACACTCCATTGTTATTTTTTTCCAGCAGTCTTTTGTCTTTTAAAGATATTTAAATACTAATATGAAAAAAAATTCCCAATACTCATTATTCCTTTGTGTAGATCTGTGTTTCCATATTATTTTCCTTCAACCTTAAAGTCTTCCGCTCACGTGTCTTGTAATATGGAATGCAAGTAATGAATTTTTGCAGCTTATGTATGTCTGAAAAAGTCTTTTTTTTTTTTTTTTTTTGAGACAAAGTCTCGCTCTTGTCCCCCAGGCTGGAGTGTGACGCCACGATCTCGGCTCACTGCAGCCTCCGCCTCCCAGGTTCAAGCGATTCTCCTGCCTCAGCCCCCTGAGTAGCTGGGATTACAGGCGCCTGCCACCACACCTGGATAATTTTTGTATTTTTAGTAGAAATGGGGTTTTACCATGTTGGCCAGGCTGGTCTAGAACTCCTGACCTCAGGTGATCTGCCCACCTTGGCCTCCCAAAGTGCTGGGATTACAGGCGTGAGCCACTGCGCCCGGCCTGAAAAAGTCTTTATTTTGCTCATAGGCATTATTTCTGATGAGATATCTCCTGTTGCCCTTATTTTTGTTCCTCTGTGTATAATGTGACCTTTTTCTCTGGCTGCTTTTAAGATTTTCTCTTTATCATTGGTTCTAAATGATTTTATTATGATATGCCCTGGTGTAGTTAGCCCTCTCTACATATTTCTTATGCTTGGGATTTATTGAGTTCCTTGGATCTATGGGTTTATAGTTTTCATGGAATTTGGCACTTTTCAGCCATTATTTCTTCAAATACTGTTTTTGTTCCTCCCTGTGCTATGATCTGGAAACTCTCTCTAGGTGGTGTCTGGGATAATCATGAGGCTTACCTGTTTGCTTTCCCCTTCTCTCAGTTATTACTGTCCTTTGTTGCATGGTGTCCAGTGTTTTGAAAACCATTGTTTATCGTCTGTTTTGTTTTATAGTTGGTTCAGCAGGACGGTAAATCTAGTGTCTGTTACCCTAATTTGACAGGAAATAGCAGTCAAATACTTTCGATATTACCGAGAAATTCAACTATTATCTATATTAAAATCCTCACTTTTATATAATGTCACTTTTTGAACTTGACAAGGCAAGAATGAATGTGATAGTTAATGACTGCTTACTAACCATGGAAAGAACTGCGAGCTTAGCCTGAGTAAGGAAATATAAGAGCTATTTGACTTTGGGTTTCTTTTTTTAACCTGAATTTTTTTTTTTTTTTTTTTTGAGATGAAGTCTCTAGCTCTGTTGCCCAGGCTGCAGTGCAGTGGTGCAATCTCGATTCACTGCAACCTTCGCCTCCTTGGTTCAAATGATTCTCCTGTCTCAGCCTCCCTAGTAGCTGGGATTACACGCATGCGCCACCTTGCCCAGCTATTTTTTTTTCTGGGGTGTTTGGGGGTGGGGATAGAGGCTTGCTCTGTCGCCCAGGCTGGAGTGTAGTGATGTGATCTTGGCTCACTGCAACCTCTGCCTCCCAGGTTCATGTGATTCTCCTGCCTCAGCCTCCTGAGTAGTTGGGATTACAGGCACGAGCCACCGCACCCAGCCTCCAACTAACTTTTGTATTTTTAGTAGAGATGAAGTTTCACCATATTGGCCAGGCTGGTCTCAAACTCCTGGGTTTGAGTGATCCGCCCACCACGGCCTCCCAAAGTGCTGGTATTACAGGCATGAGCCACTGCGGCCCAGCCATAACCTCAGATGTTACTTAGAGGGTCAGATTTTATCTCAGTGTAAGAATACACTTTTTTTTAAGAGGATAGGGTACATTCTTATTTGATTCTTATTAAGATATAATTTACATATCATAAAAGTCACCCTTTTTAGTGTTTTCACAAATCTCTCCCTCCGTACGCTAATCCCCTGGCAACCAGTAGTCTGTTTTCCATTTCTGTAGTTTTGCCTTTTCTAGAAAGTCATATGAATTCCAGAATCTTACAGATTGTAGCCTTTCGATTCTGGCTTATTCACTTAGAATAATGCATTTGAGATTTATGTATGTTTGTATCAGTAATTCATTCCTTGTTCTTCTTGAGTAGTATTCCATTGATTTGCTGTATCACACTTTTTTGTAATGTCACTGGCTGCCAAAATAGGCAGAAGTAGTTGAGTATATTTGAGGATGGCATAGAAAGGATTTAGCCCTATTCTGATGGGAGATTTAATGACCTCAGAACTTCATTTAACATCTGAAGTCTTGAAATGGCAATGTAAATGTTTTTACTTGGCAAGTACAGGTTATTCACTTGACTTAAGAAGGGGGTATATTGGAACATACTATGTTACCTGCACAGATCCTGAATTTGCGGTCAGTGGAAACAAGATGTATTTGTTTTCCCTTAGTTTGGGGGCAGCGTTTTTGCTCCCTTCTTTTTTTATTTTTTATTTTTTTTAATTTATTTTCTCTTTGAAGTTATCACAGAGTAATTAGCTTCTTTTTGGAGTTAATTTAATTCCCCTTATTTTCTACCTGCCTTTCCAGTCTGTTTCTTTGGTATATCACAGAACTAAGCCTAGTTATTTTAGAGTTCTTTTAGAAGAAAAACAAACTTGGAAGATTTAATGCTTATTTTTATTCATGTATTTCTCTAATTTCTTATTGTAGTGATAGCATGTGAAGGAAAATGCTGGGGCTCTGGAGTGAAACAGAAATTCAACACTTACAATTGTGTTTCTAACTAAAAAACCTGAAAATTGCCTTCCAAAACTCAAGCTTTCTTATCTTTAAAATGAGGCTAAGTACCTATCTTTGAGGTTGTAAGGAATAAAAGAGATAATGTATGTGTTTTTAACACAGTATGTAGTAAATACTTAATTTCTTTCTTTTTTTTTTTGAGACAGAGTCTTGCTCTGTCACCCACGCTGGAGTGCAGTGGCATCATCTCGGCTCACTGCAACCTCCGCCTCTCAGGTTCAAGCGATTCTTCTGCCTCAGCCTCCTGAGTAGCTGGGAAACAGGCATGTGCCACCACGCCTGGCTAAGGTTTTGTATTTTTAGTAGAGACAGGATTTCACCGCGTTAGCCAGGCTGGTGTCTGTCTCCTGACCTTGTGATCCGCCCACCTTGGCCTCCCAAAGTGCTGGGATTACAGGTGTGAGCCACTGTGCCTGTCCCGTAAATACTTAATTTCAAATGTCACCAAATAAATTTTTCCAGTCCCTATTGTATCTCCACTTGAATAAGATCCTATAAAGATCAGCAGTTTTTTAGAGTTTGATCAAGGGCTGAGGAAAGTATGCACTTTTTTTGTACTGTTAATGTAGAACCATAGTATAGCTTGGAGATTGTACAGTCCAGACTTACCATAGGGAAAGCTCTTTTTATTTTATCACCTTCTAAAAAGGATTCTGGTTTTACCTAGTGATGAATTTAAGCGTTAAAATGCTTAGGAGGTTTTCATTCAAAGAATGTCATTAAAAGAATACTTGAGGGTTTTTTTTTGTTTTTTTTGTTTTTTGAGATGGAGTCTTGCTCTGTCGCCCACGCTGGAGTGCAATGGCGCAATCATCTCGGCTCACTGCAACCTCCGCTTCTTGGGTTCAAGGGGTTGTCCTGCCTCAGCCTCCCGAGTAGTTGGGATTATAGGCACCCACCACCACTAATTTTTGTATTTTTAGTAGATATGGGGTTTTTTGCCATGTTGGTCAGGCTGGTCTCAAACTCCTGACCTCAAGTGATCCACCCGCTTCGGCCTCCCAAGGTGCTGGGATTACAGGTGTGAGCCACCACGCCTGGCCTACCTGAAGTTTTTAAATGTAATAGCTAATGAAGGAAACAGGTTTGGATTGAGGTTGTTATATATCTGCTCTTTACCAAATTGGCTCTTCTACCATCATTCCTCAGTATTTTGTTCTAGTTCTTTTTTTAAAAAAATTATTTATTTGTTACTCATTCATTCATTCATTCATTCATTCATTGTTTTGAGACAGAGCCTCCCTCTGTTGCCTAGGCTGGAGTACAGTGGCACGATCACAGCTCACTGCAGCCTCGTCTTCCCAGGCTAAGGTGATTCTCCCACCTAAGCCTCCCTAGTAGCTGGGACCACAGCTGCGTGCCACTATGCCCAGATAATTTTTTTTGTAGAGACAGGGTTTACTCCATGTTGCCCAGGCTGGTCTCAAACTCCTGGGTTCTAGAGATCCACCTGCCTTGGCCTCCCAAATTGCTGGGATTATAGGCGTGAGCCACCATGCCCAGTTATTATTTATTTTTAATTTTTAATTTCTGTGGGTACATGGTGTATATATTTATGGGGTACATGAGATGTTTTGATAGAGGCATGCAATGTGTACTAGTCACATCATGGAAAATGGGGTATCCATCCCCTGAAGCATTTATCCTTTGTGTTACAAATAATCCAGTTATACCCTTAGTTATTTTTAAATGTTCAATTATTGTTATTATTGGCTTGTTCTAGTTCTGATGTGCTACTTTATAATACTTTTATTTGGCTCTCATTGTGTGACTTGATGGGATAAGTCTTTGTTCTGGAGAAAAATTCTTAGTCTAGTTAAAGACAGGGAAAATGTATTTATTTTAGTTCTGCTACTCTTAGGGAAATCCAGTAGCAATAATTTATATTAGAGTTTTGTTATAGAAATTACAGTTAAAAAACAGAACTTACATTATCCTAACACATACCTTACAGTTGCAGTTTTACATATTCTTAATCTTATAAATGTTTATTGGACGTTATTAATGAATTAAGATGCCCTCTAATACGTAAAACAAGTCAGTTTTATTATGACTTAATGTTTTCTAGATGAAGGTAATGAAACAGAAGTGCAGCCACAACAAAACAGCCAGTTAATGTGGAAACAAGGTCGACAACTACTCAGACAGTAAGTGTCTCATGGTGAAACTTATAAATGGCTGAAGACAAGAAACAGTTTTATGAAGTTATTTTTACTGTGTATTTTCAAGTCAGATGAATATTTTATCTCATACAGATGCTGTGAAAAAGCTTAATTGAATTACTGTTCCTTTTTCATATTAAATACTTTTTCTGTGTGGTAGAACTTACGTAGTTAAAAGAATTTTATAACTTTAAAGTTATTCTTTTCATTGCATATTTTATGTATGAATATATAACATTTTAATATATGTGCAATTGGCCAGGCGCAGTAGCTCACACCTGTAATCCCAGCACTTTGGGAGGTCAAGGTGGATGGATCACTTGAAGTCAGGAGTTTGAGACCAGCCTCACCAACATGGTGAAACTCCATCTCTACTAAAAACACAAAATTAGCCGGGCGTGGTGGCACATGCCTGTAATCCCAGCTTCTTGGGAGGCTGAGGCAGGAGAATTGCTTGAACCCGGGAGGTGGAGTTTGCAGTGAGCCGAGATCGCGCCATTGCACTCCAGCCTGGGCAACAAGAGCGAAACTTCATCTCAAAAAAAAAAAAAAAAAGTGCAATTGGTGTTTACATGCAATTTTGTTATGTTTTAAAACTTTTAAATAATTGGAGAACTTTTTGAATTCTCCAAATTTGCAAATATTGCCTAACATATATTTCATTCATTCATTCATTCATTCATTCAGTCATTCATTTGAGATGGAGTCTCACTCTGTCGCTCAGGCTGGAGTCCAGTGGCACAATCTTGGCTTACAGCAACTGCTGCCTCCTGGGCTCAAGTGATTCTCTTGCGTCAGCCTCCCGGGTAGCTGGGACTACAGGTGTGTGCCTCTATGCCTGTCTCATTTTTTTGTATTTTTGTAGAGATGGGTTTTTGCCATGTTGGCCAGGCTGATCTCGAACTCCTGACTTCGAGTGATCTCCCCACCTCGGCCTCCCAAAGTGCTGGGATTACAGGTGTGAGCCACCATGCCCGGTCAACTTTCTTCCATAAAATATTAATATGTATTTGAGACAATAAAGAGTAAACAATGATGGGTTGAGGTTCTGATATCAAGAGGTAGACTAGACTCACCAGCTCAGTGCCTGGTTCTTGAATACCACCTTTGAAACTCATATTCAGATTTGTGCCTCAGTAAAATGAAATGTACTACCTGGTTTTTTGGAGGTTGATTATAAGTTGTTTAAACCCAAGGTTTCCAAAGTGGATGTATAGCAGCTATTACTTTTGACTACGGAAAGAGAATCTTAAAATGTCTTTGCATATGTATTTTTTGATCTAGATAGTTACAAGAAAATGAGATATTTTCTGATATTTAATAAGTAAATTTTTACTAATGCCCACACTTTGATCTTAAATATGATTTATACATCTTCCTTTTTAAAATAGATGTGTTCTTAGAATGTTAATCTTTTTTTAAACAAAAAATGATTTCATAATGAGCTATCCAAGAGATATTTTCAAAAACTTCAAAGGACCCATAATCAACTCTTCTGAGTAAAGGTGTCATTTTATCAATGAATGAGGAAGTAACTGTTGAGTAAAACCAGCTTTTCTATGGCAAGAGCAGTTTTGAAACAGGTATTTGTAATGTGATTTTGTTGCCAAAGTGAGGTATGTCTCAAATATTATTTGTTAAAAATGGAAAAATATAACATCTTTAAAGCCGTTTTCAAGAACTTTAAATTTAGGAAAGTTGGGAATTTATTATCCAAATTTTAATCGAGACCTTTCTATAAATATTGGATGGGATTGAAAAATGAGCATCTTGATTTGGTAAGATACACTTACTCCCTTTGATCACATATATTTCTGAGATAACTCTTTCAGCTATAATAACTAAGACCAAATCTTGTTAATAAACTGAACTTAAACTGGTTATCTCGTCAACCTTTGTTTTCTTCTTTCATCCAGTAGACTCGGTGCCTACTTATAAGTTAATGTCCGATGTTTGTCTGTCGTTTTTATTAATGGCATTTACCTTTTTCATGGTCTTCCCACTGCCACTTTTGGTCTGTTCTGGTCAACTTTGGTGTTAGTAGGTATTGAGTCCTTTCTATATGCCAGGTACAATATTAGGTGTGTCTGTTTTAAAGGATAGAAAACTGAGGTTCAGGAGAATTAAAGTTATGCAAGTAAGTGGCAGAAACAGGACCTAGATCTAGCTCTCAATACAAAGCCTTTGCTCTTTTTTTGTGTTGCTGCCTTTCAGTAACATACACACACATGTGTACACACACCCCCTACATTCTACAATTTAATTGCAGTCTATTTTTATTTTAAAGTTGTCTCAGGATAGGAGCTTCAATTCTGTAGAGTGACTCGAGAAATAACTACCTTGTGTGTAATGAAGGAGACGATATATGCTAGGAACATTCTGTCTAGATCACAAACAGTTGATCCATGACAAATTTAAAAAAACTACCGGAATAACTATTATAAAATACTGATTTGGTAGTCTAGCTCCAATCCAGCCTAAAGAAAAGAATGTGCTATTAGATATATTAAAGACCAGCTTCTTCTTATGGTAAATGTAATGAATGGTGTATTGTATAGTTCTCTCATTTTTCTCAGTGACTGTAGAGGCTGGTACTGCAAGAGACAGCTCCATCTGCAGCTGGAAGATTATTTATTAACAAGTCTTACTAGCATAGTACTGTACTGTTAAGTCTTATGCAGGCAATGAGTTTAAATAAATACTTTTATTTACATATTAAATTATAGAATACTGATTCCAGTATGACTGAACTCTAAGGATTCTCTTCACACAGGTATCTACAGGAGGTGGGTTATACAGATACTATTCTAGATGTGAAATCTAAACGAGTGCGAGCTTTGTTGGGCTTTTCAAGTGATGTCACGGACAGGGAAGATGACAAAAATCAGGACTCAGTTGTAAATGGCACAGAGGCTGAAGTTAAAGAGACAGCAATGATTGCGTAAGTATTTTGTCTGGAAAGTGTTTTAGCTATTATTAGTTCTTATTAAATATTTTTGGTTTTATGGACATTACTTGTACTTTTAGGTAGTGACATAGAAATAATTTATAACTTAATAAAAATTCTAACATTTTATTTGGTTAGAAGGTAACAAGGATTGGAGTTATTTATGACTATTTTAATTCAAGAATATTATTTGTGATATTTATTTAATACAGATATTTAATAGATTTTAGTATATTGACTTAATCAGTAAATAAAACTTCAGAAAAGATTTTATTTGGAAATTCAGTACAAATCTGTAAGAATGACGTTTCATGATTGGTGATCCAGAAGTCGTAAAAATACCTCAAATTCTGTAGAAGTAACACTGTTTTTTAACCACTTTTGTTTATCTATTAATGTTGTAATTTATCTTTGATATAAAATATCTATTTTAAGTAGCTATTTTGAAGTGACAGCGTAAGTGTGAACAATTCAGTAGCTATTTGAAATATTTTGTTTTCCATTTTGGATTATGTATCATACAATTACATATGATTCTACTTAAAATAATCATAAACAGTTCAATAAAGAGATTCTTATTTATTGGGAAAAAATTTCCGTGATTGTTAATTGAATAAAAAGCCAAAAATTCTGTGAATGTTTAAGTATGACTTTTATTTTGACACTTGTTTAGGAAGGAAGAATGGTTTTAATTGAACTCTATAAATTTTCTAGCAAGAAGATAGTTCCTGCTATTTGGAATATAAATTAAAATTATGGGATTAGGTAAAGGTTCACTGTAGGACTTTTATAAGCAAAGTTCCTTGGAGCCTTAAAATGTATTCATTAATAATTAAGAATACATTTCCAACTTTGTAGGCTGTATTAAAAACATACATTAACTTATATTTGTAAATGTAAGGCATGTTATTTCTCTATAGATATAGACTGTGTGGACATTATCTTTAGTTCTGTTTTTATGTTCTGGGTTTAATGTAAGTCATCAAGTTAACTTAGATAGTATAAATGTTTTTTTTTTTTTTTTTTGAGGCGGAGTCTCGCTCTGTCACCCAGGCTGGAGTGCAGTGGCGCCATCTCAGCTCACTGCAAACTCTGCCTCCTGGGTTCACGCCATTCTCCTGCCTCAGCCTCCCGAGTAGCTGAGACTACAGGCGCGTGCCACCGCACCCAGCTAATTTTTTGTATTTTTAGTAGAGATGCGGTTTCACCATGTTGGCCAGGATGGTCTCCATCTCTTGACCTCATGATCCACCCGCCTTGGCCTCCTGAAGTACTGGGATTACCGGCATGAGCCCCCACGCCTGGCCAATAGTATAAATGTTTTTAAGAACTATAATGCATACTTTAATAACCTTCAGTAAAGACTTTGAGGGAAGACCACTCTTGTGTGTTTTGGCCTTGATTTGTCTTTTAAGAATGACAAAGATACTGTTGCTAATCTGTCCGATTTCAGTAGGGATAAAGAGTTAGGGGAGGGTAATACCAAACACAAAGCTGTAAGTAGATTTGAAATTTAAAATAGATCTCTTTTGAAAATTTTGTCCATAGTAGTTTCTACAATTTTTTTTTTTTTTCAGGAAAATGCTCTCTGTCTAAAAGATTACCTAATGAACTGGAGATAAATCTTTCTGTTCTGGCCATTGGAATCTTTACTAAATTTATTTATTTATTTATTTATTTATTTAGAGACAGAGTCTCACTCTGTCACCTGGGCTGGAGTGCAGTGGCACGATCTCAGCTTACTGCAACCTCTGCCTCCCGGGTTCAAGCGATTCTGCTGCCTAAGCCTCCCGAGTAGCCGAGACTACAGGCATGCGCCACTACACCCAGCTAATTTTTGTATTTTTAGTAGAGATGGAGTTTCACCATGTTGGCTGGCCAGGATGGTCTCAATCTCTTGACCTCGTGATCCGCCTGCCTCAGCCTCCCAAAGTGCTGGGATTACAGGTGTGAGCCACTGCGTCCAGCCAGTCTTTACTAAATTTATTTTGAGGGAACTAAATTCAAGTCATATATTTGAAAATTCAACTATTTCTAAGAGATTAATGGCTTATTAATCAACAGGGTCGAGTCTAGTAGCAATGTTAATTTGACTAGTGTATTGCTGTTAGTAACTTTATGTACACATTTTCTCTTTTACTTTAGCTGTTAAGCAGAAATACAAGATTGCATCAGAGAAAAATGACATACTTGTTATTTTCTTAGTTGTGTAAACTTATGTAAGAGGTCAAAGGGAGAGTTGTAGAGAGAATAAGAGTAGAGAAAAACGGCGGTAGAGATAATAAAAATATTTTTAAAATGAAATACATTAAGGTTGGTGTAAGGATCAAAATAATAATAAATCAGGAAGGGGAGTTTTTTACATTAGATTACCACTAATCTAAATAGATACGAGTGGCTCACGCCTATAATCCCAGCACTTTGGGAGGCTGAGGCTGAGGCGGGCGAATCACTTGGGCTCAGGAATTAGAGGCCAGTTTGGGCAACATAGTGGAACCCCATCTCTACTGAAAATACAAAAATTAGCAGGGTGTGGTGGCTCACTCCTGTAATCCCAGCTGCTTGGGAGGCTGAAACTGGAGAATTGCATGAACCTGGGAGGCGGAGACTGGAGTGAGTTAGATCATGCTACTGCACTCTACCGTGGGTGACAGAGCCCGGAGACTTTGTCTCCAGGTAGATAGGTAGGTAGGTAGGCAGGCAAGTAGATAGATAGGATTACAAAGTACTTAAAGAGTATCCACTTCTTGTATTGCTTTTTAAATTTGTGAGAGTGTAATTGATAAGAATCAATGTAGATAATGTGATTTGGGATTTATAGTTACCATATAAATAGAAGTTGATGTAACATATCATGGGTTACTTCTTATGTCGAAGTTAAAAAGATTAACTAAGCAGGATATACATGTTTTACACCAGAAAATCTGAGTTAACAGATTCTGCCTCCGTGCTGGATAATTTCAAATTCCTTGAAAGTGCAGCTGCAGATTTCAGTGATGAAGATGAAGATGATGATGTTGATGGAAGAGAGAAAAGCGTCATTGATACTTCAACAGTGAGTTAGATAACTCATACAATATAAATATTTTTAGGGACTATAATACATACTGTATAATGCATAAAAGAATCCATGTTCTTTAATCTTAACCCGTAGCTTTTTCTTTTTCATGAATTTGGAGACATTTATGAGAGTTTGTAATACTGATTTCAAGTTGAGAATATTTTTAATATAGTAGCTTTCTCTTGAAATTCCTCACTGTTTGACTTTTTGTTCATTCATTGAACAGGACAACTTTTCTATGGGGCAGATGAATATAGTAAATATTGTGTGTTATAACAATGCAGGGTTATTGGTTGTTACAAGAGAATAGAATTGACAGACACATCATGGTGCCTGATGGCAGCTAGCATCAGCTCTAATATATGCAGTTTTTGTCTCTTGTCAGGATTGTTTTGGTAGGCAAACTTTCAGAACTCTTCCATTAGAGTTCTTCAAAATTGTTTAGGGTTCTTCTCAAGTTTTGTTCAGATGTTGATAAGCTTATTGACTTTCCCATGGCAGGTTCTTGGAATGAGAGATGTCTCGAAGTAGCCACTTCTTTCTCTTCCCTTCTCCATTTTCTTCTCTTCTTCCCTCTTTCCCCCTTTTCCTCTCTCTTCGCTTTTCTCCCCTCTTCCCCTTCTCCCTTCTCTCTCTCCTTCCTTCTTCCTCCTACTCCTTTTCCTTCTTTTTAAAGTAAGATATGAGGACATGTTTCACTTTGTCTAGGAAAATGTTTGCATTTTCTCTTTCACATTAATTTATGAATAGAGAGGAGGAAAGTAAAGTAATATAAAGCAGATCGGACCTCTAACTAAAAGACTTGGGTTTAAGCTCCAGTTCTGCCACTATTTGTGTTTCTTAATGCTTCAGGCTTAGTTTTTTCATTTGTAAAATGAGGATTGTTATAAATAGCCATCTTAACCTTGGAGGATTTTGTGAGGAACAAAGAGACACTATGTGCGAAAATGATCTGTTTAACTATAAAGTGCTTTCTAAGTGTAACCTCTGTGTGTTTTATGCCTTCTGCTTCTGAGGCTCCATCAGAGACTCAAATTATTACTACCAGATTATTGTTTTCCATCACGACTATTCAATAGTACTCTACTGGTAAAGCCCTGCCTTGGAAATTATTTGAAATTCAAGTAGTAACTTCCAATTTTTCTTATCCAAAGAAGTAGTAATAGCCTGTGTCTTAATTTACCATAGTAAAAGGAAAAGCCTAAATTTCAATGACACTTTTTCTGTGTCCTGATCATCTGGAAATTGGGTAGTCCCTTGTGATTTCTGTGGGATGCTGGCATTGAGATATTATTTTTCCATCAAAATACTTTATTCATAGCTCAGTATTAAATAATGCCTTGAATCATGATGCTATGTTTCTGTTAGTGATATCAATTTAAATATTTAAAATATTTATAAACTAATTATTAAAACTGTTACATATGATCTTACTAGAAATTCCTAAACCATAGACTGTTGTCTTTTTAAGTAAACAACATAATAAATATACTGTCTTCTAATTAGTGCAGATCATAGCAGTTCTGTGCTGCGTGCAGTGGCTTGTGCCTGTAACCCCAGCTACTCAGGAGGCTGAAGTGGGAGGATCACTTGAGGCCAGGAGTTTGGGACCAGCCTAGGCAACATAGCAAGACCCCATATCTAAAAAAAAAATTTTTTTTTAATTAGCCATGTGTGATACTGCATGGGAGGCTGAGGAAGGAGGATCGCTTGAGCCCAGGAATTTGATGTTGCAGTGAGCCATGATCATGCTACTGCACTCAAAAATTTTTTTAGTTTTGGCTGGGTACGGTGGCTCACACCTGTAATCCCAGCACTTTGGGAGGCCGAGACGGATGGATCACTAGGTCAGGAGATCAAGACCATCCTGGCTAACGCGGTGAAACCCTGTCTCTACTAAAAATACAAAAAAAATTAGCTGGGTATGGTGGCGAGTGCCTGTAGTCCCAGCTACTCGGGAGGCTGAGGCAGGAGAATGGCGTGAACCCAGGAGGCAGAGCTTGCAGTGAGCTGAGATTGCGCCACTGCACTCCAGCCTGGGTGACAGAGCGAGACTGTCTCAAAAAAAAAATATATATATATTTTTTAGTTTTTTTTGGAAAAAAATATTTCTAAGCAAATCACTGGTTTTAACAGTTTTGCTTATTTTTTACATTATATTACATTAATTTGCACAGCTACACTCACATAGCTATATGCCGAAAAGGACTTTAACAACCTAATTCTGTGTAGCAGTGAATAAGCATAACTTACTGCATTCTATAGGAAAAGCTGAAAGTTATCCTATTAAAATGTCAAGTAGAACAAGTTTTAAAAATGTTATTTTATTTTATTTTTCTTTTTTTTTTTGAGACGGAGTTTCACTCTTGTTGCCCAGGCTGGAGTGCAGTGGTGTAATCTCAGCTGACTGCAACCTCCGCCTCCTGGGTTCAAGCAATTCTCCTGTCTCAGCCTCCCGAGTAGCTGGGATTACAAGCATGCACCACCACACCCGGCTGATGCTGTATTTTTAGTAGAGACAGGGTTTCTCCATGTTGGTCAGGCTGGTCTCGAACTCCTGACCTCAGGTGATCCGCCTGCCTTGGCCTCCCAAAGTGCAGGGATTACAGGTGTGAGTCACTGCACTTGGCCCTTATTTTTCTTTGCCATCATTATCAGTATTCTCGTCATCACCAGTTAAGTGTAATAACAACTCTGAGATTATACATGCATGTAAAAAGTGATCAGTTTCAAACTGTGTGAAGCCTAACTTCTGCAGCAGCATTTAGTCTCCACATTCAGGAACTTTAGGAGGAAAAAGAATGGAACTAAGAGCTATTAACTATTTTTTTTAGCCACAGTATAAAGAATCCCACGTCCCCTTGTGTCATGGCCCTCCTAATGGTTTTTGAAGTGACAGTTTATTCATTTTTCTAATCTACTTAGGCATCCTGTGCAACCCATAACTTCTTTGGTTTTCTCTTAATTTCCTAAATTGATTTATAAGCTCATCGAAGGTAGAAGTGGAGTGGAACCTTCTATGTCAGGAAGAAAAGTAATACATGCTTATTATTACAAACTCTACCTCTTCCGATTCTGATCCTGTTCTCCAGTGGTAAACACAATTCATTTTTCTTCTCTACCCAAACATTAAAAGCAGAGGACTTTTGGTTTATTTATTTAAAGTGAGATACTTAGTAAATAGTAATCTGCAATGACAGTAATAAATGTCATTTATCTTTATTCTTTGTAAGGTTATACTGAGGTGGTGAGACTAGAAACAAGTTTTTCCCCCCAAGAGTTGCTTTTATTACTTAATACCTAATATTTAATGTTGAAAATATATTCATACTTGGAATTTGAGGTTCCACATGCTTCTTATGGATTTTGCCTGCTCTTTTTGTCAGGCAGTGAGAACGAGGACTCTGTAAGATGTTGGTGGTGGTCCCTCTGAATTACAGCTGGCAACTCATCAGAGTCTAGAAGATGGAGGGATTAAGCCTCTAGGGTAAAAGAAGGTAGATTAGGCAATATATTTATATGTGGAACTCTGAGAATTGGGGTGTCCTGTTGGCATAACTCTTCAGATACACCTGTTTTTTTTCTTTTTTTTTGAGATGGAGTCTCGCACTGTCACCCAGGCTGGGGCGCAGTGGCGTGATGTCAGCTCACTGCAAGCTCCGCCTCCTGGGTTCACGCCATTCTCCTGCCTCAGCCTCCCGAGTAGCTGGGACTACAGGTGCCCACCACCATGCCTCGCTAATTTTTTTTTTTTTTTTTTGTATTTTTAGTAGAGACGGGGTTTTTACCATGTTAGGCAGGAGGGTCTCCACCTCCTGACCTCGTGATCCACCCATCTCGGCCTCCCAAAGTGCTGGGATTACAGGCATGAGCCACCGTACCTGGCCCAGATACACCTTTCTACCTTAGTCTGGCTACCTAGGGAAAATTAGAATAGATTATTAGAATATGGTTTGTATTTATAAAAGAATACACATTCAGCACGGGTTTTCTGTTCCCAGTCTGCCACACTGATCTTGCTTTTTTTGTTTGTTTGTCTAATAGATTTGCTAGATGGTAGATTGGGAGGTGCTGTAAGCATAGAAGTATTTCTTGATTTTAGGAAAATATCCCAAATAGTTAAACAAATTATTCTAGCATCATTAAATAATCCTTTGATTTCTCCTATCCAATTGTGTTTTTTTTTTTTTTAGACGGAGTCTTGCTCTGTCGCCCAGGCTGGAGTGCAGTGGCGCGATCTTGGCTCACTGCAAGCTCTGCCTCCCAGGTTCACGCCATTCTTCTGCCTCAGCCTCCCGAGTAGCTGGGACTACAGGTGCCTGCCACCATGCCTGGCTAATTTTTTGTCTTTTTAGTAGAGACAGGGTTTCACCGTGTTAGCCAGGATGGTCTCGATCTCCTGACCTCTTGATCCACCCACCTCGGCCTCCCAAAGTGCTGGGATTACAGGCATGAGCCACCGGGCCCGGCCACTCCTTTACAGTTTTTATATGTATCAGGACAGTTAAGGCTAGATAGGAGTTGTTTATGATGCCACCTTTGTTCTGTTGGTAGTGGCTTCTTGGAGTGCTGTACTGAGAAGGATTTCTGAGGCTGTATCTTGTTTTTGAAGAAGAATGCTGTGATTGATGAATGATACCAATTAACAGCATGGGAACAGGGCCATACAAGTCACGTGTTTGTCATCTTTGGGGTCTACTTCTCAACTCTCTAGTCTATCCTATTGGTCTGTCTGTAAAACTTTTATAATTTTAAGCCACTCACAATAGCCCAGCGATAACATTTGATCCTATCATGTTATTTCTGTTTTGCATGAAGTGAGTAAGCTGAAGTCTAGAGAAACTGAGATATTGAAATCTTATTCAAAGAAAATGCAAACCTAGCATCCTAATTTCTTTAGGCCCATGTTGGTAAAGGTGACTGAGATGGAGACAGTTCATAAAGAGCTTAGGCATGTAGATCACAAAAATTGTCCCTGCATGTATTCAGCTTAAGTTTTAGCCCTTCAATTGGATTTGTGATTCCAGAGTTATTTCTAAATATAGAAAAATGAACCATAGCAACCTTTACCAATTTGTTGTTAAATCTAAGTTAGATGTACTCTGAAAGATCAACATTTTAGGGAAAAAAATAAATACATGGAGAGCTACTAGAGAAAACTGATGCAAGGTTAGGACAGTAGAAATAATTATGGGAACCTTGTAAATCGTATATCTGTCATTTCAGTACATGTCTTATATTTCAGTATGTGGTTCCGTTAGTTTACTTAAAACAAGCCATAATACCGTTGAGCAAAGTTTAAATTACTGCTTTAAAATTTATAATGTACATATTTTTTAAAACTATGTGATTTTCACTGAGTTAGGTAGTACAGTTATTTAACACAACAAACGTATACTTTCTGAAGAAAATAATTGAATTTTCTTATTCAGTGGTAAAGGGAAACTATCTCCTTTATTTAATTTAGCATGTTTTTTCATTAGATTGTTAGGAAAAAAGCATTGCCTGACAGCGGTGAAGATCGAGATACAAAAGAAGCTCTAAAGGAGTTTGACTTCTTGGTTACATCAGAGGAAGGAGACAATGAATCTAGAAGTGCAGGCGATGGAACAGACTGGGGTAAGGAAGCATACTGGATCCAACCAGAGATGTTAAGTAAATAAAAGAAATTAATATTTTACCAGGAGGGCAACATCTTAACTATAATGTTGAAATATTGAGCATTCTGTGAACTTATTACTACTAGCACCCTTTATCCAGGGTGAATGTGTGTGTATGTTTAAGGAACATTGTATAACTACCTCATTTAAAAAGAAAAAAAAACAACAACAATACAGTATGAAAAGAATTTGAATTACTATACAGAATATTCTCTGTTTTCTGTTTAGACAGTGGAACTTGCAAATCTAGATTTTTGTGGAAATTGATTATGAGACTTTAGTTGGAGGATTTTTGGAGATCTCATTGCTGACATCTTACATGCGAAAAGAAGTATGAGTTAAAAAATTGTAGTCAGTCATTTATCATAAAGATTTGACAGTTCGTAAAAGGCATAGAATTTTTCTTCTCAAAATGTTCTAAAAAATCAAATATTTTAAACACCTAATAAGAGTTGAAACAAGTATTTTGGGGAAAATCCGTCTCATAAAAAAAAGGTCATTTAATTTTTCCTGTAAAAATGTTGTGCATAAATCGTTAAAAGTACGCTTAGGGGTTTTTTTTGCTATTGAAAGCAGTGCCATACTGAAATTACATTTTTAATTGTCTGTAACATATATAAAGAAATCTTACTTAGAGTTGTATATTGACTTTTTATACAGGCATTAAGGCTTATAGCCAGGACTGAGTTGCAGCAGCAGGATCTGCTATGTTTATGCTTTATTACTGGCACCTGAAAGTTTTCATTGTTTTTCTTTCTAGCTCAGCAGTATATTTACTTTTTTTTTTTTCATACCGAGTCTCACTCTGTCACCCGGGCTGGAGTGCAGTGGCTTTTTGATACCGAGTCTCACTCTGTCACCCAGGCTTGAGTGCAGTGGCGTGATCCTGGCTCACTGCAACTTCCAGTTCCCGGGTTCAAGCAATTCTCATGCCTCAGCCTCCTGAGTAGCTGGGACTACAGTGTGCGCCACCAGGCCTGGCTAATTTTTGTATTTTTAGTAGTAACAGGGTTTCACCATGTTGGCCAGGCTGGTCTCGAATTCCTAACATCAGGTGATCTGCCTGCCTCGGCCTTCCAAGGTGCTGGGATATCAAGCATGAGCCACTGCTCCCAGCCTTGTATTTACTTTTTTAAAGTTAGGTTTTATATTATGTTCTTCCCAGAAGAGGATAGGGATCTGTTGGTTTGGGTCCAGCCTTTCATGATGTTTGAACTTGAATTCTCCATATGAATTTTAAAATTATTTCTTCATGTTGTGTGAATAACTGAAGATTAGATTTTAGTTTCATATATATGTAAATAATTTGCAGCTAATTGTTATCTTTTCAATATTGAGTGTTCTTCTCAATAAAAAAGATACATGTCCCAAATTATACAGATTACCCTATTTATAAATAGTGTTTTTTTGTTTTTTGTTTGTTTTTTTCTTTTTCAACTTTCAGTTTTGGGAGTACATTTGCAGGTTTGTTACTTGGGTATATTGCGTGATGATGCAGTTCAGGGTGTAAATGATACTGTCACCCATGTACTGAGCATAGTACCCTTACGTATCAGTTGGTTTTTCAGCGCTTACTGCCCTCCCTGCCTCCTGCCTCTAGTAGTCCCAGGTGTCTTTGTTGCCATCTTTATGTCCCTAAGTGCCTACTGTTTAGCTCCCAGTTATAAGTGAGAACATGTAGTATTTGGTTTTCTGTTTCTATGTTAATTTACTTAGGATAAATACAGATTCTAATATACCTTCGAGAACTAGAACACAGCCTGTAAGACTGGGACACAGGTATTAATTCTGTCTAAATGTTACTTAGTGTGTTTTACTTAAAATGAAGAACTTTTTTTACGTTTTTAGTTACACACATCAGAAATACTAATTAAATCCCTATTTTTTTGGTATATTTCTTCTCTGAAGGAAAAATGAAAGAGTTCTAAAGCCAAAATGAAAAAAAGTAAGATACCTTTTCCTTCTCTCATTCATTTAAAAATTCTGTTGAACTTTTTTCTCCTTCATGATTGCTTGGTCATTATATGTAGTGACTGATAAGAAAACTCTCCTAGATAAGTTCAAGGAAAAGGTTTCCTAATGTTTTTAACAGACAAAAATAGATTTTTTGTAAACTTTTTTCCATCTGAAACATTTTACAGTAAAACTAATTTGTGCTTACCTCAAGGAAATGTTCTTCCTCTGTAAATATTGAACAATCCCAGTGGCACAAGGTCTACAAGAGATATTATGTTATGTTGCTAATTTTTCTGCCTTGCATTCAAAGTAGACTCAACCCCGCCTTACTTATCAGAAACCATTATAATAAGGGCATTTGTTGAATCTTTTTTTTTTGACAGAGTCTCACTCTGTTGCCCAGGCTAGAGTGCAGTGGTGCAATCTTGGCTCACTGAAATCTCCGCCTTCTGGATTCAAGCAGTTCCCTGCCTCAGCCTCCAGAGTAGCTGGGATTACAGGCGCCTGCCACCACGCCCGGCTATTTTTTGTATTTTAGTAGAGACAGGGTTTCACCATGTTGGTCAGGCTGGTCTTGAACTGCTGGCCTCAAATGATCTGCCTGCCTTGGCCTCCCAAAGCGCTGGGATTACAGGTATGAGCCACTAGGCCTGTCCCATTTGTTGAATCTTTTAATGACTCTTCTTGTTGAGGTGTTAAAGTAAGTTACTTAAGTAAGGCTGTCTGTCTATCCCTGATGTGAAATTCGAAATCTGAAATGCTCCAAATTCTGAAACTTTTTGAGCACTGCCATGATATTTAAAGAAAATACGCATTGGAGCATTTTGGATTTTGGATTTTTGGATTGGGGGGTGCTGAACCAGTATAGTACAAATATTCCAAAATCCAAAATAATTTGAAATCCGAAATACTTCTAGTCCCAAGCATTTCGGGTAAGGGATAGTCACCTGTAGTGTATTATTTTGCTTTTATGTTGGAGCTTCCTATGAGAGGAAGAAACTGATTATACTTCTAAGTCCAGCTGACTTCTTCTTGCCCTTAGTGTTCAGTTGAAAATTACTTTCTAGAATGATTGGTAGGTTCATTTGCCCAAGAATCATTAAAAAATAGTTTTCTGGGCCAGGCGCAGTGGCTCACGCCTGTAATCCCAGCACTTTGGGAGGCCGAGGCGGGTGGATCACCTGAGGTCAGGAGTTTGAGACTAGCCTGGCTAACCTGGTGAAACCCCATCTCTACTAAAAATATGAAAATTAGCTGGGCATTGGGGCGGGTGCCTGAAATCCCAGCTACTCGGGAGGCTGAGGTAGGAGAATCACTTGAACCTGGGAGGCAGAGGTTGCAGTGAGCCAAGATGACGCCATTGCACTCCAGCCTGGGCGACAGAGCGAGACTCTGTCTCAAAAAAAAAAAAAAAAAAAAAAAAGTTTTCTGGTGCAGTGATAATATTGACAATAGTAACTTTATAACCATAGCACACAATAAATTTTTCATATGCCTTTACTTTTGCTTAAACCATGTAAATTTGCCATTACCTTCAGGGACTCTGTCATGGTACCAATGACACTTCTTTTCCTTTTTTTGTAGTAAATAAAAGATACTTATTTAGTCATTGAAGAATACAGTGGGTACCTAGTGACTGGCTTTTCTTTCAAGAAAACAAGTCTGGAAACCAAGGAGATGTTAAAGTGAAACAGGCCTTTATTCTGTCTTATTCCCTACTGAGCTTGTGTATCAAGTTACTCATATTTTAGGCAAGTCCACCAACATAGCTGCATCTACTGTGCCACACTGAGGTCTTTCTCTGAGGAATCACACATCTGCATAGATATAGTTGGTCATTTTAATTGTGAATCATATTGCAAGGGTACCGGAGATTGGTTTTTCTCCGAGGACAGCTGCACTGTTCCTTGTGTAACTTCCTTTACTTTAACGTGTGAGTCATAGCTCAGTGTATTATATGATACATGTGTGTACATTTTACCTAGCCTATTATATGAGTCACATGCTTGACTGTTCTCACAACTGAGTTGTCTCCTTCTTTAGTAGTGTGCTGGATAGTTCTGTTAGTGAGCATGAGTAAATGGAATCTTTCGGTTTCCTGGAGGTTTCTTTACCAGTAGTTTGACCTGTATGTTTTAGGATTTTATAATTCAGATTCAAAGGGTTCACTTTTAACAAATTAACAAAACTAGGTTGCAAATCTTGTCTAATTGAGTGAACATTTAAACGATTTTAAGGGTTCTCTCCATCTGTCTTCTACTCTACTCCCCCCCACCCCCCCCAAAAAAAAGAAGAATATGCTTAGGTTGAGAATCTGGTTAGATTCTGGCAAGCAAAAAGATTTTACCATACATCTTCCATGATTGCTATTGTTTTTATGAGTCTAGTAAGATTATAAGGCTACATTTTAACTTCAAAAACCTGAAGACATTTGGGGACCCAAAAGCCATCTAGTTTAATTTATTATTAAGACCTGATTGATGAAAATTAACATTTTTAATTGTTATGTCTTTCTGGGAAAATAAAGAATGTTTCTCCTATTGATAGATTATAGTTAAGTATATAAAAATGTTGTTTAAAATGATTTTTAATAGTATTATATTCAGAGGCCCAGGAAACAGTTTTCTAAACTGGATTGAAACTCAAATTATTAAAAACAGATTTCTGTTTATTATGATTCACTTTGGTTTACTCGGATCATTCATTCAACAAATATTGATCAAGTGCTTTCTATTTGCTGGGTTTTCTAGGTGAAGATACTTATTCTTCTGGTGCTTACATTCAACTAAGAGGATATAGTATGTCAGAAGGTGATAAATGCTATGGAAAGTAGAAAAAGTACAGAGTAAGGGAGATAGAGAGAGCTGGGGTCAGTGTGGGGTAGAGAAGGCAGGTTACAATTCAAAATAGAGTGGTTAGCTGGGTGCAGTGGCTCATGCCTGTAATCCCAGCACTTTGGGAGGCTGAGGTGGGAAGATTGCTTGAGCCCAGGAGTTTGAGACCAGCCTGGGCAACATAGTGAGACCTCATCTCTACAAAAAATTTTTTAAAAATTAGCCGGGCATGGTGGTACACACCTGTTGTCCCAGCTACTTGCAGGGCAGAGGTGGGAGGATCGCTTCAGCCCAGGAGGTCAAGGCTGCAGTGAGTTGAGATTGTGACAGTGCACCCCAGCTGGTTTGATAGAATGAGATTCTGCCTCAAAAATAAATGGATAAGTAAATAAATGCACACACACACACACACACACACACACACACATATAAATTAAAAACCCATGAAATATAGTGGCCATGATAAGCCCCATTGAGAAGATAACAATTGAGTAAAAGACGTGATGAGGGAATTGGCCATCTGGGGAAGAAGTGTTCAGGAAGAAGAAAGCCAGTGCAAATGCCTTAAGATAGTAGCAGCATCCCTGGCATGCCTGAGAAATTTAAGGGAGCCAGAGTGGCTAGAGCAGAGTGATTCTAGGGAGAATGTAGTAAGAAATGACCAGATCATGTTGAGCCATGTAGACCAGTGGTGAGATGGGGAGCCATGGGAGGGATTTGAGCAAGAAGGGTGACACGATCTTTTATTTTAAACCATCTTTGGCTGCTACATTGAGAATAGACTACACAGGGAAACCAGTGTTGATAATAGACATGGGGAAGGGGGAACAATTATTGCAGTAATCCTAGCAAGAGATCATAGTGATCAGAGTAGTAGTAGATGTGCTGAGAAGCCAGATTCTGAATATTTGTGAAGGTAGAGAAAATAGTTTTCCCTGATATATTTTATGTGGAGTGGGAAAGAATGGGTTTTGCTCTGAAAAAGTGCACGTATGGAATTGTCATCAAATAAGGTGGGGAACCCTTTGGATGGAACAGATTGGATGGGGAGAGAGGTTGGGTGTTTGGTTTTGTATGTTTGCTTGGAGGTATCTGTTAGACTTCCTAATGGAAATGTAGAATGAACAGTTGGATGTATCAGTCTTGGGTTCAAGCTAGCATTCTGAGTTAACATTTACATAGCATTATATAGTATTTACATTGTTTTATAGTAAATATAAATACATAACATAGTTTTTAAATTTTCTTCTCTTGAAATAGTGACAATTGATTATTGATTTTCTTTACTACTAGAAACTCAGTTTCCTGTTTTAAGAATTTATAAACTAACATCATTTAAGTTGTAAATTTTAAATGAAGGTTGATTAATAAATTTTTCAAATGCTATGTATTAAGCCTGTAAAATAAAAATTATCACTTACTAATGAACACATGGCAAAAATATAAACTTCTTTAAAAGATCATTGGCGTTTATTTTGTACAATCCCTAAATAAAAATTTTCTCTCATCACATAAATTAATACAAAGTCTTTTTGTGTTAGTCCTAGAGGAATTCTGAAAACGAGAAGTTCTGTTTTTTGTTTTTTGTTTTTTTTTGAGACAGAGTTTTGCTCCTGTTGCCCAGGCGGGAGTGCAATGGCACAATCTCGGCTCATTGCAACCTCCGCCTCCCGGGTTCAGGCGAGTCTTCTGCCTCAGCCTCCCAAGTAACTGGGATTACAGGCATGAGGTACCATGCCCGGCTAATTTTGTATTTATTTATTTATTTATTTATTTATTTATTTATTTATTTATTTATTTTACTAGAAATGGGGTTTCACCTGTTGGTCAGGCTGGTCTTGAACTCCTGACCTCATGTGATCCACCCGCCTCAGCCTCCTAAAGTGCTGGAATTATAGGCGTGAGCCACCCCACCTGGCCGAGAAGTTCTTGATTGTAAAGTGTTTGTGCTTAATTTACTAAAAATCACTAAAATCTTCCGTGTGTGTGTGTGTGTGTGTGTGTGTGTGTGTGTGTGTGTGTGTCTTTCAGGAGAAACTGATTCTAGGAAATTGCACTGATCATTTCTTCTTAGTGATTATATTTTTTTGTGTGACTTATATATATAAAATGAATAAACTGACTTTTTTTAAGTTAGTGATACTATAAAGAAAGTGGTTGTTACGTCATTCAGACATACTGACTCAGAGTGTTCAATATTTTATTGAAAAAGGCTGTTTCATTTGTTTCACTCTGTTTAGAAAAGGAAGACCAGTGTCTCATGCCTGAAGCCTGGAATGTGGACCAGGGAGTAATTACCAAACTCAAGGAACAATACAAAAAGGAGAGAAAGGGGAAAAAGGGGGTGAAGAGTAAGTGGAAAACATTGTATCTGTAAATCATAAATCTTGCCTCTTTACATCCCCCAGTTTTTTTTTTCAATGTTTTCCTAAATCTACTTACTCTTTTTCATTTCTGCTCCTGACCTCTTTCCTTTTCACCTGCTCTCAGGGGTTGAAATTAAATGATTAGCTATTTAATTATGAACTTAAAAGAAAACAACCCACATGTACTTATGGAATCATGTATACTATATCCCAATAATAAATCCAGAGCCTCATGAGTGTTGGGCTATGTATTCAAACACAGTGATAATTTGATTTTTAAAAGTACCTGTGCTTAATTATAACAATGTTTTTCTTTTTCATTGACAATTTATAACTCATTTAGTGTGACCCTCTGGCAATCCACCAAAATTATTGCTTATAATTTTAGACATTGGTGACAGAAAGTTAATTTCTACCCCTGAATATTCTATGTGTTCATAACATGCAGTTCATTTGCTCATACCACTATATGCTATACAGGGCACAGAGTCAAATATATAACTTCTAAAAATATTTATTTTCTATTTAAACATTTTTGGCCAATTTTACTTATAACATTATTACCAATGACCTTTTTTCCTTTTTAATGTATGCCACATCAAAAACAAAATCCAAAAGGAAATTTCTAGCCCTGTGAATCATATATGTTTAATTATTTCATTATGCAAATTGTTTAGCAATGGATCTAGTTAAGAATGTAAAATGGAAATACAAAACCTTACAAACCATTCCTGAAAACAGTCTTAAATCATCTTCTTAGGGGAACAAGGCTAAATTACCTCCTTGTGTTTCTACCCTCGTTGACAATATGGGCCTCCCTTTTATGGTAATAGGAATTTGATTATTTGAGATGTTAAGGTAGTATAAAGTGAGATTAAAATCTAACTTAGTGAGAAATGTATTTTAAAGTTGCGAAAGACTGGAAAGGTATGCTTTTTCTTTTTCTCTCTCTGTAGTGATGCTAAAGCTTATTAAAGACCAGTCATTCCTGTTAGGACATTCTTTTAAACTTTATTACTTAAAAGCATTTAAACCTTTATTTAAAATATTTTAGAAATTACAAGCGTTTAGCTTGATTTGATAAAAAGTCAGTGTCTGTTATTGATGTTAAACCATTACATAATGAGAGATGATGTTGTAATGCTATCTCAAGATAGATTAAATCAGAATGAGAAAGATTAATATTAAAACATAAGCACATTTCATACCTTTTCGCCAAATATACTTACTGATAGACAATTTAATCTTAACAAGCATAGGGAGATGATTTGTCTTGGCTTTTGAGAGTCATGACAAAAAACCAGTTAAACTGAAATTTTGAGGAAAATTTGAATGTCATATGTGAGAAATAATTTCCAGATTAACTTAATGTTGATATTTTTCTTTAGGTCATTATGCTACAAAAATGAATGTCTTGAAATACAAAAGATCCTTTAGTTGGAAAGGTAACCAGGACTTAGGCACAATCCATCTACTTTTCCATTGGTTATTCAGTTCTTGTCAAATATCAAGGCATTGCTGTAGTTGGAATTTAACTGAAACTGCACCATTTGACTGGAACAATATTCCTACTAATAGAAGCAATTGGATTTCTTAAATCGGGGGATTAAAATGTGTTCAGACATCTAGCACATGGTTTTTTTTTAGTATGGTGAAGAAAAATGACACTGTAAGGGAGAAATTTTAACATCTTTCATTGAAGAGAGAGGGACTACACATTTCAGCACATTTTGTTTAATGTCTTCAGTTCATGTTATCTTGATAAAATAGCAATCTAGGAACAAGTAAAGACTTAGGATAAAAATAGAACTGAAGCCATGCTTTGAATTGATATATAAAGCATTGAGTTATAAACCACCATAAATTTTTTTTTTTTAATTGAACTAGTACTCATTGGAAAAGTTTGAGTCTTTTCAATGTGGTCTAGTAGAGATATTTCCAGTCAAATCCTGTACTCCAATCATACCATCTTGAAATACATTTCTAGGCATTAGTAAAAATTGCTTAAAAATAGTTGTATTCTTTGCTGGTATAGGAACAAACCATAACAGACTTTGGGTAAGATTTTCCCATTCTTAATTAAACTTGTAACAGGAAAAACTACTGAAGATCTGTTTCAGCCTCTATCCTATATAAAACAGTCAAAACAGGGATGTGGGAGAATGAAGAATCAAAGTTTAGGTAAGTAATCGGTAGGGCATGAGACTTCACCTCGGGTACCATAGCTTCAGGATGTAAGGCAATTAATGCAACTTAATTTAAACAAACAGGGATGTTACTGTTTAATTCAGTGCACAGTAGGCTCACAATCTGTATCTGGCTGCATTTAGAGCAATATTCAGTGGCTAAAGAATGTTATTTTTCATGGTCTAACTGGACACGAGCATTCTTTTTTATGTAAATAGTGATATCCCATTTGCTTAATTTAAAAAGTATAATTCTTTTCAAGAAATAAACTTTTACAGTAATTTGAAAACTTGAAAATAATTCTTATTAATCTAGTAGAATATTTTTAAAGGTAAATATTGACAGATGGAAAATAAGGCTTATAATACCATTTTGATGCAATTGGATAATTCTCTTTTCTCTTTTTTATCTCCTCCCACCCCCCCTTTTTTTGGCTAGGGCCCAATAGGTCAAAACTACAAGATATGCTTGCTAATTTGAGAGATGTTGATGAACTTCCTTCATTGCAGCCATCTGTGGGTTCACCTTCCAGACCCAGCAGCTCCAGGCTTCCTGAACATGAAATTAATAGGGCAGATGAAGGTAAGTATTTAAGATACTCTGGAGCACAAAATGCACTTGGATGTATATCTTTAAATTCATTCATTAGAAAGGCCTCTCCTATTAGAGAGAACTTTATTCTGCAGATGTTTGATCTGCATAGTTTTCCCCAAATGCAAGCTTTCTTACATTCAAGGGAGTTTGATTCCAACTTCAATCTTCAAGACTTGAGAAGGTGCATACACTTAAAAACCAACTCTAAATTCTGGTTTAAAATATCCGCTGGCTCCACTGATGCCCATGGCCCTATATATACCATTCCAACATTGGAAAAATTAGCAGTCTGTAAATTGGTAGTAAATGTTTACTTTGAAACTCATATAAATATTTAAGCAATTTATTAATGATAATTGAAAAAGGGGATAAAGTCACCTAAAAGTCTAGTCACATATTCTGCTATTTTAACTTGTTCCCTTTCAGTCTTGGTTCACATGTGTATACTTTTTTTTTGTTTTTTGAGATGGAGTCTCGCTCTATCGCCCAGGCTGGAGTGCAGTGGCATGACCTTGGCTCGCTACAACCTCCACCTCCCAGGTTCAAGTGATTCTCTTGCCTTAGCCTCCTGAGTAGCTGAGATTACAGGCACCTGCCGCCAAGCCTAGCTAATTTTTTTGTATTTTTAGTAGAGATGGGGTTTTGCCATGTTGGCCAGGCTGGCCTCGAATTCCTGACCTCAAGTGATCTGCCCATCTTGGGCTCCCAAAGTGCTGGGATTACAGGCATGAGCCACCATGCCTGGCCTCACATGTATATACTTTTTATACAGGTATAGAATATACCTATATAAAAATATGCATTATTCTACATCATGTATAATAATTCTATTTTGTGTTCTTAAAATCATACAAATGATTTTCATAATGATAATTTTAAGATTGTATATTATATTGTAGACTTGATATGAAACTTTTGAATATTTAGGTTATTTTTAGTCTTTTGCAGTGTAATCTTATGGTATATAAATACAGTTCTTTCTTTTAGACACAAGGTCTGATTTATCTGTTTATAAATGTGTAAAATGCTTGTATGTGGAAATTGATTTTGAAGTACATATTTAGGCTGAGCCTGGTGGTTCCTTGGGAGGCTGAGGTGGGAGGACACTTGAGCCCAGGAGGTTTGTTTTGTTTTTTGTTTGTTTGTTTTTGGAGACAGGCTGTCACTCTGTCACTCAGATTAGAGTGCAGTGGCGCAATCACAGCTCACCACAACCTTGACCTCTCAGGCTCAGGTGATACTTCCACCTCAGCCTCCTGAGTAGCTAGGACTATAGGCACATGCCACCATGCCCAGATAACTTTTTTATGCTTTTTGTAGAGACATGGTTTTGCCATGTTGTTCAGGCTGATCTCAAACTCCTGGGCTCAAGTGATCCAACTGCGTCGGCCTCCCAAAGTGCTGGGATTACAGGCATGAGCCACTGGGCTCAGCCGCAGTTCAGGAGTTTGAGACTGTAGTGCGTGATGATTGAGTCAGTGAATAGCTACTGCACTCCAGCCTGGGTGACATACTGAAACCCTGTCTCTTAAAACAATCAAATATTTATATTAGCTGAAAATTCAGCATGACATAAAAGTAATTATGATTAATGTATATTTTTAAATACTTATTTAAAAAATTCTGAATTTAAATACTATATTTGCATTGTCTCTTCAAATTATTATTTATTGATCAACACAGCCTGAGAAAAAGCCACAGCATAATCATATGTTTTTTTCTTGTTTTTTTTTAATAAATTACATTTTAGAGAGACATAAACTGATATGATTTAGATGTATCTAGATTTTCACGATTGGAATACTTCTTCAGTGAAATTTTTGACCAGTACATGGTTAATCATTTGTTAGAGTCAATTATAGCACTTGGAATTTATTACCCATACAAAGAATCAACACATCACACTGTAGATGTAAAGTTTATTTGATGTCTTTTGAATTACAGATGTGAGGTCATGGTCCTTAGTAGGTATGTTGATCACTAGGAGATGCATTCTGTTGACATTATAGGTATGAGACTTCTAATCAGTTGCATTAATCCCAAAATCAGGTCTAGATAAGGAGAAAAGTTAGTTTTTCTCTTATTCTCATAATTCAAAAAGTTTATCAGATTTCATCTCAGGCCATACATGAATTATGCAGAATTCTAATAATAGAGGTAGGATATATACTATTTACTAAATGACAGATGTACAAAAGCATTATGTAAGCCACAGAAGATGTCCTTGATAAAAAACATAGTGAGGAACTTTAAAACTCAAGCATTGAATGTTTGTTTAACTTACTATCTGCAGCAGTGGTCCTAAGCCTTCCCCCTCAGTGCAGGTTTTTTGGAAATAGAAAAAACATTTAAGAGATAGATTGTATATTTAATTGTCTATAACTGATACTTCTTGGTCTTCAGTCCACTTTCAGAAAGAATGTTCATATGCTGTGTGTGCTCTATAATTTTGTTACTTTATTTTTATTTTAATAATTCAGAAGGCAGGGCCGGGTGCAGTTTAGTTGCTCACGCCTGTAATCCCAGCACTTTGGGAGGCTGAGGTGGGCAGATCACTTGAGGCCAGAAATTCAAGACCAGCCTGGCCAACATGGCAAAACCCTGTCTCAAATAAAAATACAAAAATTAGCTGGACATGGTGGCGTGTGCCTGTAGTCCCAGCTACTTGGGAGGCTGAGGCAGGAGAATCACTTGAACCCAGGAGGCGGAGGTTGCAGTGAGCTGACATCACACCACTGCACTTCAGTCTGGGTGACAGAGTGAGATTCTGTCTTAAAAAAAAAAAAAAAAAAAAAAAAAAAGAAGGCAGTGTCACATTTAAAAGGCACAGGGTTTTGTTTTGTTTTGTTTTTTGGTAAAAGCTGATTAGGGCTAGGAAGGTTTAGTTGCCAGATGGAAACGTGACCTATAGTCTTAAGTTCTAAGGCTCCTTAGGAACAATCAGGTAACAGTGATGCTTATTATTGCTCTGCCTCATCAGTCCTGGAGTGTCCTGGCTGTCCACTGGTATGTAAGGAAGGAGTTGTTACCTCCTTTGTTTTCAGGTTTTACTTGGCCATTTGTAGAGCAGTAGTTAGAATTAACTTACATAATTTATATGGTCTATCCTAGGAATCTTAGTCTTTTACACCTGAACAAAGTTATCTGGAAATGTTAGAAATGGGAACAAATCAAACAAAAAACACCTGGCTGAAGACCTACCATCATAGTCTCACATGAGTCATTCAACTGATATTTTTGACCTGAAAATTGCTGTTGTAACTTCAACAATTCCTATTCTTCATTAGTAAATGTTTAGAGTTGTTTGAACTTCTCGGATGATATATGGTATTTTGGGTAAAACCTATGTTTATTTTTGCTACTGTATTGTATGGTAGTTTGATAATGTCTTAATTTATGCTCTATTTTGTTCTGATGAGGATTTTAAGAGTTTGTCACTACTGTTTTTAAAAGCAAGTAACTATTTTTAAATTTTTTTTAAAGACATGGTCTTGCTCTGTTGCCTAGGTTGGAGTGCAGTGGTACAGTCATAGCTCACTGTAGCCTCAAACTCCTGGGCTCAAGAGATCCTCCTGCCTCAAGCCTTCCAGTTAGCTAGGACTAGAGGCATGCACCACCATGCTTGGTTAATTGTTAAAAAAAATTTTGTAGAGGCCGGGCATGATGGCTCACGCCTGTAATCCCAACACTTTGGGAGGCCAAGGCAGGGAGATCGCTTGAGGTCAGGAGTTTGAGACCAGCCTGGCCAACGTGGCAAAACCCCATCTCGACTAAAAATACAAAAATTAGCCAGGCATGGTGGCAGGTGCCTGTAATCTCAGCTACTTGGGAGGCTGAGACAGGAGAATTTGCTTGAACCTGGGAGGTGTACGTTGCAGTGAGCTGAGATCACACCACTGCACTCCAGCCTGGGTGACAGAGTGAGACCCCGTCTCAGATTTTTTTTTTTTTTTAAGATATAGGGGTCTTGCCCTGTCGCCCAGGCTGGTCTCAGACATCTGGCCCCAAAGGGTCCTCTCACCTTGGTATCCCAAAACACTAAGATTACAGGCATGAGCCTCCGAGCCTGGCCAATTCTTTCATTTATTCAATGAGTATTTATTAATAGACATGATTGAATATAAAACTGAAAAATGTCTTGTACGTGCACTAGTCAATACAGTTGACTTGTTTCTTTTAAGAAAATTAATTTACCCCTTTAGCAGCTAGGGTTTGAACTACTAAATTCATCTTATTGACTCACAAATGTTTGTCATATGTAACCATCTGTAGGAAACTACTCAAAGACTATCTCTGACGTTTGTCAGAACAAATTGCATTTATAAAGAGTGACATTTTGTTATTGACCAAATTAAATAAAATCATTATTTTAATTAGACATATTGCTTTTAACTGATTTTTCTATGATGGTTGTTGAAGGAATTGGATTGTTATGTTCAAAATGTTACAAAATAGGATATTTCAGGTTATTCACAAAGTAAAACTGACATCTTTGAAGCACAGTTCACAGCTAATGAAAGTGTTCAAATGGACACTTTAAAAAATTTTCTCGCTGGGCGTGGTGGCTCACGCCTGTATCCCCAGCACTTTGGGAGGCCAAGGTCGGTGGATCACCTGAGATCAGAATTTGAGATTAGCCTGGTCAACATGGGGAAACCCCGTCTCTACTAAAAATACAAAAATTAGCCAGGCATGGTGGCAGGCGCCTGTAATCCCAGCTACTTGGGAGGCTGAGGCAGGAGAATTGCTTGAACCCAGGAGGCAGAGGTTGCAGTAAGCTGAGATCATGCCAGTGCACTCCAGCCTGGGCCATAGAGCATGACTCCATCTAAAAAACAAAAAAAACAAATAAACAAAACATTTTCTTTACCGGGTGCAGTGGCTCATGCCTGTAATCCCAGCACTTTGGGAGGCCAAATCAGGTGGATCACTTGAGGTCAGGAGTTCACGACCAGCCTGGCCAACATGGTGAAACCCCGTCTCTACTAAAAATACAAAAATTAACCAGATGTGGTGGCACGCACCTGTAATCCCAGCTACTCGGGAGGCTGAGGCAGGAGAATTTCTTGAACCCAGGAGGTGGAGGTTGCAGTGAGCCAAGATGTCACCACTGCACTCCAGCCTGGGTGACAGAACGAGACTCTGTCTCAGAAAAAAACATAAAAAAAAAGAAATAAAAAATAAAAAAAAATTTTAGATGAACTATAATATACCTACAGAAGAGTGCTGATATCATAAGGGTACAGCTCAGTGAATTGTCATCAAGATAGAATTATTACCCTCCCACGTCACCACCCCTTAGGTCAACAAGTAGAACATTACCAGGGCCCTGGAAGTCCTGTTGTTGCTTCCTTTCTTTAATCACTACCCCTCTTCTGGCCGGCAGAGGTAATCCTGACTTATAACGCCACATATAGATTTTGTCACATAAATAGGCACATTTAAGAATTTGACCCATTTTCATTTGAAATTTTCTATATTCTTCTAGGTTATAAAATTAATGAATTATATTTTGAATGAGACCAGCACTTGTACATATATTTAGTAATTAATAGAAATTGTTTAGGTAATTAACATGAAATATCAAATGAGGAAAACTTACTTTCCTATAGTCATTATTTTTCTATATAGTGAAAAGGAAAGGACAGTGGATTCTTAGATTTGTTTCATGTTTTACTTTTCTAATTAGTTGATGCCTTTACCTGTGGTTAAGATATGGAAAAAGCAATAAATTATTTAGGATTTTCTGCTCACTGAATTTTATTGTGTTTAAAAGCATTTAAAAACAATTAAGTATATACGTGCACTTATAAGAAATTTGATGCAAGCAAATGAGACTAAATGTTGGCTCCTTAGAGATTTTTTAATGTTTCCTTTGTCTTCCCTCTTCAGTGGAAGCATTGACATTTCCTCCTTCTTCTGGAAAGTCATTCATCATGGGAGCAGATGAAGCCCTTGAAAGTGAACTGGGACTTGGAGAACTAGCAGGCCTTACGGTGGCCAATGAAGCAGACTCACTAACTTATGATGTAAGTAGTAGTTTTGTTTTTGTTGTGTTTACTTGGTTTTTAAAAACAAAAACTTGGGCTGGGTGCGGTGGCTCACGCCTGTAATCCAGCACTTTGGGAGGCCGAGGTGGGCGGATCACTTGAGGTCAGGAGTTCAAAACCAGCCTGGCCAACATTGAGAAACGCTGTCTCACAGAAAATACAAAAAATTAGCCAGGCATGGCGGCAGGTGCCTATAATCCCAGCTACTAGGGGGGCTATGGCAGGAGAATTGCTTGAGCCCGGAAGGCAGAGGTTGCAGTGAGCCAACATCGCACCACTGCACTCCAGCCTGTGCAACAGAGTGAGACTCCGTCTCAAAAAAGTAAAATAAAATAAAAAGTTGATTTTATAGAAAATGAAGGCAATGGTAAAACTTCTTTACAAGTGTAGAACTTGGTTCAGTTTTCATTGCAAACTTTGAAAGATACGTAAAGAAAAACTAACATTTTTCCATAACCTAGAGATTAAAATTTTGGGCTTTACCTAAATCCATAATTGAGTATGATTTGTTTATTGGTTTTTGATAGGGGAAAGAATTCCTTTTTCCATTACCAAATTTGGATTTTGTTTTCTTTTTTAGGGCACCAGCAATTAGTTGTAATTCGTGCCTACCTAAACAATATTTGCCTTGCTTCTTTAGTACACTAGTCAATATCCTGTTGAGAAGAGATTTTAATTAGTAGTAGGCATGGATGTATACAGTGTGCTTTCCAGATGTTAAGGCTGACCCATCAGAGATTTGGACCAAAATTGAAATCTTTGTACCTTTGGGCATACATTTACTTAATTCCAAACATAATTGTTTTATAAATGTGTTTATAGGGCTGGGCACAGTGGCTCATCCCTGTAATCCCAGCACTTTGGGAGGCCAAGGCGGGTGGATCACGAGGTCAGGAGATCGGGACCATCCTGGCTCACACGGTGAAAACCCGTCTCTATTAAAAATACAAAAAAATTAGCCAGGCGTGGTGGCAGGCGCCTGTAGTCCCAACTACTCGGGAGGCTGAGGCAGGAGAATGGCGTGAACCCAGGAGGTAGAGCTTGCAGTGAGCCAAGATCTCGCCACTGTACTCCAGCCTGGGCGACAGAGCAAGACTCCGCCTCAAAAAAAAAAAAAATGTTTATAATTGCTCATCACAATAAATAATTTATTAGAAAAATAGTTGCTTATGTCATAGGTGAAGTATTTATAACCTGCCTTATTTCATTAAATTCCTCTCACTTTGATAGTTTATGATCTCTGTTGGAAAACACAATGTATCTCTTGCAGCACAGGTACCATGCAGGGGATGTAGGATGGATGCCTAAGTAAACCATAGGTACGGTAAAGAAGCACTCCAAAGAATAATGCTTACCACTCACTCCTCTTCATACAGATAAAAAAACTCCCAACCTGTTTGCTAAGCCCATTAGTAAGTCTTTTGGGTTCTACCTCCAAAGACAGTTGAAATCCGTATACTACTTTTCATTTTCTATCCTGGTCCATTTTTTTCTTAGCCAGAGCTACTACAATAACCATCTAATCTAAATGGACTCCTTGCACTCCATTCTCCACAAATATGATACAGATTTACAAAAAAAAAATTTTTTTTTTTTTTTAAGGCAGGGTCTCACTCGGTCACCCAGGCTGGAGTGCAGTGGCTTGATCTCAGCTCACTGCACCCTCCGCCCCACCGGGCTCAAATGATCCTCCCATCTCAGCCTCCCAAGTAGCTGGGACCATAGGCACGCACCATCACACCCAGGTACTTTCCTTTATTTTTGGTAGAGACAGGCTTTCGCCATATTGCTCAGACTGGTCTCAAACTCCTAAGCTCAAGCAGTTCACCTGCCTCAGCCTCCCACTAAATGCTGGGATTACAGGTGTGAACCACCATGCCTGACCTGATAAAGATTTAAAAAAAATCATTTGTAAGCCAGGCGCGGTGGCTCACGCTTGTATCCCAGCACTTTGGGAGGCCGAGGCGGGCAGATCACGAGGTCAAGAGATCGAGACCATCCTGGCTAACACAGTGAAACCCTGTCTCTACTAAAAATACAAAAAAATTAGCTGGGCATTGTGGCGGGTGCCTGTAGTCCCAGCTACTCATAAGGCTGAGGCAGGAGAATGGCGTGAACCCGGGAGGCAGAGTTTGCAGTGAGCCGAGATTGCGCCACCGCACTCCAGCGCGGGCGATAGAGCGAGACTCCCTCTCAAAAAAAAAAAAAAATCATTTCTATTTCCAATGTTTTTGTTGCCTTATATTTCATGTTTGTCTTTTTAAAACACTGTTAAGTTGATTTTTGCTTTTTTTTTGGTAATTTTTGATAACCTTTGTCTTTTAATTGGAGCATTCAATCTTTTTTTTTTTTTTTTTTTTTTTTGAGGCAGAGTCTCACTCTGCTGCCCAGGATGGAATGCAGTAGTGTGATCACAGCTCACTGTAGCCTTGACCTTCTAGGCTTAAGCCATCCTCCCACCTCAGCCTCCCAAGTAGCTGGGACCATAGGTGTGCACCACCATGCCTGGCTTTTTAATTTTTTGTATAGACGGGATCTTGCTATACTGCCCAGGCTAGTCTTGAACTGCTGGGCTCAAGCAGTCTGCCCACCTCAGCCTCACAGAGTGCTGGGATTACAGGCATGAGCCATCGTGCCTGGCTGGGGTAGATTATTTTTTATTCAACCTTCCACCTTTCTACTACTTGGAATTTCTACACTCTTTTGCTACTCTTCAGTGGGTACCCTAGAGAGTATCACATACATCTTTATCAAAATTTTCTATGCAAAGACCTTATAATGCTTTTAATTCTTAATTCCCACCCTACTTATATGTCATTCTTGTTACACATTTCTGAATATGTTTATCTTCTAAAAGAAAATTATTGTTTTGTACACTCTATACTCAGTTAGGATTATTTATTTTACATTTTACATTATCCTTTACACATTTTGCTTTTTAAAATTATTTTCTGCATGTCTGACTGTCCATCTGGGATCACTTTCTTTTCACCTGAGAACATTTAGTATTTCTCTTTAGTGAAGGTCTGTTGGTATCCAGTTCTCTCTGTGTCTTGTTTTCTGAAATATCTTTGTTTAGCCTGAGTGGGTCAACTGTTATTGCGTATTGAATTCTAGTTGGCAGAGGTGTTTTTTTTTTTTTTTTTTTTTTTAACTCTAAACATAGTATTTTACTGTCTTTGTTTTTATGTTTTCTGCTAAGGTCAACTATCATTTCTGTTGTTGGTCATTTAATGGTAGTCTGATTTTTTTCACTATTATTATCTGTGTCTATTTTTTTAGCCAAGGTTTGTTTTCCTTTTTATTTAAGTTTCTTGAAGTTCTTAAATCTTTATGGCTTGATGTATTTTCATCACTTTTGTGAAGTTCTCAGCCATTTCTCTTCGAGTACCACTCTAGCACCTCTCTCTTTCTCTTCTCTTTTTGGAACATAGTTATATGTGTGTTATACCTTCTTCCTCTTCTTCCTGTGACCTCTGTCTCCTATTCCCTTTATTTTTTTTATGATTCATCTTTCAGTTCACTAATTGTCTCTTCAGTAATCTGTAGTCAGTAGTTAAGCCTGTCTATTGAGGTCTTACAGTTTTTGCTCTTTTTTTTTTTTTTGAGACAGAGTTTTGCTTTGTCGCCCAGGCTGTAGTGCAGTGGCGCGATCTTAGCTGACTGCAAGCTCCGCCTACCGAGTTCACGCCCTTCTCCTGCCTCAGCCATCCATGTAGCTGGGACTGCAGGTGCCCGCCACCACGCCCAGCTAATTTTTTTTTTTTTTGTATTTTTAGTAGAGATGGGGTTTTCACCGTGTTAGCCAGGATGGTCTTGATCTCCTGACCTTGTGATCCACCCGCCTCAGCCTCCCAGAGTGCTGGGATTATAGGTGTGAGCCACAGCATCTGGCTGGTTTTTGCTTCTTGAATTTTTTTTTTTTTTTGAGGCGGAGTCTCGCTTTGTCGCCAGACTGGAGTGCAGTGGCGTAATCTCGGCTCACTGCAACCTCTGCCTCCCAGGTTCAAGCAATTCTCCTGCCTCAGCCTCTCGGGTAGCTGAGATTACAGGCACATGCCACCATGCCCAGCTAATTTTTGTATTCTTAGTAGAGACAGGGTTTCACCGTGTTGGTCAGGATGGTCTCAATCTCCTGACCTCATCATCCACGCACCTCAGCCTCCCAAAGTGCTGGGATTACAGGTGTGAGCCACCGCGCCTGGCCGAATTCTTTTTTTTAGATTGTTTACAGATTTCTTCCAAAATTTTCAATCTTGTCTTTTATCTCCTTGAACACAATCAACATTATTATTATTATTAATTTTTTTGAGACAGAATCTTACTGTCTTACCCAGGCTGGTGTGCAATGGCATAATCTTGACTCACTGCAACTTCTGCCTTCTGGGCTCAGGCTCTCCTCCCATCTCAGCCTCTTGAGTACCTGGGACTACAGATGTTCACCAGTACACCCAGCTAAAGCATGATTATTTTAAAGTTGAATTGGAAAGTCTGTAGTTCTTTTACTGTTATGTGTTGTTTCTGCTCATTTTCAGTTATATTGTCTTACATCCTTATGTACATGATTATTTTTATTTTCAAGAAACTGTTATTTGAAAAGTTGTCTGTAGAAATAACTTCAGACCAAATGTTATAATTTAAATTGCTTTTCTCAGATGTATGCAGCCACTGGCTCTGGGATCTGGGATCGCTTTATTCCATTTTAAATTTTTACAGTCCCTGCAAGCTTGGCTTTTTCTAGTTTACCCTTATGTGTAGGATGCCACCCTTTGAAATCATAACCCAAAGCAAAGTGACTTACTGAGCCCCACTGTCGTGGCAGGTTCATCAGTTTGTATCCCCATGACACTTCAAATCTGTCAGAAAAACTACTCGGCTTCTCAGCCATCCCCTCTGGAATCAGTAAACAGCATCTGGGGGAAAACAGCCGAAATATTGGGCTCACCTTTTAGGCCTCTCTGTTCTCTGGATTTTGGCCTGGTTTTTCTTCAGTATTTTTTGTCTGTTTTTTTTTATGTTTAATTCTGCTTTTCTACTTGTCCTTAGTGCAGAGGTGGTCCAAATTTCCTGATTTGCCATGGCTAGAAGCAGAAGTTCCCATTAGATACTTTTGTTCCCTCTATTCTATCCCCACAAAGAGTTTATCCAGTATGTAATGGAACTTAGTCCTCTCTCCAGATAAAGCTCATTCTTTTTTCATAGCTTTTAATTGTTAGAAAACTTGGTGTTAGGTCTGTCGCTCGGTTTCCCAAAGTAGTTCCTGGTTTCATAATAATACCAGTAACCTATGGCTATGTAACAAATTATGCCAAAACTTAGCGGCTTAAAACAAAAAACATTTATTATCTTCATAGTTTCTGTGGGTCAGGAATACAGAAGCAGTTTAGCCGGGTGATTCTGTCTTAGGGTCTCCAATGTAGTTGCAATCAAGATGTTGGCCAGAGCTGCAGTATCACCTGAAGACTTGACTTGTAGGGTGGATCTGCTTTCAAGCTCTTCCTGTGGTTGTTGAGAGGCCTTGGTTCTTTGCTGTCTATTGGTGGAGACTTTAGTTCCTTACCACATAGGTCTCTCCATGGGCTTTTCAGCATGGCAGCTGGCTCCCCCCAGTGTGAGTGCATGTGAAAAGAGAGAGAGCAAGAATACCCAAGATGGAAGATGTTACAACTTGTTATCACTTCTGCTATATTCTATTGGTGAAGAGACCAACCCCATAATGGGGGAGGAAACTATATAAGGTTTACCTATAAGGAAGTGGGGCTGATTGGGGCCATCTTAGTGGCTGCCTACCACATTAAGACGTTCAGAAGGAATTTGATTGCTCTTTCACATGAAAGCCTTTCAGGTGCTTAAAAAGAGCAGACATGATTCAACTCAGCTTTTCTTCTTCCAGAATAACCAGCCCCAGTAGTTACAGTAGTTCCTTGGATGATGTATTTTATGTTCTCTTATTATCCTAATTTGACATGTTCTATCCATTTTTTTTCCTGCAGATGTTTTATTGAGGGTAACTTCTAAATTCAGACTGCTTGGGTTTGAATCCAGGCCCCTCCACTTACTAGCAGGGTTCTTTGGGCAAGTCACTTAACTTCTCTTTTCCTGATGTGTCTAGTCTGTAAAGTAGAGATACTGTTACTTCCTTCTTCATAGAGGTATTTTGAGGACTAAGTGAGTTAATGCATATAAAGTATTTTCAGTAATGGTCAAAATAATGAATAATGCCCAAAATAACAGCTGTTGTTAGAATTGGTGTATTTTTGTCTTTTGTAAATAAGTAGTATTTCTCCAGTCTTTAACCAGTACAGTCATACATTGCTTAATGATAGGGATACATTCTGAGAAATGGGTTCATTAGGTGATTTCATTGTTGTGCAAACATCATAGAGTGTAGTTAGAAGCCTAAATGGTATAGGCTTTACAAATCTATACAGCATGTTACTATACTGTAGGCAACTGTAACACAATGGTAAGTATCTAAACATGTCTAAACATAGAAAAGGTCCAGTAAAAATACAGTGTAAAAGATTTTAAAATGGTACACCTGTATAGGACACTTATCACGAATGGAGCTTGCAGGACTGAAAGTTGCTCTGAATGAGTCAGTGAGTGAGTGATGAGTGAATGTGAAGGTCTAGGACATTACTGTACACTACCATTGACTTTGTAAACACTGTACACCTAAGCTGTGCTAAATTATATATAAAAAATTTTCTTCAGTAATAAATTAGACTTTGCTTACTATAATCTTTACTTTATAAACTGAATTTTTAAAAACATTTTGACACAGCTTAAAGCACAAACACATTGTATAGCTGTAGAAAAATATTCTCTTCCTTTATATCCTTACTCTATAAGCTTTTTCCTATTTTTAAAATTTTTAATGTTTATTTTACTTTTTAACTTTTTTGTTAAAAATGAATACACATACGCATATTAACCTAGGCCTATACAGGGTCAGGATCATCAGTATCACTCTCTTCTACCTCCACATCTTGTCCCACTAGAAGGTCTTCAGGGGCAGTCACAGTCATGGAGCTGTCATCTTTTGTGATAACAGTGCCTTCTAACCTGTCTAAAGCTGTTTTACAGTTAACTTTTAAAAAATAAGTAGAAGGAATATACTGTAGAATAAAAATTATAATAAATAACATAAACCAGTAACAGCAGTTTATCATCATTATCCAGTATTGTGTTCTGTACATAATTATATGTGCTAGACTTTAATACTACTGGCAGCACAAATAGGTTTGTTTATACCAGCATCACCACAAACATGTGAGTAATGTATTGTGCTACAACATTAAAACAGCTATGATGTTACTATAGGAATTTTTCAGCTTCATTATAATTTTATGGGACCAGCATCATATATGTGGTCCATCGTTGACCAAAATGTATTTATGTGGCACATGATTGTACTTTTGCTACCCTTATTTAAACTTAGTCTGATTGCTAGCCTTGGAGTGTGAAGAATTCATACCCTGTGGTGCTAGTGTAAAATCAAATATAATCTACCTCTTTAGCTTTTCTGTTATGTAATTGGAATGAAAAAATAGTGCTTTTTTTTTTTTTTCATTTTTGAGATTGAGTTACCATGGAGGGAAAGAACATGTGTGTTTTACCAGTGGAATGCATTCTTTGTGTTATCTCTTCGATTTTTAACATTTTATGTTTCCAGTTTATAAACTTTGCCTCCAGTTTGATGAAGAAAATTTAGCTATTAGAAAGTATTTAAAATCTCAAAAGTATGACATTTTAAAATGTTAGCAGGTTTAAAGATAACTTAGTTTTTCAACTCTTAACCCAAAATTATACTTGTATACTATAATTTGTGTTGAATTACTTGGTATTATTTATCATCCTAGTAAGATCTATTTTATATAATTTGATTCACTTTTTATATTGAATTATGTTAATTGTTTTTGTAATACACCTTTCATATTTCTTCAAAGAAAACTAGTGTTGGGTTATTGCTAATTTTGCTTCGTGGTTTGGTTATTTACATATAAAAATTATATTGTTTTAAAAATTGCAAAGTGATCGTTTATTGACACATCAGCAAGAATTAATGTTGAAATGCAAGTTTTTTCCCCTATCCTTAACTAAGTGTGTAGATATCTTTGTTTTGTTTCTTTAATAGATAGCAAACAATAAAGATGCATTGAGGAAGACATGGAACCCTAAGTTTACATTGAGAAGTCACTTTGATGGCATCCGAGCCCTTGCTTTCCATCCCATTGAGCCTGTTTTGATAACAGCATCAGAGGATCACACATTAAAAATGTGGAATTTACAGAAAACAGCCCCAGCCAAAAAGTGAGAATATTCTACTTTAACATTATTTGAATATTTTAAGTAACATTTTCAGCAGAAAACTACATATTTTATGATTTCTGTTAAATTTCCCAAACATTTCTTCTAGTTCTTTCTTCCATGTCATGTAATTTATTGTGTTTTTCCATTTATACAACCTAATGCTAGGTTAGAAAACTGATGCTTAGGAAGATATGGTATTATCTGTTGGTTTCACCAGGGTTTGTGAATACTGATTACAGTCTTTATACATAACAGTATTTTTAAATGGCTGCTATATTTGGGGAGCCCCTTGTCTATACTGAAGGTTTGGACTGTTCTTGTAAACAGGTATATGCATCTTTAAAATAATCAAATGTCCACCTCCACCTTGCCCCATTGTTTACTAGATTTAGACTTATGAGATGGAGCAGAGAAAAGCCTCACTGGGATGGGTGGAGGGTCTTGGTCTTGTCTTTTGGCCTTGAGACTTTAGGTACTTTCCATACCCACCAATATGTCTAGACTCAGAGGCTAACATGACTGCTAGTGCTCACCTTGGCCCTTTAGTTCCTGTCTAAGCATGGATAGACATGAGTTAGTATAAACCCTTTAAAAGTCACAAAGCTAAATCTGGTTCTACTTGCTTGGGTCCTTATCGGAGCTCCACTCCTTTGGGTCACATGTCAAAAAAAAAAAAAAAAAGAACCAGCATCTGCCAGCAAAGACCCTTTTGCAGTATTAGGCACTTTGTTATTATAAGAGTCATCACTGAACATCAAATAGAGGAGGTTACAAAAATTTTACTACCAATGGAGGAAATCTATTGCCTGGCTTAAGAGAGATCAGTGTCATTCATGCTGTGTCATACATAGGGTAGATGAAATACTTGATTTATCAGTCTGCTTCAGATAGCTCAACCAGATGTTGCTAAAACCAGATGGACTTTCACATAGATTAGGTGTTTTCAGAAGAGAAAAATAGTTTACTGGTTATACATTGTGAGATAACATGTCTATGCGTAACTGCGATACAGTGTAGAAAACAGTAAGTACGTGACTTTAAATCCAGTTTCCATCAAAGTCATAGCCAGTATTAGGGTATAGTGTACCTATAATAATGGTGTTCTGAGTAATGAATAAACTGATAATTTGGACAGTCTCTTCAGTATGAAGGATAGACATATTATCCTTATTGGAAAGGCAAGGAAATAAAAGTACCATTTGCTGATATCCTACTATGTGCATGATTGTGTCCTGGGGTGTTTTTTAAATTGTAGAATCCTATTTAATCCTGTGATTATTTGGTGTTATTCCCATTTTTCTGTTTTGTTTTAAACGGAGTAATCTGAAGTTCAGAAAGATTAAATAATTTGCTTAAAGTTAGCCAATTAGTGACAGAACTGGAAATTGAGTTCAGAAATTTATCTCTTCAAAGCTCATGCTTTTTCTCTTGAATGAAGCTGTCTTTCCCTTTAGTCAAATAGATTATGACAGGGCTAAAAATACTGTAACATGATATTATTACTAAACAAGAATCTTGTTTCTTGATGCCATGAAAGTATAATTGGTGTTAAGTAAGCTTTCTTACGTATCGTGTAGTTGAGAATGGTATATTCCCATAATGTTTGTATTTTTAAAGACAATTTTATGACATATGTTTAATTATACTGTTTACTGACACTTAGAATGGTAAAGTCATCTCTCTCTGATTTAGGAGCACTTCTCTTGATGTAGAACCTATCTATACATTCAGAGCCCATAAGTAAGTATATGTTTTTTCTTTATTTTAAACCGATATCTCTGTAAAATAGCCTGGTTAGGATATTTTATTTTCTTTCACTTACTAGGTATTCTTTGTATTTAGGAGTGTTTTTTTAATGTAAAAGAATTTGACAGATAATATAATGCTAAAACGAAGTTCATCATTGCCAAGTAGGGATTTGTGCTTAAATTAGATTTTATTTACATGGTGTTTAAGTGAGGTACGTATTTATATCTTTAAACTAGAGCCAACTAGGTTTAAATATTAGAAATTCCAGCTTTTTTTCCTCATATAATTTGGATTAAAATATTCAAGTGCCTCCTTTGGTAGTAGATACCCTACAATTGGAAAGATACAGAGATTAGCAAGGCCTCAGTACAAGGATGACACAGATTCACGAAGGGTTCCATATTTTTCTTTTTCTTTTCTTTTTTTTTTTGAGACGGGGTCTCACGCTGTTGCCCAGTCTGGATGCAGTGGCATGATCCAGTGGAGACAAGGTTTTACACTGTTGGCCAGGGTGGTCTTGAACTCCTGGGCTTGAACTCTTGACCTCAAGTGATCCACCCACCTCAGCCTCCCAAAGTGGTAGGATTACAGGCACCTGGCCGAAGGGTTTCATATTTTTCTAAACATGGAAACAAAAGAATATTACCAGCCACCACAGAAACACAATTAGTTACTTAGACCATTGACACTTTGTAGCAACTACACAATCAAGTGTGTGTAATAACCAGCTAACAACATGATCACAGGATCAAATGGGCACATATCAGTGTTAACCTTGAATGTAAAAGGGCTAAATGCCCCAATTAAAAGGCATACAGTGGCAAGTTGCATTAAAGAAGCAAGACCCAACTGTATTCTATCTTTAAGCGACCCACCTCACATGCAGTAACACCCATAGGCTCAAAGAAAAGGGATGAAGAACAATCAACCAAGCAAATGGAAAACAGAAAAAAGCAGGAGTTGCTACTCTAATTTCAGACAAAACAGACTTTAAACCAACAAAGATCAGTAAAGACAAAGGAGGGCATTACATGACAATAAAGGATTCAATTCAAGAAAATTCTTAACTATCTTACATATATATTTACCCAACATAGGAGCACCCAGATTAATAAATTCTTAGAGACTGTCAAAAAGATTTATATAACTTTACAATAATAGTGGGAGACTTTAACACCCCACTGATGTATTAGATCATCAAGGCAGAAAACTAAAATATTCGGGACCTGAACTTGATGCTTGACCAAATGGACCTAACATGTATCTACAGAACTCTCCACTGCAAAACAACAGAATATACATTCTTCTCATTTGTACATGGCACATATTCTAAAATCAACCACACTCCTGACCATTAAACACTTCTCGGCAAATTTAGAAAAACTGAAATCATGCCAACCACACTCTCAGACCAAACACAGTAAAAATAAAAGTCAGTGGCTGGGTGCAGGGGCTCATGCTTGTAATCCCAGCACTTTTGAGAAGCTGAGGCGGGCAGATTGCATGAGCTCAGAAGTTCTGGACCAGCCTGGGCAGCATGGCAGAACCCCATCTCTACAAAAATCAGCCACTAGTGGTGACGTGTTCCTGTAGTCTCAGCTGCTTAGGGGGCTGAGGTGGGAGGATGAATTGAGCCCGGGAGGTGGAGTTTGCAGTGAGCTGAGGTCATGCCACTGCACACCAGCCTGGGAAACAGAGCGAGCGATACCCTGTCTCAAATAAATAAATAATAGAAATCAATACCAAGATTGCTCAAAACCATACAGTTACATGGAAATTAACCAGCTCCTGAATGATTTATTGGTAAATAATGAAATTAAGGCAAAAATCAAGAAATTCTTTGAAACTAATGAAACCAAAGCTACAACATACCAGAATCTCTGGGAAATTCTGTGTTGAGAGGGAAATTTATGGTGCTAAACACCCACATCAAAAAATTAGATCTCGGCCAGTGCAGTGGCTCACACCTGTAATTCCAGCACTTTGGGAGGTTGAGGCAGGCGGATCACAAGGTCAGGAGTTTGAGACCAGCCTGGCCAACATGGTGAAACCCCATCTCTACTAAAAATATAAAAACTAGCTGAGTGCGGTGGCGTGCACCTGTAATCCCAGCTACTCAGGAGGCTGAGGCAGGAGAATTGCTTGAACCCAGGAGGCAGAGGTTGCAGTGAGCCGATATGCCACCACTGCACTCCAACCTGGGCGACAGAGTGAGATTCCATCTCAAAAAAAAGTTAGATCTCAAATTAACAACTTAACATCACACACAAGAGAAAAACCAACCCCAAAGCTAGCAGAAGACAAGAAATAACCAAACTCAGAGCTGAACTGAATGAAATTGAGACACACAAAAAAAACGTATAAAATATCATTGAAACCAGAAGTTGGTTCTTCGAAAGAATAAGATAGGTAGACCACTAGCTAAACTAATAAAGAAAAAAAGAGAAGATCCAAATAAACACAACCAGAAATGATAAATGTAATATTACCACCAACCCCACAGAAATACAAAAACCAGCCAGAAACTGTTATGAACACCTCTGTGCACACAAACTAGAAAACGTAGAAGAAATGGATAAATTCCTGGAAACAACGTCCCAAGACTAAACCAGGAAGAAATTCTAATTGTGAACAGACCAATAATGAGTTCTGAAATTGAATCAGTAATAAAAAGCTTACCAACAAGAAAAAGCCCAGGTTGAGATGGATTCACAATTGAATTCTACCTAACGCATAAAGAACAACTGGCGCCATTCCTACTAAAACTATTCCAGAAAATTGAGGAGGAGGGGCCGGGTGCAGTGGCTCACGCCTGTAATCCCAGCACTTTGGGAGGTCAAGGTGGGTAGATCACCTGAGATCAGGAGTTCGAGACCAGCCTGGCCAACATGGTGAAACCCCATCTCTGCTAAAAATACAAAAAAATTAGCTGGGCGTGGTGGCAGGTGCCTGTAATCCCAGCTACTTGGGAGGCTGAGGCAGGAGAATCACTTGAAACTGGGAGGCAGAGGTTGCAGTAAGCTGAGATCGCACCCATTGCATTCCAGCCTGGGCGACAAGAGTGATGAAACTCCATCTCAAAAATAAATAATAAATAAAAATAAAGAGGAAGAGGGACTTTTCCCTAACTCATTCTATGAGGCCAGCATCATCCTGATACCAAAACCTGGCAGAGATACAACAGAAAGGAAAACTTCAGGCCAATATCCTTGATGAACATAGATGCAAAAATCTTCAACCAATTACTAGCAGAGAAAATCCAACAGCACATCAAAAAGCTAATCCACCACAATCAGGCAGGCTTTATCCCTGGGTTGCAAGGTTAGTTCAGTATACACAAATCAATAAATGTGGTTCATCACATGAACAGAACTGAAAACAAAAATCACATGATCATCTCAACAGATGCAGAAAAGGCTTTCGATAAAATTCAGCATCACTTCATTTTAAAAACCCTGAACAAACTAGGCATTGAAGGAACATACCCCAAAATATTAAGAGCCATCTATGACAAGCTCACAGCCTGCAAAATCATACTGAACTGCAAAATCTGGAAGCATTTCTCTTGAGAACTGGAACAAGACAAGGATGCCTGCTCTCACCACTCCTATTCAATATAGTACTGGAAGTCCTAGCCAGAGCAGTCAGGCAAGGAAAAGAAAAGGCATTCAAATAGGAAGAAAGGCAGTCAAACTGTCTTTGTTTGCAGACAATATAATTTTATACCTAAAAAATGCTATAGTCTCTTCCCAAAAGCTCCCAGATCTGATAAAACAACTTCAGCAAATTTCTGGATATAAAATCAATGTATGAAAATCAGTACCATTTATACACACCAATAATGCCCAAGCTGAGTACCAAATCAAGAATGCAGTCTCATTTACAGTAGTCACAAAAAAGATAAAATAACTAGGAATATAGCTAACCATGGAGGTGAAAGATCTCTACACTGAGAATTACAAAACACTGCTCAAAGAAATCAGAGATGACACAAAGAAATGGAAAAACATTCCATGCTCATGGATAGAAAGAATCTATTGTTAAAATGGCCGTACTGCCCAAAGCAATTTACAAATTCAATGCTATTCCTATCAAACTACCAATGACATTCTAACAGAATTAGAAAAAATGTTTAAAATTCATATGGAAACCCGAAGAGCCAAGGCAATCCTAAGCAAAAAGAACAAAGCTGGAGGCATCACATTACCTGACTTCAAACTATACTACAGGGCTGTAGTAACCAAAACATCATGGTACTGGTACAAAAACAGAAGCATAGACCAATGAAACAGAATAGAGAGCCCAGAAATAAAGCTGCACACTTATAACCGTCTAATCTTCGACAAAGTTGACAAAAGCAATGGGGAAAGGACTCCCTATTCAATAAATGATGCTGGGATAAATGGCTAGCCATATGCAGAAGATTGAAACTGGACCCCTTCCTTATACCATATATAAAAATCAATTCAGACGGATTAAAGACTTAAATGCAAAACCTAAAACTAAAAAAAGTTGAAGAAAACCTAGGGAATACCATTCTAGACATATGCCCTGGCAAAGATTTCATGATGAAGACACCAAAAGCAATTGCAACAATGACCAAAAAAAAAAATGACAAATGGGACCTAATTTAACTGAAGAGCTTCTGCACACATTAGAACGATCAACAGCGTAAATAGACAACCCACAGAATGAGAGAAAATATTTGCAAACTATGAATCTGACAAAGGACCAATATCCAGAATCTGTAAGGAACCTAAACAAATTAACAAGCTAAAAGCAGGCCAGGTGCGGTGGCTCACGCTTATAATCCCAGCACTTTGGGAGGCCGAGGCGGGCGGATCATGAGGTCAGGAGATCAAGACCACGGTGAAACCGCGTCTCTACTAAAAATACAAAAAATTAGACGGGCGTGGTGGTGGGCGCCTGTAGTCCCAGCTACTCGGAGAGGCTGAGGCAGGAGAACGGCGTGAACCCGGGAGGCAGAGCTTGCAGTGAGCCAAGATCGCGCCACTGCACTCCAGCCTGGGTGACAGAGCGAGACTCCATCTCAAAAAAAAAAAAGAATAAAAACAACCCCATTAAAAAGTGGGCAAAGGACGTGAACAGATAGTTTCCAAAAGAAGACATACATGCGGCCAACAGACATGAAAAATGCTCATCATCACTTATTACAGAAATGCAAATCAAAAATTAACAAGCAAAAAACAACCCCATTAAAAAGTGGGCAAAGAACATGAACAGATAGTTTCCAGAAGAAGACATACATGTGGCCAACAGACAGGAAAAAATGCTCAACAACACTTATTATTACAGAAATGCAAATCAAGACCACAATGAGATGCCATGTCACACCAGGCAGAATGGCTGTTATTAAAAGGTCAAAAGATAACAGATGCTGGCAAGGCTGTGGAGAAAAAGGAACACTTAAATGCTGCTGGTAGGAGTGTAAATTAGTTCAGCCACTGTGGAAAGCCAGTTTGGTGATTTCTCAAAGAAGTTTGAACTACCAGTCAACCTAGCATTATTAGGTATATACCCAAAGGAATATAAATCATTCTGCTATAAAGACACATGCATGTGTGTTAATCATAGCACATAGTAGCAAAGACATGGAGTCACCCTAAATGCCCATCATCGGTAAACTGGATAAAGAAAATGTGGTACATAGACACCGTGGAATACTATGCACCCATAAAAAATGAGATCCTGTCCTTTGCAGGAAAATCATGGAACTGAAGACCATCTTAAGCAAACTAATGCAGGAACAGAAAACCAAATACTGCATGTTCTCACTTATAAGTGAGAACTAAACATTGAGTATACATGGACAGAAGAAGGGAACAATAGACACTAGGGCCAACTTGACTGTGAAGGGTGGGAAGAGGGTGAGGATTGGAAAAACTACCCATTGCGTACTATGCTTTTTTCCTGAGTGAGGGAATAATATGTACAGCAAACCGCCAAGGCATGCAATTTATCTATAGTACCAACCTGCACATGTAACCTTGAAACTAAAAGTTAAAAAGTTTTGTGAGAAGTGTGTGTGTGTGTGTGTGTGTGTGTGTGTGTGCTCACGCAATGATACATTGCATTTTTTTTTCTGTTTCTGTTTAAGGAATGTGCCTTTTCTCTTGATTTAGCACAGAGATTGGCATACTTTTTATATAAAGAGTCACATAATATCTGACTCAGGCTGTTAGACTTTTTGAAATATTTTAGGATTTGCTAGTCATATAATTTCTGTTGCATATTCTTGTTTTTTGTTTTGTTTTGTTTTATAACCCTTTAAAAATGTAAAGACCATTCTTAGCTTGAGGACTGTACAGAAACAGACCAGTGGTTGGATTTGACCTGCTGACCATAATTTACCAACCTCTTAAACCAGAGGAAGAAAAATGAACAGTGCTTTGATAGTACCTGTGTTTTCATTTTTTATAAAAAGCAGAAAAATAGCCATTTGGGTAATTAAACATTCTTATTTTTAACAAGTCATATTATCAGGTTGGTTTTTGAGAATAGCAGTTGATTTATTTTTTTTAATCTCCCAGAGGTCCAGTGCTTTGTGTGGTAATGAGCAGCAATGGTGAGCAGTGTTACAGTGGTGGTACTGATGGACTGATCCAGGGCTGGAATACCACTAATCCCAACATCGACCCCTATGATTCTTATGGTAGGTGATTTCCCAAAGATCTGAAGGAATAAAATTGGTTTTTTAAACACATTTTTTCATAGAATATAAAAGGAAGAGATAAAGAGATTTTTGAAAATAAATAGGTAAAGAGAACCACATCTTTATTTTGTTAAAAAGGACTTCTGTATTTAGGAATTAACTTGATATACAATGCTAAAAGAAGAAAAGAAGAACACATTCTTGAAAATACAGTTCCCACTTCTCTAAAGTCTTATTGATTGGAAATACAGGCTTGACTGACAGTTGTTTTCTTATTTTAGGCATCTGTAGAGTTCTTGATACATTATTACTAATCTGTAATAATATTTCATCATTATTCTTGTCAAACAACTTTTAAGGAAAATGAATGTTGGTGCCATCCCCTTGGTCAATTATTGGAGGGCTGTAGAAGCTAATAATTTTTAAAGCCCATGACACCAAAATATGTAAAAGGCCTCAGAAGTTAAGAAGTACCCTTTAGTTTTGGGAACAATACCATACATCATAAATCATATTATAATCTATCAATGGATATGACCACAGATTCATTTGTAAAAACTATTTAGGAATTGGGTATTTTGGTTTTCTGTTAAGTTCTAGAGTAGTTTGAAGTATCACATTTGTCATAAAAGCATTTTAATTTCATCATCATTTTAGATTAATTTTACCACCAAACCAGAGTAAGGATAAGAAATTCAATAAACAAAAATTTTTCCCAGCATTTATTTAACGAGCATTAATATGTTGTGAAAGGTAACCCCACTCTCCCCTAATTCTCTTATAAGTTATCTGTTCCATGTCTTTCCTTACTTCCTTTACCTCTCTGCCAGAGGATCAACTGTCCCTCATTCTGTCCTAGGCCAGTCCTTCCCATTTTGACTTTATTCATTTTAGTTTCTTTTGTGACTGTACTCGAATCTCTCTCTGTCTCTTTGCGACTGCATTCTAATCTCTTGCTCTTCTGCTCTTGTTCTCTTGCATCTTAATTAAGCCTTACCCTCCTTGCTCCCTTTCCATCCCCTCAGCAAATAAGTAAATTCGGGTATCTTCCATTCTGGTCAAGGAGAAGCCTTTTCTTGACCTTGTTTCCGTCTCTGCCTTCTGTTTAGTCCCTCTCTTTTCCTCATCATCTGTTTCTTTGATGGTATTGTCTAGAAAACACAATTACCAGTTACTAATTTCATGTTTTTTCTCTGTGCTTCATCTGTCTACATTCTGGCTTCTGGCTACAACACTTACATGTAACAAGATTGTCAGTAACTAATTGCCTGATCCAAGAATATTTTTAGTCTTTTATTTTACTGGATGTATTGGCTGTATCTGAGATTGTTAACAACTCCATCCTTTTTGAAATCTGTCCATTCTATTGGCTTTTTGACCCTTTGTGACAATTTCTGTTCCCTGTCCTTCATAAACTGCTTTTATTTTTCTTGCCTTAAATATTGACATTTATAAAGACCCAGACCCTAACTTTTTGCAGTGTACAAACATTCCTTGAGAGACTGAATCTACATCTGTACTTTTACATATAGTTGACTCATACATCTTTAAGCTTCAGATTGACTACAGGAATTTCAGGATGACTGTTTCATTGTCTGTAAATCCTAGCATTTTCTGTGTTTCTTCTCTCGTATATTCTTTTTTAGTTGGTGGCACTATGAGAATCACCCAAACTAGAAACCTAAGAATTACTTCAGATTCCCTGTTCTGTCACACTGTCCCCACTTACTAATTACCTAGTTTTTTGGTAATGACTCCCTAAATATTTCTTGAGTTTACTTTTTCTGCTCTGGCTGTCTCACTGCTTCCCCTGGCCTTAGGTCTTTGTCACTCTTTTTGTCTGCTGAAACAATCTCTTGCCTTTGTCTTGATTCTGTCTAATCTGTCTTCTGTACTACTACCAAGCTTACCTTATTAAATACATACTTGATCCTGCTGCCCCTGGAGACAGATTGCTTGTTGCTTTCAGGATAATTTCCAAGTTCCTTAATATGTAGTAGAAATCACACCATAAACTAGATGCCCTCATCCCATCTACTTCCTATTTCAAAGTCCACACTCCAGTAATACTGAATTGCTTATACATTTACTTGCATATCATGCTGTTTCTTTTTTCATGTGGTTTTGTAGGTGCTGCCTTCTTGTCAATCATGTTCTCCCCCTCTTCTTCAACTGGCTAACATCTGTAAATTCTAGGTTTCACTCTCCAAGTTCTCACTCATTCCAGTTACTCTCTGCTAACTGATGTCTGTCACAATTATTGTACTTTCAACATTGTCTGTTGAGGACTGGGATAGAATTGGGTATTAATCATGTATTTGGCTCCATCATTGAGCATAGTGCCTGACACACAGTGTGTCTTCAATATTTTATGGTATGTGTGACAGAGGATATAAGACATAACACCATTGACATTTCCAGACTTAACATTTGTGAGTCATCTTGAAAGTACCACTTCATAGAATCATTGTGAAGATTAATAAGGTTTCCAATTTGACTTTTATCATGAGACTGTGCTTAACCTCCCCACTTCCCTCCCTCTTCCCCTGCATACACTATCACTGCATCTCAGTTACTGCTGTTTGAGAATTTGGGGATTCCTGTAGATGTCACTTCCTGTCCATTATGAATGCCATATTTTCAGGAAAAACTGCCATCCATCATATAGTAAGATAAGTGAACAGAAGGAAGTATAGCCAAAGTGCTAAGGGACTTCAGAGAGGGAGAGGACCTCTCTGTTCACTTCCTCAGGGAGTGTGAGTTGTGGTTTCTCCAAAGATGAATTAAATTCAAATGATTTCGTATCAACGTGCTTTAAAAATATTTAGACAAATGGAAGGACAAAAGGAAGGGGGAGGAAATACTCAGTTTTTTTAAGGGGGAAAAATACGTGCTTTTAAATTTTAATTTAAAATTTTTTAACTTTATATTTGTATATTTCCAAGCTTGTTTTGATTTACTGTAGCCTGTCAGAAGAATAATAGAAACCAAGAATCATATTTTATACTGTTATCAGGTGCTATTGTTTATATATTTTACTTTCTCTGAAATCTAAGTACCTTTGTGGTTGTTTTTCTCCTGATTTTGCATTTTTACTGTTTTGTATAGATCCTTCTGTTTTACGAGGCCCTCTGCTAGGCCACACGGATGCAGTCTGGGGTTTGGCTTATAGTGCAGCACATCAGCGTTTGTTGTCCTGTTCAGCAGATGGCACTCTGCGTTTATGGAATACAACTGAGGTTGCTCCAGCACTAAGTGTATTTAATGATACTAAAGGTACATACTTTAAAAAATTATTTTGCTGAATCCTCTATAAAACAGTTTATTCTGAAAATAAGCAAGCAGATAAATGATTCCCTGAACTCTTTAAATTTAATTTGAAAGTTTTTGAAGCCACGAAAGTGTATTTGTTTGAATTTCCAACCTATATATAATTTTGTTTTGTTTTGTTTTGTTTTGTTTTGTTTTTTTTGAGACGGAGTATCACTCTGTTGCCCAGGCTGGAGTGCAGTGGCGCAATCTCGGCTCACTGCAACCTCCATCTCCCAGTTTCAAGCAATTCTCCTGCCTCAGCCTCCAGCACACACCACCACGCTCAGCTAATTTTTGTAGTTTTTTTAGTAGAGACAGGGTTTTGCTGTGTTGGCCAGGCTGGTCTGGAACTCCTGACCTCAAGTGATTCGCCTGCCTCAGCCTCCCGAAGTGCTGGGATTACAGGCATGAGCCACTGCACCCAGCCTATAATTTTTGAAAGCATAGTTTTTGGTGAAAGAACACACAGATTTTAGATTTTAAAAAATTAAGATATAATTTGTATGTAGTGAAAAACAGATATTAAGGATACATTTCAGTGAGTCTGATAGATGAGTACACCCATGTAACTCATACATCAATCAAGACATAGAATCCAGGTGTGGTGGCTCACACCTGTAATCCTAGCACTTTGGGAGGCTGAGGCAGGAGGATCACGAGAGGCCAGGAATTTGGGACCAGCTGGGCAACATAGCGAGGCCCTGTCTCTACATTTTCTTTAAAAAAAAAAAAGACTATATTTGCCCATTCTCGTACCACTATAAAGAAATACCTGAGACTGGGTAATTTGTTTAAAAAAAAAAAAGGTTTAATTGGTTGACGGTTCTGTACAGGAAGCATAGCAACTTTTCTTTGGCTTCTGGGGAGGCCTCAAGCAATTTACAATCATGGTGGAAGTCAAAGGGACAGGAGGCATGTTTTACATGGCCGGAGCAGGAGGAAGAAGGGGGTGGGACCTATTTTTAAACAACCAAATCTTGTGAGAACTCTATCACGAGAATAGCACCAAAGGGGAAAATCCACCCCATGATCCAATCACCTCCCGCCAGGCCGTATCTCCAATATTGGGGATTATGTTTGACATGAGACTTGAGTGAGGACACAGATCCAAACCGTATGAGAGATAGAACATTTCCTTTATCTCCCCAAAGTTCCTTCGTGTCTTTCCAAGTCAGTCCCCTCCTTTCCTTATTCCCAGCCAGAGGTACCCACTGTTGTGATTTCTTTCATCATAGATTAGTTTTATCTACTCAAACGTCATGTAAATGGAATAGTAAAGTATGTGTTCTTTGTATCTTGCTTTTATTCTTCATTATAATGTTTTGGAAATTCATTTGTGTTATATCAATTATTTCTTTCATTTTTATTTGATAGTATTTCATTAAGCCATAATTTGTCTATTCATTTATATCTTGATGGATATTTGGGTTGTCTCTAGTTTTTTGCTATTTTGAACAAGGCTGCTATGAACATTCATATATTTTCATTATAGGTGTGTAGAGACTTAGAATTGCTGGGCTTTCAGGTGGATGTTTATTTTACTTTATGTGAAGTCACTAAAAATTTTTCAAAAAAATTTTGTAGTTGTACCATTTTACACCTTTGACAGCAGTGTATGAGCATTCCAGTTGCTCTGCATCCTTACAAACATACAGTATTGTCAGTCTGTTTAACTTTAGCCATTCTGGTGGATGTGTAGTAGTATTTCATCATAGTTTATTTGCATTTCTTTGATGGCTAATTTTGATGAGCATTTCTTTTGTTTGCTTATTGGTTATTTGTGTATCTTCTTCTGCAGTATGCACATTTTTGAACTGTTACCTTGCTGTAGTTAGATTTTGAGCCAAATGAAAAAAATCAGATTATTATATTCACTTTATATGTTTCCTTCTATTTTTATGTTTATAAATAAGCTCTAAGTTTTCATGTATTCTAGATGGTAAATAAAAATACCTTCTGTATTCTTGAGCTATTATAACTTCTTTCCAGGCTTTGATGAGTTGTCTTCATATGGTATTTGCATGACTCTAACGATAAATAATAATTTTAAATTTTACTTTTTAATTTCTCTATTTTTGATGAGCTAACATCCCTAATAAGAGATGGGTTTTTTAAAATGAAGAATTCCCACTATGTCACTCTAAGCTTGAGGTTGGGCGGAAGCAGCAAAATTTGTAATTCATACATGTTTTCCATTTGCTCTCTAAATAAAGGCTTGCATTCCATGAATATATCAGTTGAGTAACAGGTAGAAGATCTGCTAAGCAGGTAAGGGAAATAAATAGACTAGGGCTAAAAGTTACAAAGAAATAATCTCCAATGAATAGTTATGAGCTAATTCTTATTCTAATGGTAAGCCTTGTTTACTTCTTAAGGAAACCATGCCATTTTTTGTTTTGCTCTATTTTAAGCAGATTGTCAAGTAGATGGTTTAATTGCCATTCTATTTCAATATGTTCTCTTTCAGAACTGGGAATCCCTGCCTCTGTGGATCTAGTGAGCAGTGACCCGAGCCATATGGTAGCATCATTCAGCAAGGGATATACAAGCATTTTTAACATGGAAACACAACAACGCATTCTCACTTTAGAATCCAATGTAGATACAAGTATGCATACCAATTTTAAATTGTCTGTGTTTATTTTTTTAACTTAATCAAAATTACGACTACTAGAGTCAGCTGTGAAAAATATTTGTCATTATAAAGCTTTCTGTCTCTTAACTTTCAGAACACAGTTACTTAGAAGGTTGTAATTATTTACCTTTTAAGAATTTGGGTTAAGTTTATGTACATTTATAACTATACTGTTTGAAATAGCATTTGAGCTGTTATGGGTCAAGTTTTATTTTATACTAAATGATTAATTTTCAATTCTATTTGAAGAAAGCCATATTTATTCTGAATAGGAAATTCTATTTTTCATTTCTCGTAATTTCATATTTTAAATCAACTTAATTTTATATTAATAGTATGATTTGGTACAGCTCAATACAGATCATGTTGTGGCACTCAGAATTCCAAACCTGAAGCTTCTTATTGGATGCAGGAAGTCAGGAAATAAGTGCTTTTTCAGGTTATGAAGAAGATATTACAGACTCTTTTTTGGTTTTTGGCTTTCTTAACCATTGCTTTCTGTCGTTAGCCATAATCTAGACAATCACAGTTTAGGTTGCAGTTGATGAAGAATACGACATACATATACTCTTGTTTTAATCTGAGAACTAGCTTTAAAAGTGATGATATGTTGTGTGTGTGCACATGCATGTGTGAACATGTACATGCATATGTTTACATATGTTCTTGTGGTGTTCTCACTCTCTGTCTCTCTCTCTCTCAAAAAGTTTCTTTATTCCTTTGTGGTTTTCATCATTTTCCCTTCCTAACCTGTTGTTCATTGTTTTCTTCTGATATGCTGAGACTTGTTTGGGGAAGTAAGCATGAATAGAACTTTGAGCTACTTGGATGTAAACGAGAGAGACAGGAAAATAAATTAAACTCAGGTGATAGAATTGGAAAAGGAGAATTTTTTTCAGCAAGAAATTACAGGTTTTAGACTCTCAATAAATTTAAAATCATGTTTAAATATATGACTCAAAGCTACAGTAGCAAAATAAAAAACTAATATGAAATTAGAAAGGATGAGAACATTTTTGTAATTACCTTCAGAGATTATATGGCCAATTTGTGAACATCCTGAGTGGAAATAGTGCTTTTTAATGACTGCAGGTTAATAAGATGTCAAGTCTGGTAGATAAGATGGATAAAGAGAACTAGGCGAGTGAATCCACATTTTCCCCCAAGAGATGTGACTCTAAATTAATAGGACTTTTTACTTGACACTGGAAACATTTTGAGAAAACTTCCAAGAATGTTTTTAACAAAGGCAACATTACTGGAATAAATGATCATTATTTTGAGTTGTAATATGTCCTGACATTTTCTAAATTATGTTTTTTACTTTTAAAGTTGTATAAAGAAAACTTAAATTAGTCTCTTATTATGTTTTACTGTGAACTACCCCTTGTTATTTATAATTGATTGTGTTGTTCTGTTTTGGAATTTAGCATATTTTTTTAAAAAAATGAAAGGACCAAACAAGCTTCAAGGAGAAAGTGAGTTTTATATAGAGTTTAAAGTGATGAAGGATGTTTGTTAGAATAGGAATAAATTACCCTTCTTCTCATTGATGTCAATGGCGATTTGACTGTGGTAAAGTCAAAGGTAGTTGAAGCAGATACGTCACAAGCTAGGTATGAGTAGTGTTCTTTGCATTCTGCCGACTTCTCTGATTTATCATCAAGTGGAGAAGCTTCCTTAAAAGTGTTACCAAATAAGAACTTTCTTTTGCCTGTTTCCATGATTTGATTTCAATCATATTTATTTTCTAGCTCTCAAAGCAATTGAGGCTATTCTCTGAAACGTCTCTCTCAGAATATATGGGATATTTCACTTAAAGTATTTCTTTTTTTGTTGTTACTGTTATTCTCTTGCTGGACTTTACCACGGGTGTTGCTCAATGGAGTATTATCTGTGGAGGAAATAATGCGTAGTCTGAATTTTATAAATAAACATCTCTTTGTTTAGGATCTAAACCAGGTGTAACTGACTAAGAACTTACTCCACATGGTCAAGTGAGTTTTTGTTTTATATTTATTTTTTTTTGAGACAGAGTCTCGCTCTGTTGCCCAGGCTGGAGTGCAGTGGTGCGATCTCAGCTTACTGCAACCTCCACCTCCTGGGCTCAAGCGATTCTCCTGCCTCAGCCTCCCAAGTAGCTGGGACCACAGGCGTGTGCCACCATATCTGGTTCATTTTTGTATTTTGCGTAGAGACAGAGTTTCACCATGTTGGCCAGGCTGGTCTCGAACTCCTGACCTCAAGTGATCCGCCTGCCTCGGCCTCCTAAAGTGCTGCGATTACAGGTGTGAGCTACCGTGCCCAGCCACATTTTATATTTAAATAACAGGCTGGGTAATTACCTGCCACTAGCATTGGGAAAAGACTGTCTTCAGTTTTTAAGATGTTATATTTCTAGGAGCCACATGAAAATCCTGTAAGATTAGACTATTTTTAGCTGTATTTTCTATTATGTGAATATAAACTTGTAATACCTATTCTAGGGTTCAAAAAATTTTTTAAACTCTATTTTGAAATAATTTTAAACTTGCAGAAAAGGTACAAAAATAGTACGAGAACTTCTGGCTACCCTTCACACATATTTAGCAGTTTTTAACATTTTGTCACATTTGCTTTTTCACTCTATATATGTGTATAATTTTTAATTCTGAACCATATGAGAGACGTCATGCTCCTATTCCCCTAGATCCTTTAGCGTGTAATTCTAAGATCAAGGGCATTCTCTGATGTAGTGTATTACAATGATCAAAATCCGGAAACTTAACATTGACACAATACTATTATCTGAATTACTATTTATATTCAAATTTTGAGAGTTGTTCCAGTAATATATTTTACAAGGACACCCCTTCCTCTCCCTGGACCATAATTTAATTTTTAAAACTTTGACATACCTTCAATTAGTGTTTTCTTTATGTCAGTTTTTCTTTTCTCTTAAAAAAAGCTTAACAGAAATCACTGAGGTTTTAAATTACTGATTTCTTTTTAATAAAAGCCTTTCAGGAAGAATGTGTGATCATTTAGGAACCAATTTTGACAGTTGTGTGATCTGCATGAACCATCAGGTTGGGAGAGAGTCAGAAGTTAGAATAGGTACTGATTTTGTCACCTGATTGTGGAGGAGTCACAACTTTTTCTGAACCTTGATGTGTTCACTGTAATATAGGCTTAATGATATGTGCTTGCCTGTCTCATTGTGTGTATAATTGAAGTTTCTTTGGAACTTACTAACACAAAAAATACAGTTAGGATGCTGACTTTTAGGATTCCAAACCTAGTTCTGTCAAATGACCATTTCTATTATGATGAGGAAGAGTGATAAAGGGATTTAAGGATTAAGAAGCCCTCTTTGTCATATATATCTTTAGATGATAATGATGTGATACAGAACTTTGTATGCAAAAAGAGCTGAGATTTAAATTTGAGAATTATCTCCATGTAAGTGATGATAGAACTTACTTAAAGTAGCAAAATCTCACAGAACATTGTAGAATGAACAGCGTTAGTGGCTCTAGACTAAGCCATAGATGGCACCCACATATAGCAGGAAATTGTAATTTATAAATATTTCCAGATTTATCAGGCAATTCTCTTTCCTAACATTGAAATTTTGAAAACAGTCACAGAATAAATGAACTAAAGACAAATAATGAAAGTCACATTATTACTTTTTCTTTTTCTTTTTTCTTTTCTTTTTTTGAAATGGAGTCTCGCTCTGACACCTAGGCTGGAATGCAGTGGCACGATCTCGGCTCACTGCAACTTCCATCTCCCGGGTTCAAGTGATTTTCCTGCCTCAGCCTCCTGAGTAGCTGGAACTACAGGCACGCACCACCACACTCGGCTAATTTTTGTATTTTTAATAGAGACAGGGTTTCACCATGTTGGCCAGGATGGTCTCGATCTCCTGACCTCGTGATCCACCCACCTTGGCCTCCCAACGTGCTTGGATTACAGGCGTGAGCCACCGCGGCCGGCCTACTTTTTCAGTCTCTTAGATAGATAATTCAGTTCTCCTTTGTGTGAAAAATATCTTTGACTAAGTTGTGTTGCTTTTTAATTTTTTCTTTTTAGCAGCCAACTCTTCCTGCCAAATAAATAGAGTCATCAGTCATCCTACTCTTCCGATCAGCATCACTGCTCATGAAGACAGGCACATCAAATTCTATGATAACAATACAGGTAAGAATTTATTAAGAATTGATTTTTATTAAAGCAAAAAAAAAAAATCCCTACCACAAGTAGGCTAATTTTGGTGTCTCTTGGTGGTTTCGTAGTCAGGGAATAGGCACTGAACCCCAAATACTCTCCCGTCTCAGTTTCTCTTCACTCTATCCAAATCTGCTAAGACTAGTCTTTATTATACAATACAGAATCATTTTGGTTTATTTAATAGTGAGCAGATGCTATATGTAGGCTTTAGAGCCAAGGTTATCACTAGGGACACCAGGAAAAGTTCACTCAAATACAAATAAAAATGATCTGTTGCTATGATCTATTGTAGTATTATATATTGGGGAAAAGTAGAAACATTGGAAATAGAGGCATATGGTCATTATATTTTGTTTAAAGTTGTTCAGTTATTGAATAGCATTATTCAATATTCAATTATTCCATTACCAAATAGCCTTTTTTAGTGTTGCGGATGGAAAACCTCCAGGTCATTGTATTCGTTTTTCCATAGACTAATCTTTTCTGTATTATAAAACTGACTGGTTGGTCCTCATTGATTTGAATTGTGCATGGAGATTTGCCCAAGTTTTATTTTATTACATTTCACCAGTATAAAGGAAATTTAGGAAGCACTGTGCTGGGAGGAAAGCACCCTATATTAGCTGCCATATTTACCTAAGTATCTGCCTTGTTAATATGTTGACTTCTGCTGACTTTGTTTAGCTGCTGGTGATGAATCATTTAATATTTAAAATTTTTTTCTGTATGTTGTATCCACCAAAATTGTGGCCATGTTTTCTTTCTGTCCCTTTTTCCTTGCCTCATTGTTTTCTCTCTGTGAATTTGAATTCTGTGTTTCCACAACTCATAATTTGCCAGTAGCTAAAGAATGCAAAGTAGGTGATTAATAATGTCTAAGTTCTAATTAACAAACGTGGCTTAAGGGTTGCGTGTAGAAATTACTGACTTCCATATCGTGGCTTAAAAGACAAAAGTGTAATCTAAAATTTGAGCTTTTTTTGGTTTTCCATATCATTGCCATGACTAGAGGCAAGAGGGAGACATGTTGTTTTAGGTGATGGAAAAAGCTATTAATACAGTAAGCACACAGAGAGGGATGACTGGAGAAACCAGCAGGACATGGTAGCTGGCAAATATTGAAGATGAGGAAAGGCATTAATAAGGAGTAACAATCTCTTTTTCCAAAGGCAAACTGATCCACTCGATGGTAGCCCACCTAGAAGCTGTTACAAGTTTAGCAGTTGATCCCAATGGCCTTTACTTGATGTCTGGCAGTAAGTACCTCAACTATGGATTATTTATTTGTCCTTACCATTTTCATGTTAATGTAATTTTTCCTTTTAATTTTTTTTTTGGATATAGGTCATGACTGTTCAATACGTTTATGGAATCTAGAAAGTAAGACGTGTATCCAAGAATTCACAGCTCATCGAAAAAAGTTTGAAGAATCGATTCATGATGTAGCTTTCCACCCATCCAAATGCTATATAGCCAGTGCTGGAGCTGACGCACTGGCTAAAGTCTTTGTATGACGCAATGCATCATCTTCACCTTCTAGCTGTTTATAAGTAATCAACTGCACACAAGAGATACAGAAGACGAGGGCAAGAATCATCTCGTCCTGCCCTTTTGTTCTGCTGAAGGAGCACAGAGAACATTTGTTGAAGTATAGTTTTGCAATTCATATACTGTTTTCTAAAACTAAGGTTTGTTCAGGTTGCTGCAAGCTCAGCTGAATCTGTGAGCCTGAGGTCTGTTTCAAATTTCTCCCCAATAGGCGCCTTTATTTCTGAGGTGGTTCTAATTCGCTAGGCAGGCCTGAGCGAATACAAGTTTAGCTTGTCCCTGTTGAGTAAGTAGGGCATGCTACAATGGATAATTTAAAAGCTTGATAGCTGGGACTGAATAGAAGAAAACGGGAAACTTAGACCAAGTTCTCCCCTGAGAAATCTTGTTAAAACACATTAAGTAGTCAAAATAGTAATCTTTATCATATCTGCCATATTAACCCCTTTGTGTATAATGACCAGGCAGTGTTAAACTGAGTTTTTAATTTGACTCTCCTTTCAGCTGTTCACATAAAGCACCTGGCAAAGCATTTTACCTGTTAGGGGGAGAAAAATGCAATAATATGTTAAATATATTATTATTCAGAAATGCTAGACAAATAGTTTGCAAGCAGATTTCTATATTGTATTACAGTTTTGAAAACAGATTTGGTATCATTCTAAAGTTTAGCTATCAAGCACTCACCATTGTGAAGAATAGTTGATCGACTCTGCTTTTACTAACAGATTTAACTTATTCAGGTTTGAAATTCTGTTTATTTTTAAGGGTAAACAGGGCATATCTCTTTAATAATTTCTATTTTAAAATTCACTTTATTCATGTGACATTTATAGTACCAGAGTGATTATTTCATACCAATGAAATCTTACTTTTCAGTGACTGAAAAGATAGAATTTATTTGCTAATAATCATTTATCAACACCCACCTAATCATGCTTCAGATGATCTGTGCTCTTTCTTCTTTGTCACGTTCAAGTTATCTGACATCTACCAAGAACAGTTCATAATTATTAATAGCCCAAAGAGTATGGTTAACTTCACGCAGCTGCTTTTGCAGAAGCACTAATAAAAACAAATATTTTGTACCCTAGAAGTCCTCTATTAATCCCTGTAAGAATCTCCTGGAAACCTGGATGAAAGAGTTTAATGCCAAATATTGGCTAAAAAGTTCTGTCTTTCTCTCTCCCTATTCCTCCCCCATTGTTTAATTGAGATATACATGTTTTAATGGGCAGTGGATCAGTATTGTTTCTGGGGAAATCCACACCTTAAAAGGCCAGGCTTCCCCAGCCCAACTTACCTGTGACCCACCTACATGTGTTCACCTTTTGGGATTCTGAAGACCCTGCTATCTAGACCTAGTCTCCTGTCATAAAGACATTATTTCTATAGTGGTTTATGTCTCTCTTACTCTTTGTCCCAAATGACAGAGACCAATCTAGAAATTGGAAATAAATTATTAACGTCCAACTTTCCACCAAAAAACATATAAATAGGCTCTTAGATTTTAAAAATATTAAATCTATAGATATTTTAACCAATTAAAACAATTTCTACATATTCCATTCCCCACATTTTCCATCGTCATAACAATGATGCTTCTCATGATACGTACATCTACTCCTTGAAAAAGTATTCTGGTGGTGGTGTGGCTAATGATTGACAAATATTTCTGTAAAATTTCTGCCTGTTTGCCTCTAGAATTCTGCATTATACAGGCAAATTTTCTTTAAAGCTAGAGACTTGTGCTAAATTTGCCTGATTTTCATACAGATATGCTGTAGTAATACAGCTACCTTTTCATTTCATCTTTGTGCTTTGGTTAACAAGCAGGCTCAAGAGACTGCTTTGTGTAATTAAATGAATTGACCTAAACATGAGCTGTCAGGTGAATACTTAATATTTCCATGCAGATACAGAATTCCATATTGTGTTCAGTAAATTTCTTTTGGTTCTTCACAGTGAAGAAAGAATGTTTCTAACCTAACATTTGTAGAAGGATACTGGAAAATTCCTTCCAGGAAGGAAGGAAGGAAGATGCCATTACTTGGTGTATTTATGATGGATGACCACAAAGCTATTGTTCTACCAGTTATTAATTACCTTCTAAGATCTTCAGTTACTGCTTTATTAATGTCACTGAAATTCTAAAAACCAGGACATTCTTCCCCCGTTCATTTTATGCTTCATGGTTGAAATTTTTCTGTCAGTGAGTGGAAAATAACCATGAGATACATAGACTGTAGCGCAAATGGAACTGTTGAAAGTTCCTTAGAAAGCCAGTGCTGTGGCATTGGAGACTACGGAGAGAGTCTTCTCTACCAGCACTGCATGATCTCAGCCTAGAAATGAGCCAAAGCTGTCTTCCAACCAGAGTAGCATATACATGTGTCTGACTTTTCCCCTAGCCTGTTGAACATTCAATGAAAATTCACAGAATGAACAAATTCAATGTTTAAACAGCCATTGAAATGCTTTCATAGTGCTTCATTTGTAAATATTTTGTTTGAAATGTATTGGAATAGTATGAAAATTAGCGGGAGGTTTGGATCCCTGCCTTATTTTCATATGCTGTGGATACATCTCTGGGAGCTTGCAGCACCCTTCTCAAAACTCAACTGTCATATGGAGCTCATTTGCTACTCAAACCATAGACAGATTATTTAACAAAAGTGATATAATGACCTTCAGTATTTTTCTATTGAACAAGTTTAACAACTTTTGCCATTAAACAAATACTTAGTTATGCAAAATATTTCGCTTTTATAATCATTTTAGTTATGACTAAAACGGGGGAAATTGAGCTGCATCACTGATGATGAACTTTGTGAGAAATTTTTTTTTTAATCTGACTTTCATTCCTTCAGTATTCTTGCTATAAATTTCTTTTGGAGATAATGATGAAGATTTATTTGAAAATGTCTAAAATGTATGTATATTTTATAAATATATATTATATATATTGTAAGAATATATATAATATATAAACTATATATATATATATATATATATATATATATATATATATATAAACCATAGGTGCATTTTACTGTTTTGTATTTTCATTTTTGGAGGTAGTATACACAGCAGATAATGATGAGTATGATGAGTGTTGTGCTGTTTGCTTTTGCAGTATAATATATAGTTCTAAGTGTTTAAATTACTGTATATACAATATTCATTATAGGCTAGCATGCTTGTTTTAAAGACTGTCATTCTAGTGTATTAAAATCTGAATGTAAGAAAACCTGGCTATTCAAATGTGAATTGAAAAATATTTTATTCTCAGTACTGAACTATTTCCATTGAACATTCAGACTTTTTAACAAAAACAAATATCATCAAGAAGGCAATAGCTAGAAAATGAGAGGTGCCTTTAAAAAAAAAAATGCAGCCTTACAGTGAGGATGAAGATTGAGTTTGGGGAGGGGGTGGGAGGGGGGGCACAGAGAGAGAGAGAGAGTTAGTGTGTGTGTGTGTGTGTGTGTGTGTGTGTGTGTGTGCATGCATGCGTGTGTGTGTGTGTGTGTGTGTTTACCAATCTGTGAAGGTCCTGATTTGTGACCATCAATGTCTTTTTAATGTATCTGCTCAACTTCTAGGACTTCAGGGGACATTTCATGCGCTTTGTGCTCTTCTGAGCACCATATATACTTTCCAAGAATTTTGAATGTGAATTCCTAGAAATTTCAGTAGAGAAAACAATAGCTATTCTTTAATTATAGTAAAGTTCAGGTAGAAGGAGAAATTATTTGTTCACCAAAATTATGGGATCTCATTAATGTTGGCTAAGTAAATGTAATTTTTTAAAGGCTCACTTTTTAATACTTCATATATTTCCCTCTTACAAAACAGCATGTCATGAAGTTCTTATGTGGTAAAGATTCAACTAGTAAATATTTTTAGGTTAAATACCTGAACTAGTTAAAATTCCACCTAAGAATAGTCTTAAAATATTTAAAAAGCATCTCTCATATCTACCTCTTTGTCATTGCTGCCATTTTAACTGAAGCAAATCTTTATGACATCTGAAATGATGGTTGGATGCAATTAAAAAAAAATCTATGTTGGTGCTTTTCTCAGGCTTTGTCATTTAAGTTATATTGTATTAAGATGTCACAAATCAGACTGAAAGGCTTAGAATTAATTTTGTTTTTCTTTGAAAGAATTGCTTAAAATTAACCATCAATGTTTTTAGCGAGTGGAGATAATGAATCTTTGGTTGGTGTCTGTCTGTGTGATGTTTTCAACCAATAGCCAAATAATTATTGAACTTACATGAAAAAGAGTGCTAAGTATAATTTTATTTAGATTACTTTATTCTTTGAAAGTGACTACAAGGCTATTAAGTACATAATCATTCATTTTATTTACTCAGAAGTTGCCTCTCCATTACTGTTAACTTGTTTAGTAATTTATATAATTGCAGTACTTTTAAGTGTTGGACACTGGGATTCAGGTTGTATACAAAGTAGTAGCTGACGAAAAATATGTATATTTTTGTGAAATGTATCAAGCCCTAAAGTTCATTTTAGAGAAAGGCCCAGAAAAACGTATCTGTGTTTAAAAACAAAGGACAGGTCATTCGTCAATTTGAATCATTTTTACTTTTGCCACTACAAACTTTTTAATTGGCAATATCCATCATCCAACTGGATCTTCATGTCAGTGTCAGGGATGCCAGGTTGACAAAGTATTTAACAGATCCTTTCAGTTTTTGTTTTGTTTTTTTAATTCTAAAAAAAACAAATGTTAGGCCAAACAGATCCCTAGATCCCACTCATTGATTCTGGCGGTATTCCTAAAGTGGTGCTTAGGGGGTCAGAATTTTCTGGATCTTTGCTAATCCAAGCTTTAGATTTAATTTAACCAGGACCACATGCTTGTCATCTCTCTGATGCAAATTTTCAAAATCATTTTAATTTAGATTCTAATGTCTGCCTGGGTTTTTAACAGGCTGTGAACCAGTGAGTGCCTTGTTAATGTAGAATGATTTTTCCCCCCTGGGTGGGTGTTAGTTAGCTCCTCTCTGAAAATGTCTCAGAGAATGGTATTTTAATTGACTTGTAGAGAGCTGCTAAATTTGTTATTATCAGCAATCAGAAAGTCTTTGGTCTACCACACATCTCCCTCCCTACTATCTCTTCATTGTTTGGCTGAAGTTTGCCTCTTGTGAGAAAACAATACAACTCCCCTTCTCCACACACTTTTTTTCCAGCCCAGATTAATAGGTATCCCCTACCCTAATCCCAACTCTATGATCTAATACCTTTTTTAGGAGGAACCACTTCTTTTTAATATTGAAATCTGCTGGTTACTTTATGTTTTCTCAAGTTCAGTTGACTAGAGCTGACCACAGGGTGTCATCAATTCAGATTCCTAAATAACCCTTTCTCTCCACACCCAGTCCTCCAGCTGGTGAGCCCTGGGCCAGATTGTTTGATCTTCAGGTATTTTAAATTTTAGTTACATCAATTAATGTAAATTAATCCAAATGCTAATTTTTGTGGTGCAAGAAGTTTCTTATGTAAATTCAGGGTATGGATAAGCTAATTAAGATATCCATCTTTGGTGGCTCTAAGTGTATTATTTGTTTTTAAATAAAGTGTACAAATATAGATAACATGCTATAGGTGTCTCATGAATTGGAATATTTGTCAGATTTGGGATCTAGCTGTGGCTTTACAGTAATCAGTTAAATTAACATAGTCTGATTTGGGGCTTTTGGGGGAGGAGTTGTAGAGGGGTGCAGAGAAATAAAAGGATATTAGACAAAGTATACATGAGTCCAAAATTAATGAACCAGTCTTAATTACTGATTGTGAGGAAGGAGAAGTTTATAGAGAATTTGGGCCTCTGAAAAGCCAAATTAAAATAGCTTCTAGGATTGGGTCAGTGGTACTTTCAGAGACACATATGTTTAATGAATAGGTTTTATGTTTTTCAAATGTTCAGTTTAAATGGCTTTTAAAATTTATACACATATATAAATACAATGTTTTTATTTTTTGTTTCGCTACTTAACAGACATACACAAGCCTTCCACACTCCCTGCCCCTTCAAATCAACATTATTTTTCAAGGCCTTTGGCCTGCCCAGAACTCACAGTCTTTTTGTTCCAATCAGGATCCACAATACAATATGAAATTTAAAAGGCATCTCTTCTGATATCCTTGAAACTATCCACCATTGTTTGGTGTTCTGTATGCTGGTATACTAATGAGTATTATATCCTTTGGTATGTACACACATTTTCAGTAGTGTTGGAAACACCTCTTTTATCTTTTTAATGAGAACTGAGACATGATTAGCTTGAGTAATTTTGGAGATCTATCTCAGGAGGTCATTAAAACTCCAAAAATTATTCACGGATTGATGAACCTCCTGGGGTCAGCCTAAGATTGCCAGGTAGTATTCTGACCTCCTCTGGGTTTCCCAAGATCACTGATGTTTTGCAGGGCCCCAGCATTGTCCTGGCACATAAAATATTCCCAGAACACCTTGGGAGTCAAGCATACCTTTTAACCTAAACATTATAATCATGGAGCATCCCTCCGCCTGTTACTTCTCAGGATGACCAGAACACTCCAGTTCTCTAAGGAAGCACTGACATACGGCTCTGAAAATTGGAATCCGTTTTCTGAAACACAAATTTTAACTCAGTAAGTTTTGTATATCAAATGATTCAAAACCCACCAAACATAAAATGACTCGCTTCTAAGTATCACTCAAACCCTACAAAACCTAACCCTTTCCTTATTCCTAATTGATATTTCACTAAAGGTAATGGTAGTTTCAGTTAGATTGGAAGTCATTATTTGGGTGAGCAAAGTCTGCAATAACCTACTGATAGGAAGGACCTATTTCATAGAAAAGTATCTTGTCCTTGGTGATTTAGCCATTCACCTTACGTGAAGAGTGGTCCAGATGCCAGCTCCACATTGACTTTTTCTGTGTCCCTCTTTAGGTAATTAACCCAGTGATGTAAAGGAGAGCCCACAGTAAAACATCTGTTAAACAGCACTTGGAGTACTATAGTGTTATTAATTTATGTGCTATAATTTCTTATGCCATCATAAAATCTAGTGTATGTACCAGGTTCCCAATTCATTGCCTCAAACAAAAGATTTTTAAAAATTCTAATAGCATCAAATTAAGGGTAATGGTAGGGAAACCCATCATCCACAATTAAATATGCCCAAACTGAAAACTTTAAGAAAAAAAAGCACATGGAAAGCAACGTTTTACATTAATCGTGAGTTGTAGAAATAAACAGCTTGTGGTTTGTATATGTGCCGAAATGTTAAAGTATGCTGGCATCCAACTACTTCCCTTTGGAAATGGGACCAAGACAATAATTTTTCATGCATAAACAAAATTAACTTAGAGCAAAAGTAATTTTATCAGAAACAGTTTATTTTGGGGGCTGGATAACTTGGGTGAGAGTGTGGGGAAAGAAGTACCTTACCAAAAAGGAGAAGCAACTGACCCTGTGGCCTGAGCCACATTGTCTTCCATTTCAACTTCAATGGGCTGGCAGTATACCACTTCTGACCTCAAAGAATGAATGGTTCCAATTCTGGCTTGTCATTGGTCCTTGTTATCTAAATTAAATATTTTTAGGAAATATATCAAAAGTATCCTAGAGCCCCATGGCAAAGTGTCAGAGGAAATAGTTTTCATTATATTTTAGGAAGCTGTAAAAATATAAGCCCAAGTATTTTGTGTCATCTGCATATGTCAGGATGAAGACCAGGCATGTAAGAAATATCCTAAAGTAGCCAAGTGATAATCTCATGAAAAAATATGAGAATCGTTTTTACAGAGTGAGTTCTCTTTTGAATGGTTTTGACTATGCTTTTAAAAACATTTTTAAAATGTACTTACATCTTTTTCGATAGCCCACGTATTTCAGAATATCCTCTTGATAGAATAATATCACTCAGTGTGATTTTTAGAAAAAGAAAAACTCGGTGGTCTCATATCTTTTGACAGTTGTTTGTGAATAATACCCTCCCCAACAACCTTCCCAGTACTCAACTGCTATGTAAGAATGCTTTCTTATGTGGTAAATGTCTCAGTATTTTGCTGCCTGGTATTTGTTCAGTTTCCTTGTATATCTCAGGGTCAGAAGGAATCAGGCTTTCTCCCAACTCTGAAACATTCAGACTTACTTTCTTTTTGGTCAGCCTTTTAACAAGCAAGACAATAAACTCCTTTTGTCAGAATCGATTTGATTAAAAAAAAAAAAAAAGAATGTGCTCCTTATTTCTCATTGCTGTAGAATACGTAGGAATACACATCTACTAATCACAATTAAAAAATAAGAGAATCTTTAGAAACATCATTGCTTTCTGGAGGTAGAAATTTTGAACTTGAAGGTTGTAGTTCCAGGCAATTTTGTGCCCTTGAGGTGTCCAATTGATAGTATAGCTTGCCTCTGCTAATAAATACACAAAAGTTTTCTTTCCTGTGATTTTCAGAAATTATTTTTGGAATACAAAGATTAATAAGGAATATGTGATGTTTATCTCCTGCATTTCAAAATCTTCTGGATTTTTTTTGAGGCATGAGGAGCAGGTAATGAGATTTTTTTTCTGAATATCTTGATTCTCTCCCTTAACCCAGATTTTGCATATTATGCATTGCTCATTTGTCACCTACAAAAATAAAGGTTAATGATTATTTGTTTGCTTTTGTCTATATAAGCTCCCTAAGGCACAGACCATGTTCGTTTTTCTTATGTTCCTCTTAGCACTGTGCCTGGTGCCTTGCCATATAAAAGGTACCCTATAAATATTTGTTGGCTGAGTAATCAGAGAGCCCATTTCAAAATCTAAATTATACAAATCATCAAAGACCAAAAAAAAAAAAAAAAAATCTCTTGACAGTTGATGCTCAAATGCATTTGGTTCTGTGGAGCTTATCCTGAGATTGAGGTCTGCACCTTGACTGGAGAGGAATTTGGACTTTACCTCACAGGTAGCAACAAAATGCCTGAGTAGCAACGTCTTTATACTGCACAGTTCCAGTCCTGCCTGCGTGAAAACTGAGCAGAGCATGGTGGGGACAGGAAGGTGTCCCTAAACCCTGTTGATGACCTCCCATCTATCCCCGGACCCCCATATCTCCTCTGCTCATCCCCTGTTCCCCACTGGCCTCTGATCAGTTGAAAGGGAGCTTTTCTAGCCTGGAACCTGAGCCTGCCTTGATTATCCTGGGCTCAGAACAGGTCCACTTCCACACTCTTTCCTTGCAACCTACAGATGGCCCTACTGACTGCTGTTGTCCAGGAGAAAGACGAACCTCCCAGTGGAATCTTGTCAGGAAAGGCATCCCTCTGGGGAGCTTTCTTTGGAGAGGAAAATTCTGGGACAAAGTTCCTCAGGATGCTCTCAGGCTGGTTTTTGTCTTGAAGATTTTATAGTAATTGTACCAATGTTTATTAACTCTCCTAGGAACATCTCTGTCTTTGGTTTTCTGACAGCACTCCAGCAGGGCCCAGGGCTTTAGCTGAACAGTGCAATTGTTTTAGGAATAAAACAGTCAACAAGTTAGAGACCAACTATTTATATTTAATATTCAAATGACTTTAAATCATTAAAAGAATCAGCAAATTACATATGAAATATTCAACGAATAATCTCAACATTAAACATATACCATGTAAGAACTGTCATTAAAATTACTAAAAATATGATTCCTTTAAGATCAGTTCAACACAGAAGAAAGCAGGAATTTGGCCTGGACAATAGGACATTTATTGTCTGTTAGATTTTAGACAAGTCAACTCTTCTAAATTGGCTTCTCATCTATGAAATGGGGATAATAGATCTGCCTAATTAGGTTGATTTGAGATAACGGATGTAAAACACCTAATAAAATAAGCATCCAGCAAATGACTTGTTCACTCTCTGAATACAGACTTCTGGTCATGTAGTTCGGTCACACTCCTGATAGCTTCTAGAACATCAGGGTTTTAGGAGAAATAGGTTAAAATGAACATCAAGAGTAGCAGAAGACTACTTTCCTTAATATTTGAGTGCCAGCTATATGCCACACAGTTCTAGTTGCTGGCAGTCAGCAGTAAACAAAAACTTCACCTGATGCAGCACATTCCAGGTGGGGGAACAAGTGAAAATATAGGGAATATTAGTGATAAGTGCAGAGGGAAAAAAAATAGAGCAGGGAAGGGGGATGATTTGATGTTTTTCAGGTTAAGAAAGTGACAGAAATGAATTTAAATGCAAAAAACAATGCATAAAGATTCATAATGGCAAAACGAAGCATGTCCCATCATACCCCTTCATTCCTACCTCCCTGATATGTATCTTTCTAATTATTCATACAAATGTGTATACCCAGTTATTACATATGGGGTTTTATTCTACATATTATGCTGCACTTGCTTTTTCTAATATAATGTGTATCATGAGCACCTTACAAATTTTTAAAGGTCTCTCAAATTTATCAGTAAACATATACAGTCTAACGTTAATGAGAAGATATTTTGGTGGGCAGTTTGCTTTAAATAAATGGGATCATGTACGTTCTCTGCATCTCACATTTCTCATTTAACAATGTAGGATGAGAATTTCTCTAAGTCTATCATAGCTCTTATTTCCTTTTTATTATTACAATAAACATTCCTGTGTATATGTTTGTCACCATGATGGTTTTACGTCTGCGGAATAGATTCCCTGGAGTAGGATTGCTGCATTGAGGAGTATGTATATTTAAATTTTTAAATAAATATTGACAGATTGTTTCCCAAAGTGGCCGGAACAGTTTTTATTTCCATCAGTAAATGTATAAAAACACTTTTCCCTTAATACTCATGGCAATAACTATTGTAACATTAAAAAATACGTAGAAAAAAGAAAAAAATCCTGGTGGATGTAGTGATTTTTCAGTGTTATTTTAATTTCCATTTTCCTGACTACTATAAATGTAGACATCTTTTCAAATGTTTTGGTCATCTGGATTGCACTCAGAACTGAATTATCTATTCAAAGTTCTGTAGGTTAGAACTCCAGGGAAACTCAACTGGGCTGTCTGTTCAAGGCCCAACAAGGCTGAAATGAAAGTGTCTTCCAGGGTGGGTACTCAACTAAAGCTCTGAGGAGGAATTCGCTTCCAGCCTCATTAAAGTCAGAGGATGGAGGTCCCTGTCTCCTAGCTGACTGTCAAATCTGATCCTTTAGAGGTTGCTCCGTGGTCCTTGCACGTGGTCCCTTCCACCTTCAAAGCTTGCCAGGGTGCATCAAATTATTTTTATACTTTGACTCTACTTCTACCAGCCAGAGAAAACTGCTTTTAAAGGGCTCTTGTGACTAGTTTAAGCACACCCAGATTGTTAAGGTCAACTGATTAGTAGCTTTAATTACATCTGCCAAGTCCCTCTGCCCTGCAATGTAACATCAACCATGGAAGTAACATGAGGGGCAGAGTTCATGGGGGCCATCTTAGAATTCTGCCTACCACAAATATTCGTAGTTATACTTTTATATACATTTTTAAATTTTTCTTATTTTTGGTCCATATGTTTGTACCGTTTGTCTTTTTAGTTAACTAGTTTGTGAAAGCATTTTGTATGTTGTACAATATATGTTCAGATTTTCTTATCTTGGATGCAAACATTTTTTTCCAACTCTTGTAAGTTGTCTGTTGACCACATTCAAAAGTACTTTTTCCAAATAAAACTTTGCCTTTTGAATTTCACTTGAGTGAATTGCATATTTGCATTTTAAAATGTTTATTTTGTTATTTTATTAAAGTTTTGCCCATGTTCCACTGTGTTTTTTAAAATTTGCAGGTGCTCTTTTTATACTACATGTAAACCCTTTTTCTTACTATTTGCCAGTGTTTTTCTCCAAAACTATATTATTTTTGTTGACCATGTTTATAATACCTTTTCTCATTTAAAACTTTATATTAGGGCTTGGCAGGGTGGCTCACGCCTGTAATTTCAGCACGTTGGAAGGCTGAGGCAGGAGTATCGCTTGAGCCCAGGAGTTTGAGACTGGCATGGGCAACATAGTGAGACCTCGTTTCTACATACAATTTTTAAAATACTAGCTGAGCATGGTGGCACAACAGTTACCCTGGAGGCTGAGGTAGGAGAATGGCTTGAGCCCAGCAGGTGGAGTCCAGATCGCTCCACTGCACTCCAGCCTGGGCGACAGTGAGATCATGTCCCAAAAAAAACAAACCCGAAAAACTTTTTATTAGTAGATCTTCAAGTATACTTATATATAAAATATAGGCATTTGTGACTATAAGCTTTTGGAAGTATTCTTTATTGATTAAGAAGGTTTCCATTCCTGGGTGGCATGTATAGGCCGCTAGAATGGCTTCTACATTTTTTGTTTTTTGGTTTTGGTTTTCTACATTTATGTCTTTACTCCATTTGTGTGTGTGTGTGTGTGTGTGTGTGTGTGTGTGTGTGTGTGTGTAGAATGCAAACAGTCCAACTAAATTTCTTCCAAGTGGGTTGCCAGTGTAGCACTCTATTAAACAACCTTTTCCCAATGAATTGAAACACCAGCATTGTCATATATTAAATTTATATATTTAATGAGGTTTATTTCTCAATATGCCATGCTGTTTCACTTACAATTCTCCTTTCATATGACAATATCATATGGATTCAGTTATTGGTGGCCTTATAATATGGTCAGGAGAGCTTTTCCGCTTCCCAAGCCCCTGCCCACTGTTCTTTTTACTGCCTTTGTTGGCTATCCTCAGCATTTGAAGTTTGTAATAATTTAATCCAATTAGGAGTTAAAATTACATTAAATTTACATATTAATTTGGGGAAGTTTGACCCACAATACTGTCTTCCCATCTGAGAACAACATATCATTTTCTGTTTGGATCTTATTTATATCTTTAGTAAGATTTGAGAGTTTAAGTTCTTTGCCTTTAAAAAATTTTTAATATGTTCTTATTTTGGTCACTATTGTGACCATTTTCATTTATAAGAGCTTATTACAAATAAAGAGAGGAGCCAGGTGCATGGCTCATGCCTGTAATCCCAGCACATTGGGAGGCTGAGGTAGGAGGATTGCTTGAGCCCAGGAGTTCCAGACCAGCCTGGGCAAAATAGCAAAACCCCATCTCTTAAAAAAAAAAAAAAAAATTTAAGAAAATACATTTTAAAATACACAGAGAAAATCTGTTTTTGTATGCTTATATACAACAAACATTGTAAATGCTTACTAAATCTCATGAATTATAGCAGGTTTTCACTAGAGTCTCGAGATGTTTAGAAATACAATTGGGACATTCACAAAAATAATTTGATCTTGTCTTTTTCAATGTTTGACTGATTCTTTTTTTGAAATTTTTGTTGTCTAGAAACTCCAATGTGGTGTTGAGTTATAATGGTAAAAGTAGGCCTCCCTGTCTATTATTAACTTTAGTGGAAATGGTTTTGGTATTTAGTTATTTAGAGTATTTTACTTGTTATTTGGTAAATAATCTCTATTTTATTTAAATAGGTTCTTTCCTGTTTTTCCAGGTTTAAAGAATGGCTGCTGAATTTCATCAAATGCCTTCTTAGCATCTTTTGATGTGATCATGAGTTACTCTTCTTTAAGCTGTTGACTAACCAATTGTGTGTATGAAGTTGACATTAAAACATGCTTGCCTCCTTGAAATAAACCCTATTTGGTCATATATGTTGTTGTTTTCATATAAGTCCTTGTTTCAGTTGCTAGTCTTTTATTTGGAGCTTTAGCATGCATATTCATAGATTAGTCTTACTGTTTTATTTAAGGGTCTCTACTTTCAACTTTTCTTTATTCCTTCATTTTAAGTGTGTTTCCTGTAAGCTGCCTATTTCTAGGTCTTCCAGGAAAGAAACTGGCTGGTAGTTTCTTTCAGTGGATATATTGGGTGTTCACTGGTTTTGTTTTATTATGTTCATTATTTTACTTCATTGTTTCTTTTCGTTTTTGCTGGATTGATGAAGTCATTATTCACTTCCTGTCTTTCTCATGTTAATGTGGGATTTCTACTGTGCGTTTCTCTTTCAAAATTATCTTCATTCATAATCAGATATCTTCCTGCTACTCTATGAAAAAACAGAATCACTCTAATCTTCACTAACCCCCTACCAACCTGAAACAAAAAAATGTGATTTTTAGAATACATTCACTTCCTGTGCCTCTCCAAAATAAGTGATGCTTAAAGATGCTGTTACTTTCCCTTTCCCCATTCTTTGTCTGCGTCTTTGGTTTTGCCGTTACAATTTAATTTCTATACTTTTAGACTACTTAAATTTCCATTTCAGGGTCTTATATCAATAATGTTAGTATTTTCCTCGCATATTTCCAGATAGTCTGTCATTATTTTGATAGAGAACCAGTCACATCAGTGTTTCTTAAGCATTTTGGCATTTTAAGTGGGACAATTCTTTGTCATGTAGAACTACCTCTCATGCATTTTGTGTCATGTAGAACTGCCTCCCCTCCCCTCCCCTCCCCTGGCCTCCCCTTGCCAGATGAGGACACAGCAAGAAGGGAGCTATCTGTAAGCCATAAAGAGAGCCTCACCAGAACTCAACCATGGTGGCATCTTGATCTTGGACTTCTAGCCTTCAGACTGAAAAATAAAATTTGTTTATTTAAGTCACCCAGTCTATCATATTTTGTTATGGAAGCCCAAGCTGACTGTATACAGACAGCAAAGGAAATCTTCCCAGAGGCCCTCCAACAGACTTCCCACATATCTCATTGGCCAGAATGTTGGCCTCCTCTACGTTTAAGGGATGTTGAGAAAAAGTATCTCACTTTTCTGCCTCTATAGGAAATAACAAATTCCAGCCAACAAATTCTCTCTGCCACAACTGTCTTTAGTCCTTCATTCCTATTTTGCAATTTCCCTGTTAAAATAATTAATTGGGAGCCATTAGGCTGAGACACCTCCAGCACCTTGGGTTCTTATGTAAGCACAATGTACACAGTAAAATGAAACTTAACCAATCAGAAACTGCCAACTAACCTCTAATTAGGGACTGTCCACTTTAACCAAGCAGTTATTTTCCTCATCTTGCTTCGTTGAATACTGTATTAGTCACGGTTCTTTTAGAGGGACAGAACTAGTAAGATATATATATATATGTGTGTGTGTGTGTGTGTATACATATTATATATATATGGGAGTTTATTAAGTATTAATTCTTAAACTCACAAGGTCTCACAATAGGCCATCTGCCAGCTCAGGAGCAAGGAAAGCCAGTCCAAGTTCCAAAACTTGGAGTCTGATGTTTGAGGGCAGGAAGCATTCAGCATGGTTGAAAGATGTAGGCCGGGAAGCTAGGCCCATTTTGTCACTTCACATTTTTCTGCCTGTTTTATATTCGCTGGTGGCTGATTAGATGGTGCCCACCTGATTAAGGGTGGGTCTGCCTTTCCCTGCCCACTGACTCAAATGTTCATCTCCTTTGGCAACACCCTCTCAGACACACCCAGGATCAATATTGCATCCTTAATCCAATCAACTAGACACTCAATATTAACCATCACAAACACCTTATACCTTTTTACCTCCTCAGTGGAGTGCTGAACTGCTTGCAATCTGGTGATGCCTGATTTAGGAATTGCTGAATGCTCAAATAAACTCATTAAAATTTTTATGCACCTAAGTTCATCTTTTAATATCTCCCCCATCCTGATTATAAAAAGTAATAAATGTAATTTGTAGACCAAGTCCTAATATCCTGACTCTTGAAAACAGTGCTTCACCTACAGAATAGAAGAAAAATTTTGCAATCTATCCATCTGAGAAAGGTCTAGTATCTGGAATCTACAAGGAACTTAAACAAATTTACAAGAAAAAAACAACCCCATCAAAAAGTGGGCAAAAGATATGAACAGACACTTCTCAAAAGAAGACATTTATGCCACCAACAGACATAAAAAAAGGTCATCACTGGTCATTAGAGAAAAGCAAATCAAAACCACAATGAGATACCATCTCGCTCCAGTCAGAATGGCGATTATTAAAAAGTCAGGAAACAATAGATGCTGGAGAGGATATGGAGAAATAGGAACGCTTTTACACTGTTGGTGGGAGTGTAAACTGGTTCAATCATTGTGGAAGACACTGTGGCAATTCCTCAAGGATCTAGAACCAGAAAGAAATACAATTTGACCCAGCAATCCCATTACTGGGTACATACCCAAAGGATTATAAGTCATTCTGCTATAAAGACACATGCACACATAGGTTTATTGCAGCACTATTTACAGTAGCAAAGACTTGGAACTAACCCAAATGCCCATCAATGATAGATTAGATAAAGAAAAAGTGGCACATATACACCATAGAATATTATGCAGCCATAAAAAAGAATGAGATCATGTCCTTTGCAGGGACATGGATGAAGCTGGAAGCCATCATTCTCAGCAAACTAACATGGAACAGAAAACCAAACACTGCATGTTCTCACTCATAAGTGGGAGTTGAACAATGAGAACACATGGACACAGGGAGGGGTACAACAAACGCTGGGGCCTGTCGGGGTTAGGGGAAGGGGAGGGATAGCATTAGGACAAACACCTAATGCATGTGGGGCTTAAAACCTAGATGACAGGTTGATAGGTGTGGCAAACCACCATGGCTCATGTATACCTATGTAACAAACCTGCACATCGTGCACGTGTATCTTGGAACTTAAAGTGAAATTAAAAAAAAAATGTGGTATATATATACACCATGGAACACTACTCGCCATAAAAAGGAATGAAATAACGGCATTGCCAGGAGACTGGATGGAATTAGAGATCATTTTCTAAGTGAAGTAACTCATTTCACTTAGAATGGAAAACCAAACATCATATGTTCTCACTCATAAGTGGGAGCTAAGCTATGAGGACACAAAGGACTAAGAATGATACAATGGACTTTTGGGGACTCCGGGGACTCAGCGGAAAGGGTGGGAGGGGGGTGAGGGATAAAAGACTACACATTGGGTACAGTGTATACTGCTCCGGTGATGGGTGAACCAAAATCTCAGAAATCACCACTAAAGAACTTGTTCATGTAACCAAACTCCACCTGTTCCCCAAAAATCTATTGAAATAAAAAAAAAATTAAGGAAAAAATAATAATAAAAAACAGTGGCTAAAGTCACCTTCCAAATGCGACATCTGCTTCCTTCATGGTACATCACAATCATTCTAATCTTGTCAATTTTCGGCTTGGAATTCACTCACTACTATTTGAAGAATGATCAAACATCAAGCTCTGGTTAATAGACTTCGTGTTATGCAAATTCTGAAGAACTCTACCTTCCTGCTTATATCCCTGAGTATGTCCCTAAGGTTGTATTTAAATTTTACTTCAGATGATTCTTCCCGTAATCTTTCTCCTCCAAGTGGATTATCTCTCACAACTTAGAAGAGGATGGGTCACCTTCCTGAAGATATTGAAAGTACTTAAGAAACGTCATGGCCGTGCGCAGCGGCTCACGCTTGTAATCCCAGCACTTTGGGAGGCCGAGGCGGGCGGATCACCTGAGGTCAGGAGCTCGAGACCAGCTTGACCAACATGGCGAAATCCCGTCTCTACTAAAAATACAAAAATTAGCTGGGCGTTGTGGCATATGCCTGTAATCCCAGCTACTCGGGAGGCTGAGGGAGGAGAATCGCTTGAACACAGGAGGCGTAGGTTACGGTGAGCCGAGATGGCGCCATTGCACTCCAGCCTGGGCAACAACAGCAAAACTCCATCTCAAAAAAAAAAAAAAAAAAAAAAAAAAAGTCATAAAAATAAGCTTCTTTGGGCTAACCAATATAAAAATTCCCACATCTTGTATGAAAAGTGGAATTCTTTTGCTCTTAAAGACCAAATTCTGTTTCTAAGCAATATGGAGTAACAAGGACTAGAATGATCTTCCTCTCTTAAACAATTTTTCATAAAAGAGAGAAAACAGAACAATAGAAGCAGGTTTCAGGCATTGAAAAACAGGTAGCACAAGACAATAGCCCCTGTGAGAGAGGAAACTAATTTCCCAGTCTACTGCTCAGAGAGAGTGTTCATGATTCAGTGCAGGAAGGGACAACCCAGGCAGACTATAGAGGTTTCTGTGAGTTGAGAATACAGAGTTGGGAGTTTGCAAAGGCCAAAGTAACTAGCGTTTGCAGGGAAGAATACCACAAGAGAGTTCTGGAGATCTGAACTGAACTCTACCCTGTCTTCAGCTGAGTACTGATAAGTACAGGATGTGAGCAACCTATCAGAGGCTGGGGAAAGAGTTACCCAAAAGGTGCAGGAAGAACAGTCTCCTTATGTTGCATAGGGCTGAGAATAGTTAATGTTTCCACCAGCCGCAGAGGAAAATCTCATATAACATGAGGCATAATGGTTAAAAATTTCCCAAATATCACAAAAACTATAAATTTACAGATCCAAGACATTCGGTGAACCCCAAACAAACACAAGAAAAAAAGGAAGAAAGAAAAAATTACATAAAAACACATCATAATAATCAAATTGCTTAAAGCCAGTGAATAAGAGAAAATTTTAAAAACAAAGGAAAAGAAACATGTACAGAAGGAAAAAGATAAAAATCATGTCAGGCTTCTCCTCAGAAGCAATGCAAACCAGAAGACAGTGGAGGCACATCTTTAAAGTACTGAATAGAAAAAACAAAACTATCAACTTAAAATTCTACACCCAATAAAAATATCCTGTGGAAACAAAGGCAAAATAAAGAGCTTTTCAGAAATACAAGAACTGAAAATATTCATCACTATAGATGTTTTAAAGGAAGTCCTTCAGGCAGAAGAAAAGTTACACCAGATAGAAATCTGGATCTCCACAAAGAGATGAAGAGCTGTGGGAATGGTAAATATCTGGATAAATAAAAATTAAATTTTCTTACTCTTAAAATCACTTTAAAGGATAATTGACTCTTTAAGGCAAAACTAATAAAAATGTATAGAAGTTTACAAAATGTAGAAGTAAAATATATGACAACAACATAAAGGCTGGACAGAGGAGAAATGGAAGTATACTGTTGTGAAGATCTTATACTACACGTAGACTATAACAAGTTATAGATGTTACTCCTTTTTTTTTTTTTTTTTTTTTTTTGAGATGGAGTCTCGCTCTGTTGCCCAGGCTGGAGTGCAGTGGCACCATCTTGGCTCACTGCAAGCTCCAACTCCGGGTTCACACCATTCTCCCGCCTCAGCCTCCCTAAATACCTGGGACTACAGGTGCTCGCCACCACATCTGGCTAATTTTTTTTTTTGTATTTTTAGTAGAGATAGGGTTTCACCGTGTTAGCCATAGAGATGGGGTTTCACCGTGTTAGCCAGGATGGTCTCGATTTCCTGACCTCGTGATCCACCCACCTTGGCCTCCTTTCAAAGTGCTGGGATTACAGGCGTGAGCCACTGCACCTGGCCACAAGTTATAGATGTATACTCTTAAACATAAGTAACCACGTTATTATTATTGTTATTATTATTATTATTATTATTTTTGAGATGAAGTCTCACTCTGTTGTCCAGGCTAGAGTGCAGTAACATGATCTAGGGTCACCGCAATCTCTGCCTCCTGGGTTCAAGCGATTCTCATGCCTCAGCCTCCCAAGTAGCTGGAATTTACAGATGCATGCCAACACACCCAGCTAATTTTTGTATTTTTAGTAGAGATGGGGTTTCACCATGTTGGCTAGGCTGGTCTCGAGATCCTGACCTTGTGATCCACCCACCTTGGCCTCCCAAAGTGCTGGGATTACAGGTATGAGCCACTGCTCCTGGCCACCTATACTTTTTTAAAGTGGTAACTTATTGGCTGGACTGCTAAAAATATACAAATTAGCCAGGCTTGGTGGTGCACACCTGTAATCCTAGCTACTCAGGAGGCTGAGGCAGGAGAATCACTTGAATCTGGGAGTTGGAGGTTCCAGTGAGTCGAGATTGCACCACTGCACTCCAGCCTGGGCGACAGGGCAAGACTCTGTCTCAAAAAATAAAAAATAAAATAAAGTTTCAGTGGCTGTATTAATATCACACAAAATAAATTTTAGAGAAAAGAATACTACCAAGGATAAAAATATTTATTTCAAAATAGAGGTCAATTCATCAAGAGAACCTAACAATCCCCAAAATTTATGTGTCTAATAACAGAGACTTCAAATTCATGTAGAAAATCTGACAGAATTGAAGAGAGAAATAAACTCATAATTACAGTTGGAGACTTCAACATCCCTCTCTCAATAATTTATAGGATAAGTAGACAGGAAATCAGTCAGGATGTAGAAAACTTGAATCAACACTACCAACTGACTTGACCTAATTGATATATATAGACTACTCCATGCAACAACAGCAGAATACACATTTCTCCCCAATGCCAAGAATAATTACCGCGATAGATCATATTTTAGGCTATAAAAAAGCCTTAATAATTTAAAAACCATTTAAATCATAAAAGGTATGTTCTCTGACCACAGTGAAACTAAATTAGAAGTCAATAAAATAAAGTTATCTGGAAAATTCCCAAATATTTAAAGCTAACTAACCAACTTCTAAACAAACTAAGGGTCAAATAAAAATCAAAAGGGAAATTTAAAAGTATTTTGAACTGAACAAAAATGAAAACACAACATGCCAAAATTTGCAAGATGCAGCTAAAGCAATGCTTAAGAGAAATTTCTAACTCCCGTATAACTCTAAATTCTAAACTTCTCTCAATTCAATGACCTCAGTTTCCACTTAGAGAAGTTATAAAAAGAAAGGTAAAAATAAAATAAAGTAAACAGGACAAAGACAATGATAAAGAACAGAAGTCACTATATTACAAAACAGGGAAACAAAAGAACAAATCAATGAAAATATAAGCTGTTTTTTTTGAAAAGATAAATAAAATTTATAGACATATAGCCAGACCTATCAGGAGTAAAATGAGAAAATACACAAATTAATAAATCAGATATGAGAAAGAGAACATCATTACATATTTTAGAGACATTAAAAGGGTTATAGAAAATCTTATAAACAACTTTATGCCAATAAATTCAACTTAGATGAAATGGACACATCCTTAAAAGACAAAGCTCACTAAAGAAGAAATAGATAATCTGAATAGCCCTATAGCTATTAAAGAAATAGAACTGTTTGTTTAAAACCTTCCTGTGAAGAAAACTCCAGACCCAGATAGTTCATTGAGGAATTCTACCAAACAAAGAATGACTAGTACTAATTCTATACAAACTCTTCTTTAAAATTGAAGGGGGAACATTCCCTAACTTATTCTATGTGGCCTACATTTATTACCATCATACCAAAACAAGAAAAAGTCATTGCAAGACAACTATAGGTCAATATCCCTCATGAACATAGATATAAAAATATTTAATAAAATTTAGCAAATCAAATCAAACAATATATAAAAAGGATGATACAGCATGACTAAGTGAAGTTTATCCTTGTAAAGGTGTTTCAACATTTGAAAATCAGTGTTATTCACCACATCAACAGACTACGGTAGAAAAACCGAATGCTTATCTTAAAAGATGCAGAAGAGTATAGTATAATCTAGACACAGAGTATGAGTATTTTCATGAATATATGTGGTTCAGATAAAAGTGAGAGTGAATATCCCACACTCAGGCTGCTAGGTGCTAAGAATATGGAGAAATACAAGTTATTGTCAGCTTGACCTCAGTCACCACCTCCCATTTCTGTAAATGGGACTTATCAATAAGTTATTCCTGGAATTTGTTATAGGCTCTCTCCTTTCTGACACATCAGATTGTGTAGCAGTCACTTGTCTGATTTTTAAGAAGGCTTTCTACTGCTTAGAGACACGCTCCTGAAGTCTGTTCTGCAGGCTCTCCAGACGAGCTCCTGCCAGAATAGGTCAAGGAATGGACTTATAATGCCGCATTTCACCCAGGAAAAATTTTAAAAGAAGTCTGTGGTTAATGAGAAATGCCTAGTTCCTACAAGCTGATGGTGTTGTTTCCAAAAACAAGTAACGTCTAATGTGGTTCTTCAGTGAGAAAAGAGTACAAGATTTCTTGCCTCTTCCAAGAAAGTTATTCTAATCAAGTCATTTGAGAAGTTTCTATAAATACTGTTTGGAAAGTTCTAAAACAGTATTCTTTAATTAATTCTGTATTCCTGACTTCACATTTTAGACATCCTTATTTCATTTTCACTCCGTTATTCCGAATTTATAAATTTGAACTGTCTTCTTAACTTCACCTGATTTTGTTCCATGACTTTTAGCTCATTAGTGTCATGTGTGTTCTTCTATGAGGAGCAAACCTTAAAAAATTGGTGTTACTTTTTCTTCAAAATGTCAGTGTACAATTTTGTTGTATTTACTTAAATAATTTTCCAGAGACAGACTTGGTTTGGAACCTGACATTTAACAGATGTGTTTCTGAATCCAAGATAACCTTTAAAAAAACAAAAACAAAAAGACAAAAACAGAGGTGTGGCCCTGGGACAAGTTGTTTCACTTCTGTAAGTCTCAGCTTTCTCCTTTATGAAGTCATGCCTGGAATTCTGCTATTAATTATATATTTAAAACAAAAAAAAATCAGTATGTCGAAGAGATATCGGCGCTCCTATGTTTATTGCAGCACTATGCACGATGGCCAAGATATGCAATCAAACTAAGTGTCCATCAACAAATGAATGGATAAAGAAAATGTGGTACATATATGCAATGGAGTACTGTTCAGCCATGGAAAAGAATGAAATTCTGTCATTTGCGGCAACGTGGATGAGCTTGAAGGACAGTATAGTAAATGAAATAAGCCAGGCACCGAAAGGTAAATACTGTATGTTCTCATTCATATGTGGAAGCTAAAAAAAAAGTTAATCTCATAAAAGTAGAGCATAGAATAGTGGTCACTAGAGGAAAAGAAGGAGCAGGGGCAAGAGGGCATAGCCAGAGATTGGCTACTGGATACAAAAGTACGCTAGCTATAGGGGTTTTTTTTTGTTTGTTTTCGTTTTTTTGAGACAGAGTCTCGCTCTGTCGCCCAGGCTGGAGTGCAGTGGCACAATCTCGGCTCACTGCAAGCTCTGCCTCCCGGGTTCACGCCATTCTCCTGCCTCAGCCTCCCAAGTAGCTGGGACTACAGGCACCCGCCACCACCCCAGGCTAATGTTTTTTTGTATTTTTAGTAGAGACAGGGTTTCACCGTGTTAGCCAGGATGGTCTCGATCTCCTGCCCTCGTGATCCGCCCGCCTCGGCCTCCCAAAGTGCTGGGATTATGGGCATGAGCCACTCCCGGCCAGCTATAGGTTTATTATAATAAACAATAGTTTATTACATATTTTCAAATAGCTAGAAGAGTGGATTTTGAATGTTCTCAACATAAAGAAATGATAAACATTTGAGAAGATGACTTGATCATTATGCGTTATACACATGTACTAAAACATCACACTATACCTCATAAATATGTATAATTATTATGTGTCAATTAAAAAAATAATAAAATGGTGCCAGAAGTGTCACTGTGGGAGTTAATTGGGATAACAGATGCAAAGGCAGCCAAGATGGTGCCAGGCACAGAAAACCTCCTTAGGAAGAAACCCACTCAATTCCCTTTCTCCCATCCCAACCCTCTGCAAATCTTGGGCAGTTGTTAACAGTGTCCAGCCTGAAGCGAGAAACTTTACTCTGAGGAATTCTCGACTTGGTAACCAAATGCAACACATTACAAAGAACTCTTGGTTTAGAACCATACATAACCTGAATGTTTCCAGGTGACTTATTTAGAAACCTCCTTAGAAAAGAATCAAACTAAAGGAAAACTAATTTTATCCATTCCTAATTTTTTCCAGTAAATAAAGAGATCTGTTCAAGAGAATTTATAGGCAATGCCACATTCAGGAAAAAAAGCAAAGAAAGCTCCCTTTTAGTTCTCCAAATGTGCTTCTTTAAGATGCTGTCTTGCTCCTTTAACCTTAAAGATGAGTAAATCAGCCCAGGCATGGTGGCTTACAGCTGTAATTCCAGCACTTTGGGAGGCTGAGGCAGGCGGATCACGAGGTCAGGAGATCGAGACCATTCTGGCTATCACAGTGAACCCTCGTCTCTACTAAAAAATACAAAAAATTAGCTGGGCGTGGTGGTGCACACCTGTAGTCCCAGCTACTCAGGAGGCTGAGGCAGGAGAATCGCTTGAACCCGGGAGGCGGAGGTTGCAGTGAGCCGAGATCATGCCCCTGCATTCCAGCCTGTGTGGCAGAGTGAGACGCTGTCTCAAAAACAAAAACAAAAACAAAAACAAAAAACAAAGATGAGTAAATCAGCCAGGTATGGTGGCTCATGCCTGTAATTCCAGCACTTTGGGAGGCTGAGGTGGGAGGATCACTTGAGCCCAGTAGTTCAAGACCAGCTTAGGCAACAAAGTGAGACCATGTCTCCACAAAAAAGTTTAAAAAAAAAGCTTGGCATGGTGGCACATGACTGTGGTCCCACCCAGCCACTTGCTAGGCTGAGGTGGGAGGATCACCTGAGCCCAGGAGGTCAAGGCTGCAGTGAGCCATGATTGTGCCATTGCACTCCAGCCTGGGCAACATAGCGAGACCCTGTCTCAAAAAAAAAAAAAAAAGTTGGGTAAATGCCAACTGTGAGAACCGACCCTGCCCTATCAGTCTCCCATGACAGACATGGATAATTGATTTTAGCATCTCTTTCTTTAAGAGAATCCTAAAGATTCAGAATCTTTCTTCCTATGGTTATTCAGGCAATCATGACATCTCGACCCGCCAAGGCAAAACCTGCATATTATCCCAGCCCGTGGGCTTTTAGGGAACCATCCCGAGTGTGGTGAAGGCAGTGTAATTGCAAACATTCACAGATCTGAAGGAAGAATTCTTCGTTCTGCTCTTTGCTTCTTAGTGAGAAACAGTTCCCTGGTCACTGGCAGATGATCTGCAGCTGGGGTAGGATTCGGCATTGTTATGGATGTGTAGGGGGAGGGGTGTTCAGAAGCCTCCTGGGAGACAATGTGGTATGGAGGGCATCTTCCTAGGGCATCTCAGGAAACAGTTGCTGTCAAGCAGCCCCTAATAAACAGTGATTACTGCTGCAGTGGGCTTGCCACGCTGCCACAGGTTTGGCAGGTAAAGACATGATAGACCCAAATGGATTCAGACGGTGTATTACTTATGTAGTCAGCAAAAGCAAGATCAGCATGATGCTAGCTCCCTCATCCCACAGGACAGCACAAAAACAAGGAGCCAGGTGATGGACGTCATGTGTGGTGGGATACCAATTCTAGAAGGCAATGAATGATTTTTTTTTTTTTTTTTTTTGAGAGATGGTCTTGCTCTGTGGCTCAGGCTGGAGTGCAGTGGCGTGATCAATGAACACATTTTAAAGCCTGCAGCTGGGGTGGGCGTGGTGGCTTATGCCTGTAATCCTAACACTTGCAGAGGCCGAGGCGGGCCGACTGCCTGAGCTCAGGAGTTCGAGACCAGCCTGGGCAACAGAGTAAAACCACGTCTCTACTAAAATACAAAAATTAGCCGGGCATGGCGGCATGTGCCTGTACTCCCAGCTACTCAGGAGGCTGAGGCAGGAGAATTGCTGAAATCTGGGAGGCAGAGGTTGCAGTGAGCCGAGATGGTGCCACTGCACTCTAGCCTGGGCAACAGAGCAAGACTCTGTCTCAAAAAAAAAGAAAAAGGAAAAAGAAGCCTGCAGCTGTACTGTAAAGAGGAGCGAGGTATAAAGTCCTAGCCTTCACTGAAACCAGGAAAGCTAAAAACAAAGTGCTTTGGAGAAACCTCCTACAAGATAGAGAGAAAGATGGATGACAGCGGCCTTGGGACAGCTCCCCACAAACTACATGTCTCGCCATGTTCCTGGGATGATATCACGGTATTCCAACAAGACTTAGGTCCCACTGCAGCGGAGCCTGGTCCACGTGGCCTACGTGGAGGCATGCAAGGTTGCCAGGGTACCGGGCCGGAGCCATTTCCCTAGAGCTGCCACCTGACTGTGCTCTGTGGAAGGAACTGGACATGGGAAAGCTTTTTACCATGGAGTCTGGATTGGAGGGTGCCTCATCGTCCTACACTGGCTTGCACCCAAGGAAACTCTCCTGAGATAGAACTACAGTTTGGTCAAGAAAAATTTCTCAGATCAACTTGTTTTTAAAATGCTTAGTTTTTAAAAATATTCAGAGTCCCTTGAAATTCAAAACAATTCATTAATGAAATGACTTTTTTAAAAAATTAAAAGTGAGGTTTCCACATTAAGGACTCCTGCTCTTTCTTTTCACCCCTCAGCTGCCCAGAACATGCATAGTCTCTGCCCCTTGTTCTGTATGAAACCATTTTCAGAGCCTGGAGTAACTCTTGAGCTGGCGAGCAACCCTTATGTAATGATCAGGGAAATAAGACAAGGGACATGGAGGGCAAAAGGCAACTGACAACTTCTAAGTAACTTTCCAGTCTGCCACTGGAATCCCATGGACCCGGGACTCCCTGTTGCAGGGTGAAAAACAGGGTGAAAATATGGGCACAAGACGTGTAAAGCTGAAAAGATGGTTCTGTAATATGTGACTGGAAAGATGGCAGCTGGGGGAAGAGGGAAACAGGGCTGAGAGAAAAGTGGCTGATGAGACCAGGGAGGAAAAAGCAGACAGGGCAAGGTGGCTATTCTGTACTGAAGACAGCACTGAATCCGGAGTCAGGAGACCCAGGTTCATGGCCCAGCTCTCCGTCCTACCTGCTGTGTGACCTCAGGCAACTCCTTAATTTCTCTGTGTCTCACTGTTCTCATTGGAAAATTGAATAGTAATTGAGGCTGTAATGAATTGTGAAAATATGTTTGGCACATGGCAGACTTCCCATTATGTTCGATTGTCTTTCAAGACCAATCTCTCCCAAAAGAAGTATGGAACAAGGATGGTTTTGAAATATGTATTTATTCAACAACATGAATTTTGTGTGTATTCAACGACAAAGTGTATACAGTGGCTAGTTCAGTTCATGGCACTTTGGGACTTCATAACTGAGATCAATGATTGGTTTTACTATTGTCACCAAAATTTCCCTAGGCCTTTCAGCCTGTCTGTCCGTGCAAACGAAGTTACATGGACAATAACTACTCAGTGATGTTGGCTTGTCTTCACTGGCATACTGCAGGACCAAGTATTTAGGGGGTTCTCTGAGGGATGCCCCTAATCTGCTCATGAACAAGCCTGCAGGCCCCTCTGGGACAGTCTTGGCTGCTGTCCGTGTGGGCAAATCCCTGCTGAGGCTGACACAACTCCACTAGTATTTTGCTTCCAGAGATCTTCACTGACTGTCCAGGATTAGAAAGTCTCCAGGATGAAAGGTTGATTTTCCACCTTAGGAGAATGCCCCCTGTCTGAAGGTAGAACAGGCATGTGGGTGTTCCAGGCCTTGCATTTAGGCCATAGAGCTGGAAAGGTCCCCTGCAGTTTCCACACTGCAGTTGTCATCCAGTTCAATGAGGGTGTTTTCTTAGAAGAAAACAAATTACACTGACTCTTTGCCCTTTAGGAAGCTCCGTCTGCTCCTTTGTTTTGCTTGGTGTGTGTCTTAGACAGTCATTACTAAGTTTGCAACCTTTTGATTTGTCCCTGTTCCCTCTTTGGCTTTAAAACACTGCACAACCCTCCTATTGGGGTTGGAAAGAAACTCCCTTTTACTATGATTTCAAGGAGAACTTGTAGAGTTACTAACGTCATTAAAAAAATCATTATCATGGTATCAGGGTACAGGTTTAAGAATGCCTTGGGGATGTCAGACCAACAACAATTCAATTGGTCTTGGGTCTTGTTCTGGCGTTTGCACAGTTTCTATGGCTTACGAACCCTCCCAGTTTCTGTGCCCTGGACAGTCATGTATGAGCTCTTTGTTGAGAACCCAGATTCCAGTTTGCCGTTAACCTGAATACACCCTGCTCACCTCAACCATGTGTGAGGCTGGAGTTGTTGCAGAAAGGAGCTATTCAGTGGGGATTGTGTTTTTTATAGCAGGATCTCAGCTGCCAAGCTGGATAGAGTATTTGTTTACTTGGGCAGCTTATTGCCCGCAGGACCTGTTTGTGTAAGAGGGATGGCAGGGATAAAGTTCAGCTCAGTATTTTTCAATTAAAGGACATTAAACAAAAAGCAAAGACTTCCTTGAAACTGTGGTCTTTGAACCTTATTGGTTTTCCATGTGGATGGTTATTTATATAGGACATTTCTCCTCAGCTAAGCCTTTATACTAGAAACAGAAGTGGATCCCAGAAGCATCACATCTGCCGCCCTGGCAGTCTGAATAGCTCTTCAGCAGTTAATGGTGTATAACAAGTAACATCTTGTAGTCATTGCAGGCAAGAGAAGTGAAAGGGAGTCTTAGAGAGACGGTCATTGGCTTTGTATGGTAAAGCTAAACAAAACAAAGGAAGACTATAGAGCTGGAAGACCATCACTCAGCCTGCGTTTGGCCTTCCAGACTCAGAAACTTGAGGACATGCATTCATTGGCATTCAAAGCAACTTGATGCTTCAAGGAACTTCAAAAGGTTGTGGGTGATCAGATAGAAGAATGTGGGTGCTCACCTCCTTTCAGCCACGTCAGCTTGGATTGCTGGGTGGCCTTGCTGAAGGGCCTGCATTGTGGGCTCAGCCCCTAAGGGGAGGGAAGTTTCACTCTATTCCTTCTCTCCAGAGTTGTTCACCTACTTCCAGATGAAGACCATCCTGGAGGAGGGTGGAGTGAGAGGGTTCCTGGCTCTCCTGTCCTGCTCCTGTCCCTCGTCCTGTTCCTGAGACTCTGCTGTCTTCCTGATCCTAGAGTTCATGAATTATTCCAGTTATCTTCAAACAATTGCCTTTTTGCCTGAGCTACTACAAATTGAGTTTCTGTTCCTTGCAGCCCAGAGAACCTTAACCATCACAGCATTAGGTGGCCTGGCTCCTGCCTCTCTAGCTTCATTTCCTGGCCCCTTGCCTTAAGTTCCACACTGTCATTCTCTCTGGGCCCGACACTGTTTCATACCTCCTTGCCTTTGCTTCTGTCATTCTCTCTGCTGGACCACCTTTTCCACTTTTCTTTGCCTGGTAGAAATGGACTCTTCCCAGAAAACCTAGCCCAGGAAGATTTCCCAAGCTTGCTTGTCACCTATCACATTAGTCACCTCTCACCAGTCACATTATCTGTTTATTTGTGTCTCTCTCATTCTAGCCTATAGTTTCTTCGGGTAGGAGCAAGTCATATTCCTCTTCGTATCTCAGTGCCCACCTCAATGCCTGGCATATAATAGACAGCTAAAACATGTTTGTTGAATAAAACTCAGAAAAATAAACAAACAAAAAAAAGAGTTTGCATTTCTGGCTGGGCACGGTGTCTCACGCCTGTAATCCTAGCACTCTGGGAGGCCGAGGTGGGTGGATCACTTGAGGTCAGGAGTTTGAGACTAGCCTGGCCAAGCCCATCTCTACTAATAATACAAAACAAAATTAGCTGGGTATGGTGGTGTACGCTTGTAACCCTAGCTACTTGGGAGGCTGAGGCATGAGAATCACTTGAACCCAGGAGGCAGAGGTTGCAGCGAGCTGAGATGGTGCCATTGCACTCCAGCCTGGGTGACAGAGTGAAACTGTGTATTAAAAAAAAAAAAAATTGAGTTTGCCTTTCTGCAGGAGAAATGAGAACATAAGGTGAGGAACAGAGTTACCCCATGGGTAGATACCCAAAGAAGATTCTGGTCCTAGAAAAACCATGACTGTAGCATATAATGAATAGGAGGGCATTGGGAAGGGTGGTGTAGTCTGGATGGAATAAGAGCCTCTCTTTCTCTTGCCATCATATTCTGTTTCTTTCCTGCTGAAATGTCTGCCTCGCATTCTACCAGTACCAATGTATCTGTGGTTGGCGCCATCAGGCGACTTAGGGTCAAAGTTTTCATTTTCTGGATCCCATGTCCTTAATGATGTGTATAGGTTGTGTCTCCTCGTGAGAAGGGATCAAGTTTCTGGAGAATAGGTGGGTCAGGGTTCTGTATCCAGAGAGCCTAAGTCTATTTGGAACCAGGGAAGGCCCCAAAAAGGAAGTAGCATTTGGACTGAGACTTGAAGAATGAGTCAGAGTTTATCAAGCTAATAGGGGAGTCCAAAGTCTTCAATCATCTACAGGGACTGTGGACTTCAGCTGCAAATCACCCACTTTAAATGAGGGCAGGATGGCTGTCCAGAGAATCAGGATGAGTGATGGGAGAAAGTGGAGTTTGCATTGAATATTTAACAGACTCTGTTCACATTGTACATTTCATAGACTTTGGGAGTACATTTTTTGGAATTATATGTATATTTTAAATTGAGACACTTAATAGAGAACTCCCTATGCAGCCACTTGGGTTATTTTTTTGGGCCACTGTTGTAAGGAGCCAAGTGGCTGCTGAGAAGTTGGAGCCTGGATTCAGGTTGTCTGAGCTTCCTTTTCGGATCTGCCTCATATCAGTGATAAGACCTTGGGCAAGTTACTGATGTCTCCATGCCTCAGTTGCAGGATGTGTTCAGTGACAATAAGAAGAGTATGTTTGCTATGGTTTGAATGCATCCCCCAAAGTTTATGCAATGGAAACTTAATTCCCAATGCAGCTGTGTTGAGAGGTAGGATCTTTGAGAGGTGATTAGATCAGGAGGGCACTGCCCTCATAAATGGATTAATGACGTCACGGGAGTGGGTTTGTTATGGCAGGAGTAGATTCCTGATAAAAGGATGAATTCAGCCTCCTTTCTCTCTCCTGCTCTCTCTCACCATCCTAGTCTTAGGTATTCTGTTATAGCAGCATAAAATGGACTAAGGCAATCTTTCTCAGCAAATCATAGGGATAAGTGAGTTAATACATATGAAGTCCTCAGAACACGGCCCAGCATATGACAAACACTCACTGTCAGGCATTATCCCAACTTTATTTCTCATGAGATTGTTTGCAATTGCCAGTTATGCACTTTGTGCATAATTCCATGATAGCAATTGTATGATTTTAATTACTCATTTGTGTGTGGTTTCTCACTGGACTGTGAATTCCTCAAAGGCATTACTTGCATAAATGTCTGTTTTCAAGGTAATTGAATTCGTGCTTTCAAGCATATTTCCTACTTACCACATTTATATATTGGTAATCTAAGGGAGGATCTTTTCTTAGGATTTTGATCGGAAAACATTATTGTTTGTAAATTCATTTTGTAAGCTGGAATATCCTTGGACACAGAAGCATTATCTTGTCGATAAACCCATGGTGGCCCCTTGAGACTGCTGCTGGGAGGCTTTTGCTTTATGGAGGTTTTGTCCTGTTCAAAATGTTTAAAGAGCCCAGAGAAACCAGTAACCTCTGAACACCATCAGTATGGCCAGAAAGTTTTTTAGCAGAGCCTTGTTGCAAAACTTTGAGCCTCAGTAAAGAAAAGTCTGCCAAAGGGCCTTAACTCCTGAGAAATGGGAAAATTAAGTCAAGTGAAGTTTAGACGTCATATGCACAGAGCAGCTGGACTGATGGCCCTTGTGTGCTTGTGTTGGTTGAGTTTGAGGGGAAAGGGCATGGAAGAGATTTTTCTATTAAGACCACGGAATGAAGGATGGAGTTGCCTTAGGAGACTGGCTCCAGAGTCTGCAGGACCCAGAGAGCTTTGCAAAGGCCAGTCGAGAGCCCAGGAGTTTGCAGAGCCAAGTTGGGTGGGGATGGGGATGGGGTGGGGGTCTCTGACCCCGACAAAAGTGGTCACATGAGCCAGTAGGTCAGCAGACAGATCCAAATTCTGGTTCTGTCCCTCCATATTTGCACAACCTTCTTGTGGCCTGGGTTTCCTCTTTTGCAATTTGAGGGATTGACATAGATTGTCTCGAAGGCTCTGTTTCTAGTGTTAAGATTTTAGGCCTGCCTCAGCAACATTAGGCACAGTTTAGGTTGCGGGAGGTGACAGTCATTTCCAAGCCTCTCACTCATCCAACATCCCCAGAACTTTTATCCCCAAACTGCTCTGTGCAAACTCTGATTTGACCTACCCCACTCCCCACCCAGCCTTCCCCCTGGGACTCAGGGAGCTCCTCTCTGCTGTCAGCAAGCTCCCAGAAGCCTCAGCCCCTTCACCTTCCTGGCCTGCTTATCTGAAACCAGGTTGTCTCTTGCAAACTCCCAAGTGGAGGCTGTTTTTCATCTCTCACCCCACGTATTTCGCGTCTGGAATGGGGGATAGGTCTGCCCTTTGCTCCACTGCCCCTTCCTCACTCTCCCCTTCCTAGTCCTCCTTCAAAGTCTCAGCTCCCTTGAAGGTCTCGCCTCAGATTGTATTCAGCCCCTCAAACTCATCACTGTTGCCTTCTACGAATCTCTGAGTCACTTCCTCTCATTGGCAGAAGGTGCCAGAGCCTGGCTATATTCTCTCCATCCCGACTCCTGTCATTGTCTTTGGTGACTGGAACATCCATACCGACAATTCTGATGCCACCATAGCCTTTGAGTGTCTCACTCCCTATGACCTTTGTCCCCGCCCCCATAGCATACACTCAATATTTGTTGACAATGCGTAGACAACAGACTCATTGGAAGAGGTGCCAGTTATCCTCAAATTTATAATGCCTATAACTAGGGTGACCATATCATTTATTTTCCTAACTGGGACAGGTTTGTGAGTGAAAGAGGACACCAAAATAATTAAAATTATATTACTTTTGGAAATATTTACTTATTGATGACAAATTGGTTTTTATATTAAGGCCCCTATAAAATAACTAGATTCAAAAACCATTTTCCAAAATAAAATATTTCTTTAAAAAATCCAAATAACTTGTATGTGTACATGGAAGCAATGTTGAAAAACTCCTTTATGGGGTTTATCTTCACATGCAAAGATGTAGGCGGAATAATCGTTCTTAGTCCTTCTTTAAGTTTTTAAAATTAGCTTTTTTTTTTTTTTTTTTTGACGGAGTCTCAAACTCACTCTGCTCACTCTGTCACCCAGGTCACCCAGGCTGGAGTGCAGTGGCACCATCTCGGCTCATGCAACCTCCACCTCCCAGATTCAAGCGATTCTCCTTCCTCAGCCTTTCAAGCAGCTGAGACTACAGACATGCACCACCATGCCCAGCTAATTTTGTATTTTGAGTAGAGACGGGGTTTCACTATGTTGGTCAGGCTGCTCTTGAACTCCTGATCTCCTGTGATCTACCCGTCTTGGCCTCCCAAAGTGCTGGGATTACAGGCATGAGCCACCATGCCCGGCCTAAATTAGCTTCTTAGCTGAGTCTGGCATGAATAGAGTGTCACCAGTATCTTTCTGAAGAATTTCCTTTAAAAAAAAACCCAGATTTATATTTTGAAGTTTTTGGACAAAATTGTAATTGCATTCAAAGTAAATTTTATGGCAAATAAATCTGAAATTGTTGACACCTTTAATTGATTCTTCTCTGTAGACCACAATATTTTCAATTGACAATATACTCTCTCTTCAGCTATTAAGAAATTTGGTAAGCTCAGTGTAAATTCTGCTGACTGAATGATATCCTCGATTCTAATTTTTTATGTAAATATTTTGTCCCAAATATTGACACAATTACTGTTTCTGCTCCCATTCAGAGTAGTATTCTTCACAATATATTTTTATAAAACATAACCTATCAAGTAAGTCATCTCTATTTATAATTCTTTTGGACATTTCCCAATTACACATATATTTCACATGCTGATAGGTGAGTCTTTGGAGAAGCTGGAAGTAAAAAGTGAAGTGCAACCAAACTCATCCCAGCTTATTTTAATGCAGCTAGCAATAATATTTGGTTAACAAATGAGAAATCCAAGAGAAATGCTCAACTGGATGGACCCAGGGCAGCAGGTAAAAATGGGGCCTCTTTGGGGAAATGTAACACTAACTCCTCAAGGGTAGCTCAGTGCTTCTAGATCACGGCAGCAGATACAAATCACCAGAGAGCTCTTAAAACGTGCCAATGTTCAAGCTCCAATCCCAGGGACTCAGATTTCACTGGTACTGCGGTGGAGCTTGGGAACCAGCACTGTAGTCTCCTAAGTGATTCTAATGCACAGCCTACTACACCACTTTTGGTTTTGGAGACAGAGTCTCACTCTGTGGCCCAGGCTGGAGTGCAGTGGCACAATCTCGGCTCACTGCAACCTTCACCTACTGGGTTCAAGCAATTCTTGTGTCTCAGCCTCCCAAGTAGCTGGGACTACAGGTTCGTGCCACCATGCTAATTTTGTATTTTTAGTAGAGACGAGGTTTCACCATGTTGGCCAGGCTGTTCTCGAACTCCTCACCTCAGGCGATCCATCTGCCTCAGCCTCTGAAAGTGCTGGGATTACAAACGTGAGCCCCCGCGCCTGGTCTACTGCCCCACTTTTAAGCAAGATCAGCTTGGTCCTCAAGAGCTGGCTGCTCCTAAAGCATCATGTGGCAAGTATTCATCGACTCAGACAACAGCGAGGGAGGCACATCAGGAGAAGCAACATCACTGTACATTGTCTCTGCACCTCTACAGGTGTGTTGTTACCTTAGGCCAGTTGTGAGCCCAGAGAAGTTGCTCTGGGAACTGAGGAGAGCAAATGGTGGCCCTGCCACGAAACTTGTGTACAAAAGACACAGTCAGAAACATTGCATGTCATCCTTCTAAACATTTAATTCAGCAATTCCTACATTGTCATGACAAAAATGAAACTTGCTGAGGGTTACAGAGTTCTAATCAGAAATAACAACTTAAAAATCTCACAAAAGCTCTACGTAAGCCTGTCGTAAGGGCTGCACTGTATTCCGAACATTTATTTTGAAAACAATTGTCAAAATGTAAAATCTCCAGCACCCTCAACATGATGTAGCCTTTTGGCTCATTCTATACGTTTGTGATCATCTTTGTAACTCCAAGTTTTGGAATATGAAAAAGCATGATGGCAAAGAATAATAACAAGACATTTGTTTCTCCATGCCCTGCCCAAGACTTGATGCACCGTGCGTGCCCCATTAAGCGGTGGGGTGGTCCAACACGTCAGTTAGTAAAGCAGCACTTGCTGGTGCTCTGCCTGCTCTGAATTCAGTTCCGAGGCTGTGAGTTGAACTCTGTACAAATGTTCTGGATGATCCTGGGGACATACTGATGGAGGTTGTCAAACTCGTCCACAAAGAAGGAGTGGTCTCTGGCGGGGTGAGTGGCAATGACTTCTAGCTCCTCTTGGGCAGCCCAGGCAACGCCTATCGCATAGGTGATCACTCCTGTGGGGACAAAGGTTAGATGAACAAATGTCCCCAAGTAAAGGTGCTGCTAAAGAATCTCTCTCTTCTTGTGGCCCTGTTGGCACAGCCAAATCCAAAATCAGAAATATGCCCAAACAAAACAAAACCAAAAATACGCTACAGGCCTCTAGGTTTCCAGAATAAAGACTAAGTATGGCCATTCATTTATTCACTCAATAAATGCCTTTGAGCATACACTCTATGCCAACAGTAACAACGTTTATATAATTGTTATCTCAGGAGTTTATAGTATTTTAGGAAACAATGAACAAAATGGAGTAAATAACATGGTAAGAATTTCATGTTTGGGAATAGAAGAGGGGAAGATATTTTGGGACAAGTGAAACTTTTGGGGCCATGCAGATCAGAATACATGACACATGCCTGCTCTACCAGTGGGAAGAGCCAAGCAAAATCTGAGAGAGCCTTAAATGCCATCAAAAGCTGGTTCAAGATCTTTTAAACTAAAACAGTGGAATGGAATCACTTTAGGCTTGAGGGTGACTTTACAAACCATTGAATCCAACCTCATTTCCAGTGCAGGAACCCTTGCCAAAGGTGCCAGAGAGATGGTCCCCAGCATGTGTTCCAACATTGTGATGAAGAAAGGCTTCCAAGATAAAGAAAGGGGTGTCCAACACTGTTGGGTGCTACAGGGCAGTCATGTAAGATGAACATGAAAAAGTGCTCAATGGGTTTTTGTTTGTTTGTTTGAGACAGAATCTCACTCTGTCACCCAGACTAGAGTGCAATGGTGTGACCTCCACTCACTGCAACCTCCGCTTCCCAGGTTCAAGAGATTTTTGTGCCTCAGCCTCCCGAGTAGCTAGGATTACAGCATGTGCCACTGCACCTGGCTAATTTTTGTATTTTTAGTAGAGACAGGGTTTCACCATGTTTGCCAGGCTGGTCTCGAACTCCTGACCTCAAGTGATCCTCCTGCCTCGGCCTCCCAAAGTGCTGGGATTACAGGCATGAGCCACCGTGCCTGGCCTCATTGGATTTTTAAAAAAGCAAAAACAGGCTGGGTGCGGTGGCGCATGCCTGTAATCCCAGCACTTTGGGAGGCTGAGGTGGGTGGATCACGAGGTCACAAAAAATCCTATTTTTTTTTTTTTTTTTTTTGCAAAAAATTAGCCAGGGGTGGTGGCACATGCCTGTAGTCCCAGCTACTCGGGAGGCTGAGACAGGAGAATCACTTGAACCTCAGAGGCATAAGGTTGCAGTGAGCCGAGATGGCACCGCTGCACTCCAGCCTGGGTGACAGAGCGAGACTCCATCTCAAAAAAAAAAAAAAAAAGAAGAAGAAAAAACAAAACCAAGACACTGGTAGTTTGGTGAGAACAGTTTCAGGGAAGAAGATGCCAAAGAAACCAAATGAACTACTGTGAGTTGAGACTGAAAAAGAAGTGAGCATGTGGGGTCAGCATCTCCTTTCCTGAAGTTTGGCTGTGAAAGGGAGTCAGTAGGTGGTAACTGGAGCAGAACATGGAGTCACAGAAAATGTTTTATTTATAGGGAGGGAGGAACTGGAGCATGTCTAGGTGCAAATGGGAAGGAGTAAAATAAGACTGCAGGTGTTGGATTGCAGTGGGGAGAAGATGACCCAGGGAGGAGAGGATGGGATTCAGAGATAAGGCATCCAATCTTAGTGGGAAAACTGGGAGACTGCCCGGGGTGGTGGGTCTTGATTTGGGTTGTGGACAGCTGGTCAGCAGGTGCTTGACCTTACTCTACAATAGCCTATTCTCGCGCCACCTTCAGGCTGGTCTGAGTAGGGTAAGCAAAATGGCCATGAAACAGAGGGCAGAGCCTGGATGTAGCCTTCCTGCCCTGGCACCTCCCCCCGAGTCCCCCACAGTGTTGTCACTATTTCCAGCATCTTCTGGGTGCCTGGGAGAGCCGTGCATACCTCACGTGGCTCTGACCTAAGCTGCTTTTTGATTGTGGTCCATTAAATTGCATTTAAGCTGCCAGTCCCCTTTCTCCCTCCTCCAGTTTCTTTTCTCGGAACATTGTCTAGATTGGAAGGAGCCAGCTTTGGGCTTTAAAGTGCTGCCAGGTGTCAGTGAGAGCAGCTTTGCTGCAGAGCTGGGTTTAGACAGTCTAAGCCCTCCTTCCCGCTCAAAGATGGAGAGGTTGCCCTTAAAAAACTACGCAAACAGTATTAGAAATTTAGCTCTCCGGGCCAGGCGTGGTGGCTCACACCTGTAATCCCAGCACTTCGGGAGGCTGAGGTGGGTGGATCACCTGAGGTTAGGAGTTCAAGACCAGCCTAGCCAACATGGTGAAACTCCGTCTCCACTAAAAATACAAAAAAAATTAGCTGGGTGTGGTGGCAGGTTCCTGTAATTCCAGCTACTCGGGAGACTGAGGCAGGAGAATCGCCTGAACCCAGGAGGCGGAGGTTGCAATGAGCCAAGGTTGTGCCATTGCACTCCAGCCTGGGCAACCAGAGCGAAACTCCGTCTCAAAAGAAAAAAAAAAAAAAGAAAGAAAGAAAAAAAAGAAAATAAATTTAGTTTTCCAGATCCCAAGTCCACTCTTGTTGTACAGAATCTCCTACTGGCAATTCTAACAGATGGTCACCCAGCCTTGACTTGGATACTCCCAGGAACACAATGCTCATTACATTTGCAGACAAATCTCAGTGTTAAGCTGAGTAAGAATCTGCCTCCAGGTAATTTGCATATTTTGGTCCTAGTTCATTAAGGCTGCGCTGACAGCACCTCAGCCATTTCCCTCAGTCTTCATTTTTCCTGATGAGTAGGCCAAGGATACCCTCTGATTGAGGCCCAAAAGACGTACATCTAGAAAAAAAAGTGATGATGTAGCTGAGCACAAACTGGGGACAGATGTTTGGAGAAAGCAGGAGAGCCTTGGGCTTGCCGTCAAAGCTGGCCCATCTGGCTCTGCCCATTCAATCTAGGAGTTTGGGCCAGTTGCTTCTGAGCCTTAATCCGTCTTCAATCTGCTGATATGAGCCTGGTGGACCTTGTGATTGTTGGCATGCAGGCCACCAGCCATCCCACCATTATGAGGGTGCCCTACAGGCTCCATAAAGGGTAAGTCACCGGGAAGACTCTGCCTGAACCCCGTCTCTGGCTACTTTGGATTCTAGGAACCAGCATTGTTGATTCATTAAGGCTTGTTTTAGGAAGAAATGAAAGTAGCTTTCAACCATTCAGAAAATCCTGCCAAATAACTGAAATTAAATGTAGGCACAGAAGCCAGGTGCAGTGGCTCATGCCTGTGATCCCAGCACTTTGGGAAGCTGAGGTAGGTGGATGGCTATAGGTCAGGAGTTCAAGAAAAGCCTGGCCAATGCGGTGAAACCCTGTCTCTACCAAAAATACAAAAATTAGCTGGGCGTGGTGGTGTGTGCCTGTAATCCCAGCTACTCGGGAGGCTGAGCCAGAAGAATCGCTTGAATCCGGGAGGCAGAGGTTGCAATGAGTAGAGATCGTGCTACTGCACTCCAGTCTGGGTGACAGAGCAAGACACTGCCTCAGAAAAAAAAAAAAAAAAATTTAGGCACAGAAGAAGAAATAACAACCACAGCACTGAGTGAGTTGTGTATATTCATATTTGTCTACAGGGCATTGGTGTTCATTGACTACTTGGTTTACTTTTATTAGTAGTAGTATTATTATTATCACTTGGGGTTTTCTCCAGGCTGTTTATGTTCTTGATAACTTATGACACTTTTTGGATCAGTGATTATACATAAATTCTGCAATAAAGGCATAAACGTGGCTGATTTTCTAAACATTTACAGACATATTTTGCTCATTTTTCATATTTTAAAATTTTGTTGCCCTCTTAGAAATTTTTATGTGGACATAGCTCTTTGAACATTTTATTTTTTTGAGACAGAGTTTTGCTCTTGTTGCCCAGGCTGGAGTGCAATGGCACGATCTCGGCTCACCAGCAAACTCCACCTCTGGGGTTCAAGCAATTCTCCTGCCTCAGCCTCCTGAGTAGCTGGGATTACAGGCGTGTGCCTCCTTGCCTGGCCAATTTTGTATTTTTAGTAGCGACGGGGTTTCTGCATGTTGGTCAGGCTAGTCTCGAACTCCCAACCTCGGGTGATCCGCCCGCCTCAGCCTCCCAAAGTGCTGGGATCACAGGCGTGGGCCATTGTGCCTGGCCCTTTTTTTTTTTTTTTTTTGAGACAGGATCTTGCTCTGTTGCCCAGGCTGGAGTGTGGTGGTGCAATCATAGATCACTGCAGCCTCCAACTCCAGGGCTCAAGTAATCCTCCCACCTCAGCCTGCCGAGTAGCTGGGATAATAGGCGTGCACCACCATGCCTGGTCTCTTTAAATATTTTGAATCGAAATTCCTTTCAGGTTTCCCTGAAGCCCCACGAATCTGGTTAACAGTTGCTTACAGAAAAAGTACTTGTCTTTAAAAACATTATTTTTCCTTAAAAGGTACCAGTACATGGCTAGGCATGGTGACTCACTACTGTAATTCTGGCACTTTGGGAGGCCAAGGCAGGAGGATCACCTGTCAGGAGTTCGAGACCATCGTGACCAACATGGCGAAATCCCATCTCTACTAAAAATACAAAAATTAGCCGGGTGTGGTGGCACATGCCTGTAATCCCAGCTACTTGGGAGGCTGAGGCAGGAGAATTGCTTCAACCTGGGAGGCAGAGGTTGCAGTGATTGGAGATGGCACCGTTGCACTACAGCCTGGACGACTGAGTGAGATTCTGTCTCAAAATAAATAAATAAATAAATAAAAGTTACTAACACAAGTTGGTGGTCTAAGTACCAGTACAATTTGACATATTCAATAGAGATGGAGGTTTGGTGTTTTTAATAGAGGTAAAGTGATGAGTCAAATTCCCTTTTAATGTATCATGCTCTTGTGGGAAATGCCTCAGGGTGCAGGATGTAAAGAAAGGGTTAATGCGCCCAGTCATCCACAGGCCATGGGTTTGTAATGACACTTAGGAGACCACCTTGCTGCCCCATCCTTGTTCCTTCTCCCTACTCAGAGGGGCTTGCAGTGTTTCTACCCCTAATGCCCTCCCTGCGGCTTTGAACATTTTTATTAAGTCGCAGAAAAAACCAATGCATAAAAAGACAATACCTTCCTTGTCCCACTGGCCCACCAAGCCCCAGAAAGCAGCCTCAGCACCAGGCTGCTTGGCAAGCCCAGCTTACCCTTCAGATGGGCAGCCATGGCTGGGATCCGGACGTCGTCGTAGGACCTCCCGTCGGTGATGAGGATCATTAACTTCCTCTTGTTGGGCTTGGACTTCTTGAAGAGCTGCTCCAGGGCGAAGTTGATGGCAGCCCCCGTGCTGGTGCCACCACTCCAGTAGCCCACCCTCTTGATGGCGTTGAGGATGTCAGGCTTGCTGCTGTACTTGTCGAACCCAAACTCCAGCCGCTGTTCGTAGGTGTACTGCACGGCCCCGATGCGCGTGTCCGTGTCGGAAATCTCAAACTCTTTGGTGAGGTTGGTCACAAACTGGAGGACGGTGCGGAAGTTGCCCGTCCCCACACTGCTGGAGCCGTCGATGACGAAGCCAATGTCAGCCGAGTTCAAGCAGGTCTTGCTGCAGGCCAGGCGGTCAGTGTCGCAGACCCGCTTCACCAGAGGCTGCAGGGTCTTGTGGAGGCCAAACCAGCTCTGCACGTGGAGCGAGTAGAAGCCGTTTGTTCTGCACACGGCCTAGAAGACAGAGGGGAGGGACCCACGCCACGTCAGGGTCAAATCCTCCAGTGTCACCATTAGGCTTGATCCCCCGGGGCAGGTGAAGAAGCAAGCAGGCCCTTGTTTTCTGCACTAGCCCTCCTACCGTGTTCTTCCATCTCGGTTCACCCAGCGGCCACTCACTGAGGCGAAGCCCCCGGGTTATCGCTGGACTCAGTCCTACTCCCTCAGCTGAGTCCCTGCCTGCGTTAGTGGAAAGCTGTCTGCTAAGCAAATTCATAGGGAGAAATTAAATCTCTGGTGTCAGCTTCACATTTATGCTTCTCCGGGCTCCTCCTTTGTACTGGCAGCCAGCCATAAGATTGGAATTCGTGGGTACCATGGCATGAGAGGACTAAAGAAAGCTTTTATTCCAGTTCGGAAAAGAGATGACATACACAAGAAATCGCTATGGAAATGTCTCCAGAGCAGCCCTGTTCCAGGCGGGAAGGGATCCCACAGTTGCTGAATGACCACATGTTAGGGGTCCCATCAGATGCTCTTGGAATGATTCTCTCATTAAATCCCCACCTTCACCCTACAAGGTGGAATCATAACCCCCTGCCACAAAGGAACAAACTAAGCTATGAGGGGACTTCCCTGAGTCCCTGAGATTGGAACACAAACCTATTCACCTTCAGAACCAGACAACTCTGCCTCCAGGCAAATGAATATTTATTTACCAGTGCCTAAGCTTATTCCAGAAAAAAATAAGGCAGCTGCAAATACACCTTGAGCAAACTGATTGTTGCGCTCCCGGAAGTGGCTGGTATAATGTTCCCAAGGCGTGGTGTTTCTTCCTTACCCCTGCCTCTGGGTCACAGAAAGAGTCAGACCAGACAACTACCCTTGTATAATTAAAAGATTATTTTAGAACAAGAGATGGCTTCAAACTTTCCTGGAAAATATTTTTCAAAAATTGATTTGTAAAAACCTAAATGGAGTTCACAAAACTTTCCGTGGAGCTCATGACATGTGAGGTAAGTGCTGAGCTTGAGCTGAATTCTGGCCAACAGATGGAGGGAGGGATTTCCACCAGGCAGTGAAGTCACAGCAGGAGACAGAGGCGGTGCTGGGTGTGGATGGGAGACTAGCTGGACTGAACACAGGGCTGTGGGGGGTCATAATAGATGGGCCAGGAGAGTAGGTTGGGACTGCACCCCAGAAGGCCTTGAGAGCAATGGGTAGCAATGAAGGATTTGGAGCAAGGACCCCACAGGACTGAGGGAACCCATCAGAAATGTGAGTTGGGCTTCATTGTGAAATCTAAACTAACCTGGGGAGCACCAGGAGGGAGAAGGACCAGATGGAGGGTACCAGCTTGAACTGGGGAGGGGGCGTCAGGCGAGGGAAAGAGGAGGGAGAGAGATCTGTGATGTGGGAGCTGATGAGGAGTTCTGGGGTGACACTGCCCTCTGGGATGGGTGTGTGGTCATTCATGTAAAGTCCAGAGGAGGAAACAGTTCAGCGGGAAGGATGATGAACTTGGCTTGTTATAGGTGGGATTTAAGGTTCTGGTAGAACATCAGGTGGAGAAAAGTCAGTCAGCTGAAAATGGATGGCTACAGAGCTCAAGAGATGAAGGTAGGGCCGGGCGCAGTGGCCCACGCCTGTAATCCCAGCACTTTGGGAGGCTGAAGCGGGAGGATCAAGAGGTCAGGAGATCGAGACCATCCTGGCTAACATGGTGAAACCCCATCTCTACTAAAAATAAAAAAATAAAATAAAATAAAAAAACTAGCTGGGCGTGGTGGTGTGTGCCTGTAGTCCCAGCTATTTGGGAGGCTGAGGCAGGAGAATTGCTTGAAGCTGGGAGGCGGAGACTGCAGTGAGCCGAGATCGCGCCACTGCATTCCAGCCTGGGCGACAGAGTGAGACTCCGTCTGAAAAAAGAAAAAAAGAGATAAAGGTGGAAGCAGTGACCCTGGGAGGGATCCTGCAGGAGAGGGCCTCTTAAAGAGGAGGGTGTAGACCTGGGGAGGTCAACATTGAGGGTAGAAAAAAGGCAAGAGGCAATGAAATAAGAGCCATACAGCATCCTGGAAGTCCAGGGAGAAGGGCATTTCAAGGAGCAGGAAGTGGTCATCAGTTTGAGGTGGTGCAGGAGGTTGAGCCCTGCTGGCTGTAGACACATAGAATATTAAAGCTGGAAGGGCCTCAAAGACAAACCTGTCCAAGGCTTGCTTTCTATTTTAAAGCTGGAGCCTTTTCTTTGGAGGAAGTTTTATGTGGTGTTCCACTGTACAAAGGGAACAGCTTTGGTGGAGTGAGTGAGGGAGGCATTGCTCCACATCTCCTGCTGGGCATCTCCACAGAACCCAGGAGGAGCATCTGAAAACGCGATCTCACTGCTGTGGTTCAGTGCCTCCTTTCTCTGGTTTATCAGGTTGATGAATCGGCAATGTGTGTATACAGGAGAAAGCGTGTGTGTGTGTGCGTGTGTGTGTGTGTGAGAGAGAGAGAGAGAGTATGTTCGCTTGCATGCATGTGTAAAGGCTCCTTGGGCTGCCTGGGTGAGACCCCCCCTGGGGCTGTGGAAGGAGCAAGGAAGAACCTAGCTGAGAATTCGAGTACACTGCTCCTCCACAGCTGCTGGTGGGTGTGGGGTTTTGCTTTGAGAGGGTAATTGCAGGTTTCGGATTGACCAGTCCCTCCCTGGAGGCCTTACTGCCTAGAGATGAGCTTCATGCACATTTAAAGGCATGGGAAAACCACTGCAACGGCGTTACAATTTTTCAGAGTGCAGAAAATCCTGATGTTGGGTAGGTCTCCGGGCAGTCATCTACCTTGTTTGCAAAGTTGGGCTCCACCACATACTGCTTCTCATTTTCAGCAGCACCTTCAATGGTGATGAAGAAAATGTTGATTCCTGACTCTCTCGCAAGTCTTGAAGCCTCCTCCACTTTGTCCGTGGGCCAGCCATCCACCATCACCACCACCACATTGGGAGCCCCGCTTCTGTTTCCATTGGCTTTGGAAAAGAAGTTCTTGGTCACAAAGGAGATGGCCCGACCTGGAAGAAAAAGAAAATTCATGCTTGGAGTGATCACGCTGATTATAAATACAGGAAGAGATCACAGCAGCACAAAGAGGTCCAGAAAAATACACTCATTCCCTCCCTAGTTTTTTTTTTTTTTTTTTTCCTTTGAGACAGGGTCTTGCTCTGTTGCCCAGGCTGGAATGAAGTGGTTCGATCACAGCTCACTACAGCCTCAACCTCCTGAGTTTCATCAACCCTCCCACCTCAGCCTCCTGAGTAGAAGGGACTACAGGCGTGTGCCACTGTACCTGGTTAATTTTGTGTTTTTTTTGTAGAGACGAGGTTTTGCCATGCTGCCTAGGCTGGTCTCAAACTCATGGGCTCAAGTGATCCACCCACCTCAGCCTGCCAAAGTGCTGAGATTACAGGCATGAGCCACTGCACCCGGCCTGTTACTTTTTTAAAATCACTTCAACTATTTTTATGTGTACAATTCAGTGGCATTAAGTACGTTCACAATGTGCAGCCGTTACCACTGTCCATTTTGGTTTCATTTCAAGCCTTCAACTTCTAATTGTCTCCGCTTTGAAGAAAGTTTTAGGGACAGCAAGCAGGTGAGAAAGACTTTTTTTTTTTTTCCCTGAGACAGATTCTCACTCTGTTGCCAGGCTGGAGTGCAGTGGCACAATCTCGACTCACTGCAACCTCCACCTCCCAGGTTCAAGTGATTCTCCTGCCTCAGCCTGCCAAGTAGCTGGGACTACAGGCACGCACCACCACACCCAGCTAATTTTTGTATTTTTAGTAGAGATGGGGTTTCACCATGTTGGCCAGGATGGTCTCGATCTCTTGATCTTGTGATCTGCCTGCCTCGGCCTCCCAAAGTGCTGGGATTACAGGTTTGAACCACCGTGCCTGGCCAAAGACTTTCATGCGAACAGAAGTGCCCCTTTTCTGCTGGACCCACACTAAGCCCCTAAGCCAGCCCCATGTTGTTTCCAAGAGTGTAGGGTGGGAGGAGTTGACCTGGAGTGACAGTAGCCTCTTCTTGGCCCCCTGCAGCCTGGGGTGAGCCTGAGGCTCCTGCTGGCTGTACAGAGCTGTGTTCTGGGGTCAGGAGTGTTTTTCCTCCAGTTCCAGGCCAAGGGCACAGGTCTGGTTGGGCAGGGAAGAGTTGCACCCACTGGGAACTGACAGACTGTGTTCTAGCCCTGGCTGTGCTACCTGCTAGCTGTGTGGCCCTGAGTAGGTCACCCTACATCTCTGGGCCTAGCTTTCCATAACAGCAATCTACTTCAGCTGAGTGCAGCAGCCATGAAGTGCTACAAAGCCTCCTGCCATGACTTTTCCAAGTGCATATTTCACACTGAGAAGGGCTTCAGGAAATTTTCAGAGTCAACTAGACAATGACCAATTGTCTCAGTTTGCCAGGACTTTCCCAGTTTTAGTACTGAAAGCCCCAGGTTTTTCTGGGAAAACTGGGATGACCGTTCACCCTAGAGTCAGCATGGCTGTATAGAGTAGGCAGAGCTCTTAACCTGGGCTCTGTGAACCCCAGGGCACTTGAAATTATACACAGTATTTTGTGTATATAAGTATCTGTCTGGATAGAAGGGCCATAGCTTTCACGGAATTCTCAAAGGAGTCCTCAATCTCCATAAAAGTTAAGAAGCACCTTCTTTAGACTTTAGGATTAGTAGTATTATACTCAATGCATTTCTGATTTTGGCCAGCATCCTGTCTCCACTAGCTGGTATTATCTTACTTGTCAAATGAGAGCATCAAATGGTTACATATACAGATGCTGCAGAAATGTCTTGGAAAACCCATGTGAACTGGCTGCACAGAACCCACTTGCTAAGGAAAAACCTTGGCTGCTAAGAATTGCTTTTATAGCCAATGGACAATTTTTCCCAAAGCACAAAGCACCCGGAAGTCCTCTCTGGCCTAATATTAGGCACCTATAGGGCAGAGCACAAGACGCCATGAGAAGATCCCCTCAACCCCACCTAACCTTATATCTGGAGGCCATGGTGTATAGTGCTCAACACACATTCCATCCACCTTCCAGTGGGTCTTGAAAATAGAGGCTGGAAATCAGAAAACTACATTTTCCAGACTCCCTTGCAGCTAGGGATTTAGCTTTGTTTTAGTTCCATGAATTGATGCACTTGCATGAGATTTAGAAGATAAAAGTGAGGCAGAGGCTGTACTTTTGTTTATATTTCTGCTGACAAATATCTTTAGTATCTGACTTCTCTGGGATACTGTCCGCAGAGGTGCTTGGGGTTGGTTGCTAGCTGCAGTGGTTTGGGGCGGCAGGGTGTGGAGATCCATGTTGTGGGTGTGAATGGCACAGGGAGGGCGTGGTTCTGGAGCTGGCAGCTCTAGAAGAAGCTTCCTGATCTCCTGATCCTGCTGGCTTCCTGGACAAAGCAGGTTTCTGAAGAGGTTGCCATGGCAAAATTCAGAAAGTGATTTCCTAATCTTGGAAGAAGGAGCAGCTCCCTTGGAGGTCCTACTTCTGCAGGAAGCCTTCAGACATCATCTCTTAAAGCTCAGCCTACAGTCTGCTTCTTCAGTTCTTACAGTGATTCTCCAAACTACTTAATAGCCTGAAATTCCAACCCTTTCTGTTGGAATCAGTTGAACGGATTCTGTCCTCAGAACCCAAACTCTGGACAATACAGAGGCAAAGTCAGAACATGTCATCCACTGAAAAACGTATGCTGATTGGATTGAGACCCATCGCTAACCTCGTCAAGGAACGAGAGTGCCTTCTGACATTTGTCTCCACTGGGATTTTACTAATGTAAGCATTAAGTTATAAACAAACCAGAAATCAACTCTGTCATGTGTGTGATGAAGGTAATACTGCTTTGGGGGCATGGAGAGTGACTTGGCTAGTGTTTATTTAGCATTGTTCAAAGGTGAAAAGCTCTGTATGTGTTAGATACTAATGTTCTGGTCACTATAGAGACATACACTGAAGTGGGAAGGGAAATCTTTAATCGGATTTACTGTAACTCTGAGGATGCTCCCTCAAAGACAGCTCAATTCCCTGCATGTACTCTAAGCCAAGCAACTGTGGCTCATGACTCCATTTCTTTGGATTTTGATGACAGAAACACTTTCCCCGAGAGGTGGACAGTCTCCCTCCAGTGCCCAAAAAGCCAATCTTTCATTTACAAATGAATACACTGGCATGGGCTCTTTGACAGTCTTTGAGCTTGGTTAGTGTGAAACTGTTTCCTAATGGCCAATCAACTCTGGATAAACATAAAATGGAATTTCTGGACATGCCCCACTGAGGACTAGACTTTGGATTTCTGGTGAGACCCCAAAGGCTCAGATATCACAGAAGACCTAGCTTGAAACAGAGAACATGTTTCTCTTTGCACAATCATCACTACAACGGTAGTTGATTGGAACAAGATTCTCAAGGGGCACTGAGGGGCTTCCTTAACTGGTCACAAAATTTAATGAAACAAGTGATGACTTGTAGGCCAACAAAAAAATAGTCAGGACAGCAGACTTGATTGCCCTGAAGAATGCTACCCCTTCTTGCAAACCAAGCATGCTGGGACTGTACAGTGTGTGTGTGTTAAAGATTCTTGCCCTCTGAAGCCATGATAACTTTAGAAAAGATATAGATGTTGCAGGAGTAATTTCTTTGTCCTTTTTTTTTTTTTTTTCAGATGGAGTCTCGCTCTGCCACCCAGGCTGGAGTGCAGTGGCGCCATCTTGGCTCACTGCAACCTCAGCCTCCCAAGTAGCTGGGATTATAGGCACCCGCCACCACACCCAGCTAATTTTTGTATTTTTAGTAGAAAGAGGGTTTAACCATGCTGGCCAGGCTGATCTTGAATTCCTGACCTCAAGTGATCTGCTAGCTTCAGCCTCCCAAAGTGCTGGGATAACAGGTGTGAACCACCACGCCCGACCAGAAGTTATTTCTTGACGGATTATTATTATTTTTTCCTTTTATATAGAATGGTTAGAAGACAATCACGTAGAAAGAGAACGATGGTAGCAAGATAGTATAATTTGAATCCGGATCACATACCTACATTAGAAAGTCCTCCTCTCTGAGTAATTTTCTCTATGGCTGTCTTCAGATCTCGAGAATTCGTGTGTGTCTTGAGGTTAAAGTGAGTAGCAGGGTTGTCTCTGAAGAGTCAGAACAAGAAATACAAATTAGCTGCAAAGTTAATACCTTTGGAGGAAGGCAGAGATCATGGTTGATTCTTTTATATACAAATAGAAGCTGCTTCAAAGCCTTCTGCTATGCCTTGTAAAATGTCCCATTGTGGACTGGTGTGTGTAGAGAAAAGGAGGCTATTTCAAGGCTCAGAAGGCGTGTGTTGACTGTGCCATTTCCTGGCTGTGTGATCTTGAGGAGACAACTTCTCTGGGCTTCAGATTCCTCATGTAGATGAAAACATCGTTATAACACCCATATTGCTAATGAACGGGACTGTTGTCAAGTGGGATTTTGCAAATGTCAGGATCCCATCTGTGGAGTGCTCAGCGTTCTCAGCCTACCCCAGACCCCCCTCTCCAGAAAGAGAATCTCAGCTGTCAGCCACTCTCTGGGTTACCCTTAGCACTGGAATTGCACGTGAATAGTGGTACCAAGGAGACCTCTCTCTGCTTCTCATCCTGCAACCGGGTGACACTACTCAAACTCATCTAGAAGGTCAACATCTATTTTGCTGAAGACTGAAAAAGATTAACTGGGGAGGAGTTGGAGTGAATTCAGTGGAAAAACACAGTAAGAATCCCTCTCTACAAGTGAATCCCCACGAAGCGGCGGAGTGGAGGGTGTGGAGGCGTGCAGGAGGGCGGGTGTGTGTGCATCGCACCCAAGATGAGGTGTGAGATCACATCTCACAAACCACTGACACTCAGCCACAGGCAGCGCTGACTTCGTGGGCGTGAGACCTGCGCAGTCACACAGGGCTCCATGCTCCAGAAGAGCCTCAGTCAGAAAGGCCCAGGCTTGGCATAGTGCTCTGCTGCTGCCGTCTTGAAATTCTTCATCATTTTTGAACAAGCTGCCCTGCACATTATGTAGTCAGTCCAGGCTAGAGGTTACTGTTTTCTTTTTTCTTTCTTTCTTTTTTAACACGGAGTCTCACTCTGTCACCCAGGCTGGAGTGCAGTGGCGCGATCTCAGCTCACTGTAACCTCTGCCGCCCGGGTTCAAGCAATTCTCTTGCCTCAACCTCCCGAGTAGCTGGGATTACAGGCACCTGCCACCGCGCCTGGCTAATTTTTGTATTTTTAGTAGAGACAGGGTTTCACCATCTTAGCCAGGCTGGTCTTGAACTCCTGACTTCGTGATCCACCTGCCTTGGCCTCCCAGAGTGCTAGGATTACAGGCGTGAGCCACCGTGCCCGGCCATTTTTTTTTTTTTTTTTGAGACGGAGTCTCGCTGTGTCTCCAGGCTGTAGTACACTGGCTCGATCTTGGCTCACTGCAGTCTCCACCTCCCGGGTTCAAGTGATTCTCCTGCCTCAGTCTCCCAAGTAGCTGGGACTACCGGTGCGTGTCACCACACCCAGCTAATTTTTGTATTTTTAGTAGAGATGGGGTTTTGCCATGTTGGCCAGGCTGGTCTCCAACTCCTCACCTCAGGTGATCTGCCTGCCTTGGCCTTCCAAAGTGCCGGAATTACAGGCATGAGCCACCAAGCCTAGCCATAGAGGCTACTAAGTTTTCAAGAAGGAGAAGACTTTTTTTTTTTTTCAGAGACAGGGTTTCGTTCTGTTGCTCAACCTGGAGTGCAGTGGCCCCATCTTGGCTCACTGCAGCCTCAACTTCCTGGGCTCAAGCATCCTCCCACCTCAGCCTCCCAAGTAGGTGAGACCACAGGTGCATGCCACCACACCCAGCAAATTTTTTCATTTTTTGTAAAGACAAGGTCTTGCTATGTTGCCCCTGGCTGGTCTTAAAAGCGTGGACTCAAGCAGCTTATTGTCCTGTTTTGGCCTCCCAAAGTGCCAAGATTACAGATGTGAGCCACCATGCCTGGCCAAGAAAACTTTTTAAAGTAGCCTTTCTACAAACACCAGAAATGGATCCAGGAAGAAGCGGTTGTGGGCAGTTTCAGGTGGGAACCTCAAGGATGCTGACCATGGGTTGATTCTTAGTGAGTCCATGCGGACCGGGACAAGTGGTGCAGTCACGAGGAAACCAGTCACCAGGACCTGGGAGAGAGGAGAAAGTGTCTGCCTCCCCGCTTCCTTTCCTCCATCCCTGTTTTCCAAACTGCTCTCTATCTCAAAATGATCTATGCTATCCCCAGAGGGTGGCTTATTTACAAGGCAAGGGATGAAAAACAGAAAGAGTGGACACCTTCAGGGAAGACAGGAAATTTAAAACAAGCTTAACCAAAGTGGGGCACTGGAGAAAAACCCAAATAGATGAAATTTCACCAGAAGAAAACCAGGTTCTATGGTTGGGACTAAACAGAAACAAACAACAACACAGCAATCAGCAGAATGGGGGAAATGGGGGTGTTGAGCTGGGCGTGACCTTCCTATCAACCTACAGTGTGAAGTGTCTTGATCTGAGGCTAAAGTCACAAATTCAGGGAGGAGGAGTCACACAGTGGAGGAGCACTGTGGCTTTCACTCTGTATTCTTCCCCTCGGGTTCTAGGGCTTATGGGTTCATTTTTTAAAAATTTTATCTATTTATTTTTTTCGAGATGGAGTCTTGCTCTGTTGCCCAGGCTGGAGTGCAGTGGCTCGATTTTGGTTCACTGCAACCTCTGCCTCCAGGGTTTAGGCAATTCTCCTGCCTCAGCCTCTGGAGTAGCTGGGATTACAGGCACCTTTCACCATGCCTGGCTTATTTGTTTTTGTATTTTTAATAGAGACGGGGTTTCACTATGTTGGCCAGGCTGGTCTCGAACTCCTGACCTCGTGATCCATCTGCCTTGGCCTCCCAAAGTGCTGGGATTACAGGCATGAGCCACTGTACGTGGCTGGGTTTATATTTTTACAAAGCAATTTCAGTAAATGCTATGTACACTTTTACTTATACAGCCCATCAGCCCCCATCCCTCAGGTCCTGGCCATTCCTCTACATACATTCATTCGCTTTTATTCCCTACCCTGTATGTCTACTGTAACACCGGGAGTCCTGGCCCCCATGCTTCTGGCTGCCCCTAAGAATCCCTGTGTTGGTCTCTGTAGTGTTAGTTGTGTGGCCATCTGCTAGAGGAACCTTCAGTCCTCAGTTCTGCCCGCAAAATTCCCCTGCTTGGAAATCATCAGAAATTCCCATTGCTAAACTTGATGTTTTGGCTTTCAAAGCATCCATAATTTAATTTCCAACTATCATGTTAAGGCTGTTCTCTTTCTTATTCTCTCTTTCACTCTCTTTTTTAGGATATTCCATGTTCTAGTCAAAATGAACTGTTCACCCTTTCCCACTTTTCTAGCTTTGTGCATTTGCTCACTTCTTCCCTCATCTGGAAAGCCCCAATCGTGCCCACCCTCCAAGCTCAGCGACCCATCTCCCTTACTCCCAGCCCCAGCTGACAATCTCTCTGCCTGACTCAGCTTTCTCTAACCAACACCGTGCATAATATGTGGCGCCTACAGGCACTCAATTAACAGCATTAACATTTCTTTGTTCTATTTCTGTGCATCTCTAAACCTCTAAACTTTGGTGTTCCATAGGGTGCTAGCCCCATCATGCATCTCTTCTTGGCTATGCACATCCCTGGGAGATTTCATCAACTCCCAGGACTCACAGACCATTCATGTGCCAAAAGCTGTCTGTGCACTGGTTGGTCCCCTTTCTTGAACCTCACATATACATAAAATGGCTTCCATACAGCTTCCTCTGGAAGGCACCTCAGGTTAGATATTTCCAAACCTGAAGTTGTTTATCTTCCAAGCCTGATCCACCCAACCACCCATCTCCCCATCTGCCTTCCTCTCTGACTCACTCAGTCATCCAGCAGTGTGTGTTCCTGACACTCTCCTCATCAAATACCACGTCCTGTCAGACCTACCTCTAAATATCTCTCACATTTCTCCCATCCTTTCCGTCCCCAAGTTTGGGCTTTCATCTCTTTCCTGAATATTGCCAGAGTTTCCTACCTGGTCCTAACCAGGGCAGCTTCTGCAGTGGATGTTTTATCCAGTTGGCTCTAAGTGTTTCACAGAAACAGATTAACTAAGAAGTTATAATGCCTCTTCCAAGACGTCTAATTGTGTACAGTATTTGTCATTTTGTGATCTTCACTTTAAGAGAGCCCCCAAACTGTATAAGCTTCAGAGTCCTTAAAGTCTGGATCTTCCTCTAGTGACCAAGGGTTATCAACATTTTCAGAGCCAAAAAAAAAAAAAAATTGGTTGAAACAAAAAAACATATTGGCTACAAAATGAAAAATTGCAAAATTGACACTGACAATAATAAATATGTAATTGTCCATCAAACATAATGTTATTTGTACATTTTTTACATTAGTTATAATGTAAAACATTAATAGTAAAATTTTTAATTTATAAAAACTGAATTACATTTGAAAATGATTTGTGGGCTAGATTTTCTCACTTTGCACAATTTCCTGAGGGTGTCTGGTGACTGTCAAGAAATAGTAGCCAATCATAAATTAAACGTTGCTCATCGACAAATAATTTAAAAAGCAAAAATATAAAGGTTCCTTTCAAAAGTTTTTACAGGCCAGGCATGGTGGTTCACGCCTGTAATCCTAGCACTTTGAGAGGCCAAGACAGGAGGATCCTTTGAGCTCAGGAGTTGGAGACCAGCCTGGGCAAACAAACACAAACAAACAACAACAACAAAAAACTAAAAAAAAAAGTTTTTACAGAAAAAAAGTATTTAATGTTGAACCTCTTCACTTAGTCATTTTCCTGATATCTTAATATTGATCATTAAGGTTCTGGGTTGATGTTGATCACTTTATAGAGCAATTGTCGATTCCCTGTCTCTTTCCCCTACCACATACACAGCTGAGTCTTGTTAGTTTTGGCAGTTACGTTCTATAAAGTTGCAGTTGCCATGAGCACTGAATTAGCAAGTACTGAGCCATTCCTTCCAATGGAAATACAAGGTTTGGTTCCTGTGAGCCTCTGGTCACAACATTTTCATCAACAGAACAATATATAACCTTGTTTTACATGTGTTTTTCTTTGAAGACATTGAATTTAATATATGCTTCTTACAAATAGTTAATTATATGCAGTATATCTTTATAATAAGATATTAGCTGAGAAGGGTTTACCATTTTCCTGAATTTGGATAACATGACCATAAATTTCTTTGGCTTTTAGCCTTACAACTATGCTGCCCACTATGTTTTTTTTTTTTTTTTTTAATCAGTCATGATCTCATGAATTCGTAAGTTTAGGCTCTTTTCCATAGCTTCATCACACCCTTTAGATATTATTTCAGTACTTTCTGGAGTGGACTCATATACAGACTAGCAAATTTCCTCTTCTTTTTCTGAATGCACCAAATTATTGATTCATTAACATTGAGCTCACAACCAATAGCATTGTCACTCATGTCTGAACAAAGCTAATTGAACACACTTGTTTTCTCTGCAAGCCACAACCCAGCTTCTTGCACTTAAGAAAGCTAGCTAGCATTTCAGCACTACATTTGGAGTCCATTTTAAATAGCAAAATCACCAAAGACAAGCACAAAAATGTAAAAAACGTGGCACTAAAAAAAGACTGCAGAAAGGACACTTGAAGAGAGTTGAAACAAGAAGGCAGAGTGGGCTGGGCGCCTGTAATCCCAGCACTTTAGGAGGCCGAGGCAGGCGGATCACCTGAGGTCAGGAGTTCGAGACCAGCTTGATCAATATGATGAAACCCAGTCTCCACTAAAAATACAAGAAAATTAGCCGGGCGTGGTGGCATGTGCCTGTAATCCCAGCTACTCGGGAGGCTGAGACAGGAGAATCGCTTGAACCCGGGAGGCGGAGGTTGCAGTGAGCTGAGATCGCGCCAGGGCAACAAGATCCAGCCTGGGCAACAAGAGCGAAACTCCGTCTCAATAAAATAAAATAAAATAAATAAAATATAAAATAAAATATAAAATAAAATAAAATAAATAAAATAAAATAAAATAAAATAAGGCAGAGTGTTGTCTTGTTTGACCTTAGCTGGGAAGATGTGCATCAGGTGACTCCATTCTTTTTCCCCACCTCTACACATATCCAAAAAATGACTGCAAAAGTTCCTGGAATTACAAGTTTGAGATTACAAATAAATTTAAACTTTAAGGAGTAGGCAAATTTGCAAATACAGAATCCAGAGATCATGAGGATTTGACTGTAACCTACTTGAGAACAGGCACTTTCTCCTAGCTTCCAATCCCTAGTACTTAGCATCCAGGAGGTACTAAATAGGTAATTGTGAAATAAACAAATGGAAGAAAGGAAGCTCAAACATCCTCTCCTCTCTCGGTTCATCCCCAGTGGAGGTGAACACTCTACTTCTGAGCTCCACACTGACCACCCCTTGCTTCTATTACATCCTAGATGATGAATCCATCTTCAGAGGCATACAGATGAGCTACTCATATAATGAATGAATAGGTGCTTCTAATTTTTTTAACGGTATTTCTTTTAAAAATATTGCCTCCCTGGATGGATTGTGAGGTCCTAAAGAACAGAACCTCTACCACATTTATTTATTTAAATAGATCGAAAGGTTGGATCAGAGGACCTCTGAAACCCTTTCTGATTGCTAAAATTATAATTAGGGGCAAAGGCATGGAACTCATCCACCAAGGGAATTAAAGGCAAACGTAATCAAACCACTTAGATGAATTTTTCATCAGATCCTCCACAAATGACCAAGGGCGCAGTACATGGCAAACATTTAAGAAATATTTGTTAAATTTCACTCTAATCATAATAATGAATAAGAAATCATGAATCTGCAGTCCGTGGCAGGTCTCAGGACCAGCGTATATGTGTCCTTTTCCGAGATACATAGGTTGATGGCCTGATTAGCCTGGTTACTCTTCAGACTTGGAGACTAAAAGTTCAAAGAGGTATGCCACTAAATTTTTATGCAAGCAATCTTTTAATTTGTAATTTTATTACAGGTTCTTATTAAATGCAAACACTAAATTTTTTTTTCTAGGGAATATCAAAGATTTCCTTTGAAAATAAGAGAAGAAAACATAGAGGTTGTTAGCTCAAAGAGAAAATTTAGATTGTTCTGTGTTTGGAGGAAGACCTAGGATTAATGAAGAGGAATGACAGGGAGCCAGAAGTTGGCCATGCCTAAAAAGAAGGAATTTGTGTAACAGTAAATGGCTACGCTGCAAGGGTTTAAGAAGCAAACACCTGTCAGAAATGGGCACAGGTGTTTGATTCCTAGGAAGGCTTGAGGGCTAGGGACAGGGAAATTGGATGGATCATCAGTGTTTCCAGACCTACCTGATGATAAAACTCACCTAAGGCACTTACTAAACTATATAGGTTACCATTCCTCTCCTTGAAAGAAAATCCATGGGGCTCGGAGATCCAGGTGATTCTTATTCTCAGGAAAGTTTGTAAAGCTCTGGATTCTAGAAGGCTTCTGAGGCCCTTTCAGTCCTAAAGTACCTATTCTGTTTAAGCCCCAGGGTCTACTGGTTTACCCCATGACACTCTGAGTCACACAGAATGAGCCTCTCAAATGGATTTTTGTGCCAGTAGAGAAATATTAACTAATCATAATTCCCTCCAACAAGAACTTTTCTATTTTCTCAAACAAGCCATCAACTTAAGGTTACAATCAAATAACATAACTATTTAGCCTTTTAATTGTTTTACTAGCTAATATGTGATGCTTTATGGACTTAGTCAATGAGATGGACCATGCCTGTAAGATCAGGAGGATGTTTCAGGTCACACGACAGTGGCTGCAGACTTGTCCCTTGAGGGTATTACCTGGTTCAGATGGAAAATCATTCTGCTCCCATCCCTTCAGACAGCTATGAGCTCTGCTAGAGCAGCTATGACCAGCCCAGGGTGCAGCGTCCTGGGCCAATCTGCTCAGGGACTTTGCACAACTAGCCCTCGATGAATGGGAACTGGTCTTTTCCACATTTCCCACCATCAGAGAAGGAGGAGCAGGGTCTTAATAATCAAATTTCATTTTTAAGTGAGTGGGGTTTTTTTTTCTGCAATAACTATGAGAATTCCACTCATCTACCAAAAAGGGTAGAAAATTGAGCTGCATGAACCTCTTCCTGCTGGAGTAAATGTGAATCACGTGCAATATGCTGATCTGAGAGCCACTCCTGAACAAACTGGCTCACCAGCTGCTAATCTGCAACCACATCACAGGGCTCAGTGAGTGTTGGGGAAGTGGGGCATCTTGGCAACAGAGCTTCCCAAGCTCAGATGTGCATCTGATCACCTGGGGATCTTGTTAAAATGTAGAGTCTGACTCTGTAGAACCCGAGTGAGGTCTGAGGTTCTGCATTTCTAACAGCCTCCCAGATGATACTGTGGATCACACTTTGAGTAGCAATGTCTTAGAGGATGCTTTAGTAATAATAATAATAATAAAAATCAGCAATGGGGCTTCCAGTGATAAGATGAAAGAAGGAAAATAAATAAGAAGTCTAGAGAAGGGAAATGAAAGGCAGAGAAAGGGAGGAGGGTGGAGCTCCCCCAGCCCTCTGGACTGGCCACTGTGGGGGTCAGGGGTCACTGGGGGACTGGGCTTCACTGGAGGACAGCACAGGCCCATGAGAATATTCCGGTCTTCACTCTGGTTGCACCACAGAATCAGCTGGGGAACTCTAAAAAATAATGATACCTGGGCTCTACACTCAGAAAATCTGATTTAACTGATGTGAAGTTTGGTCTGGGCATCTGGAGTTTTAGGAGCTCCCAGGTGGTTCTATTGGGCATCAGGGTGCCCATCTGCTTCTCTGCGGGGAGACTGATCTCAGGGACCCCAGATAAACCCAGTGGATGTGTGAGGAGAGCTGAAAGGGGAGGGGTGGAAGTCAAGCGCAGTCGTTTGTATGTACCTCCAGGAGCCCTGCATGATAGGGAAATAAAAGCATGGGAGGCAGAAGAAAAACCTCAGAATCTTATGATTCTTGGGCATATTGTATTCACAGTTCACTTGGTCTTGAGACTCTGTGTTCCTGAGGAGTGCGGCTTGTGGGCCTTACCTGCCTGTCTCTCAGAGAGGAGAGAAGTGGCATGGTGGGGTCTTGGCAAGGGGCACTAGGCCCTGGAAAATCAGGCCAGGCAGGTGACGGGGAGCTGTTCTGAGATCTTGAGAATTACAGATTAAAATACCAAGCTCTGGGTCTCATCCCCTTGCCAGATTCTGGTTTAATAGGTCTGAGGCAGGACCCAGGCATCAGCATTTTAAAAAGCTCCCCAGGTAATGCCAACGTGAAGTCAAGGCCCAGACAGCCCCTTCCTGCTCTGAAGTCTGAGGGTGGGTGCTGTAATTCACCTCTGCCAGCCCCCATCCCAGCTGCATTTCATGCCCCAGCCCCTCCCACTCCCTTTTTTTTTGGCTGCAGACTCAGAGAATGAGACAGAGTGGTCCTCGTTGCCAGTTGTATTAGCTTCCTATTGCTGTTGTAACAAATGATCATAAACTTGGTGGCTTAAACAACACAAACTTAGTTGAGAGTTCCGGAGGTCCCAAGTCCGACGTGGGTCTCCATGGCTGAAACCAAGGTGTGGCCAGAGCTGTGCCCCTCTCTAGAGGCTCCAGGGAGAATCTGTTTCCTGGTGTTTCCCAGCTTCTAGAGGATGCCTGCACTTCTTGCTCATGTCCCTTTCCTCCATCTTCAAAGCTAGCAATGTCACATCTCTCTGACTATGCTTCCATCGTCACACCTCCCTTTGAATGACAATAGCTGGGAAAGCTTCTCCACTTCTAAGGACACGTGTGGCTACACTGCAACATCCCTATAATCCGGGAGAACCCCCCCATCTCAGAGTTGTTAACTTTAATCACATCTGCAAAGTCCCTTCTGCTGTGTGAGGTAAAACATTCACGGTTTCCAGGGATTTGGACATTGACAACTTCGGGGTCATTATTTTGCCTAACATACCAGACACGGCATTTTGCTTCTTCCCCTCAACTCTGACTGTCCTGCATTAGGTGGCTCAGCCGACCTATGGAAGCTGCTCTGCCCAGCTGAATGCATGACCACGAGTCTTCAGTCCACGGGCTGAGGTTGGGTGGGCTGAGAAGTGAGAAGACTGAGGAGATGCGGCCAAGTCAGAGCCACTCACTAAACCACAGGACAGCTATTATAGACTCATGAGCAAGGAAAAGTCTATTTGATTTTCAAATGAAGAAAAAACCAACAGTTCCCTTCATCCCACAACTGTTTCCAATTTTGATATCCTAGGGTTGATTACAAAGAACGTGTGCAATTATGTTCCATTTATACTGAGATGGGGGCCTGAAATGAAAGTGTAGTGAAGGTCTGGAGGACTGTTAGCACCTGTGGGTCCGGGATGCAGCTGAAATGCAAGGTGTTTGGCCACGTTACTAGAGTTCACCTAATGGCTTGCCTGGCTGTTCTTTCATTGACTCTTTCCGTGTTCCTGTTGGTATTAGGTGCAATTATAAGCCTTTTGGTTGTATAATTTGAACTTAGAATTCATGTGCAAGACAGGGGCTTGATCCTTGGCCTTTTGTCCACACACGATGTCTCAGTCTTCAGGAGGTGAAAAGTAGCAATTACCAGACTCTTTCCTGGCAGATGAGCGAAATCTCTGCTTTCACGACAATTTTGTTTGACATTTTAGGGATTAACTCAAGACTAATATTTGTCCTCTGCCCCAGTCATGCATTTAGCTGTGTGTTCTTGGGAAAGTCAGTCAACCTCTCTGACTCTGTATCAAAAGCTGCCTCTATTCCTGGAGGCGTGTGATGAGTGTGGTAGGAATGCTGTGGTTGCTGACAGGTTAACGTGATTGTGAGTTATGGGTCCCGCAGGTGGAGAACATGGGAGAGGGTGCTTGCCCAGTTCCATGGTGGTTAAAACTTCTGTTGGGCCCAGACCAGAGGTAGGATCTCAGCCAGTGCAAAGTGAAGTTATGAAGGATCAGAAACCAAGAGCCCGGCAGAGGATGCTGGTCAGCTGAGAGAAGATCAGAATGGAGAGGCAGAGAGGTGTAGAGATGCAGGCAGAGGAGGGGAAGGGGATGGCCAATGTCTCATCAGTCCTGTGAACACTTTCCTTTCCACGAATCTCCCTTCACCTGGGCTACCTGGAGTGGTTTTCTGTTCCGTGTACCCAAAACGTCTTTGAGTAGGAGATTGAGGAGTCAAGATGTGTTGCATTTTGTAAATGAGACCATTTTTATAGGTCTTATATTTTTCTTTGCCTTTTTCCCAGTTAATATTTAGTATGAGTCTTTTAACTTCTAAATTTGTCTTTCAAGTTCTAAATTTATAAGTCTAAATTCTGACTCAGCTCTCCTAAGGAAACCCAAGGAAGGAATCTTCCAGGAAGCTGTGTGGACCAGGGGCAGTGGTAACAGAGGGGAGAAGGGAGGGAAGGAGCAGTTCTGAGCTCCGGAGTCCTCCTCCCTTGGCCAGGTGCTTCTCAACTTGAGTCTCTCCTTCCAGTGCTAGTTCTTGATGAGGCGGTCATTTGTTTGTAGGGCCTCATTTCCTCACTACAACACAAAGAGGTAGAATCAGGTGCTCTCAAGGCCTCAGCCTGTGATTCCAAGAGTGCAGGGATGATTTTAAGGGGGAGCAAAGAGGGCGTTAGAATCTGGTGAGAACCCAAATCACCAGGATGCCCCACTTCCTTCCTCTGTGTGCTCTCATGCATACAGCGGGGATTGAAGGGGACCATCCAGGAGAGGAAGCTGGGCAAGTGAAACCAACAGCAGTTTCTGCTGAATAAATGTGTCTCCCCCTCAGCCTCATCATACCCTTCTCGGGCCGCCCTCTCATTTGTTTTGTTTCCCACGCTCCACGGATGGTTGTATCACCGCTGTGCAACACATCAATTCGTCATTGATCACCCCACCTCCTTGGGACCCTGAGACTGAAAGGAAGGGAAAGGCAGTTATCTGGTCTGTTAGTCCCACATTCATTTACTGGATGTCTTCTGAATACAGAGCTGGTCACTGAATTACAGGACGCCAGGGCTGGCAGAGCCCTAATAAATCATCTAGTCTGACCCTCTTGCTATGCAGATGGCAGCACTTACAAGGAGAGGTTAAGTGACTGGCTTAAGGTCACACAGAGGAGCTGAGGCCCGAATTCAGATCACCTGTCAGCGGTGCATTGCGCTTTCCACTCCACCCTGCTGCTGGGGGAGGGCGAAGATGATAGATTAGCTTATGTGAGCATAAAACAGTGGAAAACACACACATTTCCCTAAGTGCTCCAAATTAATAAGAACCCCGTGAAAAAGGCAGACACAAGGGATTTTTTAGATAGTAAAACTGAAAAGCATGGGGGTAAACTCTTGCTTGTGAATGGCGATCACATTGGGAGTATGTGGGGAAAATGTTTTGGGGGAAGGCGTCTTTATTCTTCTTCCTTCCCTGCAACATTTGTTCTCTAATCCATGCTCTCATCAGCAACACTATTCTCACGCCATTTTTCTTTTCCCTGACATATTTATCATCTTATTTTCATATTATACTATAAAGCTTGCTATATACAAGCTTTTAAAGCAGCTATTTTTAATGCAAGATAACACATCAAGCTTTGAGCCTCCCAGTAAAACTGACTAAGGACATTTGGCATTAAAACGCGTATGTTTCCTCTCTAGTAAAACCTGTCATCCATTGGCTATCTGTAAAAAGTAACACAGGAATGAAAAAGGGTTGGCATTTTGAAACCAGAAAATACCCCCTAAAACCGCACTTTTCTTATTTCAACTCAAAAACTTCAAGATAGATCCCCTGAGCTTGAGAGGTGACATTTGCAGCAATGGGTTATTTTTATCTAATTGAGTGTGACTACATACAAGTGCCAGTTAACTCATCTATTAATTTTTCCTGACAGGAATAGAAGGTAGTATCAAATGTGTTATCGGAATTAAATTCTAAAAACACAAATGTAGGTTCTTATGAAAATAAAGCATTTTATTTATTTCTCTTGACAACTCAAAAATTAATATTGATCTCTTTGATAGAGCAAACTTTGTTAAAATAAAACCTCTGAAGGCGCTGGAGACCCCGCGGGTGTTGTCAGGTATGGATAGTTTTTCTTTTCAGGAGGGTGAGTAAGCTGTGACCGCACTTCTAAGCAATAGGCACCAAAGGTTATGATGGTTTCCACTTCCGTCACCCCTTCCACACCCACTGGTCCTTTGTAGAAGGCATGATACCCATCCTGCCCTCAATGATTCTTGGTCAAAAGGCTACCTATTTAAGATGTGTGTATAAATTTAAGATTATGCACGCTTGTTCTTTTGATTGTTTATTATCAATATCTATGTATCTGTTTCAGTGAGAAACCTATTCATATCTGAAATAAGAGTGATTTATTACCGCCAAATGAAAGATTGAGACTGGATGTCAACACGAGCCCTCCATTTCTATCCTAAGTATAATAATAGAGCAGGTTGGCGAAAGTCATCTAGGTGCTCAGCTGACTGATGGGGGCCGTCTCTCTTCCCACCCATTCTTCTCCATTGCCTGGTGAGTTTTTCCAGTACCAGTGCAGGGGCCTAAGGTTATTTGGAGAAAAGAGAAGATACAACCTAAAGCACCATGTTCTCTAGGCGTCTAACCTATAGGTGGATAGGTTGTAGCACAGGGTGGAGTCCCTCAAACAAATGCTGTAATAGGGTTGAAAGCAGATCCAACCTTCATGATCTACAGATGAGGAAACTGACAATCAGAGAGGCGAAGGCCTAGCCCAAGGCCACAGAGCTGGTTATTGGCTAAGTTAACACTCACACGCATCTCTCCTGTTTTCCAGACAAATAAATATTCTTGAGTGCAAATGCCATCTACTTACAAGTGTTTTTTAATCTGTCCCTTCCTTCAGGAAGTCTCAGATTTCTTAAAGGCATCTGGATTCCTTCAGTTTTTTCATTTACATTTGCATTAGGGAAGAGAACAAATCTGTGCTCAAGGACATGTTGGTAATATTTGTGGCATAAAATTAAGCACGTGGCATAAAATTAAGCACATGGCATGACTTCCTTTCTGGATTCAGAACATTAACTGCACTTACCCATACTGGACAACACCCATCAGTGGACCGGCAGGGCCAATGTCAAGAGCTTGGGCAACATCAGCCAGGAGCTGCTTCTGGATTCGGAATCGCCGTTTGCCAATGCTGGTGCTCCCATCAATTAAAAACGACAAGTCAATTTTGCAGTCTGCGGAACGGAAAAAGACTCTATTATTCTCATGATCTCTCACTGCATTTACCTGGGCATCCTCTTGTTCCTCTTTCTCCATCAGAGCCCCCTGAGAAATGAAAAGAAAGGGAAAAAGAGGTAGGAAGATGCAGGGTATATTTATTTACATCCCACAGGGGTTTCCCTGAGCACCAGGGTCTTGGACACTTAGGCTAGTCCTTATTTCCATAACTGTTTAAAACTCTATGTATCTGCCACAATTATGGGTTTCAGAAGCAGCGACGTCCTAGCCAAGCTAGGGAAGGCTGTCAATGGTTTCCTAGGCTAAGATCTTGTAAGTGCAGACTCCCCGTTGTGAGAATTCATCAAGACTGAGTCGCAAGAGCGTGTGGCTTTTTGCTCTCATCCTAACTTTTTAGAAACCAGTGTTGGATTTTTATAAGGTGTGAGAGATCTGCAAGGCCAGCACTGAGGGAGGGCAGGAATTATAGAATAAGAAATTGATATCAATCTTCTCCTTCATTTCCCTGGGCGAGGGAACCAAAGAAATTATCTACATATATGTATAGGATGTCAGCCCTTGTTCGTAGCTATCCGAGATTTTTTTTCTTTCTTTCTTTTAGTTGTGATGAGGACCAGGATAGTTATTCTGCCTTAGGATCTCTGGATCTCTGTGGATATATGAAGGTTATAAGAGAGGTAAAGGGATGGATGGGCTGCAAGCTCTTTTCACCCTTTCAAACATCAAAAGGAACTAGTGAAAAGCCACACAGGCTAATGGAAATTAGTGTTTCCTTTGCGGTAGACAGGAATGATATCATCTCAGTATAAAACTGACTATTCAGTGCTGATCAGAGGTTCTTATTGGGAGCTATAGATCCCTTTGATTAGTAAAAAGTGAAAAATAAATTATTTAACAGTTGCAATTTAGAAGACAAAAATGTTTCAAAACAGAGCTCCATATAGGAAAAAAAAAAAAGAGTGAGTAAAGTTGGAAATTTCTAGGCTGGTGTATCCGAGAGGACACTGGGGCACTGCCCATTGTGGGTGGGGAGCAGCGGCCAGACGGACCTGCACCTCTCTAATCTGCACACAACCACCCATGTTCTCCACGGTGCATTGTTGCCACAGAGCTGGAGTCTTCCCATTCTTCAGGAGGAGAAGCTCTGTAGGTGGAGAGGGTTGTTGCTGGTTTTAAAAAATTGTTTTAAAGATGAAAGCAATAAATGAACATGAGTTGACAAAGTTTTGAGCAGAAGAATTGATGAGAAATATTTATTGCTGAGTGCTACTGCAGAACTGTGATTAGGAGAAAAGTTATACCTGAGAATGTGTTTTATTATCTTGCAGTGTTGCATGGCAATCAAAACCAGGGAAGTAGGAGATGAGAGGGACCCGTCTGGCACTGGCTGACTTCACTCCATCTAGAATCAGGGCACCTGTTTGTACCTTGGCTCAGTAGCAAATCTCAAAAGAAAAGCTTTTACCTCCTGTCTGCCTGGGCGTTCAGTGCCTACCAATTCATCCTTTTCAACTGGCTTCCCTTGTCCTTTGCTGTCCCCAAACTGCCTATACCCAAGCATGATCTTGAGATGAAGAATGAAAGAGGCAAATAAAGTCCAGAAGCAGAGTTGAAAAATGCCACTAAAACCTGGGGTAAAGGAAAGGAGAAGCAGCATGTGATTCTCATATGCAGCTTATCATGTTGTGGATTCCCAAGCAAGGCCAACTCATTTTTTTTTTCTGGCGGGGCTTGCAGTGTGAATTGTTGCCAGCAGGTGGCAGTGGAGTTCTTCAGGGTTTGCCGCCTACTAGCACCTACAGTTTGCTAGACTCTCAGGCTCCACCCAAACCTATAGAGACAGACGTGCATTTTAACAAGATCCCCAGGTGATTCCTGTGCACAGTAAAGTTGGAGAAGTAATCCTGAGGTGGAGTTTCCCTTCCAGATGTCAGCAGATTAGTTCAATATACCTTTTGGAATAAAGTATTTTTGGGAACAAGTGTTAATTAGAGTAAGGGCCAGAGGGGATTTTCTTTTTACATGAATAAAGTACATGGATATTGTAGCATCTATTTTGATTCCTCACAGGCAGTTTTTCTCCTTATTTCTTACATCTGGAATTGTTTTCAGGATTAACGTATTCATCTTATAGTTAGGTCTTAAGAAGGTGAGCTGTTTCTCTATTTGCTTAATTCTCTTTACTCACTGGCCTGATGGCTGATACCACGGTTACTTTTGCTCCTCTTTTAAATGACAATGGTTCCAGCTCAGGGCATGTTTTGACTGAGACCCATGACTTTCTTATATAGAGGTGAAAACATTCTGATCTGAAGATGCCAGCATCAGTGCTAACAGGTAGAATTGGGTTATACAATGTTCAGTGTGAGCAATTTATTATGGCTAAAGAAGAGATCAGAGGTTGAAAGTCAAGGAAGAGAAAGTAAGATATAGTATCTATGGGAATCACTCTATCAATGTATTTAATTGCTGTAGTTTCCTTCAACATGGTACCATTTTATAGACTAATGCTTTGTGTTGTCCAATACATCAGGCCAGTGTTTCTTAACTCTGGATACATACCACAGTCATGTACATATCAGGGTTGCTAATGCAGCTTCAACAAATGAAGACTCCTGGGATTCACTCTGTAAAGTGCTTCTCAAGGGTAAATGTGCAAAGGAATCAATCACTGTAGAACCAGCAGGTCTGTGTTTCTAACAAGCTCCCTGGTGATGCTGATGCTGATTCTGCTGGTCTCCAGACCACACTTTGGGTAGCAAGGTCTAGGGAGAACCTGATACAGTAGGTATGAGGCAGGAAGATGGGCATCTTTAATAATGTCTTCAGGTGATTCTCATATGCAGCAAGGTTGAGCCTCACTGTCCATTGGTGGCTGACTAGTAGTGACTTTCTAGCGGAATATGCAGGTGCTTTCTTTCCATACCTTGCAGGCTACTACTATGTCTTTCTCATTTTCCTTGTTTTTCTCTGGTTCTTCCTTTCTGATATCCTCAGGTGGTTTCTCCTCCACCTAGTGTTGTTCTCCAGGCTTAAGTCTTCTGTATCTTCTTACTTTACTGTGTCTCCCTAAGTCACATTTTCTGTTCTCATAGCCTCGGTTTCGAACCATAGCTCATTGTCTTACAACTCTAAATTTCTGATTGGGCTGTTCCTTCTGAATGTCAGACCTGGGTAGTCTTCTCTCTACCAGATCAAATGTCTCGAAGAAAATGATAGACATAAACCTGCTTCATCCCCAGTGTTCCTCATTGTAGTACCATTTACCTAGTCGCTCAACTCATCTTTAACTTCTCCCTCTCTCGAACCTCCACCTTCCATCTTATAGATTCTCCCTTCTCTGTATCTCTTGAATATGCCCATTTATCTTCATTTCCACTTCCAACTCCGAGTTCTGGCCACCATCATTTGCAGTAGACCATTGCCCCTGCTAACCTGCCCGTCTCCTCCTTTCATCCTTCCTTGTCTTTCCGTTCCATCCCATTCTTCACCCTGTTGCCATAGTGATGTTAAAACATTTTGATCCTCTCCCCCTCATGCACATAGACAGTTTATATCCTTCAAAAGCTTCCCTTTCCCCTTAGAACAAGGTGTCAGAAGAGAGGAGATAAATAGATCCACGGTAGGAGAGAGGCAGGTTTGAGTGGGAGTGAGTGGGAAGAGAGGAGAGAGCAGTTCAGATGTCAAAGACACCGTGGGTTTCTAGTTGTCAATTAACTTACTTGGATCTCCCAGGGATACTGGCTCCAAAGACTGTGTGCTCAATTCTTCTTTTGGAACAAGTCCTGGAAAGAGCAGTAAAACTTTTGGTGACTTACAAGGAAAGGAAGCAGCTGGCCTTACCCCATGGGAGGGGACATAATGGATATTCACACCCAGCTTGGGGGCTTGGCTTAAAGCTAACTGTGCTTTTTTTCACATCACCCCCATCCTGAGAAAAATAATAAATTAATATTTACTTACAGCCTATCAAAAACATAGTACTCTGCTGGGGGATTTGAAATCAGGAGACTTGAGTTCTGTTCTTGTTAATTTATTCTTTATTCTGAGCCTTAGTTTTGTCATCTGAAAGCGTTAAGCACTTGGCCATTGTAAATTATGTCTCTGTAAAATTCTGAAAATCTTGAGCCACAGAATGTGTCTTGCTCGAATAAACCTCCACCGTGCCAAGATCATGTAGGTCCTCAGTCAACATTTGGTGATTGACACAATGAACGAAGATGAGTAAGGCACAAGAAGGACAATCTAATGAGGATTGGATGTGGACTGGAGGAAGACAGTTTATTTAAAAGTAACTCACATAAGAGGGCTTAAAATGCAACTCCTCCCTCCCAGGTGTTTGAGACTAGAAGTAGAGATTCAAAAAGGTTTCATGCTCTCAGAAGCTGTGTGTGTGAGTTGCATTTCAGCCTTGGGGAAGGGGGTGTCTTTAGAGCCATGTACATGGGAGCCAAGTTCATAAATATACCATTTAAAGAAATAAAGACAATAAAAGCGAATCCTTTTAGGCTTGGTAACACGAATGGGCTTCCCAGGCAGAGCACGCTTGCAGCACTGGAAGTGAGTCTCCCCGTTTTCAGGAGGCCCGGAAGTTCCGGGATTCCCCGGAGTGGAGGAAGGTGCGGGGGTCTTCGCTCGCGCTTGGCTGCAGTGAGCTTTCTACTGGCTTGTTATTTTTTCCAGTTTGCAAAGCACATGATTTCATCCTTCCGTTAAAGGTCAGCTAGCTCATCCCACTTCCTCACATCATTTTAAACATTCACTTTGGGTGGCTAACAGCATTTCTCAGCCAGGAGCCTGTCGTGGAAACGCCCCAAGACTCTGCGTTGGAGGAAGGGGAGAAGTACAAGTCCAGAGGCGGAGTCCTCTCCTTCACCTCCTTCTTCCCCTACCAGTACAATCTTCCCTCCCATGAAGAGCTGGAAGGTCTTGTGTGTTGGAGTTTCAAATATTTAATGCAGTACGCAGCAAACAACACCCATTCTCGTGAAGGGAAAACCTGAAAGCCATTTTGCAAAGGAGGAAGTGGAGTTGGAGGAAGTTAAAGTGTGCTGCCAGATAGAGTCAGGGTCCAAACCCATTTTGAGGGTGGGAAACTAGCTCCCTTCTGGCTTTTTGTCTTCACGTTTCCTCTCTCCCTTTTGTTATCCAATATTGCCCCTTACCCCAGGCCTCCCTAGGGAGGGAGTTTCAATGTGCCCTTTGTAGGACCCTTAAATCAGAGGCGGGAGCCATTAGAAATCCTAGGCTAGTGGAGCTCGGCCGCTATGCCAGCTGGATTATTAGACTCTTAGTTCTGCTATCCTGCGCATCTTGATCCACGCGTGGCTGAGAGGTTGGGCTGTATAATTACCTTCATCTAAAAGGACCGATCCAGGTTTCCATGAGTCCATCTCTCCTGATTTTCAAAATTGAAAAGAAACAAACTTGTTACTTAAACCAAACCAGCAGAAACTCTTGAGTGAATTGCCGGGATGATAAGGTTTCCCAATTGTGTCTGAAAGTTCAATAAAGGAACAGAGGGCCAGAATTTTGGATGAAGCAACCTGAAATCTGTATGATTTTTTAAAATCTGAAGCTCTTAAAGTCAAAGGCATAAACATCTTTACCAATTTCTTTTTCATTATGCACCAAGAATCTTGGAATAATGGGAATCCTTGGATTCAAAAGGAACTAAAAATTCATCCACTCCAAACCACCTCCCAATCTGTTTTTGCAACATCCCTGGCCTGTGAGTGGCTGGCTAGTGCTTGATACCTCCAGAGACAGGGGATTCATTACATATTCAACCAAAGTAGTAGATTCCTTCTTGCACTGTTGAGACTGAATCTTTTGCCCTAAATCCTTTCCCATCTATCCATACATCCACACTTATTAAGCACTCACTATATGCCTAATATCGTTCTAGGTACATTTGTCCCACCTGTTTGAATTCCCTTCCTTGGAACTACACTGAACAAATATGGCCCCTTCAGAGATCAGGCAATCCGCTTATTTCCCGAGATTCTGCTTCTCACTGTGTGACTCAAGCAGAATAAAGGAAAGTAGCACCTGGACCTGTATGCAGTAAGATGTTTAATGGCCTTCAACCACAAACTGGTGCTAATGAAGTAGAAGGGGTGGAGGGGAGGAGGAGAGTCTTACTCAATAATCTCTGATCTTTTTTGGAAAATCATGGCTGAGAGGGGCTCAGGGACAGCACAAATGTGTCAGGAAGCCTTATAACACACAAATGGCTGTTTCCCTTTCTTTCTGCCCCTCTCCCTCCTTTCCTCTCTTTTCCATGTCTCCCCTCCCTCCCTCCATCCCACCCTCCCTCCTTCTCTATTTTAGCTCAGAAAGTTGAGAGCATGATCAACTGTTTTATTTCTTAAAGGCTATCAGCTTTTCTGCCAGCTGAAATTACTAACACACTGAAAAAAGGGTGATATTTTTCTTTATGTGATGAAGATGCCAGACAGTTTTGAAAGGCAATCTGTTACTGCACATTCTGGTTTAATGGTGAGACCTGAGTTTAATCTAGTTCGGTCATTAACCAGGTGTGTGACCTTGAGCTAGTCACATACCCTTTGTGAGCCTTAATTTCTTTGTAAGTAATATAAGCAGATTGGGCAAGATAGTCTCCGCATTCAAGATATTTATGACTTGCTTAAACATTCTGATCAAGAACATCCTGCTTCTTTAGCCTTATTACTTTATCGCCACCTACTGGTGAAAATATGCACTTTACCCTTTTCCTAAAAAAATGTGCTGCTGGCTTCCCTCACTTTTTGCCCAAGGCTTGCTTGCTTTCTTTTTCCTTCTTCCGATGCACTCTTGAATGTCAGGAAGATTAGGATGCTGGGTGCTCTATTACTTTATCAAGAGATAAACAGTCCCCCAACATCAGGGATTTCCAAGCCTCTTGCTCCTGTCCTAGAAGCCTGTCCTTATATTCATGCCACTTTCGGTTTGTTTGGGACAAGTTTGAACCAAATTACATTCATCCAAAAGCCAAAGGCTGAAAAATATTTGGACAGCTGAGACTTGGTGTTTTTTGGACTCAGTAGTAATGAGAAGTAAATTTGTGAGAACATTTGTATTCTGGCGTCAAGGAGGAACAGGGTGGTATCAAGAAAAGACATCAGAAGCCCATCCTGGGTCAACCAAAGACCAACTGGGAGCCTGGGGGGCTCACTTACTTTCTTTCCAGGTTTGCCTCCAGTTTTTTGCAGTGTAGGGTTGTCATAAAGACTTTCCCTACACTGTCACATGGAGGAGACTTGAAGGAGGTAAATGTGTATAAAATCACTCTGAGAAGTGTAAGTCACTCTTAGAAAACCAGGGAATTATTTTTGTGTTTTTGTGACAATTCTTGCTTGGTCATCTCATAGATACAGTCAGGTCTAAAAGAAGTGTTGGTTCTAATACTGCATGTCCTCACTTACAAGTGGGAGCTGAATGATGAGAACACATGGTGGGGAACAGCACGTACTGGGGCCTGTTGGAGGGTTGGGAGGTGGGAGGAGGGAGAGCATCAGGAAGAATAGCTAATGGATGCTGGGTTTAATACCTAGGTGATCGGATGATCTGTATAGAAAACCACCATGGCACCCATTTACTTATGTAACAAACCTGCACCTTTGGCACATGTACCCCTGAGCTTAGAATACAAGTTGGAAATTAAAAAAACAAAGGTATATTGGTTCTGAATGATTTCTGGGGTAAAAATGTAGAAGCCATTGGTGTTTATGGAGAGCTTGCTTAGTGTCAGGCACTGACTGAGCACTTTCTACGTATTAAGTCACAATCATCCAGTGAGTTAGGTGCAGCTATGATCCCATTTTACAGGTGAGGAAACTCATGCACAGGGAGTGGCAGAACAGAACTTTAAGCCCATGCGGGCAGGCTCCAAAGCCTACCCCTAACCACCATCTGTTTATCACACACTAGGAGTCATCATCGCTTCAGCACCTCGGGGTACTTGGTTAGGGCACTGAAGAGCTGGGCCTGGCCCAGCCACCTGCAACTCATGCTAATGTAGTCAAGTCTTCAAAAGGGCCCAGAAGCATGCCTGCTCCTAAGACTGTGGTGTGATCTTGGTGCTGGTTCCAGCTCCTTCTGTTCCATCTAGAAGTCACCAACACGGGACCCAAGCAAGAGCTGCAAACATGGCCCTTTGGGCTCTCAAATTTTATAAGACAGAAGCCCGAGTGTCCCTTCAGCTCCCTCGTTTCTTCCCAGTGACTCCCCTGGGGTGTAGTCTTTAGGAGGAAGTGGCTCTGAAAGGCAGCAGGCATCTGGACCAGCAGAATTTCTAGGCTTCCCTTCCCTTCACCTGGCTTCATGTCCCAAGGGCTGCACTTTCCCTGGAGAGCTGCTTCTTGCTGTACCGAAGTGGGGAGCACTAAGAGGGTGGGCTGTTGCAGCTGTGCCCAGGGTGTCGCCATGCTGGTAGCGCATCACACAAGGACTCTCAGAGAAGGCTGAGGACAGTCTGGGGTCCTGGGCGTAAGCCATCATGCCAACAAAGCGTCGACAGTCCCAGGTTTATAAATGGGCTACCATCCAAGGCTCGGTGTGGGGTATTTTTTGGGAAACCTGGCAGCCTTTTCTCTTGGAAACATTAACTCCATGGTTAGGTTTCCAGACCAGTGAAGCTTCTTTGACTCAAACACAGCTCATGGTACCAAGAAGCCAACCAGCATAAGGATGGTTCTGAGGAAAAGCCACCAGGTTTTAACTTGAATTATCAGGAGCCCACCACCCCTGCCTCCTCCATACAGCAGGAGTAGCCTGCCCCAACTCCCAGAACCGTGGTAGGAGGGGTAAAGGCTGGCAGTGGGGGACGCAGTGTGTAGGAGGCAGTGGTGTTGCTGATGACTCTGGAGTAGGAGAGTGTGGGGCCTGTGAAGGCAAAAGCCCCAGCAGCATAATTCTAGAATTTGAAAATACTTGATTCGTGTTTGTAGCTCTAATGCACAGGACAGTATCTGACATACAGTATGCTCAGTACATTTTTTAAAAATTAAATAACAGATCCCCTTCATATGAGAGCTTCAGCTTAAATGGGGGGTGCATGAATTTATATCTGTGGCTGAAGGCATAGTGGGAGAGAGTGGCAGGAATCACTCATGGGTGACACCTGGTGTCCTGTAGAAAGGAGGATGACAGCATCATCAGGTCCACATGTAACTGCTTGTGTCTGGGTTGATCTAAACACAAAGGAGGTGTTTAGTGCGGATCGCAGGATTCGGTTGCCCCATGTGATATATTTTTATCAGTAAAGGGAATGGAGACAGGTGGCACGTTTATCCATTTTCCAGATGACACAAAGATTACAAGGATGTTAACACATTCAATGACAGAACGAATACTCAGGAAGATTGCAGCCGACTAAACGAAGGAAGGATTTAATAGAGATATGTGATTTTCCAGTGTGGGCTTCAAAAACTCGATTGTGTCTAGACAGGATTGAGGTGACCTGCTTCTACAGAGGTATATGATAAAAAATCCCAGCGACTTTAGGTATTGCAAGCTCAGTAGGAGATGAGCCAGTGGTGAGACAAGCCTTACCCCAAATGGAAGTTGGGGTGTTTTAGTGGGAGCAGAGTATTGAGGACTAGAGAGGCAATTGCCTGGCACACTACCCTGGCAGCACTGTGTTCTGCTCGGGGTGCCCTGGTGTATGAATTATTAATAGTCTACAGCATAGTTAGAGGGTGTACTGCCAAGTCCAGCAAAGACCTATTGGAGGGATTAAAGAGATATCCTGGAAAAGATGAGATATAAAAAAAGACATGAAGTCTAGCTTCATGTATTTGAAAGGCTCTCAAATTTAAGGCACTCTCAAAGGTTCTCAGCCTTCTTATGCTCTCAGAAATTGTCAAAGACCCCAAAGACCTTTAGTTTGTACGAGTTATATCTATTAATTTTTATCATTTAGAAATTACAACTGTGCACTTTCTCATTTGAAACAGAATACTGACAATTTGTTTAACTATTAATTTACTTTATTTTTACTTATTTTATTTTATTATTTAATTTTAATTTTTTTGAGACAGAGTCTCGCTCTGTCGCCCAGGCTGGAGTGCAGTGGCGTGATCTCGGCTCACTGCAAGCTCCGCCTCCTGGGTTCATGCCATTCTCCTGCCTCAGCCTCCCAAGTAGCTGGGACTACAGGCGCCCGCCACCACGCCTGGCTAATTTTTTGTGTTTTTAGTAGAGACGGAGTTTCACCGTGTTAGCCGGGATGGTCTCGATCTCCTGACCTCGTGATCTGCCCTCCTTGGCCTCCCAAAGTGCTGGGATACAGGTGTGAGCCACCGCGCCAGGCCATTTTATTTTTTTTGAGATGGAGTCTCACTCTGTGACCTAGGTTGGAGTGCAGTGGCGCCATCTCAGCTTACTGCACCCTCGGCCTCCCAGGTTTAAGTGATTCTCCTGCCTCAGCCTCCCGAGTAACTGGGATTACAGGCACGCACCACCGGCTCATTGTTGTATTTTTAATAGAGACGGGGTCTCACTATGTGGGCCAAACTCGTCTCGAACTCTTGAGCTCAAATGATCCACCTGCCTTGGCCTCCCAAAGTGCTGGGATTACCGGCGTGAACCACCGCACCCGGCCTAACTATTAATTTACTTCAAAGTGACAATAGAATTATTATATTTTAATGTAAGCGTTAATTTTTACTGAAAAAAAACTGTTTTCTAAAACCAAGGCTTCAGTGAGAAGAGTGGCAAATGTCTCCAATGTCTATCATAATAGAAGATAGCTGGAGTCTGTTATCAGCTCCTGCAGTCAGTTGTGATATGTTGTTGTTGTTGAAATATGTGGAGAAAATCTGTCCTCACAACAACATGTAGTCAGAGAAGGGAAGATGTCACAGAATCTCTGAAAGCGGGGTCTTTGGACCACACTTTGAGAACCACTGGTTTAGACAAATTAGTAATGAGGAGCTGAAGTTCTGGATAGTTACGTCTAATAGTGCCACCCACCAAATGAAGGGGCTGGGAATTCCCTACCACTTGAAGTTATTCGATATAGGGTAAAGGCCTCTGTCTGGCACACCATAAGTGATTCATTTTCAGGTGAGAAGTTAGACCAGATGTACTTTATACAATTCTTTCCAATTCCATAATCTGACGATTTTATAGCTGAGGAACTGGGCAGCTTGCCTTGTATACATGACTGCATCTGAGATGAGAGTTGGTCGAAGGATATCTAAGAACTCCAAATGTTCTTACCTGCCTTTACTCAGGGTGTGCAAATGGCTTCCTTCCCCTGTAGGAGCCATAATGGAGCTTCATAGCTAGTCTAGGTCTGAGCACCTAGAGTGTGTTGGGGGAGTCCTTTAAGTCAGGAACACTCTGAGAGTTCATGGGAGACTCTGAGGCACTCAGAGCAAAGTTGCAGGGATGATGGTGAGGAGAGAAGCAGCAGAAATTGGGTAGGATTTGAAGGTAAAGGAACATCTAGGAACATCTGTGTGGGTCGAGACAGAGTGGCATTATTGGGAGCATAAAGGAGAATGGAGAAGAAACAGAGAATCCCAGAGCTATAGAACTGGAGGATGGTAAACTCAGAAAAAGGGAATGAGGCCAAATACATTCAGCAGAATACAGCATTGAAACAAACCCAAAATTGTCAGGCAGTAAAAAATTGAAGATGCAAATCAGGTTATGTGCCTCCTTGCCAACCATCCCCCATGCCATATCCGAACCATGTGCTGTATCTGGGTATTTGTGCTTTATCCTGGAGGACTGTCTGAGGATGGGCCTGGTAGGTGCAGAGAGGCAAAGAGGCTGCTTAGTGAGGGAACCTCTTGAGGAGACATAAAGTAATGACAGCCCTTGGATGTCTTCGTTGACAAAGATTTTCTCTTTGATGCACTGAGAACAGATCAATCAAAGAGACATTTTCTCGAGGTTAAAATATCTTAGCATGCTCCCAAACTCTGGTGACCTGAAGTTGAGCTGCAGAGGCCAAGAACAAGTGTGTGGGGAGGTCCTCATGTTTGCAAAGTGCCACAGAGCAAATTCCTAGGGAGCAGAGATGGTAAGCAGTGGGCAGCTTACCCAGGCTGACATCCGCTCCAACAGGTTTCTGGAAGGCAGCTCCTGAAGGATCTTGCCTTTGGATACCTGAGGGGATTACACAGGGTCAGCCGATTTACACACAACCAGCAGGCTGCTTTCTTTCCTTATTTTGCCCCCGGTGAAAATTACCTTAGTTCAGATTTTCCTTGGAAGTCGGCCGAGCTCTCTGTGCCTGGTTGTACTTCTGGGGGTTGCAGAGGAGGCAAAAATCTTGGCCAAGGGGACAGGAGGAAACAGTGCTCCATGGATTGGGCTCCTGTAGAGTCCCACGAGTCTGTAGAGGCCTAAGATGGCCTTGGAGTCCTTGCCCTGGCCAGTGTTCTCATTCTCAAGCCTTTTTGTCCAGGACAACAGCATGTGCATTGGCAAAGGTGCAATTGTGAAGCTCATAGAAGCTGCTCGCCCTGACCAGAGGAGCCCATTGGGCCCCTGTTCCTATCCAGTAGCAAGCAAAACAGAACCTACAGTTTCTAAGAACATGTGGAGAGTGGACGAGTATCCCCCAGCAGGGAGAAGACCTGCTTCTGATCCTAGTGTCCTGTGGCTTCAGAGGGAATGGTATACTTCCACCAAGTCTATCAGCTCATAGACCGGGCTGTGAGTAGAGTTTGTGGAAACCGTCAAACCCTGCTAGATTTTCCTTTCTAATCTCTGCAGGCCTTAACAGTGCTGCAGAGAAGAGAATTTGCTGGATTCCTAGTTCTTCGGCCAAACCATACAGAAATGAAGACAGCCAGGGGCATTTCAGAATTCATAGGTGAACTCCCGGGGAGAGAGAATGTGTTTCTGTCCCCCGTGGCATAGAATTACTCAGGCAAAAAAGAGAGAAAAAAAATCCTCTTTCCTGGGAGATGATACAAATTTCCCTTCGTGTTTTACCGTAGTTCCTCAAAAATAAGCCCCAGAGAGTGCCCCTTTTCAGGTCTGTAAGAGCCCGGTTACTGAATCCTGAGACATTCCTATCACAACCTCTACAGACTCGCTTCAGGGGAACAGAGAGTGGGACAGGGCTTTGCTTACTTAACCACTTCTTTACATGTTTTCTTAGAAGTTGGGCCCTTGAGTGGCATCTTCTGTTGGCCTAAGTGGTTTAATAGTCCTTGTCCAAATCTAAATTAAATGGCAAAGATGTGGAGAGGAACCGCATGTAAACAAGCTTAACTTTCATCAGTGGCTGGAAAGGGAGTTTAAGGTCTTACCTGGATCAGCTCTGGGCCTGTTTTGGCTGCTTGTGTAGGTGGCAGTGGACCAGAGATCTGTAAGGACATTTGACTGGTCAGAGCATGAATTTTATTTAATTAATTAATTAATTTATTTATTTTTGAGTCGGAGTCTCACTGTATGCCCAGAGCTGGAGTGCAGTGGTGCGATCTCAGCTCACTGCAACCTCCGGGTTCAAGCGATTCTCCCACCTCAGCCTCCCGAGTAGCTGGGATTACAGGTGCGTACCACTAGGCTCAACTAATTTTTTATATTTTTAGTAGAGATGGGGTTTCACCATGTTGGCCAGGCTGGTCTTGAACTCCTGACCTCAAGTGATCTGCCTGCCTCAGCCTCCCAAGGCATGAGCCACCACACCCGGCCAATAAATTTTAACCTGACTGTTTTCATTCTTTCTATGATCCAACCTAGCAAGACATTACCAAGGTTGGAAACAAGGTGAAGCTCTATATTTGGGCAGTCCAAACCTGCCTTGGAAGAGGAATTCAAATGAAAAAAAAAAAAAGAGTATTTAACCTAAAACACCAACTAAAAACTACAGGTAATAATAACCTTTGTATTTCACAACTATCAAAGTATCTATCTTTTAGTCAAATGCCATATTTCTTTACACTTCATTATTCTTACAATAATTCTCAACTGTGCCACTCATGGGGAGGTTGAAGTAATCCTTCAGTAGAAGTGTCACTTAACATTCAGCAATTTGCTTAAGCTGCGTTAACGTGGTATTGATGCAAATAGAATTAGCTTTTCATCATTTTTAGAGGTACACAATGGGTTATCGTTAATTACTCTGTGAGCGAAGGAAACACACTTCAACATTCATTATTTATTGAGCAATTTCTCTAAAGCAAGGTTTTAAAAGGGAGAAGGGAGATAAAACATTCTGTTAAGAGAAATGCAAAGCCTTTGGAAGGGAAAGAGAGGCACGTAAAACCCAGCTGACGGAAATAACCAAATGTCATGAAGGGGAAGAGCAAGAGGGCATGGAAAAAAATATCAATTTGTCTTAGAACTGGAGTTATCCAAAATCAGCTTTTGACTCTTTTTGTCTATGTTCCAATTATTTGACACAATTTCAAAGTAGGTTTCTTTGTTTGTTTGTTTATTTTTTGTTTTCAGTCAGGCTCTCACTCTGTCCCCCAGGCTGGGGTACAGTGGTGTGATCATAGCTCACTGCAGCCTTGAACTCCTGGGCTCAAGTGATCCTCCTGCCTCAGCCTCCTGAGTAGCTGAGACTACAAGTGCACATCACCATGCTCTGCTAAGTTTTTGTTTTGTTTTGTTTTTGAGATGGAGTTTCGCTCTTGTTGCCCAGGCTGGAGTGCAATGGCATGATCTCGGCTCCCCACAACCTCCGCCTTCCAGGTTCAAGTGATCTCCTGCCTCAGCCTCCCGAGTAGCTGGGATTACAAGCATGTGCCACCATGCCCGGCTAATTTTGTATTTTTATTAGAGATGGGTTTTCTCCATGTCGGTCAGGCTGGTCTTGAACTCCTGACCTCAGGTGATCTGCCTGCCTTAGCCTCCCGAAGTGTTGGGATTACAGGCGTGAGCCACGGAAGTTTTTTTTATTTTTGTAGAGTCAGGGGTCTTGCTCTGTTGCCCAGGCTGGTATTGAACTCCTGGCCTCAAGTGATCCTCCTGCCTCGGCCTCCCAAAGTGTTGGAATTAGGGAGGCATGAGCCACCACGCCCAGCCTCAAAGCAGCCTTATTTTCTGTTTAATTATGCAGATAACATAGGCTTACTGTAAAAATAAGATGATATACTATGCATAGTAAGCAATCACCTTTTATCCTCTAGCCAGCAGTTACTGGTATACAATTCTGGCATACAGAGTTGTATCCCTTTTTCTGTGGGATGTACATGCTCTCATGTACAACACACGTTGCAAAAATGAGATTGGTTCCCATGCTGTTTTGTAGCCTGCTTCTTTGACTGAATGATCTGCCCCAGGCCAATTCTCTTGTGGCACTAAGCGCACATATTTCTCAACATTTTACTACCTGTATAGTAACTTCTTTAGCCATTCTTCTAGTGATAAATAAGTAAATTATCTCCTTTAAAAAATTATGAACAGCATCTGTTCTCACCCCGGGTTGATAATTACCTTAGGATATATTCCTGGAAGTGTGAATTCTGGGTCATTTCTCCACACTCTCATCCAAACTGTGTATTATCGATTTCCAATGAGAGTTGCTGAGAAATGATATTTTGTTGTTTAATTTGTACTTACTTGATTCCTGGTGAAGCTGAACATCTTTTTTTTTTTTCTTTTTCTTTTTCTTTTTTTTTTTTGAGATGAAGTCTCACTCTATTACCCAGGCTGGAGTGCAGTGGCACGACCTCGGCTCACTGCAACTCCTGCTGCCCGGGTTCAAGCGATTCTCCTGGCTCAGCCTCCTGAGTAGCCGGTATTACAGGTGCACACCACTGCATCTGGCTAATTTTTGTATTTTTAGTAGAGATGGGGTTTCACCATCTTGGCCAGACTGGTCGAACTTCTGACCTCGTGATCCGCCCGCCTTGGCCTCCCAAAGTGCTGAGATTACAGGCGTGAGCCACCGGGACCGGCAAAGCCGAACATTTTTATAACAATTTTTTTATTGGCCATTTGTAGTTCTTCTGCTGTGGCTTGCCTGGTTATGGCCTTTCCCCATCTTTCTTTTGGAATATTTGTCTTTTTCTTACTATTTGTAAGACTGGATTTTAAGAAAAGCCTTCTCCAAATACCTTAAGGAAGATAAGCTTTCACTGGTGAGATGAGTGTTGGTAAGGGAAACTGTATGTGGAAGGAATGAGCTGTGATAAGATGCTGGCCTCTCTTCCTGCCTCAAATTTCACTTTCTCCCGCTTAGCGGTCCTTGGTCAGAAGGTGGAGCCCAGGGTAGAGAGGTGGAGGATCTCTGTCATCGCTATTCCCTGCCACTAGGCGGCGCTCTTCTCCCCTCCCTGGTCTACCCTTGGTTGTGGACAAGTTCAATGCTAGCTCAGCTGAGGCAACCATGGCATGTCTTGAAATGAACCTGATTAAGAAAACAAAGGAAGACACAGCCACTCCACCTCCTTAGCCTGTGGTAGATTCACCCAGACCTGTAGCTGAACCTGGAGGGATTTTCTGTCTTTTCCAGAACTCTTTCCTAAGCATATCTATAGATCTGGCTCTCCCGGCTTCCCCCTCTGATGCCATTGTCCTTGGCCTTTCCCATGAAGAACAGCCTCCTTCCTGCACCTGTAGGAAGTCTCTATTGCTCTGGCTTTCGGCTCCCTTACCCCCAGCCTTGACTCACTCCCTTCTGTCTTGCTGGTGTGCACATTTATGGGTCAGTTAAGGGGCCATGATGCGGCTTTGGTGTCCAGCCCCACCTTCCACCTGCATCAGCTCCTCTGCATGGGCTGGAAGAACCCCTGTGTCTTCCTGCTATGTACTTTCCGCTCTCCCTTGAGCCCTCTCCAAGTTCCCATGTGTTGTATCAGAGGCAGATCTTGATCCCATTGTGGAGTACAAATGACTCACAGACCCCAAACACAGGTAGCTCCTGTTTTGGCTACATACCCTTCAGGTGTCCTAAGCCGAAGCGACTTGCTGCAGGGATCTTGATGGGATGTGTTCATCGATGTAGCCCAGATTTAGAACAGTGCCTGACACATAGTGGGCATTCCATAAAACGTTTGTTGAATGAATAAGTGAATTAGGTTTTGCTTGAACACCCTGTCCACAACCAGTTCTAGAACCTTTTGCCTACAGCCACATATATAAGAGGAAAAATCTTTAATAAGTGCAATAACAGCAGCTCACTTGTCTATCACAGTATAAGGAGATTTGCTTTCCAATTTTCAGCCCATTTGAAGGAAAAACATGACTTATCTAAATATTATTTAATATAGTTGGACTGAAATATCACAGCAAATATCTATAGCCTTAAGATAGGCATTCATGCAAGTCAATTGGCTGCCTAGTGCTGGGGAGGAGGGGTTGGGGAAATGATGAGTAACTGTTTATGGGCACGGGATTTCTTTTGGGGGATGAAAATGTTCTAGAATTGATTGTGGTGATGGTCACACAACCCTATGAATATACGAAAAACCATTGATTTGTACTTTACATGAGTGAATTGTATGGTTTCTGGAAAGTCTCTCATGAATACTTTTATTTTAAGAAGACATAAGCAATTAAATATTAATTTTCACTTCTTTTTAGGCCTTCAGAAACTCCTTTGAATAGGCAATACAACTTTTAAAAAGCTCTCCCCGCTTCCCCAGTTTGGTTCCTATCCTAGCCATTGTGGTGCATGCTTCATGGCTTGCTTGCTCCGAGCGTTTGTCTAGCAGTCTGTGGATCACCATAGAAGTGGGCTCTGGACAAGGATGAAGAAGGAACACTGATGGGCCAGGAGGCTGTTGTCCAAAGCTCCTGTTCCCAAGCCAGGAATAAAGAAGCTTTGCCAGGTTAGGAGCCACTACTTCAAGTTTCTTAGGTTTTCCACCAGCAGAGCCCAACTTGCAACAGATTTCCAAGCTCCCAGCGTAGCCAAATAAATATGCCACATGTTTAATTATATGTGTTATGTAAGAATTTAAAGTCCTCTAAGGAGAAAACAGGAGCAAACAACTAACTCAGATACTCAAAAATCTTTGAAAGAATCAAGGCATCTGAAGTCAAGAGCCTGAAATTTTAGAAAGGAGAACTTCTGGCTACAGAACCCCTGTTAACCCTTGCCATCCAGCATCCTTCCTGTTTCTCTTTTGCTGTCAAGTATTGTGCACCTGTGTTAATATTATCCTGAGTTAAACAGGAACAGAATGGTGGAGGAGTGTTTGATGTATTTCAGAACACCAAAAATTCTTTTTGCGGTATTCTTATTCTGGGACTTTATATCATAGCTTCTTCAAAGAGTCGTCCATAAAATAGCATAATAATAATTCTTATTTCAAAAAGTTATTGGGAAGATTAAATAAGATAATACATGCAGTATACCTGGTAAATGAGATATATGTACTACATGCATTCTGTTATTATTAATTCAAGAAGAAGTTGGCTGTGCTGAGCACCTTTTAATTTTGCCATACTAATCATGCCAAAATGTGCTCTGCCTGGGCCTGGGGTGTTCATTTTTGGCAGGGATGCTCCCCTGCAAGGAAGAGGAGAGCCAGGCTGCTGGAGTTTGAATTCCAGTTCTGCCACTTCCCAGCTGTGTAGGCTGGAACCAGTTTCCTCACTGCCTTACTCCTTGGTTTCCTCATCAATACAATGGATTATTGAAATTGGAAGTCATAAATCTACTTCATAGGGTTGTTACGGAGGATTCAATAGGCTAATATTTGTAAGGTGTTCAGAAGATGGGCTAGCATATTCAAAGTGCTGATTTGCATTTTTATTTATTTATTTATTGAAACGGAGTCTCTTTCTGTCACCCAGGGTGGAGTGCAGTGGTGCGATCTCGGCTCACTGGAACCTCTGCCTCCCAGGTTCAAGCGACTCTCCAGCTTCAGCCTCCCAAGTAGCTGGGACTATAGGCACGTGCCACCACACCTGGCTAATATTTGCATTTTTAGTACAGATGGGGTTTCACCATGCTGGCCAGGCTGGTCTTGAACTCCAGGCCTCAAGTGATCTGCTTGCCTCGGCCTCCCAAAGTGCTGGGATTACAGGCGTGAGCCACCGCTCCCAGCCTGATTTGCATTTTTTAAATAAGAAGATGGATAGGTAGGTAGCTGGCCTCTGCTATGGGAGCGGAGAGGGGGAAGGGTCATGCTATGTGGCAGTAGTGACTGCAAGCTGGAGGCGAGCCTGAAAAGAACAAGTCCAGAGCACTTCCTCCTGGAAGGAAAAAGTGGCACCAGGTGGGAAATATTCAGAAAACATTGCTAAGACAATAGTGGAACTCCAGCTGCAGAAGTTTTCGCCCCCTTGCTAGAAAAGTTCTGGAAGTGAGATAGATGCTTATTAACTTAGGATGGTGTAGATATAAGTCTGTGCAGAAATGAGATCAGATGATCAGATGGGCTCCTTAGGCCCTATTTGATGTAGTACGAGATGAAGTCCATAAACTGGACCTTGATAAAACCTTCAACATGATTTGAGCAATGGGTAAAAGTAGTAAGACAAAAAACCATCAGAAAAGGAACAAAAACATTAGCTGACTTTTCCTAAAGGGATTCTTTTGGTTTTGTTTGCTTTTAATATTTGAAGACTTCCAAGTCTGTACCATTTGTCACTTAAAAACCAATAACAACAACAATAAACCCCAACAATGTTTACATAGAAATCTACCATCCCTTCAACTGAGCTTTTGGAGAAATGAAGATTTTGCAATGGGAAAGTATTCTATCTTCAGAAGTACGGTGACAGCAGTCTTATTTTTGAATCTACATCCTCCCTTGAATCTAGGAGGAGGACACAAATAACATACCCCCGGCCCAGTTCTCCAGTGCTCCCCATTCACCCAGCCCAGTAGATGCTCAGACAGAGCTGTTACTCTAAAAGCCCAATTTCCCATTTCCCTAGCACAAAGCAACACATGGTCTACCTACTGACCCATCTCCTGGCTCCTGTGGCCCACTGATTGTGGTCTGGGGATGCTGGTGGTAGAAGCAGCAGAAGGGGATGGCCTTGGCAAGGTGGTGGGGGTGGCCACAGCTACAGTGACAGCCAGAAGCTGCATCAGAGTGACCGGCTGTGCAGTTGTCCCTGGAATAGGTGGCCTCTGATAGGCTTTTGTGGTCTCACCTGTAAGAAAATGGAATTATACCAAGGCCCACAAAATAACCTGTACACTCTTATAGAACTAGAAATAAAATAAATGTTGATTGAACACTAGCTATGAGCACAGAGCTGTGCTAGCCACGGTGAAGGGTGAAACCCAGGTAACAGCCACATTCTTGCCTGAAAGAATGTATGCTCTCAGAGCAATCACTCAATCAACCAAAGATTCAATAGCAATAAAATAAATGACAGGTCAAAACTATAGCAACATAGAACATAGACAAGGCAGAACATGATTAATTGCTGAATTAATTTGCCTGGCACCACTAGCAATGGTTTATGTACATTTTTTTTTGTTTTTGTTTTTTGCTGATTTGATTAGCATTGGCCTTGGAATAGAAGACAGAAGGTGCATTTGGGGCTTTCATTATGACCTAGTCTTAGAGAATACGTTTTAGATGCGCTGGTTTAGGTTGGTTCATGACTAGTCAACTCTTCTGGGCCCCAGTTTCCTAATCTGTAAAATGGGGTAATAGAACTACCTGGATGGCAAGGATGATCCAGATTCTACATTTTTTTTCTTTTTTGAGACAGGATCTTGCTCTGTCACCCAGGCTGCAGTGCAGTGGCACAATTATAGCTCACTGCAGCCTCGAACTTCTGGGGTACAGTGATCCTCCCACCTAACCTCCCAAGTAGCTGGGACTACAGGTGCAAGACACCATACCTGCCTAATTTAAAATTTTTTTTTTGTAGAGAAAGCATCTTCCTGTGTTGCCTAGGCTGATCTTGAACACCTGGCCTCAAACAATTCTTCCATCTCAGCCTCCCAAAGCTCTGGGATGACAGGTGCAAGCCACTGTGCTCGGCCTAGATTCGACTTCTAAATGGTGCTCTTCATCCACGTGTGATGATTTAGATCACTTCTCTCCTTTTAAACACCGCTGTAGTTGGCTCCCTATAAAGCAAGTCTCAGTTTGTTAGTGCTCTGAGAATATCTCTGAAGGTTTAGAGCAAGGGGACAAGTGGCTACCCACTGGGCATTGGGGTTTGTCTTGAGAACTGTGAGTTCTCAGGGAGACACACAGTGGCCCCCAAAGTGAACAGCTCCTCGGTCCTGGGAAGGAACAACCCACTGTTGCTTGTGCCTGCTGGGCCCCATTGGGGCATGCCAGCTTCTGTCCCTGTGTACCTGTATCAGCTGCTAGGGCTGCTGTAACAAACTACCACAAACTGGGTGGCTTAAAATGACAGAAATTTATTCTCTCACAGTTCTGGAAGCCAGAAGTCAGACATCAGCATCACTGGGTCAAACTCAAGGTGTCAGCAACACTGAGCTTTCTCAGGAGGCTATAGGGTAGACTCTGTGTCTTGCCTCTTCTGCTTTCTGCTGACTGCTGGCATTCCTTGGCTTGTGGCCATGCCACTTTAGTTTTCAAGGCCAGCATCTTCAGTTGTTTCTCTGCTCCGTCGTCATATGACCTCTGATATGGTTTGGGTCCGTGTCCCCACCCAAATCTCATCTCAAATTGTAATCCCCATAATCCCCACCTGTCAAGGGAGGGATGAGGTGGAAGGTGATTGGATCATGGGGGCGGTGTCCCTCATGCTGTTTTCATGATAGTGAGTGAGTTCTCACAAGCTCTGATGGTTTTATAAGGCAGTTTTTCCTCTCTCTCTCTTTCTCTCTCTCTCTCTCTCTCGCCTGCTGCCATGTAAGACATGCCTGCTTCCCCTTCTGCCATGATTGTATGTTTCATGAGGCTTCCCCAGCCATGTGGAACTGTGAGTCAACTAAATCTCCTTTGTTTGTAAATTACCCAGTCTTGGGTAGTGTCTTTATAGCAGTGTGAGAACGAACTAATACAACCTCCTCCTCTATGGATGTGAAATAATCTCCCTCTGCCTTCCTTTTACAAAGATGCCAGTGATTGCATTTAGAGCCCACCTGGGGAATCCAGAATAACCGCCCCGTCACGATCTCAGGATCCTTAATTTAATCACATTAGCAAAGGCTCCCCACATTTTTTCCATATAAGGAAACATTCAATGGTTCCAGGGATTAGGACATGGATATCTTTTCCAGGGTGTTTTTCAGCCTACCACAGCATCCCAGCTCTGGCCTTAACTCTGCTTGGGGTTGATACATTTTTGTTACACAGCACAGCAGACCAAGAAGATAGCATCTGAAATAAGAAGGTGCTTCTGTCTTGGTGGGAACCATCCACCTTCCCCTTTGACATTGTATAACATCCAGGAAAATAGTGCCAGAATCATAGTCCTGGACAAGTGATGCAAACAAATGTGTGGTGGGGTGTTTAGACCCACCGCCAACAGCAGCACCTGCTCATTTCCCCACCCTGACTCTGCCGTCTTTTGCAGGAATCACAGCACTGACTTAAGACAGCAGGTCAGCAAACAGTATTCCTGGAATCGGGTTGGAATTCAGCCATTCGGTCTGCTCTTGCAGGCATTAGCTGGTCAAGGTAGGAAACCGATCTTTCAATTGCCTTGTTTCTTGCTAAGTTGGTCACCTTTAAATTTGCCTGTAGCCTGTGTCAGACAAATCACTAAAGAGCTCACAGCAGCCTCCTTCAAGCCATCCTCAGGCAAAAGTGAATCTGCCTGATTTATGACATTTCCATTATTTTAAAGAGTTTGAGCTTTCATAACAAGTACTAGGGAAGTTTCTAATTTCTCCAAAGTACTTCTCCGTCTTACCCTCTGGTAATGCTACCAGGCATTATTGCCTCCTTACGGAGATGCAGGCCCGGGTTTGACCTACTTCATCTAGGGAAAAGCCATTTAACAAATCCACTTGTATATTTTATGAAATAGGATGTAATTAATAATTTGGAAAGAAACATACATAAACTGACAATCTATTTTACTTGTAAATGATTCATGAAACTGCAATGTACTAAAAATAAAACTTCTACTTGCAAATAGTGAACACTTTTTGCCACCTAAAACTTATTATATATTGAAAATCGGAATTATCTTTTTGTCACACCATTGGCTAATCCCAAGGCTGCTGACCATCCCAGTCTGCCTTTGCTAAAATTGATTTGCTAAAGAAAGGCTGAAGATCCTGAGGGCAGTCTTTGTATCACTTGCTCATAATGCAGATGCTTTCAAGTGTATCATAAATTCAACTAACAGCCATGGGCTTCCACGGGCTTCCGTGGGCTGTTGTTTTTGCCTGCTCTCCTTCATGGATTACAACTGTCTTTAAGAGGGAAGATAGACGCCTGTAATCCTAGCACTTGCGGGGGCCGAGATGGGTGGATCACTTGAGGTCAGGAGTTTGAGACCAGCCTGACCAACATGGAGAAACTCTGTCTCTACTAAAAATACAAAATTAGCCAGAGGTGGTGGCACATCCCTGTAATCCTAGTTACTCCAGAGGCTGAGGCAGGAGAATGGCTTGAACCCGGGAGGCGGAGGTTGTGGAGAGCCGAGATCGAGCCATTGCACTCCAGTCTGGGCAACAAGAGCAAAACTTCATCTCAAAAAAAAAAAAAAAAAAAAAAAGGGAAGATAGAGAAAAATTACTCCTCCTATCCCAATTGCTCCCAATTCCTCACTGAACATAATACCCTTGATTTGATCCAAGGTGAATTCTTCATGGAACCAAGTTCTTTTTGAGCCATTTGAAAAAAAACTAGTAAAATAGTTTCTTCCTGCAATCTCAGCTACATAAAGTTTTGATCTTTTTTCAAAGATTTTTATGGGAAAGCATTTCAAAACTTCCCTTAAACTCTACACATATTCCTCATTTGGGTGTGGTCGGAAGAGCTCCAGGCAGCCACCTTCTCAAACATAGCAGGTGGTGCCACACCACTCCCCACACCTGGCTCATCGTTAGAACCACACTGGAGGTGTTAAAATGCAGGTTCCAGGGCCCTGGTCGTGGAGATTCTGACTCACTGGACCCAGGGTGGGCCGTGGAATTCTCATTTGAGAACCACAGCGGGGGACTCAGCAGACAGCCAGGGAAGGCAGAAGAGGTTTTTCCCATGCTAGCTCAGTAGCCTCTAACAAAGATTTACTTTCCCTTTTCTTGCTGTGATACTAGGAATGTGCCTTCCTAGTTTTTTTTAAAAAAACTTCTACAAAGCAACACTTCCCTGTTTTTATTTAGCTCAAGGCTCTAGCCAAAAAGCAGCTGCCTGCCTAATGGTTGCTAAATGCCAGGGCAGTTGGGGCGCGGTGGTGGGGGAACAGTATTTAAACCTCAGGGAACGCCTGTTCTCAGTGTGAGCCGCACAGGGCAAATCAAAGTGCCTTCTATTTTTTGAGGGGGATAATTTCCCATGGTAGAAGGTTGTCATGCTTTTGGGGGTCATCCTAGCCTGATTAGCCTGTTAATTCATATTGTCAGAGAGACGGGACACATTTTTTAGGGTCATGCGGAGACCTGAACAGCTGCTCAGCCTTCATCTCTTCTGCTTCCCCAATGACTAAAGGAATTCTATGGTTTAAGGAAGACCAAGGGGACCACTCCTTTAATTGTACTCATTGAAATTTTTTATTTGAATTCGTGAAAACTTACTCCTAAGTAAGACTAAGGACTTAGGACTTGGGGACTAAGACTTTACAGAGAGAGGCTCTTCTATCCCCAAGAATCCCTTTTATGTTGGAATGCTGGTAGTTTAGCTCAGGGTCTTGCACGTAGGAGATGCTCACTCAATGTAAACATTGAATGAATGAATAAAATGAAGGAGTAAATAATTTTTCCGACTCTGACCATCATAGATCATCTAGTAACAAGGAGATGATAGTAATGCCTAGTGATACTGTCATCAAAAGTTTAAACGGTTTGGTAAAGGGGCAAGTGACATCAGCAATGCTTGGCTCTTGCTAGTTTATAAATTTCACGAAAAGCACCCTTGGCTATCCACACTCCTTGTGGATGTCAATGACTCAGGCATCTGGAACAAGTGCTTGCTGGGGGTGAATGGTGCTTGGGGTAAATAGATAGTTTTAGAAATTGTCTCTGCTGCGGAGAACGTACAAACCAAGTAGACTTTTATTATCCGAGTTATCATTTGGCTATAGTTTCTCTGCCCTACACTCTTTTCCCTGCAACTTTCCCTGCTTTAAGGTGATACCGAGTTTGCATACTTTTTGGGCTGCTTAGAACTATGGCCTTGGGTGAGTTACTAAACCTCTCTCAAGGTCAGCTTCCTTATCTGAAAAGGGAAGATACTGGCACTCTACCTCGGGGTTACTGTAGTGCAGGTGTGTGGCACAGAGAAAGTACTGGACAGACGACTACAGTCACAGAAGGTTATGTGGCCCTTCCTGCTGTCCAGATACGGCCCAAAGCTGAAGCCAGAAGGGCACAAGTACTCCTTTCTTTTTTCTTTTTTTTTTAGATGGAGTCTCGTTCTGTCACCCAGGCTGGAGTGCAGTGCCGTGATCTTGGCTCACTGCAACCTCCACCTCCCGGGTTCAAGTGATTCTCCTGCCTCAGCCTCCCGAGTAGCTGGGACTACAGGCACGTGTCACCACGCCCAGCTAATTTTTCGTATTTTTAGTAGAGACGGAGTTTCACCATGTTAGCCAGGATGGTCTCCATCTCCTGACCTCGCGATCCGCCTGCCTCGGCCTCCCAAAGTGCTGGGATTACAGGTGTGAGCCACTGCGCCCGGCCACAAGTACCCCTTTCCAAAACAGGAGAGATGCCACTGAACTTCCCACGGGTGAGGCCATTCCAGTAGAACCTGCACAACACCCCCGACACCCCCATCCCAGGCCAGTGGACAGAAGGAAAGGACCCGAAAAACAGGAGGGGTCAGAAGCCACCTTTTAGAGGGTGCTGAGTTCACAGTCAGAAGATATTTTCTCCCTTCCTTCACACTTTGTCGTACCCAAGCCAAATGAAGGTGCTTTAAGAGAGTCATTCGTCAAGATTGTGGGGACCTGCCAGGAGGGCAGGTGGGCATCTTATTTCCAACCAATCTTTCTGCAGATCCATCACACGTGTGCAATACAGCAACAGAGCTCGCAGAGTTTTGGGGGTGTATTCTGGGAGTCTAGAAGTGCTCTTCCACTCATGGTAAAAATAGGGGGTGCTTGACATGTGGTCCCTGAAGTTGGGGGCTTTATGTGAACCTGGGGACTGTTTCTGCCCTAGGGATCTCTGAGAGGGGGAGGGGTGCAGCTGGAGTGGCTCATGCCAGCAGGGCTCATGCAGCAAAATGCGAGGAGGGAGGTGACCTCACCCCATCCCAGTTCTCAGACCTGAGGGTGCCAAAGAGAAGCCTGGCTGTTCCCATGGCTCTGTGGGAAGGGGCTGCCCCAGGGGGCTGCTGGAACCAGGCATCCGTATCTACCTTGGAGAAAGGAGTGAGGGGCACAGATTTCTGGCCCAACAAGAGGGTGCCAGGATGAAACTAAACACTGTCTCCTTGCCTTCGATATCTACACACATCACCTACCCAGGAATCAGTCTTTCCTCTGGCTCTGCAGAGCCACAGGGCCAGATGAAACAACAGAGATGCCAGCCACTTAAGGAGACCTGTCACCCATTCTTCGTCTCTGTGCCCAGGTCAAAAGAGGACAAGCGATATCTCAGAAATGGCCCACGAGGCACCAGACCCACTGCCAGTTCACGGGTGGAGGTGGGGAACAGCTCTATCCTTGAAACTAAACAAACAGGACTAGACCACTGGATCCATTAAAAAGTAATTAAAGATAGAGGTGGAGCAGTAATTAAGAGAAAAGACAAAAAAAATTCCTTATTTGTATGCTAAGGCTCCTCAAATCAGGAAATCAGCGATCTATATACGTACTATTAGCATAAGAAAATCTAGAATGGGCCAGGAACAGTGGCTCATGCCTGTAATCCTAGCATTTTGGAAGGCCGAGGCGGGAGGATCATGAGGTCAAGAGATCGAGACCATCCTGGCCAACATGGTGAAACCCCGTCTCTACTAAAAATACAACTATTAGCCGGGCGTGGTGGCAGGTGCCTGTAGTCACAGCTACTCGGGAGGCTGAGGCAGGAGAATCGCTTGAACCTGGGAGGCAGAGGTTGTAGGGAGCTGAGATCGCACCACTGCACTCCAGCCTGGCAACAGAGTGAAACTCCGTCTCAAAAAAAGAAAAAAAAAAAAGAGAAAGAAAATATAGAATGGTGGTTTAGAGAGGGGTTTCTGTTTGATGGAAGTTAATTTACTTAACTTCTCTGTGCTTCATTTTCCTCAGCCAGAGTAATAGTATAGGCCGATGGTGGTCTACGGTGATTAAACACAATGATCAGGTAAAATTCTTGGAATGATGCCTGGCATACAGCAAATGCTCAATAAATGCTAAGTTCTACTGCTATTCTTAAACCGTGTTCACCTTAAGTACATGAACAGAACCTGAACTATCAGGCTCATAATGTATTAGCTAGCCTATCAAGTTTCTGGAAGCAATGCAAAATCCCGTTATAAAGCGACTCACAGTTTCTCTTTGTGTGGGAAATCAAAACACCTCTGGAGATACAATAATGCATAGTACAGTTCTTGATTTAACACAGAAACCTGGAAAAAGGTATTTTCTTGGCCTGAGGTCTACCGATACTCCCTTTTGTGGTTCACATGAAAGCTGAGTTGGCACAACCTTGTAGACAGTGTATTTTTGGCCTGGGTTATTTGGATGAGCAGCTTGCTGTTATCACATAAACCACCTCGTTCTCTTTGCTTCTCTTCATTTCATATCTAAGTAGATACAGCTTTTTCCTTTTAGCTGCCAGGAAACATTTCCGGACAGAATGTCATGTCATTTTCTAAAGCAACAATACATTAAAACTCAAGGCAACAGTCAATCTGAATGAAAATGACACAAATATAGAGACACAATCTCGGAATTGCAAAAACAAAAAATAAAGCTTTCATTCTTCAGCCCCAGCCATCTGATCTCATTGATTTCTGTGCCCATGTTCCTGGCATCTGTTAAAATATTGCCAGAGCCAGTGGAGCTTGACCGGTTAAGATGTTAATTTCTCCGCTATCTCCCAAAACACGTCGCGTGTTCATGGACTCAGAAGGTTTAGATTCAATCACACGTGAGCACTTGCCTGCTTGGGCAGCTGGACTTTTCGATGATGAGTATGTAAGAGCTGATGGGTAGGTTACACCCTTTTTGGGTTTACTTTCTGCAAAAAAGAGAAAAAAAAAACGAGATTTATTTCTAGAGCTAGAGGTTTTAGATGGTTCTGTACTAAGTTGATTCTGTCCTTTCAATTTATCTCTCTTCAGTTCAATAAAATCAGTCTCCCTCATGCTGAATAGTTGATTACAATGAGAATGTCATGTGGCATTTTGTTTTCCTGTATAGCTTGTGTTTTATTACTATTAGAATGGAAGCAACCAACTCTCCATGATTCAGAGTTGCTTAACATCAGCAATCCTTCTTTCACCCGTGAAGATGTGACATGGAAGTGAAGGTTTTTATCTGTGTGGCTTCGAATGTTTAATTGTATCAGTAGGTGAACGGGAAAGCCCTCCACATGCTCTCCTTTGAGATGATGGAGTGCTCCGGTCATAGGCTCACTTTCACAGACCGTGTGGGATTCATTTGAATTTCATAGCAGTAGTAAAACCTAAAAGTAGGTAAATATAGGTCAACCTTGAAAATAACCATGTGTTGCTCACCCAGGGGGAGACACGGTAGCTAGCAGGCAAGGAAGAGGAATGGTAACGTCTATTAGGGAAAAAAATAAGCATAAAAAAATTGCCAAAGTCTTCTTCTGACCATAAAAGGACGCCTGAAATTCCACCATATGGTCTTTGTTCCACAAGTAAAGTGAGAATGCCACTGGAATACAGTAAGCCCCCTGAAGGCAAGTCATTTTTCTGACTTGGTAACGGTTGAATTTTCAGAGCTCAAAGCAATTTGTTCCTGGCGTGAAGCAGTTGCTCAAGAAGTATTTATTCAGTGGGGGAATATCTTAAAGCTTAGATCTCTGTTAAAATTAAAATACCTTGGTAGGGGTACTACCTGTTAGCCAATATTACATCTAGTAATGAAAGCATTTCTTCTCCCATCTGGAGGGAATACTTTTACAGGATGCGAAGATGGTAAGCAGTGTGGCACAGAGAACCTAGGTGGGTGGAGGAGGATCTAGGGCACTATCTTGCCAACCATCCTGCTGGCACAGGAATCGTAGGGTCATGAAGCAGAAAGAATAGCAGGGTCTAGGTAAGAACCTAGGATTAGGAGTAAGACAATCTAGGTTTCTGTTTCTGTTTTACCTTTAATTAACTGCCCCAACCTTTGAGGCTCTTGTGTTTTCATTCACAAAACAGGAATAATGACACGGCCCTGCTTACTACACAAGATTGTAGACATCTAATGGAAAAAATGTTAAAATGTTTTGGAACTATGTATCTCCATAGAGATGCAAAAATTTCTTCTGGTGTTACCTATAAATGCCACGTGTTTGGGCTTACTTGCATTACTTTACCTCATTAGAATCACCTGGGGAACAGGACTGGCATTTCCAAGTCCTCCACCAATGTCAAGGCCTGCTCCAAATGACAATGACTGAGGTTATTTTAGGCCCAGAGAGGGCCCCATGGCTGTGGGCCACACTTTATCTGCAGAAAGCGAGGAAGAGACATCTTCTCTATTTATTGATCTAAAACGTGATTTTTTTTTCTGTTTCTATTCAGAAGGAAAAGGAGCATGAGCTCAGTTCCCTGAAATGTGGATCAAAGGATAAAAGGGAAGTATTAGGGGGTCCCTCACTGACATTTCATATCCCTGGACTGTGTAAAGATCATGCGGGCCGTAAACGTACATCTCCTCTTTTGCTCCCCCTCTTAGCTCACCAAAGTGAATTAGTTAAGGAGCTCAGGGGCATATGAAAATTAGAAATAAAAACCTAGAGAAAGATCATGGTGGCACCTGAGCCTTCAGAAGAGGATTCGGACATCATGCAGTTAAACTTGCTGGCCATGAACCTCTGGATAATGGGAAGCATTCCTTGGCTGCCAGTCAGTTATCAATGCTTATGCTGCAGTGAGCTCCTAACTCATCCATTCGAGAGAGGCTTCCAAGCCATTGCAGAAGCACAAATGTTTATTATCATTGGCAAAAAGTATTTTCGGTTAACTGTCACTAGGTCGAATGAGGGGAGATGGAAGTCGAGATTTATAGGGAATAATATCAGCAGATTGATTTTCACTTAAAAAGCCCAAAACATCTCTACTGCCATAGAATTAATTTTTCTTTTAAACCTCTGTTGAGATTCTTGGATTGCAGACTGAGCACTTAAGGCTGAAATGCTCTTATTCAGCCAGGATCTACTTGGTGAACACCTATGCGGAGATTATATTTCTCTCTGTCTCAACATATTTGTATTCGAGACATTAGCATTTTTATATGGCTCCCGTTGTGAATTTTTTGTTACAAGGCAAAAACCCCACAGTACTGCGGTTGATACCCTTCCGCTATCTGACAAAGAAACCAGTCTAATTTGAACTGTGGGCGTGTAGAATTTGGCAGGCAAAAGGAAACATGGATTGCTCAAGTTGAGAAGAATAGTAAAAGGTCTGTTTGTTGTCCTGCTAACGACTCTAATCAGTGGAGGACGGTAGGGGCTTGAGGCATGGGGTGCCTAGCAGTGCTAGAAAACCACCCAGATTGGAAGACCTACTGTTTTATGAAACATTTCTCTCTTCCCTGTTCAGCTAGTTTTCTATAAGTGACTCCTTCTCAGGACAGTCCCAAGGCACCTAATTTTGTTGGGAGGCCAGGAAGTTGGCTACAATCTAGTTTAAAATCCCATGGAACCGCCTTAGAGAAAATGGGAGATTCAGGTTTAGAGTAGGGTACGTATAAGGTGAGTATAGAACACTGTTAGGCTGGGCGTGGTGGCTCATGCTTGTAATCCCAGCACTTTGGGAGGCCGAGGTGGGCGGATCACCTGAGGTCAGGAGCTCGAGACCAGCCTGACAAACACGGAGAAACCCCGTCTGCACTAAAAATACAAAAATTAGCCGGGCATGGTGGCACATGCCTGTAATCCCAGCTACTCGGGAGGCTGAGGCAGGAAAATCGCTTGAACCCAGGAGGCAGAGGTTGCGGTGAGCCGAGATCGTGTCATTACGCTCCAACCTGGGCAACAAGATTGAAACTCCGTCTCAAAAAAAAAAAAAAAAAAATACTGTGTTGTCCTCAAGCACTACCGTGAACATGTCAAAAGCTTGAAGGGCTCCCACTGGGCAATCTCAGAAAATATGAGCACCAAAAAGAAAAATAAAGATAATAGATGATAACATTATATTTTTAAAAACAATCTATGAATCCATAGTCCACTTAAAAATAATAGGTGCAGAGGGGGAAAGCAACTCTTCTTTATATAAGAACACTAGCTAACAAATGTGGAAGGAATGACAGAATTAGAAAAAATTATAATTTTGCAATTACTAATGTAATACTTGTTACAGTGAGGATCGGCAATGGATGTTAAAATCACTGGGTGAAATTTGTTGGGGAACAAGCTACTCGAGCATGTTAAAGCATTACCCTACAGATGCTTATTAATTACGGGGTATCTTTGCCATGGACAGATATGGTAAAATATCCAGTGAATCAAACTTAGCATCACCAACAATGGAACAGACTGCCATTATATGCCTCTTGATATGGCCATTGTGTATGACACAATGGATTTGCTGTGACAATACCTATCTATCCACTTAACAGAAATCTCAAGGAATAAGGTTCTAGACATGAGGCACATTTGGCATAACTAAAGGACTGGTTTAAAAACCCAAGCTATTAAATGTAATTAATGTAATTAAAAATCTGATTGGACTTACAGATAACTGCAGTGTAATTAAAACAAGCATGTGGAGCCTTTTAGTATTTTCAGATATGACTTTGTGGTGATTTATCATGTAATTCTAATTTATTGTGTCGTGATTCTAATTATCAGAAAAACGAATGCTTCAGATTTTTATGAAATGAGGTGGGCCATAAACAAAAACCAACAGCACAATGAAAAGAGCACATTTCATCTTGTGGTAGGTTTAGCAGCGTTTCTCCAGTGTGTGGTCATACCTAAGACGATAAAGGATTCTCTCCATCGTGGTAGGGATAACGATTGGACACCGTTGGAATAACTCCCTTTGTAACCAGACTGTCCAGCAACCTTCCGAACAAGTATTTTCCCTCCTGAATTATCAAGCACACCACTATGAAGAGAAAAAATAATTTTTCAGGAAAGAACAGAAATATTTTTTGACGTGATCAACAGGCTAGAAAACCAGTCGCCATCTTTATTTACACATAGGAAAGCAGCAAGGTTAAGCAAAGTTTACCTTGACATGAAGCCCAACCCACAAGAATGGTGCCTCCACCAGCAGACCCAGCATCTGAGCTCCCAGGGTCAATGTCCTTCTCTTTCTTCTTATAGGAGCTGATTGTTCTGTCAGGGATTTCTTTTTGCCACCATGCCTCAGATTTCTTTTCCTTGGTTTTCTCATTCCCACTAGCTCTTTTAAGTAAAGCCTCTTTCTTGACAGTTTCCAATTTGGTTTTGTGATGGCACAGAATGAATTTAGTTATTCCAAAGGGTGATATAAAATGATGAAAAGTAAACACTCCTTTTTTTTTGGGTCAGGGAGGAAAGCTGTGCAGCTAAGTTAAACTCATTAAAAAAGCATCCCCCAAAGATGGAAAATTGTTTCTTTAAATTTCTGGGATTTTGCCAGGTTTTAGATCCTGATGGGACGGTGACTGACATATGAATGTCTTTCCTTTGATGTTAGGCAGGGTCTCCATCTGGTTGCTAGATTGCACTTTTACGTTGTCATTTCTTGCCCCAGAGTCGAACATGCATGGCTCCTTTGGGTATCCTTAATTTCTGGCACCGGGAGATGTAGATTTCTCCCCATCAACACCCTTCCTTCCCTCCAGGAGTGAAAGTTGCCATTTCCTGCCCTCCCACCTTCCTGATGAGTCAACAACGTTCAACCCTCAACCTCCCAGTGGCATAGAAGGAAAGAAAGTGCTAATACTACTCAACATGTAAAGCACTTAATTGCTTTAAAACTGTTCTCAACGTGTGGTGTCCCACTGGGTTCTCCCAGCATACCTGAGTTGTGGAGTGGAAGGAATGCTGTTATTGCCATTCATTCCATAGAAACAGGCTGTGTGAGGTTGCAGGACTCACCTGGGATTTTCTAACTAGTAAATTGCAAGAGGGATTTAAACCCAGGTTGAACTCACCTTAAGTCCTCAGTTTGTCCCTCTTGCTCCCATCTACCTCTCAAGAGTTCAAAAGCACAGGCACCTCCCTAAGCCAACTCCTCCTCACTCGCTCTCTTCTCTCCGGGCTCCCTGTGATTGAGTTCCCTCACATCTCCCGATGGCAGGCAGGCTGGTTTCAGCCATTCCCACTCCCATGGCTCTGACGATGCTGCTGTTTCACCCCAGAAGACCTGATTCCCTCTGCCTGACCAGGCCTGTGCTGCTGACAAAGGGCAGTGAGTTCCCAATTTCTCCTTCCCCACAGAGATTCTGACATGACTTTGCTACCTCCTTCCCTCCTTAGAATCTTGTTCTCACAACTTAAACTCTGATTTTGTTCCGTCTTGTACTACTTCCTAAAAATTTCTGGAGTTTATTTTGTCTCTCAACAAAATGGAAATATTTCTTATAGAAAGGATAGCATTTTATGTTTCCACATGAGAAGGTGCCGCGGACACCTGCTTTTGAGAGCCAATTTTTTTTTCTTCAACTTTTATTTTAAGTTCAGGGGTACATGTGCCAGATGTGCAGGTTTGTTACATAAGTAAGCACGTGCCATGGTGTTTTTGCTGCACAGATCATCCCATCACCTGGGTATTCGGCCCAGCATCCATTAGTTATTCTTCCTGATGCTCTCCCTCCCCCACCCCCCAACTCTGACAGGCCCCAGTGTGTGTTGCTCCCCAACTCATGTTTCCGTGTGTTCTCATCAGCAGCTCCCACGTATAAGTGAGAACATGCGGTATTTGATTTTCTGTTCTTGTGTTAGTTTGCTGAGGATAATGGTTTCCAATTTAATCCATGTCCCTGCCAAGGACATGATCTCATTCCTTTTATGGCTGCATAGTATTCCATGGTGTATATGTACCATATTTTCTCTATCCAGTCTATCATCGATGGGCATTTAGGTTGATTCCATGTTTTTGCTATTGTGAATAGTGCTGCAATGAACATATGTATGCATGTATCTTTATAATAGAATGATTTGTATTCCTTTGGGTATGTACCCAGTAATGGGATTGCTGGGTCAAATGGTATTTCTGCTTCTATGTCTTTGAAGGATTGCCACACTGTTTTCCACAATGGTTGAACTAATTCACACTCTGTGAGAGCCAATTGTTATGCTTTCAGGATTGGGTGAGCTGGCAAAGAAGCAGGATGCACAGGAGGCTTGACCAATGTAGGAGACACTGGAGGAGGAGGGAGAGAGTCTGAAAAAAGCTGTGGTTCCACTTACGAGGCAGATGGGGGCTCAGAGCCATGGTAATTTGGAGAATTTATGTAAATACCACCTCATCATTTGTATCACTCAGATGTAGGCACTTCATAGATATTCTCTGGAAAAGCAAACCCAGTTCCACTTCCTTGCATTCCTCAGGTGCCCTGCATGGTGCTGAGCATGGCCTTGATGTTCACCTCCTCCCTGATTGCAGTGCCAGGGGACTGGGATAACTGAGGGTCAGTCCCTTGGCTCAGAGAGAAGGGATAGTTCACTGCTAGGGCCAGGTGTCGAATGGCTGCTGTTCTGAGGGTGGGCACTGGTCAGAGATCAGCGTGAAGAGTGTCCTGCATGGAGCTGGTCTTTTCATTGCACCTTCTCAGGGAAATCTCTCCTCTCCCCTGCACTTGGCCATGCTTTAAACATAGGAGTTAGTTTAGGATAAGCCTGAGCCAAAATATGATGCCTCAAATATGTTCATTATCCCTTTGGTTTGAAGAAACTAAGGGAATTTCTTGTACTAAGACCTCTGATCATGATATAGAATATGAACATTAAACCCTTTAGTACAAATTAATCTGAGTTTCTAAACCAAAGTATACTGTCTCCAGTCTCCCACTTCTGACTGTTGGGACTCTGGCAGGACAATGGTTATAGATCCCCAATATACTTTCTGCTCATGTTCTCTACATCTTAAATCCTGCCTTCTGAAAACAGATTTGCACTGTTTGTGAAAAACAAAACAGATAGCTTCCAAAATTCCTATCTGTTTCCCCTTAAGACTTTTATTTATCTTCCCTTTGAATAGTGGTACCTCCTTCCAAATAGATTTTCCACTATATCAGTCACTAGTCTGGGAAGTCACAGTGGCACTCAATTGCTCAAGCAGCAAATCTTGTTTTTTGCAAAACAAGCGAATCAAGCTCTTCTCTTCTGCCCTTCTCCCCTCATTTATATTTTTCCCACCAAGTTCCTACACTCTAACCCAAAAGCTGGAATTATAGAGCCTTGGTCCTGTCAATGCCCTTCTTATTTTCTCCACAGGGCGCCTCCTTCTACCATAAAGCATTTCCCAACTTTCACTACTGTAAAGTCTACACCTTGCTTGAGTCCTCACTTTGTACGCTAAGCAGTGCTGGGACTCCCCAGTTCTTATGTCAATATATCACCTGGGCTCCGGGCTGGAAGTAAGGGGGCATGAGTTTTAATCCTCAATGTGGATCTAACTAGGAATTTATTTATTTATTCTGAGATAGGGTCTCACTCTGTTACCCAGGCTGGAGTGCAGTGGCGAGATCTCAGCTCACTGCAACCTCCGCCTTCCAGGTTTAAGCGATTCTTGTGCCTCAGCCTCCTGAGTAGCTGGCATTATAGGCACCCACCACCACACCCAGCTGATTTTCATATTTTTAGTAGAGATGGGGTTTCACCAGGTTGGCCAGGCTGGTCTTGAACTCCTGACCTCAGGTGATCTGCCCGCCTTGGCCTCCCAAAGTGTTGGGATTACAAGCGTGAGCCACCACACCCAGCTAAATTTTTTTGTATTTAGTAGAGACGGGGTTTTGCCACGTTGGCCTGGCTGGTCTTGAACTCCTGACCTCGGGTGATCTTCCCGCCTTGGCCTCCCAAAGTGTTGGGATTACGGGCATGAGCCACCACGCGTAGCCCTAACTAGGAATTTAATTAGCTTTTTGATACCTCGGTTTCTTATATAACAAATGAGGATGCTAACAATAACCTCATGAGGGTGATGAGATGCTGCTAGAAGGAGAGAATCACAGTGCAAAAGATTACATGTTATTTTTTTTTCTTCTTTTTTTTTTTGAGACAGAGTCTTGTTCTGTCACCCAGGCTGGAGTGCAATAGTATGATCTTGGCTCACCGCAACCTCCGCCTCCCAGGTTCAAGCGATTCTCCTGCCTCAGCCTCCCGAGTAGCTGGGATTACATGTGTGCACCGCCATGCCCAGCTAATTTTTGTATTTTTAGTAGAGACGGGGTTTCACCATGTTGGCCAGGCTGGTCTCGAATTCCTGACCTCGTGATACGCCCATCTTGGCCTCCCAAAGTGCTGGGATTACAGGTGTGAGCCACCGCACCTAGTGATTACATGTTATTTTAATGTCATCTTTGGTGAGGTCAAATTTACTCTTGTGGCTCTATACTGCCTCGGAAGTGTGAAAGTGCAAGAGAGACCCAGCAAGTGCCAGAGGAAGCAAGAACGAATCATCTAGGATCAAAATTGAAAAAAATACAAGCAACCTTAAGACAGGCTCACCCTTTGCAGCAGATGTCACTTTCTACACAGACACTGGAGTGTGTACAAAGACACAGACTGGAGAGGGCTGATGGTGCTGTGGGCTGGAAGTATGTGTGGGAGGCATGTATGGGTGTGCAAACACGTGTGCGTAGATTTGTATAACTTTTCCCTTTTAGTATGAAATTGATTTCAGGGTGAAAGCAAAATATTTTTATTTCATAGTCTGAAGTTATGAAATAGCATTCAGTGATTTTTATTCCGTAGTCTGGAGTTATGGAACAGCTTTTCGTGTCGTTTTTCTTTAATGTTTTACTACTTATCCTTAATAGAGCTTTTGTAATCCCATTCCCTTTGAAAAACCAGTTCACTCCTCGTCCCTCTGCAGTAATGGGGAAAAGATTACTATAGCCAATGAAATCTACTAGTAATTCTTAAACTTTATTTTATGCATAGTTTTTGTCTTACTGCTCCCTCAAATTTCAGAGAGTCTACTAACTAGACACCTTGACATAGAATGAATTTTATATATTTTCTCTCCCTTGCAGAGGTACAACTGAACAATCAACCCACTTATGTGCAAAAAAGGAAAAGGAAAAAGATACCAGAAATCTGAATAATTCAGAAATTTTATCCAGCATCCAGTAGCCAAGTATCGACTCCCGAGTCACATCTCAAAGCTGTCCTGGGCAGCAGTTAGGAGTACAGGTGCTGCAGTCAGCTGGACTTGGGTTTGAGTCCCCACTATGATACTTTTTAATAGTATGGCTTTAGAAAAGTGATTCAACCTACCTTCACCTTTAAGATGTGCATAAGAGTAGTAGAAACTGCACAGAGGAATTATTGTCAGGATTAAATAAGATAAAGAAGGTAAAGTGCTTGGCACATACAGGCTAGTCTTAATGCCAAAGATATTAAGTAAGCATACATTTATCTATGTTTTGACCATAAACTTAAGCAAGAGTGGTATGAGGATTCTGTTACGGTATCTGCATTTAGGTAGTGACTTAATCCAAAGCATGCCATGCCTCCTGTCTTCCTTCCTGCATCCTAGACCAACAGCTGACCAAGTGGTATTACCTGTCACCCTTCTCCACTTTCCCCATCCCCATTTTTCTCCAACCCATCACCATAGCTGTGATATTTCTTCCTCCAAACTTTTGGGCCTTCCTTGGTAACATCTCCATAATTTCCTTGCTCAGCACATACAGGTAGAAAAAATGAGTTTATATCATCAAGAACTTTGGATTCCTTTTCATGAACATGAAAGAGTACAATTCTCTTCCTCTCCCCATCAAAGTGTAAAGAGAAGTCAGTTGTCCTTTTTTATGGAGTGCTATGATGAAAGATGCAGGACCATGCATGACTTCCAAGTCATCCCTCCACAGTAAGGTCGACGGAGAAAACACGGGATGCTCAGTTAAGTTTGTACGTTTTTCAGGGAGGGCGTCAAGATGATTGACTACACAGCTGGGAAGTGCTTCTCTCACAGAAAAACCAAATATCAAGTAAACCATCACACTTTGAACAGACGTTTTGAGAGAAAACACTGAAAGTCAATAGAGAGGCAATGCAGACACAGAGGTGAAAAAAGGAGGAAGCTAGCAACCTTGCACGAAGTTGCTGAGTGCCAGGACTAGCTCAGTCCTGAACAGGACCTGACGAAGATGTTAGTGAAGAAACTGTGGGGCAAAGAAGCTCAACAAGATTCAGAAGATAGTTGAAACCTAATCCAAGGAAGCCCATAAAATGATCCAAGACTTGAAAGACTACATAGCCATTTTAAGAAAGAACCAAACTGAACTTCTGGGATTGAAAAATTTACTACAGGAATTTCATAATACATTTGGAAGCATTAACAACAGAGTAGATCAAGCTGAGGAAAGAATCTCCAAGCTTGAAGACCAGTTCTTTGAATCAACGCAGTCAGACAAAAATAAAGAAAAAAGAATTTAAGAAATGAAGAAAACCTCTGAGAAATACAGACTTATGTAAAGTGACCAACCAAAGGAGGCTGTGACTCATTGGCCTTCCTGAGAGAGAAGGAGAGAGAGTAAGCAACTTAGAAAAGATATTTGAGGATATATAGTTCATGAAAATTCCCTCAGTCTCACTGGAGAGGTCAACATACAAATTCAAGAAATTCAGCAAATCTCTGTGAGTGAGATACTATGCAAGATGACCATTCTGAAGGTAGATAGTCATCTGATTCTCCAAGGTCAAAGTGAAAGAAAAACGTCTTAAAGGTAATCAAAGGGTCAGACCACCTACAAAGGGAACCCCATCAGGCTAACAGTGGACTTCTCAGCAGAAAGTTTACAAGCCAGAAGAGATTGGGAGCCTATTCTCAGCACCCTTAAAGAAAAGAAATCCCAACAAAAATTTCGTATTCTGCCAAGCTAAGCTTCATAAGCAAAGGAGAAATAAAACACTTTTCAGATAAGCAAATGCTAATACAACAGGGCCTTAAGGGAGTTCTAAACATGGAAATGAAAGAACGATACCTGCTACCACAAAAACACACTTAAGTTCATAGCCCAGAGACCCTATAAAGCAACTACACAACCAAGTCTACAAAACAACCAGCTGACAACATTATGATCAGGTCGAAACCTCATATATCAATATTAACCTTGAATGTAAATGGTCTAAATGCTCCAATTAAAAGGCACAGTGTGGCAAGTTGGATTAAGAAACAAGACCCAGCCATCTACTGTCTTCAAGAGACCATCTCACACGTAATAACACCCATAGGCTCAAAGTAAAGGGATGAAGAAAGATCTACAGAGGTCACTATTCTTATATCAGATTTTAAACCAACAACAGTAAACAGACAAAGAAGGGTATTACATAATGATAAAGAGTTCAATTCAACAAGAAAACTATCCTAAATATATACAGACCCAATATTGGAGGACCCAGATTCATAAAACAAGTACTTCTAGTCCCATGGAAAGGCTTAGACAGCCATGTGATAATAGTAGGGGACTTCAACACTCCACTGACAGTGTTGGATCCTTGAGACAGAAAACTGACAAAGAAATTCTGGACTTACACTCAACATTTGATCAGTTGGCTCTAATAGACATCTACAGAATACTCCACCAAACAACCACAGATACACATTCTTCTCATCTGCACATAGAACATACTCTATGATTGACCACATGTTTAGTTATAAAGCAAGTCTCAATAAATTAAAAAAATTTGAAATCACACCAATCATACTCTTGGAACACAGTGCAATAAAAATAAAAATCAATACCAAGAAGATCTCTCAAAGCCACACAATTATATGGAAATTAAACAACCTACTCCTGAATGACTTTTGGGTAAACAATGAAATTAAAGCAGAAATAAAAAACTATTGAAATTAATGAAAATAGAGACACAACATACCAAAATCTCTGGGTTGCAGTGAAAGCGTTTTGAGTGGAAATTTTATAGTACAAAATGCCTATATCAAGAAGTTCTAAATATCTCATATTAACAATCTAATATCACACCTTAGAGGAAATATAAAAATAAGAACACACTAACATAAAAGCCAGTGGGAGAAAAGAAATCACTAAAATTAGAGCAGAACTGAATGAAACTGAATTGTGAAAATCCATATAAAACATCAATGAAACCAAAAGTTTGTTTTTTGAAAGGATAAACAAGATTGATAGACCACTAGCTAGATTAACAAAGGAAAAAAGAAAGAAGACCCAAAAATGCACAATCTGAAATGACAAAGATGACATTGCAACCAATCCCACAGAAATACAAAAGTTCTTCAGAAACTATTTTGAAGACTTCTGTGCACACAAGCTAGAAAATCTACAGGAAATGCATAAAGTCCTGTAAACACACAACCTCCCAAGATTGAACTAGAAAGAAAATCCTAAACAGACCGCTAACAAGTTTGGAAATTGAATTAATAATAAAAAACCTACTAACCAAAAAAAAGCCCTGGACCAGATAGATTCACAGCCAAATTCTACCAGAAGTACCAAGAGCTGGTACCAATACTACTGAAACTATTCCAAAATATCAAGGAGGAAGGAATCCTCCCTAACTCATTTTAAGAAGCCAACATCATCCTGATACCAAAACCTAGTTGAGACATGTGAAAAAAATAAAACTACAGACCAATATCTCTGATGAACATAGATGCAAAAATCCTCAACAGAGTGCTAGCAAACCAAATCCAGCAGCACATCAAAAAGCTAATTCACCGCAATCAAGTAGGCTTTATTCCTGGGATGCAAGGTTGGTTCAACCTATGCAAATCAATAAAAATGATTTACCATATAAACAGAATTAAAAACAAAAACCATGTGATCATCTCAATAGACACAGAAAAAGCTTTTGATAAGATCCAATATCCTTTCATGATAAAAACTCTCAACTGACTAGATATTATAGGAACATAACCTCAAAATAATAAGAGCTATCTATGACAAATCCACAGCCAACATCGTACTGAATGGGCAAAAGCTGGAAGCATTCCCCTTGAGAACTGGAACAAGACAAGCATGTTCACTCTCACCACTCCTATTTCACATAGTACTAGAAGTCCTAGCCAAAGCAACCAGGCAAGAGAAATACATTAAAGGAATTTAAATAGGAAAGGAAGAAGTCAAACTCCCTCTCTTCACTGATATGACTCTATACCTAGAAAACCCTAAAGACTCCACCAAAAGGCTCCTTGAGCTGATAAATGATTTCAGTAAATTTTCCGAATACAAAACCGATATATAAAAATCAGTAGCATTTCTGTATATAATGTTCAAGCTGAGAGCCAAATCAGAACACAATCCCATTTACAGTAGCCACAAGAAGAAGAAAATGCTTTGGAATACATCTAACTGAGGAGGTGAAAGATCTCCACAAGGAGAATTGTAAAACACTCCTGGAAGAAGTCAGAGATGACATGAACAAATGGAAAAATATTCCATGCTCATGGAGTGGAAGAATCAATATTGTTAAAATGACCATACTGCCCAAAGCAATGTACAGATTCAACATTATTTTTATCAAACTGCCAATGAAATTTTTCACAGAATTAGAAAAAACTATTCTAAAATTCATATGGAATAATAAAAGAGCCTGAAGAGCCAAAAAAACTCTAAGCAAAAAGAAAAAAGCTGGAGGTATCACATTATCAGACTTAATACTACAAGGCTACAGCAATCAAAACAACATGGTGTCAGTACAAAAACCGGACATGTAGACGACGGAAAAGAATAGAAAACTCAGGAATAAAGCCATACACCTGCAACTATCTGATTGTCCACAAAGTTGACACAAATAAGCAATAGGGAAAGGATTCCCTATTCAATAAATAGTGCTGGGGATAACTGGCTATCCATATGCAAAAGAATGAAACTGGATCCCTCCCTATCAACATATACAAAAATTAACTCAAGATGGATTAAAGACTTACATGTAAGACTTCAAACTATAAAAATCCTAGAAGAAAACCTAGGAAATACCCTTCTCGACATTGGTCTTGGCAAAGAATTTATGTCTAAGTCCTCAAAAGCAATTGCAACAAAAACAAAAATTGATGAGCAGGATCTAATTAAACTAAAGAGCTCTGCACAGCAAAAGAACCTATCAGTGGAGTAAATAGAAAACCTATAGAAAGAGAGAAAATATTTGCAAACTATGCATCCAACAAAGGTCTAATATCCAGAATCTATAAGGGACTTAATCAAACAATCAAAAAACAACCACGTTAAAAAGTGGGCAAAGGACACAAACAGACATTTCTCAAAAGAAAACATACAAGCAGCCAACAAACATATGAAAAAATACTCATCATCACTAATCATCAGAGAAATGCAAGTCAAAACCACAATGAGATACCATCTTACACCAGTCAGAATGGCTTTTGTTAAAAAGCCAAAAAATAATAGATGTTGGTGGGCTGCAGAGAAAAGGGAATGCTTATACATTGTTGGTGGGAATGTAAATTAGTTCAGCCAATGTGGAGAGCAGTTTGGAGATTTCTCAAAGAACTAATGAACAACCATTTGACCAGCAATCCCATTGCTGACTATATATACCCATTGCTGGGTATATACCAAAAGGAAAATAAATCCTTCCACCAAAAAGACACATGCACCAGTATGTTCGTTGCAGCACTATTCACAATAGCAAAGACAATGGAACCAACGAAGGTGTCTATCAGTGATGGATTAGATAAAGAAAATGTGGTACATATACACCATGGAATACTATGCAGCCATAAAAAAGAGCAAATTTTGTCCTTTGCAGCAACATGCATGCAGCTGGAGGCCATTATCCTAAGTGAACTAATGCAGAGACAGAACACCAAATATTGCATGTTCTCACTTATAAGTGGGAGCTAAGTATGGAGTACTCATGGATGCAAAGATGGGAACAACAGATACTGGGGAATACAAGAAGGGGGAAGGAGGGAGGTGAAGCCTGAAAAGCTACCTATTTAATACTATGCTCACTTCCTGGGTGATGGGTTCATTTGTACTCCAAACCCCAGCATCATGTAATATGCCTTTGTAACAAACCTGCACATGTACTCCTGGAATCTAAAATAAGAGTTGAAAAAAAAAATTAAAAAAGAGCAATGTCTCAGTGACCTGTGGGATAATTTGAAGTAGTGTAACATAAAGTTTCAGAGGGAGAGGCTGGGGCCAGGGCAAACAAGAATATTTGGAGACAGTTGCTTAAAATCCCCAAATTTGATGAACTATTTAAGCTCTATGACTCTCAATCGGGATAACAAAGAAAACTCCACAAGAGCACATTATAACCACATCTTTGAGAACAAATGATAAAGAGAAAATCTTAAAAGTAACCAAAGGAAAATGACACATTATGTATAGAGGAGCAAAGATAAAAAATGAATACAGACTTGTCATCTGAAACTATGCAAGGAGACAATGAAGCATAATAAAGTGCTGAATGAAAGAAGAAAAAAACAACTGTTGGCTAGATTTCTATATCCAGTAAAAGCACTTTTTAAATGAAGATTAAATAAAGATTTTGAGCTAAAAAATATTTGTATATTTTTGCTTGCTAAATATGGCAACCTTGCATGGGGGCTCCCTGCCAACACCCTGATTTCTAGTTAGTTATTAAGTAGCTCAGAACCACTCACCTGTGTACGGCAGCGCCACACACACTGGAGTAGGATGCATACACGTCAGTGCCATAAACATGGTATTTGGGGTCTTGGCATCCTGCTGGACATTTCACAATGAACTCAGGATCGATGATCTTTCCGGCTTTGACATCGCAGTTGATCTGAGGCACAGCTGGGAATACAAAATGAGGTCAAAATTACACCTTGTGCTATTAGTTTATCTGTGGGGTGACACTGTTAGGTCTCAACTATTGACTTAATCTCTAAAAGCCAGAGCCTGGGCCGACTCTACATCCCCTCCCTATAATGAAAGCAAAGATGTAATTAAGACATTTCCCAGACCAAAAGAACCACAATGACCATTCATTGCCTTTAACCTGCTGAGAACAAAAGCAAAAGGCTGATTCCTGTGCTTATTGAAATAACCAATTAACAAAGCAGAGATCTCTGAGAAAAGACCACCCACCTCCAGTGGCCAGAAATGTTATCTTGAGTCAATGGCAGGAGAGTACTGGTCTTTCAGATGCTCTGTAGCTAACCCAGCCTTACAAAAGGAAGGAAAAGTATTCCAGGAAGGGCATACGGTGGGAGCATTGGAGTTAGGAATGACCTGGACAAGGTTGGCTTGTGGGTAGGGACTCCATTATGGGGCCTGGTGGGAGGATGGTAGATTGGTAGGGATGGACCAAATTAAGAAGGCTTGCATGCTTGTGTTCTATGTAGGATGTGGAAGGCAATGAAAGACTTCTGGACAGGGAAGACAGGTCAAAAACATGATATTTTGTCTTGGTCCTAGAGGATCCTCTAGGCTTAGATCTGAAGTCATAATGGGAGAGATCTTTTCTTATCTGCCTGAACGCTTGATGGAAAGCTGGGAACTCTCTGGCTGAGCATCCAGGGGAAGCTCATTCATTCTTCCCTCCCTCTGTTTTGGCTTTGCTATTGCTACTGCCAGCCTCACTTCATCCAGTAGGCAAGTTTGCTGAAGCTGAAAGGTTGCCTGGGGATGAGGTGGAGTAGATGCTCTATTGACTGTATCCCAGAAGGGGTAGGACTGCAATTTCCCTGCAAAGATTTTTCCTCAATAACTCCAGAAGGAAAAGGTCCAAGGTCCCCTAGAGGACACTTTACTGGTGCCTTTTGATCTGGGAATATATTCAGTTCTGGCCCCCATTCTTCAGAGGGAACTTTAAAACGTGAGCACAGTCCAAAGAGGCAGCAGGCTTGGGAATGGTCTGGAAATTACCAAATGAAAGGGATGGTTTGTAGAAATGGGTCATTTGGGCATGAGGAAGCAAGAATTGGAGGCAATGATAGTTATCTTCACAAGTAGGATTGTTGTGTGCTGTGATGCCAGAGGGTGAGCTAGAACTTAAAGAACAGACTTTCTATAGAGGCAAATTTTGCCAAGAAGAACTTTCTAGGAACTGAAATTGTCCGTGAAGGACTGAGCTGCCCCAGGAAGCAGTGAGTGGGGTGTTGGTAGAAGTATGCAAGTGGAGACTGAACAGTTACAGAGAGGATTTCTACATTGGGTGAGGAGTAGAATAAAACCTCTCCCAATGCTAAGAGTCTGTAATTCACAGACTCTTGGATCCAGGAGCTCTGCCAGGCCACCCACCCTCTAACTGGGTTCCTGAGATGGTCTCAGAGTTGCTAATGGCTTCCAGCTGTATCCAAAAAGCATATTCTTTTTTAACCCTTGTGTACCTGAATGAGGAGAATTGCATTTCATTCAGGCTGGAGAGAGAACTGAAGTTTTATGCTCTTTTCTTAAACACCCATCCCAGACAATCTTTGCTACTCAGGGCTGGGCCAACAGGGAACTTCTGCTGGGAACCGAGGGGTTGAGTTTGATCACAGGCTTAAGCAATTAGTGGTTTACATTAAGAAGTAGAGCGCTGTGCTTCAAACAGTTTTGTGGTTTCATTCTCCCCATCAAAGGTTGCCTCCTCGCCGGCTATTTTCTTTTTACCTTTCATTCTTTTAAACTCTGATACTCAAGGCTGCATTTACTATTATGAGTCTCAGAGTATTTTTTAAAGGCATATTTTGGGATGAAGATGCCAGTGTGGTCTCTCTTCAAATTAGTGAATTGTTTGATTCCTGGATGTAACTGTGTGTTCAACTCTCCTCTTTTCCCCAGATCACTTCCTCACTCCCAAATGCATCTCCTCCCTTAGAGGTAAAGAAAATGAAAGATTTCTTCTTTGTTCTTAATTTTTTGAAATAGGAAGTGACAAGCTGTGTGCATTAAGATTAAATTTTGATGTGACTCTGGCACTGTGAGATTTTGAATGTCCTGTCAGACCAACTAAATATTTTGGGGTTGTGTAAACGAGTCTCTATCTGGAAGCTTATTTCATGAGTATTAGACAATGATCAAACCTGTTGAAAGACTTCTGGGTGCACATATTACATGCAGTAAGATCTTCCATGAAATAATTGGTTTAAAAGACAAGGGAAAATGTCACATTTTACTTCCTGCTAATCAATTTTCCCTCCTTTCTTTAAGGGGGCACTTGTTTTTTGTTTGCTTGTTTATTTTGTCTTTTTTTTTCCCCTTACAAATGTCAGGGAAGTACCTTAAATAAGATCTGCTTTATCTGCACCTAACCAGATTAGCAAAATTGGTGGATTCACTCATTAATTTGTCCCACGGGGGAAAAAAATGAAATCAGGCACGTGTGTTCATGCACTTTGAAAAAACAGGGAGCCACGGTAAAGTGTGGCTAAAGGTAAAAAATTTGTTAAATTTGTACAGAAAATTAAGCTGGAGAGAGTGAACTAGTTAAATTTTGCAGAGTGATTGCCAAAATTATTAAAAAGTGTAATGTCTATGTTCAGCCAGGAAAAAGCAGGCATTTGCATCTTTCTGGCAGCTCTTCTTTAAGTATATGGAAACTATGGTTTGTTTCTCTACAATATTTTCCCAGTTATTTGTGAGGTAGTCTGTTTTCTTGTAACAGCCAAAGAATCTTCCACCGCTCCACTTAAGGCCCAGATGAAACGGATGTTGGCCTTTCCTCTGAAGGTCTTTGAACTATTCAGTGCTCGCAGCTTAGGTTTTCCTTTCTTCCTCTTTCTTTGGTTGTTAAGGTTTATTCGTATCTCCCTTCCCCCTTCTCTGAGTTTGATCCTAAAAGTGCAGAAAATCGGATTTCCTTAAGAAGATAAGCTAAAATTAAGGCAGCTCAAGAAGTATCAGTTGTAGGTCTAAAGGGAGCGGGAAGACATTTGGCAAATGCCAGAACAGTCAGAGGGGAATGCTGTGTCCCCACAGCTAACCTCAGGTGAAAAATTATTTGTAAGTTCTAAAAAGAACTTATTCTGGAACCTTTGAAGAAAGCAAGACAAAAGCCTCTTCCATTCCTTCCGGACTGGACAGTTGCTAGCGTCCGTGAGGGAAAGTCCACACCAAAGCCACAGAGAGCCGTGGGGAGCCCAGACCTCTTGAGTGGCACCTTTGCACAGAAACCTGTTGCTTGGCCACCTGCTCCGCTTCTCCCTTTGCGACCCCACCCACCCACCGTCTCATATGATTCCTTAAGATAATCTTGCCTTCTCATAGACGCTCTCACTTTCGTATCAGAAATCACATTAGAGCACCTCAGTATCTGCCAAGGGTTCCTTCCCAAAGGCCCTTGGAACTAGCCACAGGGAAAAGAGAACCACCTGCAAACCAGATCGAACTGTAGGATTACCTTTAGGTCACTGAGGTTCATGTGTCCGCTGTAGTGATCTCACAAGGGTTCCTGGGCAAAAGGTCTCATCTCAGAACAGACAACTGGTACTATTTGAGTCAATTTTTAGTACAAAATTGGAATCTGAGAGGAAGAACTGCAAATATTTCTTCTGTTGGTTGGGTCTCCTGCCTAGGCTAATAACAGTGATTATTAGATGATGTCACATACAGCAAGCCGATTATGTAGTAGGCCAAATCAAACTGCAGATTCCTTATTTTGCCACTCATCTTTTCAGTAATCCCAGGCAAGCCACATTGCTTCTGGAGAACAAGTTTCCTTATCAACAAGCAATTATCGTAAGCTTGCCTCATGCCTGTTAATAAGGAAGAATTATTATTTTTATTTTTTTAATGAAGAAGAATTATAACATAAAAAAAATCACTTATGTATGAAAACTTTTAATATTAAACTTAATTTTGTTGCACTGTGATATTCAACTAGAGTAAAATCCTGTTTTTAAGAGAATTATGCAAAAAGTCCTCAGTTTAATGAAATAAAAATATCATTAATTTGAAGATGAATGCATTGTTCTCCTTGATCCTGATATCTAGGTCACTTTAATTCTTCCTTTGAAGCACCCTCTTTTGCAAAGCATTCTTATCCATTTTTCTTAAACAATCTTTGATCACATTGAATCTTTGCTCAAAAACCACCACTAGGTTTTTGCTGCCATTAGGAAAAATTCCAAAATCCTTAAGGCCATTCCATAGTTTCTTCCATGGAACGTCTAGGCTTGCCAATACTTGCCAATAAAGTCTTTACTTTCTAAATGCATGTTGTCTCGCACACTTAGCTTGAATCATTTCTCACCTCTGAAACCCTTTTTCCTTTCATCTGTTTGAATGTTACTATCTTTTAGGTCCCAGTTCCAGTTAACATCTTCATTCATCTACTAGAATATAAAATTCATGAGGGCAGGGACTTTTGTCTGTTTTGTTCACTGCTGTTCAAGAGAATGTCTGCTGAATGAATAAATGAATGGATGGAGTGATTGGATGACAGAGGGTAACTGGCCTGTGGCAACACAGTTTTGGGGCAGCTGCAGAAGTTTGTGTCTCTAAAAATACATATTTTAGTTTACAAAGGACCCTAATATAGGTTCTTTCATTTGGTCCTTACAAAACCCTAAAAGGCATTAGTCTTCATTTTTCAGAGAGGCAAGTTAATTTGTTCAATTAACAATTGAACAATTGTTCAGATATCAAGTGGCAGAACTAAGACCTGAACTCAGGCCTATAAACCCAAAGCTTTGCCAGCTCCACCTGGTTGCCACTTCCATGACTGAAGGGAAGAAGTTAAACTGCAGCTTCTCTAGTCTAATCTTACAGGCTTTTCTGAACTTGAAGATTGCTGACAACCACTAGTGGGTGAATGCAGTATATATCTTACAAATAGGTTGTGTGTATGCATGTGTGTGTGTGTTTATGTGAATACATGCATGCATCTGTGCATTTACCCCAAATACCTGCAAAGTAACTCTTCTAGCGTAATTTTCCATTGTACTGTTTTCCCGTTATTTCTGAGAATTGCCAGGGTAGAGTCTACTCAACTGAAAATCTGTAACACAGACAGTCTCTGCCTTCTTTCTCACCCATATCAGAAGAAGGGCTAGAAAGTTAATCCTCTTCCTTTTTCATGGTCTGAGAAAGGGCCCACAAACCAATCTGTGTGGAGAACCCACTGGTGTTGGCGCCAGGTGTCTAAGAAGCAAGAAACACTGGGGATTACTTACAAGTTGCTACACATAAACCTACCCAAGAAGCTGTGTGCATGCTATACCAAATCTTACAACCATGGAGTCGTATTTCTCTTCATCAGTGTCCAATGCATTAAGTAACTAAGTCCCAGAACAATGACCTCTTCATGCCCAAGGCAGTAGGTTCAGGAATCATCTACTCTTTCAAGGTTGATTGCAAAAATCTTTCCATGCCTTACAAGGTATTAAGATTAACTCATTGGAGAGAACTATGTGAACTACATGTTGTACATTTCACCCCAAATTAAGTCTATTTCAACAGACTCCAAAGTAAATGGAAATATTTCAGAATGTAGCTCTACTGCCTGTGGAGAATATCGTGTTTATCTCACTGATTGTTGTCTTCCTCATGTAAATTTCCTGCTTAGAAAACTCTCAGGAGTCCCCGCCCTCTAGTGAATGACAAAGAAAAAAAGCTTCTCAGATTGGTGTTGCCTGGTGGGTCCTAATCCACCTTCCAGCTGCATTTCCGTGACTCCTCAGTGCTTAAACCCAACCTTGCCTTTCACTGCTTCCTGACCTCATCCTCCACTTGTTTTCCATGGTATGTGGGCTTAGTCCACCTAGAAAGCCCTTTCCCAACCTCTGCCTGTAAAAATTCACTTATTTTTCAGGTCTTATCTTGAATGTTCTTTCATAAGACCAATAGGAGTCCTATTGTAGACTCCTTGTTTGTTATTCTCCTATAGAATTTACCACATTTTGCTTTATTTTATAGTGGCTTTTGTTGTTGTTCCTTTGTCCATACCTAATGAGCACTAATTGGATCTTCATGGTACTTTTGGTCTTGCTGGGAAGATAGACTGTATAAAAAAAGCTCTTAGAGTAATACGTGGTAAATACAGACAGTCCCTGATTTACAATGGTTTGACTTCAGATTTTTCAACTTTATGAAAGGTTTTTCAGGGTATTAAATGCATTTGTGACTTACTATGGACTTATGAAAACACAACCCCATTGTAAGTCAAGGAGCATCAGTACTTGACGGAGAAAGTGCAGTGCATACAGGAGGCCTCTAACCTACTTCTGAGTGTGTGTTGGGGATAGGGATTGGGCCCAGCAAGGCTTTCCTTTACATACTTTTGTTTCATCTTATACAAGATTGATGCTTACTGAGGACACAGACTTTGCAGGATGGGCAGCCAGTAACACGTTGCATGGAATCATCAATGGCTCCCATCTGCATAATGTGATCTCACCTGACACCACTTTGGACTAAGGCCATTGCTTCTGGGGCTCTTCTGCAGCTTCATTATGTGTGAAAAGCCATTGATGAGATTTTACAACTTAAAAGCTTTTCTCCCTCTAGCACGGACACTTTGCCAGGCAGGAATTGTTCTAGAGTCTGGTGGACATAATTTATGTGAAAATATATGATGTGTTTATTACAGTATGGACTGAAAGTCTCATAAGTTAAAGAGTAGGCCTTTTTTGAATGAGTAACCTACACATAAATGAAATTAATCCTTAAAATGTATAAGGTATTATGACTACCTTAGGAAAAGTGTCTTATGAACACACCTAAGCCCTTCAATCTTTATTTGTAGCCTTAAACAATCAAGAAAAATGCAGCCACACTTTGGTAATCTGTTAGAAACTGCTTGAGTAGGTTTATGCTGACTAAACCTACCACTAAGGTGCCTCTGGCTAAGGTTAGATCTATGGCTCTAAGACTTATCAGGAAAATGAGAGCCTTGAAAATGTCACCTCTAAAAATAAAGTGATAAAACTCTCATTACTGCAGTAAGGTAAACTTTACCTTGGATTAAACAGTCCGTTAATTTATTAAGTCATTAACTTACGTTTCTTCCCATTGCATTTTTTCCCTCTTACTATTCTAAGAAGGTAGACAGGCTCATGTTTTCCCACCTCTGGTTCTCAAGGTTGCAGGAGAGAGGGCAGTGTGTCGCAAAGACAACACTCTCTCCAGGCTTTGAAAAGTAGACTCTCCAAATTCCCCTTGTTTCAGGGGATTGGGCTTGTTCAGCCCAAAGAGTGATGGAGACACAATGATCTTCTAAGACTGGGAAGGTGGGAGTGGCCAAATAGGTTCCAGTAAAGGAAATGTCCCTTGCCCTAGCAGCTGCTTTGAGAAGCACCCACCTCAGGGCAGCATCTGGTGTGATGCACCTTGGGGTGGAGATTTAGGTACAGGGCTTCCCCACCTCTGCCAACATCCCATCATCCAGGAAACAGTGGGGTTACCCACCTTCTAGAGATAACATGGACTTGGACACTGAGTAGCTGAGGGGACCACCCCGAATCTTCTAGACTGCACAAGCCCACTCTGCTGGAGCAGAGAGGGAGGAAATCTTTGTAAGTAAGGAATTTGAATTCCACCCCCTACCCCAGCAATTGGCAGTTTGGAGTCAGACTTAATTTGATTTAGAAAATAATGTGATAAGCCAAATATGGTGGGATAAAATTGTATCCAATACAACTGAGCACATAAAAGCAAAATATTAGCTTGGAATGAATGGGCCTATGGGTTTGTGGAGTAGAGCTGTGAGAATCCATCCAATTGCTTTTTTATATCTTTGTTTTTCTTCTTTGTAAGACCCCCATGCCAGATTATTTTCTTTTTTCTTTTTTTCTTTTTCTTTTTCTTTGAGACAGAGTCTCGCTCTGTTGCCCCGGCTGGAGAGCAGTGGTGCAGTCTTGGCTCACTGCAACCTCTGCCTCCCAGGTTCAAGCAATTCTGCCTCAGCCTCCCAAGTAGCTGGGATTACAGGTGCCTGCCACCACGCCCGGCAAATTTTTATATTTTTAGTAGAGACGGGGTTTCATCATGTTGGCCAGGCTGGTCTCGAACTCCTGACCTCAGGCGATCCACCTGCCTCGGCCTCCCAAAGTGCTGGGATTATAGGCGTGCCCAGCCTGCCAGATTATTTTCAACATGCTCTTAAGTATTACCTTCTTGGTCCAAAGGGCCCCCCCACCAGTGGTGCTAAGTAACATCCATGGGGGGCACTGGAGCCCACGGACAGACCAAAGAAATGCAAAGAAGGAAAAAGGGGTGAGAAGACAAAGAAGTGAAAAAGAAGGGAAAGTAGAGAGGAGAGAAAGAGATAACTACCAAAATCAGTGGGAACCCCATGAGTAGGCAGAATAGATGTACTGGAATGGCAGGCGTTTTCAAGCCAAGTCCAAGGAAGACAGTTATGCTCTTCTCCTTCTCCCATTTTTCCCATACGTCTTCTACTTTACTTTCTACTTGGTCAGCCTTTGATTATGCAACACCCTTATCTGCTACCAGGCAACAGACACCTCATTCTTTAGTCCCACCCAGCTTGAGAGGAGGCCTCTGGGGAAACATCAGGCACTAGATCCTCAAGAGTCTAGGAGAGTGCCCCCTGCCTAGGAGGGGTCAGGAAATTAATCACTGACCAACACTACCAAACTACCTTCTCCTTGTTATTTCACTTAAGACTTCTGGGTTGTGAAGATTGTGAGTCTTGAAAAAACACTGGTGAAAACTGAGAGCTTCTAAAAGAGAGGTTAGAGGGCACTAAAGGGAACCTACCTGAAATGATTTCACATTCATATTTGTAAGACGCCTTTGTCTTGGTCCTCTCTCTAGTCCACCGGTTATCACATTTTACAAGTCCTCAAATCACCTGGAGAGCTGGTTAAAGCACAGATTGCTGGGCCCACCCCTGTAGTTTTTGACTCAGGATGTCTGGGCTGGGTGAGACGAAAGGTCCCGGATGATGCTGATGCTGCCGGTCCAGGAGCCACACATTGAGAACCACTGACCTAGTCCAATCTCACATTAAAGCTAAAGTGATTTGTTTAAAGCCCTGCTTTTATCATTTCACTTTCTGTTTAAAACTCTTCAGTAGCATCCTGTAAGATATATTTTGAGGTATCGACGCTAACGGTTAGATGATCAAGCTTTTTTTATTTAGTGAAGAGGAGAGAGCCACTGCCCCCCACCACCCTGTCCTCTTAGGATGTTTTCTAAAAGACGTAAGACATAAGAGGCCAGACTTTTGATTTTACAATGCCAGGGCTCCGGCCTTCTGTAACGATCTGTAAGCCCTTACCTCCAGAACGGCAAGAGAAATTGTAATTGTCTGTCTTCCAACTTACTATATAAAGTTGTGTGAAATTCTGTCCAGACTTTGTACACACTTTCATACTATCTGTATATGCATGTAAATCTGTAATGCTTACTCACAAGTTGTGTTCTCTCTCTTCTCTCTTCATATCTTCAAATATTGCTACAAAGGAGTTGTTGTTAATGTTGGCAGGATTGTTTCATTTCCCTAACACAACCTTCCTTAACACTTTACTATTCTCTGAGGACCATGCTCCTTTTATAGGGTGGACCCCTGCCAGGCTCGCCTGATGCAATTAGATTCTCTCTCCCAGGAATTTGGGATCAGGACTGAGAGACATGGTCTGGAGAGAGAGAGAGGGGGGGAGAGAGAGAGACAGCAAGAGAGAGAAAGAGAGAGATGCACAGAGAGAAGAAGCAGGGGTGCCGGTTCCTGAGGCCTTTCCATCTGCAGTCCAACCGGAGGGAGCTGGAGGGAGTTACAGCTGTATTTCCTGCCTTGGGTTCTGTGAGCTACCCCACGTCCTGCCCAAATCCCCCTTTTTGCTTAAGCAGATTGGCCTTGGAGTCCTGCTAATTGCAACCAAAATAACCCACATGAAGACACTTCCCATTGCCCTCTCGAAGAAGTCCAGATTCCCTGAACATGGCAGTAAAACTCTTCACCATCTGGTGTCTCTTTGCTTTTCATCTTTTTCCTCTACACATTCACCTTCTATTCTCTATTTCTGTATGTTGAACTACTTTTTAGCTTTTTCTACCCTTCAGGCCTTGGGCATGATGTGTTCTTTCTGCTTATTACACTCTTTTCTCCTCGTCTTTGCCTGGCCAATCCCTATTTGGCCTTCAGAATCCGTGTGTGTCATTTCCTCCAGGAAGCCCTCCCAGATACACAGCTTCTTTTCCTAACTCTCTGAGTACCTTTAGCTCCTCTTGTCCTAGCACTTATGTGGACATTATCATTGCCTGTTGACTTGTCTTTCTTCCACCTTTGATTGTGAGCTCTGTGAGGGCATAGATCGAGTCTGGGTTGCTGTTGTTTCTGGGTGTCTAACAGTGCCTGGTACTTGGCCAGCACACAATAAATACTTATCAAATGAGTGAATAATGTGCCTTCCTTGCCATCAGTCACCTCCCCCAGCAGCAGACTGACAGTGTTGAATAGAAAAAAAAAGAAAGAAAATGACTTTGGCCTCAAGCTATAGACTATGATTTGGAAATACTCTGGAGATCAAGAATCAGATATCTCCGAGTTTTGGGAATATCCAATTACCTTCATTGTATCTTTTTTTCCCTATTTAATAATTGTGCTAGAGTTTCTAATTAGAGAAAAGACCTCATGCATTTACTGATTCCAATGCGCTGCATCACTAGGGAGATTTTGAGAATAAGGCTAGAATTTAGCATATCAGAAATTCAATCCATTTGAGATCTCTCAAAGAGGTTTGCCCTTGGGTCATTTAGCACAGACTTTCATAGTCACTGCAAACTGTTGTCATGGTAATCATGGAACCTTTCGTGATTTTTGTATATGAGTTAATGAAGATACTGGAAACAGCCCGAAGGAATTCATACTTGGGCGTGCATTTGTCTCCATATTAACCTAATCATTGTTTTGAACACACATCTGCCCCAGGGCTGGTCCTCTTGGCTCTTGGTCCTGACAGAAATAAATAAACAACTGATTCCTTTTTAGTATTTCAGCCTAGGAGGCTGTGGATGGTTGCCCTTTTGGTCTCATTTCAACAGGAAATCTCACATGGAAGGTTTAAAAGAGCAGAAGAAAAAAGGAGGCTGTGTGAAGCAAATCTTTCTTTTATTTCAAATGATTAATGTGGCTGATTTCAAGGTACCTAAATTTAATGCCTATAAGAAAGTTTCAGTTGTGGAGAGCACAGAATGTTGACTGCATCTAAAGCCTTTTTTATGGTTCTTTATAAACACACTTTAACTTAAGCTTCCATCAAGCCTACAAATTTGGATACAGATATCCCAGTGTGCTTACAATATTTGAGTGTGAGTTTTCCATCTGTGTCTTCTTTTGTGAGTGATTTCCCAATATCAATTCTTCTTTTTTTTCATAGTAATAATAGCCCTTACTTTTAGCAAGGGACGTGGATGTTTAAAATCAAGACATGGCCGGTTGCGGTGGCTCACGCCTGTAATCCCAGCACTTTGTGAGGCCAAGGCAGGTGGATCATGAGGTCAGGAGATCGAGACCATCCTGGCCAACATGGTGAAACCCCGTTTCTACTAAAAATACAAAAAATTAGCCGGGTGTGGTGGCGGGCGCCTGTAGTCCCAGCTACTTGGGAGGCTGAGGCAGAAGAATCACTTGAACCCGGGAGGTGGAGGTCGCAGTTAGCCGAGATTGCGCCACTGCACTCCAGCCTGGCGACAGAGTGAGACTCCATCTCAAAAATAAAATAAAATAAAATAAAAATGAAGACATTTCCCACTCTGCCTTACTGCTGGCCAGTAGTACTTAAAGAGAGGGGTTCTACTGAACTTTCTGGATGTAGCTTTAAAGGGAGCTATTGAGAGCGGTAGGAGGCAGCCAAATGCCTAGGCAGATAGGGGTGGGTCCCTGGTGAAGCCCCACCTCCAAGCAGAAGACAGTTTAAAGCCTGAAAGGCAAGCTACAAGTTAAATCCTCAGACTGGACTGAGAACCTGTCTTCCTGTTTGGTGCGCTTTCCTCTGATGGATCCCCACCCTTCACCTATTTTACATATACCTACCCTTTTCCTAATTGGTTTTCTACACTGTCATGCCCACCTTTGAGTGGTGTCTTTGCTGTAAACTTTTTTGCATACTCGCAAACCAATCAGCACGTACTCCCCATTCTGAGTCCGTAAAAGTCCTCAGACTCAGCCACATTAGGGACTTTCACGCCTTTGGGTAGGGGAACCACCCCTCATGTCCCCTCTCTGCTGAGAGTTGTTCCCTCACTCGATAAAATTCGTCTCAGCCCTCCTCACCCTTCAATGTCCAGCTTATCCTCATTCTTCTTGGGCATGGTACAAGAGCTCAGGAACTGCTGAACATGAGTATAAGCTATAACACAGGTGAGCTGGGGCATGCCAATGTGGCCGAGCAAGGCCCAGGTGAGGCACCACCGGCTGGGGTTCCCTGGCTTGCAAAATGACTGAGAAGAAAAATCCTGCATCCCTATTATGTGCCCTTCTTCATCCCTTCCTACTGACTGGAATGTGGACATGATGGATGGAGCTGGGGCAGCCATTTTGGGCAATGAATTGGGAGCCGCATGGAAAATGGCAGAATTAGAAGACAGAAGTCTGGGTCCCTGGAGATTGTGGAACTTCCATAAAAGCCAAGACCAGGAGAGAGAAAGAAACTGCAGTCTTAAGTAAACATCTATTATTCCAGATTTTCTTTTTTTTCCCCCTGTTTTTTTTTTTTTCCACACAGTCTCACTCTGTGGCCCAGGCTGGAGTTCAGTGGTATGATCTGGGCTCACTGCAATCTGCATCTCCCAGGTTCAAGTGATTCTCGTGCCTCAGCCTCCCTAATGGCTGGGATTACAGGCATGCGCCATCAGGCCTGGCTAATTTTTGAATTTTTAATAAAGACACCACGTTGGCCAGGCTGGTCTCGAACTCCTGACTTCAAGTGATCCGCCCGCCTCAGCCTCTCAAAGTGCTGGGATTACAGGCATAAGCCACCGTCGCTGGCCTTATTCCAGATTTTCTGTCATCTAATCTTAACTGATACACCACTCAAAAGTGAAATTTATTTTTTCTCCTTCCATTGATTGGGTGTGAAATTGCATGGGCTTTTTTGCGAGATTTGCCTTCTGCTCCCAGGGTCTGTTGGAAGGTGGGCAGTTTTGCTAGACCTTTGCATTAGCCAAAATAAGTTTTCTGGTATGGGGAATTGAGACAACATTTCAATGTCAGGGCTAAGCTTTTTCCGCTTAGCCATAGAGACATACTGTTGCCTGGTCTTTGTATGTGCATTTTGAGTTTTCCTAGTGCAGGGGAACTACATATCCTTTACCCTAAAGTCAGGGCTCCTATCTCAAATACTTTTTGGAATGTGGTAGGGGATAAGACTTATCACTAATTAATCTGAGTGGAAATTAATTGACATAGAGATAAAAACCAAACCAAAACAAAAATTACCTAAAACAAGTATAATAACCCTCCATGTGGGAGAAACAAGCATTATGCCAGCAAGGAATTGTGATTTTACTTACTGAACTTGGGCCTTTTAATCTTCTTTGCCGTTTCTTTGTTTGAATGTACTCCAGTCACCAGCAAAACTACATGAAGAAAATTTTTAAAAATTTAATCAATTTTATTTTACTTAAATTCTTTCTCTTTTGACTCATACTTGCTTCGATCATCCACAAAGTATTCTCCATGGCAGAACTAATTTTCCCTCTTACAGTCATGCATCACTTAATGATGGGGCTACTCTCTGAAAAATGTGTCAACAGGTGATTTCATCATTGTGCCGATATTGTAGAGTGTACTTACACAAACCTAGATGGTCTACTACAAACCTAGGCTGTATGATATGGTCTATTGCCTCTTAGGTCAAAAACCTGTACAGCATGTTACTGTACTGAATACTGTAAACAATTGTTAACAACTGATAAATATTTATGTATCGAAATATATCTAAACATAAAAAAGGTATAGTAAAAATACAGTATAAAAGATAAAAAGTGGTACACCTTTAGAGGACACTTAGCATGAATGGAGCTTGCGGGACTGGAAGTTGCTCTGGGTGAGTCAGTGAGTGAGGGGTGAGTGAGTGTGAAGGCCTAGGATATTACTGTACAAAGCCGTAGATTTTATAACCACTGTATACGTCATCTACACTAAATTTATAAAAAATATTTTTTCTTTTTTCTTTTTTTTTTTTTTTTTGAGACGGAGTCTTGCTCTGTCGCCCAGGCTGGAGTGCAGTGGCGGGATCTCGGCTCACTGCAAGCTCCGCCTCCCGGGTTCACGCCATTCTCCTGCCTCAGCCTCCCAAGTAGCTGGGACTACAGGCGCCCGCCACTACGCCCGGCTAATTTTTTGTATTTTTAGTAGAGACGGGGTTTCACCGTTTTAGCCGGGATGGTCTCGATCTCCTGACCTCGTGATCCGCCCGCCTCGGCCTCCCAAAGTGCTGGGATTACAGGCGTGAGCCACCGCGCCCGGCCAATATTTTTTCTTTAATATAATATTAATCTTAGCTTACTGTATCTTTTTCACCTTATAAACTTTTTAATTTTTTAACTGTTTGACTCTTTTGTAATAACGCTTAGCTTAAAACATACACATTTTACAGCTGTACAAAAATATTGTCTTTCCTTATATCCTTATTCCATAAGCTTTTTTCTATTTTTGAGATTTTAAAATTTTTTACTTTTAAAATCTTTTGGTTAAATGTTATAACTTTTTTTTAAGTAAGTGAAGGAGTATACTCTAAAATAATGATAAAAATATAGGATAGAAAATACAGGCTGGACGTGGTGGCTCACGCCTGTAATCCCAGCACTTTGGGAGGCAGGGGTGGGTGGATCGCCTGAGGTCAGGAGTTTGAGACGAGTGTGGCCAACATGGTGAAACCCTGTCTCTACTAAAAATACAAAAATATTAGCTGGGAGTGGTGGCACACGCCTGTAATTCCAGCTACTTGGGAGGCTGAGGCAGGAGAATCGCTTGAACCCAGGAGGCAGAAATTGCAGTGAGCCGAGATCACACCACTGCACCCCAGCCTGGGCGACAGAGTGAGACTTCATCTCAAAAAAAAGAAAACACACACGCCAGCAACATAGTTGTTACTTGTTATCAAGTAATCATTATCAAGTATTATGTACTGTACATGATGGTATGTGCTATACATTTATTTGGCAGCTGGCGGCTCAGTAGGCTTGTTTACACAACATCACCACACACATGTGAGTAATGTGTTATACTACATCAGTGGCTACAATGTCACTAGGCAATAGGAATTTTTCATCTCCATTACAATCTTACAGGCGGCTGTTGACTGAGACATTGTTATGAAGTGGATGACTGTATTAAGATTGGAGAAAAGAGATGTCTAGTTTGTATACTTTTCTCAGCCCCTGCTGAAAGGTCCCTTGAAAGGCACCTCTTGGATACTTGTCCTTTGTTTTGCTGTGTTTAAATTTGACCACACCAACCTGACAAATCTCCATTTTCCAGAGGAAGGAATGTGGGTCTGGAGAAGTCCACTAATTTGTCTCATCCCATGAATTAATGATGGAGGTGGGATGAGCACCCTGGCCCTTCCTGTACTCTGTCTTCCCTTCCACAGCAGGTTTCCAGATGGCCAATCTCCAAATAGCCAGAGAACTGCATGTGCATGTGTGTGCATCTATGTGCGTGCACGCTATATGTGTGTGCACCTATTGTGTGCACCCATGTGTGTGTGCATACGAGTGTGCCTGAGGGAAGGCTGAATGCAGGGAACATAAAAAAAGCCTCAGAAGAGAGGCTGTCTGGGAAAGAAAGGCACGGAGAAAGGGGCTAGGGAGAAGAAGGACACTCATCACAATGTCTGAGAAGTGACCTGAGTATTCCCTCCGGGTTCCCTGGCAGCCCTGGTTCTGTGTCCCATCGAGGCAACTGCAGATAGTTGAGCTTCCTCCTTAGAAACAGGAGCAGAACCTCCGATAGCATTTGGACACCACTCTCCTTCAAGTATATCAATAGGTGAAGAAGGGAGAATTCTGTATCCTTTCTAATTTAAAGTCTGGTTCCTTTTCAAGCACATAAGATGAAATAGAGCTTTCTCAGACCTCGTGATGAGTCTCCTTCTTCTCCCCACCCCCTTTCTCCTTGCCTTTCTTTCCCAGACAGCCTCTCTTCTGAGGTTTTGTTTTTTTTTTTTTTTTTTTTTTTTTGAGACAGAGTCCCACTCTGTTGCCCATGCCGGAGTGCAGTAGTGTGATTTCGGCCCACTGCAAACTCCGCCTCCCGGGTTCAAGTGATTCTCCTACCTCAGCCTCCTGAGTAGCTGGGCTTACAGGCGCCCGTCACCACACCTGGCTAATTTTTGTATTTTTAGTAGAGATGGGGTTTTCTCCATGTTGGCCAGGCTAGTCTCGAACTCCTGACCTCAGGTGATCCACCTGCCTCGGCATGAGCCACCACACCCGGCCTGAGGCTTTTTATATATTCTCTCCATTCATTAAAAAGTGAATGTTGGCTGTTTTTATTATTGAAAAAAATCATGTTCTTTGTAGAAAAACGTAAACAACACAAATGTGGATGAATACAAAAGTATAATATTTTCCAGTCTTTTTCTATATGTATACAGGTATTCATGTGAATACTTTTAAACAAACATTTGATCCCTCATGTTTTTTACAATGTTCAATAACTTATTTCTACTTAATGATCTATATCGACATTTTTTCATGTCATTAAATGTTCTTTCTACAGTAATTTTAATTGCCTTCAAAGTATTGCACTATATGGATGTATCATAACTTAACCAAACTTTGATTTAATATAAATAGTGTAATCTTTGCATCGATCCATTATTTCCTTAAAATAAATTTCCAAATAGAATTTCTTGTCTGAAATGTATGCTCACTTAAAATTTTGATACATATTGTGAAAATTTCTGATAGCATTTTTTTTTTTTTTTTGAGACAGAGTCTCGCTCTGTCACCCAGGCTGGATTGTAGTAGTGCAGTCTCGACTCACTGCAACCTCCGCCTCCTGTTCAAGCGATTCTCCTGACCCAGCTTCCTGAATAGCTGGGATTATAGGTGGACACCAACATGCCTGGCTAATTTTTGTATATTACCAGAGACGGGGTTTCACCATGTTGGCCAGGCTGGTCTTGAACTCCTGACCTCAGGCGATCCTCCTGCCCCGGCCTCTCAAAGTGCTGGGATTACAGGCGTGAGCCACTGTGCCCGGCGGGTGTGTTTGTTTTTAACTGAACACAGATCATCAATTTAGGTATAAATGGACTTAGGAGTTCTTGGATTGGCAATTATTTTTGAAGAAAAACGTGGCAATGCCACCAAGTGTTTAAAAAAACTTTTTATTTATCTTATGATTATTCAGCTACTGTGGTCTCAATGTTTGTTTACCCACCCCCCCCCCACCCCTCAACTAGAATTCCTACATTGACATCCTAACCCCCAGTGTGATGATATTAGAAAGTGGAGCCTTTGGGAGGTCACAGGTCTTGACAGTGAGCCCTCATGATGGGACAAGTGCCCTTATAAAAGGGGCCCCAGAGAGCTAGTTTGCCTCTTCTGTCATGTGAGGACACAGCAAAAAGATGCCTCTCTAGGAACCAGGAAGCTGACCCTGACCAGACTCTGAATCCATCAGCACCCTGATCTTGGACTCCCCAGCCTCCACAACGGTTAGAAATAAACTTCTGTTTTTCTAAGCCACTCAGTCTATAGCAGTTTTGTATAGCAGACTGCATGAACTAAGACACTAGCTAACCTGTGCCAATGATGTGGCCATTGAATTATCTCCAATTCTGACTGTTAGCACTAGCTGAGGCCTGAGTAATTGACGTACCATATCCTAGGAGAACAGAAACATGAAAGAGAACTGAGTGAGAACCAGAAGTCTAGCCAGGCAGAATGAAGGCAGACATTTTTTAGGTGTATTTACTTCTGGGGTTTGAGTGGGTGTGAGTGTCCCGGAGGTCTAATTTTTATAGTAGCCTCTTGTCAATTAACTGTGCAAAGACCATGTTTTCACTTAATGCTCAAAAATAAATATCTATAATCCTATAATATTTTTAAAACAAGCACTAAATACATACATAGAAAGAAAATGAGCAAGGAGAGGGAGTAAGTGAAATAATAAATTTGGGTTTCAATTTTTGTGGAAAACCAAAAACTGTTCTTGGCCTCTGTGCCTGAGGCAAGTGGCTTATAAGTCCTGGTATCATTAGGACTATAAATATTTTAGTAAGAACACCCCATCATTTGCTTTTGGTTGCCCAAGACCTTTTAGGCTGAAAACATGCATAGCTGGGTTCAGTTGAACAGCAGTAATTAATAAAGTCATTATCTTCGATGGCACAAATAGGCCCTCCCCTCAGCTTCTGTGATTATAATTAAAGCTCCTCAGAAACCATTCCTCCAGGGGACAGCTGGTCTGCAAATGTGCTTGTGCCCTGGAGAAAGTCTTCACTCCTCCCCAGCAATCCCCCTCTTGCTACACTGGAAATGGTAAATTGCATGTTGAAGTTGGGGAAGAGAAAAATCAGTCTTGTGTTCGTTTTCCTAGGACGCCTAGCAGAGCACCAGAATGGATGGCTGATGCCCACTTCAAAGTGCAAAGCCGCAGACAGGTCTGAGAGCCAGTCCCTGGGTGAGGGTAGTTGGCAATGGAGGCCATGCAGGTCAAGAAAACTTGAAGAGAGTTAAGTCTGGAACCCCAAATTCCAAGGCAATCATGCAGCAATGCTTCTCAGCAATGCTTCTCAGTCCTTAAAAATCCAGTGTTCTCTGGCCAACATGGTGAAACCCCGTCTCTACTAAAAATACAAAAATTAGCCAGGCATGGTGGCTGGCGCCTGTAATCCCAGCTACTCGGGAGGCTGAGGTAGGAGAATCACTTGAAACCAGAAGGTGGAGGTTGCAATGAGCCGAGATCGCACCACTGCACTCCAGCCTGGGCAACAAGAGTGAAATTCTGTGGGAAAAAAAAAAAAAATTCCAGTGTTTCAGTTTTGAATAACATAAATAATCCCCCCCCTCCCCTCCCCTCTCTTTTCTTTTCTTTTCTTTCTTTTCTTTTCTTATCTTGCCCAGGCTAGAATGCAGTGGTATGATCACAGCGTACTGCTACCTTGAACTCCTGGGCTCAAGGGATCCTCCTGCCTCAACCTCCCAAACAGTTGGGCTTACAGACGTGTGCCACCGTGCCTGGCTACTTTTTTATTTTTTATAGAGACAGAGCCTCACTATGTTACCCAGGCTGTCTTTTCTTTCTTTAGTAGTGCCTGAAATGTTGAAGCATATTAAATACTAAAATTTCTCTTTCAGAAAAAAATTTCTCCCACTTCACTTTCTCCCTCTCTGATGTGACAATCAGGACAGTTAAAATATTGATTTTTAAAATTTATTGTTTAATGCATAGAGAAAATATAAATGAATAAGCTTGAAACTATGTTTAATCTTTTTAATGTTAAAAATGCAAGCTAAAGCAAAATGAGGGGGTGTTTTCCTGTATCATGCTAGTAAATATGGAACATAAAATTATATTTAATCCTGGCAGGGATTTGAGATTAGGGCTTCCCTGAACACTGTTGGTGAAGTATAAGCAGGCAGGGCCATTCTGGAAAGCAATTTCAAGAGCCTTAAAAACTTTTATATTCTTTGACCTAGAAAACAAACTCCTAGGAATATATCCCAAGTTATAATCAGAGGTATAGACAAAGATTTATGTAAAAAAATGCTCATTAGAGCATTATTTCTAATGGATCTGGAAATCATAAAATGTTGAAAACACGCCAACAATAGGAAATCCTAGGCATTTATTACAAATGGTGTGTAGTAGATTATTAAATTACCTGTGAAGTGTTCAGCTCTAACCTTAAGAATGACTCTGACAAGGTTAAAATATATGCAGATAAATAACTGGAACAAATATACTAACATGTTAATAATGGAGGAATTATTATTTCCATTTTATGTTTTCTGTATTTTCCCCTTTTACATTTGTATTTAATATAAAATATATATTTTATATAGACATAATTTATAAAATTAGAATCTTATATAAATGATAAATTGATATAATTACAAAAAACAATTATTTTTTAATCTGGTCATACTGAAATCATATAGATTTATAATAATGAAAATTGCTTTCTAAAATTATTGGCATGATTAATCTGTGCTCATGTTTTCCAGTTTTCCTGTCAGTAATGAATTATAATCAGAATCCACATTATGTTCAAGAAAAGACATGAAATACCAGAACATCTAATCAATAATCAAATCAGTAGGTACTTACTGCATATTTGTGTACCTAGAACTTTTATAAGCATGCCTCATTCTAGCCCATAAACTTCCTGTTAGATCTTTTTGGAGAACCTCAGTTTGCTAACATAGATAGTATCCACAATGCCTTCTTGAAAACCAATTTATAAAGCAGATCCTTTAAACATAGTTCAGGTTTCCCTGATGCTTTAATTTAGGATTATATACTCAATGAAACATTTAGCATCAAATAAATCAGAACTTCATAGCAAAGCCATGACAGCTTATTCTCTACAATCACATAAATCATAAAATTATGCTTCAAATCATAGGATATTTAAAGCTAGGAGGAGCTTTGGAGGTCATCCTTTATTTTATAGAAAGGAAACCAGAGCCGGTTTTAACCCCTTGGCTAATGCTGCAGTCGTTTGGGGGAAGAAGTTGGAACCAGAATGCGAGTTTGCTGGCTACAGTGTCGGCCTCTTTACTCCACTTGCTCCCTGTCAGTACACACGTGGATTATAAACAATACTCCAATGACAATGAGCAGTATAAAACTCTGCTCTATCATGCATTGAAACATATCTAAAGCAAGCATGCTACCTCTTAAATATATTAATTAAACACATTAAACACTTAATTGACATTAATTTAGAGAGCTTTTGAGGGATCCTTGGATGGCTCCGATACCTTAAAAATCCAGCGTCCTTAAGGACAATTATTTGTTTAGAAATATTTATTGAGTGCCTATGATATGTGGTCAGCACTAGAGATACAACACTGAGCACGACACAGCTCCCACCCTTAGTGAGTTAACAGATTTTGGAGACCCAGAAAAATGACAAGGTCAATATCTTGCAGCTATGGTGAGAATAAACACAGGACACCAAGGAAGTGCTTAGGAAGATGGCCCAACCTAAAGGGGGTGGAGGGAAGCTTCCTGGAGGATAGCATGGTTGGTGGGAGGAAGTGAGAGGAAGAGCATTCCAGGAAGGCATGTTCAAAGGCTTGTAGGTGAGAAATGATGCATTCCCCAGGGAAATCAGAAGTTCAGTGCCGGAGTGGGGGCTACGGTGAGTGACAAGAGCAGGGGAGGAGAGCAAGAGCCATATCAGGAAGGCTCCACAAGCAAGACACTTGAAGAAACTTGCGCTGCATCCTAAAGGCAAAGGGAAAACACTGAGTTTGCATGGAGAGCAAGAGTGGAGGTCAGATGTGGGCTTTAAGAGATTAATAGGGGTATGGTGGAAAATGAGGTAAAGGCGTAAGGATTTGGGGCAGGGAAGCCATCACAGCACCCAGAGGAGGGGTAGGGGGACTTAAGCAAATGGCCCTGAGGTGGAGACATGTGAGCAGAGGAGAGAGATGGCAGGGAGGCAGACACATGAGGACCTGGAGAGGGGACTATGTGAACGCAAGCTTCCTTGTTTTTCATTAATAGAGTGATTTATTATTCCCCCCAGCTTCATTAAGGTATAATTGACAAATAAAAATTGTCTATATTTATGATGTTTTGATATATGTGTACGTTGTGAAATGATTAAATCAAGCTAATTAACATAGCCATCACCTCACATACTTAACAATTTTTATGTGTGTGGTGAGTACATTTTAACTCTACTCTCTTAGCAAATTTCAAGTAAACAATGCGGTTTTATAAGCTGTAGTCACTGTGCTGTACATTAGATCACCAGAACATATTCATCTTATAACTGAAAGTTTGTACCTTTTTTTTTTTTTGAGATGGAGTCTCGCTGTTGTTGCCCGGGCTGGAGTGTAAAGGCGCAATCTCAGCTCACTGCGAGCTCTGCCTCCTGGGTTCCAGCAATTCTCTTGCCTCAGCCTCCCAAGTAGCTTAGATTACAGGTGCCCGCTACCATACCTGGCTAATTTTTATATTTTTAGTAGAGATGGGGATTTTGCCATGTTGGCCAGGCTGATCTCGAACTCCTGACCTCAGGTGATCCACCCACCTTGGCCTCCCAAAGTGCTGGGATTACAGGCATGAGCCACTACTTCTGGCCTGAAAGTCTGTACTCTTTGACCAGCATCTCCCTATTTCCCTGGCTCCCCAGCCCCTGGAAACCATTGTTCTACGTTCTGCTTCCATCAGTTTGGCTTTTGTAGATTCGATACAGTATGTAAATGAAATCATACAGTATTTGTCTTTCTGTGCCTGGTTTATTTCACTTAGTATAACATCCTTTGGTACACTTACATTGTAAATGACAGGATTTCTTTTTTTTAAGGCAGAATAATATTCCATTGTATATGTACAGTGTGAGCTAAGGGCCCAATTACATTCTTCTGCGTGTGGATATATTATTTTCCCAATAACACTTATTGAAGAGATTGTTCTTTCCCCATTGTGTGTTCTTGTCACCTTTGTTAAAAATCAGTTAACTATAAATGTGTGGGTTTCTTTCTGGGCTCTTTATTTTGTTTCATGGGTTTATATGTCTGGTTTTATGCCAGTACCATGCTGTTTTGATTACTATAGCTTTGTAGTGTATTTGGATGTTGGGTATTTGATGCCTCCACCTTTGTTCTTTTTGCTCAGGATTGCTTTGGCCTTTTGGAATCTTTTCTGTTTCCATATGAATTTAGAATTTTTTTTCCAAATTTCTGTGAAAAATGCCATCGGAATTTCAATAGGGATTGCACTGAGGATTGCACTGAAGAATCTGTAGCTTGCTTTGGATAGTATAGGCATTTTAACAATATTAATTCTTCCAATCCATGAACATGGAATATCTTTCCATTTATGTATGTCTTCTTTAATTTTCTGCATCTTTTTGTGTGTGTGTGTGAGTCAGGGCCTCACTCTGTCACCCACGCTGGAGTGCAGTGGCATGATCATGGCTCACTATAGCCTCAATCTCCCTGAGCTCAGGTGATCTTCCCACCTCAGACTCCCCAGTAGCTAGGACTACAGTCACATGCCACCACACCTGGATAATTTTTAAAATTTATTGGTAGATACAGGGTTTCTCCATGCTTTGCAAGCTGGTCTCAAACTCCTGGGCTCAAGTGATCTGCCTACTTCCGCCACGCAAGGTGCTGGGATTACAGGTGTGAGCCACTGTGCCTGGCCTCATCAACGTTTTATAATTTTCAATGCACAGATCTTTCACTTCTATGGTTAAATTTATTCCTAAGTAGTTTTTTTTTGATACTATCGTAAATGAGATTGTTTCTTTTTCAGATAGTTCATTGTTAGTGTATAGAGGTGCTACAGATTTTTGTATGTTGATTTTGTATTCTATAACTTTACTGAATTCATTTGTTAGTTCTAACAGGTTTTTGGTGGAGTCTTTAGGGCTTTCTGTATATAATATCATGTTATCTGCAGAGGAAATTTTATTTCTTTTTCACTTTGAATGTCTTTATTTCCTTTCCTTGTCTAATTGCTCTGGGTAGGACTTCCAGTACTATGCTGAACAGAAGTAGCAAGAGTAGGCATCCTTGTCTCATTTCTGATCTTAGAGGAAAAGCTTTTAGGTTTTCACCATTGATTATGATATTAGCTGTGGCCCTGTCATACCTGGCCTTTATTGTGTTGAGGTATAGGAGTCTCCTTTTTCTACTTTGATTTCTTGCTATCTGAATAAGCAAGCCAGAAGGGCAAGGGCAGGCTGAGAAAGGCAGGGGACAAAAGACAGCCAGATCTTCCTTTCTTGGTTCTGTGATGCTGGGAACATGCAGAAGGTGAAATGGCCTCAGTTTGTTTGTTTGTTTTATTTGTTCGACTAAACCCTATTCCTAACCTCTTGTCCCACCCTCAACCCATTCTTAAGTTAGAAACCTACTAACTTGTATGTTAGAATGAAAAGAGAGGTAGCCTCCCAAAGGGGCAAGGTAGAAATGAAGGACCTTGTGCTTTCAAGTTGTAGTTCCCCAGTGTGCTAGCCCATTTTTTTGTTTGCTAAAGTAAGCCAGGCATATACAGCAATTGTAGAGGCAGTGTTGGGATGGTTGACCCCTGGAACTTGCCCAGTCTCTGAGGATAATAGCAGTGGCTGGGGGAGGGCTCCTGGTCCAGGTACCTAGAAGTTCCTCAGGGCTTCTCATGGCCATCTGACAGGAGCCAGGGAATAGTGCCGCTGGCTCCTGAGAGTGCCTGCTATCCTTGAGGACCTATCCAAAGTGAAGAGAGGGCATTGTTTGTGGCCTTTTCTTTGGCTCCAGGAGAAAGTAGCTTACCTGAGAGACAAGTAGCTTGGACAGAGCTGCCCTAGGTCTCTGGCAGCCATGTTACATAGGGTTGGGTGATTAATAGCTCAAACATATAATTTGCAGGAAGCTCTGAGAAGATGAGTGACTTGACAAAATTGGCAAGTTGATGGTGGAGTCAGGACTAGAACCCATATCCTCCTTCTGACTCCTGGTCCAATACTCCTTCCACCATGCCTGGAGCCCCCTTGCCTTCCCAGCTGTATTACCTTCTTCTCTTCCAGTCCCCAGTTCTGCCAGGTACACACCCTCTGAACAGACCTTAAGCACTCTCATTATATTATGAGTTGATTTATGTGCCCTCAAATTTATATGTTGAAGTCCTGAGCCCCCGTATCTTAGAATGTGACCTTATTTGGAAATGGGCTCATTGCAGATATAATGTTAAGTTAGGATGAGGTCATACTGGAGTAGGGTGTACCTCTAATCCAATATGACTGATGTCATTATAAAAAGGGAAAATGTGCAGACAGACACAACTACAGGGAGAATACCATGTGAAGATGAAGGCAGCGATTAGGGTGATACATGTACAGGCCAAAGAAACCCAAAGATTGCCAGCAAACAGCCAGAAGCTAGGAGAGAGACATGGAACAGATTCCTCCCTTGCAGCCCTCTGAAAGAACCAACCCTCTTGACACTGATTTTGGACTTCTAGTCTCCAGAGGGTGGAGAGAATGGGTTTTTGTTGTCCTAATCCACCCAGATTGCGGTGTTTTGTTACAGCAGCCCTGGCAAACTAACAGACTGTCTGAAAGGCTTCTGTGCTCCTTCCTGGCAGTAGTTTCACAATGCTCCACAGGGTTACTCTACCTGATAAGGCACAGTGGGGCCAAGCTTAATGGAAGATTACCCTTGGGCTTGGCCCTGAACCCCTCAGCACTTCAGTTGAGCACTTCTAGTTGACCTACTGCTCTTCAAGGGCCTATCCATGATTGCGTACTCTGGTGATAATGGATTCTTTTTAAAAAAATCATCTCTGGGCCGGGTGCGGTGGCTCATGCCTGTAATCCCAGCACTTTGGGAGGCTGAGGCAGGAGGATCACAAGGTCAGGAGATCGAGACCATCCTGGCTAACACGGTGAAACCCTGTCTCACACGGTGAAACCCCATCTCTACTAAACACACACACACACACACACACACACACACACACACACACACACACACACACACACACACATTAGCCAGGCGTGGTGGTGGGAGCCTGTAGTCCCAGGCTGAGGCAGGAGAATGGGGTGAACCCGGGAGGGAGAGCTTGCAGTGAGCCAAGATTGTGCCACTGCACTCCAGCCTGGGCGACAGAGACTCCGTCTCAAAAAAAAAAAAAAAAAATCATCTCTGGCCGGGCGTGGTGGCTCACGCCTGTAATCCCAGCACTTTGGGAGGCTGAGGTGGACGGATCACGAGGTCAGGAGTTCAAGACCAGCCTGGCCAGCATGGTGAAACCCCGTCTCTACTAAAAATGCAAAAATTAACCAGGCATGGTGGCGTGCACCTGTAATCCCAGCTACTTGGGAGGCTGAGGTGGGAGAATCGCTTGACCCTGGGAGGCAGAGGTTGCAGTGAGCCGAGATCACTCCACTGCATTCCAGCCTGGGCAAGAGAGTGAGACTCTATCTCAAAAAAAAAAAAAAAAAAAAAAAAAGAATCATCTCTAAAAGCGTGAGTTGCTAATGCTATAGGTAGAGCCATGTCAGCGGTAAGAATTTTTGTTCATTTGTTTGCGAAATTAAGAAATAAGAAGATCCTTAAATTTACAATCTGCAAATATGCTGTATCTGAAATACTTGCTAATTGCTGAGGAATACACAAGCTAGGTGTGTGTATGTGTGTGTGCAATAGGTAATATACCAAGACATATATGTAATATATATACAGTATTTGCTTTACATAAAAACACATACACATGCATCCTGAATTTGATCTTTGCTTAACATTCTTACTTAAAACATCTCTTCAAAATGTTTCTTATAAAATGATACACTGTATTGTTTATATGCTCTGTCTTGGTTTAAAACTTTTCTTGGCTAGATTCTTTGGATCTTAGGAAAATTTTAAAAGGGTATCCAGATACACATATAAAAGTACTTACCAAGGAACATTTCAATAACAGATGCCTTCATAGTGAGAACAACAGTCCTCATAAATATCAGAATGACACCCTGGAGAGAAAGAAACAATAACGTCATCATATTTCAGCCGGGGGTTCTGATTTGGATGCACAGAGTGTGTGGGGATAGACTGCATCATTTTGCATTGCCCTCTGGAGTCTTACGATTCCAGGCTATAGATTTCCATAAGCAGCACATAGAGATGTCAGTGGCTGGCCTTGCTGGTACCCAGAGATGCTATTCTCAGTTAGAAAGCCCATTCTGGCCACCAGCCTCCAATTCTTCAAATATTTGATGTTTACTTAGAACTGAAGAGGAAATAACTCTACAATTTTGAGAATATGTCCAAGTAGTCTTCTAATTAGGATGAAAGCCACATTTATGGCATTCAGAAAACATATTTAGATTACAATTATTAATACTTCACTATTCATTCGATAAATATTTATTAAACTCCTATTATATGGCTACGTTTTGTTAGAAAGTGCTAAAAATTGAATTAAAAAACAATTCTCACCCTTGAAAGACTTACAGTTTAATATAGGTGGAAAAACATAAGTGGACACAAATAACCATGTTAAATTGCATAAGAGAATGTTAAGGCCTCATAAGAGAGTATAAGGGGAAGTTTGTAGAGCAGTGGTTCTCAAACTTTGCTGCATATTATTTAATAGTATCACCTGGGAGTTTAAAAAAATTCTGATGCCCAGGCTGTACCCCAGACCAATTGAATAAGTCTCTCTTGGCTTTGGGTCTAGTTAATTAAGTTTTTAACAACTTCTCGAGTAAATCCAACATACATCCAAGTTTGAGAACCAGTGGTTTTGAGTCGGGCTTCTTAAATCTTTTTTTTTTTTATTTTTTTTTTTAGACGTAGTCTCACTCTGTCACCCAGGCTGGAGTACAGTGGTGTGATCTCGGCTCACTACAACCTCTGCCTCCCGAGTTTAAGCAATTCTGTGCCTCAGCCTCCCAAGTAGCTGGGATTACAGGCATGTGCCACCATGCCTGGCTGAGTTTTGTATTTTTAGTAGAGACTGGGTTTCACCATCTTGGCCATGTGGTCTTGAACTCCTGACCTTGTGATCCACCTGCCTCGGCCTCCCAAAGTGCTGGAATTACAGGCATGAGCCCCTGAGCCCAGTTGGCTTCTTAAATCTTAATGTGTTTACTCATCACCTGGGGCTCTTGTTGAAGTGCAGGTTCTAATCCAGTAGGTGGGGGGTAGTGCTAGAGATTCCCCAAGGGCCAGAAATTTTAGAAGGAGAGAGACTATGGCAGCCATGGGAATAAGAGAAATCCTCATAGAGATGGTAGCAACTGGGTCAACTTTGAAGAATGAACAGACTTTGAACATGCAGAAATAGGAGAGAAGTGGCTCCAAGTGGGGGAACAGTGCCAACAGAGACCCAGATGTTGGAGAGTGCAATAGATATGAAAATGCTGATGATCCATAAGGGAGTTTCTCATCTTTCTCTTAAGGCTATGACGACACTGCCAAAGGTTTGCTGATACTACTATTAATTGAGTATATTCTGTGCATTCTGTATTGTTTTGAATCCACCCAATACGTCACCATGGTAGGTTTTATGATCCTCATTGAACAGATGAGGAAACTAAGACTTAGAGAAGTTAAATGTCATAACCGTGGTCCAAGGTGGTGAATAGGATTGGAATGGAGGTAAAAGTGGGTGGAGGAATCTGCCCTGGGCACAGGCAATAAGGGAGAAGTTTGTGGAGAATGAAAAGACTTAAAGTTGGTCTGCTTTTTATTATCCTTATGAGCTAGCAATTTTAAACAATGTCAATGGTAGTAAAACACTCCTCCCCTCTGGACAGATGGCTTCCACTATATCCCCCCTCCCTCCAGTGCCATGGTTGTGTGGCCCAAAGCTGGCATTCATAACTCTACCCTCTGCTGTGTTCAGTGGTGTACTGGTTAAAAAAAAACAAGAGATAAAAGCCCTGATCTGCAGAGCTTGTCAATTTCTGTGGTAGCAAATCCTCCTACCATGGCTGATTTTGAAGCCACCAAAGTGACATCACTGAATGGAGATCTAGAAACAGATAATCACCATCTAGTACTAGCTAGGCCCAGTATAAGCTTCTATCCAATATTTGATACACTGCTATGCATATTTATTAATAAAAAGCAATTATTAGATTATGGGTTGAGATAATATACAAGTACTCAATGCAATTAACTTAAAGTTGTTTAGTATATGAAAGCTTTATTACAAACAATTAAATTAAGCAGCAAGAGTAACCCCAAACAGAACTGATCACTTTGTTATTTTCCAACAACACTTGCAATGTGTTAAATTTCCCAATTAAGGTAGCTGGCCACTGGTTACGTCTTTAGCTTCAAAATAAAAACAAAATCACATTACAATCTGTTTGGCAACTTGGTGTTTAAGTAGCCAGATTATATTTTGGAAATAGTGTGATAACAGGGACTTTTTTTGTATTTTATTAACTTGAGAAACTCCAGAACAATTTATGTATCTTCAAGCCTGAGTGTTTAACTTTCCTATTGGATAAATGCAGTATGCCAAGTTGTCCTATCGGACCCACCTGTGCAGCCCCATTAATTGGCTGTTACCACTCAACACTGCAGATTTCATCCGAGTTATCCTTGACTTCTCTTTCTCTTTCTCTTACACCCCACGTGCTCTCCACCAGCCAATCCTGTTGGCGCTATATTCAAAGTCTATCCAGAAACTGACCATTTCTCAGCATCTCAGCATTACCAATGCCATCTGTGGTAGGTTCTGCCCTCTCCCACCTAGATTATTGCAATTAGCCTCATAACTAGGCTGTTCCCTTCTTCCTTTGTCCTCTGCAGTCCACAGAGCAGCCAGCATGATCCTATTCAAAGTAAATTGGTTCATGGCATTTCTCGGCTGACACTCCACAGTGGCTCCCCGTCTTACTCAGAAGAAAAGCCGAAGTCTTTACAAGTGGCTCAAGACCCTGCTTGATTTGGCCTCCGTCGACCCTTCTGTTCTCATTTCTCACGATTCTCCTGCTCAGTTAGTAATCTTTAGCCACACCGGCCTCTTGGCTGTTTCTGGAACACCTTTTACCTCAGGGTCTCTGCACTTGTTGTACTACCTTTTCCTCTGGCTGGATGCCATTCCCCTGGATAAGCACATGACTTGCTCCCTCATTTCTTTCAAATCTTTGCTTAAATGTTACCTGTCATGAGACATTCCCTAGTTATCCAATTTAAAATCACAATCCTCCTCCCACCTCACCCACCACCAATGAATATACCCTATCCCTTTCCTACTGTCTTCTTCTCCATTGACTTATCACTTCTGACATACTTTATACTTTGCTTATTTTATTTTTTTATGGTGCTCCCCACTATGATGCAAGCTCCAAAAGGGCAGGGATTTTTATTTGAGTTTTTGGGTGCTCAGTAAATATGTGTTGAATCAATGTGTGAGTAATGAGCGCTCTCCCTTTTCCCTAGGAAATTTAAAGAGGAAACAAAACAAAGGGAAGACAATCTTATGAATACATTAGAAACTACTGAATTATACACTTTAATTGATTGATTGATTGAGACGGAGTCTCGCTCTGTCGCCCAGGCTGGAGTGCAATGCTGCAATCTCAGCTCACTGCAACGTCCACCTCCCGGGTTCAAGCAATTCTCTGCCTCAGCCTCCCGAGTAGCTGGGATTACAGGCGCCTGCCACCATACCTGGCTAATTTTTGTATTTTTAGTACAGACGGGGTTTTAGCATGTTGGCCAGGCCGGTCTGGAACTCCTGACCTCATGATCCACCCGCCTCAGCCTCCCAAAGTCTGGGATTACAGGTGTGAGCCACCACCCCCGGCCAAATTATACACTTTAAATGGCATATTTTATGGTATGTGAATTATATCTCAATAAAAACTAATAAAGCAGTGTTGATACTTTGTTAATCAACAAACAAACCCAAAGGGAAGGCGGAGAGCAGAGAGAAGTGCTCTCAAATCTGTCCTCCAACTTTAGAGTCATGATGGACATGACCTTTAGAAGCTGGAATGAATGGATAAAAACCAACGGGATTCCGGGAGTTGCTCTAATCCCCGCGATCTCACCCAAGTGTTGGCTTATCAATAATGGAACCTGACCAGAATCACTCTAGTATCTTAGAATACGTGAAGTTTCTTTCTCACCGCTGCAATTTCTACGCTTGCTTGGTCTGTTTACTCAAGCACTTAAAATGTAAATGTGCCTTTTGAAATGTGTGAAAAAAAAAATCAAACCCTCTCTCAGCCATTGCCAAGGCTGAGCATGAGGACTGCCACCAGCACCATTAAGCAGTTTCTGCAGGCAGTCCAATGTCACAGAGCTGTGGGGCACATGGCAACGCTGGAGCCCTAATTCCTCATGGGCTCACCCGGGTTCTAACAAAAACTGAACAATAGGGGCTTCCAAAAGAATGTGTTACTGATTCACAAATTTATGGATTGTGCCATGAGATATAACATAAAGAATCCCAAATATGTAGTTCTGGTGAGGCAAATGAAGCCTGGTTGTGAAAAAAGAGTATACATTAGTGTAAGTGGTTTAGCACAACAAATTTCATTAGATCTCTCTTTCTGCCCACAGTTAGAAGAGAGCAAGTTGGTAATAAATAATAATATTGCTTTATATTTATATAGTTTTTCACAGAGTTTTAAATAAAGCGACTTCGTGTGCATTTCTAGAGTTGTCTATTTTGTTCACTGTTCAGTTTCTAGAGCCTGGAATAGTGTTTGGTAGTGGGCACAACGATACACGTTTGTTGGGAAAGTGAGTAAATACAAACTTGTTCTTCACAGTACACTTGTGCAGGATGTGGAGTATGCACAATTCCCATTTTAAAGATAAGGGAACTGAGGTCTGCAGTGGGTAAGTGACTTATTCAAGGTCACATACCCAAAGTCAAGCCTGGGTTTCATGGCTCCTGATCCTGCACCCTTCTTTCTACCCCTTGTGTCTAAGACAATCTGCAGGTTGCATCTTGTTAAGACTGAAAAAGCAAAATGGACTTTTCTTAAATCTCTGTATCAAAATGCTTGAGATTTACAGATAAGGGGCAAATTACTCATCAGTTAAAGATGTATGAGAAGAATGCACTTTGTCAAATGTGGAGGAAGTGTAAAAAGGCAAAGAAAGAGAAAAGTAATTTAAGCAGGGAAAATAAAGACCACAGCAAGAAGAAGACACTTGATAATGTTCAGCACTGGTGACCAGGAAGTGTAAAAATTAGAGCAAGTCCATTGGGAATTGAATGTGGCAATGCATGCAAAAGCAACCTGGAGAAAGAATGACTAAAATTAAAAAGACTCGTACTACCAAGTGTTGGTGAGGATGTGGAGGACTGGCATAATTGCTAACAGGAAGGTAAAATGGTACAACTACTTTGGAAAACAGTTTGGTAGTATCTCAAAAAGTTAAAAAGCTAAATATATTCCCACCATATGTTGCAGCCATTTCACTTCCAGGCCTTTTCCCAAGAGGAATGAAAGTATATGTCCGTACAATGACTTCTGCATGTGTATTTTTAACAGCTTTGTTTCCCATAGCTCCAAACTGGGAACGATGCAAAATCTATCAACAGATAAATGGATAAACACATTGTGGTTTATCCATACAATGAAATACTACTCAGCAATAAAAAGGAATGAACGATTGATACATAAAACAATATGAATGAATCTCAAAATAATTATGTTAAATGAAAGTAGTCAGACAGAAAAGAGTACATTCCCTTCAATTTTACATTCATATCATTACACTGCATCAGAAACTGTACTCTATAGTAACAAAGAGCACATCAGTGGTATCCAGGAGCCTGGGGAGTGGGAGTGGAGAGTCCTGGAGACATAAGGGCAGAAGTAAAAGATGGCAAAGGAACACATGAAAAATTTGGAGATGGATATGTTCATTATCTTGATGTAGTGATGGTTTCACAGTATTCATATGCCAAAACTTATCAGACTCTATACTTTAAATATATATATTCTTCATGCCTAGAGAGTAGGAGGCGTTTTCACTAGAACCCACTAACAGTGGTTGTATCAGGGAAAGAGAACTGGGTAAGTGGTGATCAGAGACGGGAAGGAGTCTTACCATTTTGTCCTATTTAAATCTTTACCCTGTGCGTATATGTTAATAAATCCAATATTAATAAAATACAAAAATGAAATAATGAAAAAACTCTTGAAATTGAAAGGGACACTTAAGAAGTATTGTTGTTATCATTATCACTTCCACCACCAAATTTAGCAGTGATTCAATTAACATAAACCAGATAGAGTCTGCAGAGCTTCATTATATGTGGTCTGTTAGGAAGACTTAACATATACAGACAATATTGATCTCAAATGGGAAGCTGCAGCAGTCTCCTAACTCACTCTTGCTCATTGCTCCAGGTCACTCTTTCTTTCAGTTGGAAAGGATCAGCTTCCTAAAGCACAGGTCTGATTGTGCATTCACCTGTTCAGAATTCTTCTTCATAGTCCACTCATTCTCTACAGAATAAAGCTCAAATTCCTTAGTGAGGCATTACAAACTCTTCATGAAATGGCCTGCCTTCCCTTTCAACACCACCTCACTGCAATTCTCCTGAGTAATCCTCTCTTTTGACCCCAGCACACCTGGGCTTTTGGTCTTTTCTCCACACTCTGCATGTCAGTACCTTGGCTCACATTCACATTATTGTTCTATCTGGACTGCTTTACCAACCCTCACCACAAACCCATCCATCTTTCAAGCTTCAGCTCCTGGGCCACCTCTTCTACATAAATCACCCTGATTTCCTAAAACCAAAATTCATCTTCTTTCATGCATCCATTAATCATTAAAAAATAAAAGTATACGTACTATGTGCCAGGCAGAAACAAGATGCAGGTCCTGGCATCAAGTTGTTTTGAGTCTTCCTGCGGGAGACTGGCATGCATGCATCATAACTAACATTTGCTGAACATATACTAAGTGTCAGTAATATATTAACTCATTTAATCTTCACAACAACCCGATGAGGTAGAGACTATTTCTTGCTTTCATTTTAGAGGTAAGGAATTGGAAGCATGCAAAGGTTACGGACTTTCCAAGGCTAGGAAGAAGAGGAGCTGGATTCAAACATTCTGAGTCCAGAAGCTCTGCATTTCTCCCCTTGCCATAGCTGTTTCATAGTACGTGCACTTACTCCATCTTCATTCTAATTTAATTGACCTGAGTTGACATCGATATTGTTTTATTTATTTATTTTTGAGACGGAGTTTCGCTCTGTCACTCAGGCTGGAGTGCAGTGGCGTGATCTGGGCTCACTGCAGCCTCCACCTCTCGGGTTCAAGCGATTCTCCTGCCTCAACCTCCCAAGTAGCTGGGATTACAGGCATCCACCACCATACCTGGCTAATTTTTGTATTTTTAGTAGAGATGAGGTTTCACCATGTTGGTCACGCTCGTCTCGAACTTCTGACTTCAGGTGATCTGCCCGCCTTGGCCTCCCAAAGTGCTGGGATTACAGGTGTGAGTCATTGTGCCTGGCCCAATATTGTTTTAAAGCTTTCCAGGTGACTCTACTGTGCAGACAGCATTGGGAACCTCTGCTGCTAGGGGTGCAGTGATGGCAAAAGGGTGGATGGGCACATACGCCTGAAACGTGGGGACTGGGAGGGGCTCAAATTTCTTTAATTGGCAGGTTGGAAAACAATGAATGAGTGAACAGGAAAGGACAGGACCCAGCGACAGAGGAGCTTCAGAACTGGGAGTTGTTCAGCCAGGCTGGGAGAGGAATCAGACTGTCAGAGAGGGATGAAGGGCCATGTCAGCCTTGAATGTCATGCCTAAAGAATGTGGAACTGATCCTTTAGGCAACAGGGAGACATGGAGGGCTTAAAAATTACTTTTGCATTCATCATTTTTAATAAGCCCCCTAGAGGCTTACTTGAGCCACTCGCTTGGAAAAAAATCTGCCCTAGCAGACATGTAGGATTTATGTAATGTTGGTGTTTGTCTGATCTACAATGCTACATCGGGGAGCACCCAACCATACTCTTTGTCCATGAGGTAGAAAGAGCCAGTATCCATCTGGAAACATTTACGAGTTATAAGAGGCTTGTGCTGTGTTTCCAAAATGCCAAAAATCCCTTGGGGACAGACATCTCTGAATGGGGAGAGGCCACATCTGCAGCCTTGCTTTCTTCATCTCTGCCTGACCGTAAAGCCTCCTCCGCTTGTCAGTGGATGTGGGTTGATCTGGTGAGGACGGGAAAAGGAAGCTGGCACTAGGTGGGCGGGGGGGGGAGGTCCTTTACAATGTGGTGGTGGCCTCTATCTGTACATAAACCTTCATACAGATGTATTCCTCTGGCTGAGGTCTGAAACACTGCATTTCCCGTTGCCACAACACCAGCAGCCACCTTAGGGTCATCACTACAATCCCCCAGGATTCTGTGAAAGAGAGAGAGAGTGCCAGAGGGGACAGTAGTTTTTCTTTCTTTCTTGATTTTTCTTCTCTTCCCAATTCTTCTTTACTTCCCTTTTTTTTTTTTTTCCTAAAGAAATTCTGGCAGAAAATGTGAGCCAAGTAGGTAAGGAAGGCAGGGGAAATTTTGCCTTTTCTCAGTATGGTGGTTCCTAAGAATGCACAAGGCTATTGAAGATGTACTCCGAGTCAGGCTACGTGGACTGGATGGACACTGTTGGTGGCCTACGCAGAGCATCGTTTTCCCCTTCCTCCTTCCTAACAGAATCCCGATTTGGTAAAGGAAATCAGTGCAGCCCGGCCACTGAGAGGAAGCGGGTCCATCCACAGCTCCCGGGCAGATCCCAATTCGAGGCATAAGGCAAGGATGGTTAAACATCCCCGCTTGCTGGCAATTGCTCCAGGCTTGGGCCCATCAGCACCAGGCCCTTGCCAGGTGATTGTACTAGTTACTAGTCCAGGTGGGCTGTGTCCTGGGTTGTAACAGGCAGAATGGAAGGACCTGAAGCCTGTGTTTTTTGGGGAGAGGGTGCCTCTCTTGTTGGAAATGAACAAGGGGGCAGGTTGTTGGGGGTCTGCTGGCTGCCATCTTGTGACCACGAGAAAAGTCCAGCCGAGGAAAATGCTAACTCGAGGGGAGGAGGGCAGCCAGGCAAATCACAGAGAAATGAGTCAGAGCTATGATTTGTCTTGTGCCTGGGGGCTGGGCCTGCCCCTGGACTGTCTGTTATGTGAGATAATACATTTCCCTTTCACTTGGCTGGCAGCTGAAAAATTATTCCTAACTGCTACCTAACTCGCAGTGGCCGTCCATACAGTGGTTTTAACTAGAGAAGGCTATAATAATAGGGGTTTATACCAGAGTCTGCAGAGAGTTTTCTCACTAAACTGTTTTCTCATTTGAACCACCGAAGAGCCCCTTGAGGAGGTGAAATGGACATTATAATTCCTATAATTCAGAGCAGGGAAGTGACTTGGCCAAAGTCACAGAGCCCAGGTCTCCAACTTAATATTGCGCACTTTCTACCCTGCCAACTCCTCACATGGTTGTCACTGTAAGTTTCAAATGATTCTATGATTTGTTCTATAATGCTATAATAAAATAAAAATGCCACTCTTCATTTGCATAGTACTTTTCACTTTTCAAAGCCTGGTTACATCTACAACTGAAGCAGCTCAATTATTATTGTCAGATGCAGAGATGACAGTCACTGAAATGTAAATGACTCAGCTGGTCAAAAGCTTGTGATCTAGCAAAAAAAGAAACTGAAGCCAATTGAGGCCTCCCCTGGGATTTTGGAATCGGGATTCTGAAAGCTTCAAAAGCTGTGAGCGCCAAGTTGCAGGTCATATGGGGCCCTGAATAAGATGTATAAGAGGACGGCAGAGAGAGATGGAGAGAATAAGTGTGTGGCCCTGGGAGGAGCAGGGGGAGAAGATCCCTTCATTTCTCACCACTTTCCAGGTTCTATTTCCAGTCTGAAGAAGGTCCAGCTGGACTCTGTCTCCTGTGCATGATATTGATGTTTTTGAGCCTTTGACTTGAGCCAGTTTAAGTTGGTTTCTGTTTCCTGCAGCTTTAATTAAAACCCTTCTCATATTTATTGTTCTAGTTATGTCCTGTTCCCCTGAAATGATCAGTAGTAAAATGAAAACACTCAAAATGAAAAGGACACATGTGCTTGTCTTTTGGTAGCATCAAAGCAGAAGGTCCCTAGAGAGGCTACGCCAACCCTGAAGCCAAGCTCTGGGAAGAAGTGTGGCAAGAAATCCTGTGAGCTGTCGCAGCCACTGAGAAGGTCCAGGATAATCAGGAAATAAAAAGTGGAAGTGGGTGACCTTGAAACCATGCTGTCAGAATGTTGCTGTAGAGTTTCCTCATATATTTATGACAGTAGTTCACAACCAGAGGTGATTTGGTCCCGCAGGAGACATATAATAGTGTTTGGAGACTTTTTGGGTTGTCGCAACTTTGACAAGAGAGGGGGATGCTGCTGGCACCTAGTGGGTGGAGGCCAGAGTGGAGATACTACTGACCATCCTGCAATGCCCAGGACAGCCTCCACAACAAAGAAGTGCTCAGCCCCACAGGCCAATAGCGCCAGGGCTGAGAAACTGATTTATGAGAATGTTTATTTCTCGATGTATTTATGAGAACGTTATGCTTACTGACATTCCAATCTAGGAACTTCCCATAAATATTCTATGTACTTTTGTGATAACTAGAATGTGTATCCCCTTCTCCAGGATCACCTTTCACCACCAATAGTTAGAGAAAATCCTGCAGCAAAGATGTTTCCTCATGGGCAGTTGGGTGGGGTTTAAGACCTCATCCATGTACACAGCTGATGTATGCCCGTGCCATTAGGTTCGTTGATCCATGTGGCATGTTTCTACATGTCAGAAAACCAAAAAGGGAAAGCCTTTTTTGGTCTTGTGTTTCAGACGGTTATTTTGTACTGTGTTAGGAACCTGACATATGGTAATGCTTACCACATCCACAAAGGCTTCGACCAATGGTGATTTCTAGAGACACTGCAAACAGTAATTACATTTCTGAAGTGGTAGTTTAGATCTTATATTGCCAGTGGGAAAAAATACTAGTTTGCAGGCATGCCCCAAATGAGCTCTAAAGAACCCCTTCCAAGAGTTATTTATCCTGTGTAATGGAAAGGGGCACGAAGATCAGTAAATCTAAAGGAAAGAGGCTAGGACCTCAAAAAGACGAGGTGGGCCATGATTGCTCCTCTTAGTTACCCTGGAAACCGTGAGTGGTTTAAAGATTCTCATGAAGCTTTGGAAGATGAGTTTCTCTCATCACAAACTTCTTTGCCTAATGTGTTTGACACTGTGGATTAGCCTTGCCTCCTCCCCGTTCTTCCCTTTGGGCTTTGAGGTTTGTAGTTGCCAAAGGGCCGTCTACTGTGAATTTGGAGCTGGGTGTTTGGTTCTGCTCAACTATGATCCCTAGAGCCTGGACTAGCCTGAACACTCTGTGCTTTTTGGTCTGCCTTCAATTCTGAAGCACAGCAAAACATTCTCAGGTCCGGCAAAACTTTCCAGCTGAGATAGGAAGGAAGATGAGGGTGCGTCTGCAAGATCCACACCCTCCCCTCTGCTGCTCGGTAGAGAATGGGCTCCTCTCAGATGACAGAGTTCTGAGAGGCAGACATGGGGCTCCCTCTCAGAAGCACATTCTTGAATCCCAGCAACCAGAGACCTGGGTAAAACGGAGGGTGTGGAGGATGGTGTCTGTGGCTCAGGAATTGAGGGCTGTGGAGGATTAAGCCTCAGGAATTTCCAGGGACCAGTAGAAACAGAGTCATTTAGAAGCAGGAGACCCAGCTCTCCAAAGGCAACCACCTAATGTCCTACTTCAGAGGCCTTCCTGGGAACAATCCCTGCTCTGAAGGAGCCCTCAGACTCTCCTGCAGGGCCCCCTGACTATTTTGGCCTGGATATATAGCGGCCTGTTAAATGAGACGGGATTGATCCCTTTGCTCTTCTTCCTGGGAAGTTTTAGAAGTGTAGAGTTCATGCCCATAGTAATAACTATCATTTACTACATGTTTCCTATATGCTGCACATGGTACACAGGTGATTTTACTTAATTGTCATGGTGATCCTATTGGGTAAGGACTATTGCACCCATTCATCAGAGCAGGAAATTGAGACTTAAAGAACTTTAATAAACTGCCCAATCTGGCCAGGAGTGGTGGCTCATGCCTGTAATCCGAGCACTTTGGGAGGCCGAGGTGGGTGGATCACCTGAGGTCAGGACTTCGAGACCAGCCTAGCCAACATGGTGAAACCCCAGCTCTACTAAAAATACAAAAATTAGCCAGGCATGGTGGCGTGCACCTGTAATCCCAGCTACTCCTGAGGCTGAGGCAGGAGAATCAGTCAAACACCGGAAGGCAGAAGTTGTAGTGAGCCGAGATCGTGCCACTGCACTCCAGCCTGGCGACAGAGTGAGTCTCCAAAAAAAAAAAACAAAAACAAAAAACAAACAAAAAAAAACCCCAAACAAACAAACAAAAAAACCTGCCCAAGCTTACAGAATAAATATATAGCAGAACCAGAATTCTATCCCAAACCTCAAACACTGAACTCCATTTAACATCTAATTTTCCCACTGTACAAGATGATTTTATCTTTGTTTTTACCTTGATGCCAATATCCCAGGCTTTTTGAGATACTTGGCTGACAATTGTTAAAACACACACTGTAAAGTACATACCTTCTATAATAAAGTGGTCTTAGTTACAAGGTTAAGTGATTTTTCAAGCGTCATATTTGAGCCTGAACTCACTCACAACTCTGTCTCACACGCAAACGTTATTTAGGGTAAAATGATGCACCAGGCATATTTTTAAGTGTAACCAGGCATAACACACCCATCTAAGTAAACATTTGAGTGTATTGTAATTGACTGTGTAATGGGATGTTAAAATAAGATGATCCTTTGGTCTTAGTTTTGGTTGAGGCCTCAAGACAATAGGTGCCAACCACTTCCATGTTCCAAAGTGGTCTCTTTGAAGCTCCTCTCACTATTGCCTGAAGTGGGCTGGGTGTAGGGGGGTGGGGGTAGGGGAGCCACCTGCTCCTCTTCTGCATCTAGGTAGGGGAAAGAGGAGGGAAAATGCCTATAACTTGTCTTTAAGAAGTTTTTGCTCTCTGATCTCTGACTCCCTCTCTCAGCTTCTGCAACCTCTTGCATGGAGAGGTCATCAGCCAGAGATCTTGGTTCTCAATCAGCTCCTTTGAAAAGAGAGCTTGGATGCCCAGTAACCCAATTTGAAGTGGCTGAGTAGTTGTGTCTCTGGGGCTGATGTCTGCCTCCGTGGACTTGGTGTCTGTCCCATGATTAAGTCCTCTACAGGAGAGGGGAAGAGCTTGTGGCAATCAGAACTCTCTGTGTGACAGAGTCAGCCTGGGGTTGTTTTAGCTCTGGTCTGAGTCAGGTGCATGGAGGGCTGAGGAGCCTAGGCAGAAAGCAGCCAGACAGAGCTTACCAGTTGCCCAAGGGCTGAGGGAGGAACTGTAAACCCCCAGACAGAACGGATTTATTTCAAAACATCCAGGGAACTACAGGTGAGGAATCCCCAACGCAGTAGGGGAGGGTATCTTCACAGCACCCATAGACATGCCCTATGGGAACAAGAAGCAGCTGTAAACCCCTGTGAAGCTCAGGGAACCTGGATGCTGGCTCACAACAGTACCAACTAGTGAGGCCTGTCCCTGCCTCTCACCTTTCCTCCCTGTACCCACTTCAACTCTGGACACGAAGAGACTACCGTTGGTGGCCAAGGGGAAGAGAGGTAAAGGCGCAAGGCAGAGAAAGAAAATTCAATCATGCCCCCTTTCCACTGCAGAAAGCAAGCCTGGATGTGGAGGATGAGACTTTAAGCTTGAATATCATCTTTACGTTTTTAAGGATCACGTAGTATTACATACATGTTAATGACTGAATTAAGATTGTTTGGGAGTGGAATATGAACAGGGTCTTTTTTAAAAAAAAAAATCCTCTGAGCTTGGCCTGACAGATTTCATCCAGAGCAGAGGCAAGAACTGCCCCCTAGTGTGTGAGTGAGCGGTAGGCGGTGTCTGGGGGAAATTGAGGCATGTGAGGATGGCACGCTCTGTGTCTGCTTGTCCAAAGCGCACCCTTGGGCTTCCCTTTCCTGCTCCTTCAGCTTGCTGCAGACACACTGGCCTCCCAAGCATGGTTCCACTCAGGGCTGTTTCATTTGCTTTTCCCTCTGCCTGGAATGCTCTTCCCTGAGGGACCCACATAGGTTGCCTCCTGGCTTCCTTCATCTCTCTGTTTAACATTCACTAAATCATGCAATGCAAATCATCACCCTGACTGCTCTCTGCATCCTACTTTGCTACTTACATTTTTCACAGCCCATTATCACCACCAGGCCTCTTACTGTATTTGTTTATTATGTGCCCCCAGATTGAGAAAATGGAAATGTTTTTGTTCACTCTTCTTCCCAAGAACATGGGATTGGGAATAGCACATGGAGGTGGCCCAAAAAATATTTGCTCCTGCTGTTGTTGAATGTTATCTCTCTTCCCCTGAATTCTTTTTGCCTTTTGGAGTGCAGATTTACTCACTATGGTGTATAAACACGGCCAGTCTGGGCAAGTTAACTTGCACCTTTATGTCCAAAGCATGTTTTCTCTGTCTGGAACAAAAAGAAGCCTGGTGAAGGGAATTCACATAGCATTAAGGTGCCAGTGACCTGATCCCTTGGAAACTAGATGTAAGGTTCCCCCGAGGGCATAGGTATATTTTTTTCTTTTTGAATAAGAGAAGAAAGAATGTAGAAACAGAATGCCTTCTCACTATAGCCTGAAGGGCAGTTTTTATGAATTTTACCACACGTCCACACAGAAGTTTAGCCTTTCTCGAACTGAAGGAAAGAATTTGAGAAATGTTTACTAGAGTCTTGTCAATGTAGAGACCCTTATCAGGGAAAGTGATTTGCTGAAGTAGTTTGAGTCATAAGGAAGCATGATTCTTTCTGCGACAAGCTGCTGAGTTAACCTTCCAGTGAAGATAAAGGAAAGGTTTTGGAGACTGGCTACACAGAGGGTTTCATGATGGAGGCTCCTCAGTGTTCCCTCCACTCGCACCACCTAACTCCCCCTAGTCAGCTTTTCCCCATCCACCCAAAAAGGAGATTATCCAAGAATGACAGAAATAAAAGCCCTCTTCTCCTGACAAAACTTCCCCTGTGAGTTCCTTGCCTCCACGCCTCTCCACTGTTATTACTACGGTGTCTCTACCTGCAAGGAGGTACATTTTTTTTTTTAAAGAAATTTCACTTGGCTTGATAATTATGTTTTCAGGGATGGCAAAGACTAATTTGGTGCTGTCACAGAAAAACCAGGACCATGTGTAATTGTTGCCTGGCAGGTTAAGAGTATGACTTTGGAAGTAGACCTCTTGGATTTGAAGCTGAGCTCCATCCCTTACTAGCTGTGTGGCTTCGGACAACTTACACAACTTATCAGTGCCTTCGTTTTTTTCATCTGTATAATGGTGATGGTAAAAGCCCACCTCATATGTTTGCTGTTAGGGTTAAATGAATTGATATATGAAAAGGGCTTGAACAGTGGGTGGCACATAAGAATAGCTCTGGAAGTGTTAGCAGTTATTATTATTATTATTATTATTTAATTGAGATAGGGTCTTGCTGTGTCACCCAGGCTGGAGTGCATGATCATAGCTCATTGCAACCTCGAATGCCTGGGCTCAAGTTATCTTCCTGCCTCAGCCTCTTTAGTAGCTGGTACTACAGGCGAGCACAGCCATGCCTGGCTAATTTTTTAATTTTTAGTAGGGACAAGGTCTCACTATGTTGCCTGGGCTGGTCTCAAACTCCTGGCCTCAGGCAATTCTCCTGCCTCAGCCACCCAAAGTGTTGGATTCACAGGTATGAGCCACCACACCTGTCCTATTATTATTGTTGTTGTTGTTGGGGTGATGGTTAATCATTATAACATCGCCACCACCACCGCCACCATCATCATCATCACCACCAACATCTTGCAAAATGCTATGTGTGTTTGAGGGCCAGGATTTTCACTGTCTTCTGCAAACCACAGGGAGATACATTTTAAGACAGTGAGAGGGAGACCTTTTGAGGTTTCTCAGATTACGACCATCACAGAAGTTGCCTCTCTTATTTATTATTTGTTGATTGACTAGCTCAGATTCCCTGGATAAAGAGATGGCAACTAGTTTCTAATGATTATATTAATATCACATAATTCCATGAATCTATTTGCTAAATGTATCCGATGAGTTAATGTGTAAAAGTTTGAAGATTATTACAAATGGTATGTTTCACAGCTTATCTGATTTCTTTATTATAGTCACATATAATTAAAAAAAATTAACTAACATTTGGCACTGATCAAACCTCTTTGCCACAGCTCTGTGGGGTAGGCAGTAGTAATAGACCCATTTTATAGATGAGAAAACTGAGGCCAAGAGACTTTAAGTAACTTGCCAAAGTTAACACATTGAAAAAGTAACAGCTTTCCGCCTAACACCCACATGACCCATAGCACAGGAAGGTCCATTTTTGCCTTGACCTCGCATGTAAGGCTTTAAATTAAGGCATTTGACATTCTTTCCGAATGGGGTTATATTGACAGTCACAGAAATACAGCAGAAAGCTGAAAAAAGTCTTTCATACAACTTGGACCCACAGTCTCCAGTACACTATGTATATGTGTGTGCATATCTATCTATCTATCTATCTATCTATCTATCTATCTATCTACCTATATATCTATCTATATCTATATCTATATCTATATCTATAATCTCCTCTAATCATCTTCTGAAGAATATGGAGACATCTATATATATGTGTGTGTATATATATATATAACCCCCTCTAATTGTCTTGTGAAGAATATAATTATGTCAAATTTCATTTTTGTATACATGTAAGTCTCTGGTTAGGTAAACATGCATATTTAAAATATACCATAATTTTCATAGCACTATTTCGATACTTCTTCATTTAGCAATGTACAGAGAGTCTCAACAGTGAAATTTTCCTGGCCACATTTTGACACTGGAGAGGTCCCAGTGCATAGAACCATAGGATTGAGAGGGAAGCTTAGAGACTATCTTGTGTAACTTCTTCATTTCGTATGTGATGAAATAGAGATGGAGACATTGAGTAACCTCTCCAGTGCACCATGGCTAAATGCCCTTCTACTGACAGACAGGCCCATTGTGTTCTGTCTTGTCCCCACTGCTGCTGATGCTTGGCTCACACCTCCAAGTGTTAGCAAGGAGAGGGGAAGTTGCACATGTGGACACAGCATCATGGGAACATGTTGGGGGCCATGAAGTTTTTATTATATAAATGCTTTCTAAAGTAATCTTTTTTTTTTTAATATGTGGGGAATAAAAGATTACATTTCTTTTCTTTTCTTTTCTTTTCTTTTTTTTGAGACCAGGTCTCACTTTGTTGCCCAGGCTGGAGTGTAGTGGCGTGATCTCAGCTCACTGCAACCTCTGCCTCCCAGGTTCAAGTGATTCTCCTGCCTCAGCCTCCCGAGTAGCTGGGATTACAGGCACCCGCCATCATGCCTGGCTAATTTTTGTATTTTTGGTAGAGATGGGGTTTCACCATGTTGGCCAGGCTGGTCTCGAACTCCTGACCTCAGGTGATCCACCCACCTCGGCCTCCCAAAGTGCTGGGATTACAGGTGTGAGCCACTGCGCCAGGCCAAGATTACATTGCTATAGAAGTTTTGACATTTCAAAACTCCTTTGGAGCTGAGAACCACTATTGACCCTTGTGGCCGCCCTGGGAGGGAGGGTGTACAGGCATTGCTATTTCTGTTTTCCAAAGAGAGAAACAAAAGTCAAGAAATGTTATATATGTTTTCCAAGGTAATAGGTAGTGGCAGAGCTGTTACTATAATTTAGGACTCCTGGCTTGGCGCATGCATTGAACCATACTGCTTTCCTGTATTCAATGTGTCTTATAGGAATCATAGCTGAGAACCATTCTCAAACCTCATGTATTTTCTCTGAAAGAAACTATTCTTCATGTGATCAGTAACTTGGTGGAAAAGACAGATCTTCTTAACAATATTCATGAATTAAACAGTTTTAGGATAGATATTAAGCATTTCCAATCTTCCTAAGGTATTTTTATTTTTTTTAGTGGTGAGGCATAAGATATATTTAAATGAAGCTTAGTCTGGGAAACCAGCATATTGCAATAAAAAAATGCAAGTCTTTGCAATCTTGTAATTCTTTGTCTAAAGCTTTTTGTACAAAAGAGGGTATTTTAATTCAATAAATAAAAGATGGGCACTTCCAGCTCTCCTACCAGCACTAGCTACCACTTGCAGCTAACACACATAGAGAGAAAATACACAAACAAACAGTGTTTGATCCTGCTTTGCTGCAGGGTGTTTTCATCTTTCAAGAGACCAAGGGAAAAACAACCTCAGAACTTTACCACCAAAACTTCCAAATTTATTGCAACACAACGTAACGGCAAAATACTATTTTCTTAGCACACGCAATTTTGAGCAACCACCACGGCCAAGAATGCTTGTTTTTATTTTTACAATAAGTCCAAAGAAAATTTTTAATTCCACTCTTGATTTAGGAATGGCAAAGATGCTGTGGGTTGTTTGGAGAAAACTGTCATGTCTAATTATTCAGTCTTATCCTCTCTCTTTAACCTGTGCTTGAGGCGTTTATTTCATGTTTATACTAGTTGGACACAAATCATACTTAAAAGAGATTTCATATCCTGTCTTCCTGTGAAAAGCTGAGCTACGATGGCAGACTTAACAATGCCAGCCCCTTGTTGGGCTTATCAGTAACAGAAGCATTCAGCCTAAGAAAACACTTTAAGTGTAAACAAGACACAGAATCGCACATCTAGCCACATTCCACTGAAATCTGTCTGAATAGAGAGAAGTAGAGATCCACACGAAATAGTTTCTCTTTTAAGTTAGCACCAATGTGCCCATTTCTCATACTGCCATTCACAATCTTTATAAGCAATTTGCTATATTGCTATTACATTCCACATATTCCAAGCAAAGTTTTTAAAAAAGCAAGATAATAGAGACTTAAATTACTTTAAAATTCTACACAAATGTCATACTTTTCAACTTATTTGTAACCATAATTAAATTGGTTTAAAGGAACAGTAAAAATCTTGTTATAATATTAATATCAATGCAGTTTATTTATAATTGATAAATATATATGTATATTACTAGTTGTTTACAAGGATGCCAAGTACCATCCACTTTCATCTCAACTCTCTTGAAACTGAAATTTGCTTACTCGGTCAAGCTTTGTATTGTAGTTTCTTAAAGACAAATACGTTTCAATGATAATGAATGGAAAGTAACTATATACACAGCTTAGAAATTCATCAGACATACCTTGTTTGAAGAAGGCAATTTTTTTTTCAAAAAATTTTCACCACACAGAATGAATATTCTTTTTCCCTTAGGCTTTCCTGCATCACAAATCCCATCCAAATTATTCTAAGGAAGAAACAGGGAGAGGTCCAAGAACCTTTTCTCTTCTTCTCAGAGGAGCTAATCGAACAGTCCCATCAACCTCTCAGTACTTTGAAAAACACATTTTACACCCCCCCCCACACACATACACACACACACATGCTCACACATACTGCTTCTCACACTGGTTTTAGTGCTGAATTAGGCGGTCCTCTTTCAAATTTCCACTCCCACTGCTTTTTTTTTTTTTTTTTTTTGTAAGGATTTCTAAATATTCTTTTGTAGCCCAAAGCACAAACTTTCAGTAAGCAAATTCTACAATTTGACATTCTAAAAAGTAGAGGAGGACCACTTAGATAAAAATGGAAAGTAAAAGATATGTTTTAAAAATTACTTCAGCAGGGGCAATTCAATTTTTTCTTTCTTTTTCAAAAGCTAGTGAACAGCTGGACTGAACTGCACAAAGAAGGAAAACTGTGCAAACACTCTCAAACTTATTCTACTGGACTCCCACTTTTGAATTGAAAATATGTACTTTTTCCTACATATTAATGCTATTTTTTTGTTTTGTTTTGCTTCAGTCCTTTCTGCGTTTTGGCAAGTTTTATGAAATGACTCAATTATATGCTGGTAGTTACAGGACACAAGATAATCATAGTGGGAAGCAAAACCTGACTCATGTTTCAAAAAAAATACTGATGAATAATCTCACATGAAATCTGCCAGTTTTAGTTATTTATATATTAGTGTCATCAATGAAATCTAAGAGATTCAGATTCAAAATGTGTATTAACGTATCACATCATTAAAAAAAAATCAGACCAAAAAAAAGTACATCTGGCAGATCTTGAGATTCCAGTGTCCATCAGTGTGGCAGAGCATCTGTTTTCAAGCACAGGAGAAGGTAGCAAAGAGTCATTCCTCCTCCTGCTGGGGAGTGTGCACTCACGCAGCTAGGGAGGAGAACCTTCTTCCATTCGAGAAGCCTCCTGTCCTCATCTGTTGGCCCTGGAACTGCTCCTTATTTAAGATAATTGTTTGACAGATCTTGTGCTCTAATGCCAAGTTATACATGGGATGATTGCTGGCACGTCTTCATTGGCTATATAAAATGTGGCCGAGAAGATAGGCTCTCACGGTAAGAAGTCTGTGTTGATTAGGAGTAACTTTGGCCCAGCTCTCTGGTCTAAAGCTCTCAAATGTGACTATGTGAATCTGGGTGGGATTCATCTGCTCAATGCCATTGTGCAGAGATGCATAAGCTTTTTAATGCTATAAAACATGGTAGCTGAAATTAAATGCCACTTTTTCAGAGGTGAATTAATGAAGAGCCTGATGAAATTCAAAGCTTTTTGATGTATAAAACTTGATAAATGGAATGATTCCATCAATAGGCGAAGTGTAGCAAGCTATCTAGATGGATAGTATGTAATTTCTGCACAGGTCACTGTTAAATAAATACATCACTGTACACTGATCAGGAATCTTCCTCCATTAAAGGAACATGAAGACTAAAAAAAGGGAGATAATGATTTGAATGTTATTTAATCATTTTTACCCTTACTTCTTTTGGTTCTGCAATGAAATTATTTCTCAATCCTCTTTATTCCTCCACTAAATTCTGAGCCCAGGTTCTTTGGTGGTAAGGATGATAATGCTGTAACACTGAGGATCCCCTGTCCTACCACTTGAATTAGGGCAGGTTCAGAATGGCAGCCTAAGCATAATTCATAATCACATTATTCCTAATACTACTACTACTAATGCTGCTGGACTCGGTGGCTCAAGCCTGTAATCCCAGCACTTTGGGAGGCCGAGGCAGGCAGATCACCTAAGGTCAGGAGTTCAAGACCAGCCTGGCCAACATGGTGAAACCCCATCTCTACCAAAAATACAAAAATTAGCCAGGCGTGTGATGGCGGGTGCCTGTAATCCCAGCTACTCGGGAGGCTGAGGCAGGAGAATCACTTGAACCTGGGAGGTGGAGGTTGCAGTGAGCCGAGATCGCACCACTGCACTCCAGCCTGGTTGACAGAGCAAGACTTGGTCTCAAAAAATAATAATAATAATAATAATAATGCTAGTTGCTGTTTATCAAATACTTACTTTTACTAAGGACAGCAACCCTGTACATATATCATTACATTTAATATTTAGAAGAATGTAGAAGGATTAGTAGTATAATCTCCATTCTATAGATAAGAGAACTGAGGCCTAAAGAGATTAAGCAACTTTCCCAGGGTCATGCAGCCAATAAGGCAAGATATTGGATTCAAATCCAAGGCTTCTTGACTCCAAAGCAATGGTGCTCTATTAAGACTTAGAGCTTCTTTTCTTTTACTATAATAGTTTAACTTGTTTTCTTATGGTAAATAAGGCAAAATCAAATATAAATGTATTGAAAAGCATATGAAGAGATGCTCACTTGCAGTGATGAAGAATTTTGGAAATAGTAGTGATGGTTGCACAATATTATGAATGTAATTACTGCTACTGTATTGTACACTTAAAAATGGAAAAAATGGCAAATTTTATTACATTTTTTTTACCACAGTTAAAAATGGTAAAAAAGGAGCCATTCTCTTTTAAAAAACAATGACATATCATTTTGTTTTCATCATCTTGGCAAAAATTAGAAATCTGAAGAAAGATCATGGCAGACATGTCATAACCATGATGAGCTGCTACTGGTGAAGACAAATGTGGCTATTCTAGAGGAAAATCCAGAAGTACTTGGTTGAATTACCTGTGTACCCCAGGATCCATCCACCTCTTTCTGGGGGTATATTCGTCAGTGAGCTTCTCACACAGGGCCACTAGAAGTCCATGACCAGAGAATTCATGAGTTAAGTATGGGAGAAGCACACCACGAGGTACTGTTCAGAAGCTGGAAGCAAAGGCCTGGAGCCCTCGTACGTGCTGTCCCCGAAGTATTCTCTCGGATATCTGCGTGGCTCCCATGCTCACCTTCTTAAAATCTAGGCTCAAATGTTACCTCTTGAGTGAGCCCTTTCCTGGCTGTCCTGTTTAAAATGGCACCAACATTCCAAGCCTTTCCTTTTCCTCTTCCCTGTTTTATTCTTCTCTCTAGTACTTATTGTCCTTTAATAATATTTACTACTTGATTTTTTTTTTTTTTGAGTTGGAGTCTCACTCTGTCGCCCAGGCAGGAGTGCAGTGGTGCGATCTCGGCTCACTGCAAGCTCCGCCTCCCGGGTTCACGCCATTCTCCTGCCTCACCCTCCCGCGTAGCTGGGACTACAGGCGCCCGCTACCGCGCCCGGCTAATTTTTTGTGTTTTTAGTAGAGATGGGGTTTCACCGTGTTAGCCAGGATGGTCTCGAGCTCCTGAGCTCGTGATCCGCCCACCTCGGACTCCCAAAGTGTTGGGATTACAGGTGTGAGCCACTGCGCCCGGCCCTACTACTTGATTTTTAAATCGAGCGTCCCCCTCTAGAAAATAGGATCCAGGAAGGCAGGAGTTTTTATCTGCTTTGATCAGTGATGCATTCCTAGCCGTTGAAGCCAACATATAATAGGGCATACAATAAGTATTAACTAAAAAATGATTGAAAATACATTAGAATGGCTGCCTATGGGAAAATAGGATAGGAATGGAGAATTGGGATAAAATGGAATAAAAAACATTAAGGCAAAAGTCCTGGGGCCTTGCATGGACCACTAGTGATGGTGCCAGGAGTGGAATCAACCCTCCATCCCAGACGTCTGGCAGCAACAAAAACACTTACAACAAAATCAATCGAGGTGGTGGCCTTGGGGAAATCTTTTCTCTTTTTAAAGTAAAACAAGATCACAACTTCCTGGTGAGTGGCCTTGAGCTTGCTACTTGGCATAAACTGAACTATGTTATTTCAAGTTGAGAACAAGAATTGTGATGTTCACTTTTTCCTGCTATTACTACTTAAAATTCTGTTTTACTTATAAATCACCTATGGTTGCTTGAATGCATCAGTTCTTTCTTAAATAACTGTTTATCACCACGTAAACTTAGTATCCCAGTCTTGTATTGTATCCAGCACAAAAACTCGAATCTCTTTTAGAACATTCTCTATTAAAAGTTTTTATTATTGTCATAGACATTGAATTTGATGACTCTTTAGTATACTGCCTCATTTTTTTCTTCATTCTGGAGACAGAATGTGGAGAAATCAATGCATTCTTCATATCACAAATCCATTCTTTTATGTGACTTTTAAAAATTCAGTGTGGCAATTTAAGAGTCTAAGTAATGAGATAGTCTTTTCAGACACTCCTGATACTTTTACTGTGTGCAGGTATAAAACACAAGAGTTACACCTTTCATAACACAAGCTCACTTAAATGTCTAAGGCAACATCATCTTTGATGCTGCATCAATATTTCATAGAAATGTGATTTGCCTTGAACGCTTCTACAACAGTTTTGAGACTGTTTTCTCCCTGCACTTTGGCAGATGTTTACTGCAAGCATCCATCAGTTGTTATTTCAGTTTCCTGGACACTGCTGAATATGACTGCTAAGTATACATGTTTGGTGTAGTTTCAATGTGAATGGGAAATTTGCCAGTGTAATTTGTTTTTGTTAAATGTACACTATCACCATCAAAAGAGATTTTGCTGAGCAATGTAAAAAAAGCCTCCAAAACGAGAATGAAGAGTTTCTTAAGAATATGTCAGGGAGAAAAACATGATTATTAGATAGGAGTCCTTGATTACTAGGTAAAAGGTAGGCTCTGAGAAGAGCAAATGATGAACCTGTAGAATTCATTTTCTTTAGGCTATTTTTTTACAAAAGGAAGTCAGAAAGATCACTACTCCCAAATGCTTCCTTGAAAGAAATGAGCTGGAACCACTGTATCAAGTATTAGACAATACCTACAATATTCTAGGCCAAACTAACAAAAAATGAATGTGGGTAAGTCACTGTGATTGTAAGAATATAAAAGAGATTAAAAGATCTAAAGGATGATACTGGGAGCTGGAAGCTATCCTGTAGATCCTACACTACAGAGCGTTGCTGGTCTGGCAGATTAGAAAAATACAAAAGTGCCTTATACAAAAACGAGGGCTCAAAATGGTGGGCAGGAGATTATAGGCCTTATATCTCCCTATTATGCCAAATAAGCACATGAAGGCTAAAATAAAAGATTGGTTCACAGAACACTGGTCAGCTGGGGCTCTGCTGATCTAAGCTGTTCTGTGCTGTGCGACTCTGCTTCCCATTATATGTCTATGGGTTGGCTAGGGAACCTCTGCTCTACATGTGTTTATTTTGTTGTCCATGCTGCTGGGACAGCAGCTATACAGGAGAACTCATGGCAATGGCAAAGTCGCAAGGGGGCAATGGAAAATATGTGAGGTTTCATAAGGCCTAGTCTTAGAATTGGCATAGTATTATTTCTGGTCCATTCCACTGGCCAAAGTAAGTTCCATGACCAAGCCCAAAGTCAAGGGGTGGGGAACTAGGCTGCCCATAAAGAAGCTATGGTAAGAGTGTGAACGAAGAGGGAATGAAGAATTAGGATGAATAGTTCAACTTACCCCACCATCTCTCCCCTTTCAACCTTTCTGTATCCTTACATTTTAGTTGTATATCTTGTAAATAACATTCAACAGGATTTATAAAAAAAATTGTTTGTCAATCTCTGCATTTTATTGGGTAAATTTAGTCTATTTATTTTTATTATGATTACTGATACAGTTGGTTGCATTTATGTACCTTATTTGTATTTTTTATTTACTCTATCTTTATTTTCTTCTTCTGTTTCTGCTAGATTAGTGAAGTTTTCTATGTTTCCTCCTCTCCCTACCTGCAATGCTGTTTTTGTAATCTACAGATTGTATTTCTAAACTTTTAGTGTCTACCTTTTAAATTTTAATCTATATATGCAACTGTAATTTTTTGAAGTTTAAAGTTATTTATTATTTTTACTCCTCTCTTAAACTTGAAAAGAATCTTAGGCCACTTTAACTAGGTTCTCTGCAACTTGTACTTTTGTTAATAATTTTAGTGTTACCTTTTTAAAACACAAAATTAGATTGTTATTGCTAATATTATTTTTCAAAAGGGTTTTCACAATTAATATATTGGCATATTTTATCAGTGTGCATTTTTGCCATTGTGTCTTTTCTCCCATGCCTTCCTTATAAATTTAGATTGCCTCTTTATTAAAAACATTCAAGAAAATAAGAAATGATGGGTACTTTAACATAATAAAGTATATATGCCTTAGTCATAAAATCCATCATCTTACTTAATGGGAAAACCCTAGAGGCATTTCCACTAACATCAGGAATTCAACAAGGATAACCACTCTATCTACTACTATTCAACATCTCTAGAGGCATTTCCACTAACATCAGGAATTCAGCAAGGATAACCACTCTATCTGCTACTATTCAACATTGTGTTAAAAATATTAGCCAGTGCAACTTGACAAGAAAAATCCATTAAAGGAAAAATAATTAGTAAAGAAGGAATAACGTTATCTCTATTTACAGATATGTAAATAGGTGTGTGTGTGTGTGTGTGTGTGTGTGTGTGTCTCTTAGTTCTGCTTATTGAAAAGGCCTAGAATCAATGAAACATTACTACCAATGAGCACACACAGTATTAAGAGCTTGGTTTCTAATATTCTTTGATACATAGAATCAGAGCTCCTTGAAAAATAGCTGATTCTAGAACTGGGGATGGGAAATTACAAGTGTGCCTGGAACATTTTGGAGCCAAAAAGCAGGAAATGCTCAAAAGATAATGGTAATGCCAAAAGGAAACAGGAGCTAACCTGAAGCAGCCCTCAGCCAAATCTGGGACAATTTGAACAAAGTAAATAATGATATCAGTGAATTACAACACAATAAGATAATATTTTATGGGTCTATACTGACACAAATAATAAATAAATAGGGAGAAGGAATAACTTCATTACAAAAGAATTGCAATTAATAAATAAATATTAGTTGGAATAAAGGATAATGAAAGAAATAATAATGGTAGAAGAGAGAATAATAGAAATAGAAAACTATTGTTTGGCAAACAACAAAGTAGTGGGTAAAAAGATGATAAGGAACAGGACATTTATTAGTCTCAAAGTATCTCCCCTAAAAGATATTTGTTAACTAAATACGGAAAAATAGTGTCTTTACAGTGGAGAAACCTGGAGAAACCAAGTGATCACAATTGACATTGTGAGTAATTAGACAAATTGACATCATGTGCCTCCTTATATGCAGGGAGAAGAATACAACATCATTTCTGTGGTGTTCTTGCCAAAAATACATAAGCGACTTTAATTATGAGGAAACACCCGACAAACACAAATGGAGAAAGTCTCTACCTTATCTGGCTAGTACTTTTCAAGAATGTCCAAGTCATGAAAGACAAAGACCAGTGGATTATTACAGATTAGAGAAGACTAAGGAGATATTGTGTCCGGAATTGGTGGGTTCTTGGTCTCACTGACTTCAAGAATGAAGCCGTGGACCCTCGCGGTGAGTGTTATAGCTCTTAAGGTGGCGCATCTGGAGTTTGTTCCTTCTCATGTTCAGATGTGTTCGGAGTTTCTTCCTTCTGGTGGGTTCGTGGTCTCGCTGGCTCAGGAGTGAAGCTGCAGACCTTTGCGGTGAGTGTTACAGCTCTTAAGGCAGCGTGTCTGGAGTTGTTCGTTCCTCCCTGTGGGCTTGTGGTCTCGCTGGCTTCAGGAGTGAAGCTGCAGATCTTCGCAGTGAGTGTTATCGCTCATAAAAGTAGCGTGGACCCAAAGAGTGAGCAGTAGCAAGATTTATTGCAAAGACTGAAAGAACAAAGCTTCCACAGTGTGGAAGGCGACCCAAGCGGGTTGCCACTGCTGGCTCAGGCAGCCTGCTTTTATTCTCTTATCTGGCCCCACCCACATCCTGCTGATTGGTAGAGCCGAGTGGTCAGTTTTGACAGGGTGCTGATTGGTGCGTTTACAATCCCTGAGCTAGACACAAAGGTTCTCCACGTCCCCACCAGATTAGCTAGATACAGAGTGTGGACACAAAGGTTCTCCAAGGCCCCACCAGAGTAGCTAGATACAGAGTGTCGATTGGTGCATTCACAAACCCTGAGCTAGACACAGTGTGCTGATTGGTGTATTTACAATCCCTGAGCTAGACGTAAAGGTTCTCCACGTCCCCACCAGACTCAGGAGCCCAGCTGGCTTCACCCAGTGGATCCCGCACCGGGGCTGCAGAGGGAGCTGCCTGCCAGTCCCTCGCCGTGTGCCTGCACTCCTTAGCCCTTGGGTGGTTGATGGGACTGGGCACCGTGGAGCAGGGGGTGGCGCTCGTCGGGGAGGCTCCGGCCGCAAGGAGCCCATGGAGGGCATGGGGGGCTCAGGCATGGCAGGCTGCAGGTCCCGAGCCCTGCCCAGCGGGAAGGCAGCTAAGGCCCGGTGAGAAATCGAGCGCAGCGCCGGTGGGCTGGCACTGCTGGGGGACCCAGTACACCCTCCACAGCCGCTAGCCCGGGTGCTAAGCCCCTCATTGCCCGGGGCCGGCAGGGCCAGCCGGCTGCTCGGAGTGCGGGGCCCGCCAAGCCCACGCCCACCCGGAACTCCAGCTGGCCCGCAAGCGCCGCGCGCAGCCCTAGTTCCCGCTCGCGCCTCTCCCTCCACACCTCCCTGCAAGCTGAGGGAGCCGGCTCTGGCCTTGGCCAGCCCAGAAAGGGGCTCCCACAGTGCAGCGGTGGGCTGAAGGGCTCCTCAAGTGCCGCCAAAGTGGGAGCCCAGGCCTAGGAGGCACAGAGAGAGAGGGAGGGCTGTGAGGACTGCCAGCACGCTGTCACCTCTCAATATGACAATTAGATGCAACATGTGATCTTAGATTTGACCTTGAACCAGAAAAAGGACATTAGTGGGAAATTGATGAAATTTAAATGAGGTCTGTAGACCAGATAATGGTCGTGAATCAGTGCTAATTTTCTGTTTTGTTAATTGCATTGTAGTTACATGGAAATATTAATATTTGGGAAGCGGATGAAGAGTGTACAGAAATTCTTTGTATTAATTTTACAACATTTTTGGTAAATTTGAAATTATTTCAATATAAAAAGACAAATTTTTAAAACCAAAAAAGATGGTGTCATGAATGGAAAATTGGATTAGAAATAAGAAACATGTTTTATTAAATATGATATTAGATCTGTGTCATGGCTGTATTCATGGTTTTTGGCTCTTTAGCCTCCAACAAGTCACTTGAACACTCAGTTTCTTCATTTGTAAAATGAAAAAATTAACTTGCCTTTTGATTTGGAGTATCAAATTAGATAATCTTGATAAAAGGCTTCCCATGCCTTCTTTATGGATTTAGATTGCTTCCTTATTGAAAACGTTCAAGAAAATAAGAAATGATGGGTACTTTAACGTAATAAAGTATTTATGCCTTAGTCCTAAAATCCATCATCTTACTTAATGGGAAAACTCTAGAGGCATTTCCACTAACATCAGAAATTCAACAGGGATAATCACTCTATCTGCTACTATTCAACATTGTGTTATAAATATTAGCCAATGCTGATATTAGCCAATGCAATCTTGATAAAGATTAGCCCATGCAATCTTGATAAAATACCCTATGATCCATAAATAGCTATGCAAAATATCATTAATAATAATTATTATATAACTCATTCTAGAGATTAGAGTATTCAGGAACCAGACTTTTTGTTTTTTTAGAGACAGGGGTCTCACTATGTTGCTCAAGATGGTCTTGAACTCCTGGCCGCAAGTGATCCTCCCACCAGAATCTCCCGAAATTCTGGGATTACAGGCATGAGCCACACGGTTGCTGGCCAAGATCTTTTTCTCAGTGGTTATAGCTACCGTGGAAGAGAAGCACATAGCAAATTTTAAAGTTTCTCATGACATCCAACTACTCTGGCTGATAAATCTAAGTGAATGAGAAGCAAACAGAAGCCAGATCTTGATGGAGAGCAACACAGTGTGATGTATCTGGAGGTAAACCAAATTCCCTGCCTCATGCATAAATGAAGGGCTCATAGTGCCTTTTAAATGACAGAGAAAAAGGGACCGGGTCTCTTTACAGAAAGGCTCCCAAGAATGCCTGCACACAGCCTGGGTCACATAGATCAACATGTTTGTCATAATACTTTTGTTTTAAAGTAGAAAGAAATGGCATTTCTTTCTCACCATTTGGAAAGGTGAGTGTAGGTGACATAGGCATCTGGGCAGGGGTGGCCAGAGTGGTGGGAGTGATGCCACGGGAGGCTGGCTCTATGGGTTCCCACCAGCAGTACAATGCCCAGAACTTCTGTTTGGAAGGGCAAAATCTGAGAGCAGACGTGACTGAAATTGCATAAAAGCCATGGAAGAAATCACAAAGGAAAAGATTAGTAGATTTAACGACATTAGCATTAAAACTATAACATGGTTTTAGAAAAACAATGGACACATACACTATGAAAGAGTTATAAAGCAAATGATCAAATGGGAGCACATATTTGTAATAAGCATGGCAAATTGTTAATATTTTTAAACTATAAAAATATTTAAAAGCAGTAAGAAAACTTCAAAAGCATCACCAAATAGAAAAATATAGGCCAGTGATATGAACAATACACACACACACACACACACACTCACACACTTTAAGTGGGCAACAAATGTGGAAAAAATCATTTAACCTATGGGGACACTCAGGAAGTATAAATTAAGATGATATTAAAGCATTTATTTTCAGCTCATTGATTTGACACAGATTTTTTTAAAAATTCAATACTAGTAAGGGCGAAGATCAACATTCTCATGTATTACTCATAACAAGTGGTAAAAATTGCTACAATCTTTTCAGAAAATAATTTGGCAAGCTGTACCATGAGATGAAAAACAGTTTGACCCAATAATTCCCCTTCTAGGAATGTATCCTAAATAGAAAACCAGAGACGTGTTATGCTGTGTCTAGTCATAATACAGATAGACAGCATAGTCGATAGGCTGCATCCGCGAGCTGCAGTTTGCCCAGCCAAGAGGGACTGTAAGCCAGAAACCCTGAGCTTGGCTCTTACCTGGGGTAGGAGTGTGGGAGGGGCTTTTCCAGCACCTTGGTCACAGAGCACCCTGTTGGTTGAGCATGACCTATTGTCCTTTCGGTTGTATCCTCTAAGGTGCTGGGTTGTGCCCCAGAACCCCAGTTGTCATTGGCAGAGTGGAAAGCATCTGGAACTCCTAATAGATGAGACAGGAGTGCAAATTCTACTACATGTTACTTGAGTAATTTTGTCTTTCTGTGTCTCTGGCTTCAGAAAACAATGATAATCACAATAACTATGATATTAATCATGTTTACTGAGCATTTGCTGTATGCCAGGTACAGTTCTAAACATCTGCATCTATGAATTCATTTAATTCTCAAACAACTCTAATGAGTAGTAGTCATTTTGGAAATGAGAAAATGTAGACAGAGAGATAAAGTGACAAGGCCAGCAACACACAGCTAGGAAAATGAAGTCAGGATTTGAATGCAAGTGGCCTGTCCCCTGGCTACGCTGCCTCAGCCCCAGGTTGCTGAGAGGATCAGGACAGATAAAATATGCAAAAGACATGTTTTGAAATCATGAAGCAGGACTTGCCTGTAAGGCCTGTTTATTGCTTGCAAGGTAATAATAAACGACATAAGCTGGAGCATCTGCTTTGGCAGTGTTTGCTTTTGCTCCATAACTTCACACTTAAAAATCAGTTAAAGAAATCCTGACTAGATATAAAAATGACTATTGAAAAATCTCCCTTCCTTTGTTTTTTTTCAAGCCACAGGCTAGTTGAGAACGGACACCTTGCTGAGAAAACTAGGTAACTGAACGGCTTGGGTGATTTTATTTTTCCTATTTTCCAAGTGCTAATTTTAATGTAGACCCGAGAGTCAATTTTTTTTTTTTTTTAAGCAAAAGGAGGTTTTCTGTGGCCTGATGTGTCTAGATCTTTTTCCTTCTGCTTTGCTTATAGGCTGAAGAAGCTTAATTTAATTTGCTAGTAAGGAAAATGTTTTGCTTTCATGAGTTTTGTGATATATTAATGTATAAAAAGATTAATTAGCATAAAAGATTAATTACAAAGCACTTGAACTAAATGAACTCTAATTATGATGAAAGCCAAACATAACCACTTCATTAGTAGGACAGTGAAAATGAAAACTGCGCAGTGAATAGAGAGTGAAGTTCCCAGCTACGTGACAGGTGAACAAAGGCAGGAATACACTCCATTTCATGAAAGCCCAGAAACCTGTGGTCAGCGTCCAGCTAGGAGTCTGGTCACAGTGCAATGGCAATCTTACGCAGACCAGGATGGGCCTACTTGAATACCAAATCCCCTGATTTAGCAAAATTGTGTTTAGAGATGCTCCCAAGTATGTATTTTAAAACACTGAGCTCAGGAGGTGACTGGACTTGGTGGGTTTTGGGGTATTTATTTACCTCTTTGCTTTCTAACAGCTTCATTTCACCCCTTTTCAAGGCCACCTCTTCTTCTGTCTGCAATGACTTTCCCTAGCGGTCTAGCCCCAGTCCTCTTCTCACTCCATGTGCCCTCCTTAGTTTGTTTTATTCACTTCCATTGTTTTGAGAACTAAGTATATGTTAAATTCTTTCTAATCCTTATCTCTGGACCCTCTTGTAAGTTCCCCTAGCTATTAATGATCACCATCTTCATACCTCTGTTATGGACTTATGTTTATAATACCTGTGTTATGGACTTAGGTTTATGATACCTCTGTTATGGACTTTACGTTTGTGTCCCCTCGAAATTAATACGTTGAAGCCCTAACTCCCACTGTGATGATATTTTTAGATGGGCCTTTGGGAGGTAATTAGGTTCAGATGAGGTCATGAGGATAGAGCCCCATGATGGGATTAGTGTCCTCATAAGATGAAAGAGAGAGACATCAGAGTTCTTTCTCCATCCCTTCCCCTCCATGAACTCCTGTTTATAGCCACACAGTGAGAAGACAGCCATCTGCAAGCCAGGAAGGGGACCCTCACCAGGAACTGAATCTGCAGGCACCTTGATCTTGGACTTCCCAGCCTCCAGAATCATGAGAAATAAATTCCTGTGCTTTAAGCCACTCAGTCTATGGTGTTTTGCTACTGCAGACCAAGCTGACTAGTACAATTTTGCAGGCACTTCAAACAAAATGTCCGGGAAGGAGCTATCATCCTTCTGAATTCCCCGTCCTGATCTGTGGCAGCCCCAGCCACACAGATCTGCAGGTCAGAATCAGAGTGTTTTTACCTCTCTTGTTCTGGTCTCATCGTTTCTTTTCTTTTTTTCTTATAAATTTTTTAAATTGAGATACAATTCACATTCATAACATTTCATCTTTTTAAAGTGTACAGTTCAATGGTTTTTAGTATTTTCACAGAGTTGTGCATCTATAACCATCATCAATTCTAGAATATTTTCATGACCCCAGAAGGAGGCTCCATATCCCTTAGCCATTCTTTCAATTCCTCTGGCTGTCAGTGCTAAGCAACCACTAATCAACTTTCTGTCTCTATAGATTTGCTAATTCTAGACGTTTCACACAAAAGGCATCATACAATATTTGGTCTTTTGTGATTTGATTCTTTCATTTAGCATAGCATTTTTGAGGTTCATCCTCAAATGTTGTAACATGCACCAGTAGTTTGTTTCTTTTTATGGCTAAAAAATATGCCATCATCATCATTTCTTGCCTGGATAATTGTATAAATTCCTGACTTGTTTCTTTGCCCCAAGTCTTATCCCTTCCAGCCCATGCCCCCAACTGTTTCCAGAGGAATCTGTAAGCATAAATCTGAGTATGTCCTGCTTAAAATCTCCCAGTGGCTTTCCACTGTTTGCAGAAGGAGGTCCAAACTCCTTGGCATGCTGTACCGCTCCTAGGATGCCTTCACTGGCCTGCCCAGCCTCTTTTCCCACATCATTCTTCTATACTCATGGCGTGGCTCGGGATATCACCTCCTCTGTTCTTTCTGTGTTAACAACTTCCTGTCTTTGCAGGTGCACCTCCTCCGACGGGAGTGTCCTTTCTCCAGACTCAGCCCAGCACACTCCTCTTCGTCCTTCTGTACTTATCTGTCATCTTCTCTTTGAGTTTCCATAGGACAATTCTGTTATGGTATGTGTCACTTGCTATAATGATTTATGAATATCTGTGAACTTGAGTGCAGGAGCTAAGTTTTGCTCCTCTCGCTATCCCCAGGGCTTGGTGTAGAGCCTGGAAAACAGCTAAAACTTACTAAATGTTTATTGAATAAATAAATGATTAGAGGTAGAAAGAAGCATAATATTTTAAACATTCATGTTAGTAGTTCACCAAATAATTGACAATTTGAAAATTTCTGTCTGAGCACATGTATAATAACTGGGGCTACTAAACATCAGACTGTTCTGGGATAAAAAGAAGCAAAGCTGCCATTAACAAGAACAGATATTTTATTGCCTAGGAATGGCTTAATTTACTTATCAAGAATTTACTAGATAACTGCTGACCACTCTATTTCACTTTGACACTAATAGCTCAAGGATCTCAGTAAATAACTGGTTTGTAGAAAGAATCTGCTTTTGAATTTCAATGTGCAAGATGCCTTTAACCCATACTCAATGAATTTTGATCACGTAATTTTTTTAGTAACTGAAGGCATGATCAATAGATGTAGGTATCAAAGGGCTCCGTTGCCACACACTAAGTTTAAGAAGCCAAAGTAGAATTCCTGCTTCTTGGGAAGGAGGCAGTTGATGCTCACTGAATTGATCAATGAATATGCTATTTCTGATACTAAAGTTAATTCCATGGTTTGTGTTTGATATTTTGGGGAATGTAATAAAAGATCTCAGTTCTGTAGTGTTCATGCTCTCTTTAATTTATAGCAACAATATGAGAAGTTCCTTTTGGAATCCTGAATTGGTGATGGGATTGTAAACATTAATTGATTTGACAAACAGGTTCACAAGGTATGTGATATCAAAGGCAGATCATGGACTATGTGCTGAAGCACTAAGAAGCGTAAGTGAAGTAGTAGTCTTAAACCACCAAGAGTTAGTGAAAATCAAGATAAGCAAACTACCCAAATATCTTTTTGCCTTTCCCCTGTGCCTTTCTCCTTCTATTTCTGGAAAATTACTTGAACTAGCTGTCTGACTCTTAGAATACAAATTCTGATTAGTAAAACACTATAAATTTCTTTCAGTTGCTCCCCAGAGCAACTCAGTTCTCCCGAATGTTTTCTTGGGTGAATCTGTGAAAGCTGAAGGCTCATAGGCATCAAGAAAGAGAATAAATTTCTATAAGGAATTTTGTTTTCACTGTCCAAGCCAAGGGGCAAACCATCATCCATATTACCAAGACAATTAATGCCTCACCATATAGCATTAGGCCATCTCAAAATCCTAGTTCTCTGGCACATGAAAAATAGCAATGACGCTTAAAGTCTGAAAAATCTAATCTTCCACATACAAAACACCAAGAAAAGAATTATGAATGAGTACCACTACACACATATTAAAATGGCTAAAATCTAAAGCACCAACACCACCAAGTGCTGGTGAGGATATGGAGCAACAGAAACTCTCATTTATCGCTCGTGGAAATGCAAAATGGCATTGTCACCTTAGAAGACAGTGTGGCAATTTACAAAACTACATATGCTTTTATCGTAAGATACAGCAATTATACTCATTGGTATTTACCCAAATGAGTTGAAAGCTTATATCCACTCAAAAACCTGCCACTGATGTTTGTAGCAGTTTTATTCATAATTGCCAAGACTTGAAAGCCACCAAGATGTCCTTCAGTAGGTAAATAAATAAATAACTGTGGTACATCCTGAAAATGAAATATTATTCAGAGCTAAAATGAGATGAGCTATCAAGCCATGAGAAGACATGAAGGAAATTTAAATGTATATTACTAAGAGAAAGAAGCAAATCTGAAAAGCCTTCATATTATATGATTTCAACTATATAGCATTCTGGAAAAGGCAAAATTAGGGAGACAGTAAAAAGATCAGTGGTTGCCAGGAATTAGGGAGGAGGGAGAGATGAATTGTCTGGGCACAGAGGATTTTTAGGACACTGAAACTATTCTGTATGATGCTATAATCATGGATATGTTGTCATTATGCATAGCATGTGAAACACCAAGAGTGAACTCTAGTGTAAACTATGAACTTTGAATGATAATGTTGTGTCAATGTAGATTCATCAGTTGTAAGAAATGTACCATGCTGGCATAGAATCCTGGAGTAAGAGAGGCTGCTGTGAGCTGGGGGTAGGGCATGGGAGAGGGTATATAGGAACACTGTACTTTCCACTCAATTTTGTTCTGAACCTAAAACTGCTCTAAATAATAAAGTCTATTTAAAAAATAAAGTACTCTTTGGAGGCACTGGAGAGTTACCAAAAGATGACAGACAGTGGAGGGCATACGACACTTGAAAGAAAGCTGCACTGCATATGAGCTGCATTTATTTGGCTTTTGTCCTGAAAGTACTCTCCAGTATATGCAACCCTTGGAGGATAGAACTCAAGCTGGAAGAGGCTGCATTATAGATTTGAAAAGTCAGAGGTTAGAGTTTGGGGATGTCAGAGCAGCTGGATATTAAGGAAGGAAATGCTATAAAACAGGGTCACAGAGGGTGGGGGGAAGCCCAAATCTACACGTAAACACCTCTCAAATGTTTGGCAGATGTTCAACTGTGACTGCATGCAATGAGATTCCAATAAGCCCCAGAGAAAATAATCAGCTGGAAGACTGAAAAGTTGACCGAAATTCTTCAGCTGCTTACTGCTGGGAAGACAGAATTGGGAGTTAATGTCCTCTCAAGTTAGAAGGGCTTGGTAAACATCTCAGGCTGCCCATTGAATCCACAGAAGGGACTTGCCTTAGGAGTAAAGACTACATCCCAGGATTAAGAAAACCACCATAAGATTAATGGCAAAGCTATAAGATGACCCTAACGAAACTTAAACCAAGCCTTTAAGAGACAGGTAATTGGTGTGGTGGCTCATGCCTGTAATCCCAGCACTTTGGGAGGCCGAGGCGGGTGGATCATGAGGTCAGGAGATTGAGACCATCCTGGCTAACACGGTGAAACCCCATCTCTACTAAAAAATACAAAAAAAATTAGCCAGGCATGGTGGTGGGTGCCTGTAATCCCAGCTACTGAGGAGGCTGAGGCAGGAGAATGGCGTGAACCCAGGAGGCAGAGCTTGCAATGAGCCGAGATTGCGCCACTGCACTCCAGCCTGGGCGACAGAGCAAGACTGCATCTCAAAAAAAAAAAAAAAAAGAGACAAGTAATTAATTCATCAATAATTATACTGTTAAAACAAAATGTAATGTTCAGAGGAAAATAATAGAATTTAGAATTTCTAAAATGCATCATACACAGTGTTCTGAATACAATTTTTAAAAAATGCCATACATTGGATGTCACAGGAAAATGTAATCTATAGACAACAGGAAAAAAACAGCCAATAGCAACAGATCAAGAGGCAAGCCAGATCTTGGAATTAACAGACAAGTCCTATAAAATAACTATGATAAATACAGTAAAGAATTTAGAGAAGCATAGAGATATAATGGCAGACAAGGTAAAAATGGCAAAATTGAAAGAAAGAAAAACAATGGAAATCCTAGAACTGAAAAGTACAATATCTGAAATAACAAACTTATTAGATGGGATAACACAGATTGGACACAACAGGGAAGTAAACATTAATACATCAATAAAAATTATTAAAACTGAAGCCGAGAGGGAATAGACTAAGAAAAAAATGAACAGAGCTTCAATAACCTGTGGGATGGAATCAAGTGGTGCAGCATACATATAAGTGGGGCCCCAAAAGTAGAAGAGAGAAAATAAGGCAGAAAAAATATTTGAAGAAAAACTGGCCAAAGTATTTCAATTTTTACATTTAAAAAAAAAACAACAACAAAACAAAAATTCTCAAACCACAGAATCAGGAGGCTAAGCAAACCCCAAGCAAAATAGAAATAAAGAAAAACACATTTGGGAACAGAATATCAAATTGCTGAAACCCCATCCAGAGGAAAAAAGAAACATTGTTTATAGGAAAACAATGATAAAAATTATCCCTCATTTTCAACAATAGAAGCCAAGAAACAATGGGATGACATTGTTAAAGTGCTGATAGAAAAGAAAAGTCCACCTAGAATTTAAATCCAATGAAAACATCACTTAAATACTAAGGTGAAATAAGAATTTTCAGATAAATACAAATGGAGAAAATTTGTCACTAGTATAAAAGAAATGTATAAGGATTCTTTAGATGGAAGGAGTAAGTTCCAGTGTTCAATAGCATGGTTGGGTGACTATAGTCAATAAAAATTTGTTGTTTATTTCAAAATAACTAGAAGATTTGAAATGTTCCCACCACAAATAAATGATAAATGTTTGAGGTGATAGATATCCTATGACTGGACATTCCTATCCAGCCACTGGCTCAAATTTTTACTCCCTTTACAAACAAACTTCTTGAAAGTTGTCCAAATTTGCAGTCTCTACTTTCTCATTCTCTTTTCCACCTCACCTAATGGGGCTTCAGGTTTCATCATGCCTCTGTTCCTGCAGAGGTCACCATGCCCTCCAAAAGGCCAGATGTAATGGTCACTTCTCTGTCCACCTCATGCTTGGCCTTTCAGCTCGTTCGATGTGCCTGCCCACTTCCTTATTTTTGTAACACTCTTCGTGTGGAAACGCTGGTGGCACCCTCTCTGGTTTTGTCCCACCTCACTGGTTACTCCTTCTCCACCTCCTTTGCTGGAATTTCCTTTTTTAGCTTTTCCTCTATTTGTTGATGCCCCCAGCAGAGCTCAGTCCTGGGCCCCTTTCTTATCTGTTTTACTCTCCTCCTGATATCATTGATTCCTACTGTTTTCTTTTCACCTACTTGCCAATAACCTCTGTTCTGCATGTGAGGATCTCTAGCCCCAGACACAGGCTTCTGATCCTACTGTCAGGGTGGTTGAGGTGTGGTCTCTTCTCCTGTTCCACAACACTATATATCCTACCTATTTAACAAATTAGGATCTGTCTCTAGACAATACGTTAGAAACCCAGTTTTTTTTTTAAAAAAACACATTATTTCAAAAGACTATTACTCATTATTAAATGATATTTCTTATGGTAAATTATTTTATCATTTCAACATAGGAAAGGTCATTTCCTGCCACACATAGCCAAATGCATTGCCTTTGTTTCAGTTTCAAGCTTCCTTGGCTCTAAATTTAAAAGTGAACTCAAGTCAACCAGAGTGCAAATTCTCTGTGTGTGGCCTGCCCTCCCTCTTCCCCTAATTTTGTAGTTGGAAACACCTTCCCCTTTGGGCAAAGTGAAGCAAAAATGTAAACCATTTCTATACTATCTTGAACAAATGTACATTTCCTGTCATTGTACTTTGTGGTTAAGAGTGAGCTCTTGAGAGAAAATGGGGAAAAAATAGAAAAACATCAAAGCACATGCAGAAAACCATAAAAATAGAAAAGAGGGCTATGTGAGAACTTACCGGGGGTGGGGGAAAAAGTAAACAGATCTATTCCATTCCCCCGCCAGCAAAATGTTTAGCATCTCTCAGAATAGTTGGTAAGAATAAAAAATGGGCTTTCTCCATTGAGCTTCCCAGTCTCTGCAGAATTGAGGTTGGTGTTTACTCTCCATCTCTTTGGACAACTGATTCACCCTGTAACTGAGCCTCCTTGTCTAGAGGTGATGTGTGACTTATTTCTTCAGCAGTTTGCGTTCACTCACCACAATACAATTACCACTTTGTCTTCCCCTGAGGTGCACTCCTAAGGCGGAAGGATGTTCTCCCCTCCCCATCACCAATCTACTCAAACGGTTGGTTAATACTCTGGAAATTCCTACAGGAGTGTCCATACACAGAAACTACAAACAAATTTGAGAACAGCTATCATTAAAAATCACCATGGGATTGCTAGAAGGTGCAGGAAGGGAAAGTGGGGAATAGTAGTGCAGTGGAAGTTAATGTTGAGGAGGAGGAGGAAGATTGACGTAGATTTTTAAGAACTCTGGTTTTTATGCCTTCTTGCAGAAAATTTCTCCATTATGCCTATTTCCCAATTGCAGAGGTGGGTTTGTGGGTGAAGAAGTGTGTGTTTAAAGTAAGATTATATGATATGTGTTTTATTGTCTCTGAAACAACTGGTCCCATCAGTTGAAATTTATCATTCAAGCTTTGTATTTTACAGCCACAATCTGTGAGAAGTTTTAACGGTTGAGTATATACAAAGGTTTATGAATACATCATATAAAGATAAAATCCTCCTTCTTACTGCTCCCAAAGACTTTTTGCAAAGGAGCAGGCAGTTAAAGAAAGAGGTTGTTAAACAATGCAAGTCTTAGGGGCACTAGTAAATTCCTCTGCAAAGCAAATAGTGCAAAGCTGTTTACAATCAGAAAATAATGAATAAAGATTGAAGATGGATAAATAAAAGCTGAAGTAAACAGCAGTTTAAAAAATGCAGAGGGGGAACATTAGGGTGCATCTGAACTTTTTGTAAGCTCTGATCATTTCAGGAAAAATGTCAAACTGCTATTTAGTCAATGAGAGATTTGGATATGCATGGGAATGGTAATTAATGAAACACAGAGTCTTACAACAAGGGTAAATTGGAGTTGAGATCTCTTTTTTTCCCCTCTCTCTCTTTTTACAAATTTATTGAGAAAATTTACATACCATAAAGTTCACTGAAGTGTACAATTCAGTGTTCTTTAGTATATTTCCAGGGTTGTGCAGCCATTACCATAATCTAATTTTAGAACAATTTTTATCATTCCCAAAGAAACTCCAGTGCTAATTAATATTCCCTTCCCATTATTTCCTCCTCCTAGCCCCTGGCAACCACTAATCTACTTTCTGTCTCCATGGATTTGCCTATTCTGGCATTTCATACCAATAGAATCATACAATATGTGGTCTTTTATGACTGGATTCTTTCACTAGGCATAGTGTTTACAACATTTATTTATGTTGTAGTGCTATCAGTACTTCATTTCATTTATGTTCAAATAGTATTCTATTGAATGGATATACCACATTTGTTTATCCTGTCATCAGCTGATGGACATTTGGGTTGTTTCTACCTTGGGGCTATTATGAATAATGCTATTATAAACATTATGTACAGGTTTTTGTGTGGACATGTGTTTTCATTTCTCCTGGGTAGATACCCAGGGATAAAATTACTAGGTTGTATGGTAACTATGTTTAACACTGTGAGAAACTGCCAAATTGTTTTCCAAAGTGACTGCACAATTTTATATTTCCACCTGCAATGTGTGAGAGTTCCAATTTCTCTACATCCTCACCAACATTTTTTATTGTTTGTGTTTTTTAAAAAAATTTAGCCTTCCTAGTGAGTGTGAAATGGTGTTTCATTGTGGCTTTGAATAGCATTTCCCTAATGACTAATGAAGTTGAACATCTTTTTATATTCTTATTAGCCATTTTTTCTGTCTCTCTTGCCACCATAGATTCATTTATTATTCTTTAATCTTCCATCCTTTCTTCTCTCTGGAAATCTAGCACAAAACCTAGATAGGTAGGAACTGCATTGAGAGGCCATTTTTCTGTGCTGCAGCTGTGTCCCAATAAAACTCAAGGACAAGTTTATTAATATTGATTCTGAACCATTAAAATTACTAATTTTGGCTACATTCAAGCCAGAAGATTTTTATTAAGTGCTTTGTTCAAACTAGTGGAATATTGTGGATTTACTTACCATTAGGTTTAAAATCTAGTAAGGAATACAAGTTAAGTCCATCAATGAGTATAAAATAAGGAAGAAATAGGTAAATATCATAAGAAAGGTATTACAGAGTGCTGTCTATGGCTGAAGTGAAAACCTTGAACATGCGCATAACCTTTGGCCTAGCAATCCTTTACGAGAAATCTATTTTAAGGAAATCATTACACATTTCCACGAAAGTTTAGATACATGGATATTTACCGGAGCAATATTTCTATTTGTAAAAAAATCAAACAGTTCAATAGGTAGGTAAATAAATTATAATCTTTGCCCAAGTATTATTTCTAATTGTGAAAAATCAAACATTTCAATAGGTACATTAAAAATTATGATAGATCCATATAATAGTTATACATTTATTTAAAATGATGCACAAATATGTTTATTGTATAATATGCAGAATGTATGGGAAATCTCCTGTGGCCAGGAAAGAAAAAAAGTCTGGATGGGAATAAAACCAGAGAGGTAAACAGGTGAACTGGTATTGCCGCTGGCTTGGGGAGAAGGGGTCGGGGAGGGACTCTAAGTTTTAGTAATTTAGGGATTTCGGTTTCAGCATTCACACAGGGCCAGAAGAGAAGACTTAGGGTCTCCTAAAGGTAACTGATTCCCCAGCATACAGCCAGAGTCATTACACAGCTACAACCTCAGGAAAAGGATAGATTAGAAAAAGTTTCACTCAACAGCAGAGGTGCCATGAAACTCTGATGTCTTGGGTTAGTCTCTGAGTAGAAAAAAGAAATGCATTTTGAGAATTTGTAATCAAAGACCTATAACTCATGTAGGGTTGGGGCTCAAATTATGCTACCTGAGTTCAAGAAGACCTCAAAGTAGGAAATTAACAAAAAATTATCTCCCAGCCAAAGGCCCCAGGGCACTTGTCAGAAGAAGATTGCTCAGGTCACCAACCGATCAAGTTTCCTGAAGATGAGCACATAATCCACAATTCAATGTCAGTTTCTTCTACTTCATGTATTTTTTTCTACAAGATTCTTCATTTTTCAAAAGTCTCAAAAGAAGGTCCACATTCATTCTTATCACTTTCATCTTTAAATGTTGCTTCCTATTTCTTTCTGGCAGCCTGGAAATCCTGCCTTAGTTAAAGTATAAAATCGTGACAAGTACATGTCAGTGAGGATTATTTCTGAGTGGAACTAAATGGGCTCTCTTAATGTGCTGAATAACAACATGCCAAAATGATCCTTCAGATCAGGAAACAGTTAAGCAAATTTTTTTTCTGCTTATGTTTCTTTATTGTTGGCATTTTGTGATTTATCTAGTAACCCGTTATCTGTAGTCGTACACGCTCCTATTTTTTTAAATCATCTTCTTTAAACCATTGTCATCTATTTGACTAATTTCAGAGCACTTTGTCTTTGTAATGCCAGCCAGTGCATCTGTGATTCTTTGCTTTGCAGCATCCACTGCTCCATCTACGCTTTCAGTTTCTCTGTAGTGTTTACAAACGTATAATTTGTCAGGTATCATAGTGCATCTTGCTTTAACCATCGTTATTTATTCTTTAAAATGAGTTAGTGCCATTTTATTTATAACTTTTTTCTTTTTTTGGCTTTTAATATCTGTAAGTATCATTTATAACTTGTAAAAAAAGTATTATTATTATTGTTATGATGAGACTACCACTACTCTTGAAATCTTTTGCTCTAGGTTTCTGCTGACTTGTACTTCTTCAATGATGGATGGTGTAACATATTTTAACAGAAACTCAATTTTTTTGATGCTTTGTTCATTGATTTAGAAACTCATCTGGCTGGATAGTCCTGCTTTTCGTCTTTCATATGATTTTACTTTTAAGTTTTAGTTTAAGCTCGGAGGTGGTGTCCTCCACAGAGTAGTCCTATAGATTGCAACAAGGGGACAAGCAGACAAAACCAAGTCTTGTGAAAAAGTGTTTAAGGTTCTGGAGATGATTCACCTAAAAAAGAGAAGACTCAGGAATATTGGGGCAATGAGGGAGTGGGGGAATAAACAAGGAAGGAGTTCTAGCCTTAATATGCGGAGGAAAATGTTAATTAGAACCATGCAACAACCTGATAGATGACATTACAGATGAGGTGTTTTTTTGTCAGTAGGATTTGAAATATCAGGCACAATCTTTAAGCATGGACCCAAGATTTTGCTCCATTTTAGACTTGTAGAATGTGCATTCCACAACAGGAAGAAAAAATATGCGTGTGAATTATGATATATACTGTTCTCTTAAAATTTAATTGTTTCAATCATGAGATGAAGCTTGAAAATAAGGTGCCATTATATTTTATAACTATTTTCCTCCCACATCCTTAGAAGAAGAGATTTTTCTGTGATATCGCCTATGTTCTTTTTATAGTTTTTAATGTACTTACCTTTGGGGCACGATATGTAGAAAAATAAGGCAGTACTTTTGACAAGTAGCGTTTATTTTCTCTTTACTCTTTGGAATAGTCATTAAAGTAACAAGTTAGGAAATATTAAAAGCATTTTGTTTCTAAGAAATATACATTCTTCTATAAGTATATTTACATATTCATGGATATGATTGGTTCTTTGTTTTTGTTAACACCTAAAGAAATTTAGTTGTAGTTTCTAAACTAGAGAAAGTTTATCTTATAAAGAAAACAAAACAGAAGAAAGAATAGCAAAGCCTGGATTAGCTGTCAGTTGTCCCACAGTTCCACAATGGGGCACTATTGAGTTTTGCAAGATGCCCTTTAGAGAAAGGGAACCTTGACACAAATGATCACCTAAAAGGCACTAAGTTGATTTCTCGTAAATTAATTATGTAATACATAGTTTTCTTTAAATGGAAATAACAATTCCTCACTAAAAAGCTGAGTATATGTTTGTATAATCTTACTTCAAATATATCACAATCTTCTTTTAAATGGTATTAATTGGGCCTGAATACTTTGGAGACATGAACAAGTCTATGCTTTCTCTTTAGAAATGTAAAAATATGCTAGTAGTATGCTAGATTAGAAATTCTCTTCTAGACTTTGGATTTGTGAATATGGAAAGAATTATTTGAGTATTTAGATTATTTTTAGTCATCTAAAGTCCCATTAATTTGTAGTCCTTTCAAATATACCACTTTGCACTAATATTGGGTTGAGACGATGTCATATATAAATAACCAGCTAATTTGATGACGACAGCAAACTGGTTGTTCAGCATTGTGTAGGCAGATCAGATGAATTATTTATTGGTTCTATTTTCTTTTGAAGTTGTTCTTTGTCATCATTAATGAATGTATAAATGTACAGTATTTAGGTATGCATTTTTCTTACTAATGTTTTTTATTCCTGCTGGATGAAAGAGCTTTTGTGTAAGAGAGCAATTTTGAGAAGAAAAGGGAGAAGAAAATGAATGTGTTATGTAAAACATGGTTTTGTTTTTCTGTCTTGCTTCGGAGAAGGGAGATGTATCCTCTGGTGGCATCTTGCTCTATCCATTTTTGCCTGTTAGCAGAATTACCCACCTGGTGAGGAGCACATTGGAGAAATACATGGTACATTTAGGTGGGAGGAGTGAACAAATGAGAATCCACTATACTGAGAGACAGGGTAAACATTTCATAAATTCTGTACCCACGATATTAAAAAAAAAGCACAATTATTAAGGCGTGAATAGCATCTTCCATGACACATAGTACGCCTGATGAATAAGAAGGCAAAGTCACAGTGTGACCCAACCGATCCATGAGATCTTCAATGAGTCAATGCAATAGGCAAATTTCAGAAGTGGAAATAACAGAATCCACTCTGGTTAGTTTAAGCATGACATGGATTTGTTAGAGAACATTGGGAATCTCACAGAATCTCTGAAGAGAATGTAATTTACCTGGCATACATTTGGTGAGAAGAAACTCAGTCACATTTGCTGTGTTCTACTTTCTATTTATTGAAATTCTGTCCTCATTTTGGGTGCAAATCAAGTCTTACTTCCTCCTGGAAACCTCTTCTGGCTCTCCCAGTCCTGACTCATCTTACAGAAGTGTGGTATTTAGAGACGTAAGAGACTTCAGAGACATTCAATCCAAACTTGATCCCAGTGCGACCTGGAGTATCCCAGGAAGAATGTCATTCAGTTTCTGCTTACCTTCACTACAGAAGGACAAAGCTTTGCCTGCCAGCCAGAGGAACCTCCTCAAATGTTAAGTACTTAAAGTTCTTTTCCCAATGGCCTGGAAAAATAATATGTCATTTTTATGTTGTTCCAGATATGCCAGTCTCTGAGTACCATCATGGCTATAATAGCACCTACCGTCTATCTCCCCTCTGGAATGTCCTGAGAGACAGGACATTTCCTTAGTCCTTAGTCGTCGCAAACCCAGCACAGTGCCTGGCAATTAATTAATAGCCATTGAAGAAATACTGGTTTCTACATTGATAGTTCTGGGGGCTGGAATGGCTTGTGCTTTCAGCCTCTGCAACATTGTTCTGTTACAAATCTCATCTGAGCCCAATGAAACTCTTTCTTAAAGAATATCGCATGCGTATACCAACTAGAGCTCATTTAATGAGTAGAAAGAAAGCCAGAGTAACTTCTTTCAGGGATTTAAAAAACTGAATTGCTAGCACTTTTAAAGGATTAAGGCCAGTGTTTAATCATCCAAACTAGATTTTTTTTTCTGGAATTAATATCAAGCTCATCTCTCTGTTGTTTCTGTACCATGTTTTGTTCCTTTCTTTGAAGTTCAGGCCTGCATGTCTGTCTGCGGCCTGAGACATTCCTCCCATTGTCTATGATCTTGTAACTCTTACCTGAAGTGGCTTTGATATGACATTGACAGGTTTCTTCTGCACTCTGGTTATTTGAGCCTGAGATCAACTCATTTGGCCTATTACCTCTTCCTTGCCTGTTGAAGGCCATGGGTTCCATTTTGAAAACGATTCCACTTGCTGAAGAACGTGGGACAACAAAGTAGCCTGAGAGGCCTGGCTTCTCCCAGTCATCAAAGAGTTCTGGGTGGAGTCACACTGAGTTCTTTAAATTTTTGTTTCTCCCCCTTTCATCCTCTTCCCTTTCTTTCCTCTACTTCTGTCCTTTAGCCATTTTGGAATTACAGGGGATCTTATGGTCAGGTTTCAGTTGTTAGGTGCAGGCATTACTTTGAAGCCACGTGCTCTTTGAGAATATCTAAGCATGAAATCTTCCCCCTGTTTTCTCAAATTTATTTGAAACTCTGTTAGGCTTGCTATTTAGTTTTTTTTCTGACCATAAAAATTAAGTTGGTTTATTAGCAAATATTTAGAAAACACAGAAGAGTACTGAGAATAAAATAAAACAATTTATGTTTCCCTCAGAGGATTCTGTTTTGCATTTTGGGGGGTGAGTGTGTGTGTGTGTGTGTGTGTTTACATTATAACAAGTCCCAAAATATGCTTTACACCTCTCCTTGTATGTGTGAACTTTTGTCTTTGAGGGTCACAGAATATGAGACAACATAAAAAGTCCCATTTAACGTTTCTGGTTTAATGTAAATATGTATAATCTATATATAATACAGTGGGATGACATTCTGAAGTATTAATTGATTTTTTTATTCCCACACTTCCTCATACCCCCATAATCTCCCCTCAGATGGGTCAGGAGACAGGAGGCTTCCTTTGCTTCAAGGGAAGCTGTCGTGGTGGAACCAGATGACAAAGCCTGCATACTCTGATTTTCAATTTCAAAAACTACAACCCCGGAGTGAGACTGATGGATCAGGAAAAAAATGTAGTCAACTCACTTCTTTCCATTACCTTTGTCCCTTTCTATTACAAATATGTGGAAATATGACAAAAGTTTTATTAGGACCTATAACAAAAGAAAACTCCCAGTTACAACAACAATAACAAAAATTATCAAAAAATAAGCTGGGCATGGTGGTTCATGCCTGTAATCATGCACTTTGGGAGGGTGAGGCAGGCAGATCACCTGAGGTCAGGAGTTCAAGACCAGCCTAGTCTGGCCAACATGGTGAAACCCCATCTCTACTAAAAATACAAAAAAAAAAAAAAAAAAAAAAATTAGCTGGGCATTGTGGTGCATGCCTGTAATTCCAGCTACTCAGGAGGCTGAGGCGGGAGAATCCCTTGAACCTAGGAGGCAGAGGTTGCAGTCAGCTGAGATCACGCCACTGCACTGCAGCCTGGGCAACAGCACGAGACTCCATAAAAAAAAAAAAAAAAAAAAAAGACAAAACCCCCTAAATTATCAAGAAGTGAACTTCAAAAGAAATGTACAGGTCTAGCATACAAAAATTAGTATAAAAATGAGTTTACAGAGGGTCATAAAGGAAGACAAGAAGGCAGAAATAAATGTAGAGAGAGATATGTCTTTTGGGTGACAGGAAGGCTTACTACTACCAAGATGCTAATTCTCCCTAAATTAACTTGTAAAGTTCAGGCACTTTCAATCAAAATCTCATCAGGATTACTTGTGGAACTTGACAGTATCATCGCAAAGATCAAATGGAAGAATAAACATGCAGGAATATTGAGGAAATTCGGAGTTGAGGGGTATGAGAAAACTTGCTCGATGACAAATCAAAACTATTATGAAGCTATACAAAACTGGTGCAGGAATAAAAATCGAGATCAATGGAATGGAATAGATATCGGAAATAAATTCTAAGGTATATGAAAGTTTTTTTTCCCTAGATTTACTGCAATAATTTCCCAATTTTAAAAATTATAGTCTCCTATCTCTTTTATTAATCTCTTTCTAGGCTTTCTCCCCAAGACAGCCAGAGTCATTGCCTAAAAACATAATAGGGTTATATATAAACCTTTGGCTTAAAAGCTTTCAGTGGTTTTCCTTGCACTTGGAATTAAATCCATATTCCTACACTGAGTGGCCAGACCCGCTTCTCCCGCTAACCTCACTCACAGCATGCCTCTCTATGCTCAGCAGGTCTCAGCCACGCTGGCCAGTTTCCGTCCTCCATAGAGCCAAGTTCTTTCCCCCTACGGAGCATTTGCATGAGCTGCTCCTTCCACATGGAGCGCTTTTCCCCGACTCTTTCCCAGGCTGGCTCAATCCTATTATTTGAGCTCCAGCTCCCATTCAATGGAACTTCCTTCAAGCAGTCTGTGAGAGGAAACTGCCCCACATCTACGCTTCATTATTTTCTCTCTGTGGTCATTTGTTTCCTTCGCAGCACTTTGCAAGTTGCAATACTTATCTGTTTGCTTATTATGATCTCCTCCTCGGTACTCCATATTCCACGATGGCTGGGACCATTCTCTGCTCATCATTGTCCCTCCGGCATCTAGCGCAGAACATGCCACAGCAGTAACTCAGTCAGTGTTTGTGGAGTGAAAGAAGGAATGCATACATGCGTGGATAATAAAGTTAGCTCTTTGAATCAGTGGGGAGAAGCTAGGTTATTGAAGAAATGATGTTTGGGCAACAGGGTAGCTCTTTGGAACAACAAAACCCACGAATTCCTTACCTTCTTGCACAAAAATGAATTTATGGTTAATCAAAGTTTTAGTTTAAAATTTTAAAAACATAACATTTTTGTCTCCACCATCTTCATTGAGGTATAGTTGACAATACGGATTATATATATTTAAGTGTACAATGTGATTATCTGATATAGGTGTACGTTGTGTGATGATTACCAGAATTCAATTAACTGACACATCTATCACCACACAGTTACCATTTGTGTGTGTGTGTGTGTGTGTGTGTGTGTGTGTGTGTGTGTGGTGATAAGGACACTTAGGATCTACTCTGTTAGCAAATTTCAAGTAGACAATACAATATAATAAACTATAATCACCATGCTTTACATTACCTCCATAGTACTTATTCACCTTATAACTGAAAGTTTGTATATTTGACCAATATCTCCCCATTTTTTTCCATCTCTAAGCCCCTGGCAATCACCATTCTACTCTCTGCTTCTGTGAGTTCAACTTTTTTAGTTTGTACATATAACTGAGAACATAAAGTACTTATCTTGCTGTATCTTATTTCACTTAACATAATGTCCTCCAGGTTCATCCATGTTGTTGCAAATGGCAGACTTTTCTTCTTTTTATGATTGAATAATATTCGTGTGTGTGTGTAGATACCACATTTCCTTTATCCATTCATTTGTCAGTGGTCACTTATGTTGTTTCCATATCTTGGCTATTGTAAATAATGCTACAGTGAACATGATAGTGCAGATATCTCTTAAAGGTACTGATTTGGGCCGGGTGCAGTGGCTCATGCCCATAAGCCCAGCACTTTGGGAGGCTGAAGCAGGAGGATCACTTGAGGCCAGGAGTTTGAGACCAGTCTGAGCAACATACTGAGATCCTGTCTCTACAAACAATTTTTTTTTAATTAGCTGGGCCTGGTGGCATATACCTGCCAGCTACTCGGGAAGGTGAGGTGGGAAGATCACTTGAGCTCAGGAGTTCCAGGCTACAGTGAGCTATGATCACACCACTGCACTCCAGCCTTGGCGACAGAGTAAGGCCCTCCTCTTAAATATATATGTATTTTATTTCCTTTGTGTATGTACCCAGAAGTGAGATTGCTGGATCATATTGTAGTTTAGGTTTTAATTTTTTGAGGAATCTTCATACTGTTTTCCATGACTGTATCAATTTACATTCCCGTCAACAGTGTACAAAGGCTTCGTTTTCTCCACACCCTCACCAACACTTGTTATCTCTCGTCTTTTTGATAACAGCCACCCTAACAGGTGTGAGGTAGTATCTCCTTGTGAAAACCTTAACATTTTCTAAAGAAAACATAACAATATTTTTACATATCTTGTGAGCTAATACATGCGTATAATTCTTTGTGGGTTAAAAACAAAACAAAACAAAACAAAATGTGATGGAGCCCATATGTGGCCTAAAAGCTTAAAAAATTTACTGTCTGGCCCTTTAAGGAAAAGTTTGGTGATAACTAAGAAATATCTTGTATCTTTTGTTAAAAATTTAAAATCACTCTATCTTATGTTTAAAAAATTTTTTGGCATTGATGTATATAAACCTAATGTCATAAGCATATCATTGTCTTGACTTTCAGTGTAAGTTGATGTCACTGTGAGCTAATACATGTGTATAATTCTTTGTGGGTTAAAACAAAACAAAACAAATATGATAGAGCCCATATGTGACCTAAAAGCTTAAAAGATTCACTTTCTGGCCCTTTAAGGAAAAGTTTGGTGATAACTAAGAAATGTCTTGTATCTTTCGTTAAAAATTTAAAATCGCTCTATCTTATGTTAAAAAAAATTTTGGCGTTGATGTATATAAACCTAATGCCATAAGCAATATTATTGTCTTGACTTTCAGTGTAAGTTGATGTCACAGAGAACACACCAAAGGCAATGGTTTAAATGAAACAGGATCTAATTTTGCTCTTGCAAAAAATTACCAAGCTAAGCTTTTCAAGGCTGATAGGGTGACTGCAACCTCAATCTGCATCTTCCGTCTCCCAGCCAATGGGAAGATGGAGGGGCAAATGGAAACACAGGCAATTTCACCTTATCCAGAAGTTAGTCTCATGGACATGGTGTGCATCTTTTTTGTTCACATTCTGCTTACTGGAATATGGCCATGTCTAGCTGCATGGGAGACTGGGAATGTTGTCCTTAGATGGACAGCCTTCTTCCAAGCTTGAATTAAGAAGCTCCATTATTAAAAGCCAGGGAGAATGATTACTGATGGACATCTTGGAGTTCCTGCCGCAAAGAGTAACTTGGCCCCAATGCCACTGGGCTTATTCTTCTCTTCTCACTCATATTTTGCCTTAGATTAGTTCTAAAATTAGTTTTATTTAGATTTTCCCTTTTTGAAACTCAAGATTCAAAGTTCACAGAGAGGTTTATGCTTTTCTTGCCAGTATCATTTCCCTGTCTTTGCAAAAGTTTATTCATTCTATCCCAGGTTAGCAAACCCATTGCCCTTGTAATAGGGACTGATTCAGAAAGCCGAACTATGTATTTCAACACCTTCTCTGTTCCAGGCATTCATTTTTAAAACCCTTTCTCTTTCCCAAAGTCATGTTCATCAGCCTAATTTGCAGAGCAGCAGTCAGCAAACGTTTCCTTAAAGGGCCAGACAGTAAATCTTTTAAGCTTTTAAGCCACATATGGGCTCTATCACATTTTGTTTTGTTTTGTTCTGTTTTGTTTTTAACCCTCTAAAATGTAAAAATTATTGATAGCTTTCAGGCTGTGCAAAAATAGACTGCTGAGCTGGATGTGGTGCACATGCCATAGTCTGCTGACTCTTGTTGCAGAGCAATGTATGTCTGTATATTTCTCTTGAACAGTGGGGAAGTGGAAGTTACAGTATTCCAGCACCAGATGGTATATATCCAGGAACTATAGGGAACATCTTGCTACATCTGAACAATGACTACAGCTCTGTAACCCCAATACAGCTATGTTTGCTGCTGCACACTGAGTCTGATGGCCAACAATTATAACATAGTCAGATCCTAAAGATTTATGCTCTCTATATATCATGTTGCCAGGATGAAAGTTGAAGTTTGAGGTTCAAGGTTGAAAGATGAAAGTTGAAACTTTTTTTCAATGTTATAAACATCAATCTGTTTGTACATACCTTTGTTGATACTGTAATAGCTCAGACAATATATAGCTTAGAAATGACTTTCAAATTCCCGACTTTAAAATTCATACAGATTGCATAATCTATAAATATTCATTATCATTCATGATATAATTAATCAGCAAGTATTTATTGAATGTCTACCATATGCCGGGCACTGTACTAGATGGCGGGAATACAACCGTTAACAAAACAAAGTCCTTGCTCTCCAGTAGGGGGAGCTCACATTATAGAGGAGAAACATGGCAAATAAACAAATAAGCACATCCATTTAGAGCACAGCCGGTGCTGACAAGTGCTATGATGAAAAACAAAGCAAGACAAAGAAATAGATATTGTTTGAAGCGACTATTTTAGAGTGGTAAGAAGGTCTTTAAAATGAGGCGAGAGTTGAACTCAGTCAAGAATGCAATGCAGGAGCAAGCCATATAGTTATCTAGGGGCTATCTAGGGAACAGAGGAGGGTCGGGGGAGGCGCAGGGAGCAGGGTAAAGGCTTTCAGTGAGGTGTGTTTAGGATCAGGAAAGGGCCAGCTGACTGGAGTGGAGAGAGGCTAATAAAGCCAGGGAATATAGGACCTTTTAATTCATTATAAGGTCTTTGGATTTTATTTTGCGGGAGACGGGAAGCCTTAGAAAGATTTTGAGCAATGAAGGGTTATGATCGAATTGAGGTTTTAAGGGAGGTGTTGTCATTGCTGTGCAGCAAATACATTAAGGGCAAGAGGAGAATCAGGTGCACTAGGTGGGAGGTTATTATAATTGTGCAGGTGAGAGATGACAGTGCTTGGGCTAGGCAGTGGTGGGAAATGTAACTATTTTCATGTGGTTCAGCACACAAGAAAAAGTTTGTCTTTAATTGTATATATTTTCTAATCCCGGAGGAATCCAGTACCACCTAATTGTTTATCCCAGAATAGGCACTGCTAGCCAAAGCCTCTTACAATGGAAAACACAGGCTAATTAAACTAGGATTTACTATATGGTTTACTTTTATATCTCAAAATCTAGACATAGCCATGTTATAATTGCTAATAAAGGGCCGTGGCTATAAATCAGGATGACTTCATGAGGCAATGTTTGCTTTTAATATTGAAGAATTGACAGAACTCTATTTAGAACTGAGTTATGTACAACACTAATCTTTCAGGGATGGCTTGATTTTCAGTCCTCTATTTCCATCATTGGATTGCTTTGTTGCAATAGGAATGAACACAAGCAAATGTAACTCTATGCCTAACAATGCAAGGCAACAACTGCATACAAACAAAGCTAAGCTCAAAGTGCACGCTCAATTAATTGTTGTGAATGACAACTGAGTGATAAAGTTTAGCATTTAAAAATTAACAAATTCAAGTGCTGAGGACACCATAGAAAATTAGATGTCTATGGGTACCCTCCAAGTTAACTTACTTTTCTAATTTACTTCTAAGGAGTGGCTTAGGTGCAGGGTAAATAAAGTTTATTTTGTCTCCGTTCTTCCATTTCTCTGCCATTTTTTTATTCTCCATTTTAAAAGTTTTATTTAAAAAGTAAACCTTAACGTCGAAAATGCAAACCAGGGGAGGGCAGAAAGATCACACACTAGGCTGTAACTTCACACTAGGTTGCACGCTGGCCGGGCAGAGCTGCTCCTCACTTCCCAGACAGTGGGGCGGCCAGGCAGAGGCGCTCCTCACTTCCCAGATGGGGAGGCGGCCAGGCAGATGTGCTCCTCACTTCCCACATGGTGGAGTGGCCGGGCAAAGGTCTCTGCCATTTTTTAAAGTTCACTTCAATACTAAGTTTGGCATTTTTTTTCCCTCTCCAACATTCCCCAAACTCACTTACTAGTGGAATTTTTTTTTCTTTTTTTTTTTTTTTGGTTATTTGTTTCTCTTAAAAAAACAAAGAGGAGGGTATTTTATCAAGGCAAAATAGGTTCTCTTGCTAAGACTAATCTTTCTTCTTTTACTTTTTTGATAGTTACATAAAAGAAAATGTACAGATTCAAATACACTATGCAGCTTAATGAGGTTTTGTTTATGTATATACTCATGCAACTACTATCCTGATCAAGATATAACATATTTACAGCATTCCAAATAATCCTTTCTGCTGCTTACTAGTCAATACCCCACCAATGGGAATCATACTGAGCTCTATCTCCATAGTTTTGCCTGTTTTTGAACTTTACAAATGGAATCATATAGTATGTATTGTTGGCCCTTTGTATCCATGGGTTACACATCCATGGATTCAGTCAACCATGGGCTAAAAATATTTGAAAAAAAAATTGCATCAGTACTAAACATGTACAGACTTTTTCCCTTGTCATTATTCACTAAAAAAGACAGTCTAATAACTATTTACATAATGTTTATATTGTATTAAGTATTATAAGTAATCTAGAGCTGATTTAAAGTGTACTGAGAGGGTGTGGATATGCAAACACTATGCCATTTCATATGAGGGACTTGAGCATCCTCGGATTTTAGTATCGGGGCAGTCCTGGAACGAATCACCAATCATGCCCAGGTACCAAGGGATCATTGTATTCTTTTGTATCCGGCTTCTTTTACTAAAAAAAAAAATTTTTTTTTTTTGAGACAAGGTCCCACTCTGTCACTCAGACTGGAGTGCAGTGGTGCAATCACGGCTGACTGCAGCCTCGACCACCCAGGCTCAGGTGCTCCTCCCACCTCAGGCTCCCAAGCGTCTGAAACTAGAGGCATGTGTCACCACGCCCAGCTAATTTTTGTGTGTATTTTTTGTAGAGACAAGGTCTCGCCTTGTTGCCCAGGCTAGTCTCAAACTCCTGGGCTTAAGCAATCCACCCACCTTGGCCTCCCAAAGTGCTGGGATTACAGGTGCGTGCCACTGCATCTGGCCTGGCCTACTCAATGTTATGTATATAAAATTCATCAAAGTTGTCACATATAGCAGTTCTTTTTTTTTTCACTGCTGTTTGGTACTCCATTATGTAAATATACTTCAATTTATTTATCTGTTGTAATGTCTCTGGACTTTGGTAGTCTTCAGTTTTGGGCTATTGTGAGTAAAGCTCTGTGAACATTCTTATACATGTCTTTAGGTGGATATAAGTACTGATTTATGTTGAACGTATACCTAAAGGTTGAATTGCTGCATGAGAGGTTCTGTGTATATTGACTAACTTTTGCATAAAACAAAGAATAAGTTAGTGCCAGGAAGATGATAGTGTTAGATGATTGATTTGATTTGATAACATTTAATTAAATTACTTGAAATTGTTTGCTTGGTTATTATTTTGCTCTTTATAAAAGATGGTGAAAAAATATACCTCACTCATTAAGATGGCCACTGTTTTAAAAAACACAGAAAATAACAAGTGTTGGCAAGGATATGGGAAAATTGGAACCCTATGCATTGCTTGTGCAAATATAAAATGGTGCAGCAGCTATGGAAAATAGTATGGAGGTTCCTCAAAAATTCCAAATAGAATTATCACATGATCTAGCAATCCCACTTCTGGGTATATATCCAAAAGAATTGAAAACAGTATCTCAAAGATTGATTTGCATACTCATGTTCATTGCAGTGTTATTAACAATAGCCAGGAGGTGGAAGCCACCTAAATGTCCATCAACAGATGGATGGATAAATGAAATGTGGTCTATACATACAATGGAATATTATTCAGCTTTAAAAAAGGAGCAAATCCTGCCATGTGCTACAACGTGGATGAACCTTGAGGATGTTTTGCTAAGTGACATAAGCCAGTCACAAAAAGACAAACGCTGCATGATTCCATTTATATGAGGAATCTAAAGTAGTCAAACTCTTAGAAAGTAGAATAGTGGTTAGCAGGGGTTAGGGGGAGGGGAAAAAGAAAAGTTACTGTTTAATGGCTATAGAGTTTCAGATATGCAATACGAAAATTTCTGGAGATTCTTTGCACAACAATGTGCACCGTATAATACACTGAAAAATGGTTAAGGTGGTTTAAAAAAGATATTTTAAAAACAACAACAACACCCCATAGCTTTGATTGAAAAATATTCCTGTCATACTTTAGGTAAACAAGCCTTAAAGAAATGAGATGCAGACTGGTGTCTACTCGAGGTACATGTTTCAGAAGCTTTTGTGGAACATCAATGTACTTGCTCATGAAGGCTTTTCTATTCCCTTGTTACCACATGAATGATTTGGGGGAAAATAAGATCCTTGAAGTTGAGTATATTTATATAATTAATTGAAGAAAAGGGTACTGGAAACCATAACCACAGGAGGAATGTACAAGACAGTTATTTTCTAGCTCTTTCTGATTAAATAAAGCTATTTTTGTACTTCTGATCTTTGCATGAAACAAAAAAACCCTGAAGTCATGGTGACTCATAAATAACCTTGATGAAGCATTCAGTCCATGACCTAGCAGGTTGCAGATTGTCAATAGATGTGATTGAGTGCAAAGACCTCTTGACAACAGGAGTGCTGGTGCTAAAGGCCATCTCCTACAGAACAAATGTTACCTCACCAGAGGAACAACTGCCTGAAAATCCTGGTGTGGGCACCAGAACTTGATGAGCAAAGCTGAGGCTTTAGCAAGACATCATACCTTTCCCAAAATGGTCATGAACTTAGTTAAGCTGGAGAGCTCTGTAGACATGTGATTCTGTTGATGAATGGCAGGCTTTCCAGCCAAGAATATTATTGGCTCTTAGTTGTCCTAAATTCAGCTTTCTGACTTGACCTTACTTGAAAATAGAATGGGTCAGTCATATGCTCACAGTCGCCATTTATTGTTATGGAATTTGTGAATTAGTTCTTACCTCTGTTGAGGCATACTTTTGGGTTTGTCCTAGGCAGTCTTTGACCTTGGGCCATATGCTGTCTGCCCTACCCTTGCCATAGGCCCCAGGATCTAATTTCAGAATAAAAGTTGGAAAGCTGCCGCCATTCTGCAACTTCCTAAATAGGCCCAGATAATAATACTGTAATAGCTAAACTAAAAAGTATTATTTTTCTCATTAGTCTCTAGTTTTCAATAAAGCAGATACTCTAAGTTTTCATATTATACATTTTCCATGGGACTAAATACAATTATTTAGATTTACAATTATTTAAAAATAGAATATAAATAATTTTTTCCCTGAATCTAATCTTTTCTTCTTTTTTCCCCTCTCTCCCTCCCTCCCTCCCTTTCTGTCCTCCCCTCCTCCCCATTGCATCTCTATACCAGCTGAGCTAATTTGAAATAGAAGCCATGAATTTGGACTCTGCAGTTAGACAATACCAGCGCAGTTCTCACTAGCTGTGTAACTTTGGGAAACTCTTACTCCCTCAATGTATCTGTTTCTCCTCTTATAAGAGAAAGATGGTAATATTACATCTCTTAGAGTTGCTATGATGATCACGTGAGATGCTTTGTGCCTGGCTATAGTAAACACTCGACAAATGTTAGCTAATCTATATTATTAACATGTTGTCATAATCACATGAGCAACGTCGAGAACATTGACTTGGAGAAAGAAAAAAAAGCTCATACGAGCAACCAAATTGCCACAGATGATGGCTACAGGGGTTTAAAAACTTTGCAAATTAAAGACACAGGAAAAAAAGTGAGAAGTAGGAAAAATATATTTTTAGTCAATGAAAGAAGAATAAAAATGTTGCGTTAAATGAATAAAAATTAGTTCCGGTCATACACCACAACAAGGAAATTTTCCTGTGAGTAGCATTTATATTGGTGAAACTGGTTTAGGAGATGACCTTTCTTTGAATTGTACAGGACGTCAGAAAAAATTTTAAGCTTAAAGATCACCTGATCCAACTCAGTCATTTCACAGGTGAAGAGATAGGTTTCAGGAGATTAAGCAACTTGCCTAAGGTTACACGTCTGGTGGCAGAGCTCAATCAGAACAGTAGATCTCCTGATTGGAGCCCAGGGGGTCATTCTACAGGAGCACACAGCTTTTGAAATGTGACAAGATCAAAAAGCCCAGAGAACTTTCATGCAGGAATGAGAACAATTTTGCATTCACATCAGAGGTCATTTTTCATACCTGGAATTCAAAGCATCTGAAAACAGATATCATTATTCCTGTTGAACAAATGGAAAAATCTGGAAAAAGATAAGCTCTAAGCTGACTGGCTTTGTTGTCCAACTTCAGGCTCCATAAATACACTCATCATGCCCATGCAAGCTGGTATGTCAACCTGCTGCAGGTGCCTGCTCTGATTCTGGCACACTTCATAGGTTGCTTTCCATTGCCTACTTCTGTATTTCTTGGTCATTGTCAGTTCCTTGTCAAATATAGATCTTACAAAGGACAAGTATTCTTTTTTATTTCATTGTATATGCTGGGCACCATTCAAGAAGTTCAGGATTCACTTCATTCAAGATGTGAACTTCTTGAACAGTGCCCAGCATATACATGACTATCAGTGAGTATTTCTTGAATGAATGAACAAAAAATTAGCACTCTGCATTTCTTTATCTATCCCTTCAGATTGGCAGATGAATTTGAGGTCATGTGTCTAGGCTCTGGTTTTGAGGCCATGTGTCTAGGCTCTGGTTTTGAGACCTCTACTATATGATGGCCAGTTGTATGCTCTGTGACTCTGGGCAAAACTAACCTGACCTTGAACCACACCCTGAATTCCAGAGCACAATCTGCTGAGCACAGGACTGACAGGAAGGGGAATAAGACAGGGTATATCCCAGAGAATTGGACGCAGAGGTATAAAATGGAATTCTTCATACCCTGCACATTGTGAGGACCCTGTTGAGCTTCACTAGTGAAGTCAATGAAGTAGCCTCTCTGGGAGAAGGAATAGAACCAAACACCCATATGCATAAATGCAGCGAATCCAAATAGGGCCTCCCTCCAGTGGGCCCATTAAACCAGCATTACCAAGGCTAACTCATCCTTCAGACAGGGTGTATGGGGCTTCTTTTAGCCTCAAGTCGCACTTGATGTTCATTTGATGCATACTTTACCAGTATACAGATAGTCTCTAATTTATAATGGTTCAACTTTACAATGGTATGAAAGTGATACACATTCAATAATCATATTTCATACCACCATTCTGCTTTTTCCTTTCAGCATGCTATTTAATAAGTGACATAAGAAACACAACATTTTATTATAAAATAGGCTTTGTGTTAGATGATTTTGCCCAGCCATAAGCTAAAGTAAGTTTTCTGAGCATGTTAGAGGTGAGCTAGGCTAAGCTATGATGTCCAGTAGGTTAGGTATATTAAAGGCATTTTTGACTTACAATATTTTCCGCTTATGGGTTTACTAAGACATAACTCCACCGTAAGTCAAGGAGCATCTGTATACAGACTGCTTACTTGCTCTTGTCACAAAGAGTGGAATAGCAAAATAGCTTTAGGCTTTTGCTTTGTTTCCTTTAGCAAAACAGCTTCAGTTTCCCTCGTGAAGCAGTTCCCTAGTCCATACCCTATGTGAGTGATCAAAAAAATTCTCCGCAAAGGGTGTCTTCTGCAAAACTGCAGACCTTCTGACTCCCAAGTGTCGTCCACAGCATTTTATAGACAACATGACCCTGAGGGTTCACACCCACTCAACTCATACGGTCATCCTCCCAGATGGCACATTTGGGTCATGAGACCCACCACTTCTGAGATTTCACACTACTTTGGCAGTCAAGCCAAAGACATGCTAAATGTGATCTTCTCCTCTAATGTATGCTACAGGGAGATCATCAAGTTATAGTGTGTCCTGGGTGTTGGCAAATACACTGCTCATGAGGAAAGCTCCTCAGAATGGGTATTGTGTTTTCATTTTTCACCCAGCAAGAGCAACTTCATCATTATTAACTACAGCTGAAATTGGCTTATCAAGACCTAGAAGCTGACCATCTACTAACTGAGAAAACCTCATTGATCACACAGCTGACTGATGGTAACATACAGCTTCTGGAGATAAGGATAGACAGGACATTCAATGGTCTTCAGCATGGACAAGTACTTTCATGCCGTGGGGATGTTTTCAATGCTTCTTTTGAATGCCTCTGCTCTAACCCTAGTTGCTCCTATCTTTATGGATCATGTGGTCAATAGTGAGATATGGAATTTTAAAGGAAAGATTATGATAGGTAAGTTGAAAGGAGAAAACAAACAGCATCTGCGACACAAGCTAGTTGTGAACATACCTGACCAGGTTTTCTGTTGGCCAGACTCTGCTTGTGGCTACACAGGAAACCTGCAACACCTGATGGGCAGACCCATCAAACCCCTTCTTGTCAAACCCTTGAAAATAAAGGCCTTAATTTATGATGCATAGAAAATATCATTATCAGGGTGGAAGAAGCCTTCTCCTGTAAGCAATCCTGGGCCCTATACACCCTTACAGACATTTGGAATTGACAGGGATGGTTACTATAGCACCTATTGATTGAAGAAAACTATCTTGTGGCTTTAGAGTGTTGGAACAATATTTGTAAGGGACACCGTCATTATCAGGAAGGGAAGTAGATGGAGCTTTTGTGGCTTTGGTGGGGTTTCATCCAGCTCTATACCTGTTTCCCTGGTGAACCATTCTGCCTTACATTTGTTCCTGCACTTGCTGGGAAGGCAAAGTGTGTGGGTTATCGATGGGTCTTTAATAGACAAAGAAGACCAACATGATGCTTCCTTCTTCTGCCTGGCTCCCACTAAAGTGCCAAAAATTTAGATAATTCCCCAAGTCACCAGGCTATAGGCTTCTGACAGGAAGTCTCAAGAAATGTTTTGCAAATAGCTTTCCTCAGAGGAAACGTCAGCTGAGTCAGGAGCATTGTTCCACTAGTGGACCAGAGGGTTGACGGACTTAATTAGGGTGAATAGTTGAAGCGGGACCAAGATGGTTTTTTCCTTGGGGACCAATGTACTCTGTTAAAAGACAAAAAAAGAAATGCTTATGCAATGACTTTCTTCCTAAAAATTCAGAACACTTCAAAAATTCCCATTAATTGTATTCTCACCACAACTCTGAAGGTTAGTTCACTTATGACGCCAATGTCTTTAGGGCAGTTACATGTACATGCATAACTTCTCTTACAGCAACACATAGTCATTAGAAACACTGAAAAGTTATTGAGTACCATCACAAAATATTTTCTTTTCTTTTTCTTTCTTTCTTTCTTTTTTTTTTTTTTTTTTTTGAGATGGAGTCTCGCTCTGTCACTGGCTGGAGTGGAGTGCATTGGTGAGATCTTGGCTCACTGCAACCTCTGCCTCCTGGGTTCAAGCGATTCTCCTGCCTCAGTCTCCCGAGTAGCTGGGACTACAGGCGCCCACCACCATGGCTGGCTAATTTTTTTTTGTATTTTTAGTAGAGACGGGGTTTCACCATGTTGGCCAGGCTGGACTCGAACTCCTGACCTCAGATGATCCACCCACCTTGGCGTCCCAAAGTGCTGGGATTACAGGCATGAGTCACCATGCGCGGCCACCAGATATTTTCAAGGGCTGCAAACTGTGCTTGGAGAGGAGACTATTTAGAGATACTTTATGGACGTAAAAAATGAACAGCCAACTGTGTCCTCCTACAACTTACATTTTTTTCAATTTCAGCCTTTGAGCACTGGATCTTTCCACTTGCTTTGTCTTGTGTGGAGAGATTTGATTTTAAAATCTTTTATTATATGAGTTTGCATCTTTCCATCACTTCTATTTTATGAAAGTAGACGCTATGTTATTTCATACATAGATATTTATAACTGCCATATATTCATTGTGAATTGGAGTCTTAAACATTATGAAGAAGCATTACCCAATAGAGCTTTCTGGGATAATGGAAGTTTTCTCTGCACCACTTAATTTAATTAAATAAAATTTAAAATGTAGTTTATCACATTAACCATGTTTGTAATGTTCAGGAGTCACAGGTGACTAGTGACTACTGAATTGAAAAGTACACTTATACAGTATCCTCTTTGTTTTGCTTAATGCTTTTTGGCTTGAATTCTACTTTGTCTGACATCAAAGCCTTGATCCTTGCTTTATTTTTGCTTACTTTTGACTGGCACAACTTTGCCTAACCTTTTATTTCTAACCTTTCTGGATCACTCAGTTTTAGGCAAGTCTTTTGTATAAAGCAAAATGTTGAAATCTGTTTTAATCTTCAGTTAGTTTAAGCCTATCTACATTTATTGATATATACTCTGTTTAATCTCATTTCTTTCATTATTAATACATACTATAAATACTGGTAATTTTCTCTCTCCTTAGAAAATGTCCAGTGGTTTTATACTATGAGCAAAACAAAATTGACTTGTGTCTTCTTTCTTCTCTCATCTCTCCCTGACTTTCCAACTTTAGTCAATAATATTATCTTTCATGGTGTTTATCTTTGTACTCTTACACTTCTACAATTCAGTTTGTCAGCATTAAATGATATCCTCTGACTCTGTCCTTCTGCTTATGATGCAACTTATGTTCTTATTCTGCTTACTCCATTCTCTTGCCTCTTTTTCCTCCAGCGTTTTATTATGAAGATTTCCAAACCTACAGCAAAGTTGAAAGAATTTACAGTGAACGCCTATATACCCACCACCTAGACAGTATCATTAACATGTTACTGTCCAGCACTTACTTTAGGTATAGTTATCCATATATCCAATCTTCTATCCATATGTTAATCTATCTCATTTTTTGTGTATTTCAAAGTAAATTTCTAACATTAGTACACTTTTACCCTCAAAGTTCAGGATGCATATCATTAACTAGAGTTTATTATTTGTTTAAAGTATTTTAATATAAAATTTACATACTGTAAAGTACCCAAACCTTACGTATACCTTTGCCAGTTTTGAAGAATGGATATGCCTGTGTAACCCAAACGTCTAACAAGATACAGCATTACCAGAAAGTACCCTCATGGCCCTTGCTGTTTAATTCCCATTTCCCCAGAGGTAAGCTTCTGATTTTTTCTACCATAAATTTTTACCTGCTTTAGAAATTCATAGAAATCAAGTCAAACATTGTATCATCTTTTTTGTGTAAGGCTGCTTTTACTCAGCAAAACTTAAATTTTTTTTTTTTTTTTTTAGAGACAGGCCCTTGCTGTGTTGTTCAGGCTGGAATGCAATGGTGTGACCATTGCTCACTGCAGCCTTGAACTCCCGGGCTCAAGTGATCCTCCTACTTCAGCTTGCCAAGGAGCTAAGCAGGTGCACAGCAACGTGCCTGGCTACTTTTTTTTTCAAAATTTTTTGTAGGGATGGGATCTTGCTATGTTGTCCGAGTTGGTGTTGAACTCCTGGCCTCAAGCAATCTTCGTGCCTCAGCCTTCCAAAGCATGGGGATTACAGACCAGTGCCCAGCCTACCATAATGTTGAGATTCATCTATGTAGTTGCTTGCGTCAGTAATTTAGTCCTATTTATTAAAGATAAAAATGTATGGCAGTTAGACTATTTCCAACTTGGGGCTATTATGAATAAAGCTTCTATGAACATTCTTATACAAGTAGTTTTGTGAACTATTTTTTTATTTTTATTTGGTCAATACCTAGCAATAGTATTGCTGGGTCATAGCAGATATGCTTAGCTTATAAGAAATTTTGAGACCATTTCCCAAACTGGTTGTTCCGTCTCACATCCACACCAACAATGTATAAGAGTGCTGGTTTTCCCATATCCTTGCCGATATTTGGTGCTGTCAATCTTTTTAAATTTTAGTCATTCTGGTAGATGTTTAGTAGTACCTTATTGTGATTTAAATTTTTATTTCCCTAATGATTAATGATGTTGAACACTTTTCATTTGCTTGTTGGTTATTTATATATCTTATTTTATGAAGTATGTATTAGATTTTTTTCCCATTTTAAATTAGGTTGTTAATTTTATTATTGAGTTTTTAGTTTATTTGTTGATTTGTTCAATACGCTAGATACCAGCAATTTGCCAGATATATACTTTGCAAATATTTTCTTCTAGTCTGTGGTTTGCTTATTCATTTTTATAACAGTATCTTTTGATAGGCAGACATTTTAAGTTTGCTGTTTAATTAATCATTTAAAATTGTTTTTATTATTGCTTCCAGTGACCTAAGGAGCTTTTGCCAACCCCCCAAGTCACTAAGACATATTATTATGTTCCCTTCTAACTGCTTTATTGCTTTAACTTTCACATTTTGGTCTGTGATCCATTTTCTCCCCTTTTTCTCCCATATTTTGTTACATGTGTTAGTTCTACAACAGCAGAGCATAAAATAGCACTTGCATAACATTTTCCCACCCTTATCTCCAAATTCATTTTAGTCCTACATCTAAATATGTTTGTGCTCACCACTGGTTTCTTGCTAGTACTTCCCCAGTCATCTTTTGGTTGGGTGAAGCTGGTTCTCTAGTAGGCACCTCTGGAAGGGTGTGTTGGTACAAGATTCTCTAATGTCTTGCAGATTCAACACTGTTTTTCTTAGCTTCAATACTAGAGGGAAAGTGGGATTGATAAAACATCCTTTTACACACTTTTTTTTGCTTTGATGAATGTATTATTTGTTATCTTCCATTGTTTATTGTTTAAGTATTCATTATCTTCCATTGTGCATTATTTTTCCAACGACATTTCAATTATAGAGACACTGGAAGAGTAATCTACTTATTTCACACTATTTTCTGAAAATAAACGTATAACCATTTCACCTTAACATTATCTTCAGGTTCATGCAAAGGGCTGCCTTATGGATTTCCTTGGTATTAGGGTTAGAAAAGAATTCTCAGTAAAACTGGGTTTCTGTGAGCTTTGAATTTGTGTGCACCAGTGAAAGCACATCCTGAATGTAAGGTACTATATAAATATATGCAATAATAATAATACCACTATTCACTATCTTTATAATGAGAAGATTATATCTAAGAAGGCAGAAGGAGTTTTCCCTAAAACAAGGCTAACATTCTAGGTCTAGAAATACCAGGAATAATGTATCCAGTTGATATGCCAAAGTTTAGATAACTTAAAGTTTATCATAACAACTTGGGACCCAGATGTGAATTGAGTTCCAATTAATGACTTAGGAAATCTTTGAGTTATCCTGCTCCTCTTAAATGGATTTGTAGTATGTAGCCTGCCATTGTATGAATGTGCCTTTACTGAGTTAAGAATTGTCTGCTGATGGATGGATAGTCAAGTTTGTTCCCAGTTTTTTTTTTTTTTTTTTTTTCTGACGCAAGGTTTCATTCTATTGCCCAGGCTGAAGAGCAGTGGCATGATCACTGCTGCTCACTGCAGCCTTAACTTTCTGGGCTCAGGCGATTCTCAAATCTCAGCCTCCTGAGTTGCTGGGACTACATGCGTGCATCACCACACTTGCCTTTTTTTTTTTTTTTTTGTATTTTTAGTAGAGATGGGATTTTGCAGTGTTACCCAGGCTGGTCTCAAATTCCTGTTGTCAAGCGATCTGCCTGCCTCAGCCTCCCAAAGTGCTGGGATAATAGGGTGAGCCACCGCACCCAGCCTCTTCCCAGTTTTTTGATGCTATAAACTACAGGATAATAACACTCGTATACATACATTTATCTAGTATGAGAACTTATTCTATGTATTTTTAGAAGTAAAATTTTGAGAGGAAAAGAAATGATCATTTTAAATTTTGATACATAATACTAAATTATACTTATGGGTTGTTATAAACCTCAGGACTTATCTTGGCTTGGAAGATGACCAATAACCGAAGGTATTAAGGTCACATTAAAGTTAATATGTATTATTAAGTCACTATCTTTGTTATGAAAAAGTTAATAGAACTGATGAGAGAATTCAAGGTATTGAATGACTGTTGTACAATATGCAGAGGTCATGAAATGGAATGGATACCCCTCACTTTTTTTATAAGATGGAGATAAATTCCTTGTAGGACTATTTAGATGATTTAAGAGATAATAGTTGTAAAACTCCTCGACCAGTACCTGGCACATAGTAGGTGCTCTGTAAACAATTACCATTTTACTATATTTTTATAAAGAGAAGTCATTATCGTAATAGAGCCCTCTTTTAGCTTTCATGATCACATTTTATCTAACTCCTGTCAGCTTCTGCTTTCATCAAGTATGAGACCACTGGTAATTAGACTTTAACATTTAAAAATACTAGTATTATTTAGTGTGAGTAAGAGAAAGTTGTGGAGTCTTTAAAAATGAGTGATCAGATTTTATGCTCCAAGGAATGGACAGCTAGGGGTTACTAGTCAAGGCAAGAAGTTGGGGCCAGGAGTGTCTGCCATAGGCCAAGGGTCGGTGCCTGAAGGGTGAGAGTTACCAGCACAAGCTCAGTTGTCAGGAAGTGAAAGCAGGCCAAGAGTCAACAAGCAAGATGACTCACAGGTAACAGGACACCCAAGTGTCAGGAGTCATAAGAAGCCAGGAGCCTGGCTCCACAACCCCAGAAAGGCTCCACTCCAGAGGAGGTTCAGGCCAAGGCACTGTCTGAAGTTCTGAAGCTCAAGGTAGCCAGCCAGGGGCCCAGGGGGACTGAAGCACATCTCCATGCAGAGTAGACTTGGCTGATCGCTGTTTCTGGGCATTTACAGGTTTGTGTGGGTCAGAAGCCAACTACAGAAGAGCTTGTCTGTGTCCCCCAGGTACAAGTAGGTGAATGGGGGAGCAGAAAGTTAGGTCAAATTTGGAAGAAAGAAACAATAAACTTTCTGTGATAGTTGCAGCACACGGTGATGAAATCCTCCTACGGAAAAGTGTTAGAAAAGCTATATACATTTGCATTATCAAGCCTCACATCTGCTGTCATGTCTTGGGAAGTGGAATGTTGCTGTATTCGTTCCCTTGGTTTTCTAAAAGAATGATCTAAATTTCTGACAGATTTGCTAAGATTTAAACAATTGTGGCACTAAATCTCCACTGTATGTTCTGTCTATGTCTTATTATCACTTATGTTTCTTCCTGGACAACACTGGGGGTGATGGTAGAGGAAGACATCGCTATGTGCTGCTATGAGGAAGATGGGGACAGGAACATGAGAACTATGGTAGGAGTGTTGCTCTTATACTTGGAACCATGAGATATCTATGGAAGTATGAATAACTGTCTTAGCCAGGCACAGTGGCTCACGCCTGTAATCCCCAGAACTTTGGGAGGCTGAGGCAGGCAGATCACCTGAGGTTGAGAGTTTGAGACCAGACTAGCCAACATGGCAAAACACTCTCTCTACTAAAAAATACAAAAAAATTAGCTGGGCGTGGTGGCAGGTGCCTGTAATCCCAGCTACTTGGGAGGCTGAGACACGAGAATCACTTGAATCTGGCAAGCGGAGGCTGCAGTGAGCCAAGATCCCACCACTGCACTCCAGCCTGGGCAACAGAGTAAGACTCTGTCAAGAAAAACAACAACAACAACAACAACAAAAAACAAGAAAAAAAACAGGCAAAATCCAAAAAACTGTCTTAGGCCCTACTAGGGTTTGAATATGGTTTGTTTGGTCCCACCAAGTCTCATGTTGAAATTTGATTCCCACTGTTGGAGGTGGGGCCTGGTAGGAGGTGTCTGGGTCCTTAGGAATGGCTTGGTGCCATTCTTACGAGAAGGAGTGAGTTCTTACTCTTAGTTCCTGCATGACCTGGTTGTTGAAAAGAGCCTGGCACCTCCCTCGCCTCTCTCTCTTGCTCTCTTCCCATGTGATCTCTGCACATGCCAGCTTTCCTTCTTCTTTCACCATAAGTGGAAGCAGCCTGAAGCCCTCACTTGAAGTGGATGCTGGAGCCATGCTTCTTGTATAGTCTGCAGAACAGTGAGCCAAATAAACCTCTTATTTATAAATTACCCAGCCTCAGGTATTCCTTTAAAGCTTAGGGTCATTAGGCTTAGGGCCTAATGGATGAAGACAGGCCCATTCCCTGGAAAACAATGCCTGAGGCTATACTTTAAAATACTTTATTGGGAATGTCATCCCGTGAAGCAGGAGGGAGGCAAAGGAGAAAGGACAGCATATATTTAAAAATGTGGGTTATTAAGCTGACCGTGGCTTGGTGAACAAGTGTAGTTGATTGCCTGGTCTCACAGGATGTCTTCAGAGAGATAGTATGAAACTATTACAGCTCCCTCCTGGGGGTGTAAGGCAAAAGAATTAGCCTCTGGCTTCTATTTCCAATTGATTAAAGTTAGCTTCACAGGGCATTACGCCCCCACACTTCCAGGTTGCACCACCTGGTCTCACCATCAGCTGTTGGGGAGGCTAAATCCATGACAGCAACTGCGGCATCTGCAGCATAAGCCGCCATCCTCAGGGCAAGCCAGAGAATAGGCCTGAGACAGTGGCCTTCCCACATCCCTGCCTGCAACTTGCAGCCTCAAAGGCCCTGTTAGATGGATACCCAATGGGTTCTGCAGCACCGTTTAGCTGAAAACCCCAGCTTCTCATGTCCCAGTATCTCATGCCCCAGCAGCAAAAGGGAAGTCCAGGTCAGATGCCGGTTAGTTATGCTCACAGGTGTCATGAGGGACCACAGCATTGCCTGATGCCACAGCCATAGGAACACGTAAGCCACTGTGCTGTTCAGCCAGAATGCAAAGCCCAGTACAATGATATTTACATGTTCCTGATTATACAATAATAACTAACACCATTGAGCACTTACTGCACAAAGCACTTTGCATATAATCTTATGTATTGATCTCATTTAATATACAGTCATATGTTGCTTAATGATGCAGATATGTTCTGAAAAATGCATCATAAGGCAATTTCATTGAGTATACTTACCCAAACCTAGATGGTATGGCCTACTACACACCTAGGCCACATAGTATAGCTTATTACTCCTGAGCTAAAAACTTGTACAGCATGTTACTGTATTGAATACTCCAGGCAATTATAACACAATGGTAAATACTTGTATATCTAAACATATCTAAACATAGAAAAGGCATAGTGAAAATACAGTATAAAAGATTAAAAAATGGCACACCTGTATAGGGCACTTACCATGAATGGAGCTTGCAGGACTGGAAGTTGCTCTGGGTGAGTCCAGGAGTGAGTGGTGAGTGCGTGTGAGGGCATAGGACATTACTATACACTACTATAGATTTTATAAACACTATACACTTTGGCTATCCTAAATTTACAAAAAAAAAAGCACTTTTTCCTTAACAATAAATTTACTTTATAAACTTTTAATTCTTTTATTTTTATTTTTTTTTACCTTTTGGCTCTTTTGTAATAACACTTTGCTTAAAACACAATATGTTGTATGACTGTGCAAAAATAGTTTCTTTACTTATTCTATAAGCTTTTTCTACTTAAAAATTTTTACTTTCTTTTACTTTAAAAACTTTTTTTGCTAAAAACTAAGACACAAACACACACATTAGCCTAGGCCTACACAGGATCAAGGTCATCAGTATCATTTTCTTCCACCTCCACATCTTTTCCTACTGGAAAGTCTTCAAGGGCAATAGCACCCATGGAGTTTTCATCTCCTATGATATCAATGCCTTTTGCTGGAATATTTCTTGAAGGACCACCATAAGCTCATTACTCTATGACATTATGCTAGTTACCATGTCACTAGGCAATAGGAGTTTTCCAGCTCCATTATACTCTTATGGGACCACTGTCATATATTCCATTCCTTGTTGACTGAAATGTTATGTGGCGCATGACTGTATATTGTTTTATATTCTATGTTTTCATGTAGTTTTTTATGGTGAAGGGTTCTTTATCTAATTTAATATTTTTCAAAAGCATTTCTCACTGCCAAGGACATATTCCGTACTGTGGATGCATAATAATTTCTTTCACTTTCTCATATTTTTGTACACATGGGTTGTTGGTAGTTGTTTGCTCTCATAAATTATTCAGTGTGTGTAAGTCGGATTTGTCTAATCTATGTTATTAAAACAAACAACCCTCAAATCTCCATGCTTTAAAATAACAGATTTATTTTTCACTCACATATTGAATTAGCAAGAAACATTTGCACATCACAGTCACATTGGGACCGAGACCAACAGAACAGTCGCCATCTCAAATGTTGTTAGACACTGTTCCAGAGGTAAAAGATAGCTCTGGAGAGATTCACACTGGCAATTAAATGCATCCTAGAAACGACACATGCCACTTCTGAACTCATTCGTCAGATCTAGTTGCAAGGCCCCACCAAACCACAAGGGGGCCAGGAGAGAACGAGAACCAGAAATGGCCAACATTATTTAAGGAGTATGACATCATTACAAATGTCTGTGCAAAATCTTCTTGTTTTGTTACTTGTTTACCTAAACGTTTTTATAGAAAAATCATTATAATAATATAAACATTTATGTTTTATTTATGCATTGCTGGAGTTTTGTATTTTGGCTTTTAGACTCATATTTACCCTTTTATACTCTCCTGTCAATGGGAGGCTGGGAGCCTACAAAACTGCGTTTCCCAGACCACTTTTCTGCTGGATTTCAGTTAAGCAGCGCTAGTGGAGGAAAATCAGAAGAGAGGAGGAAGGGAGAAGCCACGCTTTTCCTGTTTCTGGCTTCACGAGCAGCCATGGGAGACAACTACAAATGATTACAGACTCCAGCAGCAACAAGGTCAGAAACATCAACAAGATTATGGTCTCCTGGCCTCCTTCTGTTCGGGGCCAGTACTGGAGCTTGTGGGCTCTGTGTCATATCTCCTTCTCCCTTTCACTTCTCCAGCCCAAGGGGTAGAGTTAGCTTCCTGCAATCAATGACCTCTAGGTGATAGCATCATCTTCCCACTTTGGTTCCTCCAGCCCTTCTTTTTTTTTTTTTTGAGACGGAGTCTATCGCTCAGGCTGGAGTGCAGTGGCGCGATCTCGGCTCACTGCAAACTCCGCCTCCCGGGTTCACGCCATTCTCCTGCCTCAGCCTCCCGAGTAGCTGGGACTACAGGCGCCCGCCACCGCGCCCGGCTGATTTTTTTTGTATTTTTAGTAGAGACGGGGTTTCACCGTGTTAGCCAGGATGGTCTTGATCTCCTGACCTCGTGATCCACCCGCCTTGGCCTCCCAAAGTGCTGGGATTACAGGTGTGAGCCACCGCGCCCGGCCTGGTTCCTCTAGCCCTTCTAACAATTTTCTAACCAATATGACTTCTTCCTTCCTCCTCCCTTCTAATTACTCTCCCACTATACTGCTTAACTGGAGCCCAGCAGGAAAGTGGTCTGAGAAATGCAGTTTGCAGGCTCCCAAGCCCCTGTATATAGAAAGGCAGTATTAAAGGGTATGAGTCTCAGAGCCAAAATATAAAACTCCAGCATAGGCATCAATATAATCAATCCCATATGAAGCCGGCTCTGTCTAAAATGGCTGATTAGACAGCAACTGATATAGTATATATATTGCCAAATTGCCCTCTAAAAAGTTTGTGTTAATTTATACCACGTCTCAAAGGATTCAAATGTACCTCTTCCCTTTAACTTTAAAACCACCTTTGCAAAGATTATGACAGTGAGACAAATCTAACATGGCTGACTCCATCTCCCTTGTAGACTCACAGGTCGGCTATCTTCACTCATTCCTAGGAGTAGGCCAAGGTAATCACTGAAAGAATTTAGTTTATAGTTTTACTTTTGAAAAGAAGTTTTGTGGGTACATAATAGATGTATATATTTATGGGGTACATGAGATATTTTGATACAGGCATACAATGTGTAATAATCACATCAGGGTAAATGGGTTATCCAACACCTTAAGCACTTATCTTTTCTGGGTTACAAACAATCCAATTATACTGTTTTATTTAAAATTGTACAGTAAATTATTGTTGACTATAGTCACTCTGCTGTGCTATCAAATACTAGATCTTGTTTATTCTACCTATATTTTTGTACCCATTAACCATCCCTACTTTGCCTGCCCCCCTGCCATCACTACCCTTCCCAGACTTTGGTAACCATCCTTCTATTCTCCATCTCCATAAGTTCAATTACTGTAATTTTTTTTCAGCTCCCACAAAAGTGAAAGCATGCACTTTCACTGTGCCTAGCTTATTTTAATTAACATAACAACTTACAGTTCCATCCATGTTGTTGCAAATGACAGGATCTCATTCTTTTTTATGGCTGAATAATACTTCATTGTGTATATGTACCAAATTTTCTTTATCCGTTTGTCTGTTGATTTGTCCAACTGGGTTGCTTCCAAATCTTGGCTACTCTGAATAGTGCTACAGTAAACATAGGAATGCAGATATCTCTTTGATATACTGATTTCCTTTCTTTTGGTTATATACCTAGCCGTGGGATTGCTGGATCATAGCTCTATTTTTAGTTTTTTGAGGAACCTCCAAACTGTTCTCCATAGTGGCTGTACTAATTTACATTCCCACCAAGAGCGTATGAGGGTTCCCTTTTCTCCACATCCTCGTCAGCATTCATTATTGCCTGTCTTTTGGGTATCAGCCATTTTAACTGGGGTGAGATGATATCTCATTGTAGTTTTGATTTGCAGTTCTCTGAAATTCAGTGATGTTGAACACCTTTTTATATAGCTAATTGCCATTTGTATGTCTTCTTTTGAGAAATGTCTATTTAGATTTCTTGCCAGTCTTTTAATCATGTTACTAGATTTTTTTTTCCTATTGAGTTGTTTGAGCTCCTTATATATTCTGGTTATTAATCCTTTGTCAGATGAGTAGTTTGCAAATATTTTCTCCCATTCTGTGGGTTGTCTCTTCATTTTTTTGATTGTTTCCTTTGCTGTGCAGAAAATTTTTAACTTGATGTGATCCTGTTTGTCCATTTTTGCTTTGGTTGTCTGTGCTTGTGGAGTATTACTCAAGAAACTTTTGCCCAGTCCAATGTCCTGAAGAGTTTTCCCAATGTTTTCTTGTAGTAGTTTCATAGTTTGAGGTCTTAGATTTAATTCTTTAATCCATTTTGATATGATTTATGTATATGGCAATAGATAAGGGTCTAGTTTCATTCTTCTGCATGTGGATATCCAGTTTTCCCAGCAGCATATATTGGAGAGACTGTCCTTTCTCCAGTGTATGTTCTTGGCACCTTTGTTGAAAATGAGTTGACTGTAGATGTATGGATTTATCTCTAGGTTCTTTATTCTTTCCTATTGGTCTATGTGTCTATTTTTATGCCAGTACCATGCTGTTTTGGTTACTGTGGCTCTGTAGTATAATTTGAAGTCAGGTAATATGATTCCTCCAGTTTTGTTCTTTTAACTCAGGATAGCTTTGTCTAGTCTGGGTCTTTTATGCTTTCATATACATTTTAGGATTGTTTTTTTCTATTTCTGTGAAGAATTTCATTGTTTTTTGATAGGGATTGCATTGAATCTATAGATTGCTTTGGGTGGTATGGACAATTTAACAACATTGATTCTTCCAATCTACGAACGTGGAATATCTTTCCATTTTTTGGTGTCCTCTTCAATTTCGTGCATCAGTGTTTTATAGTTTTCATTGTAGAGATCTTTCACTTCTTTGGTTAATTCCTAGGTATTATATTTTATTTGTAGTTATTGCAAATGGGATTACTTTCTTGATTTCTTTTTCAGATTGTTTGCTGTTGGCATATAGAAATGCTACTACCGATTTTTGTATGTTGATTTTGTATGCTGCAGCTTTGCTGAATTTGTTAATCAGTTCTAACATTTTTTTTTTGGTGGAGTCTTTAGGATTTTTTTCAGACATAAGATCATATCATCTGCAAACAAGGATAATTTGACTTCTTCCATTCCAATTTGGATGCTCTTTATTTCTTTCTCTTGTGTGATTGCTCTAGCTAGGACTTCTAGTACTACGCTGAATAAGTGTTGAAAGTGGGCATCCTTGTCGTGTTCCAGATCTTTGAGGAAAGGCTTTTAAGTTTTTCCCCATTCAATATGACACCAGCCGTGGGTCTGTTGTATATATATATATGACTTTTATTATGTTGAGGTATGTTCCTTCTATGCCCAGATTTTTGAGTGTGTTTTGTTGTTGTTGTTGTTGTTGTTGTTATGGAGGGATGTTGAATTTTATTAAATGATTTTTCAACATCAGTTGAGATAATTATATGATTTTTGTCCTTCATTCTGTTGATATGACCACACCGATTGACTTGCATATATTCAAACATCTCTGCATCCTTGGGATAAATCTCACTTGGTCATGATGAATGATCTTTTTTAATGTGTTGTTGAATTCGATTTGCTGGTATTTTGTTGAGGATTTTTGCATCAATGTTCATCACAGATATTGGCCTGTAGTTTTCTTCCTTTTTTTTTTTTTTGGTTTGCTTGTCATGTTTTTGTCTGGTCATGGTATCAGGGTAATATTGGCCTCATAGAATGAGTGTGGAAGTATTCCCTTCTCTTATATTTTTTGGAATAGTTTGAGTAGGATTGGTATTAGTTCTTCTTTAAATGTTTGGTAAAATATAAGAGTGAAGCCATCGAGTTCCAGGCTTTTCTTTGCTGGAAAACTTTTCATGATGGTTTCTATCTCTTGTGTTGGTCTGTTCAGGTTTTGGATTTCTTCATGGTTCAATCTTAGTAGGTTGTATGTGTCTAGGAGTTGATCCATTTCTTCTAGGTTTTCCAATTTATTGGCATATAGTTGCTCATAGTAATCTTTCATGATCCTTTGAATTTCTGCAGTATCAGTTGTCTACTTTTTCATCTCTGACTTTATTTATTTGGGTCTTCTCTCTTTTCTTCTTAGTCAGTTGGGCTAAAGATTTGTCAGTTTTTTTTTTTTTTAACCAATGTTTCATTTCATTGATCTTTTGCATTTTTTTTGGTTTCAATTTTATTTGTTTCTGCTCTGATCTTTATTATTTCATTTTTCTATTACTTTTGAGTTAAGTTTGCTCTTTTTTTGCCCTAGTTCTTTAAGATGCATTGTTAGGTTGTTTATTTGAAGTTTTTCTTCTCTTTTTCATGTAGGCACTTACAGCTATAAAATGTCCTCTTATTACTACTGCTTTTGCCATATCCAGTAGGTTTTGGTATGTTGTGTTTCCATTGTCATTTCTTTATTTCCTTCTTAATTTCTTCATTGACCCATTGGTCATTCAGAAGCATATTGATTAATTTCCATGTGTTTGTATAGTTTCCAAAATTTCTCTTGTTATTGATTTCTAGTTTTATTTCATTGTAGTCAGAGAAGATAGTTGGTGTTATTTCAATTTTTTTTAATTTTTAAAGACTTGTTTGTGACCTAACGTATGGTCTACCTTTGGGAATGATTCATGTGCTGAGGAAAAGAATGTATATTCTGCAGCCGTTGGATGAAATATTCTATAAATATCTATTGGGTCCATTTGATCTATAGTACAGATTAAGTCTGACGTTTCTTTGTTGGTTTTTCTGTCTGGATGATATGTCCAATGCTGAAAGTGGAGTGTTGAAGTTTCCAGCTATTATTGTACTGGGATGTATCTCTCTTTTCAGCTCTAATAATATTTGCTATATATATATATATATATATATATATATTTACATATATATATTTATATATATATTTCTGCTTCAGGTTTGGGGTGCATATATATTTACAATTGTAATATCCTCTTGCTGAATAATATATTGACCTTTTTGTCTCTTCTTATAGTTTTTGTTTTGAAATCTATTTTGTCTGATACAAGTGTAGCTACTCCTGCTCTTTTTTGGTTTCTATGGGCACAAATTATCTTTTCCATCCCTTTATTTTCAGTCTATGTGTATCCTTATAGGTGAAGTGTGTTTTTTGTAGGTAAGAGATCATTGGGTCATGTGTTTTGTTTTGTTTTAGCCATTTAGCCACTCTATGTCTTTTGATTGGAGAATTTACTCCATTTACATTCAATGTTATCATTGATACATTATAATATTTTATTTGTGTATGTGTGTTTATGTGTGTGTGTGTGTGTGTTTCTGGTTTTGTGGTCTTCTCTTCCTCCTTTTTTTTTTTTTTTTTTTTTTGAGATAGAGTCTTACTCTGGCGCCCAGGCTAGAGTGCAGTGGCGTGATCTCGGCTCACTGCAACCTCCACCTCCTGGGTTCAAGTGATTTTCCCGCCTCAGACTCCCAAGTAGCTGGGATTACAGGCATGTGCCACCACACCTGGCTAAGTTTTGTATTTTCAGAGTAGAGACGGGCGTTTCACCATGTTGGCCAGGCTGGTCTAAACTCCTGACCTCAAGTGATCCACCTTGGCTTCCCAAAGTGCTGGGATCATAGGCATGACCCACTGTACCCAGCCCTCTCCTGCCTCTTTTCTTCCTTCCTGTCATGCTCTAGTGAAGATAATTTTTCTCTGGTTGTATAATTTAACTTCTTGCTTTTTATTTTTAATGTATCCATTGCATGTTTTTTGATTTGAGGTTACCATGAAGCTTGCAAATACTATCTTATGAACTATTATTTTATGCAAACACCGTTTGCATAAACAAACAAGCAAAAAGAAAACTGATAAAAACTCTACACCTTAACTTTGTCCCCCCACTTTTTAACTTTTTGTTGTTTCTATTTATATCTTATTGTACTACCTGTGTCTTGAAAAGTTGTTGTAATTATTCTTATTCTTATTCTGATTTTGAGACAGTCTCACTCCATTGCCCAGGCTGGAGTGCACTGGCACAATCTACTCACTGCAGCCTCAACCTCTCAGGCCCCAGTGATCCTTCCATCTCAGCTTCCCAAGTAGCTAGGACCACAGCTGCCCACGACCCTCCTAGTTATTATTATTATTATTGCTTGTAGAGATTGGGCCTCCCTGTGTTGCTCAGGGTGGTCTCGGACTCCTGGGTTCAAGATCCTCATGACTTGGACTCCCAAAGTGCTGGGATTACAGGCATAAGCCACTGCATGTAGCCTTGTAGTTATTATTTTTGTTAGGTTCATTGTTTAGTCTTTCTACTTAAAAGTAGTTTACACATTACAGCTATAGTGTTATAGTACTCCATGTTTTCCTGTGTAGTTACTACTAGCAGTGAATATTGCACCTTCAAAGGATTTATTATTGCTCCTTAACATCCTTTTCTTTCTGATTAATGTACTCCCTTTAGCATTTCTTGTAGGACAGAGCTGGTGTCAATGAAATCCCTCAGCATTTGTTTGTCTGGGAAAGTCTTTATTTCTCCTTTATGTTTGAAGGATGTTTTTGCAGGATATACTACTCCAGGGGTAAAAGACTTTTTTCTTTCAGTACTTTAAATATGTCATGCCACTCTCTCCTGGTCTGTAAGGTTTTTATTGAAAAGTCTGCTGTCCGACATATCAGAGCTCTGTTGTATGTTACTTGTTTCTTTTGTGCTTTCAGGATCCTTTCTTTATCCTTGATGTGTGGGAGTTTATTACATGCCTTGAAGTAGTTGTCTTTGGGTTAAATCTGCTGGGTGTTCTATAACCTTCTTGTAGTTGAGTATTGATATCTTTCTCTAGGTTTGGGAAGCTCTCTTTTATTATCCATTTCAATACATTTTGTGGTTTTTAACTTACTTTTAAGTTCAGGGATACACGTGCAGGTTTTTTACATAGGTAAACTTGTGTCATGGGGGTTTGTTGTACAGATTATTTCATCAGCCAGGTATTTGGCATAGTGCCCATAAGTTATTTTTCTTGATCCTCTCCCTCCTCCTACCCTCTTGTAGGCCCCAGTGTGTGTTGTTCCCCTCTATGTGCCCATGTGTTCTCATCATGTAGCTCTCACTTATAAGTGAGAGCATGTGGTATTTGGTTTTCTGTTTCTGCATTAGTCTGCTAAGGATAATGACCTCCAGCTCCATCCATGTCCCCACAACACGATATCATTCTTTTTTATGGCTGGATGGTATTCCATGGTGTATATGCACCAATTTTCTTTATCCAGTCTATCATCGATGAGCATTTAAGTTGATTCCATGTCTTGCTATTGTGAATAGTGCTGCATGAATAAATTTTCTACCCCTATCTCTTTCTCTACCTCTTCTTTAAGGCTAAAACTCTTAGATTTGCCCTTTTGAGGCTATTTCCTAGATCTTGTAAGCATGCTTCAATCTTTTTTATTCTTTTTTCTTTTGTCTTCTATGACTGTGTATTTTCAAATAGCCTGTCTTCAAGCTCACTAATTCTTCTGCTTGTTCAATTCTGCTGTTAGTGTACTCTGATGCATTCTCCAGTGTGTCAACTACATTTTTGAAATCCAGAATATCTGCTTGATTCTTTTTAATTATTTCAGTCTCTTTATTACATTTATATGGTAAATTCCTTCTCTATGTTATCTCAGATTTTGTTGAGCTTCCTCAAAACAGCTATGCTGAATGTAATGTCTGAAAGGTCACATATCTCTATCTCTTTAGGATTGGTTACTGATGTTTTATTTAGTTCATTTCATGAGGTCATATTTTCCCAGATGGTCCTGATGCTTGCAGATGTTTGTCATTTTCTGGGCATTGAAGAGTTAGGTATTTATTATAGTCTTTGCAGCCTAGGCTTGTTTGTACCCATCTGTCTTTGGAACGCTTTCCAGGTATTTGAAGATATCTAAGTATTTGGTCACTGCAGCTGTATCTTCATTAGGTGGCACACCAAACCCACTAACGCTGTGGTTCTTGCACACTTATAGAAGTAGGTCCTTGGTGGTCTTGGGTAAGATCCAGGAGAATTTCCCTGGAGTACCAGGCAGAGGCTCTTGTTCTGTTCCTTTACTTTTTTCCAGACATATGGAGTCTCTCTCTGTTCTGAGCTGCCTGGATCTCGAGGAGGGGTGACACAGGCACCCTGGCCATTACCACATGGACTATACTGGGTCAGACCCGAAGTCAGCACAGCACTGGGTCTCACCCAAGGCCCGCAGTGACCGCTGCCTAGTTACCACCTATGTTCACTCATGGCCCAAGGAGTCTACAATCAGCAGGTGGCAAATCCAACCAGGCTTGTGTCCTTCCCTTTAGGGCAGCAAGTTCTCCCAGGCCCCGGGCAGGTTTGGAGATGCTGCCCAGGAGCCAGGGCATGGAGTTAGGAACCTCAGAAACCTACCTGGTACTCTATTCCACTGTGGGTGAGCTGGCATCCAACCTGCAAAACAAAGTCCTTCCCACTCTTCCCTCCCCTTTCCTCAAGCAGAGAAAAGGTTGTGTGTCTGGCCACCATCACCCCAGGCCTGGGGTGACTGCTGTCTGCCTACCACCAGTATTCACTCAAGGCTCAAGGGCTCTTCAGTAAGCTTGTGGTGAATGCTGCCAGTCCTGAGTCTCTCCCTTCAGGGCAGTGAGCTCCCCTTCTGGCCCAGCGCACATCCAGAAATGCCATCCAGGAACCAAGGCCTGGAATCAGGGACCCCAGGGACTGCTTGTTGCTCCACCCCACTGTGACCCAGCTGGTATGCAAGCTGCAAGACAAAGTCCCTTTACTCTTCCTTCTCCTTTCCTTAAGCAGAAGGGGTCTTTCCCCATAGTCACCACAGCTGATAATGTGCTGGGTCACATCTTAAGCCAACATGGCTTGGAGTCTCACCCAAGTCCTGCAGCAAGTACTACCACTGTGGAGATTATTCAGGGCCTAACGGAGCTTTCATCAAGAGGTGATGAAGTCTTCCAAGACTGGGTCCTTCCTTTCAAGGTAGCAGGTTCTCTCCTGGCCCAGGCTGTGTTTGGAAATGTCATCCAGGTGCTAGGCCCTGGAATGGGGGCCTCAGGCCTCTGCCTGGTGCCCTATAATCTTTTTATAAGTCTCTGTAATCCTTTACTGCTCAGGAGTTATGTGGCCAGAGGTCACAAGATTTGTGGCTTCCCCAGTTGCTTCTATAGATAACATTACTATTGTAGAAACTAAGAGTGGTCTTTTGAGAGGTGTTTCAGACTGACTCCACCTGGACTCATGACTCAACTGGTCCTGTGGTCCCCTCACACAGAGGCAGACTTAGTACATGAGGACAGTTTTCCACACCCCTATGAACTGCATCCCCAACCAATCAGCAGCATCCCTTCCCTAATTCCCTGCCTGCCAAACTATCCTTTAGGAACCCTAACCTCCAAGACTTTTGGGAGACCAATTTGAGTGATAACTCCAGTTGTCCTGCGTGGCCAGCCTGATGTTAGTTAAACTCTTTCTTTACTGCAATACCACTGTCTCAGTGAACTGGTTTTGTCTGTACAGCAGGCAAAAAGAACCTGCTGGGTGATTACAAATTTGAGGACTCATCTGGGATTCACCCATCCAGGTGCCTGCCTGCAGTTCATCAGGCTCCCACTGGTACAACACACTTGCACGTGAGCTCTAGTGGCTGCTATTTCTCTTGAACTGTGGGCCCTCTATGGTGCTGTCCCTGTCAGTGAGGCACTGTTGACCCATAGTGCCACATCGGCAATGGGGCACTATTCCCCATTGCAATGGATTTTCTCCATTGCAATGGAGAAATCATTCCTGTAAGTCATCTTTAACCTGGTTTGATGAGTCTTCTAGGTGCAACAAACATTCCCTTCCTTCTCTTGATCTGTTGGTCTCTCTGAAGTCACTGTAGTCCCATTACAGGGACTATTAGGCTCTCCCTAAATTTCAGGAAGAGGTTTGGTTTGGGGAGATTTATCCCCACTTGGATGGATAATAGGGGGCTGGTTTGGAAGAATACTCTTCTGATTTGGAATCTGATCTGCAATCTTGGTTTTGAAGGCCTTCTATTTGTCTGTTTACTTCACTGTGTGTGTTTGCATATGTGGAGAGGACCCCTGAAAGAATTGCTGTTGGAAGTCCAGCAGGCCTAATTTGGTGAACCCTTTTTATTTGTCTGGGCACATTCAGTGAGCCCTGAAGGAAACTCAATAGCTCTAACTCAGGGTGACTGTCCAGTCTTCCATCTTACCCAGAGACTGCTCACTAGTCAGAGGTCATCTCAACCCACTTAGAGTGAATCAAAGATGACAGGGACCAATAAGGGCACATTTGAGCCTTACCAGGTTGGTGCCTAGGTGCTTGAGCAGGTGACTAGTGTCTGTCTTTTGTTGGTGTATATTGTTCTGGCCAGAATGAGAAATGTTAATTCAGTTCCCCCATGCAGCCCATTTAGCTGCATCTTGAAAAATTGAGTGGCTTTTGCCTGTGGTTTCATGAGATGAAAAACGATGATTTTCTTTTGTAATTCAGCTTGGCCCCCACAGCTAGGCAGAGCAAGCAGAATCATGAAAATTCACTCTGCTCTTCCAGAAGCTGCAGAGAAAGAAAACACAGAAAGCTGGCAAGCTGGCAAAAGGACAAGAATTTCTTACCAGCCAGGCTTCTGGCCTTTCTCTGTGTGCACACTGGTTGAGTTAATGGTAAAAATTGCTGTTCATTTCCTCTTCAAAGTTTTTGTTAATGGGAAAAAAGATTTGTGAGATTAGTCTTAGACTGTAGTAAATCTGGTGTACTTTGTGCTATGAGTTTGTCTTCCTACATTGTTCTATCATAAAGAGAGATACCGTAGGATAGAATGCAGGCCTTCGTTCCATATAAGCCCACAAATCATTCTACCAAAAAGACAAATGCACTCCCATGTTCATTGCAGCACTGTTCACAATAGCAAAGCTGGTACTGCAGACTGGCCAGTTACAAACTTGGCTGTGGGTCCCTGAAACAAAAACTGAACAAAGTTTCCCTTTGTCTTGTTTTATGTCCTTGAGAGCTTGAGTTTGTGACCATGTGGGGGTATTCTCTCTTGGTCTGTGCCACCTGAAGGGTGGGAATTTTGGGGTTTATATGAGGCAGCTGGTCTGAAAGGACTGGGGTCTGAAAGGACTGGGAGTTTAAGAACTGCTAGCACACTCTTTGTCCTGAATGTGTCCAGCCCTTGGGTAAGTTTTGTTTTAAAAGGTCCCATTCCTATGGGGCATTTGTCATCTTTTGCTATCCTACACCCATTTCTGAGAAGGAATTCTTAGGGATCATGGAGATGCCTCCTCTACTTCCTCTCTAAAAATACTTCTTGCTTATATGGTAAAAACCTGGAAAATTACCATCTGGGCCTTAAAAAGGGTTTTGGCCAGAGGCATCACATTACCCATACATTATAGTATTCAAACTATACCATAAGACTACAGTAACCAAAACAGCATGGTACTGGTACAAAAACAGACACAGAGACCAATGGAACAGGATAGAGAACCTAGAAACAAAGTCATACACTTACAGCCATCTGATCCTCAATAAAGCTGGCAAAAATAAGCAATGGAGAAAGGGCTCCCTATTCAGTAAATGGTGCTGGGATAGCTGGCTAGCCATATGCAGAAGAATGAAACTGGACCCCTACATTTTATCGTATACAAAAATTAATTCAAGATGGGTTAAGAAATTAAATGTAAGACCTCAAACTGTAAGAATGCTAAAAGAAAACCTAGGAAATGCCATTGGGACATTGGCTTTGGGAAGGAATTTATAACTCAGTCCTTAAAAGCAATTGACAAGTTTTCAATTTAGAGCTTAATTAAAGAGCTTCTGCACAGCAAAAGAAACTATCAACAGAGTAAACAGACAATTTACAGAATGAGAGATAATATTTGCAAACTATATATTCAACAAAGGTCTAATATCCAGAATCTATGAGGAATTTAAACAATTCAACAAACAAAAACCAAATAACTCCATTAAAAAGTGGGCAAAAGACATGAATAGACCCCTCTCAAAAGAAGACATACAAACAGTCAACAAACATACGAAAAAATGCTTGTCATTGTGAATCATCAGAGAAATGCAAATCAAAACCACAAAGAGATACCATCTTATACCAGTCAGAATGGCTATTACTAAAAAGTCAAAAAACAACAGATGCTGGAGAGGCTGTAGAGAAAAGGGAATGCAAATTTAGTACCTGGGTGATGAGATCATCATTCATACCCTATTCATTCCCCAGGAGGAACTGTGGAAAGCAGTCTGGAGACTTCTCAAAGAACTTAAAACAGAACTACCATTTGACCTAGCAATCCTATTACTGGGCATATACCCAAAAGAAAACAAAAAGACACATATAGTCACATGGTAGACATGTGTCTACCAAAATGACACATGTATTCACATGTTCATCGCAACACTATTCACAATAGCAAATACCTGGAAGCAACCTAGGTGCCCATCAGTGGTGGACTGGATAAAGAATATGTGGTACATATATACCATGAAATACTACATAGTCAGAAAAAAGAATGAAATTATGTCCTTTGCAGCAACATGGATGCAGCTGGAGGCCATTTTTCTAAGCAAATTAATGCAGGAACAGAAAACCGAATACCACACGTTCTCACTGACAAGTTGGAGCTAAGCATTGGGTATTTGTGGACATAAAGATGGCAACAATAGAACTTGGAACCTACTGGAGAGGGGAGGGAGGGGAGGGAGAAAGGGTTGAAAAAACTATGGGGCACAATGCTCAGTACTTGGGTGATGGGATCATTCATACCTCAAACATCACACAATACACCCAAGTCACAAATCTGCACATGTACCCCCTGAATCTAAAATAAAAGTTGAAAAATAAACAAAGAAATAATCAAGTGAATGAATTTTAAAAAGGCTTTTGGATTGAGCCACTATTGGACCTAAGTACACCATTAAAAGAAAAAGGATTTTAGAGGCCTTTTTAAAATCAACAATTGAAAAAAAAGATTACATTTTTAAACAGGTTAAATTAAAAGAAGGACATACGAGAATGTCATGGCTGGCCTTAGAAAGTTCTCTTGAGCAGTTAAAATCCTTTGCAAGCTCAAAAATGACTGTCCTAGATTCCTTCTGGAAAGTGAAAGAGTTTTCCCATGCTGTAGCTCAGGAGCTAAGGCTTTGACCTTTCATGATGCCCACCTGGGTTCGACACCTGCTTAGGGAATGAGTCCTTTCTGGTTGGATAGTTGTGGAACTTTTGCCATTTATTGATTCTTTTGCCCTCCATGGACAGCTTTGGATTCTTGTTTTGAATTTTCTTTTATCTGAGCTACTTTTGGGATGATTCTAGATCTTGTAAAAACTGCTTGCTATCTCTTTGGAGATGACTTGTGCCTGTGTGGTTAAGTTATAACCTTAGTTAAGGGTTAATGGTTTCACTTGGGAGAATACCTTCGGGAAATAAGGCTTAAAAGCCACAGGTGTTGGCTGTTTATCCCAGCTAGAGTCTGGTGATAAGTTATTTAAAAGTATTTCCTTAAAAGAGCTCTATGGTTAAATGTCAGCCTCATTAAAAGCTGATATCCAGCTGGGTGCGGTGGCTCACACCTGTAATCCCAGCACTTTGGGAGGCCGAGGTGGGTGGATCACCTGAGGTTGGGAGTTTGAGACCATCCTGGCCAACGTGGCAAAACCCCGTCTCCACTGAAAATACAAAAATTAGCCGGGTGTGGTGGCATGCTCCTGTAATCCCAGCTACTCAGGAGGCTGAGGCAGAATTGCTTGAACCCAGGAGGCAGAGGTTGCAGTGAGCCCAGATCACACCACTGCACTCCAGCTAGGGTGACAGAGCAAGACTCTGTCTCAAAACAAAACAAAAACAAAAACAAGCTTGGATATCACAAGCTCTACATATATTTTGAAGCCTTTATGCTTTTCCTCTTCTTAGATTTTGTTTTTTGGAAAAAGTTTTTTCTTCTCCATCAACTGAATTCTGTTTTTCCAGGTACTTCTGTCTGTCCCTCCTTCCTCTTGCCACACTCGATGCCCACATGACGGGACCTAATATATTTTTAGCAGCCTGGGACTCCTTGGGAAAAACAGAGCAGACACCACAGACCCCCTTGTGGGTGAAACCTGTTTACCTCATGGAACCCAAGGATTGTAAGTGGACAGATCCCTCTCAAAATCCAAGGCTCTGCTCTGTTTGCATTGTGTTACATGACCCTTGTGACATTGGGGGCATCAGAAATTACTTGGCATTATGACAGAATTTTTACTCTTGGTATATAACAGTTAGATGGGAGATAGACTTTTAGGGATGGCTGATGGCAGTTGCTTACAGTGAGTGGCTATCACTATAGGGTGATGCTCCTTTGTGCATTTAGGAAAGAAAAGCATGCTCTTGGGCACATAAAAGGTATGAAATGGAGGATGGGCTGATTACAGAGTGGGCTCTTAGACACTGGGTTGCCCAGCAGCCATAGGGAAATGCCCTTACTGTGAGATATAGTGTGTAAGCATTGCACTGCCTCATTCCATAGCACTTTCCTCTTTTTTGGGACTGTTAGAAATACCAAAATTGTTAGAAATAGACAACCGGTGCCACGAAGAAATGTCAGCACAGAGACAAAAGATCTCTCAGCAAGGCCATCTTTACTTTCTGCAGAAAGGGTGCTCAATCACAGATGGAACAATGGCAAAAGCACACTTGAACAAAGGAAAAGCAGACATATTTATCCGCCACGCATTTGGGTCATCCTTATTGCTATGTCCTGCGTCCATTGGCTGGAGCAGGACCTCACAATGTTAAACTGATACCCAATTTGCTAATAACCTGAAACATTCCTAAATAGGTAAGTGCAAGGAAGAACAAAGAAGTTGCTTACGAAAGGTTTAAGGAAGCAATAATATTTCCAAATAAGGAAGGGACATAGGCTGTGAGCTGGAATGTGTCTGTGAGCATGTCCAACAGTTACACAGACTAGGGCTTAACAAAGAGTTATTAGCACAAAGCAAGGAGACTTGAAGAAAGTTAGTCTTTAAAAGAAACTGTTACTTCTAACACTTACAATTTATTCTTTAACAAGAAGGGGAAGTTTGAAGAGGAAACTTTTTACTTTCTACAGGGACTCAGAATTTGGTGTGAAAATGGGATCCCCTTGATTTTGCGGGAATCTGTTGTGTCTCCCAGCTGTACCTGTGTATTAGGCCGTAGATACTGCATGCTCTCTTGGCCTTGTTCCTTAAAAGCCTCCACCTTAACGCCAGTAATCCAGTTAAGAAACTTACATCTTTAAGGAAATCTCCCTGTATAAGGGTGTCTGCTTCTCCTAGCCATCCTAATTGAACTTTTACTCATACCATGCTTCTTTGGTTTGAGTAAAATATGAATCCTCTATCTTGTTTTACCTAAGACTTGTCCCTTTAGAAATGCAAATTTAGAGCTGCCTAGCCAACAATTGTTTAGGGCAACAAGTAAATAGGTAATCAAAAGACTGGTGGTCTAAAGTGGGAAAGAAAAACCTAAAAACTGGCAAATGAAGAATCTTATAACTCTACCAAATCTGCTTCTGTCTGTCTGTGTATTTATATATGTCATGTGTGTGATGTTTCACTACCAAAATATATAAAGGAGCTCTAATTAATTGGCTTAAAAAGATAAGTGCTTAAACCAAATATTTTGTCAGAAAAATGGAAATTTGAATGCCTTTTAGTTCATATAATTTTAATAATCTTTGGTAAATAAAGACAATTTTTTAAGATAATTGGTAAAATATAATAAAAATGTCTTCAGAATTTAGACACTTGGTCTGAATTAGGCAGTTCGGATACTGTCTTTGCTAGATGTTTTAAGGTCATAAACTACTTCTGTGACATATTTTGATAATTGTTGGACTTGTCTGTTTTCCAGCCATTAGATTTTAGGTAAGGCCTGGGGCATGTGGAGTTAGCCATGTCCCCCCACTGTGCTAGGAAGAGTCAGACGTTGTTGGCAGCTCTATCCTTGTCCTGGGCTCTGCATCTGACACATGGTTAAAATTGCTTACTTACAAGGTTTTTCACTAAAAATAAATGTTGCTAAGAGTTAACATTGTAACATATGTAATGGAGAAGTTCACAAAAAGAGTCAAACTCTGTAAAATATTTGGAGAGATTTATCTGGAGCCACATATGAGTGACCAATGGCCTGTGACATAGCCCTCAGGAGATCCTGAGAACATGTGCCCAAGGTGGTCAGGGTACAGCTTGGTTTTTATACATTTTAGCGAGACATGAGACACCAGTCAATACATGTAAGATGTACATTGGTTCAGTCAAGAAAGGTGGGACAACTGGAAGTGGGGGCTTCCAAATCATAGGCAGATTAAAATTTTCTGATTGGCAATTGGTTGAAAGAATTATTATCAATAGAAAGGAATGTCTGGGTTATGATAAAGAGTTGTGGAGACCAAGGTTTTATCACACAGATGAAGCCTCCAGGTAGCAGTCTTCAGAGAGAATAGATTGTAAATGGTTCTTTTTTTTTTTTTTTAAGATGGAGTCTTGCTGTGTCGCCCAGGTTGGAGTGCAGTGGCCTGATCTTGGCTCACTGCAAGCTGCGCCTCCCGGGTTCATGCCATTCTCCCGCCCCAGCCTCCCGAGTAGCTGGGACTACAGGCGCCCGCCACCACGCCTGGCTAATTTTTTGTATTTATAGTAGAGGCAGGGTTTCACGGTGTTAGCCAGGATGGTCTCGATCTCCTGACCTTGTGATCCGCCCACCTTGGCCTCCCAAAGTGCTGGGATTACAGGCGTGAGCCACCGCGCCCGGCCTGTAAATGATTCTTATCAAACTTAAAGAGTCTATTCTATAAGTAAGTCCAAAAGAGAGGATGGCATAATGAGGCATGTTCCAGCTCCCCCTGTCCATCATGGCCTCAAACTAGTTTTTCAGGCTGACTTTGAAATGACCTTGGCAGAGAGGAAGGGTCCATTCAGATGGTTGGGGGCCTTAGAACATTTTTTGGTTTTACAGAGACTATCAGAGAAACAGTTTTACATGCAAAGTATATAAGGAAAGTAAAAAGTGTTTTTGGTAAAAGATTATAAAAAGGAATGGGAATACGGTTTTTGTTAAAGGTGAAGTAATTTTGTCTAATGTAGAGGTTTTTAAGGATTATCTTAAGTTAAAAGAAGGATAGGACAAAACCAAAGATTTAAGCAAGTTGTAGAAGATTTGTGAAAGACTCATCTTGTAAAAGAAGTTCTGTGGATGTAAGCAAGTTGGCCAAAATGTAAAGGGAGCTATTTAGTTTTTCTTTAAATTAAACATTAAGATAAAAAGCACACTAATATAGGGTCAGAATCTGGGCCCGTGTGTCAGAATAACAGGATTTCCTTGGAACATTGATCTGCTCTTTAATAGAAAATTGTAAAGAGTTATAGAGGTTTATGGAAATCTTACCTTATGTCCAAATGGTCAAACTGATTAAGATTGAATAGATTTGTTTATAAGGTTTTATCAAAAATTGGACCGGCCTGGGCAACATAAGGAGATCTTGTTGCTACAAAAAAATGTAAAAACTTACCAGGCCTTGGTGGTGTTCACCTGTAATCTCAGCTGCTTGGGAGACCGAGATGAGAGGATCGCTTAAGCTCAGGAGTTAGAGGTTCCAGTGAGCTGTGATCATGCCACTGCACTCCAGCCTGGGTCACAGAGTGAGATGCTGTCTCAAAAAAAAAAAAAAAAAAGATGGGGGGCGGTGGTGCTTAACACTAATAATACATGAATGCAAAGGTAAAATTTGGTTTTCTCTTTTGAACACAATTTTTATGTAATATTGAGATGATGAAAGATTTTTATTTTTTATTTTTTATTTTTTTGCCTTTTGAGTACACTGCAGGTAAAAAGGAGAGAAAAGAGGGGAAAGAGAAGAGAGAGGTTCAGGTTCAGTTGACCTCATGCTGTCTTTATTGAGTCTTGTTGTTTGGAAAGCTGTCTCCTCTATCAAAGAGTAAAGGTTTTTTGCCTCTTTGAAATTTTTGAGTTATCACTTCAGCTAAATAACCTGTGATTCTATTTTGCGATATAAAGTGTTTTAAACCTTTGGTATTTGACAAACCTTCCAAAATCAAAATCTCAGGTTCTAAATTCAACCCTTTTGGCCTCATTAACCTTTTAGGTATTAGGCTCCCTGAAGTCCAAAAGGCACATTTGCCTTATTTGGTATGTGAAAATCACACAAAAAGCATTGTTAAGTATGAAATAGTGTTTGACTTTCTTTGGGTTATATTTGTATGAATGTGTTATTTGTGTGTGTTCCAGAATTGTAGTGAGACTCCTGTAAGTCTAATATGACTTTGTGTATTTTATCAACAATAATTATGATTATGTTAAATCATTGTATGCCACAAAAATAAAGAAATTTGCTTGTCAGTTGTATTTTTAACCACGATTGTTCTAAGATGCTTGTCGTCCACAATTGTTGTTTTACTTTGATCCTTCTCAAAAGGTGGTTTTATAATCAGCTATAGGACTTTGTTGCGTGCTCTTGAATGCAGGTTCCTGATAACTTTAGAAATTGTACTATTGGAATAGAGAAAAAAACTTCCAGTACTCTCATGGAAAGCTGATGTTTCCATAAGGATTGCTGATCCAGTATCAAGTAGAACAGTCCATTCACATGGACTGAATGAACAGAATACTGAAATAATCTTTTAATGACTTTTTGCTTAAAACTTTGCTGATTTTTTTGTTTTGCTTTTCAGAGTCAAGAAAACTTCTTTTCTTTTGAGTTATTTATAGCTTCTAACAATTGAGCAAAATGTAAAACATATTTCTTTCTCTCTGCCTAATTTCTCTAGAATTTGGAGTATTGTGAGTATTCTTAACTTATGGCAATATGGTTATTTACGTAAGTACAGTAAAAATCTGTTTTGTTAACAGGACACAATTCGAGACGCTGGTTATTTTACCAAGGCTTTGACTAGAATGACATGTTTTCAGACTACTTTTAGGAATGAATGTTGACTTATAGAGCTGATAAAAGGCCCTTGGAAGAACTGGCCTCATGTCTGGTCCTGAAAAGGGTTCCTAGCCTGTGGTAAGTAAAGAATGTCATTTTCTGACAGCCCAGGAACCCCAAGTTATTTTGGAATGTTGAGAAGAGGGGAATTCACCCAACCCACACAGATATTTGCGGGTACAGATAAATCCTTGGCTGAGCTCAAGAGGCTTTTCAAAAGTCTACTCTGATGTTCTGTATATTAAAAAAAAATTCAGCAAAGCCAAATTTTTGAAAAAGAGCCTATATGGCAAATAATTATTCTTGTGCACTTTATGCAAATAATTAGGCAAACTGTAATAAGACTGAAACTTATTTTGCAAATAAATTGATCCTGCTTTGATTTGTCTTTGGTAGAAATGAAAAATTGGAGAGAGAAAAATTATGCTTTAGAAAAATGATAGTATACCTCTTACTAGATTTCGGCCTCGTCTATTATTTTTGAGTCTCTGTTGATGACCTAATATCTGATTGGTTCTTGGATCATTCACCTGGATCCCTCAAAGCTTCAGATTAGTTCTATGGGAACTTCTGAAACTAGAACTTTCACTCTTATGTTTGGGCTCATCATTTGTCTTATAGTCTGCTGTTCTCTTAAGCGCTGTACTAAGCCTGTGTGGATAAGAATACTATTGCTTTTTGTTATGTAGACCTTGGGACTCCAACACAAAGTTATGTAGACAACTGCAAAGTGGTTTCATTCTTCTCACTCCAGACCCAACCCTGACCCCAACTATGCCCCTGTCAGCAGAAAAGTTAAACTGATTGTTGGCCTTTTCCCATCTCTGTAGCTCACACCTCAGGAATGAGGTATGCCGAAACCCAGGGTGGGAATTGAAACCGCCTTTGCAAAGGTTATAACAGTGAGAGAAATCTAACATGGCTGACTCCATCTTGCTTCTAGTCTCACAGGCTGACTGTCTTCTCTCAGTCCTGAGCATAGGCCAAACTAACCATGGGAGGAATTTAGTTTATGGCTTAACTTCAAAGCAAGGATGATAATAGTTCCTCCCTAAAACTGATCCCCTTTTTTTGTAAGACTAATAAAAGGTCACAAGATTAGGATTATAAGAGGGGCCTGAATTCTGCTAAAACGTAGGCATAGTTTCTTTTTTTTTTTTTTTATTATACTTTAAGTTTTAGGGTACATGTGCACAATGTGCAGGTTAGTTACATATGTATACATGTGCCATGCTGGTGCGCTGCACCCACTAACTCGTCATCTAGCATTAGGTGTATCTCCCGATGCTACGTAGGTATAGTTTCTATATCCCTTACTGCTTGCTCAGGAGTCATGTGGCCAGAGGTCACAAGATTTGTGACTTCCCCAATTGTTTCTATAAATAATATCATTATTGGGTTTTTGAGAGGTGTTTCAGACTGACCCTACCTGGACTTGTGACTCATGTCTCCACTGGCCCTGTAGTCCCCTACCCAGGGGCAAACTCAGTACATGAGGACTGTTTTCCACACCTCTATGATTGCATCACCAACCTATCAGCAGCACACATTCCCTAGTCCCCTGCTCACCAAGCTGTCCTTGAGAAACCCTAACCTTTCAGCCCTTGGGGAGACTGATTTGATTGATAGCTCCAGTTCTTCTGTGTGGCTGGCTTCGTGTTAAACTCTTTCTTTACTGCAATACCACAGTTTTAGTGGACTGGTTTTGTCTGTGCAGTGGTCATGAAGAACCTTTGGGCGATTATGATCTTCACCATAAAGAATACATTTGATATCATTTAAAAATTACCTTCCAGCTGGGCACAGTGGCTCACGCCTGTAATCCCAGCACTTTGGGAGGGCGAGGTGGGCAGATCATGAGGTCAGGAGTTCGAGACCAGCCTGGCCAATATGGTGAAACCTTGTCTCTACTAAAAATACAAAATTAGCTGGGCATGGTGGCGTGCGCCTGCAATCCCAGCTACTTGGGAGGCTGAGGCAGAAGAATCAATTGAACCCGGGAGGTAGAGGTTGCAGTGAGCTGGGATCACGCCACTGCACTTCAGCATAGGTGACAGAGTGAGACTCTGTCTCAAAAAAAAAAAAAATACCTTCCAACTTGATAGGTACTGTATAGCTCATTGTTTCAAGGCTTTTTGCTTTAGCATACATCAAGATTTATTTAAAAACTATAGTAATTAATATAGTGTGACATTTATACAGGGCTGGACAAATAGATGGAACAGAATAGAGTCCAGAAGCACAACCTATATGTAAGGTCATATAATTCATGAGAATAAGACATCACAAAAAGGCGGAGAATGAACAGCCTTATTGACTGTGCTGAGATAACTGACTCCATGTGGGAAAAAAAAGAAAGAAATTTGAGCCTATCTCATACCATACATAAAAATCCATTGCAGATAGATAGCAGATCACTACTAATAATAGAAAAACTGTTAAGCTTTTAGTAGATAATATTTCCATGATCTCTTTTATTTGTATTTCTGTGTTTACTATTTTTTTTTATTAGATATAGTCTCACTCTGTCACCCAGATTGGAGTGGACTGGTGAAATCGTAGCTCACTGAAGCCTTGAATTCCTGGGCTCAAGTGCTCCTCCCACCTCAGCCTTCCAAGTAGCTGGGACTACAGGTGCATGCCACAATGCCTTATTAGTTTTTTTAAAAAACTTTTGTAGAGACAGGGTCTCGCTTTGTTGCCCAGGCTGGTCTCAAACTCCTGGGCTAAAGTGATTCTCCCATCTCAGCTTCCTAAAATGCTGGGATTATAGGCATGAGCCACCATATCTTGCCCTTTGTTTACTATTTAGACTGAACTTTTAAAATGTTTATTAGCCATTTGTTCTTTCATAAATTGATTATTCATGATCCTCACTTATTTTACAGCTATCTCTATTTTTCACTGATTTATAAAATATCTTTATACATTAGGGATTTTCATCTTTTGTCTCTTATTTATGTTTCAAATATAATCCCAGTGTGTTATTACATTTTTAAACTTTTTTTAACTTTTATGTTCAGGGGTACATGTGCAGGTTTGTTAGGTAGGTAAACTGTGTGTCACGGGGATTTGCTGTACAGATTATTTCATCATCTAGGTAATAAGCAAAGTACCTGATTTTTTACTGATCCTCTGCCTCCTTCCATGAACATTTTTTAATACTAAATCAGTTCTACTAATCATTTACTACATAAATCAGTTCTACTAATCATTTAGTATATAATTTCTGTTTTGAGATTTTATTCTAAAGACCTAATTAAGGTTTAAAATTTTCCTCCATAAAATATTGTTTTAACCTAGAGCTATGTAGGGTTTAACAGATAATGAAATTAGAGATACATGGCTTCTTAAAATGTTTTTATTATTTCTTCTATTTATATCTTTTCTTATCTGGTAACAAAGGGCTGTCCAAGGGGCAAAGAGGATGGTACAGAATTACCTCACTTTAGTGAAGTAAGATGCTCCCCATGGAATCAGGGCGGCTCTCCTGGCCAATGAGCCCTGCACACAATTCCAGTGAAAAGAGGTCCCTGAAGCTGCTCTGCCGTGGGTGTAGTTGTGCCATGAGAAGTAACGACTAGAAGCTCAGACCTCCACTAGCAGCAGTCTTGCCTTCCTTCTTTGTCAGTGTAGCCACCTCCCTTATCTCTATGTTCTAGACCTGCTGTCTCAAAAATTGGTTTTTGATTAGTATACAGATGCTTCTCCGGGCACTACCTCACATTTCAAGTTATGCTTGACATTTTTAGCTAATGCCCTTTTCTGCCTTTTTTTTAGGTGGTTTAAGGAGACGAAATTATGTGTTGAATGAATATATATCTAGCATGTATAAAATTTTAAATGTTATAAATTTATAAAATTTTATACATTCTAGATACATATCACTGGAGGATGAGCCATTTTTTCTGTTGTGTTGCTTTTCTTTGCTTTATTTTTATTCGTATTAATTTCTTATTTATTATTTTATTTAAGAAATTACATTTTCATCTCCAAAACAGAAGATCATTGATCCATCTTTTCTGTTAGTTTGTATATAGAAGCTTTCACTCTGAGTGGGGAACAGTAGTTGGGCTGAAGAAAAATCTTGGAGCAAACAGCAGAATGGTGTACCATAAATAGCATATTTGCCTCTTGTTCCTTTCCTGCAGGCTTTTCTTCTTTCATTATGAGAAGCATAATTTTTCTATAGTCTGTTCCACTTCATTTCCCTCCCAGAGACTATTTTATGCGCTCAGGAATAAAAGAAGATGCTGGAGAGGGTGTCCATGGTTTTACACTTTCCAGTGGCAAATACCACCACTTCCTCAGCTCTGTCCCTCCAGTCCAGGGACTGGCAATTTTTTTTCCTGTAAAAGACCAGATAATAAATCTTTTAGAATTTGTGGGGAGTACAGTCTCTGTCTCAGCTACTGACATCTGCTGTTGTCATGGACAGTAGTCAAGGCATGGTGTAAACTAATGAGCATGTTCCAATACATCTTTATTTACAAAACCCATAAAAGCTGTAGATCCTGCTCTAGTCTCAGTGCTGCAGGAGAGGGTAACTGGCAAGCATGGTTTGTAAACCCTTCAATTTTTGTGACTTACTTTTGTGTAAGAAAGGCATGCCAACCAGTTTGAACCTCACCAGTTTATTTAGTTTGGATATTAGTTATTGCTGTTAGGTGAGGCAGCTGTGATTGGTGTCATCTACACCTTTTTTCTCTTCCTTATTAAGTCAGGTCACCGTCATTCAAGTCTGTGGGTCGTTTCTGTGGTGGTGGTAACTGCAGTGCCATTTTGTCTGAGAGGTGAACTGGAGAGCAGTCATGAAGTAGGTCAAAGGCCTCGCCTGGGAAGCCATTGATTGCTTCAGCCCACAGACAGAATGTTCATTATCACAGATTGAGGTTGTCAGATTTCAAATACCTCAGAAATAAGTCTGTTCTCCTGATGTTTTTTGGAAAAGCACCAGTCATTTCCTAACATACTGTGATAGCTAGTTCCATTCCCTTTTTTAAGTGCTGTACATTAGTACTGTATAATTCCCATTTCATTTTTCAGAAAAGAAATACAGTACACTGCTGCTGCTTCATTTGACCTTTTGTATCCATAGGTCAAAGCACATTATAAGAATGCCTGGATTCTTTCATAATTTAGATTATTGTCACTCTTAACCTTTTTAATATACACCTAGTTGGGAAGGGGCATACATATTACCTAAGCATGCCAAGTTGTTGTTTTTTAAAAAAAATCATTTTATAGTGTAAGAATTAGATTCAAAATCAATGTCACATTAATTACACTTAAATCTTTTAATCTCTTATTTATGGATCATAATGGCTGCTCAATAATGTTTGGAGGTGAGGAGTGGGTCAAATAGGTTTGAGAAAATGCTAGAAAATATAAGATTAAGAAGGTAAATTTTTTAAAAATCTGATCTCCATGATCCTTTTAAAGTTCTTTCTTCCCCTAAGTGTTTCAGAGAGCAAATTAGTGAATAGCCTCTACACACCTTCTATTCCTTCCTTCCCTCCCTTCCTCCTTTCCTTTTGCTTTCCAAAAATCCAATTTTAATGGCTCACAGTAGTAATAGAATAAAATAAATATTAACTTTATTCTCATTTCAGAGAATTGATATTAAAAGGTACTAGACTGACACTAGGAATCCCATTCTAGCTTCATGCTTTGAAATCTTGCTTATGTCCACTATGTTAGGGTCTTTCATTTGCCTAGACTTGTCATCGAGAAAGTTCAGAGAAACATCAGAAATACTGAAGGGTCTATTCTCTTGGAGAATTAGGTGTGTACAGAGCATGTTTATTAACTGGACACCTGGTTCAGGGTCACTACACCCAAGCCTGAGCTGGGATTCCAGCAGGTCTAGCCAATTGAGCTCACCTAGAGGGTATCTGCACGATATTCTGAGGTATCTCCTGGAAGAAAACTCATCCTGAGGGTAGACAGAGCCAGGACTCTTAAGTGATAGGGAAGGCATGTCTCTGAGTAAAAAGAAATATCTATAATTCAAAGTATTTCTAACCCAATCACATAGATTCATATCTGGCTGTAGGGACTGGAAACTATTAAGATATAAAAAGTATAAAAACTTAAAAGTATAAAAGGTGTAAAAAACTCAAAGACTTACAATTTTCTAAGGCAAGGGGGTGCCATAGATGAGAATAAGAAAAGGCTGAAAGGGGTATTTCCTGCCACCTCCCCACAGATCTTTTTGTCCTTTTAGAGCTGTGCTGAGTAACAGGTCATTGTTCTCAATGGGAGTAACAGGGAATTGGCAGAGGCCATGGTGCTCATCAGAACGAGCAATAGCCCAGAGCTGCTACAGTGGCACACACTAGATATGATGGGGTTGTAGGGGAAGCACCTGTGGGGGCCTGGAAGCATGTGCAGTGTTCAGCCTCTCTTCTGGTACTTCTATCCTGGGACCCAGCATTTGTGTCCTGCAGATGTGCCACTGGTGGCTAGCAGAAGCTGAGTCCTTGGAAGGAACCCTAGTAGCCAGAAGAAGGAGAAGCTGAAAGGACTTAATTCTAAGCAGATGTGAGGTATCTCCCTGGGTGACGGTAAGGCCAGACGTAGTATGAGCTTACAGCCTGCATGAGCCACTGTCTTAGTCTGTTTTCTGTTGTTTACAATGGAATACCTGAAACTGGGTAATTTATGAAGGAAAGGAATTTACTCCTATAGTTATGGAGGCTGGGAAGTACAAGGTGGAGGGGGCACATCTGTTGAGAGACTTCTTGCTGGTAGGGACTCTTTGCAGAACACCAAGGTGGCACAAGGTATCACTTGGCGAGGGGACTTAGCATGTCAATATACTAGTTCAAGTCTCTTTTCCTCTACTTATAAAGCCATCAGTCCCACTCCCATGATAACCCACTAATTTTTTTTATTTTTTTTATTTTTTGAGATGGAGTCTCACTCTGTTGCCCAAGCTGGAGTGCAGTGATGCGATCTTGGCTCACTACAACCTCTGCCTCCCAGGTTCAAGCAATTCTCCTGCCTCAGCCTCCCGAGTAGCTGGGATTACAGGCACCTGCCACTATGTCCGGCTAATTTTTCTATTTTTAGTAGAGACGGGGGTTTCACCGTCTTGGTCAGGCTGGTCTCGAACTCCTGAGCTCAGGTGACCCACCAGCCTCAGCCTCCCAAAGTGCTGGGATTACAGGCATGAGCCACCGTGCCCAGCAGATAACCCACTAATTTTTTAATCCATGAATCCATGAGTGGATTAATCAATTCATAAGGTCAGAACCCTCAGGATCCAATCACTTTTAAAGTCCCCACCTCTGAATAATCCCACATTGAGGATTCATTCAAACCATAGCAGTCAGTTAGGGCAAGTGCATTAAAACATGAATTTTTATCATTAATGTAATTTGATCCAGGGAGTCCTGTGAAACCATGCTTTGTACTTAGGATGTGAAACCTAGAAATAATCAGGGTTGACAAAGAGCATAGATGTTGTCTATGCCAACCTCCATCCCAATGCAGGAATTCTTTCTCTAGAATCTTTGGAAGATCTGAGCCTAAATATGCTAATAAAGAGAAAGTCACAATCTTTAAAGGTCTATTACACTGATTGGGATAGGTCTATTTCTTCAGAAATTTTAGTACCTGCTCAAATACCCAAATATCAGAAATGCTAATCACATACTGTAGCCCAGCAGTCCCCAATATTTTTGGCAGCAGGGGCTGGTTTCATGGAAGACAATTTTTCCGTGGATGGCAGGGGAAGAGGAGGGGATAGTTGGGGATGAAACTGTTCCACCTCAAATCATCAGGCATTAGTTAGATTACCGTAAGGAATAGGCAACCTAGATCTCTCACATGCACAGTTCACAATAGGGTTCACACTCCTATGAGACTCTAATGCTATAGCTGATCTGACAGGAGGAGGAGCTCAGACAGTAATGCGGTAATGTTCACTCACCTGCCGCTCACCTCCTGCTGTGCAGCCCCAGTCCGTGGTCTGGGGGTTGGGGACCCCTGCTGTAGCCTATAATTAACTAGTAATGTAAAATGGGACCTACAAGAGAGAAAATGTGACTTCAGACATATTTATTTTCATATGTTTATCTGCACAAAACATATACGTTAATATACGTATGTTTATACACAAGCAAGTAGGATCTTATAACATAATTTAAGAGGAGTGCTATTTGTCCACTAACAGAAGCAGTATTCACTGAGATATTATTAGCTGTTGTAACAGATAAACCTCTGAATCCCAGTGTTTTAAGAATAAAAAGTTTATTTCTTGCTAACTGGAAGAATAAGAGTTCAAATTTAGTTTTCTTCCAAGCAGTGGATCAGAGACCTAACTTCCTTTCATTGTGTGGCTCTGCCATGTTTGACAGTGGCTTGTAAGGTCACTGTGCTCATGTGCATTAAGCCAGTGAAAAGGGAAGAAATAGGTGAGCAATTGTGGGAGGTTTTCATGGCTTAAGTCTGGAAGGGCTGTACATTGCTTCCATCATCTGCATTCCATTGGCTAGAACTCATTCACGTGACCACATGGAGCTGCAAGGGTGCCTGGGAAATGTAGTCCAGCTGTGTGGCCCAGAAGAAGACTGGTTGAGAGGTGGGCTAGCTTCTCACACAAGTATCCTTGTTTGGCTTTAATAACATCTCCCCACAAAACACTGAAGTATAAGTCAGTCTTGTGTAGTTTTAACTAAAGCCTTAAACATTGTATCTTCATGGATTATGAGAGAAGAAAAATTGCTCAGAGCATCCTGAGCTATGTGAGGTGCATAAAATTTATCAGGCCCCAAAAGACTCGAGTATAGGGCTTCTGTCAAACTCCACCACACACACACCCATGCCTACGGGGAATTGTTTAAAGTTGTTTGGTTCCTAACTAGTTGCCTCACCCATTATCTTCATGTTCCTGGAATTTGTGATACAAAGAACAGTATATAGCCAATCAATAATATGTTATTTTAATGTAAATTTTTGATAAACAAAATTTTTAAATGTTTCCTTTAAAAATTTACTTGTGGCTGGGTGGCGGTGGCTCACGCCTATAATCCCAGCACTTTGGGAGGCTGAGGTGGTCGGATCACCTGAGGTCGGGAGTTCAAGATCAGCCTGACCAACATGGAGAAGCCTGACCAACATGGAGAAACCCTGTCTCTACTAAAAATACAAACGTAGCCAGGCGTGGTGGCACATGCCTGTAATCCCAGCTACTCGGAAGGATAAGGCAGGAGAATTGCTTGAACCCAGGAGGTGGAGGTTGTGGTGAGCTGAGATCGTGTCATTGCACTCCAGCCTGGGCAACAAGAGTGAAACTCCATCTCAAAAAAAAAAAAAAAAAAAATGTACTTGTAACTGCTGCTAATCAGAGTGTATATTCATGGCACCTTGAATCTATGCTCCTGGGTTGCAGTCCTCAAACTTGGCCCAAGTAAACTCTCTGCTTTTGTTAATTTTGCCTCAGCATCTTCCTTTTAGGTCAACAATTACATACTTGGAAATAATGATAGGTGGCAGGCCAGGCCAAGCTCATTCCACCCAGCTTCTTAGCACAGCCCACTTGATGAGGGTCAGATTCAGAGTTTGTGGAGGCTGAAGCTTATGTAATTTGGTGGAATCTGCTTAAGAAAAACAATACAAAATTAGCTATTAAAGTAAATATTTAGAATGAGAAAAAATAACATGATATATCTTAAAAGGTAACAAGTATCACAAACAGTATACAATCTAGAAATACAACATAATATTTTTAAATTGTTACTTTTCTAACACATCTCTGCAATACTTTTGTAAACCAAAAATAAAATTCTAAGCCCCCCCAACCATCTGAATGGACCCCCTCCTCTTGGCCAAGGGCAATCTAAAGTTAACCTGAAAAACCAGTTTAGGCTATGATGGGAATCAAGAGACAGACATTCCTCATTATTTCCTCCTCCCTGTTGAAATTCAGGCCCAGCTGACCTGCATTAACATTAAAACAGATCTTAAGACTAACAAAGGAGACTCCATGTAGCAATAAGATAACAAATTCCAGCCTGACTCTAGTATAGCATCACATGACAGATGGCAGGCCCTGAAAGAAATTAATGTATTTTACCCCAAATTATGTTTCTTTACCATCTCTTAAAATAGTCCTGCAATGCTGTCTCTTGTGGGGAAAATCTACATTCTGAAGAGAAACCCCTTCCTTTTCTAGACCTTTTTCCTGATCCAGGAGAGAATCAACTCTGATAAGAAATATTACAACCTATTCTCTCTGAAGCCTGCTACCTGAAGGCTTCCTGTGCATAATGGGAATCTTGGTCTCTACAACCCCTTATCCTAACGCAGACATTCCCTTCTACTGATTCTATCTGCATAATAGGAACCCTGGTCTCCACAACCCCTTACCTTTTTTTTTTTTTTTTTTGAGACAGAGTCTTGCTCATCTACCCAGGCCGGAGTGCAATGGCGTGATCTCGGCTCACTGCAACCACCATCTCCCGGGTTCAAGCGATTCTCCCGTCTCAGTCACCCAAGTAGCTGGGATTACAGGCACCTGCCATCATACCTGGCTAATTTTTATATTTTAGTAGAGACGGGGTTTCACCATGTTGGCCAGGCTGGCTGGTCTTGAACTCCTGACCTCAGGTGATCCATCCGCCTCAACCTCCCAAAGTGCTAGGATTACAGGCATGAGCCACTGCTCCCGGCTGACCCCTTATCTTAACCCAGACATTCCCTTCTATTGATTCTAAGTATTTAGACAATAACTTAACTCTTTCAACCTATTGCCAATCAGCAAATCTTTAAATCTACCTATGACCTGGAAGCCTCCCAGGCTTTGAGTTGTGCCTTTCCAGACTGAACCAATGTAGCTCTTACATGTATTGATTGATGTCTATGTCTCCCTAAAATGTATAAAACCAAACTGTAGCCTGATCACCATGGGCACATGTTCTCAGGGTCTCCTGAGGGCTGTGTCATTAATCACTGGTCACTCATATGTGGCTCAGAATAAATCTCTTCAAATACTTTATAGAGTTTGACTTTGTTCATTGACACTTTCCCCTTACAATTTGGCTTTTACTCTTTTTTTTTCTTTCTTTATTTCTTTTTTTTTTTTTCTTGAGACAGGGTCTTACTCTGTCACCCAGGCTGGAGTACAGTGGTGCGATCTTGGCTCACACTGCAACCTCCATCTCCTGGACTCAAGTGATCCTGGCTTTTACTCTTGAATTGGCTCTTCACAGGACTGCAATTTTACAACATTGTTTTCCATAGACAATAGAAAACTCAGTCTTTCCTCTAACCTAGTTTTTCAAAATATTTTTCTTTGTTACTGATAGATTAGAAAAGTTTCAGGTTTATTGTTACCTGAAAAAAACCAGGGCTCATTTGCCTGGTGAGTAAAAAATGACTCTGCCAGAGAACACAGGTTTTGAGCTATAGGAGTTTTATTATTTGTCTCAAGTAAGGAGAACCCTGGGGGGATTCTCCAAAGCAGTGTCCCCAAAGGGGAAAGTGACAGGAGAGTTTTATGGGGCGATGGAGAGGGGAGAGAGTGCATCATCGCATGTAGGGGCGGGGTCCGAGTGGCGCAGATGCATGAGTCATGATGCTGGCACATATGTCACATGTTATGGTAATGACGCTATAGCCCCTGCTGGGGTGGAGATTTTAGCATGGTAATGGGGAAAGTTCACTTGGGTTCATCTATATGTTGCCAGGATCTGTCAGTGGCTGGTTCCAGCTGACCAAATTCCACACTGGGTTTGGGGAAAAACAGGCTGCAAGGCAGGAGGCTGTAAAACAGGCTGATTGCTCAATTTGATTAAATTCCCATAGTCCCTGGGGCTCCTCTGTCTGCTTACATTACGACTTTGTTAAAAAAAAGTTTAGTCTAAAGCTGCCTTTTTATATATTTTAAAGGTTTCCCTGTACCTAGTGAACTGTAGCCTAACTGGATGTGTGAACAGGCTGTAACCTACTCTTGTGCCTATCACTGAGTTTCAGCCAAAGGTGGGCACTGTTCAAAGTATGTTCAAATAAGGCAAACACTGAGCTGTAACCAATCTGGCTGTTTCTGTACTTCTGTTTTCTGTGTGTCCCTTTTCTTTTTTTGATCCACAAACCTTTTTTGACTGGGCCGTAGTGCTGGAGCCTCCCTGAACCTATTCTGGTCTGGGGGCTGCCGGATTTGCAAATCATTCTTTGTTCATTTAAGCTTTGTTACATTTAATGTGTCTAAGGGTTTACTTTTACAAAGTTGTAAGCCATATTGTCAGGTAAATGTGCAAGATTATCGTCAAATTTGTTAAAACTGCTGTCAGGTTTCTTATATGAGCACTAAGATTTCAGGGCAATGCAAATGTTTTGTGCAGCAATTAGTCTTTAATATTCTCTGAACTGACAGCACTTTTTAATATGCATTGCATTGCCTCTCCTGGGGTTTTGTAAGTGCCTTGTGCAAGTAAGGGTCCCTTAAGCTTTTTTCCTTAGTTTCATGGGAAATCTACCTCTGCACCAGATCCTACATGGAGGCTCAACCTTTCCCCATTTTCTAAGACCAGCCAATGACCTGGAGAGGCCTGGCTATTTGTTAGAAGACCACCTAAATTCAGCCCTTTTCCTGCCTGCTGAGTCTCTGGGCTTTGCCTGCTTCTGAATCTCTTGTCACTGTGCTTTGCTCCACTGTGAGGCTAGAGAGCCCAGTGAGCCTGCTATAGGGAGCTACGGAGTCCTACACTCTTTTCTGAATATTTTGTTCTGCTAATGACTTGGATATAACTTCAGTACCTGTAGCAGAGCACCTCCACGCAACCCTCCAGGCTGATGGAATTCTAATGACAGGTCTGATTGCAAGTCCTCTACTCCCCCAGTGTGCCCACCCTGCTAGAGATGGTTGGTGAGGTCCTATCCAGCCTCATCACTAGGTATAACTGTAAGAGGAAGGCAGGAGTTTCCTTAGGAGAATAATAGGTGACTTATTCATCTTTTAGGATTCAGCTTGAGTTAGCCAGAAAAGACTACTTGGATGGGAGAGTTTCAAATGCCTTTCTAAATAGCAATGAAAATATTGGAGGAATTGGGAAAATGCTGTTCTAAACACATAAATGGCTCGAGTCCAACTCTCATGACATTCTCCAAAGTAGAGAAAGTCATTTGGGAGCAAATGAAGAAAATAAAAGAATGAAGAACTAGATGAGAAAGTAGAAAATAATTAAAATACTTATAGATAAGGAAAGAGAAATTGTATAGATAAATTTAAAGGAAAGTTGATAAAATAAGGGACGTATGTAGGAGGTTTGCGTAAGGAATAATATTTGAAGACTACAACTGGGCCAAATGAGTGAATACATGGATTTAAAAATTGTACAACAACATCTAGTGGTGTGTCTTGCCCATCATTTAAGGTAGCTATTTTCAAATTGTCAAAACAATCAATATGATAATTCAGTTGCCAAGCATAAAAAAGAAATTTCTGTGACTTAGAGAACTACAGAGGCTAATTACAAATTCCAAGGGTATAGGGAAAATACTATTATTCTATGAAACCAATTACAAGTAAATTTGATTTTTCAAAAATAATTTGGCACATGTATAACCACTATCATTTGCAAAATACAGTATGTATAAGTTATTAATTTTGTAGTCTTTCTTCACTCTTCTGACATTTTTGGAAGACGTCAATGCTGTATTTCCCTACAGTGATCTTTGATTAAAGAATTTAATTTCAAAGAAGTAAACATTGTTTATTTTATTAGACACTGGAGATGTGTCTCTGCTTCCAGGGTCATTTAACATTTATTATTAAACAGATATAGAAATCAATGCCTGTTTCATGGAGTATTAAAAGCACAGTCTTTTGCTAATGTCACCCTTTGCCTATGGGAGACTATTTTAATATCACTTTTAGATACAGAACAAACTTAGAAGCAAATCGATCCTCAAAACAATTCAGAGAAACAAACAAATTCCACTTTATAAATCATTCATAGGTAGGATACCACCCATAATAATAGAAGCTTACAGAGGTCTCTCCTTTGTTTAAATGCAAGAGTCTATCCATATGCTGTTGTTTCTCTATGCATTTTACTGGGAGAATTGGAGAGGTATCTTCAGTTCTCTGTACTATTTCTTGGGTGTTAATGACAAAGGAAATGCTCTCTAGTGCTTCCAAAATTTTGGTTGTTTTTACCCCATTCATGGAAGATTATTGAACTAAGGAGTAAAATCTTATCAGGAATGAGAGGCTAAAGGACCTATTTTTTTTTCCTATCAACAAATGCATAACACAGGTATCCCTATTTAGAGGGCTGGGAAGTTGAGGTTTGTGGCAAAGCAAACTTGAAAAGGAAATGAATAATTTAAAAATTGTTTTGACAAATAAAAATGATGATATATTACCATTAAACCAGGTGTTCAGCAAAGGAGAAAGAGTCCTTATTTGTCAAATACCAAAGCCCTACACTTGGCTGACTCAAATCAAAGCATCTCATAGCAAAAGATAACCTTGTTACCCTCAGCTTCTGAAGGTGAAGCAAAAGGCAGCATTACCTTGACCGTCTGTACTGCGCTTTATCTCAAACTTACTTTATTCCACAAAACTGGTGTCTTTGGTCCCCTGCGATTTCCAGTAGTTAATACCCTCAATCCATCACCCTTTCATGATGGGACCAGAGAGCTGGTAAATTTTTTCCCTTGATTTCTGACCTATGTAAGCAATTGCATTGCATCCAGATCACAGCCTGGAATTTTGGAGACATTTTCATTGAGATAGTTCTCATCTGTACTTCCATTCTCTAGTAACTATTTCTACTTGGCATTGATCTTGATTGGTGGTTTAAATGTAGATTAATTACTGCTATGGTGGTGCCAGGTGATCTCAAAGTTGAGTCTCATTGTATTGGAATAGCAAACGTCTTAAGCATTTATATTCTCATGAACTGATATTTATCAGGACACTGCTATCGTTTTTGAAAGAAAATGAAAGGGCTCTGTGCATGGTGAGGCAGGGGGTGGGAACCATCTCGGAGAGATGAAAATTGAGGGCTGCAATGGTGTCTGTCCAAGGTGGTTAGAGCTAAAATTTGAAAGGGTTGAATTTGCTACAGTACACTAAGGCTAAAGCTCCCTTTCTCCTCCCATCCTCATCTTCAAACATGAACTGTCCCATTTCCCTTCCACACTCCTGGCTGTCGTCTTTGGCTGGAGTCCATGGCTTTTCAGTGACTTTCACATATAAGAACAGTCTTACTATTAGGTATGAAGAAGTCTGATTCAATGTAAATCACAACCTCTATCTTATATTTGTGTTAGCCTCCCGGCCTGCTCAGACCTGACCTGGGAACTGGTTTGTGCTTTCACTTTTCTCCATCACATCCTCCCCCACTCTGCATCCTCTCTTCCTGTTACGTTGGGGTGGTCTCCTGGTGGGGCCTCCTCAACCCTGCTAACCCTTTTCGTGGGACCTTTTCAAGGTGACTCAAGTCTAGCTCTCCTCAGGGCTGTCTTTCCACTTGGCCCCAGGGAAAACCATGTATCCTTGCCCAACAGATGGTGTAAGCATGGGCTGCTCACTCTGTAGACCTCTTTCTCAGCACTGTCATCATGGGAAGCTCCCCAGCCTCATGCCTTCAGAGTTCTTTAGGCAAGAGTTTGCCTCAGTTTTTAACTTCCCATGTGTCTCCAAACTCCAGGGGACTTCAATCAGGATCTCCCAGGAACTCGCTCATGGTGTCCCACTCTGGGCTCACAGGGGCAGCAGTGTCCAGGTCCTTCATCTAAGTATCCAACCAGCTGGGGAGAAAGACACTGTTTATTGATCCTTCTTGCGAGATTGGCCCACACTCTGCTCCTCAGGAAGCCCTCACAATTGGCTTGAGTAGGAAGCACCCCAGGCCCTCCCTCCTAATCTGGCTGACAGTTCTGCATCTCAACGACTCGAATTCTTCTTTAGAATTTCTAGTTTTCTCACCTGTAGGTGGGTCATAGGGTAGGCAGAAAGCTCTGGTTCTGCTCTCACTAGTAAGTCACCCAGTTAACGGCCAGTTGCTGTTATTTCTAGGAGAGAGCAATATTCAAGACGACAAAGAAGCCAGAAGGAAGAACAGAATCATATCTGTCCCATCTCTGTGGAGACTCCCAGGAACCACTGGGATGACTATGGATGGTGTATCAGTCTGTGAGAGCTCCCATCACAAAATATCACAGACTGGACAGCTGAAGCAAAATAAATTCATGTCCTCACAGTTCCGGAGGCTAGAAGTCTAAGACGAAGGTGTCAGCTGGGTTGGTTTCTGCTGAGGCGTCTCTCCTCGGCCCGCACATGGTCGTCATCTCACTGTGTCCTCGCGTGGTCTCTCCTCTGTGTGAGTGCATCCATGCTGTTTTCTTATGTGTCCAAATTTCCTCTAGATACCAGTCAGACTGGATTAGGGCACACCCTTAACAAATTTTCTTTTCTCTCTTTTTTCTTTTTATTTTTAATTTGAGACAGTCTCACTCTGTCGCCCATGCCGGAGGGCAATGGTGTGATCTTGGCTCACTGCAACTTCCACCTCCTGGGTTCAAGTGATTCTCCTGCCTCAGCCTCGCGAGTAGCTGGGATTACAGGCTCAAGCCACCATGCCCAGCTAATATATATACATATACATATAATATTTTTAGTAGAGACAGCATTTCATCATGTTGGCCAGGCTGGTCTCAAACTCCTGACCTCAAGTGAGTGATCCGCCCGCCTCGGCCTCCCAAAGTGCAGGGATTATAGGGATTATAGGTGTGAGCCACTGTGTCTAGCCAAAAATTCTTCATTTTAACTCAATTACATCTATGAAGACTTTATCTCTAAATACAGTCATACTCTGAGGTGCTGGGGCTTACAGCTTCAACTATGGATTTTGAGGGGACACAGTTTAGCTCATAACAAAAGGAGAAGGCTGAGGCTGAGTTTAGCTGGCCCATCTGGGTAGATGCAGTCTGGAGAGCGCTTGCTGTCTCCCGTGCTCACTTACCCACAGACCTGCGTACATCAACAGCACAATGTAGGCACTTGGGGTACCAGGAGTCTTGCATTTCCATGGCTGGGGGTGAATGAGATACTGAAATTCAGGCACTGGTGGTAATTCAGTTCATCACAAATCCCAGTTTGGTGAGACTCACAGACATCCGGGGTATGCACTAATCCAGTTTTCCAAAGAGCAAATCAATCCTCCGGAGTTACAAAGTTACTGTCTCTGTCTTTGCAACATGGAATGAAACTAACATTTCTTTCTTTAAACAATAAGAACAAGGAATTAACAAATCTCCTATGCTAAACCCTTTAATACCAGATTAGAAACAACTAGCTTACTTTTATGTCTGCCCTAGTCAAATCAGGCAGAAAATTGAGCAATTACATGTCTGTTTGCTTAAATTATGTAAACAATTATCTTAATAGGCTACTTTGTTTTGTTTCTGTAGACCAACACCCATCTGACTTAAGTGGGATTTTTATTTAGCTACATAACATTTTGATTAAGCTATTTTGATGAGCAATATTGGTGCAGCTCTTTTGCTGTCAAGACATTTTGATCACACTTAAAAAGAGAAGAAAAAATCCTACTAAACTTACAGCTTAAAAAAATTAAAATGTTTAATGTAAAATAGACATCCTCACCTTTAGTCCCACTTCATCCCTACCTTGTTTACAATGAAGTTTTCCTTTTTTAAAGACAGGAAATTTTAATATGTTTGAATATAAAAACTTAGAGGAAAGAATACAAATGAAAAACAAAGACCTAAGAAAATAAAATTCCAAAGGAATAGGACAGTTTAACAGTCATCCTTTTTTTTTTTTTTTTTTTTTTTTTTTTTTGAGGTCAGTCTCGCTGTTGCCCAGACTGGAGTGCAGTGGTGTGATCTCTGCTCACTGCAACCTCTGCCTCCCGGGTTCAAATGATTCTTGTGCCTCAGCCTCCTGAGTAGCTGGGACTACAAGCATGAGCCATTATGCCCCGCTAATTTTTGTATTTTTAGTAGAGATGCGGTTTTGCCATGATTGACCAGGCTGGTCTCGAGCTCCAGGCCTCAAGTAATCCGCCTGCCTCGGTCTCCCAAAGTGCTGGATTACCGGCATGAGCTACTGCGCCTGGCCTAATGCTCATTCTTATACTACCCTTAGTGCAAATTTTGGCAGACTCATCTGGCTGATTTTGTGGAATATTGCTGGATAGTATGGTTCCCTTGCCCCAACACTTGAAACTAAGGAAAATTTGGGACAAGTACTCTTATAAGAAATTTATATTAATAAGTATGCCAGAAAATAAAACATAACGCTACCCAAATATAATTCAAGTCTCCTTGTTTCTTTTCAGCTGCAAATGCCTCTGAATTGTCTATGTCAATTTCTCTCTATAAACCTGTTGGTGCCTCTTTTGATGCCACCTAGTCTCCAGATGTGCCCTGTTACTCTATTACGGTGTCACCTACTGACAGTCACTGTGCTCATTGTAACTTTTTTCTGCTTTTTTTCTCACTGGTTTTCCCCCAATTCAGTGGGAAGTGGACTTATTCCTGTTTTCTTGAAGGTTCACAGCTTTTTCTCTTTTCTTCATCTTTTTTTTTTTTCTTTCCTGTACGGGCCAGAGAAAGATTTCCCATTTCCACTGATTTTTTTCTTCTTCTCAAATTAGTGCCTCAAATGCCTCCCTGAAAACTCAAGTCCACCAATGACAATAGTCTATTTTATTAATTTTGTATTACTTTCCAGTGAAGTTAATTTATATAACTGTAGTATAAAATACAGATTTCATCAAGAGGCAAAATAGGAGGGATGGTAAACAAATTATAATGTCAGATAAACAACTACTGCCAATGGTTGTTTCCATTTATTTTTAAGACACCAGCATTTGATTACTCAGAACACAAGCAGGCATGCACTTGGCAGTTTTCCCTACCCAGCTATTGAGGTGCCTTGTAAGGGTGCAGCCGTGGCCAGTCACCTTGGTTCCTTCTCTTGGAGCCTACTACTGCTTCTTCTCAAGGTGGTTTTGCCTGATCAGGACGCTGGCTTAATCATTAAAATGGAAGGTATGGCTGTTCACTGAAGATTTATCTCTATCGAACTTGAATGAACTGGAATGAAATATTCATTAATAAATTCTAGATTGTGGTCTTTGTCTCCTCAACAGTTTCTTGATTTTTGTGTTTTAAGAGACAGGGTCTTGCTTTGTCACCCAGGCTGAAGTGTAGTGGTGCCATCATAGCTCATTGTAATGAACTCCTGGGCTCAAGTGATCCTCCTGCCTCAGCCTCCCAAGTAATTTGGACTACAGGCACATGCCACTGTGTCTGGTTAATTTGATTTTTTTTTCTTACTGGAGAAAAAGTGAAGAGAAGCTGCTCTTTCCTTTTTGGCAAGCAAGCAACCTTTCCTTAAATTATTGGGTCACCATATAGATTTTTAAATTATTTTTACTTTTGTGTCATCAGCTGTTTTTTTTCTTCTAGTTATAAATGATATCAGCAATTACCTTAGATCTTCTCAATAAACTTTCATTTACATACATTCTCATTATTTTACTGTTGCTTTATAATGCCTCTGGCCTTTGCTAAATATGATACTTTAACAACCAGATATTTTTTGGTTTTCTATTCAACAGTGTCTTTTGCAGTTCTTATATTTTCTGACTGATTATACTTTTAGGTAGTGCTATGGTTTGAACGTGTCCCCTAAAGTTTATGTGTTGGAAACTTCATCCCCAATGCAACAGTTTTGAGAGATGGGACCTTTGAGAGGTGTTTGGATCACGGGGACAATGCCCTCATCAATGAATTAATAGCATTATCCCAGAAGTGGGTTAGTTATGGCAGAAGCAGATTTCTGATAAATGGATCAGTCTGACTTTCCTTCTCTCCCTGCTCTCTCACACTCTCTTGCCCTTCCACCTTCTGCCTTGAGATGACACAACATGAAAGCTCTCACCGGATGTCAGCACCATAATCTTGGACTTCCTCACCTCCAGAACTGTGAGAAATCAATTTCTTTATAAATTACTCAGTCTGTGGTATTCTGTTATAGCAACACAAAATGGGCCAAGACAGGTGACCTATATGTTGAATAACTTATTTTTAAATTTTTTGTCATATAAACTTCCACTCTGATATATATGCGCAAAATTTATGTACATTGTCAAACCAGAAAAGTAACCTTTTAAACCTTAAATGATTAATATGCATATAATGCTCAAGTGCTATGAAGCTCTCTTTAAAAGTTCTTCTATATTCTCTTTCTAATTTTGAATCAAGGGCTGAAAATTAATTCAATAGGCTAGCTTTTCTTAATATATCAAGTGAGCAAGCATGTTTACACATGTTCATTTTCTTATGGCCTTCAGGAGTTGGTAGGAAATAAAAGGTCCAAAATAAATAGATTTTCGCGGACAAATTAGTAGAAGTAGGTTATGTGAGATATAACAAAGTGAAAGAACCTCTTCTTAATTGGAAGCTTTTGGGTATTGATGGACTGATCAAAACAGGTGAGGCTGGCAAGAAGCCTGTGGTTTTTCTAGATTTGTGGCAGTGTAGGAAGCTAGAATTTGGCTGATGGGTATGAGAGTTGCTGGGAAATGAGCTAAGCTTGCTGTCAGGAATTATTAAGAGAAGGGGTTTACAAAACAGTAACTTGGAGCCGGATTCTCTTAAAGAAGTCTGGGCCCAGTACCAAAGGAACTAAAGGAAAAGGCGGGGATAAGGGAATGGGGCCACGACCTGAGTGGAACATGGTCTCTCCTCCTGTAGGATGATCTGGAAGGCTGTGGAGCAACCTGAAGTCCCCAGATAAACATGGGAAGGAGAGATGTGTGGTAGGCACTGCAGAGAAACATTGCTACTTTATAATTTTATCTGGTTACAAACATTTAAACGGTTTAAATTTACAAGTATTTAAACAGTTTTCTGCTGTTACGTGTTTATGTTTACAGTTAACTATTTAAAATCTACCAAAGCACCAATTAACAATTTATTCCACTCTACAGTTTCTTTCTAATCTAATTGCTCTGTCCCTATGAAGTGGCAAAACTATAGAGAAATATAGTGTTTTCTCACAGACATATCTATTTGGAGCATTCTTATGGATAGCGTTGAGTGCCAAGGTTACCATGAGTGTGCAAACATAAGTTGACCAAGAAAAGTGATTTTCATCTTGTTTTCCCAAAGGGATATTCAAAATGCATAGGGTAATATCAAGTAATTTATATTTAATTAAAAGTAAAAAGCATCCTGTGTAAGAAATTTGACTAAAATAAAATTGTAATACCATTGGAGCTAAACCAGTGGCAATTTATTTAAGAACATCTGGAAATTTTGACAGTGCTACATTTGGGTTCTAAGAGCAATCATTTTCACTCATATGTGGACACATTATAACAGGTAAATGGAAATATGAGTCAAGAAAAATAAATGAATTTTATCTTAGCCATGTACATAATTTAGAGAGTCTGCATCAACTAGATAGTTTCCTCATAACTTTGTGTCTGTAGTCAAACACCTGGAGAAAAATAGCTCTTTGATACTTTGGAGCATCACTTTTGAGTAATGTTCAGATAGCTGAGTCAGAATGTTTTCTCATCAATCCAAAAGCTATTGTTCACTGTTGACTAATTAGTTCTAGCTCTTGGCTAACTGGGGATCAACATCCACTCCCTTTATGGTTTCAAAGGAAATAGGGAACAACATTTCTTTTAATTAAACAGTATCTTAGGGTTAATCACAGAACTATTTCATTTGATATGGGACAAATCACTAAAGTAAAACACAACATTTATTGGACTAGTAAACAAGAAAATGTTGGTATTAACATGTATTCATGAAAATGTGTTTCCATGCTGCCAAGAGATGGACAAAGCATATTGGGAAAAATTTATTCTCTATTACTAACTTCAGATTTATTTTTCAAACTATGAGCTCATCTTTCATCACCTAACCAGCTCCACCTTCTAAGTGAAGTATTTGATCATGCCAGTCCAGAGATGTCACTCTTCTCAACTCCTGAGCATTCGTTGCCTCTACACATTCGTATTTCCTTATGATAATATTTACTTTTTCCTCCCTTTAAAAAAATATTTTTTTGGCCAGGTACGGTGGCTTACGCCTGTAATCCCAGCACTTTGGGAGGCTGAGGCAGGCGGATCACGAGGTCAGGAGATCGAGACCATCCTGGCTAACGCGGTGAAACCCCGTCTCCAGTAAAAATACAAGAAATTAGCCGGGCGTGGTGGCGGGCGCCTGTAGTCTCAGCTACTTGGGAGGCTGAGATTATAGGCGTGTGCCATCATGTTTGGCTAGTTTCATGCGCGTCCGTGTGAAGAGACCACCAAACAGGCTTTGTGTGAGCAACACGGCTGTTTATTTCACCTGGATGCAGGTGGGCTGAGTCCGAAAAGAGAGTCAGCAAAGGGAGATGGATTATCATTAGTTCTTATAGGTTTTGGGTCAGGCGGTGAAGTTAAGAGCAATGTTTTGCGGGCAGGGGTGGATCTCACAAAGTACATTCTCAAGGGTGGGGAGAATTACAAAGAACCTTCTTAAGGGTGGGGGAGATTACAAAGTACATTGATCAGTTAGGGTGGGGCAGGAACAAATCACAATGGCGGAATGTCATCAGTTAAGGCTATTTTTACTTCTTTTGTGGATCTTCAGTTACTTCGGGCCATCTGGGTGTATACGTGCAAGTCACAGGGGATGCGATGGCTTGGCTTGGGCTCAGAGGCCTGACATTCCTGCCTTCTTATATTAATAAGAAAAATAAAACAAAATAGTGTTGAAGTGTTGGGGCAGCGAAAATTTTGGGGGGGTGGTATGGAGAGAGAATGGGCGATGTTTCTCAGGGCTGCTTCAAGTGGGATTAGGGGTGGCGTGGGAACCTAGAGTGGGAGAGATTAAGCTGAAGGGAGGTCTTGTGGTAAGGGGTGGTATTGTGGGGATGTAAGAAGAAACATTTGTCATATAGAATGATTGGTGATGGGCTGGATACGGTTTTGTATGAATTGAGAAACTAAATGGAATAAGAGAAGGAGAAAAACAGGTATAAAAGGTCTAAGAATTGGGAGGGCCTAGGACATCTGATTAGAGAGTGCCTAAGGAGATTCAGCATAGTCCTGCCAGCAAAGATTATTTATTTACTTCAAGAGTTTAGAGTGGCAGTTTGGGGATAGCACCAGGAGATATCAGCTGTGATGGCTTGGAGAAACAGCGTAAACCGGCAGTGTAAACAAGAGCAGGGCATGTATGAGTAGTTGAGAACGGTGAATAGGAGTATGACTAGACAAAAGATAGTACGGATGACAAGTTTTTTTGGGGCACAGTCTAAGTTGGTCTGGTGTCGAATGAGACTGGGGCCTAATAAAAAGGAGTGTCTATACAGGAGCTTAAATGGGCTGTGCCCTGTAGCATTTTGAGGACAGGTCTGACTTCTGAGAAGCGAAAGTGGTAAAAGTATTGTCCAGTCCTTTTTAAGTTGGTGGCTGAGCTTGGTGAGGTGTGTTTTTAAAAGACCTTTTGTCCATTCTAATTTTCTTGAAGACAGAGGACCATAAGGGATATAAAGATTTCACTGAATACTAAGAGCCTGAAAAACTGCTTGGCTAATTTGACTAATAAAGGCTAGTCTGTTATCAGACTGTATAGAGGTGGGAAGGCTAAACTGAGGAATTATGTCTGACAGAAGGGAAGAAATGACTGTGGTGTCCTTCTCAGACCCTGTAGGAAAGGCCTCTACTTATTCAGTGAAAGTGTCTATTTAGACTAAGAGGTATTTTAGTTTCCTGACTCGGGACATGTTGAGTAAAGCTAATTTGCCAGTCCTGGGTCGGGGCAAATCCTCGAGCTTGATGTGTAGGGAAGAGAGGGGGCCTGAATAATCCCTGAGGAGTAGTAGAATAGCAGATGGAACACTGAGAAGTTATTTCCTTGAGGATAGATTTCCATGATGGAAAGGAAATGAGAGGTTCTGAGAGGCGGGGTAGTGGTTTGTACTATAGCATAGCCTGCCTTTGCTGGTGTGTGGCGATTAGGCCTGGTGGAACTGCCATCAATAAATCAAGTGTGATCGGGGTGAGGAACAGGAAAGAAGGAAATACGGGGAAATGGGGTGAATATCAGGTGGATCAGAGAGATACAGTCATGGGGGTCAGGTGTGGTATCAGGAATAATGTGGGAGGCCGGATTGAAGTCCGGGCCAGGAACAATGGTAATTGTGGGACTTAACAAAGAGTGAGTACAGCTGAAGGAGCCGGGGAGCAGAAAGTATATGCGTCAGGTGTGAGAAGAAAATAGATTTTGGAAGTTATGAGAAATGTAGAGAATGAGTTGAGCATAGTTTGTGATTTTTAGGGCCTCTAACAGTATTAAAGCAGCGGCAGCCACTGCATGCAGACATGAGGGCTAGGCTAAAACAGTAAGGTCAAGTTGTTTGGACAGAAAGGCTACCCGGTGTGGTCCTGGCTCTTGTGTAAGAATTCTGACCGCACTAACCATGCCTAGGAAGGAAAGGAGTTGTTCTTTAGTAAGGGATTGAGGTTTGGGAGATTAATCGGACACGATCAGCAGGGAGAGCACGTGTGTTTTTACGAGAATTATGCCGAGATAGGTAACAGATGAGGATGAAATTTGGGCTTGACTGAAGTAATGGGGGCTGTCTGTGAAGCCTTGCGGCAGTACAGCCCAGTCAATTTGCTGAGCCTAATGGGTGTCAGGGTCAGTCTAAGTGAAGGCAAAGAGAGGCTGGGATGAAGCGTGCAAAGGAATAGTAAAGAAAGCATGTTTGAGATCCAGAACAGAATAATGGGTAGTAGAGGGAGGTATTGAGGATAGGAGAGTATATGGGTTTGGCACCACGGGGTGGATAGGCAAAACAATTTGGTTGATAAGGTGCAGATTCTGAACTAACCTGTAAGCCTTGTCTCGTTTTAGGAGAGGTAAAATGGGGGAATGGTAAGGAGAGTTTATAGGTTTTAGAAGCCCATGCTGTAGCAGGCGAGTGGTAACAGGCTTTAATCCTTTTAAAGCATGCTGTGGGATGGGATATTGGCGTTGAGTGGGGTAAAGGTGATTAGATTTTAATGGGATGGTAATGGGCATGAGATCGGTTGCCAGGGAAGGAGTAGAGATGTCCCATACTTGTGGGTTAAGGTGGGGGGATATGAGAGGAAGACACGAAGGAGGCTTTGGGTTGGGGAGAAGGGCGGCAATGAGATGTGGCTGTAGTCCAGGAATAGTCAGGGAAGCAGATAATTTGGTTAAAATATCTCGGCCTAATAAGGGAACTGGGCAGGTGGGGATAACTAACAAAGAGTGCATAAAAGAGTGTTGTCCAAGTTGGCACGAGAGTTGGGGAGTTTTAAGAGGTTTAGAAGCCTGGCCGTCAATACCCACAACAGTTATGGAAGCAAGGGAAACAGGCCCTTGAAAAGAAGGTAATGTGGAGCAGGTAGCCTCCGTATTGATTAAGAAGGGACGGACTTAACCTCCACTGTGAGAGTTACCCGAAGCTTGGCATCCGTGATGGTCTAGGGGGCTTCCGAGGCGATTGGGCAGTGTCAGTCTTCAGCCGCTAAGCTGAGAAGATCTGGGAAGGAGTCAGAGAGCCTTGGGCCAGAGTTCCAGGGGCTCTGGAAGTGGCTACCAGGTGAGTTGAACAGTCCGATTTTTCAGTGGGGTCCCGCACAGATGGGACACGGCTTAGGAGGAATCCTGGGCTGTGGGCATTCCTTGGCCTGGTGGCCAGATTTCTGGCACTTGTAGTAAGCTCCTGGGGGAGGAGGTTCTGGAGGAACCCCTGGCCGCTGCGGTTCGGGCGTTTGGAAGTTCTTGTGTGCTGGAGATGTGGCTGGGGTTTGTCTCACAGTGGAGGCAAGGAATTGCAACTTTATTCTATTATCGTACACCTTGAAGGTGAGGTTAATTAAGTCCTGTTGTGGGGTTTGAGTGCCAGATTCTAATTTTTGGAGTTTTATTTAATGTTGGGAGCAGATTGGGTAATAAAATGTATATTGAGAATAAGACGGCCTTTTGACCTTTTAGGGTCTAGGGCTGTAAAGCGTCTCAGAGTTGCTGCCAAACGAGCCATGAACTGGGCTGGATTTTTATATTTGATGAAAAAGAGCCTAAATGCTATCTGATTTGGGATAAAGAAAAAGGAGCATTAACCTTGACTATGCCTTTAGCTCTAGCCATCTTTTTAAGAGTAAATTGCTGGGCAGGTGGGGAAGAGCTAGTCGCGGAACTAAACTGTAAGCCAGACCAGGTGTGAGGAGGGGAGGTGATAGAAGGATTATAGGGTGGAGGAGTTGGGGCTGAGGAAGAATTGGGACTTAGCTCGGCCTGGCGACGAGCAGCCTGGGGAGGAGGGGAAAGGTCAGATGGGTCTGTAGAAAAGGAAGACTGGAAAAACTCAGCGACGCTTGGGGTTGGGACTGAGGGGATAGGCAGGAGGGAAAGGAGGATCTGGGAGGAATCGCATTGGGAACAGAGGCTAGGGAGGGAGTGAAGTGTGAAAAATGCCTGGACGTAAGGCACCTCAGACCATTTGCCCATTTTTCTACAAAAATTATTTAGGTCTTGTAGGATGGAGAAATCGAAAGTGCCCTTTTCTGGCCATTTAGAGCCATTGTCAAGTTTGTATTGGGGCCAAGTGGTGTTGCAGAAGAAAATAATGCATTTAGGTTTTAGGTCAGGTGTGAGTTGAAGAGGTTTTAAGTTCTTGAGGACAGGCTAAGCGAGAAGGAGGAGGAATGGAGGATGGAAGGTTGCCCATAGTGAAGGAGGTAAACCCAGAGAAAAGAGAGCGTAGAGACATGGAGGGAAGGGGTTCGGGGTTGTTACCCTCCAGAAAAGCGGGAAGGGGGGTTGGGGCACGGAAATAAGGGATTGGGGCACAGAGATAAGAGATTGGGGTGTGGAAATAAGGGATTGGGGGTTCTTGCCACCTAGAAAAGCGGGACTTGCCGCTAAGGGTGAAGGAGAAGGGGTTGAGGGGTTCTTGCCCCTGCCCCAGAAAAATCACAGAAGGGGTAGAGACAAGGAGAGAAGGGGTTGGGGTACTCGCCCCTTCCTCAGAAAAGCGGGACTTGCCGCTAAGGGTGAAGGACCAAGGCAGGCGTCCCTGCGTGGTCTGACACCTTTGAAACGTGGGTGAATAATCAGAGGCGTCCCTGCAATGATTAAACACCAAGGGAAGGCTGCCTTCCCAGCCCGTGACCGGCGCCGGAGTTTTGGGTCCACGGATAAAACGTGTCTCCCTTGTCTCTACCAGAAAATGAAAGGAACTGAAATTAAGAGAAGGGAGAGATTGAAGTGCGGCGCCAAGATTGAAAGGAGAAAGAGGTTGAGGGATAGTGAGGGAAGCTGGAGAAGACAGTAAAAAGAGGCCGCTTACTGGATTTGAAATTGGTGAGATGTTTTTTGGGCTGGTCGGTCTGAGGACCTGAGGTCGTAGGTGGATCTTTCTCATGGAGCAAAGAGCAGGAGGACAGGGGGATTGATCTCCCAAGGGAGGTCCCCCGATCCGAGTCACGGCACCAAATTTCATGTGCGTCCGTGTGAAGAGACCACCAAACAGGCTTTGTGTGAGCAACACGGCTGTTTATTTCACCTGGATGCAGGCGGGCTGAGTCCGAAAAGAGAGTCAGCGAAGGGAGATGGATTATCATTAGTTCTTACAGGTTTTGGGTCAGGCGGTGAAGTTAAGAGCAATGTTTTGCGGGCAGGGGTGGATCTCACAAAGTACATTCTCAAGGGTGGGGAGAATTACAAAGAAACTTCTTAAGGGTGGGGGAGATTACAAAGTACATTGATCAGTTAGGGTGGGGCAGGAACAAATCACAATGGTGGAATGTCATCCTTAAGGCTATTTTTACTTCTTTTGTGGATCTTCAGTTACTTCAGGCCATCTGGGTGTATATGTGCAAGTCACGGGATGCGATGGCTTGGCTTGGGCTCAGAGGCCTGACAGCTAGATTTTGTATTTTTAGTAGAGACGGGGTTTTACCATGTTGGCCAGGTTGGTCTTGAACTCCTGACCTCAAGCGATCCGTCCACCTGGGCCTGCCAAAGTGCTGGGATTATAGATGTGAGCCACCTCGCCTGGCCTACTCCAATTTTTTTGTATTGTAGTAAAATAAACATAAAATTACTATCTTAACCATCTGTAAGTGTATAGATCAGTGGCATTCAGCACATTAACACTGTCGTGGAACCATCACCACCATCCATCTCCATAACTCTTTTCATCTTGCAAAACTGAACCGCCCAATCACACTTAGTTTTTATGAGGTCTAAACAATTTCTTGTTACTCTTATCACTCCGACATTGTAAGCCCTGTGTATGGGGCACCCATGTATTAGTTATAACATACACATAGGGTATCTACTATTAGGCATTGCTCTAAGTGCTTTGCAAATGTTAACTGGCATAATTATCTTTGTATGTTCTGCAGGATCTAGCCAGTGCTTTGCACGTGAGAGGTAAAATATTTGAGGAATGAACTTCGGTACCACCTAAACATTTCCCATTGACTCTGGCTGTTATTCTGGTTGGCAAGTTAGGAAAGGAGCAGGTTACCTTGGGGAAAACGACTTTCGGGGCGTAATCTGATATTAGGTCGTAAGTTTAAAGAAGTCCTTTATTTTAGCCACATTTAGGCCAAGTTGCTAATAAGGGAAGCTAACAGGGAAGTTATTCCTAAATGATAGAGAATATAGGAAGTGACTCAAGGCAGTTAAGGTCTTGGCTTTCTAGTAGCACCGCGTTCAACTCCAGGAAGACTCAGGCCACCGGAGACCCAGGGTTGGGACAGCCTGGGATCTGTCAGCACGGTAGCGGGCGGGGGCGGGGCTTCGGGCCGGGGCGGGGCCGGGCTGGGCGGGCTGGGCCGGCCTGGGCGGGGCGCGCGACTGCTCCGGGCGGCGATGGCGGCGGACGGGGACTGGCAGGATTTCTATGAGTTCCAGGAGCCGGCCCGGAGCCTCCTGGACCAGGAGAACTGTAACGCGAGCCCCGAGCCTGGGGCGGAGGCGGGGGCCGAGGCGGGTGGGGGCGCCGACGGTTTCCCGGCCCCGGCCTGCAGCTTGGAGGAGAAGCTGAGCCTGTGCTTCCGCCCCTCGGATCCGGGCGCCGAGCCCCCGAGGACGGCCGTGCGGCCCATCACGGAGCGCAGCCTCCTGCAGGGGGACGAGTGAGTGCGGGGCCCCGGCCGGGAGTGGGCGGGAGCCTCCCCTACCCCTCGCCCGACCGGCAGCCCTACGGCCGCAGCTCCTCCCTGCGCCCTCCTTCCGCCCGGACGCGGGAGTCCCCGCCCTCTCGCCTCCTTCCTCCGGCCGTCGGCCTCGGCTCGCCCAGCAATTTAAATCCCCTGCCCCCCGCCGCCACGAGCCCTGAAAACCTCCGCCTCGGTACCTCCCGCCCTCCTTCCTGCAAACCAAACCCTCGTTTGTATTAGAAGGGAATCGCCCATGCAGAGCCCATAGTTAGAGACGGCACCTCCTGGGGCACCTCCTGGGGCACGTGTGTCGCCATTCATTCACTCAAGTCGCATTTATTAAGCACCTGCTGAGTGCCAGGCGCTGCTTCGCACAGGGAACACCAAAACGACTGGGCACTGTCCCTCCCACTTAGGACACAACGTAGGATGGGAGATAGATTTGTAAACAAATACATGTATGGATGTAATTAGCGCTGCAATGGTTATATGTACCAAATGTGAGAGACTTAAAAGCGTGTGTCTTGGGGAGAGTAAGGAACGACTTTATAAAGAAATGTGCAAACGAGATCTGACTGATGAGTGGGAGTGTGCCTGGCAGGTGGAAAAAAGTCTAACGTTCTAGGTGGAGTATATTGCCTGTGCATAAGTACCAACGTGCGAGGCAGCATTTAGGGCACAGGAATCTGTGGGACCCACCCGGGAGCCCTGGTAGAGTGCGAGCCGCCACAGAGACGAAAACGAAGGGCCCTGCTTACTGATGGTAACGATCGCATGGTCTGGTGGGGAGACCAAGGCATACACAAGTAATATTAATAATTACAGAATCACCTAAGAGCAATGATAGGAGGTTCACGGGGTTTTATCACAGCTGGGAGAGGTGAGGCGCAGAGTTCCTGAGGGCACTTTTTAAACCACCTGAGCCGCAATTATAATTTGGTTAAGTAAGAGTTGTAATTAGGTACCATGGTTTTACCCCCAAAAGATGGTAAATAGGAATGGTGAGAGTAAAGGGACTTGAGCATGTTGTGTATATAGGGGGAGAGGAGCCTCCGGAGAGGCTGAAGGTAAAATGAGTGGAATAAGATTGGGCGCGGTGGCTCACACCTGTGATCCCAGCACTTTGAGAGGCTGTGGTGGGAGGATGGCTTGCTTCCAGCAGTTCGAGACCAGACTGGGCAATATCGTGAAATCTGGTCTTTACAAAAAAATTAAAAAAAAATTAGTGAAGTCCGGTGGCGCATGCCCGTGGTCCCACGGACCCAGCTGCCCGGAGGCTGAGATGGCAGGATTGCTTGAGTCCTGGAGGCGAAGGTTGCAGTGAGCCATCATCGCACAACTGCACTCCAGCCTGGGTGTCAGAGCGAGACTTTGTCTCAAAAATGAGGACATGGGAAGGAATGGATTTTCAGAGCATTGATGGGATGGAGAGACTCTTAGAGGTTAGGGAAGAATTTTTGAGAGACAGGACAGGAGTCACGGGCACGGAAAGGAGTTTCCAGCCTGATTGTCTCCTTTCCTTTGTGAAACAAACAGATTTATCAGGAATAAGGTAGGAAGCTTGTAAAGACAGCCTTGGGAGTGGGGCCTGTAAACATGGCTGAGCAGTGGTGCAGGCCCACCTGTGTTTGGAGACCATCTCCTTTTATTGGTTCCTCAGTACAGTGTTCTGCCCAGGTGTAGAGAAGGGAAACACTTATAATTGGATTTTATACACACATGCATGCCGTCAGTAGCAAAAGATGACATTTTTGGAAGCCTGTTCCCAAAGAGAAGATAATTTTATGTATATGTAGATTTAGATACTCTGAATCACTAAACCCAGGACACATTCTGGATTTAAAAATTAGTGTAGATGTATTATGTATTTGGGTTTTTCAAGAGTAGCTGACTTAAATCAATTAGAGGATTGTACGTAGATCGTTAAGAGTTTTTGTTTCACTTAGACCGTCAGGAGAGTAGGTTATTTTAGCCTTTGCTTAAAAATATTTTGTCGCTCTTGTTAATGGTATTTAGTAGATGATATGTTGGTGGTAATGCATGTCTCTTGACTTGGGAATGCATATGAAATCTCTTTTTTTCCGGGAGTTGGGAGCTGGTCATCACTGGCATTGTCCCTTTTATATTGCAAAAACATACTCATCATTGCTTGATAGTCTGTTCCAGTTCCCTTTTCACTAGATATAATTGATAATTGTTTTACTCAGATATTGCTGTGCTTTAGGTCAAGGGGTCCCCAACCCCTGGTCCACAGACCGGTACTGGAACTGGGCCACACTACAGGAGGTGAGTGGCTGAGTGAGTGAGCAAAGCCTCATCTGTATTTACAGCTCCTCCCCATTGCTTGCATTACCACCTGAGCCACCTCCTGTCAGATCAGCCACGGCATTAGATTCTCATAGGAGCGTGAACCCTATTGTGAACTGCACAAGTGAGGGTTCTAGTTTGCAGACACCTTATGAGAATCTAATGCTTGATGATCTGTCACTGTTTCCCCTCTCCCCCAGATAGGACCATCTAGTTGCAGGAAAACAAGCTCAGGGCTCCCATTGATTCTACGTTATGGTGAGTTGTAAAATTATTTCATGATATATGACAGTGTAATAATAGAAATAAAGTACACCGTAAATGTAATGTGCTTGAATCACCCCAAAGCCCTCCCCGACCCTTGGCACTTCATTTAACTTCTCTGAGCCTCAGCTTTTGTTTTGGTTAAATATGGATTGTATTTACGTACTGAGGTTTTACTTATAAGAGTATTCTGCAGGATTCGATGTTGGCAGGACTTTGACCTCCTTGCAAAAGAGCTGTCCTGACCGTTGTTTACGACTGGTTGTAATACTTGGTGATAAAGATGAAGGCAGTTCATATGTCTTGACTGCAGAATTCTAGAAATCTTTCACTAGAGTTGCCTCTGTGTCCTTCCAACTACCATTGTTTTGACCTTGGTGGAGACTGTTAGTTGGCTTTCATTTTCTTGGAAGATCAAACTCACTGACAGGCACTTCTAAGTGAAATATTCCATCCCATTTGCCTTTTTCTTATAGCCTTGTTTAAGAAGGAGCAAATCAGCAGACAAAGCAAACTCCTCAAATTCTGGACTGTCTTCACCTGCTAGTGTATCCTGCTTAAATTCCTGCCAGGATTAGGTCTATAGTCAGTGATACGGTTTGGCTGTGTCCCCACCCAAATCTCAACTTGAATTGTATCTCCCAGAATTCCCACGTGTTGTGGGAGGGATCCAGGGGGAGGTAATTGAATCATGGGGGCTGGTCTTTCCTATGCTATTCTCATGATAGTGAATAAGTCTTACAAGATCTGATGGGCTTATCAGGGGTTTCCGCTTTTGCTCCTTCCTCATTTTCCCTTGCTGCCGCCATGTAAGAAGTGCCTTTTGCCTCCTGCCATGATTCTGAGGCCTCCCCAGCCATGTGGAACTGTAAGTCCAATTAAACCTCGTTTTCTTCCCAGTCTCGGGTATGTCTTTATCAGCTGCATGAAAATAACCTAATATAGTAAGTTAGTACCAGTAGAGTGGGGCGTTGCTGAAAAGATACCTGAAAATGTGGAAATGACTTTGGAACTGGGGAACAGGTAGAGATTGGAATAGTTTGAAGGGCTCAGAAGACAGGAAAATGTGGGAAAGTTTGGAACTTCCTAGAGACTTGTTGAATGGCTTTCCCAAAATGCTGACAGCAATATGGACAATAAAATCCAGGCTGAGGTGGTCTCAGATGGAGATGAGGAAGTTGTTGGGAACTGGAGCAAAGATGACCCTTGTTATGTTTTGGCAAAGAGAACTGGTGGCATTTTGCCCCTGCCCTAGAGATTTGTGGAACTTTGAACTTGAGGGAGATGAGTTAGGGTATCTGGCAGAAAAAATTTCTAAGCAGTAAAGCATTCAGGAGGTAACTTGGGTGCTATTAAACGTATTCAGTTTTATAAGGGAAGCAGAGCATAAAAGTTTGGAAAATTTGCAGCCTGACTATGCGATAGAAAAAAAAAAAACCCATTTTCTGGGGAGAAATTCAAGCTAGCTGCAGAAATTTGCGTAAGTAGCAAGGACCCTAATGTTAATCCCCACGACCATGGGGAAAATGTCTCCAGGCCATGTCAGAGACCTTCATGGCAGCTCCTCCCATCACAGGCCTGGAGGCCCAAAAAGGAACAAGTGGTTTCGTGAGCTGGGCCTAGGGTCTGCCTGCTGTATGCGGCCTAGGGACTTGGTGCCCTGTGTACCAGCTGCTCCAGCTGTGGCTGAAAGGGGCGAGAGTACAGCTCAGGCTGTGGCTTCAGAGGGTGCAAGCCCCAAGCCTTGGCAGCTTCCATGTGGTGTTGAGCCCACAGGTGCACAGAAGTCAAGAATTGAGGTTTGGGAACCTCCTTCTAGATTCAGAAGATGTATGGAAATGCCTGGATGCCCAGGCAAAAGTTTGTTGCAGGGGCAGGGCCCTCATGGAGAACCTCTGCTAGGGCAGTGTGGAAGGGAAATGTGGGGTTGGAGCCCCCACACAGAGTCCCTACTGGGGCACTGCCTAGTGGGGTTGTGAGAAGAGGGCCGCTGTCCATGAGTTTATCAGGGGTTTCTGCTTTTGCATCTTCCTCCTTTTCTCTTGCTGCCACCATGTAAGAAGTGCCTTTTGTCTCCCACCATGATTCTGAGGCCTCCTCAGCCATGTGGAACTGTAAGTCCAATTAAACCTCTTTTTCGTCCCAGTCTTGGGTATGTCTTTATCAGCTGCATGAAAATGGACTATACAGTCATTCAGTGTTTGAAAATTTCTTATCCAGGAAGGTATGAGCCAGAAACCCAGCAAGTTTAGTAGTCCACAGAAACCCAGCAAATTTAGTAGTCCACAGACATTGCCTCTAATTCTACTTCACTGGCATTAGAGGAGATATTCCAACAGAGAGGAGAATAGGAATGGACTGTGCATATGGGAGCTTTGCTGGGTAGATGAGTTAGTTCTCTAGAGATTTTTGGGTTCACATTTTTATTAAGGCTAATTTTATTTTTTATTTTATTTATATATTTTTAGAGACAGGGTCTTGCTCTGTCTCCCAGGCTGGAGTACAGTGGTGCCATCATAGCTCACTACAGCCTTGAGCTCCTGGGCTTAAGCAGTCCTCCTGCCTTACCCTCCAAAAGTAGCTGGGACTGCGGCACATGCCACAGGCCTGGCCAATTTTTTTTTTTTTTTTTTTTTTGTAGAGATGTGGGGCTCCCTTTTGTTGCCCAGGCTGGTCTTGAACTCCTGGCTTCAAGCAATCCTCCCACTTTGGCTTCCCAAAATGCTGGGATTACAGGCATGAGCCACCAGGCCCATCCCTAACGTGCATTTTAAAGCCAAACATCATTTGGGATGTTATGCTTTTAGCCGTTGCAGTCCTATTGCTTCTTTTTAGCGCCCAATCCCTATTTGTTAACTATGTTATGTCTGTATTTTAAAATTTTCATTCTTGGGCTTAATACCTAGGTGATGGGTTGATAGGTGCAGCAAATCACCATGGCACATGTTTGCCTGTGTAACAAACCTGCACATCCTGCCCATGTACCCCGGAACTTAAAAAAAAAATTCATTCTTATGTTTATGCCCCAGCCAGGATTGTTTTTGTATCCTAGTGTCTTACACACTTGGAAAGAAAGCCTATTGCTTATTCACAATTAGATACCTAATAAACATTTTAGGGTGTTTTTTTCTACATGACATCTTTGTGTATACCTCTAGCTAGTAAGTAGCTTGTATGTTTAGTGTTTGATTTTACGTATCCCAATTAGATTTCAAGTCACTTGTATCTCTGAACTTTAGTTTTTCATAAAACATCATGTTTTATTGTGCTGATTATTACTTTGGTATTGAAACCTGAATTTTGGTTGTGAAATTTGAGTTTGGTGTTCTTATCTGGTGTGGTTTGGGACTCTCTTCAATACACCTCATTTGAATTAATGCTTAGAGTAATGGAGCTGGAAGGAGTATCTGCTTCTTGTCCAGGTCTCTCATTTATAGAAGGGCAGAGGATACCTAGGGAGGTTAAGGGGCCTGGCCAATGACTCGTTATTTGAAGAAGGATGGAGATGAGAGTTTGTTTCCCTAGTCTCAGTCAAATGCCCTTACCATTTGACCCTCTTGCCTCCCTGTAATGCTGTTGGGTAATAAGGTCAGGTAACTGCATTGGATAGAGCCTGGGTGTGTTTTATTGTGAACTCCCTCTCTTTCTCCTTTTTGTTGTATCTGCCTTAGTGCTTAGCTTCTTTATTACAAATTAGATATTAAATCCTGTTCTCACATTGAGAGCGAATTCTTTCTCCAGAAAGGATAACAAACCTTTTGTTTGAGAGAGATTTTTCACTTTTTGAAATGGTCTGTTTGTTTGAAGTTACAGAAGAAAAATAAGTGTAATGCACAGTTGTATTTATTATTCATGTGACCCTGGAAACATTTCTTCCCCGCCCTGTGTTTCAGTTTCTTCATCTGTAAAATGAGGTTAATAATGGTTCCCCCTTCTAATGTTGTTTTTGAAGATTACATGAGTTAATACATGTAAATTGCTTAGAACAGTGCCTAGCACCTAATATAATGGAAGTGTTGCCTACTGCCTATTGGCAGTTTTCTGTACGGCTTCACCTTCCCTTAGGACTTCTTGTCAGCCCAGTTATGTGATTTTTCACCTCGTTTTTGTTTAGGAGACTCTACTTTGTTGATGTTTTTCTGAGAAACAATGTGCTGTCTGTTTTTCTCTGTTTCCTTTGACATTTGCTGTTCATCTTTCACTGAATATTTGTTTAAGAAAGACATACAGAATGTTAATTTTCATTGATTGTAGCTTTCTTCTTTTTAAGGATTTGGAATGCCCTGACAGATAATTATGGGAATGTGATGCCTGTAGACTGGAAGTCATCGCATACTAGGACCTTGCACTTGCTTACTCTGAACCTCTCAGAAAAAGGGGTAAGTTAGGAATTGAACCAATAGTGTTTGAATAACTGATGCTGATAATAGAACTAAAACAGTAGCATTTCTGCTTAACACAGATTCACTGACCTGCCTCTCATTTCTGAAATTATAGCAGTTTGGGTGGCTCTGTCTTGATGTCTTGGCTGTAGGGCCATCACCTTGCTGGCACATTCCTCCAGTTCTTCTCCAGCACACTCATTTTTTATGTGTAGCTAAATTTCCATCACAATTTTTTTTTTTTTGACGGAGTCTCACTCTGTTGCCCAGGCTGGAGTACAGTGGCTTACTACAACCTCTGCCTCCTGGGTTCAAGCGATTCTCCCACCTCAAACTCCCGAGTAGCTGGGATTACAGGCATGAGCCACCAGTCCCGGCTAATTTTTGTATTTTCAGTAGAGACAGGGTTTCGCTGTGTTGGCCAGGCTGGTCTCGAACTCCTGACCTCAGGTAATTCACCTCCCAGAGTGCTGGGATTACAGGTGTGAGCCACTGCACCTGGCAGTGATGATGCACTGAAACACTCAGTAAAATTTGGTGCACTGAAACCCTCAGTAAAAATGCTAGCCTTTGGTTTAATATACTGAGAGTATTGGAATCTCAACACGGAGTTAACTTTTTAATGAGTGTAGTGACCTGCTAGACATGATATGTTGTCAGGAGACTGTGTATTCCTGTGAATACTGGAGAACCTTTAAAAGATATTTTAGTTCTTGGCTTTTAAAATACGGTCTTGGCTAACTTACCTTTCTTGGGGTCTCCTGTGTACATCCTGGTATTGTAAAGTGAAGATGTCTTGACTAAGAAGTGTGAGCACGAGTGGTGGGACAGGTAGGGAGGCAGAAAAGGGTTGAGAATTACTTGAAATGGAAAATCACAGTGTTAAGCTTTTTTAAATCTGATGAGAAACATATCCAAATTATCTAAGTTTCAGGGCCTGGCTGTTTAAGTTCCTTATCAAATAATAATGTAAACTCATGCCAGATCTTCTTGCGTGCTCTATATTTCATTAAGTGTAATTATGTGATTATTGAGAATATAGTGCAGTAGGCCTGTCACTATTTTACATAGTATTGTTAATGTTTTGTTAAAAGGATTTTCTTACATATGTGATCAGAAAAGCCTACTGTTATTATTTTCTAGTAAAATGTAGAATTCTGGCTGTATTTCCCAGTATTCAGTAGCTATGGAAATCTTCCTGACTGTGCCAGTCATTAATCCCATTAAGCTTTGCAGACTGACCTGGCATATATTTAATGAAAAGGAATAAAATGAGGGATCTTTTGCTCTGTCTTGTTTACTTAGGTCCTGGCTATCATTTTGGGCTTAGTTCAAGTTTCCCTTCCTCTCTGAAGCTTCCTATTACTGTTTTAGCCTTTGCTGATCTCATGGAATTATACAATTTTAGAGTTGGAAGGGGCTTTAAAGGACACTTAATCCAGCCTCTCACTTGGGGGGAATCCTCACCTCCAGCATCTCTGACAGATGGTCATTTAGCCATGGCCTAAATTCCTGCACGGAAGGAAAACACACTCCCCTCTAGGGGAACTGATGGCACTTGTGGGGTTGTGAACTTTGAAAGGACTTGTTATCTGTGCCACGGGGTTTAGCCTTGCTGTCTCATGGGTGCTAGTCCCCAGATCACTTTGTCCCTGTCTCTAAAATTACCACTGCCTTCTCTTGTTAATCATATGTTTCTGGGTCTGTCACTAGATTGTGACTTCCCGGCAGGTATTTGTATTTGTCTTTATAGTAACTATACTGTTCCTGGCACATAGTAAGTTTGAAGATACCTTTTTATTGAGTGAATAAGTGAATAGCCTTGTCAGTGAAACTGTAGGGCCAGAGATCGTGATAGAAAGGTTTTAAAAAAATATTTTCTATGTTATTTAAAATAATGCAGAATGCACCAAAACCAGTCCATGGGTACTACTTTTTTGACATATTAAAAAATAGCATAGAAGAGTTTCCATTCATAGTTTCAAAGTCAGGCCCATTAGCAGCGTGAGTGAGACAGTTTAATCCAATTTCATTGACTAAATGTACAGCGGGCCCACCATATTCTCTGGTTTCACATCTGCTGCTTTAGCCAACTGTGGATTAAAAAACTTGAAAAAAAAACCCCACAATAAAATAACAACACAACAATTGAAAATAATGAAAATAAAAAACCGAAAACCGATACAATATAACTTTATAATATAAATATTGTATAGTTATATACAATATAACTATAAACCATTTACCTTGTATTAGGTATTATAAGTAATTTACATATAATTTAAAGCTTATAGGGGGATGTGCACAGGTTATATGCAAATACTACCCCACTTTATATAAGGGACTTGAGCATCTGCAGATTTTGCTATTGGGGTGTCCTGGAACAAATTTCCCTTGGATACCGAGGGACTGCTGTATGTCTTGTATTGTTCTTAGATTGCATCTTGGGAGGTTGCTCCCTTTTGCTGCCTTTTGAATGTTATTTTCAATGCCACGGTAATGATATGGCCAAGGCAGTGATTAGTAATGACGTAGAGTTTAATGCTAGTACTGACATTAAAAAGCCTTACCTGGCTGGGCGCGGTGGCTCATGCCTGTAATCCCAGCACTTTGGGAGGCTGAGGTGGATGGATCACCTAAGGTCAGGAGTTTGAGACCAGCCTTACCAACACGGTGAAACCCCGTCTCTACTAAAAATACAAAATTAGCCAGGCGTGGTGGCGCATGCCTGTAATCCCAGATACTTGGGAGGCTGAGGCAGGAGAATTGCTTGAACCTGGGAGGCAGAGGTTGCAGTGCGCCGAGATCACGCCACTGCACTCCAGCCTGGGTGACAGAGCGAGACTCTGTCTCAAAAAATAAAAAAAAAAACAGCCTTACCTGGAAAAACTCAGCAGATGAAAGTGAACACGTGATCATTCACCTATCATCTCTCTGTTGTGACATGACTATTCTGGTGATGAATAGAATTGAAATCAGAACTCTGTTTCTCAGGGAGGATTAGCACACACTGAGTTTCTGAAAAACAAATGGGCAATAAGGACTATGTAAGAAGTCATCACGTCATTCTATTACATGGTATATAATTAAGCATTTTTTTTTTAATCTGGCAAAGTGACTGTATTTACCATTGCCACCTGGTGCTCTGTTCGTGCCGTGACTAAGCTATGTAAAATTTACCCTTTGAAAGCATTCTTTAGATTATTTTACTTATAAAACCAAGTGTATAGAAATTTTTTTTGACAAAAGAAGAATGGTTTTTGCATTAAAAAGAGAAAAACATTCAGGAAAACTAGTTTGCTAGATTGCAGTTTTAAATTTTTCTTTGATTGAAGATTAAGATGGCACACTTCTAAATTTGATATGTCTTTTTTAGAGTAAGGCAACTGGTATCTTTCAAATTCTTACGTGGGCACATTTTTTCCATTTGATGTATCTTCAGTTTTATACAGGGAAACAGTACCACCAGGTCTGTATCTAACCCTGGCATTGGAAGGAGTGATGGGAATGCTTGGCAAAGAGAAGGCACATTTAATGCTGAAGGGAGGAGTGAATAATGATACCCATGACAGCCAGGGCTAGTTTGCAAAGCCTGAAAGATATTCCAGCTCTTAGCATATGCCATCTCTGTGGGGAATGGACTTGGCTCTCTCTCTGGAAAGATGATCTGGGATCATTTCTGTTGTCATGGAAATTTATTATAATAGTTTACTGTTATTACTCATGTGTTTTGGCCATAACCCTATTCTAAATCTGGTGCCATTCTTGAATATACTTATATGATAGAATGCTTATCATTCATTTCAGCTTAAGAACATCTTCTGTGCTGTATTTCTCCTTCCATGTGCATTTCTTTCAGGACAGGGACTTTTGTATGCATCTTTATACCTTTAAGAGTAGAAATAAGAAAAAGATAATGTCTTCCACAGAAGCAATTTGATTGATTGATAGATTGAGAGAGTGTCTCCCTCTGTTGCCCAGGCTGGAGTACAGTGGCGCCATCATAGCTTACTGCAGCCTCCAACTCCTGGGCTTAAGCGATCTTCCCGCTCCAGCTTCCTGAGTAGCTAGACTACACACGAGTACCGCCATGCCTGGCTAATTTTAAGAAAATATATTTCTGTAGAGACGAGGTCTTCCTGTGTTGCTCAGGGTGGTCTTGATGTCCTGACCTCAGGAGATCCTCCCACCTTGGCCTCCCAAAGTGTTGGGATTACAGGTGTGAGCCATGGCAACCTGGGCTTCCTTAGGAGTAATTTTTTTTTTTTTTTTTGAGACATGGTCTGGCTCTGTTGTCCAGGCTGGAGCGCAGTGGCACCATCTTGGCTCACTGCAACCTCCACCTCCTGGGCTCAAGTGATCCTCCCACCTCAGCCTCCTGAATAGCTGGGACTACAGGCATGTGCCATCATGCCTGGCTAATTTTTTGTAGCAATGGGGTTTCACCATGTTTCCCAGGCTGTTCTCAAACTCCTGAGCTCAAGCAATCCACCCGCCTCAGCCTCCCAAAGTGCTGGGATTACAGGCATGAGCCACTGTGCCCACCCCGGATTAATTTTAAAATTAAAACTTTTAGTATTTATAAGCCAGAAGGGGAAAAATAAAACAAAATCATGGTCCTCAAGTTGCAACATAGGAAGAGTGATTGGGAAGGGGGTGTGAAGTGTTCGAAGTGTAAGGATCGATGAAACTAATCGGTAGGTCTACTCCATGGTATCGACATGCCTTTGTGATCACAGTGTGCCACATTTTCATCTTCTACAGTATAGAAATCATACATCCCCTCTCATCAAGAGCCTAGTCTCTTGATCTTTCTCCTTCTTTAAAAAATTAAATTATTAAAGGAACAGCTGTCATAGTTTAAAAAGTAAATTAGAACTATAGGACTTAAATGAAAAGGCAGTCTCTGCTCCACTTGATTTCTCCTTACCAGAGGTGGCCACTTTAAATGATATCAGCTATTTCTTTTAGCAGATAACATGCTCATGCCATTTTACTTGATATTATTTTCTCAATTTTAGACTTTATTTATTTTCTACCCAGAGGGTGAAGGTTTAGCTCTCTTCTGTCCTTTGCCAATCCCTGACACTATACCCTCCCAAAAACTTCCCTTTCCCCATCTTCCCAATGTAATTACATAACATCTGGGGTTGAATTAATCTTCATCATTTATATTTACTATTTAAATGTGCACAGTTGACCCATTATGATATATTATGTTTACATTTTCTCTTTTTCTACTTAGGTTTTTTCTTAGGATACTACCTGCCTTTTTGTGGTTTATTTAGTTTATAATTAGCTGACCAGTTCAGCCTCAATAGAGCCGTAGAACTCATTTTAGTAAATGGACCGCACTAGGTAATCTATCTAGTCCTTCTGCTCTCCCTCCCCACCCACCTCTCCCTCTTCTCCATGCTCTCTGCAATAAAAATTCTAATCTGAATGTTACTCTCTAGTGTAGCTTTACAGTCATCATTCTGGGATTTTCACTTTACTATCATTACGAGAATTCTCTTTGTCACTTGTTATTAGACCACATATCTTTTTTCTTTTTCATTTTCCTCCTGGTAGCTTTTTGAGAAAGGGCACATGAGAGGTAAATTTTTTCAGAACTTGTATGTCTGAAAATGTCTTTATCCTAGCCCCTGCCTACTTGTTTTAGCTGGATATAGGATTCTAGGATGGAATTTCTCCAAACATGGAAGTTACATCGATTATTTTCTAGCATCTATTGTTGCTATTGAGAATTCACTTGACATTTTGATTCCTGATCCTTTTAATGTGATTTTTTTTTCCCTCCCTGGAAGCTTTTAGATTCTCCTTTTTTCCACACAGTGTTCTTAGTTCATGATGCTGTGTTGAAGGTCATGGCCAGGCCTTTGCTAGGCTGATGGTGCAGTAAGAAATAAAATGAGAAGGGCTGTCGTCACTGCGCAGGAGCCTGGAGTTGCATTATAGGGTTGTAGGTGGACCGTGCAGTGTTGATGGGGCCCTTCTCCCAGCCTAATGTTGGAAAGTCAGTGTGCCAGTGCTTCTTCCCTTGGCCCTTCTCACGTGCAGGTTTCTTACTCTGTAGGCTGTGTTCACCTGCAAACTTCAGATGCTCATGTTATGAAGAACTAGGGAAGCAGTAGGAACCTACATCCATTCCATTGTGTCCTCAGCTTTAGACATATATCCTCTGCATGGATAAATAATTTTGCCAGGTAAAATTTTATCATGTTAGTTCTACACTATGTAATAGAATGACATGGTGGCTTCTTACGTAATCCTTGTTGCCCATTTATTCTTTGGAAACTCAGTGTGTGCTAATCCTTCCTGAGGAATAGAGTTCTAGTTTCAGTTCCATTCAACACCTGAATAGTCATGTCATGACAGATAGGTAGATGATAGACAGATGTTCCCTTGTTCATTTTAATCTGCTGAGTTTTTTCAGGCAAAGTTTTTACAATCAGTACTGGTACTAAACTCTAAGGCTGTTTATATTGGTGTGGGCAGGGTTAAGGGAAACAAACTTGATGTGGTGCAATCCCCCAGGGCTGGCAACAGAAACTGGTACTTTAGCAGTCCTGGGCATGAAGAGGTAAGGAGAGGGAGAAATTACCATAAACTGTTGAGATTGGCCTTGTGGGAGAAGTCTGCTAATCAGAGCTATGGCTTTGGTGAAGAGCCATAGTCAACAAATGACAGTCTGACAGGGAGGAAGACAGCAAAATACATGCCCAGCCTTCACCATCCCACCTTCCAGTCTGCCAGTGTCTGCCAATGGGGTTTAACCCACCTGGAAGCCAGACAGCAAGGGCATCCTTTGATGTCTTCCATAAAGGTCGTCCTCCTGGAGCGCAGAGCAGGGTGGAAGATGGTGAGGAGGTGAGTGGTGAATCACCAGCTTAGTTAGGTTTAAAGATGTTTTTGGAACCTAGGGTTATTATTTTTTGTTAAGAAGGAATGTGCAATTGGAAGGGCTAAGTGTGACGCTCATGGACAGATCCCGCCTTTCAGGGAGTTGATCATCTTTTACTCAGATATTAGAAGTTAGTTTGCAAGTAACTAACTTTTATGTTTTCTTTAGAATGTTAACGTCTACCAATCTTAGTGTGTGTTGCTAACCCTGCCCATATTCTCCCTTCTATTCACTGTAATTCCCTATGACTTGCTAATGAATACCGTATTTTTTTCTGCATATCTGTCAGCTTTTATAGCAGTCTTATGCAGCATCTCAGTGATTTCATATTTATTCTACATTCTTCTCATTTCTGTTCAAGATGAATATATACTCATTGCCTGGTACAGAGTGATTGTAATAATTTCTCCCTCTTGAGGGAAGGCTCTTAGTAGTTGCTTTTCTCTGCAGCCTCTTTTACTCAGAGCTGTTAACTTTGTTTTGATGAGGATGTCCTGCTTTTAATGATGGGTATTTTTGTTTTTAGGTAAGTGACAGTTTGCTCTTTGATACATCAGATGATGAAGAGCTGAGAGAACAGCTGGATATGCACTCAATCATCGTCTCCTGTGTTAATGATGAACCCCTCTTCACGGCAGACCAGGTATAGAGGAGATCCTCAGCAACGCAAGGAAAGGAGACTCTAGAGCTGAAAAACGGCTTCTTGTTATGACAGTAAATGATGGCTGTTGGTTTACTTATCTTTCCTATTTTTTTCTGGTTATACAGGCTTAATAGTTAACTCTTCCACAGAGAAAAATAAGTATTTGTGATCTGAAGCAGAAGGGATTATGTTAGTTGGGAAGGTTTCCAACAGAGGCCTTGTTGAAGATTATAGCAAGGTACCAAGGAAAGGTTGTTGCTTAACCCCAAACCAGAAAAATATTGTGAATTTCCTTGTTTCTTTAGATTTACCCAAACACGGACAAACTGTAAAGTATCTGTGTAGAAATTATTTAGTATCTTCAAAACCCTGGGTAAAAAGCATTAGCATGTATTAAAGTAACATATTGTGTGCCCCAGAAAGAAGTGAGCATTATTCCCGTGGAATGCGCTAATAAGGTCAACCCTGTATTCACTTAAAACCAGTCGAATCAGCTTTCTCATTTTCTGAATACTCTTCCCACCTCTGTTGTATTGTTGAAATGTGATGCCAGAACTTCTTCCTGAAATAAAATGTTCCATGGCTACTCGGACTGTGAGTTCTACCACACTCTATTTTTAGGCTGGAAAGATGAGATCAGTAAGGAGATACATTATGGCAAGCTTGGGAGGAGTACATTAAAAATTTACATTAAAATTGTGTTATTTGGATCCTCCTTAGTCATATTTGTGGTTGAATTGTTCTAGGCGTGGGAAGAATGTGGTGCTTAAAAAAGCAAGGTAATAGTAGGTTGGAAGGTTGTTTTGAGGTAGAGGGTAATCTAGGGATAGACATGACCTTGAGAATTCATTGTCCCCTCACTGACCTGCCTAATACCGTAAACTCTCCCTTTTTTTAAGAGTTAGAATAACAGATTCTGTAGGATCCTTGAGTGGCTCATTGTACCTTATTATATTTCCTGTTTTGGAGACTCTTCTTATAATTAACATAATCCCATCTCCTTCAGATTTGCCTTTGTTTTTCCTTGGTGGAAATCTTACCTGTTAAGCTTGTTAATTCATAAAGCATGGAAATATGCTCATGATGTCTTACTCCTTCATTTAATTGTGTTTAATTTTTTTTTTTAACTTTAGGTCCTTTTTTCTAACTATTGAGTAATTTTCCTGGGTTTCCTTTACATTTTCGCTGAGTTCTATATCCTTCTCAACTTTTAGAATCTGGAAAAGGGCAAGATACTGTTGTAAGATTTGAGCAGCACTGCACTAGACAGTAGATCATTGTTTAAAGTCAAATGTATTTCTGAAGTTTTTCTGCTTTTCACAGCATTTTTCTCTTTGGACTTCTACTTTTTGAGTAATTTAAAAAATCCCTTTTTTTCGTTGAATTAATATATAAAATTATTTTTCTGCTGTTGAAAGAATATTTTGCTGTCATAGAGGTAATTTCCCATTTATATATACTTTTTTTGTGCTATTGTATTTTATAAATTTTATGTCAGAATTTTTGATGAGATACCTTTAAATTGAGCACTTGTATGTCTATGGTAAATTTTCTGTTATTTGCTTTCTTCTAACGATTACTGTATGATCTAGCTCTGGTGTGTCTGAAGTAAATTATTATGTGTTTGTAGCACGATTACCTAGACTTTGCAAGACATGTTAGGGCCTTCTGAATCATGATGGACGTAGTAAATCCAATTCTATTTAGGTTTGTGTTTAGTATATTGTAATTTTTTCTTGATAAACCATGTTCACTCCTACAGTAAAAATTTTGATTATTTGGAGCATCCACACCTGAACACCATTGGTTAATGGAGAATTCAGTGCATTTCTGCTCTGGGTGCCTTAGGTGAGCACTGTGTTCCAGATAGATCATTTTCCTTTTGTATATTTGATTAACAGTGGTGTGTGTGTTTTCGAAGGTTATTGAAGAAATTGAAGAAATGATGCAGGAATCACCGGACCCAGAAGATGATGAAACCCCTACACAGTCAGATCGGCTTTCAATGCTTTCCCAGGAAATTCAAACTCTCAAGAGGTCTAGTACCGGCAGTTATGAAGAGAGTAAGGGAGCCTGCTGAAATCAATGATTTCTGTGCTTTTTGTCTGTATCAAATGTATAGTATGATCATCTCCAGAAAGCTTTGATTTCATCCTCCTTCTGTTTGTGTTTGTGTCCAAATTTACATTTTTGTTGTTGTTGTTGAGACGGGATTTCACTTTTTGGCCCAAGCTGGAATGAAGTGGCATGATTTCAGCTCACTGCAACCTGTGCCTCCCGGGTTCAAGCAATTCTGCCTCAGCCTCCCAAGTAGCTAGGATTACAGGTGCCCGCCACCACGCCTGGCTAATTTTTACATTTTTAGTAGAGACGGGGTTTCGTCATGTTGGCCAGGCTGGTCTCGAACTCCTGACCTCATGATCCGCCCGCCTTAGCCTCCCAAAGTGCTGCAGTTACAGGCGTGAGCCACCATTGCCTGGCCCCAAATTTCCTCTTACAAGGACAGCAATCATATTGGATTAGGGTCTATCCTAATGACCTTATTTTAATGTAATTACCTCTTTAAAGACCATATACTGTAACATTCTGAGGTACTTGGGGTTAGGACTTCAACACATGAATTTTGGGGAGGACACAATTGAGTCTATAAGAAACCCCATCATATTTGAAGTGTAGAATAGATATTCAGTAATTATTTGTCAAATGCAATTCCTGTTTGTACAAATAGTCTTGTGTGTTACTATGAAGAATTTTGGGAACCATGGATCTGTTTGACATATGTGAGAATAATGAACTCTAGAAACTCTACAGTTGATTTTCATGAAAAATGTCTGAATAAATATAACCAGCCTGTGAACAGCCTGAGGCTGGTTGGAAGGTGTGTATCTAATCATTGCCATATGACTGGTCCCTTCCTTGAATAGGCACTGATGGGGTCTGTATCTGCTCAACTCGTGTTGTCACCTAGTTTTATCTTTATGGCATGCCCAGTCCAAAGCTTAGTTACCTAAAGACCTTTGGGTTGTATGGCTTCAACATACAGATGGTCAGACAGACCAAATTCTTTCAGATGGTCTGATTTGGCCATGTTCCTGTAGGTATGGGCTAAACAGTGTTAACGTCCTGACTCCCAAATACAGTCCTGATACCTGATACAGATACTAAAATCTGTATTGGTTTGCTAGGGCTGCCAGAACAAAGTACCACAGAGTGGGTGGCTTAAACAACAGGAATTTATATTCTATAGTTCTGGAGGCCAGAAGTCTGAGATGAAGGTGTTGGCAGGTTTGGTTTTTTTCAGAGGCCTCTCTCCTTGACATGCAGATGGCTGCCTTTTCCCTATGTCTTCACGTGGTCTTCCTACTGTGTCCTGATCACCCTATTTTATAAGAATACCAGTCATGTTGGGTTAGGGCCTATCCTGATGCCCTCATTTAACCTTAATTTACCTCTTTAAAGACCCCCTCTCCACATTCTGAGGCCCTGTGGGTTGGGACTTTAACAGTGTCCTATCTGTCACAAGGGGCAGAAGTGCTGAGAAAAGACTGAAATGGGGTTTCAGGGAATATTGTTCCCTTTTGTCTTCCCAGTTTTTTTAGTCCATTCTTGCACTGCTATAAAATGCCTGAAACTGGGTAATTTATACGAAAAGAGGTTTAATTGGCTAATGGTTCCACAGGCTATACAGGAAGCCTGGTAGCATCTGCTTCTGGGGGGGCCTCAGGGAGCTTTTACTCATGGTGGGAGGCAGAGCTGGAGCAGGTATCTTCACATGGCTGGAGCAGGAGGAAGGGGGCTGGGGGGAGTGCCACACACTTTTAAACAACCAGGTCTCATAAGAACTCTGTCATGAGAACAGCACCAGGGGGATGGTACTAAACTGTTAGAAATTGCCCTCATGATCCAGTGACCTCCCACCAAGCCCCACCTCCAGCATCACATTTCTGTATGAGATTTGGGTGGGGACACAGATACAAACCATATCACCAATTTCAACAAAATTCACAGATCAGGACTTATGTAATTAAGTGTATATTTAGTTTAATTCTTTCAGATCAACTCCTTTCCTGTTCAGAGATATCCCAGAACCCTGCTGAACGGCTTGCAGTTTTTTGTCAGCAGGTGGATTCTGTACTTTCCCTCGACTTTTGTGTTTGTTCTTTTCCGTGTACAAGCCTTCACAGTCTTGACTGAAGTATTATTCATGCAATGATTTATTTGCACAAGTAAAAACTTTTGTTAGACTTTCTTGCCAGCAAGCTGAGAAGTGACTCACCTGCCCACTTACCTCTACTCAGATCTGATCTCCAGAAGTTGTAGAATTCTGAGAAGATCACCCACAGTCAATTTAATTGCTTGGAATATGATTTTTGCTCTTTGGCATTGATTACATAGGTGTTTATTTAGTCATTCCTAGTGACTACTCTGTTTTGCTTCCTTGAAATGTTTTTGTCTTAATATCTGCTGTATTTTGCTTTTGGTCACAGGAGTGAAAAGGCTCTCAGTGTCTGAGTTAAATGAAATCCTGGAAGAAATTGAGACTGCCATTAAGGAGTACTCTGAGGAGCTGGTGCAGCAGTTGGCTTTACGAGATGAACTGGAGTTTGAAAAGGAAGTGAAAAACAGCTTTATTTCTGTTCTTATTGAAGTGCAAAACAAACAGAAAGAGCACAAAGAAACAGCAAAAAAGAAAAAGAAACTAAAAAATGGCAGCTCTCAGAATGGGAAGAATGAGAGAAGTCATATGCCCGGCACAGTAAGTGATGTTTTGCAGGAGGCGTCGAACACTGGAAACAGGTTCTGTGGTAGTCCCAGCCTTTGGGGCTGGTGGCAGGTGCGACAGGTTGTACATGGGCAGGAGTGTTAACACTTCTAATCAGAGCCCAGTGGGATTTTATTCCAGAATACCGCTGTGCTCAGCTTCTTCAGAAAGTCGTTTTCTTGACTAGGGTGTACTGGTTATCTGAATAATACTGAAATGTTTAGCAAGGATGTAAGTGGAAGGAAGAGGGGGCAAAAAAGGAGAATGTCTTGAAGAAAAGAAGCTTTAGCAAGTGAACATTTTTACCACATCAAAATGTGAAGAGTGGTTATGTATATTTGGCTAGTAGTTTTTTTCTTATTTTTGCTGAACTCTTACGAGTTGTGTGATAAGAAATTAGAAGGGGTTTATTTAGAGGTATCAGAACTCTGCTCAAGGCACAAATTGTTTGTAAACAGGTTCCTCCTGATTTTTCAGTGAGGTTGGAATACAAGAAGGTAAGTGACATCAGCCATGTGGCCTAGTATTTGGCAGACTAGACTATTTCTGACTGGTGAAAACAAGTTTAGAACATCTGAAACGCTGACCCTTTGATAAGATTTTTTTGTGTTGAAGTCTTGTGTATTCCCACCTTGATTTTGTTTGTGTGTGAAGAAATGTTGGTTTTATTTTTAGAGTATGATGGTTGGGTAAAGGGATCTCTTTTTCTAAATGGGACATCTCTTTTTAATTTGTGATATCAATAACATGGTCTTACAAATCACAAACTAGCTATTATGGCTTGCAATAATATGAGTTCTGTTTTTGATAAAGTCTGATTTACTTATCTAAAGAATACTTAGCAGAGAAATAGATCTCATTAAGCAGATGCTGATGGAATCCTGGAAATACAGTTCTAGGATGGTGGGCCACCAATGAGCAGTTAACACAAAAAGAGTCTTACCATATAGCTCATTTATTATGCTGTAATTAGCCTATGAATAAATCCATTTTTTTCAGTGTAATGTTCATTTGTATCTATTTTGAAAGGACATCGTGGCTGGGCACGGTGGCTCGCGCCTGTAATCCCAGCACTTTGGGAGGCCGAGGTGGGCTGATCACCTGAGGTCAGGAGTTCGAGACCAGCCTCAACATGGAGAAACCCCGTCTCTACTAAAAATATAAAATTAGCCGGGTGTGGTGCTGCATGCCTGTAATTCCAGCTACTCTGGAGGCTGAGGCAGGAGAATTGCTTGAACCCAGGAGGCGGAGATTGCGGTGAGCCAAGATCGTGCCATTGCCCTCCAGCCTGGGCAACAAAAGCGAAACTCCATCTCAAAAAAAAAAAAAGGACATTGCTTATGCACTGACTTTGAAAAAAGTTCTCAGGTATCTATTATTTTTAAGAAATGGCAGTATTGATTGAATAGGTGTTTATTTAGTTATTCCTAGTGAGTACTCTGAAAAAAACCCAAAACCAACCCACATTTGTTTGAATATACAATCCTAGAAAATTTGCTTTAAAATATTAGGGACACTATTTTGCATTTGCATCTCATATTTTTAGAACTGGCACCCTTTAAATTGCCCTGTTATGCAAGTGAGATTAAATAAAATGCTTAGTTAAAAAGTCATAGCATGGTTGGTAATTTCTGCCTATTTGCTTTTAGGGATTACATGTAAATCCTCCATTTATTGCTGTTAACACTTGGCTGAGAAAAGTAAATTTATCCCTAGAGGGGTTTAAAGGCTTCGTTTTGTAACTCCCATGTAAAAAGGGTTAGAGTAAATCTATTGTGTAATTTTACATGGCATTTATATTGAGAAATGGATTTGGCAAGGCAACAGTTAGGTCTTACTTCAGCCTTCATTGGTCTTGAAATAGATTCATAGTAACAGTAAATATTTTTCATAATATTTGAACTTTTGAAGTTGCATTTTGCCTGATTTACAATTTGTGTCAAAAATTTTAATCAGTTCAGTAATGGCACGGCTAAGCTTGCAGTACTAGTTTCCTGTATCCTTTTAAAGCCTAAAATGCGGCCGGGCGCGGTGGCTCACGCCTGTAATCCCAGCACTTTGGGAGGCCAAGGTGGGCGGATCACCTGACGTCAGGAGTTCAAGACCAGCCTGGCCAACATGGTGAAACTCCGTTTCTACTAAAAAATACAAAAATTAGTTGGGCGTGGTGGCGCATGCCTGTAATCCCAGCTACTCGGGAGGCTGAGGCATGAGAATCGCTTGAACCCAGGAGGCGGAGGTTGCAGCGAGCCAAGATTGCTCCACTGTACTCCAGCCCGGGCAACAGAACGAGGCTCTGTCTCAAAAAAAAAAAATAAAAAGCCTAAAATGCCAGGGAAAGACCTTCCTATCTGTGACACAAGTAGGCTGGAAGGGTGATTCTGAAAATAGTGGTAGGTTGCTCAAAAGAAACCCAAAGTGAAATAGGCAGTTGGATAAACAGATTCCAGGAGCTTGCCAAACATTTTACCAAGCATTTTATATCACATGCAGTCTTGGCAAGACCTGGTCTCTATGAGTTTGCTATTATCAGTGATACTAATTCCTAAAAAATGGTGACCTCCTTAGAATTGTCATATGTTACCTGTTTTTCCAATAACATAAGTCACTTTTTTTTTTCTCCTGCCTGAGATATTTTTGTTTTATTAGCAGGACTTGAAGTTTTTCGTTAAGTATAGAATAGCTTCCATTTTTCTTCATGTATGTTTCACTGAAGCAGTACATCAATTTGTAGTTGGCATACCACTTAATCTAAAATTGTTACCTTGTTCTCTTTGGTCCAAAGATACTCTAATGAAATATTGGAGTGGGTATAGAGCAGAGTTAAACTTGGAGACAGATTTTGTTTTAAATATTTGTTGTGGTGAAAAAAAAAATAGAGGGCATAGGGATGCTATTTAGAGCATTGGAAAATTTCATTAGACCATGAAAATATGTGAAATGTTACAGAAAGTATTATCTTATAAAAGTGAAATATGATTTTGATTGGAGTTTTAGGTTTAAAATAACCATAATGCTGTATGTTGGGTAAGATGAAACAATATTCATTCATTCAGCAAGGATTTGTGGAGTGCTTTCCTGTGGCAGGTGTTCTTCAAGATACAGTGGGCAGGATGACTCATGATGGTAATTCTAGGACTTTGAGAGGCTGAGGTGGGAGGATTCCTTGAGCCCAGGAGTTTGAGGCCAGACTGGGCAATATAGTGAGACCTTGTCTTTACAAAATAAAAATTATAAAATTAGCCAGGTGTGGTGGCATGCACCTGTAGTCCCAACTACTTGGGAGTCTGAGGCGAGAGGATTGCTTGAGCCCAGGAGGTTGAGGCTGCAGTGGGCCATGGTCACACCACTCCACTTACAGCCCGACCTTGTCTCAAACAAAAAACAGAAAAACCACAGTGGTGAATAGAATAGAATAGATGAGGCCCATCCCATGCCTTCCTGGAGCTTATAGTCTAATGACGGAGAAAGGCAATAAACAAGGAAAAAATGAATAGATGATGGAATTTTAGTAGTAAATAAAGGCCATGAAGAAAACCAAAGGCTGGGTGAGGTGGTAGATGGTGATGCTGTTGGGAAGCTGTTTTGGAGAGTGTCACTACACCACTGCTTCTCCTCATTGACAAGGGAGCCTGCCTAGTCCCTTTCCAATTCTCCGTTTGAAGAGGAGGTTAAAGGAGTGGACCTCTTTGGGAAGTGCAACTCAAGAGAGTGGCAGGCTTTATATTTCCTCTGTCCTTTTTTGCAGCATCTGGAGGAGCAGAGGATGGGGGGTTAGAGAGTGGTTAAAGGGCACTGTCTGTTTATCACTATGGTGACCTACATGTATTTCTTTGTGCTGACCATGCTGTTTTGGGTGACACTTCTTTATATTCAATGCTCTTCTTCTGGAATCAAATTCCTTACCTGCTGCTTCTGTCCACTTGGGGGATTTTTTTTTTTTCTCACTCATCCTTTAAAATCATGGCCAAGCATTGTCTTCCTTTCTTAGAACCTTCCTTGATGACTCTGTCCGATGCAGAGTTGACTACTCTCTCTTTTTAGAGGGGTTAGTGTTACTCCTCTTTAGTATTTCTATTATCACTGTTGTATCATACTGCAATTTTTTGTTTTCATGCCTATCTCTGTTTTATGTCCCTAATGATAAGAAATTTAACTTTACTTTCTCGGTATTCGTAGATCCAACCTTAGGTACCTAATAAATTTCTGCTGAATGAATGAGTGAACGAAAGATAAACTTGCAAATATATATTTCTATATTGGATCTTTCTGCCAGGTGTCAAACCCATGGACAGTGAATATTGTCTAAGACAATAGAATATTGACTAAGAGCTTTGGGTTAAGAGCTGTGTTTGAATCTTCGTCCTACATACAGACGGCTTTGAATTTTGGAGAGATTAAATGAAATAATGTATATAAGATTAGCAAACATAGCAAACACCATGAGTAAATGCTAATTGTTATATATGTCCAACTGCCTACTAGACAATTCCCTTTGGATATCTTGTAGGAGTCTGAAATTTATACTATTAAACCAAAGTTACCATTTTCCTAAAATTGAATTATTTTCTTTTGGTTAGCAAAACTAGTTTATCCACTCACTGAAACTGATAGAATTTCCAAGTCAAAGAATATAGAGTTTTAAATGGCTTTAAATGACCAGCTTTTCAAATTATTGTGTAGAAGTGTAGCCCAGTAGAGCGTAAGAGTGACCATTTTCCCACACCTCCCGCCAACAGGAGATATTAAGAGCTTTTGAATATACACTGCACAGGCAAACAATGGGTTTGATCTGTTGACCATTTGTATTCTTTTATGAGTTGCCTATTATGTTTATATGCCTGTTATGAGGTGTTTTCATATTTATTTGTGAGGGTACACATACTTGTGATATTGAAGTACCACACTGTGTTGTAATCATTGGCTTAAACCTCTCTTCTAACAGAGTGCAAGCTCTTTAAAGGCTCATTCACACTGCTTTCCCAGCACCTCACCTAATTTCTTGTTCTTCGCACATCACTTAATGCATGTTTGTTGAATTGAAACTTCAGTGTACAGGAGATTGAATCCCGGAGGATTTAGATTTGTAGTATTTGAATTATTATTGTTCTATTGGGGATTTTTATTGGGGGAGCCAGGCTTCTGTTACATCAGACATTCACAGGTCATTGAATTTCAGTAGCAGTTCTCATGAATACAAGAATAGGTTGAACAACACCAGGTTATGTTGTAATTTAGTAGTTGCTGTTCATCTAGTGTTATCTGCAGTTGTCTGGGCATTATGGCCTACCTGCTTAGCATCATAACTTAGTAAACTTATATGTATGAAAATGGAATAGTTACCCTCTGAGTATCTAGTAACAAATCTTTGAATTGAATGTCACATGTAAGGTTGTTTATGCTAAGTCTTGTTGAGAAGATAGGAATCGATAGTCTTTTCTGTTTGCCATAATGACATTGAACTTTGAAGAGAGAATTTCTACTGTGTTACACTCCACCATCAAAAATGCATAACTGCGTCAGTCAACCCTGAAAAAGTTTATACGGACAACTTTTGGGATATTAGCAATCAGTGACTAACGGTAGTAGAGAAAAGAAAAAACTGTAAAAAGAATCACATTACCCTAATTTATTGCTTTTCGGGGGTTAGGGAGAGAATTGCTGAAGGATGGGGGAGAGCTAGGGCTTAGATGATATACACTCTTTCTTGTATATATTTTCTTTCACAGCTACATTGCTCCGTTTCTGTGACTCAGCTCATGTTATAATATGATTGATAGCCTTTGTTTGGGGCTTCTGTTTAAAACAACATGGACCTGGCTTTTTCCCCCCTTCTTTTTAATTTGGAATTTTTTTAACAGCACATTTGCTCAGATGATTTAAACCAGGGATTGTCAAGGCAGACTACTGTCCAAGGGCTAAATCAACTCTTCACCTGTTTTATGAATACAGTTTTACTGGAACACAGCTATGTTCATTCATTTATATATCATCTGTAGCAGCTTTGGGGCTATATGGACAGAGTTGAGTGGTTGCCGTAGAGACTGTGTGGCTTACAAAGCCTAAAATAATTAATGCCTGGCTCTTGACAGAAAAAGTTTGCCAATCTCTGATTTAGACTTAGTAAAATTAAAAAGTAGAACAAAAAGTTATGAACTCCAGTTAAGTGAGTTTGCATAGATAAAAAGAGTACTGTAATGTTTCTAAAGTTTGTATTTAAAAGGTTACTTTGTTTTATCTTGAGATTATGTTGAATTGTTCCTTTTCTTGGGGCCCCTTCAGCAGCAGCCTGAGTGATAGTGACACCTTGGCCAGCCAATCTCCAAGCTACGTGTGGCAGCTTCTTGTCTAACAGCAGACCTCTGTGCTGTGTGTGTCTGAATCCCGGTGGCTAGGTAAAGAGAGTGAGCAGGTAGACCAGTGTTCTCTAAATATGGAGACAAACAAAAGGAATAAAAATGTTGTATTATACACAGTGATAAAATGTGGTTTTAAAAGAAGGTTAGAGGAGAAGTGGAAAAGGCATGAGTTTTTTTCCCCTTTATCTTTTTTTTTTTTTTTTTTTTTTTTTTTCCTGAGACGGAGTCTCACTCAGCCGCTCATGCTGGAGTGCAGGGGCGCGATCTCGGCTCACTGCAACCTCCGCATCCCCGGTTCCAGCGATTCTCCTGCCTCAGCCTCCCGAGTAGCTGGGATTACAAGTGTGGTCCACCCCGCCCGGCTAACTTTTGTATTTTTTTTTTTTTCAGTAGAGGTGGGGTTTCACCATGTTGGCCAGGCTTGTCTTGAACTCCTGATCTCAGGTGATCCACCTGCCCTGGACTCCCAAAGTGCTGGGATTACAGGAGTGAGCCACAGTGCCCAGCCTTTTTCCCCTTTATCTAAGCAGTGGTGCTTGAGATACTAAATTCTACCTGACATACATTCTTTTTTTTTGAGACAGGGTCTTGCTCTATTGCCCAGGCTGGAGTGCAGTGGTGCCATCTGGGCCCACTGCAGCCTCTACCTCCTGGGTTCAAGCGGTTCTCCTGCCTCAGCCTCCTGAGTAGCTGGGATGACGGCGCCCGCCAGCACACTCGGCTAATTTTTTTTAGTAGAGATGGGGTTTCACCAAGTTGGCCAGGATGGTCTTGAACTACTGGCCTCAAGCGATCCGCCCACCTCGGCCTCCCAAAGTGCTGGGATTACAGGCGTGAGCAACCGTGCCCGGCTCTGATACGCATTCTTGAATGTAAATATTGACACATTTTAACAATAATTTGTTGGTGATATTTGATAGTATCTTGCTGCATTTTCTTTAGTGCAAAGCATTTACTAAGAATTACTATTAGCATGATAGAAGGTCATTGTAGGGTGGAGAAAAACTTGACTATATAATGGCTATTATTTTAATAATTCAAACCTATGAATTATGAATTACTTTAGATGTGGAACAAATTTGTTTTATGAAAAATAATATTACCTAGAGAAATATATGTCATCATCAGTTTTCGATATGTTTTTATCATCTACACTTTGTTTTCTGCAATGGTTTTTGGTGGTAGGCTGGTAATAGTGAACTTTCATGATCCATCAGTTAATGTAGTAAAAATCAGGAGTCCATTCTTGACTTCTTTATGTGTTAGAGAGGTCATTGTTAATATAAACAAGTTCACATAAAAGCTGTAATGTGCCAGGAAATTGTGTTCTTCTTGTATACAGTCTTGTGCCACATAGTGATATTTCGGTCAGTCATGGACTGCGTATAGATAGATGATGGAGTCAGGATTATAATGCTGTATTTTTACTGTACTTTTTCTATGTTTATCTATATTTAGATACACAAATACTTACCATTGTGTTACTGTTGTCTACATTATTCAGTACAGTAACAGGCTATATAGGTTTGTAGCCTAGGAGCAGTAGACTATACCATGTAGCCTAAGTATGGAGTAGACTATACAATTATGTAGGTTTGTGTAAGTACACTCTGTCATGGTCTATACGACAAAGTTGCCTGACTCATTTCTTAGAATGTATCCTCATTTTTAAGCAGCACATGACTGTACTTAGAGTATTTATGTTTCAGGAAGGAATTTCTAAAATTGCCAAGATCAATTATTATATTCTAGTTTTAGTGGTTTTGAAAATATTTGGCAATAATTAGTTTAGTTTCCACATTAATATTAAGTTACATAAAAAATTTTAAAAAGATCTTCAAAGATAAAAATTAAATTATTTAATGCTAATTTTGAAGATCTTTGTATTATATTTTTTCTGCCATAAAAATAAACTCATATAACAGTTGTTTAATATTGAAGATTTTCAAGTGTGTATCTGCTTTGGTATAATGTATATTTTCTAATTTACTTAGATCTGTTTTTTTAAAAAAATTTTTGGTAGAATTTGCTTTTATAACTGCTTTATAATTCACATTAAAATTATTTGAAGTATTAAAACAAGATATTACTTTTACATCTTAAATAATATCTTAACTATTTGAATATTTTTACTCTAAATTTTTTACACTTGTTTCCTCATTTTGATTATTTTAATTTATTAAAAATTAAACCTACTGTTTTATAATGTTTGAAAATCATATTCAAGCTATTGAAAGTGTCGTGATTTATCAGGAACAATAATTATGTTTTCATTTTGCTTTCATTTGAACCTCCTGAGTATAAAGAATATTAATGAAGTAAGAGTAGATTAGAGTAAGAGTCAGAAATAGATGAAAAGCATTCCTTGAGTGCTTTTTCAAACCTTTTTTCTGTCATTGAGCTTTGATATTGAGATTTTAAAATGATTTCCTGGCCAGTTAGAAATCTGTACCAGTTGGTGTCAGGTGAGGCTGAGAAACAAGTTTGATAGCGGGAATAGTGTAAATTTCCTGAGCCCTTTGTTGTCTTGCTTTTCCCTGTCTTGGATGTTGCTTTCTGTGAAGCTGGTTGAACTGGTGAATATGCTGTGTGTAGAAGAAGCTGATATATTTAAGATACCACAGAAGAACTAACAAACTGCAGCACTGTATCTGATTCTTGTTCACTTTTATGTAGCATAGTGTTCTCTAGCTCTTTTCTTTTTATTGTTCAGAAAGACCGAATTATTTAAGTGTTAACTTGTTTTCTGTTTAAGCTTTTTTGCTGATTCTGTGCTTAGTCATAGATAGTAATGTCTCTTTATGTTGTTTTCAGTCCTATCAGCTAGGAACTATAATCGGGGATTTATTTTTTCTCAGCTGCAATTTTATTTATATTAGAAGAACTTGAAATGCTGTTTTTGCTGTTCTGGAGAAAAGTAGAAAGGTGTGGTTATTTCTCTTTGGGAGTTGTGTCTAAAATATTATTCTATCCTTTTTATTTTTAGGAATTATAGCCAATACTTTTTTGAATATTGATATTTGCTGAGCACTTTGCTAGGTACTTGCATGGATTATTCCATGTAACCTTCACAACAACTCTATAAAGAAGGTATTATTGTTATTATTTCCATTTCATAAATGAGTAAACAAAAGCTTAACAGGGACCTTAGCTCACAGAACCAGCATGCATTGGAATGAGGATGTGGAGTTATTTAGAGGTGGATGGAAGGATCCTTGGCTTGAATTTTCGTTTTCTGAGCTTTGCAAGGATGTTGTAAATGGGCCTTGGGGATCTTGGCCCATTTCTTCGTCTTTCAGATTTTGGTGAATTTTTATAAATCTATATCCTGTTTATACATTGTTGCTACTGGTTTTGTCTGAGAAAAGTTTCCAGATAAGGACTGATTTTGAGACTTTCAATACATACTTATGCCAGGGAAGGAAACAACCACGAGGCAGTGGTGAGTATTCTCAGCGTAAATACTGGTGTTGAAGCTGTGTATTGAATACCCTCTTCCTCCGTCCTTGCCACATTACTTTGGCATTTGTCAGTAGTGAGGGCAACAATAAAGTAAATACTGTAATGCTTAATCATTTCCCTGCTCACAAATGGGCTCCTATCAAAAATTCCATCCTGAGAGGGGGCATTTTATAGCACTATTAACTCCTTCCTAAAGACGTAGTGGGAAATGGATGAATCAATTACAAAATAACTTCAGATTCAGAATTTTCACCAGTTCTTCACTTTGAATTTGAACACTTGGATTCTTTATTTCAAACTTGGAAATGGTAGATTAAATGGAGGGAGGATTGGGTTTTCTGATATACTGCGTTATTGCAGTTATTTAAATTAAACTGTAACAAATTGTTTTTTCTTTTCTTTTAAAAAATTATTTACTTATTTATTTAGTAACAAATCTTTAATGTCCTTCATTTCATTCAGCATTCATAACCCTGAGACTTAGTTCTGTTGGCGCTTTGGTATGTCTTTGGTACTTTAACCTTGAGAAATGTTATCAAAGAAATGCTTCCCTCCCTTCCCCCTCCCACTCTGTCTCCCTCCTCCCCTACCCCTTCTGTCTCTCCCTTTCCTTGTCCTCCTACTTATAAAATTTAAGCATAGAGAAAATCTTCCCTCTGGCCCAGTTAAGCACCATAAGCACCTAATAATACCGCATCTGCTCTCAAGGTTGTAAATGTAGTGTTTCTAAATGAGGTGACGTTTACTAAAAAGTATATTTAACCTGCCTCTGAGGTTTTATCTTTTTAAAATTCATTTTGCCTTCCAAAAGGGTGTGTTATTTTTTGGAATTTACAGGGCAGCTATAAAACAGAATGCACAGTATGCTCTACACAGCTCGTTTCCTGTTTCTTCCTGGTCTCACTGCCCTGGTCTCTCTTTTCCTTTATCCTTCTAGTTCACTGATCTCCTACTTGCTACTCTTTGATTATCCTAGCTAGGGGTTTGAGATTTCTTTTTTTTTTTTTTGAGACAGAGTCTCGCTCTATTGCCCAGGCTGGAGTGCAATGGTGCGATCTTGGCTCACTGCAACCTCCGCCTCCCGGGTTCAAGTGATTCTCCTGCCTGAGCCTCTCGAGTAGCTGGGATTACAGGCACCCGCCACCACGTCTGGCTAATTTTTGTACTTTTAGTAGAGATGAGGTTTCACCAGGTTGGCCAGGCTGGTCTCGAACTCCTGACGTCAGGTGATCCACCCACCTCGGCCTCCCAAAGTGCTGGGATTACAGGCGTGAGCCTCCGTGCCTGGCCGGGGTTTGAGATTTCTTAGTCACTCCATTGTTTTATGTTTTATAAACCACGCCAACAAGATTATTTCATTAATCTCATCTTACTTTCCTAGACTAGATTCTTCAGTGGACTTTTCCAGAACTCCGTTGTTCACTCTTCTGAAAAATAACTTGATGTTCTGTCCTGTCATCTTTATTCTGTTCATACTCCACTTATTTTGGGCTTTTTTTTTTTCTTTCTCTCCTGCAAGAAGTCAAGACACCTCATGATATGGTGAAACGATCATAGGCTCTAAGGCTCTTGGGTTCTGGTGTTAGGAGTGTCACAGCCTCAGCTTATGAGACGTTTAAAAATGACTGCTATGGCCCAGGCACTATGCAAGCTGCGGGGATGGAAAGATGCCTAAGACCTGTCTCTCCCTTCAGAATGTAGTCATTTCCTCATAAGAAAATGAAGCCACTGGACTCTGAATGTATCATCTGGCTGTGCAGTTCTGCCATTCTGGAGCACTCATTTATTTAGTCCTATAGAGAGAGAGAGAGAGTGTGTGTGTGTCTATGCGTATGTGTGTGTTTTTAATTTGCTTAATAATGGATCTTTTTGATTGAATTAATCCATAGACTCGTAGGATTTACAAATAAGAAGACGTTTAAAGTTAATATGATTTAATCATCTGTTTTACAGGTGAGGTAACAGGCCTTGGCAGTAAAGTGACTGCCCTCCTGTCACACAATTAGTGGCAAAGCTGGGAAAGAACCCAGATCTTCGATTTCTAATTCAGCACTTTTCTGTCCAAGTTGACCGTTTAAAAATTTCTTGATTCTAAGACTTTTGCCTGAGCTATGATTCCTGGTTTCATACAGAAATCTGGAAGTATCCCACTGGTATTGGTAATGATCGCTGTAGCGTTTTGCAGGTTAAGTCACTGACTATCAGTCAGATGCCTCCTACATACTGGTCTGGTTTTTGCTTTTTGGAGCATATGAAAGAAGTATCTGACATTTTTTTTTTTCTGTCCTTAAGGATTTTGAGAACTTGAGTTGAATTTATGAAAAATTAACCTGACCAGAATTTTCATTTTTCTTTCTTTATTGTTTCTCTTTAGATCTTGTGCACTCTACCTCCCCATTAAAAATATCTTGATTACTTTTTTTTTTTTTTGAGACGGAGTCTCGCTCTGTCGTCCAGGGTGGAGTGCAGTGGCGCGATCTCGGCTCACTGCAAGCTCCGCCTCCCGGATTCACGCCATTCTCCTGCCTCAGCCTCCCGAGTAGCTGGGACTACAGGTGCCCGCCACCGTGCCTGGCGAATTTTTTGTATTTTTAGTAGAGATGGTGTTTCACTGTGTTAGCCAGGATGGTCTCCATCTCCTGAACTTTTCTTATACTACTATTAGGCAAACATTAATTGATCCACAGTTGTGTCCCTGGCATGGGTGTTAAGGATGTAGAACCAATTTCAGTTTTCCAGGAATGTGCTGCCCATGGGTTGCAGATTGAATGATGAACCATCCAATGTGCTTTAGTGCGGTGATTCTCAACCAGGCCAATTTTGCCCCCCATGGGACATGAGTCAATGTCTGAAAACATTTGTTGTTGTCACAACTGGGCAGGGTGGGGAAGGATGGGGGTGGTACTGCTGGCATCCTGGTGAACAGAGACCGGAGGTGCTAGTGGAGATCCCACCCCACTACACTGACCCCCGTGACAAGAATGATCTGACTGGAAATGTCAGTAGTGTCAACGTGGAGAAACCTAGGTACAGGGTGTGATAATTGCTATATTCAAAACAACTACCACGTTTTTAGTGTTTTCTGAGCCTGGCTCTGTTCTGTGGTCAAGGTGGACATATATTACTATTGCCCCTAGCTAGGTTTAGGGGTCTGGGAAGGCTGAGTTGCACCCGGAGGTCAGGTAGAAGGAGGAGGGAACAGGCACAGACAGCAGAGGGGGTGGTGTGTGCCACCACTTGGAGGGGACAGTTAGGGACATCTGGGGAAATGCAGGCTGCTCATTATGGTGAAAGCTAGAAGGTGAGGGGGCAAGAAACTCAAGAAGAGGCTATGGAAATTGCACAGTGGAAGCTGGAAAATGGATGGCGTCGTACGACATTCTGAGGCACCTGGTTTTTGTTTAAAGGGTTTAGAGAACCAAAAATGGATTTTAGGTCAGGTAGTTACATGTTTGGGTTTGTCTGTTTTGGAAGAGAACTTCAGTGGTTTCAAGGAGAACTAATTGGAAGGAGGCAACTGGAGATAAGTTAATTAGGAGGCTGTTGCAGCGATTTCATGTAAGAATTGAGCCAGGGAAGTGAAAGTAGGGATGGAAATATAAATAGTTGAATTTCAGAGATATTGGTGAGGTTGATTGTTTCGGACACCAAAGAAGGGAGGAGTTAGGGTCAGGTCATTGATTGTTGACGAGGGCAAACATAGATAAAGCACATGTGCCCCTTCCCCAAAGGGAGGTATGTAAATCTTGTCAGCAGTACCTGCTTCTAGCTTCAAGTCCAGCAAATGAGGGGATGTCTCTCTTTTCCGTCAACCTATGGTCTGAAAGTTAAGCCAGCCATTGCAACACATTGGCACACAACGGGGGAGAGAAGACAGGGTTGCTGCAATAACATCTTATAAAAAGGAGGAGAGAATGGACATATTCCATAGATGCTGTGTTCCATCCCATTGAATGAGAATTGCAAGACCTCCTGCACACTAGCTGTGGCGTGAACTCCCGAGTTGGCCCGGTTGGCTGCTTTTGGTTTTGTTCTCTGAGAAGATCTCCCTTGTCCATTGTCCTTTGTGGCTCATCTAGGATGGGTGTATACGTCATATTTCAGCTCAGATGTCATCTCCTCAGGCAGCTTTTCTCTGGCGTCCGAGTAGAAAGTAGGCATCCAGTTTTTAATCGCCTTGCTGGAGCTAGGGATAGGGCATGTGTTAGTTATCTGCAGCATTCGCTTCATTTACGTGTTGTGCTTTTTGTGCCCCCTTATGCTGGAATGTAAGGTCAGGAGGGTGGGAGGGGCCTTGGCTGATGTGTTCACTCTGAATCTCTAATACCTGGAATGGTATCTGGCTCAGGATGTTTTTTGAAAGAAAGAGGAAATGAATGAACGAGGAGAATAAAATGCTGAAGGAGGAACCGGTTTTTAAATTTTTTTGTTTGTGTTTTGGTGGGGAAGAGGACATTGAATTCAGTTTTGGATATGAGTTTTAGAAATATTGATATTAAATATAGACAGGAACATAGGCTTGTCAATAGGCCATTAAACATACAATAGGTACAGATGTCCAATTGGCCATTAAACATGCAGAGTGAAGCTCAGGGAAATTACAGTAAAGATAGCTAACATGTACTGAGCTTTGCCATGTGCCAGTCTCTGTTCTTAGCACTTTACTGATCTTAGTAAAGTGGAGCTATCAATTTATGGAAGCAGAAGATGAAGCTATTGATTGGTAATACCCAGAGGGGGTGCATGATAATTAAATAGGGACAGAATCCAGAGGCACAGCAGCATCTGAGAGGTGAGTCAAGAAAGAGGCACAAGATCCTAGGGAACACTGGCATTTAAGGGATGAGTGAAGAAAGTGGCCCCTCTTAGAAGAAGCAACTAGAGAGCAGGAGGGTTGGGGTGAGGGAAATCTGGGAGAGTGTGGTGTCTCTGAATCCAAGGAAGCGGTTCAGGGAGGAGGGATTCCTGGATGTCTCAGAGATCTGAAAAGTGGCCGTGGTCTTCCAGATCAAATAAATGATGTTGGGAAGAGCTGTTTCAGGAAAACCTTGGGAAAGGAAAGAGGTTGAGGGTTTGAGAATTTCGGGATGCTGTCAGGAAGGAGCTAGTAGAGAGGGAGAGTTTGGAAATGCAGTGGAGGGAGAATATTGATGCTGCCTGACTTCTGGGGAGGTAGGAGTTGATTGCAACTGAAGCGTTTGATAGGAGCACGTTCTCAGACGTAGATTTTAGTTTTTTTTTTTTTTCTTTTTTTTCCTGTAGAACCTTCTGATTTCCTTGTTCTGTAATTTTCCAATGGATCAAGAGGCGATTGAACTGTACATGCTGCACATTGCTTCCCTGGTTCATTGCCAGTGAAAGAGCTGGGGACAGTAGGGTCTTGTCAGCTGCAGCCACTGACTCAGCAGCCATCAGCAGCAAGGACAGAGGTTCTGCTGCATTCCTTACTTTACCTTCTTTCACTGGCATCAGCTGTTAGTTTTGTTTTTCCAGGTTACCTTGGCTTCCCATGGGGTTGCATTTTCACTAATTTCCCCTAAGCCTAAAATTCTGGTGGCACAAAAGCCATCTTTCACAAGTAGTCAGGCTGTCAGTAGTTGAGATGGCTCAGTAATGTCTGCAACCACACATTTAATAAAGAAAACCTAAATTACATCTGCATGTTACGAAATTGAAACTGCATCAACTTTTGTTTTTTCTAGTGACAGGAATTGGCTTTCTGATTGCGAAAACAAAGCTAGTGTTTTTGGAATGTGCTTTCCAAATAGAAAGTGTGTCTTAGTTTCCTGATAGGTGGATTCTGAAACTTTTTATCTAGCTTTAGATTTTATGAATTTGTATCTAGCTTAAACATGCTCATAGATAATGGAGCCAGGTAATATAGACTAAGTACTTAAAAACAAGTACTCTTCTCTTTGTCACATTTGAAAGAAAATATATTTTATGAAAATAATTTAAAAAATAAACTGACTTGGTTATTTGAGAATAGTTTCTCATAATTGTTATTATATACTCTGAAGCCTAAGATGTTATCTCATTTGATAATCTGCTTAAAAAATATGAATGAATTATGATAGCATTGGAAAAATTTACAGAAATAGTTTTCTGTAGGTTTTTGTTTTATAACTAGCCTCCTCCATCAAAGCTAATAGTTATGCTTTCAGTGAAGTGAAGAGTAGTCAGCAAAGTATCTTGACTAGACATTTGATTCTTGCTGAAGCAAAACTGGCTTGCAAATCTGGGAAAGGCTAGGTAGGGAAGTTGGATGGTTTAGGAGGAGAGGCATATTTGTACAGTCTCCTGTAAGGTAGTAAAATTTGGAACTCAGATTTTCAGTAACTCCATAGAGTTACATGACTGATACAGAAGCACATAGCTCCCTCAGTGATTCAGCCTGTTGGCATTTCTTAGCTTTTTGTTATCAAGACTTCTTTACGCTCTTAAAATTTATCAAGGACCCCAAGAAACTTAATATTAGCCATGTTACAAATTAAAAGTGATAAAATTAAAAATATAAATTCATGAAAAATACCAAAAATAAATTCATTATAAAGAGCATATATTTATGAAAAATAATATTTTACAAAATCATGAAAAAATATCATTGCTGTGCATTTTTGTCAATCTCATTAACATCTGGCTTGATTAAAGACAGCTAGATTCACAAATGTGCTTCTGCATTCAGTCTGTCATTTGGAATATTTCACTGTAAGTCATGAGAGAATGAGAGTAAAAAAGACAACTTATATTTTAGTAGTATTAAGAAAACATTTTTGAACTCCTGAACTCCTGAGAGGATTTCAGGGACCTCTTGGCAGGAGTTGGGTGGGAGGGGGTCCCTGGACTACACTTTGAGAACCACTGGATGAAACTATATGTATTTCTTGATGACCATTCCCTTGGTTTCCTTTCTTCTGCCCCTTGGGGCCTGGTAAAATATTCTTTATGTTGACTCCTCAAATGTGTTTACTGATTTAAATTTCCTCTATAAAATTCCAGGGGAAGGAACCATCAAGTGAGTCAGGCCTTCACTTCCTTTTCACGAAGCCTTTCCCCTTAATTAGTCATGCTGTAAGAATCCATCTCACTCCTTTGACTCAGCCGCCATAGAGGTGCCACCAGACGCTTTTTACTATGCTTGATGACATTGTAGACTGGTTACAAATCAAGATAAGTTGTTTAGGAAAAAAATACTCCCTTTTCAGTACAAAGAATTCTAGGAAGTCTTGGAGGTTGCTGGGAGAAAGAAAGTAGAATTGTTTCCTAGAAACGGAGTGGAAAAGTCTTTGGAGAAGTTTTTGGGGGCCTGGCTGGCACATGGGATCCACTCTGCTCTCCAGGAAGCGTATGCCATCTTCTAGTTCGCATTTCTGCACCAAGGCAGTGGCAGGTGGCCCGAAGAGTGAGTGGGAAGCAATAATCAGCTCTCCAAGTAACAGCATTTTCATTTGCTAAATGTTATGTTAATGTTCTCCAAACTGATGGTAGAATTATACAAACTTAGGCTGAAAATACGCATACTGTTCATCTTAAGTTTTCAGACTTCTGATAAAATGTAGGTAAATAATATCAAAAAGTATCTTAAAAATTACACAGTAAATTTTGTATAGAACAAATATGTGTACAACTTACAACATTTACATTGGAACAATTAGCTACATCAGAAAAATGCCTGCATGAATATAGTAGCATAAAAACAGTTGCTTTTGCATTTAACTTGCAAAGAAATGGAAGCAACAGCATTTTAAAAAGAGCATGGGTTTATGTGCTTTATCTGGATGAGTAGTGGCATTTTCTAACTGCTTGCCTCTTGGGCACATAAGTCATCATGGTACATTCTTACTAATAGACTTTGAACTTCTTTCTCTGTCCTTTTCTTCTGGGCCGTATATTGCCGCCTTTAGCGCTTCAGCATGGAAGGGATCTCAAATGTCATTCAGAATGGCCTCCGCCACACCTTTGGAAATTCAGGTGGAGAGAAACAGGTGCTCGGTTATCCTTATTTTCCTCATTCTCTGCTTTTTCATTTTCTGTGTAAGTGAAGATCCTGAAAGCTGGTAGTTTACTAATTTACTAAGACCATTGCTTAACGAGAGAAATAAAAGTTTATTATAAAAGTTCATTATATTTATAGTCTTGATAATGAACAGAATTTCCCTTTGAGGAAAAAGCATTTTTCAAATTCGACAATAGATTAAATGCATTCTTAAGACGTGTTTTATAGCTCCATTTTTCACTCTTAGTTTTAAACAAATATTAACATTTTAACATAATGTATTGCATGTGTAGAAAATCTGCTTGTGAAAATAACTAAACTAAAATATGTGACTCTAATTCTAAAAGTCTAAGTCGCAAGATGTCATTTTTGGGGGAAGAAGGCCAGATGTCGGTATGTTTGAGACTAGAGTTCTAGGTCAAAAATATGTATAGAGTGTATCTTACCTCCTTTAAATGAAATTCATGTGTTTTTAAGGTGTATTGCATAGTCAGCCAACTCAGTTGTCTGCCAAACGAGGCATGCGACATTATTTATACAAAATTATACACAGATATGAATATATAATCAAGTATCTAGCAATTTGCTTTTTATTCACATTTTTGTATAATGATTGAAGGAATATCATGAACATGGGAAACATTCACATTAATGGGTATGCTTAAAATTACCTTTCACTATATGAAATTTTCACCTTGAAAAAGAAAAGTCTTTAAGTTAGCTCTTCTGTGCAGATTAAGAAGGTGTACAAAATGTAGCTTGTAGGAAGTTTAGCAAAAGAACGCCTAGATCAAATGCCTGGAGTTTTTACTGCAGGTAGTTAAGTGTTTCTCCGGAAGGGAGATCATTCCTATTAAAGAGGGAAGCCTCACACTGACATTTGCAGCTCATCAATGAGCTCCATGAAGGGATGTTTGAGTTTTTGTTTTCATTCCGTTGCCTCTCACCTCTCTCAACCTCAAAAGAAGACAAGGAATCTTCCAGACTGTCAGTGGAGCAGGGAGGCCTGAAGATGCAGCCAGGTAGCCAGAGAGCGGGCCAGGGTGCAGCCGCCTGGTGCCTCTCCAGGTTGCCTCACACATGCAGAGTGAAGCCAGGAGGACATCATTTCTGGCCTTTTGTTGTTGTTGTTCTTTACAAAGAAACATTCGATTATACAATTGGGCATCACCTGCAAGAAGTCTACGTCAAAAAGACGGTGGGACACTTAACGTGTCTCAGAGATTGAACTATGCAGTTTTACCACTTTTCTGGACTTAGGGATCCAGTTACTGTAAAGCAGCTTTCTTTATCCTGTTTTTCAGTTATGGGCAGGATAAGATCACTCAGTGAGGATTAGCCACAGAGCTGAGATTTAGGGCACGAGGTTAAATAATGGGTGGAGCTAAGAGATTCCAGGTAAAAACCACTGGCTTTCTATATGAGCATATGTGAAATGCACGGAACTATTTTTTTGGTGGGATGGTAAGAACAGGAAAATCTGGACAATCATTTATGGATTATGCTTTCATGGGATTAGTTAAAAGACATGGCGCTGTTACTTGTGAGCCTTTACAAGTAGTGAACTAGGAAGTTTATCTCAATTTCAGACATTAATTTTCATTATTCATTTCCCCTTAGGCCATTCTCTACTTTAACTTTTCTCCTTTAATGCCTAAAAACGTTTACAATGACTTACCCAATAATTTAAAATAATAGTAACGCATTTCTAAAACGATTTAAGTGTGTCTTTGTTAGCTTCTGAAAGAAGCTAGTGTGTGTTTTTCAAAGTTGTCATGTTATATATGTGGACCATTTGTTCAACCAGAATAAAAATGGTCTGAAACAGAATTATTTTGCTGTTGGAAATTACTTTATTGTGCAGAACTGTTAAAACTATGTTTTTAGTTTAAATTGCTATTTTTAAAATGTGTTGAAAAATATGCAAGTAGAATGTGAGATAATACTTCACTTTAAAAATGAACAAATTGAGTAAACCATCCTCAGACTTAGTCCTATGAAATTTTCAATAACTGAAATGCAAAAAGGTGGTTGTTTCTGTTGACATTAGGTTTGTATGAAGCAAATAGAGGTGGGCAAAAAAAAATGAGCTCCATCTGAGATAGTAAGATAACTTTATTCCCATACAATACCTGTGTTTTCATTACCAAAGTAGCTTGTGTTTTATATTATCAGATAGACCTTCTAGTAACAGTATCAAATTTTTTGCAGATAAGGTAATTCCGATTTAAGTGACACTTTTTTTTTTTAAACTTGGCAGTATTTGACTACAGTCATTCCTTATGAGAAAAAAAACGGACCACCGTCTGTTGAAGATCTTCAAATATTAACAAAAAGTGAGCAAAGACAAAATGAAACTATTACCTGATTTCCTTTTGCTGATTGGTAAACACCTGACTTTAGTTGGCTGATTTTGTTGTTAGTGTTTTGTCAGTTTAGGATGTAAATGATGCATATAATTGTTTATTTTTATAAGAATGAAGCCAAAAATGGCTGTGACATTAAATACAACAGTAACTCTAGTGTTGATTTGTACTTTTTCTGTTTTTCTTACCTTGTGAAATATTTATGAGCTAAAATTTTGGGAAAAAGCATAACCTAAATCTCCATCATCTCTTACATGTTTAAGAACATATCCATTTATCATAAATAAAATTCCTTATGGATCTTATATATCTATGATTGTCAGTAACTGAATAGGAAAGATTTACGGTAAACACTTTTTATTTCTTATGAATGTAGAACCCGAGGTAGTAGTTATAGGTAGAACATAAATTGACAGTGATGTTTTAAGAACATGCATTCATTCAGCAAATATTTAGTGAAGGCCTACTCTGTACCAGGCCATGATCTGGGCACTTGGGATACTTTAGTGAACAAAGCAGACAAAGATAATGCACCTTCAAGGGGCTTGCCTTAAAAAAAAAATTGTTAGATTTAAATATACATGATATTGAGTATCTCTTATGATGGCCGCAAATGAGCCTTGAATTCTGGTTCTATCCCTGTTATTTTCAGGGATATCCTTGGAAGTTACTTACTCTCTTTTGCTTACATTGAAAAACTAGGATAAAAAATATTTGTTCTATTTACCTCACAGTAAATAGATTAATATATGTATGATTTTGGCTAAGTTACTATCAATTAGCCGTTAAAATGGAGGGATTGAATTTGCTGATCTGTTAGGTCTTTGTTATGGTAAATATTTATGATACTTGCTAATTAGGGGGGAACCAAATGAAAGAGCATCACATGGATGAGTATGGATGATGATACTTATTTTGGAAATTTAAGAGGAATGGGCAAGGAAAACCTAAGAGTAGAAGCAAGTGTCTTATTTCTTAGCTCCCTGCCTGCTAACTTGGAGCTTTTATTCTTTCCTTTGGTGAATAATTCTTTAAAAATTTTATATTTAAATATGGATAAATCAAGTGATGCCAGCCAGTCTGAAATAAAAAATCAAGAGATTAACTGGGTAGCTAGCCCTCTTATTTTCAGGAAGAACTTAAGTTATATGTGTCCAAGATCACACAGGGGGATGGTTAGTTACAGAGCTGGATCTCTTAATTCCCAGGCAATTATACTTTTAATGATGCTGGTTTTTGGTATGTGATTTTATTTAGAAGTTAGAAAAAATTTTAAACATGATTGGAAGCAGAAATACTGAACATGGTAGCCCTCTAAAGAAGGGAACATAAATATTGCTCATAAGCCAGGAATTACTGGCAGGCCTCAGCTTCTCAGATCAAGAACAAATACTTCATTGGTCAAACTAAAGTCATCATAATTCCAGCATCGAGATGTCTTTATAGGTTGTCACAGTTTGGAATCTCTGGACATATTTGGGTCCAAAGCTCCTTTTCTTTCCAAAAGAAGAGCCCTGTGGAGACAGTCACAGTGTTTATGGATATATAGTCTTCCTGATAAAAGCTATTAGGGGATTTTGGGTGCAATAATAATAGTTAATAAAAATTTAAATAATTTGAGTAGTGTTAGTTACAGTTAATACATAGCATGTACTATGTGCCAGGCACTATGATATGACCTTTATATCTGAATTAGTAGCTTAGTCCTCATAACAAACCTTTGAGATTAAATCTAATTATTATTCTCATTTCACAGATGAAGAGCTTGGTGCAAAAGTGGTTAAGTAGCTTGCTCAGCGTCACACAATTAGGAAGTGGCAGAGCCAGGGTTTAAACCCAGGAAGGCTGATTTGACAGTTACACTATTTTGCCTTGTCGTATTGGTGGGGAAAAACAGTGAAATATTTTTACCAGGATGCTTTGGAGAAAATTTGAGTTGGCAATCTCTGTTAAAGTATAATATTTGTGAGTTTATCTCAACCTGAATGGTCTAGCTTAAAAAAGAAAAACGTTATACTAGGTGGCTGCTTTTTCTATTTTAGTTTTTACTTAGAAGATAAATTTGTCAAATTAGAATGAGGCTAATTCTCCCAGGTTTCTCCCTAGTGCAGAGGAGGCAACAGCCAGGCAGATGCCCGATGCTGCTTCATGGAAGTCTGTTCTTCATTTGGGTCTTTTCTTTGAAAGTTTCTAAGGAGTCTGACAGGATACGCTTGTTGGAGGGTATAGCTGTCCATTTCTTTAAGAGTTTCTCTAGTTTGCTTGATCTGCAGCACTGAGGTTTTCTTGCTGCACAGAGTTCATTGAGGTGCACATTATAGTAACCCACTTTCCGGTATTATTACAGAGCGAAGGCTCCTTGTAAATAACCCAGTTCCTCTTTTTTTGTCTCCACTGTTTGGAAATTTTAAATCAGGGAAGCAACTCTCAGGTAAGTGGGATATTCTTACCGAAAATAAATTCTTGTGGACTTACTCCACTAAAATAAATTATTGGGCCTTTATTGTTGTATCCCCTTATCAGGAAAATCACCTATAATTTGTATGAGTCAGTTATATCCTATAATTAAGGAAGATTAAGGCCACAATGATTGAAATTAAATAATATTTTTGATCTAAATTTTTAATTGTTGTCTTTTTTCCCCTCTTCTATTTTGCAGTTCTTCGTGCCATGAAGGAGGACAGTGAAAAAGTTCCGAGCTTGTTAACTGATTATATTCTGAAAGGTGAGTTTTATAATGGTATAGGTGCGATGGCTGGGAGGTTTGGATTAGTCAGTAAATACATCGCCTTGCTAATACATTAGACAGTAACTTCCCAATGCACAACTTTCATTAATCTTATTATGCAGGGTGAGGATTAGCTACATGACTGACTTCTACCAACATTATATATCATGGTTTTATATAATTTAAGTTTTATTGGAGGTTCTGGGTTGGAAATAATCTCCACAGTTAAACTATAAACATCAAGAGAGGTAGTAGAAGAAAATTAGTGAGATGGCACCATAATCATGTGGGTATCAGATGTTGGCAGATTGGCACTGGGAAATTTGAGAAGGGTGGTCTCTGTCATCTTGAGGACAGTGGAAAGGAGGACAGATCATTAGTGAGGACGGATGAAGGAAGGAAGAGTCACATCTGTGAACAGTGCCAAAGGGAATACGAAAGGGACTGATGTAAGACACAGGGAGGGAAGCGGGGAAATAAAAAGAATGGACTTGCATAAACCCAGGAAAGTGAAAAAGCAGCCACAAATCTTAGAGGCAAGGTGAGGCTCACACAGGGTGGGAATATTGATGAGGCAAAAGAAGAGTGAGAGGTTGAGTTGCTTTGCCGAGAAAAGAGCAAAGTTTGGATGATAAAGAAGGGACGGAAGAACTTAATTAGAGGCAAAATTAATACTTTACGATGAAATATTTTTTTAAAGTAGCAGGTATTCAGGGACCAGATTTTGAAAGCATCACAAAATGCATCTTTGTAGTGTTTGATCAAATTTTGAGAGCAATCCTCTTCTAGTAACAGTCTTCTTCTCTGGGTTCTCTCTCTTCTCCATTAAAGTTAGCTGAGCACAAGGAAGATGAAGATTTCTGAGACATTAGAAACCTCTGATGGTCTTTTCTTAAACCATAGTGTCATGAAAGGGGAACCTCAGTAGTATACACAGGGTGCTCAAAGTGAATCACACATTTCACTTGTAAGAGTCTTGATGCGGTGAGAGTAAGAAGCATGAGCTAGACACTAGTGGGTTGACACTGGAGTAGAACAGACTGAGTTGACATCATTTTAAAAAATAAGCTTTTTTTCTGATGGAGGACTTTTTCTCCCTATAAAATTCTGAAAAATTTTTTTTTTAATACCTGACATCTTTGTTTGCTTTTGTGTTGTGCTAGCATTGGTATGAAAGCTGGATTGTTCTGAGGTTCGTTCTTCTAGATGTGAAACAGGAATGAGACGAACATAAAGAACATGTCTTAAATTTTAATTATATCGGGTTCCTAGGCCTCTATGAGGGCCAGAGATAGAATGAGCTTCTGAAGCATTCTCTAGCTATTTTAGCATTTAACTGCATGGAAGGATGTTATGACCCAAAGAACAGAGTCCTCTGGGGAAAAATGATTTTTAATTCTTTACTCTGAAAACCTAGGACTATAATTGTGAACCTACCTATACCGCATGCCTTAGGGAAGCAGCACCCATCTAATTCTGCTCCTCATGCTCGGGCCGCTGGCTCCTGTCTGTAAGCCCAGTTCTATCTATACTGTACCTGCTTCTGATGAGCTGTCTGTGTGCATGTGTTGTGGTTTTGTCTTGGCTTTGTATTGTGAGGACTGGGTGGAAAAGCAGCAAGGATTTAGACTACAGTGGAGACTGTAGTCAGAGAAAATGAAGACGGGAGTGCAATGTGGAGATGTATTTACCCAAATGTGTGTGGGAAGGTGGGGAAGTCGGGTCATTGAAAATGCTCTTTTCCACCCATCCTGAAAGTTCACAGCTGGTTAACTGTTCCTCTTCCTTGGGGACCAATAATACGACACTTTGCCCGGGAGGGGGATATTGCTCAAGGGGAGAATACTCCTTCCCCTTTTTTGGGTGGTTTGTTGTTGTTTTAACACAGATGAGAGTGTGGCTTGGCTGCCTAAATACACCACTTAGTTTTAATGCAAATGTCAGAAGTGAAAGAAGGTAGAAAAGTGGTCTCATTTGGCCTGAGAAAAGGGAGTAGGGTGGGCACTGTATGGGCTAATTGAGCTTCTCTTTCTCGCACCTGCCTAATGACCCCACTGCAGCCTGCCGCCACTGCTGCCTTGACAGTAGTACCCAAGGCTGATTCTGAAGTAATGTACGCGTGGCTGCTGCCGTGCTGCTAGTTAGGAATAAAAATGTGTGCAGAAACTTGCACCCTTCTTTGACTTCCCTAGGGATCCTGTTTGTTGTGTCACAAGCCTCATGGTATAGGGCGAATGTTAGGGGCTTCTATCTCCAAGTGGCACCCTAAGAGACATGGCCTTTTGGTATCTCATTTCTGGGAAATTCTAATGTGTGTTGAGAGAACTCATCCTTGTTGGGTATAGCCTCTTAAAACCTTTAAAAAATTGCTACATAGATCTTTGCATTAACATTTAGTTCTCATTACTTAATGGTTTTTAAATGTACATGTAAAATGTATGTTTTGTGTAAATGTATACAAAATATACATTTGTAGCTAAAAGTTCTCTTTTTCTTCTAGTTCTGTGTCCTACATAGAGCAGCAACTTTATCTGCGGTGGGCTCCAAGCTAGATTTCCGACAGCATTATTCTGAGAGCTGGCTACCATTACCCTTCTTGCTATTGGAAACTCAGCACATTTGAACTTGGGTTTGATTCAGTATTAACAGATCTTGACTACACTAATTCTTTATATTATAGAACCAACGGAAATATGGGCACTATTTTGAATTCTAGAGATGGTTTTTGTTAAATCTACTAATAAACTGTTCTCTTAGTAGATTAAGAGAGAGTAATATTAATTGTGCATGTGCAGTTGTATTTCTCATTAACTGACAGTATGCCCATTTGTTTTTATGGCTTTCTTATCTAAACTGCACTGATGAACTAGATTAAAGCCTTGGGAGATTTATACTATAAATTCAGTGATGGCAAGAACCAACACTGTTTTTTTGTGAGAATTGTCAGTGTAACTATTACCTACCAGTATTGTTCAGAGAGATTGAAACAGAATAAACGGGCTGTTCTTGAAGAAGCAAAACCAGAATATGCATTACTTTGGTTTAATACTTAGTGCTAACATTGAAACTGTTGGTGGTGATGGATTTTGTAGCTTGCTGCTTGTTTCACCACTGGTCAAATTTTAACCATTAAATTGCCATTCACTTTTAGAATCTTGTATTTAAGTTTTGATTTTCAAATGTTCTGCTTCATGTGTCTGTGAAGAATTGTACTTTAAGTGTGTGTCCTCTGAGGTGCTTGAGAAAGTGTACACTGCAGAACTGCCCATTCTCATTACTGTGTCCTATTTTATTCATGCCTGTGTGTTTTTCTTAAGTATGAATTCTAGATACAGCTACTTATGGATTCATCAATATCATGAGCACTTTTGCTGGTTCCAGTCAAATCAATGGCATTTAATAAATTTTTTAAGAAGTAAAAATACATGTTTGAGAGCCTTATATTTGGGAGTTTTGTGTTGTATTTTTTTTTTCCTTACAGTGCTAGATTCTTTCCCTTAATTCCACACAGAACCCATCGCTACAATATGTGAGCAGATGAAACCCTGATTAGTCCCAGAATGCTACGAAGGGGAAGAGGAGGACGTTTATTAGAGTATGCTGAGCTGCTGTGGAATGACAGAAGTAAGTCCTGCTCTTTTTCTGGGGCTGTGAGACATTTCAAAAACAGCCATGCAGACCCCTCCCATAGACGACATGAATGAATTAAGAGTCTATATAGGACCTGCTACAGGCGGCTTTCACAATTCCACTTAAACACCTGTGAGCAAAACAAACAGGGCTAACATATTCCTCACTCCACTCAGCAACTGAGACACCATGACTGCAAAGGCAGGGGCGCGGTTTGAAGTTTAATGCCTGCTTGGCATTTCAGCCATCATCTCTAGGGGTATGAGAAACTCGAGATGGTTTCCTTGTTTTATTAATGTTCTTATTTGGAACTTACTGGCCCTTTCCCCAGATACATGTACTTACACAGTAATATTAATAATTTAAATTAATTTGAATTTGTAAAAATGACGCCTTGTACTGAAGAAATGTAGCTTTAAAGGGTATATGATATAGTAGAAAGTCCTTAGGGGGATATATTTTTTTAAAGGAGATTCAACATTGGTCTGTTTATAGCTCATTCTTAAATTGATGCTTCTAAAATGTATGAAAATATACCTATTTATTTTTTCCTGTCAGCTCAAAAAGTCTCTTTGCAGTTAGGCTTCCCCTGATCGTGCTCGGTAAAGTCTTTCTTCTTCAGCATCGAACCACTGTAGGATTTCCCACCACAGTCCTCCTGTGCGTAGCAAGTTAATTTTGATACCAGCTATGAGCACGTTTCTGACAGCAGGTAGGTTTCTTGTCTCCCTAAAAACAGCATCGCTATTCTCTGTACTCTGGGAGACACTTTTCTTTTTGCAAGGATACCTTGGGAAAGACCCGCCTAATGACAAAAGCACGGGACTTCTTGTTACACCAGGGGTTCATTGGACTGATAACCTTAAAAGTCTTTCGGATCTCAGAGATGGAATCTTTTTGCAAGTTACACTGTGTGATTTCAACTCAAAATGTTTATTTCCTGCCAAGAATCAAGTTGCAGATAATTCTCTTACAGCTTTTTTGAAGAAAACAAAAACAAACTGTAGAACTATGATGCACTCCAAGTGCCATATATCTATTTTATTCTTCAGGAAATTATATTTTTCTTTTACAAGAGCACAACAGGAACCAAAGTAAAAGAGTAATAGATACAGCACTCAGGATAAATCATATCTTTAAAATAATAATAAAAAAATTTACACCTTGTCCTATATCCTGTTAGTATTTTCATAATATGGCCATGATTGAAAAAACAAAAAGCAAGCATCTACAATTTTTTTTGATAAAGACTTTTTATGCCAGGAATGGATTAATTACCAACAAAATTTATACTAATCAGGCTGATGTCAATCTATTTTTGTAATGTATCATTAACAAATTTATTTTGGAAAAGATAAAAATATTGCCCCTTGATAATAAATCTTTTTTTCCTTTGATGCAAACAGCTAGAACACCTTTTTCTTTTTCTTTTTGATATTCTAAGACAAAAAAATGGTTAATCTTCAGATTAATAAATTAGGTCATTATAATAATAAATTAATTTTTTTTAAAGTTCAGCAACCTCTGTCCAAGTATTTACAACAATACTTGAAAGTTCCTTTACAAAACAGAACACATTTTCTTTTCACGTTAAGCATACTGGGTATCTGTGTCTTTCACAACAAGCATTTTTAAAAGAAAACTCAATGCACAAATGGGTTAATTAGTATAAAAGTGCTAAGGGCTGTTTGAAAAGTTACCACTATAGTATACAGTCAGTTATATTTGAGGCATACTACAACAAACTTCCAGCTTATTGTGGACAATATTCCAGTAGTTGTTTCAAACCATTGTTTGAAAAAAAAAAAAAAAAAATCCAGGAGCTGATTAGTGATGCAGATAAGAACTGCCATCAATGTCTCTGGCCAGTGAGCAAATTGAAAACCAACTGAAAGCAAATCCAAATGAGGAAGATTTTAATAAAGGAATACCCTTCTCCATAGCAGGTGCAATGCTGACTGCTCAAGGCGTGCGTGCGCGCGCACACACACACACACACACACACACATACATACTCTCACACACACATCTTTCCAATTAAACTGCAGGTAGAATGAGATTTTGTGTTATTCAAAAAATTTGTAAGTGATCAAAAGCACTGCTATGGAATGCCTGTTTATCTGCCTTTGTTCTGGTTAAAATCTCATAAAAATACATTCAACAGGAAAACATAAATTGTATGTGTATAAATATATATGTATATATATATATTATATACACATGCACACAAATACTTTTGTTTTTTGAAGCATAAGATAGTTACATAAATACTCCTATAATTGCTAAAGTTTAAAGAGGCATCATTTTTTTTGAGCTTCAACAAAGGTGCTTGAATAATATACAATTAAAATGAAGTAGTTTCTATTTTGTAGAATCAGTATATAATAAGGAAAAAGAATCCCCAAACAGTCTTTTTAAAAAAAGTTTCTTCTTAAGCTAGAGCTTCAACAAAAACTATGAACAACCAACAATATAACAGAACAAAGCAACAACAAACAGTGAAATATAGCCCCTGGAAATGCCTGGTGTTCGTCACCCTCTCCCTCCTCTTCCTGTCACGTTGTAAAAAAAAAAAAGCTCCAGTGCTCACATCAAGAAATGACTTAGATCTTGTTCATGTGCTGACTCTGCTAGGAACTGGCTGATTGATTGGCTTGGAAGAAAATAAAAGCAGCAAAAAGTGTAACTGTATATATCCTTAATAACCCGCTTTAGAGAAATGCCGCTATCGCATTTCTCTGGCTTCCTCACTGCCTACTGCAGTTGTGACTGTATAGAAAAGAAACTTGTGGCTTTAGACCTGGGATGGCTGTCAAAGGGTTCTGATGTGCTCGTCTGGTAGTTCTAAGGTGGTTATGGCAGCTGGGTCGCAAGGCCTTTTTTGTTTCCTGCTCATTCAGGCCTGAGCTTTGCAGCAACCAGTGCAGTCTTCAGAGCAATAGGAAAAAAATAACCTCTGGGCCACTGAACTGCTTTTATGTTACCAGGTTTCTCCCCGAGCCAAGCTGACCAATTTTTCTTCCCAACACCACCCTCCCACCCATTTCCCCATCCAAACTCACTGTCCCCACCCCAAATATCTCTACAGCTATCTTACAGGCAAATATATCTTAGCAACTTTAAAAACTTTGGTTCTAAGAAAACACTTGGTCAGTTATCTTGAGGAAAAGTGGGAATGCTTGTTCTGCACATTGCTGTAGACAGAGCCCATCCCAGTAAGGTCTTAGCGCTGTACATCAAGTCACAATCCAATACAATCCACTAAGCAAGTGCACAAATTCTAGTTTACTTTTTAGAGCAGATTTAGTCGTCTTCCGTCTTTTGAAACCTCATCCTAGTTGCCTTTCTTCACACTGTTTGGTAGAAATTGTCTGCCTGTAGATGGTTCTGTTTTTGCATGCTGTAGAAGCCACTGAATCTTGCATCTGGTTCTGCAATTCTTAGCATTCTCTGGGAACTGTCCACCTGGACTCTGGTTCCTTTCTTGCAGTCCACAGATACTAGCTGATTATTTAAGGAAGAAGGCTATTTAATGAGAGGAGGAATAAAACCACAAAAAATTAGTTGCTTTACATTATCTCAAATGAACAGAAATTTAGTACCTAACTCAGGTGAGATAACAGTTTCACAATTCATTGATTGATAGCCTGTATGCAGATTATCACATCTTGTTCTAGTACCAACTATACTTTTATGAGGGACACTGACAAACTGTATTTTAAGGTGAAATGTCAAGAAACTGTCAAATAGGGAGATGAAGGAACTGAAAAAAAAAAAAAAAAGACTGGTGAAATGATTTCAAATCCTTGAAGTGCAGACCTTGTGTTTCAAGGGGGCTGAAGAATGAGTGGAAGGTAGGCAGATTTTAAAAACAAAGGGATGACTTCTAACCACTCAGACTGTACAACACTATCATAGGCTGGGCCAGCCTGTGTGTTGCTAGTCACTCCATACACTTTATGAGCGGGTCTGTTTCCCAGCTTTGGACACTGGCAACTGTATCCTGACCCAGCACAGAGGCTGTGCCCAATGTACATTTGTTCAAAGAAAAATCGGAGGCAGGATAACCGCAGGACAGAATTTTTACATGGAAGGGTTAACCAGATGGTAAATTACATTACATAATTGTTCAGGCTGTTTCCAATTCTTAAGGTTTATGATTAAAATAAACCAACTCAAGGCAAAAGGTAGAATTAGAGTTGGAAGGGATTATGATTTATTTCCCTTAATTAATACAGTTTTTTCTTGTCTTTCAAAATAGGCAGATTTAGAGGCCCTTTATGTTTGTACTGAAAACAAACATACATCTTTTCTCCCTTAGTGTGAAATCTGCCTCTCCCTACCTTGTCTACTATTACTTTCCACCACCTCTTCATCTTTTGCGACCTTTCCACTTGGTGCTTGCCTTTGGTGCACTGACCTGTTCCTTTTGCCTTTTGTATACCCTCATGATCTTCCAGCCCTCTCCTGAGTATTATCTCCATCCCTTTGGGACTTTTTTTCTCTCCCAATTCTAAGTTGACTGATGACTAAGAAATGCCAGGTGATCACGTTTTAATGTCTAATATAAACAATGATTTAGGAATAAATCCAGGAGTATTTGTTCATTTGAAAACTTCAGAGTACATCGAGAAAACTGGATCCATGTAAGGTTAGGCTTCATTAACCAATGGATAATGGATAATTCACCTTGTGATCAGTCCAGCCCTGGGCAAGTACTATGTATTTGATTCATACTATAGCCTGGTATGGATTTGAGGCTATGAAGAGCAAAGTAAAAACTTCACTGGTTAAGACACAAGGTTTCAAGCAATTTCAATATGAGTGTAAGTTTTCCTAGATTCATCATTCAAGAGACTAACTTTTGCAAGACAGTACCTTAGTTGGTGTTCGATACCAGCAAAGCAGTGGTATCCACTGTTTCTTCTGATTGATGAATAGGAATGCTATTATAATAGAGAGGCATATAATTATGGGAACCACAACTGAGGCAATGGAGTCCAGTGAAGAATCTTCACTTGGGTGCAGCCTGTTATCTCTGTAATCTACCTGGAGGTGACCCATATCTAGGAGAAAAAAAATTATAAGCATTTATTACCTAAACCAGAATTGTTAAGGATTATTTTAATGACATTGCAAATAGAGATCAGCAACTTGGTTTTATTGCTTCCCAGTTTTTTGAGGCTAAAAATGTGATTAAAATCTAATGTTGATCCAAAGAGCTCTTAGTAGAGAGCAGAGCGCTTAGGGATGAATGTTAAAAAAAAAAAAAAAAAAAAAAAAAAATCAGAGTGAGAATCTTAATAATTGGGTAAGATGATGCCGGCTCTAGCTAATCAAGGAAATAAGAAGGTGCTTAGGTAGATTTTGAAAAAGTGAATTAGACCATGAAAATATTTTGATTACTGTTAACATACATGGTCTTCTCAGATTTCGAAGGAGAAACATTAGCTGATTTATTGGCAAACAGGAGACTAGAACAAAGTATGTTCTTTTACTATTAATTAATTAGTGTTAATAGCTAAGACTAATTAGATTAAAACTAATCAATCAGGAAGTTGGTCTTTTGGTTGATACTCTGGTTCACTGAACTCTAAGCAATATTGTCTTACTTTTCATAAACTTGTTGAAAATCTTGCTTAGGCCTATTAGATCATTTTTCTGCCTTAATGAATTATATCGCATAGGTGACTACATTTAGTTTTGCACTTATGAATGATGACCTTTATGTTCTTTTAAAATATCTCTCTTACAATGAATGTTGCAGACAAAAATAAGGTTAAACACATACCAATAGGGGGCACTCCCTAAAGTTTCCTTATTTTTATATTCTGTTTTGTTTCAAATAAATCATTGTAGTCAGGTTTTCTAAATGCATTAAAAATCAATTTAGTTAAAGACACATGACACACAGTATCAAAAGGAGTTACTCCTAAATTGTTCTGGAAATTCAGCTCATGAAGTGACAGAGCTTTGTGGTATGTAACACTGTGGTTTAAAACTCAGATTTTAAATGATATGCTTCTGTGTGTGTTCTGGAGGGGTGGTGGGAGCAGGGAGGAATGGGAGGTAGAAAACATTCCTAATCATTTTAGCCAGTGCAGATGGCAATAAAACTTTATAGAAACATATTTTCCAGCATCAAGAAAAATGTCAAAGAGTAACATTTTATTGATGAATTCAGATTTTAAATATACAATGAATAAAAGAATGAATTTTACTTTCCCATATTCCAAATCAAATAGAAAGCAGTTTTAGGAATATGTGTCATACAAGAAGAATAAGATATAAATTAAGGAAGGTCTTGGTGAAAGAAAAATGAAGCTGCAAGTGAGGTCTGTTTACAAAATTCAGTCTTCCAGTTCTGTTTCTGTGCTAAAACCAAGCCATCAAAGTTAGCTTTGAGCTTTGTAGCAGCCAAAGCCAAAAACGGAAACAACTATCAGTCTTTAATACGATTCACAATGTCTTTTAGGTTAAAACAAATCAGTTGCCTAGGAGAAGCATACATTTTCTTGCTATTGATGCATGAGAAAATTTCTCTTTAGGGGCTTTATAACATAGATACTATGCAATGCACAGGTCTTCAGTCATAAGAATAGTCGTACTTACAGTATGTTGAAGTCTAGCCTCTAGAACAGGGTCTGGCATACAGCAGGCACTAATATTTACTGACTGAATGAATGTAAGCATAATGCTAAAGCACACTCAGAACAATTATACAGAGAGCCAAAAACACTAGGTCCAGGAATTTGACTTTCTGGTCATCTGGTTTGATCCAAGCATAACGTTTAGAATATCTAGAGTAACAGACAATTAATCTCTCTCAAGCAATGAATATTGCTTCTTCCAAAAGAAATATAAGTTATATAGCAATGATTTGGAAAATATGGTTGGAGGACACAGGAGGCAGTACTGAGTCACGGCTAAGAGCAAGTTTATACTACTGATCAAGAAGAGGTCTACTTTTATAGAAAAGGAAATAGTGACAGCTATTGGGAGACAAAATAACATCTTTATTACGCACAGACTGAAAGGATAGAGCAAGATAAAAAGGCATGGAGTAAACCTGGTGACTAGAAAAATCAACATAGGTGATAAGTTTAGCTCACATGAAGTGAAAACTGCCCAGAAGTAGAGGGTAACCTAATGTACAAATGCTCAGTGCGGAATCTACAAGAGACAGTGACTAATTCATGATTACTCTCCTTACAAAGTTTATATATACATACGTTTGAGAGATGGCTTAGAAGTTCCAGATACCAGGCTCTTATGACTAGGAACATATTTATTTCCATTTATTTCCGTCATCACAAAGTCTCTGAGCACAGAGGGCCAGGAAGGAGGCATTTAATCCAGTTACCTGCTGACTTATTTTATCAATGTGTGGTGTAAATATGTTTCAGCCAAGCAGGTCTGCCCGGGAATAGTTATTTGAATTTACTTCAGCAAGTCATTTTAAAAGTTACTCATAGGAAATTTTAAAAATTAGAAAACACCTAAGTAGACCACATAGAAAACTAGCAGATCTCAGCTGCCTTCAATGCTTACCTCTAGGGAGATGGACGATATCATTTTCACTAGGCGTGGGCCACAGGGGAACCTCCAGGTCAACCTCTCCTCGATGGTTTGTCTTCTCAATGGGTATATTGGTTGGTTCTGGGACATACATTTCTAAAAGAAGGGAACATTTTTCCTAAGAGATGATGAAGCTGCTGTATTGTTGGCTTTTGTATTCTCAATCCAAATGGTGCACTCAATTCAAGACCACATTTCCTGGGACATGAAAGATGCAGTTTCTGCCATTTACATCATTCATCACTCATGCTAGAGAATCACGAGCTTTGCAGTGAGGAGAAACATGTCTTATAACATTTAAAAGATGAAAGAATTCTCTACTCCACCAGGGTCAAAAACTGCTTTTTCACGTCAAATGGTGTTGGTTTTATAATTTTATGGAAACTGAAGGGGACTAGCTGAAGTTATTTATTACTTTCCAGCAGCTAATAAATGTTGGTGTTTAATAGCTGCTGCTCTTTAATATGGGGGTATTGAATAACTTACATAAAATATGTTAGCAAAACTTGAAAAAGTTAAAGCACTGTCCACTTCTTATGGACTTCTTGGCCATTTCCTCTCCTTTCTCTTCCCCTAAATGGGAATGGACTGTAGGTAGACCTCATGAGTATAAGTCTCAGATGTCCATTATGTTACCACTGGAACCATTTAGATTAGAAGCTGATCTTCAGTAAATATATTTACATTATCCAGTTTGATCAGATAGGTATTATACTACAACATAAAACAAACAGAAGAATATTATTTATCTCAAATATCAGGTCTTTTTAAAAAAAAAAAAAATCAGAACTTTTCTCAGCTCCTACAAATATTTCTTTGTATTTATACTTCATCCAGCTAACGACAACTAGCCCCACATTTTAAAGCAATTAATTCTTCAGAACCTGTTTTCAAAATGTGACAATAAAAGTTTGTGTCATGCACGTATTTCCTTTCGGGCAGATCCTGCCATATTATTCACTGATTTTTTTATAAAGCAATTACTCAACACGTAGGATCCTAAATACTCACCATAGCCTAATTTAGACCAACATAAAATATACAGTATAAGTATATAAATTAAAATAGGATTAATAATCCCCTCTGCTCAGAGTGATTGTTTTCTGTCTCAAAGTTAACAGGCTTTTGAGAAGTAAACCTTAAGATGACTTTGAGAGAAGAGGAAAGTGATAGAGAAGAGAGTACTTGCTAAGCTTCCCCCATGAGTTAACTGGGTACCCAGCCAGGGAAAGAAACCCAGAGAGGTTAAGTTAAATCGCTCAAAATCATGCATCTAGTAAGTGGTAGAGCTGGGATTCAAATGCAGTTCTGTGATTCCAAAGCCCAAGTTATCTTGTTGCCTCCAAGAATAGTCTTCTGCTTTCTTAGTTATATTATAAAACCTTTAAACATAAAAAGAACTGGGAACAATTATAGTTTCTACAGGTTCAGTGCATCCCTGCAAACTCGAGAATTAAAAATAGAAGTTACTGAAAACATTACCATTTGCAGGTGCAGGGGCCTGAGCACAAACCAGTGACTCTCAAATTTTTAAAAATCATATCAGAATTACCCAAAGAGCTTAGAAAATGTGCTGACTCTCACAGGTCCTGATTCGGTAGGTCTGGACTAGGTGATTCCGGGAGGTGTGTGCAGGGGGATGGTATTTAATGCACCCACTGAAAAACTCTCATGTGTGGTATGAATTTCCTGGGTGAATATGGGCAGAAAAGCCATGTCGCCATTTACTTGACACCTTTCAGTGCCACACACACCCTTCTGCCCCTCCCCTGCCTAGTCCAGGGCTTCACACTGAGCCTTCCTATGACAATAGGGGCCGAACTGCCACTGGTTTCTGAGGCCTCAGTGTAAAGGGCAAATGCGACACCAATTCCAACAAACCTGTAAATGTCAATGGCTAAGTAGTAAAAGTTTCTGCAGAGGCCCCAGAGCTGGGATTGATTCAGTTCCACCTCAGGTTTTTTCCTGAGTGAGAGGGAGAGACGTAACTTTGGAATTCTTTTGCCTTGACCCTGCATATGGGTAGATTTCCGGTGAAACTCCACCAAGCTGAGGCATGACAGTGAGTCCTCTTCCCACAGGGGCTCTACTTGGAAACAGCAGGGAAAGTTAGAAGGATCTGTCTATGGTGAAGGAGGATGTCTTCTTCAGTGATTAATTGTATTACCATTTGTTCAACAAATATTTCCTGAGCACTTCCTACATGGCAGGCACTGGTTTTGGGCATACAGTTTTGAGTGAGACCAATCCTGGCCCCCATGGGTCTCTCCTGATGAGTGATGCCTGACAGCCACTTCTTACTTCCAGCAGCTCATAACCTGTCCTGTGTATTAGCTCACTCCACCACTCAGTTCAGCTCTGATTAAAATCCACCCACACCTCCTTCTTTATCACAGAACACGCACAGCTCCAGTTCACAGTCCTCAAGTCCAAGGGAAGAGAGTCATTTCCCTTTAATTTGAACATAAAAGGGAAGCTGCCTCTGAGCAGTTTTGCCAAAAAGAACAATTCTTTCAGTTAAAAAACTGCTTGTTGAAACAAAAAGAAGTGGGAATGCTATTTGTTTCCACGCCTAGACCCAGGCCGCCTTCTATGGCCAAAGACCGCCTTCAACCCAAGACTCTAAAATATAACCCTTCTGGTATTTACTAGAAGAGCCCTTTACAGCTGTTGGCATTACAGATGGACAGTGCCAGGGAGATTTACACAAAGCTACATCCAGCCCTACCACGAAGATCACGGGCACACGGTCACAATCGCTCCTGTGCTCATACTTGACCTGCGCTTTGGAGGAACTCAAGATAATTTACTGGGGATATATTTTACTTTCAGAGGCATCTGGTCATCTCTAAGAGTTGCCTTCCTTAAAATGTCCTCTTCTGGAATACGGGGCGAGGTGCTTGGTGCTTACAAGCTGAGGTCAGCATTTTTTTGGGAGATGGAACCTGAGGTCAATTTAGGAGCAGGGGTCTCATCCTCTGCTAACCAGCTCCATGACTTCGGATAACCCTCTTACCTTTCCTGAGCCTCAGTTTCTTCTGTAAAGAGACAGGTGCTAATCACCTAACAGCTCATAGGTTCTGTACTCATATCCAAAGATGGTAAAGGTGAAACTGTTTTGTAAAGAAAGAGGATATTCAGAATGTTAGTTGCTATGTCTAAAGGAAGAAGCAAGGTTCTTGTTTGCTGGACAGACCGGGAAGTGCTCCCACACCATCATTTCTGAGATGGTATAATCCTCACAGCATTTCTGGGAGGTGGCATGTGCTATCCAGATGAGAAATGGAAGCGTGAAACTTTGGTGGTGAGTCTTGACTAAGATCACACAATGAACCGATGCAAGAATGGGACAGGAATACAGCCTTCCTGGCAGCCCATACTGGATCAAACAGAAGGTGGCAAAAGCTCAACTGATTGCAGTATTTGCTTAAAGATAGAAAAATGTTTCATCAGGAATACAGCAGATGCAGAAAGGAGAGTTAACAGAAATTAAATTTCAACCCAATAGTAAATCTTAACTGAGAAGTCACTGGAGAAATCTCTAATGATGAACAAGGATGTTAGCAATATCTGTACTCTCTCTTATCAAACTCACAAACCAAGGAGAATGAATTGACCTCTATTTCTACCACCACTACCTGAATTTGGGTCCTTGTTATCACACCGAGGACATTTGCAGTGCCTGTTACAGCTGTCCTGGCCTCTGGTCTCTCTCTGCTTTAGTCCTTCCTGCACACCACCCTGTTACACAAAGGTTACCCCAAAACATCTTTGTGAACATGTCATTCAGCTGCTCAAAAATAAGCCTCCCCATTCCCTATAAAGAACAAAATCTACACTCTTCATTTGATAATTAAGGCCTGAAAAATCCTTGCCAAAGCTACTGTTTCTGTCCTTACCTACTGCTACTAAAACTCACTGCTCCAGAGGCACTGGCCTTGACCTTAGAGGCACCGGCCTTGACTTTTCCCATCTCAGGTCTTGGTTGGGTTATCCTCTTCACTCCAATGAAGACAGCACATCTGTCCTTTAAAATCTAGCTCATGTCCTTTCTCTGTGAAACCCTCCAAGGACCCTCAACTTCACAGTCTGTCTTATTCATGAACTTGGCACTTATGGTCTGCATGAGAGTTGCATAACCATAACTCGCAATGGGAGAGGTGAATTGAATTCACCTCTCCCATTCTTTCTTGAAATCACTCTGATTAGACTTTGCCTCCACCACTGTACTTCTGTGAAGTTCATTACAGCAGTGCTAAGTGCACAAGTCTGTTCCCACATCGCATCTTACGTGGCTAACAGTGGCGCTTGATTGAGCAGTTTACTCTTTCCTACCAGAAACCCTTTCTCCACCTGGTTTCCATGTCACTGACCCTCTTGGCTTCTTCCTTTATTCCTGGTGCTCCTTCTCTATTTCTTTTGCTAGGCCCTCTGCACCTGCTCAGTCTCCAAAAGTCAGAAGGTCTCAGGGCTCGGTCCTGCGCTCTCTTTTCTTTTCTATTTATTCTTACCCTTCGGTGCTCTCATCTAGTCTCAAGGCTTAAAAACCTTGAGACTAGAAACCACCTATGGCTAAACTTTCAAATTTGTAGATCTACTTTCAGTTTCTTTCCTGAAGCCCAGATTAGATATTTGTCTATTCATTAGCTCCACTTTGATGCTGAATGACTATTTCAAGCTAAAAATGCCCCAAACCAAAATGTCGTAGTCATCCTTGGCTCCTCTTCCACTCACTCCCCGCATACATTGAAATCCTACTGATGCGACTCATATGGCATAGTCAGAACCTGCCCACTTCTCCCCACCTCCACGGCTACCACCCTGTCCAAGTCACTGTCATCTCTCGCCCGGATTCTTAAAAAAGTCTCCAAGTTGGTCTCTCTGCTTTCACTATTGACCTCCATGCCCCACAGTCTATGTTCAACCCAGCACCAGAGAAATCCCATTCAAAGGTAAGTCAGATCCTGTCGCTCCCTGCTCCAAACCTTCCAAGGTTTCATCTCACTCAATACAATCTTGCACTCATCTGCGAGACCCTTTGTGTCTGGCCGTGGCTGCCTCTCTGCCCCACCTCTTACCTCCTCCATGCTCACTGAGTTACCTCCACACAGCTCCTCCTGAACATGCACCTTGAACACTGCTCTACCTTGAACACGCACAGCACGTTCCCACTCCAGGGCCTTGGCGCTGGCTATACCCAGAGGTTCTGCCTGTTCCCCATGAGAACTGCAATTCTGGGTCTCTTCATTAAATCTCATCTTGTTGGTAAGGTGCTCCCTGACCATTCTACATAATACAAAACAACCTGCCTGCCCCACTTCTCCCCAGCCTCTCTGTCTTGCTATGCCTTTCTCCAGAGCCGGATCCCCATCTTGGTGGCTACCTAGTTACTGTTTACCTGTTAGCTGCCTGGCTTCTCCCTACTACAACGTAAGCTCCGTGTGCACTGCTATTTGGTTCACTGCTGTGTCCCCAGTGCCTAGAACAGTGCTTGGCACATAAAAGGCATTAAATGACTCTTCGTGAAATAAATAAGGTCAAGTTTCATCATTTATATCATTAAAAGCATATTACTGGGGAAACTGGTATGAAATTTGTGAAACATAGGTGAATATACACTAGATAAAATAATTCCAGTGGAAAACCATATATTTTTTCTTATTCTCATTTAAAGCACTTAAGACTTGCTTTTTCCATATACACAGCAAGTGTGTATATGGAAAACTATAAAGAGAACCCAACTGAAGGCTCTGAAAAATGGTTCCACCCCCTTACCTTGCAGAACATCCTATCCTTTTTAGGAGATAAATGGACATTTTTAGAAATGCTCAATTGGGGCTAGTCTGCACAACGCCTAAACAAAAGGCCAACATGTGCAGAGCTCACTTAAACTCTTTGGGTTTAACAACTGCCCTATCTTACAACTGCATAGTACAGATGCACTTGTGAATTGGCATGGTTCCCAGCTCCCTGTATTGAATACAACAAGGTTCTCTAATATAATGCTGCGAGAAAACATGAGAATCGAGGTAAGACAGAAAAGCTCCTGACTCGCTGAGGACCTCAATGAGATCTTAGAGTGAGCCTTCACTTGGGTCTGTGTGGTCTATACCACCGGGAAATCTGTGTGTCTAGGGGTCAGTCCCCAGGGAGAGGGCTCAGGTCTTACATTTCTGGGATTAGACGCAGGGGAAAGAGGAATTGTTTGGCAGGAGATGCAGGCATGGAAACTAGGAGAAGGGCTAGGTGAGGCTCTGGGCAGCTGAGAAGGACTTAGGTTTGAAACTATGAGAGGGATAATGCAGCAGACACAAAGAGTGGGGCGTGGGGAAAGATGTAGGCATGGGGATTCACAACAGCCAGCTGGGGTACACTCAGTGGTTGCGTTAAGTGTGGAAAGAGATGGGCAGTTCAGCTGAGGGCTTGGGAGAAGGCTGCGTGGATGGTATGGGTACTGGCTGGAACTGATGAAGTAAAAAAAGAATGAACCAGAACTATATTCTTTAAATGCAGGTCTTCCACTTTGGTTCTAATATATTTTCACAGTGTAATGGCTTTTAAGCATCTTCCCTTCTGGGTCCCATCTTGGACCATCTTCTCTAGGCTAGTCCAACACTGCACTAAAACTGTGCTAGTCTAATAGGGCAGGTGTCATTAACAGGTTGGTTATACTAAAGTTTAGAGAATGCAAATGAGAAGAAAAGAACCCGAGGAATTCTGGCATGGAACCAAAATCTGCCCCTCATCGGGATGGTCATAGTTTTCCAAGTTACCCATAGGGTCTTTGGGTGGAGGCGCTAACTGGGCCTGACACGCTACTTGGGCCGTGTGAACGAATGAAAGAAGGGGCAGGTCGAGCTCTGCTTCGATTTCATCTTAAATCAACATTACAGCTTGACAAATGGAAGGATGGTGGCTTAGATACCTGGACACATTGGGCAGCAACTTCCTTCCACGTTGATGGGCTCAACACAGGGCAGAGGGGGGCAGCTGACGGTCGAGCAGAGGGTCTGGCCCTGCAGGCAGTAGCAGTGGGTGCAGCTGTCAAGGTCCCACCGCTCCTCGTCGGCATAGGCCTTCCCACTGAAGTGGCACACCACCTTCTTTGGAATTGTGTCTTCTAGTGAAAAGAACAGCACATGATGGAGTCGCTGATGTGACAACGCACACGATCTTATTAGACGTGAGAGATCAAGGGATAGCTTTGTATAATCACAGTATGCTTTAGGACTTCTGGAACTTGGTGAAACTTTTGTTTCCCTAGTCTTTCATTTCCTTAGGAGGACCCTCAGGGCTCTCATCTTGTGGCCACTGAGGCTAGCACAGGGTGGTCACTACCACAACCGGCAGGGAATGGTACCTGTTAGATAAGTGTCCTTAGACTGTCATCTAGAAAGAGATAAAGAGATTGATAAAAAGTCCAGCTGAGTTTATTTACAGAGATGGATTCAAGAAGTTCCTGTTTTGTAAACAATACAGGGGAATGGTAAGGAGTGATAATGGCAACATCACAAGGAACTAGCAGGTTTCCTCTGCAACCCTTGAGTGGGAGTCAGCACCGAGATAACCACTTCCTTCATTTTCCAGGGATGCTGCGTAGATTTCTCTCACCTACAAGGACATTTCTACTTTAAAAACAGCTTCATTTCATGGCAATCCATTTTTTTCCCCCAGAAAACTGGTTTTTGAGAAAAAAAGAGCTATTTGTCTGTACAGTATATACAGGGATTTCAGTTTAAACATTCTGCTCCTTCTTCCCATGGTCCCTTGTCACACTCATTTCCTCCCTCTTCCAAGCTTCTCCTTGAAGGTTCCTTTCTCTGGGACTCAACGCCTTTTCCTGGTGTACCTGAACTTACTGACTCCCTAGTGGCCACATTTCACACACAGAAATTTCCCTCTAGCACACAAGAATGTGGTTCAGAGTGAGGCCCCAAGGACCAGCAGATCCAGCAGCAAAGCAGAGATGGGCAAATCGAAACCCGGTGGCGGGGGTGTGAGCACGAGACTGATAACTGGATGACACCTACTAATCCGGGGACATTTTGTGTTCAGATTCTACAAGCAGCGCCACTCACTACTTGTCACTTAAACATGAAAAACTACAAAGGCATCTAGAAGGAAAGTTCCTTAGGAAGGCAGTCGTCCCCAGGGCCCAGGGTTCTTCCTGGAAAGCATCTGGGAAGCTCTTGAAGGGTCAGAATTCATTGAATAGACACAAGAAACAGAACCCAGCACATCTCAGGGCACGACGAGAAGCCCATAATGGCATCAGGAGCCATTTTCTCTGAGCAGCCCGAAGCTTTGCAGCGAGTGCTCTGAGGCAGCTGGAAGTGCCTCTCTATGAAGACCCAGTTTGTGCTTCAGACTGAGCTTTTCCAGAGGAAGGTCACAGACAGAAATGCTCACCGATCTGTGGTCTCTACATTTTCTTCTTACCAATTACAATTGTCCCTTGGGAGACTGGTTCTAGGACCCCATGGATACCAAAATCCAAAGACGCTCATGTGCCAAGTCCCTAATATAAAACAGCGTAGTATTTGTATATACCTACTCACATCCCCCTGTATACTTTAGGCCATCTCTAGATTACTTGCAATACCTAACACGATGTAAATGCTATGTAAATAGTTGTTATACTATATTTTGAAATTTGTATGTTTTTAAAAATATTTTCAATCTGTGGTTATGGATAAGGAGGGCAGACAATACTCAAGCATATGCACCTTTATAAATGGCACTAATAATGGCCTAATATTGTAAAATTTTTACTCCACAGATACAAATCTCAATCCATTGGGAGGGTGTTAGAAACAAGTCCAAGGAAGAAACTGAGATCGAGTGTTAAATGCATCATCTCTTATGTTGTCAACAACTTCTATCATTTTTCTCATTACTGCTGTCTAAGGTTCAACAAGGGGCATTAAGTAATCATGGAAAGTTCTAGTTGTAATCAGAAATCAATTTTTCAGTATCTATTAAAAAATGCACTTCCCTATGTTTGTAGATGCTCCACAGAAATTTTCTGGCACACTAGTTATTAGGCTAAAAACTCATTTGGAGGCTTTCAAAAGAAACTCATGATAGAAGTTCTTGATTAATATGGAATCCTTAAAAGAGGCGACTTCACTAAGGTATCCAAAATGCACGTGTCAAATTGGCTGAACAGAATCATCCAATGATGCCTAATTTAAGTAGTACTCTGAACTTCCTTTCCCCTCTCTCCTTCCCCCTCCCTCACCTTCCTTCCTTCTCCCTCCATCCTTCCTTCCCTCCTTTTTACCCTCCCTCCCTCCCTCCTGTCCTCCTTCCTTCCCCCTCTCTCCTTCCTTCCCCTTCCCTCCCTCCCTCCCTCCCTCCTTCCCTCTCTCCTTCATTCCTTCTTTCCTTCCTCTCTCCATACACATGAGAATAATGATGGGAAGAACTTAGACTGAGCCTGGACACTGCATTGAGGACATTAGTTTTGGCCATCAAATTTAGAGTCTATTTTGCTGAGAATTCTTTATGAAAAGAAGCAATGTTTGATAGAGCAGTATCACTGATTATATTTTACATGAACCTTGGCCCATACAATGCAATATCACTGAATAAAATTTGAGTAACAGTGTTACCGTACAAAGAAACCAGACAGGAGGTAAAACTCCTCATTCCATCTTGTCCATAACTCTTCTGACTCAAGGCCAAGCAGTGGTCTATACTGTCTATATTCTTTTTTTTTTCTTTCCTTCCTTCCTTCCATCTTCCTTTTCCTTCTTCCTGTCTTCCTTTTCCTTCTTCCTGTCTTCCTTTTCCTTCCTGTATTTCCTTCCTTCCTTCCCTTCCTTTCCCTTCCTGTCTGTATTTTCCTTCCTTCCTTCCTGTCCCTCCCTCCCTCTTCCTGTCTCTCCCTTCCTTCCTCCCTTCCTTCCTGTCCCTCCCTCTCTCCCTTCCTTCCTCTCCCTCCCTTCCCTATCCCTCTCTCCCTCCCTGTCCTTCCCTTCCTTCCTGCCTATATTTTCCTTCCTGTCCCTCCCCTCCCTCTCTCCCTCCCTTCCTGTCCCCTTCCTTCCTGTCTGTATTTTTCCCTTCCTTCCTTCCCCCTCCCTCCCTTCCTTCCCCTTCCCTCCCTCTTTCCTTCCCTCCTCCTCCCTCCCTCCTTTTCTCCTTCTTTCCTTCCCCCTCCCTCCTTCCTTTCTCATCCCTCCTTCCTGTCCCCTCCATCCTTTCTTTCCTCCTTCCCCCTCCCTCCTTCCCCACCCTCCTTCCTTCCTTATCTTTCCCATCCTTTTCTCCCTCCTTCCTTCCCACTCCCTCCTTCCTTCCTTCCTTCTTCCCCCTTCCTGCCCTCTCCCTCATTCTTCCCTCCTTTCCCCTCCTTCCCTCCCTCCTTCCTTCCTTTCCCCTCTCTCCTTCCCACTCCCTCACCTTCCTTCCTTCTCCCTCTGTCCTTCCTTCTCTCCTTTTCACCCTCCCTCCCTCCTTTCCTTCCTTCCTTCCTTCCCCCTCTCTCCTTCCTTCCCTTTCCCTCCCACCCTCTTTCCTTCCCTCTCTCCTTCATTCCTTCTTTCCTTCCCTTCCTCTCTCCACACACGAGAATAATGATGGGAAGAACTTAGACTGAGCGTGGACCTAAAGCACCTGGCTATGATGTGTGGTGTTTTCTGAATGATACTGACCTATGTAGAATAATTTCAACTGATGTATCAAAACCACAGAAGAAATATCAAAGATCAAATGCTGAGCTACAGCATACAGGGTTTATGTAAATACTCTTTCAGTAACTGTATGAGATCACTGTCTAAAAGAATATTTATAAAATGATATTATGAGAAAGAACAACCACTCTGAATGCCTTGGAGGCAATGGGAAAACCAATAACTTTTTTCTTTTTCTCAAGAGACAGGGTCTCACTCTGTTGCCCAGGCTGGAGTGTAGTGGTGCAATCATAGCTCTTTGAACTTCTGGGCTCAAGTGATCCTCCTACTTTAACCTCCTGAGTAGTTAGGACTACTAGTATGCACCATTATGCCTGGATAATTTTTAGGGTTTTTTTTTTTTTTTTTTGTGGAGATGGGGTCTCATTGTGTTGGCCAGGCTGGTCTTGAACTCCTGGCCTCAAGCTAGCTACCTGCCTTAGTCTCCCAAAATGCTGGAATTATAGGCATGAGCCACCAACACCTTGCTCAGTATCCTCATTTCTTTTCCTAGATACACTGTCTCCTTCAATGACACATAGGGACCCATTTGCGAAAACGCCATCAGGAAGTTTTGGAAGCTACCAGGTTTAAAGGGAGATGTGGTAGCTATTCCATGCAATTCGAGGTTCTATAAATTAAAATAATAGTCACTGTAGTCTTTTGGGGGAAACAGCATAATCTAATTGAGACTACATATAAATGTATTTTAAGCACTCAGCCTGAAGAGGGATGTAGAAATAAAGACTGGGAATATCCAACGAAAAATAACCAAAACAGTTTATGTGTGGCTATCAGGGTTGTGCCATTTAACTCTAAAGGCTACGTTTATTATTCCAACTGGTTTGCTTATTCTGACAATTAAGTTTTGTTCTTTGATACCTAATAATAATCGTAACTTCCACTTACTGAATGCCCACTACATACCAGGCCCTGTGTTAAGCATGTTACCTGCATCAATGCCATTTGATCTCCATTGCCCAATGGGTCAGGGTATTGTTTCAATTCTACAGAAAAATGAGGCACAAGATTCAATCAGTTGTCCAAGATGCACAGCTAGGAAGTGGCAGGGTGAGGAGGGGAACCACAGCGGGTCTGGTTCCACAGTCCGCCAGCACCTCTGTCTGTTGTGTGCCAAGCCGGATAACCTGTGGAGGGACCACTTGCCCGGACAAGGATCAATCAGTGCCACACAAACAAGCTGTTACTTCTCACTGACTCTTGAAAATGGGGACTCGAATTTATCTTTGTCTTCAAAGATAAATTGTCCTTTACCTGACTGCATCATACCTCACACAGTGCTATCAAGGAGTGGAGATAACCAAGTGGGTTATTTAGGTAATTTAGGATTCCTGGTCCTCCTTAGGAACATCTCTGTTTAACACTTCTCTCTCCCCTCACAATCTCTCCCTCCCACTCTCTCAAAGAGGATTAGAGGAGAATGTTCCAAGGAAACCATGAGGTATGACACTAACATAATAACGTTTATTTTTAAAACAAACCAATCAGGGGTTATATATCCAAATAAACATGATCCCCTTCTAAGTAGTCCTGGTAGGCTGTAAACTCTTCCAATGGTACTGCCGCTGCTGCACAGCTTTGGAATTTTCCTCTTGCGATGGCGTCCAGGGCCAATTTTGAAACGTGCAAAGAAGATGGTTACTATTTCACAGTTACACCTTGGTTTAGATCGGCTTCGCTACTTATTTTTCTCAGCTATGGCCCCTATCTTATCCGTCAGATTCAGTTTGAAATGACTTTTGGCCTCTTTCAGAAACAAAGTCTCTGCAAGAATACAAAGATTTACTTCTGCCATCACCGTCAACTACGTCAGGGACCTGGAGCCCTTTGCTGGATGCAGCTGGTCCTTCCATGGGGCTGCTTACCTCATGGGATGCTCAGACAAACATCTTCTTTTCTTTTGGGATTCAGATATGAGCAATATTATCTTGCATCACATATGATTACAATAAAAATATACAATGTCTTTCAGCAGTAGAGTCTGGAAAATTCAGTGTGGGTTCCCTCCTGCCTATTTTCCCTCAATTCTGGTTCATATCACAAGAGGAGGAAGAAGCGGCAAGGCCTTGAAATGTTAATTCCTTTCCGGTTAACTTCTTCAACTGTTTAAACTTCATTATCTTACCTCTTTTCAAGATAAGAAAAGAAGACTTAACAGGCTGTTAAGGCTGGACTTTGTTTTTACTCCTGAGCTATTTTAATTATGCCATAAAACTAATTAACAGCTAGGGAAAATCTAGAACTGTGTTATTTTCTTCCTCTACAAAGATCCAATTTAGTATTCCAGGAGTCACTGAGATGGTGGCACAGCCCTGCTCTGAAACTGACCATGATGTAGGATATACATGAGCCTCTGGAAAAAAAAAAAAACAAAAAACCAAAAACCAAAAACGCATCTCCAGATTCTTCCTCCTCTTTCCTCTGTGGAAGGATATAAAAACCAAAATGGACTCTAACCTATGTTATAGTTGGATTTCTTGATTTCTGCCTAGGAGGCAACTTCTTACATAGATACTTCAATTTCTAAATCTGGTGGTCATGAAGTCAGAGGCTTGGTGTGGGAGTAACCTCCTGGGAGGAAGTCAGGCTGCTTTAGAAATTGCATCAGTTCTTTCAAATCTCCTGCGTACTATTTAGAGTCCTGAAAAGTAATTTACTCTGGGATCCTGGTGGCCAAGAAGCTAAATGCAGCTCTTAATCTCAGAATAAGTCTCACTGCAAAACAAGCCAACACAGTACTATAACGGGGGCATTTGTTCTTCCCACACATTGAGATCAAGGCCCCCCGAGTGTCATCCTAAGTGTTGGGGATGCAGACGTGAACAAGGCATTCAAGGCCTTGGTCCTCAGGAGACGCTCCTGCACCCAGAGGGTCTCGTCAGCTTTGTGGGAGTCCATATCCAAATGGATGAGCCCAGTGTCTGGAAAAGACGCGCAGACAGCTGGTCCTGCTAATAACATGATATTACAGTTTGGGTTCTTAAGTTTGAGGTTTGAGGGATTTACAGAAAACTTCAGTGAAGTCATTTAGGCAGGCATACAAAGGGCCCATGTATACTATGGGTAACATGAGATTTAGAAAGGGGAGCGGTAGAAAAGGCAGCCAAGTATTACCAATGACATAGCTGACCTGGGCAAGAATAGGGGAAGTACTTCTAAAAATGTTAGTTTATACCTGTAACAATGCATTACAGCACTCTCTAAGCCACAAAGGAATAAAATACCACTTTCATTTCACTTTCTAACAAGACACTGAAATCCCTGGCTTGTCATGTGCTTTTCATTCTGTATTGTCGGTCACATGCTGGGCACAAACTCCACACTTGGAGAATAAATAGAATGTGAGCACCTCCTGTTTGAGAAACTGGCTTCACTTGTTTTTTTAAAAAACATAAAGAAGAGACTTAAACACATGGAAATTGTAATGATGCAGGGATCTGAGAAAATAATGTACGGGCCACTAAGAACTCATAGACAGAAGATGATGACTGATTTTCAATGCGCTGACTCACCAGGCCTTTACAGACTGTAAAAGAATGAAAAGATGGAACTCAACTGAAGTCTTGCTCAAAACAGATGCAGGGGGCCTAGACAATTTCAATGAGGCAGAGATCTAATACACAGTCATTCTGTCAGGAAATGATTAAAGAATTCTGGTTAAAAATGCAACAAATGCTTACTGATTTAATTAAATCTTTGGGTATTTTACTTTATAACTTTTAGCTTCCAATAAAAAAAAATCTGATCTTAATCCATCTTTCTTTTAAAAAAATGAGGTACATGCTGTCATGTCGGCTGACTCCTACCTCTCCATACTGCCTCAATCTTAATTGCTGTGAAAGCAGATTTGGCCACAGTTTAAGGCTTTTCTTAGAATTCCATTTTTGTTTTATTTTATTTCATTTATTTCTTAGGGTAGGAAGTGCAAGTAATTTATAAAGGTTAAAAGAGCCTATCAGATTTCTTCAACATACTAGAAAGAAATAGGTGATTGCTCAGGCTTCCAAGTCCTAGTTCTACAAAAAGAAATCTCACCAAACTAGTAAACACAGTCACTTTTGGCTGAGAACCACTGCATGCAGAGGACACAATTTCTCAGTAATAGAGCTTACTCCTTGTGTTAAGCATTTGTTATGGGTTGATTAAGCACTTCATGGATAGTTGTTGAAGGAAACATTTTATTTTCAACTTTAAATGTGGTCTCATGTCATAGTAGGGCCTACAATCCAAGATGCATCTACAGGTACATGGACATTATTCACATAAATCATTTTGGAAATATAAAAATGTCATTTTAAAAGGCAGGCAGAAACAACTAAAGATCAAGGTGGCCCAAATAAGGAGGAAGAAATACAACTTCTTTTAGGACTTAAAAGAAGCAATCCATGTAAAAGTCGGGGTATACCATCTTGTTAAGAAAACCTTAACGTAGAAGCCATTGGACCTTCCAGATTGGCCAGTTTCTGCACCTATAGAAGATGTTTTATCTGGTCACAGTCCAAGTCCTGTTAAGAAGACTCTGCCAGCAGTCTCCAGAGGGTTCTTATCAGGTGGGCCCTCTTGTGATGGGGTCTTCCCCCATATCCTTGACCACTAGAGGGTACAAAATCAGGTTTGGCCTCCTGGACCAAAATAAGAGAAAGGCAGATACTGTTGGATCTCTCTGGAAATAGCAGTGCAGCAGCCTAACTTCCGTGCAGCAGAGCTCTTTAAATTAAGAACGTGGGGCTGGAGCGGAGCACACCTAAAGACTATGCAGCTTAGGGGTTTTTCCCAAGTTAACCAGAACAACTTGAATTTCTGTTTACACAGCCGGGGGCCTGGAAAGGATACTGAAGTGAGAAGAGAAAGCTGCTTATGGAAGCAGCAAGATCAGTTGCTTCCTAGGGCATAGGGTAAGACCCAAACAAACTGAAATCAAACACTGCTTATTTTTGTTGTGATAACTTTAGACCAGTTCCAAAGTTAGCATGGTGCACGACAACCAGAATGTTTTCATTTTTATACTCTCTAAACAATACACAGAAAATCATCCTGTTTCCCCTTCTTTCAAATCACACCTCTCATCTTTTGTTTCAATCTTTTTAGCACTAACTGTGACAACCTGGGCCTCCGTGTAGGTCCACAGTAACTGACAGCACTGAAGAATGTGCAGGAGGTATACATCTCCCTATGAGGGTGCGCCCTGATGATAAATGCCACGTACTCTGTTCCCAGGAATCACAGTGGATCATGCACAGTAAGTTCAGACTCTTCAAATGGGACTAGCCTCTCAACATAAACCAAAATAAATGAGCCCTATTTTCTCACTTCTGATAATGTCTAGAGGTATGAAAGAACAGTGTGGTTTGTGGGCAAGGCCCTGTCACAACACAGCTGAGCTACAGAAAGCACACTGTTTCTACCTGGGTTACGATGGAGTGACCAAAGTGACATGGGCTTTTTAAGATGGGAGCAGGCAGGATGAGGTACACTGCCAAAGCATTATCTAAGATATTCTCGGCCTCGAAAAGCTCATCACTGAGATGTTATATCCAGGCATTTCTCTTGTAGAAAGCCAGACGCTACATTTAACAGTGAGACACTAGAATCTATTTGATAATGTTACTCAGATCAGCTGCAATCTGTGTTACGAGAGCAGCAATTCTACTGAATCAATATACACTTAAATTGTGTTTACTGTTTATAAAGTATTTTTGCATATGTACATTATGTCATTTAATATTCTTGGCACTTTTGTGAAGCACAGGACAATATTATTATTGCCATCTTATAGATGAGGAAACTGAACTAGGGTTACATCATATCACCGAGACATAAAGCTAGAATGTGACAGAGCTGTGATTATAATGCTCTGGCTCCAAGGGAAGTTCTCTTTCCAATGTGCAGAAGCTTTTAATTTTAAGAAAATACACTGGAGAAGCAGCGGTGAAAAATGTTCCAATGAAGGTGGGCACCATCATATCATTATGGTTTCGAAATGCGTAACATTAAGTTTCATGGGTTGTATAGCTTAAAGATGCCTGAATTAAATATTTACTATAATTGATTCTTGGGCTGAATTAAATACACAATGACCAACAGATGTTCCAAAGAGATGCTATATATCTCTAAGATACCAGTTTAGTAGAGTTATGTTTAAATAAACAGAAATCTAAGCAAAAGGAATAATGTATTGACTTGATATAAGGTATAGACATTTCCCTATTAAGGTTAAGTATTATTTAATCATTTGCGAGTTGAAGATCACTATGGAGAAGATCACTATACAGTGACAGTATCACAGCCAGTTGAGAAGAAATACAGTCACAACACAAGCTAAGCCAGCTCCATGGCAAAGTCCCACTTCGAATATTAGTAAATATATAAATATAAAAATAGCTAACTTCTAATCAAACAGAGGTATTAATACAACCTGTAAGAAATTTTTAGTGTACCATCTACCTATAATAGAACTCATTTTCACAGATCCTTAAAGATATATGACACTTAAAAACACTTCAATGATACTCGCTGATTAGAAGGCATGTAATCAGAACATTTTAACTTAGTTCACATGGAAGTTATGAGCCACATATATACTTGTATTTATTTTATATAATGTATAAGTAAATATTTATATTATATATAATAAACACAAACAATCATCCACAATTTCTGAAGTGAGAAAGATACACTGACTCAAGAATTTCTAGCCAACAAATGACTTTAAAAATCTGACCTTGAAATATCTTCTAAAATAACACGTAGTTACTAACAAATACTTGCCAAGTCATAATTTTCAAAACAATGTTCTACATACTAACACTTAAGACTTAGCCAACACATGAGCTATTTATTCAACGTCAGTCCTGATCACCTAGAGTGGCTTAACTGGGGGACATACCTGAGCATCTTGACTTCCAAAGTCAACAGGTATGATGCAGCAATGAAGTGGGCTTGAAAATCCTGGAAATTAACCTAAGATAGACGTTACGATCAAAGTAGTACTTTTTCTTTTTAATATCTGACCAGGAATGACTGACCCCTGGACACAGGGAGGATCCACTGAAAGACTCACGGTCCCCCCTCCAGAAGCTGCCAGAGTCTGGCACTCAGTATGGGCAGAAGCATCACCAACACGAACATTAGAGCAAGGTTGATGTGGTCAGGGCTCATATGGGGATATGAGTATCCCCACAGGCATATGAGTGGTGTGGTATGAGGGCTGCTAATTTACTTCTCTGCTATCCTCCTTGAAGTCATGAAATAAAGACTTCACTGAAAGCACTGAAATAATTTTTGCTCTGGCAAGGTTTGAGAAAGGCATGTAGCATGTCATCAGTGAAATGGCCATGGGATGCTTTAGAAACGAGTACACTCTTGCATGGCTAAGTAGGTCATAACAGAGGCATTTGCTGTTTACAAGGAACCACATATGAAATCTCTTTTCACCCATCAGAATTCCCACCAGACCTTTTATCTCCACCTGCGTCATACTTGTCAACTTTTGATTCTTGTTCTTCATCCTTTAACCCTTCATTATAGTCAGCTTATGAAAATAAAATCTAAGTTTGAATGTATTTACTTAGAAAACCAGAGTACAAAAAAAAATTAGGGAATCAGAAGATGTTCCATTAAAGTGAATGGGTAATTACTACTTAGTTTCTTTCTAGTAGAACAATGAATTCCCTAATGATGGATATTATAAGAAACTAGACAAAGCTGTTCACTTTTCAAAATTAATCATCAATCCTATTAATTATGTCTATATTACATATCCTATTAAATTAGCACACATAATATGAGGCCCTCGAACATCAAAAGAGAAGCATTATCATTGCTCATTAGTGACTTGACAATTTGACACAAGGAACACAAATACTTGTAATCAGAAAACTATTTTTGGTAGAATCACCACTTTTCATTTTTCTTACAGTAGGAAAAAAGGATACTTCACATGCATACTTTTTTTTTGACCACTAATAAAAGAGGTCCCTTAATTGTGAGTTTGAGGTTTTTAGAGATCTGTATTTGACTAATTAGGGAGAACATTCATCCATGGAAGAGCCCTACAGCCAAGGTGAGGTCAGCACTGTGGGCTGGGGTGAGATAGTCTGTACATTCTAACAGTGAGATACACAAGATCCTGAGAATAGATGATAATCTGAGTTAAAACTGAGAAAGCCTAAACCAGGAAACAATGCGAGCACTGGTCTTTGGTGCCCACTGGAAAAACAATTGGGTGCTTTAAGACATGCCGCCTGATGGTGTGTTTCCATGTTTTTCCTTTGCTCAGTGACCTCTGGATGGTGATAAAGGCTCTGCCAATGAAGCACAGCTGGCAACTGCCTTTGGGTGTGCTTGTGCTGGCCAGGCTTGGCACCCTTATATAGGGACCAAGCTGACTGGAAGTCAGGACTTCTTAGTTGATAAGAGAACAAGCCCAAACGCAAACCGGAGAGTCAGACAGGAAATCCCTATATCATAGTCATGAACTTGACTTCGTATGTTTAGATATAGCAGGGCTAGATAAGAAAGGATGAAGGCCTATCTAACAACGCTACTTGCAAAGTAAATATGATGCAGACAGAAGAGGGCTTAATGACTATTTCAATAATACAACACATATAAATTATTAAGATGAACGAGTGAATAAGGTACACGGTTACAGTTCATCAAATGTTAAGTCTTCCCAACATGGTCCCCTGAAGCTAAGTCATGGGTTTATATGATAAAATTATACGTGCATCAGTTTGGGAGGGGGAGGGAAGTTGTGGAGGGAGACAGATCAGAATCAAAATGTCCACTATACCATTACGAGCTCATATGAACCACAATTTAGCAAAAGTGCTGCAGTCCAACTTAAAATCAAAATCACAAATTTGAGCCAAACTGGTCCTTTTTTTCTACACCAATGAAGAATGTATAATCTAGATGCAGGAATTGGAATAGAAAGTATGAAGGCAAAAAAATAAAAAATAAAAAGAAAGACTACAGAATACTACGATTTGCAGGTTTCTCTTCATAATTTTGAATTTGTTAAATTGGTTTTGTGAGAGATGATTATCTACTATCACATGAAAACAAATTTACTAGTCGAATAATTTACTAATTACAAATTTAACAATTAAGTAGCAAAACAACAATAAATTTACACAAAACAATCTGAGAATTTTCAACACACGAGAGATCTGCTGTTAGATTTTTCCTCTGAAGGTAACATGCAATTCTCAGACCTCCTGGGCCCTGGTTTCCCAAGTATGACATAAGTATCCCTGGTTGACTTGTGAACTATTTCCTTTAGTATTAAAGCTTTACTGCACTTGTACCTCTGAACTTAAAAAGTTAAAAAAAAAAGTTTTGATATATAACTATGGGGATATTGGCTATACTTTCCCCTTACCCAGCCTGAAAGAATAGCTTAGTTATAGCTTTCATTTAGATCTCACCAAAGGCAGTGTCATTTTGTTGCGTGAATTTTGGTCAGCTCTTTGAAAAGGTAAGTAGCACTAAATTGGATATATGCCTTGATACATTTTTCGCTCCACTTAGGAGCTAGAAAGCTTAGGGGTAGAGTACAGAGAAGCCGGTGCTAAAATGCAGGGCTACCACATATCCAGTTTGCTTGGGACACTCCTGATCTATGTATGACTATTGTCCCATCAGAATTATTAACAGCCCCCTTTTCACTCTCAAAAGCATCGTGGTTTGAAGAATAAATTATATGGATGGTAACCCTATTAAAAGAGAGAATCTAGCTTTTAAAACAGAACTTTTATTACTCTTTGGCCATCTAGCTTTTAAAACAGAACTTTTATTACTCTTTGACCATTACAGTAAGAAAATCTGTGTAAAATTCCTAAGAACAGGCATTTCCATCTCATATACCAACACGCAGAGTAAAAGACTCAGAGTGGCCCTGTCTAGTGGCCAGAAGTCACAAGACAAGGACAGGGAGATGTCCTCATGAGCTTGAGTTATGGCCACCATTCCTCAGCTTATCTATCAGAAATGCCACAAAACTGTGTAGCCAGATCTCCTTTATTCCCCATCTATCACTCCAGATATATGCAATGACTTGTGTTTAGAAAACATGGAAAATCCCCAACAATAAATGTGCAATTAGTACAGACTGTAAACTTTTTCATCTGCTACTCTGATTATAGGTGCACTATCTGATTAAGACGTGTCATTGTCTTTCATTTGACTTTGAGCTTTACTGGACACAAAAGCGTTAAAAGAGGGTGAAAGCCCAGGGAACACGGGCTGTCCTTGATAGAACTGCCAGCTGTCTCACCTTTTGGACCTCGGAACAGCATCTGGCTTATGTCCATAGGACTAGTTTTGCTCCAGATGTTAGGTGCTAATATACATAGATCCTCTGCTCACAAAGATGCATCACCACCACGGGTCACAAGAAGGTGAGGGCTCTAGAGTTACTCAGGCCTCACTCTGTGTGCCTAGGCCACTGACAGGGACAACCACGTGGTTGAAACAGAATCCATTAAGTGCCAGAAGACAGGAACAACTGGGAGATTAAATTAATATTTCATATTTAGTTGATCTCAAGGCAGCAGCAAGCTTTATACACTAAGTGGGCTCTAATATGAGACTTGGTGTTTCTATCTGGAAAAAAACACCACTGTCCCCATCTCTACTAAAATACAAAAATTAGCTAGGCGAGGTGGCAGGCACCTGTAATTCCAGCTACTAGGGAGGCTGAGGCAGGAGAATTACTTGAACCCAGGAGGCGGAGGTTGCAGCAAGCTGAGATTGCACCACTGCACTCCAGCCTGGGTGACAGAGTGAGAATCTGTCTAAAAAAAGAAAAAAAAAACCACTGTAAAAAATAGGCTGGAGAAACAGAGTTCTGAAATTGAAAACCCTGAACTGGCCAAGGACCCCGATAGAACACGACAGTGCTGTAACAGTATGACATTCTCAGAGAACATTTCTTTCTCCTTCTTCTTCTTCTTCTTTTTTTTTTTTTTGAGATGGAGTCTTGCTCTGTCACCCAGGCTGGAGTGCAGTGGCACAATCTTGGCTCACTGTAACCTCCGCCTCCCGTGTTCAAGTGATTCTCCTGCCTCAGCCTCCGGAGTAGCTGGGATTACAGGTGTGTGCCACCACACACAGCTAATTTCTGTATTTTTGGTAGAGACGGGGTTTCATCATGTTGGCCAGGCTGGTCTTGAACTCCTGACCTCAAGTGATCCGTCTGCCTCGGCCTCCCAAAGTGCTGGGATTGCAGGCGTGAGCCACCACTCCTGGCCTCATTTATTTATTCTTACAGCACCTCCTCTTGGGAGTACATCTTCCATATCTTTCTTCTGCTCAGTGTTGCTACACTGGGTCTGTGTGACATGTCAAGCAGGGAAAAAACCAGTTTCAAAAATATTAATTGATCTAGCAAATGGCTGTCAATACAGATTTAGTGACAACTGGTAGAGATGAGGGATTTTTTTTTCCTTGGTCTTACCTATGCAGTAGGGACAACACTGGCCTTTTCTCAAGACAGGTCTTTCACAGGATACAGAAGGGCAGGACTCAGAGAAACAGCTAATTACGCTATCAATGCAGATGCAGCTGGTACAAACGTCAGGCTTCCAGGACTCAGCTGCCAGGAATATATCCCCTTCATCATTTTTGCAGTAATTAGGTACGCTGTTATTGCGGGACAAGGAAGGCCGAAAAGGTTGATCTGGAAAAATGAACATATAGGTCAGCAAAGAAGATGCTGTTGGCCAGCAACTATGCAACATAGTGTGTTTCAAAGCACACCCAGTCATGATGGCTTTCGGTGCCTCCTTAAATACATGACGCAGTAACAAATCAGAAAGTATGATTCGGGAAGGGTCTTAAATTTTTAAACAAAATAACAAAGATCAAAAAAGAGATGTTACAGTTATTCTGTTAGTTGTTTATATAACATCCGCTCTTTCTTCCTTAATGAAATCCTGGTTTTCTTTGGGGAAGTCCCAGGACTTGGATTACAATGCATGTAAGTAAATGGGACAATTCTGTTCCCTGCTTTCCTAGGCTCCCTTGAAACTAGGGTGGCCCCATCATCTAGCCGTAGCTAATGGGACCTAATGGCTAACGAAGGGATTTCTGGGAAAGCTTTCACTTTCTTCAAAGAAGGGTAGATATGTTCTGCCATCATCCTTCCACATTATTCCTGCCTTGATAGGAGTGCGTTGATCACGGCTGTGACACCCCTATCAGAAGAGAAAGGCCTTGACCCCACTGAGCCACTGAATCAATGCTGATAAACATCTGCCTCCAAATGTCTTGTCATATATGTAAAATAGACCTCTATTTACTTACAAATTGTAGCTGGATTTTCTCTTACTTGTGGCCACATGCAATTTTGACCAATCAATATTCAGACAAATTCTCATTGTACCAGACTACCAAAAACCACCTAAATGCAACATTCCAATGTTCAGGAATTCACATTAATGACTGAAAGATAAGAAATCTAAATCACTCATAAGGATGCAACCACAGAGAAATCATGTGCAAATCATCTGTGTCTTTGCTATCTAAAGACTGAGACCTGGAAGTCCCCAGATCTAGTTACAACTTGCAACAGAAAATGTCACCAGAAAATCCAGATAGCACTTTGGGCATCGGTTTCCACTAAAATCAATGAAAATTGTAACTTCAAGCAGCAATATGATTGAGATATCAGAAAGGAAAATGTAAGTGGGTGCGTTTCCAGTTTAGAAATGTCATAGTCCAACTGATAAGAGAGCACTTCTAATCAACTTCACCACTCAAGAGTCTAGACACAGCCACGACAGCCCTACCTAGCAAAGCTCTAAGAGGGCCACATTTTCTCAATGCATACACAATCAAAAGAGTTGTCGTATGTTCTTCCCAGAACCAACTTCATGAGCTCTGTTATTTTTAGTCAAGAACCAGAAACAACTGAGACATGTAGTTGCCATATGATCCAGAAGCTCTACATGCCACTTTTTCCTTCTATCCACCTCATGAATATACCCCACAGCCAGTAAGCAGGATGTGACAAGAAGGGCCTTTTTGAGGACCAAGGCAGTTACTTCATTGTGGACCTTCTCTGAGGGACAGGAAAGCCAGCATAATGGGATTGGCCCATACCCTCTCCTTTAAACTGAGTAACTGTATCTCCTATGACTAGTCCCAAAGGCAGCAGGCATAAGTTGAAGAACAGCCATTGGTTCCACGGCTCCATGGTACTCTAGGTCCTATTACAGATATGATTCCACAGATCCCACCCACATAGGTTAGAGATAGTAAGATGGGATGACTTTCTCAATGACCTTTTCGTGGTTATCTACGTCGAGGGATAATTTCTTCTCTAAGAGACTGACCAGTGCTAACTTTTGCTTTGGCTAGAAATAAGGACAACACCCTCTTGTTCACACTAGGCCCTGCAAATCTCCATGAGGTTTTTGTGACTTACGTTAACTTAGCTCATGCAAGCATTGCCCAACCTCTGTCTAAAAACTGAAAAGAAGAAGAAGGGACAGCCGTGCTGAAGCTATGGAATGACAGTGAAACGAACAGCCTGGAATCTGCAGGGCTCTCACTGAGGCCTGGAAATAACCCAGAGGACATCAGGATACGCTGGCAGTGACGGTGTGAGGGCTGGAGCCGAGGTAGAGTCTGCAGGTTTCCTTCCACCAGGCAGGAGGCTCCTGGCCCAACCCTGACCGACAATGTCATTTGGAATCTTACCCACAGCATCTCCCTTCTTTGGGCCTCTTTTCTCATTTTTCCTGCTCTAGACCCTTTTCTTTACACTTCTGTTTCCAAACGTTTACTCCTTTATTTGATCTTTACCAGTGTTTTCACTGTTTTCAGTGTTTCCTTTTTTCTATTTTCTACCTCCCTCGCTCTTCTCTGCCATGCTTTTTTCCAACTCTAAAAATAAAGGAAAGAAAATTTTAAACTTATGGAAAGAAACAAGTGCTATTTTACCCTCTCCCTTTTGTATGCTGGTGAAGTAGCTTCACTTGCAGTGATGTGCAATCTTTCCTCATTTCCTCACCAGACCTTGCTTTAAACCAGGCCAGAGAAGAGGGAAAGCTGAAGAGAGGAAATGACAAGGCACCCTACAGATGGAAGCATCATGAGGGATTCGACCCTTTGGAAGCTGTTATCCCACTGTGGAGCTATGACTTTTGGGCCATTTTAGAATGCAAGTGTCCTAAGATTAGAGATGATATTTTTCTACATGTGTAATATGCCACTTATCAATGCCACTGTTGAGAATTACTGTGATGGGAAGAAACTGATAATTTGAGTTTTAAGGCTTTTTATTTTTTTGTATCTCAATACAACGATGAATGAAAAAGTCCAGAAACATCCTTTAGTTAGAGGTAAAGAAAAAAATCCAGGCCTAAGTTAATGAATGAGAAGTCAAAGCCAGGCACATGAGGGGTTGCCTGTTCTTTGGAAAGATGGAAAGGAATGCAGGACTACCACTGCCTTGCTTGGCTAGAACCCATGGGCCTCTGCACATGCCACCCATGTTAGCATACTCAGAGGTTCCCACCTCCACATAGCTCTCCTTCTCTTTATGGGTGGAACCTCTGAGTTCAGTAAGGTGTCCCATCAATGAATTTCAGCTAGTGGTCCTGGAGGCATTTCCTCCCCCAGTGCCACTCCCTTAGTTAATCCCTAAGTTCATCACTCAGATCCTAACACAAATAGCACCAGGGGTATTTGCTGCTTTAGTTTCCCGGATTGCCTATGTTCTTGAATCCTCCCTTTCAAGGCACACCTCTTACTTTATCATTATTGACTTAACGTGGAATATTGGATTGTTTGGCTTTTCGGCTATTGCTCCAGGACAGGAATCATGTCTGTTTTCATTAACCTTGGAATCCCCATAGTTCAATTCAGGCATTCTACAAATATTTGTAAACTAAATAGCTAAAAGTACATAAATTCATTATCACCAAGGAAAAGATCACTCTAAGTAGTTTCTACCAAGGTGATGTAAGTAAAGTCACTGCTATATATTAACAAAAAACATCAGTAGGGTTTGAATCTGAGTGAATTGTGATGACAACAAATTAGGAAATCATAGGTCATGCATATCCTAAAAATGTAACACATATGAACTATTTCTTATACTAGAAAAGCTGTAGTGCTAATTAAGCTTCTCAGATTAACAGTTCTGTACTAAAATGGTAATACTTGGGCTGCCGTGCATGATGACAACAGCCAGTAATGTGGCTATCCCTATAAGTTCATCTGATCAATTCCAAAAATGCCATCAACATAAACTTATAAAAAATTTAGACACTGATGATGCTGCACATAATGACGGAACAACAGATTCTGGCCAGCTGACTAGATAATCCAATGTTAAAAAAAAGAAGTAATAAAATACAAGGGTTTATGTTTTGCTGAGCAGAAATGCTCTAAGAATATGTTTAGAAAGTAAATGGTTATTGATTTAAGTTGAAATATGGGAATAAGAAGCAACAACAACAAAACAAAACTAGTCCTGTCAACTTGATAATTTTATATTTAAATATCTTTTGAAAAAGTCACATCTAGTATTAATTAAAAGTACTACTAAAGTTATATAAAACCAGTAACTTATGATTAACATCTTGACAAATTTCCTTCTAACAAGTTTCATGGCCATACATTTACCTGCTAAGGTCAGATTATCTGAGAAATAAAAAGTAGAAAATAATAGCACTCCTTATACATGTGCAGTGCTAGTCACTTAATGCTTTTTGGCATTAACTTACTAATCATCCCAACTTGGAGGGGGTGGCATTATGCATATTTCAAAGTCTCTTCGCCACCCTTATATTTCAAAGAATTTTATTTACAAAGAATTTTGTTTACATTATTTATAAATAACTATTCTTCTCATTTGTTACATAAAGATGACTTTTCACAGTAACAGAATCGTTTGGTTAATTTGGTGCGGTGGGACTTTCTCTACTTAGGTATACGCCTCGAGTTTGAGATGCAGGGTTAAGGAAAAAAATTGGCAAGAGCAACAGTCTCCTTTTTTGTTTCACAGTCATCTCAGGTGTGAGGCATGCTGACTGCATAAATAGGTGGTTGATAAAGAGAATACATGCAGGAAGCAGGCTGCCAGCTGTTCCTGATGGGATACTGGGTTTGGCACACTCCCATATGGGGCTGATCCTGCCCTGTGGGTCCCACAGAATGACAACACCCAGAGCTGCATCCTTCCCCACCAAGCACCCACAAGGCATGGTGTCGCTTACCTGTACACTGTGGGCAGCAGGAATCCTGGGTGCGTGAGGGGTTCTGGCAGAGCAGCGGTGGGCACACCTCTGTCTCACACAGCACCCGTCCGCTGTGGCAGGTGCACTGAGTACAGGAGTCAATGTTCCACGTTTCTCCTTCCACAAAGTATTCTCCTCCAGGGGCGTGGCAAATGGAGGGAGTACTGAGCTCTGGCTTCTGCACCACAAAGTCATCTGGGAAATGACACAAAATCAGAACACATTATTCATCTGCAATCTTTCCAACTCTTGAAAGCCTGGTGCTGTTTGCTTTAAGGGATAGAAGAGATGAACTGTGAAGAGCATCTCGCTCTATTCTTATTAAGAGAATAGTGAAGAAAATATTCCATGCATGGAAACAGAAGACAATGGCAAAAGAGCTAATATTAGGACGTGAGGTTCAAGTGGTTTAAGTCTGTCAACAGTAATAAGAGAATTCAATAAGATCATTAAATTACAGGGAGGGGACTCCCACTCTAGAGATGAGAACAGGGGCCTCTTCTGGCATTTCTGTGAATGTGTAGGAACTGTCTCGGATTCAGATCTCTCATTTACAGAATACTTGGTACGGTTCAGTTATTTCCATGCTAAGCACTTCACATGTGTTATTTCATTTATTCCTTACAGTCACCTTATTTTATGCATGAGGAAACTGAGAGCTCAGGGAGAGACGAGGGAAACTGCAACCCAAGTCTATGGTTGTTTGGATCATGGATATGTCTCCAGATTAAATAAAACTTCCAAATGATCGATGCCCTATCTGCTTTATTATTTCTGGGATCCTGAGTACTTTTATGCTTGGAAATATGTCCTGCTGTCGAGCAGGCCACACCCCAATCTAAGCCAGCTGCCAGCAAACTGAGCAGGAATGCTCCTGTAGAATCAACAGTCTGAAAACCCTCACCTGAGACTAAACATGTGCTTGGCAATATCATCATGAAGAGAGGTAAATGCTGGCAGGCTGGTGAAAACTATCATTTCTTTCCCCAGAGGAGAGGTAGTTTTGGTCTCTTGGAGAGATGACACTGATAGAGAGGGAATTTAATGTTGAAAATGTCTGAAGAGGGGCTGGGAGTTGCCCTGAAGTTTTGCTGGGGAAATGAGAAGTATGAAGACATTAACCATAGTCACGTAATCCAAATGCAACAAGCACTTCAGGAATGTGTTGACAGTGTTGAATCCCGCCGAGAAAGAGTCTGGAGACATCACGGCTAGCTCATGCTTGGAGCTCAGTGGAAGTCACGCCCCAGAATGGGCCCATATATGCAGAGATGCTCAGAGCTGAAATCTTCTTAGGAGTGAATTGGGGCTATGACTTTCAAAGTGGTGGTTAGCATGAGAGTCAACAATACTAATGAAATTAAGTGATGTGGGCTGATTTCCAGTTAAGAGGGTAACAACTTCTAATACAGCTTTATCTCAAGGGAATTACAAAAGGCTGGAACTTAGACCCAGGGACAGTATCACAGAAAACTGATACTCATCAATCAATGCTTACATTCACAAGCAACTGTAACCAACTTTCCAGTATAAGAACAAGAGAGAGGAAGAGAATTACAATGAAAACTGTGCTGAACAAGATGGTAAATGTGCATCTGTGGTTTACAGAGAAACAAAAAGTCCCAAAGAGTATCGATAAATGAATATAGCAAAAGCCTCCCTTATTGCTTTCAAAAAGGGCTTAGAGAGGACTGACAATTACTGCCTTGTTAAATGCTGACATGTACGGAAGTGGTCAGAAGAAATCTGACGTGCGTGTTTGCAGGTATGCTTTCTGGCTCACCTTTTTGCCGTACGATATGCCTCAAGGCAAAACACAAGAGGGGCCAGAGACATGGAGACAAAAGAGAAACTCAAATGTAGAGTGTATGGAAGACAGAAAATCTGAGAGACACTATCATTTAGTAAATATTCATTAGAAGAGTTCGGGAGATACTCATGTATCCCAAGAAGAAAAACAGCTGATCTTGGAATGAAGAGGGGAGAAAAATATTCTTTAAAGTAGGAGTCCGTGAATGCAACAGCTCTGGAGTCTCTAATCAGAAGGAGGCTTATGTGGCAACATGCTAAAGATTTGCAGAAAACATTTACCTCTACACATCCATCTACAGAAATGTGTTTTCATACACGTATATCCAGATGTTGACACACCCACAGTAAGGTATCAACAACAACTTCACGTGTGCTTACGTAAGAACTTTCCATGACTCTGTAATAGAGAAAGATCTTTCTGGTTCTACTGATTTTCAGTTCTCAGGTCAATTATCCATTCTTAATGTCTTTGCATTTCTACCAATCTAGCTGTTAGAATTCTTCATTGAGGACATGTTTAGCAAAGACCCAGGTACAAATCCCTCCTCTATGCATTCACACCTATAATTAAAGCAGGGGTCTTCATGCAAACACATGATTTTTCCCTCCCCAAAGAGTCAACACAGAGTTCTATCATATTAAAGTCCTCATTTACCTTCTTATGCAGGGGACTCTAGCAGTTTTTCACACTTAACTAGCAAAATATCGGAAAAAAGGAAAGAGTTCTGACATGGAGCACCTCTAACTGAACTACAGGGAAACAAAACAAAATAAAAAGAGTCATCTCTTCTGCATTGTAATCTCGTTTTCTACAAGGTATGGGAGCTGCCTGTCACTCTGATACTGTAGCTATTGAGCTGTGCAGAATCTCAGAGCTGAAAGGGACTTCAAGTGTCCCTCTCCCCTGCTCCCCAACCATGGCGAACAAGGTCAGTTTCCCTCCCAGGCTAGTCTTGTTGCACAAGGACCAGGCCTCAGGCTCCCGGCTACACCTTTTGCACAGGTGGACTCACGCACAGGGAGATACAGGACCTGGACTGACCAGAGGAAAAACAATCATCCTCCAAAATCTGACAGTAGACTTAACTTTGAAAGAAATCTGATACAAGATTTGAGAGACTTCATTTCTCCCAGGCCTTTTGGTGGACATACTATTTTACTCTTGGTAAGACAGTCAATCTTTCTGTGTCTGTTTTCCAAATGAGAAACTGCCTCAATGTGTTTTTCCCTAACTCAAAGTGGCCTGCACAGAGAGGGAAATAATAGATATAAGACTGTGTTGAGCTCTTTGGATAAAACGTACTAGATGAAGTTTATGGTTATAATTACTGTTATTGACAATCATAATTCAGACTCCCTTGAATTACAAATCTGTTCTGGTTTTCTAGTAACTTATCCTGATTACCATGATTATGATTTTAAATGTTTTGGACGTGTGGTCACTCTAAATCTCTCCATTTGGCAAGAGTGCCACATGTCTATTAATTTAAAAAAGAGCAATAGCCACAGACTTCAAAAAGTTTCTCCCTCTCAAACATTACTTTAAATGTGATAAGGTTTTATGGGATAAAACTAGTACCAATCCCCTCATATTAATGAGGACATTCAGACTTAATATGCTATCAATAAAATGGAGAGCTGGAATGTAAGAACATCAGCCCACAAACCTTTACAAAAATGTAGTCCAAAGACCTTACATAACTGAGTCAATCATTCAAAAAGGAGGAGAGCCATTTCTACAATGATAGAATTTTCTCTGGTCTTTGGTTCTTCACTGATAGTGCCTGGATGATTCTGTGGTGGTGGTTGACAAAAACCACACAGTGCTGAAAAGTGTTCCAGGGGTTGTCCCCTCCAACCTCCCCAGAGTTACAAATGTGTCTAGGGCCCTGCAAGGCAGAAGTCATTTGCTTATGGAGCACACAGATGGCAGCCAGCTTTTACCTGCACATGATGGGCAGCACTGTCCAGGGTGAATGGTGGGGTTGCCACAGGCAGGCACCGGGCAGGTGATCAGGGCACACATTTCCCGTCCATTGAGACAGTAGCATTCCCGGCACCCATCGTGCCAGCTCTCCTCATTTTTATGATGATGACCATCCACGGTGAGACAAGTGCCCGACAGGATGGGTGGCCCAGCTGAAGCAGAGGCCTCTGGACAGACAAAAGGCAGCCTGGTAAAGAAGTGGCTACTGCACAGGAGAAACAGGCTACAGAGTCTGTACATGGACTGGACCCCAGCCACCAACAATTACGTCTAACACAGGACAGTTTGTGACATGGGACATGTTCATGAAAAGAATTTAAGTCAGTATGTTCTCAATCTTGAAAAAAGAAAAGAGAGAAAAAAACCGGCAAATAGTTTCTCTCCAATTCGTGGGATGATCGCTGATTTTTTATTCCTTCCACTGTACTTTCTCATATTTTATACAATAAACAAGCACTGATTTTATAACAAATTTTACAAATATGTTGAATGTATTCAGAAAAATCGCTCTAGAAGCTTCATCCAATGGGGACATCCTGGGCCCCTTGCAAATAACAGAGTTTTGTTCAGCAGAACAATTAAAGCAGTGACTAGATTTTTGTTTACTCCAACCCCTTAGAAACACCATTAAGGTGGTAACTGTCCAGTTTTGAAAAATCGTAAAACAAAGTTTAGGAATCTTTTATAGTTTAATCTGTGCATCATGCTGACAAGTACAACATAAAAAGGGATAGGCAGCAGGGCTGGAGCTGGGGTAAAGGCAGAAACGGCGGTCAGGGTGCATGCTCAGTGGCTTCAGGAAGCTCCCTGGAGAAGCCTCAGGCAGCAGGGATATCCAGGCTCTGTGCTTATTCACAGCTGTGGGCTGGCATGTGCTTATTCAGCCAAAGGCTAAATTCTCATGGAAAACTGTTATCTGGAAATACAGCAGCTAACTTCTGAGCTATACCCACCCTCTAGAACTTTGAAATGGGGCTATTTACTGTTGCAGTTTTATTAATCTTACTCCTGAACAGAGAGAAGCTCTATAGAGGTTCAGATAATTGTGCTTTAGGCTAAAGTTCCTGATAGAAGTAAAAAGAGCTAGGAAGTGATTAATTTAGTCAATGTGCTTGTCCATCATATACTTACTTTACATTCTATTCTGAGCTTTTACTTCATAAAAATGAAAGGAAAAGGGAGTCCTGTGGGACGGTCCCACAGAGACTGACATTTGTGTTAGAATAGGCAGCAACCACCGAAACCATTTCATTACAGGGTGTCCTTATGTTCCTTGTTTCGGTGCCCCTGGCTGCTTTGAGGGGGAAGGGCCATGTGTACACACTTACCTCTGCACTTGCAGATAAGACAGCCGTGACTGTCCTGCTGGAAACCCAAGGGGCAGATCTTACTGCATGAGAGCTCTGGACATTTCTTACAGCGACAGATGTCACAGCCGTGCTTATTCTTCCTGGGTAATTAAAATTTTGTCAGAGGTCAGAAAATCACAAAGTCTCAAATGATGCCCAAGCACTCAGACCAAGGGTCAATAAAGTGATATTGCTATTAAACAGAATGACTTGACTTTTGCTCTCAAAGATTCCTGGAGTGATGGGTAATTAGCTCCCTGTGGCCATTACCACCACTTACTCATGACCAAGGCAGAGAGTTGCCCAAGCACTTACGTGCTTCTAGGATGTGGCTCTCAGAATCTCAATGACATGACTGTTGATTTAATTAGGGAGAGTGGTACACCACAATAAAAAGATGAATGTGCAACTCCATGAATAGGAAAGTGAAGGAGATTTTGTTGGTTTATCTGTGTACTCATTTGTTTCTCCATCCATCCACCCACCCACCCACCTACGATCCATCCGTCCCTCCCTCCCTCCCTCCCTTCTGGAAGTATCTGCTGCATGCAGAAAGTAATTCTTTAGTCAGCAGGTACATAAAAGGGGCACCAACTGCTGCCTTCATCCTGACACTCCCACGTGGTGTCTGGCCAAGAATTCTCTTTTGGTGTGTGTCCTTAACACATGTGTTCTAGCCAGTATAATATTCAGTTGTCCAAGGTGTCCAACTGGGTCCTCCCTGAATGTGCTGACAGGAATACAAAGTGAAATCTACAATCTCCTAAGAGATTTTTCTCCAACATGACGGTTGGATTTGAACACAGCCTTGATTCTGAACTGTCATGATACTGTAGCAAGTGGTTGAAGCTACCTACTATTGTGATACAACTACTTCATTTTATATGAGCAGTTAGGCTAAGACATAATACTCTTATTGACATCATATTCTTATTTTAGGATTAAGAATGATGATGATTCATTATTTTATTTGGGGAATTTTACGGAACAATGTTTCCAATTTAATTATCCAATGAAAATTATAAAGACGACCCCTCCCAAACCTAGAATTTTTAAATGAAGAATGAAAAAGATGACTGACAGAAGATGGGAAAGAGATGATAGGTCTAAGTCCCTTATAATTACTAGCACTAGGCCAGGCACAGTGGCTCATGCCTGTAATCCCAGCACTTTGGAAGGCCAAGGTAGGCTGATCGCTTGAGCCAGGAGTTCCAGATCAGCCTGGGAAACATGGTGAAACCCCATCTCTCCAAAAAATACAAAAATTAGTTGGGCATGGTGGCGCATGCCTCTAGTCCCAGCTACTCGGGAGGCTGAGGCTGAGGCTGAGGCTGAGGTGGGAGGACTGACAGCCTGGGAGGTTGAGGCTGCAGTGAGCCATGCTTGTGCCACTGCACTACGGCCTGGGTGGCAGAGCACTACCCTGCCTGAAAAAAAAAAAAAAAAAAAAGAAAAGGAATCTAGCACTACATAAACATATCAAATTGGAAAGACAGATTGAAATGAAAGAAAGACAGCAAAGGGAAAAATATAAATTAAGGTGATTTTTCTAAAGGCATCAACCTGATATAAAGGCAAATATAGGTGCTTATACAGACACGAAAGAAACAAATATGAAGTGTCTATTTCCCCCCCTGGAATAATCTAGATTCTCATGGGGTTTGACTCAATAAAGTATATTAAAAAATAAAAGTAATGGCCCTTAGCTCCAAGAAAATTCATAAAAATCTAACGCTAGATAAAGAAAAAAATACGAAACGCTGACTAGTTCCAAGGTGAGACACCTAGGCATGGCAGCTAAGGATGCACTGTATTTCAAGTGAGTGGGGGGTCGGTCTTCAATTGATCTTAAAGTATGTGTTAAATAAATGATCACAAATAGACCTTGGGACAGGTGTGAAGAGTTGTAGCACTTCCAACACTGGGACCTCACAATTCCATCTCCTAATCTTGCCAGCAGTGTCTAAAGGACTCTGCTATGGGAAAGTCTCATATAACAGGCACAAAGGGTGTGTCTGGCCCATGTCCATAAAAAGTAAAAGTAAAACTTGATTCTTTTTTTTTGGAGATACAACCTTCTCCCTGCTTTCTGAATCACCTAACAAAACAAGTATAGACATTCTGGGCTCAATATACCATAGATTAATTCACAAACAACATATAAAACAAAATGTGTAGAAACATTTCACCAAGTTGCACTTCATAATAGCTTTTCTGAATTAACAAATACGTACAGCAATCCAAGTGGACAATACTTGTCACAGATTATGGGTCTGCACTTCTTGGGCCTTGGGCGGCACTCACAGATCTCACAGTTTTGGGCATCAGTAAGGAAACCGAAGGGACAGTTCAAGGTGCAGCCTTGTTTACGTTCTGAACATAGTTCCTCGGCTGTGAAGACACAGAGACGGCATGTTTCTTCCAAAGATGAACAGAGCAGAACACTTCGATGCTGAAATACGGTCCCTGAATCCTCCACTCTTCCACAGATCTCAATTTCTCAGCTCTACCATGGCACTGGTTATCATTAAAAAGCATAGACTGTGCTATTTCATGGTTATCACATGACTCCATGTTTTGGTAATAATAAACAAAATAAAGTCCAACTTTGAAATGCATAGATTTCTAAAGTGTACTCAAATCTGGTAGGCTCTGAGTGAACAGCAGGCTGATAACTATTACAATTAATGACTGAGATCATTTTTCCATGAACTTTATAAATCACTTCAAACCACTGATGACCATTTACATTATGTGGGAATTAGAAATTTACAGTCCAATTTTCATTATATGTTTTATTTCTATTGCATGTCCATAATAATGCATGTCCTTTTTTCTTTTGTTGGAGACAGAATCTCTCGCTCTGTCATTTAGACTGGAGTACAGTGGCGTGATTTCGGCTCACTGCAACTTCTGTCTCCTGGGTTCAAGTGATTCTCCCACCTCAGCCTCCCAAGCATCTGTGATTACAGGCATGCACCACCACGCCCAGCTAATTTTTGTATTTTTAGTAGAGATGCGGTTTCGCCTTCTCTACTAAATGTTGCCAGGTTCTTCTTGAACTCCTGACCTCAAGTGATCCGCCAGTGTCAGCTTCCCAAGTGCTGGGGTTACAGGTGTGAGTCACTGCGCCCATCCCATAACGCATGTTTTTAAATATCCACATGACAACTACTTTTATGGGTGTTAGATGCTATCATATAATACTGCATATTGTATGCAGCATAAGGGATTTCTTACTATTACTTTCAAAAAAGTACATCTTTTACAAAATGATAGTAATTAAAATATTCAGTGTTACATTTAGATATGTTTTTTCTCTATGTGCTGACAAATACCCCTGTATTTGGATATACTTACATAATAGGCTTTTTAGTTCACAGGCTAAAAAATGTGTGTGTTGAAAAAATACTCATATTAAGGTTTAAGTAACCACTATTTGAAGTGTTCAAAGTATCCCGTTAGCAGAATCTGGAGTGATGTTTAACTGTCCTCTGCTAGTCAGTTACAATACTATTTTAGAAGAGCAAAAAGGAAAGTAGCAATGGTGACTAGCAACATTACTGAAGTTATTAGCCTAATAGAAGTCTTCTAAAATGATTTTAAAAGGTTATATAGGGCTTACGAGAGAAAAGGGAAATAGAAATGTTTAAGGTTAAAAAGAAAAAAAGCATGCTTAATTATATAAAGCAAGCAAGTTGAGACCTGTGTGAATTAAATATAGAATTTGAAAGACAATCAAATTTAAAGAAGGGAAGTTAATATGGTGATGGCCAAAGTACAGCAATGTTTGAATATTGTTCTACATGGACTGGTGAAATGGGAAGCAGAGTCTAATTATTGGAATGATGAACAAATTTTTATTTTATCTGGCCGTCCTTTAAGCATGAATATTGTAATAACACAGAAGTCACTGGGAAAAACAGAACGCATCTGTCCCCTCAAAACACACTTATATTATAATCTAAAATTAAAACTTAACTACAATGAATAGGTGAAATGGGTCCGTGTTTTACATAAATATTTCAAGATAGCATCTTTTGTGAATCTCAGTTGGCAATATTTGCATATTTAATTTGCTATCTTTTAAGAAGGAAAATGTGATTTATGGTGTAATTTTCTACTCTGTCATTATCATAAACCTTTTATTACACATATAAATATAACCTCATGTGCCTGTATTACACTGTAAAGCAACTGATTACTAATTTGCATCCTTAAAAGAGAAATTCTAAATGGTTCATTTAGAAATTTGTAATTATATGACTTGAAAGGTCATAATTTTTCATTCCCCATTATTAAGGGAATGGTGAAAAAAGAAGACTTTATTAGTCATGTTTCTCTAACACAGATGTCAATTGTGAACCCATTTTTCTGTCACAAGAATGCTTAGGTCATGGCTACAAATGAATTATGTTGGGAAACAGATGAATTAAAAACACCCTGAAAACCTCCCAGAGTCAGTCAACATCCCTTGGGATTAAATTCCCTGCAATTTTGGAGCCTGAGCACCTTGGTGCCTTTATTTTTCTGGTCCTGCAATAAAGAAGGAGTTTTTCCACAGACCTTGATCTTGAATGTGCTTCACCTTTAAAGAAAACTGTTGTGTCTCCATTCAAGTTTAAACAATGTGATAAAAACTAGTCTGTAATCTACCTCTGCTTTGCAATGGAATGGAATTTCAAACAAAGGCTGGTACATTTAAATAAAAATACAGGACATTCATTAGAAGGAGACTGGCTATGCCTCCTAGGAGTGGGATGCTCTAGTGCTGCCCTGAATTGGGACCATTCTCCTGCATGTTATGCTCTGGCCCATCTACATTCAGCTTCCCAATAGAGGGAGCTCTAGGCCCAGGCCCTAGTATCTTTAGGCACACACTGTATAGGGACAACCATGGTATTTGGTACAGAGTGGGTATTCAACAACATTTGCTAACTAAATGCATCAATCAATGTTCTTGTTACCTACTCCTCCACTGTCATCAAGACTGCTATATTATCAGAGAAATGACAGCATGAAAATAACTTACTCTGATAACATTGAAATTTTCCTGAAATACTAGCACTTGCCAAAACATCTCAAAATACCATCTTCTAGTTCAGAAATAGACAACATTAAAAACTGGAAGGTAGTCCTAAATCCACATATGTCAATTATGAAGTTTTCTTAAGAGAAATGCATCATCATAGCAAACATTTAAATAAAGAGGAGACTGACTGCGGCTGGCTGGAACCTGTAATCCCAGCACTTTGGGAAGCTGAGGTGGGAGAATTGCTTGAGGCCAAGAGTTTGAGACCAGCCTGTGCAACATAGTGAGACCTTGCCTCTGCCAGAAAATAAAACATTAGCTGGGTGTGGTGGTGAGTGAATGTAATCCCAGCTACTTGGGAGGCTGAGGCAAGAGGATTACTTGAACCCAGGAGGTCGAGGCTGCAGTGAGAGCTGTGACTGCACCACTGCACACCAGCCTGGGTGACAGGGTGAGAACCTGTGTCTAAAAAAAAAATAAATAAATAAAAACATAAATAAAGAGTAGAAAAACAGTATTCATAGAAGGGTAGGGGTTTATATGTTTGTTTGTAAAGCTTTAGTACATCACTTGAGGCAACCACGCAGAAAAAGGTGGCTTTATGTTCCTAATTTTTCAGCGTCATGACTTTACCGTGATCTAAAATTGCTTTCTAATACATGGGGAGAAGTTACGATTGAAGAGAAAGTGATGAACAATGGCAAAGTACAGGGCCTGTACAGCATGGCCGGTCGATAGCAACTATGTAGTAAAACTCTGTTCATTCTGGAAAAATAGGAATGTTTGCTCCTATGCTCAAAACGTGACACAGCTGTCGGGGGCGCCATTCATTATATATAAATACAACGTAACCTCCATGGAGAACACACTGTGGATGGTGTCCCCTAGAGGAGTACTGCATACTTCTTTGCTGTAGTACAGCAGGTCCTCAAACAGCAATGGTTTTGTTCAACATCATTGTGTCATAACTTTTAGGAGGGGAATAAAAACCAGTTCTCGGTTGGGGCCACTCTCTGTGTGGAGACTGCATGTTCTCTCATGCTGTGTGGGTTTTCTCTGGGTACTCTCACATCCCAAAGATGTGCACGTTAGGTGAACTGGGGTATCTACATGGTCCTAATCTGAGTGTGTGTGTGTGTGTGTGTGTGTGTGTGTGTGTGAGAGAGAGAGAGAGAGAGAGAGAGTGTGTGTGTGTGTGTGTGTGTGTGCACCCTGCAATGGGATGGTGTCCTGTTCAAGGTCGATTCCTACCTTGCAGCTTGCAGAGCTGCTGGGATGGGCTGTGGCCACCCTCAACCCTGGACTGGAATAAGCAAGTTGGAAAATAAATGAGTGAATAAATACAAATTCTTATAAAATACAAATCTGTTAAAGCAGGTGATAATCACACAAACGTACAACAATAAACACTGCAGGACAACAGCGTTCAGTGAGCCTGCCACACTGGGTATGGTATGTGTTTGAACTGCATGGCAGAAGGAGGTGCTCCTTACAATGTTTGCTTTGCAAACATTTATTCGTTGATTCAACACAGCACCACTACAACCACTATCACTCACTGATTCATTAAAAATGGGGAATCATCATTGTACTTGTTTTTTGTTAACCTTTCTTAAATGTATATATAACTCATGCTTACTTTAATTGTTACTATTAGAAATGTTTTAGGTCTTTATTTAGAAGTTTGGTGATGTTTTCGTGACCAGAAATATATGGTAGGAACTTAACTCTTGTTTATATCAATTAGCCTCTGGTAAAACTGGTTTTGTTACATGTCATTCAACACAGCACCACTACAACCACTATCACTCACTGATTCATTAAAAATGGGGAATCATCATTGTACTTGTTTTTTGTTAACCTTTCTTAAATGTATATATAACTCATGCTTACTTTAATTGTTACTATTAGAAATGTTTTAGGTCTTTATTTAGAAGTTTGGTGATGTTTTCGTGACCAGAAATATATGGTAGGAACTTAACTCTTGTTTATATCAATTAGCCTCTGGTAAAACTGGTTTTGTTACATGTCATTTCACGTAAAGTCATAGTTTCCAAGAATCTACAGAGGATGTTAAGTGAGGACTTAGTGTATTTTAAACTCTTAGATGCTGGCAATTCCTACAAACCTATTATCAGTTCAGGATGGCCATGAAGTTCCCAAGACTACTAAGTAAAGAAATGCAACATTACAAATGGTGGTCCCAATTTTGACCCTGATAGGTGTTAGTTTAGAATTACAGTGAAATAAAACAAGGAGCCTGCCTCCCTATATTTGATGCTGCAACCTTCTTGTGATGTTTGATTCAGATACATATTTCATGAAAAATATGAAGGCTCTTTCCTCTCTGCTGACTGATGCAGAATTCTACAAGTCTGCATCAGTTTCTAGAAAAAGCACTATTAATGTCTACAATTAAAGAATGTTAAAATTGGAAGAGAACTTACAAATAATCTGATCAAATCCACTTGATTTAAAGATGTGTACACTAAGATGCCAAAAGACTGATGCTACTTAATTCATGCAGATGCCTTTCATACAGAGTTTATGTAGTAAGCAGGTATATTACGTCTATTAGCAAAAGACACTGGTTAAAGAGCAATGTTGTTAAAAGCTTGTATCTACAAAGTGTTAGGTTACTAGTTGCTTTATATCATTTTAAAATCATTTTAGTTTTAAACTTTGTTGCTATCATACTTTTAAAAACATTTTTTATTCTAAACAAGTTTTTGAGGAACTGAGTCAGGGATAATGTAAACTTTCTGTATGTCCTGGAGTACTACTTTTCTTAGTGTTACAAGAATGTTATTTGTTACCGATTAAAACGGCAAATTACGTTATGTTCAAATGAAAGAATTCTGTATCATATACTTGCCACATACTTTTGAAGCACATGTTTCTATAGGGTTTTGATTTCAATCCTAATGTGACTGCCTAAAATATGCTAGATTATGTTGTCTCTTTACAACATATTAACATATGACTAATATTACCAACAAATTACCAATGTGAGTCAAGGGTAAGGACTATTTTTAATCTTCTTTAGGATATAGTAGGCACTCAACAAATGCTAGATGAATAAAATAATGAGTGAATGAAGAACAACAAATCAACGAAGACAGAAGAAATACTTGTGGGGTGCTGGCCTTGTTTTAAGAAATCTTGAAGGGCCAGGTACGGTGCCTCACACCTGTAATCTCAGCACTTTAGGAGATCGAGTCGGGCAGATTGCTTGACGCCAGGAGTTCGTGACCTGCCTGGACAATGTGGCAAAACCTTGTCTCTACAAAAAAATACAAAAAAAATGAGCTGGGTGTGGTGGCAGTGCCTGTAGTCCCAGTTACTTGGGAGGCTCAGGTGGGAGGATCGCTTGAGCCTGGGAGGTTGAGGCTGCAGTGAGCTGTGTTTGCACCACTGAATTCCAATCTGGGTAACAAAGCAAGACCCTGTATAAAAAAAAAATCTAGAAGCTAATGGAAACTAGGCCTAATCCTTAAGAGAAAACAGGTATAAATGCTTAGGACTACTGTATGTGAAAAAGGTTTTGATGGGATGCAGAAAAATAATGTAAGGGTGAATTTGGGACAAAATAAATACCTATATAAAGCAGCTGCAATAGAAAAAAAACAACCTATTATTCCATAGTTGGCTATAAGAAACTCCCTTCTCTAAAACCAAGGAGGAGAAAGATAATATTTGAGGGTTACAATGAAATGAAAAAGTAAAAGGAAAGCTGTTGGTGTGAGTGTCCTTAGAGGGCAGGAAGAACTGGAGGCAGGCTGATGGGGTGGGAACAAAGGGGGGCGGGGACGCTGGGGGCTTTCCATGTTGGCTAGCTTGGGCCGACTCAGAAGAAGATGCTATAAAATAGTTACAGTGCAGAGTAAGCAACGGCCATATGCCAGCCAGAGTTAGCTTTGCATTCATTCATTTATTTAGTCCTCAAAATAACCCATTAGTTAGGTACTATTATTTGCCCTTTACATATGTGGACACAGAGTCCCAAAGAAGTAAAGCAACTTGCCTTTATTACCCATGTGGAAGTCAGCATAATTTGTGGTGGACCCAAGATTCAAACCCAGGCAGTCTGACTCCAGTCACACTCTCAGCTTCTGTGCAACACAAAAGCTGCTGTGCAGAGCCTGAGAGGAGAGTTGCATACGATCGCAAGAATCTGACAAAACCCAGGACCTGGAAATTTGGTTTGATTTGACTGACATCCCAAAGGTGTGGCTTCCAAAGTTGCCAAATAACCTGGATTGCTAATACGAATGGGGGAGGTGACAGCAGAATGCTGTATGTCTAGACTTCTGTATAGGACAACCTGAAAAATTCCAATCAGTGTTGAAGTAAGTCTTTAGGTATACAGTGGGGCAGTGAGCGAGATGACAAGACTAACTTTAAGAAGAATCCAAAATAAGATGGATATATTATTAGAATAGCAAGACCTCAAAGGGAGATCTCAGGCAAGAATGATATCCAAAGGCATCTCTGATCCTGAAGGTTTCCTTTTTATTCACTCAGCCAGTATCTGCTGAGCACCAAGTAGAGCCCTGGGAGACGGGCAGTTCTTTCTCTACTCTGGTGTGAACATAAGCCTGGGTTCTGCTGAAGGACCAAAGCTTCCTCTTAAAATAATTTACATTTGTACGTTATAGCTTTTGGCTTAAAGTAGTGATATTTCATGAGTGTTTATGCTACAGAAGACTTTTTTCCTTAGGGAAGGTCTTGCATTTTAGTCATCTTTGTGGCCTTAATACCTAGAATACTACCTAGAATGTGGCAGGTGCTCTGTTTATATTAGGTGAAAAAAGGAAGGAAGGAAGGCCAGCTATCTGTATAAATGGGTACAATTTGCAAATAATAAATTTATTGATACAAAATGCAATGGTCTCCTCCTGTACCTATTTCTTCCTAAGTGTGAATGAAACAGAGGTGCACTCAGGTAGCACATGCTGATGATCCTTTTAAAATGCCAAACAAAACACTAACCTAAAGATAGGGTAAATATGCATCCTCCTTATAGTCTCAACTTGCCAAATGACTATTTGCCAGTGACTATTTGCCAAGGGACATATTTTGACTCTTCCTTCAAAGGCAGTTGAGGGAAACTGCTTCTTTGAACTTAATGATGAAAGATTCCGTGTGAAGTGACCGAAGTCTTAGATAAGCATGACCGGGTGGCCAAGATTTCACAATAGCAAAACCCAGGCGCAAGTGTAGGTGAGGTGACTGGACACAATGAAATCTGTATTTTTAGACTTTTTAGAAACTCAGAAAAAATGTATTAATATATATGATCCCATGTTAAGAAAGATGTAGCTTTCTTAATGTAAGAGGCATTAGAAGGATTAAAATATAAACACTTCATGACAATTACTAATTATCTTGTTCAAAAAACAAGGTTGGCCATTTGAGAAAACTTGGGCTGCCAAGGCAACTCTAGTGAACTTGGCTTTCTAAAGGGAGGTATAAAAGGCAACAGGGACTGACCCTTCCCCGAACAGAATCAAGTGTAGGAAGTCAGAATACCCCCAAATGGGTAGAGGCTTATAGGAAATTTAAAGATGGTAGTAACTACAAGCTCAACAAGAGTTTTTTTTTTGTTTGTTAGTTTTTTGAAAAAGGGTCTTGCTCTGTCACCCAGGCTGGAGTGCAGTGGCACAATCACAGCTAGCTGCGGCCTCGACTTCCCGAGCTCAAGAGATCGCCCCACCTTAGACTCTTGAGTAGCTGGAACTACAGGCCCTTGCTATCATGCCTGGCTAGCTTTTGTATTTTTTTTTGTAGAGATGGGGTTTTGCCATGTTGCCCAGGCTGGTTTCGAACTCCTGAGGTCAAGCAATCCATCCACCTTAGCCTCCCAAAGTGCTGGGATTATAGGTGTGAGCCACCACGCCTGGCCAACAGGCGTTTTATAAACTCAGTTTTAGCACTAACGCCACTGTAGATAGTGTGATGGTCACATGTAACTGAGGAAGCAGAATGGCTTAACTCCTATTTTGTATCTTCTTCAAAAATATTTTTAAAATAGTGACAAATAATTAAGGTTAAGTGGTATGTTAAAGCCTGAGATAACTGATAAATCAGAAAGTGAGCATCTGTCTACGTTAAGTCCAAGTCTCTGAGCCATGGTAATTACAACCACAGGCCCACAGAAAGCCCGCTTATTACAGAACCAGTACTGTGTGTGAGAGAGATCGAAGAGAATGGAAAGAGATTTAAGAAAATAGGCCAAATGTCAATTCAAAAGGGACAAAGTGTTCTAAAAACTACATAAATTGACATTCACAACTGAAAATTCTTCAGAAATAATTGTTAAATATATGATTTGTGACATTTAGGGGAATAAAGCACTGACTACCAGGAGCCAGTACAGATTCTGGAAAAATAAGCCAGGCCCCTATAACTTCAGCTCATTTTAAAAATAGGGTTTCCAGCAAAGGAATGCTCTGATGTATTTTGCAATATATTTTGACTTCAGACAAGATACGGGCGAAGTGTCTTTCAAGATTTCTTGTGGAGATATATGTTGTCAGCTAAATAACTCTACTCAAGGTATAAATGCTTAGGACTACTGTAAGCAGCTATGTTCAGCATCATTCTGCAGGTCTTTGTCCTTGGTTCTGTGCAGTTTATTTTAATTCAGTGATTTAGATAAGGATATATAAGTTGTGCTTATTTAATATAAGCTGGGAGGCATAAAGTATAAGATCACATTATTGAGATTCAAAAATATCCCAACTAGTTAGAAAATGGTTTAAAATGATTCGGATAATTTCTTGTTATATTTGGCCGGGTATTTATATCGTTTAAAAAAAAAATCAAACGTTCTATTACAGAACAGATGAGAACCACCTAACAGCAGGTGATGTAAAAAAGTTCCTAGTGTTTTTAGCTACTTATAACCTCAATATCAGCCAACGAAGTGCAATTCAAGGAGCTAATGCAAACTTAGGCCACACAGTAGCACTGTATTCAGCAGACCAAATTGTGGAGTACCTTTTTCTGAGACAGTGTCTTTTGCTGTCATCCAGGCTGGAGTGCAGTAATGCGCTCTCAGCTCACTGTGACCTTTGCCCCACCAGGCTCAAGCGATCCTCCCACCTCAGCCTCCCGAGTAGCTGGGACCACTGGCGCATACCACCATGCTTAGCTATTTTTTTTTGTATTTTTGGTAGAGGCTGGGATCTCGCCATGTCGTCCAGGCTGGTCTTGAACTCCTGAGCTCCAGTGATCTGCCTGCCTTAGCCTCCCAGAGTGCTGAAATTATAAGCGTGAGCCACCATGCCTGCCCATTCTGGAGTATCTTGATTGTGGGCCATATTTTATGTAAAGACAATGACATATTGTGTGTCAAATGATGGTAAAGATCAACAAAGTTCTAGGAACTGTCACCTGAAGAATGGTCAAGGAGAATGAGGATGTTTATTCCGGCAGAAGAATTAGGGGAATTCGAAATGGTTTTAACATATATGGGGGTGGGGTGTGTGTGTATTATTTTATTTTTTTCTGGAAGAAATACAATATACTCTTCTATACTCTAGAGGGCAGGGCCTGGATACATGATTGGAATCTGCATGGAGGCAAAGCTGGGGTCAACAAAGTGAAGCACAGTCTAAGGATTATGGCTGTCATATGCGGAATGTGACACTGTATGCGTGGGTGACCTCCTTGTCACTGGATGACCTGGCAAGTGTACTAAAGGGAGAGCGTTCTGGGTGGCTGGAAGGATGCACTCCAAAGCCACTCCAGGTTGCACTCCTGATGCAACTGGCCATCAAGGAAACAGAGAAAAAAACACAATAAAGCAGCAGCTCCTTTCTCCCAAATGACTATGTATTTGTTTGTGTTAAAAATAACTTTTTTCCCCTTTTTTTCAGGTTGTCAAGGGAATGTCTGAACAGAAGTGAAAAAGATATTCAATTACATAATATGCTTTGACAATATCATATTAGGCCTCAGAAAAAACATACAGTCTTCTGTCTACTCACTGTTTATGCACTGACAGGTCCGACAACCATTGTGATCGCGTTTGAAACCATTAATGCAGTCCTTCCCTGTCAGAGTGCAGTTTGATAACTCCCCACATGCAGGTGGATCAACTGTGATGATGGTTGGTTCTAATAATAAATAGAGAAAAAAATAACCAATGAAACATATGATTACCTTTTAGATGCTATTCAATTTTTGAAATTCCACACCATAATGTTACAAAAATCAAATCAGTAATTGTCATCAAATCGTAAACTTTTATGCTCCAGTAATATCTTTAACCCCTGAAACAGATATATTTGTGTTCAGATTTTTGAAAATGTGAACACTCTGCTTCTTTGCGTTTGAGCAATTCATGCAGTTTTTGGTACCTTCACACAATTCTTCTCTGATGGTCACCACTACTGGAAGCAGACGAGAGAGGTTAACATGAACTCTGTTTAAATTGTTAACTGCTCTTCTATTTCTTCCTGATGTTTTCCGGTTTATTTTTTATAATAATCAGGATACAGCTGTCAACTATCAATTATCTCAGTCCCATTCTGTAATACTTCTGAAATCGGTTACTATTTTTTTTCCAAATTAATAAATCAGTTTTTGAGACTAGCTTAAAACACCTGGATTTCTTTTATCTTTTATGTGGCACTCCCTCACTTATGGTAGATGATACGACAGATAACTACACACTTATCCTCAGGGCCCAGAGACTTGTGGGAGCAGAGGGAGATACACACATTCAGGACAAAGAGTGAGCAGCCATGCTGGGAATAAGGGCACTAAACAAAGCAAGACCAGAGGTGACGCTTTACCATATTAATGAAGAATTGCTTTGGGTAATAACGGTAACTACATATACTTACATAAAGCATATTATGTATTTATATAAGGTTTAAAGTGCTGTTCATAAATGCCTTCCAGCTTTACCATATTCCAATGAGGTGGGTGCTATTATTATCCTCAATTTACAGATGAGGAAATCTAGCACACTGACCTGCCCATGGTTACAGCATTAGTTTGTGGTGGACCCAAGATTCAAACCCAGGCAGTCTGACTCCAGTCACACTCTCAGCTTCTGTGCAACACAAAATCTGCTGTAATGGTACCTGTTTCTCAATGCATCAATAAGGGACAGTTTATATAATGCCAGGTTGTGGGAACGGTGTTGCCAAAGGGAACAGAGGCACTGACATACTTATGCAACATCTTTTCAACAAAAATATACTAACGTCTTCAAAGTAAGCTGTTGCTCACAATATCTTTGTGAAAGAGCTGAGTATAGAATGTCTCTACCTACATTTTCGCAGATGGAAAATATGAGGTGCAGAGAGGGTAACTGGCTTATCTAAGTTTACATAGTAACCCAGTAGCAGGCTGGGAATAGAACAGAACAGAGGTTCCCAACCTCCTGTCCAACACTCTATCCATTAGTCCACACTGTTTTCTCAAGTTTCATCTCCTGTTACCAGGGAAGAGAGATCAAAATAAGTGTTTTAGCTGCCACTGCTGAGATCAAGAGTTCTAAATTTTTATCCATCTACTAAAAGGGGACAGTGATTCAACTCTTCACAGGTAGCAGGCAACGATGACTTACTAAAGAGATGCTTAGATCAGCATTCTCCCAGTAAAAATATGTATCAAGTGAGTATAGCACATTCTCTATTCTTATTACAAAGAACAGCATCTTACTAAAATTTTTATATAAACTTTTCACTGATGTAGTTTCTAATTTCCTTCAATAACCAAGGTATTCTTCCTGACAGATAACTGTAAACATCAAAAAATAACTAAAGTTTAGTTGTTTTAAGACATCCTGAGTTAGCGTATTGCTGCTCCCCTCCATTCTCTTAAAATTTACTGCAAACATCTTTAGTTCTCAAACCTATTAGTCTTTCTTTTATCACTACTTTTCTTAGCTACCCCAAATAATGATTCTATTCCAGTCTTCAGTCCCAAGACTGCCAATGTTTTGTCAAAATTACTCTAACCACAAATATGAGAGAGCGTAGAAGGCAAGTATCAGGTTTAAGTAAACCCACCACAGGTTATCCCAGTGAGAAAGGACTTCTATGTTCTAGAGCGATTAGGCCAAAGTTGAGGGAAGAATTCTGAACTCTAGGCACACTGCTTTCCTGGACAGCTTATGGGTAAAGAAATGTCTTAAGCATATCTACACATACCAAAATCTTCTATTCTTTACTGACATTTAATATGTGAAATTTATGAGAAAATTTTGCCTTCAGAAAACATACTATGGAAAAGTATATACTGAAGATTAAACTGACCTTGAAAAATGTATAATCATCATATCATAGGGTAGTATGGAATTTTAGCAGCAGTGAATTTTAGGGATTTGCTTAGAGAATCCATCGTCCAACTTTTACAAAGATGATCTTCTACCTCTAAATGATATTTGCTCTCAATAGTGATGTATGTGCTGTTTTTTAAAAAATATATTAGATTAACATGCGATTAAGGTTGTGATCTGTGGCTAGAAAGTGAAAGGAACAAATGGACTGGGTTATTTGAGGATCAGAACCACAATGCTGACTTGGGCAGCCCCGTATCAGTCACAGAAGCCAATCTATCCAAATGGCTTCAACAGTTAGGTACACAGTCACAGATGTACATCTAACACACATTTCTCCAGGAGAGGAAATATGTTCAATATGTTTTCCTAAAATATTCAGCATAACAGGTTTTGTTCACTTGAACAAATAAAATTGCATAAAGGGCCGTTCAGTATGTGCTGGTCTTACAATGTGTGTGTTAAATATTTCAGGTAAAACAAGTCCCATGGGATACCTTCCAAGCCTCAACGCTGTAGCATGCAAGAAGCAAAAAATCATTTTGTGCCTCTGAAATTAGTATTTTCCCATTCACTTATGACCTATATTAGATGAAAGAAACAGGGAAGTACAGCCATTTCAAATTTTTATACCCTCAATATTTAACATTAAACACAGAAAAACACAACAAAATCTTTTATTCATGAAAACTTTCAATTTACATTAGAACTATTCAATTTCCCCTCAATAGATTAGGGTGAACACAACAATAGTCATTGTGATATGTTAAATATAGCTAGAAATCTAGGTTTTCTTAAGAAGACATTTTAACACTTGGCATCTCATTTTATTACATTTAACAAATACATCTCATTTTCCTACTCAGACACAAACTGGAACAAATTTTAAAGTTTTTTTCCGGGTGGTAACACATGTGTCTTGGGTCCTTACTGCTAATACCCTATGTAATTGGAGTAACTGTTGAGTTGTACACATTTGCAGGCAACTAGTTGTCTCCTGGCATTTCAATTGAAGTCATCCATTATAGTGTACTGCCTTTCGTCATTCTCCCAACATTTTAGTGCTTGGTTTCCTATCATGTGAGACCATAGCCAGAGTAGTTAGATTTCCATGAGAACAACATTACGACAAAAATATGACCGGTAAGTATATAGACTATCTACCTATTTATGAATTATCTAGAAAAAAATCTCACATTATTGTTAAACATATTTGAGAGTTTGCTTCCAGTCCAACATATTATTATATAATCTCAGAACTGATCCTATTACTAATGTCAGGGCAATTTTTTGGAAACAAGTGCCATGAGACAACTGAGATTCAATTTCTTATGCTAAATAATTAGCTCCAAAGTGAGACATATTTGACACTGTTCTCAATTAAAGCATTTCAAATCAATATTATATTTATAGTTCTTAAAGAATAATGACCAAGAGCTGGTCAGATTCTTAACATAGCTTTTATCCAAGAGAGTTCCTGGTGGGAGAAGAGGTGATTTTAAAGAATCTAGAATCATAGTATCTCAGTATGACTGTTTCTCATCCAAAAAAAAAAAAAAAAAAAAATAAATAAATAAATAAAGAGGCTTGAGGGAGTGTGAGCAAAGTATGTGAAATATACATTCTGCTTGTCTAAAAGTTAGAGCATTCTGAAATTTGCTCATCAGGAATTGTTATTATCCCAGACTTTTCTCTAGTCTATGCAACAGTGCTTTGAATACGGAAATTGCCTGTCGGATTTTGGTCTGAAGACCAGAAGATTCTCATTTAAATCCTACATTTCTGTGCTCCTATGTTACAGGGGGTATGGCACTGAAACTGTGTGTCGGAGAATACAAGCCTTTCTAGGATGATGGTGATCCCCTATCTTTGGCGTGTTTCGTAAACAAAGTTCAATTGAACAGAGGTCCTGCTAAGATTTCTGGCGGCACTGATGCATCCCTGTACATGATACTTGCTGCTTGGAGCAAAGAAAACTGTCCCCCGTTAAACTAGCTTGGTAGAAATGTGTTAGTAGGCCTCTTTCAAAGGAGAGAAATGTTCTTAGATTTCCTCATTTAGGAGAATGAGGAAATCCTTGCACAGAGGTGGGGTTTTGGAGAGGGGAAATTCAGTGAAGTACTGTTTATAGGATCACCTTGAAATTCTATCTCATCTTGTATTGAATCAGCTGAGGAATCAAAGAAATACCTTAATGTCCTCCAAAGGAAGAAGGCTTGAAACAGCAGGAATTCACTGTCTTTGGCTACAACTATTTCTAAAGGGAACCCTCCAACAGCTTCCTTGTGGAGAAGAATTCTAAAATATTCTGAGCCTAGAAGCAATAAAGAACAAAAATGGGTGTTTGTTATGTCTACATTGGTTTGCTGTTTTCTACTCAGCATCTGAGTGGGAAACTTTCCTCTCCTCTACCTGTTGTTTTCTTGAACGATTTTTAGAGACCCTCCAAGCACCTTACACTGTCCAGAAGAGCTATTTTTAAAGAACCCTTGGGATTGTGTCAGGAGTGCAGATGCTCAGCCACCAATTCTTATCCCAAGTCTTAGAAAACAAAATTTTGAAAGAAAATATCTTCTAACGTGCAATAACATACACAAACACATGTTGATTCTTTATTTTACATTTATTAAAAATTTAGGGTTACTTCTTTCATAACCTAAAAAGCCTAACAGATGTCTTGTCAGTAAAATTATTTCCAGGAAAATGTTAGTATTTTTTACAAATTAGAGAGCTTCAGACACTGTTATTGAAAAACACCATCGGTATTTTATATTGATGCTCACATATTTCCTAGGAGCAATTTTATCTACTCAATGGCGAAATTAAGCTACTGGGATCACAATTAATTTGATTAAAAATATAAAGTTAAAATGAAAATCATGAATCTAACTTCAAGGCCACGGTACTAAACCATAAATACATATTCGGTTATTCAGGTGTTATAAATGTGTTAAGCAAACAAATCTAAGCTCTCTACTTTCTTGCCTTTTGTTAGTTTATTTTATGAGAAATTCTCCAAAAACTGGCCAAGGAAGTAAGAAGCTGAAACTCAAATTCAGCCTTTTAAGATGCTGGTATAAAGTTTGTAGATCAGTCTTACCCTCACATTATATAGTTCAACAACTCTGGGAGAACAATAAAAATGAACATACTTTGATCCTCAGTTATTTTTAAATGTATAATTATATATATTCACTTCTGAAACAATACAATAATTTTTATATTTCAGGTATATGTAGCCTAAATGACAATATTAATGGATGCTTTTAAATTGCTGTCTAATCTGTATTACTCCACTGAACTGCTGGTTTTGAATTAATCCATACAAGGTTCTTAGATAGATTACTATGAGCTGGTTCTCCCTCAGAAATAATATTAATTATCTCCTTTGAGAAATGTGTGAAGCACTCTTTCTGATTAGCAGCCCTGGGAAAGCTGACAACCAATTAGCAGTTCTTGAGTATGGGTGGGTGACTCTGTAAATGTACAACTGTGGAAGGCATACACAGCCATCCCTGTTGGGTCTGTGTGTAGTACTGTCTTGTCAGGAGGGTAATTAACTCTGTTTCCAGATTCTGATGGTCTCTAGGACTGCTGCCTCACTGTGCTGTCCTCTGGTAAACTGCAGGCCTGGCTGTGGAAAGCAGCTGTCTGCCAGCACCCTCTGTTCCTATGCATTCATATGCACACACACCCACACACTAAGAAAAGTCTTTCTGGAAAAACCTCTTTGTAGGCAAATTTCTAGAAAACAATGCTTTTTTTTTTCCTTTTTATTTATTTTTCTTCTTCTTCTTTCGAGATGAGGTCTCACTATGTTGCCCAGTCTGGTCTCGAACTCCTGACCTCAAGCAATCTTCCTACCTCAGCCTCCTAAAGTGCTGGGATTACAGAAAAAGTACTTTTTAAAGACACACACATTCTTACATTTCTTTACAAGTGAAAAAATACTCAGGTGGAAGTATTAAGATAAATGAAGCTAACAATTCCTATCTGTCTCTCGTTTCTCTTATTACCTCTTCTTTCAGGCTTTAATAATGCTTTGCAGATTTTACATAGCTCTTCTTTGTAAATTCCCAAGCCTGCTTATTTGATTATGAGAGACAAAAATGAACAATTATGCTTTCTTTTCAGACTTACTTCAGGCGCTCTTTCTTAAGGTAGTTTTATTTTTCTATTTTGGGCAGGGATTGGGGGGTTGGAGGGGGCTGAACGTGGTTAAGCAACGTGAATATCCAATGAGTAGGAAAATTCCAAAATGTCACTGACTTGACATGGCAGTTCAATGGCTAAATATATCAGGTCTCCTAGCCAGGGCCATAAAACTGGAGATAAGGCTGGCCAAGACAGCATCAAAGCTTGTCTGTTTTGCTGTATTTTCATATGTCAAGCTGTTAACACAGATGCTTTTCAAATGTGACCCATAACTGGTCAGAACACCTTTCAAATAAATCACTAAATTGTCAACATAATTGCATCTTGGGAAGGAAAGTACAGTGAAGATGAAATTTTCCCAAATGAAGCTAGAGGGAAAACTCTACTAAAGCAGACAATAAGAAAAAAAAAAAATTGAAGATACAAAAATTCCCTAATCTGGAAGTGGGAATTTCCGTAGCATCTGAATGTGTACTTAAGAAAGCCTCATTAAGTCATGGAAAAAAGTCTCTTACGGTTGGAGTTTTCAAATTCTTTTAGCCGCTACACATTTGGTTATCCTTTTTCCCTTTGTACACTTCTCATAACAACACCTACATCCTTGTAATTTCTGAAGTACTTATCTCAGAGCAGTTTATTTTATTTTAAAATGAACAGTGTGCAAATGTTCCCAAGATTTGTATTATTTTGTGATCGGAAAAGGAAGCAACCATGTATTTATTTTAGACCTATTTATTAATTTTGTATGCTTTTCCCAAGGAATCTTGGCTGTTAGACATATTAATATTTTTCTTCCTTTACCAAAAACATATTTAATAGGAAAAGATGGTAGCATTATTGAGATTATTAAAAGACCACAAAAGACAAATTAAAATTTTTTTTTATAGAGTGGGGTATCTTTTTCCAGGAATCCAGCTTGAGATAGCTCACAAAATTATCACTGGATTCTAAGAATCTAGATCTTTTATACTTGTCTTACATTTTATTCTTATTCTTTTTATTGCTAATGTTCATAGGAATTATATTTTGGTAGCTTTAAGTGGAAATAATGTGTTACATTAATAGGTATGCGGGTTTGTGTGTGTGCACATTTAAGTAGCTATTTTCAACTTGGAGGATGGGTCAGGCGGTCAGACTTTTGGTAACTGGAACCTACCCTTCTGGCAAATGGTTGAAAACCAGGGAGGAAGGGTCTGCACGTTAGGGACAATACTTCATTCATTGTTTATAACCTCAGCACCTAGTACAGTTTGGTCTATAGAACTGCTCAATGAATGAACAAAACGGGAAAACGAAAGACATCTAAGCACCTAAAGTCAGTGTAACATTATTTGGCAAAGAAGAGCTCCCATTCAAAATTGTCCTAAGAGGCTGTATCTCTAATTTTCTAACTTTTAGAAGATTAGACAGTAAGTTCCTTAGGGTCCACACCACTGTGGCAGTCTTTTGCACATAGGAGGTACACAATAAATGAGCTCCACTGAAGCAGAAAGCCAGATCTTAAGGCTGTTGTAAACCTGACACACTTAATAATGGTGAAAATGGAGTGCAAATCCCCAAATCCAAGCCGTCCAAAATGAGATTACTCAGTGATGACACTCGGTTTCCTGAGATGGGTTAAAATACGATCATATGATCTGTATCTTTGGCTTAAGAAGGCAGAAAAGTACACAAAGCATTATAGAAGGCCTCCTATAAAATTCTTAATGTAAGATCTGACATCCCAAATTTTAATTATCTGGAGAATTCACTTCTGGAACTACCCTACTCCTTGATAATGCCAAATAAAAAGTGTTATTAAAATAATCCTGAAAACAGCTAGGCAGTCATTCAACTCAGGAGCTCATCTTCTACTGCGTGAAGTTATGGGCACTTTTGCTGACTGCTTGGCAAATTGACAACCGGCTTAATTAGAGACTGACAAGAATCAGAGAAAGAAAAGGAAGAGTGCATAGCAGAATGCACACGTGCTGATGATGGTATCCTGGTGCCTGGCAGACTGATGGAGGCTGAGCAGCTCAGTTACTCAGTGGGGACTTAAGTGCCAATGGTTAGGGCCTGGGGCCTAGAATTTGGATGGATATGCACAAGAATGGGCAGAGGTCAAGCCTGACAGGATGGGAGAGTGGGTCGGGGCTCTTGGGTTGAGTAATGTCCCTAGGTGGGAGGATGCAGGAATAAACAAGTAGAAGCAGAAAACGGATCCAGCTCTCCCAGAAGTCAAACAGCAAGGTCAAAATTCCAGTCAGAGGCTCATCAGAAGAACCCGGGATCAAAGGCTGGGCCACAGAGTTCAGAATAACAGTAACCGGGTCTCAGCAATGGGGATGGAGCCAGGAGTGGACTGGCCTTTGAATCTAAGCCACAATGATCAAGTACTTTGACATTCATCATCTTATTTTTCTCATCCCGTCTTCTCACAATGGGGGTCTACTGGGAAGCAATGCCAAGGTCATGGATTTGGAGTCAGAAAACATAGCTTGAGTCCCTGCTCTCTCATTAGGCTAACATGTTATGATGGACCTCTCTGGGCTTCCAGAAAATGGGAATACTCATTATTTCTACCTCACAATATTCCAATAATGCTCAAACAAGCTTGTCAAGAAAAGACTATACTGTAAGGGTGACAGCAACATTACTTCTTGTTGTAATTATTGATGTCATGCTGATCTTGTCTGCTCAGAGCTATAACTGGTCTCAGGTAATGGCTAATTAATGAATTCTTAGCCCTTTCACAGACCTCAAATGCACAGCTGATAAATAGTATGGCAATTGGTTCAGCATTCTGAACCCTGCCTGTTGTAACTTAAGCATCATTTTTTGTCTCCACTGATAACGTGAAAAGCATCTGAGACGGTGGGTGGGTCTGTGCTATCTTTTCATATGGTCTGGTAAGCTTTGGAGCACGTTAGTGACCAGCCAGTGACGCCTTTCACATTTGCTGAGTAGCAGTCTGATATCATTGTTCTACATTTTGACTATGTCTATGATGTCTCCAAGAGAACAGAAATCTCTTAGTAATCAGCTAATCCAATGTGGGTCGAAACAATGACTCTGTGTGCCTGGCCCCTGTTCTTCCTCTCTCATGATGGGGGCCTTGCTAGATCTTTAGGGACAAGGGCAAACTCATCACAGAATCATTTATACTACTTTTTATCTTTGCCAGTGTTTCTTGCCACTCTCAAGTTGAAAGACACAGAAGACCTATTTCTAAAAACTGTCTTTAACGAGCAGATCTCAGTGTTAGGAAGTCAGGGATCTCAAACATATGTCAACAGTAAGAGAAAATTCAACCAGTACTTTCATAACAAGAATTGTAGGGGCTCCTCATGCAATGAGTCATGTTCTTAGTATCTCTGTCACAGGACTATGGGACACACCCCCTGTGGAATTCGTCTAACATAAAATCTCCATGGAATCTTTTAAAAACTTGATTCCCAGAAAGGATGAGAGATTTATGGCTTTGAAAAGATCTGAGCTTGCCGACCCTCTCCGTATGCAAGGCCCGAGGCCATCCCAAGTGGATAGCTTATTATCTCCAAACATATTACAGCTTCCCTAACAAATAGAGACTCCTTGAATTGTTTTAAAAGTGAGCTGACATGCAGGGCAATAGCTGTCCATTAAGGTGAAAAACAACATGATCTCCTGTCTTCCTACTGATAGGCAAACTAAGGGGGTTCAACCACCATGCAAGGCACAAAGGCACAGGCACGGGCAAATGGTAGGCACTGATTATACATAAAGAAGCACATAAATATACCTCATTAGATTATGTAATAGATCCAAGGCAGTCTCAAATTATATCATGAATGAATACTTTTTTAAAGTAAGGAAATGGGGATCCAGGTAAATTTTAGCTAGAAAAGAATAAGCTGCAGTCAGGGATGAGGTAAGCACACAGAACGCATGCTTTGAGTTCTGGTGCTGGTCGAGCGGTGGCTTGCAAATCAACTCTCGGTTTGCTCCGGCAGCCAATGTGAAAGTTACATGATTTGCAGGGTCCACAAGGATCAAGTACTTGGCCTTAGGATCTTGAGGATTCTTAGTTGTGTTTCACTAGGCTGCTGCAAAGTAAGAGCTGGAGCCTGGGACTGCATCTTTTTACTGGCAGCTAGCATTAAATTCTGTGATCTCAAATGGTCCATATACCTGAACTAGGCTGTTTCAAACAAACCAGATAAATCCAGCTAATCTCTCAGATGCGAAAGTTAAACTCCACTGAGGTGTAAACAGGTATTCTGTAGATATAAATGGTAAATAAAAATTTGGTCAAACTGCTGATCAACTTAAACTCAAAATATTTATAAAACAAAATGCATGCTTTCTGGCAAATTTCAGAAACATGTTACATGTCCCGTATTGCTCAAAGCACATCAAATTTAGATTAAACTGATGGTATGACCCCTGGACCAAGATCTGGCTTTGCTGAGTCCCCTGGCAACAGATTTCCCAATCTGCATTCTGGGAGCTCATGCAGGGGAGTATTTGGGGCTCTCAAATTAAGAGGCTGATAGGTGGGTATGATGCTGCTCCTGCCACCTCATCAGCCACCTGTGATGGGGAGACCCACACATGCGCAAGAGGCGTTCTTTAATGGACATTTCCCCTCTTTGAACCTGTCCTACGATTTTAAAATAGTATTGCAACAGATGGTTTATATGCTTGTGTGACACTGTATCTTCAATAATCAGATAGATACAACACAGAAAAGTTCTAATGGGGGTTTAACAGTGACTCACTGGATTTTTCACTATCTTCAGTGCTAACCCTCATATATTAAGCAATGTGAAATCATTCTGTTTTTATAGGATATACTTAAGACTATACCAGGAAACAGTATGGTATAACTAGAAGTGGAATTGGATAACTAAAATACTAAAAATAAATTATATTAGAATCGCAACCTATTTTGACCTGTTTCTGTAGGCAAATTATTTTAGTCTAATGTATTTGAAAAAAATGTTGGAATAGAACACCTGCAATTTCAGAAAAACGTTGTAATACAGTATATGACCATTTAAATACATGCCTCTAATCCCTAGAAGTCATAAAAATACTATGTAGTAGGTGAATTGATTTTTTTTATAAACACACCAGGAGTTATACTTACAAATAAGTGTTATTGATAAAAGTACTCACTTTTAGAGGCTATATTCTTATGCCAAAATGCTGTTCATGTTAAAATTCTGTTTGAAACCTCTTCATAGTTGCTTTCAGAGCAAATTACTATGTCATAGAAGACAAAGTGCCTTTATTTTACTGTCACTTTTTGCTTCCTCTAAACAGTTTTACTCAGCTAGATCGGCCACCTTTTTTTTTTTTTTAAACCAGACTTCAACATAAATGACTTTGGCTATTTCCTAGAGTCTAATAAACCTTCAAAGTCAAGGGTTTACAAAGCTAAGGATATTCAAAAGGATGTGCTATGATCTCTAAAGTCAGTTTCAAAAGAGAGGCACCAAAAATATTCTGAATGACTGTATCCCTGGAGTAAGTATACATTTTTCCCATATAACTTGTGAAAGGAAAAACACTTCACTTGAATATGTACATTTTAGTATGTTTAAAAATAATTTTATTATCTGGCGGGACCTTGTGTTGGTGGGAATAAACAAACATGCTTCATAGGAAAAGTGTAATCAGGTGCTATAAATACAGGAGTGTTGAGTCCAATGAATTCCTTGGAACTGAGGCAAACAGTAGGAGATGAAGATGAGGATTTTAAAATAAGATGGTCTCATATAGCCATGTTAGGTAAAATGGTATCTGTTGAACATTGGGCAGTATGATTACTAATTAAAATGTTAAATTCTACTGGGTAGACAAAAGCTAAAAAGTAAACCAATTCTGCTATTTATCAATGGTTGCAGCATAAAGAAGATGGAATCTTTTCTTTTTAAAGTCTGCAGGCCTTTTCTGAAGGGCATGTCTCTTAATAACCTTCATTAACTTCTGTTTGGTTGCCTAAGAGTTGTCTCATCCAAAAAAAGTTTAGCACAGTCTCAAAAGAGATTGTGTTTATTTAAGCTTGTTGGAAAAACATTCCTATCATTTCAAGAATGACTAAATATTTTTCATTCACATAGTTAGCATTCCAGACTATGTTTTCCTGCCTCTGTTGATTAGATGAAAATTAGCAGGCCCAAGTCTGATCTATTAGATGCAATTATTGTCTTAGTAGGAAAATTATGAGACTCCCAGCAATAATACCCTTTTAGGTATGGGAAGTAGACAGCAGAGGAAATAAAGAGCAACCCACCCCCTTGCACGCCACTTCAACAGGGAAATACTTAACAGCTGAGCTCTGTAAACTCAGGGGCAGAGGAATTTCTAATCATGTGTTTCAGAATTAGCTCTCAACAATTCTGAACATTTAAGGCATTGATCAGTTTGGTCATCTAGCAAATTAAGAGTATAAGACCAATCTTCATTTTTACTCGTAAAACTTGGTTCAGTATGACAGTCTTACTCAAAATCAAGTACAAAGAGCAAGGCATTACCGACACAAGCAAAGACATGCTGGACTTGGAGAACCAGCAGCAGAACTCCTAGGTATAAGTAAGAATAAACATTTCTTCTCTATTAAACTACTTCTACAACATTTATTTCTACACTTGTTTAACTATTAATGTAAGTGGTGGATCTAACATGTAAAGAAAGCCACTCATATAATGTACATATTTCTATATAGCTGTGAAAAATCACAAAATCTTGAAAGTGATATATTAAGGCTGGATGTGAGTGTCTTTTGCATTTACTTTACCTATATTCTAGTTTTATTGCAAATATGTAAAGACATTTTAAATGATCAGAGAAAAATCAAAATATGACAATATTCAACATTGAAAAATTTCTGATGTTTATGTTAAAGACCTAGGTTAAGAAACAGTCATTTGCTACGCATTTGTTACCCAACATATGACCTTATTTGGACAAGCAAAAAATAGACTGTGTTATATTTTAATTTCCATTTATGGAACTAGTTTCCAGGACGTTTAGAGTTAAAGGATAAAACACATGCCTAACAGTCTTTAGGCTATTACGAATATTTTATTATTCTTGGCTTACTAATAATAGCATCGTATATGGCACTGAAGCAATACCACCCATAAACTGAGTTTTGATCCCTGTTATGTACCAGAATGTTAATAACATGTGACCCTATGGCATCTTTGACTTCACTGCCTCTTGGGGTCAGCCAAACTATGTTTGACTCCGTGCCACAAAAGCAGTAGCTTAATCATTTGAGATACTGTTCAGTGAGGAAGCATTATGGGCAGGGCTGGAAACATTTTTTCTTGTTTCAAAGAATTCCCACCCAGATATGTGCCTGGTACAGACTTTTCTGGCAGCCCAGTGGAAATCTCATTAGAAGGGCAGCTTGATTCAAGCTATATCATCAGCCTTCAGGGAGAGAATATAGTGCTTCCATAAATTTGGGATTGATGAAGAAGACGACAATATATTTGACAGCTCACAGAACTCCAGCCTTTTAGAGGAGCACAACTTACAGTATTGGGTGAGCTGAGACTGAAGTGGCTTACTAAATCCACATAGGTCAAGACGTGCCTGACATCCAGTCTTCAACACTGTCCCAAGTAGGACCAGGATTCCCTAAGTAAGAGATCCAAGAAAGCCAGGTGGCAGGAAGAAAGATAGTGGATTTTTTGGTTCAACCACATTCCATCCTAAACCCAGAATTAGAAGGAATCCATGCACAGTGAATCTCTTATTCCTCTATCCTCTACTTCAAGAGTTAAGTCCAGGTTAGCAGAATTATTAGGCCTGAAACTCAGCTGGGTATCTGATAATATGTCTGCAAATAGCAATTTTAACTTTTTATTAAGAAGAAAACTTAAAAAATACTGAATACTATGGACTCTGATATACCTCTCATCCAGCTTTAACAATCTACAAATAACTCTTTGACTTCCTGTTAGAGATAGAACATGGATTTTGCTTTGTTTTCAGACAGACAGAAATAGTAGAGGGGAAACTACCCATTTGCCCAACCGCTAGCACGGAATTTTTTTACTGGCAACCTGAGTATAATTCTGAATGCTACCTTTTAAAATATTACCTAAGTTGTTCCTAGTTCTTGAAAAGTGATACTCTGGTGTTGGCTTCAAAATCCCTAAGGTCATCAAAATCATCAGCTCCTCCGTGCAGGAGATGGTGCACCTAAGGAGGCCTGAAGAACACTCAGATCACAGTGGCCACCTGGGCAGGGTCCAGCCGCAGCCCAAGATGAGAAGGCAGATCAGGTCTGACATCAAGACTTCAAAGTCCCCAGGAAGCTCTAATCTCTTGCATCAGGTGTCACAGCTAAGCTGGCCACACACCTGTCCACATCTCTTGAATTTTTCTTATTGAGTAATCACGGGGATGTTATAGATGTCATGTAGCCAAAACTTCCCTCCCCGATACCTTATCTTACCTTCAATCACAAAATAGATTTCTAATGGAAATGGCAACCTCTCCTCAGGATCCCTCTGACATTAAGAATCAGCTTTGGCAGCATTTATACTTGCTATTATTGAAAAAAAAAATCAGCAAATAATTCTCAATATCTAATGACAATGTAAAAAAAATCCTTGCCCGTGTAAGTAACTGAAATGCAGTGGCACCTACACCATGCACAAGGCGTCTTAAAAACAGTACATTAACGTGGCAGCAAGCATTAGCCTTAGAGGGTCTGGGAAGCCCCAGTTAAACTCTGTGATTCTGGACTTCAGGGGCTGAACTGGGACAGAATAAACCACAGAATACACATCAGTCTTGGAAGGCCCATGAGGCTGACACAGGGATGGAGCCCAGAGCTGAGTGCCCATCAGAAGGGTGAACCGTCAATGCAGGAAACTGGTCCAACTGGCCTGTAGACATGTAGGCCCACCTCATGTCACACACTTCCATAACACTCTTACTTATGTTCTCAAAATGTGTTTTCAGTGATAAGCATGCTGACATTATTCTTCCTTCAACTAGTAGATCAGGGGTCCCAATGGCCATCAGCTTTTGACGCTCTGGTTAAGGTAACCCTGTATCAGGGTCTGCTCCCTCACTCAACTAAAAAGAAGATCTGTATGAAGGGTCTGGTTGGGACTTCCTGCTCCAGTCTTTCTTTCCTCCTCACTGTCCTCACTTATTATTTACTCATTTAAAAATTTTGAGCATCTACTTACACATCACATGTTGTTTTAGGGATTCAAAAGAATATGCCAAATTCTTTCTTTACAGGGGGATGGAGCCTCTTTCAGGGTATAATGCACTGCAGCGCAGAGGCACTGTCCATTCAGGGTCCAGGGTCTGGTCCTGGGGACACACTGTGCTGTCACTTATGAGCTGTATGACCCTGGGCAAATTACATGGCCTCCGAACTTTGTGTTCTCTGATGGTAAACTGGGATGACAGCACCCATACCGAAGGGATGCTGTGAGGATCTCAAATTAGTTGCTCCTCTTAAAGCACTTAAACCTGACACATAACAATTGTATGAAATGTTAGCCACTGTCATTAAGGGTTACAAATAACAGTGGCCCTGCAGATGAAGACCTAATTCTGCCGTCCAATCTCTTTTTTGTTTTTAGTTTTTAAGGAGATTAAGGCTGTGTCGTCTATGTATGCCATTCAACTGAAAACTTTATATGCTATTCCACACGTTTCCACCCTAGCTCTTCACAGGGGTCAGAAAATAAAAATAATGAGATCGATAAACAAGAGATGTAGAGAAAAGTCAACAAAGCAAAATGTGAGAATATAATCAGTTAACAGACTGGAAAGGCTTATCTGTATACCTGAATTGGGTGTTGACAATAACTTGCTAAGAATTCATCATGAGAGTACTTAAGTGCCAATTTAAAAAGCACTTAGGTACTTGTGAATCAAGTTAGCTGTCAAGTAACAGCCTAGTCTTTAAGGGCCCCCAGGTTCATGTCCCTAGTCCTCCAGGAGTAACCAAAAGACACATTATCTTGTCATTTGGAAGGTATGTGTCTCCAGTAACAACAGCCACAATAAGGTTCTTCCTCCCTGGAGGTCCTAACACGCCATATTTAGTGATGCTGTTAGTTTACTTAGAATCTAAAACCACAATCCTTGTGTGGGGTCCTTTCATCTAATTTCATACTCTGACGATGTACCTAGAGACTGTAGCTAATAGGGTAAGGGCCAACACTGGTTACGCAACTGTGCACAGAGGAATTTATTGTGTGTATAAACTAAGTAAATACCAGTGTTTCTGGTTTTCCTCTAACTATTTCTGGGTGATTGCTTATTTATTGCACATTAACACCTTGCACTTTTTCTTATTTCATACAATCCTTTTGCTACTCTGAAATCATTTGAAATTATATTTAAGTATGATATTGAATGACTGCTGAGAAAAAATGTCTTCAAATGATCCCAGAGACTTTCTTGGACCCTATAAACTAAGCAGTAAGATCCATTCACCTTGTGTTATTTTGTAAGTTTATTATTAGTAGCCATAAATAACCCTTTAGTATCATTATCTTAAGCTGTGCACTGTTTTTTAATCCTATACTAAAATAATCTGTGTTCTTATTATTAATACATCTTAAAATGAAAGCATTATTGGAGAGTAAATACATTCATATGAAACTCACTACTCAACTAAGTTAAAAACAAAAACAAGAAAAGCAAGATAAATTATTTCTGAGAACCAGAAAATGGAATCTTCTGAAACGTTTGATGAGAGATCAGAGCCAGAGCATGAAAGAGACAGAGAGGAAAAAAGGCCAGCAGAACTTTACCGCTGAAATGACAAGGATGCTGAGCTCTGTTGAGGTGGAGGGGGCTGCCCAGACCTGAGGCTCTAGAAGTGAACTCAGGGATGCATCTCAAAGGCATCTTTCCCCTGAGGTCTTCAAACTGCGAGGAGACAGTAGGTGGACGATCACATTCAAAATACCTGGAGTAGTTTTCAAACTGCAAAATGATTTCCTCCCTTGCCTCCGCTGACTGCCCTCACTCCTCAACAGAGCCAAAAGCCAGAGGTGAGTAGAGATGGGTGAGGACACTAGAAGCAGGGCATGAGTTAGGCTGGGATGCTGTGTGGGGCAGGGGAAGCAAGCACAAATGGAGCCGAATCTGACAAACTTCCGTTGATCTTCACTCAGCCACACAATGGCAACTATACCCTTGGGGGAAATGATCTAAATCGCCTTAAACCTGAATGTCTTCATCTCCAAAATGGGATAATAAAGGCTTCAGCAGTGTTGCTCTGAAGGTTAAATGAAATTGGGTACAAATGTGATGCACTTACCCCACCATACCTCAACGGGGACATTCCCTTTCTTCTGGTTTAATTCAAAACTCAGCCTAAATAGGCTCTTCAAAGTTAAAGGTTATCTCTTACTTATCTTTGTGTCCAATGCTGTATCTGAATTCCAGGAGGTTCTTAATTTTTTCAAATTAATGGCTCACCAAAACTGTAACTCTTTTCTCAAACAGTAGATGATTAGATTACAACTCTATGCAGATGTTGCAGAGACCAAATTCTAAGTGACCACACTAAGTTTCACTCCTTACCCAAACATCAATGTGTGCTAAGAAAATGGTAATAAATGAGTTATATATATATCTACCTGTTCACCAACTGCCTTCCTTCTCCACTCTTCATGATGGATATGCTGATAAATGCAAAAGGTGGGTGCAAAAGGATCAGCCTTCCTTTCATTTACTTCCAGAGGAAAGGCTCTTTTATTCAACAAGTTTTTAAAGTTTTATTTTGAATTTATGACATAAGACCCATGAGGTTAAAAGGCTAATGTTTACTGGATTATGAATTTATGCTTTTCATATTCCTTACCGTGTGTCCCAAATATTCGTAATTAAATATTTCAAGTTGGCAACAGATTGTCCCTAATTCTTAGGGACTGACATTCTTATCTTCATCTGCTTCAGTAAGGCACCCTTTCCTGTAAGGCCGACTATACAACCATCATATGTATTTCTACATGCTCTTTTTTTTTCAGCACTGAAATGCTGCCTTTAGGGAATGGGAGGAGTATATATACATGCAGGGGTGGGTGACTTCCACAAAACTGGTCATCTGGAAGCTGTAAAGTTCTGGAGTGTGGCAGCTGCACTCTGAGTACAGTAATGACAAGGGAATCGGTGATGTCAACAGAAAGAGAGGCCTCAAGCTTAAACTTTTATATGATTTTTAAGGTCTTTAATAAGTCTAGCCCCTCAGAGGCTGATGAAGCTAGTCAGGCAAACTCTGGAGTCTGAGTTTATTAACATTTCGGTGGAAGCACAAGATTTCTTCGCACTTAAAAGACTTAGTCTACTTAACTGACTTTCTGGAAAGATAAGTCCATTTTTCAATATCTGTTTTTAGAAATTCTAGAAAGATCCATCTTCAACATGGATTAATTTTTGATCCACATTAGTTCATTTTACTATGCAAATGTACTTCTTAATGCTGGATACCCTCTATTAGAAATGTCTGTACAAATATTCAAGCCCTTGTCTGCACTAACACACATGGACACAAGATTAAAGACTGACATGAGTTAAGTATGCAGAGAATCTTCCCAGGATGGAGGAAATGAGCTGGAATAGGAGTCGGGACAGAAAAACTAGTCCAGGATGCCTCAGGCTTCCCTCCACTGAACAAGAAGAGAGATAGCAAATGCAGGTAACCACGACATAAATAACAGCACTAGAGGAATTGCAAAGCCACAGCCATTGGTATATGAGAAGTAGAACAGATACTCGGTGACGGCACTAGGCAGTGGAAATTGGCTTTCATGGTTCCAGTCTTTTCTTCTAGTTGCCAGGACGCTTGGGCATATGGAAGCATCACAAGTCAAAGGTGCTAAGATTGACTCATCGGTCTCATTTTCAATTTCATTTTGTTAGGCTGACCTTTGGGTGTTAATTAGGTTCAAAGTGAACTTAATTAAAATGTACATATTCTTATACTGTAAAGTATTCAGACGCGCATATTTGCAATGGCAAAATAATGACCACACTATTCTCATTTCACATGTGCAACCTTTCCTCAAATCATCAGTTTGAGCTGTTTGATAAATTTGTTGGCAACTGGTAACAGCGTGAAGCAGACATTATGCCCAAGGAAATAAACAAACAAGAACGTACGCTGGTAGAAGCTTCTCCAACAGAAGACATTCACCAGGGACTCATTAGCATCTGCAAGATTTACCTTCGCACACAGGGCAACACTCCCCAGGCACTTTCACAGGGTTTGTGCAGGTCTGTCCGCAGACGGTCGCAACGCAGTGGCGTTCACCGTTGACGCACTGGCAGAATGTGCAGTCGTCTTCCCGCCACCGGTCTCCGTGGGCAAGGATCAGGCCATTGGCATAGCAGCCAGCGGGATTATTAAAAGGATACACTGGATCTAAATGAGAACATGAGTTCAGAGTTAGACTGAGCATCTTCTAAATCTTATCTCTGTCAGTACCCAGAGACATTTTTTCCCTGGGTTCTAGTCATCAGCAGTTCTATTCCCACTGTGATCAACAGAAGCGCAGGGTTGCATGAGGAGTCTCTGGGGGTGCATGCAAAAGAAGCTGTCACACTGAATTTATGTCTACTCATCCTGACACAGCAGTCCCAGAGAAGAGGATCTGTAGTCTAAAAACCAATGTGCAGGTGTTATCACTCTGTAAAGTTGGAAAGCTTTGTGGCAAGAGCTGTGGGTTGGTAATTAGAAAACATGACTCCATTTTAGGCTCTGACAATGTCTTCGCAGTTGTAGACATAAATGTTTATCAAACCTCAACTTCCCTAACTGTAAAGCGGAAGCAACAATGCCCTAAGTCAGAGTGATATTGTTACTTCTAAAACTCTATCTCATGTACCTGCACGACCATGTGGGCAACAGTGGTCTTGCTGTGGACTTGTTCATGACAAGGCTAGTCTAGACATACCATGGGTCACTGTGCCTTGGAGGAGCGCTGTGAACTTAGGCCATTTTTTCTCCCATAAGTTGGGAAGCTAAGCTGCAGCCCCAGGTGGGAGACAGAAGTAGCCAAAGCTACTGTAAAAAAAAAAAAGTTTCTGAGGTTACTGACAAGTATATAAATACTGCATATGAAACCCTCTCTTATCCCTCTATTGAGAGCAACCAGATAAATTACTCAATTTTCTTTCTCAGAAATACATAAAAAACTGGCTTCAACAAACAACTACTGCTGTGCTGAGAGAGGAATCCAGACAGTTCATAGAGTTTGGTCATCATTATTCTAAGGACATAGTGGGACATTATAATAAAGTCAGTTAGAAGGTCAGCATTTAAAATAATGCCATCACAGCGTTAGGAAGGCAGTCTGCCAGAGAGGGAGGCGGCCAATGGACCTGAGCAAGAGAAGATTTTTTAAATTCCTGTGTAAAAAGTATTAGAATACATATTTTTCTACGTTGAGCCTGGATCTGAATTCCAGGAAGTGAGACATAACTGGATCCATGCCCAGACAACTCAGTATGATGACTACACAGAGGTTCGTATCTACATTTTTACAGCATCAACTGCTGCACAGTTTCAGAACTATTGCAGACTGGGGGCAGGTAGGGAACAAAACAATTAGAAAGGTTAAAAATTTGAAGTAATTCTTTTTAATTGTCAACATCACCTAAAAAATAAACTACTTTTCTCCTATGTTGGGTAAAATAACCTCTAGTAGGGAAAAGAACTCACTGTTATGAACTATGTTAGGAATGCAATTTTTATACTTTAAACATTTTCAGATCTTCAATATTATGTTGTAAATATTGCTCAAATATCAAAAGGAGAAAATTTTATGAAAATGAGGAAGTATGGAAAGTGGCATGACACTGTGCCCTCCCACTTTGTGTGCAGAGATCAGGCATAAGATTAACACATGCGACTTCAGATTGAAGATCTGGGGCCTGGTTAGGACAGGAAGGCTCACAAGACCTTCCTTTCTGGGGAAACAGTGTTGTGTTGTCAGAAGAACACTATAGACACAGTCAGGCACGGGGTTATTGTTACTGGCTGCAGTGTAAAGTGACTTTACAGGCAAGTGACTTTTCTCTTCTGAACTTCAACATCCTAATCTGTAAAATGTGTGGGTTGCAGGGAGTGATATTCAGAGCAACTGTTTTGAAATGCTTATTGTTTATGAACATCAGTGATGGGAAGATGCAGCCTGTTGAAGGAACATGAACATATTACTTCTTGGAGAGAAAAGGGGAATCCAGACAAAGCAGATTCCTGAGAGTCACACCTGACACCTGGCTGGGCCTTGAGTTGGTGTCACCAGGTGGTGACCTGATACCACGACCCCATGTGAACCACCACATATTTTCAGAGAAGCAGTAGCAGGTCCCTGATCTCCCTGGAGGGTCCTGGGTATTACGACAGTGGCAGAGTTAGTTCCTCTCTGGGCCGGCAGGCTGAGACTGTCAGGGTGAGGCCCACATTATCCTAACTGAGCAATCTGAGGTGAGGAGGTGGTGAGCTCTAATGCCAGGGTGAAGATAAAGCTTTGCCCTAGGACTTGCTGAGGAATTGCTAGAACTGCAGGGGAGGAACGGAAAACAACTCTGGGACATCTCACGTTGCCTGTGGAAAGAGGTGACCCATTGTCTACACCCAGGCATAGCTTCCCTTAGGGAAGTGTTTCCACACACTCTACCTGGCTTTAACATGCTAAAAGACAGACCATGGTGTCTTAAAAAAGGCTAAAAAAGGAACTTCAATATTCCTTTACTTTTGGATGAGACTGAATTAGGACGATTTTGATTTTAGAACTCTATACCATGTATGCTCCTGTTAATCTGTAATTAGCACCTTTTCTTACCTTCACACACTGGGCAGCACTCTCCTTCGGGCACGTAGTACCTCTCGCAGTTTATCTCACCACACTGGGCGGTGAAGCAGATGGCAACGCCCCCTTGGCATCGACAGAACCGACAGTTGTCCATTCGAAACATGTCTCCATCATAATATTCCACATTGTTAAATACGCAGGCTGGCTTTGTATCTGAAAAGAGTTAAAACAAACAAGGCATATTTGTAGTCATTTTTTAGTTGTGTCCTTTGATGTTTTTCAAACAGCCTCTAGAAAATTTCTAATAGGAGGTTATAAGTTGATGGAAATTTACTCAACTCAATGTAAGTTCATGTAACAGAAAACAATAAAGTGAAGCAAAACAAAATAAAATAAAACACACTGTTATCCAGTTTACACCAAGGAACAGAAATTCCCCCTAGGAAAATCTACACTGACTTCCTTCCATCCCAGACAAAGCTAAACTTTATGACCATGACACTCACATATCTGGTATGTGCTTTAAAGTGATTCTATTTGTTTGGTTAAATCATTGTCTACCTCAAATGAATGATCCTGCCTCCACATTAGGTTTTGTTCTGCTTCAAAAATTTTATTATGGTCTTTTTTGAAGTGGTGATGTTCTGTTCCCCCAGTGCTCTCTCTTAAATTCTTTTTCTCTGTACATGGTATAAACACGTATAATTTTAATAGTGTTTGGCCTTTAACAAAATACTCTCTATATGTATCACCTCACTTAATCCCTATAATGAAGGTCTGACATAGGTATTATTATCCTGAGTTTAAAAGTGAGGAAATCCTAGGTAGTTTACTCAAAGTCACACAGCAAACGACAGAAGCCAAAACAGTAGCTCTTCAACTGAAACCTTGTGCTCCTTCCATTGTGCTTCAGGGTTATGTTCTGCTGAGGACTCATAGTCCCATATTTAGAAGTCTCATCACGATATCAATGATTTTTAAATTTTTCTCTGCCTTGAAACACTCTCCCTACATTCATTCTTTAATTTTAGTTGATTTAAAATAACTCCCACCAAGACAAGAAAACACAACTACAGATCAGTATATTATAAATGTAGACACAAAAATCTTAAAAAAAATTACTAGCAGACCACATCCAGCAACATATAAACAAAATTATACACCATGACCAAGTGAGACTTATTCCAAGAATGCAAGGTTGGTTTAACATCCAAAATATTAATGTTAATACGATATGTCACACAATAAGGAAAAAAAGCAACATGATCATTCGATAGACACAGTTTTTGGCATCTGACAGAATCTAATATTCTTTCATGATAAAAATGCTCAACCAACTAGGAATAGAACGGAACTTCCTCAACTTGATAAATGGCATCCTCAAAAGTCCTACAGCTAACCTCATACTTAATGGCAAAAGTCCAAGTGCTTTCCCCCTAAGATCAGGAACAAGACAATGAGGTGTGTTCTCACCACTTCAATTCGACATAGTAATGAAAATTCTAGCCAGAGCAATTAGGAAAAATAAATAAATTAAAAGCATCCAGATTGGAAAGGAAGAAGTAAAACTATCTCTAATTGCAGATGACATGATCTTGTATGTAAACAGTTTTAAGGGATCCACTAAAAAACTATCAGAATGTATAAACAAGTTCAACAAGGTTGCAGAGTACAATTGCAACTCCCCAAATTGTGTTTGTATACCCTAGCAATGAACAATCAGAAAATGAAGAAAACAATTCCAATCACAATAGCATCAAAAAGTATACAATACTTAGGAATAAATGTAATAACATAAGTACAAACTTGTATTTTGAAAATAACAAAACATTTTCAAAAAACTAAAAAGGCCTAAGTAAACGGGACATCCCGTGTTCATGGATTGAAAGACAACATTGTTTAAATGGAAATATTCCCCAAATTGATCTACATGTTCAATGCAATCTCTATCAAACTCCTAGCTGGCTCTTTTGTAGAAATTGATAAGCTGATCATAAAATTCATATGAAAATGCAAGGGACCCAGAATTGCCAAAACAATCTTAAAAGGGAGAACAAAGTTAGAGAACTCCTACTTCCTAATTTCAAAACATAATACAATGCTATAGTAATCAAGACTATGTGGTACTGCCACAGGGATAGATATATAGTTCAATGGAATTGAGAGTTCAGGAATAAACTATCACATTTACAGGTATTTTGACAAGATGGCCAAGACTCAGTGGGGTTCAAAGTCTTTTTTTTTTTTTTTTTTTGATATAGAGTCTCACTCTGTCACCCAGGCTGGAGTGGAGTGGCGTCATCTGAGCTCACTGCAACCTTTACCTCCTGGGTTCAAGTGATTCTCCTGCCTCAGCCTCCCAAGTATCTGGGACTACAGGTGCATGACACCATGCCCAGCTAATTTTTGTATTTTTAGTAAAGACCATGTTGGCCAGGCTGGTCTTGAACTCCTCTGACCTCAAGTGATCCAACCACCTTGGCCTCCCAAAGTGCTAGGATGACAGGTGTGAGCCACCATGCCAGGCCTGAGGTTGAAAGTCTTTTGCATTATCTACATGCAAAAGAATAAAGAAGAAAACCCTATGCCTCACACCATATACAAAAATTAACTCAAAATGAATCATAGAGTTATGATCTAAATACAACAGCTACACCTACAGTGCTCTTAGAAGGAAGCATAAGAGTTAATCTTTGTGGCCTTTGATTAGGGAGTGGTTTCTTAGATGTGACATTCAAAGCATAAGCAACAAAGGAACAAAACAGATAAACTGGACTTCATCAATTTTGGGACTTAAAAGGACACCATCAAAAAGGTAAAAAGACAACCCTACAGATTGGGAGAAAGTATTTGCAATCATATATCTGATTTAAAAAAACTGGTACCGAGAACTCCCATAATTAAACGATAAAAATAATCTAATCAAAACGGGCAAACCTTTGAACAGACACTTCTTCAAATAAGACAGAAATGGACAATAAACACATGAAAAGATGCTCGAATCATTAGTCACTCGGGGAATTCAAATCTAAGCTGCAATGAACACCATTTCACACCCACTATGATGGATATAATTAAAAAATAGTAACGAGCACTGATGAGGATGTGGAGAAACTGGAATTCTCATAGATTTTTAGTGAGGATGTAAAAGCACAGCTGCTTTGGAAAACAGTTTGTGAGTTCCTTAATTTGAGTTATCATATCATCAAGCAACTCTACTCCTAGGTATATACCCAAGAGAAATGAAAATATATACCCACAAAAAAGCACTATAAACAAATGTTCCTAGCAGCCCAAGAGCCAAGAAAGAACGAACCTAAATATCCATTAACTGATATATAAACAAAAAGTAGTATATCTATACAATAAAATATTACGTGGCCATAAAAAGAAATGAAGTTCTGATATGCAATATAACATGAATGACACTTGAAAATATTATGCTAAGTGAAAGAAGCCAGTCACAAAAGACAAGGTATTAATATTATATAACTCTACTTATATGAAACACCCATCATAGGCACGTCCATAGAGATAGAAAGTAGATTAGTGGTTGCCTAGATCTGAGAGCTTAGGGGGAAAATGGGCAGTGACTGCAATCAGTTCAGGAGTTTTCTGATGGCTTGATGAAAATGTTCTGAAACTGATTGTGTTGATGATTGCAGAACTCTGAGCATACACTGAAAACAACAGAATTGCACAACTTAAGTTGGTAAATTGCATGGTGTCTCCTAAAGCTATTTTTAAAAAAAGTACTCCCAAGCTGAAGAAAGTTCTCCTGAGGTGATGAGCCCTGCTCAATCTGCCGGTGAAAGCTGGATGATGATATCCCCATCTTTCAAGGGCTCTTCTGTCCATCCCCAAATCATTTAATATGTCCCCTTGCATGTCTAAAATACTTTCACCGCATTTGGAGGATATTTGCATTTGCATTGTACTCAAGGACAATTACTTTATATTTATTTTATAACAACCCCGCTAAGAAGACAGAACGAGTATTATTAGTACCAGTTTTTTCGATAATGAAGATGAAACTTAAAGAGATGACGTGATTTGCTTAAAGTCACATGAATGAGGCAGTGATTTTATGTGTGCACACGTACTACATGTGAATGTTTAAACTCCTTCCTTAGTGCTACATGGATACAACATTTTTTCAGAAAATTAATGTTAAAAAAGAATCATCTTACCATGGCTCAGAATTCTTCTATATACTTTTAGCTAACAAACTAATCTGAGTTGGGATTGAAAGGAATTGTGCAGCTACACTATAAGTTCCAAAAAGTATAGAAAACGGAGTACTTTTATACATTAAATTTGCAGGCTGTAGAGCGAGGCAAAATACTGTACTCTAACAAAATGAACATCCATGGAAACTAAAAAAAATAAACCAATCAATACTAATTATTTGGTTGAGTTGATCAACCACAGCTACCATCTGGGTGAAGCCACAACCCTGGTGCATGATCTGAGGAAGTGTGGAGGGCAGGTTCTGGTTATGAATAAAGCTGCTTCAAGTGGACTTGTTTTTATGGTAGGGTGTGCAGAAGCTTAAGCAGGAGGGGATGGGACTGACGAGAGAACTGTGGCACTTAGGTTTCACTAGCAAAAGCACAAGGATCAAGGGAGTGGAAGTGAGAAAGATGGAGAATCCTAAAAACACAGCCTGGAAACACAATCAATCTTTAAGGGTGAAAAAAGTCACACAACACAATGAAATCTGTTTGATGTTCAAAGAGATTTATAGAGGCTCTTAAGAAAAGTATATGATAAAAAGGCTACCTGTGGTTTTTGAGGAGCAATGACCAATTACTTCTTCACCTATCAGGGGTAGATGTGAATCTCAGAACAGTGTGGAGATTGCCACAATCTCCACAAAAGGATGATTTAAGTGGATGTGGAAAAGTGTTATGAAGAAATAATTTACTGTGTAATTTGTACTTCTCAATATGAAGCACAGAAGTGCCTTTTTAGTGATTTTTTGTATGTGTTTTGCGTCTGCAAAATTAAACTTTAAGTTTCTAAGTTCTGGGATCTTCCCTTCCTTCTTGAATATACTTCAGAACTCCTAAAAGAGAATTTTGTAATATAGACTATTAGTACATGCTACTGCCTACCAAACTACACTGATTGGTGGATGGTGATAGATACACCTCAAAGATATTGTGGGTTCAGTTCCAGACCAGCTCAAGCAAGTCACACAAACTTTTTGGCTTCCCAGTGCATTTAAAAGTTATGTTTACACTGTACTGTAGTCCATACTTGTCTAACCTGCAGCCTGCGGGCCACATGAGGCCTAGGATGGCTTTGAATGCAAACTTTCTTAAAACATTGTAAGATGGTGTGTGTGTGTGTGTGTGTGTGTGTGTGTGTGTTTAAGCTAATCAGCTATCATTAGTGTTAGTGTATTTTACATGTGGCCCAAGACAATCTTCTTCTTCCAATGTGGCCCAGGGAAGCCAAAAGATTGGACACCCCTGCTATAGTCTATTAAGTATACAATAGCATTATGTCTAAAAAACAATATACATTCCTTAATTTAAAATACTTTATTGCTAAAAACTGCTAACGATCATCTGAGCCTTCAGTAAATAGTAATCTTTCTGCTGGTGGAGGGTATTGCCTTGATGCTGATGGCTGCTGACTGATAAGGATGGTGGTTGCTGAAGGTTGGGGTGGCTGTGGCAATTTCTTTAAATAACACAATAATGAAGTTTGCCACATTGACTAACTCTTCCTTTCATGAAAGATTTCTTTGTAGCATGTGATGCTGTTTGATAGCATTTTACTTACAGTAGAACTTGTTTCAAAACTGGAGTCAATCCTCTAAAACCCTGCTGTTGCTTTATCAACTAAATTTATGTAATAGTCTAAATCCCTGGTTGTCGTTTTATCTGGTGAAGATGTTGTCACAGCATCCTCACCAGGAGTAGATTCTATCTCAAGAAACTACTTTCTTTGCTCATCGATAAGAAGAAACTCCTCATCCTTTCCAGTTTTATCATGAGATTGCAGCAATTCAGTCACATTCTGCAGGTTCCACATTTAATTCTAGTTCTCTTGCTCCTTCTACTACATCTGCAGTTACTTCTTCCACTGAGGTCTTCAGCTCCTCAAAGTCATTCATGAGGGTTGGAATCAACTTCTTCCAAACTCCATGTTAATATTCTGACACCTTCCCCTGAATCACCTGTGTTCTTAATGGCATCTAGAATGGTGAGTGAATCCTTTGCAGAAGGTTTTCAATTGATTTAGTTCTGATCCATCAGAGGAATGACTATCTACAGCAGCTAATCTTATGAAATGTTTTTCTTAATTAACAAGACTTGAAAGTTGAAATGACTCCTTGGTCCATGGGCTGCAGAATGGATGTTGTGTTAGGCACGAAAACAACACTAATCTTGTACACCTCCATCAGAGCTCTTGGGAGACCAGGTGCATTGTCAATGAGCAGTAATATTTTGGAAGAAATCTCTTTTTCTGAGTAGTAGGTCTCAATGGTGGGCTTAAAATAATCAATAAACCATGCTGTCATCCAGGCTTTGTTGTTCCATTTATAAAGCACAGGCAGAGTAGATTTAGCATAATTCTTAACAGCCGTGGGGTTTAGCTTAAAGTTATCAGCTGCATTAGCCCCTAATAAGAATCAGCCTATTCTTTGAAGCCAGGCATTGACTGCTTCTCTCTTGTTATGAAAGTCCCAGGTGGCATCTTCTTTCCATAGAAGGCTGCTTCCTCTACACTGAATATCTGTTGTTTAGTGTAGCCACCTTCATCACTTTTCATAGCTAAATCTTCTAGATAACTCTCTGCAGCTTCGACATGCAGCTTGTCCCATCCCTCCACCAAAACAAATTAAAACCAAAGTGAAAAGAGAAGGACTATTCATGGAGGATGTTCTCTCCATCTGTTCATTCAGGCTAGTGTTTTCAAAACTCAGGAGTTCTTGAGTTCTGTGTGTTTTTAAATCCTTAAGTTTTCCCTTTATTAATTATACTGATGACATGTTCTTAAAGTTGTGAATGTGGACTAGCCTCAATAAATATCTGGTCTTGCTAACTATACTCTCATAATTAATGGCTCGGTATTAAATACTATAAGACTAAAAATATGTTTGCTAGTTTCAATTGGCTTATTCCACAGGGAGAAGAGGGGAAGTGTGTGTGTGTGCTGGAGGACACCAAGCATATCCTATTTCAGGAAAAGGGGAAGAGAACAACCCTTAGAAAGGATTACAACAATGTGTATCACTCTTTAACAAAATTAGCTTAACAAGGCCCCAGGAACACGAGGGGTGCTCAATAAACACATACTGAGTGGAGTATTGCTCTCAAAGTGCCAGAATATCTCCATTATTCTATCAGTAGAAGACATTACGTCCTTAGAAACATTATGAGCATAATTGCTATATAGACAGTGGGTTCTTAATGTTTTCTGTACTAGTGTTTTTTTTTGAAAATTAACAGCCTGCAGGTCTGAATTTTCTAGGCCAAAATTTTACATGAGGAGCAAGCTGATGCTGGGTACGGCTCCCCTTTAAATGGTGATTTCACATGTTACTGTCTTAGAGAAAATTCTGTCAGGGCCAACATAAGATTACTTCCAGTTTTTATTAGCCTTTCGTATATGCCTGAATAAAACAGGAACTAATTACTGGGTGGGCAACATGACCTTCATCCAGGCTCCTCACTGTTAGTGCTGCATTTTAATACTGCTGTGAGAAGCAGAGTGCTACAGGGACAGTGCTCCAAAACAGAAGTATTTCAAATGGCACAAAACAGGCTAAAAACACACGCTAAGTTGTATTCAGATCCCCTTTCTCTGAACTTACTTCATAACCCCCTGAAGTTGCTTTTGGCTAGTTGTGCCATACACAAGTAATGCTCCCATCCCCACCCCATCCACCCACCACTCTTGGCACCACTGGGAAGAGGGTACTCTTCCTCTTTTGTGCTGATGACTTGTTTAGAGCTGTGAATGGGGGCTAGCCTCAATATATATCTGGCCCTGCTAACTATGCTGTCAGAACAAATGGTTCAGTATTAAATACCGTAAGGCTAAAAATATTTCTGGTAGTTTCAACTGGCTTCTATCCAATAACAATACTATAGACTAATTCATTTACTCACTTGGGGAACGTTTTATAAGTAGGTCATACAGACAGAGTCAGCTTTTGGCTACGACTTTCCAACCAAGATATTCCATTTTATCTAGATGTTTGTGTATATACGTTGGACAAATGCTCGTATCTAAGAAACCAAATAATCACTTGCACACTCTACACCTAGGATTTCAAACCCAAATGCCTCCAGGAACGAGAGGTGGGCCATGTGTAAGACAGCAGGGGGTACTGTGTTAAGTGGAGAGCATCCACCCATCTAACAGTAGAGGCCATTGTCCAGCTCCAGCTGACGGCTGATGGGACATTTGTTTGTGGGCAGGAGCAGACATACAGTGGGTTCTTGACGAAGGTGGAGGGCTGTTACAACACTGCTTTGGAGGTCATATTTCTAGGTGATGATTTTGATGACTTCTAAGTTCACATAAAAGAAACATAATCATACCACCTGTTCCTTTGGTTTCTAAATAACAAGGATCTTGTTCAGCCAAAGCCTCATAAGTTCTCCTTTCGGCGCTTGTCAGAGAATGCAGTTACAAACTGTCATGAACTGGTCTGCAACTCTCCCATCCCTCCGCCACAACAAAATAAAATCAAACTACAAAAACAAAGTAATATTTATGGAGGATGCTCTCTCTGCATCTACTCATCAGGCTAGTGTTTTCAAAACTCACGAGTTTTCGAGTTCTGTGTATTTTAAAATTGTATGTTTTCACTTTAAAGTTGATTTTAAAAAGAAAAAAACATAAGCATATGGATCACATGGATGGCAGCATAGGAAGTGAGTGCGGCAGTGCATAATCCATTTCTGCATGTGGGGTCAGTCATGTTAACATTCTACCCACAGTCTTCTGAACTGGGGTCTTTGGATCTACCTCACCATGGTTGGGCAGTTTGCAAAATTGAGAAACAATGTTCCAAGCACCTACGGTCTAGCTGTGTCAATCTGACCTTTTGGAACTGAGTTGTATTTTAATATTTTGCCTTTGCTTTTTATTGAGAACAATCCCAGGAAACCAGTTTCTGCATTTGTGGTGTTAACGCAATTAAGCACATGATCAACTTCATCATTCAGTGGGATGAAATCCATTCCTTTCCATATGAAAAATCTCTATTAGAGAGACAGTTGTCCCATCCAGCAGGTTTTTTCCTCTTTGAAAATAAGAACAGCGTATTTGACCCTATCTCCTTTTTCACTTTGATGGCCAGAAAACTGGGGGCCTAATTTAACATTTAACTCCCACAACTGCATAGGCACTGATGGACTGTATACCCGTGGGTGCTTTCTGTTTGATTTTTCACTTTCAACTTTTACTTACAATTCTATGGCTGTGAGTCTCCTTTCTCATAAATATTTTATCACTATCTTATAGAATCTGTTCTCACTGTAAAGTTTCCTCAGATCCTCTGTGTATAAGCGAGTGGTTTTATACATATAAAATAGACCTCTGCTTTTCTAAGTGATGATAATGAATCTTTGATATGTAGTATCTTCTAATGGTGACCTTACAACAACAGATTTTTCCAGGACACTAGGTGGTAAGTATATTTATATATACATACACAGACACATTCATCTATCAATATATATGTGTGTGTATGAGTATGAATGTATATATCAAAAGAAGAAAAATGCAGGCTTTGAGACAATGTTCTTAACAATATTCTGTAGGATTATGAATCTTCACAGTATTAGTTCCTAGTCTCCTCTACAGGTGAATGACTGATATATCAATAGACACAGTTCCACAGGATTAGGAAGAAAGCAAAGATCACTCAACAAGTTTATGGTGGCAAGAAAGAAGCAACGACCAGAGATGTAGTGACTGTGTTTTGTCCACTCAACATCTTCTCAGGACAGATGGCAAATCCTATTCCAGAAGTCAGGGCTCTATAATAAGTGGCAATAAATGAGGACAGGCCCTGCAGACTGATCCCAAGGTTGCTAAGGTGGAGGTACGGCTATTAGTAGTTTGAGACACATCAGACTGGAGCAAGACATAAAGTCTATGTTCTGATAAGAAAGGAATGACCCATGGGTATCTAGAACCAAGAAGCAAGGAGAGAAGAAGGGCACTCCGGTTCCTCACCCATAGGAAACACCAGCAAATCTTTCTACTAGAGATGATATTTTCAGGGGACAAATGACTTAAGATTAAAGTGTAGGGCAGTAAATAGATGGAGGATTCCTACAAAGTAACCCATTTATGGGCTGACATTTAACAGACACCTCTAGAGGGAACTAAGATGATACGAATTAGATCATTCACTGGCTCATGCAACAAAATCTGGGTGTCCTCTGTGAGGCAGATAATAGGCTAACAACTACAGACACAAGGATGAATGTGACAGACTCCTGTCCTCCAGCAGTTCACATTTTGGAGTGAGAGACAGGCATGAGCGTTAAGTCTTTTCCAAGTGATGAGCACTGGATGAAGCATATCTGAGATGCTGGGAACCCAGGGAAGCAGTGACTATTTCTGTCTCCAGTGGTACAAGTATTCACAGAATCTCACCTATCATAAATCAAACTGTAGCACCTCCAGAAAAAAGGTCTGCTTGGCCATTTGCTTGTGTTTAATGGATGTGATTACTGGCTAAATAATGACCAGAGTGGGGAGAAGCACCGAGAGGTGATTTAAGTGCACAGAACTTTTTCTGTTCCCCTTTCCTGTATGCTTGTATTTATAAGGTCTGTAAGTCAGGAAGTTCAACCTTACCATCTCTATCCCCCATCCCCAATGTCCAGAACTGTGCCTCTGGATGTGAATAGAAAGTGTGCACACAGAAGATTATTGGCCGGAAGCAGTGGCTCACACGTGTAATCCCAGTACCTTGGGAGGCCGAGGCGGGTGGATCACGAGGGCAGGAGATCAAGACCATCCTGGTTAACACAGTGAAACCCTGTCTCTACTAAAAATACAAAAAAATTAGCCGCGTGTGGTGGCGGGCGCCTGTAGTCCCAGCTACTTGGGAGGCTGAGGTAGGAGAATGGCGTGAACCTGGGAGGCAGAGCTTGCAGTGAGCCGAGATTGCGCCACTGCACTCCAGCCTGGGCGACAGGGCGAGACTCTGTCTCAAAAAAAAAAAAAAGAATACTAAAGATTATTTACATCTGAGGCAAAATTCAAGGTAGTTCACCTATAATACCTTGTTTAATTTACTGTTATTCAGTCCATTTTAGAGATGTAGAAACTGAGGCCCAGGGAAACCAAGAAGCTTCCTCAAAGTTAACTCAGCTAGTGAGTGGAGGACCCAATTTTCAAACTGAGGTTATTAATTCTAGTCTGTGTTCTTTCTTAACCATAAAGCCATACTGCAAGTGTTTCTTCAAAGCAAAAATAAACAATAAAAAACAACTTGGCCACGGGCCTAAAAATCACAGGATGCAACCAAATAGGACTCAACTGCAACATAACCTTTCTTGCCTTGGGAGGGCAGGAGACCTTATGACATCTGAATTCCTACAGGAAGTATTTGATATGAATATTTCTATGTGTAATTTTGTTGTATTTGTCCAAATCCATCTCCATCTTCCTGTGTATACAAGTATTGACTAAATAATGCTCTGAATGGTTATTGACATGTAACTTGTTTATTTTATTTTTTGTTAATGAATATTCTGGTAGAGAAGCATGTTGCAGGTTCCCCTTCCTTCTAGCACCTAAACTCAATCAACATCAAGCCACCAAACACCAAATCCTCCCATATAAAGTGAAAGGGAGAGGCAGATTCTGTCAGAAGGAATCTCGTGACCCAAGAATCCTTTTTCAGGGCCACGTGGGTCAAGCCTACAGCAGGCCGCTATCAGTGACCAACCACTGATTAAAGATGTCTTCCCCACCGCCTCTCAGCCTTTTGGCTAAGATCAGGTGCAAAGATGTTCTAAGTAGGAAAATGCTAAACAAGATGAGCCATGTTTTTCTTGTTCCCAAGTGTGGCAGGCCCAATGCAGTTTTAGCCAGGTCACCTCCCGACAGCCATGGGACCAGTTACTGAGTGACAGCAGGAAAACTCTCACAGGCTCCAGGATCCTTTTCCTGAAATCCCTAAGTTTTGGAAATTCTGTAACACAGCTGAGTATGACAGCTACATGCAATCTGCTATTACATTTCCAGAATCCTCCTTCTGATGGGTGGAATGATAGTTCCTAACCTAACTTTCTTTACTGCACTGTGGATCTTAAGCAAACCTTTTTGAGTGCCCTTCAGCAAGCCCCTGAAGGTAATCCCTGCTTTGTAAAAGGCAGAAGCAGCTAAGTTGAACCCTCCCTCCTCCTCCTCTGCACAAATGTACACTCTCTGAGAACAAGAGAAACCCCACGTACCATTAACACATTCAAAGACATCACAGCACTTTCCAGGTGTCCCATCGCCACGAGAGACTATGCGGGGAGTGGATCCCACCTCACACACGGGGAAACCACATAAGCCAGAGAGACACTCGCATCTGAAACCAAAGAAAAGGGAAGGAAAACCCCATGAATAAACAACAACATAGAAGTCGGGAGACCACAAACAAAGTGGCAGTGGCTGTGGCAAAGTACCTGGTCTATACGACACTGCCTCCTTTATCTGGTGTCACTGGGAAATGGGAAGGCAGGAGGGGTTCTACCATAATTTGCTTTCAAATAACTAAGGCTTGTCTCCTTTATGTACACCCCAATTTTTAACTTTAACCATTTTGACAGAAATATTTCTAAAATGCATTACCTCATTTCTTACTTAACCAGACTGGTATTGAGCGTAACAAACATTTTCTGGCTGACTCAGGGACATCTTCATATGTATCTGTTATGCTCTTCTGTGAATCGATGCTTGCACAGGCTAATACAGAGTGAGTGTTCCCGTGCTAAATGGCCTCATGTTGCTCCTTTGCTGCAACTGATGTTTAGGGTTTTTCAGAGATTTTCTGACTCCTGGTTCAATGATTAAGTTATTAGCTTTTTAGTATTTTCTTGTCAGTGTGATTGTCTTAAGTCCACTCTCATCTTGAGCAATATTTAATTTATGACTGTGCACAATAAAAGAAACGGACTGAAGACTGAGGAGCTCTTTATAAAGAGAGGGCCTAAGCTGTAGTAAGTGAACTTTATGACAGCTATCTTGGAAGCTGAAAGTCTTAATTTTTTGGATCTTAAGCTCCCACCTGAGCATCGATCTCTCTGCACGCATGAATGGGGGTGTTCCATGAGCTGCAAGCTGGCTGTGCTGGCTCTCACCCCTAACTTCGATGCTGCTGCAAAAATTGCTAAACGCAGAAGCCTGGCAAATACGGGCAGGTGAAATAAGAGGAGACAAAATGTTGCATCTGCTACAATGAAAGAGAGGCAGGACACAGGAAACTTAGGGCAGCTGGGTGTCAGCATGTGAATGTAAGATGAGGAAAGAGCCGCTAGATTTCTGCCCTGGGACTCCCCTGGGGAGAGATGTATGGGTCAGAGGGTGGAGAAGATGACGGCGGGAGTTCCCAGGTTGACAGGAGTAAAAGGAAGACATCCTAAAAAAAGACATCCTGGCAGGAAGTATGTGGGTATTTACATACGGTAGAGGTCAAGATCAGGAAAGGTAATGTTCCCAGCAGGGAAAACTATCAATACATTCATTAATTGTGCTTTTGTCCCCCCTTCTTATTTAAGTAATTGGTTTGTTCACTTATTGTTCTTTGGATCTTTAATAAATTAAAATATGCTTATAGTCCACAAGTACTTCAATAATGAGGCCCAGAGATTTAATTACATTTATAGTTAACCATGGAACTAGAAAAGAAATTACTTTAGGTTATGATTTGCATCAAGGACTATTAAAGCCACTGGAAAGGTGGCTTTAAACACCCCACTATCACCCCAAGGTAGGCTCCTTGAGGATTCTTCCATGTGGGGTGGCAGTTCTATTGGATTCCTGGGAGAAGAGGGTGTTAGGTCATTCAGGTTTTGCTGCAATTGTATTTCTACCAGTGGTTTCAAGTAAAGGTTTGCCTGTTTTGTGTGAGTAGAGCTTGGAGCTCTCAATTCATACGCTATATTCCTGCAGGACAATCATTTTCTAGCGCTGAGTAAATGTGAGCTGGGCTTTTAGTGCCTGATAAGGTCATCCCATACTTTGTCACGCTTATATCCCTAGCCATTGCAGTGGTAAGCACATAATCATACTGCTGTGATATAACAGTAACATTATATTGTTTACATTTATTGTACTTGGCACTCTGTACAACTTAAAACTCTCTGGAGTTTATAGATAAATGGGGCTAGAATACTGACAGGCCACACCCTGGCCCCAATGTGTAGATGTGATTACAATGAAAGCATCCCGCAAGAATAGCTGATTAACCTTCTCTTACAAATCTTCTATGATTCCACATTCTTGCCTACACACGTGCTCCAGGGAATCATTCTACTCTAAACACCTGAGAGTGTACAGTCAACCAAAAAATACCTCTTCAGATGTTGTCCTTCAACACTTGAACAACCTTTACTGAACACGTGCACTTACGTGCTGGGTTCTCTGCTATGCTGTTAGGAGTCACACCACACTGAACACCATGACTAAGTCTGCCATGAAGTCTTTTTTCCCCTTTTATGTTTGACCTATTTTCCCAACATTTGTTTAAAAAATTTACAATTTAAAAAATACATTTAGGGAGTACAAGTGCAAGTTTCTTATAGACATATATTGCATAGAGGTGAAGTGTGAGCTTTTAGTGTACCTGTCACCCAAAGAGTAAACATTATATGCATTACGTCTTCCTAACATTTAAATATTCCTATTTTTTTTTTAAAGTCCCTTACAAGTTGTCTCCAGCAGGCTACAGAAGAGCTGAAGTTGCACCCAACCACCTATTAACCCACCTAGGAAAGGAAAATGTTTTATGCTGAATCTTTACAACTAAACTGACTGCATAATAAAGATCCTGGTTTTGCTAGCTGGTGTGACCCCAGCTCCTGTCTCCTTGTTTCCTTCCCTGCAAAGCCTTCTGATCTACCTGTTGCCATCTTTTGACTTTTCACAGCTTCCCCTGAACGTGAAATTAGCATCTTAATCAAGAAAGAGCTGATGAAAGAACCACAAAAGGTAAAAATCTGGGCTTAGGTCAGATATCTATTGGGTAGCTATCTATTAGGTTAAAACCTTACTGAAACTGCCAGTTTTGCAGTTCGAAATGGTCAAATAGCAATTCCTTATTTTCAACATAATACAACTCACATGAGTTATCTTTTAACAGGTATGTTTACATTCACTCTGTCAGGTAACAAAAGGGGACCCCATCATGACCCATATTTGCCCAGGAAGTCTGTTATATCTACAAATGATATGAGTCCCATGTAGTTTTAAAAAATTCTTCAGTAAGATTATTCTAGATTCTCTGGTTAACACACACTGCAGGAGGTATTCTTCCCTTTCACCGATGGGAACAGGAGTTACACAGCTTAGTCAAGTGACCTGATTTTAAATAGGGTTTCCTGTTCTCTGTGTTTTCCACTAGAAGAGACTAGATTTTCCTCTACTGAGTCATGAACAGGAAATGCTGAACTACAGAAGAACTGACGCATGCAACCTGTACCGTCCTCACCACATTCTTTCTCTTCATTTTAATTCTTTTTGTCCTCCCTAATCTTTCCCTCCCTTTATCCCCATCTCTGGATAAGGAGCAAGCAAAGGAAAGGAGAACACAAAAGGGGCAGAGCAAACAGCATTTCATGAGAAAAGCTGCAGTGAGCTGATTTCAACACTTACCCCTCATTTCTGAAGCCCTCTCCCCAATTTCCAGTTCTAGTCCAATCTCCCCCTGCCCACGTCTCTGTCTCTCCCAAACCATGCTACACCCATCCTAAGGCTCAGTTCCCAAACTTCTGCAGTCAAAATTTATCTTCCATTACTCCTCATTTTATGTATCACTTTCTCAGCCTAGCATTCAACACTCTGAAGTCCATATAACCCTTTCTCAATTCTGTTTCCCAGTATTTCCCTTCATTTTCCATTGCTACGGTCATGCTCTTTTCTCCAAATAAGTCCGCACTTTGCTGTCTCTGCACTGCCTGCCCTAATGGCCTCTGCACATTCCTCATCCAGCCCTTATGCCCAGTTGTCTTTCTAGGCCAACCTCGGATAACAGCTTCTTCTCTGAACCCCCAAACACCACACTTTTCTTACAGCACCCTCTTTCTCTATTTTGTGGTAACTTGAGGACTCACCTTAACATAAGCTCTTCTAGTACCTATCATGTCTAGTCATATAAATGTTTCTTAAGTGGAAGTGAACTGCAGAGGAACAAGACAGGAATAACAGTAACACAACAAAACAAAAACACAAAAGAAAGTGAGGAGAGCACTGAGATTTCTCTACTGTGAATTCATAAAGGCCACCCCAGGCAGAGCTATTTGCATGACCTTGAGCAGAAGTGCTAAGGTTTTAAAAAATGAAACAAAACAGCTTTATTGAGATATAATTCACTTACGATAAGTATTCACCCTTTTAAAGTACACAATTCAGTGGTTTTATACTCACAAGGTTGTATAACCATCACTAGTACCTAATTTCAGAACATTTTCATCATCTCAAAAAGAAATCCTGTACTCACTAGCAGTCACTCCCTTTCCCCTGATCTCCGGCCCTTAGCAACCACTAATTTATGTTCTGTCTCTATGGACTTGCCAATTCTGGATAGTTCATATAAATGGAATCATACAATATGTGGGCTAAGGGCTTTTTAACTTCAAAGAAGATGCAACCTGTATTTGCAAGTAACCAGAAAAATAAAGCCTCTAATGTAATCCTTAGAGTTAATATAATGATCAATCGAGGTACCACATTAATAAATTTTTGCATAATGTAACCACAGCTGCAGCCAGGTGGGACTTGGTAAAGCTGTCTTTTTTTTTTCTCAAGTAGGTAATGGATTCAAGCTCAGTGGGCACCTGAGTGCCTGAGTACAATGGAACTCAGAAATCATGGAAACCCCTAGAGGGCACTCACCCCCTTAGGAGGTTCTGCTGACTGAAGGGCGGTGAGTACACATTTAAGCTTTCCCTTCATGTCCTTTGCTTCCTGGACTTCACAGACAATCCCAGGCAGGCCAGAAGGTCAGAGTCCGAGCTCCTGGGCATAGCTTGCAAGGTGCTCCTAAGTCTGCCTCTACCTGTTATTAGTTTCCATATTCTACTGGTTCCTGCACACACCCTACACTCCAGCAACAATGATGATCTGATGTCACTCAATCACCTGCCACCACCCCTTATCACTCCAGCCACAGCTCATGTCCACCCAGCCTCAAATCCCTGCCTCTCCCTTGCCCCTGGTGAATTCCCCACAACCTTAAGACCATCTACCCTGTAAGACCTTCTCTGGTCAAAAAACAAACAGGATTAATTTTCCCTCCTCTGACTTGCAACAGTACGTAACGGTAGTAACTCTTGAAGTGCATCGGCCCATCATACTAAATCAAAATCAGACTGTTTCTCCTGTGAATTCCTCTAGTGCAGGGGGCATGTCTTACTTGTCTTATAAATAATAGTAAAAAAATGATAAAGGTACCCAACCAATAATCTGAAATAAACTTTTTCATGGATACTAAGTCAGGGGTTAGACCATGTATTGTTTTATATTTTTTATTTTTATACATTTTAGACTGCAAGCTTCTAGGTACAGTGCTTTTCAAAATTAGTATGTGGAAGGAAAGACTATGGAATGTGTTTAAAATGCAGATGCCAGGGTACCCACTCAAACATTGTTTTTCTGCAGGTTTGGGGAGCGGCTCCAGAATCTGCCCATATAATAGGCTCTCCAGGAGAGTCTGCTGATGGGAATTTGCAATCCACTTTCCAAGAACTTTGTGCCTAGATGCGCAAAGCCTGGGTGGTCACAGTTTAATTTGTACTTTCCACTAAAAAAAAACAAAAAAGCAAAAAACAAGTACAACTAGTTTTAACATTATAATGAGAACAATGATTACTAGTACTTGTTTTAGATCACTTACAAAGACTCCTTCCTGCCTGAATACCATTGCTTAAAAGTGAGAGATACCACGAGGGAAGAAAAGAACAGAAATATTACCAATTTATCCAATACTGTCACCCAAAGAAGAAAAATGTGTGACTGCTAGCAAGCTACTTAAACTCTTGCAGACTGTTTTCTCATCCATAAAGTGAGACAGGTGGATCATAATAAACTCTTCTCTAAATATAAAATCCTTTGATTCTATCACTGCCATTCCCATTCCCGTCACTGCTGCAAACTGACCTCAGCTCATCCTCTTCTCACTCACCTGCACCCTGTCCTTCAGGAACATCAGTCACCTTGTGTCCCTTACTCCCCTGATCCTCCTCCTCTCCAAGCACCTCAACCTTCAGGCCCAGCTCAAGATAGGGCCTTTGCACTGGTGACGTTTTGTTTTTCGTGGGGGCATAATAATTATATAACTTTTTTTTCCCTACTAAAGAACTCTAAGCAAGGCCGGAAAAGAAACAACATGCTAGATGCTGTTGTCTCCCTACCACTAGGCATGTTTCAGACCCTACATAACTAAGCGCAAGGGTCAACAGTTTGTTTTACTACAATGACCAGAAAAACCTTAAAGGAAGATAACCTACAGGAGATTCCTGGAGGAGGCCACAGGGCTAGGAGTCCTGTTTGCCCCTCCCACAGCCCTTTCAGCAAAGAACAGGAATGCCCCTCAACCTCTGCCTCGCCCCGTCACCCCAGAGGTATCCTCCTGGTGTGGGTGCTGATGTTATCCTAACATTCCCCATAGTAGGCTCCTTCTGCAGAGGAGGCAGCTCGGAAGCAGCAAGCCATCATATTCCTCATCTTCCCCAGCAGACTCTGATCTTCCTCTGCCCGTATCCTAGAGGAAAACAAGTCAGTGAGGTCTTCTGGAAAAGATTTCTTTCAATACTGGATCTACTACACACCGGAAGTGAGTGCTTGAGGCCTTCAAAAGTGGAGACATGACCGCCTATAAATTAAAAACTACTTACAGGTGGGTGGGAGGTCGCCCTTTAGTCAGGAAACAAGGATAAATGAGGAGCAAAAAGGGCAAAGCCCTTGTGTTACTAGGATTCTACACAGTGTGTTAATGAAATAGCTTGTCGGGAATGGAAATTATAATGACATATAAAACACAGTGCTATTCTATAAAAAGTAGCTGCAACTTTAATTAAATTCGATGTACTATCTTTCTACTGATTAAATTTCTTACTCTTTCCAGGAATGTGTAAGTTTTTTTTTTTTTAAAGGCTGCAAATAAAATATCCAAAAAGAAACAGGTTTCCTATCTGAGGGTCCAACCCTTCTTATGGAAAACAGCACTCCTCCCTATGAAAGTTCCTTAGGCTCACAGTTTTCCTCGTGCCTCACCATAAGAGATTTACTACTATCTGTGTATGAATAACTAACCCTCCTTCACCCTTTCTCCCCTGTCTCAAGCTTATTCCTGCGTGATTTCCTGGCATTTACACCCCCTAACACTGACAGATGTGCTGTAGCCACAGCAAGTGCAGCCCTGCCCTGGGGATCACACTCTCCCCCCGCAGCCATCCCTCCCCTGTGTACAGTGAGCAGAAACTGTACCTTCTTCAACACTTTCCCTTTGAAGACCACCAGAAAAAATCACTCTGCCTTTCGTTGTTGTTGTTTTACGCTTTGTTTTTTTCTGGGGGGAGGAATCAAAGGACATGCTCACATGTAGGGAAGGTATAAGTTAAAGACAATTAGGTTTGGGTTCAGTGTATACTGTTCAGGTGATGGGTGCCCCAAAATCTCACAAATCACCGCTAAAGAACTTATGTAACCAAATACTACCTGTTTCCCAAAAACCTATGGAAATAAAAAATTTATAAAATAAATAAAAATAAAATAAAATATTCCCTTGCCTTCCTACTACTGGTAATAATAATAAAGCAGCCATTAAGCTCTTCTCTTCCTAGCTTCCTCCTCGAGGCTGGCATGTGGCTCCGGAAGCTTATCTTAAGGTGCTAAGTTGAAAGGAAAGTGGTATAAGCTGCAGGAGAACAGAAGTTGTAAGTCTACGTGGTTCCTATAAGAATTTAACAATTATCTTCTAGGACTCTGCCCCACAGAAAGTAGGTGTGGTGGGGAGAAAACAACGGCATCTTTCACAAATTACTACCTTGACGTGAGTGGCTAAAAAAAAAAAAAATCAGGGTTAGTTTTGAAGGGACTCAACCCCAGCGGTGGGTGGTGGGGGGGTGGAGACAGACACAGCAGAAACACAGCTGAAAGTAATCGCAGGGCCCGTGCCCCTGTTGAAATGTTACAGCTGGGATCTGGCAGAAATCCTGGGCCACTCAGTCCAGCTCAACAATCCGATATCACACATCGAGAGCTGGCCAAGTCCCAGGAACGGAAGGCTCCCTGCCTTCACTTCCGTAGGTCTAGGGGAAGACAATGGCATCTGCTTTCACGGCTGGTAGGATGGCTTTAGAGAGTAAGACAGGATGGGAGTGAGAGCTGCATGAAGGACTAGTTTGGAAAAGGAGGAAGGGAAACTGGCACATCACGCTGTGGAAAGGAGAACTGGGCTGGGAAGTGGAGAATAAGTTTTAGTTTAGCAACATAGGTTATTCCCACTTCAGAGTGGAATTTCCAACTGCCTCAGAAAATAGATGCTTTGGAACAATGAATCAGCTTGTTTATGAACACGTAATGATTTTGTAGCTGTTTACCGAGTGTGTACATGCAGCAGGTACTAAGCTGGATTGCGGCTGGGGATACACAGGGTTCTGGCCCTAAGTTTAGGGAATTTAGTTTAGGGAAGCTTTTATATATAACCACAAATGAGAACACAATGGGAGGTTGACTATTAAATCCTCTCCCCAGAGCACACAAAGAACAAACACCAACGATGTCTGGACTAACCTTCTACTTGAAAATCTGAGCAAAGCCTCCATTGCCTGGCTGCTAACACTCCTTCAGGCCGCCAGAACCATCTGGGGCCTGAGCTAGTGCTGAAACAGATGACTTTAAGCATGCATCCACTTGGATTCCTTTGGGCAGTCAATTCCCAGCCTCTCATCCTTGTCATCAGTGCAAAGTGAAAGACCGTATTGTCTCTCATCCTCCAAGGAATGCACATCCCCAGAGAGCACTGCTCTGGGACTCATCCCTTCCAACTGACTCCCCTGCTTCCTCCAAACTTTCCTCTGCAGACAAACTCCCCCATCCTCCGAACATATCACACAATGCACCACTCGAATTTGTTTCTAACATTTACCTGGCTCTCCCCTAAAGATTCTATTTCCTTATAGCCATCTCCAGTGAGACTGAGAATCCCCACATCCTACTCACTTATTCACCTGGGATGGAAGGGAGGTCAGCATTCTCCAAGTTGACCACTGGCTACTTGCACATGGTTGCTTTCCTCTCTCATGCAAACCTTCCCTTCCGGTGACTCTGTCTCCTATCCAACGCTTTAGAGGGCAGAGGTTTGGGGAATGCACTTTGGCAACAACACAGTCTTAGGTTCAAGTTCTGGCCGCTTAGGAACTATGTGACCTTGAGTAAGTTAAGTAATCTCTCTAAGCCTCAATTGTAGCCTATGTACAGTGGGGATGATTAAAGTACCCACATATCATATGACTGCTATGTGGATTAAACGAACTGATGAAAAGCACCCAGGATAGTGCCTGGAACACAGAAGCACACAACACCTGTTAGCTGTTTTATATGATTATAATCTGAGAGGCTTGAGAGTCTATGTGGACAAAGTATTTTCAATACTCTGGCCTCACTTGATCTTTTGGAATCCAGTGACCCTTGTTGCCCCCTCTACTTCGGTGACTCAGTCCTGCAGCCACAGCTCTCTGAACTCTCTGAAGTCACACATCCTATCTGCTGATCACAATGGTCCATCCTTCCAGTTCTCCCTGGCCCATGCTCTACCACACTGACACTTCAAAGTCACTGAGACATCTACTCCCCAGATCGTTTCCTTTTCTCTGCGGCCTGAACCTCCTCCTGACTGTACCTCTTTAACAACGGAGCCCAAAACCCACGGTGTTTCACTTGAACCACCATCTTCCTAACGCCTTTACCTTTCCTGCCTCTTTATCCTCCTTCTGTATCTGTCTCCCAAACCCAACTTACTTAATCCCAGAGATGGCAAACCTGAATCAGGCAGGAATCCTAGAAGAGTAGAGGGGGACTCTAGACACCTCAAGAAGGTCTGTGACCTCTAACAGGGCATCACTACTCATTCCATGCCAAAGGGTAAACTCAATGAGGGCATACCTTCCATGTACTCAAGAGAAGCCAGATTTTTACGTGAAGTATGCCAGTTTTTAAATATCAGTGACTAATTTAAAAATAGAAAAAAAGGGGCACATTAAAGAAAACATGTCTTGGGGTAAAATTCAGCCCCAAGAACTACTAACTGCAAACTGTGATTCAACCCTTTGACTTCCTCTGTGCTGATACTCAAGCTGTTAAGAGCAGCTAGAGAAAAGTCAGAGCTACTCTGCATCTTCTACCCTGAAGCCCCCCATCATGCCTCAGAGACCTCGGTTCATTCCTGACGATCACTTCTTCCATGATGCCTTCTCTAACTAGCAGCACAAAGATAAACAGCTGATGCTGTATGTGTGTGTGTGTGTTTGTGTGTGGTGGTGGTGAGGGGTGTGAGTGGCAGTTTGTGAAATGACCATCAAATGTGGGGGAGTGGGCACAGAGGGAAGGCATTCCAGATAGAGGAAAGAACACACTAAATTTACAAAGGCAAGAAAGAATACAGTGTGTTAAGTTTAAACTAATAGGTTAGCCCACCAGAAGTACACTATGTACTGAGAGGAGGACTGGGGTTATTATGGGGGTACTGGCAGGAGTCATGGCCAGAGAGGGAGGTCAGGGCTGAGTAATATGGGGCCTTGCCTACCATACTAAGAAGCGTCTTCACTTGTAAGAAACAGGAAAGTAACAAAACACCTTAAACAAGTAATGCAGTCTTGCAATGGAGTGGTTATCTCAAGAAAACCCAACATTGTCATGAATTCCCTTTTTCTTGAATCATAAAGGTAGGTGGGATTAGTGTTAATGTTTTAAGCTGCAAGACACATTACAAGTCGAAAAATCAACAACAGCCTAGAATGCCCTTCTCTCTTTCTCCATCTTGTGAACTCTGACTCATTCTTAAAGACTCAGTTCAAAAGTCAAATCTGACCGTTCTCCAAATAGGAATTAGCATGTGTTTGCTTTGCTAACTTTGTGTTTTTTGCACACTTCTACTACCAAAGCACACAACACTTTAAACTACAATGACTTATACATATTTGCCTTCCCTTTATAATATATGCTCTTAGACATCAGCGACTATATTTTATTCCTGCTGGGTAGCCCAATGCCTGGCACATGACAAATGCTCAAAATATCTGCTCCCTGAACAATCCAAGAACACTATGGGGTTTTGATGCTAGGACTTTTGCTGCAGACTAATTGTCTATCTAATTTAGTTAAAAGCATTCATTACTTACCCGTGCTAGGTACTGATGAGAATGAAATATATAGGGTGGGTCCTTGCCCTCAAAGAATCCACAATCTAATGTCTTAGGAATTATCATTAAAACTCTTCATGATCTAGCTATGGAAATCAAAGTCCCTGATCATATTATCATAAGAGCCATGACATATAACTTCCTTTCTTTTCAATCAAAAGCAAAGTCAGGAAAGAATAATTTACAAACCACTTGCTGTATAATACATTCACAACAGACTGACCAAGGCCAAGAGAAACCAGCTGTCTCTACCTCCTGGGTTCTAATTAGCAATTAAATGTCTACCAAATATAACCCTGAATTATCTGCAAACTGTTGCAACTACAATGATGGGGAACCCAATAAGCCATATCCAATGTAAAGGTGTACATGAAGAGTAAAATATATTCCGTGATTTGGGTTGCTTTTGGTATTTTCATTACAGGTAGGGCTTTTACATTTTAGACTTGCTTATTAGCTATGCAAGTAATTTCACAAAGCATTTTTGCAGAGCTGTTCTGTTTGCATGTGCCATGATGATGACATAGCAAAAGAGGGTATGGAGAGACCTCTGAGTTTCAATATTATCACGCTGTGGATTCCGCTTTCAACTTTACTGAAAGGCTTACGGAATTCAGTTAAGTTACCTTCTCTCAGTCCGACTCGGAGGGCCACATATACAGTGTCTGGTGATATCCATGACCACTCGGATTAAACTGGAAGCCACTGACTGAGAGCCTTCCCTGCTTGTTTTCGGGACTAAGACAAATACAAAATAAGGCTAGACACTAGGTCAAATTTAAGGTGAGATAAAAAAAGCCTAAGGCCCTAGTACAGGAAACACAGCACGCACGCATCTGAAGAGAATTATTGACAAATCAAACACTCTACTAGGGAGACAGTTCATTTCCAATGGGCAATGGCTTTACTTCTAGGAAAGCATATTTTCTTCAATCTGGGGATAGGTCCAATAATAACATGGAATTCCTACAATTATTTTGTTTTAAAAACATCAGAGTTTAATATAGACTCTGGCTTTTTTAGTCATGAGTTGACTCGCTCTTTTGGGCCAAAAATTACTGTGACAGAGGGCAACAGAATAGATGTTCTTTTCTTAGTTGAGAAAGATGAGCTTCAAATACACTTCCAAATTTTTTTCTGCATGTGTTTAAAAACAGAGAGAATGCTACCATAATAGTATGTCAGGAGTCAGGAATGTTTTAAATCTGTGCTGTGCTAATGCATATTTTACTTATTATATAACTTAATTTTATTTACTCCCAAAAAGCAGCTGGAGAAATTATTCAAATTAAAGGGAACGACAACAACAAAAATGAACTGAATTATGGAAATTTGTCTACTAACAGATCAATCTTAAAAAAAAAAAACCCAAACTGTTAAGTGCCATCTTCTCTGAGACACTATCTTAGAACAGATGGACATGATAATGAATTACAACACTCTTAATTAGATAAAGTCCCTTTGAAAATGCATATGCAGGGATAGTTAAAACTGGTTAGCTTGAGTAGGCATGATATAAGCAACTTAATTGCCTAGCACAATGGTAAAAAGCACATGGATCTACAGGAAATATTATTTGATGGCCTAAAAAAACTTAAAACTGTCTCCAAGAAGAAAAAAAGAAGTGCTTTCTGAGCTCTGAACATGACCCTGACAGTTCCAAGCCACCCTCAGGAAGTTTCTGGCTTTGACATATTTGTCAGGTTGGGTTGATGCGCACTGTGTTGACAGCCTCTGACTCTTGCGTGATCCTCCCACCTCCCAACACCCTCCTAAAGGCTTCAAACCGCAGAGTTATGGGCTGTAGCTCTGGAGATAAGAGTTGACAAACTTTGGAAAGCTCTACCACGGAAGGATAAGCATTTGAGCACACAGAGCACTAAAGGATTCTTGATCCTGCTGCTCGTTCCATTTCTCAGAAGCAGACAGATGTTCCAGAACAGAGGAATAAGAAAATCCCTCCTGTCCTATTGAGTTTTCAGGAGGGAAGGGAGGGATAAGAAAAAATTGTCATCTGTTGTTCCATATGTATATGTGCTTTTTGAGGTCCTTGATTTCTCAGTTTGGATTTAAAGCTGGCATATTACTGTATGGTTTTTCTTAAATTTGGTTTTCATTGTTTGGTAGAAAGACTGTCTATTAATTGATTCTTTCCTTGAGGGCAGATGACTGTGTGTGTGTGTGCATGTTGTGTGTTTCCTTCTTATTACCTTCCAAAACTTGGGAGCCTTTTTGAAACTGGCATTGGTCATATCTGTAAGATGTTAAGACTCTTTAAAGCATGTGCCACATTTTATTCACCACTATACCCCACACCAAGCCCAGTGTTCTGCCTTCCATGAGGTCCTCGATGAGTATGTAATTATTTAACTGTTTTAACCGATTGGAGCATTTTAAAATCTGTACCTTGTTTTCACTCACTGTAGCTATGTGGTTAGATTAATTGGATTTAACTCAAGTGCTTCTGAAGGGAAGGGATAACCTGCCAAAGATTCCATTCGGCTGGCCTCATCCAGTATGAGTCAATTTCAGGCTGTGAATTCTGGAACCCCAGAAAACTTCTTCTAAACATCTCTATCTATTCACAAGAAACAGTGTGCTAGCAATCTGCTAAGATTCTATTATCATAATGCAAGACAGCACCAACAAAATGAATTTTCTTGAGAGCACAATTTCAAATTGAAGCAGCTTGGTGCAAATATTTAGATGTTATAGTGAAAGCAAACGACATTGATGACCTTCGCTCTGGTCATGGGCTGTATATTTGACATATTTTTCAGACACAATGGGACTACCATCCTTCCTTTTATCTTATTTCCTTTCCTGGAGTTACAGAGTTTGGAGCTGTGATGATAGGACAGGATATGAGTGGGAAATTGCCTTCTAAGGTCAATGTTTTATGGGAGAGAAATAAAGCTGAGGTTCAAACAAGGAAAAAAGTCACTTTGAGTAGATCTTTTTTCATTTTAAGAGACAGAAAGAAATGGTCCAATCATAAAGTTAGGAAAAGAGAACCTAAAACTTGTCCATGAATATTATTCTGTGTGTGTATGCACGATTAAATGTAAAACACAGAAAAGAACAATATGAATACGGAGCAGCTGAAGACAGAGAAGACACACACACAATCCGACCTCAGGGAAAGTGATGTGGCAACAGAAGGGGAGAAACAAGTGCAAATATGGGTCCAGGAGCCAGCAAGTAGCCATGTATGGGCTGATGCAGTTTCACACAGGTGAGCCTGTGTGGGCACCAGGAACCATACACACATGGCCCTCTCCAGCACATTTACCAAGGCAGGCTGACAGGCAGAGATATCGACATTCTATTAGAAAGCAGTTTAACAGAGTAAATCCTTATCTTGCGGAGTCAGCCTTTGGCCAGATATTCTCTGCTTCTGCTACGTAGGGACTATCTATTTATAGATGTAAAGAAAAAAAAAAGGTTAACTAACAATAGTCAACTAACCACTGACCAAATACGTAATCTATTTTACTGAATTGTTACTCAGCTTTCACAATCCAACCAGTTCTGATTACCCTGGCTTAAATCATTACTCTAGTAGTTTATTTCATTTTGCTGTTTCTAAGGTTTTTTTTTGTTTTGTTTTTTTAAGAAAGTTTAAAGAAAAAACCCATAATTCTTTTATAACTTCCCCTGGACTTTCTCCTTTTCTTATCCCTAGGCGAGCCATATATCTCTCCCATTATTTTCTGAGCTCTGAAATTTCCTAAAATTTTTCTTTACCTTTGTTTCCCAGGAGTCTCCTGTCGCTAGCGGCTTGGGTTCCTTCCCTTCTAAAGGCTTTTGGAAAGTCAAAGAATTTAGAGGTAGAAGTTACTTTTGAGACAATCAAATCCTTCCTCCCCTCCTTTCTTCGACTGGAAAACCGAGCCAGACAATGTGAGAGCCTCACCCAAACTCATGCCGAAGTGGGCCTGGATTCTAGCTCTGGACACATGATTCGTGCCCTTTCTGAACAGCACCAGGTGATGTGCAGAGGAGTATTCTTTAGCTACGGAATGGTTTACTCACAGGTATGTGTCTGCTTACAGACAATAACAAAGTGCATGACACAGAATGTTAGGGCTCCTGAGAGGCAGGACTGGAGAGGGCCTGGTGGTGAGTGAGCCCAGGGCCACAAGGGACAGTGCAGCTCAGTGGTAAGTGCCAGACAGACCTGTTCCGCTGATGTGCACCGGCTAGGACCCTTCCAGCTCCACAATGCTCCCTCTATGAAACAGGAGAGTGATACAGCCTGCCTCCTGTGTTGAGCTCTGTGATTCTGGCTTGTCAATATTTCTAGTGAAATTGTACTTAGAATTTCATGTGTCCAACATATTCTATTACATTTTTTGGTGAAAACAGAAGTCACATATTAGTCAACATATTAGCTGACAGATAATCTAACATTTTTAATTACCTTGAAGCTAAGGAAAAAAAAAAAAACAAGTCAAAAAAATACTTCTGAAGATTGATTTAAAAATAAAATAGGATTTTTGGTCTAGTGTCTCAGAACACAAGAGATACACATGTTCCAGATATAGGTTCTGGAAGAGTATCAGGCCCTTGGTCAGAGAGAGGCAGGAGCCAGGAGGGAGCTTGGGAATCTGGCTTTCTGAAATGCACACAACCCAGAAGAAACTCTATTTTAAGTTTTTGGACATTATAAACAATGACTTAATTTATTTCTACCTTAAAATAGCTGGATTGGACTTTTCTCAATAACTTTTAAGAACGGCATATTTATAAAACAAATTGATAACAGAACTTTTAGAACAAAAAGTTTGGGACAAATTTCATAAAAATAAATTTAAAATAGGTGACTTGTCAATAATAAAAAGGTACAAAGTTACTTATCAAAAGGCGTAGGGTATTTAAAAAACTCGTGACTTACAGTGAAAGTGAGTAAGGTGGAGGTATTACTGTCTAGATTTTTAACTAGTTAATGTCTACCGTGTAAGCCTGTATCTGAAACACTGGTGAAAAATTACGGAGGCAAAGTGAAGAGTCTGTAAAATTAGGTCCAAACACTGGAGAGAGCAAGGAGTAGGAAGTGCAGAGAAAACACTGTGGTCTTAGAACTCTCTATCTTCTTGAGAAATAGCCCAGTTGGGCTGAGGTCTGGGCTGGTGGACACCAGGAGAACATGGACTCTCAGATGTATAGCCCAGGCTGGATCCATCCTTCAAATGCATCTGCCTCTGGTGAATCCATTTCTCTCAGGTAAGCTCAACCATTACAGAGGAGAATCTCTATTCAACATCTTTGCAAGCTTTGTTTTGTTTTAAAAATGGACCCGGTTTTATCAGGCAGATTTTCTGGTATCCCAAAGTAGCATTCCCTTTTGTATGATGGGAGAAAACCTAGTTTAACCTAGGTGGTCACAGCACTCTTCAAGAAGCGGAAGGTTAAAAATAATGGTTGGCTAAATGATATTAAAGCTGAAGCGGTGGCTCAGAGGCTCTTAAATCACGTGTCTGCTCCTGGGTGGACTGCCAAATGGCAAGTGAAGAAAGAAGCAGAAAAAGAGCTGCTGGGCACACAGGGGGCTTAACTATAATGCTGCCCGAATTTCACCTGAAGACCCAGAGTTCCAGGGCCAGAAGGGCATGAGTTTTTGGAAAAGAATCACGTTTCTGAAACACACCACCAAATTCCTGCAATCAGAAAATGAAAACTAAAGGGCATCTATCTTGGTTAAATGTAGATTAGGGTGGATTAAAAATGGCCACAAATTCTTTGTGGCTTATCTCATCAAGAAGTGGAACCTACTTTCCAAACCTTTGAATGAGGGCTTGACCTGGGACTTCCTTTGACCAACAGAACATGGCAGAAGTGTTCTGTAACTTCCAACTCTTGGTCTCCAAAGGCTTTGCAACTTCCTCTCCTGCTTCTGACATCATGTAGGGAGAGGGGTCTTTCCAGCCATCCCAGCTGAGTTTCCAAACATGGGAGGGACATCCAGTCTCAGTCAACCTGCCAGCTGGCTACAGAAGAACTGCTCAGTCAACACACAGAATCAGGACAAAGAATAAATCTTTGTCATTTTCAGCTACTTCTTTTGGGGCGGTTGTTACACAGCAGTGAATAACTGAAACACGTATGTGGTATGCAGATAGAAATGTGTTGGTGAGATATAAATTCATATTCCCCGATATATTTCTTGGACTTAAAAACAACAAAACATTGTTATCAAAAAAGCTCCAGTGGAAAGAGCACAGGGTTTTCAATAAAAAAAAAATTAAAAAACCTGGGTTGAAGCCTTGAACCTGCTCTGTCTCTTGTACCAAGGAAAATTTGTGATTTTCTGCAAGTCTCTTATTATCTCAATCTCCATTCTCATACCTATAAATTCCTCATAGAATTAAAGTGATGGTAAGATATGAATAGGGAAAATGCTTTATAAACAGCAAGGCACTTTACACATTTAAGGTGTGACTGCTATTGTTATCTATATGTCACTTAAAGACTATCTTGGTTTTTTTCTTCCCTGCAAAGAAATAATTTGCATTAATGTATCTGTCTTTTAAGTTTCTGTTGTAAATTCTCTTATGCACAGCAGCATCTGTACATGCACACACATGCAGACACTCACAAAGGGACTTTCAAGGACCACAAGGTGTCCTAAACCTCACAGACAGTCCCATTTTCCCTTTTTGTCACTGTGTAGTGTTTAGGCCCAGTATAAGTCCCAGAGCCACTAATTCTTATCCCTCTCCACCCTCTCCTGAAAGGTAGAATGCACTGCCATATAACTCATATCATGTCTTCATGCCAACAGAAGAAAAAAGGATAAAAAGAAACGGCGGGATGCCTGGAAATCTATGCCAAGTTGAGGGAAGGAAGAATCAAATAATGGTTAAAAATTAATTACATCACACACAAGAATGATGTTTAAACAGGATGAAGTTCAAGAGAAAAGACACAAAAGAAGTGAAAATGAAAGGCCATTAAACAAGACAGAAAGGCAGCAAGGAAATAAGGAAGAGCCTATACTCACAAAGGCCACAGGTAGAAGGGAAAACCAGTATTTGTGAGGGATAGAAGTGGAAAGTGAAACCCATGCACAGTAAGAACATCCGGAGAATAGTGTCTGTCACTCTTAAGAACTCAATTCATGTTTGATGAATAGATGAATGAATCAACTGAAAACATACAATTCCAGAGAAAACTAACAAATCAAGCTCACACAGAAATGGGGCAGTTAAGGGCCCGAATGGGTGAAATAGTCTCATAGGGAAGGGCAATTCCATTTGGATGGGAATGAAGGAGGGAGGAATGTATTCTTCAAGATAGGGGAGAAAAGTCCACAAACCCACTTTCTAGCCCATGAAAGTGCAATAAATTCTTATAAAAAGGGAGTTGTTACTTTCACTGAATGTAATTCTTTACAGCTAAAGTTTCAGATATTTTACCTTATTATGTCCTAAAATGTAAATAGCTTTCTCCCCTGATTTCTCCACATAATCAGCTTTGCTCTCAAATGGCTCTAATTTCTTAACAATGCTCTTATAAGTATGCTGGTAAAAGTCAAATAATCATAATAGGATCTTATATGTTCTATAATCTTCTTCTTTATGCCTAAATATGCTCTTAAAGAGTGGACATTTGACATGGCTCACACACAAGAATAAAGTTACGTAGTTTTTCTCTTAAAATACTACCATTATTATTACATGTTAGGCTTTTTTTTTTCCATTTTCACATGATTATTTGGGTTGTTATTCTCTAATCAATGTACAACCTATCATCCCATCACCCTCCTTAGTAAGCAGGAATCCACTGAATATGCTAAACTAGGCTGAATGGGTCTAAGCCACAGCTTGAGTATATTCTGCATTTACCGACTCATTCAGCACTAATGCATACAGAGGAAAAGAAAAGATGACACAATTCCTGACCTTTAGGAACATCGTATAGCTGATAAGACAAGACTTCACGCATTCGACAATTCAGTAACAATGTATGAAAGTCGATAATTAACTGACAGCATAGGAAAGGATTATGTGGGAAGTTTCTAGGCAGTGGGACCTGTTGGTTGAAGCATGAAGACCACGTGGACAGAGGAGAAATTAATTAGAGTCCTGCTGGATGAGCAATATGAAAAGAGATGGAATGGAGAGTGAAAGGCATCCCATGCTGTGAGAGATGACTGCTGTGCTTGGAATGGAGGGTTTCTACAGGATTGAGGAGTACCGCACCATAAAGTGGGGACTGGGGGAAAAGTGCAAGGATTTGAAAATGAGACAGGGAGTAGTATTACAACCCAATGGCAGGAAGGTAACTAGAAACTAAAAATATTCATTCTTTTTCTTTTCTTCAACATATAAATCATCTTGGCTAAGAGAGGGCCTGTTTGTTCATCCATTCATTCACCAACAGATGTGGGCTGACACATTATATTTAGGTACAAGAGGCTACAAAATACTCCCTTTCCTTGACAATCACACAGGACAGGAGAGACAGACAAAAAAACATCAGTATGTTCAATGTGTTATGAAAAGTGCTATGATAAAAAGATACACAGGGGATGGATGACAAGGGAGCAGAGAGGGACACTTAAGTCATCTTCAGGGGCCGAAGAGTGACAACACTTCAAAGAGCAGGAAATGCAGTCTTGAAGGAGAGGTAGAAGCTGCCTATATGTATGCAGAAGGGAGTCCGGGAAGAGGTAGTGGCAACTGCAAAGGCACAGGACTCGTGAGAGAGCTGGAGGAGGAGACCCTGTTCAAAGCGAACAAATGAGCAGGGGATGAGTATGGGTCACTGATGATCTGACATACAGGAAACTAAAGAGCTGTGAGAACCTATCCCTTCTCTGCAAATAATTTACAGTGGGATGTTGAATGACTTCCTTCTCTATGTTTTCAATGTCTTCATTAGAGGCAAATTTAACTCTGGCCATTCTTCATTTTTGAATGCTGAAGTCAAAATTATGTCAACACAGTAATAATCATCTTCAAGTTTTATTTTCTAGACTCACAGAAGCTTGAGGATAAAATGGAAGGCAGCTAGTTCAACCTCCTTTCCAACCTAATACAATTCTTGTAAGCATTCCGGGCAGGTGGCCATCCAGACGGAAAGAAATCTATCCAGCTCCAAGGAGCTCTGTCTGCCTCAGGAAGCAGCCAATTCATTACAGAACATCACTAGTTGTGGGAAAGTTTCTTCTTAAATTGAGACTAAATATACCTTCCTGTAGCTTCTACCCATTTCAACCCCCTAGAGTGACTGAAAAAATAGCTGACCGTGCCTCCTATGTGCAGATGGCTCTATGTGGCATTTATAATAGTGAACTGAGAATTGTCCATTTTCCTCACTAAAGGACTACCTCGTTAACAACCGGCTTAGTTTTGATTAATTAGGTTCTCCAATATAATGTACCACCTTCCTTTTCAGGAAGACCCTGAAGGGACATCTGTTACTGTTAGCGATGCTCCATTTATCTCCTTTACTGATTAGTAATACCTTATGTTTGCAAGATATTTCACCCCTTCCTAAGCATCTGCACATAAATTATCATATTCTAATGTCATAGGAAGGTGGCTGCACCAATGTATGTTATCTTCACAAAAATCTTTGCATCTGTTTTATAATACAGTATAAAGGATATGTCTTAGAGAATACTAGGTTTGACAGAACAAAGGCTAGGAGATGCCAAGGATTTAACTTATTTTATGAGAAGAAAGAAGGAAAAAGTAATTATCAGAACAAATTCTGGATGTCTCTTCAATTACGGACAGATAACTGATACTTACCTTACCTATGGACCACATCTACTCCTATCTTATCCAACCATTTGCATAATCACAGGTACTCATGCAACAAACCCAGAAGCTAAATGCCTAGCACTGGGACTGAGGAAGAAGAGGTTGGAAATTGAGTTAAATAAGGCACAGTTTTAACTCATCCTATTAAACGCAGAACGAAAGCTGAAAAACATGAAATGACTTAGTCATAAAGATGGCTTGTTGACCTGCAAAAGATGGAAGGGAGGTCATGGCAGAGAAGAGGGGTGAGTAGTCGGGGGAAAACAGACTGTAAACCCTACATTTCCAAGAACAGTCTTCCCCAAAGCCAAGTACGAAGGAGGGACAGCTCTATGGTGGTGCTTTGTAGACTAAAAAGGACAGGACCCGGAGATCCTCATGTTCTAGAGAAAAACTAGTTCTAGGGGGCTAAGTGCATGCCCTGCTACTAGGGTTAAAATGACAGTGGCTCTTCCCCGCAGTCAAGCCAAAGAGAGATGTGTTTGTTATTCCAGAAAGCATTGTAAGAATTAAGACTCCTCTTGACCTCAGCAAGAAATGGGTCTGGGTAGATGTGTGATTCCAAACATCAAGGGTCCCAATGTTTCATCACATTGAACATGTTGTTTAAGCACCTACAAGATTCACTGCAGAGGATCAAATGATGTGTCTACTCTTGATAGACACCTCACTGCCTGCCTCCCTATCTATATACAGAGGGGCATATTTGCTTATATAGGTCCCAGCCCTCAAAAGTGTACAGGCACCCTTACAGAAAGAATCTATAAGGTTTAACGACTTAACCTGATGACACCTGGTTTTGATCTGAGGAAAGATACATATAAATACCAAGTAATGCAAACAGTTCAGTGATTTCTTCCAGAGAAACAGGAAAGGACTAGGTTTCTCATGGGAAAACAAACTGCATGCTCAAAATGTACCTTAGATGATGCTAACAAATGAGGAGAAAACTTGACAAACTAATGGCAAACTAACCTTGTTGGCAAAGTACAGCAACCATCTGCAGTTAGTCTGACTTGAGTTTCATAGCTGTCCGGGGGACACGCGGTCTGCTGAACAGGAGGGCATTCCACAGTCCTGCAGTCCACGCCGAAAACTGAAAGGGGCAAACAGAGAGGCACCGTTTATTGTTATATTTACTTGCTTTTGGAGTCCCTAAATGAAATACTAGCTCTTGACAAATGTCCAAAGTCTCCTTGCTTCCACAAACCCAGTCCTAGTGTCGACATGTTACTCCAGTTAATGCTATAGAACTGCAATATTCCTCAAATTTTCTGTGTAAGGAAAGAGGTGGGGATGAGATATTTAAGAGCTACAATGAAGACAGAGAAAGAATTAAACCAGCAGTGGTTACATGGATAGTGACAGTTAGCCAGAGGCATTTCTGATTGATAGAATAGTTCAAGAGACGGACAAAGGATCACTTTGCTTGGAGCGTTTATCTAGCAGTTAAAAAAAAAAAAGAAAGAAAGAAAAAGAAAAACCCAAACAAAAAAACAACTGGCCGATGATTAGAAACTTGCAAAGAGGAAATCGCTATAACTCAGAAGTGTTCACAGACCACATCGGAAATGCTGCCACAAGAGCAAGGATGTTAGAAATAATATAAAGCAAGAAACAGCTGGGATACAACAGTACATCAAATGTTGGCAAAGAGGGTGAGTAAACAGTCAAAGATGACTTGGCACATGCTATAAAGTAAAGAGGGCAGATGCGGGGGAATTGGCAAAGAGAAAGATTGGGGCTGAGTGTTGCATTATGAAACTTCTGGCGTTTTGATGCATGTATTCATCTAAAAATAACTTTCTGTTTTACGTATGATGATTGTTTTTAAATGTAATAATTCAAAGTGGCAGATATAGCTGCAAATAAGGTCTCTGACCTTCTCTGGGGAAATGAAGCAGATTGCCATAGTACCATAAATTTTAACCCTACCTCCCCAGTCAAGCATACTTTGAAGGAAAAAAAGAAGAAAAGAGGAAAAGACACGCTCGCTCTCCGAAGGCGCTTATGTACCAGTGGATGATCACTCTGGTTCTCTGACTAGAAGGCCAGAAGTCAAGCTGCCATTAGCCCAAAGTGGCAGATTCACAGGACACCGGTGAGAAGGCCCATCTTCGTGTGAAAGGAGAGGCCAGGGGTGGCTGAGGAGGGATCTGCTACCCTCTGATGCAAAGGAACAAGGCTGCTGAGACAGAGCTCGTGCATACCTGGTTTGCACTCATAGAGGTCACAGCACTCTCCCGGCTTCCCTGAGGCTTTTGACACTAGTATGTTCAGGTTTCCCGGCTGGCAGACTTTGCGCAGACAGCCTGCGGGGTTGCACACGCAGCGGCTGGGTAAGGGACAGCACTCCCCAGGAGGAGCATAACCCTCGATCAGAACAGAATCTTCAGGACAACGTGGAGAGAACTGGACTTCACAGCGGGCCTTGGAGCAATCTGGCTTCTCTTCTAAAAGGGAGAGAAAGAATTTAGCTTATGCCCAGGGCAGTGTGGGGCACTTTCAACAGAAGAACAAACAGTCCTGATGATCTATTTAAGTAGCCAAAGAGGACGGTAGGGAAAGAAATTCAGTGTAAACCTTCAAACTTAGTTTAACTAACAATGAAAACCTCACCCAAGATCTGCCCATGACACCAAAATATGAGCCTGAAATTCCCTTCTTCTCCGTCTCCCTACCCACTTGTGTTAAACAATGAACATCTGGAGCAATGACCAAAATGAAGAAAGCTGAAGGGAAGATGCACCCATGGCGTGGAGAATCTGAAAACTGGACCCATTCCTTGAGTAACTGAAAGATCTTTGAATTCAAAAGAGCTTTAAAGGCTGTTCTTTGAAAACAGTGTACCTTAAAACACAAACAAATCATGGCTACTTCAGAAACTGGAGACAATGTGTACGACAATCAACATGGAGGAACTCTACCTGCACACTCTGAGTTATCAATGGTATTCTATTAATAGTCTGTGACTTTACGATGTGGCAGCTTAGCAAGATGGATAATGAGCCAAATTCCCGTGTAATTTCCTGAAATGGCACCTGATGTGCTTCTATTTCTAGCAGAGCTCCATCAAATGCACCTTATTCCCCTCTGTCTAATATTATCTGCCGACCCATTGCTGTATCTCAATTTTAGAGATGCGAAAAATAAAACAATGTGGGTTTACTCAGATTTTACGATGGAGGAGCAAAGCCCTGGCTTCTGAAACCCCAGTCCACAGTTTAGCTTCTTGGGTTGAGTTTTAAGAGACCTATACGAACATAAGGCCCTTGAGGAAAAGATGGAAATAGACTAAAAGACATCATCCCAGCCCAGGACCTTTGGTGGGAGATGGGGAGTTCAGGAGACATTAGGTGAAATTGATGCCAGTTAGTACCAGGCAATGTTTCCGTAAGTGTTAATTGGTCTTCCTAAAGTAAAACCCAAACACAGAATTGGGTAGTAGGATAAGACCCAAAAGGTCACCTAGTTTAGTTTTCTCATTTTGTAGATAAAGAACGTCTGAGGCCCCAGAGCTTAAGTGACCTGGCTAAGGTCATTGGTAAACTTAAAGCAAGAATCCAGGTCACCTCATTCCAGTCCACTCAGGTCTTGATATCATAGCAGTGGATCTCTTTTTAAAACCATGCCTGTTCCTCTAGTCATTTTCTACCTTGATTGCTGTATCTTTCCTCTTCCTTATCTATTTCTTGTCTACCTAAGACATAATATAGGAGACTCTTCATACTTATAGTTCTAGTAAATTCACTGAAACATTGACTGAGCACCTGTTGCTTCAGCAGCTTGGGATATGTCAGTAAAGAGGAAAGACACAGGTTCCTGACCTTGTTAGTTGATATGGTGGTGGAGGATGACAGAACATAAGTAACAAACATTATAAAGAAGCAAATTATATAGTAGTAAAGGGTGATATGTGCTATGAGGGGAAAACAAGAACAGAGTAAGAGGGAATTGGAATGCTTAGAAGAAGTGGGTAGCAGTTACAATGTGGTGAGAATGGATGGGCATGATTGAGAAGTTTACGGCTGAACAAAGACTTGAAGGAGTGAGGGGACGAGCCACGGAGATACTTTGGAGAAGAGCATCCCAGCAGAAGGAACTGCTGACGCAGGCTTGTGTGTCCCAGGAAGAGTAAGAACGTCAGTGTGGCTGAGGCACAGTGAGAGGACAAACAGGAGATGAGGTTGGATGAGCAGCAGGGGTACCTGGCGATTTAGAACCCCTTATGCCATTTTCAAGACTGTACCGTTCACTATGGGACAAATTAGAGATTTGATTATATAGAAAGAGGAAGAGAATAATTCAGAAAAACAGGTCCCTTCTTAGAAAGATAGGACTTTGGGAACCTGGGCAACAACAGGAAGGCACACAATATCTGGGGAGGAAGGAGACGTGGGAGGAGGTTGGAAAGGCACTTGGCAAGAAAGAATATGGAGGAAGACAAATACTAGCACTGTTTACCACAGCTGGGTACCGGGTGTGTTGGAGAACGAGATGAGATGGGTTGAGTCTTAATGCTGCCTTCCTTCTGCCACCTACCTTATGACTACACTTAATTTTCCTGTTGGATAGAATACCACTTCATGGCACCTGTGCCTCACTCAGGGGAAACATTCATTTGCAGGCCTCTACCCTCCCTGTGGCTATCACCCACATGCCAATATCCAATAAGCAGCTTAAAGCAGAATGGAAAATAAAACAGCCTCTGTCCTAAGAACAGACTTCATTAACACACATGCCATGTGCTCATGTCACAATAACCCCAGAAGGTTAGTTATTATTTGCTCCATTTTACAGATGATGAAACTGAGATTCAGATTTATTTGCCCAAGGTCACACAGCTAGTAAATGGTGATGTGGTGATGTGAAACTTGGTCCATCCAGTTCCAGCTATGTTCCTCTGTAATAATATGACTCCTGTCTCAGGAATCACTACTGTGATCCTGAGTCATCAGCTGATTTCTCTGGGCACAGCTCCTTCCCTTTCAGAAATGTGGTTTTTGTTAAAGCTACCGGGTTAGCTACATCCCTGCTCCCTCTTACCAGTCTTATCTCACTGCATGTCTCATGGGAGCTACAGCCTATACGCCACATGTGCTTGGGTCAAACAGGAGTCTCAGAGAATCCATCTAGCCCACTTTCATAGTATAACCCCCCAAGGAACTGCCGTGAGAAGAGAACATGATTAACTAATAAGGAATTCCACTCTCAGAGCCCCATCAGTGTGGAGGAGAATAAATCAAAGAGGTGAGGAGGAGAAGGCGAATCTTGAATGTATGCAGATTAAGTTGGAGTTTGTAAACTGCATTTGGTAGACTGCTTATCTGGCAAACACATTGTTTTATAATTAAGAAAAGCTTTGTGACTTTGATTGCAAATAGCACTTAATTCCTACTCTTGTTAATTTGCTGTCATTAATATATTCTTATCATATTCTATTACATTTTTATTTTACAAAATATTTAGTATGTAATAATCAGAATTTTGAAACATATGCTTCAATTAAACATCTCCATTAAAACCCAACATATTAGATCTTACTGGTTATCCCACTCTTTTTTTTTGTTTTTTTTTTTTGAGATGGAGTCTTGCTCTGTTGCCAGGCTGGAGTACAGTGGCACAATCTCAGCTCACTGCAACCTCCACCTCCTGGGTTCAAGCAATTTTTCTGTCCCAGCCTCCTGAGTAGCTGGGACTACGGGTGCGTGCCACCACATCCAGCTAATTTTTGTATTTTTAGTAGAGATGGGGTTTCACCATGTTGGCCGGGCTGGTCTCGATCTTCTGATGTTGTGATCCACCCGCCTCAGCCTCCCAAAGTGCTGGGATTACAGGAGTGAGCCACCGCGCCCGGCTGGTTATCCCACTCTTTAAGTTCTTTTTGACAGTCCCAACATTGTCACCTCTCGACGTGTGTTTTGCAGTTCGAGCCTGAAGAGATGGATTTATGTCTTAAGAGCTGCCTTTGTAATAAAAGTGGAATAGGGTAGGCTACCAAAGACACAGTCTTAAGTGTAAGTCGATCAGAGTTTGACGGCTAGAAGGGATGTAAGAATGTTAAAAATGCAGGTTAAATCTTATTAAATGCTTTTCAACTTTTCAAGATGATCAATCACACTGGCTTTCTCTTTATTAATATAATCGGTTGGATTTTAAATCATCCTTGTGTTCTAAGAATAAACTGTTTTTAAAGATCCTGTTGAATTTGACTTCCTAACATTTTAAGATTTTTAAATTTATAAACTTGAGTAATGTTCATCTTTAGTTCTCTCTCTTTTTATGTTGGCCTTATCCAATTTTAGTTTCAAAGTTACACTAACTCTTTTTTTTTTTGAGATGGAGTCTCGCTCTGTCACCCAGGCTGGAGTACAGTGGTGCAATCTTGGTTCACTGCAAGCTCTGCCTCCCCGGTTCACGCCATTCTCCTGCCTCAGCCTCCGGAGTAGCTGGGACTACAGGCGCCCACCACCTCGCCCGGCTAATTTTTTGTATTTTTAGTACAGATACGGTTTCACCGTGTTAGCCAGGATGGTCTCGATCTCCTGACCTCGTGATCTGCCCGCCTCGGCCTCCCAAAGTGCTGGGATGACAGGCGTGCGCCACCGTGCCCAGCCTCCTCTAGTGTTTTAAGATTAATGCTTGGTTCATTTCTATTTGGTTGTCTTATAACAAACACATTTCTTAAAGAGTTATTATACAAACAATTTTAATTATGCTTTGAATATTTCAATCAAATATTGCTTTGGTTATATTCTGATTTTTGATAATGTATTGCTTTCAGTGTGACTTGTTGCTAAGTAATTTATATGTTTCCTTTTTAAAGACTTTTTAGAAGAGTGATATTAAATTTCTGCATAGCTACATTTTGGGGAGCTTTCTTTTTTAATTTATAGTCTTACTGCCTGGTTGCCAGAGAATGGAATGTAGGCTGTACAATTCTCTACTTTTGTTAACTTCTTGAGTTTTGCATGTTTTTGGTTTTTAGCACGTGTGTGTATGTATGTGTGGTCTCATAACCAATTTTAAAATAGATGGGTATTTGAAAAGAACATATATCCTCTGTTTATTACATATAATCTTGCGTTATCTATTAAATCAAGCTTAATTATGACATTCTGATTACCTATACCTCCCATTTTTTACCTGATTTCCAAGAGGGATCTGTAAAATCTACTACGAGCCAGTAACTTCTCTTCAAATTTCCAGCACTTACTTTAATTTTTCAAAGCTATGTTTTTAACTTCATGACTAGCAGGCATAAGATTCAAGCCTTCAAATTGTGAAGTTATGCTTTCAAATAATTTAGATTTCAAAAGTCTCCATCTTTCTTATTTTGTAATTAACATTCCTTTTTCTCTTCTTTCAACCCTCTATTCACCTTTCAATAAATTATCTAGAATCCCTACTCACCCTGCATCTTCCTCTGCCCCGAACTAGTCATCAGCTTGTCACTTAAATGTAGTACAATTACCATAACATCAGGAATTGTTTTTCTGAAACCTTTTTTTTCAGCCTTTTCTATAAATTCTCCCATCAGATTTTATTTATTCTTCTCTGTCTCTATTCTATGTTTTTTCCATGGAGAAAATAAGGATAAAACTACAGCCACTCCATCAATTAGAAAGTTTTTCTGACATTACTTCTGAATTTTTAATTTTATCTATTTGAAGTCTCTCCTAACTCTTTCCCTATGGTGTCTAACAGATCTATATATAATACTTAAAATAACTTCTATGTCTGATTACACTGATAACAGTGCAACAGACATTAAAAAAAAAAAAAGCCTGCCCAGATATAGAAAGACCAAAGTGACAATATCACTTGCAACAGAAGTAACTATGGAAAAATAACCTGGTTTCATCATCTTAATAATCTTTAAGAAGTTAGTATTAAAATATTGACAGGCTCACCCAATATAAAATGATTTTACCATAACCCTGGAAAGTTTCTATCAATCCTGGTCACTTTAATGTGTATGACTGGATCTTGGCCATTTTTAGGCCCTCTTCAGGTCCATATGTCAAGGAAGTATAGGTTGGTGCAAAAGCAATCGCTGTTTTTGCCATTGAAAGTAATGACAAAAACTGCGATTACTTTTGCACCAACCTAATACAATCATGATCTACGAGAAGCAAATGCATGCAAGAGCTTCTGCTTAAAAGCAAATTTAAATAAAACACAAAGACAAATGAAAAACTACTGGTAGTAAGAGGAAAAAAAAAGAAGATAAAAATTACATTGGCAGATTACCATTATTTCTATTTAAAGTTTGTAGAGTCCCATACATCTGACACTGAAAACTTCTATTTTGAAATCTCTTCTCGTTCTTCATTCTCTCTCTCTGTCTCTCTCTCACTCACACACACACACACACACAGTGAGATACACAGCCATCCTGAGACAATCCTTGGGCGGTTCAAGCTACTTCGGGGAATTCAAAGGACCCCAAATTTGGATTATATTTGATAGCGGAAATTTAGTAGGTAGAACACAAAGTCAAGAGAAGAGTCTGGGGTCACTGTTTTTTCCGACACCTCCCTCTGATGTCTTTTATAATCTAAAGCCCTAGAGTAGCCGTGGTATCAGCCTAGAGTATCACGGGGGCCCTTGGTCACTCAGTAGCACAGGGAGACCAACCTTGAGAATTACAATTCTGGAGAAGACAGACAATAAAAAGCTACACAGCACCATGCCAGGTTATGATAAAGGCTTTGCAGCATATTCAGTGATACGGGTGCCATGTGTCACCAGGCGAGTGAAGGAAGGTATCTCTGACATGGCATCGCAACACAGGCTTGCATGAAAGAAGGGAGAAAGCACACAAAACACAAAGCAAGAGTGTTCCAGACAAAGGGAATGGCAAAAATGATGGCTCTAAAGCAAGAAGAAAGGGCCTACTCTTCAAGTGGAAAAACAGACTTCATGATTATTAATAAGAAATCTAAACTGATACAATTAATAGGCAGAAAATACCAATAAAGACTCAACAAGAAAAATGTTTTGATGGATAATGCTTCTTATTAAGCATTAAATTCTCATGGTCATGCTGGAGAAATGAAAGAAATCTCTACTAATTGAGCATCTCCTACGTGTGGGGCACGCCTCTACTCATTCTCACACGCCTTTGTACTCCTGTGTGAAGAAGAGATTATATCTTCATGTCTACTTGACAGATGAAGAGAGAGACCCAGAGAGGATAAGAAACTTGGCCAAGGTCACAAAGCAAGTGGCAGAACTGCCAAAGCCCATGATTTTCCCACTAGTCGTCCATAATGCCAAAAGCAAGAAGAGCTTCAACTTTCCTACTCGGCGTTGCTGGTATCTGTATATTTAGTCAATAGCTACATTTTTGCTTAAATACAGAGGACAAAATTAATTTGCAAAGATAAAGAGGTTCAGTGTCTTTAGCGTATCCTCATTACTTTCTTGCTGGCTGTTCTATTTCACTTGTTCCTTGGCCTTAGAGATATCATGTGATAAAAGGAGGAACTTTCTTATATTCAGCATTACTTTGTTCTTAAAACTTTTATTACAAATGTAATACGTATGTCATCCCTAAGTTTTTAAATTTAGAGACTGACTCCTTTAAAGTTACACTGTGAATTCTTTTCATACACATTCCATGATTTTATCATAACCTTTTTTGGCAAGCTTTGCTGTGAAGACTTGTTCCGCACAATCATAACCCCAAGGGGAAAAAATTAGACTTGTTGATACAGTCCCAGAAATATTTCATATTTCAAGCTCGTTCAGAAACACCCACTGCACTTTCCCAGCACTATCTTAAGACTCCGAATTTAGGATTTAACAGCGACGGAATCTTTGCAGAGTCTTTTCTTGGTGGTTTGTCAAAAATGCCATATTAAATTGTTTTTGACTACCTAATAAAGCTAGTTTGCATCACTGTGCAGTATAACTTAGCCAAATATAAAGGGAAAAAAGTGATCTGTAAGACTGTAACGTGATTTCTTAATTCAGTGGTTCTCAACCCTGGCTGTGCATTAAAATCACTCACAAAGATTTTAAAAATACCACTGTCTGGATCCCACCTCAAACCAATTAAATCAGAAATTCTGGGGGAGGAGCCTGGGCATTAGTACTTGTTTAAATAGCTCCCAGGGTGATTCTATTGTGCAATTGGGCCTGAGAACCACTGCCTTACTCCAAGCAAACAGAGAATCTTTACAATGAAGCTCCCTATTGACAGTACAGCTTCGCCAAGGGCATGTTCCAACACCCTGGCAAGCCACAGCTGGCCAAGTGCCAAAGAAGCACTGAGCCCTCCAGATCTCTGCCTGCCACCAGGTCTAAGGCATATATCGGCCCCACCGTGCCTCTAGGAATCTCCTGAACCACACATCTTTTCTTCCCAAACGATGTTATGGAATTGCATTCATAATGATGCTTTAGATTAGAGATTTGTTACTTAAAGTGTGGCCCCTAGACCAGTAGCCTCAGCAACACCTGGGAGCTTGGGAGCTTGCTGGAAATGCAGAAACTTAGACCTCACTCCAGTCCTACTGAATCAGAATCTGCATTTTAGCAAGATGCACAGTAAAGTTTGAGATGAACTGCTCTAAAGTGATGGTTCTCAAACAATGATCCTTGCACCAGCAGCATCGGCATCTCCTAAGGAGCTCGCTAGAAGTGCAAATTCTAAGGCCCACCAGACCTACAGAATCAGAAATGCTGGGAGTGGGGCTCGGTAATCTGGGTTTGAACAAACCCTAGAGGTGATTCTCATGCATACTATAGTTTGAAAATTTAGTGCCAGAATAATGACTGTCAACCTCGGCTGCCCATTAAAAACCCTAGGAGAAGATTAAAAATCCAAAAGCTCAGAGTGCACCCCAGACCAATTCCAATTAAACAGAATTACTGGAAGTGGTACCCTGGTATCGGTATATATTTTTTTTTACAGTTCCCCAGCTGACTCCAATCTGCAGTCAATGCTGACCTATTGTTCTAGGGACCCTCAACCCCTTCATCCTCTACACTCCCAGGAGATTTAAAGCTGCTTTAATTCTTAGGAAATCGGATCCAACTAGTGTTCCCTGGAATCTTCCTGGAAAAGTCAGAGCTTCCTGGGAGGAAGGAAAAAAGTTCAGAGTGGCTTCCAGGATTTGCCTTTTATGGGAGGTAGTGGGGTGGAAGGACTGGGGAGTGGGAGAGCCGGATGCCAAATGTGGCCTGTTTGCATCCTACTGAATTTTAAAACAGTTTTCAAATATTTACTGAGTTCAGAGACATTTTATTTCATCTGTTAATTCACACCAGAAAAATATATCCAACCTACTCCCAGAAAAAATTGCCATTCAAATAATTATATTTATATATTCACACACCATAACAAATTTCAAAATGTAACAATGAATTTATTTTTTTAAAAATCTGGCAATAAAATAAGGCCTAAGGATGGTTTAGATAAATGTACAAAGAACTAAAGACTGGTTTCAAAACGTTTAATTTTACCTAATAAACTACAGTCTTCTCTGAATACCTCCCCCACCGAACACATTTTGCCATAAACACTGACCCACAAAAAAGGAATCAAAATTATTAGAGAATGGGACAAATGACTAATGAGGTAAATTAAATGAACTAAATTTGTATAGCCAGCTCAGCAACATTTTAAGAAGACTCTTTATAACAGCTTGAAAATGTCACAGAGGCATAAACATTAGAAATTAAGAACTCCCCAAGTAATGTTTACCGGAAGGTGGCATCCATTTTAGAACAACAAATAAAACCTCTATCAACTTTTCCTCCACTGAGGAAGGGACACGGTAACTTGGTTCTTCCTTTGTGCAACAATGACAGCAATTTGAAAAAAGTACATAATAAAATGTCAGATTTTAAATATGTCAGAGTGAAGGGTCTGGTGTTCATCTGTAAAATGAGGGGCTGGCCCTTGTGGGTGTCTCCTATGAACATATTCCAACCAGATGTTCTGAGAGCCCTTCCTATGCAGTCAGGTTCCAAGGATGCTCAGTTCCTGCTCATTCAAGGAAGACCGACAAACGCTTGCTGAATTAAAGGAGCAGCCAGTCATGTTCCTTTAAACCTCCAGTATTTGTCAACACTCTATAGAGTTTTTAGTAGTGTAGTAGAAAGTGTGATCTTACGTGATTTTAAAGACAAGGAACAATAAACCAAGGGTATTATCGTAATATTGTCAAAAAATTCCCGAGTCCCAGAGGTGGCATATGGATTTCAGATGTTTTTAGAAAGACTTCAAAGAATATCGTGTGTTGATCTGAGATTTCTGAAAGTGACTTTACTTATGTAATTAAAATGATATAGCAAGAACAAAAAGAGGGTGCTGAATAGAGTGTACAGGGCATAAAGACATTTATTCTACAAGACTGCCTTGGAGAGTAAAAGAATATATACTTTTTCATATTATGTAAAATATAAAGTGTGTAAGTATAAAAACATTTCATACATATATGTGTATATACATATACACACACACAGAGTACTCACAGGTTCTTATGTTTTCTCCTCAGTTTGTTTTAAACCTAACACCTAACGCGATGTCCCAAGGCACAGATGTAATCACTCCATGCTTGCTATGTCTCAGAAAGGTAAAGTTGATTCTGAAACACAGACACACACTCATAGGCATGGGTACACACACACACAGTCCTCTTACATGCCAAAAGTTTTACTCTCAAGTGCTGTTTCTCTGTCAGCTTCCAATACTTTCTCTTTATAAATCGTCTCCACTCTGGAGAGAAGGAAGGAAGCAGCCTTATATAGGTAATTTCTCCTGGAGACTGTTCTCAGCTATTTCTACATTCAAGATGTGTGGATGGGCCCTGTTTACAAAGTTGTCAAATTGACAAGATGGCATAGAATGGTAAGGAGTGCCTCCAAAAACAAACAAAGATCTCCCAGTGTTTAGACCCATACCATAAAGGCTCTCCCTGGTGAGAAAGTGCTTCTGCAGACCCCTCCCAGAGGTGGGCATGCCTCTGAGAACAGCCTCATTCTGGTCCTAGGACTCCTTCTGTGAAGGCATCTCCACCCTTCTGGGCCATTCCTTCGGCTCCAGCAAACTTCCTAATCAGACTTGCACTGGGGCAAGCCCCTGATGGAGCCCCGCGTTTCTATGCCCTGTTTGTGTCCTTTGGGTATCCACCACGACTGCCAAGAGGGCACCCAGAGACTACAAATATGTGAGCTGCAGCTGAGCAAAGGGATGTGTTTACTTTCCATCCTGAACTACAACTTGACCTGTAGCAAAAACAAAAATACTGCAATGTGTATTTTTTTCCCAGAAATGATAATTATAGTACTCCAAACATTTTTCAAACTTCAACTACCAAAATAGAAAAGGCATTTCAACAAATAATTTATTAAATAGGTACTTATATTCTTGGTAGCCCTTACATGGAAATCATACTTTTTCCCCCCTTCATAGCCATTAAAGGGCTTGGCTTCTGGCTCAAAGCCATCTTCCAGGGCAAGATGGGGTTCAGCCTCCCAAGCAGAGGTAGGTGGAAAAAGTACTCCCTGTTCATCACAGTCAGTATGGGTTTATAAGCACCTTTTTCTATTTCAAAATACCAGCAATTTAAGCAGTACAGTGTGTATACGGAGGAACTTTTGCACATCTGGCTGACGGGATGTGCTGGAATGGAAGCCTAAGGCTAGATACACCCTTGGTCCCAAACACAGGAGGTACAGTACTTACACTCCTTTCAGCAGCATCATGAGAACCCCGGCTTATTTTAACAACTCTCTCTGAAGGGAATGCTCCCTCACCTGGTCCCTTACTTCTAGTTCAAGTCTTTTTGATCCCAGGACTCCCATCAGGGTACACCCTTGTAACTACCACTGTCAGGCTTCCCAACACTCTTTAGACCACTGGTTCTCAGAAGTGAGCAAGGCAAACGCTTTTTTAAGCACAGATTGCCAAATCTTATCCCCTGGTCTTGGGTGAAGCCTCAGGATGTGTGCTTCTAACAAATTCACAGGCTCCTGATGCTGCTGTCTAGGCACCGTGCTTTGAGAACTACTACTTTATACCATATCCACTTGCAAACATCAGTCTCTTGTAAGCTCCACCATCTTCTCTCCTCCCCCTAAAAACAGCTGCTTTCTCTCTTTCTGTGTGCTGGTCTCTCTTTTCTATAAATGCACAGTAGAGCTGGCTCAAGGTATAGAGGACAGCGACAGTCTTGATGGACCTGAACAAGAGCCGTCCCCGCCAATCTCATCCTCTTCTATACCATACAGCAACCCACACAGAGCCCAGCATCTAGGCCTGAGAGAGAATTCAGAGAGGAGTACAATGGAGGGAACAGGCAAACTGTTGAGGCTTCCACAGCAAGAAGAGATCATGACTGCTTCCAAAGTGAACACTGTGTTCTGCGTCAGTGTTGCTCCCATATTCCAGGATTCTCTTCCATTTTCAAATGTCACGGGACATCATGATTCCACAAATAAGTCTCAACAGATTATGGTGAAACAGCTCTCACAAAGCCACATGCCAGTAGTTGGGAATTTGTGTTATGTGCAATAAGAGTGTCATGAAATTTAATTCTATAAATGTTATGGGGATTGGGCTCCACACAGGTGCTAGGGACCTAAGTTCCTTTCAGCTTTTTTGCCCATTCAATCCCTACGGTGCAGCCCTTGTCCATATGGTATTCCAACTGTGGGAGAGGGGAAAAGTAGAAGGGGAAGGCGCAACTCTAAACAGCATTATGGGAAAAGGAGCACTGTCATTTATGCTCACTTCATGGACCAGGACTCAGTCACGTGGCCACACCTCCCTCAACGGTGTCTTTATTCTGGGTGACTGTATCTTTAAACATTTTATATCTACGCAGGAAGAGGAGAATGAACACATGTATATGGGGACAATTAGAAACTTCTGCAACAAGTTTCCTAAGACAATGAACTGTAAGAATAATGGAAGTATTTTGCCTTAAGAGCGAATGTAAGTAAAGCATTCTGAATCACTTGAGAAACACTCAAACAAGTAATATGTGTACTTCTTACCAAAGCTCTACATCTATTTGTTACAAGATAGAAGATTCTTACTCATTAACTCCAGGAATATTTAACCAACTGCTAAATAAGAGACACTATAATAAGTTGGGTATTTTAATAAAAGCAATGAGGTACAGAAAACGCTTTGTCATCCACAAGCCTAGATTTTCTGTATATATGAACTTTAAGCAGAAAGCCCAGGCTTCTTCTACAGTATTCTATAGCTCAGAATTTTCAATAAATCAATCTAATCCTTCCTACAAAAAAGATGAATTAGAGATTTGAAGCTTTAACTACAAGAGAATAGGGGAATCAATATTACATACAAATGTGGGAATGATTCTGTCTACAAGACTTACTTGTCAAAGGAGAAGAAAAGTTGTCTTAATCAGAAATTCGTAGATATGAGTAAAGAAAACAGTGACTTAGAAAAGCCAAATGACTTGCCCAAGGGTCATTTACCTATGAATGTCAAGGCAGGGCCAGAAGCCCAGTCTCCTGGGAAGTCCTGCACTGCTTCCATCAAAACACACAGTCATCATCCTAACCTTCTCATTTTTCAGTCTGTAGTCTGCATCTTACACTGATAGTTATTTGATCTCTTACATAATATTTAAAATTGCTTAGAATCTAGCTGAAAAAGTGTTTGATTACAAAGTTCCTTTATCATGAAATCAGCTAAACATACAAACCAAACCAACACAAAAATAACCCTTTATTAGTGGAGTGGCTAAGAAAGGTCAGAAGAGCAACCTTTAGTCATAGGACAGCTATAGTGCTGTCCACCAGCCAGGTGCTGATAGGCTACCCAGCCACACAGGCGGAGCCTCGCCCCCTGAGACACAGTGAACAAATGGGCTAGGAATGGGAGCCAGGGCAGGCCTGCAAGATGGAATACAAGGGCAATCTGTCTGTACACCAAGGGTCTTGGGGCTGGAGCCCTAGACAGAGAGAGCGCCCATGAGGAACAACCTAGGGCCTCCATACCATAGGGACTTCTCTGTAACAACTGAATCCCCAGAAGTTTAGACCTCTGGCAGTCTCCTTAACCCATTCAGAAGATGAAGTCCAGCCAGAGGAAAGTAGAAGCTCTTCCACCAGAGCCACTGGTAAGACTAGACAGGGTGTCTCAACATGAAAGATGGTAGAATGCTTCCTGTGGAAGTTGTGTGTCTGCTTCAGGCCTTGGCTTGTTACGGCTCCCACCTCTGAAAGCTTTCTGTCTACAAGACCCTCTCATGCTGCCATGGCTTCCTCACAGTTCAAACAGTGCTTCTCTGCTCTTGTTCTGATCCTTGGTTTTATGAGGGGAAGTTAATTACCTGAACATCTCCTGCTGATGGCTGAAAGACTCTATCCCTATATTGAGTGGATGCATCTGCCTCCCTAGTCTTGTGAAGGCACTGCAGATCTCCTACCTAGCAAATGAGGAGGATGAAGCCAGCCTTCTCTATTTCTTCCCCATTTTCTCCTCTTCTTTTTCTTTTCTTTCTTTTTTTTTTTTGAGACAGAGTTTCACTCTGTCACCCAGGCTGGAGTGCAGTGGTGCGATCTCGGCTCACTGCAACATCTGCCTCCCAGGTTCAAGCAATTCTCCTTCCTTAGCCTCCTGAGTAGTTGGGATTATAGGCGCACACCACTACACCCGGCTAATTTTTGTATTTTTAGCAGAGATGGGGTTTCACCATGTTAGTCAGGCTGGTCTTGAATTCCTGACCTCGTGATCCACCCGCCTCAGCCTCCCAAAGTGCTGGGATTACAGGCGTGAGCCACTGCGCACGGCTCCTTTTCTTACCATTTTTAAAGTCACTGCTACTCTCATTTTCAGGAAAGTCATTTATTAAAATTTGGGGTTTATGTCAATGCTATCCTTTGTCCATGTTATAATTAAAAAACATAAAAATGTGTCTGGAATAGGGAAAGCACTACACATACAAAAAAGGAGCCTTGTGGGAGGTCAGATATAAACAAGGGGGAGTGGTAGTACCACAGGTTTTCTTTAGTGATACTGGGAGCTTGATGGACTGGCTCAATGTGAATTTCTACTCTAAGTAATTTTTAACAACAGATTAAGAAGCCACCTTTTGTCCCTGACTTACTGCCCATTTTCTGAGCTCCAGGATCCAGACTATTGCTCTAATTCCTAGTTCTACTTGGACATACCAGTTCTTCACTATCTTCCCTATTCAAGATAATTTCTTCCAAAGAGGCTAAGGGAATCCTATAGCCAGATATTCTTTATTTAAAAAACATACACAATGTTTGATACAGGTGGCTATTGATACATGCTAGGGATTTTACTTGATCTCAAAGACTTAAATAAGAGACTTGAGACATCTCAAATGACCTTCAAGATTAATGATTGTAACTCAAAAAGGCAATTCAGTCAAGATATCATTACTGGGCCTCCTATAAAAAACGGATGGATCATAATTGTCCCAGAAAGTGAAATTTTACACTGGCCAGTACACTCACTGAGGTATTTCCAGAAATTGCTCTTCTTGGTTCTGGACTATGCATTTCAGAGATTCAATCTATTGCCAAATACAGCATGCCGGCTTTTTAATTGGTCCCAGATTTCTGTTTTTTGGTAAAGAATCATCACTTTCTAGGAACATGTTATTCCTCTGCACTCCCATCACCAGGCCTTCTTTCACAAAGAAAACAGTTTTGACTAGTTCATGACTTCCTACATATGTGATAATGGGCTAAAAACAATTGGGTGGTTGGCTTGTCACCAGCTAAGTGATTTTCCCCTGCACAGGGGCTTCACCTGATTCAAATGACAAACCACTACATGACATGGATCCTCTGGGTCACTGTTTCATAAATAACTGAATTCATGAATGTTAAAGCAATGAATTGCAAGGCTCTACTCTGTTGGTTTCTGAGTAATAAATCTTGTATAATTCATGGTTATTCGTATTTAGCAATAACCTCACACCTAACTCTTCTACCCATTACCCACTTAAGAATGCATCAGAAGGCACCACCTCATCTGAGCCTCTGATGAGAATGTTGCTGATAATGGAATTTGTCACCAGTAAGCCCCCTTTTGAGTCAGAAAAGGATTTTTCAATTTGTAATTACAAGGGCACTCTGGAATCTAATTTCCGTTCCAAATTATGTTATTGTGAAGCAAGAATTATTAAATTAAGACAATGATTCTATATTGGAAAATAACTTAGACTAACTTCCAATAATAATTTAAAAGTAAGTAATCTAAGTTTAATCTGCTAGAAATATGTAAAGCTAATAGAGTTCTTCAAGTGAGTTTTCAGTAATGAGTCTAACACCGACCTGTACCAGTACTCCTAGTGAAATAGTTTTAACATGAAAATTCTGCTCAGCAGTTGATCTTCTGATATTATTTCTGAATGAGTATATCTAACAGTTGAGGGCTTACTATCAATATGTTTAGTCTGCTAGAGCTGTTTATTAAGGCTGGGAACCACATTATCCTTATATTACTCAGAAAGCCAAGTGGTATTCATTCTTTCATTTGCAAATGTTCCTGAGCAGCTACTTGACCCACAGTGAGTATGATACCCAGTCCCTCACCTCCACAAACTCACTACTGAGCTCGGAAGAACAAGAGGAACATTAGCTAGCATGGATTGGTCTCAGCCATGGACTCAGTCCCGGGCCTGACTTTAACTGCTTACGTGATTTGGACAATTATTTTCATCTCAATGGGCTTCCGTGTCCTCTTGTACCAATAGGAAGGGTAGCATATGAATCCTAAGGTTCTCTGCACTCCAAGAAGAGAGAATAGAGGAAATAATTTAACAAAAGAAAACAATAATCAAAGAGGTGACTGCAGGCAATCTGTTATATTTTGGGGGTGGGTACATATGATAATTTAATACATGCATACAATTTGTAAAGATCAAATCAGTGTAAGTGAGATATCCATTGAGGCTCATGAGTGGCAGGAACAAAAAGGATTGTGACTAGAGAAAGGAGAGACTAGGGTGCATGGCAACTGCTGAAAAAACTTCACGGAGGAAGTGAGAAATTTTTATCAGGGTTTTGAAATACAAATACGATTTAAAGCAGGTAAAGTGAGGATGTTGGGAGTAGAGACTAAAAGTAAAAGGAGAGTGATGTGTGAAGTAGCACAGTGGCCATGCTCCCATATGTCCTACTTCCCAAGGACACAGCCCTACTGTGGATGAGCATACCATGGCCTTATCTGCCTCTGTGCTTTTCATCAGATATGTCCATCTCCTACAATGCTCTTCCCCAACATTCACCCATCTGGCCAGACTGCTACCACCTACCACCCAACATTTACTGAGCAACCATGACATCCTGGGCACTTTGCTAGAGATCTGGAGAGACACGGTTGAACAATACATGGTTCCCACTCTCAAAGGGCACTGTGGTCATCTTTAAGCAAAAGCCTTCTCCTCTGTGAATATCTCTTCATCTCTGCCTCCCCTACAAGTTGGATTCCTTCTCTCAGTCTATTTTCGTAGACTTTATGCACAACCTACTTTATAAAATGTTCACATTGCATCATTAATTATTTACACTTATATCAGGGTAATCCATGACCAAATGTGATTTCCATGAGGACTGGGCCTGAGTTTCATACATTTTTGTTTCCTTGTAGCCCAACATAATGCCTAGACCACAGCAGGCAGGAAATCAGCTATTATATCCTTTACTGACACCTTCTACTATTCTTAAATCTCTTTTTTTCTCTATTTCTTTCTATCCACCTACCTACGTACCTGTCTGCCTAGTTTGTTCTACCACTTACTACAAGTCTGTGGGCCTCAGTCACCTTTCCTAGCTTCAGCTTCCTCATCTATAAAATAATAAAAGTCTCTACCTCACTTACTTGTTGAGAGGTATTAACTAACACATCAATGGCTTAGACTAATACCTGGTGCATAAGTAAGCATCTATTATTAGTTCTGATTATCATTAGCTGCTGACCTTTAAATAGTTACAAAAGATTCTGGGATCTTTTTATAAATCATGGAACCCAGTCAACAATGTAAAGTCTAACAAACAAATGATACAAGGGCAGAGGACTCAAATACTTTAGTACCATAATCAGGTAGCACCAACCCAAAGTATGCAAAAACATATCAAGTTTACAAAGCCTTCCGATCCTAGCTACACAACAATCGCAAAAGGCCTGAACTCTTTTACTGTGTAATTATTACCATCATCTTACTTTGGAAATGTCTGTACACAATGAATTGCACATTACTATAATACATACTTCAACCACATAGATCTTGTTAACAAAGGAACATTGTAAAGTGGATACGGTACTTGAGTAGCTGAGCAGAGGGTGTGTCTCAAGGTGTAATTAACTTTATGGACTATTCACAGGTCTCCAGGTCCAGCATGGTAATTATTTTAAATAGCTAAAAACGTGCTCTATAGGAAACCCTGGGTGGTCACGTGGTTCAACGAGTCCAAGCTGACTCTAGCTTAGGATCCCCAGTATAGGACTACTTACCTTAAATAGTATGCTGAAATTCTTCAAATCAGTTCTGAAAACAAACTGCCTAAATTTATTTGTCATTTTTAAAGGGCTATGGTACATTAAAATGAATTTGAAAGTACCCAAGAATCTCTGATCTAGACAATTAAGAGATCAAACAAAGCTGTAAAATACTCTAGTATGGAAGTAATTCCTTTCTTACCTAAGCACCCTAAATTCTGTTTCCATTATATACGCTACTTATATGCTTAAAAGCTCATTTGAAAGAAAGTAAAGCAGGCTTAGATTGGATAATGCACTGCAGTATTTCTGTAACCAGTCCTTGGTGTGACATATCTAAGGAAACTGAGGAAACATGACAACAAAAGACAATGGACTAGAATTAAGAAAGCAAATTTCAGCCCCAGAGCCATTACTGACTTTGCAATAACAGCTCCTATGAGAACAACCATTTCCGAAGTATTAAATGAAGCATTTAGGGAGTTATAGCGTAAGCATCCCAGGAATAAAACTGTCATCATTAAATCTGGGGAATTTAATTCATGAAGCTGATTTATACCACATATTTTTAATTTTTCTACCTCAAGAATCGTATCATTAAGGAAGCAAAAACATAGTATCATAACACTATCAGAAGCAGAGCTTGCCCCTTCTGCAATGGTAAATTACTACCTAAATTCATGGTGAATCTGAAGAGCGATAAGTAGTGAAATAACTCTTACAAACACCAGCAGCTGCTGACAGCAAAGCTTCTCAGGCTACACAGTTATTGGAATCCAATCTTGGATATTCAGGATTTCAAATGGCACTTAAAACTATTCAATTATGCAGGGGGAGAAAGGTTTACCACCCTGCCACCTTTTATTAACTACACACTCTATTAACTGGTACAGGTATATCCCCACATATATAGTACTACACTAACAGACATTCAAATTAAAGACTGAGTGCTACTAAAGTATCCTAAAGATTTTTTTTAATTAAAGAACATTAACTATATTGAATATATAAGATAAAACCGCAAAATAGAGACAAATCCCCCAAGAAACAAAATAATAGGACTTATAAATTCACATCAATAAAATTGTTCTTCAAAGTCACCTAAGGAAGCTATCTAGTATCCCAATTCTGCCACTTCTCAACATTTTTCTGTAATGTTCCTTTTGACATTTTCTTTAAAGGCAGTTCATGAGATATACAATAAAATCTGCCTCAGTGCCTAATAGTTTAAGCTTATGTTTTAGCAAAAATAGAATTCTCCAAAGTGCTTACCTATTTTATTAATCAGGTATGACTCCATATGCCTTTTGGCTGTTTCCCAAAATTAAATCCAACTTCAAAAAATCAAAGTTTGCCATTACCAAAGGCATTGAAAAAACTGCTGCAAACACTGAAGGCAATTAAAAATAAAAAAAGGAAAGAAGGAAAGAAAGGAGGGAAAGAGCAAGAGACACAAAAAACATTCCTCCTTCATGCAAGGGCAGCTACGTTAGGACAAGAAAATGGGCCTCCAAGGTAATGGCTGTGAAAAGAGGCCATCTTCTGGATTTTAAAATTTTTTTGAGATTTGTTTCAAAGAGTCCCCACCTAAGAATCTCAATGTGAGATAACGCCTGACTACACTTCATTCTACTGCTTTTTCGCCAGCTGGTAATTCCCTTTCCCTGAGTAAGCTAGGGCAATATATTTGCAATTCCACTGAAATGTTAATGCTAATTATTTTTCTTACTGAAAGTGGAAAAGTAAGAATTTGAGTTTAAACTGGGCTCATATCTAGTCATCTTACTACCACCAGAAAACAGACTAATAAAAATGGTTTTTGAAAAAAGTCCCATCAAGAAAGATGTTTGCTTTATAAAGATTAATTGTAATAGTGAGTAAGCATTTTAAACAGTACTGATTGCAGCTTTTCAACAGTATCCAAAGCCTTTTGTTTCATGACATCATTTAAATTCTCAATTTCTCCCCCAAAAAGGAAATTTAATCAGGAAAAAGCACATACCATACCTGCATAAAAGTCATACATTTAAATTTACATTAAAAACTTCTTTGGAAAGTATCTCTGTATTCATCTTACAAGTTAAGAATATAAGCACTCATGTTAAATTTCTGCTTATGGTTTTGGATTTAACAGTAGTTATGCGGGACCAAGGATCAAAAGACTGTATGAAAACACTAGTTTTTACAATGCTACTGCAATAAAATTTCCTCTAAGCTGATCACGTAGAGGTCTCAGCTGCCAATGTTAAACACCACGGGGTTTCCAGATCTCCAGTGGCCTCTGTGGAATGAGGCAAAACAGGCAGGAGAGACTCAAGAAGGTTGTACTAGCTTCCTAAATGGCTGAAAAATGAAGTCCAAATTCTGTGCCATGACACTCAAAGCCCTTGGCCACCTGGACTCAACCAACCCCACGACGTATTCCCCAACTGCCCATCTGTTCTGCTATGGCAGCACCTATGCTCCAGTCACATGAGAGCTGTTGCAGTGTCGACTGTGCTCTCCTTTCTTACCCCATGTCCCTATGCCTTCTCTGCTTCCCCAGCTGGCAAACTCTTAATTATCCTGCAAACCTCAGCTCCACAGGGATGAAGACCTCCTGAACTTTTGAAAAGAGTTAGGCACTGGCATGCACAGGTGCTATGGAAGAACCTCTCAAATGGCACTTAAGACCCCGTACATATGGCAAGAGAAAGGGATCTAGTGTCCTTGTGTCTGCACTGTGCCTGGGACAACGCTGGTGATCATTAAATCTTGACGGACTGAACAGTTGAGACAATAAAGTAACAGGATTGGTTATGAATAGGAGATCCAGAATGAAACCATCTGGGTTCCAACCTCGGCTCTACCTCTCCCTGCTGTGAAATCTTGGGCAAGTTACTTCACCCCTTTAACTTACTTCATGGGATTCTTGGGTATATTAAATAACATAATCCATAGAAAATGCCTGGGGACATCTGATATATAAGCATGCTCTAAATGTTAGTTAATAACACCACATTCTCATTCTCAAAAATAGGAGATTTGTTTTTAAACAAATGAACCAAACTAACATAGGTTGCTGGAGGGCAAGAGAACACTAAACATGGAAGACATGGTTATCAAAGAGAAGATATCAGAAGAAGAAAGAGGGCAGGAAGTTGGGAGGGGGAAATAAATACACCTGAGTTAAGGGCTCAAACACAAAAACAGAAAACAATAAGAGGAAACAGAAGTCAGAAGCGACAAACATTTAAAATGAACAGAGAACTGAATGCCACTTTAAAGTCACAAGATCAACAGAACAAAGAAAACAATCACATCACAGGGCCTTAAAGCCACATATTTGCTACAAATTAGGATTATTTATAAACTGCCATCATTTCTGAATGTCACCACTGAATATGATGACCACTGTATATAACCACATCCCAGGTATTTCAGATGTGCTGCGCAGATCGCCTATGTCAGAACATTTCCCAAAAGCCCCCTTTAAATTTATTTACTCATGCACTTCTCATTTTGAGATCATAATTGGCTCCAGGGAAAATGAAATGAAGCTTTATGCTCAGATTCTAACATAAGCTTCAGAAATAAGAGAAATAATACTAAAAGAGCTAGTCCCCCTAGGAGGCACAAGACCTCCTTCTTAAAATCAGTGCATTCAGTCTCTTCAATGTGGTAAGTAAGGGCTGTGTACTAAGAACGTGGTACATTATCAAGAACATGGAATGTGAATGGCCTGGGCAGCATTAACAAGTAGCTAATATCAAAACTACCTATTCTGGGATGTCAATGAGTCTATTTCAAGCGGCAATAAAATGTGCTCTTGTTAATGATGCAAATAGGAGATTAGAATATTAACAAAAGTACTTCAAGGAGCTGTAGTTTTTACTGAACCATGTGTTCAATCTGATGTCAATCACAACTGTCCAAAGAAGTAAATCAAAAGGACAAAGCTACTACTGAAACTGTCAAAAGTATATGTATGTTTTAATGTTGCAGAGAGTAAGTCCTCTCTCAACCAAATTACCATGTTGTCCTAATAATAAAAGCCTCCTTTATGACTAGAACCTTAATTTTAAACCTTAGGACACCTCCCTCTTGAATAGGAAGCCTATAAACCACTCAGCTACTCTACCAATTGCTGGAAACTTTCTTTAAAAATGCTAGCATTTAATTAGCAAATTCCACTTATATTTATTACAGGGATACTGTCAGGATACATCAGGCTAATGACTACAGCAGGAGAGAGGAAGGAGAAGTGGGGAAGGCAGTGGGAGGAGAAGAGGAGACAGAACCTATACAGCCTGGATTTTAAACAACTCCAGTGGTGGTGACACAGAGGCCTAAGACAGCGCTGGGACCATCATCTCATTTTAACAGAGAGGGCAAGGAAGGTGCCTAGGGGTTAAATGACTTGTCCAAGGTCACAGATCCATGGAGACCTCAGGACAGAGACCCAGTGGAAACAAAACTTTTGATCAAGACACAAGACACCTCAGTCATCTGACCCTGCCAACAGAGCGGTGATCTATAGATGTGATTTCCCATTGAGTGAAGGCAGCTTTACCTTGTTTCTGAAGCTGATTCCTTGGTTTAGTGGCTTTATACCACCTCTGCATTGCATAGAAAAGGGGAACCCGGACATGGCAGAATAAAGAGCTCAAGTGGCTGGGCACGGTGGCTCACCCCTGTAATGCCAGCACTTTGGGAGGCCGAGGTGGGTGGACTGCCTGAGCCCAGGAGTTCAAGACCAGCCCAGGCAACACAGTGAAATGCCATCTTTACAAAAAATACAAAAATTCGCCAGGCAGGGTGGTGTGCACATATATTCCCAGCTACTTGGGAAGCTGAGCCTGGGGAGGTGGAGGCTGCAGTGAACCATAATTGCACCACTGCACTTCTCCTTGGGTGTCAGAGCGAGACCATCTCAAAAAGCAAACAATAAAAAGAGCTCAAACATGAAAAGTGAGAGAGGCAGGACTCAAAGAAGAGTCTGTCGTGTTACCTGGGGCCTTGCACTCCTGCACTGTGCCTTGAATTTCTCCCTCTCTGCTGGCTCTATTTATAAACATGCTACATTTCTAAAATTCAGGAAGTAAACACTCCTCCTTGAGCTCTTACTTTACCTTCAGGCTACAATTCTAACCTGCACCTGTTCCCTTAGTCCCAACTTCTTGAAAGCATAGTCAGTGCTCATTTAGGTGCAATGTGCCTGCCACCCAGTGCTGCACAGAAGATCGGCATGCACAATTCTCCTCCACCCACCACCACCATCACCTCCTTGGTCTAGGAAGCCCTCCTGCCTTTCTTCTCCATTTACTGAAATCCTGTTCATCCTTCAATGTTCACAGAAAATGCCACAATTTCTGATTTTCCTAGTCAGAATATAACTCCTTTCTCAGTAATCCTGTGCATTTTTCTCGTACCTGTAAATTATGAAAGTACTTATTTCATTCTACTTTCTATTCTAGTGAGTGGTGTTCATGCCTGTCTCCCCAAGAAAACTGGAAGCCTCTTGAGTTCGGGCCGTACCTTATTTATCACTCAAATGCTCACTGCATTTAAACCTTCTTTGGTTAGAGTTTAACTGACACCAATTTATTCTGGATCTTCATATTATTGTTTTTAAGATCTCAGAGATGCAGTGGAGATAGGTCTTTAGCTTTGAAGATCCTACAAGGATCCCAAACTCCAAACACTCAGATAACAGACCCCTGAAATGAAATAGATTGAGTCTAGAATAAGGAAGAAAGGTAAGAGAAAGGTAACAGAAATTGAACGTATACAATCTGCTATGACAGTATTTCATATTTCAGGCCCCAAATACTGCCATGAACCACCTTAGCTTTGTTAAATTGGTAAACAGGTGAGTAAAAAATTGAAATATGTTAATATTGCTGGAAACAGGCCAATAAACAAAGCTATTTCAGTGTAAAGGGGAAAATGCAATAGCTGAGAGGAAAGAAAGGCAAACAGAAAACAGAAGAGGTATGGTGGGCGAGACAGTAGGGGAAGAGAGAAGAGGGGTGAAGAAAAGGATGTCAGAAAAAGTTACAAAGCATTTAATCACCACAGACACAGGAGCTAAGTGGTCTGGACAAAAAGACAAAAGAATAAGGGAAGGACTGCAACATCTGCACCATGCAGAATGACAGCCTTCTGAAGAGGACAGAGTCCAATGGGAGTGGCGGGATTCTGGGTGGACGGTGCCACGTCTGTTACCTGCTGAAACATCTAAACTGACCTGGATGCTCTTCCCACCCCTCTGCTTCCCCGTCCAACACCTCCAACATGCTGAGGAGCAGAATCAGAAACAGAGCCCTGGCAATGGCTTCAGCTGCACAGCTGGTCATGCTCTGAAGCCAGGACAGACTGGGCTCAGGAAAGAGGCTGTTCGACTACAGAACAGATTCTCCCATTAATCAGGAAAGCTCATGGGAGGAAGAATTGGAGCCAGTCAGCTACTGGTCTGGATATGGCTAATAATTTCTGTCTTTGGTTTCTGGAGGAACTGTGCCAGGGTTTCTTCCAACTGCACACAGCAAATATGACTTTCCTTCTGTATCTGAAAAACTGGCAGCAAAAACACTGAAAAGAAATGGGACTATGGCCAAAAGGATAAGCTTAAATGAAATTAGGCGTAAACTAAAATCAAATGACAGGTCAAAAAATACTAAACCTGTGATGTCTCTTCCTTTCAGAAGACAAACGCAGTGTTGTAGTAGGAGTTACATCTTGTTTTCTAAATTCTGAATGTGTTTTATACTTACAGATACTTTCTGATAATCTGTTCACAGCACCTTTATTGATTGTTTTCAATCAAGGAACCGGTCATTCTAGTCTTAACTTCACATGCTACCTCTCTCCTCACAAGCTTGCAATGGCAATAAAGTTCCCATTCTTTTAGCATATCATGAAAGTTATCTTTTATAATTTAGGTTCCTCAATGGCAATAAAGTCCCATTTTTTAGCATATCATGAAAGTTATCTTTTATAATTTAGTTCCATAGTTCCAATCCATTATTATTATTATTATTATTATTTTGAGACAAAATCCCACCCTATCACCCAGACTGGAGTGCAGTGGCACGATCTCTGCTCACTGTAACCTCCACCTCCCAGGTTCAAGTGATTCTCCTGCCTCAGCCTCCTGAGTAGCTGGGATTACAGGCACACCCTACCATGCCAAGCTAATTTTTATATTTTTAGTAGAGACAGGGTTTCACCATGTTGCCCTGGCTGGTCTTGAACTCCTGACCTTAAGTGATCCGCGTGCCTTGGCCCCCCAAAGTGCTGGGATTACAGGCGTGAGCCACTGTGCCCAGCCCCAATCCATTATTTTTTTAAATCATCAGACACTCATTAACTATCCCCTAGATGCCAGGCACCGTCCCTGCTTTCAGAGGATATTGGCAGGCACACAGGAAAATAAAATGTGGTATGATAAGCACACAGACATAGACTAAGTATAATAAGGTCCTACCACATAAGTCCTCAGTTAGGGGATGGAGGAAGAATGATTTAAATGGTATGGGCTTCTCCACATGCTCTGGAGTGTGCATGAGATATGACACTCACAATCTTTCATTTCCCCCAGCTAGCCTTGGTTCCACCGGGATTCTAGTGTGACGATAATCATGCCTGAAATAGTAGATGCATGTAGTGAAAAACTTACAGAAAGAATCTATGAACAATTTTAAAGGGAAGCCAAACAAATTGGGATATGGGTTGTGTTGACATCCCTGGGGAAGAAACAAAAGCCTTCTCCAAAGGTCAGAGAAACAGCCTACAGAAGAGACAGAGGATTAGATAAAACAGCACAAGACAAAGCTGAAGAGCTGTAACCAAGAGCTACCAAGGTGGAATTTTCACAATTTTACTGATGTGTTCCAGGTAGTGAAACACTCTAATGACTTGATTTCCAAATAGCATCACCACACGAAGAAAAGGACTCAGAATCACTTCTGCCTCCAGTATACTCTCAGTTTCTCAAGCAGGTAATTTTGACTCCCCTTAGTTTTTGCCCAGTCTTACCCATCTTAGGAAATGGTACCAACTGCTCAAGCCAGAACCCTGGGGTCACTCTGAAGTCTACCCCCAACCTCACCCCCAAATCCAACCTAATTGAGCCCTTTTAACTGTATTTCCAAATGGAACAGAGAATCTATCCAACTCCTCTGCTAGCACCCTGGTCCAGCCACATAGCAGTCTCCTGGCTGGGCTCTTCTTCAGTGGCCTAAATAATGTTTCTGATTCTACTCTAGCTTCCCGCTACAATCCATTTTCCACATGGCAGCCACAGTTGATCTTAAAAAGGGCATCCTCTCATCTCCATCTGAAGCTTCAAACTCTTTCATGGATTCCTATTATACTTAGAATAAAATCCAAACTCCTTACCATGTTGTCTGTGTAACTGAGCCCTTCCCTGCCTCTCCAGCTTCCTCTTCTGCCACTCTCCCCAACACTCACTCAATACACTACAGCCACATCACAACTTTAAGTCCCTCGGGACACAAAACTCTTTCTCCCATACTGGGGTCACTGAACATGGGCAAGTTCACTCTGTCTAGAATGTTCTTCCACGAGCTCTTTGCACAGCCAGCTCCTTCTTACCTTTCAGTCCAACTTAAAACATCAGCTCTTCAGAGGAGAGACTTTCTCAAGCTATCCTATCTCAGTCTCAGTACCCTGTACGTCAACAGCAATCACATAATTTTATTTTTGCCACTTAAGACTGAAAGCTCGGGGGGGGACTAGAACCTTATCTGTCTTGTTTGCCCTGAATCTAGCACAGTGTCTGAACAGAGCAGGCGCTCAATAAATATTTGTTGAATGAATGAATGAATAACAGATTAAGGAAAACTAAGTAGGCATTTGCTAAGGGCTGATAACTACCCTATCCAATGTAACTCTACAGAATAAACATATAAACTTCAGACAAAACAAGCTTTTGTGTGTCATTTAACTTTTAGGCTGCTTTTGAGAGCTGCATTTAATTTTAAGGCTATAAGGATTTGTATATAACAGCACTGCTTCCTAATATTTCCATGTCAGAACCAGACAAATGGCCCACAATCACCGGTAAGATGAGAGCAGAGATGCCAAAGCATGAAGGCCTTCAGCAGTGAGAAAGGCATATGGTACCCAACTGAATTCCCATTAAAAAAGGTGCATTAGGGTGTGCTGCTATTATTCAGTCTCAGGAGAAGCTCATACACAGAAACCTATTGGATGTAAAGCAGGGAAAACACAAATATATGAAGATGTCTCCAGCATACTGTTATGATGTATATTTTTTAATTAATGGAAAATCGGATCTCACCGTTTCATTCTGCAAAGCTTAAAAGTGACCTTTTGCTAATGATAAATGACAATATGGTTGACATATGAATAGGGCTGAAATAGAGCACCCCCATCCAAATACATACACTTTACAAGTGTATGTAATGAAACTAGGTTCTCTTTTCAGCTGTAGAAGAAACATCTTTAGCCAGCTGAAAATTCAGATGAAAATCCAAAAACTGCAAAGATGAAAGAATTGGAACACGGTGACTAAGCCAATGAGCTCAAAATAAGAGATCGCTGACTGCATTTTTAGTACATATCCATTGATACGCACGTGTGTAGGTATCTAATTTTATACGCAATTTGTATTTGTGTGGGATTCTGTTTGTCTGCTTGTTGGTTCTGGGCTCTCTCTGAAACAACAAGCCATTCAATTAGGCTCTGCCGTGGAGCACAGAGAAGAAACATATTGCTTTTGGCCTCACAACCGTCCTTTCCCGCTTGTGTGAAAAGCCTGTGTTGACTGTACTGTGAAAAAAATTAAAGGACAGAAAAGCCCTACTGTTGTAACTATGCCAAAAAAGTATAAAGAAACAAACCCAGATGCTAGAATTTGAGGCATTTCCTCTGCTATGAGACTATGTCCTTTAACTGAAGGTCAAAGGAACATTAAAGGGCTTACATATTTCAAAGTGGTAAGTGGATGTTTTTTGTGGCCCTCTCACTTTATGCATGCAGGTGACATACATTTCACTGACATTTAACAAGCAGAATTTATTCAGCAGCATTCAAGGAAAATCCTGGTATCGCTTTCAAACATGATTTATTTATATTTCTAGCGCTTTATATTAATACAGATTGGTTCATTTTCCTGACAGCCTGAGTCCCTCCCAAATGCCAGTAAGTGAATAAAGTCATTCGTAAGCCCATTTCACATTTACTACCTACCTCAATGTGTCTAGGTGTTGTAATTTTATAACCTTTTTCCTGGGGATATTCATTTATTTTTGATGCTGCAGATAATAGTAACTAATGTGAGATATACTCATTTTACTTCTCTTCTTAGGAAGTACTTCACATAAGATTTAAAAGATCTGAAATGTCTTCTCTGGTAATAGAAAACAACAGTACCTCAGCTCATGGGAAATATAACAAAATCAATCATGTTACATTATGTTAAGCAAACATATATCAAATGGGCCACCATTTGTATACCAAATTTAAGATATCAAAGATATATAAATTTAAGATGTATAAAATTTTGTATATCAAATTTAACATATAGCAAATGGGCCACTATTTAAAATTCATTTGTTTTAAATATGTCTTAAAAACTTTGATATGAGTCATATGGCAAAAATCTTGATACAAAGGTTAGTATGACTGAGGAATACACAAATAATACAAATCCATGAAGCATCAAAGTCAGTATATGATTTAAAAATCCCTCTGAACTGAACAGTGACAGAACTGTCAGATGTGGCAAATATTTCAATAAAGAGAGCAGTAAAATACAGCCAAGAATTCCCACTGCCAATCTCTCGATGGCCAAATATGGAGGCTTCTCCAAAACACAATTTCACTTGGGCTGGGCAAGAATGGGTTAAACGCAGAAATCTGGTGACTTCCATTCTATGTCGATCTTTACCTTTGTCCTCGGTATTCCGTGCGCCCCCCACCCCCTGCGCCCCCATTTGTAGAAAACTGAAACTGCAAGTTAACAGCTACTCCCCTTTTGCTTACTGGAGTTCTTGGTTATTTACTGAGAATGTTTCAAATAATTCTGTTGGGCGTCATCACAGTTACTAGTGGACATACCATCTAATCATGACCCGTAGCAGCTCTGGTCTACCTAAAGGGAGTCAAGCTTTCTGACTTGTTGCTTTAGAAATGTCAACAAAAGGAAGACAGTTTTCGACTTTATCTCTCATATTTCCTTTGAATTCAATAGGGTCAGCTTCACTAGTGTGCGGGAAGCAGATAGACAACACAATTTAATTGCAAAGTTGGGTGTGGTTGTTATAGTGATAAGGGAAATGAAAATGGAAGCAGTTTGAATAATATTTATTTCAGGAGTCATAGCTTATCCTCTATAAGCTATTTACAAAGTGCATAATATTACATCGATTCTTAGAAACGAACCACTGGAATGTATCTCACGGGTTAAGAGTCTATAACTAATGTGCACCATTAAGGAAGACCAAAATTCTCAGGAAACACTTAACCAGAGAATGTAACACTATTATCGGCACTGTCACATTTAATAGCACACAGGTAACTGTACACACACACACACACACACACAAAGAATAAGATAAAAATAATCACATGGTTGCACTTATTTCCACATATTACCTATGATATCATCATGGATGTATATGTGCTTATATACATGTAGCTATATAAATTCATACATGCACATGGGACATATTTGTATACAATGTTCTTCCGGCACATAAAGTACAAAAAATACAAGTGACATGCATAATTTTTTTCAGAAAATGCATTATTTCCTATGCATATGAACACAGACTATTTATTATAAATCCATACAGAATACACTCTCCTGACTAAAGAGGTTTAGTTCTTGATATATCAAAAGGACCCCCAAGGGCAACATTATAATAAGACCTGTACCTAGACAGACATGAAGCCAGGCTGAGAGGCATGAAAGAATATATACACAACATTTTTGGGAGTTCCATGCTGCAATGAAGTGTTAACACCACATAATAATTGTATTTGAAAAATTCCAGATGAAACAGAAATAAGTTAGGTCTCAATCAGAAGGCAATCTGAAGGTCCTATTGTAATTAGCAATCAAAATGCCAAAGGGCACCAAGAACATGTAAGTGGAATAGTATTTTCTTTTTAGTACCACAGAGATAAATGTCACTTTAGATGTTATATGCAAGATATTTATTTAGGCAGTTTAGAACCCTGACTAGTACCCAGATCTGCGTCAGACACGACTGAGAATATGAGAATTTGTTTCATGCCTTAAAAAAGTCAGCAAGCAAGGTCCTCTGAGGTCAGAGCAGGACCACCATGGAACAAGTCCCAAGTTCCCTCCTCAATGTGGCTTCAAGGATACTTGCAGACGCCACGTTAATGCACCCTGCCATGAACTCAAACACTGAAACAAGTGTCTTTTCATGTACACTGTTGCAAAACCACAACTCTGATATTTATAAAAGGTCTGTGAGGCAGATTGGACTTTTTTTTTTTCCAAAGCAGCAGGAAGAGTAAATAACAATATTTAATAGAATATAGATACATAAACAAGATCAGAATGTGTTTTAGGAATCTTTAAAGTGTCCTTCTGTTAGAGGATAACCAGTGTTTTCACCTATCTTTGTATTTTCAGGACTTTTCCTCTTAATAACAGAACATGGGCACACATTTTAAAGAGAAAAAAAAAATCCACTTTCTAAACTGGGTGAAAAGACAAAAAAAGAAAACCCTGACAAGGACAAGATACAATAGTAGCTCATTTTACTTATATAAACAGCTTTCCTCTATGTCTGTAAAACTTGGATTTTATCTGCAGACAAATAAATGGATATATTAAGAAAAAGACACAGCAATTTTTTAACATTATTAAATTCCTGTATTGTTCTTTTGTTATTGGAACAGGAAAAGAAAGGCTACTGATAAGGATAAAGCACTTCATTTGCTTTTCGGGAAATTGAAAAAAAAATCCCAGTGACAGAGAAAAGAATAATGAAGTGTAGGAAAACTAGGAAGTTGTCAACCAGAAACAAAAAAAACACATCCTCGATTTAGAGGGACATTCCAGTTCCTTAAAAACTCACACAGACATTAATTCATGTTAATTCCTTCCCTTTTCCAACTTTACAGGCACCACTTACTGCTGTCACCTCCTCCTGATGCAGAAAACACTTAGCAAGAGAAACCACGAATCAAAAGCAGGAAGGCACACTGTAAGAGTATATCCCTACCTTTGCATGTATCATCAACCAATGGGAATCCATTATTCTTATCTTAGAGCGTATGCACCATTAAAAGAATGGTCTCATAGCTTTTGAAACAAATTATTCAAATGCCCCAGAACAGTATGCTTAGTGAAGGTCAATATGAACTAGGGAATGAGTCAAATTTTATTATTAGAATGCTTCTTTAAAAAAACTCAAATATTTAATTTTAGTGCTCCTAAATACCTTTCTTAAGTTACACATTTCACAAAGAACAAAGAAGTGCCAATTCTAGAAGTAAACATATGTGTCTATAAATCACAAAGTAGCTTTTAAACTGATTAAAGTTAGCTTTGATTCTTGTTTATCAATGTCTTCTAGAATGTCTACCGGGCATAACACTATTCAGACTGGGTATGGCTGCTCTACCCTCATTATAACTCCTTGTGTCTATGATCTCTCCCACTAGACTTCTTAGGGCGAGGTCCTTTCCATATTCATCTCAAATGCCCCTATGCAATGGGCCAGCCCCAGGACAATCCTCCCCAAGTGAGCAGGGCTCAGTCAGGAAGGGGTATCATTGACTGCAGAAATCCTTGCTCCTTCTTTCTGGATTGAATTCAATATGAATTTCACAATTAAGATTAAAATGTGGGGATGCTGGCAGAGGTAACACTCTAGGGTACAACCAATCAAAAAGGGTAAATTTAAATTTAAAATTTTTCCTAGATTATAGTTACTGGTGGAAACGAGAGAAAGATGATGCTGGGCTTCTGAGGTGGAAAAAAACTAAAAGAATAGGGAGGGCATAGTGGGAAAAAGACAAATTTGGCAATCTTTACAATTTTCATGTAAGGTTAGCTCTATTAACCTTCAACAAGAACTGGAGGAAAGTAGGGCTTTGCTTAGTGGTATATTTTTACGTATGATGGTATGCATTCAGCCCTGCTTCCTCCCATTAGCAAATTATTTTCTTTTTTAATTAAAACTCTCTTTATTTAAAAGAGCTTTTTTTTTTTCCCCTCTGAGGATCTCTTAATCAAGATACTAGTAAATATATAATACTGGCAAGACAGGAGAGTAGAAAAAACACAGTGTCTAATAGAGATTCCTTACCTATAGTGATAAAATTATAAGAACATTTGAAATGATCACTTTTTTGACTGTCTGTGAGTTTATGCTAAAGTGGTTATGCTCCCAGACTCTTTCTTGAACTTCCCTTGCACAGACTTTTTTTTTTTCTTCTCATAAGCAGGATATAAACTGTCCAGCTTGGTTGAGTTGTCCAAAATCCCAGATCATGGTCTTGGAATACTAATTACACTAACTAACGAGGTTTTAATTGCCTGACAGCTCCTGCTTATGCAAACCCTCTGGTTGATGGAGACAAGCCTGGGGCTGCAGCTCCGCTCTGCAGGAGGCGGAGAACCCCTGTGGACACAGAAGGGACAGCTCCAGCTCCCCTTAGAGGGAAGGGAGCTCTGCCATGGGGAGTGGTCTCCACTCACAGCATCCTTTGCCAGCAGCTCAGAAGGCCTCCCGGGCTGGGATTCCAGATCCTTTCTCATGTCAGGAAAAACCTTTGTGGGGGCCAGGGCTTAGCCGGACACAGCTGGGCAAAGCAGCAACTCAGCAGCTCTGTGTTACAGAGCACACGCCGAGCCCTGGGAAAAACTGAGAGGTCACCTACAGCCAAGTCAGAAACCACAAACACGCGCAGGAGTGCTCAGGGCTACCCCAGCAGTGAACATGTCACCCTGCTAAGGTCAGTCATTAGACCAACATTTTTTAGGCATCCTGGGTTGGTGAAGTTTTAGGCACGGCCCTCAAGAACACCATTTATCTGGCTCAACCTGTCAGGTTGTTTTTGTCCTTGCAATATTAACAATAAGTCTCTTTTAAAAACACATAGTAAGTACATTCTATTTAATCCTGAAATAAAGCCCAGATGTAGCAAAACCTGCTCACCTACAACTTCTGGTGCTCCTTTAACCAACCTGGGATTAGGTATGGAAAGAGGACAGAAAAGTGCTTGAACTAGGCACATCTTTGGACAGAAGAGATGGCTTCAAAGCTCAGAGTTAAGAGTTAAAGCAAAGAAGAAGGTGAAAAAAAATCCATGAATGAATGGTATAGAACATTATTATGCTGTTTACAGATGACTGTATAGAAAGTATCACTCTAAATGTCAACTGGAAAATTTGTTTTTTATACCAATCCTTTTTGTAACCTAATGTGTAGGAATAAAGAGGCTCCTTTACACTCACACTCCTGTTGGTAACTGGACATAAGATATTTAATCGTGACTTCCTTTTTTTTTTTTTTTTTTGACGGGCACAAGAAATCACAACAACCAGAAGGTCGCTGTATGACTTCCAACAGTTAAAATGCAGGTATAATTATTCAACCAACAACTGCTCCTCTCCAACTGGTCTCAGGCCAAGTTCCCTGAGTTTCCTGTTTTTATTTCCCAGATAATTTGAAACTGGTTTCTGCCTTTTGGTAACCCTTTTATTTTCCTGGTACCAGTTATCAAGACATCAGAACAACGATTTAAAACATGTTTCTAAGGACAATTCTCCCCAAAATTTGTATCTGTAACAAAAAATTTTTAAATATTAACTGTCAACGTAAATAAAAGTACACTACTTACAAAAATATGTAACTTTGTCTACACTTTCTTTCCCAATGACATCGCTAGAATTTAAAATGAAACACATGTACTTGTATTTTAAAGTCACTTTACATATCTGTGTTTACAGATATACATATACATACACACGAATATGTATATGTGTGTGTGCTTCTGTATATATGCTCCAAAAAAGAAAAGACAAAGAATATTGTCAATTTGTGATTGTCTTTACAAACAGAGTGGGATAAAATTTAAAGTTGCATAATGGTCTTACTGCCTTATAAACAAGTACCTTTGATGGCACTTGGGAAGCTAAAGGAAAAATCAGCTGGGACCTTGATGATAATGAGATCCCTGACCCACGCAGAAGGTGAGGTTAAACGTGTTTTCCTTTGGTCAAGGGAAGGGAATTCCAGATCCTCTGCTCATGTCAGGAAAAACCTTCGAGGGGGCCAGGACTTAGTGTTTCTAAACTTGATAAGCAGTGTTAACTGGATTCCTCTAAAATAAACTTTTTAAACAAATTATATGAGCTAAAGCAACACATTCACAAGCATAATACCACTTTCAGATGTAACTAGCCTAAGAAAACTAGAATCTATGATGAGTAAGTTTGATGAAGCAGCTGTGTAACTTAAAATTTAGGAATCTGTACACATGAAAGTCCTGAAGCAAAGAGGGCATGGCCCTTGCAATACAGAATGCTTGGTTTCAGGACGAGTAAGAGAATCAGTTTGAGAGGTTATCTTTTTTTGTTTTTTTTTGGGGGGGGGGGAGGGGTCAAATATTAGCAGAGTTAAACTAGTAAGACTTATCAAGTTTAAAACACTAAGTCCTGGCCCCCACAAAGGTTTTTCCTGACATGAGCAAAGGATCTGGAATTCCCTTCCCTTGACCAAAGGAAAACACATTTAACCTCACCTTCCGGGTGGGTCAGGGACCTCGTTATCATCAAGGTCCCAGCTGATTTTTCCTTTAGCTTCCCAAGTGCCATCAAAGGTCATATATTCCACTATCAATGAGTATATTAACAGCAGTTTGGAAAGGCCAAGAGCTTTCCCCAAAATCCTTTCCCTTAAACTTCATAAACCTTATAAAATGTACAAAACCCACCCATTTCCATCCTCCCTCCAATGGAACAATTACAGTGGTGATAATTTGTAACGACTGTCTTATTAGTTTAACTCTGCTATATAATACTCTCATAGTAAACAGCAATTATATTTTTGGAGAACATATAATTTAATTTTCAGTATATCTGATTTTGTGAATTAATGATTATTTCTAATACAGTCAATAACATATTAGGAAATATTTTGAAATAATGGCATTTAATGCCATACAGGAGATCAATATAATTGCCAAAAAAAATCCATAGACATAAAGTTTTAGACATATTTGTAAAGTTTAGCAAAGACCAAATGGGTAAACCTATGAAAAGGATCAACTCTATTAAAAGCAAATGATTTTTCCAGCATCCGAGTCCCAGGGTTTGTTTTGTCCCTTACCATGAGGTCCTGTATAATATGAAATATTTCATTTTTAATTTAACATTTACTTGAGAAAAAAATTTTTTAATTGCATAATGAAATCATTACCATGTATTAACATTTGAAGCAAAGCAATGTATAAGATATGCTTTTTTAAAAAAACAATGAAAGAAGTAGTGGAAATCAAAATTAGGTCCAGTGACTACTTGAAGATATGATGTTCTCTGACACCAGCACAACAAATCCATTTCTCTGTGCAGCGAAGTCGATTCACATAAACACTCTATAACTTTTCTACTCAAACTGTGGTGAAAATGGGCAGCAGCAGCTTCTCCTGGGGCTTGCTGGAAATGCAGATTTCCCTAGCCCTAGTCTAGTCCTAGTTAAGCCAGCTCTCTGTGTGACCATCAAGCTCTCTCAAGTTTGAGAAACTTAGGAGACACCCTCAGTGCATGATACCCAGGCTCCCCATGGACCTTCAGCTCCGTATGGGACAGCGGGTAGGGGCAGAGCTGGGAGCCTCTGTCTTCCCTGTACTTATGCAATGGCAGCAGGTTTCTTGCTACAGCTGAAAAGTGTCTCCATGAAGCGGTTCTAGTGGCAGGAACATTAAGAGGAAATTCTGTTGCACTATTTCAAAGGCGGCATGAATGCTAATACTCCCAGCTCCACCAGATCACATTTACTTGGGTGTTTTCTGTGAGCATTTTCTCCCACGCACATAAAAAATACCCAAAATGCTTTTGAGAAAAAAAGTTATATAAATAAAAAATGGCATAATATTTCTTTCTAAATACTAAAGATTTGTTTACTGACAAACATTACAGATGACATAAGATTTACAACATTTTATTAGGCCACACACAGCACAGGGTTGTACTACAGCCTCTAGACCAAGGACGAGGTAACAATCGAGAATAAAATTTAGCACGTACGCTTTACTTGTGTAAAGAAAAAAAGGAAGTGAAATAAGTGAAATGTAAAAAACTAAAAATGGAATAAAAAACTCATGATATTACCATTTCCTTAGGTAGCACTGAAATAGTAAATTTAGAGTACAGGATAATTAAGTTAATGATCTGAGGCAACTGTTATCTGCGCTTTTAAAAATGAAAAGAAAAAAGGCTATAAAACAGAAGTCTTTGTGTAAAAATTAGTTTCATTTCAGAGAACATAGCCATACAATGTAAAATCAAAATATAAAAACAAAAAAACAAAGCAAGCTCCCATAGTATATTGAAAATGTGTTGCAATTTAGGTCATTTAGAAAATAGTCCTCAGGTAAAAGCAAACTAAATTTGCCCTAGTGAATCTGAGGTGTAGTGGCACATGGCATGTGCTCAATACATTCTTTTTGAATGAATACATGAATAAATGCATGAATGAATCAACAATTAAAGCAGCTCTAAACTGAAAGCGGTCGCCTCGGAAGGTACTTGTAGAGAATGCTGAGTACCTTCTGGACTGAAAGAGTCTATGACTATAATCCTATTTCTTGACCTCTCTATCCAATTACTTAATCATTTCAGTGCTTCTACTCTGAACTAGCCCTAATTCCAGGTGTGGGTCTGACCAGCTCTACTATAGTCAGATACTTTTAAAGGCTTTTTTGAACAAGGGAGTATAAATTAGTCAACCAATCAATTAACAATTAATTAAAATAATGTATTCCATTTTATACATCTCAATATCATGGGCACTGGCAATTGTGTTTTAGACTTTCACTTGGCTAACAGTAGCAACCCTTGGATTTTCTTCTACCATGCTAACAGAGGAGTCACTTCCTGTGCCAGCTTCCCTGCACGGGGTCCTTTTGTATAAGATACACTTGGTATCACTCTTGGTGTGTTAACATTGCCAGTCACTTTTTTCCTCCATTATGCACATTACTGTCACATTAATCTTCCTAAAAATGCTCATACTCCTCACATCATTTATGTACTCAAAAAGTCATTAGACACCACAGTCTCCCTCAGAGGGTGACTCATAAATTCTTATCTCCAGCTCAGATCTCTCTCTGAGTTCCAGACCTGTAACTCTCATCCTCCCCTTGATTCTCCATAGATACCTCAAACATAACCAAACAGAGTACCTACCTCATCCAACCTCCCACAAAGCTGCTCTCCTTGTATTTCACATTCTAATAAATGACACCACAATATATCCTATCATCCTCCCAAAATCTATCCTGACCACCTCCTCTCCAGCATTTATCTTGATAATAGTCCTCCCACAATCTGGAAGTCTTCCCTTTCTTCATCCCCGAAAGTCAATCAGCCACTGAAGCCCACTGATTTGGCCTCCTTAGTATCTTCCTATCTGTACCTCTCTGTCCGTCCTCTCTTTTCTATCCAAGGCTGCTCTTAAACTCTCCTTCCCTTCTGCTGAGCCAATCAACAAATTTCTCAGAGTTGGACCCAATTCCTAGTTCCTCCACAAAACCTTCCTTGATTTATCCATCTTATGAATGCAACACGGTTCTTATTTGTCCACTCAATATAAAACAATGATGTATAGTATCACACGCCAATTTTTGATTGTCTATTTTTTCTCTATATAGAGGAAATAATTCAAAACAGCCAAAAATCATAAACCATTCAACGTTCTCCAAACGTTTTCAGCTAAAACAGAGGAGAATTATCTAAAGCCCTAAGTGTCTTCCTCCTTTTGCAAAATGTTCACTGTGCAAGCAGCACTAGGTTCCACATATTCTACACCAATCTAACCCATGTGATGTGTGATGCAGCAATGATGAAAACACATTTTATGGATAACACAGACACCTCTTCAGCCAGTTTCTGCCTGGTGATAAATCACTGCAAAGTAGGTTATTCTTATTTTTCTATACAAACTCCTGATGAGGTTATAACTTTTTCTGGAGAGATTTGACTTTTCTCAGGGATATCTCTTTGTAATTATACACCATAGAGCATGTATGTATGAATTCTACTTAATGAGTTACTGAATTACATTTAAAAATTGCTTGTGACAAATAGTTCTATGTGGATGTCAAATTTAATTTGCCCAAAACTCCTGGGTCCTTCCTAAATCTGGTCCTCCCTCTAGTAAAGGGCACTACAATTTGCTTAAACTCCACATCGAAGAGTACTCTTTGATTTCTCTTTCCCTCAACATCCATATTAACAACTCCTGCTAATTCTATTTCCAATGGTATCTCGAATGCACCTAATTCTCTTCATCTCCAGCTCTCAGGTACGAGTCCCCATTATCTCTTACATGAACTACTAAAAGAACCCCTACCAGCCAGCTCTGTTCATACTCTTACATCTCCCTACCCCAACCAGTCTCTTTTTCCACCATATTCATCTTTTAAAAGACAAATCATGTCAAACCTTTGCTCACAATCCTTTAATGGCTTTCCTGTGTACTCATCACAAAATCCATACATCTCATCATCTTCTACAAGGGCTCAGGTGGTCTGGCCCTTACCCCTCCCTCCCCCCCATTCTGGTCACGCTGTTTCTTCTTGCTAGTCCTTCAACACACCAAGCTTGTTCTCTCCTTAGAGCTTTTGCAGTTGCTGTTCCGTCCATATGGAATTCTCTCTCCTCAGGTCATCATAAGGCAAACTCCTTTGGGCTTTGAGATTTCAGTTTGGACTGCCCTTCCTTCATAGAATATGTCCCTGAGGTCCCTGAATACAGCAATTTTCCAAGTAATTCTCTATCACAGCATACTGGTTACTGTTTTCCAAAGCTTTTATCATACCATATGCTATTTTCTTGTTTATTTATGTATTTACTGCCTGTGTGACCATCAGGCTCTCTCAAGTTTGAGAAACCTAGGAGACACCCTTGGTGCATGACACCCAGGCTCCCCATGGACCTTCAGCCCTGTATAAAAATGTGGGTGGGCACAGAGCTGGGAGCCTCTGTCTTCCCTGTACTTAGGGGATGGCAGAAGGTTTCTTGCTACAGCTGAAAGTGTCTCCATGCTAGAGTTCCGGTGGCAGGACTTCAGTCCAAGTCCCCCTTTGGAGTTAAGCTCCATGAGAGCTGTATCCTCAACAACTACAACAGTGTCACGTATGTATCTGGCATTTCATAAATACTTGCTGGATGAAATAAACAGATGAATGATTTCCAGGGTGTTTTATATTCTTCACCAAATGTGGCATGGTTTCACATTTCTGATTAATTCTTGAATTATGACCACTGAATTACAATAATTTTTTTAAAAGCCATGTACCCAACTTGGAATTATAGGCAAACTTAAAAGTTCAACTTATTCACTGCATCATGGAAACCTTTGGTATTGACATTACTTATGACCACTGAGCCCAGAGAGACCCCTAGAACACACCTGTGGCAGCTGCAGAGGCTGGCGCTATAGAGGCTGGCACTGCTTTTACTACTGCATCAAACTGATGTGCCCATGGTGCACTAATTTAACTTTTGTGGTGCTCAGTCTAACATATCCCAAATCACTGATGAATAAGTAGTAAGGCACGGAAGCATAAACTTTGTTAAGATCAAGGTGGGATAACTTGCAGGTCATTCCCTTTATCAGACTTCTTCCTTAGAAAATACAGATCACTCTGACAAACTATTCTGCACTAAGCCACGGCTGACTGTTATCCAGTATCCTATTTCCTTTATATTTTTAACAAACTGATTTTATGGTGATATGTTCAAGTATTTTAGAAAAGAAAACACTGAGTAAAATTGAGGACCAACTCCTTTTAAACAAACATAAGTAATACACAGGAACTTTTTCAATGCCCAGAAATTTCCAGTATTCTCCATAAGTCTATAACATTGAAATGGCCTGCAATGACTTCCACACGTTTTAAAAAATGTTATAGCAACATTTCGAATTCATTTTCAGCATCACCACCAAAAACACAGAAATGGAGACCCATGTTTTCTCATTATGCTCTGCCAAGAATACCATTCTGCTTGCCCTATCCCCACCACTGCACACCCTTAATACTATAAACTACTCAAAGAAGAGTCCCTAAAAGGAGGCTTTAACTAGACTATTCACCTTCCTGTAAGAGATTCGAGAGCAAGTCTAAATTCGCCAGGTCATCCATCATCACTGCACTCTTAACCCCTCCTGGCTTTGCAAAATCACCCATGCCCTGTACAAGCCTCCCTCCCAAATCCCATTCTGTGCCTTCTAGAGCTTATCAACAAAATTCTTTCTGCCCTCATTCTTCCATCTGGATGTTCCCTTCACCTTCTTGTGTAAATTGAAACCTAGGTAGTACCTGATTACTCTTTTTCCCTTGAAGTCTTCTCAAATGGGAATGGCTTTATCTCCCACATTCCATAAATCCTGGAAGGGGCATAGGTATCCTCTTTGTTCTCACTGCTACTTAAAGATCATTCTTCCTTTTCCCCTTTAAAAAATAAAACTTTCTCCACTTGAAGCATAAGCAATTAGGTTATCACCAGCCACACGGAGGTGTGGCATTTACCTGCAGAACCTCTGGCTCCATGTCTCTTCCCTGCTACTATTCCTTGGCATCTTCATCATTGGTAGAGGCACTCCATCCTGACTCACCTATCTGACCTCCCACCCCCAGTGATGTTGTTCTTCACCCCTCTTCAATCAACTACATCATCCATAGTAATTTCTAACCCTCATTACAACCAATAATAACTTTCTCTTCAAGTATTCATTTCTACTTGCTTCCTTAGCTATCTCACTCCATTAATTCTTCAATCCCACTAGAACCTCCCCTCTACTCTCCATATCACTGACTCCCTGATTTTGTCTCCTTCTCAGTGTAGATTAAATGGTCAATCACCATAAAGTTCTCTTATATAATCATCAATCCCCATGACTCCCTCTCTCTCTTTCTACCAGAATGGTCAAGAAAATACCCAACCGGCTACCTCTCTACCTAAACTGCACACCTACATAAGAACTAGAGAAAATCACGCAACTGTGCTGGCCAGCCTCTTTTCAAAGGCATAACCACTAACCTCAAGTAAGCTGTCAGCACCAGTAGGTGACCCTACTACATTTCCCTAGTTAATTCATTTGTCCTCTCCTTTAAAGATGTCTGTTTACATTTTCCTCTTTCTCTTTGATTTTCCACACCCTTTCTTCCATCTCAATGTCAGATGATGACCTTCTTTTATACTTCCCTGAGAAACAAACAATTTTGTCCTTTTTATTCCTTAAAGTCTTTGCTCCTGCAATCGCCTTTCTTACATTATTGGCTTTTCCTTCTTACTAAATCATTCCGGTCATGATCCAAACATGCTGTAGTATCTCCTATATTTTCTTAAGCTCTTCTTGACCTCTACATTGCCCTAAAATAATTACCCCTATTTTCAGTACCATTTTATCACGAGACTCCTCAAAAGTCTTCCTACTTCTATTACTTGCACTATCATTCTATTTCAGGTTAGAAACCCTAGAATCATCTTTGTGTAATTTTCATCCTTCCCTTTCCTGCTAGCAGATACCGTAGGTTCTTCCATCAAAATGGTGCATATCCATCTCTTCTTTGCTGTTTTCCTGCTGCCACTCTAGTCCAGTTTCTTGTGGTAACACATCTAAACAGCTGAAAAGCTCTCCAACGAGCCTCTTGACTGCCATTATCTCCCTCTGCTAATCCAGTTTGCATTCCACCACAACCAAAGTCTGCCTAATGTTGACTTCACCATCTTCTTTCTGATTCTGTCTGTTCATAAACCTATAATGATTTCTGATTGCTCATATTACCCGGCTTAAGCTTGTTGCACAATGTTTAAGACATTTCATAATCTGGTCCTATCCTCCCTCCAATCTTTATTTCCTATTGTCCACCAACATAAAACTCTGCTCTTTCAGACCAGTTTCCCAAGTGTATTCCATGTAAGTCATGCAGATTCCCACTTCCACATTTTCTTCTTTCGTCCATGTTGGCCTCACTTCTGAAATCTATCATCATCACTATTCTAAATCGTTCAGTCTACCCTCCATGATACCTTATCACACAATTCCAAATCATACTTTCTTGGCATTGAGGTCCTATAGCATTCCAAGTCTCTGTCACTATTAACGACGTGACTATTTATTAAGTATGATTTCATCACTAATTCTTTCATATACAATATATACCTGAATATAAGTATGCTTTTTCCTTCAAAATTCCTTCTCAGAAAAGGGAAATCCCCTAATCCTGACTTCTTACAAGATCTCACATACTGCCTGGTACTTTATTTTGAATAACAAAGCACTGTTTGTAGAAGATACATTAACCTTAAATGACCTCAACTAATTCCACATTTGGATTACATAGAAGCCATCTGAAATAATAAGTTGGAAAATAACAAGTAAAGAAATTCAATCAGATACGGTAATTATTCCTGTGGGAATGATCTCAAAATTGGAAATGCTGGATCTCACAAACAGCCTTTTTAGAATCACTTTAAAAATCAATAAAGTTAATCTCCACATGTCAATCTCCACATTGCAAAGATCATAAATACACGCCTAACTAATTACAAATGCAATTGTCCTAATTTTATGTGACGAGACACTGGGTTTTGGGACAAAACTTCCTGGGATAGCATCATCCTTAGATTCAAAATCTGCTGCATCTCAAACAACTTAGGTGGCAGTGAAGAGGGCATGTTCAGGAGCAGGGGATTAAATGACCTGGAAGGGGGCCTGAGTAGAGACAATGACAGCAATGGTGACGCACTCACCATTTAGGACAGCTTCCTGAAATGTAAGAATAGCAAAAAGTAATGATTCTAAATTGTGTATGACTTTATATGAGTAAGTTTAAATGTGTATGCGTAAATTATTAACTATGTAAACAGACATGTGATCACGTCATCTATATCCCTAAATGTTTACATACTGAAGTTGGCAAAATACCCTTTTGTGGCAGGCAATGGGTGTGGGGAGCAAAGGGCAACCGAACAACAGAAATGAGTTAGGTAACCCATGGCATTGTTTAAGTCATGATGTGACAGGAAGAATACTTGGTGTGATTAGTACTAGCACTGATACTCATCAAATGCGTGGAAACTCAGTTTCCCAGTGTTCAAGTTCAAGGACTGGACTAAATGTTCTCTAGGATCCTCTGCAATTCGCAAATGTTATTTCTATTGTTTTCTACTCTATTCTTTTCTAATGATTCAGGAGCACTGGTAAATACAAAGAGAAATGTTATTTTGTAGGCTACTGCAAATTTCTTCTTCCTTACCATTTAATATAACTTGGAAACTAAGTACATTTCCAAAACTTCAGTCCTGCTTTACTGCCCTTATAAGCTTGATTTTTGGACTTTAAGAATCCTTGGTATTATATTACCAATCACTCCATCTTACAACGACATCATTTTAGAGATAAGAGGTATATTTAAGAATGCCTCTTTCAGTACTTTTTTCCCTCAAGAAGAAACTGGGGCTACGAGAGTTTAATGCTGGTTAGCGGCAGAGCTGAGACCCAAACCCAGGCTTTACCCCTTTTGGCTATGAGCCATGGCACCAAGCTCTGGGTACTTCACTCAAGATTACTGTGGTGATGAGTCATATATTCAATTTCTTGAAGTTTTTTCTTGGTTGTATGTATGAATGTACAAAAGTTATGAGCCATATCAGTATAATTTTCTTGTTACTTGAATGCAATTTCTGACTTATCTCCAGAGGTGAAGAGCCTAATGATCCCTCCACGCCCTATGTGATTCCTGCCCTCCAGCAAAACCAACCTAAGCCTTCAATCATCACTGCATAATTCTCCCATTTCTGCTAAAGAGATAACTCTTTCATGCCAGATGAGCCGCATTTCTAATTAGCAGACTCCTCATGGAGCACCATCCTACGGTAAATCAAACAGAATGGACCTGGTGACAACAGATGCTGATCTCAAGCACACCGCTTGTGAAATCATCCATTATGCAGAGGTGGCCTAGGAGGGCTGGCACAGAGGGCCCTGCTCACACCACCACAGCACCGCCATTCCATAGCGTCTCGGAAACACACCCACCACATAAGCACCTGGTAAACTTTATGCATCTTAGTTGGGATTATACAAACTACCACTCTCTGTAAACTTGTCTTTGCCTTTTCAAGCTCAAATACTATTACTACTCAGGGTTACATAATGCTAAGGCTTACGACTGGATGGTTAACAAAAATTAATGCTTACCTTCAATTCTCTTTAAAGCTGAAAGGCACATATCCTGACTTGGAAACTCAAAGGGATTGCTGCAGGTTCGAATGGTGTTACATTCACATTTCCCATTGATTATATTGCAGCCAGCAATAAGGTTTTCATTGCATGGTTTAAAACCAAGCAGTTGGTCATCAGTCCAGTTCTCATCTGTAAAACAATTAACAACCAGATAATGTGTGTTTGCAGCTTCATTCAAAGGCCTGTTCGCGGGCAAAAACGCACTGGGATGTCAAGATTAACATTCAATTTTGACAAATCAATTTGTGAAAGGCAGTCTGGCTGAAACTTTACAAATGAATGAAACCCAATCTCTTCATAATAACTGAAAAAAGTGAAATAATAGCCATCCATGTAGGCATTAAATAGCTATATGCACAAAGGTTGGAAATAAAAAACCACTACTTCTCTTAATGTGTTATTACAACAACAACTGAGATGCCTTTAAAAATGTTTAATATCAAATAAAGATTCCTGGGTTTTTTCATGTTCAATAAAATTACAAGAGTCACATTTGTCAATCTACAAAATTATTTTTTAAAGAGCTCTTTTTTGGCCAGGCACAGTGGCTCATGCCTGTAATCCCAACACTTTCAGAGACCAAGGCACGGGGATTACTTGAGCCCAGGAGTTCATGACCAGCCTGGGCAACACAGTGAGACCCAGTCTCTACAAAAACAAAACAAAAAATTAGCTGGGAATGGTTGTGCATGCCTGTGGTCCCAGCACTCAGGAGTTTGAGGTGGGAGGATCACTTGAGCCCACGAGGTTGATCACGCCACTGCATTCCGGTCTGGGAAACAGGGTGAGACTCTCTTTAAAAAGCTAATTTTTTACTCTATTGATAGAGACCAACTTCAGGTTTAAAACAGCTCTTCAACTTACTACATTAAGGCAGCTAATAATCAACATCAAAAATCAGACACCACCAAAAGAGTTACAATGGAGGGGATCCCCTCTAATGCGTTTGGGGAGACTGATAGTATCCATCACTGCCAACCCAAAGCCAGAAACAACAAAAAAACTAAAGTGGTGCAGCTTAGTGACAGGCTGAGGTAACTGAATACAAAGGCTGAGACCAAATCAGGTTCTGATCATGGAATGGAGCAGGTCACAATAAATAAGGTCGATTTTAAAAAGAGCTATCATGGGACTCAGCTCCAAAAAATGCAATGAATATGACAGAATCATATGCAGGCTCAATTCTTCATAATATTCCTCATAGGAAATTAGACTATTTCTCTCTGTGAATCCTTGGGCCATTATATGGGGTTTTTTCACACTTAACATTATCTTTAACAGATACTTTACCCACCTGAAATGGGAACTGACTGTTACATAGTAAACATGTTTCTGATAAGCATATCTGAAGAGAATTTTTTAAAGTACCTGAATTTAAGAAACCTTAAACCTCTTGCTCAAACTAAGGCAGGTATAAATGCCATCTTAAAAATCTGTTTTTGGCTGGGAGTGGTGGCTCATGCCTGTAATCCCAGCGTTTTGGGAGGCCAAGACAGGCAGATCACCTGGCCATCAGCCTGGCCAACATGGTGAAACCCCATCTCCATTAAAAATACAAAAATTAGCTGGACATGGTGGCGCATGCCTGTGGTCCCAGTTACTCAGGAGGCTGAAGGGGGATAATTGTTTGAAACAGAGAAGCAGAGGTTGTCGTCAGCCAAGATCATGCCACTGCACTCCAGCCTGGGCAACAAAGTGAAACTCCGCCTCAAAAAAAAAAAAAAAAAAAAAAGACAGTACAAACAAATGGCTCTTATTTTTATAGGGTAAGCTTTTATTGCTGGCATCATTGCTCAGTACGTAAGTGAAGTAAAAGTCTGCTCTTCCTGACTGAAATAAATAATTTTCTCATCAAGAGGTCGTTACAAGAATGTCATCTACTACATAAAGAGCTTCAGGGCGGTCCTTTGAAAAGGGAGAATAGAAAATCTCTTGTTTTAGATTTCAGGAGATCAGGCTCACTTATTTGATCAAAGCCTCAGCTTTTAGTAAAATGATTATCTTTCAGATTTGAAGTTTATACCGACACACAATTTATGTTTTATTTAAAATCTGTTCTCCTATTTAGCCTAAATTTGGTTCTGAGAAACAACATACATATATAAGATATATATATATGTTTTATATATATAGACAGAGAGAAGCAACATACACACACACACAAATATAACATAGACACATAAAGGTACATTCCTATCTTCAAGACAACAATGAAATTAGTAAAGTACTCTGAAAGGAAAATCAGAAAAAGAAGAAAAACACCATATTGAAAAAATTCAACATAGAAAAGAAGGTGATATTTGTCTTCAGTTATAACAAAATGTGCATCCAAGTGATTTCTTATCTGTTTAACTGTTAACATGCCAGTAGTACTAGCATTTTACTACAGTTCAGTCAGATTTGCCATGAAGGAATTTTTGTGACTACATATGCAAATTTATAACTGAAAGGCAGTTTAGCCCTAGGAATTAAAAAAAACTTGTAAGAAATTCAAGTAACATTTGAACTACTGGAAGCCATGTATATTTGTCCTCCTTTCCTTCACAGTTTTAAGAGGAAATCTTTATTACTGTTCTTATAAATATGTGCAGTTATTGAGTTGATCCTATTGCAGAATTTTTTCCACAGTAAACATCCCTTCCCACCATTCTAACTGGAACTCCCTGAAGACACCACTCTCCTGAATTACCACAATGTCTTCTAACCTGGCTCCCTGCCACTATTCTCTTGTCTCTCCACCTCATTCCCCACAATGTCCCCAGATCCATCTTCCTCAAAAAACAAACCTGCCCAGTAATTCTCTCTTGGCAATAAGAAAATGTCCCAGCTTCTTACTGCTGAATATCAGCTTCTTCATGGCATGGCTTGTAGCTACTTCTGCAGACTCATTTTTCACCAGTCGCTCTCACATCCTAATGCTCTAGGCACACTTGAGGCTCTTACCAGAAACACGCAGGAACTGCTCCCATGCTTTACTCGGGAGTGTCGTCCACCTGGAATACCTCCTTCCCTTCTTCCTCTGCTATCTCCTGCTCATCCTTCAAAACCTAGCTCAGATGTTACCTCTTTTGAGAAGCCTTCTCTACCTGCCCCAGGAGAATAAGCTGCTCCATCCTCTATGCTCCCGCAAACATCTGCACAGACCTGTTGTCCCCTACCATAGTGGTTTTATGTAAGCCATAATTCCCCGGTAGACAAAGAAGCCTCACATATGCATATATACACACATGTATATATATGTATTATACATATATGTGTATATAGACACACATATATGTCACTGGTATGGTCAATGCAGTTGTGTCTTTAACAAAAAAAGTGTCTAATTAAAAAATGTGTGTGTGTATACATATATACACACACATATATACAAAACATCACAAGGAAAACTATGTTTCAAGATAATATAAAGAACATGTTTAAACAATACAAATCCTATTTTAAAAGCTTATCATTACAGCACTGTATGAGGCACACATTTCAAAGAAATGCTTGGAATACTGGGCACATTTCTCACTAGGCATCATCTATCATTACTCTCTTCCCCCCGTTCAGCTCTAAGACTTCAACTTCTTATCACCTGGCTGGCATCAACAGTCCTTCCAAGCAGCCCATCTCACAGCTAATTGGTTTTCACTGCCAGATGCTTTTCTCTGCCTCCCCACAGGAAGACCATTTCCCTCAAATCTGGAATCACAGCTAAAAGGCCTTTGATGAGGCCGCTGGCCCCTTGCTGTTTTCTGCTGCTTTCTCAGCAGAAGTTTCCTGGCAGCAGCAGCAGACTCACCTGAAGATGCTCAGGTAAAGGTGACCATTCCCCTCAGAAACATTGCTGCCACTATGTTCAGCCAGGAAGCATCACTGACTCTAAAGCTAACAACATCGTAGACACTTTTATTTTCTTTTTTTTGAGAGTAAACTCTTTCAATTCTCTGCCCGCTCCTAATCAATACTTTGTTTTTCTTCTTGGGAAATGGTTTCCCTAGCAACCACCGCTTCATAGGATCAAGTACAACATGCTACTGAGACAAATGCTTTTCTGGTATTCAATTACAGAACACTATATTTTAAAATAATTTAACAAAATCAACAAGGACTGAAAGCAAAAATGTAATGAGGTTGGATTATGGAAATCAAATCTGAGCCCAAGAGTTCTGCTAACAGCAGTTGGCAAATTATGTTTTAAAATCTCTCTTTTCCTAAGTAAATCCACATACACAGCACAAGAATCAAGGTTCTGATTCTCTAACATAGCTCCTGGTTTCTCCTTGGACTGGTCAGGAAAAAAAAAAAGTTAAAAACAGAGGTACTGGTTTTTAACTATATGAAGTAGGTTTTTTCCTGGTACCCTAAATGTGACAAGATGTAGTCTCCTAGCCTGAAAGGTGAAGACAACTGAGGTACCTCTGCAAATGTATTTTTAAGTTTATAATTTCTGCAAGATACCAAATTAGGATATTACATAAGTTACTTTCTCTAAGTATAAAAGAGAGAAACCTAATTTCATAAATATATTCAAATTCATATATGTTCAAATATGTCCAATATTGAGTACTACAGTGAAGTGCCAGGTATATTAAACTGCTAAACCAACACTTCCACTTGGATGTTCAGAAGACATCTTGAAATATAACACTTTTTCTCATGACAAGCTCTGTACTTCAGTATGCAGCAGAATTACTTTATGTGTATTTCCCATTTCATCCCACAGAACATTAATAAGATGTATAATTGAGGGCTGAAATGTAATAAACTTAATAATTTGTATTGCTTCGATCAAGGGCATTCAAGGAAACTAATTTTTATTTTATTATTTTAATTCCTTACCATTTTGCTTTACTGAAAGTACACGGTGAATACAGTAACTTACTAGCACAATTTGGTGCCACAACCTCTATTCATACTAAAGTATCAGGAGTTTTATGTACCATTTTTTTTTTTTTTTGCACCATTAGTGCAAAGTGGAAAAAGAAAAAAAAGCAAATAAAATGTTAATAGGATTATGGAATTAGTTTTGACCTGATTTACCACCCAAAAAGGGCTTCAGGCTTCTAAGCGGTCTGTAGCCCACACTTTGAGAACTGCTGTTCTAAAGAGCATGTCCTGCAGGTACACCTAGGCCAAGGAATAACAAAAGAATGCTGGGTACCTCTTCTAACAGTTACCGTGGAACCATAAAAATGAATGTTTCTTTAATGTGATTTAGCCAATATGTAACTGGTAAATAGGAAAATGGTGTCAGTATAATACAGCGGTTCTGCTGGTTCTCATGTGATTTTTCCCAGCACATTAATGTTCTAAAAAAATCAAAAGTGGGCCGGGCGCGGTGGCTCACGCTTGTAATCTCAGCACTTTGGGAAGCCGAGATGGGCGGATCACGAGGTCAGGAGATCGAGACCATCCTGGCTAACACGGTGAAACCCCATCTCCACTAAAAATACAAAAAAATTAGCTGGCGTGGTGGCGGGCGCCTGTAGTCCCAGCTTCTCGGGAGGCTGAGGCAGGAGAATGTCATGAACCCAGAGGCGGAGCTTGCAGTGAGCCCAGATCATGTCACTGCACTCCAGCCTGGGTGACAGAGCAAGACTCCAACTCAAAAAAAAAAAAAAAAAAAAAAAAAAAAATCAAAAGTTGGCCAGGCGCAATGGCTCACACCTGTAATCCCAGCACTTTGGGAGACTAAGAAAGGCAGATGACTTCACCCCAGGAGTTCAAGACCAGCCTGGGCAACATGACGAAACCCTGTCTCTACAAAAAACACAAAAATTAGCCGGGTATGGTGGCGCATGCCTGTAATCCCAGCTAATTGGGAGGCTGAGGCATGAGAATTGCTTGAACCTGGGAGGTGGAGGTTGCAGTGAGCCAAAATCGCACCACTGCACTTGAGCCTGGGCGACAGAGCAAGACTCTGTCAAAAAAATAAATAAATAAAAATAAGTATCAGGAGCAAGTTTTCTCACAGTTAAGTCTTACCAGTATATGGAAGACCTGAAGAAAAGGCTGAAAATTTTGCTTAAATTCCTTTCTTTAGTGCAAGAAATGACTGCTCTCGTGGTTAAAATGTCCTCTGTATTAAACTATCTGGGGAAACTGCAAGCAGAAATGAGAAGGCTGGAGACACTTGCCCCTGTACTAAAAACAAAACAAAACAAACAAACAAACAAAAAACCCCCATAAAAACAATGATGAAGAAACTACTGGATGTTATGTTTAATTCTGGTAACACCGTTCCACATGAAAAGTAAGTATCTTCAACACCCCGTGCCCTGAAAGGAGGCAGAATGAGCTTCGGAGTGTGGAGGGCTGCAAAGCATGGGCTACCAGAGATCCAGGTGCAAATAAATGCCAGGGACAGCTCACCTGGGCCAGTATTTTTATTTGAGTTCTTATTGTTTGCATTTATCCTCTATACACACAGATGCATAGGTCTTGAGTGACCTTCCCCAACCCTATTTTTTCCCAACAGCTCTCTTATTTTTAGTGTAATGAATGATTTTGCAGAATATGAGTAGGTTTTTTTATTTGCTTTATAAGAGTGAACAACTTATATTGCCAAGGCAGGAAACACCTGTACTTCCAATAGCTACATTCAGTCTTGTCCTGGACTTAGTCTTTCTCCTCTAAGAATATCTTTCAATATTCTCGGTGATGCCTGAAATTCTTTCCTTCTACATTTGACATGAAAGATTTTCAATGCAAAGGCTAGTTGGAGAGAAGTTTCCATCCTGAGGGCAGGAAAGTGGGCACTGAGAAGGATATGAAGCATGAGGCCTCTTACAAGATGTGTGGAGGCATAACGAACACCAGATATGTGAAGAAGCAGCTCCAGCAGATATAGCCCCCTGTGCTAAGGAGCTACAGGAACGAGCTGTGGCAACACTAGCCTGAGTGGTCCTGGATTCAACCTCTATGCTCTTCAACATATCTTTCCATCTGCTTGCTGGTGTGTGAAATTCCACTAACATGAAACAAAACATTTCAGGTATGAGTGCACGTACTGGACAAAGTACTGTGTGTTCACATGAAATTTCTGCCAGCCTGAAGGTGGAAGGCATTTGTATGCTCAGATTCTTACCTTTTCCACCTTGTATCTGTTTAGGTTAATAGAGTTTACTCCAAACCAAGAGATGGCTGCATCCTATTATATGGCAATCCACTTACCAGAAATATGCTATAGCAGATATTAAAAAGCAAGAAACAAATTCACAGTACACACGCAGAAGCTCACAGTAATGGAATTCTGTTGGCAGAAGAGAAGCTCCTGGGAATATATATCAAATTAATTCTCCAGCTGTTCACATATCCCTGTGGCTACAGGAAGATGCAAATAGCTAATACTGGCATCTCTTTTCATGCCAGCCTAAAAACTCCAGTGTAATGTAAAATCGCTGCTCTTAACTCCCCCAGCTCCTGGCTGGCTGTTATCAGGCATTCCGTTCTGCTCGAGGAGGAATCTAATACAGTCTGCTTTCATTCTCTCTGCTTCAAGCTTAAGGCCTATGTTCCCAAAGCTGGTGCTTCCTTCTCTTTCTCTTCCTTGTGCCGCAATCAGTGCAAAGCAGGAAGGGCAAATTTATGGTTATCAGTAGAAATGATTCATGTTACAAAAATGTATTTTACAGACATTTCCACAAAGTGAAAAAATTTTAAGCATATGTAACTATAAACCAGAGTGGACAAAGCCTGAATCTTTCAAACAATGGAATACTAAAGTGTGGACACAAATATTTGTTGAAGACTAACTTTTAAACTGATGTAAATGTCTAAATGTATAACAAACAACAAGAACACTGATTTGTATTATGTCCAAGTGAGGAAATCACTGAAAAACAAGCAGTACTGATCCAATATAATAAATCAACTTACAGCAAAATATTTGTTATTAAGTATATGTCCCATTGCTGTACTTTTCATCATACACCTCAGCAATACAACTAACAGAGAAGCACCAGTTTCATGTTTCATGTTTCATGAAACAAGAAATGATAAGGACAGGAGAAATTGGGGCTACGGGACACAACTCTCCTACTTCACAGTTCTGCCTAACCTAGGGGCCATCTTAAACTGCATACGAAGAAACAGCCCAGAGGGGGATGGTGTAATGGAGAGGACCTTGGCCCAGGAGACCACAACCTTAGCTCTGTCACTCATTCACGGCAGGACCCCAAACAAGGCATTTAGCTCTCTAAGCTCCAATTTTTTAATTACAAAAAGGACATAGAATGGATAATCCATGAGGCCCCTTTAGACTTTATCCTTGTGTTTGATTCTAGCATCTTTATTGAAATTGTACAATGCTAACAATTTATTGGGGACAGTGCCAGAGAATCATATGCCTATGGCAGTCATAATTTAAATTTAAAATAATGTTCCATTATCAGACCAATTAGACTTTGTTTTGAAAACAAAGTCACTATGTAGAGTAAGGCAAGCCAAAGGTCTTTTAATGTAATAAATATCACTTTCCAGGACCTTTCCAGTATCTCCATTCTTAGAGGATTTACTAGCTGAGGTCTCAGTAAATCTCGTTTAATAAAACAGGATTGGCTATGAACTGACAACTGCTGAAGCACTCTGTCATTACACAACTGTCTCTACTTCTGTATATATTTGGAAGTTTCTATAATAAAAAGATTTTTTAATGTGAGGGGTTTATAGGGAACTTACCAAATACTTAAAAATGAAGAACAGTGGAAGTACCATATGTCAACATTGATGGGGACACAGTTAAGACAGTGTTTAAAGGGAAATTTCACAGGGCATAAGACAAGCTGAAAAAAAAAAAAAGAATGAACTAAGCATCCAACTTGAAAAAAGAGCAACAGAGTAAGTCCAAAGAATCAAGGAGGATGGAAATAATAAATCTATGGAGAAAGTAAAAGCAACAAAAACAGTTAACAAAATTAAAAAACTGGTTCTTGAGAAAGATTATTAAGACATCTTATAAATGGCTTTTAATGAGTAGTCTCACACAGCATGTTAACTCATCCAGATACTCTGATGTCTATTTTTTCAATCACTTTCTCTTTTGAGGTTTTACCAGGAAGTTACTCAAAGTTAGACACTGAATGGCTCCATTTCCGAAATTTTTTAAATCACCAAGGTAGGTATTTAATGCCCATTTACATGTTTTCCTAGCTGCACTTTGTGGCACAGACCTTAACTCTCTTATATTCCCTCTGCTTTGAGAGTAAAATCCAATAGTTTCCAAGGAAAATCTCAGGTCTTCTCCCCTGTTCCATGTTTGTGCTGTGCTAGATCAGCCTTCTATTCAGACACATGCCATGATTAAGCAACGCAGCTGTCTCTGAACTTGAATGTCCAGTAAAAAATGTAACTGCATGTTTATCCAGCTTCAAAGGATATCAATTTTCAGTTATCAAACATACTCTTACTTAAAAATTAATAAATCTTGGTTGAGGAAAAAAGTATTTTGGAGAAATGTCTAATTATTTCCTATTTGATCTCTTCATCAGGATACTCTAAAAAGACATCCTTGGATTAAGCCAGGTCATTAGCTGTCTCTTACATACCTGGTTCACAGTGTTTTATCCTCCTACAGAGGTGCTTTAATGTAAGTAACACCCAGCAAGGAGTGTTAAGAGAACAGCCTAACCAAACTTCTTAAGGATATGGAGTTGCAAAGCAATGGTCTACAAAATGAAGTCCAACATGCAGTCATTTGAGTACCCGGCATGGAATAACACAAAGCCAGTTTAGACTTGATCCCAGCAAACTTCTTCAACCTCATCTCTGCCATGCCTTCCTCTTCCTCCAGTAAGACTTAGTGACTATGAATTGCCTGAATGTCCCATGTTGTTTCATGACATTCATGGCTGTTCTCTCTGCCTAGAAAGCTACTTCTCTTCATCTGCACTGGAAACTTCTCCTCAGTGGTTAATACTTCCTTTAGGTTTCCCCACTCTATAGGGACTGAATTAAGTACTATTTCCAGTGTAGGACTTCTACTGCATATCTATTAAAATTACTTCACTTACAGCAGCACAATGAAATTGTTCATCTAATCTCCTTTACCCGAAGTGGGTTCTTTGAAACTAACGATCTACTTTTTACTCTTCATCACTGAACTATCATAGGGCTTAGCAAATAGTAGCTTAGCAAAATAAATACCTGCAGAAGGAATAAATAGGGATAGAGAGGACGAGCACATGAATTTAATCAAAGCAATGTGAATCTTTGAGCAGCAAACTTTTTCTGGAAAGTAAGTTTGTTGGTAGAGGAAGAAAGTCAATTATTTAGAAATAACAGAGAAACATCTTTGGATCTCAGTCTTCCTACTTGTGAAATATTAATATTAGCGCAAGTTTTATTTTAACCTCAATACTGTATCAAGCAACACTTCCACAAATCAATATTTATGACATGTCAAAAGAGTGAATGAATATAATATGCCTCAACCATGTTAGATAAATAAATAATAACTTAAATAATAAACTTTTAATCTCCCTTCCTGCCACTTCTGTGTATTATGACAATAATTAGATAATGTGACACACGTTAATGCTTCTTGCCAGAATGTGACTTGAGGACATGAATAATGCACAGTACCATTTTATAAATATTAATGGATGCTCTAACCTAAAATCTGTTAGTCAAATCACCAAGAGTAAACCAGAAGACTAGGTATGGGAATTGCACACATCCAAAAGTGTGAACCACTAGAGTGAAAAGAAATGTGACTAGACCTTCTAACAATTAAATACACATGGTGCTCTGAAAATAAGCACTGTGAAGGATATACATTTTTCATTATACTAGGTGAAGAGGTAGCACAGATAATAAAGCACATTTCACCCCCTGAGACTAATCTTCTGATAACAGCTAACACTCACTGAGCACTTTCTATGTGCCAGACACTGGAATAAGCACTCTCCATGGATTCATCAGTTTTACTGAGGAGGGAAGCTGAGCAACCTAGGTCTAAATCCCATATAGGCTGTCACCCAGCAGGGGACATGAGGAGCTGAAGAAACAGGAAAGTGAGGTAGTCAAAGGCTGGGCAAAATTTCAAGTTAATGTCAATCCGGAAGACCTGAGCATCAGGGAAAAGAAGGACAGGAACACCACTAATTCTCCCATCTCACTCTGGTGAGGTCCGTCTCCAGTAATACGGCCTGGAGACTCCTGCTGATGGTCCTTTAACCACCAGGACAAGCAGAGGCCCCTCTATGACACCTTGCAGCCAAGGAACAGAGCTGCAGAGCCATCAGAACTGAAAACCCACCAATATAAACATGATCTCAACTAATCTATCATCGAGGAAAACGAGAGGTTCTTTGCTAAGACCTTCATATACAGCAATACTCCTGAAAAGCAAATAATAGTTTTTAAAAGGTGTAATGATCTGGAAGTTGCAATAAGGAATCTTTTCAGGATAACAACTTTGTGAAATCAGCTAGCAATCATTTTTGCAAGGAATGCTTTTACAAATCAACTTCAGCACTCCTATGCACTTTACCTTAATAATTTATCTGAAGTCTTCAAAATAAACCAAGTGGAAGATAAATGAAAGAGTGACATAAATTCCAACGATTATACTACTGATCCTTGCCATTAACTCTAATACTGGTCTACAAAGAAATATCTTCCCTAAATATCTTGCCTAAAAACCCAAACCTTTGATTTTTTTTTTTTTTTCAGTGAAGCAAGATTGTGTTTGGTCTTATTTATTCCTACTACACACTCCAAGAATCTGGTCCTAGCAACAAAACAAAATTTGCCACCAATATTCAATAAACAGTGCTTCATATGTACGGCATACCATTTCCTAGTTGCCCAGTTTCATCTTAAGTGGAAGTCTGGCATGTATGTCAAAACCTTTTTTCTTAAAACATCATTAAGATCCACATGGTTAGTGTATGTTTAGGTGGACAGTAGTGCTATAAACTGGAAATGAGAATCACAGAGACAACTGTGGCCCATTAAGAAATCTCGCAACACAGGGCCTGATCCACTGATTTTAAAGGCATCAAGCCCTTGAAATTCATTTTAAAACTCTCCAGAAAGAAGCAAATATAAATTAGGGGACAATGGAAAGCAGGACTCTTGCCTTAGGCCATGTCAAGAAATGCATATGAATACCTTGGGTGGACTATTATTTACACAGCAGTGATCTGATCCCTAACATTCATGGGAAATAAACCAGACAACAAGAACATAGAAAGATTAAAAAGTCTTAAGAACATGTTTGAAAAACATATTTACACGTTTTTCACAAAACTGAGTTTCCTTTGTGTAGTATCTTACCTCTATACCTAACAGACACTCAGCTCCAACTCACTGGGTCCTCACTTTGGGGGTCCCAGAGATGACAGCACAAGCCGTATCTATAAATCTATGATGGCACTCTCCTGACCACAGGGTCAAGTCTGACCCCTCACACTGATAAATGAGGCCTGTGCCTAGCCCTAGCTGACCGTCCAGTTACCTCCCACTGTGCAGACAGCTGCTCTTCCCTTCCCCGGCTACTGCAGCCTCAAGGCTTTGGCACTTGTGTTCCCTCTGTCTGGAACATCCTACTCCAGGTGTGTGCATGGTTCACTCCAGCACACCTTCAGGTCTTCAATCAACCTCAACTTCTGGCAAGACTTTGGCAGACCATTAAAACTGCAAACCAGATACCACTGTGGTTGTCTCTGTCCCCTTTCTCAGCTTTATTTTTCTCCGTAGCACTTCTCTCCTCTTGTATGCTGTATGTTTTCCTTACTAATTTGGCTGATTCTGTCTATCAGAAAGCTCCAGTTGGTAAGAATTTTTGTCTCGTTCACTGCTGTATCTTCTGCACCTGGAACAGGGCTCAGCACATAGTAGGGCCTCCATAAATATTTACTCAATCAACTGATTCCCTGAGTATACTATGCATGTTCACTCCAATGGGCCTTTACGGATCCCATTTCTCTGCTTAGGAACACTTTTTTTTCCTCCGGTCTACCTAGAAAGCTGCTACTACCATAGTGTGCCCAGCTTAAGTATCTTTTCTTCAAAGAAGTCTGATTTTCAATTTTCTTCCACCCATCCCTCTCTCTTTCCAGCACACCCGCCCCCAGCACTTCCCTTATCCTAAGGCATTGCTGAGCTTCTTGAGAGCAGAAACTGCTTCCCTCATTTCTATACTCACTCTGTGCTGAACACACAGCAGGCCCCAATATCCACTTGCTGAAGTAAATAAATGAGTAAGTGACTGCTCTACGACATAACTAGTATTATACTCTACTAACAATACTGCATGGAAAAAAAGAAGCAGCTTTAAAAATGTTCTGTAGGTATCAAACTTTCAGGTTTGTTTATTCACTACTTATGCATTCATATTTAAAATCTTTTGGGAATGATTGAGATGCAAAGAAATAAACTTTATAATAATTCAGGCCTTCCAAGGACTAGGAAGCAGGTAACTTTCAGATATTTTAAAACATAGCAGTCAAGGAAAAATTTTTTATAGATTTTTACATTTCAAATTAGAACACATGTAGGCATAAACATACACATGTAGAAAATAATTTGCTTCCAAAAGAAAATGTAAATATAACAGGTATGCATCACTCAGTCCTTTTTCCACATGCTACAGAAATATGTATTCCCACATGCAGTTAAGTAGATAAATTTTTCAAGATCATAATTCTGTCATATTATTCTATTTAAAGTTGGTATTTAGAGTGGAAAAGAAGTCTCAAAAACACTATCCAAATGACAAAGCTCACAATTTGTGGAAATACCTCTAATTACTATTTTATTAGGTTCAATACACCTTTCAAGAACTAACAGCTTTCAGGATATAAAAGGAAATACCAAATGCAGACAACTCCCAAAGGATGCTCTGATCAAATCCATATCCTATGTAATGAACAATAATGATCACCAAGTTTCAAAGGATTAGAATATACAGAGATGCACAGCTTTTAACTTATGTGTATGTGCTTGTTCTCTCCATTGTTCATTCCATTGCTTTGAACTTCCAATTTATGGAAGACTGGTAAGTTCTCAAGGCAGACCAGAAGATGCACCCCTTGAGCCAGGAGACACAGGCCAACTCAGCTGCAGCACTGCCTGGAGCATCACACTGGACCTCACCTGGTGTCTTATCAATCGGGTGGAGGAAAGGGATGCTGCACACCTGGGCTGGCAGGCCCAATAAATTAGTGCCATAACCACGACATTTCTATTTAGCACCAGGACCACTATTCCTAGGACTTCATATAATGTCTTGTGAGAAGAGAGGAAAGGACATTATTAGCACCCTTGCTTCAGACAGGATGTGTGGCATGGCCACGGAGCACTAATTATCATTCAAGACTACCCTGGGCACAGAAGTTAATTTACTCAGCACAGAGAGATTCCAGCTGCACAGGAAACACAAGCCCTTCAGGTATGGCAGCAGTTAGGATCGCTTTCCACTTAAAACAGGTGTTTCAGAAACAGACTCTGCCTATAGTTTCTATTCCTTTCCCAAGAGCATGGAATTTAATTTTAAACATCCCCAGTGAAAAGCTGGCTTGCCAACACGCGCAGTTTGGAAACAGCATGATCTGCTAGTGGTTCCACAGGGGTTTACTGAGGCGGTTCCAGGCCCTGGTTCTGCATCCTGATTCTGCCAAAGGCTTTAATTAGGAGGAAGTTGAGGATACAAGGTTCCCTAATCCCGGAGAGGAGCAAAGAGCTGCTGGGCATATCATCACCCTGAGGCACGTCCTCAGGTTTTTCTGGAAACCTCTTTGAGGGAGGTAACAGACCCAAGTGTGGTCCAGGTGGGTCCACCAATGAAAGAAAACAGAAAGGGACAGGTGAGTAACAGTTGGCCTCACACTTGCATGTGCACCCACCCCTTTCACTAACCCCAGTGACCCTATCTTTGCCAAGGCTGAGCATGTTAAAAAGCACTGGGGTATCCAAATGGGGTGTGCTTTACTCTAAAATAAAAATGGCATGGAAGGTTTTTTTTGAGACGAAGTCTCACTCTATCATACAGGCTGGAGTACAGTAGCGTAATCTCGGCTCACTGCAACCTCTGCCTCCCCGGTTCAGGCAATTCTCCTGCCTCAGCCTCCTGAGTAGCTGGGATTACAGGCACGAGCCACTGCACCTGGCTGGAAGTTTCTTTAGGAGGGTCTTTTCCGCTTTCTAATATACTTGGTTTCTAAAGTGAGAAGTGTGTCTAGTCCACACAGTCACTGGACATTCCTTTTCTCATCCATCACCTTTGTCCTCTCCTACTACAATTGCTTCTGCATTCTGGCCTGCTCCTCCTCCTTCCCCTCACATCCTTTCCTCCTCACCCCAACTGCTCTGGCAGTTCACCTTCCTGAGCCTGGCTCTGCCAGAGGCCCCGGGGCCACAGGCCTGGTCTGAGGAAACCTGCCGGCTCCCTGCCCTGCCAGCCCCGCCCCCAGTGTGGGAGTCTAGCGGGAGCTGCCTGTGGGGCCGCGCTGGGCAGCATTTCCTTTCCCTCCATCCCACCTCAAGGCCATGGGGCACTCCTTCCCCCTCCCCCGAGTCCTTCCTGTTTCCCAGGCCAGGTCCATCCAGGACACTCAACTGCCAGGGGTCAGAGTGCCACATTCCAGAGGCTTCACACCACCACTGGGAGGGCTCTAGATTCCTGTGTGGGGGGTAGGGGCGGGGGCAAGAAGGCGGGCAGGGAGGCTGGCAGGGAAAAGTTCAGCAGAGGCTGATCCAGCCCACTGTGTTCTGTATTCTGGGACAAAGTCATGGGGCAGGGAGAGCAGCGGGGGGGCCCCAGGAGTTCTCTCCAGAGTGGGCAAGAGAAAGCTCCTCGACCCCTTTGGGTGAGGCAGGAAAAAGAGGCCATAACTGCAGACATGGTCGAGATATCTTTTAAAATAAGAGAACATGACAAACTTTTATGGGTCTCACTTCCTTAATCTGTAAAGTTGGGCGGGCCTAAAGGTGCTTTTCTGAAGAAACTTCCAATGCCACAATTCTGATTCCTGGTGTGGCAACAGTCCTCTGACCTCACTGATTTTCAAAGTCTGATGATTTTTTGGCTAACGAACAGAAATACCACTTTCATTCGGAGGGCAAACAAAACTTCAACCTCCCAAAGCAAAATCTTCCCCTTGCAATACTGGATTTCTTTGCTTTGCAGACTCAATGTCTCCCAAACTTTCTTTATGTCCTTCTTTTGATTTCTTTGTTCTGCAGGTTTTAACTCTGTAGACTCTGCGCTCAAACCCACAGGATCTGGCCTCTCAAGGGCTTCCAACTCCTCCTGCTTGCAGGCCCCCAAGGCTTATGAAATTAAGCTCCAGGATGTGCATCCTATCAAGGTCACCCTCTGGAGCTTAGGGCTGCAGCATGATGGGACTGGACAACTGTGGCCCCATCCAGACCCAAGAGGAGCAGCGCAGAGTACCATGACATAGTGGGCAGTGCTGAATCCCTCTGACACAAGAGTACCACTCCACTGGAACTCAAAAAAGGGAAGCCGGCAAAGAATAAGGAGCTTGAGCTCAAACTGTGTAGCATCAACAGGTGAACAGGCAGACTTCAGCCTGGTCTTGTGGAGAAGGATGCAGAGCTGGCCTGGCACTCTGAGGACAGGAGTACCTGACTGATAAACGCAGACTCTTGCAGGGAAGGAAACAGAACACAGTGCTGGGGAGATTGGGGAGAAGGAATAAGTGAAGAGGAGCCCATTTAGGGCTGCCATTCATGCATCAGAGTCATAAGAAGCATATGCAGTTAGGCTCTGCCTCTGTAAGACAGTCCATGGAGAAAATATCCCTGAGTGGTCAAAGTCTATCAACTGTACTTCAACTAAATGTCTACATTCCTCCCATAAACATACCTTTTTTTTTTTTTTTTAACCAAACCATTGCTTTTAATAAATCCTTATGAGTAAAGTTTGACCACAAAGTCAGTCTGTGGGTAAGATGATTAATATGATCCTACAAAAACATACCCTGATATAGATTCATCTCATTCTAAGCAATTGCTTTTCTTTAAAAAAAAAAAAAAAAAAAAAAGAGAGAAAGAAAGAAATAGAATCCCTGACCAATTATGACCTCCTTCCTCTCAAGCAAGGATTCAACACAGAACACTCATTTACTAAGACCCAACACTAGTGAGAGGATATGTTTTCCGGAATTAACTAGAGTTTGGACCCCAAGTACATATTACCCTTCATTAAAAACCAGTTCAGTGCTCTGTTCGGAAGACTGCACATTACCTCTGCACGCTGCTCTTCTCATACTTTGGGAAGGCCGCACTGTTGTCAGGGCTGAAATAAAAGTGCCTGATTTTTGTACCCCAGCAGAGTGTGGAACTACAGCAGAAGCAAATCAGATGGCTCATAAATCAGATGTCCTGTGACAACTCTTCCTTTTATGAAGATCAGATTTTAAATGGACCACTTCAGTTTGGGTGAGAGAAACATGAGAAAGAAGGAAAGCATTTGTACATTCTTCTAGTCTTTTAATAAAACAATGAATCCTTCAAACCACCTGCATAATTTTGCCACACAAGAACCACAGTGTACTCATTTGCACTGATAAATTTATTTCATTTTAAGTTGACTACAAGGCAAGGATTTCATAGTTACAAAAAAAAATCTGGAACACAGAGACCTAAAAAAAGGAAAGACAAGTTATTAAAATTTGTACAATGGACAACAGAAATATTTCTTTAAAACAAGACAAGCTGTTTCATTTGAATGAGTATGTGTGTATGTTAGCTGAAAGCTCTAAATTTCTCCATAAAAAGGATTTTTACTACTGTTGCTATCCTGTTACAGAATTCATTTTTAAAATCAATACATATTTTTAGAATGAGAAGAAGCACTTACAAAATGCTGATAACAGGACTGCAGGTTCATGTTCTTGTCACCTTTGTAGATATGATCACCTGCACTCCAGCCTGGGTGACAGAGTGAGACTCCGTCTCAAAAAAAAAAAAAAAAAAAACCGAAAACAACAAAAAAACTCCCATCTTCTGCAAATTTTAATCTCTAGCTTGATGTCTTTTGTTAGCCAAAAAGACATTAGACTTTGAAAATGACTGAGGTCAGAGGACTGTTGCCACACGAGGAACAATCCAACCTCTGGATCAAAATCTTTTACCTTTAGGACAGCAGTCCCCACCAAGAGAACACAAGGACGTATACCCTTTAGTCTCTGTCATATGAAATGGCATCAGCATAAACTTTCAAATTAACTTCCTTAAGTTTAAAAAAAAAATGACTTACCGCCTTACGTTAGAGCTGTGAGCTTCATCCAGAGTATGGCCCAGGCACCTCAGAATGAATGGTGGCACTCCTTTCCCTACTGTTGCATCTGGACCATTTGGGGGACCATTTGTTCCTCTTTGAGATGAGCAGTAATGCTGAGAGCAGCCTCAAATTCAATACCCCGCAGCTAGAGAGAAACATGTTAGGTGGCGCCTGCCTAGGAGGACAATCATGAACAAAACTTCCTCACAAGCATCTTCAATGTGATGTAATGTGAAGAAAAATATCCCATCAATTACTCATTGATTTAAAATACATTTACTGAACACCTGCGACTTACACAGTGCTGTGCTACACAGAAGCCCAGTAGGCTATTCAATTACAGAGCATCTATCTACCCATCTATCGCCTTAAAAGCAAACATACGTTACAATGCAGAGTAAGCCCCTAAGTTTAGAAAGGGTAAAGTCTCGTTAATATCTCCACTGCACATGTTGGAGTCTGAAATATCCCAATAATGCTTATTGAAAACAAATCACCTGATGGCTTTGTCCTTTCAAAATTACCTTGGGAGTCAGTAAATTTTACTGAAACACCTGACAGACTGAGTTTGTTAGGTATGATTAACAAATCATAGGCACCCAGTTATCAACATAGAGTTTGGAACATTCTACTCCCCTGCCAGCAGCCAGGGAGTAAATGTCTTCAGGCCTATGATGCCTTATTTCAACCAAATATAACTCTTATTTTATGATAAGAGAGAAGGAAATCACTTTCCCACCTTCTGAATATTACATTTACTCAACAAAGCATGAATGAGTATGTGCTATGTATAAACCATAGTTTCAGATGTTGAGGTACAAAGATACAATGACAATGTACATTTACTGTGTGCTTACTGTATACAAGCCACTATTCAAGTGCTTTACATGAATGAGTTAACTTAAGTATTCCTTATAACCACCCAAAAGAAATGGATACTATTGTTATTCCCATTTTACAGAGGGAAATCATGAACAGAGGTTGGGGAGCTTTGGCCAGGGTAACACACCATGCCAGGTCGCCAGGCTGGACTATGCACTGGCTTCTGAGCCTGAACTCCCACTAGTGCACGATTTTGTTTCTCATTAATAAAACATGATTTCTCCCTATGGAATTTATCATCTAAATTTCTCCAGAGGAAGTCATTTCTACTGGGCAGGTTTTCTTGAGACTGTATCCCTAACACTCCTTGGCAAGTGGATGCAATGTGTGCTAGTCATACAGGTGGGTAAAATGCCCCAAGACTGGGGTGACTAATCCTCCAAGGAGGAAGCAACAGGGCCAAGAGGGCAGAGCCAGCACTGGAGTGAGACCAGCGCCACCAGTGAGCTGTCATCAGCTGGCTGGACAGCGCCCCTGAGCTCTGAACAGCAGAAAACACCTGTGTGCAGGGCTGGGGGTTGACCAAGGGCAGCTGTTGGATGTGGGCCTTCCGGAACCCACATGGGGGGAGGCAAGGGAAAGGGATTCAGACCCTGAAAGGGGAAATCAGTGACCAACCCATGAAGAGACAAAAGACAGAGCTCAGGAACTGCTGCTCTGTCTCTCTACATTAGAGAGAGTGATACACAGACACATGGGGGTCACAAACTCCAAAATCCCACAACTCCATCCCCCAAATGCTATAAGCTTGCAGTATTTACATACCTGTCTTTTCCCAAGAAGCTTGGTGTTCATTATTTTTAAAAACCCTCACAGCAGGTCAGGAAGTCAGGCATTTGAATACAAATACCAAAAGAAAGGGAAAAGAAATGCTGTGGTTGGTGCAGCAAAGAATTCTGAGATGCCCACTAAAGGAGATCCAGACAATGAGCATCACCCCTTGGAAGCACCAACTCCAGAGGTAAAAGCGTGAAGCAGCTATAATCAAATCCATCCATAAACAAATCCAGCCAGCATTTACCCCTGGCAAGAACCTCCAAGTCTACGACCTCCCTCAAACTATGTTTACACCTTCTCCCACATTCTCGTATCCCCACAGCCAGAAATAAACCCAGGGCTCTCAAAACTGAGCCTCTCCTCCTCCCGCTCATGCGAGTTGGCCCAGCTCCAAGGCTCTGTAAGCAAGGAAATGCAGTCCAGGGACACTGTATGAACGCTCGCCTACTGTTTAAACATTCTCCTCAACCTGCAGCTTACACAGGTCACGGAGGCTTCACTATCTACTGTAGAGCAAGGAAGATACAAATCCATTTCACTGTAAATGAATTTAAACATTTATAATCACATTGGTTAAGAAGCTTTTGGCAATAAATAAAAACAAAAACCACTTGAAGCTTTGGTTGAAGATCAACTGATTAAAGAGGAACTATATAACACTGGAAACAATCTATTGATTCCCACCTTGAAGTTTTATAAATTGGTTCCAACAGGAGCTACAGGCCCTATGTTGGGGTTAAGCTTAGGGAAGTCCAGGCCCTCTCTCCCTTTCTAAACCTTTTTTTCTAATGGGTGTCAGCTTGCCTTACACCTCTTTATTCATCCTGGAGACACAATTTCAGCATACATATTTTGGTAGTGGTGGTTATGGTGGGTGCCAAATATTTATTATTGTAGAACATAAATGACTATTAAACTTCAAAATGTTTATTTTACATGCTTGCTGACTTTAGCTAATGTCATTATCCTATGATCCAACTAAAACTCTACAAATACACAAGGTTGAACTGTTAAATTTGCTGTGATTTCACCTTCAAATTAGTTTTTTAGTACAAAGTATGCTCCCTTAAGTCAATATGTTGGTCCAAAAAGTATTTGTGAAAGTGTAATAGTGCATATTAATCACTTAGCCACATACTGTGGCTTAGAAAGTCTAAATAGGTACTCTTTCCAACTAATAAGCAGCCAGGTTCAGGGTTTTCTGGACTATGTTGATTGGTATATATCTTACACTAATTATATCTTCAAAGATTTATAATTCAGAAACAAAAATTTAGTATTAAAGAGGTAATCAAAATGTTTGTCTTCCTTTTGCTAATCTAAAGAGCACTTAACATTTACATAAAATATATTTGAAGCCTGGTGATTTCATTTTGTATACCGTTTATGCAATTTGCTTTGCGGATTTGTATTTTTAAATAAAGATTGCAGAAATCAACCTGAAATATTACAACAGGTGCTATATACCTTCTGAATATGAAACCAGTATGAGTTGCATTATATGAGTCAATAATAATACAAGGAAAAGTCTATTTTCCTGATACAATTTCAACAAACTTAATCCTGATAATGATCCGAAGTTTTTTTTCGAATTTTGTAGGTCCCTTGCTGGATAACGTCTAGCCCTCTGGTTTTAATTTATAAGATGGTGGAAGTGGAAAACTGCTTTACATCCTTGGAAACAACAGCATATGGCATATGCAAAGCATACGGCATATGCAAAGCATACAAGTTGCAAATTCATTTTGAAGTTAATATCTAGTACCCATTTAGAACTTAATTATATCCATTTTTCATACTAAGTAAACATCTGCAATATAATAATATGCTACAAAAAAAAAAAGCAACAGAATTAAAATGTCTCTACCTGGAGAGCTGGCTATTTGCACAAAACCTACAAATCGTTAGTTAACTTTACAAAGCTTCCATACTCTTAGAGTCAATACAGTTCTGGTGATACTAAGCACATCAAAAAAAAAAACATCAAGAGCCACAGCCCTCATGCCATGAGCCTAGGGATCAGATGCACAGGTAGTGAGTGGTCAGATGCTTAGTAAGAAGAGATGACACAATCACAGCTATCTGTTTGGAGCACGCCCAGGCACTCAGGAAAATAAATTCCATTACGACTACATAGGATTTTCTCTTAAATAGAATTTTTTTTCCTTTCTTGCTTTTTAAGTAGTATGGAAAAGAAAGGGGGAAAGGAAATGAGGAGTAACACTGCAGTCAGTACAACCCAATTGCTTGACAAATCATAATAATGAAGACAAGGTAGCAACATAGGACAATGTATTTGATATAATGTTAGATGGGGATAAAAAACATACACGATGGGTGTGGGGGGAAGGATGTCTACAGAGTAAGACTAGGCAGGGTTATACACAAAAACATGAAGCTAGTTTTTGTGTTTGGAACAAGAGCATTTTAGATAATTGTTTCTTCTATTTCCCAAACTGTCTAGTAAAGTTATCCCTTTACAGTAGCATTCTTTAAAAGATGGCAGTGGGCCCAACATTTGGCTCCAGCACACACAGCTAGTGATGGGGAATACATTGAAGAAATAAAACTACAAAGAGGGAATTTAGATAACACCTTTTTCTGAGTGACCCCTTTAATAAGGGGCTTCGGTCTCCTTTCACGAGGCAAGGCCTCTTCCCTCATGCAACTAAGGTCCAAGAATCTTTGGGCATGAAAACTTCTAAGGAATATCTGCATCAATCCTTTTTGAGTCTACCTTTCTTGACACATAGTATGGGTAGGACATCAGCAACTATAAACCTGGTAGGTGCCTTAGGAACTGCCGAAGAGGAGACACAGGAAAAGACGCCCACGGCTTTATGTAAGCCACTTAGGAGACAGACTACATGTATCTAATCTATGTAAATTAACGAATGATGGCCAGAGGCAGATTTTTTTTTGTTCTGTTGGAATTAACAGAACCTAACAGCTTCAGTTTGAAAAACATACTCCTATTACAGAAGAATGGACATAACAGACTACCAGGACACGCACATGACCCTGTGAGCAATTTTTGCATGGGTGTATGTTGTACACATGGATGCACATGCACACATCACATAATCTCCAACGTGTGCATAGCTGTCCACTGTAATGACATTTTCTCACTGTGACAAAAGACTGACAGAGAATGCCTGCATTTCCACACATACAGGTTCAGGGATACCTTCCCACGGCCATTCTGCTGGTCCACCGGCTCCGCAAATGATGACTTCATTTCTACCTCTCAAAATGCCCCATCGGTTTGCTTTCTCTATCACAAACAAATGTGACCTTTTCTCCCCAAGTGCCATCTTTGGGTACAGCTGTAGGAACGATAGGCCAGTCAAAGGCTGGTTCAAGCAACTGATTTCCCCAAATAGCTCTGAGAGGTTCTTGTCAGGACTCAGGTTAAGCCAGCTGTCTGTATCACTGAAAATGGTACTTGCTGGTTGCACTTCACACCCACTTCTCTGGTTCTCTCCTTCCAGGAAGTCTATTTTTCAGTTACAAGAACTGTTTACTTTGGCTTACAGGCTGATGGGCACTCCCTCCTTCAAGAGTGTTTCCCAATCCTCTGCCTCCATTCATTTACTCTACTAATGTCTGAGGAAAAGTGTGCTATTCCATCAGCAAGAACAGTTCTGGGTCCTTTACCCACACCCTCGATTTAACTGTGGGATCATGAGTTTTGAGAAACACACACACTTCTCATTTTGGCAGCATTTGCCATCAGCTCAAATACTCCTTCTGCTGATAAAGTCTTAGAGAAGGCAACACTGAAAAGAAAACATACCTGCCTAGGAAGTCTGGGAACAGATTTTTAAGCTTTTTTTATATGAAGCCATATAAAAGTTTTAAAAATATTTTTAACGAGTTATAGGAAAATCATCAGTGGACCCTCAAAAAATAACCTTGCTTAAATCTTCACTGTTCATTGCCACTGTTCATTATGGACAACCAGAGCTCTACAGCTATAACTTTACTTAGCCATCAGTTCCAGCTTCTCTCCTTCCCTTTCCTAAAACTTTTGTAACTGGTGATGACCAATAAAAGGATCTGAAGTGGGCTACTGGGAAAGCCACCAACCATACACTAACATTATCAACAATTTCCATCAGGTATGAGATGAGCATCGTAAACTTGGGAAAGCTGAAGGGCCATGCCGCAGCAGAAAATTAAACCTGCCCTAAGAAAATGGGCACATTGACTAAAGTGATAAAATGGCACAGGTACCTGAACTTATATCCAGGAGAATTCTGCATGTGTCTTTGACTCTATATACTTTATCTTGGCCAAAACTCTCTATCTTTAGCAGCTGAAAAGCTTAGCACCAAATGTATCAAGGTTTTAATTTGCTATGTATCCTTAAGTTTCTAATGTCTTATTCCATCTTAATTTGTAAACCTCCTTAAAACCTTTAGAAAAACAAACAAAGAACTTATAACTAGTGCTACAGAAAAAACAATTCCACACTGAATGTGGAATTACTAAATAACAAGTTGGGGCTCCAGCCACTAATCATCAAAAATTCCTGTCTCTGAAGTCATAGGGTTTGGAGTAAATCCAAACGGAATTTTGCTTTCCTAAATGCCTTAAAGTGCATTCCTATGGAATTCCTGCTCGAACCATTGTGAGGCATTTTAATTATTCCCAGTCACACACTTCCACCCTCAGGTTGTTGGCTTAGGATTTCCTTCCCCAAAGAAGCTGTACAGTTAAAAATTCCTTAGGATATCTGGAGATCACCTGAAGCAGTAAACAGGTTGCACCACACTGCACTTGGCACTCACATATTGAACATTCAGTACATGTTTCTTAAACTAAACACCCTCCTGATTAATCAACATAAATGTTTGTTAAGACACAATCCTGGATTAGCTGAGAATTCAGAAGTCTATTTTGCTATCACCAAGTCATGATGATATGGTCATCTGAAGTGTGTTGATAATTTATAACCGATTTATCAGTTATTGTTTACAAGCAGCTGATCACCACAGTATCTCAACCGTTTAGTATATCAGATCCCTGGCAGTCAAGAGAAGGTTACAAGCAACCACCCACGAGGAAAATTCCTATAAGCTGATAAGGGGTTAGTGAATGAAAGATGACACCTTTATGACAAACTGACAAGAAGAAAAGTCCACACAAATAAAAATTATCTTTAAATATTTGCCAAAAAAATACAGCTGAAACTAATTCATCATGGAAACATTACAAAAAATTCTAAGACTGATCGGCATGAGCAAAGTTAACCAGTTTGAGCTTCCTCCTGCAATGCTATGGCTTCTCACTGGGATTCTCTTAACGGGGAGTGCCATTCGTTTCAGTTTCCACAATGCAGACCAAATGGTTCGATGAAAAAGTTTTTGTATAATATCTTGGATGACCTTGAGTCTAGATTTAGTCAACAAATGCTCATTGAGTTCTTCCTGTGTGCCAAGCGCTAGAATAACACACAATCCTGGCACTCAAATAGATCACAATGAGGCAGAGAGACAGAAATGTGAACTCTAACACAGTATGAAAAGTGCTATAACAGGGGAAGGAGAAAGTGCTATTTATGGTCACTGGGGGATGGGGGATGGGGGATGGCATTACTTTTTCCTGGGCAGGGCAGGAAGGCTTCACAAAGGAAAGAGCATAAACTGGCAGGGCTTGAGGGATGCCAACACATATTAAAGGACGTGAAGACAACTATGGGGGCGTCTGAAACCTGACACCACACCCATTTTCCAGTTGCTGGCCTTAGTTGCTGGCCAAGTCTTTGGTTGCACTAGATATTAAGAAGAATGTGTTGACCACATCTCCTAATTTTCTGAGCTCTCAAAGGGTCTTTGTCCAAGATACACTGGAAATAAAGTTGGAAAACCTAAAACTTCAGGAGCAAGATGGTCAGGTCTTTAATTTAGGGGTCTAATTTTCCCTTACCTGTGGGCTTTTAGTAATAACATGCAGACTGCTAAGGTCCTATGGGAAGTTAAATGCTTATTATACTAAGATTAGAAGTAGAGGGGGAATAACTATGCATATGAAATATGTCCCCTCTAAAGAAAAAAAGTTCACTGTTCCTTCTTAACTAGTGGTCATCCTTTATCCCTTCTCTCTCTTTTTAGCTCCTAATACCATCTACTTTTCCATTCTCTCAAGAAATATTATCACTCAAGCATTTCTGACTCAAGGGCATTCACTTACATATTCACACACAATTTTAAAAATATAATAACCTGGATTATTTTCAGTGCCAAACATAGCTGTAATTATGTATTTCTTTTGGACATGCTTTATGTTATTAAAGCATGTAAATACTTTATCTCCCTCAAGTTTTCCAGCCCTCAGTTGGCAGAAAGTCTTTTCTTTTTCCTTTCTCTTTCCAAAGCAACTAATACAATTTCCTGAATAGACAGTCAATAAACTTGGTTGCTGAGGGCTCACCTTTTCCCAGGGCAGTGTTTGAAAATAATTTCATCTACTGCCAACAAAAAACACCTCTGGCTTCTTTCATTTTACTTATTTACCTACAGAGGTCTTCCATTTCTCACTGTAAATTTCTGCTGCTTCTTTCTGCTGTCACATTTAAAGTTTCTGCGTAAGGTCAAAAACTGTTTAATGATGGCATACTATTTAAAAAAAAAAAAAAAAAGCTTTTGTCCCAATCACTAAGAAATAAGTCAGCAATATTCAGAAGCTCTACTTGCCCACTTATAGATATCCCAATTAACAGGCAGTTTAAAACCCAAAGCATCTTAATTAGAACTGTTTTTTCAAATGCAGTAAGTAAAACAATGTGCGACCTTTTATTAAGAAGTCATTTTCAGTTTGCTGATCTACAGAGTAGATACTACAGTCAACTTGCTTCAAGCTGGGGCGTTGTTTCCAGCACATCCATAATACAATGCACGGTATTCTTTGTCTGTGTTGTGCCCTCAGCAACTGAAAAAATACACATGCACGTGCACACCCTACATCCAATGGCACAAAGTTAACTACACATTCAAAGAAGGAATTAGCTTCCTGTCTCTCAAAGAGTATTCCCACTCAGGGGCCCAGTGGCTGATGCTACAGAAATAGTTCACTACCCTGAGTACATCTTTTTAGGCCAGCAAATCTACCACAATCTTGTACAGATCCTTGTTGTATAAACTTTTATCACTTTCCTCACATTTATCATCTTCTCGAATGTTCCTATATGGCAACATTTCTGACCTATATTACATATAACATTTCATATGTTCCTATATGGCAAAAAGTTCTGTAGAAATGTTTGCAGGTCAAAAGCTCCCCCTGCAAACATTTTTACAGAACTTTTTGTCGTTAATGCAGACACTGTTATTGGAAGGGATCCTCACAGAGGAATTGACTCTTGCACCACCTTCTGTCAATGGCTGGGTTGCCCAGTAGCTGGAAAGCTGTGTGCACTCATCCTTGCTGGAAAGAACATGGAGGCAAATGTTAAGACTGCTGGAAAGCATCTTTCCAATGGCTTTCAGGACACTTGAGATCCAGCAGGCACTGGGCTGTGGTAGGGATTCACCAGAGGAGGAGGGCCAAACCACAGCACACAGATGTGGGCAAGTGGGGTCTCTAACTCACCTTCTAACATAGACCCTTCACTACAGCAAACACACATGCACTCATGGGCTGCTTTGTAGAGAAATGCTGGGCCCTTGGCATGCAGATTCTCATTACTGCCGCAGAGGTTTAAAAGTTCTTAAGCTAATATGCACCAACCAACCTGGAAGAAAAGCAAATAAAGACCTATTTATACACCAGAAAAGAGTAAAGGAGACCCTAGATTGGGCAAAAGCTCAGGTTAGTAAATTAACACCACCCCATCCCAGAAATCTAGCCTGGAAGAGAGACGGTAAGATCTGGAACAGGATTTAACTTTTGATATTATCTTTTTAAAATGGAAAGAAAGAGCAAGCCATAGTACAACATAAAATGTTTATCCAGTTATTAGTAAACTTTTAACAATTTCACAGATTGGAGTGAAAAAAAATTTTCTGGAGCAAAAAGCAAAAAGTATTACAGAAAACTAAAAATTATCTAAGTTTACATACCTAGGAAATGGTGGCTTAGGTAACTGCGCTGAAAGTGAGAATCATGGAAGAGAGCTATGTAATAATTAGCCACTGAGTTTTCTCATATGACATACTCCCAAATGGAATATTTCACATTCAGCAGACTTATTAATGAATAAATGCCCAATGGGAATTAACTAGTACCTCATTCTGGAAGGCTGCTCTTGGCAAAAAATGTAATAACCACAAGGCAAACAAGCTGATTGCTAATATACACTGGAAGCCGTGCTGGGCATCATTTTCTTTCGAATAATGCCTATTACTTTAAGTTTTAGAGCCGCAGGTTCATACTACCTAACCTTGCTCAACGTCCTGCCGCTGGACAACATGCAAAGGAAGGGTGAAGTTTCTGGACAACTTTCCAAGCTTCGCAGTTGGCTTGTACTTGAAACATATTTAGTGAATATTTGCTGTCTCACATACAAGCAAAGAGCTTCCTGGTCAGTGGCTCAGCTGTACACAGAGGTGAGGGAGCTTGCGCAGTGTGCAGCATGTCCCTCTGCAGGAATCATCCTTTCATCCTCCCAACGTGAGGCACCAACATGCCACGTTTGGCCAGCGACCCCACACCCCCTTTCATGCACTATTACTGCTATGTTTCTTTAAATTCAGTCTGCTCCTTAAGGAAACTCCCTGGCAAGTGAAAACAGCAGCAAAGGTAAAAGAATGTGGAGAATTTGGCTGCTGCCTGCAGTATTAGGAAGAAGAGCAATTACTCAACTCTCTCCTAGTGTCAGAGGCAGAAATGAGCATGTGAATTTGGGCAAGTTTTGGCCTGTCTTCGCTCTAGCTTCTCCCTTTGCAGTCTCTGTCACCTACCTACCTCATAGTCTTAATAATTAATGAAGTACATAAGAAAATGGAGAAAGGGAAGGCAGCAAACACATAAGAGAGGTTTGAGTTCTACCCTGAATCCAGACTCAGCCACGGTGAATATGATTTAAAAGACTTCAGGCATTTAAAAGCTGTCACTAACTTCCCAATACTACGCTTTACTGTCTCCACTGCCGCTTGATAAACATAACCATGGAGGAACTCTTGATCTTTTCCTCTAAGCCCTTCTGTCTACAGCACCTGGCAGTCATGTAGACACTATCACTTTTTCCTTCCCTGGCTCTGCAAACACAAGGTAATATTCGACTCCTGTCTATCACTTCTAGGTCATAAAAGCATAGATCTTATGACCAGTAGAACCTTAAGATATCATCTGATTCAGTTCCCCTGTCTTGAGGTAGGTAACTATTTAATTCCCTTTTGACAAATTAAGGCAAAGTCATGCCAAGGGAAGTTGAAGGGTTTTATTTAAGTCACTGGGCTATTAAGAGATGAAGGGGGATTCAAAAGCCATGGCTGTTTTTTTCTCCTTTATCATGTTATCACATACAAGAATTCTGTAATATTCACCTTTCTGGGCAGCCTCAAACCCTTTCTGAAACAAGCTAGGATATACACAAATACAGTCACAGTCTTGATTAAAACACAGAAATTTATTTGGTCTTTCATTTTGATGTGATAGGTAGTGGTAATAAGTTTTCTTAAAATCTGCCTGAAATATAGGAACTCAGTGGTTCTGAAAAGCACACAGTATACCCATTCTGTCTCCAACTGTTTAAAAATCCTTCTACTTTGACTTCCACAGACAAAACTGTCTAAAATCCATCCCTTTTCCTCACTCAGACTGTAAAAGCCCATACTTTTCAAAAAAAGCAAAGCTCCCAAATATGGGAAGTGAGAAAAGGTTTTCGAGATCTGCATTTGATAACATGATGGAATATTCTGTCTCTACAGACTTATAAACACACACACAGAAAGGTCCAAGCCTATGCATCCCACACTCCTCACACCATAAGGCCTGAAGTGGTCCAACTACTTCATAAAGTCTAGTTCAGGTCAAACATCCTCAAGGTAGCTTTGCCTTATTTTGGCAGGTCTTTCGCAGTCTTAAAAAGAAGTATCACAATTCTCCAACAAAAGATGCCTTTTGTTTAATCACAGCTGTGAAACGTTTTGCTGTGGCCTTTGGATAAGAAGCTAAATAAGTTACCTCTTGTAGACTGGGACTCTGCAGTCTCAGGTTTCATTCTGCCCTGCCAGAAATTCCTTTCTGTTTTGAATCTGAGATGTTTGTTTATGGTTTTTGTTTTGAAATGCTAAATAAGACAGGCATAGTTTCCAGTTACAGCCTATGGACCACCATCTACTCCCTCTCCTTTTTTTTTTAATCTTTCCATAGGCAAGGTAGCTGGTTGCTAAAATTTCCAAATAGCAAACTGTTCAAATTCTCTTCTCAGGAACTTGAAATACAAAATGGTAACACCCTACAATATAATTAACACTTATTTTTTTTTCTTAAATATTCAGAAGACAAATGTTCTCAGGATAGTCTGAATTAGGGTGTTATTTTGACATCTTTCTGATTTTGTTTGTAGGTTACATGTCCGAATACCAGCACTCTTGATAGAAGTGCTACAAATGAGAGGTACTAAAGTAGTTTCTGGAAGAAAATCCAATTTCTACTATGCGATAATACGGTTTGATCATCAGGAAGGAAAAAAAAAGTTGTAAACCACTGATTCCAAGGATTTTTCTCTTCATCAAGTTCTTTCTCCTTGTTCTACAATAGCCAATTTAAAGCATCTGCCTTATGAATTATCAGCCAATATTTACTGGATAAAAATGATACTTATTTTCAGGTACAAAGGAAAGAGTCACAGTTAAGCAAATGTAGTTCTGGGCTGGGCGCGGTGGCTCACGCCTGTAATCCCAGCACTTTGGGAGGCCAAGGTGGGCAGATCACGAGGTCGAGAGACCATCCTGGCCAACATGGTGAAACGTGGTCTCCACTAAAAATACACAAAGTAGTTGGGCGTGGTGGCACATGCCTGTAATCCCAGCTACTCAGGAGGCTGAGGCAGGAGAATCGCTTGAACCAGGGAGTCAGAGGTTGCAGTGAGCTGAGATCATGCCACTGCACTTCAGCCTGGCAACAGAGTGAGACTCTGTCTCAAAAAAAAAAAAAAAACACAAACATAGTTCATAGTTCTGTTCTCCTAAAATGGGACCATACCCACACTAAGAACTAAACAGCTAGTAACATTAGATATTTTGATTCTAGGTGTTCTTCCTACCCCGCACTATATCACAAAGACTCCCTAGAGACAGTGCAAACCCATGGCCAACCTCGACTATTAGTCCACATCAAAGATGGCTAGAATGACTGGGAGAGAGAAAAGCAACACAGATGGCCTCTGGCCCTCACACCCTCTCCTGCTCATTCCCAAGCCCGCAGTGGTCTCTGAATCGGCTAGGCTTGCCGCTGCTTCCTTCTGTAACCTCAGTGAGATATATCAACCTGGCCTGGCTATATCCTTGGGGTCTCCAACGTCTCCAGTGATGTCCAGAAATCCTCAAAAAGTTCTAACAATAAAAGGAAATTTAATTCACTGTCATAAAACCATATGCCATTAATATTAAAAGGCCATTTTTAAATAAATATTAATTTGAAATAGCTCTTTGGATGTAGGGGCTCAAACCACAAAATCAAGCAAGTGTTCACATTCTGCTGAAATGCCAAAGGCGCTGGGAACTGTAGTTGCACTGGATCAAACCAACGCATGTTTCCTTGGTGCATAGACCCTGTATTCCCAGCCCCCTGTTCTCGGTACTTCACGGTTCTTTTCTCTTTGACAAACATCTGACATTTGAATTCCCCCTCGAAACTCCCACCCCTTTGAAGAGATTTAGTTAAGTTTGGAGGAAATGTGTGCCCACAAGGTAAATTTTTAAACTTACAGAGAAAGCTAACAAAGAGGAAAATGGGAAAGGATAGAAAATAGAATGGAAATTAAAATTAATATTATTTTAAAAAATCTATTTGGTACCAGAAACTAGCATATACACATACATACTATACACACACACACACAATCTTATATATACATCTATGTAATCATATATATAAATCTCTAATCCTCACTACAATATTTACTTAATAGAAAGCTATTAATATTCCAGTTTCACAGATGAGGGAACTGAAGCTCAGAGAAACTAAACAAGCTGATCTCACGATTAAAAAAATAACAGATTTAAGATTTCAATGCAGGTTTGTCTAGCCCCAAGCCCTATTTTCTTTTTCCTAAAACATCCTGCACAAGAAGTGCAGGAAAAAAGGAGGGAGGAGAGGAGACCCTCAGGTCTTTCTTGTTGCTGCATCCTCCACTAAACTTTTCCTGGTGGTCAGATTTGGGTTAGACTCCCTCTTACTTGCTCCTGACATGCTTGGCATTTCCGTTATCTCATGGCTTACTGAACTGATTGTAATGAATTGTCTGCTTTTCCAGTTTACCATCAGATCATGGCCTGTGTGAAAACAAGGACCATATCTTATTTATTTTGGCTGAAAAATAATGACTATAATAGCAGGTAACATTTATCAGGTCTTTTAATATGCATACTCTGTGATACATGCTGTATACATAGGTACTAGCTTTGTGCTACTTAAAAGTGTGGTCCTGGCACCTGTGACACTGGCATCAGCCAGAAATTTGTTAGAAATGTAGAATCACAGGCATCACCCCAGACTAACTTAATCAGACTTGCAATTTTAAATACCTAGGTGATTTGTGTGCACACTAAAATTTCAGAAGCACAGTTTTATCTCACTTAACCCCCACAGCGAACCTAGGAGGTACCGACGACTAACAGAAAAACTGGCTTACACAAGTGATGTCACTACTGTAAAGCACAGAGACAAGACCCATAGGCGATGCTCATGAATATTTTCAGGCAGAAGAATGGCAGAAGAACAGGTAGAGCTAGAAAAAGAACAAGAGGAATGGATAATCCTCTGACTTCTGGTTTTGCCTAGTTTATACCAACTGCAGCAGCAGGTTGGAACCATAGCCCCCATGGCGTCGAGCTGTTTCTTTGCTCAAGCCAGGCCAAATCCTGCAGTGGTCATCAGTGTGCACACTCAGGAGCTAGGAGCAAAATTTCCTCCCAGAAGATAATGTGAAGCAAAGTGCACACTGCTGATTATAGCACATCTAGGTTCCCGCCTCCTCCCCAAATTAAGTATTTTTAATTATTTGTTCACAGATAAATGGTTACATTTATAATTCCTACAAATCAATGCAAAATAATATCAGACCTAAAACATTACTCAAAATATACAAACTTTGTAGAAATCATTTAGACAAGGTATAAAAAGATAGTCATGGGGGGGGGGGGCGGCGACGACTGCTGAATTCAGTAACAATTTGCTCCCTTTCTAAGAGCCCAACCTCCTTAACTGCTTACCATCAATGACTGAGGTAGATGGGGATTAAGAGAACAAGAGACTGAGCCCAAGTAAAATTGTTTCACTTATACTGGTTAGTAGCCTTGTTAGTAAGCATGTTCCATGTGCCAGTCATTCTTTTAACTGCTCATTAGGGATGCACTGAGTCCTTATAGCAACCCTATCATTAACCTGACTACACAGATGAGAAAACTGAGACACACAGAAGCAGAGTGCAGATTTGACCCCAGAAACCAAGTTCTTTTTTTTTTTTTTTTTTTGAGACAGGGTCTTGCTTTGTCGCCCAGGCTGGAGTGCAGTGGTGCGATTTCAGCTCACTGCAGCCTCTGCTTCCTGGGTTCAAGCAATTCTCCCACCTCAGCCTCCCTAGTAGCTGGGATTACAGGGGCCTGCCACCAAGCCTGGCTAATTTTTTTGTATTCTTAGTAGAGACAAGGTTTCACCATGTTGGCCAGACTAGTCTTGAACTCCTGACCTCAGGCGATCCATCTGCCTCAGCCCCACAAAGTGCTGGGATTACAGGCATGAGACACCACGGCCGGCCCCAAGTTCTTGAACATTACACTTTTCCACCAACATGTAGGTATTTTCATGTGGGGAATTAACTGGGACTGGAGGAGGGAGGTAAGGAATTGATACCTGTTCACTTTGCAACTAACAAAGGAAAATAGGTTCTTTAAAAACATTTACTTTTTTCATGTGGGCCCAAGATAAAACACGTAAGAGTTTAGTGTTTACCTTGAGGGTATTCTTACATAGAGGTATATTCAACCATTCCTCTGTCTTGACTTAGGAAGTCTTGACTAAACAGAGGTTTTCAAAGATGTGACCAGGCTACTGCCCAGGGCAAGCAGCAGGGTGGGTGAAGCTGAGAGGTGCTGATAAAGGGACACCTCCCAGTTTACTGCCCACGCTTATCCGCCTAGTGAAACAAGCTAGAACAAAGAGAAAATCACTCTCAAAAGGAAACTTGCCGTTTTGAAGCACAGCTACTAAAGCATTAAGAATGCAGCTTCATTCTTAGATGTTGAGAAACACTGAGACCAATTGCACAGGCTCTAAGGAGAATGGGTAGGATCACCTCCCCTGCCAAAAGAAAGGGCTACTACTCACACTTTTAAACCTAGTTCAAATTCAAATTCCCCTTTCTGCTTTGCCACCAGAGCCTCAAGAGATCACTTCAGATGCTTTAATTCCTACAACTAATTTTATCCATATATTTCACTAGCCAATTAATCATACACAGACTTGCAAAATCACTTCTACTTGGCTTGAATTTATATTATTATGTAGACTTTTTGCAAGTCTACATAATAGACTTTTTGCAGTCTTGCTGTCTTTATTTCTTATCTTGATTAAGTGTACAGAGCAAAGAATATGTTGGAGAGGTCCCCGGGCTCCCTAGTTTCCCCCTCACCCCAGCAGAAGGCCTTGTACAGCATAGAAGACCAATGAATGAATGACTGATTTCCATGCAAAGGCAAGTCAGATCTTTGAAAATGCAGCTTTGCAGAATTAGACCTCTGAGAAGGAAAGCTTTCAATGTGTTATTCATGCATGCTTGGCTAGTCTACTGTTTCTCCCTCAAATAATTAAATGAGCTTTACTGGGGTGTCTCCAAAATCCTGATACCAAACGTGCCATACGGAACACAGTGTTACAGGAACCCGCTTCACTAAATGTATTTCCCTTCCACTCATTTTACCACCTCCTACCCTCTTGTATTTACAGGCTAAAGCAACACTATCATCTCTGCTTGCACCATAGCCTGGGAGATGTTAAGCACACCCACATTTTTCAGGAATTTCACAATTAATGTCTGGAATGTGTTTTGGATTATTCTTCAAAGGATGATATACTTGTGCTAAGATGAATTCAATATTTTCCCTTCTCCCATTCGTCATTCTTTAGTCCACCCCCTCATTACCTCCTTAGGGTCATCTGTTTCATCTACAATATATCCCCCAACTTCATAATGCCCATCCCCTGCCTCACCCAGCTGTTCACTCATTCATCCCGGTCATTGCATCTTCAACAAACCACACAAAACAAAGAAACCTGTACCAAGTCACCAAATACCTCCTACAAATGGATGTAATGCCTACACAGATTAAGGACTGTTCAGTTTTCTTCATATATTAATCTGACTGCTTACAACCCTACTGCCAACCTCTTGCTTGGAGATTTTCCTGGTCAGTGTACAATATGTGTGAATGGCAACAAATATCTCCAGACTTGCTATTTTTGCCATTCTGATAATACACAATCCATCTGCCCTTTGCCAAGTGTTTTATGTGACAGGACTCCTCAATAACAGGGAAGATTCTATAAGCCTGGCAATCAAAGTGAAGGTCACTGAGTCCTGTCATTTATTTAAGTGCAGTGAATAGTTGGTCTCTCCATGTTTTGCCAATATTTACTTTTGGGAGGAACTAATTATTTCCTTGTTTACTTCGTTGGTTTCTCTTCCCATTCCCTGTTAACATAATGTTATAGGCCCTCTGCTTGTTCCTCTCTGGGATCTAAGGGCTCCCTGTCTACCTAAGGACTTCTGAGAGGAAAAATGAAACCCATTATTCCAAAACAAAGCCAAGAGCTTAATTTTTCTAACTATAGAAGCTGATATTTTGCCCCCCTCCCGTTACTTAATGAGTGAATTAAAATTCGTGGACTCTTAACTTCAGGCCCTACTACAGAGTGGTGAGAGTAGTTTCCATGCGGCTTGTGCAGAATGAAATGTTTGGGTTCATTATCTGGCCTCCTGCAGCCTGCTTTCTGGAGCAGATCCCGCATACATTTTCTTCCAAGCAGCCATCATCTTCACTGACTGTCTTCCAGGGATAAGCAAAGAAACTTTGCATGGCAAGTTTCAGGAAACAAAATTCTGTTTTTTGCTGTAAGTACCCCACTATGTATACATAGTTCTCTTACACACTGCCCAATGAAAAATGGGTAAAAGGAACAGTTAAAATTCCTGGGGGAAATAAAAGGAGGATTGCGTTCTGAAAGAGGTCGTTTTTAGATAGCAATGGTGAAAAAGATGGAATGCTAAGTTCCAAAATATGAAGCTACTGAGTAAATAGTCACCAAGAAAAAAATTGGTGCTTATCTGATCTAGCTATCACCTGAATCTAATACAACAGAGTCCTCGGAACAGTGACTCAAGTAGTCTCCACCTGGTTCCTCATCACTCTGTCTGTACAAACTGCCAAAGCAAGTCACCATCTGCCCTTTAACTGCCCAGAGAGGCTGGTCATGCTCTCTCACCTTGCCTCACTCCTTATAGAAGCATAAAGCGCTATGACACATGGGAGAAGAAATGGCTCTCAACCCCTTAGCTCAAAACATAATTCTCACTGTCCAATCAAAATCTTCTTTCTAGAAAATCTCACTTCATTAATTTTTCTAAACTCTGCCTTCGATCCTCCAAAGATGTCTTCCATCCAGATTTCTTTCTCAGGGGTTCAGGATCCACACTTGTTTCTCTGGCTTCTAGGTGATTTTCCTGGAGGCAGGCAGCCTGGCCAAGAAAACAGGCCAGTTAGGATGCTGCAAAGAGCAACAGGAGGTCTTAGCAGACGAATGGAAAGAGGAAAAAGACCTGCACTCTCCTAAGTTCCAAAAAGCACTTTCTAGACTGACAGAAAGTAGGAAAAACTTTTAGGTATCAGGCTCCATGCTCATTTTTTCAAATGCACTTACCACCCCCAGCCCCCACCACAAAAGGAATAATTCAATTAGAATTTATTTAATAACAATCTAAACAATGCGGAAAAGAAATCCAAGTGCACATCTCACATGGTGCACAGGACACAACTCATCACATTATTTAATCATTCAGAAAATATTTTTTTTCCTTCAGCATTCTTTCTATGGATAGGATTGTTCTTCCGTTTGTTCAATGTACTTTTACTGAGAGCCAACTAGACCAGCATGCCTTAAAAACCTAAGGCTGTGAGCCACAAGCTGAAAGGGGCCCATTTCTGCCCATGATTTATCTAACTCATTTTGTGAACTGCAGTTAAAAACGTAATTTTTTTCCCCTACAAAGCCAGTATGAGAGTAAACACTGCTAAAAATTACTGCAAGTTGGCAAACAGAGAATATAATTTGTATTTAAATTATGTCATCGAAAGCAGGGAGATTAGTCATGATAATATTTCTATAACATGCAATATGTTTTTACAACGTAGCCAATTAAATAAGTTTTCAAGAGTTTTCATTAACAGATACAACCAGTAGGGGTCATTTTAGTGCAAAAATTGCAGCAAAAGAGACTTCAACATGAATAAAATATATTGATTCCTATTCATGTTAGTTATGATAACCATGCTTCACCACGTGAATTTCTGAATAAAAATGGAAACTGAGGGAAACACTGGCCATTCCGAAATTTCTTGTAAACTCACAGAAAAACAAGAGATAATCAATACCTTCTAGGTAACTGCTGACATCTGAAGGCTCCTCTAATTCTTTTTTTAAAAATGGCAGGCGGGGGGCGGTTGGGGTATCACTTATCCCATGCTTTCCATAAATCTTGTCGTTAAGTGAAAACACTGAAATTGTAAACACACGATTGAAAATATCTGTCTAAATCCAACCATTATATCATGCCAGGTAACACTGTCCTTACTTTGGTTTCACAGATTTAGAATGCAAGTTGACTGCTGTTTTCAGTATTTTTTTTTTTAAAGGAAGTGCCCTGGACACACAATATTGATAGTTGAAAACAGGCCTGTAAAATAAAAAGTGTTTCTAGAGAAACTAATTGAGATATAATCATGTCAACAAACCCTTCCAAGCATTTCAAAGCGAATACCAAGCACACAGGGTGTTGCCAGAAAAAAGGAAGCTATGAGGGATCACATCATTTCAGAGGAATGAAAGGCTCACGAAACTGCCAAAATAACTCTATACTGTGACATGGGATATTGCTGCCACAACACTCGATTACTGTAAATGTTCCCTGAGCACTTCCTTCACCAGAAACAGACTAAGAAGAAACAAAACAAGGGTTAGAATCTTCAGAACCTGCAAAAGTCCTTCTTGGAACACAGCAGTTTCCACTGCATTTAACTGTGTTTCATGTCGCCTGTTCTTTTCAGATTTACGAGAGGCCGGATTAAGTTATACACTTGAAGCGGCAGGGTTCAAAGATGCATCTTTTAGTCTAGGTCATTCAGAATTCCCAAAGTCAAAACACATACAATGGTATCAGAAGTTAATCTCATGGCCATTTTTCTTGAGGTAAGGCATAAAAACAAGTTATAAAAGGGGACAATACCAGGTGAGAGGCTTTTTTGTACTTCAGGCAAATGATCTCTTCTAACCCAATGTCTTACGTGTGCAGCAAAGCAAGAGCAAGTCCCTCCCCTCTGAGAAGAGTTCCCTTCACTCATCACTGCCCACTAGCTTCCAAACCAGAAAACCCTCCCCTATTTTCCTGAACTGTCCAAACCCCAAACTATTCAGGTATAAATAAGTACCTATGTGTGTGTCTGTGCGTATTTAGAGAGAATCACAGCACTGAAGCCTTTTAATAGGTCCATTGTTATCCTTAAGGCTGTCACCTCCTTTTTCAGTATCCCAGCATACTAAACAAACACACACAAAGATGCTTCGGAATAAACCGTTCCCTGGACGGTGCTGGCTGTGAGTAGTGAGGAAGGCACGCCGGGCAGAGGGCGCCTGTCCCTCCTCGCCGCCTCCCCAGAAACGAGGCTGCTGCGTGCGCTCTGCTCACTCGCCAGGATGCCCCCGGAACAGCATCATCAGCCCAACGTCAGCCAGAGCAGGGATCCCACTTTTAACTGATGCTTACCGAACCGTGCCCCCGTTAGCCACATCAAAATAACTCACTGCCTCGCTCTAGACCCCAAACCAGACCAGGCACCCTGAAGGCCGACGCAAGCGGGCAGGGATTAAAGCCAACACGCACTAACATTGGCTCCCCAACGAGAAAGACTCCACTAATCTAATCTGTTTCTCCCACCGTCAATCTCGACACCGCGGAGCACAATGCGTGCTGGAGAAGCCAGCAGAACAATCCCCGCTGTCAAACAAACAAAAAGGAGGAACCGGCAACACGACAGGAAACACGCGGGTATCTGATATTAAAAAGCAGCCACTAATAGCAACAACTTTTTACTCCCAGGTGCAACCCCCACCCCCCTTTCCTTTCAGGAGAGAAAGCCTTTGACCGTTTACAATGGGCAAATAAATGAGTAACCACCGTGTGTAACTTCCCCTGGGCTGACATATTCCGCGGCTGAAACTGATTTATCTGCGGAGGAGGAGGAAGGGGTGAAGGAAGAGCTCAAGGAAAAAATAATAAGAGTCACTCGGGGAGTGCGAGCTGGAGACACGTCTCCTCCGCCAACAGAAAAAGGACTTTCGCGGCCGGCGTGCGGCTCACGGTGCCACACTGCGCCAGTGCGGGGAGGGCGGTAGGGCCGGGCTCCCCGAGGGGCTCGCGCGCGGCAGAATCTGCAGTGCCCCCCGCCCGCGGCGCCCCCACCTCGGGGAGCAAGGCCGGGCCACCCAGTCCCAGCAGGAACGGCCACACGTGTGCGCGTCTGCGCGGGGACAGGGGCGATCCTCCACTCGCTCGCCCCCACCCACCATACCCAACCTCGCCCGCGACTGCCTAAGCGTCGGGGGGAACAAGGAGAGGGAACGCAGGGCCGCGGGGGCACTCTCCTGGGGGCGGCGGCCGCCCCTCTTCCCGCAGAGCCCTCTTTCCTCCAGAAAGTCTCGCCCAAACTTTGTTCGGCACAACCAGCGCCGAGGGGGCGGCGCAGGCCAGGTGGGAGGGGGCCCGCAGCGGGCGGCCGTACCTTCGCAAACGCCCGCTTCGTACTCGGTGAGGGAGTCGCCATTGAGCGGGGGGCGGATGACACAACGCAGCCCCCGGTCGCAGGTTCCGTAAATCCCGAAGGTGCCGCCGCAGCTCTCGTTCCTCTGGCTGGCGCACGTGTAGCAGCAGCCGCAGACGCCCTGCACGATGCTCCCCGGGCAGTTCCTGGGCTCCTCGCACTTGGACTCGTCACAGGGCAGGCAGACCAGCGCCCGGGTGCCGGAGCGCGCCAGCAGCAGCAGCAGCCCCAGCAGCGAGACCAGGAGGTGCCCGCAGCCGGCCAACCCCCTGTCCCCCGCCACCAAGTACATCCTCCTGCGCCGCCGCCGCCTCCTCCTCGCAGCCGGGCCGGGAGCGGGGCGGGCGCCCTCCCCTGCGCGGGGCACACGCGCCGCCGCCGCCGCACCAGCAGCCCGCGGTCCTCACCGCCCCTCTCGGGGCCCCCGGGGCGCGCCTCCCCTCGCGGGGCGAGGCCCCCGCCCCTTCTGCGGGCCGCGCCGACCCCGAGCCCACGAGCCTTGGCGCCGGCGGCAGCTTCCCCTCCTCCTCCTCCTCCTCCTCCCGGGAGGGAGGGGGAAAAAAGAAAAAAGTTTCCTCCCGGCAGCTCCGGTTCAACCCAAACTTCTGGCGCGGCGGCGGCGGTGGCTGCTGCGCTCGGCTCCAGCCCGGGCCGGCGGCGCCTCCTCCCTCTCCTCCTCCGAGTCGGCCGGCCCCGCAGCGGCGCAGCCTCCGGGCCGGTCCCCGCCTCCCGAGCTGCCGAGTGGGCGCGGTGGCGCAGCACAAGATCCGCGGCGTCCGCTCCGCGCGCCCCGCTCGCCTCACTCCTGCGCCGCTCCTCCGGGCGCTTGTTTATGGCTGGAGCCTCAGCCGCTCGGGCTGCGCCCTCCCCCATCCTACCTCCTCCCCCAGACCTTCCCCCCACCCCCACGCGCCGCGCGCCGCTCATTGGCTGCCCCCCCTCCCCGGCCCGGCCGGCCCCCTCCGCCTCCCCCTCCCCCTCTCGGGCGGCCGGGCCCTTCCTCCCTCCCTCACACGCCTCCACCTCTTCCCGATCTCCTCCTCCCCGAGCCCGGCGCACCGAGCCGGCCGTGCCACCGAGCTGCGGCTCTGGCCCCGGCGCCGCGGGTGCGCTGCGGATGGGCTTGGGGCGCACCCAGCGAGCAGCGAGAGTCGCGGTGTCCCGGGCGCTCGCTGGCACCGTGGCCGCAGCGGCCGGCCTGGGAGCCAGGAGGGCGAGGCGGCTGCACCTTCGGGGCCAGATTGGAGTTCGAAGAGTGGCGGGTACCCCAGAAGCTCGGGGCCGGGGCGATGGCTGCAGCCTCGGGAGGGTATCGCCGGATCGAACTCCGGGAAAGGGAAGCAAAGGCATGGAACCTCCGCACACTGGATGAGAATCCATCTTCCATTCGAGCTGGGAATAGACTTTGTGAAAGATATTATGTAATGGAGTCTCGGGAACCCTGAGACCTCTCCAGCGAAGCTGAAGTGAATTAATTAAGTGCTTTAAACGGTCTTGGTAAATATTCCGCGGGAGCTGGGGAGGACCGTTGGGATGGCTGTAGCTTGAGTTGAATTTTAACTGTCCTCATTCTGGGTTTTGTCGCTCTGCTTTCTGTGCCAAGGTGCTGTGTTACGGGAGAGAGTGACTGGAAAGTAACAAAGCTGAATCTTTCTCCCTGGAGTAAGGCCGAAGACTGGATTACTACACGCCTAGACGTGACACTACACCCATAGATCTCATGCATCATTAATGCCATATGACATTGCCATTTTCTTTCTCAGTTCACGGACAAAAGTGGTGGGTTTTCATTGTCTTCACTGATTGTCAATGCATTAATAAAGAAGATGTGTGGTACATAGTCTTTGTGATAAATCAGGTAAAGAAGCAACGGAAGTGATGCAAAATGCACGGTGTGGAGATGGTTTCTCTTCAGTGGTTGTCAGAAAAGGTTTTCGTAATGATGGCTCTGTCATTGATGGGATATGAAGTAGTAATCCGCTCCGTAGTGACCTACCATTCACAAGATGGGTACCAGGTGAATAACATTAATTAATTGACAAAAAGTGACTGTGGTCAATGGGGGAAAAAATCGATCCCGTGGCAGGTGTGACGTGGGAATGGCTGGCCCACCCTCTGATCCAAGATGGTCTGGCTGCAGGAAGGTGGCAGCCAAGTGGATTCTGAAAATCGTGACTAATGAACCGAAAGTTAATAGCTGGCAGTGCAAGGAAAGAGGAAACAAAGCTACCTTTGAAATGTTATGTTTGTGGAACAAATTCATACTTACGATAAATATTTTAGTTTAACCACTCTGTCTAATCCTGAACCCAAAAGCCAGAGTTACCAGTGGACTATTCCCCCATGATGGGCATCAGCAAACTAAACATTTCTCCTATCATATTTCTTTGTCCAAGGAGAGGAAGAGGCTCATTAATTATCATTGATTATTATAGGGCCATGAGGAAGATGTTCAACCGTGGAAAAGGGGAGAGAGCATTGCATTTTCTAGACGGGTTTAAAGAGTTGTTGCAATGAAATGATTCCTGTAGTTGGGTGGGAAGTCCGATTAGATGATCTCCAAAGGCCCTCATACCCTGTGGGTCCATAATAAGTGTTAAGTGGCAAAATCGTTTAAAATATGCTAGGTTTTCTATTAGAAAAACCGAAGAGACTGGGCGTGGTGGCTCATGCCTATAATCCCAGCACTTTGGGAGGCCAAGGTGGGCAGATCACTTGAGGTAAGGAATTCGAGACCAGCCTGGCCAACATGGTGAAACATGGTGAAACCCTGTCTCTATCAAAAATACAAAAATTAGCCGGGTGTGGTAGCGCATGCCTGTAATCCCAGCTACTCAGGAGGCTGAGGCAGGAGAATCACTTGAACCCAGGAGGTGAAGGTTGCAGTGAGCCGAGATTGCGTCATTGCACTCCAGCCTGGGCGACAGAGCAAGACTCTGTCTCAAAAACAAACAAACAAAAAAACTGAAGAAAAATAAAACACACATTGTTAAACATTGTTCTTTCTTGTCACCGAACAAGGCACCAGCACTTCAGTGTGGGATTTGCCAACAAACTGTCATCATTGCTCTGTGTTAAAAGGTCCCTCCCACTCTTGCAGAGGAGGTTATCTGTATTTCTGTTCAAATGCAAGTATAAAGACATTAAAATGTAGCAGATAACATTGTAGGACCTGCAGGAAAAGCCAAGGTCAGGTGATGAGAAAAAGGCAGAAGTGAGAAAGCTACTGTGGTTAGGAAAGAAGGAGGTAATAAGCATTGTCAAAGTTTAGCTTCTATTTATTTTTAAGGGGATATATTAAGGATTAAGGAAAGCTACAGATGAGCACAGGCAAAGGATAATTTGGAGATGACTATTCATTGTTCCTGGGACTTCAGAAGTAGAACCACCTGGAAGGTAGATGGACAGATACAACATGAGAAAGGTTGACTTCTCACAGGAATTCAAGTCAGGTTTAGAAAGGACTAGGGAGATTCTTTAAGATGAAGATGATTGTATCAGCTCAAAAAGAAAAAAAAAATCAAGTTACATTACACATGCCCTTTGGCATAAAATTAATAGTCATAGAAGCAATAGAGAAAATAGGATTCCTTGAAGCCAGTGACTAGTGGCGAATGAGAAACCTGCAAGGTCCTGGCAGCTTTTCTGAAACCAGTGTGTGAATCAGGAGCTCAGTTATGAAACAGCTCTTTCTTCTCTGGGATCCAGGAGGGATGATAATGAGGTAGTGAGAAGCTGAGGCAATGATACTGAGGCTCGAATACAAAAGTATTTTCTTATCTTCAAAGACCAGACTATGGTTACAGAAAGAGTTTGGGTGAGCCCAACATGATGACAATCAGGTGTCACGGGTGAAAGTGGACTAGGAAGAATTACCCTGAAATTGAATGGACCCTGAAAGTCATGAACGAATGTTAAGAATTAGAGCCACACATGAAAGGCCTCCCTTTCTGAGAAGCCTTCTTGAGCTTCTTTATCTGTTCTACAGCATTTGTAAGTACCTCTGCTTGTAGCATTTATCATGTTACATTATAGTTATTTAAATAACTCTGAACCCAATTAGCTTGTCAGCTTATTGGAGAGGGCAGGATTTATAAAAATGCATGCATGAATGAGTTGAAAAAGGGAGAGTGAAGAATTACAGTCAAAATGATATTTGAATATTATTGTCTGCAGCCCTTCTCTCTTGGTTTTAGTAAATACCTCAAAATCAGTACTTGAAAGGGATGGTATGGGCAGGAGGGAGTCATCGAAGTTTGGGGTGGGGGTGGTGGGGGGGTGGGGGAGGGGTTGGGGAACAGGTCTGCAACGAACCAGGAATTACGAAGTATTTCTGATGGAGGTCTAGAAGAAGAGATCGTCTGCCCTCTATTGGCCATCCTGGGGATTAATAAATTGTTGAAAATGTCGAAAATCAAAGTGCCCATTTGTTGGCCTAAGCAGAAAGTGGAAATGAGAGGGCAATAGACAGAATGTTAGTATTAGACCCCGCCTTTCCGATACAGTGTCTAGTCCACCTATAGTCACACTCTGTATTTTCTCTTCCTGAAATGAAAAGAAAAATGTAGAAGTTGCCTTTGAGTTTGGCTCACATACTCTTGGAATTGAGTTGCACTTTGTATTTTCTCTTCCTGAAATGAAAAGAAGAATGTAGAAGTTGCCTTTGAGTTTGACTCACATACTCTTGGAATTGAGTTGCACAAGAGAAGAAACCTCATTGTGTTATGAAAACGTTGCATACATATTAGAAAGTGGTACGAATAAACCAGGGTAGCAGGTCTGGCCCGTTTTACCCTCTTAGGCCATCTCTCTGGTCTCCTCAGCTGGGATCACCTATATATGGGTTCTCACTTAATCTAGGCTTGGCACTGCAGTGATATAGACAGACCCTAGTTTGGAGGCTCAACCATCTGGATGTTGGACTCTTAATCTGAAATTGAACTCTATTATCACCACGTAATACCTTATTTTTGCTAAGTGGGTTCTTATTTACTCTGCCTGTGAATGATAGCTGCTGCAGAACTACCACAAGGTTTACAAGACATCTGCACAGAACACAGGTTCTCTTTGATGTTTGGCCTAGGATCCTGACACACACACACACACACACACACTCTCTCTCTCTCTCTCTCTCTCTCTCTCTGTGTACAAGTTTAAACAAGGTATTTATCCTTTCTGAATCTGTCTTCTCTGTAAAACAGAGACAAGAATACCAACCATACAGGGTATCGTGTGGATAAAATGATTGCTCTCCTTTTCTATTGTTATTTTTAGAGTCCTTCTAATTGAGTGTCTCCTCAAGTTTTATGCTTGAGCTGGAATCCCTGCTCTCTGTTATCTTAGCATCCATTGCTGTGCAACATCTGCTGGATCAGATATTTGCTTTTTTTTTTTTCTTTCTTAGGATCTTCTGTTGGCCTTGTTTTGACAGTCTGTCTCATCTTGGGGTTTTAGCCTCTGTGATATTTTCTCAGACTCATTTTGGTCTCTGACTTATTTTAAAGAGCAGTAATTGGTAATGATAATAGTAATAGCTGACACTAATAAAGATCTTATTAATTGCTAGTCAACATGCTAAGTGCTTCATATAGGTTATTTTAAGTAATCTACGGAAGAGCGCTGTAAGACCAATGGTTTCTATTATCTCTAGTGCCTTACGTTGTCTTCATTTTTTACAGGTGAGGAATCTGAGTTATAGGAGGTTGTGTGGCTTGTCAAGGTCTCAGAGCTATGTGTATGGATATTAAGCTTAGAACTCAGTCCTATTCTGCCTTAAGGGCCTGTGTGTTTAACTACCTCAATTCAGTAAGTTGGGTAATGGTGAGCTGCTTTTCTTTTCAGTTTTGTTGTTTTTTGTGGACCTCATTTAAAATTGCTAACATCTATGACAATATCTTGTCTTCTTTGAGAAGTTTAAATACTGATCAGCGTTTTCTCAAAATGGAAATAAGATCATTGCTTTCCTAACTACTGAATAACAAATATTTATGTAACGTTTGCCATGTGCATATTTTTTAATTACCTTACAATATTACCACATTTAATCCTCCATAAAAGCTGATGAGGTAGGTACTGCATTTTACAGGTACATTTACACCTATTTAAAAGGAAAAATTGGGGTGGGTGCGGTGGCTCATGCCTGCAATCTCAGCACTTTGGGAGGCCAAACTGGGTGGATCGCTGGAGCCCAGGAGTTTGAGACCAGCTTAGGCAACATAAGGAGAACCCATATCTACAAAATAATAATAATAATGAACTAGCCAGGCATGGTGGGATGTGCCTGTATTCAGGAGGCTAAGGTGGCAGGATTGCATGAGCTTGTGAAGTTGAGGCTGAGGTGAGCCGAAATTACACCACTGCCTTCCAGGCTGGGTGACAGAGTGACACACTGTCTCTTACTTTTCCAGTAAAGGAAAAATTGGAATTCAAACCTAGGCAGTATGGGGACAGAATCCACTCTATGCAATATTACTTCTAATGTATGTTTTTTAACAAATACATGCTCACTGGGGGAAAAAAGAGAAAAGACAGACAAGTAAAAAAGAAAAAAAGAAGAAAGAAAAACATCACCTATAATGGTTTTATCTCAGGTGAGATAAAACCACTGATAACATTTGTGACACATCCTTGAAGGTTTATTTTCCCCATACAGTATAAAATATAAAATGGGATATGTATCTACCTCAAAATTGGCTTTAACTTTCACATATACATGGCATATTGATCTTTAGAATCAATAACTGCATCCTTTTTACCATTGATTGTTATTCCACTGAATGTACATATTGCATTATATTTAACTGATTCCATATTAACATAAGTTTAGGGGTTTTGTGTGCTTTACATTTTCACTATTATAAACAAAGCTGCAATATATTTCCTTTAAGCCAAATCTTCAAACACTTGTCCAATTATTTTCCTTGGCAAATACCTAAAGTGAAATTATTGTTTGTGGGTCAAAAGTTATGCCCACTTTGACATGCATGGCCAGATTGCCTTCCAGAAACTTATTCACGCAAATTTCCTCAAACACTTAATACAAGTTCCCATCTCTCCAGTGTAGAGGCCCTTCAGGTTAAAAACCATTTCTTCTTGCTTTAAAAGCACCTTACATTGTAAAGCTTTAAAATTTTTTTTAACATAAAAAATTCCTTTCACATTTATTATTTCATTCCATCCTTTAAAATGTTCAACATTAGGAGAGTTTAGCTGTGGATCACCAAATGTTTTAACCTTACAAATTGCCAAATCATGTAACCTGGCAAATTATTTGCTGTGTGGTTTTTAAAGAAAGTGTTATGTACTCAATTAAAAATTTCTCCCAGGAAGGAGTGTTTTTTATAAAACTGAACTAATAAAAGGGAATAAATTATCGAGACCCTCCACAGGTTAAGGAAATTTATCCTGCGCTTACAGACATTTTTTGGAAAGCTGGAAAAAACAAGTATAAGAAAATGAGAAGAGAGGACCCGGTCATGCATTATAGTGAAGAGGAGGAATTTCCATCTGTTGCAATGCTACCCACCTCTCTGTCTTCTCTTTCTACCCCACTGCCTATTCTACTATGTGCTTTCAATAACCTGAAGAGTCATACATCCAAATTGTAGAAATTCTTCCCCAAATCTGTGTGGCATCTGTGTTAAGAAATACAGGTCAATTTATTTCAACAATGACATCATTGACATACACATTTGTGTAATGTTTGTTTTGGAATTGCCTTGTGTAGTCCCTTGAGAAATAAGACACATTGTTTGTCCTATCTGACCCAACGTATAATAAGTGAAGCAGATTATCTTCATTCACCAAACTGGCTCTAATTTACTTCTTATAATCTTTATCAAATTCACCCTCAAAGGAAGATTTACCATTGTTGAGAGTATTATACAGAACCAAAACATGTTCTAGAGAAAATAGCAAAAGAAGAGTTTTTAAATAAAAGTAGGCATTAATGGTATCCATGGAAAAAGCAGACAGCTTTTCCAGGTAACTGCTGGCAAATGGACATCACTCATTTGAATGTAAATCCTGGTATTATGATGTTCTTTAGAATACTGATATTTTGTGCTCATGTCCTATGTATCATGCAACTGCTGTGTCATTCAAATGAAAATTCATTACCTATTTTCAGGTGGGAAATGGTGGTGCTCACCAGTATCTCTGTTCCTTCTCTTCATTTCTGACACACAGCTAGATGACACTTACCAGCTTTCTTGCAGTGAGCTGGAGCCATGAAATGTGGATGGAAGTGATGAGGATCTTTTCCAGGGCTGGCCTCAGGACCCTCTCCACAATCCGGCATATTATCTTATTCCCATTCTGCTGGGGGATGGCAGGGCTCTGCATAGAGGACTCTGAAGCACTAGAAGAGTCTAGAACCACTAGGTGGATGGATCCTGGGTCCTTGAGTGACTGCATGAAGCAGACCTCTCACATACATACACATACCTCATTCAATTTCAGTGGTCTCTGATTTGAGTGACAAATGAATATTTACTGTGATAAGTCACTGAGATTTGGGGCTTGTTATAGCAATTAGCCTCCCCTCACACAATTTTGACTTAAATAGAAATAACATTGGCCGGGCATGGTAGTTCACGCCTATAATCCCAACACTTTGGGAGGTCGAGGTGGGCGGATCACTTGAGGTCAGGAGTTTGAGACCAGTCCTGGCCAATATGGTGAAACCCCATCTCTACTAAAAGTACAAAAATTAGCCGGACATGGTGGTGCACACCTGTAATTCCAGCTACTCGGGAGGCTGAGGTGGGAGAATCTCTTGAACCTGGGAAGTGGAGGTTGTAGTGAGCAGTAGAGATCGTGCCATTGTACTCCAGCCTGGGTGACAGAGCGAGACTCTGTCACAAAAAAATAAAAAAAGAAATAACATTAAACATTTATTCATGTTCTCAGAAAAGAAATGCAATTTGACACGTACTTACAACTCACCTGCATTTGTTTGTTGACTATGTAATGAACGTGTAAAGATTAGGTTACCAATCCTGGCATTTAAATTATTTTCAGTATCATAATATTCCAAGTAGGCCTTAGCATTTTATTAGTACTGATTAATAGAAATTAAATAATATAAAAACCTTTCACCTTACTCAGTTGGGAGAATGGCCATTTCTATTATGCTACCCAGTGGGTTTTAATTCCTGAACTTTCACACTCTCAGACCATCTCTGCTCATGACTTTATTGTAGTAACCAAGATCCTATAAGCTCAAAAGAGAATGAGACTCTTCAAACCCACATTTTCTCCCTTTCACAAGTCCTTCATATCCACAGGGTTATTATGAACTATAAAATCAGTACCACTTCCTATTATCATTTAAACTTAAAGAATATTTTGATATTTTGATATCAGGTTCTAAGGTTATCATATCCATATTCCTTATCATTATTGTTGGTAGCTTAATGTGTCTTGATCATCTTATTGGTTATATTTGTTATACTTCACCAACTTTTTCAACCTCAAACTAAAGTTCATAAAACAAATCAAGTTCATTGCCTAAAAGCTAGTTGCCAATGAACTATGACTGGGTAAATGACTACTGGTTTGAGATTAGCCAGAAAAAATGGAACATTGAGCTCATAAGGCATGAAACCATGCAGAAAAAAACTATAAGAAATAGATTCCAAGAGTGTTTCCAACATCAGCTGATTATTGCCAAAGACCATGTCATGTTTCCCATTTAGATTTTGCCAGGAAGAAAAGCTAACCAGCAATGCCAATCACAAGTGTTTGAAGAACAGGATTTTTCTATTTTTCCTTGACAAGCAATTGATTAAATTAGGAATGTCCTCAATGATGATGAGGCATCGTGCTGCGAAGTGCTCTAATAGAAAGAAAAAACTCTTGGAAATCAAGTTGACCCAGGATCAAATTCTGACAGTGTTTGTCACTGTCTCTGTGAGTTTGAATATCTTATTTGTTTGAATTTCCTTTCTCTCACCAGTCACTTAGGAAATACGTACCTAAAGGATTCTGAGCATATAATAGATGCTCAATAATTCTCCTAGCATTTCTTATGATTGACTTTTTAAAAATTGTAATAGGGTTAGCTATTCACTGAATGTTTGCTACTTTCAAAAAGTTTGTGAGATGGGCTCTAGTCTGGTTCTAAAATATAGGGGTATTTCTAGTCTGTGTGAGAATCAAAGCCAAGGACTTCACTTCGTAATCACTATGCTCCCTTGGCAGTCTGCAGTTATCCTGTCGTGTTACTTACCTGTCTCCCCACTTAGGGTGCATGATTTCTTATTGGGCAGGATAGGAACTCTGAAGCCAGGAAACTGAATCCTACTTTCCTAATCACTAGACTGATTGCAAAAATAAATGTCACTTTCCTTGCACTCAAAGGACCTACTATCTAGTGTGGGCAATTGGTAAATCAACATTTTCAACATAGTGCAGTAGAAGTTTACCAAATCAGGTCTACATGAGGAAACTGGGGAGTTTCACAAAATTCCCTTTTACAAAAGAAAAGATAGTTGGATTGGATCTTGAAGGAAAAATAGATATTTACCAGGTGTATAGGGTAGGGGAGGAAGAGGAAGAGATTCCAAGCCAAAAAACAAAACCAAAAACAAACAAACAAAACAAAAACAGTGAAGTGCCTAAAATAGAGTTTGGAACATAGTATGAATTCAATAAATGTTGAAATAAGAAAGAGAACATAGACTTTTGCAATGGAAGGAAAAATTAACTTTGAGGCAACTGGTTGCTCAGTGGTAAATGTTAGGAGAGAGGATGGTAATATTGGGTTGGATGATGAAGACCCAAAATCTGCAGCAGAGTTTAGACTTCATCCTATAGGGTTTCAGAGACAAGTGGAACTTTTAGAGACAAGTGACATCATCAGATTCCCATTTGTAAAGATACCATACTGCACTGATTTTAAGACATACTTTTAAAATATTTTAACAGTTCTATAAGTAAGATGCATCCTACCTACATTTAATGGCATATTATAGTTTGACAGTGTTAGTTTTCTTTCTCGGTAGCGTATAAAGTAACATTTTTGCTTACAAATGGTGGCATTTTTAATAGAAAATTGAAATTATGGCAGTAGAGTAACAGAAGAACAACGAGTGGAAACAAGGAAACCATTGAGAGACTTATCAAATAGCATAGCTGTGGGATAATGAGCAGTGGTGTAAAACCAAGTATGCATTGATAGATTTAAAAATTCCAAAATAGATTAGGAGCTTCTGAGTTTAATGGATTAAATCTACCTTTCGTTTTCCATTTTGTTATTTACTTTGCTTTGCTGAACAGCTAGAACCTGAAAAAAGCTCCTAGCTTTTCACTAAAACCATGTTTCTCAGGTGAATAACCTAAGTATAAAATATAGTATTATTTAATATCTATTAGGTATCGAAATTTTGGATGAAAGTACAAGCCCTTTGTACTAAGAAGGACTACTTTTAGTACTGTATCCAAGGGTGCCTGCTCTTTTCTCTGAGATTTCTTCTAAGAAATACAAAAAGTTTAAAAGCATTGGAAAAGCCTTCAGATATACCCAGATCCAACTCTTTCATTTTGCAGATGAGGAAAATGAAATCTTGGGGTGCTGGTGACTTTAAATATGTTAACTCTTAGCAGCAGATGTAGTTTGGAATAGTTTGAAACCCTCCTCCACCATCCTGTGTATCAGCGGGTTACCTGTTTATCTATCTCTGGATTAGCTCAGACTCCAGTTCTAGTCTTGAGCAGACAGTACAAAAGTATCCTCTACCTCCAATTGCCACTATTTAAAGTTAATAAATTTGTTACCAGTTCTCGTCTCTTTTTACTATCTCATTATTACTTTTGCCTGGACACCGGGTTGTGTGCATTCTAACATCTGCTGATTAGATGATGGTGTCTGGGATAGGGCTCTGTGGCCTGGGCATTTGGTGCCTACCTTACCTTTTCCTTCTCCCCTCCCCTCCCTTCTCCCCTCCCTCCCCTCCGCTCCCCTCTCCTTTCCTTTCCTTTTATCCTTCCTTTCATTCTTCCTTCCTTTCCTCTCTTCCGTATTCTTCCTTCCTTCCTTCCTTCCTTCCTTCCTTCCTTCCTTCCTTCCTTCCTTCCTTCCTTCCTTCCTCCCTCCCTCCCTCTCTCATTCCCTCCTTCCCTTCCCTTCCTTCCTTTTCTTTCCTCTCTTTCTCTCAACAGGGCTCAGGTGATCCTCCCACCTTAGCCCCCTGAGTAGCTGGTACTACAAGCATGTGCCGCCATGCCTGGCTAATTTTTCTATTTTTTTGTAGAGGTGGGGTTTCACCATGTTGACCAGGCTGGTCTCGAACTCCTGAGCTCAAGCAATCGGCCTACCTCAGCCTCCCAAAGTGCTGGGATTATAGGTGTGAGCCACTGCGCCCTGCCTAGTGCTTGAGTTTCTGATGGGCACCACCTGTCTTTCTGTGCACCAGACACTATCATCCTACCTTGAGGCACTTTGCCTGGTACCAGAGTAGCAGTCTCTAGAATACAGAACTCTGCCATAGTACTATTTTTTACCTTCATCTGATTTTGTATGTGGCATGCCAGGTGTAGCTCTATTGGATATTTACTTTTTTCTCTGTGCCCCAAATTCTGGCATCCTTAGTCAATATGAAAACCCCTTCTTTTCTCTAAGAAATAGTATGTGCCAGTAGGGTATGCAGGGCTGTGGTCCTTCTTATTGGTTGGGCCAACTTTTTTATTCACCGGGAATCCTTTCTAATTGACCTCATTGGTCAGGCATCCGTTCTGATTAATCAGTGCTCATGCATTTTAGTTCTTAAATATTTTTACTGTCTCCTCTGCTTCCTAGCAACCATTAATTGAGCACATGAAACTGACTGTATGCTAAATGCTTTGGATATCTCTTCTCTTTTAACTCTCATAGTAATCTCATCATAAGGTGTGACCAGACAGATTTTTACAGATGGGGAACTGTGAAAAAAAGCTTCACAGAAATTACATAAATATTCTGAGGACATAATGCATGCGCCTGGGTTAGGATTCAGATCTGGGACTCGGTGACTTCGTGCCTCACTGTGGCACGGTAGTGCTCTCAATCTAGAACCAACTCATTGTACACTGAATCTGGTCTGTTTATCGTATTCCACATTAGAACATCCTGCTAGGTTGTATGGTACTTCCATGTCCTTACTTGCTGCTTTGGGTGGTGGCCATTTACCTTATTCAGAACCATGAGTTCACCTAAGGCCTACTGACCAATAGAGCTTCTAGGTCTTTCCCATCTCCTTGTCTTCTTAAATGCTGAAATGGCCAGGGAAATGAGACAAACTGGCCTAAAGTGATAAATTGATTTCATCATTGTCCTGTTCCTCAGCTATCTAAAACCTGTCTAGGTGATGCAGATACTGCATTTGTCAGTGTCAGAACTGTGCAAATGCAATATATCCTTGTAACAAACCTGCACATGTACCCCCTGAATCTAAAATAAAAGTTGAAATTATAAAAAAAATAAAAATTTAAAAAAAGAACTGTGCAAAGATGTAAACATCTTTCTTCTTGTTACATTCTGAAAGCCACCAAAGGAGTAAAGGGAGAGTTCCTTTTGGTTTGTTTCTCATTATAAACTTTTTTTTTTAAGTTCCTAAAATAAAATTGTGGGAGTCTAAGCATATCATCAGGGAAGCTTATCTGCAAGTAGAGCAGTAAAACACTCATTTTAAAAGTGCCTTAGGGCCAGGCGCGGTGGCTCACGCCTGTAATCCCAGCACTTTGGGAGGCCGAGGCGGGCAGATCACGAGGTCAGGAGATCGAGACCATCCTGGCTAACACGGTGAAACCCCGTCTCTACTGAGAATACAAAAAATAAGCCGGGCAAGGTGGCGAGCGCCTGTAGTCCCAGCTGCTCGGGAGGCTGAGGCAAGAGAATGGCGTGAACCCCGGAGGCGGAGCTTGCAGTGAGCCGAGATCACGCCACTGCACTCCAGCCTGGGCGACAGCGAGACTCCGTCTCAAAAAAAAAAAAAAAAAAGGGCCTTAGGTTGGGTGCAGCGATTCACGCCTGTAATCCCAGCACTTTGGGAGGCTGAAGGGGGTGGATCACCTGAGGTCAGGAGTTCGAAACCAGCCTGGCCAACAAGGTGAAACCCTGTCTCTACTAAAAATACAAAATTAGCTGTGTGTGGTGGCACATGTCTGTAATCCCAACTACTCAGGAGGCTGAGGCAGGAGAATCACTTGAACCCGGGAGGTAGAGGTTGCAGTGAGATGAGATGGCACCATTGCACTCCAGCCTGGGCAACAAGAGCGAAACTCTGCCTCAAATAAATAAATAAATAAATAAACAAACAAACAAACAAACAAACAAAATAAAATAAAAAGAAAGAAAGTGCCTTAAAGTACACTTGGTGGTCTAAATGTGAACAGATCATGAATCTAAAATATTCCAATTTAATATTTACTGAGCACTTGAATTGCTCCCAACTCTTTTCTACATGCTTTATGTGCATCCTTTCATTTAATTCTCCAACAACTCTATGCAAGAGGGACTATTATTATCTTCATTTTAAAGATGTGGAAACTTAGGCACAGCGTAGTTAAATAATATGTCTTAGATAACCTAGATTATATGTGGGAGGCTCAGGATTTGAAGATAGGCAGTTTGATTCCAAAGCACAAGCTCTTGATATAACCTAAAGAATGATAATGTTTTATTTAAACAAATATACAAGAATCAGATAAACAGATGAATGTTGCTTTTCAAAGCGCTAGCATTGTCACCTTGGAAAAGTATACCCTTTCTAAGAATGTTGACATTTCTCAAAGTGTTTTTGCAACTGATCTCTTATCTAATTACAAATCTACAAACAAATTAGACTTGTTAGGTTCATATATTTGATTTGATGAGAAACACTATTACCTTAGTATAAAGATAGTTTCTTAAATAAGTAAAATTGATGAATATTGCCCAACCCATGGAAATATACAAGAATAGTTAACTTCTCAAAGAAGAAATATAATTCACCCATGAACTTATAAAAAGATGTTTAACCAAATACAGTCAAAGACACACAAGTTAAAACAATGAGAAAATGCTTTTTATCTATCAAATGACAAATATTTCTAAAGACTAGCAATATCCAGGATTGGCAAGAATGGGGCCAATAAATACTTTCATGAATTATTGGTGGTAATATAACTTGGTACATTTTTTCTGGAAAGCAGTTTGGAAACATGTATCAAAATATTAGCTGGACATATCCTGATTTAGATATCACAATTCCAAGAAAAAAATTCTTTTTCCCAGAACACATATTCTAAGACAATTTCTGATTCTAAGAACTCTTCTTCAAAGAAGATAATGAGGGCCTGGCACAGTGGCTCACTCTGGTAATCCCAGTACTTTCGGGAAGCAGGCCTCCCTGGCTTGAGGCCAGGAACTCGAGAACAGCCTGGGCAACACAGCAGGACCCCATCTCTACAGAAAATTAAAAAATTAGCCAGGTGTGGTGACATGTGCTTGTAGTCCCAGCTACTTAGAAAGCTGAGGTGGGAAGATTGCTTGAGACTGGGAGGTTGAGGCTGCAGTGAGCCATGATTGTGCCACTGCACTCTAGGTCAAGGGCACAAATATCTAGGAGTGAGGATGTTCATCATAGTGTTGTTTATAGTTGAAAATTTGGAAATAAACTAAATGTTGAGTAACGGAGTGTTGACTAAATAAGTCTATGTAATGGAAAATTATAGTTATTAAATTGATGATGTGGTTCTATATTTATTGTTTTGCAAAGATATCCGCAATATATTGTTGATGTTAAAAACGCAGATAATAATATAATAATTATGGTAGAATCTCATCTTACATTATTTTATTTATATCTGTATTCATCTCCATATCTATCTACACAAAAACAGACAAATATCGACACAGTTCGGTAAAGATATCTCCAATACATGAAGAGTTACTATCTTTGTGTGTTAGGATTTTACACAATTTTTATTGTCTTCAATGTATTTTTATATTGTTAAATCTTTATTTTATAGTATATTTTCTCTTTATACTTAGGAAAAACAAAAACTCTGCATTTTAAAAAATTACTGTTATCTAGGTGAATCATTCACAGTCTTTACTGGACACAGGTCACAATAATTTTGCATTGTTTTCAAGAAATGAAATACGCTCAAATGAAATGAACTTGCCATGTCTGAAGACATTCTTTTGTCATGTGAAAGATCAGTCTCAGAAGAGAATTTACAAAATTGTTTCATAGCATTATGGAAATAAGAGTCTCCAAATGATAATGATACTTAAATTCTCAACATTTATTTGGAGGTATATTTCTGGACTATTTGTTAACAACATCATCTCACCGCTTTTATTATTGCACCTCATTTGCTCTGTTTATTCACATCAGCTTTCATAAAAAATTTGAGAGCTGAGGCCTAAAGAAATTCTCTCACCCGGTAGATGAACAAGCTGTAATTTTTTTTAGCTTTGGCATGCATTGGTAAATGAATGCATATTTTTACTTGCTTGACCAAGCTCAGGAATCTGCAAGTCGGCTAACATTGCATTATGTGGATGATGCTCTGAATAATACCATGTGCCCTGTTGCAAAAGCTGAAGATGTGCTTGTGGAATTTATTTTATTCCGATTTATGAGGACTGCTGCACACAAATAGATTATTGTAGTGTCTGTGATTAATGGGACACCACACGGCTGCATGGACTTCATAAATCATTTGATGCAATGTCTGAGTGAATTTTACTTGCAAAATCAGTTTCAATCAGCTTGACTTGAAAACTAGGTAAAGCAGAAGGAGGCATCCGATGGTGGGAGGTATCTAGGTGGTGCAGCAGTCAGCACTGTGTCCAGTTTTATGTCTCTTGTTATCAGTGATGTGGAAGAGTGAATAAGCAGCACGTTAATTAAATCTGCAGATGGAATTAGAAATGTCACAAATGCTGAGAAGGCCAGGGAAATGATACAAATTGGCCTAAGGTGATGTGGGGCTTGAAATAAAGGCCAAAAATACAACAGACTTGAGTGTGTGTGCACACACACATATACACACATGAATCAATAAGTGATTCGAGAAGTCAGTTAATTTTATAACTCTCTTAAGATTCCAAATATCATATGAAAACAATTTGGGAATAGTGAATATTAAAAAACGGCTGCAGGGTTTAATTCTAAGATCAATATTTAGCATTTGTTTTGTTTTTAAAATAATGATTTCTTTGCTTTTTTGATACATAATACATATTCATTATAGAAGAATAAGAAGATACAAATCAACAACAAATAAAAAGTATCACCTATGATCCCACTCTTGGTGGGATAGATAATCATATATGTACATAAACAAAAATGAGAAAATGAGATCATATTGCATATTTAATTTGGTATCCAACGCTATTCATGTAAAAATATTTCCTTTTTAAAAGGCCACGTTTCTGAGAAACTTGCTTGATACTCACCTTTCTCTGGCTCATTGAATTTATTACCTTTAATCTTAGTAATTGGAAGCTCTGAGAAAATTACAAAAGGCTAATATTTGTAAAGGCAAACACTGAAGAGAAAAAAAAGAAAAGGAATTTTCTTTGAATTCTCTACCTACTACTCAGAAATTCCTGACATTGCTAGCTAACCGTCCATTTATCTTAGCCCTAATGAGTCAATCTCTCACCAAATCACAGTCACAGAACCTCCTCTGTCTTTCTTGACACTGTGGGGAGGATGACCCCTGATTCTGAGAATTATTGGCAATTCAGTAGAATTGTTATTATGAACCAAGGAACACTACCACTTCCATAAAGGATTTAAAAGGAGAAGGCAATTCTTTACATGATTATTCACAATCGTCAAAGAAGATAGTAATCTAAGATAAATGTCCTTCATAGGGTTGGGTCAGAGGAAGGATGAAGGAGGGAAAAGGAAGAGAGAGAAGGGGAGGGTGGCAGGAAGGAAGGAAGGAAGGAAGGAAAGAAGGGAAGAAGAAGTCTGCTTTTTTCCCCTTTGAAATGTAGCTCTGAGCATGCATGAATGTGTATATAAGATGGAATTTTATCTCTAAGGAAAACTGAAGAAATGAAATAAAAGCCTAATTTAAACTAACATAGGCAGAATCTGAATCCACTATGAATCAAACCTGAAAGTATAGGGGAAAGATTAAGCATCAAGAGAGACCAAAATTATTCTTGGAGTTAATTTAGGAACATAGAATTTGGCATCAGGTAGGCTTAACAGGAGTTCAGCTTCCTCTTTCCTGGCTATCACTTCTCGGTGATGAGGATCACAGCCAGGCTGACCTTGGCTAACCTGTTCTTGCGGTGGCCAGATGAAAGGGACAGAGCTATGAGCAGGAGTCAGGGTACCTGGATTTGGTTTTTCTGTCCACCACCTGGCTGTCACTAAGCAATTCCTATCACCTCTTTGAGCCTCAATTTTCTCACTTATGAAATGATGAGTTTGCCCTGGATCATCTCTAATGTCCTGTTCAACAAGACCTGTAGTTCTGAATTTTAGCTGTGCATTAGAATTACCTTGAGAGCTTTTAAAATCCACTGGGCAAGGGCCTCGCTCCAGACCATTCATTTATATCAGAATCTCTGGGGTGGGTCAAAGAGGCAAAAATCAGTATTTTTATGCTCCCCTAGTAATTCCAATGTGCTACCAAGGTCGGACATCTCTGAACAACACCAGACTATTTTTTATTCTTAAAAAATTAAAGAAAAATAGCTAACATTTATTGGATGCTCACTATACACCAGCAGCACTTTATACACTATGCTTCATTTAATCCTCCCAAAGACCCCAGGAGTTACAATTTACCATTTCTCCAATACTGTAGCTACAAAAATGGAAGCGCAGAGTTGTTAGGTAATTAGTCTGAGGCTACCCAGCTAGTAAATAGCAAGCTAGAATTCTAACTTAGAGCAGTTGATTCCAGAAACCATGACCTAGTACCCTACACCTTCCTGCCCACTAAGCCATGCTGAAAATACAGAAATCTGAACAGCCTCTTGTAAGTGGAGTTCAGCTTTGCATGTTTGGTAGTACTAGCATTTTTTCTGTAATATAAAACTGTGTGAGGATGTTTCATTCTGATTCTACTTCCTGTCTCTACTTCCAATTTTACAATTTATTTTCATTTTTACTTAGAGTGGGTGTGATATGGGCTGGGTTGTAAAGCATCTGCACAAGTGTAGCCTCATGTAATGTTAACTAGTTTATTAAATAAGGCATACTATGTGCTAGCCACCATCCTAAGTGCTTGTGTTGTGGTATATATTATATATATGTATATATTTATATTTATATATATATATTTTTTAAATGACCACAATATATTGAATCTCCTATCAAGAAGTAGTGTCTATTACTTTACCTCTTCACTCTGGACTTGGTCATATGGCTTGCTTAAACCAGTGAGATATTAGCACATGTGTCGTAAGGCTTGAAAAGTGCTTGGGCACGGGTGTGTGACCTTGCGTTTCCAGCCTTTAGAACCCAGTCACCTCGTGAAAAAGTCCAGTGAGGCTACTACATGCGGGTGATACATGGCTCAGCCACCCCAGCCAAGTGCAAGACATATGAGTGAGACCAGGTGGGACAAGCCAGCCCAAGCAGATCTGTGCACTGACTCCCAGCACATGAATGCATCTAGGAGAGACCAGCAGAAGAACTGCTTGGTTGAACCCCATGCAAACTGTCAACACAAAAGACGTATGAGCTGATAATTATAATCGTTGTTTTAAATTATTAAGCTTTTGGGAAGTTTTCTATGTATCGAAAGCTAATTGATACACGTAGATTAACTTCATAATTTCTCATACAGTACTATGAGGTCGATTTTGTCATCATATCCATTTTATAAATGGGGAAACTGAGGTACAAACAGGTTAAGTAATTTGTCCAAACTCATTTAGCTAGGAAGTAGTTGCATGAGGATGTGAACTTAGGCTGGCTTTAAAACTCATGTTTTTAACATCCATGTAAGTGCATATCTTATAAGTGCATGCTTTACTGCGTTCATGCTCAATGATTTGGATGAGGAACAGCATCAAAAATCAAAACAAAACAAAGCAAAACAAAAATAAATAAATAAATAAGTAAGTAAATAAATAAATAAATAAAAGTCATGACAGTGATGGTGTGACAAGCTTTGACTTCCCTGATCCCTCTTAAGGAAAGCTATTCATTTTCCCGCCTGTGCCATGACTGTTCTTTCTAAAAGCCTGTGTACTGGCACTTCTCACCCTGTGCTGTCTCATATTGATATAGTTGTTTCTTTTGATAACCTGGGTTCTCCCCATAGGTGGGGAACGTGTCTGATTTATACAGCCCTAGTGCCTGGCACAGAACCTGGGAAATAGTATAAGTTTAATAAATCCTGATAGAACAAATGGGTGAAGAAAAAAGAGAGAAGTAAACAAATGAGCAGCTTTCCTTAAGGGAGATCAGGGGAGTCAGAGCTTGTCACATCACAATTGTCATGACTTTTATTATGTTTTTCATAGTCTCCTCTTGTGTTTACTTTAAAAATGTGGGGGAATGCTTCTTTACTAACATTTATTTTACATAGTTCCTTTGTCGCCCTCTCTTGCCTCCCTCCCTCCCTCCTTTCCTTCTTTCCTTCCTTCCTTCCTTCCTTCCTTCCCTCATCCTTCTATTCTTACAGCTCACCTACTGTGGAATATTCATCACAGCAGCAATTCATCGACACTTCCAATCTGTTGACTTTCCCCTTCCTCGCTATGTCTGACCCACCCCTATTCTTTCCCATCCCTCCACCTCCACGTACTACTATGTTCTCTTGTCTCTAAGCTTGTTCCCTTCTCAGCTTAGGGCTTGGTGCAAGCTGTTCCCCCTGCCTGGCATACGGTTCTGCCTCATACCTGAATGGCTCACTTCTAGTCGTTAGTATTTCAGCCTAAAGATTACCCTCTCAAAGAAATCTCCTCTAACTACCCCATGTAAAACAGCCATTTGGTCTGTCTAGCACAACCAACACATAATCCTTTGCAATTCTCTGTAAAATGTTTATTACTAATAGGAGTTTTTCTTCTTGCTGATTTGTAGTCTGTCTTCATTAATTTCAGTATAAGCTCCATCAAAGCAGAGACTGGTCTCTCTTGTTCATTGAGAAACTGTGACTGACAACAAAGTAGTTACTCAGTGTATATCTTAAAAATGGAGGAAAGAAAGAAAGGAAGGAATGCATGAGAATTGCTTGAATCAGGGAGGCAGAGTCTACAGTGAGCCGAGATCGTGCCACTGCACTCCAGCCTGGGCGACAGAGTGAGATCCTGTTTCAAAAAACAAAACAAAACAAAACAAAACTGTACATATTAATTATTACATGTCAACTAAAGCTAAAGGGAAAAAAGATGCCCCTAGTTTCTATTCAAATAAATGTCAACACTCATTAATTTGTATATATATATAGTAGTCCTCCTTTATCTGTGAGTTCACTTCTTCAGTTTTAGCTACCTGCAGGCAACTGACATCTGAAAGTATTAAGTGAAAAATTCCAAAAACAAATGATTAATAAGTTTTAAAAAATAAAAACAAACAATCTGTACATATTTTCTTCAGGAAACTTGTAGTTTAACCTCAAATAATAATTGGGAATAATGTTTTGAGTTTAATTTTAATTCAGAAATTGAAATGGTTATGAGCTGGAACTGGTGAAAATGGGGCTTAAAGTTCTTTTTTTCCATAAGGCAACAATTTGAAGAGAGAATGTACAACCTATGGCAGATGTTCTCAACCATTTAAGACCACATTGTCCCTTTTAATAACAAATATTTTGTAAGGTCCTTTATACTTTCTTTAGATGTAATTTATAGCTATACCCATATATATAGCTATATATACATGGGTTAGCTATAAATTATATATATATAGCTACTATATATGGATATATATATTTACATATACATAATTTTTATATACAAATTTATATATACTATAACTATATATAGCTATATATATCAGTATAGTTATAAATTTATATTTATGTGTTTAGATATATATAATCTTAAAAATTAATATAATTCTCTAACTAAAACAAGGATGAATTAAAAGAAAACCATTTGTAATAGAATATTCTGTATTTCAATATGGAAATGCTTAGACACAATTCCATCAGAAGACACAGAATAGTAGGCATATGCTTGCACCCCTGCACAGCATCTCCTGTGACTTGAACAGCTACGAATGCAGACTGGTATAGGTGCTATGTTGGTGACCTAAATTCCAGGAACAGCATTTCTTTGAGTGATATATTTTATTTTTTTTAGAACGGCAAACAGTCATTTACCAAGAACTCTTGGTAAAGTTGTAAAGTTAAAAAATAACAACTTTTTATTTACTGGATTGTTGCATTCCTGAAAAACTCAGTATATATTAGGACTGTAAAACTACTTTTTGTTTATATGTAAAACAGCATTAGATTCTAGGTGAAGATAATTATAAACAACTCTTTTTGCTTTCATAAAAAAGTTAGCAGGACATTAAAAAAAAAGGGTGCAGGACATAGACAATTCTTTGTTTAAAGGACTGGTCCATAAAGTTTTGGAAGCATATCGTTCCTTTGCCCTGCCTATTGTGTGTCAGGAACACCACTCTCCTACAATCATTGTAGCCATAAAGCACTACCCCATAAAAAATCACTGGTATAGGGGAGACTCCACTAAGAGCTAGAAGAAAACTGTTTGTGATGAAGCATAGACCTTTTATTTTACATTGAAGTCGTCAAGAATCATTGTGTAGGTAGGGAACTGCATAGCCCTAGAGGGCACTAGTTACAAAGGCTGTAAGGCACCCTTCACCTATCAAATAGAAATCATAAGCCTGCTGGTGGCTCCGGTGATGTTACACGTGAGAATACAGCAGTTTCCTTTATCCATGGTTTCACCTTCAGCAGTGTCAGTTACCCCCAGTCAACCGCAGTCCAAAAATACTAAATGGAAAATCTCAGAAATAAACAATTCATAAGTTTTAAATCTCTTACTGTTCTAAGTAGCATGATGAAATCTCACACCTTCCAGCTCTGTCCCACCTAGGATGTGAACCATCCCTTTGTTTAGGTACCTATGCTGTATACACTACTCACCCATTAGTCACTTAGTAGCCATCTAGGTTATCAGATTGGCTACTGTGGTATCAAAGTGCTTGTGTTCAAGGAACTCTTATTTTACTTAATAATGGCCCCAAAGCACAAGAGTAGTGATGCTAGCAATTCAAATATGGGAATGAGAAGCTGTAAAGTGCTTTAAGTGAAAAGGTAAAGGCTGGGCATGGTGGCTCATGCCTGTAATCCCAGCACTTTGGGAGGCCGAGGTGGGCAGATCACCTGAGGTCAGGAGTTCGAGACTAGCCTGGTCAACAAGGCAAAACCCAGTCTCTACTAAAAAGACAAAAATTAGCTGGGCATGGTGGCAGGTGCCTGTAATCCCAGTTACTTGGGAGGATGAGGCAGGAGAATCACTTGAACCCGGGAGATGGATGTTGCAGTGAGCCAAGCTGGCACCACTGCACTCCAGCCTGGGCGACAGCAAAAATCCGTCAAAAAAAAAAAAAAAAAAAAAAAAGAAAAGAAAAGAAAAGGTGAAAGTAATTGACTCAATAAGGAAAGAGAAAAAATCAGTTGCTGAGGCTGCTAAGATCTACAGTAAGAACAAATCTATCCATGACATTGTGAACGAGGAAAAAGAAATTTCTTCTAGTTTTGCTGCTGCACTTCAAACTACAAAAGTTATAGCCACAGGTGTGATAAGTGCTTAGTTAAGATGGAAATGGTATTAAATCAAATCATAGGATGTATGTATAGGAAAAATAGTCTCTATAGGGCTTGGTACTATCTTCCATTTCAGATATCCAGTGGGGGTTTGGGAATATATCCCGCAAAGATAAAGGGTGACTATTGTATCATACACGTATTATAGATGACATGGAATTTTCTTTAAACAACTTGAATTTAGTAGTACTTAAAGTGATTTAGATTTTTTCATAAAAACCTACAAAATTTCATAAAAACCTATAAGATTTATTTCATATATTAAAAATGAAGCTTTTAAACTTTTTTTATATTTTAAATTCCATGCACTCACAAGTCACAACTCACATACATTCCTTGTCTTTTTCTAGAAAACCCTAGTCTATCAGAAGTTGGAATAAAACAAACCTTCAGGTACCCGGAATAAGCAACGAACTTTCCGAATTAGAAAGCCAGTATAAATTGCAGATATGCTTGAAAAAATAATAGGTATGCTATTATATTAGGATAATAATAGATATGGAAATACTATACAGACGAATCAGGGATTGACTATTTTATATCACAAAGTAATTTATTTCTTTACAAAATGGATCCCTGATTTACAAAGGGGTTTACCTCATGCACATTTATAAAGCAAGCTTCCTTATTACAGCATTTCCTTGGGGCACACTTCTTAAGAATCCGAATATTCATTTGGCAGTATTTATTGAGTTTCTACAACATGCCCCTCCACCATATTAGGCTCTTAATTTCAATTAAGACAAGACACTCTCTCTGTGCATGAACAGTTTCTAGTTTGTAAAGAAGATATATAAACTGACAATTCAAGCACAATGTCACAAGTGATGAGATGAAAATTGTCAACCAAGTGCCCAGGGAAAAGTGCATGTAACTCAGCCTGAAGGAGGTGGTGAGAGCCTTACTGAAGGGATGGCACTTGAATTGAGTCTTAAAAAACTAGTCACCGGCGAAGTAAGAAGAAGAGCAAATCAGGCAGAGGAAATAACAGGTGCAAAGGCACTGACGCCTGACAAGTAGATTGTCAGACATGTGAGGCTGACATGAGAGAGGTGTAGTGCTGGGGGTGAGAGGGACAATAGCAATGAAATTCAGGATATAAATTAGTTATAGGCTGTGGAGGGTTTTGGATATCACGCTAAGGAATTTGAACTTTATCCTGCAGAAAATTGTGCCTGTAATTGCAAGTCTGTAAGACTTTTTAGCGGACGATAGTATCAGTTTTGTTCCTTAGGAAAATAACTGGCAGCTGTGTGGAAGATAGGCAGCAAGGGGGAAAGACAGATGGCACAGAGAACTTTTTGGATACCTGTGTTAATAGGCATCATGCTCTGGTAGCTTTAATGTGTAGATTTCACCCTCTGCAGTAAGGTCAGAAGAGGGGAGTTGTAGGCAGGAAGAAAGGTTGGAATTGAAGCATGAAGGTAGCTCGCATAGGCAGACAGGTGAGAGACTGAGCTCAGAAAAGTAAGAAAGTGCAGGAATGAGCCTGCAGATACAGAGTTCAGTCCAGAGAGGACAATGGAGGCTGGAATCAGTAACTCTCATCTAGGGGAAACAGTGACAGGGGCAAGATACAATGGAACAGGTATTCAGGCCATAGGTTCTGAGAAAGAAGTGAACCGGCTTTAGGCAAGAGGTCAGAATGTGAAGAATGGCACAGAATAACAAACATGCCAGGGCATCTCAAACTTTAGTTAGTATCAGGATCACCTTTAGGGCTTTGAAACATTCAGATCTCTGTGCCCCACCCTCAGAGATTCTAAGTCAGTAAAAGTCTGGAATAAGTCTAATAATTGGCATTTCTGCATTACCCAAGTGATGCTGATGCTACTGGTCTCTGGACTAAACAAGGCTCTAAGCAGCCTTCCAGATCTACAGTCCTCTGAATTGGTTTCAGGATTTAAAAACATTTCAATGTTCAGATGCACACATTTACTTACCAGACTAGAGAGAATTCTGAGTTGGTGGAGGAAGGCCAGTTCCTGATAGATCAAACATGCAATCTGAGAGGCCCAACAGCAAAGTAGGCAGCTTTCCATGAAGACCAGAGTGAGGGTTGATTAAAAAAAAAATTGTTTTTGGTTCCTCTACAGGCAGCTGCTGGAAAACAGGACTAATGGTTGTTTGAGGAGTGAGAGAAAGGGGCAGGCCCAAGCAAGCACCGTGCTCTGATACTGTCTCTCCTGAAACTGGGTCTGCCAGTCTGGAAGCTGGCGGCTCTGCCCACCTAAATCATTGCTCAGATAGTCACACACAGAACATCTAGGCCTCTCTCTGTTTGTACCTGCCCTTATGCCAGTATCACACTCTTCATTTCTGCAGTTTTATAATAAGTTTGAACTCAGCTCAGCATGAAGCCTAACAGTTTCTGAGGCTTTCTTAAAATGGGACTGAAGGATTTTGTTACACTATTAAAAAGAAAATATATAGGTACAGATAATCAAATTCTTGAGTTGATTACATTATTGTGCATCTTTTAATATGGCAGACTAAACAGGCCTCCAGAAACTAGGCCACATTTTCTGGATAGCTGCCAGTAATTATATGTCAGGAATGCCTATATAAGCAAGATGTTAATGCTCAACAATTATTCCTTCTTCTTTTTCCTTTTTGACTTAAGCTGCAAAGGTAACAGTAACACTGAAGCCATAACCAGTGCAACCTGAGCAACAGATGGCAATTTGCTTAAATTTGCAAGAAGGATTTGAAATTCGAATTGATTAAAATACTGGTACCTATGGTAGATGAAAAGGAGTTGATTCATGTTTCAAGATCCTTCAAATATGGAAATTATTAATCAATGAGTCTGCTAGTTTATCACTAGGTATTAGCACATACAAACACCAAATTCCTCTAACATTCTCAGAGGATGTGCGACACAAATTCCTTTGGCTGCATAAGCAAACACACACTTCATTTCCATGTCAACGAGTAAAAACAAAATTAATCAGAGCAACAGAGCAACTGGAACAGTGTGGGGGTATATATTAGGTGTTCATAGGTATTGGTTGAATAAATGAATGGATGAATAAATGAGTGCCAAAGCACAGAGTGGAGGTAACTATCAACCTTCCGCAAGACCAGGACAATAAAAACAAAAAAATGTGCATTGTTTGGCTACAGAATTCCAAATTTAGAAAGCAGAAGATGTAGAAGGACAGGGGAGACTGGAGAAGAAGAGGGGGCTGGGACATAGTAAAGGCTGGATTATTGGAAGACGAGGAAGATGAGTATAACACAGAATTGAATCACTTAACTCCTAATGAAAAACACTTTAGCAAAATAGCTCTTCAGACAAGGAATGGAATAAAATCAGCATTGACATAAACAAGCTCTTGGTTCTAATTATCTGGCAAGCAACTGCTGCAGATCTCAAAGAAGCTGAGTGGGTGAGGCTGGATCTGTGGTTTTGGAGTCTACTCAAGCATATTGAAGGCTCTTAGGGAAACATAAGTGTTAGAAAGCTTGGAGTGTTGGGGATATCAATTTATTCAACAAGGGTTTATTGATCTCCTACCAGGTATAAATATTTTTCTTGATACAAGAGTAAATGGCGTGTGATTCTTTTCCTTAAGCATCATACAATCTATATGGGGAGGCCATCCATGTTCAGAAATAATCATATAATAGGGCAAACTTTGATAAATGTCTAGAAGTGTGAGGATGATTTGGAATAGTCATTCATTCATTCATCCATTCATACATTTTTTAACAAAGTGTGCAATCCAGTGGTTTTAATATGTTCATAAAGTTGTGCAACCATCACTATTATGCAGTTCCACAAAATTTTCATCATCCACCAAAAGTCCTGTAAGTACTAGCAGTCACTCTCCATTCTTTCCTCCCTCTAGCCCCTGACAACCCCGCTAATCAATTTTCTGTCTCTATGGATTTCACTATTCTCAATTGATTCCCCAAAATAAGCTGACCATAAATGTAGGGTTTATTTCTAGACTCCCAAATCTATTCCAATGATGTTTATACCTACCCTTATGCCAGTATCACACTCTTCATTTCTGCAGTTTTATAATAAGTTTGAAGTCAGGAAATTTGAGTCCTCCAACTATGTTCTTTTTCAAATTCTTTTAGCTATTCCGAGTCTTGCATTTCCATATAAATCTCAGGATCAGCTTGTCAACTTCTGCAAAAAAAGTCAGTAGAAATTTTGACAGAGATTCCATTTAATCTGTAGATCAACTTTTGGATTATTGCCATTTTAACAGTATTAAGCTTTTAAATACATGATCTTGGGATATCTTTGCCTTAATCTAGATATTCTTTAATTTCTTTCAACAATGTTTTGTAGTTTTCAGAGTACTAGTTGTTACTCATTTTATTAAATTTATTCCTAGGTGTTTTATTCCTTTTGATATTGTAAATGGAATTGTTTTCTTAATTTTGTTTTCAGATTATTCATTGATAGTGTAAAAAAACACACTATTGACTTTTGTATATTGATCTGTATTCTGCAACCTTACTGAACTTATTAGTTCTAATAGTTTTTAAGGGGTTATTCGGAATTTTCTATGTATAAATTTAAGACATTTGCAAATAGAGATGATTTTACTTCTTTCCCAATATGGATACCTGTTATTTCTTTTTCTTGTCTAATTGCCCTGACTAGAACCTCCAGCAGAGTGTTGAGTAGAAGTATAAAGAGTGGACATATTTATCTTATTTTTGATTTAGAGGGAAAGCTTTCAGTCTTTTTCATTAAGTATAACGTTACCCGTGGGTTTTTCATAGATGCTCTTTATCAGGTTAAGGAAGTTCCTTTCTATTCCTAAGTGATGCAGTATTTTTATTGATGAAATGGTGATGGATTTTGGCAAATGCTTTTTTCTGTCTATTGAGATGATCATGTAGTTTTTGTTCTATATTCTATTATTATGGTATATTACGTGGTTGATTTTTATATACCGAACCAACCTTACCTTCTTGGGATAAATCTCACTTGGTTATGGTGTACTTTTTATATGTTGCTGGATTTAGTTTTCTAGAATATTTTTGAGGAATTTTGAATCTATGTTCATAAGGGATATTGGTTTGTAGTTTTTGTTTCTTGTGATGCCTTTGTGTTTTTTAGAATCAGGTTAATGGTAGCCTCATAGAATACGCTGAGAAATATTCTTGCTGCTTCTGAATTTTAGAAATTTTGTGAAGGATTGATATTGATTCTTCTTTAAACAATTGGTAGAATTCACCAGTGAAGCCCTCTCATCCTGGGAAGATTAAGAAACCTTTTTAAAATTGCTGGTTCAATCTCTTTACTTGTAATTGGTGTATTCAGATATTCTGCTTCTTCTTGAATCAGTTTTGATAGTTTCATTTTTTCTGTGAATTTGTCCATTTTATCTAGATTATTTACTTTATTAGAATACAATTGTTTTTTGTCTTCCCTTATAATCCTTCTTATTTTTGTAAGGTTGGTAGTAATATTCCTTCTTTCATTTCTGATTTTAGTAATTTTACTCTTTTTCTTGTTTCTTGGCCCAGTCTAGCTAAACATTTGTCAATTGTATTAATCTTTTCAAAGAACCAAATTTTACTTTTGCTTATGTTCTCTATTGGTTTCTTGTTATTTATTTATTTACACTTCAGTATTTATCCTTTTCTTCTTCCCCCTTGCTTTTGTTTGTTCTTTTTCTAGTTTCTTAAGACAAAAGGTTAAGATATCAATTTAAGATTTTTCTTCTTTTTAAATATAGGTATTTACAGCTATAAATATCTAAGTACTGTTTTCATTGTGTTCCATAATTACGATATGCTGTATTTTCATTGTGATTCATCTCGATGCATTTTTCTAATTTTTTTTTTATTTCTTTTCTTACCCATTGGTTATTTAGGAGTGTGTTGTGTAATTTTTACATATTAGTAAATTTCTCAAATTTCTTTCTGTTATTTACTTCTAATTTCATTTTATTGTGGTAGGAGAACATACTTTGTATTATTCTCTTTTTAAAAATTTACTGAAGTTTATTTTATGGCCTAACATATGGTCTGTCCTATAAAATGTTCCATGTGAGCTTGAGAAGAAAGTGTGTTCTGCTGTTGCTGGATTCTGCTGTGTTCTATAGATGTCTGCTAAATTAAGTTGCTGTGCAGTGTTGCTCAAGTCCTTTATTTCCTTGCTGATATTCAGTTGTGTTGTTCTTTCCATTATTGCAAGTGAGGATTAAAATCTCCAATTATTCATATTGAATTGTCTATTTTCTATTCAATTCTGTAAGTTTTGTTTCATGTATGTTTGGATCCTGTTATTTGGGAATTTTATGGGGGGAATACCCACCAGGAAATGCGTGTTTCCTCAGACACACACCGTGTGTGTGTGCACTCACGCACCCCCCACACAGATGTCTTTAAACAGCCTGTTCTTCTGCCTTCTGTGTCTCCTCAAGAAACACGCAGGAAACAGGCAGCAATCAAACAAGCTGCCAGCTAAGCACCAGGTGATTCTCTGTTTGAATTAGACAGGTTGGAGCAGAGAATCAGGGAGGTGAGAGGAATGGAAGACAGAATCACATTATCTCTCAGCTGCATGGAAAATTGTATTGTGGCATCCATGCATAAGGAAGGATAAGGAAGGGAAGTATTACCTCAGTGGCCAATAAAGCTAGAAGGCTGTTTGAACTTGTTGTATATATTCAAAGTCACATTGGGACCTTGAATATAATATTCCTAAAGAGAATAGTGCATGTCAATGGAGGAAGGAAGAACATTTGTCTTCCAGGATCTGATATCCTCCAGGCACACCGGGATTCTTTACCTGTCAATGGCAGATAAATTTGATACACACACACACACACACACACACACACACACACACACAGTCACAGTTGCCTCTTTATATATTTATTTTTCTTCCATGATTTTACCTCAAAAATTAGAAATATATTCCAAACTTTTCTAGTAAAATAATTCTAGGAATATCTAAACTTTTCTTGTATTGTTTTATATTTCAAATTAATGCCTCTTCTTAGAAATCAAGTTTTCTAAATTTACTGTTTTATTTTTCTTAAGTTATCTTCTTGATGCAAGAAGAGGCTCATAGGTTTTTTTCTGAAGAATTTCTGTATTATCTTTAACTCAACTTTTGATAAATATTGAATGACTTTGAATTCAAATTGCTCATTTCTGATGTAAAAAGCACCAAGTAGAAGATTTTGTGCATATTTTAAAAGAAGTGAGCTGAGTATTCTTCCAATCAGCAGAGTTGGGGATAGGGATTAAATTCTCTGAGGACAGCTGAAGAACCTGAGAAGGAAGGACACATGCCCACAATGAAAGGCCACTCTTCCCCTGACACCTTTCCTGGAAACATGCACAAAAAGGTGAGGAGTGGGACTCCTGGTTTGGGCCAAAATTCTCCTCAAGAAGCAGTTTTGTTTTCACTCCAGTTCATTGAAGAATAATATTCAAGACCCCAGAACTTGGGTACTTAATCATGTCCACAATGTTATCAGTCTAAAAATATTTTGTAAGAGGTATAACCAAGTGCCCATGTGGGATATACAATAATGTGGTAAAACACCAGTAGAATGTATTACCTTGGGCAGTCTAAGAATTACCTACAAATTGTCCACCTGATTTCTTGAATGAACTACTTTTCTATAGGTTTTGTTTTTTTTTCTAATGTTTGACTGTAACTCTTTGGTGTAGAAAGTAGGGCTGACTGTCTATTAAGACCAATAAATGCATGACAGTAGAATGAAGCCATCTGTATGTATGAGAATGCTTATCTTTATTATTTTATTTTATTTTTTGAGAATGGGGAGTACATGCATCCAGGTCTTTGAAAACAAAAATGAAAAATCAACCACTGTATGACAACATTGATTAAAAGGACCATCAAACTGATACTCATTTTACCCCATTTGAAATTATTTCTTCAAAAAGATCTTTAAAATAACATTAAAAATATTGCTAACAACCATAAACCGAACCATATGGTAAGACACAGGTTCTGTATTCATTTTATCTTATTTTACTTATTGTTACTTTTAATATTAGATTCAGGGGTTACATGTGCAGGTTTGTTACAATGTATTCACTTAAAAATGGTGAATCTTTATTGAGCTAATGCAATGTAGGGCAGAACTGACTGGTCATGGAGTCAACAGTGCTCTAAAGGGAAAATTTAAAGATGACAAAAACATGAAACTATAAAAAGTAGAGAAAAAATGTATGTAAAGTTTTGGGTTGAACAGGTTTGATGCTCATTAAAAAAACTGCAATGCATTTTGGGGTTGAAAAACTTACAAAGTAATGGGTTGGGAGAGGTCTTCTAAGTCCAACCAGATAGAGTCATGCCTGTAGAGATGACGAAGAGAAACACATTTGTCAATCATCAGAGTCCACCTTTCAATTTTGTGGACAGAAAGTATTCTCTGAATCCTATTTGGCATGAGCTTTTAAAATCAATTATAAAATGTAATGAATTGTTACCAGGTCTCAGGTAAAAATTGGCCTGGGACTTGCAAAGTTTGGGGCCAGTTAACCTTTAGTTTATAAAGCTGGGAAAACCAATTCTCCCAGGTTTCTACTAGGATGTGTATCAGGTGAAATTCACCCCCAATATTTCATGTAGATTCTTTTCTATTTTCCCTAAGTGTCAGCCAGTCTGAGAAATAAAGGGAAAGAGCACAAAAGAGAGAAATTTTAAAGCTGGGTGGCTGGAGGAGACATCACATGTCGGCAGGTTCCGTGATGCCCCCCGAGCCGTAAAACCAGCAAGTTTTTATTAGTGATTTTCAAAAGGGGAGGGAGTGTACGAATAGGGTGTGGGTCACAGAAATCACATGCTTCACAAGGTAATAAGATATCATAAGGCAAATGGAGGCAGGGCAAGATCACAGGACCACAGGACTGGGGCGAAATTAGAATTGCTAATGAAGTTTCAGGCATGCATTGTCATTGGTAACATCTTATCAGGAGACAGGGTTTGAGAGCAGACAACCAGTCTGACCAAAATTTATTAGGTGGGAATTTCCTCATCCTAATAAGCCTGGGAGCGCTACAGGAGACCAGGGCTTATTTCATCCATCAGCTATGACAATAAAAGACAGCCATCCCCAAAGCGGCCATTTCAGAGGCCTCCCCTCAGGACACATTCTCTTTCTCAGGGATGTTCCTTGCTGAGAAAAAGAATTCAGCAATATTTCTCCCATTTGCTTTTGAAAGAAGAGAAATATGGCTCTGTTCTTCCTGGCTCACTGGCAGTCAGAATTTAAGGTTATCTCCCTTGTTCCCTGAACATTGCTGTTATCCTGTTCTTTTTTCAAGGTGCCCAGATTTCATATTGTTCAAACACACGTGCTCTACAATTTGTGCAGTTAACGCAATCATCACAGGGTCCTGAGGTGACATACATCCTCCTCAGTTTACGAAGATGACGGGATTAAGAGATTAAAGTAAAGACAGGCATAGGAAATCACAAGGGTATTGATTGGGGAAGTGATAAGTATCCATGAAATCTTCACAGTTTATGTTCGGAGATTGCAGTAAAGACAGACATAAGAAATTATAAAAATATTAATTTGGGGAACTAATAAATGTCCATGAAATCTTCACAATTTATGTTCTTCTGCCATGGCTTCAGCCAGTCCCTCCGTTCGGGGTCCCTGACTTCCCGCAACAGATGTGAGCTAATTTATTTTAACTTCTCCCACCAAATTCTTTCCTCCAGTATTATTTTCCAGCATCTACTCTTATTACCTGTTTTGGTGGCCAAACTCAGTCATGTGTATTATAATTTTTTGATCCCCCAAATGGAATTTATAAGATTTAAGTCTGATACCTTCTAGTTGGCTTCCCTCCATTTTCATTTTGTGTGTTACCTAAAAAGAAGTTCTTGTCAACGTAGACCCTTGGAAGCCAAATTCAAAATTTTCTGGAGCCTTCTTTAGAAGATAATCTATTGGTAGGAGGAAGTACAAACACCTCTCTTAATGTACCATGGAGGAGTTTTCCAGTGGTTCCTGGAGAGCAATCAATTACCAGGATAAATTCAGATTTCCCAAGTACATTATACACTTCTCAGCCCCTTAACTTCTCCAGTCCAACCAGGAGTACAGATGGGCTAGTGGAAAAGTTCACCGGGTGAAGTGTTAAAGGCAGAGTGGGATCTTGTGGAGATGAACTCTGGCATAAACTCAGAAGACTCCAACTACAGAAGCCACTGATTCTTTGAATTCTGATGGATTGGATACTTTGCTTTGTTGCTGCCTTTTCTATTCCATATTTGGACAAAATTATTGCTCTCACACATCAGAATCATTGTTCCTTTCTAGTTGGTGACATCTATGGGCTGCTCAGATATTAAATATTAATGGTCAGAAAGATGTGGTATTGGAATCAAGACCAATTAACAACTCAGTTTTTTCATAGTTTAGGAATCTGTAGGAAGAAGAAAGGATGCTTCGCGAAGCCTGAAACACACACACATACACGTTCTTCTTACTCTTGCTACTAAAGGAGTTCTGGAGACCACTAGGTGTCAGTCTGCACAGATCCCTACACTGGTGGATGCAAAGGCAAGAAAGAATTCTATTCCTTGGAAAAGCTGTTCTTTCCCTTGGGAGACAAAGGCACAATACCACACACAATGAGTTTGATTTCCTCTTCCTTGCCAGAGAAAGTCTTTTATTTAGATCAGAAAGAAAACCCTCTTGGGTCCCTTCTCACATCAATCTTCTTCTTCTTCTTTTTTTTTTTTTTTGAGTTTAGAGCAAGGAAAAGCTGTTTCTTCATGAAGAAACACATGTTGAAAGCTGAAGAGTCACGTATGGGGTCTTCCTGTAGGAGTCACACCCAGTCAGGTGCAGCATCTTCTTAGATTCCTGAGCTCTTCTCAGCAGAGCAAACTTTAAGAGAAGAAGGCCACTTTCATGGTGTAATTTGAAGCTATGACTGCAAGTATTTCCCCTGCCTCAAATATCCACTCATCAGTGGGCTCTTCCTACCTGGAGTGATGTTTGCTGTTTGCACCAATGAACTCTTATCCCTGGGTTATGTACATTATGTAAGTAAAAACATTCTTGCTTAGATGTATATGCTACATGGTGCTCCTCAAGAGCACATTAACGTTAAATCCAGTTATGTCACAATATTGTTTTAAGTTATATTATCTATATATCCCCTTGAAAGACACAGAGAGTATAGATTTGAGGGTGTATGTTTCAATTAATAAAGATAATGGGAAGAGGGACAGGTCTTGATCAAGGCAATCAAACTGGACAAGATTAGGCTATAGGAAACAGAGAGACCAATTTGATCAGGGAGCAAAGAGGGACACTATTCTCTATCCTTGCTCAAAGTTACTTATCTTTCTATCTTTATTACTCTTCTATGGGCACCCCTTTTCTCTCAACTAATTTGGAAGATCCAGAATGATCCCTATTTGGGATTATTTAATTCATTAAATTGTTGATAAAGTGCACAAAAAGGAAGGGTAATATGTGTTTTCCATGCACTGGGCACTATATTTTGTTATGCAGCAGTAGAAAACGAATGCGTCTGGTGTATCAGAAGCTGATGGAAAGTGATTTGTTTATACCTTTATGAGTTTAAACATTTTTATGGTATGTATGCATTACTTTTGTTTTATTGTATATTTTTAAAATTTATTAAACTTCAAGTGGACATAATTGAGTTGTGGTTCTCAGTTCACAGTTAATGTTACTGTTAATTGTGAAATGTCCCTATCTTATTTTTTTATTTCCTCTTCATCCTGTGTCTACTTCTCCTACCTGATAGACATCAATTTATAGATTTGTATATATGTAATATATATACAAATATATATATTTTATGCACATATATAATATATACAAATATATATATTCGTATATAAATACATACAAATATATATATTCGTATATCAATATATACGAATATATATATTTGTATTGTATATATTGATATACAAATCAAATATATTATATACTTGTTTACATATATATGCAAAGATACACATGAATCTTTATAAAATGTATAGTGGTATTGGTGGATGTGTGTGTTTTTAATATACATAAGCAAAAATTTGGCTATAAGTTTCATTCTGCTTCTGATTTTTCTGTATTAACTAGGCTTATAATATCTATTAATGTTGTCTATCATTCAACATATGCCCAGGAATGGGACTGCTGGACTGTATGTGTTATGTTACTTAATTTCACTAGGTACTAACAGATTGTTTCCTGAATGGCTGTAACACATGCTATGCCCACAGCAGTGCACAATGATTCTCCCAATACTTGTGTGATCTGACTATATGAATATTATCTTACATTAAAACCCAAGTTTATCATCACCAAAATTCATGCTCTTATTATATTTGATAGTCATGCAAGTTCTGCAGATGTTCAAAGACACATTTTTAAAGATGAAAAGTATAAATACTCAAAAGTACCACGTATTACTGTAAGAAGTTAAAAGACAGGTCATTATCTGAATATTTTTTGGTCCATTACTGTTTGTTGTTCTCCCTCCACTTCCTCTGACCTGATTGTGAGAGAAAAACAGGGGTGTGGAAAGAGATACGCTTGGAATATTGCACTGAAATATCAGGGAAACAGGCATATGTGTGTATAGACATAGACACATACACGCAACAGGGGTAAAGGAAGAGCGGCTACGAGTTTAAAGTAAAAAGAAGCAAGAGTGACATATAGTAACAAAAGAGGATGTTTTCTTTTAAACATTGAGAGTGAAGGTGGTGAGAGTAGGATATATGGAAGGGATTAAAAAATCGAAATATAAGAGATGCACAAATTTTCAGGGTACTTGTGATAGTTTGATACATTCATATAATGTGTAAAGATTTTCTTTTTTTTTCTTTTTCTTTTTTTGAGACGGAGTCTTGGTCTGTCGCCCAGGCTGGAGTGCAGTGGCGGGATATGGGCTCACTGCAAGCGCCGCCTCCCAGATTCATGCCATTCTCCTGCCTCAGCCTCCCAAGTAGCTGGGACTACAGGCACCCGCCACCACACCCGGCTAATTTTTTTTGTGTTTTTAGTAGAGACGGGGTTTCACCATGTTAGCCAGGATGGTCTCGATCTCCTGACCTCATGATCTGCCTGTCTCGGCCTCCGAAAGTGCTGGGATTACAGGCGTGAGCCACCGCGCCCGGCCTGTGTAAAGATTTTCAAATCAGGGTAACTGAGATATTCATCATCTTAAATATTTATTTTTTTCTTGATTCTAGGAACATTTGAATTATTCTTTTCTAGCTATTTTGATGGAAGGGGTTTTTAATATGAGCTTTTATGTATGTATGGTGTGAGGGGGAGGCAGAACTTCTGCTTCATTGGGTTGCTGAAGCCATCTCCATATACAGAGCTTAACATTGGAAATTTAATACATCTGCAGAGCAATAATTAGTACTGTTGTTCTTGTGTGTTTGGGGAGATGAGGAAAAGGTAGAATACAATGACTGAATTAAGTTTTAGGGTCATGTCAGCATGACCAATTTCTTCTTTGCTTTTTTCCTTTTGGGCTAAATTGTCCAGGTGTTGGAAAAGAAACTTGTAACCAGAATCTACTCAATACCAAATATTATGTTGTAATTACTAGGCATGCCAAGTTTAAATAAATATCACCAAATCTGCTTATCTGAAGCACATAAAATGTGGGCTTTTAAAAGAAATTAAGGTCTGTATAGGTTTTTCTTTCCTGAAAAATCTTGTTTAAAAACGTATTTTAAAATAGCAATTTGTCTTTTACCAATTTGATGACTGATTTAAGTGTAACTGTCTTATGTAAATCAGTAGCAAGAAGTATGCATTCTGTGTTGTAGTTAAATGATAATCCATGCTAATGGAAGGGACTGAAATTTAGATAATTGCAACCAATGACTAACCAAAGGAAAAAAAATAGTAGACACCTTTTTGAAATGCAGTTACCTAAACACACACTCGCACCTTAAAAGCAGCAGCCTGACTCTCTCAGGGATGTGGTCTCCTCTAAGTCACCTGGGGCCTAAAAATAAGGCCCATGTCCACTGTCCCCTGCATTAGTGTTGCTGATGGAACAATAGAGGCACTAGAGGGGAAGGTTCAAGGTGGACCTGGAAGTTCACTCTGTTTCAGCTCCATCTGGTGGTTGATTCTCCCCAACTTCTTGTCATGTGACTGTCCAGATTCTATTTAAATATCTCCAAGGATTGAAAGTTCACTGCATCTCAAAATAGCCTATTCCACTTTCAGACAATAAATAGAAAGATCTAAGGTTGCTATATTTAAGCATACATTTGTACACATTTGATATCCTACAATTAGTCCTATTTTTGACCATTTGGGTAACACAGGAAAAAAAAAAATTTCTACTTATTTCTAGTGATAGCATTTGGAAGGCATCTGCCATTTCAATCCCAAAGGTTTCCCTTTGTTAAGCAAAATATTGAGATTTCACAAATCTCCTGTGTTTGAGGTTTATTCACTATCTTGATTATTATTCTCTGGACACATTTTTTTTAATGGTCCTCAAAGTGTAGCACTTAAAACCAAGGATAACACCCAAAGAATAATAAGAAACTGAGAAGAGGGGAAATCTCTCAGAATAAGACAGGGTCAGGGATGTGGGTAAGTATAAGTCTGGGATGTTAAATTGTTTTAGTGTATATTTTAAAATCCAAGATGGTTCTTATAAATAGAATGAGGTTTTTTAAAAAGGGAAAGTGATATAGGGCAGAATTAAAATGTTAAGGTCCTGAAACAAACAATGACAACAACAAAGAGAAAACTAACTATAGAAAGTGGGAATGAGGTCTTTCACAATGTCAAGGACTTTTGAGGTCTAAAGTCGTATGAAAGACCAGAAACAAGTTGGGAAGAGCAGAAGAAATCCATTAGTCTTTGACTATTCTCTCTCTCTCTGTCTTTTTTTTTTTTTTTTTTTTTTTTTTTTTGAGACAGGGTCTTGCTCTGTCACCAGGCTGGAGTGGAGTGGCACTATCTCAGCTGACTGCAACCTCTGCCTCCTGGGTTCAAGTGATTCTCCTGCCTTAGCCTCCTGAGTAGCTGGGATTACAGGCATGTGCCACCATGCCCAGCTAATTTTTGTATTTATAGTAGAGACAGGGGTTCACCAGGATGGTCTTGATCCCTTGACCTCGTGATCCACCTACCTTGGCCTCCCAAAGTGCTGGGATTACAGGTGTGAGCCACCATGCCCAGCTGCTTATTATCTATTGATTGGATACGTGGAATAACCTCCTTGCTTTCACTCTGGTGTCTCTTCATCCATTTTCCACACTACAGTCAGAGGGATCTTTTCACAACTTAAATTCCTTCCATGGCTTCCCATCTTTCCTGGCTTAACTATCAATGTTCTTAATCTGACTTACTAGCCGTTGCATGATCTGCATTTTCCTCCCAGTCTTACATTAAATCACTTTCTCTTCTGCAGCCCACATTGACTCTTGTCCAGCTCTTAGAACACACCATGGTCCTCGCATTGCCATGCTCTTCTTCCCTTTGTCTAGTTAACTCCCACTTGTCATTGAAAATTCAGCTCAAATGCCATTTTTGGAGGAAAACCATCCCTGACCCTCCATTCTAGGTCAGATCCTTTTCTTAGGTGCTGTTAAATTTTTTTTCCTTTGGAGCACTCACCTCAGTTTGTAATTGCATATTAGCATGATAATTAAGTTATTGTCCATGTAACAGGGGTGTGTTTAATCACTGCCCCAGCTTGAGGAAAAACCTCTCACCAAGATTGGCCATGGATTCTCTTTCCTTCCACACCTCAACCACTCCCTATATTATCAGGATCTCACCTTGCATCTGGGGTGTGTGTGGACAAGGAAGGTATTGTTCTTGCAAGATGGTTGGAAGCAGATTGATCAGTTTTTCTTAGATGGTTACAAGCTCAGATGGAAAGCTACTCTTTCTACTATCCAGTCTTCTTCCAAAGATCAGAAGTAAAGCTAACGAGGTAACTTAGTAGACAGAGGGTGGTCTAAATAGAATAAAGACAAAGGGTATTTGTCTTACAACCTACTGATGCTTTAAAACCTGAGCTACCATTGGTCAGGGGGATGGGGTGGTAGTTAAGGTAGTAAAATCTGTAACTTGATTTGACTGATTCTGATATTACTTAATTTCCTATACTTTAGACTCTCAAATACATTACTTTGTGCAAATCTATATTCCATGCAGGTATACCTGATTATCTCTGCAATCCAAATGGCTTCTGAGAACTTCCTGTCCATTCACAGGGGCCATTCTGATTCCCATATGTACAGCTTGGGATGCTCTCCTATGTCTTTTCCACTAGTGCTGATGAGAACAGGGTACAAACTCAATTCAGTTAATTTCTGTATGTTTCTGGAACTGATGGCCATATGAAAACTGAGCATTGGTGGGCCAGGGAGAGGTGGAATTGCAGGGGATTGATGGCTATGAACAGACAAATTGAGAAAACAGGTCATAGAGAATGAAAAACAAATGAATCAGGCAGGTAAAGAGAAGCAGAGATGAGAAATGAAGAAAACACCTCTTCTAGGTTCCTAATGTAGTTCTAGCTTCCAATTTCACTTCTATCTGGAAGCCTAACTGCTTTTTTGACAAACTAGCTGGAGTTAGGTTTGGTTATTTACATTCCAAAGTGCCTTAAGTGAAGCTCCTGTTCAGTTGTGTGTTGGCCTCATTTCCGACCTTTGGAGGGTGCTACGGTCTGAATGTTTGTGTTCCCTCAAAAGTCACATGGTGATACCTAATCCTCAATTGATTGTATTAAGAGGTGGGGGCCTATGGGAGGCTATTAGTCATGAGGCCGCATGAATGGGATTAATGTCTTTAAAAGAGACTCCAGAGATTCTGTTCCAAGGTGGCCAAAAAGGAACTGCTCTGGTCTGCAGCTCCCAGCGTGATAGATGCAGAAGACGGTGATTTCTGCATTTCCAACTGAGGTACCAGGTTCATCTCATTGGGACTGGTTGGACAGTGGGTGCAGCCCATGGAGGGTAAGCCGAAGCAGGGCAGGGCATCGCATCACCCAGGAAGCACAAGGGGTCAGGGGATTTCCCTTTCCTAGCCAAGGAAAGCCATAACAGACTGTACCTGGAAAATCAGGACACTCCCGCCCAAATACCACACTTTTCCAACAGGCTTAGCAAATGGCACACCAGGAGATTATATCCCACACCTGGCTTGGCGGGTCCCATGTCCACGGAGCCTTGCTCACTGCTAGTGCAGCAGTCTGAGATCGACCCGTGAGCAGCAGCCTGGCAGGGGGAGGGTTTTCCACCATTGCTGAGGCTTGAGTAGGTAAACAAAGCGGCTGGGGAAGTTCGAACTGGGCAGAGCCCACTGCAGCTCTGCAAGGCCTGATGCTTCTGTAGATCCCACCTCTGGGGGCAGGGCATAGCTGAGCGAAAGGCAGCAGAAACTTCTGCAGAGTTAAATGACCCTGTGACTCTGTCTGACAGCTCTGAAGAGAGCAGTGGTTCTCCCAGCATGGTGTTTGAGGTCTGAGAACTGACAGACTGCCTCCTCAAGTGGGTCTCTGACCCCCGTGTAGCCTAACTGGGAGACACATCCCAGTAGGGGCTGACTGACACCTCATACAGGTGGGTGTCCCTCTGGGACGAAGCTTCCAGACAAAGGATCAGGCAGCAATATTTGCTGTTCTGCAATATTTGCTGTGCTGCAGCCTCCACTGGTGATACCTAGGCAAACAGGGTCTGAAGTGGACCTCCAGCAAACTCCAACAGACCTGCAGCTGAGGGACCTGACTGTTAGAAGGAAAACAAACAAACAGAAAGGAATAGCATCAACATCAACAAAAAGGACATCCACACCAAAACCCCATCTGTAGGTCACCAACATCAAAGACCAAGGGTAGATAAAACCATAAAGATGGGGAGAAATCAGAGCAGAAAAGCTGAAAATTCCAAAATCCAGAGTGCCTCTTCTCCTACAAAGGATTGCAGCCCTTGCCAGCAACGTAACAAAGCTAGATGGAGAATGACTTTGATGAGCTGACAGAAGTAGGCTTCAGAAAGTCAGTAATAACAAACTTCTCTGAGCTAAAGGAGGATGTTAGAACCCATCACAAAGAAGCTAAAAACCTTGAAAAAACATTAGACAAATGGCTAACTAGAATAACCAGTGTAGAGAATACCTTAAATGACCTGATGGAGCTGAAAACCATGGCACGAGAACTACATGACGCATGCACAAGCTTCAATAGCCGATTCAATCAAGTGGAAGAAAGGGTATCAGTGATTGAAGATCAAATTAATGAAATACAGTGAGAAGAGAAGTTTAGAGAAAAAAGAGAAAAAGAAATGAACAAAGCCTCCAAGAAATATGGGACTATGTGAAAAGACCAAATCTACATTTGATTGGTGTACCTAAAAGTGATGAGGAGAATGAAACCAAGTTGGAAAACACTCTTCAGGATATTATCCAGGAGAACTTCCCCAACCTAGCAAGGCAGGCCAACATTCAAATTCAGGAAATACAGAGAACACCACAAAGATACTCCTCGAGAAGAGCAACCCCAAGGCATATAATTGTCAGATTCACCAAGGTTGAAATGAAGGAAAAAATGTTAAGGGCAGCCAGAGAGAAAGGTCGGGTTACCCACAAAGGGAAGCCCATCAGATTAACAGAGGATCTCTTGGGAGAAACTCTACAAGCCAGAAGAGAGTGGGGGCCAATATTCAACATCCTTAAAGAAAAGAATTTTCAACCCAGAATTTCATATTCAGCCAAACTAAGCTTCATAAGTGAAGGAGAAATAAAATCCTTTACAGACAAGCAAATGCTGAGAGATTTTGTCACCACCAGGCCTGCCTTACAAGAACTCCTGAAGGAAGCACTAAACATGGAAAGGAACAACCAGTACCAGCCACTGCAAAAACATGCCAATTGTAAAGACCATCGAGGCTAGGAAGAAACTGCATCAACTAACTGGCAAAATAACCAGCTAACATCATAATGACAGGATCAAATTCACATATAACAATATTAACCTTAAATGTAAATGGGCTAAATGCTCCAATTAAAAGACACAGACTGGCAAATTGGATAAAGAGTCAAGACCCATCAGTGTGCTGTATTCAGGAGACCCATCTCACGTGTAGAGACACACATAGGCTCAAAATAAAGGGATGGAGGAAGAGCTACCACAGAAACGGAAGGCAAAAAAAAAAAAAGAGCAGGTGTTGCAATCCTAGTCTCTGATAAAACAGACTTTAAACCAAAAAAGATCAAAAGAGACAAAGAAGGCCATTACATAATGGTAAAGGGATCAATTCAACAAGAAGAGCTAACTATCCTAAATATATATGCACCCAATACAGGACCACCCAGACTCATAAAGCAAGTCCTTAGAGACCTACAAAGAGACTTAGACTCCCACACAATAATAATGGGAGACTTTAACACCCTACTGTCAATATTAGACAGATCAATGAGACAGAAGGTTAACAAGGATATCCAGGACTTGAACTCAGCTCTGCACCAAGTGGACCTAATAGACATCTACAGAACTCTCCACCCCAAATCAACAGAATATACATTCTTCTCAGCACCACCCTGCACTTATTCCAAAATTGACCACGTAATTGGAAGTAAAGCACTCCTCAGCTAATGTAAAAGAACAGAAATCACAACAAACGGTCCTTCAGACCACAGTGCAATCAAATTAGAACTCAGGATTAAGAAACTCATTCAAAACCACACAGCTACATGGAAACTGAACAACCTGCTCCTGAATGACTGCTGGGTACATAACAAAATGAAGGCAGAAATAAAGATGTTCTTTGAAACCAGTGAGAACAAAGACACAATATACCAGAATCTCTGGGACACATTCAAAGCAGTGTGTAGAGGGAAATTTATAGCACTAAATGCCCATAAGAGAAAGCAGGAAAGATCTAAAATCAACACCCTAACATCACAATTAAAAGAACTAGAGAAGCAAAAGCAAACAAATTCAAAAGCTAGAAGAAGGCAAGAAATAACGAAGATCAGAGCAGAACTGAAGTAGATAGAGACAAAAAAAAACCCCTTCAAAAAAATCAATGAATCCAGGATCTGGTTTTTTGAAAAGATCAACAAAATTGATTGACTGCTAGCAAGACTAATAAGGAAGAAAAGAGAGAAGAATCAAATAGATGCAATAAAAAATGATAAAGGGGATATCACCACAGATCCCACAGAAATACAAACTGCCATCAGAAAATACTATAAACACCTCTATGCAAATAAACTGGAAAATCTAGAAGAAATGGATAAATTCCTGGACACATACACCCTCCCAAGACTAAACAAGGAAGAAGTTGAATCTCTGACTAGACCAATAACAGGCTCTGAAATTGAGGCCATAAATAATATACCAACCAAAAAAAGTCCAGGACCAGACAGATTCACAGGCGAATTCTACCAGAATTCTGTGAAGAATGTTAATGGTAGTTTGGTGGGAATAGTATTGAATCTATAAATTATTTTGGTGAGTGTGACCATTTTCACAATATAGGTTCTTCCTGTTCACGAGGATGGAAGGTTCGTTTGTGTCCTTCCTTATTTCCTTGAGCAGTGGTTTATAGTTATCCATGAAGTGGCCCTTCACTTCCCTTGTTAGCTGTGTTCCTAGGTATTTTATCATCTTTGTAGCAATTGCAAATGGGGGTTCATTCATTATTTGGCTTTCTGCTTGGAATGCTTGTGATTTTTGCACATTGATTTTGTATCCTGACTTTGCTGAAGTTGCTTATCAGCATAAGAAGCTTTGGGGCTGAGATGATGGGGTTTTCTGATGATAGGACCATGTGATCTGCATACAGAGACAGTTTGACTTCCTCTCTTTCAATTTGAATAGGCTTTATTTATTTCTCTTGCCTGATTGCCCTGATCAGCAGAACTTCCAATTCTGTGTTGAATAGGAGTGGTGAGAGAGGGCATCCTTGTCTTGTGCTGTTTTTCAAGGGGAATGCTTTCAGCTTTTACCCATTCAGTATGATATTAGCCGTGAGGTTTTCATAAATGGCTCTTGTTATTTGAGCCAGTTTATTGAGAATTTTTAACATGAAGGGATGTTGAATTTTATCGAAGGCCTTTTCTGTGTCTATTGAGGTTATCATGTGATTTTTGTCTTTAGTTCTGTTTATGTGATGAATTACATTTATTGAATTGCAAAAGTTGAAGCAGCCTTGCATCTCAGGGATGAAGATGACTTGATCTTGGTGGATAGCTTTTTGATGAGCTGCTGGATTCAGTTTACCAGTATTTTATTGAGGATTTTTACATAAATGTTCATCAGGGATATTTGCCTGAAGTTTCCTTTTTTGTTGTTGTATTTCTGCCAGATTTTGGTATCAGGATGATACAGGCCTCATAAAATGAGTTAGGGAGGAGTCCCTCCTTTTCTTTGATTTGGAATAGTTTCAGAAGAAATGGTGCCAGCTCCTTTTTGTATCTCTGGTAGAATTCAGTTGTAAATCTCTTCGGTTCTGGGCTGTTTTTAGTTGGTAGGCTATTTATCACTGCTTCAATTTCAGAGCTTATAATGGGTCTATTCAGGGATTCAACTTCTTCCTCATTCAGTCTTGAGAGTGGGCATGTGTCCAGGAATTTATCCACTTCTTCTAGATTTTCTAGTTTATTAGTACAGAAGTATTTATGGTATTCTCTCATGATTGTTTGTATGTCTGTGGGGTCAGTGGTGATATCCCCCTTATTTCTGATTGTATCTATTTGATTCTTCTCTCTTTTCTTCTTTTTTAGTCTAGCTAGTGGTCTATCTATTTTATTATTTTTTTCAAAATCTACCTCCTGGATTCGTTGATTTTTTAAAGGTTTTTTTGTGTCTGTGTCTCCCTCAGTTCTGCTTGATCTTGGTTATTTCTCATCTTCTACTAGCTTTGGGGTTTTCTTGCTCTTGGTTCTCCAGTTGTTTTAGTTGTGATGCTAGGGGGTTGATTTGAGATCTTTCTAGCTTTTTGATGTGGGCAGTTAGTGCTTTAAATTTCCCTCTTAACACTGTTTTAGCTGCATCCCAGAGATTCTGGTACATTGTCTCTTTGTTCTCCTTGGTTTCAAAGAACTTCTTGATTTCTGCCTTAAGTTCATCATTTACCCAGGAGTCATTTCAGGAGCATATTGTTCAATTTTCATGTAGTCATGTGGTTTCGAGTGAGTTTCTTAATCTTGAGTTCTAATTTGATTGCACTGTGGTCTGAGAGACTGTTTGTTATGATTTCAGTTCTTTTGCATTTGCTGAGTAGTGTTTTACTTTCAATTATGTGATGCATTTTAGAGTAAGTGCCATATGGAGCTGAGAAGAATGTATATTCTGTTGTTTTTGGGAGGAGAGTTACATAGATATCTATCAGGTCCACTTGATCCAGAGCTGAGTTCAACTCCTGAATATCTTTGTGAATTTTCTGTCTCAATAATCTGTCTAATATTGACAGTTGGGCATTAAAGTCTCCCATTATTATTGTGTGGGAGTCTAAGTCCTTTTGTAGGTCTCTAGGAGCTTTTTTTTATGAATCTGGGTGCTACTGTATTGGGTGTATATATATTTGGGATAGTTAGCTTTTCTTGTTGAATTGAGTCCTTTACCACATGTAATGCCTTTCTTTGTGTTTTTTGATCTTTGTTAATTTAAAGTCTGTTTTGTCAGAAACTGGGATTGTAACCCCTACTTTTTTTCCTGCTTTCCATTTGGTTGGTAAATTTTCTTCCATCCCTTTATTTTGAGCCTATGTGTGTCTATGCATGTGAGATGGGTCTCATGAATACAGCACACTGATGGGTCTTAACTGTTTATCCAGATAGCCATTCTGAGTCTTTCAATTGGGGCATTTAGCTTATTTACATTTAAGGTAAATATTGTTATGTGTGAATTTGATCCTGTTATCATGATGCTACCTGGTTATTTAGCAGACTTGTTGATGTAGTTGCTTCATAGTGACATTGGTTTTTGTAGTAGGTGGTAATGGTTTTTCCATTCCATATTTAGTGCTTTCCTCAGGAGCTCTTGCAAGGCAGGCCTGATGGTAATAAATTCCCTCAAAATTTGCTTGTCTGAAAAGGATTTTATTTCTCCTTCACTTATGAAGCTTCATTTCACCAAATAAGAAATTCTGGGTTGGCAATTCTTTTCTTTAAGAATGTTGAATATTGGCTCCCAATCTCCTCTGGCTTGTAGGGTTTCTGCGGAGAGGTCTGCTGTTCATCTAATGGGTGGTCTGGCCTTTCCCTGTGGCTGCCCTTAACATTTTTTCCTTCATTTCAGCCTTGGAGAATCTGATGATTATATGTCTTGGTGTTGATCTTCTCATGGAGTATCTTACTGGGGTTCTTTGGGTTTCCTGAATTTGAATGTTGGCCTGACTTGGTAGGCTTGGTAAGTTCTCCTGGATGATATCCTGATGTATGTTTTCCAACTTGGTTCCATTCTCCTCATCTCTTGTGGTATTCCAATCAGTCATAGGTTTGGTCTTTTTATACAACCCCATATGGAGGGTTTTTTTTTTTTGGAGATGGAGTCTCTCCCTGTCACCCAGGATGGAGTGCAATGGCACAATCTCGACTCACTGCAACCTCGCCTCCTGGGTTCAAATGATTCTCCTGTCTCAGCCTCCCAAGTAGCTGCGATTACAGGCACCTGCCACCATGCCCAGCTAATTTTTGTATTTTTAGTAGAGACAGGGTTTCGCCATGGTGGCCAGGCTGGTCTCAAACTGCTGACCTCATGATCTGTCCCCCTTGGCCTTCCAAAGTGCTGGATTACAGGCATGAACCACTGCACCCAGCCGTTCTTGGAGGTTTTGTTCATTCCTTTTCATTATGTTTTCTTTAATCTTATCTGCCTGTCTTTTTTCAGCAAGATAGTCTTCAAGCTCTGAAAGTCTTTCCTCTGCTTGATCTGTTCTGCTGTTGATACTTGTGATTACATTGTGAAGTTCTCATGTTGTGTTTTTCAGCTCCATCAAGTTATTCTCTATCAACTGGTTATTCTGGTCAATTGCTCCTATAATGTTTTATCATGGTTCTTAGCTTCTTTGCATTGGGTTAGGACATGCTCCTTTTGCTTAGCAAAGTTTGTTATTACTCACCTTCTGAAGCCCACTTCTGTCAGTTCATTCATCTCAGCCTCAGCCTAGTTCTGTGGCCTTGCTGGAGAGGTGTTTCAATCATTTGGAGGAGAAGAGACACTCTGGCTTTTTGAGTTTTCAGCATTTTTTCATTGGTTCTTTCTCATCTTCATGAGTTTATCTTTGAGGCTGCTGATCTTTGGATAGAGTTTTTGTGGGGACTTTTTGTTGATGTTGTTCTTGTTGTTGCTTTCTATTTGTTTTTCTTTTAACAGTCAGGCTCTTCTTCTGTAGGGCTGCTGCGGTTTGCTGGGGGTTCATTCCAGACCCTATTCACCTGGGTCTCTCCTGCACATGGAGGTGCCACCAGTGGAGGCTGCAGAACAGCAAAGGTGTCTGCCTGCAAGGAAGACATTTTTATTCTCTCTTTAAAAATGAGAAAATGGAGGCTTGGAGAGCTTAAATGACCTGCCTATGAAAATTCAGGTGCCAGGGATAGAACCATGACTTTGGGCAACTGTTTTCACTCTTTTTGCCATATAATGATACATTCTTCCTATAATGTATAGAAAAGCGTCCAGGAAGAAGCCACAGATGAGAGGTGATACACTTTCATAAAAATATGCATGATTAGGTCAAGGTAATGGCAAGTAAAGTATCCAAAAATAATTAAGAACTATAAAACAGAAGTATAGTTTCACCCAGTGAAGTCAAGAGTGAAAGTATCAGATTAATTCCATCCAACATCTCTGGCAGAAATGAGAAATGAGACTCTCATCAATTTTAATTTAATTTAATTAAGAAATTCAACAAATACTTATTGAATGCTTGTCCGCCCCATGCCAGGTATTGTGCTTGACATTGGCGATACAAGCTGAAAACACATGGATGCAATTCCTAGTCCTAAAGGGCTCATGAACCAGAGGGGAGATATATTTATAAACAATCTCAGTATAGTCACTTAAGGGCACTGCAGAGGGTATGATATGTGCAGGGTCCAACAGTAACTTAATTGTCAATCGTGCCTGTGTAGTGAAGCTTCCACAAAAATCGAAAAGGCCAGGGAGTTTTCAGATAGCCAAACACATGGAGGCTTACACATTCACATGCTGCCAAGTCCTCAGGGACAGGAGCTCCCACACTTGGGACCCTTCCAGATCTTGCCCTGTGAATCTCTTCATCTGACCATCTGTTTGGATTCATTAAAATATCCTTTGTAGTGAACCGATAAATGTAAAAAAAGTTTGTTTTTGCTGTGGTGGGTGGGTGTGGCAGGGTGGGAAACACTGAAGATATCAATGAAAAAGTAGTGATTGGGCTGGGATGTTAAGGATGGGTAGAATTTGTTAGGTGGGCAAAGAAGTATTGTTAGCATGAAAAAAACCACTGCCTATTCTTTTTATTTTAATTTTTTTGTAGAGATGGGATCTCCATATGTTGCCTAGGCTATTCTCAAACTTTTGGCCTCAAGAGAGACTCCCAGCTCAATCTCTCAAAGTGCTGAGATTATAAGCATGAGACACCATGCCTGCCCCTGATCACTGCCTATTCTAATTGCTTCAAGAATCCATGTGAAGGGGCAGAATTTGGAATTTTCAGAGCCAGTTCCTCCACCAATATGTGAGTCAATTTTTTTTGTTTTTGAATGAACATGGACTAGAAGAGGGAGTTGAACAGCATTGGGAAGTAGTTAGTTCTAACCGTGCTATTGTAAAATTTCCTTTCCTGAACTTACCATGTATAGCTCTTCTACATGCAGGTGTGTGTGTGTGTGTGTGTGTATCTAGACTTATATTTTTCTTCCTTTTGCTATTGGAAGATGGAGTACAGTATTACTGTGACAATATGTAATTTGATAAAGCACCAATCATATTTCTGATTATATTTATTATTTTCTTACCATAATTAATCAGTATTTCATTAGTATCACATTACATATGTGATATATATAATTATTGTTTACATGTTTAACTGCTGTACCAGCTGTGTGCTTCTAGAAAATGTATTGTTTAGTTTTTTGTTAAACAGTTGTTGTTTCCAGATGGAAACATGTCATCAATATACTTTATTAGAAATTTTAATTTGGCTGTGGCATTCACTAATCAGTATATAGTCAATTAATATTTAACAATTTAAAAAAATTGCATGAATTGCACTGAAATTCCCAGTAATATCTTGTTGCATACTCTGAGCATTGCTTCAAGGAACACTTCTTCAGACAAGAAGATATGGGGTCATATAAAATATCTGGAACAATTGCATGAAATTTGTGATTTTTAGAAAGTCAGATTTTCAAGATCGGTAAGAGTATCTGATTGCAATACTGATTTAATATGACATAATTTAATAAATGCATTAATAATTGGTCACTGAAGAGCATGTTAATTGATTTGTACATTTGCCCAACACAATATAAGGCAGGCAACTACATGCATGTAGACCATGCATTGACAAAGACAGGATGTTCTCTACATGTGTCTCTATATGTGTTATGGCCTGCATAGTCCCAGTGGGAGCTATTCTTTGAAGTTATAATTGAAGTCACTGGGACATGTTATTAGCTCTTAAAGTAATTGATTTACATAAAGCCTCAGAAAAACACTGAATACCTAATGCAAACCCATAGCTGTAGTGATGTTAAATGTAAATAGCCTCTGGGAACTCAGTTCATACAGAGTTTGACACAAAATGTCACCAGGAAACTTGTGCATCTCTGATGTGGGATCATAAAAGAATAAAAACTTTAGTTGATAAATATATGGAAGACCTGAGGATACTCCATGGTCATCGCAGTTATTCTGTGAAGAGCTGATCATGTGAGAAGACTAGTTTCCTTTGGGCAATGTGTGGAAGAAGAGAGTAATACAGACAGCATATTTGGAGTCTAGTGGGTTTTATTTCATTCCACATGGCATTAACATCGGCAGGAAGTACTGATGTTATATGGAAGCACTGATGTTCATATAGTAGTACTGACTTAATGTCTATCCACCTGGGTTAACGTTGTCGGTGGATGACACTGGCTTAGCATTTTATTTTTTTAATCACTAATCTGGATAATGTAATTATGAACATTATTGTGTGTGGACAGCACCAAGATGGAAGGACTTAACACTTCACAGCTCACATACAAAGAGCAGAGCATAATCTTTTGTGTCCAAAAACCTGAGAGCAGTTGCAAATCCTCTTCAGTGACCTAACAGTAGTCTGTGGGTGATCACTAAAATGAGAAAGTACAAGGTGCTACCTTCTGTAGGACCTACTGAGTTGTTAAGAATGACCTGCATGACATTTTGTTCCAACTCAATAGATCTGTACTTAGTCAACATGTAAAGAGACAATAAAACATTGTTCAAAACTCTTGAACTTGCCCCCAAATTTCGGCTGTGTTTTGGTAAGCTATGAATATCTTTTTTCCATCGCTCTTTATTTCTTTCATAATACTTTGTCTTTGCTAGTAATTACGTATTTTTGTGTTTTGGATTTACTAGTTTTAAAAGTAGCGGGACTATGTCTTTTTAAGAAAAATGATCAAGGTATTCCAAGTATTCAACACTTAGTTTGTGTTCTGAGTTTTTTGAAGAATAAATGAGCTACATATTTACTGGCTCTTTCGCAGAAGCCTAGGATTCAGCAGGTTCTTCTTCAAGGACTCTAGTTTGAACTTGAGCCATGCTGACCACTGGGTTCAGACATGTCAGGCATGACTCATTTTTTAGATGTGGGGGAAGGCAGGTGGGAGACCAACGAGAGTCTGTGTCTATTTTGTTGGGATAACTTACATGGGAGGAAGAGCGAGGGAGGCATGGTCCCTAAGCCCTGTTTCCATGAGGGTCCTGTGAGACATAGGACATACATGATGTGTAATGTAAATACGCAAGAGACAATCACTTCTTCTTTCTAGAGCTGTTTTGGTACCTCAAGGGTTGGCATCTTTTGGGAGGGTACAGGTATCACAGGCATGAATGTCTCAATAGAGGAATGGTACCAGTGATGAAAGAGAGACACATTCGATGAAGTGGACATCAAGCAGAGGGTGAAGGAGAAGCAAGTGGCAGAAAGTGTGCATCCTAGACTGTCTCCTAATCCTGGCACATTTTTGGGCTTTCCCAGATATAAGTAGGGGAGGCTTTGACTTTTTAAAGTAAGTGGGAATAAAAGCCAATGTGCTGTGCATTATTTCTGTGTCCGTGACATTATCTGCACCCACAACTTCATGAAGTCTGGGGAAATGTAGGCAGCATTTCTGCCAGAACATTTTTTTAATGCCTTTCTAGCTCATTGGTTGGCAACCTTTTACTTAATAAGGCCAACTGACATCTTTGATGGTAACTAATTGTCTTCCAGACTTTTGGTCAAAAAGTTTTGGGTTGGAGATTCCATGAATTATGGCAAGTTTATTTCTAATTTTCCATGTTTGTTTCTTGAAGGAAGAAACAATAGCCTTGACTTTGTACTCAAGAAGAATGTAGATTCTGGGTGTGAACTCCTATCCTAGCTGGGAAACTCCAGGAGGGCAAAGTCTGTGTCTTAACTCACTTCTGTATCCTCAGTGCCTACCCAGCTCCATGTCTGGTAAACAGGAGATGTTCAGGAAATCTTTTTTTTTTTTTTTTTTTTTTGAGATGGAGTCTCGCTGTGTCGCCCAGGCTGGAGTGCAGTGGCGCAATCTCGGCGCACTGCAAGCTCCGCCTCCTGGGTTCACGCCATTCTCCTGCCTCAGCCTCCCGAGTAGCTGGGACTACAGGCGCCCCGCCACCACGCCCAGCTAATTTTTTTTGTATTTTTAGTAGAGATGGGGTTTCACCGTGTTAGCCAGGATGGTTTTGAGCTTCTGACCTCATGATCCGCCCGCCTTGGCCTCCCAAAGTGCTGGGATTACAGGCGTGAGCCACCGTGCCCAGCCAGGAAATCTTTTTGGAACAATGTTTTATTCTACTTCATAACCATCACAGGGCAGAGTACGTAGAATCATTATTTTCATGGAAAAAGAGAAATAAAAAAGCAAATGAGGGACTCAGCGGATCCCACAATGCTAGATGTCTGAATTTCTAAAAAATCATTTTCCCACATCTCTGCTCTCCACTTTAACAGCTTGATGCTCTGACTTGCTCCCACCTGTGCTCCTGAAGATTCCACCCTACCTGTCAGCTGGGTTCCTGTCAGCAGGCAATGTAGCCCATGCAGGGAACATTCTGAAACTTGCTTAGTGCCTTTTTCCTCTACATGTTATTCCTCGTACTAAGGATTTTAGGTTTAAATTGACTTGCGTGGGACACTCACTGAGATTTGTAGAGAGAAATCCCTGGCTAGAAGGCAGGGATGATACTTGAACCCTGGACCCTGCCCCTCCCCCTACTTCATTTCGCTCCCTTCACATCATTCCAGCCTGCATCTCCTGGTAATTTGATTCTTTCTGGAGGAACATCAAGAATTTAGAATATCATGAACTGCCTTTCTAATGGATGCTGTGATGTCCATCTATAATTGCGATGATAATTTCTGGAAAGAGTAAGGACTGAAATAATGACACAAAATGCCTTAGATTTCATTGGCCTAGTTAAGCCTGTAGTATCAGAATAAGGAATGTGTCGATCTCCTGCCAAAATTGTAATGGTGTCATGTTGTCACATTTTGTCAATGGGAAGGACCATCTGGGCTGTATGCTCCCTGGGAATGGAGCACACATGGGCAGGCCTCCCAGAAGGAAAACACTATTAGGAGTTGCCCGAGACTCATTGATTAACTTGGGGGAAGTTTTATCCTCTTCTTAGATGTTAGTATCCAGGCAGTGGTGCCACCCGAGTTATAGTATACACTTACCCACTCTGAGCCAAGGCTTGGGCAAAGACTGTTTTTTTGTCCTCAATGTCATAGATACATTGAAAGCTCCCTGTTACATTTTAGTTCTATTGATGTAAAATGTTTCAAATAAGAATACCATATGTAATACTTTCCTTGACCAAGATATGCAAATTAATCCAATGAATTGATGTATTCAGTTGATGCATATTTATTGAGTGCCTACTATGTGCCAGACTCTCTTCTCAGCCCTGGGAATACATGAGTGAACAAGTCTTTAAATAGCTCAGAGTTTGCCAATTCAGTTTTATGCCATTTAAGTCTCCATTGTTTTAAAGGGGTGTGTGCTCTAAGCAGGGTCTTATATTGTGGTGTTTTTTTTTTTTGAGGTGGAGTCTCACTTTGTGATGGAGTCTCACAGCAGGCTGGAGCACAGTGGTGTGATCTTGGTTCACTGCAGCCTCTGCCTCCTGGGTTCAAGTGATTCTCGTGTCTCAGCCTCCTGAGTAGCTAGAATTACAGGCACGTGCCACCATGCCTGGCTAATTTTTTTTTTTTTGTATTTTTTTTTTTTTTAGTAGATATGGGGTTTGGCCTCACCATGTTGACTAGGCTGGTCTCAAACTCCTGACCTCAGGTAATCCGCCTGCCTTGGCCTCCCAAAGTGCTGGGATTACAGGTGTGAGCCACTGTGCCCGGCCTTGTTTTCTATTCTCATTGTTTACTGTTTCTTTAGAAACATGACTCAATTATATTCTAGATTTTGTTTTCCTTTCTTTTCCTTTGCTTTCATTTTCTCCTCCTTCCATCTCTACCTCCGCAGCCCCTACCACCCCGCCACCATCACGCAGTGTTTGTCTAAGTGTCACAAGTACATAAAAGACAGTGAGTGGCAATTTAATAACAGAAAATTAAGGTCTTGAGATGTCACTTCCTAGTGAGGAAGTGGAGAAACAGGAAGCTAGCGGCGCAAATATACTGCCATGTAAGAAACAGAGCTCTATCTGCACTTGTTGATTTTTTTAAAGCAGTTTGGTGACCTGTAAATTCAGAAAGTATTAGGAATACACTGACTGTATTAGCTAAGTGATAAATGGTCTTAGTGATGCAGTAGCTGTTAAGTGGAAGTTCCATCAGATTCCTCTTTTCTGAGAGTCTCCTATCTTAAATCTACCTGTCAATTAACATCTACAGATGCATGCGTCTTTCTTGACAGGGAGCATGTTATACAAGAGCAGGTTGACAGGGACCAAGCCTGACTTTATTTGCAGGAGATGTCGCTTTTGTGTAGGCTTCTCCTGAGATCAGGGAGGGGCATAGCGACAATGTGCAGAATCTGAGAAACCTCCACACAATCCCTGACTCCCACAGGTGGTATGTAAAAGTAGGCTTTCCTGATTTTTGTTTTAATATATGATCCCTTTCTATTTGGGATACATGCCCCTCCTTCACTTGGTCTCTTTATTACCTCTGAAGGACATCACTGAGGCTGGGCAATTGCTCTGGAGGAAACCAGCATCAGAATGCTAGGTGGTTGAAATGGTTTGGCTTTGTACCCCACCCAAATCTCATCTTGAATCGCAATCCCCAGGTGTTGAGGGAGGGACCTGGTGGGAGGTGACTGGATCATAGTTGCAGTTTCCCCCATGCTGTTCTCATGATAGTGAGTGAGTTCTCATGAGATCTGATGGTTTTGGGGGGGCTCTTCCCCTTATGCTTCTGTCACATGCTCTCTGGCCTGCTGCCGTGTAAGACATGCCTGCTTCCACCTCCACCATGATTGTGTTTCCTGAGGCCTTCCTAGCCATGCAGAACTTTGAGGCAATTAAACCTTTCTTTATAAATTACCCAGCCTCCGGTATATCTTTATAGCAGTGTGAAAACGGACTAATACAGTGGTGGTGTTTGCCTTCTGAGGACATGTGGTCTGTGGAGGAAAGTGGTTCCCCGGGCAAGGAATTAGACTGTTCTGGATGCTGAGAGGGGCTAGAGACTCTGCCTCCTTCTTGGCCAGTGAGATCATTGCCCAAGTCCAACCTCTCAGAGTGATTCAGTTGCTGACCTGAGTTCTACAATCACTGCAACAGCCCCTGGCTTGGCAGAAGTGAAACAGGTTTTGCATACACTATTTGTGATTCTTGGTTAAATTCATGTTTCTTTAAGATCCCGTAGTTTCTTCTGTTACCGTCTTTTTCTGTCCCCATTCAGTTTGAATGCCACATCAGGGTTGGGATTGTATTAGTGTTTTCACGTTTCAACAAACACAAACTAAGTATTTTTCCAGTGTCAGTCACGAGGAAAAAAATTAGTCTTGCCAATTTTGTTTATTTACTTGTTCATTTGTCATTCATTCAGTCAAAAATATCTTTTGAGCACCTACTTTATTCCATGCATTGTTGGAGGCATAGGAATATAATAGTGAACAAACATAGACAACTTTTCCTGCACTAATATTCTGGAAGGGAGAGAGAAACAATAAACAAACAAAGACATGATATGTCATGTAGTGAGGAATGCTATGGAGAAAAATACTGCAGGAACAGGAGGGTGAGATTTCTGTGTTTTTTTTTGTGAGATGGCGTCTCACTCTGTCGCCCAGGCTGGAGTGTGGTGGCAGGAACTTGGCTCACCACAACCTCCGCTTCCTGGGCTCAAGTGATTCTCCTGCCTCAGCCTACCGAGTAGCTGGGATTACAGGCATGCACCACAATGCCTGGTTTTTTTTTTTTCTTTTTTTGGTATTTTTAGTAGAGGTGGGGTTTCACCATGTTGGCCAGGCTGGTCTCAAACTCCTAACCTCAAGTGATCCACCTCAGCCTCCCAAACTGCTGGGATTACAGGCGTGAGCCACCATGCCTGGCCAGGAGGTTGAGATTTTAAACACGGAAATCAGAGAAGACTCTTATGGGAAGGTGATATTTAACTCAAAAATGGAAAAACTAACTGTATTTCCTATTTTCCTGGAATGCATTGTCCCCAGTCTCCATGACAATGTATATCCTACCTGCCCTATAAACCAAGCCACAGTGGTTTTCAAGGTTTTACTGAAAAAATATTTGTTGTTTATCTGAAATTAAAATTTAACTGGGCCTTTTGGCTGGAACTGCCATCTTTCAGTAATTTGCCAAAGTGATGAACGTAGAGGGAAAGAGGAGAGGCACCTGATAGATGTCCTCCAGGCCTTTCAGAAAATATTGAGTTGCTCTTATAAGAAAGGTAATATTGTAGACATCAAGGGAATGGGTACTGTCCAAAAAGGAAGGCCCCACAAGTGTTACCATGGCAAAACTGGAAGAGTCTACAATACTACCCAGCATGCTGTTGGCATTTTTGTAAATAAACAAGGTAGGGGCAAGATTCTTGCCAAGAGAATTGATGTGTAGATTGTGCACGTTAAGCACTCTGAGAGTCAAGATAGCTTCCTGAAATGTGTGAAGGAAAATGATCAGAAAAACAAGGAAGCCAAAGAGAAAGGTACCTGGGTTTGACTGAAGCGCCAGCCTGCTCCATTAGAGAACACTGTGTAAGAACCAATGGGAAGGAGCCTGAGCTGCTGGAACCTCTTCCCTCTGGAGTCATTGCATAATAGACGTAAAAAAAATAAAAGACCTCTGGATGTTTCTTTTCACTGAGTAGAAGTGTGATGTCCCCTCCCCCAAATAAATCTTTAAAGCCAAAAAACAGATTTACATGTGTGTCCTGTGTTTTGTCTGGCATCCCTGGCATCCCAATGTCCCCCACTCCCAGCTGGAAATATTCCATCTCCCTTAGGAACCGCCTTGCCACCCTCTTCCTCTCTCATGGCACTGTTGGCTCCTGTGTCCTCACAGTTATATGGAGACAAATTTTATTGCTCCTGCTCTATGAAAGCAAATTCAGGTCAAACCTTACCTGATTATTTTTTTAAATTTTTCATTTTTAAGTTTTATTTTTTAAAGACAGTATCTCACACCATCACCCAGGCTGGAGTGCAGTGGCATCATCCTAGCTCACTGCAAACTGTAACTCCTGGGCTCAAGCTATCTTCCTACCTCAGCCTCCCAAGTAGGGACTACAGGCACATGCCACCAATTTTTTATGTTTCTTGTAAAGTTGGTGTCTCACTTTGTTGCCCAGGCTGTTCTCGAACTCCTGGCCTCAAGCAATCCTCTCTTCTCAGCCTCACAAGGTGCTGGGATTACAGACATGAGCCACTGCGCCCAGCCTGACTCATCTCTTTGTCTCCTCAACATGTAGCAGAGAACTGGTACTTAGTAGGTGCACCTATATTTGTTTAATGGATGCACAGGGTGCTTATATAGACTTTGAGATGAGAATGTTTGTGAAATAAGCAAGTTCTTCAGGGTCACAGCCTTTTACCTGACAGCAGAGTCATCTGCCACCTCAAGTTTGTGTTTCTCAAAATACTAAGTAGGCTAAATGTCTCAATTGTCTGCTCCCATATTCTTCTCTGTTGAAGTATCAGGTGACACCTTGCTCAGTACAAAGTATTTAGGCTGCTCTTGCAGTAAGCACACACTAACACAGTTGCTCGTTGACTGATATATATATATGCATTTGAGAGGCCTCCCAAGGCTGGGTAGAACTAGATACTCCAACACTTGGTGATTGATCTGAATCGCTAGGGTGGAGTCTCTGAGGATGTTCATCTGGTTGGAATTCCAGGGATCTTGAAGAGTTATGTAGTTCAAACCTCCCCAGATTTGCGGGGTTTCCCTCTAGATGTTTTCACCCCATTATTTGTCATCCAGCAGGTACCAAGCATTTCCGATAGCATGAACCATGTGACTTCCCAATACTCCTTGTGACTTTTAGTTCCTTTCCTCACCCATTCCACAGTCTTTGTCTTCCCAGAGTGTAGAGCTCTGGGCAAGCCAGATCAGGTTTCCATCGGTGTCCTTTCTGCAAGTGTTTCTGGGGCGGCTGCCTCGGCCCTGTGTTATCTGTCACCGCTCCATCTGCTTTCTGTCTCACAGAAATTTGCCAAAATCTATCATCCTCTGATGGCTTTCCTCCCCTCGTTTCTTGCTGTAGGTTTATACATTTTTTATCATTTAGTTTTTTTTTTTTTTAAGAGGCTGTCTGGAAGGAGACGAATTAAACATGTGAGTTTATTTTGCTATCTTGCAGAAGTCTGCAATGCAATCTTAAATATTCCATGTGACCCCTTTTTGCCTTAAAATGTCTCTTAAATCAACCACATCTAGTCATAATATTCTCACTTCCTGGGAATCATGACACTTAGGAAATCACTGTGAATCCTGCAGGAGCCAGGGGTGTGCTGGAGTGCACTCATACCAATATATGAGAGCCGATTCTGTGGATCTCTTCCTAGCTCTGCCATGTTGGTACCTTGGCATTGGCCATGTGGGAGAATTTACACCATGGAAATTGGCAAATGCTACAAATCTTGCTTCCTCCAGACCCTACACAGAGCCAGTCATCTGAGTATATTTTGTGGGAGCAAGGTTAATGTGGAATAAAATCTTTTTCCCACAACACTCGGGCACTCATCATCCCTTAGCAAAATTCCTTATTAGCCTGGCTAAGCAATCCCTTGACAGTCAGGGAGTAGAGTTGGAGAGAATGTGGTACATTTCAAGAAAGAGGAATTTTAATTGCAGAAAATCAGGTCATAAAGGCCCAGAGCACAGCAAATTTCAAGAGAGCCATTTGGAGAGAGCCATCCTAAAGAGGTATTGCTAAATGAAAGCAGGAGCAAGTGCCAATGCTAACTTCAAAATTAGCTGAGGATTTTAGAGGATGAACAAGGAGAGTGCTTGATGCAGAGACAAAAAGTCTGTTTTTTCTTCTGGAAGGAGCTGACCTTGCTGGAGCTAGGGTGAATCATTTATTTCCCCTTTTCTTCTCCCTGCAACAGGGACCTGACACATATGCTTAACTACCAGGAACAGCAGCAAGTGCAAACACCTGCTGGCACTGCTAATTACCAAACACCCCCCAGGATGAGGGCACGGGCTTAACACCTGGGCAGAGGTAGCTGACTCTGTTAGAACTAGAGAACGTTCGCTTTGCAGTTACTGCAGATATCTGGATCATTAATCAGAGAAATAGTGCTTTGTACCTGAGAAGTAAAGCCTGAGAGAGTCTTTTACTTTCGATTAGCAGGCATTTGTTACAAAAAGAACACAGACAGATTTCCTTAGCTTTTCTGTAGCAGGGAACATTGACACCTTAGAAGAGCCTGATGTGAACTCATTTGTATTTAGGTAAAATTTGTTGCCTGAAACATTAGTGAAAGGTGTACTCACCAGATTGCCTCCTCTGCAAATGATCATATAGTACTTCTTTATGATCAGGTTGTGCAGCTATTTATTTTAAACCGAGGCACTTCGCTAACGTGAGTAATGTAATGACTGTTAAAAGACTACTGAAAACACTATTTGACCATCTCCCTGATATAGTTTGGCTCTGTGTCCCCACCTAAATCTCATGTTGAATTAAGATCTTCAGTATTGGAGGAGGGGCCTAGTGGGAGGTGATTGGATCACGGGTGCAGATTTCCCTCATGTTGTTCTCCTGATAGTGAGTTCTCACAAGATCTGGTTGTTTAAAGGTGTGTAGCACTTCCCTCTTCACTCTTTCTCTCCTGTTGCCATGTGAAGATGTGCCTACTTCCCCTTTGCCTTCTGCCTTGACTGTGAGTTTCCTGAGGCCTCCCCAGCCATCCCTTCTGCACAGCCTGCAGAACTGTGAGTCAATTAAATCTCTTTTCTTTGTAAACTACCCAGTCTCAGGTAGTTCTTTACAGCAATGTGAGAACGGACTAATACATTCCCTTTCCTTTTTACTATGTCCTGCAGCCTTTTTAGTATTTCTAACTTATTTGTTGTTGGAAAATTAATAATTGCAATATTTTTTGAGTATTTTCTACACGCCATTTTACTGGGCACTGTGGTAAGAACTGCATAAAAATGAACTCATATAATCCTTATAACAACTCCATTAGAAAGGAATTGTCTCTTGTGTCCCCCGTCTCCTACAGCCAATTTACAGATGAGGAAACTGAGGCTTGGAAAGGTTAAGAGAGCTGACTAAGGCCTCTTTCCATCTATCTGGCCTGCCCATTTTGATGCTTTTGAGGGCAACATGCAGGAGAGAGCTGTCTCTTCGCACTTATCTCAGAATGGGATATTTTGGCATTCTTTCAATTTTGAGTCTCTGTCACAACTCAAGTTTTTTCCTCACTCAGCTGATTTGTGACAAGGGTCCCCTCTGCCTTCCTGGGACTATGGGTCAGGCATGTAGCCTGTGCTTTCTAGAAAGGGAACTAATGTTCTGTGGCCTGGAGCAAATGTTCACAACCAACCTGTACAGGGGACTCGTATCAAGATTATATCTGGGTTTTGAGATTAAGTGAAGTCATTGTTTTTCTGGTTCTGTGCATAAACTTTATAATTGATATTATTGTACACTGTGTTGTAAATGTTAGTAATTTTCTACTTGTCTGCACTGCAGATGTTTAAAGGATTTTTGTAGTTATTTTAGAATAAAGAAAAATGGGAAAGTCTGTGTCTTCCACTCATGAACCTGAACATAATTTCTACTTTCAAGATAATGTAAAAGGAAGTATATTTCATCTAGGCACCATGGCTAGAAAACAAAAAGCAACAACAAGAGCCCTTTGAAGACAATTAATCTTCCTCAGAGTAGTATCTCTATTGCAGACATAATCCAAAAGGGAGCTTGGTTATTTATCTGCTGCCATTTGAGGAGATAACAAAAGTTAAGATTTCTTCAAAGCAAGTGCTAATCACATAACTTTTATTTAAACATTTACAAATTAACATGAAACTATCATTCTAGGAAATTCTTGGACTTATTTGAACCTCTTTTATATTCACCAGAATTGAAGGGATTTTAAATCAAGGTGAGATAAATTGTATTGAGTACTGCTTCTCAAAATGTAAGCTAAACCACCTGCATCAGAATTAAATGGGCTGCCTATTAAAACGCAGGTTTCTAGGCCCCAACTGGACTTATTGAACCAGCATCTTTGTGTTTTGGGCCCAGGAATCTGACTTTTTAGAGAGTTTTTCAAGTGACTCCCCTCTTCCCATGCCACACACTATAATGATTGAGAGCTACTGGAATGGAGGAAAATACCTCAGCTTTATTGTCTTACAGACCTGAATCTTGGCTATGTCATTTCACAGTAGAATGACCTTGGCAAAATGCTTAACTTCTTGGTCTTCCTGTTTTCTCATTTGTAAAATGAGAATACTACTACTTTCCTATAAAGGATAGATGTCATGTATAAAAGCTGCCTGGTACAGTGCCTGGCATACTGTAAATTCTCAACACATGCAGCTATTATTACTGCTCTTTCATCACTATGGTGAAATAGCCTCTCTGGATGCCAACAGAGCTGAGAGTCTCATAATACATCATTTCATACTTTGCATCAATTAACTTTTCAAGAGGTTAACTTGAAGTGGAAGGAAGACATTGATGGAATGGAAGAATGTGTCATTCAGGAAAGCTGCGGTCACCTGTGGTTTGAGAAATGCCCTCTCCCAGAGCAGTGGTTCCTGAACCTCAGAAACCATCAGACACTCCGAGAGTACTTATTACACATGCAGATTCTGGGGCTCCACGTGGTGCTGGCCAAATCAGAGCTGTGACATGGAGACCCAGAATTTGTATATATAATAAGCTTCTAAGTTGATTCTTAGGAAGCACAGAACAATTTTGGGGAGCACAGCCTAGAGAACTAAGTGTTTTATCTCCCTGATGTTATAGAACTCTTTTCTTCCTTCCGATCCAAACACTGAATCCAGGGAATATGACTTCAATTGGCAATGGTGATACTAGTGGCAGTAGTAATAATTAGTAAAAATAATAGCTAACACTTATTGAGCCCTTTCTGTGAGCCGGGTATTGTTTTAAACTTTAGATGCATTGATTATTTAATCCTCACAGCAGTACACAAAGACAGGTGATATGATTATCTACAGAGAGAAAACAGGCAGAGTTGCCAAGTGCAGAGCAAGGCTGGGGAGCTTGTGCCCTTAACCACTAGGCTACACTGCATCGTTCTACTTAAGCAAAGAACAGATGAATTTAAGAGTCAGTTAAGATACATTGAGTTCCTTCCCTCTGCATTTCCAAAGTAAGAAGAGAGCTTTACGTCTTTAGCTTAAATGAGAATCAAGTTTTGCTAGTTAGGAGGAGGGGGAGGGTTTGCAGCCAGGTCAGCCTTCTGGGAAGCTGGTGTGGGGAAGGGACCGACCCAGGCAGACACCACAGATGTTCTGGAACAGTCTTGTCAGGTAGCTTGAACCAGATTATGGGATCATGGTTAGACAGAGGCACTAGCCTGGCCTTCTCCCCATTCACTGCAACACGCTGGCACACTGCGGGATTCACAGGGAGGGGCTGCGCGGTGTTTCCTCCCTAAGCATGACAGTGAGCGGAGAAAGCTAGCCTTAAGGCTCAGCACCGTACTCCTGCCAGGAAAGCAAGCATCTTTCTGCTTGGAATCCTCCAGGGCTTATTTGTAGGTCCTTGGAGGCTATTTCCTTTTTTTTGCCCCAGGCCCAAGACTTCATTTTTTTTTTTTTTTCTATTAAGTCACTCTCCCTTCAAAAATGGCTGGTGTTTCCATCTTCAGTGTCCCTGAAGATAAGCTTGCAAACTCTTTATTATAACAGTCTTACTAATAGTTGCTGGAGGGAACTAGGAAATGGCAGAAACCAAACCTAATGAGCACAGCCAGAATACACAGAAGTGGAGAATCAAATAGTGTTTTCAATACCGCCGATGTACCTGGGATTGTTCCTGACTCCCTTTCTCCTTCAATCAGGTTATCTTTTATTCATTTTATCTCTCCTAACCTCTACAGTTCTGGTGTACCAGAGAGGACTCCTTATCAATCTCAGTCTGTTCACTGAGCAAGCAGGCCTGGTGACTTTGCTATGTAGAATAAATGTTGTTAATACTATGTACTAAGTGCTGTTTCTAGGGCTTCTAATGCTCGCTTTCTCCAACTTGAGTGTACAGTAGAATCTCCCAGAGATTTTGGTATAATTGCTGGACCCTACCCCTGGAGTAGGTCTGCTATGGGAATGAGAATTTGCGTTTCTTTCTTTCTTTCTTTCTTTTTTTTTTTTTTTGAGACAGAGTCTCACTCTGTTGCCCAGGCTAGAGTGCAATGGCACATTCTTGACTCACTGCAGCCTCTGGTTCCTGGGTCTCCTGCCTTAGCCTCCTGAGTAGCTGGGATTACAGGTGCACTCTACCATGGCTGGCTAATTTTTGTACTTTTAGTAGAGACAGGATTTTGCCATCTTGGCCAGGCTGGTCTTCAACTCCCGACCTCAGGTGATCCTCCTGGCTTGGCCTCCCAAAATGCTTGGGATTATGGGCATATAGGCATTAGCCACTGTGCCAGGCCTTTGTCTTCTTTTTTTTTTTTTCCCAAGACAGGGTCTTGCTCTACCACCTAGGCTGAAATTCAGTGGCCTAATCATAGTTCACTGCAGCCTTGACTTCCCAGGCTCAAGTGATCCTCCCAACTCAGCCTCCCTAGCACCTGGGACTATAGGCATGTGCCACCACACCCAGCTAATTTTTGTAGAGATGGGGTTTTGCCATGTTGCCCGGTTGGTCTTGAACTCCTGGCCTCAAGCAATCCACCCGTCTTGACCTCCCAAAGTGTTGGAATTATGGGCGTGAGCCACCACGCCTGGCCTGGATAATCTGCATTTCTAACAGCTTCTTAGCTACTACTGCTGCTTCTGGTGAAGGAACTACACTTAAGAGAATCACTGCTCTGCTAAACCCAGGCATGTAGATATAACTCAGACTGAAAATCAGTCATTCCAAGGAGTAAGGGGACCAGATAAAATGCAAAATGCCTATTTAAATTTGAATTTCAGGTAAACATGAGTTTTTAATGTACAGATGTCCCGAATATTGCATGGGACATACTTATACTAAAAAATTATCTGTTGTTTATCTGAAATTCAAATTTATTGGAGTGTCTGTGTATCCTGCATATTTATTTAAGTCTGGCAACTCTATTTCAAGAGCAGATTTATGAGCCTCTTGATAGTATAATAGCTATCCTGGTGACTCAGGCTATCTTCTTTGGTATTTTCCTTCCACCTCTCTAGCTTTCAGGCTCCTAGCATGGATCTCCTAACTTTGAGATGGGTCCTTCCTGTCCCAATCTTCCACTGAGACACCCTCTGGGATCCATTATTATCCCAGGGTAACTGTAGTAGTGTCCCCTGGAGCTTAGTATGACCATGTGTCCCCAGGGGGGCATTCTTCTTCTGTATCTGAATCTTACAATACGCTTTAATAGTGAGGATTTCTGGTCGAGGCAAAAGGTGAAGCCCACAAAATACACAGTCAGCTTCCTACTTTGTGAATGCCAGGATCAGCTAAGCTGATGCACCGGAGGACTCCTTACCAAGCTCAGTCTATCCACTGAGCAAGCAGGCCTGGTGACTTTGCTATGTAGAATAAATGTTGTTAATACTATGCAGTAAGTAACTTGGCAAGTTAAAGATTGCCAAGGTAAAGATTGGAGTCTGTGTTTGCTTTTAAAATCCCAACATTTCTCCTGTAGATGCATTTCTGAAGTTTGACAAGCTTACTTGCTAGCATGCGTCAACTTCAGAATGTTTGTAAAAGTAGCAGGAGATTTTATTTGACGCTGATTATAAAAGGGATGATAACGACAAGACAAATCCTAAAATTATAGAATGGAGATCAATCTTATGAGACTTGGGTTCAATTAGAGTTTAACATCCAAGGCCCTGTCTTCTACTTCTGGTCATTTCCAAAAGGAACACTGTATTAGGACTCACAGCCCATCATCATGGTGAAGACAGCAGGGTTTGGACCTCACAATTTTCTGGAGTTAACATTTTTGTTAACTCCAGAATTTTTGGAGTTAACATTTAGAAAGACAACATAGTTCTCTTGTTTCAGATACTAATTATTCTGATTCAAAGAGCAGTATCTCGAAGTGTTTTTCCAGTAATATAGTCCTATTTCTAGCACTCTAATAAAGCTAATCAGAGCCCTGAGGCTTTATTTTTGTTTTTCTCTGAGGAATGGAATTCTGTTAAGTATTTGTGTCATAATTCTATAACCTACCATTGTTTGAGAAACAGATGTTACAGGATAATGCAGTCAAAAGCGAGAAGAAATGACTAGCTGAGAACAAATATTTATTTTTGCATGCTATGCCCATCTATCTAGTGCCTTCCCATAATGATTCGTCAATGAATGAAAAGTCAAGTAATAAATGTGTCTGTTGTTTGTGTGCAAAAATGTTATTACTAACACACCCTTAGCAGTGGCATACATTTTGAGTGTTTTTCCATTAGTCGTGATGTATTTGGTTAATGCCGCTCATAGGCTGTTGCCTGACCATACTGACAATCAGTAGCTGGCATCTGCAAAGTAGATGGCCAAGAATTTCTGGTGTTTTCTGTGGTCAAGGAAAAGTGCCAGATTTTTGCTTCTAAGGAAGAATGAGCCCATTTTCTCAACCCCGTTAACATTGTGTCTTTGCACTGCATAGCACATGCTGTAATACTACATGGCAACAGATGGGGATAGCAGAGATTTGGAGGATTTAATAAAGTTGAAAGGTTTTATGCGTTTTCTTACCAGGAAAGCCAACCTCCTCTATTCTTGCTATACACTCCATGTGCTAACTAAAGACCAAATATAGCAGCAGGAAAAACAGTAGCCAGTTAATGAGTTCTCAATTTACATTCCAAACTAATAAGCTAATTTTTTGTTTGTTTGGCTTAACAGGTTGAGCTTTATTTACAAACCATTAACCAGCCATTAATAAATGAAAGAGTTTGGATTTCATAAATATTTTTTAAATCACACAACACATTTAACATTTTAATACTCAGAAATAATGTCTGTTTTAGGCAAAATCCAAGATTTAACTGAGATCCCATTACCTGCAAATAGCCCAGACATTCTGATGCAATCCAATGGAGAACTGGTAGTGGACTTCATTTAGGTCATGACTCTGCCATTTACTAGTGTGTGACCTTGGCAAGCTACCCAAGTTCTCTTTGCCTCAGGTTCCTAATTTTTGTCAAATGGAGGCAATCGTTATTACCAACCTCATAGGAATGTTTCTAGCATTAAATGAAACAATGCTGATCAAGTGCTTAGTACAGAGTGAGCACTCAATATATATTAGCTGTAAATACAATAAAATAAGACACAATGTAAACTCCGTCCTTGGCTATGCCTTGATAAATCTCTTATTACATTTGCAATTATTGCATGAAGTAGAGACTATATTGCCTACTTGCCAAAATTCAGCCAATGATTATTTAAATTTTGGAATAAACACATTTTACATACTAGGGATTCACTGGATACCACTAGTAAATACATTAAGGGAGCACCTAATAAATTAAAGACCTCTTATATTTTAGGTCATTGTTCTAGAATAAACTTTTATCTAAAGCTGTGAAGAGACAGTACTAAATAAATATAGTTTCATTTGACTTCATTAAATATAGTTGTTTCTAATATCATTTTCTCATTTATTAATAAGCTTTAGTAATTTAAAATTCTCTTAATTGCTCTTCTCTGTAATAATATTTCAACTGACCTGGACTGTGAAATCATATATTAATTATATGCTTTACATTGAACATTTTAACACTTATTTTCAATTTCTACTTGATGAAAATGTTATGTTTTTCATATAGCATGTGCTTGAAAAGTAAGTTTTTTGCACTGCAATTTATTGAAATACAATAATCCAATGATAACAATGACATATAATTCAATACATGTACATACAATAATACAGTGCCATATTTGTAATTTGTTTTGATTGATTAAATTGATTTTACACTAATTGTTTTGGATTTGGCCTTGGCACTTTGATAACACATACATTTGTAGCTTGGTGCATTTTCTATCAGGCGAAATGAGGAGGGAGAGCCAGTGTGTCTATGGTGCTAAGAAAGGAGGATGTTTACTTGGTCGGTGTAATGTTGGATCCATCAAACAAAGGGGACCAGCTTCATTTATGCAGACTCTAACCTTTGCCTGCTATAGTCATTGCTAACATGAGGACAAAAGCTGCAGTTGGAAAGATCTGAGAAGAGAAAGCTTGAAGTGGAGGAAACTCTAGTCTTTTGAAATATATCTTATGGTTGTGAGTGTGGTGTGGTTATTTGTATGGAGAAACGTGACCAACCCATTAGACTTCAAAGTTATACTTTTACGCATTTGTCATAATTTCCCCTATCATAAGTCATGGTGTATGTAATCACTTCTAATTCCAGAGGCTGGTTATTGTTGTTGTTTTTAATTTATTTGCATCATTTATTTGGTTCATGTCATTGTTTCTAACCCTCCTTGTTGAAATCTTCCAGGAAGCAACCCTTGTTTACAAGAGGAAACAAACAAGCTTTCCTCTTATAAAAGCTCCTGTAAGTCCAACTTTCTTTTGGACATACATCCTTCAGTACATAGGGTGTATCATTCCACTGACTGTAACACCAAGGATTTTCATAATCACTTTTCACCCCTGGAATATCATATTGCAGGAAGTATTTTGAAGGTTTTGTTTTTCCCCCGTTGAAGTATTGTTTCTAAGTCTATGATTTTTGGATTTGGGCAGAAGTACCACTAAGCCCTTGGAAAACCAGTGAGTGGAAACTGTACTCTCTTTAGAGCTTTGGATTCTGTGGTTCTGGCTCTCCCTGCAGCAGGCATGGCTTGGTGACGAAGGATAGTAGTGATGGAAGAGAGTTGGACAAGTTAGATGAGGTGGCATCAGTGGTAGTATGGGTGCTTAGATCATTCAAATTGTGAAAACTTAGTGTCGATGATTTCCTGGGTGCAACCATTTTCTTTGGTGTGGCCCCCAGTTTCCATGATGATGCTGTCATGAATCACAGAGGCCCAAGAATCAACAGATAGGGGTGTGGGGAAGGAAGGGCATTGGCTAAGGGGACACACAGAACAGCAAATCTTCTGTGTCTTCTGTTTGCTCTCCCACTTTGCTTGAGGAACTTAAGAATCCCTTTGGGGGCTATTTTTGAAACTACTCTAATGTTAGGACATGCACCCCTACTCTAGTTTCCTCCTCTGTGGTCATCGATCAAGGTTTCATTTCGGTGGTTCTTTTTTCCATGAGGGACTCTGTATAAGCTATGAGTGTTCTTGAAAATCATCTCTGTAAAAGTGAAATACACATTTTCTGGTTCAATTATTCTGTGAATTGTTCTGATAAAATCAATTCCCATTTTATATCTTAAATGTTTTGCAGGACTTAGAAGAAGAGACAGAGAAGCATTGCATCATACCCAGCACATGAGCTTGGTCTTTTCCCAATATTCACAAAGGCCTGTGCTTATTGTCTTGTCTTAACTCATTTCGTCTCCTTTTGTTCAGTTAATGGCTGATGTCATGTCTCTTGGCTCTTCCTGAAAGATAAGCTGGGCTTGCATTGTTTATTTTTTTACATACTAGCACGTATCAAGTCATATTCAACAGAACTAGCATTATTAGTCACTTACTGTATATGCTTTATATACTGAGCCTTATTCAGGATACCTTTATATCTTTCCTCATTTAAATCTTGACTCAAGGATACAAGATGAACATTCCTTTCACTCTCAATAAGAGGTTCTGAAACTCAGGAAGTGTAAATAATATGTTCAAGGTTAAATATCTAATGAATGGTACACACATATTCAAAACTAATTCAATTCAACTCCTAATTTCATGTTTCTTCACTAGGCTACAGTAAAAAACTTTGAACTTTTATGGTAAAGACTCAGAACTTTGCTTTTTGAGTGCTGGATTATTTCATATATAGCTCAACACTGTTTTTATGTCATTTGGATTTCTTTCCAGATAATGTTTTCCTTCCTACACTCTCACTGAATTTCAACATTCACAAATCAAGATTCCTTTTTCTGTGGTTCAAATACATAGTATCGATTCATTCTATTTTCAGCACAGTGCAAGGCACTGTAGGGGATACAAAAATAAATGAGCTGTTGTCGAGAATCTTAGGAGCTTCCATTTTAATAGCAAAGGAGTGAGTATAAGACCTATGTGTAAATGTCCGCAATGTGGAAGCAGAATAAAAGTGCCATTATTGAGACGCAACCCGTGGTAAGGAATTCACAAGGAGGAGAAGGCAACTGCAGAAGCCTCTTATCTGTGGATCTTCGTTAAGGTTTGCCTTATTTGCTGTGGTGCTTACGAAGGGTGGGGAGCAGAGACAATGGTTGTTGGTTCCATTTAATAGTTCATTGTCATGGCTATTTTGTGCAAATGGCTTACATTTGGTGAGAAATAATAAATGCAAAAGAGAATCTAGGCAGGAATAGGACATGCAGATATTCCTTTATTTTGATGAAATTTGCTTCAGGGTATGACAGTGAAGATAACTTCTAACAGAGTGGAAAAAAAAAGCCTACCCCTCTCACCATAGTTACATTCAGTCTGACAACCAACAAGTTCTTCATTCAATTTAATGCTAAATATACGAAATTTATTGAGTCGGGAGGAACAATGATGAACTGAAGCTTATATTCTACAGACAAAATAGAATGTCTATAAAAATAAATACCCCATGGTAGGAAGTGATAAAAATCATTAGAGAAGGACAAAAAAAGTCATCGTTCTATTTGGGAGAAGGAAGAGGTTATTTTTACTAGAGGGATCAGGGAAGACTATTAGAAGGAGGTGATAGTTAATATGAATAGTCAATTTCTGTTAATTGCTAACTAACCAAATACCAGGCTTGGACTATCTTAATCATTTATTAGCTCATTTAATTCTTGCAAACACCCTGTAAGGTGGATGCTATTATTCTCTCACTTCTTCTGCCCCAATCCCCATTTTTTCAGGAAGCAAAACGAAGGCATAGAGATTAAATAGCTTGCAATAAGTGGTGCAGTTTGGCTCTAGAGTCTGGCCATTTAACCATAGAGCTCTATTCCTCACCAGACTGCATCATGGAGGTTGAATGTAAGTGGATTTCCCACACAAGCTAATAGAGCTAGTAGATAAACAGTGGGAGGAAAGGGTGAGGAAAGGATGGAGAATAAGGTCACACAATTTAGGAAGAGTGATGTACAGAGGGAAATACTTGTAAAAAATAAAAGGGAAGGTTATGTAATGCCAGAGTAGAGTCAGGTCATGGAGGACACTGATTAGCTCTTTAAAGGGGTTGTACTTTAGTATTTATTGTTGACAGTTTTTGAAAAGTCTCATCATATGACACAGGTTGGCTGCTGGAGGACTAATCTGATGTTCATATACAAGATAAATATGAAGGTTATCTAGAGGTAGCAAGACCAGTGAGGAGGTTCTAATCAATAAAAGGGAACGTGACTTTGGGTGATGGAAGTGAAGATGACAAAGAGAAATTGCAAAAGTGGCAGCGAGGAATTACACATGGAAGTCACGGAAGTGCAAAATTGTGAGATAGATTTTACTTTTTGAGAAATAGAGGGATTGAAAGAGATACTTTGAGTTTTGAGCATGGGTTATTGCAAGGATAGGGGTGTTATCAAGACAGCTTTGGAACAGAGAGGCTGTGAGGTTTGAGTAACAAATAGGTTAATTTCGCACATAGAGTGATGTAGATGAGCTGTCAGGAGGCTAATTCTTAGACAGCAAGTCTGATAATTAGTCTGATGATATTTGACTGCATTCAACAGGGTTTAACCTTTTTTACCCTAGACCAAAGCCAGAGCCTGATAGGGAAAGAGTGTACCATGAGATTTGGGATGGTGTCTATGTAGATACACAAGAGCACCCTGAATTGACAATTTCTCTGAACCTTGTGGACTTTCCCCTTTATTGGAAGATAGAACCACCCCCTCCCCTTTACTTGAAGACAATGCAGAAACCTCCAATAAAGTAGGTGCTTTATAAGACAATCCTGGCTTTCTTAGGATCTTCCCCTATTTTCTTCCTGGTCACCAGACCAATTACCAGGGCTATATCTCAGCAAGACTCAACTGGGTGGGTATTGGGACGACCAAAGGAGCAGATGGACCTGGTTCACCCAAATCAGTGAGGAGGATGACTGAGAGTGGATATGGGGGTTCTGGATCAAGGGGGGAGACTAAAGGTGGGTAATGAAGAATTGTCAATATGGGGGCATGTTCTTGTGATACAGCATTTAGCACCGTGGAAAGGAACCCAGAAGATGATTTCTAATGTATCACTGGGATAGATCAGGAGGCTTGGAAAAAGTGATGGGCCACATGAAAAGAAGTAGAGATGTCAGAACAGCCAGGGCAGACTGTGGAGAAAAGGAAAAATGAGTAGAGAGAAGCAGGCATGTAAAGAGTACTCTAATATGGGAGACTTGAACACTTGCCAGCTGACTGTCTTCCTTGGGAGGAAACACTCTGCCAAGGTCATAAGGGATACACCATGCAGAGGGGACATCAGCATTGCTAAGAAGCTTGCCTTCTTCTGTGGGCTGACAATAGGAGATACTATTTCAGAAATGAAGAATCTAGTGGCAGAGTTTGGTGCAAATAAAAAATGTGGGATTCCAAAGGAATATAAATTATTCTGTTATAAAGACACATACATGTGTATGTTCATTGCAGCGCTATTCACAGGAGCAAAGACATGGAGTCAACCTAAATCCATCAATGACAGATTGGATTAACAAAATGTGGTACATATACACCATGGAATACTATACAGCCATTAAAAAGAATGAGACCACGTTCTTTGCAGGGAAATGGATGGAGCTGAAGGCCATTATCCTTAACAAACTAATGCGGGAACAGAAAACCAAATACTGCATGTTCTCACTTATAAATGGAAGCTAAATGATGAGAACACATGGACACATAGAAGGGAATCACACACACTAGAGCCTTTTGGAGGGCGGAGATGGGAAGAGGGAGAGGATCAGGAAAAATAACTAATAGATATTAGGCTTAACACCTGGGTGATGAAATAATCTGTACAACAAACTCCCATGACACAAGTTTACCTGTGTAACCTGCACATGGACCCTTGAACTTAAAAGTTGTAAAAAGTGGAATTCTTGTTTAAAAAGTAAGAGAACACCATTTTCCTTTCTTTCATGGTCTCTTTCTTGACCTGACATTAAAAAAAATGTACCATTATAAGTGTTTCTTGGAGTGTACAATACTTGTAAGTTTAGAGTAGACCCTCGTATTAGTCAGGGTTCTCCAGAGAAACAGAACCAATAGGTTTAATTGACTGACTGATTGACTGGAATTGGTTCAAGTGATTATGAAGGCTGAGAAACCCCTTGATCTGCAGCAAGCCATAGACCCAGAAGAGCCGGTGGTATAGTTCAAGTCTGGGTACAAGTCCAAAGGCAGGAGAAGACCAAAGTTCCAACGTGAAGGCAATCAGGCAGAGAGAACAAATTCTCCCTTACTCAGCCTTTATGTTCTATTCAGTCCTTCAACAGATTGGATGAGGTCCACACACACTGGGGAGGCCAATCTGCTTTATTCAGTTTACTGAGTTAAAAGTTGATATCACCCAGAAACATCCTCACAGGCATACTCAGAATATTTTCTAATCAAATATCTGGGCAGTCTTGCACCCACTCAAGTTGACCTATAAAATTAACCATCACAGGAGCTACAAGTAGCAGGCACTCTGGATGCCTTAGTAAGATGGTTGTGTTTCAGAGAGTGGGAGTTAAACTCTACAGATTCAGGGGTTCACCAAATAACTAAGGAAGCAGTATAAAACTTGGAAAGCCTCCTCAGGTTTTGGAGGCAGCATATTTTGCACTTGTAGATACTACTCCAACCATTTTATGGGGTGATGGGAAAAACAGTTAATTTTGAGTGGGGTCCAGAGCAAGAAAGTTCTCCATAGCACATCCAGGCTGTGGCACAAGCAGACATGTTGCTTGGGCAAAATGATCTGGAAGACCTCAGAGTATTAGAGATATCTGTGGGAGACAAGGATGCTGCACTGAAGGCAGTGCCAAGCTCCAACAGGAGAGTGTGGAGTAGATCCCTAGTCTTCTGGAGCAAGTGCATGCTCTCTGCAACAGAGAACCACATATCACTTGGAAAACAGATCTTGTCATGTTATGACCCTAGCAGAAGACAGAAAGTGGTAGGCTAGAAATTCCTATCATGTGCTAGGTACCGTTAGACTCACCAAGTTGGATTCATGAATCATCTGTCATAGTATGAAAGGAGTACATCTGGTATCAGGCTTCGGAAGGAAGAGAGTACAGGTAGGTTGCAAGAACAGAAACCCAAATTCCCATGCCACCCATCACAGTTGCACCATTGCCTTCTCTCTTGTTCACATCTAGGTCTCATGGGGTTTCTTATGACCAGCTGACAGGTGAGAAAAATCCAAGCTTGGTTCATGGATGGGTTGTCCTGGCATGTTTGTAAATGTCAACATTGCTGCTGCATTGCAGCCCCATTCCAAGTGTCCCTGAAAGACAGTGGGGAAGGTAAATTTCCCAGTGGGCACAATTTTGGGCTTTATACTTGGTAATTCATTTTGTGTAGGAAGAGAAATTGCCCAAGGGAAGAATGAATGTGGACTGATGGGCAGTGGTAAATGACTTAGCTTGTTGATCATGTTCTGGAAGGAGCGAGATTAGCAGATTGGGGACAAAGAGGTCTGGGGAAGAGGCTCGTGGATGAATGTATGGAAGGAGGCAAGAGTGTGAAGATATTTGCATCATGTGTTGATATATACCAGAGAGTCTCCCTTGTGGAAGAGGCACTAAAACACCAAAATGATGACTTGGTCAGTTTATGTCAGCCATGAATATATTTTGAAGTTAGAGCCAAAAGAATTTCCTGATGGATTGGATGTGGGGTGTGATAGAGAGGAATCAGGGATAACACCAAGATTTTGGCCTGAGAAACTAGAAAAATGGAGTTACCATCAATTGAGATTTGTGGAGCAGATTTTTGCATAAAACTAAGGAGTTCAGTTTGGGACACATTGGTTTGAGATATTTATTAGCCACACAAGTGGAGCTATCAAGCAGACATTTGATATGAGTCTGAAGTTGAGAAGAAAAGAGTTCAACTTAGAGTAGAAGAGTCATGGCATGGAAAAAATCATACAAATGATCAAAGATGTCCTCTCTGATGTCATGAGAGGACCCAGGATAAGGCCTTTCTTCTTACTTAAATTGCTAACTATATCAAGAGGGGACAGAAGTGTGAGAATGTAAAGTTTTTGTCACCTTTACAATTCAGATTCTGGGCAGATTTTGCAGAGTAAGAAGGGTTGAGAGCTTGGACACTGTTTAGTTAAGACTAGTATATCAAAACTTCCAGTGCCCACCCATTTCTGATGTTCCTCTTCTGGGCACATGAGAGAAGGACACTTCCCTGCCACCCATGCAGTGGGTTCTGGCCTTTGGATAGTGAGATGACTGTGGCTTCTATGCTGAAGCATTTCATTTGTGGCATGGAACCCTCCCATGTTCTCTTCCCCTGCTGTGGTGAGTCTTGGAATGTGTGAGAGGGAGTATCATAAGGTGGAAGCAGGCAGATCCCTGAGCCATCTTTGAGCACTTGGATTGAGGATATCATCCAGACATGCATCAGACCTTTGTGTGTATCAGGCAACTGAGATTTTGGTGCTGTTTGTTATTGTGGCAAGACTGTTGGTTACAGATCTGTGGGGGGCATTTATGGAATTAAAGACCTAGTATTTAGAGTAGTGTGTGTGTTAAGAAGGGGAAGTCTAAGAAAGCCAAACATTGGCCAGGCATGGTGGCTCACACCTATAAACCCAGCCCTTTGGGAGGCCAAGGCAGGTGGATCACTTGAGGCCAGGAGTTTGAGACCAGCTTGGCCAACATGGTGAAACCCTGTCTCTACTAAAAACACACAAATTAGCTGGGCATGGTGGTGCATGCCTGTAATCCCAGCTACTCGGGAGGCTGAAGTGCCACAGGGGCAGAGCTGCCCAAGAACAAGGGAACCCACCTCTTGCAACAGCATGACCTGGATGTGAGACATGGAGTCAAAGGAGATCATTTTGGTGCTTTAAGATTTGACTGCCCTGCTGGATTTCAGACTTGTATGGGGCCTGTGGTCTCTTTGTTTTGACCAATTTCTCCCATTTGGCACAGGCTGTGTTTACCCAATGCCTGTACCCCCATTGTATCTTGCCTTTGATTTTACAGGCTCATAGGCAAAAGGGACTTGCTTTTTCTCAGATGAGACTTTGGACTGTGAACTTTTGAGTTAATGCTGAAATGAGTTAAGACTTTGGGGGACTGTTGGGCAGGCATGATTGGTTTTGAAATGTGAGGACATGAGATTTGGGAGAGGCCGAGTGGAATGATATGGTTTGGCTGTGTCCTCACCCAAATCTCATCTTGAATTGTACCCCTAAAATTCCCACGTTTCGTGGGAGGAACCTGGTGGGAGGTAATTGAATCATGGAGGCAGATCTTTCCCGTACTGTTTTTGTGATAGTGAATAAGTCTCACAATATCTGATGGTTTTAAAAATGGGAATTTGCCTGCACAAGGGCTCTCTCTCTTTGCCTGCTGCCATCCATGTAATATGTGACTTGCTCCTCCTTGCCTTCTGCCATGATTGTGAGGCTTCCCCAGACACGTGGAACTGCAAGCACATTAAACCTTTTTCTTGTATAAATTACTCAGTCTCTGGTATGTCTTTATCAGCCTCATGAAAACGGACTAATACAGCAATTGTGAATAAAACTGCTATAAACATCTGCGTGCAAGTTTTTATGTGGACATAATTTTTTTAGCTCCTTTGGGTCAATATCAATGAGCATCATTGCTAGATCACGTGGTAAGTATCGGGGGAACCAGCCCCCAGTATTTCAACGTAGGTTCTTTTTCTATTTTCCTAAGTGTCAGCCGGCCTGAGAAATAAAGGGAAAGAGTACAAAAGAGAGAAATTTTAAAGTTGGGTGTCTGGGGGAGACATCACATGTCAGCAGGTTCCCTGATGCCCCCTGAACCATAAAACCAGCAAGTTTTTATTAGTAATTTTCAAAGGGGAGGGAGTGTACGAATAGGGTGTGGGTCACAGAGATCACATACTTCAAGGGCAACAAAATATCACAAGGCAAATGGGCAGGGCAAGGTCATAAGGCCAGGGTGAAACTAGAATTACTAATGAAGGTCCATGTCCCACTGGGCACACATTGTCATTGATAAACATCTTAGCAGGAAACAGGTTTCAAGAGCAGAGAACTGGTCTGACTAGAATTCGCCAGGCTGGAATTTCCTAATCCTAGCAAGCCTGGGAGCGCTGTAGGAGGCCAGGGCGTGTTTCATCCCTTATCTGCAACTGCATAAGGCAGGCACCCCCCAGAGCGGCCATTTTAGAGGCCCCCCCGGGAATGCATTCTTTTCCCAGGGCTGTTAATTATTAATATTCCTTACTGGGGAACGGATTCAGTGATATTTCTCTTACCCGTTTTTGGTAATAAGAGAAATATGGCTCTGTCCTGCCTGGCTCCCAGGCAGTCAGACCTAATGGTTATCTCCCTTGTTCCCTGAATATTGCTGTTATCTTGTTCTTTTTTCAAGGTGCCTAGATTTCATATTGTTCAAACACACATGCTTTATGAACAATTTGTGCAGTTAACGCAATCATGACAGGGTCCTGAGGGACATACGTCCTCAGCTTACAAAGATCATGGGATTAAGAGATTAAAGTAAAGACAGGCACAGGAAGTTATAAGGGTATTGATTGGGGAAGTAATAAATGTCCATGAAATCTTCACAATTTATGTTTTTCTGTCACGGCTTCAGGGCTTCAGCAGGTCCCTCCGTTCGGGGTCCCTGACTTCTCGCAACATGAATTCGATTAGTTTTGGGAGAAGCCACCAAACTGTCTTCCAAAGTGGCCATATCATTTTCTACTTCCATCAGCAATGAATGAGAGTTTCTGTTGTTCCACATCCTCAACAGCATTTGGTGTTATCAGTGTTTTGAATTTTGGCCATTCTAATAGGTGTATAGGGATATCTCGTTGTTTTAATTTGTGTCTCCCTGATGACATATGCTGTGAGGCATGTTTTCATAAGCTTATTTGCCATCTGTACATCGTATTTGGTGAGGTGTCTGTTCAGGATCTTTAACCCATTTTTAATTGGATTGTTTGTTTTCTTATTGTTGAGTTTATGAATTCTTTGTATATTTTGGATAATAGTTATTTATCAGATATGTGTTTTGCAAATATTTTCTCCCAGCTGGTGGCTGTTTTCTCATTCTCTAGATTATGTGTTTTGCAGAGCAGAAGTTTTACATTTTAATAAGTCCTGCTTATCAGTTATTTTTTTCATGGATTGTACCTTTGTGCTGTATCTAAAAGGTCATTACCATATCCAGGGTTACCTAGGTTTTCTCCTATGTTATCTTCTAAGCGTTTTATAGTTTTGTGATTTATAATTAGGCCTACCTTCCATTTTGAGTTAATGTTTGTGAAGGATGTATTCTTTTCAGTTTTTATTTTAGTTTATATGTTGTTTCTCTTCTTTTCCTTTATGCTGCTGTAGAGAACCATGAGACTTATTTTGTTGACATAAATCTATAAATATTTACAACCTACTTTCACGAGTTTTCATAAACCAGGTGATTAGAGGAAACCCCTGCATGGCTTAAAGATACCACTCAGAGTGAAAGTTTGCTTATTGAACAATTAACAATTAAACCACAGATGGTTAATGGTGTTTCCAGTGTACTTAACTAACATTTATTAATGACAATAATGGACTTATGTTTTAAAAGCTTGTCAGTTAGATTTATACTATACCACACACATCTCTATCTCAGTCCTTTTTGCCCTTGGTGAGTCAGGCCTGAGAATAAAAATCTGTGTGCATTTGGTGGAAGAAATAATTTTATGATGCATGGTTTCACTTGTGTGGTGTCTTATGCTCATTTGTCATTTGTCTTCCTGAAATGCCCTGTAGGGAATATACCAGTGAGGTTTGGATTAAATAAGTTAAGTATACAGCACTCTGTGGAGTTCATAGTTGATGCTTGGTGAATATTGGTCCGTGTTCAATTCACATAAAAGCTTAGCAAAAGCAATAAAATAACAACCACCACAATATCTAGAAACAACAACAAATAACAAAATCTACTGATTACATTTAAATGGAAAAAGAATTCTGGCACCAAGCTAAAGAATGAAAGTATCACACAGTGTGATGGTTAATTTTATGTTAGTTTGATTGGGTCATGAGATGCTCAGCTATTTGGTCAGACATTATTCTGGGTGTTTCTTTGAGGGTGTTTTTGGATGAGATTAACCCTGGAATTGGTAGACTGAGTAAAGCAGATTGTCCTCCCTAATGTGAGTGGGCCTCATCTAATCAGTTGAAGGCTTGACTAGTTTGAGAAGGCTGACCCTCCCTCAAACAAGACAGAATTATTCCTGTCTGACACCTTCAAACTAGGGTATCAATTTTTTTTATTTTCCTGCCTTTAGACTCAAAATGAAATACTGGCTTTTCCTCGGTCTTGAGCCTGCTGCTGCTAAGAACTATATCATTGGCTTTCTTGGTTCTCAGGCTTTCAGACAGGCTGAAACACCATCGACTCTCCTGAGTCAGTCTCCAGCTTGCTGACTCACCCTGAAGATCTTGGGACTTGCCTGCCTCCATAACCACATGAGTCAATTCTTTATTACAAATCTCTTTACATATATCCTGTTGGTCCTGTTTCTCTAGAGAACCTGGCTAATACACATGGGCTTGCCAGTCTTTCAACGCTAATAGCTATATTTTCTTTGAAATCTATAAAATTGGCCAAATGATAATTAAAGAAAGCTCATTACCAAGCAAATACAAAAAAGCTATTCACCTTTGAAAGATAGCATTTTTGTTACAGAAACCAGGGAAAAGGACTTAGGAAACTAATGAAAAAACATTAAAATGCAAATTACTACAGCTAATTGGTTATGTCTTCAAACACATTCTGAATTATTAATTCATAAAAGGATAAATATCTCTAAATATCAGATAAGGAAAATGATTATCTACCACCCGACCATGATTAGCATTAAGATGATAATGTTCCATTTTCCTTAGTGAAATTGTATTAAAATTTTTGTTGCGGGGAAAAGAGGAAGAACCAAAGAATTCAAATTTTCTCCAGAGTTCTAAACTCTTCTGCTGAATAGTTAGTTACATGTTCAATTCCCAGTTGCTGTATGCAGTTAATAAAGAACCAAACTGAAGGCACACATATTAGACTGCAATTTCCAAGAGGCTGGGTGTTATTACTTCTGCTTTATTCACAGTGGCATTCCAAGCACTTTTTAAAAACTAAAGGTGCTATTTATTTCAGAGCAAATTTAGGTTCACAGCAAGATTTAGAGGAAGGTACAGAGATTTCCCATATACCCCCTGCCCCACTTCTCCCCATTATTCACAGTCTTCTGCATTATCAATATCCCCACCAGAATGGTACAGTTATTATAACTGATGAACCTACATTGACACATCATTGTCACTCAAAGTCTATAGTTCACATTAAGGATCACTCTTTCTGTTGTATGTTCTATGAGCTTGGACAAATGTACGATGACATGTATCCACCATTATAGTATCATAGAGTGTTTTTACTGTCTTAAAAATTTTCTGTACTCCACCTGTTGATTTTCCCTCTCTATAATTCCTGGCAACCACCGATCTTTGTACTGACTCTATAGTTTTGCCAAGCATTTTTCAATGTCTGGCACAGGGCCATTCACACTGCACTTATTAAGGTAATCAGTGATTTCTACCTTGACAAATCAATGGCAAGTTCTCATTCTACTTCATACCTGGCACAGTTAACCATCCTCTCCTTTTTGAAATGCCGCCTTCTTTGGGCTTCTTACTTACCTTCTTTCATCTTCACTGGATATTTTTCCTTAATCTCTGCCTCCTTCACCTCTTTTTAACATGTGTAGGACCCCAGGGCTTGATCTTTCATTTTTTTCCTTTGGTGATATCACCTAACCTCATGGTTTTAAATACTATCTAGATGTGGTTTGGTGATATCACCTAATCCCATGGTTTTAAATACTATCTAGACTTCAGGATTTTTTCTCCTGATCTGATCTTTGCCTTGAACTCCAGACTTGCACAGAAAGCCCTCACTTAACATTGTCAATAGGTTCTTGGAAAGTGCAGCTTTAAGCAAAACAATGCCTAATGAAAATAATTTTACCATAAGTTAATTGGTGTAAACAAGAGTTAAGTTCCTATGACATATTTCTGGTCACAAAACCATCACCAAACTTCCAAATAAAGACCAAGACACTTCTAATATTAAGTATTGAGATAAATATGAGCTATACATACATTACAGAAAGATTAATAAGACAAGTAAGATAATTATTTACCCACTTATTCCAGTTGAGGATCGCTGGTGGCTGGATCCTATCCCAGCAGCTCCAGGTGCAAGATGGGAGCGAAACCTGGACAGCTGCCCTTCCATTGCAGGGCACACTCAAACACACACACACTCACTCACTCAGACTTGGGACCATAGAGATACGCCGATTCACCTGCCATGCACATCTTTGGGATGTAGGTGGCAACTGGAGTACCCAGAGAAAACCCATGCAGAAATGGGGAGAACATGCAATCTCCACACACACAGTGGCCCTGGCTGGGAATCACATTTTTTTCTCATTAATTTTAAAATGAAACAACATTGGATGAAAAGACATATTTGAGGACCTGCTGGATATACTTTTTTCTCCCAGCTTTATTAAAGTCAAATAAAAATTTTATATATATATATAAAATCAACATCTCCCCATTTCTCTCACCTCCCAGCCCCTGGTAATGCTGTTTCTATAAGTTTAACTTATGTAAATGTTCTATTCTGTTTCCATAAGTTCAACTTTTTACGTTACACATATGAAGGAGAACTTGCAATATCTGTCCCTCTGTGCTTGGCTTATTTCACTTAGCATAATGTCCTCTAGGTTCACCCATTTTGTTGCCAGTGGCAGAATTTCCTTCTTTCTTGAGGCTGAATAATATTCCATTGTGTATATACACCCATTTTCTTTATTCTTTCATCCATTGATGAACACTTAGGTTGACTTTGTATCTTGGCTATTGTGAATAATGTTGCAATGAACATGGGGGTGTAGATATCTCTTCAAGATACTGATTTCATTTCCTTTGGCTATAGAACCAGAAATGGAATTGCTGGATCATAGAATGGTTCTATTAATCATTTGAGGAGCCTCCATATTGTTTTCTGTAATAGCTGTACCAATTTACTTCCCACCAACATGGGTTTCCTTTTCTCCACATCATTGTCAATACTTGTTGTCTTTTGTGTAGTCTTCTATACTTAGCTGCTGAATCAACACTGCTTGTTAGGTATCCAGTAGAATCTCAAAATCAACATGCAATGAGACGGACAAATCTCAGAAGCATTATGCTAAGTAAAAGAAGCCAGAAGATTGCATACTGTATACTGTAAGATTTTATTTATTTGACATTCTTTATGATTCCATTTATATGACAGAATTATAATGTTTTCCAGTGGCTTGTGATTGACTGCAAAAGGGCATGAGGCAACTTTTTAGAGTGATGGAAATATTCTATATTTTAATTATGATGGTGGGGTGTTGGTTACCTGACTCTATACATTTGCTAAAACTTATTAACTGTATCCTTAAAGTGAGTGCTTTGTGTGTGTGGGCAAAGGATTCTTTAATAAACTGGACTTAAGAGCATCCTCAGATGTCTTCTCATTGCAGTTAAGATGAAATCAAAATACTTATCATTTTCTTCAGCCATTTATATATTTTTTGTTACTTGATGTAACTAAAATCATTCTCATTTCCATGCCTTTACCCCAATTCTTCTGTCTACCTGGAAATTTCTTTCTCTAAGTATTTGAATGGCTAACTATATTGATTTCAGAAGCCAATTTCTCAGAGAAACTTTTTCTGTCTTTGATGCCTAAAGTGGGTCTTCCCTCTCCTTCAAGTCAAACTGTATCTCATTATTCGGTTTTATGCACTTAGCAATACTTGAATAGTCTTACAAATGTATTTATTTGCTTCCTTGTTTATTTCTTCTCTGTCATCAGCAGTCTGCAAATTTCTGGAGGAAATGGAAACTTTCAATTGGATACACTGTTGAGTCTCCCAAGCTAAGGCCAGTGCCTGGCGTACTGCAGGCATTGAGTGAATAAATAAATGCGTAGCAGGAACTTAATAAATGTTTGTCGACTGGCTAAATGATTGAACCTGAAGCCACAATTGCAAAATACTGCCACTTCATGTTTAATTGGAATGTTATGGTACAAAGAATGTAGAACAGTGATGCTAATGGAATATGTACTTAAAATATATACATCCATCAACAGGCATTTATTAAGGGCTTTCCCTGTGAATGGCACTGAGCTATATGTGGCAGTCACTTATTTTGAAGGAAACATTCTGTCAATCATTTTCATCCAGTCGTTCAAACTTTTCAAACGAATAGTTTTTAAGGAAAAGTCTTCTTAGTTCTAACTTCTGCAAGAAACCTGTGGAAAGTGTGGAAGTAAGTTATTTTAGTCATTTTTTTTCTTGTTCTTAAACTTGTTGTTAGAAGTGTTTGAAATCTTTGCTAGATTTGAGAAATTCTGAAACCAAATGTCGTTTTCTCTATCAAATTACAATTGGCATAGTAAAAATACACTATTTTGGGCAAATAGGTAATTCTAAAAAATGGTAATGTTGCCAACTCTATTTCCAGGAACTGAAAAATGTGGCCCTGTGCAAGTAACTGGGCAGTAAGTAATCACTCCACTGGCATATAACCAGGTGATTCTTTCGATATATGCTTATTAGAATACATCACAAATTAAATCTGAAGACATATTTTTATGTGTAAACAAATTTGAAGCCAGAGTAGAATGTTCTATGGGAACATAGCTGCATGAATAGTACTTAAAGAGAGTAGTTAAATCACCAGCAGAATCTTCCCTCTTGACACACACACATGTACACACAGTAGAAAACATAACTGTTTTTTTTTTTTTTGAGATGGGATCTTGTTCTGTTGCCCAGGCTGGAGTGCAGTGGTGCGATCATGGCTCACTGCAGCCTTGACCTTCTGGGCTTAAGTGATTCTCCCTCCTCAACCTCCTGAGCATGTGGGACTAGAGGCGTGTGCCACCATACCAGGCTAATTTTTTTTTTTTTGTTATATTTTTTGTAAAGCTGGTGTTTCGCCATGTTGGCCAGGCTGGTCTCAAACTCCTGAGCTCCAGCGATCCGCCCGCCTCGGCCTCCCAAAGTGCTAAGATTACAGGAGTGAGCAACCGTGCCTGGCTGAACTCTTCTTTATGATAGCTGTGGTCTAGTATTTACTCTTGGGCCTTATATTACTTCTTTATTTTTGTTTTATTTTATTTCATTTTTGATGCGCATATTAAGCCAAACAGATCAAGAAGAGAAAAGTGTCTTCCAAGAGTTCAGGGTTGCAATGCACTGAGCCCAAATGACTCATTGCAGGAACATCACTCCCTTCTGGAAGGAGACAGTGAGGTGGAAGCAGGTGAGGGCAAAGTGTAGAGGTGCAAGGGGTTCAGTGATGCTGACTGTCTGGCATTTTTGCTCCAGATCTTCTAACTCCCCTTCTCAAAAGTGAATAACACATACTTAGTGACAGTGACAGTCAAACGTTTCTGATAATTGTGTCTTCTAAAGTAGCACCAGTTCAAAGGAAGTAACAGTAATTGAGCAACTTCACTTATCAAATGATGGTATGTCAATTAGAGGCTTAAAAGTGTCAAATCTGAATCTTCAGTGTTTTGCTGTAATTCACATTATGCTGTTTACTATAGAGTCTAGGATTTAGCTTTATTTAGTATCATTTGAAGAGAAACAAGCGCATTATTTTATTTAATAATTAACATGATTATTTTGAAGTTGATTGACCTGTATAATTTCCTGTTCCTTCTTTCTTCAATGATGAAATAGCATTTACTACGTAGTTTATATTGAACCCTCTACACAGGGTATTTTAAAGATTCTGATGTCTAATGTTCTTGGATCTAAAAATTGTAATAAAACAGTGGTGCTTTTGCTATGCCTTCCAATAATCATCACTGGCCTCCTGGACTCTTACAATTATCAAGACAAAGGCTGAGAAAAATAGTGAAAACCCCTGCCATTATTTTCAATGGCATCCCAGAACAGGCACTGGTTTGTTAGGCCACCTCTATGGAGTAGGATTTACTTACTCATTTTGCTTCTTGACTTTGGAGATGTAACTGTAACTCTGGATTTACAAAGAAAACTTAGGCATATTTGAAAGTAACTGAAGTGACACTAGAGAATGAGAACCATGAACAAAATCCTATTCATTTGTCTCAAAAGAAGAATAACTATAACAACAGGATAAAGAACATAATAAAAACAGGTACTACTTGCTGTCCACTTACCAGAGTATGGGCTTTCAAATAACTGCATGTAATTTTCACAGCATGTGAAGTAAGCGCTACTGAGACACAGGATGGTTAGTTTCCTGTTTCCAGGATCAAATAGAAAGCACCAGAGCCAGGATCTGAGCCAACTCTCTCTGCTCAGTGCACTCAGTCCACCACACTACAATACCTCCACTTCAGGATACTTGTATATGATGAACAATAATATCTTGTAACTAATATTTTTGTTTGTTTTCTGGCTGGGCTCAATTTGTGTCTTTGTTTTAGCTGGCCCTGGTCTAGAATAATCTTCAGTATGTCTTAAACCATCCTTGTCTTGTGCTGTCTTTCATGGGGCTATACCCACCTCTAGATCCAGGCCCTTATTACTAATCACAAAAAAGAAAAAAAAGATCAGGCCATTGGTATACGGTAGCTTTAAATCTACATTATAAATATACTGCTCACTAACCTGTCGAAAGGATGCAGCTCTTCTGTGATTTCTTTTTGTTATCTGCTGGTCTCTAGTATTGATAATTTACCACCCTGGGAGTGACTTCCTTTTGGGTTTTCAGATCTTGAAGCTCTGTTTCTGAGCTCTCTGCATGCTGTCTTTGTGTTCTTCATGATCGGCATTCTGCCTGCCTAGCGGGCTGGGGAGGCTTTTTTGATGGAACAGGAACTCCTAGGTTGGGTCAGAGCTGAAAGCGAATGATTGCCATTGCTCCCCTTGAGAAATGCAGTTAAAATCCTTTTCTGGGTATAGCAGCTCTTGTTTCTGTACTTGAATCATTTTATGTCCACTGGTTGTATGAGGTATACAATGAATGCTGATTTTTTAAAAATTATGAACAATCCAAACTGATTGTCTACAATTTTTCAATGAAAAGTCCCTCTTTGACTAAATCTTTCTGCGTTTTCCCTCATATTTAACAAAAAATTAAAAACTAAAAGCCCTTAAGTTTATAATGAAAATATATATCTAAGACATCATCAGAATAATCGAGATTAAATAGAAGCTGCTACAGTGTATTATATTTTACATTTCTGAAAGTCAGATCTCCTGAAAGGCATTTTTCATACATTTAATCAGATGTTTTACCCATCATAATTCAATTTAACAAATATTTTGGACTATCTGCTATCTTCTTTGTTCTGAGTTGAAAACTGGTATATGTCAAATCAGTATAAAATCATTTCCCCACTCAAGAAATTTATAATCAAATTAGAATATACTAACATACAGGTGTAAGTATGTGTGTTTAAGTATGAAACAATCAGATAAAAATCAGGACAATATATGTTTTTGTTAAATTAGCGTATCTAGACAATAAGTACAATAGGAATTCACAATATTGATATCACTTAAGATAGTTTCTTCAAGGTACTAGCCATTTTTCTAAGTTTTTCATCTCAGCGGTGAGGCTTGACTCAGTTTGGAAAAAAAAATCCTCAACAAAACAATTTTAAACTTATGGCTCTTAGGTATTTGCTATTATTGCTTTTCTTTCCATGTAATAAAGGGGCAATGTGTACCTGTATCCTCTTCTTACTCTGGAGTTACTGAGCCACTTTTTTTTTTTCCTGCAGTGTCTTCGTGCCAGTTGCATCTCATTTCTTATTTTGTTTTTCCTGACTGCATTCCACAAGGTTGACCTAAAGTCAAGTTATTTGGTTTCCTGGGAAAAATAGTATCTTTCTTACCCTTGTCACTTGGTTCTCCAGCTTCAGGTTTAAATTTTAATTGACTAATATTTGTATAGTTCCATTATGTTCCCATTTAAGGATAGCATTAGGTACCAGTATCTCTTTTCTTCAGAATATTTTTTACACATAATAATTCTAGATTTATAAGTTGCCAACATTAGTGTAATATATTTCTTGAGAAAAGACGTGGGGAAAGTTGACACAAATCTGCAAATATAATATTCAGAATGTGGACTATAATAAAAACTGAAACTGCATCCTTAGCTGAAAATTATTACTTTTGTGACAAAGTCACAGAACTCCATCTCATGCTATATTTAATGCTTTTGTGAAGAGTAAACTTTGGGGAAAAAAGAATCTGAAAGTGCACCTAGCTGGAATAATGAAAAAGGAGCATCGTATATCATGAATCAATATAAGTTTATGTTTGAGGAAAGCAAAATGACCAGCACGGACAATGAAATGTTTCAAGCACTATAAAATGTATTGAGTTCCAGAAACCAGACAATTTTGTGTAAAATGCTCTCCAGATTCATTTCCCCATGATAATAAACAGTAGAAAAAATGTGCCAAAATAAAGAAAAAATGTTTTGAGAAGCATATTAAATCAGAGAAATGATACTGTCATAATTGATTTTATAAAGACACTCAGAAAAGTAAACTTGATATATCTAGCATCAAGCTTAAAATGGCACATCCAGCTATCAGTGGTCAATGAGAAACAACTGAAAAACTGCCTCACGAAGTTTGGAAAAAGATCCCCAAATGAAACTCCTAAAAATAAACCCTGCAATCACACTGGCATATGTGATCAGTATGAGATTTCATATTGTGCACCCCTGTTTACTCTGAGAATGTGCTTCTTAATGGTTCATGTATACATCATGGCTCTGCTCAAAGTCACTCCTGCAAGAAGCCCAGAGGCTTCTATCTGGAGGCTTGATCTTTTAATCTAATTTAGATTTTTTTGTCTTGACATTTTTAACTCATATATTGATATTTTTTATTTTCTTTCCCGGAAGTCATTTTAAATCTTTGTAGAATAAGAGAAGTATTTATGAATACATTTAAACATACACAAATACACATTTTAATCAACCTGAGGAGGGTGATATGTGGACTATTGCTTTATAGTCTAAATGGTCAGAGAGATAGATGTACACCATTCAAGTTTTGCTTTATCTAGTAAAATAACTTTCTAATTGAGAATTACAAGTACAAAAACAACAAATAATTACACATGAAGTATTCATTTAGAATATTATTCGAAATAAAAAACAGATTAACAGACTATTATAAATAAGTCTATGATTTAAGGTAATAATACTAAGATTAGGTTAAATGATTTATTTGCATCTTTTGCCTTTGTTTGGGAGGTGGCTCCTCCAAATATTAGTTTTGTGATGTTAGGCAGTTTATTTAATGTAAGCCTCATTTTTTCTTATCTGAAAAATTGGGAAATTAATTATACCTACCTCATAGGATTGTTTTGAGGATTAAATAAGTTAATACTTTTAAAGGTTGGAACAGTAAGCAAATATAGACATACCTCATTTTTGCTTTATTGAGCTTCACAGATACTGCTTTTTATTTTTTTAATTGAAGGTTTGTAGCAACCCTGCATTGAGCAAGTCTATTGGCACAATTTTTCTAACAGCGTGCACTCACTTCATGTCCCTGTATCACATTTTGGTAATTCTTGCAATATTTCAATTTCATTATTATCATGTATTTTATGGTGATTTGTGATCAGTGATTTTCTTCTATTCTGTGGGTTGTTTTTTCACTTTGTTGATAGTGTTCTTCGAAGCACAAATGTTTTAAATCTTAATGAGGTGCAAATTATCTATTTTTCATTTGCTATTTAGGTTTTGCTGTTATACCTAGGAGTCTATTGTGAAACCTGAGGTCATAAAGATTTACTTTTATGTCTTCTAAGAGTTTTACAGTTTAGCTCCTGTAATTAGGTCTTTGATCTAATTTGAGTTAATTTTTATATATGGTATGAGTTAGGGGTCTAACTTATTATTTTCCATGTTGCTATCCAGTTGTGTCAGCACCATTTGTTGAAAAAACTGTTCTTTTGCCCAGTGAATTGTCTTGGTAGCCTTGTGAAAAAAAATCAATAAATGTGAGGATTTATTTCTGGACTCTAAATTCCATTGCTTATTCTTATATCAACACCATTTTATCTTGATTACTATAGTTTAGTAGTAATCCTTCTAGTACTCCCATTATGTATGTGTTGATGACTTAATATCTCATACTTTTCTGAAGCTGTTTTCATTTCTTCTTTTTTCCTTGAATTGCATAATTTTTATCAATCTATCTTCAAGGTTTCTAATTCTTTCTTCCGCCAGTTCAAATATACTATTGAGCCTCTCTCATAAATTTTTCATTTCAGTTGTGTTTTTCAACTCCAGGATTCTGACTTCCCCCCTCCCCTCTTCCTCTTCCTCCTCCTTCCTAGTAATTGTTACATCTTTATTGACATTCTTTATTTGATGTGACCTTGTGATTACACATTTCTTTACTTGTTTAATTGTGGTTTCTTTTAGTTCTTTGAAGTTATTCACAATGGCTTCTTTTAAGACTTTATCTGTTAAACTTAACATCTGGTTCCTCTCAACAGGCAGTTTCTTTTGCCTGATTTTTTCCCAGTGTGTAGGTCACGTTTTCCTGTTTCTTTGCATGTCTCATATTTTTTTTTTTTTGCTGAATCTGGACATTTTATATAATATAGCAACTCAGCACTGGTCACCCCCTTATGGGGCTTGTTATTGTTCTTTTGTTTCTTTTTTTTAAATTTAACTGACTGACTGTATTACTATAGTGGCATCTATTCTTCCCATGCAGTCCAAAGCCTTTCATGTTGCTCTTCAGGCTTGGGTGTGGTCATAGCCACTCTGGGATGACAGTAATTTTGGTAGTTGATTCATGTTTTCAACAATGCCCTGGGTATAAACTGTGTCACAGACTTACCCAATCAAATTTGATCACCTTTAAAGGGATAGTTTCTGAATTCAATGTTTGAAGGTTGTTGCTGTTGTTGTTATTGTTTGTCACAAGAGGGCTCCTCCCAGCTGTCTCTTTCCTTGGTTCTCTTAGGCAAACTAGCTAGCTGACAGCGTAGCCTGTATGTACAATGCGTCTGCCAGTCTCCTCCCAGTTGCCTTTCACCACAACTTCCACTGTTTCTTAGGGTGCTTTTAGGCCTGAATTTTTCCACACTCTCTTGATAATGAAGACAGTTTTTTTGTTGATGGGAAAGAGGCTAGGGGATATGTGTTTTTCTGCCTGCTCTCTCCCCTTAGGTAAAATCTCTGGAGTCGGGGGACAATGGTGTGCTTCTCTTTGAGTCACACTCTCACTTTAGGAGCTGAGCACTCATTGGAGGCAGACAGAGGTCTCAAGTCTTCTTGGTTTGCCTCTCCCTGTGTATGAACTCTACCTCTGAACCAGGGTAAGGGTGATTAGTGGCTCAGTATTTTCAGTGGCATCTAACACAATATAGAGCCTCTCTCCTATAAGTAGGGACTGGACAGAAGAAGGGAGCATGCACCTCTTGGCTATACTCACCTTGAACTTCAAATGAACAACAGGTAGCTGGGGAAATGATGAGAAACGCTGACACCCTGCCTTTCCTGCGAACAGAGCCCTCTGACTGGGAGCTGGGTAGGAGAGAAAACTCTGTGTTCTCAGCTGTCCCAGCCTGGAGAGAAGTTTCCATCTCACAGAGCTCGGGGGAGGAGAGGGCGGAAAGAAAGGGAAGAATAGGTCTTGGTTGAAATAACCGCGGGCTCTTGCTGTTCTTACCACATTTTAGTAGATTTTATTGAACAAATATTTCTTCATTTGATGTATGCCCTTAGGATCCTTTCCAGAGACTTTAAATGGTTGCTCTTTTTCCATAAATTTTTTTTTTTTTTTACCAATTTTTCTAGCATTAGGGAGGGGGGACTCCATGGAGCTTCTTAGGCTGTCATGCCAGAAACAGAACCCATGTATTTACTTTTACATGATATAATAAATACATGTGATAGAAATGATATTATAAACACATGTGGAATGAAACAACACATGTTCACCTATCTCTATGTGCTGTTTGTTTATACGATTCCCCTACATTCCCATCCCTCAGAGGGACCAAGTATTTTTTTCCTTTTTATTTTATTTTAATTGACAAATAGTAATTGTATACATTCATGAGGTATAGTGTGATGTTTTGATATGTGTATACATTATGGAATGATTAAATCAGGATAACTAACATGTCTATCTCTCAAATACTTTTTTTTGTGTGTGTGAGCATTTAAAATCTGCTCTCTTAGGAATTTTGAAATACACATTACATTATTGTTAATTATAGTCATCATGCTGTGCAATAGATTTTAAAAACACATTCTTCTGTCTAACTGACATCAAAGGGAACAAGTTTTGACATTTTATGTTTATTATTTCCTTTACCTTAAAATTATTTTATCAAATAATTATTCATGTGTAAAATATATATTTAATATTAATTATTTTTGAAATTACATGAAGACTTGCTTCAATGTAGCCTTCTTAGACATAATTTTTTACTCATACTATCAAGATTTTTCTACATTGCACTATGTGGCTGTAATTAATTCATTTTTACTTTTACATAGCATTTCATAGGGTGAATTGATCATATTTACAAGTGTATTCTCCTTTTGATGGGTACTGGGTTGTTCTCAGTTTTTCTTTTCAATCAGTGTTTAGCCCACTTTATTATGACCTTCATCTCTAGCATTTGACTGAAATTGGTGACAGTAAGTCATTAATTATTTCTATGTTGCCAAATCAAACAGAAACTTTTAAGTTGCTGGGAGCTGAAGGCCGGTTACATTAAGTTCTCATCTTACAAGTCTACACATTACTATTCATCTAAGTTGGCCTCTTTCTCCTTGAAAAAAATCTCATTTTCTTGACTTCCATGACACTTGTCTTCTGGCTTATCTTCTGCCTCTGATGGCTTTTTTATAACCTCTCTCGTCCTTTCCATCGTCTTTACATGGCCTCTAAATGATATTCCTGAGGGCCTGATCCTGGGAATTCTTCTCTCATTTGACTTTCACTGATTTAAGGTGGAAAAGTATCACCTTGAGGTACTTATTAAAATACAGATTCTAGGTTCCTGGCCCCAAGAGATTCTAATATAGTAGGTATTGGATTAAACACAAGAGTTTGCACTTTTAATGAGTACCCATCGCTGAGTGAATTTAGGTAGTTCTTTTAGGTAGTTCTCAGAATTTATTCTGCTGCCTCTTGTCCTGCAAAAAATTCTTTGCTTTGCTCAATTTGTGAAGTCTTTTAGCAGTTTTACAAAATGTTTATTTTTTGCAGAAATCACTGGCATGAATAACACACTTAGAAACTCCTGCATTTAAAATTGCATTTAAACAAAGCATAATAGCTGTCAAACAGACTATACTCTTTTCTATACCTTGGCAATAGTACCAACAGAGGGGCTGGCTGTGTGGCAGATCCATCCTGGTAACCACCAGGAGTGATGGAATATCTTTTATAGTCAGTGATGCTGGTCAGGCTAAACAACTCTTTGAAGCAAAGGGGACTCAAGAACCATAGCCACCTAATAAGGAAAAGTTGATTGATTAAAAAGGATTCCCCTGGTATTTATAGGTTTGGGCAGTGTGGTGTTGATGTGCAAGATGGTGCTAATAGATAGGCAGGGGTCAACAAATTAGGATCTATAGGCCATTTTAAGCATGTTTGTCTTTATGTAGCTTGGTATAAGATGCCACTGGAGAGTTTAAACATAAGGTGGAGGCAGAAGGTCCCATGATTTTAGATATACATTGGAAAAGATCGCTCTGGTTGCATGTGTGAATAAAATAAGTATGGGGTTTAATTCTGCTTATTGGTTTAAGGAGAATAATTATGAGGTTATTGTTGAAATCAGGTAGGGATGTATGTATCTGGAATCAGAGTAGTAGCATTCGAGGTGGAATTTGATTCCAGAGATAATTATTATTTACCATCAACTGGGCTTGTAATTAGACTGGATATAGTAAACGATGGAAAAATATATTTGAGGTGCTTTCAGGTTCCTGACTAATACCGTTAGATGAATAGAGGCGCTATTGACTGAGGAGTGGAAAGATATCAGAAGAAGGCCTGTTGGACCTCTGATCTTATCAACAGTGGTGTTGTTAGAGCTGAAAGATAATGACCTACATAGACAAGTCCTGTCTGGTGGTTTTCCTCTTTTAGTGGAAGGACAATGAGGAATGTTTCCTGTATAGTTCATGTTTATTCATTTCTCTTATCACTAACAGTTATTGCCACATGGAGGAAAACATAGCGCTGATAGTTGCTAGCTCCTGAAGGGATAGTGCCTTGGCTCTCTCTGGTTTCAAGTCCAAACATCCAGGGAATGAATTCATTGGCTTGACTTCCTCAGATGGCTATATCAGCAGTGTCTTTGGGAACCATGAATGGAACTGAGCGGAAAGAATGGAGGGATTGTGGGCATATTCCGCAGTAGGAGTCTACGATATGCTTGTTGAGAAGAGAGGAAAAAACATTTCCCTCTCCACAGGCCAATGCTAGTTTATTGATGTTTGCCTAATCTTGTTTCAGGTGGGACACAAGCACCCACAGTCCTTGCCTTAGCACCGTAAAGTACTGTAAAGTGCTCACATTGTGCGCTGAAATCTGGAATGAATTGTGCTTTCTGAATTAAGGCATAAATATTTTATTTTTCTACATTATGATTTCCCTTCTGTAGGGCTCCACTTCCATAAAGTTGACAAAAAAAGAAAGTTGGGTATAGTAAACATGGTAAAATGCCATCTTGTCACACCAAGCAATGCTCAGTTTGTTCTATAAGTATATGGATTTTATGTACTTAACAATTACAAGAAACCCCCAGTACTTCAGTCCCTTGTTCCATCGTTCTGTGGCCTCCCTCACTCCATCCTCTCAAATCATATTCATTTTACTTCAGGAAATGTTAAATGATTTCTTTGAGCCAGAACTGATTCACTTGGGTAATCATTCTACCATTCCACTGGGGTTAAATGAGTATAAAGATTATGATGATTCCCAAGAAGGAAAAAGAAAAAATAAATTGGTTGTGACTAAGAAGGAAAAAATTGAAACACAATTGCTGGACTAAAGACAGCTTAGGCAAAGGGGAAAAGCCAATTATCCTATGTTGAAAGATTATAGGCAATAATTTTAAAAGCTTTTCTATTTGCATAATCATTTTGCATCAGTGCAGGATTGCTTATCTCTCTTTACATGCTCATATTGATAAATTGTAAATTTTAGTTCCTATAATAGTGATGCACATAAAATATTCTCTTTTCTTCAAGTAAACACACGATTTTATGACTTTTTAAAAGGCTTATATCATTTTTTACTTTGGTTTTTAATTACTACATTGCTCATTTTTCTGTTGCACTTTGTTTTCTTGGGGAAAATCAACGTGCTGTTTGTTATACAGTAACACTGAAAATAAAGAGATTTAAAAATATCTTGTGGTTTAGAAAAAAAAGAGCAGTAGAAGGCTCACATTTTTTATGTTTCAACAACTTTGAGATTTTTCTAAATCATAGCAATTCTGTGGCTTGCACTTGTAATCCCAGTGATTCTGGAGGCTGAGTTGGGAAAGATTGCTTGAGCCCAGGAATCCGAGGCTGCAGCAATGTATGATCATGGCACCACACTCCAGCCTAGGCAACAGAGAAAGACCACATCTCATATATATAAAACATATATACTCTGTGTGTGTGTGTGTGTGTGTGTGTGTGTGTGTGTGTGTGTATGTATGTGTGTGTGTATATATATATAACATATATCAAACATATATATAACATATATAGAACATTAAAAATTACAGCAACTTCTAATTAAACATATATAATAGATATAATAACAGCTGAATAACAGAAAAAAGGAAAATCATTAGCTAGGATTATTTTGCTACTCTCATTTTATCATGGAGTATAATATAAATCTTTTCAAATGCCAGATTTAAATAAGATAAGCCATATTGCATGTGTTTTTTATCACTCTCCCATTTTTCATTCACTGTAGTTGTAGGGACATTTTGAGTCAACGTATTCTTAAAACTTTTTGAAATTATCCCTTGAGTTAGAAGCAATTTTTGAATAAGGAGGAACTTATGGACAGTTCCCTTATGTATCTTTCATAGATACTGGGAAGAGAATGATAGTGGGGAGAGTGATTCAATACTTATTTTTCTCACTGTTGATACTTTAATTCTCTCATTCATTCATCAACATTTGTTGTGCAGGTATTATGTCTCAAGGACTGAGGAAACAGCAAAGAAATGCAATCATTGCTCTTAAGGAACCCCAGCTAGTGTGAAAGAAAGAGCTACAAACCAGTTATTATACAGTGATTAATGCCATGTGGTGGGATGGAAGTACAGAGCAGCAATCTGTGGGCATTCTGGAGGATAAGGAGACCACAGTCAGCAGGAGTAGCTTGGGAGAAATGTCACTTGAACTCAACATTGAGGGATGAGTTGCTGTCCTAGTGAAATGTTAGGCGAAATCACATGTGCACAGGTGTGGAAAAGCTAAGCTCGATGGGGATAATGAGGGTGGCTTTCCATGGCTAGAATTTTGAATGCTTTTGATGCGTGTTTAAGTGAAGCTGGAGAGGAATGCAACAGCCAGAGAGTATTCTGAAGGTGACAGGAAGCAGTCTATCTGTCTTACCCATAAAACACCATTATTAACCTTTTCTTAATTTTGGGCAACTTTCTCCAAAGCAATTATCTACCTTGAAAGTCATTATAATTCAGATTTGTACAGCTTTGAATTTTCCTGATTAAGGATCAGTTCTCCATTTTACTTTGTAATGTGCAGGCTAGGCCCAAGTTTCATAACTATTTCTTTAAGTTGATAAGCCAAATACAATTCCTTTTCTTTGGTCTTAAATACCAGTGAGTGCTATTGTGAATTGATGAATCCCTGTTATTTGTGAAATTACCTCTATTGTTACCGTCTGAGAAATTACTAACAGATACACATCACGAAACACCAGGCACTTCGGCTCATTTAACTGCTTTCATTGCTATTTTATTCTTTCCCCCCATGATTACTGTCATTTTTATTTTTTTAGCTCTGTGTTAAATCACCGTCTAATTATGCATCATCACAGCAACTCATAACAGTTCAGCATCTCTTGCTCCTAAATTCTAAAAGCAACTCTTGAGTCTGGCACACAATGAAAGTATTGTCCTTTTTATTGACCTTGCTTTACCATATGGGTGCTGGAACTTTTCAGTTCCATGATTGTGGGGGGAATCTGCAAAGAGAAAACGGTGCAGAAAAGTTCACTGGTCACTTGGGTAAGGTGAGGGATAAGGAGCAAAGCAGAAGACCATCTCCCAGTTGTTGCACTGCTAAATTCAAATGACTTGACTTGTTTTCTAGTTTCTAAGCACCCTTCTAATAAAAAGGTGTTGACAACTGATGGGAAGCTGGAAGTTGAATCTTGAGTTTTTGATCAAATATGATCATTTAGGTCAAAACGCTTAGTATAGTTTCAAGTCAGTTAATTTCTGTTTCCTTACTTGTCACACGAGTAGAATCCCATTTTCCTGTCTCAAAAATTATTGCTTAGTCCTCATAGTTAGAGGCAGACTTTTCAACATGAGTTTCACAAAATGTTGCCTTTTCATGTAGTAATGATTGGAATTTGAGTTTTAGAAATTGCCCTATTGCTACTAACTAGAAATTTTCAGGTGGTAAATTTAGGGAGTGATGCAGAAAGAATATTAGTTTTGATCCTGGTGAATTTCCATGTAGAATGTGGTATCTAAGTGGAGTGGGACATGCAGGTGAGCCATTACCCTAGGGTCCCCAGTGTATTCCAGGGGCTCCACGAGCTCCTCTTTCACTTTTTATATGTTTTTATTTTGATGCCTCTATAAAAATAGTGAAGAATTTCAATACATTCATTTATAATCATAATCTCTTTTGGGATCATCACCTGTTCCCATTTATTAGCATTGCCAGGGAAAAGTGGTACATTTTTATTTTTATTTAATGAATAACCAGCTGCTTAAACAGATGTTTCATAAATTTAGAAGGTGCCCTGAACTTCATCAGTGAAAGACACCAAAATGCTATCTGCAGGTGTAACAACTGACAGAAGTACTTGGCTTTCTTGACCAGTAAATTTTTTGAAATAAGTAAATTCCAAATTACTCAACTCCCCAAATCAATAATCAATATATAATGACAGATTATAAAGGCACATCTGGTTTCCCTTTGTATTTTATCTAGAGGACCATTATTCAAAAATGGAAGGCTATAATGTGTTAGTGCTTCTATAGACCAACTTAATATATAACACATCAGTGTTAAGTATTTCAAGATGAAGAGCTAGAGGCTCAGAGATTTATCCAACTAGAAATAGCAGAGTCAAGATTCAAACTCAGGTCTCTCTGACTTCTAAGCATATGTTCGTTTCATTCCCACTGGTTTTTGTCAGCCAGGCATAGTTCCATGCAAATTTTCTTATTCTTAACATATTCTTTCATAATTATCTAAAGAGATATGTTGTTCAAGGGATTGAGAGAGGCTGTGTTAATAATCTCAGGGTACTGACATTGATTAGAAAGAAAGAACTAGAATTTGTGTAGAGGTAATAGAGACAAAGAGGATTTTTGATGTCATGTATTCTTAGGAAGGTAATATCCAGTCAGAACACATTAGGGCCTGGGATCACTTTTCTGTGAAGGAAAGGGAATCTGAGATATGCTGATTGGGGTGACCAGGTAATATCAGGGGTTTCTGTCGTTTCCATAATGATTTTTATGGATTTAAAACATCCCCCCTCTTTGAGAAGAGTTCCCTATGCTAAAGGTTAGTCATTACTTTTAATGCCCAAGTCTTCCAAGTTACTCTGCATCTCTGAAGCAGTCACTAGGCTGCAATGTGTGAGATGAGAACATAGTTTACAATTTAATTTTAGAAACATCACCATCTGATTCCCAGTCAGCTTCATACTGACACTTGTTTTATTCAAGCAGTCACGAGTGTTTTGCTTTGTGAGAAGGGAAGCTTTTGTTGATGTTTCCTATATTCTAATTCATGCTATTCTCTTGAAATTAGTTAGAAAAGAAACAAAACATGGTTTTCAACTGTTTCCTTCAATTAGCTTTTTTTTCTATCAAAGCAGTTACTTTTCTGATGTTGTCCTGATTATTGCATGGAACCAGGTAACTCTGTTTTCCCATTTGCCCCTCTTGCATATTTACCACCTCTTGCCAAGTACCTACTCATTCAATATTCCTCTGATCATCCATCCATCCATCCATCCATCCATCCATCCATCGATCCTCCACCCATCCATCCACCCATTCATCTATCTATTCATCCACCCACCCATTCACCCACCTATCTATCCGTCCCTCCATTAATTCATACAGCATTTATTAATTTCATCATAATGCATTCACTCATCATTCCCCATTTGACTCTCACTTCCCTTTTGGTCATTATATTTATACTTTATTGAAATATTTTTTGAAAATACCAATAATTAAAATGGCTATGTTTTTCATGTGTGTATATTAATATTTCTTTTATTGCAATACTAAAGAGGCTATTGTAGAAAACTTATAACATATAAGCATGTATATACCCTGATAATGTCATTGTAAATAAATGCACAATCATAAAAGGCAATTTGGTAATGTCATTTAAAATTTAAATTGTACATACTTTATGACCCAGTGAGTCCACTACCAGTAATTCATTCTAGAGGCACGTTACACATACAGGCAACCACATACGAATAAAAATGGAAATAGATACATCATTAAACTACAGATAAGCTAGATATTCACCAATAGAAGCCTGCTGAAAATAGCTATTTATATTCTTTTTCCTTTAAAAGACTATTTTCAAACTCTGTTTAAATCTTTCTTTACTGTTTCCCCTTCAATATTAGTTTTGTGGTTAATTAAAATTGACAGAAAATAATGACTTCTCCTATTTGATAGTTGATTTGCCTATTTCCAAAAAAGACACTTTTCTGCTCATTCTTAGCACAAATTCATATATTCGTTTAACAAATATTGTATTAAGTCCTTACTATGTGGCAGCAACACTTGAGGTGCCTGCAGAGAAAAATTCCTTCCTTCATGGAGCTTACACTGTAGAGAAAGGATACATAAAATTTGCAATACACATAATAAATAAGCAAACTTCATAGAAGGCAATAAGTGGCTTGAAAAAAAAATGCCCACGGCAAAGATATTTGGAATACTGGGGATAAGAGGCATGGTGCGCTTTTAAATAGGATTTTTAGGAGAGATTTCATTGAGAAGGTAACGTTTGGGCAAGGGTTTCAAGGAGGAGAGAGAGTTAGCTAAGCAGATATCTGGAGTGTGTAAGGTCAATGTACTCGATTGAAGAATGAGGGAAGAATGATAGGAGACAAAGTTAGATGAATAATGGAAAGCCAGATCATATGGGAATTTGTAGAACATTCCGAGGGCTTTGGCTCCTGAGTGAGAAAGGGAGCCATTAAAGACTTTGAGCAGAGGAATGACACAGTCTGATTTATGTGTTAAATGGGGGCTGTGTGGAAAGGAGATTGTAGGAGGAAATCCAATTAGGAGCTTATTGCAGTCATTTAGGTTAGTGATGGTGGTAGTTTGAATGAGTGTCATAGTGAAGGCAGCGACAAGTAGATAAGGTTGAAAGTGAAGGTGATCAAATCTCAGAAAAGTGAGATTTAAAAAAGAGGAGTCAAAGATTATTCCCCATCAATTAAAATGAGGACTGAGTGGATCATTTTGGGAAGGAAGATTAGATGTTCAGTTTTGAGTTCAGAAGAGAGATCTGGTCTAGAGATTTAAATTTGGTACTCATTGTCATATAGTGAGCATTTAAAGATAGAAGACTGAATGAAATCATGAAATGAGTTGGTGTGGGTCTCCCAAAGTTGTGAGGTTGGGCAGGAGTGTGGAGCTAGCAAGGAACATGAGTAGTAAATGGGGAGAGGACTTCCTATTCAGTAGTGCTGTAATAGCTAGCTAGCCACATGCAGGAGAATGAAACAGTACCCCTGCCTTTCAACATATACAAACATTAACTCAAGATGGATTAAAGATTTCAGTGTAAGATCTCAAACTATAAGAATTTTAGAAGAAAACCTAAAAAACACCATTCTGCACATCTGCCTTTAGAAATAATTTATGACTCAGACCTCAAAAGCAATTGCAACAAAAACAAAAATTGACAAGTGGGAGCTAATTAAACTAAAGAGCTTCTGCACAGCAAAAGAAACCATCAACAGAGTAAACAGACAATCTACAGGAGGGGAGAAAATACAAACTATGCATCTGACAAAGGTCTAGTATCCAGAATCTATAAGGAAATTAAAAAATTCAACAAGCAAAAACCATATTACCGCATTAAAAAGTAGGCAAAAGACATGAACAGATACTTCTCAAAAGAAGATATACACATGGCCAACAAACACTGAAAAAATGCTCAACACCAGTAATCACCAGAGAAATGCAAATCAAAGCTACAATGAGATACTATCTCACACCAGACAGAGTGGCTATTATTAAAAAGTCAAAAAATAACAGATGCTGGTGAGGCTATGGAGAAAGGGAATAGTTATAAACTATTGATGGGAATGTAAATCAGGGCAGCCACTGTGGAAAGCAGTTTGGCAATTTCTCCAAGAACTTAAAACAGAACTACCGTTCAACACAGAAATCCCATTACTGGGCATATATCCAAAAGGAAACAAATCATTCTACCAAAAAGACACATGCACTTGCACTTTCATTGCTGCCCTATTCACGATAGCAAAGACATGCAGTCAGCCTAGATGTCCATCAGTGATGGATTGGATAAAGAAAATGTAGTACATATACACCATGGAATACTATACAGCATAAAAAAGAATAAAATCATGTCCGTTGCAGCAACACAGATGCAGCTGGAGGTCATTGTCATATAGTGAGCATTTAAGTGAATTTAAGAGCATTTAAGGGCATCTAAATGAATTAACACAGGAACAGAAAACCAAATACTGCACGTTCTCACTTCTAAGCGGGAACTAAACACTTGGTACTCATGGACAAAAAGACGGCAACAACAGACACTGGGGACTGCTTGGAGGGGGAGGGAGGGAGGGAAGCAAGAGTTGAAAAACTAACAATTGGGTATTATGCTCACCACCTGGGTGATGGGATCATTTATATCCGAAACCTCAGCATCACACAATGTACCCATGTAACAAACCTGCACATGTACCCCCTGAATCTAAAATAAAAGTTGAAGTGACATCAAAAAAACTTTCATCAATAAAAACAAATACAAAAGTAAAATGCTACAATTTTATGATCACAAAAGAGTTTTTGTTTTAAAGTTGAAACTGAGAAAACTATGGTTAATATAAGTATTAAAAATATTTTATTAGGAGTATAATTTTAGAAAAAATTAGTCATTGTCAGTCAATAGATCTTTAAAATTATTTAAATGATAATACAGAGAAGAATAATATAGATAGCACAATTTCTTTTTATTGTTTCTAATTCTTTACATCTAAAGAATAATGTATGATTGGAAAAAGTATACTAAATGTGTGCTTTTGAAGTTGCTTTATGTGGGAATTGGATGTATGATAAAGGTAAAATCTCAAATCACTTGGCACAAAGATGGGCTTTTTAATGAATGGAGTTGAGACCTATGGATAGCCATATGGTAAAAGATCAAATTGTTTTCATACAACATACCAGGGCAAACTCCAATGAATTCCCACATGTATTTGAGGCTACATTCAGATTTCCTATTTGATTCCTTTAGTCTGTCCACATAATCCTCCATTTCTATCCTGCTGTTTTAATTCTTGTGGCTCTAAAGTATGCTTTAATTTTTGGTTCATCCTCATTATCTTCTATTTAATAGTTTTCATGGCTATATACAATAATTTGAATACTGTGGAGTCGTTTGGCATACTACTATTTGTGATATTCAAAACAAACTTTAGGCCAGGCACCATAGCTCATGCCTGTAATCCTAGCACTTTTGGAGGCCGAGGTGAGTGGATCACCTGAGGTCAGGACTTCAAGACCAGCCTGGGCAACATGGTGAAACCCCATCTCTACTAAAAATACAAAAAATTAGCCAGGTGGTGGCACGCACCTGTAGTCTCAGCTACTCAGGAGGCTGAGACAGGAGAATCTCTTGAACTTGGGAGGTGGAGGCTGCAGTGAGCTGAGATTGCACCACTGCACTCCAGCCTGAGCGAGATAAAGTGAGACTCCATCTCAAAAATAAACAAATAAATAATAAACTTTAAGAACCGTTTTTAGTTTTGTAGTTATTTAAATTCATTTGACCTTCCGTTTATTACATCAATGCTTACTGGGTACCTATTATGTGCTTATTACCACTTTTCTACATACTTGGGAGCATCAGTGAACAGAATAAATTTCTGCTCTCTTGTAGCTTTGTAGCCACGTGCATTAGTGCTGTGTTTCAAGAAAAAAGTCTATTTGATTATTCTTCACATCATCTGAGGTTGAATTAAAGCAGAATGCCAACTTTTCCATCTTAATATTTTATGAAGAAAAAAGTGTTCAAAATCTTGCTCAACAATATCTATAATAAATCACCTTTGATTTAGAATTGTAAAGAGTATGAAGAAAAGAAATAAGTGCTGGGGAAAAGTGAGACACCCAAGAGATATCTTGTTCTTCGACTTATCTTGGTTGAAATTAAGTGTCTACTTAGTATCATAAATTTACAGTACAGTGACCACAGAAGCATTTCAGCCATTGACAAGGCTAAGAAATGATTGTTCCTGCGCTATATCAAGCATTTAAAAATCGACTCCTGAACTGTTAATAATAAAATTGTAGTAGTAATTTTTTGCTAAAATTTAAGATTTATTGTCAAATCCCGGAAGCTATGATGAATTTGATATTCGGCGTCAGCTACAGCTTTGGCTGAATATTGCTTTAGGCACTTGACCACTTAGAATGACATAAAACATACATATATTTTCTGAGTTCCTTCACCACCAATTATTTTTTCCAAAGACAGAAGCCAAAATGTGAGAATAATAGAGACACAGTGCCTGCATGTCAGGAGCACATCAAGCTCATGACAACATTTTCAACAGTTAAAAGTTTTTTCAGCCCCAGATAAATTGTCCAGTGAGCAGAACATATATGGAGGCAACTTAGTTGTACTTTGCCCTTCTGCCATATGCGATCATCTCATGTCCGTAGCAATTGCCACACAACTAGAATAAATTGTTTTAGGGCTTGCAGTTACAAGCCCAACTTACTCAAGGACATTATTTAAAAAAATCTCATTTAAACAGGTTACAACAGACATTTAAACCTTATATGCAAAATAATTTCTTACAGGTTTTTATTTATCCCATTGATTTTTGCCTACAACTTCCTTCCCATGTCACCTGCCTCACTTTTCAAATCTCGATAATCACCCCTGGAAGTGTGTGAACTAGTTCCCAAGGAGGAATAAAGAACACGTCATTAATTATTCATGGTCTGGTGACTGCCTTGAAGTACATGTGATAATACGATGGTGCTCAAATTTGGTATTCATTAGAAACACCTAGGGAATTCGCTAAACTACAGATTGGTGGGTTCTGCCCTGCGATTGCTAATTGAGAATGTCTGAGGCAGGGTCTCAGAATTTACATTTTTGGCAAGTTCCCTGGTGATGCTGATCTGGGATCACTCTATAAGGGCCACTAATATAATAATGGTTTAACTTTTTGTTTCTCCCCTTGTCTAGGAGTTTATTGGAGGCAAATAAAATTCAGTTTCATTGACAAGCCTAAGAAATGATTGTAGTAAAGTACCAGGCACAGAGTAGATACTTAGTAAATAGCTGTTGACTAAATGCATAGAGAGCTTTACTCAGTAGTACTAGGTTAGTTGCATAAACGTTCAGAGCTTTTGTATTTGTAAGTTAATTTTTCCCCCAGTAGTCACCCATTGTCTTCTGGGAAACTAAAAATTCAAAGATTATTGATAACTTTAACTAAAATCCAAAGCACCTATATGGGGAATTTTGAATTATTTATTAATCACTAGCTAATATAAAATACAGCCTTAAATGAATGTTTTACTTATAGAAAAATTGAAATAAATACTTCTGAGTGTTTTGAGCTTATTTATACGTGCTCTCAAAAAAATCTCAGCAAAGATTTCAGATAACAATGATCACTTTTACCACTGCCTTAGATTGAATGCATGTATAATAGCATTCCTTGCATAGAATGCATGTACAATAGTATTCTTTGACGTCAATTATTATAACCTATCGCATAGTCCTACGGGGCAGTGATCTAGGAAAATATTTCCCTGAACTGAAATAATAAAAGACAAACACTCAATTCAAGTATACAAAAAGTGCCAGTTTTGTAAATTGCTACCAACAGTCACACCTTCCGCAAAGAAAATAACATGAATTAAAACAAAACAAAAACCATCATATTTTTATTTTACAAATTAGGGATGGAGAGGGATGAAGGTGAGAACTATTTACAATTTTATTTCATCTCAAAGCAGCACATTGCTTTAGTATTGGTGTGCAGAAAAATGAGGTTGCCACTGAAGTCTCTTCTCTCTCTTCAGCAACACTTCTCCCACTCCGCCCCAAGGCAACCTGCAAAGGAACAGCAGGCTGGGCTGAGTTGGACTTGCCTTTATAAAGCAGGCAGATTATTCCATTGTTTCCCTTGCCATGTGAAACTAAAAAAGCTGAAGATAAGCCTGGACAAAAATTTGGCCAATGGACTATTGAGTCCAAATACAGACTGGGATACGAGATTCCAGAAGCAAATATTTTGAAGTACCTGAAAGCAAAGGTGAAACATGTCAACAATAACATATGCATTGAGCTTTAGTGCCCATTTCCATTTTTTTGCTTTCAAGATTGTCATATTCTGTCCACATATTTGTTGACTTGGGAACTGATGAAAGTACACAGGTGAAATAAACCTTTGCCTGTAACCTTACCCTTTGGCTTATGTTCATTAAAGTGATAAAACCAAATGATATAATTTTTATTCTGCTTATTTTTTAAAACTCTTTTTGGTTACTCTTTCCCTTACCTTGTTTTCTCTAGACACATCTTCCATTGTTAGCACTATCTGTAATTCAAAAGTCTTTTCAGATGTTAAATTCTCTCTTGCAGTTATTGTCTGGCTTTAATTTTTAATGCTTTTCTTTCTTCCCCCTACACCTACTGCTTGTATTTTTCTTTTCCATGGATTTGATCTCCTTGGCAGCTGGCATTGTCTCCATTATTTCATCTTGCTCACATAAATATTGTCAAAGCACTCACCTTTCTTTTCCCCCAGAGGAGGAAGTAGTCGATAAAGAATATGCTACACCTTTTCTTTCTTTCAAAGAACAGGTAGCTATTTTTCATGAAATGTCTCCCTTGTAAATTTCTTTATATTTCCTTTTAATAATTAATCTAGTCTTTATTATTTAAAAAGCAGTGTCATCCTCTTTGGAAGATATGTTCTATGTTACAATCTCATGAATTCTTACCACTCATAGAAAGGGAAACTATTATAAAGAGTTGAGAAGGACCAAAGTTGAGGAAAATAACACTACTTTATCTGTTGTATTTCTTCTCTTTCATTTAGGACAACTGTGTAAGGTTTTACATTTTATATAAATATCTCAATTCTATGTTAACATGGTTCTATATTTCATGCAACTCAAAACAAACAAGTAGGTAATAATACTAGCACATATTTTCTAAAATACAAAAATAGATATTTAAGAATAGATATATATTTCAAATATATTGAAATTGGTTTATCTCTAGGAGATATGTTATCAATGTGTTTTCTGCAAATTCTTGGTCATTAAAATTTTCTATTCTGGTTTTAAAGATAATTTTTATTTCTGGCATAAATGAATATCTTTCAGAAACTATGCTTCCTGGGATCCAGTCAAAGTATCTTAAATAACAATTCCACTTAGACTTTTCCAGCAGGCAAGAAAGGGTAATATTGGTGGCTTATAAAGTTTTGGGCTTATTGATACAGTTTGTGGACTGGAACAAAAAGGAGATTTCTTTATTTAATGAAGTTGATCTCAACTATCCCTGTGCCTCAGGGATAGATTTTTTTAAAAATCTGGAGTTTTTAAGAACTAAAGGTGTTGAGCCCAACTTTTTGAGATTCCATGTCAATTGGCTGGGTGGCTAGGTGGGGGGAGAAGTGAGTATTTTTACAAACCTCTGAGTAGATTCTAATGTACAGTCATAGTTGGGAACCATTGATTTGTCACCAAAATGGTAAGCTGTGAGTGCATATACAGATCCAACATCATCTTCAGGAAACTAGGCAAGCCATAGCTTCTTATGTCTTTTGTGTGGTATTTCCCTTGGAGTCCTAAAAAAATGGCTTAAACTTGAGCCTCACAATGGGTAAGTTTGCCTCTGCTTTTTCTTTTGCAAAGCTATTATATAAATGTCCAAATTATTGATGAAGATCAGGGTGAGAGGATTAAAGAGAGGGAAAGGCAGAGAGCATCTCTCACAACATGGAACAATGAAAGAAAGCACATGTGCTTTTGTTTTGGCAAAGTATGCCACTAATCTAGTTATATCCATCATGTCAAGCTTGCTTACAAATGTATTGTTGTCTGTCTATAGAGATGTGACATTAAGTAGCCCATATACTGTGTTTTTTATTTGTTTATAGGTTAATTGTTCAGAATATTGATCTCCTGGGCTCATTTTCCCATTCTTTCTGAAATACCCTTTCAAATCAACAAACATAAAATAGAACAGATTCTTCCACACAGGGGACTCTTAAATGATGCAGATTCTTTCTACTTGGTGCCTATTAAAAAATCACTTTTGTAAGAAAGCATAATCCAGTATACATATTGCTGCTACTCCAGAAGTTACTGCATTATTTTAGGCCCTAAATTTTGGAGGAATGGATGAAACTAATTAGGATGCACTAAATTTTTGACCACTTACCGTTTTTGTTAATTTAGCTATATATATATATATATATACACACACACACATATATATATACATATATACATATATATACACATATACACATATATACATATATACACATATATACACATATATATACACATATATATACCTTTAAATTGCAATAAAGTTCTATACATTTGAATTCAAAAAACTATTTAATGATGAATTACTGAGTGAGAGCTGCTGAGACAGTATGCCTGAAAAAAATGCTATAAAAAATAAAAGCCTAGTACAGCCATTATGGAAAAGAGTATGGATTTTCCTCAAAAAGTTAAATATAGAACTACCATATGATCCATCAATTCCACTTCTGGGCATATATTCAAAGGAAACAAAATCAGTGTCTTAAAGGGAAATCTACATTTCCATATTCATTGCAGCATTATTCATATTAGCTGAGATATGGAATTAACCTGTGTCCATCAATGAATGAATGAATAAAGATAAGGTGGTATATGCACACAATGGAATACTATTCAGTCTTAAAAAAGGAAATCCTGTCATTTGTGACAACAAAGGCAACTATGGCATGATCTTGTATGAAATTCCAAAAAGTCAAACTAATAGAAGCAGAGAATATAATGGGGGTTTACAAAGGGCTAGGATGGGTGGGAATGGGGAGATTTTGGTTAAAGGATAAAAAGTTGCAGTTACACAGGATCAATAAGTTCTGGAGCTCTACTAAACAGCATGTTGACGCTAGTTAATAACAATGTATGTATATATGAATTGCTGAGAGAGTAGATTTTAAATGTTTTCACCACTAAAAATAAGTATGTGAGGAGATGGACACGCTAATTAGCTTGATTTACTCACTCCACAATGCATACGTATATCAAAGCATCACATTGTACACCGTACATAAACTTTTTAAAATCAATTACAAAAAATTATAAAATAAAAGTAAATAGGAAAAAAAGCTTAATTCTGAGTAGTGGGGATGCAGGCTGTTATGTGCCACCATTTTCTACTTCCCATAGTTGTCGTTACACAGTAACCTCTGCCTTAATTTTGTAACGTATTTTTTTTTTTTTTTTAATTAACAAGTACATTCAAAGCCAGTTGCTTGGCTCTTGGGTGGGTATGTGAAGAGAAGCTTCCTCAGGGCCTGGCGAGGGAATTTTAATGCCCTTGATGAAATTATGTGTAAATGAGACACTAGATCAAAGAGCACCGCAGGAGATATACCTAATGTAAATGACGAGTTAATGGGTGCAGCACACCAACATGGCGCATGTATACAAATATAACAAACCTGCACGTTGTGCACATGCACCCTAGAACTTAAAGTATAATAAAAAAACAATCAAACAAAAAAACCAAAGAGAACCGCAGGGAAGGCAGAGCCAGAGGCAGAATCACGCGGGAAGGCCAACATCTAGAAGTCCAAGATGGCTTCTCAGAGTGAGTGCAGAGAGACTCTGAAGAAGATCTGGAATCTTCCTTCTCTTCATATTTAATTTTCTAGGGTGTATCTCATCCAAAGAAAATTCTGTACACGAGAAAAATGTTTCTGGAAAGCACTGGTGCAGCCTCTGTCAGGTACGGTTTTTTTGGGGGGCCGTATTTCTTAAGTATAACTTTAGTTTTCCTCATACCACAAATTTAGGTATCTCTAGGATCTTATCTACATGGATGTGCTCTTGTTGACTGAAATGTGTTTTTCTAGCCATGAACAGGGCACAGGTAAAATGGTAGAGGGTGAGTGAGGATTTTGCAATTATTGGAAACAGATGTGCATACATATTTTGATATTGTTGGAAGTATTTCTTCCGTGTAAATTCCTAGAGGAGAGATTGTTGGGTTCAGATGCAAAGGAACGCTCTATGTAATTTTGTTAGGCATTGCCGAATTCCCCTCCATTAAGATCACATCAGTTTGCATCCTGACTAAAAATGTGTGAGAGTTCTTGTATCCCCTGCTGCCTCAGCAACGGAATATATTGTTATACTTTTTAATTTTTGCCAGTCTGACAGGTAAGAAATGGTATCTCAGTGTGGTTTTCACAGGTATTAGTCTTGTTATGAGGAGGATCATTTTTTCATGTGTTAAACAGCCATTTGCACAGTGTGTGCATGTGTGTGTTTGTGTGTGTGTGTATGAATTGTGTTGTTTTTTGCCAATTTTGCTATTGGCTTACTGAAATCCTTTTGATTTCCTTACTCTCCTGCCAATAGCCACACAATCTGAGGAAGGGAACCTAAACATTATATGCAGGCAGAAGCTCCCAAGTGCTTGATTTGGGTTTGGAACCAGGCTGGTTGCTTAGGAATTAGCTAGGTAATATAGATTAACTATATCTTTCTTCAGGTTTCTGATTCAAAACGACCAGGGCGGTCCCAAGATCCTGTGTTTTTAGCAACTAATCCTGGTGGTTTTGGTGCCCAGCCATGTGTGGGAATTATTGATAAGACTGCGCTTCCTGTAAGAACACCAGCTTCAGGGTCCCTGACTGGGAAGAGAAAGAATGTACTAGAGGAGAATGAGCTAGAGGTGGCTGGAGAAGGCTGCTTATACTTCAGGAATGCATCAGAACATTCTAACTTACTTAATTTTACCCATCAACTCTGTCCTACCTGGGGAGAATGGAGGTGCTGTTCAATCCATTCCTGATCCTCCAAATGCACTTGGATCTGCATTTGTTATTACTCATTCCTGGAGTCTCATCTTTGCAAGTGTATTGCAAGTGAATTATCTTTAATGTTTTCCGGAAGCATATTCACCTTGTGTGTCATTTTGGAAATACTGTTGTGAAATTAGCATGGCATTGTTAATTAGATAGAACTGATAGTTTGGTTATTTTCTGTTCAAAAGCAGGGAAGAATAAAAATACATTCTTATATTTTAGTTAGTATATTACAATTAGGCCTATGATATGGAAACAAAATACTAACATTTAGTTTGTAGAAGCCACTAGTTCTAGCCCTCTTATTCTTCATTGTTTCATGGGGTTAAACTGAGGGTGCTGTATGAGAAAAACGTGTTGTACCCAAAAGGCAAAGTCATTTGGATTTGCTTCAAGGAAGTCCTGTAGTTGACCTTGAGAACCTTTTAAGGTAAGAGAAAATTGAGCTCATGAGGACCTCCAAATTTTAAGTCAAATTCAGCAATATGTAAGAAAAGTCTTTAACTTAGGATGTACTTAATAAGAGGTGGCTGTGTAAGAAAGGAGGTGTTGCTTTTCTTAGCTCATTTGAGAAAGATTATTTTTAATTTCCACTGAGTAAAGAACAAGAGGGGATGTGGTTAAGTTCGATGACAGAAAGAGTTTCCTTCTGGGTAGAATTTCTTTTGTGGTTATGAGCTCTCTTTTCCATGCAGGAAGTGGTTTTTAGAGTGTAGAGGCAACTGCAATTTTTCTTCAGGTGATTTAAATGCATTTTTACCTATACCATGAAAATGTTTGTATTTTCCATTCTACTAAGTGTGAATAATTTACTTGCAATTAAAAAATTTAAAATTCCGGTAAAATTTTGGGGACTAATAAGTGAGGAAATATGGGATAGATGACCTGTAGGGTCTTTGAAATCTTTGATGACCCCAGTGATGTTATGGTCCAAAAATAAGATGGAAAATCTTTTCTTAAAGGGATTCAATTTCTGCCACAAAGTGAGATTATAAGATGGATTTTAAAAAGGCTATTTTATTTGTAATGAAATTCAATAGAAATAAAACTATGCATAATATAAATAAAGTTTAGTCAAAATCCTTTTCTCAGCTGTTACGTGATTCTCTATGGTGGGACCTAGGACTAGAGTTCACTAGGGGCTCAATTTCTTCAAGTACTGTATCCCACCTTGCTGAAAAAGTCTGAGTGATGAAGATCCAAGGGTAGCCCATATCTGCTTTGGCTGTTATCTCTTGGTTTAGGACAAAAATATGAACCAGTACGGTTTTCTCACTTGTTTCTTTGAACTAAGAAACATGAAGGGAAGTTGCCAGTTGGTTGTGGAACCTAAGGTCAAAGAGTCAGGATACTGAGTGTTGTAGCAAACTTATGAGCCAGAATAAACCATGACAGCTTAAGAGTCTCTTTAGTGAAAAGCTGACAATGGAACAAGAATCCAGAGAGAAATTGAGAGGCCCCAAGAGAGGGATTATAGGGCTTCCTTGCTTCTAGGTTCTTGAAATCTCTGGAAAATTCTCCACCAGTTCTGAGATCCAAGATGTCTTTTGTATTCTTAAAATACACTTCACTTTTCTTGCAATGTTATTTATTCTCCTTTAGTCAAAGTAGCCACACTAATCAGTTATACCTAGACACAAATAATTTTTGCAAGGAAGTCATAAGGAAGCAATATTTTTTACATTTTGTATTTCATTCCTTCATTTTACTTCTTCAATGAATGTATTTTTTTGAAATATAGTATTTATTATTAATGTGAATATTTTAAAGGGTATGTTAGTGACATTTTTGGAAAACTGAAAATAAAGTACATTTGAATATTTTTTATGCAAACCAATCCATTAAAATCAATTTTTATTTTAGGACCTTCAGTATATGCTATGTGCTCTTTTCTAGTTATAATAAGTCATATTCAATGATTAACAGAAGGATGATGATAAACGATTTGATGAAAGGGAAAAAATGCCAATTATCTTGATAATTGTTGAAGCAACCAAACATTTGATGCAACTTTTAGGTTTCTGTGTGTATAAGCAATCCTGCTACTGGGTATCTACCTAAAGGGAAAGAAATCATGATACCAAGAAGATACCTCGGCTGGGCACGGTGGCTCATGCCTGTAATCCCAGCACTTGGGAGGCCAAGGCAGGTGGATCACTTGAGATCAGGAGATCGAGATCATCCTGGTCAACATGGTGAAACCCCGTCTCTACTAAAAATACAAAAATTGGCTGGGCATGGTGGCAGGCACCTGTAGTCCCAGCTACTCGGGAGGCTGAGGCAGGAGAATCGCTTAAACCCAGGAGGCGGAGGGTGCAGTGAGCCAAGATTGCACCACTGCACTCCAGCTTGGGCAAAAGAACAAGACTCCATCTCAAAAAGAAGAAGAAGAAGAAGAAAAAAAGAAGTTACCTGTACTCATATGTTTATCACAGCACTATTCACAATAGTAAAGGTATGGAATCAACCTGTGTCTCCAAATGGAGGATTAGATAAAGAAAATTGGGCATATGTATACCTTGGAATAGTACTCAGCCATAAAAATGAAATGTCTTTAGCAGCAATATGGATGGAACTGCAGACCATTATGCTAAGTGAAATAACTCAGAAACAGGAAGTCAAATACCCCATGTTCTCACTTGTAAGTGGGAGCTAAACAATGGGAACACATGGACATACAGAATGGAATAATAGACATTAGCGACTCTAAAATGTGGGATAGTGGGAGTGGGGAAAGGGCTGATAAGTTACCTATTGGGTACAATGTTCACTATTCGGGTGATGGGTATACAAAAGGCCCAGACCTCACCACTATGCAATATATGCATGTTAGAAATCTGTACTTGCACCTCCTAAATATATAAAAATTACAGGAAAATTAAAATAAGCTTATACATGTGTAGGTAGCAACTAATTGACCTATACAAGAAATTATTTTATTTTATGAAATAATGATCACTAGTTGGAGACTTAAATGTGTTTATTTTAAAAGCTTTACTATTAATCTCAATCAAATCTCATCTTCTCCTCAGCTGTTGCCGTGGAAGCTGGATGTGAAGGAGGTGGGGGCTGAGGCCTGGTGCTTAGTCCCCTCTCCCCTAAGTCCTTTCCTGGGCATTGACTTCTGTGGCGTGGTAGGCAAGATGGAAGCAAGCATATGGGGAGGCAGAAGTGTTTTTACTTGACTGCCCATGTGTGGTGGTTTCACATCTTCCCTTAGGCCAATCTGGTTCCAGCTGAGGATGTTGATAGTATCTGCTGGCATTAAGGTTTCCAACCAGATGGTGTGCTTGGTCTTCACTGGGTGGCATTTATCATTGCCCCAGCCTTCCTTATCACTGAAACATTCCCTCAAGGAATAGCCATGTATCCCTTCACTTCTCCAGCAGTACACTTCTTTGGATTAGACATCCTATCTATTGGCTCAGAAACTGCCAGGGTATTCTCAGCTCATTTCTGTACTGTATTCTATGAAAGTGGAATGCTTTTCCACATGCTCTGAGGGCTGTGAAGAGCTGGGAAAGGCTGCCTAGGAATGCCAAACCCTTTAATTTCCACTGGCATGGGCTGCTCCAGTGGTCTCTATCCCTTGTAAGTCTCTAAGGAGCCAGAAATAGGCAGCCTGCTTTATATTCAAGAATGACCTATAAACTTTAAGATAAACCTCTGAAGCACTTACTTCCTCCTGTCCACAGTTGGGGAAACAGACCAAAAAATAACACCAACATACCTTCAGAGTTCTAGAACTCTCTCCTAAGGATCCCTTAGCATGCTCCTCCCTGGGGTGTTGCCAGCATGGACCTAGGGGTACTGCAGCTCAGCAAGCCCCCAGCCAGGGAGCCAGTTGTCAGTAACTCCATCTTTCTGGAACCTCCAGGCTTCACAGATAATTATATTGGCTTCTCACAGGGGAGCATCTCTTATTCCTTTATCTTCTTTTCATAAACCCTGTAGTACCCACCTCATCTGGCCCCATGGTTGACTTTTTTTTTGATGTGGGGATTGGTGGAGGGTTGAACAGTCAGTGGAAATTCTGCACTGGGTCGGCCTCTCAACAAGTCTTTCAAGGAGGTGTTGGTTCCAGTTCCAACTGAGAACAACTTCTTGTCATTATGGGATAACTTGCCTTTTCTTCAAAACAGCATGGAAAATCTCACTCTACCTGTAAATCAGAGACTATATTTGTCCTTAATCCTCAACATGTTACTAAATGCTTTTCAAATAATAGAAACTCAATAAACATTTGTTAAAGAAGAAAGACAAGGGCAGTTTGAGTAAGTTTAACTTTATTTTCAAAAAAATTTAAGAAGCTTCCAAGAGAGATGGATACTTTCTGATAGAAAAGAAGGCTATATAGAGGTTACAATGGATTTATGAGAAAAAATCTGGTTCAAGTAATCTGACATAATTCCTTGCTGACATTCTCTGATGAAAATTAATGATTGGAAGATGATGTATTAAGATATTATATGCAATTTAACTCAGGCAAAGTTGTGTATTATATAAAATAGTAGAGAAAAGGGATTTGAGAATCAGTATGAAAGCAGACAGCCAACAAAGAGAAACAAATAGGCTTTAGACTGTGCCTGTAAAGGATGAAGATAGCAACCATTTCAGTTTGTGTCTTTTTGTCTTTTAAAAACTCATTTGACTTTTTATTTGACTGACCTGACCAAATTTCCATGTTGTTTTGGAGCCATGGAAACAGAGTCATGATGTGCTATTGAATGAGACAAAATAAATACAGACGGGCTTAGGTGTTAATGAAATTTTTTATGTTTCATATGATTATTTGTGGGATTAGCTTGTATAATATAATTACTAGTTCACATTTCCTTTAAAGTCTCTCATGATTTTTTTTTCAGATGGAGAATTATATTTGGAGTATGGCAGATTTTAGAAAAATTTGTAAAGAAGGAATTATCAGTTTCTGCTTACTGTAGATACCCATGCCCTCCTAAATTTGGAGAGATCCTCACTCCATTTTGGAAGCATTCCCTTCTGAAATTGTCATGTATTGACTCTTCACTATCTCTCCCGGTAGACGTGGTAAGCTGCTTGAAGACTACATCCTATTTGTCTTTGCGTTAGCAGCAATGATCACAGAGTGTAGGACATAATAGGTACACAATAATGGTTTAATGCATGAATAAATAGTTATCAGGAGCCCCTGCACCAGTCTTACAATCCCAGCCCTGGTATTTCATATATTGGTGTAAAATCCTAGTTACCCAAATGCTTCTGAAATTGCTTGTTTCTTCCTAACCCATGATAAGATCACTCAGTTCTTTACTGATAGATGACTTCCCAATTTCCATTAGGATTTTCTCTGAAATGCATCTTGCTTGCTGGGGCACTGCTAACTTCCCAGGCCTTGCAGGCCTATTATCCAGAGACTAAACCTTGCTCCCACAGAGACCTCCATCACTAGCCTGAACTCTCTGGGGTTAAATAACCCTTCAGATTATGTTCCAGGGTTATTAGCGATACGAGAGTCTAAGCAAGTACTCTTCATTTATTTTCCTCCAATCCTGCCTACATTTATCTAACAAATTGAAAATATTATTCTTTCCTTTTGCTTATTGTACCTCTGGAAAATCTGCCAGGAAGAATTTAATAGACATTAGACTGGGGTTCATCCTTTAACAGCATAATATTTATTTCTTCACCTGAAGGTTAAGAGGGTTTAATCTTCAGAAAGAACTATTAGTTTCTACCTCCTGCAGTACAGTTGGGAAGAGGTTTCAATTCTAATCTGGGAAAGTTAAATGATGGGAATGGGTGCTGGTCATATTTCTTTAAGGATGGGCTAAGGGACTCGTACCCAGAAAAAAAAGTCTCATAAAAGTAGGTTAGAGTTCCAAGTGTTCTAGCTCTTTCAACATATGTCATGCTGCTGCCTGGGCACATATTCTTCTGATATCAAAACTGATAGTAATGTCAAAGATACAATGTGTTTTTGTGGAGGAGAACAGTGAGTGAAGTTTGGGTAACAGGTGTAGGGATTCAAGTCAGAGGAATAAGAGAATGCCACTTATGCCTCTTAAGCTGTAGCCCAAGCTTAGTAATAATCTCCTTTGAGTGTGTGTGTGTGTGTGTGTGTGTGTGTGTGTGTGTGTATCCATAATTTGAACAGTCCCAGGGTGTGCTGTGGCTTTATTGGGGAACCAGAAATGCCGAGCCCTTTTCTTGAGGTTAAGAGCTGCTGCAGAGCTGTTGGCCTCAGATAATGTTCTGATCTGGGAGACAGAGAGGACCTTCTGCTTTCACACCCAGGATCTCATTTAGAGAGTAATGTTCAGTTTCACCCCAACAATGTGCTCATTGCTGCGATTTCCAGCACTATTAATATTAAGGAACTTGTGTTTGGGGGTGGGGTTGGGGAGGGAGGAAAATAATTGGCAGGCTGAATATGCTGATCTTTTCACACACTCCTCTTTTGCTTCCTCTCTGCGGCTGCAGTTGGGTTTGCTTGCTGTCTCCACCGAGCTGACGTGTGATGTCTGCAGCGCGAGTCAAAGCCACCTCGCAAAGGCAGCCGTGTTCCCTGCCTTGACATCTCATCCCTCGTCCTTACTCAGATCTCGTCAGCCTACACGGTCTGCTCCTCCAACAGCTAATAGCGAAATGACTGCGGGGAAGGCAATGACAGCAATCGCTGTTCAGCATTTATTTTACCTTTGATTTTTTGCTGCACATAAAATTCCAGGCCTGAGCTGCGGGGCAGACATAGAGGAGAGTGCGGGGGCTTGGAAGAAGGTGGGACTCTGAAATCTGCCCCTCCTCCCCCTTCAGTACAACGTAATGTGAGCTGAGTGGTCTCTGGCAATGATTTAATGCCTCCTTTGGACATTTGCCGGTTAACATAGCAAGATTGACAGTGTGCATCGTGAGTTGTATGTAGCTACCAAGGCTCAGAGGCTGTATATTTCCCTATCCTGCATGTCATTCCTGAGACCTTTTATAAATTCAGAGGCAGGACAGCAAGCTAGGCTCCTACCATCATCTGTGTTCTTGCTTCTTTATTGTTCTCAGTACCAAATGATATTCCACAGCACCTGCTCATACTGCTTAGTGCCATATAAGGAGAACCAGGTAGGAACACATGCTGCCCTGCCCTCCAGGAGCTTGCAGTTTAAGGCAAATACCCAGACAGAGACAAATGTTATTTCTGAATCTTTTTCCTCTCTGTTACTTGGCAAACAGCTAGTGATATGGTTTGGCTCTGTGTCCCCACCCAAATCTCGTCTTGACTTGTAGCTCCCATAATTCCCTTGTGTTATGGGAGGGACTTGGTGGGAGATGATTGAATCATGGGGGCAGTTTCCCCCATACTGTTCTCATGGTAGTGAATAAGTCTCACGAGATCTGATGGTTTTATAAGGGGTTTCCCTTTTCTCTTTGCTCTCATTCTGTCTTGTCTGCTGCCATGTAAGATGTGCCTTTTGCTTTCCACTATGATTGTGAGGCCTCCCCAGCCACATGGAACTATGAGTCCATGAAACCTCCTCTTCTTCATAAATTACCCAGTGTCAGGTATGTATGTATTAGCAATGTGAAGATGGACTAATACAGCTAGCCATAGTGGACATATTACACAAACTTCATACTCAAGAGCTTCATCCCAGTCCTGTCTTGGTCATTTAATAGCTTTGTGACTTTGGGCAACTCATTTAACTCTTTCGAGTCCCAACTTCCTTATCTGTAAAGCTGTACAACAATGAAGCCTATGTCCTGGTGTTGCTGCGAGATTAGACATAGTGTTTAAAAACCAAGCTGGCCTACAGGAAGAGTTTAATTTCTGGTAGTTGACATTTTGGAGAGTGAATCTAATGATAAGTGCATGGGCATCGTCACATTTCCCGTGATGTGTATGGATGGATTTGGAGCTCTGAATAAGTACAAAGGAATTGTTTTTGAAACGTGTCACTTCACATTGCCAGTTCTCTCTTCCTCCTCATCTGTATTTTTTCCTGTTATTGAACCAATTCATGGAGCTAGCATGGAATTTCTATTAACTTACTCCACATAGATATGACGCTATCTGGATAGGTTAGCCTGAACATAATTTCTCAATTAACTAAATTCTGCTTCTAAGCGATTTACAGCATAGTGGTCTTTTCATTCATTCCCTTCAACTTGGGGTAGTAATGGATGCAGTTATTGCATTGAGCACTCACGGAGAGTGGTCTACATGGATACCATTTTTCTTTTAACAAATAATTTGCCTTTAAATATAATGTTCTATGGTGCGGTTATGTATGTAATAATTTGTTGATAATTTTTTATTCATATATACTAGGATCATCCATTATAATCTAATTGAAAAACACTGTTACAGAGCAAATGACAATTACGTTTGATCCTTTTGTTTAACCAGTTAGTATAAGCATAGCTTATACTGGATATAGTTCACATGGAATGATTGATAGGTGAGGTGAGATTATTTTATATCAAATCTTGTAACCAATCTTGTAACTCCACAGGCCAATTTTCTATTACAGGCTTGGGTAGACGCTCCTGCAATTTTTTTCTGAGAAGAAAATGATCCTGTTAATGTAGTCTTTTTGTTCTTGCCTTTAGACAATCATCTAACAGTTTTTTATACTCATATAGCTCTTTGTATTTTTCAAAGTCCTTTCTCTTGAATTCCGTGATATGGATCCCATTTCTGGTTTCCATCTCCTTACCACCATATATAAAGATAAATGCCAACTGCCCAACGACGTGAGGGAAAAGTGGGGATAATTCTTTGGAATGTTAAGCATTATTCCTTCAGGGCTTGACAATCCAGCATACTGTGAAAGCATAGGGCCATTTTTGGAAGAAGAGAAGGAAGATGGAATTTACAGTCTTGGAATCCTTTCAGCATTCTACAGTGTAAAGTGTGTGTGTGTGTGTGTGTGTGTGCACGTGCACACATATGGGAGGGATTTCTTGGTTACGTTAATAATTTATGACATCCTGTGTTATTTGCCAGTGGATTTATGAGTTACTGCAACAAGATTATAAGCAACTCGAGGTCAGAGAATCTTTTTTACAGCTTTATAGGTCTCAAAATGCTTAGCATAGTTCAGGGAAATTGTAAGTATACTGTGGATTCTTGCTGAATGGAATTGAAAGGTACTTTCTGCTTCTCACGCCTACCTAACATTAGATTGCGTGAAGTCAGTGCAAGGGGACTTGCTCATTATGCCTGCTCTGTGGATAGTAAAGCAAATGCTTACTAGAAGGAGGGTCAATAAGATACAAAAAAATTCAGGTTGGAATAAATGGACCATGCCCTTTTTTGATACCTAATGACTCCAAATTACTTTTAGCAATGAAAGCTCATTAACTTTTTCACAAAGTGGTAATGTGAAACCTGTTCCAAAATATGTGAATTGCTTTAAAATAATGTCTCATAGAAGTTAAATTGAAAACAAGAAAAATTCCTGAGACAGAGCTGATGTCTATTGCATGGTAGTACAGAGCCATTTGGGAACTATTTTAAGAATGGAGACCCTCCTAACCAAAGTCAGGGTTGGGGATAAATGGAACTGGCAGTCACCCATGATATGCTCAAGAAACACACTGTGCAACTGAGATTTGAGAATTTTTGCTGCAGCCTTACCGCTGCTGATGCTAGCCCTTAGTGACTAAAGGGTGCGGATAAGCAAGGTGCTGTAGAAGAAATGGACCAAGAATTTGAAAATAAACACAATAGCTCATTAGTAAATATACCATGTCCCTACTTATTGGACCAAATTCTCCTCTTTGAGCCAAGGATGGTCATGGAAATTGTGGTTTCTCTTGAGGTCAGGTGATTTGTTCATTTGGTGCTTCTTGAGTTTCTCTGAGGTTGTCTGGGATAAGCCTGATCACCTGGTAGGATTTTCTTGAAGGAGTTGTCATGGAGTGAACAATGGACATACAGATTAGTTGCCCATTTCAGAGGGTTTAGTAGGAATTGGCAATATCATTGACATTTGGTTCTTGGTTCTACCTCTCCTTATGCTTTTCTCATGACTAAATAATGGAAGACTTGCTTTTCTGACACTGTTTACCAGCACCTAACTGCCAGGCAGACAGATTCTGCTCTTGTATGAGGAAAGAGTGTGGTTATGGAGATTGGTGTGAAACAGTAAAGTGTGACATGTTTATGACTAAAAACACATGTTGGCAATGCCATCTCCAGAGTGGGAAAGTTTTATTTTATAATTTCCACAATTCAAAAGACTGGTGATTTTTACTCTAAGTTTTAATTTATTGTGGCTCTACGCCTGTTTGTAAAATGCTGGCCCTCTGGGAAGTATATTTTGATGCCTACAGATAGCTAACAACCAGAATTCATAATTTTCTAACTAGAGTTTTAAAACCCCTATATTTGTAATAGTCTTATGATGAAACAATGTACTGAAGAAATCAAGGACTTTGCGACTTCAGGAATGGGGAATATCAATGAAGGTTTAGTAATGCTATAAAATGGAGCCCTTTTGTTGGGATCTCTTTATTTGCTTGTTCATCTCTGTACATGCATTTGGCAAAATTTGCCTCTTTAGCTTAAATATTGTCTCAGCATACATTTAAAAAAATTGTGTACTCTTGAAGCTCATTATAAATACCAAATTTTGACTCAAAATATAATTCACTAAAATATAATAGTTTTAACATTATTCTATTTAAAACCTTTTCCTCCTCACATTTTATAGATTTTTCTAAAGTTGCAACTATTTAACATAAAACAACAACCTAAAAAATTCTACTTAGAAGATCTAAGATCTTTTATCATACCATTTATTTTACTGAGGTTATTTCCTAATAGTTCTTATTTTTAACATTTATTTTGAGTGTCAGATTTCATTATATCTCAGCCATTCCATGTATGCCTCCCCCATAGAGAAATAATAACCTGATTCATAAATGGTAAACAGTAAATTCATACATGAAAATATAAAGATAAATTATTATTTCTAAAGTTGAATAATATTAATACATTTGGCCTCAAGAATTCATGTTTCTGCAAGGACTTTATGGGTAATAGGTGTGAACCCAGTTGCAAGGATGTGGTTGAAAAGGCCTCTGCCAGTATACTAAAAATTTGCTAAGAGGGTAGATCTTATGCTAGGTGTTCTTAACACACATAAACACATACAAATACTAAAAAAATAAAAAGGGCAGGAGGAAACTTTGTTGATAGTTTCACTGGTGTATACTTATATCTAAACTCAACAAGTTGTATATATTAAAAATGTATAGGTTTTATGTGTTAATCACATCAGACTCAGGCACAAAATATCTCTGAGACCCTCAGGCACTCCCCTCTATGATTGGCTTGATTCTCCAATTTTACCTTCTACTTTCTAAGGCTGAACCTGAGGTTTTCACTTCATCCCTGTACTTCTAACTTGAGCTTGTACCCAGACTTTCAGGGCTACTGTACTAGCCTTTGAGCTGCCAGAGATGCTACCCTGTCAGATCCCAAAGACCAGGATTCCCAAATCAGCAGGTGTCTTGACCTGAATGCTTTATCATCACCGCTTGAATCAACTGAGCTTGGAGTTTGGATGTGATCTCGGTCCCAGTTTCACTAAGCTCCACCAGAGCGGGGCCTGGCTCCTTTTCACTGCAGTCTAGCACTTTCAGAAATTAGCTGGGGAAAGCAGAGGAAGCTTCCAGAGGAATGCTAGAGTGAAAACTTGAGTACAGTTGATAATACCTCCACATTTTCTTAGTCTTTAGTTTTCGTATCTCCTATTGGGTTTACTTAAGTTTTCTAATTTTTTCTAGGATTTAATTTGCAGAATAAAATAAGACATTCTTGTTCTTCATATTTTTGGAAAAGAATGGGATACAGTGGTTGAATTAAAAGAAAAAAAAAGAATCATTGTGAAGTAACCCAGCTATTTGAAGATACGTAGCTTTGATTGAAGCCCAGTTTGAAAGAGGATGACTACAGGCAAATCCTATCAGTGGACATTTTATTAATTTTGTTCATAAAAAAAGAGTCAATCAGCATCACACCTCAGGGAATATTCATATAAAATCAGATTCAAACATAGCTAATTAAAAGGAATTTTAAGAGTAACCCAGCATAATGCCAAAGTAAAGAGCAAAAGGACCTGAGGAGCTATAAGCAGTAACAGAAGCTTAGAGGTTCTTCAGTAAGAAGCTGTGGTTCCCTTGGGGAATGAGACAGAAGGTCAGACATCAGAATCAAGAATAGGCAGATAGGGCTGGGCAAGGTGGCTCACGCCTGTAATCCCAGCACTTTGGGAGGCCGAGGTGGGCAGATCACTTGAGGCCAGAAGTTTGAGACCAGCCTGGCTGACATGGTGAAACCCCATCTCTACTAAAAATACAAAAATTAGCCAGACATGATGGCGGGTGCCTGTAATTTCAGCTACTCAGGGGGCTGAGGCAGGGGAATTGCTTGAACCTGGGAGGTGGAGGTTGCAGTGAGCCAAGATGGTGCCGCTGCACTCCAGCCTAGGCGATAGAGCGAGACTGCCTCTCCAAAAAAAAAAAAAAAAAAGAGAGATGGATTTCACTAGTCCCCCCACAAAATTCCCAAAGACAAGTTGAGAAATCAAGAAGAATAACAGAAAGATATGTCAAGAGTGTTCCAGGTATGTGAGTCCTGCTTGTGCAGCTGACTGGGTGGGGCCTGTCTGGGGGTGTATATGGGAGGGAAGGGAAGGATTGGAAGCCACCGAGGGCGAGACCCGGGGAGAGCGGTGAACACGTAGCCAGCAGAGGAATCTTAGACTGCAAACTGAGAAGAGCTGGGTTAACTGACAAGCTGGCAGGACCAGGAGAAAATATAAACATTGGTTGGGTATCAAAGTTAGTAGTTAGAGGGGTTAAAAAATGTAGGTTGAAGTTTGGGTGAACTCTGGGGTGAATCCCGAATGAGCCATACAGAACTCCAGGCAGAACACTGTGAGTGAAAAGTAAATATACCATTTCTGTCCACAGATGTGTTTTGAGCATCTACTATGTAATGTGCACCATATTTGACAATGCGAAGGAATATGCAGAGGTCAGTGAAACATATCTCTTGTGCCTAAATTACTCATGATGATGAAGGTATAGCCCAGCACCTAATAGGCACTTAAGACATATTTTTTGAGTGTCTTTTTTTTGTCTTGTTCACAGTGGAGTACTGGAACCAGCCATACAACCAGCCAGTGAGAGCTGTTAGTTAGCATCTCTTCCCAATTCCCTGTTCAGACGTTATGTTGGAAGCATTAACCGTGGTGCAAGTATTTTCATCACAGAAATCTGCAGCACTACAAATTAAGGGCTTTTTCTGCCCTCCACCTCTCCACCCCGGTTCTTAAATTTTTATTAACATTCTGACACTGGATCAATTTAATCTATCAGTTGAACTTAACAAATATTAACTGAGCACTTCATAAATGTAAATCTATTCTTAGCGCTTATCATCTTGTTTTCAAAAGACATTTTCCCATTTGCAATAACTTGATTATTTAGGTGGTTTGAAGCTTTCCTTATTTAACCCGTGTCACACTTTAGAGTATTGGTTTGCTTCCACTTTGCTATAGAAGAGAATGCAAAGCCAACTCAAGCTTGTGAGTTTTCTCCCTGGATTTGCAGTGTTAGTGATAGGCACAATGGATATCTCAGGGAAGACCTTCTAATTCTCTACTAGGGATTCAGCTCCTGATAGGAATATACTTACATTAATAAAGCTGAAAAATACTGACCTGGTGCTATTCTTTGATTGGCTATTCTGACAATGATGGAGGATGGATGTTTGGGATTAGTAATTATGTAGGGCATATGGATCACCCTTTTGTTATTCTTCCTATGAAAAGTGAAGGACTGTGTTTTGTTTCCATCCTTGGTAAGCCTATAAAGTGTTCCCTCCATAAGAATATTCGAACTTGGTCTCAGGCCACCACTTCTGAGGTTAGATGCTCAGGGTCATTTTATATCTACAATTTTAGATACACTAATTCACTAACATTGAGATTAGATTGGGAATCACCTCAGTGCTCTGTTAATGCCAATTACCTCTGAAACAGCCAGACTGGAGACAGGTAAGAGTCCCCTGATGACTGATTAAAATATGGTATCTTGAAAATTAAGTGTCTAGTTTTGAGTGCAGATGTAGCACAAAGATTTATTATCTCAATTGATTCAGATTGAATGCTATGGGAAAATTCACTAGGAATAATATAACTGTTATACCCTCACAGTAGGAATAAAAAGGAAAAAAATTCACACTTCTAGGGAGTGTTAAAGTCAGGGAAACGGATTGAAATCTTTTATAATGAGCTTTTAAGTCTTAAAGTCTACCAGTAAGAGGACAGAAGTCAAAATAGCAGAACTAAGGACAACGTAAAAATTGATATGATGGTATCCCTTTAGTCTAATTTTACCATTTGATTTGTGCTTTTAAAATAGTATTACATACAACTCAAAATTTCCATAAGGCACCAAAAGAGCTTTCTTGCAGTGGGCTCATTTAATTAATTTTGGCCAATATTTCCGTCTCTAGGTGCCTTCCAGAATTTAGATAATGACCTCTTTTTGAGGCATAAAATTGGAAAAGATTTTAAGAGATTAGAAAATGACTGGTTTAATAGAACTGGTAACACACTCAAAGGTAGACTTTAAATGATCCAAGTCCTATTTTGATTAATGAAAAATTAACATATGGATAATGTTGAATAATGGAATAAAGAGGTAGGAAAGAAATTTTTGAAATTTTTGTTATTTTTAAAAGCTAAATAAAAGATGATAAATGAAGATGATAAATGTAGGAATTATCTTAGTTCTTGAAGGTTATGTTGATATCAAATACATTTATTTATTTTTAAAAATGAAGTTTATTTTTATATTTTAAATTTAGAAAGGTGAAAAGAACAAAATGAAAATAAGCAAAATCTTTATTTTCAGAAAAACTATGCGTTTAAAAAAATAAAGTGTTTGTGTGTACATTTGAGTATACACAAGCAGATAGATGTATTTAATTTAAAAAAAACTTTATTTTTTAAATATACACAGTTTTGCTTGATATGTATATATGTATGTATGTATGTATTAGGAAATTCAAACAAGTTTTTGTGGTTCCTGTAAAATGGAAGACTAAGATAATGCAGAATTAAATTTTGATCTGAACCCATAAGAAAGAAAATTAAATCCTTGGTCACCAGAAACAGATAGGGGTTTATGAAAACCAGAACTCTAAGATGTTCTGATGTCGTACCATTTTATGTTTCCACCATGAGTATGAGTGGTCTAGTGTCTCTACTGCCACACCATCATTTGGTGCTATCACACTTTCTATTTTAGTCACTCTTATAGGTGTGTCGTGACATCTCATTGTAATTTTAATTAGCATTTTGCTAATGATGGCTAATGAAGTTGAAAATCTTATGTGCTTATTTGTTAGCTTTATATTCTCTTCAGTGAAATGTCTGTTCAAGTCTTTTGCCCATTTTCTAATTGAATTATTGTTGACTGTTCATAAACCATTTTGAGTTAGATTTTGTGTAAGATGTAAGTTTAGGTGGCGGTAGTTCTTTTTTTTTTATGCAATGAATGTTAAAAAGCTCTAGCACCATTTGTTGCATTAATTTTAAACCTTTGTTAAAAAACCAGTTAGGCACATTTGTGTGGGTCTATTTCTGGGTTTCTTATTCTTATCTCATTGCAATGTCTATCAATATGCCAATACCATACAGTCTTAAGCACCGTAGCTATATAGCAAACTTAACAGCATGTAGAGTGATTCTTTCTACTTAATTATGTTTTGAAAAATTGTTTTTAGCTATTCTAGGTCTTTTGCCTTTCCACATAAAATTTAAAATGAACTTGTCTATTGTACAAAAGCTCTGCTAGGATTTTAATAGAAATTACATTAAAATTACAGATTGATTTGGAAATAATTGATATCTTTGTGGAGTCTTCTAATCAATGAACCACACAATGTCTCTTCATTTATTTAGGTGCTCTTTGATTACTTTCATCAGCATTTTGTGATTTTCACCATGCAGATTCTGTACTTTTTTAAAAATATTTATATCCAAGTATTTCATTTTATTTGTAATAGTTAAAAATGGTATTGTGTTTTTAGTTTTGGTTTCCGCATTATCATTGTTAATATCATTGTCAAAAACCCAACTGATTTTTATGTGTTCACTTTGTATTCTGAAACTTTGCTAAGCTCACTTAGTACTAAGAGGATTTATTTATTTATTTATTTATTTATTTATTTATGGATTGCTTAAGATTTTCTATGTAGGCAATCATATCATCTGCAAATAGAAAGGGCTTTTTATTTCTTCTTTTTTAATCTATATGCCTTTTACTTTTTATTTTCTTTCTTTTCATTTTTTTTCCTTATGTGCTGGCTAAAAATCTCAGTAATATGTTGAATAGGAGCAGTGAGAGTAGACATCCTTGATCTGTTTCTAATCTTAGAAAACATTCAATCTTTCACCATTAAGTATGATATTAGCTGTAAGTTTTTTTAAGAAAATGTTTTTTATCAAGGTGTGGAAATTCCTCTCTACTTCTGGTTTGCTGAGAGTTTTTGTCATCAATAGGTATTGGATTTTGTCAAATGCTCTTTCTGCATCCACTGATACGACCATATGTTTTTTTCTTTTTATCCTGCTGATATGATATATTAAAATGATATTCAAATGATGAAACTGCTTTGCATACCTGGAATAACTCTAACTTGGTCATGGAGCATAATTCTTTTTACACATTTGTGGATTTTGTGAACATTTCATTTTTGCTTTTTATTGCTACACAATATTTATACATATTTATCTTTTACATATGATATTCTGACACAGAATATGATATGTTTGCATCTGACAGAGAATATCATATGTAAATGCAAACAAATCATATGCAAATAATGTGTAATGATCAAGTCAGGGTATTTAGTATATCTGTCACCTTGAATATTTATCATTTAATTGTGTTGGAAACATTTTAAATATTCTCTTCTGGTTATTTTTGAATATATAATATATTGTTGTTAACTGTAGTCACCCTACCATGCTGTCAAACACTACAACTTTTTCCTTTAAATATTATTTTTAGCTTCACTTTTTTTTTTTTTTTTTAAATCTCGACTCCTTCTTTTCTCCTTATTGGACTCCAAAAATAAAAACATTAGATTTTAGGATCTCATCCCATAGGTCCCCAATGCTCTGGGGTTTTGTTTGTTTATTTGAGGTTAATTTTTTCTCTGTTGTACGAATGAGCAATTTCTATCGATTTCACTTCAGTTTCCCTGGTTCTTTCCTCCGTTGTTTTAAATCAGGTATATTTTAACCTTTTTGAAAACTTAATATTTTTAATTGTGGTTAAATACACATAAAATTTACCATGTTAACCATTTTTAAGTGTACAGTGAGTAGTGTTAAATATATTTAAATTGTTTTGCAACCAATCTCCAGAACTTTTTCATCTTGCAAAGTTGAAATTCTATACCTATTAAACAGCCACTTTCTATGTCTCCATTATGGGATGAATTGAGTCACTCCAAAATTTACATGTTGAAGTTCTAACCCCTGTATTTTAGAATGTGACTGTAGTTGGAAATAGGGTCTTCAAAGAGATGATTATGTTTACATGAGGCTGTTAGGGTGGGCCTTAATCCAATTTGACTGGTGTCCTTTATAAGAGGAGGTAAATTGGACTCAAAAAGAGACACCAGAGTTGAATGCATACACACAGAAAAGACCATGTGAGGACACAGCAAGAAGGTAGTCATCTGCAAGCCAAGAAAAGAGGCTTCAGCAGAAAGCAAACCTGCCACCTTATTCTTTGACTTCTAGCCTCCAGAACTGTGAAAAAATAAATTCTGATGTTTAAGCAAGTCCATTTTTGGTATTTTGTTATGGCGGCCATAGTAAACTAATATATTGCTTTATGTAGGCCCTGGCAACCAACAATTCAACTTTCTGTTTCTATGAATTTGACTATTCTAGATACTTCATATAAATGCAGTCATATAGTTTTTGTCTTATCGTGACTAGCTTATTTAACTTAATAGAATTTTCTCAAGGTTCATCTATGTTATTGCATGTGGTCAGAACTTCCTTCTTAAGGCTGAATTATAATCCATTGTACATATACCACATTTTGTTTATTCATTCATCTGTTGATGGACATTTGATCCACTTATACATCCTGCCTCCACATGCATAACCTTCCTCATTAATATCCTAAACGATAGTACATTTGTTATAATCAATGAATCTGTCTTGATTTATCGTTATCACCACCAGTCCATAATTTACAATGGAGTTACATTTGATGTCATACCTTCTATGGGTTTTAACAAATGTATTATGATATGTATTTACCATTATAGTATCATACAGAGTAGTATCTCTGCCCTAGAAATCCCCTGTGCTCTGCAATTCATCTCTCCCTCTCCCTTAACCCCTGGCAACAACTGATCTTTTTGTGTCTCCATAGCTTTGCCTTTTCCAGAATGTCAAATAGTTGGAATCATGAAGTATGTATCCTTCTCAGATTGGCTTTATTCACTTGGTAATATGCATTTAAGGTTTCTCCATGTCTTTTCATGGCTCGATAGTTCATTTCTTTCTAGTGTAAATAAAATGCCATTGTCTGTGTATATCACAGTGTTGTATCCATTCTTCTACTGAGAGATATCGTGGTTGCTTCCAAGTTTGGGCAATTATGAATAAAGCTGTTGTAAACACTGGTGTATGCACTTTTGTGTGAACACAAGTTGTCCACTCCCTTGTGTAAATACTAAGGAGTATGATTGCTGGATCATAGGATGTGGAGTATCTCTAGTTTTGTAAGAAGCTGCTAAACTGTCTTCAAAGTAGCTGTACAATTTGCATTTTCACCAGCAATGGATGAGAGTTCCTGTTGCTGCATATCCTCACCAGCATTTGGTGGTATTGGTATTTCAGATTTTAGCCACTTTAATAGGTATATAGTAGTGTCTCATTGTTGTTTTAATTTGCAGTTCCCTAATATCAATGAAGTTGAGCATGTTTTCATATGCTTATTAGCCATCTGTATGTCTTTTTTTGGTGAGGTGTCTGTTCAGATGTTTTGCCTCCCCACCTTTTTTTTTGAGACAGGGTCTCACTCTCACCCAGGCAGACAGATGATTGCTCAAGCAATCCATGCACAATTGCCCATTTTAAAATCATGTTACTTTGTTTTCTTATCGGTGAGTTTTAAATGTTCTTTGTATATTTTGGGTAATAGTTCTATATCAGGTAAAGGATAAATATTTTGGCAAATATTTTCTTCTAGTCTGTGGCTTGTCATCTCATTCTGTTAATAATGTCTTTTGTAGAACAGATGTTTTCAATTTTAATGAAGTCTAGCTTATCAATTGTTTTGTTCATGGATTGTGCCTTTGGTGTTATATCTAAAAAGTCATTGCCATATTCTATAACATCTAGATTTTCTCCTATGTTATCTTCTAGTAGTTGAGTTTTAAAGTTTTGTGTTTTACATTTAGGTTTATAATCAATTTTGAGCTTTCTGTGAAGGATTTAAGGTCTGTGTCTACATTCATTGAGTGTTTAGTTATTGCAGTATCATTTGTTAAAAAGATTATCTTTTTTTTTTTTTTTTGAGATGGAGTCTCGCTCTGTCACCCAGGCTGGAGTGCAGTGGCATGATCTCAGCTCACTGTAACCTCTGCCTCCCAGGTTCAAACAATTCTCCTGCCTCAGCCTCCCGAGTAACTGGGATTACAGGCACGGGCCACCACAACTGGCTAATTTTTGTATTTTTTAGTAGAGATGGGGTTTCACCATGTTGACCAGGGTGGTCTCAAACTCCTAACCTCAGGTGATCCTCTTGCCTTGGCCTACAAAGATTATCTTTTCTCCATTGTATTGCTTTTGCTTCTTTGTCAAAGATCAGTTGATTATATGTGGGCCTGTCTTTGGGTTCTCCATTTGGTTTCATTGATGTATTTATTTTTTTACTAATATCATATTGTCTGGATTACTGTAGCTTTGTAGTAAATTTTGATGTTTGGTAGTGTCAGTCTTCTGACTTTGGTCTTCTTCAATGTAGTGTTAGCTATTCTGAGTCTTTTGTCTATGTATACAGAATTTTAAATCAGTTTTGAAATAACTGATTTAAAAAACAGTTATGAAATAACTGTTGGGATTTTTGACTGGGGTTGCATTGACTCTGTAGATAAACTTGGGAAAAACTGATATCTTGACACTGCTGAGTCTTCTTATCCATAAATACAAAACGTCTCTCCATCTGTTTAGTTTTAAAATTTCTTTCATTAGACTTTTGTAGTTTTCCAAATATAGATTTTATACGTATTTTATTAGGCTTATGTAAATGGCATTGTGTTTTTAATTTCAAATTCCACTTGCTCGTTGCTGGTATATAGGAAAATGATCAGCTTCTGTACATCAACCTTGTATCCTGCAACCTGGCTATAATTGTGTATTAGTCCAGATTTTTGTGCGTGAATTCTTTTGTATTTTTCTATGTAGACAATTTTGCCACTGCAAACAAAGAGGGTTTTATTTTTTTCTTCCCATTCAATGTATCTTTTGTTTTCTCTTCTTGTCTTATTACATTGGCTAGGACTTCCAGTACAATGTTGAAAATTGGTGGTGAGACGGGGCATCCTTGCCTTGTTCCTGACCATAGTGGGAAGAGTTAGGTCTCTCACTATTTAGTATGAAGTTAGATGTAGGGTTTTATAAAAATTTTTTAAGATATTTTTTGTCCAGTTGAGAAAGTTCCTCTCTCTTCCTAGTTTGTTGAGAGATTTTATCATGAATGGGTGTTGAATTTGTCCAGTGCTTTTTCCTGTATCTATTGATATGGTTAAATGACTTTTCTTCTTAGCCTGTTCATTTTATGGATTACATTAATTGATTTTGGACATTGAACCCCTATTGCATATCTGGGATAAATCCCATTTGGTCATGTTGTATAATTCTTTTTTATACATGATAGGTTTCAATTTGCTAATTTTTTTTCAGGATATTTGCATCTATATTCATGAGACATCTTAGTCTGTAGTTTTTTTCCTTGTAATATCTTTGTCTAGCTTTGGTATAAGGCTAATGCTGGTCTCATAGAATAGGTTAGAAAGTATTCCCTCTGCTTCTATCTTCTGGAAGAGATTGTAGAAAATTGGTTTAATTTCTTCCTTAAATGTTTGGTAGAATTCACCAGTTAACCTATCTAGGTCTGGTTCTTTCTGTTTTGGAAGGTTTTATTTACTGATTCAATTTCTTTACTAGATATTGGGCTATTTAAATTGTTTATTTTTTCTTTTGTGAGTTTTGGCAGATTGTGTCTTTCAATAAATTGGTCCATTTCATCTAGGTTATAAGATTTGTGGGCATAGAATTGTTCATAATATTTCTTTATTATTCATTTAATGTCCTTGGGATCTGTAGTGATGTTCATCTTTCATTTCTGATATTGACAATTTGTGTCATCTCTCTTTTTAATCTTAATTAACCTGGTTAGAGGTGTATCAATTTTATTGATCATTTCAAAGAATCATATTTTGTTTTGTTGATTTTTGGTATTAATTTTCTGTTTTCAAATTCACTGACTTCATGTCCTGTTCTGATAATGATAATATTGCAGATCCAGTCAACAAACCAGATGACAATTTGTTCCTGTTCTTGACCTTGAGGTCAGATCTGTCTCCTTTAGATATACAGGTTTACATAAATTATGGTCCCAGGTAGTTTTAAGTACAGGGGTTTTCAGGCTCCTTTCATAGGTGTTGGAGTCTTATTCCAGTCTCAGCTTTGAACAGTAAGGCTTACATTGATCTTGTATTCATGAAGCACTTTTATTCCTTTCATTCACTAAGATCCAAAGCAAATGGCTGCCTTTGCTAACTTCTAGTCCAGGAACTCTGCAGATCTGGAGATTCTCTTTCTCTCTGTCTCTCTCTCTCTCTCACACACACACGCACACACACACACATGACACCAATAGATAGATACAGATATGAGTAGGGATATACATTTATATTTGAACACTATTTTGATCTTTTTCTTTTCTTTTTATCATTTTTTTGTTTCTCTGATATATTTTCAGAATTGTGGGGTCTATTTGGTGAAGACTCAAAGTGTGAAATTACAAGACCACATTCATTTGACATCAGTCTCTCTGCAAACCATTCTCTTGACTATTAACTCCTTGAAGGCAAGATGTCTTACTTATCTATAAATCCCTATCAGCTCTTAGCAGTGTACATGGCATCAAGTAGCTACATATGAAATATTTATAAGATTGAGGTTGATCGTCCTTGGTTACTAACTTATCACAGAAAAATTTTAAACTGTATTGTTTTCCAAATGAACTTTTTCTTTATTGAGCCCTGTAATTCTATGTTTAGCTACAATTATACTGAAGCAACCATAATTTTACTTTTATATTGGCAATCCAAACTCTGATCTTGGCCTTAAATGAATTAAAATGTTTGTTCTAGATTTTTAAGATTTTAAACAGAGTTTGAAAGAATCAATAAAGGTATTAAATAGCACACTTGCAGGGTAAAATTTCATTGTGTGAAGACATAAAACAATATTTGTTTAGAAAATGTTTTTGATAAATTGACACCAATCTGTTAGTAGCTAGTGATCAGACTTCTGAAAACCTCAAAAATATGGTAAATAACAACAAACTCATTGAAAGTTAAGCAAAATGCTGTTAAAAAAGGAAAACGATACTTGCAAAGCCATAAACTTTACCCCACATAGAAGATAGAGTGCCCCTTGCTGTCTAATACTGATTTGAAGCAAATCTAGTTTTAAACTTTAAATATGTGGAGCTTTGTGTTTAATACATCTACAGAAAAAATAGATTAGAAAAGTTGAGGAAAGGAAAGGTCATAAGGCACTTTGACTCCTAAATAATTTGTGATGCATTAATTTGTCTTGAATTAATGAATTATAAAAAATAACATATTTATCAGTGATAGTGTCAGAAAAGAGCAAATACTTCCAGTGCAATTATAACTGCAGTATAGTCTGGAGTCAATTAGAAATTCTCCATATGCTAAGAGTCATGAGGACATGACTATATCAAAATCAAATATACTGTTGTGTTAGTTTCCCAGGGCTGTTATTAACAAATAACCACAAACTTAGGGTTTAAAAAAACAGAAATTTATTCTCTCACTGGTCTGGAAGCCAGAAGTTGGCAGGACCATGCTCCCCCCAGATCCTCTAGAGGAGAGTCTCTTCCTTGCCTCTTCCAGCTTCTAATGGCTGTGGGCTTTCTTTGACAGATCTCTTCACACTCTCTTTTCTTCTGTGTGTCTTTAAACTCCACCTGTTGCTCACTTATAAAGATACTTGTAATGGCATTTGGAGCTCACTCACGTAATCCTGGATCTGCTGTTCTCCCCGCTAAGATCTTTAACTCTATCACTTCTTTGCCATATAAAGTACTATTCACTCCTTTGTTATGTAAGGTATTATTTGCGGGTTTCAGAAGTTAAGACATTTTATTAGTTTGCTCAGGCTGCCATAACAAAAGACCACAGACTGAGGGTTTAATCATCAGAAATTTATTTTCTCATATTCCTAGAGACTAGAAGTTAAAGAACAAACTGTAGGCAGCTTTGATTTCTTCTGAAACCTGTCTTTTTGGCTTGCAGATGACCACATTCTTTGCTGTGTGAGAACATGTGCTTTACATGTGAGAACATGTGCTTTGCATGTGAGGACATGGTCTTTCCTCTGTGTGTGCATGCATGCCTGATGTTTCTTTGTGTGTCCAAATTTCTTCTTCTTATAAATTTGGGTTAGGGCCCACCCTAACAGCCTCATTTTAAGTCAGTCGTCTCTTTATTTTTATTTATTTCGAGACAGGGTCTGGCTCTGTCGCCCAGGCTGGAGTACAATGGTGTAAACTTAGCTCACTGCAACTTCCATCTCCTGGGCTCAAGCAACTCTCCTGCTTTAGCCTTCTAAGTAGCTGGGACTACAGGTGTACACCACTGTGCCTGGCTAATTTTTGTATTTTTAGTAGAGATGGGATTTCATCATGTTGGCCAGGCTGGTCTCAAACTCCTGAACTCCAGCGATCCATCAGCCTCAGCCTTCCAGAGTGCTGGGATTACAGGCGTGAGCCACTCCTCCCAGTTCAATCATCTCTTCAAAGACCTTATCTCCAACTACATTCACATTCTGAGATACTGGGTGTCAAGGCTTCACAATATGAATTTTGCAGAGCCACCACTCGGCCCACTGCAAATATGTAACTTTCAATTGAAACCATGAAAATAGTATTAAATATAATGTACTAAGATTTACTCACAAATATAAGCCAGTGGAATACATTTAAGGGGCGGTCTCATAAAAGTAGTTAAGATTTCAAAGAAAGCAAACTCTGTTAGGAGTTTCTGACAATTAACTAGAAAAATCACTTATATGGAATAGTCATTTCTCAATTAGGCAAGATTGAATGTAATGCTAGCATATTGCGAAATTTCATGCTAAAATTTATTTGGGAATATTTTTTAAAACTCTCCCTTTCGCTTATGGATTTATAGATAGACTTATGAAGATTACAATAGGAAGGAATTCTTCCTTGTTTAAAGGAAAACATGTAATTTAAATGGAGGCATAATTTATACTCTACACTGCAATTGTCTGACTTTAATGAGAAAACAGTAAATTTCAATATAGTTTCTTGGGAATCATTCCAGCTCTCAATACTTTGCTGCAGTGGGATGCCAGGAAATGACTGTTCATAGAGAGATGGCCAAGAGTCCACATTTATAAACACTAATAGGTTACTTTGTTGGTAGCATTATCTTTGATTACAAAGAAAGCAAACTAATATTAACGTATCTATTATACATGGTGCCATGTAAATGGCATCCAAGAATATTAAAATTACAGTTATAAAAAAATCACACCAATTTTACAGAAGATCTTGTACTTTGCTTCAGAAGAATCTAAAGCATAGTCATCCATACTTATTTCTGCTCCTCATCTCAAGTTCTTCTGCATCTTCCGTATATAGTACTTACACTTTCTCTTCCATTTCCAATCTCTATGGTTCTTCCATTTACCTTCAGAATTATGGTTGTAAGATTGGGCTTCAAGTACAGCACCAACACACTCAGAATAAAATGTTCAAAAATTCATAATTTCAACATACACTGGACTGAATAGCGTTCCCCGCCTCAAAAAACATGTCCACCTGGAACCTCAGAATGTGACCTTATTTGGAAATAGGGTCTTTGCAGATGAAATTGCTTAAATTAAGATGCAGTTATCCTGGATTAGGACGAATTCAAATTCGATGACTGGTGTTTTCGTAAGAGTAAACAGAGACACAGACATACAGGAGAGAAGGCCATCGAATTCGAATTCGATGACTGGTGTTTTCGTAAGAGTAAACAGAGACACAGACATACAGAGGCAGAGATCAGAGTGGTGCATGTAAAAGCCAAGGAATACTAAGGTTTAACAGCAATCATCACAAGTTAGAAAACATAGTAAGCATTCTTCCCTGGAGGCTTTGGAGGGAGCATGGCCCTGACAGCGTTGTGATTCAAACTTCTAGCTCCTAAAACTGTGAATCAATACATTTCTCTTTTAAGCCACCCAGTTAGGGTACTTTCTTATGGCAGTCCTTGGAAACTAATACAGAACATGAGCATGATAATTTGAATCTATGAAGAAAGGGTACTCCAGATAAAATTTATTAGAGAACAAGCCTAGACATTATATAGTTAGTACAACACTAAAGTACCAGCGTTCTTTTCACAGCATCTTTGTGGGTCACCTAGCCCCACCCAGAGATGGGGAGTTAATTACCTCATAATGACTTACTGCATTTTGGGGCAGCTGTAATGGTTAGAATTTCTGATAGTGACAGAAAAATCCGCCTCCTTATACTTCCACTGATGCTGGTTATATCCTTTAGTTAAACCTTTTGACTCCTTTGCTTAATGTTGTTTAAAATATTTGCAAAGTCTTAACCACTCTGATTTATTCTTCACTGTGTTAATCAGTTCTGTTTCTTTCAACTTATGAAATAGATTTGAAACCCCTAACAATTATGATTTTCCTTCCTTGTATACACCTTACTTTGGCAAACATTCTTCTGAGGATCAAATACATTTTTCCTGATGAGGTGTGGTGAGCTCAGTGAAGGATAGGGCTAATTTTTCCTGTAATTTGGGCATACAAATTTTACCTTGAAGCATAAGGTGAAATTCAGAGTTCTTAACGTGCACTTTATATACTTGATTAATTAATCTTTTATTATACAATTAATACATAAAAATTCTTTCTGTAAAAGTTTCATAACTAACAAATATCTAGAATAAAATAAGAGACTCTTTTATTTCACTCCACCTTCCAAAACACTCCTGTTTACAGCTAAGCATTCAACAATTTAGTGCTTATCTTTCTGATCCTGATTTCATGCATTTACACACATGCACACACACACGTATGTATACACACATATCTATGCTCTTATAAAAATAGGAAATTGTCTTCTATGTTCTCTATGTCTCAGTTAGTTTCCTTATACCTTGCTCAGTTAGATTGTTTGCCTTGAACATTTTGAAAACACGTGTATTGTCATTGGAATTTTGGTACTAAATTTAAGATTTTAAAATAATTCAACAAATTTTAAAATGTCATCTGTTGTTTTTAATTCTGTGTTAGTCAGTGCCATTTTAAATTGTAGCTTGTGTCTAACACATTGGTTATCTCTTTCAGTTTTGTGCCTTTTTAATTTGAAATGGACACCTCCTATGCCTTTGTCGAGGCCCTGAAAAAATTATTCACCAAATACGACTAAGGAAAGTTACCCTATTAGAGATTTACTTCTAAGTAGCAAGGCAACATTAATCAACATTATTAGCATATAATTATCTACCTAGTATTGAATCCAGGTAACATGCACTTTGCTGTGTAAACCGAGGCTTCTGAGATAGTGAGATTTTATATTTGTGAGCTCTGGTCTGTGGGGCAGTGCAGGAGGACGTTGATTTGTATTCTTCCTTTTCAAAATATGAATGGAAAATTTCTCCCCCCAAAATTTAAATGCCACAACAAATTGTGAAAAGTCTAGTAAGTTTTACAAATCTTTACCTGTGGCTTGCTAGAGTGAAATGAGGAAGAAGGCAAGTCAGAATGTATATCCGGGTGCGGTGGCACATGCCTGTAATCCCAGCATTTTGGGACGCTGAGGTGGGAGGATCACCTGAGGTCAGGAGCTGGAGACCAGCTTGGGCAATATGGTGAAACCCCAGCTCTACTAAAAATACAAAAATTAGCCAGGTGTGTGGCAGGTGCCTGTAGTGCCAGCTAGTCTGAAGGCTGAGGCAGGAGAATCGTTTGAACCCGGGAGACAGAGGTTGCAGTAAGCCAAGATTGCACCACTGCACTGCAGCCTGGGCAGCAGAGTGAGACTCCGTATGTATGTATATGTGTGTGTGTGTGTGTGTGTATGTGTGTGTGTGTGTGTGTATAACACATATATATAAAATTATGCATATATATAAAAAAGTATTACATTTTTAGTTAATAAAGAATGGTTTAAAATTTGAAAAAGCAGACACGATCTGTATAGCATATTATTTACGGGAAAGTCTCAGCAGTAATGCCTCGAAGGTTGCTTTTTGAGCCATTAAATGCAGCAATTTGGCCAGGTGCGGTGGCTCACGCCTGTAATTCCAGCACTTGGAGAGGTCGAGGCAGGTGAATCACCTGAGGTCAGGAGTTCGACACCAGCGTGCAGGGGAATGGCTTGAACCTGGGAGGTGGAGGTTGTAGTGAGCCGAGATCATACCACTGCACTCCAGCCAGGTGACAGAGCAAGACTCCGTCTAAAAAAACAAAAAGCAGCAATTTATATCTACCTCCTCCTGAAATGCTTTTTCATTTTGTTTCGTTTTGAGGAAGGTAAATAATATTTTTATTTGTTACCCCATCAATGAACACTTTCTCCACCATAAGTTTTTTTTTTCTTTTTTCTTTTTTTTTTTTTAATTATACTTTAAGTTTTAGGGTACATGTGCACAACGTGCGGGTTAGTTACATATGTATACATGTGCCATGTTGGTGTGCTGCACCCGTTAACTCGTCATTTAACATTAGGTATATCTCCTAATGCTATCCCTCCCCCCTCCCCCCATAACAGGCCCCAGTCTGTGATGTTCCCCTTCCTGTGTCCATGTGTTTTCATTGTTCAGTTCCCACCTATGAGTGAGAACATGTGGTGTTTGGTTTTCGGTCCTTGTGATAGTTTGCTGAGAATGATGGTTTCCAGCTTCATCCATGTCCCTACAAAGGACATGAACTTATCATTTTTTATGGCTGCGTAGTATTCCATGGTGTATATGTGCCACATTTTCTTAATCCAGTCTATCATTGTTGGACATTTGGGTTGGTTCCAAGTCTTTGCTATTGTGAATAGTGCCACAATAAACATACGTGTGCATGTGTCTTTATAGGAGCATGATTTGTAATCCTTTGGGTATATACCCAGTAATGGGATGGCTGGGTCAAATGGTATTTCTAGTTCTAGATCCCTGAGGAATCGCCACACTGACTTCCACAATGGTTGAACTAGTTTACAGTCCCACCAACAGTGTAAAAGTGTTCCTATTTCTCCACATCCTCTCCAGCACCTGTTGTTCCCTGACTTTTTAATGATCGCCATTTTAACTGGCGTGAGATGGTATCTCATTATGGTTTTGATTTGCATTTCTCTGATGGCCAGTGATGATGAGCATTTTTTCGTGTGTCTTTTGGCTGCATAAATATCTTCTTTTGAGAAATGTCTGTTCATGTCCTTCGCCCACTTGTTGATGGCGTTGTTTGTTTTTTTTTTTGTAAATTTGTTTGAGTTCTTTGTAGATTCTGGATATTAGCCCTTTGTCAGATGAGTAGATTGCAAAAATTTTTTCCCATTCTGTAGGTTGCCTGTTCACTCTGATGTTAGTTTCTTTGGCTGTGCAGAAGCTCTTTAGTTTAATTAGATCCCATTTGTCAATTTTGTCTTTTGTTGCCATTGCTTTTGGTGTTTTAGACATGAAGTCCTTGCCCATGTCTATGTCCTGAATGGTATTGCCTAGGTTTTCTTCTAGGGTTTTAATGGTTTTAAGTCTAACATTTAAGTCTTTAATCCATCTTGAGTTAATTTTTGTATAAGGTGTAAGGAAGGGATCCAGTTTCAGCTTTCTACATGTGGCTAGCCGGTTTTCCCAGCACCATTTATTAAATAGGGAATCCTTTCCCCATTGCTTGTTTTTGTCAGGTTTGTCAAAGATCAGATAGTTGTAGATGTGTGGCATTATTTCTGAGGGCTCTGTTCTGTTCCATTGGTCTATATCTCTGTTTTGATACCAGTACCATGCTGTTTTGGTTACTGTAGCCTTGTAGTATAGTTTGAAGTCAGGTAGCGTGATGCCTCCAGCTTTGTTCTTTTGCTTTAGGATTGACTTGGCGATGCAGGCCCTTTTTTGGTTCCATATAAAATTTAAAATAGTTTTTTCCAATTCTGTGAAGAAAGTCATTGGTAGCTTGATAGGGATGGCATTGAATCTATAAATTACCTTGGGCAGTATGGCCATTTTCACGATATTGATTCTTCCTGCCCATGAGCATGGAATGTTCTTCCATTGGTTTGTATCCTCTTTTATTTCACTGAGCAGTGGTTTGTAGTTCTCCTTGAAGAGGTCCTTCACATCCCTTGTAAGTTGGATTCCTAGGTATTTTATTCTCTTTGAAGTAATTGTGAATGGGAGTTCACTCATGATTTGGCTCTCTGTTTGTCTGTTATTGGTGTATAAGAATGCTTGTGATTTTTGCACATTGATTTTGTATCCTGAGACTTTGCTGAAGTTGCTTATCAGCTTAAGGAGATTTTGGGCTGAGATGATGTGGTTTTATGGATATACAATCATGTCGTCTGCAGACAGGGACAATTTGACTTCCTCTTTTCCTAATTGAATGCCCTTTATTTCCTTCTCCTGCCTAATTGCCCTGGCCAGAACTTCCAACACTATGTTGAATAGGAGTGGTGAGAGAGGGCATCCCTGTCTTGTGCCAGTTTTCAAAGGGAATGCTTCCAGTTTTTGACCATTCAGGATGACATTGGCTGTGGGTTTGTCATAGATAGCTCTTATTATTTTGAGATACGTCCCATCAATACCTAATTTATTGAGAGTTTTTAGCATGAAGGGTTGTTGAATTTTGTCAAAGGCCTTTTCTGCATCTATTGAGAGAATCATGTGGTTTTTGTCTTTGGTTCTGTTTATATGCTGGATTACATTTACTGATTTGTGTATGTTGAGCCAGCCTTGCATCCCAGGGATGAAGCCCACTTGATCATGGTGGATAAGCTTTTTGATGTGCTGCTGGATTCGGTTTGCCAGTATTTTCTTGAGGATTTGTGCATTGATGTTCATCAGGGATATTGGTCTAAAATTCTCTTTTTTTGTTGTGTCTCTGCCAGGCTTTGGTATTAGGATGATGCTGGCCTCATAAAATGAGTTAGGGAGGATTCCCTCTTTTTCTATTGATTGGAATATTTTCAGAAGGAATTCTCCACCCTAAGTTTTGTTGCCTAATTGATTTATTTTGTAATGGATGGACTTTCTGTATCAGCTGTGATTCCTGGTTGAAACCAACGGAATCAAATCTTAAGTAAGGAACTTACTGGAGGGATATTGTGGAGGAGGGGAATAAAAACAAGAAATGAAGCAGATAATAGGTGGGGGTGACGTCTAAGAAGTTAGGGAGCATAGCAAGCTGTTCAGAGCCAGAATGAGCCTAGCAGAATGCCAGTGTTGCTACCACCGCTGCTACAACCATGAATAACCTCTGCAGTGCCTCTGTCTGGATGACTCTGGGATTCTGTGTCTTGAGAACTGTCTTCTGACTGGTGGGGCTTAGATCACGTACCTGCTCCCCAGTTACACCTGGGAGTGTGAGGGAAGGATCTGTTCCTCTTTTCTTTCGTAGTGGGAATGAGAAAACTGGCTGTACTCTAGGGCTACAGCAGCAAAGTACCACAGACAGAGCTGCTTAAATACACTATTTTCTCATGCTTCTAGAGGATGGAAGATCCCGATCAAGACGTCAGCAGGGCTAGTTCCTTCTCAGGGCTGTGAGAGGAGGATCTGATCCACGTGTTTACCCTGAGCTTGCAGATGGCCACCTTCTGCTCCTGTGCCTTCACATGGTCCTCCCTCTGCACGTGTCTGTGTCCCGATTTCCTCTTCTCATAAGGACACCAGTCACATTGGATTAGGGCCTGCCCTAATAAACTAATTTCCACTCAGTTACCTCTTTAAAGATCCTGTCTTCAAATATGTATATATTTTGAGTTACGGGGGGTTAGACCTTTTATTATTATTATTATTATTATTGTTTTGAGACACAATTTCACTCTGTCACGCAGGCTGGAGTGCAGTGGCACGATCTCAGCTCACTGCAACCTCTGCCTCCTGGATTCAAGTGATTCTTGTGCCTCAGCCTCCAGAGTAGCTGGGTTTACAGGTACGTGCCACCACACCCAGCTAGTTTTTGTATTTTTAGTAGAGACAGGGTTTCACCATATTGACCAGGCTGGTCTTGAACTCCTGACGTCAGGTGATCCACCCACCTCGGCCTCTCAAAGTGCTGGGATTACAGGTGTGAGCCACCGTACCCGGCTTAACATAATAAATTTTGTGGGGGAGGGGGGAGACACAATTTAGCCTAAATGCTGGCATTTCTCTTTCATTGACAGTACAGTGTGCAAGAGAGATGATTCTCCCAGAAAACAAAACAAAACAAAACAAAACAAAAAACAGAGTGCTCTTACAGAAAGAAATGGATTCTCTGCAGTTAAAAAAAAAGAAGATAAATGTCATTCTACAGTTTTTTGTAACAATAGTTATGGAAGTTTACATATATATATATATTTAAACACAAGAAAATGCTATGCATATTTTTATACTAGTAAACTTGAACATCTAAAGAATGATACCACACCCACATATCATAATATTCCATGTTGGTAAAGGTGCAAGAAAATGAAAATGCTTTTTCTGTTGGTAGAAATGCCGGCTTTTATCCACTTTCCTGTCATTCTACTTTTATATACTGTTAAAGTGGACTTGTATCACTTAAATCTCTCCTGGAGAAGGAATTTGCTAGTCAGCTGCAGGGAGTGCAGTCAGCAGACCATTTGTTGCTGCAAATGCTTTCAGGGCTTGTCTCAGCTTTCAAGCCAAGGCTACACTCATCTCTGGCAGCCCGCAGTCAGTAACTAAGCATGGCAGGGGTGCTAGGCCCTGGTCATTTCTATCCAGTGCTGGCTTCCTCTAACAGGCAATCTTTGCTGCAGAGCTTCCCTTTAGTTTGGCTGAGATTTGGTCAAATCTACATTGTGATCTGAGCTTTGTCCTCCCCAGTCCTGCTTCCTCCTCCTTTTGTCTTTCTCAGGTGTTATCTTCTCAAAAACTTCTTGCACCTCCTAACTTCATCTCTGTGTCTGCATCCCAGAGTATCCGATATGCTCCCGCTATACCGCCCACATATATTTAATAATATTTTTCTTGTTTTTCTACTGTTTTCATTTTTCATAAGTCTTTGCTATTCCAGTTAGGAATGTGCAAACTATTGTACTTTTCAATGATGTAAACCCTGTGGTTTTAATATAATATCTTATTTCTTATTTTATCATCACATCCGTAAGGATGTCATGGAAATTTTGTCATATATTTTTCATGAAATCTCTTAAATTATATTTATTATTGGCAGTTCACTATCTTCAAGCCTACTTAGGGGTTACTTAATTCAGTGACTCATTTAAGAGTCTAAATAGAAATTTGGATGGGAGCAGAGAGAAATAGGGAGTTATGTCTTTCTGAGTATTTATACCATAGAGTGTAAAACTAAGTGATTATCGGTGGTCAGGGTCTATCCTATAAACTTATGAGCAGAAGAATGTCTGCAGTTAGAAAGAAGAATGAAGCAGATAGAGAAAAAAAAAAAGAAATAAATTACTGTGAGAAGAGAAATTTTTTTCTGGTTCCCTGGGAAAGGATTAATGCACTATTTGGTGCTTCTGGGTCGGAAGATACCCCAGTCCCAGCTGTATTCCTGAGCTAGTCTGAATCCTTTATTCTGGCTTCGGTGCAACCCTTCAGAGGTCTTTCCAATAAACTCCATTGACTTTGCATATGTTAGTTTAAATTCTATTGTCATTATGTGCAACTCAGAACGTTTTTGTCATCACAACACTTAAAGCATTTTGCATAACATAGTAGGGCATTCATAAAATTTTAGTAAAATATGCATCTTTTTGAATCTTTTAGGTGAGTCTTTTTTCAGTTTCTTCTCATTGGTAACAAAACCTCTTTTATTGTTTGAATTTGTGACACCTTAAGCTGCAGATATATGGTATTGCTAAGCACTGTCTTCTTCAACCTGTTGTCACTTACACAATATTATGTAGAAAAAGTAATAAGAATTAGAGAGAGAGGAGGAGAAGAAGATGGAAGGTGAGGGAGAGATAGGGTGCTTACTTCCTGTTGGACTAAAGAAGAAATTTTCCTACTCGCTGAAATAATCACAAAAACTAAAAAGAAGTTTTACTTATCTTAAGAGTCCAATTACTGGTTACTCTTCGATAGAGCCAGATTTTAAGTTTACAGCAGGGCAAGGGAACTAGACAGAAACAACTTCCTTGATTGAGCCCTGAATTTGGGCTTGTCACCAAAGTTTGAATTGCCAAGGAGGAGGATGAAGATCTTTTATTTGGATGAGGTTCCTAGATCATCTGGAAACATGGATTCCTACTTGTAGTCTCCAAATGGGCCCTAATATCCCATGGAGGATACTGAAGGCAAAAATTCAAAGGGCGAAAACTGGTTGATATGAATGACTCCCTTCTAACAATAATGTTTTAATGACCCACATATACGGACTAAACTGGGCCTCCAAGAATAAAAGTGCTTGGTTTGACCTTAGATACCATGAAAGCAAATTCTACCTGAGACAGCAATCCAGGGTATCCTTCCAGGTGTCCCATACTCTTATGCCAACCCAGAACCTTCATCTTGATCCTTGGGGATGACCTCATCTTGCATCTGGACCAGGGAAATTGACTAGAAGTCCATGCTTTGACCATATCTTGGAGTCACTTTCCAAGTTTTCTGAGATGGTTCCTCTTCTTAGCAGCAATGTTTTATCCTTTTTAATCTTGTCACTCTCAGGAGTAGGGCACCAGGGTCCTGAAACTTGGTCTCCTGATCAATTTGTTGCCATTTGGAAATGAATGAGCTCTGCTTTTCTGCTGTCATTTGTAATGATTCCAGATTTCCTTTCTGATCCTGTAGCCTGTGAATGGAAAATATAAGACTATAGAGAATACAAATAGTGGTGTTTCCCAAGTATGTGTGCACACTATATTTCATCTATTAATTCACGATGATGGTGCCCACAAGGGCCAGATGAATCTTTACATCATCTCTAGGCCATTTATACAGCGGATGAAAATAAGATTTTATAAGTAACAGAAAAGACAGGACTTTACATATACAGCCTACACAACTTATACTGAAGGGCTCATGAGATTTCTAAAAGAATTATGTCTCAGTTATTATATCAAAGCTACATGGCTAATGCTGTCTGTTGGACATCAGTAGACAAATGGCTACTTGACTAGATTCTTAAGTGTAATGTTTAAGACAATATAAATGCAAACAAATCTTACCGATTCTTGATTACCTATTAATGGAAGAGAACAAATAGATGGCTTATTCTGGGAAATAAAAAGTGAATAATGCAGCATCTTGCAGTGGCAATAGCTCACACAAGCAACAGGAAGTGGTGATAGGCACTGGGCTTTGGAGTTTCTGTCACCTGGATTTCAGTTCCAGTTCGGATCCCTTCAGTGGTAATCCCTTTAAATTAGCTATAGGAATACTTATCTTATAAGGTTTTTGCTGGAATTAGATGTGATTATGCATTGTAATATTATATACATCCAAATATTTATTACATATCCAACATAATGTTTGGAGCCTCATAGACACTCATTTTTTCCATAAAAATGTATTGAGCACTTACTAAATATAGGTACTGTGCTAGGTGTTGGGGATTAAAGGACAGATAAGTCAAAGTTCTTACCTTCAAGAAGGTTATAGTCTAATGGAAGAGACAGGCATATAAATAGATAGTTTTAATGCCATACCATAAAGACGATTATAGAGAGAGACATAGGAAATACAGAAGCACAGAGGAGACTCACATAACAAGCCTGGAGATGGAGGTGGGATCAGGAAAAGCTCTGCAAATAGATTACATCGGAGCTGAGAATGAACCAGAAAAGAATGAATGAAGATCTGCAATGCGCACATTTTCAAGATACTGTGACTTCAATATGTCTGAGTTTTCTTTACCCTTTTCCTTTCTTTCATTCACATTGAATCACCAACACTTATGTTTCTAGTGGATTATTGGTGATTCCAGGGTTCAAGTTGTTGGTGGCAGAAAAGGAGGAACCAAATATATGGACCATTGTGGGTTTATAATTGCGTATTAAAATTCCTCAGATTGGCTCTAAAAAACTGGCCACTTAAAGACTCAGAAAAAAAAATACTAGAAAGACATTAAAAGTGCAAAATATCAGGTGTTATAAAATTAGACTCTTGGAGTATAAACAAGAGGGAAAATTAAGGCAGTAAATATTACTGATGTGTCCACATGTTTTAAATCTTGCTTTCCTGAGGTGTAAGCTGCCTAGCAACAGAGGCTCCACAGGCCCTACTCCCAACAGCTGCTCAGCTCTCCAGCCTGGAGTTGCAGAGATTGGGGTTATAGCTCAGGGGGCCCCAGCTCAGAGCAGAACTGGGAACTAAGGGAACTAAGTCTCTGAAAGTACTAAGACATGTAGGACCCAGAAGAGCTTTGGAGTCATTTAACAATGTGGAATTTTGTTGCCAGTTAAATAGTTTTTTTGTGGACTGGCCTTAGTACTTTACCATCTTTTATATAATAACTTTATGTCTTAGCATTTTACCAGATTTTATAACTTTTTATAACCTTGATCTCAAATAGGATAAGCCCCAAGATGATTACACTGAGACACGTTATAATCAAATTCTCAAGACCCAGACAGATTTGAAAGCAGCAATAGAAAAGCAAGAGAAAAACTGATAACATGCAATGGAACCATCACAAGGCTATCAGAAAATTTCTCAGCAGAAACCTTGCAGGCCAGGAGAGAGTGGACTGATACATTAAAATGCTGAAAGAAAAAGAACCCAACAATGCTGTATAAAAGTGTCCTTTAGAAATGAAGGAGAGATACTTTCCCAGACAAACAAAAGCTGAGAGAGTTGATTACTGCTAGACCTGCCTTACAAGAAATGTTAAAGTAAGTTATTTAGGTTAAAACAGAAGGATATTAATTAGTAACATGAAAACATATAAAAGGTTACAGCTCATTGGTAAAGTTACGTATATAGTCAAATTCAGAATATTCTAATACTGTAATGGTGGTACATAAATATCTTAAATTTAGTGTAAAAATGAAAAAACAAAAGTATTAAACATAACTACAGCTATAGTAACTTGTTAATGGTTACACAATATACAAGATATAAATTGTGACATCAATAAAGTCTGGGGAGTATGGAGAAATACAAGTGTAGAGTTTATCTATGCAATTGAAGTTAAGTTGTTATAGGCTTAAAATAGACAAATATAAGATGTTTATGTAACCACACACGCAAAAACAAATGAAAAACAATAAAAACAATCTTGCAACAGATACACAAAATAAGAAAAGAAATCAATGTATACCACTATTTAAAAAAAATCGAATCACATAGAAAGAACAGGAAGAAGAAACAAGGGAAGTATAAAAGAGAAAATAATTGATAAAATGGCAATAGTAAGTCCTTACCTACCAATAATTACTTTAAATATAAATGGGTCAAATTCTCCAATCAAAAGAAATAGCATGGATGAACAGATAAAAAAACAACAATATCCAACACTAGGCTACCTATAAGAGATTCATAAACCAAAAATGAATAAATAGAAAAAGATATTCTATACAAATGGTATCAAAAGGGAGCAGAGGTGGCTATACTTATATCAGACAGAAAAACTTTAAGTAATAAACCTGTCAACAAGAAACAAAGAAGATAATTATATAATGACAATGGAGTCAATTCGTCAGTAGGATATAACAATTGTAAGTATATATGCACTCAACATCAGAACATCTAAATATATAATGCAAATATTAACAGAACTGAAGGAAGAAATATATAGCAATACAATGATGGTAGGGGATTTCAACATACCATTTTAAACAATAGTTGGATCATCTAGGCAGAAAATCAATAAGGAGACAGTGGACTTGAATAACACTAGAAAGCAAATGGAAATATACACAGAACACTATCCAACAGCAGCAAAATCCACATTCTTCTCAAGCACATGTGGAACATTCTCCAGGATAGACCATGTTCGGCCACAAAACAAGTCTTAGCAATTTGAGAAGGTTGAAATAATACCAAATTTATTTTCTGATCATATTGGTATGAAAATAAAAATCAGTAACAGGAGGAAGCTTGGAAAATTCACAAATATGTAGAAATTAAACAACATGCTCCTGAAGAACCAATGCATCAAAGAGGAAATCAAAAGAGAAGTAAAGGAATACCTTAGTGGGAGTGGTGGCTCATGCCTGTAATCCCAGCACTTTGGGAGGCCGAGGTGGGCGGATCACGAGGTCAGAAGATCGAGAACACGGTGAAACCCCGTCTCTACTAAAAATACAAAAAAAAAAAAAAAAAAAAAAAATTAGCCGGACGCGGTGGCAGGCGCCTGTAGTCCCAGCTACTCAGGAGGCTGAGGCAGGAGAATGGCGTGAACCCGGGAGGCGGAGCTTGCAGTGAGCCGAGATCGTGCCACTGCACTCCAGCCTGGGTGACAGAGCAAGACTCCGTCTCAAAAAAAAAAGATAACTTGACATAAACAAAAATAAAAATACAACATCAACATCACAACTTATGAGATGCAGCAAAAGTAGTTCTAAGTCAGAAGTTTACAGTAATAGACACCTATTTATAATCTTTGACAGGAGTGTCAAGAGCCCACAATGGGGAAAGGACAGTCTCTTTACTAAATGGCGCTGGGAAAGTTAGACGCCTACATGCAAAAGAATAAAATTGGACTCTTATTTCATGCATATACTAATATCAACTCAAACTGGAATAAGATTTAAATGTAAGACCTGAAAGTGTAAAACTTCTAGAAGAAAACATAGGGAAAAAGCTTCTTGCCATAGCTACAGGCAATGATTTTTTGGACATGACTCCAAAAGCACAAGAAACGAAAGCAACATTGGACAGGTGGGATGGCATTAAACTAAGGAGCTTCTGTACAGCAAAGAAAACAGTCAATAGAGTGAAGAGTCAATGTATAGAATGGGAGAATATGTTTGCAAACCATGTATTTGATAAGGGGTTAATACCTGAAATACATAAAAATTAAAATAACACATAACAACATGCCCCACACAATCAACTGATTAAAAAATGAGAAAAGAACCTGAATAGAAATTTCTCCAAGTAAAACATACAAATAGCCAACAGGAATATGAAAAGTTTCTCAACATCATTAATCTGAGAAATTCAAATAGAAATCACAAGATATTACTTCATACATGTTAGAATGGCTATTATCAAAAAGACAAAAGATAACAAATGTTGGTGAGGATGTGGAAAGAAGGGAAGATTTGTACACTGTTGGTGGGTATACCAGTTGGTACAGATATTATGGAGAACAGTATGGAAGTTTCCTCAAAAAAACTTTAAGTAGAACTATCATATGATTCAGTACTTCCACTTTTGAATATTTATCCAAAGTAAGTGAGATTAGAATCTTGAAGGGGTATCTGCGTGCCCATGCTCACTGCAGCACTGTTCAGAATAGACAAGATAAGAAAACAACCTAAGTATCTATGGATGCATGAATAGATGAAGAAAATCTGGCGTATATATACAGTGGAATATTATTCAGCTCAAAAAGAGGGAAATGCTGCTATTTGCAGCAACATGGATATACCCAGAAGACATAGTGCAATATTAGATAAGAAAGATAAATGCTGTATGATCTCACTTATATGTGAAATGTAAAAAGGAGAATTCATAAAAGCAGAGAGTAGAATGGTGGTTACCAAGGGTTGGGGGTTAGGGGAAATGGAGAGATATTAATTCAAGGGTGCAAAGTTTCAGTTATGCAGGAGGAATAAGTTCTGGAGATCTAATGTACAACATGAGGGCCACAGTTAATAACACTCTATTGTATATTTGAAATTTGCTAAGGTGGTAGGTCTTAAGTGTCCTGTTCTCTCCCTTCCACACAAATGGTAACTAGGTGAGTTAATGGATGTGTTAATTAGTTTAATTGTAATTATTTCACAATGCATACATATATCAGAACATCATGTTGCACACCTTAAATGTACACAATTTTTGTTTGACAATTATGTTTCAATAAAGCTGGAAAAAATGAAAAAGTATACATAAAAACTAATAAATGGGGTAGTCAACTATGGCAAATATTTTATTCCGGTGTAATACAGCAAAATTGATTCAATGGAAATTGATAAGAATAAAACAAATTGAATCTGAGACATCATCTTTAAACACTGTAATTTTCAAAGTAATGCCAAAGAAATCATTTGTTACTGATGTCAGAACACTCAGGTATTTGGGGAAAACGCCGTTTTAAAAATTATGCTTCTACCATATACTGGTTATGAATTATTCAATAAATGTATGGGGGCAACATTGTTTACAACACATTTCCTGCCAACTTCTGTTTTTCACTAAATGTTAACAAAAAACAAACTTGAGGCAGCTTCATAATATAATCAGTAATAGAAGCAGATGGCACTTCTTTGACACTTCATTTTAGCTTCTAGGCATTTGCAATCAGTTATATGCAAGATATAAGGACAGACAATATGCATTAAAATTAGCCCTATCTTTTTTAGCTGTCAAAAAATAGACTTGGTCATAAAATTTGAGAGTAAAGAACCCGAGATATCATCCAGTCCAATTCTTGTATTTTATAAGTGAGAAAACTCGTGGTCAGAGAGGTAGTAAATTGACCAGCTCAAGGTCACACAGGTAGTAAACGGGAGCAGATCTCAGGTACTTGACTTAGTGCCAGAGACTCCTTGCCCCCACTTCCAGTATCAAGGCTGTCTTTTCTATCAGGGGAAATTCGAGTATTTGTATATTATTTAAAATTATAAAACATTTAAAATTATAAAAATGAACAAGAATAATACTCGAGGGTACCTTGCCACCCAGTTCTGTCAAAAGATAAGACATTGCCATATTTATGTCAGATTTAAAAAAATCATGAGTTTAAGTATTCTTTAATAGATCAGAAACATTACATTCAATTTACGGTGAAATAACAGCACATTAGCCATGGATTCATTTGCAACTTTTAAAAAAGTCAATTACATAAATACTCCTAATAACCTCAAAATGATAATAATGATACAAACATTATTACCAATCATAGTAAGTAACCATCATTGCTCTTATGATGTAGCAGGCACTTATTTGCATATATTGTATTATTTTATATAAAATTACATTTTTGTTATTGTCCTAGAGTTCAACTCATTTTCTTCTAGACAGACTATTTCTCTTTTGTCATTGTTCTTTTTGGTTGAAATAGTAGTAGTAAATGTGTCAGATAAATCTGTTTTTCTCTGGTGAGCCCCATAACTTCTAGTATCCTAAATAGTTTCTTCACATGGGAAAAACCAGATGCTTTATTTTTGAGGTGTACACTGCCATTTTTTTCAGGCTACACAACTTCAAGAGCAGAGCTGGTGCTGGATTTTAGCTTCCACTTTTCTTCCCTGTTGCACACTCTTGTTCAGGCGGCAGTGCATGGCAGGTCTGATGGTCAAAAGGAGATGACTCTTCACTCTGGTGAGTGAGTAAGACATGGCCAATCTAAAACGAGAAATATTGTGAAAACATTTTAATTTGGCTTTGGATGGGTTTATTGAACTCATGTTTGAATATTGGTTATATCTGATGTTCTGAAAATTCATGATCAAAGAGAATGAGGAATCCGTGCTGTGAATGAAGGCTAGACTGAGGAGAAGCTGGGAATCCATCCAGGTTTTTCTCACAGAAATCAAACCTTCCTTGGAAGAGATCCTAAATTAAAGTGATTGGATTTCAAAGCACATTCCTCCACAGAGTAACATTAATTGCAAAGCTAAAGTGACAGGAAGAATGAGTGTAATATGAGGTATAGTACAAAAGTCCCACCTGACTTCAGCTATTTCTACATCATTTTCCTCCATGACCAGAAAATTCCCCACAGAATAAAATAAAGATGGTGACTTTGTCATCCCCAAGCACCACCTCCTCCACTTTATGTTCCACCCACTTTGTACATCCTACCTTTCCCTAAGCAGATAGAGATCTTTCACATTTCAGGACATTTGTTCATACCACATATTTCCTGGCCTGGCATTCCTTTTCTTTTTCTATCTGGAAAACCCTTACTAGGTTAAATTTCAGGATATATATCTCAGGAATATAAGTAGTTAAAAACAGGTGCAAATCTAAAGAGGATGAGCAAAAATATATATTTAGACTATTAGAATTTGAGTGGAATCTCAAAAGCCTAAACTTGAAAAAGTGTCTAGTACATTGTGTGTACTCAAGAAATGTTAGTTGAGTGAATCAAGTCAATAAGGTACATGTTTAAGGGTCTTGATGATTTTTGCTGGGTTGAAAGGTCATCTTCTGTAGCTTTTTATTCACAGGATAGCCCTTGTATAGAGCTCCATCCACAAGCTGCCACGCTCAGTGCCTTATACGAAGGAGATTCATTGGCCTGTGGAATCACAGATTAAATATGTTACCGGGGAAGTGGTGTACCTGGGAAGAGACTTAGGCATTCATACACCTGACATGCATTTCTTTACTCCTGTTGCGCTGATTTACTCTTGTGTCCTGCCCTGAGTCTGTTTCTTGCTTTAGCCTTCCAGCCCCTGGATGAGATTTGGAGCCTGCCCTGGCACCCTAACACACTTACCTGGGGCCTGGGTACACTTGGTTGTGTCTTGCTCTTCTGCGGGGGTGCAGATACTAGCCCTTTCCTATCCAGCCACTAGCTAAGGATCATGTTTCCAAAAACTGGCCACTGGGAATTGTGACACTCCTCCCTCTCTGGCATGGGTTGTTCTTATCCTGCACCACAGTGGCCAAGGGCATGAGCCCTAGAGTCAGATGGACCTGGGTTGCCTTCCAACTCATTTATATCTAAGTTTAGTCGAGGTTCTCAACCTCTTATTTGTAATTAGAGCTAACAATAAATCTTTATGTTGTGAAGATTAAATAATAATGTAGAAAACACACAATATGGTCCACATAGGAGTGATTAATATCTCTTTGATTGTAAGGATAAGAACACTGGCCCAAAGCCATGAGCACTGGCTACTGGAATGCATATTGGTCTACCTGGGTTCTGGTTACTACCATTTAGGGATCAGATCCATTGTTGAGTAGACAGCTCTCCTTGCAGTCTGTGTTCCCTTTGTATTTCTGTTCTCCTTGAGCCAAATTCTAACAAGGAAGGAAGAAGAGGAGCATGGAAGAATCTATCTGTTTCATAATTTTACCTTGGCCTTGGTATGCCAAAAGAAATTTATTATTTTGGAACACAGTAATTAAGTAGGCAGAATATAAACTGTCAATAATATCAACAGAGCAATTCATTCAGCAGAATAGGTGCTTTAATTAATAAATTGACTTTAAACAAGAGTTTGCCATGTGTATAAGCCAAAATCTTGCATAATTCACTGAAAGAAAAGGACAAGTTGACTTTATTTTTCAAGTGTTGCTAAATAATATTCATAAATGATGTGGAATATATATTCTAGGAAATAAATCAGGATATTTATCTAGAAATTGTGACATTTATTTATTTATTTTTGAGACAGTCTCACTCTGTTGCCCAGGCTGGAGAGCAGTGGCATGACCTCGGCTCACTGCAACCTCTGCCTCCTGGGTTCCAGCGATTCTCCTGCCTCAGCCTCTCAAGTAGCTGGGACTACAGGCGCATGCCACCATGCCCAGCTAATTTTTTTGTATTTTTAGTAGAGACGGGGTTTCACCGTGTTAGCCAGGATGGTCTCGATCTCCTGTCCTTGTGATCTGCCTGCCTCGGCCTCCAAAAGTGTTGGGATTACAGGCGTGAACCACTGTGCCTGGCCAAATTGTGACCTTTAAAATGATGACCAAATTCTGGGGAAATTGCATTTATGTTCAACATATTTCATTGTCTCATTCTAGTCATGTGGTAAAATGGCCATAGATTTTGGAGTCCGACGAACATGGTTTTGAATTTCACTCTAGTTACTTAATATCAATGAGCTTTAATTTTCTCTTAGATGAAATAGGTTTAGTTCCTTTTTTTTTCCAGGATGTCTGTACAGATTAAATACGATAATGCATGTCAAATGCCTGTGTCATGCCAGAATCAGTTTACATCCTTATCTTTTCCTTCCAAACCTCTATGGAGGCGCACTTATCTTAAATGAACTTAGTGAGAGTACACATCTTCTCATGTGAAAACTACTCTGCATTCATCTTCTCATACAAGAAATCAATGTAATCTAATATTCTAAAACAGAACTCGACAACTCTCTGATCTTTTCTTCTTTTGGGAAGTGATAGAGGAAGTGAAGTGAGTGAATTTATTGACATGAATAAATGGAAAAAGGGTTGCTACTGAGCATGTGTTATTATGAGTGTTATGAGCATGTGTCATTATTCATTGTACAAATAATTATTGGGCTCCTCGCACAAGTACAGCACTGTTCTAGGTGCTGAGGATACCATAGTGAACATAACAGTCAAGTCCCTGGCCTCATGAAACTTAAGTGCTAGTGAGGGTTTACGGAAAATAAATACATCAAATATAAATGCCGCTGTAGACAGTGATCATGATGTTAAAAAATAAAGCAAAATAAGAGGGAAAAGAAGTGCTGGTACGGATATAGAATTACTAATTTATATAGCTTTGATAAGGTAATGTTTGAGCAGGGATTTGAAGGAGTGAAGGAATGTTTGGAGATTAAGGCTAAAACTGTTCCATGCAGAGAAACAGTAAGTTGTCAAGACTCTTGAGGAAGGAGAGAACATGGACTGTTTAAAAAAATCCCAAGAAGATTGGTATAATCCAAGCAAAAATGAGAGTTTAAAAGATGAGACCTGATAAATAAATTATAGAGATCTGCTGTAGAACTTTGTGCCTACCATTGTTGTACTGTGTACTTCAAAATGTGTTAAGAGGGTAGACTTCACGTTAAGTGTTATGATCACGGTACAAAAAAATTAAAATTAAAAAAAGAAGCACGTGTTGGCTGGTTGGCTGTTGTTCCCAGAGGGGCAATTTGTAAATTTGTGGAGGATTTTTGGTTGTCAGAATGATTGGGGTGTGCTATTGTCATCATGAGTGGAGAATAGGGACGCTAGATGTACTGCAATAGGTGGGACAGTCCTGCAGTGAAGAATTGTCTTATATCTCATGTAACTTTCACATATATGGATGAGTATTTGTGTATTATAGAGATGCTACATATAATTGTGCAGATGTGGATGGCAGAATCTTTGGGAAGCATCATTGATAGGGATCAGCTGGGCGTGGTGGCTCCATGAGATTGTGTCGAGCACAGTCTATACAGCTATAAGTGGAATCCCTGAATGCAGGTGAAAAACTAAAGTTTTCTGAGTCTAGAACCTAACTGTATTTTACATATAAACACAAAGGGGGTTTTTTTGGTAGTATTTTATAATTATGGAATTTCTTAGGAATGCAACTACTATGCATATAAAAGAAAATGGTTTTATTTTCTCAGAAACTTAACTAAGAGTTATTCACAATTGTACATGCCAGAATCTAATCAGAAATAAATCACATGGTAATTTAAGCAGGAAAAATTTAATATAATTTATTATTAATGATAACATAGAATTAGAATAATAAGGGACAGATTAGTAGGAAGAGAATCTTAAAGAATACAGGAATGACAGATATGATTACCACTATCCCTACGGCTGAGGGAGACCACGCAAGGAAGACCCACCCACCCAGGTTGGATGCATGCTGAGAGCCAGTACTTGTTGGAGAGGGCATGGCCATGGCCCATTAGATGGTAAAGAAGTTGTTGGGATTCAGCACTGAAAATCCACCCCTTGGGACATTAAAAAAAATCAGGTGATAGGGAAAGCCAGTCATTGGGAAATGTTTCTCAGAAATGATCGACTATAAAATGAGTGAGAGGGCGGGGTACAGTAGCTTGTCCCCAGGATACCAGCACTTGAGGGGAGCTGAGACAGGAGGATCCTTTTAGGCCAAGAGTTTGAGACCAGTCTGAGCAACATAATGAAACCTCCTCTCTACAAAAACTAAAAGAAGTCCTGTGTGATGGCACACAGCTGTAGTCCTACCAGCTTGGGAGGCTGAGGCAGGAGAATTGAGCCCAGCAGTTGGAGGCTGCAGTGAGCTATGATCACATCACTGGAATACAGCATGGGTGACAGAGTGAGACCCCAACTTTACACACACACACACAGACACACACACTGAGTGAAGGGTGTGCTGAAGGAACTATTGGCTGCTAGGTGCTGCTGACCACTATTAATTACAGAGCTAGACGCTCAAGAAGCGGTCATGCTGCAGGAGTCTGGTACTGGAGGAGCTACAGGCACTTCAGGAGTTGGGTGATGAAGAAACTGCATGCACTGCAGGATCTGGACCCCAGAGAAGCAGTCATGCTACACGAAGCTGGCACTGAAGAAGCTGCCCATGCTGCAAGAACTACGTGCTGTAAAAGCCAAAACACTACAGGATCTTGCAGAGTAGTGCAAGGGAACCAGGAAGGAAATCTCTTACCTCCTGCACCCTCTACTGACATAGGTTAACATTATAAAAAGAAAAAATATTTAAAGAACTCAGCTCTATTTTCATGGAGCAGGCAATGAAGGATACATTTAGAACTGAAAGGCAATGAACTACTAACTGGCACAACCATAGAGGAAAAATCATGTCACTGATGGCAATCCATTTGTCTTTTGCCAGTTTGTCAGTTGCCATCTAAATATGTCTGTTTTTGTTTTTGGTGGTTCTACATATGGATGCAACCTTCTGACTACTTTATTTTGTCTTCTGTTGTAGTTGTGCTTGAGTATTTTGAAAGTGAAATTTATTTTATTACAAATGTTTTTCTTTTATTCCTCAGGCCATTATATTAATATGTTTTGAAATTATATATTTAGGTATGTTGCATAATATGTGTATTAGTCTGTTCTCATGCTGCTGATAAAGACACACCTGGGACTGGGCAATTTACGAAAGAAAGAGATTTATTGGACTTATAGTTCCACATGGCTGCGGAGGCCTCACAATCATGGTGGAAGGCAAGGAGGAGCAAGTCACATCTTCCGTGGATGGCAGCAGGCAAAAAGAGAGCTTGTGCAGGGAAACTCCCATCTTTAAAGCCATCAGATCTCAGACTTATTCAGTATCGGGAGAACAGTACAGGAAAGACCTGCCCCCATGATTCAATTACCTCCCACTGGGCTCCTCCTATGACACATGGGAATTGTGGGTGTTACAAATCAAGATGAGATTTGGGTAGGGACATAACCAAACCATATCAATATGTGCTTTCATTTAATGACAATTAAAACATTTTTTCTATAAAGTTGTGATTGGTTAAATAAGGTTGAGATAGGGACCATATGTCGTTGTTAGGAGTCTTGGTGAGAGGAGAAGCCACTAGAGTGTGTTGAGCAAAGGAATGACATGATGCAGCTCGTGTTTTAAAATGATAACTTTTTAGGAGAAGGGCAACAGTGCAAGCAGAAAGACCAGTCTATTAGCCAGAGTCCTGATAAGAAACAGAAGGTACATTCAACTGGGATTTTAAAGAGAATTCAATAAAGGAGCAACTTACAAATGTGTGGGCAGGTTTTAGAGAACTACTAAGGGATGTTCAAGCACCCAGGGAAGAGCAGCAACAGGAAATTGTTACCATCCTCAGACTTAAAAGAGTAGGGAAAGGAATTTTTGTTACTGGAACAAGAGGCTAACTGAAGCCACAGGGGAGGAACTGGGTGATTTATCAGAATTGATTTGCCTAGGCAGGATAATAAATCACCCAATCTCATCTCCTCCCAATTTATTATCTTCTGTAAGTGTCTACCATTGGCCAAATCCAACCAGAAACCAGAGGACAAGTGATCTTGCGTGATGCTGGCCATTGGGGTTAGCCTCCTGGCTAAGACCTCCTGGATTAGCCTCCCAGGATAGCCTCCTGGGTTAGACCCAGACCAGAGCAGAGAAAGGCCTGGAATGGATTTGGATGGGAAGTAAATAGAAAATATAGATTTGGGGCCAGGCTCAGTGGCTCACGCCTGTAATCCCAGCATTTTGGGAGACCGAGGCGGGAGGATCTCCTGAGGTCAGTCGTTTGAGACCAGCCTGGCCAACATGGTGAAACCCTGTCTCTACAAAAAATACAAAAATTAGCTGGGCATGGTGGCGGTTGCCTGTAATCCCAGCTACTTGGGAGGCTGAGGCAGGAGGATCGCTTGAACCTGGGTGGTGGAGGTTGCAGTGAGCTGAGATCATACCACTGCACTCCAGCCTGGGTGATAGAGTGAAACTCCGTCTCAAAAAAAAAAAAAAAAAAAAAGAAAATATAGATTTGGGCCAATTAATTCTAAAAACAATGGCAGTTACTTCAAAGTCTTTTGGCTGCTATGTTATTGCATATGAGATAACTTAACAATGGGGCTGATTTATTCTAGGACACATTTTTGAAAGGTAGCCTCTTTGATCCTACACCGTTATGAAGAAACACACTGGAGCAGGTCAAGAGCAATTCTGACTTGCTTTTTTCCTGGGATATGCTACACTTCTTACTTCCTAGGGTCTGTTTTCTCCTCCCTTCCCTTCATTATCCTGGTACCTGTGCTGTAGGTTATTTTTATAGGGAACTCTAGTACCTGGGAGATGTCTAGGTCTCAGTCTTCTTCCATCCACTTCATCAAAAGAAGCTCATTAGCTGGAAATCATCATTCTCAGCAAACTATCGCAAGGACAAAAAACCAAACACCGCATGTTCTCACTCATAGGTGGGAATTGAACAATGAGAACATGTGGACACAGGAAGGGGAACATCACACACTGGGGACTGTTGTGGGGTGGGGGTGACGGGGGAGGGATAGCATTAGGAGATATACCTAATGCTAAATGACAAGTTAATGGGTGCAGCACACCAACATGGCACATGTATACATATGTAACAAACCTGCATGTTGTGCACATGTACCCTAAAACTTAAAGTATAATAATAATTAAAAAAGCTCATTACTGCAGCATGAAAACGAACTAATCTGAAGGTGAGATTTCTATCAAGCCACTCAAGACTATCTTGAGAAGCAGGGAGTTCCCACTCATCAGAGGTGTTTGGCTATTAATCTTGGAGCAGATTTAAGTTTTGGATGTGTGGTTGGCCCTATTACTTTTAAAATATCCTCTCCAATGCTGAAACTATGCAATAGTCTGCAGTTGAAGGTGTTTGAATAATGGAAGCACCCTGATCAGCTTTGGCTTCTGCTGCTGGGCTCAACTAAAATGGAAAGGAATTGAGGCTGAGAGGAGAAAATGTGAAGAGGGGAAGGTTAGGAGGAAGAAAGGCATGTTTTATTGCACATTTGAGGTTGTGTTTTATTCATTTCAAACATAACTTTTCCTGTTGGAACTACCTTTGGAGTTGGAGCTGCTTGCTCTCCCAGGTCAATAGGTTTGAGCGCTGGGAATGAAACTCATACTTATCATATATGGATGCTGCATCTTTGCAATAAAGCTTCAGGTCATCTAACCTTGCCCATTCCAGGCTCTGACTGTCATCTGATCCTCTACATCTTACATCACATTTTCTGGGACATTGTATTCATTTCCAATTGCTACTGGAACAAATTGTAGTTCTGGAGTTCAGGAGTCTGAAATGCTGTAACTACTAAAATCAAGGTGTAGGCAGGACTATGTTCTTTCGGGAGGCTCTATTCAAGAATCTATTTTCTTACATTTTCCAGGTTTTAAAGACTATCTGCCTTCTTTGGATTCTAACCTTTTCCTCCCTCTTCAAAGCCAGCAGTGCAGCATCTCTCAATTTCTCTCTTATTCCGACTCTGTCATCACATCTCCTTCTCTGACTCACAGTCCTGTCTCCCTCTTCTAAGGGCTTTTGTGATTACATGGGGCCCACCTGGATAATTCAGCATAACCTCTCTGTCTCAAGATCCTTAATCACCCCATACAAAGTCCATTTTGCCATATAAGGTAACATAGTCACAGATTCTGTGCATTAGGACGTGGACATATCTGGAGGTGGCATTATTCAGCTTATCATGGAAATTGATACTTAAAATCTATTCCCAGGTCGAGGAGAGTACTGAGGTCAGGTGAGGGTGGCAACGCCTTAGTTGCTGTCTCTTGTCTGTTGAATTACTGAACTGTTCAGCCACACTATAATTTCAGAGCCCCCTGCCCCCACCAAGAGCCATCCTAATGAAGTATGCATTTTGGTAGTCATTTGTGCTGTTTATGAAATATTTTTAGCCCTCCCTTTGGACAAGTGGAAATATTGTACTTCACTGCCCCCATAGGGCCACATGACCATGCTGTGGCTAATGAAATATGAGCAGGAATGACAAATATCCCCTGTGGGCTGAAGTTTTTTTCTTTTTTTTTTTTGAGATGCAGTTTCACTCTTGTTGCCTAGGCTGTAGTGCAATGGCATGATCTCGGCTCACTGCAACCTCTGCCTCCTGGGTTCAAGTAATTCTCCTGCCTCAGCCTCCTGAGTAGCTGGGATTACAGGCACCTGCCACCGTGCCTGGCTAATTTTTGTATTTTTAGTAGAGGTGAGGTTTCACCATGTTGGCCTGGTTGGTCTTGAACTCCTGACCTCAGGTGATCCTCCTACCTCGGCCTCCCAAAGTGCTGGGATTATAGGCGTGAGCCACTGCACCCGGCCATGGGCTGAAGTTTTAAGGGCTGGTGCATGATTTGCCACATTCTCCTATTCTTGCCATGGCGAGTGTAGCAGCACACAGAGGAAATCTCCCTTGGTCTTGGTCCTTGAATGAGAATGAATGAAGTACAGTGCCTCTTCCTGTGCCCCAGCTAACCCCCAAAGGACATACAGCCTGCATGAGAAATGAACTCTGTTCTTTTAAGCCATTCAGATCTTGGCATCATTTTTGCCACCTCATGTCCTAGCCTTCCCTGATGCAGGCATCTTCCATAACAAATCAAATGAAGGCTTGTTCCCTACTCCAATCCTTCCCTCCAGGGGCACCATATCCTGATGCTCTGTACATCTAGGAAACCTCCTGGATCCTAAGACAGCCGGGGACCACTTACATCCCAGTTTGGAGGATGCTGTTTATTTATGCTTCCATTCACCTTTCCAAAATTTGCAGACAAAGGACCAGAGCAAGCCTATCAACCTGATCTGAGAGGAATACATTCAAAACTATATATTTTAAAGGTCACATGACTGGTCCACTCAGCAGCCCTTGTGGATTTCACACATGAAACTCCACTGCTTTTTAGTCTCTTGGGTATCCCTTCCACTTCTTTCTGTACCTCCTGGTTTCACCATTACTCTGGCAATTGCTAGAATTTCAGGTCACCCTAAAGGCTCTGTGACCTCTTTCTTATGACACACAGACACTACGTGCTGGGGGCCAAGAATGAGGGTGATGTACCTGTGGCAGCTGACTCCATCGCTTTTCCTCATGTGCATCGCAACTGTGGTTTACCAGCCCCTGGCCTCACTGCTGAAACCCTACCAATTCTGATAGAACCCAGTAATTCACATCTGCTTCTTGGAGGCAGCTGGAATATGCTCTAAATAGTTCCTTGGATCCCATTCATCCAGGACCCAGTAAGAACACAGCCTCAATAACAGTGTAAGAATGCATCTCTGATTTAGGAGTGTACTCCGGATTAGGTAAACTCAGCCCTGATGGCGGAGAGGGTCTCTTGGGGCAAGTTCAACTCCAGCCATGAACCTCTAAATAAATCTGGCCCATCCACACTGTACACCACTGAGGATGGATATAATCCTGTTGATGCAATTTTCCTGAACTCCCTACTTTTCTCTCTCTTTTTTCCAGGTCCTGTTTCCTACCCCAGGATCTCCTTACCTAGATGATATGTTCAAATGCATGTCTCCAATTTTAACCTGAGCCATTTTTCTTAGGATATGAGCTCATACTGCTCCTCTGGCTCGTGCACCTGCAGCTTCTGCCTCCCACCCTCACCTGGGAGACCTGTCCTTGCAGAGACCAGCTTGTGTGATATCTCTGCCAGTGTATGGACATCACCTCCTGGAAGTCTCTAAACTTTAACTCTCTCCTCAGTAGTGTCAGACATGATCAGTGTTCACTAATAGGATATGATAGAACTTCTCAATTTTTTAGGTTAGCTTGACATGCATTCAAGAGTTCAGATGTGTACTAAAGCTTGTACTTTGAACTATTACCTTTCAGAAGCATTCACTCTTTCTCGGAAAATAACCTGGGAGTTCCCCAAAAGGGACAGAGCAGTGAGACTATTACCCTCTGAGAACATTTAGGTCATGGTGTTCATGTTCTAAATCATATCAGGGCAGCCACGATTCTTACAAACTAATGACGAAGAAATTGCCCTGCTTTTCAGTGACTTTCCAGTGTTGTCTTCCAGGCAAGTGCATAGAGGTAATCACAAGCAGATGGGAACCCCAGGCCTGATTGTGCATTCCTCATTTATTATAGAGCTCTGTGCAAGGAGAGGCGGAAGAGCGAGTGTGGGGAACGGGGCAGCGTTCATGTCCTCATTCTGCTACCCACAAATGGGATAGAATTGCAGTTAGGACACTTGGAAATTGAACAAAAGGAACTCATCCTCTAATATTAAATTTTGAGGTGATTTTATCACATGTGGCGGGATAAAAGAAGGACATTTTGAAGATGTGGTCAGGTAGGAATATTGGTATGAGTTCTTCTAGAGCAACTTCTTTAACTGGGAGATTGCCTAAGAACTTTCTGAAAAATAGCAGGATGTCTCAAAATATTGTTTTATTTTTGCCAATTTTTTTTTCCTGTGAAATTTATCGTACTTAAACTTTCAAAATAGATATAAAAAGAGTGGGACCAGATTTTTTCTTCATTTCAGTCAGTTATTGAGACAGAAAACTGAGATTTAAATAATACTAGATTCTTAAAGTGCAGAAATTCAGGAGTAATTTTATTAGGCAGGCTCAGACTATGGAGAAACATATAAAATAATAAAATAAATTAAATTGCTAACTCCTTAATACACTTACTCTTGTTTGGTCCTCTTGTTTGCCTCTCCTGTATTTTGCAGGTGTTAATCTAGAATTTTTTCAAAAAATATTGTTATACTGACTCAAGGCCCGCAAAACAGTTCAATTTGAAACACAAAGAAAAGAAATGATGTGAAGCTGCAGCAGGAGCAATAACAAAAAGTATTTCCTAACAGTGCAAGTATGATACTGCATTTTATTTTGACTTCAAACAACACATTGAAAATGATCTAATTTCACTTTATTTCTCTTCACTATGCAGGGTGTAACAGAACAAATAAAGATAAGATGGTTTATTCTTTGTTAAATGACTGACTAAATTATACTTCTTTATATTTACAAATAACTCATGTGTGTGCGTGTGTGTGTGTGTGTGTGTGTGCCTATGACATTTCTCTCCCCCCACCACCAAATTACTCTATAAGATGGATTTTCTGTTTATAACAACTTCAGTTCTAATGGAAAGAAGTGCTTGTCTGTTAAACCATGGAATATTAGGATGGCTAAATGAGTAACAGGGATTTGTAGAAAATCAGAAATTGTGGATTCAAATTCCAGCTCTAGTATTAATTATTGCTAACGTTTCACAAGTTACCAAGATCCTTGAACCTCAATTTCTTCATCTGCAAAGGAGTGGTAGTAACATTTCTTGTATATGCTCTTCCTAATCCAATTGGTTCAGGCTCTCACTATTTTTCACATGGATGTTTTGCACTTGCTCTCCTATCCTTAGAGAACAGCCTTATCATCCTCCTGCCAGCTTCTTCCCAGCAAGCTCACTCCCAGCTTGAAGACTGTGATGAAACAGCTCCTCCTCCACCCCAGCATCCCACATAAACTTGATTGTACCAATCTTAGAACCACTCAACAGCTTTGCATATTCTTTTATTACAGGAGGTTTTCAGACATCCTGCAAGTCTCTTTACATGTTTGTCTCCTCCAACTGATCCCCACAATCCTGGAGGTTAAGGACCATGCCCTACTCCTTTTTCTCCACAATGCCTAGCAAGGTGCCTGGCCCTCAGTGGCACCTGGTAAAATGTTTGTAGCCCTTGTCCCAGGGCTGCTGTTGGTTTCTTTGAAAACACAAGAGAAATAGATAATTACAGAAATAATAGGAATATTTTGAAAAAATCTTTGTTGCTTCTGAATTTGATTCTGCTTGTACACCTGTGTGGATGGGTCATGGCAAATCTCACCCTCTAAGTTTCAGACACATGAATCTGGTGCATTCATATAGCTTTTCTGTTTGGGTTAAATAACTCCCAATTCCTGTAGTCATGATTTATAGATCCCATTTTCCAACTCTTTAATCATTTTCACTGCATTTTTCTGGAACTTCTCCAAGTTCTCTATTCACTTATGTTTCAGGCTCCAAATGACATGGTATTGAAATACTGAGTGAAAGAATTATCTCCACGTTCCTATATTCCATGACCTTATTTATACATAAGTGCTTTTTCCCTCTAATCAGTCTACAAATATTAATGAGGCACTTATGCAATACCTGGCACTGGGCTTCAAAGTTTTTGGCAGTTTCAAATAACATGATTCTCTCTGTGAAACAGGCTTTTCTTTGGTGGTATTACATGAAAATCACTATATTCATAAGCATCTCTATCATAGTCTAAGTGGAGTGCCTTTCCATGTCAATAAACAATACTGTTTCTTATGAGGTTTGGCTTAATGAAATTAATTTAATAGTTTATCTGTTGCATGGATATAGCAAGTTTACTTCTCATTCCAAATTGTACTGTAAATTAAAGAAGCAGAAAATGATCTAGCATTTTTTTGCATTATATGCATGCAGTAAGCTCAAATTTTATTCTAATTTATAGATTTCATTCTATTTCAGGTGCACATTGTGTTTTCTCTATTGTCCTTGAAAATGTTTCAGTCAATACTAAAATATTAATAACATGTAACTACTTAGACACAGTAAACTTTTTTTATTTTAAAAATTATATCTATGTTTATTCATCTACATTTTTAATTTAATTAATTATTTCAAATTTCAATAGATGTTTGGGGAACAGGCGGTGTTTCGTTACATGAATAAATTCTTCTTCAGTGGTGATTTCTGAGATTTTTGTGGACCCATCACCTGAGCAGTGTACACCGTACCCAATGTGTAGTCCCTTACTCACCCCTTCTTCTGAGTCCCCAAAGTCCATTGCATTATTCTTATATATTTGCTCGACACGGTAAATTTATATCACTATTGTATACTTCCCTTCTTTAAATGCATTTTCTATATCTCTTATCTGATTTGATCCTCACATAAACCCTATTGGCAAAGAAGGATGGGAATGATCACCATCAACATCCATTTGATTACTCCAAGGTATAAGTAGAGTTTAAGATCGATCATGGTACTACAAGTTAATGGGGAGCTAAGTGCTCTGACTGGTGGTCCAGGTTTTTCCACCAGAGTTTTTCTAGGCTTGAGAAAAATAATTGAACCATTGCCATTATGTAACACTTCTAGAAATTAAAACTTCTATAGAAGCCAAAATAAGGTTTCAAAAATTGTAAGATATTATAAATATTACTTTAGTGAAAAACATTTTCAACACTCGTAGACTAACACTATATAATGTGATGTAATCACACTACTAACAATATAATTAAAGGATTGACAACAACATTTATTCATAGACTGTTGTAAGAATTGTGATCTGGTAGAACAGCAGAAAATTAAAAACGTATATCAGTCAAGGTTCTCTAGGGAAAATAACCAATAATCTCTGTCTATATATCCTATTGATTATTTTTACTAAAATAAAAATAATAATCCTATAAATAATGGTATTTAGTATAAAAAATTGGCTCACACAATTATGGAGGCTGAGATGTCTCAAGATCTGCAGTCATTAAGTTGGAGACTGAGAAGAGGCCATGCGTACTTCCAGTCTGAGTCTGAAGGTTTGAGAACCAGAAGAGCCAATGGGATTAGGTTCATCTGAAAACAGGCAGCCTGGAGACCAAAAAAGAGCTGATGTTTTAGTCTGAGTCTGGACATCAGAGAAGTCCAAAGTGCCAGCTCAAGCATTCAGGCATGACTTCCCTCTTACTTCGCCTTTTTGTTCTATTCAGGTCTTAAGTTTATTGGTTGGGGCCCACACACATTAGGGAAGGCAATCTGCTTTACTCAGTCTACTGATTCAAATGTCAATCACATCTTGAAACACTTTCACAGACTCAGCCAGAATAATATTAGACCAAATGTCTGGCACCTTGTGGCCAAGTCACACTGATATATAAAACAAATCATCACAAGATGCACGATGAACATTCTTTTGATCCTAACAGTGTGCTTTCATACTTCCATGACTGTGTTATAAACTCACTTGGAGGTAATGTAAAAATTCTAATTTTTAGGCCGTCTTAGAATATAAAGTGTCCTTTCTGACCTTTTACCCTGAAAGGCCCTGTTTTTTACTGCACAACCTGATGCCAGCTCATTCATTTCTCAAGATAGAGGTCCAAGGAAGCTACAAAATAGTTGACGTGAACCAAGTATATTTATTAATCTGCCACTTTCTAGTGTCATTGTAGAATCAATTCTCTTCGAATTACATAGCTTCTTTCAAGCATTGCATTAAACATGTTTAAATATATAAGAAATAAAAGCCAAAATTTCATTGTTGGAGTCAGTTTGTAAAAGATTAAGCTAAATATATATTCCTTTCTCTGGCCTTCTGCAAAATTACTGAAAATTTTGTCCATTTATCTGAGCAAGTATTGTTAAGTTGTATGAGAGAATATTTACATCTCCAGGTTGTTTTGAACATTTAAAAAGTGATCTTATTTTAGAATCCTGAATTGCTGTGTGTTTTAAACAAAAACAGAAGCCAGTTTTATTGTATTATAATTTGCATACCATAAAACTTACCCCAAGTGTACAAGTTAGTGGTTTTTAATATATTCATAGAATTGTGTAGCCATCACCACAATACATTTTAAAACATTTTTATCACTCCAAAAGGAAACTCTATACCTATTATGTCACTCCTTATTTCCCTCAACCCACCCTATTGTGTCTTTCTATAGAGCGTGCATCTTCTGAAAATTTTGTATTAATGCAATCATACAATATGTGATCTTTTCTAGCTGGATTCTTTAAGTTAGCATAAAGTTTTCAAGGTTCATCCATGTTTTGGCATGTATAAATACTTCATTTTTTTATTGCTGAATAATATTCCAATGCATGGCTATACCAAATTTTATTTATCCATTCATCAGTTGATGAACATTTTGGGTTGTTTCCAATTTGGGACTATTATAAATAATATTTTTATGAACACTTATGTGCTAGTTTTTGAGTGGACATATGTTTTCATTTCCTTTGGGCATATACCTAAAATTGGAATTGCTGAGTCATAGGCTAAATCCATGTTTTACACTTCAAGGAACTGCTAAACTGTTTCTCCCAAATGGCCACACCATTTTACATTTTTCATTATAGCTATGCTAGTGACTGAATTGGTATCTCATTGTGGTTTGGATTCGGATTTCCTTATTGCTAATGATCTTGTACATGTCTTCATGTGTTATTGGTTATTTATATATCTTCTTTTAGAGAGCTGTGTGTTCAAATGCTTTGCCTATTTTTATTTGGGTTATGTGTCTTTTTACTGCTGAGTGTGAGTTCTTTGTATATGATGGATACATGTCCTTTGTCAGATATATGATTTGACAAGTATCTTCTCCCTTTCATTTTCTTGATGATGTCGTGTTAAGTGCAGAAAGGTTTTTTGTTTGTTTGTTTTTAGTGACTGGGTCTCATTTTGTTGCCCATTTGTGGCCTTGAACTCCTGGTCTCAACTGAGCAATCCTCCCACCTCAAAACTTGCTAATTGTGATGAAGTCCAATGTATTTATTTATTTTCTTTTGTTGTTTGTGCTTTTGGTGTCATAGCAAAACATACATTGTGGGCACGAATTGCTCTACTGTCTGATTCAATTAAATTTGGTCGCCTGTAACAGGGGCAATCTTTGAGGCCAGTTTTGAGGCTTGTTTTGATACCACAAAGGCTCTTCTTAGACGTCTCTTTCCCTGGTTCTTTTTCTTAAACTTACAGCGGTATAAGGTTTAGCTTGTTGCTACCATGGAGCTACCAATCCCTCTTAATTGCTTACAACCAAAATTTCCATTGTTTTGGACATTTTCCTTAGACTTGAACTTTCCCATGCTCTGTTCCAAGTAAAGTCAGTCCTTTTAGGAATATCTACAGAGTGCTTTATTCTTGAGACCTTCGTCTCTGGCTGAGAAAAATATTTGCACCACTGCTTTAGAGATGGAGGTGAGAACAGTGGTCTGATCTCAGAGTGATGCTGCTGCTTTACAAAAGGGATATTGGATTGGAGTGATAGCATCTGGTCTTATTGGTATGGAGACTCTGCCCTATGAATAAGCTCAGTTGAAGTTGATCAGGGCTCACTATTCCCATTATGGCATGCCTAGGGGAGGGCTTCTGCCTTATGATGAGGGGTTGAGTTTAGGAAGGGAATCCCAGATCTCTCAGCTACTCTGGTCTGGATTAGAGCTTCTGCAGCACAGAGCTAGGGAATATAAAAAGGCTGGTGGCTTCTCCCTTTGGGGGAGATACTGTCACCTTAGACTGGGAGCTAAGGGAAGAGGGAATCCTATGTTCTTGGCTGCATCTACCTGTGTCCTGCTGATCTGGTATGGGGAAGAGCAGGTTATGGCTGAAATGTTACAAACTCACTATTCTTATTTTCTCAATAAATCGTTCACCATGTATTGTATGACCTTAGCACTATTTGCAGAGATTTAAAATGGTTTTTTAAAAATAATTTGAGCTGGTTATGGTTGTTTCACTGGGGAAAGGGTCATGGAGTCAGCATTCCAGATGATTATCTCCCCAAGCTGCTCTTAACTTCAAGAAAAATTAGGAAACTTGAGTGGTCTTGGGGAACAAAAGTCTGGAATAGAATTTTGGTAGTCACCCATCCTCCCAGTTTTAAAAACAACAAAATAGAATATCAACCTCGTCCCAATGATGAGATGTCAGGTAAGACTTGGAAAAGCTTGCCAAGCTCTACGAGACATCTTCCCACACAAATCTTTTTGCCAATAATCATTGCAAATACATTGTTATTTTTTGTATTATCAGCTTTCTTCACTCATTATATTATCTGCCTCATCCCTATGGGCATTTTAGTTTGCAATTCCTGTTAATCAAACATCTTGGAGTTAGCTAGAACAATATGACTTCTCACAGTCTGTTCTGCTTACCAAACAACAGGTGCTAACCTTTTTATCAACATCATTGCCTCTGTTGATTTTTGCTTCAGCACTTTTTGCTTAATTTCATTTGACCAAAAATAGTTCAACTAGGTTTAGTGAGTGCTGTCTTTTGTATTACATAATAGTAAGTAGTCATTCCCTACCATCTCCATTTTTATCTTTTTTTCTTATTTGCTTTGCTATTCTTTTCAGCATCTCTAAGCATAAAGCTTATATAAAATAAATAAAATAAATGATGTTAGAAGGGCTAATACACACACATGCACACATACATAATTTAAAATGATCTTTTAAGTCAGAGAACGCAATATTGGAAACAATGGTTAAGCACGATTTCATTTCCTTATCATTTAAAGCTTTCCTTTGTTTGAGTAAATATTTCAGAAAATATATAACTAGACACTCTATAGGATTTGATTGTAATACTGCATATATAAACAATTTTTGTCATTGAATATTTTTGAAAATGGCAATTTTTTCCTTTGATCTACCTTCTAAGTTACTTAACTGCAAAATATGCTTTTTTTCCTCCAGTAACCTCTTTTCATTCTTTAAAAACATTCTATTGCAAACAAGGAAAGGATCAATATGCTTGGTACACAGAAAAGACACAGTAGGTTCTTTTATATAAAAAATAGTTTTCATCTGCCTTTTCTGTCTCATCCTAGTTGCATCCGTATAAATATATGTGATATTTAGGAAATTACCTGTTTGACTCACACCATGGCAAGTCACTGACACACTTACCAGGGATATGACACAACCATTGACCCAAGAGCCAGAGCCCTGGCTGTCAGTCTTGACAGCTAGAGCATCAAAGACTCCAACCAGAAAAAGGTTCTGACTAGGTTTGTGTGGAAGTGTAGGGAGCAGGCAGGAATTGCTTATGGGCAGGGCTGGAAATGTTTGAATTAGATTATTCAAGGGCCTGAGCTTATCTATCAGGAAAATAAAAGGCTCCCAACTTTATGCAGACCATATACAAACTCTAGGTGAGCTGTTTATGGCTTATGATCCATAGTTTCCACATCATGGAGCAGGTTTAGAAGAACGTATAGCATGGGCTTTAGAATCATCCAGCCATGGTATTAAGTCTACCTATACCACATACCACTTGTGTGATTTGGGCAGCCTTTCTGACCTGTAAAGTAGTGATAACACTAGTACCTATCTCAAAGGTTTTTTTTGGCAAATTAAACCAAAATATGTAAAAATCATCCTGTACAGTTTCAAGAAAATAGTAATGTCTGTAAAGAGCTGCTCTTATGATAATTATCAGTCATTTAAGCCAGTGGTTTCTAATGCTGTTTTAGCACTCATACCTTTTGCAAGTACAATAATGCCCTATTGGTAAATGTTTTGTAATCTGCAGAAATTCTCAAATGTGTGTGTATGGAAAAGACACTCATAGCAAATTTGATTTGCCTCTCCTTCCTCAATCCAGTTGAGAATTGCTGGCCTTATCAAAATCCTATTAGTTCTTTCGTTATGCTTCCAGGCTCAGGGAAAGAAAATTGTGGCCCTTTCTGTGGGGGCACATTATTTGCTAGTGAGATTGGGCTTCTCTGGAGAACCTCGAGAGAAAAGGAGGCCCACCTTCTATGATGAGACAACGCTCAGGTCTTTCTGCAAGCAAAGGGAATGGTGTAGTCTTACAGAGCTGTTCAACACAACTTTCTGCAATTATGTAAATGTTTTATGCTTGCAGTGCATGAGAGCCACTAGCCACATGAGTATTGAGCGCTTGAAATGTAGCTAGCATGAGTGAGGAACTGAATTTTGTATTTTAATTATGTTTAGTTAATTTAAATTTAAATAGCCACCTGTGTATAGTGGCAACTGTAGTGGACCGTATGGATCTGGGGAATCTTTCTTTGTGTGTGTGTTGTGGGAAAGCATGGAGGGCAGTCTGGATGGTTGAACAAATACCTAGATACATTTTTTTTCCAGGCTAGTCACTTGCCAGTGGGTTTTAAAAAATTCTGAGGGTTGATCTTTAAAAAAGTGTATTTTAAGAAATATTCAAAAGAATTTCAAAAGTACTGATCCTTATAAATCTGTAAGCATGGTTATGCATCTTAATGTCATCATCTGCCCTCAAATAAGAATAGAACTAAATTTATTCCTTTTAAATTTACTTGAGTTTCAGATGTATTGTCTTTGAGAAAAGGATGAAAGTCTAGAAATTTCATCCTATTTGCTAACATTTAGAGGAGATTAGTCTTTAATACCATGTTTTCTCTTTTGCCTTGAGAAAACAATGTGCTTTTCTTCAGTGTTAGTTGATGGTCTTTCAATACATTTCAAATAAAGTTTTCAGGGATTTTGGAGAAAGGTCCTTGTTCATAGGCTCTTAGGGAGCATTGCCATTATGGTTGATTTTCTTCCCATTTTTGAATGCCCTTGAGCATCTAAGGAACAACGTCGTCTGAGAAAGGCTGCCCTTTGCGGTCGTTGTTTAGTCATTGGCCAATGGAAGAGTTAAGTGTCTACCTGGCTTTGGCAGCACAAGGCTTCAATCTCGTCAGAATTCCACTGTTCTTTGATTTCATCAAAAGGCATATTTGCATATGGACTGATAAGGCACCTTGGCACCAGGATCCTAGATTTCATACAGGCACAGATTTGGCACAGGCCTGATGAAAACTCAATTATGATTTATGTCTATGCAACAGAGTTTCCTATTGATTACCTGCCAGAATCATGATAAAGCAACATTAGGCATGAAGCCAATCTTTTCCAGCCATCATCTTTCCTCAGGTTTTCATTCTATGCCCTTGCTGGAGTTTTCTGAACATTTGTGAACAATAAGAGTTCAAAAAAATGATAATTGGATATGCAAATTTGTTTGCAATAAAGAATCCTCTTCCTACTACTTAAGTTTTGTTTGTATTTACCTTCCAATTATTTGAGATTTACCCAGCACTTGCTTATGTGCCTCACACTGCTGTAAGTTTTATAGGGTGTAGAAGAAATGGAAAATAAGCAAGTTTTGGGGAACTTTCTTATGGTAATCTGGAGGAAGCAAGTTGTCCAGATATGAAGATACTAGTCCAAGAAGCAATTGCCTTCTAATATTGATGTGTTGATCAAATTGAGCAAGATGATCAGAGTGAGGTGGAATGAGACTGAGAGACTTCTTTGTTATAATTTTTAATTGAGGAGGGGCATAAAAAAGGAATCACAGTTGAGTAGAGAGGATATGAAATGAGAGTCATTAAGGGGGTACCTGGGGAATCTAGCTTCCTTGATAATCAGTCTCCTGTTGAGATGGTGAGCATTACTCCTCATAATTAAAAATAATGTCTTTATTTAAACTGTCTGATTTTAAAACACCTACATTAGCATTAATTGGCTGTGTGCCAATTTCTGTTCTAAATACTGTATATATATATATTAAAATGCTTCTCTCTATATATGTAGAGAGATATATATCTACATAGGTGTATCTATCTATCTATAGCTCTATATGTCTATATATAGAGAGAGGCATTTAAATCTATATGTATACACACACATGTGTATATGTATATATGTATATATATATATCTATATATAGATATATACCTACTTATATATATCTATATACATAGGTATATATATCTATATATACCTATATATGTATATAGGTATATATATAGGTATATATATAGGTATATATCTATCTATATCTATATATAGATATCTACCTATATATAGATATATATAGGTAGATATATATATCTATATATAGATACATAGGTATATATATCTATGTCTAGATACATAGGTATGTATATCTATACATAGATATATAGGTATATATAGATATATAGGTATATATAGATACATACCTGTGTATCTATACATAGATATATATATACCTATGTATCTATATATAGATATATATACCTATGTATCTATATATAGATATATATATACCTATGTATCTATATATAGATATATATATACCTATGTATCTATATATAGATATATATATACCTATGTATCTATATATAGATATATATACCTACCTATATCTATCTATAGATAGATATAGATATATACCCATATATCTATCTATAGATATAGATATATACCCATATATCTATAGATAGATATAGATATATACCCATGTATCTATAGATAGATATAGATATATACCCATGTATCTATAGATAGATATAGATATATACCCATGTATCTATAGATAGATATAGATATATACCCATGTATCTATAGATATAGATATATACCCATGTATCTATAGATAGATATAGATATATACCCATGTATCTATAGATAGATATAGATATATACCCATGTATCCATAGATAGATATAGATATATACCCATGTATCCATAGATAGATATAGATATATACCCATGTATCCATAGATAGATATAGATATATACCCATGTATCCATAGATAGATATAGATATATACCCATGTATCCATAGATAGATATAGATATATACCCATGTATCGATAGATAGATATAGATATATACCCATGTATCGATAGATAGATATAGATATATACCCATGTATCGATAGATAGATATAGATATATACCCATGTATCGATAGATAGATATAGATATATACCCATGTATCGATAGATAGATATAGATATATACCCATGTATCGATAGATAGATATAGATATATACCCATGTATCGATAGATAGATATAGATATATACCCATGTATCGATAGATAGATATAGATATATACCCATGTATCGATAGATAGATATAGATATATACCCATGTATCGATAGATAGATATAGATATATACCCATGTATCGATAGATAGATATAGATATATACCCATGTATCGATAGATAGATATAGATATATACCCATGTATCGATAGATAGATATAGATATATACCCATGTATCGATAGATAGATATAGATATATACCCATGTATCGATAGATAGATATAGATATATACCCATGTATCGATAGATAGATATAGATATATACCCATGTATCGATAGATAGATATAGATATATACCCATGTATCGATAGATAGATATAGATATATACCCATGTATCGATAGATATAGATATATACCCATGTATCGATAGATATAGATATATACCCATGTATCGATAGATATAGATATATACCTATGTATCGATAGATATAGATATATACCTATGTATCGATAGATATAGATATATACCTATGTATCGATAGATATAGATATATACCTATGTATCGATAGATATAGATATATACCTATGTATCGATAGATATAGATATATACCTATGTATCGATAGATATAGATATATACCTATGTATCGATAGATATAGATATATACCTATGTATCGATAGATATAGATATATACCTATGTATCGATAGATATAGATATATACCTATGTATCGATAGATATAGATATATACCTATGTATCGATAGATAGATATATCTAAGATATCTATACCTATGTATCTATATATAGATATATATATACCTACCTATTTATATATAGGTATATATCTATATATCTATATATAGGTATATATATCTATATATAGATATATATACCCACCTATATCTATCTATATATAGATATATATACCCACCTATATATATCTATATATAGATATATATACCCACCTATATATATCTATATATAGATATATATACCCACCTATATATATCTATATATAGATATATATACCCACCTATATATGTCTATATATAGATATATATACCCACCTATATATGTCTATATATAGATATATATACCCACCTATATATGTCTATATATAGATATATATACCCACCTATATATGTCTATATATAGATATATATACCCACCTATATATGTCTATATATAGATATATATACCCACCTATATATGTCTATATATAGATATATATACCCACCAATATATGTCTATATATAGATATGTATAACCACCTATATATGTCTATATATAGATATGTATACCCACCTATATATGTCTATATATAGATATGTATACCCACCTATATATGTCTATATGTAGATATGTATACCCACCTATATATGTCTATATGTAGATATGTATACCCACCTATATATGTCTATTTGTAGATATGTATACCCACCTATATATGTCTATATATAGATATGTATACCCACCTATATATATATCTATATATAGATATGTATACCCACCTATATATATATCTATATATAGATATGTATACCCACCTATATATATATCTATATATAGATATGTATACCCACCTATATATATATCTATATATAGATATATATACCCACCTATATATATATCTATATATAGATATATATACCCACCTATATATATATCTATATCTAGGTATAGATCTATATATAGATATAGATCTATATGTAGATATAGATCTATATATAGATATAGATCTATATATAGATATAGATCTATATATACATCTATATATAGATCTGTATCTATATATAGATCTATATAGATATATACCTACCTATATATCTAGATCTATCTGTCTCTCTCTCTCTCTCTCTCTATATATATATCTCTCTATATAGATATCTATCTATCTATCTGTTTATCTATGGAGAGAGTCATTTACATCTCACAAGATCCCTAGGAGGTAAGTTCTATTATTTCCATTTTGAAGACTAATTAGGTGCAGATCAGAGATGATAAAAGACTTACTGAAAATTCCACTGCTAATAGGTAGTGGTGCTGGAATTTGAACCCAGGCCTCGTGGCTCCAGTTTTTCTGCCTCAGTCACAACCCCGTATCACCTCTCTTCTATGGAAAAGAAAAGAAGGGCACATATCGCGTTCATATCAGCTCCTAAAGGAGTGACAGAGCTATCCCTTTCTTGTGGTGGGGAGCAGAGGGGTCATTGTTCTTTGTTCTTTAGTTTCAGGATCACTTGTTGTTGGATGGGCAAGGTCTCATCACTGCTTAAAGCAGTCCGTTCTGAAGAATCTTTTTTGATCTTGCAGAATAGGTCATTTGGCATTGTGTTGTGGGTTTCATTTTCAAAAAAATATGATGAAGTCTTAACCCCAGTATCTCAGAATATGACCTTATTTTTAAACAGGGCCTTTATGGAAATAATCAAGTTACTTTGTTACGGCAGCCCTAGGGAGCTAATACAGGTTGAGAGTGGTTTTTGAGTGAGTGAAGTGGCCTCTTATTAGCTGAGGACTATTTAAACTCTCAAGAGGGTACCTCATTTCCAATATCAGCAGAAAGTGGAACAACTTTTTTTTTTTTTTTCTTTTATTGATCATTCTTGGGTGTTTCTCGCAGAGGGGGATTTGGCAGGGTCATAGGACAATAGTGGAGGGAAGGTCAGCAGATAAACAAGTGAACACAGGTCTCTGGTTTTCCTAGGCTGAGGACCCTGCAGCCTTCCGCAGTGTTTGTGTCCCTGGGTACTTGAGATTAGGGAGTGGCGATGACTCTTAACGAGCATGCTGCCCTCAAGCAACTGTTTAACAAAGCACATCTTGCACCGCCCTTAATCCATTCAACCCTGAGTGGACACAGCACATGTTTCAGAGAGCATAGGGTTGGGGGTAAGGTCACAGATCAACAGGATCCCAAGGCAGAAGAATTTTTCTTAGTACAGAACAAAATGAAAAGTCTCCCATGTCTACTTCTTTCTACACAGACACGGCAACCATCCGATTTCTCAATCTTTTCCCCACCTTTCCCCCCTTTCTATTCCACAAAACCGCCATTGTCATCATGGCCCGTTCTCAGTGAGCTGTTGGGTACACCTCCCAGACGGGGTGGTGGCCGGGCAGAGGGGCTCCTCACTTCCCAGTAGGGGTGGCCGGGCAGAGGCGTCCCTCACCTTCCAGACGGGGCGGCTGGCCGGGCGGGGAGCTGACTCCCCCACCTCCCTCCCGGATGGGGTGGCTGGCCGGGCGGCGGGCTGACCTCCCCGACCTCCATCCCCGACGGGGCAGCTGGCCGGGCGGGGGGCTGACCCCCCACCTTCCTCCCGGACGGGGCGGCTGGCCGGGCGGGGGACTGACCCCCCCACCTCCCTCCCAGACGGGGCAGCTGGCCGGGCAGAGGGGCTCCTCACTTCCCAGTAGGGGCGGCCGGGCAGAGGCGCCCCTCACCTCCCGGACGGGGTGTCTGGCCTGGCGGGGGCTGACCCCCACCTCCCTCCCAGACAGGGTGGCTGCCAGGCGGAGACGCTCCTCACTTCCCAGATGGGGTGGCTGCCGGGCGGAGGGGCTCCTCACTTCCCAGACGGGGCGGCTGCCGGGCGGAGGGGCTCCTCACTTCTCAGACGGGGCGGCTGCCGGGCGGAGGGGCTCCTTACTTCTCAGATGGGGCAGTTGCCAAGCGGAGGGTCTCCTCACTTCTCAGACGGGGCGGCCGGGCAGAGACACTCCTCACCTCCCAGACGGGGTCGCCGCCGGGCAGAGGCGCTCCTCACATCCCAGACGGGGCGGCGGGGCAGAGGCGCTCCCCACATCTCAGACGATGGGCGGCAGGGCAGAGACGCTCCTCACTTCCTAGATGGGATGGCGGCCGGGACGAGGCGCTCCTCACTTCCTAGATGGGATGGCGGCTGGGCAGAAACGCTCCTCGCTTTCCAGACTGGGCAGCCAGGCAGAGGGGCTCCTCACGTCCCAGACGATGGGCAGCCAGGCAGAGACGCTCCTCACTTCCCAGACGGGGTGGCGGCTGGGCAGAGGCTGCAATCTCGGCACTTTGGGAGGCCAAGGCAGGCGGCTGGGAGGTGGAGGTTGTAGCAAGCCGAGATCACGCCACTGCACTCCCAGCCTGGGCACCATTGAGCACTGAGTGAACCGGACTCCGTCTGCAATCCCGGCACCTTGGGAGGCCGAGGCTGGCGGATCACTCGCGGTTAGGAGCTGGAGACCAGCCCCGCCAATACAGCGAAACCCCGTCTCCACCAAAAAAAATACGAAAACCAGTCAGGCGTGGCGGCGTGTGCCTGCAATCGCAGGCACTCGGCAGGCTGAGGCAGGAGAATCAGGCAGGGAGGTTGCAGTGAGCCAAGATGGCAGCAGTACAGTCCAGCTTCGGCTCGGCATCAGAGGGAGACCGTAGGGAGAGGGAGACCGTGGGGAGAGGGAGAGGGAGAGGGAGAGGGAGAACTTAAACCCTCTGCGGTGAGGTTAATGAGGTATCACATGAAACAAAAATCTCACATGACCACTTGGAAACTTATACAATTGAAAACGTTTTTCAAGTTTTTGAAAACGTTTTTCAAGTTTCTCACTACCTCAAAATACTTATCGAAAAACATAATTTATGTCAGAATCTGAGCTAAGTCATTGCGTTAGGCAAGGTTGTTAGATGCTAGGGAAGATTTTTTTCCTCCAAATCAAGGACCACTTTCACCAACTTTCCTACCATTATTTATGCTACAGGGACAGCCCCATTTTAATCATTTAAACTGATTAAATGAATAGTTTAATTTATTCTATATTCTAAAAGGACAATACCTATTCCAAGTTATAGCCTTCCATTATTGGACAATGGCCCTAAATTGTATGCCAGGTATTTGATTGTCAAATTACAAGTTTAGTTTTCATAGGCCAATGTTTTGTATGAGGAGCAGAAAGCACAAAGCAAAGCTTACTCTTTTATAGCCCGCTGCTATCCTCTTTATTCCCTTCTAGAGAAACACACTGGAAATATCACATTGTTACTGAATTTATTGACAGTTCCATGGTCTTGATCCTTGTGTACAAGATTTGGCTGCTTGAAGAGTATATGCGTAATCTAGACAGAGCCCCAGGTTTAGTTGTTTTTGTAAAACTGACCTTATTATGATTCTTCTGGGAGCAGAGCCAATAGAAATAGTCTTTTAACACAGCAGACCATTGTCTTTGGGGTTACAAAGGATTGTGTGTAGGTTTCCCTCTTTCAGACTTGGTTCTTAATGATCTGGTTGAGCTGACTTCAACCCCTCCCTCTCCTGGTATTGAGAAAAGTAGCACATTCTTTTTTCCGTGAATATTATGGTTCTATTATTTTAAACAAGGAGTGACCTCAATAGGCCTCTGACCCTGCTGGCCAATTATTGTCCAAAAGAAAGGCCACTGATAAGCCTTTTAGCCTTTTCTTCTTTTTTTCTTTTTCCAAACAAGTGATTGTCTTTGCTAGATATTCTCATCTTTTAGCTGGCTTATAAATAACTAACAATCCCATACAACTTATTGCTATTTCCTTGATGTGCATTTCATAATGGCTTATCTTGAGACACACAATAGGAAATATTCTGCTCAAAGATAATGATATTTTCAGTGCTATGTTGATTTTTATTTTGGCCAAAGCAGTGTCTAATTACCTTTGGCTTATTCGGGCTAATACTTGGGCATACTAAATGGGCATATTATTTGGGGATACTAAATGGAATAGAACTTTGGGGCCTCAACTACTGTTTATCTGGGTCTGCAGTGGGTTCAAAATAACTTTCTAAAAATAATCCTAAGTAGTCTCTCTGCTCACCTCACGGTGAGTGGCCCAGCTGTCCATTGGATATGTGCCTTTATGAACTCCCCAGCTTCTGCAAGAGGATAAAACCCTAGCCCAGCTCTTGGTGTGTTCAGATACTGGAGGATGGACTCAATGGCACAGGGAACAGCCATTTTCAATGCATTTGCCACATTTAATAACAAGTTTGTCACCAAAAGAGTATTGATCAAAAGCTAAGAGGAAGAATATTAAGAGAAGATTGCTAAGTTTTATCTGCCTCCATACATTCTAAATTATATAGCTAGGTCAAAGCTGATCATTGGAAGCTGGAACATTTCTTTGGTTATATTAGTCATTTCTGTCTTTCCTTCTTTCCAGAAAAACATCCTTTCCCTGTACAGTGTTTGAGCATGTGCTGCCAGTCTACCACAAGAATCATCTTAATAATCAGCCCTGTGGATCTTGTATGAACAGTGAGGAAGCTGTGGTGATTGTTCATTACGTCACCCACTTATGACGATCTCAGGGAGAGTTTTTGTCTGGTCTGAGTACCAAGAATAATTAGACTTCCTTGGGAAATTTGGATTGTTAGTGTATCATGGTTGCTATGAATTGTAAAACTGATAAGATTTCTTTTTTCTGGCTGCCAGAAAATTTAGGGCTGGATTTATGGCCCACCCATTGGACATATGTGGGCTATTGTAATATGCAGTTTTAGATTCATTCCTGGCTCTGTTTCATCTCTACTCTTGTTTTACTTTCTTCTCTTGCCCCACTTTTAACTGATGCTATTGGGTCATCTTCTACATGTCTTATTATTGTCTACTTCAAATGTTTTTGGGCTAGATCAAAGTATAAAAATAAACACATATACATAAATGAAATAATCTCAAATAGGGCTTTGAAATGAATGCTGCTGCTATTGGTGGAGGAAAAAATAGGGGCTTCCAGGTGCAGGGAGCAACATGAAAAACATATAAAGGAAGAGTAAATGGTTTTGACAAGGGATCTGATAGAAAAAAATCTTCCTTATCATAGTTAAGGTGATATAACAAAGCAGCTCAACTGAGTTCTTTAAAATAGAACATGGAAAAAGGAGCATTGTATAAAAATAAAATTGATTTTAATGTCTCAGCCTGATACATTTTATTTTAGGTATAAATTTGTGAAAATATTTTCATTGATTTACTTTTTTTTTTTTTTTTTTGAGACTGAGTCTTGCTCTGTCACCCAGGCTGGATGGAGTGCAGTGGCGTGGTCTTGGCTCACTGCAAGCTCTATCTCCCGGTTTCACACCATTCTCCAGCCTCAGCCTCCCAAATAGCTGGGACTACAGGCACCCGCCACCTCGCCTGGCTAATTTTTTTGTATTTTTAGTAGAGATGGGGTTTCACCGTATTAGCCAGGATGGTCTCGATCTCCTGACCTCGTGATCTGCCCGCCTCGGCCTCCCTAAGAGCTGGGATTACAGGCGTGAGCCACCGCTTCCAGCCTGATTTACATTTGTGTGAAACCTAGAAGATCTCTGGAAAAAAATCATTGCAGTAAGAAAATCATATTAGTATCTTTTTGCTTAATACATCTTTATGTTATTTAAATGTTTCAGAAAAAGTTAAATGACAGCATTCTTTCAATTTTATTCATGCCTTCCAGGGGTTATGCCTATGTCTATTTGAAAAACAAATGTGGAAAAACTCTATACGTTATAAGAATAGGTATAAATTGGGTATTTAGGGGAATAAGGATGGCAAAAATTCAAATAATTCAAAGATAAACATTATGCCTACCTTATTTACCTGGAAATATTTTATTTTCAAGGCTCTATTTTCATTGATTAGTTCCATGAAGTTAGGGGTTTATGTGTAGTTGATCACCAGTATATCCTAAGTATTCAGCCTATTGATCAGCATGTGGTAGAAAATCAGTATATATTTGTTGAATGAATGAACTAATTAAATGAATATGAGGTGTAGACTATATTTTTATAATCAAGATGAAATTGAATTGACCTTGAGGAGGCAATGACAAGGGCTGATATCCGATTCGAAGAATGTAAGTTAAGATAAAATGGCTTTCAGAGTCAATATCGCAGATTACCGGTTTTACAGATAATTTGAAAATTTACCTCCACAGCGTGAAAGTAAATGCCAAGATGACTATTTTGTTGAAAAATTGTCTTCCTTTCGGTGCTAGAATAATAAATACTGGTGCTAAGAGGACATGAAAGACCATCAGCTCCTTCCCTTGGAGGTGAGGGGCCAGTGATGGAAAGGTGATGTCCTTTGACCAAAATCATTTGTCCCCTCATTTCTACAAAACCTGTGTGGCATGATGGTTATGCACACTCATTCTGGAGATAGTCCCTGCTAGAATTCTGGCTCATCTATAAGATGAGAATAACAGTTCCTACTTCATAGAGTTGTTTGGAGAATACGATAAAATAATGAATGCAAAGTATTTAGAATAGTGAATGGTATTAATTAAATCGAGAATTCCAACCTATGACCAAGTTACGTTATTAGAAAGTGATGCATAACTAGCTTAAGAGTTAAAGTCAACTTCCCACATTACAATTACTCAAACTAGTGGATTGCGTCCTCATCTAAAATACCTAGACAGAGTTTCACGTGCACATCATTCCCTACCTCTCAAATAGTGGCCCTTATGAAGACAGAGTCTGCCTGCATGTTGGTAGGCACTAAAAAATGTCTGTTCATTTTACTTGAGTAATTCTCAGTAATATCCTTCAATGAAATTAATGTAGTATTCTGGGACCGAGGCATTGTCTATGCAGATGCCTTTAATGATTAATCCAAGTATTGAAACTATGAATCTTTTGCCCTTACTCAGCTGTTTCAGAGAGGAATAATTTAGCCACATCAGTTATTTGTCTGTATCAGTGTTTTTCAATCTTGGCAGTTTTGACCTTTTGGGCTGGATATATTTTTACTGTGTGAGTCTGTGCTGTGTATTATAGGAGGTTTAGCAGCATCCATGATTTCTACCACTAGACATCAGGAACACCTGCCTTCCTCACCAGTTGTAACAATAAAAAGTGTTTTTCGACATTGCTGTATGTTTCCCAGATAGCAAAATCATCCCCAGTTAGAACCATGGGGATAGATTTATGTCAACTAGTACTGCTCTTCGTTATATTTTATAATGCATCTCTTGACTATACTTTGAAATGAGATCATAGAGTCTTCTTTCTGAGGCAATTAAAAACAGAGAATGGTAATTCTCAGTTCTGGAATGGTCAGAGAGTTTGGTCAAATTACCTTCTGAGGTATCTCTGCATTCTCTGGATTGAAGACACAGAAGCCCTGCGTGCCTCCTTGGGGACGCCCTCCTCCTTGCCTGCATGTATAAATACTTAGCCCACAATCTCCATTTTTGTCTTTCTATGATGTATTATAAAAGGACATTTTAGTCAAATTGCTGGTGAATATACAAATTTTTCGTCAAAATTACTGATGAATAGTCAGAAATCTTGCCTCCTTTAAAATGTTTTTATTTTGTTTATGAGTTTCCAATTTACCCAGGTTTCTTTATCAATCCCAGCTGCACAAACATTATGAGTCACTTTCTAGGTCTATTAAGTATATAGCAGGACAGAAGGTTTGCAGGGACAGTGGCCATACACACATCTCAGAGCCTCTCTGCATGTTAGCAGTGGCTATTACTCATGACGCTTGGAACTTATTCTAGCATGGCTGCTATAGCAGACTCTAAGCACCCACTCCCACTCTCTCTAGCTACCCCACCCCACAGACAATCAGAGCATTGTTCAGAACAATCCCAGAGCTGTTCAAAGAGCATTGCCCAGGGCCCAAGCATTGATGTTTATTTGTGGCACTAGATCAAGAATGATATGGCAGTAGCTTTTTGGATGTGTTTAGGAAAGACTTGTGCTAACAGCACCCGAGGCTCTGGCCCTTCCTCACAGTCTTCTACTGTCACTGAAAACAATGCCACATGGATTTGAGGAGTATGGACGTGTTCCGGGAAAACATGCATCAGGAATGCACCCAAGCTCATAGTGGCCCCGGGGTTTCTTGGCACACCCTTTTGTCTTTTCCTGTTTCAGGTGTACGTCCTGGCATATGTGAGGAAAAGTCAAGGTTGTGCATGCTTTGTTAGGTGCCTGTTGGGCTTATTGGTCAGGGTGGGAATGGGGAATCAGGACAGAAGATGAAGAAGCTGAGAAAGCTCTAGAAGAACAAGATGCTTCCTGTCTCTACAAAGTGCCCCCTAGCTCCATGCAAAAAAAGTTTGAATGAAGACTCTTTCCAAATTCTTGTCAAACTTTAATAATTTTAAACATGTGCAATATGAATGAATTAAAATAAATCACACTTAAGTAGTGTGGTGCAAAAGGATCCAAATTCACAATATCTACAACTTCACAAAAATGGCAAAATACTAGTGACAAAGAAGACTGACTAAAGGAAGGGCCAACAATAAATGAACTCATAACCTTTTGCTAGGCTTATGGTTCTGACTTAAACACAGATAAAGCAGAATTGTGAACAAGATTTAGAAAGCACTCACAAAACAGGGCTCCCACTTATTTAAACATTCTTTTAGCACCAAGTTTATATGGAGCATGGAAGAAAATTTATTTTGAACATAGTGACTCGTGTTGGCACAATGTTTTTATTGACTTTTATTCCAAGCTATGGCTTTTGTATTTTCCCATTCTCTTTGATATTTAATGAGTACATTTTAAAGAACATTTTTCCTATTTTATAGTCAGGGTACTAGCTCTAACAACTGAAAATTTGTAAAACTGTGCAATATAGCCCTTCCAACATGGTTCCATCAGTTATACGCCAATAAATAACAGTGATTTCAAGGATGATTAATCATAATCATTATAAAGCACTTTGGCCAAGCCAACATCTGTTTCCATGGATACGGCAGCCAGCCATCACGGTTCTGTAATTTATATGTTTTAGTTATTGTTCCCAGATGACTAAGAGGACCATTCTACACAACATGACCTTTTAACTTTAGGCCCCAACGGGTTCTGTGGTTTGCATGCAGCCTGGAGTCCTTTTGAGAAACTTTTGTTGAAAATGTGTGGAGATCTGAGGAAATGAAACAGAATTTCAAAGGTCTTCCCATCTTTGTTTCCTCGAAGAGGCAATGTGAAGAAAAGGACAGTGGTGACAAGGTCAGTAACTAGTAACTAATAGTGCTGATGATATTATCAGGAAATCGGAGATCTAAAGAACTCACAAGGCACTGGGGAGGCTGAGGAGCAGAAGTGGAAAGCTGGTTCACACCCAGGTCTCCTGACTTTCAGGCATGGGCTTATATTTTCTTCAATTATTTTAGACAAATATATTTTATTTTCTTTATTGAATGAATGCTTATTGAACCTTACTATCTGCCAAGCTCTCAGCTCAATGCTGACAAGTTACTGGAAAGTCAATGGGAAGTCAAAATCTGTCCTTGTGTCTGCTCACATGGCTGAGAAAGAGGCTAGTCACTAAGCTCACATTAAGCAAGTAATCACACATGCCAATGGATTGTTAAGCTGTGACAAGTGTTGAGTAGGTTTGATCTTTCGTACCCTGAGGACCTGTCACTGGGCATTAGGTCTACTTCCAGAGGTAAGAGCAGATTTCTCTGGGGCAATGTCACCTGAGCTGAGATCTGAGGAAGAAATTAACTATGTGAAAATCAGAGAAAAAAGCATATCAGGGATCAACATGTGCCAATGCCTCATGGCAAGAGGAAACAAGGTGAGTACTAACACTAAAAGGTGTGACAGGAGTATAGAACTCCGGGACAAGATGGTTATATAGGTTCTGTGTAGCCCACAGTGAAAACATTCTGTCTCTGCAGTAGATCCAGTGAGAATTCACCTGCAGCAGCCTCGCTTGATTGGGTTGTATCAGCATCAGAAAGAGTAGGTGGAGACTAGAGTTTAAAATCTCTTTCTAGGTTGGAAGGTAGAAACATGCTTTGCTTTGATGATTTAATTTTCTAAACACCTATAATTTGTTTCACCAATTTCTTCTGTGAATGCTAGATCCCATGGACAAGACCTGAGGGTGTTCAGGTCTTGTCTATCGTGGTCTAGTCTGGTTTCACATACTGCAGACTCATCTGTCTAGGAGTTTGGTCTCTTATCTGCAGAGCAGAGAGGCTATGCAGTGTTTTGCTGTTGTGGGGCTAAAAGAACCAGCATGGCATGACCTTTTTATTTCTGTATATAGGATTCAAAAAATTATTTTTTACTGTATTGGATATATAAGAAACCACAAATGAAGTGTACCCACCTGCATTAATTTTCTATGCTGTGTAGCAAATTACCATATATTCAACAGCGTAAAAAAGCACATATTTATTATCTCACAGCTTTTCTGGGTCAGGAGTCCAAAAAATTAGGTCCTCTGCAAGGCTTCTATCAAGGTGTACATCAAGGCTGCATTCTCATCTGGAGGCTTAACTGGGGTTCTGGAGGCTCTGCCACTTCAAACTCAGGTTGTTGGAATAATTCACTTTCTTGTGGCTATAAGACTTACAGCAGCTTGCTTCTTCAAAGCCAGTGAGGAAAGCAAAACCCTAGAGAAAGCTGGCTAGCAAGATGGATTCTTATATAACATAATCACAGGAGTGACATCCTATTACCCCTGTCATATTTTATTGGTCACAGATCTTTTCCATACTCAAAGAGAGGAAATAGTACAAGGCTATGAATACCAAGAGGCAGGGGTCATAGAGCCAGTCTGTCTGCCATACTCTCCATGCCCTAACTTTACAGACACATACACAAATGTCTAGGCAAAACCTGGGTGGTTTTTGTTCTCTCCCTTACTCGTTGTGCCAGAGAGATTCCTGCACATGGTTTGGTTGCCACCTAAGAGGAATGTGAAAGTTCAATAGTAATTGAAAATTCTCTGGTGCAGTGCATTCCCCAGACCCACATCTTCTGCCTCACTTCCAGATTTCACATGCTGTTCTCAGCTCTCACTTGTCATATGAGCAGTCTTGCATTTTCATCATGGTTAAACACTGCATCTCTTAATAGGTAAAGCTACAACTTGCCCTGGTTCCTCTCTTCTGAGGCAGGTGGTCTCAATATGCTTTCCCTAGAGCACCATCTGTCCATCTTCTTCCCACTGTGGTCATCGGGTGGTCATCTGTCTTCTCCTGACCAACCAGACAGTGAGAACAGCAGTACTATTTTAGCATCTGTCACAACAGGTGAAGGGAGAAAAACCAGTCTCATATCATGCAGCAGTATAATTTATCTCTCCTGGAATGTCATGTAAGTAAAGCTACATAGTAAGAATTCCTTTGAGTCTGGCTTCCCCTCTACTCCCACTTAGCATAATGCCCCTGTGGCTTATCCAAATTGTCACATGTCAATAGTTTGTTACTTTTAATTGCTAACTAATATTTTATTTTACGGATTTACCACATTTTGTTTTTTCATTAAGCAGTTGAGGTGTTTCCAGTTTGGGGCAATTATCAATAAAGCTGCTTCCAAATTTACATGCAGGTTTTTGTATAGACACGTCTTTATTTCTCTCGGATAAATGATTGTTAAGTAATAACCACCAAAGTGATATTTGGGAAGTCCAGTAATGCACTACCACATACCAGAAATACTCATGGCATGTTGAGGAGATGGTATTTTGAGGGATGCTATAAGAGATGGCTAGAATGTTGGTATATGCCTTTTCAAATATGCGTATACTTAACGATTTTTCAATGTGTGCAACTTGGGAAAAATAACTTATAGGGTTTCTTGGGCTAGATTAATTTCCCTCTGTTTCCCTATAGTAAAATTAGACCAAGGGGTAGAGGTAATTGCTCATGGTCTAATCTTTGACTAGACAGATTAATTTCAAGGCCGTATTTCTTTTCCAAGCTGCTCTCCATAGACTTGTAGATTTATTGCTGCTCTGTCTCTGGTGCTGAACCCTCTGGTATATTTTACCCCTCTTCAGTGAAGCCTCCTCACTGAAGATGCTGAGGCTTTCTAGAAAACCTTCTGCTAGCTGCTATTGTCTCATTCTCTGTTGCTTGTATGGACTGAAAATCTTCCATTAGAATAATTGACATAATAAAGCTCTACCATTTATCTCCATGTCTCCTTTACTTTAGCAGTACAAACCTGAATATGCTATGTTCTTTTTGGTTCCACCCTTTTGCATATGCAACCTCCTTTCCTGTGCTTTCCTGTTTTTTTCCCCAGTGGAAGGACCCTCTTCTTCCTTTGTAAAGTAAAGCTTTTGCATTCGTGTAGTGCTCTGAACATACTGCTTGACAAATTCATTACAGTAATTTACACAAATCACATTTTCATGGATTTTCTCTTCCCTTGTAGAATCTTACTTAATTCTTTGTGTCTTTGTGTCTCAAGGGCCTAGCCTAGTTCCTTGTGGAATTAATGACAGATGGAGAACCAACTGTTGCGGGTGATGGGGAAATAGAACGGTGTCCTGGGATTTTCCCTAGTTCACCTTCTTCCCATAGAGGGGATCAGCAAAAGGTGGATAAACTGACACCAAGGAAGGTACAGGGAGCCTGGCTGTAAAGGGAGGAGGAGGGCAATGGCCGAGTCTTACTGAGGCCATGATGGAGCCATCTGACTCCCATGGGGTGTGATAAAGAAGCAAGCAATTTGAGACAGGTAATGGTTGTGTGAGTGTGTGTGTGAGACACACACACATACAGACAGGTGGAGGTCAGCAGACAGGACCAAATCCTGAGCTTAGCTAGAGGTGAGGAAGGGAACACTAGACCAAGAGAGTCATCAAGTCCTAGATTATGGCCTTTGGCATCATTTTATTCTTTCATAAGAAAGAAAAGACTCAGCAGAAAAAATGTTTTAACAAAGGTGTTGCATTATTTAATTTACCAGGAATGCTGGCCCCAGGGCTAACATCTGATTTCTAGTTAGTTTTCTTATTTCACCGTGGAGTGCTAGGCTAAGGAGGGAGGTTTCATGGTGCATTAAGGAAGACAGGAAAAAAAAAAAAGAAAGGGGAGATGTGCTCAAAGTAGTATTATAAGAACCCAAATTATAAACCAGGCCCATTTCAAACTTTTTTTTTTGAGACAGGATCTCACTCTGTTGCCCAGGCTGGAGTAGTGGTGTGATCATGGCTCACTGCAGCCTTGACCTTCTGGGCTCAAGTAATCTTCTTGCCTTAGCCTCCCAGGTAGCTGGGACTACAGGCATGTGCCACCATGCTGGCTGTTTTTTGTATTTTTTTTTTTTTTGTAGAGACGGGGTTTCACTGTGTTGCCCAGGCTGGTCTCCAACTCCTGGACTCAAGTGGTCCACCTGCCTTGGCCCCCAGAGTGCTAGGATTAAAGGCATGAGCCACTGTGTGTGGCCTCATTTCAAACTTTTACTTCAGTGAGGCATGCTGGTGCCTACTGCTTTGAACAGAACATTTCTATGTTTTCAAATGTGACTCTTGGGTAGACAGTTGTACTTAGGCTGCTCTTCACTCTGTCACTCCACACAGGAGGCAAGTTCTTTGCTTCGTATTTTTATGCAACACTGGAAGACTTGCTAGACATAGTACAATGTGCAGGACTTTTTGGAGGCTGGAGATCTTACTCTGGCACCTCTTTGAGCCTTTGGGGTTATGCAATCCACCATGACACAAGTTCCTGCAAAGACAGAGCTGCTGACAATGCTGTCATCTCTTTATGTCCCAGTCACGGAGGCTTTCTTCACTCAGGCTTCCTTACTAGTGATCTTGGGGATGCAAATGGAAACAATAATTAGTCACATTTTTCACCAGTCAGAGTATCACAAAATGAAAAGTACTGAAACAGTAAGTGAGGTATAAATGATACAGCCATTTTGTAGAGTGATTTGGAAGTTTCAAAACAAATTAACAGACACGAGAAAGTGCACATGTGTTTTACTTCTGTGTCCTAAAGAAACTCTTCTTTCTAAAAAAGATATTTTTATTCTTTAATCACTGAAGAAACTCTTCTAATGCATGAGTGGGTCTTCGCAAAGCTGCTTCTCATTCAGAAGTGTTTGTGAAAGTACATCTTTGAAACCACCTAAATGAAAACAATAATAAAATATCCTAAGAGAATAAATATCGTAGAGTTTGCTTCTCATTCAGAAGTGTTTGTGAAAGTAAATCTTTGAAACCACCTAAATGAAAACAATAATAAAATATCCTAAGAGAATAAATACCATAGAGTTTGTTCATACACTGCAATACAATCCAGTGGTAAAAAGGAATGAATACAACCTCTCCACCTAAATCTGGATGGATCTCAAAAAATACTATTAAGTGAAAATATCACAGAACAAGATGATTTTATGATGCAAAGTGTTTAAATGTTAAAAATCAACACAAAAGTAACAGTATATAGTATTTATGGATACATGCATATGTATCCAAGTATCAAAATGGACTGGGAGGTTAAATAGCAAACCACTGGTAAGAGTTGTTTCCAAGAAGGAGGGAAGAAACCTGGTTAGAGGGTAGATGAGAAAGAGGCTTTAATTTGATTTAGAATGTTGATTTAAAAAACCCCCATATTTAAAAAATGTTAACATATCATGTGAGTGTGTGTGTGTGTGTGTGGGGGGGGGGGGGGGAGCAGGAACAGATTTTTTATTTTATTTTTTGAGGTTTTTTTTTCATTTTTTTACATTATTATACTTCAAGTTTTAGGGTACATGTGCACAATGAGTTTTTTTTTAAGTTCTCAAAAAATATCATTGACAAAGTAAATCACCATTACTTAACAAATGGAGAGATTTGAAACATTTTAGATCAACCTTCCTGTATGTAGTGTAAGGGATAGCTGAGCCTAAAAGGGTTTCAGAGGGTCAGCTTTGACAGAATGTGTGATAAGGCATGCAAGGGCATATAATATGGGGCTATAAAATGGATAGCAGCATCCAGAAATGACTCCTTAGCGAACACATTTAAATAAACTTGGAACTGCAAAATGTTTTAAAACAATGTGCCCAAAGTAGATTTTAAGTAGAAATTTGCTGAATTGGATATGCACGATTGAGGCTAATTGCATTTTTAATAGAACTATGGAAAAGCATGAAATAAATTACTTTTTGCATTAGGTCTAAATTTCAGATTGGTCCCGAGTGTGACAGAAATCACCTTTTTGAAGGTTTTTCTCCTGTTCAGATGTGTGGCCATAGAGCAAAAGCCTTAGTGGGTTAGAAGGGAATCACTTGAATTTTGAAAGCAAGGGCTGGATTTACTAAAGTAAACACTTCCATTCACTGATGTTCAGAAAGCCAGACCCCTTGCTGCTATGATTGCCAGAGTAAAAAAATGTCCAAAGACACTGTTGGCAATCTTTGATTTCTTTTCAACTGAAATGATTGAGATAGTTAAACTATGCTATGATCATAGATTTCTGTATCCCATAAACCTGTTACTGTTGAACATTATCAAAGCTCAGTTTCATTAGTAAATTATTCTGTTTATTAGTAGTGATTTTGTGTGTGATTTTGTATGCAGTGTACATAATAGGTACAGAATCAACATTTGCTGTACAGTAAGGTATTAAATAAATACTTCCCATATAGGAAACTGGATTAGTCTCTTACTTATTTTCCACCTACCTCTTTCTCCCCTGCAATCCATCCTTCACTCTGGTTCCAGATTAAACCTCTCAATAAATGTCTGAAGTCATCACTCCTTTTCTTGGAAGCATTCAAGAATATCTCACTTTCTACTGAATTAAGAACAAAAACATTTTAAAACTTTTTTGTTGTTTATTGAGATCAGTGGTTTTCAAACACTTATTTTTATAATTGTAGTAAAATAAACATAAAATTTGCCATCTTAACCGTTTTGAAGTATGAGGTTTATTGACATTAAGAACATTCACATTACTGTGAAACCTTCACCACCATCCATCTCCAGAACTCTTTTCATTTTGGAAAATGAAAAACTCTGGCATCCCATAAACAACAACTTCTTATTCCCCCTTCCCCACAGTTCATGACAACCCCCATTCTACTTGTGTCTCTATGAATTTGTCTACTGTAGGTATCTCATAAAGGTGAAATCATACAATAGCCGTCTTTTTGTGACTGGCAGTTTTACTTTGATGTAAAATACAGCGCGCGCGCGCACACACGCGCGCACACACACACACAAATTAGGTTAGCCTTACACAGTCTCCAGCCTTGGAAATGACATTTGAGGGCTGTATGTAAAGGCTTTCCCTGTTCTGTAGAGAATATGGGGACTGAAGAACAAACTTTATCAGTCTATGCCAATGTTCTTCCCTAATCTTACTCTCCAGCATTTTACAGCATGATGAGCCAAGTGCTTTACCTTTGGGCTGGGTACCGTTTGCTCATTCTTTCCCCTTGCCTGTCATACTTCTGTTTACCTGCTAATATGCTATACACATTACAAGAATTCTCCCAAAATTCATGGCTTCCATGAAATCTTATTCTACTTAATGGAAGCACTTTACACTTCTTGTACAGCATTTGAAGAATGAGTTATCTGTGTAATATTTATGGGCTTCTGAGTATTCATTTACTCTTCTTCATTCCATTATAAGCTTTTCAAGTGATGTACTTATGACATATTTATATTTAGTCCTGTACAGCAGCTTGCAAATATTAGAGGCTTAGTTAATGTTTAATTATTACCTGACAGAGTACATGTTTGTTATAGAATAGTTTACCCCAGTCAGCTATTAACCAGCTTGAACTCAATTGTCAACTTTTTTTTTTTTTTTTTTTTGAGTCGGAGTCTCGCTTTTTCACCCAGGCTGGAGTGCAGTGGCAGGATCTCCACTCACTGCAACCTCTGCCTCCCGGGTTCACGCCATCCTCCTGCCTCAGCCTCCCGAGTAGTTGGGACTACAGGTGCCCACCACCATGCCCGGCTAATTTTTTGTATGTTTAGTAGAGACGGGGTTTCACCATGTTAGCCAGGATGGTCTCGATCTCCTGACCTCATGATCTGCCTCAGCCCCCCAAAGTGCTGTGATTACAGGTGTGAGCCACTGCTCCTGGCCAATTGTCAACTTTTTAATTGTCTTATCAAATTAAAAACTAAGCAAGTGACTTTATAATTTGAGACCTGCGTCAATATGGCAACTTTCTTGGAAAAGGCTCTGGTGCAAAAGTGTACTCATTTTCTTGTGGTCATCTGTGGAGACCAATTCAATAGCATGGTAAAACCAGAGCTGGATGACCTCAAAGAGCTCTTGTTGTATGGAATTCTACCAATTGCCTTGGAGAAAAGTGATTTTTTTTTCTGGTCAATGTTTCCAACTCTACAAAATGAGGGATATTTTCCAGAGGGGTATTGTACAGGATCTGATTTGTGGTGGGAAAACTACAGAGTATTAGGATGGCATGTCTGGACAGGCAGGCATGGTGCAGGGTGACACAGACCTTAGGAGTCAAGTCCTTAGAATACTTCAAGGCATTCACTGTTTATCTGAATTATATATAACTTGGATTTCTATTTTATTTTTAAATTTATTTTAAATACTCAGGTATTCTTTGCCTTGTTCCATAACTTATTTTAAGTTGCTAATGACAAACACATACCTCAAAACAATGATATGTAAATAGGAGAGAAAAAAAGTGTTAAAATTAGAGCAAATATAAGTGCAAGTCAGAGGAAAGTTAAGACTGGGATTGGGAGATGGGAGGAAGGAGAAGATCATAAGACCCATACATATTCTTATTGGATGGGTCTTACTAGTTGTTAGAGATGAACAGGAAATTGGACTCTACCTTTTTGGGCAGCCAAAGTGAAAACAAAAAGTTGGCCTGGAATATAGTTTTAATGTCCAGGGAGGATAATCATACCAATTTTGGTGAAAAACAAATACTTCATTAGATTAAAATCTAAACAAATTGCTGATGTGGAACTTCCCCTAAGGGCTGTGGATGACGTTCTTCAAAAAACCACATGCAGCTGTGTGACTCTAGCATCATTCCTCAGTAAGTGACAGAGATGAGTCCCATCTCAAAGGCCAATATTGTTCAGGCTGAGTATGTCCTTTTCTGAGGGGTTAGCTTGATTCCAGGGTAAAATCTGAAATGCTAAAAAAAATGGAAAGACTACCTCCCAAAAGTTCTTCCATTAATATCTTCTTCCAGCAGGCTTTGGATATGAAGTAGAAAGCACAGAACTCATGCTTGCATTTTTTATGAGTGACTCTTCATTATTAATTGAGAGTACATTATTAATTATTAATTGACTCTTAGTCACATAGTGTGCTGCATTATTCTTATCTTTAGCATCTCCACAAACATAACTTCTGTCCTCAGAAAATATCTATTTAATACCCACAGTGATAAGCACATGGTCAATGATTGAACACGAGTTGAACGAACAGTTGAAAATAAGGCCCAAGTTTATTTTTCTGTGGAAGTTGACCATTAAGTAAGCACCAAAAATGTATTCAGAGATAAGCAGAATTTTTCATAATCAAGTGCACACACATGAAATACCTTGTTTGGCAGCTGAGGGGAAAATGGTTTTAAGAATTGTGTCCAGGGGCCGGGCACAGTGGCTCACGCCTGTAATCCCAGCACTTTGGGAGGCCGAGGCAGGCAGATCACGAGGTCAGGAGTTTGAGACCAGCCTGACCAACATGGTGAAACCCCGTCTCTACTAAAAATACAAAAATTAGCTAGGTGTGATGGCACATGCTTGTAATCTCAGCTACTCAGGGGGCTGAGGCAGGATAATCGCTTGAACCCAGGAGGTGGAGGTTGCATTGAGCCAAGATTGCGCCACTGCACTCCAGCCTGGGTGACAGAGCAAGACTCCGTCTAAAAAAAAAAAAAAAAATTGTGTCCAGGAAGTGGAATTTCAGAAAGTTTTAAAATGATGGGATGAAGGGATGGTCATAAAATGAATTCTAGACAAAGAGCAGTGTTTAGGAGAAGTCTTGATAGGGAAAGCATGTCTAACCTTCTTATTTCAAGAAGTCCAGGCCCACAAAAATGATAAAAATGGACATTTCTGCAAATTTTATCTCATTTTATCCAGAAGATGTCATACCTAGTAGAGATTATTATATGATTATGTATGGAAAGCATCCAAGAGTAGCTCCAGAAAGATTCTAATATCACAGAGCCAAGACTAAGAATGTTTTCTGACTGAAATCCAAAGCTTTAAGAGGTTTCTTCCCCGCTCTCAAGTCTGCCAAAGACACATCTAAAACCCAATGAATACTAGACAGGGAAGAGAGGATCCGGCACTTCTTGGCTCTCTTCTTCCTCGCCACCGTATCCAGCTACATCGTTTTTGTTTCGAAGTTCCTTCTCATCTTGTTTTCCCTTCGTGCCAAACCATAAAAGCAGAGCGTAGGGCTGGGCGCGGTGGCTCACGCCTGTAATCCCAGCACTTTGGGAGGCCGAGGAGGGTGGATCATGAGGTCAGGATTTCGAGACCAGCCTGGCCAATATGGTGAAACCCCGTCTCTACTAAAAATACAAAAATTAGCCAGGTGTGGTGGCGTTTGCCTATAGTCCCAGCTACTCAGGAGGCTGAGGCAGAAGAATCGCTTGAACCCGGGAAGAGGAGGTTGCAGTGAGCCGAGATCGCGCCACTGCATTCCAGCCTGGACAACAGAGCAAGACTCTGTCTCAAAAAAAAAAAAAAAAAAAAAAGTAGAGCATAGGGTAGAACATCTAGTGGGTACTGGTACTTATTGATTAATTCTTCAATTTGGGAAACTAGGTAAAAAAAAAAAAAAAAACAACCCTGCATATTCTCAGAGGAATGTTATAACAGTTCTTGATAAAGCTAGAACAAAATAGCTTATATTTGATATGTCAGTTAAGAATTGGGTTCAGCTGTAAGTACCAAATACTAGAAATAGTTGTAGCTGAAACAAGACAGATGTTTATTCTCTGTCATGTGTAGTGGACGTCTAGGGGTAAACCATTCAAAGCTGGTAGAGCACACCCATGGAGTCATCAGGTTCGAAGATCTTTTCAGCTCCATCAGTCCTAAAACTGGCTACTAGTCATTGTGTCAACCTCATGAACTGAGACGGTTCTTAAAATTCCAGCCATTATACCAACTGCAGGTTGACAACAGGGGAAACTGAGGAAGGGTGAAAGTCTACTCATGCTCCTTTTTAAAAGAGGTATAAAGAGGGGTCCAGCGGGTCATAAAAATCTTTGGGTTATATCATATTACCCTGAGCTTAGCCGCAAGACTGCAGCGGATACTGTTCCTGGTGTTATGTGCCCCCCTAAAAACAGGAGCTCTGCCACTGAGGAAGAAATGGAGGATGGATATGGGTAGTCTGTGAGCTATGGATACATAATTTGGGACACATAATTATAATTAGAATTTCTAGTTTCTGATGATTACAGGTTTAGGAGATATTTTTCCAACTTAGTTTTCTTACTTAGCCTACTCTTCCTGGGTTGCACCTACTCTTGACCTCAAATCTAAATAAGTCTCATCTCATATGTTCTTATAGGAAAAAATAAAAGAAAAATAAATTATTGACATCTCATTTATTTTATTCACTCTAATTATAGTTGATTAAAAACTCAATATGCTTATAATACATTTTACCACGAAATATAGTGGCATCTGTTGCTTTCCTAATCATACTTTTTTTTTTTTTTACATTTATAGTCTTCACCATTTACTTGTATTTTGAAAACTAAGGAGTATATTTGACCCCATGTAAATTTATATCATTGTTTTTGGCAAGATTTTTGTATAACACTTTCAAATCTGTCATGCCAAATTTAATTACATTTAATTTGGAATCACTTTTAATGAAAGGTGATCAGGAAGACAGTCACTTAATTATTTTCAGTTTCTAAATTTTTCTCCATGGCACAAGATTCCTGATCCTTTTGAAGTTAGATTTAAAAGAAAACTACATCCCAGAAATCACAAGGTAGATTAGGAAACATTTTGAAGTCTCCTTTCCCTTCATTCCTCTTTCTTGCTAAAAATAGACTCCTTCTTTTAGAATTCCTTCCATACTCTTCCTCCTAAAAGAAGGCTTACTCACTGAGCATGACACTTTTTTTACAGATGCATAAACCTCTAGAATTTTCCACCACCTGTCAAAAGCATTTAACTCTATCCATTCGTTATTCTTTAAAAGTTATTGCTGAAAAAAATTTAATTTTCAACAAAGGCAAAATGAAACACTTAGAATTTCTCAAGTTTAACACAACAGTCTCATGTTTGTGAATTTTCTTCTAGTATCATCTTTCATCTACTCTAAGATGTATCATTATTTTATCACCACTAAGAAAAAGTTCTTCCAGTTAAAACACAAGTCTATATTGATTGTAAGATGTATCCTTATTTCATAGCTGTTGACATGTTAAAAATATGCCTTTTAGAATTGAGAAAATGTGGTATATTTCTACACGAATAGATATTTTTACAGTTACATTCATAGAACACATGCTTCTCTATATTCTTTTTTTACTCAAACTGTAAACCATAAATATTATCTGTATTTCTGCATTTACTTTATAATGATTATTTTAATGACTACACAATTTTCCATCAAGTTGATGTACTATAATTTACTAAATCATTTTGCTATTGTTGTGTGTTTAGGGTGTTTCTAGGTTTTTGAAAATAAATATTTTATGCATGTAGATTTTTAATGTTGTTGAATAATTTATTTCTTAATTCCCAGGAGAAGAATTTTTTGAATCAAAATTCTTGAAAATTTGTATGGTTCTGGTAATTTTCCTATTGCTGTCTAAAAATGGTTGTACCAATTTCCAGTGCCAACCAGCAGTAAATGAGTATTCAAATTCCACAGAAACTACCCCGAAAGTTGTGAGCTGTTAAACAATCTCAGCCTTTTTCTTATTTTAAAATGCCTCATAAATGTTGCTTCAATTTATACAAACTAGTAAGAGTGGACATTTTTCTTTGTGCTTATTTATTAAATTTTGCCTTATTAAGGTTTATTTACCAACCACATATTATTTTAGTTTCTATTACTTCCTTCCATTATTACTTGTCACTGGGAGTTTCAAAAATAGTTGCCCTGATAGTGTGACAGAAAAAAAATCTAATCTTTATTTTAAGCTCCAAGATTGTGGTAGTGGCAGAGTGGGGTGGTGTAAAAGAGAGGTGCTGTGACCCATGATTTAGTGGGAAAACTGGGAATTTCCTGAATCTGCATTTCTAGCATCTTTATATGGGGTCCAGTGACTTTGTTTTCTGTTGTCTTTGAAGAACATACGGTGACAACTGTAGAGAGCCAAGCCACTCTGTAGAATGAAAATTCTAGTGTTAGGTCTATTGCATTTTTAAAGCAGCTTTATTAAGGTATGATTGATATTAAAAACCTGCACATATTTTAATGTGTACAATTTAATGAGCTTGGATGCATGCATAAGCCCAAGAAATTAACACCACAATCCAAGTAATAAACATATTCATCATCTTCAACCTTTTATTCGTGTCCCTTTTTTTATCTGTGCCCCCTTTTTTTGGTGATACAAACAATACCATATTACCATGTAGTGCCACAAGAACAGTGCTACTAAGATAATATTAAGAAGGTAGAAACCAGGCTAGGCGTGGTGGCTCATGCCTGTAATCCCAGCACTTTGGGAGGCTGAGGCAGGTGGATCATCTGAGCTCAGGAGTTTGAGAACACCCTGGACAACATGGTGAAACCCTGTCTCTACTAAAATACAAAAAACTTTAGCCGGGTGTTGTGGCACGCACCTGTGGTCCCAGCTATGGACCCCTTAATTTTGGCCAGTGAAGACCCACTTAGACTTGTAGATATCAAAATTGTAAGATAATAAATTTGTGCCTTTTAAGGCACTTAGTTGGTGGTAATTTGCTGCAGCTGCAAGAAGAAACAGAGATGACACTTATTGCAGAACATTTAGAAAATATGAACAAGACAAAAGAGGAAAATAAAAATCACTCATAATTTTTTACTAGCTCTGTCTTCTAAGAGAGCCCAGAAACTGACAACCCAACAGCAACAAGCACACGCGTCCTCAGATCTTGGTATAGAAAGCAAAAAATAGTACATTTACAGTGGAGATACCTGGCAGATCTCATCTCACCCATGTGATCATGGTTAATATCATGGGTGATGAGTCATGTTGATGTCTTGAATTCCCCTGATCTGGTGCACTGAGAAGGACACTTCACCTTTCTGGTATCCATCTCAAAAACCTATAATCCCAGTCTAATAATGGGAAAAACCTATAATCCCAGTCTAATAATGGGAAAAACCTATAATCCTAGTTGAATAATGAGAAAAAAAATCAGATAGATCCAAACAGAGGGCCAGTTTACAAAATATCTGACCAGTAACTTCTCAAAACTATCATAGCCATGATAAACAAAGAAAGTCTTAAAAATTGTCGGTTAAGGAGACATGGCTACTAAGTGCAACGCAGGATCCTGGAATAGACAAAGAACATCAAGTGGAAAAACTGGTGAAATCCAAATAGTCTGGAGTTTAGTTATTAAAGAGGTAATGATATCAATCTCTTAGTTTTAACAAACGTACTATAGTTACATAGGATGTTCACATTAGGGGAAATTAGGTCAAAGGAATATGGAAACTTCTCTCTACTATCTTTGCAACTTTTCTGTAAATCTAAAATTATCCCCCCCAAAAATTCACATAATCTCATCACTCAAAATTGCTATTATTTTATTAAAATGCTGTCTATAATTTTTGTTAAGCTGCTTTTTTACTTGTCAATTTGTTAGGACATTATTCCACTGTTAGAGCTGCTAAGAGACATCTCCCTCTTTCCGGTCACTGTGGCCCTTCAAGTTCCTCCAACTAATTAAAGTGAGACAGTGATTGGTTGGCTGAACAGTAGATTGTACTGGCCGTATGACATGTACCATATTGTGGGAGGCAGGCTCTACCTAACCTTGGTTTGGTGTAAACTTCACTCTACTTGTGAAAGAGACATGCTTTCACAAAGATTTCAAAAGCTTTAGTGTTCATTACACTTTAATATGCTTTCCACTCTCTGCACAATTGTGCCCCTCCTAACACTCATAGAACAAGAAAGGCATGAGGAGAGGTTCCCGTGGTTTTAACACAAGAAATGCATTGTCTTCCTTTATAATCCATGATTTATGATGCCACCCATAGATTTGGCATTGCACTTTGAAGGAAAAAAAAAAAAACCAAAAAACTATTTACTACTTGCCACCTACTAAATGTTTTATGTGTATTATCTTATTTAATCCTCAAAGCAATCCTCTGAGGTAGGAGATATTCTTTTTTTTATGAGTCAGATTCTCTTTTTTATTTTTAAATAATTTCAGATTATAAGATCCTAATTAATTATATTAAGATCATAAGAAAATGCAAAGCTAGTACAGAGAGATCCTTTACCCAGTTTCCCCCAAAGATTGTATCTTTCATAAATACAGAACAGTAATATCAGTAAATTGACATGGTACAATGTGTATGTGTATTTCTATGCCATGTTTTCATGTATAGATTCCTCTAGCAATTCTCTGTTTCCCCACCCAAATCTCATGTTGAACTGTAATCTCCGCTGTTGGGGAAGGACCTGGTGGGAGGTGATTGGATCATGGGGGTAGAGTTCCCCCTTGATATTCTCATGATAGCCAGTTCTCATGAGATCTGGTTGTTTGAAAGTGTGTGACACTTCCCCCTTTGCTCTCTCTCTCCCTTTCTGCCAAGTGAGGAAGGTGTTTGCTTCTCCTTCACCATTTCATCATGCTTCTAAGTCTCCTGAGGCCTCCCAGTCATGCTTCCTGTACAGCCTGTGGAACTGTGAGTCAATTAAACCTCTTTTATTCATAAATTACCCAGTCTCAGGTAGTTCTTCATAGCAATGTGAGAATGAACTAATACAGATTGTTTGATATTTTACTGTTGAGTTTGAAAGTTCTTTACTTTTTTGGATATGAGTCCTCAGAAATGTGGCTAGTAAATGTTTTTCCCAATCTGTAGCTTGTCTTTTAATCCCCTTCACAGAGTTCTTCACACAGAAAAACTTTGTGTGAAGTTTAACTTTTTAACTTTTAATTTTCATAAAGTACTATTTACTGATCTTCTATGAATCTTGATTTTGTAGACCAGGGTTTTAGCTTATCTGACAGGCAGAATAGGGAGAAGTGTGTCTACTCCATCCTGTTCAGAATCAGAAGTACTCATAAAATTTGTGGGGTTTTTTATTTTTTATTTTTGAGATGGAGTCTTGCTCTGTCACCCAGGTTGGAGTGCTGTGGCACAATCTTGGCTCACTGCAACCTCTGCCACCCAGGTTCATGTGATTCTCCTGCCTTAGCCTCCCGAGTAGCTGGGACTACAGGCATGTGCCACCACACCTGGCTAATTTTTGTATTTTTAGTAGAGACGGGCTTTTGCCATGTTGGCCAGGCTGGTCTCAAACTCCTGACCTCAAGCGATCCGCCCGCCTCAGCTTCTCAAAGTGTTGGGATTACAGATGTAAGCCACTGCGCCCGGCCTAAAATTTGTTTTTTATAGGAGAAATTCTGATCACCATTTTATGCATCTATAGAGAACAGTTAAGAAACTTGCCTGAGAACACAGTAAATGGCAGAGCCAACTTTCGACTTTCAACCCAGGCAGCCCAGATCTATCCATAATATTTGGGCATTGTACTATGTTGTCTCCTTGAGGCACAGTTACTTAAGTTGGTAGTTTGGGGAGAAATCACAGAGCTTACTCTATGGAAGGTAGTTATTGTGGTACAACAATGACAACTAGGACAAAACGTTTTTGCAATTGCCTTGTGTTACCGAGCCATTTTCGTTGAAGGAGTTAATGTCAAATAAGTAGCAGGAAAATGCAAGAAAGAATTAACTAGAAAGTTCTCTGCCATTCTGAAGGGTCATTCCTGCTCTAATATTAACATCCATATGATTGTGTGCACAAATATTCTTCTACAACATCACTTTTGATGGCATTATAATATTATAGTATCACGCCAATGTAATAGCCCTGAAAGTTTTGTAGGAAGAGTGTGGCAACACCTGTAAAATGCTTTATAAACTATAAAATACTATGCAAATATGATGCTTCCTCATATATTTGTAAAGTTAGAATTCTTTTTATACAAATATTCATATGTATCCAGATAGTTAATGCTAAAACTAAACAACACTTAGATGTAATTTTCTCTTATCTTTGTTTCTGTCTTACACATTCCTTTGTGGGTAGAATCAAATTACAACCGAAAATAGAAATGCATTTATTAGCACCTGGTACCATTGTTCCAAAAGAAAGATATTTTCTCCATGGTGGCAAAACTTCCTCAAACTCAGCATATATGATTGAATTTGCATGTTAAAAATGTGTGCACCATTTTTTTTATAATTAAAGATAAGATTAACCTGTGTGTTGAAATTTTCTCCAACAACAACTTGAAACACGTTAGTGTTAATTTTGCTGAAAACAGGGTGAGGGTAACAGGTAATTATTTTCTGCTGACACTCTTTCCTATTAGATTGAATGTGCATTTTGGGACTGAGCTGTCAGGTTTGATTTCAGCCTAGTTTTCATGTATAGTTGGTGCATTGAGATTATTTTCCCATTATTGTTTAATATGTGCTTTTATGAGAGTAGAAGTAATTTTCGGCCATCCTGTCAATCATTTCTGCATAGTTTGGACATACATATGAGAAATATATATAGAGAGACTTGAGTCATCTCTTCCAAACAGTCTAACTTATTTACTTATATAAAAACCTTTATTTTGTGCTCTTTGTTGGAACTAACCATAATTTAAGTTAAATAATGTAATGAAAATCTATATAGTGCTAATGTCATGGACATAAATCATTTTATCTGTTTATACAAATGAATTCATTCAGTTTTAATGCCATGCTCCTTTGTATATTGCATTGACTGAGTGGTATTTATCTAGGTAGCTTGGAATATAATGTCAGCTGACCTAATCTTTTTTTAGCCTTCTTAAGAATTTAAGGGTTTTGGATCATGTGAAGAAATTCTGATTAATATAATTATTAATGAATAGGGAAAGCTTTCTGTTTTTATTTTATAGGATGATGGTTTAATATCACTGTTCTGTATTTATTATTCATTCTTCAAACATTTATTGTGTGCCTGCTTTATATAATTACCCTGTTAGGTGGAAAGGGTGATACTAAGATTTGTAACACAAGATCTCTGAGCTCCAGGCCGCAACAATTCAACTGCATGTAAAGGTGTGTTTATAATGGATACTGGGCTTAACACCTAGATGATGGGTTGACATGTGCCGCACTTCACCATGGCACACATTTACCTATGTAACAAACCTGCACATCCTGCCCATGTACCCTGGAACTTAAAATAAAAGTAGAGAAAAGAAAATGTATGTTAGGTTTTATTTGATAAATTTTGGGGAACTACTGAATATTTTTTGATCAGAGGCACCTTTTATTAGCATGGTGTTTTAGAGGATGGAATTGGCTGTGGTATATGGGCTATACAGTTTAGATTATAGGCTGGTACATCTGGTGCTAGTATAGTGCAGCAGTACTGAGGGTAAATTAAGATGTTGGCATTTAGATGGATAGGACAAAATTGGAACAGATGCAGCTGAGAAGGATAGTCTAAACATCCTGGCAGCTGCCTGGCTAACTCTGAAGGTTTGCATGAGTGAATGGATGAATTACTTTAGAGACATAATCACATTGAGGAGAGTCTCCGGGTTGAAATGAAGGTGGTAATCGAAGAGCAACTTGAATTTAGGAGTTAGTGGGATATTCAGTAGGCAGATGGGCATACAAACTGATACATGGAAAGAGGATGGGGGAGGAGATACAGTTTCTGGAATCCATCTTTTTTAATATAAAGAAGTTGGAATTCAGTATCTATCAGAGTTGATAGGATTCACTAAGACAGTTGCTTTCAAACGTTGTTGACTATGACCCATATTAAGAAATATATTTTACATCATTACTCAGTATAGATATGTGTATGAGTATTTTCACAATGTATATTCATATACATTTATGTATAATTTTCATGTAAGCTATGTTTTTCCCCAAATTTTACCCTCATTATATTTAATGCACTCATAATTTTTCATTCCTTTTTTTAAAAAATTAATTTTTCATTGCATTTTATTTAAAAAAGAAGTGCTGGTCAAGACCTAATTAGTTGATTTCACAATCTACTGAACAGTCATGACCTGCAGCTGACAACCACGATGCTGTAGATTCAGTACTGTATTCTTCCTTGTTGTCATGCCTCTGCACTCTGCAGAAAAAGGAGGGCCAGCTGGGAATTGAGCTGGGGACAAGGCATCCCTCTACCTGCTCCCAAATTCCCTACTTACTTGGAATTGAACTCAGAAGAGGTAACAGCACTTGATTAAGGTTAAGTCTTCTGATTTTTCAGGATTCAGGATGTGTAGAGTGTGGCTCTGTTTTCTACATGACAAAAAGAAAGGCAAAGAAAGAAGAAGTAAAATCTAAATGGGCAAGAAAGGAATGAAGGAAAATTCACTTTGATCTTATGTCTTCAACTTTCTTCATATACGTGCGATGTCAAATTCTTGGTAGTTAAACTGTTTTAAGGTCAACAGAATTGCTAGAGATTGTAAATGTATTCTTTTGCCGAGGATAGGAGGATTGAGGTGTGGTGTATAGATTTCTAGTTGTGTATATGTATGTATATTGTGCACTTCTGTGTGTATGTGCACTTGTGTATTTATGTGTGTGTGTGTTTGTGTGTGTTTACTATGTGCCATTTTATTACTTTGTTTTAGGTAAATAGTTTTACTTTCCTGAATTTCGGTTTACACAGGCTCTCTGACATACCTGCCTCAGACTATACCATCTACTACCCCTCCGTGTTGGAATCAACAATTGCCCTCCGAGACACTCTCCCTAATTCATTAAATGTTTATATGCCTGGTTTGTCTTTTTACTCCCACAAATTCTGTCATCATTCTTGGTAACATCACTATTCACATAGACAATGTACTCCCATGCCCTTCCCTCTATCCAAGATTGTCCTTTGATGATCTTGCTTCCACTCTGTGTCATCCAGTTACTACTATAGTCACATTTATTCTTTCTTTATGAAACCTTCACACTCTTTGAATCAACCTCACTCTTAGCTGGTCATCTAGGATCTTATTTCAGTTTTGAAAATAGAAGTTATTGGTAGAGAGGTTCAACATATCTTCTCACTGCATTTTCCAACCTACCCACATTTTTGCCCATGTGCTCTGTCTTCCTCCTGCCATAATGGGCAAACTGTTATTGAAATTATCTAAGTCCCTCCTGGTACACTGGACCCATGTTCTCTCATCTGCACAAGTGAATTACAACTATGGTTATATTTTCCTCAACATAAACTCTTGCCCCCTACACTAGATTACTTACAGGAGCATACAAACATACTGAAATATCTTCCATCTCAAAAAATTCCATTTTCTTAAATAGAGTGGTCAATTCTTGCTGTCTTCATTTCTTAATCTCTTGCTCTCCCCTTAATTCTCTTCAGTGAGGCTTTCTTTCCTACTCCTACCCTGAAACTGTTTTGGCAGTATTACCATTGACCTCCATTAAAACACACTGGTTGATTTCAAGTTGTCTCCTTACTCAAATTCCAACAGACACATCATTAGTTATTACCTCCTCCTGGAAGTGCTTTCTTCACTTGGTTTCTGGATTACACAATGTCCTGTTGCTCTTCTCCCACCCTGGATACCCTTCGTCAGGCTGTTGGTGGGACCTTCCTCTTCTTCACCCCTTTAAACAGTGGAATACCTTAGGACTCAGTCCTTGGACCTCTTCTCTAAATCCTATATTGGGTTGTTTCACTAATCCTTTGACTTTAATTGTCAATTAAATGTCGATGACACTAACATTTATATTTCTAGACTAAACTTCTTCCCTTAGTTCACCATCTGTATTTATCTTTAGGTTTTCATTAGTCATCTCAAACTTAGCATGTATGAAGAAGTACTCTTTACTCCTGTCCTCTTCCACTTGCCTTTCCCTCAGTTTTACCCATTCTATTACTGGCAGCATCATAAATTAAATGATGGGGGCTGAGTTCCAGAAATTAAGGGGCTCAGGCCTAAGAACTAGGAGTCCTCAATGATTCATCCTTTTCCCTAATATCTCATGTCCAGTCTGCCAGAAAAATCTTGATAGCAATATTTCCGAAATCCGTCCTGAATTCAGTCATATTTCAGCATCTCCACAACAATGGTAGTCTAAGACATCATCATCTCTCAACTGGACTACTGCTAGAGCCAAATCCCTGCTTCTGCTCTTAGCTCTTTCAAGCCCGGTTATTCATGCAGCAGCCAGAGCCAGAGGAAGTCACTTCCCTCACTTAAGGCTTCCCATCATGATTAGAATAAATTCCAAAACAAATTTCCATGATGATGCTAGCCCTACAGGATCCTCATTTCTTATTAACCTTTCCTCAGCCCATCTGCTGTTCCTCAAACACAAGAAGCTTGTTTGGGGCCTTAACATTTAGTATTTTTCTCTCACTGTGGCAAATTTCCTCCAGATCTTTATTTCTTTCAGGTCTCTTTCAAAAGGTTATCTCTTCAGAGAGGTCTTTTCTCTGATCTCCATATTTAAGTGGTATCCTCTTCCACTGCCTGCCATTGTTCTTTCTTCTTACTTTGATTCTCTTTTCTTTGCATATACAGTTGCTGCAACTATAAGATACATTATTAATTATTTTGTGTTCTCCTTAATCCCTACACCCACTCCCCACCCAGAAAAAAGCTCCATAAAGCAAGAGCTTTATCTGCCTAGTTCATCTGCATCTGCAGCACCTAGAAAAGTGATGTCTGGCACATAAAGTTGCTCACATATTTAAAAAATTTAAACAAATTAATTTTAAAAGGAGAATATAAGACATCCAAGTCTTGTCATCATTTGATCTCTCCTGTAAGGCCCTTCTATGTTTGCTTATTTTAAAAGAGGACTCCTTTCTGATAATGCCCAGAGCATCTCATTAACTCTACCTCATGTAAAGTGCGCTCCCCAAGGCCAGTGTTATAGCTAAGTGCCTTTGTAGTTGTTTGAGAAAAGACTTCTTTTTTTGTAAAAAAAAAAAAAAAAAAAATCCCAAAACCCATGCTTTATTATTATTATTTTGCTTTTTATCTATACTTTGTATTATTTTATTTACTTTTTTTTCTTTTAACTTTTATTTAAGGTTCAGGGCTGTACAGGTTTGTTATATGGTAAACTTGTGTCATGGGGGTCTCATGTACAGATTATTTCATCACCCAGGTAATAAGCATAGTAAGTATTTCTCTGATCCTCTCCCTCCTCCCATCCTCTACCCTCAAGTAGATCCCAGTGTCTGTTGTTCTCCTCTTTGTGTCCATGTGTTCTCATTGTTTATCTCCCACTTGTAAGTGATAGCATGCAATATTTGATTTTCTGTTCCTGTGTTAGTTTGCTTAGGATAATGTCCTCCAGCTCAATCCATGTGGCGGCAAAGGACATGTTCTCATTCTTTTTTTTTATGGCTGGATAGTATTCCATGGTGTATATATACACCACATTTTAAAAATTCAGTCTACTGTTCTTAAAGTATGATACAAAAATCAGTCTACTGTTAGTGGGCATTTAGATTGATTCTATGTCTTTGCTATTGTGAATAGTGCTGTGATGAACATATGCATACATGTGTCTTTATGGTAAAATGATTTATACTCCTTTGGGTATATACCCAATAATGGCATTGCTGGGATGAAATGGTAATTATGTTTTAAGTTCTTTGAGGAAGTGCCATACCACTTTCTACAATGGCTGAACTAATTTGCAATCCCTACTAGCAGTGTTCCCTTCCCCCCATACCCCTGGCAAACTCACCAGCATGTTATTTTTCGACTTAACAGTAGCCATTCTGACTGGTGTGTAATAGTAACTCATTGTGGTCTTGATTTGCATTTTTCTAATGAATAGTGGTGTTGAGCATTTTTTTCTTGACTGATTAAAAATGCATAGTATTCCGAGATGAATTGCAGCAAATAAATACGTGTTCTTCCCCTGTTATTGAGTTCTGTCACTGAGTGGCCTGACAGTGTACAAGCCTTGCTGGCAGGAGTAGTAGAAAAAAGAACCAGGAGGCAAACAGATATGGTTTTTAATCCAACTATTATTAGTAAACAGCAGTAGGAATGTGGGCGAGTCACCTAATGTCATAATTCTTGGTGCTCAAGTTTCCTTTTCAGAATTGGGGATTGTATTGGAGGCTTGATGGTATCTCTGGCACCTTCCTGCTCTAATATTATACAGTTCTTCTCTTGATCAAGACTCTCCAAGATGAGCCTTAGACATAGTTGTCAGGTACTTTATTCAGCGACTTCATGTGTAATATAAGCATGGACTAATTTTATCCCTGTGAAATACTTAGTTTCTTCTCAGAGAGGACAATCTGTAGTCACACCGAGCAATTCCGTGCTGCTGGTACCCAGAGCTGTCTGATAAATGGAGTAGCAGTGTGCTGGAGCCGGAGCCCAGGAGCCAGTCATGTGCGGTGCTTCCCGATCGTTGTTCACTGATGTCACCCTTTGCTGGTGGCTTGAAATTTGCCATGAAGGGAGTATTTACACGATTAAAATGCTACAAATCAGGGCTTCTCTATCCTCCACCCTCAAGGGCCAGTTACTGAATATTTACCAGCACATCAATAGATAAATGTGAATGGGCAGTGAAGCTCATCACCACCGCTAGAATAATCAAAGGATGTCTTTGATTCATAGTGGTATGTGGTACCATCATAGTGCATAGAAACTTACACCTACTGGCAACAATAAGCACTGGGGACTAATTAGAGCGGGGAGGGTGGGAGGAGAGCCAGGGTTGAAAAAATAACTGTTGGGTACTGTGCTCACTATCTCGGTGACAGGATCATTTGTATTCCAAACCTCAGCATCATGCAATATACGCATGTAAGAAACCTGCACATATACACCCTGAATGTAAAATAAAAGTTGAAATTATATAAAAAAAGAAACTCACACGTACAAGAACTGCCACCACCGCTACCAATCTCTTAATAAACTTGATTAAGAAGTTACCTATTCAGATATATACACTATGGAATACTACTCAGCCATAAAAATGAATGAAACAATATCTTTTGCAGCAACTTGGATGGAGATGGAGGCCATTATTCTAAGTGAAGTAATTCAGGAGTGGAAAAACCAAATATCAATGTTCTCACTTATAAGTGGAAGCTAAGCTATGAGGACGCAAAAACATAAGAGTGATATAATGGACTTTGGGGACTCGGAGGGGAAAGGTTGGGAGGTGGGTGAGGAAGAATGGACTACATACTGGGTACAGTGTACACCACTGCTCACGTGACAGGTATAATAAAATCTCAGAAATCATCGCTAAATAACTGATCTATGTAACCAAAAACCACCTGTACTCCCAAAACTACTGAATTTTTAAAAATTACCTATTCAGACACAGCAATAAGGACATTTTTGTTTGTTTTTGAGAGAAGGTTTCACTCTGTTGCCCAGGCTGGAGTGCGGTGGCATGATCATAGCTCACTGTAGCCTCTACCTTCTGGGCTCAAGCAATTCTCTCACCTCAGCCTCCCAAATAGCTGGGACTACAGGTGTGCACCACCACACCTGGCTAGAATTTCATTTTTATAGAGATAGGGTCTCATTATATTGTTCAAATAAGGACTCTGAGTGATCTGTTTAATACTGACAATAGCTCAGGAAGTTATTATTACACTGTCATTTTTATCAGAAGGGAAACAGAAATTATGACAGGTAAAATAACCTATCCACAATTACGCAACTAGTAAGTGACAGAACCTGGACTCTTGCTAAGCTTTCTCTGATTCTACTCATAATACACACAGGCAGATTCATATTTATACATGTGTGCATTTGTGGGTTTAAAATATTTGTTTTCTTCACTGTGGTAATTGTTTATCTCCTTTTTTTACAAAGTGCAAAAATATGATAAATTCGACTATAATGCCAGAGATTTGTTTGTTCTCGGAAACATTTAAAAAAACTCCCTCAGGACTATTTCAGAAATGAGACTGAGGATCTCATCTGAGTCAAAATGAGAGAGGCATAGTGGTAAGGAAGATGCACACATTTATGTTCTTAGAAAGCATTATCTCTTCTTGCTAGCAAAATAGCTGAAAATGAAACTGCTTAACCTAAGACAGAGCACTCTGCCCTCCACATAAATTGCTTCTAAAAAAAGCGGTTGCATAATCTTTAATTTAACATTCCAAATCTACAGAGAAAAACATTGCTAGTGCTGCATTAGGTTTAGAGGAAAGTGTCCATTAGCTCTCAGAGCATGCTAAGGAAGCTAATCTCGGGATGGGAGGAAAGTCACAAGAGTGACGACTCGGCCTTTGATCCATACTCATATGGCATTCTCAACAGGATTATGTAAATGACTTTAAAAAAGCATTTTGGAGCTGGAAACATTTATAAATTTCCAAATTTGAGTATCTAATCAGAGGAGAGGAAAATTAAACTTTTCTCCATTTACTTCAATTTGAAGCTCCCTTTTCTAAATTTTCCTTGAATAAGAGACTTCAAAAATGACAGTTGCTGGAAAAAAATGAATGCTGCTAGAAGTCAAGAAGAGGAAAAGAGAATAACTGGGATGTAACTCTCAGTTCAAGCATATCGATCAACTCCGCCTCCCAGGAGATTTGGTTGCAGTGGGTGGCAAGGAGTTTGGGAAATTAGGTTAGGGGTCTCCACCACGCAGTAGCACTGGAACCAACTGTAACACACGCATCTAATGGTTTGGAAGAAATTAAGTATGCTAGCTAATCAAGCAGTTGTTCTATGGGAAAAAATATTTCTCATCTGTCTACACCTCTATGCAAGATAAAGGAGAGCTATTTTCAGTGTGATCTTGAGTTATTGATGGATTGAGGTTGCTTGTCCAGACAACAAATTTTGAGAATCACTAGTCTGTGGTTTTCAACTCTAGCTTCATGTTAGAATCACTGGAAACCTCAAAAAGGGAAGGACAGCGTGTAACCTACTTTAGATCAAAATCTTGGGGTGGAGCTGGAACATAAATTCTTCTTATAAGCTCTCTGGGTGATGCTCATGTACAGCCAGGGCTAAAAGCCATTGATCTAGATTCACCTTTTCGTTTTACAGGTGGAGAAATTTAGCTTCAGAGATGTGACTAGTGCAAGGTTATATTTAATTTAGTTCAGCTGGGCGCGGTGGCTCATGCGTGTAATCCCAGCATTTTGGGAGGCAGAGGTGGGCGGATCACTTGAGGTCAGGAGTTTGCGACCTCATACTAAAACTACAAAAATTAGCCAGGCGTGGTGGTGGGCGCCTGTAATCAGGAGGCTGAGGCAGGATGCTCACTTGAACCCAGGAGGTGGAGGTTGCAGTGAGTGGAGAATGCGTCACTGCACTCCAGCCTGGGCCACAGAGCGAGACTCCATTTCAATAATAATAATAATAATAATAATAATAATAATAATAACAATAATAATTTAGTTGAATTCAGCAAATGTTTATTCAATCCTAACTATAAGTTGGACATGGGTTAGAAGCTGAGGGGTGTAGAAAACAGGGCATTGCTTCCATGGAAAGGAGTAGGTCTGTGCTTCCCCAAATTGGCATTTCCTGCATTCTTTGCAGGCCTCATGGGGCTCTTTAGTATGTTTTCATTATTTCAAAAATCCTATAGGATATTTCATGTTCACTTGTAATAAATCAGCATAGACTAATCATGTGATCTAACTTGTTTGCTATTAGTTGGAATTATATTAATTAGATCGAAATACTCACCCCAGATGTGATGGTATTAGGATACAGGCCCTTTGAAAGGTGATTAGGGCATGATGGTGAAGTTCTCAAGAATGGAGGCAGGAGAGAGTATGCTTGCTCTCCTTCTCTGCCATGTGAAGATGCAAAAGGCAGCTGTGCACAAGCCAGGAAGCACGCCCTGGCCAGACACTGGCTCTGCCACCACCTTGATGTTGGTCACCCCAGCCTCCAGAACTGTGAGGAATCAGCGCTTGTTGTTTAAGCCACCAGTCTATAGTATTTTGTGATAGCAACCCAAACTGACAACGACATGAGATGTGTGGTAGCTCCGGTGTTCTCATGATAACAAGAAGCTCTGATTCTGGAAGCAGATATGATGTCGTGGTTATAAGCATTGACTTCTAGAATCTAACTGCCTGGTCAAGTCCTGAATCCTCTACTAACTACTTATTTGATGGTGGTCAAATAATTTTATTTCTCCGTGCCTCAGTTTCCTCATATGTAAATGTGTTGATGATAATGCTTTAGGTATAGGTTGTTTGAAAATATCTGTAAAATATCATCAGGAAAATAAAACACCATAAATGTCAGCTATTGTTACTAGTATGTATTTATTTCTTCATTTTCTCCTTCTATAAGCTTTTACTAGTCTTTGACTCTAATGCTAGGGAATGCATCAGAATGCCCATCACTGTACATTTCTAACCTTTGACTCTGAATTATCAATGTGAGCTAGAAAAAAAATAAGCCATGAATTTTATTTCTTCTCTTTGTCAAAAGCTATTAATTAATTGGAGTGGTCAGGACTTTGTACCCCTGAGGTGGAACAGGGCAGTGTTTGGGAAGGAAGAGAAATTTGGAAGGAAAAGCAGTGGATTCAGTAACACTGAAAGTGAATGGCCTTTCCTTACTTTAAAGAGATGTTTGCTAATAGACAACTCTAACATATTATAATTAGCATAAATGAAAACCTTTGCAATAAATTACCTCTATCATTGTCACACACAATTGGGAAAATTATAAAAATAATAATTATCATTTGGATTGTTGCAATTAGAAAGCTGCAAAGGAAGGAAACCTGGAAAGGGGATTAACAAGAAGTGAATCATTTTGAGCAGGATTTGTGTCTGTTGATCCTTTTTAAATTTGACATTAAAAGCAAAAAATATGCAGAATATCCTAATCTCAAGTGTATCTCATCAATAATTAGATCATACCTTCATGGTAAGACAATATAGTCTCTGGTGAGAAAATCTTTTATGTGTTGTGCTCTGCATGTGTGTGCATCTCTCTAGGAAAAACTGAATTTTGTCTTACACGCACACACACACACACGCACACACAGGCACACACACACACACACACAGAACCCATGGCTTGCAGGTAACCTTTATAGCCTTTTCTTTATCTGAATGTCTGATAATCTGTAAAAACTATATGCCCTATTTCCAGGAAAATATTTTTCTAGATTTTGCATGCATCTATACACTATTTTGGGTTACAATAAACCATGAAGCTTCATCTACCAAAGTTTGTGATTCCCAAACTCAGATTTACCAAAGTAAACAAAAAAGGCAGAAGGTGGGAAAGGGGTGGTGGTAGTGGTGGTGGATATCTCAGGATCCTCCAGTTCCTCTCAATATCTGAGGCAGGTGGCTTAAAGGTGCTGCTTCTTTTAGCTAGCAAGAGATGCTCTTCTGAACCATCCCTCTTTCCTCCAAAAGTAATTTGTTGGAACTTTGTTAAAGCTGAAGAAATAGTCACTGCTTAACTATGTAGAGGGAACTTTGGAGTGAATTCTCTAGAAATATAACTTTAGTTAGTCTTGGATAACTTGGTGATTCAATACAAGCTGCTGAAGTCAAACTTGGAAATGCCACAGGCGGCAATGGCTACATAATTTGTGGTGCATTCCACAAATCAAAGTGCTGGGCCTCCTGTTCAGAAAGTATCTAGAATTTCAAGATGGTAACAGAAGAGTATTAAACTATGTGTGGGGCCCTTGTAAGCGTGGGATCCTGTGTAACCACATAGGTCATTCACCCATGAAACTGAGCACAGGAGATATAGAGACATTGAGAGTCTCAGTAACTAACGCAAAATCAAAAGTTGCTTAGAAAGAAAGAGAGGACTGGTCTTAATTTTGGTGGGAGAGCAAAGGAAACAGAAGAAAGATGATGGGAGAGAATTTGTGAAGTTCTCTCTTACAAATAATGCTTTTCTTTCCTTCATATTTTCCTGGTGGGGCTGAACCTGGAAATTCAATGTGGGGTCACAGCAGTTTATTGCATCTTCTCACACTCATAGCGCAAGTTAACAGGAACTTGTCGCTGTCTTTCTAGGGTGGAAAGCCCATGGCAAGGGAGTCAGGTAGGCGAACTGGCCACTGTGTGTGCCCTCCATTCCTACCCCATCCTCTTACACCAGGCAAGCATAACAAGGGGTGGCTGCCCCACTGATGCAGAGAACAGTGCCCAGGGAAGACATCCTGTGAGACTGGGGGCAACAGGGAACTTGGGTAGCCGGACTGGAATAGCTGAGTCCAGATTGCAGTACTAGAAGTGTATTCTGCCCCAAGGCAACTCCCCAGCACCTCCAGTCTCTGAAGAAACCCAAGCTAGGGCCAAAGCCACTGCCTAAAGGAATAAAAGAAGTGCTCCCCAGGAAAAAAAGATGAAATATTTCTAAATAAGAATGATAACTGAAGTTAATAGGCCTTTCCGGAGAAAGCAGAGCTAATGAAACAGAATATGAATGTAAAATGATCCTAAATGAACATTCTCAGAGAGATAAGGGGAGTTTTTGAAAGCATGCAGCAGGAAAAAGAAGAATTAATTAAAAAATTTGACTTGAAAACATAACTTTTCAGATAAAAAAATTAGAGGAACAGTTGAAATTGCAGAATGGGTACAGCTGACATACAAATTAGTGAACTGAAAGGTTGGGTCACAAAACTACCTGGAAGATACTGGGAAGGGAAAATATCAGGAAGAGTTGGAACCCATGAGAAGTGTTGAGAGTCACGGAACACAGAAATAAATGTGTCAAAATCCAAATAGAATTCTCAGAAAGTGAAAAAGGACCAACAGAGGAAGAAATATGAACAAGAATTTCTCAGGATTAAAGAAAGATAAGAGCTCAGGAAAAAAGGCTGATAGTATACTAAACAAGACTGTGAAAAACAAAAATGAATATCCAGACAGTTTATAGCAAAATTTAAGAGCATAAAGACAAAGAGAAAATTTTAAAAGCTTCTAGGTCAAAAGAAAAGACCCTAAGAAATGCCAGAATATGTCAGGCTTCTCAACATTTAACACCACATAATGTCCTCAGAGTTTTCAAGGAAAAACCCACCCAGATTAACTACCATTTTAATAAAGAAATTCTCAAACCTACAAAGTTTAAGAAAGTTTCTCACTCAAAGATCCTATTTGAAAGGAACAAGATCATATCCTTTGCAGGGACATGGATGGAGCTGGAGGCCATTATCCTCAGCAAACTAATGGAGGAACAGAAAATCATACAACACATGTTCTTACTTATAAGAGGGAGCTGAATGATAGAACACATGGACACATGGTAGGGAACAACACACACTGGGGCCTGTGTCGGGGCTTGGGGAGGGAGAGTATCAAGGAGAATAGCTGATGGATGCTGGGCTTAATATCTAGGTGATGGGTTGGTCTGTGCAGCAAACCACCATGGCACACGTTTACCTATGTGACAAGCCTGCACCTCCTGCCCATGTACCCCGGAACTTAAAATAAAAGTTGAAGGAAAAAAAAAGAAAAGAACCTATTTGAAATGCTCCCGGGAGACGTGTTCTGCCAAAAGGCAAGATCAATGTCTTAGTCCACTTCGGTTGCTATAACAAAGTACCATAGATTGAGTGGCTTATAAACTATATACACTTATTTCTTATTGTTCTGGAGGCCGGAAGTCTGAGATTAGGGTGCCAGTATTGTCAGGATCTGATGAGGGCCCTCTTCTGGGTTGCACTGAGAGCTTCTTCTTGTACATGCATATGGAGGAAGGGGCTTCCTAGCTCTCTGGAGTCCTTCTTATAAGAGCACTAATCCTATTAATGAGTGCTCCACACTCATAACCTAATCACCCCCCAAAGGCCCAACTTCCTAACCACATCACCTTGGGGAAGAAAATGTCAACATGTAAATTTTGGGGAAATACAAACATTCAGTCCATTGTAATCAATTTGTATGGAGAAATAGATATGGGAAATAAAACTTTTATGAAGAAGTTGACCAAGCTTATTAATGTCTGAAGGAGATATGGTTTTTAAAAATGATTTTTAAATGATTTTTAAAAAACTGTATCATTTTACCAATAAAGAATCAACATACTACTTAATACTACCAATGCAAGGGTAAAGGAGATTTAAGGAAATATGTGCTCAAGTTTTTTACTTGTTTGGGAGACATGGATATCAATAAACTTAAACATAGATAGAGAAAAATATGCATAAGAATGGGACTTAACAAATTAAGAATAATCTCTGGAAGGAAAAAAGCAAAAGATACAACGTTCAAGTGGCAGAAAAAAATTTGATCTAAATAAGGGTTTCCTCTATGTCATGGAAGTTAAAACACAGACTTACAGATGAATACACCTGGGTCTAAATACTGATTGTGCCACTTATCATTGTGTGACAACAAGCAATTAAACCCTGTGAATCTTGGTTTCATCTCTGTAAAACTGGAATGATAATTCCTACCATGAAGGATTTAAGTGGGGGTGCAGTAAGATACTATTCTTATTGTACTTAGTGCTATGCCAAGGAATTGTAAATGCTCAATAAATGACAGCCAGTCCAGTCTAGGTTCATATTTCTGGTGCTAACCTAGCTCTGCCCCAGTTTGGAATCAAGGACACAGATTAATGCTGAGATATTTTTCACCCCAAGGTATCATGGCCCCACCACTTAGAGTGACTACCTTTCAGTTTCTTTAATTGTAACATGGCACTAAAATTGCCACTATTTCATAAGTTTATTGGGATGATGAAATAAATTTATATATATGAAGTACTTAGGACCTATTAAGTGCTTTACATGTTACTTACTATGATGATTTTTTTAAATTTAATTTAATTTAATTTAATTTTTTTTGAGACAGAGTTTTGTTCTGTCGCCCAGGCTGGAGTGCAGTGCTGCAATCTCGGCTCACCGCAAGCTCCGCCTCCCAGGTTCACGCCATTCTCCTGCCTCAGCCTCCCGAGTAGCCGGGACTACAGGCGCGCGCCACCACGCCCGGCTAATTTTTTGTATTTTTAGTAGAGACAGGGTTTCACCGTGTTAGCCAGGATGGTCTCGATTTCCTGACCTCGTGATCTGCCGGCCTTGGCCTCCCAAAGTGCTGGGATTACAGGCGTAAGCCACCGTGCCTGGCCTACTATGATGATTTTTATGCTTAGTCTTATACTGAAGTCTCCAGAACATACCATTTGCTCCTTAGAAAATTCCCTCAATATGAGAGTACAGATGTAACCAATCTTAAAACATTTAAGGTATAATGGCAGTGAAACACTCTAGAACATTTGCCTAGTCTCTTTGACATGGAAGTCATTCATCAGTGAAACAACTGCAAGGTCCAACTCTGTGAAGAAGCATTCTTGGTCTTGAACTTTGGCATAAACTTTGTTGGACAGAGGAATAAAATAGCTTTAAGAAAGATGGTTACCAGCTGGTTGTTACTTTCAAATTCCAAGATGTCTGTCTTGCAAAGCACACAATAGCATACTAGGATTCTCACTAATTGCATACTTTGGTAAAATAGTATTGTATAGGTGTGATATTTACATGCTACTCTTCATGAATTAAAAATATTTGTACAGACTTACAGTCAGTAAACATGTGCTTTTTGTACATTTGACAGGAATAGTTATTCCATATCTCCTGTCACGAAGACACAAGATATAACCTTGTAGTTAATGTGAGTGTTAAATCTATCCTGACCTGGTTTTATGTTTCACTTCGTGGATTGCCAAGTCATTTAACTTTAATATACCTCCGTTTCCTCATACTGCGTCATGCACTGTGGTGCTGCTGACAGAACCTATATCTTAAAATAATTTTAAGGATTAAGTGAGACTAGGCATGTAAAATGCCAGAAGTGGAGAAATGCTCAGTAATTGTCGGTGCTGATTGCAATTAAAATGATGATAATGATGATTATGGAGTGGAGGAGGGGTATGTGTTCTATGGCTGTTGAGGACTATTCTCCTCTAGCCTCCCTCCCTTTCCTGCAAAGTTAAAAATACGACGTTGAAATTAAGTCTAACTAGCTTAATAAATGAATGTAAATAAACAAAATGCTTAAGAGCACAATGTAGCGTATTTGTTTCTCTCTTGCCTCTAATAATGATTCACATAAATAATTTTGACTTCATGCTACTGAGAGATCAGGGTAGGTCTTTTTTCTGTTTTTAGATTGGATGAGATGTTGTATCCAGGGGCACAATACACAGGCAAGAATGACGATCATGTTCCTTATGAGACCTGGAACACACCCCTTTTTTCACCATTTCTTTGCTAAAATGTGGCTCCATTGTAATTTTCATGTAAGATGTATTAAATTGTCACGAAGAGTCATGCATATTCTAGCAGAAGATACTAATGACTATTCTAAAGATGCATTCCTTTGTAACCTTCAGGCTGTAATAGGCTAGAAACCAATGCCTGATATGAAGATATGGAGACAAGAGTCATGTGTCACTAAAAGTGAAGTTGCAGATTCATTTTGGTGTGCTCCTTAACACTTTATTGTATAAAGTGACTCTGAATGGTGAAATGGTACACAGTGTACTTGGCTGGAGGCAACTTTATAAAAATACTGAAAATAAAAAGGAGCCACTGTGTGAAGAAATAATGGGTAGACAAAAATGCCTAGGCAATAGTCAGAGCCCAAAATAACCAGTCACATCAGCACAGAGTACTTAGTCAGAAGGGTTGCCTGACCAAACAGGGAGGATAATCAAGTATTTACAAGTGGGCAAGACTGGAAGTCACCCCTCATCCATGATATGTTCTCATGAAGAAAAAGATTGCTAAAATAGACAATATATAATTGAGTGTTTACAACATGCCAGACCTTTGACTAATTAGTTTATTGATTCACTTATTCTTCATAATCTTATGAATCATTTTCAAATTTTATTGTCATTTTATAGATAAGGAAACTGAGACTCAGAAGGTGAAGTGACTTTCCAAAGTCACACATCTCAGAGATGAAAGTGCTGGAATTTGAGCCCAGGAGATCTGGTTCTATAGCTGGGAGATAGGAAGGCATCATTCAAAGGTTATGGGCAGGTGGTGTGGTGGTGGTGGGCGGGGTGCCAGGGCCCTAGTGCTTAACCACTATACTACACTGTCTTTAGCTGATGTAATGTAAACAGGCCGGTTTTGTAAGTCCCCTGAAGGAAATAAATGTCTTGTGGATGATTTTATAATATCTGAGACATAGGAGCACAGAGCTCTGCTTTGAATTCCCAGTAGTGTTGTCATATGCCCTAGTTTGTCCAAGACAGCCCTGGTTTATGCCCGTTGTCAAGGCATAATCAATAATAGCTCTCTAAAAAGTGTCCCAATTTGGGAGATAAAGTATATAGTCACCCTTACATAGACAGCCAAATGGTTAATCCCTGGGTAAGACTAAACCCACTTGAAGGCCCTTGAAGCGCTAGGCTAATGATTTCTTATATCCACAAGAGATGAATGGGGTTGAGGAGAACTTGTTCTGTAATAGGAATACTAAGGAAGTAACACCCCTCACACCCAGAAAAAAAGGAAAACAGAGAAACCAAATAGAAAACAGCAGGATCCACAAACTAGGCAGCATAATTAGATTTAGTAAAAACTACTCCAAAGAGGGCATTTCATTGAGCTTACTCTGCCAAACGCAACAGCTAGGATAAAAGACTGATTTCCTCAGAGAAAATTTGAGGTGAATTCCAATCATGTTTGGATTGCTTTAATATCCATCCAGGCATTGGAACCCAACCCTAAATATTAGGAATTGTGTGACATGGAGCGGAGTTAATTTAGTAGAATTTGTTCACAGCTTATTGTAGTTAACATGAATCCATTTTGCCAATATCAATATGTCAGCTCTCAGAGGGAGTTCATGCATGGGGTTGGTCATCAGTGAATGAGTCCATAGCAGCTATTAAATTAATGAATTGGTGATTAAATTACCTCTCGTAAGGGAGCTAGTCCTTTCTTAGCTATGTCTTTCCTCTGCATTTTTCCTGAAGTACGTGTTGGGTTTTGTCTTTTCATAGTTAAAACAACTACAACTACATACATGATGACATGGAGCCCTCTCCAATATCAGTGAACGATGTTATAATGCATAAAGCTCAGCTGTTCTTAGTCAGTCCTCTGAAGGCTGGACCAGAGAAGGCAGGAAGCCACAAACTTCCTTATGTAACTTGCCACAGTGATGGTGGCAACATTTCTCTGCAGGCTCACTAAAAATGCTCAGTGTGTGCAAAATATGGACATACTAAATGTGAGAATCATAGTCAGTCCAGAAGTTTTTGGTGAATTCATTCTTGTTGGTCACAAGTTCTTAAGGTCAGAGCAAAAAGCTTGTGTCTTTGGGATATTCTCAAGGACATGAGAGGAGAGGGAAGCCAGGATGGACCTCAGTGTTGACTACACATGAAACTTCAACAAAATAGAGTTCCTATAAATAAGTCTCACTATACAATGAAAGTAGGAAAAGAATAATGTACTCAGTGTAATATCAGGTGTTGAGGTTTGATCACAAAAACTGGGTTCCTGTTGTTAATATAGCAGAATGGGGCTTTTTATGGGATATATGGCAATGGAAAGGCACCAACTCTTGATGAAGTGGAGTTGTAGAATGTCCCTCAGTTGGGGTTTGTCTGATGTTTTCTCATGATTAGACTGGGGCTATGAGTTTGGGGAAAGAATACTGCAGAAGTAAAGTCCCTTCTCATCACATCATGTCAAGAAGTACATGATATCAGCATGACTTATTACTGATAATGCTGTCACCTTGATTACTTGGTTAAGGTGGTGTCTGCCAGGTTTCTCCACTGAAATGCTGCTATTTTTTTCCCTAACACACTCTATTCTTTAGAAGCAAGTCTCTAAGTCCAGCTCACATTCAAGAGGAGGGGAATAAAGAAAGCACCACCTCCTAGACAAAGTTATGTCAAAGAATTTGTAATCCCCTAATTATAAGCTATTGGATAGAGCTTTCAGACAGCAAGATAAAAGCTTCCAAATGCCTGGAGAAAGTATTATTCAATATCAATATGTTAACTCTCAGAGGGTGTTCATATGCAGGGTTGTTAGAATTAACGTCTTTACAATGACCAGGTAGGCAGTTTCTTAGAAAGCTATAGAAATCTAGTCAAGTATCTCAATTTATGTTTCGCTAAGTTTGATTATGCTTTATTTCCTATCCAACTTGCCATTGGTAAAATTGGTGCTGAGATAAAAAGATTTTTGTGCTATTAATGCACACCAGAGTGTAATTGAAGAATACTTGAAATAATTGCTACTATATTGCCTCAAAATTGTGAATCAGAAACCTCTGGGAAACTTCCATTTAACCTGAGCTGTTTTTAAGCCTATTGTTTCTGCCACCATTTTCAGTGGAATTTTATCCTTCCATTTTTTTTGTTTTTTGTTTTTTTTTTCGCAGGTAATCTTTGTGAAAACTTCATAGAAAACCAGGTGCAGAGTTTAGCTGTACTTATTCCTGCAAACCAAATGCCTCTCTGCAGTGATGCGGGATTTGTTATTCTCTTTTCTTCATCTTCAAAGGCATTTAGGTCCCATCTGCACATGGGACTGTGCTAGGCCCTAGACAAGCAATTTAGTGGAAACAAATTCTACCCTCTGGGGACTTCCATCTATTTTAGTCAGGTGAATCTGACTATAACAAACAACCCCTGAATCTCAGTGGGTTAACACAAGACAGCCTCATTTCTCATTCACTTCACAGTTCAGTAAGGGTCAGCAGGGGCTGTGGTCTTTGCAGCCATCTGGGGACATAGGCTCTATCTAGCTAGTGCCTTCTCCCTCCCATAGTACCTCAGAGGCTTCCAATGAAACTCCTAACTTCAGTCAGCAGACAAGAGAAAAGGAGGGAGTACACAGGAGGTTTTAGAGGCCAGATCTGGAATTTATGCTCCTATCTAACTATAATGGGCTAGAAAGTTTGGTCTCTCTGTTGTACCAGGGAGGAAAAATCATAAATAAATCAGGATTTTATGAACACACAGTTGTCTCTCCCATACCCCATACCTGCCATCAGAGACATATCCTTACCTTAAACAACATAGTTACCCTATAGCATTGCTTTTTTTTTTTTTTGTCTAGAGATTATTTCATTGGTAAAGTTGGTGCTGAGATAAAAGTATTTTTGTCCTTTTAATACATACCACAGTATAGTTCCAAAATACTTGAAATAATTATTTCTATACTTTCCCAATATTAGCTTGTACATCTTTCTGGTAGGCGTATGGCATACCTGGGATTTGGTCAATTATCAAGAGTGTTTACAGGCTCAGTTGAAGTCAAACATTTATTCTGTCATGGTAGATAATTAGGGAACCCAGAGTAATGTATTTGAATACTGCCTCTGGGTATTTGGAAGGTTTCTTCTTGCTGTCTGAAAGCTCCATCCAAATAGCTTATAATTAGGGGATTACAAAATTATTTGATACAGCTTTGTCCAGGAGGTAGAGTTTTATTTTCCTCCTCTTGAGTGTGGGCTGGACTCAGGGACCTGCTTTAAAGAATAGATAATGTAAAGAAAAAGAATAGTAGCTCTTCAGTGGAGGAATCTGGAAGATACCACTTTAATCAAGTGGTCAAGATGACAATATCACCAATAATGAGTCATTATCAGTAACAAGTCATGTTGATATCATATATTTGGTATGACATGACAAGGGTACTTCATCTCTGCAATATTCTTTCCCCAAACCCACAACCTTAATTTAATCATGAGAAAACATCCAACAAACCCCAACTGAGGGTTATTCTACATAATATCTGACAAACACTCCTCAAAATTGTCAAAATTGTGAAAGTCAAGGAAAGACTGAGAAACTGTCACAGATTGGAGGAGACTAAAGAGACACGATGACTAAATGTAGGATCCTGGATTGGGTTCTGGCACAGAAAAATGACATTAGGGAATAAACTGGAGGATCTGAATGTGTTAGTCAAGGTCTTCCAGAGAAACAGAACCAATATAATATTTATGTGTCTGAAGTGGGAATTCACTCAATGCTATTATGGGGGCTGAGAAGTCCCACAGTCTGCCGTCTGCAAGCTGGGGAACCAGGAAAGCTGGTGGTGTAATTCAGTCTGAGTCCAAAAGCCTGAGAACCAGGGAGCAAATGGCATAAGTCTTGGTCCAATTCTGAAGGCCTGAGAACTAAGGGGTTGGGAGTGCAGAAGTCTAAGTCTCGGTTTGAGTGCAAAAGCCTGAGAACCAGGAGCATCTACGTCTGAGGGCAGGAGAAGATGAATGTCCCAGCTCAATAAGAGAGAGAGAATTTGCCCTCCTTTTATCTTTTGGTTCTATTGGAGCCCTCAGTGGATTGGATGGCCATCCACATTGGTGAAGACAATCTCCTTTACTCAGTTGAATCTGCTGATTCAAATGCTAATCTCTTGCAGAAACACCCTCACAGACACACCCAGAAGCAATGTTGTACCAGCTCTCTGGGTATCTCTGAGCCTAGTCAAGTTGATGTATAAAATTAGTCATCACATTGAATGAAACCTATAGTTGAGTTTATAGTATTGTACCAAGGTTAGGGGAATCTTGGTGAAGGATATATGAAAACTCTGCATTAGTTTTGAAAATTGTCTGTATATCTAATATTATTTCAATATTAATAGTTAAAACCAAAACAAAACAAAATGAGATTTTTCAAAAAATGAGGTGATAGCCTCAGGGAGGAAACAAAATTAACGATGGAAACAGAATTTCAAGGGTAAAAGAGACATTTTACATAATCCCTATTTACCAACTCATTTTTGCAGAAAAGGAAAATAAGGCTCAGAGAGGCAAATCAAACTGCCAAATATTTTACAGGAAATAAATAGTACTTGCAGTAAAATGAAGGGCTTATAATTCCTAATCTAATATTCTTGCCCTAAATTATTGTTGAGCTATTATTAGGTTGGCGAGAAGAAACTGAGCTTTGTGCCATTAAAGGTAATGGCAAAAATCGCAGTTACTTTTGCACCAACCTAATAATTTTGGGGGAGGGGTGAGAGTAGAGATGTAGCAATAACACAATAATAAACAGAATCCATTACTTATGTAGCACGAACTAGGACTATTAATCCTATTTTTGTTCTGGCAAATCTCTAGCCCATTATCTATAATCTCTCCCCAATACTGCATACACCCACCTACACTGATTTGTAGATAAGCAGAATGAGATTCAGGCAAATTAAGTAACCTGTCGATGTTTCATGGCCAATAATTTAAAAAATCTGTATTGAAACTCAAATCTTTCTAATACCAAAGGTCAAGCCCTTTCCATTACATCATGGTGCTTCCTTCTCTGACCAGAAGAGTAGTAAAACCCGTGGAAAAGATGACGGAAGAAATATCTAGAAGCTATCAGGTGGGTGGGTGGCAATGATTTGTTTTAAAATATTTCTTGGGGTACCAGAATTGTAATCTGTGCTCCTAAATTTCAGAAAAGAAATTAGTTACTAAATAAGCGAGTGAGCCTGAGGCAAAATGTAATTTTAGGGGCTCTCCTTTGAGAAAAGGATTCAAATGGCTTATTTGATCCCTTTGAATAGCTTTTAGTATGATCAAAATATTTGGTTAAGTGGTATGCTAATCTGGTGAGACAGCGATACTCTATCCTTCAACCCTTGATGTATATCATAATATTAACCATTGACTACACCCTTCCTCTGTGTCTGGTGCAGTGATATATGACATTTATTATTTCTACTCCATACCACAACATTGGAAGGGAACTATTATCTCAATTTCACAAAAGAAATGACTGATGCCCTTTTACCTGTCCCTGCCAACATGCCAAATATAAAACAAATACAATTTATACAAAGAAGTTAATATAAAAACGTGTGCATATTAATAAGCATTGTCAAAGGCAGACATTTCTCTTCTAATAGAGTTCCCTCAACAATGCATTTCATACATTGTGCTGCCACTTCCACGCATTCTGTAATGAAACTTCTATTAAGTTTGGGGCGTAGTCAACAACTTGTTTAATTGGTGGAAACTTAGTTTCTAGAAATAGAAATATCAGGAAAGCAATGAACTGCAGTTCAACTTGTGGAATTCTTCTCTCTTCCATTCCTCACTCAGTGTCCTCTTGATGTTGAGGTTGTGGCTTCCGGTTCTCTTAGTGTCTGTGGGTGTCCAGTCCCACCCACCTTGGTGGTCCCTGGTGATATGAAGCGGTCTCACAGAGTGACATGGAGGAAGTGTCTTTTTCAATTCCTGATGAAGGCCTTGGCACTTCGCAGGATCCAGGTCTTTGGCCCATCAGCAATTAGTATGTCCCTGACTCATTTCTTTGTCTTTTCCTTATCAACGAGAACTCCATCAGTCATTACTGGAGCCAAATAGAGACCATGGCTGATTTCCAGACTTTCCTCACCAGGGCTATGTTTTTTTTAAAAGAGTTTTGAGTCCAGAACCCCTGTTAATTCATGTGTATCTATAAATGCTTCTCTCTTTAATAGTGTATTAGCTGACAATGTTTCCCATAGGATTATTTTTATTATTATTTTGTAGGACATTCTTTATAATCATATGGCTATCACTGTTCTCTACGACAGGGGAGTCACAGGGGAGGCCTCTTCAAGTCAAGTGCTAAATAGGAATGAAACAATCTATTCTAATAAAACACAGGTTTTTTTTCCCTCCCAGTTGAGTGTTCAGTTTGAGTAAATTTCTCGCTGTAACAGCTGATGTAGTGTCTTCAGCATTTCGTTTGCTCCTTTTACAATTGTAAAATGAGATAAATTAAACAAGGCACAACCAAGTTGACTGCTTCAGGTACATTAATGAAACCGTCTAATATATGTAAGTTGGAATCAAGCTCTGAACAGCAGTGGGGCACCTGCATTCTATTTCTTAAGAGTTATTTAGCAAAAAGCAAGGTGCAGTGAAGGAAAAGGAAATAGCTGCCTCTATTTAGTGACCAACAGTCTTCTCTATTCTTTATGGTGTGGCTCATGCTTATGAATGTTAAAAATATGGTATAATCAGCTATAATCAACCAGCATTTATTCAGCTTCTAGTGAGTGCCAGTTGTCATGCTAGGAGTCAAGGAAATCAATTAGACACAGTTACTGCCCTTTTTAGGAGCAAGAACCAAGTAAACAGAGAAGTTATTCATCAATACAAGTATATAAAAATGACAGAGAAGGGAGTAATTCACCAGAGAGGCTGGAATTTGAAGACTGGATAAGATTTTACCTAGAAGAAAGTCAATTGAAGTGCATTTTGCATGCAAAAAGTACAGCATTATGTGGAGGCATAATGTTGAACCAATAAGGTATGTTTAGGAAACTCTGATGAGCTTCTTCTAGCTGCTGGAGGGACAAGGGACAGGGATGTTGGTGGAGATACGGTAGGAAACATTGTTGAAGAGATAAGCAGAGACTAAATTATGAGGAGCCGGTTAGAATTCATTAACCACTCAGTACTTAGTTAGGCACTATGTGTGATACAACAGATATCTTGGACACTGTTGCTGCTCTTAAAAGAATTTATGAGCAAGCTGAGAAGGGAAACCAACATACATGAAACGATTAGAACACAATTAAGAACTCAATGATGCATTATTGACTCTAAGTGCAGCTGGAATTCAAAGAAGGTACAGAAATCAATATAGTCTCGAATAATCAAAGAAATAAAGAGAAGGTGGGATTTGAGCTGTCCCAGGAAGAATGGGAAGCCTTGGATCAATAGTTCTTAACTGGGATCAGTACTACTCCCCAGTGGACGTTTGAAAATGTGTGGATTTATTTTTAAATGTTGCAATGGGAAGGAGGGAGGGTCACTTTAGGCATTCATTGAGCCCATGATGCTAAATGCCTTGCAATGCACAGGAGCTACTCAATGAAGGATTACCTTTCTCAAAAGTCTCAGACCCTATTCAGCAACACTAATTATATAAGTAGAGGGCAGAAAGAGTAGATTCCAAATAGAAATATAAGAATTATAGGTACACATCACTCTTGGTCATTAAAGAGACTTAATTTGAAAATACAGAAACCAATTTTATTCCATTTTAAACCTATTAATTTTCTCAGAATCTTTCAGAAATTACATGATTAAACAGGCTTTTTTTTGGACAGGATTGCAATCAAGTACTTTTTGGGGTTAGACAGAGAAGATAAATATGGAAATTGGCAATTTAACTAGAACCCCAGCTTGGCACCTGGCTATCTCACTCCCTCACCAAGCAGCATGCACCCATTCTCCTGCCTCTTTCCATCCACTATGGGATGACTCCAATTCTGTCTCAAATCCACCTACTCCTGCCGCTCTTCTGCTTATGTCACAGCTTCTGCCCACTCTTGGTTTCTGTTTACTGCCTTCTCTGAGAGTCTCTCAGCTTCTTCCCCCATCAACAACTGCCGAATCTCTACATCTCATATTCAAGTTGCCCAAGAATGTATTTCTGATCAGTTTGGCCCATGGGCTTCTTTCCAGAAGGCCAAAGCCCTGGTACTAGCCCACTTGGTGGGCCACTGGCTGACTTGAGGGTTACTTGCCTTATACCCTTGAGTTAGGTCCTTCTCCTTTCAGTTAGTTGTGGACATAAAGATGTGGTCATAAGCACAGAGCAGGTGGACCTATGCAAGACAAACTGGGCCACATCTCCAGCAACAAATGCAGTGGCTTTTCAATAATGACTCTGGCTGAAATTAGAAGGTTCAATGGAAATGGAACTACAGGATCTGCTATTTACAGTCACAGTTAAAAAAAAAATACTGGCTAGGCGCGGTGACTCATGCCTGTAATCCCATCACTTTGGGAGGCCAAGGTGGGCAGATCACGAGGTCAGGAGATCAAGACCATCCTGGCTAACAGGGTAAAACCCTGTCTCTGCTAAAAATACAAAAAATTAGCCGGGTGTGATGGCACGTGCCTGTAGTCCCAGCTACTTGGGAGGCTAAGGGAGGAGAATTGCTTGAACCCAGGAGGCAGAGGTTGCAGTGAGCCGAGATTGGGCCACTGCACTCCAGCCTGGGTGACAGAGTGAGACTCTGTCTCAAAAAAAAAAAAAAAAAAAAAAAAGCAAATACCAATTTTGGTAAGTACACCTTGTGGAATAAATAAATAACCACTTAGAACACTTGCCATCACATTTATACATATACATTATGTCATGTTTAAATTCAGGTGGTACTATTTTCAAATATAAAGGATAGTGGGCCTACTCTCACTTCAAATTCAACAACTACAAAATTTAACTCAGATTTCTTTTTCTTTTTTCTTTCTTTTTTTTTTTTTTGAGATGGAGACTCACTCTGTCACCCAGGCTGGAGTGCAGTGGTGCGATCTTGGCTCACTGCAACCTCCGCCTCCCAGGTTCAAGCGATTCTCCTGCCTCAGCCTCCCGAATAGCTGGGACTACAGGCGCCTGCCACCATGCCCAGGTAATTTCCCTGGGTAATTTTTGTATTTTTAGTAGAGATGGGGTTTTGCCATGTTGGCCAGGCTGGTCTCGAACTCCTGACCTCAGGTGATCCACCCGCCTTGGCCTCCCAAGGTGCTGGGATTACAGGCGTGAGCGACTGCGCCCAGACCTCAGATTTCTTTCAGCACTAAATTACCCTCCAAGCCTTTATTTCTGCTCACAGTAATAGAGATTTTATAGGAAGTATAGAACTAATTTGTTAAGGGGAATAGATCTTGGCTGTGAACTGCAAATATTCCAGGCCCTACTTGTTAGAATGCTTCAGGCTCAAGATTGGTGGAGAGAAATAGCTTAGTAATCATATGAAACAAAGTTCATAACCTGGTGGTCTGCTAGCCAAACTGGGCCCACAAAAAAGTTTTTCATTTTGGCAAACACTGTGTTTTATACGCACTTGAATTAGAATGTACATAGATGGGAGACATGAAGCAGAGATTTTTAAAGCCTCCACCAATCCAGATGTGCCTACTAAAAGAAGAAGTCATAGATGAGTACCAGCTCCCTGGGAAATTGCAGATGTCACAGCAGAGAAGGGTGGGATGATGAGGTCAGGTGGGGAACAGTTTGTTTGCCTTATAATTTAAAATACTTACACTTCACTTATTTTAAGGTGGCCGTGCTCGACAACAACTGTCTGACACCTACAATCACGTGGCTGTCTCTTTCACCTACATGTAGGACTGGTCTAGTGGGAAAAATAAATGTGCACTTAGAAGTCTAATTAAAACACACACTGTCAGCAACACTGTGCTGAAAGCCCCATTAAGCATCTTATGAATGCCCAAGAGCACCCCTGCCCATGTTTGGAGTGACACATTTTGGCTCGGATGGTGACAATTAGGATCAGGCCCAGGACACTGGAGAATATGCACTGCATCCCATATGGCCAAGTCTGTAGGTGGATTGTTCCCCTGGTGGCTGAAACTCAATGAAAAAGCTCTGGGTAAGAATTAGACAAAAATGATGGAGAATGCAAATTAGTATACTATGGATGGATCTGCATCACGTATGGCTGCATTATGGATTGGATTCAGCTGTCAGATGGTTATGTATTATTCATGATCAAATTCAGGGTAAAGACACCAGATGGCAAAGGCATATTCATGGTCAGATCATAGTTGTTAGATTAATTATAAATCTACATAAGAATTGGATAATAATAATTTAGACTGCCCTCAAAAGGATACTCTGCAGATCATCTAAACAAAACTATTTTTATAATAAGATGCATAGGTTATTAGGCGACATTAAACATTTTATGTTGCCATAAGTTACTTTCCAAAAAGACTGTATGGTAACATACAAATTTTTCATATTTCACTAACCTATGGTTTATTTGATATAGCTGGGGGTAACAGTGCCATTTCTTTAAAGGAATTGCAAATGATTTATGCTTAACTAGAATGTCAAGGGTCTGGCAAAACTCAGAAAATAAAAATGTTTTTGTGTGCATTATTACAACTCATCATGTGCAAAAAGACTCTCTGAACCCAGGTTCTATCACTGTGTCATCAGCATCTCTGGAGGCTGTCATCTTCTGATTGTCCCTCTATAGCCTCCTCCACCTGTATTGTGCTCTGTGTGGCTGACCTTATGGATTGCATCAGTGAGCCCTCTTGTTCTCTGGATTCTATTTGGTTGGCTAATGAGGAGCCCAAATGGGAGGTGGGGGCTGGGCATGTGAATAGTCCCTTGACTCCCTCCCTGGGGGATCACCTCAGCCTGGCTTCCTCCATGCCAAAGCCGCTGCTATTGTTGGGGGACCCTTCCCTTGCCTGCCTCTCTGGGCTCTGGAAAGTGAATGAATGGTTGAGGTTTTCTGCCATTACTAGCCCTGGGGTTTACATTACGCTTTGTGGTCTCCCTACATCCTGCCCACGTCTTTATAAATAGTCCATTTATTAAATTCTCCTCAAATACCTACTTTGAGAGTGCCATCTGTTTGTTTGGCTTTTTTTTTTTTGCTAGAATTCAGACTAAAACATACCCCAAGAATGGGAGCGCAGAATCAAAGAATATTTTAGCCGCAAAGGAACATAGAAGATGATCTGTTCAATCCTTCAGATTTTACTGATGATAAAACTGAGGTGGAAACATGTTAAGGAATTTGTCCAAAGTCACCAGCTACTATGTGACAGATCAGGGACTAGAATACAGATCTTTGCATCTCTCAGTGCATTTGCCACAACAGAATCCTCCACAACAATTTGGAGACACAGAAGGTATTCACTGAAGGTGAACATCCAGTTCAGTTAGCCCCAAGGGGTTGGCTAAATAGAGACATCTTCTACATACAACAACTTCTGGTCAGGGTGTCAGCAGTAGCTCCAGAAAAGGACTCAGTGAAGAGGCTGGTGATATTTAAAATCCAGAAATCCATATAATTTTTTCTGAGCAGTTTCTTAAGATCTTGGCTAAACTTGGCTCCCAGAATTTTACCTTAGTCAGTAGGGATGGCCAAGGGGAATGCATAAGATGTTCTCAGTGCCCAGGTGTTCTCCCCAGACAGGTGGAGGGGATGGGCAGAGGAATGGTTGCAATTAGGTGAGACAGGTGTCCCTATACAGGCATTAGAGAACAGAGAAAAGGGTAAAATATTAGGTTGATGCAAAAGTACCCGCGGTTTTTGCCATTACAATTTCAGTTGCAAAAACCGCGATTACCTTTGCATCAATCTAATAATTAGCATGAATGGGATGCTTACGTGCCAGGAACTGCACTGAGGGTTTTACCTTCATTATTTCATGTAATCCTATCCATAACCTTCATTTCACAGATGACCAAATTTAAGCAAAAAGAAGGTATACATACAGTGAGTGAAAAACCAGCCCCAGAGGAGACCTAGAGTTCAATATACGTTGAGAACACAGTAATGGTGGCAACAAAGATCATAAAAAGTTTATTATTGCCCATCACTGAATAAGATCTGGGGATAAGCAAGAAACAAAGATCAAGAAATAAGCACCACGAACTAGAAGACCTAGTTGCTGTTGCAGTGTTTGTACCCTATGGGATGTGGTGCTGTGTTCCTAGGAAAGAAAACAGATGACTAGAATATAGTTTGGAAATTTATAGTCTGGAAGGACAGGATATTGTAGGGACACAGGAGACGGGCCAGCAACATCGGCAAGAGAAAGTATGAGGTGATGAAGGTTTAGTAGAGAAAGGGAGGTAAGAACTGAAGGTGGAGTTTACAGGATGGGAAATGTGTTTCAGTTAATGTGAAGAGCATGTGCCCAAATTTGCTGTTCAGGAAATGTTTGGCAAATAAGTTCATTGGGGATAATTGTAGAGGTTAGATGGAAGCCAAAGACAGTGAGACTGAAAAGCTAAGTCAGGGAGTCAGGGACAGTACAAGTGGAGCTTGCAGGTCACATTAAGGCATTTGGATTTCTTTTTACTAAGAGTATTAGAGAGACACTGAGAGTTTTAAATAAAGAGACGACATGACCAGATTTTCAGGGGTCACCGACCCTCCGACAGAGATTGATCTCTGCTCTGGGTTTATTGGGTGGATGAAAAGACTGTGCTCTGTTTAGGGTAAGTGTACAAGACAACCAGCATGAGGTTGAGCTCACAGCGGCACATGGGTGTTAATTATTGCCTGAGAGCCTGGCCCCTCTGGGGATCCCAGTAGTTCCCTCACTGAACAGTGCTTCGCTGTTTGTCGGTCTATTGGGCATTCTCTGCCTAGTTCCAAGTAATTTGAATTTACTTTTTAATCTTGTTTTCCTTTAGTTTCTTTGTCCTGATTTAAAGGAGAACCTGAGATGTTGTTCAGCAGACGTGAAGAATTATTTTCATAGTATGATATTATAAGTAGTTGCCATCTCTTTTAAACTAATCTCCTCTATGTTTTGTTTGCTTTCCCTTTTCCCATTCAATAAACTCCAGCCCTCAGCTGTGACAATGTTTCAGGATCTGTAATGGCCTTGGATGGACATGAACAACTTGACCTAGAGTTTGGATCTATTAGTAGCTGTGTGGTACAGTCAGAACTTGCTGAACTTTAAGGCCCACAGCATTCATAAGAAGGATATTTCTAGGCAGGGGGGAGGAAGAAGAGATATTCCTTTGTAGAATGTGAATGGATACAGGATTCAGACTTCAGCTGCCATCTGTACGTGCACTAAACTGTTTAAACGAGTTACCTAAAATATGCTTACTGAATGAAAAGGTGAAGTGCTTGATTATTCTTTATAACAGTCAAAAGGTCCATGAAATAATGCCTACACTTATGTGTGCATTTTAGCCTTTCCTCTTCTCTTCTTTCCTTTCCTTTTTTTATTCCACTCTAATTTAAAAGAAAATGCCCATTACAAACCACTAAATTGATTTCAGAACGCACTAATAATTGAGTTATAACCTGAAGTTTGAGAAGCATTGTTACAGAAGATTTAACAAAATATATATATTTTTCTAGCATTCCCACTGTATCCAATAACCTAATTTCACCTGAACTGTGGAGTTACTAAGTCCTGTCTAATTGCTTGGGGTGTCTGAGGATTGGTAAAGATATCTACAGAGATTCTTGCCTCATTAGATGGGTAGCGATATTATTATTGCTTTTAAAAAAAGCCATGTCTTTATGTGTCTTTGAGATGATAAACTCTTGAATCTCACTGTATTTGGGAAGGGGTTTAGTAGTGTTTGAATCTCTGTAATGGTTTCTTCCCAACAAGAAATGTATTTTCAGCTCAAACTCTAATCAGTGAGTTACTCTTCTGACCAAAACAGATGACATGGTAGACATAATGCTGATCACCAACTTCAAAATAGCTGCCTAGAATTCAGAATGCTGAGATCAGAGATAACTGCAGGGCTAGGCACATCAGAAAAAGTGTCATTTTTTTGTGTTCTAACGTAATTGAAAGCATGCATTTTTTCAGAGTCTATTGAAGGGACCAATTGCACTTAGAATTGTCATTAAGTATATCTTAGTCCTGGAAACACGTGGAAGGACAGAGACTTGACAATTTTCCGTGCGCTGTGATGGAAATTTAAAAACTTTTTCAGTGCTGGCTGGTGTGGAATAAAACCATGGAAATGATGTGAGCCTGAAAAAATAATCACAACAGTAAAGGCAAGAAATGACTGGAAGAAAGACATCTTCTCTTACTGGTTCTGGGGTAAGAGGTTTCCCCCAATTCTTTGGTGAGGGAAAAATTAAAAATTGATTTCAGAGATTCAAAATGTATGTTGTTTGTTAATTACAATCATACTTCAAATAAATGAGTGGTTGACTATGTGGCTTTCCTTCCAGACTGTGATCTTAGTCATTCTCATCAAATGATTTGTGTAGGGTTCATAAGTCATGTCTATGACTCAAATCAAAATAGTCAATTCCATTCTTTACTGATTCTGTCCTTGCTCTACATATCACTAACGAATGTAGTTTTTGCTGTCATTCAGATATATAATTTTCGGAAAATGTTTTCCTTTCCTTAGGACTTGAGCTATTGCAAGTCCAACAAAAATTGTCAGAATGGAAACTCACAAATGAATGGTCTTCCTGCTTATTCTCTGCAACATTTTGAAGTAGACCATGCTTGTTTGTCAAATCTACTTGCTGTCTTTCTGTAGGAATCTTTTTCCTTTCAATATTACCTTCCTCAGGAGCCCATTTCTTCAAAGGTTCTTTCCCTATTTTCTGGCTGTTGACTGTCTTTCCCGCCAAAAGCATACCTCTATGTGTTGTAATGTCTCAGACCTAGAGATAATGTCTTAAGAATTTTTCTAAAATGTTAATAAATTAAGGAGGATACCTTGCCTGAAAAACATTTTCACCTTAACTGAGTCCTATGCTCTAACCCATAGGTTAGACATAATTAGGTCAATGCTTTCATTTTTTAACCTAGTTGAAGGATCTAAGGCTCAAGAAAATTAACTAGTCCTGGTTCCTCCACAGAAGGACTATCCTACCTGCCAGATTTTCCAGAATCTTGATCCATAATTGAGATATTGTTTTTATTGAGGGAAAGATGGCAAGGTTGTTTTCTGAGCTTTAAAGTTATCCACAGAGGGTGGAGTGGCCAAGGTAGTTGATGAGAAACAGGTGCAGTCCATGGCTCTCATGGAGAATAATGAAAACAGTGAGTGAACTCAGCACCTTTAACTGAAATATCCAGGTTCTCGCATTGAGACTGACTAGGTAGATGGCTCCATCCATGGAGAGTGAAGAAAAGCAGAGTGGGCGATGGCCCACCCAGGAGTGGCGCGGAGCCAAAGGAACCCTCACCCTCAGCCAAGGAACGCAGTGAATGTGCAACCCCACCAGGGGAAAGCAGGCTTCTTCCACAAATGTTTGTAACCCATGGATCAGGAGATCCCCTTGTGAGCCCGTGCCATCAGAGCCTTGGGTCCGATACACAAAGCTGTGCAGAGTCTCAGCAGAGCAGTCGCTCAGGCTCACACAGAAACCCAGGAATTTTACAGACTCCGGCCCTGGGAATCCTGGCAAGGTGGGAGAGCCATTCCTATACTCCCCTAGGAAGGGGGCTGTATCCAGGGAGCCAAGCAGCATCATTTCTGTGGGACCTACTTGCAGAACACCTCACAAGTTAAGACCCACTGGCTTGAATTCCAGCCAGCTGGAGACTGCCTGAGATGGACAAGTTCCCAGGGGAGGTGCAGCCATCATTTCTGCAGTTAGGTCGACCTAGCCATTCTAGCCAGCTGGGGAGTCCAGGTGGTCTGGACGAGGAGGAATCCCCCACAATGCAGCACAGCTGTTATGCCAGATCGCAGCCAGACTGCTTTTTTAAGTGGGACCCCAATCCATCTTTTCTCACTGGGAGGGGCCTACCTGTGGGAATTTCAGCAACTCCAGCCAGGGATATATGGAAAGAACTCTGATCTTTACCTGGGATGAAGCCCCAAAGGGGAGCGGCAGCCTCCATTTCTGCAGTTTAGTCAGCTCAGAAGTTCTAGCCTCCTGGCTCCAGGGAGGCCAGGTGGTCCTGTCAAGGATGAGTTACCCACAGTACAGAACAGCTGTGCCAAATCGTGATCAGAGTGCTTCTTTAAGGGGGATCCCAATCCATCCCTCCTCAGTGGGAGGGCCCTCCCTGTGAGAATTTCAGCAACTCCAGCCAGGGTTATACAGACAGAACTCTGATCTCTTCCTGGGATGGAGCCACTGGAGGAAAAGGCAGCCGATGTCTCTCTGGCCTTTCCAGCGTGCTGGCTCTGGAGAGCTCAGGTGGTCTGGATGGGGAAGGGTTAACTTCAGTGTAGCACATCTGCTCTAGCAAAAAGCAGCCAAACTGCTTCTTTAAGCAGGCTCCTGATCCCGTCCCTTCTGACTGGGTAACACCTCCCAACAGGGGTCTCCAGACACCTACAAGAGTGTCCAGGCTGGCAATAAGTCAATAGCCACCCTGGGATGGAGTTCCCAGAGGAAGAAGCAGGCTGGCATCTTTGCTGTTTCACAGCCTTTATTGGTAATACCTCCAGGTAAGGGAAAAACCAAGGTGTAAGGAACATGGCTGCGCTGCAGTCAGGCAGGATAGGCCGAGGTAAACATCCTGCATGACTCAGGGAGTTTGTAGCACAGGTGCACAATTCTGTGTATATTGTAAACACAGCTATGTAGCCATAACATGGGAAGGCTAGCACTTGGCTCTTCACCACTATTGTCTGTAAAAGGTATAATTGCCCTGCTGACACTTTACGGGTGTGCTTGTGCCCAGGGAAAGAGAGAGAGAGAGAGAGCCAGAGCTGTCTGTCTTTGCAGATGGAAAAGGGACATAGCTTGGCTTGCTTGCATCCAGAGGGAAACAGTTGAGCTGCTGACCCTGAAGGGAGACCCAGAGAGTAATGGTAAAGTGTTCAATTCAACAAGAAAATCTAACTATCCTAAATATATATGCACCCAATATAGAAGCACCCATATTCATAAAGTAAGTTCTTTGAGACCTACAAAGAGACTTAGACTCACATACAATAATAGTTGGAGACTTTAAAACCCCACTGTCATTATTAGACAGATCATTGAGACGGAAAATTAATGAAGATATTCAGGACCTGAATGCAGCTCTGGATCATGCAAAGCTGAGAGATATCTACAGAACTCTCCACCCCAAAACAACAGAATATACATTCTTCTTATCACCACATGGCACTTACTCTAAAACTGATAATCAGAATTAGAACACTCTTCAGCAAATGCAAAGGAGTTGAAATAATAAGAAACCATCTCTCAGACCACAGTCCATTCAAATTAGAACTCAAGACTAAGAAATTCACTCAAAACCACACCACTACATGGAAATTGAGCAACTTGCTCCTGAATGACTCCTGGGTAAATAACAAAATGAAGGCAGAAATCAAGAAGTTCTTTGAAACCAATGAGAAAAGAGACAACATACCAGAATCTCTGGGATACAGCTAAAGCAGTGTTAAGAGGGAAATTTATAGTACTAAATGCCTACATCAGAAAGCTGGAAGGATCTCAAATCGACACCCTAACATCACAATTAAAAGAACTAGAGAAGCAAGAGCAAACAAACCACAAAGCTAGCAGAAGACAAGAAATAACTGAGATCAGAGCAGAACTGAAGCAGATAGAGACACAAACACCCTTCGAAAAAAATCAACAAATCCAGGAGCTGGTTTTTTGAAAAAATTAATAAAATAGATAGACTGCTAGCTAGACTAATAAAGAAAAAAGAGAGAAGAATCAAATACGCACAATCAGAAATGCTAAGAGGGATATCACCACTGATTCCACAGATGTACAAACAACCATCAGAGAATACTAAACACGTCTATGCATGTAAACTGGAACATCTAGAAGAAATGGATGAATTCCTGGACACTTACACCTCCCAAGACTGATCCAGGGAGAAACTGAATCCCCAAATAGACCAATAATGAGTTCTGAAATTGAGGCAGTAATAAATAGCCTACAAATGAAAAAAAAAAAAAAAAAGACCAGGACCGGGCAGATTTATAGCTGAATTCTACCAGAGATACAAAGAATAACTGGTATCATTTCTACTGAAACTATTCCAAAAACAGATGAGTAAATATAGCAGGGCTGATTTCACAAATAAAACACATTTCTGCTTAGGGAGGCAGAGAGCAAAAGAGCATTTTTCCAATTCTTATAATGGAAAACAAAGCCAGACAACTTGCAAATTCATGACTTTTCTTGAATCTGCCAGAGAACTGTCACAGGGTAACTACCTGTCCCAAAATATAAGAAGGGAGAGACCACTTTAGGGAGAGACAAATGATCAATGACTTGCCTGGTGTAGACACGAGTAGACGATGGTAAGAAGAGACACATTGGGGTGATTAGAGAATTGGCAGAGGCTGGATATGCAGTGGTGAAGGCAGTAGGAACCAGAGAAATTGGGTGTATCCACAATCTCTTCAGGCTTTGTCTCCATAAACCCTCCTGAGCACTTGCAGAAGAGGCTGGAGAGAGTCCTAGGAAAGTGCCCTTAAAAGTGAAGTTATGAGAAAAGCAGCTGCTGGAAGAGGGCTACAGAATCCCATCTGGTCCCCTCTCATTAATTTCTCCTCTGAAACAAAAGCATCAATCTGTATGGTAAAGGGCAACAAACAGTTGTTTATTGTAAACTGGAAAAACCCATTATAGTGGGGGGAGGAGAATGGTGGTGGGAGGACTGCATTCCTGGGGCATGATAAGGTATAAGGAATATGCTGGGCTCATAACTACAGCCAAGGAGAAGTATCCCTGAGAAGCTTAGTCTGCTGAGAGTTCCTAGAAGCAATGACATCCAGTAGCAATGAGCCCACCTAGTCCTCAGATCCTGGTTTCTAAATACTAATCTTCAATAAAAGAAACAATGGTTAGTTTCCTAGAGAAGTGGTCCATTCCAGTGCTAGAATAGGAAAAATACAGGATGACCCTGGAGTATCTTGGGGTGATATAAAGCAAAGAAGTAAAAAAAAAAAAAAAAAAAGAACAATGGTTAGGTTTATGTCTAAATGGCACAAGAGCCCAAAGAGTTCCCATTGGCCAAATCTCCAATAATTTGAGCAACAAAATAATGTCAATATTGGATTATAACCCAAAGAATAAAATAAATATCCTTATATTAACAAATAGCTGAATAAATATAACAATGGGGGAGAAGGGACATAATTTCCTTATAGAAGAAATCCAAATAATAAATATTAAAGGAATGAAGGGAGTAGAAAAATTACCATTAGAATGAGTAAAAATCAAATTAAAAATTGCCATAGTTGAGATCCACTAATGGGTGCTAAAAATCAGTAGATGAAAGTTTGAGGGAAATAGAACATTTGTAGGGTCGCAAAGTGTCTTCCTCTGAAGATACAATACTTACAAAGGGAAAAGTAGTGACTTTACAGTGGAGAAATCTGGGGACACCACCTTAACCAAAGAAGCTCCAGTGATATCTATCAACGTCATGTAATCCCCAAAAGGATGCATTGAAGGGGCTCATCTTCTCTATGATGTTCTTCCAAACAGCGCATTGCCTCAATCTAATCATTACACATTTCTTAACATCTCTAACCATATAAAATGTATCTCTAAGCATATGGCAAGCTATTTGAAGATAAGGATGTCACGTGTTTATTTTTCTTCATTTTTAGTCCTTCTAAAAAGAAGATAAGGGGTAAAATCAAGGTCTTGAAAGGGAAGAACAAATGCTAGCCATAGACGCTCACATAGTATGCTACTGAATATCATATGTAGCTTTAAGCTTCCTTGTTCTCAAGACAAAAAGAGAATCATAAGAAATAAATACCAAATGTTATGAGAGGGGACATTTATCATACTTATATATTTTTTGGCACCACTCAAAAAATGTATTTTTAAGAGGAGAAAATTCACCTATAATCTCATTCCTAGTACATTGTTTATATTTCAATGTTCATTCTAGTCTTTTTTGAATATATTTTTTATACATGTGATCACAATGTAGATGTCATTTTGTATCGATTTAAAAATGACACTTGGGGGAGGAGGAGCCAAGATGGCCGAATAGGAACAGCTCCGGTCTACAGCTCCCAGCGTGAGCGACGCAGAAGACGGGTGATTTCTGCATTTCCATCTGAGGTACCGGGTTCATCTCACTAGGGAGTGCCAGACAGTGGGCGCAGGCCAGTGTGTGTGCGCACCGTGCGCGAGCCGAAGCAGGGCGAGGCATTGCCTCACCTGGGAAGCGCAAGGGGTCAGGGAGTTCCCTTTCCGAGTCAAAGAAAGGGGTGACGGACGCACCTGGAAAATCGGGTCACTCCCACCCGAATATTGCGCTTTTCAGACCGGCTTAAGAAACGGCGCACCACGAGACGATATCCCACACCTGGCTCAGAGGGTCCTACGCCCACGGAATCTCGCTGATTGCTAGCACAGCAGTCTGAGATCAAACTGCAAGGCGGCAACGAGGCTGGGGGAGGGGGGCCCGCCATTGCCCAGGCTTGCTTACGTAAACAAAGCAGCCGGGAAGCTCGAACTGGGTGGAGCCCACCACAGCTCAAGGAGGCCTGCCTGCCTCTGTAGGCTCCACCTCTGGGGGCAGGGCACAGACAAACAAAAAGACAGCAGTAACCTCTGCAGACTTAAGTGTCCCTGTCTGACAGCTTTGAAGAGAGCAGTGGTTCTCCCAGCACGCAGCTGGAGATCTGAGAACGGGCAGACTGCCTCCTCAAGTGGGTCCCTGACCCCTGAACCCCGAGCAGCCTAACTGGGAGGCACCCCCCAGCAGGGGCACACTGACACCTCACACGGCAGGGTATTCCAACAGACCTGCAGCTGAGGGTCCTGTCTGTTAGAAGGAAAACTAACAACCAGAAAGGACATCTACACCGAAAACCCATCTGTACATCACCATCATCAAAGACCAAAAGTAGATAAAACCACAAAGATGGGGAAAAAACAGAACAGAAAAACTGGAAACTCTAAAACACAGAGCGCCTCTCCTCCTCCAAAGGAACGCAGTTCCTCGCCAGCAACAGAACAAAGCTGGATGGAGAATGATTTTGATGAGCTGAGAGAAGAAGGCTTCAGACGATCAAATTACTCTGAGCTACGGGAGGACATTAAACCAAAGGCAAAGAAGTTGAAAACTTTGAAAAAAATTTAGAAGAATGTATAACTAGAATAACCAATACAGAGAAGTGCTTAAAGGAGCTGATGGAGCTGAAAACCAAGGCTCGAGAACTACGTGAAGAATGCAGAAGCCTCAGGAGCCGATGCGATCAACTGGAAGAAAGGGTATCAGCAATGGAAGATGAAATGAATGAAATGAAGCGAGAAGGGAAGTTTAGAGAAAAAAGAATAAAAAGAAATGAGCAAAGCCTCCAAGAAATATGGGACTATGTGAAAAGACCAAATCTACGTCTGATTGGTGTACCTGAAAGTGATGTGGAGAATGGAACCAAGTTGGAAAACACTCTGCAGGATATTATCCAGGAGAACTTCCCCAATCTAGCAAGGCAGGCCAACGTTCAGATTCAGGAAATACAGAGAACGCCACAAAGATACTCCTCGAGAAGAGCAACTCCAAGACACATAATTGTCAGATTCACCAAAGTTGAAATGAAGGAAAAAATGTTAAGGGCAGCCAGAGAGAAAGGTCGGCTTACCCACAAAGGGAAGCCCATCAGACTAACAGCGGATCTCTCGGCAGAAACCCTACAAGCCAGAAGAGAGTGGGGGCCAATATTCAACATTCTTAAAGAAAAGAATTTTCAACCCAGAATTTCATATCCAGCCAAACTAAGCTTCATAAGTGAAGGAGAAATAAAATACTTTATAGACAAGCAAATGCTGAGAGATTTTGTCACCACCAGGCCTGCCCTAAAAGAGCTCCTGAAGGAAGCGCTAAACATGGAAAGGAACAACCGGTACCAGCCGCTGCAAAATCATGCCAAAATGTAAAGACCATCGAGACTAGGAAGAAACTGCATCAACTAATGAGCAAAATCACCAGCTAACATCATAATGACAGGATCAAATTCACACATAACAATATTAACTTTAAATATAAATGGACTAAATTCTGCAATTAAAAGACACAGACTGGCAAGTTGGATAAAGAGTCAAGACCCATCAGTGTGCTGTATTCAGGAAACCCATCTCACGTGCAGAGACACACATAGGCTCAAAATAAAAGGATGGAGGAAGATCTACCAAGCAAATGGAAAACAAAAAAAGGCAGCGGTTGCAATCCTAGTCTCTGATAAAACAGACTTTAAACCAACAAAGATCAAAAGAGACAAAGAAGGCCATTACATAATGGTAAAGAGATCAATTCAACAAGAGGAGCTAACTATCCTAAATATTTATGCACCCAATACAGGAGAACCCAGATTCATAAAGCAAGTCCTGAGTGACCTACAAAGAGACTTAGACTCCCACACATTAATAATGGGAGACTTTAACACCCCACTGTCAACATTAGACAGATCAACGAGACAGAAAGTCAACAAGGATACCCAGGAATTGAACTCAGCTCTGCACCAAGCAGACCTAATAGACATCTACAGAACTCTCCACCCCAAATCAACAGAATATACATTTTTTTCAGCACCACACCACACCTATTCCAAAATTGACCACATAGTTGGAAGTAAAGCTCTCCTCAGCAAATGTAAAAGAACAGAAATTATAACAAACTATCTCTCAGACCACAGTGCAATCAAACTAGAACTCAGGATTAAGAATCTCACTCAAAGCCGCTCAACTACATGGAAACTGAACAACCTGCTCCTGAATGACTACTGGGTATATAACGAAATGAAGGCAGAAATAAAGATGTTCTTTGAAACCAACGAGAACAAAGACACCACATACCAGAATCTCTGGGACGCATTCAAAGCAGTGTGTAGAGGGAAATTTATAGCACTAAATGCCTACAAGAGAAAGCAGGAAAGATCCAAAATTGACACCCTAACATCACAATTAAAAGAACTAGAAAAGCAAGAGCAAACACATTCAAAAGCTAGCAGAAGGCAAGAAATAACTAAAATCAGAGCAGAACTGAAGGAAATAGAGACACAAAAAACCCTTCAAAAAATCAATGAATCCAGGAGCTGGTTTTTTGAAAGGATCAACAAAATTGATAGACTGCTAGCAAGACTAATAAAGAAAAAAAGAGAGAAGAATCAAATAGACACAATAAAAAATGATAAAGGGGATATCACCACCGATCCCACAGAAATACAAACTACCATCAGAGAATACTACAAACACCTCTACGCAAATAAACTAGAAAATCTAGAAGAAATGGATACATTCCTCGACACATACACTCTCCCAAGACTAAACCAGGAAGAAGTTGAATCTCTGAATAGACCAATAACAGGCTCTGAAATTGTGGCAATAATCAATAGTTTACCAACCAAAAAGAGTCCAGGACCAGATGGATTCACAGCCGAATTCTACCAGAGGTACAAGGAGGAACTGGTACCATTCCTTCTGAAACTATTCCAATCAATAGAAAAAGAGGGAATCTTCCCTAACTCATTTTATGAGGCCAGCATCATTCTGATACCAAAGCCGGGCAGAGACACAACCAAAAAAGAGAATTTTAGACCAATATCCTTGATGAACATTGATGCAAAAATCCTCAATAAAATACTGGGAAACCGAATCCAGCAGCACATCAAAAAGCTTATCCACCATGATCAAGTGGGCTTCATCCCTGGGATGCAAGGCTGGTTCAATATACGCAAATCAATAAATGTAATCCAGCATATAAACTGAGCCAAAGACAAAAACCACATGATTATCTCAATAGATGCAGAAAAAGCCTTTGACAAAATTCAACAACCCTTCATGCTAAAAACTCTCAATAAATTAGGTATTGATGGGACGTATTTCAAAATAATAAGAGCTATCTATGACAAACCCACAGCCAATATCATACTGAATGGGCAAAAACTGGAAGCATTCCCTTTGAAAACTGGCACAAGACAGGGATGCCCTCTCTCACCGCTCCTATTCAACATAGTGTTGGAAGTTCTGGCCAGGGCAATCAGGCAGGAGAAGGAAATAAAGGGTATTCAATTAGGAAAAGAGGAAGTCAAATTGTCCCTGTTTGCAGACGACATGATTGTTTATCTAGAAAACCCCATCGTCTCAGCCCAAAATCTCCTTAAGCTGATAAGCAACTTCAGCAAAGTCTCAGGATACAAAATCAATGTACAAAAATCAGAAGCATTCTTATACACCAACAACAGACAAACAGAGAGCCAAATCATGAGTGAACTCCCACTCACAATTGCTTCAAAGAGAATAAAATACCTAGGAATCCAACTTACAAGGGATGTGAAGGACCTCTTCAAGGAGAACTACAAACCACTGCTCAAGGAAATAAAAGAGGACACAAACAAATGGAAGAACATTCCATGCTCATGGGTAGGAAGAATCAGTATCGTGAAAATGGCCATACTGCCCAAGGTAATTTACAGATTCAATGCCATCCCCATCAAGCTACCAATGACTTTCTTCACAGAATTGGAAAAAACTACTTTAAAGTTCATATGGAACCAAAAAAGAGCCCGCATCGCCAAGTCAATCCTAAGCCAAAAGAACAAAGCTGGAGGCATCACACTACCTGACTTCAAACTATACTACAAGGCTACAGTAACCAAAACAGCATGGTACTGGTACCAAAACAGAGATATAGATCAATGGAACAGAACAGAGCCCTCAGAAATAATGCCGCATATCTACAACTATCTGATCTTTGACAAACCTGAGAAAAACAAGCAATGGGGAAAGGATTCCCTATTTAACAAATGGTGCTGGGAAAACTGGCTAGCCATATGTAGAAAGCTGAAACTGGATCCCTTCCTTACACCTTATACAAAAATCAATTCAAGATGGATTAAAGATTTAAACGTTAGACCTAAAACCATAAAAACCCTAGAAGAAAACCTAGGCATTACCATTCAGGACATAGGCGTGGGCAAGGACTTCATGTCCAAAACACCAAAAGCAATGGCAACAAAAGCCAAAATTGACAAATGGGATCTCATTAAACTAAAGAGCTTCTGCACAGCAAAAGAAACTACCATCAGAGTGAACAGGCAACCTACAACATGGGAGAAAATTTTCGCAACCTACTCATCTGACAAAGGGCTAATATCCAGAATCTACAATGAACTCAAACAAATTTACAAGAAAAAAACAAACAACCGCATCAAAAAGTGGGCGAAGGACATGAACAGACACTTCTCAAAAGAAGACATTTATGCAGCCAAAAAACACATGAAGAAATGCTCATCATCACTGGCCATCAGAGAAATGCAAATCAAAACCACTATGAGATATCATCTCACACCAGTTAGAATGGCAATCATTAAAAAGTCAGGAAACAACAGGTGCTGGAGAGGATGTGGAGAAATAGGAACACTTTTACACTGTTGGTGGGACTGTAAACTAGTTCAACCATTGTGGAAGTCAGTGTGGCGATTCCTCAGGGATCTAGAACTAGAAATACCATTTGACCCAGCCATCCCATTACTGGGTATATACCCAAAGGACTATAAATCATGCTGCTATAAAGACACATGCACACGTATGTTTATTGCGGCACTATTCACAATAGCAAAGACTTGGAACCAACCCAAATGTCCAACAATGATAGACTGGATTAAGAAAATGTGGCACATATACACCATGGAATACTATGCAGCCATAAAAAATGATGAGTTCATGTCCTTTGTAGGGACATGGATGAAATCGGAAACCATCATTCTCAGTAAACTATCGCAAGAACAAAAAACCAAACACCGCATATTCTCACTCATAGGTGGGAATTGAACAATGAGATCACATGGACACAGGAAGGGGAATATCACACTCTGGGGACTGTGGTGGGGTCGGGGGAGGGGGGAGGGATAGCATTGGGAGATATACCTAATGCTAGATGACACGTTAGTGGGTGCAGCGCACCAGCATGGCACATGTATACATATGTAACTAACCTGCACAATGTGCACATGTTCCCTAAAACTTAGAGTATAATAATAAAAAAAAAAAACATTAAAAAAAAAAGACACTTGTGTTATAAACATTTTCCAGCTTTTAAATAGTCTTCAAAATTATTACTTTAATACCTGTGTAATACTCTGTCATGTGGAAATACCATAACTTACTTATGCATTGTCCTGTTGGTAGACATTTAGGCACTTCATGTGTCTAGGTACTAAGATGTTTTTTATGTGAGGACTACAAAAGGGGACATAGAATGATAAAAAATAAAATGTCACTGACAGCACTTTTATAAAATGCAGAAGAAAATTTCATGTGAACATTTCTCATTAACATTCTCTCTACGAGGTAAGGTGAGTGCAGGGTCTAAAATATAATCCAGAGATGTGAAAGGCTCACCTAGTGTAGAACTGATTTCTAGCTGTTGTCTATCTTTTAATGTCTTTTATTGTTCAGTATCAAACCTTAAACCTACTGACCTACATAGCTGAGCTACGTAACTGAAGCCCAGTAAATACATGTTGATGCAAACATACTTCCATCTCTGTACTTGCCTTTGCTTTGGAGGAAAATCAACCTCAAAACCATGTTATTGCTCAGCTTTGATGTTAGAGGCATGCGATGGTAAGAAACAAAGTACTTACATACAACAAAGGGAATACTGGAATACCTGTGGTGTTAGAAAGAGAGCAAAAACATAAAGAGAGAAAAAACGTAAAGAAAGAAAGTAAGCAACTCTCAGCAGCTACAAACCACAACAAATAAAAATATATTTAGTAGTGGATCAAGTAATATTCTTCAAGAAACCAAGCTTTTTCACTTCTCCCAAAACTAAAAGAAAAATCAGCAAGATTTTCAATGTTTTCAAGTTGATTTGTAGGTAATTTAAAATTATTTTGTTGTTGGGCCATGAGAAACTCACTCAGGACTAACAACAACAAAAATTCTTCATAAAGGAATCAAGCTGTCTAAAGGACTAGGTGTCTACTGATTTATGTAAACCTACATTTTTGAACACACTGAAACTGAGTTCATCAAAGAGTTGTCAGTATTCACTAGATATGTTTCTTTTTTAATATCTTACTTTTTATTCTTAATTATGTTATTCATAATTAGAGTGATGATTTGTAAAGAATAGTGAAAACATTTTCATTTTTTGTAAATATTTTCACTTATAAATTCTTTAGTCATGAAATTATATTTTTCCATTTTTTGAAGTTTTTGTTTTCTAATTCCTAGAATTCAGCTTCGACTTAATTCAAAATTTACGCTTCCTTACTATTGTAAATTCCAAGATGATATGATAACATCTTGGATGTTCTGTATTTCAATGTAGTTTATTATAGTAAACTAAAAAGTTTCTGCACAGTAAGGGAAACAACCAACAGAGTGAACAGACAACCTGTAAAATGGGAGATAATATTTGAAAGCTATTCATTTAACAAGGCACTGATATCCAGAATGTACAGGGAACTTAACAGTAACAATAACAATAAAAATAATAATAACAATAATCCCATTCAAAAGTGGACAAAGGATCTGAATAGACATTTATTAAAATAAGACATACACATGGTTAACAGGTTTATGAAAAAATACTTAACATCACTAATTATTAGGGAAATGCAAATCAAAACCACAATGAGATGCTATTTTACCTCAGTTAAAATGGCTATTATAAAAAAGACAAAAAATGCTGGCAAGGATGTGGGGTAAAATGAACTCTCACACACTGTTGATGGAAATGTAAATTTGTACTACCATTATGGAAAACAGTATAGAAATTTCTCAAAAAACCAAAAGTGGAACTACCATATGATCCAGCAATCCTATTTCTGGGTATTTGTCCAAAGGAAAGGAGATCATTATATCAAAGGGATGCTTGTATCCCCATGTTTACTGAAGCACTATTCAGAATAGCCAAGATATGGAGTCAAACTAAGTGTCAATCAGTGGATGAATGGATAAAGAATTTATGGTACATATATGCAATAGAATACTATTCAGCCTTGAAAAGAATGAAATTCTGTTATTTGCAGCAATGTGGATGGAACTGAAGGTCATTATATTAAGTGAAATAAGCTAGGCACAGAAAGACAAGTATCTCATGTTTCCCACTCATTTGTGGGAGCTAAAAATGTTTATCTTGTAGAGGTAGAAAGTAGAATTATAGCTCCCAGGGGCTGGGAAGGATGTGGGGACTGGAGACATGAAGACAGGTTGGTGAATGGGTACAAACATATAGTTACATAGAAGGAATAATTTCTAGTGTTTGATAGCACAGTAGGGTGACTATGGTTAACAACAATATGTTATGTATTTCAAAATAGCTAGAAGAGAAGATTTGAAACATTCTTAACACAATAAATGTTCGAGGTGATAGATATCCTGAATATCCTGATTTGATGATTACACATTGTACATATGTATCAGAGTATCACATGTATACCATAAATATGTACAAATATTATGTATCAATACAAATTTTTTAAAATGGAAGACATATTCTACTAATCTGCAGTAACCAGGAATTGGAGAAACTAGACATTTTACTAATAGTATGCCCTAAATTGTTTAGAAAGCCCCAAATTCATGAACTAGGAAATGTTTATCCAGGCTCCTGGCTTTCTCCCAAATCACATGTGTATCATAAATCATGCATAACCTGTGCATATTCTTACAGTCTAAGAAAGCTCACTTACCAACTAAGTGACTTGCTCCCGACAGTTCTGCCATACAAGATTCAAATTAATGCCTTAGAAACATGATAAATTATTACTTGTCATAGATCTTTCCAGTGGGTTTTGAACTGTCAAAATCATAAATGTGAAAAAGGTGTGATCATCATAGTAATAATGTGTTTTGTGGAGCACTGTGTTTTTTGAGTTCCAGGGTTCCTCTGAAGTATTTCTAAGGCCATTGTGAGAGTAGAGTTCTCCATCCCTGATTGAATCCAGGTAGATCGGCCTTTATTTGGGGTATGTGTTTAGCTTTTACAAAATATGTCATTTAAATAAAGTACTCTGCTATTAAGAAATAATTTAAAAACCAATAATGTGGAAGCATATAGGCTTTGGTGTGAGAAAAACCTGTCATACCCTGGTTGGAAAACTTGGCTCTTGTGTAACTATAGACTGGTTACTTTACCTCTCTAAATCTTCTTTTCTTAAAATGAGAGAAAGAGATTGTAATAGAACTGTTTTTATAGACTTGTTGTGAGAAACTATGAGATAATTAATAAAAGTTGTTTAACCTAGCATCTGGTACATAGTAAATAAATAATAAATATTAACTAATGTAACGATTATTCATTTAATGTTGAAAGTAACCGAATTGATTTGATGATTAGTTGAATCAGTGTATTTGTAGATTTTATTTTGAGTCAGCAATGAATGTACTTTATCTCATTCAACCTTCACAACAATGTGCTGAAGTCAGTGTATTCTTTTTTTAATTATTATTATTATACTTTAAGTTTTAGCGTACATGTGCACAATGTGCAGGTTTGTTACATATGTATACATGTGCCGTGTTGGTGTGCCACACCCATTAACTCGTCATTTAACATTAGGTATATCTCCTGATGCTATCCCTCCCCCCTCCACAACAGGCCTTGGTGTCTGATGTTCCCCTTCCTGTGTCCATGTGTTCTCATTGTTCAATTCCCACCTATGAGGGAGAACATGCGGTGTTTGGTTTTTGGTCCTTGCAATAGTTTGCTGAGAATGATGGTTTCCAGCTTCATCCATGTCCCTACAAAGGACATGAACTCATCATTGTCTATGGCTGCATAGTATTCCATGGTGTATGTATATGTGCCACATTTTCATAATCCAGTCTATCATTGTTGGACATTTGGGTTGGTTCCAAGTCTTTGCTATTGTGAATAGTGCCGCAATAAACCTACGTGTGCATGTGTCTTTATAGCAGCATGATTTATAATCCTTTCGGTATATACCCAGTAATGGGATGGCTGGGTCAAATGGTATTACTAGTTCTAGATCCCTGAGGAATCGCCACACTGACTTCCACAATGGTTGAACTAGTTTACAGTCCCACCAACAGTGTAAAAGTGTTCCTATTTCTTCACAGCCTCTCCAGTGCCTGTTGTTTCCTGACTTTTTAATGATCGCCATTCTAACTGGTGTGAGATGGTATCTCATTGTGGTTTTGATTTGCATTTCTCTGATGGCCAGTGATGATGAGCATTTTTTCATGTGTCTTTTGGCTGCATAAACGTCTTCTTTTGAGAAGTGTCTGTTCATATCCTTCTCCCACTTGTTGATGGGGTTGTTTTTTTCTTGTAAATTTGTTTGAGTTCATTGTAGATTCTGGATATTAGCCCTTTGTCAGATGAGTAGGTTGCAAAAATTTTCTCCCATTCTGTTGCCTGTTCACTCTGATGGTAGTTTCTTTTGCTGTGCAGAAGCTCTTTAGTTTAATGAGATCCCATTTGTCAATTTTGTCTTTTGTTGCCATTGCTTTTGGTGTTTTAGACATGAAGTCCTTGCACATGCCTATGTCCTGAATGGTATTGCCTAGGTTTTCTTCTAGGGTTTTTATGATTTTAGGTCTAACATGTAAGTCTTTAATCCATCTTGAATTAATTTTTGTATAAGGTGTAAGGAAGGGATCCAGTTTCAGCTTTCTACATATGGCCAGCCAGTTTTCCCAGCACCATTTATTAAATAGGGAATCCTTTCCCCATCGCTTGTTTTTGTCAGGTTTGCAAAGATCAGATAGTTGTAGATATGTGGCATTATTTCTGAGACCTCTGTTCTGTTCCATTGGTCTATATCTCTGTTTTGGTACCAGTACCATGCTGTTTTGGTTACCGTAGCCTTGTAGTATAGTTTGAAGTCAGGTAGCATGATGCTTCCAGCTTTATTCTTTTGGCTTAGGATTGACTTGGCAATGTGGGCTCTTTTTTGGTTCCATATGAACTTTAAAGTAGTTTTTTCCAATTCTGTGAAGAAAGTCATTGGTAGCTTGATGGGGATGGCATTGAATCTATAAATTACCTTGGGCAGTATGGCCATTTTCACGATATTGATTCTTCCTACCCATGAGCATGGAATGTTCTTCCATTTGTTTGTATCCTCTTTTATTTCATTGAGCAGTGGTTTGTAGTTCTCCTTGAAGAGGTCTTTCACATCCCTTGTAAGTTGGATTCCTAGGTATTTTATTCTCTTTGAAGCAATTGTGGATGGGAGTTCACTCATGATTTGGCTCTCTGTTTGTCTGTTATTGGTGTATAAGAATGCTTGTGATTTTTGCACATTGATTTTGTATCCTGAGACTTTGCTGAAGTTGCTTATCAGCCTAAGGAGATTTTGGGCTGAGACGATGGGGTTTTCTAGATATACAATCATGTCATCTGCAAACAGGGACAATTTGACTTCCTCTTTTCCTAATTGAATACCCTTTATTTCCTTCTCCTGCCTGATTGCCCTGGCCAGAACTTCCAACACTATGTTGAATAGGAGTGGTGAGAGAGGGCATCCCTGTCTTGTGCCAGTTTTCAAAGGGAATGCTTCCAGTTTTTGCCCATTCAGTATGATATTGGCTGTGGGTTTGTCATAGATAGCTATTATTATTTTGAGACGGCACGAGAACTATGTGACGGATGCACAATCCTCAGTAGCTGATGTGATCAACTGGAAGAAAGGGTATCAGCGATGGAAGACGAAATGAATGAAATGAAGCAAGAAGAGAAGTTTAGAGAAAAAAGAATAAAAAGAAAGGAACAAAGCCTCCAAGAAATATGGGACTGTGTGAAAAGACCAAATCTACATCTGATTGGTGTACCTGAAAGTGACGGGGAGAATGGAACCAAGTTGGAAAACACACTGTGGGATATTATCCAGGAGAACTTCCCCAATCTAGCAAGGCAGGCCAACATTCAAATTCAGGAAATACAGAGAACACCATTAAGATACTCCTCGAGAAGAGCAACTCCAAGACACATAATTGTCAGATTCACCAAAGTTGAAATGAAGGAAAAAATGTTAAGGGCAGCCAGAGAGAAAGGTCGGCTTACCCACAAAGGGAAGCCCATCAGACTAACAGCTGATCTCTCAGCAGAAACTCTACAAGCCAGAAGAGAGTGGGGGCCAATATTCAACATTCTTAAAGAAAAGAATTTCCAACCCAGAATTTCATATCCAGCCAAACTAAGCTTCATAAGTGAAGGAGAAATAAAATACTTTACAGACAAGCAAATGCTGAGAGATTTTGTCACCACCAGGCCTGCCCTACAAGAGCTCCTGAAGGAACCACTAAGCATGGAAAGGAACAACCGGTACCAGCCACTGCAAAAACCTGCCAAATTGTAAAGACCATCGAGGCTAGGAAGAAACTGCATCAACTAACGAGCAAAATAACCAGCTAACATCATAATGACAGGATCAAATTCACACATAACAATACTAACCTTAAATGTAAATGGGCTAAATGCTCCAATTAAAAGACACAGACTGGCAAATTGGAAAAAGAGTCAAGACCCATCAGTGTGCTGTATTCAGGAAACCCATCTCAAGTGCAGAGAAACACATAGGCTCAAAATAAAAGGATGGAGGAAGATCTACCAAGCAAATGGAAAACAAAAAAAAGCAGGGGTTGCAATCCTAGTCGATTAAACAGACTTTAAACCAACAAAGATCAAAAGAGACAAAGAAGGCCATTACATAATTATAAAGGGATCAATTCAACAAGAAGAACTAACTATCCTAAATATATATGCACCCAATACAGGAGCACCCAGATTCATAAAGCAAGTCCTTGGTGACCTACAAAGAGATTTAGACTCCCACACAATAATAATGGGAGACTTTAACACCCCACTGTCAACATTAGACAGATCAACGAGACAGAAAGTTAACAAGGATATCCAGGAATTGAACTCAGCTCTGCACCAAGCGGACCTAATAGACATCTACAGAACTCTCCACCCCAAATCAACATAATATACATTCTTTTCAGCACCACACCACACCTATTCCAAAATTGACCACATAGTTGGAAGTAAAGCTCTCCTCAGCAAATGTAAAAGAACAGAAATTATAACAAACTGTCTCTCAGACCACAATGCCATCAAACTAGAACCCGGGATTAAGAAACTGACTCAAAACCGCTCAACTACGTGGAAACTGAACAACCTGCTCCTGAATGACTACTGGGTACATAATGAAATGAAGGCAGAAATAAGGAAGTCAGTGTATTCTTATTCCACAGAGGAGGAAGCTGAGACTTGGGCAGGTGGGTAAGCCACAGTGTCTATGTATCTGTATGTGGCAGCGTAGAATTTTGAACTTGGGTGTCATGAGTACAAGTATAATATTCTTTTTATTAAACTATTTTCTCCAGAGCCAACAGGGAGCATGTTGATCATGATTTATATTACTTAGATTTTTAGGTCTATAGATTTTGTAGTTTTGCAGAGAAGTCACCTTATTTAATAATTACACAGTGTCTTCTGAGAGTCAGTATTAATGTGATTAATACAAGGAATCTGAAGACTTTTTGAAGGCCTTTGTTTCAGGTGCTCTCTGATTACTTACTCACTGGACTCCAGAGGACTGTTGCTTGCTACATTACTCAATGTAGCCTTTAGGAGCAAAAGAAAGCTTCTTGTCACCTCACCCTGTGGATACTTTTCCACTACTTTCCTAAAATCATTTCTGTAGGTTAATGACATCAAAAAGCATTCTGTAGTGGATAAAGTTAGCTTCTTCTGATAAATATTCCATTATAGCAATTCATACCAAGTAAGCCTTTTTTTCTATGTTGCCAAAACCCACAAAAGACTTAGGTATTAAATTATTTTATAATTAGCACATCAGACTCTCCCAATCATTGGGAAGGACAACATAGAATCACTTCACTAGGAATTTCCCTCTACTTGCTGAACTGGCATGTATTTGAAACATTATTTATTTGCTTGAATTTCCTTTTTTTTTTTTTTTTTGAGACAAGGGCTTGCTCTTTCCCCCAGGCTGGAATGCAGTGGCACGATCTTGGCTCACTGCAACCTCCACTTGCAACCTCTGCTTCCCGGGTTCAAGGAATTCTCATGCCTCAGCCTCCTGAGTAGCTGGGACCATAGGTGTGTGCCACCACGCCCAGCTAATTTTTGTATTTTTAGTACAGGCAGGGTTTCACCATGTTGGCCAGGCTGGTCTCAAACTCCTGGCCTCAAGTGATCCTCCCATCTCTGCCTTCCAAAGTGATAGGGTTACAGGTGTGAGCCACCACGCCTGGCCTTGAATTTCCATTTTAATATATCTCAGTAAAATATCAATGGAATAGTTGTCCTTATTCTTCTTAGTTTCTATAATATTGTTTGCTGTTTATGAAACATGATTTTGTGTTTGGCACTTTACACAGATTATTTCAGTAAACGTTTATTACAATCCAATAAGACAGGTGTTATTCCATTTTAAAGATGAGGAAACTGAAGCAAAGGGAATTTAAACTGCTCATCTAAAGTTTCACTACCTGCAAATGAAGAAGCTGGAATTGTTTCTCAGCTTTTGTTAACCCTGAAGCTAAAACTCCTTCTTGGCATAAATGCAAGGAAACCCAAATCTCAAACAATTCCAGGAATGATGTCCATGTTCACTGGCATATAGGAAAGCATTAGTTAGAGTGCAGTGGAAATGAATTTGATAAATATGGTTAGAGCTAACATTTACTGAAGGCTTATGAAGGCTTATCATGTGCCAGGCATTGTATAGCACTTAAAAAATATTAGCTAACTTAGTACCCACAAAAACCCTTTAGGTAAGTATGTTTTTATACCCAAATTACAGATGAGGAAACAGAGGTGTATATGATTAAGAAGCTGATTAAGTGAAGGAGCCTGGGTTTGGACCAAAGTCCTCCTCTTCATCCCTAGATAATGCAGTGATTTGGTGTCTGGTCATTGCCTTACTTATTGTTAATAGTATCTTTTCAGGTTCTGATTCTATGCCACATTTTGTATGCTGATAGAAATCGTGTATGGATTTAGTCTAGGTGGATTGATGTCTAATTTCTCATCCAGGTTTGTTATGCTCATATTTGCTGGAAGTAAGGAAGAATGTCTTCCTTACGAATTCTCTGTTAATCAAGTAGATTTGCCACATAGGTTGTAAATAACGCTTATTTTTAGCATAGAAAATACATTTTCCATCATTTAAAACAAATAATCTAGATTTTCTTTTTAGAAATGTATATTATTTTCCAGGTACTTTTCATTTTATGTATACATTATTTAAAAGTTTTAAAAATCTCTCTATGAGAAAAGCTGGTTTTACATTTCAAGACAGTTGTCATAAGTTTCTAAAACCAAAAAAAAAAAAAAGCTAAACTTTTATCTTATAGGCCAATTTTTAACTACTTTCTTTTTTTTAATTTTAATTTTAATTTTAATTTTATTATTATACTTTAAGTTTTAGGGTACATGTGCACAATGTGCAGGTTAGTTACATATGTATACATGCGCCATGCTGGTGTGCTGCATCCATTAACTCATCATTTAACATTAGGTATATCTCCTAATGCTATGTCTCCCCCTTCCCCCCACCCCACAACAGTCCCCAGAGTGTGATGTTCCCCTTCCTGTGTCCATGTGTTCTCATTGTTCAATTCCCACCTATGAGTGAGAATATGCGGTGTTTGGTTTTTTGTTCTTGAGATAGTTTGCTGAGAATGATGATTTCCAATTTCATCCTGTCCCTACAAAGGACATGAACTCATCATTTTTTATGGCTGCATAGTATTCCATGGTGTATATGTGCCACATTTTCTTAATCCAGTCTATCATTGTTGGACATTTGGGTTGGTTCCAAGTCTTTGCTATTGTGAATAGTGCCACAATAAACATACGTGTGCATGTGTCTTTATAGCAGCATGATTTATAGTCCTTTGGGTATATACCCAGTGATGGGATGGCTGGGTCAAATGGTATTTCTAGTTCTAGATCCTTGAGGAATCACCACATTGACTTCCACAATGGTTGAACTAGTTTACAGTCCCACCAACAGTGTAAAAGTGTTCCTATTTCTCCACATCCTCTCCAGCACCTGTTGTTTCCTGACTTTTTAATGATCGCCATTCTAACTCATTGTGGTTTTGATTTGCATTTCTCTGATAGCCAGTCGTGGTGGGCATTTTCTCATGTGTCTTTTGGCTGCATAAATGTCTTCTTTTGAGAAGTGTCTGTTCATGTCCTTCACCCACTTTTTGATGGGGTTGTTTGTTTTTTCTTGTACATTTGTTTGAGTTCATTGTAGATTCTGGATATTAGCCCTTTGTCAGATGAGTAGGTTGCAAAAATTTTCTCCCATACTGTACGTTGCCTGTTCACTCTGATGGTAGTTTCTTTTGCTGTGCAGAAGCTCTTTAGTTTAATGAGATCCCATTTGTCAATTTTGGCTTTTGTTGCCATTGCTTTTGGTGTTTTAGACATGAAGTCCTTGCCCATGCCTATGTCCTGAATGATAATGCCTAGGTTTTCTTCTAGGGTTTTTATGGTTTTAGGTCAAATGTTTAAGTCTTTAATCCATCTTGAATTAATTTTTGTATAAGGTGTGAAGAAGGGATCCAGTTTCAGCTTTCTACAGATGGCTAACCAGTTTTCCCAGCACCATTTATTAAATAGGGAATCCTTTCCTCATTGCTTGTTTTTCTCAGGTTTGTCAAAGATCAGATAGTTGTAGATATGCGGCATTATTTCTGAGGGCTCTGTTCTGTTCCATTGATCTATATCTCTGTTTTGATACCAGTACCATGCTGTTTTGGTTACTGTAGCCTTGTAGTATAGTTTGAAGTCAGGTAGCGTGATGCCTCCAGCTTTGTTCTTTTGGCTTATGATTGAGTTGGCAATGCGGGCTCTTTTTTGGTTCCATATGAACTTTAAAGTAGTTTTTTCCAGGTCTGTGAAGAAAGTCATTGGTAGCTTGATGGGGATGGCATTGAATCTATAAATTACCTTGGGCAGTATGGCCATTTTCATGATATTGATTCTTCCTACCCATGAGCATGGAATGTTCTTCCACTTGTTTGTATCCTCTTTTATTTCATTGAGCAGTGGTTTGTAGTTCTCCTTGAAGAGGTCCTTCACGTCCCTTGTAAGTTGGATTGCTAGGTATTTTATTCTCTTTGAAGCAATTGTGGATGGGAGTTCACTCATGATTTGGCTCTCTGTTTGTTTGTTATTGGTGTATAAGAATGCTTGTGATTTTTGCACGTTGATTTTGTATCCTGAGACTTTGCTGAAGTTGCCTATCAGCTTAAGGAGATTTTGGGCTGAGATGATGGGGTTTTCTAGATATAGAATCATGTCATCTGCAAACAGGGACAATTTGACTTCCTCTTTTCCTAACTGAATACCCTTTATTTCCTTCTCCTGCATAATTGCCCTGGCCAGAACTTCTAAAACTATGTTGAATAGGAGTGGTGAGAGAGGGCATCCCTGTCTTGTGCCAGTTTTCAAAGGGAATGCTTCCAGTTTTTGCCCATTCAGTATGATATTGGCTGTGGGTTTGTCATAGATAGCTCTTATTATTTTGAAATACGTCCCATCAATACCTAATTTATTGAGAGTTTTTAGCATGAAGGGTTGTTGAATTTTGTCAAAGGCCTTTTCTGCATCTATTGAGATAGTCATGTAGTTTTTGTCTTTGGTTCTGTTTATATGCTGGATTACATTTATTGATTTGCGTATGTTGAACCAGCCTTGCATCCCAGGGATGAAGCCCACTTGATCATGGTGGATAAGCTTTTTGATGTGCTGCTGGATTCAGTTTGCCTGTATTTTATTGAGGATTTTTGCATCAATGTTCATCAAGGATATTGGTCTAAAACTCTCTTTTTTGGTTGTGTCTCTGCCAGGCTTTGGTATCAGGATGATGATGGCCTCATAAAATGAGTTAGGGAGGATTCCCTCTTTTTCTATTGATTGGAATAGTTTCAGAAGGAATGGTACCAGTTCCTCCTTGTACCTCTGATAGAAATCGGCTGTGATTCCATCTGGTCCTGGACTCTTTTTGGTTGGTAAGCTATTGATTATTGCCACAACTTCAGAGCCTGTTATTGGTCTATTCAGAGATTCAACTTCTTCCTGGTTTAGTCTTGGGAGGGTGTATGTGTCGAGGAATTTATCCATTTATTCTAGATTTTCTAGTTTATTTGCATAGAGGTGTTTGTAGTATTCTCTGATGGTAGTTTGTATTTCTATGGGAGCAGTGGTGATATCCCCTTTATCATTTTTTATTGCGTCTCTTTGATTCTTCTCTCTTTTCTTCTTTATTAGTCTTGCTAGCAGTCTATCAATTTTGTTGATCCTTTCAAAAAACCAGCTCCTGGATTCATTAATTTTTTGAAGGGTTTTTTGTGTCTCTATTTCCTTCAGTTCTGCTCTGATTTTAGTTATTTCTTGCCTTCTGCTAGCCTTTGAATGTGTTTGCTCTTGCTTTTCTAGTTCTTTTAATTGTGATGTTAGGGTGTCAATTTTGGATCTTTCCTTCTTTCTCTTGTGGGCATTTAGTGCTATAAATTTCCCTCTACACACTGCTTTGAATGTGTCCCAGAGATTCTGGTATGTTGTGTCTTTGTTCTCGTTGGTTTCAAAGAACATCTTTATTTCTGCCTTCATTTCATTATGTACCCAGTAGTCATTCAGGAGCAGGTTGTTCAGTTTATATGTAGTTGAGCATTTTTGAGTGAGTTTCTTAATCCTGAGTTCTAGTTTGATTGCACTGTGGTCTGAGAGACAGTTTGTTATAATGTCTGATCTTTTACGTTTGCTCAGGAGAGCTTTACTTCCAACTCTGTGGTCAATTTTGGAATAGGTGTGGTGTGGTACTGAAAAAAAATGTATATTCTCTTGATTTGGGGTGGAGAGTTCTGTAGATGTCTATTAGGTCCGCTTGGTGCAGAGCTGAGTTCAATTCCTGGGTATCCTTGTTAACTTTCTGTCTCGTTGATCTGTCTAATGTTGACAGTGGGGTGTTAAAGTCTCCCATTATTATTGTGTGGGAGTCTAAATCTCTTTGTAGGTCAGTCAGGAGTTGCTTTATGAATCTGGGTGCTCTTGTATTGGGTGCATATATATTTAGCATAGTTAGCTCTTCTTGTTGAATTGATCCCTTTACCATTATGTAATGGCCTTCTTTGTCTCTTTTGATCTTTGTTGGTTTAAAGTCTCTTTTATCAGAGACTAGGATTGCAACCCCTACCTTTTTTTGTTTTCCATTTGCTTGGTAGATCTTCCTCCATCCTTTTATTTTGAGCCTATGTGCGTCTCTGCACATGAGATGGGTTTCCTGAATACAGCACACTGATGGGTCTTGACTCTTTTTCCAATTTGCCAGTCTGTGTCTTTTAATTGGAGCATTTAGTCCATTTACATTTAAAGTTAATATTGTTATGTGTGAATTTGATCCTGTCATTATGACGTTAGCTTGTTATTTTGCTCGTTAGTTGATGCAGTTTCTTCCTAGCCTTGATGGTCTTTACAATTTGGCATGATTTTGCAGTGGCTGGTACCGGTTGTTCCTTTCCATGTTTAGTGGTTCCTTCAGGAGCTCTTGTAGGGCAGGCCTGGTGGTGACAAAATCTCTCAGCATTTGCTTGTCTGTAAAGTATTTTATTTCTCCTTCACTTATGAAGCTTAGTTTGGCTGGATATGAAATTCTGGGTTGGAAATTCTTTTCTTTAAGAATGTTGAATATTGGCCCCCACTCTCTTCTGGCTTGTAGAGTTTCTGCTGAGAGATCAGCTGTTAGTCTGATGGGCTTCCCTTTGTGGGTAAGCCGACCTTTCTCTCTGGCTGCCCTTAACATTTTTTCCTTCATTTCAACTTTGGTGAATCTGACAATTATGTGTCTTGGAGTTGCTCTTCTCGAGGAGTATCTTAGTGGTGTTCTCTGTATTTCCTGAATTTGAATGTTGGCCTGCCTTGCTAGATTGGGGAAGTTCTCCTGGATAACATCCTGCAGAGTGTTTTCCAACTTGGTTCCATTCTCCCCGTCACTTTCAGGTACACCAATCAGACATAGATTTGGTCTTTTCACACAGTCCCATATTTCTTGGAGGTTTTGTTCATTTCTTTTTATTCTTTTTTCTCTAAACTTCTCTTCTCACTTCATTTCATTCATTTCATCTTCCGTCACTGATACCCTTTCTTCCAGTTGATCACATCAGCTCCTGAGGCTTCTTCATTCTTCATGTAGTTCTCAAGCCTTGGCTTTCAGCTCCATCAGTTCCTTTAAGCACTTCTCTGTATTGGTTATTCTAGTTATACATTCGTCTAAATTTTTTTCACAGTTTTCAACGTTTTTGTCTTTGGTTTGAATTTCCTCTTGTAGCTCAGAGTAGTTTGATCATCTGAAGCCTTCTTCTCTCAATTCGTCAAAGTCATTCTCCATCCAGCTTTGTTCCATTGCTGTTGAGGAGCTGCGTTCCTTTGGAGGAGGAGAGGTGCTCTGCTTTTTAGAGTTTCCAGTTTTTCTGCTCTGTTTTTTCCCCATCTTTGTGGTTTTATCTACTTTTGGTCTTTGATGATGGTGATGTACAGATGGGTTTTTGGTGTGGATGTCCTTTCTGTTTGTTAGTTTTCCTTCTAACAGATAGGACCCTCAGCTGCAGGTCTGTTGGAGTTTGCTGGAGGTCCACTCCAGACCCTGTTTGCCTGGGTAGCAGCAGCGGTGGCTGCAGAACAGTGGATTTTCATGAACCACGAATCCTGCTGTCTGATCGTTCCTCTGGAAGTTTTGTCTCAGGGGAGTACCCGGCCGTGTGAGGTGTCAGTGTGCCCCTACTGGGGGGTGCCTCCCAGTTAGGCTGCTCAGGGGGTCAGTGTTCAGGGACCCACTTGAGGAGGCAGTCTGCCCGTTCTCAGATATCCAGCTGCATGCTGGGAGAACCACTGCTCTCTTCAAAGCTGTCAGACAGGGACTTTTTTTTAACTACTTTCTAAATCTTACTTTTTATTCTCCTTTTTTTTTTGGCCATTTAAACAATGTAAATATGTTTTGTTTATGCATTAAATATTGTGCCAGGTATTTTTAAATAACCTTTTAAGAACATTGTCCATTTTACATTTCCATTGCTCTTATGGCCGTCTTCATTTGGGGATCAATATGGCATCAACAGAGAACAGATTATAGGACAAGCAACTCATAAAGGCACTTCTGTTGCTAAGCTGGCCACTTTCTGTAGTATCCCTCCTCCAGTGACTTAAGTACCATTTAGAACAAATGTGACACTTGGGAGGAGTCATGCACAGCCTGGAGCAATGCGTGATCCCCAGATGTGAGTGGGAAGTCTCAGTGTGTATGTGTTGCTATGGTGAGCCTTAAACAGTCCTGCAAGGGAGGGACCAGGGTTTCTGGCTGCAGGGCTAGAGTGGAGATTATGCACACAACACATGCAGAGGCTCTGGAGTCCCCTTTGTTTAGATTTGACATAACAACTTATCCTCTACTGAGGGTAACTTTGAGATAGACAGCATTGAGACACTATCGATATCACACGGAGGTGCTGTTCAAAATTGTGCCCAGACTGCAGGCTTAGACTGGGCCATCTTGTTTACTATTCTGTCTCCTTCCTAAAACATCTTATCTTTCAAGTCTATTCCTAATGATCAAGGGAGGCAAGGCAAGGCTGTTGTTTAAATAAAAATATCACAATGATAATAATATTAACTTTATTTATATGATGTGTCTGTAAGTTGTGTCAGGCATGATTCTAACTGATTTACACATATTGCCTCATTTAATCTTCAACACAACATATGACAGATGGGGAAACAGAAGTGCAGGAAAGGTAGTAGCTGCTCAGGATACATGGTGAGTAGGGGAGAGGCTGGATTTGAAAGAAGACAGGCTTCCTCTGAACCCTGTCCTCAACAATTACATGATACAGTATCACATATTAATCTGTTGACATGAATGGAATGCATTAAAATCAGTTCATGATGTTTCTAATTGTAAAAGAACAACCTAACATTAATAGGCTCTAGTTTGTTTTTATAGATGCAGTAATTCATTCCTCCATTTAGCAAATTTTTATTGAGCTCTTGCTGTGCATTTGTCACTGTGTGAGGCATAGATGGTGGAAAATAGACAGGATCCTTGACTTCATTCAATTCTTTTGAGAAAAGAGACCTCTAAAGGAGCAATTACTGGGGAGTAAGCATGTTATGTGATATGATGAGGATGCTCCAGTGAACAGATGATCTAACCATGGTTATGTATCAGAGAAGGCTTCATTGAGGAGATGACATTTGCACTGAGACCTAAGGGTGAGTAGAAGTTCATTAGTCAAAGTGCATGAGATAAGGTGTTTCTAGGTTCAGGTAGCAGGAGATAGTGGGAGGTTGGTTATAGGACAGAGAGAACCATTTGGGGCCTGCAGATGTTGGTTGACTATACAGAAAGAGTGTGTCTGAAGACCTAAGCGGACTCAATTACGGACAGCTTTGTTCAAACATTTTCTCTTTAGCTCAAATGCAAAGGAAACCCATATGAAAGACTTAAAAGCTGGGGAGTCACATGATTAGACTTGTATTTCTTTATTTTATTTTATTACTTTATTTTATTTTACTTTAAGTTCTGGGTTACATGTGCAGACTGTGCAGGTGTGTTGCATAGGTATACATTGGCCATGGTGGCTTGCTGCACCTGTCAACCCATCCTCTAGGTTTTAAGCCCTGAATGCATTAGGTATTTGTCCTAATCCTCTCCCTCCTCTTTCCCCGCCACTGGCAGGCCCTGGTGTGTCATGTTCCCCTGCCTGTGTCCATGTGTTCTCATTGTTCAACTCCCACTTATGAGTGAGAACATGCAGTGTTTGGTTTTCTGTTCCTGTGTTAGTTTGCTGAGAATGATGGCTTCCAACCTCATCCATGTTCCTGCAAAGGACATGATCTCATTCTTTTTATGGCTGCATAGTATTCCGTGATATATATGTACCACATTTTCTTTATCCAGTCCATCATTAATGGGCATTCGGGTTGGTTCCTTGTCTTTGCTGCAATAAACATATGTGTACTATGCAATAAACATAGTGCTGCAATAAACATATGTGTACATGTGTCTTTATGGTAGAATGATTTATACTCCTTTGGGTATATAGCCAGTAAATGAATTGCTAGGTCAAATGGTATTTCTGGTTTTGATCCTTGAGGAATTGCCACACTGTCTTCCACAATGGTTGAACTAATTTACAATCCCACCAACAGTATGAAAGTGCACCAATTTCTCCGCAGCCTCGCCAGCGTTTATTGTTTCCTGACTTTTAATAATGGCCATTCTTACTGTCGTGAGATGGAATCTCATAGTGCTTTTGATTTGCATTTCTCTAATGATCAGTGATGATGAGCTTTTCTCATATGTTTCTTGGCCACATGAATGTCTTATTTTAAGAAGTGTCTATTCATACCATTTGCCCACTTTTTGATGAGGTTTTTTTTTTTCCCCTGTAAATTTGTTAAGTACTTTGTACATTCTGGCTGTTAGACCTTTGTCAGATGGGTAGATTGCAAATATTTTCTCCCATTCTGTAGGTTGCCTGTTCACATTGATGCTAGTTTCTTTGGCTTTCCAGAAGCTCTTTAGTTTAATTAGATCCCATTTGTCAATTTTGGCTTTTGTTGCAATTGTTTTTGGTGTTTTAGTCATGAAGTCTTTGCCCATGCCTGTGTCCTGAATGGTGTTGCCTACATTGTCTTCTAGGGTTTTTATGGTTTTGGGTTTTACACCTAAATCTTTAATCCATCTTGAGTTAATTTTTGTATAAGGTGTAAGGAAGGGGTCCAGTTTCAGTTTTCTGCATATGGCTGGCCAGTTTTCCCACACCATTTATTAAACAGGGAATCCTTTCCCCATTGCTTGCTTTTGTCAGGTTTGTTGAAGATCAGATGGTTGTAGGTGTGTGATGTTATTTTTGAGGTCTCTGTTCTCTTCCATTGGTCTATATATCTGTTTTGCTATCAGTACCATGCTGTTTTGGTTACTGTGGCCTTGTAGTATAGTTTGAAGTCAGGTAGCGTGATGCCTTCAGCTTTGTTCTTTTTGCTTAGGATTGTCCTGGCTATACAGGCTCTTTTTTGGTTCCATAAATTTAAATTAAAGTAATTTTTTCTAATTCTGTGAAGAAAGTCAATGATAGTTTAATGGGAATAGCATTGAATCTATAAATTACTTTGGGCAGTATGGCCATTTTCACGATACTGATTCTTCCTATCCATGAGCATGGAATGTTTTTCCATTTGTTTGTGTTCTCCCTTATTTCATTGAGCAGTGGTTTGTAGTTCTCCTTGAAGAGGTCCTTCATGTCTCTTGTAAGCTGTCATCCTAGGTATTTTATTCTCTTTGTGGCAATTGTGAATGGGAGTTCATTCATGATTTGGCTGTTTGCTTGTCTATTGTTGATGTATAGGAATGCTTGGGATTTTTGCACATTGATTTTGTATGCTGAGAATTTGCTGAAGTTGCTTATCAGCTTAAGGAGTTTTTGGACTGAGACGATGGCGTATTCTAAATATACAATCATGTCATCTACAAACAGAGACAATTTGACTTCCTCACTTCCTATTTGAATACGCTTTATTTCTTTCTCTTGCCTGAATGCCCTGGCCAGAACTTCCAATACTATTTTGAATAGGAGTGGTGAGAGAGAGCATCCTTGTCTTGTGCCAGTTTTCAAAGGGAATGCTTCCAGCTTTTGCCCAATCAATATGATATTGGCTATGAGTTTGTCTGAAATAGCTCTTATTACTTTGAGATATGTTCCATCAACACGTAGTTTATTGAGAGTTTTTAACATGAAGGGATGTTGAATGTTATTGAAGGCCTTCTCTGCGTTTGTTGAGATAATCATGTGTTTTTTGTCATTGGTTCTGTTTATGTGATGGTTTATGTTTATTGATTTGTGTATGTTGAACCAGCCTTTCATCCCAGAGATGAAGCCAACTTGATCGCGGTGGATAAGCTTTTTGATGTGCTGCTGGATTTGGTTTGCCGGTATTTTATTGAGGATTTCTGCATTGATGTTCATCAGGGATATTGGCCTGAAGTTTTCTTTTTTTGTTGTGTCTCTGTGAGGTTTTGGAATTGTGTCCAGAGTTGGTGTGTTCTTGGTCTCACTGAGTTCAAGAATGAAGCTGCAGACCCTCGCGGTGAGTGTTACAGTTCTTAAAGGTGACATGTCCAGAGTTGTTTGTTCCTCCTGGTGTTCAGATGTGTTCAGAGTTTCTTCCTTCCAGTGGGTTCATGGTCTCGCTGGCTCAGGAGTGAAGCTGCAGACCTTCACGGTGAGTGTTACAGCTCACAAAGGCAGTGTGGACCCAAAGAGTGAGCAGCAGCAAGATTTATTGCAAAGAGTGAAAGAACAAAGCTTCCACAGTGTGGAAGGGGACCCCAGGGGGTTGCCACTTCTGGCTCAGGCAGCCTGCTTTTATTCCCTTATCTGGCCCCACCCACATCCTGCTGATTGGTCCATTTTACAGAGAGCTGATTGGTCTGTTTTACAGAGAGCTGATTGGTCTGTTTTGACAGGGTGCTGATTGGTGTGTTTACAATCCCTGAGCTAGACACAAAAGTTCTCCAAGTCCCCACCAGATTAGCTAGATACAGAGTGCCGATTGGTGCATTTACAAACCTTGAGCTAGACACAGAGTGCTGATTGGTATATTTACAATCCTTTAGCTAGACATAAAGGTTCTCCAAGTCCCCACCAGATTAGCTAGCTACAGAGTGCTGATTTGTGCGTTTACAAACCTTGAGCTAGACACAGGGTGCTGATTAGTACATATACAATCCTCCAGCTAGACATAAAAGTTCTCCAAGTCCCCACTAGACTCAGGAGCCCAGCTGGCTTCACCTAGTGGATCCCGCACCGGGGCTGCAGGGTGGAGCTGTCTGCCAGTCCTGCGCCATGTGCCCCCACTCCTCAGCCCTTGGGCGGTCGATGGGACTGGGTGCCGTGGAGCAGGGGGCGGCACTCATTGGGGAGGCTCAGGCTGTGCAGGAGCCCATGGTGGTGGGGAGGCTCAGGCATGGTGGGCTGCAGGTCCTGAGCCCTGCCCCACAGGGAGGCAGCTGAGGCCTGGTGAGAATTCAAGCGCAGCCCTGGTGGACCGGCACTGCTGGGGGACCCGGTGCACCCTCCACAGCTGCTGGCCCGGGTGCTAAGCCCATCACTGCCCACAGCCAGCAGTGCCAGCTGGCTGCTCCGAGTGCGGGGCCCACCGAGCCCACTCCCACCTGGAACTCATGCTGGCCCACAAGTGCTGCATGCAGCCCCAGTTCCCGCCTGCGCCTCTCCCTCCACACCTCCCTGCAAGCTGAGGGAGCCGGCTCGGGCCTCAGCCAGCCCAGAGAGGGGCTCCCACAGTGCAGCAGCGGGCTGAAGGGCTCCTCAAGTGCGGCCAGAGTGGGCGCCGAGGCCGAGGAGGCGCTGAGAGTGAGCGAGGGCTGCGAGGGCTGCCAGCATGCTGTCACCTCTCAGAATCAGGATGATGCTGGCCTCATAAAATGAGTTAGGGAGGAGTTCCTCTTTTTCAGTTGTTTAGAATAGTTTCAGAAGAAATGGTATCAGCTCCTCTTTGTACCTCTGGTAGAATTTGGCTGTGAATCCTTCTGGTCCTGGGCTTTTTTTCCTTGGTAGGCTGCTAGTTACTGCCTCAGTTTCAGAACTTGTTATTGGTCTATTTAGGTATTTAACTTCTTCCTGGTTTAGTCTTGTGAGGGGGTATATGTGTCCAGGAATTTATCTGTTTCTTCTAGATTTTCTAGTCTATTTGCATAGAGGTGTTTATAGTATTCTCTGATGGTAGTTTGTATTTCTGTGGGATTAGTGGTGATATCCCCTTTATCATTTTCTATTGTGTCTATTTGATTCTTCTCTCTTTTTTCTTTATTAGTCTAGCTAGTGGTCTATTTTGTTATTATTATTATTATTTAAAAAAAAACAGCTCCTGGATTCATTGATTTTTTGTTGAAGGGTTTTTTGTGTCTCTATCTCCTTCAGTTCTGATCTGACCTTAGTTATTTCTTGTTTTCTGCTAGCTTTTGAATTTGTTTGCTCTTCCTTCTTTAGTTCTTTTAATTATGATGTTCGGGTGTCGATTTGAGATCTTTCCAGCTTTCTGATGTGGGCATTTAGTGCTGTAAATTTCCCTCTTAACACTGCTTTAGCTGTGTCCCAGAGATTCTGATATATTGTTTTTTTGTTCTCATTGGTTTTAAAGAACTTCTTGATTTTTGCCTTAATTTTGTTATTTACCCAGGAGTCATTCAGGAGCACGTTGTTCAATTTCCATGGAGTTGTGTGGTTTTGAGTGAGTTTCTTAATCCTGAGTTCTAATTTGATTGCACTGATTTCAGTTCTTTTGCATTTGATGAGGAGTGTTTTACTTCTAATTATGTTGTTGATATTAGAATAAGTGCTATGTTGCACTGAGGATAATGTATATTCTGTTGATTTGGGGTGGAGAGTTCTGTAGATGTCTATTAGGTCCACGTGATCCAGAGCTGAATTCAAGTTCTGAATATCCTTGTTGATTTTCTGTGTTGTTGATCTGTCTAATATCGACAGTGGAGTGTCCCACTATTATTGTGTGAGAGTCTAAGTCTCTTTGTAGGTCTCTAAGAACTTGTTTTATGAATCTGGGTGCTCCTGGATTGGGTGCATATATATTTAGGATAGTTAGCTCTTCTTGTTGCGTTGATTCCTTTACCATTATGTAATGTCCTTCTTTGTCTTTTTTTGATCTTTGTTGGTTTAAAATCTGTTTTATCAGAGACTAGGATTGCAACCCCTCCTTTTTTTTTTTTTTTTTTTTTTTTTTGCTTTCCATTTGCTTGGTAAATATTCCTCCATCCCTTTATTTTGTGCCTATGTGTGTCTTTGCATGTGAGACAGGTCTCCTGATTATAGCACACCAATTGGTCTTGACTCTTTATCCAATTTGCAAGACTGTGTCTTTTAATCGGGGCGTTTAACTCATTCACATTAAAGGTTGATATTGTTAAGTAACTATGAATTTGATTTTGTCATGATGCTAGCTGGTTATTTTGCACACTAATTGATGCAGTTTCTTCATAGTGTCATTAGTCTTTATATTTTGGTGTGTTTTTGCAGTGGCTTGTACCAGTTTTTCCTTTCCACATTATTGCTTCCTTCAGGATCTCTTGTAAGGCAGGCCTGGTGATGACAAAATCCCTCAGCATTTGCTTGTTTGGAAAGGATTTTATTTCTCCTTCACTTATGAAGCTTAGTTTGGCTGGATATGAAATTCTGGGTTGAAAATTCTTTAAGAATGTTGAATATTGGCCCCCACTCTCTTCTGGCTTGTAGAGTTTCTGCCAAGAGATCAGCTGTTAGTCTGATGGGCTTCCCTTTGTGGGTAAGCCGACCTTTCTCTCTGGCTGCCCTTAAAATGTTTTCCTTCATTTCAACTTTGTTGAATCTGATGATTATGTATCTTGGAGTTGATCTTCTCGTGTAGTATCTTAGTGGTGTTCTCTGTATGTCCTGAATTTGAATGTTGGCCTGTCTTTCTAGGTTGGGGAAGTTCTCCTGGATAACATCTTAAAGTGTGTTTTCCAAGTTGGTTCCATTCTTCCTGTCACTTTCAGGTACACCAGTCAATCGTAGGTTTGGTCTTTTCACATAGTCCCATATTTCTTGGAGGCTTTGTTTGTTCCTTTTCATTCTTTTTTTCTCTAATCTTGTCTGCATGCCTTATTTAAGCAAGGTGGTTCTCAATCTCTGGTATCCTTTCTTCCGCTTGATCAGTTTGGCTATTGATACTTGTGTATGCTTCACGAAGTTCTCCAGCTGTGTTTTTCAGCTCCATCAAGTCAATTACGTTCCTCTCTAAACTGGTTACTCTAGTTAGCAGTTCCTGTAACCTTTTAACAAGGTTCTGAGCTTCCTTGCATTGGGTTAGAACATGCTTCTGTAGCTCAGAGGAGTTTATTACCTACCTTCTGAAGCCTACTTCTGTCAATTCATGAGTCTCATTCTTTGTTCTGTTTTGCGCCCTTGCTGGAGAGGAGTTGCGATCATTTGGAGGAGAAGAGGCTTTCTGGCTTTTGGAATTTTCAGTGTTTTTGTGCTAGTTTTTCCTCATCTTCGTGGATTTATCTACCTTCAATCTTTGAGGCTGATGATCTTTGGATGGGGTATTTGTAGGGGGGTCTGTTTTGTTGATGTCATTGTTTTCATTGCTTTCTGTTTGTTAGTTTTTCTTCTAACAGTCAAGCCCCTCTTCTGCAGGTCTACTACAGTTTGCTAGAGGTCCACTCCAGACCCTGTTTGCCTGGGTATCACCAGTGGAGGTTGCAGAACAAAAAAGATTGCTGCCCGCTCCTTCCATTGGGAGCTTTGTCCCAGAGGGGCATTGGCTTGATGCCAGCTGGAGCTCTCCTGTATGAGGTGTCTGTTGACCCCTTTTGGGAGGTGTCTCCCAGTCAGGAGGCACGGGGGTCAGGGACCCACTTGAGGAATCAGTCTGTCCCTTAGCAGAGCTAGTGCACTGTGCTGGGAGAGTCACCCTTGTCAGGATCTGCAGTTCTCTTCAGAGCCTGCAGGCAGGAAAGATTAAGTCTTCTGAAGCTTCCACAGCAGCTGCCCCTCCCCCAGGTACTCTGTCCCAGGAATATGAGAGTTTTATCTATAAGCCTCTGACTGGGGATGGTGCCTTTCTTTCAGAGATGCCCTGCCCAGTGAGGAGGAATCTAGAGAGGCAGTCTGGCCGGAGCTGCTTTGCTGCACTGTGGTGAATTCTGCCCAGTCCAAACCTCCCAGTCTACTTAGCACTGTCAGGGGAAAACCGCCTACTAAAGCCTCAGTAATGGTGGATGCCCCTCCCCTCACCATCCCAGGTCAACTCCAGACTGCTGTGCTGGCTGTGAGAATTTCAAGCCAGTGGTTCTTAGCTTGCTGGGCTCCATGGGAGTGGGACCCGCTGAGTGAGGCTGGTTGGCTCCCTGGCTTCAGCCCCCTTTCCAGGGAAGTGGACGGTTCTCCTGTATCTCTGGAGTTCCAGGCGCCACTGGAGTACAAAAAACCTCCTGTAGTTAGCTCAGTGCCTGCCCAAACAGCCGCCCAGTTTTGTGCTTGAAACCCAGGGCCCTGGTGGCGCAGGCTCACGAGGGAATCTCCTAATCTGAGGATTGCAAAAATCTGTGGGAAAAGCCTAGTACCTGGGGCTGGTAGCACAGTCCCTCATCACTTTCCTTGGCTAGATTTGTATTTCAAAATGAATATTCTGGTTTAGCGGAGTGGCTCATGCCTGTAATACCAGCACTTTGAAAGCCTGAGGTGGGCGGATCACTTGATGCCGGGAGTTCCAGACCACCCTGGCCAACATGGTGAAACCCTGTCTTTACTAAAAATACAAAAATTAGCTGGGGATGATGGCACATGCCTGTAATCCCAGCTACTCAAGAGGCTGAGGTATGAGAATTGCTTGAACCTGGGAGGTGAAGGTTGCAGTGAACCGAGATCGCGCCGCTGCACTCCAGCCTGGGTGACAGAGTGAGACTATGTCTCTAAAACAAACAGACAAACAAACAAACACCAACAATGAAAAAGAAGGACTATTCTGGCTGCCATGTAGAGATTAGATTGAAAATTTGTGTTCGTAAAGGGAAAGTCTGGAGGCAGGGAGGGGAGTTAGAAGACTGTAGTTTAGAAATAATGGTGGAGACAGAGAGAATTCAACAGACTTAGGAAAATATGTAAAAGATAGGAGAAGTAAGACGTCTTGATTGATTAGATTCAAGGATGAGTGGCTAGGGGTCAGACATTTCTGGCTTCAGCAGGGGGGAAGAGATCATGGCATTTACTGAGATAGAGAATGCTGGAAGTGTGCATAGGTTATGGAGGAGAGGTTAAGACAACACCATTATCTCGTGTGTGTTGAGTTTTAGGTGACTTAAACACATATACATGGAGTTGGTAAGAACCTGGAATAGTGCACACAATGAGTAGCAGGTGATCAGTAAATATTGCTGAGTCGAATAAATGTACGATAGACAGTGGGGTGTATGTTTTTGGAGCTCAAAGTCAGACTTGCAGAGATAGAGATAAAGATTTCTAAAATGTTAGCATAGAGATAAGAATTGGAGCCAAAGCAGTACTGAGATGTGGGAGTGTGAAGAGTGAGAAGAGCAGAAGGCTTGGGACTGAGCCTTTAGTAGTGCCAACATTTGAGAAATGGCCAAAGGAAGAAAAGGTTTTTAAGGAGGCTGAGAAGTAGCCAGAGAGGTAGGAGGATATCGTGAGAGTACTGGGTCATGGAAGCCAAGGGAATAGGCTATTTTCAGAGGCGAACGTGTCAAATGCCTCCAACAGATCAAGCAGCAAGAGGACTGAAAAACGTCTTTTGGATTTAGAAATAAGGAAGTCATCCATGACTTGGTCACATTGGAAAGGGATGAGGGCTAAAGCCAGATGGAAGTGGGCTAAGGAATCAGTAAAGACTGAGAAAATGAAGTCAGCAAATATGGACAAATAACTTGTAAGAGAATATTGGCTGTGAATGGAAGAAAAGATGCCAAAAAATAAGATAAGTAAAATAATACAACAGTTCTTTCTTTTTTCTTTCCTTTTTCCTTCCTGAATAATTCAGTACCAAAGCCATTGGTTGGGCTCAAACAAGAAAAATGTACACATGGAGGTCTGGCCTGGTGTGAGATGTTGGCACACAAGCAGGGTAAGGAGTGCATGTGTCACACATTCAATTAATATTCCTGTGTGTAACTAATCAGCCATCACCACCACCATCCACTCCTCTCTGTGGATGCCCTTCTCACATCCCATACTAGATTTTCCATCACACATGGACACTTTCCTGTTCACCGTGCTCAAACTCGGATACACCACCTGTATACATTGATGCCCTCTTCACCCTGAGGCCCTATGTTCCACGTGTAGCCTTCCCTAGTGTGGATGCTGCTCATCCCGCCTGGGATCTGACATTCCTCACCAAGCCCCTTCTCTGAATGGACAGAGTCCTCACCCAGCCCATGCTGTGACACCCATGCCAGACTACTCCCATGCATGGATGCCCTGTTTGGCTTCCAACATCTCACACGGGGCCTTCCTCTCCTCCACATGGACATACTCCTTACCCTGCTTGGACTCCAACTTCTCACAGTAGCCTGGGCTTCCATGTGGATGTCTCCCTTGCTTTGCCCCACCTAATGCCTTTGGGATGGAATTATTCAGGAAGGGAATTCACAGAGAATGTTCTCTTAAACTTGTCCATATTTGGTGTGTGTGTGTGTGTGTGGAATAATAGGTATGTTTCCTAACTCTCTCCAGTAAGAAGGTCTTGGAACAGCAATCACCACTCCAGCAAGCAATACAGCTAGAGCTGATACGTTGGCTTCAAAACATCATTCTCCACTTAAAGCACTAAAAGGAACAAGGTCTCAATGCAGAAATAACTGACCCATAGCTGGGACAAGGAAAATATAACATAAGCCTGAAACAGATTTTTGGACCATAAAGTAAGGAGTGCAAAAAGAAGAGAAGCATATTAAAATGACATATTTTGGCTTTCGCTGGCCAAATGTTGAGCTATTTAAGCCTCAAAATAAATGAGACATTGAATAAAATAAGAAATCATTAGTTCAGAGTGATATAAATAAATAAATAAATTGCAACTTTGATGAGACAGTAAGTTTCAAAGTACCTCTTCTGCAAAGAACTTTCTCCACAAAATACGTATTGATGGTGGGAGTGGGAAGTAAATTCACAGTGAAAAAGTAAGTTCACCACCTTAATGAAGTGATCAAAGTTAACATCATTGATAAGGGGACAAATAAAAATCATGCACCCCTAAGAGAATGCAATGAGAAAAATGCAACATCACTTCTGTGATATTTCTACCAAAGACCCATATCCACAGTCGAATCATGGAGAACAACAAACTGAAATTGATAGACCTTTAACAAAATAACTGTTCATTAACCTTCAAGCACTTCAATGTCATATAAGTAGACGAAAAGCTGAGGAACTGTTCTGAGTGAAGGAGATTAAAGAATAATGACAACTAAATGTAATGTGTGATTCTGAATTGGATGATTTTGCTATAAAGGACATTATTGGGACATTTGGAAATGCATGAAGCATCTGAGAATTAGATGGTAGTAACATATCAGTGTTAATTTCCTGGTTTTGTTGGTTGTATTGTTATTATGTTGGGCAATGTTCTTGTTTGTAGGAAATATACACTAAGTATTAGGTTGTGATTGGGGCATAAATTTGGCAATATTCTTTCACATGGTTCAAAAAATGTTTCTTATGCTATCCTTGCAATTTTTCTTTAAGTTTAAGGTTGTCTTAAAATTATATATATATTACACACATATACACACACTTTCATACAACAACCACATTACCATGTGAGTGGCTCTTCAGAGTTTTTAACATAGCTTCATATATAATATGTTAATTAATTCTTATACAGTACACTGAAGTATGAAGATAATTATTATTACTCACATATTATAAGTGAGGATCCATTGTCAGATAAGTTAAATGTCAAAGACCATGCAGTCAGTAAGTGGCCAAGCATGGACTGGGTGGAAGGGGAGAAGCAGAGGCAAAGTCCTGGGGCACAGGTCTAAGAAAAACAGGTGTAGATGAGAGTGTCAAAATAAAAGTGGGAGGGGGGGAGTTTGACAGTATCAGGATAGAAGGAAGGTAGATATACTTGAGAGAAGGGTAGATGAAAGAGATATAATTACTAGCACAGAGAGGTTAAATAACTTATTGAAGATCACATAGCTAGAAAGAGGCTGGGCTGGAGCTCAAAGGGGTTTGACTGTACAATTCACAACATTCAGTTTGTCAATCACCAGAGAGGCCTTGGTGATTCTAAAAAAGCATGTTCAGATGAAAGATGATGGAAGCCTGAGGACAAAAGGTTAATGGGAGAGTGATTGATGGAAAGATGGAGAGTGGAAATGTGTGAAAGTGAGAGGTAAGACAGAAACCTGGAGTGGTGAAAGAGTTGACTGAAGAGTCCTGAGCAGATCTGCACATAGAAAGCAAAGACCAGGGAAGGGGGAAAGCCTGGAGATACATGAGAGCAGTAGGTAGGAGTTCCATTAAAAAGAGCTCTGAACACTTTTCTGGGGAGCCTGCTTTTATGTCTGTGAGTGATTGGCAGCCACTTCAAACAAATGAAAGCCAAGAACAGGTAGTGGAGTAGAGTAGTTAAAAGCTTAGCCAGACTGCTTGGATTCCTACTCTGCTTCTACCGTGTTTAGATGTGATATTGGGCAAGTAACTTAATCTCTCTGCCTCACTTTTTAAATATTTAAAATAGGGAATCATAAAAGCACCTATTAATATGTATAAGAAACCTGGAAAGTACCTGAGTCCTGGTAGCACTCAATAAATGTTAACTGCTATTACTTTAGAGGAGCTAATGTGTGAAGACTGAAAGCTTTTTCAATAGTTGAAGTGAGAGCTAATGAGCTGTTGAACTAAGGCTGTGGTAGAAGGGTTTCAAGCAGGGGCTGAATTTGAGACTTATGAGGAGATAAAACATGGCAGGGCTTGGTAACTGATGGAAGGTTTGGAGAAAGGGAGAGGATTTGTGGTACTGGGTGGATGATACTGCCATTCCTTAAAATGGGAATTGGTGAGTTGAAGATAGTGGATTCAGTTTGCGATGCATTTGGATTGAGGTGCCTGTGTATGTCCAGGTGGAGATGCCCCCCAAACAGTTGGTTACATGAGTCTGAATTATTAGAGGAAGTGATTGGCTATAAACTATAGATAAACCATAAAACTGAATGAGGGATTAGGACAGAAAGTAGAGCTGAAGATTTGAGGGATGGGAGGCAGGTTGGCACAGATTTTATGAAAATTTCACTTAGAAATAAACTAAAGAATGACAAGGAGGGAACGCTTGTGGGTTAGGATAAGGTAGAGATCCAACTTAGGTAAGGGGAAAGACACAGTGTTCCAATTGCAGAGGGTAACATGGCCATTGATAGTGAAGGGAAAGGTCATCATTACATGGTGGGAAATTTTAGAAACTTTAGATATAATTTCCATCAAGTTGACCCAGACACTAAGCCTTTGTAATTGATTATGTCCACACATAACAGCCATAATGTTTTCTATTGAAATATTTTGCCCAGGGCTAAACAGAAAGTTGGACTGGGCAGAACTGTTGTTGCAATCAGCATGGTTTATGTCTAATTCCATCTTCGGTTGATTGTTATGCCTCAAAAGTCCTGGTGGAGCACATCTGTGTGGCACTGTGCCTCCGTAGCAGATGGGGATGAACGCAGTTATTCAATGATTTGCTATGTGCATCAATTTTAATGATCAAGGCAGGATTTTCTGTGCAGAGTGTCTAGGCATGAGGGTAAAAGGATAAGATGCCATTACATCTCCAGCATGAATATGGAATAATGCCGAAAACTCAACTATTGCTTATGCAAGTTAAAAATTTGTTAAATTTCACTCTGGATTTGTGTTCATCTGGAAACTTATGATAATGAAGATTTCCTGTACCAATTCAGCTCTCTAGAGCAGAACATATACAAATCCATTTAATAACCTAGACTGACTTCTATCTCTGAACAGATGACTCTGGTGCAAAAGAGGGGAATGTAGATCTTTGCATGTACCTTATACCCCTGTAGGAGACAGCACAATTTTGCAGTTGCTCTAAAGGTAAGGGGAAATACAAAATTAAAGGAAAATATGTCATAAATGTCAGTACATCAAATATGTTGAAGTTTAAAATATATAAACTATTATAAAATCTTGACCACAGAGTCAGAATTCTATGGCTGTATCTACACATTCAAGGTGAAAATGAGAAAACAAGAAAATTTTCAAATAATTCCAGGAAAAAATTTTACTCAATTACCCTGGTTTTTTATTAAAATTCTATTCTTCATAAAGCATTTTTTATTTTGTTTTCAGTATATAGGTTTGTATATATAGATATTTATAATTATGTATGGTAGTGTATTTCAGTCATTTATTACTCCATGACAAATGACTCCAAGGTTTAGGACTTGAAATAACCATTTATTCTGCATATAACTTTGTGCGTTTCTGCTGAACATGGTGCCCGCTGGGATGGGCAGAGTGGGAGGAACCACTTTGTGCGTTTCTGCTGAACATGGTGCCCGCTGGGATGGCCAGAGTGGGAGGAACCACCTCAAAGCCTCTGAGGTGCCATCTTATCTTGTATATGGCATGTTATTACTTGGTAGTCTGTTGTTGGTTCTCTCTCAATCTCTCTCTTTCTCCCTCCGCCCCCACACCCACATGCTATCTCAACCTTAGGGGCCTTTCTCTGTATTCTTGGCTTCTCATGGAATGATGGTGTCAGGGTAGCCTTTTGGCTTAAAGAGATAGGAAGCAAATGATTCCAGACTATGGATAGTTATGCCTGCATCTAGTGCAACATCAGTTCTACTGTCTTCCATTGGTCAAAGCAGAAGGCATTTCCAGTTCAAGAGGGTACAGAAATAAATAAGAAATTGCCTCCAGGTGATATGTGCACTGAAGCTAGTGAAGAGTATTTCTGAGCATGGCTCTGGAGACAGAAAGACCTGGATTCTAACCTGACTTTGACACGAGCTAGCTGTGTGGCTTTGGGAGTGACTTCATTCGCTCAGCCATAGTTTCCTGATCTGTAAATTTGCCTAGTGTAATTCACTGATTTCATTGTGTTGTTTCTGAAAATAAAACATACACCACATGCAAATCCTATAGCATAGTGTCTAGAACATTGTGAGCAACATTAATAATAAAGGTTTAGTGAGTTAGTTGGTTCATTCACAAGACAGGTGATGGCTCTTGAGTGTGCACTGAGGCTTTATCCACATAAATGGCCTGGACTTGAATTGTGGCCACAGTTAAATTCACCAGTGTGCTAATCTGCCATGGATGCATGTACATTTTCTCACTTCAGAAGAGCAATTGTGTACTTTTCTATATGTTTAGAGGGTTGGATTGATTCCTGTATAATAGAGAACTAACTTACTGAACAGTAAACATCACACTAGCTGACAATATGCTGGAAATTGAAAACCAGTTCAGTGAAATGGTGAGTACAATTTGGGTAGTAAGACACTTGGCATTCCATGATTAGGCAAATTTCAAGTGTATGTTGTTTATAGAGACACGACCTCTATGAACTCAAGGTCAGATATTACAGGGCCATGCATTTGGAGGGAGAAAATGGAGGGCTGATCTGGTAATTGGCTAAATTGAACTAAAGGTTCAGTATGACACAGTTTTAAACTTTTTTTGTTATACTAGAATTATCATTAAAAACATTAAGCGTAGAAAATTATGAGTTAATTCTGAGAAACCTGAGTTGTTCTTAAAAAGTTTCATGCTTAACAAAAGCCTCAGAAAAGACTCTTAAGATATCTGTTTCTTTTCTGTATGTCAGCTGCTGTAGATATGAGACTGTAGCATCTGAAAAATGGGCACTGTGTATTTGTGACAATGAAAGAAGAGCAGACTGTTCAAAGATGAAAAGCACCCAAGTTCTGTTTCTCATCTTGCTGTAGTCCCTGAAGAGCTCCCGAAGTGAAGTTCTTCTTTGAAAGTCAACATATGTGAAGTCCTGTACTTAAATGTGCTCTGCACAGCTCAGAACAAAATGAGAAACAGGCCCTGGGAGAGGTCCGTTTAGAAAGATAGACTGAAGTTTTATATACTCTGTGAATTTTCTATGCGTTTTCCCTTAAGAACAAAATAACCTCTCATTTATGCAATCAATTTTCTTCTAAAGCATCAGTGCCTTATGGCTGACACGGACCTATACTTACCTATTTAATAAAGTTCCAAAGCATTCCTAATTACGTAATTTCTATTTCTTTATATATCCTCTTATCTTTTTTCCTTTTCATCTTCCTTTCTAAAATTTTCTCAAATATCTCTTCATATTTGTCTATTTCTCTTTTTTTCTGTCTATTTTGTTTTGACTGCCATCTAGTCAACTTACCCAGCACTTACCCTTGGTAATGATGACAACCAAACAATGATCACAACAATAACAACAAAAACAATTGATATTTGTTGAGTATTTACTGTGTATAGGCTACTATTTCTTTCTTCTTCCCCTTTCACCTGTGCTTTGCCCCCCTGGACAGAATATTTCTGTCTTATAGTTTGAACTGTGGGCATAAGTTTGTGTTTTTTCATGATATGTCACATTCTTATCAGAGCCATGAACATAAACTATGAGTGTACTCTCTCATTTTGTCCTCATGTTCAAAATGCAGGAGGAAGAAACCTTCTTGGAAGCAGAGGACAAATACTCCCAGTGTGTGAACACTTCATCTCAGCATCATATCTAACAGAGTCTGTTAATCCATTGTTTAATCTCATCGTTAATATTTTGTAACCAAGAAAATGAGAAAATTTTCCCTGTGCTTTATTCCTGCATAATCAAGATACCAGAATAATTAACTAGGCAGCATGGAACACCTTTTATAGATTCAGCTGAGGCTAGGATAAGCTCACTCTGTGCCCTTCCTTTTGCAAAAGTGGAAGTCTAAGCAGTGTTGGGTTGAAGGGCCCTTGATGAACACTTGAGGAAAGAGCTTCTAGACTGAATTTCTGCCATCTTCTGGATGCCCTGGATGTTGAGAATTTGTTGCAGGAGGAACTGAGCAGGGGGATACCCCTTCTTTGTGCTACTTGCATGAATGTTGGTGTTTTAATTCTTTAAAACCAGGCAGAACACTTTAGTATCATATAGGAATGAAAACTATGGAAGTGAGAACTTTGTTTTTCTCTTAGAGAGCCCAACCTTGATATTTCTGTCGTCCCTGATATTTTTATAAAATATACTCAGGAAATACATTTAGATCTCTTCTGTGCAAGTACAAATTATGGGACTAACAAGAGGTTTTTTTTTTTAACCAAAAGCTTTAAAAACTGAAACAGAGGAGGTAATAGTTTCAACAGTTTTTTGAAAATAGTACAATTAAGCCAATTCGAGAGGTTGCATTTTCTTTGCTGTTGCCTGGGCACAATCCACTTCTCCATGAAACTTTTATCTTAGCTGTCAGGACCAGACATAAGTGCAACTCAAGCAATTTGTATTCCAGGCAGAAACACAAATTCATCTTTAAGGAGTCAGAAAATGGAAGGAAGCTGCAGTGAAGGCACCCTAAATGAAATGAACAAGAAACCACGTGGGATGCCTCTTAACACACAGACTTGCTTGGGACCAACCACTGCCATAATTGATCCCTTTGGAGGCTGAAAGAGCTTTGCTTGATTTCAAACCAGGGAAAAAAATGGATGAAGGGAGATGGAAATTAACATGAATTCTATGAGGTGTTTTCTACTTGTTACCTTTACTTTAACCAATGAAGCCAATATAGTTATCCAACATTTACAACCAGTGAAGTCATATTGTCGCTAGGTAGTAGAGGTGGAGTTTGAAGCCACATCTGCCTCTGAAGCTTGTGTTTATTCCACTACATCTTGTTGGTTTGCTGAGAAATGAGGTGTTTAGAATTTCTTCCTTAAAAACTGCAGTCACTATAACATAGAAGCAGGTAATTTTCTAGCTCTAGTTGGAGCCTAGAGTAGTTCTCACATTTTAAATGTATGCATGTAACCCAATATATTAGGCTTATTCATTATTAGATAAACATTTAAATTGGACTATATCGTACCTAATTTTGCTAACACATATAAGCTTGAATTTTAACTTTGTTCCTGTATGATTTATTATCCTACAGAAATTTCATGTTTTAAAGGCATTTTTAGGGTGGTAGTGTTTTAGATTCAGTTATTGTTTTAGGTGTGTCATTTATTGCATCAGAAATTCCCACCTAGTGGAAACTTGGCAGCCCCATCCAAGGTCTACAGAAGCTGTTAGCTTGCCTGCGCGGCCCTCTACTCTGAGTGAGCATGGGGTTTCTACTCTTAAAAAATGGTTCATCTTCACTTTGGTCCACTCGGATTTATGATGTAACCACCCAAATAAAGGAGTACGGCTGTTCGCTAGAATCTGTGCCAGCCCCTATCCAAATCATGTGGTTCCTCTATAATGATGACCTGTCACTTAAAATGGGATTTTGAATGAGTGCATCATATAACTGAATTACCGTGTTGCAAACAGCTTATTTTCTCCAGATCTATATTCCAAAAAAAAAAAAAAAAAAAAAAAGTGACACAATAAATAACATGTTAGAAGCCCTAGCACCTTGACTTCATTTTTGGCTTTATCACAGTTTGCATATGATTACAGATGGTAGAAAATTAAAGTGCCCAGCTTTCCATTTTTTTTGACGATTATCATCTTACGTGCGCAGAAAGGGACTTACTAAGACACCAACACTCCTCTCCTCTGCACGTCATGAGAATGAATCAAGGGCATGGGAGTTAATCTTCAAGGCTGAGAAAACCTGGGCAGCTAAACCTGTTTACAGCATCCCTGGACTTTAGACTTCTTGAAGCACCTGAGTTTGGAGCTGTGGATGAGTTAATATTAAAATATGGTGTGATCTGTCAGCCTATGTTGTGATAAACTGCTGTTGGATGAATTGACAAGCAGTCTAAAAGCTTCATTTCAGGAAAAACTCCAGTAACCCTCATCTATTTTAGCAACTCAACATTTGGCATTTGGACTTACTGGATACTTAACCCTCTGCTTTTTATAGCTTCCTCTTTTTATGTATTATATTGTTTCTATTAGGAAATCATTCTTTATGAAATTATTCTGTCTAGAGGAGACTTCTTTTTCACTTTTTGTCATTTCAAACTCACAGATGGGCAGATTAGAGACGGGAACAATTTGCAGTGCTCACTTTCTTTTTTGGCATTAGAATTGAGCTAGCTGTGGTTTGCATCTACTGCTTTTTTTTCTATAGGTGATAATAGACATACAACATTAAAAATTCTAATGTTTGTTTTCAAAAATATTCTTTAAAAGCCAGTTTTCTACCACACACATAGAACAACACTCCCTAGAGTCAAAGAATCATCATGCTGCTTTTCAGAACCATTTATAGTGTGATCTCTACTGTTTATCCCTACCCCTTCTTCCAAATTTCCTACACCTTAAGTCACTGTTTGCCTGATCATCGCCGTAGGTCCCCATACCTCATTTCTCCATCAATACTAGTACATCTTCCTGAGAAACAAATCTGATCAAGCTAGTCCCCTGAAATACCCATGAGGATCCCCTTTGCCTATAGGTTATTTTCAAACTTCATAGCTTGACCTAAAAGTCACTCATCAACTGGCCACAACCTGCCTTTCTCTGATTTTTCTTTTGTTTTTATGTCATTATATTTTGGTGGCTCTTAGAAATGCATACAAACTAATAAGCTAAAAATGAAAGAAGAAATGAATCAAATCAAAGGGATAGATGATATTTTATTTTCCCTTTTACTTTGCCAAGTAGATGAAATTGCCCTGTCAAAGTGGTATGCAAGTCATTGCTATGTTGATGGAGGCAGCCAAAGGAAATTTTACATGAGTGCTCTGTAATTAAATAGATATGAGAATTTACTTGCCCATTTTCCCTTCTCAAATCCTGCTTTCTGTCTTGGAATCCTGTTGATGGTGTAGCATAATTTACATGCAGATGTTTAAGTTTTTATTAGGATAATATCAGCATTATTATGCAGGCATTGCTTTCACAGAAAATGAGGAAATATATTTTAAAACTTGAGAAGTTTAGAAAAAATGTTGGCAGTTTTGATAGGATTCCAGCAGAACCAGAAGTTAGATTAGGCTAGTTGGGTCTGATGTAGATGCAGGTAAAAGCAAGCCATGGTATTTGATGGGTGGACATAATCCATATGGGGCAGGGAATTTTAAGCAGTGGCAGCAGCATAAAAATGCATGAAAACTGAAAAACAGTGTATATGTTTATATTATTGTAAGTAAAAATGGGTAAAAAGAAAATCATCTGGAAATAGAAATCAATATAGCCAGCCATGGTCTTGAGGACAGTGCATATATAGAGAATCGAAAATTTCAGGGTAAGAGGTCTGAAAATCATTGAGTGGGCAACGGGATGCTATCGGAAGAGACTCTAAAAATTTAGTTTGAACTGCTCCTTATACATATGGGTGGGTAGGATGCTGCCTATCTGGATTTATCCTGAACCCAGTGGTTTCTAGGATAAAGTGAAAAATTTTGCAGACTTCATATTCCATCGGTGGGGATCTCCACTCTGAAGAGAAATGGAATCTGCAAAATTCGACTCTTGAATAAACAAGCTTGACAATTAACTGACACAAATGTAAATTCTACCTGAGATGATGCACCTGTGTGACTTTGCCAGTGAGCCCATCATCTGTGTTTTCATTCATAAAATGAGCAAGTAGGAGTAATGCATGTGGGATGTGACTAGATCACAATATTACAATTGAGGGGCACTGCACAGTTTAAAAAGCTGGTGTCAGAAGCTTCCTGGGAGCTTTCTTAGGCAAGCAGAAAACCAAGGTTTTCAAGCATACATTTTCTGAAGGAGGAGGTCATTGGTGGGAGGCTGGGCAACGGCCCATATTTACTACCTTGATAGCTTTTATAATATGTACTGTATTAATTGGTTAAAGTAATGGAAATAATAATTTGTGTTAAAAATTTGGAAACTGCAGGATAAATATTAAAAATAAAACAAAAATTGTATGTAACCCAACCATCCAGCGATAATCACTGGTAACATTTTGGTGTGTACATATACATATACATATACATATACATATACATATACATATACATATACATATACATATACGTATACATATACATACACACATACATATATGAGAGACCTTATGCAGGTCAGCTTACTTCCTGCATAAGCAACTTCCTGCATAAGCATCATAATTTGAGTATTGACTGAAAATTTTACCCTATTATAAAATCAAAGGTTGGAGCATGCCATTACACTGCTATAAATAATGCTGTGATAAATATAAATTCTTTTGTGTATTTCTTTGCTGCTTTAAGGTGAATTCTAAGACGTGGAATTTCTGGTTCAAATAGACAATTTTAAGGATGTTAATGAACATTTGCAAATTTCCCCCCCAGGAGGTTTCTATAATTTACATTCCTCTATTTCCCATGTGCAGGTTCATCTTGAAATTTGAAGGATAATTACTTAATGGATTAATTTATAAGTTCTGTGGATGTGCAATGGCACTGTAAAGTATTAAGCCTCAGGGCTGGGTTGTTTGCTCTGCCTAGATGCAGACGCTCACTTCCTTTCATATTTTGGAAATATTCAAGTTGATGCTTAATAGACGATAAATAGCATGCATCATACCTTTCGATTAAACATAAAGCATTTAGTCTAACTCCTGAAGGTATTGGAAAAATCAGCAAAGCATATGAAAATACTTAATCTAGCTAGTTACACATTTATAATGTAAGAGGTAGTTTTCATGTGTTTATTAAAGTGGAATCAGATTGCAGAATTCTCAATAATTTAAAGGAAATGTTTCCATGGAAGGCACCATATGCTGCCATCTGAATTTTGTATGTTTTACTAATTTAAGGGGAAAAATCTTAAGAGCTACAGGCAAAGCACAGTTGAGTGTAACATTTATGTTGTTGGCTCATTCAAGCAATGTGTCCTTATAGGCACAAAATAAATATTTTTGAATTAAGTTTTGAAATCTAGGAAGAACCCAAAAGGACAAGGCCCTCTTTCTGAATTGGAAAAAGAATGCAAAGGGAATGCAATCTCTTTACAGAAAATGGATTCTGTGGGGGATGTGACTAACTCTTAGGATTTTTTTTCTTTTTTGGTGTGATAGTACCTATAGACTGTACTATTGGTCAGGAATACCTCATGACTAGATTGATGAATTTGTTCAGTCGTATGACAAAATTGCTACTATTCAGGAATCACTGCCATACAGGAAAACCCTAGAGTATCCGAGGGAGCAAATAAATACTTTCCTTCTTTCTGTTGACAACATTTGGCAGCAGAATTCTGGAAATTGTGGTCTAGAGTGAAGAGTCTCTATTGTTTAAATACTGGATTTTAAACATTTATTATGTGCCTAACTATTAGATTAATTAATAGGCTGGATTTTTGTAAGCATGCCTTGCTGGATTTTGAGGGTCTTAAGAATATATGCTTCAGTTGGAAACTGAACTCTTGTTATTTCCAAGGAAAGTGGAGCGATCACATGCACATAACACTTCCAGAGCTGTACTTCTGCATTGCAAACTGTCAATCAATGTTAGTTGTTTTGATTTACAAGTAATAATACTTATTGTTGATGTTGCTTGGTTGTTTCATTATTATTGCTGTTATTATGATTAGGAAAGTAGAGTCAACTCTTCTATCCTTTTGGAGAATTGCTGACTGATAGAATTTAAGAATGTTAATTAATATTTGCAAATTGTCCCCCAGAAGGTTTCTACAGTTTACATTCCTCTATTTCCCATGTGCAGGTCAATCTTGAAATCTAATAATTACTTAATGGATTAATTAATAAGTTCTGTGGATGTGCAATGGCACTGTAATGTATTAATGCAAATATTTACATTAATTAATGTAAATAATTAATGTATTTATCGTCTATTAAACAGGTTAGGGAACTACTTCAAATCAGGGCAGGGGAGAAGTATCTGTGGAGCATTGTTCTAAGAAATTGTATTATGTTAAGATCTACAGCAATAGGCCTCCTGCTGTCTCACTCCTCCAAATAAAAATAGCAACGATAATAACAATAACAACACCACACTGCCTCAAATGTTGCTTCTCCCACTGGCTATTGGAAACATGGAGGATGCTTCTCTGGGATGGTGTAATCAGGGGGTTGCCGCACCATCTCTTCGAGTTTATCTTCCTGAAACTAGGGCCAATACCCAATATTTTCCTGTTCCTATTTTTCCTTCATGACAAGAAGAAGTTAGGCTCCCCAAAACAGGAAAGGTAGGCACATAAACACAAGTATATTATGTAATCTCTGAAAGTAACCCAAATGTCCTCATTCTCTTCCCTCTAAATTTTAAATTATGTAAAATAAGGAAATACCTAGATTCTAACACCACATCTGTTGGGGTTGTCTTCCTCTTTAAAGGGTAAACTAGTCTTTGGTTTTATGTAACATTTAGAATGATTGCTAAAAGGACATCTGTGGAATTATTTCTCTAACAACCCCCTTTTTTGCCTACTCTTTTCTCAATGAAATTTCGGTGTAGCTATTTTAGTGATGTCATTTTCTTACATGACCTTGTTCTTCAGGATAAATTTTCTGATATTTGGAGAAAAATGGTCTGCAGTGGGAGAGAAGGAATCCAATATGAGAAAGACACAAAGAGCACAAAGAAAAGAGAGAAAGAGAAAGGGACGTGGGGGGTGGGGGAAGAGAGAGAGAAATTTATGACATTATGACATTCATGATCCTGGTTCTAGCCCTAGTTGTTCCTGAGGCCCAAATAAATCCCCAATCTTACTAGTTTTTGATTATTCAACCCTACCTTGGATTCCCTGAGTGAACCAACTTCCTTTGGATGTTTAAGCTGGTTTGGGTTTGCCTTGGATTTCTAATAGTGCAACAAAATGAGTTCCGACTTCTCACTGTCACTATACTCTCTGACTCCTCCTTGACATTCACATTCAGGCTCTTGTGAGACTGAGACTAAGAGTTGTCCATCACATGAGCTGTACTTATTCTGTCAAGCATTATACCCAACACTCCCAGCCCAAAAGACTGATTGGGCTCATTACAGTACAACATGAGATGTATATTATTGATCAGTTCAGCCCTTGGTGCTGGCAGAGTTAAGTGCCCTAATTCAAAGAGCACTGCTTATCCAAAAGAGAAGTCACACCCTAACCTAGTCTATATTTCAAAAGCTGAGAGGCTATATATTCCAACAAACGATCATATGTTATATGTGCCTTTTGATTTCTGCCAATTCTCCATTTACTTATTATTCTCTTCCATTGGTCATATGGCAATAGCACTAGCAGTTTTTCCCCCTTTAAGGTAATTATTACTTCCATAATTTAGATGAAAAATTGTATTTCAAATTAAATTTAAAACCCATAGGTCAGGTCAGGTATTGAAATTTGGAAGTATCTTAAATTAAGTCTGCTGGCGATGTGATTACTTTGGGTTTGGAATCCTTTAACGTACTCAAGTTAACTATCCATATTTTCATAGTTCTTAGCTATAGGGGCTTCATCTCTGTTTTGCTAATATAATAAGTATTCAGGAAAAAGTGATGAATTAAGTAACAGCTTCATTTTATGTATGTGTGTTGTTTTTTGCCTAATCATCTAAATAGCTGGCTCCTCGATTCTCTATCTTGACCTGTACAAATAAAGCAGGCACTGCAGTTTGTTAGATGTGTTAAAATGCAGGGCTGGGTCTAATGTGTGGTGAGTAAGACAGCTAAGATGCAAAATTTAAGGAGACAGTCACTGTTAGGATCATATAAGGCATCTCTCTTGCCTCACCCTCATATTGACCCTGTTGAAATGCTATGAGCTGGTTTAGAAGTACACAGGCATCAAATTAGAAAATTAGACAGCATAGTACCAACTCAGGGATTAAAAATAAATCAGAAAAAAAACCCCAAGAACTGATTCTTTAGCAGAGCTGCTAGGTTTACCTCCTTTCCTCCAACAGGAAGTGCATCCACCTACAGTGTCCAGCACAGGTCTGTCCCCAGAAGTATCACATGACATTAGAAAGAGCACCGACACTCAAGCTGATGTCCTCAAGTGAGTTATTTTTGACTCTGCAAAATGAAAATACACAGATGATCTCCAAGGTCCTTTTCAGCCAGGTGGTTCTGAGTCTAAGAAATGTCTTAAAAAAAAAAAGAAGAAATGTCTTCATTGGTGGCTACTCATCATCAGGTTTTTGATTAGTTTTGGGGGCAACACAGAGGAACCTGCTCTGGGTAACTGTGTGAGTGAGGTTTGCTGCCAGCCTATCCTCTTTATTTTGGTTCCCTTCTTCTTGTTAATGCCTCTTTCAGCTCTTTCAAACTTCAGATGCCTTTGTGGGCTCCTTATTCCGTTACTCTTGCAAGGGATCTGAGTCCCGTTTTCATCAGTATAGACATGACAAATGACAATTCGAACTTGTATTTATCTACAAAGAATATACAACTTGGAAGGCAGAAGTAAGTTATTAATCAGTGGATGGAGTGGTGGGCAGATTGGACATGGATTTAGGACAGGTAAGCTCAGGGCATGCTGGCTCAAAGTTTAGCTCAAAATGATAGCAATTTCTTTTTTCTTTTTTTTGACTGGATCTTGGTCTGTCACCCAAGCTGGAGAGTAGTGGTGTAATTATGACTCTCTGCAGCCTCGATCTCCCAGGCTCAAGGGATCTTTCTGCCTCAATCTCCTGAGTAGCTGGGACTACAGATGCATGCCACCATGCCAGCTAATTTTTTGTATTTTTAGTAGAGATGAGGTTTCACTATGTTGCCCAGGCTGATCTTGAACTCCTGGGTTCAAGCAGTCCGCCTACCTCAGCCTCCCAAAGTGCTGGGATTACAGGCATGAGTCACACCTGGCAACTAGCAACTTTCAATGCAAGGACAAAGACTAGATCCCCTCTGACCCAATCCCAAGAAATGGCAATAGAGCTCTGGTAGCCAGAGAGGTAAGGCTCACCTCAAATCTCCACAGGGATTTGTAGTAGCTTACTGGGAGGAGAGCTGCTAAGACCACCATATTGTCTCATGTTTTGACAATATTGTATTCAATTTTAGCTCTACTTTATGCAGTTAAATCTTGTTGGCAGGATTGCATCCTTTTGTGTGGCTGAATTACATTTTATTGTGTATATATACCACGTTTAAATCCATTCATCTGTTGTTAGACATGGGTTGATTCCATATCTTGGATATTGTGAATACTATTACAATAAACATGGGGGTGCAGATGTCTCTTTGATATACTTATTTCCTTTCCTTTGGGTAAATGGCCACTGGTGAGATTGCTGGAGAATATGGTAGTTCTATCGGTAGTTTTTGAGCAACCTCCATACTGTTCTCCCTAGCTGTGCTAGTTTACATTTCTACTACAAACAAGTTCCTTTTTCTGTGCATCTTCGCTATCATTTGTTATTTTCTGTCTTTTTAAAAAATAATAGCCATTCTAACTGAGGTGAGATGATATCTCACTGTGGTTTTGATTTGCGTTTCCCTGATGATGGCGATGTCGAACATTTTTTCATATATTTGTTGTCTATTTGTATGTCTTCTTTTGAGAAATGTCTGTTCAGGTCACTTGCTAATTTTTAAATCAGACTGTTTAGTTTTTTTCTATTCAGATGTTTGAATTCTTTGTATATTCTGGATATTAATTCTCTTTTGAATGAATAGTTTGCAGATATTTTCTCCTCTTCTCTAAGTTCTCTTTTCATTCTGTTGATTGATTCTTTTTCTGTGCAGAAGCTTTTTAGTTTGTTTTAATCACATTTGTTTATTTTTGCTTTTGTTGCCTGTGCTTTTGAGGTCTTACTCACAAAATCTTTTTCCAGACAAATGTTTTGAGGTGTTTTTCCTATGTTTTCTTTTAGTAGTTTTATAGTTTTGGATCTTACATTTAGGTCTGTAATCCATTTTGAGTTTATTTTTTATAGGGTGAGAGGTGGTGGTCTAGTTTCATTCTTCTGCATATGGATATCCAGTTTTCATAATACCATTTATTTACAAGACTATCCTTTCTTTAATGAATGTCCTTGAGGCCTTTGTAAAATTTCAGTTGGCTATAGATGTATGGATTAATTTTGCGGCTTTCTGTGTGGTTGCATTGGTCTATGCATCTGCTTTTATGCCAGTATCATGCTCTTTTAGTTACTATCGCTTTGTAATATATTTTGAAGTTTGGTATTCTTCCAGCTTTGTTCTTTCTGCTCAGGATTACTTCGGCTATTTGGAGTCTTTTGTGGTTGCATACGAATTTTAGGATTTTTTTTCTATTTCTGCGAAGAACGACACTGGTATTTTGATAGTGATTGCATTGAATCTGTAGATTGCTTTGAGTAGTATGATCATCTTAACACTATTAATTCTTCCTATTTGTGAACATGGGAGGTTTTTCCATTTGTTTATATTCTCTTCAATTTATTTCATTAGTATTTTATAGTTTTCCTTATAGAGATCTTTCAACTCTTTGGTTAAATTTATCTCTAGGTATTTTATTTTATTTTAATTTGTGGTAGCTATTGTGAAAGGATTGCTTTCTTGAATTCGTCAACTAAAATAATAAGCAAGATGAGGTCATATGTCTCTTTTCTCACCTGGCACAATGCCAGGCAGGTAGCATGTGGTCAATATTTGTTCACGTTCATTGAATGTCATCATGGTTGATATGGTTTGGCTGTGTTCCCACCCAAATCTCAACTTGAATTGTAGCTCCCATAATTCCCATATGCTGTGGGAGGGACCTGGTGGGAGATAACTGAATCATGGGGGTGGTTCCTCCCATAGAGTTCTCGTGGTAGTGAATAAGTATCATGAGATGTGATGATTTTATAAGGGGAAACCCCTTTCACTTGGCTTTCATTCTCTCTCTTGCTTGCTGCCATGTAAGATGTGCCTTTCACCTTCTGCCATGATTGTGAAGCCTCCACAACCACGTGGAACTTGAGTCCGTTAAACCTCCTTTTCGTTTTAAATCACTGAGTCTTGGATATGTCTTTATCAGCAGCATGAAAACAGATTAATACAATGGTCTATCTGTCTCACATATGTATATGTCTCTTATATAGTATACTATACTATTAATGTCGTTCTTGCTTATAGATATCATATTATTCATTTAACACTTATTTTTCTTTGAAGGAAGGTATGTTTGAATTTATCTCTCCATTAAAAAAAATCAGTATTGAAAGAACTCTACCAGCTCATGAATCCTGTGCCATTCAATTTAATGATCTAGAGATTTTACTCTCCATCCAGAGACAATCTTATGTGTCTTTCCCAACCCACTCTACCTGTATTGGCTGGCATATGATTTTTTAAAATGGAAAATATGGTTTCTTTAGAAGCTATGCTTGGGCCAGATTTCACACATCAATACCAATCGACATTTCAGTTATCAGCAGGGTGATTCTCAACAACTCCAAAAGTCACACCCCTCTTTTGCCAAAAATAAATTTAAAAAAATTGAAATAATGTGAACAAAAGTATTTCCTAACATAGGGCTTCAGTCACCTTTAAAGTACCACATGGAGTTATAACCACATGACCAAATGTTCCTTCCAGTAAATAACTTGCAGCAGAATTGAGTTCTGAGTGTTTGTTTCAACCATGCAGTGCATATGCCATCTGGCACATTTCCCATAAAAATGAAACTGCTTTCATGGCTGAGTAGATGCCAAAATGGAATTGTATAACAGTAATAAGGCCTTTTCTGGTTCATGAATATACCTTAGGTGATGTTTAAAGCATGAAACTATAGGTGATGCTAAAATAGTCATGTTTTCTCTCTTCAGAAGTGAAGCATATCGTGAAGAAAAGGGTGAAGTTGCTCACTTTTATGAGCTTAGATCCTAGATATGATTTTTAATATGGAGAAAAATAATCATAGATAAATTCTTTGTCTATGATTTTTGAAATGTGATTCAAGGCTTTAATTTAAATCTGGGTTTATGCCTCTTCAAAACATCTGGGTGGCGAGGGAAGTAAAAAATTCAGACTAGAGACTGGATTTTTTGACTTCAGAATGCAAAAAAACTTAAATGTCTAGAGGTTTTCTGTTTTGAGAATATATCAAGCACTAGATGATTGACAGAAATCCCCCTTCATTTCCATTACTTTAATGTCATGCTGCCAAATCCCAAGCTAAGATGACTCCTTTTCTACCTTCCCTAAGTGCTCTATACACCTTAAGAAAATGAACCTTCCCGATGCTAACCTCCAGGGTGCTGATGTAGGTTTAAGAAATTTTAGAACGCTGTATCAATTCCAGAGGAACATATCACATTGATTGAGGAATTGCCAGGGATGGGAATAAACCTTCATAGTTAAAGATATTTGTAGAAAATGTTGTGCATTTCTGCCATGTTGTACAATCTAATGGTATATTCTCCTCTGTCTATAATAATTTACATTCTGGCAAATTTGGGATCCAACATTTGTCATGATTGATGTTCAGCTTTATACTAGAGTGTTCTGTTAATACATCTTTATGTATCTCATACATACTTGCATTCTTTCCAGCATACTTTTAGGCCCAGTAGAGTTTAGTAATAAAACTTTCCCTATGTTATCAGCACCAATATCTATAGCATCAAAGCAATTTTCAAATCATTCTAGTCATTTATTCCAAGAGCTTGCTGTAGTACCAACATAAATGCAATCAGAAATGGGCACGCCTTTACCTTTCTGGTCAACCTGCCTCCAATGTATACATACTCGTCCCTTTGCATGCAGTTGCAAAGTCATTAATATCTGAAACAGCACATTCTTATATGACATTGTGGAAGTTTGTGTCATATAGCTGTGAAAGATGCTTGGAAACTTACCCTTGCAAACCAGGTTTCTTATTTGCTTCATAGTCGAACACTGAGAAGCTTGTTGAGAGATTGCCCCACAACACGTATTTGTTTCTTTCAAGAGAGGATATTTCACCCCTATGCCTGCAGGCATTTTCTGGTACCTGTTGCTGGAGAGAGCTGCACATGCTGGTTCTCTCCAGCACTTGTCCACACAGTGTTTGAGACTGTAAACATTATTAAAAATGTCTCTGAGCCGAATACAAATGGACTGAGGCTTTTCTAAACTGGCAATCAAATTTCAAACTGTATGAAGCAACTGGGCTGTGGGTGAGTAAAGAATGGGAATTTAGTAAATGTTCTGTAGGAATTGGCTTAACTCTCAGAGGTCTTTGAAAAACTATCGCTTGAACTTTATTATTATTATTATTTATCATACTTTAAGTTTTAGGGTACATGTGCACAACATGCAGGTTTGTTACATATGCCATGTTGGTGTGCTGCACCCATTAACTCGTCATTTAACATTAGGTATATCTCCTAATGCTATCCCTCCCCCCTCCCCCCACCCCACAACAGGCCCCGGTGTGTGATGTTCCCCTTCCTGTGTCCATGTGTTCTCATTGTTCAATTCCCACCTATGAGTGAGAACATGCGGTGTTTGGTTTTTTGTCCTTGCGATAGTTTGCTGAGAATGATGGTTTCCAGCTTCATCAATGTCCCTACAAAGGACATGAACTCATCCTTTTTTATGGCTGCATAGTATTCCATGGTGTATATGTGCCACATTTTCTTAATCCAGTCTATCATTGTTGGACATTTGGGTTGGTTCCAAGTCTTTGCTATTGTGAATAGTGCCACAATAAACATACGTGTGCATGTGTCTTTATAGGAGCATGTTTTATAATCCTTTGGGTATATACCCAGTGATGGGATGGCTGGGTCAAATGGTAGTTCTAGTTCTAGATCCCTGAGGAATCACCACACTGACTTCCACAATGGTTGAACTAGTTTACAGTCCCACCAACAGTGTAAAAGTGTTCCTGTTTCTTCACAGCCTCTCCAGTGCCTGTTGTTTCCTGACTTTTTAATGATCGCCATTCTAACTGGTGTGAGATGGTATCTCATTGTGGTTTTGATTTGCATTTCTCTGATGGCCAGTGATGACGAGCAATTTTTCATGTGTCTTTTGTCTGCATAAATGTCTTCTTTTGAGAAGTGTCTATTCATATCCTTTGCCCGCTTTTTGATGGAGTTGTTCGTTTTTTCTTGTAAATTTATTTGAGTTCATTGTAGATTCTGGATATTAGCCCTTTGTCAGATGAGTAGATTGCAAAAATTTTCTCCCATTCTGTAGGTTGCCTGTTCACTCTGATAGTAGTTTCTTTTGCTGTGCAGCAGCTCTTTAGTTTAATTAGATCCCATTTGTCAATTTTGGCTTTTGTTGCCATTGCTTTTGGTGTTTTAGACATGAAGTCCTTGCCCATGCCTATGTCCTGAATGGTATTACCAAGGTTTTCTTCTAGGGTTTCTATGGTTTTAGGTCTAACATGTAAGTCTTTAATCCATCTTGAATTAATTTTTGTATAAGGTGTAAGGAAGGGATCCAGTTTCAGCTTTCTACATATGGCTAGCCAGTTTTCCCAGCACCATTTATTAAATAAGGAATAGTTTCCCCATTTCTTGTTTTTGTTGGGTTTGTCAAAGATCAGATAGTTGTAGACATGCGGCATTATTTCTGAGGGCTCTGTTCTGTTCCATTGGTCTATATCTCTGTTTTGGTACCAGTACCATGCTGTTTTGGTTACTGTAGCCTTGTAGTATAGTTTGAAGTCAGGTAGCATGATGCCTCCAGCTTTGTTCTTTTGGCTTAGTATTGACTTGGCAATGCGGGCTCTTTTTTGGTTCCATATGAAATTTTAAGTAGTTTTTTTTCCAATTCTGTGAAGAAAGTCATTGGTAGCTTGACGGGGGTGGCATTGATCTATAAATTACCTTGGGCAGTATGGCCATTTTCACGATATTGATTCTTCCTACCCATGAGCATGGAATGTTCTTCCACTTGTTTGTATCCTCTTTTATTTCATTGAGCAGTGGTTTGTAGTTCTCTTTAAAGAGGTCCTTCACATCCCTTGTAAGTTGGATTCCTAGGTATTTTATTCTCTTTGAAGCAATTGTGAATGGGAGTTCACTCATGATTTGGCTCTCTGTTTGTCTGTTATTGGTGTATAAGAATGCTTGTGATTTTTGTACATTGATTTTGTATCCTGAGACTTTGCTAAAGTTGCCTATCAGCTTAAGGAGATTTTGGGCTGAGATGATGGGGTTTTCTAGATATACAATCATGTCATCTGCAAACAGGGACAATTTGACTTCCTCTTTTCCTAACTGAATACCCTTTATTTCCTTCTCCTGCCTGATTGCCCTGGCCAGAACTTCCAACACTATGTTGAATAGGAGTGGTGAGAGAGGGCATCCGTGTCTTGTGCCAGTTTTCAAAGGGAATGCTTCCAGTTTTTGCCCATTCAGTATGATATTAGCTGTGGGTTTATCATAGATAGCTCTTATTATTTTGAGATACGTCCCATCAATACCTAATTTATTGAGAGTTTTTAGCATGAAGCGTTGTTGAATTTTGTCAAAGGCCTTTTCTGCATCTGTTGAGATAATCATGTGGTTTTTGTCGTTGGTTCTGTTTATATGCTGGATTACGTTTATTGATTTGCATATGTTGAGCCAGCCTTGCATCCCAGGGATGAAGCCCACTTGATCATGGTGGATAAGCTTTTTGATGTGCTGCTGGATTAAGTTTGCCAGTATTTTCTTGAGGATTTTTGCATCGATGTTCATGAGGGATATTGGTCTAAAATTCTTTTTTTGTTGTGTCTCTGCCAGGCTTTGGTATCAGGATGATGCTGGCCTCATAAAATGAGTTAGGGAGGATTCCCTCTTTTTTTATTGATTGGAATAGTTTCAGAAGGAATGGTACCAGTTCCTCCTTGTACCTCTGGTAGAATTCGTCTGTGAATCCATCTGGTCCTGGACTTTTTTTGGTTGGTAAGGTATTAATTATTGCCTCAATTTCAGATCCTGTTATTGGTCTATTCAGAGATTCAACTTCTTCCTGGTTTAGTCTTGGGAGGGTGTATGTGTCGAGGAATTTATCCGTTTCTCCTAGATTTTCCAGTTTATTTGAGTAGGGGTGTTTATAGTATTCTCTGATGGTAGTTTGTATTTCTGTGGGATCGCTGGTGATATCTTCTTTATCATGTTTTATTGTGTCCATTTGATTCTTCTCTCTTTTCTTCTTTATTAGTCTTGCTAGCAGTCTATCAATTTTGTTGATCTTTCAAAAAACCAGCTCCTGGATTCATTGATTTTTTGAAGGGTTTTTTGTGTCTCTATTTCCTTCAGCTCTGCTCTGATCTTAGTTATTTCTTGCCTTCTGCTAGCTTTTGACTGTGTTTGCTCTTGCTTCTCTAGTTCTTTTAATTGTGATGTTAGGGTGTCAATTTTAGATCTTTCCTGCTTTCTCTTGTGGGCATTTAGTGCTATAGATTTCCCTCTACACACTGCTTTGAATGTGTCCCAGAGATTCTGATATGTTGTGTCTTTGTTCTCGTTGGTTTCAAATAACATCTTTATTTCTGCCTTCATTTTGCTATGTACCCAGTAGTCATTCAGGAGCAGGTTGTTCAGTTTCCATGTAGTTGAGTGGTTTTGAGTAAATTTCTTAATCCTGAGTTCTAGTTTGATTGCACTGTGGTCTGAGAGACAGTTTGTTATAATGTCTGATCTTTTACATTTGCTGAGGAGTGCTTTACTTCCAACTGTGTAGAACTATTTTGGAATAGCTGTGGTGTGGTGCTGAAAAGAATGTATATTCTGTTGATTTGGGGTGGAGAGTTCTGTAGATATCTATTAGGTCCACTTGGTGCAGAGCTGAGTTCCGTTCCTGGGTATCCTTTTTAACTTTCTGTCTCATTGATCTGTCTAATGTTGACAGTGGGGTGTTAAAGTCTCCCATTATTATTGTGTGGGAGTCTAAGTCTCTTTGTAGGTCTCTAAGGACTTGCTTTATGAACCTGGGTGCTCCCGTATTAGGTGCATATATATTTAGGATAGTTAGTTAGTTCTTGTTGAATTGATCCCTTTACTATTATGTAATGACCTTCTTTGTCTCTTTCGATTTTTGTTGGTTTAAAGTCTGTTTTATCAGAGGCTAGGATTGCAACCCCTGCCTTTTTTTGTTTTCCATTTGCTTGGTAGATCTTCCTCTATCCCTTTATTTTGAGCCTATATGTGTCTCTGCACGTGGGATGGGTTTCCTGAATACAGCACACTGATAGGTCTTGACTCTTTATCCAATTTGCCAGTCTGTGTCTTTTAATTGGAGCATTTAGCCCATTTACATTTAAGGTTAATATTGTTATGTGTGAATTTGATCCTGTCATCATGATGTTAGCTGGTGATTTTGCTCGTTAGTTGACGCAGTTTCTTCCTAGCCTTGATGGTCTTTACAATTTGGCATGTTTTTGCAGTGGCTGGTACTGGTTGTTCCTTTCCATGTTTAGTGTTTCCTTCAAGAGCTCTTTTAGAGCAGGCCTGGACTTTAGACTAACTGTTCTTTCTTCCATAACATTCTATGCAGGAAGGAGATAGTATTCTTCAGCTTGTAGCGTTTAGAAAAGAGTGAAACATTGTGTAAGGCTTCTTGCCTAGGCATTTATAGCTGGACATGAAAAATGGCAATGCCAACTTTTTAGTAATTTAGTTACAAGCTTGTCATACATATCTGACTTCTGGTTATCACTCTCGAGTTTTTTAGTTCAATTAGGTTTTCAGGGTATAACGATTACAGCTGATTTGCAGAGCCTGGTCATTATGTCGTTTTTCTAGGATTCTATCCATTTTAGAAAATCTATTCCATTCATGTGAACAGAAATGATCCTGCTTAAAAGCAGGAGCACTGAGAGTCCATTATACGTATGCAGAGAGCTACCATTTTGCCTCCTTTGGTAACTTGGGGGTGGCTTTGTAGATGAAATGCCCAGCATAAAGTTGATCCTTTGGGGATGGCATCATATCTGTGAATCTGTAGATCGCCGTGTAGATGAAATGGCTGGGTTTTCAGCTAATTTGTACTGATGGAATCACATCCACCTGAGCACCAGAAAAATCTAATTGTGGACAGAAGAGAGTAGGCATGTAATATACAATGTGGCATGAACTGAAAGTGATTTAGCAGTGAAAACTATTTACTTATTATTTTCCCTGCCACCTCCTCAACTGATATGCTGCATTAAAGATAAGCTTGGGCTAATCTGCTAGGATTGATAAAGAGTTTTCCAATTCTGAAGACTGCATCAGAGCCTCATTCACTAGCATTTACAAATTTTAGATTCAGTATCTCAAAATGTGCAGGGAGTGTGGGAGATGAAACAGATTGCGGAGGTGGAGTATTGCTTGAATTTTGTCAGCACAACAACTAAATAAGGGCATAAGAAGAGAGAACCACTGTCAAACCATTCAGTGATATACAGAAACTCAAATCTCTATATGTCAATCTCTTGGCATTTGGCACAAAAATTATTTTCTAGTGGGCTGAATCTTTCATTTTTTTAAACCAGATGTTTTAGAGATGTGTATTCCCAGAATTAGACTAAAGTTTCCAAATATCATTGTAGGCTTTCTACCAACTATTATTAAATATGTCATTATTCATTTATTCACTCATTCGGTTAACAAATGTGTATTGAGCACTTAACCAACAACTATTTCCAATGCTGGAGATCTGCTGGTGAATAAGTCACACTGGTCCCTTCTGTCTTGGAGCTCACACTCTGAATAAAAGGAGCCTCCAGGGGGGAATTTTTGTTCTGAGAGGATGCTTGATAAGCTAACCTCTAGAAATACTCTCTTCTCTAACATTCTATTTGGTAGTAATCTGGGATAGCCAGCTTTGCATGCATAATTCTATTAATCCCTAATTTTGTTGAGTACTTTATATTTACTCTAAAAAGTAGTTTTATATGTGTTTTCCCATTTGTGCCTAATCTGCTCTTTAATCCATTTGTTGATTTTGTAATTTCAGTTTTTAAAATATTTGTTTGATTTTTTTCTAGAAGCTTTATTTAATTCTTTCCCAAGTATGTTTCATTATTTTCAGTCTACTGTTTCTATTATACTTGAGACAGATACTTTAGTTTTTATAACTGCATTAAGGATAATTATTTAGGCTACCCATTTGATAATCCTAATATTGGCAGTCTTTCTGAGTCTGTTGTTTTTGTTTTCTGTGAACACATGTTTTATGGAACATAACCTGTAGGAGTTTTTTTGAGGACCAGTTTTAAGTTGCTTTCCTCTAAAGTTAATTTTCTTTTGTTTATGAAAAGTAAACACTAAGTTCAAACTAACTTCTAAGCTTTATATCCTCCCCACTATACTAGTAGTGTATATTCTGGCTATAACCCAAGTGAGTTCCAGTTTGTAAACATAAATTTTCAGGGAAACTTTTCTACCTCCCAATTTCTTTCACCCAGAGTTGAGATGAGAGCAAGTGTCCTCCTTGTCTTCTTTAACAGACTCCCCGCCTTGGTTTATCTCCTCTCACTGAGGTTCTTGTGTTCTGCAGGAGCTGGCTTGATGTGAGATTGTCCTCTAAAGCTGTAACATCCTTCCCTCAGGTCTTTACTGGTTTTTGTATCATCATGCTTCAATTCGGGTGTTACCTCTTTAAAAAGTTCTGCCCTGACTGTGGGAAGTACACTTCCTGGTCATGTGATCCTATCTTATTGTCTTTATGCCCTTATTCGTTCCTGACACTAGCTAGTTATCTAACTGATTAATTTTTCTATATTTTTGTCAACTCTCCCCATCAAGACTATCAACCCCAGGAGTGTGGGGCTATCCTTTTTTGTTCGTTGTTGCTTCCCCAGTGCCAGAGATGGTGCTTGGCCCTGGAGGAATTTATACTGAATGATTAAAGGGCCATAAGCTTTGGCTGGTTCTTAGTTCTCTCCAAAGTTTAAAGTCCTGTCTGGTTCTTAGCTCTCTCCAAAGTTCATGAAAGAAGTATGAAGAAAGAAAGAAAATATGAAGACTCAATGAGTTACATATGAGATGTCCCATGATATACTAGGGTGTTGCCTCCTCTTCCTTTCCTCCTTTTCTGGTCTTAGAGCTAAGTTTCTGTTCCTCTTTCTATCTCTTGGTGGGCTGATCTCAGTTTGTAACTTTGACCTATAGCAATAAACCTGCAGCTGTGCTTACTTGCTTACTTGCTTTCTTATCTCTTTATGGCAGCTTCCATATCTGATCCTAGGTCCCCAACTTGAATCTTCCTGTTTTTGACCCTTGCTATGCTTTGCCTTGATCCTCCCTCATTAGAAAAAAAAAAAAAAAGTAAAAAATAAATTTAAGAGGAAAAACAAAAACAAAATCGGCCTTTTTGTCAAATACTTTAAAATACAAGCATATTCATTATTAAAGCAGCATAATCTCATTTAAGCAAATGCTGAAAATAAATAGAAATATAGATAAAAAAATCACTACAGTCCAGCTACCTAGTCACAGTTACCGTATATTTCTTTTTACACATGCTTAGTTTTATTTTTATACAAGCTTAATTTTATTTTTCCCACTATATATATACAATTATAGCATATATACAATTTTGAATACTGATTTTTAAAAATTGTTATTTTATCTTTAAAAATGTGTTTAAATATAATCTGTGATGGCTGTATAATATTCCAGCTAATGAATATATAGTTTGCTAAGCCTTTGATCTATACTGAATGTTTGCACTGTTTCATAAGTCACATTTTAATAAAAAATTTGTAGACCTATTACATGAGTCAGATCATGTATCATGTTGAATCACACCCCTGGGAAGTGAAACAATCTAGCAAAATCTGTTACTAGTTGAGGCCAGAGTTGCCTGTGGGACACTTTTAGGGAACTACCTGGGAGGCAGGCTGAGGACTGAGATGGTCACATATGCTGAGCTGACTGTGTGAGACATAGGCATATGCAGAGAGTCTTCCTCTATAAAGATTCATTTGCGAGATGCAATCACAGAGTACAGTAGAAATTCATTCTTCGGGGCAAGGGAAACATATCTATACTTTCCTGAGCAAAATTTTGTAGTCTAGACAAATTCCAAAATTCCAATCTATTGTAATGTTCAAATGCAAATAAAACTAAAACTAAAAGTAACTGCAAATTCCTTTTTTTGTCACTAGTAAGATCCACAAGTGTTATGTTCATACTTGCAAACTTGTCAAGGAATGCAACATTTTAAAGTAACATTACTTCTGTAACAGGGACATCATTGTTGCTTGAATGTTCATTTAAAAAGTAAAGATTTATGATTCTTAAAAGTGTGAGATTAGGTTTGGCACTGATTCTCCTTTGTGTGGTACATCTATTTCAGTGACTAAACTTCATGGGAAGCACATTGTGAGAGTAAGATTAGATTTGTTTATATTTATCTTGGGAATGTTCTTAAGGGTGCCATAAGTAAACATGAGTTCTTAAAAATGAAATCATTTTAGTATTTCTCTGAAGCTCTGCTAAAAAGTAGAAAAATTAATTCTAGAGAAAGCAATAATTTGGTCCTGATGGACAAAAAGGAATACAATTATGTATTATGAAATATCTTTGCTATACCGACACGGAAGTGACATCATATTCCTTTTAAAATACCCTTCCGGAGTAGTATAAATGAAAACATATTTCCTTCTGACTTCTTTCCTTTTCACTGCACTTTACCCTGGCTTTGGTCTTTCTGCTCTTATCTGCCATTTCTTTTGTCCCTTCTTCTCCCCTCAACCCTGTCACTTTGATCTGCATTTCCTCACAATCTCCACTCCATTCTTCTTTAATTTGAAACTTCCTGCTTTATTTCTCTAGCAGCTTTATTCTACTGCACTTGAATCCTCTCTTTGAGTCAAATAGTCACATTGACTGTTAAAAAGGAAAACAATGTCAGATGTTGCCCTCTGCCCATAAAGAACAAAAACCACAGATTGAAGTATTAAAAACTTTTTTCATCTTAAGAAGAGTTTTGCTAGATGTCTTTGACTGGTGTTTTTTTTTTTTCCATAGACTATCTGATTTTGAAGAATAAAAAAAGATGGTAAAACATAGTACTGTTTACACTTATTGATATTTTTATTTAAACAGCTTCTCATTGAGTGAGTAAACTTACAGATCTGACTTCTCTATTATATTAAGGGAGCAGACTGATTAGGTTCGATCAATCATGAAGGAATGAGATGACACCTGAGATAGTCCTTTGAAAGTTAAATAATAAATAATACCTGATATCAGGGATGGCACTTATGTGTCACTCATATTCCCACTCCTGAGCTTGGCCATGGCCCACATTCCTTCTAAGCTTTACAGGTAGTTATTGTAATTTAACTAGATGTGTTCCTTGAGTTGAAATTAATTTGTCCTCTTTGCTTTAGACTGTATACCTCATGACCTCCAATTTCACAGCTGGTATGGCACATACAACCTATGAGTTAGGTCTTATTTTAAGAATTTTACGGGAACTAGTTTTGAGACTCAGAAGGATTTAAGTAACTCACCAAGGTCACATAGCTGGTAATAGAAATAATTCAGGTCTTCTGACGGCAAGATCAGAATCCTGTTTTCTATATCCCAGTTGCTGAAAAAGCTAAGCGACTGAGCTAAGTGTGCCTCAGATATCTCCTAAAGAAATAGCTAGCAAATGGTGAAAGAATAATCCAATTGTGTTAGGGAAAAGTCTTGTCCCAGAGTCACAGCAAGGTTAAGTAAAATGGGCCACCATCTACTTGGGGTGCATAGGAAATACCAAAAAAGAAACCTAATATTTCCCTGAAACTCCATCCCCCATCAATGCATACTCTTTGCATATATACCTCACCTTCGTAATTTCTGGAATCACACACACACACACACAGACACACACACACACACACACACATATATAGAGAGAGAGATTTTGGAGACTGACTTCCTTCCTTCCTTCCTTCCTTCTTCCTTCCTTCCTTCTTCCTTCCTTCCTTCCTTTCCTCCCTCCCTCCCTCTCTCCCTCTCTCCCTCCCTCCTCTCTTCTTTCTTTCTTTGTTTCTATGTTTCTTTCTTTCTTTCCTTTCTTTCTTTTTCTTTGTTTCTATGATTCTTTCTTTCTTCCTTTCTCTTTCTCTCTTTCTTCTTTCTTTCTTTTCTTTCTCTCTCTCTCTTTCTTCTTTCTTTCTTTTCTTTCTTTCTTTCTGTCTCTTTCTTTCTTTCTTTCTTCTTTCCCTTCCTCCCTCCCTTCTTCCTTTCTTTAGTCTCTTCCCTCCCTTCTTTCTTTACCTTCTTCCCTCCCTTCTTTCTTTACTTCCTTATTTCCTTTTATCTTTCTCTTTGTTTACCTCCCTCCTTCTTCCTTCCTGCCTTCATAAAAAATCTAGCCACCATTCATGAACCAAGAACCAAATTCATAGTACTTGATGGAAATGGGTATATCAGATTGTTTACTGTTACATTAGAAATCCACAACAGCAACTTAAGGGAGGGAAAGAATCAGAAAAGGGACATTATTTTAAAACTGGGTTGGGGGGTGGTTACTGAAAGAGCCGGTGTATATCTGAGTGACTTAACCCAAACGCCCATCAATGATAGACTGGATAAAGTAAATGTGGCACATATACACCATGGAATACTATGCAGCCATAAAAAAGGATGAGTTCATTTCCTTTGCAGGGACATGGATGAAGCTGGAAACCATCATTCTCTGTAAAGTAACAGAGAACCAAATACCACATGTTCTCACTCATGAGTGGGAGTTGAACAATGAGAATACATGGAAACAGGGAGGGGAACATCACACACCAGGGCCTGTCGGCGTGTGGGGTGCTACAGGAGGGAGAGCATTAGGAGAAATACCTAATGTAGATGACAGGTTGATGGGTGCAGCAAACCACCATGGCATGTATATACCTATGTAACAAACCTGCATGTTCTGCACATGTATCCCAGAACTTAAAGTATAATAAAAAATAAATAAATAAATAAATAAATAAATAAATAAATAAATAAAAAGGCCACTGTAATGCATGTAAGAGTCATGGAGTTTTCGAGTTTAAAAGAGACTGGCCCTACAGCAATCCAGTGAAGATTCTCCACTCCTGATCCTTTTTTCCTCTTCTATGTCCCCATTTCCTTCTGCTCTTCTCACACAGTAAATAGCAAAAAAACACTACTTTTTCCAAACTATCTGGGCAGAGATTTTCCCCTCTAGCATTTAGAGTAAATGTTTATTGGATTAAGAAGTTATTTGACTCTGCAATGGTGTTGATAATTTATTTAAAAAAATTGACAGGAATAATGACTACCTAAGGCTGCAAAATATCCTATACATTATATTTTATGCTAATGAGTCAGTACTATTTTCATGTAATTTAATGAATCTTTTATCAAACATTATTTGTATAAATGGGTTGTTTAAAATCAATTATGTGAAAATTAAGGTCCTTTCTGCATCTCATTCTCCTTGAAATCAACAAATTTGGAAATCAATATCTATATTATTCATCATCTTCTCTTAAAGAGATGGAAACTAAAATCTAATTTTAGAAGATGAGATTCGCTAATTGATCCCTTGAGTAAACTATTGAGGAAATCAGAATACAAATAGTCTTAAAAATGACATGTAATATTCATTTATGAAAATAAGTATTATCCATAACTCTATTATGTATTTTAAGAACTCATATTATTCATTCCTATAGCTTTGAAACTCTTTCAAAGTAAATATCATATTTGTATATATTAATGGGAAATCAGAATTAAATATTCTTTTGGAAATAAATAATTGTTAGGCTTTCCCAGATTTACAGATACTAACACAAGAAGACAAAATCCAAGGCTTTGCATGCTCATGAGTGCATCTAAGTCTTTTATTTCTGGGAGACTGAACAATATCGAGTGACAGGTCGTAAGGGAGCAAATGTTTATTGTGTTTGTTCAAGGTCCTTAGCTGGCGAGTTGGCACATATTCCTCAGAATGAGAAATGTCTTCATCTCTCCCAGAGGAGATTCCTGTTCTTAAAGAGCAGAGGCAAGAGAAGTAAATATGCAATATGCACAGGTAATTGGAGAGCCGCAAAACTAATGCTTTAGACAGCAGATAGGTCAGTAGATGTTTCTTTTGTTGACGAACAGCCTGGATTTTCTCTTTATTTTCTATATCCCTTGGGAAAAACAAAAACAAAGACAAAAGCATACCCAAGCTACAGCTGCTGAAGTGTCTTCTTGATCAAATTGAGAGTTTGTGTTCTTATTTTCAAGACTCTCTAGCTTTCTATGGAGAGGGTCTGTAAAGCAGATGTTCTGGTATAAATCCATGTGCCTGGAATTATTTTACTCCCTCTGGTAAGTCATCCTTCTCCAATCCCTTTCCAGGATGTACTCCTTTTCAGAAATGTGAACACATTTGAACACTATATATTGGGGAAAGCAGAAGGCACCAGCAGTAGAGCATTTCCATGCAGTCTCCAATGCCCATATCCTTAATCTTTAAAATGAACAAGTCTTCAAACTGAGCTAATAAAAAAATGAGTTCACAGAAAATTATCTCACAGTGAAAGAAAGGAAAAGTAAGGAAAGTCCTTGAGTTGCAAAGTAACATATAAGGTACTTTAGGACAACATCTAGAACTGGTCTGTTTTCAAGGAGCTGCTGTGACCTCCCTGATACTCTCTGTGCCTTCCAGGCACTTTCAGCAGAAGGGGCATGAGATGACAGCTGCCATCATTTGCTCCTCTCTGGCGGATTGATGAGAAAAGTATGTCCTGCCTATCCCTGGTTTTGCCATACCAGCAGCCTTGCCATTCCTCGGCTCACACTACCATTCCAGTCTCATATAATCCAATTTTTAAAAGAATTTTTCTTTAGGGAATATAATGAAGAGTGTCTCCTGAAAAAGTTAGAACTCGTGGGAACAAAAGTACTCTCTTAATTGGCCAGATGCACTTCTCACTTGCTAGACAACGATCTGATTCTTAATTTCACTTGCACAGCATGGCTGTTGCCACTGTCTGCCGGGTGCCCTGGAAAACCTAATTAGGCACACAGGGGTGAACATTTTACTTTCAGTCAAGGGAATATTCCTTCTGGATAAATCACTGTGGGGCCCTGAAAAATAATTGTGTTTGGCTTGATTTTAAAAGAACTGAATGAGCCCTCAGGTTGTTGGATTTCATGTGATACTTTAACACAGAATACAATCTACTAGATATATTATGGGAAATCTCTTTTGTGAGGGCAATTTTAAAAAAAGTGTTATAAACAACAAGGTTCTGTTTGACTAAAATTAGAGGGTAGCTATGTATCCTCTCTCACTTTTCTGTAGTTCCCTTTATATGATGAAAGAAATCGATCTTCCCCCTTCTCTTCTTGTAAGACTGAATGTTTTGCAAATGGTACCATCTGTTCAGCAGGAGATACTCAGGACACATATTTTTTGAAAACCTAGCTGGTATCTTTATTTGCCCAAATCTTACTGTATATTCATTTCATGTGAGTTTCTTCCATAGGAGTGGGTACTTAGGGAGAGCTATAGTTATGCCTGGCCGCAGAAACTTTCTAATCTAATTCACTTTGTCTGCTTAGGACTCATCCTTCTCTTGTGCGGCTACAGGCCCTGTTTGCTAGCCCCTGACTTCTCTAGCCTTGCTCAGCTGTGGTTAGAGAAAGCCTCTTTCCCTAGGCTTGGCCCTACCAAGCATCTGATCGGTGCTGAGCAGACTAAAGAACACGTGGGGTTTCCAGCTAACTCTGGGCCTCCAGCAATAGGCAGAGTCCAGGGTTAGCTATGTTTATGTAGTCTGATATTTACTGTGACTGAAGTAAACTCACAGCTGCATCTTCACAGAGCCTGGCCTTCACTAATCCTGGTCTGGTCTCAGGTTCTGGTTTAGTATTTCAGTTCTCCTGCAGGAACTGGAAGGCTGATTCAACTCTAGTGTGCTTAGATAGTGCTCTCAACTTCTCTGGTCCTGCTGATCATCTCCCTGAGAAACATGGACTTTGTCCTCACCATACTCTAGCCCAGATCTCAGTTAGTTGGTTTCCACGTCCTGTTTTTCTGCACTGAATGACAATGTTTTCATACTACTTGCCTTCATGTATTGCCTGGAACCCATGTTTATGCCTTTAAGCTTGTGTATTAAACAGAATTGACTTTAGATTTTGATGACAAACTTTCTCAAACCCAAGTTTACCTACCCTCAGACAACTGTGCTGGGCAGGTGGATAATCTTACTCAGCTTTTCAGGCTGGTTTCAAGTCATTTGCTCTTGTTTCTCATGTCAAATTCTGTCATCCCAGTGTGCCTGGAAGCCATACTCTTCTAGCTTTACTAATTCTTAATTTTTTTTTGTTTTCACTCCTGATATTGCCTCAATGTCTGTATGAGATTGATGGTGGAATGGCTGGTGATGAGGGAGGAAAGAGGACAGATGCATTTAATGATTTTATCCAAAGAGCATCACAAAGAATAAGAGAAAATGGCTGACTAGACACAGCCAGAAGGACCTCCCAGCTGGGACACTGGGAAGACTGCTACCCACACTCCAAGCAGATATTCAGAAGGAAGGCATCAAGAATGGATGGAGGGAGGACACAGATGCTAGGCTGAAGTGGGAGGAAATGAGGAACCCAAAAGGGGCTACCAAGCACCAGGATTTGTTTCTGACCCCTAATGAACACCGAGGAAGGGAGAATCAAAGAAGATAAAAGCAAAAAAATCCCATCCAAAGGATAGCAACTTCAAAGACTGAAGGAATTTCATCCCACGCAGATAATAAAGATCCAGTACAAGAACTCTGGCAACTCAAAAAGCCAGAGTGTCTTCTTAGTGCCAAACAACTGCACTAGTTCCCCAGCATTGGTTTTACTAGGCCAAAATGGCTGAAATGACAGAAATAGAATTCAGAATATGGATAGGAATGAAGATCATTGAGATTCAAGAGGAAGCTGAAACCTAGTCCAAGAAATCTAAGGAACACAATACAATGACATAGGAGCTGAAAGACAAATTTTAGACTTTAAGAAATAACAAAGCTGTTAGAACTGAAAAACTCACTTCAAGAATTTCAGAATTCGGTCACAGGTATTAACAGCAGAATGGACCAAGGTGGGAAAAGAATCTCAGAACTTGAAGAATGGTTCTCCAAAATAGCTCAGTCATACAGAAATAAAGAAAACACAATAAAAGAATGAACAAAATTTATGAGAAATATGGAATTACATAAAGAGACCAAATATATAATTCACTGACATCCCTGAAAGAGAGGGAGAGAAAGAAAACAACTGAAAACATGTTTTAGAATATCATCCATGGAAATTTCTCCAACCTCACTAGAGAGGCCAACATTCAAATTCAGGAAATGCAGAGAATCTCTGTGAGATTCTATACAAGATGACCATCCCCAAGACACATAGTCGTCATATTCTTTAAGGTCGAAATGAAAGAAAAAAATGTTAAAGGTAACTAGAGAGAAGGGGCAGGTTACCTACAAAGGGAAATCCATCAGCAGACCTTTCAGCAGAAATTCTATAAACTGGAAGAGATTGAGGACCTATCCTGAGAATTCTTAAAGAAAAGTAATTCCAACCAAAAAATTTCATATCCAGCCAAACTAAGCTTCCTAGGTGAAGGAGAAATAAGATCATTCTGCAGACAAGCAAATTCTAAAAGAATTCATAACCACCAGACCTGCCTTACAAGAGGTTCCTAAGGGAGTGCTAAACATGGAAAGGAAAGACCATTACCAGCATAAATAAAGGGAGATATTTATGGGCATAAATAAAGCCACACATCTACAACCATCTGATCTTCAACAAAGTCGACAAAAACAAGTAATGTAGAAAGGACTCCTTGTTCAATAAACGGTGCTGGGATAACCGGCTAGCCATATGCAGAAGACTGAAAATGGACTCTTTCCTTATACCACATACAAAGCTCGACCCAAGATGGATTAAATACTTAAATGTAAAACCTAAAACTATAAAAACTCTGCAAGATAACCTAGGAAATATCATTCTGTACATTGGCTCTGGCAAAGATTTCATGATGAAGACTCCAAAAGCAATTACAACAAAACAAAAATTGACAAATGGGATCTAATTAAACTTAAGAGCTCCTGCACAGCAAAAGAAACTATCAACAGAGTAAACAGACAACCTACAGAATGGGAGAAAATATTTGCGCGCTATGCACGTGAAAAAGGTCTAATATCCAGGAATCTATAAAGAACCTAACTACAAACAAACTAACAAGCTAAAAACAAATAACCCCATTACAAGATGGGCAAAGGACATGAACAGACACTTTTCAAAAGAAGACAAACATGCAGCCAACAAGCATATGAGAAAATACACAACATCACTAGCCATTAGAGATATGCAAATCAAAATCACAATGAGATAACACCTCACACTAGTCAGAATGGCTATTACTGAAAAGTCAAAAAATAACAGATGATAGTGAGGTTGCAGAGAAAAGTGAATGCTTATACACTGCTAGTGGGAATGTAAATTAGTTCGGCCAATGTGGAAAGCAGTTTGGTGATTTCTCAAAGAAATCAAAACAACTACCATTTGACCGAGCAATCACATTATTAGGTATATTCCCAAAGGAATATAAATTGTTCTACAATAAAGACATGCACACATATGTTTATCACAGCACTATTCACAATAGCAAAGGCACAGAATCAGCCTAAATGCTCATCAACAGTAGACTGGATAAAGAAAATGTGGCACATGTACACCGTGGAATACTACACAGCCATAAAAAGCAAGATATAATGTCCTTCATAGCAATGTGGATAGAGCGTGAGGCCATTATCCTAAGTAAATTAACACAGGAACAGAAAACCAAATACTGCATGTTCTCACTTATAGGTGGGAGTGAAATATTGAGTACACATGAACACAAAGAAGGGAACAACAGATAATGAGGCCTAGTTGAGGGTGGAAGGTGAGATGAGGGCGAGGATAGGAAAACTACCCATGGAGAACCCATGGAGAACTATTATGGTGAAATAATCTGCACACAAAACTCCTGTGACACGCAATTTACCTATATAGCAAACCGGCACATGTACCCTTGAACCCAACATAAAAGTTTTTGAAAAAACAAAAACATAAAAAAAAGAGCATCACAGTGGAGGTAAGAAAAGTAGATTCTCACTTCATATCTCTTACTTAATAATTGGGGATCTTAGGCACACAACGACAGGTCCTTCACCCCCAGGGCTGGCCTCCTTAGCAGCAAACAGGCTTCCTGTCTAATTGACTTACCTTCTTTGGGGGGAGTGACAAACATGATGATTTTGTTTTGTGATACTATTCAGGCAATGTTAGAACATGGGTATATTATAAGTTAAAAGACTTTTACAGGGGACCTAAGGAATATTGCTTCTCGAGTTCTACCAACTGATGTACAAACCAAGACACTCATAACACAAGGATTTTGTGATGAGCATTGCTGGTAGGCAGCTGACTGATCATTTAATGTTCCTCAAGTGCCATAACAAAATATCTTATACTGCCTGGCTTAAACAACAGTCATTTATTTGTCATAGTTCTGGAGGCTGAGAAGCTCAAGATCAGGGTGCCAGAGTGGTCAGGTTCTTGGTAATGGTCCTTTTCCTGCCTTGCAGATGGCTGTGTCTTGCTGTGTCCTAACATGTAAGAGAAAAAGAGAGATCTGGTCTCTTCTTCTTCTTCTTCTCCTTCCCCATGGATTAATCTAAATCTAATTATCTTCCAAAGGCCCCACCTCCACATACATCACATTAGGAGTTTGGTCTTCAACATAGGACTTTTTGGGGGGGGGACACAAACATTCAATGTTTGTGAACACTGATCTAAACCACTCATCAGCTGTGTTGTGTACCAACTGCTGAGGGACACTTCTACAGGGAACCTTAGTACTTTTTCCCACTTGCATGATCTGTGCAGAGTTTGTTTTGCTTGATTATTCTATTTTTATTTTTTTCTATTTACCGGGGAAATTTCCTTGCCTTGTAGGCATAAGTAAAACTCACCCATATATTGTAAAGTAGATGTAGCCTACTCTTGACTCCTTCCTCTCCAGTATTCCCCTATAACACCCAGCCAGAAGTGACCTCATCTTCCTCTGAATTACCATTTGATGTGATTTGGCTGTGTCCCCACCCAAATCTTGTGTTATAACTCCCACAATTCCCACGTGTGGTGGGAGGTGATTGAAGTATGAGGGTGGGTCTTTCCTGCACTGTTCTCATAATGGTGAATGAGTCTCACGAGATCTGTCGGTTTTAAAAATGGGAGTTTCCCTGCACAAGCTCTTTTTTTGCCTGCTGCCATCCACGTAAGATGTGACTTGCTCCTCCTTGCCTTCTGCCATGATTGTGAGGCCTCCTCAGCCTTGTGGAACCATGAGTCTAATTAAACCTCATTCTTTTGTAAATTGCCCAGTCTCAGGTATGTCTTTATCAGCAGTGTGAAAATGGACTAATACACCATTGCACTCAGTTACTGGTCTAAATCATATAGTATGCTCCATGCCATTTATTTCTTTGTCCTTGGTGCATGGCAAAGTGGTTGTAACAATATGAACATTAAAAAAAAAGTCTGTTGAATGAATGAATGTTCTATTTTTAAAATAAGGTTTTACTTTTAGAATAGTTTTAGATGTACAAAAAATTGAGAAGCTAGTATAGACAGGCATATTCCCCATAACTGGTTTCTGCTACTATTAACATTACACATAACATGGTACATTTGTCACAATTAATGAACTGATAACACAATATTATCAATACAAGTCCACACTATGGTTAGATTTCATTTTTTTCTGTTTTCCCTCAAATTTATTGAGATATGATTGACAAATAAAAATTACATTCGAGGTATACAAAGTGATATCTTGATATACATACACATTGTAAAATGATACTACAATCAAACTAACATATTTATTGCCTCACCTAGTTACCATTTTGTGTGTGTGTGTGTGTGTGTGTGTGTGTGTGTGTGTGTGTGTGGTGAGAAGACTTGAGATCTACTCTGTCAGTACAAAGAGTAGATCTTTGCAAGAGTGTAGAGCTTTGCTAAAGGGGAGATGTTGGTCAAATGGCATACACTTGCAGTTATAAATTTATAAGATGAATCAGTCCTGGAGACCTAATGTACAGCATAGTGATTGTAGTTGATAACAATTAATTATATACTTGAAATTTGCTAAGATATCTTTAGGTTTCTTTTTTTTTTGAGATGGAGTCTCACACTGTCACCCCGGCTGGAGTGCAATGGTGTGATCTCGGTTCACTAAAACCTCCACCTCCCAGGTTCACGCGATTCTCCTGCCTCAGCCTTCCGAGTAGCTGGGATTACAGGTGCCCGCCACCACGCCTAGCTAATTTTTTGAATTTTTAGTAGAGACTGGGTTTCACTCTGTTGGCCAGACTGTTCGCAAACTTTTAACCTCGTGATCTGCCACCTTGGCCTCCCGAAGTGCTGGGATTACGGGCATGAGCCACCGTGCCCAGGCCATCTTTAGTTTTTATCTAATGTCTTTTTTGTCTTTTAGCAGCCCATCCAGGATAACACACAGCATTTAGTCATCATGTCTCCTTAGGCTCCTCTTGAATCTGATAGTTTGTGAGACTTTCCTTTTTTGCTATGACCTTGATTGTGTTTTGAGGAGTACTGGTAAGGTATCTTGTAAAGTGTCCCACAATTTGGGTTTGTGTGCTGTTTTACTCATGATTAGAAGAGGGTTATGGGATTTGGGGAAGGAAACCACAGAAATAAAGTGCTATTTTTATCACATCATGTCACGGGTACATACTGTCAATGTACCTTATCACTGTTGATGTTAACCTTGATCACCTGGCCTAGGTAGTGTTTGTCAGGTTTCTCTGCTGTAAAGTGACTCTTTTTTTAAAACTCCCCATCTTGTCACACTGTACTTTTGGAAGAAAGTCATGATGTGTAGCCCATATTTAATGGTTGGGGAGTTATGCTCTACCTCCTTGAGGGCAAGTATGTCCACAGAGTATTTGGGATACTTCTGCACAGAAGATTTATTTGTTCTCTTTATTTATGGATTGATTCAGTCATTGATTTAAGCAGTATAGACTATGAGTGTTTTATATCCTGGTTAGTAACACAATCTGTTTTTTTTTTTTTTTCACAACTAGATCAAAAGTTCCTAGGTGCTTAGAACTGATTCATGCTTCTACGCCCCCCTGCTTGCCTGATGCAAAACAGATTACCCCCAAAATAGACATTTGTTGGTTGATAGAACTAAAGTAAGAATTAAGTTCCCAATATCTGTAATGATGTCCCAAAGCAGTCTAATTGATCTGTTGACATTATCTTACTATATTTAACTGCCTTTCTGAAAATGTTATCTGAGGTTGAAAGACCCTTAGAAATCATCTAGTACAACCCTTTTGCTTACAATGGTAAAACTTAGGACTGGAGAGGAAATGTATGGACCCATATATGAGATGAGAACCTACTTTCCTAATCTTCAATGTGATGCTCTTTAGACATAACGCATGCTGTGATAACTACTGCAGTATCTAGTGGGTGTAATGTGCTCGCCACAGGCTAGTTGAATTTGTAGCTGCAGGCAAAAGTGAGCCATCAAAGAAATTTTGTCAGTTCTGTTTTTGTTCTGCAAGGTGGATTTATACTTTTAAAAGATCTCTGAGGCATAAATGCCAGAAGGAGAGTGGATAGGTTTAAGAATGATGATGAGGTGACCTGCTCAGATAAGAGTGGACCAGATAAGAAACTCTGAGGACCAAGTCAGTGGCAGTGGAAAGAGAAGAGCAGATATACCAAGAGACATTTTGGTAGCATAACAGGTGTATTCTGGTTACCAAATAATTAGAGGGTAAGGAAGTAAGGGGTGATAAAGGTGACTCTGAAGTCCTTGGTTTGGGCTTTCCATTATATGGAGAGTGATGTCACCAATAAAGGCATAGCAGGTTTGGAAAGAAATAAACTTGTTAGGGGTGATGCCTGGTAGGCTCTTAGTACTTCTGGTAAGCAGCAGGAAATTGGATCGAGTTTAGGAGGAAAGCTAAAGCCCATGAGATGAATCTAAGAGTTAATGTAAACTGGTTGATGAAGCCATTGGAAGTGATGAGATCACCAAAGGAATGTAGAAAAAAAGAGAACTGAATTACCTGAATTTACTAAGGATAGAGGACAGAGGAAGCAAAAGGAAGTAAGAAGAAACAATTAGAGAACCAAATGTGGAGTGACTGGGGAAGCCTGGTAAAGAGGGAGGGTGATTTGTGTTAAACTCTGCAATAAGATCAAATAAGAGGAGAATTCAAAAGAGGCTGACAGTACTCAGCCTCTTGGGTTTCAACCTCAGATATCTTTTTCAGAAAGGCAGTTAAAGACACTAAGATAATGTCAACAGATCAATTAGACTGATTTAACATATCATTACAGATACTGGGAACTTAGATCTTACTTTAGTTCTATCAACCAACGAATGTCTATTTTGGGGGGCATGTACTCAAGTAAGTGGTGACCTTAGCAAGAGTCCTGTCTGTGTAGAGCCAAAAGAGCTGGATACTGCACAAATAGAGGGCAAGATAGATATACAGCATTTTCATTATGGTTCTTACTGGCTCAATTTCCCTTCATTCCGAAGGTTAGAGATAATTGTATGAGAAAGGATTTAAGTTAAATAAGAAGAATGTCTTGTTTTTATGAGACATAGGGATAGGTTAATAGGATATTTGAATCATTTGGGAAACTTTCAAGACTAAAGATGTGGGCAATTTAAGCTGGAATAAGTTAGTCTTTCATGAATAAAAAATGTCTCTAAATTTCCCTCTAAGTCTTTGGCTTATTCCATAAAGTTGTACATATAAGACTACAAGGGGATAGTTTTTACTTTTGCATGTACTTATAGGATAAATTTGCCCTGTCTGAAAATATTGAAATTTCTAACTGGTTGATTTATTCAGAGGTTTCTGAATATTTCAGTATGCAATCAATTGCACTTTTAATAAACCATAAACAATGTTTACTGCTTTATTTATTCAATTTAATTAAAGTGACTTGATGGCTAACTAGTACAGTGCTTTTGACAGGCCCCAGACACTGGGTCTAATTACTGGAGGCAACAATACAGAAAGATGATAAGATGATTGCTTTCTTGAAAAATGGAACAAAACAAAGCAAAATCAATTTTTGTTTGTTTGTTTGGAGGCAGAGTTTGCCTGAAAAATAGAAGGCCAATGTTGTGAAAACTTTCCTGCGGCTCTCCGTGTTTTCAAGCAGGTGCGGGCGACACAAGACTCCTTCTAGAGAATAGCCTTCACATCTCCTCACAGCCTCACTGCTGGTTTTGCCCAGAAGTGTAAATAGATTCAAAGGTCATCTGCTTCTTAATATCTCATTTCTCTCCTTTTGGAGTGGTTTCAGTTTGAATTAGCATCATTAAGATGAGGCAGCTCCCCAGTCAATCTGAAAGAATCAAAAGAGCCCTTATACCCCCTACAGAGCCTTTTGCAATCCTCTGGCTCTTAACACTCCAAATGATTTGATTATGTTTGTTTATATAATAGTTGCAATATTGATTCAAACTAGAGGTGGCCAGGAAGGGTCAAACTGTGCTTTATGTTTCCCTGTAGTCGTATAGATCATAGCCTATTACTTCCACATCATCTAGAGGAAAGAATTGCCATCATCTTTCTAAAACCAAAATGCATTGCAAAAAATTTTATAGACCTTAAGAGAGCTTTGACAAAATTGGTTGGCACAGTAGTAATTTGGTTTTCATGAAGTAGTTTTCTTTCATGAATAAATAGCATTGTGTTTACACACAGAATAAAGCTCACTGAAAATCTTTCTATTTGTTTTTGACAAATTCACTGAAAAATTGACAAAGGAAACATTTATTTTAGACACTGCTAGCCAATCCAATAAAGATCCTGGTGAACTAAACTTTTAAGATTTTTTTGGCCGACAGACTGAAAGGTTGTTTTCAATACTTCTTTATGTTTACACATCAAACACCCATAGATGTACTGCAGTCTATAATATATAACCCTTGCATTAAAGAAACCCTCTAGCATGAAGGACCAAGTCAGTATTTTGTACTTGCACTTGGTGTGAGTCCATCAGTACTGGGGGAAAATTATGCCCTAGTAAACAGCTTTGGGTTCATTCCCATTTGCAAACACTCAGTATAATGTTCCACAAAGAAGTTCAATTAAAAGAATCCACACAATATCATATGTGCATGTGATGATTAAATGACCCAAAGCTTTTCCATTTCTGGGGACCCCACAATGTGTGTCATCTTCAGATTTTTCACTACTTCTAGAGAGAGCAGGAGACAAGCATGTCCCTGAAGCACTAGGTTTTCAGCAGGAATGTTCATGACTGGATTGCCTCTGACTCCGGCCAGGGACTCATTGGTTGTCTTTGGCAGGTGTTTGTGCTTGTGTACAGGGAAGGGAGAGATAGGCAAATGACCCTGAGAAAAATTACAGAGAAAAAAATTCAATGTAGCACTTTGCTGGAAGATCCATACATAGGGAAAGTCAAAGGATAAAATAAAAATGAGTTTTATGTCATTTTATTCTGAAAATGCAATTTTTGTATTTACTAACTTCCACAATAATACAATAGTTTTGACATGACAGTTATATTACAAAAAAGCAAATGTGATTTAACTAAAGTGGCATTGTACTAGCTTTAAACAAAGAAAACATTTGACAAAAGATGGAGAAGAGAGAAAACCCTCTTTTGTTGCCCCACATAAATCCTAATACACTGGAAACAGAAAATGCCTTTATTGAGAGGGTAATGAACTAACAAATGAAAAAAGAATCCTCATTGAACTGGAATACTTTTATAAGTATAAGCATTGCAAGGATAGAAATTGTGCCTGAGCTCATCTTACTTTCTGTAGTACCACATGATGTGCTATATATTCAATAAATAGTTTTTTTTTCTTTTCTTTTTTCTTTTTGAGATGGAGTCTTGCTCTCTCTCCCGGGCTGGAGTGCAATGGCGTGATCTCAGCTCACTGCAACCTCTGCCTACCAAGTTCAAGTGATTCTCCTGCCTCAGCCTCCTGAGTAGCTAGGATTACAGATGTGCGCCACCATGGCTGGCTAATTTATGTGTTTATTTTTTTTTAGTAGAGACGGGGTTTTGCCATTTTGGCCAGGCTGGTCTTTAACTGCTGACCTCAGGTGATCTTCCCGCCTTGGTCTCCCAAAGTGCTGGGATTACAGGCGTGAACCACTGTGCTGGTCTCAATAAATATTTTGTGAATAATGATTTTCAGTCCAGAAAGTTTAAATGTTTTTTCCTTGTTTAGACGGACTTTTCCAAGACAGATTCCTTTCATACACTGAAAGGGAGATTGGAAACCAGATGATAGAGTTAAGGGAACTAAGATCAGAAAAGGGGAGAGGACTGGGGCCAGGGAGAATACAGCAGGCTGGGTGTTCTGAGAGACTTGTTATTTTGGTGGGGTAGCTCTAGGTCTAAGAAACTCCTAGTGTGAAACCAAGTGACCCTTGGCATGTGATGCCTGGACCCAAGCAGCTCCAGCTTTGGCCCCACTTTGTTCTGAAGAGCACTTCCAAGTTCTCAGTGGTACTTTCTGATAAAGATCAGCTTGGGGATCCTATCTAATCCACCGCTCCCTAAAACTACTGGACTTTAGTGCTGGCTTGGGGAAAATTTTCGGTGTCAAGGGGATAATTTTCCAACATCCTCTCGAATCCCATCTGCAATTTTAAAAACCTTTCTCTGGCATTTAAGTTTTATTCAATAGGACTTCATTAAAGTTAAATATCTGGCAAAACAAACTTGCCCAGTTGGAGTGAAGCCTGCATTGTTTCATTGCAGCCACATGCATAAATGATGCTTGAGACCATTTGCAGGGTGAAAAGAAATCTGGAGAGTTTTATATTATTAGAGCAGTGCAAGAAGAAATTTGAGGGCTCAGAGAATTCAAAGCCTTCGAAGTTTTGCCCAGATCTCACCATAAATATTGAGAGTGATAACAAGACAAACCACGAGGAGTCATTTAGGCTTAGTAGAGGAAGCTAAACAGAACTTCCTTTACACTAATGTGCTGCAGGTTTCTTAAAGTTCCCACTGATCTAATAAAGAAAAAATAAGTTTGCTTTATTCTCTAGGGGGTGCTTGCAAAAAGGAGAAAAAGCTCTTCATGCCTGTCTTCAAACGATAAACTTCCCTCCCTCCCTCCCTCCCTCCCTCCCTCCCTTCCTTCCTTCCTTCCTTCCTTCCTGCGTTCCTTCCTTCCTTCCCTCTCTCCCTTCCTCTTTTCCTACCTTTCATTGATTCCTAAACAATTTCTGAGAACTTATTGTGAAGGTAAGAGGACACAACTCTTACCTTCATGGAAATAAATATGCAAATGATATTCAAAGTATGCTGGAATGTGTAATGTCCTTCATTCAGAGCTTGCTTGCAGGGGAGGCCATGGAGAGGGGACCTTGGGTGGGGGAGCTCCCGCATGAAGGGTAGGCCCATGGAAAGTGTGGCAAGAGGGCAGCTGGACTATAATGTGCGTGAGATTTGGTATTTTTTAAAAAGAAATGAAATAGAACACTAAGTCCATGACTCTGGCATCCTATATGAACTATGAAAGCTTATGGTGAGTATATTTCAAAGGAAAGAAAATTCAACATACAAAGAATGGGAAGCTAACATTACCCTCGTGGCTGTGCAGATTTCATCTTCATTACTTCAATTAGCCCTCACAATAAGCTTATAAGGCATGCGTTTTTCCTATTTCCTTTTTAGTTGTAGAAACTAAACCTCAGAGAGAGATTCCCAAATTGTTTAAGCTAAACTGTGACTGTAAATACTGTTCTGTCTGACTCTCACATTTCTTAGGGATTGGAGAGGCTACAAAACATGATGGGGAATCTGAAAAAAAAATTAAAAAGGATTAGACAAGGATCTCTTTTGGTATCTTCTCACAATGTTGGGAATATGATGAAAATGGCTTTCTTATTTCTGGTGCTCTGTTGCACACAACAAATCCCTTTATAATAAGAATTAGATGAGTTCTTGTAATATCTTTTAGAGTAGCCAGATAATTATTTTCCATGGCAATCTTCAAACTTATTAAAATATCAACCATTCCAGGGAAGATTCAGATATAACTAGATAGCTTCAAAACAGAAAATGAAAACCAGTCAAAGAAACATTGTTATGAATGCCATATAAATCAAATGTCATATATGCCTTTTATTAATAAATAACGTGAACCATTTACTACCTTCTCAAATAGTTAAGTGAACATTTTAGAAGACTTTCTAATTGCAATGTCATTGCCTTTCCATTCCTTAGTGCTTAGCCCTCTAATTTGAGATCTACTGGAGGGCAACATTTACAAATTAGAAACATAATTGAAATCTACTGCTGAATAAATTAATGTTTACCACTACATGAAATTAGTGCAATCATTTTAAATGGTATGGAATCTATTTTCTTTTCACTTCACTGGCTTCTTGTTTTTCTATGATGGAATTGTAGCTGGAGATGACTCTCAGAAAAACAAACTTTCCCCTTTGATATTCTCCCAAATGAGTACTGTGAGGAAAGGAATGGTGACATTACTGGGGAAACACAGGATGCTGTGGCCTTTCATGATGATGGGTCCTTCCTAGTTCTCTTAATTTTGAATCAAAGTGGACTAAAGACATTGTAGAGAGACTAACTCCATCTGAACAGATGACAAAAACATGAATAATTGAAAGATGTGAACAGAGTAAATTTACATTAGACCAGTACAAAAATAATGCTGAATTCATAAGTGTTAAAAATTACTCATTAAATTCAAAGTTTTTAAAACAAATGACTCTGCAAGACACACTATTAAGAGAATGAAAAACATAAGCCATAGACTGGGAGAAAATATTTGCAAATCACATACCTGATAAATACCCAGAATATTTAGAATATATATATCTAGAACATACAAAAACTATTAAAATTAAACAAAAAGAACAAACAATCCAATGAATAATGGCAAAGATCAAATAGGCACCTCCCCAAAGAAAATATACAAATGAAAAATAAGCACACAAAAAAAGATACCTAAAATAATTTGCCATTGAGGAACTGCAAATTAAAACAGCAATGAAAAATATTACACATGTATTAGAATTACTAAAATCCAAAATCTGACAATATCAATTACTACTAAGGATACTGAACAACAGAAAGTCTCAATCATTGCCGGTGGAAAATAAAAATGGCACCACTGCTTTGGAAGACAGGTTGGTAGTTTCTGCCAAAACTAAAATCTTACCACATATGCTCTTAGATATTTACACAATTGACTTGAAAATTTACACGCAGGGATGTTTATAGTAACTTTATTAATAATCACCAAAACTGTAAGCAACTAAGATGTCCTTCAATAGGTAAGTAGATATAGTCCATCCATACAATGGAATATTATTGAGTAATAAAAATAAATGAATCATCAAACCTCGAAGAGACACAAAGAACCTTAAATGCGTACTGTTAAGTGATAGAAACCAGGTTGAAAAAAACCATATGCTCTATCATTTCATTTTTTATAGATATTCTAGAAAAGACAAAACCTTAGACATTATATAGTTCAGTCATTGCCAGAGCTTTGGGGAAGGAGTAAGATTGGCTAGATAAAACACAGGGGGTTTTAGTGGTGGTGAAACTATTATATATCATACTGTAATGGTGGATATATGAAATTATACATTTGTCAAAACTCATAAAACTGCTTAACACAAAGAATGAACCCTAATGTAAACAATGGACTCTAGTTAATAATAATGTATCAATATTTGTGTATCAATTGCATCATACAAAGGAAATATATTAATAATAGGAGAAAACATGAAAACAGTGAGCAGGCAGGAAAAGAGGCATATGGTGGTTCTCTGTAATTTCTGCTAGATTTTTCTGCAAACGTAAAGCTTCTCTAAAAATAAAATTTATTAATTAAAAGAAAAGGTGCAGACCTAAATAACTTTGGAAATGAGTGGAGACTAAGAGTAAAGATAAAAGGAACTATATATACATACTGTAGTCTAGTTGTTAAAGTTGCTTCTCCCGGCAGTACAGATGAACAATTCTGAAACCACTATGCATGTATACTAGGATTGAACAAATAGGTTATATATGTCTGGATGGCAGGAGATTTCTTACTGTTGTAATAGGAAGTTACAAGTAAGCAAAGGGGGAAGACAAGAATAAATCATTTAGTACTGGATTACAGTTGGATACCTCAATATGAACTCATAATTAGTTCAATATGGATACAAATAACTAAATATAGAAATAATAATAAATATCTATGTATACACGAGTTAGTGCATATACATATATTTCTGAGCTCCATTTACTGAGAGGGCCTAGAAGCAATGACAATGCAGATGCAATGAGCACATCCAGAGCCCAGACCTTGGTTTCAAATGCCATTCTCTATGTAAGGAAACCAGGCCTCCTTGGAGAAGTGGCTAACTCTAGAGCAGGGCCAGGGAATAGACAAAATAGGCTTAGACTATATTATAGTAACAGAAAATAAAGAAAAGCTAAAGAGAAAATCTAACGGAGATATGTCAAAGGATCCAGAAACCAAGAAAGAACTCTCGATGGCTAAAGTTGGAATAATTTGAGTAACAAAATTAACAACATAGTATTAGATTGTAATCAAGGTATAAAATATATACCTATGAGTTCATACTGACATAAATATATGATTCAATAAACAAATAAATGAGAGGCAATAAACAAATCTTATTTGTAAAATTTCAAATAATTTATGTAGATACTTTACTCTCAAGAAGGTGAAGCATAATTCTCCCATTCCTTAAATGTGGGATAAATATAGTGACTGTCTTCCAAAGAGCACAGTATGAAAAATGTGGAAAAATAGTTCCTTTGCAGTGCAGAAACCTGAGAAACACTATCTCAACCATGTGATCAAGCTTAACATCAACATTGATGTCACTTTGATAATGGGTGCCCTTGACATGATGTGATAAAATTGACGCTTTACCTCTGTATCTTTCTCCCCAAAACTCACATCTCCACTCCAATCATGAGAAAAACATCCAACAAACCCATATTGAGGAACATTCTACAAAATATCTGACCAGTCTTCCTTAGAGACACCGAAACCAAAGAAAGCCTGAGAAACTGTCACGGTCTAAATAAATTTGAAAATTAAACATAATGTGGTATACCAAATAGGATCTTGGAATGGCAAACATCACATTAGATAAAAACTAAATGAATATGAATACAGCATGGACTTTACTTAGTGATAATGTATCAGTGTTGGTTATGATGTTACTTGTGAAAAACACACCATATGAGATCTTAACAGCAGAGGAAAATGGATGCTGGGCATGTAGGAAGTCTGTAATATCTTTGCAACTTTTCTGTAAATCTAAAACTACCCTAAAATAAAAAGCTTATTAAAAAATATTAAAAAAATGAAAAAGAAGAGTATGAACATAAGGATGACCTGAATCTGGGACATAAAATGGCTAGAAAGTGATTGCGACAACATCAACACAATGGAAAATAAAAAACATCAAAATGGAATTATTTACAGAATTGTGGAATGACTGAACACTTTGGTTTTAAATCTATTTGGGGATATATGACAAGTTTGGGAATTATCCTTGGTATATGTTAAAACAGAGTTTAAATGGCATTCTCTTTTTTTAAAAAAATTTATTTTATCTTGAGGGAGTGCACGTGCAAGTTTGTTACCTGGATATATTGTACGAAGTTGAGGTTTAGGGTATTAATGATCCCATCACCCAGGTACTGAGCATAGTACTCAGTAGTTAGTTTTTCAACCCTTGCCCTCTCTCTTCCTTCCCCCCTTTAGTAGTCCCCAGTTTCTATTTTTGCCATCTTTATATCTATGTGTACCCAATGATTAGCTCCTACCTGTAAGTGAGAACATGTGGTATTTGGTTTTCTGTTCATGTATTAATTCACTTAGGATAATGGCCTCCAGCAGCATCTATGTTGCTGCAAAGAATGTGATTTCATCCTTTTCATGGCTGTGTAGTATTTCATGGTGTATATGTACTACATTTTCTTTACCCAATCCATCACTGATGGGGACCTAGGTTGATTCCACATCTTTGCTATTGTGATACATTTCCTTTTTTTAACTTTAACTCCATTACCCTATTTCTGGTCTTTTTACCTTATATATTCCAAAATTACATTTCCATTTTTATACCTCGCTCATTTAAACAAACCTGTCTTCCAGGCAAACTGGTCTACTCACCACCTGTTAAATATGCATGAAGGTCCTTCTGCTTGAGTTATTCTCTTCACTTGAATGTGCTCTTCTCTTGCAGTTCCAATCATCTATCCTGAAGTTCTTACCATCCAAAAAGAATTCATCGGCTTGCCTTGATTTCCCCAGATAAAAGGGACCCCTTCCTTCTCTGACCCACGAAGACACTCTGTACTGCTCACATCAGCTGTATATGGCTTTGTATTGTGGTATATGTTACCTAGCTCCCCTATTGGCTATTAAACACTTAAGAATGAGGACCTGGTTTTTACATCTTTGCAGTTCCTTTGGTTCTTCATAGGTATTTACAAACTATTGATCTAGTGAATGTTGTCAATGTTGGACAGTCATTTTCAGTTAAAGAAAAAAGTGAAACCATATCAATTGGACTAAATTAAATATAAAAATTTTGATTATTCGTAACAGAAGCCATTTGATGGAAAGGGACCGCTACATTTGCCCCACATCTGTTATTATTGTGGTTTCTCCATTTGTAGTTGAAAATGCAGAGTCAATGCGCGTCAGGTAATGCCTCTTGTGTGTGAGCCATTATTACAATAATTAATAACAATGGCAGCTCAGTTGATAGGAACTTGGCAATGTGTGTACCCTTATCTTCAAAGCTCCAAATGGTTTGGAATTTGGCTTTTTGTAAAACCGTTTAATAAGAAAGTGTGTGTTTAGAATCTATTCCCAAAGACTGACCCTTATCTCTGAAGTCCTTAATGAGAAAGCACCTGACAAATTGACTGGCACACTCCACTCCTCCACATAATTTCCCTTCCTACCAAGTGAGTTTTTTGCAGTCTCTACTTCTAACTTAGAAAGTGTTGAATGATGAACAGTCTGAGGCCAATGTCTGACGATTTAGAAAGCTGTCTTCAAGAGGTGATTTCACAAAGTAAAATTAACTTACTGAAAAAGTGGAAAACCAATCAATCTTTTTTTCATTGGAGCAATTAACTATTCGATGAGTTTCACTTGACTGAATTGAATGATGGTTTTAGTACTTCCTAGCTGCCTCAAAAAGGAATCTTGATGGCGACTGCATTTTTTTTGTTTAATGAAATATAGTTCCACAAAACAGCAAATGCAAATAGACAGAAATCAAATGTATTATCAATCAACACAAGTATTATTTGTCTATTCATAAAACTTGTAATTAAAATTTATTAGTTATGTATTTATTAACAATAAATATTCAATAAGTAGCTAACGTTGGGAAGGTTAATATTGAGACAAAAATGCAAAAAATGTAAATGAAAATATCTGGCCTCATTTCACTGAGAATATATTTTAAAATATAGGCAAACTTTTTCACGTGAAAAGAACTCACCCAAATGTTGCTAGAAAAATTATAATTGCTGACTCCACTGTTATTATCAAGAGAAATAATTAATAGTTTATTACGCTACAAAAATATTTCTATTGTGGGAGATGGAAATTTCAAAATGATGTGAAAGTTTAGGACATGTTAGGTAACTTTTAAATCATGTGTTCAAAAATATTTATTCTTTAAGCAAAATGCTCAAAGAATAAGTTTAAGGGGTTAAGAGTTTAATGGGAAATGGAGAATTGATAATATGAGGACTACTCATTCAAGAAGCTTGGCTGAAAAGAATGAGATCAGGAGGACGGTATGTAAGAGGGATCACAAAGTAAAGGAAACTTAAAAAGGTGAAAACAAAAAACCTATAGATAAGCCTGATCATTTTAATAAGCTGAGAGATAGTGTCAGTCGTGAAAAAGAGACTAAGAATTCGGTGAGAGAAGGAGAATGGAGCAGAGTGGAAGGTGTCAAGAGCAAAAATAGACAAGTTGTCCTTGAATAAAATGATTCCTTGTCCAGGAGACTGGAAGGAAGAGGAAAAGATGGATGGAAACGCGGACCCTGTTAGAAGTTAAGTACTTGAGAGGAGAGTAAAGGGCAGCCAGATGAGAGAGGCAGAAAAACAAAGGATCAATAAATAAATACAGTACTGAGCCAGATTGGAAACCCCATACATTGTAGGGGCACTAATATGTATGGTGTTTTTGTGATATCCTTTTGCCATGCTCAACAATTTGGGTACTTTAATGGCAATAGTAACTTACTATGATAAGAACTTTACTTAGATTAGCTCATTTAGTCTTCACAAGTAGCCTCTGAAATAAGTACAATTATTATTTTCATTATATCAATGAGGAAATTGAGGCTTTCAGTGAAGAAATTTGCTTAAACCTACATAACTGGTAAGTATTAAAACCAATATTTATTTGAACCCAGGCAATCTGGCTTAGAAAGTGGGTTTATGCTGGCTTGCTTATATTTGTAGCTATATTGTTTTAAATCAGGGACTTGAGTCGTCAAATGCAAACAAAAAAAAACCAACCAAACAACAACACTGAAAAACAAAACAAAACAAACAACAACAACAAAAACCAACCAGTAAGGCAAGGGGATTCAACTGTTATGATGGCTCATAGAACTGTTCAGGGGACTAACAATGCAGCCCAAGCTGAATAAGGAAGGATTCCACGAAGGATATCTCACTGGTAACCTATGGAGGACCCAGAAGATTATGAGCAGAGGACTGGATGCTAGAGGTCTCCTAGGTGATCCATTTCTAAGTGGTGGTAGGGTTCAGGCTGGCACCACTGGGTATGAGTAGCTGGAGTGGATGATGTAGAGAGGAAATGAAAGACTCAGGAGGATTTGAGGAGCTAACAGAGTTATGATGAATTCTTATTTATAAAGAAGACTATGTGCTAAGGAATATTTATTTCTGAAAGATTGCTTTAATTTAGCTGATATTTATGTACCTGCTTATAATACAGGCAGGGTTCTAGGTGGTCAGGATACAACAGTGGGCGAAACAAACAAAGCTGTTGCCTCATGGAGTTTACACTCTAGTATTTATATGCCAGGTAGTGGTAAGTGCCTAAGAGGAAACATTAAGCAGAGAAAGTGTGATGGTTAATTTTATGTGTCAATTTGACTGGATTACAGGATGCCCAGATGTCTGGTTAAGCATTATTTCTGCATGTTGTCTGTGAGGGCGTTTTTGGAAGAGATTAGCATTTTATTCAGTGGATTGAGTGAAGTGGAATTGTTTTCTCCAATATGGATGGGCATAATTGAATCAATTGAGGGTCTGAGTAAAACAAAATGGTGGAGAGAGAGAGGGAATTTGCCTTCTCTTCCTGATTGCTTGGACTGGGACATTAGTCTTCTCCTGTTCTTGGAGGTCCTGATTCTCAGGCCTTCAGACTTTGAATTCTTTTGCACCATGAACTCTGGCTTTCAGGCCTTCGAACTATGCCACTGGCTTTCCTGTGTCTTCAGTTTGCAGACTGCAGATCATGAAATTTCTTACCCTTCATAATTAGATGAGCCAATATCTTATAAGAAATTATCTATCTATCTATCTATCTATCTATCTATCTATCTATCTATCTATCTACCTACCTATCTAGCTAGCTAGTTATCTCTATCCATATCCATCCATCCATCCATCCATCCATCCATCCATCCATCCATTCATCCATCCATTTGTCCATCCATTTTTTCTGTTTCCCTGGAGAATTCTGATTAATATAAAAGAAGAATAGGGCTAAGCATGATGACTCACTGTAATCCCAGTACTTCGGGAGGCCAAGGGAGGAGGCTAGGAGTTTGAGACCACCTTGGGCAACAAAGTGACACCTATCACTACAAAAATAAAAAATTAGCCAGATATAGTGGCTCATGACTACAGTCCCAGCTACTTAGGAGGCTGAGGCAGGAGGATCACTTGAGCTTAGCAGTTTGAGGCTGTAATGAGCTATGATTGTGTCACTGCACTCCATCTTGGGTGACAGAGTGAGAGACTGCTTCACACACAGACACACACACACACACACACACACACACACACACACACACACACAAATAGGTATTGTCAGGGTAATGGATGTGACTGCTATAAAGGGTGATCAGGACCCAATGAGAGACCTGTGTAGCTTAAAGGATTGAGTAATTATTTAAAGACATGTTGAAGAGTGTGGGGGGAGATGTCCTGTTTTGTTGGGGTCTGAGAATGACTGAGATCTGTGACCAATTAATTTCAAGATGCTCTTCAGATATCCAAGAGCAATATTGACTGTTAAGTAAAAGTTGAATATAAGATTCTGGATTTCGTAGAGAAATTCATAAGTCTTGGTTTGAGATATAAATTTGAAAATCATACAGATGATACATAAAATCATAAAAAATGAATGTGACCCTTAAGGACGAGATGACAGGTGGAGATGAGAGATACTCAGATGACTGTATGCAGAGACACTACTGAAAGATAGGGATATGATAAGTATCCAGAAAAGAGACTGACTGAGAAAAAGTCACCAGAGAAAAAGGAGAAAAACCAAAAGAGTGATGTCAGAGGCTGTGTGAAGAATGCATTTTAAGATGGAATGATTAATATTCAAATATTGCTGAGGAGTCAAATATTGTTGAGGAGTAAACGAAAATGAAGACTGAGAACTCACCAGTGAATATAGCAATGAGGAGGTCATTAATGGCGTTGACAGAGCAGCCTGATTGGTGATGGGTCAATAGAGAATGGAGGAAATGAAATGGAGAAAGTACCAACACATCTTCCTAGGAATGTTTCTATCAAGCACAGCAGAAAAATATGACCGTTGGGGAGGGAGGTGAGATCCCAGGAATTTTTTAAAGGTTAAGGTGAAAAACATTGCAGCATATTTGGGGGTTGATGGAAGCTAACTAGTAGAGAAGGATAAATTGATGATGCAGGAGAGAGAGGGACAATTGTTGGAGCATTGCTGAGACATAAATGAGAGGCAATGAGATGCAGACACAGGTAGAGGGGCTGCCCTTGGGAACACAAACAATCCATCTATAGTTGCAACTCTAAAGCTGTGAAGAGGCTGGAATGCTAACTGACTGGTGTCAGGGACACTATTTATTCTGGACCTTCACTTAGTACTGCTAAGCATAGTATACGTCACAGTAAGTAATGATTAATAAAGTTGAACACAGAAACTTTATACAGTGAATTGCATTTCAGCTGTCAAGGAGAAGACAACTGAATCACTGAATGAGCAATGCTAATAAATTGTGACAATTAAAAATCTGTGTGGTAAGCTATGAAATCAGTATTTAGTGTGACTTTCACTTTCAGAAGTGAGATTCCTTTATTGAAAACTACAGTCTGTGAAATGGGGGTTATTACTTCCCCCCAACCTCCCATCTCTTTTGCTGATGAAATAAATCTGTTTTTCACCCACACTGGTGTTCTACTAATTATATTTTATGGTTGTTTAAAATTTCTTCCTTGTATCTTACCTTTGTACATAGAACCTACTTTTGCAAAGCGAGGAAAACTATATATTCTTTTGCCTTTTTATTTTCAGAAAATGTGGTGTGTTATAGTGGAGAGATATCTGAAATAGGAATCAGGACTGTGTTTCTTGCCCTGGATCTGCCACTAACTCACTGGCAATTGGCTTCCTCTCTGGAAAATGAAGTAGTTGGTCCAGAGGATCTGTAAAGTCCCTCCTGGATCCAAATAATGAAATCATATTAACAATCTAAATAATTCAGAAATTCACAGCTGATGCCCTTTATTTTTATATGCCCATAATATTCTATGTCAAGAAAAGTCACATTTATATTGTGATATTACCAGTCACCCATGCATTAATATCTTACAGGGTTGTGGTGAAGATTAAAGAGAAAATGTGAAAGAAATTCACAAACTGTAAAGTGAAATAATGCCAGTCATTAATAACATGTAGGCACTGAAATATTACATCCATTACTATCTTCCAGACTCTGCTTTTACTATTTGGCTTTTGGGACATCCAATAAAGTTCATATCCAGGGAATGCAAATGGGGAAGGAGGAGGTTTTATTTGAAGAAAGACTACAATTGCCTTTTTTACTTTCTTGTTGTTGAAAATAGCCTTAAGCTACCACAGGAGTAAAGAGATTTACGGAAAGGCATTGAGATAAGTGTAAGGACTGGATGTACTGGTGTTAGTTGAGCCTCAAACATTATATCTGCATCAGAGTAGCATGGAAAGCCTGTTGTCAGGTTTTATAAAATGTCCAGCACTATTTGAAAAACAAAAACTAGGTAAATTAAAAATTATAATTAATTAATGTGATAATTTTAAGTTTTAAGGCTAAATTAACAATCTACCTTAATCTATTATCATAGCTATATTTTTACTTCCTTCCCAAGTTATTCCTTTCTGCATATGTCTTATGTATTTTTCTATTTGTATACATTCCTTTATTCATTTTTAGGAAGAAAATAATGAGCATAGATCTGGCAGTCTATTTTTTTTTTTTTGGTAATAAGAATTGTGCCTACCCACCAGATAAATTGTTGAAATGGGTATGCTATCACACCAATGATAGAAATGAGCATAGATTTTAGATTTGTATGGCACTTAATTTTTTCAGAGCAGCTTTACAACTCTCTTTTTTTTTTCCAACAATACCACTTATGAGCCATATGACCAGACAAACCACTTAACCTCTCTGTGCCATAGCTTTCTTACCTTTAAGATACGAGTCATATTAGTACTTCTCTCAGAATTGTGTGAAAATTAAATAAGTTAATCTATAAAAAATATTTAAGAGAGTGCTTAGCATATAGTAAGCACTCAATAAACATTTATCATGAGTTGTGAATGTCAAAAAACGTTGATGATGATGATAATGATGATGATGATGACTTTCTACCAGTGGTTTAGAGATTATAAATGTATTAGGTCCAAGTGCCATTTTGCACACTGATGAATAGTGCCACTGATTCACCAGCCATAAGGGTTATAAACTGCATGCCTAAAAGCTGTCCAGCAATAATATGAGTAAAACGTATTAGGACTGACTGTGGCAAATCGAGTAGCCTGCACCTCTAAAACCAGCAAGCCCTACTCAGCCCCAGGCAATGTTGCCATATGGAGTACAGTCCTAATATTGCCACGTTGTCCAATTTCTCTAAAAGGTAGAAATTTATATTTTCATTTAATCTTCTAACTTAAAAATGATTGGCAAGTTATTTGAGTTTTTTATAAAACATGGTGTGGGCCAAACACACACCAATCCATGGAAGGACTTAGAACTATGAGAGGCAGCTTCCTGATGGGTTTTCATAACTGTAGTGCACATGGTAAGTCCTTGATGGAATCTTGATTGCAAAAATTGAGGAATCATAGTTAATTGAAAGATTGAGGCAATAGTCTAAAATAGATGTGAAATCAGTATGTTGAAGAGATATCTGCACTCTTGAAGCTGTTCATTGCACTGTTCATTGCAGGACTATTTACAATAGCCAAGATATGGAATCAACTTCAATGTCCATCTATATATGAATGGATAAAGAAAATATGGTATATATACACAATAAAATAATGCTCAACCGCAAAATAGAAGGAAACCCTGTCATTTGCAGCAACATGGGTGAAACTGGAGGATATTTTGCTAAGTGAAATAAGCCAGGCAAAGAAAGACAAATACTACATGATCTCACTTATATGTGGAATTTTAAAAAGTAGAACTCACAGAAAGAGATAGTACAATGGTAGTTACCAGAAGTTGGGGATGGGGTGGGGGATGGGAAGATGTTGGTCATAGGGTAGAAAGCTTCAGCTAGCAGGAGAAATAAGTTTTTGAGATCTATTGCACAGTATGGTGACTATAGTCAATAATAATGTATTATGTATTTCAAACTTGCTAAGAGTAAATTTTAAATATTTTCACCACAGTAACTATGTAAAGTGATGGGTATGTTAATTAGCTTGATTTAATCATCCCACAATGTTTACATACATCTAAACATCACATTGCAGCCATAAATGTACATAATTTTTATTAATTAAAAATAATAAGTAATGTGTTAGTTTCATAATTTGAAATTTTCCAGGTATCATCCTGTTATTGATTTTTAGTTTTTTAAATTATGGTCAGAGAAAATGTTTGTATGACTTCAATCCTTATAAGTTTATTAAGATTTGTTTTACGGGCCAGAATATGGTCTTTCTAGGTAAATGTTTCGTGTCTACTTAGAAAGATTGTGTATTTTGTTGCTCTTTGGTGTAATGCCTTATAGACGGCAATTAGGTGAAAAAAAATAGCCATGTGAGACCCTCAAGGGGAGTTGGTAATTGACGGATAGGAAAATATAAAATAATAGCTAAAGATCAAAGAGGCACCGTCTGGGTAATGTGGACACCATCCCCAGAGGGGCCTTGGGATACAGTAAATTGCTTTCTTATAGATTTCCTGATTCTTTGGGAGAAAGGATGATGGGCAGGAAAGTAGGCAAGAAGATGGGAAGTGCCGCAGGAGGAAAAAGCCAACCCCAAAATAAGAGAACAGTTCTTCCTAGATCCCTAAGTCATGCTTTTCCATTTTACCAGGCTATTTGTAAATGAAGGTAAGAACTGCACAGCTTCTTACAATATACAGAACATTAGTTAAGCCTTGCTTGCAGGTGTCAAGATAGTATTTGTCTCTACTACAAATTCAGGTGGTGATTATTGATGTTCTGCCTGTGGTTAGGAAAGTAGTAGAGTTTGAAGCTACCATTTTAGAGCTGAATAAATGTGGTTCTCTGACTTCATTGGCAGGAAAAAAAGCTTGTCAATGATGCAGGCAAATGACTCACTTTTGATGTGATTCCATTTTATGGAACCTTCAATTCTTTATGACTTAAAAAAACCGTTTTAAATCAGTTAAGTTCTATTTCTTTGATGATTTCTTTATCACAGAGGGAGACCCTTAGATAATTGCAAAGGGATGAGTCATAATGAGTTTTCATTGATGCATGTTGCCTCTCATCACCAATTCCACTGATACCCTATAGGGAGAATAAAGAGCCTCTCATCTCACTATTTGATGGCATAAAAGGGCCTACATCTGACACCTAGAGCTTTAGCCCACCCTTTCTGAACCAGATAGACTTGCCTAGAGACAGAAAGGAAAAGGGCTTTGTTCCCTGACCTCTCCTCCCTAGGAAAGCTCTAATCCAGTCAATTTTATTCCTGATGGATTAGAGAATACCCAGACACCGTGCTGCATCATTATCCTTCCAGACATGTGTCCCACATTTGCACCTGCTCTCAGTTCCTATTCCATTGAGACAGAAGACTTAAATGTGGTCCAATCCTACGTTTACTGTGAAAGGTTTCTTTGTTCTTGTAATATTAGCTATTCCATCATCAGTTCACCTGGGATTTAACCATAAGACAGAATTTTACCCTTCAGTTCCACAAATAATTGAGAAATGAGTGTTTAAAAAAGGTGTAAAGGACATAGGAATTTTTTTCCTTCAGTTTTTGAATCCTCAAATCCTACAGCACCTGATGACTGCAAAGCCCTCAATAAATGTTTGCTGAATCAGGCAGGGGACTCTAGAAATGTTTGCGTATGTGTACATGTATGAGTTTTGAAGATACACTTATATTTAGATAACTTTATGGATCTGGAGGAGTCTGATGAGGATACTATTGAATTAATACAATACTCCACTGACATAGAATAGTGAATTCTGGTAACTATAACCATCTTCCAGAATTCCACAAGTAAGTGAATAGAAGCTTTTAAATAACAGGAGAGAGAAAAAGCTGTCCCAAAGCCTATACACTTACAAGATATGTACACAGTGCCAAAATTACTGAATTAAAGAGCTTGGTCTTTTAGTTTTGCTATTAATCTTTACATTGTTTTATTTATCTGGATTACTGAGAGTTTCTTGATTTCCCCTAAGATTTTGCACTAGAAACTTGTTTATGAGCTTAGCGTGTCAACTACTGAGCCCCAATGTCAGTAAGCTTCTATAGAGTTTGTGTAACTAATGCTTTAAGTACCTGATGGTGCAGATGAGCTGTTGCATTTGTAAACTCATCTTCAGGAATGACATTCTTGAGAAGAAGCTTTTTTAAAATGGTTTTTGCAGTTTTTACTGCTTTTTACTTAGAATTAAGCATCCAGTGCCATCATACTATAACTGCCATTGATAAATATTATTATTATTATTATTATTTGTTTCTTGGAGACATGGTGTCACTCTGTTAACCCAGACACAGAGCCCTTCTCCTTTCTGTCTCTATGCAAGCCCATCTGGTTCAGAAAGGGCAGGCTAAAGCTCTAGGTGTCAGGCATAGGCCTTTTTACGCCATCAAATAGTGAGATGAGAGGCTGTTTATATTCCCTGCAGGATTTATCAGTGGAATTAGTGATGAGAGGCTATATGCACCAGAGGAGTGCAGGGCACAATCATAGCTCACTGTAACCTCAAACTCCTGGGCTCAAGTAACTCTCCCACCTTCACTTCCTGAGTAGCTGGGACTACAGGGACATGCCACCATGCTTGGCTAATTTTTTTATTTTTGTAGAGACAGGGGTCTCACTATGTTGCCCAGGCTGATCTCCAACTCCTGGCTTCAAGTGTTCCTCTATCTATCAATGAGTTTTCATTGATGCTTAAGATCAAAGAGGCACTTGGCCTCCCAAAGTACTGGAATTACAGGCATGAGCCATGCCAATGACTGACAAATCTTAAAATGAAAATCACAAACATATATCTGCCAGAAAAAATAGGTGGATGGAATTTGTCAACAACTGTTTAATTATTGATTTCTATGAGTTTGATTTTATTTTGCTATCTCGTGTGCTTTAGGCAATAAGTTCTCATTAGTCATCAGCATTTGGGGGTCAAAATATCAGCCCCATTAACCTTCCTTTTCAACTACATTGAAACATATATAATGCCAGTCCCTTTGGACCACTATATGATAGTGTTTTTAAGCAAAATATTTGCTACCAGAAAGCAATATATTTAGTTACTATTTTACAAAAGTCACATTTTCCACAAATTATTTAGTTCATAGAAATGTTTTTACCTTTTAAATTGTAAATACCTCTGAATGCTTTCAACAATTAATGGTATTCAGTGGTTTAATCACGTGGATGAATTTTCTGAAAGTCTACAGACGAGGATTTTTTTTTTCTCTTTTCTAGTCATAGAGGTCTGGTAGGTAACAGTTCAGTGCTGGCTAATTGTGCGTCAGGAAAGTCAACAGGTTAAGGGAGTTAAGGGATCAAGTTCAGAGAGCACAAGCGTCTCTGTAGATGTAGACTTGGGGAGGTGAAGTTAGAGATCTTGCTGACAAAAAGTGTAACATACTAAAATAGGCACAGGTCACGGCAAATAACAGAGCCATATTTTCTTTCCTTTGTTGGCTTGTTTGCTTTGTTTTAGGGCTACTTTCATACCCCTAGAGAACATGATGGTTTGCGTCATCTCTGTTGTAGTGGAAAAAGCATATATTGAGGACTCAAAAGACCTGGTTTAGCCAGATGACTCTGCCAGTGTCTCTACGACCTTGGGGTAGTGACTCCATCCTTTCAGAGTTGTTTTCCTTGTTTATAAAATTAATGCTTTAAAAAACCCAATCCCTTTAAATCTAGACTTATAGAGAAGCCCAATACATTCAAACAGATAAAAGCAGAGCTACTCTGTTGGAAATGAGGTAGGGAGTCATCCCCAAACCTGGCCCACTGAGTTCTTCCCTTAGATCCTATCTTACTCCTCCAAGTTTGGCTGAAAAATCTCTAGGCCTTAGGCGAGCATCCTTAAACCACATGAGGGAGAGAAAAGATTGAAAGCCATGAATACAACCTTAAGGCATGAATCAAAATTCATTTTGTTTTCATGTTCCTTCTCTCTCTCTTCCTTCTTTCGCCTTTTCCTCCCTTTTTCCTTTTGCTTCCTCAAAAGTCCTGAGTAATTGCTTTTATGCAATTTTGTTTATTGTATTCTAATTACTTTTTCTCTGTGTGTCACATTCACTCACTCTCATTGGCATGTATATGCAAAATCTGTGTTGCCAATTCTTTTTTTAAAAAATACTTTTTTTTTTTTTGAGACTGAGTTTCACTCTTGTCACCCTGGCTGGAGTTCAATGGTGCGATCTCAGCTCACTGCAACCTCCGCCTCCCGGTTTCAAGCGATTCTCCGACCTCAGCCCCCTGAGTAGTTGGGATTACAGGCATGCGCCACCAAGCCTGGCTAATTTTTTTTTGTATTTTTAGTAGAGATGGGGTTTCACCATGTTGGCCAGGCTGTTCTAGAACTCCTGACCTCAGGTGATCCACTCACCTTGGCCTCCCAAAGTGCTGGGATTACAGGCCTGTGCCACTGCGCCCAGACTAAAAAAATACTTTTAATTTTTATGGATACATAATTGTTGTACATATTTATGGGTACATGTGATATTTTGATACAAGTATATAATGTGTAATGATCAGATCAGGACAATTGGGATACCCCCCACCTCAAGTATTTATTATTTCTTTGTGTTAGGAACTTTCCAATTCCATTCTTTTAGTTATTTCGAAATATACAATAAATTATTGTTAACTATAGCCACTCTATTGTGCTATCAAACACTAGATCTTATTCCATCTAACTGTATTTTTGTACCCATTAACCAACCCTTCTTTATTCCCCACGTCCCACTACCTTTCCCAGAATCTGCTAACCATCATTCAGTCTCTCTCTGAGTTCAATTGTTTTTTAAAGCATCCACATGAGTGAGAACATGTGATATTTGTCTTTCTGTGATGGATTTAAAAACACTTAACATAATGTCCTCTATTTCATCAATGTTTCTTCGAATGATAAGATTTCATTCGTTTTTATGGTTGACCAAGATTCCATTGTGTATCTGTAAACAACCCGTCAGATTTGGTATTTGCTGAGGTCTGCTTTCTGATTTATAGATGGAGCCTCTAGCTATGTCCTCACCTGGTGGACGGGCAAGACAGCTCTCTGGGGTCTCTTCTATAAGGACACTAAACCTATTCACAAGAGCTCTACCCTTGTGACCTACTCACCTCCCAAAAAGCCCCACCTTTTAATATCATCACCTTCAAATTAGAATTTCAGCATGAATTCTGAGGAGGACACAAACATTCAGACCATAGTCATAATTTAGTTTAAAATATTTTTTTTCTGATTTAAATGGCAATGTTTTACATTGACATATGGCTTATTTTGGAACTGTATTTCTTGGTTTCAAAATATGATTTTTCTAGCTATCTTTTGTTATTAATTTCTTCTCCTTCTTTTTTGAGACAAAATCTGGCTGTGTCACCCAAGTTGGCGTGCAGTTGCATGATCATGGCTCACTGCGGCCTCTACCTCCTAGGCTCATGAGATTCTCCTGCCTCAGCCTCCCAAGTAGCTGTGACTACAGGCACACATCACCACAGTTATTAACTTCTAATTAAATGGAATTGTTGCCAGATACCATAGACTGCGATTTCAATTATTTAAAATGTGTTGATGCTTGTTAATTACCCAGAATATAGTTAATTTTTACAAATGTCATATGTATTTTAAAAAATAGTTATTCTGCAGTTTTTGGGAAAATTGTTCTATACAGTATATGTTTAATTGATCAAATTAATTAATTATGCTATTCAAATATTCTATGTTTTTACTGAATTTTGTCAGCTTGTTCTATCAGTTACTGAGAGTGATGTGTTAAAAATCCTCCAATATGATTATAGAATTGTTTATTTCTTCTTTTAGTCCTATAGAGATTTTGCATTAAAGAATGGAAGCTTTTTTTTTTTTTTGAGACAGAGTTTCACTCTTATCACTCAGGTTGGAATGCAATGGTACGATCTCAGCTCATTGCAACCTCTGCCTCCTGGGTTCAAGCGATTCTCCTGCCTCAGCCTCCCGAGTAACTGAGATTATAGGTGCCCGCCACCATGCCTGGCTAATTTTTGTATTTTTAGTAGAGGCGGGATTTCACTATGTTGACCAGGCTGGTCTCAAACTCCTGACCTCAGGTGATCCACTTGCCTTGGCCTCCCAAAGTGCTGGGATTACAAGTGTGAGCCACCGCCCCTGGCCGAAGCTATTTTATTAGGTGGCGAAAATTTAGAAATTTGATATCTTCCTGGTAAATCAAATATTTTGTCTTTATGGTGTGTACTTCTTTCCCTCTAGTAATGCTTTTTCTCTTAAATTTTACTTTGATGTTAATGTAATGGCACAAGCTTTCTCTTGGTCATGATCTTCTATTCTTTGCTTTTCAAGTTTACTATATCCTTATTGTCTTATGTAAGACATATAAAATTATTTTAAAATGCAGCCTGACAACATATGTCTTTGAATTGGAATATTTAGTTCATTTGCTTTAATTACTGATGTACTGTGGTTTAAATTTGCAATCTTACTGTTCTATACAGTCATGCATCACTTAATGAGAGGGATATGTTCTAAGAAGTTTGGCCATTTCACCATTGTGTGAGGTGTGCTTACACAAACCTAGGTGGTATAGCCTACTACACACCTAGATTATATTGTATAGCCTATTGCTCGTATGCTACAAACCTGTACAGCATGTTACTGTACTGAATACTGTAGGCAATTTTAACACAATGGTGTTTGTGTATCTAAACATAGAAAAGGTACAGTAAAAGTATGGTATAAAAGACAAAAAAAAAAAAGGTACACCATATAGGGCACCTACTATGAATGGGGTTTTCAAGTCTGAAAATTGCTCTGTGTGTCAGCGAGTGAGTAGTGAGTGAGTGTGAAGTCCTGTGACATTACTCTATGCTAATACAGACTTTATAAACACTGTATACTTAGGCTACACTAAATTTATAAAACATGTTTTCTTTAATTATACTGTAACTTTTAAAATTTGTAATTTTTTTTAGTTTTTAGAAGCTTTTTGACTCTTTTAATAATACTTAGCTTAAAACACAAATACACTGTAGAGCTGTACAAAATTATTCTCTTTCCTTATATCCTTATTCAATATGCTTTTTTCTATTTTTAAATCTTTAAATTTTTTGCTTTTTAAACTTTTTTGTCAAAAATGAAGACACCACACACACTAGTCTAGGCCTACACAGGGTCAGGATCATCAATATCACTGTCTTCCACCTCCACACCTTGTCCCACTGGGAGGTGTTCAGGGGCAGTAGCAAGTATGGAGCTGTCATCTCCTCTGGTAACGATGCCTTCTTTGGAATACCTCCTGAAGGACCTGCCTAAGGCTGTTTTGCAGTTAGCCTTTTTTTTGTAGAAGTACAAGGAGTATACTCTAAAATCACAATAAAAAGAATAGTATAGTGAATACATAAACCAGTTACACAGTCACTTATGACTATCAAGTACTATGTACTGTACATAATTGTATATGCTATACTTTTATATGACTGGCAGTGGAGTAAATTGATTTACACCAGCATCACTAGAAACACATGAGTAATGTGTTGCAGTATAATGTTACATTACCATTATGATGGCTACAATGTCAGAAAGAAACAAGAATTTTTCAACTCCATTATAATCTTCTGGGACCACTGTTGTATATACACACGGTCCATCATTGACTGAAACGTTTTTATGTAGTACATGACTGTATTCCTTTTTCTCTCCTTTTTTATCTGTTTGTATCATTCTATTATTTTTCTTCAGTGTGTTTAGAGGATGTACACTCTTAAACTATCTTCTCAATAGTTATCTACAGACAAGAGTATATGTATGTATCACTCTTGCATATGTAGCTACAGACAAGAGTATATGTATGTATATATGTATGTATATACACTCTTGTATATGTAAGGATATATACTCTTGTCTGTACATAACTATTGACAATGCAGTCTCCTTAGAACACTTAATTCTCTCCCGTTCCAACTTATAAGCCATTTTTGTATTGTATTTCATTTTAATGTATATTTTAATTTCAAGACATTACTAATATTGATGTACTCAATCACTATCAATTTATATTTTCCTGAATTTCAATGCTTTCTTTTCCTTTATTTATTGAAGAGTCCTCATCTGAGATAATTATCTTTCACTACTTACTTTAATGTACCCTTCACTAAAAAGTACCCTTTACTATTTACTTTAATGTGGGTCTGATGATAATACATTTTATCATATTTGCTTTTCTGAAAATCTATTTATGGTTATCTTAATTTTTAAATGATATTTTCCACTTGGAATATAATTTTACATTATCTGAGCTTTTCCCTCAGTATTTTGAAGATATCCCAGGTCTTCTGAATTTTACAGTTTTTGTTAACGAGTCAGAGGTTACTGTAATGGCTGATCCTTAAAAGATAATCTCTCTTTTTTAACCTGTTTTTAAGTTCTTTAGTTTTCTTTTAGTATTAGTAGTTTTAATATAAGGTGCCTATGTGTAGTTTTGTTTTGCTTTGTTTTATTTTATTTTATCTTGCTTGAAGTTCTCAGGGTTTCTAGACTCTGAGGCTTAATGTTTCTCATAGTTTGGAAGATTTTTCAGCAGTTATCTCTTCACTGCTGCTTCTGTCTCATCCCCTGTTCTCCTCTGACACTCCAAATCTGTGTGTATTAGACTTTATGACTATTTTCTATGTGTCTGGTTTTTTCCCTTCCTTTTATTTTTTCAGTGGTCTGCTGTCTTTATATTTTCTTTGAGGCATTTTTTTTTATCTCTCTTCTATTTTGCCACTATCCCCTTAGGCATGTCTAATCCACACTTAAACCCACTGATTTTTTATTTTTGGTTACTTCATTTTTCAGTTCTAGAATTTGCATTTCGTGCTATGTCAATAGCTTTTACTTTTATGCTAAAATTTTTAATCAATTTTTTATTGCTCAAACACAGTAAGTATAGTTTTTTTTTTTTTCAGGCTGTGTTGACAATTTGAATATATTGAGCCCCAGGGGTCTGTTTCTGTTGTCTACTGCTTCTATTGTTTCTGTTCACATAGTCTTATCTCCTCATCCTTATATGCCCTGTTGTTTATGATTGTATGTGAGGCATTATATTTGCAAAATTATGTGTAGAAACAATGTATGGCCTAGATAATGCTATCTTCTTTCAGAGACGGACTTATAATTTGCTTCTGCCAGGTATCTGAGGGCACTGGCAATTTAGGAACACTTTAATTCCAATCTTAGAGATAAAACATATTTGAAACTGAGTTTTTTAGTACCTACGAAGACCTATGTACTTCCTCCTTGGAGTTCACCTTTATTCCTAATTGTAAACCCAAGGGAAAAGGTAGTGACCAGGGCCACTATTAGTAGGTTATGATTTCCAATTTCTATCCACTTAGCCCCAGAAGATGACCCAAAACACTCCTCACTTTCTTGGCCATCCTCTCTGAAACTGACAAGTGTTGCCAAGGAAAAGGAGCTTGAAAAGCCGGGCTCACCTTTCTATGTATCTACACTCCTCCATATCAAGTTCTGACAGTTGTTCACTATTTCGTTAGCTTTCTAATGTCTAGTAGTTTTAATTATTCCAAGGGGGAAAGTTGGTTTAAATTATCCAGTTTGCTATTAACAGAGGTCACTGTCTCAATAAATATGTGCATGTAATTTTTTGTTTTATAGGTTATTCCTGGAGTGTCCTAATCCCTGCATCAGTACTTATGGAAATACATGGAATACTAGGCATTCACTCTTCCCAAGAGCCATATCAAAACGTTATATTCACATTGAAGAAAACTTAGTTATGGGACATAAGTTATATAGGCTGCATCTAGATTCTTGAGAATTCCTGGAAATGAGAGACTTTAGCCCTAGTCATCCTACCCTGAAATGCTTATGTAAGCCCTCCTAAATGAGTATGTAAAACTGTGAGGTACAACCTGTTCCTGTTCCAGACTACCCATTCTCCCAAATTTCCTAAGGTCTTTTTATATGCAATAAGTTCTGTTTCCTTCAGAAGCCAAGCTGAATATCTTTTCAAGGGGGGCATATAGTACAACTATTTCAGGGCTATCCTTTATAGATGTAACAAGGATTAGCACGAGAATATCTACTGAAATCTGTTCCAGCTAAACTTCTCACCCCCCTTTCTACTCTCACTGGCTTTAATCCCCCACTGGTTTATGAAACTCTCAATTCACCTTATATTCATGCCGAGGATCCACAGATAATATAGTAGTCTCTGTGTGCCCACCCTGGTTTTTAATGAATCACTAACATCCTAGTTAATTTTACCAGAAGAGATGACAACTAGTTCTTTTTTTTTTGAGACAGAGTCTTGCTCTGTCGCCAGGCTGGAGTGCAGTGGCACGATGTCCGCTCACTGCAACCTCTGCCTCCTGGGTTCAAGAGATTCTCCTGCCTCAGCCTCCCAAATAGCTGGGACTACAGGCGCCTACCACCACACCTGGCTAATTTTTTGTATTTTTAGTAGAGACGAGGTTTCACTATGTTGGCCAGGCTGCTGGTCTCGAGCTTCTGACCTCGTGATCCGCCCGCCTCGGCCTCCCAAAGTGTTGGGATTACAGGCGTGAGCCACCGTGCCCCGCCTACAACTAGTTCTTTAACTGGGTTTCACCACGGGTATTTTCTCCTCTGTGACTTTTGCTTTAGCTGAGAGAGACTTATTTCTGGTCCCCAGGCTCATCTTTTTCTCTTTATTTCTTGGCCAGTTTTCTAAGAGTCTTTCTTCCAAAATTTCTCCAACACATGCTTTTTACAAACTCAAACAAAACAAAAACATGAACAAACCCAATACCAAATACAGCCATTCTCTCTTATTTCCTTTCTTGTCCCTTATGTTAATAGTAGTCAGTTCCAAAAGCAAGACATGGAGGCTGAGGCATGTAGTGCTTCAGTGTAATCTCACGTGGGAGATTCCATCACTGTTTTTAGCATCGAATACCATCCATTTGCAAATGATTAATATTTATATTTTTAGCTTATACCTTTCTTCTGAACTCTAGACCTGAAGTTCAACTTCTCTTTCACATGTCCTTTAGATATTTTAAGGTACCTTACACTCAACGAATCTGAAACAAATATAATGTTCTTTCTCCCAAGGTGGCTTTTTTCCAGTCATTCTCACTTAAGGAAACATTATTGCCATCTGTCGTCTTTTAAAAAAAACTGTATTTGAAGTTTTTTTTTAATTGAATAGGCTATTTCTTAGAGAAATTTTAGATTTAGAGAAAAGCTGAGCAGAAAGTACAGAGAGTTTCCATGTATACCCTCTCCTTCTGTACTTAATTAACCTTATTATTATTTTGCATTGATGTGGTACATTTGTTATAATGTATAAACCAATACTGATACATTATTATTAAGCAGAGTCTATAGTTTACATTAGGATTTACTCGTGGTACTGCATAATTCTACTGGTTTTGCCAAATGTACAATGTCATATATTCACCTTATATTGTCATTCACAATAGCTTCACTCCACTAAAAATCCCCCATGGTCCACTTATTTATCCCTCCATCCCTTCCCCAAACCCTGAACCATGGCAATCACTTTTTTTTTTTTTTACTGTATCCATAGCTTTGCTTCTTTTAAAATGTCATGTAATTGAAATTATAGAGCATGCAGCCTTTTCAGATTAGCTTCTTTCAATTAGAAATATGCATTAATGTTTCCTTCATGTCTTTTTGTTCCTTGATAGATCATTTCTTTTTATTGCTAAAGAATATTCTATTGTATGAATGTACTACAATTTGTATGCCCATTCACTTACTGAAGGACATCTTAGTTGCTTCCACATTTTGGCAATTATGAATAAAAGCTGTTATAAACATTAGTGTATAGGTTTCTGTGCGAACATATTCTTTAGCTCATTTAGAAAAATACCTGGGAGTGTAATCCTGGATCATATGTTAAGATTATGTTTAGCTTTGTCAGAAACTGCCAACCTGTCTTCCAAAGTGGTTGTGCCATTTTGCATTTCCACCAGTAATGAATGTGAGTTCCTATTGCTACACATTCTTGTCAGCATGTGATGCCAGAGCTTTGGATTTTAGCTATTCTAATAGGTGTGTAGTGTTATCTCATTATTGAAATCCATTTACTTTTATACAGCAGAGTCTTTGTCTCTCCTTGATACTTTTCTCTCCCTCAATTCCTATTGTCAGTGTTGTGTAGATTTTCCTTCTGTATGTCTTTACATTTCACCTACTTTCTATCTTCATAACTGCAACTCTAGTCCAAACTGTTATTATCTCTGAATTACCTTAAAGCTCTCCTGCCCCTAAATAATGCAACCAAAGCAACTTTTTCCAAAAGTAGATCTGATTATGGCACTTCATCCCTGACTTCTGGAAACTTCCCACAAGATTCACATTGTACTTAAGATAAAACCAAAATTCATGTCATGACCTACAATGTGCTGCGTGCCATGGCTGTCTGCTACTAATTTCTTCAGTCTCTTCCTGAACCATGCCACTCTCCTGCCATCTCTGTACTAACCCGCTGGTCCTAGTGAGAACCTTGAGAGCAGCATCTTTTCTGCTGGTTATGATTTTCATCCTTACTATGCCCTGCTCCACTCTACTCTCTTATCTAGTTTATTTCTATACATCCTTTCTCTCTAAGCACAAATGTTACATTTTAAGGGACACTCCTGTGAATTCACCAAAGAGGTGGATTCCCGTTATCCTTACATGATCCCATATATCTTATGTGAAAATTGTGACATTATATTTGTTTTTATGATTATCTGATGGATGTTTGTCTCCCGTCCTAGACTCTGAATTTGAAAAGAAGTAAGGATTCTGCATGTTTGTTTGTAATTATTCATTTAAAATTCAATAAAATTTAAAATTTGTGTATCCTCTACAACTAACATCTTGCCTGGCACCAAGTAGATGCCTCATAAAACATTGTTGAATAAATGTTTTGTCCTAGCTGAGAATGAGATTGATTAGTCAGAAATCAAAATATAGGGGATTATAAGCTATACAGTAAGAAAAACCTAAGTACATACAAAGTAAAAGAGAAAAAGAAGGAATTTTTAAAAACTATAATTACAGTTGCATGGCTTTTTCATTTTGTTCTCACACATAAGAGACCAATAGTGGGGTAACAGTTACTTAGGGGAAGATTGAGGTATCCTAAAAATGATGGCAGTCTTTTAAAAATATTTGTTTATTTGTTTATTTTGAGATAGAGTCTCGCTCTGTCACCAGGCTGGAGTGCCATGGCGTGATCTCAGCTCACTGCAACTTCTGCCTCCCAGGTTCAAGTGATTCTCCTGCCTCAGCCTCCCAAGTAGCTGGGACTACAGGTGCACGCCACCACGCCCAACTAATTTTTGTAGTTTTAGTAGAGATGGCATTTCACCATGTTGGCCAAGATGGTCTCGATCTCTTGACTTTGTGATCTGCCTGCCTCGGCCTCCCAAAGTGCTGAGATTACAGGCGTGAGCCACTGCGCCTGGCCTATTTTCTTTTTTTTAAACCAAACTGCTGCTTTTCTTTCCTTATAAATCTAGGAGGTTTTTGAAATTTTCTATTTGGATGAAATGCAAAACCTATAGTTTTTATTGGCCCTATCCCTGGATGCATTAATTCTTTCTTAATCATGATGCCTCTCTACTTGTATTATCTCCAGGTTGAAAGAACACAAGCATATGTGTCTGTGGCCCAACAGGTTACAAGAACGTAATAGAAAACAGCCCATTGTCATCCTTTAAAGCCCGCTCCCAGATGTCTATCCCACACACTAAAGTTATTTGTATGTGCTGAAATTTTTGCTAGACCTGGGACCACATTGTGCTGGAGGTGTATTTCTTTCTCACTGTTTATTTTTTTAATTAATTTATTTAAATGAACAAATATCTTTCTTAATAAAGGATCTGCATTTCCTCTGAGATCTGTCAAGTAGCTAACATAGAGCCCTGTACCTTTAAGAAGCTTGTGGATTATTAAGGCATTGGGAAATAACTGTGCTTTGGGATTATTTTCCCTTTTGGGAATCATTATATAAAACCCTTGGATGTGCATCTTTAAGCTCTGATATAAGCGGAGTCACAGTGGAGTCTTCTGGTAAGGCTGCCTCAGCCTAAGTCTTGTGCATTCAAGTCCAAAGCTTAATTTCCTGCTGGCAGTGGGTGGGGATAAACTAGATTGCAGAAAACTATTAACATTGACGAAGACTTTGGGAAAACATTGTTTACTTCAGTGGAGGCTGGTATTGACTCAGCCATTCATTTATCCATTCGTTTAAAGTTTTTTAAAATTTTGGGGGGTATTAGATGTGTACAGAGCATGGAACAAGCCATGTGGACACAAAGAGAGATTTATTTAGCATACAAATTATAAAGCTCCAATATGTGCAGTATGAGAAAGAGAACTGAATTAAGAGTTCTCTTTCCTGAATTACCTGATCCTAAGATCAGGTAACATGGCTCCCCATAATTTGGCCCCCATTCTACCAATTTGATCTTATTTTCTGTTTTTCACTTGGCTGGTGATTTTCCAGTTACACTGAGAGGAGCTCGAGGGAGGGCCTGGGACTGTGAGGAGAGGGTTGTCAGAGGCCACTCAGCAAGCAGTCAGGTCACAATCTCTCATTTCCCTCCTCTCTTTATGGTAGTAGCTCCAATTCTGTTTGTTTTACATACTGTACTCCTTCATCTGATTTCACTGAAGGTTAGTACTAATATATTATTATTGTTTTAGGATAAACCATCTATTCTGATCAGTCTGCCTACCTGATTGTCTCCACCCTTTAATAACACACGTTACAATTGTTTGTTTGCCTTTGCTCATTGTTTCTTTTCTATTCCTCCATCTAGGAAAGCCCTTTCCATTTTCTCCATCTATCCATCTATCTGTTCATGCCCTGAGCCTTTTCCAAGGCTCAGTTCCATGGGAAATTCTTTACTAACTTTCACCTGGGTCTGTATCTTGCATTATTTCAATCACCAAAATGCTATGCATAACGTTAGGGTCATATCATGTCCTTAGTATATATTGGTTGAATAGTAGTAAAAGGACATAATATAAAGAAACCCAAGATATTAATATTATCTGAAGGACAGCTCCTGTGAGTTCAGTCATAGGAAGTATACATATTTTTACTTTTTAATGTGACTTTTGGAGATTTTATGCAATTCCATTTTTTTACTTAAAATGACAAAAAGAGAAGGGGAAGGAATATAGGAAAAGCTAGGCTTTCTCAATGGAAAGTGATTCTAATCTTCAAAAGCTATGCCACACTCAGGGCTTCTGAGTGTTCGTTTAGCTTTAAAGAAGGATATTAATCCACCACCCTCACCAGCGTGGCAAATATTAGAACTCGTCTTAGAGTCATATAAGTTCTAAAGGAAGATTGTCTTCTGTTGCAATCTAGTTTCTTAACAACTAAGTAAACCTTTATTTTGTATCTGACTACTCAGAGGAAGTACTCTGACAGAGCACTGCAAGGGATATGAAGTTGAATGAAATATGGCTTCTGCTTCTAGGAACTCACAATTCACTGGAGACTGTCACAAAGAGAAGAAACACTACAGCCTATTGTGAGAATTAAGTTGAGGTAGAACGTGCAATAGGGAAAAGAGAATCAAGAGGTTAGCTTTGTCTGAAGGAATCCTTAGCAGACCTGATAGAGGAAGCATTGCTTAAAGACTGTAGAAATTCAATAGTGGGAAATGAGGTCAGAGTATTGAAGGCTCAGGGGACATCATGGGAAAGGCACAGTCAGGAAATTGTAGGAAATGTTTGCAATGCATGCATATGTGACCACAGCACCAGCTCCAACAGGGATGGCACAGTGAGAGGCAATGTGGAAAATCTGCTGCATCCAATTCATCAAGCATATTCATTTTATGTGTCATTGGGAACCATTGAATGTTTTGGGAAGGGGAGTGATATATAAGATGATAGGGCTTAGGTTTAGAGCTAACATTGGTGACAGGGTGAAAGAGGAGAGAGCGCTTAGGAAATTCTTAGAATGCCCCTGATAAGCTTTAATGATGGCTGGATCTAGGACAACGTCAATGAGACCAGATTGAAGGACTGAGAATAAGAGATACCTCAAAAATCAATTGATAGGATTTTATGCTTGGATGGAGAAGGGAAAGAAAACATTTTAATAGAAATATAAAGTACTTAAGGATGTCTCCAAATTTTTGAGCCTGAAGGATACAGGGGGGAGGGTGATTCTATTTACTGAGATACAGAATATAACAGACGAAGTTTGGGAGTAAAGAGGAAGAACTAGTAGCATATGGTGTGTTCAGTGGTGTATACATTAATTTTCAAATGCCTATAGGTTATCCATGGAATGATGTTCCACATGTAATTAAAGATGCATGGACTGAATCAGAAATGGGGAGCATATTTGGTAATAATTATTACAGAGCAATAATAATTAAGTTATAGAGGGTAGAAGGCAAAGAGAGAGCCTAGAACCCTGAGGTATATTTACAGAAAGTCTGGCTGAAGAATAGGTGCTGGCTAAGCCCAATTATGAAACTAGGAGTATTTCCTATCAAGAAAGCTAAGAGAATGAGTTATGAATAGAAGATAAACTGAGTAGATGAAGAATGTGAAGAAGACTTGAATTTGCTAATCAGGTAGATATTAATAATATAGAAAAGCAATTTCCCTAGAGAAATGAGGGAGGAACTCAGATTACATGAGGTTGAGGAGTTAATAAAAGGCAAGAGGTAAGACAGGAGCTAGAGAAGGAAATAGGTCAGAGGGCGAATTCTGGGAATATGCCTAGAATGCGTGTGTAGGTGGAGAAGGAATGAAGGGAGCATCACAGAGAATTAATGACACATAAAATTAGTTATCATCTTGCTGGAGAAACACACAGATGTAAGCAAATGAAAGTAGTAGATCTCTGGTAAAAAAAAAAAAAGAAAACAGGCTCAAAGGATAAGAAGAATGGAAAATTGGTCAATTTAACATCAGTGGGCATCAGATAACTGCTAGAAAACTATATCTGGCTCTAAGTAGTTTTTATCACAGCAGTTTTGGTCACATGTGGTGTGCACACACTTGGAGGGAAACCAACTAGCAATAAGGTTATCTCCAAGGAAGGACTGAAGAGGGGCTAAACAAGGGAGCCTGGGCACCAGCCACTCCTGGTATTATAATGACATGATAATGGCAGGAAGTGTGGGTCTGATCTGGTTCCAGCACAGAAACCTGGGAGGACGTCCTGGACAGGAACCAGGAGAGAGTAAAGACAGAACAAAGGAGGGATGCTTGTGGAGCTTTGCAAAAACACAAAAATATAAGCTTGTATTCTGAGATTTTTCTTGGTACTGCAGGCTTTTTACCTTACTTTCTGTTTTGGGATGAAATCAGTATTCGATTAGAAGTCATATATTTATAAAATAAGGTCACTAACTGTCTTACTAGTCAGTATTACTGATTGGAGGAAACCTTGAATTGTAGAATGGGAACATGTGACTCTCCTGGTAGCCTGGATAAAGGACCTGGGCTCAGAGAAGCCGAAGAAGACTATTTCTTAGGTCACTCTCCCTGCTGTGTCCAGGAGTAGGGTCAGGGCCTACTCATTTGAAGGGGTAAAAGGTCATCAACAGGCAGGAAGAAGTTGAAGTAATGAGAGGCTGAGGAGGGATGGCTGATTAAGCCTAGCCACTTAGAATGAGGAAGGAGATACATGGGTGAAGAGCCGGTCATTGGATTTGGAGTGAAGAAAAAAATGGAAAGAAAAAGATGTGGTCAAGGAATGATTTAGGAAGTCTTTGAGGTTGAGGAAGTCTTTGAGGAAGGGAGCTAAGAAACCCGTTGGCCTTGAATTTCTCTCAATCTGTTGGTGTGTGGGTAAGGGCCAGGGAACTTGGGAAGACCTGGAAAAGGGTTTCAACAGCTTCTACAGGGAGTTCAATGGATTGTCTATGAGTGGGTTAATAGGACTCAGGAGCAAAGAGCTAGGATTGTAAAAGGCGAGTGTGGGCAGCTGAAGACATTGATAGAGGCCAAAAAAGGGCCAAGAGACTGATAGGATAAAGGTCCGGAAGCTAAAGGATGGGCCCAGAGAGTGGGACAATGATGCAAGGATAGAAGGACTGCATCCCAGTGTTCGAGCCAACACTGAAAATATATATTGCATTCTTCAGCTGGGTTGAGTTCTCTGAGTGACATCTGATTCCTGCCATCATGAGGATATGCAGGAAGATGGAAATAAAATTCAAACCTCCAAAACAGTTGTCCAAATCACATATCATAAGGGCTGCACATGCAATTTAAAATATCATAATAGCCACATTAAAAAATGAGTTAAAGAGAAACAGCTTTAAAAATATACTTTATTTAACCTAATATGTCTAAAACATTATCATTTCAACTTGTACTCAATATAAAAATAAAAACTGTTAATATAATATTTTACTTTCTTTTCTTTTTCTTTTTTTCTTTTTTTAAGACAGAGTCTCACTCTGTCTTCGGGGCTAGAGTGCAGTGACACAATTACAGCTGTCTACAGCCTCAAACTCCTGGGTTCAATTGACCCTCCCATCTTAGCTTTTCAAGTAGCTTGGATTGCAGGCACATGCCACCATGCCTGGCTTTTTTTTTTTTTTTTTTTCCATAGAGACAAGGTCTCACTTTGTTACATAGGCTGGTTTCAAACTCCTGGGCTCAAGTGATCCTCCCACCTGGGCCTCCCAGGGTGCTGGGATGCATTCTTTTTTTCTTAATAATTTTTGAAATATTGTGTGCATTATTTCACCTTCAGCACATCTCAATTTGGATGCTAAATTTTTATCAGAAATACTTGACCTACATTTAGATTTTATATAACTTACTGTTAAAAAAGTGGATTCACACATGGTTGTTCCAAGCATAATTAAAAGTATTCCAGTAACATTAGAATTCATGTACTATTTTACTGAGATTATGAGGTGAGAATTGGACTCTGCCTTTTGAAACACAAAACAATGAAAGAATGAAAGCATCAACATTTGGTTCTCATTGTTTGGGAAAATGCCAGGAGACAGACATAGACCAGCATTGCCATGGCCTGCCAGGAAGGAAGTTCTGTGCTTTCTCTCATATTCAGGTGATTTATAAAGCTGATCTCTCTTCTGAAGTATAGCCCTGTCTTAATCACTAAAACACAAATGATGACTATAATATCAAACTATTCGACTTTCTAACTCCTTTTGCTAGAATGTGGGCCGTTGATAAGAGGCTTGTTAGAATTATCTTCCATTTTTATTATTTTAAAAAACATTTGGCTCTTATTCATCCATCAATTAGTAAACTTGAAAGAAACTGGTGGAAAGAAGAGTGAGCCACATTGTTGTTAGTGTGATTTATACTCCTGTTCTGTCTCACCTGTATATAGCTCATAATCAATTTGCACATAAAGTTGTTTGAGCTCTATGGGAATATTTAGATGAAAGAAACTCTGTAAATGCCAGGTATTTATTATCTTCATTATGGCCATATAATGTGGTAATAACAGAAATGTTACAATTGATTTAACGGAGCTTTGTAATTTGAAGCAAGTCTTTAGAGTTATTATTGTGAACTTATTTCTTGAATTTTTAAAAATTATTTTATGCATGTTGCTTCATCTGTGAGCTTCTTCATGTAGTCACCAGACACTGAGTCAATCTCCTTTCATTTAGAGGTATGATAACTGTCCTCCATTACAGTTTACAAAGAACATTTGCATATATTGTATGTTATTAGTTACTTGTAAAGTAAGAGTGTGTGACTGACCCTACTTAGAGATAAAAATAAGTGAGGCCTAGAGACACACAGTTAAAATGACACAATTAGTAAATGGCTCTGTGAAGTACTTGTTTTTTTTTCATCACAAAATAACAATCTTTAAATTATGTGTTAATATTCTAGAAAAGCACCAAGAAAGAGTGGCTAAAAGGACAGGCTCTGCGTTGTCATAACCCTAGTTCAAATTCCACTCTGCCACTTGCTAGCAATGTGATCTTGGCTAAGGTACTTTCAAAGCTTATAAAATGGGGAAATAATATAGTTAAATGAGATTTTTTTTTAACATTGGACCGAAAGTATTGATCAATCTTGATATTTAGTTGAAGAATACTGATATTCACAAATATGGCATATTAAATAACTGGAACCATGAACATCAGGTATAAGTACCACAGTAGCGTGAATGGCTATGCCATCTGCGTGCTTATTACCTCTGCCAACATGTCCCCAGCCTCTCTGCTCTTACCCACTCCTTCCAGCCCCACTGGCCTCTTTTTAAAGCCTTGAATCTGCTACATTCTTCTCTCCCATAAAGCTTGTGAATGGGCAGGTCCCTCTGCCCAGAATGCTGTTCAATAGACTCTTTGCTGGGTCTCTTAGTTTTTTCCTTCAGATCTCAGGTTAAATGTCATCACCTCAGAGAGGCCTTTCATAAGTATCTACGGAGACTTCCCTTGAGGTTCAGTTATCCCCTATTCTTAGTCTCTGTCTCTTTAGAGCCAATATTACAGTTGTTATTAAATTTTATTATTGATGGAATTCACTTGTCCACATAAGATTTGTGTAGTAAAATTCTGACAACTGTATACAATGTGAGTTTCTATTTGGATATGTATTTAATTTTGAATTATGTAATAATAATAACCTAGTGGTTTACAATATGTATTTTACTCCCACTGAAAGTCTATTTATGGCATAACTACTGAATATTTGTATATTATTTGGTCACATGGATCACACTGGCTTATTTAACCACTTCTGTTTTATAGTATATCTTCTTTTCACGTTTTAACATTATTTTAAGAAGCCTTACTAGGAACATATTTGTAGATAAAAATTTATACCTTTAATTATTTTTTTAGAATTCACTATAGGAAGTGGAATTACAGGATTAAAGATAATATACCTTTTAAAGACTTGATACGTGTTGAAAAATTTCATCTTTCTGGAAAGATTACAATTTGAATTCCTGTGAGTAGCATTTGAGAATACCTGTCTTACATACTATGAGCAGCACTGAGTATTTATTCTTCAAAAATAATGCAATTTTATAGGCAAGAAGTGGCACTTTTAAAAACCATAACTTGCATTTATTTGATTTCTCATGAGTAATCGTATTTTCATCTGTTTTAAATATTTGTATTTATTTTTCTAGCTATGCAATTTTTGTGCATTTTCCCATTCTAGTTTTTTTATTAATATGTAGGACCAATTTTATATTAAGACTATGAAATACTTGTCTATAACATTACTGCAAAGATTTTTCAGATTTATTGCTGATTTTTCATTTTGTTTACACTTTTGGTTGATAATCTTTGAACAATTTTATTTATTTTTATTATACTTTAAGTTCTGGGATACGTGTGCAGAACGTGCAGGTTTGTTACATAGGTATACACATGCCATGGTGGTTTGCTGCAGCCTTCAACCCATCATTTACATTAGGTATTTCTCCTAATCTTTTAAAATTTTTGTATACTCAGTGACTGTATACTCAGGCCTTTATAGCCTTTTCCCTCTACCTTTATATTTAGTGTGACTAAGTTAAATATCCTCGTGTGTGACCAAGTTAAATGTCTACCTAAATTTTGTCAAACATACTTCTTTTTTATTCCCACTTATTATTTAACCCTTTAGGCATTCTAAAATATTTCCTACGGTATGGTGTCAATGATACAATTTGTCTTTATTTTTTTTAAAAAAAGCATAACTCAATATTTTCTGAATTATCCATTTCTTCCTCATTGGTTGATCATGCTTTTTAAAAAAATCACACATTCTTTTATCATGTTTTCAAGAAGGCTAGCTGGAAACCTACACTGGTGCCTTTTTCTGTAATTATTGCAGGTTTAAGGTATATTTTAGTACCCAGTAAAAAAATTTCCCCTCCTTGCTGTTGTTTGAATTTTTTTCATCTGTTATTACTTGTTTATTCTTCTAAATAAATAAAGAATCATCTTTTCAACTCTAGTCAGCTAATAATGGCCCTCAAAGATGAACAGGTTTTAATCCCTGGAACCAGTAAATGCTACCTTGTATGAAAAAAGGGCCTTTGCAGATGTGATTAAATTAAGAGATAATCCACAATCCTTTGAGTGGGGGGATTGTCCTGGATAATTATGGTAGGTTTTAGATGTTATCACATAAGTCCTCATAAAAAGGAGGCAGAGAAAGATTTGACTATAGAGGAGGGAGATTTGAAGATGCTTTGCTGCTGGCCTTGAAGATGGAGCCAAGGAACCCTGAGCCAAGGAATGCAGGAAATGCAGCTCTAGAAGCTAGAGAAGGTTAAGAAAACCAATCTCCATTAGACCCTACCCAGGAAGTGCAGTCCTGCCAACACCGTAATTTCAGCCCAGTGAAACTGATCTGATCTTCTCTTCTCTTCTCTTCCCTTCCCTTCCCTCCCATCCCTTCCCCTCCCCTCCCCTCCCCTCCCCTCCCCCCTCTTTTTCTTTCCTTCTTTCTTTCCTTCTTTAAGATGGAGCCTCGTTTTGCTGCCTAGGCCGGAGTGCAGTGGCACAATCTCGGCTCACTGCAACGCCCGCCTCCAGGGTTCAAGTGATTCTCCTGCCTCAGCCTCCCAAATAGCTGGGACTACAGGCACGCACTACCTTGTCCAGCTAATTTTTGTATTTTTAGTAGAGACGGGGTTTCACCATGTTGGTCAGGCTGGTCTTGAATTCCCGACCTCGTGATCCAGATGCCTCGGCTCCCCAAGGTGCGGGGATTACAGGCGTGAGCCACTGTGCCCGGACTGAAACTGATTTTGAACTTCTGTCTTCAGAATTGTATGCGAATAAATGTGTGTTCTTTTAAGCCATCAAGTTTGTGGTCATTTGTTACAATAGCCATAGCAAACTAATACATCAATTTAATAAAAATTTTTCCTGAGTTATTTGTTTTTGAATTTCAATTAATGTTACCCGCTAATATTTAAAGAGTTTACATATTTAAATATTTAATATTCCTTTCCAAGAAAACATATTTTTTTGAGAAAAAATTTATAGACTTCCTGAGAAATTTCTTGTACTAATATTTCCAATGAAACAGATTTTCATTTTTCAGAGAATCAGCAGCATATTTTTTATAAAGTAATTTTCTTGTGGATAAACACGGAGGGAAAGTGAATGAGTATTACTAAGATTGGCAGGAGATGGGCATTTAACTTAGGTGAACTTCTATAATATATAAGAAGCAACAATTGGGCTCCTTAAACAAGGTTAGCCTAAATAAATACAATTTCACCCAAATTCTTTTTGAAATACTCTTCTGTGAGCTGGTTTTATTCACTATATGATTACAGATGATGAATAAATGTAAATATAAAGCTGTCTTATCTCTCTAAAACACTACATGGTCTTCTACACTGGTTCAGAGTATACACAAAACAATTCTTAAAGACTGAAATAATAGTTTCATGACTACCTCATAACTCCGAGGTTTCTAGACATTTTATACCTACTCATCTCTTATGGGAAGCATTTGATATTTAATTGTCCTGATTTTGATAACCAAGTAACTGTTTCAATGCAGATATTTAAAGTGATTTGTGTTTCAGAAGGATATGCAAGAGGAAATTCTGACATGTCAGAATGGGGTTAATTACTCATCAGAATTTTCTCTTGCATATACTTCTGAGACACCTATTTTTAATATGATTTAATGAGACAATTTGGGCAGATCACTTTTCTAGTACAGGTTGAGTATCCTTTATCTGAAATTCTTGGGACCAGAAGCATTTGGGATTTTTTCAAATTTTGGAATATTTGTATGTACCTAATGAGATATCTCAGGGGATGAGACCCAAACCTAAACACAAAATTTATTTACGTTTCATATGAACCTTACACACATAGCCTGAGGATAATTTTATTAATATTAACATTTTAAATAATTTTCTGCATGAAACAAATTCAGATTTTGGAACATTCGGATTCTGGGTTTTTGGATTAGGAATGCTCAACCTGTGTAGGTGGTTTTAGTAGGTGGTTCTAGTAGGTGAACATCAGAATCCCTTTATAAAACTTTGAAGGCTGAATGCAGTGGCTCACACCTGTCATCCCAGCACTTTGGGAGGCCGAGGTACAAGGATCAGTTAAACCCAGGAGTTGGAGACCAGCCTGAGAAACATAGCGAGACCTCATCTCTACAAAAACTAAAATAATTCGTCAGGTATGGTGGTGTGTACTTGTAGTTCCAGCTACTTAGGAAGCTAGGATGGGAGGATCAAGGCTGCAGTGAGCTGTGATTGCACCACTGCATTCCAGACTGGGTGTCAGAGCCAGACACAGTCTCAATTAAAAAATCTTTAAAAAAATGCAAATGTCTCGGTCCTCCTCAGAATGTGCAAGAGGGCATATGCAGCATCTGTATTTTTGAAAAGCTCCAGGCATGATTCAGATGTGCACATTAATTTTTTCACCGTCGATTATAGTGCAAACCCTTAGGAGAGAGATTTTTCTAAACTGTTGAGTAACCCAAAGGTCCATCATTTGTCATCTTGGTGAGGTCGTTCTATGAATGTGTCCCCTTCTCTGAGCCAGAAAGAGAATCCAGTACTCCCAATTGCAGTGTTTCTCAAAGTTTTCTTCTATACAGTAAATCTTATAAAGGTACAGAAAGGGCAACTTGAAATACTTAATCAATTTTACTTTATTTTATGGGGAAACATCTTACAGTAGTGCAGCATTTGTGGATTGAAGATTAAAAAGTTCTCCAGTATATCTCTTTCAGATATCAAGAGTATATTGTTTCTGGTTTATACTAGAATATGATATTGTGAATGTATATTTGAAGGGAAAATAGAAAATATTCAACAAAAATAGTAATCTTGAGAAAGGAAAGCATGCCATCTTTTCTTCCTTTCTAATCCTAAATCTCTTTTAGGAAATCATTAAAACCCAGCCTTCTCCTTAAAGACTTCTAACATACTGAATTTTCATGGTAAGCGCTCCCTTTTTATAATTGTGAAACATTTGCAATTATTTTGGTGCCTGATATTACGGTTTCTGTTGTTCTTGAATTATTTCATTTTTAATTTTTCTCAACAAATGATGAGGTTCCTTAGAGCTGACAGCTTTATTACCTTTTACAATGTTGAGAATATTATGCAGCACGTCTTAGGTCCATGAAACCTATATATTGAATAAAATAATAACATCTTTCTCAACAAAGAAATAATTTTTTAAAAGTTTTAACTGACCAAACCGTCACTTATTTTTTTTTCCATTTAGTTAAAACATTTAGGAAAACTAAAGAGAGTGACTGTTTTCTTCATGTCATTAGTCCTCAAAAGTTTAATTGCTATTTGGGATGGGTTGAAGAATTGTCTTTTTTAGAAGAATGCACTTCAAAAAGCTACTGTACTCATCTGTAAACAGCAAAACTAAACTTTTAAAGTATATTAGTGTTCTTCTGACATGCCTATATATATTCCCATGCTTATGTTTATTTATATGTGTCTGGGGAGGTATAAGAGGAGAGCCTTTCTTTACTATAATCATCAAAGCAATAATTAAATGTGAAACATACAACAGCTGTGTGATTTAAGATAATTTAAATTCATATATGAAGGACTTTGCTAAACATAATAGTAATGCATTACCTAGGTGGATGATTACTTGGCAACGTTGGCTGAATTTAATATTTATCATAAATACAGTATTTGTTAAAGAAATGGCATCATACATACTCTCCTCCACCTTTATGAAAATGGAATTAAAATGTCTTTAAAGAATACAACATTCTTTTCATTAAACTTCACAGAAAAGCTCAGTGAAAATAGGCATTCACCACAACTTCCTGTCTCCTTATCTTTCTTTCCAGCTGCTCTGATTCTCCTAAAAGTCAACTAACTTCTCTTGGTGGTTTCTGTGAATAGGTAATAGGACAAGTGATTTAAATCACTGATTACTCTCTTCTGGCTTTCAAACCATTCTAGCATGCTTCTGGTTAGAATAATGATTGCAGTGATAGGTCGATGTGAGAAGATGGTAATTTTACACATTAATGGAATAGAGCTTCTGAGATTTACATTTAGCTCTTGCAATAATAAAAAGTGCTAATAGTAGAGGAAATATTTATGAATATCTGAAATATATATGTGCCCTTTAGCAAGATTAGAGGACTACACAGGCCTTGTTCGGATTCATTATGCTGCAACAAAACATTTATTTCTAGTATCAGTAATTGGTAAACTTAGATTACGCTGGCTTTCTTGTATTTAATCCTCAAAATGTAACATTTTGATGAAGTCAACTAGGGCCTTTCAAAGGAAATTTACTTAGATCTATAAGACAAATTTTAAAAATAATTGGAAGTCGCTGCTTCTCCATCTTTCCTCCCACAGCTGCACAAATGCATACAGACATGCTTATGTTTACTACTTCTGTCCACCTTGTCTTGTTGACCTGGTGACTTGCTCTGACACGTCTGGTAACAACTCTGACATAGAAGAAGATGTGTACTTTTTAATTGGTAGTAACTAGGCTCTCAAATTCTTTAGTGAACCATTACTTAGCATAGAGTCACTTTGGAATCAATTAAATATGAACCTTTGTCACATCAGTATTCATAGAAAAGCACTTAGGTGATTAAAGACCGTTGGCCTCTAAATATTTGACTACTTACCAACACCAGTCATTTAGAAAGCCTTATTAGTTTTTTTAATAATATTTTCAGGGATGGCAAGCATGAAAAAGTAAAACAAAATTAGAGGAAACATAACTGCCTTCAAATGCATGTTCCTGGAGCATCATCACAGCTTGTGCTATTCTAAGGTGCTACTATTCTCTCTCTAGCTCCACTTATCTTCTGCTGCTAACCTCTGGGGCTTCCCAGGCTCTCTGCTTCTATATCGTGGTATTTCCTCATGTATAATAGCAATACATGTATAGCAATACACATATGAAGTTATAAATCTTCATCATCAAATACGCATAAATAAAATGTGTATTTTAGTCTGATCCCACTTAAATACATTTTACATTTAGTAAATAAAGGAAGTCATAGCCTAGTTAGTATTTCAGAAACTGAGTTAAATTTAAACAAACTTTTAAAACATATCGGAACACACTTAAACCATGTATATGCAACTGATGTTAGTTTTAAATAATTATTTCTAATGATACTAATCATAATAGCTACTATTTATTAATGGAATTATATGCTGAGCTATGTGGTCTATATGAGCTTATTTCATCTTCATAACGCCAATGCTATGAGGTAGATGTTCTCAGCCCTATTTATGCAGGAGAAAACCATGGCTTGGAAAAGTACTTATAAGTCATTTCAGTAATCTGTAGAAGGTTGTACAAGTGGTCTAGTTGGGATTAGAATCCAGGTTTGCTTAACTTCAAAGCACTTTTTCTTGACTGCCAAGCCCAAATAACTCCTCACACAGGCTCCCTAAGGATCCACAAAGAGTAGTGGATTCCGGTCCCTTAATATTTAAATACTGTAACATATAATCTGTATGTTGAGAAATGTGTATAACCTTGTGATGTGTGGCTACATTTTCCAAAATGTATCGCTGTGCTTTATTTGGATAATTGCAATGTCTTTTAAAGAACATTTCACATCATACATGTACTCATTTAAAAGGAGAAATAATCTTTAATATTGGAACAAGTAATCTGTGGTTTGGGCTTAATAAGGACAAAATTTTTTTTTTCTGTTGTTTGAGAAGTCCTCTTATTGTCTCAGTTCTATAAAATCACAGCTAATATCACACACCCTTGTCATTCAGAATGTTAAGTATTATTAGGCACTGAAGGAGATCTCTGCTTGAATTCTCCAACTTTATTTCACTCTTTAATATCAGGAAGTCCTGTTATTTTCGGGGTAGTGTTGTTAATATATTGTTTATCTTTCCCCCCTTTCTCCTCTCCATGTGCAGTTTTCTTCCATTTCAGGCCTTCCAGGCCAGGCACTCATGTTAACTTTACATGTAGTTTATCGACTGGGTATCTACACATTTATTTGAATTCTCTTGCGGCATCTGACCATCTCATAGAGTTCAGGTGGAGAAGACAAGTACTTTTGCTCAGACAGGACACTAGCAAAAAGGATGAGAATGTTTCAAGCCAGTCAGAGGTTGCAGTAAAGTAAGGTGAGGGTTCTGCTCAAATATTTCTGTTTTCCCTGTGGAACACAAGGCAATATTGAGAACTTAGTGTGAAGAGCTGGGAAAGCAGGCTTAAAAGGGATCATAGCGTCTTAGAGTAGCTGCCACAGGGAATGTGAAGAAGGCCGACTAGGGACAAGGAAAACAATAATGAACAACCCTCTGGCTCCCAGAGCCATGTAGCCTGTGCAGGTTTGCAATATGACTGGGATGTAATTTCAGGATAAATGCTGATAAAGCTGCCGCTGGTCTGCTAATGCTTAAATATGCCCAGATATTAATTTGAGAGACTAGAAGAAACAAACCATTTTTCTCAGTTACATTATTCTATCAAATTAAATATATGTAGTAAGATTTTTTTTATAAGACTATAAGAAAAACTTTGTCAATTTTGAATTTTAACATAATGTCAAACTATGGCATATTAATGCAATTAAACATTTCATATGTTAAAAGGAATAAGACAGGACTATATGTATGTACATAAGATTTCACAAAGATATGAAATCAAATTGCAACATAGAATGTATAATATGATCTTATTGTAAAGGAGCTGTGGTTAAAACATACCCTTGAAATGTTACCAGTCTGTTAACATTAGATAGCAGTTTACAGGGCATACTTTGGAATTGAACATGGCTTTATAACAATCCCTTTGTTTCTGTGGCTGAATGTCTAACGTTACCTGAAGGATGTATGATCAAGTGGGAGGTTGCCCACCTTGACTCTATAGCATATATCAGCAGGACTCTGGATGGAACCATTTGTGTGTGTAGAGTGCAGCTTGGAGCCTCGGTTTCACTAGAGCAGTTCAGTCTTTTCGGAAAAATCCATACTTTACCAGAAACTGGAGGAGTCCTCAAATTCTCAAGTTTAGTGAAACATTTTGGGAGGAGGAGAGAAGAAGATTTATTGATTTTCTGGAGGTCAAAGTTTCAGTGCTTAATAGAAGAGCTAGAAGTAGTCCGGAGGTGACTTATCCCTCTGAGATCGGCTGCCATACACACTATGTCCTTGGAGGTACCCTCCCTTAATGAGAAGCCCTCACAGCCAGTACAGTGCCTGGGGCTGGGCCTACTACTTTACTTTGTTTCTAGGATGATTGTTTTGTTCAAAAATATAACTCCTGAGGTCACATGGGTAGCAACACTTTGACACCTTGTAGATCACAGTATGGAACAGGTTTAGAAATAAACAAGGGAACCCATGTTTTCTAGATATGATAGGCAATTCAATGTCAACCCTCTCTCTGAGACCAAGTGGATAATAGATAAAATATATTTTGAAAATTTGCTTGAAGGTACTGAAAACCAACCAACCAACCAAATGCTGAATTACCAAATTAGAATTCTGAAGACAATGGAGCATAGAGAAGAAAAGCTGGCACTGTGCGTGTTTTATCCCACAGGGTAATATACAGATGAATGAGAATGCAGGCTGGTCAAGAGCCTATTCATTTATAAGGGACTATTGAGAGATTCCAGATAAAATACAGGATACCCAGATACATTTGAATTTCAAATAAACTATGAAGAATTGTTTAGTACATTCCATGCAATATTTGTGTAATTTGGGTGAGGGAAAAAGCTTATGTATACTGGAATCTTTGCATATCTGAGAGTGCAACAATAAAGTGTTGGTATGTTTTATTGCTATGTAAGGTTTTAATTTGTGATAGACTAATATTTTGATGCCCATAATTTGTTATGGCAACTATTAGTTTTGTTCTTCTTTCCTAGTGTGAAAGGAAAGATGCGTTGGTAAAGCATGAAAAGAGGGTAGCTGACTTTGGCAAAGAAGGAGGGAGAATTGGGATAAAATGGAGTGTTTAAGTTTGTTGCTTTTTCCTGCCTTCTACCCCACTAATGGACATTCACACACACACATACACACACACACACACACACACACACACACACACACACACACACAATGGGAGTGGAGACAGAAGAAAACCAGATTTCCCCTTGTTGTTTGAGAGGATCTAAGAGTAAGGAAGCCTGTAGGTAATTCTTTAAGGGGGAAGCTAGTTGAAGTATTCAAGGACAATAAGGTATGAAAGAACAGAAGAAATGGCTCTTTGGCTGTGGAGATAGGAGAAAAAGGATATAGGAGAGCATTTCCTTTGGCTTCTACAAGGAGTAGAGAGAGTTAAATTGTTCCTGAGTGAGATATAGAAGTAACAGAGAGGAAGGACCAGGAGGCCTGCGAAGAATTTGCAGAATCATAGTGTGAGGGTAAAATCATAGCAGCAGTGAGGAGCAGACAGCCCACTTCATGGATTGTCAGCCTATGTGGTGGAAATCTCCAAAGAAGCCCTACGCAGAAAACACCAGCTGGGCTGAAAGCTGAGGAAGCTCTAGGAAATGTGGGGGCAGATGTGAGTGACAGATCTGCAGAGTCCTGCTGCCTAACAATGGCTCCAGTCTAAAGAATGATCTCTTCCTTCTTACTAACCCTATTGGGCAGCAAGCTCGCAAACCCATAAGAACACAGAATAAGTGAGAGAACAGTGGAGGCAGAGAAAAACCTGGGAATAAACCATAAGCTAGCATGTGACTGAATCATAAACCTGAGTCCATCAGGAAATCAGTATATTTAATCCTGAAATTGATCACAGTACATTAGGTAGGCTGAGGTTTCAGAGCTAGATACGAATTCATTATAAAAGTAAAGATAACTCATTTTTATTTCATATATTTAAACTTTTGACTATAAATTTTATCCTTATTATAATAGTAGATGCATAGAAAAATAACCTTAAGAAAAATCATATCAAATCGTTAATGGTGATTTGGAAGTGGGGTGGGTAGAGTAGGATGGGAATGTGCGATTATAGCAATGAGAATATTCTAAATATACAATGTTCCTATTAGTACACTGTATATTTCTCAAATGTTTGAACTTTGTACAAAATGAATAACGTTTTAGTGAGAAAGAAGTCCTCCCCCAAACAATAAAGATTAACATTAATGTGTGAAAATGGCCTGATCATATACCCTTATGACCTTCCTGCTATTAGGTCCCTAAAGTACTAGCCTAAATCTGCTCTAGAAATGACAAATCTGGATGAGACAGTAAATGTTACGTATGGCCAGATTCACTGATGAGAAGATACAAGTTCAAGGCACCACTGTTGTCAGTGCTAAGATGATTGAGTCATTTAATGTGGCACTGACTCTTTGGAAAGCCCATGGTGAGAACCTCTGACTCACAGTTAATTCAGGTGGAGCGCCCCAGCTAATGCAGACAGAGGAACAGATCTGTCCTCTTGCTATGTGCATCCCCAGAATAAATGTTTTTCCTGCTGACACCAATTGTCTGAGGGCAATGAGCAGGTAGGGCAGAATTATTCCTTTTCCATGGAGCTGGGAAAGGATGGTTCTCTACACTGGAGAAGACTCTGGGCTAAGCCTCAGTTTAAAGGATGCCGTTCAGCCCTGTCAGCTTCCATCTGCTGGTGGAGACACTCTTGTATCTTTCACTGCCTGACAGTCCACCACTGCAGAAGAGCTGGGATGAAAGCGTGTGCTGCAGAGACTCTCATTTGTAACAGGAGCAGGCTAAGAAAGCTCTGGAAGGAGACATAGCTGGAAAGCTGAAGCAGGTGTCTCCACCTGGAGAAGCTGCACCAGGAAAAGTGGAAACGGAATCAATACTGTGAAAATCTGGGTTTGTGATCAGAAGATTAAATGGCAAAACCATGTTTCAACACAAAGGAGAAATCCTAAGAGATGTAAATCATGACTGAAAAGATAAGAGACACGGAGGACAGCCCTGGAGAAATAACATGCAAATTATCATCGGCATTCCAAGCAGCAAAAGGAGCAGATGGAAATGGAATCAATAATCAAAGCAATAATCTTCAGCTTCCAGATCTGAAAAAAAAGATCAAAAGGGCTGACTAAATGCCATGCAGAGGGGATGAAAAGATCCACAACTAGACGTATATTTGCAAAATTTCTGGCCTCTGTGGATAGAGAAAAATATATATATTTCTCAGACAGTTAGAGAAGTTTACATATAATGGGAAAGAAACAAGTTTGATGTTGACTTCTTATATGCCACACTCAAAGCTAGTGGAATAACATTTATAAACTTGTGAGGGAGAAAGCACTGTGGTATAAAATTCTACTTTCTGAAAGGTTATCATTCATATAAATTTCCAGGATACATAGAAACTCAAAGTATTCTACTTATTTTTCCATTCAAAATTACTTAAGGATATACCCCAGCATAAATAATAGTAAATTTAAATACAGATCTAAAACAAGTAGAATATAAAGAATACCATAAATAGGTAGTGAGCAGTGAATCCAGGAAAGTATGTAGGTGAGCTTATGTGGGTGAGGATAAAGTGATTGCAAAATGTAATGTTGGTGTTAAACACACAAAGAAGAGAAGAGGCATACGCTAAGGAAAAACTTAATATGAAATTAAATTTCTAAAGTAATTTGAAAAAATCTAGGATTTAGAAATGGTGCAAGGGAGTGGGAAAGTAAAATATTAAGATTCTCTCATTATGGGGAATGATCAAAGTGTTATTATTTTCAACAAAACAGAGAAGTATGGGTTTTAATAAGAAAGTTAAACACATTTTACTATTTTCAAATTGTTGATAGGGGACAATTTAAATACAAATCAAAATAAACAGAACACAACAATAATTTGATTAAACCCGTAAAAGTAGAAAAACACAAGAAAAAAGGAGTATACTAAAAATTAACATAAAACAAGATAGAAATGAAAGCAAACATATCACTTTTCAATATAAATATAAATAGAATAAAAGCTTGAACGAATAGCATAAAATTTAGGTCACCTGTGAATATAGAGTGAAATATCCTGATTATAATTTTAGAAAATAGAATTCACCAGTGTTCTAAAGTAATAATAATAATATGTTGTGGCCAAATAGAGTTTATTCCAGAGATGCCAAAATGTTTCAAAATTAAGATCTAATGTTAAATCCTAAAGAGAAAACATCTCAGTAGCGATAGACTATGGTAAATAATTGAATTAAAATAACCGATTTTAAGAACAAAAATAAATTGGGAATAACAATGGTAAGAATTGTTTTACAGAAAAAAGGAAAATAAACCCTAATGAATGATAAAATACCAGTCACCAATGATAAAACCGAATACAAGAGTGTAATCATTCCTAAAAATAACTATTCTCAATTTTATTTTGCATTTATAGGTCATGCTACATAACAAAAGAATAAAGTAAATGGTACCAACCTTTGGAAACAAGAAATAAAATTATCATGATTTTCATACGAGTTGTTTGTAAACCTAGATTATGACGAGTTAGAAAAAAAGTCAATTATAAACGATAAGAGAATACAGTAAATTACTTAGATACATAATAAATATATAACTTAATGGCTTTCCTTTATAGTGACGGAAACATGTTAGAATGGAAATTTTCAAAATTATTCTAATCTTAATAGCAACATTGTTCATAAACTTCCCAGAAATAAACTAACATGAATTAAAAAAAAAAACTGCTTAAAAAACATTCATTGAAGAAAAAATGAGAAGTGACCATGCTCTCAAGGGGAATATGCACTAACAAACATAGAAATGCTCCCAAATTATTACATACATTTAATGTATTCCTATAATAATCCCAGTGGTACCTCCTGAGTTCATTTCTACAGTTCCCTAGATATCATTAGCTTCTTGGCAGAAAACAGATGGCACATTAAAATGGAGTAACTAAGGAAAGTTTAATAAAGGGATGATTTACAAAGGTTTGGAGAGGGTGAAGAGGGACCCACAGGAGACAGTGAAGCCACTTGGCTCTCACATTACCATTCCCAGGCCTAACGGGGGCAGGAGAGGAAGTTGCAACCAGAATTCCAACCACAGTTGCAGGAGAGGATCACTGGAGAACTGTGGCCTACAGGAAGGAAGCCAGGAGGGACTGGTAGCCCTGCTGGGAAGGAACTGAGGGAACAAATAACATGTCTGCCCTTCAATTTTCTGTCAGTGCCTCTCATTGGCCAAACTTGAATGGAAACAAGAGGCAAGAGATTCAGGGTGAAACAGTCCACAGATGTCAGAATCCCAACATACAGAGCAGAAGGGTAAAGAGAGGGGGGAAAACTGTAGAGACAAACATGGATATCAAATGCCATGTTAAAGAACCATGTATAACATTGCTAAGAAAATACTGAAAAAGATATGTAATAGAAGGGGATTTGTCCTACCCCAGATATTAAAACTGTCAACAAATGTACTGATTAAAAAGAGGAATGAGCAAGTAGAGCAACAGAGTTGAACAGAGGGCCCCAGATAAGCTTGAGTATACATGAGAATTAAATATATGCTAGAGATTCTATTCCATTCTGCAGAGAAAAGAATGGCTTATTTGATAAATACTTTTTTGACTATTTGACTGATAATATTTGATAAATATTATTTGATAAATATTTTTTGAGTATCAATTTAGAAGGAAATAAAGTTTGATATTCAACTTAAATAATATAAAAGTAAATTCCAGATGAATGAAAAACCTCATTAGAAAAATAAAATATGATTTATCAGAATAAACCACACAAGAATATTTTGAATAATTTTTGGTTATAAATAATTTAAACATATCATAAAGGCAAATATAATAGATTTGAGCAGATAAAAATAAAGTTTGGATTGCCAGAGATAACATACAACAAACATAGCAAGAATATATTTGCAATAAAATAACAGGCAAAGGTTCAATTCTGATAAATTAAAGTTATTCCCTAAAAGTAAGAAAAAGTCACACCATTAAATAGAGAAATGGGCAAATTGTATGTACAGGCAATTCCAGAACAGAAAATTTAAACAATAACTATATGAAGACATGTTAAATATAACTAATAGAAAAATTTATAACTTAAAACTAATTTAATCAAAATAAAAGTTTTTAAAAAATTAGTAATATCCAATCACGAGAAGGAGGGAGACAAATGCATTTCTTTATCAATCAGAATCCAAAGCAGTCAGGAAAAACTCAAACCACTCTCTGATGGAGCTGCAACTATCTGCAGGACTTACTGCTATTTATGATGAAAACATATAGACAGACTTCTTTTTTTGTTTAAGTTACTTTGAATTGGGATTTTAATACTTGTAAAATAAATTTTATATATTTATAATTTGTAAGTATACATGTGTGAGTGTGTATCCCTATTTAAAATATTGGAAGGTTCTGTCAAATGCAACTAAGTTAATCTAAACGCAATTAAACACAACAAATCTAAATACAACTATGTATATATATTTATTTAAATGATGACCTCCTATAGGTATTCAAAGCAAATGTCACAATTTTAATTAAAACATGACATGTCTGTGCTGAGATCAATAGGATATTCTTATGAGTACTGATTTTGTTACTTTATATTTGTTATTTTTGGTTCCCTATATCAGATTTCTTACCAGTTATTGGTTATCTGACATCTATTTATCTATACTTATATATTATAAAGCCCTGAAATACCATTATATTCCCTTTAGGTTAAAGAAATATTTACTGAGTAGAACACTTTTATCACTGCCTCCCAAACACAAGCTTGTAGTGGACAATTAATAATTTATTTGCTCAGCACCTTCCCACCTACTAAGAAGGTCTTCCCCTGCTCCCATCCAGGAGGGACATGGCAGCTGCTGAGGTCTTGTGGATCCCAGGTAATTCTCTTCTCCTGCATTATTTTTTTTTTTTTTCTGGTGGAAGAATAGGCCCATGACTCACACTGGGCTTGGGGAACTAGGGATAGTAGGGGCCAATTCTCCTTTTGCCAGTGAGGCCAGCGAGTGTTCTTACCAAGTTCATCATCACTATGAAATAATGAGGCTGGCATATCACTATGAAAAGTAGAGACAATGGATGGTGAGCAAGAATCCGGGTAACATTTTTGGTTATCTGAGCCTCATTGCTTAATGCACAATTGAAATATGAGTTTCAGTCACTTGCAATTAACAGACACAAGTAATGCAATCTCATTTATAGGTTTATTTCTCTTGAGATGAGTTTTGCAGAAAACAATGTTGTTTACCCTGCAGAATTTAGTAATGGATTGCCTAGCAGCACTGAATTAGGGATGGTCATGGTCAAAAGCATGGAACTCTTCTTGGAGGGGAGTTATTTGCAAGTTGGTGAGAGGAGGGTCTATAGTCAAGGACAAGGAAACATTAAGTCCACGCCACCCCACTTCTTTGGCCCTTAGATGGAAGTTCTCCTCTGCCCCGCCCCAGGACTCCTAGACCTTCTACTCTTTCCTTTCACTGATGCCCCCACCAGCTGTCCTATTTGCTTCTGTCATCCCTATTCTTGTTAGCTTGTGGAGCAGAAGATCTTCTGAAGGAGCTGCATGATGGTGAACAAGCAGCCTCACTTCATCCAGGTCCAAGTTTTCTAATTTATAAAATGGAAGAAGTTGGCACTATTATTCTAATATTATTTTTAACCTGAAAATATAATTATGTGAGTTCTGGAGTGGAAAGAATGCTTTAGAATGAGTGGTACTTTTCTAAAAACAGATAAGTTTCAAAAGGCTTCTAAATGATGTTTTAAAATAAAACAAAATGGGGGATTAGTTGAGGCAGGCCAACTTGGAGATGTGAAAGAACTAACTGCTAGGAGCAGCAAGAAGGTAAAAGCACCTGCAGCACTATGTATGGTATGTATGAGCCAGGGCTATGGGAGACGCAAGATGACAGAAGCTTCTCTACTCCCAAGTGATTCCAATGGGTTGAAGAGATTTGTTATATAAAATAGAAAAGAAAAGAAATTACACATTAATAAAATATCCTTCTTATTTAGAAGCTTCCAATTACCCAACATTTAGAATCAGAATGTCTCAGTTTGGTAAACTACCTGATGACATAAACTTCCAATTATTCAGGTCAATTTATATTTTGTGAAGGTATTGTACCAACTTGGAAAACAGCATAAAATAGCATTATTTTTGTGGAAGTATTTGGACAATTAAAAAAACAGAAAAATTTATAACCTCTCTCATCCATAAATGTTTTCATATAAAACTGAGGTAGACGATGAAGAAATTTTGAGACATAAGAAGTTTATAAAAGAAAATAGAAGCTCTATGAAACGTCAGTAAAGAGCTATGGAAGAGGATTATGTGACATAGCGTAGGAATATTATAAGTTGAAAGATAATTTGACCTTTTTAAGTCTGATAATTATTTGGGAATAATAGCCCTATCATTATCATTTGACTCACATATTTTTGTATTTGATTAAAATACACTAAAATTTGATCAGGCATGGTGGCTCATGGCTGTAATCCCAGCACTTTGGGAGGCCAAGGCAGGTGGATCACTTGAGGTCAGGAGCTCAAGACCAGCCTGACCAACATGGTGTAACCTCGTCTCTACTAAAAATACAAAAATTAACCGGGAGAGGTGGTGTGCGCCTGTAATCCCAGCTACTCAGGTGGCTGAGGTAGGAGAATTGCTTGAACCTGGGGGATGGAGGGTGCAGTGAGCTGAGATTGTGCCACTGTAGTACAGCCTGGATGACAGAACAAGACTCTGTCTCAAAATAAATAAATAAATAAATAAACAAAATACACCAAAATTTTCTTACTTAGTATTTTTTTTTTCATTGCTTAAACCCGTATAGAATATATGGTGCATTTTCATACTGGACAGGAGATTCAGCAACCTGGATAAGCAAATGGAAATCTGGATTATCCAGGAGAGTTAAGGGACAAAATGGAAAAATATGTGTGGGAGGCACTGCTATACAGAATAACCATTTGCCCTCTCATTCTCTGCTGACAGATTTTTTTCAGGCACTCACGTGAGCAGCAGTGTGCCCAGGGGAAGTGGGCTCTTTTTCAGGCTGCATAGGGTAAATCACGGTTAGACTTAAACAAGGCTAGATAATCCTATTCGCTTTCACCAGCAACTGCGTAAGGAAGGGTAGGGCAGGTGACTCAGTTCTGACCAGCGACTTAGAAGGGAGTGTCTTTTGGGGAATTCTGGGAAATATTTTTCTTCTCGTTCAAAATAGACACATGTAGTCTGGGCGCGGTGGCTCACGCCTGTAATCCCAGCACTTTGGGAGGCCGAGGTGGTTGGATCACCTGAGGTTGGGAGTTCGAGACCAGCCTGACCAACATGGAGATACCCTGTCTCTACTAAAAATACAAAAATAGCCGGGCGTGGTGGCGCACGCCTGTAATTCCAGCTACTTGGGAGGCCGAGGCAGGAAAATCGCTTGAACCTGGGAGGCAGAGGTTGCGGTGAGCCGAGATCGCACAATTGCACTCCAACCTGGGCAACAAGAGTGAAACTCTGTCTCAAAAAAAAAAAAAAAAAAAAAAGACACATGTAATAAGAGACATCTTCCCCATTTATTTTCTGCCCTTGGATGTTTTCGCAGGAAGAAATGATGTTTGGCAACATGGTAGCCATCTTATGATCCTAAGGATAAAGGCGAGAACATTGCACAGAATATGACCCATGCCCTGACACTGAAGAGCTTATGACTTTGACTTCGCTAATCCTGGAAACATGTGACTTTAGTCTTGTAATCTGAAATAGCTACCCCATCTTGTCTAAGGTATTTTGTTACTTGCAGGCAAAACCATGCTATAGGATTCAAAACTGTCATAATCCTATTAAAGGGCTTGCACTGTGGAATCAAAGTCCTGAATTTGAATCTCAGCTTCATCAATTAATATCTGTATTACATTTTAACTGAGTAACTTAACCCTTCTAAGCCTCAGTTTTTTTATCTCTAAAATGGGGAAAATAATGGAGTCCAACTTACTGGATGGTTGAAAGGATTAAATGGCATGCTGTATTTAAAGCAGTTAACACAGGGCCAGCCTCATGGAATTTAGCTATTTTTAAAATTAGAATTTGGTTATGATTAGGAGTGTTGTGACTGTAACACATGCAGCCCTGTGGCAGCTCTATCAAAGCAAATTAGAGAAAAGTAAGCACCCTCTTCAGGCTTGCTTGCTCCTGACCAGCACGATTCCACTCACCAAATGGCCCTTTAGTTCTCTCCTTAATTGCTGCAGGAGACCGAAGAACAAAGGAGGACTCTGCACCTGCTGTTCATTGGAGAGGATGAGCAGAGCCCAAAGGTTGGCTCTGTGGGAGATTGTGCCTGTTGGGATGAGTCATTAAAACGGAGATTGTGGGTGGTTCTGGGATTGAGCAAGATAGGAGGGCATTTGGGGGTGAGCTGGAGGTTAAGCCTTTGAGAGAGTCAGAGGACCGAAAAGATTGAGTTAGGAGGGTATTTGAAGAATTGACTGAAAACTAAGGAGATCAAAGTGAGATTTGGCAGTTGGGCAAAGGAAGGGAGGGCATTTCCATAGTTATTTAACTACCCAGATTGTTCAGTTTTGGTAGCTGGGTCTTTCTTCCCCACTTTCACTTTTGAGTTCAGTCCAGGGTAAATAGTTGGGAGTGAAATGACACAAGGAGGGGAGATTTAAAAACAATTCTTTCTTTCATCTCTATGCCCTTGAAATCTTTTTTCTCATAAGCTCTTGAAATATGTTTACCCCAATAGAGCCTCTTGGCTTGCAAAGCTTACACTGCTAAACCTGCTGCAAGGAAGTCAGCACTGTGAGAAAGTGTAAGCTGGAGCTCTCCAACCCACAGCATTTGCTTCAAGGTGGGATTTAGTTAGTGACTCTGAAAGCCCTGTGGCAATAGGGGACCACCCAGTGCCTGCCTCTAGTCTGCATCAATCTGTCTGCCCTTGAGGTTGTATAGGAATTAAAGGAAACTAGCTGTTTGGCTGAACAACCTCTAGAAATATGATAGAGCATCCCACAATTTCAGTACTCCACTATGAAATCTAGTTTCTGATATTCCTCAGCCATTTAGGCCACTTCCAGATTGCACAAGAATCTCTGGAGAGCTTGTTAACAATGAAGAGCTCAGTTCAGAACATTTGTGTGTGTGTGTGTGTGTGTGTGTGTGTGTGTGTGTGTGTTTGTTTGTTGTTGTTGTGTTGTTTTTAGAGACAGGGTCTCACTCTGTTACCCAGGGTGGAGTGCAGTGGTGCAATCATAACACACTGCAGCCTTGTACTCCTGGGTTCCTGGGCTCAAGCAGTTCTCCTACCTCTGTCTCCCAAGTAGCTTAAACTTCAGGTGTGAGCCACTGTATCGAGCCGAAATCTGTAGTTTTTAACAGGAATCCTTGGTGGTTCTAATACTGGTGGCTCATTAGCCACATTTAAAAAAAATGCTCTAATACCAAGCTGGCCTTTAAAATGTCTCTCTCTTCCTTCTTTCCCCCAACTCCCAAGATATGCAGCAACATTAGATACTGCTTTTGAAAAACTACTGATATAGTTTGGAGCGTCCCCACCCAAATCTCATGTCGGATTGTAATTCCGAATGTTGGACGTGGGGCCTGGAGGGAGGTGATTGGATCGTGGGGTGGATTTCTCATGAATGGTTTAGCACCATCTCCTTGGTGCTGTTCTCATGACAGTGACTGTGTTCTCATGAGATCTGGTTGCTTAAAAGTGTATGGCACCTCCCCCTGCTCTCTTGCTCCTGGTACGGCCATGTGAAGTGCCTACTCCCCCTTTACCTTCTGCCATGATTCTAAGTTACCTGAGGCCTTCCCAGAAGTCAAGCAGATGCCAACATCATGCTTCCTGTACGCCCTGCAGAACTGAGTCAATTAAACCTCTTTCTTTATAAATTACATGGTCTCAAGTATTTCTTGATAGCAATATGAGAACAGCCTAATACAATTACTATGAAACGTTCTTTAAAAATTAAACCTAACTGGAAAATGTTCTGAAATTAGAACTTTATCTTGAAAGACTGGGCTACTATTAGAAGAAACATGCCTCTCCTAGGTAAAGCAGACACCACAGAAATACTCCAGGACCAACTGATGTGGTCCCCTCAACCTGTGGTGCTCCTTCATGGGGAGAGCTCTCTTTGAAGTCAATGGGAACTGTGGTCAGATACACTTTGCAGGAGAGCAAAGCAAGTAGGCAAGATGTGAGACAAGTGGCTCAGAAAAGTCACTTTTAGACATGTTAGTACATTCATGAAATTTAGTAGTAATTTGTTTAAAGACAAGAAAAAACTTTAGTATTAAAGAGGGTGGCAAAGGAACAGACCCATGCTTTTCTCTGTATTGGAAGGCCTCAGTTGTGGCATTAAGGTTGGATGCACCATGCAGAAAGACTTGGTATCTTGCTTTGCAATGCGTTCCTGAGAGAGCTAGGAAGGAGGGTGGGAGAGGAGGGGCTTCCAGGCTAAAGCATCATGACGAGACTCATGCACAGGGAGCTTTCTCCTACAAATTTCTTCATACATGTGATGAAATGGGCTAAATGGGTGCCAAAATATAGATTTTTAAACATTTTTGGATATAGACTCATTTTACTGAAGCTATGGAATCTCTCTCCAAGAAGAATGCAAGTAAGCCCACACACGCCTGTACAATTTCCATTCCATTTCAAGGATTCATGGGCCTCCTGAAACTCATCTGTAGACCTCAAATGAAGAGTGTCATCTCTGGAATAAATATTGAGGACTCTGGTGATGGGAGTTAGGGGTGGGGTAATCCAACAAAAATGAGATTTTGGCCCAGCAGAGCATTGACTTCACTATTGGCTCTCTCTAGAGCCAGAACTTGTTCAAATGTGGCTCCATCTCCTCAACCCCTGGTGTAGCACATGAGGCAGTGGGCTTCCCTCCCGGCGCCAGAGTTTGCACAACTCTAAAACAGGGATGATGATTCAGATATGGCCACTATGAGGCACTCATTCAATATCAGTGAATATGGGTAAAGTCCCTATCTGGCACACAGAGGCTTGCTGCTACTATCATTATATTACCCATTCTGATGAATGGTGCCAACATCAACCACTTATTCAGCCAGTCTTTCTAGAAAGCCTAACATTATCACTTATATTCTTCCTCTTTTGTAATCCTATATTTTGTCAAATAGATTAAAAGCTCTGTGAGGATTGATTTTGCCATTTTAGACCCTTTGCTTCCTACAGAGCAGGTACTCATTTAATAAAAATATGTTGAAAGAATGAGTTTGTGAAATGAATTTTCCTAAGCCTCTCTAATGTCCTTCTAATCTTTTCTTTCCTTTATACCTTCATTACTACTGCTTTAATTCAGAACCTCCTCAGTACTTACCAGGACTTTCATTACAGACATTGCCTACCAGAGCATTTGCGGAACCTGGATACACATTAGAATCACCCGGAATCACGTATTTATGGACCCTTTGATATGTATAAAATCAGCAGCTCTGCAGTGATAGCAACGAGGAAAGTGCACAGTTTTCAAAATTTTCTCAGCTGACTTTTAGTAATGCTAGTTTTAGAACTACTTGGTTTATTTCCTTATCCTATCATAATAGACCCTTGTCTATATTTTCCCAAATATTACCCATCACTCCCCTGTATGCATCTCACACTCCCAGCATACTAAACAACTGTCCTATTTCCTATTGTTCCATTCTCTCATGGACATTCCCTCTGCTTGGTGCACTTTTGAACTCTGAAAGTAGAGGCAAATCTTTTGTTTGCTTTGATTAAAGTTAAATGCTAAAAACTATTTTATTTTCCTGATTTCTGCCGCCTTAGAAATCTCCAGCAAAGTTCTAGTTTTTGGTCTTAAATATTTGGCTCTTTGGTGAATGATGGTCATATCTGAACCAAATAACCATTTTTTTTGAAACTGAAAACATAATTCACATACCATAAAATTAACGCTATTAAATTATACAATTTGCTGATTTTAAGTATATTCACAAAGTTGTACAACCGTCACCATTATGTAGTTGCAGAACAGTTTTTTTTTTTTTTTTTTTTGAGATGGAGTTTCACTCTTGTCTCCCAGGCTGGAGTGCAATGGCGTGATCTCGGCCCACAGCAACCTGCACCTCCCGGGTTCAAAGGATTCTCATTGTCTCAGCCTCCAGAGTAGCTCAGATTACAGGCACCCGCCACCACGCCCGGCTAATTTTTTTTTTCTTTCTATTTTTAGCAGAGATGGGTTTTCAGCATGTTGGCCAGGCTGGTCTCAAACTCCTGACCTCAAGTAATCCTCCTGCCTCCACCTCCCAAAGTGCTGGGATTACAGGCGTGAACCACCACGCCTGGCCCAGAACACTTTATATCACCCCAAAAAGAAACCTCTTACAAATCACTCCCTGTTTCTCATCTCCCACCTCCAAGCCTCTGGCAACCACTAATCTACTTTTTGTCTCTATGGATTTGCTATTCTGGACATTTCATAGAAATGGGATCATACAATACATGGCCTTTTGTGTCTAGCTTTTTTCAGTTAGCATAATGTTTTCAAGTGTCACCCTTATTGTAGCATTATCAGTACTTCAGTAATTTCAATGGGCAGTTATATAGGTTATACCACATTTTGTGTATCCATTCATCATTGACATTTGGGTTATTTTAATCTTTTGACCATTATGAATAGCATTACTAATATGTAAAGCTTTTTGTGTGATTTTATGTTTTTGAATGTCTTGGATATATACCTACTAGTGGAATTTCTGGGTCATATGGTAATTCTATGTTTAACTTTCTGAGAAATTGCTAAACTGTTTCCCAAAACAGCCATACCGTTTTACATTCCCATCAGCAATGTAAATCAACAATGAAAAAATGCGAAATACGGAAGGTTTCAATTTCTCCTCAATCTCATACACATGTTATTTTCTACTTTTTTTTTTTTTATTATAGCTGTCCTAGCAAGTGTGAAGTTGTATCTCATTGTGGTTTTGATTTCCATTTTCCTCATGACTAATGATTTTAAACAACTTTTCATGTACTTATAGACCATTTGTAAATCTTATTTAGAAAATTGGCTATTCAAATTCTTTGCTTTTTTAAAAATGGGGTTATCTGTCCTTTCATTATTGAGTTACAAGTGTTCTTTTTATATTCTGCATTTATGTCCCAAATGAAATATATGACCTGCAAATATTATCTCCAATTCTGTGGGCTATCTTTTTACTTTCTTAATAGTATCCTTTGGAGTACAAAAGCTTTTGCTTTTGATGAAATACAATTTATTTGTCTTTTGTTGCTTATGCTTTTGGGGTCATATTTAAGAAACCCCATTGCCTAACCCAAGGCCAAGGATTTATGCCTTTGTTTTCTTTTAAGAGTTTTATAGTTCTTACATTTAGGTCTTTGATCTATTTTGAGTTAATTTTTGTATGTGGTATGAGGGTAGTGGTAATTGATTCTTCTGCATTTGGCAATGTACCAGCAATATCTATTAAAAAGATTATTCTTTTCATATTGAATTGTCTTGGCCCTTCTGTTGAAAATCAGTTGGCCATAAATGTGAGGGTTTATTTCTGAAACTAAATTCTGTTCCATTGATTTATTGGTCTATGTCTATCCTTATGTCTATACCACTCTGTCTTGATTATGGTAACTCTGTAGTAAGTTTAAAATCTTAAAGTTTGAGTTCTCTAACTTTGTTCTTTTTCAAAATTGTTTTGACTGTTCTGAGTCCTTTGCATTTCCATATGAATTTTAATATCATCTTGCCAATTTCTGCAAACAGAGGCAGCTAGGGTTTTGATAGAGATTGCATTGAATCTGCAGAAAAAGTTGAGGAATATTGCTATCTTTATAATGTGAAATATTTTCATGAACATGGAATGCCTTTCCATTTATTTGGTCTTCTTTAATTCATTTCAATAATGTTATTTTAGTTTTCAGTGTACAAACCTTGAACTTTTTCTGTTAAATTTGTTCCTAAATATTTTAATTTTTGATGCTACTGTAAATGGAATATTTTATTATTTTATTTTCAGATTTATTCAATACTAGTGTATAAACTATTTTTGTATATTTGATGCATCTTGCAACTTTGCTAAAGTGTTTATTAGTGGATTCCTTAGGATTTTCTATATATAAGGTCATGCCATCTCTGAAAAATAGGCTTTTAATTTACCTAGAATTTTGGTTAATATGGGCCCTGTGTCATTTACTGCTTCAAGATCTTGATCAAATTGACTAAATCCCATGAGAATAATTTTCTTCACCTGTAAAATGATAATAATAATCCCAAAATCCAGAGCTGCTGTGAGAAATACATATAGTTAGAAAATAACCATCAGTACAATGATTTAATGAATGAATCATTCACATTGATTTTTTATAGCTAAGAATGAATGGATCATTTTCTGAATCATTTTTCCAGCCCTACTCACTTTTGGGGTATTTTAATTAGACAGGGATCTGAGAAAAAGTACATTAGGTAATGTCAAGTCATTTAGGGGGATTGGAACAATAGGAAATGAAGCTTCAAAGATAGATTGAAATTCTCTTTAAATATTTTACTAGCCATGATGAGCATTATTCTATGGGAACAAGAAACTATTAAATGGTTTCTTCTGGGGAATAATAAAATCAGTGTAGAGGATATATTGAAAGAGTGAGAAATTAGGAGCAGGGGAAATGATTGGAGGCTATTATAAGAGATCAGTAAAGATTGATGAGAACTTTAAGGCAATGTCTGGGAAGATGGAAAGGAAATAATGTACTTTGGAAATAATATGTTTCAGTTGCAGGAAAATAATCATAACTTCCTGGTTCTGGACTATAAACCATTAATTTCAAGAGGGATTACATGAGGAAAACATCTGGGGACAATGATGGCTTCCTTTTTGGAAATTCTGCTTAGGGACCCGCAGAGTACTCAAGTAAATACGCAAATAAAGTGATAGGGAATCAGTTTAAAATTTAGGAGACAGAGTTGAAGATTCAAGACAGAATTTTCCATTTGCTCTGTATGACAACTCATGGTCTCCACTTGTATCTTTCCTCAGCATAGATCCCCACATTCATAATTATCATAACTTCCTTGTGAATAACCTCAACTCCTCTGTCTTCCCTCCTCCTTTTCTTTTTCTCTTCCTCCTCCTCCTCTCTCTCTCTATCTCCGTCTCTCTGCTTCTCTCTCTCTCACTCATCCTGCAAAACAAAGTGCACTAACACAGAAAACACTTTGCACTCCTCACATCTGTACCAGAGACTTCCTTCTCCTTTAACCTTTCTTCTCCTGCTCCCGACTGAACTAATTCCTCTCCAAGACTATAGTACATTTGTTGTTTTAGAACATCATTTTTTTGTGTTGAATCTCCTATTTCTTGTATTATATATATCCTTGTTTCTTGATTTAAAATAGCATAGAAAGTATGTTACTAAATATTTGTGTGAAAATGACAATTTTGCCATAATTATTGATAGTTTGACTTTGTTTAGAATCCTAGCTTGAAAATCAGTTTCCCATAGAATTTTGAAAGCATTGAGACCATTTTAGGATTTAGGATTGCAGTTGAGAAACCTGACATCATTCTGATGTCTCATTGTTTATAAGCCATAGTTCTGCATTGAAGGGCTACTGAAGTCCACTTGAAAATATTAAGAGGTTTTATTCCCTAGCTTCTGAAGTTTTACAATGAAATGTGGATCTTTAAAAATGTATTCCATTGGGCATTTGGTGGTCCCTTCAAACTAGAAATTAATTTCCAACACTTTGGGGAAATTATTCTGTACTATTGATTTGACAAGGTCTTCCCTTCCATTTTCACACTTTTCTTTTTCTGAAACTCCTGTAATATGGAGGAAAGACATCCTTGAATGATCCTCTAATTCTCTTATTTTTTTCTCTCTGATTGCCTTTTTGTTATAATGCCTGAAAGACTATTTTGACTTTAACCCCCATTCTTTCAAGTGATTTTTCCACACAATTAATTTTACATTTTGACTGTTATGTTTTTCATTTCAAAGTTCTTTCATTTTTTAAAAAATAATTTAATAGCATTTTTTATGGATACAATGATTTTCTTATCTTTCCACTTATGTTAGCTAAATTTTAAAAAGTAATTATTTTTCTCCCTATATTATCTGTACATCCAACTTCTTTTTTCTGTATGATTATTTCTTCTCTCACATTCATATTCAGTCTAACCCTCAATTTTGTTTGGCTTATATGATATTTATAACACAACTGATTTCATATTTTTACAAAATCAGAAATTTTAACTTCTTTTGAAAAAATTGAAAGATCTGGCTATGGTAGGGCCATGTTTTTTCTTGCTGAATAGAAAACATGTATTCTTGTGGTATCCTTTTTTAGGTAAAACATGTATTCTTCTGGTATCCTTTTTTACTCATTTATCTATCAGACCCTATAACCATTTAGGTGGACCACCTTCCTTCCCTGTGCTTCTCTGTAACTCATGTGTCTCCAGTCCACGCAAAAATCCCCTGATTTATACTTCTGGAAACAGCTCACCTTTGAAGATATAATACTTGCTCTGTTTTGCTTTCATAAAATTGTCTCTTGTCATCAAATCCTTTGGCAAAGCAGTTGTTCTTTTAGCAAGACAATGAGCACAAGTTTTATGACCATTGAAATACACTGAAGACAGGTTATTATTTGATATGCCCCAAGGACGTTCATTAGTAGTATTTGATCTCATAAATCTACTCTTGTATAAATTAAAGAAAATGTAAAGCTTTGTGTTTCTCATATGTCATTTTATGAGGGTTGAGTCAATTAATTACTAAAGATGGGATTTTCTTTTTATATGTGGATATTGTGTCTTAATTAGATGCCGATAACTTGGGGCTTATTTATAATACGATAAATTATTTTTTCTTCAGGTTTTTAAATGAAATAATTGATTTAATTAAGTAAATGCCCATCATGGTTAAATATAACAATACGTCATATCTTATGGAAGACCATTTGGCTGAAGGTCACAAGAGTTCATCCATTCATCAGCAACCACAAATATTTACTGAGTATCTACTATGTGTCAGGACTCTTGAAGGTGCTGTAAGCAATCAATCAGTCAACTGAATAGGTAAAGGCTTAGTTTTCGCAGAACTTGTAACACAGAAGAGATAAAACAGTAAAAAGTATTTTTAAAAAGTTAGCTTCTGTTAACTTCATGGCATTGGGAAAATCTTTTAGGTTTCTGAGACTTCATATTTCTAATGGTCGAATTCTAATTTTCTCCTACATCTACAAGTTAATGTTCTGCTTTAGATTTTAATTTGTTTTTAACCATCTAAGAAAGAATCTTAACTGAGACTGGATGTTGCATAAGGGTAACATAAAAGTGAAGAAGATGACGTTTTATGGTTTGTCCATGAAGGTGTCTTAAGGAACAGTCTCACATTGATTTTTAAATTTCCGAGTCTGTATGATAGAATTACCTTTAAATTTCTTTAGAAATAGTCCATGTTCAAAAAAAATGTACGAAAGGATCTTGGGTGTGTTAAGTTTAGCATAACTGTTTGCCACCCATTCATTACATGTATTTCGAGCATCCATTATATTTTGAGCATTGGAAATAGGGTTTAATAAAAGAAAAATTTTCTGTCTTCATAAAATCTACATTTTTACATAGAAAAATTATCCCATAAACAGAAAAAGTAAAAAACACTTCAGGTTGTTTTAAGTACTATGAAGAAAAATAAAGCTAGTAGGAAATTAGAGAGTAAGAGAGAAAAGGAGGAGTCTATCGTATAAAGAGTAATCGGAGAAGACTTCTCTGAGGAGATAATTGTAATATGGTCAAATAAAATGCAGGATGAGCAATTAAATTTGAATTTTTGATAAATGGCAACTTTTTAGCGTGAGTATGTCACATGCAACGTTTGGGACATAGAATATACAATTACTTATTGTTTATTTGAAATTCAAATTTAACTAGGCGTCTTGCATTTTTATTTTCTAATCTGACAACCCCACATTTGAGCCAAGACCTGAAAATAGTGAGAAAACCATCTATATAGTAGATTTAAGGGTTAGATTTTAATATTAAACAAACAAACAACAACAAAAAAAGCCAAATACAAAGTCTTGTGGCAGGAAGATCGTGGCTGTCCAAGGAATAGCAGAAAAGCCGTTGTGGCTGGTGTGGATTGAGGGAGGAGCTGAATGCCAGTTCGCATTGGAGATACAGGCAGAAGTCACATCATGGAGGTCCATTAAGCCACTGTAGATAAATTGGAGTTCATCTGATGGAAAGCCACTAGGAAATTTTGCAAGGAATAATGAAATCTAATTTAAGTTAAATTAAAAAAAAAAAAACCGCTATGGCTGCTATATGAAAAGGCTGTGTGAGGATGAGAGATGGAGCTAGGAAGAAGTGTTAGGAAGTGAATACAACAGACCACGCTGGAGATGAAGGTTTGGAATGCAGTGTTAGCAGTGGAGACTATGCACAGGAGTGTGAATCAGGTTATATTTTACAGGAAAAACCACAGGACTTGCCTGCGAGTTGGAGGTATGTGAGAAAGAGGAATAAGGGGTGCATTCTTCAACTTTGTCTTGAGAAACAGGATAATTGGTAATAAGTTAGTTTTGTGACAATTAAAGGGAAGCAAATTGAATTTGCTTAAGCAGATGTTTATTGAGACACACATAAACACACATACCCACCCCTTGCACATTCCTTGCCAGGGTGATCAAATCAAGTGACTCTTCTACTTTATCATTATCATCATCATTATCATCATTTTCATGTGCTTATTATGCCAGGGAACATTACTAGGCCATATATCTATTACTCAGTTAATTATCACAACAAGCCTATGATAAAGGCACTATTATTATAATCATTCTCATATTACAGATAAGAAAAATGAAGCCCACAGAGATTAGATAACTTGCCCAAAGTCCTACAGTTAGAACATGGTGAGGTGTGGGTCCAAAGACAACCTAATGGACTCCAAAGCACTTTCACTTAATAATTATGTTTTGCAAAAACAAAAAAAGAAAAAGAAATCCAGCACTTTGAACCATTCTGAATATGAAGAAGAATATTTATTCAACTGCTAGACTCCTACTATTCAAGCATTCAAAAGATAGGTAAGATATTTAATTAGAAAGCAAGGAACAAACATGAAAAATAAAATTTGCTAAATGACAAAAAAGATTGGGCAAAATTAAGATCATATCATTGTTCTTGGATGGGAAGATAAAAATTACAAAGAAGTCAGTTTTTCCAATTTAATATATAGTGGAGTTTCCATTAAAATTATATATGTATATATTTTATGTGTACTTATTTGTATTTCAACAAATAATAAGACAGATAAACCACAATCTAACTTTATCAAAAAAAAAGAAAGCAAAAATGTAAAACAGAAAAAAAAGTAAAAGTAATTTGGAAAGAGTGAAAATTAGAAGATCATAAATACTATGAGATAATGTATATTTTTCCCAAAATAATTTATATAAATCTGAAAATGCTATTGCTATAGAAAGATTTCCAATATATGCATTTAATGATAACAATAATGTGAGAAACAGTGACTGTAACTTTTCCTGGGTAAAAAGGGTGAAAACACTCTGGTGTATTCATATTCACTTTCATTTTCATAAAGAAACTGAAAGGATATGCAACAAGAAACTCACAAAAGTTTAACTGAGTGAGGGACAAAGAGAGCAATCAGACTTTCTACTGTATTGCTTTCATATTGAAAAGTGTGAATGTGTTACCAATTCAAAATTTTTAAAAATAATATTAACACGCTATATTTTGGAAACTGAAAGGCAATTACTTTTGTTGTTAAAAAAAAGGCATGCTTTGAGCACCAACCATACAAAAATTGACTAGCTTTACTACAAAGCTGCCTTGGTTGGGATGCCATATGGTTTTGATCAAATAAATCTCTGGATAATTTTCATAAGTCTTTCATCACCTATTGATTCTGAAAAAAAAATCCTTTTGACATCATAGTCTATGTTTGGTCCAATTCCATATTACTAGCTTGATTTCCTTTCTCATAGTTTCTGAAGCAATTTGCTTCCATGCCTGTGCAGAGTTTCAGTCCAGAGAAAAAATAGAAAAATTATTAACTAAATTGGATGCATTATTTATCTGTTCTGCTTCATACTCTCTGAATCTACAGTTCTATGTTAGATTTATTTTTAAAAGGAATATAAATATTTCTAGGCTTAATGCTTTGAAACTGGATTTGGTAGCAGTTTTACATGTTTAATTACCTTTTCTATTCTATAATGAGCTACAAAATAGGTTTGAATAGGTTTTAACAAAATTGATCATACTATTTTCCTCCAGAATGATTATATTTTGCATAATAATCTCTGTAATTCTAATATCTGACTAGTATCTATATTCAGGATGGAATCTCCCTTTCATGCATTTTACTAACAATGCATTTTTATCTTATTTCCTATCATTTTAGTTCATCAATACGTCAGCTGAATTTGAAGATTATATAATTTACTTTCTTTATTTTTACTTTTATTTTCCACTTAATGATGGCTAATAGTTTGGAAGAGGATTATTATCTTTTACCATTTCTTGCACATTATAGCATCACCATTAGAGTTGTTTTCTTCCTTGAGGGACAGAAAGATCATTCTTTACTTTCTCCCAAATCCTTATTTCCTATAGAGCTTTTTTTCCCCTCATATTCATTTCCAACATGGTGGCTCCTAATACTTCTAAACTTCATCTGGGAGTGACACACTCATTACTTCCTAAAGCTGATAACATTTGTGAGACATGGGAAAATTCAGTAAATGGTTAAATTGACCTTAAGAACTATTTCCATTATGGAAGTGTGTGCTACAGTTCATTTCAGATATTGATGGTATTCATACACGTCATCTCTGCTTAATATTAGAAACAACCAAAAATTATTTTTAGGTATTGTAACATAAAATACCTCTCCTTGCTGTGGAAAATATAAGATCTCAGTGGATTATAATAAAATAGGCATTGCTAACTATGATTTTCTGAGGAATTTGTCTCTATTCAAAGAAAATGTGGCAAAGTCCTTTAAGGAAATACTCAAAGTGTGTGGATTTGGACTATACAGTTGCCATAAAAGAGACAGATACAAAGCACGGTGTTGGTATTAGAGGCATCTCTCTTACATCGAAGGAGAAAAATATCATGGGAGGCTTTGAAGAGAAGGGGAGCTGAATGAATCATAAAAGGATGTGGAGGAGTTTGTCAGGTGGAGAAAGTATGACGTGAAATGCAATGCATGCAGAGAAAAGCATTGTGTATAAAAATGGGAAGCCTGAAACACTCTGGTACTTTCGGGTAACAGGACGTAAACATGATGAGATGCTGGGGAGTGGCCTCAAAGATCAAGGAATTCAGCCACATAAGAGACAAATCAAAGAAGTCCTTGTAATCTATTTTAAGGACTTCTTAATAGATTAATAGATTGTTGTTAAAAATAACAGTTAATCTGCATAAACTTTAACCTTGATTGGGCCTTATACTGACTTAGAAAACCAACTAACTCTGTAATATACTCCACAGTGTAAATAGAATAGACAAAAGAATAGACAATTGAAGGAGTTCTCTCTACTTGATGTATTTACTCTCTTACCTTCCATTCACTTCTCCTACTCTCATTTGGCCCTGCCTTTGCTACATCACCACAATCATTTGGGTCAAGAATGACCTTTATCTATAAATTAAATGCCCACATTTCAGTCCTTTTCTTGTTTGGTCATTTGGGAACATTTAACATTATAAGCTACTAACTGCTCCTTTAAGCGCTCTCTTCTCTTGTCTTCCAAAGATCTCACTCCCCTGATTTTCCTTCTGTTTCTCTGGTCTCTCATTTCAGTCTACTTTGAGAGCTCCTATTCTATTTAACTTTTAAATGTTGGTACTTCTTGGGGTTTTAGGTCCTTTTCTCTTTTTATCATGTCCTCTTTTTTTGGGTAGAGCCCATCTACTTCCATGGTTTTAAATTATAATTAATATCTATATGCAAGTGATTTCTAAATCTTCAACTCCATCAAACATTTTTCTTGTGACATTCATCTTAGCATATTTTCCTGAACATCTCTACTTGGCTATTCAATACCGCAGTCTCAACATGATCAAACATGAAGCCATCATCTTCCCATATCTGTTCTTCTTTTCTCTTAAATAATATGTCTGTTCACTCCACTGTTCAAGCCTGAAAACTGCCATTTAAACCTCCCTATATGTTCCACAGCTGTGCCTATTAATTATACCTCCTAAGTATTTATCTAATCTCTTTGTCTCTCTACAGTGCCACTGCCATTAGACAAGTGCCTGGCTTATCACTGTAGCTTCCCCATCTCCAGCCATCATGCTGACAGTGACTTTAAAAAAATGCAACTTAATCATGTCGCTCTATGGGCAAAATCCTTTGGTGGTTCTACATTTTCTCTGTGATAATGGCTGTTCTTCATGCTAAAATTATCTATCTAGCATATTGCAATCATTAATTTCATTGGCTGTTTATCCAACTAGACAGTAAATTGTTTTCTATAGAATAGAGACAAAGTATTACTAGCCAATGCATACATATGTATGTATGTATGTGTATACACACACACACACACACACACACACACACACACACACACACACATATATATATATATTCAAACCTACTATAATCCCTTAACTGTAATGGTTGCTGTATAGACAAGAATAGAATCTAGAGTATTTACCCTCTCTAATTTTACCGTCTAGCTGGGAGCAAAACAAGATGTAAGGTATATATTAAACCAAGACCATTCAGGAAGTAAACTGTGTAGCAGTGCCTGTAAGTGAAGAGATGAGAAGAAATCCAAACTAACATATTTGAAGAAATATCACCAGAGGTGGGATTGGAGTTGGGTCTTGGAAAATAAATAGTGTCTGAAAACATGAAAGAAGAATACAGTTGATTTCAAAAGTGAGGAATAATGTGTGGAAAAAAAAGAGTATTCAAATAGGAAGACAGGAAGTCAAATTGTCTGTTTCCAGATGACAAGATTGTATAATTTAGAAAACCCCATCGTCTCAGCCCAAAATCTCCTTAAGCTGATAAGCAATAAAAAATAAATAATTTTTAAAATAAATAAATTATCTTTCAAAGCAAATTTCTTACCCATAGTTAGGATAATGCTCTTGCTATATATCTCTAGAATAACCTTTAAATAACTTTAAAATAAATGATTCATTTTTGTTAGAGGCAATAAAATAAAATGAGATATTTAACATTTAATTTACAGTTCTACATGCATTTTCAGATTCTGCTTTACTGTGAGGACTGTTACTATAGTAAAATAAACCCTAATGTAAAGAATGTGATGGGGTCATGTGTGTGTGTGTGTGTGTGTGTGTGTGTGTGTATATATATATATATATATATAAAATTAAATAATCTGGTATAATCTAGAATTCATTTTTTAAAAGAGATCAGAAAAATGCTGCTTGAAACAGGTGTAAACCATGGATGATAAAGTTCTTTGTTGCCCAGGGATGTTAAATGGATTACACAGTAATGTGAAAGTGCCAATCCTATAGTTAAGGTTGAAAAAGTCATTTCCATTTAAAATTTCTATTTCTTATATGTATATATTTTAAAGTCTTGTTTGCTGAAATTTTTCATGCTTCATCTAAATTTTAGCCACATATTGTGAGGTTACAGAAAACTTCATTTGGCCAATTCTGAGGCATCTAAATGTGTCCACAAGGGATTCGGCATCAAGCCTGATGCAACTTACCTATTTATATTCATACATGTTAATGTGGGATCCCTCCCTCCCTACAATATAATTTAGCTCTTACTGTGTGCATAATTTTATATTTTGCTATTTAAAACGCATGGTCATGATCATTTTGCCATTTTATTAAATATTAAATATTATTAAATATTAAGTTTTAGATGTTTAATGATGATATTTTTATTATTTTTTATGGTTAATTACATCATTTCAGTTTTGTTTTGGTTTCTTTTTGCTATTATAATTAACTCTGTGAATAAAACACCTGTTGTAACAACGTCATTAAGTGCCTTGGAAATTCAGTGCTTAAACAATGACTGGCAGGTGTCCAGCTATGACTGCACAGGAACTTTGTCTCTGATGGGACAACACCAAGGCATGACTTCAACTCCTGAGTTTCCCTGAAGAATCAGCTGACGCTTGCCTGGAACGTTCCCTGAAATCGCACCCTTACTTGGCTTCCTCTCTTTTTCTCCTTCTACTTCCTTCACTTGTTTACCACTTTCCCATGGGAGCATTTCCTTGATAAATCACTGGCAATAAATCCCTGCCTGGGGTCTGCTTCTGGGAAAACTGCCCTAAGACATCTTTTCATAAACTTATGATTATTCTCATAAGATAATGTCTTAGAATTATTCAATCACAAGGTCTACACCTTTTTAAAGTGTTTGATAGATACTGCCTATTTGCTCTCTGGAAAAGTTGTATGAACTTAAGTTCCTGCCATCAACATACACATGCTCCTTCCATAGCACCCTCTGGAGTATTATCAATTATCATTCGAATAAATCCTTGTCTTGTTAATAAGTATATTTTATTTTCAGAATTATTTTGGGGGCTCTTTGCTGAGAAGCTTCTGAAAAGAATTTGGTCAAACTTTTCTGAGATTGTGAATGGTTACAGTATGATGCTTCTACCATTCCTGGGAACAAAAGGCTTCATCTTGTCTGGAGGTAGAGGTGGGCCCCTAGTGGCCATATATGTGCTATGTGGAGACTCTGATCCCATGTTATATCTAATGGGACTTGGAGTAGACATCTGATTAATTTGGGTCCATTGGATCCTCTTTTTGTGAATATGAAACTGAGAGTTAAAGCCAGAAAGTCTAAAAAGCCACAGAGACCAGAAAATGTAGGGAGTGGGACTATATTTATAGCAGCAACCTAAAAAGGAGATCCGCCAGTTCACATGTAACAATGGACTGGAATAGTGGGCTTAAAAATGGATTCATGCTCAAATATGAAAGTATGATAATTAAAGGAACTGGTGTGGCTGAACAGAGAGTAAAAAAGGGACTCCTCAATAAATGATACTGGGAATACTGTTGAATGGAAAGGTGAATATGAATCTCTACTTCATAACATACACAAACATCAAATTCAATTGGAACAATAACAAATAACAGAAGTAAAATTGTAAAACTTCAGAAAAGAACAAGGGAGAATAAAGGCACATCCTTGCAGTATAGAGGAATTTTTATACAAGACACAAAGAGCTCTTATGATAAGGAAAAGACTGAGAAATTTGCTTATATTCAAATGAAAAACTTCTGGTCTTCAAAAGTGACCATTGAGAGAAAGAGATAAGCCAAGCTATTTGATAAACATCATAACCAAGATATTATTAATACCCATACTATATAAAGAATGCCTATAAATTTAAAAAGGCAACATTGTAGAAAAATGGGCAATAAGTATATATAGATACTTTTTGCTAGGGGAAATATGCATGACCCACAAACATATGAAAATATGCTTAGCCTCCTTAGTAGTCAGGGAAAGGCAGATTAAGTACAATAAAATAAGATTTTCATCCACCATAGTGGCTAAAATTTATAAGTTGGATAGAACTAAATATTGATAAGTATGTTGAGCAATGGAAACTCTCATGGGCTGTGTTTCAGAGTGTATTGAAAAGAGCTCTTTGAAAACCTATTTGAAATTATCTTTTAAGTTTTAAAATTTCCATACCAAAGACTTCGAAAATTTCACTTGTAGATACACAGAGCTTACAGAAACAGGGGCACGTGTATACCTGACGATGTGTATAACACCACCCTGTGCAAAATTTTTGTAATAGCAAAAAAGTGGAAGCAGCGCAAATGTTCATCAGCAGTAAGATGGCCATACTATATTTTAGTATATTCATATGTTGATAGATCATAGAAAATGAAGCCACAGCTACATGCATCAGCACATATGAATATCAAAAATAGTGTTTAGTATAAAAGCATAGACTATACACAGTAAACATGTCAGCTGGAAATTAAAAGTAAAAGAACACATATATGTGTTCACGTATAACACACACAACTAGAAAGACAAGTAAAACAGTAATAATTAACACCAAAAATTAAGATTGCGATTAAATCAACCTAAAGAGCCTGAGCAGAATAGTCATACTGCCGGGCTGAGGAAGTAGAGGATTAAAGTTCCAGTCTGCTGAAACTGCAGGTATGGAACAGCATACCTAAGGAGAGGAGCTGAACGGTGAGGAAAATCCAGAAGTTTGTGGGAGTTCCTCATATATAATTGGCCAAGGATTGAGCTGCACATATGCAGGGCAGTATTCACAAGACCTAGAAGAGATTTCCTGCTTCAAGGCTGAGAGCTAGAAGAGGTCAACTCATATTAGAGGTCATGCAGTTTAGGAAGACATTGGAGAAAACCCTGTTCCAAGCTGCAGACAGCTAACTTCTTGTTGTATATTCACATGGTCAAGAGCAGAGCAAGAGAGCTCTCAGGCATCTCTTTAACAAAGGCATTAATCCCATTCACGAGGGCTCCACCCTCATGACTTAAATTACATGCTAAAGGCTCTGCCTCCCAATATCATCACACTTGTTGTTAGGATTTCAACATACAATTTTGAGGGGACATAAACATGCAGTCAATAACAAAAATAATAGACCAAAATACAATCATATCAATAATATTAAATGAAAATGGACTAAAAACTCCAACTGAAAGGCATAGGTTGTCAGACTAGATAAGTATCAAGAATGAGCTCTAAGCCATCAACAAGAGAGATATTTCTGTTTAAAGTAAAAATTCAGAAAGCTTTATTTATTCCGCTGTTCAGTCTCTGCTTTCAAGATATTGCCTTAAAATTAAATCATCTTTATCTACCCTTAGCTATATTAATACAACTTTTAAGTTACGCCTCTCATTCCATCCTCTTTGAACTATATTACCATGATACTCCCAAATACACACTTTTAAGTTAGTTGTCACCTTAGATGAAACATACCCAAGGGTGACTTCATCATTCTACCCATAAGACAAATTTCCCCTCTCAATTATTTTCTGTTAATAAAATTATCATTTTTGCTAATTTTCTAAGTTCAAAACCCTGAATTCAACTTATATTCCATCATCTTTTAATGACTAAATCACATTGCGTTTTTTTCAAAATGTCTCTTTTCACAGCCACAACCATTTACATTATTATTATTACCTGTGTTTCATAGAGTAGCTACGAAGTGTTTAAGCAAAGATAAGGTTATTTGTATGTGCTTATTCTGCACACATTTTAATTTTTACTCATGCTCATCTTGGCATTTTTTCTATGTTAATGGACGGAAGTCATTAAAAGAGCTCCTGATAACTGTTATTAGATTTTTACTTGATTTCCACTGAAATTCAAACTCACAGAGTTTGTAGTCACTTGGTGCTGGAACTCCCATAAAATATTTATTATGGAAAAAACATTATACCAGCATAAGAAGAAACACAAATGTATCTCCAATTCCTTTGTACTTGAAAATTACACTGTTTAAATTATAAACTTTAAGAGATAAATTTTTGTATTCTGCTTCCAAGTTAACCATATATTTTGTTTCTCTTAAAAGGTCTCTGTACTTTATTTTTAACTTCTATATTTCATCAAGTCAGTGTAACATGATTTAAACTGTCCCTCATTGTTAAATATTGGGGCTCTTTAATAATTTTTTTTCTATCACACATAATTCTGCAATGCTTATTTTCTGCATACTTTATTTATTATGATTAATATTAAGTAAACTCTCAAGAATTAGATTGCTGAGTCAAAGAATACAGACATTTTTTATGATTCTTGATTATATTTTACCCAAATTATTTCCAAATGTGTTGCAATCACTTTTGAACTGGCCTAAAGCAATGTGTCTTGAATGCCACTCTGATTAATTCTTTTCTATAATAATTTATTTTGAAATGATTTTGAACAAACAGAAAAGTTGCAAGTTTAGAACAAAGAACTATATCCTCCCTGCCCCTCCATCCAGGTTTCTTAGCTATTACTATTTCATTGCAGCTGCTTCATCACTTTCTCACTTTCTCCATTATCATTTGTTATTTTTTTAGAGTATGTTTGAGAGCAAGTTGTACTCTTAATGCCCCATTGTCCCTAAACACTCCAAAACAAAGTACATGACCACATACCTATTTCCAAGTCAGGAAATGAACATTGATACAACACTACCCTCAAATCCACAGACACCATTCAAATTCTATCAAGTGATCTAAAACGGTTCTTTTTTCTTTATGTTCCAGAATCTTATCCAAGAACAAACACTGTATTTGGTCATGATTTATTTTCAGTCTCTTCTGTCTTGGAGCAGGTCTCAATATTTTCCTGGATTTCATATCATTGATAGTTTTAAAAAGCACAAGCCTTACATTCTGTAAGATGACATTCATCTTTGGTCCATTTAATGTTTCCTAATGACCAAACTCAGATTCAGGTAATTATTTTTGGCACGAATACCACAATAACGAAGCTATGCTTTTCTTAGTACAACTCAGCAGAGAAGAGAAAGTCTTTTCAGCACATGGAACAGTTGGATACACATATGCAAAAAGATGAGCTTCAACCTTTACCTCACACCATACACCAAAAGTAATTTGAGATTGAAAATGAACATAAAAGCAAAACTACAAAGCCTCTAGAAGAAAACACAGGAGAATGTGTTTGTGAATGGAGTGGGCAAAGATTTCTTAGGACACAGAAAGCAAACATCATAAAAATAAATAATAAACTAGATACTATTAAAATTTAAAACTTTGGTTCATAATAGAGATAGCTTTAAGAAAATAGAACAGGCACTGTGATAAAACATTCATAAAATGTTTATCTGACATGACAAAAACAGCAAGAAAAAATTGACAAAAGACCAATAAGCATTTTGCATCACAAAGACATGAATGACAAACACATGAAAAGCATTCAATATCGTTGTTCATCATTCAAATAAAAACACTAAAATGAGATACTACTACACATCCATTAGTAAAGATTCAGTAAAAAAGACTGGTATTAGCTAATATTGTGGAGGATGCAGAGCTATCAGAACCGCCATTTTTTTTCTTGGAAGTGTTAAAATCTTAAACAGTTTATAAATATTACCTTTAAGAATTTGCAATAAAAAACAACAATAACAACATTTTATGTCAGCTTGGGAAATATGATTGTATTAAAAATTGTTAATTTTTTTAAGTATGGTAAAAATCCTGCAGTTATATAAGAAAATATCCTTATGTTTTGGGGACATATACTGAAGCGTATAAGAGGAGTAAAATGTCATGATGTCTAGATTTCTTTAATAATTCATCAATAAAAAAATAGATTCAGTTAACATGTTAAAATGTTATTAATTAAAAATCTAGGTAATGAGTATATCAGGAGTTTGTTATACTATTGTTTGTACTTTTGAATTTCTCATAAGAAAAATTAAAATTTAAAAGAGAAAAATTAAATCAGGATAACATGATAGAAAATGATAGGTTCTATTTGCTGTTTCTTATAAGGTAATCAGAGAAGGTATCCTTGATAAAGTGACATCTGAGCAGACACCAGAATCAAGTGAGGTAGCAAGCCAGCTCTGTTTTGGAAGAAAGCACATTCCCGGCAGAGTACGAGTTGAGAGGACCTGAGGTGGAAATGTGCTTGGCATGTTCATGGCTCACTTGTGCATTTTCAGACAGTTGTCAAGATAGCAGGGGGCTCCTTGGTCTCACACAGTCAGATATACATGTGTGGAAGTTGGCTGAGGCTATTAATCTTTCATCCCCTACTAGTCTAGACCAGAATTTTTTAAATGATCAATTTTCAAAATTTTTGGTTCCAGGCTCCTTTAGCCTCTTAAAAATGATTGAGGATATCAGAGAACTTTATTCTGTGTGAGCTATATTAATCAATATATATTACATGTATTGGAAATTAAACTGACAAAAGTTAAAAACATCCAATAATAATAAACTCATGGAATATTAGCATAAATAACATTATATGAAAAAATCGTATATTTTCTAAAACAAAAAAAATTTAGCGAGTGGCATTGTTTTAAATTGCTGCAAATCTTTTTAATGCAAATCTCTTGCAATTATTGCAGATTTCTTTTCTTCTTAGAAGTCAGTTGGATTTTCATCTCTGCTTCTGAATTCAATCAATTGTTATAGGTTATATGGGTTGAAGTATTCTAAGAAAAGTCAGCCTCACACAAATGTGTGAGGCAAGAGGAAGTATTTTATTAGCTTTTAAAGATGATTATAGATATTCTTTGATACTATGCTAAAATTCTACAGGTGTTAGATTCTTAAAGGTAAGTTGCAATGATAAATCTGCAATCATATCAATGTGCTTTTAATACTCTGTTATGCTAAAATCCACTGGTCTCTCTTACACTTTGAATGTTATTTTGGGATATCATGCATTGGTCATTTGGAAAATATTAGGTTCCCTGAGTTATACAGATTATCAAAACATTGGTGCATATTATTCATTAGTATAGTATAGTATAGTATAGTATAGTCCCTAAGTATTGGAAAGCTATGTACCTCACCATAGTAAATACAAGTATTCCCAAATTCCAATTTTCCCTTGTAAACTCAAAATTTTATGACCAGAATCAAATCCTGTCCGTTTTTATACTTGAAGTGACAGGTAATTTGTTCATTTTTAAGGAAAATATTCTTCCAAATAATCAACTCTGAATAACTATAGTTTGTCAGATATGCTTTCAAGTCAAAATGTGATTTCATAAATAAACCAGCTAGTTTAGCTCACAACAAAAAGAATAATGTGAGTACTTTTCCATAAGAGAAGCATTGAACTTGGTCTTGGTCAAAGCAACTTACAACTTTCAAGGACTAGTGTGGAGGCAACTCCATCTTGGACGCTAATTTGCCATGGTGCCTTCTGATTAACCCCAGTTCCAGGAGTACCTCTAAGATATCTGTTTTATCTACTGTTCCTTGTGTAAGAGCTTGTATTTACCATAAATCGTGCCCTTACGTCAACTAGTAGAGAAATAGATTCCACCTGTTGAAGGGAGAAGACAAAATCATACTACAAAGGGGTATGGATTCAAGGAACTGTGTGATTCATTAGGGCTCACTAGGTAAAGGTGAAAGCTATAGAGAGCAATTGAATACTGAATATAACTTGGAAGGCAAGAACTAGCAGGATTTCTTGATGGACTGAATATAAATTTTGGGAGAGAAATGTGTCAGGGATAATACCTAGTTCCCGGCCTAGCAAGGTGAATGAGGTTGCCTTTTATTGACATGTAAAAGATGGGAAGAGTGGATGTGTAGGAGAGATTGAGTTCATTTTAAGACATAGTAAGTTTGAGATGTCTATGAGATATACAAGTGAATATATTGTATAGGCAGTTATATACAAGTCTATAATCTAGAGGATATAGGGAATAAACAAATTTTTGAATTTTCAGTGTATAGACCTAATTTAAAACCACTGAACTGGGCCAAGTGCAGTGGCTCATGCCCATAATCTCAGCATTTTGGGAGGCCAAGGTGGGATAATCCCTTGAGGCCAGTTCTCAAGACCAGCTGGGCAACACAGGGAGACCTTGTCTCTACAAAAAATATATTAAAAAACAGCCAAGTGTGGTGGCTCGCACCAGTGGTCTCAGCTACTCAGGAGGCTGAGGTGGTTGGATCGCTTGAGCCAGGAGGTCGAGGCTGCAGTGAGCCATGATCATGCCACTGCACTCCAGCCTGAGGGACAGAGTGAGAACTTCTCTCAAAAACAACAATGACAAACCATTGAACTAGATGACATCATTTTCTAGAAAGTGGATATAAACATGGAAAAGGGATAAGGTTGTCCAGAGGAATACACACACACACACACACACACACACACACACACACAGGTTTTAAATATATGCATATATACACAAACACTAAGTATATATGCACATATATATGTATATTATGTGTGTGTATGTGTATAATATTTAGGAATTGGCTCACACAAATATGGAGGCTAAGTCCCAAGAGATGTCTTCTGACAGCTGGAGACCCAGGAAGCTGGTGGTGTAAGCCCCAGTATGAGGGCATGAGAAGACTGATGTTCTAGCTCAAGCAGTTAAGCAGAGACTGCAAATTCTTCCCTCCTCTACCTTTTTGTTTTATGCAAGCCCTCATTGAATTGGATGAGGCCCATTCACGTTGGGGAGGGCACTCTACTTCACACAGTTTATGGATTCATATGCAAATATCACCTGGAAACACCCTCACAGACACACTCAGAAATAATGTTTAACCAAATATCTGGGCATCTGTGGCCCATGTAAGTTGATATATAAAATTGCCCATCACAGAGTAAGCTGTGGTTTCTCCATCAAGAGGTCTGCAAGCTGAGGAGCCCATCCAAGGAAACTGAGATAAACTAGTATGAAAATTATATCCAGTTAAATTAAGCACTATTACTATTTAAAATTAATTTTAATAATATATATTTTCAAATCTTTTCTCTCTGAGAAATAATGACATTCTTAATCCTATGTGGTTAAAAGCAATATCTGTGTCACGATTTGCTCTGGTTTCTCTTCTTCTTTCTGAGACCAGAGTATGCATTATCCCACTACTTATTTGAGTAAATTAAGGGAATTCTTAGCCACATAGTGTGCAATTGCCTAGCTTCTGGACTTTTAAAAGAGAATCCTTATCCACCTTATATTCTGGGCTTTATCATGGAAAACTTAAGAAAGTTCTGTTTTCCTACAAAACACTTCGAAAAACTTTTGTCATATTTTTCCTCCTCCTCCTCCTCCTTTCTCCTCTTTTTAATTCAGGCAATTTATTTTCAAAGGGATCTTTTCCTTGCCCTTTCTCTGGCTCTAAACCGCCAAAAAGTTATCCTAATTGTTGTCAAAATCTTTGGGCTTAATGATCCTTTCTGTGCAGTACAGCAAACATACTCCTTTTATTAAAACCTAGAATTTTGCATCTTAACTCCGTGTAAACCACATTCACCACATGAAGATATCAGAGAAACAAAGCTAGGACAAGACAAGTACCTTCTGACAACTTTGGGATCTTAGGGAGTTTTCCTTTTATGATCATGGACTTTGAAAACTTGTCTGTAGATACGTGGTCTCCATTTTTTTTGAATTGTTTTCTTGTTGAATTCTCCTAGTGTATGTAGTAGATTTATATCTGAAAAATTAGCTGGCCTGCCACAGCTATGGTAAGGGGAACTAAGGAAAGAGGGGCTCCAGTATTTCACTGGATGAGCAGCTGCCCCTGCAGAGGTCTATGGAACCGACCAGAGCCTGAAAGAGGAGGAGGAACTCATCTTGCAGTCAGGGTCTAAATCTTTTGTCAGTTTTCAACTAAAGGCAGGGGAGGGTCCATGTAAACAGAGTCCTTATAGAGGGATCTCCTAAATAAGTATCTCAAAGAATAGCTTTACCTTTTCCATATTTACTCCAGGTCTCCAACGTACTTTTTTTTGTTTGTTTTTGTTTTTCGTTGCCCAGGCTGGAGTGCAATGGCGTGATCTCTCCGCTCACTGCAACCGCCGCCTCCGGCTCCCAGGTTCAATCAATTCTCCTGCCTCAGCCTCCATAGTAGCTGGGATTAGGGCGCCTGCCGCCACGCCCGGCTGATTTTTTGTATTTTTAGTAGAGACGGGGTTTCACCATGTTGGTCAAGCTGGCCTCAAACTCCTGAGCTCAGGTGATCCACACACCTCGGCGACCCAAACTGCTGGGATTACAGGCGTGAGCCACCGCGTCCTGCCCAACATACATTTTTTTTTACTTCACAGGAATCCCAGATACAGGCCATAGGTTTTTCTTTTTGTTCCCCTCTAGCTAGTTTTAAATTCCAAGTGACATCTTTCCCTGTGGGAAATCAGCAAAGATAGAGCTATAGCTAGAGATTAAAGCGGGAGGAGCAGGCTTGGAGAGAAAATGAAAGGAAGAGATAAGATTAAAAATCAACATTCTATGCAAAAAAGAGCCCAGAGCAAAGGGCCTAAGTGGCCACTTCCCCCATCTCTGTCGTAACAACAGGCCGATTCCTGCATCCTGGCTGCCAATTTCTTTATGGGTGAGTAGCCCTTCCTGAAGAGAAATCTTTGCATTTAAGAAAGCCTCATTGAACAATAATATATGCTCTTTTTTTTTTTTTTACTTATCTTATTAATTTATGTAATAGGGAACTGAGTGCCATTAATTCACTCCTGGATAGGAGAGTTATTAATACTGAATGTGATCTGGTCTTTTATTTATGACCACTTTTCTTTTAACTGCGCTAGAATTAACTCAGCACTGCATTTCAGGTATTGATTTGGAATCTGAAAGTTTAATTTATTACCTCAATCAATATCAAGGGTATTTAGACAGCATTTTCCTTACCCTTATGGAATGTCATTGTGTGGCTGTCCTCTGGCATCTCTCTTCTTTTTCTTTTCTTGGCTTTCTTTGGGTGTTTAACAGCTCCCTCAGGGCATTGCCAATTATTTATGACATACTTCTCCTTGTAAGATCTAGTAGGAAAACCTGTTCCTATGGAAACTGCTGTTTTCAAACAGGATGGCTCTAACTTCAAAACAATATCATCAAATATGCAACAGCACATATATCTTTTAATGACAAGCGTATTCTAATGATTTGTAAAACCAAATCTGAAAAGCTGAACAGGACAAAATGTATGGAAAGCCCATCTGATTGGGTGGGAGATGAAGGGATTATCTGAAAAGAAAAAAAACCTTCTGGGAATTAGTTTGACTTGGTATATTTAGGGAAGTCTGGTGAGAGGATAGCATAGGCTTTGAAATTATGTTCAGCAGGGACCTGTGACTATCTTGAACTAAACTGAACAGAAATTGACTAGACCTGGGTTTTAACATTGCTGGTTTAGTATACCCTTTAGTAAACGACTACCGAAATCTATTCACTGAAAGCCCAGTCTCTGGCAACCCAGCCCCCAATATTACATTTTATAACTGGAGTTTTCATTAGCGTATTACCCAGTCCTAGTTTGCTTTCCTTGTCCTACTGTTTATTCTTGTCAAAGCCAAGGAAATGAAGGATAATGCTACCACTGAGTGAGGCTCCTCACAGAGTGCTTTGTTAATCAAGTTACAAGGCAAAATCACTCTATATCCTTGACTGATATTTTTTCTTTTGTTTGTTGAGACAGTCATTTTCTCTCACTGCATTCAAAACCAAATGTTGCTAGTTACCATGGCAATATTTTTGAAGGCAGTATCACTGTAATGTTCCCTCATGACCCATTATGATATAGCTTGGATTTGTTATAGACTTCATTTGTCCATCAATCATACTGGAGAATTCTGAGGGAAGGAGAGAAAGTACTGAAGAATTCTGAGGGATGGAGGAAGGGGGGCGGGGGGAGAACAAATAACAGAGAATTATATTATTGCATAAAAATGTAAAAATGAGCCTACATAACTTCAGCATAGCATGTTGTACTGAAGGAGACAAATCGTTATTTTAATCTTTATTCAATTGTAATGCAATATAAATAAATTCAGGCACAAATTATTAAGTCTACTGTCAAGTATATGCTTGTTCCTTGATTTTAAGCCAAGAGACTTAAATACTTAGGGCAAAAATCAGAACGTTCAGATTAAATGTGTGATGTTAGAGTTCCTGTTGAGGAGTTCACAGTTAGAGGCTTTGGCTTGCTCACTCCAGGACTTGATTCATAAGTGGCAGCTTCTCCTTTATTGTACATCATTTGTGAGTGAGGTCTAGAAGCATGGGGGCCCTTGGGAGAAAAATAGTACAAAACATAAAGCAGTACCATGAGATTTCTACCTGCTCCCTGCTCCCTGATCCAAAGGCAAGGTTCTTAGAAGAGGAGGAACCTGATTATGTATAATCAGAATAAGCTTCATGTTTTTCCTGATCCTATAATTTTTACTGTCAAAATTATGGACTTCACTTCACGTGGCTCCTCACCTCCCTGAAGGCTAAAGTACAATTTGTGATAATTGGTAAAATTTAAGAAATCAAATGGGAGATGAAGAAAGTCCTATAAAACACAGGTGTAATACATTCCATAAACATATACGTAGTATAGGTGTGGTAGAATTTTTTAGCAGAGTGACTTCTTGGGGAATAATAATGAAACAAAAAAGATTGAGAAGCACTGATCTAGGGCAAGTCCCACGTTGTATAACAGGGCTGATATGGACTGGGTAGGGAAATACTAGGTAGAAAATTGTGGAATCCCTGACAAGAGTTCTACCCTCCAGCCTGGACTCATGGCCCTAAATGAGAATGTCACACCCCCATTTTCCCACTTGAATGTTGCCTTTTGGCCCATCGTGCCCCGTATCCTTTGCCCATAAAAACCCCAAACTCCACTGACAGAGGAGCAGAGTGGCATGGCAGAGTAGGAGAGAAGAGAAGAAGTGTCTGAATATTGAGAAGAGAAGAGACAGCTGGACATCAGAGACGATGGTTGGAGAGGAGTTCGCCAAACTTCAGGGAAAGATTATCTTTCCACTCCATCCCCTTTCCAGCTCCCCATCCTACTAAGAGCCATTTCCACCACTCAATAAAATCTTTGCATTCATTATCCTTCAAGTCCATGTGACCCGATTCTTCCTGGCTGCCAGACAAGAACCTGGGTACCAAGAGGGCAGGGTGTAAAAGGCTGTCACCCTGACCCTCCACTGAGCTGGTTTAACACTTAGCTGTCTGCGGGTGGCAAATGCCAAAAGAGCATTGTTTGTAACACATGCCCTCTGGGGCTCCAGAGATTGTGGGCAACCCCCAGATGCTGCCATGGGCCAGTATGGGATTTGTTTTCACTGACACCCAAATGCATTCACCCCAGCTCCTGCATCCATTTACCTGTGTGCTCCCCCTCCAACAAGGGGTTCAAGCATGGCGGCCAAGTAAATGAGCCACCCCTGTCACAAGTCCCACGAGGGGATCAGGGGAAACTCTCCTGTCTCAGTGCTAGATAGGTTAGCTGACCTAATTTTCACAGCTACTTTGTGCCAATATAGCCCTCTGTCTCAAATCTCTTGAATTCCTCACAAAATTTCCACATCCATTCAGCAAACATTTATAGTCTGTCTGTCTGTGATGTGCTACAAAGTGTGTTAAGATTTTAGGATACAAAAAAAAAAAATTGTCTCTAACACCAAGGAGAGACTGAAAGACATCTGATGATTACAGAGCAATGTGATAAGGGCCAGAACAGTAGTAAAATACCATACAGATCCCCTGCTGTATCTGGCACTCAGGAAGAGCTAATTAAATTCCTAAGTTGAACGAATGTTAATATGACTCACATTTCCATGAGCTTGACATTGGTTTTCTCATGTGAACTTGTTCTTTGGGAAATACACTATGTATTTCTTTAGGGTATAACAGAATCAGGCAATATGTACTTGTCCTTAATAGCAGCCAGATAGTTTCTCCTTGGCTGTGGGTATGCTCATGTCATTGAACTTGGTTTTCTCACCTATTGATGTCATAGGATTTCTCTGAGAATTAAATCTCTCTTTCTCACACAGACTCATAAAATCTACTCAAACTTAAGAAGGCACACGGGTGTTCTTCTGGCCAACTAAAATGGGGCCTGAAATCCAGTTCATTGTCCTGTCATTATTTTTATGACCTGACTTTCAGTAAGCAGGGGATCAGCTACTTTGTTGAGCAGCTAAATTTCTTTGCCACCTAATTGTGCTCTGGTGTCTGAGGCCTACTCCTTGGAGATAAATTTTTGAACTCAGAGGATCTAACAGTGAGTCTTCAGCGTAAACTTTGTGGATTGGGGTAATGAAAATCATTACATGTTAATCCCTGGCTTGTGGCACAAGCTGGTGAGGAGGCATGTGTACTTTCCATTGAGTGCTGGAAGAATAAGAGGAAACCAGGTGTTCCCATAGGAGTGATCTGTTCAGCAAGTGGATATCTGAAGGTGAATGTGGACTGTGGCTTTTGTGGAAGGCTTCTTGTGTAGAAATAAAGAATACCTAAATGAGAACAAGCAGAGGCTATTTATTCAGAGCTTGCTACAACAATGGAGTCACTTGCATTTGGTAGAGACTGAAAGACAGGTCAGGAAATGGTAAAGCTTTATAGCAAAAAAAATAAAAAAGAAGAAAAGGAGGACTGTATGTGTGCTGTGATTAGAGGTAGTTGGCACAGAAAAGCTGAAGGTGTGCTAATTAGAAATGTGGCATTTTGTATGATTGGTTTGGGAAATATGTTTGCCATTCTGTGAGTTGTTCTGAGTTGGAGACAGAAAAAATTAGGGAATCTGGCAGTTGTTGAGCAAGTCTTGACCATTTTGGGCCATGCAATTACTGCAAAAATCATGGTGTGGCTTCTTGAACTGGTTGTTGCAGAGGCTGCTGGTCAGGGTTCTATTTTCATACATGGTCTGGTCACTGTCAGTCTGTATATACAATGTGCATTTGATATGCACATTACTTTGCAATAGGTGACATATTAAGCTGTTATCAGTCACTTTAAACATATAAATTTAAAAAATGAATAAAAATATAATACAAATATGAAGATAATATAGGACACTTCTAAGAAATAAGTTGGCCAAGAGAAATAAAGAGAGGCCTAGCTTGGATGTGTCAATAAACCTGGGAATAACTAGGACATGCATTTCCTGAGTTATTTGGAAATTGTACAATTTCTTCACCTCTATTCCTCCAGAGTGATTAAAACTAAAAGTTTAAAATGAAAAGATCTCACATACTTATTTCCCACAATACCCAGCAAAACACATTTGGGAGGGTTGTGTCATTATTGACAGCTGTCCTTGGAGACAGGAAAGTGGAAAGAGGAAACTCGTGAGGTAGATTTAAAAGCTGGCTGAATCCTTGGAGCGAGAGTCCGGAAATTAGGGAAGAGGGAAGGAAAATAAGTATTTGTTGAAGACCTGTTTTATGTCAGGTACTATGCCTAGAACTTAACAAATACCCCATTTAGTCTTTACAGGCAAGCTACGAGGTAAATGGTATTCCCATTTTAGAGATGGGGAAAATGAGACATACAGAGGGTAAATGATTTGCAAGTTTACAGGGATTGTAAATATAGGATCTGCTATCACTATGTCTGCCTCAACATGACTTTGCTATTCCAGGAGACTCTTGCCCAGGAAGATAAAAATTGTGATTAGCTTTATTATTCATTCCAGGGATTTCCTGGCCTATTCACTATTCTATAGAAAGTCCCTATGGTGGCCGGGTATGGTGGCTGATGCCGTAATCCCAGCACTTTGGGAGGCCGAGGCAGGTGGATCACAAGGTCAGGAGATCGAGACCATCCTGGCTAACACAGCAAAACCCTGTCTCTACTACAAATACAAAAAAAAAAAAAAAAAAAAAGGGAGCTGGCTGTGGTGGTGGGTGCCTGTAGTCCCAGCTACTCAGGAGGCTGAGGCAGGAAAATGGTGTGAACCCAAGAGGCGGAGCTTGCAGGGAGCTGAGATCCGCCACTGCACTCCAGCCTGGGTGACAGAGCAAGACTCCGTCTCAAAAAAAAAAAAAAAAAAAGTGCCACTGGTCTGTTTACTTTCTAACACTCTGAAACTCTCACCTCAAAATCCCCACTTTGTTGTTTCTACAAATCCAAGGCTGTTATACCAAGATCTTTACTCCATCCCAATCAAACGCCCACACTAAAAAATCTGCCTTAAGCCAGACTTCAAAATCTCAAGGAATCAGACCTTGCTTTGCCCCCTACAAGACTTATTCAATAGAGTTAGCAATACATTCCGTGTTGTCTTATCTGGTTGATTCGTTCATTCAACATTCATTTGACCTATCTGTAGGACTAAATTGTATAGGTTCTCTCCTTTCCATAATTTATTGATACATCCTTTATTGATATATTTTCTTTGTCCTATCTCCACTTTGTCACTTGGATTTACTTGGATGTGCCCATGCTGACACAAAGACAGACAGGCACACACACACACACACACACATACACACACACACGAACAGCCAATATCCTCATCTATATCTCAGTGTAACTTCAAATATGAAGGTACCATGCCATTATTCTCTCCTTTTCCTGCTTTACTTGGGTGAAGTCTTAACAGCAGTGGACCATAGCATCTGAGAAGAATATTATATATATTAATATGTAATATATAATATAATATATGTAATATATAATATATATAATATATATTATATATAAATTATATATGTATATGTAAATATTATATATTATATATACATTATATATGTATATGTAAATATATATTATATATAATTATATATGTATATGTAAATATATATTATCTATAATTATATATGCATATGTAAATATATATTATATATAATTGTATATGTATATTTAAATATATATTATATATAATTATATATGTATATGTAAACATTATATATTATATATAATTATATATGTATATGTAAATATATATTATCTATAATTATATATGCATATGTAAATATATATTATATATAATTGTATATGTATATTTAAATATATATTATATATAATTATATATGTATATGTAAACATTATATATTATATATAATTATATATGTATATGTAAATATATATTATCTATAATTATATATGTAAATATATATTACATATAATTATACATGTATGTGTAAATGTATACTACATATAATTATACATGTATGTGTAAATACATACTACATATAAATTATACGTGTGTAAATACATACTACATATAAATTATACGTGTGTGTGTAAATACATACTACATATAAATTATACGTGTGTGTAAATACATACTACGTATAAATTATACGTGTGTGTGTAAATACATACTACATATAAATTATACGTGTGTGTAAATACATACTACTTATAAATTATACGTGTGTGTAAATACATACTACATATAAATTATACGTGTGTGTAAATACATACTACATATAAATTATACGTGTGTGTAAATACATACTACATATAAATTATACGTGTGTGTGTAAATACATACTACATATAAATTATACGTGTGTGTGTAAATACATACTACATATAAATTATACATGTGTGTAAATACATACTACATATAAATTATACGTGTGTGTGTAAATATATACTACATATAAATTATACATGTATATATACTACATATAAATTATACATGTATATATATTACATATAAATTATATATGTATATATTACATATAAATTATATATGTATATATAAATATTATATATTGTGTATACATTATATATGTATACATAAATATTATATGTTGTATATAAATTATATATGTATATATTATATGTTGTATATAAATTATATATGTATATATAATATATATTATGTAAAAATTATATATGTATATATAAATATATATTATATAAAAATTATATATGTATATGTAAATATATATTATATAAAAATTATGTATATAAAAATATTATATATTATATAAAAATTATATATGTATATAGAAATATATATTATATAAAAATTAGACATGTATATAGAAATATATATTATATAAAAATTATATATGTATATAGAAATATTTTATATTATATAAAAATTATATATGTATATGTAAATATATATTATATATAAATTATATATGTATATAAAAATATGTTATATATAAATTATATATAATATATATTATATAAATTATATATATAATATATATTATATAAATTATATATATAATATATATATCATATAAATTATATATATAATATATATATCATATAAATTATATATATAATATATATATCATATAAATTATATATATAATATATATATCATATAAATTATATATATAATATATATCATATAAATTATATATATAATATATATCATATAAATTATGTATGTATATATAAGTATTATATATTATATATAAATTGTATAAATAAATATATATTATATATAAATATTATATGTTATATATAAATTATATATAAATATATGTTATATATAAATTTTATATATAAATATTATATGTTATATATAAATTTTATATATAATATATATTATATATAAATTTTATATATAAATACATATTATATATAAAATTTATATATAAATATTATATATAAATTTTATATGTATATATAAATATTATATATTATATATAAATTTTATATGTATATATAAATATTATATATTATATATAAATTTTATATGTATATATAAATATTATATATTATATATAAATTTTATATGTATATATAAATATTATATATTATATATAAATTTTATATGTATATATAAATTATATATGTATATATATCTCTCCAATTTTCTCATGTCTACGATAGAACGCGACACTACAACACAGTCACATCTAAATTGTAGAGTTGACCTGGTGCAGTGCCTCACACCTGTAATCACAGAACTTTGGGAGGCTGAGGTGGGCACACCACTTGAGGTTAGGAGTTTGAGACCAGCCTGGATAACATGGTGAAACCCCATCTCTACTAAAAATACAAAAATTAGCCGGGTATGGTGGTGTGCGCCTGTAATCCCAGCCACTGTAGAGGCTGAGGCAGGAGAATCGCTTGAACCTGGTAGGCGGAGGTTGCAGTGAGCGGAGATCATGCCACTGCACTCCAGCCTAGGTGACAGAGTGAGATTCTGTCTCAAAAAAATAAAATAAAAAGGAACTTTCAACACAGTTCATGAATGACTGCTTGAAGACCAGATCAGGTAGGATAGAAGGAAGCAGAAAGCTACTGAGGAAGAAAAAAAGTGACATAAGTTTCACCTTAACCTTTGATGTTTTATAAAATAGGTGAAACAGTTTCAGTTCTGTTGTCTGGAACTCTTACTCCCACTGGGAAGTAGAGTGGAAGAGTCAGAAGTTACTGACTATATATAGATGGGAACCGTAATAATTACTGGGTGATGAAAAGTTTTGAGAGACTAAAGTTGGTTTTTGAGGAAATTCAATGTTTAAACCAAAGTAAAAGTTTCTATATTTCATTGCAATCTATAGTGCTACAGGCCGTATATTTTTGCAAAATCAGACAAATTACACATAGCTTTCAGGCAAGGGTGGTTTACAGTTTGCAAGGAAGAAACAGAATATTTGACTCTAGAGGCTGCCCTAAAGAACCATGGTGAATCAGAATAACTGAATCTGAGTTATAATCAATTCCACAGTGTGTGAGTAGACACAAGTATCAAAAGTGGTTTGTTTATGCTGATACATTAAGGACATAAAATTATATTTTGGACAGAGAAGAATCAGTGGGTAATATCAGGTAATGAGTTTCTAATATGAAAACATTTCAAGGTTGTTTTGAAATCCATTGCAGGCAATGCATAATCCAAACAGGAAGAGAAGACATTAGGTGTTAGGAGGTGAGACGTTTCCCTTTGTGGTGTGCAGTGGGTACACAGGAGCAGTCTTCTCCAATTTGCAGCCGGAGAATACTTGTTTCCTTCGAGTGATCAAGGAGGGAACTGAATAGTAAATGACCATTCAAATGTCAAACAGAATTGCAGTTTTGAATCTTCTAGTATTTTAATCCTCAGAAATTGCAGGTTTCTAACCTCAGTGTAAGTCATGGCATCAAATCCTCATCTGTCCAATTTCTCTTTTCAGGATGAAATTATGCAGTTTGTTTTGAAAAAATTAGGTTGTTTTTACTTTTTATTTTTTCAGTTTTTGATATTCACATACAGCATTGACTATTTTGGTTCTTAGTGTAGCGTAAGTATTTTTTATAGTGCTGTGGTTTTTATTGCAATTAATATGTAATTTTTGCTGCTCTCCATACTCAGTCCTTATCCTATCCCCTGCTTTTTAAAAAATTAGCATTGTATAAGAGGGATAAAGCAGTAGGCTAATATATACCATTAATAACCCAACAGGAATGACAGTTGATGAACTGGCTTCATGAAACAATTGGCATTTTATTCAGTAAAATAATTCAGGTATGTAGGCTTCATTTATATTCAAAATATTCCAGTCAGATGTATGATTTCCTCATGGCAGAACTGTGAATATTAAATGATTACGTGTACTTTTAGCTTTATTTTCATTTCAAATAATGAGAATTATATCATTCAGAAACCCAGGAAATCTAAACTAAATTCTGCAGATCTGTCTTGGTTATTCCATGAAAATATGAATTTACTATAGGATTATAAAAAAGGAAGAGTGTACTTTAAAACTTAACCTATATTTGTAAAGTGTGTGAGACACAATAAGCAGATTTTACTTAGTGTAGTTACAGAATTTTCAGTCTTATTTTTTTCTAAGAAATAGATGTCCTTCTCCCTTCTTGAAGTTCCTGCAGTGTTTTTAGGGTTTATAGTTGATGGGGGCACATAAACAGAGGTGATTATAAGTCCAATGTCACATCCATTAATTTCTCTCGACAAAATAATGGAAAAAGCAAGCTGGAGAAACTTTGCATTACACCCGAGAGAATTTCTAGAGTATTCAGTACCTACATTCCCAGAGGAAAGGGAAAAGGAAGTTAAAAGGAAAGAATGCAACGATTAGACTCAAATATCCATTAAATTATTGAGTTGAATTTGATTCGAATCATTGCGCAAAGTATGAAAATAAGTACAGTTTGTGCCAGTCAGAATGGCAATTATTAAAAAGTCAAGAAACAACAGATGCTGGCGAGGCTATGGAGAAGTAGGAATGCTTTTATGCTGTTGGTGGGAGTGTAAAATAGTTCAACCATTGCGGAAGGCAGTGTGGCGATTCCTCAAGGTTTAGAACCAGAAATTCAATTTGACCCAGCAATCCCATTACTGGGTATATACCCAAAGGATTATAAATCATTCTACTATAAAGACACATGCATACATATGTTTATTGCAGCACTATATACAATAGCAAGTACTTGGAACCAACCCAAATGCCCATGAACGATAGACTGGATAAAGAAAATATGATACATGTACACCATGGAATACTATGCAGCTATAAAAAAGAATGAGATCATGGCCTTTGCAGGGACGTGGATGAAGCTGGAAGCCATCATCCTCAGCAAACTAACACAGGAACAGAAAACCAAACACCACATGTTCTCACTCATAAGTGGGAGTTGACCAATGAGAACACATGGACAAAGGGAGGGGAGCAACACACACCAGGACCTCTTGGTGGGGTGGAGGGCAAGGGGAGGGTGAGCATTAGGACAAATACCGAATGTATGCAGGGCTTAAAACCTAGATGATGGATTGATAGGTGCAGTAAACCACCATGGCACATTTATACCTATGTAACAAAGTGGCACATTCTGCACATGTATCCTGTAACTTAAAGTTAAAAAAAAAAAAAAAAGAATCCATCATATGTGTCGAAGAGTACATTTTACCTGTGACTATATTAGTGGTAAATTAAGTATATTGTTTAGATATAATTTATAAAGAAAGCATTAAAAAAAAGTACAGTTTGGTCAGTGCTTTCAAAGATCCTCTCCCCCTTTCCTAGTAAAACCCAGATTTTCTTTTGGGGACCCTCCTCTCCTTCCTTATGTAGCAACGAAATAGCCCTAAGCCCAGTTTCAAGGATGTGCCTTAATTTGTCTAAACCAGGGATTGGGAAACTTTTTCTCTGAAGGGCCAGAGTGTAACAATTTTAGGTTTTATGGAGCTGAATAGTCTCTGTCACAATTTACCTCTATCCTTGTAATAGCCACAGTGAGAACATAAACAAATGGGTATGGCTGTGTTACAATAAAATTTCATTTACAGAAGCAGGTTGTGGGCCATATTTGCTCCCTTTGCTCTGTGCAGTTTGTGGCAGTGCCAACCCCTGATCTAAAACAAACTCCAGTGCTACAGTGACCGGTTTAGGCTGGAGCCAATCAATGCATGACATTTCTATGATTAAAGAGATTCTTGGCAAACAGGTTCAGTCAGCAAGAAACTCAAAATTTCATTTTTCAATTATTATGGGATAATATATCCTGTATCTGTCATAGGCGAAAGAGAAAGGTATGGTTGCTGCCAGCAGCCAACATACTACCATGAGGGAAGTCATCTCTGAGGACGAAGCCAACACATAGAACTGAGTGAGAAGAATTGAAGAGTCGCAGATATTTGGACCTCAGCTTCTGCTTTAACCATGCCTGAAAGTCTGTTCTATTTCTCAACTTCTCAGTTAAATATTGTGTTGTATTAGCAGCATGAGTGAGTTTTATGTTACTTGTAACTGAAAGATTCTAACTATTACAGACCTACACGTACATGGAGTAAAACAGTATGAATGCTACAAAAGAATTGCCAAATGTCATAGAGGCTCAGGAAAGAGAAAATCATAATTGGTTCTAAAAGAGTTTTATTACATGATGGCATTTGAGACAAACTTTTTAGATTAGATTTTGCAGCAGAGATGAAAGATAAGAAGCAGCATGATAAAATGTTCACAGGTGGCAAAGAGTGGGTTGAATTCATGGATAGTCAAGTATTACAGTACGATGGAAGCACAGAATTTCCAAGGAGGAGCAGTGGGGAATTGACCTGGAGCCAATGCAGGGAATTGAGTAATGCTTCAGTTGGGAAAACATGAAGGTGAGTAAGAGGGTCTGGCAATGAAAATGAGATTTCCAATAGGACCCAGAAAATTTCTGAGTTTGTGCCTTGCAATGTGGCAGTATTGAAAATTAATCAGGAAAATAAGCTGGATATGAACCTTCTCCAGGCATAGGTACATTTCTGGGGAACCAAGGACCTATAAACAAGCACCAAGTTTTATCTACCTGGGTCCTTTTGAGGGAAAATACTGATGTAGTTAGTAGAAATATTGAAAAAGGAACCACTTGGGGGTGATTGAGATGATACCTCCAGCAACAAGTTTGAGTGACAACAGATTGTCACTAAATTATTTTGAGTAGGGTAGATTAGTTAACTACAGGGCTTTTGTTTTGCAAAGCACTGTATTCAAGTTTGGTACCAGTGCTGATTGGTTTATACACAAAATGAGAGCTGGATTACTACCAGCACTTTCTCTGTCCTTCCCCAAAGAAGCCTTTGGCTTCTCCTAAATAATGGCCAGCCAACACTGAAAGTGATTATCAGTTGTAAGAGGCACCAAATTATCAGTCAGTTCCATGTGCCCTCATGTCACCATCCCATCTTGCCTGCGGGTGCCCACTGAAAGGATACTGCTTTTCAGGAGGAAAACACTTGAAAATCTGGATTTATTGGACAGACCAAAAGAATCCTGACTGTTCAGTCACATTATGGGAGTTATAAACCCGCTATGTGCAGACACTCACTGTGTTAGGTGAGGAGAATTTGAAGATGCCTGAAACGGTTCCCACTCTCAGAAGCTGTGAAAGTTCCCTTTTGCTGAAGTCCACCCACCTTCCAGCATACCTTACTCTCTTCCATTCTTCTCAGCCTTCTGTAATTTGTCACTTTATAAATTAGCATCTGGCTCTGATCTCAAAAAGTGCCGTGAGACAAAGCCTGGGTTTAATTCTCCATTTCAGCTGCCTTGATTAGCTACTAATTAAATGTTTTGTTAGAAAAATGCCCTTAATAAGCAACTAGATTATATTAATTATCTGTTCCTTAGATCTTCTAGAACAATAGTTTCTCACCCCGACTGTCTATTACAATTATCCAAGGGGCTTTAATAATACTCAGGCTAACCCCCACCCTCAGAGATTCTGATTTAATTAGTTTGGGGTTGGACCTGAGCATGGGTATATTTTTAAAGCTCCCCTGGGTGACTCTAACAAACAGACATGGTACAGAGGGACTATTCTGGACTTTTATTCCATACTGTCAAGAAGCCTCTTGGAGCCAGCTTGCTTTTCTCTAGTGTCACTCTGAGAAGGCGGTTATTAAATGGTTTAGAATGTAGCCAATCCTTGTGGCTCACCACTCTTCCCAGTACCCTCTGGTTTCTGGACAAGGCTTCTTAAATAAAGAGGTGCTGGGTGAACTTGGTTGACACCTGAGGAGGAAGTGGAGCAGCTGAAGAGTTGCCCTGTGTTGCTCTCCTCCATGCAGTACCCAGAATCTCTCTCAAGGCCAGAGGCCAAGGGGAAGAAGAGAGTGAGCTAATACCTTACGTAGGAACAGAAATGAAAGCTACTGAAAACGGGCTATTCATGAAGTGTGGGGGAAGGTGGAGGGGCAGAAAATAAGAACTTTTGTGGAAAGTTGCATTAAGCTTTAAATTTTATGACAACAACCTCCTTTGGATTCCAGGGGCCATATATTTTGAGGGGTATGGCTATTTCTTATGTTTCGTATTTTAAAAATAGCCAACTAAAAATTAAACCTGCTGCTGAATTTCCTGAACGTACAAGTTCATCCTGCAAAGAAAAACCTCCTTGTTGGCAGAAAGCCTTGTGTCTTGGTAGGTTCCGTGGTTCCTCTTGCATCAATCTTTGTTCTTTCCACACACTTTCCAGGATTAAACCCTAGGCTTCATTTGAGGCTCCTCCTCATGTCCCTGGAGTTTTTTCCTTCTCATCACTGCCACATCCTGTGTTCACTCCATATGTAAAAATTGTCAGGATGCTAATATTCTCAGTAGCTCATTATAGAAAGAAAACCAAATGGTCATTTTACAACCCGCTGTGAAACCTTAGGTGTTAGAGTAAATCCAATCGGCCCAACAATGTGTTTCAGTTGGCAATTTTTTTTCCTTTCATTCCCAGCTGTCTCTCTCTCCTGGTTGAATGCAGTAATTTATAGCATTTTGCGTTTTAATAGAGCTCTCACAGGTCACTCTTATAAAAACCACAGAATGTAAGATTTTATTACAAATTTGTGCCATGGACTTAACAACTTGGACACCTGAGTTCCTTATGTAGTCAGGTCAAGTGATATGGTTCATAATGAATGGATATTTCTTGTAGGAAGATAGTACTGCTGTCACTACTACTCTATGCCCCCAACAAACAAACACTTTTAAAATTCTATTTTGTTTATTTTCTCTATTTATTCCCTTTATCCACAATCCCATTTTCCTTTTCAACTGCAAGAACACATTCTAATGTGTTTAATATATATCGTTTGTTTGTATATGTTCTTGCAAAACCTGTCTTTTCATTGTGATCATATGAACTTTGGATTTAATTTTTAATTTTCTTTATAGATTTTTTGTGTGTTCTTATTTCTACAAGAATGCTCTTTTCTCCCTGAATTGAAAATCCTTAGTAATCCTTAAGTAAAGGAAGGGGAGACTCAATACTTACTAACCTTTGCTAGGAGTTCAATATGTTCTAGTCTCAAGAACAACAGTGTTTGCTGAGAAAACTCATCATTAAGGGGTTACTTCACTCTCATGCTCATGTTTCTAGGGCCTGAGCGTGGTGTCACCCTTGTCCAGACACAGAAGAACAATAGGATAATGATGCTCTTGCAGGTGGCACAAGTGTCCAGAGACTGGTAGTCTATTACATTATTTGTGTGGAAGTGGTTAGAGAACATTCTTTTCTAAGTCTCCAGCATCAGGCAGAATTCCCAGAATCACCATAGCCTTGAGATGAATATGAGGAACATGATTTCTGGTGAGTAAAATAAGAATAAGGAAGAAATCCCTGTTCTCCTGCTTTTATGTTCTTCTCATTTGTCTTTTTATTTCCTCCTACACCCAACCATATTTTGTTCACCACTTGCATTGTTTCATTGAATTCTCTAATAGGTAGCCAATGTGCACCTTCACTCTACAGACAAGTTCATGGAGCAGAAAGGCGCTGGGCCAGGGGTTTGGAAACCTGGACGCTAGACCTGTTCTCTCACTGACTTTCATTGTGAACTGGGCAAAACACTTACCTGATAGGTCTCGATTGCATTTTTTTGTTGATTAAATTGCCTATAGTCTTGAGATCTCTTCTACTTCCATGGTTCTAGTATGTTCATTTCAGGTCTTTATGAATATAGAGGATATCTATGTGTGTTGATAGTAGCATCTGGGACTGAGAAAGTTAAAACCGTGGGTTGATATTTGCCCCATTATCATGTGGCAAAGATTCTGTGAACGTTTCTGAGGATCCTTTGTTATTTCATCCAGTTTTATGTTCTAATTACTCACACTTACTCAAACTATATTAAAAGTGGGAACCAACTTCATTTTAAGCAGAAGAGCATTTCTTGTAAGTATAAACAATAGCTCTGACTATAACAAGCTTCTTTGTTATGAGAAATAATCACTTATTAATAACCTGTCTTATGACTTGCACTATGATTAAATGCTCTTTCAGAGTACCTTGCCACATTGTAATTCACTGGGAGTAGGAAATGAAATAAGGAATTTAGTTTGCTGAATTGGAGTGAGGGCCGGCATCAAAGGCCTTTTCACTCCAAATCTTCCAGTGCCAGCCTATTCCCTAGGCTACTGGGGCCTACCAAACTTTGAGTTTCTAACTTTATAAGAGACATACAAGGCTGGACATACTACATTGTTAAATGCTCAAGTGGTATTTGTAACTGAGAGCTAAACAGCATAAGCATTTTTAGGAATAGAGATAAACTAAGAAAATTTCTGGGACAAGTTTTCAAAGCCAAAGTATCAGATCGGTTATTAAAACAAATGAGTAATAGTAATCACAGTGCCCCCAATTTTTATAGCAGCTTATATTTTCCAAAAGGCATTGGTATATATTGTTTTATTTGCTCCTCTCACCCACCCCAAAATAGGGGTAGAGAAAGCATTATTATGCTCCTTCAGTTCTGAGGTCCAAGAGGCCAATTGATTTGTTCAACTTTGCATAGCTTTACAAGAGAGGAACTGAAGCCAAACACCAGATTGTTTGACTTCAAATCTACTGTGCATTTTGTGTTATAAATATAGGAGAGCTGTGAGGATTGGGCGCTGGAAAGATTACTGTAAAAATAACTGGCACTCGAATCCTCACACCCCCATATATACAGGCATACACACTGATGCAGAATTGTTGGAGCAAAAGTAAAGAATCAACAGAGGTAACATCCAAGATCCAATCTGGAGCCAACACTAGAGTGAATCTAAAGCTCCTACTACAGATTTCCTCTCTCTGTGAATCCCAGATCATCTATGGTAAAAGGAAGGAAGTGGTGTCATCTTGTTGGGGATGAAGACTGAAGGAAGAAGAGATTCCTCGTGATGACCAGGAAGAAACCTAAAAAAAAAAAAAGCCTAGTGACTCTAAGGAAAACCTGAAATCTTACCGCCATTGATAAACACAAACCCTAATTCTCCAACATAGCTGAAAAATCTCTATATGGCTGGGAGAGCAGAGCTCAGGAAAAGAACTTTGTCCTTTAGGGCGTTCTTATTGCCTGCCAGGCCCTGGGGACCCTGCTTTCTCTTTACTGTTCTGTCCTGAGATGTAATTCCCAACAGAACAGCTGAAACCCACGGGGAATATTTAGATAAGACTTTAGCAAAGGCTCTGGGTTAGTAAACAGATGGTAATATAGAGAGAAAAAAGTGGTGAGAGAAACTTGATTCTTCTGAAGCTCCTCTCTCTTAGTTTATGGCAGGGATGGACAAAGTACAGCCTGAGAGCCAAATCAGGCTTGCTGCCAGGTTTTCTAGAGGGCACAAGCTAAAAGTGTTTTCTACATTTTTAAACAGTTGAAAAAATCAAAAGAAGAATTTTGTGACATGTAAAAATATGTGGAGTTTTAATTCCAGCCTTCACAGCTGTAATGGAACACAGCCATGCCCATTTGTTTACACATTTTCTTTTCTTTTCTTTTTTTTTTTTTTTTCTATGACCATTTCTAAATGGTGAGGGCACAGTTGGGTAGTTGTGACAGAGTCCTCCAGAGCCTAAAATATTTATTATTTGGACTTTCACAGAAAAAGTTTGCCAACCTGTAGTATATGGCCTCTCTTGTCCCAAATTGTAGACCTATTTTGCCAATTTTTAGTCAATAGAAAATATTCTGAGGGATTCACACCATTGGATTACACAGAGAAAAGAGGAGAACATGAACTGATAGCTACAAACCTTCTACGTATGTCCTAATCTTGTATAGAGGGAAGAGAGACATTGCTTCCGATGGAAAGTTAGAATAGTGATATAAAGAAGGAGGGATGAGAGTTAAAAGGAGATGATATTATCCTGGCATTGAAAGAAAACATAGAGAATCATTGTTCAAGTTTAGAATCAGTGGTGTGAAATAAAGTATCTATTATTTTTAAATTGTTAATTTCTTGGAGGGAAACAAAAACTAACATCCTGTTTTCCTAGGAAGACCTTGCTATGGACCACATTGGGATCCCCAAAATTCATATGATAAAGCCCTGATCCCCAGTGTGATTGTATTTGGAGAAGGTGCCTTTGAGAGATAATTAAGTTTAGATGAGGTCATGAGGGTGGGATCCTCATGATGGGATTAATGCCTTGGTAAGAAAAGATACCGGGCAGCTTGATCTCTCTGACACGTGAGAACACAGCAAGAAGGCAGCTGTCTGCAAGTCAGGAAGAGAGCCCTTACCAGAACCCAATGATGCTGACAACCTGATCTTAGACTTCCAGCTTCTAGAACTATGAGAAAATAAATCTTTTTTTTTTTAAGTCATCCAGTCAGAGGTATTTTGTTATGGCAGCTTGAGCTGACTATTATAAACCCCATGGCAGGAAATTGAAAGATAGAGGTTTGAAATCCCTCTGTATTTGATCTACTAGTTTGAAAGCAAGGAAAGAGAGCTAAGCAGAGGGCCTTTCTACTAGTTTGAAAGCAAAGAAAGAGAGCTAAGCAGTGGTATCAGGCACAGTGGCAGTGTGGTTACACCAGCAGCAATACAGTGTGGTGTAGCAAAGGCTGGACCCCAGCAGTGTAAGTCATGCATTGGTACACAGAACAGTGTGGTAGCTGCTCCAGCAAAGAAGACATTCAGGGTAGGGTAGCAGGGGCATTTCTAGTCAATAACAGGAAAGCAGAGCAGCTGCTTAAAACTCAGAAGTTAGCCTAGAGTAGGGGCTTGCGCAGTTCAGCAAAGGGAAGTCAAGCAAGTTCTGGTAGACAGCATGAACTGGCTATTGGTTAGCAAATATATATCAATGCTTAGCAGATAAATATGAAGGTGTATGTGTGGGGGTGCTTTGTGAGGACAGTAATGAGGGAACTATTGTCCTTTGGGGTTTTGAAGGAAAGCTCTTGGTGTGGTGGTCTGTGGTGTGTTAGTTTTCTAGTGCTGTGTAACAAATGAGCACATGTGCAGTGTCTTGAATCGGCACAGATTTATTATCTCACCATTCTGGAGGTTGGAAGTTTAGTAGGTTCAGCTTAGCGTTAAGAAGGCCAAAATCAAGGTATCAGACAAGCTGGTTTCCTATTTGGCAGCTTTAGGGAACAATGACCTCCAGGCATACTCAGGTTCTTGTCAGAACTCAGTTCTGTTTATAGTTCTGAGGTCCCTGCTTCCTTGCTGGTTGTCAGAAAGGGCTACCCTCAACTCCTAGAGGTCGCCTTAATTTCTTCATTCTCACATGGTCCCCTCTACCATCTTTGAGGAACAAGAGCATGTCAAGTCTTTCTAATGTTTCTAAATTTCTTTTATGCCTCTAAGTACATATGTGATTACGTGGGATCCATCCCAATAGTCTGGAATAATCAATTTTAAAATTAACTGATTAGTAACTGATTCATAGCCTTAATTACATTTGCATAGGACAGTTGGCCATCTAACATAGCATGTTCATGAGACTGATATATAATATTTAAAGGTTCTTGGGATCGAGGTGTGTAATATGTGTGTTGTGAGGCATAGAGTAGAATTCTGTCAATCAATGTCGATGTGTACAAGCAGCCACAAAAGAGAGTGGAACATTTAGGCTTGCCTGTAGAGCAACCTCTCATAGATCATGTTCCAATTAAATAATCAGAAATTGTTAGTGGGGTTTTGACTTGTGTAGCTGCTAGATTAATGTATGTAAAGAGAATTGGACTTTCCCACGCTCTGCCTAGGAACTTATGCCCATTAAAATTTGTGTTACAAATAGATATAGCTTGTTGATTTCTTTTTATCATCAGAAGGGTAACTTTTAGATTAAAAAAAAGATTAACATACATGGTATCTGGAAGTCTCTAACTTACTGGAACTTTTACTGGGGATTTCTGATGTTCTTTTAAAACATCCCATGCCATCCCCACTTTTTTTCAACAATAGACGATAATTTGGCCGAGTGGTTGGGGCTTGTTTTATAATCAGACTTGCATTTGTTTTGATTTTTAAACGTGCATGTACCTGATTTTATTTACTTTTTCTCTTTATTGTGTTTAGTTGACTGGAACTAATGTTTCCTGAAAGATCTTGAGTCAATTCTGCCATCAAAATGATCTGCTTTTTTGTGTGTTTAGCTTAAATTGAGTTTAATTTCGAAGTCACTGAGAACTTGTGTATGACCTTGTTTCTTCCCAAGCATATTCCTTGGTTCTTGTTTGGCATTGTCTACTTTTGGCATAGTTTTGACTTTTCAAGAATATCATATGGTTGGAGTCATACAGTAAATAGCCTTTTTGAATTGGCCTCTTTCACTTGGTTATATACATTTAAAGCTTCTTGGTGTCTTTTCACAGCTGCTTTGACTTTTAAAGCTGCTTTCTTCCTTTACTGTATTTATTTTGATATCAATTTGAATTGCTTATCTCTTATTTGGAATTTAAAAATATTTCACCTTGTCTCACCCATTTTTTCTCTTTTCTTTGGTAATTATGCTATTCAATTTTCTTTATAACTTTTCTTACTATTCTACGTGGTAAATACCTAGAGTTTTCTAGGTAATTTGGGGGAGGGGCTAGCCTTTATTTATTTTTCAAATAGCCTTTTTGTGATATTTGAAGGTTAACAATTCCTATTAGCCAAACTCATGCAGACGATAAGAATTAGAGGATCACCGCTGACAACCTCAAATATAGTAACTGAGTTTGGCAAGGTTTTCCAGTGGATACTAAACTTTTAGGTGGAATGTGGTTGGAATACAGGACATTTAGTCAAACTCAATTGATTCACTCCACAAATTATTTACTCATTTAATTCTAGAAGGAAAATATACTCTTGTAAATAGATCTGGCAGTCAGTCCCTTAACCGAGCAATCAAACTTAACATCACTATTAGTGTGACAACCTGACATCTTGTGTCTCCTAATGGGATATAATAAAACGTACCAACACCACCTATGTTATTCTTTCCAAAGATATTTAACCTGAATCCATTAATAAGAAAGCAACCAGAAAATTCAAAATGTGGTCTGTTCTTTATAATAACTTGCTTGGACACCTCTTGATAAAAAATCAATATCTTGGCTGGGCATGATGGCTCATGCCTGTAATCCCAGCACTTTGGGAGGCCGAGGTGGGTAGATCACCTGTGGTCAGGAATTGGAGATCAGCCTTGCTAACGTGGGAAACCCCGTCCCTACTAAAAATACAAAAATTAGTCAGGTATGGTGGTGCACGTCTGTAGTCCCAGCTACAAGGGAGGCTGAGGCAGGAAGGTCACTTGTACCCAGGAGGTGGAGGTTGCAGTGAGCCAAGATTGCGCCACTGCACTCCAGCCTGGTGACAGAGTGAGACTTCATAAAAAAAAAAATAAAAAAAACAATGTCTTGAAAAACAAACATGAAAGTACATGATATCTAAATTAACAGAGGCTAAACAGGCATAAGAATCAAATGCAATGCTTTGATATTCATTAAATCCTCTATATTAACAAGTTATAAAATACATTTCTGAAATAATTGGGGACATTTTTCATAGTAAATAATACTGCTGTTTTTCCTTTGCATAATGGTGTTCTTATCCTTATGAGATGCATAATTAAATAGTTAAGGGTGGAGTGTCATTATTTCTGTAACTGATTTTCAAACTGTTTAAAAAAAGTATGACATACCTTCAATACTTATACACACAGAAAAAGAAAATGTGATAAAATGCTAACAATTCGTGAATATGAGTGAAGGATATTCAGGTATTTATTGTACTAGTCTTTCAACTTTCAATTTGAGAATTTTCAAAATATGAAGCTAGGAATAAAAATATGAAGCTGGGAATAAAAACCATATAACCAGAGGTGGATGTAATGATCTTCAATAAGATGTACTGGCCCGAACTGTTGACTGATGCACCTGCCGAACCTAACCTGGTTCAGGACTGCTCAGCAGGAGGTGGGTAATTAGAAGCTTTCAAATACACTCTCTTCTACTACTGAGATGACTGGAAGAGAGTTTACAGGTTACTAAAGAGATCTTCAGTCTGACCAAGAGTAAATGCGTTGCTTCCTTTCCATCCTTTATTGTTTACCTTCAAGTGATGTTTAGAAAGCTAAACAAAATTTGTCTTTCATTCATTCTGTGTTAAAACCTGAGCGAAAACTGATAGTCCACTTTCAGAAGTGTGCTTTCTTAACTGACTTCTTTTAGGCACGGAGCACCAGCCTTCTTCTTCCAAATTACCCCTCTGCTCATTTTTTCTTTGTTGCCATAACCCCTCTGTTTTCATTTGCTTTTTCATGTCTGAATCTGCTTCAGCCTTGAGGATTGCCCAAACACTGAGTTTATCAGGCTGTAAGATTATCAAAGTTTACATTTGAGAACATGTATAGAACTTTTCCCCATCTTCACCATTTGGCTTATTTTTTCCCAAATTTCCATGGGACACTAAAATTAGATTAAATCAACAATTTGAATTTACTCTGTTACAGAAATATCATGAGTAAGTAGAATATGAAAGGTGAGATTTGAGTATTTTACAAATTATTGACATAGTAAACTCCTAATAAATTATGCAAGACATTTAGCTATCACTGGAAAAGGCCTTTTAAAGACCCATTTCTCCAGATCTACACTGACTTAAGTGATGCCAATGAAACAAAACTTTCAAAGAGTAATATATACATATTATCTTCTTTTGTGGTACTGGTGGAAAAAGTGAAGATAGCAAGTCATTTAGATCTAGAAATCAACTGTAAGGAGTAAGGACTTAGAAGGATAGAAAAAGTACTGAAAAAAATTGAATGACCCACATTAGGATTTTAAAACAGTGGGACTGAGGCTGACTAAAATAAAGAATCAACTTATCTACCCATGCAAAATTTAAATCAACCTTGAAATAAGCTTCACTGTCTCATCATTTTTTATTTGAATGAAAATGCAGAGGAATGCATTTACAACACTGGGAGAAAGAAATGGACATGATTTTTATGTGTTGTCAATTGTTATATGTGGATATTCCCCTGTGAGCATGCTGCCTAAGGCATTTTCATGATGTAATTTATTTAATGTTTCTTGAAATTTAGTCAGTAATATATTCAAAATTCATTTAATGTCAAATTGCGTTCATTTAAGGATCTAGTGAGCCCTCCTATATGCTTATAAACATGGAATTTCATCCATTTAGTCAGTCTATTCTTAGTTTTATACTCTAGAAAAAATAAATATCTTACTTTCATGTACCATGAAATAACAAGATAATAATACCAATGCTACATTCTCCTTATACATAACTATTTGTTGTTTTCACTGCAAGTATTGCATGCTATTTTAAGCCAATTCGGTTAAGCAACTACTTTTGAAGTGTCTATAGGAAAAACCAGGTGCTGGTTTATGTAATGCTTTCATATATGAACATGACATAGCTTGAAACATCAAATAATTTTCAGTCTTACATGAGGCATAAAGCTGAGCATCTTCCACTAGGTAATGAACCCAAGCTGGAATATCTTTTGCATAATTCTAATTTCTGTAGACTCAAAATTTAGCACTGACTTAGAGGAACACTTAGAAAGCATTCAATAAATGTTTGTTGAATCAATAAGTATACTGTATATAAATAAATAGAATGCATTACCATGTAGAGTGATAAACAAAATTCTATGAGAATGACAACAGGGTAATGAAAGATTGCACTTGGTTAAGATAAAAGAAAAAACTTTGCAGAAGAGGCACCACTTGAACTGAATCTTTAAAAATAAGTATTTCTGACCGGGCATGGTGGCTTATGGCTGTAATCTCAGCACTTTGGGAGGCAGAGATGGTGGATCACCTGAGGTCAGGAGTTCGAGACAAGCTTGCCCAACATAGTGAAACCACATCTCTACTAAACATACAAAAATTTGCTAGGCGTTGTGGTGCATGCCTGTAATCCCAGCTACTCAAAAGGGTGAGGCAGAAGAATCGCTTGAACCTGGGAGGCAGAGGTTGCAGTAAGCTGAGATACTGCCACTGCACTCCAGCCTGGGAGACAGAGCGAGACTCTGTCCCCTCGCTTGAAAAAAAAATTAGAAAATAGGGATGTTAATGCAAGGTGGGACACTGCCCATGGAAATACAAGTATGCACAATGGATAGTGGAAACTGGAATGATGCAGAATGCATTTGGCATTCACTCACTCAGTGGGTGAGTACTCACACACAGTGAGTACACAATGAGTGTTTGTTGAATAACTGCACAAATGTACGCAATGATGATGCCATCAATCCATGATTGAGCTTGGGTACATGAGTAAAAGTACTCCAGAAGAGTTTTTTTTTTTTTTTTTTAAATATATTGTGTGGTTTCATAAAAAAGTTTTCCTGAGACATCGAGATTAAACTGTTCATATGTGTTTCTTCAAAATAGTTTCAAACTTCTTCATTTTGTTTAGAAGGAATGTATGAGTAGGTTTTAATTTCCAGTTGATGGTTTCGTAAGTGTGTCCAAGTGCCTATAGGAAGTGCCTGTTTTCTGAAGGCTACCTGAGTATATTTCATGCTTCAGGAAAATAAGATCAGGAAAATAAGATTACTCTTAAGAATGGAGTACTCTTTGTCTTAGACATGAGAAATCACTGAGGCACTGAATGACAAAGTCCTCAAAACGTGGGGGAGACTGCTGCTTGGCAGCCTGGTTTGTTGTAGGAAACAGAATTTTGAAAAAAATCAGGCGGTCCTGGCTTCAAATCCTAATTCTGATTCCTATTAACATTGCTATTTTGAGACAGTTGCTTAAACTCTTTGAGCTTCATTTTTTCCTCTTTCGTAAAATGGTACAAAATGCCTTTCAAGACTGTTGTAAGGATTAAATGAGGTAATGTTTATATCAAGCATCTGACCCCGGGTGAGTGCTCAGTACTCCCTAGCGGGCAAAGTCTGAACCAATTATGTCAGAATGTTTCTCTTAAAAAATGGAATACAAACACATTGAATTCTTTCCATGTTGCAGTTCTGTCAGTTTATCCTTGTACACAATATTTCTCAAAGATGTTTACAATTTATCTGTCTCTCCAGGGTCTTATTCAAGACTTTGTATGCAGAAGGAACCTAATAAGTACTTCTTTAAAATAATTTCTATCAACACTTCATTCTGAGCTTACTTTGATTCCAAACAACTCTGAACTACATCAATATCACTGACAAGTTTCATCTGTATATTGAATTACTGATTTGAATTGATAATGCGTCAACTCTGAAAACATTATCCCCAACAGCCTTATTAAGTAAGCAAACACCAATCATGTGGTTTGCTGTTTAAAAAAGTAGAACATAAAAACTTCTCCCTTATATAGGGTTCTATTGTTTTATCGATTCTGCCAATTGTAATTTTCGTGTGTTATTTAGGTTATAATCATGTGTTGCCAAAATCAGCAAGAAGCAAGCAGGTATTTACAGTACAGTGGGTCTCACTTAAATTTGCTGCTGACCTACTTGCCCCTGGGTTACAATATTCTGCTTTCCTAATATGTGTAATTACCTCAATCCCTAATTTTAAAATTGCTTCTTTGTTTTGAGCTCTGAGTGTGTCCTTATGCAACAAGGGACTAGAGTTTCCAGAGTTTAGGTGAGCAGAAGCCAGTACATTGGAAATAAGAGTGACATTTTTCTGTATTGTAAACAAAAAGAAGCCTGTGGTCTTTTAGCACAAAAGCAAAATTATTGGAATCTGCTCCTTTAATATATGCTAAGTAGCTGGTACCAAAAGGCAGGGCTCCTCTGGAGGATGAGTGAGTCAAGGACATTTTGTTTGATTTATAGGACAATATGCTGCTTTTCCATTGTTGGACAGGATCCTCATTTCCAAAAGTGGAATAGAGTGCTGCTTACAAAGGAAAAAAAAACATTTTCAGCTGGTTAGATTTGAGATGTTGAGTGAAGTTCATTATAATGCCTGTAGCACTTTTATTTGATCTTGGAGGGGTTTTCATATTCTTGAAGCTTTTGTTTCTTAAGGCTTTGTTGAGATATTCAAACAAATATTTAAAACTATATTGGAGGCAGTGTATTTAAATATTCTTGCCCCTAAATATTTTCATTTGTGTTGCCAGTTGAACATAACCTTGTATTTATTAACATTTAGCCAAAGATTAATTATGTGAGAAACAGGAGTATAAGCATCTTTCTATCATTTGAGATAGTTGGATGGGAAGGTGGGGATAGGAAGGAAGAACTATTTGCAAAAAAGTCCTCAAAGCCGCTCTGAAGGGTGTAAGACGAAGTAAGAGGAGTTTAAATATAGAAAAAATATATATATATTAAACAAGCTTGAGGAAGCTAAGTACAATGGTAAATGCAAACCCACCCGAAGTAAAGAAGATAGGGTTATGCCATCTGCTTTGTGTGGTCTGTTTGTCCTGATTTTTTCAGCTATTTATTTGCAACTTTTTATATCTTGTGTCTTTCCTATATTTTTAAAAACCATCTTAAAACCAAGAATAAAGCAGAGACACAAATGTATAGTTACAAATCAGTTCCCATTGCTGGATAAAGTAATTAATAAAGGATTAAATTCTTTCCTATTTGTTCTCTGAAAGTGTTTTAAACATAGACATTTTTTATTTTATTTTATTTTTGAAGGCACCTTGAAACACACAAAAAATGATGTTCTCCATCTCCTTTCCCAAGAAAAAAAAGTGTTATATTTGCTTTGACCCTGGATACAGGTCAAGGGCAAAATGTTGCATCATAATTTTGTAGAAGCAATTTCACTACACTACAAGTGTAGGGCTTCTATGATTGGACAGGTGGGTAAAATCTTGAGAATCAGGAGGATGGAAAATTAGCATTTCTCTTAGAGCAGTTCCCAAAGTGGGGTCCTTTGATGAGCAGCATCAGTATTATCTGAGAACATGCAAAATCTCTGGTCCTACCCAAGTCCTACAGAATCATGAACTTAGATAATTCTGATGTGTGCTTAAGTTGGCCATCTGAGACTACCATTTTCCATATGAAAGAACTCAGATGGGCTTTTCCCTCTGTCCTACCTTTAAAAAATCATTTAAAAAATAATACAAGCTTGTTAAATACAACCTGAGAATTAAAAAAATAAAAAAAGATGAGAAAGCAGAGGAGGAAGTGAAGGAGGAGAAGGACAATGACAAAAGCCTGTAGTCCTACTATCCAAATGCAAAAATGGACATTTTTATGATTTTCCATTATTTGATTTTATTCTTACAATTTTTTTTTCACTGTACTAAAAATGTTTAAGCATCTCTATATTAAGGCCTGCATTTAAAATTTAACAATATTTTTTTCATGTTATTGCCTGGATTTATAAGTCTCATTTATAGATCTTCAAAAAATTTTTATTTATTTAACTATCTGCCTATTGTTGGACATTTATGTTTCACAATTATGGACAACCCTCTAGTAAATATATGTGTGCATAAAGCATTTTCTACATTTTTAAGTGTGTCTTTAGTAGTGTCCTGTAAGTAGACTTCTGGGTCAAAGTAAATGATTATATATACTTTATTAAGTAAATGATTATGTTTACTATATTAAGATGTTTTTATTGGTGAAAATGTGAACGTTGTCCTGACTTTAAGATCCTCTTATTTCTGAGGCATGTAGCGTTAGCTCACACAGGAGGCGTGAATCTTCAGTGCTTTCTTTTCTTTCTGTTTAGCCTATTTACATTTCTCTTAACGTTTGCAGCAAATCCTCCTAAATTTTGTCCCAAGCCCAATTCTATTCTAAGTTTATAGTACTGCCTGTATCATCCTCGATGTGCAGGTCTTCAAAGGGAACTTTGAAGGTAAATTGGATGCAAGACCAGAGCCTCAGTCACTTTTATGTGCAACTATCTCTGGACCTGACCTAAAAGTTTTCAGATTATTTTTTAAGCCTCCTTTAAAAAAGTGTTGACATATCCCTCCTTTTTCCCCACCAGTTTACTTTCATGTTCATAGTTAAAGTTCCATGGTCCTATTTTAACATCCCATGGCCTCTAATCACCTTTCTTCAAGTACACTGAAGCTTCACTTACCAGCTTCTTTTTTATTTCTTTTTTTTTTTTGTAGTCTTTGCTTTTTCAAGATTCTATGTGACCCTTTTCTTACTCTCCTTTAAATCTATTTGCAAAAGAGATATGTTTGTAGTTAGGGGAAGGCTATGTACTTAGTACTTATTCTCTTATCCTGGGTCTAATATTTTTGCCAGACCCACCTATCCATTGGTGAGTTTGCAACCAACCTGGAATCCCACAATTGTCTTGTTTCCATGTGTTTTCCTAATTTTCCTCATTACTTCTCTGTGTCCCTATTTTTCAACTTCCCTCTGCTATGCCCAGGCGATTACTCCATTGTTGATGTTTTACATAGGAATCAGAGGGAAAAGGATGGGCAAGCATCACTATGCTCCATGCCATAGAATTCTTCTTTTGAGACTTTACCCAGGCTTACCTACTGTAGAGCTATGTGGCTGTGAGTTGGAAATCTGGAGCAAGAATGGAGTATTAAGCAAAAGTACTTATTTTTCTGTAAATAGTTCAGAATTGTTGCCAAATCGATAAACTTTTTTTTTTTTTTTTTTTTTTTTTTGAGATGGAGTCTCGCTCTGTCGCCCAGGCTGGAGTGCAGTGGCGTGATCTCGGCTCACTGCAAGCTCCACCTGCTGGGTTCACGCCATTCTCCTGCCTCAGCCTCCCGAGTAGCTGCAACTACAGGCGCCCGCCACCAAGCCCGGCTAATTTTTTGTATTTTTTAGTAGGGACGGGGTTTCACCATGTTAGCCAGGTTGGTCTTGATCTCCTGACCTCGTGATCTGCCCGTCTCAGCCTCCCAAAGTGCTGGGATTACAGGCGTGAGCCACCGCGCCCGGCCATCGATAAACTTTTGAAGTCATCTTTCCTTTGCTGATAGAGTATGTAACGAAACTGCATTCAATTTTTCAGTCTAGTGGGGAAGCCCATTTTAATGAATTTACTTCCCCAGAAGCCTAAGAGAATGTAGTTTTGAAAGTGTTTAATGTGCACCCAGGGAATAGCTTATATGCCTAGAGAACTCTATTAAGGTACAACAGGAATTTGGGAAACTGGCTCAGTGTTAGGCTTATATGAGTAATCCAACCAGCATTTTTGTGCCCTACTTCATTGTTTACAGCCTCCTCAGTGCACTACTTTCTTTGTACCATGTCTGCAGATTGTATACCCCTAGGAAGAACCAAATATCAAATTGTCTTTCAAATGAGTGGTTACATACTTCATTTCATGTTTTTCCCCTTAAATGAAGGCTGAGAGAGCCAGTGAGTATACAGAAAGAGAGAGATAGCTTCTGTTTAAAATAAAAGATGGATAAGCTAAGTGACACCTTCCCTAACACTTATAAAAAGTAAAATCTTTTTATAATTTTTATAATTAGTTAATCAATCATACCCACGTATTAGTAGTAAGTAAAGGGAACTACATCTGTGGACTCTTAAGTTCAGAAGAGGTCTGCTGGTGTTTCAGAGAACAAATAGTATTAGGCAAGAACAGATTGAAGTAACTGAAGGCCCAGTCGAAAATCAGTTAATTTATTGTTTCAACAGCAGCCTTACACAAATCTATTTTAGAAAGAGTTCTTTTAAAAACAAGGGCACTTAAATTTAGTGGAATATGGAGACTGGGATCTGAAAATGGTCTCGTTATAAAACAATTAGAAATCTTGTAAAATATATAACAACCATCTTCTTAAATGCATAGATATGCTCATAATAGCATAAGGAAAACTGACAAGCCAATATTAAAAAGAAAGTTTAAAATCAGAAAAGCATGAGCCAAGAAGCTATGGTTGGCCTGAGGGACTTTGCCGATCCTTGCAAATCTTGGTGTGTGATGAATGTTTAAGGACTGGACACAATACCTTGTGTCTCTGCAAGATTGGACCTGACACCCTTGCATAATGCCAGAACTTCTTTGGAAGTTTCTTCTTCCTTTTATAGAGTTCAGCTGCTCACTACTTTGTTCATTAAGGAGATTCTGGAGCAAAGGAGCTAAAGCCCCTAGTTTCATAATCTCTTCTATTTTTAACTCACAGCTGGCATAAGTAATAGCAAAGATGGAGGATGGGATTATATGCAGCCTCACACCTAACACCAACAATATGTTCTTTCCAACATTCAGGCAAAATGCATTTGAGAAGTCCTGCCCTCTCAGACTCATTTACCACTTGCAATGCTTTTATCTTGGAGACTTATGTTCTTTTCTGCCATGACCAATCATGCCTACACGGTTCCATCAGACATGGCTATATAAGGCTTCAGCTTAATTGAGGGGTGTAGGATTTAAGTATTTCTCATTGAGCTTCTAGGTCCCAGGGAAATCAAGGATTATCCAGTTTCTGTATCTCTGAACATGTCAAATATAATTATGTTGGCTTTGTCTCTCCAGAGTACATAGGAATGACTGGTTGTAGAACCAGTGAGGATGGCAAAAAATGAACACTGCACAAACTTCGTATGAGAATCTCATGTTAACCAGGATAATATGTTATGGTTTATACACATGGCACTTTGTCTAGCATATTGCAAGCATCCTCTTAGGTAGTGTTTGTCACTTTTCCTCTCCTTTTCCTACGTGAGTTAAAGCTGGGAGGGATGGTAGACAGGATTCCTACTTTGTCATGCTATGACTGTCCAAACACCACTAATTTTGATAGTACTATAAGAGGTTTAAAGAAAGATACTGTTGCAATAATAATGGTGAGTCACTGTGAGCAGTCCCATATGTGCTTTCTTGTAGTTAGCTGGGTGTTTGAAATGGGGGTGAAGAAAAGAGGCAAAGAGAGAGAGATGCAGGTTTTTGCCTTTGGATCAATGAGGCTGCCTAGCAAGTATTCTACCCTAGAAGAAATGAGGGTGTGTATGTGGTGGTGGTGGGAGTGGTGGCGTTATTACACTTTTGTAGTCGTAATGCATTCCTCATTAAGAGGGAGAAGGAAACTAAGGGTGAAGAAAAGGAGCAAAGAGATTAAGAATGAGCGACTGGGTTGATACATTGAAAGCCTTTATATCATTTAGCTACTGATTTATTCATTCAATAATGCATTCATATTCAATGTGGTTAGGAAAGACTGGTGGAACAATCTATTAGGAACCTCTGCATCATGAATCACTAGAAACTACAGTCTCACTATTCTCTTTACATACTTCTCTCTGAAGAATCTCACTCTTTCCCTAGCTAGGCTATTGCTATGACACTGCTATTATTGTTTAGCTCCTTCTCACGGCAGTAAATAAAAACCTGCAAATCTGCATCTAGACCAATAATATGTTCCATCACTTCTTTCAGTGGGTTCCCCAGTTAGATAGTTTTACTAAAGGAATATGTGTTTAACAAACTTTGACATTTAGGTTTAGCGCATGAATTAGCCATTCTGGGCATAGCTTTGATCTACATAGATGCTAGCTCAGCACCGAGAGGCTGTGTGGAATGTGATTCACCAAGGCAGTTCTGGGCAGAGCCAATGAACTGGAAAATTTCTTCTTGACCTTTCTGGCCTTGGGTGTCCTCTTGTTGCACAGGGGTTACAATCTCAGTGATCAGTGCTTAACGATTCTGCAAGTATATACTGAAATACTCAAATCCTCCTTCAGATTGACTCTAAATATTAACAAAAGGGTTTCCCAAAGGTAAAAAATAATTTTGCAATTTAACAATTAATACAAGCTTGTAAAGCAGTACAAATTACTGTATTTTTCCAAAAAGGTCGAAAGAATTTAAAAGCTATCATAGAGTGGAAAAGCTTTTTTAGGTCTGATGTGTAAAATATAAGGACTTTAATGTGCGTTTATTAGAGGAAATGTAGCCGTGACATTTGGAGTCAGACATATTTGGGTTCAGATGCTTGTTCAAATTCTAAGTCTTATTTTCCTCATTGGTAAGATGGAGATAGCAATAGGAAACATGTAAGAGCACTCTGAGGACCAAATGAGAATGTGTGTGAGGTATTTTGTAGTGTCTTGCTCTATCCAGCCACATAACAGAGCTAGTATTAGCATCATTATTAATATACTTGTTTACAATCTATGGAGTTCTGCCTTCCTGACGGGAACACTCAACAGTACGTCATGCATTCTCTCTATAAACTCAACTTCTCAATTTCTGCAGCAGGAAAGAATGTCTTGTTTAAAAATGAAACCACAGCACATAGCTTTGCTTGGAAGCCATGAGTCTGAGAGAACAGGCTTACCTATTTAGCTAAGGCTTTACCAGGTCAGAGAGTTTCAGCGGGTTCACCGTTCAGAATTTTTCCTCATGCCTGAACAAAGACTGAACATCAGCACTATCAGCACTGTCTTCTTAGTGTACCAGAAATATTAAAGACAATTTTGCATCTTTACTTATTCCATCAAATCAATAAATAGTTTAGATTTTTCTTAGGGGTAAAACTTTATTTTACTAAAGTTTTAAAAATCTAAAAAACTTAATGTTTTTAGATTTTTCTTACGGGTAAAATTTTATTTCCCTGCTAGGGGGCTACAAAGGGGTTGGAAATATACTGGCCTCCACTTCTCACACCATTAGCACATATATGATTTTTATTTTTCCTACTATAATTACTACTTTTCAGGTGTTATCTGTCATAATAGTTGATTACGTCATTCACAATATCTGTGAATGGTCTAACACACCATTCACAGAATGCTTCTTTGAATAAGCCGCAGTGATGATGGATATGCAGAAGATAAAGCCTCATCTAGGGTTAAATGGTCCTTCCATTTCCAAATAGGAAAGAAACACTTACAAATGGGAAAGCAGCTGCCACCACGTCGTCAGCAAATTGCACACCTGTCTCACCATGCTGAGGTCACTTTGCTTTGATTATACACCATTTTAATAATCAGGAATGAATCCCATTACTAATAAGGGTAGCTCTTAGGTGCTGCAGTTGTAAGTTCTTTGGGAAAAAAAGGTAGGCAGGCCTAAAAGATATTCAAGGTATCAAAGGCAGCAATGCTAATTTCAACCTACAACTCTTTTCCTGTGGCATAGGCTCATATAGTGTAATAAATGTGGCAAATGATGTTTTGGTGGGGATTGAAATGATTTTGGCTTACTTCTTTGACCCTGAAGTAGTTAGTCTAATTTGGACCGGGAATCTGCACCTTCAATACATCCTCTTACTAAACTCACATACTGTCTATAATGACATTCCAAGACAGTGGTATAATTTTGCCTTCAAAAGAGTGAAGCTTTATCGATCTCCTATTAAGGGACTGGAGGAATTCAATGATAGCACAGGAAGCCTATTCCTGTCACTTGTGCTTGCTTCTGTCTGCACAGGAATCAAACCATGAGAGAATGGAGTTTGAAATGCTATGGGAAATATTGGCTGTCTGAAGATGTCCGCATGTAAGAGGCAAATGGATTCATTCATGGCATACATGTTTCCCAAGTGGAGTGCTTCCCAATCTTGTTTCATGTCAAAGCTCATATAGAAGATGGTAATATTCACTTGGATAAATCAAAGAAATTTTTGGAATATTTAGGGCATTTATAAAGAGAATTACATCTCTTTATACAGCAAAGTCTTAGTGAAAATACTGTCTTTATTTGGAAGAATATGTCCAAATAAAATCTTGGAATTTCAAATGAGTAACTTAATTTTGCTTCAGTGAACATAACTATTATTTTATATCAGGCTTTCATATTTGAAATGATGACAAGCAATTTCTGATTAAGACTTTTCAAAATGATGATGTCTTCATTTTCGATAATTATCAACAACAAACTTTGTTTCTACAAATAGATGATACAAATGTAAAACCATTCTCATAGCAATTCAAACATTTACAACAGTTGAAATTAGACTTAAAGAATATAGTATCCCCTTTCTTCCATTGACAAATGCAAAGTTACAATTCCTTGTGATAGTAAACAAGTATTTTGAATCTAAGTATTTTAAAATAATGATGAAGCTCTGATTTGCAAAACGTGCATGTGTTGTTAGAGCAGTGACCCCATAGTTAGTGTGGATACCACTGCAAGGAAACAAACAGGCAGGAGTCTCTGGGTTATGGGAAGACTTCTATTATTAACTAACTGCATGGAACTGCACCCATGGGGAGTTTTCCTTCTTCCCTATTTGGCTGTAGGTTTGGTTGTTGCTCTGTATGGTTCTCCTTGAGTGTTTCCAGCAGTGACTTTGTCCTTTTGTCTGGGGTCGCTCCTCAGGAGCATCAGGGCACAACAATGAGTGCTGGGTGTGTTTGTGTTGCTCACTACCTGAGGAGGTCATGGAGAATGCTCTCATTTCCCGCTCTTCTTGGGCTGCTCTTAGAAGAGCCCCAGATGAAGAATCTCATGGCAAGAGGCAATTAGCTCTGTGACTTCAACCAGCTTCATACCCTCCTAAAGGCTGCGCAGAGCTGTATAACTCACAGCACTACTATAATTCTTTTGTAGGATGCATAGCTTGCAAGCTTTTTATGAAGATTTGCCCTAGGGCCTGGGATAGTTGATTGAACACCTATATAGACTAAACTGGATAACAGTGAAGTGTCCCTTTTTTCCTAAGGAAGATGATTGTAGGAGAGTGCATGGCATATCTATCTGATTAGTTATTGTATTCTCAGTTCCTAATGAATAGAAGGAGCTCAATAAATATGATTTTAATGAATGAATGAATGAATGAATAGTGAAAGAAGTAAGCTTGCCCTGACTGTTAAAACTAATCAAGGCAATGCAGTTGGGAGAATAAGGAACCTTGAGGGCCGTGAACAATGCTACTAGAATAATAGCTTAATTTATTAATTCAACAAATAACTATTGAATACTTACTATGTCCCAGGCACTTTTCTGAGTGCTAAGGTGTCAGTGAACAAAAGCATCATAAATTCCTTTTGAAAAAAAAGTGAGAGAACATAGAAATAAACAATATAAATAAGTTCAACATATATGTGTTGGATGTTTTTGAGAGGTTTTAAAAAATAAGAGGAGTAGGATGGAGAATTTAATTAAAAGGAATTCTGGGAAGATGTCATTTGGATAAGGAGCTAAAAGAAAGAGCAAGCCCTGTGGGTGTTGGGGGAAATGCGTATCCGGCAGAGGGAACAGCAGATGCAAAAGCCCTGAGGCTGGAGAATACTGTTATGCCCAAGAAATGTTAAGGAGGCCAGTCTGGGTAGAATGGAGTGAGTAAAGAGGAGAGGAGAGTAATAAGAAATAGTGGTCCCCATCACATAGAACCCTATAGGCTCTATTAAAGATTTTTTTTTTTTTTTGAGATAGGGTCTACCTCTGTCACCTAGGCTAGAGTGTAGTGGGGCAATCTCTGCACACTGCAACCTCTGCCTCCCTGCAACCTCCACCTCCCTGCAACCTCTGCCTCTTGGGCTCAAACGATCCTCCTACCTCAGCCTCCCAAGTAGCTGGGAATAAGGGCATGCACCACCACGTCCAGCTAATTTTGTTGTTTGTAGAGATGGGGTTTTGCCACGTTGCCCAGGCTGGTCTCCAAATCCTGACCTCAAGCGATCCGCCCTCCTCCACATCCCAAAGTGCTGGGATTATAGGTGTGAGCATTGCACTTAGCGTATGTTAAGAGATTTTTAAATCTCAGTGAGATGTAGGCTGGGCATGGTGGCTCAAACCTGTAATCCCAGCACTTTGGGAGGCCAAAGGAGCAGATCACTTGAGGCGATAAGTTTGAGACCAGCCCAGACAACAGGGCAAAACCTTGTCTCTACTAAAGGTACAAAAAAAGTTAGCCAGGCATGGTGGCACATGCCTGTAATCTCAGCTACTCTGGAGGCTGAGGTGGGAGAATCGCTTGAGGACAGGAGGTAAAGATTGCAGTGAGCTGAGTTCTTGCCACCACACTCCAGGCTGACAGTGAGATTCTCTTTAAAAAAAAAAATACTCAGTGAGATGAGAAACCACTGAAGAAGCAGAAGCAGAGTTGGTGAACAAAGGTGTGACATGTTCTAGCCTTGAACAGGACCCCGTTGGCTGCCCTGTTGATAATTAGCCAAAAGAGCAAAAAGACAGAAGCAGGAATGCCAATTAGGAATCTTCTGCCATAATTCAGACAAGAAATGGCAATAGCCTGGAAAAAGAGAGATACAGTTCAAGTGATGAGAAGGAGTCAGATTCAGGATACGTGTCAAAGGTAACAACCAACAGTTACTGATGAAGTCAATGTGGGATATGAAAGAAAAAGAAGTATCAAGGATGGTATCCAGGTTCTTGTCCTGAGCAACTGAAAGAATTAAGCTGCCATGAAGACTACCTTTAGCTTAATCACTATAAACTTACTGTATTAGTCCATTTTCATGCTGTTGATAAAGACATACCCGAGACGGGGTAATTTATAAAGAAAAAGAGTTTCAGTGGACTCACAGTTTCACGTGGCTGGGGAGGCTTCACGATCATGGCAGAAGGCACAAAGCACGTCTTACGTGGTGGCAGACAAGAGAGAGAATGAGAGCCAAGTGAAAGGGGTTTCCCCTTAAAAAACCATCAGATCTCATGAGACTTATTCACTGCCATGAGAACAGTATGGGGGAAACCGCCCGCATGATTCAGTTATCTGCCACCAGGCCCCTCCCACAACACATGGGAATTATCGGGGCTACAATTCAAGATAAGATCTGGGTGGGGGCACAGCTAAACCATATCACCTACCTAATGAAAGTACTTATTAAAATGGAACTTACAGAAACAAGCTTTGGCTATTATTTCTAGTACTGTCTTTTGAGAACTAGTTTATTAAGGATGACATACACATAAGTATAAAAAGTGATATAATAAACCAGCTTCAATAGTGATTAATGTTTTGCCAGTCTTTTGTCTTCTATTTCCCCTCCACAAACTTTTTTATTTCTCAGAACTATTTTAAAGGATTCTAGCTATCATGTTATTTTTCTCCTAAATCATTAGTATGCTTCACTAATTGACAATAAAATTTTTATGTACCCCTACTGACGTTATCTACCCAAAAATGTTAACAACTGTTTTTTAACACTATCTAATACTCAAGCCATGTTTAAATTTCCCTAATTGTCTCAAAATTATCCTAACAGTTGGTTTGTTCAAATCAAATTGCGAACAAAGCCTCACATCATGTTTGACTGTTAAGTTTTTTAAGTCTTTTTAATTTCACAACAGTCCTTTTCCTTCTTTTCTCTCCATATCTCTGATTTATTTATTTATTTTTATTTTTTGCAGAAACCAGACCATTTGTCTTGTAGAATGCACCATATCATGAATTTGGCTGATCATTCTTTCAGGAGAGGAGTTTTAAAAATAAGTCTTTCCTTCCTTATTTCTTTTAAACTGATTTCTTTTCTTCTTTCTTTTTTTTTTTTAAGAATCCATTTGATTCAACTTCGGCAGTTTTGGACAAGATAAACATAGGTGGCGCTTATTACTTTCTATTGCACCATTAAGTTTTGCATCTATTTATGACTGTTGCTTAGAACCACTATTAGTAAAATTCAGTTTACAAAAGGATGATTTTCTAATTTTACTAGTCTTGTTGTACTTATTATCAGGAATTCTATAGAAAAAAATTCTCTTATCAAATATTTGGTTATCCTGAAATACAGTAGGTGGAGGAAAAGCATAAATATTGATTCTTTTTTATTAATTTGTAGAATTTTGAGTTGGTCCATTATGGTAAACAATGACTTTTATTTTTCAAAAAGTGTTGTTTTGAACTCATGAGTTTTTAAAAATATATTTGATGTGTTGCAATCCATTGTAATTACTCTTTTTTTCTTTTCTTTCTTTTTTTTTTCTCGTATTTTTCATTGACCCTCTTGTAGGCCAGTGGAAGCCCCTTTAATTTGGCTCCTCTGTGTCTGTGACATGAATTCATTAGTCTTTGATAGCCTCCTTGCTTTCTGACACAAGACGGCCAGAGTTCATCTTGTATATTTCCTGCACCAGGCATGGAATTAGCCCTTTCTCTTATGAACGCTTAGTTTCTGTTAGTGCAAAATGATATTCAGAGACCACATGCTGTGTGCTAGGGGACCACAGGGGTATAGACTGTCATTGCCTCTGGAGCAAGCACATAATAAGAAAAAATAAAGTGTATTGAATCTGGGGATTTGTACATTCTGAGAGGCCTCACTGCAAACTTAGTATGTATTGGCATTTTGCTCAGGATCTGAGTGTTTCTATGTGAGTAGCATCTTAGCCCCGGTCACTAAGCCCCGGTAATATCCCCACAAATACTACCAGTCACTGTTAAATTCAAATACTTTTGGGAGTAGTTACTGTCTTTGTTTGAGAAACATTGAAATATGCTTCAGGTTTATGCCCTCTTTTGGCTTTATATCCATCTTTACCAAAAAAAAAAAAAAAAAAAAAAAAAGGTAAGAAATACTTTGAACAGAGAATTTAGACACCTGGAAATTAAATGAATAGAGAACTGTTTTTAACCAAATTGCCATTAGGTTTTATATATTAGCCTAGTGTGAATTTGTTTGATATTGGTACTCATCAAAAGACTGATGAAGATATACTAATTTATTTTATTTCAATTTCTAAATATGCAAGACTGAGAAACAGAACTCGGATTTTGGTGAATTTAACAAGGTAATTTTACTTCGGCAGGGTAATGATATTTTCCCTGATGACTCCCCATTTGGCTTTCCTTGTATATATTTTTATTCACTTCATTCCTGTTGAAGAGTTCCTGGTGATACATAAACATTCTAGAAGGAGTAAAAAGGTTAACATAGTGTTTGGAATTTCCCATTTGCCTATTTTTAATGAAGAGCTAATTCTACCCCAATTGCCGTTTGGATCAATGGCCAGTTTCCCTTAGGTTTCAGTTAGTATTCCTTTGGCTGCTGGCCAGAAAATCTAACTGAGCCAGCTTAAACAGAAAGGAGAATTTATTAGGTCACAAAACTGACAGTCCAGCATTAAGACAAGCTTTCAGCATGGCTTAATTCAGATACTTAAACAAAGTTGTTAGGAACAAGTTCTCTGAGTCTGTTGTTCGCACTTTCCTCAGTGATTGCTGACATTTTTAGGTTGGTTGCATTGCGATAGCAATATGAACATAGGAGCACCAAGCTTTACCTCTTCCAAATCCCAGTTGCAGAAGAAAAAAAGAATTTGAAAGCCTATAGATTTCATTGGCTCTGTTTGGGTTACCTGCCCATTCCTTAACTAATCTATTTGGCCAAAGAGATTGAATCCCCTGATTTATTTAAACCAACCAGAGCCAATTCATGAGGAAAATTACATGGGGGCTGGAGAGGAAGGAACGGGGAAGGGATGGTTTTAGAAAGTGGTTATTATTTCTTGGGATGGAATGGATGCTGGAAGCAAGCAGTAGCTAGCTACAACTTCCTGAATCTGATTTTTAAAGTTTTAAAGACTTGAGAATAAAATCTAGAATGACAAAGGAGCCTAATGTTTGAAAAAGTCAATTTACTTCAGTTTCAAAATTAAGGATATCTATGGCCTGTAGGCATACCATGCCAAGGATTTTCATAAGCAATTGATATCATTTTTGGAAATGGAATAAGAACTACCCATTCATTCTGAAAAAAGTGAATACTGGTAATCTGAAAATCTGTAGTATGTATATTTAATATTCCCCCTTACCCATGCTATAGACTGAGTTGTTGTCATGCATTAACCCCTGGGAAGCTCCTTTAGTTTGATATGAGATTTTTTTAATTATTTCAACTTTTAGTTTAGATACAGTAGATACATGTGCAGATTTGTTACATGGGACTATTGCATGATGCTGAGGTTTGCAGTACTTGGATTATGGATCCTGTCACCCTGGTAGTGAGCATAGTACCCAATAGGTAGTTTTTTAACGCACCCCCCACCACCCTCTAATGGTCCACAGTGTCTATTTTTACCACACTTATGTCCATGTGTGCACGATGCAAGTCTTTAAGGAGAGTCAATTGACCTCTGATGTTTTCCTTTTGTTTTGCTTACTTACAAATAACTGGATAATAAATGAACTATTCTAATGATAAGGAATTAAAAATAAAAAGAAACAGTGGTTATATATAACAATAGCTTTATAATAAATCAGAAGTAGTAAAAATAAGAAATTAAAGCCACGTAGTGCATTAGTATTTGCTTACAAAAGAAATGGAACATACACCTTGATCTTTAACAGGTAAACTGGAATTGTTCTTATTGGAAGAGCTTAAAACTTGAGAGAAAAAAGTAGAGCAAAATTTAACCTGCTAAGAATGATTATTCCTAAGACATATTCTTATAGTAAGGACAATTTTATTTTTGGGAAAAAAGTGACAGTGAGAAATTGTTGATGTTGAGAATAAAATAAGTCAGACAGGGTTTCTATGGCATTAACTATGTAAATTGACAACTTATAAGTGATTTCCAACAGTGAGGTGAAATTGTTAAATGTATTATCTTTATTGAAGGGATAAGCAGAAATTTGGCAAACCGCTTTTCTGAAATAATGAAATCTTTTTCTCTCTCATAATAATATTGTATCCCTTATGAAGTTTTTCACTGTTATTTTAGTGTTCTTTATTGCCATTTGTTTCCTCCATCCTGGATTGTAGATAAATATTCTGATTCAGAAGAAGCTAGAGACATATAAAGGCCTGGGTTGGGGACAACTTAAATGAACACTTATAAATGTTTTTTATAGAACTATTTCGGGATTAGTCCAACATAATGTACTTTCTTTGAGAAGACAAGTGATAAGCAAGCAGACTAGTTTGGTTTGTATGTCCCTTTTAAAGACATTCTCATGATACCATATCCTTCAGGAAATTTAGGCTGATTGTAGAAGAAGATTCGTAAAATGCTACCAGATCCACTATCAGGAATAAAGATCTTATTCCCCCAGCTGTTGAGAGTGTTGCGGGACAAGGGCACTCAGCTGCTAGCCCTCTTTGGGGATTGCTTTGAATGAAGAATATTGTCTTGCCTAAGGTCAAACTTCCTTCCAAGGGCAGGCGACACCCAAATACAGATCAACAAAGGGATATAAAGGTCTGGTCCTTTTGTTCTAACTCAGGACAACTCTGAAGCCCATCCCACCTCCAGAAATCCTTTTGCACATTGGCTGAGGACTTTCTTGGAACTGCATTGCAGCTCAACTTTACCCTCTGAATATCTTGCCTTCTTCTCTTCCTTTCCACTATTTTTGACCCCAAGAGAACTCTCTATTCAATGTCCTGTATGTTAATCCCTTATCTCAAACTCTGCTTCTCAGAGAACCTACCATGTTACAGCTGGTATTAAGAGTGGATGAAGAAAACAGAGGAGCTATTGCCAAGCTCCACTGATACGCTGGACAAAGTAATCAGTCAGCAAATACAAGTTAAGTATGAAGGCTAGAGGACCTGTTGGGTAGCATATGAAGAAGTTCTTACTTCCTGTAGCAGAAGGGAAGAGAAGTTGAGGACTAGGTCTGAGACTTAATCATAAGAACAATCAAGCTAAAGTTTCAATTCCCAACCAAAGCAATGTCTGAGATCCTGGCACATGGGATGAGGCTGTCCGGATTGATGCCTGATTATGTTGAGTTTCGAGATTCTCCTTAACCCTATAAGCCTGAGAAAGAAGTTCACTCATTCTTATAAAGGGATAGCACACCTACCTTGCTAGACCATTAGGCAGAGGCCTCTCCATCACAATATAACAGGTATTTCCCTCTTGTATATGCTCTTAACCACCATTCCTGGGCTTTGAGGAAATAACTGTGGCAAAGTCACTTTATAATCCATCTGGGGAAGTATTGAGCCTACTAAGGGAAGAAAGGAACTATCTCTCAAAGGAATGAAGGACCTAGCTAACATGCACTGGCAGAAGCTGGGACTTACTGTCCCAGAAGCATGGGACTGGATTTTGAGCATGCTGGACCAAAGGTCGTGGGACTAAGTTTGAATAAAAAGGGTTTAGGTAGGTTAAAGCACTTTCCAAAATACATATTTGATCACCCTGCTGAGTGTCCCTTGAGTGAATACACTGCTAGTATAGCTCCTAAATATATTAATAGGAAGAAAACAATGATCTAAACTAAGTGATGCAGAAATACTAGAATTTCCACAGAAGATGGTAGAAGAATGAATTAAAAGGCTCAGAAAAATGAGCATGATAGAATGCATTCAACAATTACTGTCAATAAAACCCACCAAATATTCCACAGAAAGGACTTGAAGGTATGTTACTTACTAAAGCAATAAGAATGTACTGGAAAAAGGGGCACTAATACAACTTAGATGGTCAGTAGTAGCTCTCCTCTGTGGGCCAGGACTGAGAGTAGGTGATACCATTATAGAACTGGAATCACTAATTGCAGCAGGGATGACTGGACACCTAAGCAAATAGAGGCTATTAGTTGTATTATTTTTTGGAAAAAGATACCATATGGATTTTATGGCTTGCCCCAGTAAGAGAACCACTATACAGACTCTCTAGGATTTTGGAGCAAGACAATGCATGATACACTGTATAATATTATATACCTTTTGAAGAAACAACTTCTGGCATTCTCCTGGGTCCTGATAAAGACAGAGCAGCTGACTGTGGGACACCAAGCAACCATGCAGCCGTAACTTCTTTTTATGAATGTGCTTCTCTTAGACCTACACTGTTAGTCCATTCTCAAGCTGCTATAAAGAACTGCTCGAGACTGGGCAGTTTATAAAGGAAAGAGGTTTAATTGACTCACAATTCTACATGGCTGGGGAGGCCTCAGGAAACTTACAATCATGACAAAAGGAACCTCTTCACAGGGTGGCAGGAGAGAGAATGAGTGTAAGAATGAGGGGAAATGCCAGACGCTTATACAACCATCAGATCTCTGAGACTCACTTGCTATCATGAGAACAGAATGGGGGAAACCGCTCCCATGATTCAATTATCTCCACCTGGTCCCACCCTTGACACATGGGGATTATTACAATTCAAGGTGAGATTTGAGTGGGGACACAGAGTCAAACCATATCACCTGCCAAATAATAAGTTGTGAGAACCAACAACAAGTCATTGCATAATGGGAGCAATAACTGTGGGATCAATTCTGATTATGACTGGGGGATAGAAACAAGCTGTGCAAGCAGTTACTCAGAGGCCCAAGTTATTTACCACTATTCCTCCAGTGTCTCTCCCTCAGCTCCTATTGCCTGCCTCTGTGAGACTGCCATACTGTCACAGAGGCAGTAAAAGGTCTGAATATGGCTCATCAATGGGCCAGTTCAATAGTGCAAACCAAAAATTAATGGAGGCCCCACTAAAGCCTCTCTCCAGTGTAGCCTTGTAAGAGATGAGAAAAATGCTCACAATGGCAGAGCTTTTGTTGGTGCATATGGTTATTAACTTTGTGTAGAAATAAAAGTGGTTTAAAGTTAGAATACAGTGGATTGCTGAGCATGAATATCATGATCAAAATCATATAAGAACAAATATTAGAAAATTGAGGACAAGGAGGTCTGGATTAGAGGCATGTGAGTGGACATAGGAGAGTGGACACAACATGTGAAGATTGTCATATTTTATGTTAATACCTAGTAGAGAGTATTCATCAAAAAAGAGACAATAAAAAGTCAGGTAGACAAAATGTCTTAGCCAATTGATGTCAGCTAAGTTCTGTCATCAGCCACAGTAATGCTGGGCCAATGGTCATGTGGATGAAATAGCCTTGGTGACAGGCATAGAGAAATGCATAGGCCCAGCAATTTGAACTCTTACATATTATGGTTGATTAACTACTGATATTGCTGAATGGCCAACTGTCAGTGACTGAGACCAACAGTGATCCCTCAACATGACATCATCTTCTGAGGTCACCAACTAGCTACTTTAACTATCTTAGACTCTTTTCTTTTCTTTTCTTTTTTCTTTTCTTTTCCTTTTTCTTTTCTTTTCTTTCCTTCCTTCCTAGCTACTTTAACTATCTTAGACTCTCCTTCCTTCCTTCCTTCCTTCCTTCCTTCCTTCTTTCTTCTTTTTTTTTGAGATGGAGTCTTACTGTATCGCCCAGGCTGGAGTGCAGTGGTGCGAGCTCAGCTCACTGCAGTGCAGCTCCGCCTCCCGGGGTCATGCCATTCTCCTCCCTCAGCCTCCTGAGTAGCTGGAATACAGGCGCCCGCCACCACGCCCGGCTAATTTTTTGTATTTTTAGTACAGACGGGGTTTCACCGTGGTCTCGATCTCCTGACCTCGTGATCCACCCGCCTCGGCCTCCCAAAGTGCTGGGATTACAGGCATGAGCCACCGCGCCTGGCCGACTCTTTCCTTTCTGGAAGGGGCAGCAATTCATTTTGAAAAGACCAGACGTGAATTCCCAATAAGAGTTTACCTTTCCTGAGCCAGCAGCAGTAACTGCATGCTTACAGAGTTTTTAATCTACCAGCATGACATCCCACATAATATTGCTTCTGGTTAGCTAATTTTCAGTAAAGGAAGTGTGAGAGTGAGAGTGGGCCCATAACAGTGGGACTATTGCTCCATGCTGAAGCTGACAGCTTGATGGTGTGATGGAATGGCCTATCGATGGCATTGCTGAAGCTGCAGGTCAGAAGTGATAATAAAAAGATGAAGCAACATCATACAGGATGAAGTGATTCAATTTAAATTAAAGATTTGTAGATAGAATAATAGATGGAATAGATGATTCGTGGGTACCAAGGGTTAGAAGCAGGATTAACTCTACTTACCATCCCTCCAATGACCCACTTAGGAAATTTGTGCTCCCCATCCTGAAACTCTGGGCTATGCAGGTTTATAAGTGAATATTCATAGAGAGGGGAAAGAATTCTACCAGCGGCCATAGCAAGGGTTTCATCAAACTGTAGCTATGGCTGCTGTGTATGTACATTGCACTTCTCATGCCAAGGGAGCAGTGGCAAAACCGGAGTCCCCATGCTGTAGGAGCAACTGATTGTGATCATTATGGGAAACAGGGCTGCTGTCACTCAGTGGGACAGGGAAGATAACCTCTAGAATCCAAGTGACCACTTGGACGTCTCTTGGTAAAACTTTGACCAATTTTGATGGAAGGACAAATTCAGTAACCGTGACCTGAGAAAAGCATAGTTATTAGGGGCTTAGCAAACCCCATCAGGGATGAGGGTCTGGGTCATGCAGCTACATCAGTAAGATCAGCCTTGTGCAGGATGAGGGTGAAGGGAATTTAGACTGGGAGGAAAAGGCAGACAATGTTAGTACCTGTGGCTCTAAGACCAGATACAGTAACAGGGGCTATAGGCCATTCCACTAAATTTCTCCTTCTACATGTCCCCCAGGAAGGTAAGAGCACTGGAGTCCTGCAGGAGCTGCTCTCAGAAAAGAAGAAGATATGAAAGAAAAGTATCCAGGTGGCACACAGTATGAACTGTTGTGATTGTGGTGCACTGCCTTGACCTCCCCTCTTTAGAAATTAAGGATTTATTTAATCAGTTCCTGAGAGTTACTAAAAGATAGCAATCAGTTATCAGCCCTCTTTGAGAATTTCTTTTGGAAGATAGAGCCAGGAAAAACACTCTTTCACTGAAGGTCTGTGATGGTTAATATTAAGTGTCAACTTGTTGGATTGAAGGATGCAAAGTATTATTTCCGGATATGTCTGTGAGGGTGTTGCCAGGGGAGATTAACATTTGAGTCAGTGGGCTGGGAGAGCAAGACCCACCCTCAATGTGGGTGACCACCATCCAGTTGACTGCCAACATGGCTGGAAAAAGCAGGTGGAAGAAAGTGGAATAAGCTGGCTTGCTGAATCTTCCAGCATTCATCTTTCTCCCGTGCTGGATGCTTCCTACCCTTGATCAGACTCCAGGTTCTTTGGCCTTTGGACTCTTGGACTTTCGTTTGCCAGGGGCTCTCGGGCTCTTGGCCACAGACTGAAGGCTACACTGTCGATTTCCCTACCTTTGAGGCTTTGGGACTTTGACTGAGCCGCTACTGGCTTCCTGACTCCTCAGCTTGAAGACAGCCTGTTGTGGGACTTCACCTTATGATCATGTGAGCCAATTCTCCTTAATAAACTTCCTTTGTATATATATATGTATATATACATATATATATACTTCCTTTTATATATATATATGAACTTCCTTTTATATATATACATATATAAATATATATAATTTATATATATATAATTAGATATATATAATTTATATATATATAATTAGATATATATAATTTATATATATATAATTAGATATATATAAATATAGATATATATTCCTTTTATTTATATATATATATATATATGTGTATGTATATAAAAATATATCCTCTTAGTCCTTTCCCTCTGGAGAACCCTGACTAATACAAGGTCCTTCCAAGGGCAACTTGCGTCCATTGTCTAACCAACATGGAGGTATGAGAGTCTGACCCCTTCACCCCTACTGAAGATAACTCTGAAGGAGCATCCAGCACTGGAGTTTCCTATGGGGTTGACTGAGATTTTAGTGGGGCTGCATTGCCTCTCCACTTCCTTCTGCCCAATCTCTCTTCCTTTTATTTTTACATTTTATAAAATTGCCCTCTAGTTAGTAGATAACATTTTCTTAATTTTCTCAGCATTTTGTTAAATATCACAGCACTGAAGTCAGAAAAACTTATCTTAATATTATCTAGTAAAGTCTGAGACAGCATGAGTCTGTGTTCTCCTATGGGAGAAGGTTCAGGCAACGTTAGGCTGTGCAGGAAGGCAGGAGATGGATGTGCTTGAATCTGGCAACAGGTTATACAAGGGCTTCTACATTTACTTATGTTAGCCAATGCACTCTTCTGGTGTGGAGAAGTACTTCTTGGGAATGTTAGGAGTATCTTCTATTGTAACTTGATCGTTTTTTGGGATTAGAAAACCCAACCTCCTACATTGCCAAGCTAAGTGTTTTGTATTTAGTAGCCCCTTTGAAAATGTTGGCTAAATGCGTACATGCATGATTCTAAGTGGGTAATTAAATGATTATAAAGAAATTGTGTTAAAATCAGTGTCACAATATACTTTCTTCCTTGAAAAATGATTCATGCTAATTAAATAAAAATAATTAATTTTGTTTAATTCAATTTAGTGACTTGCTTCTCAAGAATTCATTATTTAGTTCCTAGCAACTCCACTTATTAGTTTTATATTCTTGGGATAATATTCTAACCTCCCCGAGCTTCACTACTCTAATCTAGAAATTAGAATAACAATAGGATCTTCCTTAATAATGTGAGATTTGAATGCAATAAAGCCATCAGCACAATGCCCCTTGTGAAGCAGGCATTTTATAGGGCTTACCATTGATATTATTAGTGTTAAAACACTGTTAAGTGCTTACTCTTGCTACGATTAGTGTTAAACAGAGGTGGAGGCCACTGTAAGGCCAGTGGCCCTTCCAATGGCACCCTTCTGTCATGACCTCCCTGTATCTCTTGCTCTTTCTCTGCCCTTGAGCTGGTAGCTCAACACCCTGTCCAGTGTGTGGTTCCTGTCAGATGATTGGTTTTGCCCTTTTCTAAGGATTGCTTTTCTCTTAGTGTGATATATTAAGCTCTTCTCTGAGGGCAATGGGTTCTTCCCAAAGGGCTCAGTCTGCTTTATTTTTATATCCTATAATGTCATAATGCCATTTTCTAAACTATACTTTTCTTTTCATAAAAGCCTTTTGTCATTAAAAAACAAAAAGGCCAGCTGGGAGCGGTGGCTCACGCCTGTAATCCCAGCACTTTGGGAGGCCAAGGAGCGTGGATCATGTGAGGTCAGGAGTTCGAGACCAGCCTGACCAACATGGAGAAACCCCATTGCTACTAAAAATACAAAATTAGCTGGGCATGGTGTAATCCCAGCTACTCAGGAGGCTGAGGCAGGAGAATCGCTTGAACCTGCGAGGCAGAGGTTGCGGTGAGCCGAGATTGTGCCATTGCACTCCAGCCTGGGCAACAAGAGCGAAACTCCATCTCAAAAAAAAAAAAAAAAAAATGCCAAAGTGCCAGGATAAGTGACACTCAGCTCAAAGCTTTTGCATTGTCCCAAGGGGATTAAGTTGAATTGGGTTATTTGGACTAATGAATTAAGACACTTTTTCTAAGGAGGCAGCACAAGCAGAACTGAAAATTTCTGGAGTCAGAATTACCTGAGTTCAAGTTATAGTTGGCTTGTAATGATTTCTAAATGATGATTCTTTTCTTCTTTATATCTTCACAACCGCATGTGTGTGCGCACACTGCAGAGAGGGAATTAGGAGTACTCCTATTATGTTCATTTAAAAAATAAGGAAATAAAGGTTCAGTGATCAGTCACCATTGTTATTATTAGATTATTATAGCCATATTTCAAAGGGCTTATCGTTTTGAATTAACTGTAACAATGAAATGTGAGTGTAGGGATTACTGGGCACTTTTTACATACCTGACACTATTCTCAGCCCTTTTTACCGTATATATTATTTAATCCCCACGACAACTTCCTAAGGCAAATCTTATCAGTCTTTATCATGTAGACAAGAAAACTGAGGCCCAGGAAGTTCAGGAATTTGCTTGAGGTCCTATAGCTAGTATCTCTGACTGATGAAATCAGAGTTCAAAGCCAGATGCCCTGATTCCACACCTCTGATTCTTAACTAATATACTGCTTTCTCTAGTGGTCACTTCTACTTCTCACCAGTAAAGTGGGGTTGCCGAGAGATCTTTTTCTTAACACCTTCAAAATCAAAGTTAGAAATAAAGCAAGAAGAAAAATAAAACAAAGAGCCCTTATTGGTTGGGAGGCTTTTCCTGCAGCCCTGCTTTTCTTTGCAACACAAAATGGGGGCAAGGCTTCAAGTAGAAGAGACGATAAGCTTACTTTAGAATATAGGCACTATGAAAGTGGATATTAGTGTCTGTTTTGTTCCCTTTTATCCCTAGCACTAGAAAGTGCCTGGCATGCTATATCTCGCAAGTGAGTAAATGAATGAAGTCATGTAGTATGTGCTTCTGTTAAAGCCCGCCACTATAACCTGGGGGATACTTCTGGGATACTTCCCACGGAAATATTGCAACCACAAGTGCATTAAAGCATAACTAAAGAAGGCCCTTGAATGACATGTCTTGAGGTAGAGAAAGAAACGGCTAAGTGAGCCAATCCTCAGTTATCCTCAGAAGCTGGAAACCTGATATCCTCTCTAAATTTTTAAAAAAGTTCTTCTGTATTTGAGGCACACACTCCAGAGCATGAACTGTGAATCTGAAGTCCTTACCAATTTTTTACTTCCATGTCTTTAGCGTTTTAATTTTTTTCTATTTGAAAGAACGGAATGTGTTTCCTAAACTCAGACTTATGCCAACATCTTAAAAGTTTGTCACTGGATTTTAAGCCTCAATTTTCTTCTTGAGCTGCTTTAAAAAAAATGTGTTTTTCTGTCATCTAAGTACATCTTCAGATATTTGTATCCTGGAAGGATAAGCAGCTAGTATACTATTGGGTCATTAAACATTGGAAACTCTTTCTGTTTCTCTGGCACCTGCAAGGCATGGCTTAGCTAGATCCCCAACTTGTAAAAATGGAGGTATTGCTCTGTTGTCCTCTGGTAATTAATATAACAAAAAATAAGTCTGATGTGAATATAGTTTTTATTTTTCTTTAGGATGTAAACATTTCTTTTCTCTGAATGTTTAAAAAAGAAGAAGCAGAAACAGCAGCAGCAGTAGCAAGAGGGACTGTTATGTCGAATCCACAGTTTAAAATATTTACTAGCTTATCCCTTATAGACAAAGTTTGATTATTCCTGTTTCTGAATCAAATATTTGTTTTGCTACAGTATCCACTCTGTTCTTTACTGCCTCAGCTCAATTTTTTAGTTTAGTTGTCATATATTTTTTTCATCTGAAAAACTTCTTTCCTTGTCTTTGGTTTATCTTTTTTATGGATGTAATAATTGTTATATTTTTCTAGATGCAGTTCTTCTTTCCCCAGCTGCAATACAAACTAGAGGGCCAGTTTTAGGTAGAAAATAAAATAAGCTTATTTTAGAATATTAGCATGAAAGAGTGGGAATTTGTATCTATTTTGTTTCCTGTATTATCCTTAGTGCCAGAAATTGAGAATTAGGATGTTGGCTATAAGAAAGAACTTTCTTATTTTGGCAGGAAAATTAGCTTTGCTGCAAAGGTTGTGTGTATGTGTCCATATTTATACTTGCAGTTCCTGAAGTTGTTTAAGTGATTTGTTTTCTGCCACCTGATCTATGGCCTATCCCCACCCACTACCCTAAGAAATGGAAGGTTGGGATGCCTGTAATCCATCAAAAAGTCTTCTATTCAAGGGAAGAATGGAAACAGCTATCAGAGAAAATGGGATTTGGCCTAACTCTCTTACCATTTATGGGTGTGTGTGAGATCTCACTCCTTGTCTTACTGACATGGCTGTGTTTGTATGAGTCTGGAGTGGCAAGGCCCGTGGCTTTCCTGTGGGCTGGCCACATTAGCTGGAAGGATGAAAATGAGTGCCGCAGTGAGTTTCTATATATCTGGGTGGGCACTGGGGCAGTTTCTGAAATCTTTTCATTTCTTGAATTTGTACAGCTCCTGGCAGTTTTAGCTCAGTAGTTTCCAGAGCTCTGTTGGAAAGCCCTGCTCACTTAGAAGCCAATAGGGTCCCTTCTTTACCTCCATCACTTTGATTGATTTGACAAATGGTTATTATTTTCCATAACCTGATCTTACCTTTACTACATCTTAAATAAATCCTTTAAAAATATTTGTATTAATGACAAGTATCTTTCCTGTTTTTCAGCACTAATAAAGTTTAAAAATACAATTTAAGCTTGTATTTTAGTCATTTCAGAGAAATTTGGGGAGGAGGAAGAATTGGTTGATTGGCTTTAAATGGCCATCCTTAGACATATACATTTCAGTGTATTTTTGCAGAATTAATTCTTTCAACCCTCAGACAACCTTGTATTATATTTATTTACATTTTTACATTCCTTTGATATGGCTACGTCAGGTTCACATGGCTGGTAAATGACCTTGGCTCACACTCTGTCCTCTGCTCAGATTTATGCAGAGGTGGCACAGGCCCACCCACCTGCTGCATTGGAACTCATCCTGGGAATGTCCCTTACCTGAAGCATCCACTGCATTACCTTTCCTTAGACTATCATTATAAAACCATTGGATATGAGAATCCAGTTCTTACAATTTAGTGAGAACATTAATTTTCTTTACTGCAACCAATTTAAGAAAGTTGATACAGACTACATTGGGGTATGTACCTTCTGATTTGCTGGTATCCAACATTCATCCATTTGATCCCCCTACAGCTCAAATGCATCCTAGTTTTGCAACTTGGAGTTTAAAAGGTGAGTGATTTGTATCCATCAGCTCAGCAGTGACAGCAGGGCTAAATCCATCACTTGGTATTATTTGGTGTTTCTGCACAGGCTGCCAAATGCCTTCCAAAGCCGCTGAAATTGATGGTGACCATTTTCCACATCCTTCATTTGTGGTTTACACTGTGACTCTCTTCAACTTCAATTTCTCAAGGGACTAAATTCTGTCTGTTTTGTGTTAGATTTTGCAGTTATAACCTATTTCATCATTTGAAGTTGCACCTTCAAAGAGACTTTTCTTGTATCTGAGAATTGGCCAAACCACTTACAGGGAGTAATACTTTCTTTTTAGATTCTGTTGCTGTCTATTGTTTTCTTTAAACTGACCAGGAGGGGTATATTGTAATTTGGTAGTGTCAAATGCTTTCAGTGTGTCTGCTTTGATTTGATCATCTCTCCATTTTGTTGGGTTTTATTTTACAGTGACTTACATTTCCAATAAGTTGCTACATGTATATAAAATCCTGGGCTAACTCTGCTCTTTTGGACTGGTTATGTTGAAAGCATGTCTGGCAGTAGGACATCAAGTAGCACCTGCCTGGTTAACAGGAGTAGGTTGGTCACAAAGAGTGGAAGCAGAGATGCCTGAGTACAAGACACTAAGGAGAATGTTAGCCTGTAATATTGATGCAGGCAGCTATTGTCTGTGGCACTAATGAGAGATGCACTGTTTATATTCAGCAAAAGCCTCACACAATTCATGAAGCAAAGAGAGAAGAAACTCCAAAAAGACAGAAGCTACTGAGACTGGTTAAGGCTTTCAAATAGAAGCACGTCCTTAGTGTGAGATGCCTTCAGTTCACTTATCCAGTACCATAGAGAATAAGACCTTTTGTTTTGTTTTTAACTTATACACATTAAATTGGCCCTAAAGTTGTATGGTTGAAGGTGGAAAACATTTTTAAACTTGCCATTATGTTTTATAAGATTTTTGGTTGCTTTTGAATTTGTTCTATAAGGTTAATTCATAACTAGATTTTTAAACTTTAAAATCTGTGAAGCTTTTTCTACTCTATTTACCTCATTGATGCCCCATTTCTCTGACTACATATAGGATTGACGTGAAGGTAATGCAATAGACAAAGCTATGCATGTCAAATTCCAACAGCATCAATTAGAATTTTTACTATCTATGTCATTGGAAGCACATATCTTTTATGAAAAGTCTTCTTTATCCAAAATTCTTAGAAATCTACTTCCTGGTCAAGGTGGTGCCAACATGAATAAAATCTGTGCCTAACTATGAGGGACAGTTCTTCTTCAAGGTGAAATGTGAATAAATGATCAAAGTATGAAAGGTAGTGCTTCATAACATTTTAGTTTGAATATATTTTATAGATAAAATTTATAGAGACATATATAGAGAGAAGACAGACTATAATGGGATGATTGTGTAGAAAGTGAACTTTACTCAATGAAATAAAAAAGCATCTTAGGTATGTTTCTCATTTGTGACAGTGGGGTTGGCTTCAGGCAAGAGACCCACAAGCCCCATGGACACTTATTCCATGAGAAGCTTTTATTCTGTCTCCATTCTCCTCCCTGTATCCAAGTCCAGCTCCTGAGGTAAGTTGTGCCAGGCACATAACACCCCATAAAAACAGTGATCAAGAAGAGGTTTTCAGCTCACAGATAGCCTTGTATCTGCAGCTATTGCTGCTTCACACTGACTCTGGTGATAATTTCTTATGAATTTCATCAGAGCTGCTTAGGAACCCTTGTTGGGAGGTTGATTCTGAAGCTACTTGCTTCGCTGGCTATATCTTTGTTATTCTCCACTTGAAAATATCTGGCACAAATAAACCATTTGACAGTAATAGAGGAGGAAGCCTTTCCCCCCCCTCCGCCACATCTACATTGCTATTGTTAACCCTAGATTCCTCCCTTGTAGTTTTTCATACAGTTTTTTATGTTTTAATTATTTTTTTGAGATGAGCTCTCACTCTGTTATGCGAGATGGAGTGCAGTGGCACAATTGTAGTTCATTGCAGCCTCAAACTCCTGGGCTCAAAGTATCCTCCTGCCTCAGCCTCTCAAGTAGCTGGGACTACAGATAAGCACCATGCCATCCAGCTAATTAACACATTGTTTTTTTAAGAATGAGGGGTCTTACTATATTGCCTCATGCAATCCTCATGCGTCAGCCTCCCAAGTAGCTGGGATTATAGGTGTGATTATAGGTGTGAGCTGTCATGCCTGGCTTGTATCTTACTTTTTGTATGAGAATTTTCTCCTTCAATGCTTTTCATTACTCAGTAAGGTGTCATACTTGGGGTGATTTATCCCTTTATGGCTCCTTCTGCAGACACGTTCGCTTTGGACTGCTGCAAATTTAAAAAATCTCTGAGCAGCTTCTGTGGAAGGAAAAGCAATTCTAATTTTTAAAATATCAAGACATCAAAATTGAAACCCTGTGTGGTTAATGGAAGTGGAGTGGCTACACATAGAGCATGTAGAAAGTTCTTAATAAGAACTCACTGAGGACAAGTCATATACTAAATATGTTGATAGTTATCCGTGCTTAGGCTCTGGGTACAATCTTTCAGTGGTTCCAGGCATCTTGTAGAGTAAAGGTAAGGTTTCTTGTTGTGATATTTAAGAGCCTCCAAGATGCACTTCTGGCCATCTCTTCTGCCAACACATTTGAGAACTAGTTTCCTACACGCCAGGCTATTTCATATTTTTGTGCCTTTCCCTGTGTTGTCCCTTTACCTGGGAATGTACCTTTCTTCCATATTTTCCATTCATCAAATCAGCTTAGGTATGATCTTTTTAGAAACATTTGCCAGACATCCTCTGGACCAAGATGGACTAAGTAACCTTTGTTTCTATCCCCCACCCCAGACAGCATCCCATTTCTACTTCTTAAATGGGAATCATGCACAGTATTACATAAAAATTGTTTGCACTGTCTGTTTCCATTCCTTGTGTTTCTGGAAACCAACCCCTTGTCTGACACAGAGTCCATTTAGATATGCATTTGTTGCAACACCACATACAGAGCAACAAACAGATGAACAACAGCCACAAATAGACAAATGCCAGCGTAATCAGAAAGGGTGCAAGGAATGAAAACTCATTTCAAATTTAGTATAGATAAAAATTCCATCATGCCTACCACTACAAGACTTCTCTTCCATACCCATGGATTTTGGCCATTTCTCTCCTCAAAAGTGGCATTTCTGTGCCCTTCATTGTCTACTGGATAAAATCAAAATGCTTTAGGAAGGCACAGAAAATCTTCTGAGTTACAGCCTTTAATTTTCCTGTCTCATTTCCTTCTACTCATTCTGTACCTTCAAGTTTTACCGTTTCCTAGCTGTATGATTTTGAGGTAATTACTTCTTTCAGTGTCTCAGTTTCTCATTTATAAAATGGGAGTAAATTATATCTGTTTTATAATATTAAGTGATATAATTATATAAAATACTTGCTCCAGAACCTTTGTTCAAAATGTTAACTATTATTAATGTTAAGATTATATATATAAGTAAATATACATAAAAATATATAAATAAATATATAATATATAAACACATATTTATAAATAAATATTTATAGTAAAATATATATTATATATTTATTTATATATATAATATATATTTATGAATAAATGTACATATTACTTCCAAAACATTTTTCTTCATGCAAACATATTTATAAGCAGATCTTGGATGTATTTGTGCTTTTATGCTTCTACGTTTCAATTATTTTTATTTTCCTATTCAAATAATAATTAGCATTCAAGATTCAGGCTTCTAGACTTAATTTAGAATCTAACTGCTTTGTAATGTATTCTCTGACCATCCAACCTGATATAATCTTTCTCTCATTTTTATAGAAATTATCATGTTTACAATAGATATACAAATTATTAAACTCATTCATGTACTCATCCAAAAAATATTTACTGAGCACTTGTTGTGTGTAAGTCACTGGATTAGCAGTAGAGATAGGTGGTAAATAAGATACCACCATCACTGTTTCCAGGGAATTTGTGGTATAGTGGTTTGTAGAATGGAATCTGGAGCCAGACTGCTTAGATCTGTGTCTAGGCTTCACCACTTACTAACTACATGACCTGGGGCAGGTTATTTAAGCTCTCTGAGCCTTACAAATAGAAATTGCTTAGAAGATTGTCTAGCTCAGGGTAAGCATAATTAAATGTTAATTATTGTCGGTATATTACTGTTGTGGTTATCTAAAGACCTTAAACAATTATACAATTCACTTTGATTACAATTGTGGTTATAAAACTATATTTTAGTATTTAAGAGAGAATTCAAGAAATCTGAGAATATGCCTGAGACTCAACTGACAGCTCAGATAAGGTGGATGGAGAATATACATGATGATGAAATATTTTCAGTGGTCTTCGGGAAAAAAATGGAGACTTTATTGAAATAAAAGCTGACTGTAAGAGTTTCATTTCCAGTAATGGCTAACTAGATAATTTGGAGTAATCCTTACAATATAATGACAAATAAAAGAACTGGTTAAAATTAAAAAAAACAATTGTTTGTATAAAAAAATCTACAAGATAGTAAGATATTACCAGGCCAGGAAAAGAGGGCTAATAGTAGCCAACAAATTAAAGCTGAGCTACTTCTCTCCAGGGGGAGTTTTTCCAATGCAGGTTAGCACTAGGGCTCCGTAAGAGATAACTAAGGAACTAAGGAGTCATAGTCCTAGGACCACCAGGAGCAAAAGGTTCCAGAAAATCACCTGTTCCCTCTCTTCATCTGCCATTCTTAGGAAAGTTGCTAACAGGCACCAGAACTTTGACACAAACTCCTAGAACTGAAAGAAAAGTATCACATTTTAGTCCCTTCCAAAGATTGACATCTTATGTTAGAGGGCCCCTGTTCTGGGTGAGGACTGAAAATGTTATGCTATAGAGTAGGAATAGGAATGGTATCCTGGTCATCCAGGCATCCCATAAAATTCTGATGTCTTGAGCTTGGGTGGTTAGCTTCCCAGGAATCTAGACAAAAAATAGCTAAAATGGTTTCTCATACAAGATAATACCCTAGGCCTTAAATTAACTTTCAATATAACTTATCAAATATAGCATCCAGCAACCAGTTAAACTTAGTGAGACACACAAGGCAATGAAATATCAACTAAAATCAGCAAAAACAATCACCAACAGAAACTCACAAGAACAAAAACATGCAAATTATCCACACAGAATGTAATGGCACTATGTTTATTATATTCTTGGAAATAAAAACTAAATAAGAAAAGTTTCTGCAAGGCATTGGAAACAACAAAATACGACACTGCAGATTTGAAAAGAATCTAACTGGAAATGATGTAACTGAAAAATATGACTGATCTTAATCTCTCAGAGATGGCCCTTGTGGCAGATGAGACACAGCTGAAAAGAGTATTAATGAATGAGAAAATAGGTAAGAAATTCAGAATGAAACATGGAGAAGTAAAAAGACAGAAATATAGTTGAGGAGGTACTTACAATGGATAAAGTAAGACTGTCTAAAACGTATTCATTAGTTAGATTCCCAGAGTAGAGGAGAAAGAAGATGAGGAAGAAGCAACAGATGATGAGATGATAGTGGCCAAGCTTTGAAAAGTAATTAATAGCTTGGGGAGGTTCCAAGATGGCCAAATAGGAAGAGCTTCAGTCTACAGCTCCCAGCGTGAGTGACACAGAAGACGGGTGATTTCTTCATTTCCAACTGTGGTACCAGGTCCATCTCACTGGGGCTTGCCGGACAGTGGGTGCAGCCCACAGTGTGTGAGCTAAAGCAGGGTTGGGCCTCACCTCACCCAGGAAGCACAGGGGGTCTGGGAATTCCCTTCCCTAGCCAAGGGAAGCGGTGACAGATGGTACCTGGAAAATTGGAACACTCCCACCCTAATACTGCACTTTTCCAACGGCCTTAGCAAATGACACACCAGGAGATTATATCCCGCGCATGGCTCAGAGGGTCCCATGCCCACGGAGCCTCGCTCACTGCTAGCACAGCAGCCTGAGATTGAACTGCAAGGCAGCAGCGAGGCTGGGGGAGTGGCATCCACCATTGCTGAGGCTTGAGTAGGTAAACAAAGTGGCCAGGAAGCTCTAATTAGGTGGAGCCCACCACAGCTCAAAGAGGCCTGCCTGCCTTTGTAGACACCACCTCTGGGGGCAGGGCATAGCTGAACAAAAGGCAGCAGAAACTTCTGCAGACTTAAATGTCCCTGTCTAACAGCTTTGAAGAGAGTAGTGGTTCTCCCAGCACGGAGTTTGAAATCTGAGAACAGACAGACTGCCTCTTCAAGTGGGTCCCTGACCACTGAGTAGCCTAACTGGGAGACATCTCCCAGTAGGGGCTGACTGACACCTCATACCGCTGGGTACCCCTCTGAGACGAAGCTTCCAGAGGAAGGATCAGGCAGCAACATTTGCTGTTCTGCAATATTTGCTGTTCTGCAGCCTCCACTGGTGATACCCAGGCAAGCAGGGTCTGGAGTGGACCTCCAGCAAACTCTAACAGACCTGCAGCTGAGGGTCCTAACTGTTACAAGGAAAACTAACAAACAGAAAGGTCATCAACACCAAAACCCCATCTGTACGTCACCATTATCAAAGACCAAAGGTAGATAAAACCACAAAGATGGGGAGAAACCAGAGCAGAAAAGCTGAAAATTCTAAAAATCAGAGTGCCTCCTCTCCTCCAAAGGAGCGCAGCTCCTCGCCAGCAACGGGACAAAGCTGGACGGAGAATGACTTTGACGAGTTGAGAGAAGAAGGCTTCAGACGATCGCTAATAATGAACTTCTCTGAGCTAAGGGAGGATGTTCGAACCCACTGCAAAGAAGTTAAAAACCTTGAAAAAAGATTAGATGAATGGCTAATGAGAAAAAACAGCATAGAGAAGACCTTAAATGATCTGATGGAGCTGCAAACTGTGTCACAAGAACTACATGACGCAGGCACAAGCTTCAGTAGCCGATTCGATCAAGTGGAAGAAAGGGTATCAGTGATTGAAGATCAAATGAATGAAATGAAGCTACAAGAGAAGTTTAGAGAAAAAAGAGTAAAAAGAAATGAAAAAAACCTCCAAGAAATATGGGACTATGTGAAAAGACCAAATCTACATCTGATTGGTGTACCTGAAAGTGACGGGGAGAATGGAACCAAATTGGAAAACATTCTTCAGGATATTATTCAGGAGAATTTCCCCAACCTAGCAAGGCAGGCCAACATTCAAATTTAGGAAATACAGAGAATGCCACAAAGATACTCCTCGAGAAGAGCAACTGCAAGACACATAATTGACAGATTCACCAAAGTTGAAATGAAGGAAAAAATGTTAAGGGCAGCCAGAGAGAAAGGTCGGGTTACCCACAAAGGGAAGCCCATCAGACTAACAGCAGATCTCTCAGCAGAAACTCTACAAGCCAGAAGAGAGTGGGGGCCAATATTCAACATTCTTAAAGGAAAGAGTTTTCAACCCAGAATTTCATATCCAGCCAAAATAAGCTTCATAAGTGAAGGAGAAATAAAATACTTCACAGACAAGCAAATGCTGAGAGATTTTGTCACCATCAAATCTGCCTTAGAAGAGCTTCTGAAGGAAGCACTAAACATGGAAAGGAACAACCAGTACCAGCCACTGCAAAAACATGCCAAATTGTAAAGACTATCAAAGCTAGGAAGAAACTGCATCAACTAGTTGGCAAAATAACCAGCTAACATCATAATGACAGGATCAAATTCACACATAACAATATTAACCTTAAATGTGAATGGGCTAAATGCTCCAATTAAAAGACACAGACTGGCAAACTGGATAAAGAGTCAAGACCTGTCAGTGTGCTGTATTCAGGAAACCCATCTCACGTGCAGAGACACACATAGGCTCAAAATAAAGGATGGAGGAAGATCTACAAAGCAAATGGAAAACAAAAAAAGGCAGGGGTTGCAATCCTAGTCTCTGATAAAACCGACTTTAAACCAACAAAGATCAAAAGAGACAAAGAAGACCATTACATAATGGTAAAGGGATCAATTCAACTTGAAGAGCTTACTATCCTAAATATATATGCACCCAATACAGGAGCACCCAGATGCATAAAGCAAGTCCTAGAGACATACAAAGAGACTTAGACTCCCACACAATAATAATGGGAAACTTTAACACCCCACTGTCAACATTAGACAGATCAACAAGACAGAAAGTTAATAAGGAATCCAGCAATCGAACTCAGCTCTGCACCAAACAGATCTAACAGACATCTACAGAACTCTCCACCCCAAATCAACAGAATATGCATTCTTCTGAGCACCACATTGCACTTACTCCAAAATTGACCATATAATTGGAAGTAAAGCACTCTTCAGCAAATGTAAAAAAAACAGACATTATAACAAACTGTCTCTCAGACCACAGTACAATCAAACTAGAACTCAGGATTAAGAAACTCACTCAAAACCGCTCAACTACATGGAAACTGAACAACCTGCTCCTGAATGACTACTGGGTACGTAACGAAATGAAGGCAGAAATAAAGATGTTCTTTGAAACCAACGAGAACAAAGACACAACATACCAGAATCTCTGGGACACATTTAAAGCAGTGTGTAGAGGGAAGTGTATAGCACTAAATGCACACAAGAGAAGCAGGAAAGATCTAAAATTGACACCCTAACATCACAATTAAAAGAATTAGAGAAGCAAGAGAAACACATTCAAAAGCTAGCAGAAGGCAAGAAATAACTAAGACCAGGGCAGAACTGAAGGAGATAGAGACACAACAAAACCTTCAAAAAAATCAATGAATCCAGGAGCTGGTTTTTTGAAAACTTCAACAAAATTAATAGAGTGCTAGCAAGACTAATAAAGAAGAAAAGAGAGAAGAATCAAATAGATGCAATAAAAAATGATAAAGGGGATATCACCACCAATCCCACAGAAATACAAACTACCATCAGAGAATACTATAAACACCTCTAAGCAAATAAACTTGAAAATCTAGAAGAAATGGATAAATTCCTGGACCCATACACCCTCTGAAGACTAAACCAGGAAGAAGTTGAATCCCTGAATAGACCAATAACAGGCTCTGAAATTGAGGCAATAATTAATGGCCTACCAACCAAAAAGAGTCCAGGTCCAGACGAATTCATAGCCGAATTCTACCAGAGGTACAAAGAGGAGCTGGTACCACTCCTTCTGAAACTATTCCAATCAATAGACAAAGAGGGACTTCTCCGTAACTCATTTTATGAGTCCAGCAGCATCCTGATACCAAAGCCTGGCAGAGACACAAGAAAAAAAGAGAATTTTAGACCAATATCCCTGATGAACATCGATGCGAAAACCCTCAATAAAATACTGGCAAACTGAATCCAGCAGCACATCAAAAAGCTTATCCACCATGATCAAGTGGGCTTCATCCCTGGGATGCAAGACTGGTTCAACATACGCAAATCAATAAACATAATCCATCATATAAACAGAATCAAAGACAAAAACCACATGATTATCTCAATAGATGCAGAAAAGGCCTTCAACAAAATTCAAGAGCCTTCCTGCTAAAAACTCTCAATAAATTAGGTATTGATGGGACATATCTCAAAATAATAAGAATTATTTATGACAGACCCACAGCCAATATCATACTGAATGGGCAAAAACTGGAAGCATTCCCTTTGAAAACTGGCACAAGACAGGGATGCCCTCTCTCACCACTCCTATTCAACATAGTGTTGGAAGTTCTGGCCAGGGCAATCAGGCAGGAGAAAGAAATAAAGGGTATTCAATTAGGAAAAGAGGAAGTCAAATTGTCCCTGTTTGCAGATGACATGATTGTATATCTAGAAAACCCCATCATCTCAGCCCAAAAATCTCCTTAAGCTGATAAGCAACTTCAGCAAAGTTTCAGGATAGAAAATCAATGTGCAAAAATCACAAGCATTCCTATACACGAATAACAGACAAACAGAGAGCCAAATCATGAGTGAACTCCCATTCACAATTGCTTCAAAGAGAATAAAATACCTAGGAATCCGACTTACAAGGGATGTGAAGGACTTCTTCAAGGAGAACTACAAACCACTGCTCAATGAAATAGAAGAGGACACAAACAAATGGAAGAACATTCCATGCTCATGGGTAGGAAGAATCAATATTGTGAAAATGGCCATACTGCCCAAGGTAATTTATAGATTCAATGCCATCCCCTTCAAGCTACCAATGATTTTCTTCACAGAATTGGAAAAAACTACTTTAAAGTTCATATGGAACCAAAAAATAGCCCGCATTGCCAAGACAATCCTAAGCCAAAAGAACAAAGCTGGAGGTATCATGCTACCTGACTTCAAACTATAGTACAAGGCTACAGTAACCAAAGCAGCATGGTACTGGTACCAAAATATAGATATAGACCAATGGAACAGAACAGAGCCTTCAGAAATAATACCACACATCTGCACCCATCTGATCTTTGACAAACTTGACAAAAACAAGAAATGGGGAAAGGATTCCCTATTTAATAAATGGTGCTGGGAAAACTGGCTAGCCATATGTAGAAAGCTGAAACTGGATCCCTTCCTTACACCTTATACAAAAATTAATTCAAGATGGATTAAAGACTTACATGTTAGACCTAAAACCATAAAAACCCTAGAAGAAAACCTAGGCAATACCATTCAGGACATAGGCATGGTTAAGGATTTCATGACTAAAACACCAAAAGCAATGGCAACAAAAGCCAAAATTGACAAATGGGATCTACCATCAGAGTGAACAGGCAACCTACAGAATGGGAGAAAATTTTTGCAATCTACCCATCTGACAAAGGGCTAATATCCAGAATCTACAAAGAACTTAGACAAATGTACAAGAAAAAATCAAACAACCCCACCAAAAAGTGGGCAAAGGATATGAACAGACACTTCTTAAAAGAAGACATTTATGCAGCCAACAGACATATGAAAAAATGCTCATCATCACTGGCCATCAGAGAAATGCAAATTAAAACCACAATGAGATACCATCTCACATCAGTTAGAATGGTGATCATTAAAAAGTCAGGAAACAACAGGTGCTAGAGAGGATGTGGAGAAACAGGAACACTTTTACACTGTTGATAGGACTGTAAACTAGTTCAACCATTGTGGAAGACAGTGTGGCGATTCCTCAAGGATGTAGAACTAGAACTACCATTTGACCCAGCCATCCCATTACTGGGTATATACCCAAAGGATTATAAATCATGCTGCTTAAAGACACATGCACACGTATGTTTATTGTGGCACTATTCACAATAGCAAAGACTTGGAACCAACCCAAATGTCCATCAGTGATAGAATGGATTAAGAAAATGTGGCTCATATACACCATGGAATACTATGCAGCCATAAAAAAGGATGAGTTCATGTCCTTTGTAGGGACATGGATGAAGCTGGAAACCATCATTCTGAGCAAACTATCTCAAGGACAGAAAACCAAACATTGCATGTTCTCACTCATAGGTGGGAATTGAACGATGAGAACACTTGGATACAGCGTGGGGAACATCACACACTGGGGCTTGTCGTGGGGTGGGGGGAGGGGGGAGGCATACCATTAGGAGATATACCTAATGTAAGTCACGAGTTAATGGGTGCAGCATACCAACATGGCACTTGTATACATATGTAACAAAGCTGCACAGTGTGCACATGTACCTTATAACTTAAAGTATAATAAAAAAACAAAGAAAAGTAATTAATAGGCCCAAAAATGTCAAATGGGATAATAAAATATTCTACATCTGGATACATATAAGTGCATAAAACAAAACAAAGATAACAATCTTTAAAAAAACAACAGAGAGAAATGTAGACTATTTTCATGGGCATAACAATTAGACCAAGTTTGACTAATTTATCAGCATTTTTAAAAAGTGAAATTATAGTTTCTGTCATCAATTACACAGAAAATCTCTATCAAGAAAAACTGCAAAAATTCATAATCTGCCAACTCACATTAATAGAAATTCTAAAGAGGGTTGTTCAGATAGAAAATATTCCCAGATAGGAACTTAGGATGCAGGAAGAAATGAAGAGGTACAAAATGGTAAATTTTAGTGAAATCTAACCTAGCAGTGACTTACTTGTGAGTTTTAATAGAGAGAGAATGAAAATATACCACAACAATAGCGTATATGTTGGAGGGGGTAAATGGAGTTAAAATAGGAGTATTAACTGGGATCAGCGTAAAAGTGCAAATAATATTGGCCTTTCAGAATAAAGTATTCATACAAACTAATTGTTAGGGTAGTCATTAAAGGAGTATAAATATGTTTGTAATTCCAAAATATGGAATACATGAAATAATATAAAACAGTTGTGGTGGCTTTGCAATGTGTCACTTGGCTAGGCTAAACTACATTTCCCAGTGTTCCTATAAGTTTCTGGTTAGGATATCCCTAAGAAAAATTCTGGTGAGGGATTTGGAAGGGGGAGCAAAGCAACAGCCTTTATGCTTAGCTCACACAAGTTGCCCTTTACCTGTTGTTCTACCCCATTGACTTTACTCGGTGGCCAGGCCTGAAATTGCTCCAGCTTTCTTTGGATCCTCCTTCAGCTTCTCTGACTCTTGAGCAAGGGGTGTGTGTAGTTAGCTCCATAATGAGGGTTCCTGGCTTCTGCAGGACACTATTAAGGCTCTAGACAATGAGGATTGAGACAGGTTTCAGTCTTTGCTGTGGACTCTAGCTTATGATTATTGGTCCTAACTTGTTCTTGCTCTCTCTACTTTACTTCCATATTTCCTTGTCAACTGCCTGCTGCATAGATTTCAAGCTCTAGCATTAAATGTGAAGATGACAGCCTTATAGAGACTACTTAACCAACTCTGATAATTATACAAGGTAAAATCTATATAAGAAATTCCTTTAACTCTATAATATATCTATCTATGTCATCATCTCTCCTAATGGTACTGACTCTCTAATGGAACCCTAACTAGTATAGTAGTCAATTATATGCAAAAAAGAGGAAAATAAACATGGAACAATAATTACAGATAGAGGTTACATTGTAAGATGGTAGGTATAAACTCAAATATACTAGTATACTCAAAATACACTGCACAAAATATTAATAGTCTAAATGCTCTATATAAAAGGCAAAGGTTATTGCAGTGGGTTTAAAAACACAAAACTCAAAATAGACAGTGTTCACAAAAGACACATGTGAAAGATACGACATGGAAAGACTAAAAGTAAACAGATGGAAAGAGATTTGCTTATTAAAAGGAAGCTGGTTTGATGCAATTATATCAGACAAAATAGAGCAAATAAATTTAAAGATTCTTTACTAGAGGTAATGAGAGATACTTTATAATGATAAAAGATTCAATTCACAAGGAGATGTGATGGTTAAACTGTGTGGCAAAAAATACATATAAAAATAATTAACATAATTGAAGGAAAATATACAAATTGATAATCATTATAGGAGATTTTAATATAACTTTTTCCGTAACTCATAGAATAAGCAGACAAGAAAAGATATTCACTAACACATACACTGAGTAACACACTTAACAAACTTGATCAAATTTACATACATAGAACCTTATATGCAACAATCACAAAATATGTAGTAATTTTAAGCATACATAGATATTTGCAGAAATTGATAGTATGCTATCCCACTGGATAAAAAGAGGGACTGAAATTCTACAGAGTATATTTTCTCATCACAAAACAATTCATTTAGAAATCAAAAAGCAAAAGGGTATATAGGAAACCCCAACATATTTGAAAGTAAGCAATCATTTTTAGATAACTCATGGATTAAAAAATTAAAATGGAAATTAGATAACACATTGAAATAAAAGTCAAAATGCTAAATCCCAAGCTTTGTGGGGTGCGGCTAAAGCCATAAGTAGAAATTGATAGCATAAGGAATAATAAACTTACAGAAAGTAGAAGGAAGCAAACAACAGAGAAAACAACACAACTTACTCCATATAATACAATCACATAATAGAGATTTTAAGGGAGGCCATCACCAGAACTATTAAAGAAATTTCAAAGAAAACATAAGAATCTTACACAAAACAATGCTAATAAATATTAACATTTATATGAAATGAACACATTCTAAGAAAAATACGACTTAACTCTGGCACAATAAAAAATACATATTTTTAGTCATATATTTTTTAAAGAACTCGGATTTAAAATCCTTCACACACACACACACTCACCAACACAGAGAGGCCCCAAAGCTTCACCAGAAAATTCTAACAACTATTTAAGAAGTATTTCTAATTCTTATACAAATTCTTCCAGGATTAAAAAACAGATGAAAGTTCCTCAATTCATATTTTGAAGGCTACATAACCTTATTTCCAAAATCTGAAACATTTTACAAGAAAAGAGAATTATCGACCAATTTCTGTCATGAACGTAGATATTAAAACCCTAAATAAAATATGAGTAAGCCAAGTCTATTTATAAATAAAAAGAATAATAAATCACAACTAAGTTCAGTTTGTTTCAGGGTGCAAAGTTGGTTTTACAACATATGAAAAAATGTAATTATCACATTATCCTGACAATGAAGAAAAATCATGAGATTATCTCATTAGCTACAAAAGGAACATTTGTTATCATTCAATATCCAGTTATGATTGAAATTCACAAATCAGGAAAACGAGAGAACTTTAATAAAGTGTATCTTACCGAAAACTTAGAGCTAGCATTGCATTTAATTGCACAACCTGGGAAATATCTTCTTGGTGGCCAGAAAACAGAAGACTGCATGCTATCATCATTTAAACTTCCAGTGTTGCATTAGAGGAAACTAAATGTGTAACTACTGTGAAAGAAGAACTAAAAGTGTAAAACAAAAACAAAAAACCTAAATACCACTCTACAACTTACAACTTGGCAAAATTTTAAAGTTGAAAGCATCAAATATTGGTGAATTTGTAGAGCAAAACGAACTTTCATAAATTAATAATGAGGATATGAAATGGTAATGGTCACTTTGGAAAGCAGCTTGACACTATCTGGAAGACATTAAAAACACACATTATATGATCTAGCAGTCTCCGTTCCATGTATGTATAAGAACTAGGAAACATGGACAAGAATGTTCAGAGCAAGGCTGTTCATTATACTCTCAAAATGGAAATGCCCAAATGTTCATCAACATTAGAATGGGTAAACAAACTATTGAATATTCATTCATAAAAATGCTAGACTTCAATATATGCAGTTACATGCAAAAGGTGAATAAACCTTTACAATATAAAGTAAAAGAAGCCAGACTTTAAAGTTACTGTATGATTCAATATACCAATTTCAAAAACAGGCAACAGACTAAGCCATGGTGTTTTGAGATCTACAATTAGATAGTGACACTGTAAAAAAAAGTGAATTTCAGAATATTTAGTAGTATGGTTAACATGGGGGGTAGGGAGGACTTTATGATGAAGAAAGACCACCCAGGGGGCTTCCAGATGCTGGCCATGCACTGGTTCTTGATATGGGTGGGGCAACCAGGATGTTTATTTTCACAATTTGTTATTTTGTATATTTGTCTTTTTGCATTTTCTGTCTGTTATATAATTATAATTTTAAAAATAAGGCTGTGTAGAAAGACCAAAGACATAAAATAAATAACAACTGACAAGGAAGAAATACTAATCTCTGTATTAGAGAATAACGTATGGTTATGTATGTTGAATATTTTTAGAAATCTAAGGAGTCTCTAGCTCCTGGAGTGGCTAGGAGGGAAACTGAAGAGGTAAGCAGAAGGCAAGTACAGTGGAATGTTACTGAAGCACTTTTATTAAAAAAGTGACTTGAACAAACTTAGAATTAGCTTGAAAATGCTGTTTTAAACTTGGCTTGAGGTGCCAAGACTTTTCTCCTTAACTGGATGTTAAATGCTTCTAGTTTCTCTCTGGCTACAGTCCCTAGTAAAGGGGCCTTTTTCATGGTATGGTCTCAATAACCGTTTGTAAATTGAGTTTACTAAGAAACAGGAGAAAGGCAAAGCAAGATGGCTGAATAGAAGCCTCCAGCAATCGTCCCCCACCATCTCCACAGGAACACCAAATTGAAAAAGCAGCACACAAGAAAGTGCCAAAAGAACCAAAAATCAGATGAGTGATCACAGTACCTGGTTTTAACATCATATTAAGGCAAGAGGCACTGAAGATGGTAGGAAAGACAGTCTTGAATCCCCTACAATATCCCTCCTCCATCTCCCAGCAGCATCTTTGTGGCACAGGAAGATAATCTGTGTGCTTGGGGGAGGCACAGTGGCGCGACTGTGGGACTTTGTGTTGGAACTCAGTGGTTTCCTGTCACAGCAGAAAGCAACATGGGGCAAAACTCATCCAGTGCCCACGGAGGGAGCATCTAGACCTTCCCTAGCCAGAGGTGAATAATCCATCCCAGCAGCGGGAACCTGAGTTCCAGCAAGCCTCACCATCATGGGCTAAAAGGCTATGGGGTCCTACATAAACTTGAAAGGCAGTCTAGGCCACAAGGACTGCAAGTCCTGGGCAACTCCTGGTGCTGTGGGTTTGGAGCCAGTGGGCTTAGGCTGCAAGCAACCTAGTGAGACACCAGCTGGGGTGGTCAAGGGAGTGCTTGTGTACCTTCCCCCAAGCCCAGGTAGTACAGCTCACAGCTCCAGGAGAGATTCCTTCCCTCTGACTGAGGAAAGGAGAGGGGAGAGTAAAGAGGACTTTGTCTTGCAACCTGGATACCAACTCAGCCACAGTAGGATAGGGCACCCAGCAGAGCCCAGAGGCCCCCATTGCGGGCCCTAGCTACAGGACTACATTCCTAAATGTAGTCCTATCCCCCTGGGATAGGGATAGAAGGGGATCCTCTGCCTTGAAGGGAAGGGACCCAGTCCTGGTAGGATTTATTAGGCTCCTGCTGTGTAAAGAGCCTTTGGACCCTAAATAACCAGCAGTGGTAGCCAGGCAGTACTCAATGCAGGCCTTGGGTGAGACTCAGAGGTGTGCTGGCCTCAGGTGTGATCCAACACATTCCCAGCTGTGGTGCTATGGGGAGAGTGTCCATTTGGTTGAGGAAATGAGAGGAAAGAGTAAAGAAGACTTTGTCTTGCAGCTTGGGTACCAGCTTGGTCACAGTGGGGTAGAGCATCAAGCCACTTCCTGGGGTCCCCAATTCCAGACCTTGGCTATTGGATGACATTTCTGGACCTGCTTTGGGACAGGGGGGAGCCCACCCTTCCCTGAAGAAAGAGACTCAGGCCTGGAAGCATTCACCACAAACTGACTGATGAGCCCTTTGGCCTTGAGTGAACATTGACTGTAACCAGTCAGTACTTGCTGTGGGCCAGAGGCAGTGGTGGCCACAGGGAGAGATTTTTCTGCTCGAGGAAAGGGGAGGGAATAGTCAGAAGGACTTTGTCTTGTAGCTTGGGTGCCAGCTCAGCCACAGTAGAGTAGAGCACCAGGTAGATTCCTAAGGTTCCTGATTTCAGGCCTTCGCTTCCAGATGGCATCCTCAGACTTGCCTGAGGCTGGGGAAACTCACTGCCATGAAGGCAAGAACACAAGCCTGGATGTATTTGCCACCTGATCACTGTCAAGCCCTTGGGCCACAAGTGAACACTGGCAGTAGCCAGACTGTGGTTACTGTGGGCCTTGGGCAAGACACACACACACACACACACACACACACACACACACACACACACTCACACTCACTATCTGTTTGGGGGAAAGTATGGGAAGACAAGAGTCTTTGCTTGGTAATCCAGGGAATAGTTCCAGATCTTACCCAGGACCACCAAGCCAGTATATCTGTGAGTCTGCAAGAGCCACAGCATTACTGAGCTTGGAGTGCCCCCTAAAGCAGATATAGCTATAGTGACCAAAGATTTAGATCACAATGCCCAAGTCCCTTCAAATACCTGGAAAGCCTTCCCAGGAAGGCTGGGTAAAAGCAAGCCCAGACTGTGAAGACTACAATACATACATAACTCTTCAGTGCCCAGACACTGACAAACATTTACAAGCATCAAGACCATCCAGGAAACCATGACCTAACCAAATGTACTCAGTAAGTCACCAGTGACCAATCTTGGAGAGACAGAAATGTGACCATTGAGATGGAGAATTCAAAATTGCTGTTTTGGGAAAGTTTAACAAAATTTAATACACCAAAGAGAAGAAACTCAGAATCCTACCAGATAAATTTAACACCAAGTTTCAAATTATTAAAAGGAATCAAGTAGAAATTCTGGAGCTGAAAAATTGACAGGCTCAAGAATGCATCAGAATCTCTTCATAGCAGAATTGATCAAGCATAAGAAAGAATTAGTGAACTTTAAGACAGACTATTTGAAAGCACACAGTCATAGGAGACAAAAGAAAAAATAAAAGGAATCAAGCATGCCTATAAGATCTAGAAAATGGCCTGAAAAGGGCAACTTTAAGAAGTATTGACCTTAAAGAGAAGGTAGAGAGAGAAATTGGATTATAGAGTTTATTCAAAGGGATAATCACAGAAAACTTGGCAAACCTAGAGAAAGATGCCAATATTCAAGTACAAGAAGATTGCATAACACCAAGCAGATTTAATTCAAATAGGACTACCTCAAGCCATTTAATAATCAAACTCCCAAAGGTCAAGAATAATGAAAGGATCCTAAATGCAGCGAGAAAAGAAACAAATAACATACAATAGAGCTCCAATATGTCTGGCAGCTGACTACTCAATGGAAACCATATAGGGAGGAGAAAGTGACATGACATATTTAAAGTGTAGAAGGAGAAAAACTATTGTCTTAGAATAGTACATCAGCAAAGGTATTCTTCAAACATGAAGGATAAATAAAGACTTTCCCAGAAAAACAAAAGCTAAGAAATTTCATCAACACTGGGTGGGTCTGTCCTACAAGATATGCTAAAGGGAATTCTTCACGCTGAAAGAAATGGACATTAATGAGCAAAAAAAAAAAAAAAAAAAAAAATCATCTGAAGGTACACAACTCACTGGTAATAGTAAGTGCACAGGAAAACAAAATTGTGTAACACTGTAATTGTGGTGAATAAACTACTCAAATCATTAGCAGAAATTCTAAAAATAATACTCTAACAAATTTTCAGTATAATAAAAGTAGAAACAACAAGGGGTTAAAAATCAGGGGAATGCAGTTAAACTATGCAGTTTTTATTAGTTTTCTCTTTACTTGTTTGTTTTTTTGTTACCCAATTAGTGATAAATTGCCATCAGTTTAAAATAAGGGATTATCAGATATTATTTGCAAGCCTCATGGTTACCTCAAATAAAAAAACATACCACAGATCCACAAAATATATAAAACATGAAATTAAAACATGCCATTTGAGAATATCACTTTCACTAAAAGGAAGAGAGAAAGGAAAGAAAGAAGTAAGAGAAGACCACATGACAACCAGAAAACAAATAACAAAATGGCAAGAGTAATTCCTTACTTATCAGTAATAATATGGAATGTAAATGGAATAAACTCTCCAATTAAAAAAATAGAGTAGCTGAATGAATAAAAAAAAAGACCTAAACATCTGTTGCTTACAAGAAACACACTTCACCTATGAAGAGACACATAGACTGAAAATAAAGGCTTGGAAAAGGATATTCCATGCCAATAGAAACCAAAATGGAGAAAGAGTAGCTATACTTATATTATACTAAATAGATTTCAATGCAAAAACTAGAAAAAGAAATAAAGTAGGTCATTGTACAGTGACAAAGGAGTCAATTTAGCAAGATAATGTAGCAATTGTAAATATATATGTGCTCAACTCTTGAGCACCCAGGTATGTAAAGCAAATATTATTAGAGCTAAAGAGAGTGACAGATCCCAGTGCAATACTAGCTGGAGACTTTAACAACTTACATTCAGCACTGGACAGATGAGTCAGATGGAAAATCAACAAATAAACATCAGACTTAATCTGCATTATAGGCCAAATGGACCTAATAGATATTTATAGAACATTTCATCCAATGGGTGCAGAACACACATTCTTTTCCTTAGCACATAGATTATTCTCGAGAATAAATTATATGTTAGGTCACAAAACAAATCTTAAAAATTTTTTAAAATTGAAGTCCTATCAAGTATCTTCTTTGTCCACAATGGAATAAAACTGGAAATCAATAATCAAAGGAATTTGGGAAACCATACAAACACATAATAGTTAAACAATATGTTCCTGAATGACCAGTGGGTCAATGAAGAAGTTAACGAAGTTGAAAAATTTCTTGAAACAAATGAAAATGGAAACACAACATACCAAGAGGTATGGGATACAGTGAAAGCAATACAAAGAAGAAGGCTTACAGCAATAACTGTCTATAAAAAAGCAGAGAAACTTCAGATAAAACAACCTAATGATAAATCTTAAATAACTAGAAAAGCAAGAGCCAACCAAAATGAAAATTAGAAGAAAAGATAATAACGATCACAGCAGAAATGAAAGTGAAACAAAGAAATCAGTACAAAAGATCAACCAAATGAAGAGTTGGGTTTTATGAAACTGAGAAACCTTTAGCCAGACTAAGAAAAAAAGAGAGAAGATCCCAATAAATAAAATCAGAGATGAAAAAGGAGACATTACAACCAATACCACAGAAATTCAAAAGATCATTAGTGGCTACTATGAGTAATTATATGTCAATAAATAAAAAAATCTAGAAGAAACGGATTAATTCCTAGACACATACAACCTACCAATGTTGAACCATGAATAAATCCACAACTTAAATAGACCAATAACAAGTGATGAGATGAAAGCCATAATAAAAGTTCTCCCAGCAAAGACCAGGACACAATGACTTAACTGCTGAATTTTTCAAACACTTAAAGAAGAACTAATACCAACTCTAACTATTCTGAAAAACAGAGGAAGTGGAAATACTTCTGAACTCATTCTTTGAGGCCAATATTAGCATGATACCAAAACCAGACAGAGGCACCTCAAAAAAAAGAAAAGTACAGGCCATTATCCCTGATGCAAATATCTTCAATAAAATATTAGCAAACTGAATTCAACCACATATTAAAAAGACAATTTATTATGACAAAGTGGGATTTATCTCAGGGATGCAAGGACAGTTCACCATATGCAACTCAATCAGTGTAATATATCATATCAACAGAATAAAAGACAAAAGCACCTGATATTTTTGATTGATGCCGAAAAAGCATTTAGTAAAATTCAACATCCCTTCAGGATAAAAAATCTTAAAAAATTGGGTATAGAATTTTAACATTATAAAAGCTGTATATGACAGACCCTCAGCTAGTTTCATACTGAATGGGGAAAAACTGAAGCCTTTGCTCTAAGATCTGGAACAAGACAAAGATGCCCACTTTCACCACTATTATTCAGCATAGTACTGGAAGTCCTAGCCACAGCAATCAGACAAGAGGAAGAAATGAAGGACATCTGCATTGGAAAGGTAGAAGTCAAATAATCCTTGTTTGCAGAAGATAAAATCTTACATTTGTAAAACCCTAAAGACTCCCCCAGATAACTATTAGAACTGATAAAGAATTTCAGTAAAAGTTGCAAAATCAACATACAAAAATCAGTAGCACTTTTATATTCCAACAGTGAACAATCTGAAAAATGAGGAAAGTAATCTAATTTATAATAGCTACAAATAAAACAAAACACATAGAAATAAGCTTAACAAAGAAGTAAAAGATATCTATACTAAAAACTGTAAAGCACTGATGAATGAAATTGAAGATGACATACAAAAAATGGAAAGATATTGCATGTTCATGGATTAGAAGAATCAGTATTGTTAAAATGTCCATACTACTCAAAGCAATATACGGCATCAATGCAATCCCTCTAAAAATACTGATGACATTCTTCACAAAAATTTAAAAAATAATCTTAAAGTTTTTGTAGAACCACAAAAGACCCAGGATAGCCAAAGCCACCTTGAATAAAAAGAACAAAACTGGAGGAAACACGTGACCTGACTTTAAATTATCCTACAGATCTATAGTAACCCAAACAACATAGTACTGGCATAAAAACAGACACAGAGACCAATGCAACAGAACAGAGAACCTAGAAATTAATCCACGCATCTACAGTCAATTTATTTTTAACAAAGATGTCAAGAACCTACACTGGGGAAAGGACAGTCTTGTTAATAATTGGTGCTGGGAGAACTGGATATCCACATACAGAAGAATGGAACTAGACCTGTATCTCTAACCATATACAAAAATCAAATCAAAATATATTGAAGACTTAAATCTAATACCTGAAACTATGAAACTACTAAAAGAAAACATTGTGCAAACTCTCTAGGATATTGGTCTGGGCAAAGATTTCTGGAGTGATATTCCAAAAACACAGGCAACCAAAGCACAAATGGACAGATGGGATTCATCAAGTTAAAAAGCTTCTGAACAACAAAGGGGACAACAAAGTGAAGAGAAAACCCACAAAATTTGAGAAAATATTTGCAAACTATTCATTTGACAAAGGATCAATAAATAACCAGAATATATAAAGAGCCCAAACAAGCCAATGGGAAAAATAATTGAATAATCTGATTTAAAAATGGGTAAAATATCTGAATAGACATTTCTTAAAAGAAGACATACAAATGGGAAACAGGTATATGAAAAAGTGCATAACATCTTGGATTATCAGAGAATTGCAAATCAAAACTACAATGAGATATCATCTCATCCCAGTTAAAATAGCTCTTATCCAAAAGACAGGTAATAATGAATGCTGGTGAGGATGTGGAGAAAAGGAACCCTCATGCAGTGTTGGTGAGAGTGTAAATTAGTACAATCGCTATGGAGAAGAATTTATAGGTTCCTCAAAAACACTAAAAATAGAATTACCATGTGATCCAGCAATCCCAGTGCTAGGTATATATCCAAAAGAAAGGAAAGCAGTATATCAAAGAGATATTTGTATTCCCATGTCATTGCAACACTGTTTACAATAGCTAAGATCTGGAAGCAACATAAGTGTCCATCAATAGGTGAATTAATTAAAAAATGTGGTATATATATACAATAGAGTACTATTCAGCCATAAAAAAAAATGAGTTCCTGTCACTTGCAACAAATGGATGGAACCAGAGGTCATTATGTTAAGTGTAATAAGTCAGCCACAGAAAAACAAACTTTGCATGTTCTTATTTATTTGTGGGAACTAAAAAAATGAAAGCAATTGAATTCATGGAGATAGAGCCAAGAATGATGGTTTCCAGAGGCTGAGAAGGACAGTGGTGGAGCAGGGGAAGTGGCTATGGTAATAGGTACAAAAATGTAGTTAGATAGAATGAATAAGTTGTAGTATTTAATAGAACAACAGGGTGGCAAGAGTTAACAATTTATTGCACATTTAAAAATAACTAAAAGTATAATTGGATTGTATATAACAGAAAGAGAAGATACATTCTTAAGGTGATGGATACCCCATTTACCCTGATGTGATTATTATACATTATATGCCTGTATCAAAATCTCATGTATCCTATAAATAAATACACCTACTCTGTACCCACAAAAATTAGAAATTAAAAAAATTAAAAATAGGTCCACTGTAACCATTGTATTTGTTTAAAGAAAATCTTTTTTCTTTGATATTGTAATATAGGCACAATAATAAGAGTCTTCTGGAAATTACTGAGATTATATTTGTAACTTTTTCTGTTTACACAAAAACATAATTAGCATAGATATCATGTCTACATATCTAATGCAAAGTGTTAACTATAGATTAATACCTTTGTGGTATTCAGGCTACATGTAATTTTAGCACAAAAAATAACCAAATAACCAAACAAGCAAAATAAATGAACAAGCAATAGATCTTACAGTTTGGCCTGAATTATTTAGAAAATTGCTTTTATTCTTCGTTTCATACTGCATGTATATAGACACAGAGTTAATTGATTATAAAATGGTTTTGAGTCAGTCCTAAGCACTCTTACTGAGTAAATTACTTCAAACCAGTTAATTCCAACCTAATATTTTAGCATCACTCTCATGATTTTCTAAAGAAGAGATGCATGAAAATTCATAGTGATGTTTATAATGTACACTAAATATTTATAATGTACACTAAATATTATTAGAATGTTAATGAAATATTAAGGAGGTGACCTGAGATAATAACACAAGAAGTACTGAACTGTTAAATTAGCATTGCAATATTGTCTTTACAGTTGTTGAATATTCTATGTAACAAAACACATTTAGCACTAGAAACTGTAGCTATAACACTTAATAAAAATATTTTTGTATGTTTGAAACCTCATTTATAAAGTTGCAGAGTTACAATCTGTATTATTTTCCTTCCAATTTATTTTCCACAGAGAAGGTAAGATAATTGTAATAGTGGAAGGAAAAGAATAGCTTACTAAATCAAATACTTGTTATATAGAATTATGGGCAATTTAAAGTAATCCTTAAAAAGCATATATTTTTGCCTAGTATTACTTAAAATTCACCATTAAAAAACACATGTACATAGATATATAGTAACAGCTAATTGAAATGTTGTATATAATGGCTTCATATTGCTCCATTTCCTATTTGGGCATTTAAAACAGCAGGTTTCTACAGAGATCTACACTGGAAATCAGAGTTTTGTAATTCTGAAGGAGCAGTAGCTGATTGTCTAAAGATATGCCTAAAAGATTTCACTGAACACTAGGCCATGTATGAGTTTCCTGAGTTTAATTATTCTATTCTGGGTTGTGGCTCAAGACAGGGAAACTGAAATCAGATCACTGTCCAGAGATATTGGAAAGGGCCTAATGATAACTTTTTGATGTCATTTTCAGGTGTCTGTGAGAATTAATTGGTAAAACTCAACATTGATGTTCTATAGTTTGGAATTAAAGGCACTGTACAATTGATCTTGGCCTTTATTTCCAGTTTTCATATCCTCTCTTATTTGAAGCCTTCACTCTTAGATGTTTACCTATGTTTCCCTCCTAGGTTGTAACTTTGCTTATGAAGCAGCATTGTCTGGGGTAAATACCTGAGATTCATTGCCTCATGCCAAGGAAATTAAGGACACAGACACACACAAGGAGTGAGTTTAAGAGCAGAGGTTTAATAGGCAAAAGAAAGAGAAAGGAGAATAGCTGTCTCTTCTGCGAGATAGAGGGGCACCCCTGTGGGACCTCTCGCTGGCAGTGGAGTGCACTGGATTATATAGGCAGGCTTAAGGAGCCTCTGTGTTTTATTTACATTGGCCCACAGATTGGTTGAACCAGGTGTGACATTTACATCGCTGCGGGGAAGCGGGCCACCCCACCCTAATCTTCTTCTTATGCAAAGGGGCTTTCTACTTGGCTGGTGCCATGTTGTCTGCTCCCTACTGCACACATGATTGGAAAGGAAAAGGGAAGATGGAGCCGCCATTTGGAAGATGCCTTGTCCCAGGTAGCCTTTTCCTATTGGCACAACTGCTGGCGTTCACCTGTGCAGGCTTCCAGTTTGCTTGTCTATGTCTGAAGCTTGATTTTATAGGCTGCTTTTTGTTAGAAAAGAAAATGATTTGGGGGCTGCTTTTCATTAAAAGAAAAACCTTACCAAGGACTTCGTTACCCTCACTATCTGCCTAAATAATTTATTTTTAACTCATATATCACTTACGTACTTACAGTCACAGGAATGTGAATATTCCTCCTATTCACCTACAGGAGTTGATCTTGCCCTCCTTCAAAGTTCACATTAAATTCTAATTTTCCTATGAAACATCTCACGATTTCTCTCTGAAGAGAGTAAGCCCTAAAGTTTTCTGGTATTTTATTCCTTCATGTTGCAGTCTTTATTCACAGCCTAGTGAAATCATAAAGTTCTCCCAAATGAAAGATATATTCCCTAAAAGCAAAAATAACCCCCTTTCTTTCAAGCCTCTGCACAAAGCCTTGCTCATGCTTGTCCAGACCTGACTTCTTAAAGATTCCAATCCTGACTTGGTGAAGTTCTCTAGATTACACACAAAAACAGTAGTCCTGGTAGATGCACAGTGGATCAGTTTGCTTCCACTGGGTAAGGCTGGAGTAACAATCTCCGAATCTCATTGACTCACAGTATAGGTATATTTCTCATGAATGGTATTTGTTGACTACAGGAGCTGCAGTGGTCACAGGTCAGGTGGCTCTTGTGTCTTCTTCATTCCAATATCCAGGTTGAAGAAGCAGCCCCTAATTTTGATTTACACATCTTGTAGCAGAGAGAAAAAAGCAAAAGTGCTAACAGAAGCATGGAATGGTTTATAAATCCTATGCTCAGAATGGGCAAATGTTTCTTCTCCCACTTGATTGACCAATGTAAGTCAAATGGCCTAGCTTAGCAATGAGGCAAGAAGTAAATTCTGCCTACAGAAATACACTGAAAGCTCACGGCAACCTGTGCGGATGTATAGTCCTCTCATAGGACAGGAGAGCAATTGTACAGTCTACCTCATTTTACAGTGGTATTCTTCTTGTTCTCTCCCTGCATCTGGACTTCTTAAGTGTTGGCCTTTTCTTCTTATGTAGGACTTATACTCATTTTGACTATTTTTATTGGCTGTTGATTTTTGAATCAATTTTTGGATTTATATTCTGCCTCTCCATCTCGCTCTATTTCTGCTAGGTGATCACAGGTTAAGATACTTGTATTTGGCCTAGCTGTAAAGTATTTATTACTTGTACACTAAATACTTTATCAGTAACTATTGCATAAACTCCAGACAATGTTCAATAACTATGTATTAAATCATTGGGTAACAATCAAACTATTGTTTATCTATTTACATTAATTTTACTTTTAGACCCAATGCCATGAGACTTAAGGGCCCATCTTTGCCTATAAGCACTAAGCTTAGAGCACCTGCTTTGACAAGGGTAACCTTTGGAAGTGTTGAGGTTGGCAACTATGAGATTCTCACTGAACCAAACTAAGCAAAATAATTTATCTCCACCACTATCCTGGGAGTTTTTCTCTACTCACAGAGCTTGAGAAAAAAAAAAAAAAACTAACCAGAATATGCATTTTATACTTGGTAGCTCTTTCAAAAAGTTTTCTTGATCAAGAGATAAAATCTGGACAGAATGATTTTTGTAAGTTCACAGTGGGGAGAAAAAAACTGAGAATTAAGCTAAGTGCCTGCCGAATTTAAAGTAGGCATAATTTTTTGTGTGTGCCTAGGTTTTCGCTAAATTTTTCTGCAATTTTAGAATGTTTATGTTATAAGTACAGTAAAAATAATCTATACTTATGATAGTAAAGTTGTTATTGGTTCTGAAGTTATTATTAGCTCCATCTTTATGAGTTACAGGTTTACATCTACATTTCTATGGTTGCTTTTCCTAATTAACAGGATCTAAACAATATTACATTATATAGCATGGCATAAGATGGGATATTGGTATTGGTATGTAATTATACATATTGTCAACTTATTTTCTTTCAAATACCATTTACTGATGTTCTACAAATGAAAATATTGTAATTTAAAAGCAAATGAGAACCTCGCCAGTAAGAACCTAAACATTAGAGATATACAGTGAGTAAAATCAGAAATTCTGCTTTCCTGGAACTTACAGGGTATCAGGGAAGTTGGCCATTAAAAATATGACCCCAAGACAAACATAGTAAGACATTTTGATAGGTTTCCTGAAGGAAAGAAACAGTCCTGCATCAGTGTATAACCAAGGAATATCACACAGACATGATTGTCAGGGAAATTTCTCCAAGGGAGAGTCTCAAGCTATGGTCTACAGAGTGAGTTAGAGTTAAGTAAGAACTTTGTAGGGTTGGTGTGAAGATGGCATGTCTCTTTACACATAGGAATAGCATGTGAAATGACCCTGTGGCTGGTGCTTGCATGGTGAGCTCTAGGAATCAAAAGGCCAGGATGGCTGAAGAATAGAATGGGAGAAGTGTAGGGTGTGAAATGAAGCTGAAAAAGTTGTCTGGAACGAGCAAATTTTGGGGATCCTCAGAGCCTGCTTTGAGGATTCTGGTTTTTGTCCTATGTTCAATAGGGAACTATTGAAGATTTTAGGCAGGAGTCTTACCAGATCACATTTAAATTATTAGGTTTGCTTCAACTTTAGGGTAAAAAGTTTCTGAGGAATGGTGGGATGAATCAAGTGGATAGAATGACACTATTAAGGAGGCGAACATGGTAGTTTAGGTGAGACTAGAGCATGTAGAGTAGATGTAGAAAGGAGTGAATTAAAGAGATAGAGGGAGAATTCAAAGATGATTCCTGTAATCTAGACTTGCTCAATTACATGAATGATAGGCCTATTTGGTGAGATATGGAACACTAAACGATAACAAGATTTTATTTCAGATTGAGGAGTTTAAAACTTTCTCTCAGAACTATTGCATTTGTGGTATTATTTTAAGACATCCAAGAGCAAAAGTGTGAGTAAGCTGCTTGCTTTAAGTTTCTGGTCCCAGAGGTACAAATTTGGAAATCATCAACGTAGGCCTTAAGGAGTTTCCATATATACAGTCCAGTTACAGAATGGCAAATCTGCAAAGAAGTATGAATCTTAGTGGCTAGAGAGATGGGAGCCACACCTGGAGAATGAGATACCATGGAAGTCAAGTGAAGAGATCACTCAGAATAAGAGAACCCTGCTCAGTAGTATCAAATGTCATATAGAGATCAAGTGTTATGTGAATAGAAAATTTCACTGGATTGCACAATTTGAAAATCATTAATTTTATGAGAGTGGTTTTGATATGGGGAACTGAGTATGACAGATTTGAGTGGTTGAACAATGAATGATAGGTAAAGAAATGGTTACAGTGAGTTTAGATAAATCAAGAGAGAGAAAAAAACTTATCATTGTAGCTATAGGGGAATACTAGGATTAGGGGTTTGGTCTGTTAAATGGTAAGAGAGTCTTGAACATATTTAAATACTTTTATAATAATTCATTTAACTATTATTAAGAGGGTAGAAAGGATAGTTAAACATAAAATTCATTTGTTTCCAGAGTAGATAACATGCATTCCACAGAGTGAAGGTATATTAGAAACTACCATTGTATACAATTGATATCTATATCTGTAAATTTGATATAAATTTACAGTGCATTCTCAAATTTATTTTAAATTTATGGTTCACACAGACAAATTTTTCATTATTTTTATTATGCATTTGTGAGGCTTCTGTGAAATCTGGAGGGAACAAAGCTTTTTCCAAATTCATTATAGAAGTTTTATATGTCAAAGTAAGCCATCTAAAATTGCAAAATGGCCAGCATAGGGGCTCACACCTGTAATCCCAGCACTTTGAGAGGCTGAGGCAAGTGGATTGCTTGAGCCCGGGAGTTCGTGGTCAGCCTGGGCAACATGGTGAAACCGTGTCTGTACCAAAATAAATAAATGAATAAATAAATAAATAAAAATAGAAATAAAAAAATTAGCCAGGTGTGGTCACATGCACCTGTAGTCCTAGCTACTCAGGAGGCTAAGGTGGGAGGATCAGCTGAACCTGGGAAGGTCGGAGCTGCAGCGAGCCATGATCACACCACTGTACTCCAACCTGGGCAACAGAGTAGGACCCTGTCTCCAAAAAAAATATATATAAATAAAGTTGCAGTTTAAGAAGTAATTAACTATTCTGTTTTCTTTATCCCAAATTATTCCCAAAATATTCAAGGACATGACCTCATCTGATTTTTTCTTAGCTCCTGACATTTTTCTACATCATAAAAGCTGATTAATTAAGAAAGCAGATTTCTTGCTAATAGAGGCAATGAAGTAAGTGAAAGAGGCAAATGTTGATTTCAACTTCCTGGAATATGAAGGGACAAGGTAATCATCATTCATTTTTTTAAAAAACCTCTCAGACACTCTTCACTTTCTAATTGTTATAAGTCTCTTAATCCTCCTCATGCAATGGACATATCTTTTGACTTCACCAGTACAATACCTGCCCTATGAGAAGAAGAGAGTAAAGGCCTGGATCTGCACATGCTGCCTAGTTCTTTCTCTTCAGGGTGAAAAAAGTATTTAAGAACGAAGCTTGATAGAAAGAAACAACTAAAAATAAACACCACCTTGATATCACTTGTTTGAATATCATTGCTCTTTTCTATTTTGTTTTTGCGTCTTATCTCTTGCTCTTTTGTACACATGCATAGCTTTTATTAAAAATTGTTCACATTCTAAGAAGTGAGATTTTCTTACTGGAGAGTTTTAGATCTAGTCCTAGATCTTTAACTTTTGTTATTCTTTTCTTGTATCACTTTGAATGAGATTTTCAGTTCCAAAGAAATTATAGTTTTCGGACTAATGGCAGACTGTATGCCAAATTCACACACACGCTCCACTTTGTATCTTGTTTTAGAGTAGATGTGCAAATAAAAATATATGTAATTCATATGATTAAATAATATTCTGATTTTAGTAATGCTAATTGTGATAAAGTGAACTTTATGTTTTCATTGATAGAATGCACATAATACATTTCTACAAGATTGCTTCATTTACTTGTGATAGAAACAGTATAATAAAATTAGCAAATATGTGATTAGCTATGAAGTGCCATTTTGTGGATAATTTACCTCCGGCTATTTTTTTCACTGATATTTATATTTCAAACAGTGTCTGTAGGGTAAAGAAAGGAAGGTGCTTCATTGCTATTTTAATCAACTATAGAGGATGATGAGTGAGAGCTTCTTAGCTAAATATTAAAAGAATTAGGACTCTCAGATGGGGAAATATGAAGTGTAAAACAAGTGGCTATATATATGTACTTGGAAAACTTACAGGAAGAAACTATGTATAGGTGCCTCTAAACTAAACAGTTTGGGCTAATGGATACCGAACTGGGATACATTTACATAGACGATATGTTTAAACATTCTTGGGAGAAATAGAGTCAATTAAAGTTGCCACATTGCAAACACCCATTTATCTCTCATGACAGCAGCTTCTGTAGAATTAAATGTAAATGGTGCCCTCTAGATTGGGCCACAGCATTGCATCAGCAGCATTCTCTGCATGACAAGTAGAATTTAGGGCATTCTTTATAACACAAATATAATGCTTACAGACTTAAGAATTGGTCCTAAAGAAGGCCAAGGGGAAATCTCTGCAATCATTGCTTCTAAGCATCAGAAAGTTTCATCTTACTTTCAGGACTGAAAGCCGGTGTTGAGTTAATTCATTAACTCATTGCCTGCACTTTGGGTCAAGGTTCTGTTAGCTAAGGAATCTGATGGGATCCCATTGCATCCTGTAAAAAATTATTGTAAGATGTTCAGAAAGAAAGACAATATTTCAATATGCCAAAAAAAAGAATTAAGGCAGTTTTTCTCTGCATCTTTTTTCTTCTTCACTATATTGATAGATGTACCTGCACGACATAAATTCTTTGTGTCAATGTGGTGGTAGCTATCTCCTGGAGCAAAGTGATGATTTCAAAATTCAATTGTATGTCTGGCATTCAATTGATTTGACAACAAATATAGCAAGTAGCTCATATGAATGAAATTGTGTATGCCCCTTCTAAACAATGAAAGGTCTGAATCAGTTTTCTGTTGAATAAATTTTTAATTTTGACTATATCAGTTTAAAATATATCAAGTGTCATTATTTACATACTGAAATTCTTATCTTTTTCTATGGGAGTGGAAAAGAATCATTTTGCAAGGTTTTTACACTCCTAATTTAAAAAAATTTCAAGTCCTAATTTAATTTGTCTTGATGGAAATTTAAGCTTTAGCCATTTAAAAACATGGAGACACAATGAGATATATAATAATGAGTTATACACTAAGGTAGAGTTGAGGGGACCTCGGTCATTATCTAGATCTGTACAGTCTATTACAGTAGTCACTACCATCTGTGGCTTTCAAGCACTTAAAATGTGACTAATCGAAATTGTAGTGTGCTGTAAATATAAAATACATAGCAGATGTCAAATATTTTGCATGAGAAATGTAAAATTTCTCAGTAATAATTTTATATTAATTATATTTTGACATTATATTTTGGATACATTGATTAAATAATTATTAAAATTAATTTTATCTATTATTTTTCCTTTTTCAATTTAGGTTCTAGAATATTTAAAGTTACATATGTGGCTCACATTACATTTCTGTTAGAGATCACTGCTCTAGATCAACCTTCTCATTTTACAAGAAAATCAATCTAGGTACTAATTGACTAGATTCCCTAATTTCCAGTCCAGTAATATTCACAATGTACTGCATTTGTTCAGGGCTTCAATATGCTTCATATATATTGTATCATTTGTTTTTGATAGCAACCTGATAAGGAACATAGATTAGGAATTATAAGCTCCAATTTATATAGTAGGCACAGAAATTCAAGTAAATTGGTAGAGGTCACATGCTTATTAAATAAAAGACATGAGTCTGGACCTAATTTTTTATGATTCCCAGGTCATATAGTTTATTATCATGAGGCATTATGAGTGCAGGGATCACTAGAGGTGGAACAGCCAATTTTGTTTATTTTAGCCTGTCATAAGTGAGGAATTGGTAAAAGAGCATCCAGAAATGCCTTATAAAGTCCCTATTTTTATAGTCACTAGCAGTGACTATAGAAAACTTTTGTTCTATTTTCTTTTATGTTGCAGATAAGACATTATATTAATTTCATAAAAATTATGATTTTATCATTAATTTAATTTCAGGACAATAATGGGAGTATCATACAATATTTGTTATGTAAAAAGGCATGACATCTGATAGGCCTGAGACTCAAAACTCAGATGTAAAGGGAGTTTCCAAATCAATCTTTCTCAATACTATATAACATAGCATTCTTTCATAATACATATAACACTTATACTAAATTAATACATGATTATTTCAAGCTATTTTGGCATATTTTAGTCGGTTTTAATGGGAATGTACATTCTGTCTCATACCATTTTGATACATTATAAAAACTAGAAGAGGTGAAAAAGGCTTTATTTCAACAATTATATGATAACATTTCCAAAATATCTTTGAGGGTAACATGGTGGGATGTGAATTATTTGATTAAAATCTGAATTTCTGGCTTTTCTTTAAAAGTCAGAATAACTCCTAACTAACTAACTAACTAAATAAATAAATAAATAAATAGCTAACTAACTAACTAACTAAATAAATAAATAACAAGTAGCATAATCATGGAGTAATTGCCTGGAGCAGAGTCACAGCTGTCCTCTATGAACATTCTCATTTGATACTCTCTCTACTACTGGCTACTGCGTTACAAGTATTCTGCTTCCTTGTCTGCCTGATCCCATAATGTTTGGGTTTGTAATCTCCAAAAAATGCTCTCAAAAGCACTTTCTAACTCCTAGTGCCCATGATCCATTTATGATCTTGCAATTCTCTAATTGGCTTGCTCACCTCATAATTGAAAGCTGTTCAATGACTAGTTAGATAATACTGTCATTTTTTTCACGTCATGCATATAACCCAGTGTGCTTTTTCCAGCTTCAGATTTATTACTTTTATGTGTTTACTGAATGCATTATACTTACATTTTCATGTTTATTAATGCTGTTCATACTCTTCCGCCGATGCTGCGTTTTCAATATATTTCATTCTTTTGTGCAATACATAGTTCCCTATTGACCATTTTATAAAAGTGATGTGCATTAGCCTGGCTTTCAAGGTTCTGTCTAAATAGTCCCCGACTCACTGTTCTTCCTAGGTTTCTCTGTATACTCCACTACAGAGATTTGAGTATAGCCATATAGGTCTCCTTCTTGTAGCTCCCGACTGAGTTGTGGTTTAGTGCTGTGGTTCTCAAATACCAGACAATGCCCTTCTCACTATATGTAAAAGTCTTATTCACTTACATATAGATTTCTTTGTCCCTACCCCAGATTTGCTGAATCAAAATGATTGGGAATGGGGATTTAGACTGCTGCTGTATCCACATGCTCCTTAGCATGTACCCTGAAACCAGAAGACTTAGATTTTAACCTTGTCTTCTATATTTATTAGCTTTGTGACCAGGGTAAATCACTTAATCTTTCAATGCCTCTGTTTCTTAATCTATAAAATGGAAGCAATAATAGAACTATGTTAAAGGGTTGTTAAGTGGATTAAATGAGGTAATATCTGTAGAGTGTTTATAACACTTTCAGGCATAGTAAGCACGATGTAAGCATGTGTTATGTAGATAAATCAGAAGTTCTCTCATATGATTTTGAAGCAAATAAGGTTTGGAAACCAATGAAATTGAAACAAGAAGGCTCTGTAATGCTCGGCCTATTGTTCATTAAAGATCTGTTTTCCTACTTCCCATTATTCTCAACGGGAGAAGTATCATCTGACACTATGTTGTCAGCTAGTGTGCATGTCTGACGAGTTTTATTTTAAAATACATGTTATCTGATAATGAATTATTTTTGTTTTATTCTCTTTTATGTAGCATTATATTAATTTCATTAAAATTATGCTCATTGTTAGATTTTATCATTTATTAATTTCATTTTAGGATAATAATGGGAGTATCATAAAATATTTGTTATGTAAAAGGGCATGACATCTGATAGGCCTGAGATTCAAAACTCAGATGTAAAAGGAATTTCCATATCAGTCTCTCTCAGTACTATAGAACATAGCATTCTTTCACAGTACATATTAACACTTATATACTTAATTAATACATTCTTATTTCAAGCTATTTTGGCATGTTTTAGTCTATTTTAATGGGAATGTATAGTCTGTCTCATCAAGTAGATTGTACATTCTCCTAGAAAAGAAAATGTTGTCTTGATTCCTTTTGTATCTTTTTCACAGCAGGCATTCAATAAGTGGTGTTGACAGCTTGACTCAAGTTTAAAGAGAAGCAGGAAAATTCAGAGAGTAGAGTCAGAAGTTTAAAGTACATTGAAAATAGAGTGCCCGAAAAATCTTAGTTCACCGGAAGAAAACTAGCAAAGCTACAGGAAACAGAGAAACAGAGAATGCCTTCAGGGCTCTAATAGGAAATGTGATGTTGAGGCAAGTGGAAAATTAAGCCGTTAAAAGATATATGCAGGTGTGTCTTACCTTTGGAAAACCTAATATAAGCTTCTAAGATTTAAATATAACAAAAAGAAAAACTAGGTAAATTAGAAGTTTTTTTCCTGGGCAGGGGAGGGCAATATCAATCATATAAATATTATGATTGGGTATCTACTATGTGTCCACAACTTTGCATTAAAAAGTATTGAAGTTTTATTAGCTTTAAAAATATTCACTTAAATGAACTTGGATATACTTAAAGTGGGATTCAGTTCATAAAACATTTATTTTATTCAAGGTTTTTTGGTAGCACAATTATTTTTAAAATTAAATGAACCACTATGTTAAATAAAGCTAGGTAATGACTTAATTAGAAGACCTGAAGCTCAGAAAATATCGAATTTACCATAATAAATAGACACCACCCTATCTTTCATGAGTCCATCTAAAACAAGGGTTTAGGCAAACAAACATGCAAACAAAAAGAGAAAATAAACACACTGCAGATTATTTTTGTTGAAAGCAAATGAGGAGCTATGTGGCCTAAGTTTGGATGGAATGTTTATTCAGTTGGTTGACAATCAATGTAACTTCAAAGCAAGCTCACTGTATCAATCATGATAATAGCCTCCCATCAGTGCAGTAAGATGGGATACCATCGCCTTTGCTTGTTTTCTCTCTCATCCTCATTAAGTTAGAAACTCTATGGGTCTTCAAATGATCTATGTAGTTTACATACACATATATGTGTACACACATACACATATATAAACAGAATTTTAACTATACTTATATAGCAATTTTATTTTTAGAAATAAAACAGGAAAAAACATATACAAAATAAAATAACTTTTAGTTCGATATAGCTTCCTAGATAATAAGATTTACTCTTCCTACCAGCCCAAATCTCAACCAGCCCAAATCTCATGAAAGCATATAGAAAAGAAAATGGAATACATAGGAATTTTAGAAACCTGGGCATGAACACCAAAAAAGTAAAAGGGTGACACATTTTTAAAGAAACAGAACACGTGATATCAGGTTGAAAATGAAATGCAAGATTGCTGAAAAAATGCACATTGAGGAAAGAGAGGTGCTCAAAAAACTACTTGTTCTCAGAGGTAATAAGCTTTAGAGAAAGAGACCATGTGCGGTCTGCTTGGTAATTCATTTAAAGGCTGTGTAATAGTTTTGCCAATTGTATTAATCAGGTTCCTAAGTGTAAGCAATAAATGCCTGTTTCGAATGAATCATATAATTATTTGTATAGCTAACAGAATTGTAGAAGGCTGGAGGACCAGGCTGGGAACTGGGCTGCCAGGAGCAACAACCAAATATAAGCCACAGAGGTGACCTTATTACAAAATTTCTGGTACCTCATTCCTCATTCAGGTAGAATTACAATAATTTGCCACTGAGTCACTTGTAATCCAGGACAGTAATTTTACAGACATGGGCACAGGTCTTTGCTTTCAGATAATCAAATCTCTAAAACATCAAGGGAAAAAAAAAGAATAAAAATTTAATTAATCTAGGTGGGGAGATGCGGTAAAAGATGGCGGAATAGAAGGTTCCACAAGGACACCAATTTAACAACTATCTACACAGAAAAAAAACATCTTTATAAGAACCAAAAAATCAGTGAGCTCTCACGGTACCTGGTTTTATCCTCATATCCCTGAAAGGGACACTGAAGAGATAGAAAATACAGTCTGGAATCACTGAAGCCACTGCTCCCCCCACATCCTCTGCAACAGTGGCGTGTTATAGAGACCCTCTCTGGTACTGCAGGAGGGAGAACACAGCAATTGTGAGTCATTGAACTCAGTGCTGTCCTGTCAGAGCACAAAGGTGAACTAGACCAAACTCAGCTGACACCTGTCCACAGAGGGAGCATTTAAACCAGCCCTAGACAGAGGGGAATCGCCTATCCCAACCGTCTGAACTTGAGTGCCCCCAAACCCCACCACTGGGGGCCAAAGTGCTCTTGTTCTCTAAGTAAACTTGTAAGGCATTCTAGATCACAAGGATTGCAACTCGTAGGTGAGCCCTAGGGCTGAGCTAGGCCCAGAGACAGTTGACTGTAGGGGCACCTGACATACTGAGACACCAGCTGGGGCAGCCAAGAAAGTGCTGGTATCTCCCTCCCCTAATCCCACAATGCACAGTTGAGGGCTCCAGAAGAGACCCCTTCCTGCCACCTGAGGAGAGGAGAGGAAAGAGAGGGAGGACTTTGTCTTGCATCTTGGATAGCAGCTCAGCCACAGCAGGACAGGGCACCAGTCAGAGTGGTGAGGTTCCTGCTACAGGCCCCAGCTCCTGTACATTTCTAGACACAGCCTGGGCCAGAAGGGAACCCATTGTCTTCAAGGGGTCTTGGCCGCATTCATCACCTACTAACTGAAGAGCCCTTGGGCTGCAAATAACAAGCAGTGATACCAAGGCACTATGTTGAGGGCCTTAGTTGAGCCTCTGAGACTTGCTGGCTTCAGGTACCAGCATGGACACAGGAGGCATACAGTACCAAGTGGACTGTTGGGGCCCCTGATTCCAACATTTGACTCTTGGACAGCATTTCTGTACCTGCCCTGGATTAGAGGAGAGCCAACTGCCCCAAAGGTTGAGTCCCAGGCCACGCAGCATTCACCACAAAATGACGTAAGTGTTCTTGGAACAAAAGGGAACATCAGTGGTAGTCTGACAGTACTCCCAATGGCCAGTGGTGACAGTGGCTATGGTGTGAGTCCCCTCAGCCTTTGGAAAGGGGAGGGAAGAGTGAGAAGGACTGCAAAATGTGGTTTGAGTGCCAGATCAGCATCAGTAAAACAGAAAACCAGGTAGACTAAGATTTTTGACTTTAGTCCCTGCGTTCTTGGTGGCATGTTTGAACCCACCAAGGACCTGGGGGACCTTGCCACCCTGAAGGGAAGGATATAGGCCTGGATGGCTTTGCCACCTGCTGATTGTAGAGCCCGAGGGCCTTGAGTGAATATAGGCATAGCCAAGGGGTTATTACAGCAGGCCTTGGGTAAGACCCAGTGCTGTGCTGGCTTCAGGTCAGACTCAGTGCAGACACAGTAGTGGTGGCCACTCGGGTGCCTGTCACTCCACCGCCAGCTTTAGTTGGCTCAGAACAGAGAGAGAGACTTCATTTTTTTCCGAGAAAGTGAGGGAAGAGAACAATAGTCTCTGCCTGATAATCCAGTGAATTCTCCTGGAACATGTCTAAGATCGTCAAGGCAGTGCCTCCACAAGCCTAGAAGAACCACAGCCTTGCTACTGGGCTTAGGGTACCCCCTGATATGGTTTGGCTGTGTTCCCACCCAAATCTCATCTTGAATTGTAGTTCCCATAATCCCTGTGTGTGGTGGGAGGGACCCGGTGGGAGGTAGCTGAATCATGGGTACGGTTTTCCCCATGTTATTCTCATGATAGTGAGTAAGTTCTCACAAAATCTGATGGTTTTATAAGGTGCTGCCCCCTTTGCTTGACTCTCATTTTTCTCTTTACTGCCACCTTGTGAAGAACGACATGTTTGTTTTTCCTTTAAGAAAGTGTTCCCGTTTGGTCTCAGTTGCTTCTCTATTAAAACAAGGGTTGGACTAATTTTTCTATAATATTTCTTATAGTATTTACCTTGCCTGATGCAGAAGTGACTTCCCATGTCATCTTATTCAGTTGCACTGTGGTATAATTTTGTTAATAGAGAGGGCATTTTGTTATTAATTCAGTGCTGACTCACAATTTTCCCCTGCCTTGTCTAAGGACTCCTGTGCCATTAAGAACTTCCATTAATAACTTTTTAATTTGGTTTTATCCCCAGGGACTTATTTTACTTAAAATTCACGTGGCCTTTGGTTCATTTCTAATTATTATGATCACTCTTTTTTTTCTCTTATTATTTAAAAAATCTGCCCCTATGTGGAATTGTTTTCTTCGTGTATTTTTCATTCAACACATTGATTAGGATTAAAGCATGTGAGTCCTTCAACTGACCTCTGTAGACTAGAGAAAACAGAGGTGGCTCTTTTAGGATGATCTATTTTTTGGCAGATACAAAATATATAATATATTAAGTTTGCTCTCAGTTTTCAACAGCACTGTAAGGCTGTGAATTCGGAGGCCAGAAACAAGATTTTCCACAGTCCTTTGAGCAACTTCAACAATTTCACTTCACTATATACTGTCATACTCTTAACATTATAAAATGAAACTCTTTAACTTATATAATTTAACTTATAACTAAAATAAAGGCATTGTAAGATATATTTTAATAGAATTATTTGATTATTAGAAAGATGACAATACACATTAAATAAATGCATTATATTTTATGATCACCTTAATGAGAAAATGTTGCATCTATTAAAAAGAACAGAATGTCACATATAAACAATAACCATTAGAAAGAAAAGAAAAATGACAGAATGTGTAAATTAATAGAAAAGGAATATTTTTAAAAAGGTATCAGCAGACATGAATCTTCACAATGAAAGACTCATTGAGTCTTTAGCACAATGAATGAAAAATAATCCTTACAAAAGCATATACAGCATTTCAGAACAATAGAGATAAAGGGAAGACCTTAAAAGCTTCCAAAAAGGGAAGAAGAAAGCACATCACATGGAGAAGGTGAATATTTACTTTTGGTCAGTAAATTCCACAGCTTGGAAACGTGAGTTAATTCCATGTTCCATTTCATGGAGGAAAAGAGGGAAGGATTATTGACATATACACTTTCTTTCCTAGGTTAGCTCAATATTCAAGGCAAGTGTGAGCCTGCAAGTAAGGGTCAGAGAGTGTTAAAAGCTTGATGAAATGAGTCAAAGAGACAGAAACACCTACTAAGCACAGGGCTGACCTGGGAGCACAGGGGCTCGAAATACAAACAAAATGCAGAGTGAAGCAAATTTTATGAATGAGGTTCTAGCTAATATTGAAGGGGCAAAGAGAAAGGTGCCGTTTAAGTCAAACTACAGTGAAGCGAGGCCTGGGTTTGTTTAGTATATTTTTAAAGTGTGTGTGTATGCACGGTGTGTGTGTGTGTGTGTGTGTGTGTGGTGTTTGGGTATGTGTGTTGGTGTTTTATTAGACAAAGAAAGCTGTTGAAGAAATGAGTATGAAGCGGGATTGGTCCCTTGGTTGGGTGTGAAGAAAGTTGTAAATCTTCAGAGCAACTTAGAAAGGATGGGGAGTAGGAACTTCCAGTACTAAAATTGGGACCATCTCTGGGAAAAAGGGATGATTTTGTCACTCAAAGTGAAGTTCCAGGGAATCTGAGGATGAACAGATAAATGCAGGACTGAGACTGGGACAGGAAGGAAAAGAACAGAGGGAGAAGAATAAAAGTAAAATGGGACGAGCTCCAGAGGTTGGAAGCATGGTTCAAGATAAGCTGGTCATTCAGTGAGCTCTTCAGTTCAAGGGGTGAAAGGCTGAGATTGGAGCTGACATGGGCAGATACAATATAGAGTATGCTCAAGAGAGTGTGGAAAGCTCATGTCTGCCCTTTCTCAGCTTTAAATATGTCTGTATATAAAATAAAATAGACACAATTTCATATCTACATTTTCTCAGAATACTTGGTGGCACACAGGAGTTTTGTCAAAAATTAGGTTATTCTGGACATTAGAATTCATGAGGTTGGCATTTTGATTCAGCCTCTTTGGACCTATGTACCATAGAGAACCATCACCATCATTAGAAACCACATTCCCCCATCACGATGCTACAACGACATACGCGTTCTGTGCTCTGTCTCCCTCTGGTGCCCTTCTCCGGTCCATGCTTCATTACCTTTTGAAATTCCCAAGGACGCAGTTCATTTTCATAAGTACAAGATGTGACAGAAATTTAACAAAGGCCCCACGACATTGGCTGCTGTCAGAAAAATGCCTAATTGGTCTATCTGCCCTAAAGAGTATGCTCAGAATGCAGCCCTAGACCGAAATCTCAAAGGCTGGTTTTGAAAGATCTGCTGAGCTAGGAAGTCTGGCATTCTATGTCCTGAGAAGAGAATGTTAAACTAGAAATTAAAGCTCAATTTGAAACTAGATTTTAGCATTTCCCTTTTTTTCTCATATAAAGTATGAGCTGTTTTTGAATATGACTGCTACATTTCCATTGTCAACACCGTGAGATCTCAAGACATATTACTTCATCATTTAATTTACCCCAGCAGTTCATTTTGAAATATAGGGTAATTACTCTGTACACAGGGTTTTCATTTCATGTCCCAGATGGTATTAGCTGAAAATAACATTTTTAAAATTTAGGTATCTGGAAAAGTAACAAAGGAAATGAAATATGGCTTAGAAAATCAGATTAATGCCAAGCAGGTTAATATCTTTGAGGGGAAATAAATGATAAAAAAAAATTAAGTACTCAATGGAAAAGTAGAAGCTGCAGAGAAAGAATACTGCCAGGTATACATAAATGAGAAATAATAAACTAGATATTAAAATAAAGCACTTTTCACAAAGGGCAAATTTAAGTTAGACTGTTTCATATCTCTCTGTATGGTTGAGCCTATTGTTTTCAAAGTCACAGATAAAACTTAAACAGACTACCATTTCTTTAAATAGACTCTAGTCTGGATAACCTTGGAGCTCTTAATCCATTTGCATTTTGCCATCTGCTTTGCATGCTTCTTAACTTAATATGCATATCTCAGAATTGATTCAATTTACAAGCTCCTTCAGGAAGACATGTGCTACTATTGTATTGCAGAACTGATGATATTCAACAGTCTGTACAACATAAATCTAAAAGGACACCATGGAAAGAATACTAGACAAAGAGTTAGGTGACTTCAGTTCAATCAGATCGTGATTACTCACTCTGTGACATTGAACATCTACACACTCCAGGCTTCAGTTTTCTCACATGTAAAATGAGTGTCAGCCTCTCTTAAGTTTCCTTCTAGATCCAAAATTCTCACAAATATGTCACCTTCCTATTGGAAGAAAGGCTGGTAATTTCAATTAAGAAACAGACATTAACTGGTGCCTTTTTACCCCTCTTTTGATATGTATTTTTAGAAAAGACTTCTTAAAAAAGAGCTTCAAATGAAAAATCACAGTTCTGTAACAAATATAACTAGAGATAAATATTACAAGCTAAAGACAGTATATACTTAAAAAGGAATTAAACATTTAAAAGAAAAATAAATTTACATATATCAGCTATCACAACAATTGTAAATATAAGAATATTTCATGTTGAGAGTTTCTTCCGGGGGCGGGGGAAGGAGAGAGAGAAAGAGAAAGAGAGACTACAAAAGCAAAAATTAAATCCAGCTATAAGCATTTTGCAAGATATGTCTCTTTAATATGATGGTATAGAAAGTTGAAAGGTAAGTGATTGAAAAATAAAAAATCCAATCCAAAAAAATTTGATGTAGCAATATTATCAGAATGGATGGACTCAAAGACAAATGTGTTGCTGGGAATAATGAGGATTATCACTTAATAAAAATAACAGTTCTCTATGAAGTTATAACAATCTTGAGTCCTGAATTTATTAATCCAACAATGTAGCCTCAAACATATGAGGAAAAAATTGGCAGAATTACCCAAACTTTCCCAAACTGAATTCTGATGGGAATATTTTTTAATACACTTTGATCAAGTAGACAATTTAATTAACAACCTGAACTCATAGACATATAAAGAACTCGGCAGCCAACATTGTAAACATACTTATCCTTTTCCAAGGCCATATAACCTATTCACAAAAACATATAAAGAATCTTTGCATGCCCTAAAGTTTAATAGAAATGGTGAATGTGGATATCCATGACTTAGTCCTGATTTTCAGAGGGAAAGCATTCAATTTTTCACTGTTAATAATGCAATTAGATAATAATGAAAATAGCTTTTTCATTGATATCTTTATTGGTTGAAGAAGTTCTTTCTCTCTTATTACTATCTTTCTGACAGTCCCCATGAAGTTGTCTTGAAATTTATTAAGTACTTTTTATGCATCTTTTGAGATGATGATATATTTCTTTATTTTTTAATGGGTGAATTCTATTATTTGGTTTTTGAATGATATAGCATCTTTGCATTCCCAGAACAAACCCCTTATGTTATCCTTATATATTGTTGGATTTTATTTACAATAAATTGTTAATAGGTTTTTGCATGTATATTCATTTAATGCATAGATATTGGTCTATGGTTCTTTCATTTGTAATGTCTCTGTCTGATTTTGTATCAGGGTGATGCTAGCTTCACAAAATGATTTGGAAAGTATTCTCTCCTTCTCTGTTTCCTAAAAGTGTATGGTTGGTATTATTTCTTCCATAAATGTCTGACACAATTGACTATTGAAGCCATAAGATCCTTAGCTTTTTACTGGAGAGATTTAAGTTTTTAAAATTGCATATATTTAAGGTGTACAATGTGATGTTTTGATATATTTATACCCAGCAAAATAGTTACTGTAGTCAATAAAATTAACATACTAATCATCTCACATATTTACCTTTCCCTTTTTTTGGTGGTAAGAGTACCTAAAATCTACTAACTGTTTTAGCCAATTTCCGCATTGTAACAATACAATATTATTAATTTAATCTTCATGTTATACATTAAATCTCTAGGCTTATTCATCCTTTGACCTACATCTTCCCATCCCTCCCTGCCTTCCTGGTAACCATCCTTGTACTCTATGTTTCTATGTATTCAACTTTTCAATTCCTTCCTTTCTTCCTTCCCTCCCTCCCCTCACTCCCCTTCTTTCCCATATAAGTGAGATCATGCAGTATTTGTCTATGTGTGTCTGGTTTATTTCACCTAGCATAATGTCTTCTAGGTTCATCCATTTTGTTGTCAATGACAGAATTTCTTTCTTTTTAAAAGGCTGAATAATATTCCATTGTGATATATGTACCAAAATTTCTGTATCCATTCATCCATCAATGAACACTTAGGTTGTTTTCATATCTTGGCTATTGTGAATTAAGTTTCAGTGAACGCGACAGCACAGATACCTCTGTAAGTTCCTAATCAAATCAAATTTAAAAACTTCTATGCAGTAAAGAAAACAATTGACAAAAATGAAAGAGAGCAAATGGGTTGGGAGAAAGTATTTCCTAACCATATTTCTGATAAGGGGTTAATATCCAAATTATATAAGGAGCACATACACCTCAATCACAAAAAATCAAATAACCTGATTTTATAATGGGTAAAAGATCTGAATAGACATTTCTTCAAAGAAGATATAAAAATGGCCAAGGTGTATGAAAAGGTGCTCAACATCACTAATCACCAGGAAAACACAAATCAAAGCCACAATGAGGTGTCACCTTACACGTGGTAGAATAGCTATTATAAAAAAGACAAGAGACATCAAGTGTTGGAAAGGGTGTGGAGAAAATATACTCTTGTACACTCTTGGTGGGAATGTACATTGGTGCAGCTATATGAAAAACCATATGAAGTTTCCTCAAAAATATTAAAAATAGAACTACTTAATGACATAGTAGTCCCTCTTCTGGGAATATACTAAAAGAAAATGAAATCAGCACCTTGTAGAGATATCTGTAGATACATATTTGATAGAGAAATCAATGTTTTCAATGAATATTAGGCTAATTAGATTTTCTATATCCTTGTGTGGCTTTTGATTTGTTGTGATTTTCTAGCAACTTGTGTTTTTCTTGATGGTAGAATATTATATCATATAGGCATTAAAATTGTCATGTATGGCAGGGTGTGATGGCTCACTCCTTTAATCCCAGCACTTTGGGAGGCTGAGGGAGGTGGATCACCTGAGGATAGGAGTTCAAGACCAGCCTGGCCAACATGGTGAAACCCCGTCTCTACTAAAAATATAGAAATTAGTTAGGCGTGGTGGCAGGCACCTGTAATCCCAGTTACTTGGAAGGCTGAGGCAGGAGAATCACTTGAATTGGGGAGGCGGAGGTTGCAATGAACTGAGATCATGCCATTGCACTCCAGCTTGGGTGACAAGAGGGAAACTCTGTCTCAAAAAAAAAAAAGTCATGTATTATATTTTAACATCTGTAAGATCTTTAGCGATGTCTCTTCTTTAATTTCTGATAATTTGTATCTTTTCCCTTTTTTATTCGTGATCAAGCTAGTAAGAAAGTTATCAGTTTTTTGGTCTTCTCAAAGAAACACCTTTGGTTTTAACTGATTTTTCTCTATTTTTATTTGCTTTCTGTTTTATTGATTTTCAATTGTTTATTATTAATTTCATTATGCTAATTTGTGTTTATTTTCCCTCTTTCTAGTTTCTTAAAAGCTTACCTTATTAATTTTTAGAACTTTCTTCTTTTCTAATATAAGTATTTAAGGCTATAAATATCTCTCTAATAACTGTTTTAGCAGCATCTTAGAAATCTTGATGTTTTGATGATTTCATTTTTGTGAAATTTTAGGTATTTTCTAATTCTTTTTGTGATTCTTTCTTTGACATGTTTATTTAGAGGTGTATTGTTTAATGTCCAACTATTTGGTACTTTTCCAGATAGCTTTTTCTTGTTGATTTCTACATTAATGCTATTGCTGTCAGAGAACATACTGTGAATTTGAATCTTTTTAAATTGAATGAATCTTGTTTTATGGCCCAACATATGGTCTATTTTGGTGAATGTGCCATATTCAATAAAAAATAATGTATATTCTGCTGTTCTTTGGTAAGGTGTTCTATAAATAAGTGTCAATTAGGTCAAGTTGTTTGTGCTGCTCAGTCTTCTGTATCTTCACTGATATTCTATCTACATGCTTTATCATTATTAAGATATGAGTGTTGATATCTCCAATTATAATGGTAAATTTTTCTCTTTCTGCTCTCAGTTTTGCCAGTTTTTGCTTCATGCTTTTTGAAATTCTGTTTAGGCATTTACAGTGTAGGATTATTATATCTTCATTAGGAATTGACCCATTTATCGTTATAAAATGCCTCTTTATTGCCCTGTTAATTCTTTATTTGAAGTTTACTTTACCTAACTGTAGCCACTATGGCTTTTTAATATTAGCGTTTGCATCATATGCTTTTTGCATTCCTTTTACTTTTATCCTATTGATACCTTATACTTAAAATGGGTATACATAAAATGTAGACATGTTATATATAGTTCATCATTGCTTTTTTGTCCAGTCTGATAATCTGATTATTAGAGTGTGTAGGCCATTTACACTTAGATAATTTTTGACACAGATTTAAATCTACCATCATGCTACTTGATTTTATTTCCTTTCTCTTCTTTTTCTTCTTTCTGCTGGATTAATCAAGGTTCATTTTACTTATTAATCAAGTTTGTTTTGTTAATATTTTATTTTATCTCTACTATTGGCTTAATCATTTCCCTTCCAATCCATTGTGGTTTTGTTGAGGTACATTTTTTTGAGGTACATTTTTTTGGTATATATATATAACATACATATATATGTGTGTGTGTGTGTTTGTGTGTGTGTATTTAAAACCTGCATCATAGTTTTGCTTTAAATGACCAATTATTTTTAAATACTTTTAAAAAATAAAATAAAGATGCTTTTATATTTATAATTTTTGGTGCTTTTTTTGGTTATCTCTTTTCCAACTGGTATCATTTTTATTGTATCTGCAGCACTTCCTTCAACATTTATTTTAGTGCACACTTGCTGGCAAAACATTCTTTCTGATTTGTTTGTTTGAAATGTCTTCATCGCTTAATTTTTGTAAGATATTTCTACTGACTGTATTCTAGTTGGCAGTTGTTTTTTATTTCATCATTTTAAAGATTCCATTTCACTGACTCTGGCTCACTGAGTTTTTGATGTGTCTGTGGTCATTTTTTTCCGCTCTGTAGAAAATGCGTCTTTGTTTCTCCATATGCCTTTAAGATTTTTCTCTTTATTTCTTTTTTTTTTTTTTTTTTTTTTTTTGAGACGGAGTCTCGCTCTGTCGCCCAGGCTGGAGTGCAGTGGCGGGATCTCGGCTCACTGCAAGCTCCGCCTCCCGGGTTCACGCCATTCTCCTGCCTCAGCCTCCCAAGTAGCTGGGACTACAGGCGCCCGCCACTACGCCCGGCTAATTTTTTGTATTTTTAGTAGAGACGGGGTTTCACCGTTTTAGCCGGGATGGTCTCGATCTCCTGACCTCGTGATCCGCCCGCCTCGGCCTCCCAAAGTGCTGGGATTACAGGCGTGAGCCACCGCGCCCGGCCTTTCTCTTTATTTCTAGTTTTCAGTAATTTGGTTATAATGCAATTTGGTGTGGTTTTCTTTCTGTTCATGTTCTCTGCTGTTCTTTGATTTTTCTTGAATCTTGTGATTTTATAGTTTTCACCAAATTTGAAAAATTTTGGACAACTGTAGAATTTTAAATTTCTAAACATATTTTTCTTTCCTTTTTTTCTGGTATTCCAATTATATGTTTGTTATGTGGCTTACTGTTAACTCACAAGTCCCTGAGATTCCTCTTTTTAAAAGTCTTTCTTTTCTTTTTCTCAGTGCTCTCTTTGGGTATCTTCAATTTCACAACCTTTCTTTCTGCAGTGTCAGAGCTGCTGTTAATTCCTTCTAGTGATAGGTTCATTTCAGGTATTAAACATTTTATTTCTAGAAGCATCTTCTGAGTCTTTTCTTATATTTTCTATTTTTTCCTCATGCTTTTCTTTAAATCTTTGAGCATGTTGAACATAATAATAATGGTTTTAGTATCGTTTTCTGCTAATTCCATTATCTTTATCATTTATGATAAACACATCACTATGTCTGCCTGTTAATTGATTTTTTTCTCCTGGTTTAGGTTACATTTGCTCACCTCTTCACAATTTAGTAGTTTTAATTAGTTGTTAAGCACTATGATTTTACATTTTTGAGTACTGAGTTTGTTGAATTTATTTGAAGAGTGATACAATTTGTCCTGACAAGCAATACAGTTACTTGCAGATCATTTTGATGCCTTTGTGGTTTGTTTTCGAGCTTTATGGGTCAGGGATGTTATAGAGTAGCCTCCATTTGAAGGCTTGTTTTGCTTTATTATTAAAGCATAAGTTTTCTGGGGCATCTACTGAATGTCCCATAGATTAACAGAGGGGTCTTTCCATTCTGGCTTGTAGAAATTCAAGTGATTTCTTGCCCTGCATGGGAATTATTTGCCATACTGATCCTCAATAATTGTTCTTTTCCTGAAAGTTGTTCTTTGCCTGACCCATAATGAATGTGTCTATCCCTCTCCCTGCCAAAATTTTAGCTGCCTTGGCCTCACTGTACGTCTATCTCTGTCTCCTCAACTGAGAGAGAGAGAGAGTAGACTCTGGATTTCTCCTGCCTTTGTCTAGTCCTGAAACTGCCTGCTGGCAGAAAGCCAAGGACTACTTTTGTCAGTGACCAAAGCTCTGTAATCTATGTTTTCCAGTGACTGAAAACAGTAGCTTCATCTATTCTATCCACTCTTTGAATTGTTTATAATGAAAAAAATTATTCTTAGCATTATACTATATCATAGCCACGCAGGAGTTGAATTTCTTTTTAAAATATATTTAAATGTGTTTTTCTGATGAGTAACAATTCTGTTTATTCCAAAATGTCAGACATAGCAGATTTACTACACATGGAAATAATTTTATCTTATAAAAAATCATTTCCAAAACTCTATAAGAAATCTAAAGGTCAGGTCATAAATATAAATGTGCTTTGAAATACAGCCCCTTTTTTCCTTGCCAGCTCCATTTTGATTGCCTATCGGAATCTATGATTTCTCAATCAATGGACTATGTCAGGCCCCATGTGGGCACAATGAGTTTGAAAATATTTTAAAATATGATTATTACCTTTAAGTAGGTTATAATCTAATTTTGTAAAACCCAAGACATAAAATTAAGTATCAACTTAATTAACTTAGTCATTAATGTGGTATAAAACATGAAGTACTAGAATTTTTTAGAGTTTAAAGAGGGCACTGTTGGCTAGCATGGGCAGAGAATTCCAATGACCTGTTCTTAACACTGGGCAGTTCCGACAGAAGTTCTATGGACAAACCACTTCACGTTTACATGTTATATCCAAGTAAAGACTCACTCAGAAGTGCTAAAGAGCAAGTGAGTCCTTAGGCAAAACTTATACCCTAGATCGACTGCATTCTTCTGGAATAACAGGCTTTTCTTTTTTTTTTACAGTCCTCTCATATTCTTTTTATTCTTTTCTACTCATGGACATTTGTATGCTGGTTATAATTGTGTGTAGTTCACATTTTTAATTAATACATAGTGCTTATACTTTGCAATCTTTTGGTTACTAAGTTCTGATAACTAGCATTAATATAGGATTCCATGATTGTTCTTTTGATGACCAGTGCTTTACTGGGTTTTGACTGGTTAATTTTACATGGGATTTGATATGTCCGAATATCAGTGAGTGAAATAAAATTGCAACATCCTTGCAGTGAGCTAATGTACAACATACATCTTGCATGGTAAATAATAGTCTCATTTCTTTTCAGTAAGTATCTGAGACCATCCACTTCAATGGAGTCTGCAGAAGGAATACCGAATAGCACAATTCTCTGTAAAATGGCTGAAAATATGTGCCTCCACATTAATAAAGAGGGAACATGCTCACGAGCTATCACTGAGTGGTTCCACCTTCTCAGAATAGCCTGGGAGAGATGCTTACTATGGTTTAGTCCAAGGTCAGTGGGTATGGGAGGTGTGTACACAGGCAAAGCCTTAGGTAGCCATATCATTTACTTTCTGTATTAACTGCTCACTAGGATGAGTATTGAAAGTCAGTGAGACATGGATCAGGTTGATTTCCATAATTTCAAGTTCTTTTAACAGAATACATCTCACTTAGAGGTTTTTGCTTTATTTCAAGCTTCAACACTGAGAACTGAAGAAGTTAGTCAGTAAATTAAATTTATGTGAATTTCAAGGCATATGATAGAAGAGGTAGAAGGAATTCCTTAAACTACAACCAAGAAATTAATTTTCTAATTGAGGAAGGAACCACAATGATTCTTGCTCTGGGTATATATCTTGATAGCCTCTAATACCCTCTATTATGTCCTATATTTTTATTTATAGTTTGCCATGAGGAGAGAATGAAGTCAATGCCATCATGTATGAACTTTGGAGAATTATCCAGCTGGGAGTTAGAAGAACTGATTGTCTTTCTTATTCTTCTATCAATCAACTAGGTGACCTGAGGTTTGTCAGTGTGACTCTGGGACTCAAGTGGTTTGAGACCAGCCTGGCCAATATGGTGAAACACCATTTCTAAAAAAAATACAAAAATTAGCTGGGTGTGGTGATGTGCACCTATAGTCCCAGCTACTCAGGAGGCTGAAGAAGGAGAATTTTTTGAACCCAGGAGGCGGAGGCTGCAGTGAGCCGAGATCACACCACTGGACTCCAGCCTGGGTGACAGAGCGAGACTCTGTCTCAAAAAAAAAAAAAAAAAAACCAAAAAACTTGGAAATAACCATGACTAGTTTGAATTAATGTTTCATCCAGCCCCCAGATCTGTGCAAACTATGGCCATAGGGAATGAACCATCAGTGGATGTAATTTTTCATCCTGACATCAACCTTATAGGTAGAGCATGCGTCAGCTCCTTGTAATCTCCACTGATGGCATTGTGGTATATAAATCCAGCCAATCCCCTTTAAAATCCACTTAAATTTGCTGACATTGCCTACCTCTTGGGGGTTAAGAGTTTCAGAAGATTGTTATCCTCTGTATAAAAAGTATTCCCCTTCCCTACTCCCTTTCGTCCTAAGTTTACCTTGCTCAGTTTTAAAAAGGATCTCTTTTAAAGGAAACACACCCTACTACTTCAGATTTTGAAAGTTAAGTCTATGCTTGTTTTAGTCACATCAATCATCACATTTTCATATTTTTAAGATTTTAATCTGCTTAGCATCCTGATTTTGTCTTTCTACTCCTTTTAGTCCCTTCTTGTCTTGCTGGCTGTCTTCCCTAGCACTAGTCCCACTCTGAATCCTTGTGATTGCCTTAGTTTTCCTTTTCTGGAATTTTACCAGTTCCATTTTGCATTCCTGAAGGTATAGCAACAAAGAAGTATAAATAGGATTCTAGAGGAAAAAGTAGAAGGGAAGGGTGATGTACTTTCTTCTATTTTTGCAAACAATCCATGCCTTATTGGACTTTGGTTTACAGAAACACGATGAGTCTCTGTTCTCAAAACCAACCTCTACTCACCGAATTGAAATCAGATTTTTAAAAAGTGAATTATATTCATTCTTTCAGCCTTTTTCTCTATCTCCCTCCCTCCTTTTCTCTTTCTTTCCTTTCATCTCTTTGTTTTCCTTTCTCTTTTTCTCGTCCCTCATTCTAACTTCAATAAGGCAGCCATTTGGGCTATGGCATTGTCTTAGTCTGTTTGGGCTCCTATAACAAAATATCATCAACTAGGCAGCTTAAACACAGAAAATTATTTCTCGTAAGTCCAGAGGTGAGGTCAGGGTGCCAGCATGGTCGGTTGAGTTCTGGGGAGAGGCCTCTTTCGAGTTGCAGGCTGTTGACTTCTCACTATGTTCTCATTTGGCAGAAGGGACAGTGGACTCACTTGGTCCTCTTTCATAAGGGCACTAATCTATTCAGGAGGGTTCTGCTCTCATGACCTAATTACCTCCAAAAGGCCCTGCCTCCTAATGTCGTCACCTTGGGGGTTAGGATGTCAACATATGAATTTTGGGGAGACACATTTAGACCATAGCAAGCATTCTAAAATAGAAAATTTCATCCTCTAATTACCCCTAAGACACTATGCAATAAGAAAGATTATTATGTACTGCTGTAAATTCATATCTTTTAAATTATTGGAAACATCATAAAGACAGGAATTTTCCTGGAAATTGAGGGAGAATACTGCAGAGACTATAGACTCAGGAGAAACTAAAAAAAGCTCTCAGATTCAAACTCGGAAATAAGGACATCTAAGCGTGAGCTATTTTATTACTCATTTGAGATGTATTCCTTTGTTGCCATCTCTTCCCTTTACTTCCTTTAGCCTTAGTCCCTTTTCAAGTTCAATCACTTTAAATTTATGTTTGTTTTTCCTCTTGATTTTATCTCACCTGACACCTGAAATCAACATGCATTTCATTTGTTCTTGATTGTGCTACTCCACTTGATGGTCAGTAGGGATACAAGAAATAGCACAAGAAGGCAGGGTACTAAAATGTATTGAGTATCTGCTATGTGTCAGGCACTTTAGTAGGCACTGTTCTTTTATTGTTTCCTGAAATCCTTACAACATCCCTGTGAAAGGATTGTTAAATTTTTCCTTTTACTCATGAGTTATCTGAGGCCCATGAAATCACTTTCCCTAGGACACGTGGCTTTACCCTTCTATTAAGTAGCTTTCAAACACTTCCATTAACCACAGCATTAAGAGATTTTTAGAACCAAGCATTTTCATTGTTTAGTTAACCTTTGTTTGACCATTGCAATATAGAGGGAATCTCTATTTTTCTCCCTTCATTCTTATTTTCAGCAGAGCAAAATTTACTACAGAATTTTGTAGATCAAGCGGAATAGTTCAAACTGTCTTTTCATAAAATGGATCTTCAGGGATATTGAGCACATGTTTATGCTCCTATCAGCTATTCTTCCTTTATACAGTGTTCATTGCCCTCATACAGTTGAGAACTAAGGATTGTGCCTTCCTATGTTAAGAAGGCAGTCAGAAGTGGCCTTTCTTTATCTGGGCTGCTCTCTGTTGCAGTTTTGCTGATGATTTTCAGTATTCTTAGAATAATGACAAGGATCAAATTGTAATTGCAGGAAACTTCAAAGATCTCATAGTGGGTGCCTTCCTTTACTTATGCTTGAACTTCTAAAAGAGACTAGAACTAATCAGAGATAAACAATACAAAGGATGAAATATAAAATTAATTAAAACAAAGTTTCTTGATAGGTCTCATTTAAAATATTCATTTGGAATTGGAACAGAAATGTATTTTAAAAGTCTATCTACTAATGAACATGCATGCTTCTAATGTTAATAAGTTATCAATTAGCTAATTTTATAATTGTGCATGGTCTACTGAACACTGAGTTTCCTCAGTAGGAAAACGCTATACTTTTCTTCTCAGGGGCCTTCAAGGGGAAATGAAGTAATTACTGTTGATGGTCCTTTACTCCCTAAGTGCCATAAGTTCCAAACCCACTCATTTGTAATTCTAGTCACAAATTCTGTTTCTCAAATTAGTTTAGGTGATAACTGGGGGCTGACAAAACACTTATTTAAAATCAAAACTAGACTATATATAAACATAGGTTTTTAAGTTATGAAAAAATGACTTTAACATTTCTTTATAAGAGAAAATAAATAATGGATGTGATAAGGTTTACATTTTTTTCATTAGTTCTTCCAAACCCAAATCCGTTTATATTCTTTAACTGGTAGTCCACTTGAGTGATTTGACTCAGTATAATACAGCCTGATGTCTCGTCAACTGTAGCATACAGAGACTTAAACTATAGCAGAAACAAAATGTTCCATCTTTTATATTTGTTGCTAAGATCCTTCAAAGATACATTCAAATGTTTAACACAGTAGGTATAAAAAGTCCAAATATGGGCATAAGAAATATAGTAACTCTCAGAAATTTAGGAGTCTGGTTCTGCCTGGTTTTCCCCTGGTTTCTATTGATTTGATTCTTTAGATCCTCATAATCAAATTACCTAATTCTCCCCTGTCTTTAGTATCTGCAGTAGCGTTTCTAAATCTTTTTATTTGCCCTGCACCTATTTGAAAATCTGGTGAAGGTTTTCTTAGAATAATGTTTTAACATGTATATAATAAAATACATAGGATTACGAAGAAAGCCAATTATATTGAAATGTAGAATCAAAGTATTAAACAATTTTATGATATAATAATTATGTGCTTCCTTATTTATGCATTAAATAACACTAGTTAATGGTGGGTCTAATACCTACCTACCATCATTAAGTTGTGATCTACCTAAATAATAGGTCAAGATTTCAAGAACAATCATAGTGAGATATGAAAATGTCTGATTTTGATTGATGACAAAGTTACAGTTATTCCTTTAAATTACTGATTATTTTCCTACATCCATAATTGAAGGAAATTGCTATTTTTTAGGTAGAGGTTGATAAAACTAAGGGTATCTTTTTTTTCCTGTCGGAGTTCCTGAACTACCTGAATTCTATCCATGGCCCCACTAGGAAGTTATGAAGATTTAACACTCCTGCCTTGGAATAACACAAATGCTCTCTGGTAGGTGGTGCTAAATGCAATCTCTTCTTACCACTTAAAATTTCCAAAGTGCCTTGCTTTATCCTTTAGCCTCTGTTGGAGAATCCTGCTCATGCCATATAGTACATTAGAATTTAGCATAAAAATAACCAGACCTTGGGGAAACACCATGTCTTACTAGAGATACATTTCATAAATTCTATACTTCAAAATAAGTCAGACACAATTTTCTTTAGCATAAAAGAATTATTTAATTGCAATAAACCCAAGGATGGAATGGGAAGTCTTCAGTCATCAAGAAGTCAGTCATTTTACTTCTCTCTCTTGGCCTCTCTCCCACTTCCTGCCTGGCTTCCCATTTTGCACTGTCTTTGTGATGACCCTATTCTTTCTGCTTTGTAACTTTTTTTCCCATTTTAGTGCATACGGTCACCCACACAGCTGCTGAGTTTATTTCCCTTCAATTCAAATGAACAGCAAATACTATTTCCAGTGAATCCTAATTCCAAATTTTCTCGAAATAAATCCTAATTGATCTCATTTGCATCTGGTGTCTCCCTTTTCAGTAGCAGAGTCATGTCTTCTTGTTCTTTCCCTACCACAAATCATGTCCTGGAACTACAGCTCTATCAACATCCAGGCCAATGAGCAATAGTCAAAAAACCATCAGGGCATTCCATTCTATTATCTTCCCTTCCTTTCCCTTCCGTTCCATTTCAATAACTATGAATCAACTGCCAGATACCACGCTAAGCTTTGAGAAGCAGCAGCTAAATGAGGCGGGTCCCTTCTCTGAAGATTCAGAGTCTAGAGAGAATTACTTACACAGAAGTTACCATGCATTTATCCTGTAGCTAATTTGTATAGCTGACTGTTGTAAGATTGCACATCTCAAAGAAGGAGGCATGTAGATCTGAGGGTATGTGGTAGTGTTCCAGAGGGTGTCGAGTGGTGCAAATGAACTTGGCACATTATTCTCAAATCAGTTTGAGAATTCCGGGATACAAAAATCAAGTTTATCTATGCATACTATTTTAAGAGGCCCATGCTCATTGTGATCTAAATCAGCTGGTGAGCATTTCTATCTCAAAGAATTCCTGGCTGGTTTTTTACCTTGAATCTGTTCCACATATATGGGGGCAAGCCCACTGCATGTGATAGCACACTATATATACCTGGGAAAACAAAAGCAGTGGATCTTTGGAGTTTGTTAGTTGCTGGGACCATTCATACCATAAACAAATTTGCAGGCAAAAGTCTTGGACATCCTTTTTTTTTGTTTTTGTTTTTTTTTTGTTGTTGTTGTTTTGTGTTTTTTTTTTGAGATGGAGTCTCGCTCTGTCACCATTTTAGATACAGGGGGTACCCTTATAGGTTTGTTACCTGGGTATATTGCACCAGGGTATAAACACAAAATTTGACCTTATTCTGATTCCTTCTGTCAGAAGGAATGGAATAGGTTATTTTGAAATAACAAACAACTTCCAAAAATCAATGGCTTATGTATTATTTTTCTGTTGCTGCATAACAAGTTACCATAAACTTGGGGTCCTAAAACACACCCATTAATTATCCCACAGTTTATTCTGGTCAGAAGTCGGGGTTCTACATGGACACATGGTGGGGAAACAGCACACACTGGGGCCTGTCGGGGGTGGGGTTGGGGGAGGGAGAGCATCAGCAAGACTAGCTAATAGATGCTGCACTTAATACCTTGGTGATGAGTTGAACTGTGCAGCAAACCACGATGCCACACGTTTACCTCTGTAACAAACCTACACATTCTGCACATGCACCCTAGAACTTAAAAGTTGAAGGAAAAAAAGTTGGGGTTCTGAGTTCTCTGTATCAGACTATCATCAGGTGGCAATTAAAATGTTGGTTGGGGCTGTAGTTTCATCAGAGGCTTGATTAAAGAAAGATCCATTTCTAAGATCCCCAGTTTTTTTTTTTTTTTTTTTTTTTTTTTTTTTTTTGATGAAGTCCTGCTGTGCCACCCAGGCTGGAGTGCCATGGCGTGATCTCAGCTCACTGCAACCTCCGCATCCCAGGTTTAAGTGATTCTCCTGACTCAGCCTCCCAAGTGGCTGAGATTACAGGTGCGTGCCACCATGCACGGCTAATTTTTGTATTTTTAGTAGAGATGGGGTTTCGCCACGTTGGCCAGGCTGGTCTTGAACTCCTGACCTCAGGCAATCCACCCGCCTCAGCCTCCCAAAGGGCTGGGATTACAGGTGTGAGCCACTGTGCCTGGCCCAGCTCCCCAGTTTTGTTGGCAATGTTTATCTCATTGTGCCTGTGGGACTGAGGCTTCAGTTTTATGCTTGAGGCCACTCTTAGCCTCTAGATGCTGCCTCCAATAATTGCCAACAAGCTTCTCCAGCACAGACCCTTATTTCATGGCAGCTTACTTCTTCAGGGTAAGGGAGGGAAGTCTCTGGTGCATTTGACAGCAAGACAGAGTTATATATATGTTGTAACATAATCACAGAAATGACCTCCTCCCATTATCTTTACCAAATTGTATTGAATATAAGCAAATCATAGAAGAAAATTCCATCCACACTCAAGGGGAGGAATATTATGGAAAATCTGAAACACCAGGAGGTCCACAGTGCTGAGTGTCACCTTGGGGTGTGTCTAACAGAGCTTACAACAATGTAGGTTTATTTTTCAATCATATTATATGTCTATGTTCTTTGAGGACAACCAGAGACTGAGGCAGATGGAGACTTTATCTTTTGTTTAAAGCTTTTTAAGTTCAGGGGCATAAGTGCAGGTTTGTTACATAGGTAAACTTGTGTCATGGGGATTTTTGGAAAGATTACTTCATCACTCAGGTATTGAGCCTAGTACCTATTAGTTATTTTTCCTGATCTTCTCCTTTCTCCCACCTTGCACCCTCAGAGAGCCCCCCATGTATGTTGTTCCCCTCTATGTCTCCATGTGTTCTCATCATTTAGCTCCACTTACAAGTAGGAACATGTGGTATTTGGTTTTCTGTTTGATATTGTCTGGCTGTGTCCCCACCCAAATCTCATCTTGAATTGTAGTTCCCATAATCCCCATGTGTCGTGGGAGGGACCCAGTGGGAGGTAATTTAATCATGGGAGCAATTTTTTTCTGTGCTGTTTTCATGTTGGTGAATAAGTCTCACGAGATCTGATGGTATTGTAAAGGGCAGTTCCCCTGCATATACTCTCTTGCCCACCACCATGTAAGATGTGACTTTGCTCCCTCTTGCCTTCTTCCATGATTGTTAGGCCTCCCTAGCTATGTAGAACTGTGAGTCCGTTAAACCTCTTTTTCTTTATAAATTACCCAATCTCAGGTATTTCTTCACAGCAGTATGAAAATGGACTTATATATCACTGTTCCTGTGTTAGTTTGCTAGGGATAATGGCCTCCAGTGCCATCTATATCCCTGCAAGGGACATGTTCTTGTCTTTTACTGTGGATGCAGAGTATTCCATGGTATATGTGTACCACATTTTCTTTATACAGTCTATCACTGATGAGCATTTAGGTTGAATCCATGACTTCATCTTGACATGTGCTTTCTTGATTTACTGCAGCAGTGGGAAATGGGAATGACAACTTATGTACTGATTCTGAATGTCTTTGACTTGGAAGTGACTCCATCACTTCTACTCTAATTTTATTAGTTGAAGCAAGTTAGGTGGCAATGCCCAACAGCAAAGGAGATGGGGGACAGCAATATTACCATGTGCTAGGAAGAGACAAGGAAGGGAAATACTCACTGTGTACTACTCATGACTGCTATGTCATCTTACTAAGGATGAAGGACCAGTTTAAGCTCACCTCTTAGCAGTTGCACCATACTTGCCTCAGTTAAAATTCCCCACACATTCAGTCTGGCAAGCTGACTTTTTTCTTAGTGCCATAGAATTGCTAATGCCACATCACTCTAATTTTTCTGAATTACAGTCATTAATTCTAAGAATTTGTGGCCTCTAAACCTGCTCATGTTGTCCATAATTTTTCTATTAAAGAATTACTATAAGCCCGCTCTCTGGGACTAATTTTTCAAAATGACTTCCGAGTATTTTGCTGAATGGCCTACTTAAAAAGACCCATATGTCTTTAAATGTTTCTGGTCTATTCTCTTACTGATGGTAGTATGAAATTTGACCTTCAATCCTAGAATTTCTCTACTTTCCTGAATACCCATTTTAGCATTATAAGATATTTTGTTTGCACGGTATTTCTACTGGTAGCTTTGGAACCATATGTTATATATTCCCAGTTTTCTATTAATTGCTATCACTTCTTCATTCTCAAGACTAGTGGTTATATTGCAACATTTCAGGGGTTTGTTCTGTCTACAACACCAAATTCTCCTCTGCATCCTCTAAGTGTATGCTGCTTTAAAATATCCCCCCCGCCTTTTTTTTTTTTTTTTTTTTTTTTTTTGAGACAGGGTTTTGTTCTTGTTGCCCAGGCTGGAGTGCAATGGTGCAATCTTGGCTCACCGCAACCTCTGCCCCGTGGGTTCAAGCGATTCTCCTGCCTCAGCCTCCCAAGTAACTGGGATTACAGGTGCCCGCCACCACGCCTGACTAATTTTTTGTATTTTTAGTAGAGACAGGGTTTCACCATGTTGGTCAGGCTGGTCTTGAACTCCTGACCTCAGGTGACCCACCCACCTCGGTCTCCCAAAGTTCTGGGATTACAGGTGTGAGCCACTGTGCCCGGCCCAAATGTCCCTTATTTAAAGTAGCTATAGCCTTGTTTAGGGATTCCAGTACCTGCGTGATAAGCAATGATATAGTAGCAGTCTAAGTGCTAGGGATTTCTCTCTCAATAGGGAAAACAGGAGAGGGAAACTTAACAGTTTAAATGCATTTGCAACAAACTTTTATCCCTTCTTCTAGGAAATATTTCTTCAATTTCTTAAAACATGGTGTGTCAATTAAACTGTATTGAAAACAACTTCCAGTCAGCTGCTGATGTGGGAGTTACTTAGAATTACTCGTCTACCAAGTTCACATACCACTTTCTATGTGCCTGGCTTGACACCATGAAACAGAGTAAGCGTGATTTCCAAAACTGTGTTTCGACTTTGAGGTGTATTCCAAGAGCAATCACGACTTATGCTTGGTCAGGCTGCTCTATATCCTTATACAATTTTTTCAACAGATTGGAGTCAAGGAAAGAACATCCACAACCTCGATTGCGTCTGAGAGTAGATGATTACATACAAGAGGTAGCTGGCTAATACATGCTAGATCGTAAGGTCCAAGACAGGGAACCTAAAATGAAACCTGAGTGATCACAAGCTGTGCGAAGTTTGTATAAAATTGCTTCAAACCCCCGAAACTTTATAACTTTAATTTTTATATACTTTTTCTTAGTTATTCCCTAATTGCTTCTATCCTTTCTGTCATAATTTTACTTCTGCCACATGAGTGGAAAATTCCAAAGTTCACCATTGTTTCACAAAATCTCTGTTATGCAAACATTTCATGAATTTATAATGTAGATATGTAGCAACACATGTTGGAATCACATTTTAAATCATGAGCTTTTCATCATCCATCACCATTTCCTTTGTCTCTTGCCCTGCTCCTTCGTATCCCAGAGAAAAAACCAGCAAATTATTTTTTCTTCTGTAGAAAAGATTTTGTAATTTTTCTGCTCATGCCGAGGCCTCTCAAGGTTTGCCTTTCTATCTGAAATGAACTTGCATGTTAAACCAAACACAGTGTAGTTCTAAAACAATAGTATGGCGGGAAATGTTCTTCTTTTTGCTAGGTGTAATTATATTTATGTTTATCGCAAATAACGTATAGTAGACATAGTGATGTAGTTTAGACTTTGGGAACACAGAGGACAGGATGATTGATTTTCATGTGGAGAGTTGAGATAAAAGAAGTATAAGTGAGGGGGGCAGTACAGAACACAGGCATAGCAGATGTGAAGGCATTAGTGATTATGATGTATTTAAAGAAAGATGAACAGGATGGCGCTGGCACAAAGGATAGGAGAAAGAGAGGAAAGAGAGGAGGACTGATGTGAAATGCTAGAGAGGTAAGAAGATAATCTGCTTTTGCACATGTAAGTATCTTGAAGGGTCTCCTGAAAGACTTGGATAGAGTGCAGAACTAAGACTTTATCCTCAAACCTCTCCCATCCTTAAAATTTCTGCTTCAAGAGGCAAGGATGAGTTGAAAATTTGAGAGCAAAGAAACCAAGCAACAAAATAAAAAATGTGAAGTCAAGAAACAGTGGTGTTTTATTTACTATTTCATAATAGTGTATATTGTACGTAGGCCTATATGGAACATACAAAAGTAACAGAATTTCATATTCTGAAAATTCTTGCCACGTGGATGTAGCGTTAGTAAACCAATAGGAGTTTGCTTAAGCATTACTTGACAGTCAGGAAGAATGTTTTCTTTTTTCTCTTTTTCTTAAGCTTGAATGCAAAGCTTAAATTATAAGGGGTGTAACTGAATTGAAGAGGTGCTTATATTTTAATATATTTCACTGTGAAAATTTTGATATCTTGGAGAGGTTAAAAAGAATGCAGGATATTTGAAGGTTCACTACCCATAAGTAGAGAAGGGCTGCTTCCTTCCTTCCTTCACCCTCTCTTTCTCCATCTTTCTCATTATTCCTTCCTTCCATCCTTGCTCTTTCTTTCCACAAATATTTCTTGAGTGCCTGCTATGTGCTAGAGACTGTGCTAGGTACTGGGAGACAAATTGCTAATAACAGTACTGTGGGATAAATATTCTTAGAAAAGGGTGTTCTAGAGGCATATACAAGAAGCCTTAACCCAGACTTAAGGGATTAAAAAGATATATTCCAAAGAAGTTAATTTTAAGTGGAAATATGAAGGATGAGTGGTGTCAAAGAAGATCTATGAGAGGATTTTGGACATTTAAATAATTATTTACAGTTAGTTGACTTTTGAATACATAGTGAATTTATAAAATGAAACGTGTATTAAGCCTTTGAATTCAACTTACAGATTTTGAAATAGTATTTAGAAATGTGTTAAAAATCAACAATCATGTTGACTTGTAATGAATGACTAATTTAGATAAACTCAAATTGAACACATTAAACCCCCTTAAGCAATCAGTCCTGATGATTATATTAATTAATCAAATATCCTTAAATATAAACATATTATGGAGAAAAGCCAAAGTAAAAAAGATAGTGAGTTCAGAGAGGTGGGTTATAATTTTGTATACAAGAGACGTGGAAGGCTTTTCTGAGTAAATGATTTCTGAGCAGTGATCTGAAGAAAGTGTGAAGAGTCTTGAAAATGTCTGTGAAAAGAACATTCCAGGAAAAGGGAACTGAATGTGCAAATATAAAGCTATTCGGGCACGTGCAAAGACATACTTTTCCTTCTGTATTCTAAAAATTGATACATAAATGTTGTACATACTTATGGGGTACATGTGATATTTTGATACAAGCATGGAATGTGCATTGTGCAAATAGGGGTAACTGGGATACCTATTACCTCAAACATTTATCATTTCTTTGTGTTGGGAACATTTCAAATCTTTTCTACCTGTTTTGAATTATACTATCAATTCTTGTTAACTATAGTGGAACTACTGTCAACACTAGAACTTATTTATTCTATCAGCTGTATTTTTGTACCTATTAACCAACTTCTCTTCTTCTTTGGCCCTTTTATAGTGACCTTGGGTTTAGTGATGACTTTTTAGGTATGATTTTAGAGTCACAATCCATGAATTATTAAGAGAATAAAAAGATAAGCCATAGACTTGGAGAAAATATTCGCAAAAGATATATGTTAAAGGTCTGTTATCCAAAATATGCAAAGAACTCTTAAAATTCAACAACAACAACAAACTCAAGCAACCTGATTAGAAATTGGGCCAAATACCCAAAAAGACCCTTCACTAAAGAAGATTTATTCCTCCCCTCTCCCACCACCCCACAACAGGCCCCAGTGTGTGATGTTCCCCTTCCTGTGTCCAAGTGTTCTCATTGTTCAACTGCCACCTATGAGTGAGAACATGCGGTGTTTGGTTTTTGTCCTTGCGACAGTTTGCTGAGAATGATGGTTTCCAGCTTCACCCATGTCCCTACAAAGGACATGAACTCATCCTTTTTTATGGCTGTATAGTATTCCATGGTGTATATGTACCACATTTTCTGAATCCAATCTATCATTGATGGACATTTGGGTTGGTTCCAAGTCTTTGCTATTGTGAATAGTGCCGCAATAAACATACGTGTGCATGTGACTTTATAGCAGCATGATTTATAATCCTTTGGGTATATACCCAGTAATGGGATTGCTGGGTCAAATGGTATTTCTAGTTCTAGATCCTTGAGGAATCGCCACACTGTCTTCCACAATGGCTGAACTAGTTTACAGTCCCACCAACAGTGTAAAAGTGTTCCTCTTTCTCCACATCCTCTCCAGCACCTGTTGTTTCCTGATTTTTTAATGATCACCATTCTAACTGGTGTGAGATGGTATCTCATTGTGGTTTTGATTTGCATTTCTCTGATGGCCAGTGATGATGAGCATTTTTTCATGTGTCTTTTGGCTGCATAAATGTCTTCTTTTGAGAAGTGTCTGTTCATATCCTTTGCCCACTTTTTGATGGGGTTGTTTTTTTCTTGTAAATTTGTTTGAATTCTTTGTAGATTCTGGATATTAGCCCTTTTTCAGATGAGTAGATTGCAAAAATTTTCTCCCGTTTTGTAGGTTGCCTGTTCACTCTGATGGTAGTTTCTTTTGCTGTGCAGAAGGTCTTTAGTTTAATTAGATCCCATTTGTCAATTTTGGCTTTTGTTGCCATTGCTTTTGGTGTTTTAGACGTGAAGTCCTTGCCCATGCCTATGTCCTGAATGGTAATGCCTAGGTTTTCTTCTAGGGTTTTTATGGTTTTAGGTCTAACACGTAAGTCTTTAATCCATCTTGAATTAATTTTTGTGTAAGTTGTAAGGAAGGGATCCAGTTTCAGCTTTCTACATATGGCTAGCCAGTTTTCCCAATACCACTTATTAAATAGGGAATCCTTTCCCCATTTCTTGTTTTTGTCAGGTTTGTCAGAGATCAGATGGTTGTAGATGTGTGGTATTATTTCTGAGGGCTCTGTTCTGTTCCATTGGTCTATATCTCTGTTTTGGTACCAGTACCATGCTGTTTTGGTTACTGTAGGCTTGTAGTATAGTTTGAAGTCAGGTAGCGTGATGCCCCCAGCTTTGTTCTTTTGGCTTAGGATTGTCTTGGCAATGTGGGCTCTTTTTTGGTTCCATATGAACTTGGACAAAAACCACATGATTATCTCAATAGATGCAGAAAAGGCATTTGACAAAATTCAACAGCCCTTCATGCTAAAACTCTCAATAAATTAGGTATTGATGGGATGTATCTCAAAATAATAAGAGCTATTTATGACAAACCCACAGCCAATATCATATTTAATGGGCAAAAACTGGAAGTATTCCCTTTGAAAACCGGCACAAGACAGGGATGCTGTCTCTCACCACTCCTACTCAACATAGTGTTGGAAGTTCTGGCCAGGGCAATCAGGCAGGAGAAAGAAATAAAGGGTATTCAACGACGAAAAGAGGAAGTCAAATTGTCCCTGTTTGCAGATGACATGATTGTATATTTAGAAAACCCCATCATCTCAGCTCGAAATCTCCTTAAGCTGATAAGCAACTTCAGCAAAGTCTCAGGATACAACATCAATGTGCAAAAATCACAAGCATTCGTATACACCAATAACAGTAACAGAGAGCCAAATCCTGAGTGAACTCCCATTCATGATTGCTTCAAAGAGAATAAAATACCTAGGAATCCAACTTACAAGAGATGTGAAGGACTTCTTCAAGGAGAACTACAAACCACTGCTCAATGAAATAAAAGAGGACACAAACAAATGGAAGAACATTCCATGCTCATGGATAGGAAGAATAAATATTGTGAAAATGGCCATACTGCCCAAGGTAATTTATAGATTCAATGCCATCCCCTTCAAGCTACCAATGACTTTCTTTATAGAATTGGACACATGCCTTTAATCCCAGCTACGTTGGGAGGCTGAGGCATGAGAATGGCTTGAACCCTGGAGGCAGAGGTTGCAATGAGCCAAGATCATGCCACTACACTTCAGTCTGGGCAACAGAGGGAGATTGTGTCTCAAAAAAAAAAAAAAAAAAAAAAAAAGAGCATAGGAGAATATTTTCCCAACCATCAATTTTGCTCAATCTAAACAAAATAATAGTATTGTAGTGTTGTAGTGTAACCCAAATAATTAAATAAATATTCATGAATCAATATTGATACAAGTAAATAAGACGTTAAAGAAACTGGGGAGAAGTGACAACATTTTCTTACCGAAGAATTATAATTCATAAATGTAAAGGAATGAAAAAAATAGAAAATAACTATTAAAACACATAAGTAATAATTGCCACTGTTAAGTTCCACTAATGGATGCCAGAATTATTGGGTAAACATTTAAACAGAAGACATCTGGATATCCTCAAAGTATCTCCCCTTAACCATTTATAAATTTCAAAGCAAAACGTAGTCACTGTACAATGGAGAATTCTGAAAGACACTACCCTAAGCTAAGTGATCAATGTTAATATTAACAACAATATATATCAATGTCATTTATCCCCAGACATAATGTACTGAAAAGGTTACACCATTCTGTGAAATCCTTTTTAATAATGTTGATTTATTATAAGAAAACATTAGATTAATCCAAATAAAGGGAAATTCTACAAAATATGTAACCAGTATTCTATGAAAGTATCAATGTCATGAAAGACAAAGACTGAGGAACTCTCAGAGATTGGAGGAAACTGAAGGGACATGACAACTGTGTGTAATATAGGATCCTCGATTAGATTCTAGAACAGAAAAATGACATTGATGGAAAAACTGGTGAAATCAGAATGCATTCTATACTTTGGTTGCAGTTATATCAAGGTTACCTTCATAGATGTGATTAATCATCTATGGGTATATAAGATGTTAACATAGGGGAAATTGGGTGAACGGTATACAAGAACCCTCTGTGCTACTTTTTTCAACTGTACCACGAGTCTGAAATTATCTCAAAAGAAAATTTTAAAAACAAAGGTGACCAAAACCAAAATTTTATTTCAAACTCACTCTGCATATGAGTTAACTCACATTTTTCTGGTCTCGTCATGCATTTGAATTTGTTAATGTACCTGGGTATCTATAGGACATTATTAGTGTATACCATACTCATATCATTTTTAGAGGAAAGTAGATGAAGGAATTTATCCGCATATAAAGTTGCTATGGTTTGGACCGGATGGCATTTCATTTTGTAAACTTACTAAAAAATGTAACATTTATGATATTTTTGTATCTTTTTTGATAGGTAAAACATTTTCACTCCATCTAGGCATCTAATGTTGCTTCTCTGCCGGAAAGGCATATTTACACAGAGAGTTCAATAACGTCTTCAGTTACACTAGGGTACAATTAAATATCTACTTTTTAAGAAATGTTTGATTAAATGACAATAATATTTAGCTAAAAGAAGCTGTAAATGTTAAATTCCATGTACCAGTGAGGAAAAGGACAAGTTATTCTGAAAGGAGCCGGAAGTTGATGGTTGTGATAGGGACAAGACGCAGAGAAATTCTAGGCAGAAAAGTGGCGGATCCCTGGCGAAAAGCCCATCCTCGAGCCGAAAAGCCTGAGACTGCAGCCCAAAGTGAGAATTTATATCCCTGTTTTCCTGCTCAAATGTTGCCTTTTCTTAAACCACCCATGTCCCTGCCCTGCCTATAAAGACCCCAGAATCAACTGGCAGAGAGGAGAAGCAGCTGGACATCGGAGACTATGGTGAGATGTCGGAGACAAGCGGCTTGACTTCAGAGGGACAGCTTGATGGCATAACTTTATAGAAGAATCCACCTGGAGGTGGTAGGACTTCAGGAGAAGATTACCCCACTGCCTCTTCCGTCCCCTTTTCAGCTCCCCTTCCCACTGAGAATCACTTTCATTGGCAATAAAATCCCCCGCATTTACCATCCTTTAATTTGTTCATGTGGCCTTATTTTTTTCGTGCACACTGGACAAGAGCTCGGAAGCCACGAGTGTGGATACAAAAGGCTGTCATACTGGCCCTTCGCCCTCGCTGGTGGAAGGCAGCCGTGGGCCCACTGAGCTGTTAATATTTAAGCCATCTGTGGATGGCAGAGCTAAAAGAACACTGTAACACGCCCTCTGGGGCTTCAGGCATTGCAGGCCCCCCCCCCCCGCCCCCCACCGCTAGATGCAGCTGCAGGATGTGCACGGGATTTTGCTCTTGCGGGCACCCAAAGGCGCTCGCCCTGGCTCCTGAACCTGCTCACCTGTGTGATCTCTCCCATGAAGGGTGAAACATAGCAGGTCCAAGTGAGTGGAGCTCCCTTTTGCTGGTGCTGAAGTGGCCAGCTGGTTCCAGCACTCATGTACTCCAGTTTCTGCCTAGTTCTCTGCCTCGTTGGCTTGCATGCTTCCTCCTGCGAGAAGTTGAGAGCAGCGGACTGAGTTACCAAGGAACCCCTGTCCTGAGTCCCGTGAAGGGGTCAGGGAAATATCCTGCTGCAGTTGGATCCCTGAAGTCAAATTGCAAGGACAGTGGTCTACTCAGCAATCTGGGATGAGTTTAGGTAATCGTCATAATATTTAAGAAGTTTTCAAAATATTCTGTGGCTTTAAAAACAGAAATATGTTTATTTCAAAAACTCAGTGGAGCACATTATCTTTTCCCCCATATTGTAATGATCTATAAGAGTTATTGAGACAACACTCTTGATAACCCTAACAGAGTACTTCAGAAATCTCACAATGCTAAGCCAGAATAACAAAGAATAAGAACACAAATCAAGCAGAATTAATAAAGCAAACTGAATATGAGTGAATGTAACCTTAGCTAAACTACTTCCTGGACTGAAAACAGAAGCAACATAGTAAGCATTTTTAACAGTGCCCTTGAGTAAACTGGATTTGATTCACAGGGTCACCATCTTCAGAAATGCTATTTAAAGATGCACACTGTTTATTCATTTTCATGTTTTCTCTGTCATTTTCAGTAGCGTCAACTAATCAAATATGTCCATTGTCTTTTTCTTGTAGCAGATTTTCAACTTGGGGAATAAAAATACTATGTTGAAGTTAGAGATAAATTTTCACCCCATGTTACAAGGCTATAACTGCCTGTTTATAAAGTGATTTTCACTGTTGATAAATATGGTATTCTGTCAAATGTTGGTAGCAGTGTTTCCTTTGTCATTGAATGGTAATGTTGAAACTCCTCGTACCTAAAGGCCAAGTAGTAATACTTACACTTTGTGTTTAGAGTTTTATTTTTGTTTAAATTTGGTTTTTTTTAGAGAACTCAATTCTCCCTTGAGAGAGACCTGCCCTGGCACTATGGAATAAGCATGCTACGTTAACTTTCTAAAGGCCACTGGGGAACAATTTACTGAACTGCAAACTTAAAGGTAATGTAGTGCTAAGTGGTATATCCTTCTATCCTTCAAAGACTTTATTGGGCTCCTGTTTCTGGTGATTAGAGTTGAGATACCTCATATGTTTGTTTCACTCAAGTTTGGCTTTTGTTACATGCAAAATGAGAAGGCAGATATACCTAAAAGAGCATCAAAGGTCTAGGTTCTTTTCCCAGGTTATATTTTTACTACTTGCTAACTTTTGAAATTAGGCAATTTACTCAGGCTTTTCTTAGATTCACTTTACTTAACTATTTTAGAAAAAATAATTTGTAGAGATTTATCTAAATATTTCACATGGATATTACAGGGATTGAATCAGTGCGACATATGAGGTATTATAGTTTTGTAAACTACCAAGCAAAATGCAAATGCAAGGTATTATTATCATCAATATGTGGTAGACAATATCATCAATAGTGGTAGACAGAAGTTTCTTTGATGTTTGATTTATCCCCTTCCTGTTTGATTTACCTCAGTGGCATTACTATTTTATTATTAGGCATATGGTACCCTTAGGTTTACTTCCATATTCTGGAAAAAAAAGTCTTCCTAGAAAAGTGCCTGAGTTAAATTTTCAGTAACTATGATTCTATTTACTCTCCCTTGCAATATTTTCATTTGGTTTTTCATATTTTAATGCAATTTAGGCTTTGATCTGAAGGAATGAGGCTAAAATAATAGAATTCTGTGTAGGATGAGATGAGACACTTTCTAGAGACAGGACATCGGTTTTTCCTAGGTCTCTGAGTCAGGCTTTATAAAAGGTTAATAACATTAACAGTCTTCAACCATCTTGAGAAAGGGCTGCAGGCACCTAAATATGTTAGTTATTAGGAATTTATTTGATACATTTTAAGACCCTTTGTGATGATTGAAAAAACATTGAGTTGGCACCAAACAGTAGCCGAGAAACAACTTAGGAACTTGGGAGATGAAATCTATTACATAATTTATGCTCACAATTTGTCTGTGAAAATAATAAGGTGATAAATCCTACATTCTACCGATGGAACAGTTGAGTCCAGAGAAGTTGAACAACTTGTTGAAGATGACAGACATCCCTGTGGAGGAGCTGAGATCTGACACACGTGTTGTGAACACTTTCTCCCCGGGGAGTCTAAAGGGGTGGCTGGAAGCAGGGAGCAGATCCCTTCTCCAAATGGAGCAATTTTGTGTGGGCTTTTTCTGTTTTATATTTGATATTTTGTTTGAGAAAATTATAAGTGTGTGGATGCAACATTAAAAAAATCCACTGCATTAGACTTAGTATATTGTCATTGTTCCCAGTCATCCCATAGATCTCTATATATACACATCATTAGTGATGATTCCATTGAAAAATCGAATAGATAAATAGCATTAGGGAAGTTTATTTAGTTAGTATAACTTAGTGACTTTCAAACTTTTTTGACCACAACTGATAAAAAACAATACTGTGAAATCAACATGACTCAATATACAAATACATATGCATAAAAGAAATAAAAGTGCTACAAAGCAAACACTATGCATTCTGATATTTTTTTATTCTGTTATACTCTACTGAAAACTAACTTTATGACAGTTTAGAAAAGAGAAGTATAAAGAAGGATAATTTTAAACAATTCTTTTCAACTTCCATCATGTTTATTTCAATGATTAAAATATTGTGGCTAAAAAAACTCATCTAGATTTAAAACTGATAGATGATACCATCTAATGGTGAAACTTTACATCAAACTGGGCTTATCACCATTTCCAGAATTAATCTTTTGTATGTGAGTTATTGGAAACACTAGTGGTTCTCTCATTACACTAGAAGTTGCTTTTTGTTTGGATTTTGAAAATGGGCTTCAGTAACAACAATTTTAGTATTATAGGTTAGGTTAATTGAGTTTTGGGTAGGAACCATCTATTTTTGGTGCAGTCCTATTTTATTTCAAAAATATTAAGAATTCAGGAGGTGTCCAGAAGACAAACATTGTGCTAATTAACACTGTTAAGGCCAATATAAGACTGCCTGGGTGGTTGTTGAATGGCACATGAAGAAATGTTGGTGACCATTTCCCATGATCTCTCTTTCTTGGCTCGCTCTTCCTTTTTTTTTTTTTTTTTTTTTTTTTTTTTTTTTTTTTGTTGTTGTTGTTGTTGTTGATGTTGGTTTTTGAGACAAGGTCTCACTTTTTCACCCAGCCTGGAGTGCAGTGGTGCCATCTTGGCTCACTGCATCCTCAACCTCCCAGGTTCAAGTGATCCTCCTGTCTCAGCTCCGCAAGTAGCTGGGACTGCAGGTGTGTGCCACCACGCCCTGCTAATTTTTGTATTTTTAGTAGAGACAGGGTTTCACCATGTTGCCCGGGCTGGTCTCAAACTCCTTAGCTCAAGAGATCTGCCCACCTCAGCCTTCCGAAATGCTAAGATTACTGGCACGGGCCATTGCCTCCAGGCTACTTTCATGTCTCTTTCATTCAGTTTTCTCAGATTTTCTCCCGTAAACTGTCTTCTATGTCCTCCTTTTCCTTTGTCACTTTCTCTTGACTATGCCTTAGGCTTAGGTTTAATTGCAACTTTATCTGGCTTTAAAAGGCAAATGAGTCTAAAATGCTGAAGATACCTCGAGGAGTCAACCATCAAATCTCAGAGAAAGGGCTATAAACTCTTTAATTTTAATTAGGGAATAATGCACGTTTTTCATTTTTATGTTATAGTACTTGCTACTTATCACTTCTTGCTGTGCATTATAAAGAAATTGTTATTCATTCTCCCTTCCAACATATTTACTGATTATATAAATAAATAAGGAGCAGAAATTTAACATGGAAATATTAATTGTTGTTACCAGATACTTTTGGATTCAATAGACGTGCAATATACATATATTACACAGTTTAATTAAATCAACAAAACTAAAGATGACAAATAATTGGCATGCAAGCTCATTCTTCAACACTGGGCTCCAGGCAGACATCCATCCCTAAGCACCAGTCTTTCAAGCAGGCAGTGGCTAGGCCTCAGAGTCCTCCCTAACATGGCATTGTAGGAGACATAGTTTGTTCATTAGATTTGCCATTCTAAGTAGTGTAGTATGACTGCAGTACTTCTCTGCACCAAAATGTTGTCTTCAGTTGTTGAAAATTTGCTTTTCTTCCTAGCTCTGGTTTAATTGAGGAAAATACCAAAGACACAGCTAAGTGAACTGCAGCCAAGGCAAAAGACACCACCTCTGCTGGAGGTGGTGTCTGTTGGCTTGTTCTGTTTCTCTTACTATTACAAACTTGAAGCTGCTTTCTTCCTTTTGTCCTTATTAATTGTCAAAATATAAGAAGCCCTTTTCTGGATATGTTGTCTTAGGGAGCCTATCACACCTTTGATTTCAAATGCAACCATTCCTTGAAAGCCTTCGCGGGCTATCAAATTACCAGGCATCACAGACAGAAATTAGCATCCACAGATTGTGAAAAGAGAAAAAAAATCACAGAATTTTATCCTATGCTCATGCCTGAACCCATTTCCCAGGAAGGGGTATGAGACCTCTGCAATAGGCTTAGACAGGTCAACAGATTCACTCTTCTCCAATAATTGTTGAAAGCAGCTCCCTGAAAATCATGGTTATTTGAAAGAAAGTAAACCAAATGGAGTTCAGTTAGAAGGAAAAATGAGGAAAGTTGAATAGGCAGTAGACAATGTCTGTCACATGGCAGCAATGTGACCATCTGATTTATCACGTATAGTCAATTATCACCATAGACTGCCAGAACACTGACTCCTTAGTCCCATGTCTTGCTGTCCCTCATGGAAAGCAAAAGAAACCTACTAATATCTTAGACCTAGAATAGATTAACTTTTATTGGATATATTATGGCTTAAAAACTGATTGATAGACACTTGCACATGAATTTTATCATAATGTTTGTGCTTGATGGTGTGTAGGTAGGTGATTGGAGAAACATTTTCTAAAGTGTAGGAAGTGTTATAGGGACTCATTTAACTGAGAGTCAGCCCCTGGTCTAAATAGCCTTTGTTTTCTCTGAAGAGAAATAATTTTGAAGATGAGATAGAATTGATTATTACAGGAGCTCTAGATATGGAACTGGTTGTGTTACCTCAACTCTAACAGAAAAATCCATTACATATGTATAGTAATATCTTCAGTATTACAACTAAGTGATGCATCCAATACGTGTAAAGACTAAGACTAAAGATAGCATATTCAAATTTAAACTCAGAGTAATATATCTACACATCTATATCTACTTAAATTATGCACGATCTATATTAAGTTCTATTTATATATATTTTTACTCTGTTATCATTGCAGTTCTGTTTCTTGTCATATTTTAATCTATTGCTGGGTACATTTGGAAATTGCTTTAGAATGTGATAATATGCCTATAGAATCATATTACAATGATTTGCAAATAATGTCACTGCCACTATTGCATTCTCCACTTGGAAAAATGTCTTACTTAGAAAATTTCTCTTAAGGCAAGCAGTAAACGATTTCATCAGAAATAGTTATTTTTTAAATGGTATTTTTCAAGGTTATTGCCAAGTTTTTTTGGGGGTGGGTCATCTTTGTAAATTTGCAAGACTCCAGTGATCAGTTTTCTTCAATTATTCTGTATCCTGTATGATATGATTGTATTTTTCTAAGCATCAAAATCTGATTCATTGTGGAATACTGAATGGATAGCCCTACTGTAATAGTCTTCTGTCTACCCTGTAAACATAACCTTAGAGGGCCAAATAAATTACGTATTGCAGCCTCATTCATTATAGATTTTCTAAGGCCTCTAGGTGCAGACTGGACCTGGGCTCTGTTGGATAAACTTGGTTGAGAAACATTTTGTACTTACAGAATTAAAAGGAGGAGAAGAATCTGCATCATGTGAGATTAGATGACTTGATTCACTGACGTCTATGATGGGTGTGTTGTGCAGATGAGCTGAGAAGAAAGAGCCTGCTTTTTCTTCTGTTGAACTATTCACAGGAAACCACCCATGTCTGTGTTTTTCAGAAAACATGAAGATATCTCCAGCTAGTGGAATAGCAGCCTCTTTTCAACTGCCTTTGACTTTTCTTTCTGCTGCTTTTGAAATGACTCTAAAAAAGTGAAAGATTAAAGGAAAGCAGTCTGCCAAATACCTGAAAGAAACCCGTTTTTGGAACTGAGCTTATAAATGTAAGCTTATAAACAAGGACTCAGGCTCCAACAGAAAAAGAAAGGATAAAAGGGCCAAGGAATTCCTCTGTCCTCTGTACTCAGAGAATGTTCCTTCTTTGTTGAAGGGAGAAAAATGAATAGAATGAACAGCTCTTGGCCCCAGTTTGTGCCAGGATGGTGTTGAGGAGGTAGATGAACTTTCAGACATGTGTGAAGGGTAGAATTATTTTTCCCATTATTATTTTAGACTGTGTGAATTCACTCTTCTCAGGGGCCACCCTGCACCATTGCAAGGACAAGGCTGCAGGAGAAAGCAGGGAAGTCACATGCTTGGGCTTTTTCTATAATTGTTTATGGGTTCCTAGTCAAGCTAATTTTGAGGATAAGAAAGACATTTCCCAGTGGATCTATGCTGCTAGCTGATGTGTTGCTTTCCCCTTTAAATCTGACACAGCGATACCCTTGCCTTTATTTTTCAGTGTTCTTTTCAGTTGAACCTTCATGCAGAGTATGAGGCTTTTTACAGGTATCTAGTCCCTCCCAGCATTCAGCCAAAGTTTCAATATTGTTTAAAAAGACATAAATACAGGGCATCTTGGAATGATGAAAGAAACTCTGAACAATTATAGCTCCCTTTCTGAAGTTTCTGCTTTGAGAAGACTATTTCATATCTCCCTTTAGTGCCTTCATATAGTCAGTCCAAACCTTGGAGCACCTTCCTTGAATAAATCTGAATTCTTTTGCTCTACCCATCTTCAGTATTTTATCTTGGTTCTCATGGATGATTAGGTTCCACTTAAATACACTTTTTCATATGCTGTGCTCCTCCTAGCAAGATAGAAATTGTTGGAAAACTATTTTTTGAATCATTAGGAAGGCTTTCTCTTATTTTGATATTCATCACTGCTTTTATTATTACCACAATAGCAAAGCATGATCTTGCCCGAAAGGGAGATCACTATTTTACATTCATAAATTTAGAAATACCTGTCATGCAAAATGCTGAAGGCATTCTTTAATTATTATTGTTTCTTTCCGATAAGCAAGAAAGGTACATCATATTATTGATTCCTGTGTCTATGTCACATGAACATTTTAATTATGTGAAAAAAGGATATAGTTTAAATTAGTGGGTACCTGGCATAATTCAAGTTTTGTAAGAATGAGCGTCCTCTGGCAACCCAACTGCCATAACAATTTACTTCTATTGCTCTTCTCATGATTAATATCTTTAAATGAGAAGCAGTGGGAAGCAACGACAACAAACTCTTGAGAAGGAGGAGAAATTTAAAAGTTATGCTTCCACTATGACTATTTTTAAACTTAAGAATGAACTATAGAATGGTTAGGGAGAGTATTGAAAAGTACTTTTTACTGCTCTGACTGAAGGCTTCTGAAGAGAGGGACTCATGGTTTATGAATAAGTAGAAGAATAAAGGGGATCTGGTCACAAAAGACTAATGACAGGGAGGAGACCTGTAAGCACAGAAAAAATTGCTGCCATAAAACAGCGCATGGAAGCTAGATAAGGAAGGAGGAAATGAGGACCATAGATTATAGACCCTATGTTTGCAAACTCTCCTCAAATACCTCTTCAGATCACTAACAATTCTCACAATGCAAACAAATACGAAGGTATTTTGTTCATTTTGGTAAACTCCCAAGAATGATTTGATGAGACCTGGGCTATATGTCAAGCACTTTTAATTAGCACTCTTAAATGACTGGTTTGGCATGTTGAGTAGAAACAAAGAGTTTTTTTAGAAGCAGATTGAATATCTTTTCAATAAATCCCCCTTTATTTTCAGGGTTTTGAATATTAAGCTCAGAGCATCAATTGCTAACATCAATCACAATCATTACAAATTTCTCCAAATCTTTTTTGCATTCTTAACATGGATTTCAGGAAAATTTTAGTGGTAGTAGTTGCATAACGCTAGTTCCAGCCCTGTGTCATGGCTCAAAAATATGTAAGAGTCTAGAAGAGATGAGTGAAAGAAAAAGCTGCTGTGTTTGTGTTTTAGAAGCAGCGTCTTAGGAAGTGGCAAGAGCTGAAAAAGGTGGCAAGAGTTGAGGCAGGTGGTACAGGTTAATGGTGTTAAATGTTTAATTTTGTCTAGGAAGAGCAAGTGCACAATGGGAAGTACTAACTTGTCTGCTCTCACCTCATTGATTTTTCAGTAAAGAGATTGTGAACTATTCCCACCTCATTCATATCTATTTTACATTCATCTAACCTGTCATATGGACAGAAAAGTGAATGAAGTAAGCGTTTCTTTTTCTTTGTTTTTGAGTGTGCTTGTTACTTGCTGCTTGACAGTCAAATTGTGAGTTGAAACTTAGAGGTTTTGGATTCTTTGAGTTATTTAACTAGCTTACTTGTTTGTTTGGCTGTTGGAGATCAACTTGTTACTAAGTGCATTAAAATTGTTAATTTTATATCTTAGAAAATAAAAATAACCAACCTCTAAGAGAGATCAGTATATTCATAAATATTTCTTTTTTGAAAGTCAAATATAGGTGCTCCTTGATGTGAGATTGGGTTGGATAAACTCATTGTAAGCTAAAAATTTTCTAAGTTGCAAATGCACTTAATACACCTAAGTGACTGAACATTATAGCTCAGCCTAGCCTACCTTACATGTGCTCAGAACACTTAGATTAGTCTACAGTCAGCAGAATCATCTAACACAAAGCCTATTTTATAATAGACATGTAAAAAATTTAGAATCAAAATTCAAAGTATAGTTTCTACTGAATGCATATTGCTTTTGCAACAATTATGTCAAACTATTATAACATGGGGATCATCTATATACGACTATTTTTTAAATTATACTCTTGTGAAAAGTATTTTAGTCTTGAAGATAGCCCACCTAACTCATCATATTTTAATTATTATGAAGTGGGGTGACTATTTGTCTATGCATAAGCCCTGGTTATATTCTTCAACTGGTCATAAGATGCTATCAACTCTATCCTCAGCTTGACTTGCTGTCAAATAAAAGTATTTATATCAAATTAGTACACAGAATATGGTAGTCCAAATATTTTTTAGATTATAATATCCCAAATATTTATAAAAGATTGGTTGTAAGAAAATTGTTCTAAAGGTTGTCTAGAGAATAATTATCAGAAGACTATTTGTGGAAGGTTGTCTGCAGAATTCTCTCTTTGTCATATTTTATATGTATATATAGTTTATATAATGTGTGTGTTTATGTGTGTGTGTTTATGTGTTTGTGTGTGTGTGTGTATGTGGGTGTGTGTCTATAGCTTTAGAACAAACTAGGTTCCCTGAATCATGGTATACCCACAAAAAATAAAAATAAAAGGTAAAAGAGTAAAGGTGTTTGTATTAGTCCATTCTCACACTGCTATAAAGAAACACCTGAGACTGGGTAATTTATGAAGAAAAGAGGTTTAATTGATTTAAAGTTCCACAAGGCCTCAGGAAACTTACAATTACAGGAAACTTACAATTATGGTGGAAGGAAGCAGACACGTCTTACATGGTGGCAGGCGAGAGAAAGCATGTGTCAGCACAGGAAAAACTGCCATTTACAATACCATCAGATCTTGTGAGAATTCACTATCATGAGAACAGCATGCGGAAAATCGCCCCCATGATCCAATCACTTCCCACCAGGTCTCTCCCTAAACACCTGGGAATTACAATGCAAGATGAGGTTTGGGCAGGGACACAGAGCCTAACCATATCAGTGTTCAAAAAATTTTCAGGGTTAATTTATTTGTGAAACACTGGGTTTCAAAAATGTTTTCTAAATCTTCAAAAGGTGAAAGCTGTTGCTGTTCTAGCTACTTTAAATTTCAATCTTGGTGTAATTTATGATACTAAATCATTATGGTCTTGGAACACAATGTTTTGGCTTTCATTGAGTTGTAGTTTTGTGACAGTCATTGTCCTTCATCATGGAACTTCCTGGACTAGACCTCTGAAACATTGCTAAATGTACTTCAGGAATGTTGTTGAAACGTTGATTTATTACAGTTAAACTTTCCCCCTTTATAAGGTCCCATGGGACAAAATTCCCTCAGGCCTCACTGTCAAGAGTAGATTTTCTTCTTTAAAGAAAGGTTATTACTATTCATTACTATTTTAAATTCTTAGGAGAATGATAAACTGAATGTTTGAATATACTTTTCACTTTATACTATCAGCAAGCTCAGAGTCAAAATTGCCCCTTATCTCTAAAAAAGCTTCTCGACCTTTGGTATAACTTTGGTATACTCCTAACTTGATTTTCTTTTCCCTCATTTTACTTTAGCATCTCCCAATCTTCACCAAGTTTTTAAAATTAGTTTTATTACATCAATCCGTTTAGAGTGATTGTTATCTTTTTGGAATGAGATGGAGACAGATTCTATGCCTTTTCTTATAATTGAGTAGTTACTCAATTATAAGCTTTCCCGTGACAGCATTCATGTCTTAATCATATGTTATTTCTGTCACAGATAAATACACTATCTTGTTCATAATACATGTTGTATTCATTTGTTTACCTGTTACATCTTAATCACTATGTAGCCTCTGGAGAAACAGTACAGCACAGAGTGTGTCCTAAGGAACTTAAAGGATGGAGTTGCTATGTACAGAGATGAGGAAGACTGCAGGAGCCCGAGTTTGTGGTGAGGATGGGAAATTAGAAGATCAAATATGGACAAGGCAAGTTTGAGATGAACACATTTGCAATTACATTTTCCTAAGAACACTTCTAGTCCTTCTTATAATCAATGACTCACATTTAAGAAAAACAGTGGCATAGATTTTGGCCATCACCCCTGCTATTTTCCCTCTTTCTCTGGACAATCAAGCAGCATCTCATTCTTCGGGGCATACCAAATACATCAGGTCCTCTGAATCCAGGTCTCAGAGCTTGACTACTAAAGAAGATAAATGAATTTGCAGTGGTGATGAGATGGGTCCTCCCCTCACCTTGACCTTTCGTGGTCAAGAATCAAGAGAAAGATCTGAGGATTCCAGGCTGAGATCAACGATTACGATATGTTTAGCAGAACTCCAGGACTCAGCATGCTCTGCTAGTCCCTACTCATAAAGCACTCACAGGTCTTCCCCACATTTTCTACCCCCAGGGAAGGACAGAATCAGGCCACTGAGGCACTGACCTCAGGGGTAAAATCTTAAGGAGGCACCAGTAAGTCTCAGCAATTAAGATCAATATTATCTTAGTGCAATGTTTATAAAAATCAGAATTATTGCAAAACATCTATGGATTAATAACAGTTCCATGCCCATGCACATTGGAGTCTGGGACAAAAGGAAAAATCGGTAATACTGATTCTGTTTTTACTTAAAATTCTGACAATTTTTTTTTCAGAAACTCATTGCTTGTTCATGGTCATTTGTTTATCATGGATTTTAAAATTTGGCACTACTTAAAATATTGCTGCTGAAGTCGGTGCCTAACTCCGCTCAACCCAAATCCCAGACATGTCTAGATTGATCCATCTTTTTTCTTTTATCTCTGTTTATGTCCGTTGCCACAGGAATATCAGGTTTCATACCCTGAGCTGTCAAACTCAAGGATTCTCCCTTTGTCTCACTCCATCCCACTGTTACCTTTCACCCTGTCTTCCAGAATTCAGTTATTTAAGAGCTTATAAGAGTTATATTGAGAGATTTTATCTCTCATGTCTACAAGCCGTTTCTTAATGCTTTCTTCACTTTTTCCATGATTTTCCTGTTTTCCCTGTTGTCCTCTCTAGTGATGGCTGTTTTCTTTCTCACACTTCTTATGACACTGGTCTTGGGATGGGGTAGATGCCTTTGCCCAGTATAGCTGCGTCCAGGCCCCTTTCCTTCCTTTTCTCTGTAACCAATCAATTTTCAATATCATGTGATATAAACATACCATAAACCACACTTCTTTTTTGTAGTCACCCACTGACTCCAATATTTGTCCTACTTAGTTATGGTTCTTGCCGATTTCAATATCCATTTCAATGAATTTTCGAATAAGCTAGTTGCAAAAGTCTTTGCCTAACTTTGTTCCAATGATCTTGTCCTGCACCCTAGCACAGTCATTCACTCCTGTGGCCATAACATAGTTCTCCTCATTACGAAAAGACAACACATTTATAGCCTTAATTTTAAGCATCCCGCTTTTCAAACATCTCTTCATATGGCTGGGTGTGTTAGCTTGCACCTGTAATCCCAGCATTTTGAGAGGCCAAGGTGGGAGGATTGCTTGAGCCCAGAAGTTCGAGACCAGCCTAAGCAACGGAGTGACACTCTGTCTCTACAAAAAGTAAAAATTCCCAGGCACGGTGGCACATGCCTGTAGTTCAATCTACTCATGAAGCTGAGGCAGCAGGATCATTTGAGCCCAGGAGGTCTAGTCTGCAGTAAGCCATGATCGTGCCGCAGCATTCACTCCAGCCTGGGTGACTGAGCAAGACTCTGTGTCAAAAACAAAAAGAAAAATATCTATCTATGTCTTTTCATCTCATATTTCCTAGTATCTCCAATTCAACAAGTCTTTGAGCACATTGGTATAATCTATGGATTCTGCCACTTTTTTACCGTATTTCACCATCCTCTCACATCTGTAGATGCTTTCTTACTCAGGTTAGATTCTGTCATGTGGCATCAGATATTTCCTTTACACATATTATCCACTTTCTTACCCATCTCACCTTATTATACTTTCTAGGAAACATGTTAAACCTGTTTAAATATGACTCTCCACCTTCACTGTCCCTGCACCTACACAGAAAATGCAGTTGGAGCAACATATATAAAACCAGGCTGACTGGTCTCACTTTATATTTATGACCTTTAATCTCGAGTGAGCCCTCAGTACTTCAGAGCCATTCTCTTCTATTGCCCTGGTTCATTCACTATCACTCTCATATACAAGTGTTTAATACTTCTCTCTTTTCTAAACTTCTAGTTCTTCCATCCTCACCCTTAACCAATTATCTCTCCCTCTACTATGCTGAGAAAATAATGAAAATTAGCAGACAGTGTCTACAAGCTCTCATCACTGCATCTATCTATATACCTATATCTGCACCCATATATTATACTTTATACCTCCATGGTTGAACTGACTGTGCATCTGGTAAGGATGAAATGTCCATTTGTGTAATTGATCTACTTGCCTCACACCTCCCTGGCTCAAGACATCCATCTAAATATTTTCTTCCTGCTCTCCTGATTCAAAAGTTTTCCCCTTTCTACTAGATAGTACTAGTTGATTTATAAACCTTTGCGATTTCTCCCATCTTTAAACAAGCAAACTGAAAAACAAAATGCCCCTCATTCTCCTCTGGTCACTTTTCACTTCTTTGTCACCTTTTAGAGAATAATAGTTGAATCGGTGTCTATACCTGCTGCCTCTGATTATGTCCAGCTTTTGTCTGGAACACTCCTCAGTCAGGGTTTTCTTCCACCCACTACTCTATCGAAACTCTCTTTTCAAGGAACCAAATCCCTTTTCTCTATTAAACTGAATAATCGTTTTCAAGTCTTGATTTTTCTTGACATATCAGCTGCACTTGACCCAAATGTCAACCTTCTTCCTTGATGTATCTTTCACACTTTGTTTCTAGATCACCACACACTTTGTGTCACTCTTAACTTACTGAATTCCCCTTTACTTCTTACCTAACCTCTCAAACTCTAAATATTGGAATACTGTGTTGGAATAGTCAATCCTCAGAACTCTACTCTTCTTTCTCATACACTCCTTTAGTAATACCATCCAGCCTCATGGTTTTAATTAACATATTTAAATAGTAGAATCCCAAAATTTATCTTTAGCCCATTTGATTATCTGATAAGCATCTGAAACTTTGTGTCCTAAAGTAAACTTTTGATTTACCATCTTCGATGGTTAGTTTTATAGTCAACTTGACTGGACCATGAGCCACTCGATAGTTGGTTAAATATTATTTTTGCTTGTGTTTGGGGGGTGTTTCTGGAAGAGATTAGCATCTGAATTGGTAGGCAAAGTAAAACAGATGATCTTTCCCAATGTGGGTGGCCTTTATCCAATCTGTTGAGCAATTAAATAGAACAAAAATGTAGAGAAAGGTTGCACTGGCCCTCTGCCTGACTCTGTGAGCTGAGACATCAATCTTCTCCTCCCCTCAACACTTCTTGTTCTCAGGCCTTCAGACCCAGACAGGAATCTCCATAATTGGGTCTCTAGCTCTCAGGCCTTTCAACACCACCATTGGCTTTCCTGGGTTTCTAGCTTGCAGACACCAGATGGTGGAACTTACTGGCCTTCATAATTGCATGAGCAAATACCTTATAATAAATCTCTTCATACCTATATCTGTATTCTGTTGATTCTGTTTCTCTGGAGAACCCTGAATAATATACATCTGCCCATCCCCCTCCAAGTGGAATTGTTTTAGTCTTCTCCCTCTTGGTGAATGACTAATTTACCCTCTAAATTCTCAAATCTAAAACGCTTGACCATATCTATGACCAAATCCTACTTTAAAATATATTCTAAATATAAAGACTCTTCATCATTTCCATTCATTTTATTTTGGCCCAAGTCAGTATTCTCTCTTGGCTGGATATTCTCAAGTAATTGTTTTGTTTTCTCCTCTTTCCTTCCTACAGTCTAATTCAACATAGCAGCTAAAATTATCCCTTCAAAATACAGTATCAGGTGACATCACACCCCTGTTCTAAATACTTCTTGGCTTCCATCACCCTCAGAATAGAGCCTGGGTACTTAAAATGGCATATAGGAGCCTACATGATTCACCCTCCCACAACATCCCTGGCCTCGCCTTCCACTACTCTCCTTCTAGCTCATTCATCCAGACACACTGCCTTCTTTTCCATCCCTTGAACACACCAGTCATGCTTACATAGTCTCAAGCCTCTTGTCCTTGTTTTACCCTGTTTGGAAGGTTCTTTTTTTAAGAAATTAGCATGGCTTATTTCCTCAATATCTTCGAGTGTTGTCTTCTTAGTGACACTTTCCCTGACTACCTTATTTTAAATTATCTTGACCCAGATTTCCCTCTTCCCCTTTTTTATTTTTCTTAAAACCAGTCATCATGATTTGATCTATTATGTTATAAATTGTTTGTTTATTACCTATTTGTCTCCTTGCTTTCCCTAAATACAAACACTAGACAACAAGATCTATGAGGGCAGAGATTTGGGTCTCTTTTTTTCATTACTGAAATCCAGCATCATGAATAATCCTGGGAAGTATGTTCAATAAGTATTTTTTCAATGGCTTGGTCAATAGATACATCTATGAGTGGTTTATTTAGATCTAACACATTCATTTCCCTTTGTTCATTAGTCAACTTACTATTTCATGGCACCAAAATATGAGATGGTAAGAAAGGCATATTTTTCTACTGTCAACAGTCTGGTGGGAAAGAACCCTGAGCAAATGTATTATTTACATTTTACATGTATATATATATATAATTAATAATATGAAATAACCATAGCTACAGTGGTTTATCTCCTAATGACTACTAATACTTTACAATTGATGACATTTTCATATATGCAAATCACCTACATTGAATATTCTAGATGACTTTAGTCAAATGCCTTCAGAGTTCAAGAAAAAGGCATAAATTTGTGAAAAGGGGCCATTGGAAAAATAGGAAATGCTTGCCCCATCTGAAGTGGACATCCCCTGCTCAGACTCAAACCCATAATTGCTATGTGTTTATATAAGTTAAATATTACCAGATCCTCAGGGTTTAAATTGGAAATTTGTATTTCTATATGAAATCTCATCATGTTTAAAAGTAGGCAATAAATTAAAAATACAAAAAAAAATTGGAGCACACCAAGGACCTCCTCAAGTTGCATTTGTCTCCTGGGTCTCCTGCTTGAAACCTTTGCTTTTGGTCCTTGTGTGTTCATCTGGACAAGCCCAACCACTGCTCAGGTTTAATGCCTATTGGTAGTGTATGGACAGAAAGCCCTCTGACTCCTTGATCATGGCTTATAATATTTTCAGTTTCTGGGCAAATGGGGTCAGAATTTGACAGGCTCTTCATTCCAGGTTGTTACAGTGCTTCTAAGGTTTATAAAGAATATCTTCTCTAGATAAAGTCTGCATTTTCAATTTTGAGATGGGACTTTACAGGGTATTGTACTTTATAAATTTATCCCATTACCTTGTGCTCTGTTCTTATCAACGTAACTCTAGAACACTCATTCACTTGTCCATTAAAAAGGTATTTAGTGAGGGTCTATTATATGCTATGCACTGTGCTGGGTGTTTCTATGTGCTTACTCAATGACAAATGCTATTTGTTAAGACAGGGAATCAATATCTATTCTCTTCTCCCTTAGTAATAGCACCGGGTTAATTTGGGATGGCAATGTATCTAGCTAAAGATGACATTTCCCCTCTTGATTGCAGATTGTTGCAGCCGTGCAACTAATCCTGCCTAATGAGGTTCTTATGAGTTGACTTGTGTTCCTCAAAAGGATATGCTGAATTCCTTAACTCTAGTACTTTGGAATGTGACCTTGTTTGGAAATAAGGTCTTTGCAGTTGTAATAAAATAAGGTCCTTTTGGAGTGTGGGAGCTCAATCCAATGGCTGGTGTTTTTATAAGAAGAGGAGATGAGACACAGAAAGTGCCATGTGAGGACACAAACAAAGGAAGAACACCATGTAATGACAGAGGCAGAGATCTTCGTGACGCAGCTGCAAGGAAGGAACGTCGAGCATTGAGCTGCTGACGGTGGCCCTCAAAGGAGGAAAGGAGGGATTCCACCCAGGATCTCAGAGAGAGCATAGCTCTGCTGACACCTTGATTTTGAACTTCTAGCCTCCATCACTGTGGGAAAATAGACTTCTGTTATTTTAAAAAACCTGGTTTTTACATGTTATTACAGAAGACTTAGGGACCTAATACAGAGGTATAAGAAAAAGTTTTCAGGAGGAATTTCTGGGAATACTTCTTTATATGAGGCTTACATTTAACTGGAAATCTGACCATGTTAATCTGTGCTCCAGCTAGCACGTTAAAGCATGTGGCATATGTGAGGATGGGATCCACATCCTAGGGATGGTAAGAGAACTGTGGAATAAGCCTGGGTAGATGGGTCATGTTGTAAAGCTGCTATACTAGTCCTGGAAGCCCTACCTCTGGCCTTCTTTAATATGATATTTAAATAAACCTCTGTCTTATGTAAGCATAGCACTGTTTTTTTTTTTTTTTTTTTTTGAGACAGTCTTGCTCTGTCACCCAGGCTAGAGTGCAGTGGCGAGATCTCAGCTCACTGCAACCTCCACCTCTGGGGCTCAAGCAATTCTCCTGCCTCAGCCTCCCAAGTAGCTGGGATTACAGGTGCCCGCCACCGCACCTGGCTAATTTTTGTAGTGTTAGTAGAGATAGGGTTTTGCCGTGTTGGCCAGGCTAGTGACATTGAATTCCTGACCTTAAGTGATCTGCCTGCCTCGGCCTCCCAAAGCGCTGGGATTATAGGCGTGAGCCACTGCACCTGGCCGGGATTTCTTGTTGTATGCAGCCAAACCTCATTCCAACTCATATACTGGATGTGACTTATAGACATATATCATATATACACAGATGTGAGTATAGTGGAGAGCAGTGTCGGGGAGACAGGCAGGGAAATTCAGGAAATGCATCATGGAGGGGGAAATTTGTGAACTGGGGAAGGAAAGTAAAAGAAAAACAACTGACACAGACAACACTTCTGACACCAAATATGTTGGTTCCCTGCCCCCTCCCCCCAGCCACCCCCCCCACCACCCCCCCACCACCCCCCACCACTACCCCATCCCTCCCCCACCTCCCCCACCCCCCCAACCCCCGCCAAACAATTCAACTCTGGGTCAATAGTGAGTGAATGTGCTACCATTCAACTTAATTCTGGCCCTAACTGCCAGAACTGCCCTAACCTGCACACTCCACAGGTTAAGGCTCAGTCCCACAAAACTGCCCCGTTTAGATTCCAGTCTGGCCTCTGGAACTTCGGATCTACCAGGTTTAATCGGGGGTCCCAAGACTGCCTCCTTGGATTTGATAATTTGCTATAGTGGCTCAAAAAACTCAGGGAATCACTTACTTCTATTCACTGGTTTGGTATAGAGGATATTACAAGAGATAAGGAGAAACAACCATATGAAGAGGTACATAGGGCAAGGTAAGGGGCAGGGGCAGGGGCAGGGAGTGTCCATGCCCTCCAGGCACATCATCATCTTCCCAGCACCTCCATGTGTTTATCAACCCAGAAGCTCTCTGTACCCCTTTTTTAAAAACAGTTTTTATGAAGCCTTTGTTACATAGCCATGCTTGATTAAATCGCTGGGCGCTGATGATTAGACTTAATCTCCAGTTCCTCTCTTCCTCCCCAGGAGGGAAGGTGGGGCTGAAAATTTTGACCCTGAAATCACATGGTTGGTTCCTCTGACAAGCTGCTTCCATCGCCTGTAGTCACCTCATTAGCATAAACTCGGGTATGGTTGAAAGGGGCTTATAATGCTCCTGTCATCCTTATCATTCCGGAAGTTACAAGGGTTTTAAGAGTGGAGACATAATCCTGTGCCAGGAACTGGGGATAAATGCCAAATATGTATTTATTATTATGTCACAATATCACAGAAGGAAGAAATGGAATTGAGAAGGCACCAAAAATTAAGGTCATTTCTATTATATAATTTTCTGACGGCTTTACTGATATCAACTATTACGGTGATACCAAAAACTACCTCATATTCATACGGGCCATTGTGTGCAAATGCCTGCTTTGGAGAGTTGATTCCTAAAAAACAGTGAAATGTTAGAAAAACAGATTTTTTTTAGGTTCAGCAAGTCTAGGCTAAAGTGTTTCCTCCCTGGTCCTCATTAAGTGTGATTTATGACTTGTTATCTAATATACCTGACCCTCAATTTACTCATCTATAAATTGGAATAAAAACATTTGACCTACAGGCTCTTATGAGAAATAAATGCGGTAATACATGTAGAAGTACCTAATGGAAAATATATGAGAAATTCATCTAGAATTAAATGAGATATAAATGAGATATGACAAACAAATGTAGACATTACAAGTAGAAGTGCCGTAACACCCTATTATGTGTTAGATATTCAATAAATGTTATTTCTCCTCCATTCTTCTGGTGGGGAGGGAAAGGCAATTCTTAATGCAATTTTTTAATGCTTTGCTGTGTGTAGCATATAATGTGGCAATACACTAAAAAGCCAAACTTGTGTGTTTAAAATATGGCTTCAGAGCAGATATTATTTGCTTAAAGGGGTTGATAGACACATTTAGAGCTTCTGGGGCCTGCTCAGTTCAATCAGCTTAAGGGTGTATTATCTTTCAGGTGTTAAGAGGAAAATTTTAATACTTGAATAACTTCTTTAAAATATCATGGGAAATATAAAATACATGTGGGAAAAAAGCTATATACATAACTGTAGCCAACCGTATTATTTCTCACTTACATCTTGTTATAGAATAGTTTTTTCAAAAAACAGTTTGGCTCCCGATGGAAAAAGTATAGATACTCTTAGGCTTAGCTTGACCATTTGGTTAATACGATTAGGAAACAGGATATCTCTAAAATATTGTATTGCTTACTTTTAGTTACATTTTCTTTCTCCTAATGTAGCTTAGGACCTGGGAGTAATTAGGGAATCCTCGCACTGTATCATAGCTCTCCATTTCATTTAGAAGCTTCATCTTGTTTCCTACCCCAGTCTCAGATTTTTCTACATTTTGGGTTTAATTCCTTTCTTGGATTGGAACTATGTAATTTGTGACTTGAGTAATGCAGAGTAACATTTTATCTTTGATTAATGACCTTCAAAGCTTTCCTAGTTGTCTTCTCTAGATCCCAGTTCCAGGTGCCCAAATGTACTGCCACATGGTTCTGATTTTGAAACCACTTGATTATTTCTGTGACAATTTCCTCTCTTCCCTTTGACTTGAGCCACCTTTACTTGAAGCACTTGCCCCACTCTAGGTTTGCAGAAATAACTTAGCTCCCAATGGGAAAAATATGGATTCTTGGAGACCTGTCTTATTCTGACTGTTAAGATGGTTTTAATAATCAGGCCATGTGCTACAGTTAACTAGATTTCCTATTCGTTTTATTAGGCATGAGTGCATTTCTTGGTTTTCTTCTTTAGATCTTCATAAAGTCTCTTTTATTCTGTGCATTTCACATAGGAGGTGGCATTCCAACTTTGTATCCCATGCACTTCTTTTGTGTTTCATTTACCTGACTCTGACTTCTGATCTGTATTTCTTTTAGTGCTAATGTAAGTGCCTGCCTTTTGCTCACCATGAATATACTCGAAATCAGCTACTTGTATCTAGCCATAGCTAATGGTATGCACTTACCTTGCTTGGATGAGGAAGAGGAAGACTGCTCCAAGTAAATCTTCCTCCTGCCAGATTCCGGCCACTTCTGATTTAATCCACACTCTTGACTGAACCTCTGCTCTGACTTTTTTGACCTAACTGATTTTCTTATGTTGGATTCTTCAACTTTCATGCCTGTACTCGTAAGAGTAGATGATAATGAGCTTGAATAATTATATCGTTTGTTTTATGTGCATATAGGAACAAAAGATTAAAAATGTTAAATTGTAGCTAAGCAGAGTCTAAATGTGGCCTTTGGCAAAACTGTAATGCAAGTCAAGTGTCTTATGAGTGCCCTTCCATCTCCTCCTGAGGTGGTCCTTCTCTTTCTCTCCTTTCGCTCTCTAAAACATTCTGTAATCTCTAACTGCCCCAGGTCGTCCCAGTTGGAAGTTGATGGGAAAACTTTTCTATACTGAGCTGTTAATGATAGCCTGTTAATTCTCCTGGGATATTTACGTGATGAAAGAGCACTACAGGAAGGATACTTGAGAAATGTTCAGGTTGCACCTTCTACTGCATTACTTTACAGAAAAATATCTCCCATACGGTTTGATTCAAATGACTAAATTGATTAACCGAAAGTTAGGAGGATAAACATATCGTTATTAACCTTTTTACTTTAAAAAGAAATGACACACAAAAATGGATCATGTATCACCATCATTTTATAAATGAAAGAAAATCTTAAGAAAAAAGAGAGGACATGATCTCAGAGTAAAGGACAGTGTTTTTCGTGAAATAACATATATTGTTAATTCCCAATACAGAACACTTACATGAAATTTTTTTTGTATGTGTTTTTGTGCTACAAGTATTTTAAGTTGATATATTTAATAGTAACAAAAATAAAAAGAAGGAATAAAGGAAAGAAGAGAGGAAGGAAGGAAAAAAAGAAATAAAGGAAAGGAGTGTGAAAGGAAAATAAATCTTGGAGCCCGCAAATCACAAAGCTAAAGGGAAAAGACAAGTGGGGAACTGCTTAGGGCCAACCTGCCTGCCCTTCTATTGAGTCACCCCTCTGTTCACTGAGATAAATGCATATCTGGTTGCCTCCTTTGGAGAGGCTAATCAGAAACTCAAAAGAATGCAACCATTTGTCTCTTACCTACCTATGACCTGCAAGCCCCCTCCCTGCTTCAAGTCTTCCTGCCTTTGCTTTGAGTTGTCCTGCCTTTCCAGACTGAACCAATGTTTATCTTACATATGTTGATCAATGTCTCATGTCTCCCTAAAATGTATAAAACAAAACTGTGTTCTCACTACCTTGGGCACATGTCATCAGAACCTCCTGAGGCCGTGTCATGGGTACGAGTCCTCAGTCTTGGCAAAATAAACTTTCTAAATTAACTGAGACCTGTCTTAGATTTTTGGGATTCACAGAAGAAGAAAGAAAATAAAGTGAAAACCAGATGTTCAGTTTTCTCCAGGACACTAATTTTTAAAGTCACACACATTTTTGAAAATCTAATTGCAGGTGGGTCTATTTATGATAATGTAGAGGCCAAGGGCCCTCTGAAGGTTTGCTGAAAAAAAAATCAACTCACAAAAGGCAAATACATAGGAGAAAAGGCATACACATTTATTTCATTCTGGGATCCTTCAGAATGAAGACTCAAGCCTCCAATTGGGTACAGAAAGAATGTGGGCTCAGAGCATGGCCAAGAACAGGTCTTAGTGACATGACAGGTTATGGGAGAGGCTTGGCTAGCACAAGTGGCCTTGTTATGTAGACAAAGCCTCACTGGTAGTAGCCCCCAGAGAGAATAGATGGTAAATGTGTCTTTTCAGACTTTGAAAGGTGTCACTTTCAGTTACTTTCTCCTAGATGTGAGAAAGACCTAGAAAGGGAATGCCTGACTACATTAATGAAGATTCTCTACATATACAAATTTCCCCCACAAAAGACAGTTTTGCAGGACCATTTTGGTCTGCTGGCCCTGCGGCAGCCATCTTAAAATATGTCAAAAAATATACTTTGGAGTTAAATATATTGATGTCCTTCAATAGAAATGTTAAACTTTATCTGAGTCCTGTGCTCCTAGAAAGCAAGGATGGTCGAGAAATTCACGCCCTGCTTTTCCGTTCTGAGAAACGGCTAGGTTGATAACTAAGACCCCTGCGATGATCTAGTATATTCCCAGGTGTGACCTATTTCTACCCTTCTTCAACCGCTCTCTTGTTTTATAAAACTCTAGGTTCTCTCTCTCCCATCTTTGACACGTTCCTCATTAATGAACATTCTCCCCCTAATGCAAGAGCTGAACAAAATAATCTCTTTAATTGTGTGTGTATTTTGTCTTTCACAGTGAAAATATTGAAATTCACTCTCACTCTCCCATTTCTGTTATAATTCAAGTATTCTTTTTGAACCAAGAAAAGTCAAGGAGTAGCTGCTTTGTCTCTTTTCTTCCTGCTGAGAGAGAACAAAAGTTGGCAAGGCGACTGGCTACTGCTGGCTCCAGGTGGCCCTGTAGACAACGGACATTCAGCCAGGGCTAACTGGTTATTTACTCAGTATGGAACAGGCAGGTATTTTGCTGATGAGAATGCCATACATTCGTGTTTTTTTCTTATTTTTCACCCATGGGTTGGGGGAGAGGCTTCTGTAAGCAGAAAAAAAAAATTGCTCCTTGAGACTTTACATTAGAATTCAGTTTATTAATGTAATAGTTTAAATCTTCATTTCTTTTAAGCCTTTAAATTTGGCATATCAATTTTATTATACCATTTATAAATCTAGTAAACTTTAAGGATCACTATGGGGGGGTTAATAACATTCAATAAACTCAAATTGAAATGAATAAACGTATTTAAATAATCAGTTTCATTTATAACTCTCTATTAAAATTTTTTAAACCTTTTAAAGTATGTGTAAATTCTGTCATCCCCTGACTTTACAAAGCCTTCCAAAGTACAAAGTAAATTTAATCACCTATATTTCTAATTCTAAGTATTGCCAGCATTGAAAAACACTATTCCACTGTGAATATAGCTTTACTATTCCAGGTAAGTTGTGGTTATCATCCCACAAGAACTGGGATAGCTTATTGACCTAAGGTTTTTCACCTTCTACCACTGAGAAAACATATATTCTGGCTTCTAGCTGCTTTTATAACAGCAATTCTTAGTCTAATTGTAACTGAAACACAGATTCAAGTGCTGGCCACTTGCAGAGTCCAATTAACAAGAGTGAAGTCTGGTGTAGAGAAAGTGACTTTTTATTCCAAAGCTAGCTCAGGGGAAGAAGTACAGGCTTTCTGCCTAAATGGTACCACCTTCCCTTTGGAGCAGAAAGCAGGTGCTTTTGAAGGGGGCATGTCATGAATGGCACACAGGGAAGGAAGTGAGCAGGTGGAGGGTCCCTGTGCTAGCTTTGCTGCCTTATCTACCAGACAGTCAAGCTGGTGACTGCTGGTGCCTTCATGGGCAGGACTAGGTCGTAAAAACAGCTGAAAACTCTCCAGGTGGGAGAGAGTTTCAGACAGGGCATACTTCGGGTTGTAGATTGGCTATTGTTTCTTGGGGCAACCTCCTGATGGGTGAGAGTTTCATAGCAGGCATGCTTTGGGTTGCAAACAAACTGTTATCTCTTGAGGCAGTCCCTTGGTGGGAGAGAGTTCTGCTCTGGAGCTTCAAAGCACATTAGTTACATGGACTTACCCTATAGGAGGTGTCTGGTGAAGGGGAGGTAAAAGGTTATAATTTCTAAACGGCTAAGTAGGAAGTGGGGAACAGGAGGAAACAGAGAAAAGGGAAAAGTAGAGAAAATAAAAAATGGTAACTCATTCTTTTTTAGAAAAATGGGGGTACTCAGTTACATAAACTCTTCAAATTCAGTTTTTTTTCTGTTTTAAGTTATAGATTACCAAAATTTTTTTTTTCTGATTTGAGTCTGCAAAATGTCAAAGAGCTTGTAGATAACTTCCTTTAACAATCTTTCACTGATTAATTGAATAAGGGATTATTTTTATGTTCTTCCTCTCTGACTAGCCATCACTGTTTTATGGATATTAAAAAGACCTACAATTACCATTATTCACAGTAGCCAAGGTCTGGAATCAACCTGAGTGTCCATCAATGGCTGAATCAATGAAGGAAATGTGGTGTGTGTGTATGTGTGTGTGTATAGTATTTCATACTGTATTTATACATATATAAATATATACTATATACAATATGTAAATACAATAAAAATACTATATATGTATAGTTAGTTATACATATATATTTATATGTATAGTTATACATGTATGTATAAATATATACATATATAAATATGTTTATATGTGAATACAAATAAATATATATATGTACATTTACACACATATTTATATGTATAAATATATTGTATATTTATACTATATATGTATATATTATATTTATGCTATATATACATATATACTATATATGTATAAATATATATGTATAAATGTATATACATATAAATATGTATCAATACGTATATATAGTATTTTGTATTTATATAGTATATAGTATTTTATACAACAAAATACTGTATATATACAAACACACACATACAATGAAATACTGTTTAGCCTTAAAAAAGAAGATTCTGTTATTTGCAACAACATGGATGAACCTAGAAGACATTATCTTAAGTGACATAAGCCAAGCACAGAAAGATAAACACTGCGTCATCTCACTCAAGTGTGAAATCTATAATAAAAATGTTGAACTTGTAGTAGAAAGTAGAATGGATCACCTCTAAGGGCTGAGGTGGTTGGCAGGGAGAAGTTGGGAGCTGTTGCACAAAGGATATAAGGTTTCAGTTAGATAGACAGGAAGAATGAGTTCAAGAGATTTATTGTATAACATGATGACTATAGTTAAAACAATGTATTTTGTTCTTGACAGTTGCTGAGAGTAGATTTTAATGTTCTCACCACAGAAGAAAGTATCGATCTGTGAAATAATGCATATATTAATTAGCTTGATTTAGTGTTTTCATAATGTTGCATATTTCAAAATAACTCGTACGAGATAAATACATAGAATTTTTATATGCAATTAAAAATAAATTTAAGAAAAGAAAGAGATTGGATTCTGCGTATTTCCCATGACTTGGTCTGTCTCTAAGATCACAACTTCTAAGATTCCACTAATTACATCAATCCTCACATACTTCTTCACGGACCGGTGTTTGTAACCCACTGGAAAAGACTCTCACAGCCTAGCCCATTGTAGAAACCCAAGAATCGAAGATTCTAAAAGGTAGGGAGAAGATAGAGAAATATATGTTGTAGCCTAAATGCCAATGTAATTTTTGGTGTTATACAATCTACAGCCTCATTTCTTGACCTGTGCAATACCTGTTAAAAGGTGCATAACAAAAACTCAGTGAAATCACATGCTTGGAAAACTAGTAACTTTTTAAACAAATAATGTGGCAAATTGTATTATTACATTTATATTTATCTTTATTTGGATATAAAATAATAATTCTTTAAAAAATAAACATCTAAATTGTATTTGATTTTTAAGAAATTTATTATGAATGACAGATGGAATAGAGAACACTATACAATAAGAGGAGTCCTTCAAATTTTGTGCACGAGTATATATCACAGAATAAATAGTTTCGGTAATAAAAAACCCAACTCTGCTAAATAGACTATGTGACACAAAATATGCATTGCTTCTGAAGTAAATTAAGTATGACTTAGGAGAATGAGCTAAAGAGACAATTTCTGGGACCGAGGGGCTAGAACCTCTTACAATAAATAAAATATATCCTAACAAGCACTCCTTTTTTCCCCTTCAGGCCTTTCCTATTAAAGTGATAAATGATTACAAAACAAATATTCAGCTACATAACTAAAGAGAGTGAATGGAACCGAGGAACATTTAAAAAGAGTAATTTTCATTCAAATTTGCTTCAAACTTCTGGAAACAAAATTACTTTTGGATAAAGTATGAAATTTTAAATCAGAATAGCAAGTGATGAAAAAACCTTTAAATCTGTCTCTTTTTTTTCTTGAGATTGCATCTTTTTGGATCCTCACACTTAATCTCAGGACCGAGCTAGACTTACAGCCACAAATCAAATGTTGAGAAGTCCTTGGCTGTCTGAGTCTGCCTGCCCTCACCCAGCCAGCTGGGCTATAAAACACTTGGGTTGATTCTGTCCTAGAGCGGAGAAGCAAAGTTGTGCAAAACACTATGAGAAATGACTTCACTAGGGAAACTGTTGTGTATCCAAAATTTCTTTGTCTTCCCATTGTCTCTGTGGCATCTGTTCTTTCTCAGCCTCTCACATATTCTCAGTGTCTTCATGTTCAGAGTGCAGAATCATGCTTCTTGATCATAGCAGCAGTTTATCAATCCAATGGTTTATTATAGGATTATCAACTCCACCATTTACGCAATCTTCTTAGTTATCTGTTATCACTCCCTCTCTACTCTGCTTTTTAGATAAAAATAGTTTTTCGTAAATGTATTTTCTATAAAATTATCAGTGATACCTCAGGTTGCTAAAACAAAATACCATAGACTGGGGGGCCTAAATAACACACATTTATTTCTCACAGTCTGGAGACTAGAAAGTTCAAAATAAGGTGCCAGCAGTTTCATGCACGTCCATGTGAAGAGACCACCAAACAGGCTTTGTGTGAGCAACAAGGCTGTTTATTTCACCTGGGTGCAGGTGGGCTGAGTCCGAAAAGAGAGTCAGGGAAGGGAGATAGGGATGGGGCCAATTTATAGGATTTGGGTAAAGGAAAATTACAGTCAAAGGGGATTTGTTCTCTGGCGGGCAGGAGTGGGGGTCACAAGGTGCTCAGTAGGGGAGCTTTTGAGCCAGGATGGGCCAGAAGGAATTTCACAAGATAATGTCATCAGTTAAGGCAGGAACAGGCCATTTTCACTTCTTATGTGGTGGAATGTCATCAGTTAAGGCAGGAACTGGCCATCTGGATGTGTACCTGCAGGTCACAGGGGATATGATGGCTTAGCTTGGGCTCAGAGGCCTGACATTCCTGTCTTCTTATATTAATAAGAAAAATAAAACGAAATAGTGGTAAAGTGTTGGGACGGCGAAAATTTTGGGGGGTGGTATGGAGAGATAATGGGCGATGTTTCTCAGGGCTGCTTCGAGCAGGATTGGGGGGCCGTGGGAACCTAGAGTGGGAGAGATTAAGCTGAAGGAAGATTTTGTGGTAAGGGGTGATATTGTGGGGTTGTTAGAAGAAACATTTATCATTTAGAATTATTGGTGGATGGCCTGGATACAGTTTTGTATGAATTGAAAAACGGAATAAGAGAAGGAGAAAAACAGGTATTAAAGGTCTAAGAATTGGGAGGACCTAGGACATCTAATTAGAGAGTGCCTAAGGAGATTCAGCATAGTCCTGTCAGCAAAGATTATTTATTTACTTCAAGAGTTAAGAGTGGCAGTTTGGGGATAGCACAGGGAGATATCAGCTGTGATGGCTTGGTGAAACAGTGTAAACCGGCAGTGTAAACAAGAGCAGGGCATGTATGAGTAGTTGAAAACAGTGAATAGGAGTATGACTAGACAGAAGATAGTAGGGATGACAAGTTTTTTGGGGCACAGTCCAAGTTGGTCTTGAATGAGACTGGGGCTTAATAAAAAGGAGCATCCATACAGGAGCTCAAATGGGCTGTACCCTGTAGCATTCCGAGGACAAGCCTGAATTCTGAGAAGGGAAAGTGGTGAAAGTATTGTCCAGTCCTTTTTAAGTTGGTGGCTGAGCTTGGTGAGGTGTGTTTTTAAAAGACCATTAGTCTGTTCTACCTTTCCTGAAGACTGAGGACTGTAAGCGATATAAAGGTTTCACTGAATACCAAGAGCCTGAAAAAATGCTTGGCTGATTTGACTAAGAAAGGCTGGTCTGCTATCGGACCGTATAGAGGTGGGAAGGCCAAACCGAGGAATTATGTCTGATGGAAGGGAAGAAATGACTGCGGTGGCCTTCTCAGACCCTGTAGGAAAGGCCTCTACTTATCCAGTGAAAGTGTCTACCTAGACTTAAGAGGTATTTTAGTTACCTGACTCCAGGCATGTGAGTAAAGTCAATTTACCAGTCCTGGGCGGGGGCAAATCCCCGAGCTTGATGTGTAGGGAAGGGAGGGGGCCTGAATAATCCCTGAGGAGTAGTAGAATAGCAGATGGAACACTGAGAAGTTATTTCCTTGAGGATAGATTTCCACGATGGAAAGGAAATGAAAGGTTCTAAGAGGCGGGCTAGGGGCTTGTACTACAGCATAGCCTGCCTTTGCTGGTGTGTGGCGACTAGGCCTGGTGGAGCTGCCATCAATAAACCAAGTGTGATCAGGGTGAGGAACAGGAAAGAAGGAAATATGGGGAAATGGGGTGAACGTCAGGTGGATCAGAGAGATACAGTCATGGGGGTCAGGTGTGGTATCAGGAATAATGTGGGAGGCCGCATTGAAGTCCGGGCCAGGAACAATGGTAATTGTGGGACTTAACAAAGAGTGAGTACAGCTGAAGGAGCCGGGGAGCAGAAAGTATATGCGTCAGGTGTGAGGAAGAAAATAGATTTTGGAAGTTATGAGAACTGTAGAGAGTGAGTTGAGCATAGTTTGTGATTTTAAGGGCCTCTAAAAGTATTAGGGCAGCGGCAGCTGCCACATGCATGCAGATTTGAGGGCTAGGCAAAACAGTAAGGTCAAGTTTTTTGGATAAAAAGGCTACAAGGTGCGGTCCCGGCTGTTGTGTAAGAATTCTGACTGCACTAACCATGCCTAGGAAAGAAAGGAGTTCTTGTTTTGTAGAAGGTGCTGGGGTTTGAGAGATCAGTCTGACACGATCAGCAGGGAGAGCACGTGTGTTTTTATGAGAATTACGCCGAGATAGGTAACAGATGAGGAAGACATTTGGACTTGACTGAAGTAATGGGGGCTGTCTGTGAAGCCTTGCGGCAGTACAGCCCAGGTAATTTGCTGAGCCTGGTGGGTGTCTGGGTCAGTCCAAGTGAAAGTGAAGAAAGGCTGGGATGAAGGGTGCAAAGGAATAGTAAAGAAAAAAGCATGTTTGAGATCCAGAACAGAATAATGGGTTGTAGAGGGAGATAGTGAGGATAGGAGAGTATATGGGTTTGGCACCATGGGGTGGATAGGCAAAACAATTTGGCTGATAAGGTGCAGATCCTGAACTAACCTGTAAGCCTTGTCTGGTTTTAGGACAGGTAAAATGGGGGAATTGTAAGGAGAGTTTATAGGCTTTAAAAGGCCATGCTGTAACAGGCCAGTGATAACAGGTTTTAATCCTTTTAAAGCGTGCTGTGAGATGGGATATTGGCATTGAGCAGGGTAAGAGTGATTAGGTTTTAATGGGATGGTAAGGGGTGCATGATCAGTCGCTAAGGAGGGAGTAGAGGTGTCTTATACTTGTGGCTTAAAGTGGGGAGATACAAGGGGAGGATGTGAAGGAGGCTTTGAACTGGGGGAAAAGGTGGCAATGAGGTGTGGCTGTAGCCGAGGAATAGTCAGGGATAATTTAGTTAAAGTGTCTCGGCCTAATAAGGGAACTGGGCAGGTGAGGATAACTAAAAAGGAGTGCTTAAAAGAGTATTGGCTAAGTTGGCACCAGAGTTGGGGAGTTTTAAGAGGTTTAGAAGCCTGGCCATTGATACCCACAACAGTTATGGCGGCAAGGGAAACAGGCCCTTGAAAAGAAGTTAATGTGGAGTGGTTAGCCTCCATATTGATTAAGAAGGGGATGGACTTACCCTCCACTGTGAGAGTTACCTAAAGCTCGGCGTCTGTGATGGTCTACGGGGCTTCCGAGGAGATTGGGCAGCGTCAGTCTTCAGTCTCTAAGCCGAGAAGATCTGGGAAGGACTCAGTCTGAGAGCCTTGGGCCAGAGTTCCAGGGGCTCTGGGAGTGGCTGCCAGGTGAGTTGAACAGTCCGATTTCCAGTGGGGTCCCGCACAGATGGGACATGGCTTAGGAGGAATCCCGGGCTGCGGGCATTCCTTGGCCTGGTGGCCAGACTTCTGGCACTTGTAGCAAGCTCCTGGGGAAGGCGTTTCTGGAGGAACGCCTGGCCGCTGCGGTTTAGGCGTTTGGAAGTTGTGTGCTGGAGATGTGGCTGGGGTTTGTCTCACGGTGGAGGCAAGGAATTGCAACTCAGAAATATGTTGCTACTTGGCTGCCTCTACTCTATTATTGTACACCTTGAAGGTGAGGTTAATTAAGTCCTGTTGTGGGGTTTGAGGGCCGGAATTTAATTTTTGGAGTTTTATTTAATGTTGGGAGCAGATTGGGTAATAAAATGTATATTGAGAATAAGACGGCCTTTTGACCTTTCAGGGTCTAGGGCTGTAAAGCGTCTCAGGGCTGCTGCCAAATGAGCCGTGAACTGGGCTGGGTTTTTATATTTGATGAAAGAGCCTAAACGCTAACTGATTTGGGAGAGGTCGGATAAAGAAAAAGGAGCATTAACCTTGACTATGCCTTTGGCTGCAGCCACTTTTTAAAAAGGAAATTGCTGGGCAGGTGGGGGAGGGCTAGTCACGGAAAGAAACTGTAAGCCGGACCCGGTGTGAGGAGGGGAGGTGATAAAAGGATTATAGGGTGGAGGAGTGGAGGCTGAGGAAGAATTGGGACTTAGCTCGGCCTGGCTAGGAGGGGAGAGGTCAGATGGGTCTGTAGAAAAGGAAGATTAGATAGACTCAGCGACACTTGGGGTTGGGACTGAGGGGACAGGTGGGAGGGAAGGAAGATTTGGGATGAGTCACATTGGGAACAGAGACTAGAGAGGGACCGATGTGTAAAAGAATGCCTGGACATCAGGCACCTCAGACCATTTGCCTGTTTATGACAAGAATTATTTAAATCTTCTAGGACGGAAAATTCAAAAGTGCCATTTTCTGGCTATTTGGAACCACTGTTGAGTTTGTACTAGAGTCAAGTGGCATTGTAGAAGAAAAAATAAGGTGTTTAGGTTTTAGGTCAGGTGAGAGTTGAAGAGGTTTTAAGTTCTTGAGAACACAGGCTAAGGGAGAAGGAGGAATGGAGGGTGGAAGGTTGCCCATAGTGAAGGAGCCAAGCCCAGAGAAAAGAGAGGAGAGAAGGGGTTCGGGAGGTTCTTACCCTCCAGAAAAGTGGGAAAGGGGTTGGTGCATGGAAATAAGGGGTTGGGGCACAGAGATAAGAGGTCAGGACACAGAAATAAGGGATCAGGGCACAGAGATAAGAGGTCGGGGTGTGGAAGTAAGGGATTGGGGTGCAGAGATAAGAGTTTGGGTGCAGAAATAAGGGATCAGGGCGCCGAGATAAGAGGTTGGGGCGTGGAAATAAGGGATCAGGGGGGTCTTGAGGACAGAAGAACTGATTTTATTTTTACAGGATTTGTTCCCAATGTTAACTGAAGTCATTCAGCAATAGTACAACACATAACCACCTCTTATGGTTGACCCTGGACCCATAGTGAAGGCATAGCTCATCAGCCCCTGTTTAGTAAAGATATTAACGGTGCATACTCTTAAGTCTAGGAGAGTTATACTATACTACAAAGAGGAATATGATTTCAGGAAGGTTTTCAGGTTTCTCCAATATGCCAGCTTGAGAAGCTTTATTTCTAGTTTCAGTGTATAAGTATCTAACATCAATATCAAGAGTTAGAAGTCAAATGGGAGATGGGCCATGGTGGTGTCTGCTTTGGAGTGCATGCTTGTGTCCATCCCAAATGCATATGTTGAAGTCCTAATCTCCAATGTGATGGTATTTAGAGATGGGGCCTTTGGGATATAACTAGATTTAGATAAAGTCATGAGGGGATGGCCCTCACGATAAAATGGGACCATATAAGAAGAGACACCAGAAAGCTTGCTCTCACTCTCTCTTTCCACCATGTGAGAACATGATGAGAAGGCAGCCATCTGCAAGCTAGGGAGAGGAACATCACTAAAATCTGACCATGCTGGCACCCTGGTCTCAGACTTCCAGTCTCCAGAACTGTGAGAAAATAAGTTTCTGTTGTTTAACAGTCCAGTCTATGGTAGTTTGTTACGGCAACTGTGTTAGGCCACTCTTGCATTGCTATAAAAAAAAAAAAATCTGAGACTGGGTAATTTAAAAGAAAAGAGGTTTAATTGGCTCACAGTTCTTCAGGCTGTACAAGAAGTATAGTGCTGGCAGCTGCTAAGCTTCCAGGATGCATTAGGAAGCTTTTACTCATGGTGGCAGGCAAAGCAGAAGCAGGCATCTGACATAGCAGGAGTAGGAGAAAGAGTGAGTTGGGGAGGTGCCACACACTTTAAACAACCAAATCTCATGAGAACTCACTACCATGAGGACAGCAGCAAGCCATTGGTCATCTGTCTCCATGACCTAATCACCTTCCACCAGGCCCTAACTCTGACATTGGGGATTACATTTCAACATGAGAATTAGGCACAGACAAATATCTGAACTATATTGGCAACCCAGGCAGACTAAGACATGTTCTATATTCTCATGCTACCTCACAATTTAATTGAAACTATTAAATAAGCTTATTTAATAGTTTCTAAGTTTCTAAGTTTATTTAATGTTCTATATTCTCATGCTACTTCTTTATTTAATGGAAAATATTAAAGAAGTTTCTTGTAGGCAATAGGCTGCTCTATCATGCATAATGCATTATAATGCTTTACAATCAACACGTAACCCTCACATTTGTATTACACTGGATATGTCCCTATTTTACAGATGAAAGAAATGAAAATTAGAAAGTACAGAAAGTTGCTGAACTTTAGCTGATTTCAAATTTCTCTCACAACCTGCTGCTCTTCCCCATTCCCTTGTTTATAGCATAGTCTCAGGGTCTTGAGCATAATTTTGTTAAATTGAACTCTGGTTTATTCACTATAGAACAACACGTAGACAGTGTGGGAAAAAAGGAGACTGTCAGGGCCGAGTCCAGTAAAAAATGCCGTGCTTAATTTTGTTTCTTCGTTTTCCCTTGGAGTGTACTTGTAACTGGAATTATTACAGCTTTATAGATATCCTTGTCTCCTAAAATCTGTAGAGACCACGGAAGGTTGGAAAGGGCAAGAGCAGAGATACTGATCAGCAAGGGCAGGGAGGTCAGGAAGAAGAGAATGAGCAGCCCTTTGTGACGGGGAGGCAGGTAGAGTATCTAGAGAGAAGAATTATAATTTCACAGGTTCATTATACACAGCAGGGCTTTTGCCTCTGCTGTGGTTCTGTACTTTCATCTCCCTGATTGGTAAAGGCCACAGACATTTTTTTCTGGTTCATGAGCATGATGAAATGTGTCCCAGTGTGGACGAATGGAGGAACCTAATCAAGTGGCTATAAGGGTCTTGAAGTACAAATCAGCTCTAAGAGATTTGATATTAAAAATAATCCATTATCATTCAGTTACCAATTGTGTTATTTTTCTTTGTTATAACTAATTTCCTAAGCCTAAGTATTTAAAGAGAGATTAAACAGAGTAACAACACTTTCCTTACTAGATACATATCCTGTATCTTCCTAGGCTCCTTATCTTGAAACTCACAGAGGAAAGGAAAATTTTAACAGAATCAATAGGACCTGGGAAGGAAGATCCAAAGTTAGCCACTGTAGATTCTTTGGGGATTGGGTGAATGTTCCACATTCTCAGAAAGCAAGGTAAATTGGTAGTGATCCTTTCTTGTTTGTAAAGCATTTTATTAGGTATCTTTAGGCAATACTGAGGAAATGAGTGCTGTTCCAGACAGTGAATAATTAATAATCTCCAGATCACCAGAATAATTTAGAATGGGTGGAGCTAGGAAGACCTATTTTCAGAGGGAAGTTTTGAGGACCTTTGGTTCATCAAATCTAATGTGTGTATAGATCATGTAGGTGGGTTTTCAATAATGTAAATTTCTGGAGCTCACCCGCAGAACGTGATTCGTTATGTTTGAGGAGGGCATTTTAATAATTATCTCGGGTGGTTCTGATGAAGATGGACAGAGCTGAAAAACATTGGTTTGGAAAAAAGTAGAACCTTATGGTTTGGCTGAAAGAAGCTCTTCTAAGTAATAAAAAGAAGTGGCATAGGATGAATACAAGGGTGAGGCACCATAACTTGCTAGGCTAGAGGCAGAAGACAAATGCAATGGATGGGTGAAGAAAATGTAGCCAAACCAATGTAAAATTTGGAATACTTCTTTTTTAAAATCCAAAGTTAATTACTACCTCTATTCTTTCTTCAGTAATTTCCTTAACTTCAGCCTATAAGTTACAATTTTAATATAATCATTGCTACTATCACAATTGTTCTGCTGGTTATTTTAATGCTTTTGAAGTCAAGAGACTATTGTTGTTTTTCTTCTTTACCCAGCATGAGACAATGCTCATCAAATATTCACTAATAATATAGTTGAAAAATATGGCACAAATGTATAAGGCTGACTTACCTCTTCAGATTTAACCAAAGTTACCACTTCATTTCTTAGTTTTTTATTATCATTCATGTTAATTGAACTTCCCTTGCATATTTTTCATCTCATTTCTTTCTGTTATATTCTGGATGGTTTTACATAGTTTCTTTTTTTTGAGATGGAGTCTCTCTCTGTTGTCCAGGCTGGAGTGCAGTGGTACAATCTCAGCTCACTGCAACCTCCGCTTCCTGGGTTCAAGCGATTCTCCTGCCTCAGCCTCCTGAGTACCTGCGACTATAGGTGTGCACCACCACACCCGGCAACTTTTTGTATTTTTAGTAGAGACAGGGTTTCACCTTGTTGGTCAGGCTGGTCTTGAACTCCTGACCTCAAGTGATCCACCCGCCTTGGCCTCCCAAAGTGCTGCGATTACAGGCATGAGCCACTGCACCCAGCTACATTTTCTTTCAACTGCATCAATTCTCCATCTAAGCATCTGTAGAATGTTTTAAAAAAAAGTAAAGACTAGATTTTGTTTATATTTGATCATTTATACAATTTTCTAAAAAATTAGTCTGTTAGTTCCCCATAACGTTTTATCCTCATTTTATGAATTCTCTTCTTTCCTTTTAAAGAAATGGTTTAATATTTTTAAAAATTTATTTTCCTTGAGACAGAGTCTCACTCTGCTGCTCAGGCTTGAGTGCAGCAGCACAGTCTCGGCTTACTGCGACTTCAGCCTCCTGGGTTCAAGTGATTGTCCTGCCTCAGCCTGCCGAATATCTTACTTTTCTTACCTTCCCTGTATTTGGCGCTGAATCTGGGCCCCGGTTCTATTCACAGCCATGATTGACTGGCTCATGCTTAACAAAACTCTGGTCTTGCGGATGCAGATTTTTTGGTTCCTGGTCACAGACTTGGAAATCTTTTTTTTTTTTTTTTTTTTGTTCTTAGCCTTCTGACTTTAACTTCTGTCTGCTCAAACATTAAAAATCTAGCCTTTAAGGTGTGTATCTGATCCTGGTGCCTCTATGGGAGATGGGGACTTCACCTTATCATTTTTTATGATTTTTCTCTTTTATGACGTTTGCTATAGAATATTTCCTTTTTTGGATATCAACTTTTCTTTCAGATTTTAAAAAGTTGTTTTATCAAAAAGTACTATGTATTTTTAACCAGATGGGGAAGTACCTATATCTGTTTAGGCTATCATCTTGTCTGAAAGACCTAAGGGATTTTATTATTATTCCCATTTTATAGATGAAGATAGAGGTGGTTGGAGCCAGCTAAGGGTGTGTTAGAAGTGCAGGCTTGATATTGCTGAAGCAAATTTTATATTTGCCTGTTAATAAGTAAGCAAATGTAGGTGAACAAAGGAAGTCTTATGGGAAGTGGGAGGCAAGGAGAGTGAAGAATTACAAATGCAGATTATAAAACTCATCAAAGCAAAAGTTACAGGTTCAAATATATTTAAGGGACAGGACAGTACAGTGAGAAAGCTGTAATATAATAGATAGTGGTAAGGACATGGTCTAACTGGGAGCAGTCATACCCTGCTAAACATTCAAATACAAAACCTTTTCAAGTAACATGCTGGTGAAACACCATATCTGCCAGCTAATTTCAAATTGGTCATTATTTTGCCACCTGAGATTTAAATACTTTGGAGTTTGTCTTTCAAGCAATGAGGGTAGAAAGTACACTATCCCTTCTTTGATGTCCACTGAGATATTCTTATTATAGCTGATTTTCATAGCAAGTATCAAAGTTAGTTTGCATTCCATAAGCACCTACAAACTGAGGGTTGGGGAGGTTGCCAAATATATACAAAGCAATATGAGATAGTATATTAAAACAACTCCTTACAATATGGATAATTGCTCACAGATTTTTGAAAATGCGTATATTGTGATTTGCAGACCACAGAAAATAAATATTGTTTAATATATTACTAAGTTACCAGGTGGCAGATTTCACTTCTCTGGTAGAACCTTAAGGTGCCAAAGGAAGCAAAAAAAAAAAAAAAAAGGGAGGAGTTGGGAAGGTATATGCTGATTCTATAAGCCTGTGTGCAAAGAGGAAGCAGGGCTGAGACAAATTGGAGTATTACAGGGATAGACTTGATTAGATATGGTCAAAGCAGGGTCAGCCTTTGTAGGGTTAGGCTTTTTCAGTCTCTTGTCCTAAACAAGGATGATGGTTCTCAAATTGTGGTCCTCAGACCATAAGCATCAGCATCCCCTGGAACTTGTTAGAACTACAAATTCTCAGTCTCCTTCTTATACTTACTGAATTAGAAGCCTTCCAGGAGGGGTCCAGCAATATGGGTTTTTATAACCTCCAGGTGATTCTGATGCACACTGACATTTAAGAACCAGTCTCCTTGGAAAACCTAACTTGTATAACAGACATTTCTGTTACTATAATAGACAATTTATATAATAGACGTTAATGAATCTTTAAGGATGGAGTCATCAGTATCGGGCAGAACTTCAAAAATAGCCAATCTGAACTAATAAAAGCATAGCAACTGGTTCTTATTGAGTGCTTACTACTTTTCTAAGTATTTTACATGCAAGAACACTACTACTATCCAAGTATTATAGAATAGAAAATCCCTTTGGGAGACCAAGGCAGGTGGATTGCTTGAGCCTAGGAGTTGGAGACCAGCCTGGGCAACATGGTGAAACCTCGTCTTTGTCAAAAATACAAAAAATTAGCCGGGTGTGGTGGTGCGTGCCTGTAGTCCCAGCTACTTGGGAGGCTGAGGTGGGAGGATTCCGTGAGCCCTGGGAGGCAGGGTTGCGGAAAGCTGTGATCATACTACTGCACTGCAGCCTGGGCGACAGAATGAGACCCTGTCTGAAAGAAAGAGAGAGAGAGAGAGAGAGAGAGAGAGAAAGTCCCAGAAGCCCAGAGAAGTTAAATAACTAGGCCTAAGTCACACAACATGGTTAGCTACATACCATAATCAATGTTTGTGCCATCTCTTATCAGCAAAACTCAGACTGTTCTTTAAACAAGAAATACATTTCTTCTGGCTTTTACATTTAATATATTTTTGGGTCTTTTTTTTTATTCCAAAGGAAATTTTTTTAATTCCTTTTTTTCCATAAGTTATTGGAGTACAGGTGGTGTTTGGTTACAGAGTAAGTTCTTCAGTGGTGATTTGTGAGATTTTGGTGCACCCATCACCCGAGCAGTATATACTGCACCATATTTGTAGTATTTTATCTCTCACCCCCTCTCATCTTCCCCCCAAGTCCCCAGAGTCCATTGTATCATTCTTATGCCTTTGTGTCCTCATAGCTTAGCTTCCACATATCAGTGAGAAAATACAATGTTTGGTTTTCCATTCCTCAATTACTTCACTTAGAATAATAGTCTCCAATCTCATCTAGGTCACTGCAAATGCTGTTAATACATTCCTTTTCATAACTGAGTGGTATTCCGTCGTATGTATATACCAGAGTTTCTTTATCCACTTATTGATTGATGGGCATTTGGGTTGGTTCCACGATTTTGCAATTGTGAATTGTGCTGCTATAAACATGCATGTGCAAGTATCTTTTTCGAATAATGACTTCTTTTCCTCTGGGTTGATTCCCAGTAGTGGGATTGCTGGATCAAATGGTAGTTCTACTTTTACTTATTTGAGGAATCTCCACACTATTTTCCACAGCAGTTGTATTAGTTTACATTCCCACCAGCAGTATAGAAGTGTTTTCTGTTCACCACATCCATACCAACATCTACTGTTTTTTGATTTTTTGATTATAGCTATTCCTGTGGGAGTAAGGTGGTATTGCATTGTGGTTTTGATTTGTGTTTCCCTGATCATTAGTGATGTTGAGCATTTTTTTTTTCTATATATTTGGTGGCCATTTGTATATCCTCTTTCATTGTAGAAGTCTTTCGACTCCGTAGTTAGGTATATTCCTAAGTGGTTTTTTTTTTTTTCCAGCTATTGTAAGATGGGTAGAATTCTTGATTTGATTCTCTGCTTGGTCACTGTTGGTGTATAGAAGAGCTACTGATTTGTGTACATTAATCTAGTATCCAAAAACTTTGCTGAATTCTTTTATCAGTTCAAAGAGCTTTCTGGAGGAGTCCTTAGGGTTTTCAAGGTAAATCATCATATCGTCAGCAAACAGGGACAGTTTGACTTCCTCTTTACTGATTTGGATGCTCTTTATTTCTTTCTCTTGTCTGATTGCTCTGGCTAGGACTTCTAGTACTATGTTGAAGAGGAGTGGTCAGAGTGGGCATCCCTGTTTTGTTCCAGTTCTCAGAGAGAATGCTTTCAACTTTTGCCATTCAGTTTTATGTTGGCTGTGGTTTTGTCATAGATAGCTTTTATTATATTCAGGTATGTCCCTTGTATGCTGATTTTGCTGAGAGTTCTAATCATAAAGGGATGCTGGATTTTATTGAATGCTTTTTCTGCATCTATTGAGATAATCATGTGATTTTGTTTTTAATTCCGTTTATGTGGTATATTACATTTATTGACTTGTGTATGTTAAACCACTCCTGCATCCCTGGTATGAATCCCACTTAATCATGGTGGATTATCATTTTGATATGTTGTTGGATTTGGTTAGCTAGTATTTTATTAAGGATTTTAGCATCTATGTTGATCCAAGATAATGGTCTGTAGTGTTCTTTTTTGGTTATGTCCTTTCCTGGTTTTGGTATTAGGATGATGCTGGCTTCATAGAATGAAGTAGGGAGGGTTCCTTCTTTCTCTATCTTGTGCAATATTCGATTCATACCAATTCTTCTTTGAATGTCTGGTAAAATTCTACTGTGAATCCATCTGGTCCGGGACTTTTTATTGTTGGTAATTTTAAAATTACCATGTCAATCTTGCTGCTTGTTATTGGTCTGTTCAGGGTATCTAATTCTTCCTGATTTAAGCTAGGAGGGTTGCATTTTTCCAGGAATTTATCCGTCTCTTCTAAGTTTTCTAGTTTATGTGCATAATGGTGTTCATTGTAGCCTTGAATGATCTTTTGTATTTCAGTGGTGTCAGTTGTAATATCTTGTTTCATTTCTTAGTGAGGTTATTTGGATTTTCTCTCTTTTTTTCTTGGTTAATCTTGCTAATGTTCTATCAGCTTTATCTTTTCAAAGAACCAGCTTTTTGTTTCATTTATCTTTTGCATTTGTTTTTGCTTCAATTTCATTTAATTCTCCTCTGATCTTGGTTATTTCCTTTCTTCTGCTAGGTTTGGATTTGATTTGTTCTTGTTTCTCTAGCTCCTTGAGATGTGACCTTAGAATGTCGGTTTGTGCTCTTTCAGTCTTTTTGATATAGGCATTTAGGGCTATGAACTTTCTTTTTATCCCTACCTTTGCTGTACCCCAGAGGTTTTGATAGGTTGTGTTATTATTGTCGTTCAGTTTGAAGAATTTTTTAATTTCAATATTGATTTCATTTTTGACCCAGTGCTCATTCAGGAGCAGGTTATTTAATTTCCCTGTAGTTTCCTGATGTTGAAGGTTCCTTTTGGAGTTGATTCCCAGTTTTATTCCACTGTGGTCTGAGACAGTGCCTGATATAATTTCAGTTTTCTTAAATGTACTGAGGCTCATTTTATGACCCATCATATGGTCTATCTTGGGGAAAGTTCCATGCGCTGTTGAATAGAAGGTGTATTCTGCGATTGTTGGATGAAATGTTCTGCATATATCTGTTAAGTCCATTTTTTCCATGGTAGAGTTTAAATCCATTGTTTCTTTGTTGAGTTTCTGTCTTTGACCTGTCTAGTACTGTCAGTGGAGTATTGAAATCCCCCACTATTATTGTGTTTCTGTCTATCTCATTTATTAGGTCTGTTAATAATTGTTTTATAAATTTGGGAGCTCCAGTGTTAGGTGCATATATGTTCAGTATTGTGATATTTTCCTGTTGGACAAGGCCTTTTACCATTATATAATGTTTCTCTTTGTCTCTTTTAACTGCTATTGCTTTAAATTTTGTTTTGTCTGATATAAGAATAACTACCCCTGCTCATTTTCAGTGTCCATTTGCCTTTTTCTACCCCTTTACTTTATGTGAGTCCTTATATGTTAAGCAAGTCTCCTGAAGGCGGCAGCTAGTTGGTTAGTGAGTTCTTATCCATTTTGCAGTTCTGTATCTTTTAAGTGGAGCATTTAGGCCATTTACATTCAGTGTATTGAAATGTGAGGTACCCTTGCTCTTTGTGGCTGTGTACTTTGTTTTTTTTATTGTTTGTTTTTGCTTTTTAACTTGTGTTTTTGTTTTATAGGTCCTGTGCGATTTATGCTTTAAAGAGGTTCTGTTTTGATGTGTTTCCAGGATTTGTTTCAAGATTTAGAGCTCCTTTTAGTAGTGCTTTTAGTGATGGCTTGGTAATGGCAAATTCTCTCAGCATTTGTTTGTCTGAAAAAGACTGAACCTTTCCTTCATATATAATGCTTAGTTTCACTGGATACAGAATTCTTGGCTGATAATTGTTTTGTTTGAGGAGGCTGAATATAGGGCCCCAATCCCTTCTATCTTGTAGGGTTTCTGCTGAGAAGTCTGCTTTTAATCTGGTAGGTTTACGTTTATAGGTTTCCTTTATCACTTCTGGCTCACAGCTCTTAAGATTCTTTCCTTCATCTTAACTTCGGATAACCTGATGACAATGTGCCTAGATGAAGATCTTTTTGCAATGAATTTCCCGGGCATTCTTTGTGTTTCTTGTATTTGGATGTCTAGGTCTCTAGCAAGGCCAGGGAGGTTTTCCTTGATTATTCCCCCAAATATGTTTTCCAAGCTTTTAGAATTCTCTTCTTCCTTAGAAACACCAATTATTTTTAGGTTTGGTTGTTTAACATAATCACAGACTTCTTGGAGGTTTTGTTCATATTTTCTTATTCTTTATTCTTTGTCTTTGTTGGCTTGGGTTAATTCAATGACCTTGTCTTCGAGCTCTGAATTCCTTTGTTCTACTTGCTCAATTCTATTGCTGAGACTTTCCAGAGCATTTCACTTTTCTAAAAGTGTGTCCAAAGTTTCCTGAATTTTTTATTGTTTTTTCTTTAAGCTATCTATTTCCTTAAATATTTCTCCTTTCACTTCTTGTATCATTTTTTGGATTTCCTTGCATTGGGCTCTGCCTATCTCTGGTCCCTCCCTGATTAGCTTAATAACTAACCTCCTGAATTCCTTTTCAGGTAAATCAGGGATTTCTTCTGAGTTTGGATCCATTGCTGGTGAACTAGTGCGATATTTTGGGGGTGATGAAGAGCCTTGTTTTTTCATATTACCAGAGTTGGTTTTCTGGTTCCTTCTCATTTGGGTAGGTTCTGTCAGAGGGAAGGTCTAGGGTTGAAGGCTCTGTCAAAGGGAAGGTCTAGGGTGGTTCAGAGTCTTTTGTCCCACGAGGTGTTCCCTTGATGAAGTTCTCTCCCTGTTTTCCTATGGATATGGCTTCCTATGAACTGAACTGCAGTGATTATTTTCTCTTCTGGGCCTAGCCACCAGCGAGTCTACCTGGCTGTGGGCTGGTACTGGGGGTTGTCTGGACAGAGTCCTGTGATATGAACCATCTGTGGGTCTCTAAGCTGTGGATACCGGCGGCTGTTCCAGTCAAGATGTTGGGGGGTGGGGCAGTGCAATGGACTCCCTGAGGGTTCTTAGCTTTAGTGGTTTAATGCTCTATTTTTGTGCCAGTTGGCCTCCTGCCAGGAGGTAGTGCTTTCCAGAGAGCATCAGCTATAAACCAACTTGTTGCAGTTAACACTACAATGACTTTCTGGGACAGGCCTCAACTATCCGAGTAAGTACCTTCATCTGCCCCAGAACCATCAATGGTTTCTCAATATCTTATTTCATTACAAAGTTAGTAGTAGATCTTGCTTTTGAATCCAACTTCAGGTAATCTCTCAAAACCACTCAGCCCAGCCTCCTGGTGCCACCATGCACTCTTCTTTTTGCTCACTCGCTCACGCACATGCTGAACTCACTCAAAAAATGCGGGCAGTAGTGGCACCTCACCCCCCTTCCTATTTTTTTTTTTAATTGAATCCTGGGCTACCTTAACAAATATACACAACACATAAATGACAGAGCTTATATTTGAGCCCAAATAGTTTGATTTTGGATTTTATGTTTTTAATTCCAACATTATACCACCTGTTCAGAACTGCTGTAGATGCCAGAAATGCACTTAAATAACTTTATTCCTTTTTTCTTTTATCTTGTCGATTGATCTCTGCCCTAAATTGAGCCTTTCAGTCTGATGATTTTATGCAGCACCTCCAGGATTGTGCCTTTTACAATAATGCATTTCTTTAACTTCTTAAGGTGTTTATTCAGCAATGTTTCTCCCTTAAAATAAATATTATTGCATAATTTTCTTGTAAATCCCATATTGCTTTTCTAAATTCTTAATTTGCCATGTTTACTTAACTCTGATGTCATTCTCTTCCCATGAAATTCCCCACCAATAACTGTCAACAGGCTATTTTATGGTCTTAACGCTCTTTTTTTCCCATTTATGTCATTTTTTAATGTTTTAACTCTTCTTTCAGTCTCTTTTATATCTCCATTCACATAAAAACAAATATCTCCTATATTAGAAATTTAGGTTGTCATGGTTAATTTCAACTATATTTGATAGGTTCCTATACATTTGGTAAAAATTTATGTATATGTAAAGCACATTACTCTGAACATGCTCATTAATTTCCTCTAATATAACTTTGGCTAGTAGCACTGAAATATTTATCTATCTACAACATTTGGTATCAACCATGCATATGGTTTCATGAAGCCAACAAATATACCATAGAAGAAATGTAGAACAGTGGAAGCACACTCAATATGGACAGAGCTCGTCTTGGCATTCCCATTTAATAACTGTATAAGACTGGGCATGGAACTTATTGTATCTTGGAAATAGCTCCTCATTTCTGAAATGATGGGCTTGGATAATTCCAAAACCTCTTTCTAGAAACAAAATTCTATGTTTCTCGTTCTATGCCTGAAGGTTAATTTCAGTGACATTTCCCACTGGGACGGATTTCCCAAAGAGAGGCTATTGATGCTTAAGCTTGTAGAATATAAGTTCAGCGTATCAGTCAGAGAGAGGCCAGTGAAATGGAAACCTTTCTAAACTGTTCGGTAAAAGGAAATAAACACAAAGAACAAGTTTACAAGGTTTGAGAAGAGCTGAAGGGGCAGTAATTGGATGCTGTTCCAAGCCCCTGTGGGAGGACAATGGGAGGAGGTGATGTCGCCAGAACCCATGAGTAGGGCTGCATGGAAAAAATAGGAATTACCGTGATAGGCGCCTTGCTAAGCCAGAGCTGGAATTATGATAGGAAGAGTCCCTTGCATGAGACGAAAATATGGTGAAAGGACTCCGGTGAAATTCAGCTATAAGGAGATGAAGCCATTGCCAGAGACAGTTCTGAAAGTAGAGCCATGAGAGAAATTCTATGGCTTCTCTCCTCCTCTGCTCTTTCTAATCCTCTTCCAGTGACTCCCATTTGTCAAATGTAACTGGAAGCCAGTGGATACAAAGGTCTAGCAATTGTAGGTTGCAGGGCTCAGTCCCTCAGACAAAGGACACATTTTAACTGCCTGCTGCAGTGAATACAGGGCATCTATTACAAAATCCCTCACTTCCATTTTCCACAAATTTCCTATCTAAATTCCAGCCTGGATGGCCATTTATCAGTCCCAGCTGATTAATCAGCTATGGAAACTATAAACCAAACATACCTCTCCTGAATATTCCTCTACAATCATGTCAGCCTAGTGAACTCCACATCACATACTGGTAAGATGGATAAATCATCCACGAAGGGAACCAGAATAGAGAGATTGGCTCTGGAGCAAATTATCAGAACAAGGCTTTTGATGTAGTGAGAAGAGGAGGAGTATGGACCTTCTGTGGCAGCAGGAGAATCCTGCCTCTCTATTCTCACAGGCAAAATCCAGTGTAAGAAAAGGCAGCAAGGTTTGGTCTTTGTGGAGCCTCCCACTTAAGAGGCCCTTCCACTGAGACTGCAATAGAACTATATAAAAAAACCACAGTGCACAAGCTGAATGGAATCAATGGCATTCCTTCCTTTTTTCAACTTCCCACCAACCAATAATTTGATCCCATAATACTGGACAGACTTAACAGATTTTCCCAGTTCACACTTCCCCTTTTGACTCATTTTAGCTTGGTAGCATGGTTCTCAACTGCCTTAAGTTAAAGGTTGAGCCCTAAACATAGCATTTATCAGCTTTAATGCATATAGATACCTCCTAAGATCTTGGTAACTTACAGATTCTAATTTGATAGGTCTAGGATTGGCTCAAGTTTCTGCAGTTCTTTTTTATTATTATTATTATACCTTAAGTTTTAGGGTACATGTGCACAATGTGCAGGTTTGTTACATATGTATACATGTGCCATGTTGGTGTGCTGCACCCATTAACTCGTCATTTAACATTAGGTATATCTCCTAATACCATCCCTCCCCCCTCCCCTGACCCCACAACAGGCCCCGGTGTGTGATGTTCCCCTTCCTGTGTCCATGTGTTCTCACTGTTCAATTCCCACCTATGAGTGAGAATATGCGGTGTTTGGTTTTTTTGTCCTTGTGATAGTTTGCTGAGAATGATGGTTTCCAGCTTCATCCATGTCCCTACAAGACATGAACTGATCATTTTTTATGGCTGCATAGTATTCCATGGTGTGTATGTGCCACATTTTCTTAATCACCAGTTAGAATGGCGATCATTAAAAAGTCAGGAAACAACAGGTGCTGGAGAGGATGTGGAGAAATAGGAACACTTTTACACTGTTGGTGGGACTGTAAACTAGTTCAACCATTGTGGAAGTCAGTGTGGCAATTCCTCAAGGATCTAGAACTAGAAATACCATTTGACCCAGCCATCCCATCACTGGGTATATACCCAAAGGATTATAAATCATGCTGCTATAAAGACACATGCACATGTATGTTTACTGCGGCATTATTCACAATAGCAAAGACTTGGAACCAACCCAAATGTCCAACAATGATAGACTGGATTAAGTTTCTGCAGTTCTATAGACCTTGCAGTTGTTGTCGATGTTGTTAGCCCACATGCCTCAATTACTTTTCTTTTTTCTTTCTCTCTCTTTTTTCTTTTCTTTTTTCTTTTTTTTTGACGGAGTCTCACTCTATCTCCCATGCTGGAGTGTAGTGGTGTGATCTCTGCCCACTGCAACCTCCAACTCCCAGGTTCAAGCAATTCTCCTGCCTCAGCCTCCCAAATAGCTGGGACTACTGGTGCATACCACCATGCCTGGCTAATTTTTGTATTTTTAGTAGAGAGAAAATGTTACCATGTTGGCCAGGCTGGTCTTGAACTCCTGACCTCAAGTGATCTGCCCACCTCGGCTTCCCAAAGTGCTGGGATTACAGGCACGAGTCACCACACCAGGCAGTGAGGTTTTTGTTGTTATTGTTGTTGTTCTTGTTCTTGTTCTAGAACAGATTCCTGAGGATCGTACTCAGGGACCACCACACTATATAAACCAAAGCCCAAACAAAAAGCAACAAAAGCATGTATGTCTGCGTGGGTGTGGAATCTAGACCACTGTCTTCCATCGATTTACTCTGCCTGAGGTTCTCGAAGTGACAGGATGTTTACATAACTCTGGTGAGTCTGGGCAATGCTGGTTTCCTTGGAGTAATAAATAAAGATGCTTCACTTCACTGTATGGTGGCTTCGTTTTAATAACTGGCTAGAGAATACCCTTCAGACAGAGCAAACAGGGCAGAAATAAACTGAGATGGGAAAAACTGTTAATGGGTCACAGCTAAGTCATGAACCACGTGGACTCCCCCAAATTACCGTCACTTTCTTAGTGCCAGCTGTAAGGGATTTTGACAACTCTACACCTCTGAAAATAAGATTACATTATTTCACAGGGTGTTAGTGATGTCTGATAGATTTGTGTTTGTTTTGATCTGTGCTGTGTCTACATTTTGGGTCTAACAGTTTGTTAGTTCCTTGTCTATTTTTCTAGATTTTCTAGATATTTCAAAATAAACTATAAAATTATAGGGAAATAAATAATAGGATTCCATTTCTATTTCACTCTCAGACTGAAGCAAGTGATTAGTAAAGCCAATAGTATCAGTAAAACAGCAAAGTTGATCAAACTCCTAGGGGAGAAACAAATGAGCAAACAAGCAAATATAAAAAAATGATGAGTTGGAAATTGGTACAGTATTAAGAAGAGACTCTCGGGGCATTAGGCTCCATTCCTCAAAATTCTTAATGGTTTTGAGGTCCTTTGTTGACAATTAAAAAGCTTACACAGATGATTGATGACCCTATGCCTGAACAGATTTGTTTTAGCTTTATCTGATTTGGTTGGCGTCATTTGAAAAGAGAAAGAAGACTCTAGGAAATCAGTTTCAATTTCTTCATCTATGAAATCAGATGATGTAACTCAATTTCAGGACAGATTTACTAATTGAATAGAATTACATATAGTTGTATTTCCATTTTGATCTGCATATATTCGCAAGAATTTTCAATAATCGAGGAGTATTCCATTGGCTTCCAACTTTGCCTCATATAATCCTGAAGGCATTCTTATGAAGTAGATCCTGTCTTCTCTTGAAAATATCTGTATATATGAAAGCTTAGAGGGGTGAGGGAATCTGGCCAAGGTTATATACCTTGTAATTTGCAGAATTAGGTTTAAGCCTTAATTCTGTGCTACCAAATCCATGATATATTCATTTTACTATACTGCCTTATATTCACATACTGTTAGAAGGTAAATGATGTTTGAATGTCAGGAAAATATAAGAATACTCCCTTCCAGGGTCTTGGAGTAGGTTGGCATGTGGGTGCTGGATGAATTTCTCTCTCTTATGATGGCTAGAGGTTGTCTGATCCTGTCGAAAGCTCTTAAAAGTAAATTCTCTTGGTTCATTTCTGAAACAGCAACAATCAATCTCATTAGTATTTCGTTATCTGTTTGTAGACAGATTGACTGTGTTAACCGTTTCCCATTTGGGTTCTAGTTACTTATTCTGCTTAGAATTCAAGCGAGTGCTTGTTTTGTCATCTCTTCCACGGGCTTTCCTACTCTTCATCCTCACTGAATCTTAACTCCTTTATGTAAAGATTAGTGTTGTTTGTTTCCTTTACTACTTTATTTTCTTTACTCTCAGTGCCATGCAGGATTGATTACCTTTAGAGCTGAGTTGACTCCATTTTATTTATCATTTGAGATGTGTCTTTAGTTGCTGAAGGGACTGCCTGCTACTTCTTCTCAAATTATACTAAAATTGCTGACTGAATTTCTGTACAACTACCTGGAGGCAAATTTGGTGGAAAATATTTTATGTTACTTCCCGAGCCCCTTAATGAAACACACTATGTTTGTTTCAAACTACCAGAGCTGGCTTTGGTCCTAAATAAGGTTTCTGAAATTATTTTATAGCCAAACATTTAATTGTTTGTATTTTTAAAACTGCCAGCTTGAACTGCTAGGTTCTTCCAACTGTGCTTGTGAAATATTTGTTCTCATTTAGAAGAAAATCACTCACTCCCTTTGTCAGAGGACTATTGTTGATAAAATTAGGGCTCCTGTATCTGCTGAGGTACTTCCTCTCCTGTGTGCGGGATTTTTAATGGGATGGATGAAGTGCATGCCCCTGCGCAGTTGGATACCACATTGCTTATTGCTTTCTGGTTGGCACAGGAAATCACTCCATCTGCACTTGCTCTTCCATTTTAGCCTGAAAGATCAAATACTACCTGCCACATGCCTGTGGGTTGGAATTGGAATCTAAATGTCCTCTACACCTTCAATTTTGTGAAAATCTTGCAAGGAAAGTTACTCAAGTGAAGTCGGTGTGAAATATACCCGGTACTGATTTGCATGTACAAATTTTAGGAGAAAGTATCTGGAACTTGCCTTCTGCATTTCCCTCCTCTTTTAGTTTCCCCTTCAGTTGGGTCCTTGTAGTGGTAAATTTCCTGCTCCCTGACATACTGTATTCTACTGTAGGTAGTTAGAGTGCATTCTGGGAGTTGGGTAATATTTGTAGTTGCTGCATTTTGGGGATGTGTTACAACTGGTGGGAAAGTGTGTGCTTGGCTACATCTGCAGATGTTACCAATTAGGGCCAGTGCCATTTTCCACAGCTGTGGGCTCTAAAACTCTCCCACCTGCAGGCTCAAAATTATCTAATCCTTAAACCAGCGATAGCCTGGGCTGATGGAATATTTGCAGCTCTTTTCTTATTCTGGGTGGGTGTCCTTACCAGTCTCCTGGCTAGACTTCCACTTGGGACTCTGACGTATAATTACCATTCCAGTCATGTTCTGGGCCGGGGCATGGAGCTGAGCCTGACCCTGACCCTTATAAGGGATCCTAAATCCCTGAACTGGTTCTTGGACCCCAGGAATGTCCTCTGCTTTGGATAACTCTCTTAGAACCACCCACTGATACAGCCAGCAATGGCCCAACTTCTATTTGTACCTAAAACATCTGTCAACTAGAGCTGTGCCCTGCCATGCTTCCTCAGGGCAGATCTCTTGAACTTGAATACTGGCTCAGATTGAAATCAAGAGCACCACATACCTTGGGCCTGGTAATTTATACTCTTAGCTCCTTTCTGGAACACATCAGTCATGTGCTTCTGTCTGTTTTTCCCTGTCCCTTTTCAAAACTGCCCTTGTTTCATAATCTCTTGCAAACTGGGACTTCCAACATGCCACCATTTAGAAAGGTTTTTCATTTATGCAAAGTTACCCAGTGTCATATGTATAATTTAGGGTGAACTAGAAGCATCAGTGTCATATGTATAATTTAGGGTGAACTAAAAGCATCACACACAACGAAAAGGTAAAAGAAAAATAATTTTAGATTCTCATATCTTTATTTGTTCCTATTTGATCTTTCTGACCGCCTCCCCCAAATTACATATAAGATTTCTTTGTTGTTTTAAAACAAGTACTACTCAAGAATCTAATAGGTGGCAGATGCTTTTATGTATTCCTTTTTATTTCAACCAAATAGCTACATTTTGAGCTAGATGTTCTTTCCCTCCAGGAAACCCAAGTACTTCTGTATTACAAACCCATTTAACTCTTCAGAGCCAAATTCCTTAATTTTAAAGTTAAGGAGAATAGGACTAAGAGAAATTAAGACACCTGCACAAACTAGTTGGTTGCCTTATGTAGGCTTCCTGACTCCAAAATCAATATTTCCTTCTTCAATTAACTGCATTTCCTTTTAACTCAACCAGGTAAAGCAATGAAGCAGATTATACTAATATCTGTGCAGTGGTGGAACAATGTCCTTTGTTCTTCTCTCTCTTTGGCATGTTCCTACTATTTTTTCTGCTACTTATTTCCACCTTTTGTCCTGTTCCTGGGGCCCATGCCTTCCCTATGTTGAAGGGCTGGCAGCCTCAGGGAAAATTTGAGTTGCTTAGACCTGAACAACGTCACTGCTGTGTTTTAAAGAGAAAATTCTGACAGAATAAGCTCTTTCCCACCAAGCTAGCTCTCTCGTCCCTATATTTCTTGCACCGTGAAATTGTCACTGTTTAAGCATCAGAAGCCTCATCCTAATTCAGCCACACAAATTAGTTTACATCAATATCCTAAGGGTCTGAAAGAATCAGTGAAGCATAGAATATTTGAGCTGGAAGGGATCTTCAGTGCAGGTCTAAAGGAATTTAAGGAGTGGTTCTATTGAAATGTGGGCATCATGCCTAAAAAGAACCGGATATATTTTGTGTCTGCTTTCAGTCCCCCTTTGGTTTCCTTTTATATGTGTTGGCGCAGGTATAAACTTGTGCCCTCTTAATCCATTTTTGTGAAAAAGCAGTAGTAGAATAAGGTGTGAATAGCCTGGAAAGCAAAGCATAGCTCTGTTACGTGTGCGTAAAGCCAATGCATATTTCCAGACAGAATGCTTTTGAAAACTCTGTACTAAGCAAGATTGATCTCTGTGACAGTGGTCTTTGTAGTCAGCTAAATTTAAAAAGCACCTTCTGTAACTAGACAGAAATGCATGCTGGGACTTACCTTGGAAAAGCCTTAATCTAGTTCCTCCGCTTACTCCAGTCTCTTGAATACAGCTCAGTCCAGTTATGTAAAACTCTGACTTTTGTGAATTTAAAGCCTAATGAGAAACCAATTAACAATATGACTCAAAGATTTTTGCTACAGAACTGATACTAAAAGAATTTAGAGACACTTTTATATATAAAATCCTTCAATATATACTATCATTCACATTAGTTTGCACTTCTGTGACTCCATTGTCACAGTTCCATAACGTCACTCTATTATGAAGCAAATATTTGAACAAGATGTTAAGGGACTAAATCATTTAGTCGTGTTTATTTTCAAATAATTTTTCATGACCCAACTCCATTGAGCTATGCAAGTTTCATAAATTGCATTGGCATTTAGAGAGGAGACATTGTGCCCAGAAATAGTGTGATCATATTAGGTAAGCCCAGAATATAAAATATACTCATATTACATTAGGTAAGCAAAGGTTACTGGGGAGAGAAGAATGTATTTTCAAATCTCTTACCAGGTGATGAAGAGAGTTGCTTTGGACCACATAGCTGACTAAAGGCCACATTTATAACTGACATTAATTTTGGAACCTGAATAAGTTTTACTTTTCCTGTGGAACCTGAGGATATAAAATGAGAGAAAGGAAGTATCAAAAATGTTTATTCATTTAATATTTATCTATTGAACGACAACTGTTTGCTAGGCTGTTTTTACAGGAGCTGGTGGTACATCAGAGAGCAAAACTGTCCAAAATTTCTGCTTCTGTGAAGTTTACATTCCAACAGAGGTAGAACAGCAGTAATATATGAAATTAAATAAATCAATAACAGAAGAAAATAAGAACTGTGGAAAAAACTAGAGCAAGATAAGGGGGCTCTAGGCGTTTAGACATACTTAAGTAGAATATTCTGGTACCTTTCTGAGAAGGCAACTTTTAAGCAAAATGTTGGAGCAGAAAATGAGCAATAATAGTATCTCGGCGAAGAGAGAATCAGGATGAGTGAAGAGCAAGTATAAAAGCTCTAAGGTGAGAATGTGCCTGGTTAGTTCCAAAAAAGTAAAGAGGTTATCTAGAGGGGAGTGAACAAGAGTATAAGATCTGAGAGATAACACGTTGCTTTGAAAGGAGGAGCCATGTAATCTGACTTTCACTGGAAAACCTCCGGTTGCTGTGTTGAGTGCAGTGTGTAATGGGGAAGGATAGAGACAGAGAGATTAGCGAGTAGCTTAGGCAGGGATGTCAGGTCAATCTGAATGCAACAAGAATATACTGGTAGTAGAGTATAGCCAAAGTCATTGCAATAGAGATGTAAATGAGCAATAATTTGTTTGATTTACAGTAATGTTGGATCAATAATAATGGAGCAGGGTGTTCAGGAAAACTAGCTAATTTACTTTTCTATAATATAGAGCAGTGTGAATAGAATTACTCTTATTGTCAGAGACCAGATAGTTTTTAGGCCAGTGTGATTGAAGTATGCCACAAAGTCTCCTGGCTAAATGTTCTAAACTCCAGTCCACTGATATGAATACAAGTATTACTTTAGCAACCCTAATTTTAAGAGTGTCAAGAATTAATTTAGCCATAAATAGATACTAATATCCAAGCATGAAATTATATATTGGGCTGTTGAGGTGAGGGTTAGGGCTTGAGAGAACAGGACTTGGATGCAAAGTTTTGGTGGGTCAGAGGGAGGGAATTGTCTTGTGAGGCTCACTGTGAGCGTTCTAAGCAATCAAGCAAAGGACAAAGCTTTCAGTGTTTGGAAGCAGACAAGGCCACTGAGAGGGGGTGTAAGGAATCAGCTGAAAGAAACGCTATCTAATTCATACTTCTGTTTTCAGGCTTCCCAGACCCCAAGTGCTAGAAAAAGCTGGCCCCTGTGTGTTTAGATGGAGCCTGATTTAACAAACTTTGCTGGAATCCTTTATACCCAGTGTGTTCTCCTTATGCAGGGGAAGTCTGTAGCTGATGTGTTTGATTTCATTAGGTGCAGTCTGTAATGCAATGATTAAAACACTTGAGTAGAAAATTACTTGAGCTCTTTATTTGGATAGAAACCTTTTGGTTAAAGTAACACTGGTCTAATTTTGATAGCTGGGCTGAAGAAAATGCAGAAAAGGGTGGAGAGAGAGGAGAGTTTTCATGAATGGGTCTGAAATTCAAAAGAATTAGGGCAGAGGAAATGTGATGAAGTGAAGCTGGCAGAGCTGGGGAAATTTGACCCCATGGAGCAGGGTGACCTGAGGCTTACATCCTCACTATGTCCATGTTCCTCCAGTTTCCACACATACTGCCACTATGGAAAGTATTCTTATTAGGATTTTTAGTTAAAATAACTTTGAACCAGTTCTTCTAAAGAGGCTCTTTTAGACAGAAAAACACATTTGTCTGCCTGACGCTTTCAGCAAGCAACTAAGAAATGCAGAAATGAGAGGAAAAATATTGTTAGACAGATAAAGTATACTTTGCCTGAGATGAACCTGTCAGGAAGCCCAAGCTGCGTGGAGAGCTTACGTGTTGATGTTCTGGCAGTTAGCTCCAGCTAAGGTCCCAGGCAACAGTTCGCATCGGCCACTAGATATTTGAATAATCAAGGGTTCAAATAGTTCTAGTCCCTAGCCATTGAACTGTGCCAGCTGATGTCAAGTGGAGCAGAGATGACCCATCCCTGATAGCTGTGCCCAAATTGAAGATTTTTAAGTAAAATAAATTTTGGTTTCAGCAACTAAGCTTTGGGGTTGTTAAAAAGCAATAGATAACTGTACAAGGAACTAAAACTTTTGTTCTAAAAAGAGGAAATTCCAGTCTATAGCAAGGGCAGTTTTCCTTCTAAGAAACAATGATGATACCTCATGTTTAAAAGAAGGAGGCTCAACTTCTTTGTCCCTTTCATTTTCTTACAATACTTCTCTTAAAAATTTTTCTCTTATAATTAAATCACTGGACAATGAAGTAAAGAAAACTGTTAAAGACTCTGCTATAGCTTCTAACATAGGTTAGGAAAAGAAAACAATACATAAAGTATTAAAAACTCTGCTATGGCTTCTAACATAGTCTAGGAAAAGAAACATACTTCTATGTATGCATGTATGTGTGTATGTATGCATCTATCTATCTATCTATCTATCTATCTATCTATCTATCTATCTATCTTATCTGTTACTGGCAGCAAATCTGTATTCATACAGGTCTGCAGCAACCTCAATTCTTGCCATCTCAGAAAAAGAATTTGACTGAGGGGCATAAGGCAGAAGGAGAGACTGAGGCAACTTTTGGAGCAGGAGTGAAAGTTGATTAAAAAGCCTTAGAATGAAAAGGAGAAAAGTAAGCTTTAGAATGAAAGGAAGAAAAGTACACTTGGAAGAGGGCCAAGCGAGGGAGATGAAAGGTAAGTACGTGGTTTGATCTTTTGACTTGGGTTTTTATATATTGGCTTACTTCTGGATTTTTGGGTTACTTCTCACCACTCACCCAACTCCTGAGATCTTATCAGGAAGCTACTGATTACTAGTTTCAGGTGTTTTCTATTAGGAGACTGCCTTTCCCTGGCATCATCTGTGACCAACTATTACTTTAGAGAGATAGTTAATACCTGCCTGACCATCACCTGATGGTCACCCAACACTCCTGGAGTGTGTGTTGGGGGGAGCCCTCTCCTGCTCTGCTCATACCTGACTAAATACCTACTGTAATCTATCTATCTACCTACCTATCTGTTGGTTGGTTGGTTGATTGAATCTAGGTACTGCTGTGCTTTTTCCTGAAGATATAGCACAAGGGGCTCTTCTTTATTTGGGGGTCTTTTAACACACTCCACTCCAAGGGTGGGTCCTAGGTTTTATCTTCCTCTTTCCATGCAGCTGTCAAAAATGCCACTCAAGGTCACCAGAGATTATCAGGTGCCTTTGAAGTAGCAGGCAGCTTTAGAGTTTATTTAACTCTCTAGACTACTGCTTTCATTTTGTTTTTGACTATCAAGGGCATCTCTTGAATTTTTGTAAAATTTGTAAAAACTTATAAAAAAATTAGTGTTCATAGTTGTTTTCAGCAGGAAGGTTAATTTTTACATGAGGGTACTCATGTGCCAGAAATTTAAAAAATGACATATATGTATTTTTAAAGGGTAGTTGTCAGGTTCTAACTGAAGGCCGAGGGGAGTTGGTGGGCAAGTGGTGGGTAGCTGAAAAAACACTTGAGGAATTGTAGATAGTTTCAATATGGCTTTACTCTCTCCCTGGGTGCAAGTGAGCCTGGGCATGAGTGAGCCCAGGCATGAGCCATATGTACAACATTAGCAGGGTAAATATACCTTTTACAGACAAGAGTGGCTCTGAGCCAAGCATGAGCTCACGTGGGTGATCACCTAATGTGCCTCATGTGGTGTGGTTACATAATGAGCGGAGTTGCACACCTGTGCTCCAAACTCACTGAGTCATCTGGATGGGATGTCTACCTTGGCCTATTCTTGACCGCAGCACATCCATTTTCCTTACACTTCACCCACTAGGCCGAGGGAGACATAGGCCTTGAACACGCAGGTCTGACACACAGGTCTTACACATAGGCTCTGGACACACAGGTCCAACACATAGGCCTTACATTCCACTCCCTAGGCTGAGGGAGTTTTTCTAGTGGGGAGATGTGCTCACAGGGCAGAATCCTGGACCCAGAGGCCATAGCAGTAATACAGGGAGCAACAACTCCAGCTTATGGCACACAACCACCCCCTGGTGATGTTACCCTAATATTGCTTTATACATCAAGCCAGGTTTTTATTTTCCTACCTTTGGGGGCACTGGGACAGGCAACAAGAGGTTACCGTTCATCCCCATGCCTGGTCGGAGGAGGTCATCCTTCCACCTATAGGTCTTGCCACATGGCCTGGCCCCACATGGACCAGTGATCAACTGGTCACTTTTGTAACTTCTAGGTAGTTAACCACAAGGTTAAGCCTCAATAGACCGCCCAGCTATTGGTACAGATTACCATAGGTGTCACCTCCTTGGTGATCACCATACATACTGCTGTAAGTTCAACCCATTGGCTACTGTGTCCACACCTGGTTTCGAGTCATATGGTGTCAGTATTAGTTTGGACTGTGTCAGCGGTCCAGGCAGAAGTAGCACCTTGGCTAGACCCATCTGTGTACCATGCCCCATTGGGAATTGCAGGGGAAGAGGGGGGCAGGGCACCCTTTCTTAAATGGTAAAGACTCGGGGTCTAGGGGTACCTCAGGCCTCATGGCCTTATCTTGCATTAGGACTACAGGTCCCAAGACCTCTTGCAACTCTGCTGCTAAGGGGCTTGTGCTCAGCGTACTCTGCTGCACCAAGTAGGTGCCCCACTTTGCCGGAGTGGATGTCTATGCCATCCTAGTCCAGGGGGTCATACCTATGAACGCACCTATCCTGCTATCAGGTAAGTAAGTCATCCATACGATGACTGCAGCCCATCCTGTTACACTCTCACAAGCCTGAAGGGTGGCATATACAGCTGCTAGCTGTTTCTCTATTAAGGAATAGTGGAGCTCAGCTCCGTTCCATCGTTGGGACCAAAAGCCGACTGGCATTCTCAAGCACTCTGTGCACTGCCACAGGCCCCAGCTGAAACCATCTGTGGTCACATGCACGTCCAGCTCAAATGGGCGCCCCTGGTCAACTACATATAGGGCTTGTGCCTACTGAATAGCCTGCTCGGCTGCCAGGAAGGCAGTCTCAGCTGCACCAACCCAATCACAAGCAAGAGGAGCATTGCTGCTTCTAAATCTGCAAGAGAATCAGAGGTTAACATAATATTATCAAGACCATGACATATGGTAGGGCTATACATATAGCCCTGTGGTAACACTGTGAAAGTCCATTGTTGCCTTCGCATGAACGCAAACGGTTCCTGGCTCTCTAGAGCAATGTTAATTGAGAATGCATTGGTCAAGTCCACCACAGAGTGGTACTGTCCCAATTCTGTCGTCAAGTGGTCCATCAGGTCTGTAACAGGTAGCACAGCTGCCAAGCTGTGTAAAACATCCACCCTCAGAATGTATTCAGGTATGGGAGAGACATACACAGTGCATAAGCAGGGAGCCAGGCGGCCAATGGCAAGGTGCAAAGATACAGGTTTCACTATCACTGACTGGTCTTTATAACCATCTACGTAGCCTTGCTCAGAAACTTATCCAGGCGCAGGAACCACCGCATTGCCAAGTCCACATGTGGCCTCGGTCGTCCAGTGTCCCCTCAAGCGGGGCACGTCGGCCAGTTCCCTAATCAAACAGAAAAGGTTTTACACTCTTGCCTGGCTACAGGACGTAGTCTTTGAGCTGGAGCACCCAGGTGGGACTGGGTCATGCAGTAATGTCCTTCTCCCTTCTGGGCATTTTCTGGAACTGCTGCTCCAGAGACAGCTGTCTCCACAAAATTAAGATAACTTTATTGGGCTGCTTATTGATTTTCTTTCAGTCAGTCCTGGCCAAAATCAAATCTATCCACATCTGTGAGCATGTCACTTATTGAGTGCCTGAAGGTCCCCATTCATGGCAGCTTCTAACCCTTTTTCTGAGCTGTGTAGCTGGGCCTCCAGGCAGCCTACTTGTGCCTGGAGGGCCCTTACCTCTACTGCATCCCTCAGGGACAAGCTGTGTAATTCTCATAGCACAGTAAAAAATGCCCATCCAACTCTGCAGGCAAAAGCTCACTCCTTCTAGGTTCTCTGTGCTTCCAGCTGCTTCAGCGCCTTCTCCATGCTCATGGGGGACCCATGTACTGTTGCTCAGGTTTCCACCAGAGCCCATTCATGCAGCATAGCTCAGGATCCTGTTTGTGATTCCAATTGTCAGGTTCTAACTAAGGTCCGAGGAGAGTCGATGGGCCAGTGGCAGGTAGCTGGCAAAACACTCGTGGAATATTTTGACATGGCTTTACTCTCTCTCTGGGCACAGGTGAGCCTGGGTGTGAGCAAGCTCAGGTGCAAGCCATTTGTACAGCATTTGCAGAGTAATTATACCTTTTACAGACAACAGTGGCTCTGAGCCAAGCACAAGCTCATGTGGGTGATCACTTAATATACCTCACATGGCGTGGTCACAAAATGAGCAGAGTTGTGTGCCTGCACTCCAAACTCGCTGAGTCATGCTGTACCGGATGTCTGCCTTGGCCTATTCTTGACTGCAGCATATCCATTTCCCTTACAGTAGTTTATATTGAGTAATATAGACCCTTTTATTAGTTTCTTCTTATGTTTCACAATATAGATTTCAAAGTAGTTAACAGGGGATGAGAATTCAATTGAAAGTGAAAACCTGAAGTTTATCTTCTATATAATTCTTTCAAATAATTAGGGGTTGGGAGAGGCAATACTGACTTTTCTTTCTCAGCTGTCTTTGATCAAATCAATTTATAGGCACAAACTAGCTTTCCTGACTCAGCTTTCTTTGAGCTTCAGTTTTGATGACTAGACTTGACTGAATTCCTTGTGGTTGTTTTTTTTTTTTTTCTTTTTTCTTATGGATGTGATCTTGATGCCATGAGGATACACTTAGGGATAAACTGCACCACAGTCTATTTTGTAAGTGGAATCCGTTACTCTATTTAGAAGCAATTGCATAGCTCTGAAAGACAGAAGAACTAAGGTGAGTAGAACCAGCTTTCTGAACATTTGGAATACATGGAAAATTTTGGGATCCTTGCTGAGACCAGTGAGCTTTCCTGTACATAATATTTCTTTGGTGTTTCCATTAGAAAATATTTTCGCACGTGGAACATACTCGCCTCAAGAGTGTAGAGAAATGCAAGTTAAGCATATAGCTGGATTCCAGGCACTTTGTTAAAATTTTAAAGCTTGCAGGCTAGATGCTTTTCTTTCAATGTCGACTTTTGCTTCTGAGGTAGAACAGACATTATGTCAAGCTAGCTCATTTGTTTTGGATTCTCTGTATTTTTTAAGGAAATTTTTAACCAAATCACCTACCTGGGAAGGCCTAGGAAATGAATGTCTTGTCTTCTATGGCTTGTAGTTTACAATGCACAAATCATACATCAAACATCAACAGATGCTACATGAGGCAAACTTTAAACTCAAAGAATTATAGCTTCAAATAGTAATTTTGTAGGACAGTTGAAATATAGTCAATGAAGGAAACAAAAGTGATTGGGAGAAAAATAAGCCAAATAGAGCTGTAGACTTCAAGGAAATTCATTCATTATACTATCTGTGTATGGAGTAGTCTGGCTAATATGAAGTGAAATGTATTTGCAATAATAATTAGAGATCATTTGATTATTAGATTTGATCAGCCATAGTAACTTCAAATTACAATAAAACTAGCTTAAAATTTTTTGAAATGATTCTGGAAAAATTTTACTGAAGATCAGATAGATATTTTCCTCCAGGCTTATGGAGAGAAACTGGTTTGCTGAAAACTGGAAGTATAGCTCTGAGGAATGTAAGAGAATTGGTACTCTGTTTCAAAGTAATTGTCCATAATTCCTCAAACTAGAATTCATTTAAAATAAACTTAAGAACTTCTGACTTTTCACATTACAAAGCTCTATCAAAATAGCAGTAAACTCAAGAATAATTTAAATGGAAACTATTAAAGTTTCTTTTACAAAACAGAATTAACTAGCTCTTAGCACACTGGACTTAAGTTTTATAGCATATAATACTGCGTGTAAATGGCATTTAAAAGCAAGACACCTAAGGTACTTCATTAATCAGAGCTTTTCATAAAATTAGTATTTCAAATAGAAGCATTTTCAGGTAGGTAACTTTAAGTCATGAAAGCGAACCAATATTTAAATACACATTAACTGTGTAAATATTTTAGGGGAATTGAACCAGACCCTTATCCATAGCTACAGAAAGATAAACCAGGAACCTCATCTCAGACAAAAACAAGCCCTTGAGTAAAGTGTAAATTAAACTCAGTGCTTGAGGACTCCATACTTGACCAATGAGAGGGGAAGCAGGAGCTAAAAGCAGAAGAAATATCACTCTGTTGCTCTTTTCCAAAGGTTTTGGGGATTAACAATGCTGCAATGATTCTAAATGGCTGTGCCTCTTGGCAATAAGAAAAAAGATGATAATCTCTACCCTGTTCCTCATTCTTGTCCATTCATTAATGCTACATTTATTCATTCAACAAACAAATTTGTCATGGACAGTCTTCTAGGTGCCAGGTCCACTGAAGTGAACAGAAACAAGTGTCCAGTCATGGGGACAGATAATCTATTGCACAAAACCTGTCAATTCACTACTCTAATATTTACTTTCCATTAATTGAGTACTATTTACTCAACCATTAATTCATCCCAGTAATTAATTTATTTTGCCAAGCATAATAAGATCTAAATTCCTGTCCTTGTCTGAGAAGTTTATGATCTAGCCATGCCAAAAAAATAAAAGCTTTTGTAAATCAATATTATAAGTGCTACAATATGGGTGAACACAGGAAATTAAGCAAACAGTTAGGGTGAATGAATAGGTCACATCGAAAGTGTCTGGGAAGACTAGTGAAGAAGGCTCATGTTTTGTTTTTGAAAGGTGAATGCAAGTTAGAAGGAAGAAGGTGAAGGGGTAGAATATTCTAGGCCAAAAAAAGAGCTGCATGTTCAAAATGATAAAGGCATACAGGATGAATCTGTGGTTAGCTAATGTGGCTACAGTACAGGTGGGAATGGGACACCTGGTAAGAAAAGAGGAGGGCAGAAAGGCAGATAAATCCAGGAGGATTTAGAATGCAATGTTACGAACTTTGCATTTTCACCTGAGCACTAAGGGAAAAGACTGAAAAATATGTAGAGAAGTCACCCTGGTGGCAGGGTGAAGCCTAAGTGCCCGCTTGACTGTTCTATTATGAAATTCATTATTTAAGTGCAGGTTCTTGCTGTTGTGCTGTTTATTTTACTATTCTTTCTGCCTACATTAGTACACTTTCTCATATCATCCCATCCTAATCACAGCTGTTTCTCAAGGCCTAGTAAAAATCTCACTTCCTCATTCAGCAAAATTCAAGAGATGTTATTGATAACCTGCAAAGTCAAACATGTGGAGAATTTCCTGATTATGCCAACTAGTGAATTATCTTCTAACTCCTATAGGAGTTTGTTCATACCCCTCATATGACACTTGGAATTTTTTTGTATCCTCAAGATTCTATCAAACAGGCAGTCCACTCAAATTGGGCAATTAGAGAAGAATTGAATAAAAGGACTGTTTACAAAGACGTGTGTAGGTGCTCTGAACCACATCTCTGTGTAACAGACCATCCTAAACTTAGTGACATAAAATAATAACCATTTTATTATACCCAGGGATTCTGTGGGTCAGGAATTAGAGAAAGGCACAGAGATTGATTCTTTTCTGCTCCATGATGTCTGAGGATTTAACGTTGGGGAGATAACCTTGATGGGTGGGATTAGATTCATTGGAAGGCATCTTTATTCACATGTCTACATTTGTGGTAGAGCTATTGCCTGGAGCACATACATGTGGTCTTTCCATGTGGCTTGGCTGGGCTTCATCACAGGAGCTTTCCACAGGTTAGCGGAGGTTTTTATATGGCCTTGTAGGGCTCCAAGCACAAGTGTCCTAACAAGTAAAGCAGAAGTAGAATGGTCCTTATGAGATAGCCTTGGAAGGCACAGAATCCTGGTTCTGCTGTATTCATTAGTTATGAATAAGTTATGAACAAGTCTCTAAGGTCAGCCCAGATTCAGGTAGAAGTGTCCTACCCATCACCAATCAATAGGAGAAGTGACAAAAGATTTGCACATGTTTTAAACTGCCACAGAAGGGTTTACGGAAGCTAACAAGGGATAGCATGGTGCCTTAGGGCTAGGAACAGCAGTAGCTGAGTTTCTATTTCTTTGAGCGAACAAGCAAAGGCAGGAAGAATTTGCCAGATCGAGAGCTTTAGGAGACAGCCACATGATGGTGCTGTAGTCATCGATAGAGAGATGGAGCTAAATGAGGGCAAGGAGGTAGTCATTGATAGAGAGATGGAGCTAAATGAGGGCAAGGAGGAAGAAAAATTGGCAAAAGTAAACACCTGACTCACTCTGTTCATACCCTCAGGAGCCTCCCTATTGGTCAAACCCAGCCGGCAGCCTAGGAATGTATCCATGTAGGTCAACTTCCTGAGGCTAACAGCAGGGTAAGTAAGGGGGAAAGTGGGTTTGGAGAGACAAACAAGATATTCGATACAACCTTTTATTACAGCTAGTTTTTAATTTGTCCTTGGAAGTGGAATTTTTCCACTTCCAAACATACACTCCTATAATTCTTCCCCCACTTGACAATGTAAAAAGAGACAAGGTGTGTTTTATATAATAGGAGCTTAGTTCTTGTTTGTTGAATAATGAATGATTGATAGCCACTTCTATGAATGAATAAATACATAGAGAAGTTCCTTTTCATATCAGATTCCCATGTCTAATTCTATGTGGATTTAGAGATAAGATACTAATTTCTTATCTACTGGATAATGAATAAGTCACATTATTTTCACCAAATTATTTTCTCTTTTTTAGGTTTAAATCATAGAGTTTACAAAAGCTTTTATCAAAAATGTTGAAAATGAAAGCAGCCATGAGCACAGATTTATTCATAATAAACAAAGGCTCAATATTTCTAACATTTAAAATGAGTCAAGAGGATAACAGAACTTTGGGTTAGCCTAATTCTATTGCCTATGGTGGCCCAAGGCAGAATTGCCATTCCTATGCCCACAGAAGCTATAGCATCTCTTTTCTTTTTATCAGTTTTCTAATAGAGCTCTAGGAAAATAATTAGGAAGCTAAGGGAGAAAAGAAATTTATCAGACAAAATATGCAATAGACTCTAAAAATCCAAGATAGATTGAGGGGTGGGAGGCAGTGTAGGCAAAAAGACATCAATATGGTAAATAGCACTTAATGTATCCTGTTATTGCATTTCTACCAGATTGGATTAAACACTGTTAATGAAGAAACTAATGTAAGGAGAGAAGATGAGTTACTTGTTACCAGGTACACCCCAGCTGAAGGAAAAGACTGAAAGCATTTATTATCTTTCTTAGCTGTTAGTGCTGCATTGTGGAACAAATAAAACAATGTGTCTGAAAACCATAAAGTACTGCAGGAAGATAAGAATTTATTTCAAGACACGCAGAAAAATATTTGGCTGAAATCACAGCTACTTTGTTCGAGGCAATGTTCTAAAAACAAAGTGCTAATCAAAATGGCCAGAAAGTATCTGTTTTGACCCTGAGTGACCCTCAACTCCCCTAACTATATTTTTAATTGAATGATGCAAATATTTGTCCCCTTCTAATCCCCCAAGAAACTTTGACTGTGAATAAATAGACCAAATAAGCATCAGATCAAGGACAGAGATCCAGAATCTTAAAGTTAATTCTGTGGCTTTTCCCCATAATCATGTCATCTCCCAATTCATGATTAGGTAGTTCACTAAAAAATGAAAAAAAAATATGATTTTGTATGTCACTGGAGGGAGGTGATAATTACATTTAGAAGATACCACATTAGTCTGTTTTCACTCTGCTGACAAAGACATACTCCAGCCTGGGAAGAAAAAGAGGTTTAATTGGACTTACAGTTCCACATGGCTGGGGAGGCCTCATGGTGGGAGGTGAAAGGCACTTCTTACATGACAGCAGCAAGAGAAAATGAGGAAGAAGCAAAAGAAACCCCTGATAAACTCATCAGATGTCATGACACTTAATTCACTATCGCAAGAATACCACAGGAAAGACCAGTCCCCATGATTCAATTACCTCCTCTTGGGTCCCTCCCACAACACATGGGAATCCTGGGAGATAAAATTCAAGTTGAGATTTGGGTGGGGATACAACCAAACCATATCATTCTACCCTGGCCCCTCCAAATCTCATGTCCTCACATTTCAAAACCAACCATGCCTTTCCAACAGTTGCCTAAAGCCTTAACTCATTTCAGCATTAACCCAAAAGTCCACAGTCCAAAGACTCATCTGAGACAAGGCAAGTCCCTTCTGCCTAGGAGTCTATATAAAATCAAAAGCAAGCTAGTTACTTCCTAGATAAAATGGGGGTACAGGTATAGGGTGAATACAGCCATTCCAAATCAGATAAATTGGCTAAAACAAAGGGGTTACAGGACCCATGCAAGTCCGAAATCCACTGGGGCAGTCAAATTTTAAAGCTCTACAATGATCTCCTTTGACTGCAGGTCTCACATCCAGGTCACAATGATGCAAGAGGTAGGTTCTCATGGTCTTGGGCAGTTCCACCGCTGTGGCTTTGCAGGGTATAGCCTCCCTCCTGGCTGCTTTCATGGGCTGGCATTGAGTGTCTGTGGCTTTTCCAGGTGCACAGTGCAAGCTGTTGGTGGATCTACCATTCTGGGGTCTGGAGGATGGTGGCCCTCTTCTCACAGCCCCCCTAGGCAGTGCCCCAGTAGGGACTCTGTGTGAGGGCTTCAACCCCACATTTCCCTTCTGCACTGGTTTATCAAAGTTCTCCATGAGGGCCCCACCCCTGCAGCAAACTTTTGCCTGGGCATCCAGGCATCTCCATACATCTTCTGATATTTAGGCAGAGGTTCCCAAACCTTAGTTCCTGACTTCTGTGCACCCACAGGCTCAACACCTGGAAGCTTGGAAGCTGCCAAGGCTTGGGGCTTCCATCCTTTGAAGCCACAGCCTGAGCTCTACGTTGGCCCCTTTCGGCCACAGTTGGGCTGTTGAGACACAGGGCACCAAGTGCTTTGGCTGCACACAGCATGAGAACCCTGGGCCCAGCCCACAAAAACACTTTTTCCTCCTGGCACTCCAGACCTGTGATGGGAGGGGCTGCCTTGAAGGTCTCTGATATGGCCTGGAGACATTTTCACCATAATCTTGGGGATTAACAATAGGGTCCTTGCTACTTATGCAAATTTCTGCAGCTGGCTTGAATATCTCCTCGAAAAATGGGTTTTTCTTTTCTACTGCATCATCAGGCTGCAAATTTTCTGAACTTTTATGCTCTGTTTCCCTTTTAAAACAGAATGCTTTTAACAGCACCCAAGTCACCTTTTGAATGCTTTGCTGCTTAGAAATTTCTTCTGCCAGATACCCTAAATTATCTCTCTCAAGTGCAAAGTTCCACGAATCTCTAGGGAGGGGCAAAATGCTGCCAGTCTCTTTGCTAAAACATAGTAAGAGTCACCTTTGCTCCAGTTCCCAACAAGTTCCTCATCTCCATCTGAGACAGACCACCTCATCCTGGACCTTATTGTTCATATCACTATCAGCACTTTTGTCAAAGCCATTCAACAAGTGTCTAGGAAGTTCCAAACTTTCCCACATTTTCCTGTCTTCTTCTGAGCCCTCCAAACTGTTCTAACCTCTGCCTGTTACCCAGTTCCAAAGTCACTTCCACATTTTTGGGTATATTTCAAGCAACATTCTACTTCTGGTACCAATTTACTGTATTAGTCTGTTTTCACACTGCTGACAAAGAAATACCCGAGGCTGGGAAACAAAAAAGAGATTTAATTGGACTTACAGTTCCACACGTGGAATCATGGTGGGAGGTGAAAGGCACTTCTTACATGGCAGCCGCAAGAGAAAATGAGGAAGAAGCAAAAGTGGAAACCCCTGATAAACCCATCAGATCTCTCGAGACTTAATTCATTATCATGAGAATAGCACAGGAAGGACTGGTCTCCATGATTCAATTACCTCCCCTTGGGTCCCTCCTACAACATGTGGGAATTCTGGGAGATATAATTCAAGTTGAGTTTTGGGTGGGGACACAACCAAACCATATCAGGTACTCAGGGCATCAAATTACATATATAAATTATACACACACACACACAAATATACATATGACTTGGCTCTCAGTTTTTTAAAACCATGGTTTGATGGGTTTCTGAAAGGGCATATTATAATGAAAAATCTCTATTTTAAGTAGATCAATATGAATTCAGCATCTTGATTAGCAGCAGTATTGACATTTCTAAAATTCCAGTTTCACAACATCCCAACATCTAGTTATGAGTAAAAATGAGTTCTTGGGTGGGTGATCAAAGAGTAACTTTTTCTTAGCCCTTACTGTAATTTGAATGCCAACACAGGAAGCAGAAAGCCTGGATGCATATTTTAGCTGGCAGAATCCAGTTATTTCTCAAGTCCTTTTATCTGCCTTGCATCTCATGTATTAAATATTACATATTGTGTTCCTGTACCACACACTAGATTGAATTTAGTGGCATGAAGCTCTAATGAATGAATGTGCTGCATTCAAACTCAATAGTGATAATGTACATTTTTATTTTTATATGCCACCATTAAGCTAAAGCATTTCACAAAAATTTACTGCTTTGTGAGTATGAGCAAGAGGTGGCTTATGTATTTGAACAATATTTAGATTCTCTTTCTCTTAATGTATTGTGTTTCTAAAGTTGAGTTGAGGACAATTAATGTCAGTTTTAAAAAGAAAAATGAACTTACCTAACTAGGGATATGCTATGATGTAGATGGAAATAGTATACTATCGATTCTACTTTCAGGAAGAATAGTTATGTGGTAGCAATTTCTATTATGGTGTTGTTTCATCTCAAAGAAATGGCTATACACAGGTTTAACTCCCTTTAGTAAATAGCTTCCTAAACTTTCATGTCATATTTTAAATTAAATCTATTTAGATTAAACAAGTTCATATTGGAACATTCCTTCTTCCTTCCTTAATCTTCACTTGCCAGTCCTTATCCCTAACTTCTCTGCCTTTGTCAGTGAGTCTCTATTCTCCTCGACTTAGAGTAATTGGTTTTAAGCTAACATTTTTATTAAATAAAGACCCTTTTTAGTCATCATACCCTATAACATTTCCTTTAAAAAGCCTCTCATATTCATATTTTTTTCTGTTTTGTCATTTTTAATGTCATTGTAATTTGTACCTTAGGTAACTTGCAGAATTTCTAGGAGGCTAGGAGAAAAATTGTGGATGTCACACCGGCCCCTATTGCAACCACTGGAAACACCACAAGTTACAGTCTTCATTTATAAAGCACAGAGGCTGAAACAGAGATAAGTTGAGGGTTTTGATCAATGTTATGAAGTTAGTAACTGGCAGAGTTGGACTTCCAACCTTGGCCCATGTTTATCCCACTCTGCTATCCAACTTAAGAAGAATGGCTTGTCTGTAATTATAATGCTTGTTATTGTTTCTTTGTGTGCTAGTTTTGTTTTCTAACAAATCATAATTTCTTTGAAAGGCAATTTTACATGCTAGGGTTCATTGGACTACCTTAGTACAGGTGTAAGGACATTTAAGGACATATATGATAGTGAGGCATTTCTTAACATTATTTAAACGCTAATGCAGCAAGCATGAATCTTTGTGACTTTGGATATAATCCAGAGGATGTTAGGAGGAAAATTAAGTTTTTGTTTCCCAGATCCTAAATCTTTAATCTCTGGATATGACAATGTGATGCCTAGGTAAGAGTTCAGCTTGTATTGTATTTAATTGATGCAGAAAAGGGGGATATGTTGGAGGCCACAATGGGACATATCAAAACAAATACCAACCATGGGATTACAGAAGAATCTGTAAGATGTTGAGGTCAGAGAAGCTGGAATTGTTCCATATAGTACTCTAGCTAAATGTTTAATATAATTCTATGTTTAATATAAATTCTGTGAATCTTGTGATCAGCAAAGAAACGTGTTACAATTCAGAGCCATACTCTGAAGTGAGAGTTGAAGTGGTTTATATTTTAGTGTACTGTATAGTGGTTTTGGGGTTCAGAGAAACATCTTTTGTATAGAAAATATTTATCTAGCCTTTCCAGGGATATTTGAAGATGCTCCTAAAAAGTTAAAATGTTACCTGGGTAATATTACACAATCAAGTTATGCTCATTATTAAAAGTTTAATAGCATGTCACAAAACTTGCTCCTTTGCTCTCTGCTATAGAAGGCAAGGTAATTATTATTCTTAGTAATGACTACTCTCCTTTCCTTTCTTCACCAAGAGCTTAGCCAAACTCTACTTTGATCATTTCTGTTCAATTAATCCCTTCTTTTGCTTAATTAGCTTGTTATCTTTTTTTTTTTTGGTACACACTCTGCTATTGAAAAATAGATAGCTTTCGACTTCAAATAGGGACCAAAGGTGCCTTAGGTTATTTCTGGCTTCAGATTTCTCAGTCTACAGCTAGAGCTTCATAAGTTGTCTCATCAGGCCTACTCATTAAAGAGCAGCCACTGCATAACCCATAGGATTATCTCTTCTCCCGGCTTGTCTAGGGTCAGCGATTCTTTCTAGGTTATTAGTTCCATGGGTCTTTGCTGTTAAACATTTGTGCTTTGCATAATTTCTCCAAGATAATGAAAACATCATTTTTAAAATGTATAATACCATTTCATGTTTTTTATTTATACTTATAATATTATATGTGGGCCTTGCAACTGTAGAGAAAGTCTTATAGCTTATCTATCTATCTATGCCGATTTATCCTATAATAGAAAATTCTTCACATTATTTAATTATACATTAATTTATTTGTTCAGAAATTAGTTGTTGATCTCTTTTGTTAGATACTATAGTTATTACAAAGACAGCTGGTAACAATATCTGCCCCTGTGAATTTATGATCTCATAAGAATAATAATCAATGTACATTCATGCTTTGTGCTTATTATTCATAGTCCAAACCTACTACTTATGCACTGAGATATTGGATAAGCCATATGATTTTACTTGAATAGTTTCTCAGGATGTTATTGTAAGCATTAAACAAGAAACGTTGCAAGCTGCTTAGTATAATTCCTCAATGATCACTATATATCTATGTTATAGAATAGATAATAGGGATGTGAGAAACATATGCAACCATTCCAGTGCCCTATAGTGAACTGGATTTTCCCACCCTAAACCTCAGAATTACCTGCAAAATCTTCAGCAATTGAAAAATGTATTTCTATTTACTGTAGTCAGTAACCATGTAATGTACATGAGTGAAAAGTAAACCTCTGCTTTTTTAGGCTATTGAGATATGGAGGTTATTGTTTACCATGACATAAATCTTACCTATTCTAACAAACTGCTAGACTTGCCTTCCTTGGGTAAAATTGCTCTCCAAATAGAACATGTTAAGTGTTCAAAGATCACAGCAATTTTTGACCCGAAGTTTCTCTAATTTCCCAGATGGATAGGGTTATGCCTTTACAGTAACATTCTTACCTTGAAAAAAACCCTGATTTATAGAATAGATAGTTACCTATTATTGCGTTATACAAATAGAGTGATTTATATCATTTTCTTAAAACCTCTGCTATGTAGTCAGAAAATACAATGTTAGTATTCATTTATATATGTTTGTGATATTGTCAATGTTTAGTTATTCTTCCACGCAGTCCCCAGGTCCTATCCCCTGGTTGGTCACAAAATAATGGATGAAGCAAACAGTCACACAGGTAACTCCAATTCAAGGGTTAACATTATGTCAAAAAAATGCAAAAAAAAAAATACTTGCCTTACTAATGCATGAACATTATAGCAAGTATAGGTAACAGAAAATGAGAAGTCCATGGGTTGGGCTCAGGTGACTAGATTTGATCATGAGGATGAGAAAGCAAAGCAGGTCATGAGAGAGAAAGAGACGTCCATTTTATTATTAATCATGTTCTTTAGGTAGACCTTGTAGTCTTCCCTGAGATGAGAGGAATTATTGAGCCCCCCTCCCCCCACCTAGTTAAGCAGATTTCACCTTCAAGGTATGAGCCTATTGAAGACACAACAAAAATGGCCTTTTACAGGCAATTTGTATTTAAGGCTCATTTGTAAGTGCATCATTTCCTCTTTCCTTAGTTGAATCAGGCATATTTTCCCTTCTTTTTATGCCAATCAACTAAAGGGCTAAGCTCCAGGGAAGCATCCAGAGAAAAATCCTAAAAAGTATGCAGGCAAAGTTGTTGGGAGCTTATGTCTATTCCCTTTCCTTTCTTAAAGTCTCTTCAATCACCAATAACTTTTCTATATTTTCCACTCTTTATCAATCTTGTAACAAACAGAAAAACAATTTGACACAATTTGAATTAACTTAGTTTCCTTAGACCTCTGCCATTAACTCTGAACACATTCTGTCTTACACTCTTGCTTCTTGCACAATATTTTCATTAGAATTTATGTATGTTCTAAATTATAATCTTCTGGGATTCATGAATGAATATGAGAGTAAACTTTTGATCCCACTGAAGTATCTAACATGTTAACTTGTGTTCATAGGTAAATTCTATCATACTTCTAGCTACTTGGGCTGGACATATTGGAGTCACCCTTAACTCCATTCTCATCTATCCCCTATTCCACACTAACCTCTCTGGTTGGTAAAATCTGGATAATTTTATATCAACAACAGCCTATATCAATATTTTCTTCTAATGCCATTGCATTTTTCCTAATTTAGACTCAGAATCTGCCTTATAAGTGCTTTTTAGTCTCAAGGTTTATCCAAGTCATTGTTCATTGCAACATCAGAGTAACATGTTTAAGGATCAGCTCTGAGAAAATTACCACATTGTTAGAAAATTTTCTTTACTATTGCTTGCAGAGTAAAGTCCAGGCTCTAAAATCTGTTGTAAACAGTTTCTTTTATTTATCCTCGACTGCTTATCCTGCTGTTATTTCACATTGTCCTATTTATGCTCTAATGATTCCATCAAATCCATCCATCTTGTTTTTGGTCCCAAATATGCATGTGTAAGTCCACAGTGATGCCTTTGTTTGTATTTTCCTCCATGCCAGAAATTACTGACTTTTTTGCATCTTTACTTTGGGGTCCACTTCAAATTTTACTTTCTTAATGAAAATGTTGTCTATCCTCTGAATGGCCAAAATATGAACAAGGTGCTTGATTCACTAGCTCATGAGTATTGTACCAATAACAGGTAACAAAAATATGTCACTAATATATTTTTCTAAACTCCCCAAACACTCTTTATAAACTGACCTTTATTAGATTATATATTATATTTACTTATATTACTGGATTGTAATGGCTTTGTGGGTGGTGTTTTTATCTTGTTCATGCTTTTAACCCCACACCATATAGCAAAATTTTCATTCATGTATTCTGCAATGAGTTCAATAAATTTGAAAAGATTAAAACATATATTTTTCATTTATTTTAAAAATTATGATTTCCCTACTCTTCTTTATTAACTGAATCAATGAGTTTCAATGTTTTCAGAAAAGGAGGAATATATCCCATGAAATAGCAATCTAGAAAACTGTGCTTTTTGAAAGTTAAGAGAAACTTCTAAATTTCAAAAATCTCCTTTAAATATTAAGAGCAAATTTTGGGGAATAGAACATAATGTTTTATTATAAGTCATAGGTACAGAACTTAGACTGCAATGAAAAAAAGTTTCCATCACAGAGAAAAAAACAGAAAAGAAAAAAAAAAACTTGCAGTCAGAAGAGGGAGTGAGTTGACCTGGGTAAGCACGTGGGTGGGTTATTAAGTACCCTTCCTCCCACTGTGAAACTTCAGGAATATCTGAGGTTGTTCTTGGTATTGCTGTTGGTGGTGGTGGTAGTGACGTGTATGTGTGTGTGTAGTCATGTGTGTCTTCCTTGATACTCAAGATGTAAAGTGGAAAAATATGTGTATATTAGCTAGGTTTCACATTCAATATGATGTGATAGTATAATGTTACCCATATGGTAGTTGACCAATGGCTGAGAGAAGTTGATGACACAGAGTGACTTTATAGAGCTGCATGGTATGGAGAAGCAGCCTCTAGTTTCTGCCTCCCTCCTAGGATGGCACGGGTGATAAGGGGACCAGATGATTAGAGGAAACTTGGGGTAATAATGAGCCACCACTGAGCTAAGGATATTTTCTGATCTAGGGCAAGGGCCACAGACTTTGGCAATGGTCAACAGCACATCATCCAAAAGAACGTTGCAGTATCCATTTTATCTCAACAGAGAAGTGCTGGTGCCAAGAATAAGCCAAGACCAGCCTTCCTACAACAGAGACTAGAAAGAACCCACATGTGTATCCAGGAGTTTCCCCATTTCCTCTAGATGTCACGTTAGATCAGAGAATGTGGAAAAAAAAATCCCTGAAGAAAATGATTATTCAAAAGACATTGTTATTTTTAATTTGCAAATTTAAGAATTTTTCTTTTTTGGTATCAGCTGGTATGAACATTTATAAGAAAGATTCTTAAGTTACATTTAACAATAAAATTACTTTGATTTGCACATGAGTACAATGTACATATTTTCAGTGTAGCCACATTCATCTATTTAATAGTCAGTAAATATGTACTAAGTACCTTCTATCTGGCGAGCATTTTACTAGGCATTGCAGGCCCCTAAACAGTAAGAAACGGTGCCTGATTTAAAGAGTGTACACACTGACAAGAAGAAAGAGAAGATATAAAAATCAAAGATTATAATTGATATTTATAGCTGATAATCACTGCTGGTTATCTACCACCTTATTTTTTTCCTTTTTACTTTTTCCAGAACCCAAATTTTGTTTGGGCATGGGTCACTTTGCAGGGAATGCTGACCCATAGACAACCCCAAAATAAATTATTAGTAGTGTAAATAACTATAATAATTCCACTTTCCTTATATTTTGCAAGTGGGCAAATACTCTGTTATGACTGAAACCTGAAAGGAAATTTCTGAGAAAGATGTGCCTTCTTGATGAAAGAATGAGATGGATAAAAAGAATTACAGAATTGTTTTATTCCACTTCTTCTGATTGGATTGCAGTTGTTAGCAAAATTACTGTAGTTATCTATATGATCCTAAAAGAAACACCAAAAGACAAGAGAAGCAAATTCAGAGTTTTAAGACTCTTGAGCCCTGAACCAATTTTGGAATGACCATCTACCTTTGAAATTAATATTTTTTTGAGAGGTAGATACAAAATTTATTAAGGAGAAAATCTACCTCCTATGGGGAAAACAATAATGGGACAGAGAAATATCTAAGAAGCTATCACATTTATAAAAACTTTTAAAGCAATATTTAGTGCATTTATTTCATACTGCTGAGTACAAAATGACCACAGATTTAGAATGTTAAAACGACATATATTTGTTTTCACATGTTCCCCTTGAGTCAGGAATCCAGGTACAGCTCAGCTGGACCCTTTGCTCAGGACTTCACAAGGTGCATTCAAGGTGTCTCCTAGGTTTAGATTTTTTTTTTTTTTTTAAGACAGAGTCTTGCATCGTCATCCAGGGTGGAGTGCAGTGGCACTATATCGGCTCATCACAACCTCCACCTCCCGGGTTCAAGAAATTCTCTTGCCTCAGCCTCCCGAGTAGCTGGGATTACAGGCACCTACCACTGTACCGGGCTAATTTTTGTACTTTTGGTAGAGATAAGGGGTTTCACCATGTTGGCCAGGCTGGTCTTGAACTCCTGACCTCAAGTGATCCGCCTGCCTTGGCCTCCCAAAGTGCCGAGACTACAGGTGTGAGCCACTGCAACCAGCCTGCATCTTACCGGGAGCTCAGGATTCTCTGTTGAAACTCATATTATTGGTGGCAGAATTTATTTCATTGTACCCAAGGCAGATTTCTTCTTCAGGGACAGCTTGGAGAGAGTCTTTGCCCTCTTGATCCTGTTTTATTATTTTTTTCTTTTTTTTTTAAGTATACTTTAAGTTTTAGGGTACATGTGCACAACGTGCAGGTTTGTTACATATATATGCATGTGCCATGTTGGTGTGCTGCACCTATTAACTCGTCATTTAACATTAGGTATATCTCCTAATGCTATCCCTCCCCCCAACCCCCACGCCACAACAGGCCCCTGGGTGTGATGTTCCCTTCCTGTGTCCATGTGTTCTCATTGTTCAATTCCCACCTATGAGTGAGAACATGTGGTGTTTGGTTTTTTGTCCTTGGGATAGTTTACTGAGAATGATGGTTTCCAGCTTCATCCATGTCCCTACAAATGACATGAACTCATCATTTTTTACGCCTGCATAGTATTCCATGGTGTATATGTGCCACACTTTCTTAATCCAGTCTATCATTGTTGGACATTTGGGTTGGTTCCAAGTCTTTGCTATTGTGAATAGTGCCACAATAAACATACATGTGCATGTGTCTTTATAGCAGCATGATTTATAATCCTTTGGGTATATACCCAGTGATGGGATGGCTGGGTCAAATGGTATTTCTAGTTCTAGATCCCTGAGGAATTGCCACACTGACTTCCACAATGGTTGAACTAGTTTACAGTCCCACCAACAGTGTAAAAGTGTTCCTATTTCTCCACATCCTCTCCAGCACCTGTTGTTTCCTGATTTTTTAATGATTGCCATTCTAACTGGTGTGAGATGGTATCTCATTGTGGTTTTGATTTGCATTTCTCTGGTGGCCAGTGATGATGAGCATTTTTTCATGTGTCTTTTGGCTGCATAAATGTCTTCTTTTGAGAAGTGTCTGTTCATATCCTTCACCCAATTTTTGATGGGGTTGTTTGTTTTTTTCTTGTAAATTTGTTGGAGTTCATTGTAGATTCTGGATATTAGCCCTTTGTCAGATGAGTAGGTTGCAAAAGTTTTCTCCCATTCTGTAGGTTGCCTGTTCACTCTGATGATGGTTTCTTTTGCTGTGCAGAAGCTCGTTAGTTTAATTAGATCCCATTTGTCAATTTTGGCTTTTGTTGCCATTGCTTTTAGTGTTTTAGACATGAAGTCCTTGAACATGCCTATGTCCTGAATGGTATTGCCTAGGTTTTGTTCTAGGGTTTTTATGGTTTTAGGTCTAACATTTAAGTCTTCAATCCATCTTGAATTAATTTTTGTATAAGATGTAAGGAAGGGATCCAGTTTCAGTTTTCTACATATGGCTAGCTAGTTTTCCCAGCACTGTTTATTAAATAGGGAATCTTTCCCCATTTCTTGTTTTTCTCAGGTTTGTCAAAGATCAGATAGTTGTAGATGTGTGGCATTATTTCTGAGGGCTCTGTCCTGTTCCATTGGTGTATATCTCTGTTTTGGTACCAGCACCATGCTGTTTTGGTTACTGTAGTCTTGTAGTATGGTTTGAAGTCAGGTAGTGTGATGACTCCAGCTTTGTTCTTTTGGCTTAGGATTGACTTGGCAATGCGGGCCCTTTTTTGGTTCCATATGAACTTTAAAGTAGTTTTTTCCAATTCTGTGAAGAAAGTCATTGGTAGCTTGACGGGGATAGCATTGAATCTATAAATTACCTTGGGCAGTATGGCCGTTTTTACAAAATTGATTCTTCCTACCCATGAGCATGGAATGTTCTTCCATTTGTTTGTATCCTCTTTTATTTCATTGAGCAGTGGTTTGTAGTTCTCCTTGAAGAGGTCCTTCACATCCCTTGTAAGTTGGATTCCTAGGTATTTTATTCTCTTTGAAGCAGTTGTGAATGGGAGTTCACTCATGATTTGGCTCTCTGTTTGTCTTTTATTTGTGTATAAGAATGCTTGTGATTTTTGCACATTGATTTTGTATCCTGAGACTTTGCTGAAGTTGCCTATCAGCTTAAGGAGATTTTGGGCTGAGACGATGGGGTTTTCTAGATATACAATCATGTCATCTGCAAACAGGGACAATTTGATTTCCTCTTTTCCTAATTGAATACGCTTTATTTCTTTCTCCTGCCTGATTGCCCTGGCCAGAACTTCCAACACTATGTTGAATAGGAGTGGTGAGAGAGGGCATCCCTGCCTTGTGCCAGTTTTCAAAGGGAGTGCTTCCAGTTTTTGCCCATTCAGTATGATATTGGGTGCGGGTTTGTCATAAATAGCTCTTATTATTTTGAGATACATCCCATCAATACCTAAGTTATTGAGAGTTTTAGCATGAAGGGCTGTTGAATTTTGTCAAAGGCCCTTTCTGCATCTATTGAGATAATCATGTGGTTTTTGTCATTGGTTCTGTTTATATGCTGGATTACATTTATTGATTTTCATATGTTGAACCAGCCTTGCATCCCAGGGATGAAGCCCACTTGGTCATGGTGGATAAGCTTTTTGATGTGCAACTGGATTCGGTTTCCCAGTATTTTATTGAGGATTTTTGCATCAATATTCATCAGGGATATTGGTCTGAAATTCTCTTTTTTTGTTGTGTCTCTGCCAGGCTTTGGTATCAGGATGATGGTGGCCTCATAAAATGAGTTAGGGAGGATTCCCTCTTTTTCTGTTGATTGGAATAGTTTCAGAAGGAATGGTGCCAGCTCCTCCTTGTACCTCTGGTAGAATTCGGCTGTGAATCCATCTGGTCCTGGACTTTTTTTGGTTGGTAAGCTATTAATTATTGCCTCAATTTCAGAGCCCGTTATTGGTCTATTCAGAGATTCAACTTCTTCCTGGTTTAGTCTTGGGAGGGTGTATGTGTCGAGGAATTTATCCATTTCTTCCAGATTTTGTAGTTTATTTGCATAGAGGTGTTTATAGTATTATCTGATGGTAGTTTGTATTTCTGTGGGATCGGTGGTGACATCCCCTCTATCATTTTGTATTGCGTCTATTTGATTCTTCTCTCTTTTCTTCATTAGTATTGCTAGTGGTCTATCAATTTTGTTGATCTCTTCAAAAAACCAGATCCTGGATTCACTGATTTTTTGAAGGGTCTTTTGTGTTTCTATTTCCTTCAGTTCTGCTCTGATCTTAGTTATTTCTTGCCTTCTGCTAGCTTTTGAATGTGATTTCTCTTGCTTCTCTAGTTCTTTTAATTGTGATGTTAGGATGTCAATATTTGATCTTTCCTGCTTTCACTTGTGGGCATTTAGTGCTATAAATTTCCCTGTACACACTGCTTTGAATGTGTCCCAGAGATTCTGGTATGTTGTGTCTTTGTTCTCGTTGGTTTCAAAGAACATCTTTATTTCTGCCTTCATTTCGCTATGTACCCAGTAGTCATTCAGGAGCAGTTTGTTCAGTTACCATGTAGTTGAGCGATTTTTAGTGAGTTTTTTAATCCTGGGTTCTAGTTTGATTGCACTGTGGTCTGAGAGACAGTTTGTTATAATTTCTGTTCTTTTGCATTTGATGAGGAGTGCTTTACTTCCAACTATGTGGTCAATTTTGGAATAGGTGTGGTGTGGTGCTGAAAAGAATGTATATTCTGTTGATTTGGGGTGGAGAGTTCTGTAGATGTCTATTAGGTCCCCTTGGTGCAGAGCTGAGTTCAATTCCTGGATATCCTTGTTAAATTTCTGTCTTGTTGATCTGTCTAATGTTGACAGTGGGGTGTTATAGTCTCTCATTATTGTTGTGTGGTAGTCTAAGTCTCTTTGTAGGTCTCTAAGGACTTGCTTTATGAATCTGGGTGCTCCTGTATTGGGTGCATATATATTTAGGATAGTTAGCTCTTCTTGTTGAATTGATCCCTTTACCATTCTGTAATGGCCGTCTTTGTCTCTTTTGATCTTTGTTGGTTTAAAGTCTATTTTATCAGAGACTAGGATTGCAACCCCTGCTTTTTTTTTTCCATTTGCTTGGTAGATCTTCCTCCCATCCCTTTATTTTGGGCCTATGTGTGTCGCTGCACGTGAGATGGGTTTCCTGAATAGAGCACACTGTTGGGTCTTGACTCTTTATCCAATTTGCCAGTCTGTGTCTTTTAATTGGAGCATTTAGCCCATTTACATTTAAGGTTAATATGGTTATATTTGAATTTGATCCTGTCATTATGATGTTAGCTGGTTATTTTGCTCATTAGTTGATGCAGTTTCTTCCTAGCCTCGATGGTCTTTACTATTTGGCATGTTTTTGCAGTGGCTCATACTGGTTGTTCCTTTCCATGTTTAGTGCTTCCTTCAGGAGCTCTTGTAAGGCAGGTTTGGTGGTGACAAAATCTCTCAGTATTTGCTTGTCTGTATTTGAATGTTGGCCTCCCTTGCTAGATTGGGGAAGTTCTCCTGGATAATATCCTACAGAGTGTTTTCCAACTTGGTTCCATTCTCCCCGTCACTTTCAGGTACACCGATCAGACGTAGATTTGGTCTTTTCACATAGTCCCATATTTCTTGGAGGCTTTGTTCATTTCTTTTTATTCTTTTTTCTCTAAACTTCTCTTCATGCTTCTTTTCTTTCATTTGATCTTCCATCACTTATACCCTTTCTTCCAGTTGATGAAATCGGCTACTGAGGCTTGTTCATTTGTCACGTAGTTCTCATGCCATGGTTTTCAGCTCCATCAGGTCCTTTAAGGACTTCTCTGCGTTGGTTATCCTAGTTAACCAGTCGTCTAATCTGTTTTTGAGGTTTTTAACTTCTTTGCCATGGGTTCAAACTTCCTTCTTTAGCTCAGAGTAGTTTGATCATCTGAAACCTTCTTCTCTCAACTCGTCAAATTCATTCTCCATCCAGCTTTGTTCCATTGCTGGTGAGGAGCTGCATTCCTTTGGAGGGGGAGAGGCGCTCTGATTTTTAGATTTTTCAGTTTTTCTGCTCAGTCTTTTCCCCATGTTTGTGGTTTTATCTACCTTTGGTCTTTGATGATGGTGACATACAGATGGGGTTTTGGTGTGGATGTCCTTTCTGTTTGTTAGTTTTCCTTCTAACAGTCAGGACCCTCAGCTGCAGGTCTGTTGGAGTTTGCCGGAGGTCCAGTCCAGACCCTCTTTGCCTGGGTATCAGCAGCAGAGGCTTCAGAACAGCGGATATTGGTGAACAGCAAATGTTGCTGCCTGATTGTTCCTCTGGAAGTTTTGTCTCAGAGGAGTACCCAGCCGTGTGAGGTGTCAGTCTGCCCCTACTGGGGGGTGCCTCCTAGTTAGGGTACTCAGGGGTCAGGGACCCACTTGCGGATGTAGTCTGTTCATTCTCAGATCTCCAGCTGCGTGCTGGGAGAACCGCTACTCTCTTCAAAGCTGTCAGACAGGGGCATTTATGTCTGCAGAGGTTTCTGCTGCCTTTGGTTTGGCTATGCCCTGCCCCCAGAGGTGGAGTCTACAGAGGCAGGCAGGCCTCCTTGAGCTGCGGTGGGCTCCACCCAGTTCGAGCTTCTGGTCTGCTTTGTTTACCTACTCAAGCCTGGTCAATGGCGGGCGCCCCTCCCCCAGCCTCGCTGCCCCCTTGCAGTTCGATCTCAGACTGCTGTGCTAGCAATGAGCGAGGCTCCGTGGGTGTAGGACCCTCCGAGCCAGGCACGGGATATAATCTCCTGGTGTGCCATTTGCTAAGACTGTTGGAAAAGCACAATATTAGGATGGGAGTGACCCGATTTTCCAGGTGCCGTCCGTCACCCCTTTCCTTGGCTAGGAAAGGGAATTCCCCATCCCCTTGTGCTTTCCAGGTGAGGCAATGCCTTGCCCTGCTTTGGCTCAGGCTCGGTGCACTGCACCCACTGTCCTGCACCCACTGTCTGACAATCCCCAGTGAGATGCACCCGGTATCTCAGTTGGAAATGCAGAAATCATTCGTCTTCTGCATCTCTCACGCTGGGAGCTGGAGCTGTAGACTGGAGCTGTTCCTATTCAGCCATCTTGGTTCCACCCCCTCCTTTGAAATTTATATTGTCTGAGACAGTAAACTCCCATTTTAAGCTACCTTTGTTATTTTGAGCTTGCTGATTGAGTAATCCCAATTGAACTACAAATATAGTTCAAAAAAGACTTCCAGTTATGGCAATTCTTTAAGAGCTCAGAGGAACTCCAGGAATATGATGAAGAAAGAATATTCCAGGCATCTCCTAGGACACAACTTAATACAGTCTCTTCTCACTTATCCATGGGGGATTGGTTCCAGAATCCAACCCGCAATCCCCAACCCACCATACCAAAGTCTGTGGATGCTCAAGTCTGTTACACAAAATGACACAGAAGTTGCATCTAACCTATGCACAATGTCCTGTTTACTTTAAATCATTTCTAGATTACTTATAATATCTAATACCATGTAAGAGTTATTATACTATATTTGTATTTGTGTTATTTTTTATTGAGTTGTTACCTCTTTCTTTTGCCACTGCCTCCTCCTCTTCTGCCTCCTCCTCCACCTCTTCCTCCTCTTTCTTCTTCTTCTAACATTTTCAATTCTTGGTTGATTGAACCTGCAGATGTATAACCTGCATTGAGGCCCACCGTATGTCATTAAAATGAATAAACATATAAATAAACAACAAATCTCAAACAGAAGTTTGAGGCACAGTCGGCCTCTCTAGTTTCGTGTTTACTGAGCCTAGAAAATTGTGTTTGAAATTTTTGAATGTAAAAAAAATGCTGATTTTATGGCATCTGACCTTTTGTATTACACCAAATCTCACATTTGAAATTCATAGCTGAAATTTCTGCACTTGGGAAAATTAGTGTTTTCAAGAATTAGAACTTGGCAAAATTATACATTTATAAATACAAAAACATATACAAGTACATGAACATATGTAGCTCAACATTCAGGGTCAGCTGAACTCTACTGTCTTTAAATATGTACAATAAATGATTAGGTTATCTAATTTGAAATCCATTATAAATATAATATTTTATATTAAAATATATTCTAATTAGTTTACCTATACCCAGAAATTTTAGAACCAGTTTGTTGATATGTAAAAAACAGATTCCTGGCTTTTTTGTTAAGATTGGTGTTAAATCTATAGAGCCAATTATGGAGAACTAGGACCTTAAAAATATTGTCTTTTTATCTTTAAAGACAGTATAACTCTTCCTTTATTTATATCTAAATTGATTTCTTTCATTAATGGTGTGTAGTGTTTATTATATAGACACTCCTTTCATTAGCTATATATCTATTTCATTTTTAAATACTATTATAAATTTTTTTAAAATTTAAATTCCTATTTTTTATGGTGATATATAGGTATATTATCAACTTTTGTATATTGACCTTGAATTCTGCAATCTGTTAAATATAAACTGTGAATTATATGCCGTAAAATCATGTATTAATTTGCTTCTCTTTTCCTTGTATGCTTTTTTTAAAGGGAGAAGCTTAGGTTATTGATTTAAGACTTGTCTTCTCTAATATAAACACTTAAAGTTATAAATTTCCATCTAAGTACTACTTTAACCATATATTACACATTTTGATATGCTGTATTTAAATTTTTATTAAGCTCAAAATATTTTAATTTATTTTGACTTCTCCTTTGACCCATGAGTTATTTACAAATGTATTATTTAATTTATTATTTAATTTGAGGTATCCAAGCTGTTATTAATTTCTACTTTATTATAATTATAGACAGATATGCCTTGTAGGATTGGTATTCTTTTAAATTTGTTAAGGCTTGTTTACTGGCTCAAAATATGGCCTTAGTGTATGTTGCACGCACATTTGAAAAAATGTATATTTTTCTGTTGTTGGGTAGTGTGTTCTATAACGTTAAAGTAGGTTTATTGGTTGATAGGGTTACTGAGGTCTTCTATATTCATACTGATTCTCTGTCTACTTTTTCTATCAATTACTTAGAGTGAAGTGTTGAACTATCCAACTGTAATTACAGATTTACTTGTTTCTCCTTTTAGTTCTGTCATTTCCTCCCTCAATTATTTTTAAGATATATTGTATTGAGTATACACATCAAGAATTGTTATGTCTTCTTACAGAATTCACTTTTACAATCTTGTAATATCCTTAATTAGCCCTGATAATATGCCTTATTATAAAGTCTACTTTACATTATCTAACATTAATATTCTTAACCTTCTTTTGTTCACTGTTTGCATGGCATTATCTTTCTCCATTCTTTTACTTTTAATCTATTTGATATTAAAGTGAGTATCTTGGAAAAAAACATATAGTGGAGTCTTACTTTTGTATTCTTTCAGATAATCGGTATTTTACAATTGGCCTATTTAGAGCATTCACACTAAATATAACTACTAATACAATTAAATGTTACCACTTTGCTAGCTCTTTTCTAGTTGTTCCATATCTATGTCTATCTATCTATCTATTTATTTATCTATCATTTATCTATATAAATGTAATCAGTCTGTTGTGAAATATTATCATATTGGTTTATGTGTAGTTGAATGACCTACATTTTATTTCCATTTTCTTCCTTCGTCCTCTGTGCTATCATGTTAAACCTTTTAGTTTTTATATGTTAAAAACAGTATATAGCTACTCTTTGTACTTTAAGACAGTTATCTTTTAATGCAACTACAAAAAATTCTTTCATTTTGTCAATTTTCTATCCTCTTTATTTCTTTGTGTAGATCCAAGATTCAGTCTGATATAATTTGTCTGTGCCTGAAAACCTTCCTTTAACAGTTCATGTGGAGTAAGTCTGTGGGCAATAAATTTCTTCAGTTTTTGTTTGAGAACATCTTTGTTGTCTACAATTTTGAAGAAAAATTTCACTGGATGGAGAATTCTAGGTTGGTGCTATTTTTTTTTTCACCTCTTTAACTATTTCACTCAACTCTCTTGAATTTATGATTTCTTACAAGAAGTCCACTGTAATTAATGTCCTTGTTTCTTCACAGGCAATGTGTGTCCCTCATCTCCTGGGTGCTTAAGATTTTTTTTCTTTGTCGTCAGTTTTCTGCAGTTTGCATAGGATATACTCAGATGAAACTTTTTTTTTTGCATTTATTCTTGGCTTAGATCTGTGGTTTGGAAATAATTGGTCATTATCACTTTATGCATTTCTTCTGTTCTTTTTCTTCTTCTGGTATTCCATTTATAACTGTGTTATACCTCTGAAGTTGTCCCACAGTTCTTGAATGTTCTGTTCTCCTTATTTGTTCTTTTTTTTCTCTTTGTATTTTAGTTTGGGAAGTGTCAGTTGATAAATTTCTCAGTTGTGTCTAGTCTACTGATGAGCCCATTAAACACAAACATTTTATTTGATACTTTACTAGGGTGTCCATTTCTGTATTTATATTTCTTATCTGTTTTTGCATGTTATTTTCTTGTTCCTTTAGAGCCCTTAATATATGAGTTAGAATAATTTTAAATTCCATCTGATAATTCCAAAATATTGCCATATCTAGTCTGGTTGTGATGCTTGCTTTTTCATTTCAGACTGATTTTTTTGTGTGTGTTTTCTTCCTTTGCCTTTTAACATGCCTTATAATTTTTGGTTGAAAGCCATACATGATGTATCAGGTACTAGGAACTGAGGTAAAAGTACATTAGGGTGAGGTGTTATACTAGTCTGTCTAGGAGTTATAATGTGTTTAATAATTGCTGTAATTAAAGAGTGGATCTCATATAATTACTTATGACCTGGTAAAACCCTTAGTTAAACGTGTGTTCTTCCATATCCATTGCACCCAGAGAAATATATATACACATACATACTGTGGTTGCACATTTTTTCTTATTAACAACTTTATCGATATATACTTTATATATCAAAAAAGCCTATGCATGCACTTAATATGTACATTTTAAGCATTCTTAGTGTATTCACAAAGTTGTAGGATCATTACCACAATAAATTTTAGTGTTTCAACATCCCAGAAGAAAACCTTTTAGCAGTGGCTCCCTGTGTCTTAGCAATAACTCCTGTATTGCAGTCCAGGGTAACCATTAATCTACTTTTCTCTTTCTATATGTTCGGCTATCCTGGACATTTCATAAGATTGAAACCATACATTATGTGATATTTTATGACTGTCTTTTAACACTTAACGTTTCTGAGAATCATCCATGTCATAGAATATACAGGCATACCTTAGAGATGTTGCAGGTTCAGTTCCAGACATCCACAATAAAGTGAATATCACAATAGAGCAAGTCACATAAACTTTTGGTTTCCCAGTGCATTTAAAAGTTGTGTTTATATTATAATGTAGTCTACTAAGAGTGCAACAAAATTATGTAAAAATGTACATACCTTACTTAATACTTCCTTGTTAAAAATGGTAATGATCATCAGAGCCTTCAGAGAGTTGTCATCTTTTTGCTGGCGGAGGGTCTTCCCTTGATGTTCATGGCTTCTGACTGACCAGAGTGATGGCTGATAAAGATTGGGGTGGCTGTGGCAGTTTCTTTAAATAAGACAACAATAAAGTTTGCCATATTGATTGATTCTTGCTTTCATGGAAGACTTCTCTGTAGCATGCAATACTGTTTGGTAGCATTTTACCTATAGTAGAACTTCTTTCAAAATTGGAGTTAATCCTCTCAACCTCTGTTGCTCCTTTATCATCTACATTTATGTAATATTCTTTATTCCTTATTATCAACAATGTTCAAAGCATCTTTACCAGAGGTAGACTCCATCTCAAGAAAGCACTTTCTTTGTTCATCCATAAGAAGCAACTCCTTATTCATTCAAGTTTTATTATGATATTACAGCAATTCCATCATATATTCAGGCTTAGCATCTAATTCTAACTCTCTTGCTACTTCCAAAACATCTGTAGTTATTTCTTTCACTGAAGTCTTGAATCCCTCCAAGTTATCCATGAGGGTTGGAATCAACTTCTTCCAAACTCCTGTTAATGTGGATATTTTTACTTTCTTGAAGGAATCACAAATGTTCTTAATGGAATCTAAAATGGTGAATCCTTTTCAAAGGTTTTCAATTGACTTTGTCCAGATGCATCAGAGGAATCACTATCCATGGCAGCTATCCCTCTATAAAATGTATTTCTAAAACAATGAGACTTGAAAATCAAAATTACTCCGTGATGCATGTGATGCAGAATGGATGTTGTGTTAGCAGGGATGAAAATATAATAACATTAATATCCCTGTACCTTCCCATCAGAGCTTTTGGTGACCAGGTGGATTGTCAATGAGCAATAATATTTTAAAAGAAATATATATATATTTTGAGCAGTAATGACAAAAATGAGCTTGAAATATCCAGTAAATCATGCTGTCATCCAGGCTTTATTCTACTTATAGAGCACAGACAGGGTAGATTTAGCGTAATTATTAAGGGCTCTAGGATTTATGGAATGGTAACTGAGCATTGGCTTTACCTTCACAAGTTACCAGATCAGCCACATTAGCCCTTAACAAGAGAGTCAGCCTTTCCTTTGAAACTCTGAGGCCAGGCATTGACTTTTATCTTCTCTAGCTAAGAAAGTTTTTGATGGCATCATCTTCCAACATAAGGCTATTTTATCTACATAGAAAATCTGTTAAGTGTAACCACATTTGTCAGTGACCTTGGCTAGATCTTCTGAATGACTTGCGGCAGCTTCTACCTTAACACTTGCTGTTTCACCTTGTACTTTTATGTTATGAAGGTGGCTTCATTTCATAAACCTCGCAAACCAACCTCTGCTAGCTTCTAACTTTTCCTCTTCAGCTTCATCACTCTCTCAGCCTTCACAAAATGAAACAGAGTTAGTGCCTTCTTCTAGATTAGGCTTTGGCTTAAGGGAATGTTATGGTTGGTTTGATCTTCTATCTAGACCATTAAAACCTTCTGTATATCAGCAATTAATCTGTTTTGCTTTCTTTTTATTCATCTGTTCACTGGAGTAGCAATTTTAATTTCTTTCAAGAACTCTTCCTTTGCATTTACAACTTGGCTAACTGTCTGGCACAAGAGGCCTAGCTTTTGGCCTGTCTCATCTTTGGACATGCCTTCTTCACTAAGCATAATCATTTCTAGCTTTTGATTTAAAGTGAGACACGTGTAACTCTTTATGTAAGCATGTAGAAGACACTACAAGGTCATTAATTTGCTTAATTTCAATATCCTTGTGTCTGAGGAAATAGGGAAGCCCAAGGTGAGGGGAGGCGATGGAAGAATGGCCAATTGGTTGATCTTTCAAAATACACACACTCTTTATCGATTACATGTAATTGGTAAAGAAACAATTACAACACTAATATCAAAGATCACTGATCAAGATAACCATAATAGATATAATAATAATGAAAATATATGAAATATTGTGAGAATTACCAAAATGTAAAACACAGACATGAAGTGAGCACATGTTGTTGGAAACACTGCACCAATAGATAGAGTTGTACAATGCAAGGTTGCCACAAACCCTTAATTTCAAAAAAATTATAATATCTGTAAAGTGTAACCAAGTGAAACAAAATAAAACAAGGTATGCTAGTATCAGTGTTTGTTTTTTATTTTCAAATATTTCACAGGGAAAGGCAGAGCAAGATGGCAGAATAGAAAGCTCCACTGATCATACTGCCTGCAAGGACACTTCGTTAACAACAATCTACACAGAAAAAAACCACTTTCATAAGAACCAGAATTCAGGTGAGCATTCACAGTACCTGGTTTCAACCTCATATCACTGAAAGAGGCACTGAAGGGATAGAAAAAATAGTCCTGAATCCTCAACACTAGCCCTCCCCAACCCCTGGCAGCAGCATGATGCAGAGAGCATCTCTGGGCATTAGGGGAGGTAGAATACAGCAATTGTGAGGCAGTAAGCTCAGTGCTGTCCTGTGAGAACATAAAGAAAATGGGACCAACTCAGCTGATGCCTCCCCACAGAGGGAGCATTTAAATGAGCCCTAGTGAGAGGGGAATCACCGATCCTAGTGGTCTGAACTTGAACTTGAGTGCCTCCAAACCTCACCACCTAGGGATAATGTACTGTTGGTCTCTAAGTAAACTTGAAAGGCAGTCTAGACCATAAAGACTGCAAGTTGTGGTCAAGCCCTAGGGCTGAACTAGGCCAAAAGACAGTGGACTGGGGGTGCATGCGACCTACTGAGACACCAGCTAGAGCAACCAAGGGAGTGCTGGCATCACCTCTCTCCTAACCGCATGCTGCACAGTTGATGACTCCAAAAGGGACCCCTTCCTGTCACTTGAGGAGAGGAGAAGGAAGAGGGGAAGGACTTTGTCTTGCATCTTGGATAGCAGCTCAGCCACAGCAGGATAGGGCCGCAGTCACAGTCAAGAGGCCCATGTTCCAGGCCCACAATACAATAGAATACCAGGTATACCTCTAACATTTTTGACTCTAGTCCCTGACTCCTGGACAACTTCTAGACCCACCCAGGGCCTGCAGAACCTCACCACTCTAAAAAGAAGGACACAGGCCTGGCTGGCTTTGCCACCTTCTGATTGTAGAGCCCCAGGGTTTTGAGTGAACCTAGACAGTAGCCAGGGAGTGGTTACAGCTGGTCTTGGGTGAGACCCAGTGCTGTGCTGGCTTCAGGTCTCACCCAGTACAGTCATAGTGGTGATGACCACAGGGGTGCCTATGTTACTACACCCTCAGCTTTAGGTGACTTGGAAGAGAGACCGAGACTCTGTATGTTTAGAAGAAAGTAAGGGAAAGAACAAGAGTCTCTGCCTGGTAATCCAGAGAATTCTCCCTGATCATGTCCAAGACCATCTAAGCAGTACCTCTGTGAGACTGCAAGAATCACAGCATTACTAGGCTTGGGGGTGCACCCTAAGGCAGATATAGCTTAGATTACAACACCCAAACTTTTTTAAGTAACTGGAAAGCCATCTCAGGAAGAACAGCTACAAATAAGCCCAGACTGTGAAGAATATAATAAATACTAACTCTTCAATGCCAAGACATTGAAGTCTATCTACTAGCATCAGTACCATCCAGGGAAACATGACTACTCCAAATGAACTAAATAAAGCACTATAAGTTTGGAGAAACAGATTTATGTGACCTTCCAGACAGAGAATTCAAAATAGCTGTGTTGAGGAAAATCAAGGAAATTCAAGATACCACAGAAAAGGAACTCAGAATTCTATCAGAGAAATTTAACTGAGACATAGAAATAATTAAAAAGAAGCAGAAATTCTCAAGGTGAAAAATGCAATTAGCATACTGAAGAATACAACAGAGTCCTTTAATAGCAGAATAAATCAAGCAGAAGAAAGAATTAGTGAGCTTAAAGACAGGTTATTTAAAAATACAGTTAAAGGAGACAAAACAAACAAAAGAATAGAAAACAATGAAATACACCTACAGGACCTAGAAAATAGCCTCAGAAGGCTAAATCTAAGAGTTATTGCTGTTATTTAAGAGGAGGTAGAGATAGAGATAGGTGTAGAAAGTTTATTCAATTGGATAATTATGGAAAACTTCCCAAACCCAGAAAAAGATATCAATATTCGCGTATAAGAAGGTTATAGAACACCAAGCAGATTTAACACAGAGAAGACTACCTCAAGGAATTTAATGGTCAAACTCCCAAAGGTCAAGGATAAAGAAAAGATCCTAAACGCAGCAAGAGAAAGAAACGAATAACATCAATGGAGCTTCAACACATCTGGCAGCAGGCTTTTCAGTGGAAACCTTATAGACCAGGAAAAAATGGCAAGATATATTTAAAGAACTGAGGGGGAGAAAAACTTTTACCCTAAAATAGTATATCTGGTGAAAATATCCTTTAAACATGAAGGCAAATTAAAGATTTTCTCAGACAAACAAAAGCTGATGGATTTCATCAATGCCAGGGCCATCCTACAAGAAATGGTAAAGAGAGTACTTCAACCAGAAAGAAAAGGACACAAATGAGCAATAAATAACCACCTGAGGGTAAAAAACTTACTGGCAATAGTAGTTACACAGAAAAACAGAATATTACAACACTGTAACTGTGGTGTGTAAAGTAACTTTATCCTAAGTAGAAAGACTAAATGATGAACCAATAAAAAATAATAACCACAACAACTTTTCAAGTTATAGGCCATACAATAAGATATAAATAGAAACAACGAAAATTTAAAAAGTGAGGAGATTAAGTTAAAGTGAGGTTTTATTAGTTTTCCTTTTTTGCTTGCTTGTTTATCAAAATACTGTTAAATTGTTAGGTTAAAATACTAGTTTATAAGATATTATTTGCAAGCTTCATGGTAACCTCAAACCAAAAAACATACAATGGATAAACAAAAAATAAAAATCCAGAAACTAAATCATGCCACCAGAGAAAATCATCTTCACTAGAGGACAGGAATGGAAGAAGGAAGAGAAGACCACAAAACAACCAGAAAACAAATAACAAAATGGCAGGAGTAAGTTCTTACTTATCAATAATAACATTGAATGCAAATGGCATAAATTCTCCAATCAAAAGACATAGACTGGCTTAATGGATTAAAAAAAACAAGACCGATTGGTCTGTTGCCTAGAAGAAACATACTTCACCTATAAAGACACATATAGATTGAAAATAAAGGGATGGTAAAAGATATTCCATGCCAATGGAAAACAAGAGCAGGCATCATTATACTTGCATAAGATTGCCACACATAAAATTAAATGCCTAGTTTTTGAGACAAAAACTGTAAGAAAAGACAAAGATGGTCACTACATGATGATAAACCAGTGAATTCAGCAAGAGGATATAACGATTTTAAATATATATGTACCCGACACTAAAGCACACAGATATATAATAGAAAATTATTAGAGCTAAAGAGAAGCATAATAACAATACAATAAAAGCTGGAGACTTCAGCTCCCAACTTTCAGCATTGGATAGATCTTCCAGGCAGAAAATCAACAAAGAAACATCAGACTCGATCTGCACTATAGACCAAAGGGATCTAATAGACATTTACAGAACATTTCATCCAAGAACTGCAGAATACCCATTTTCTTCCTTAGCACATGGATCATTCTCAAAGATATACCATATGTAAGGTCACAAAGCAAGCCTTAAAACATTCAAAAATATTGAAATAATATTGAGCATCTTCTCTGAAAACAATGGAATAAAACTGAAAATAATTTAATTAAGGAATTAAGGAATTTTAAAAACTACATAAATACATGAAAATTAAACAATATGTTCCTGAAAGACTAGTGAGTCAATGAAGAAATTAAGAAGGAAATGGAAAAATGTTTTGAAAGAAATGATAATGGAAACACAACATACCAAAACCTATGGGTTACAGCTAAAGCTACTAAGAGGAAAGTTAATAGCTAAAAGTGCATGCATCTGAACAGAGGAAAATCTTCAAATAAACCATCTAATGATGCATCTAGAAAAGCAAGAGCAAACTAAACCCAAAATTAGTAGAAGAAAAAAAATAATAAAGATCAGAGCAGAAATAAAGGAAATTGAAATAAACAACACAATAGATCAATGAAACTAAAAGTTGATTTTTGGAAAATTAAACAAAATTGACAAATGTTTAGACAGAGTAACCAAGAAAAAAAGAGAGAAGATAAAAAAAAGATAATCACGAATGAAACAGGAGACATTACAACTGATACTGCAGAAATTCAAAGAATCATTAGTGGCTACTATGAGTAGCTGTATGCCAATATATTGGAAAATCTAGAAGAACTGGACAAATTCCTTGATAAATTCTTAGACACACACAACCTACAAAGATTGATCCAGGAAGAATTCTAAAGCCTGAACAGATAAATAATGAGTAATGAGATTGAAGCCCTAATAAAAAGTCTTCCAGTAAAGAAAATCCAGGTAGCTGATGGCTTCACTGCTGAATTCTACCAAGCATTTAAAGAACTAATACCAATCCAAATCAAACTATTCCAAAAAATAGAAGAGAAGATACTTCCAGACTCATTCTATGAGGCCAGTATTACCCTGATATCAAAACAAGACAGAGATACATCCAAAAAAAAAAAAAAAAAAGAAAGAAAACTACAGGCCAATATCTCTGATGAATATTTATGCCAAAATCCTCAACAAAATAACGAAATATTAGTAAATTGAGTTTAGCAATATATTAGAAAGATCATTCATCAGGACAAAGTGGTATTTATCCCTGGGATGCAAGGATGGTTCAACACACACAAATCAAGGTGCTACATCATATCTTCAGAATAAAGAATAAAAACCATATGATTATTTAAATTGATGCTAAAAAGAATTTGATAAAATTCAATGTCACTTCATGATAAAAATCCTCAAAAAACGGGATAGAAGGAACATATCCGAATGTAATAAAAGCCATGTATGACAGACCCACGGCTAATAGCATATTGAATAAGGAAAAAAATTGAAACTATTTCTTCTAAGATCTGGAACATGACAAGGATGCCCACTGTTACCACTGTTATCCAACATAGTATTGGAAGTCCTATCTAGAGCAATCAGATAGAAGAAAGATATAAAGAACATTCAAATTGGAAAATAAGTCAAATTATTCTTGTTTACTGATGATATGATCTTATATTTGGAAAAATCCAAAGGCTCCACAAGAACGCTATTAGAACTGATAAACAGATTTAGTAAAGTTGCAGGATACAAAACCAACATATAAAAATCAGTAGCGTTTCTATATGCCAACAGTGAACAATGTGAAAAAGAAATAAAAAAGTAGTCTCATTTACAATTGCCACACATAAAATTAAATTCCTAGGAATTAACCAAAGAAGTGAAAGATTTCTATAATTAAAACTATAGCACACTAATAAAAGAAATTGAAGACAATAAAAAATGAAAAGATACTTCATGTTCATGGATTGGAAGAATCAGTAGTGTTAAAATATCCATACTACCCAAAGCAATCTACATATTCAATGCAGTCCCTATAAAGTATCAATAACATTTTTCACAGAAATAGAAAACAAACAAACAAACAAAAAAACAGCCCTAGAATTTATGTGGAACTGCAAAAGACTCAGAACACCCAAAGCTATCCTAAGCAGAAAGAACAAAACTGGAGGAATCACATTACCTGATTTCAAATTATACTACCCAGCTACAGTAACTAAAACAGAATGGTACTGGCATTATTATTATTATTTGAGACAGGGTCTCACTCTGTTGCCCAGGCTAGAGTGCAGTGGTGCAATCTCGGCTCATTGCAACCTCTGAGTTCAAGCAATCATCCTGTCTCAGCCTCCCTAGTAGCTAAGACTACAGGCACGCATCACCACGCCCGGCTAATTTCTGTGTTTTTAGTAGAGACGGGGTTTCACCATGTTGTCCAGGCTGGTCTCAAACTCCTGACCTCAGATGATCTGCCCACCTCAGCCTCCCAAAATGCTGGGATTACAGGCGTGAGCCACCGTGCCCGGCTGGTACTGGCATTAAAACAGACACATAGACCAATGGAACAGATAGAGAACCCAGAAACAAATCCACCCACCTATAGTAAACTTACTTTTGACAAAGGTGCCAAGAATCTACACTGGGGAAAAGACAGTCTCTTCAATAAATGGTGCTAGGAAAACTGGATATCCATGTGCAAAAGAATGAAACTAGACTCCTATCTCTCTCCATATACAAAAATAAAGTCAAAGTGGATTTAAATTTAAGATGTCAAACCATGAAACCATCACAAGAAAACACTGGGAAAAACAACCAGGTCATTGGTCTGGGCAAAAATTTCTTGAGCAATACCTCATAAGTGCAGGCAACCAAAACAAAAATGGACACAAATGAGATAACATAAGTTAAAAAGTTTCTGCACAATAAAGGATACAACCAACAAAGGGAAGAGACAGCCCACAGAATGGGAGAAAATATTCAAAAACTACCCTTCTGACAAGGAATTAATAACCAAAATACATAAAGAGTTCAAACAATTTTATGGCAAAAAAAATCTAATGATCTGATCAAAAGATGGGTGAGAGATTTGAACAGACATTTCATAAAAGAATACATACAAATGGCAAACAGGCATAGGAAAAGGTGCCCAACATTTCTGATCATCAGAGACATGCAAATCAAAACTACAATGAGATATCATCTCACCCCAGTTAAAATGGCTGATATCCAAAAGACTGGCAACAGCAAATGCTGACGAGAATGTGAAGAAAAGTCAACCCTTGTATACTGTTGGTAGGAACGTAAACTACACTTTATTTTTTATTTTTTGTAGGGGTAGGGTCTCACCATGTTGCTCAGACTGATCTTGAACTCCTGGGCTCAAGTGATTTGCCTCCCTTGGCCTTCCAAAGTGTTGGGATTACAGGCGTGAGCCACTGCACCCTGCCAGGAATGCAAATTAATACAATCAGTATGGAGAACAGTTAGGACGTTTCTCAAAAAACTAAAAACAGAGCTACCATACAATTCAGCAATCCTGTTGCTGGGTATATACCCCCCAAAAGGAAATCAGTATGTCAAAGAGTTATCTGCACTTCTGTGTTTGTTGCAGCACTGTTCACAATGGCTAAGATTTGTAAGCAACCTAAATGTCCATCAACAGATAAATGGATAAAGAAAATGTGGTAGCACATACACAATGGAGAGTAGTATTCAGCCATAAAAGAGTATGAGATCCAGTCATTTGCAACAACACAGATGGAATTAGAGATTCTTATGTTAAGTGAATGAATCTAGGCACAGAAAGACAAACATTGCATGTTCTCACTTATTTGTGGAATCTAAAAATCAGAGCAATTGAACTCATGGTCATAGAGAGTAGAAGGATGGTCACCAGAGGATGGGAAGGGTGTGGCGGGGATAGTGGGAAAGTGGGGATGGTAAATGTGTAGAAAAAATTAGAAAGAATGAATAAGACTTTCTATTTGATAGCACAACAGGGTGAATATAATCAATAGTAAATTAATTGTATATTTTAAAATAACTAATGTAATCAGATTGTTTGTAACTCATAGGATAAATGGTTGAAGGGATGGATACCACATACTCCATGATGTGTTTATTTCATGTTGCATGCCTGTATCAAGACATCTCTTGACCCCATGAATATATACATCTACTATGTACTCACAAAAACTTAAAAAATAAAAAGACAAAAAACAAAAAATATTTTATTGTATGAATATTACATACTTTCTTCATTTATCAGTACATGGACATTTGGTTTGTTTTCACTTTTTGGTATTGTAAATAGTGCTGCTACAAACTTTTGTGCACACATTTTTGTGTGAATATATATTTTCGTTTATCTTGAGATATAGCAGGAGTGAAATTGTTGGGTTATATGATAACTCCATGTATAACATTTGAGGAATTAACAGACTGCTTTCCAAAGTGGCTGCACTATTTTCATTTCTCACCAGGATTATACAAGGGTTTCAATTTTTTAACACTTTTTACTATCTGCTGACACTTTTTATTCTCTAGCCATTCTAGTGGGTGGGAAGATTATGGTTTTGATTTGCTGTAAGATTATGATTTTAATTTGCATTTCCCTGATGTCTAATGATATTGAGCATCTTGTCATGTGCATTTGGCCATTTGTATATCTTCTCTGGAGGAATGTCTATGCACATTTTTTACACATTTTCAAAAATTGTTTTATTATTGAGTTGTAATAATTTTCACATATTCTAAATAAAAGTCCTTCCTTTATCAAATATATTATTTTTAAATATTTTTATTTCCATGGTGTTTTTCACTTTGTTAATGTCATATCATTTGAAGCACAATGAATCTTAAACCCAATTTTGTATATTTTCTTTTGTTGATTATGCTTTTGGTGTTGTATTTAAAAAGGCTTTATGTAACCAAAAATCATACAGATATAGATTTATATATTTCCTTCTAGGAGATTTATAATTTTCTCATATTGAGGTCTTATATACATATATATTTATATATTTTCTTCTAGGAGATTTATAATTTTAGTTCTTATATTTAGGTCTGTGATCCAATTTTTGTAGATTTTGTGTCTGGTGTGAGAAACGGGTCTAACTTTTTCCTTCTTCATGTGGCTATGCAAATGCCCCAGCACCATTTGTTGAAAAGACTATGCTTTTTCTCTTCGAATTGTCTTGGCCCCATTTTCAGAAATTGATTCACCATACATGTAAAAGTTTATTTTGTGGATTTTAATCCTTTTTAGTTAAAATACACACATACACACACACACACACACACACACACACACACACGTTTATCCTTATGCCAGTACATACTGTTTTTATTATTGTAGTTTTGTAGTAAGTTTTGAAATCTTTAAGTGTGAGTCCTCTAATTTAGCTCATTTTTGTGTGTGTGTGTGGCTATGCTCTATCACTTGACTTTCTTTTTTTTTTTATACTTTAAGTTTTTGGGTACATGTGCACAACGTGCAGGTTAGTTACATATGTATACATGTGCCATGTTGGTGTGCTGCACCCATTAACTCGTCATTTAACATTAGGTATATCTCCTAATGCTATCCCTCCCCCCTCCCCCCACCCCACAACAGGCCCCAGTGTGTGATGTTCCCTTCCTGTGTCCATGTGTTCTCATTGTTTAATTCACACCTATAAGTGAGAACATGAGGTGTTTGGGTTTTTGTCCTTGCTATAGTTTGCTGAGAATGATGGTTTCCAGCTTCATCCATGTCCCTACAAAGGACATGAACTCATCCTTTTTTATGGCTGCATAGTATTCCATGGTATATATGTGCCACATTTTCTTAATGCAGTCTATCATTGTTGGACATTTGGGTTGGTTCCAAGTCTTTGCTATTGTGAATAGTGCCGCAATAAACATACGTGTGCATGTGTCTTTATAGCAGCATGATTTATAATCCTTTGGGTATATACCCAGTAATGGGATGGCTGGGTCAAATGGTATTTCTAGTTCTACATCCTTGAGGAATCGCCACACTGACTTCCACAATGGTTGAACTAGTTTACAGTCCCACCAACAGTGTAAAAGTGTTCCTATTTCTCCACATCCTCTCCAGCACCTGTTGTTTCCTGACTTTTTAATGATCACCATTCTAACTGGTGTGAGATGGTATCTCATTGTGGTTTTGATTTGCATTTCTCTGATGGCCAGTGATGGTGAGCATTTTTTCATGTGTTTTTTGGCTGCATAAACGTCTCCTTTTGAGAAGTGTCTGTTCATGTCCTTTGCCAACTTTTTGATGGGGTTGTTTGTTTTTTTCTTGTAAATTTGTTGGAGTTCATTGTAGATTCTGGATATTAGCCTTTTGTCAGATGAGTAGACTGCAAAAATTTTCTCCCATTCTGTAGGTTGCCTGTTCACTCTGATGGTAGTTTCTTTTGCTGTGCAGAAGCTCTTTAGTTTAATTAGATCCCATTTGTCAATTTTGGCTTTTGTTGCCATTGCTTTTGGTGTTTTAGACATGAAGTCCTTGGCCATGCCTATGTCATGACTGGTATTGCCTAGGTTTTCTTCTAGGGCTTTTATGATTTTAGGTCTAACATGTAAGTCTTTAATCCATCTTGAGTTAATTTTTGTATAAGGTGTATGGAAGGGATCCAGTTTCAGCTTTCTACATATGTCTAGCCAGTTTTCCCAGCACCATTTATTAAATAGCAAATCCTTTCCCCATTTCTTGTTTTTGTCAGGTTTGTCAAAGATCAGATGGTTGTAGATATGCAGCATTATTTCTGAGGGCTCTGTCCTGTTCCATTGGTCTATATCTCTGTTTTGGTACCAGTACCATGCTGTTTTGGTTACTGTAGCCTTGTAGTATAGTTTGAAGTCAGGTAGCGTGATGACTCCAGCTTTGTTCTTTTGGCTTAGGATTGACTTGGCAATGTGGGCTCTTTTTTTGGTTCTATATGAACTTTAAAGTAGTTTTTTCCAATTCTGTGAAGAAAGTCATTGGTAGCTTGATGGGGATGGCATTGAATCTATAAATTACCTTGGGCAGTACGGCCATTTTCACGATATTGATTCTTCCTACCCATGAGCATGGAATGTTCTTCCATTTGTTTGTATCCTCTTTTATTTCATTGAGCAGTGGTTTGTAGTTCTCCTTGAAGAGGTCCTTTACATCCCTTGTAAGTTGGATTCCTAGGTATTTTATTCTCTTTGAAGCAATTGTGAATGGGAGTTCACTCATGATTTGGCTGTCTGTTTGTTATTGGTGTCTAAGAATGCTTGTGATTTTTGCACATTGATTTTGTATCCTGAGACTTTGCTGAAGTTGCCTATCAGCTTAAGGAGATTTTGGGCTGAGACGATGGGGTTTTCTAGATATACAATCATGTCATCTGCAAACAGGGACAATTTGACTTCCTCTTTTCCTAATTGAATACCCTTTATTTCCTTCTCCTTCCTGATTTCCCTGGCCAGAACTTCCAACACTATGTTGAATAGGAGTGGTGAGAGAGGGCATCCCTGTGTTGTGCCAGTTTTCAAAGGGAATGCTTCCAGTTTTTGCCCATTCAGTATGATATCACTTGACTTTCTATATGAATATGAGGATAAGCTTGTCAATTTCCGCACAGAAGTCAGCTGAAGTTTTGATAGGTATTTCATTGAATCTGTAGATCAATTTGGGAGAATGTTACAATTTTTATAACATTTCATCCATGAATATAGGAAGTTTTGATAGGGATTTCACTGAATCTATAGGTCAATTTGGGAGAATGTTGCAATTTTTGTAACGTTTCATCCATGAATATAGGATTTCTCTCAATTAATGTAGTTTTTCTTTACTTTCTTGCAACAATCCTTTGTAGTTTTAAGAGCAACATTTTTGCATGGACTTTGGTAAATTCATATCTATGTTTTTCTTCTTTTTGATACTATTACAAATGGGCTTACTTTTTTATTTCAATTTTGGATTGTTTGTGGCAAACATGAAAATACAATTTATTTTTAATGTATTCATCTTGTATCTTGCAACCTCACTGGACTTATTTAATAGTTCTTATATTTGTTTAGTTGGATCTTTATAATTTTTAAAATGCAAGATGATGACATATGCCAATAAATAGAATTTTATTTCTTTTTCTGTCTGGATGACTTTTATTTCATTTTCTTGCCTAATTGCTCTGGGTAGTACCTCCAGCACAATGGTAAATAGAAGTGAGAGAGTGAACATCCTTTTGTTGTTCCCGATCTTCAGAGGAATGCATTCGGTCTTTCTCCATTAAGTATGGCATTACATGGGATTATTATCATTATCATTATCATTATCATTATTATTATTATTATTATTGTAGATACCTTTATTGGGTTCAGGAAGTTTCTTGGTATTTTGTTGATTTTTTTTCATGAAAAGATGTTGAATCCTGTTCAATGCGGTTTCTGTACCTTTTGAGAAGATCATGTGTTTTTTGTTATTTATTTTATTGATAGAGTGTATTACACTAATTTATTTCCAGGTGTTGAAAAAACCTTGCAATCCTGGGATAATTTCTATTATTATTATTGTTATTGTTATATATGTTTTGAGATGGAGTGTCGATTTGTTGCCCAGGCTGGAGTGCAGTGGCGTGATCTCGGCTCACTGCAAGCTCCTATTCCCGGGTTCACGCCATTCTCCTGCCTCAGCCTCCCAAGTAGCTGGGACTACAGGTGCCCGCCACCACGCCTGGCTAATTGTTTGTATTTTTTTAATAGAGACAGGGTTTCACTGTGTTAGCCAGGATGGTCTCGATTTCCTGACCTTATGATCTGCCTCCCAAAGTGCCGAGATTACAGGTGTGAGCCACCGTGCCTGGCCAATAAATTATATTATTTATAGTATGTAATTCTTTCTTGAATTACTGGATTTAATTTACTAGTATCTTTTCAAGGAATTTTCTGTGTATAATAATAAGAGATAATAGTACGTAGTACTCCCACCCCCATCTTAATACCTAAAGGAATCCTTGCCTGTTTTGGATATCAGTATAACACTTGACTCATAGAATGAGTTGAGACAAAATTCTTCCCATTATATTGTAGATAACAATTTGTGATCGATTGGAATTACTTTTTTAAATGTCTGGTAGTACTTATTAATAAACACATATGGATCTGGGCTTTTCTTTGTGGTTATATTTTTAATTACTAACTATGTATTATAGGTTTGTTCATATTTTCTATTTTTTAGTCAGTTTCACTAGTTGTGTTTTTGTAGGTTATCTAATTATGTAGCTTATCTAATTTGTTATTATGCAATTATTCAGGGCATTTTCTTATAAGCCTTTTAACTTTGGTAAATTGGGTAGTTATAGCTCCTGTGTTATTCCTGAATTTAGTAATTTGAGTCTTTTCTTTTTGCTTGTTTACTTTACCTAAAATTTTGTTAACACTGTATGTCTTATTGAAGAAACAACTTTTGGTTTTGTTGGCTTTCCCTATGTCATATTTCTCTGCTCCCTATTTCATTAATTTTCAATGAAATATGTATTATGTCCTTACTTATACTTGCTTTGGGTTTAGTTTGTTCTAGTTTTCTAGTGTCTTAGGTGAAAGTTTACATGACTAATTTAAGAGTTTAAAATATAAGCATTTACAGCTCTTAAGTTTTCATGTAAATACTGATTTTACTGCATCCCAGGGGTTGTTTTTTTCTCCACTCTTCCTTGCCAGCAGGAAGTCACAGAAGTTTTGGTATAATGTGTCTTCACTTTGATTAATCTTGACTGTTTTCTAATTGTCCATGTGATTTCTTCTTTGACCTATGTGTTCTTTAGAAGTGTAGTTTAGTTTCATCATATTTGTGATTTCCCATTTTTTTCTGTTATTTTAAAATACTTTTATTCAATTGTGATTGGAGAACATACTTTACATAATTCAATGTTTAAGTTTTATGAGGCTTGTTTTATGACTAGCATATTGTCTATCTTGAAGAATGTTCCATGTGTAATTGAGAAGAATGTGTATTTTGCTGTTGGTGAGTAGAAATATCCATAGATGTTTATTAGGTCTAGTTGATTTATAGTGTTGTTAAAACCTTCTTTTTTCTTGTTGAACTTTTGCCTAGTAGTTCTGTTTATTATTGTAGTGGGGTATTGAAGTTTCTAATTGTTATTGTTGAACTGTCTATTTCTTTTTGCAATCCAGTCAGTTTTTGCTCTAAATATTTTGGTGTTCTGTTGTTAGGTGTTTATATGTTTATAGTTGCTTTATCTTCTTGATGGATTGACCCTTTTACCATTGTAAAATATTTCTCTTTATCTCTAGTAACATTTTTATATTAACATCTGTTTTATCTGATAGTCATATAGGCCCTACCTCTTTCTTGTAGTTGCTTTTTGCATGGTATGTGTTTTTCATCCTCTTACACTTGATTGTTTTGTATTTTTGAATATAAAGTGTGTCTTGTACAGAGAGTATATGGTTAGATCTTACTTTATGTAATCCAGTGTGATAACATCTACCTTTTTATTAGGTTATCTAATCCATTAAAATTTGATATTATTATTTATATAGTTAAACATATATTTTCCACTTTATGTTTGGTTTTGCATACATCTCATGTATTTTTTACTCTATTTCTCCCTCTCTGCTTTATTTTGCATTTAATGAATATTTTCTACCATGATATTTTAATTTCATTAGTGATTTTTTTCATTAGATTTTTTGAGTTATTTTCTTAGTGGTTCTTTTTGTGCTTACCATATACATCTTAGTTAATCAAGATCTATTTCAGATTAATACTAACTGTATATCAGTGAGACATAGTAATATTAGATTTATATAGTTTTGTTTCCTTCTTCTCTTTTTGTGCTATTATTGTTGTATGTATTGCACCTATATACATAATAAAGCTAGGAATACATTGTTATATTTATAACTAAATATAAGGTTATAGCTATTAAAGTACCTAAGAGAAAAAAAGGAAAGCAAGCATATTGTTATATAGTTCTTTATCTTAAACTACTTATTTACTATTTCTGGTGGAATAACAGACATTGAAGACTAGGAAAGGTGGGACAGTGGGAGGGAGGTGAGGGATGAATGGGAACAATGTATACTGTTTGGGTGATGGCAGCACTATAAGCCCAGGCTTCACCACTATGCAGTACATCCCTGTAACAATACTGTACTTGTACCCCTGAAATGTACACAAATAAAATATAAACACTTTCTAATCCCTTAAAATCCCCCCCAGCCCTCCTAAAATACCATATTTTATCATTTTCTAATCCCAATACTTTCTGCCTATCATCCTTCTCCTTTGTGCTGATATTGTTAAGTGCAATACAAGCGTATATATTATAGGCTCCCAAATACAATTACATTCCTGTTTTATACAAATGCTTTTTACAGAAAAAAAGAAAGATAAGGAACTATGCATTTATACTGTCACTCATAATTACATAATTACCTTTTCTGGTGGTCTTTTTCTTTTTGTCTTATTTTTAAATTATCTGAGGCTACTTGCTTTGAGCCTAAAATACTTCCTGTTCCTAAAGTACTTCTTGTTAAGTGAGTCAGCTAGTATTTGGTTCGCTCCGATTTTATTTATCTGGAAAAGTCTTTATTTTGCCTTCACTTTTGAGAGATAACTTTGCTGGATATAACATTCTTGGTTTATATGTATTTGTGTATTTGATGAGACAGTATCATCATAGTTTTACTTTACAAACAAAGTTGCCTTTAGTTCATTGTATATATTGTAACAGCTGCTTTGACATCCTTGTTAAATCTGACATCAGGACTTTCTTACAGCCAGTTTTCGTTACTTGCTTGTCTTTTATATTGGTCACACTTTCCTGTTTCTTTGTCTGTCTCATATTTTTTTTCTTGTCAACTCACATATTAGATAATGTATTGTAGTAATTCGGTATAATATTCTCTCTGTCCTTTAAGGACTCATTTGGTTGTTTGCTTGTTTATGTTTTTAGTGACTTGGCTGGACTGATTTAGTCAAGTCTGCTGCAGTTTGAAGCCTTTGATATCACTTTTTAGTATGCTGAGCTTTGGCCATGTGTGCAGTCAGCCTGCAATGATGGTGATTTTAGCAGGGCTCTCTTTGTGCCTTTCTCTGATTTCTCTAGAAATTAGATCGTCTATTAGTATCACACTCAGCTATTAGGCTCTATTCACTTCTTGTTGATTGCTCTATTGTGTTTGAAAATGTCCTCGGTCCTCACTTATTTTACAGTCTGATTCAGTATATCTTGGCTCATTTACGAAGGTCATTATTGAGAACTGTTTTTGAAGATTATTTCTTCCAGAAGAGTTCTATTTAGCTGTCATTTTCCCTCATTTTCTCTGGGTAACTAATTGGCCTATAGTTTAGCTTGTTGCTGTCATAGAGATACCAAACCTCCTCTTAATTGCTTACTATCAAAATCTTTTTCTTTTTAATTAATTTAGGTTTGAACTTCCTGATACTCTGTTTCAAATAAAGTCACTTTCTTTTAGGAGAGCTTCAGTGTTCTCTATTCACATGAACTGCCCTCCCTACCAAAAAACATCTCTGAACCACTGCTTCAGAAAGGAAGGAGCAAATAATACCCATACTTTACAAATATGTCACTGTGTGGGAGTGATAGCTTCTGGTATTTTTTTCTAGCCTCTCTTACGTGAAACCTCTACCTTCTTAGCTAACTGACCAAAAAGAGGACCCTGTCTTTTGGCTACACCCATTTGAAATAAAGCTCCTGTTATACTAAGCTGAAAAGGGGCAAGGGAGGGACCAAGTCTTGGCTTAAGTGCCACAGATTCTCACTGTTCTTATTGAAATGTAGTAGGTTTGCTTTAATAAATGTTTCTTCATTGCCTCTAAGCCCTCAGGACAATTCCAGAAACTTCAAGTGGGGTTTTTCAAAAGAAATAATTCTTGCCAGTTGTGGTTATTTTACTGGGGAATGGGTTTTTGGAGCTCCTCATGCTACCATTCTAAAAGTCAACCGTTGTTTTTTTCAAGATTCTACAGATCTTAGATTTTGGTTTTGTCTTTCTGTGTATTTCAGTTGAGATTATTTCTGCTGACCTATATTCATAAGAACAGATTCTTTTCTCATCTATGTTAGTTTTACTGATGAGCCTATTTAAGACCTGTTTGTCTTTGTAAAACTTATTGTATTCTAGTTTTCCTATTTGATTTGTGTGCGTATTAGTCTGTTTTCACACTGCTATAAAGAAATACCCAAGATTGGGTAATTTATAAAGGAGAAAGGTATAATTGACCTTATAGGTCTGCTGCATGGCTGGGGAGGCCTCAGTCATGGCAGAAGGTGAAGGGGGAAGCAAGAACCTTCTTCACATGGAAGCAGGAAAGAGAAATGCAAGCAGGAGAAATGCCAGACACTTACAAAAACATCAGATCTTGTAAGAACTCACTATCACTACAGCAGCATGAGGGAGACAGCCCCATGATCCAATCACCTCCCACTAGGTTCCTCCCTCCACACATGGGGATTATGGGGATTACATTTCAAGATGAAATTTGGGTGGGAACACAGTCAAACCATATCAATGTGATACTTTTGATACATAAAAGACATTTTTTCAACATGTTATTATGGATATTTAAATTACAGAGATAGGTCAAAAGTTGTTACTTAATTTTTAGAGTTATCAATGTATTTTTGGTGACTTTTTAAGTCTAAGCATTTACCAGTTTCCAGTATAATCTCTTCTTTGATATAGATATATTTAAAAGTATATCTATGAATTTACAAAATGTAGATTAAAATTTTGTTGTTATTTACTCTATTTTTTTGTGATGAATAGTAATTAATCAAAGCCTGTTTTATGGTATACAATGAAACTAAGCTTTTTGTAAATGTCCATTTTTGTGCTTAGGGAGAATATGTATATTTTAAATTATTGTCCACACTATTATACATGTATTTCAATTACATAAAACTTCTAACTGTGTTGTTAAACTCTTATATAGTAACCCTTTAATAACATGGGTTTGAGTTGTGAGAGTCCATTTATACATGGATTTTTTTCAATAAGTATCATGGAAAATATTTTGAAGAATTCTGACAATTGAAACACCTTGCAGAAAAAGCAGGTAGCCTAGAAATTTTTTTAAGAAAGCAAAATTAGGTATGTCAATGCATAAAATATATGTAGGTATTAGTCTATTTATATAATTTACTATCATAAAATACACACAAATCTATTATGAAAAGTTAAAATTTATCAAGAGTTATACACATAAACACTTGCAGACCAAATATGGCACTATTTGTAGGAGACAGAAATGTAAACAAATGTAAAGATGTAGCATAAAGTCATAACTGAAGAAAATTAACTGTAGTACATACTGTAGTAGTGTAATAATTTCATAGCCACCTTCTATTGCTATTGAGGTGAGCTCAAGTATTGTCAAGTAGGTAAAATGCTATGCAATGCTAATCATCTCTGAGTGAGATGCTCCTCTCTCCAGTAAATTGGATATCACAGTAAAGATGATCTCTTGAAGTTCTTGTGTATTTTTAATTGTGTTCACTGCAATATTGAACATTAAATAACATCATGGGACCCATATAAAATGCCATGAGTGATGCTGGAAGTGCTCCCAAGAAACAGAGAAACCATTTTTCTGGATTGGTTTTATCAATGTTTTGTTCCTAAAGTAAGGAAGCACCTCACCAGTAAGGGACTGTATTTTAAAGTTATTTTGATTTTTGACAATCCCCCTGGCCACTCAGAACCCCATGAGTTCAACACCAAAGGTGCTGAATTAGTCAACATGCTGCCGAATACAATGTCTCTATTAGCCTCTAGACCAGGGAGTCATCAGGACCTCAATGACTCATTGTAGATGAAACCCTTTAAGATTTCTCAATGCTATGGAAGAACCCTGATAGAACGTGAAAGCCTGGAGGGATTACATCACTGAAGATGCCATAGTTGTTATAAGAAAACCATGAAACCCATCAAGCCCAAAAGAATACATTTCTGTGGAAGAAAATTGTGTCCAGATATTATACATGACTTCACATGATTTCTGTCAGAGCCAATCAAGGAAATCAGGAGAGAGATTGTGGACATGGCAAAAAAAAAAAAAAAAAAAAGGTGAGGGGTAAGGGTTTTAAGGTATAGATTTTAGGGAAATTCAAGACCTAAGAGACACTACCCCAGAGGAATTAACAGAAGATGACTGGATGGAGATGAATGCTTCTGAATCAGTGCCAGATCACGAGGAAGAAAACAGCAGAAGCAGTGCTAGAAATCAAATTTTCATTGGACAATCTGAAAAAGGGCTTCTGATTTTTCAGGACTGCTTTTGACGTCTTTTATGACGTAGACCCTTATACGATATGAGCACTGAAACCAGAACGGTGGAAAGATTGGTACCATATAGAAACATTTGTGGGTAAATGAAAAAGCAAAAAAGTCAGACAAAAACTTATGGTGTATTTCTGTAAAGGTACACCAAGTATACCTGTCTTCCCTTCCACCTCCTCCACCTCTTCCACTTCTGCCACTGGTGAAACACCAAGAGCAATCTCTCTCTTACTCCTCCTCCTTAGCCTACTCAAGGTAAGGATGAAGATCTTTATGATGATCCACGTCTGTTTAATGAATAGTAAATATATTTCCTCTTCCTTAGAATTTTCTTAATAACACTTTCTTTACTCTACCTTACTTAATGGTAAGAATACAGTATACAATAACGCACCATACAAAATATGTGATAATCAACTTATTGGTAAGGCTTTTGGTCAGCAGTAGGCTATTCATAGTTAAGTTTTAGAAGAGTCAAAAGTTATATGTGGGCCGCGCACAATGGCTCATGCCTGTAATCCTAGCCCTTTGGGAGGCCAAGGAAGGCAGATCACTTGAGGTCACGAGTTAGATACCTAAATTTTATAAAAATTAGCCAGGTGTGGTGGCAGGTGCCTGTAGTCCCAGCTACTTGGGAGGCTGAGGCGGGAGAATTGATTGAACCTGAGAGGCAGAGGTTGCGGTGAGCTGAGATCTCGCCACTGCACTCCAGCCTGGATGACAGAGTGACTCTCCATCTCAATAAATAAATAAATAAATAAATAAATAAATAGATATTGTATGTGTATTTTCAACTGCATAAAGGGCCAGTGCCCCTTACTCCCATGTTGTTCAAGGGTCAACTGTATATATTACTAATTAATTTGTCTGCTTAATGTATCAGTTACAATGAGTGGTATATTAATATCTCTTAGGCTAATGTGAGTATTTAAATTTTTTTTCTTTAACTTTCATTTTAAGTTTGGGGGTACATATGCAGGATGTGCAGGTTTGTTACATAGGTAAACATGTGCCATGGTGGTTTGCTGGACAGATCTACCCATCACCCAGGTATTAAGTGCAGAGTCCATTAGCTATTCTTCCTGATGCTCTCTCTCCCCCTGGCCCCCCTCCTAGCCCAGCCCAGTGTGTGTTCTTCTTTCCATGTGTCCATGTGTTCTTGTCATTCAGCTCCCACCTATAAGTGAGAACATGCAGTGTTTGTTTTTCTGTTCCTGCATTAGTTTTGCTGAGAATAACAGCTACCAGCTCCATCCATGTCCCTGCAAAAGACATGGTTTTATTCCTTTTTATGGCTGCATAGTATTCCATGGTGTATATGTACCACATTTTCTTTATCCAGTCTATCATTGATGGGCATTTGGGTTGATTGATTCCAGGTCTTTGCTAGTTGGATAGTGCTGCAGTGAACATATGTGTGCATGTATCTTAATAAGAGAAGAATTTATATTCCTTTGAGTATGTACCCAATAATGAAATTGCTGAGTCAAATGGTATTTCTGCCTCTAGGTCTTTGAGAAGTCACCACACTGTATTCCACAATGGTTGAACTAATTTACACTCTCATCAGCAGTGTAAAAGACTTCCTTTTTCTCCACACCCTTGTCAGCACCTAGTGTTTCCTGACATTTTAATAATCTCCATTCAGACTGGCAGGAGATGGTATCTTACTGTGGTTTTGATTTGCATTTCTCTAATGATCAGTGATGTTGAGATTTTTTTACATATGTTTGTTAGCCACATTAGCGTCTTCTTTTGAGGAGTGTCCATGTCCTTTGCCCACTTTTTAATGGGGGTGTTTGTTTTCTTGTAAATTTGTTTAAGTTCCTTGTAGACTCTGGATATTAGACCTCTTTCAGATGGATAGATTGCAAACATTTTCTCCCATTCTGCAGGTTGTCTATTCCTCTGGTGATAGTTTCTTCTGCCATGCAGAAGCTCTTTAATTAGATCTCGTTGATCAATTTTTGCTTTTGTTGTAATTGCTTTTGGTGTTTTTGTCATGAAATCTTTGCCTGTGCCTATGTCCTGAATGGTATTGCCTAGATTTCTTTCTAGGGTTTTTATAGTTTTGGGTTTTATATATAAGTCTTTAATCTATCTTGAGTTAATTTTGTATAAGGTGTAAGAAAGGGGTCCAGTTTCAATTTTCTGTCGAAGATCAGATGGCTGTAGGTGTGCATCTGAGTTCTCTATTCTGTCCCATGTTTCTGGTCTATGTGTCTGTTTTGTAGCAGTACTTTGCTGTTTTGGTTACTGTAGAATTGCAGTATAGTTTGAAGTTGGGGAGCATGATGCCTCCAGCTTTCTTCTTTTTGCTTAGGATTGTCTTGGCTATATGAGCTCTTTTTTGGTTCCATATGAATTTTAAAATAGATTTTTCTAATTCTGTGAAGAATGTCAATGGTAATTTAATGGGGATAGCATTGAATCTATAAATTACTTTGGGCAGTATGGCCATTTTCACGATATTGATTCTTCCTATTCATGAGCATGGAATGTTTTTCCATTTGTTTGTGTTCTGTCTGATTTTTTAAATCAGTGGTTTGCAGTTCTCCTTGAAGAGTTCCTTCACTTCCCTTTTTAGCTGTATTCATAGGTATTTTGTTTCCTTTGTAGCAATTGTGAATGGGAGTTCATTCATAATTTGGCCCTCAGCTTTCCTGTTGCTGGTGTATAGAAATGCTAGTGATTTTGGCACATTGATCTTGTATCCTGAGGTTTTGCTGAAGTTGCTTATTAGCTTAAGAAGCTTTTGGGCTGAAACAATGGGTTTTCTAGATATAGGATCATGTCATCTGCAAACAGAGACAGTTTGACTTCCTCTCTTCCTATTTGAATATGCTTTATTTCTTTCTCTTACCTGATTGCCCTGGGCAGAACTTCCAATGTTATGTTGAATAGGAGTGGTGAGAGAGGACATCCTTGTCTTGTGCCAGTTTTCAGGGGGAATGCTTCCAGCTTTTGCCCATTCAGTGTGATAGTGGCTGTTGGTTTGTCATATATGGCTCTTACTATTTTGAGGTATATTCCTTCAATCCTAGTTTATTGAGAGTTTTTAACATAAAAGGATGTTGAATTTTATTGAAGGCCTTTTATGCATCTATTGAAATAATCATGTGTTTTTTGTCATTGCTTTTGTTTATGTGATGGGTTACATTTATTGATTTGTGTATGTTGAACCTTACATCCCAAGGATGAAGCTGACTTGATCATGGTGGGTAAGCTTTTGGATGTGCTGCTGGATTCAGTTTGCCAGAATTTTATTGAGGATTTTTGCATTGATGGTCATCAGGGATATTCGCCTGAAGTTTTATTTTATTGTTGTATCTCTGCCAGGTTTTGGTATCAGGATGACGTTGGCCTCACAAAATGAGTTAGGGAGCACTCCCTCCTTTTCAACTGTTTGGAATAGTTTCAATAACAATGGTACCAGTGCTTCTTTGTACCTCTGGTAGAATTCAGTTGTAAATCTATCTGGTCCTGGGCTTGTTTTCGTTGGTAGGCTATTTACTGCTGCCTCAATTTCAGAACTTGTTATTGGTCTATTCAGTGATTCAGTTTTCTCCTTGTTGAGTCTTGTGAGGGTGTATGTGTCCAGGAATTTATTCATTTCTTATAGATTTTCTAGTTTGTATGCATGGAGGTGTTTACAGTATTGTCTGATAGTTGTTTTTATTTCTGTGGTGTAAGGGGTGATATCCTGCTTGTCATTTCTGATTGTGTCTATTTAGTTCTTCTCTCTTTTCTTCTTTATTAGTCTAACTAGTGGTCTATTTTATTGATGTTTTCAAATAACCAGCTCTTGGATGTATTAATTTTTTTGAATGGTTTTTTGTATCTCTATCTCCTTCAGTTCTGCTCTGATCTTGGTTATTTCTTCTCTTCTGCTAGCTTTGGGGTTTGCTTGCTCTTGGTTCTCTACTTCTTTTAGTTGTGATGTTAGGTTGTTGAATTGAGATCTTTCTAGCTTTTTGATGTGGGCATTTAGTGCTGTAAATTTCCCTCTTAACACTGCTTTAGCTGCATCCCAGAGATTCTGATATATTGTCCCTTTGATCTCATTAGTTTCAAATAACTTCTTGATTTCTGACTTCATTTCCTTATTTACCCAGGAGTTATTCAGGAGCAGGTTGTTCAATTTCCATGTAGTTGTGTGGTTTTGAGTGAGTTTCTTAATCTTGAGTTCTAATTTGGTTATGCCATGGTCTGAGAGACTGTTTTTAATAAATTCAGTTATTTTACATTTGCTGAGGAGTGATTTACTTCCAATTATGTGATCAATTTTAGAGTAAGTGCCATGTGGCAATGAGAAGAATGTATATTCTCTGGTTTTTGGGTGGAGAGTTCTGTAGATTTCTTATTTTATTTTATTATTATTATACTTTAAGTTTTAGGGTACATGTACACAATGTGCAGGTTAGTTACATATGTATACATGTGCCATGCTGGTGTGCTGCACCCATTAAAAGTTCTGTAGATTTCTAACAGTTCTGCTTGATTCAGAGCTGAGTTCAGGTCCTGAATATCTTTGTTAATTTTCTGTCTCAATAATCTGTCTAATATTGTCAGTGGGGTGTTAAAATCTCCCACTATTATTGTGTGGGAGTCTAAGTCTCTTTGAAGGTCTTTAAGAACTTGCTTTATAAATCTGGGTGCTCCTGTATTGGGTGTATATATATTTAGGATAGTAGCTCTTCTTGTTGAATTGAACCCTTTAACATTATGTAATGCCCTTCTTTGTCTTTTTAAAAAATCTTTTGTGTTTTAAAGTCTGTTTTGTCAAAAACTAGAATTGCTTTTTTTCTGTTTTCCATTTGCTTGATAAATTTTCCTTGATCCATTTATCTTGAGCCTATGTGTGTCTTGGCACATAAGATGGGTCTCCTAAAGGCAGCATACCAGTGGGTCTTGACTATTTATCTAGCTTGCCATTCTGTGTCTTTTAATTTGGGCATTTAGCTCATTTACATTTAAGGTTACTATTGTTATGTGTGAATTTCATCCTGTCATCATGGTGCTAGTTCATTATTTTGCAGACTTGTTTATGTGGTCACTTCAGAGTGTCACTGGTCTGTGTACTTCAGTGTGCTTTTGTAGTTCCTTTCTACATTTAGTGCTTCTTTCAGGAGCTCTTGCAAGGCAGGCCTGGTGCTGACATATTTCCTCAGCATTTGCTTGTCTGAAAAGCATATTTATTTCTCCTTTGCTTCTGAAGCTTAGTTTGGCTGGATGTGAAATTCTGGGTTGGAAATTCTTTTCTTTAAGTATGTTGAATATTGGACACCAATCTCTTCTGCCTTGCAGAAATTCCACTGAGAAGTCTGCTGTTAGTCTGATGGGTTTCCCTTTGTAGGTGACTTGGCCTTCCTCTCTGGCTTCCCTCAACATTTTTTTATTTCATTTCAACCTTGGAGAATCTGATGATTAAGTGTCTTAGGGCTGATCTCCTAGTGGAGTATCTTATTGTGGTTCCTGGATTTCCTCAATTCAAAGGTTTGCCTGTCTTTCTAGATTGGTGAAGTTCCATTGGATGATATACTGAAGCACGTTTTCCAATTTGTTTCCATTCTCCACATCTTTTTCAGGTCCCTCAATTAGTCGTAGGTTCAGTCTTTTACATACTCCCATATTTCTTGCAGGTTTTGTTTGTTCCTCTTCATCCTTTCTTTCTCTATTCTTGTCTTCCTGTCTATTTCAGAAAGATGATCTGCAGGCTCTGAGATTCTTTCCTTTGCTTGGTCTATTCTGCTACTGATACTTGTGATTGTCTTGTGAAGTTCTCATGTTTTGTTTTTCAGCTCCATCGGGTCAATTATATTCCTCTGTAAACTGGCTATTTTGGTTGTCAGTTCCCGTATTGTTTTGTCATGATTCTTAGCTTCTTTGCATTGAGTTAGAACATGCTTTTTTAGCAAGGCAAAGTTTGTTATTACCCACCTTCTGAAGCCTACTTTGGTCAATTCAGACATCTCAGCCTCAGCCCAGTTCTGTGCCCTTGCTGGAGAGATGTTGTGGTAATTTGGCGGAGAAGAGGCACCCAGCTTTTTGAGTTTTCAGCGTTTTTGCATTGATTCTTTCTCACCTTCATGGGCTTATCTACCTTCAATCTTTGAGGTTACTGACCTTTGAATAAGGTTTTTAGGGTCTTTTTTGTTGATGTTGTTGCTTTCTGTTTGTTTGTTGTAACAATCAGGCCACTCTTCCAGTAGGTCTGCTGTGGTTAGCTGGGGGTCCACTCCAGAATGTAGTCACCTCAGCCCCTCCCACACCTAGATGTATCACCAGGGAAGGCTGCAAAAAGCAAAGATGGCAGCCTGCTCCTTCCTCTGGGAGCCCTGTCCCAGGAGGGCACTGACCTGATGCCCATTGAATGCTTCTGTAAGAGGTATCTGGAGACTCTGTCAGGAGGTCCCACTAAGTAAGTCAGGAGGAATGTGATCAGGGACTCACTTAAAGAAGCCGTCTGGTTGTCCCTTGGCAGAGCAGGTGCACTGCACTGACTGCCCAGCCTCTTCAGAGCCAGCAGCCTGGAAAGACTAAGTTGGCTGAATCACAAAGACAGCAGCTGCCCCTGGCCCTGGGGACTCCATCCCAGGGAGAGATCAGAGTTTTATTTGTATAACTCTGGCTGGAGTTGCTGAAATTCCTTCAGGGAGGCCCTACCCAGTGAGGAGGGATGTATTGGGGTCCCACTTAAAGAAGCAGACTGGCCACAATCACGCAGAGCAGCTGGGCTGCCTTGGGGGGAATACCTCTGGTCCTGGGTGCCAGCAAGCTAGAACTGCCAACTTGAACTGCAAATGTGGCAGCTGCCCCTCCTGCTGGAACTCGGTCCATCTCAGGCTGTCTCCAACCTGCTGCTGCTGGCCAGCTGGAATTCCAAGCCAGTGGGTCTTAATTTGTGAGGTGTTGTGGGAGTGGAGCCTGCAGAATGACACTACTTTGCTCCCTGGATTCAAGGTCCTTACTAGAAGAATCCATGGGCTCTCCTGCCTTGCCAGAATTCCTGGGTTGGAGCATGCAAAACTCCTGGGTTTCCCTGCATGTCCACGGAAGTGGCCACTCTGCTGATAATCTACAGAGCTCTGTGATTTGGACCCAAGGCTCTGGTGATGTGGGCTCATAAAGGGATCCCCTGATCCGTGGGTTGCAAAGATCTATAGGAAAAGCATGGTTTTCTGGGAAGGGTCACACTATCACTCACCACCTCCCTTGGTTGGGAGTAGGGGCTTCCCTGGCTCCGTGCCTCTCCTGGCCCCACCCTGACTTTCCTTGCTCTCCATGGGTCAAGCCAACTGCTAAGTCAGTTCCAATGTCAGAACCTGGATACCTCAGTTGAAGATATAGAATTCACTTGCTGTTTTGTGAGAGCCATGGACTGCAGCTGCTTCTAATAAGCCATTTTGGTCCCTCTTGGTACTTAAATTTATTTTTGTAATTTTATCAGATTTTGAACATATAGTGATACACTTTTTATATAACATTATGTAACTCTATTAACATTTTTAATCTGGATTCTTATTGTTGGACTCTGTCCTAGTTTTCCAGTTTTTCTATCTTTAACAAATGACCCTATGCTTACAATAAGGAAGTAATTCTATTGTTTCATCTTCAGGTGTAGACCATAATACTCTTAGAATTGGGAGTTATTCCCGGTTTTTCTTTAGCAATGTACATTTTCTTCTTTTTCTTCTTACTTATGTTTTGCTTTCCCTAGTGCATTTTAGACCCCTAAGACTCTTTACCTTGGTGCATATCAAAATGGTCTGCTTCTGTGCAAATTGAACTTACACACTTAAATGTTGGATTTATCTTCTAGCCTGAGGGTATATTTTTCATTCTGAAGCCTGGGCATTTTACTATGAAGAGTAGAGGTTGTTCTAGTTAATCTAATGTAGTCTGATATTTAATCTGTACAAGAAATAATGAAACAAACCTAAGGGTACACTAATGCCTCTGCCAGAATCCATCAATTCCCATTGTGACCTTTACATTCTGAAATTCATACCACCTTTTACATATTTCTATCTTTAACCACATTGTACTGCTCAGAATTACGATTCCTGAGAGGTGTTATTAGTAATACAGAAGAAAGAATGAGGTAGTATTTGTTATCCTAAATATATGTTCCTAACCAACATTATTAATAAAGTGGGATTCTGTTTTCCTAGTAGGTGAATAATATACATTCAAAATTGTGGAGGGCAAGTTGAGCATTTTTGGTCTGCTCCTTTTATGAGTAAGAAAGTCTTTTCAGTTTTCTAAAACAGTACCATTAAGTTCATAATCTGAGAAGATTTTTGAGAAGTGAAAACATTACCTTGTAGGACTTAGAAATTTTAGCTACAGAGTACAGCTATTTCAATATAGTTGATAGATTGGCATGCCTTATGGAAAAGTCATTTTTACAGTAATCACATAGTTTTGGAAATCATAGAAATGAAGAATAAATTAAGGAGATAATGTCTGCCTAGTTGTTTTACTCAGTTGACTCTAACTTGATGAAGATGGACAGATGTTAAAAGATGCCATTGCTTTCCATTGTATATATTTGAGAAAAGATGGGAAGCATCCCATAATAGAGAAGGCTCTTCCTGGAATTTTTATGGTAGAAGAGGATTCTTCATTTATAGTATTGATGACATGTTGAACAGATTAATGGAATTTTTCATTTTATCATTATCATTCTCATTGCCAATATTTTGCTGGGTTAGTGTTCTGGACAACTAAAATATTCTGTATTTCTTTCATGTTCTTTATTCTACTGCAGGTATTTATAATCCACTCTTGATCATGTGATGGACTGTTTGTACCAGGCACTGGGATAAAGAGATGAAAACATAATCTGTCCCCCTAGATCAATCTGTTTATAGCATACAGATCATAACTAGAAATTCTTAATCTCTTCTTTCTCTTAGATTCTTAGGTTTGTCTGTAGCCTGGAGCACTTTTCTGATGTCATGAATGTTTGTTTTTTGGTGTTGAAAGTATAGCTTTTATGCCAAACCCAATGAAGTCTTATATTGTCTTTGTCTCTATTTCAATTTTAAAGACCTTCAAGCTGAGCATTTAAATAAATATTAACTGTTACAAGCTGAAGATTTTACTTTGATCTCTATATTTGATTTATTGATTGTTTTTAATTTATAGTAATATGCCACTGATTAAATTCACATTGTACAATTCAGTAGCTACAGTTTCTAGATTAAAAACATATGTGACTTACAAAAAAAGCATGTTTTATGAAAGTTTGGATACTCTGTTTTCTCATGGTTCAATAAAAACCTCAGGTTATTGAATTTCAACTCACAGTGCAAGGCACAACTCTTTAGTTAAGCCTTTTTCAATTTGGCTATAAGCATCTTATTGCTGCAAAAACCTGAAAGCTCAGCATTTTTTTTTCTTGCTGATTTTATACCTAATGTGTTTCCAGTGGCAGTGATAAGTGCAACTATTATTATGAGTTTTATATATAAATATACATCTTCTGTGAGTCTGCCAGAAGTAGCAATAAACACAACAAACTGTAGTTTTAGACCCCTGGAGTAAGAAACAAATATGTATTCATTTCTATCTATAAATTTTAATTATGGATATATTACATTAATAATAAAATCCTAAAAAAGTCCTTACATATATCTAAAGATAGCTTTACAGTGAAAGCATAAAAGCATAGCCTGATATAAATGGACAACTACCATATGTAGGAAACCAGGGCATGGCTTTTCTCTCTCAGAGAAAATGAAGATGGGATTTACTATTGAATATCTTTTCCATGTGAGAATTAAAAACTGTCTCAAACACATTTTGTTACTATTAAAATATGATTGTGTGTGTGTGTGTGTGTGTGTGTGTAATTAGCTCAATCTTCTAAAAATGTTTCATTGTAACCTGAACTTGGCCCAACTCTCTTTTTGGAAATCCCATGCTGTTTATGCAACAGACTTTCAGACATCTCCTTCCTTGAGGTTGCGCTAAATTAACATGTCTAATATGGAATCCCTCCATACATAACCCTTGCTAAGTACTTGTTGTTGTTGTTTTTTTATACCAATGAATTAGAACCTGAGATTCATTAAAAATACCACTATTTTCCTGGCTGTTTAAGCCAGAAAATGTCACTCTCCTTGCATCACCAGCTCTATTAATTTAACAGATTAAATAATCTTCTGTATTTCACCACCACTGTCTGGTTTCAAACTTTTAACATTTCTCATAGGAATTTCTGAAATGACTTCAAGCTAGTTCTTCTGGTTTAAAATGAATATCCCCACAGTCAATTTTCCACATTTCTACTTTGCCTTCAGGACAAAATACAAGTTTTTATATTTAATATGCTAGACTTATTATGAGGTGCCTTCACTGTATAAGTTTTGAGTAAGGGCTAGTCATATACCAAGGTGCTGGCAATACAATACTCACATTTTTTCTGCCTTTTTTTTTTTTTGCCCCTACTTCTTTTAGCCTGTAATGTCCTTCTATATTTCAACTAATTTCTATAGCATCTCTTCTGAGAGCGTGTCCTTCAGCCACACCCTGATTTAGGTACCTCTTCTGACACTGCTGGCATCCATTCACTTCCATGTTTACTTTATATTATCTGATCATCAGAAGGACCCTGTCTTGAGTCTCACCACCAAGGACACATGTCCTCCTTGAATAGTCTTTTAGTTATGCAAATGTCTTCACTGGCTATCTCACAATCCCTCTTTATGTTGTATTTGCTTTCAGTAGCAGTTGTGGGCCATAGTTTAATACCTAAAGCTTTATCATTCTACTCTACTAAATAACCTACCTTTATACCTTTTCCCAGAGATGACTTTTATATTAAGTGGAATACTGGGCAAAATAACTTCAAAAGTCTCTTTTGACTGAGGTTTTACAATTCTTATTATTTTGCAGCCTTTTACTTCCTATCTATAAAATTGCATTGGAAAAAGATGCATAACTCTGTACACTCTGCCAGCACTCTCTGTTCTCACTTGGAGCCTTCTTTTTCTGCATGCATTACATATCTGTCTTTGTCTTGAGTCCCTAAGCAAACTTACTTCGATTCATGCTGCAACTTCCATCCTTTACAGCAGCTCTAGTCGTAACTGCTTAACAGGTAGTCACACTGGAGAGATTAGCCCTGATCTTAAAATATTGCCAGTCTCTTTAGGTTGCTGGTGAGTTTATGTAAAATACTGCTTAAAACATTCTTAACACAGTTATTGCAAGAGTAAGACCTCAATAAATGTTACCCATTGATATGGTTTGGCTTTGTGTCTCCACCCAAATGTCATCTTGAATTGCCATCTCCAGGTGTTGAGGAAGAGACCTGGTGGGAGGTGACTGGATCATGGGATGGGGGTTCCCCCATGTTGTTCTCATGGTAGCAAGTGTGTTCTCAGGAGATCTGATAGTTTTATAAGTATGTGACATTTCCTCCTACATACACTCTTCTCTTTCCTGCTGCCACGTGAAGAAGGTCCTTGCTTCCCCTTTGCCTTATGCCATAAGTGTAAGTTTCCTGAGGCCTCCCAGCCATGTGGAAGTGTGAGTTTATTAAACCTCTTTCCTTTGTGACTTATCCAGTCTTGGGTAGTATATTTATAGCAGTGTGACAATGGGCTAATTCACCCATTCTTTTAAAACGCATTGAAGGTATAATAACATTGTAAAACTATAATACCGTGAGTCTGGAATAGCACATATCTGTGGGGTGGGGTACAAATGTATGCAAGGGTAGAAAAGTTGGATAAAAGATGAGTAAGTACCTTAAAGCGTTTGATCTTCAGTGGGCTCCGAACTGTGTTATCTATAAGGTAAAATCCAAAGGACTTAAAAGATAAGGAAGAATCCTTAAGTTGAATGCCACTGAAATTCTGTCACCTCTTGAAGAATTATTGAATCACTCTAAGAATTAGTTTCTTTAGAAAATAAGAATATATTATTTCATGGCTAATGATCGTGTGGATAAAAGGCAGTTACTGAGCCCTGTTCTATCATAACAAAAGGGAAAGTGTATTCTGAGATCTTGAGCTATATGAATCTGTGGTAAAAAAAAAAAAAAAAGATTACATTTGGAGAAAAATTCCTAATTCTCACACCTTCTAGAACCTTTCCTTAAAAGTAATGAGGGGCTTACTTTGTATTTACTATTCTACTGCCAATTTTACTTTCAGTCAGAAAGGTAGACATACCCCCAGTGAAAAGTTCTGGCTAGAACAAACAAGAAAATTAAAAATATGCTCACTTAAATTTCTTTCCTTTCTGTATTATTTTCTTCTCTTTTTCTTTTTCTTGCTTTTCCAGGCTTGGCTTAAAAGTCTGGGGGTATAGGCTAGTTATTTTTCCGCTTCTCAACACTTGATATCGTATTCAGTTTTGTCACTGATCCACCTCTTAGAAACATACTCTGTCCTCAGTTTTGGATATCACACAAATAGTAACCGTAGATTTCATTTTACCCGTAATTTGAATATGCCTCCTCTAGAACTAAAGCCTTCCTCTACTTCCTAATACTATCCTGACAATCTTAAAAAAGATTCATATAAAAAATTGTAGCAAAATGAAAGTGATCTCTAACTATAATTTAAAGCTCCGTGAATCTGTGGTAAATGGAGTAGGATTGGAGAAGACAAGTCTAATCCTTCTGACTTCTAGAGCCTTCCATTAAAAATAATTAGGGCCTTACTTTTCTATCTATTATTCTACTTTCAAATTCTACTTTTAAAAATTATCAGAGATAGTGAACGGACTTTTACAGTAAAACAATTCCTAAGAATTGTTCTCCATTTTGGTACTTATTCATTTTATGATGAAAAGGAAAACAAATCTATTTTCTGTCACAAGGCATGTTTATGTATAGTATGAATCAAAAGAAAGATACTGTGTATCAAAACAATACTTATTATTCTATAATTACTGTTGGAAAAATTATTGATTATCGTCTATACAAAAATAATTATAAATATGTTAATTCCAATCCTCAGAACAATACTGTGAGGAAGCTCCTATTTCCCCCTTTAATAAGTGAAAGAATAGAAGCCACAGGGATAAACTGACTAGCTCAGGGCGACCAAGCAAGCGCATGTCAAAGCTGGAAGTCAAACCTAAGCCCCTCTGATTCCAAATGGTACATGTTCAAATTTAGCACACAGTTTTGTTGACTCATAGAAATTGCACATGGAAGAGAAATCCTATAAGACATACACATATACTGGTGAATTTAAAGTAGTTTTTAAGAAGTTTAGGGTTAGGGGAAGTAATCAGGAAAGAATGTGAATATGAAAAAAATTGACTGAGATATATTTTGCATTATCCCTTGCAAAATAAAAGTGCCTAAAATACTTGTTATAGCTGTAGTGATAGTGGATACAATTTGCTACTCACTAAGTATAGTTATAAATTTAATCAAAAAGTCAAAATGTGACAGAAATATGATAATGAAGGAGGGGATACTGTTTCAATATTAATTTGTTTTCTTGTTTGTTCCTGCCATTGTGTTAGTATTTTTGCCATTGGAACTTAACTGGCAGAAACCGTGCAGGAAGATGAATTCTCTGCTCACCACTCTCACCCCAGAGAACATAAAGGATTAGATGGTTATAGCAAATTCTAAAGGCATGGCTGGGAACCGCAATAGCTTTTTTTATTTTTTATTTTTATTTTTTGCAATGCTCGAGGTGTTTAGAGAGAGAAAGCAGTGAATTAAAACCTCCTCTTTTTTTGGCTGGTAACAAATTTCTTCTTGATGCAGAGATAGCCTTGATAGCAAGACAGAACCAAGATTGAATGATAAAGGCAATTAATGAAAAAGGCTGAATATTAAAGAGTGATCTTAGATCAATATTCAGATAGCATTCAGTTCCTAATATTCTTCTACCAAAGAGGAGGTGAGTGGAGCTTGTCACACACAATTGAGAGCATTATACTTTACCCAAATGTTGTAGTTGAGAATAAAACAGAGTAATGTGCTCTGTAAAGGTGAGTCATTAAATGGTAAAGTTTTAAGCAAAAGGCTTTATGCAAAATAATTTTGCTAAAATGTATTATAATCTGGCCAGGATGGAGTTAAATATTTTACCTTATTCAATCAGAAAACACACAATTTTAAAAGCAACAGTCTTGCTAAATGCAATAAAAGACTGTCTTTTGACATTAAAAAATGCTTCAAAAATTACTTATTAATTTGATTTGGGTTACACCTTACTGTTAGAGTAACTTTTTTGACAAATGCCTCAAGATTGGTTGTCAATGAGATATCACAATGAGTACTAGATTGGCTAACTTTTTCTCCATCTCTGTGCAGGTTAATATGAGATGGATGAGAGAAACACAAATTATATCATTTAATACAATTTGGAATGTTTTCTCACTCAGAATGTCATTAAAACATAGACTTCTCCTTTTCTCAGAAAGCCCACGATTTTTGTTTGTTTTGTTTTTTTTCCCCAAGAGATTGAAAAGTTCTTAAGAGCAGATGTAATGATTTTTGCTTTTTCTCCACTCTTCAAAGCTTCCTGCAATGTGTGTATAATGTAGTGAATACTCAGTAGATTCTCTGGGACTGAAATAACCATCCTGTACCACAAAAAGCAAAACAGAACCAAAAACAACAACAAAAAATGTAAATACATAAGAAAGAATAAGAGACATAGAGGATCCAGTGAGAATTTGCACCACCCATGCAATTGATATCCTAGAAAGATAAAAGGGAGACTAGACAAGAGTGATGTTTAAATAGGTAATACCTGAAATATTGTCAGTATAATGAATTGACAATACCTGAAGTGTTGTCAATATAATGAATATCACTGCTACAAATTCATGAAGTACTACAAACCTCTAGCACATACGTAGAACATTATCTTCTGTTCTACGTATGAAAACCAATGAGAAAGAGAAAAATCTTAAAACAGCCGGAGGCAAACAATTACTTTCAAAGAAAGATAAATTATACTCAAGCTAACTTCTTAATAGAAACAACAAAAGCTAAAAAACTACAATATAATTTTCGAAGTGAAGATGGAAATAAAGGTAAAGACATTTCATATGAACAAGAACTCATAAAACTTTTTGCCGGAAGACCTATACCACAGGAAATATCAAGGGTATTCTCCTGACAAAAGTAAAATGCAAGGGAAAGAGTAAATACGGTGGTTCATCTAAGAGAAAACAGATGATATAAAACAATAATATTAATGTTTTAAGAGTGTTTTTGTATATGCTGTAAATATATAACAACAAGAGCATAAAATTTTGGATGAGTTTAGATAACAGTAATATATTTAAGTTCACTGACTTGCCTGTGAAGACAATACTAAAAGATTCAAGGGAATAGATGAAACAAGTTTATTACACAAACACTAACCAGCAGAACATAGCTTTAATATCAAACAATGTAAACTTTAGGGCAAAAAATTAGAGATAAAACCGTCATGTTTTACAATGACAATAAACTTATTCTTCAGGAGAAACATAACATTTCTAAATTTGCACGTACTTTACAACGTAACCTCAAAATACAAAATTCAAACTTTAACAGAATCAAAATTGCAGTAGAAAAATCCATAAACATAATGGGATGTTTTAATACCACTCTCTTAGTAACTGATAAAATATGCAGATAAAAAATCACTAAATTACAGAAAGTTAAGCGATATTATTAACAAAATCAGTCTAACTGACACATATGAAATGCTGAATCTCAAAACCTGTATTATGAACATTTTGAATCTCAAAAACTAGAGAATGAATTAGGTATATATGAAATATTTACCATAATTGGACATATGAATAGCTTTAATGTACATCTTATAAAACATTTCAAATGGTTGAAATCATACAGAACATGTTGTCTGAACACAAAAAATTGAAATTAGACAATATCAATAAGTTAATTAGAAACTCTTCAAAAGTTTGCAGATTATGCATTTCTAAGAAATTCATGATTCAAAGAAAAAATCACATTGTAAACCAGAAAATATTTGAGCTAAATAGTAATATAAATCTGCATATTCAAAGGATATGGGTCCCACCTAAAGCTATGCTTAGGCAGATATTTGGTCTTAAATGATTAATGAAAGAATAGCTGAAAAGAAATGATTTAGGAGTTCATCTCAAGAAGTCAAAATAATAGCAATTTTGGTCTCGATCGAGGAAAGATAAAGAGCCAGTGGTAGCTGAGGTGGCAGAAGAGGTGAAAAAGGAATACTCTGGCATGCCCTACCCTTACAAAGCCAAACATACTTATCACCTGAAGATCTCCAGAGAGTCGTTTTGAACCTGGTAAAGAGGTTTTGGTTCATTTCTTCCCGGTAATTGAGAGGACAGATCCCTGGAAGATGGTAATCTGAAGTTCAGTCTCGGCATGGCCATTGTAGTCCCTAACTCCAGGCTTCACGAGCTGTGCAGCGTTAGAGATGTTCTTGATTTCTATAAAGTCGCTGTTCACAACAGATGTAAATTTGATGAACTTGATGCCAATAATCTGCCTCTCAATTTGAAAACCACCTGAAGTTACTGAGCAATTCAGAAGAGAAATACTTTAAAATAACTTTTATCCCTGAGCAAGGGAGATGCTTATTAGACTTTTTGATACTTTACCATGTAAAATGCTATCAGAACTGCCCATAAACCTACTTTTTCTGTAGAATTGTGCATCATCCTTTTTTCTCATATCGTGAATCAATAGAGAATAACAGAATTTTCTGTGGTCATGTTTGCCAAAACCATTTTTTTAAAAAATGGAACCAAGTCATTAATAACTTAGGAAAATCTTCTTCTTGAGAGGATACTGTAATTAACTTGGATTTAAGAAACGAGGACACTGCAGGTTCAGACCCTTCATACGCATAAAGTAGTGGTTGCAAGAAAATGGTTTAATCCTGTTAAGACTCTGAAATCTAAGATAAAATTATTATTTATAGCACACATAAAAATAAGGAAAATTATATTAGGTTAGATATTTATAAAAGAAACATAAAAGTCTGTGTTGTACATTACTGTCCAATCTGGATTAATTTCTTTTGGAATTAAAGTAGATTTATTAAGGTGAAAAAAGTGAACATCCTGAAAGCCCCGCTGATATTAATAATATTATTACGAAAACGATGTTGGAGAAAGATTATGAGGTTATATAACCATATTTTTTGTAAATATTTCTGTGCCAATACATTAGCACTATAGATGACTTGTACAGATTTCTACAAAATAATAATTATTGCTAATTTGAGAAGAAATTAAAATTCTGTGTAGTCTTCTAAACTCTTTTAAAACTGTAATCTCTTAAACTTTAAGTAAATTAAATCTCCAGTTAAAAACTTTCCAGCAAAGTACAGATGCAGATGACTTATTGCTGAATCCTAACAAAGTTAAAATAGCTAACTATATGTAAATTCCAAACAATAAGAAATCTGGCCAGATGAGGTGGCTCACTCCTGCAATCCTAACACTTTGGAAGGCGAAGGAGGGAGGATCGCTTGAGCCCAGGAGTTCAGAGCTAGAGTGCCCTAGTGGGATGATAGCTTCTATCCATAGTGATCCAGCCTGAACGACAGAGTGAGACCTTGTCTCTAAAAAATAAATAAGTAAGACAACTATTTGAATTTATTTTATGAGCTGAATATTATCTTGACATGTTTGGTAAGAGTATTAGGGAAAAACTGTAGTCCAATGTAACTCATAGAACATAGATGAAAACATCTTCAAATACGAGAACCCTAGTCCAGTGATATATTTAAAAAGACAATACAACCAAAGTAGATTCATCCTAGGAATTCAAGTTTGGTTTAACATGCTAAAATCAATATATGTAGTATAATACATTAACAGAAGGAAGAAAAAGGAACATATGACTGAATAGATACAGAAATGGGATTTGATAAATGAAAGTTTAAAAAGGAAAATATTTTAGTAAAGTCAAAATTGGAAGGAAATTTCTCAACTTGATAAAGGAATTTTGCAAAGTACTACAGTGAAAATAAAATTAAATGGTAAAATGTTGCAAGCTTTCTCTCTCTGATTAGGAGTAAGGCAAGGATGCTTGTTTGTAGTCAGCAAAGATGGCAAAAAGAATTAAAAATAATAAGAACTAGAAAAGAAATAAAATCATCATTATTCAAATATATTATGTTTTTATATGTATAAACTCCAAAATAATCTATAAATAAGAATGAAGAAGTGAGTTACTGGATGTATATTCAAAATGCAAGAGTTAATTGTATTTTTGTGTGCCAGCAAAAACAATGAAACTTTAAAATATTCAATTTACAAATCACATCAAGATGTATCTAAAACCTAATGGTAAATCTAATAGAAATTGAATGAGATGTATTACTATATTCAGCCACTCTGTGTCTTACGATTGGAAATGTTAATTTATTTAAATTCAAGGTAATTATTAATAAGTAAGCACTTTCTACTGCCACTTTGTTAAGTGATTTTCAGTTGTTTCAAAGATTATTTATTTTGTTATTTCACTCTTCCTTGCTGTCTTCCTTTGTGGTGAAGTAAGTGATTTTCTTGAATTTTATGTTTTGATACCTTGGTTTGTGGTTTTTTGTGATCTACTTAGACTGTTGCTTTGGGGTTATCATAAAGCAAACAAAAATCATTTATAGTTACATCAGATTGTTTTAAGCTAAAAACAGGTTGATAGTGATCACACACATACATACACACACACACACACACACACACAAACTATACATTTTTACTCTACTACCCATCCCAAATGTTGAATTTTTGATGTAACAAGTTAAATCTTTTTATATTGCATATCCCTTAAATTATTGTAGGTATTTTAATTTTTATTAATTTTGTCTTTCAACCTTCATAATAAAGATATAACTGATTTACTTACCACCCTAACAGTATTAGAGTATTATGAATTTGACTGTGTACTTACATTTACTAGTGAGTGTTATGCTTTCAGATGTTTTTGTGTTACTCATTAGCATCTTTTTCTTTCAGTTTGAAGAACTCCCTTTAGCATTTTTTTTGTAAGACAGATCTAGTGGTGAAAAATTTCCTTAGTTTTTGTTGTCTAGGAAAGTCTTTATTACTCCTTCATTTCTGAAGGATAGCTTTTCAGGGTACAGTTTTCTTGTTTCACAGTTAATTTCCCTTTAACACTTTATGTATATTATCCCTCTTTCTACTGGCCTGTGAGGTTTCTTTGAGATGTCTGCTGCTATTGTATAGGAACTTCCTTATAAAATGTGTGTTTCTTTCTTCTTGCTGTTTTCAGCATCCTCTCTTTGGCTTACATTTATGACATTTCTATTAAAGCATCTTAGGGTAGTTTTGCTTAGATTGAATCTGTTTGAGGAATCTGACCTTCTTATACCTAGGTATTTACATCTTTTCTAGGTTTAGAATGTTTTCTGCTACTATTTATTTTCCTTGATTTTTGTTTAATTGTTATTCCACTCCAAGTCTCTGGAACTGCTACTCTTTCTTAAATAAGATTTCTATTCCTTTATTTTTCTTTTCTCCTTCTTAAATTTCTGAGTCAAAAATTTGCTCTTTTGATGTTGTCTCATAAATCCCATAAGCTTTCTTCATTCCTTTTCATTTTTTTCTTCTTTTGTTCTTTGACTAAATATTTTTAAATAACCCATCTTCAAGTTCACAGATCCTTTTTTCTGCTAATCAGTTCTGCTATTGATTCTCTTTATTGTATTTATTGTTTTGTTCATTGTACTCTTTAGCTCTATGATTTCTGTCTTCCTTTTAAAATTATTTGAATCTTTTTATTAAATTTCTCATTCTGGTCTCTTGCTGTTTTCCTTATTTTGTTGATTTATTTCTTTGTATTATCTTGAAATTCATTGACCTTTCTCAAAACAATTATATTAAACTGTCAGGCAGTTTATACATTTCCATTTCTTTAGTGTCAGTCACTGACCCATCACTTTGTCTGGTGATGACTTGTTTCCCTGATTTTTGTGATGGAGCATTGATTTTTGCACATTTGAATTAGGTATTATTTTAGTTTTCACACACTGGCTTTGTGAAATTTCTGCAGCAGGCATGGCACTGGGGTGAGCCAGAAGCCCATGGAAGATGCAGGCAGTGAAGTCTTGGGGCATGCTAATGATCTGGGGCACACTGTGACTGGGTCTGGCACTGGCAGAAGCCCAGGGCAGATGCAACTGCCATGATACTGAAATGTGCCAGAATTCTGGGGTCACCGAGGTTCCCTGACACTAAGGGCTGTCCACAGCCTTCAAAATTATTGTTTTAAGAAGGCGCAATGAATTTCAACGTAATACAGATAAACACTGAAGGCTTTCTAGAGCCTCGGGCTACCAAAGTAGGCCTGTCAGTATGCAGGCTAGAGATCAATTCTGCCATGCAAGCCTGAAGGCTGGGGCTGTGTGGTCTTGCCTGGTACCAGGGTGGATCCTGAGGGTCATTCTGTGAGTGCCAGCCTGGAATATGGTGCCAAGGTTACTTTGACAGATCCAGTGTTGCAGTCCATGACAAAATCCTGTGCTTACTTTCCTCCCTTTTTCCCAAGTACATGGAATCTCTCTCTGTGTATATTGCCTATAGTAGGGGGAATGGTGACATGGGTAGTGTAAAACTGTCCTTCTTACCCTCTTCAGTGTATCTTTTCGTATTATTGTACTACAATCAGGTTCTGTGATCTTTTACCTGCTTTTCATAGCTCTTGTGAAAATATTTTTGGTGTGAATACTTGTTCAAATAGATGTTTCTGCAGGGAAATGATAACTGGAGGGTCCTACTCCACCTTTTTGCTCTATCTCTCTCTTTCTCAATGCTTAAATATTTCAAATGTGTTTTATGCACTTTTGCAGACTTAAAAAATTTATTGTACATGGAACTTCTAATTTTATTCATGACCAAAACTGAGAAACAATCAACTCTCCTCTGTTACAAAACCACGTTACCTTCAACAATCCAGCTACTTACTGCTAAACTAGTCTATATAGTAATCCATTGTTGCTATGAAGAACAAGGCTGGGCTGTCTCTGAAGTACCATTACGACACTTGAAAACATTTTAAATACTCAGTAGAATAGTCTCACCATGCTTAAAACAATTCAGTACTGGAATAATGCTCCCCCAAACATCTCAGAACTTACTGTTTACTCTCATCTGGACACCTGTGGCTACCGAGGTCTTCTGTCAGAAATGAATGAATGATTGCATCTTCATAGGATCTCCATGGATCATCCTCCAGTTGGTTTACTGAGGCAAATTTTGTCAATCAGAGAATAACTGCAATGAGCAGAAGAGTTGTCATATCTCATATTTTTCCTTTTGCAAATATTTATGACCTTAATTTAGGATAGCAAAATCATTTTACTCATTGGAAATTTATAGCATGCAGTGGTCAATCTCAGATAATTTTATTTGGAGCTCTCATAGGGGACTAATTTTTGTCTTATGTAAATGGATAATTAAGCTCCTTTGTTTTATTGCCTAATTGTAAACTAACCATTCAATATGTATAGATTTCTTACAGCAACACTTTAGAGAATGAGGCCTTTTCATCAGCAATATTTGTGTGTTACTGTCATATATCGATGAGCTATCACCTACTGCAGCTCTGATAACATGCTGACCTGCCATTCTCTGAAATGAACCATTGTTTTTCACTATTAGTTGTTAAACCTTGCAGTTGTTTCTGTTACATTTTCTTGTAAGTAGGGACATCTGTCTGAATTAAATTTGATCTATCCAATTGCACTGATTATAAAGTACTTATATTTATTTTCAAATTTAAATATCTCTGAGATGCAGATGCATTTTACAGTTGATGATGTCTTACAATTGCTATCAGCTAGGAATAACTTGTGGTCAAAACGTGAAAATCAAACACAAGAAAGCACCAAACTATTTTAGATTAGATAACATATAGTATTTGAGTTTTTAAAAATTTTTATCACATTTATATATGTATAATTATATATGATTATATGTATACATACATATAGATATATACGCAGAAAAACATAGTTTAAAAATCAAATGGAACAGGCCATATAATGAAAAACATTTTTTGCTTTACATCTATATTTTAAAACACATGCTTACTTTGCTGCTTCTTGATTTATGAACTTACTTAAAAAGTAATCTATATACTCCCTCCTATAAATGAGAATTTTGTTGTTTGTTTATACTCTCATACTCTTTCCAGTTTGGTTCCCCAGCTTTCCTCCCACCCTCAGCTCCCGGTTTGTGTCATTTGTACTTCAACTTTTACATTGTCAAGGTTGATTGCATTTACATTCTATGCCATAACTATAATTTAGGCATCAAATCTTTAGCTCTAGATTAATTCTTCCTCTGCCCCCAAGCACTCCAGTAAAATGTGTTTACATAGTGATGATAGTGTAACTATTATTTACTAAAAATCCCAAGTAGATTTCCATTATTATATATTCTTTTCTTTTTCCACAGTAAGGTTTTGTGCCATTCCAAGAAAAATATTAATATCAATCATTTTTTTCTTGTACTTTATCATGCTACTTCAAGCCATATTATGCCTAGCTTTTCATGTATATTATTAATTTTATGTTAAAATTTTGTTAGACTTTCTGATTTCCATCCTTTATTCTTCTTGAGAGAAACATATCTTCTCTTCCATATCCCTGGTAGCTTCCAGTTTTTTATCTACTCCAGCTTTGCTTGGATCCCATTCCATTCTTCTCCTTGATAGTCACTGTTCCCATTTGGCCCATTTGCTCTATGCTTAAGAGTATGATTTTCTTGCCCAACATTTAATTATTTTTTTGAGCTTTCTGGAAGTCTTTCTTATTTTTTAAAAATTATTTCTGCTTGTACTATATACTTTCATGATAATATACATTTTTACAAACTATTAATCATATACTTCAATTTACAAAATATTTTATCATCCCATCTATTGCCCTCTTATTTTATTTTTATTTTTTTGAGAATTTTCTTTGAAATTCCATGCTGTATTAGTTCATTCTCACACTGCTAGAAAGAAATACCCAAGACTGTGAGTCAAAAGTGGTCTAATTGACCCACAGTCCCACGCAGCTGGGGAGCCCTCAGGAAACTTACAATCATGGCAGAAGAGGACGCAGGCACCTTCTTCACAAGGTGGGAGGAGAGAGAGAGTGAAGTAAGAGCGAAGTGGGGAGAGCCCCTTATAAACGCATCAGATCTGTGAGAACTCACTCACCCTGGCAAGAACAGCATGAGGGAAATGACCCCCATGATCCAATCACCTCCCTCCCTCCACACATGGGGATTACAGTTTGAGATAAAATTTAGGTGAGGACGCAGAGCCAAACCATATCATATGCCTTGTCTCTCTAAATTAAATGTTTTCTGTCTTCTGCAAAGTTGTGACTTTCTGTTCACCTATTTTCTGCATTATAAGTCTCTATCATCATCTTTGTTTTATTCCAATAAATCAAATGATTTCCCAAAAGAAGATGTGTTGGAAGTTAAGTCTTCTGATTTCTGATATTTAAAATAACTACATTTACCTTTAATTGATTGCAAGGGTGAATATAGAACTCAAGGAAATTTTTGATGAACCTTTGAAAGTATTTCTTTATTGCCTTCCAGTAAACAATATTGTTACTGAGATGTGTGCTGCCAGTCTGATTGCTTTTTTTTTTTTCTGATAGGTGGCAATTTTTCTTCCGTTCTATAGGTTTCAGGTCTTTGTATTTATTTGGGTTTAGAAATTTCACACTGAGGTTGTTAAGTGAGCTGATTGTCATTTCATTTGATAATTACTATTGGGTCCTTTAAATGAGAAGAATCCTGTTTAACTTTAGCTCTGAGTCACTTTTTTCTATTACTGTTATGATTTTGAGAATATAATTATTTATCTGCATTCTTTCTGGAATTTGAAAGATCACTGTACCCACTGAAGTACATTTTCTTTAATTTTTTTGCACATTTTTGTTCTGTATTCTGGAATATTTTCCTTTAACTTGATCATTGGACAATTCCTGAGAACATTATTTTTGTAATATAACTTTAGTTACATAGAACTCTTTCCTGTTTTCTCTTTTTCTATATCTCCATGTTGTTTTTCTATGACTGCATTAAATACTTCATCTATAAAAATAAATTAATATTTTAAAAGTATTTTCCTACAAATTATTGTATATATATTTTCCTCTTCTTTCATTTATTATCTGTTTTCTTTTTGTTTTTAATTTTGCACCTGCTACTTCATGCTTAGGATTTGATCAAATGAAGTTTGTATTTTCTATTCATGCTTAGGGATATGTGAATAAGTGAACAACCCTGAGAAGTATGCACATGAATTTCTTTTGACTGGTCAATATCCTGAGGTATGAGGGTGCTTGAATGCTCCCCAAGCATCTTGGGTACCAATGCCCACATTACGTGTCCTAATTCTTTGCTAGAAGGTAGTCTCTTTGTTTGTATAAATAATGCTTTTTCTTTTTTCTCTTTTAAACTGCAGTGTAAACACTAACCTGTAGCTTTGTTTTTTCTCATGATGGAGGAAGTTCCACTAAAGATTGTCAACAAATTCTCCTGTTTTTAGCATCACCTTTCCCTCCTGCATTCCTAGTGTGTGTATTTCCAAGCTCCATATCTTTCTAAGGTATGACAAGAGAGGCCTGAAAATGCCTTGGCTGCTGTCTTCTCTGTGGTGTTCTGAGTAGTTGTTTTCCTATGTGTTTTTCTGATCAATACTTATTTATCTACGTCTTAAACTTTGGGGGAAAAATTAAATTTCTTGCCTGAGATGGCCCTCTCCTATTTTTCTCATTTTTCTGAACTTAGGCCTTTCTATTCATTTACCATCAGTGCAGTAAGTCCTGTGAGATAAAGGACATAAAACCATCTTTAATCAAAACACGAATCTTCTGAGTAAAAATATCTGAATTCATGAGAAAAACATTCAACATATGTTGCTAAATGGGCTTTATTTTCTTTAATACACATAATATATAATGTAAGACAGAAATAAAACAAAAGATTAGAGTGGTAATGGCGTGATGTCTGTAAAGAGGTCCTAGAGGCTAATTCAGTCTTAGACAATTTAGTGCTGTGTGACCTGGAAATATATTTCACCTCTTAAAATCTCATTTTATCACCTGTCAGTGATATAAGTAATAAAATTTAACTCATAAAGTTTGTGTAAAATTTAAATAAAATTATGACTGTAAAGAGCTTAGAATGGGATTTTGGTATATAGTACTCTTTCAGTATTTGGTACCTATTTGTCTTACTGTCCCTATATAGTTTTATTTCTGCAATATACATGTATGGCAGAGTGCTTTGGAAGGGTAGAGGAGGAGATAAACACCTCTCCCTAAAGAAGGACCCAGGTTGAAAGGCTTCCATTTATTAGTTAGCCAGTAAATAGGCAGGGTGGAGATGCTCAGTCAGGGGAAAGGTATATGTTAAAGCTTTAAATATTAAAAATTCATTAATAAACTTTTTCACAGCATTTTGAACTGAATGATATTAAGTAAACACGATTAAAATGAATATAAGAGTAAGAGTTGAGTTGAAGAATTAAAATTTGTATGTGTAGATTACTATACTTTCAAGTGAAGCTTAAGGGATTCAAAGAAAAAAATGTCTTCTCCTACACGAGGAGACATCGTTATGTTCATTATTATGGTTAAGGCACTAAAGGGGTTGGAGAAATTTGTGGAAGACATGATATGAAACAGCAAGTCCTCAAAGTATGAAAAAATAACTGTATTGTATTAATGTGTGAAGATTTTAGCTTTGAAGTTTCAGAAGAAAGCTTCCTCTGGGAGGGAGTTAAATGCAGGGGCTGGTGCAGCTGATTCTAAATGTGGAAGACAGGAAAGTTGGAAAAAATTGCTGTCAAAGTAATTGCAAGTATTTGGGACCATTGCAATTTGGCACTAAAGTGAGAGCCAAGACTAATTTCAAAGATTGCTGAGGATTTGAGGTCCATTTTAGATTGAATTGTGGTTTAAAAATATAGTCAAGAAACCTTTTAAAAAATTTCTAAATAATTATACTGTAAATAGAAACCTACGGAACTCACACTACTGACAATGCTCATTATTATGGAATTATATCATCCTATTGAATAAATATTCCTCTATCTATCTGTGGACAGTTTGTCATCAACCTTTAACTTTTATAAACAATGTGGCAATAGTGTCATAAATGTGGAATTTTTAGAAACACATTTCTAACAGTGAGACTACTGAATCAAATGACTCGATCAATATTACGCAACTTAAATGTTTTAAAAAATTGCATTCAAGAAAGTTGAATCAATTTGGGTTGCCACAAGCTATCCATTATTGTAGCAGTTTTACTAAAATCTCAACAGCATTGAGCAATACAATGATTTGGTTTGTTAATATACAGTATGTGCTGTAATAATTTTTTTTAGCATTTATTTAACTTTTTCATATGTTCATTTGAAAATTGTGGTACCTTGGAGTTAATTTTTAATTTTACTCTGCCCTTAATATATTCTATATTAGCTAGGAAAATATATTTTTTATTTTAATTAATTTAAATTTTATCTTTTTTTCTTAATCGAATTAACTACAAAATTCAATGGCAATATTATTGAGTAAATATAACTTATTGAAAATCTATTTAAAACTCAGCATTTAATAGAGCAGGGGTTAGCAAACTTTTCATAAAATGTCAGATAGTATATACTTTAAACTTTGAAAACCATAGTGAGTCTTTGCTGCAGCTATTCAGTTCTGCTGTTGTATCTGGAAAGCAGCCATAGGAAAAAAATGAACAAAAGGGGAAGCCTATTTTTTAAAAAAATATTATTTACAAAAATAAGTCACTGGCCCAGCAGTACCTAATTTCAAGATACACTATAAAACGAGAGTAATTAATTACAATAGCATAATATTAGTAAAATAATATGCATTTAGATAAATGAAACAGAATAAGGAAGCCAGATATTATCTATGAAAGGCAAATTGATATTTGACCAAATAACAGCACAATTTAATGAGGGAATGAACATTTATTTTTTTTTTCAAAAGGTGCCGGAGCAATTCTATAACCATGAAGGAAAAAATAAACTTCAATCTTTACCTTTCACCATACAAGAATTAACTTGAAATAAATATTAAACCTCAACATGAAAGCTAAACTACACACATTTAGAAGAAAACATAGGAGAAATGTAGCCAGTTTGTACAGGCAAACAGTTTTGGATATGACACAAAAATCATGAGGAAAAGACATTACTAAGTAAATGAAAAAGCAAGCCAGAAGCTGGAACAAAATATTCGTATATCTCACAAAGGATTTGTATCCAGAATATATAAAGAGCTCAGAAGACTCAAATATAAGTGGACAGAAATCCAATAGATGTAGTAAAAAATGTCTATCAATCATTAAATGCATGAATAATCAGTTGTATATCCATACAAATCGGAATTAATCACTGATGCACTCAATGATATGAATGAACCTATCGAACTTTATGCTGTGCTAAAGAAGCCAGACACAGAAGAGTACAAATCATGTAATAGCAGTCATATGATACTCTAGAATAGGCAAGTTCAATCTAATCTATAGTGATAGATAGCAAATCACTGGATGCAAAGATTCAGGGTTGGCGGGGTGGATTGACTGAAGAGTCACAGGGTAGCCTTCTGGAGGTAATGAAAATCTTATAGCTTGATGGTAGCAATAATTTCATAATTTTCTCTGTGTCAAAACTCATCGAACTATACAATTAAAATGGTTGTAGTTTATTGTGTACAAATATGGTTCAATGAAGGTAACCCAAAAATAGAGATTATAACACTTTGGCCTTTATACTTTATACCTTCTATTGCTCCAGGAGCTACCTTTCAATTTCTATTCTACAATACACTCATACTAATTAGATCTTTGGACATTTTATTTTTTCCTTTTGTATTTCACATATTCTAGCTGACTTTTTGCTGAGTTCTTCCGCTGTTATTTTCTACTAACAGTTGCTTGGCAGGCAGGATGGTTTACTCATCTGTTGCTACATTAGATCTTAAGCATAATTGTAGCTCAGTTTTTTAGCTTAAAGTTAATTTGTTTGCCCATTGTTGGTAATTCTGAATACATTGGTAAATTCAATAATGACTAATTTTTAGTACCCATAAAATATTTTTAATGACATGAGTATCCAAACAATTTTAAACAGAAACATAACACTGGAGGAATCATAATCCAATTATAATAATATAAAGTTATTATAACAAAATTATAATGTTATAATCAATACAGTGTGCTATTGGGAGAATGATAGATATACAGATCAATGGAGTCGAGTAGGGACTCCAGAAATATACCTATAGAAATGCGGGCAACTGATTTTTGACAGATGTGCCAGGGCAATTCAATGAAGAAAGGACAGTCTTCACTTCACTCACATGTAGTGCATTAAATCTGAAGCAAAAAGAGTTCCATCTCATCTAAATACACAAGTATTCAGGCACACACACAAACACAGAAACAAATTTTATCACTGTATCTTACTTCAATTGCATTTTTAAAATGTAGACTAAAACCAGATTCATATCTTTTAGAATATTAAAAATGGCTGAGCCCTTGGAATTTACATTTCTCTTCTAATCATATCATGTAATATAGCATCTGTTCAGAGGAACACCTAGGCAATTAACACCAAATTTTATAAGTCTAGAGAATCTAGAAATAATATTATATAACTCTTGTTTCACATGCAAAATAGATAGCAGTAGTATTTTGTCAAATTTGAAAATTTTTTAACAGATGAAATAAAACATGAGTATCAATTCTGGTAATGGTTAACTATGTAATAAAAATCATTAGAAATGTCAAAAAATATTTTAAAATATCTATTTAAAGACATGAGAGAAGTACAAAGGCAAAGAGATTCCCATGGCAAAGAGCTGTAAAAGGAGAAAGCCACTAGATAGGAGCTTAAATTTTTTCCACTTTTTTTTCCCTGTAGCAATTGTTAATTTTAAAGTATAAGCACTTCCTGAGAGATTGAGAATCTGAACAGAGATTTTGGCAGTCTCATAAGGACAGAGAGGCTAACAAAAATTAAAGTACAATGTATCACCTGAGAGGTGATCCTTGTCACATCCTCAGAATTTTTATTGGATCTACCTAAGTTTACTTAATAGAATGAAGGTTGAATTATTAAATAGACCAGACTTCACAATAATTGGTTTAATTCATTAAAGAAACAAAAATCCAAAATGTGGGCATACAATATAGCCAAGCTGCTAAATCAATAAAGCAAAAACTAACAGAACAGAAAGAAGTGTTACATAAAAGCATTCCTTTATCTAGATATTTTTATACTCCTTAGTAATTGAAAGAATAAGTACACAGAAAATTAATAGAAGTATGAAAATCCTGAACAATGCTATGAAACTACTTGACCAACTGAAATTCATAGAATATCTTACCCAGCCACAGAACATTACCTATTCTTTCCAAATACACATGAACTTTCATCATAATAGTTCATAATCTGAGCTATAGAAGTCATCTTAATAGCTTTAAGAAAATACAATTATAGAGTGTTTTATTATTATTAATAGCCCTCAATACAATTAATTTCCAAATTATTAAAATATAATATATCTAAAATCTCAAAATATTTGGACAACAAAAATGTACTGGCAAGTAAAAAATAGGATAAATTAGGAATTATAAGTAAAATTAGAAAATATTTTTACTAAAACAAAATAAAAACAACATATCAAAACTGTGAAATATAGCTATGGCAATGCATAGAAGTAAGTTTATAAATTTGGATTCTTTAAGAAGAATCACAGATTATAAATCCAGGAAAAAAACAGCAAATTAAATACAAATGAAATGAAGGAAATAACAGGAAACAGAGTGAAAGTCTGTAAAATAGAAAATGGATAGAGGATTAAAAAAAGAAAATGGACAATGATAAATATATTCAATAAAACTAAAAAATGAAAAGAACAATGCAAAATAAAACTCTACGTAGACTAATTAAAATAGAGAAATGTACATCACCAAATCAGGAATTGAAAAAATCACATAATTATAGAATCTACAGACTTAATGTGATTAATAACCAAATATTAAGGACAACATTATGCCAATATATTTAATGACAGATGAAATGAAAAACTTCCTGAGAGACAAAAGTTACCGAAACTAAGCAAAGAATGATAGAAATGCTGAATAGATGCATCTTCAATAAAATAAATTTATAATTAAAAACCTTTCTAAAGAAAATTCAAGATGCAAATGAATTCTATCAAATGGGTGAAATCTATCAATTATTTAAAGAAGAATTATTAAGAAAACTAAGCAAATTTTTTCATAAAATAGAAGACAAGGAGCACTTCTAAACTCATTTTAGAAGGCCAACATTACATTAACATACAAACCAGATGAAAACATACAAGGGCCAGGTGTGGTGGCTCATGCCTGTAATCCTAGCACTTTGGGAGGCTGAGGCAGGTGGATCACTTGAGGTCAGGAGTTGGAGACCACGCTTGCCAACATGGCGAAACCCCATCTCTAATAAAAATACAAAAATTAACCAGGTGTGATGGCAGGCACCTGTAATCCCAGGCTTAGGCAGGAGAATAGCTTGAATCTGGGAGGCAGAGGTTACAATGTGCCAAGATTATGCCACTGCACTCCAGCCTGGGCAACAGAGCAAGACTCTTCTCAAACCAAACAAACAAAAAAAACAACAAAACATACAAGAAAACTACAAAGAAATATCTTTCTTTAATGTACATAGAGGCAAAAATACTTAATGAAATATTAGCATATAAATATTTAGAATGATCACATTAACCCAGGGTCAGTTAATTTTAAAAAGACAAGGTTGATTTAATAGTAAAAAAAAAAAAAAAAAAAAAACAAAATCAATCATTGTTAAAAAAGGAAAAGTTTATCATTGTTTTAATAAATACAAAAAAAGCTTTTGACAAAATTTAACATCCATTCATTATCAAAAAAATAAACTCTCAGTATATAAGTAGAAGAAACTTCCTAATTAATTTTAAAAAAATCTATGAAAAACCACTTAGTTCTGTAACACTTATAAGATTGGTAAGCAACTAAAGATGTCTATTTTCATAAATGAAATTGTATTTGGGTCCCAGTCACGAGATAAAGGCAGAATAATAAATAAAAACTATACAGATTTGGTAAGTAACTAATATGATTTGGATGTTTATCTTCTCCAAATCTCATGTTAAAATGAAATTTCCAGTGTTGAAGGTGAGGGCCGGTGAGATTTGATTGGATTATGGAGGCGGGTCCCTCATGAATATTTAAGCACCATCCCCTTAGTAATGAGTGAGTTTTCACTCAGTTCAGGTGGGATCTGGTTGTTTAAAGAGTGCGGCCCCTCCCCGCCCGCTTTGCTCTCTTGTTCCCACATGACCCACTTGCTCCCCCTTCGCCTTCTCATGATTATCATCTTACTGAGTTATCAGAAGCAGATGATGGCAGAACACTTCATGTACAGCCTGCAGAACTGTGAGCCTATTAAATATTGTTTTTTAAATAAATTACCCTGCCTCAGGTATTAGTGATACAAATGGACTAATACAGTAAAACACACACACATACACACACACACACACACACACACAGATTGCATTATTTGAAGATAACATGACCATGGATGGAGAAAATCATTATGAATTTCAAAACAGCTATTACATTATACTAGATTATAATAAGTTTAGCAAGCCTGCAGGATATAAACTGATTTATTAAAATTAATTAATTAGGCATCTTATATAAGAAACATTTACTTAACCAAGACTACAAAAATATTTTTTCATTTATTTTGCTCTAGAATTTTTTTCTTAGACATAACAATACCAACAATATATTATTATAAATAATAACTGTTAATTGAGTGTGTGTCGCAAACAGCTATGAAAGGCATTAATATCATTTCTAGTTTACAGATGCATAACTAAGTAAACTGAGACTTAGAGAGGTTAATTAAACAGCTCACAGTTGGCTGGGCGCATTGGCTCATGCCTGTAATCCAAGCACTGTGGAAGCCTGAGGCGGGTAAATCACAAGGTCAGGAGTTCAAGACCAGCCTGGCCAAGATGGTGAAACTCCGTCTCTACTAAAACTACAAAAATTAGCCAGGTGCGGTGGCAGGCACCTGTAATCCCAGCTACTCAGGAGGCTGAGGCAGGAGAATCACTTGAACCTGGGCGGCAGAGGTTGCAGTGAAGTGAGATCCCGCCACTGCACTCCAGCCTGGGTGACAGACTGAGACTCCATCATCTCAAAAAAAAAAAAAAAATTGCTCACAAGTAATTTGCATATTGTTTTCTGATTTAAAATTCTTTGTTCTTTCACCTTTACACTGTCTTAGTTCATGATAGGGATGCTGGGCAGTAAATAACTTATAACAATATTGTTTTAAAACTCATAAAAGTTTTCTGATAAAACCAGTTGATGGGTCTACATTTTGTGACAAAATAACCCAACTCTAAGTTCCAATAATATAGAATAGGCTTAAATAGCCTATGTCCAGCAGCAATGAGAATGTATCTGTAGTTAGACTAAGGAACCAAGGAACATCTGATGCAATTATTGTGTAATATAATCATTTGCCAACAGTTGCATTTTTCTTTTGCATCTCTCACTTTCTAACCTTTCTCATTTATAATCTTATTCTCTTTGTTCTTTTGTAATTCCTGGGACATTACTGCATAATACTGTTCAGCCATACCCTCAGGAAAAGTATGTTGCTAATCCGCTTGTTAGATCGACTGCCTAGGAATAAAGGCTGGCATCTTATGCTGTTCACATTCTTCAAATATAGTCAGCAATTCTGCAACCTGACAGGCAAATGGTCTAGCAAAAGGTCAGATCCTGACATTAACCATGTTAGGTGACACGAATATGCACTAACAGTAATTTCATTCCCAACTGGCTGTTGAACACCCATATATATGCAACAAGTTGTTGTGATGTTGGAACGGTTAATATGCCTAAACCTGTCATAGCACTGAAGGATTGGCAGCCTTGATTCTTTTTGAAGATTTTGCTTCAAACAGCAACAAAAAATTTAGAGCCAGTAATCTCTGTCTTAGGCTGGTCCCAAACAAAAACAAAGCTAAATGGACTTCAAAGGGAAAAGCCAACTGTCCATCCACTGGGAAAGAAATATAAGGGGGCAGTCATGTGGCATCTATAAAAGTGAGGATGACAAGAAAAACGGTTCAAATCAATTTAACTCAATTATCCATCAGTGGAAAAAAACAAAACACAATCATCATTTAATGTAGTCAACCGGTTATTTGGCTCAAAGACTAAAAGTGACCAGATTTTTAAAAATTAGAGTATTCCTAGAGTCAGCTGATTACTGATCTCAATAACAACAACAAAATCTATCAGGTAAATATTTTCAAGACTCAAAATGTTTTAGAATAGGTGTAAGAAAAAGAATCTCAGCAATAAAGTATTCTGTATCAGCCTGTTGAGTAGATCAGGGCATTTGGGAGTTGCAGTTTGGCAAATGCATCAGAAGCAATCATATTCCAGCACAGCGTATTTCTATCTTCAGAGTATTTGCTTGCCTCTATTCCCCTCCTCATAGAAAACTTTCTGTCTCCCTCTACTCTCAGTTGACTGCCATATTTTCTTTTCCTTAACAAACAGAACGGAGGTAGGCTCATCTGCACTGCATGCTGACTGAACTGTGGGGACCAATGGAAGAGTTTAGGATGATATCAGAAGGATTTGTGTAAAGCCTTATCTATTCAATGTCTTCAGTAACCAGTGAGAAAGAAAAACCGTGTGATAGAATCCTTAGTGCTGCTAAATTGTTTGATTTCAATCATATAGGAAGGCAGAAGAATAATAAAAGTAGATATACAACAATGACGAAAAGAGAAATGTAATATTGAAGGAAAACTCACAAATTCTTTCACAGTAAAATACTGAGCCCCAAATGCTGCAATGATTATTTGTTTTATGAAATGATGGAGCGACATTGGAACTCAATAATTAAGCAAGATTCTAAGAAAGAAGTTTGGGTAATTTAAGGAGGTCAATACTAAACTATTTATTGTTGGTCTCTCATTCTAAAATACGTTGCTTACCGTGGATGTTTAAATAGCCTTAATATCCCAATGATGAATTAATCCTTTTGTTTCAGTGATAGCCTGATACTCTACACTTCTGAAAGAGTTCATGTAGTTTTCCAAAATATTCTGCAAGTTCAAATGTGAATCAAGCATGATGAAGTAGGTTATAATAAATTTTAAAAAATAATATCATTTTGGTTGTATACATAATGTGCTTGAAAAATAATTTTATTTTTTACATAAGGCAATTTGAAAATAGAAAGCTATTGGCAAATTAATTATTTTATTACCTTGAGCAATCATGAAGGTCGAAAGAGACCTACCAGCAAATCAGGCTCACATATTAAGGTAGGGAGCTTTTGTGAGGAGGCTGGTGACACTCACATTCAGAAACATGTTGGACTAAGGAGAGCAAAAATTTTGATTCTCCAGTCAGTACAAACTTGGGAACTGAAAAGATCAGTTATTTGCAGAGAAGTTCTGGAGAAGAAATAAAATTTCTCTTGTAAAGCACAGTCTGCAGGGGAAAAGGAAGAAGACAGTGTGTTCAAAATCATGAAATGATGCAAAGGTTTTGTTAAAGGATTCAAGAAAGGAAATGGGGGCCGGGCGCGGTGGCTCACGCCTGTAATCCCAGCACTTTGGGAGGCCGAGGCGGGTGGATCATGACGTCAGGAGATGGAGACCATCCTGGCTAACAAGGTGAAACCCCGTCTCTACTAAAAATACAAAAAATTAGCCGGGCGCGGTGGCGGGCGCCTGTAGTCCCAGCTACTCGGGAGGCTGAGGCAGGAGAATGGCGTAAACTCGGGAGGCGGAGCTTGCAGTGAGCCGAGATTGCGCCACTGCAGTCCGCAGTCCGGCCTGGGCGACAGAGCGAGACTCCGTCTCAAAAAAAAAAAAAAAAAAAAAAGAAAGGAAATGGGAAAGGGATGTAGCCAAATATGTAAAATGTTTAATTTAGGTATGTTGGGCAATAGTTCATTTGTGACAATGCTAACAGGATAAAGCATAAAGTGTTTAAGCAAAAGAAAAAAACAGTTAATTAGTAAATAAAGATTTTCTGAGATTGTTGAAATAAAATGAAAGGATTTTCCATAATGAAAAATAAGAACTGTATTGGAAAACTGCAACTGAGTTGGGAATATTATCAACCTTAGCATTAAACATTTTATAATGGTATGTTAGAACAAATGCAATCCTCAGAAACAGATGGCCAAGACTTAATTAAATATACTTACAATAAATGCTCCTTAGTACCTGTGCCTTTAATTTTTTTGAAAAAGGCCTATTCTGAGAGCCAGCAGGAGCTATAATTTTATTACGGCCATGACGCTTTCAACCTAAATTTTAATGGTAAACATAGATATGAATTGATCATGTTCCCTGAAAAGAGTTTGCATCTCAACACCACACATTTTGGCTTGTTAGTCCACATTCCTCTTTTGCCCTTGCAAGTCTTATCATCTGGAGTTCAATAGATACCATTACTAAGAGGCTAGTGCAGACAGCATAAGAAGATTTTTGGAGAAAAGTAGAATGAAATTCAAAGATAGGCTAATACATTTGAAATTCTTGAGAGACTTTATTTTTTTAATAGTAATAAGTGTGAAGCTGAACAATGAAGGAAAATTTGTTTTCTGGTTGTATTTACAATAACTATAGAAAGTGAATGAATAGAAACATTTTCACTTTAAAGAAACACATCAGTGTATTTGGGTCTCTGTATTTAGGATGAGGGATTTAGAAAGCAATAGATTTAATGGCATTTGATGGATGGGAGATGAAACAATTACTCCAATTCACATGTACCTTTAAGGTTATTTAGTTAAATGGAAATTTTGAATTTAGCATGGTGCAAGAATAGCTTGTTTCAGAGCTTTTTGGAGGGAAAATTTGTGCCTTTGACTGAAATATAGACAAAAAGTCAGTTTGATTATCAAGTTGATTAGTTATTTTTTCCCACAGGTAACCGGAAACTGTATTATTATCACTACATTCTCTCTTGTCCATCTCTACTGTAATGATGCAAATGAGGATTAATAAATGTTTCCATGTGTTGGGCACATGGCAATTGAATCTGTTATCTTGACTATTAAAAATTGAAGGCATTACTCTCCTTCTATGTATCATCATCGTGAAACTGTCTTTTTAAAACATACATATTTGAATTTAAATATATGCTCTTCCTTCATTTGATAAATATTTAATAAGCCACTACTCTTTGCAAGGCATTCTTTTAAGCAAAATCAAGGAGACAGTGACAAGTACGCATGTTCATGCATTATTTAATTCAGATTTCTTTACTTATAAGTCTCCTGCAGCCATTGAATAATTTTCTAGATTCACTTTTACTCATACTGCACTTATCCAGCATTTTATCAAGAAAATATTAAAATATTTTGTAATGGATTCATGAGCCTCTAGACTTAGTTTTGTGTTATATTGTTTATTTTTTTTTAAGACTTTCACTTCAGTGATTTTTCTGAATAGTTGTGGATTCTGGATATATACTCCTAAAAATTACCCATTTAGGTAAATGTTTCTCCATCACTGACTATGATTAAGCCCTTTTCCCCCTAATTTTTAAATGTATGGAATATTGGGCACTTTGTGGGAAGCTGCTGACTTCTCTTTAAGAAGGTTACACGAAGAACTTCCAAGATGACTAATGGAAGGAAGTTTCCATATGAGAAAAGTGGCTGGATCTCTTAACCTTGTCTCCCTGAGAATTACTTTAAAAAAATTCCTTATTCATCACACTGTTACCAGCAGCTGTAAGAAAATTCACTGATTATCTTACAACATAAAACATTCCAGATCATATAAGGTTAGCAATGAAGGAGAAAAACCTAAAGTGAAGTTTTCCCTTTATTACTAACATTTGAAAAATCAGTGCTCAATTTTATTAACTGTCAATATTGATAAATTGTTTCCTCACATAGTTCCTTTTTTAATCATAAATAGATTACTGAAGTTGAGGAAGCAGTAGAATGATTCAAATTGAGAGGCTAGAATAAAAAAATCAAGTAAGAGAAGTTCTGCCATTTGGCATGGTTAGACTTCTTAATTTTAGCCATTCTATTGTGTGTGTAGTGATACCTTCACTGTTCTTTTTGGTTTGTGTGTGTGTGTGTTTTCTTGTTTTTGTTTTTGTTTTTTGACAGAGTTTTGCTCTTGTTGCCCAGGCTGGAGTGCAGTGGTGCAGTTTCAGCTCACTGCAACCTCCACCACCTCCCGGGTTCAAGCAATTCTCCTGCCTCAGCCTCCCAAGTAGCTGTGATTACAGGTGCCCACCACCAAGCCTAGCTAATTTTTGTATGTTTAGTAGAGACGGGTTTCACCATGTTTGGCAGGCTGGTCTCAAACTCCTGACCTCAGGTGATCTGCCCACTTCGGCCTCCCAAAGTGGTGGGATTACAGGTGTGAGCCACCGCGCCCGGCACCTTCACTGTTTTAACTCGCATTTCCCTGCTGACTAATAATGCTGAGCATCTATGTATATGGTTATTAGCTATTTTTATATATTCCTTTGTGATGTGTATGTTCAAGTGTTTTGCCAAGTTTTGGTTGGGGCTCTTGTTTTCTATTATTGGATTATAATAATGACATATATTTTAGACAAAAAAGTTATTTGTCTGATGTATGCATTGAGAATATTTTCTCCAAAATTGTGGTTTATCTTTTCATTTCCTTAATGATGTCTGGAAAAATTAGTTGAAGACCAATCTACAATTTTTTTATGGTGAGTGCTTTTTAAGTCTTGCCTAATAAATTTTTGCCTAAGGTAATATCACTTAGATTTTCTCTTAAATTTTCATCTGGAAGTTTAGGAGTTTAGCTTTCGCATTTAGGATTATAATCCTACTCCAGAAGTTTTGAAGGTAGAAAAACAATGTTCTTACTATCAACAGGCTGTCTCTCAGTCTTATACAATGCATTTGTCTTTGCTTTTATTTTTCTATTTTTACTGTTATTTTTAAAGTAAATTAGAAGAGATGTTTTTACAGCACGTTAACTATTTGCCACTTTAAATGGAAAATTTGATGCTTTTCTGCAAATTTTATTTACCTTTAGAATTAGAGCTTTTTAATATTTAGTAATTTTATTGTAGTAATTTTTACAGAAATGATCAATCTATTTGCTGTCAGATTTATCAGCATATTCTAACATAAAATATCTTATATTTTACTCTGTTAACTATATATTAATATATCAACTTTATCCTAAATTTGTATATTTTTCTATTATTTTTACAGTTGAGTGCTATTTCTCTTTCATGTGTCTATAAGAGTACTAGCTTCTACACTCACTACTTCAAATAATTTTTACTTACAATCTAATGGAAAAATAAAAGATTTTGTTTGCAGATCATGATAGAATTATCTAAAATTAAATCATGGTCCATTTTTTGTATATCTCACATGCATGATATATTTAAGTTGAAACATCATAGTTTACAACTTAAATATCACTTTTATGTTGAAAAAGGGTACCGTTTATTTTCAAAGGAATAAAATTAAATCATTAGTTTAATTCAAGTGTTAACATACAAATATATCTCACTAAATAAACAGGATGAAATAGCATAATTAAACATGATGTAGAATAAACAAGATCTCATCACTAAGTGAATTGTGATACACTTATCGTTCTTCAAACTCCGTCAAACTCTATTAATAGGTGTTAAGATTTTATAGATTTTTGATAAAATGATCAGAGTGTCCTAAGAAATTTGAGTGTATTTTTCCAATATGTTGATTAAGAAGTGGCTTAATCTGAAGAAAGTGATTTCTTGAACACAGGAGGGAGCATGCTGGTTGGCAAATAATTAGCTATTTTGAATATTACAGATTAGACCTTAGTAGTGAAAAAGAATAATGCAAGTTTTTATGATAAATATTATGAGAAAAAATTATATGCCTAAATAAAAACATCAAGGAACACTCATAGTTTACTTTTAACCAAAATTTTAATTTACTGCTTCATTTAAAATTTCTGAAAAGTACTGTGAATAACTTTCCAAATTGACAAATTTTGACACATATTTCTTAGCTTCACACGCTTGCCATTTCTTAGTATTCTGTTTTTTAGAGCCCATTGAAATATGAAACATAGTAAAATTTGTTTTAAATTGTTAGAACAAGAAATATTCTAATTTCCTTAGTGTGTATGGTCTAATGCTTTTAATTTAAATTTAAGTAGAAGAACTTCATAGCAAGAATGTGTCAGAAGTAGTGAAGTTTTTTAATTTACCTGATTTCTTTCCTCATCCTCCACAATATAGCACTTTAGTTTACAACAGAAAAAACAGAATCAACAGTAATCTAAAAATGAAATTGCATTGATACCATTCATAACAAAATTAAGTGACAAAGTAAACTCCCAAATAATATTGGATAGTCCCAAACCACCAATAGCAATACAATGCAATTGTATAAATAATTATTCATCAGGAAGTAAGAAAAGCAAAGTAAACTTTGATGACCTTGAGAGACAGACAATCTAACACAAAATCACAAAAAATATTCTTCCCCAAACTGAGGGGTTCTCTCTCAATGTAGAAAGTGTGAGTGAATCAATATGAGACTAGCAAACTCTGTGCAGTTGTTGCAGGCCCCAATTTACAGGTGGGAATAAAGAGAGGAGGAAAAGGTTGGACAAAGCCAGGTAGGATGGTTCCAATTAATTTCGGAAACGAAAGATGTAACCTTACTTCCGGGACAATGTCACAGATTGAGGAGGAACTGCGAAGAGTAGATTCTAAATTGAATAAGACAGATATTTCATGTGCAGAAAGAAAGCCAGATAAAAGAGGGTGTAGAGAAGAAAGACAAGGAAGTTCAGAATTTAAAGGCGCAATTGTTGAGTGCTTAATGATAGTATCAGGAGAGTAATCAGAAGAGATATAAAGGTGGGAAATCTATCTTAAAGCTCCCTCTCCTGTAAGAGTACAAAATATTTCAGCTGAAATCAAGCAACATAAGATTATGGTTAAATTCTACAAAAAAAATTATTATTTTAAACAATAATAATGAGAATAAGACTGGTTTTATAAACAGTGAAAGTATGAAAGAACAACATGCCCCCAAACAGAAGAAAATGTTAATACAGTAATTCAAAAATGATATGAAATTTAAGGTAATGATGGAGATAATGAAAAAAGAGCATAATTCATAGTTAAACAAATTCTAAAATGACATGATGGGACATAAAAAGACTTGTGAAGAGAGCTGATAGAGCCCTGGATAGAATTAAAATCAAAGATAATTTCCTTTGAAATAAAGACTAAGCTAGGAAAAACACTAGAGCAAATATAATATCACAAGATAAATAGAAGATGAAAAAGAATAAATTTCTTTTTACTTAATCAAAAAGAATTAGATAAATAGATAAAAGCTTTTACAGAAAGTGGGAAAGATAATTTATCTATATATCTGTGTCTATAATTTCATCTATATCCATCTATATCCATATCTATCTATCTAATCCAACATATGTGAAATATATCTCTAAATAGAAAACCAAAACCCTGGTAACACATAAAAATATTAAATATTATAATTTGATAAATAAACTTATATAAAGAAGACTTGAACTTACTTTTTGAAAAGTCTCACTGAATAGGTGTATTCAGAACAGCCAACACCAGGAAAATTATGATTTTAAAAATTATATAGACAAAAGGGACCAAATCATTTATAAAGAAAAGGACAATCAGATTCACATCAGATTTTCTTAAGAGCAACCATTTTGCCAGAAGACAATAGAGTAAGATATTGAGATAGCCACAAAAAAAGACTTTTAAATATAAAGACGTGCAAGACATGCAATAAACATGAAATAAATTAGGGAATATTTTTCTCATGAGCCCATACTAAGGAATCTACTTCTAAGAAATAAACATTAGATGCCCCGCTAGACTGGAGAAGTATAAGCATAAGGACAGCTGTTAAACCGTCAATATACACTTTTTCTTAGAAATAAAATAAAATGATGAATACAGGAAGATAGTTTGTAATGATACGTAACATATATACTGTAGAGTATACAGTATAATATGTATTTGAGATACACAAAAATATGTGCTCAGATAACATACATACAAAATATGCTTTTTTAAATGAGGGGAAAATGGGAGATTATATGGAAAGTAGAATCAGATCACTCATTGATTAGGTCTTAAATGAGAAGGAAGGGAAAGGGAAAATAGAGATTTTTACCTCATTTTAATGTTGCTTAATGCAGGGAACCAAGAGACAGGATGAACAAAAAGAGGTGACTAATGATATTATAATAAGAGTATACAAAGGTGATCATTAGAACAAAAATAAAATATTTAAAAAATATATTTCTAAAATTATTAAATAGCCCATTTAAATAACAAAAGATGTGCCAAAGTAATAAGAAGTCAAATAAAGCAATACATTTATAGAAAAAGGACTATATATATGCATATCAAACAGATATACCAGAACTGAGCTAAATATATCAATCATATCAACGTATATATAAATAAATTTAACTCACCTGTTAAAAGGGAAACCCAAACTTTAAGTTGACTGACAAATTTAAATACAAAACTATGGTTTTTGCAAGGTACATAACAAATCAATTGGGTTTAGAAAAATTATGCTAAAACAAGGAGGTTTGGAAATATTAAAAGTGGAAAGAGAAAGATATGCCAAGCAAATTCAATGAAAAAAAACCAGACATGACAAATTTGATATTAGACATTGTGGAATTCAGAACAAAAAATTAAAAAAAGAAACAGAACTTTATATTGTAACTGACTAAAAACACAATAAAGGTTTAATAGTTACTAGTATTATGCATCCTGTAAAAAAGGAAAACCTTTCTTCAAGTAGTTACACAGATGTGATGAGAAAGAGAAGATTGCACACTAATAGTAGAAGTATACTTAATAGATGTAATTGACTAAAAAACACAATAAAGGTATAATAGTTACTAGTATTTATGCATCCTGTAAAAAAGGAGAAACTTTCTTAGTTACAGAGATGTGATGAGAAAGAGAAAATGGCACTCTAATAGTAGAAGTACACTTAATGGATGTAATGGACTAAAAAACACAATAAAGGTACAATAGTTACTAGTATTTATGCATTCTAGAAAAAAGGAAAAACTTCCTTAAAGTAGTTACAGAGATGTGATGAGAGAAAATGGCCCACTAATAGTAACAGTACATTGAACAGTACATTGAACACATAGAAGTCAAGTGGATAAACATAATTTTCAGTATACCTCCTTGGCTTAAGTAGGTAATAGTCATAAAAGTTGGCTATGTCTTAAGCATCAAGCGAGGCTTCATAAAATGCAAAATAGAAAAGTAACATAAGCAACATCTCTAAGCACAGTATAACAAAATTATTAGTTACTTTTAAAAGTAATTTAAAAGTAAAATTAAAACTTGTAATTATCTAAAAGTTAGATAATTATTTTCAACCAACTTTTGGATTAAAAGAAAATTTGGCAAAAAAATTAATTTTTTTAGAAAATAATGACAAAAAGGAATGTATGATAAACTACATAACATAAATAAATCAATTAGAGAAAAAACTTATAACATTAAAAACTTTAAATAAAAATGTAAAATGATAAAATAAATGCCTTAGTACTTAATCTAAAAAGCAAAATAACAGAAGATTACAAAATAAAACAAGGAAAGAGGGAATGTACAAACATAGTATTTATATAAAAACAAGAACACCACAAACTCAGTAGAACTAATAAATTTTGCATAGGATTGTGTAATATAGTTATACATTTTGAAATAGTCTTTAGATTTTTGCCATGTCTTTTCTCATAATTATATGGTTAGAATGTTTTCTAGTTTATTAACTTTTTCAATCAGATATAGGATATTGTATTAGGCCGTTCTTGCATTGCTACAAATAAATGCCTGAGACTGGATAATTTATTAAGAAAAAAGGTTTAATTGGCGCAGGTTCTGCAGGCTTTACAGGAAGCAAGGTGCTGGCATCTGCTCAGCTTCTGGTGAGACCTCAGGGAGCATTCAATCATGGCAAAAGGCAAAGGGAAACAGGCAAATTCCATGGCAAAAGCAGAGGCAAGAGTGAGATAGTGGGGAGGGGAGGTGTCACACACTTTTAAGTAATCAGATCTTGTGTGAACTCAGAGTGAGAAGTCACTTATCACCAAGGGGTTCATGCATGTCTTAAGCCATTCATGAGGGATCTGCTCCCATAATCCAAACACTTCCCATGTGGTCCCACTTCCAAGATCGGGGATTACAACTCAGCATGAGATTTGGGCAGGGACAAATACTCAAACTATATCAAATATTGAATAAAGCAGAAAACATAATCATATAATCAAAAGAAAAGTTATGACACAAATCTAAATATTATTTCAAAATACATGACTATCTTACACAATTCTCTGTGAGTAAACTATTTTGAAAATCTAAAAGAAACAAGCAATTTTCTGGAAAAATAATACTACCTAAAGTGACACTAGTAGAGATAAAAATTTTAAAAAGACATTTGGCTTAGAAGTTATAGAATTTAAAGTACTATCTCTTAAATGTATCATTTCTGGGAAGTTTCAAAAGGGATTTCTGCCAACAAATACAACCAATACTAATTTTAAGATACCATAAAATAGGAAAAGAAGGAAAACCTCTTATTTCTTACTATGATGTTAATGAAACTTTAATTTCAAAACCTGACAAAAATCAAACTATAAAAGAAGACTGCAGACAAATTTCATTCATTATGGATATTGATAAAATAACAAATATGTAAAATATTAACAAACAGAATCCCATGACACATTAAACATAATACATAATGAGTTAGTAGGGTTAATTCTTGTAATACAAGGATAGTTCAATATCAGGAAACCCATCAAAATAATGTATCATATTAATAGTATGAGAAAAAAATTAAGATAATCTCTTTAGATGTAGATAAATAATACACATTTTGGGACCTCTGTATGCTAACAGTAAAAATGAATAGATAATTCAATAACATTATAAAATATATGCACTGTGGTCCTAAGGGCAGTATCTTACTTAATGTGGACACAGAGGCTTTAATGATAAAATTGGAAATGCAGTGAAGATGTCCATTATTCCACTTTTCTTTAATATTGCATAGGAAGTACTACTCAACACTGTGTTGGAAATATTTGAATAGAAAATAGAAAACAATTATAGGTATAAATTGTAAAGAAAGAAGTAAAGCTGGAGGGGCAGTGCAAGATGGCAGAATAGAAGCCTACACCATTCATATCCCCACCCCACTTCATAACGAGAACACCAAATTTTAACAACCTACTCCAGACAGAAAAGCACCATCACAAGAACCAAAAATCAGATGAGCAATAATAGTACCTGGTTTTAACTTCATATCAGTGAAAGAGGCTTTGAAGAGTGCAGAGACAGTCCTGAATCACTGATGCCACTGTTCCCCCATCTCCTAGCAGCAGCTATGTGGTGCAGAGAAAGAATGTGCACATGGGGGAGGGAGAGCAAAGTGACTGGGGGACTTTATATTGAACTCAGTGCTGCCTTGTCACAGCTGAGAGCAAAGTTTTGCTGGGCTCAGCCAGTGCCTGAACATGGAGGGAGGATTTAGACCAGACAGCCAGAGGGTAATCTCTCATCCCAGTGGTTAGAACTTGAGTTTCTCAACAAGCCTCGCCACTGTGGGCCAAAATGCTCTGGGGTTTCAAATAAACTTGAAAAAACACACTTCACCTATAAAGATACACATAGAATGAAAATCAAGCAGTGGAAAAAGATATTCCTTGCCAATGGAAATCAGAAAAGAATGAGAATAGCTATACTTACTTCAGACAAAATAGATTTCAAGACAAAAACGGAAAGAAGGGGCAAAGAAGGTCATGAAATAATGATGAAGGGGACAATTCAGCAAGAGGATATAATGATCATAAATATATATTCACCCAACACTGGAGCACCCAGATATATAAAACAAATATTATTAGAACTAAAGAGGAAGACAGGCTTTAATAAAATAATGGCTGGAGACTTCAACAGTCCACTTTGAGCATTGGACAGATCTCCCAGACATGAAATCAAAAAGAAACATAAGACCGAACCTGCACTATGAAACAAAAGCACCTAATAGATACACAACATTTCATCCAAAAGATGCAGGATACACATTCTATGTTTCAGCACCTGTCTCAAGGATAGACTACATGTTAGATCACAAAACAAGTCTTAAAACATTAAAAATAATTGGGATAATAGCAAGCATCTTCTGTGACCACAATGGAATAAAACTAGAAATCAACAATAAGAGGAATTTTGGAAGCTATATAAACACATGGAAATTAAATAATATGCTCTTGTGTGACCAGTGGGTCAATAAAGAAATTAAAAATGAAATTGAAAAGCTCTCTGCAAGAAATGATGATGAAAACACAACATACCGAAACCTATGGGATACAGCAAAAGCAGTGCTAACAGGGAAATTTATAGCCATAAGTGCCTACATTTAAAAAAAACACACAAAAGCCTTCAAATAAATAACCCAAGGATACATCATAAAGAACTAGAAAAGCAAGAGCAAGCTGGACCTAAAATGAGTAGAAGAAAATCAATAATAAAGGTCTAAGCAGAAATAAACAAATTTGAAATGAAGAAAACAATACAAAAAAGTGAAACAAAAAGTTGTTTTTTTTAAACAAACAAAATCGACAAATCTTTAGTTAGAGTAATGAAGGAAAAAAGAGAAAAGGCCCAAACAAAGTCAGAGATGAAAAGGGAGACATTACAATTGATACCACAGAAATTCAAAGGATCATGAAAGATTACTATGAGCAACTATAGGCCAATAAATTGGAAAATCTAGAGAAAATACATAAATTCCTAGACACATAAAACCTACCAAGATTGAACCAGGAAGAAAGCCAAAACCTGAACAGACCAATAACGAGTAATGAGATAGAAGCCATATTGAAAAGGCTGTCAGCTAAGAAAAGTCTAGCACTCGATAGCTTTACTGCTGAATTCTAACAAACATTTAAAGAAGGATGAACACAAATCATACTCAAGCTATTGCAAAAAATAGAGGAGGGGGAAATACTTACAAACTCATTATATGGGTCCAGTGTTACCCTGATACCAAAACCAGACAAAGACACATTAAAAAAAAAAACTATGGACCAATAACTCTGATGAATACTTATACAAAAGTCCTCAACAAACTGTTACCAGACTGTTCTCAACAATACATTGAAAAGATCATTAATAGTGATCAATTGGAATTTATCCCAGGGATACCAGCATGGTTCAACACACATGAATCAATCAATGTAATACATCATGTCAAAAGAATAAAGGACAAAAGCCATATGATCATTATAATTAATACTGAAAAGCACTTGATAAAATTCAACACTGCTTCATGATAAAAACCCCAAAAAACTAGGTATAGAAGGAGCATACCTTAGCATAATAAAAGCCATATATGATGGACCCACAGCTACTATTGCATTGAATGGGAGAAAACGGAAACATTTACTCTAAAATCTGAAAGAGGACTAGTATACCCACTTTCACCCTGTTATTCCACATAGTACTGAAAGTCCTCTCTACAGCTATTGGAAAAGATAAAGAAATAAAGGGCATCCCCAGTGGAAAGGTATAAGTCAAATTACCCTTGTTTGCTGATGACGTGATCTTATATTTGGGAAAACCTAAAGAATCCACAAAAAACTACTAGAACTGATAAACAAATACAGTAAACTTGACAGATATAAAAGTCCACATACAAAAATTAGTAGCATTTCTATATGCTGACAGTGAACATTCTGAAAAATATTAAAAAGGTAATGTCACTTCGAGTAGCTACAGATAAAATAAAATACCTAGGAATTATCTTAACCAAAGAAGTGAAAGATCCTACAATGAAAACTATAAAACAATGATAAATTGAAAGGGACACCGAAAAATGGAAAGATAATCCATGTATATGGATTGGAAGAATCAATATTGGTAAAATATCCATACTTCTGAAAGCAATCAACAGATTCAATGCCATCCCTACCAAATACCAATGACATCCACAGAAATAGAAGAAGCAATCCTAAAATTTCTATGGAATTATAAAAGACTCAGAATAGCCAAAGCCACCCTGTGCGAAAAGAACAAAACTGGAGGTATCACATTACTTGAATTCAAATTATACACTGAGCTATAGTAACCCAAACAGCATGGTACTGACATGGAAACAGACACATAGAAAAATAGAACAGAATAGAGAATCCAGAAACAATTCCATATATCTACAGTGAGTGCAGTTTTGACAACAGTGCCAAGCGCATACATTGGGGAAAGAACAGTCTCTTCAATAATTGGTGCTGGGAAAACTGGGTATTGATATGCAGAAGAATGAGACTAGACCCCTATCCCTCACCATATGCAAAAGTCAAATCAAAATGGATTAAAGACTTACATCTAATACTTGAAGCTATGAATCTACTAAAGGAGAACATTGGGGAAACTGTCTAAGATGTTATTCTGGGCAAAGATTTCTTAAGTAATACCCACAAGCACAGGCAACCAAAGCAAAAATAGACAAATGAGATCACGTCAGTTTAAACAGTTTCTGCACAGCAAAGGAAACAATCAACAACAGCTCACATAATGGGAGAAAATATTTGCAAACTATCCATCTGACAGATTAATAGCCAGAGTAAATAAGGAGCTCAAACAGCTCAGTAGGAAAAAAATCAACTATCTGATTCAAATATGGGCAAAAGTTCTGAATATACATTTCTCAAAGAAGACATACAAGTGGCAAACAGGCATATGAAAAGCTGCTCAACATTATTGATCATCCAAGAAATGCAAATTAAAATTACAATGAGATATCATCTCACCCCAGTTACAATGGCTTTTATCCAAAAGACCAGCAGTAACAAATGGTGGTGAGGATGTGGAGAAAAGCGAACCCTGGTACACTGTTAGTGGGAATGTGATTTGGTACAGATACTATGGAGAACAGTATGGAGATTCCTGAAAATCTAAAAATAGAGATACCAACCTTATGATCCAGCAATCGCACCCCTGGGAAAATGCCCGAAAAGAAAGGAAATCAGGGTATCAAAGAGCTATCTGCATTCTCATGTTTATTGCAGTGCTATTCACAGTAGCCAAGATTCAGTAGCAACCTGTGTCCATCAACAGATGAATGAATAAAGAAAATGTGGTGCCTATACACAAAAGAGTTCTATTCCACCACAAAAAAGAATGAGCTTTTATCATTTGCAACAATATGAATGGAGTTGGAGGACATTATTTTAAGTGAAATAAGCCAGACACAGAAAGACAAACTTCTCATGTTCTCACTCATTTGTGAGAGCTAAAAAGTAAAATAGCTGGACTCATGGAGACAGAAAGTAGGATGATGGTTGCCGGAGGCTAGGAAGGGTAGGCGGGTAGTGGGGATGATTAACAGGTATGAAAATATAGTTTTGTATAATGAACAAGATATATATAGTATTTGATAGCACAACAGGGTAACTAGGTTCAGCAATAATTTATTGTACATTTACAAATAACTAAAAGAGTATAATTGGAATGTTTATAGCACAAAGAGATAAGTGCTTGAGGTGATGGATACCCTATTTACCCTGACATGATTATTATGCATTGTATGGCTGTATCAAAATATCTCATGTACCCCGTAAATTTATACACAATGTACTCATAAAATTTTAAAAATTAAAAATTAAGAAAAAATTTCCTTCCTGCCTTTTTTATACATTTTGTAAACTTAAAATGGTTTTGCATTTTTAAATTGTTGAAAAAATTAAAAAAAATTTTATGATAGATAATGTTTAATTGTAATTCAGTTTTCAGTATCTATAAATTGTGTTTTGGAAACACAACCTTGCTCATTTTTAATGTATTATCTCTGGCTACAACAGCATAGTTAAATGGTGTGACAGAGACCATATTGTCTGCAAAACCTGAAATATTTACTATTTGGCCCTTTACGGAAAATGTTTACCAATCTCTGTTTAGACAAAAATATGATATCTGTAATATACAATGAACTTTAAAAAATAAATACATTTTAAGGCTGGGAGAATACAATAAAGAAATTTACAGGCTTATGCCTGTAATCCCAGCACTTTTGGAGGCCGAGGCAGGTGGATCTCTTGAGCCAAGTAGTTCAAGAACACCCTGGCAAAATTGTGAAACCCAATATATACAAAAAAAAAAAAAAAAATCAGCCAGGCATGATGGTGTGCACCTTTGACCCCAGCTATTCTAGATGCTGAGGTGGGGGGATTGCTTGAGGCCAGGAGTTGGAGGCTGCAATGAGTTATGGTTGCACCACTGCACTCCAACCTGGGTGATAGAGCTAGAACCTGTATCAAAAACAAAACAAAACAAAAAGAAAAAAAAAAACAACCAAACAAAAAGAATACAGAAATTCAAGAAACCCCAAAACTTAGTAGAAAAGAAGAGAAAAGCTATAGAGTTTACAGCAAAAAACCCACAAATGGCTCTTGAAATATGTAAAGATTCCCAACCTTAGTTAGAATAAGAGAAATGTAAATTAAATTGAGGTGACTATTATATTGACAATGTGGGCAATAACCCAAAACTTTAGTGAGGAAATAAGTACTAGTATATGTTGTTTAAGTGTATGCAAAATGTTATAATCTGATATCAAGTATGTTACAATCTTATATCATAAAAGAAGAAATAGAAAAAATATTTTAAAATTATGCATAAATTTACCTTTGACTCAGCAATTCCATTTCAAAGAATTCATTCCACTAATATAATCATGAATGGAAATATTCACAAGACCCTTTAATAGTTCTATTTATTTATATTAGCAAAGGAATAGAAAACAACTTCATGTCCATTAGTACAGTACTACTCAAAGTATGGTCTATTCCTGAGTGGATCACTTTATAACTAAGAAAGCAATAAAGGATATTTCTAAATAGTTTTATAGTAGGATTTCTGGATTATATTTAATGAAACATATCAAGGTAGAGAAAAATACATATAGTATGCTAGCATTTGTTTATCTATCTATCCATCTAACAAAGATGGTTGAATATATGTGTATATTTAATTATATCTAAATGGAAAGGTAAGTTCAATTATGAGAGAAGGTATGAGTATGGTAGAGGATAAAGCAGTATTAGTTAGATTTTCCTAAAGGTAACTTGTTTTGTGGATTTTATTTTTGAAAATGTTACATACTTTACATAATTATAATTCTAAAACAAAATTTAGTTATAGTTGCTGAGAATTAAGAGAAAAAATAACAGATGACTGACCGTAACTGTGTATAAAGGGATTTGTTAAAATTGCCACATCCCAGCTGGTGTAAACATAAGGACAAAAAGAAGTGCAAAACAAAAATCTTAAAGTATTTTCAAATCAATGACTGTGTTGGTATAATGGTGGTATTATTTTGAGACTGTTATGTTTGTAGCATGTGATGAAGCACAAAAGGAACTGGGTTAGTGTCATTGAGATAGGGATTTTCAGAATGCAAAAAATAAATTAATACAAGATTAAAGAAGTTAAGTTAAAATTCCAAGTCCTGAGTTTAAACTAAATACCAATGTGAGCTTATGAATTATCTTATCAAAAACTAGTATTCCCTGCTTTTTTTCACTGAAAAGGTCACTGAAAACAATGACCAATCATAGTGCTGATTGTTGCCTCTAAATATCATATCTCACTAAAATGAAGTAGCTGATTCCAGATCTAGAAATACCCAAAATGTACCTGGAGAATTTTGTCATTAACAAAACAACAACAACAATAACAACAAAAAGAAGCTATCAAAGAGTTCTGAATCGGAGTCAAATGACCAGGAGCCAATTTATTTAGACACTGCTGACAAAATTTGGGTTATTTTGAGCATGAATATAATAACATTAGAAGTGGATTAAAATATTTCAAATATATTTAAAGCCATGAGTTCATAATAAAACCAAAAAAAATTAAAAAGCTCATTAAACACGTTTGAAGGATGCTAGAGAACCAGTTATTTTTGGAAACATGATAAAGAGAAAGAATCAGGAATTTGTCTGCCTTTACTGTATAAGCTATAGCTCAGGATACCAAAATAGTTTATATGGGGAAGCTAATCTCATTACAGTAGCAATTCAGGTAATGGGGCAGTTGGGGAGGAACACGTTCAACAACACCATGGAATGCAATTTGCAAAACACGGACTGTGCAAAATCTGCAGAGCAAATGGCCCAGTTTCTTCAAAGAGCAAATTGCAAGGAGGAAAAAAGGAACAAAGAGTTGAGTTGGAACTTGCCATGATGGCAGACAGATGATTTCTGAATTTTCTGGTTTCACTCCATGCATTGCCAAAATGTACACATGAATTTTCTTGCCACACTGGGTTTGGGAATAAATATTGAAGGCTTTTGATCCAAATTATAGAACATATTGGGAGGTGGCACCTCTTCAGTTGTGCCCTGATGTAACTAGAATAGTTAAATAGACTGGCATCTGTTTTATGGATACCTTGGGAGTCCTGGCCACCAGCTTTCAGATGGACAGCATATCAAACATGGACAGTGCAGCTTAGTCTTTCAAAACAGCATATTCTAATTAGAAATAGTAATCATAAAACAAAGGTTTTATCTTTTCTTTCTCTCTCCCTTTCTTTCTTGTTTCTTTCTCTTGCTTGCTTCTTTGCTAGAGTGTTTTGTAGAATAGCTGGTGTGATTTAAAAAAAGAGGTTTATCAAACAATACACAAAACAGACATAACTTTATAGGTAAATTGCCTAAAACCTGCTATTTAACTTTTAAATTCTATTTACTTTTCTAATGCACAAATAGAACATTTCTATAGAAATTTCAGAGTCCATGACTGTGTAACAGTCTGCACTGCCAAGTTTTGGATGGCAGAAATGGTCTTCTGGAAGAGAGAGGGGCAACGCACAGTCCAGTTCCTCTGGGGTCTGAATTCATCCTGCTGTTGCTTTACCACTATTCTTGCATCTTTTTCTAATCTAGAAATTAGTAATGGGGCTCATATTGGGAAATTTATATCAAGAAAAGTTAACTGATTACTATAATACAATTAAGGAGGTAAGACAGTGACTATTCCTGTATCTCTACCTTGTAAAAAAGCCTGAAACAACTGAATCAGATAAAGAATTTTTTTAAAATCTCACAAAAAACAAAAGCAAGAAAATACAAATGCCCTGATTTAAAAAAAAATCTTATTATTTTGCAATGTTTGATTTATGGAGAAGTTGCAGTGATAGTACAGAGTTTCCACACACACGTCACCCAGTTTTGCTGATTCTTAACATCTAACATTACTGTGATTTATCTGTCAAAATGAACACACTGAGATCTGTATATAACTAGTAACTAAATTCTTGACTTTGTGTTATTTTTGCTGGTTTTTCTATTAATATCCTCTTATAATGTGCTCTTCTGTTTTACAGTATCCATTACTATGTTACATTTAGTTGTCATATCTCCTCAGTCACCTTAGGTATGTGACAGTTTTTCAATCTTTGCTGTTTTTCATAACCTTGATGGTCTCGAGGAGTACTGGCTACGTATTCTGTAGAATGTCTCATATCTGGTTTGTCTGTTGTTTTCTTAATGATTAGACTGGGATTATGAGTGTTGGGAAATAACATGACCCAATGCCCTTTTTGTCACATGATATGGGGTGACATCCACATGGCATTACTGATCATGTGATATCCACATGACATTATTGGTGATGTTCACCTTCATTACTTGGTTAAGATAGTGTTTTTCGAGTTTATGTACTGTAAAGTTACTACTTTTCCTATTCCCACTGTATTCTTTGGAAATGAGTCATTAAATCTAGTCCATCCTCAGCGTAGTGGGGTGTAGGGATTAGGCTTCACTCAGCATATCTCTTACCCCCTCAAAGTATGCTTTCACTGAATTCACTAATTGTTAAATTATTGTTGAGTGGTTTTTCAATAAGTGTGTAATCACTCACAGTTCATTTGAAATATCTTCTCAATTTCCCCCATAATAAAACACAGAAAATGTGTTCATACTTAATTGTTATTTATTTTTTCTAATTTTACTTGGAGCTCTGTACTGCATTGATAACTCTTCTTCCACGTATAATGTGCCCCACTACTTAATGCTATTGCCATTCTACTAACATCGTATTTATTTGCAAATAAGTCTCTTACCCATCTAACTTATGGTACAAAAAATCTTTATTTCTGTGAAATTGATAAGGAATTCTATTTTAGTACCGTTTGATCAAGGGCTTTAAAATTAGCAAGCTTGAAAAGTGGACAGGTTTCATGCTAAACCTTTAAAATAATTCTAATGATGCAGTTAGAATAAAGAAAACTATTCCTGCTATCACTCCTGCCATTTAATATAGCATTGCAGATCACAGTCACTGAATTAAGACAAGAAAAGTGAATAAGATAAAAAGGTTGAATGTATGTGTCATTATTTGTAGACAGTAGTGTAATCTTAACAGAAAAATCAAAATAACCAATATGTAGGCTATGAAATTGAGAAAATAGCTTAGGAAATTAGTTGAGTTCAGGGACATCATTTAAATCATGTTGATTTTCTTTTAAACCTGTATTAACTAATTAGAAAATATAATAGAAAAAAATTCATTAGTTATGTAATCAATGGAGTATAAATGAAACATACTAACAAAAATGTGAAAATACTTCATGAAGTATAATTTGAAACTTTATTAAAGACATTTAAAAACACTTGAATAAATGCAGAAATATAAAATATTCATGAGATGAGCCATCAGTATAGCCATTGGTTCTTTGGAATTTCAAAAATAATTTAGTGCAGTTACACTCACAATAAGTTTCTTTGTTGCTCTATTTTTGAGTGGGTGAGTATTGACTGATTCTGTATAGGAAAGATACTAACCGAAAAATTACAAGAATTTTAAAAAGAAGGCCAAGGTAAAAGAATTTAATATTATCAGATATTAAGAGGTATTACAGAGCCATGATGAGTAAAACAGTACAGTATTCAGAAAGTATTAGACAAAGAGAAGAGTAGAACATAACAGGTCAAGAAACATGCCTTCATAGGTATTGCTACATAAGTCAGCTGTTGATGAAGTTATTTAATAAGTGGCTAACCGTATGAAAAAAATTAGTTTCATGTTATACTGTTTACAAAAACGAGTTCTAGTTGTATTAAATATCTAATAATGAATGTCAAACTCAAGATAATATTAACCAAAAATGAATATATTTAAAATTTTATTAAATTGTACTAAAATCCTTATACCAAAAAAAAAAAACGAAAATTGAAATGTCATAGCCAAATAACAAACCATAAGGAAATAGTCTTAACGTCTGTACATGATAAGACGTTTGTACTCAAAAGATACAGATATTTTATATTTTCTACAAACTTAACAAGAAAGTGTAAAAAAACTGAGTTTAAAAATTAGCAAGGGAAATAATAGGTATTTCCTAAAATTAGGGTGCACTTTAGAGAGTGCTATAGCACAAATTTAATAAAACTCAAAATATTTATTTTATGACTCAACAATTCCACTTCCAGTTATATATTCCACATACACTTTCATTTCTCCAGACCAGGAGATTTGTCCAAAAATATTTAGTGCCACATTATTTATAAAGTTGAAATGTTAAAAATATTTAAATGTTCATAGTGGTGAGAAATAATAAATTATACTACCTTCTTGCCACAGAATAGTATAAGAATAAAATTTAGCAACTAGATTTATAATAATTAACATTGATTGAGTTAAACGTTATGTTGAAGTTAAAGAAAAGCTAAAATGAGAAATGTAAAAGCATTTATGCATAGATGTAAAAGCACACACAATAGTATTTGACAGTCATGAAGATATATTTTTAAGTTAAGTAGATGTCTTTGAATTCTATGCATCTACGTCAAGAAATGAAAACAATGAATGCATAAAAATTAGAGGATATGAGAACAAAACCAATTGTTTTGTCTAGAATAATTTTGCTGAGAAATAGGTTTCATCAAAATAATGTACTTTGGTGCTGAGAGGGTCAGCCCATTAAACAAATAAAACACCAATTGCCAATTTGCTTCTATAGCATGAATGATTTTTTAAAATTGAATTCTTGGCTCCATTTTCTCAAATGAAGAGTGAATAAAATGCTGAGTGCTTTACAGCATGATACAAGTACTCTCAAAATTTGTATGTCTATAAAAATTTAGGTGTGCATATCAGAACCCTTTTTCAGTGTTTAGTTCATTGGTACAGGTAGTTTCTTGAAAGATCTGAGTGAAAAAGTTGAAAGTCAGTGTAATGTAGTGTGTAAGGTCATGGACCCTTTGGCTGGACTGCCTGGATTCAAATCCTAGCCCTGCCACCCACTAGTCATATTGGTGTGGGGTAGTTTGTTAAAATAGCTGGGGCTTAACTTCCTTATCTGAAAATGGAGGTAGATAAGTACCTAACTTACGTGGTGATGATTAGAATAGTTAATAAATGTAGAGTACTCAGAAGAGTATGTCGCACATAGTAAACACCATATATAGAGTTAATATTATTATGTTTTACGTATATATTTTTTCTTATTCTAAGATGCTCAAGAAAACTAGGAATTTGACTGTAAGCTTGAACTTCTTTAGGACTGAGGTTGTATTATTTCCAATAGGTCACATGGTGTTTGTCAGGTAGTGACATTAAATAGATGTTGATAATTTAATGGAGCAGAGCCACATAGTAGCTGTGCAGAGCCATATAGTAGCTGGAGATAATATAATAAATATGCCTTGAATAAGTTGAACAGTGGAAAAATCTCTCATAGCTTTTATAAGAAGATTTATTACAATATAAGATGCAGGTGCAAGTTTTAAATATCTACGTCGCTAGCCATTTCTGGCTAAAGTATTATGAACTTCAGTATTGTGGGATCCAAGGTTGAAACTAAGACAGGCATAACTTTGCCATCATACAGACTAGGGCATTTACTGTCAGGGAGACCTTAGATAATCCACTTTATCTTTCTGCTTAGCTGTAAGAATGAGAATCAAAGGTAAAACACAGAGCTGTTATAATAGTTCAAGCTACAGCTTCTGGTGAGGTGGCATCTCAAATTATTTCAGTTTGATTTTGTGGTCTAACTTGATCTCAACTGTACAACAAATTCATCTACAAATTAATGCACAAAGTGATTTTCAAATAATCACTTTTTAAAAACTTTGTTATTCAGGTATTATTTCTAGAAGAAATATTTCTGTTTGAATAAATTCTATTACTTGTCTAATCATTGCTTTGTCCCTCTCTGCAATCATATGTACCTGTTAAAAAGAAAAAGGGAAAACAAACAATCGGTGCTCCAAACAAGAGTGTCTATTTCTCTGTCCTAGATCAGCGATTCGCCAAGCAACTTATGTATCCATTAGAATGACTTGGGGGAACGTCTTTAAAAATATAGATTCCTGCCTTCACTTAAAAGAAAGAAAAATCTCCCTAACTGGTTATTTTTATGTACACCAAAATATGAGAATTGTTACCCCTGATGAGAGAACTAACGAGATAACAATAATTTCTTAAATCTGGTAAAATTAATGTAACGACATTAGGAAATGTAGCCACATATTAAATAAACTCAGACTTATCTTCCACACCCTCTTTCTCTTCTCTGTTCCCTTCTCTCTCTCTTCTACCTCTTTAGCATAGTATTCCTCCAACTTCTCTTTCAATCTCTCTTCTCTTCCAAACTCATCTTTCTTAGAATCCTGGCTTACTGACAAGCATAGTACACTTTTCAGTGTCCTAGTTTTTACCTTTTACCCTGATTATACCTTTGCTGCATTTTTTAACACACACACACACATACACACACAGACACACACACACACACACACACAATTGTTGCTAGCCTTTGTGGAACCATGGCACAGAAATCTACTTATGTAGTTTATGAAATAGTTTAGTGAAAAGATACACATATAATCATATAAATGTTGGAATTGAAATGGATCACTTAAGGGCTCAAGAAGACCATAGCTAGAAGGTGGTTCTGGATTTATGGTGTATCTAGGATTCTTGGCAGTAAGATTTGGGTATTGGATATGGTAGGACCCAGGATTGTCAACAGTATTATTTCATTCTGTATTGTCAAGCAACCTTCTCCTCAGCTTCTCCAAGGTTTTAGCTCTGTCATGCCTTGTACATGGCTTTGACCTGCCCAGATCGTGACTTTTCTTCACAGCATTTTCCCAGCTTCTGTCTCATTACCAACTGCCAAGACTTCCTTATCTTCTTCTAGTTCAAAGTTTGAAGGAGTGTGATGGCACAGATAAGCTTTCTGAAATAGTTCATACCACACACAGCTCACAGTACTGTCTAAGCTCTGACTACCCTGACTTAGGGTTTCCCCACTTGTCTGTCAGCTGTCCTTATGCTGTAGGAAAACAGGATATGGAAAGTTTTTCCTTAGCAGTAGCCTGAGGAAAAAACAGTTTATCTTACAAAGAGAAGTAGCCTGGACATTAAATATGAACAGCCTATCCACACGGTCATTAACCTCTTTTCTGATAAGCATCAAGCTTTTGGGATGTAAATATGTAAAATTCTTCTATATTTCTTATAAACTATCAGGAGGCTGAGTATGTCTGTGTACAAGAGTTATTTTCAAAGCTTTTTAGGATCCTCATGTCTGGAAGGGGTGGGCAGAATGCTACAATGCATGTGATGTGATTTAAAGACCACCAGAATGCCTTCTGCCCCACCCCAAATCTTTCTTTGTTCTTCTTCTACTAGGCTGTTATTTTCTTATACCCATGGGTATGGAATTTTTCTCCAAGAGTATGCCTGTCAAAACGACAATAAAAGCTTTATGATAGAGAGAGGTGAGTACTCTTTCCTCTTTGCAACCATACTTTTCAGTGCTTTCTTGGATAATATTTAGTGCTTATGGTGCATTGTTTCCTAATAGCTTTCTGGTCTGAGAACTACTGAGGATAAGGATTTCATTTTGCTCATCTATTTGTTCTCAGCATTTTAGTACAGTACCTGTCATAGAAAATTCGTATTCAAAGTATACTGAAATAAATGCAATGAAAGAATAACTAACATAATTTCCAGTCACTCACTAATGTTTTGAACAATAATTTGTTTAATATTATAGATTAGCTATAGAAGTATGCATGGAGAATGAGACAAGAGCAGGTAAATGTTCAGAGGCTAAAGGTAGACAGATTGAGCTCGGATTTAAGGAATGCATTTCCATAAGGGGCTTTTCAATTCTTTGGCATGGCAGGAGAGTATTCAGAACTGGATGAGGGGTAAGTGGAGTTAAATGAAAGAAGGAAAATAGAACTATTTAGAAATTATGAGGTCTTGATTTTACTAGAAATTTGCAAGTCCAGAGATGAAAATATTGAAATATTACCCCTAATTAAAGTTCATTTTATCGTTCAGAAAATATTAACAATCTACTCCAAAGGGAACAATCAGTATTGATAATCCCAGAGTTTAAGGCCATTAGTAAAGTTAAAATAGGGCACAAAAAAAAGACAAATGAAAGACTGCTCTTCTATGATTTCGTTGAATACAAAGTAAAGTTAAATTTAGTTTTCTTTTCTTTTCTTTTTTTTTTTTTTGAGGCTGAATCTTGCTCTGTTGCCGGCTGCCGTGCAGTGACTCGATCTCGGCTCACTGCAACCACTGCCTCTCTGGTTCAAGCGATTCTCCTGCCTCAGCTTCCCATGTAGCTGGGACTACAGGCACATGCCACCATGCCCAGCTTAGTTCTTGTATTTTGAGTAGAGATGGGGTTTCACCACGTTGGCCAGGATGGTCTCAATTTCTTGACCTTGTGATCCGCCCGCCTTGGCCTCCGAAAGTGCTGGGATTATAGGCGTGAGCCACCGCGCCTGGCCTACTTTGGTTTTCTTTAGGCTTATTTTGGTTTAGTATTTTGTTGCTGTTGTCTAGTTTAAAAAATGGGATAGCATTCACTACATCATACTCAGATACCACCCCACCTTTGTCAAGGGATTATTGGCATGTTGAATAATTATTTCAGCAAAAGTTGTTTAAGGCATTCAATTACCTTTCTGTGTCAGGTATTGGAGGTTTTGTCACTATGAATAATCTTTAATTATTTAACAGTGTGTAATTATTGAATAATATATAATTAACAAAATTTGCTAATTAATGTGCTCAGTGAGACAAAACTCCTCTTAAACCTGTGTGGGCTAAAAATGAAGAGAAACTGAAATAATCTCATTTCTGTGAAAAAAAAAGTACTAATTCTGTTTTGTTTATTTAAATGTGATAATGTCATTTCACTGTCATAGATTGGTACCTTTGATAATGATCCATTTGCTTTCTATAAAAATTAATTTCTGGCAAAAAAAATACATGTGTATGCTTTTGAAGTTATTTGGAAAGTCGTCTTTTCTGAGTGAAAATAAAACATCTTTAGTCACCAATTATGTTTGTAACATTGGAGAGTGCAAAAAGTACATGATACTCTGTTGAATAGGATCCGATATTAGATGGTAAAAAAAATTTCCCCAGGTAACATCTTTATATTTTTATTGTTAAATAAATTCATATACAGTGTAGAAAAAAATGTTAAAAATTACAAAATAGAGGATAAATTCTTATAGCCTTAAGCTATCCATCTCTGGCAGTATCATATAGTGCTTAGAGAAATGTAAACTAGGATTAACTTTCTGTAAGATAATTTATCCTTTAGCTGTGAAAGGTTCATTTTTTTTTTTACCCAGCTGTAAGTATGGCTCTCCTTTATGTAAAAAGGAATCAAAACAACTTGTTAATTCATTTGCTAGTAAATTCAGAGTAGTTAGAAAATGTCAAGGGATCAATAATTCATCATGTTAAAAATATATAATCTCCTTTTCATTACCAATCTTTTCAAGAGCGCTCAATATTTCCTACATATGCCTCCATGCAGTCCTAACAATGTGCTTTCTATTTTCATTACTTCATTGAGATTTCTCACCAAAGAACTGTTAATTATCTAAACTAGAGGCCTATTCATTTTCTTTCTTGCTCATAATATTTTTGTAATTCTGGGACTTAGGACCTTTCTTCCATTATGGAAAATATCTTCTCCACTGTCTTCCAGGATAATGTATGGCATTGTCCTACCTCCCTGACCTGCTATGCTTCCAAATAAACTCTCTTTTTTCTCATAAGTATTCCCCAACCCCTACACTTTAGAAACATTATCTCATTTAATTCTTACAACACTCTATAAGGAGTTCTCGAGCTCATATGTTTGTTTTCTTAGTAGAAAAACACTGCTAAAAAGCTAGTTTCCAATGCTTTTTTTTTCCCCCTCTTGACCAACACATGTGTAGTTTAGAAATCAGCAAATGTTCTGAGGGAGTAAAGTGGTAAATGTAGGACTCATCTTATTGTGTTACTTTCTATTAGGGATATTGATCCCTCAAATTCTAACTGCTTTGGTTGCATCCTGATACATGCAAAGCTATTAAAAATTATATATTTTGTTTTGTTTTATAGTAGTTTCGAGAAGGAGATTTGGTCTGATTCAAGCTGTTCTATCAAGGCCAGAAAGGGAAGTTCTTGGCAGTGTTGCTCAAGTGGACTACCTGACAACTCTATATTAATGGTCCATGGTGAGATCAGAAGCTTGTGCCAGCATATATACCAACACTGCTTCCTTCATATAAAATTCTTCATATAAAAATTCTTATATGTCCCCCACCCTGTAAATGTTAGCTGCACCAAACAGTTAATTTGCTTTCCTTACAAGCCTTAGTTGATTTACATTATGACACAAGGTCCTTAACTCATTACAGAGTATAAAGAAATAGTTCAATGATCATCTATCTAAGGATCTCACTAGTTATGAGACCAGAAAAATGAAGCATAAAATAGCCAACAGTAAACCTAACTGCGTGTCAGTAACCCACAGCCTACATTAATAAGGATTCCTTTTTATGGAATGCATATCTTAAGACAGATTTATCAGTTCAGCAACGTGCTTACAACTACCTGTAATTGTTCTGAGAACTCTTGGCAATTTGATGTTTTTCATAATTATTATAATATAAAATTATTATATTACAATGCAAAATTATTATATTAAAATTATTATAATTCCTTTCTCCTGTCACAGGCTAGTTCTCATTTCTTCGCTCAGAACCTCATCCTGAAATGTCAGTGTTATGTAGGACTTACTTCTCTTCTCACTGTGCAGCTTATGGAATTCCTATGATTCAAATTGCCCACATTCTGATGGCATCCCCTCATCTGCCTCATTAGCTGTAATCTTTCTCATGAATTTCCTATCCATATTGTCTACTTGTATGTCTCCTGCAGGCACCTCAGTCAACATGTATATAAACTGAACTTTTTATTTACTTCTCTAATTCCCCAAACCTATTTTCTCACTGAGAATACCGCTATCCTTCTTGTTAACCAAGTTATAATTGGTAGTAGCCACATCTATAACTCCAATCTCTCTACTTCTGCAACATCTAATGCATTCTCGATCCCCATTAGTCTATTTCCTAAGTTTCTCTTAGTTTTATTCTATTGTTTTTGCTCCCAGTTGACCCTAGAATAATTCAAACTATATTCTCCTATTTATATTGTCAAAGGAGCTTCAAAATTGGAATCCTTAAATAAGGTCTTGCACTCTTTCTCATCAACATAAGAGAAAAATGTTGCAAAAGTAATATTTTAAGTATTCAAATATTATTATATCACTCAACTGTTCAAAATTATTTGTCGCATTTCCGTTGTTTGAGGATGAAATCCAGTTACCTTCATGCTTCTTCCATGGTGTGCCATGGTTTTTATTTCTCTCCCAACCTCCTGAATACCCACTCTCCTCACATCCTATCTCCTAGTTAGACACTGGTTTCAAATTCGTTAAATGCCTAACTTTATTGCATCCAGCCCTTCCACACCTTTCTAGGGATTTTTCCCTTTTATGGCGTTTCTTCAAAATTGGCTTTCTGTTTATGACATCTGAGTCTAGCTTTATATCCAGATTACCAATCGTGTCTTTAGACATATCTGGAATACTACTTCCAGTGTGAGCCATGCACTTCCATTACTGTGGCATCCTCAATTTTATTTGCTAATTTGCTAAGTCAATACATGCATGGCATACATACGCAATAAGGAATTAATATATTTTAATACATTAATTAAAATATCAGTAATGTAATCTTAACTTCATGTATTCATAGAATGTTAAGAAAGCTGAAGAGATCAGAGGTTTGGCAAACCCTAAATCTTACCACTGGCTGCCAAAAATAACCTAGTCTCACTTCTTTTCATTACTTTGGATTTCCTGCTACCGTTAATTGAATGTGCTTTATCAGAAAAGAAATTGTCCATTGTAGGTATGTTACAGAAACAAAGAAAACAAAGCCCCTACTTAATTTATTTTTAATAGCCTTATTGGAATATGATTCATATACCTTATAACTCACTACTTAAAATATTTAATTCAATGCTTTTAAAAGTATATTCACAGCATGGTACAACTATCGCTGACTTTAGTATATTTTTTTCCTTACTAAAGGAAACAATGTACCTACTAACAGACAATCTCCACTCTGCCCCATCCCCTCCAGCTATTCATTTTATGAGACTAGTGTTAAGCTAATACCCAAACAAAACTGGGAAAGCTAAATAATGGCCTCCAAATACATAGGTTCTGACCCCTAGAAACTGTAAATATTACCTTATATGACAAAAAAATCTTTGCAAATGTGGTTAAGTTTCTTGAGAAGAGGAGAGTCTTCTGTAATTTCCAAGCGAGCACTAAATGCATAACCAGAGACTTATAAGAGAAAGGTGGAAGGACTGATGGCAGAAGACAATGTAATAATGAAAGCAGAATTTGGAAGATGTTACACTGCTGGGTTTGAAAATGTAGAAAAGCATCATTAACTAAAGAATTCAGCTCTGGAATCTGAAAAAGACAAGGAAATGGATTCTCCTCTAGCACTTCTGAAGGGAGTGCAGCCCAGTCAACGCCTCAGTTTCTGCCCAGTGAAACTGATATTTGACTCCTGAGATCCAGAACTGTTATAGAATAAATTTGTGTCACTTTAAGCCATCAATGTTGAGATGACTTTTTATGGTAACCATAGGAAACTAATATAAAAGCAAGGACCTAATGAGAAAACTGCAGATTAGTATGCATATGAATACAGACATAAAAATCCTCAACAAAACACTGGCAAGCCAAATTCAGCAACATTTAAAAAGACTAGTACATCATAATTGAATGGGCTCATCCCCTAAATGCAAGTTGGTTTAACATCCCAAAATCAGTAAAACCCAAGTCTTTGATCATCTCAATAGAGGCAGAAAAAACATTTGACAAAATTCAACAACTTTTCATGGTAAAAATGCTCAACAAAGTAGGAATAGAAAGTAACTTTTTCTACCTAATAAAGGGCATCTACAAAAACACACGGCTAACACTAACATTATTCTTAATGATGAGAGACTCAGCGTTTTTCACCTAAAATCAGAAACAAGACAAAGATATCTGCTTTTGCCACTTCTACACCACATTGTGCTAGAGATTCTGGCCAGGACATTTCAGCAAGAAAAAGAAATAAAAGACATCTAGTTGAAAAAGAAAGAAGTAAAGCCATTTCTGTTTACATATAACAAAAATTTGCAAATAGAAATTCTTGAAGAATCCACTTTAAAACTATTGGAACTATTAATTTTAATTTCCATACAGTATATAAAATATTACTAAACCGATAAAATAATTGTTGGTGTCATGTCAATTTCAATGACTTTGGTTTTTAAGAGTTTAAACTATAAAATCTGGACTTAAAGTAAGATTATTTTCTCAAAGAATATTTGAATATGAGTGAGGTGTATAATGTGATGACCTCAGAAGTAAATATTTCTCATAATTAATAGCCTGGAGAGTTAAATATTCAGACTTATAGAAAAATATGAATTAAAGTAGTGGATTCTAGCAGTTAGATGAATAAATATGATGGTTCCAAGGGATTATGTCCATATGCCCAATGCAAAATCCAGATGAAAGAGGCAGAGCCAGATGGCCAAATAGCACCCTCCAGTGTTGCTCCTTCCCCACCTCTCCCCAGGAACACCAAATTGAACAACCATTCAGCCAAGAAAGCACTTTCATAAGAACAAAAAATCAGGTTTGTGATCATAGTACCTGGTTTTAACATCATATCAAGGAGAGAGGCACTGAAGAGCGTAGGAAAGACAGTCTTGAATTTCCTACACAAGCCCTTTTCCATCCCCTGACAGCAGAGGGTGGCATGCAGAGGGGGAATCTGTGCACTTGGGGGAAAGAGGGCAAAGGGAATATGGGACTTTGCATTGGAACATAGTGCTAACGTGTTACCACAGAAAGCTACCCAGGGCAGAATTTGGCCTCTTCCCACAGAGGGAGTATTCAGTTCAAACTTAGCCAGTGTCGAATTGTCCATCCCAGAAGTCAGAGCCTAAGTTCTAGCAAGCCCTCCCACTGCAGGCTAAAGTGCTGTCAGGTTCTAAATAAACTCAAAAGGCAAACTGAGCTTGGGGTACCACCTAATGCACAAATGACTGAAGTAATGAAAGACTTAGATCACAACACTCAACTCCCTTTGAATGCTTGGAAAACCCTCTCAAGAAAGCCTGGTCTAAATAAACCCAGACTGCGAAGATGATGAAAATAAACACCTAAATCTTCCATGCAGAGAAAGTAATGAATGTCTACAAGCCTCAAGACCATCCAGGAAAACATGACCTCACCAAATAAACTACATAAGGCATCAGTGACCAATTCCAGAGTGAGAGATTTGTGACCTTTCAGACAGAGAATTCAAAATGGCTGTTTTGAGGAAGCTCAACAAAATCCAAGATAGAACAGGGAAGGAATTCAGAGTCCTATCAGAAATTTAACAAAGGGACTGAAATAATTAAAAAAAAAGAAGCAATCATTCTGGAGCTAAAAAATTCAATTGACAAACTGAAGAATGATCAGTTTCTTAACAGCAGAATTGACCAAGCAGAAGAAATAGTGAGCTTGAAGACAGGCTACTTGAAAATACAGTCAGAAGAGCCAAAAGAAAAATAAATAATGAGGCACACATACAGAATCTGGAAAATGGCCTCGAAAGGGCAGACTAAGAGTTATTGGCCTTAAAGAGGATGTAGAGAACTTCCCAAGCCTACAGAAAGATACCAATATTCAAGTACAAGAAGGTCATATATAGAGCACCAAGCAGATTTAACTCAAAGAGGATTACTTCAAGGCATTTAATAATCAAACTCCCGTAGGTCAATGATAAAAAACAATGATCCTAACAGCAGCAAGACAACATAAAAAAATAAAATATAATGAAGCTTCGATATATGTGGCAGCAGATTTCTCAGTGGACACCTTAAAGGCCAGAAGAGAGTGGCATGATACACTTACAGCACTAAAGGAAAAAAAAACAACAACAAAACTTTAATCTTAGCATAGTATATCCAGTGAAAATATGCTTCACAGATGAAGAAGAAATAAAGACTTTCCCAGACAAAAACAAAGTCTGAGGAATTTTGTCAACACCAAATCTATTTTACAGGAAATGTTAAAAAGAGATCTTCAATTTGAAAAAAAAATTAATGAGCAATTCATCTGAAGGCACAAAACTCACTGGTAACAGTAAGTACACAGTACAGTTTTCTGAATATTACTGAATATTATGTCACTGTGATATGCTTTGATTCTGTATTCACACCCAAATCTCATCTTGAAGCTCCCATAATTCCCACATGTTGTGGGAGGGCCCTGGTGGGAGATAATCGAATCAGGGAGCAGGTCTTTCCTGTGCTGTTCTTGTGATAGTGAATAAGTCTCAAGACATCTGATGGCTTTAAAAAATGGGAGTTTCCTGCAAAAGCTCTCTCATTGCCTGCTGCTATCCATGTAAGATATGACTTGCTCCTCTTTGCCTTCTGCCATGATTGTGAGGCCTCCCTGGTCACATGGAACTGTGAGTCCAATTAAAGCCTTTTTTTTTTTTTTTTTTTTTGGTAAATTGTCCAGTCTTGGGTATGTCTTTATCATCAGGGTGAAAATGAACTAATACACACTGTAATTATGGTGTGTAAACTATTCATATCTTGAGCAGTAATACTAAAAGGCAAACATATATATAAAAAATCTGCAACAACTTTTTAAGGCATAAGCAGTTGATGAAATATAAATAGAAACAACAAAAAGATAAAAAGTTGGAAGTGGCTGAAGGTAAAGCATATAGTTTTTATTAGTTTTCTCTCTGATCATTTGTTAGTTTGTTTTTGCAATCAGAGGTAAGTTGTCATCAGTTTAAAATAATGGGTTAAAGGTGTTATTTGCAACCCTCATGATAACCTAAAATAATAAAAAAAACCCTACAACAGATACACAAAAACATAAAGCAAGGAATTAAAACATACCACCAGAGAAAATCACATTGACATAAAGGAAGACTGGAAAGAAGACAGGAAGGAAGGAAGGAAGGGAGGAAGGAAAGAAGAAAGGAAGGAAGGGAGGGAGGGAGGGAAGGAACACCACAAAACAACCAGAAAACAAATAACAAAACAGCAGTAGTGTCCTTACTTATCAATAATAACATTCAATGTAAATGGACTAAATTCTCCAATCCAAAAAAGGAGTGACTTAATATATTAAAAAAACAAAATCCAACAATCTATAGCCAACAAGAAACACACTTCACTTATAACAACACACATAGACTGAAATAAAGGGATGGAAAAAAGATATTTTATGAAAATTAAAACAAAAAAAGAGTAGCTATAATTATATCAGACAAAATATATTTCAATACAAAACTATAAAAAGAAAGTTCATTTTATATTGATGAAAGTTTCAAAGCAAGAGGCTACAACAATTGTAAACACATATGCACCCTACACTGGGGCACCCTGATATAGAAAGCAAATACTATTAGAGCCAAAGACAAAGATAATCCCCAACACAATAAGAGTAGGATATCTTAACACACAACTTTCAACACTGGACAGATAATTTCGATAGAAAAATCAACAAAGAAACTTTGGACTTAAGATAATTTAGATAGAAAAATAAATAAAAAAAAAACATTGGACTTAATCTGCACGATAGGCCGGGTGCAGTCGCTCACACTTGTAATCCCAGCACTTTGGGAGGCCGAGGCAGGTGGATCACCTGAGGTCAGGAGTTTGAGACCAGTCTTACCAATATGGTAAAACCTCGTCTCTACTAAAAATACAAAAATTAGCCAGGCGTGGTGGCAGGTGCCTGTAGTCCAAGCTACTCAGGAGGCTGAGACAGGAGAATTGCTTGAATCCAGGAGGCGGAGGTTGCAGTGAGCTGAGATCGCGCCACTGCACTCCAGCCTGGGCGCAGAGCAAGACTCTGTCTCAAAAAAAAAGAAGAAGAAAAAAAAGAAAAAGAAAAATGTGTACTATAGATCAAATTGACCTAACAGATAATTACAGAACAGTTCATTCAATGGCTATGAAACACACATTCTCAGTGCATGGATCATTCTCGAGAACAGAACAAATGTTAGGTCACAAAACAAGTCTTAGAAAATTCAAAAATTTTGAAACAATATAAAGTATCTTTTCTGACTACAGTGGACTAAAACTGGAAATCAATAACAAGAACAACTTTGAAAACTACAAAACACATGGAAATTAAGCAATAATATCAAGCTCCTTCTCTGATCACATGGAAAAAATCCCCTAGAAATGAATAACAAACAGAATTTTTGAAACATACAAATACATGGAAATTAAACAATATGTTCCTGAATGACCAGTGGGTCAATGAAGAAATTAAGAAGGAAATTGAAATATTTCTTGAAGCTAACAAAAATGGAAACATAACACACCAAAACCTACGGGATGCTGCAATAGCATTACTAAGAGGAAAGTTTATAGCAATAAGTAAGTAGAAAAACTTCAAACAACCTAATGATACATGTTCAAGAAGCAGCAAAACAAGAGCAAACCAAATCCAAAATGAGAAAAAAATAAATATTAGAGCATAAATAAATAAATAAAATTGAAATACAAAAGATCAATGAAATGAGAAGTTGGTCTTTTGAAAAGATAAAATTGACAAATCTTTAGCCAGATTAATTGAGAAAACAAGAGAGAAGATGTAGATAAATAAAATTACAGCTGAAAGAAGAGAATTTGATACTGAAAAAATTTAAAAGATCATTAAAGATTAATCTAAGCAACTATATGCCAATAAATTGGAAAATCTATAAGAAATGGATAAATTCCTAGATACATACAACCTATGAACATTAAACCATGAAAAAATTCAAAGCTTATGTAGACAAATAATAAACAATTTAATGGAAGGAGTATCAAAAGTTCTCCCAGCAAGAAAAGCACAGGACCCAATGGTTTTGCTGCTGAATTCTACCAAATATTTAAAGAAAAACTGACACCAGTCCTGCTCAAACTATTCCAAAAAAAAAAAAAAAAAAAAAAATAGAGAAGGGAAGACTACTTCCAAACTCATTCTACAAGGTCAGTATTACCCTGATACCAAAACCAGATGAAGACATATAAAATAATAATAATAATAATAATAATAAAAACTACAGGCCAATATCTCTGATGAATATTAATGCAAAAATTCTCAACAAAGTAATAGCAAACCAAATTTGACAACACATTAAAAAGATGATTCATCATAACCAAGTGGGATTTATCCCAGGGATGCATGGATGATTCCCCATACACTATCAATGTGACACATTATATCAACAGAATGAAGACTATAAACTATATGATCATTTCAATTGATGCAGAAAAAGCACTTGACAGAATTCAACATCTCTCCTTGATAAAAACTGTTAAAATGGGTATAAAAGGAACATATCTCAATATAATAAAAGCCATATACAATGGACCCACAGCTCGTAGCATACTGAATCAGGAAAAACTAAAAGTTACTGGAAGTCCTGTCTAGAGGAATCAGACAAAAGAAAGAAATGAAGGGCTTCTAAATTGAAAAGAAATAGAAAGAAATGAAGGGCTTCTAAACTGAAAAGAAATAAGTCAAATTGTCCGTGTTTGCAGATGATATGATCTTGTATTTGGGAAGACCTAATGACTTCACCAAGGTATAATCAGAACTGATAAATACAGTAAAATTGCAGAATACAAAATCAACATACAAAAATCAGTAACATTTATAAATGCCAAGAGCAGACAATATGAAAAATAAATTTTAAAAATTCCATTTACGATAGCTACAAATAGAATGAAACACCTATAAACAAACTTAACCAAAGAAATAAAAGATCTCAAGAATGAAAACTGTAAAACATTAATGCAAGAAATGGAAGAGAGCATAAAAAAAAGAAAAGATATTTCATATTCATGAATTAGAATAATAAATATAGTGAAAATATTTAAACTACCCAAAGCAATCTACAGATTCAATGCAATTACTATCAAAATACCAATGACATTCTTCACAGAAATAGAAACACTATTTTAAAATTTATATGGAACCACAAAAGTCCCAGAATAGCCAAAGTCATCCTGAGCAAAAACACCAAACTGGAAGGAAGAATCATATTACTTGACTTCAAATTATGCTATAGCACTATAGTTACTAAAACTGCATGGTACTGGCATAAAAAACACACATACATCAGTAGAACAGAATAGAGAACCCAGAAATTAATCCGTACATCTACAATGAGCTCATTTTCAACAAAGGTGCCAAGAACATGCTTTGGGGAAAGAAAAGTGTCTTCAATAAGTGGTGCTGGGAAAACTGGATATTCATATGAAGAAAAATGAAACTAGACCCCTATCTCTTGTCATATACTAAAATCAAATCAAAATAGATTGAAGACTTTAATCTAAGACCTGGAACTATGAAACTGCTGCAAGAAAATATTGGGAATACCCTCCAGGATGTTGATCTGGCAAAGATTTCTTGAGTAATACCCCACAAACACAGGCAACCAAAGCAAAAATGGACAAATGGGATCACATCAAGTTAAAAAGCTCCTGCACAGCAAAGAAAAGAACCCACAAGGTAAAGAGACAACCACAGAATGGGAGAGAAATATTTTCAAACTATCCATCTGACAAGAGATTAATAAGCAGAATATATAAGGAACTCAAACAACTGTATAAAGTAAAACTAAACAATCTGATTAAAATACCAGCAAAAGAACAAATGGAGATTTCTCAGAATAAGACATGCAAATGGTAATCAGGTATTTGGAAAATTTCTCGATATCATAGATCATCAGAGAAATGTAAATCAAAAGTACAATGAGATATCATCTCACTCCAGTTAAAATGGCTTTTACCTAAAAGTCTGGCAAGAATGAGTGCTGGTGAGTATGTGGAGAAAATGGAACCCTCGTACATTGTTGGTGGGAATGTAAATTAGTATAGGCACTATGGAGAACAGTACAGATGTCCCTCAAAACACTAAAAATAGAGATACTATATGATTTAGTAACCCTGCTGCTAGGTATATAACCAAAAGATGAGAAATTAGTATACTGAAGATCTATCTACACTCCCATGTTTATTGCAGCACTATTCATAATAGCCAGGATTTGGAATCAACCTAAGTGTCCATCAACACATGAATGGATGTAGAAAATGTGGTACATATACACAGTGGAGTACTATTCTGCCATAAAAAGAATGAAATCTCATCATTTGCAACAACATGGAGGGAACTGAAGGCCATTAGGTTAAGTGAAATAAGCCACGTACAGAAAGATAAACTTCACATGTTCTCACTTATTTGTGGGAGCTAAAAAGTAAAGCAGTTGTGGCACTATTCACAATAGCAAAGACTTGGAACCAAGCCAAATGTCCAACAATGGTAGACTGGATTAAGAAAATATGGCACATATACACTGTGGAATACTATGCAGCCATAAAAAATGATGAGTTCATGTCCTTTGTAGGGACACGGATGACGCTGGAAACCATCATTCTCAGCAAACTATTGCAAGGACAAAAAACCAAACACTGCATGTTCTCACTCATAGGTGGGAATTGAACAGTGAGAACACATGGACACGGGAAGGGGAACATCACACACTGGGGCCTGTTGTAGGGTGGGGGGAGGGGGGAGGGATAGCATTAAGAGATATACCTAATGTTAAATGACGAGTTAATGGGTGCAGCACACCAACATGGCACATGTATACATATGTAACTAACCTGCATGTTGTGCACATGTACCCTAAAACTTAAAGTATAATAAAAAAAAATAAAGCAATTGAACTCACAGAGATAGAAAGTAGAATGATAGTTATCTGTGGCTGGGAAGGGTAGTTGGATGGAGGAAAATGGGGATGGTCAATAGGTACGACAATATAGCTATATAGAATAAATAAGATTTATTATTTGATGATAGTACAGCAGAGTAACTACAGTCAGCAATAATTTGTTGTACATTTTAAAACAACTGAGGGAATATAATTGGAATGTTTGTGTGCTGGTTAATATTGAGTGTCAGTTTGATTGGATTGAAGGCTTCAAAGTTTGGTTTCTACATGTGTCTGTGAGGGTGTTGCCAAAGAAGATTAACATTTGAGTCAGTGGACTGGGAAAAGCTGACCCACCCTCAAGCTGGGTGGGCACAATCAGCTGCCAGAGCGGACAGAATAAAGCAGGCAGAAGAAAATGGAAGGACTAGACTTGCTAGTCTAGATAAAGGTCTTCTGGCCTTTATCTTTCTCCTGTGCTGGATGCGTCCTGCTCTCCAATATTGGACTCTAAGTTCTTCAGCTTTTGGACTCTTGGACTTACACCAGGATGTACCAGGGGCTCTTGAGCTTTCGGCCACAGACTTTTGCTGCACTGTCGGCTTCCCTACTTTTGAGGATTTGGAACTCAGACTGGCTTCCTTGCTCCTCAGCTTGCAGACAGCCTATTGTGGGACTTCACCTTGTGATCCTGTCAGTCAACAATCCTTAATAAACTCCCCTTCATATATACATATATTATGAGTTCTGTCCCTCTAGAGAACCCTGACTAATACAGTTCATAACACAAATAAATGATGAATACTTGAGGTGATTAATATCTCATATACCCTGATGTGATTATTATACATTGTAGGCCTGTATAAAAATTTCTCAAGTATCCCACAAATATATGTGTGTACTATGTACCCATGAAAATTAAAAATGAAAAAATGGAAAAAGAATTCAAATGAAAAGTAGCATCAAGAAAATGAAAAAAAATGCTATTAAATCATTATAGGGTTGATTTTATTTTTCCCTATGCCATACATGTGGATGATTGTAAACATTGTATTTACTGAATTTTCTTCCATGTATCTTCAGTTATGTGAATGTAACAATGTCCACTGAATTATATATTTTAAAGCAGAGTGCATTATAACTAGAGATTTGAAATCCAGGATTATAATCCTAACTCTGCCACAGTCTAAATGTAGAACATTTAAAATGTCACCAAATGCTTTTCTCTAAACGTCAGTCAGATGATGGCAATGATTGTTCTTTACCAGTATCAAAGTAACAGAAACTGGGCATGGATAAAATGTTTTGAAGCCACAAAGAAAAGTTCTTGATGCATCCAAGGTAAAAGTATTAATCAGAGTGATTCCACTTGGCTTTATAAATATTATTCCATTTTTTGTGGGGTCTCCTTCATTCACTTTTTTTCTGATAAAATGAAGTAATGATAGTAGTACCCTCCAGCCCTTATCTGTGGTTTTGCTCTCTGTAGTTTCAATTACCTGTGGCTAACTACTGTATAAAAATATTAAAATGGAAAATTTCAGAAATAAACAATTTAACTTTCTAAACTGTGCATGCACCCTTCTGAGTATTATAATGAAATCTCATGCCATCCCATCAGGATGGATTTCTTTGTCCAGCATATCCACACTGTATACGCTACCTGCCTGTTAATCATTTAGTAGCCATCTTGGTGATCATATTGAATATAAAGGAATTGCAATGCTTTGGTTCAAATAACCCTTATTTTACTTAACAACAACCCCAAAGCATTAGTGTAGTGATGCTGGCAATTTGAATATGCAAAAGAGAAGCCTATAATGTAACTCCTTTAAGTGCAAGGTTGAAGTTTGTGATTTAATAAGAAAAGAAATATAATTGTATGCTGAGATTACTAATACCTGTAGTAAGAAAGAATCTTTGATCACTGAAATCAAGAAGAAGGGATAATAAATTTGTAGCAGACATGGAACCAACCCAGGTATCCATCAATGGTAGATTGGATAAAGAAATTGTGGTTCATACACACCATGGAATGCTATGCAGCCATAAAAAAGAATGAAATAATACTTTTTAAGCAACGTTAATGAAGCCAAGGCCATAATCCTAAACATAATAACACAGGAACAGAAAACCAAATACCGCATGTTCTCATTTAAGTGGGAGATTACATTGAACACACATGGACGTAAATATGGGAACATTAGACATTGTGGACTACTAGAGGGTTGGGGGAGTGGGTTAAAAAATCTACCTATTGGGTACTATGCTTACTACCTGAGTGACAGATTCTGTACTCCAAACCTCAACATCACACAATATTCCCATGTAAGAAATCTGCATATGTACCTCCTGTACCTAAAATAAAAGTTGATTTTTTTTTTAAAGAAATACTTTTGCTGTTGCACCTCAAACTGCAAAATTACGGCCACAGTGCATAAATGCTTAGTTAATATGGAAAAGGCAATACATCTGTGGGTGAATGACATGAACAGGAATGTGTTTTGATTGGTGGCCATTGGGTTCAGTACTGTCTGTGGTTTTAGACATCCACTGGGGGATCTTAGCATGTTTTACCCCATGGATAAGGGTGGGGGGTATTATTGTCCTGCCTTTTGGAACTTTACACCATAGCAGACTATAAAAGACTATCTTTATTTATATTCTAAATGTTCTTGTTTGTATCCAGCCTTGTTCATAAGACACAAAAATATGAGTCATTTTATCATAATAACTGCCAATTTTTGAGGGCTTACTACCATTCAGAAATTTGAAAAACCTCATTTTTGATTCTTAGGAAAGCCATGTGAGGTAAGTAATATATCCATTTCACAGGCAAGGGAAGTGGAGTGCATAAGTATTAAGTAATTTTTCAAGTCAGACTGCAGTTAATTGCAGCGGAGGGTGAGAGATTAATAAAGCAAAAGCCCAACATGTCTGCGTAACTTCTTAAGAAATTTTCAGAGAAGGCAAGCTGTATTTTGAGATTATAATTCTCTTAGTTCCATTGGTTTGAGGTAAATAAATGTTTCTGGTGTGGTCTTCCCAGATTTCCTGGGAGATATGCTTTGTGAGCAAATGGGGTGGAAACTGGGACCCAATCAGTACTCAGTCAAGGAGGAGACAGTCTCCATCTGTTATGTGAGTACAGTCATTGGCCCTCTGTAACCATGGGAGATTGTTTCTAGAGCCCCCCTATGCATGCCACTGTTCACGGATGCTCAAGTCCCTTTTAGAAAATGGCATAGTTCAGTACATGCCTAAGTGGGCAATCCAAGTAAAGTTGAAAAGCAAGTAAGAATTATGATGTCAGAAAGACCTGAGGTCAAATTCCACCGCTTAATTGTTTTAGGACTTGGACAAACTGCTTAATCGCTCTGAATCTCAGTTTCCTCATCTGGAAAATGGTAATAATAACTCAGAGGAGGTGAATTAGTCTGTTTTCATGCTGCTATAAAGAACTGCCCGAGACTAGATAATTTTTTAAAGGAAAGAGGTTTAATTGACTCACAGTTCCCCATGGCTGAAGAGTCCTCAGGAAACTTACAATCATGGCGGAAGGGGAAGCAAACACGTCCTTCTTCACGTGGTGGCAGGAGAGAGAAGTACAGAGCGAAGTGGGAAAAGCCTCTTATAAAACCATCAGATCTCATGAGAACTCACTCACTATCACAAGAACAGCATGCGGGAACTGCCCCCATGATCTAATCACCTCCCACGAGGTCCCCCCCCACCTCCAACCAACACATAGGGATTACAATTCGGAATACAACTCCAGATGAGATTTTGGGTGGGGACACAGCCAAACTGTTATCAGTAAAGTTGTGAGGCTTAAAAGGGTTACATATGTAAAGAGCCCAGGACAGGACCTAAGACATAACAAATGCCCTGTAAAACACAGCCATTAGAGATATCTCAGTATCCTACTTCTCCCTGACTCTTATCTCAGCACATAGATGAGAAAAATAATTATTTTGTGTGTTGAAAGGTTATGAGTTATTTCCATTCTTATAATCTTCCAATTCTAGTGACTATGGGAAAAAACAAAACATTTAAATGGTGATTGCTGATTTTCTTTACTTGTGCTTAAAAATATATTCTCTTCATATAATGCTTTTTTGAGTGTCTATTATGTGTTGGAAAATATGCTGTGCAGTGAGAATACAGTGGAGAATAAATTGGATATAATATATGCACTTATGAAGAGAGAAAAAGCTATAAACTCATTTACTTCATTTGACAAATAATATTGAACACCTACAATGTGTATCATTCTAAGCACTGAAGATAGAATGAGTAACAAAGCATACAAATTCTTGGCTCCTATGAAGCTTCCATTTTAGTGGATGAGACAGAAAATAAACAGAAAATGAGAAGGATTATCCTGACTCTGATGTACTTGTTTATCTGACTTTTGCTTCCTCTCTTCACAATTCTAGGCAGTAGAAGTTGAGGGGATGGATTGGTATGGGCACCTTTTAAAAAAAATTGAATATTTTGTACATCACATTCTCCTAGAAAAAGGTGCATTTTTGGCAACACCATTCAAGTCATATGATTTGAGTCCTCTAGGCTTGGAAAAAAGAATTTTAAGAATCTCTCTCCCCCCACCCTCCTGTCTCTCTCTCTCTCTCTCTCACACACACACAACACACACACACACACACACACAACACACACAACTGCAGGTATCGGAAGACACATATTAACTCCTTCTTTGCATTCCTGCTTTAATAATCCTAACCTCATCATCCACTTTCCATTCACAGACTCTGGCAGACACATGCCTAGGCCTGGTGGTGAGAGGAGCATATATTATTATCACTATTACTCTATTGTTTCAGTAAAAATAATGTATGCAAGCACACTGAAATATTTTATTAAGATTTCTATGCACAAAATGGGAAACTAAAGAAATCAGTAGGAAGAAGTTTGTTTAATGTTGGAAGAATTCATGTAATAGTTGAGCTATGCCACCAAACTAACAAAATAACAAAAAAGTTATTTATGGCTACTTTACAAATAGCTCCCCAAATAACATTACATCATATAGATGTAAATAAAATGTTGACTTTTATCACTTTGCCTTAAGGAAGGCAATATGGATGGTTAAATCAAATAGCTTACTATAATTTTCTCTGCCCTGCCGTAAATATCCCAAACTATTACAGTGCTGATGGGTTTACTGGCACTGACCACACAATTTTTCTCCACCACTCTCTGCCCAGTGAATTCCTTCATTGAAGGATGTGTTTGATTTCTAAGTTGACAGTGGTATACACTCAAGCACATTTGAAGAAATCACAGAAAATTTCATTTCAGTATGAGAAACAAAATGTACTGTTAAAAATTATAAGGTGATATTTCAACTATGCCTGCATATTTTCAAGAATATATCCTTACTCTTTTTCATCACTGCATCAGAAAGAACAATGAAATGCTATTTGAATAAAGTCTAGTAAGAATCAATATAATCATCAGCAACATCAGCAAAATAAGATTTTACCACACAAAGAGAGTTTACCATTCTCAGCATTAGTTTTGGTGTGTTTTTTTTAAATATCTGCTACATTTATGCAAAAGATTAGAAAATGTTTAACAGCTTCTTTTCTTTGACTATAGATAGGTAAGAAATCTTTACATTGTTGGGAGATTCATTTATTATCATATTTTCTCCAATTTATGTGTAATACATCTTATCTATTGGGAGATTATAAACTCCCTGTTGGTAATAACTCCATCATTTCATTTTTGCACGTCCAAGAGTATATAATATAGTGAAGGGTGCCTACTAGGTATTAAGCAAATATTTCACAAATTTAAATTTAATTGAAAATAAATACTTCCATTACACTCACTATATATAAAAATATAACCACCTCAGTTGCATGGTTACATCTCCTCCCAGTATTTCTTCCCTGCTATTCACTCTAATTAGATTTTTTTTATCATTGTGAAGAAGGTCCTTAACTCTAAATGGATTTTGAAAAATTTTCATTCCTACAGTAGATTTTTGTAGCAATGGTAATACCAGTTGTTAATATTAGTTTTTATCGTGTGTCAGGGTTTTCTTGAAGTTAACAAATGGCGGGAAGAGCAACAAGTCTTAAACTGTAATGTGACATCTAAATATCAAATATTGTGATTGGTATACCCACATTCTGTCCCAAGGGTTTGTCACATTTTGATCTGCCCGCATACTGGAGCCACATGAGGAGTGACATTAAGGTATTACATCCTATGTGTATACATGCTTTATGTTATTTCTTTTTTTCCCCCCCTTTTGTCTTTTCTTTTTATTTTATTTTTATTTATTTTTTTTTTTGAGACGGTGTTTAGCTCTTGTTGCCCAGGCTGGAGTGCAATGGCGCGATCTCGGCTCACCGCAACCTCCGCCTCCCGGGTTCAAGTGATTCTCTTGCCTCAACCTCCCTAGTAGCTGGGATTACAGACATGTGCCATCATGCCAGCTAATTTTTGTATTTTTAGTAGAGATAGGGTTTCACCATGTTGTTCCAGGCTGGTCTCCAACTCCTGACCTCAGGTGATCCACCCACCTCGGCCTCTCAAAGTGCTGGGATTACAGACTTGAGTCACCACGCCTGGCCAATTCCTACTACTTGAAATGTGGATCAGTAACATACTAATAAGCAGAAGAATGGGATTATTTTTCTCAATTACCATTCCCTGCCCTTTTAAAAAAAAAAGATATATCATTGATTTTCTTGTGGTTTCTCAGCAGTATCTGGCAGAAATTGAAGTAACATTCCTGACCTTCATGATGTTATACAACATGTAAAATTAAATCATGATGACAGAAAAAGGAAGGAAAACAAATTGATGGCATTGTTCTGTAAAACTCAAGTGAATTGAGTAAATACTTGACAGTGTAATGAGACATAGTAGAACAGAGGAAAGATATTAGATTCTTCCATATTCTAGTTAATTCTAACTGCAACTCACTGAAGAAAAAAATGTAGGTATATGGGTGATATGATTTGGATGTTTGTCCCTTCCAAATCTCATGTTGAAACATAATCCTTAGTGTTGGAGGCGGGGCCTGGGGGGTAGTGTATGGGTCATGGGGACAGATCCCTCATGAAGTGTCCCCCTCACGGTAATGGTTTCTCACTCCATTAGTTCACGTGTGAGCTGGTTGTTTAAAACAGCCTAGCAGTGCTCTTGCTCCTTCTCTTACCTTGTGAAAGGCCTGCCTCCCTTCACTTTCCACCATGACTGAAAGCTTCCAGAGGCCCTCACCAGAAACAGTTGCTGGTACTATCCTTCCTGTACAGCCTGCAGAACTATGAACTAAAATAAACCTCTTTTCTTTGTTAATTACCCAGCCTCAGGTATTCCATGATAGCAACACAAGATGGACTAATGCAATGTGTTTAAAATAAAGAGGAATATCTTGCCTAGTTGATAACAGTATGTCTGTAGTCACCAACTAGATAAAGATACCTTCAAAAGCAGCAGACACCTGTTCACCTAGAAATTCATTTGTCATTTTGGGATGGGGTAAGTTATGCATTGACATATACTGCATGAATATTAATGCAACGTTATGATCTTGAACCCTTTAAATGTGCACATTTATCTTTAGTGCTTATTAAATTGAAGAATAATTAGAGCTAACACTAATCTCTTCAGTGATTCTAAAATGATAACTGGCAAAAATGATAATCTTTAATAAAATAACTCTCCAACATATCCTTCCAAATAGAAACTCATGAAAAATGAACTGTTGAACAATGACATAGTTAGGTGGCTCTCATGAAAGATTTGCAGTTAACTAATTCTATACGGAGACTGTTAGTTCTTCACTTTTTATCAATTTCAAATTCCTTTTAAGAATATTTTTAATTTAACCTATTTTCTTTTATATTGTAGGGGTGTCATGCCCTCCTCTATAGAGCAGTTTTATTCACAGATCTGTCTGCTAATTTTTTTTTTAGTAATTCAAGATCTCTATCTCTATTTCTCTGTCTGTAAAGCAGTTGTTATTCAGCAGCAGTGGTTGTTTAGAGGTTAATGATATCCTATTAACATTATGACAGAAATGGGTCAATTGTGCCCTGTATGAAATGGAGCAAAGTGGCAATACATAATATGTTCATTCCTGGTCAATTATAGTAGTCCAGTGTTAAGGAGGCACTGAAGGGTTTAGGGTTGGAATAGGATTCTAATTATCTTGTCTTTAGAAATTAATGCAGTTCCAGAAGACACTGAGTACTGAGTAAATTTTTGAGGATTAGATAAATAAATGCGTCAATGAGGTGTTTTTGTTTTTTGTTTTTTGTTTTTTTTGAGATGGAGTCTCATTCTGTCGCCCAGGCTGGAGTGCAATGGCGCAATCTCGGCTCACTGCAACCTCTGCCTCCCAAGTTCAAGCGATTCTCCTGCCTTAGCATCCCGAGTAGCTGGGATTACACGCGCGCACCACCGTGCCCAGCTCATTTTTGTATTTTTAGTAGAGACGGGGTTTCACCACGTTGGTCAGGCTGTTCTCAAACTGCTGACCTCGTGATCCGCCAAACTTCGCCTCCCAAAGTGCTGGGATTACAGGCGTGAGCCACTGCGCCCGGCCTCAGTGAGATTTTAATTCAATGAAGAAATTTTAGAAGTTTGAAGATTTTATTGGAAATGAAGTTAGGGGTTGGGTTTTATTGTTTTGTTTAAAGGCCCATTTGTGGCCATTGGCTAATGTTGGCTTAGGGTTAGGTTTAAGCCCAATTTATTAGGTACTTATGAGTAGCAATGATCAAAAGTACAGATTTCATAGATTCCTTGAAGTGGACTTTGTGGGTGGTTTATGGAATATAATATTAGTACCTTTGTATGCCATGATTCTGTTTTCCATCTTAAAGCATCAATATTCAGTTTCATGGAAAGAATTATCTGAATGATTTGTAGCAGGAACTTTGTCACTCCAATTTACACATAAATATGTGGCTTAGTATTCACTGGGCATCTGAGCATATGTATCTATCTATATCTACATATCTATATCTATATCCATATCTCATCATCTATGTCTATATCTATATCATTAATATACCTTTATCTCCAGCAGGAAATTCCAAAAGGCATCTGAAAACTGATTATTTGTGGTTTACAATTAAGTGTTCACCACATTTAATGCTCACAGGGGAACTTGATTTATCTTTTGTTCCAATTTGGTACAACTCGTCGTTTCCCCATGACTAATATAATGATGCACCTAAATGAGAAAATAGAAGAATATTGCCAAAAAGTTAAATTAGCTTATCTATTATTCTGCTAGGAAAACTGCCATCAATTTACACATGGACTTTCTTATATAATAAACCATGTCAGAACAAGAATTGACTAGATTTTGGTGTGAGAGGTATGGGAGTATGCTTATTTAATTTAGACTCAAATCATTTTACTCTTTCTCTTTTAATTTCAATTTTATTTTTGAGGCCAAATAATGAAAATATTTGCTATGGGAAATAGTGTATTAAATAATTACAAGCTATAACTCTCAATTTATCACAAGGCTGTCATTTAATCTAATGAGCTTCTTTTAGGCAGCCTTTGCATAACACAAAAACAAAATGTCTATTAAAAGAATCTTTTATCTTTTCTTAAATTGATAATTAATGAGTGCCTATTATTTGAATGTTTATTTCCTAAATCTGAGGTCTGAGGAGAGAAAGAATGAGGAAGATAATTAAGAAAAGTCTCTTGACTATCAAGAAGTTTATCTTTTGCTTATAAAGAAATGAGACATAAGGACATGCTAAGGGTTTGCTCAATATAGATCTAATTGGTACAAAGGTGATGAGGGAATATTCCTGCCCTAGGGAATATTGCTGCAGTATGGCACACTTTATAGGAGATTTAAGAGAGCCAGGTATAGAAGAAGAGCTGCACCTGTATCTTGTCCCAAAGGCATAGTTCTTAGCAACAGCAACATTCTGGGTCTGGGATCTCTTTGTATAAAAGTAACTGGGTGAATGTAAGATGTGAGTAGCAGAGGGCACAGATGTGAAAGGGCCACATGTACTATATCACAATGAAATCTGTGTTATCAGTTATTGGGTAAGAGAGATACTGTACATTTCTGAAACACGTATCTTGACTCGTGCCATTGTCTTAATATATCCTCCAAAATTCATGTGTTGGAAACTTAATTTCCAATGCAGCAGTATTGGGAGGTGGGGTCTTTTGGGAGATACTTGCTCATGAAGGCTAGGACCTCATAAATGAATTAATACTGTTATAAAAGAGCTTGGCAGAGGTATTTCACCTCCCTTGCCCTCTTCTTCTTGCTATGTGAGGACACAATATTTTCCTCTCTGGAGGAAGCAACATTCAAGGCACGGTCTTGGAAGCAGAGAGCAGCGCTCACCAGACACCATTGCTGTAGACACCTTGATCTCTGACTTCTCAGTCTCCAGAACTGTGAGAAATAAAGTTTTTGTTTTTTCTAAATTACTCAATATTTGGTATTCTGTTACAGCAGAACAGAACAAACTAAGATAACTAGATAAAAAATGTTTTTCTCAAAGATTCATTATGTTATATGTTATGCTAAAGCAGGAAATGGAGTTAAGAGAAAGATTGGTAGAGTTGGAAGAAGTAGGAATTCAACTTCAAGCCAATGAGGAAAAAAAAATGAAACAAAACACAGGTATTTCAGTTGAGATAAACAAAGCATGTATTTATTTTTGGATGATAGTTCTGCTGGGGACACAATTCTAGAATAATGGTTATTTTCTCTCACCATTTCCGCCAGTCTAATTGTTATTTCTTCACCTGTGATCTCTCTTTTCATTTGGCCCGATTTAATCTTAATAATTGATTTCTGCACTTTTGTTAGAATGTTTTGAGATGTCGATTTCTAATTATTTATTTATTATATAGTACATGACATATATTTATTTATAGATTCTAGTGTTTCAAGAATTTTGAAAAATTCTCAGCCATTGTATCTTCTAATATTGCTTCTCCTATGACTTCTGTCTTCTATTTCTCTTGAACTGTGATGAGGTGTCTTCAGATCTTTTCATTCTATACTTCATATCGCGTAAGCCTTGCTCTCATATTTTGGCTCTCTTTAGCTATGTGCTACATTCTTATAAATTTCTCTAGCGCTCACTTTCAGTTCAGTAATTCTCTCTTTGGCTGAACTAATCTAATATTTTACCTATTCATTGAATCTAATTATGTTTTCATCTTTTAAATTTAATTATTTCTTTTATAAGTCATATTGATAATCTTTTTCCTTTCTCATATTTATGATTTTGTGTTTTTTAAGCATTTCATTTATAGTTTTTTTATTCTTTTCTAGTAATTCCAATATTAAGATTTGTTGTTGTTTTTTCTAACTCTCACTTATGTTAGCTTGTTTTCTTGTGAGTTGTTTTTGACAGGGTTAACATTTCATGATCTTAATTTTTTAGGGCTAAACTGGACCTGCTTTTCTCCAGAAAGTATTTGACTTTGCTTCTTCTTGAAGCCAGGTGGTGCTTGGTCTCTGTGTTAGATAGAGCATCTCAGAGACAAACTCATAGTTGGAGATTTGCATAGGGAAGTTTACTATAGAGTGCTCTTGGGGACAAAACCTGTGAGGAAGAGAGGGAAACAGGAGTTGGCAGAGGGAGAAGTGGAACAGTGGTGAAGTTTGACTTGATCTCACTAGAGTTTGGATACCTTTAGAACTGTCAATCAAATTAAGGCAAGGGGGCTGATCATTTGCATCCCTGCATCAACCAGCTGTTAGATTTGGTTTCAACTGGAGAGGGACTATGAGATTGGGTGACACAGCTCCCTTGGCCAAGGGCAATTCATGCATGAACAAGGACAAAAATGCAAGCCATCAGCAGCCTGCTGTCCCAGAAGTTGGGGCAATAAAGTGCCTTGTTCCTGAAGGGGTATCAAGGGCACCACAACCTTTACTATAGTTTACCTCTTGCACTGCTCAGATCTAATTACTTATTTTGGTAAAGTCACCTAATTTGGGAAAAAGCTCTTCTAAGATTTTGTTTGGCGCTATATCCTGAGGAAATATTTAAAGAAAGTTGATGGGAAAACTAAAGTTTTCACTTACTGCAGTTCTTAAGGCTTTACTGACAATTTTCTTCTCTTCCACTAATCATTCTAGATTTCTCTCACATTTGGTTAGCATCTCTGCTATTTTCAGTGCCTTACCTGGTAATGTGACACAGACCTTTATCACTGAGGAGTGTGTGCTCCTTATCACTATTAGTTGGTAATGTCCTGCTCAATCATATACATATATCATTAAAATTGAGGAGGACATTATCAACTAAAGCCCCAGTGGATTGCCTGGGAGCCACACGTGCTATTTCCTGCACCACTGTTTAAAAACAACTCTCTTCTTTCTACTGACCAAGTTCAATTATCCCTGACAGAATGCTGATTCTTCCTTGACTATTTGTCTTTTGTTATAAAAAGTTCAAAGTGAGTGGCTCGTAATGATAGCTTGAATTTTAATGGGATTCTTACTACATCCTTTTATGAAAGCCTTCTTTCTTTGGACTTCAGGGCCTCTAAACCAAGACAGCCTAAATTTGCAGGGACAAAAATGATAAATTATCCAAGTGGCTTACTGGGAGTAATGGTAAATGGTACCAATCATACTTCAATGCCTTGGCTTCTAGAAATATGTATGCTACTTAAGGGAAAACATCACCATAGAGTGGTCATTGATGAAAGGTATATATTACATCCTAGAAGATGATTTCCATCCTGCAGAACAGCCTTTGTAAGCGGCATCTTCAAAAAGCCATTTCAGTTTTCTATAGGCTGAGAGTGGATACCCTGGACATATGCCAAGTGCTGCATTTCCTTTGTTGTAAAATTGTTACCTATTCCATGGCATTGTTTTGTAGGATCCCAAGTTTTGTAGGATCCCAAAGTTTTGGTGGATGACACTTTCAAAAAGTTTTAGATAGTGGTGCTAGTCACGGCCCTACAAGAAAGTTCAGCAAAAACATTCCTAGCTATGTACTGATTTTGTTATGATAAATACACATACCTTCCAGGGTAGAAGAGGTTCAATATAATAAACTTGCCGTGATATGGCTGATTGGATTTCTCAAGCTATAATGCTATGTTGAGGATTAAGCATTGGTCTGTTGCTAGGAGACATTGGCAGTGGAAGAAAAGATATTAGCCTAGGTCCTAGGTCAGTAAAAATCCATGTTCTTGAGCTCATGCAAAATTTCCACCTTTATCTTTATGGCTACTCCATCCATGGGCTCACCATGACAGCACAGGGGTAGCCAATGAGAGAGGCTGGCTGACATCAACTGATGAAAATCCTTCTATCGTTTTATTTTTTTTCTTTTTTCTTTTTTTTTGTTTTTGTTTTTGTTTTTGTTTTTGAGATAGAGTCTCGCTGTCGCCCAGGCTGGAGTGCAGTGGCAACGATCTTGACTCAGTGCAACCTCCACCTCCCGAGTTCAAGCAATTCTCATGCCTCAGCTTCCCAAGTAGCTGAGACTACAGTCATGCACCACCATGACTGGCTAATCTTTTTGTATTTTTGACAGAGACAGGGTTTTGCCATGTTGGCCAGATTGAACTCGAACTCCTGACTTCAAGTGATTTGCCTTCCTTGGCTTCCCAAAATGCTGGGATGACAGATGTGAGCCACCGCGGCTGGCCTGTTGGGTTGTTTAATGTTTCCTCCATAGTGGATCCTCCCTGGTGGGCGTAACTATGTGGTATAAATATCTTTGGTTCCTATCATAATCCCAAAAGATATAATCCCCAATACCATAATCTCAAATGTTAAAAAGTCTCAAAAGATCAAAATCCCTAAAATCTAAAATCCTTAAAGCCTAAAATCAGTTTTAAAATGTGTCATTTTGTCTGCATTGGCAGTCCTTCCAGCTGCTAAAAGCTTCCAGAAGCTTTTAATGAATCAAAGCTACATTTGCCTGAAGAAACCAGTGAAGTTACTAACTGGTTCAAAAATAATCACATGCACAGTAGGATAAGAAGACATGCAAATATTGCTGTTAGAGCAACAGTATTGTTTACTCCTAATCTGTGGTCTGTATAAGAGTGCATGAGAGAAATGTATTTCCATGCACCCAAAACAAAATAGAAGCATTGCACAGAAGATGGAAACATTAAGAAGGAATGATCTTATGGATGTATATCCAATCATAGAAGCATTTGCAAAAGATCAATGCCGCATGAAAAATGAATTCAAAACTACCCATCCCTTCAAATAAAAGAAGCTACTTATTGCAATGCAAGACTTTAAAATATAGTAATGATGATAAAAGCCAGCCAGCTTTTATGGACTACCCTTATGCCATTGCCCATAATCTACTCCTGTAATACATTTTTGTTTTCGTATGTTAAAGTTAGCATTAGTTTTTCTGTTTTTTTTCACATTTTTTCCTTTCTTCTCTTTTTTTAAATTTTTGCTGTTTTAAATTGTCAGCATTAGAAATAAATAATTACCCATGCTCTGTATTTCATCTTTGTACCATTTTCAATACTGAAGGTATAAATGAGGTAAAGATGTTTAGAGGATTCTAATTTGTTTTACGTATTTTTTGAAAATTTAACTCTATGAAAGTGCATTATCAGAAAATTGACTTTGCATATAAGCATTGGGCATGTATATAAAAATGTTGAAACTTCCTCAATATATGGAGATGTCCTTTTTGCACATCTGGATTGATGAAAGATAAAATTTCTGAAGAGTTCAGCTCTTTTAGTGACTGCATATGTGATTGTGACCCATCATAGTTTTTGATCCATCTTGTCAAAAGACTTGTCTGTCAAAGTATTTCAGGTGATTATAGTTATAAAGCTGGGTGCATGCAATTACCAGCCACATTCATATGCATTTGTATTTTTCATTATTTGTCCTATTTCTTTATGATGTGTTTCATCTGCTCATAACTGTTATACCCATGCAACTGTCATTAGTATACCTGTTTATGCTTGCAAAAATAATGTTATTATTTTCTATTTTATTGTGTAAAGTGGTCTATGAAGTGTTCTATTGTGTTTTTGTATGTTTAACAAATAAATCCCCATTTAAGATGCAAATTAACATATTTTAAAAGTGTTTCGGAATTATTATTTTCAGAATTATATTTTCAGGATTTTGATCTTTCAGGATTTTGATTTTCAAGATTTTAGACTTTCAGGATTTCAACATACTGGATTATAGCATTTGGACTGTTTCTTTTGGGATTATGGCCCCAAACCAAATATCTTCATACCTTATGCACATTTCCGTAAGTATGGCATATGCATTTTTCTCCAGAACACTGTGCCTGTTTTCTGGGCTAAGGAAGAGGTAATAATGCAGCATTAATTGATTAAATGTTTCTGAGTCATTTGCTTGTACAGTTTATCTGTACAAATGAGTATTTGACGCTACTCATGTCAAATCCTGGATGTGTCTTCCATTCTATTACAGAATGATGCTGGGTCTTTTCAAACCTATGCTCATGAATAGCAGATTTAGTCATATGGTCATTTGAGGTCTCATGGTTAGTTTTTTTCATCTTTATGAAACAAAATACAGTGCTAGATGCTGTTTTGATTGGTCTAGAATTTAATACTGCAGATGAAATGGCCTTGCTCCAGGGCCCTAGGGATCTATATTGCTATTCTTTTTTTTTTTTTTTTTTTTTGGAATTTGCCATAAATTCCACTGGGGATGTTTTCCTACCACCCATACTCTAATATGGTAAGACCTGCCAGGTCATATGGATGACGTTTTAGGACTGTATTACAGCAGCCTGTTTCTCTTACAGGTCTAGTTTTGCTTTGGACTCCACTCCAAGCTGGAAGCTTTCCTTATCACTAGATAAATAGGTTGGAACAAAATCCCAAGAGTAAAATATGCTATTTCCAGAACAAAAAGAGGTATTCTAAGCATTGTTTCTTTCTTATTACAGGAAAGTATAAAGTCAAATAATTTTTTATACATTTGTAGGAATGTTTAATCATGACACAGACCATGGAATACTTACACTTTGCTAATGTCATGAGCCCCCGAAACTTCATTTTTTTTTTATATTTCATTTTCTGAAGTGACTTAACAAGTCATCCAATGTACTTGCCACTTTAACTCCTCTAGTTCAATTTATGTGACACTCTATACAGTAGACTAATTAATTGTTTTTGTGAAATGTCTAGATTGCCCAAGTTCCTTTGAGCTATATTAGGATGGAGAGTGGGAGTATTACTATCACTGGGATGAACACTACATGTGTACTCTTATTTATCCCATATGATTGTGAATTGTTTCTGATCTTAATTCCTGATAGAGATAGAAAAAATTCATTCACCTCAAACCACATACCATGCATCTGAAGCTATGTTAATCTATTTTCATGAGATATCATATTTGGGACAGTAACTGTAATTTGGGCTATGACTTGATTAAGTTTGCAGGAGTCAACTTTCATATGCGGGTATCTATTTTTATTGGGGTAGGGGGTATTGGAAAGAAGGCCAGATTTTTGAATTAAGTAGAGAAATGTTGGGAAACACTGCTCTAGTGATCTTTGTGTCTTTAAGATTGCACTAATCTCTGCCATTCTCTCAAGAATGTGATACTGGGTACTTTTCTCATATTTTTAATATCTTAATGTTTATTAAGGTATTATTTAATTACAATAAAATTCATTTGGTTTAAGTACATAGTTTGATGGATTTTGGTAACTGTATACATGCCTATACTAACAATGTGGTTAATATACAGATCAATTTCTTCACTTCAGATACTTCCTCTGTGCTCCTTTGCTGTTGATTTCCTCCCCAATTCTCAGGTGAGGAACCAACTGATTTTATTTCTGTCACCATAGTTTTACCTTTTCTATAATTTTATATAAATTGATTCATATGGCATATATTGTGTTTGATTTATAATTAGCATAATGACTTTCAGATTGAGGTATGGTGTTGCATTATTAATAATTATTTATTTCTGTCACAGAGTAATAGTTAACCCTAGATGACCAATTGATGGTATTTGAGTTGTATCTGTTATAATTAACACTGACATGAATATTTTTGTACACATCTTTGGGTAGAGTTATGTTTTTACTTATCTTGAATGCACATGTACGAATGAAATGTCTATGGATAAAGATACTTGTTTAACTCTGTAAGATATTGCTGTACTTTTTTCCAAAGTGGCTGTACAATTTTACATTCACATTAGCAATGTATGAGAATTGTAGTTCCTCTGCATCTTTCTCAAAATTGTTGTAGTCAGTCTATTTAACTTTGACTGTTCTAGTGGGTGTGTAATTTTACCTCACTGTGATTTTAATTTGCATCTCTCTGAAGCCTAGTGATGTTAATATCTTTTCATGTGTTTATTACTCATTCACATATGTTCTTTTTAAAACTATCTTTATGAATCTCTTACTCACTTAAAAATTTAGTTGTTTAATCTTACTGTTGAGTAATAAGATTCATTTATATATTCCAGGTACAAATCCATTTCATAAGTATTTTATAATACTTGTGGTATGTGGCTTGGCTTTTTGTTTGTTAACTATGTCATTCAGAAAACAAACATTTATAGTCATGATAAAATCTGTCTTACAAATTTATTTTTTATAGTCTGTGCTCTTTGTATCCTGTTTTAGAAATCATTGTCTAACCCAGTGTTTTATTCTGAAACTTTATCAGATTTACCTTTTACCTTCTGTGTAATCTATTTCAAGTTAATTTTTGTGTACAGTCTGAGGTGAGGGTTGAAGTTCATGTTTTTCCATACTGATATCCAGTTGTTCCAGCACTATTTGATCTTTTGATCTTTTCTCAATTGAATTACTTTGCCATCTTTGTTGTAAGTCAATAGGCCATATAAGGGTGGATCTATTTCTGGAGACCCAGGAATGTCAGTGGTATAATTCATGTAACTAAGTTTGAGTCCAGAGGCCTGAGAAGCAGGAGGGCAGGAGAAGACAGACATCCCAGCTCAAACAGAGAGAGAGAGAGTGAATATGTTTCTCCTCTGCCTTTTTGTTCTATGTGGCCCCTCAACAGATTAGATGATGCCAACACACATTGCCCATCTTGATAAAATTGAGTCTACCAGTCTGTAAACATTAGGTGTTCTTCGATTTCCTTGTGACATAGTTTATTGCTGTTTATTGTTTTCTATTTTTTTTTTGAGACAAAGTCTCGCTCTGTCACCCAGAATGGAGTGCAGTGGCCTGATCTTGGCTCACTGTAACCTCTGCCTCCCATGTTAAAGCGATTCTCGTGCCTCACCCTCCCTAGTAGCTGGGACTACGGGCCGCACCAACATGGCCTGCTAACTTTTGTATTTTTAGTAGAGACAAGGTTTCACCATGTTGGTCAGACTGGTCTCGAACTCCTGATCTCAAGTGATCTACACACTTTGGCCTCCCAAAGTGCTGGGATTCCAGGCATGAGCCACTACACCTGGCCTCTAGTTTATAATTTTCAATGTTTTTGCATATATTTTGTTAATTTTATTTCTATTTTTATTTTATTTTTATTTTTTATTTTTAGGCTATGATAACTGGAATTATTTTATTTTTAATTATTTGTTGATAAAATACAGAGATGTAACTGTATTTTGATTATTAATGCTACATATTACAACCTTGCTAAACATGCTTGTTGACTTTAGTAGTTTTTATACAGTCCTTATGGTTTTCTAAATAAACAATCATGCTGTCTATAAATGAGATAATCTGAGTTTCATTTATTTATTATTCTTGCTTTATTGTACAATATCAACTAGAAGTGGTTAGAGTAGACAGCCTTGCCTTGAGTATGCTATCAGCCATAGAGCCATAGTTTTTTTGTTTTTGTTTTTGTTTTTAGATGCCCTCAGTCAAGTTAAGGAAGTTCTTATTTATTTTTAGCTTTTTGAAAGATTTTAAAATTACAGATGGCATGGGGCTTAGTTAAATGCTTTCCTTTGCATGTCTTGAAAAATCTATAAAGTTCTTTTCCTTTATTTTATAAATATGGTAAATTACATTGATTCATTTTCAAATGTTTAACAAGCCTTGCATTTCTGGGATAAAGACCATTTGGTCCTGGTATGTGTATGTGGTTTCATTTGATTAAATTTGGTTAAAGATTTTTGCAAGTTGTTTATAAGGAGTATTGGTTTGTAGTTATTTTGCTTTCAAAACTTTAAATTTTGGCTGGACGTGGTGGCTCACGCCTGTAATCCCAGCACTTTGGGAGGCCGAGCCAGGTGGATCACGAGGTCAGGAGTTCAAGGCCAGCATGGCCAAAATGGTAAAACCCTGTCTCTACTAAAAATACAAAAAATTAGCCGGGTGTGGTGGTGAGTGACTGTAATCCCAGATACTCGGGAGGCTGAGGCAAAGAATTGCTTGAACCCAGGAGGCAGAGGTTGCAGTGAGCTGAGATCATGCCACTGCACTCCAGCCTGGGCAACAGAGCAAGACTCCATCTCAAAAAAAAAAAATACTTTAATTTTATTTGGTTTTGGAATTAAGCAAACTGGCCTTATAGATTAAATTGGAAAGTGTTACTTCCTCCTCCTTTTTCTAAAAGATTTTTGCATAGGATTGGTGTTATTTGTGTCCCAAATGTTGAATTGAGCTTACCAGTGATGCCATCTAGCCTGGAATTTGATTGTGAAAATAATTTCAATGAAAAACTTAATATATTTAACTGGTACAGGACTATTTACACTTTCTAATTCTTGTTGGGTTAGATTTAGTAATTTTGTCTTTCAAAGAATTTGTCCATTTCATTTAGGTTATTAAATTTATTCATATTAAGTTGTTCACAATATTCTTTTATTATCCTTTTAATGCTGGAAGGATCTGTAATGATGTCCCTTCTTTCAATTCATAATATTAGTAATTTATCTCTTTCCTTCTTTTTTTGATCATTTTGGCTAGATTTATAATCATTATTAAGTGTTTTCTGAATGATTAAGTTTTGGTTCCATCGATTTTCTCCACAGTGTTTATACTTTTCACTTCATTGATTTCTGCTGTACCTTTAATAATATTTTGCCCCTGCTTGATTTAGGTTTAATTTTCTCTTCTATGTTTCTTATCATAGAAATTTGGATACTTGACTTAAGATTTTTCTTATTTTCTAACACATACATTTTGAGCTATACATTTTCCTCTATGTGGCAAATCCCAAAAGTTTTATTTTTTTTAACCATTAGGTTAAAATATTTTCTTTTTTTGTAATTTCTTCTTTGACCCAATCTTTATTTTAAAATATATTCTTCCATTTAAAAATATGTAGAGTTTTTCTGGTTATTTTACTGTTATTGATTCTTAATTTAAGTTTCATTTTGGTCTGAGATCATAATCTGTTTGCATTCAATATGTTAGGAGATATTGTGGCTTGTTTTGTTACCCAGAATTGTCTATTCTGCTGAATACATTGTGGCCAAATAAAAAGAATATTTATGTTGCCTTTGTTGGGTTTAGGGTTCTGTAAATATCCATTAATTCAATGTGGTTATGGTTGTGAAATTGTCTTTTTATCTCTTTAATTCTGTCTTTTTTTAAAATTTATGTATATTGAAACTCCGTTACTCGAGCATGCTCGAGCAACATTTTTTATGTCTACCTCATGAATTGACACCTTTATTATTACCAAGTGTCTCTATATCTCTGGTTATATATTCATTTTAAAACCTATTTTATCTAATATTCTGCTTTCTTATACTTACTGTTTGTGTATTTGATTTTATATACACTTAATTTTAGCTACTATTATCTTTATGATTTTAATCTGTCTTTTGTTGTTAGCATAATATTCAACCTTTTTTGTTTTGCCTTGTTTTTAATATTTTGTTAATCTGTGCCTTTAAATAAAATGATTTGGTCTATAACTTTTAACAAAACTATGGATATGGTTTTGTTTGAGTCTACCATGTTGTTTCTCCTTCTCTGCTTATCTTTGTTTTTGTTGTTCCTTTCTTCCTCCTTTTTCTGGGATTATTAAAATTTTTTTAGAATTCCATTTTAATTTTTTTTGTTATATACTATGGTTCAAATATTTCTGTGCCCTCCAAAATTTATGTTGAAACTTTATTCCCAATTTAACACTATTAAGAGGTGGGACCTTGAAGAGGCGATTAGGCCATGAGGCTTCTGCCCTCATTAATGGATGAATGCTTTTATGAAGAGGTTCAAAGAAACTAGCTAGGTCCCACTGACCTTCTGCCTTCCTCCCTGTGAGAATACAGAATTCACCTGTTCTGCCAAGTGAGGACCATCAAAAAGGCCCTCGTTCAACCCTGGATGCTGGCAACTTTATATTGAACTTCCTAGTTCCTGAAATGTGAGAAATAAATTTCTATTAGTTATAATTTACTCAGTCGCTGATATTTTGCATAGCGGCACAAATTAACTAAGACAGTAAACTACTTTGCCTTTTTAAATGGCTGTCTTAAAGATTTCATATTCATATGGATCTATTTACAGCCCACCTAGATTTAATAAAGTACTGCTTTATGTAATTTATAGAACTATTACAAACCTATATGTTCACATATACTTGTCTTTATAATTGTTACATGTAATAATGCTATATTAATTATCAACCTAACAAACTTATGATTTTTTGTTTTGAAAAGTCATATAATTTATAAATATATTAATGAGAAAAGGCAAATAGACAAACACATAGTATTTTGCACTAAGACAGTTACTTATTATTTCTGAGGTTTCTCATTCTTTTCTGAGGATCCATAATTTCATCTGGCATTATTTCTCTTTAGCTTAAAGAGCTTTCTTTTGTACTTTTTTGTATAGCAGGACAGTTGGTGATGGGTTTTCTTTCCTTTTTCTGGGTATGTCTTTCATGTGCCTTCATTTCAAAATGTGCCTTCATTTCAAAATGATATTTTCACTGGGTGCATTTTTTTTTCTCAGCACTTCAAGAAAGATGTTCTACTCTTACGTGTTCTCCATATTTCTGATGAGAAGCCAGCCATTAATCAATTTGTTGTTTTCTGTAGGTAATACATTTTTTCCTTGCTGCTTTCAGGATTTGCTCTTTATCATTGACTTTCAACAGTTTGATTACAATATGCCTTAGCACCATGTGTATGCGTGCATGCGCGCGTGTGTGTTTTCTGTTTGGTGTTCATTTAGCCTATTGGATCTGCAAATCTCTGTCTTTAGTCAAATTTGGGCAATAAATTTCAATTTTTTAATATTTATTTTTCTGCTTGATTCTTCTCTCCTAGTATTTCAATTACATATATGTTTTATAGTTTGATAATATCGAGCAAGTGTCTGAAGCTCTGTTTTTTTTAATTATGTTTTCTTCTTCATCTTAGGTAATTTCTGTTGTTCTATCTTCAAATTCACTTACTCTTTTCTGTATTCATTAGCTATTGATAAGTTCATTGGTGAATTTTATTTCAGAAATTATATTTTTAGTTTTAGAATTTCTATTTGTTTTCCACTTCTTTCTGATTAAACTTTATTTTCTTTGTTGAGATTTTTATCTCTTTAAAACATATTTTTCTTATTTATTGAGGATAGTTATAATAGCTACTTTAAAATCATTTTCTCTTAGTCATTTTGGGGCCAGACTTGATTGCTTTTATCTTTTATATTTTATATTTTCTTGTATATCAGGTAATTTTAGAATATATTGTGAACACTCTGGATATTAGGCTATGTAGAATATGAATTCTGTTAGTTTTGTCTAATAAGTGTTTGTCCCTTTGCTTTAACAAGTAATTTTGTTGTCTGGGCTTGAACTGTAAGCCCTTCCTTTGGTCAAGTGATCCAGTCTTGGTTCTGACTTTTTAATTTTATTTTAACTTGGTTGCTTTCAGTCCGTTCAACATGAGTGGTTTAAGGATCAACCAGAGATGTAAAATGACAGAGTTTAGGAATTTCCTCTTTGGAATTTTCCTTCACAGAATTTATCTACTCCAGCATTTCTGGTTTCCTAGTTTCTGTTTTCTGGTTCTCTGGGATAGAAAAATTGGCATTTTCCATTTGGACTCTATTGCTGTTGTGTGCACAGTCAGGATGACCTTTCTCCTGAGGCTAAAATCAGGTAGTAAGGAATTTACTTGTAGAGGCTCCTATTCCCTTGTTCTTCAAGTAAACATGCACAACTCATGTCTTGTATTGCCTTATGTCCAGGTTTTTAGTTGTTTTCTAAATGGATTAATCTCTTTGGGTTTACTAACGTATTCATTATCCCCCAGAGTGTTAATCTATTTTATTTGCTGTAGCATAGGCTTTTACCAGCACGGTAGCTTTTATCCCATAGCCAAGGAACAATATGAATTCTGACAACTCTCAAGTATGTCCAACAAATTATATATTTTGGAAAAGGAAAAAAAGCACCAGATTGACTTATGGACCCAGTGGATGCACTGTAAGCAAAACTTGAACCCAAACTCCATTTATAACCTTAAATCTATATGACTCACTATAAAGGAAGGAACATGAAAAAACAAAAAGAAACAACAACAAAAATATAAACTTCTCGTCCTGAAAGATTAATGTCAACTCAGACCTATGTCTCACAGTCCTTGAAATAACTGAGTATATATTCATCTTTGCCTAGTGTGTTGTAACATAAGTAAATGGCCATGAGTCTTACTAGAGAAGGACTGGGTGCTTGTCCAAGCTGTGGAGTTGTAGGATCCTTTTATTAGTCAATATGCTCCAAATCTGAAAACTGACTCAGATCTAGACTAAACTTTTTCTTTCTTTTTTTTAAAGCATCTTCCCTCAGCCTCCAAATGTACAATCCTTGATTTCTTCTGTTTGTATAGATCGTGTTTTCTTTTTTACCCCCCAACATCAGCACTATTGCCATTCTGGCCCAGAAAAGTCTTTGTTGTGGGGAGTTGTCTTGTGCATCATATAATTTTTAGCAACATCCCTGCCCTCTATCTGCTAGCTATGACAGCACCCTCTAGGTTGTGACAGCCAAAAATGTCTTTAGACATTGCCAAATGTCTCTTGGGTGGAGGTGAGGGTGTCATAATTGCTCCTTATTGAGAAATACTGGTATAGATTATCAATAATACTGTGGTTGACTGTGTATCTATTTGGCTTCTGGGAAGTTCAACTTCTATTAACTATCACCATAAATGCTTTCAAGTTAGATAACCTGGCTGCCACTTTTTCTTCATCTACTCATTAAAATAACTGTGCCTCCTTTGCTCTTAATGATTAAGTACCATCATCTGCCCTCTATTACATTTCAGATACTACCTATCATCACCATTTCTATTAATGAGCCCAATACAACACAAGTACCTCCTATAGTTAGACATAGCCTATAGAACGCAGACAGATTCTCAACAATGCTGGTGGCCCTCTCACTGGCCAAATTCTTATCACTTTGATAAACAGGTTATGCTCCTGGTAATACTGTGAGATATAGTCAGCTTTTGGGTTTTCTGCCTTACACAGTATATTCATGACCACTAGCATGATGACTTCTCTTAGCTATTTGATTTTTTTTCTCCACTACCTGCCACTGGAGTTCTATTTAGCATTTCTATTCAATTTATTGTGGCTCATCACTTCTATCCAATCTTTCAGTCTTTCCATCCTAGTAGTATACTGTTTCTTGGAATTCTCGCCATGATATAAACATTTTTGTTCAACTGGCAAACTCTCCCTTATCCAACTGATTTTACACCCTCTTTGCTCCATCACCATAAGGATTCAGCACACATATAATCCCACAGATCTTGTTGATGCATAGTAACTAGGTCCTACAGCTCTTTTGGAACATAGTCCTTTTCTTCTCTTAGCCAGTCCAGCACTTCCCTACGTAGGTAATGCTAAGATTTTATTTGTATGGGTCTGGTGCCAGAAGAGGGGGAAAGGATAGATTCTGATGGGGGTGAGCAGGTTGGTTTATAAGGTAAAGTTCCCTGGATTAACAATGAGGCAAGAACTTGCCTTTAACAGGGTAGAATGGGTCATTTCTGTAGGCCTAGATGGTTAAGATGGATTTTCTCTGTTGCTGCTGAATATGAGTCTCTTTATACACTGTAAAGATGACCCTCTCTGACTATTACACTTTGCCTTACATTGTTGATTAGCTACTTTGAACTTTACACTATTTTCAGTTTATCAGGAGCTCTTAGTTACCAACATCAATTCCATAATTGTTTAGTATAATTAATATTCCTCCATATCTCTCAAACTCTTGAGATAATTAGCCAGTGTGTTGCTTTCCACTGGGTGATTTCCCATCCTGGTATACGATGGAGGAGGTTTTAATCATACCATCACTACGGCATGCTAGACTTATCAGTATTCCAGCTATTACTAAGGCTGAGATCCCCATGCCAGTCAGTCAGCTGACATTCCAACTTTGAAAATCCCATTTTAGAATTTCCTTCCTGGGACCATTTCTAGTACCAAACTGTCTGCTGCGGGGTCTTCAAGAAATAGATTCTGAGATGGAGATTTCCATTGAGAAGGTTTATTATAAAGTGCCCTAAGGAATAATAACAGTAAAGGAATGACAGAGGTAGGATTGGGCAGATGGAGAAGTTGAGCTGCGATACAGTTATAGCACAGGCCTCAGCTGATCACGTGTGAAGTTCTGGACCTGAAATGCCCCTTCAGTGTGGTTCCCCAAATTGAGGGAAGAAAGCTGGACTTTTATCTTAGCACCCCTACTCCCATCAACTAGTCCTAAGGTCTACTCCTTCCACAATGGTGCATCACTTTGCATGAATTAGCTTCCTTCCAATGATAGCAGTGCTCTGCACTCTGGCAGGTGGGGGAATGAACGTCTCAGTCTTGAAGAAGGAATCAAGTTTGCACATGGCACTATCCACTACAGTCACCTCTAGAATCTGTATTTAACAAAGAAGTATCAGTTTTAGCCCTTCCACATTGCTTCTGTCCAAGGCTTGCTGTGCAGATTGTGCATAGTGCTGATATTAGCATTTTCCTTAAGTGTATTTCTACTTTTAAAAAAACTTACTTGCTATGCAGTGCTCTCAAGCATCTAGTTCTGAACTCAAATTTGTGTTATCTTTTTATTTTATAAATGGGAGAAGTGTTCTTAAATATTTCTCTTACTTCTTCTCAACCCAGAAGAGAAAGTTATGATTTAGTCTGGATCTGTTTTTCTTTTTTTTCTGCACGATAATCTTCATAATATACAGCAAACTGTATAGTTGCAATTAGATGTCCTTTAAGAATGAGAAAAATATTAGAGGTGGTAAGCATCACCCAGATACCCTTTCAAAGAAGGAAGACCTCATTGCTCTAATTGTCATGAGGGCTGTTGACAGACAGCCTTCAACTCTCAATCTTTCCAGGACTGTCTTTGCTACAGAGAGCTACCTTTTCCAAAGTCATGCTTTTCCGAGGTCTGAACAGGTCATATCCAAAGGCCCAGCTATTTTGGCCTTCCCTGGGCAACTATAATGTTCAATTTAGCTACAGAATTTTCTGTGCAATCATCTGAGGTTGTTGCTGAGCCTCTATCACAGGTTGACTTCATCTGACCAATTATGTTTCCTTCCCCTCTATTCAACATGTGTTGATCCCAAGGGTTTTCTCTAGCAGACATCCTGCAAACTAAGCTCATCCTCCAGCATGCTTCCTAGAGTACCCAAACAATGGCAAGAGTAAATTTATTTATATATTTAAAACATCGACATGACTGCTTACATTTCTCTTGTATCTGAGTAGAATTGTAATTTTGGACTTTTACTCTAATAGTTCAGATATTTACAGGATATTTATACATATAAAAATGGGTTTATTTATACATTTGTCAACAGAAGTGGTTACTCTATTTTTTTCTCACTATCATTCTTGTGTACACTGGGAGAATATAAAAAATAGCAAAACAAAATAAAATAAATTGTGTAATTCAATTTTACATTAATAAATAATATTGAATTTTTCATCATCCAATTTAAAAATATGAGCATTTTACTAAAATTTAACATGCTTATTTACATGTGAATTGTTTTGTGGTTGTTTTGCATACACTGCTTGTGTAATCGTGGTTAAATAAATTCATGTTTTTCTTCTCTCTTTAAACATTGCTTTGAACAACTAGCTGAGTATGGACAATTAGGAAAAAACAGATGTTTTGGAGATGATTCTTAGATCCAAATTGGGCATGTGACTGAGTCCTTCCCTTCATTCTCTAGGACCAAAGAGAGGATAGCTCAATTTTCACTTTAAGGTGTTTACTTCTTAAGATGTTTACTTAAATCCAGCATGCTGTGAGACTGCCTTCTTATCAATAAGAAATGAAGAGTAATCTAACTCTGTATTGCCTTGTTTTATACACAATCATTTTGTTATATGTAAGTCCCCTCAGGAAGGCATACTTTAGAAAAACAAGAGCTTTCATATGTAATTATGAATAAAAATGAATGCATAAGCCTCTGAATCCCAAAGCTTAGATTTCCGTGGCTACATTCTACTTATAAATTCAGTTTGTTTCTAATTGTGCTATAGCGAGCCTAGCTTCAGAAGAACACGATGTACTCATAATGGTCTCTTGTCTCCTTCTCTGGGCATTTTCAAGTGAACTATTTTCTCTATGGAGAAAATGGACTCTCCAGAAATTTAGCACTAATCTTTTTGGACAAATCTCTTACTTTGAATTATTATAATTGCTACCATGTAGTTAGCATTTTACCAGGCATTGTTTACCCCAGTTACTTGTCTCACTTTGACAATAACCATTAAAGGTAGGTATTTTAATTCTTCCCCACTCCTGTTTTCCAGTTAAGAAGCCACAGGCCACACAATTAGTAAATGAAACCGCCAACATTTGAATCTAAGTTTGCCTCAATTATCTAACATTTAGTAAATGCTTAAGCAGTGTCCGGCATTCTGCTCTCTGGTTCGTATTCTTTCATTTATTCACTAAGCTAACTAACTTAAGCGACAACTCTTTACCAAGCTCCCACTATGACCAGGGACTCTTTTAGATCCTGGAAATTTAGCAGTGAACAAAGAAAATGTCCCTGATCCCAGGAAGTTATATTAGTTCGAAGAGATATGCAACTGCTAATCAAGTAAATATGTACTATGACAAGTGATGATAAGTGTTACAAAGAAAAATAAAGCAAAGGATTACGGAGTCCTCAAAACTGCCAAACAAAGCAAAAAAAATACCCTTTTTTTTATAGTTGAGATATCAAGAAGTTAAGTACCTTGTCCAATGTTAGTCAGAGCTTGTAAATAATGAGTACTGGTTTCACTGACTGCCTAATTCCAGAACTGGTGACCTTTCCAATACCATGCTCATCCTGTTTCTCACCTCGTGTCTCCCTTATTTCTTTGTGCTTCTATAGTCCTCTTTAAACTTTCAATCCAACGGACTTGTCCCCTGTGCTCTCTGCCAATGAGAAAGCATGAAGGTAAAGGATTTCCCTTGGCTAAGTACAAAAGCAAAATAAGAAAAGACGACAGCTCACAACTAAACCCATTATGGAGAATAATTTTTGTAGCATGGCAAGCTTGTTTGCAAAATGCCTCCCACACCCTGCCAGTGCTGTGCTCTTTGAGTTCTTGTGATGTCTGTGGCTGCTGATAGAATTATCTACTTATCTTTTCTGTTTCCCCCTTTTTCATCTTCTGCTTCCTTCTATGCTATTTTACAAAAATACAAAATTACTCAATTTACAATGTTAAAATGGGAAATGGCTTAATTTAATCAGACAACAAGATAGACTTTTAATTTTTACAGTCGCCATCAGAGTTGACAGTCTGAGTTGACAAACGGACACAGTTCTTCAGACATATAGGGAAGCCATGATTTTGTTAGGAAATGTTTACTGAGTTTATGGAATCACACTATGAGCAGCACTGTAATTAGCTTGCGTGTGGAGACCGACTGAAAAGTATTTGAAAAATTTCGTGATATCAGTGTGTTTTCATATATTGATACAATTACACCTGTGATTTCTTTGCCTGAAATGGTCTGTTCTCCAGATAGTAAATATTCTATTCCTTTAAATCCAGTACAGGTTACATAATCCTCTGCATGAGTAAAGATCATTGTACTTAGCTTTTTTATACAACTTACTACATTGCATTGCAATTACTGTTTTATATATCAAAGTTCCTATTTTAAGTTCCTTTTCTTCTCTATCTAATGTCTAGACTAACATGACTTTGAAAGTAAAATAAAGTTATGAAAATTAAATATGATATTCCTTTCTCAATATGAACTGGAGTTTCTTTTGTTTTTACCTTATTAATTTTTAAATTTAGTTTTAACTTTTATTTTTAACTTTCAAAGTACTGTAACCATATTTTATACTGATATTCTTTTCTCTATATTACATTAAATTTTCTCATATTGCTATGCTCCTAATGAATTTCATCAAATTGTTTACATTTATGAATTACCATTTATAACCAGTAAAAATATTGTTTATACAGAAGGTATATACATTGTTTCCAAATTTTAATATCTCATTAATGAATCCAGGAAACTAAAAATACTCCTTTCCCTAAAGGAAGAAAATGTTTACTATTACTGGTGATGACATCTGTTTTCAGAGTCATTCTAAGCAAGAAATTATACTTTAATTGAAGCCATTATTAATGATATGCAAATGAAAATGCTATGAATTTCTGAAATGTGTTTGTGTTTTGCTTTATTGAACATTTGAACTTTTACTGGCTATTAGGAGCAATCAGAGATTGATATTGAGTGATATTGCAAAATCTGCGTATTTCAGAAACTGAATAAAAATCACAGACCCATTTATTGATTCTTTTGACTAATTCCTGCTGGGACCAAATTACATTTCACAAAAGTAGACATATGGTTCTTTGGGATTTCTCATGCTATTTCAACATCTCATAGTCAAGTTGACAATTATTTTGTTTTTCTATGACCTATGAGAGTTTTATGGGTAGAGTGCTTCTAAAATTGTAATACTGCTCTTTGCAAATATTAATCAATTAATGTTGTTGTACAAGAGAGACTCTAAATGAACATTTGAGAGAGACACAAATCTCTGAAGTGACTGATTAACTTAACTTCCCTTCGGACCCAGAGCTTCTCAGACCCAGAGCTCCTCAGCATTAGACTAATGTAATTGGCAGCTGAGTTCTGAGCCAAAGCAAATTTAGGTTGACTTCTTGCTCTCCTGGTATTGTGTAAACCTGGGTAAATCTCTGAGGTTGTCGCTGAGCCTCTATCACGGGTTGACTTCATCTGACCAATTATGTTTCCTTCCCCTCTATTCAACATGTGTTGATCCCAAGGGTTTTCTCTAACAGACATCCTGCAAACTAAGCTCCTCCTCCAGCATGCTTCCTAGAGTACCCAAACAATGGCAAGAGTAAATTTATTTATATATATAAAACATATATATATGGATGTTATATATATAAAATATATAACAGCTCACAACTAAACCCCTTATGGAGAATAATTTTTGCAGCATGGCAAGCTTGTTTGCAAAATGCCTCCCACACCCTGCCAGTGCTGTGCTCTTTGAGTTCTTGTGATGTCTGTGGCTGCTGACAGAATTATCTACTTATCTTTTCTGTTTCCCCCTTTTTCATCTTCTGCTTATTATATATATATAATGTAATATATAAAGTGTTTCCTTTAAAACACTTCTTTGAATTTCAATTTCATCATCTGTAAAGTGGGCATCATACCATCTGTCTCAGGGATGCTGTGAGAATTAAATCTGATAATATACATTGAAGTACTTTTTCAAGTGTAGAATACAATATGTGATGGAATTGAATACATGCACCCTCCTTATTAACTCAATTAAACTAAATACGTTATGATACATATGATCCATTGTAAATGGATATGATACACAGCCAAGCTGAATTATATTTTTATGTTTCTCACACTTGTCTGGAGCTAATCAGGTTACATCCATGTAGCCATTCACGATCTACTTGACAGATTTTTAGACTAAATATAGTTAAGATTCTTTTTCCTGTTTAAAATTCTTTTATCATCTCAGAAATGTTGCCCTAAGAACACATGCTGACAGATGATTGAGGGTTCAACTCTGAAGCAATGTAGAAAGCAAATGCATTCTTGAGGGAAAAAGGAATTAGAAATATTGAATTCATTTGAAGGCACATAAGGTTTTGTGACCTGTCTGTTAGTAACATCTCTCTTACTCAGAAAGATTTGATTTATTAGAACTATCACATCAATGAATTCAGAAGCAGGAAATATTAAAATGTGCATTGCAGTTAAAAAAACAAACAAACAACAACAACACTGACTGGGCACGGTGGCTCACGCTTGTAATCACAGCACTTTGGGAGGCTGAGGCGGGTGGATCACGAGGTCAGGAGATTGAGACCATCCTGGCTAAAACGGTTAAACCCCGTCTCTACTGAAAACACACACACACACACAAAATTAGCCAGGCGTGGTGGCAGGCGCCTGTAGTCCCAGCTACTCGGGAGGCTGAGGCAGGAGAATGGCATGAACCCCGGAGGCAGAGCTTGCAGTGAGCCGAGATCGCACCACTGCACTCCAACCTGGGCGACAGAGCAAGACTCTGTCAAAAAAAAAAAAAAAAAGAAAAAAAGAAAAAAAGAAAAAATAACACCAAACACCTCTGGTATAGAGGAAATTAGGTTACCAACATGATAGTTACTGATAAAGAAAAAGGAAAGGGTTTGGAAAACCATGGGTGGCAATAGCAGTATTCCACTTGCATACTACTTTTAAAGTCAGAAGCATCTACTTAAAATAAATATATGGAGAATAGCATGTATTTCTTATCTAACTTTATTGAGGTCAAAGCAAAGCAAAGAACTATAAAGTAGGCTGCATGTGGTGGCTCACGCCTGTAATCCTAGCACTTTGGGAGGCCAAGGTGGGTGGATCACTTGAGGCCAGGAGTTGCAGACCAGCCTGGCCCACATGGTGAAAGCCCATTTCTACTAAAAATACAAAAATTAGCCAGGGGGCCAGGCGCAGTGGCTCACACCTGTAATCTTAGCACTTTGGGAGGCTGAGGCAGGTGGATCACTTGAGGTCAGGAGTTCGAGACCAGCCTTGCCAACATGGTGAAACCCCATCTCTACTAAAAATACAAAAATTAGCCAGCCCTGGTGGCACACACCTGTAATCCCAGCTACTGGGGAGGTTGAGGTAGGAGAGTCACTTGAACCTAGGAGGCAGCGGTTTCAGTGAGCCAAGATCACACCACTGCACTCCAGCCTGGGCAACAAAGTGAGACTCCTCTGTCTCAAAAAAAAAAAAAAATATTAGCTAGGCATTGTGGGGCAGGCCTGTAATCCCAGCTACTCAGGAGGCTGAGGTGGGAGGTTTGCTTGAACCCAAGAGGCAGTGATTACAGTCAGAGAGCAGAGATCTCACCACTGCACTCCAGCCTGGGCGACAGAACAAGGCTCCATCTCCCCCCAACCCAAAAAAAAGAAACATAAAGTAAAGCATATCATATATACACACACACACACACCTGCAAAACAAATCCAACACAATCTTAATTATCTCTGGGCTCTGCTGTCTCATAAGTGTATTAAAATAAAGATGAGAACGTGAGATTTTCTGCATGAAGCTGGAACTAGCTATATTAGGTTGCTCTTCCTTTGGTGACCACCAAAAGTGGAAATTCCTCTCAGTGAGACAGTAGTCTCTTAAATGCCTTCAGTTAAGTAACTGAATCAAAAATAATGTCGTCAATTCAAACCACCCTAGTATATATCAGAAGACCTCAAGAACTGGGTAGAGCAGCAGGCTTATTTTAGTACATATATATCATCTAGCTTATGAACAAACGCATCATTTTCACATATATATTTTTGTATTGAAATATAAATGGCAATATTACAACTTAAATGAAGAAGGATTGTAATGTTGATTGATCATGATTGCTCACAGTCATGAGCAAAATTAATTGGGATACCTGGAGTCTATTTTATTTAACTTTATTGTGGGGAGAAAAAAACTGATAAAGTAAAATTCATAACATATATTTTTAGGTTAAAGTCTGGATTATAGTTCCTAAATAAATTTTGATAATGCCTGTACCAAAAAGTGATTTGGAAAGTGCAAGGATTGTTAAAAACGTTATCATTTTAACACAATCTAGGATCGGTAAAAAAGTATCTTGTCATGTGGATAGCTTTGACCTTAAGTTATAATATGATGGAATATGGGAAAGATGCCAAGAAAGCACTATCTTGGATCCAACAGGTACAGAGAATACCATGTCTTCTGCATAGTAAGTCATGGTAATATAAGGAGGGACATTCCAAGGTTAAATTGGGTACACAAGGGCTTGCCCAGACAGTTGGTCAATCTCCTCTTGACACCAAGTGGAAAACTGTGTGAAGTATAGAAGAAAAAGAAGTGATTGTTTGTGGGTAGATAGTTGACTGGAAAATGGATTTGTTAGTATAAATACACTTATTTGAAAATTTTTGAAGTTCTATAAGCCCATTGCTGCTCATGCTTACTCTAATAAAGTCAGATAAATTAATAAATTGTCTAGTGATTTTTCTACATTTCTTCACTGATTCTACCCAGCTGTAGAATTCACTGCATGAAAGAAAGTGTGGTCTGTGGTAGCTGAGACTGACTGTTGCTCAGGGTCCTGTGCAGTTCCTTAGAGTGGTGGGACAGACCAGAAAGGAGATAGAACCTTGAGACAACACTTTCTATTTCTATTTCTTAATGTAATACTCAGAAGAGAGTGGGATCTCAGTAATGGCTGAGTGAATGAAGTTTTCATTGAATATGTTACATCAGAAAAGATGAGTGTAGGTGTAACAATGTAAATATGGAGAGTGAACAATCATGCAGACTGTGATATGAAGTCCTACTAGTGGGTTTCCCTTGCAATAATGATAGAGATTTGAATTACATTGAAGTAATTTCATTTTCTCTAAATATTAAATACATATAAAAGAAGCTAAGTCTGGTTTTAGTTGTAGAAATTTTACAGAGCATTTGCTAGAATTAATAATGCTTATATCTAGACAAAAGTTATTAAATATTAGTTTTAAAAATGAGAAGCTGTTTGGGATCAAATAGAAGAATTGCAGAAACATTTCAGAATGGAAGTGTGGCTCATTAGCACACTTCTGCAAACTCAGTGTGAGCATTTCATGCATTCATATTCTACAATGTCTTTAGTACTTTTAAGATATTGTGTTACCAAATTACTTTCTATTGTCTTTAGCTTAAAAGGAGAGTTTTAAGGGAAAATCATATTAAAATACTGCAGGCCAAAGCATTTTAGGTTGTTTTCCTTTGCAAGTGGAAAGAGGATACAAAAAATACTAAGTAATATGCAGTGGCCTGTCAATTGGGCCAAGTAGAGGGACTAGGTTTTTGGTTTTTAGTTTTCATAATTGCAATTATTTTCTTAGGGAGGACACAATATAATTTCTTCATATATTCAACTTGAATGCAGATGACTTCTGAGAGATGTCTGCTATAAAATTTTCATCTGTCAGCACACTTATGGAAAATGTTTTTGCTTTCTGCTATATGGCAACATTTTAATGTGCACACATACAACATTTTCATACCCTGTCACCTAATTCCCAATTTGCATGGTAACACCATAATAGCATACAAAGAGATATTAAGAAAAAATAACTTGAACTACTCATGATTTCAAAATTGAAGTGATGCTATAAAAGTGTTGTTGCCTGGAAAACGACTCTATTATCCCCTTCAGGCAGGGTTATGATGAAGACTTAATGATTCATAAATACTAGAGCTTTATTCATCCAGAGAGATCAGTATGTATTTCTTTTCTTCTTTATTCCTAACAAGATCCCTTATCACCAGTTGCAGTCTTAAGAAAGTGGTAGAAAGCTTTCTGTCCTGTAGAAAGGCTGTAGAAGTCTTGTTCACTATGGAGTATTTGTCCTGAGTGGTATCAGGAAATTCCACAGAGATTTGTTAAATCAACTCTTTACACCACCCCATAGATTCCCTATGTACTAACACATACTATTGAAACACGTTTTGCATAAATTAAGTTCGTTCTTTGCATCCTGGCATCTGGATCACGATAATGTCTTGTTCATGGGCTTTTTCTTTCACCACTGTAGAATTCTAAACCAATGTTTATGGTCTATTTGCCAATACTTACTAGTGAAAGACCATTGCCTGCATGTATCAAGATAAATCAGAGGAAGCTGTTGTTCCTCCTGATACTCCTTGACCCTTGCATTTGGACTCTCTGTTGATAAGAACAGAGGCAGAATAAAGCTCACATCATCCTTTCCACTTGGTAGAACTAAATGCTCAAGTAGTATGGAACTTAAGTATAAGGTCATCCTCAACATCTTAATATTGCTGAAAGCAACGAGTGTCAGAAGATTTAGAGATCTAATAAAATTAAATATTATGTACTTAGAAGCCTTCTTGATCCCCTATCTAATTGACGCCGTATGCTTGTAAATGCAGATTTCTACACTGACTTATTGGATTGAATCAGAATTCCTGTTGTTGGGGCCCTGATATTGGGGTAGTCAAGGTAATTTTGTTAAGCATACTAAAGTTTGAGAATAACTTATTTGAGACATTTAATTTTGTGTCACATTTTAGTTGCTCTGAGAATTTCCAGGGACAGTTATGGAGACCTAGGCATCTGTATGGAAGAGCAGAGCAACTAGGTACATTTTAACTTCTGTTTTTCTCCCAGAAACTGATCCCAGGTATGGTTGACTAGCCTGCTTGAAAGCAGTTTTCATCATAGTCAATCATAGAAATTGCATATTATGTACTGCAAAGCCCTATAAAAGACTCCATAGTCCGATGCTTGTCAACATAACTTTGTTGTTTTCTTTCTTGTCAGTCCTTACCTATGTTCACAAATGTTCAAGCTTAATAGTTTGTTCCTCTTACGATAGGGTCACTCATGCAGAAGAACAACAAGAAAACATCAAGTTTAAAGTTAACTCTTCTGTATGCCTTTCAGCATCCGTCTGTGAGTGTTACTTAGAAATATGAAGTTAGTGGTGGCTTCTTATGACTATTGCCTTTCCACAGAGACACTAATATTCTTTTTTTTTTTTTTTTGAGATGGAGTCTCGCTGTGTCACCAGGCTAGAGTGCTGTGGCACGATCTCGGCTCACTGCAACCTCCAACTCCCTGGTTCAAGGGATTCTCCTTCCTCTGCCTCCCAAGTAGCTGGAATTACAGGCATGCACCACCACACCCAGCTAATTTTTGTATTTTTAGTAGAGATGGGGTTACACCATGTTGGCCAGGATGGTCTCCATCTCCTGACCTCATGATCCACCCGCCTCAGCCTCCCAAAGTGCTAGGATTACAGGCGTGAGCCACCACGCCCGGCCGACACTAATATTCTTTCAATATATTTTCAAAATATGCTGCTGATTATCATGGAATGCAAATTATAATGTTACATAATAAATTGTCATTATCATTTAGTTAGTTATTTTTGTATTAAGCCTCTCTGTTATCTTTTATGATGTAATAAATTCAATATTTCATTATTTCACCGAGGTAACATCGAATATTGCTTAATAAACACTGATATTTAAATATATTATGTTAGAAAATGTGTAGTACATTTTAGATGAGCTATTATATGTTTTCAAAATATGGCTTTTGTGGAGATGAATATAATTCTTTTATTTATATATTTGCTTAATCTGATTCATAACACTTTACAGCTGTGTCCTCTATGAATTTTTAATTTAGAAGTTTCTTTGGAGATCATTGTTGAATGATCTTGCATTATGTAATATAAAGGTCTTTTTTTGCTATGTCTAACTTTTGAATGTATAAAATCAAACAGCAGTAATATTATATGCAGTATTTCAATATAAATCACAATTCCCCTTTGCCTTCCACCATGTTTGTAAGTTTCCTGAGGCCTCCCCAGACATGCTGAACTGTGAGTCAATTAAACCTCTTTCCTTTATAAATTACCCAGTCTCAGGCAGTTCTTTATAACAGTATGAAAATGGACTGGCCGGGCGCGGTGGCTCACGCCTGTAATCCTAGCACTTTGGGAGGCCGAGACGGGTGGATCACGAGGTCAGGAGATCGAGACCATCTTGGCTAACACGGTGAAACCCCGTTTCTACTAAAAATACAAAAAAATTAGCCGGGCGTGTTGGCGGGCGCCTGTAGTCCCAGCTACTTGGGAGGGGCTGAGGCAGGAGAATGGCATGAACCTGGGAGGCGGAGCTTGCAGTGAGCCGAGATCGCGCCACTGTACTCCAACCTGGGAGACACAGCGAGACTCCGTCTCAAAAAAAAAAAAAAAAGAAAAAGAAAAAAGAAAATGGACTAATACAACAAATCGGTACCGTAGACAGTGGGATCCTGCTATAAAAATATACCCAAAAATGTGGAAGTGACTCTGGAACTGGGTAACAGGGTGAGGTTGGAACAGTTTGGAGTCCTCAGAAGAAGGTCAGAAGATGTGGGAAAGTTTGAACTTCATAGAGTCTTGCTGAATGGCTTTGACCGAAATGCTGATAGTGATATGGACAATGAAGTCCAGGCTGAGGTGCTCTCAGATGGAGATGAGGAACTGGTTGGGAACTGGAATAAAAGTCACTCGTGCTATGCCTTAGCAAAGAGACTGGTGGCATTTTGACCCTGCCTAGAGATCTGTGGAACTTTGAACTTGAGAGAGATGAAGTAAAAGGGACAAGTTTCTAAGATCTTTTCAGTTTTAATTATATGCTAAGATTTTAATGTATATTATTTTGTGTAACCTTTACAAAATTCCTAAAATGTGATTAGTTTTATTTCTGCTTTACAGGCGAGAGTGCTGAAAGTTCTTACAAAGGTGAAGTGGCTGAATTAAAGTTATACATCTACTCAATAGGAGAGGGGAGACTTGAACAATAGTGGTTTAACTCCATAGCCTATGCTCTTTTTGCAACGCGCTTTAAATAAATTACAAATGTTGATGGGACTGAAATTCTTGCATTGTGTAGGGAAGAGAGATTGTTGAGACTTGATGAGATTGAAAATTTCAACTGCAGCAAAAGTCAGTTAGCTGAAAGCTCTTCTCATTAGCTTAAAAGGGATATATACCCAGAAATCAGGAGTGTTTAAATGAAAGAGAAATATTACTGATAGAAAATCGATTACAAGTTTCTACCTTGTGGATAAAAGAATTTAAAAATATATCATTAATGATAAATTAGCACATGTTAATTAATGTACGATAAGCAACATCTTAGAATACAAGATATATTGAATGCACAGTTATGGAGGGGGGATAGGAGAGAGGGAATTATTCACAGAAGAAATGGCCAGTGAGAGGGAGAGTTAATACATAATTTGTTTCTGCAGGAACAGGGTAAGCACGAAATGAGTACTCATACCCAGAGATTACAGCCTACATGCATCGCTTTTACTTGGATATCAATTTCTTTTCTAACAAAAAATCTATTTAGATTTTGGCCTTACCATGGTTTCTAGTACCTGTTCCTGCCTGACTCCCTGAATCTTCCTGCTTCCCTGTTTGTACAATTAATCTACTTCTGACCATATCTGAATCCCTCATGACAAAACTCATCTACTAGACTAGAATTTACTTCCAATTTCTGAATATGTTGTCACAGAACTTTGGCTATGAATGGTGTCATTTAAAAATTGACCTCCTCACCTGTCTGTAATTCACACGAATTTCCATAATCTCCTTAAATATTGCTAAATTCAGTGCCACCACACTTCTAACACAGATCTACCTTTGATCCACCTTCTAACTTGCTTTCTCCCTTCCTGGGTCTAGTTCACCATCTCTGAGGCTGTTACTCACACAACAGAATGATGCATTTTACTTCACATCCAAAATCGTAACAGAGGACAGCTCACTGTATGTGGAATCTGCAATGTTCGAGTACATTTTAAAAATACAACTCATCTGTAGGTCATCGATGTATTTCTTGGCTCATATCTTGTAAAAACCAATTAAATATATATGTGTAGTCTCCCAAGCTGGCTCATACATAATACATATACTTACTTTCTAATAGGTTGAATGACTACATACTAGAATCAAAATTTTAGAAACAAATACATGAACATAAATTATAAAATAAACATTATAGTAACATATTGTTTTGTTTTATATTGATCATAAATAACGATACTGGAGAAAAAGAATATTAAGTAGATATGTGCAGAAGATTAACAGATTTAGGAAGATTTGAACTTCTAAGGATTATTTAGATAGGTGACACAGATGGGTTAATTTCTAGAATATGATTTGAAAGTTTATAATGTCCCATTTCCTGGGTATAGTGAACCATGATCATTACCTTAAGAATATCTGATGAGGCCAAGCATGGTGGCTCATGCCTGTAATCCCAGCACTTTGGGAGGCCAAAGTGGGAGGACTACTTGAGCCCAGGAGTTTGAGACCAGCCTGAGCAACATGGCATGGCAAAAAGCTGTTCCTAAAAAAATAAATAAAATAAATAAATAACTGTGCATGGTGGCACACAGGTGGAGTCCCAACTACTCTGGGTGAGGGGTTGCTGAGGTGGGAGGATCCTTTTGCCCTGGAGTTTGAGGCTCAGTGAGCTATGATCGTGCCACTGCACTCTAGCCTGGGCAACTCAGTGAAACTTTCTCTCAAAACATAAAACAAAGAATATCTGATGAGTTTGGAAGCATTAAATATGATAAATGGAATGTGAGAGAAAAGTAAGGAGGTGTGTGGGAAGGGAAAGACAATTGACTATGAAAGATAGAGAATTGTCCTGAGAAGACTAAGTAATTAATAGAAATAGACAATAGTAAGGGCCTTCTCAAGTAAACTTGTTGGCGAACATGAAAACCATTGTTTGAGGTAGAATTTACTTCATTAAAGTTAACAATAGTAAAGGAAAATACGAAGTCCATATTATCTACAATATGCTTTTCAAATAAGACAGGAGGAAAGAGATATAAATCAGAGTATTCTTTGAATTACTCATCAATTGCTATCACTATCGGCCAAAAGTTTACTAAAGTTGGGAGGAATAAGAGGCATGGTATTGCTTGTGGTAAAGTGGAAAGGTTAAAAAATAAGTAGGACTGGCCAGGTGCTGTGGCTCATGCCTGTAATTCCAGCACTTTGGGAGGTCAAGGTGGGCGGATCACTTGAGCTCAGGAGTTCGAGACCAGCCTGGTCAGTTTGGTGAAATCACATCTCTACTAAAAATACAAAAATTAGCCGGGCATGGTGGGATGCACCTGTAATCCCAGCTACTTGGGAGGCTGAGGCAGGAGAATCAATTAAACCCGGGAGGTAGAGGTTGCAGTGAGCCAAGATCACACCATTGCATTCCAGCCTGGGCAACAGAGCGAGACTCCATCTCAAAAAATACAAAAGAAAACAAAAGTAGGCCTGAAAAGATGGGCATGATGGCAAAAAAAAAAAAAATTATTAAGAAACTCTGTAATGATCAACTACTACATTCAAACTTTTACAAAAATTACAGCATTTTCTTAAGTGTATGATTTAAGATAGGGTAATTTGTTTTCTGTTTTATTACCAGTAGAATGTTATTGATAAATTATTTGTCTTATTTATGCTCTCAAAATAAGAAAATCCATGTTTGTACTTACTATTAAGATATTCAAAAGCAAATAAGCAGGTTTCCAATAAGCAACATCTGGAGCAGAAAGGTGTATGGAATACCTATGTGTTTGCATATATAAATATACCACCAATGAGCTTAGTTGAAAAAAATGGATTAGGCAAACCAACAAATTCATGTAAAGGGAGACAATAACAAATAATGTAAAATGTTGAATGAACTATAATTTACATAAAATAAAATTTAAGTGATAATCCCACTTTGTGAAAGTACTATAGTCACTGTTGATATCAATAAAAAAAATAGCTGCTAGGAAAATTGTAGTGCATATATAAATTCTGCACTGTAATTAATATGGCATAACTAGAGATGTAAAAAGAAAATTGAGATGATGGCATGACTAATTTATTCATTCATAATTCTTTTGTATGATTCCTACTCTCCTATTTGTATTCTGTTTTCTCCCCAGCCATCATTTTTGAATTTACATTTTCCAATCATTTTTATTCTGTATGTTTATGATCATCATCAAATCCCTCTTTAAAACAACTTGACTATCCATGTATCTTTAGTTAGGTTTTATGCAGCTAATTATCAAAAAAATAATGAAGTAAATTTAAATGTATTGCTATGGAATGATTTCTAAGACATAGTGTGAAGTGGGAAAAATTTTTTGAGAAGTTTGTACAATTTAATCCCATTTAAGGCAAAAAATATAACCAGTGCTGAGCTTTGCTTTGCTCTGCATTGCTTTGAAATCCTGAGGCCCAGAAAAGAATGGCCAGAGAATAAAATGCTCAGACCACAAACTGTAGATGGAAGGCATTGTAGAGTCGGTCTCAGAGGCTGTGGGAAGGGGCTGAGAAGAATACATTCCCAACCTACATAGCACGTAGATAATCTTAACAGATAGTTCCAGTTGAAAGGGGGTGACGGGGGTGACTCTAAAGAAAATCATAGCAACTCTGTAAATATGCCATCACAAGGGGTGCCAGGGTGGACAGAAACCTAACATGCTAATAAGTCAGATAAATAATCCAATATGGAAAATAAGTCCAAGAAGCAGAAGAAAATTCCCCAAGAGAGCCACTCATTAGCAAAGAATGTAGTAAGTATATTAAACAAAATATCAGAGCTGAAACATAAGACAATTGATAACAGACTAAAATGAATAATAATTCTTAAGTGCAAAAGCAAACCTGACAGCCAAATGAGCTGCAGTATAAAAGCTAATTAAGAAATTCAAAATATCAATGAACAGACTAGACACACCTGAGAAAAAAAATTATGTAGAAGACAAACTTGCCTTTTTAAAAGTTGAATAACAAGGAAAAGAGCACACACATTATAGAGAATAGAATAATATATGGAAGAGGAATAATCTATTATAAATATCTCAGAAGTAGAAAACCACACAAATGGAGCAGAGAATGTTGAAATTTAACAGAAGACAATATTCTGAGTGTAATCTGCTGGTCAAAAGCAAAAATTGTGTTCAAATTATAATAGACACAGACAATTAACACAGAGAATTATACTATTTAAGAGACCAAACTTGAAGAGACAAAAAGAACTCTGGGAAGAAAATTTTCTAACAAAGATGAAAAAAAAAAAAAAAGCCGATTTTAGACATTTCTACAACAACATTCAAAGCCCAAAGGCAATGATGAAACACATCATCCTGAGAAAAAGAAAGTATCATACTAGAATACATACACAAAATTTCATCCAGGTGTAAAAGCTACGGACAGATACTTTCAGATATTTAGATTTCCCTGAGATCCTTTAGGGAATAAAATATCCTTGAGTCCTTGCTGACCAACAAAGAAAACCAAAATTCCCAAAAGAAAACTACTCAACAACCAAATCCAGCTAATGAGAAAATAGGTTAAAGTGAAACATTCAAGAATGAGAAAACTATAGTAAAAAGACCAGTGGTGTTAAGTATGTGTTAGTTAATTGGGCTGCTATAACAAAAATACCATAAAATGTGCGGCTTAAGTAACAAGCATTTATTTCTCACATTTCTGGAGGCTGGGAAGCCCAGACTAAGGTGCCAGATTTGATATCTGATAAGGGCCTACTTCCTGGTTCATAGAAGGCTGTCTTCTCACTCTGTCGTCACACGGTGGAAGGAGGTTAGGATTTCAACATATGAATTTGGGGAGGACACACGCATTCAATCGATAATAATATAAAATCACTTAAATATAGACAAAGACTAAAGACCCTTGATTACAAATCATGATTTGAGAAAGAAGAAAGGATGGCTCGAAACCAGCCCTCATGTTATTCAGTTAGGACAGGTTCTGGCAACATAGGACTACATTATCCTTTTCTCAGTATGAATGTTGGTCTGGCAGTTCTGGCTTCTGGTCTCAGTAATAGTTGTGCTCCTATTCCTAGCCCCAGGAATTTTCCAAAAATGTTGTAAAAATGAATGCTTAGTACAAATATGAATTGAGGAATAATTTTTAAATGTCTTTAATGGCGAGATATATTACTTTTAATGTCAAAACCACAGTTACTTTTGCACCAATCTAATAATATTTACATCAAACTGTTTGACTTTAAAGAATGCCTATTTTTACTACAGTCATACATCACATGCAATGTTTTTGTCAATGAGGGACAACATAAATGACAGTGGTCCCATAAGATAATAATGGAGCTGAAAAATTCCTGTCACTTAGTATTTACTGTAACACACTTTTAGTTGTTATTTTGGAGTGTACTCCTTACAGAAAGAAAATAGTTAACTGTAAAACAGCCTCTGGCAAGTCCTTCAGGATGTATTCCACAAGAAGGCATTGTTATCATAGGAGGTAACAGCTCCGTGCCTGTTACTATCTTTCCCTGAAGACCTTCCAATGGGATAGGACGTGGAGGTATAAGACAGTGATAATGAGTAAAATGGTGGATGCAAGGGGTAGGAGGATGGGGTGATGTAGGGTACAAAGTTGCAGTTATGTAGCATGAATAAGCCAAAAGATCTAATGTACGCAGCATGAGAACTCTAGCTAGCATATTGTATTCCATATTGGAAATTTGCTAAGAAAGATTTTAGGCGCTCTTACCATACACACATGTGCACACACACACACAAGCAGAAAGATAACTATGTGAGATGATGGATACGTTAATTTGATTGACTGTAGTAATAATTTCATTATATATATATGTATGCAAAAATATTGTGTCGTACCCCTAAAATATATACAGTACAAAACATTATCTGTTCTATTTTTTTTAAGCTGTAGCTCTTTGTATTAGTTTCCTAGGATATTCAGACAAGGTGGACAGTGTTAGGAGTTTTAGGGTACCAGTACACTTATTTCTGACACTCCAGGGGTCCCTGTCAGCTCAAATAGAACACTGCCAAGGCCTCTCCTGCTGTGGTTTCTCAATCTTCAACTCATTCATTTCTTATTTATTGAGTAGCTACTGTGTGCCAGGCATTGTCCTAAGTGCTAGTCATAAAGCAGTGAGCAATACAGACAAATTCCCTACCTGCAAGAAGTTTTAATTTGACTAGATCAGACAGACAAAATGACAATGTTTAGAAGCATTCTTTTTCCACTGCAATAACACTGCCTTTGGGCTAACCAAGGATTTCCCAACATCAGCACTAATCACATGTGAGGCTTGATAATTCTTTGGGTGATGGGCCACCCTGTACATTGCAGAATGTTTAGCAGCATCTCTGGCCTCTACTGTAATGGATTCCAGCAGCACCCCAAGTTTGGGACAATCTAAAATGTTTCCATTGTCAAATGTCAACTGGGGGAAAATCACCCTGAGTTCAGAACCACTGGCCCAGGAAACCCAGAGGGCCTCCCTTTCAAAATATTCACGTTGTTATTCTTCCCAATGCTGTGTTAGCATCTGCTCTTGCATCCTAGCTGATGTTCCTCTTAAATTCTGTTCTGGACAAATGTGGCCATTTTCCAAGTCTACAGTTTTGCAAGCCAAAAGCACCTCACACCTGGGAGTAGATGCCCACCTAGCAGAAATAATTGAAGAGGTTTCTGGCAACGTTACTGTTTTGTTTCAATGGTATATATATTTCATTTGGATTCTAGATGTAAGAGCTGCATATTGATAATCCATTACTTTCTTTAATTGATTCATAAAATGGTTGCTGATATTTTTGTTTTATACTACACAACTGTCTTGCTGAATGTACAACTTTCTGTAGGCCTATTTTCTGGTATATATCTAGATATGCTGGTGACTTAGCCCTACCCTGAACTATAAATTCTTTTCTATAGTTCAGGGTAGGGCTAAGTCACCAGCTTATCTACATATATACCAAAAATTAAATATACATTTGACAAAGCAAAGAATGGTAGTTACCTTTCTCCTCTTTACTGGGTTAAAAAGGATCAAATCAATGAAGAAATTAACTGTAGTGTTCTTCAGAAACTAGATTCTATATCTCTCTTTGTAGCTTATTATTATTTGGGGGTGAGGTGGGCATTGAGTTACCCCATGATGGAAATTTTTTATTCAGAGATTTTAATAATTTTGCGTGAAATTTTGGACACCTAGCTCTGTAAACATAACTAAATAATCCTGTTATTAATCACAGCACTTTACATCCTTCTTTGGTTGTCCTTGGGAGAATAGTTATTGGCAGGGCTTAAATTTCCATTACCAATAGGAAAAAAGATGAGTAAATGTATTCTTCAATTACAAACAGTAGGTGACAATGTATTTATAGTCTGTCAAAAAACTGTGTAAGCTCCTTTGCAATGTTGCTCAATTTAAACCCAGCACTGAATGATATTTATACATACATCACCCCGGTTGTCTCTCCCCTGGCTTTGTGCAATCGGTTGTGCATGCTTATCATTTGTGGGCCTGTTGTGGCACAGGCTCCAATGGCTCACATGCCTGAACTGAGCACCTCCAAGGTTTCCTTGTACTTCTTTTCTTATTGAAAACAATTGCTAAGTGAGAGATCTATTCTTGGTGAGCCAGACTGAATTAAACCATTGTGTGAGTAGCCATCACAACAGTAGTAGGAGCAAGGTGACCCAAGAACATCCTACAGTCATACAGCTACACACACACACACACACACACACACACACACACACTTTCATCTGTCACACAGTTGATTCAAGAGCTGCACAACTTGGCTTATAAAGTAGCATCTTAACCCTCCTATTGAATCAGGAAGTTGGTTCCTTTGCTCCCTTAAGGAATATGATTAAAGATATGTGTATGTTAGCAAAGTCCTCCTTGAGAAAGTTGTATCACTATTTTGCAAAGTTCATAAAATATATGAGAATTTTTTTTATCATAGAGCAATTAAAAAAAAAAGTTGTGAAGAACGTAGAACCCAGTGGGGTCTCACTGACTTGTACTTTATGCTGTACTGAATGTTCTTTTCTTAATGATCCAGAACATGTACATTTTGACAAAAATTTAAAGGCAAAGATATGGAACTTCCAGTTGTACTCTGATCAGTGCTCCCTGACTAATGATCGTAAAATTTTCTTCCTGTTTCATCTCTCACTCCAGTATGTAATGTCTAACACCTCTTTATTTTAGCTATAGCAAAAACGGGGTTGTAGCCTAAAGGAAAATGACAACTAGGCAAAAACAGACATTAAAGTCTGCAATAACAGACTTTAACAGCTGTCTATTCCAAAATAAGCGTTATTCCAAATATAAAAATTGCAACCAAATATATAAAAATTGAATTCCTGAAGGGTTTTCAGTACTTTGCCAGCCACTTTTTCATAAAATGCATGAAGATAACAAAAGAATGACAAATCTAAATTGCAGATGGTTTTTTCCTTTTTCTCATTTCATTCATTTTTAATGCAGAGGATGGGATGTTTGGGACATAGAGTCATATTTGACAGCATTTTCATGTTTATTTTGATTGTGGGATATGCTACAATTTGGATTTGAGGCACTCTTTCCAAGAATAAGTCATTTGTAATCTACGTATTTTGTTGCAGCAAAGATGTAAATAAGCAGGTTTTATTGTTTCTTTCTAGTGATTTACAGTCTTCTCTATGTGTATCTTTTTCTAACCAAAGACTCAGTTTTCTTCTGATTTTAGTCAAAAATGGTTGGCTATATTTCTGGTTTTAGTGCAGCATTGCTGGCAAGTGTGAAGGCAAACAAAAAAACTATTAAAGTGAAATCCCACTGTTTATTTTAAGAAATAAAAATTCTCCAAATACATAAGTAATGTGCTTTGTGTATTTGTAATGTGAGTTTCTTCTTCAGCATTTGTCTCAGAACTAGTTCCCAACATTCTACACAGTCTAGTTGCACAATAAATGCCTAGTGTCTCACTGAAGAAAACAATCCATTTTATAAGCTCTTCCTGAAGACTAAGATGAACCTCACTATCAAGAAAGCTGTTCTGCAGTATTATAGACCCTTAGGCTATTTCTTCTCTTGCAAAATAAATTTTATTACAGGTATTTCGCTTGTAAAAAAAATTGTAGATAACATGTGGTTTTCTTCAATGTGTCAAATTTTTTTTAAAAAAATCTTTATTCCTTATTCCTACTTTCCTCTTGTTGCCCGACCAATTTCTCTTCTTATTGTATAGTAAGATTTGAGATGGGGACAGACATTAAAAGACCCCAAAACTGGACAGAATGATTGATATACTTACCTTCTTCTTCCTTTCATGGCGGAGAGCTCTTGTTGCCCAACCAATTTATCTTCTTATTGTGTAGTAAGATTTGAGATGGGAACAGACATTGAAAGACCCAAAACTGGACAGAGTGATTGATACACTTGCCTTCTTCTGCCCTTCATGGCAGACAGCATGGAGTGTGGTATCTCTTCTAAAGGAGAAGTTGGCTTCAAAGTTTATTTAAAAGCATCATAAGAAATTTTTTCTAGTCTACAGAACTCAGGAGGTGTCTATTTTCCTCTCTTCTTTGTGATTTCTTTCTATGCAATGGGTACAGAACTAAGTGTTGACATAGCTGTTAAGATATCTTGATTTTTTTGAAATTCATTGCCTCTTCCTCCTGATTTGCTTAACTCCTGCAGATTTTTAAAACTCTCTTACTTAGATAAATACTGTCCAAACTTATCTCTGCTTTCTCTGAAATCGTATAAGGCCTCATACAGTTTTTGGTTATACCATTTATTTGGAACTTCATAAACTAAACTGAGAGCTCCCAGAGAGCAAAGACCATGCCTTATACTATTTAATCATCCATTTCTGGTATTTACTATTACGTTAAAAAACATATTAAAAATTCTAGTCCCAGATCTGCTAACAATGAATAATATGTCTTTAATGTATCCAGATGTCAGTTTCTTAATAAATAATTGAACAGACAAGTAAATAAATGGAATATGCAGATTCCTCTTGTAATACCAAAGAGGTCATCAGATTATTTCTACTCTGGGCTGTAAGAACTGGTTGAATATCATCTGTTAATGATATCAAAGAAAATCCCAGTTTCTTGAAAAAATAAGCTGATAGAATTTTCTTAGTTTAACATTTTTTTCTATGTATTTGGACTTTACAATGAAGGCATCTGCTACCGTTATCCTCTAACGAGTGCTAATATATTATCATGTGAATAAAACATAGCAAATTAATATTAGGTAACCAAATTAGAAATAGCCTATAATGTATAATTTAACTGCTTGAATTTTTTAGTAATCATGGGTGCTTGTAAGCTTATTGTACTATTAAGACTTGGTGTCATATAAAACTGATATTCTCTAAAGTCTGCCACTTATTTTGTAAAAGGGGTAACAGAATCTCTGAACCTCTATAAAATGTAGAAGTAATGCCACCATCTCCACTGGAACTGGCACACAGAAATTTATGTGTGCCTAGAAATACATCAAGATAATAGAACCATAAGAATACTTGGATCAACTCGCTGGCTAAAGACGATTTAAAGAGCTACAAAAAATATATTAAAAAATTCTTAAGTCATAGAAGAAGGCTGTGATGAATAGGTTACAGCAGACCAAAGTTGCTACTAAATACAATGAGAAAAGCCAGGGAAAATATATGTTAAGGTCTATTCGAAGTCATCCAGAGCTACCAGGTAAACAACATCAAGACACCAAGATCTTAGAGAAGAGGAAGCCATTGGAAGAAGAGTCCACCATTTTGTCATAGTTTACCAAATAACAGAATTACCAAGTCTTAGTGTTAGGTGGGAGACTGTGAAACCAGGCAGAGTGAAGCCACCAAGAGCCAGAGAAGCGAGCAGCTTTGGCAGCCTGACAGTATTGGAATGCAAGAGTCCCAAGGCAGGCAGGATTTGAGAGGCCAAAATGTGGGAGAAAAGGTAGGTCCTGAGAAACGAGCCAAATGTGTGTTTTTTTTTTTCTTCTTTTTTTTGCTTGTGTGTTTGTTTTTGTTTCTTTTCCTAGTAGCGTTTGTTGAATTCCTAAGGTGCTTGGGGAAAGAGACAAATAAACTAAAAGCATACTTGAAAATCAATACAGTTATAAAGCGTGACATGGTAAAGGGGAGACAAAAATGGGAGTTCTTCACCAGCAAAGGAGCAGGGCCTTCTGTAAACCCTCCTCAGGCTCTCATTTGTGATCTCTGAGAGCTAAACTAAGGAGCTGACAAATAGAGGTCCACAAAGCTTTCCCAAAACCATACCACATCCTGAAATCAACTCATTCCTTGGTTGAATAAACTAATCTGCTCCTGCTTAGGTTGCCTAAAAAAGGATAGAATCAATTCTACCTGAAAGAAACAAATATTACTTAACCACTCTAAATTTTTCATGCACAATATCTAGCACTCAAATAAAATATTAAAAAATAGGAATATGGAAAAAGCCAAGATGAGAAAAATGAAACTAACAAGAGCAACAAAACACAGATGGTCCAGTTGTAGTTCTGAGACTAGACACACATTCTTGATTAATATATCCAAGAACACAGATAATAACAGGAAGGATTTCACTACAGAACTGTTGTCTAATGGAAAATAAACAAATGGAAATTATTGAACTAAAATGTAATAATGGAAACTGATAACAGCGTTACCTACAGGTTAAGCAAAAGTACTTTAAGTAATAATTAGTAGAATGTTAAGTGAGTAAAAATAATCTGGGCTTAAGAAAGGAAGAAAAAAAGTATGTGGATATTAGAGAAGAGAGTATAAGTGACCTATGGGACACAGTGAAGACTGAAGGGCAGGGCATATAGAGGCAGAAGCAATATTTGAATTGTTGAGAATTTCCCCAACTTGTGAAAATTCCCAAGCTGCACAAAAAATACACATTATGAATCCCAAGCCCGTTAAATATGAAGAAACTCATTCCTAAGTGTATTCCTGTGAAGCTTGATAACAGAAAACAAGGGGAAAAATCTTGCATGCAGAGATGGCAAAAGGCATTGAGATTGACAACTGGCTTTGAAACAGAAACAAAAGAAGTGGTAATACAATGGAATGATATTTTTAAAGAGGCAAAAGAAAATAACTATCTCGAAATAATTCCATTGCAGGTGAAAATATCCTTTAAAAATACAGATGACATAAAAATATTTCCACTCAAACAAAAACTAAAAAGGTTACTGCCAGCGGATCCGCACTTAAAGAAGAAAACACTGAGAAAAAAAGGATTTATTAGACAGAAATGTGATTGATCATAGTCAGAAGTTAAGAAATGCATGAGGGAATGAAAGGTCTAGTAAAACTTATTATATGGGTAGATATTGATTGTACAAAACAATAGTATTAATGTATTGAGCAGCACAAAATATATATGGAATTAAAAATACATGATGAAATAACACAAAAAGAATTAGTGGCATAAATGTATTTCATGATAATCACATTTGCAGATAAGAGGTAAAAAATAATTTATTTCTAACTATAAGAAGTCAAATTTACATATTGTAACCACTGAAATAATTTTTAAAAATGTATAGCTGACAAGCTAATTAAATGAAAGTTGATTAATAATTTAAAAAATTGAATCACAAGGAGAGAAGAAAGAACATAAAACATGTGGGACAAATAGAAAAAAAACTGAAAGCTAAATATAAAGCCAACTATTGTCAAGCAATACATTAGGTGTTAGTAGACAAATGTTTTGATTAAAGTAGGAACAACTTTAAATATGTATTTTTAAAATACAGATTTTTAAAAATATAGTCAAAATTACCGACAAAGACAATTTAAATATAGTGACACATAAAAGGTTAAAAGTAAAATGTTGGGAAAACATCTATCACACATGAAAGCTACCTTGTCAATAATAGAAGTTAAGGAGATAAGAAATATGACAACAGATACTTAGCAGCAGTTCACAATGATACAAGGGTTATTGTAATAAAAGGATATAACACTGTTACATTTGTATAAACTTGACAACAGAGATTAAAAATATATAATAGTAATATTAACAGACTTACACAAGAAATTACAAATCAAAATCATAGTGAAAACTAACAGAACTCTCCCGGTAACTGATAGTACAAGCCAACAACAACAACAAAAAAAAAAAAACAAAAAAAAACACCAAGAAAACAAAACAACAACGACAACTGTAAGCATATAGAGAATGTAAACATTGTGATCAAACTAGTTGCCTGGTTGAAATGAACGGATTACTTCCTTCAGCAATGAAAGAATGTACAGAATTTTCCAGGGCATGTAGAACATGTGTGTACTGAATTTTGGAAGATGTTTATGAGCACTTGAAATATTTATGTACCCAGATATTTCTTGGAAACTAAGAAATGCAATTCTATAAAATCCATAAGTCAATAAAGAAAGAAAAATGAAAGTTTGAAAATACTTTAAACTAAATAATAATAAATTAAATAAGTGTATCAAACTTGTGGCTAAATCTGTGTTTTAAGATAAGTTTATAGTTTAGAATTCATATATTCAAATAAGTTTATAAATATTAATTATATTTAGGTATCCACTATAACAAGTTGTAAAGAGATAATTGAATTCAAGGAAAGTAGAAGGAAGAAAATAATACAGATAAGGGTAAAATTTTGAAAGAAAATAAATATATAATAGAAAAAAATCATTAGGCTTATCTTTGAAAAGATATAAAATTGACATGATCATCTCGACTGCGATAAGAATGATGGAGAGAAAGAGAGAGTGAAAGAGATAGGAAAGAGAAAAAGAGAGATATGAAAGAAAGCAAGATGGGAGTGCAAATTATCATTATTAGGTAATTTTATTAATATTATTAATTATGAAAGGAAGCGAGATGGGAGTGCAAATTATCATTATTAGCTAATTTTATTAATATTATTAATTATGAAAGACAAGAGCATCAGTAAAAATCCTCTATGTTGAAAATAAGAGTGTATAATGAGCAATGTTTTGTTGATAAATTTCTATATGAAACCAATAACCTCCTAGAAAAATGCGATATATCAAAACGGAAGCAAAAAATATTTAAAAATTAATCTTCCAGTGTTATGTTAAATTAATATCAATCCATATATTTTTATTGAATTTTTCAAAATATTTAAAATAGACATAACAATAATTTTATGCAAAACTTACATCAGCAAAGAAAATAGGTAATGTTTACAAATCATTTTAAAGGGCTATCATAACCTTTTGGCAAATTATCACAAGAATATTGTAAGAAAGAAAAAAATATGTAGCCAATTCCTCTCATAACAATACATGTTGCATCAAAAGCAGTTCCAAGAGGGAAGTTTATAGCAATAAATTCCTACATCAAAAAATAAGAAACATTTCGGATAAGCAACTTAATGTTATAACTGAAGGAACTAGAAAAAGAACAAACTGAGCCCCAAGTTAGTAAAAGGAAGAAGTAACAAAAAGCAGAAATAAGTAAAATAGAAACTAGAAAAACAATAGAAAAATCACTGAAACTAAGTTGTATTTGTAAGGATCAACAAATTGACAAAACTTCGGCTAGACTAACACACAAAAAAGGAAAGAAAGCTTGAATAAATAAAGTTAGAAATGAAAAAGGAGATATAATGATGACACCACAGAAATATAAAGGATCATATAAAACTACTATAAGCAATTATATGCCAACAAATTGAATAACCCAGAAGAAATGGATAAATGTTTAGGCACATAAATCTGTCAAGACTAAATCATAAAGAAATAGAAAACTCAAACCAATAACAAGTAAGGAGAAATTCTTAGACACATACAACCTGTCAAGACTGAATCATGAAGAAATAGGAATATCCAAACAGATCAATAACAAGTAAGGAGATTGAATTAGAAGTCTCTCATCAAAGAAAGGCCCAGGATCTGATGGTGTCTCTGCTGAATTTACCAAACATTTAAAGAAAAACAAACACCAGTCCTTCTCAATTTCTTCCAATAAAATAAAGAAAGAATACTTTCATACTCATTCTATGAGGCTAGCATTATCCTGACACAAAACCCAGACAAGGACACTACAAGAAAAGAATATTACAGGTCAATATCCCACTTATACATAGATGCAAGAATCCTCAACAAAGTACTAACAAACTAAATTCAATATGACATTAAAAATATTATTCAACATGATCAGGTGGGGTTTATCCCAGTGACAGAAGAATGGTACAACATCTGCAGATCTATAAATGTCATATTCCAAATTAACAAAATAAAGAAAAAAAAGATCATTTAAATAGATGCAGGAAAGTTATTTGACAAAATTCAATATCCTTTCATTTTTAAAAACTCTCAAGAAAATAGGTATAGAAAAAGAAGAAATGTACCTCAACAAAGTAAACACCAGGTATGACGAATTCACAGCTAACATCATACTCAATGAGGAAGGGTTGAGGGCATTTTTTCTAAGATCAGAAACAAGACTTAGATGCCCACTCGTACCACTTATATTCAACATTATACTGGAAGAGCTAGTTAGAACAATCAGGCAAGAGAAAGAAATAATAGGCTTTCAAATTGGAGAGGAAAAAGTTAAATTTTGCCTGTTTGCAGATGATATAATCTTATAGAGAGAAAATCTTAAAAAATCTACCAAAATCTGTTAGAACTAACAAATTTAGCAAAGTTGAATGATACAAAATCAACGTACAAAAATTCATAGCTTGTGCACATGTACCCTAAAACTTAAAGTATAATAAAAAAAAACATAGCATTTCTAAATACTAACAACAAACTATCTGAAAAAGTTTCAAGAAAAAATATCCCATTTGCAATTGCAAATAAAACAAAACACTTAGGAATAAATTAACCAAGGAAGTGAATACCTGTACGTTAAACTGTAAAACATTTATGAAAGAAATTGAGGAAGACACAAATAAATGGAAAGATATGCCATGTTTGTGGATTGAAATAATTAATGTTAAAAAATACCTCTATTATCCTAAATGATCTAGATTCCAAGCAATCCCTATGAAAATTTCAGTAACATTTTTTCTGCAAAATAGAAAAAAAATTAAATCAATATAAAAATTAGATATGAAAATGGAAAAATTATATCCCCAATATTAGGAAATCAATTCTAGCAATATTTAAAAAGGTTAATATATCATGAGCAAGTATAATTATGCAGAAAAGATAATTTGGAATAAAATTTAAAAATCATTTAAAGTTAGTCACTACACAGAATAAAGGAGGAAAAACGTAGATTCAGAAAAGGCATTTTAATAAAATTCAAAATTCATCACTCATTCATGGTATAACTCTTAGCAAAGTAAGAAGCTAAAAAAATTTATTAATCTGATAAGTTATCAATAATAAACTGCATTAAGCATCTACTTGATGGTAAAATATTGAATATTTAAGTAAAAATTTGGAGAATATAAAGATGCCTACAATGATCACTTCTGTACAACACTTTATTGAATGTCTCAACCTATGCAATAAGGCAAGGGGAAAAAAGTTTTAAGCATTAGAATAAAAACTTAAAAATTATTTGCAGAATACTGATTTTATAAATGAAAAATCTAGACGTGTTCATGGGTAACCTGTTAAATTCGGTAGGTGAATTTTAAAAAGTCACTGGATAAGTCAATACAATAAATTCAGTTGTATTTCCGTACATTTTAAACAATCAGAAAACTATAAAATATTGTTTGAAAAATCAATAGAAGGATAGCATATACTCATAGATTGGAAGACTCAGTATAGCACATCTATTAATTTCACCAACATATGTCTTCAGATTACAATATACAAATGCAATTCCAATTAAAATCAGAACATATTTTGTTATATAAACTGCCAAGTTGATTCAAGTTATGTCTAAAATGTTCATACAAATGTAAAGAGCCAAGCATAGCCAAGACAATACTGAAAATGGACAACTATTAAAGAGGAAATAACAGGTTGGTAGGGTCATAATACTATACATTAAGATTTATTATATGAATCCAGTAATTAAAATTTTTATTAACACAAACATAAACAAATAGACCAAGAAAACAGAATAAAGAGTTCAGAAACAAGCCAGAAGTTTTATAGCCAACTGATTTATGACAAAGGTGACACAAGTTCTACCATAGTGAAAGCATGACTTCCACAATGAAGGTTGTTATACTGACTGGGTATCTATTTGGGAGGAAACAAACCTTGGCTTCACTTCACACAATACACAAAAGTCAATCCCAGATGGACAGATCTAATTACAAAAGGTAAATAGTAGAACTTTTGCAGTAAGCATAGGAGACTATCCTTGTTCCCAAAGAGTAAACTATAATTATTCATAGAGGACACGTAAGGGATCACTAGTAAAAGCAAAGCTTGATAAACCGGACTTCACTAAAATTAAGACCTGTGTCCATTAAAAGACACCATTAGCACCTAAACCCATTCTAATCCTAGGAATATTATGCAGCAAGTCTCAACTGAGCAGCATTCTATAAAATATCTGACCAGTATTAACCAAAACTCATCAAGATTATTAAAAACAAAGCCTGAAAAGTTGTCATAGCCATAAGGAACCTAAGGAGGCATGATAACTAGACATAATGTGGTATGATGAATGGGATCCTGAAACAGAAAAATTAAACTGTATATATTTTTAAAAAAGAACATTTGAATATAATAAAGACTTTTATAAAAGATAATTATATAGAAGTTTTGAGTAATATCTTAACAAACCAGACTTTATATAAAAGTAGAGAATATATTATTCCAGAACACATAAAATGTTTCCAAAAAATGAGCATATGCTGGATACAAAGTCTTAGAAGTTTTCAAAGGAAGGTAATAATGCAGATTACTTTTTGATCATAGCCTAATACTTCAATTAGGCTAGAAATCTATACTTAGGAGATAATTGGAAAAACACTGTATGCTAAGAAATGATGGAACGCATTTTTCAAAACAGGTAAGTCAAAAATGAATTCATAATAGAAATTAAAATTTTGAACTGAATTATAACAAAAACACCATAATTCAAGTTTTGGATGAAGTTAAAATAAACCTTAAGAAAAATACATCGCTTTAAGTGACTATGTTAGGAAAAGTAAAAATGCATAAAATTAACTAGTAAACATCTATTAAAGAAAAACTATATATTTGATGAAATTTACTTATAATTTTCACTTTGTATATTGCATACACACACGTGATAAACCCAAAGAAAATATACTGAAGGCAATAAAAAAGATACAGGATACAGGTACATATTAATAAAATATAAATCAAATAATCACTTAAAGGAAAGATTAATCATTTGAAAAGAAGAACAATAATGATTGACTTTCAGTGATCCTAATCATGAAAGAAGATATAAATCCCAAATGAACAACTTTAGGATTAAAACAAAATATAAAAACAAATGTTACAGATTTAAAAGGCAATAAAAGAACTTAAAAATTATTTTATGCCAATAAATCTAGAAGTACACATAAGGAAGGTTAATTATTCAGAATATATAACATCAAAATGAATTCAAGTAGAAATTGAAATGAATAATATTGAAGATATTTAATCAATCATCAAAAATATTTTCACTAATTTAAGTTCAGATGGCTTCACTAGTGAGAGGTAATAACTTCAGAAACCTAACTCTGGTGTACACAAAATATTATAGGAAACAAAAAAGGGGAGGGTGTGGATAGATTGCTCCAATTAAATTGATAGGAATACAGACACATTTTGTACAGAAAAGGAAAATTACAGGTTAATTTTATTCAAGAACATTGATGTAAAACAAAATATTTGCAAATCAAAGTCTAGGCAACATATATAAAGGGTCATACCATGACCAAGTTGGAAGGTTCATTATAGAAATAAAAGGATGTTTTAACTTAAAACAATTTATTAATAAATTCCACCAGATTAACAAACCAAAGAAGAAAACTCATACGATTATTTTAATAGCTGCATAAAAAACTTTCAAAAATTCAACAACATTTATTCATTTTAAACTCTTAGAAAACTAGGAAGAAAAAGAAACTTCGTGATTTAAAAATAAAACATACCATTTCATAGGATGAAATTTATTAAATTAATGTTCCATATCATTTCTTAAAGGACATCATGATATCCAGTCATTTTACTATCTGAACACATTAAAAAACAAACTAGTAATCTAATGAATCTCATTTTGTAGAAAACATTGCTTTGTCAAGAAACTCCAAAAATTTTTTGTCTGTTTTGATAAAACATTGCTTTGTCAGAAAACTCTAATAATTTTTTGTCCAAAAACATGCAATGTTAAGCACTGCTTTGTCAAAAAACTCCAATAATTTTTTTTGTCAAGAAACTCCAATGTTTTGCTGTCAGATTTTTCTTGCTTCTATTACTGAAGGATGAATGCCATAAATATCTATGAAGGAAAAAAGCTCTTGTTCATGTTTTTCAAGTAGTTTTCAATAAAGTTAATTTCTTTTTTTGTTTTTTTCTCTTTTGCATTTAATACATAATTAATATACGCTTAGAAAAAAATGAATACTTACCTATTAAGCCATTGTAAGTATAAATTCTCAGTTTACTCATCTGTTTTTTTTTTTTAGGGTTTTGTTGTTATTGTTGTTTGTCTGTTTGAGACAAAGTCTCCCTCTGTTGCCCCGGCTGGAGTGCAGTGGCCTGATCTTGTCTCACTGCAACCTCCCACTTCCCAGGTTCAAGCAATTCTCATATCCCAACCTCCTGAGAAGCTGGTAATACAGGCACATGCCATTATGCCCGGCTAATTTTTGTAATTTTAGTAAAGACAGGGTTTCACCATGTTGGTCAGGGTGGTCTCCAACTTCTGGCCTCAAGTGAGCCGCCCCCTTTAGCCTCCCAAAGTGCTAGGATTACAGGCCTGAGCCACTGCACCTGGACTTTTTTTTTAGGGATTTTATGGTTTATTTTTATTTTTTTATTCTCATCTGTTTTATTCCCCATTATAGGACACACATGGTTGCAGATGATTACTTCTGAACTTCTATGCTCATATCTTAGTGTCTAGAATCATTCATGCCTGAAAGATGATACTTTCTAAATGAAAAATTACTGTACTTTATAAAGTACCCATAAAACTGAATATTTTATTAAATAGGAGACATATTATTTCCTGTATGAGAATACATGAAGATGGAAAGTGGATAGAAGCATGGTAAATGATGTAGTAAGAGAAGAGGAAGAGCAACTCTACCGGGCTGCATCATAGCCAGAAGAATGTCTGTTTCAATAGCAGAATCTAAATTTTCTCAGAAATCAGGTCAGCATGTTTCATGAAAGAAAGAGGATTGGAAACAAAAAGGACATTTAGAAGTACACATATGGAGCAGTTAGAACCCCGGGTCTCCACCTCCTCCTTGGATAATCAAATGGCTATCCATCCTTAACCACTGCAGAAGATGAGCAGTGTATTCTCAGGATAAATTGAAGCAGAGAGATTTCTGATTCCAAGACATCTGGCCAAAAAGGTGGGAAAGAGTGTGATTATGAAAATATTTATGCTGAAGAACGGGAGGTTCCAGTTTGTTTTTCAGCCCAAATCCCTGTGCAATAACAGAGACTTACATTTTCCCAACATTTCTACCTACATCTCCAAAGAGGAGACTCAAAATTCTTTTCTAGTAAATGGAGTACTCAGAAAAAAAAATCCCTAAATGGTGCTATGTGGATGACTGGAGGTGAAAAGCCTTGCTACATTCCCATCACTACAAGGAAGCTCAATGGTTTATACACAAGCCTCATGCACCCAGAAGTTTTTAATAGCAAAATTGAAAGCCATGTCAAAATACTGAGTGATTTGAATTTCAAACAATGGTTCAAGTACTAAGTCGCTAAAACATTTGCCCCCATCTTTTACTATTTTTCAGGGAATAAATGTAAGTTGTGCTTTACTAAAACGAGGCGGTAAACCAGAAAAAGAAGGTAAAACATGATCAAACCAGAGGAAAGGTGAGGAAAATTCCCTGTATGATGGGAAATGGAAAGCCCATGGTGATACCTGTGCTGAAAGCCAGGAGGGTAATCAATCCAACTGTAGAGGGAGAGTTGGAGGATGCCTAAACAGATAACTTCAAAAGAAAGGAGATTATTAGAATTGCTAATTATTGACAGGTTTTTATGAAACTATTATAGCGAGCTGGAAAATTAATTTACATATGCAAAGAAAACTAAACAGACGCAAAAACAAAATAAAACTATTTTAACTCCAGGAAGAAAAATTAACTGCAGATCAAAAGATATTCTACAAGACATTCAGCAGTGAACAATATTTACAGAGATGTAACGCTGGAAACATTGATTATAGATTTCACCAGAAGCAAATACGATAGTGGAAGTAAGTGAAATTGGATCATCACCTACCATGTTAGGTAGTCATTTTGTAATGTTGAATGGTAAACACCAGATAGCAATACAAAAGCAGTATTTAGAAATTCGGAGTATCTGCATTTAGTACGTTGTCAAATACAAATAAATCATGAAGATAAAAAATGAATTAATGCCATATGAATTGTGAATAGAGATTAAATATGGTACAATTTTACTTACTGATGAGCTGTTTCTTCCTATGATAGGTTATTAGACATTCAACATTATTTTAAGAAAACTTTCTTGTTCAAACTATCTTGTTATACTTTCTGCATTGAAGGATACATCACCACCCAGTAAGGAATACCTCAAATATCCTGCATTTAAATAACCTGCTAAACGTTTCTATAGGTAAAAGAAAAATCCATTTGCAATCATTTGAGCCTTGAACTTAACTCTGTTTTACATATAATCACCAATAGTTGGTTTTAATATACACTGCATTTTCCAGGAATGAAACTTCTGTGTAATTCCAGAGATGACAATATTCTTTGTGGTATTCACCTAGCTGATACAGCATACCTAGATCACTCTATATTTGTAACTGTCTTCTTTATAATAAATAATTTGCATTATGGATAGTGGTGTAGCACTGGCCAATATTAAGGTATCTAATAGATTGTTTTTATCACAAATTACATTCTATTTTTCATTTATATTATAATCTACTGATAGCTTTTAAATTATACATGTGGGGAGATTACACTATCTCTGAATTTAATTTAGGATACTACACGGGGATTTGCAAAACATCTGCTTTCAACAGTGTTATTCTGTTCTATTTGGAATAACTACTGCATGAAGATAACACATGCGCCTTGGTCTTTCCCTACCGTTTGATGTTTCAATATCCAATCCTTCCTGACCTACCTGAAATGGTCTTTTTTGAGACAGAGTATCACTCTGCTGCCCAGGCTGGAGTGCAGTGGCGCATTCTCAGCTCACTGCAACCTCCACCTTCTGGGTTCAAGCGATTCTCCTGCCTCAGCCTTCCGAGTAGCTGGGATTACAGGCAACTGCCACCATGTCCAGCTCATTTAGTATTTTTAGTAGAGATGGGATTTTGCCATGTTGGCCAGGCTGGTCTCGAACTCCTGACCTCAGGTGATCCACACACCTCGGCCTCCCAAAATGCTGGGATTGTAGGCGTGAGCCACTGCACCAGGCCCTGGGATGGTCTTCAAATAGCAATTAATTAAATAGTAATGGTGCTCTTTCCTGTTGGTTCCAGAATCCTTTTACACACTGTACTCGAAGTACATTTTAATTTACCCACATTGATATGTAATATAGAACTTACTCGTCACTTCTGAGTAGAGTTGTGCCATACCACATATTCATTATTCCCTCCTTACAAAACTGATGTGCATTCTGGGGAAACAGGATTTTCCAAAATAGTTCTGAGACTTCACATTAAGAAGAGATCAAATTTAATTTTTTTCAATTCTGATATAATCTCATTGTTTATAGATAATATTTCTGGTAAATTACCATGATTTTCCCTTTTTCTGCGTAACAAACCACTCTACATTTTGTAGCATAAAACAGCAATCATGTTATTTGCTTATGATTCTGTTGGTCAGCTGTGCCTTGCTTCTGATCTACAATACTTCTGCTCTGGGCTGACTTGTGAATCAGTTGATGACTCAAGTGGGCCAAAACGTTCTAGAAAGGCCTCCCTAACATGTCTGACAATTGTCAGGGTCATTGGCTGGGGCAGTTAGCCTCTGCTACAGGTAGGTCTCATCCTCCCCTAGGTGATCCTTTCTTAGATAGTGGTCTCAGGGTTCCAACAAGAAGGAAGAGAGGGCAAGACCAAATGTGAAACATTTTTAAACTCCTGCTTGCTTTGTATTTGCTAATATCTCATTGGGCAAAACAAGTCACTTAACTAAGACCAGATTCAAAGGCTTGAGAAACAGACTCATCCCCTGAGAATAGCTGCAAAATATTGCAGCATTGGTTTCTTCAATATAACACCTCCCTCTGAATTCTTAAGTATTATAGATAGAATCCTTATTATCTAATTGTTATATACATATATATACACACACACATATGTACACATATATCTATATGTGTATATCTATCTATCTATATCTATCTACTTATCTATCACACCTTAGTTCTGTTCACAATCAATTTAATGACGTTGGTTTAAATTTTGAATTTAAGGGTTCTTTGTGTGTGTTAACTAAACACACTTACACACACACATATGAACCAATCTTTCAAAGAGAGAAGAGTCAAATTTTATGAAGGGTTTATTTAATCATTAATTTCTGTCCCATTATTAGATCACATTTGCTGAATCAGATTGCGTTCCCCTAGGCCAGAGTAAAACCCTGCAGTATAAAAACAGTTTAAGGTTCAATTCTGTACATGCATTTTGGCACCATGTACATTTATTTTGAAGGGTTTAAATAACCTAGTAAAAAGTAAGGCTATAATCATAGGCTGACATCTGTTGCTGGCATTCTTTTGGTCACTTATTTAGCCATGCCAGACAGAAACCATAGATAGCTAAAGATAACTAAAAATAATTCAGTATGTTTTTCAAATCACTTACACAAAGAGATTCAAATAAAATCCTTTTTTTTTCAATGCAGATGCATTTAGGAAGACTATTAAGTGTGAATCTAATAAAAATAGTCCTATGGAGCACCATATAAAATAATTAAATACACAGGTCAAATTTGGAATCCTTTATAATTTTCATTTCTAAATTATCTTTTTCTCCTACATCTAACTTATTTATGCTTGGTTTAATCCTTTGATCTCACTGAGGGAGCTTCGTAACTTACCCCATATCCTTACCTTGAAATCAAATACTTTACAGGACAGGCAACACAGGCTGGATGGGTCAAAGTCTTTCCTAGCGTGGCAGCTTTTCTTTATGCAGCTACAAATAGCTCTTTTCCATACGTAGAATTCTAGGGAAAAAAAAATGCATAGGCTTAGTTGGTGCTTTGGTCTTTTGAAGAGTAGAACTTTGCCATTCTTTCTAACTCTCACTTTACTACAGATGAAACGTAAAAAGAGTATGCCTATTTAATATAATTTAAAGCAAGAAAATGTCACTTAAATCAACCTGACTATATTTTTCAAATTTGAAAAGTATGCTTTTCATTCTGCCTTTACAGAAGAGAAATCTACTCTCTTCTGAAAGATGATAAGGTGTCTTTTGAAATCCAAGTACAACCCCTAGAATTAAGCTGAAGTTGTAAACATCTAAGGACTTGTCTTATAAGACAGTTCAAGTTATCTTCTCCTATAAACTGCTATAGTTAAAGAAGCAGCATCACATTCCCTAGATTGCAAATATTGAATAATGAAATTAAAATAAAGATTTAAAACATACTTAAGATAATTTCATCATAAACCCAAATAAACAGATTTTTTTTTCTTTTTTTTTTTTGAGACAGAGTCTCGCTCTGTCGCCCAGGCTGGTGTGCAATGGTGGCACAATCTTGGCTCACTGCAACCTCCGCCTTCGGGGTTCAAGCTATTCTCCTGCATCAGCATCCCGAATAGCACGCCACCACTCCCAGCTAATGTTTGTATTTTTAGTAGAGATGGGGTAGATGCTGGGATTACAGACATGAGTCACCGTGCCCAGCAGAACTATTATAAGTTGTAGAATTTCAAGTTCTGGTGTACACACGAGTGCAATGTATAGTGAAATTTAATTTTTTTCACTTATATCACTATTGAAATATATGGATTGCAAATGAAAAATATAGTCACTGTACATAGTGTTTGATGTTATAAGTCATATAAGGGTATCTCAACATTTATTTTTGACTTAATATTATTTTTAACAGGAAGCTCATTAGATTGTAATAGGTTATCTGATTTTCCTTACATCTAAGAAATAATTGCTGATTGTTTTTAAGTTTTGATATCTCTATCCCATTAGGAAAAATATTCGTCAGATAAAGTTTTACTTTATAGGTGAAGAAAAGTCAACTCTGTGATTTTTAAATTAAGGTTTCAGAGCAAATTAGAATGTGCTTTAGGATTGACAACTTAATTCAAGACTGCTTTTTCTCATTTTCACATGTAGAAATTTTTACTGTGCATTTTAGTCATTGGCAAATTGCCAAAATACAGTAGACAAGGCTTCTAAATGAGGTGTAGATTGATGACTGGAATTTAAGGGTTATAAACAAGACCACCAAGGCCCAATTACCATCACTAGGTAAATAAATTCCACCCTTGAAAGTGGCTTGAGAGAGGAATCCCAAACTCCCTATGCAAAGAATCCCGAGCTGAACAGAATCAGGAGAGAGGGAAGCAAAGATGTATGTGCATTGGCAGTAGTCCAAAACTTTATGCAAAGGTTTACTGGTGTCCACTTGAGCTAAGGAAGAGGGGAAAAAATTGTACTAATAAATTTTTAGTGCTGAAAACATGAAATTTACCTTCAAGATGAGAGAGCAAATCCATTTGCTATTTGGATTATTTGCACCTACAGCTTTTTGCCTTTAAAATGGTTCTGCCAGAAATTGCTTTTTTTCTCAGTAGTTGTCCATGAAATTTTCATGGAAAATGAATTCAATTTTACCTTTTTTTCTTTTCAAGATGCATATATATTGCTACAGTCATTCTTGTGGAATTGGTTCCTCATATACCTCATTTTATAACACATAATACCCTAAAGTAGCAACTCAGGAAATGAAGAACTGTGGATTTTGCCTTGGTTTTGGTCAGGCTGCCTTCACATCAGGAACAAGTGGGGACAGAGGAGACGAAAACTGCGGGAGTTTTGCAGCCAATGAAGAAAAACAGAGGATAAATGCCCGTTAGCCACACTTAGGCAATTATATCATTCAGTTGATTTCCCTATTTTTTTTTTCCTTTGTACAAAACATTGTGAGCACAGTAGTTGCTCTCAATAATTTGACACTGCAGTGTAGAGAAAAGAAATGTAAACTAACGGTTCCATTCAAGAGGTTCTAGTAAAAAACCAATTTCCAAATTTAAGCGGTTGAGATGCACTCTGCCAAAGGCCTGGGCTTACTCTCTAGGGCATCTGTCCTCCATGAGGTGGCTCAGGATTGCAATTCTTTATCAAACTGTGATTCCACTATTACCTCAACAAAGAAAAGAGAGAAAATGGAGAGTTGGGCACGGGCAATTTAATGCCTCTGCCTAGGTCACTTCCTCCAAGGGTTCACTGTGCGTTTCAAGTCACAAGGTTCATACCTACATCAAAGATATGGGGAAGTACATTGTACCATAAGCCCAGAAAGAGAGGATTCCTGTTCACTAACAATATTTGTCACTTACTAGTTACAAATAAAATGCCAAAATGGTACAAATAGAGGTTTGTAAATATTATAAAAGCTAGAAGGAAGTATCATTTTAAAGGACAGTGTAGAGAATTATCTTGGAGCATAATTATGCATATGGTAAGTGAATACGGCAATTCTGCATGGGAAGAATACATAAATGAGGAAAGAGGCAGTGTTTAAAGCTATGAGAGTTGACTTGAAAACGTGTCAATTTTATCCCAAGGAACTTGGAATTTTTCTTGTAGGAAGAGGGGAGCTCTCTAGGGTTTTAAGGAGAGGAGCAAAGTGATAATATTTGTTCTTAAAAAAATTACCCTTCTAGGAGAAGAGAAAATGGATTTGAGAGGGATGAGTGTGGAGGGTATTATACTTTGGGCCCAAGATGATGTGGCTCCAAAGCACATCACCAAAGCATCTACACTAAAGATGGATTTGAGAGGCACTGGGACGTAGAAGCCAACATGGTCATTGATAGACTCCTGTCTATTGGAAACTTCACTGTCAATAAGAATATGAAAAGACAATATCTCCACCTCTAAATAGCTTATAATCTAGCAGAAAATCAGACATGTAAGAAACAGTGGTAAAAGAGTAGGTGTTCTGATGGGCAACAGAGTCTTAAGAGAAAGCCCCAGAGAGAGAAACATCAGATTCTGGAGTCATGCCAACGTTTTCTGCCTTTTTAGATTGATATGCCCCAGGGTTATTTTTTGCCTTTATTCTTTCTTAGTTTCATGTAATGACATTGAGCTGTTTCATACATGTCTAGCAAAGAATATGTTCTTACCTGCAGTGATCTGCAGGCCAATTCATTCTGAACCATCCTGTCCCACGAACACTTCCTGAATGCTATTGTCATCTAGAATTACCACACTTCTGAAATGATGAATTTAATAACTCTTATTCTGTGACCATGTCCTGAGATGATAATGTTTGAAATCTGGACACTTGATGGGGGCAAGTAGGTTGGGATGCAACTGAAACAGAACCATTCCTCAAGTCTTTAGTGTTTTATTAATATTCTGAAAAACCAGCTTAACTTGCACCATATAATATTAGTGTTCTCATCATACATGTAGACCAATATAATTCAGAGGACACTACTGTCTTATTCCTGGTCTTCATTCTTTCTATGTCTTTTTTCTTTTTAGTTATCTCTGAGAATTTCCTCTATAACCCACTGCAAATAGTTTCACACTACCACACTCTTTTTGTGCAGTGGTGTCTGAAGAGATTCTGAAATCTCTCTGCTTTCTCCTTCCCTGCCATTTCCAAATTCTGCCAACCAGGAAAGAGCATTAGAAACTTAAGCAATTATCTCTAGCTAGTATATGATCCTTCTCTTCCCAAGCAAGGTAAACTTTATTATTAAGTAATAGTTGAAATAAATAAGCTAGTATTTGTGGCATATAAATCATTCATGGTAATGTTATTTAGTGTAATGGAACTTGTCCTAATTAGGTTCTGTTTTCTTTATGCCATTTACTTATAATCATGTCGCATTTATATGACCACTTTAAATTTTAAGCTCACAAAGGGCAAGAAGCCCACCCCGGTTACTCTAGATAGCCTTGCAAAGTCGCATCCATAAGCTCATGATGGTTTGATGTTCCCGGTTTTGTTGTTTACATTAAAATTATTTGAAATTGCCTGTAATCTCAGCACTTTGGGAGGCCGAGGTGGGCAGATCACGAGGTCAGGAGATCGAGACCATTCTGGCTAACACGGTGAAACCTCGTCTCTACTAAAAATACAAAAAAAATTAGCTGGGCGTGGTGGCGGGCACCTGTAGTCCCAGCTATTCAGGAGGCTGAGGCAGGAGAATGGCGTGAACCCAGGAGGCAGAGCTTGCAGTGAGCCGAGATAGCGCCACTACACTCCAGCCTGGGTGACAGAGTGAGACTCTGTCTCAAAACAAAAATAATAATAATTTGAAATTTTGGTGCAATAGTGCCAATTTATCACTAAAAAGGCCTTGCCATAAAAATAAATTTATTTACTTCATTAGATGCTAATATTCATTGGTGAATGTTAATTTTCCTAAAATATTAATAAAAAGAGATGTTGAAATTCTATCTAAACCTTTCAATAATCACCAAAAGACATTGATTAAATTTATTTTCACCTTAAGTTTTTTTGCAGAAATATTTTGAAATAAATATGCTGTTAACTCTCCATAATTTTTTTTTGTTGTCTTTTTCGTTTTTGAGATGGATTATCACTCTATTGCCCAGGCTGGAGTGCACTGGCTCAAACTTGGCTCACTGCAACCTCCACCTCCAGAGTTCAAGTGATTCTCCTGCTTCAACCTACTGAGTAGCTGGGATTACAGGTGTGTGCCAACATGCCCAGCTAATTTTTGTATTTTTGGTAGAGATGGGGTTTTGCCATATTAGCCAGGCTGGTCTCGAACTCCTGACTTCAGGTGATCCTCCTGCCTCGGCCTCCCAAAGTGCTAGGATTACAGGTGTGATCCATTGTTGCCGGCCTCTCCATAAATTTTTTAAAATAAAACAAATATTTCACTTGTTCATCAAACCAATCTCTATATATATGTAGAAATGTAAAAGATTTGTGCTATTGATACAGTACTGAATTATAAAACGTAATTCAAGAGAGACCTTGGAAGCTATTTATATTATAAAGATGAAAAAAATAAAGCCACAAGAGGTTAAGTGACTTTTTCAAGATACTTGACAAAGAGAAGCATGATTCAGTGGCATGAGCACTGGCTTGGGCTGAAGCAGGAGAATTGCTTGAACCCAGGAGGCGGAGGTTGCAGTGAGCTGAGATCATGCCATTGCACTCCAGCCTGGGCAAACAAGAGTGAGACAAAACAAAAACAAAAACAAAAACAAAAAGCACTGTGTTGGATGTTAGAAATCTCTAATTGTATTTCCAGCTATGCCAAATATTTGTTATACCTGAGTGTTCTAATCTCTTGGACAAAAAGATGGAAGGGCTGCAAAATCTTTAAGCCTCTTTAATTTTAAAAGTCAAAATTTGAAGTTAAAGTCACACTACAATTAAAAAGATTGGTCAATGACTGAATTCCTGAGAGTTCAGTGTCAAGTAGACAGTCATCCCACCAGCCCTTTGTATCTGCATGTTCTGTATCCACAGACTCAACAAACCATGAATTGAAAATAGTTTTAAAAATAATAAAAAATAACAATATGACAAAAATGAATAGGAATTACAAAAAAATCTAATAGAGTATATCTACTATTTGCATATAATTTGCATTGTATTAGGTGTCAACAGTAATCTATAAATGATTTAGAGTATGCAGGAGGATGTGCATAAGTTTATGTAAATACCATGCCATTTAATAAGGGATTTGAGGATCTACAGATTTTGGTATGAGACAGGTCCTGGAAATAATCCCCACTGGATACTGAGGGATGATTCCATGAATGACTGTGTGATAGCTAACAGTGGCAACAACAGGAGAAGGCAAGCAAAAATTGTTAGCATTAGGAGGCAATTAGACAAGATGAACATGCTTGTTACCAATAACAATGCATGTGAGAGAGGGTCAATTCAAAACCTGGCAACCCAGGCAGGTCAGTGCATACAGGATCTGGTGGATAGGAAACTCTAAGGCCAGGGAAATCAGAGAGGACAGAGCAGGAGTTGTGAGAAAAATTTGCAAGATCTTGAGTGACTAGACACTGGTTCTCAAGTGGTCTGCGTAACCAGAATAGTTGTATTTCAGCAGCTAAACATGCAGTTAATAATAATCGTAGGGTTTTGAGTCCAAGGTCAGAAGTAATCTCAGAGGGTGGCCAGTCATGAAACTACAGAGAGTATGCCTTATTAGAGACAGAAGGAGGCACAAAGGGACAAGGCAGAATCTGACATGGGCATATACATATATTTCATTTACTTGACTTCTCATTAGAAAAGACCTGAGCCAAGATGAAGAAGCAGTGAGACAACTAAATAGCTCTGAATAGAAAGGGGATAGCAAGATTGGGTTGATGAATTTCTTATAGAGAGTGAAAGTCTTGATGACTCACAGTTACAATTCGAAAAAGAGAAGAGGAGTTGAGCTGGTGCTCCAGAAAAGATACTTGAAAAGGATTTTTCTGAAAGATACTTTGCAGAATTTGTAATATGCAACCCTTCTAAAAATATTTGATAAAATACCAATTTCATGAATACAATATGGGCACTTTGTGCATGTGTCAAAGACAAATGCTGCCCTTGTGTGCCCAGTTCCACTTGTTCTCTGAAAATATTCCCTTCCTCTAGGAGAGTGATTGTTAAAGCAAGGTTTGTAAACAGTAGACTCTTTGGGGAAACCTACTTTCAAATTACAAATATTCCCCACAAACATCACACAGTCCTACATCCATACACTGTGTGCAAACATACCCCATATCCTGCCAGAGCTATACCAGGACAATGTAATGATTCTGGTATACCTTTGATTTTGAAAAACTGTACTCTAAGAGATATTTGCTTATTTGTTCTGCTGCATAATAAACATGTTTTAATGTGCTTATCATAGACTTTTTTACTCATTGTATAAAACACTTGTATCTCTTAAGGTATCATTTGTTCTATCTCATTCCAGATAACCATTGAGTTAAATTCTGGTTGCAGCTGAAAGGATGCTGGTAATTGAACTTCTGAGGTATGGAAAGGAGGGCAAGATCTGTGTGCACCTGAGAATTCTCTGGCTCTTGCCCATAGCTATGTTTCCAACTGGGATAGGTACAGCTTCCTTAACAAGAAGAAAATATTTTCCACTTTTCAAAATTCATTATCTGTTCTGCTACAGATAAAGCAGGATGTAAACCTGACCCACTGGCAGCCCATCAGGAGAAATTTATCTGGAAACTTCCCCTGAGGATCCGTAGCACAGTTGAAAACAACAGGTGAAACCAACACCTGAAAAGAAAGGGGAAAAACTGGTTCAACTTCTCTGAGCACTGAAATACCATCCTCTTTAGCCAGCCCCCTTCACTCCTCCTCCTGTTTCTTCTGAGAGTTGAGTACACCTTTATGAATTTCTTCTCAAGATTCTCTTTCTGTTTAGCACCCCTCCCCCATCTTTATTTACAATTTTATTTTTTGCTTTCTCTCATCCACATAATTTTATTTCGTGGTTTCCCCAATGTAAAATCTTCTTCCATTCTAGCAATTTATGCCATTTCCAAAGTCATATTGCTTTATTTCTTCCTTGTCTTCCCACTACTACTGTCACAGGATCCTTGGAGTGATTCCTTTCCAGCTGGAAACCTCTGTGGGCAGAGGCGCCTTTGCCCAAGTTTTGCTCAGGTGCACTGGGCTCATTCTGCCCACTCAGCTGCACTCAGCTCATGCTACTGGCCTAGATCCCATGCCCACCTAGGCCAAGTGGAGTGGCAAGTGGTGTGTGAGCTAGTGAGCATGGGGTCCAGCCCCTGTGCACAGCTACGCATGCTGGTGGCAGAAGGCAGGCAGCTTTAGGCACTGGCCTGGGCACCAGCTCCCTGTGAGTTGCATCTGGACCAGGCATACTGCAAGCAGCTTTCATGGCTGGTACCAGGAAATGCAGTGATGCCCAGAAGCTTGGAGATGCCAGAAACTGCAGAACACCAAAGAGAGTGTCATAGTCTTGGCTTGGGGAGCTTCTAGGTCTGGGCTCCCTGAAGGGCCACAGCTCTTCTCTCCTTTTCTCTCTCCTTCTTCTTGCCCACAACGTGGCAAACAAAGGGCATGTTTCAGCTCTATTTGTGTTACAGCTCTTTTAGCCCCACCATTCAGCAGGTCCTGAGTCCTGGTCCTGCATCTAGGAAGAATGAGGTACACAGACAAGTTGGGGGTGAGCAAGGTGAAGAAATTTATTGAGCAAAAGAACAGTTCAGGGGAGACCCAAATTAATTAGCTCCTTTCTGCAGGTAGGGTGTCTTAATAAGTGTTTAGCTCTCAGCAGAGATGAGACCCTGGAGTAGGTAGCTCTTCTCTACAACTGGTAGTCCCAACATCTGCTCAGCTTTCAGCAGAGAGTAGACCATGGAGTGGGTAGCTCCTCTCTGCAGCTGGTCATCCTGTCTCTGCTCAGCTCTCAGCAGAGAGGAGACCCTGGAGTGGGTAGCTCCTTTTTGCAGATGATTGTCTTGTCATCTCCTCCAGTCTGGCTGAGTCCAGGGTTTTTATGGGCTTCAGAAGGAAGGAAGTGTGTGCTGATTGGTCCATCAGCAGCCATGGGCAGCCCCAGAGTAAGTACCATAATTTCTCACTCCTGTTCATGGGACTTACAGCCCGGTCCCCAGGCTTCAGTTCTTTCCTGGCTTGAAGGCGGGTCTTCATCGAGGACCCATCCCTTTTTGCAGCAGAGTCTGTCTGCCTCCTGCCTCTCTTCATAGTAACCAGGCTGTTCAGGCTGAGGGGTGACAGCAGGCCAGCATGGAGCTGCCCTCAGCACCCCCACCCCCACCTCCCATGCTTGTCAGTGCCCAAAGTCCAGAGTCAACACTTCCCCAAGCATGCACACACCCATCTGGGTTGCTACAGCACCTGGGCTCGGCCTCAAATTTGCTCAGAGATCAGAGCAGGTACCACAAGTGGGGACAGGCCAGACAGTGGGAGCAGGCATTTCCGAGCTTGCAGGGGAAGAGGGGGGCCTTCCTGGGTCCCTTACAATGTATAGATACCTGGGTCTGCAGCTGAGGCTTGGGCAGCTACAGCTGTGCCTGGGAGGGCAGGATTCCTGCTGGCTCCCGAACCCAAGAGCACAGGGATGCCCAGGTCCACAGCAGTGGTTTGGGAAGCTTGGGTGTCTGCAGCTCTGCCTGGGAGGGTGGGGCTCCTGCTAGCTCCTGGCCCCCAAGAGCACAGGGATACCTGGGTCTGCAGTTAGGGCTTGGGCAAATGCAGCTGTGACCTGGAGGGCAGGGCTCCTGCCTGCTCCTGGCTCCCACTGGCCTTATGGAGCATGCTGCCCCACTCCCATGCAGTGCACCTCCCCCACTGCAGCCAGCATCATGGCAGTGGTGGCTCCACATAGGCTGACCCTGCCATCACTACTACCCTCAATAAATTATAACTTCTCATTTTCTCCTGAAACTATTTCCCAAAAACAATTCTCTCAAGTAGAGGACAGCCTTCCTCTTACTCTTTTCACATTTTGGTAAAATGCAGAGCACTTTCCACATGTCTGATACTTCTTTTAGCTTTTAGTATTACCAATATTATGTGTCAGCCCTTTTCCTTTGACTTCTGTCCTCTTCTGTACCACTTATTTGTATTATCCTCTGCTCATCCCTATTTTTATTTTACTGTCACCAAGTTGAGTGCCTATAATGTGCAAAATATCATGGTTGTTATAGTGCACAGGTATTTATATTAGTATGAGACAGAAGTATAGATAAAGTACCATGTGGTGTCAGAGGAGATAGACATTTCATCTTGTTTGTATAATAAAAAAAAGTCTCATGGGTAGAGGAGAGAGTGAGATCAAAGTTAGGCTTGTAAAATAGAAGGGAAGTGTGTGGGAATAACATTTAAAGGCTTAGTGTATGCTCCAAGAAAGCCAGGCAGTCCGGCTGAACATCAGCAAAGGCTGAGTATTGAGAAATGCATGTGGAGGTTATAATGAAAGTATGCCAACTGGGGAGGGTGCTCAGAAAGATGGCAAAAGAAAAGGATAGCTGACAAGACAATGGAGAGTGCCCTTGTTCAGAAGGTGAGAGAATGGAGGGGAGCCAGGTCAGAGGACAATTGTAGATCAAAAGTCAATGGAAGATAAGAATTTTATAGATAAATCTGCTATCAAGATCAAAAAATGAATATAGATCAAGTGGATTATGATCTGAAAGGAAGTTGTTGGTTTGATTCCTAAGAGGTCATTAGTGAATTTCAAAAGCAGCATCTTAACAGAGTTGAGGGACTAAGTGCACTGAATTAAGTGATGAGTTGGTAATGCATAAACAATTCATTTATTATAAGGCAAATATATAAGCATATTTCTAATTAGTGAGAAAAAAATTGGATTAAATGTTTAGGAACTTACTGATTCAAAGACAGGGCATTTAAAAGTTACGATGTACTGCAATAAACATACGTGTGCATGTGTCTCATTCTCAGCAAACTATCACAAGGACAAAAAACCAAACACTGCATGTTCTCACTCATAGGTGGGAATTGAACAGTGAGAACACTTGGACACAGGAAGGGGGACATCACATACCAGGGCCTGTTGTGGGGTGGGGGGAGGGGGGAGGGATAGCATTAGGAGATAAACCTAATGTAAATGACGAGCTAATGGGTGCAGCACACTAACATGTCACATGTATACATATGTAACAAACCACGTTGTGCACAGGTACCCTAGAACTTAAAGTATAATAAAAAATATATATATATATAAAATAAAAAAAAGTTACGATGTAAAATAAAAATCTCACTATGTTATAAATTTTGTTATCTTTTTCCCAGAACCCTACCTTTCCAGAATGAGAGGATTCTTGCTTTTCCTTTAACTTACTAACTTCTCTGACTTCTATAGAACCTACATAATGGGGAAATAGAGATATTGTAAGATATAAAAAGGATAAAATATATTAAATAAAGACCTGAGCAAGAGTGACAGTTGAAAAAGATAAAAGCCTACTCAAGTGGATTTTTGAGAGTGTTTTTAGAAACTAGGAATTGTATGGGATTGATTGGAGACAGCTGTAGTTTGTGAGGCATTGAGAGTGAAAACTCAGCTGTAGTTTGTGAAGCATTGAGAATGAAATTGGATGAAGAGACTTTTAGAGAAGCAGCACTATGTCTTGTAAAGATGCTCCTCTTTTGGTGACTTTGCCATAAATTTTCAGTTAAAAAAATTTAAATTAGGAATTGTTTTGTATACTAGATTAATAATTCTACAATGCCACATCCTGCTGATAATGAAGTCAGTGGCTCTGTTACATAGTGTTTACATAGGAATGTATGCTGTAGTCAGGTATATATTTCGGTGTGTATTTTGTATTTAAATGTGTGTAATTTAGTAGAGGCATATGAGAATGCCAAAACAAAAAGGATAGCTGATGAACTAGGCAGGGAGCATGAAATCAAAAGCAGAAGAGGAAAAACGCACAAGAAGGAGGGAAACTGCATCCTTTGAGATGAGAAGGAAGCTAGAAAGAATTCAGAGAGAAAAAAGCTAAAGATTTTTGTGTAGAGAAGTGGGTGAAATACCCTCTATAGAGAATGAGGGGTTTATGCAATAAGTGGGAAAGAGTTGGAATAGGCAGGTTGGCAGGGAATAACAATTTGTTTAGAAGTATTGCCAAGCAGCATTGTCAGACCTGATGGAAATGGAAAATATTCATTTCTAGGGGATTTTCTCAAATGTCTTATGAACCTCTCCCACAGCTGTCATTATGGAGAAGTAGAGGCAGGAGAATTTTATAGTGTAAACTTTACAATGAACTGTAAGCAAGGATGAACTGATGGTAGTTGGCAGTCTGCTGTTAATTACTGGTAAGTAATTGGCTCTAAATTCCATCACATACATATAAACTCCCACATTCTTTTTAGGGTTTTGAAACTGAGTATAGTGATAGTAAAACTGGCCTAATTGTCCCATAAAACCACGTTTATGATTTCTTTTGAATAAACATAGAAAATTTCCAATCTTAAAATTTATGAAAGTTACACTTGTCTTATGTGAGTTCTCTTCTCAGGAAACCAACCATAAGGCCTTCCAGATAGTATCAAGGAATTGAAACTTACCAGATTATTGCATCTGGAAAATGAGACGCAGACCCCTTAGGCATCATGGTTGCTTAACTGACGAGCTGCTTCCTATAGACCAACTCCTCTACCTTGCCCTTACCTAATTCCTTTTTTCCCATACCTGATTGCTATATAAACCCAAAATTTTAACCAGCTGACATGTATTTGAGACTGATCTCCCATCTGCTCAGCTGCAGCACCTGAATACAACCTTCTTCCCTGGCAATACTTGTTGTCTCAGTGATTGGCTTTCTATTGAGTAACCCCTGGTGTTTTGGTAACAATAGAACAAATGCATTGAGGAAGTCAAGCCTGCAAAGGTAAGAAAAGGGAAGAAGGAGCTGATATCAGCTGATACAGGTCCACAGCTGGATCTTCAGATACATGAAGAAGAAGGGAAGAAGGAAGGATAAAAAATAGCTCCTAAGCAAACAGATTAAGATATGTATAACCTTACCACAACCTCGTGGACAGAGGTCCATTGCATAGATATTAAATATAAAGCACTCAAGCTATGAAAAATCCTGGAAAGGGCATTTTCCAATTCCTAAGTATTCCAAATGTACATTATTGACCAGAGATATTGGATAGCATATATGTTTTGAATTTTTAGTGCTGGAAAGTTGTGATTTTGTGGACCACTGCTTAGTGCACCAATAATAAAGTTCTCCTTGTGGAATGACTACATCTTTATACTCATCATTATGTCCTCTTCAGAATCTAGCACTTCATATTGGGAGCTCAAGAACATTAAAAAATAATGATCACATGGAAGTGAACTTTGCCAGAACCCCAAATTTACAAATTTACTTGCCCTTTTCTCTACTGTCACCTTATTTTTAGGTTTCAAATGATCATTAATAAGATAATCATGTATATTATAATAACTATATCCACCTCAGACTTTTGACAGCCTTCTAACTTTGCTCATAAGACCTTCCTTCTGACAAAATCAGTTAATGAGTGATAACTCTAACATTGTGTTCTTATTGAGAAAATTGCCTCAAATATTTATAGCAAATGCCAGCTTTTTGGGAAATAGTGGAAGAGTAATAATATTGCTACTACCAATAATCATATTGATAAAAATAATTTTGAGTCCATTCTATATAAGTTATGTACAATTATAAGGGTTTTGCCCATGCTAATACAACTCAGTTTTCCAAGCGTCTGAGGACAGTAACATTATTACCCCCATTTTACAAATGTACATGAGAAATAATTGTTGTATACATGGACTCCTTAACACCTCAGGTTGTTTTCTTTGCTTCTTGCCTTTACTACATGCCAAGTGATGGTGAAGAATAGATAGCCATTTCATCTTTTCAAAAATAATCTTTTCAGGCTGAGTGCTACTGCTTTCACGCCTGTAATACCAGCACTTTGGGATGCCGAGACAGGATTGTTTGAGCCCGAGAGTTCAAGACCAGCCTGGCCAACATAGTAAGACCTCTTCTCTACAAAAAAAAAAAAAAAAAAAAAAAAAAAAAAAAAAAAAAAAAAAAAATTTAGAACATTATCTGAGTGCTACATTGCTACATGCCTGTAGTCACAGCTACTCTGGAGGCTGAGGTGGGAGGATTGCTTGAGCCTAGGAGACTGAGGCTGTGGTGAGCCACAGATGCACCACTGCATTTAAGCCTGGGCAACAGAGTGAGATCCTGTCCCAAAATAAAATAACATAAAATAAAAATAACCTTTTTATTTTGAAATGGTTTCAGATTCACGGAAACGTGGTGAGAAAGGTCACATATATTTCATATACAGTTTTCCTTACTGTTAACATCTCACATTAGTATGGCACAACTGTCACATATAATGGACCAATATTGATGCATTATTATGAACTACAGTTCATATTTGATTCGAATTTCCTTAATTTTCGCCTAAAGTCTCTTTCCTATCGAAGGATCCCATTCAGGATTCCATACTTCATGTAGTCTGCATGCCTCCTTAGGCTCCTTGAAACTGTGACTGTTTCCCAGCCTTTCTTTTTTTCTTTTTTTTTAAATGAACTTGACAATTTAGAAGAGCATGGTCAGGTATTTTGAAGAATGTAGAACGTCTTATGGATTTTGCCTGGTGTTTTTCTCATGATTAGACTGGCATGATGGATTTTTGGAAGGAATGCCATAAAGTGACATTCTTATCATATCATTATCAAACATATGTACTATAAATATGATTTATCACTGGTTATGTGGGCCATGATTGTCTGGCTGTGGAATTATTTGTCAGTTTTCTCCCCTCTAAAGGTACTCTTTTTGGCCTTTCTCTATTCTCCTCTTTGAAATGAAGTCACTGTGGCATCCTGTAGTCAAGAAGTTGGGGCTATATGCCATCTTCTTGAACTAGGAGTATACACATACTTTTAATTTTGGAACTCTTCATGGAAGATTTGTCTATTATCTGCTATTTATTTATTTATTTACTTATTCAATTGTCTATTTATATTAGTATGAACTCATGGATATTTATTTCATATTTTGGCTTATATTCCCATACTAGCCATGATTTATTTTTTGGCTCAAATTATTCCAGCTTTGGGCATTGGGAGCTCTTTCACAGTTGGCTCCTGTGTTCATTTGGCATACAGTACTTTCACTGTTGTGTGTTTAAGGTCCACTTTTGAAAAGAGAGGGCACTTTATATAGTCTCTCAATTTTTATATCTCTATATAGAAGATAATTTTAGATTATCTGTGTTTTCTATGTCAATAAAGAGCAATGCACAAAGAAGTACTTAAGCTGAATTAATATTTACCTTCCTCTGATGCCTACTATGAGCATTTGAATGCTGGGTTATGTTATTTTTTCATTAGACCTCACAGTGTGTGCATTTTATAAGTAAATAAATACTTAATGCTTGAACCTGACAGTCTTTGCCTGCTATATTTTTAAAAAGTGTGAATTTAATAGAAGGAAACCTTAGTTACATTACCTTATATAGCAAAGAAATTTGCCATTGTCTAATACTTGGTTAAACTCCCATCACAATAATCTTTATAATGCATCATTTGAAGAGAATTTTGAAGTATGCATGATTTAAGCATAAACTATTGTATGATAATAGATGTTCCCTTTGATACCACCGAATTTCATTTCAGACTGTATTTATTATCATCTACTTATTATATTTTGCCATCAGAAATTGTATTTTCACATCTATTTTTATCAGTTCTAGTGTGTTGTTTATAATGTATTTGCAATAAAATCTCAAATTAAAATATATTTTTGTGAAATTAAGCACAATTTAACAGTGGAACAAAATATTATTTGTTAAAAATTATCACACTGTTGAAATCCAGAATATTCTGACTGTACTTTTTGATCACACAGTTTTTTACCATAGTATTTTGATCTTAAGAAGGTTTGTATACCAAATGTTTAAAGTAAAACAGTAACAACATGAGTGCCTTTTCATTGTGAAGCATTTTCTGGAGTAATAGTCATTTGATTCACTTAATTTTTTTTTATTAATCCTCTCTATAATGCTTTTAAGAACTTTTCAGGATCATATGGCAGGCAGGCCCAAAACATCTTGACTCTTGTTATTCATTTAACAACTATTTAATGAATTTTATGTTCCATGCAAAGTTACGTTTCCATGGGATACAGCAGTAAACAAACCAGTGACAGTGCTTATCTTATGACACTTGAATATTCTCTATACAGTGCTGCTCATCAGAATTACAATGTTGGCCACAAATATGAGCCAAATATGCAATTTTGTATTTTCTAGTAGCCATGTTTAAAAAAAAGGTGAAATTAACTGTAATATTTCTATTTAGTCCAATATATCCAAAACATTACTTCTGTAATAACAGAGGTAGTTAATAAATACATTTTTTTTTTTTTTTTTTTTTGAGACAGGAGTCTCGCTCTGTCGCCCAGGCTGGAGTGCAGTGGCGGGATCTCGGCTCACTGCAAGCTCCGCCTCCCGGGTTCACGCCATTCTCCTGCCTCAGCCTCCCAAGTAGCTGGGACTACAGGCGCCTGCCACTACGCCCGGCTAATTTTTTGTATTTTTAGTAGAGACGGGGTTTCACCGTTTTAGCCGGGATGGTCTCGATCTCCTGACCTCGTGATCCGCCCGCCTCGGCCTCCCAAAGTGCTGGGATTACAGGCGTGAGCCACCGCGCCCGGCCAATAAATACATTTTTATTCTTCTTTTTTATATTAAGTTTTTGAGATCTGGTGTGTGTTTTACACTTATAGCACGTTTCAATTTAAACCAGACACTGTTAAAGTGCTTACCAGCTACATATGGCTGGTGGCTATTTTATTAGTCAACATATTTCTATGCTATGAACACCACAATCCTGGATAATTTTAGGGTAATTTAATTTAAGCTTGGAAGATTTGAAAGTGGTTATCCTTTATTCCAAACCATAACAGAATCTGAAGCACAAATGTGAATTTCTTATATTCTAACAGAAGGTTTTATAAAATTCTTCAAACATGAAATATTTTTAAAATGAGAGTAGGAGAACATATATTACACATTTTTATAATATCTGAACACCAATGGTATCATTTCCAATTTATTAAGGAAATAAAATATAACAATTTACTTAGCATTGCTCACAGAAACTGCGCAGAAACAGAGCTAGTTTTGAAGGTTCTCATGTATGAATTTCATTGATAATTGATTAGGTTGGCGAACAATCCCATAAATGGGTTATTTATCCGGGTATTTCTTCCCTCTCACTGACTGTACTATTTTTATTTCAGGATTTTGTTATTCCTTCTTTATTGGTTTCTGAATCACTCAAATACTCTTATCTCCTTGGACTGTATCTTTTATCTACTGCTTCAACAAGGTGAATGGTTTAGTGATTACTAAAACTTTTTCAAAACTTTGATTCTTAGCTCAATATCTCATGTTTTTCATGCAACTTCTATTTTTTTATTGGTGGGAGAATTCGAGGGAGTCAGTGATGGTTAAAAAACTCAGGACAATTAGGAGAGGTAGGGCAAGGGCCCATAAGAAGAAAATTTGGCCAAAGTGTTTTGACCACAATTCTTACTGTCAAAGTTTATGTTATCTTCACTGACATACTTCTTTCAATTACAGCAGGGCTGTTCCTGGTCTGTTCCCAAACCTCCGTATATTATTAGAGACAACTAGTAAAAGCAGATTTCTCCTTAAATGTTGAGTTAATGTATATGTGCCTTCAAAAGTGATTACATAAATAAATAAGACAAACTTTTGCTGCCTAATGAACATTGAATTAGTAGGTAATATTCAGAATTCAATTTGTTCAACTGTAATATGGCAATATTACATGTAAGGTGTGTGACAAATTAATGATATTTTGCCAAATCGTATCTAACACTTCCCCTATTTAAATCTGCCACTCACTGTGTGCAAAATTTCTTCTCTTCACCTTGCTTAACTACCCGATCATCAAGTCCAGGGGGATGGGGTGGTGGGGGTGAAGGTTGAGGTCCTTGGGTGGCCCTGTCTCTATTTCTAAGTGAATATAGTACTCTGAGCTTCCTTTGTGACTTTCTCCCTGTTTGTACACTTAGGAAATTAGCTCAAGATTTTCTTTCTTCATTTAAAAACACTAAGATAAAAATTACTGTATTTTATCCTTAGAACTTGAATTTAATGACTTAAAAGGAGAATAATTATCACTGGAATTCATTCCCTTTCTGCTCTACAAATGTCACATTAGCCTGAACTTCAGAACAGAGAATAATTATTTTTATTTTGCTCTGATTCTACCTAATATGTAATTAAGTTTTTCTTGTTTACTCTTAATTTTACTTCGTGATTTTATGTGTGTAATTCATTGTTAAGGATGTATTCAAAATTTAACTTTAGCTGGGAGTAGGAAAAAAAAAGACTTAAGGAAATTAGATTGTGTATGTATGTGTGTGTATAATAGTTAATTGTAAAACAGAAACAACACAAAAGAAAGAATATATTTTTCTTATACTGCTTTCATGTGTAGCATTAAATTTTATAGAAATTAATATCAGAAAGTAGTTTTCAATTATATCTTTTAAAATAGATCCCCGTATTCTAAGTCTGGTCCTTAGGAAACAGCAAAGGGAGTGTGAGATGCCCATGAACAAAGTCTGGCATTGGCCATATTAATAAGGCAAATGCAAATTTACTGGGCTGAATGGTATTTTGTAATCACATAGTTAGAACAGATTAGTAAAACATATCTGCCAGCATGGTATCTTTTACAAGTAGGAGACCTTCACGAAGCTTTTAAAGCAAAGAGTAACTTAAGAAATAACCTTTTTAGACAGAGTATGTTCTCTGAATTTTGTGCTTTCTTTTTTACAAATAAAATATAATAAAATTAATTAAATATAACATTATTTTTCTACACCTCCACATATTGAGCTATGTCTCATCTAATGTTGCATTTCTATTCACCCACCAAATCATTCACCCATCTGTTTGTATGTACATTAATTGATGAAACATTTTTGGAAGAGTTCACAGTTGCCACCATCTCTATTCATAACTAGAGGCTATAGTAGCTATGTAGAATTCTTCAGCGGATTCCGTTCATTGTAATGAAATTTGCTTGTATAGTAAACTTCTTCAGCTACAGTATTCAGATGTTAAGTTTGGATGTTAATATCAAACGAACCCATAAAAAAGTGAGTGGCTAACTTCTAGTCTCCTTGGTTCACTGGGCATTGTGATCTACATCCCCTTTTTATTATTGCCTTTCCTTCTTTTACTTATAATATCTCAATGTTTCCTCCAGTATGAAACAAAAATTACTTAGCTCCTCAAGCTCTAAAAAAATTCCTGTCTCCCCCTTAAGTGAGTGATCTCCAAGGACTTATTATCAAGACCTGTGATTTATAAAGAAGAAAGAATAACAAAATGTTCTTACATTATGGTCTTCTAAAACATCCCCACTAGCTAACATTGGTATGCCCATATACCTCCCCAAAACTTTTCTCCAATTAAAAAAATACGGTAAAAATAATTTTAGAGACATACAAAAGAATCACTGGCTGAATATCAATGTATTTACCCCTAGCATAAAACATAAAATACTACATACAAAGTTAAAACTCCTCATGAATCCTTTTTTGATACCATTACCCTCTCACCAATAGAGTGTCTTTTATGTGATTGGAGCCATTTCAAATTCAGCATAGAGGAGAAACTCATTTTCTATTGCAACACCATTTGGGTTCAATACAAATTAGAAAGCCAACAGATTTGGCCTGAAAATAGTTCTATATGTTATAATGATATTTTACTATTAGACTTACTTTGTAAAACAGAAGGCAAATGGGAGAAGGTCCCTTATGTACAGGTTTTGATGGCCCTTTACCGTCTCATGTTACTTTCAGAAAGCCATGCCTAAAGGATCCCCTCCAAGCTACTCCCCATAGAAGGCCTGTGCCCTCTCCAGGGTCTCTTCAGTCCTTCAATTATCAGGGAGTGGTCCCGTCAGTTCTCTAATGAAGAAGAATTCCAGTCCAAGGTCATTAGGTACCTCTCCCCCTTATCCAACTATCCCCAGCCTAGGCCCCACACTGCCCAAGAAATTAAGCCCAAGAAGTACCACCATGAATGGCCTCATATTAGCCCCTGAAGTCAAACCTAAATCCGTGGTGGGAGGTAGCTAATGGAAGTGAGGGAACACTTAGATTACATATGCCATTTTCTTTGTATAATTTGGCTTTATACCAGGAAAAATCTGGACAGTGTTCAGAGAATCCAGAAAAGTTTATAGAGGAGTTTGTGAAGTTGCCCATGTTCTTTGATTTAATATCTCATGACTTACAAATATTTTCATCCACTTGCTGTGCTGTGGGAAAAAAAGTAGAGGAAAAAGTGTATGGTTAAGCCAGTGAATTATGACAAGTTTAGAGAAATAACTAAGGGCAAAGAAGAAAACCTCCCTTTGTTTCAGGGATGTTTGGTGAGGCATTGAGGTAATATGCTAATGCAGACCCAGACTCCCCAGAAGGGCAAGTTCTCCTGAATGTACATTTTATTACTCGACCTGACCCTGATAGTAGGAGGAAGCCACAAAAATCAGCAATGGGACTTCAAAGCCCTATGAGCCAACTCCTAAATAGAGCCTTTAAAGTTTGCAATAGACGAAAAGCAAAAAAGGTGAAAACAAACAAAAAATGAAACCAAAGAAATACCCAAAAAGAGCAATTGTTAACAGTTGCTTTAATCCCTTCCCTCTGGGGGTTACCTGTCTTGAGAAAATGTCACAAAATCTGTGTCTGGGATGCCCAGAAAAGAGCCCTGAACTCACCAGCCCTGGGCCAGAATCAGTGTGCCTACAATGAGCAAGAGGGCCATTGACAATGAGAAAGTCCTAACTGTCCCCAGTAAGAGATGCAAAAAAAAAAAAAAAGTCTCCCCATCAATACTAGTGCTAACCTTCTTCCACTAGTTCCAATAAGCTGCCTTGTTTATTTTTACTGGGAGTCTTGGACCCTTGACCCAAGCAGCTTACTGCAGTGGCAGACAAGCAGCTGCCTGAACATTTTTCTTTGGTTTCCCCACTGCTGAGTGAGCTCTCTGGTGGCTTGGGGACTCTGGGTTCTCACCTTGAGCAATGCAATTTGCCCCCTACCTTTGTTATTTGATGCTATGGGATTCCCTTCTTTGCCTCCTCCTCTTTTCCATACATATTGGGGCAAACACAATTTGGCCAGGTAGATAAGTCCCAATTTTGTAAGTAACTTGAATCCAGTTGTCTTGTATGGGTAGTTTTATTTCATGTGTTTGTTTAGGTGTATATACAGGTATTGTGATATGTGTCGTGTCTATCATACTATCAAATTGGCTTATGGATAAAAAAAAGTGCTCATAAATTAAACAAAACTAGTCAGAGCTTATTGGTTTGAAGAGAATGTTATGTCTTAAATTTAACATTAAGATTTTTACTTAGGTAAATCACTGATATTCATAGGCTTTAAAATGGTTAAAATGGCTTTCAATGGTGACTAGCTTTGTGTGATATATTGGTTCTTAGAGGTAGTCTAGATAAAACTGTTGAAAGCGAAAGAGTTAAATACATGCGAATGGAATAGATGCTTAAATATTGAGTTTACTGTGTGGTTTAAAGTCTTAACTGTGCAATACTTTTCATCTATAGAATGACAATATCTGGTGGGCAGTTCAGGATTTCTTGCTTCCTAGATTTATATAAAATGTGCCAAAGAAATGTATTCTTTATTGAGAAAAATTGTCTAATTCAGAAGTTATTAAAGGGGAAGTTCAAAATATAAGAGAACCAGTGAGTTAGAAAGAGAGATGTAAAGAATGTTATGGATAGAAAATGCAGGGGTTTTTTTTGTTTGTTTTGATTTTTTTTTGCGAGGAAGGATATAAAGAAAGAGTAACCTTATATGAAGAGGGATATTATATAGTAAAGTTTTGTCATAGAGTAAAATGACTGCTTATTTAAGAAAGAGGTAGTATAGGCCAAGTCAGAAAGTTCAAGCATGTTGTAGATGGTCTGTGTAAGTCACGATGAGGTTCATAAGGGGAATCTATGAAAGGAATTTTGTGTATAATTAAACTTGCTAAGATTAAAGAAAATCGTTTGTAGTCGACTCTAAAAACTGGTCTCCATATCGGAATCAAATTTTCTCAAGGTATTAATTTGCTACATTACCAGAAATTTTGCTTTTCAATCCAATCCTCTGATATTTTTCAAGTTTCTCAGATTCATTTAACTCTCTGTTTTTAGCAATTTTTGTCAGCTCCTGTCTTTTCTTCCTTGATCGTAACTGCTATTGTGGCCTAATGCTACACTGTTTTGTCTTAGAGGTCTGTGGGAGCAGTGTTTTCCTTCAATATAGCTTAATTCTATGGTTTACTCTTGGTTTTTCTTTATGTGTAACTTTAATTTTAGCTTTTGGTTTTTCACTCTTATATTGCTTAGAAGGGTTTGGAGGCTGGTTGGGGCCTGCCAAACTTCATTCCTTTCAGCTAGGAGTGTGGTACTCATTCAGTCTGTTGGGGGCTATGGCCTAGTCTGGGAAAGTGGGAGTACTTCCCCCGCCTGGAAAACAAAAACTATCTGAGAACCCCCATTGGTACAGGGGAAAAATATCTCTACAGACCCAACTTGGCAGCAAAGGGTAAACATTACGCCCTGTAGGGTTTCTTTTTGTGCCACACCTGGGCTTATTTTTGTTTGTGGCAATGAATAGGAAGAAGTCATACCCTGTAACCATTCCAGTCACCTTTTGTCTTAGGACCAGCTTCCTCATATATATCAAAAACCTGAAACAGAGGTGAATGTATATTGGCCACCCTTGCCCCTCCTGGGGTCATGGTCTCTAACCTAATAAGACTCAATTATACCAGAAGTAAGCAAGGAATAGGATTAATTCTGGCAGGAATTGGGACCATGATAGGACAAACAGCACCCTGGGGTAGCTTTGTCTTCCGTGAGTCAGCCCTAAGAAAATTGACTCAAACCCTGGAAACCTTTGCCACCAACACAGGTCAGGCATTAAAGGGAATTTAAGAGTCCTTAGACTCTTTGGAAAATGTAGTCCTCAATCACAAACTAGCATTGGATTATTTACTAGTTGAACAAGGTGGAGTCTGTGCAGTTAATAAAACTTGCCGCACATATATTAACAACTCTGAGCAAGTTGAAATTAACATTAAAAAACCTGGCCGGGCATGGTGGCTCATAACTGTAATCTTTGCACTTTGGGAGCCTGAGGTGGGTGGATCACCTGAGGTCAGGAGTTTGAGACCAGCCTGACCAACCTGGTGAAACCCTGTCTCTACTAAAAAAAAAAAAAAAAAAAAAAAAAAAAAATACAAAAAATAGCTGGGTGTGGGAGCAGGCACCTGTAATCCCAGCTACTTAGGAGGCTGAGGCAGGATAATCACTTGAACCTGGGAGGTAGAGTTTGCAGTAAGCCGAAATCGCGCCATTGCACTCCAGCCTGGGTGATAGAGCAAGACTCTGTCTCAAAAAATAAAAGAAAAAAAAATTCAAAATAGCTATGAGTAACCTACCTGATTACATAGATGTAACCAGGGCACTGACCCCCAACTATCTCTGGCCAACTATCAAAGATGCCTTTGCAAGTCTCACCTGGTTTTTAACTCTCTCAGCACTTTTGACAACTATCTTATTGTTACTAATCTTTGGCCCTTGCTTGTTTAAGCTCCTAATAAAGTTTGCGTCTTCTAAATTACAACAGTTCCAGGTAAAAATAATGCTGGCACAATGCTTCTAACCTATCCCATCTACTGACCTGGAGAATAAAAGCATCCTGCCTCTTGGCACCTTAGATCAAGTAACCAGAGATTTTTACTCTTCTGGTACTAGGCAGGGCCTATGTCCATAAGCTCAGCAAGAGCAGTTACAAAAGACATACTTCTGCCCTTCTGCAGCACCATTAAGAGTAGAAGTAGGCCAGGCATGGTGGGTCACACCTGTAATCCCAGCACTTTGGGATGCTGAGGTGGGTGGATTGCCTGAGCTCAGAAATTCGAGACCAGTCTGGACAACATGGCAAGACCCCATCTCTACCAAAAATACAAAAAATTGACCAGGCATGGTCACACATGCCTATGGTCCCAGCTACTCAGGAGGCTGAGGTGGGACCATCGCTTGATCCTGGGAGATGGAGGTTGCAGTAAGCGGAGACTGTGCCATTGCACTTCAACCTAGGTGACAGAGTGAGACCTCTGTCTCAAAAAAAAAAAAAAAAAGATTAGAAGGAGTATCTAATCTCTGAGAGGGGAATGAGGTAGGAAACAGGAGGCAGGACTTGACTCATTCACACTGGTTTAAAGATTCTTAATGCCTTGTCATAGCATTAAACACATTCCTTATATTATAAAATATATTAGATTATATAAATACATAGGTAATATACTTCTGTGACTACTGAGGCATAGTGTTTCTGCAACTTGTTCAAAGTTTTGCATATATCACAGAGGGAGCCAGATACTAAACTTAGTTTTTCCTTTATTTGCAGCATTATGACATTATTATATTATAATCTCTTGTATGCTATTTTGTCAAATGTGGTCTTTGACAGTGTTCATTACTATTAGTCTCTCTCCCCATTCATGAACATAAAATTTGTGATGAGAATTCATTACATTTGGCCCCAAGAAATCAATGGACTTCCATGTTGGCTGTGCACATCTGCATAATTTTTTTCTGCTTTGTGGTTTAGATGAAGTTAGCTATGCAGTTCGAGTTATGCAAGAGATGTTTGAATTAGTAATGGTGATAAGAGATGGGCATCAAATAGACTGGAGGCCAAAATGGGCATTGTGGCAGGCATTCATTTGTGAAGATGTTAAACTGTGCATTTGGAGAACCAGTGCCCTCGGGAGAACTGACAAAGGCAGGAGTGGAGAGTTCCTGGTGATTTAGAAGGAGCAATGCTAAGATTTGCTGGTAAATTGTTAGAAAATAAAACATTTATAATCAAGAATTGGGATTAGTATTTGACTTAAGCTTTGGTTTAGGGTTCAAGTTTTGGCCTAAATTACTATAATCCAATATTTTGTGCCCAGTGATCTAGGAAGATAGCAGTTCTCTTGATGAGAGGCAGCAGAATGTAAAAATTCAAAGCACTTGCTCTAAAGCTCAAGCTTCCTGGGTTCAAATTTTGCCTTTACTACTTTCCAGCTACGTGATCCCGCTTAAGTTATTTTCTGTACTTCATGTTCCTTATCAGTAATTGGACATAATCGTATTTCAACATCACAGGGTTTTGATTACTGAGGATTATTCAAAATTGCTAAGCATGAAAACTGCTTAGCAGAGTGTGTATATAATGAACGGTATAAGTGTATTATGATTCTCATCATTATCAGTGATAGAGAATATATGATAAATCAGCACTTTCAGATATCTTCTAATAAACCATTTTCCTGAGAGTGTATTTTAATCTAGGTCAGGGTACCTGAAAAATAGTTTTATTATTAAACTGTCTAGAGAATTAAACAACAATTTGGTCTCTGAGTGAAAAAATTACGAATATTCTGTGAAACAAAAGGAGATTTTCTTTGAAATGGCAGATATTCAACATCAGGAAACACATTGCAGCTGGAACATGATGAGAGAAATAAAAACAGAGTAGTGACGAGAACTAGGTCAGCACATGCCAGAGAAGCCCCTACAACCAACTATGGATTTTTAGTCTGTTGTTCTATTTGGGGCTCTTTTTGCCTGGCTTTTTCTAATACATTCACAGAGGCTACCTTGACTAAGTTGAAATCATTTAATGTAAAACTGTTGTAAGTTTTTAAAGTGACTTGTCAATGCTGTTATATTTAATGACTCTACATTCCCTGGAATGGCATAAGCCTCAGGTTCCTTGTGTTTTTGACTTGTTTCTGATTCATAATGGCAGTTGGTACAACAGTGAACCTGGTATCAGAATATTTTATTGTTTTATTAAAAATTTTCTTGTAATAATAGACATTATTTTATTATACATATGTGTATTATATAATTTGTCTCTTATTGAAAGATATATGTGTTATAATTTTATATTATTACAATTATATATGTAATATTATATTTGTATTATATTTACATATGATCATCTTCTTTCCCACCTAACAACTGTAAGAAGCATGTATAATAAGGACCAATTGCTACATCACCTATTTCCTTCCCTCAATTTGGGCAATAGAAAAATAAAATAAACAAAACAACAACATCAATATTTACCATTAAAAAACAAGTATCTATTTTTTAAAAATTAATATGTTTCTTTGGAACTTATCTACCCAAACAGCCTAAGAAAGATTGATTTAAATTAAGTAATCATAGTTGCCCTTTTGAAATTATGTCAGTAGGCTTATTAAGCATTATGTACACAAGGAAACAATTGGAAACAAATTAAATACCCCAAAACAGATAACTGATAAACTATATGATGGTAGGTTCATATGTACAGAATCCTTAAAAGTCATAGTTAAAGAGAATATTCAATGGCATAGAGGAATACTTCTACATTACATTTTAAAAATCCAGAAAGTCAAATCTCTGTACCACACAGTTTGTCTTCCCTACCCGACATGTGCACACCCCCCTCCTTTTGTGTATACACAAAAATATATGCTCATACAGATTTCACATTCTTAGAAAAAAGACTGGAATGATATCACTCAGAGAGTAACAGTGCTTATCATTTGACTGTGGGATGATAGATCGTTTTAAATTTTGAATCTGTCTTTTTTTCTATTGTTCCCCACAGGATGTGCATGATTTTATAATGCATTATAAGATCTGTAGTGCATTTTTTCCCCAGTGGATGTGTATTATTTTCTCATTTTATAATGAGAAAAAATGTTATTTTTTAGTAAAAAAAAAAAAAAAAAATCAAGGTCTCCTAGTATTTAAAACCTTTTCTAGGTGAAAAATTCAGATGAGGTTTATATCCTAAAGAATCATCCAATCTACCAGAGAACTGAAATAGCTCAAAGTGTGATGAGCTTTTATAATACATAAAAACAGCATGGGGTAGAACTACAGCAGAATACTTAATATAGTTGTGAAAGAAAGCCCTCCCTGTGGAATAGATATTTGCATTGAGGCCCAAAAGATAAGTGTGGGTAGGATTATTTTGTGTGGAGAGAAAAAGCTAGTATGAATGCTCTGGGAGCATACTTTCGCCTGCAGAATTACATGGGTAAAGGCCCATAGTGGGAGAAAGGATGACACATGAAAAGAACTGAACTAGGAGCGAGGGAGAGAGGAAAGCTTTTCTAATATGAGAATGGACATGTCAGTGGGAGTCCAGATGTGGTGGCCCACACCTGTAATCCCAGCACTTTGGGAGGCAGAGGCAGTTGGATTACTTGAGGTCGGGAGTTCGAGACCAGCCTGGCCAACATGGTGAAACCCTGTCTCTACTAAAAATACAAAAATTAGCTGGGTGTGGTGGCACGTGCTTGTAATCTCAGCTACCTGGGAGGCTGAGGCAGGAGGATCACTTCAACCCGGGAGGTGGAGGTTGCAGTGAGCTGAGATTGTGCCACTGTACTCCAGCCTTGGTGACACAGTGAGACTGTCTCAAAAAAAGAAAGACATGTTGGCAGGTGCCAGATCCTGGAGGAGCTGTACGCTTATTAATTGTATTGGACTTACACACCAAGGGCTAAAAAAAAAACAAAAACAAAAAGTTTAAAAAGCATGAAATAAGCAAGTCTGCAATTCTAATTGACCACATTGACTATGAGCAGATAACAAAACAAAGAAGACAAGAGTTAAATCTGAGAAACCAGTTAAAAGATTATTTCAGACCCAGGAAGAAAAACTAATGACTTGAATTAAGGAAATAGTAACAAGGGATAGATAAAAGGAAAAATTAAGAGAAACTTAGTAGTTTACCTTGAAAGGCTTAGGACAGATCTAGATGGTGGTATGAGGAAGAAAGAGGAGTCAACAGTGGTTTCCAGAATATTGGTATGAACATTGAGAAATAAACACAGTCCTTGTAACAACAATCTCAATATAAAAGGAAGAAAAATTTTATTAAGCTACTATCATAAGTAGGCAGTCGAGTTTCACATAATTTCCAGAACCACAATACAAATGAGCTCCAAATTGTAATCCAGGGCAAATTACGATATTGAAACCAGCCCGATTGTCTGGTAGAACTGATGTTTATGGTTTCTTTTGAACAAACATAGACACTTCGAAGTCCTAAAATGTAAGAAAGTTGCATTTTGTAAATCTTAGTTCCTTTCTCAGGAAACCAATCATCAGGCCCCTCAGATAGCATCAAGGAGTTGAAATTTACCAGATCACCGCATCTAGATAAGGAAACATCAAGACTCCTCTCTCATCAAGATTGCCTAACTGACCATCTACTACCTGAAGACCAACTCCTCTCTCTTACCCCTCCCTAATTTATGTTCACATACATGTAGTTACCTTCTTTCCTCACTGGATAAACCCCCAATTTTGGTTGGTCAAGGGGATGAATTTGAGACAGATCTCCCATCTCCTCAGCTGCAGCACCTAATTAGAACCTTCTTCCCCAGCAATACTCATTGTCTCAGTGATTGGCTTTCTGTGTGGTAAGCATCAGGTCCTAGATGGAACCCCTGGTGTTTTGGTAACAATATTCAAGCGACTCAGATCAATTTAGTCAAACCTAAACACTGTTTGAGTGTTGTAACATTCACCCATTATCTAATGAGTTTCAATACAATTAAGTTTGGCAAAACACCCTTTTGGTTTCCATGATTATCTCAGTTCCAGAGCTCCTTAAAGAGTCAGCTAAGGCCTTTGCTGTGATTGCATGCATTTCAGCTTCTCCCTCTGCCCAATCTTGCCTCCTTCACTCTTTCCACAGGTGTTAATTCTGAAAGCTCTCCTCAGTACATTTACTTCAGGCAAATCTCCATTTCAAAGTCTGCTTCCTGGGGAAACCAAAGTGTGGCATCATTTCAGCAAAGCCTCATTTTCTGTCCTTTCCATCTATGATACTGGCAATATTTCTTAAGCATATATCTGTGATTTTGCAGCTTATATTCCGGTATTTAAAAACACTGGACTTTAGAAATTTAGTTGCATATGCTGACCTTTCTTCAGAAGTTAATGGTGGCCCTATAAAATTGGTATTAAGGATTAACACACTTTTGAACAGTTAATTCTTTATAGTTTTGGCTTTAACTATTAAATCTTGTTAATGGTCTTTGGGCAATTTTGATAATACTCAAATCTTATTGGTGAAGTCAAATATGGTTTAAAAACAGGAATAACTATATGCCAGTCTTCAGACAAGCTTTCCGTTATGGTGGTAATTATGTCAAAAGTCATATTGTCTAGCACTGCAGCTATGTGTAAATTAACACCTAGTTTTATAAATTAAGTGTCTCTTGAAATTAGAAAATCTCAAAACAAGGACTGCTGAAGGTAATGCAGTAGTGGAAGAGAGGCTAATTATAGAGGCTTTAAAAAAATCCTGTTTGCAAACCAATGTGGCACCTGCTTTAGCTTCGACTTCTCATTCCCTAAAAGGCAACCATGGACCTCCAGCTGTGTGTTTATATTTGATGTCAGGAAAACTGCTGGAAACTGGCAAGAGAAAAGCTATGTTCATCTCTGAAAAGAAGAGATATCCATGTCTCACAGGGCTGTGAGAGGGTGAAGCATTATTTGAGGGAAACAACACTAGAAAAATATAATGTTATATTTTGCATCTTTGTGCTTCAGATGCAAATGCTTTGGGAAGGAAAAATAAAATGGGAGGTGTTAAAAATGGATAGATTAGGTAACGTGAAAAATGGCTTTCTGAATTAAACTTTTAGGTTTAATTCATAAAATGAGACATACTGGAGACGTAGTGTTGGCTGCTAACTTAAGGGTCCTACCATTCTGTAGCCGTGTGTTGAGCAAAAGACAGATTTTGTTTTACTTGTTCTGCAGAATATTGACTGCACTGACATGCACAGATGGGCAATAGATGATTACCATTTGATGAGTGCTGCTAAGTGTCTGCAACTGGGCTTCCAGGTTTGTCTTTAACATGGCCTGAAGGGCAAAATGTGATCGTAGATTCATCTATGCTCATTGTTCTTGTTTGTATGGGAGGGGGCTCCTGTATCAGACAGATAATAACTTGAAAAAGTGAATAAGAAATATTCACTAAGAATAAATTGCTTTCAGTGAGTCTCCGGAAACTTTAATTTTTACCATAAAGTATTTTAATAGTTTTTCTGTATATATAGCAGGCTACATCCTTTCTACCAACTTCCTCAAAATGGAGACATAAAAACAGAAACAACATCAAGGAATGTATAAAACCTCAAAATATATATTTTGTAAAAAGACAACAAAAACATTAAACATAGTGAAACCAGGTAAAATATGAAAGAAATACCCAGAACGTCATCTAAGCAAGCATTTGTTTCAAATGTGCAGGGCATGAACTATCATATGACGTTGAATGGAAGCAAAATGTGCATAACTCATTGAAAAAATATTTGTTTTCTTCCTAGGACAGTTGAAATTGAGAAACAGCCCTGGCTGTCCAAGATTAATTTTTATACTGAGCCGTAAAGCTGACAAAAACTGCTGGTGTGTATGAATTCATTTTCAGATCTAAAACAGAAACCTGAGACATTTCACGATGTCATGCTTCATGCTGAGTACATTTGAGAAACAAAGCTTTTATATGATCTAAAATTCTCATTGTTATATAATGTCTGCAATTATTTTAATAGTTCTTAGTTGTTTTTCATTTTTCTTTCAGAGTTTTAATTATTATTAAGTTATTGGACTAAATCCCTGTAAAGCATGTTACTGTGTGTAACAGATAAAGACACTGAGTCTCAATCATACTGAATATTTTCCCCCAGGAATGAGAACAAGTCTCCTGCAAATCGAAAAATGAATTTATAGCCTTTAACATCATCGCTTGCTGAGCTTATGTACTTTCTATCTGCATGAAGAAAGGTTGATGTCATTACAGTAAAATTTGTAATTTTGAGAAAGTTTGTTTCTCACTTATCCTTTCACATATTTGTTTCTTTTTTATTCTCAGTACATAGTATTATTTATCAATTTAGATTCCTTAGGAGACCCAGACCAAGAAATATATATTTTTTCTACAGATACACATATCTGTATCTAGACAGATAGAGATATATAGATATATATATATCAGTATATATATACAGATATATATGTGTGTGTATATATATAGATACAGATTTATATGTTTATATACATATGTATCTATCTATATAACTGTCGAAAAAGGTAACCAAAGACAAGCAATTCACATATTTTGGGAACTCTGGTGTTTTAAGGGCTCCAAAAGAACAAAGTGATTTTGGAGCCGATTATCATCTTTATCCTAAATATCTGTGATTGAAATTTCATTTTATTCTTGGTGGGTAAAAACAAACAAAAACAGCTGATGTCTATGTCAGCCAGAGTATTACATTCTTTACATCTATATTTACTTATTCATTCATTTATTTAGTTAACATTTATTGAAAGTATTTTGTCATGAATGATTTATCGCTCTATGGGAGAGAAAGACCATAAAGAAAAATTATATAACAAATACCGAGGCAGAGCACAGTGGCTCATGTCTTTAAAAATCAATACTAGCACCTGTAATCCCAGCATTTTGGGAGGCTGAGGAGGGAGGATCACCTGAGGTTAGGAGTTTAAGACCAGCCTGGCCAACATGGTGAAACCCTGTCCTACTAAATATACAAAAATTAGCTGGGCATGGTGGCATGCACCTGCAGTCCCAGCTACTCCGAAGGCTGAGGCAGGAGAATTGCTTGAACCTGGGAGATGGAGGTTGCAGTTAGCCGAGATTGTGCCACTACCCTCTAGCCTGAGCAAGAGAGCAAGACTCTGTCTCAAAAAACAAAAACAAAAACAAAAACAAACAAAAAAAAACACAACTATATTAATACATAATATCCTTTAGGGCATCAGGGAGCATGTTAACTAGAACTCTGACTGTAAGAAAGAGAACATCAATATGGCTGACTAGAAGCATTCAGCACTCACCTCCTAAAAAAAAAAAAAAGAACTAAAACAGAAAATAGATAACTGCACATCAAATAGAGCTTCTAAAAGGAGAACACTGGAATTCAGCAAGGAAAGAAAAAACCCTCTGAGACACGTAAACTCGAAACGGCAGCATAGAGAAGGAAATGAAGCAACTAGCCTGGGTCACCCTGCCTTTAGAGGGACTCTCCATTTCAGGGATAAGGTAAGTGGGAGATCCCCAGCAGTCCACAATCCCACCACAGACACCTGCAATTCTAGCTACAGAAAAGCCTCTGAGGCCTCACAGGCCCTAGGTTTGTAAAGAGAGCTGCCTGGAGTCCATCTGACTGTACTATTCTAGAGTGGGAATTTTTGTTGGATACCCCCACACCCTATGGCCCAGGCTGCAGCATGGTGACATGTTGAGAGCAAGGCTACCCCCAGAGTACATTCTGTTCTGGGACAAACAGCCCTTGAACCTCCATATCCCTGAGGCCCTGCTGACATTCCCCCACATCCACCCAAAGTGCTGCAGCATCCTGATATCAGCTAGACCTGGGGTTGAAGCCACATCTCTGGTATCTAAACCCATGCAGCATCCTACACCCTGAGGAACAGGTACCTGAGAATATCAAAGTGGCTGCCCTCAGAACACAGGGAGCCAATGCACGTGCTCCCCAGAGACTGAGAGCTGCTTACCTGGGGCTGCAGCTGCTGAAAGCAATTCCAGTGCCTCCAGCAGTGGGATCACCATGTGCCTGAATGCACTCCTCAGTGGCTTGAAGACCAACCCTCGGGTCCTGCTGCTGCCATGGCCATTGTGGGCACACACCACCCAGGGTCCCAAGGACTGGCCCACTGCTGACAGCAGCAGTGCTTGCACATATCCTACAGATCAGCCTGCCTGTAGCCCAATTTGCCAACATCAGTGGCTATGCACACTGTTCAGGAGCCTGAAGATCAGCCCATGTAGGGCCCATTGCCACCACCACTGGCACCCACGTGCACTTCCTAAGAGCTTGAAACCACCCTACCTGGGGCCTGCTGCCACCATAGCTGGTGTCCATGTGCACCCCTCAAGTGGCCTAGGACCAGCATGTTGCTGCCACCACTGGCACACGACTATGCTATCCCAGGGCCAAAAAACCAGCTTACTTGAGACTGGGCACTGTTGGTGCCTGCCAACCAGGGGCCTAAAGATCAGGCCACTTGGGCCTGCCACTGCTACCTCTAACAAATTTATCCCTCCAACACTGGGGCCACTGCCCACCCATGTGCACCCTCAGGGATCTAGCATTTCTCTTGCAGCAAGTCATGCCACTGCCTCCAGAAACAATAGCATCCTAGGTCACTGAGTAACACAGAGACACAACTGACATTGATGATAGACTCAGAATTTCTATAGAGACTACATTACTGTGCACATCCAGAACCAAAGCCAAAATACCCTACCCAACTGACACTATAGACAAATCTACAAGAAAAAGCCTTTTCCTACAAAAGCTGCTGTATAAACTTTAAAGAGGTGACTATTCAACTAGATTCACAGACGTTAATGTAGGAAACCAAGAAACATGAAAAAGCAAGGAAACATGAAAACTCCAGGGGAACAAAATATTGTCCAGTAACAGACACCAGTGATCTTAAGGAAACTCAGTGAGATACATGAGAACATACATAGACCTCAAATAAATTAGGAAAACAATTCATGATCAGAATGAGAAATTTAACAAAGAAATAGATTGCACAAATAAATATCCAAACAGAAATCTTAGAACTGGAGAATTGAAAAAATAAAATATAAAAAATATAATTGATAGCTTAAATGATAGAGTCATTCAGTCAGAAGAAATAATTACCGAACTGGAAGACAGGCCTTTTGAAACAACACAGTTAGACAAAAAGAAAAAAAAAACAAATAAATATTTTTAAAATGAGGAAAGCCTATGTGTTACATGGGACAACATTAAGCAAACAAATATTTGCATTTTGACAATTTTAGAAGGCAAAGAGATAAAAAATAAAACATAGAAAACTTATTTAGTGAAGTAATAGCTGAAACTGTTCCAAGTCTTGGGAGAGATCTAGACATCCAGAAACAAGAAGCTTAAAGATCCTCAAATAGATTCAACCCAAAAGTCCTGTTTGAGGCACTGTGAAGTCAAACTGTCAAAAATCAAAGGAAGAGAGAATTAAAACAAAGAAACAAGCAAAAAAAAAAGATAAAAATGGTTGTACCACATATAAGGAGATCCTCACCAAATATAGGCCAGAAGAGAATAAGATGATAGATTCAAACTGCTGAAAAAAATAAAATTGTTAGCCAAGAATACTACATATTCCAAAGCTATCTTTCAGAAACAAACAAGAAATAAAGTTTCTCACAGTTATGCAAAACCTGAGAAATGATTACCACTACAATGTTCCTACAGAAAAAATGTTTAAGGCAGTCCTACATTGGGAAGTAAAAGGATGATATCTACCATCATGAAAACACATGAAACTATAAAACCCACTGGTAGACCAGATACACAAAAGAGAAAGAGAAATAAAACCAACATCATTACTACAGAAAACCACCAAATGCAAAGATAACCAATAAGAGAGGAAGAAACAAAGAATAAATATAAAATATCAGAAAAAATTAAGAAAATGACAGGAGTAAGTCTCCACCTATCAATAATAATGTTTAATGTAAATGGTTGAAATTTTTAATTGAAAAGTATAGATTGGCTAAATGAATAAAACTATAAGAACCAACTATATGCTGTGTATAAGAAACTCACTGTACAATTAAAGACACATGACTAAAAATGAAACATAAAAAGATATTCCACACAAAAAGAAAGCAAAAGCATGCAGGAGTACAAATATTTATGTCAGACAAAATAGATTTTAATTCAAAGAACAAGGGAGACAAAGAAGGTCATTACATAATGATAAGGGGATTGATTCAGCGAGAAGATATGACAACTATAAATATGTATGCAACTAATCCCAGACCACCCAGATATATAAAGCAAAAATTATTACAGCTAAAGAGAAAGATATATCCCAATACAATAATTGTTGGGGAATTTAATGCCACTTTCAGCATTAGATACTCTCAGCATTAGATCATATAGACAGAAATTCAACAAAGAAACATTGGACTTGAACTACAATAGATAGATCAAATAGACTTAGACCAAATGGACATACCAGATATTTACAGAACATTTCATTCAACAGCTTCAGAATATACATTTTTCTCATGAGCACATGGAACATTCTCAGGATCAACCATTATTTCATTACTTATTTTCATTATATCATCACAAAACAAGTCACAACAAATTTTAAAAAATCAAAATCATATCAGATATCTTCTGAGATGACAAAGAAAACTAGAAATCAATAACAAAAGGAACTTTGGAAATTGTACAAATACATGGAAATTAAATAACTTGCTTCTGGATTACTAATGTGTCTAAGAAATAAAATACATTTTTTGAAATAAATAAATTTATTTAAAATAGTGTGTTTTAATTTAAAATAAAATAAAACAGGACACATCAAAACCTATCAGATACTGGAATAGCTGTACTAACAGAAAAGTTTATACCAATAAACACCTACATCAAAAAAGCAGAGAGATTTTAAGTAAACAACATAATGATGTACCTCAAGGAACTACAAAGCAAGAACAAATGAAACCCAAAATTAGTAGAAGTAATGAAATAAGAAATATCGCAGCAGAAGAAAGAAATAATAAAACCATTTCTCTAAACAAAATAGAGACTAAAATGCAAAAGATCAATGAAAAGTTAGATTTTTGAAAATTGAAACAAAATTAACAAACTGTTAGCTAGCCTAAGAAAAAAGTTGAGACCCAAATAAATAAAATGAGAAATGAAAGAGGAAGCATTACAACTGATACCAAAGAAATTAGACTGTAAAAAATTGATATATGAAAAAATTGTGAAGCCTACAATAAATGGACAAATTTCTAGACACATATAACCTACCAAGATTGAACCAGGAAGGAATAGAAAACTTGAACAGACCAATAATGAGTATCAAAATTCAATCATTAAATGAAATCTCTCACCAAGAAAAGTACAGGACCAGATGGCTTTAATGTTGAATTCTAACAAACTGTTAAAGATAATTCAACACAAATTCTTCTCAAACTATCCCAAAAAAACGATGAGGATAGAATTCTTCCTAACTCATTCTGTGAGGCCAGCATTAATCTAATACCAAAACCAAACAAAATCAACAAAAAGAAAACTCCAGGCCAATATCCCTGATGAATTGATAGATGCCAGAAACCTCAGTAAAATACTAGCAAAGTGAAATCAACAGCACATCAAAAATATAATACACTGTGATTAAGTGGAATTTATCCTAGGGATGCAAGAATGATTCAACATACACAAATCAATAAATGTGATACATCACATCAAAGAATGAAGAATGAAAACAATATAATTATCTCAATTGATGTAGAAAAAGCTTTTGATAAAAACTCTCAACAAATTAGGTATAAGAGCAACATACTTCAACACAATAAAAGCCATATGTGACAAAGCCAAAGCTAACATCATACTGAAAAGCTTCCAGAATTTCCTCCAAAGAACTAGAACAAGGCAAGGATGCCCACTTTCAATATAGCATCTGGGACGTCCTAGCTAGGGCAATTATGCAGGATAAATCAATAAAGGGCATTTAAATTGGAAAGAGTAAGTCGAATTGTCCCTGTTTGCAGATGACATGACATTTTATATAGAAAATCCTAAAAACTCTACCAAAAAAGCTGTTAGAACTAATTGACAAAGTTAGCAAAGTTGCAGGGTTCAAAATCAGCATACAAAAATCAATAGCATTTCTATACCCCAATAACAAACTAGCCAAAAAAGAAACCAAGAAAGCAATCCCTTATAAAAGTAAAATATCTATAAATAAATTGAATCAAGGAAGTAAAAGTTCTCTACAATGAAAACTAAAAAACACAGATAAAAGAAACAAAAAATGACTATGGATTGGAAAAATTAAGATTGTTAAAGTAGGCATACTACCCAAAGTCATATACAGATTGAGTGCAATTCTTATCAAACACCAATGACATTCTTCATAGAAATAGAAACATCTACCCTAAAATTCATATGGAACCACAAAAGATCCTGAATAGCCAAATAAATACTGAGCCAAAAGAACAAAGCTGGATGCATGACACTACCTGACTTCAACATATACTACAAAGCTGTAGTAACCAAAACAGCATGACACTGGTCAAAAACAGACACATGGACCAATGGAGCAGAATAGAGTACCCAGAGGTAAATCCACATATTTACAGCCAACTGAATTTCAACATGCATTAGGGAAGGGACACCCTCTTCAATAAATTCTGCTGAGAAAGCTGGATATTCATAGGCAGAAGAATGAAAGTAGATCCCTATATCTCCACATTTACAAATATCAATTCAAAATGGATTAAGTACTTAAATGTAACACTGAAGCTATAAAACTATTAGAAGAAAACATACGGGAATGCTTCAGGGCATTGGAATGCACATATACTTTATGGGTAAGACTTCAAATGCACAGGCAACAAAAAAGTGGACAAATAGGACTATATCAAACAAAAAATCTTCTCCACATCAAGGAAATCAATGAATAGAATGAAGTCAAAACCTGTAGAATGGGAGAAAGTGTGGCATGCTTTTCATCCAAGAGACAAATATCTAGAATACACAGAGAACTCAACAGCAAAAACTCAACAGCAAAACAACAACAAATAATCTGATTTAAAAATGGGCAAACGTTTTGAATATATATATTTTAAAAGAAGATATACAAAAGGCCAAAAAGTACATGAGGAAATGCTCAATATCACTAATCATCAGAAAAATGCAGATCAAAACCACATTTATCTCATTTCACACCAGTTAGAATAACTATTGTCAAAAAGATAAAAAATAACAAAGGCTGGAGAGGATGCAGAGAAAAGGAAATCCTTAGACACTGTTGGTGTAAATGTAAATTAGTACAGTCATTATAAGAAGCTGTATGAAGGCTTCTCCAAAAATTAAAAGTAGGACTACTATATGATTCAGCCATCCCACTACTAGGTACTTATCCAAAGGAAAGGAAATCAGTAGGTCAAAGCCATATCTATACTTCCATTTTTATTGCAATGTTATTCACAACAGCCAAGATACGAATCAACTTAAATGCCTATCAATGAATACATGGATAAAGAAAGTGTGGTACATATACACAGTGGAATACTATTTGGTCCTAAATAAATGAAACCCTGTCATTCATAGCCACATGGATGAGCCTCAAGGACATCATATTGACTGAAATGTCAGACACAGAGGGATAAATACTGCATGTTTTCACTCATGTGGAAGCTTAAAAACATTGAAGTCATAGAAGTAGGGAGTAGAATAGTGGTTATGAGGCTTGGAAGGGTGGAGGGAAGGGAGTATAGGAACAAGTTGGTTAACAGATACAATTACAGGTAGACATGAAGAAAAAGTTCTAGTGTTCTATAGCAATGTATGGTGAATACAGTTAAAATAATTTAATACATATTTTCAAAAACATAAAAGGGGACTTTCAATGTTCCCAACACAAAGAAATGATTTTATTTTATTTTTTGTAGAGACAGGGTTTCATTTTGCCCAGGCTGGCCTTGAACTCCTGGCCTCTAGCAATCTTCCTGCCTAGGCTTCCCAAAATTCTGGGATTACAGATGTGAGCCACCACACCCAGCCCGATAGCTGTTTGAGATAATTAATATGCTAATTATCCTAATTTGATCATTACACATTGTATACGTGTATCAAAACATCACTCTGTTTCCCATATATGTCCAATTACACTTGAACTTTGAACAACACAGGTTTGAACTGCATGGATCCACTTATATGCAACATTTTTTCAATAAACATGTTAGAAAATGTTTTGGAGATTTGCAGCAATTTGAAAAAACTCGGGGGGTGGAGCCAAGATGGCCGAATAGGAACAGCTCTGGTCTACAGCTCCCAGCATGAGCCACACAGAAGACGGGTGATTTCTGTATTTCCAACTGAGGCACCAGGTTAATCTCACTGGGGAGTGCTGGACAGTGGGTGCAGGACAGTAGGTGCAGCACACTGTGCATGAGCTGAAGTAGGGTAAGCCATCACCTCACCCAGGGAAGTGCAAGGGGTCAGGGAATTCCCTTTCCTAGTCAAAGAAAGGGGTGACAGACAGCACCTGGAAAATCGGGTCACTCCCACCCTAATACTGCGCTTTTCCAACGGGCTTAACAAACAGCACACCAGGAGATTATATCCCGCACATGGCTCGGAGGGCCCTATGCCCACGGAGCCTCGCTCATTGCTAGCACAGCAATCTGAGATCAAACTGCAAGGCGGCAGCGAGGCTTGGGGAGGGGCGTCCGCCATTGCTCAGGCTTGAGTAGGTAAACAAAGCGGCCCGGGAAGCTCGAACTGGGTGGAGCCCACCACAGCTCAGGGAGGCCTGCCTGCCTCTGTAGGCTCCACCTCTGGGGGCAGGGCACAGACAAACAAAAGACAGCCATAACCTCTGCAGATTTAAATGTCCCTGTCTGACAGCTTTGAAGAGAGTAGTGGTTCTCCCAGCACGCAGCTGGAGATCTGAAAATGGGCAGACTGCCTCCTCAAGTGGGTCCCTGACCCCCGAGTAGCCTAACTGGGAGGCACCCCCTAGTAGGGGCAGACTGACACCTCACACGGCCGGGTACTCCTCTGAGACAAAACTTCCAGAGGAACTATCAGGCAGCAGCATTTGCGGTTCACCAATATCTGCTGTTCCGCAGCCACCGCTGTTGATACCCAGGCAAACAGGGTCTGGAGTGCACCTCCAGTAAACTCCAAAGGACCTGCAACAGAGGGTCCTGACTCATAGAAGGAAAACTAACAAACAGAAAGGACATCCACACCAAAAACCCATCTGTATGTCACCATCATCAAAGACCAAAGGTAGATAAAACCACAAAGATGGGGAAAAAACAGAGCAGAAAAACAGGAAACTCTAAAAATCAGAGTGCCTCTCCTACTCCAAAGGATCGCAGCTCCTCACCAGCAACAGAACAAAGCTGGATGGAGAATGACTTTGATGAGTTGAGAGAGGAAGGCTTCAGAAGATCAAACTACTCCAAGCTAAAGGAGGAAGTTCGAACCAATGGCAAAGAAGTTAAAGATTTTGAAAAAAAATTAGACAAATGGATAACTAGAATAACCAATGCCAAGAAGTCCTTAAGGGACCTGATGGAGCTGAAAACCAAGGCACGAGAACCAATGCACAAGCCTCAGTAACTGATGTGATCATCTGGACGAAAGGGTATCAGTGATGGAAGATGAAATGAATGAAATGAAGCATGAAGAGAAGTTTAAAGTAAAAAGAATAAAAAGAAACAAACAAAGTCTCCAAGAAATATGGGACTATGTGAAAAGACCAAATCTACGTCTGATTGGTGTACCTGAAAGTGACGGGGAGGATGGAACCAAGTTGGAAAACACTCTGCAGGATATTATCCAGGAGAACTTCCCCAATCTAGCAAGGCAGGCCAACATTCAAATTCAGGAAATACAGAGAATGCCACAAAGATACTCCTCGAGAAGAGCAACTCCAAGACACATAATTATTAGATTCACCAAAGTTGAAATGAAGGAAAAAATGTTAAGGCCAGCCAGAGAGAAAGGTCGGGTTACCCACAAAGGGAAGCCCATCAGACTAACAGCTGATCTCTCAGCAGAAACTCTACAAGCCAGAAGAGAGTGGGGGCCAATATTCAACATTCTTAAAGAAAAGAATTTTCAACCCAGAATTTCATATGCAGCCAAACTAAGCTTTATAAGTGAAGGAGAAATAAAATCCTTTACAGACAAGCAAATGCTGAGAGATTTTGTCACCACCAGCCCTGCCCTAAAGAGTTCCTGAAGGAAGCACTAAACATGGAAAGGAACAACCGGTACCAGCCACTGCAAAAACATGCCAAATTGTAAAGACCATGGAGGCTAGGAAGAAACTGCATCAACTAACGAGCAAAATAACCAGCTAACATCATAATGACAGGATCAAATTCACACATAACAACACTAAACTTAAATGTAAATGGGCTAAATGCTCCAATTAAAAGGCACAGACTGGCAAATGGGATAAAGAGTCAAGACCCATCAGTGTGCTGTATTTAGGAAACCCATCTCATGTGCAGAGACACACATAGGCTCAAAATAAAGAGATGGAGGAAGATCTACCAAGCAAATGGAAAACAAAGAAAGGCAGGGGTTGCAATCCTAGTCTCTGATAAAACAGACTTTAAACCAACAAAGATCAAAAGAGACAAAGAAGGCCATTACATAATGGTAAAAAGGGATCAATTGAACAAGAAGAACTATCCTAAATATATATGCACCCAATACAGGAGCACCCAGATTCATAAAGCAAGTCCTTAGTGACCTACAAAGAGACTTAGACTCCCACACAATAATAATGGGAGACTTTAACACCCCACTGTCAACATTAGAGAGATCAATGAGAAAGAAAGTTAACAAGGGTATCCAGGAATTGAACTCAGTTCTGGACCAAGCAGACCTAATAGACATCTACAGAACTCTCCACCCCAAATCAACAGAATATACATTCTTTTCAGCACCACACCAGCCCTATTCGGACACTGACCACATAGTTGGAAGTAAAGCACTCCTCAGCAAATGTAAAAGAACAGAAATTATAACAAACTGTCTCTCAGACCACAGTGCAATCAAACTAGAACTCAGGATTAAGAAATTCACTCAAAACGGCTCAACTACATGGAAACTGAACAACCTGCTCCTGAATGACTACTGGGTAAGTAACGAAATGAAGGCAGAAATAAAGATGTTCTTTGAAACCTACGAGAACAAAGACACAACATACCAGAATCTCTGGGACACATTCAAAGCAGTGTGTAGAGGGAAATTTATAGCACTAAATGCCCACAAGAGAAAGCAGGAAAGATCTAAAATTGACACCGTAACATCACAATTAAAAGAACTAGAGAAGCAAGAGCAAACACATTCAAAAGCTAGCAGAAGGCAAGAAATAACTAAGATCAGAGCAGAACTGAAGGAAATAGAGACATAAAAAACCCTTCAAAAAAATCAATGAATCCAGGAGCTGGTTTTCTGAAAAGATCAAGGAAAACTGACAGACTGCTAACAAGACTAATAAAGAAGAAAAGAGAGAAGAATCAAATAGATGCAATAAAAAATGACAAAGGGGATATTACCACTGATCCCACAGAAATACAAACTGCCATCAGAGAATAGTATAAACACCCCCATGCAAATAAACTAGAAAATCTAGAAGAAATGGGTAAATTCCTCGACACATACACTCTCCCAAGACTAAAGCAGGAAGAACTTGAATCTCTGAATAGACCAATAACAGGCTCTGAAATTGAGGCAATAATTAATAGCTTACTAACCAAAAAAGGTCCAGAACCCGATGGATTCACAGCCGAATTCTACCAGAGGTACAAGGAGGAGCTGGTACCATTCCTTCTGAAACTATTCCAACCAATAGAAAAAGAGGGAATCCTCCCTAACTCATTTTATGAGGCCAGCATCATCCTGATACCAAAGCATGGCAGAGACACAACAAAAAAAGAGAATTTTAGGCCAATATCCTTGATGAACATTGATGCAAAAATCCTCAATAAAATACTGGCAAACCGAATCCAGCAACACATCAAAAAGCTTATCCACCATGATCAAGTGGGCTTCATCCCTGGGATGCAAGGCTGGTTCAACATATGAAAATCAATAAACGTAATCCAGCATATAAACAGAACCAAAGACAAAAACCACATGATTGTCTCAATAGATGCAGAAAAGGCCTTTGACAAAATTCAACAACCCTTCATGCTAAAAACTCTCAATAAATTAGGTATTGATGGGACATATCTCAAAATAATAAGAGCTATCTATGACACCCGCAGCCAATATCATACTGAATGGGCAAAAACTGGAAGCATTCCCTTTGAAAACTGGCACAAGACAGGGATGCCCTCTCTCACCACTCTTATTCAACATAGTGTTGGAAGTTCTGGCCAGGGCAATCAGGCAGCAGAAGGAAATAAAGGGCATTCAATTAGGAGAAGAGGAAGTCAAATTGTCCCTCTTTGCAGATGACATGATTGTATATCTAGAAAACCCCATCGTCTCAGCCCAAAATCTCCTTAAGCTGATAGGCAACTTCAGCAAAGTCTCAGGATACAAAATCAATGTACAAAAATCACAAGCATTCTTATACACCAATAACAGACAAACAGAGAGCCAAATCATGAGTGAACTCCCATTCACAATTGCTTCAAAGAGAATAAAATACCTAGGAATCCAACTTACAAGGGATGTGAAGGACATCTTCAAGGAGAACTACAAACCACTGCTCAGTGAAATAAAAGAGGATACAAACAAGTGGAGGAACATTCATGCTCATGGGTAGGAAGAATCAATATCGTGAAAATGGCCATAATGCCAAAGGTAATTTATAGATTCAATTCCATCCCCATCAAGCTACCAATGACTTTCTTCACAGAATTGGAAAAAACTACTTTAAATTTTATATGGAACCAAAAAATAGCCCGCATCGCCAAGTCAATCCTAAGCCAAAAGAACAAAGCTGGAGGCATCATGCTACCTGACTTCAAACTATACTACAAGGCTACAGTAACCAAAACAGCATGGTACTGGTACCAAAACAGAGATATAGATCAATGCAACAGAACAGAGCCCTCAGAAATAATGCCACATATCTACAACTATCTGATCTTTGACAAACCTGACAAAAACAAGAAATGGGGAAAGGATTCCCTATTTAATAAATGTTGCTGGGAAAACCGGCTAGCCATATGTAGAAAGCTGAAACTGGATCCCTTACTTACATCTTATACAAAAATTAATTCAAGATGGATTAAAGACTTACATGTAAGACCTAAAACCATAAAAACCCTAGAAGAAAACCTAGGCAATACCATTCAGGACATAGGCATGATCAAGGACTTCATGTCTAAAACACCAAAAGCAATGGCAACAAAAGCCAAAATTGACAAATGGGATCTAGTTAAACTAAAGAGCTTCTGCACAGCAAAAGAAACCACCCTCAGAGTGAACAGGCAACCTACAGAATGGGAGAAAATTTTTGCAACCTACTCATCTGACAAAGGGCTAATATCCAGAATCTACAATGAACTCCAACAAATTTACAAGAAAAAAACAAACAACCCCATCAAAAAGTGGGCAAAGGATATGAACAGACACTTCTTAAAAGAAGACATTTATGCAGCCAAAAAGCACATGAAAAAATGCTCATCATCACTGGCCATCAGAGAAATGCAAATCAAAACCACAATGAGATACCATCTCACACCAGTTAGAATGGCGATCATTAAAAAGTCAGGAAACAACAGGTGCTGGAGAGGATGTGGAGAAATAGGAACACTTTTACACTGTTGGTGGGACTGTAAACTAGTTCAACCATTGTGGAAGTCAGTGTGGCAATTCCTCAGGGATCTAGAACTAGAAATACCATTTGACCCAGCCATCCCATTACTGGGTATATACCCAAAGGATTATAAATCATGTTCCTATAAAGACACATGCACACGTATGTCTATTGTGGCACTATTCACAATAGCAAAGACTTGGAACCAACCCAAATGTCCAACAATGATAGACTGGATTAAGAAAATGTGGCACATATGCACCATGGAATACTATGCAGCCATAAAAAATGATGAGTTCATGTCCTTTGTAGGGACATGGATGAAGCTGGAAACCGCCATTCTCAGCAAACTATTGCAAGGACAAAAAACCAAACACCGCATGTTCTCACTCATAGGTGGGAATTGAACAATGAGAACACATGGACACAGGAAGGGGAACATCACACACCGGGGCCTGTTGTGGGGTGGGGCGAGGGGGGAGGGATAGCATTAGGAGATATACCTAATGCTAAGTGACGAGTTAATGGGCACAGCACACCAACATGGCACATGTATACACATGTAAGAAACCTGCACGTTGTGCACATGTACCCTAAAACTTAAAGTATAATAATAATAAAAAAAAAGAAAAAACTCATAGGTGAACAGCATAGCCTAGAAATATCATAAAATCTTAAGAATAACTTAGGTATCTCATGAATGCATAAAATATATGTAGGTACTAGTTTACATTATCATTTGCTACCATAAAATACACACGTCTATAATACAAAGTTTATATTTATTGAAACTTATGCACATAAACACTTATGGACTGTATGTGATGCCATTTGCAGTAGAGAGAAATGTAAACAAACAAAGTTGCAGTATTAAATCATAACTGCAAAAAATTAACTGTAGTACTACTGTAATACTATAATAATGTCATAGCCACCTCCTGCTGCTGTTGTGGTGAACTCAAGTGTTGCAAGTGCAAGTTTCTGCTTAGAATACTGTGAGATGCTAATCATCTCTGCATGAACAGTTCATCTCTCCAGTAAATTGCGTATTATAGTAAAAAATTGGCCTCTTTCAGTTCTCACGTAATTTTCATTGTGTTTAGTGCAATACCATAAAACTTGAATGACACCAAGGGACCCATACAAAGTGCCACTAGAGATGATGAAAGTGCTCCTAAGAAGCAGAAGAAAAGTCATGACATTACAAGAAAAAGTTGAATTGCTTGATATGTACTGTAGACTGAGGTGTGCAGTTGCAGTTACTCACCATTGCATACAGGTAATTCATCTTTTAAATAGACTATGTAAACTTATGGTATCCATAAATATAGCACAGCACTGTAAATGTTTTTTCTTATGATTTTTTAAATAACACTTTCTTTTCTCTATTTTCTGTGTATAACACTTTCTTTTCTCTACTTTCTGTGTTCTCTACTAAGAACACAGAAAATAACACATACATAATATGTATTAATCAACTCTTTATGTTATAGGAAGGCTTTAAGTCAATAGTAGCCTATTAGTAATTCAGTTTTGCGGGAGTCAAAAGCTATACAAAGATTTTCAATGGCACAAGGAGTCAGCACCCCTAACCCCAGCGTTGTTCAAGGGTCAACTGTATTATGTGTCGACTAAAAATATGGGAGAGAAAAAAAAATAAAGGCAGAAAGAGAAGAAATAAAGCCAGGTAAAGGAATGGAAAAACAACTAATTTCCCGAATATTGTCAATACCATATGTTTCCTGTTTCCATAAACAAGCTTCAAATATTTTAATAACAAGTAAATCTGATCATAGTCAAATCACTGCAGTGAAATAAAGAAAATTAGTAAAATGAGCTAGTAAAATTCAGGCATTAAACAACTGAGAAAAATGAATTAAAGGTCTAGAAAGTAATCTCACTTATAAGATAGATATAAAAGTACATAGTAAGGTATTCATCACTGGAGTCCAGAAATATATTATAATATCAATATATAATTATCAGAGAGTCTTCAGGATCCAAATGCATAATGATTCAACACAAAGCACCTCAATGAAACCCATAGTATAATAGAAAAAAATTAAAAAGATCATTTTATTATTAACAATTTTAGTAACTTTTACTTATAAACCTAAGAGATAAATCAATTACTCCCATTTTTAGATGAGAAAACTCTAACATATAGAGTTTATTTGTTGTGAAATTATATTTAATTTTTGACTTGTGATAATGTTAACATATTTAAAACAATCAGCCCTTATCTTTTTAGTGATACTTATTGAAATATTAGCACATGTAAAATAACAGTTATTAGAATTTGCTTCAAAATAAATCGGGTGTTTTAAACCTAGGCAAGGACATAGATGAAGCAAAAGTAGCCATGTGTTGATAATTATTGAATCCAGATAATGTAAAAAAAATGTTCATTGTACTATTCTTTTTACTTTTGGGTATGTTTGCAATTTTCCCTAACAACAAAAATCATAAAATACACTCATCTTAGGAATAAACTTTAGGGGATCCATATAAGGAGAATACAAAATTCTAATAGCAGGCATTAACTAGTTGCATAAATCAAGAAACAAATAATTGCTTGAAAAGGAAATGTTAATGAAGAGATTATCTCAAAATTAATTTTAAAATTTAACAATTATAACCTTAGCACATTTTTTGTCTCCATTGAAGGATATTTACAGTGTAGCAAGAGTCAAGAAAATCCAAAAAGAAAAACCGTAATGAAATATTTGCATTAATCCTTTTACTCTACTATAGACCTGAATTAATTATGACACAAAGACACTGAAAATAATAAATGAAGAGATGGTTGGAATAGGAGAACCAGAAAAATAACCAAGAAATAAAGATAATTTGTTCTGATAGACACAGCATTTAAAATCAACATGAAAGAAAGATTTGTGCAGTGAATAAACTTAGAAAAATTGAATAATCACTGCAGTAAAAATTAAATGAAACTCCTACTCAGTCATATCTCTAAAATAAACTTTAGATAAAATAAATATAAATGTTAATAGAAAAAACATAAATATAATAGAAAAATATTTGTAAATATATACGGAATTGTGTTGAAGGAGATTTTATAAACATGGAAACAAAGCCAGAAGACATAGAGTTATAGTAAATAGCTTTCACATATAAACACTTATAACTTTTTTTAAAAAATGAAAGCTCTCATTTAAAAACTCGAAATACAACTTGGAAACCAATTTTTATGGAAACATAAGAGATAAGTCATTAATTTCCTACAGGATTTTTAGGTGGTGAAATGAAATTGTAGAAAGCAAAAGTGCTTTTAAAAATACAAATGAAGAAGTTTTACTCCCAGAGGAATATCTAGATACTGAAGGACTCTACTGCAGAAAAACAAGTAAAACCTTAATAAAGCATACTTTTAATGTTGTGTTGACTGGGCTTGCAGAAGTGTGGGAACTTTCAAATACACACTAACCCATTTCCTATATCAAGAACCCCCCAAAAATGTGTATTAGTTGGTTCTCACGCTGTTATGAAGAAATACCCAAGACTGGGTAATTTATAAAGAAAAGAAGTTTAATTGACTCACAGTTCTGCATAGCTGGGGAGGCCTCAAGAAACTTACAATCATGGCAAAGGCACCTCTTCCCAAGGCGGCAGGATAGAGAAGGAGTGCCAGCAGGGGAAATGCCAGACACTTATAAAACCATCAGATCTTATGAGACTCACTCATTATCAGGAGAACAGCATGGTGGAAATCACCCACATGATTCAATTACTTCCACCTGGTACTGCCCTTGACACATGGGGGTTATCACAATTCAAGGTGAGATTTCAGTGGGGACAGAGAGCCAAACCATATCATTCCACTCCTGGGCCCTCCCAAATCTCATGTCCTCACATTTCAAGACACAATCATGCCCTTCCAATAGTCCCCCAAAGTCTTAGTTCTTTCTAGCATTAATCCAAAAGTCCAAGTCCAAAGTTTCATCTGAGACAAGATAATCCCTTCTGTGTATGAGCCTATAAAATCAAAAGCAAATTAGTTACTTCCTAGACACAATGGGGGTACAGTCATTGAGTAAATACACCCATTCTAAATGGGAGAAATAGGCCTAAACAAAAGGGCTACAGGCCCCATGCAAGTTTGAAATCCAATAGGGCAGTCATTAAAGGAGATCCAAAATCATCTCCTTTGACTCCATGTCTCACGTCCATGTCACGCTGATGCAAGAGGGGGGTCTCACAGCTTTGGACAGCTCTGCCCTGTGGCTTTGCAGTTTACAGCCCCCCTCCCAGCTGCTTTCATGTTTGGCATTGAGTGCCTGCAGCTTTTCCGGCTGTATGGTGCAAGCTGTCGGTGGATACACCATTGTGGGATCTGGAGGACAGTGGCCCTCTTCTCACAACTCCACTATGCAGTTCTTTAGTGGGGACTCTGTGTGGGGGCTCCAACCCCACACTTTGCTTCTGCACTGCCCTAGCAGAGGTTCTCCATGAGGGGTCCACCCCTGCACAAACTTCTGCCTGGCCATCCAGGCACTTCCATCCATGCTCTGAAATCTAGGTGGAGGTTCCCAAACCTCAATTCCTGACTTCTGTCCACCCTGGCCCAACACCACATGTAGGCCACCAAGGCTTGGGGCTTGCACACTCTGAAGCAATGGCCTGAGCTGTATACTGTCCCCTTTTAGCCACAGCTCGAGCTGAAGCAGCCAAGATGAAGGGCACCATATACGGAGCCTGCACAGAGCAGAGGTGCTCTGGGCCAGGCCCATGAAACAATTTTTTCCTTCTAGACCTCCAGGCCTTTGATAGGAGGGGCTTCCACAAAGGTCTCTGACATGCACTGGAGACATTTTCCCTATTGTCTTGGTGACTAACATTCTGCTCATTACTTATGCAAATTTCAGCAGCAGGCTTGAATTTCTCTCTAAAAAAATGGGTTTTTCTTTTGTATCCCATTGTCAGGCTGCAAATTTTTCAAACGTTTATGCTCTGCTTCCTCTTGAAGGTTTTGCCGCTTAGATATTTCTTCTGCCAGATACCCTAAATCATCTCTCTCAGGTTCAGATTTCCACAGATCTCTAGGGCAGAGGAAAAAAGGCCACCAGTCTCTTTGCCTAGCAAGAGTGATCTTTACTCAAGTTCCCAGCAAGCTTCTTATGTCTGTCTGGATAAGCTCAGCCTGGACTTCATTGTCCATATCACTATCAGCATTTTGGTCAAAGCCATTCAAACAAGTCTCTAGGAAGTTCCAAAGCTTCCCACATCTTCATGTCTTCTGAGACCTTTAAGACTCTAGGAAGTTTCAAGATTTCTCATATTTTCCTGTCTTCTTCTTAACTGTTCTTCAAACTGTTCCAGCCTTTGCCTGTTACCCAGTTCCAAATTTGCTTTAACATTTTCAGATGTGTTTATAGCAACACCCCACTCTCTGTGATACCAATTTACGGTATTATCTGTTCTCACACTGCTATGAAGAAATATATAAGACTGGATAATTTATAGAGAAAAGAGGTTTAATTGGCTCACAGTTCTACATAGCTGGGGAGGCCTCAGGAAACTTACAATCATGACAGAAGACACTTCTTCCCAGGGTGGCAGGATAGAGAATGAGCGTCAGCAGGGGAAATGCCAGATGCCTATAACACCACCAGATCTTGTGAGACTCACTCATTATCACAAGAACAGCATAGGGGAAACCAAACCCATGATCCAGTTATTTCCACCTGGTACTGCCCTTGACACATGGAGATTATTACAATTCAAGGTGAGATATGGGTGGGAGCACAGAAAAACCATATCAAGATGTAAAAACAAAAAAAGGGTCTGAAATTGATGCTAGATGCATTGAACTGAAACAGAAAGGACAAGCAGTGTAGCTTTGTAGGAAAATGCTGATAGCAGCCTCCAAAATCCTAAAATGAAGTTGTGCCAGCAGGAAGGAGAGGCAGGTATTGAACATCAGGCTACTGCATTAGCTGAAACTTTCAAAGGGAGTAAAACACAAAAAGGAGTTCTTAAAAGCAGCCACAGAAAGAAAGGCAGATAATCAACACCTACAAAATAATCAAAATGTGATTAATAGAAGCCTTCCTCATAGCAACAATGAAAATAAGAAGCAAGAAAAAATATTTTCCAAGTGCTGAGGAAAAATAACTGTCAAATAATACACTTTCAGGTAAGAATGTAAGATGATACATATAAGTCCAAATATATCTGTAGAAAGAATAAATTTACATGAACACAGTTACCATTGATTATCAGATTAGAGTCTGATGCAGAAGAATATGTTATATGTCATATAGAAGAGACACATATAAACGTGAAGCATGAAAAGTGTGAATGTAAAGAAGGACAGAAATGTTATACTAGATAAATACTATATAAAATAAAGCTGAAGATGCAATATCAATATCAGAAAATGTGGGCTGTCAAAGATAAAACACATTATTGGCAATAGAATGAGTCATTACTGAATGACCCTTATAATTATCTTTTAAGAAAAACCTCATAGTTTTTATAATGATAGTCCTATGATTATCATTATAAGAATAATGATAACTAAAAAATAGCTGATGTCAATATAGCATACACTATGTGCTTGATATTTTCCTAAAATCTTGGATACATCATTTTATTTTCACCACAATTCTATATCTACTATCATTATCCTCATTTCACCAATGAAGAAATTAAGGCACTGAAAGGCTAGCTCATAGCCATACAACTAGTTAGTGAAGAGGCAAAGAGTCAAACCAGGAAGATAAACACCAGTCTCTATGTTCTCAATTCTAATCCATAAATTTATTAAAATATTATATTTACTGAAAAAATGTAGTGACTAGGCCAAGCATGGTGGCTCACACCTGTAATCCCAACACTTTGGGAGGCTGAGGCGGGTGGATTACTTGAGACAATGGAGTTCAAGACCAGGCTGGCCAACATGGTATAACCCCATCTCTACTAAAAATACAAAAATTAGCTGAGCATGGTGGTGCGTCCCAGTATCCCAACCAATCAGGAGGCTGAGGCAGGAGAATAGCTTGAACAAGGGAGGTGGAGGTTGCAGTGAGCCAAGAACGCACCACTGCACTCCAGCCTGAGTGACAGAGTGAGACTCTGTCACACACACACACACACAAAATGTAGCAACTATGAATATGAATGTACCTATTTTTTAAAAGCCACAGGATAAATGAAGCCCAAATTAATAGAACTAAAGAGGAATGTTGATAACTCCATTATCATAGGGTAAGTTTTTAGCAGATTTCCCCCGATTATTAATCGATAAAACAGACAAAATATTTATTCATAAATGTGATGTGAATAATGTAATCAATAAGCTTGATTAAACAAACATATAGATTTCAGCATCCAACAAGTGGAAAATGAACATTCTTTTCAAGCACAGATATTGTTACTATAGCTTTGACCCTGAGTCTTCACTCTTGTATAAATAGAAATGAACACCAGGTCAAACAGAAATTTTTCTCAGGCAAACTTTAATAGGCTTGCAGGTTGAGCAAAGCAAGGGAGCAACGCATGGGAAAAGGACCCCAGTGCCAGCTCTCTAAGGGGCTTTGCTCTTGTCATTTTAAAGAAGTTGAGGCCAGAAAAGGAGTGGCATGTAGGCATCCAGAGGCAGGGAACTTTCAGCACCTGCTGCACTTTAACATGTGATATGGTTTAACTCTGTGTCTCCACCCAAATTTCATGTGAATTTTAATCCCCAAAGTTGAGGGAGGAACTGGTGGGAGGTGATTTCATCAGGGGGTGGATTTCCCCCTTGCTGTTATCCTGATAGTGAGTTAGGTCTCATGAGGTCTGGTTATTTGAAAGTGCGTAGCACTTCTCTTCCTCTCTCTCCTGCCAGCCATGTGAAGACGTGCCTACTTCCCCTTGGCCTTCTGCCATGATTGTAAGTTTTCTAAGGCCTCCCCAGAAGCAGAAGCTTGTACAGCCTGCAGAACCATGAGCTGAGAAACCTTTTTCATTTATACATTACCCAGCCTCAAGTATGTCTTTACAGCAGTGTGAGAATGGACTAATACAACATGTTTCTTAGTGTGTTGTATGTGACATTAGCATGTTGAGTCTCCACCCCTGGGTGTGATTTTCAATACTATAATGAGATTATAGTGAGGAAAAACTCCCTGAAAGGTCAGCACTGTAGTCTATCTTGTCTTTATGCTGCCTGGATCTGGTCTGGTTCTTTCTGGAAATGCCAAAGTCTGGCTTTAGTAACCTCAGAAGACATTACTCAAAGAGGTAAAGAGTTGGTTTCTTCTTTTTATGGTTAGGAATTCAGCCTGGTCAGCTGAGTTAGGAGAGGCCTCTCTTCTGGCATGTAATTTGTGTCAGCTTGTTAAGGGAGGCAAAAAGTAGTTAGAGGAGGAAATATCCCTAGACATGTGTGACCCATGGGACCTTGGTTGCCTTGTCTCTTATCTGCCAGGACCAAGTCTCTTCTTTATACTGTTTCGATATCACTCTATAGATTGCTTCATGAATGGGCTTCCAGTAGAGGACTATTTCTCTAATAATTATAGCTGACAAAAAAGGGCCAAATAACCTCTATGTAACTATGTATTCAAGGACATTTCCTGTTCAGAAGAGTGACCTTAACAGAAAGGGGGACATTTCCCAGCTGTACTGATACAGTAGTGCCTAGTGATGTATGGCCATTGAGTACTTCCAATGATGTTAGTCCAAAGTGAGATGTGCTTTAATCATACACACTAGAGTTTGAAGACAAAATTTGAATAAAATGCAAAATATCTCATTAATTTTTATATTGCTTTAATGTCAAAATAACATTTTAGATATAGTAGGTTTAATAAACACTTCATTAAAGTTAAGTTCATCTGTGTCTTTTTACTTTTTAAATACTGTGGCTACTAAAAAAGTTTAAATTACACATGTGGCTTGCATAATGTATCTATTGGAAAAGATGATGCTGGTCTAGAGCTTTATTGAATTCATACCAGCTGAGCCAGAATTTTGCTAAGCTATAAAACTGGTGGAGGAGATCAGCCTCCAGATCAAACCAATTTTTCTGAAGGACCTAAAGAAATGAAGATCTATACTATTCCTATAAAAATGAAAGCTCAAAATCATATGCATATCAACTGTCCTTTAATTTATCTGAAATTCAATGCAATTTTGATCAAAATACCAACAGGGTTTTTCATGAATCTTGACAAACTGATTTGAAACTTTATCTGGAGGAGCAAAAGACCAAAAATGGCCAAAACTGAAGAATGTATCCTACCAGCTATCAATGTATATTATAAACCTCTAGTGATAAAGTCAATATGTTATTGGCACAGAAATACAAAAACATTGACCCATGGAACAGAATGAAGATCTGGGAAATAGACTGTGTTTTACAACTTAATATATCTCAAAGGTGCAACTGAAGATCATCGTGGAATAAAGAGTATTCAAAATGTGAGACTGAACAATTAACTGCCCACGTAAATTGGATCCTTAAATTGGATTCTTACTTTCCACCATACCAATAAGTTAATTCTAGATAGGATAAGGGGAATGGTTCAAGGGGAATATTTGAGACCTTAAAAGAAAATAAGAAATAACATTTTTTTCTAAATTTGAGCTAGGGAAAGACAAATTAAAATACATGTTAAGCATTTAAAATGGACAAATTTCACTATATGTTCATTAAAAACTTCTTTCCCACAGAAAAATACCTAAAGACAGTGAAAAGACAAAACACAAACAAATGTCTGCAGCACATGAAATTTGCAAAGGATTAGGAAGACTCTTACAAATCAATTAGAAAAGGACAAAACTCAATAGAAAATTGAAAAAAGGACACAAACAGGCATCTCACAGAAGAGGAAACATGTTGCAAACAAGCTCATGAAAAGATGTTTAACTTTATTAGTTCTAAGGGAAATACAAATTAGCATTTAAAAACTATTGGCCTGATTTTATTCCCACTGATGATAATCCCACAACAATTACAAAACCAGACAAATCCAACAATCAGAGAGGAGATGAGTCAACAAATTGCTGGAGGAAGTATAAATATGAGTAGAAATAACCTGTCATTATTCTTTGAGCCTGAATATTTGCATCAGCTGTGATCCAACAATTTCACTCCCATGGAATGCATTCTATGCTTTCTCTCTGTCAAGTATCAAGACAGCTATAAGAATGCTTATTGTAAAACTGCTGTAATAAGAAAAAGAAAAAAAGGGAAAAAAAGAAGGAAGGAAGAAAGGATGGAATGAAACAAAGAAGGAAAGAAAAGAAAAAAGGAAGAAGAGAGGGAAGGAAGGGGAGAAAATAAAGAGAAAGAAAGAAGAAGGGAGAGAAAGAGAGAGATGCAGGAAAGAAAGAAGGGAAAGAGAAATAAGGAAAGAGAGACCTCAAATGTTCAGAAAAAAATGGGCATGTAGAAGGATTCATTCACCCATTCAGCTATTTTGCATGTGTAAATGAATGAAATAAAGATATGTGGTACAATACGCATGAATATGATATAATCAATCCAGGAGACCTACTTACAGTAAGATACTGCTTTTACAAAGGTCCAAAAGAAGATAAACTGGCAATTGAATGTTTATGAATGAATATATAAGTATTGTATGTAAATAAAAATAAAAAAGGATATAAAGATAGCATTCATAGTGCACTCACATTTGTGGGAGAGGCAATTGTAAGGAGGAACACTTGGATGAAATGGTATTGTAAAATTTTACTTTATAAATTAGATGGAGGTTTCATGGATATTCATTTTATTATTGTGCTTTAGTATATGATACAGGTATGTTACACTTTTTCATGGATCAAATACTATTACATTAAAATGTAATACCTTACATTATTAAACATAAACAAATATGTAAATACGCACACCAACAAATGGTGAGTTGAGAAGGAAGATGATAATGTCATTTTCTTTGGAACTTTCTTACGACTCCCTGAACCACTGTCCCTTTCCTACCTCTTCCATATCTCCATTATAGCGCCATTTGTTTAATCTCCTTATGATTTCCTCTTTGGCTCAGCTGTTTAGTGCAGAACAATTCATGAGTTTGTTCAATCTCTGCTCAGTGTGGTGCCTTACTCCTCATTAGTGGATGCACAACAGATGAGAAATGATAAATGAGTAACTGTTCGAGATTGCGGAAATATTGCAAGTGATAATTCTATGGAATTTTTTAAGCTGAACACCCACCTATTTGGTTCCAAATTACATAAGTCATCTTGAAAGTAGGTTTTGTTCTAGCTCTCAAGAAACAGCACGGTCTGACATATCTGTAGGGAAATTGGATTTTTCATAATATTTTCTTAAGAGAAAGCAGTAAAAAGAGCTTCATAAAAAAGAGAAGCAAAACGCATATGCACCCTTCTGAAAATGTAAAAGCTGATGATGATATTTCTCCTTTGGGCATTAGATCAATCTCATGCATAAACACTGAAATAGAAAGAGACTTACTAAGGAAATAGATCATTGGATGTCTAAAAGCATTTGTATTACTGGACTAGTAGAAAAATAGAGAATATCTTCTGTCCCTGCAATATAATGCAGACATTTTCAATAGGAAATATATGTTGCCCATAGTCAAAATTCATTGGGAAATAGAACCTCAGCTATATAAAGGTCCAAAATTAAATAATTAAATAATTAAAATTTTTTTCAACCTTATTATTATAAGAAATGACAGTTAACCTCAGATAGTATTCTGAAGGAAACAGTTTTGGATCAATGATTCTGCTTGCAGGTATCTTACTCCATCTTCAGAGAAGCTTATGATGTGCCAAGTAAGATCATGTTTTCCTTCAGCGTTTGTATATTATCTTGAGAATGACACCACATTCGCTGATGATATTACCAAAATACCCTTATGGTATTGACTTGGTAAATGGACTGATATGGTTTGGCTCTGTATCCTCACCCAAATCTCATCTCAAATTATCATCCCCATGTGTCAGGGGAAGGGCATGGTGGGAGGTGAGTGGATCATGGATGTGGATTTCTCTTTTGCTGTTCTCTTGATAGTCAGTGAGTTCTTACGAGATCTGATGGTTTAAAAGTGTGACATTTCTCCCTTTGCTCTCTTTCTCCTGCCACCATTTAAGACATGTCTTGCTTCCCCTTCACCCTCTACCACAATTATGAGTTTCCTGAGGTCCCCCTAGCCATTCAGAACTATGAGGAAATTAAACCTCTTTTGTTTATAAATTACCCTGTCCCAGGTGGTTCTTTATAGCAGTGTGAAAATGGACTAATACATGGAAATAATTAAAAACTACATTTCCTAAATTCTTACTTCTAGCCTAATTTCTGCCTTTTGTAAAGATTATTAAGTTTCCTTGCTCTTTGTTAGATCCTAATGAATGTGACTTTCTTTGAGCAAATATAGAGACAAAGGCTAAAAGAAATTTCTACCATCTTTTAGTATTGGTGATTACGTTTTCAATATGCCTGGTTTACTAATTATTTTTTATTAAATGTGGTTTGATTTTCTTTTGTTGGTTTATTTCAGATCTTATAATGTAAGGAAGAAAGAGTTGTCTTAAATAATTACCTCTCATTGTGAGGGAGTATAGTATATTGTTTGAAAGTGCAGACTGGAGTGAAATAATAATTATTTTAAATGGAAATATATCTAATAGAATAATATTATTGGTAAAACTGAAACACTAATTGGTAAAACCAATAAACACTAATAACACTAATTATATACATCTCTCTGTCCACTTCATGCTGTCACCCACATAGCTGAAGGGGGTTGGAGATAACACATATCCATGCTGATTAGTCTTATTTTGAATATGTGACTTCAAATGGCCCCAAAATGCTGCCTGACAATCACACTACATTTTTCTGTTTCATTTATTCTGGAACTTTATAAGGTGACTCATTCCTTTTAATCTCTTCTCAAAATCTCAACCCTTTTAAGATTGTCATATTTAGCCAAAGAAATACAGGATGCTCAGGATTTGAATTAAATCTAAATGCTTACGTATATGTACACTGTGATAAAAGAAAAAGATGGCATGTTAAATACTTAAACAATAATTGTTTGCCTAAAATAAATAACAAGTATGTAAATCACCTACCTCTGTTTTTAAAAATCATATTCCCTGATGGTTTGGCTCTCCCAAATGGTTTTTTGTTTCACAGAGTTTGCTTATAAAATTCCTTGCAGTATGTATTCCATTTATATGTCACTCCATAATGACACAGTTTCTATAGTGGTCATATCCAATTAATTTTGTTCATTTGTTCACTGAAAAATTGTTAATGATATAACACATTCAATGTTGGCACTATGAGCCAGCATATTAGCATGTACTGGCATAAAGTTCACAAAGTCTCTGGCTTTTCAAACTTGATTTGTTGAAACTTACAATGCCATCCTTTTTCCGGCCTAACTTTATTCATTCCTTTCTATTATCAGGATTTTGTAGCATGGATTGATTGATGACTTTTCAAATGCTGTGGCCTGAAGAGAAAGAATATTGTCTTCAAATTTTATTCCCTTGTTGTTGAACACTACACATGAGGATGCCACTTGTTCCCATGTAACCATTAGGTAAAATCAAATTCTTCAAAGTATAAAATATATTCAAAAGATATTCACGGCAAATGCCATAATAATGATACATTTAAAGATGAAATTTCTTTTCTTGTTCATAAGTAATATCTCTTTTAAAACAGCTTTGACACTGAAAGGGATATTTTTCCATCATTTTTTGCTTTAACATGTTCAACAAGTTTCTTAAGCAATGGAGCACTTTTATGACACAGTTTGCTTTTCCTTCAACTTGCATAATCCTATTGTTAAAGAGATGTTGAAAAGTATTAACAAGGAATAAATAGAATTCATTCAATGAATTACTTAGAAAATCAACAAGCATTGGGAGGGGCCTGTTCAGAACTAAAGTGTGATTTCAATAAGCTGGATATTCTCTCGCTGTATTTGTTAAAAGAGAGCCATGGGTTTCTGAATATGAGAGAACTGAACAATCCTGAATTCCAACAAACTCTCGAAAGTCCTTTAGTCACTGGGTTAGACAGCATACATACTGAAATTAGAAAATAATTTCATGTGATCTCTGTAGTGCCAATAGGAAATATTCAATGCCAATAGCATGAGGTTCTTTGAGCAGTGTCATGTACAATATGGATCAAAAGCTAACACCTTACAAAGAATCATTGATGCTTTGATTCAACTTTAAATAAATCTCATTTCCATATTTACACCTTTACTTTTATTTGTATTTTTATTACTTCTACTAAAATCAGTACAACTTTTCTCATTACGTCCTAACTAAAAAAGAGTCTGCAACAATTTGCTGTTGTTTCTGATGTTTCATCTAAAAGGGATTTTACACTTCATAACCTTCTAAGGAAGTCTTTTTCATGAGGAAAATATTGCACAGGCAAAGGTAATATTTTTCTGCATTGCAATTATTTTCACCATGGCTCTTTTGTAAAATGGTGAATCATTCTGATATTTTATTACCTCTGCCATAGTAAATACCCCTATTATATATTTGTATTATTGCAGTAGATGTCATTTTGGTACTTAAAAACTTGCTCATGATTTTAGAATCAGAAAACACTTTTAGTAGCTGTATGTTCAAAAGATATTTGTGCTGAAATACTGATGCTGATGTATATCGTATGGAAGGCATTCCAACTTCTACTGCTTCACATGAATTTCCCTTAATCAGAATTTTATTTTTTGTCACATTTATAGTACTAGTTAAGAACTTATATATCACGTATGCCAATATGCTGGCTTATATCTGATTTTCCACCATTTTCCATATTGTATGAGTAATTGTATACTACACACAGAGATCCAAAAGAGCATTTTCTTTATTTAGTAAATGTCACTCTTCAGAAAATTTATCACAAAGTTTATTTCTGTGTTTTGGCATTTGAGGATTCAAATATACAAAAACACAAACACAAATAGATAATAGAAACCACCACAAGAATTGAAAAGACTGAATTTAATAATCTCAGGGAATCTACATTGCATTTGTCACTCACAAGTCCAAATTAATAAGTAACCATAAACAAGGGTCGAGTTGTTGAAAGGGCTGTGAACTTGCAAACTAACAATAAAATTGACTAATATCTGGAGCAAAAGGTGAAGTTTTCCTTTGCTTACAAGTAATAGCAATATCTGTAAGGCATTGTCTTTATGTAATGTCACAGATGACATTACATAAGGTTTCAGAAAGACTGGCTCATCAAAGCTTGGCAGACTTTCAGAGGTAGGAATGTTTAGGGATTACAGAACTTCATACTCTACTGGTGTGGTCATTGTACTAAGGCTGATGTTCACCAGCTGACTTAGAAACACAGAAAATAAACTGAAACATTTGTTGATTGACTAATGTTTAGAAGCACAGGGTTATCACTGATTAGTCTATTTTCAAAAATGAAGTTTAATGATTGGCTGACTTTCAGAATTCATAGTTACATGAATCAGGCTGGTGTTTGACTGATTTTCAGAGCACGGGTACTAATCTGATCTTATCTCTAATGATGGTTACTTATGCACGACTTGAAACCTTGGCCAAAGAACAATCTTTCATATCTTAAATATGAAAAATAAATAATTTTAATCCTTACTTATTTCTTTTGACTTTCAGCCAAAGCTGCAGTAAGAAACTTAAGAGACTCTCCAGATCTTTATTTATAGAGGTATGACTTTCAACTTGTGTTGCCATTCAAGTGATTTAAGCTGCCAATGGGGGTGACTGAAAAATCACTCTAAAAGCCAATTTTTTGTTATTTATTGGAAAAAATACTGAATATAGAACATCTAGAGTGTCCTGGAAAAGACAATACAAGACACAGGGAAAAAGTATTAGATCCAGAACATGTTTGCAATATAAAAAAATACTTGGGAACCCTAAACCCTCATCGTCATTCTTAACTTTGTTTTCTATTTCATTGAGAAAATAATGGAAGATTAGAGAGAACTTCTACAAACTGTCTACTACATCTAACCCTTATTTGAATCTGTTCCCAATTATTCTAACTTATTCACTTTGCTGCTGATAAAAGTAATCAATTCCACTTACCTAATAGATCTTATTACCTCTTACATGAATAAGGATGTAATTCAATCAATTCTCATATTTTTCTCAAATTTATATCTATAGGTAAGGCCTCTTCCCAGAACATCAGACTTGTATATCCAACTGCCTGGTAGACATTGCCACTTGATTGTCTAATAAGCATTGCAATCTTTACGTGTATATGACCAAGATCCTAACCCATCCTTCAAGAAGCTCACAACAATTTACTGCCAAACCTGTATGCCACAGTATTTTCTATGTCTGTCAAAGACAACACCATCATTACAGTTGTTCAGGCCAAAATCTCTACATTCACACTGTCAGAAAACCTGATTTTTCTACCTTTAAAATGTTTCTAGAATCTTACCACTTCTCATTACTTCCATCATAACACCTTGATCCAAACCAAATTTAGGTTATTGCCACATCCCTTTTATAGTCTAGCTGTTTTTTTCTTGGACTTTCCTCAGTCTTTTCTTAAAATAGAAGTCAAAGAGATTCTAATAAAGAGTCCAAGCATGACATAACTGTTCTCAATTCCTTTCAATTATCCAGCACGTCACAGAAAGAAAAAGCCAAAGGCATTGCTGTGACCATCAAGGTTGAACAGGATTTACCTGCTGTAAATTCTCTGACGTTTTCTCCTATTTCTCCTTTTTTTTTTTTGCTCACTCAGCTCTAGGCACACTTCTCTCCTTGCTGTTCCTCATATACTAGGCACCCTCCTATTCAGGACATTTATATTTGCTGTTTTCTCTTCCTAGAATTATTTTCAGGATACTCCAGTTCCTCTCTCACCTGGTGTGGAGCCTAACTCAAATGCAACCTTTGCCCTAGATCACAGTATTGAGGATTACCACATCCCAATATTCTGTTTTCCCTTTTCCGGCTTTTTTTTTTCTCTGTGGGATCTATCATCATTTAGCACTCTATATATTTTATGGTTTATTGTCTGCCTCCCCCAACTGGATAGTAAATTCAGTGAAGGCAGAGGTTATTGTCTAATTTTTTTTCTGTATTCTTGGTGCTTAGAATGTTGCTCAGGTATTTAATGAATGTTTACCATTACTGTTTTTACTTTATTTTGTCACTGTCATTGTTATAAACTGCAGCAATCTCATTTAAAAATCGAGGCTATTAAACTGCTTTCAAATTCTATTTCGAGTCTCGCTTGCATAGCTTTGCCCTTTCTCCAAATGAATTACCTGACTAGATTTATTCAGTTTAACATAATGAGTACTCTTCAAATATCTGTTTTTTGCTTAATTTTAAACTACTTTGATTAAGGGAGGAATAAAAAATATGGATTCTCTGTATTCTTAAAGGGCTTAAATATTTTTCAGGAAGATAGAATATGCACATATAAAGAAAGAAAAGAAAATGTATGAATAATAAAATAAATATTCAGTCATTGTTTCAAATATACGATAAATATTTCTTATGTATTTATTGCCATCCATGGCTCAATCTAGATGTTATTAATATAAGTAAATGGAGAGTACACTTCCCTTAGAAACTCATAGTACAATCAAATGCCCTAAATGCATTTGAACAGAACACAAGAATGATCAGTACTAATGAGAGAGAGAAACTAAAGATGAAATTCAGGAAAAAGGTGGTATAGGACGTTTTGTCTGGACCATGTAGAGTAGACAATCCCCAGTGGAAACTGAAAACTCAGTGTGCCAGTTCATTACCCAGGAAATACCCCCATCTGTTTTATCGCCTTAAACTATGATTATTGTTGTCAAGATTTCCTTGATTTTTGCTCTGGGTATAAAATATTACTAAATAGGAATATTTCTACTTTACAATGGAGCTTGTGAGAAATATCATAACTTTGAAATAAAATTGGGCTACATTCAAATTTAATTTAGGGATGGACAATAGATGTGGGCTAATAAGATTTTTTGACTATTCCCCTCCTCTTTTCTTCTTTTTTCTGGCTCAGAGTATGTATAAAGTGAGGTTTCTCCGTACCTACAAGGCTATATTTCAAAGTTTGTGTTGTTCCCTGACATAGGCTGCGAATCTGTTCCGCTTCCATCTCTGCATGGATGTGCAGGGCTGTTATTCTGGAAGAGTTACCCACCTAACTACTCCAATGCACTTAGTTTGCCTTGTTTCCTAGCAACAAGCTCCATCTAATTCGTTTTCCCGTAGCATCCCTCCTGCCTCAGACTTTCTTGTTCCTCTTTCTCTTGCTAAATAGATTTACAAGTGTCTTATAGTCTTTATGCCATATGTCTATCAAACAAGTCTTTCCCCAGAAAGGTAGGGAACTGGATAACACTATATACCTTTAGGAGAGAAATTCGGGGCCTGAACATAAATTTCAGAGAGCTCTGGTCACGTACTTTGGTAATACTGTTTTATTTTGTAATATTAAAATAACTGTGGTGAGAAACCACTTTTACCCCCAAGGGCTCCTTATTAAAAGCCACATGAGAAATTTTTCCTTTCCTAAATTCAGTTTGTGACTAATCCAAATTATGTGAATTTGATCGAGTGTGAGCAAATCATTTAATTCTTTATTGTTTCCATGACAAGTTCTCTCCTTGTTTTATAATAACTGTTAAGGAGAGTCAACTTTACATCAATTAATGGGGAACTGATAATGCATGCACATCCTTTTTATAGGATGGTGCACCACTTTCATAGAGGAATGACAGATAAGCAGCAACTCACTTTGCCAATGGTCAAGTTATACAGGCCCAATTCAAACAATAATGTACTAATACATATAAATAATAAATTATGAGCTACCGTTTGTGTCATATATGTAAAATGTAGGGGAATGGCCATGGTAAAACTTATTCCATAAAGTATTTTTTTAAGAGGCATCCTCCGAAGTGAAGGGAGGAGTGCTGTGTCAAACATCTACATGGCTCTCCCAGGCACTACAACTCTCTACTAGCAGAGTGAATAAAGAAGTGGGAATAAGCCAGTGTTATTCTTAGGGAAAATTCCATCCTCACAGTAATTGGTAATGGTTAAATAATATTCCACTTTAACTACAAATGTCATTGGTGTTATTTTATGGATGAAGACTTGGGTAGATTGGATTACAAGTAAATATGACAGCCTTGTGAGGTAAGTTGAATACCTTAGACTATAAAAGCAAACACTGGAAGGCTCCCCTATAGCAATGGTTTGTAGTTAGAAAGGGACTTCAAAACCACCTGAAGATCTTTACTAAGCATTTGCTGAAGATTTACTCATGGGAAGATATTTTTCAGGCAAAGTGGGGTTACTGAGGCACGTCATCAAAAAATATTAAGGATAAGCTTTTGTAATAATAAAGACGTGTATTCTGTACCCAAAATAATGCTATTCTGAAATTAGGACTAGATAATAAATTTACTGCATAATTAAGGGATATTCTAGATAAATAGTTTGAGGTCACATATAAATATTGATTACTTACTATAAATTAGGTATAAATTACATATTTTAGATATACAGAATGATTTGAATTATATTTTGTCTTTAAAAAAATTACTATGCTGGAAAGTCATTTTCTCCCTTCTCTTTTTTGATTCCAGGATTGCTCAGTAGCAACGCTCAGAATTCCAACATGGATGGAACTCTGAGCCTTGAAGACAAGTAGCCTTGTGTTCAAGGCTCAGAAATTCTCCATGGTGATTCTAATTGAAAGAGTTCTCGCTATCTTTCAAAAAGCCATTTGAATTGCCAGCTCTTACTGAAAAAAAATTTATTGATAGCTCAAGTCCATGGACAATCAGTATTGTCTGTATATATTATGCTATGGTTAAAGGCATCTTGAAAAATGCAATCATGTCTAACACAGAGAGAAATGTATTATTTCCTTTGCTTTTTTTCTTGCATGTTGACAAATTATAGTCATATATATTTATGGGATACAAAATGGTGTTACCATTTTTGAACAAAATGTGGAACGATTAAATTAAGCTAATAAACATATCTATCACCTCAAATATTTAACTTGTTTTGTGATAAGAATATTTAAAATTTACTCTTAGTGACATTGTAATGTGCATTACTCAGTTATTAGCTATATTTACCATCCTGTGCTATTGATCTAAAAATATATAATTTATTCCTTTTACCAGACTTAAGCTTAGTACTCTTTGACTATCAATTCCACATTCCTCACCAGCATCTGGTAACCACCATTCTACTCTTGCTTCTATGGGTCCCATCGTTTTAGAGTCCACATATAAATGGGAACATGCAGTATTTGTCTTTCTGTGTTTGGCTTATTTCACTTAGGGTGATATTCTCTAATTCCATCTTTGTTGTCATGAATAACAGAATTTTTTCCCTTTTTATGAATGCATAATATTCCACTGTGTGTATAGTCATTTCTTGGTATCCATGGGGAATTGGTTCCAGAACTGCTGCATACCAAAATCCATAGACGCTCAAGTCCCTTATATAAAATGGTGTAGTGTCTACCTATAACCTATGCACATTCTCATTCTTCTATATATTTTAAATTGTCTCTAGATTTTCTATAATACCTAATACAATGGAAATGCTATCTAAATAGCTGTTACACTGTATTTTTAAGATTTGTATCATTTTTATTGTTCCACTGTTAATATTTATTTATTTCAGATTTTTTAATCTGCAGTTGGTTGTTTCTGCAGTTGCCAAACCTCCAGATACAGAGGGCTGACTATAAATACCATATTTTCTTTATCTATGCATCCCTCGATGGACTCTTACATTGATTCCATAACTTGACTACTGTGAATAATGCATCAGTAAACGTGGGATTGCAAACATCTCTTCAACTTACTAATTTCAGATATTTTGAGTGAATAACCAGAAACTGAATTGTTGGATCATTTGGTAATTCTATTTTTAGTTTTTGGAGGAACCTTCGTAATGTTTTCCATAGTGGCTGCATTAATTTACATTCCCATCAATAATTCACAAATGTTATCTTTTCTCTATATCCTTGCTAATACTTATCTTTTGTCTTTTTAAAAATTTTCTAAATTAGCCATTCTTATAGGTATGAGGTGATATCTCATTGTGATTCTGAATTTTCTCCTTCCCAGTGATCAGTGATATTGAGAATGTTTTGCTTATCTGTTAGATATACACATGTCTTCTTTTGAGGAAGGTCTATTCAAGTCCTTTGCCTAATTATTAATCAGATTATTCATTGTCCTTGTATAAAGTTTATAGTTTATAGATTCTTTTAGAATCTTAAAATTTCTCCCAATTCATAGGTTCTCTTTATTCTGTTGTTTTCTTTGCTACACAGAAGCTTTTTGGTTTGATTATCCCATTGGTCTATTTTCTTTTGCTGCCTGCACTTTTGGGGTCAAAATTAAAATATATATGTATAGCTGAGACCAGTGTTGTATAGCTTTTCCTCTGTTTTCTTCTGTTAGATTGGTGCAAAGGTAACTGTGGTTTTGGCCAAACCCCTTTACTTTTGCACCAAACTAATAGTAGTTTTATAGTTCTTGGTCTTATGTTTAAATCTTTGTCCCGCTTGCCTACTTCTCCTGATATGGGGCAGGTAACTTCAAACACAAAAGATAATCAAATGTTTTTTGAGTGAATAAATAAATAAATGAGTTAATGAATTGAAAATCTTCTATGATATTTGCCAGAATCTGGCCAAGACCAAGTTTGATGCTGAATTTGTTAAATGTTTAATATTTTCTAGAGTTGGATAATTCTATCATATATGCCCTAAGGGTTGTCTTTTTCGTGGGACAATCAATTAACCATTATCATCTGTTATCTCTATACTATCCTCTGGCCTCTACCATCCTCTGGTCTCTGTTGCCTCACATTATCATCTTCTGCCATTAGGGGGAAATTGGTTCCTTCCCAGTAAAATAACACAACTTTCTAATTTGAAAGTAAAAAGGAAAGGAAGGAAGGAAGGAAGGAAGAAGGGAAGAAGGAAGAGAGGAAGGAAGGAGGGAGAGAAGGAAGGAACGAAGGAAGGAAGGAAGGAAGGAAGGAAGGAAGGAAGGAAGGAAGGAAGGGAAAAAGAGAGATAATGAGGGAGGGAGCAAAACGCTATTGGCCCCCATCTGTGTTCAGCCACACCTGCAACATTGTGCCTTCCTATCCTGCCTCATGTTTCCTTCACTCTGATATGACAGTTGGAAGGCCTTCTGCCATACGATAAAATGAAAATCCAGAGCAACAAGAAATTTCTTACTGTGTGGAAAAAATAATATAAAATCTTTTAAAATTGTATTAATACTTTAGCATACAATGGCTGGGCATGGTGGCTCATGCCTCTAATCCCGGCTCTTTGGGAAACTGAAGTGGGCAGATTGCTTGAATCCAGGAGTTCAAGACAAGTCTGGGCAACATGGCCAAACCCCAATTCCACAAAAAATACAAAAAATTAGCTGGGCATGGTGGCACATGCCTGCGGTCCCAGTTACTCATGAGGCTGAGGCAGGAGGATTGTTTGAGCCTGGGAGGTGGAGGTTGCAGTCAGCCAAGATTGGACCACTTCACTCCAGTCTGGGTGACCTGGGTGACAGAGTAAGACCTTGCCTCAAAAAAAAAAAAAAAAAAAAAAAAAAAGCTTTGACATATAAATAGGATTGAGTGAAGAAGTCCCAGATTTCTCCCCATAAAAGATTCAGACTACCAAAATTTCACATTTGGAATATAATCTAGAAGTGTCTCATCCTGCCTGATCTGCTGCAATTCAGTTAGTTCATTTGTCTTCATTATAATTTGTGTGGATCAGGCTAATTAACTATAATTTATTCTGTGAATTTCTGTGTAATTAATATAATTTACTTTGGCTGTAGGCAGCTAAAAATGATATGCCAAGCTCTTTTTGTCAGAAACTTTACCAACATTTATCTTGGATTCAATTACTAGAATTTAACTGTAGTTTCAGCATGAACTGAAGATCTGCTAGCTTCTCATGCAGAGCAGATATTATCCTAGGTCTAACATTCTTGTGAATCATAGATAGACAGTACTTTTTGGAAGATGTATTATTGACCCTCTGGTCCCAAAGCATAATCTCCATCCTCTTTAAACATATTTCAGACAGTCTAGCTAACTTGTAACAGAGTAAATTGATCCAGCTCTCATTTAACAAATTCTCCTTCATGACTTAATAAAAAACTCTATCATCAAACAATTTTATATGTATCTCTTGAAGGTAACTCATGTTTCTTGTGGCATTTAACATATTTCATTATGTAATATAATTTCCTAAACTCTTTTCTAGAATTTAAGTCAATCTGTACTTTTGAAGAGGAGGGGAAAAAAAAGAATTCTTCCAATGGATGAAGCTGATTTCCTTTTCCTGATAAATGGAAATTCATTATTACTGTAGCAAATGTAACATTTTTGTTTACATGAATCTAGTGTTAATTAATTAAGCTGAACTTTGAACTTTAAATCTCACTGAACTCCCATGCTTATGGACTCACTAGAATTTTGTGTTCATGGAGCATCATTGACTCTGTGTGTGAATGAATCATCAAGAAACAGAGGGCACATATTGCATGTATTTCCTCTGCCCACATGCATGCCCCATTTTTAAAATCACCTTCCACTTACAGAACACAATTTATAAGATAAAATTAAGAACTTGAAAATATAACAGATCATCAAACCAAGTGAAGAGCCCTTCTGAGAGCAGCATTCCATGTCACTATACAGGTTTCACACCTATGAAATTGATCTACCAAGATACATCTCACAAAGGGCATAATGTCAGTAGAATTTTAGAAAAGACTGAAGATTGGTTAGAAGTTTATTGATGTTATTCCATCTAGAGACCTCAATATCCCAAAAAAAAGGCAAGAAAACAAAATAAAATAATAGATAATTATTAAAACCTTAAAATTAACAGGACTAATAAAGTTTGGGAGGTTTGGTATAGTATAATAAAACACCATTTTCTCCTTTCTGGTTCTTAACCAAGAGAGAGTAGTTATAAGGAAGCATGAGCTCAAAATTAAATATCTGTTTACTCTGCAAAGTATAAAACTCCATGAGAAGCAAAATAAAAGAATGAGTCAGGAACCAGAGACTAATATGATGATTCTTTATTTTATTCATCCCCAAATAAAGGCAGTCAGGGACATTGTAAAGAGCTGTAATGACTTATTAAATCAGTCAGGGTTAGAGAAACTGGACCTAGGAGAGAAAAATCTTAACCAGACCTTTTAGAACTAAGTTTTTCTTTTTCTTTTTCTTTTACATCTTCTACATGCAGTAAAATGAGTTCATCACATTTGAGTACAATTAGACCTAAGAGGCTAAAGGGGCTAACAACAGGGAAAAAGAGGGTAAGCAATGTGAAGGAAAACCATGCACAAGCATTGGTTTTCATATTAGTCCACCTAATAAAATAATATAACCTACTTCATCAATTGGAGAAGTCACCTCTTCCCCATTGTGATAAGCAAATCAAGGTACTGAAAATTTAAATTGGTAATGATAATGAAAATTTTGTCCCCACCTGGAAATAAATGGGGAAGTCATCTTTAGGCAACGAGAAGTTGGAGAAAGAGTAATTCTTTGTCTTTGAGAGTGATCAAATGTGAGAAGTGAGGGAGGAGAACAGTGAGAGATGACTCCACATTTCCTTGGGTAGAAAGTGAGTTATTCAAGAGAAAGGAATGCATAGCCAAAAACCTTAAGTAAGAAAGGGCTTGGGTGTTTGTTTTGTCGCCAGAGTATTTATTCTGCCATTTGGAAGAAACTCTTATAGTGAAGAGAAGTGGTTCGCTGACTTCCCCATACTCAGACAATAGGAGTTATATTTTCATTTTATAGGTATTACCTTTAATAAGTAATAATAGTACATTACTTATTAAAGGTTTTCAGAAGCAGTTTACTTACTGTGGTTTTCTTGATCAGCTCTGTCCCAAGCTACTTATAAAGAGCTCTATGATAATGAAATAAGCTAACATCTCCAGTGAAATCAAACATTGATAGAAAATTTTAATGAAAAATAAAAATTAAAAAACTTTCAGAATCCTTGGGAATAGTAAAATAAAACTGTTTAATTTAAGGAACTTCCAAATTACTCTTCTAGCCCTGCTACTTATTTCTACTTGCCTATTTTTTCTAGATTAAGGTGTGTAATTGTTTACCCATCTCCCAATTTTTATTAAACAACTGAACTGCATAATCCATGTTCCACTCCCTTCTCTATCCTGGCACAAAAATAAGGACTACCGTTGGTTAAACTGTCCCTATAAGACACCACTGGAGGATGTTTATAATATTTCAGAGTTCACAATGAATCTTGACTACAATTCCTATATCACAACAATGATTACAGCATGTTAGAGCCCATGACTCAGTTACAGTAAATACCATTATCCACATTCTGATTTCTCCTTGCTTACATATTGGGCTCAGTTTAACACTTTGCCGTGCATACTTTAGACTGGAACCTTAAAAATGTTTTATCAATTCAACAATCACTTATTAATTGTCTTCTTTGTGCTAGGCTTTTTACTACATGCTTGAGATTCAATTTATAAATGCACCACTCAACCTTTTACACATTTGGCCCTCTTGCGCCACTTTGTTTCTTCATACGTTTCTGTTTTGTGGTCTTTCCCCACTAATTATGGTGCTTGCTATATGCATCTCTCTTTCCTTTCTTGCTACAACAATTTGTTCTTCCATTTGCCATCTTGGATCTAGCAAGAAATAACTCTTAGATATAATAAGGGGATAATTGTCCCATGAACACGTTTGTTGACTTTCACTGGCCATTTTTGAAAGTGCAATAACAATTTTACTGGTTTCCTATTATGACTGCCCTCACTCTGATTACTGCCCAAAGCTTGCAAAGAAAACCTGACAAATCAGGTAATTTCTCCTTCAATCCAGTAAAGGGAAATAGAATTAAGTCAATTTACCTATTGCTTAATTGGTTCATTGTCCCATGAGGCCTTTACCAGTTTCTTGTGGTTGCTCTAACAAATTACCAAAAACCTGGTGGCTTAAAATAATATCCTTCTGTTCCTTTACAGTCCTGGAGGCCAGAAGTCTGAAATTAGTTGCACTGGAACAAAATCAACGTGTCAGCTGGGTCATGGTTTTTTTTGTAGGGGAGAATCACTTCCTGGACTATTCCAGCATTTGGAGGTTACTGGAATTTCTAGGCTTGTGGCTCCATCACTCCCACCTCAAGAGTAACATCTCTAAATCTCTCTCTGCTCCATCTGCATATCGCTTCTCCTGTCTGTCTATATGACATCTCCTCCTGCCACTCTCTTATAAGGACACTTGCAATAACATTTAAGACCCACCTGAATAATCCACTGTAATCACTCCATCTCAAGATCCTCAATTTAATCACGTCTTTGAACCCTTTTTCCTTATAAGGTAACAGATACAGGTTCCAGGAAATAAGACACACATTTCTTTGTGTGATTACTATTTGGCCTGCTACAGTGATAAATACAAATCAGCACATGAACCTGAATTAGACTTGCACAGCAGAATCGTATTGTCATCTTCATCATCTAGAGAGCTGTTCTGAAGGATTCACCAGAATCCCTCAGGGTATTGGTTAAAAATACAAAATATATAACATCAATCCTAAAATTCTGTTCAGTTGATTTTGTTTTCAATACAAGATTATAGAAATTTAAGAAGCAAATCTGAGTTCTTTGACCTAGGTGGTCTTTAGGAAAATACACTGGAAAATAATGACCTGAAGTACTTTGGTTTGTACTATATAAAAAAGGACTTCCTATAGTAAGTTTCTGTTTTAGGATTTAAAATGAGAAAAACCAGATAAATCAGATTATTTTCTCAGTGGCTTACAGGAAGTCCTGTAATTCATCAATGAAGAGTGATAGTGTAATAGTTATCTCTGTGTCATAACTATGTCAGGCAGTCATGTATCAAGGAAAGAATCAAAGGAATATTTTGCCTTTGCTTTGGAGGGCTGTTCAAATGGGTGATCTGTGTCAAATTTCCCAAAGAATCAACTGGGCTGAGGCAGAGTTATCTAATATTATTTCCTACCAAATCTCTTAAATCAAGTCTCAGAATCTTACTATTGACAGAGTGTATCCTCGTCTTCTTCTCCTTTCCTTGCTCCTTTCTTTATTTCTTCTCCTTATCTTAGGTACAAGTGGTTGAATGAAAGACGGTCTTCATGTCATACTTTATTACCATTGGTCTATACATGTACTTTTATTCCTATCTGTCTATATATTTATACACACATATATGCACAGACATGTGTATATATATATGCAAACACACACATGCACACACATTACTTTTTTGGCATATCACACTTACGTTTCCCTCCTTGTTCCTTAAGAAAATATTACTTTTTTTTTTTTTTTTTGAGACAGAGTCTCAATCTGTCACCCAGGCTGGAGTGCAGAGTGGTGCAACCTCAGCTCACTGCAACCTCCTCCTCCCAAGTTCAAGCGATTCTCCCGCCTTAGCCTCCCAAGTAGCTGGGACGACAGGCGCGTGCCACCATGCCCAGCTAATGTTTGTATTTTTAGTAGAGACAGGGTTTCACCATGTTGGTCAGGATGGTCTTGATCTCTTGACCTCATGATGTGCCTGCCTCAGCCTCCCAAAGTTCTGGGATTACAGGTGTGAGCCACTGTGCACGGCCTAGGAAAACATTATTGTTTGTGTGTTTAATGTTTACATTTTATCTGTTCCTGTAAAAGCTAAATTTTGCATTGTATGGCTGCCTGTATCATTTTTTAATAAACTCAAAGGATTTCTTTAATTTGAATTTTAACATGACAATAAAAGGATCAGTTAATGACTCGAATTGTAGTAGATAATGAAATGTTCAGATTTAACTGAACAATTTAGATGAATAAGATATATGGGAACCTACTAGTGACATAACCATGTAATTTTGGTAATAACTCTTAAGTGTTTGTAATAAGGGAATTTGTGAGCTCCATTTGGAGAAATTGTTAAGAGAGAAATTTCTCTTCTTGTGTTATTCTACTGGTTCTCCTGTTCTGCATTCCATTTGGTCTATGTCTCAGGCTGATATGTGTTATATGACTTACATAAATTCTGTAAATCTATACTTGGAATTGCTCCAGTGAGAACTTTTAAGTGTAGTTTCTTCGCCTGTCATTGAAAGGACATTTGCTGTTCGGAAGTCACTCTGCCACTGTGTATCATGAGTGACAGTAGGAGGTGTCATCCTGGTTGTAACAGCATAGATTTTGCTATTTAGCTAAATGCTTACCTATGTTCGAGGATACAAACATCACAGTGTAGTATTTTCCCCTAATAGACCACAAATGTGTTGGAAAACACCTAGTTCCAAATAAATGGACTTTTTTGAGATCCCCCCAATTAGATATGAGATCCATTACGATTGACTTACTCAAGACCAATGTTTGGCAAAGCATAGTTTGAGGGCCACCTGCATCAGAATCATTGGTATTCTTTTTTTTTTTTAAATCAGTTTCCAAAATACAATAGGAAACTATAACACAGAAATATTTTGGATGTGATCTGAAAGATGCATTTTTAATAAGCTCCCCAGCTTATTCTGGTGCATAATAGAAATGGGGGAGCATTTAGATAAACATAACGAAATGACCTGGAAAGTACTTCACATTATGGATAAAGATAAATAAATTGGTTATCAGCTGATAGTTTTAAATAATATATTAAGTATAATGAGTTCAATGAAAAGCTGCATTATCTCTGACAGAATCATAGTCATCAAAAGACATTAAGCCAACGGTGTTCAATGTTCTCTAGCAAGTATATACATACGGTCACTGTATGAGTCAGACAAATTTTAATTTAAAGATACATACAGAACAGGTCAAGTTTTGGAAATCAGATGGCAAGTGAGACTTCAATTTTTACATATTTAAATTAAAATGTTTTTGACATTGTTGTTAAATAAAAATAATACATTTATAAGTTTTGAGAATTCACCTTGTTTAAAAAGCTAAACATGATGAGAGAAAAATCTCTCATACCTTCAAATATTTTGTTCCAAATGTAACCACTAGTAAGTTTCTTGATTCAATTTAGGGAAACAAGTTGTATATTCTTGTACATATTTTTCTTTGTGTGTGTGTGGGTGTGTGTGTGTGAAAACAGAATATATACAGAATATATATATATATACACACACATATACATATTTATGTATATATACTTATATACTATGCTTTTTAAACTAGTTTTACTGTGGAATAGTTTAAATATCATAATCCTCTTTATTCTAAGTATATAATAAATGATTTTAGTAATGATTTAGTCCAGTTTTAAAAATATTTTCATCAGCCCAAAATATTCTCATTCTCATTTTCATTTAAACACCACACTCTACCATGGCCCTTGGAAACCATTGATCTACATTCTGTCTTTATAAATTTTTCTTTTCTAGACTTTCTATATGAACAGAATCATACAATTTGTTTTGTATCTAGCTTCTTTCACTTAAAATGATGTTTTTCATATTTATCCAAGTAGTAGCATACATTAGCAGCTCATACATAATCCCAGCACTTTGGGAGGCTGAGGCAGGCGGATCACAAGGTCAAGAGATCGGGACCATCCTGGCTAACACAGTGAAACCCAGTTTCTACCAAAAATACAAAAGGTTAGCTGCGCGTGGTGGTGGGAGCCTGTAGTCCCAGCTACTTGGGAGGCTGAGGCAGGAGAATGACATGAACCTGGGAGGCGGAGCTTGCACTGAGCCAAGATGGTGCCACTGCACTCCAGCCTGGGCGACAGAGTGAGACTCTGTCTCAAAAAAAAAAAAAATGTTGAATAGTATTCCAGTGTATGGAAATACCACATTTCATTTATGTATTCACAAGGTGATAATTTGAGTTATTCTCACTTTTTGGGTATTATTTATAATGCTGCTATGAGTGACAGTGTACATGTTTTTGTATAGACATGTGTTCATATCTCTTTGTTAATATTAATAGTCTAGATTTATACAAAAACAAATTTAAAGACTAACATTGAATATATTTGTTTCTACATTAGTAAGTAGATTTTTTAGGAGCTAATATGTTACAGACATTGTCTTAGGTCCTTAAATAAAGAAATAAAGAAAAAGACAAAATTTTCTCTCATAAAGCTTTGTTTTATAGTGTGGAAGACTAATAATGAGTACAAGATAAAAATGTATTATACTGAAATTTAAAAATTTATTATTTGTCCAGAATTCTGATTGGTGAAAAAAGAGATTGCATTTAATTTTTCTTTTTTTATTTTATTTTATTTTATTATTATTATACTTTAAGTTTTAGGGTACATGTGCACAATGTGTAGGTTTGTTACATATGTATACATGTGCCATGTTGGTGTGCTGCACCCATTAACTCGTCATTTAGCATTAGGTATATCTCCTAATGCTATCCCTCCCCCCTCCCCCCACCCCACAACAGTCCCCGGAGTGTGATGTTCCCCTTCCTGTGTCCATGTGTTCTCATTGTTCAATTCCCACCTATGAGTGAGAACATGTGGTGTTGGGTTTTTTGTCCTTGTGATAGTTTGCTGAGAATGATGGTTTCCAGTTTCAAACTATACTACAAGGCTATAGTAACCAAAACAGCATGGTACTGGTACCAAAACAGAGATATAGATCAATGCAACAGAACAGAGCCCTCAGAAATAATCCCACATATCTACAACCATCTGATCTTTGACAAACCTGACAAAAACAAGCAATGGGGAAAGGATTCCCTATTTAATAAAGGGTGCTGGGAAAACTGGATAGCCATATGTAGAAAGCTGAAACTGGATCCCTTACTTACACCTTATACAAAAATTAATTCAAGATGGATTAAAGACTTAAATGTTAGACCTAAAACCATAAAAACCCTAGAAGAAAACCTAGGCAATACCATTCAGGACATAGACATGGTCAAGGACTTCGTGTCTAAAACACCAAAAGCAATGGCAACAAAAGCCAAAATTGACAAATGGGATCTAATTAAGCTAAAGAGCTTCTGCACAGCAAAAGAAACTACCATCAGAGTGAACAGGCAACCTACAAAATGGGAGAAAATTTTCACAACCTACTCATCTGACAAAGGGCTAATATCCAGAATCTACAAAGAACTCAAACAAATTTACAAGAAAAAAACAAACGACCCCATCAAAAAGTGGGCGAAGGATATGAACAGACACTTCTCAAAAGAAGACATTTATGCAGCCAAAAAACATGAAAAAATGCTCATCATCACTGGCCATCAGAGAAATGCAAATCAAAACCACATTGAGATACCATCTCACACCAGTTAGAATGGCGATCATTAAAAAGTCAGGAAACAACAGGTACTGGAGAGGATGTGGAGAAATAGGAACACTTTTACACTGTTGGTGGGACTGTAAACTAGTTCGACCATTGTGGAAGTCAGTGTGGCGATTCCTCAGGGATCTAGAACTAGAAATACCATTTGACCCAGCCATCCCATTACTGGGTATATACCCAAAGGATTATAAATCATGCTGCTATAAAGACACATGCACATGTATGTTTATTGCAGCACTATTCACAATAGCAAAGACTTGGAACCAACCCAAATGTCTGACAACGATAGACTGGATTAAGAAAATGTGGCACATATACACCATGGAATACTATGCAGCCATAAAAAATGAAGAGGTCATGTCCTTTGTAGGGACATGGATGAAACTGGAAACTGTCATTCTCAGCAAACTACTGCAAGGACAAAAAACCAAACACCGCATGTTCTCACTCATAGGTGGGAATTGAACAATAACTTTTCATATAATATATGAATTTAAGAGTTTTTGGCTAATTACTTAATATACTTTATTCCTCAGATGATTCAAATTGGCATAATGTTCCTAATATATTAAATACATAGGGTTCAATTAGGTGAAAAAAGAAAAAAATGAAAATGAAAACATATTGCTAAATTTGGAGGCAGAATATAAAGTATAAAGGAATGTTCTTGTATAACATATTTCAAATTTACTTAAAAGCTATCTAAAAGCAAATTCAGCTATTTACTTATTTTTAGCTATTTTTAAACTAAGGCTCATTTTAATTATGATCACACAACATAAACATCACCTTGAGAATACTTGGTTTTCTGTCTATTTTAGAATTTTCAACCTGCCCAGTGAATTTCTTCATTTCCAGCTGCCACCAAGTTCCAGAGGGACATATGAGAATTTCCATTTGAAATAAGAAAATAAATTTTTTGCAAATATTTTTATTTGCAAACCAAAACAAAAATTTTAGCACAATATTTAAAACAACTTCTGGTAATGTTTATTCATTTCCCTATTTAAAAACAAAGCTTTTCTGAGGGGCAGATCAAGATGGACAAATAGAAGTTTCCACTGATTGCTCCCCACACAGGAACACCAAATTTAACAACTATCAACACAAAGGAAATACCATCATAAGAACCAAAAACCAGGTGAGCACTCACAGTAACTCTTTTTAACTTTGTATCACTGAAAGAGGCTCTGAAGAGGGTAGAAAAGACAGACTTGAATTACACCACTACTCCTCAATCTGTTGGCAGCAAAGGTGTGGCACAGAGAATCTGTGTGTTTGGGGAAGAGAGAGTGCAGCGATTGGGAGACTTTGCAATTGAACTCAGTGTTGCCCTGTCACGGCAGGAAGCAAAACTGGGCTGAACTCAGCAGATACCCACCCATGGGGGAGGAATTTAGATCAGCCCTAACCAGAAGGGAATCGCCCATCTCAGCAGTCTAAACTTGTTTTGGCAAGCCTTGCCACAGTAGGCTAATGTGCTCAGAAGCCTTAAATAAACTTGAAAAGTAGTTTAGGACACAATGCAACTTATAGGTGAGTCCCAGTACTGCGCTAAGCATGAAGACAGTGACTTGAGGACCATGTGACCTACTAAGACACCAGCTGGGGTGACTAAGGGAGTACTCTCTGTGATCACCAGCCAGCGCAGCTCAACTTCTAAAGACACCTCTTTCTTTTTCTTGAGGAGAGTGAAACCAGACCAATAGTCCCAAAAGGTTTTTTTTTTCCTTAATAAATGGAAATTGACCCTTCTGGTCTTAATGCTTGAAACTTAAATTTGTTTTACCTGAGGTTTTTCCTCAGGAAATGAACTTCAGGCCTTAAAAATTAAAAAAAAAAAAAAGTATCAAAGATCTGAAACTCACCAGATCACCACAGGCACCACATTTGGCAATGTGATGCCAAATCTCTCAATCATCATGATTCCTTCCTTGCCCCTCACTAGTTCCCATTTACTTATACATCGTTACATTTTTTTTCCTGCTATATAAACTCCTACTTTTAGTTGGTCAGAGAGATAGATTTGAGACTGACCTCCCATCTCCTTGACTGCAGCACCTGATTAAAGCCTTCTTCCTTGACAATACTCATCACATCAGTGATTGGCTTTTTGTGTGGTGAGTAGCAGGACCTAGACCAAACCCCTGGTGTTTTGATAATAAAAGAATGGGACAAAGAAAAGAGGACTTTGTCTTGCATCTTGGATACCAGTTGAGCCACAGTAGGACAGGGAACTGGGCAGGGTTGCAAGGCCCCCATTTCATGCCCTAGATCCTGAATGACATATCTAGACACACCCTGGGCCAGAGTAGAACTTGCTGCTTTGAAGGGAAAGACCTAGTCCTGGCAGGATTTAATCACCTGCTGACTAAAGAGCCCTTGGGTCCAAAGTGAACACTGGCGGTAGCTTGGCAGGGGTTCCTGTGAGCCTGTGACAGTGGTGGCCAGGAAGTGAGGTTCCTCTGCCTGTGCAAAGAAGAGCAAAGAGTGGGAAGGACTTTGTCTTGTGGTTTGAGTGACAGATCACTGCATTGGAATACAGAATGAGGTAGATTCCTGTAGTTTTTTTACTCCAATCCATGGCTCCCAGCCAGCATCGCTAGACCAGCCCAGTGCCTACGGGAACTTGCTACCCTGAACAGAAGGACTTCAACACCATCTGATAGTACAGCCTTAGGGCTTAGAGCAAACATAGGTGGTAGCCAGGTAGTGGTTAGATTAGGCCTTGGATAAGACCCACTGTTCTACTGGCTTCAGGTCTAACCCAGTGCAATCTCAACGGTTGTGGTCACAGGGATGCTTATATGACCCCTTCCCCAACTCTAGGTGACTCAGCATAGAGAGGTAGACTCTGTTTCTTTGGGAGAAAGTAAAGAAAGGGAACAAGAGTCTCTGCCTGGTAACCCAGAGAATTCTTCCAGATCTTATCCAAGACCACTGTCATAGGAAAATAAATCTTGAGGCCCCCAAATCACTAAGCTAAAGGGAAAAGTCAAGCTGCAAACTACTTAGGGCCAACCTGCCTTCCATTCTGTTCAAAGTTACCCCTCTGCTCACTGAGATAAAGGCATACCTGATTGCCTCCTTTGGAGAGGCTAATCAGAATCCCAAAGAAATGCAACCATTTGTCTTTTATTTACCTGTGACCTGGCAGCCCTCTCCCTGCTTTGAGTTGTCCTATCTTTGCTTCTAGTCATCCCACCTTTCCAGACCAAACCAATGTTCATCTTACATATGTTGATTGATGTCTCATGTCTCCCTAAAATGTATAAAACTAAACTGTGCTCTGACCAACTTGGGCACATGTTGTCAGAACCTCCTGAGGCTGTGTCATGGGCGTGCATCCTCAGCCTTGGCAAAATAAACTTTCTAAATTAACTGAGACCGGTTTCAGATTTTTGGGGTTCACACCACCAAGGCAGTACTTTTATAAATCTTCAAGAACCAAAGTGTTACTGGGTTTGGGGTGACCCCTAATGCAGATATGGCTTAGATCACAATACTCATCTTCTTTTGAATACCTGGAAAGTATTCCCATTGAAGGACATGATACATAATTCTTCAATGCCCAAATAAAGACAAACATCCACAAGCATCAGTTCATCCAGAAACACATGACTGCACCAAACGGACAATGTAAGTTACCAGAAACCAATCCTGGAGAAACAGAGGTATGCAACCTTTCAGAAAGAGAATTCAAAATAGCTGTTTACAGGAAATACAAAGAAATTCAAGATAACACAGAGAAAAATTTCAGAATTCTATCAGGTAAATCTAACACAAAGATTGAAATCATTAAAAATAATCAAGCAGAAATTCTGGAGTTAAAAAAATATAACTGACATACTAAATAACACATCAGAGTCTGTTAATAGCAGAATTGGTCAAGCAGAAGAAAGGATTAGTCAGCTTCAAGACAGGCTATTTGAAAATATGTAATCAGAGGAGATAAACAAAAAAAGAATAAAAATCATAAAGTATGCCTGCAAGATCTAGAAAGTAGCCTCAGTGGGCCAAATCTAAGTTATTGGCATTAAAGAGGAGGTAGAGAAAAAGTGGTAGAAATTTTATTCCTAAGGGTACTAACAGAGAACTTGCCAAACCTAGAGAAGATATCAATATCCCAGTACAAGAAGGTTATAGAACACCAAGCAGATTTAACCCAAACAAGATTACCTCAAGACACTTAACAATCAAACTCCCTCAAAATCCTAAAAGCAGCACTAGAGCAAAAAGAAATAACCTACAATAGAGCCCCAGTACAACTGACAGCAGACTTTTCAGTGGAAAGCTTAAAGGGCAGGAGAGAGTGGCATGACATATTTAAAGTGTAGAAGAAAAAAAGTACCCTAGAATAGTATATTTGGTAAAAATATCCTTCAAACATAAAAAGAGAAATAAAGACTTTCCCAGAAAAACATAAGCTGAGGAATTCATCAACACCAGACGTAACCTACAATAAATGCTAAAAGGAGTTCTTTGATCAGAAAGAACTTAATAAGATACAGGAAACTTGTCTGTAGGTACAAAACTCACTGGTTATACTAAGTACACAGAAAAAAACACAGAATATTATGATACTGTAATTATAATGGTGTAAACTACTGTTAAGTAGAAAAATGAAAAAATGAACCTATAAAAAATAATAACTACAACAACTTTGCAAGGCACAGAAAGAATAGAAACTACAAAAAGTTAAAAAGTGTGGGAATGAAGTTAAAGTATAGAATTTTGATCAGTTTTATTTTTGCTACTTTGTTCATGCAAGCAGTATAAAATTGTCACCAGTTTACAATAATGAGTTACATGATAGTATTTGCAAGTCTCATGAAAAGATACAATGGATACACACACACAAAAATAACAAGCAAGAAATTAAAGCATACCACCCGAGACAATTATCTTCAATAAAAGGAAGACAGGAGGGAAGGAAACAAGGAAGAGAAGACCAATAAAACAACCAAGAAACAACAAAATTGTGGGACTAGGTCCTTACTAATCAATAAACACAAGGAATGTAAATGTACTAAATCCTCCAATAAAAAGACATAGAGTGGCTGAATGAATCCAAAACAAGACCTAATGATTTGTTACCTACAAGAATTACACTTAATCTATAAAGACATAAATAGTTTAAAAATAAAGTGATGGAAAAAGATATTCCATGCCAATGGAAACCAAAGAAGAGCAGGCAAAGCTTTACTTATATCAGAAAAGATATATTTCAAGACAAAATCATAAGACGAGAAAAGGTCATTATGATAAAGGAGTCAATTAATCCAGAAGATTTAACTATTTTAAATATATATGCACTCAACACTGAAGAACTCTGATATAAAGCAAATATTAGAGAGAAAGAGAGAGATAGACTCCAGTACAATAATAGCTGGAAATCTCACCCAACCTCAACACACACTTTCAGCACCGGACAGATCTTAACACACACTTTCAGCATTGGACAGATCTTACAGACAGAAAATCAACAAAATAACAATGGACTTAATCTGCACTATAGACCAAATGGACCTAATAGATATTTACAGAATATTTCATCCAACAAATGCAGTATATACATTTTTCTTTTCATCACATGGATTATTCTCAAGGATGGACCATATGTTAGGTCACAAAACAAGACTAAAAACATTCAAAAAAATTGAAATAATAACAGGAATCTTGTCCTACCACAGTGGAATAAAACTAGATATTAATAACAAGGGGAATTTTGGAAACTACACAAACATGGGAATTAAACAATACGCTACTGAATGATCAATGCGTTAATTAAGTAATTAAAAAATTGAAAGATTTCTTGAGATAAATAATAATGGAAATATTCAAAAACTTATGGTAGATAGCAAAAGTAGCACTAAGATAGGTTTGTAGCTAAAAGCTGTGATATCAAGAAAGGAGAAAAACATCTAATAAACAACCTAAAAATGCATCATAAAAATTGGAAAAGCAAGATCAAATCAAACCCAAAATTAGTAGAGGAAAACTAATAATAAATGTAAGAACAGAAATAAATAAAAATGAAGACAACAACACACATGATCAATAAAACAAAAAAATTGTATTTTGAAAGTATAAAACAAAATCGAAAAAAGTTTAGCCAGTTTAACTAAGAAGAAAAAAGAGAAGACTAAAATAAATAAAATCAGAGAGACTTTACAACTGATACCGCAAAAATTCAAAGGTCCATTAGTGTCTACTAGGAGCAACTACACAGCAATGAATTGAAATATTGAGAATAAATAGATCAATTTCTAGACACATTCAATATACCAAGATTTAACTATGAAAACATCCAAAACCTGAACAGACCAATAAATGTAAGATGATCAAAGCTGTAATAAAAAAAAGTCTCACAGCAAAGAAAAGTATGGGACCCAATGGCTTCACTGCTGAATTTTACCAAACATTAAAAGAAGAGCTAATAAAAGTTCTACTCAAACTATTTCAAAAAAATAGAGGAGGAGGGAATACTTCCAAATGCATTCTCCAAGGCTGGTATTACTCTAATATCAAAATCAGACAAAGACACAACACAAAAAGAAAATCAATGGCTGATATATCTCATGTATTTTCATGCAAAAATTCTCAACAAAATACTAGCAAATCGAATTCAACAACACATTAAAAAGATCGTTTATTAAAACCAAGTAGAATTTATCCCTGGGATGCAAGGAGAGTCGAACATAGGCAAATCAATAAATGTGATAAATCATATCAAGAAAATGAAGGATAAAAACCACATGATCATTTCAATTGATGCTCAAAAAGCATTTGATAAAATTTAACATTCCTTCATGATCAAAACACTCAAAAAAACTCAGCATGAAGGGAATATAAACATAATAAAAGGCATAGACAACAATTTCACAGCTAGTCTCATTCTGAATGAGGAGAAACTGAAAACCTTTTCTCTAGGATCTGGAACATGATAAAGATGCCCCCTAACACCACTGTTACTCAACACAGTACTGGAAGTTTGAGAGCAGTCAGACAAGAGAAAGAAATAAAGGGCATCCAAACTGGAAAGAAAGGAGTCAAATTATCCCTGTTTGCAGATGATATAATCTTATATTTGGAAAACCTAAAGACTCAAGCAAAAAAAAAAAATTAGAACTAATAAACCATTTTCGTATAGTTGCAGGATACAAAATCAACGTACAAAAATCAAGCATTTCTCTATTCCAATAGTGAATAATCAGAAAAATAAATCAAGAAAGTAATCTCATTTACAGTATCTACAAATAATATTCAGTACCTAGGAATTAACTTAATCAAGGAAGTGAATGATCTCTACAATGAAAAGTATAAAATACTGATGCAAGAAATTGAAGAAGACACAAAAAATGGAAAAATATTCCATATTCATGGACTGGGAGAATCATTATTGTTAAAATGCCCAGACTATCCAAAGTAATCTGCAGATTCCATGCCATCTCTATCCAAATACCAATGACATTCTTCACAGAAACAGAAAAAAATATATATAAAATTTATATGGAACCCCCAAAGACCCAGAATAACCAAAACTATCCTGAGCAAAAACAACAAACCTGGAGGAATCATATTACCTGACTATTGTAACCAAAATGCATGGTATTGGCATAAAAAGAGACACATAGACCAGTAGAGCAAAATACAGAAGGCAAACAAAGGTGTCAAAAACATACTATGAAAAAAAAAAATGGTCTCTTCAACAAATGGTGCTGGGAAAATTGAATATTCATATGCATGAGAATGAAAATATCACTTTTCATATGCAAAAGTCAAATAAAAATGGATTAAATGCTGAAATCTAAGACATTATACTATGAAAGTACTAGAAGAATACATTAGGGAAGCTCTCCATGGGACTGGACAGAGATTTCTTGAGTAATATTCCAGGAGTACAGGCAACCAAAACAAAAGTGGGCAAACGAAATCACATCAAGTTAAAAAGCTTCTGCACAGCAAAGAAAATAATTTTAAAAGGAAACAGCCCACAGAGTCAGACAAAATAATTGCAACCTACTCATCTGACAAGGGATTAATAACCAGAATATTAAAGGAGCTCAAACAACTCTATAGGAAAGAGAATCTAATCATCCAATTGAAAAATCAGCCAAAGATTGGAATACACATTTCTCAAAAGAAACATGCAAATGGCAAACAGGCATATGAAAAGGTGCTCAACATCATTGATCATCAGACGAATGCAAATAAAAACTACAATATCATCTTACCCCAGTTAAAATGGCTTTTATCCAAAAGACAGGCGATAACAAATGCTAGCAAGGATGTGGAAAAAAAGAGAACCCTTTTATATACTGTTGGTGGGAATGTAAATTAGTACAACTACTATGGAGAACAGTTTGATGTTTCCTCAAAAAACAAAAAGTATAACTATTGTGCAATGCAGCAATACCACAGCTAAATGTGTACCCAAAAGAAAGAAAATTAGTGTTTTGAAGAGATATCTGAGCTCCCATGTTATTGCAGCACTATTCACAATAGCTAAGACTTGGAAGAGACCAAGTGTCCATCAACAAACAAATGGATAAAGAAAATGTGGTACATATACACAATGCAGTGCTATTTAGCCCTAAAAAGAATGAAATCCTGTTATTGTCCACAAGATGGATAAAACTGAAGGTGGTTATATTAAGTGAAATAAGCCAGGCACAGAAAGACAAACTTTGCACATCCCCACTTATTTGTGGCAGCTTAAATTTAAAACAATTGGATTCACAGCGATACAGTAGAAGGTTGGTTACCAGAGGCAGGGACAGGTAGTCTGTGTGTGTTGGGGGGTAAGTTGATATGGTTAACGGGTACAAAAAATAGCTAGAAAAAATGAATATGATCTAGTATTTGCTAGTGATAGATACAGGCGGCAGATGTGGGAGGGTCCACAGAGAATCTCTGACCTGCCCCACAGTGTTTATATCAGATGCTTTTGTGCTGATGAGGGAACCTGCCCAGGGCCTTCTCTGGGCATGCCCACAACGGACTAGGGGGCCCACCTGCACACTGGGGAAATAGGGTGGAGCCACCAGGAATTCGTGCCTTATGATGAGGGGAGGAGCCTGGCCTCTTCAGCTCATGTATGGTGGTCTAGTATTTAATCTGTGAGATGAGAGCCTGTTGGCAGGACCCTTTGTTTTCACTGAGCGCTTTCTTTTAATAAATTCCACCCTCCTCACCTTTCAGTGTGTCTGCATACCTAATTTTTCCTGGTCGTTAGACAAGAACCTGGATTTTAGCTGAATTAAAGAGCAAAAATTCCTGCACCATTTTGGTGGACCATATGGGGACATGAGGAAAGGTGAGTAAAATGCAGACCAAAAAATCTCTTTCCCTTTTGTTTCTGAGCTTTTTCTTGTCCTCAGAATTCTTCTAAAGGTAGAAGGAACTGCGACCCCTCACCCACCCCCACTGTCACTCTTGGGAGTTGGGAATGTCGGCCTCGGTTCCACCCAGTCTTTTCTATAGCATTTTCCTTATTTTCGGGACTGTAATGGCGTGTATCTTTTTTACCCCAACAGCCGCAGGCACATGCGGGATGAACAGGCAAGCAGTGGTTACCCATCCCCTTTCCCTCCTGACTGGGGCTGGGACACATGGCACAAGGGCCGGGCAGAGCAGGCTGGCTGGCATTCCCTACAATATCCATGGTGCCTTCCCCTTCCCTGGCTGAGGAGTCCAGCTCTGTGCAAGCCCCAGGGAAGAAACAACAATTAAAAGTTTCCCTCCCTGATGGAAGAACTCATTTGCATAAGAATAAGAAGCTTTTCCTCCAGGCATCTTTCCAGGGCTGTACTTTAACTGTTTTTTTTTTTTTTTCCTTCTCTCCACCCAGTCAGCAGTTAACACAGCCTTGAACTTTAAGCTATTTGTTTCTTTTCTCCATCAGGTCAGCAGTTAATTTTTATACAGAAGGCTTTTTTTTTCTTTTTTTAGAAGACATTTTACCAGGCTAGGACCCCAACTATCACTGTCTATATTCTCTGTAAAGTTTTAATTGTGAAAAAGGATTTGTGAGGTTGGTCTTAAGCTGTAGCCAATCTGGTGACTTTGCATAACTTTCTGTATGGTTCTGCCAGAATGAGGGGTACCTTAGGATGGGATGCAGGCCTAGGATTCCATACGCCCACTGTTCAAGGCTGACCAGCAAACTGGTCAGTGGCAAACTTTGCTGCAGGCCTCCATCTTGTTTTACTTTCTTGGAAGCATGACCTTTAACCAAGTGGCAGTGCTTTGTTTTAGTCTCCGCCATTTTACAGTGGCAGCCTGTAAAATTCAATCCTGGCTTAGGGAATGAGTCCTTTGCGGCTTGATATCTGAATGACCTTTGCCATTTGCTGATTATTTTTCCCTCAATGAACTGCCTTGAATTTTCCCTTCTCTGAGCACCTGGAAGGTTACCTTTGGTAAAGTTCAAGAGCCAGAAATATTGGCTGCTTGGTGTGGCTAAAGTCAGGTAATAGAGATTTAAACAAATTTTCTTTTTTTTTTTTTTTTTTGAGACAGAGTCTTGCTCTGTCGCCCGGGCTGGAGTGCAGTGGCACGATCTCGGCTCACTGCAAGCTCTGCCTCCAGGGTTCACACCATTCTCCTGCCTCAGCCTCCCGAGTAGCTGGGACTACAGGCACCCACCACCATGCCCAGCTAATTTTTTGTATTTTTAGTAGAGACAGGGTTTTACCGTGTTAGCCAGGATGGTCTTGATCTCCTGACCTCGTGATCTGCCCACCTCGGCCAGCCAAAGTGCTGGGATTACAGGCATGAGTCACTGAAACTGGCCCTACAAATTTTCTTAAAGTGTGCTCAGCTTAATTAAAAGTGGATATGCAAGTTATAGGCATAATTGAAAGGCCTTTATGTTTTTATTTTCTTGGGTCTTGTTTTGCTGGAAAAGTTTTTTTTTTTTTTTTCTCAGTAGACTGAATTATTCTTCTCCATTTTGCATTGCCACTCTTTTTTTTTTTCTTTTTTTTTTTTGAGATTGAGTCTTGCTCTGTTGCCCAGGCTGGAGTGCAGTGGCGTGATCTCGGCTCACTGCAGCCTCCATCTCCTGGGTTCACACCATTTTCCTGCCTCACCCTCCCGAGTAGCTGGGACTACAGGCGCCCGCCACCACACCTGGCTAATTTTTGTACTTTTAGTAGAGACGGGGTTTCACTGTGTTAGCCAGGAAGGTCTTGATCTCTTGGCCTCGTGGTCCGCCCACCTTGGACTCCCAAAGTGCTGGTATTACAGGCGTGAGCCACTGCACCCAGCTTGCATTGCCACTCTTAATGCACACATGAGAGGCTGTAAGATAATTTCTTATGGCCAGGAACTCCTTGGGAAAAGCAGGAAAGGCACCATGGATTCCATTTTGGGAGAGACCTCTGTTTTCCTCATGGAATCCCAGGAATTAGAGGCAGATAGATTCCTCTCAAAATCTGTTTTTTTCTTCCAACTATACCTGTTTATTGGGCCCTGGAAACAGCATGCTTTCCTATCATTGCTCTTAAAGGGCTCCACCCAGAGGCCAATAATCCAATTGGGAGATTGGCAAATGAAAAATCTTATAACTACTAGATCTACCTCTGTTTGTCTGTGTGGTTATATATGTGTTGTGTGTAGTGTCTATGAAAAAGAGCTCTAATTAACTGACTTCAAGAAGGACAAACACTTGGATCAAATATTTTTTAAAGGTAAGATAAAAGCCGTGGTAACTTTTGCCTCACATGACTTTAATCTTTGACAAATAAAAACAGCTTAAAGATTATTGGTAAAATGCAGATGTCATAAAAATGTAAATTTTTGCCTGGGGTTAAAGGATAGTTTAAAATTAGATAAGATAAAGCTATTTAAACAAGTTGTGGAAGGACTGTAAAAATTAATCTTGCAAAAGAAGTTCCATGTGTGAACATTGACTAAATTCAAAAGGGTTATAAAAAGTTTTTGATTTTTTTTAAATTTCTGCATCAACATTTTGGTGAAATAAATAACTTATGGTAATCTGGAATTTTATTTCATAACATCAAGTGTTTTAAACCTCTAACATCTAATAGGCTTCCAAAATCAAACTTCAGTTTCAAAATTGTCTTTCCTTGTGCCTGGCTTTTGGATACTACAGAGGGCCCCCGGATCATCCAGAAGAGAGGTAAACAGAATTAGCTGACATGTTTAGGTACATTGGATTGCCAAAATGATGTTTAATCTTCTTAGGTTATATTTTAGGGAATAATATTAATGTATGTTTCAAAATTGTATGGGATTTATAAAATTCTAATGTCTGCACATATGCTATCAATCACAATTAAGGTTGTTATTTTAAGTTATTGTAAACCATGGAGATAACCAAATTTCTTTGTCAACCATGCTTTCAACTGTAACTACTCTGGACATTTTGTTATCCACAGACAATTGTTGTCTTGTTTTGATCCTCTTCGAAATATGATTTATAACCTGCTATAGAACTTTGACAGGTGTTCTCATATGCATGTTTCTGGTAATTTGGAGATTGTGACACTGGAATAAAGAAAAAACTTACAGGGCTTTTGAAGAGCTGAAATGTTCATGAATATCAAGCAGAACAAGAGTTAACTGAATGGCCTGTGGAAACTGAAGTAATCTTTTTGACTTTTGCTTGGAACATTCCTGATCCTGGTTTCGTTTTTCAGAGTCAAGGAAACTTGTCTTGAGCTATGTATGACCTTTAATAATTGAGTGAGGTATACTCCTGTGAACAAAATTTGGAGCATATTTGTCTCTCTCTTTCTGCCTGGCTTCTCCAGAATTTGGAAACTAGTTGTGAGTATTCTTAACTTATGGCAATATAGTTGTTTACATCTGTGCAATAGGAATCCATTTTTTTTTCTTTTTTTGCAACAGGATACAATTGGAGAAACTGGTTGTTTTACCAAGGTTTTGACTGGAAGGATATGCTTCCTCTTAAGGAGTTAAGTTTGACTTGCAGAGCCAATAACAGTCCCTCACAGAGGGAAAACTGGCATCACACCTTGTCTACACAGTCCCCTGTACATGGTTCCTAACATGCAATGAGTAAAGAATGTCACTTTCCAACAGTCCCAGGAACCCTATGCTCTTGAGATCTCAAGAAGAGAGGAGTTTACCTAAGTCACAGGTATTTGAGGGTACAAACCCATGGGTGGGTGCAGCTTTAGAAAGTTCTATCTCAGATTCCTTGTGAAACAGAGTTCCATTAAAGCAAATTTTAAAAGCCTACATAGAAATAATTATTCTTGCTGCACTTTATGGAAATAATCAGGCCAAGCATAAGACTAAAGTTTATTTTGCAAATGACCCAGTCCTATCATGATTTGTTTTTAACAAAAATGAGGACTGGAGAGAGAGAAATTGTGTTTCAAAACTTAAACATTTGTCATTAAATTCTAGATTCAGTAGTCATTTTTAAGTTTTTCTGTACATTTTAGACTAACCCTGTTTGTTCCAGTGGACCAAACAGACATCTCAGATGGCAGCTCAGAAAGAACAAAAGGGATGGGTAATGTAAAAATCTGGATCCATATTCTAGTTCTGAGCAAATATCCTGCAAATCCTGCCAGGTGATGGGAATAAATAGGGTGCCCATCACTCAAAGGTTTCCTTTTTAGGAAAGTAAGACCAAGGGAGCCAGTCAAAGCCAAGCCCCATACACCCAGATCTTTGCAAGCATACCTATAGCCAACAGTTATCTGGGCATGTCACAAGACATCCTTTTCTCTCCCTTATTGGAGGACTTTATTACACAGCTTCACCTTAGTATTCGGCTTATGTTAAGGAGTCTACGCAACCCCCCATATTTTTTACCCCAAACTCCATTCCAAGCTTCCTGTCAAAGCCCTAGGAAAGAAAACTGGACCTGAGAGATCCAGAGGCAGATGATAACAGAAGTTAAAAGGCACAGCACTGGTGAGCATGACTGATTCCTGCCACTTAAGCCAAGCTTCCTATTTCATGGATAAAGGCCATGCTAGTATCCATGGCATAAATGAAGCCTAGGGAACTCAAAGGCTACTGACAGCAGGGAAGACAGGATGTATATGGGTAAGAGCAAATATTCCCACTCCCTAGGTCCCCTTGTTAACAAGGGCGAAAGCCACCTTGACACCCATGGGCGGTACCCTGTCATGGTTGCCGGGACTTAGGGATATAATGACAGAAGAAAGAAAGAGAGACTCCTCACTTTCTCTCCTTCACATACCCCAGGTATTCACTAGGAAGAGAAGGGATCCTGGGATGCCTCACTCCCCTCTTTCTAGATGAGTAGCCATTCATCTTCAGTCTGTACCCCTTTTGAATTCATCCTGAACCCCTGGGACTCCTTTGAAAAAAACACCTTTTTTTGTTTGTTTGTTTTCCCTTTTCCTCCTCTGTCCTCTCTTTACAGATAGGTAATGGTGTCTCCCCACATGGGACACTTCCATCAGATGCACCCTCCAACCTGGGAAAAGTTAATTTCCCAAACCTTAAACTTGTCTTAGAATTGGGCTCAGGGGAAAGGAACCCAGAAGCCTCACATATCAGCAAAAGGGTAAAAGCTTTTTTTTAACCAGTTGGTCTTTTGGCTTCCTTCTCCCTGTGCAAACAGGTAAAAGATCTTGAGATTTTTGAGCTGTCCTTACTGCCCCCTTATTTCATTTTGATACATGCTTTCTAATAACCTGGTTTATCTCTTCTAGTCTTCAGGCCATCAAACTCTAGTCATGCATCCGGAGCCTCAGACAATGGCCCCTTCTGCTGGGGACCCTTAGATAGACCTCTGAGGGAGCTGTGACTGCCATTTTCCCAAAACAGTGCCCCCTGTGAGCAGGAAGCAGTTAAGATTGGTCTTTGTCCCTAGACTTATTTCTAAGGGCAGTTAGATGTGCTTCTTTAGAGGGGGGAATGATAGATGCAGGAGACAGATGAGGGAAGATCCCTAGAGAATCTGCAACCCACCCCACAAGTGTTTACATCGATGCTTTATGTAGATGGGGGAACCTGCCCAGGGTCTTATCTGGGCATGTCCGACAACAGACTGGGGGCCCACCTATGCACTGGGAGAGTGGGGTGGACACACCAGGAATTCATGCCTTATGGAGCGGGAAGGAGCCTGGCCTCTTCAGCTCTTGTGTGGTGGCCTGGTATTTAATCTGTGAGGTGGGAGCCTGTTGGCAGGACCCCTTATTTTTGGCTGAGAGCTTTATTTTATTTTATTTATTTATTTATTTATTTATTTGAGACAGAGTCTCACTCTGTCTCCCAGGCTGGAGTGCAGTGGCACGATCTGGGCTCACTGCAAGCTCCACCTCCTGGATTGAAGCAATTCTCCTGCCTCAGCCTCCCGAGTTGGTGGGATTACAAGCGCCCACCACTATGCCCAGCTCATTTTTAGTATTTTTAGCAGAAACGGGGTTTCACCATGTTGGCCAGGCTGGTCTCGAACTCCTGACGTTGTGATTCTCCCGCCTTAGCCTCCCAAAGTGCTGGGATTACACACGTGAGCCACTGCACCCAGCCAAGAGATTTCTTTTAATGAATTCCACTCCTCAACTTTCAATGTGTCCATGGGCCTAATTTTTCCTGGTCATTAGATAAGAACCCAGATTTTAGTTGAACTAAGGACTAAAAAATCCTGCATCACTAGCACAGCATGGTGACTCTAGTCAATAATAATTTATGCTTTAAAAATATCTTAAAGAGTATAATTGAATTGTTTGTAACACAATGGATAAATGTTTGAGATGATGGATACTCTGTTTACCCTGATGTGATTATTATGCATTGCATGCCTATATCAAAGTATCTTATGTACTTTGTAAATATATACATCTACTATATGCTCACAAAAAATGAAAATAAAAATGTTCAAAATTAAAGTTTTTCTTATAACCATAAAATTTTAGTTTTTTATTGTTGAATATTTTTAAAATACACAAATTTACAAAAAGTAAAATAAGAATGTAAATATCACTACCCAGAGACATAGCTACTGATATTTATGCATTTTCATCTAGTTCTTCACCTTTGTATATTTTGCAAACTTCATGCATTGGTAAATATTTAATTTTGTAGTCTACCACTGAACTCAATATTTGCAATGCAGAATTTTGTCAAAGATGTCATAATTCATCCTAAACATTTTATTAATGGGATCATATTTTGTCCTATGATTTTAGGATAATCTTTTTTATATCTGCCTACTTGTAATTAATTAGATCAATTTTATAAATCATGCTGCTAGAAGCATCTATGTGCTAAAATATATTTTAGAATTAAGAATAATTTTGTAATATAGTTTATCATAAATGCAATCACACAGCCAAAAGGGTACCAACACTTCAAAGTCTTAATATATATTTTTCAAAAAATCTTATATCAATTTAGACTCCCTGTCAGCAGATATTGAGAGTATGGAAAGTACTTATCTCATAATACTCTGAAAGCTTTGAAAATTTAACTTTATTTACTTCTTTAAGTGTCTGTCTGTTACACTATTGGTAGCAATTAACAACCTGACACAGGATGCTATATCAAGATACGTATTTATATATAAAAGCAATACATTGGGATCATATATTAAATTGTAATTAAAATTCAAGTATGTGAAGAGGGAGTTGAGAAGAGATACAAGAGACCTAAATCAGCATTTGTGAATTTTACTTGGAAATAATTTAAATCTCAATTCAGGCAGAACATCTCTGAAGTAGATTCCAGTTTTGTGACTGAGAAAAACAGGGAAAATGATAGGGATTGAGAAATGTAAAAGTAGATGAGTTATAGAGATTCCCAGAGGCAAAAAACATCACCCCGTGTAATGGCATTTAAAGACCCTAACCTTGAGAGGATGCCGGGAAGTCCTTGAGTGGCTAAAAGACAGTTTCATAAAAAATTTAATTATATAGAAATGTTGATTAAACAAACTTCATTTAAAAAATTCAGCTGGGTCTTTTGTCATTAATACAACTGATATTCAAATGGAAATGACCTCTCTTTACCCACCAGAAAAATCCCACAAGCCACTCAGACAGAACTACCTCACAAAACATTTGTATATTTTTCAATAAATTATTATATAAAATTTTTCATAATTGACACAAATATATTTTCACATTAGTCTAACAAATCTAACAGTTTCTATCAGCTGGCTTTTGGATTATCACAACCATTAAAATACCTAAATTGTGTTTACCACCAAAGATCTTGAATTAAAAACATTTTCTAAATGGGGAAATAAAGGTGAACCTAGAATAATGTTAGAATGAGAGTTGGAAGGAACTTGAAATACTAGCTCAGTCTAATGTAAATTAGAAACCCTACTTTCTAAATTTCATTTTATTAATTATTTTTGAGTCAGCCTGGATTTTATTGATTTGATGTAAATGCTGCAGGCATAAATGTGTGAGCCAATGAGAGTCATCTTTTAATTGATTAGGATATGTGTGTATTTAGGCAAGCTAGAGCTTGACATTTTGCACAAATGACTCACAGTTTGTATTTTCCTCTTTGTACTGGTTTGAAACCCATAGAATGGGTTTGTCTCAAACCAGTACAAACCCATTCTAAGTTCCTTCCAGTTTAAACCCAGATAGTAAACCAGAAGGCGTATAAAATTTTAAGTGAGGGTGGAAAACACTTTCCCAGATGTGTGACTACAGGTAGATATTACCAAAAAGCTACCAGAAGACAAGAAATAACTAAGATCAGAGCAGAACTGAAGGAGATAGAGAAACAGAAAACCCTTCAAAAAATCAATGAATCCAGGAGCTGGTTTTTTGAAAAGGTTAACAAAATTGATAGACCATTAGACAGAGAATAAAAAAGAAAAGAGAGAAGAATTAAATAGACACAATACAAAATGATAAAGGGGATATCACCACTGATCCCACAGAAATACATACTATCATCTGAGAATAGTATAAACACCTCTACACAAATAAACTAGAAAATATAGAAGAAATGGATAAATTTCTAGACACATACATCCTCCCGAGACTAAACCAGGAAGAAGTGGAATCCCTGAATAGACCAATAACAAGTTCTGAAATTGAGGCAGTAATTAATAGACCACCAACCAAAAAAAGCCCAGGACCAGATGGATTCATAGCCAAATTCCACCAGAGGTACAAAGAGGAGTTGGCACCATTCTTTCTGAAACTACTCCAAACAACAGAAAAAGAAACAGTCCTCCCTAACTCATTTTATGAGTCCAGCATCATCCTGATACCAAAATCTGGCAGAGACATAACAACAAAAAAAATATTTTACACCAATATCCCTGATGAACAGCTATGCGAAAATCCTCAATAAAATACTGGCAAACTGAATCCAGCAGCACATCAAAAAGCTTATCCACCACGATCGAGTTGGCTTCATCTCTGGAATTCAAGGCTGCTTCAACACACACAAATCAATAACATAATCCAACACAAAAACAGAACCAATGACAAAAACCACGATTGTCTTAATAGATGCAGAAAAGGCCTTCGATAAAATTCAACACCTCTTCATGCTAAAAACTCTCAATAAACTAGGTATTGATGGAACGTATCTCAAAATAATAAGAGCTATTTATGACAAACCCACAGCCAATATCGCACTGAATGGGCAAAACTAGAAGCATTCCCTTTGAAAACCGGCACAAGACAAGGATGCCCTCTCTCACCACTCCTATTCAACATAGTATCTGAAGTTCTGGCTGGGGCAATCAGGCAAGAGAAAGAAATAAAGGGTATTCTAATAGGAAGAGAGGAAGCCAAATTGTCTCTGTTTGCAGATGACATGATTGTTTATTAGGCGAAAATCTCCTTAAGCTGATGAGCAACTTCAGGGAAGTCTCAGAATACAAAATCAATGTGCAAAAATCACGAACATTCCTATACACCAATAACAGACAAACAGAGAGCCAAATCATGAGTGAACTCCCATTCACAATTGCCTGAAAGAGAATAAAATACCTAGGAATCCAACTTACAAGGGATGTGAAGGACCTCTTCAAGGAGAACTATAAACCATTGCTCAAGGAGATAAGAGAAGACACAAACAAATGGAAAAATATTCCAAGCTCATGGATAGGAAGAATGAATATCATGAAAATGACCATAATGTCCAAAGTAATTTATGGCTTCAATGCTGTACCCATTAAGCTACCATTGACTTTCTTCATATAATTAGAAAAAACTACTTTAAATTTCATATGGAACCAAAAAAGAGCCCAAATAGCCAAGACAATCCTCAACAAAAAGAACAAAGCTGGAGGCATCACACTACCTGACTTCAAACTATACTACAAGGCTACAGTAAACAAAAGAGCATGGTACTGGTACCAAAACAGATATATAAACCAAAGGAACAGAATAGACGCCTCAGAAATAACTCCAAACATGTACAACCATGTGATCTTGGACAAATCTGACAAAAGCAAGCAATAGGGAAAGGATTCCGTATTTAATAAATGATGTTGGGAAAACTGGCTAGCCGTATGCAGAAAACTGAAACTAGACCCCTTCCTTACACTTTATATAAAATTTAACTCAAGAGGGACTAAAGGCTTAAACATAAGACCTAAAACCATAAAAACCCTAGAAGAAAACCTAGGCAATACCATTCAAGACATAAGCATAGACAAAGACTTCATGACTGAAACACCAAGAGCAATGGCAACAAAAGCCAAAATTGACAAATGGGATCTAATTAAACTAAAGAGCTTCCACACAGCAAAAGAAACTATCATTAGAGTGAACAGGCAACCTACCAAATGGGAGAAAATTTTTGCAATCTATTCATCTGACAAAGGGCTGACAGCCAGAATCTACAAATAACTTAAACAAATTTACAAGAAAACAACAACCCCATCAAAAAGTGGGCAAAGGATATGAACAGACGCTTCTCAAAAGAAGACATCTGGCCCACAAACATGAAAAAAAGCTCATCATCACTGGTCATTAGAGAAATGCAAATCAAAACCAAAATGAGATACCATCTCATGCCAGTTACAATGGTGATGAATAAAAAGTCAGGAAACAACAGATACTGGAGATGATGTGGAGAAATAGGAACACTTTTACACTGTTGGTGGGAGTGCAAATTAGTTCTACCATTGTGGAAGACAGTGTGGCGATTCCTCAAGGATCTAGAACCAGAAATACCATATGACCCATCAATCCCACAGGATTATAAATTACTCTACTATAAAGACATGCAAACATATGTTTATGGCAGCACTATTCACAATAACAAAAACTTGGAACCAACCCAAATGCCCATCAATGATAGACTGGATAAAAAAAATGTGGCACATATATACCATGGAATACTATGCAGCCATAAAAAAGGATGAGTTCATGTCCTTTGCAGGGACATGGATGAAGTTGGAAACCATCATTCTCAGCAAACTAATACAGGAACAGAGAACCAAACACCGCACGTTCTCACTCATAAGTGGGAGTTCAACAATGAGAAAACTTGGACCCAGGGAGGGGAACATCACATGCCAGGGCCTGTCAGGGGTTGGGGGGCTAGGGGAGGGACAGCATTAAGAGAAATACGTAATGTAGATGACAGGTTGATGGGTGCAGCAAACCACCATGTCATGTGTATACCTATGTAACAAACCTGCACATTGTGCACATGTATCCCAGAATTTAAAATATAATAATAATTTTTAAAAAACACTATGAAACTTAGAGCCTTATTAATTTACCAGCACCTGGTGAAGGTTAAGGAGGCAGGATATATACAACTCTTATGGCTCCATAAATTTAATGCCTTCCCTACCTCCTTTCTTTCTGTTCTTGCTCTATGCCTTGCATTATTCAGCATACCCTTCAATCCTTCAGAACGTTTTGTTTCCTAATAGCTATATTTTTCATGGCTCCCTAAAAATCTATTTACAACTCCTCAAACTCTAATTAGGTGGCTCATCAGAGCTTTTATCCTTTTCATAAGATAAGTAAAATTCAAAAATTGCATATATTTGTACTTCTTTACAATTTGCTTGTTTTTATGGGAAAGAAAAGCATTTGCCCTGGAAGGTGGCTTTTTCTCAAGGGTTCCCACTGCAAGTGAAAGAGTCAATGTACATTTTCCTTATTATTAATTTCAATCTAGCATCAGCTCACACTGTCATCTGCAGAATATTGATAAGTAGAATTCTACATTGTGTTTCATTTCCAAGAGGGGGATCTTAAATACAGTTCTGGAGGTATGGGATGTCCTTATTCAATTGAATAAATGGCATATTGAGCACCTGTTATGTGCCAGTCACTGTGTTGGTCACAAGGAACACAGACATAAAGATTCTCTGTGTTATCCAAGGCTTTTACAATTGGATATACCTGCTACATAGCAATTATGTAATGTAATGCCTGCAGTCTGACAGGTGTGTGCTGAAATATGCTTAAGGATAGGTTCATCAAGGGGGTAAAATTTAAACTCATAATGAAGTTAGAGTTTGCCTTTCAAAGACTGAGGCTGGGCAAGTGAGATAATTGCATTTTAGTCAGAGGAAGGAAATGACATGTACAAAGGCAAGGAGCCAGGAATGAGCCTGGCATTTCCTGAGAATGACAATTAATTCAGCGTCAGCAGAGCCTAGGATGTGTGTAGGAGAAGGGAAAAAGATCAAATTCTACAGATAGGCAGCAGTTGTGTCCTGACGGGGAGTCTATGAAACTTTTATAGCAGAAAATTTGCTTGATTGGATTTGCATTTTAGAATTAGGGCTCCGGAGGCAGTGATTGTGGAGGATGAATTGTAAGGAGTCAAGTCTGAAAATGAAGGGTCAATTTTCTGGTCTATTGCAATAGACTCCAGGCAAAAGATAACAAAGGATAGCAGAATGTGTAAGATGAAAAGACCAGGTGTGGGGTGGTGGTTGTCCACATTGATTAAGATCATACACTTGAGAAGCATATTACTTCAGAATTGTGCTTAACCTTTCTAATTTTCTGTTTTCTCATTCATAAAATGGAGATTATGCAACTTACCCTATAGAGTTGTAGAAAAAATGGAGCAAGATGGAGTATGTACTCAACATAATATCTGAGATATAATGCATTTTCAATTATTAGTATTTATGTGGTAATATAGAATGTTGTTTTGTACTTGAACAGACAGCAGAATGAGGAAGAAGAAATGGCCAAGATATCCGCCACTTATTTATAGAAAGGCAGGTTTTGATGGTTGTGATTTCAACTTTGGTCATGTTTAGTTTGAATTGCCTATGGCACAATCAGCTGAAGTTGTCTGTAAACATGTGGATATGTGTTACGTGGAGCACGTAAGACTGATCTGAAGACATCTCCCTGAAAAGCACTTGTTTCTTTATTCTTCACCCTCCATTGAAAGAAAGAGCCTTCCATTTTTGATGGAATACTATTAGAAGAGTACATTCAGCCATTTCTTTACTCATTCTTCCATGTAAATGGGCTGATAAAACAGGGACTCAGTAAGTATAGCTTTGGCTCTATCTTCTCTTTCTTCATTATTTATTGTCTCTCTCTTCTCTTCTATTTCTCTCTCTCTCCCTTATCCTTTGCTCCTGTCTGTTTGACATTGGTCCACATGTGCTAGATACTATTGAGAGTTTGCTTCTTAACTAACACCTGAATATATTTTCTTTCTTTCTCTTTAGGAACTCAAAAGAAGAGAAGCAGGAAATGAAAGCATTTGCTCTGAAGAGGTAGGCAGAGCCTGCAAATGTGTGAAGGAGGAGTGCCGGAGAAATAGAAGAGCTGAGAATGAGAATAAGTCCTCTGGCATCAGAACCAGTTTAATGCAGGCTCTTTCCAGTTAAAAACAAAAACAAAATAACACGAATGGCAGGCCGTGCTCAAGAAGGGTCTACTATTGCAACACCCAAGACCTCATTTTCCCAACACACATTCAAATAAAAAAGTTCCAAGTGGAGAGAGGGTAAAAATGTTGTAAAATGTTAGAATCACAAGGTTTGGAGTGAAGTAAAGGGGCCATCAGAGCATCATGTCCAATCAAGAACAGGCCCACTTCAACTGTCGATCCTTATCACCCCACTGAAAATTATTTGTGTATCTATGAACTGATCTAAGCCTCCGGATACCCATAAAGATAGTATACAATGTTCCTTAATGTCAGGTGTTGAGTTGGTACCCATTCTTTCATTAGACAAATATGAAAAAGACAAGTAATTGTGGAAATACAAACTTACAACCATGTAGAACAGACTTTGAGAAAAAACAAGAAGAAAGCATAGACAGTGACAGTGATCAAATTGGGTTGATTTTAGAGGTGGTATAAGAGGACAGGTTATGAAGTCCTGTTACATTACTCTTATATGTAAATAAAATATCTCAACACATTGTTTTTGATGAAGCCAAATTGCTAGAGACACTGAACCAGCGTAGCCAGACATACTGAGACAAGCTGATATGGAAGCATCTCTTTGAAAGACACACTCCTTTCACTTTAGAAATTCAGTGATTCTTCAAGTACTTTATTGAGAGACAGAAGCCAGAAAAAATAGTGGAAAATAGAACTGCCAATTTAATAATGATGTCTCGGAGAAGTAGAAAGAACGTAATAAAGCTACCAAATGCTGACTTTTCCTTTCCATATGAAACCATCAAAACATCTCATTTATCCAGGCCACATCCTTTTCCTGTGTAGCCTGGGACATTGAGAAGAGTCTGATACATTTTCTGTTTCCACAGATAATTTACTTTCTCCTCAGGTATATGGAAGGTTTGGGTGACATAAAACTCACTGAATATTAGAAATGTAACAGTCACTCAAAAAAGTCATTATTAAAAAGTATTACTATTTTATAACCTATTCCAGCCACTAAACTACATGCATTGCATGCATCATTCACATTAATTATTATGATGATTTTTTGAGACAGAGTCTTGCTCTGTTACGCAGGCTGGAATGCAGTGGTGCAATCTTGGCTCACTGCAACCTCTGCCTCTCAGGCTTAATCAATTCTTCTGCCTCAGCCTCCCGAGTAGCTGGGATTACAGGTGGCTGCCACCATGTCCAGTTAATTTTTGTATTTTTAGTAGAGATGAGGTTTCACCATGTTGGCCAGGCTGCATTCATATTAATTTAAACCAATCCTTTGTACTAGAAGATATTATTTTCTACCTTGCAGATGAGGAAACTGAGATCTAGAACATTGAGTATCTTGCTAAAGATTTTATAAGTAATAAGAAACACAGCAACAATGTCTTTGGGCTTCAAAGCCATTATCTTAATCTTTCTCTTTTATTTTATATGTTATGCAAATTATTACTTAGTTTACAACACTAATGATTGTGACAAAATTAAGAATGGTGGATAATTTAATCAAGAAAAACAGAATAGTGAGGACTGAGACAGGTAAGTGATGAGAAATGAGATCAGTAGCTTCTGAGCGTCAGAGTTTCTCTCTCCCAAACTCTCAAGCACACACTCCCACTTAAACTTGTCTGATATAGACCAAACAGATTGAGAAACCTCACAGGAATGTTATAGGCAGTAAAGAAGAAACAACAAAGATAACAACATCGAATGAATTTATATCAACCGAAAAAGAGGCAACGTCAGATGGGCTGAGCCAAGCTGGGAAAATGCCTGAATTTTAGGATTATTAATGTTGGAGAATAACATCATAGCCTATCAAGAGTTTTTGCTCACCAAGATAGACTGATGATGAAACAATTTTGCAGGTAGTGGTGAAGAGTCAATGTGGAATATATTTGAAAGCATGTGCTCGTTAAGGACGAGTGAGTGCTATAAATCGTGAATATCTGACCACTTCATGTTCATAGCTGGATGCTACAAATGGCAAACCTAACAATGTAATTGAAGCTACTATGTCACCAAACAGATTTGAATTTTAAAAAGAACCCCCCTAAAGGGACATTGTTTGTTCTCCAGGGATTTATTAAGCATGATAGAAGTAGTCAGCTCATAATTTTTCAGCCTCTTTGTTTCAGGAGAAGATAATGAATTTTAATTAGTGAAGAAGACAGCTTTCCACTAAGGAGAAGAAAGCAAAGAAAACAGGAACACTGGTGTGTTTGGAGAATAATGTTAAAGCACATAACACCCCTTATTAATGCTAAACTGATGAGCAAAGCTTTTTGCCCTCTGCTGTTGTATAACATAAAAATAAAAACAAAAACTGAGAAAATGTGCTATAGATTGTGAGAAAAAGGGAAAAAAGTATGACTAAGATTCATAAACAGATTTTTCCAGATCACAAAGTCCTTAACACACTGATCATCACTCTTAATCAATAGTAATTGATGGTGGCACATTTTCAACAATGCTTGTTCTGCTTACTGAACATTCTGTCGGTCCTCTTTGTACTAGAGAATTAATAAGTAATAAGATGGGCCTATTATGAGATAGGAATTTCTTTCTTTTGTTTTCCAAGCATTTTAATTAGGCCTAAATCGTCCTGTATTGGCTATCTGGGAGAACTTGCAAAAGGTAGAAGATGCAATGGTAAGATATGGCTTGACTCATTGTTAGCTAAGCTCCTTTTTCCCTTGTTGATTTCGGGTGTGTGTGTCTGCATGTGCACAAGCACATATGTTATATGTAAATAAAATATCTCAACACATTGTTTTTGATGAAGCCAAATTGCTAGAGACACTGAACCAGGGTAGCCAGACATTCTAAGACAAGCTGATATGGAAGCATCTCTTCGAAAGACACACCCCTTTAACTTTAGAAATTCAATGATTCTTTGAGTACTTTACTGAGACAGAAGCCAGAAAAAAAAACAGTAGAAAATAGAACTGCCAATTTAATAATGATGTCTCGGAGAAGTAGAAAGAAGGTAATAGTAAATAAAAGAAAGAAGTTTAGTGTTTGGGGGAGGACTACTGATTACAGTATTTTGGAAGGAGAAGTTGGTTTTAATTTGGTTTTTGAAGCATCTTTCAAACGATGAATAAGAAGATACCCTCTTTTGTCATTGTTTAGTTATATTGATGGTCCTTGCAGTAATTCTATTCACAAATCCTGGGACCCCCTTTGCTAATAAGGCTTTCATTCAGTAAGCATGCAGTGCCCATAAATTATTTGACATCTACTGCCCAAAATTACAACCAAGTATATGCAGCTTTGCTTTAGTGCCCTGATATAAATTCACATGCAAATGCTGTTTGAATTATGAGTGTGATTGATTTTCAGTGATGCCATTTGAGGAGACTAGTGAGTTTATTGTGCTTTTCTGGCCTCCACTGTGAGTATCTCGCTACTCTAGATGACAGCCCTAAATACTCCCAGTTAGACCCATTAAAAAAGACATATACTCACTTTCTATTCAGGACAGCTTGAAAAAAACTGGCCATGTCCTCCGGCCTGTGTCACTGCTATTACCAGCTATATAACCTCTTGACCGAAGTGAAGTTTCTCTCCTGACCAGAAAGGATAAATTTGAGTCGCTCAAGAATCCAAAAGAAGTAGAAGACTCCTATCCCCCTTTATCTACCCCATAAACTTGTGCGCACTGTCTAAAAAAAAAAAAAAGAACTGTAATTTTTTTTCCATAAGAAATAGGGACTTTCTGTTCTATCCCCTTCCACTAAGTTTTGGTATCCAGAAGGTAAGAAGTGACAAATAAAACTTGTTTTGGTTTTATGCCTCTCTAGTAATTCTTTATGGCCTCTGTAATCTCTAAGGCCGTCTTTGGCTAAAGGACTAGACCCTGCTCTTAGACACCAGGAAATCAGTCTTTAGCAGTCTAAAACAGTAGACTAACGATTTTCAAGTTACAGATCCACTAGTGAGCCAATAGGGTCTTCTTAATAGGTCAGGTATTTATTCAGAAACTCAAGGTTTTTTTTTTTTATTTATTATACATAAATAATGAACAATTTCATTCAGATCTATTTGGGGTGAAGAGCAAGGGCTAGTTCTTTTGGATACTAAAAGTTGGTGTGCATAAACCAATATTAGCTCAGTAGTAGAACTTGATGAGAAGGTAACACCGTATTATATTAACATATAAAATTGCAAAGTTGCTCCTACACAGTCATGAATGTAGATGGAATTCTTCTGAATTTTCAAGAATTATCAGTGCTCCATTGACTTAGTTGTGATTGTCGTAAGTCACTAGATTTGCTTCAGAAAGATCAGTTGTGGTTAGCTTATCATTTATCTTTTGCCACTTTGAGAAAGACAGTTCTTGGTTGGTACAGTTGTCCCCTGCATTGCATAAGTTTTGACATTCGTGGAATGACATTCCTGACTTTCCCACAATACCAGACAACATAATGCCCCCAGATCATCCTCAGATTTTCCCAACTCTAGTCTAAATGGGCATGATTGTTCCTGGCTGAAAAATTACTTTTACCAATTAATATCAATATAATTTGTGGGCATCATTTACTTAATTCCAAAATGTGCTCAGATAAGCATATGACCTTTATTTTGTAATAAACATATTTAAAGTTATTAAACATTATACATTTATGAAACTATATTTTATAAATGAAAAAAATTAAATATTCTTTTAATTGTGCTTATACTGAAAACATCATTGATGTTATGCACCCATGACTATGTACTATTCATATAATGTAAAATTTTATTAGGCAGTGTTGTGGATTGAGTTGTGTCCATAGAAAGAAATGTTGAAGTTCTAACCCCTTCCCTCAACCCTTTAGAAATGGGGTTATGGCAGACATAATTCTGTTAGGATGAGATTATACTGGATTAGGATAGATTATATTCCAATATGACTGGTGCCTTTATAAGAAGGTGAGAAAAGATAGGAACACACTGAGATAATGTCACGTGACGACAGAGGCAGAAGTTTCAGTGATGCATCTGCAATGAAAAAAGATGCCAAGGATTCTAGGAAAAGCTAAGAAGAGGCGAGGAAGGATCACCTCCTAGAGCTTTCAGAGACAGCATAGCACTGCTGACTACTTGATTCTAGACTTCTAGCATCCAAACATGTAGAGAATAAATGTATGTTGTCTTAAACCACCCAGTTTATGGTAATTTGTCATTGCAGTCCTATGAACTGATATAGACAGGTTACCTAACTTCTCTATGTTTCCAATTCCTACTCTGTTGAATAGAACAAGTACAGGAGTTCTGAGCAATAATATGTTAATATGAATAAAACATTTAGAATTAATGTATGATACATGACTGTAACATAATTAGAACTGTATGTATTAGCTATATATACTTTAAGTAGGTGCATTAAACAATATTTCATAATTTCTGCTTCTAGGATATTTTATTCATTAAAGCTTGAGGTTGGCAAACTATGACTCATGGGCCAAGTCAAAACTGCCACCTGCTTTTGTAAATTAAGTCTTTTTTTCATTTTGTAATGGAGCCATATCTGTTTATCTATTTTGACATAAGTGATTTATTTATATTACTAGCCACAAGTTTCCTGCAGCTTACTTCTTTTGTTTTTCTATAATTTGGGCTCTATTCCAACTCAAAGCAGGAATGAATAGGGTAGATGAACTGGTGGGTCACTTAGTCCACATAAGTTCTCAATAGTTAAGTGATTAAGGCCAGTGATTCAGATTTATCTTTAGTAGAACTGATGATTAAAATGAGGACTAAAATAATACATTTTATTGTCTCTGCATTTGCTAATAAGGCTTTATGTAATGATGACTCACGAGAGTTTAGTATGCTTCTAACTAGAAACCACATTTTCGTATTGAGAATCATCTTTGTTTAAACATTTTTTCAAGCTATCGATTCTCATATCCAATACTGCCAAATGAATTAAACAAAGCAGTAAAGTAAAAGTAATGACCCCAAACTCAAAAGCTAATTTATAAAGTGAAAATTACAAGCTTTTAAAGCAAGAACATGGGTGATATAATCATTGGATGAGGAGATTTATCTGTGCCAGCTTGCTCAGACTTTTATATGCACTTCCTGAGGAAGGGAACAAGATCCTATTGTCAAAGAGCGGAGAGTCTACCCCTTTGTGACCTTCAGGGGATTGCTAATTTTCATGTTGCTTGTATGGCTAGCTTTTCAGCTCTTACCACGAAATTATTCTTTCTAACCCTAAGGAGAGTGAAAATTCTAGGTTGAGGAGGGCCTAGGTTGAGAGACTACATATATTTAATTTTTTTCCTGTTTCAAAATTCATGGATGAAAGATGGGCCAATTATAAGCAGTGGTTTTCTACTATATATTCATCTCTTCATGAGGCTAATTTATTTTTGTAATAACTAGTTTCGCTCCTTGGAAGGATCTGTTCATGGTGTAAAGAACAGAACATTGCATTAGGGTTTAAGAGGGCTCAACCAACTCCAGATCATCTCAGGTCAGGATAACTGTCAACACTAAATTACTTGGAGATCATTTGGGGTTTCTACATTATATTATATGGGCTAGAGGGTTCTGAGACCTAATTAAAATATCAGTGCTTTCTGAAAAATTATTCAAATTATTGGTAAGGCCTAAGAATCACCTAGCAATGCACCTTATTTGTGAAAAGGTTTGCAGCAGTCATTTAAAACAATTTTAACTCACTTCTAAAGGGTTTTATCCAACTGGGCTTACCTCAAGGTAATTTACTCAATAAACACCAATTGAAGACTTACTAATTAGTAGACACTGTGCTAACTTAGCTTATAGTGAAGAGAAAGAAACAATAAACAAAATAATGTAAATACCATTTTAGAAGGTCTTAAGTACTATGGAAGTGTTATATAATTGCTAAGAGTAGGAAGTGTTATAAAATTGCTAAGATAGGTCAGAGAGTTGGAATTTTAGAAAAGATAATCAGGGAAGGTTTTACTGTGAAGGTAAACAGTTAAACAAAAATTTGATGGACATTTAATCAAACATCATTTGGGGACCATCTGTTTACCCACAACTCCCAAGGACAAATGTGGGCTCTGCCTCTAGCTGAAATGAATCATTGGTAGAAGCAGAACTTCTTTCCGTAGAATGGAAACCCCACATAGAATCCTTTAGCAAAATGAGCTTGTATAAGGATTTGTCATGGAAGACATTAGCAATCATAGCATTCTGACTGTTTTCAAATAATAGAATTAAGGGGGAAAGTTTCTGATCCTAGGAACAGGGACTTCAGCCCCTGCCCCAAGATCTGCAGATACAGCCTCCCCACCTCCAACCATCACACATTTAAGCCACCACAAAATAATACCATCTCAGTTAAAACTACGTGATTTGATTGTTATGTTAATATAGCTTCAAGAGGAGTCTCATAATTTGAACATAACAACATAATGGCAGATGGAGGCTAATGTATTACATTTATGACCAAGTAAATCTAATTTTCACCATGTATTAAAGTAGGAGACCCATATGGGCTAACCCTCAGAATTGCATGGACCATGCAGAAATCAGAGGTAAAGTAGTAAAGAATGTGAAAGTCACTTTGCAGCCATTAGTAAGGCAAGAATAAATATGCTCAGAGAAATATAAAGTTCCATGAAAAGGGAGTAGAGAAAATGAAGACTGGCATAATTCTCTGAGGATATTACAGTTAAGTAGAGGCCAATTAATGTATGTGCAGAAATACTTCTGGAAGCAAAATGACTCTGGATTGAAGGGTAGAATAAAACAAGAAGAACTGGACCAACAGTTCTATCTTAGAACATTCCGAATGTGTGTCATTTTTACACAAGAAACTTAAATGTTATATCATTTTATTTGTTTTGATTAAGCTCTATTGAAGAAACAGAATCAGTATACAGAGTCAATAAAGCTTACTGAAAGGGCGTATGTGCTTCTATGTGTCAGAGGATGCTAAGTTTAAATAATAAATATAGCAATCTTGAAAAACACAATAGAGAATATGTAAATGAATAAACAGTGGGTAAGGATAATGATGCATATATTCCTTTAAGTCTCACAAATAAAACGTGTTTAGCATATAGGAGAGCCTTGTAAATCTAATAAAATTATTGGACAAATTTGATGTGGTGTTGTTGGTTAAAAAAAGAATGAGAAGTATAAAACAGTTAAATATGTGCAAAATCAGGACTGTAAATGCCAAAGCAGGTAGGAATTGAGCAGTTGCTTGACGAACTGAATTTAACATAGGATAAAGGGAATACAATGACTAAGAGGTTGACGTGTCACAATGTACTTGAAAAATAATTAGACTTCCCTGGAGATATATCAGACAACGATGTTTGATGACTCACCTTCATAAATTAGTAAGAATATCTAACAAGAAACTTATCTCGCGAATTGCTAGAAAATGGGAGAAAGTAATGAAGGCAATTTGTGCAAAGAATTTCAAGATTTTAAAGGCTGGGCTGAGTTTGCTAAGAAAGTTTACTCGCATAAGCACAATCATTTCCTTGCCCCTGAAATTAACATTTGGGAATTTCATAGGAAATTGAAAATACAAATCGTCTTGGTTCTGTAAGTCTGACTTTGTCATCTCCTTTCTCCTGCTCCTCCTCAGCTTCCTTCTCCTCCTTCTTCCCCTTTTCTATTTTCCCTTGTCTTCTCTCTCCATTTGCTTTTTAAAAATTTTTCTGCAAGTTATTGTGTTTTTTTTTTTTTTTTTTTTTGAGACAGAGTCTCGCTCCGTTGCCCAGGCTGGAGTGCAGTGGCGCAATCTCGGCTCACTGCAAACTCCGCCTCCTGGGTTCACGCCATTCTCCTGCCTCAGCCTCCCGAGTAGCTGGGACTACAGGCTATTATTGTGTTCTATCTGTGTGAGAGTTCTAATTAGAGAAGAAAACTGCCATAGGTAGGCCTGAATAAATTAAATGTTGTCAGACGAGAAACATTTGAAAATGACCATAAGCTCGTATTTATGCTTAAACTTACCTTCTCTTAAAAATTTTATTTAAAATTATGCCTTCAAGGGACAGGGAAACAAAATGGTGTAGCTCTCATCCTTTGCTTGATTCTTCTCACAGAAACAAAACTGTATGGCTCTGATTAGGGAGAAAGTGAAGTTTTTTTTTTTTTTTTTTTTTTAATTTGTAGGTGGTTTTTGTTGTTGTTTGAGACAGAGTCTCGTTCTGTTGCCCAGGCTGGACTGCAGTGGCACGATCTCGGCTCACTGCAAGCCCCGCCTCCCGGGTTCACGACACTCTCCTGCCTCAGCCTCCAGAGTAGCTGGGACTACAGTCGCCCGCCACCATGCCCGGCTAATTTTTTGTATTTTTAGTAGAGACGGGGTTTCACCATGTTAGCCAGGATGGTCTCGATCTCCTGACCTCGTGATCCGCCCGCCTCGGCCTCCCAAAGTGCTGGGATTACAGGCGTGAGCCACCGCGCCCAGCCTGTAGGTGGTTTTAATATAGTCTGCAAGGATGGACAAATAGAAATTCTGGATCATCAATCTTTTGTTGGATATTCATATTGTAAATACCCCTTCTAAATGTAAGTGTAGGTTGCATTTTTTTTCTCTCTTAGTGTTTTGACGAACTAGAATTAATTTTGATGAAGTCAATCTTTCTTGTTTTGTTGGTGGTTGGCACTTTCTGCAACTTTCTTCTTCTTTTTTTTTTTTTTAGACAGAATCTCACTCTGTCGCCCAGGCTGGAGTGCAATGGTGCGATCTCAGCTCACTGCAACCCCTGCCTCCAGGGTTCAAGCGATTCTCCTGCCTCAGCCTCCCAAGTAGCTGGGATTACATGTGTGCACCACCATGCCCAGCTACTTTTTGTGTTTTTGGTAGAGATGAGGTTTCGCCATGTTGGTCGGGCTGGTCTCAAACTCCTGACCTCGTGATCTGCCCGCCTTGGCCTCCCAAAGTGCTGGGATTACAGGCGTGAGCCACCGTGCCCGGCCTCTGCATCTTTTTTAAGAACATTTTGCCTACTCCAAGGACATGAAGATAGCTTTCTTTCAAAAAATTTTTTAACCTTTTAAATTTATATCTACATTTAATATGAAACTGATTTTTGTCTGTGTTCTGTAGGAGGGGTCCAAGTTCTTTTCATTTTTCTTTTTCCTTTTTTCTTTTGAGATGGAGTTTCACTCTTGTTGCCCAGGCTGGAGTGCAATGGCGCAATCTCGGCTCACTGCAACCTCTGCCTCCCAGGTTCAGGTGATTCTCCTGCCTCAGCCTTCCAACTAGCTGGGATTACAGGCATGAGCCACTACACTAGGCTAAGTTTGTATTTTATTAGAGACGGAGTTTACCATGTCAGCCAGGCTGATCACAAACTCCTGATCTCAGCTGATCCTCCCACCTTGGTCTCTCAAGATGCTGGGATGACAGGCGTGCGCCAATGTGCCCGGCCTCAAGTTCTTTTTCCACATAGAAAATCATTGTTCCAGTATTGCTTATTGAAAAATAGTATTGTTTTTCTACCTTGTTTAATATCACTGTTGTCATAAATTTGGTGACCGTATACATGTGGGTTGATTTATAGAATTTGTTTTGTGTCTTGTGGCCTATCTACCCAGCCCTGTGCTAATGGCAGTTTTAGAAATTATTGTAACTTTTAAGAGGATGTGATATCTGCTATTGTAAGTCTTCTAACAGTATTCTTTCCTTTCAAGATTGCTTTGATTCTTCTTGATCATTTGCATGTCCATGTAATGTTTGGAATCATCTTGTCAATTTATTTATACCCATTGATATAATAACGAATAATAGCAATTTTTGCAGTATTAAATGCTCTAATCTCTGCACATTATTCTTCAAGTTAAGTCTCCATTGTTTTTCATAATGCTTTGTACCTACCATATAGATGTCTTGTAGTTATTTCATTAATATTATTCCAATGTGTTTGGCGTTATTGGTGAAATGGACTCAATTTTAAATTAATTTTCTAATTATTTATTTACTCTGTAGAAACAATCTTCGTTACACCAAATCTGATAGTTTATAAGAAATTTAAAAATTTTTAATTACTTTTAACTTATATAACAACACTGCAAATAATTTTTTCCATTAAAACTCTAACCCCTTTTCTTTTTTAAAAAAAATTTCCTTGACAGTTACCTACTACAATGTTTAATCCAATTGGAAATACCAGAGATCTTTGTGTTTTTCTCAATCTCAAAGGAAATTTTAATAATTTACTATAAATTTGATTTTTGCTGTAGTTTTTTGTAAATATTTTTTATCAGAATAAGGAAATTCTTACGAATATCTCCTAATTTTATTCAGATACTTTTTGTAGATCTATTGAAAAGATTTTATGATTTCTCCATTTTTAGCTATTGATTTAGTAAATTATATTAACTTTTAAAAAATGTTAAACTCATATTCTTAACTGAAAGGTAAACAAGTTGGCTATATACATTTTATGTATCATGACATGAGATTTGCTAATAATTTACCAAGGAGTTTAACACTTATTTTCATGAAAAAAATTTGAAAACTACTGGTAAAACCAACTCTGAAATTATGATAGTAAAAACACAAGTAAATTAAAAATTTATTTAAAAATATTTTCTTTTTATTATTTTTTTAGAGATGGGGTCTCACTAGGTTGCCCAGACTGACCTTGTACTTCTGGGCTCATGCAATCCTGCCTCAGCCTCCCAGTTGCTGAGACTAAAGACACATCCCAGTGCATTAAAAAATTGAATTTCTAAATAAAATACCTATTGGATACCACACTTATCACTGAAGCAATGAAATAATCTGTATACCTACCCCCATGACAGGTAATTTACCTATATAATACACCTGCACGTGTATCCCTGAACCTAAAAGTTAAAAATAAAAACAAGTTTTCCCACTCATTAAAAATATATTAAAAACAAAAACAAACAAAAAATAAATATATAATTTTTAAAATTTTCTATATTTTTACATCAATTTTAGTAAGTTTTATTTTTCACATAATTTGTCTATTTCATCTTAATTTTAAAATATAGACATAAAGTTTCATATGATATCCTCCTAATAGCTTTGCAATGACTGTAGGATCTGTAGTTATGTTCTTTTTTCTTTTGTTTATACTGGAAATTTGTATTTTTCTCTTTTTGTTTTGTCAGTTTTAGTATGGATTATTTTAAATTAGAAAATTAGAAAAAGTGTCCTACTGTAGACAGATGCAAACTTGTATTAGGGTACACAGTTTGGCAAGCAAGTGCCAGCTGCATTTCAACTCCTAACTTAAACTCTCAGTATTTTCTGTAGTAGATTAAATGTATAGATATACATCATGGCCAATGTACTTACATTATACTGTGTATATTCCCGACATATAGACTAGAAACATTAAAGCACCTTATAGTTATAAAGACTCATTCCTCACCTGACCTGTATCAAGAAGTTTCCTCACACATGAAGGCAATGGCTGTCCCTCTGTATCAATCTTACAATTGACATTTTGTGATTTGCTTTTTGTGTATTTCCTAACATATCCAATGAAACAGAATATAGGCTATGACATTGACAATGGAGGTACAGTTATCAAGAAAATTTGTTTTCTTGTGCTTACCAGTAGAAAAGTAGAAGATAACTAGTGATGATCAATTTAAATTATGTTAAAACAGAACCTATCAGATATATATTTGTTATTTAGAAACTCAGGTGTATCACATAATAAATGGAAATTGGTGGGAAAATAATGAATTTTTAAAACTCTGTGTGAAGCATTTATTCAGGCAGCACATTTAAATTAAAGTAATAATTAGTTCTATCTTAGACAGCCAAATAATTTTATGTATTTTTTCTGTCAGTATTTAGATAGACTCATGGTATGTAGGGTCATATTGTTCAATCATAGAATTATAAATGTGTGTGTGTGTGTGTATGTGTGTGTGTGTGTGTCTTAGAGCAAGCACTGTGATGTCACAGTGGTAGAATCTAAAAGTGAGATTTCGAGGCCTGTGTAGGTGCTTAATAAAAATCTGATGTTAGATTATTCCTTGGAGATTATTTTGTTAATGTGGTAATTTAAATTTCTACCTGTACCGTTTTGTTTGGACATAAGGTATAACATAACAAAATTCCTGGTGAACAGCATAATACCTGCACACTCATGTAACATACAAATTATTGGATATAATGTGAATAAACAATCTTGCTTCTTATTTCATTATGGGGTTAGGGGATTAGAAGAAATAATTTTAATGATTTACAAAAGAAGAATCTTGTTGCTGCCCAGACATGAGAGATTGTGTGAATTTGTCTTTTGAAACTCAGTTTTTGATCAGGAAGCTACTTATAACACTACAGAAATAGTTCCTTTGTAAATATTTATAGCAATCAAAGCTGTGACAGAAAAGATGATGTGTTGAAATTACGTAATACACATAATGTTTCAGAAAGTAATTACAAGTGGAAATGGAGAATAAAGGCCTATAATCAAACAAATAATCCACATATTTTTCAATAAGAAATATTGGGCAGTGGCAAGGGAAATGTTAGAATATTTAGAGCTATGGTAAAAACTTGGGATTTCATGTACTCCACCAGGCATTTTTTAAGCATCTATCATAACTACGTTTTAAGACTGTCACTCGGGTGATAGGACAGATCTAAAGATAAATATTTGAGAATCATGATTTCAAAGGAATAATTATAGCAATGAATATTCATGAGCCATTTGAAGTAGTGAAATATGAGGAGCAGAAATGCAAATTTATCGTGGGGTACACTCAACTGTGAGGAGAGAGAAGTATGCTCAAATGAATTGACAAAAAGCAAGGCTAATGGAGAAACATAAAGCAGTTAAATTCTAGAAGCCACAAAAAGTTGAATTGTTAAGTAGAAAGAGTTAAACTTCAGCACCAATTACTTCAGATAGACAAGAATGTAAAGTGGAAAGATCCTCAAATATTTAATAATATATTTCATTTACAGAATTTACCTCAGGCATTTCACAGGAAGAGATTTTAATAAAGTGAATATTTGCAGATGTCTGGGCAGAGTTAGGAAACAAATGAGAGATGGTGAAGTACTGGAAGTTTAGCAGCAATGAAAAGCAGTTCTTTACCCCTCCTCAGCCCTTGGCTGGAGGGAATAGTTACCTATCAAATAGGTGCTACTTGGTGAGAACTGTAAACATGGAGAGTTTTTCCATCTGCTGCTTCCAGGGAGCACTCTCTTTAAACTACAGCTCTGTCTTTAAGTTCCACTAGCTGCCCTCTCACCTTCACACTAGGGGGTGGTAACATCTTTGTGCTGCTGCTTGCCTTGAGGTGATTTACCATAATTCTTGGTTTCTCCTTACTGTACCTACACACATGGAAAGAGATCCTTTGCTGAATTTCCTTAATTACTTTGAGTGTGCCATCCTTTTCCTGGATTGCCTCATCTCCATGGCAAAAAGCAGTGATGTGAGATGGATATTTTTATCTCTCCCCATTTACACATGAAGATGTTCATAAAGTCATTTAACATCTTCATTAGGAAGATGTTATTAGGAAAATATTATTGTAGACTTGTTTGTTCTATGCACTTGTGGTTATCAGTTAAAGAAATCTAGAAACTATTTATGTGGACTTAGATCCTAAATCTGATCTTCTCTTGATTATTTTTATATTTATTATCTTTGCTACATTCTTTAGCTGCTGTGCCTGCCAGTTTCAGGACCTTCTCAATCAACACTTCTGACTTGAAATATACTTAATTTGCTTCCTAACTATACAGTTTTTTCTTATTCCTGTCACTATAATTATTTTATTTTATTTAACATCTTCATTAGGAAGATGTTAAATGACTTTCCAAAGGCAAATGATCGCAATGATCATTTCCATCGCAAACGATAAAATCTCTCTCCTTTCTATGCATTATACTGCTTATTTCAGGACAAAGAGAAAAGAAACAATAGAAGAAAAAAATATTTTTCATCAAGAGTCATGAAATGATGCAATGTAGGTGAAAGTTAGGAGAAACTGTTTTTTTCTTTTACAGGAAGCAGCATGTCTTTTTCAGTTTAGAAGGAAGACTGGAATAATTGCTGTAGAAACAGAGACATATTGAAATATGCATGAATACTGAAGGTGGTGTATTCTCATAATTATCAGGAAAGGGTTAGTGATCGACTTCTTAGAAGAAAAGTAGTAAGATTTGCTGTATGGGTGGCAAAGAAGAGAACCATTCCATGATCAAAAAGGGCACCTTAATAATGGCCAGACCTTTTCGGAAGTATGTGACATGTCAAAAGGAATACCAAATAGACACTTCTAGGTGAAGCTATGTGAAACCATCCCTATTGCTTGTGAAAAACTTCAATTCACATATGGTACTATCCAAAGTTGCTATTCCCATCTTTATATGTGAAGGACATTATTCCACAATTACCTTGAGTTTTATTTTTACTTATAATTTTTCATCTGACTAAATGAATTCTGTCATCATTGCCCTGTTTCATTATCAGTATTGACACCAAGATTACTAACATATGCCTTTATTTTAAAATATTATTGTAGACTTGTTTGTTCTATGCACTTGTGGTTATCAGTTAAAGAAATCTAGAAAGTATTTATGTGGACTTAGATCCTAAGTCTGGTCTTCTCTTGATTATTTTTATATTTACTATCTTTGCTACATTCTTTAGCTGCTGTGCCTGCCAGTTTCAGGACCTTCTGAATCAACACTTCTGACTTGAAATATACCTAATTTGTTTCCTAACTATACAGTATTTACTTATTCTTGTCACTATAATTATTTTATTTTTATTGTTATTTTATCTAATTAATTAATTAATTTATTTTTTGAGACAGAGTCTCTGTCTGTTGCCCAGGCTGGAGTGCAGCCGTGCAATGTTGGATCACTGCAACCTCTGCCTCCCGGGTTCAAGCGATTCTCCTGCCTCAGCCTCCTGAGTATCTGGGAATACAGGTGCATGCCACCATGCCCGGCTAATTTTTTTTTTTCTATTTTTAGTAGAGACAGGGTTTCACCACATTGGTCAGGCTGGTCTCGAACTCCTGACCTCGTGATCCACCTGCCTCAGACTCCCAAAGTACTGGGATTACAGTTGTGAGCCACCACGCCCAGCCTCCTGTCACTATAATTCTTTAGGTTAATAACCAATAAGGTAACCTGCCTCTCCCAGTCCTGCTGTCTGATTTTTGGCTGGGATCTAAGCTCTCATATCTATGCACAGCCCTTAAAGACTCACCTTACCAAATGTAGCTGGACTTGCCAGCTTCTTGATTCTGTCTAATGTAAAGAAGTAGAGTCAGATCTCCATATTCAAGTTAAGGAGAAAATTTGCTAGGAGGCATATGATACCAGAACTCCCTCTACTGATTAAATGAATTAAACAAAACAAAGGGAAAAAACGTTTTGTGTCAAGATAAAAGTTCACACATCTTTTTCATTAAAAGTTACTAGGCAAATCTTCTGCATTCCAGATTACATCTAAATGTATGGTACCTGTGTTGATTTTCTACTGTGTCTCACTGTTATTTAGGCATTACCAGTATAAAAAAAATCATAAAATGTCAATGGGATAATTAATTAATTAGTAATTAATTAATTTCCAATTATTCAGATCCACTAGGAGACTCTTCTGATCTGGTCCAAGCTTGATTTCTTTTGTTTAGGCTAATTCTTACCTATGTGATCAGCTGGCAGGATGGCTAAGGGATGGCTTATCTAGATTGACCTCACAGCTTTGGAGTTCTAGCGGTTATTTTCTGGGGTCCAGAGAGTGAGGGAGCCATATGTCTCATATCATCCAGCTGGTTAACCTCTTTTTCTCATGTTGATTTTTCAGGTTTCCAAGAGAACAAAGAAAAGCATACAGGATCTCTTAGGGCTAAGTCTAGAACTGACATACTATCACTTTCACCACATTTTACTGTCAGGGGATAATTACAAGGCCATTTTAGATAGCATGGGTAGGTTAATAGACTCCACATCTTAATGGAAAAACCTATCAAGTGACAGGTTTGTGGACAAAGTAAGGGGAATAATTGAGACCACATTTGCAATCAATCTACTTCCTGTCTGATGGACATAGGTTCTGCTGACTGGACAGTCCCTATGTTTGCTGACTACACTGCCTATCCCAAGACAGTAACTCAGTCCGTCTCGGGATGCCAACTGCTTTGGTTTCTTTCCAGTGTAAAATCTGCTGTAGTCTCTTCCTGCTCATCTAGACTCCTGGACCCAAACCCTACTGAGAATCCCTTTTGTATTGCTGCCAAAAATTCCTTGCAATAACTTAATGGAAAATAAAATACTTTATTGCTCAATTTTTTTCAGTCAAATTCAATTTTGCCTTGGAAATAAGTCTTCATCCAGAGAGTGAAATATCTATGATTCTTTTTACTTTCTGGATGTTAATTCACATGACACAAAGGCAGGCCTTTTTCATCAAGAGCATTGATTATTCAATTAATACCTTTGATGAACACCAACAAAAATTTAGAACCCATGCAGCTGCATGAATATTAAAAAGTCACTGGAAGAGAAAACATGACTGAGCAAACATGGTAATTACTATAATCCTGTCACTATACCTGGATGACTTACTAAACCCACCCTGTAATAAAGTAATTACTAACCTGTTTTAAAGCTCTATATTGGGTGATAGAAGCTATGAGTTGCTTTTTTTGTGAATGCTTGGAGTTTTGATTATATTCAAGTTTTTAGACCCCTGCCTTATTTGGGAAGGTAAAATATTCTACAAATACAGTTTGTGGATCAGGGAAAGCTGAATTCCAAGTTAGAAGAATAGGCATATATCAGGAGCAGAAAAAGACCATTCATGGGTCAGTTTCAAAGGCTAGTTGTGTGCATAAGCACATGTAAAATCAAAGAAAAATATTATGTCAGGGCCAGAAGGGTAAACTAAAAGTTAACGGTTGAAATATCAGAGTGTCTAGTAAAGGGACAAAGCTGTGTTTGGGAAGAAGGTACAAAGCCATCTAGCCAAAAAGCTGTGGGAAAAATGTGTAGGAATGTAGGTTGAAATATTCATTCATCAAGCACTTGCCATGTGACAGAAGCTCTACTAGGTGCCATTGTGGCGCGAAGATGAATAACTGTTCAAGAAGGGGATGATTTACTGAAGAAGCCAGATACATTTAGTACAAACCATCATACAATGTGGTAAGTTTTTGCCAAAGAAAGAGTAAGTATTCATTGGAGGCATATATGAGAAAAATATTTTTGCAGGTGGGATACTTACATCTGAACTGAACAAATGTTTTTTTTTTTTCAGACTGACAGAAAGATCATTCTAACTACAGAATTAGTCAGCCAAGAAGTGTAAGTGTGTAAAATTATATGGAGAATTTCAGAAGCAGTGAGTTCTCAAAAAATATCCTGTGTATTGTGGAGTGTCAGGAAATAAGTTTGGAAAAGTAAGTTCATACAAGATTTTAAAAGACCTTAAATCATTTTCTAAAAATATGCAAAGCTGATACATGGTTACAAAATCTAACAGACCGTCTTAGTTGAAAAATATGGAATTCCTTATGGTAAGAAGGTTATAGAAAAGGTCAGGTACTTGGAGTTGAAAGCAATGCGATCATCTGATTAAAGTGAGGAAGACTAAGATATGGAAAAAAATGTTGTCCATCAAACCAGCTCCCCCACAGTTAATAATTACAAACTCCGGACAAAATATTTTAAAAAATTATCTAAAGAGTCAATAAAATCTGGATGACAGTCGACACTTTGAAGAAAAGAGTGCTATAGTGTGCTTTATTTTGCTCTTAAAGTTGCTCTTTATTTTGCTCTTAAAGTTGAATACCAGTCAGCACCATTTGAGATGGGTCAAAATCCAGTGGAAAACCTGCTGTCTTATTGGCAGAGAGTGCCACTGGGTTTGTCCTTGTGGCTGGCCTCTGATTGGCCTCCAGAGGCCAGCCACAAGGGCAAACATGGTAGCCAGAGAGTGAAGAGGAAAAATCCAAGAAAGGAGAGAGAAAGTAGAGTCACAAATTCTGTGCATAAACTCTGCAAATCACATATCCATCAAATGACTTGTATTCAGACTACACACTAAATTCTCTGGATAATCCCTAAATTGTGCAATGTAGGGTAACCTCCATTCAACTCATCTATGGCTAAATAAAACTGAAATTTGAGTTGCTGGCTACTATAAGGGGAAAGAGTTTTACAGTCTGAGTTAGGCCGAATTACCTGCTTACTTAAACATCGAAATCAAGATCAATACTCTTCAGCAGAAGAAAATATAATGGAGAGTTTCTATAGCAGTTTCTTCCTCATCAGCATTTGGAATTATTGGATGCATTAGTTAATCATATTTAATTTAGATATTGTAACAATTGTGTAATGGTATCTGATTGTGGCTTAAATATGCATTCTGCTAATGAGTGATGATGTTGAGTATCTATTCGTGCATCTACTTGCTTTCCATATGTCTCCCTGGATGAAGTCACTGTTATCTTTTGCCATTTAAAAATTATAATTATTTGGTTTTAAATGACCTTTGAGGGTTCTTTTTATAGTTTGAATACAAATCATTTGTTGGAAAAGTGGCTTGCAATTTTTTTTCTTAGTTGATCGGTTGTCTTTTAATTTCATTAACGGCAGTGGTAGCTGTTTTCTTCTTTTCTTAGAACAAGACTAATAATTTGATTAGTTCATGTATCTGCAAGACTCAGGAAGAAAAGCACATGTCAGATTCATACAATGTCAGCTGGGGTGAATTGACTGGAGACTACTGGATTTGTTTCTAAGATAACTCACTCACAGGGTTTACAAGTTGCTTTTGACTGTGAAAGTCTTTACAGAGATTGGGGGCCATGGACTTTAGATTTTTCGATATGGTCTTCTCTGTAGGCTACTTGACCTTCCTTCAAAAATGGTGGCTGAGTTTCATGAGCAAGTTCCAAGACACAGAGAGTGGACATTGCCATTTTGCTGTTGTTGTTGTTTTGTTTTTTTAAGTCTTGGGCCTGAAAATTGGCCTAGCCTCACTTCTGCTGTATTCCACTGGTCATTGTTCGTGTTGTATAATTCTTATTATGCGTTGGTGGTCTAATTTGTTAATTCTTAAGGATATTTATATCTAAGTTCATGAGAGATATTTGTCTGTAGTTTTCTTTTTGTACTATCTTTGGTTTGGCATCAGTGTTATATTACCTCACACAATTAATTGGAAATTATTCTCTTCTACTTTCTGGAAAACAGTGTGTAAAATTTATGTTAATTCTCTGTTAAATATTTAGCAAAATTCTCAAAAAGAGGACATCTGGGTTTAAAATTGTTATTCTTGGCAGTTTTTGAATTATACTTTCAATATATTTAATGGTTATAAGATTATTCCAGTTATTTATTTATTTTTTAGAAGTTTGGTAATTTGTACTTTTTGAGTAATTAGCCTACTTCTATGTTATTGAATTTATGAAGATAAAGTCATTTGTAGTATTCCTTGTTTATTCTTTTGATGATTGCAGGATCTGTAGTTATATCTCCTGTTTCATTCCAGATATTTGACATGTGTGTCCTTTATATTTTTATCATTCTTGCTAATAGTTTATGAATTTTATGGATTTTTTCCAAAAACCTGCTTTTGGTTTCATTAACTTTTTAAATTTTTTCTATTATTAATTTATATCCACTTTTTGAGTTTTATTATTTCCTTTCTTCTTCTTTAGATTTAGTTTACTCTTGTTTTTCTGTGTTTTTGAGGTAGATACTGAAATCATTTATTTGGAATCTTTTCTCTTTTATAATGTAAGCAAATGGGGTGTAAATTTAACTTTTAGCACTGCTTACTTGTATTCCACATATTTTGATAGGTGGTATTTAATTTTCATTCAGTTCTATGTATTTTAAAATTTCCTTTAGATTTCCTCTTTGACCTATATATTGTTTGGAAATGTGCTTTTTAAATTTCCATGTATTTCCAAATACTTGGAAATACTTCCTGTTTTTCTGTTATTTATCCCTAGTTTAATTTCATAACATCCTGAGAATACATTTTGTATAATTTCAGTTAACTTTGTGAAGGTTTTCTTGTGACCCAGAATACTGTCTTTTGTAGTAAATGTTCATTGAGCCATTGATAAGAATGTGTACTTTGCTGTGTTTGGAGTGCTCATCAACATCAACCAGATCTTATCATTGGATAGCATAGTTTAGTTTATCTATATATTTGCTATTTTCTTTTTTGTCTAGTAGTTCTATTAATTGTGAGAGAGGAGTGCTCAGATCCCCAATAATAATTAGGAATTAGTATATTTTTCCTTATAGCTCTATCAGTTGTAGTTTCATATATTTTGAAGCTTTTTTTAGTTTATATACATTTAAGATTGCTATGTCTTCTTCACTGATTGACACTTTTATCATTGGGTAATATTTCTCTTTGTTCCTAGTAATTTATTTGCTTTGGAATCTACTTCACTTGATGTTAATAATTATTGCTTTAAAACTATTTTTTATTAATATTAGTATATATTTTTCCACCCTTTATTGTCAGCCTACCTATACCCATTGTGTTTGAAGTAAATATATTGTAGGCAGCATACAGCTGTTATTTTTAAATTCATCCTCTCAATTTTTGGCTTTTAATTAGTGTATTTAGAATATTATATTTAAAGTAATAATCAATATATTAGGGTTTAAGTTTGTCATTTCATTCTGCATTTTCTTTTTTCTATTTTGTTCTCTGTTTTGCATTATTCTGTTTATCATTTATTTCCTTTCTGTTGATTAATATTTTGTAGGATTACATCTTGTTTTATTTATACTATTTCCAAAGAAACCAATTCTGGTTCTGTTCTTGTTGTTTCTATTTCTTTGTTTTATGTTCTTATTTCCATTTTTTAAAATTTGCTTTGGACTTACTGTGGTTTTCTTTCTATGATTCCTTAGGTCAATAATTTTAGACTTTCTTCATTCAAAAATGCAAGCATTTTAAGCTACAAATTTCCCTCTCAGTATGCCTTTACTGCAACACACAAAATTTGATATATATATTTTTCCTATCCACCAGTTTTAAATACTTTCTTATTTTTCTTAAGATTTCTACTTTGGGCTGGGAGCGGTGGCTCCTGCCTGTAATCCCTGCACTTTGGGAGGCCGATTCAGGCAGATCATCTGAGGTCAGGAGCTTGAGACCAGCCTGGCCGAACATGTTCAAACTATAGTAATCAAGACAGTAAATATATAAGGATATAAAATGGATCAATGAAGTAGAAGAGAAAGTTCAGAAGTAGGCCTGCACATCATGTATCTTTAACAGATTTTCAACAAAGGCACTAAGTTAATTCAAAGGAGAAGAAAATATTTATTTCAACCAATAACGTTGAATAAATAAAAAGATACCTATAGGGATATCCATATGTAAATATATAAAATTATATTTATGCTTTGCTCCACATGCATAAATGATCACCAAATGGAACAAAGACACAGATGTGAAGCCTAAAACGTAGAACTTCTAAAATACATTATAGTAGAATATGTTTGTGTTTTGTAATTAGAAAACTATTCTTATACATGATATGAAGAGCACAAATCATTTTTTAAATATGACTAATTTGTCTTAATTTAAATAAAAAGCTTCTGTTTTTTTTGAAGATATTTTTAAGACTAAGTCTCATTGTAGCATAAAATATTTGCAAAACACTTATTTGATAAGGAACCCTCAAAAGTCAATAATTAAAAAAAATCAAGCAGTACAATAAAAATGTGTGAAATTCTTGAACAGGTTCTTCACCAAAGAAGATAAAGAAAGCAATTAAGCAAATAAAAAGATGCTCAACACTGTTAGTCACTAGGCAAGTGAAAATTAAAACCACAAATGTCAAGTTCATGAGAGATAAATAAGACAGAAATAATTTTAAATTGAAACATAGGTTCAATTTAAATTGAAACATAGGGTAAGAAACATAGATTCAACATGCTCTCTTGAATTCAGTTCTAACTATACATGACATTCTAGAGAAAACTGACAAAATTTAAATAGAGGTTTTGATTGGATGGGTTTTTCATAAGTAAATATTACTTTTTTGACTTTGATGATTTGTCATTTCGAATGAGAATGACAGGCTTTTAAGAAGTGAAGAATCTAAGGCCGGGCGCGGTGGCTCACGACTGTAATCCCAGCACTTTGGGAGGCCGAGGCGGGCAGATCACGAGGTCAGGAGATCGAGACCATCCTGGACAACATGGTGAAACCCCATCTCTACTGAAATACAAAAAAGTAGCCAGGCATGGTGGCAGGCGCCTGTAATCCCAGCTGCTTGGGAGGCTGAGGCAGTAGAATCGCTTGAACCTGGGAGGCGGAGGTTGCAGGGAGCCGAGATCATGCCACTGCACTCCAGCCTGGCAACAGAGCAAGACTCCGTCTCAAAACAAAAAACAAAAAACAAAACAAAACAAAAAAAAGAGTGAAGAATCTGAGTAAAGTATATACCAAAGTTTTTGTAGTATTCTTGCCACTGCTCTATACTTTTACTTTTTTTCAATTTAAAAGTTATAAAGAGTAGAAGCAAAATATACATTTAAAAAAATACTAACAGAGAGTAATTCTGGAAAAGAGGCTTTTTCTAAATGAATTTTAATTTTATAATAATAATAATAACCCAAATGATACACAATATGGATAACAGAAGTGATTGCTGGCCACTGAAGTACACCGAACTCCATATAGTCAGAGGAAATAAAGAAATATCGATTAACATTAGACATTGTTGATATGTCTGTTGAAAATTTAAAGATAAACACTGAAATAAGTTGAATGCATAATTTTCAAAACAGTAAAGTGAAAGAGAACAAAGAAAACTGAAAATAATACTGGGTTAATCCAAATGATTCAAACAAAAATATAAATATAAATAGCACATAATATGTTAGTAGAAATCAATCCACAGAAATTAAACAATTGAAGTTATAGGCAAACAAATTAAAGTTGCAAACAGAAAGAAGTGTGCTATCTAAAGGTAATAAATAAATAACCAATAAAGTATAAAAATGCTTAACTTGTATATCCCCGGGTCACATAAATATATATATATATGGATGGATTTGCATACACACAAACACTCACACACATATATATGTAGCTTATCCTTGAATAACATGAATTTGAACTGAGCAGGTCCATTTACACATGGATTTTTTTTCAATAAAAGTGATACTCAGTGTGCCTACCTCTCCTGCCTCCCCTTCCACATCCTTCATCTCGTTTGCCTCTGCCACCCCTGAGAGAGCAAGAGCCAACCCTCCTCTTCCTCTTCCTTCTCAGCCTATTCAACATGAAGACAACGAGGATGAAGACACTTATAATGATCTACTTCCACTTAATGAATAGTAAATAATGACTTTTTATGATTTTCTTAATAACATTTTGTTCTTTAGCTTACTTCATTGTAAGAATACAGTATACAATACACATAACATACAAAGTATGTGTTAATTGACTGCATATGTTATCAGTAAGGCTTCTAGTCAAAAGTAGGCTATCAGTAGTTAAGTTTTTGGAGACATTAAAGTGACACAGGCGTTTTCAACTACATAGAAGAATGGCACCCCTAACCCCTGTGTTGTTTAAGGGTCAACTGTGTGTGTGTGTGTGTGTGTGTGTGTGTGTGTGTGTGTATAGATTTCAAATAGAAACCTTAACACTCTGTTATTTAAAAAAAAACAAATATTTTTAAGGCTTTCATATATTATTAAATACATATATATTTTCCTACCCACTAAATAGAACATGTACTTTAAAATATTTCAGAATATTTAGACAAACTAACAATTTCTATGTCATGGAGAAAATACAAACCTTAACAATTATCATAGGATAAAAGCTTATAGACTTCATTCTTTGACATCTATGAAATAAAATATCATTGAATACTAATAAATAAATATTCATACTCGAAGTTAAAATTTAAAAATATATTTCTGCATTGTAAATGAAAAATAATTATCTATAAAATTATAAATCAAAAGCAAGCACAGTAAAAATTCAACATGGCTTTCCATGGAACTTGAAAATTCTCAGAAGCAAAAGGAAAGTTAAATTTTTTGACAACAGACTCAGGAGAGGATATCTTATGTCTCTAGACAAAGAAATGCAGATTAAAATAAAATATGTATGCACACTCTTAACACTGGAAAAAATGTGTATGTCTAAAATGACCAAGTGCTGCTGTGCATGAAAAAAAATTCATTAGATATTGTTGAGGGTGTGTATATACTTAAAACAACTTGGGAGAATAATTTGATATCTAATATATATAATATATATGAAATATATATATTATACATAAAAATATATAATATATATGAAATATATATATTATACACAAAAATATATAATATATATGAAATATATATTATATATACGAAATATATATATGAAAACATATAGATGATATCGATTACTATTTGAAATGATGAAAACATGAAAAACACCTGGCTGTCTGCAATAGGGAACTACAAAGTTATCTGATGTTTTCGCAGAAGAGAACCATAAAGTCTAATTGAAATAAACTTCTTCTAAATGTTTAAACATGTATATATTTCAAAACCATAATATTATATGAAAAATTCAAACAGTATATAACAATATTTACCATATGATCTCATTTATGTATGTTTAAAAATAATAATTCAAATGTTTTATTAATGCTACCACCAAATAAGGTAAAAATTTAAAAACATACATGAATATGATGCATATCAACATTAGGATATTATTAATTTATGAGGACTGCTGGGTTTGAAGGAAAGCAGTGGGGCTTTATTAGACTCTCTAATACTGTATTTTATTTTTAAAAAGATATCTGACACAAATATGGCAAATTGTAAACACTAGTTTATTTTCAGCATAGGTACACACTGAGTATCATATTACTTTATATATAATTTTATATTTTCATAATAAAAATGTAAAAAGTCAACTGATTATAAGAAGAATAAAGCTTTTAATTCAAAATATTTTTAAAAACCGGTGACAGGAAAAATGAGGGGCAAATACCCTCATACAGCCTCAAAAATAGACGACTTCATGTTATATTCTATTAAAACTTTTGGAAAAAACACTACAGAAATAGCTTTCCCTTATTTAATAATGTCTTTTTTGGAAAGACAAATTAAAAAGTGAACACATTTGAAAAAGAGAAAAATACAAAATGAGCTAGGCTATTTCTTTTATTTTAGAGGTATATATATATTACTTTTTTAAAAATTTTACTTTAGGTTCTGGGATACATGTGCAGAATGTGCAGCTTTGTTACATAGTATACATGTGCCATGGTGGTTTGCTGCACCTATCTACCTGTCATCAAGGTTTTAAGCCCCAAATGCGTTAGGTATTTGTCCTAATGCTCTCCCTCTCCTTGTCCCCCAGCCCCCAACAGGCCATGGGGTGTGATGTTCCCCTCCCTGTGTCCATGTGTTCTCACTGTTCAACTCCCACTTATGAGTGAGAACATGCGGTGTTTGGTTTTCTGTTCTTACTAGTTAGCTGAGAATGATGGTTTCCAGCTTCATCTATGTCCCTGTAAAGAACATGAACTCATTCTTTTTTATGGCTGCATAGTATTCCATGGTGTATATGTGCCACATTTTCTTTATCCAGTCTATCATTGATGGGCATTTGGGTTCATTCCAAGTCTTGGCTATTGTAAATACTGCTATATAAATGTATTCTCTTGAGAGTGTCTGTTTATATCCTTTGCCCACATTTTGATGTTTTTTTTTTTTTTCTTGTAAATTTGTTTAAGTTCCTTGTAGTTTCTGGATATTAGACCTTTGTCAGATGGATAGATTGCAAAAATTTTCTCCCATTTGGTAGTTTGCCTATTCACTCTGATGATAGTTTCTTTTGCTGTCCAGAAGCTGTTTGGTTTAATTAGATCCCATTTGTCAATTTTGGCTTTTGTTGCAATTGCTTTTGGTGTTTTAGTCATGAAGTCTTTGTCCACGTGTATGCCCTGAACGGTATTGCTTAGGTTTTCTTCTAGGGTTTTTATAGTTTTAGGTTTTACATTCAAGTCTTTAATCCATCTTGAGTTAATTTTTGTATAAGGTTTAAGGAAGGGGTCCAGTTTCAGTTTTCTGCATATAGCTAGCCAGTTTTCCCAGCACCATTTATTAAATAGGGAATCCTTTCCCCATGGCTAGTTTTTGTCAGGTTGCCAAAGATCTGATGGTTGTAGATGTATGGTGTTATTTCTGAGGACTCTGTTCTGTTCCATTGGCCTACATATCTGTTTTGATACCAGTGCCATGCTGTTTTGGTTGCTGTAGCCTTGTAGTATAGTTTGAAGTCAGGTAGCATGATGCCTCCAAGATTTTCTTGGCTATACGGGCTCTTTCTTGGTTTCATATGAAAATTAAAGTAGTTCTTTCTAATTCTGTGAAGAAAGACAATGGTAGCTTGAGGTGGATAGCATTGAATCTATGAATTCCTTGGGGCAGTATGGCCATTTTCACAATATTTATTCTTCCTATCCATGAGCATGGAATGTTTTTCCATTTGTTTGTGTCCTCTCTTATTTTCTTGAGCAGTAGTTTATAGTTCTCCTTGAAGAGGTCCTTCATGTCCCTTGTAAGTTGTATTCCTGGATAATTTATTCTCTTTGTAGCAATTGTGCATGGGAGTTCACTCATGATTTGGCTCTCTGCTTGTCTATTTTTGGTGTATAGGAATACTTGTGATTTTCACACACTGATTTTATATCCTTAGACTATGCTGAAGTTGCTTATCAGCTTAAGGAGATTTGGGGATAAGATGATGGAGTTTTCTAAATATACAATCATGTCATCTGCAAACAGAGACAAATTGACTTCCTCTCTTCCTATTTGAATACCTTTTGTTTCTTTTTCTTGCCTGATTGCCCTATCCAGAACTTCCAATACAATGTTGAATTGTAGTGGTGAGCTGAGACAGGGCATCGTGTCTTGTGCCAGTTTTCAAAGGGAATGCTTCTAGCGTTTGCCCATTCAGTATGATATTGGCTGTGGGTTTGTCATAAATATTATTTTGAGATATGTTCCATCAATACCTAGTTTACTGAGAGTTTTTAGCATAAAGTGGTGTTGAAATTTATTGAAGGCCTTTTCCCCATCTATTGAGACAATCCTGTGGTTTTTGTCATTGCTTCTGTTTATGTGATGGATTACGTTTAATGATTTGCGTATGTTGATCCAGCCTTGCATCCCAGGGATGAGGTCGACTTGATCATGGTAGATAAGCTTTTAGATGTGCTGCTGGATTCAATTTGCCAGTATCTTATTTTATTTTCATCAGTGATATTGGCCTGAAATTTTCTTTTTTGTTGTGTCTCTGCCAGGTTTTGGTATCAGGATGATTCTGGCCTCATAAAATGATTTAGGGGGGAGACCCTCTTTTTCTATTTTTCAGAATAGTTTCAGAAGGAATGGTACTAGCTCCTCTTTGTACCTCTGGCAGAAATAGAGTGTGAATCTGTCTGGCTCTGGCTTTTTCTGGTTGTTATTGTTCTATTCAGATATTCGACTTCCTCCTGATTTAGTCTCGGGAGGTTGTATGTGTCCAGGAATGTATCCATTTCTTCTAGATTTTCTAGTTTATTTGCATAGAGGTGTTTATAGTATTCTCTGATGGTAGTTTGTATTTCTGTGGGATCAGTGGTAATACCTTCTTTGTCATTTTTTATTGTGTCTCTTTGATTCTTCTCTCTTTTCTTCTTTATTAGTCTGGCTAGCAGTCTATCTATTTTGTTAATCTTTCAGAAAATGAGCTCCTGGATTCATTGGTTTTTTTGGAGGGTCTTTCATGACTCTATCTCTTTCAGTTCTGCTCTGATCTTAGATGTTTCTTGTCTTCTGCTAGCTTTTGAAATTGTTTGCTCTTGCTTCTCTAGTTCTTTTAATGTGATGTTAGGGTGTCGATTTTAGATCTTTCCTGCTTTCTGATGTGGGGATTTAGTGCTATAAATTTCCCTCTACACATTGCTTTAGCTGTGTCCCAGAGATTCTGGTACATTGTCTCTTTGTTCTCATTGGTTTCCAAGAACTTCTTTATTTCTGCCTTAATTTCGTTATTTACCCAGTAGTTGTTCAGAAGCAGGTTGTTCAGTTTCCATGTAGTTGTGAGGTTTTGAGTAAGTTTCTTAACCCTGAGTTCTAATTTGATTGCACTCTGGTCTGAGAGGCTGTTTGATATGATTTCTATTCTTTTGTATTTGCTGAGGAGTGTTTTACTTCCAATTATGTGGTCGATTTTAGGATAGATGCTATGTGGTGCAGAGAAAAATGTATATTCTGATGATTTGGGCTGAAGAGTACTGTAGATGTCTGTTAGATCTGCTTGATCCAGAGCTGAGTTCAAGTCCTGATTATCCTTGTTAATTTTCTGTCTCGTTGATCTGTCTAATATTGAGAGTGGGTTGTTAAAGTCTCCCATTATTATTGTGTGGGAGTCTAAGTCTCTTTGTAGGTCTCTAAGAACTTGTTGTATGTATGTGGGTGCTCCTCTATTAGGTGCATATATATTTAGGGTAGTTAGCTCTTTTTGTTGCATTGACCCCTTACCATTATGTAATGCCCTTCTTTGTCTTTTTTGATCTTTGTTGATTTAAAGTCTGTTTTATTAGAGACTAGGATTTCAACCACTGCTTTTTTTTTTTTTTTTTTTTTTTTTTTTTTTTTTTGCTTTCCATTTGCTTGGTAAATATTCCTCCATCCCTTTATTTTGTGCCTATGTGTGTCCTTGCATGTAAGATGGGTCTCCTGAATACAGCACACTGATGGGTCTCAGCTCTTTACCCAATTTGCTAGTCTGTATGTTTTAAATGGGGCATTTAGCACATTTACATTCAGGGTTAATATTGTTACGTGTGAATTTGATCCTGTCATTATGATGCTAGCTGGTTATTTTGCACACTGGTTGATGCAGTTTCTTCATAGTATCATTGGTCTTTATATATTGGTGTGTTTTTGCAATGGCTGGTACCGGTTTTTCCTTTCCATAATTGGTGTTTCCTTCAGGAGCTCTTGTAAGACAGGCCGGATAGTGACAAAAATCCCTCAGCATTTGCTTGTCTGTAAAGGATTTTATTTCTCCTTTGCTTATGAAGCTTAGTTTGGCAGGATATGAAATTTTGGGTTGAACTTTCTTTTCTTTAATAATGTTGAATATAGGCCCTCACTCTCTTCTGGCTTGTAGGGTTTCTGCAGAGAGATCTGCTATTAGTCTAATGGGCTTCCCTTTGTAGTTAACCTGACCTTTATCTCTGGCCACCCTCAACATTTTTTTCCTTCATTTCAACCTTGGAGAATCTGATGATTACGTGTCTTTGGGTTGCTCTTCCCAAGGAGAATCTTAGTGATTTTCTCTGTATTATTACCAGAATTTGAATGTTGGCCTGTCTTTCTAGGTTGGGGACGTTCTCCTCAATAAAATCCTGAAGTGTGATTTCCAGCCTGGTTCCATTCGTTCCACTCTCCCCATCACTTTCAGGTAAACCAATGAATCACAGGTTTGGTCTTTTCACATAGTCCCATATTTCTTGGAGGCTTTGTTCATTCTCTTTTATTCTTTTTTCTCTAATCTTGTCTTCATGCCTTATTTCAGTAAGTGTATCTTCAATCTCTGATTTCCTGTGTTCTGCTTGATTGATTTGGCTATTTATACTTGTGTATGCTTTACGAAGTTCTCGTATTGTGTTTTTCAGCTCCATCAGGTCATTTATGTTCTTCTCTAAACTAGTTATTCTAGTTAGCAGTTCCTGTAACCTTTTATCAAGGTTCTGAGCTTCCTTGCATTGGGTTGGAACATGCTCCTTTAGTTCAGAGGAGTTCGTTATTACCCACCTTCTGAATCCTACTTCTGTCAATTTGTCAAACTCATTCTCCATCCAGTTTTCTTCCCTTGCTAGACGGAAGTTGTGATCACTTGGAGGAGAATAGGTATTCTGGTTTTTGGAATTTTCAGCATTTTTGCGCTGTTTTTTCCTCATCTTCATGGATTTATCTACCTTTGATCTTTGAGGCTGATGACCTTTGGATGGGGTTTTTGGTTGGCTGTACTTTTTTGTTAATGTTGATGTTATTGCTTTCTTTCTGTTAATTTTTCTTCTAATAGTCAGGCCTCTCTTCTGCAGGTCTGCTGCAGTTTGCTGGAGGTCCACTCCAGACCCTGTTTGCCTAGGTATCACCAGCAGATCTTGCAGAAGAGCAATGATTGCTGCCTGCTCCTTCCTCTGGAACCTTCATCCCAGAGGGGCACTGGCCTGATGCTAGCCAGAGCTCTCCTGTATGAGGTGTCTGTCGACCCCTGCTGGGAGATCTCTCCCAGTCAGGAGGCACAGCGGTCAGGGACCCACTTGAGGAGGCAGTCTGTGCCTTAGCAGAGCTCCAGTGCTGTGCTGGGAGAATTCTCCTTGTCATGATCTGCTGCTCTCTTCAGAGCCAGCAGGCAGGAACATTTAAGTCTACTGAAGCTGTGCCCCCAGCCACCCCTTCCCCCAGGTGCTCTGTCCCAGGGAGATGGGAGTTTTATCTATAAGCCCCTGACTGGGGCTGATGCCTTATTTTCAGAGATGCCCTGCCCAGTGAAGAGGAGTCTAGAGAGGCAGTCTGGCCACAGCCACTTTGCCGAGTTGTGGTGAGTTCTGTCCAGTCTGAACTTCCTGGCCTTAGCATTTTCAGGGGAAAACCACCTACTCAAGCCTCAGTAATGGTGGACGCCCCTCTCCCTGCCAGGCTCAAGCATCCAAAGTTGACTTCAGACTGCTTGGGCTGGCAGTGAGAATTTCACGCCAGTGGTTCTTAGGTTGCTGGGCTCTGTGGGAGTGGGACCTGCTGCGTGAGACCACTCACTTGGTTCCCTGGCTTCAGCCCCCTTTCCAGGGGAGTGAAAGGTTCTGTCTCGCTGGTGTTCCAGGTGCCACTGGGGTATGAAAAAAAAAATTCTGCAGCTATTGACCTAGGCTGTTTCAAGTGAATACATGGAGGTGGAGAGAGGAGCTAGCAACAAAAATAACAACAAAAAAAGGTAAAATATTTATCTGAGATTTTAAATATCAATGATGATGTTTTATCTTTTTTGTAACTTTCATATATAAGCTTAGATAAGTACTTTTAAAAGAAAACTGAAATAATCACTCTGATAGTAAGATTAGGCTTCATTTTTTAATATTAGGTATATGCCAAAATAAGTTGCTTAGCCCATCCAAGAGAATGTCATTAACTTTTTAATAATAGCCATTCTGACTGGGTAAGACAATTATCTCATTGTGGTTTTTATTTGCATTTCTCTAATGATTAGTGACGTTGAGCAGTTTTTCATTCACCTGTTGGCCATTTGTATGCCTTTTTTAAAAGAAATGTCTATTCATGACCTACCACCACTTAAAATTTTTCTTGCACCCTATAAACTTGTAGAAAAATATTAATAATAAAATCATAAATTTGTGATAGACTTTCTGTTATACATTTTATCTAGGGCTACCTTTAATATTCAGAACATAACTGAAGGGATAATATAATGATATAAATGTTTGACTTGTACAGATGCAAGTTTCTGTAAATTAAAACAACTATTCGCTATAAAAATGAGTATTTTTTTTTTTGAGATGGAGTCTCGCTCTGTCCCCCAGGCTGGACTGCAGTGGCTCAATCTCGGTTCACTGCGAGCTCCGCCTCCCAGGTTCACGCCATTCTCCTGCCTCAGCCTCCCGAGTAGCTGGGACTACAGGCGCCCGCCACCACGCCCGACTAAGTTTTTGCAATTGTACTAGAGACGGGGTTTCACCGTGTTAGCCAGGATGGTCTCAATCTCCTGACCTTGAGATCCGCCCGTCTCGGCCTCCCAAAGTGCAGAGATTACAGGCGTGAACCACCACGCCTGGCCCGAAAATGAGTATTTGATGTTTTTTAATCCATTAACAATAACGAGGAACAAATAAATTTAACTGGATTTAAAATAAATATGCATCCTTAAATCTACTAGTTTCTTTGAAATATCTGTGACATGCCAATAATAGTTAAGTATTTGATCTTAACTTGCATAACATTTTACGTAGTTCATAATGCTTTTCCATTTTATTAAGAACCTTACTCATAGGTTCTTAAAAATGACATTCTGAAGTATCCAAAACAAATGCTAGTATTCCAGTTTTACGGATAATTTTATAGATGAGATAACCAATAAACGATTTTTAAAAATAAAAGTTTAAAAAGTGAAAATTTTTGATTCAAAATTATACCAAGTTATCTGACTTCTAATTATCACTCATCTAATCATATTATCTCATTCAAAACACAATTTTTAAAAATTGTTCCAGATTTTTGCTTAGCAAACTTTGTCTTTTGACAAAATGTCTGTGCAAAATTACATGTATCACAAATGCTTATCTTGGATTTATGAGTATAATCTAAGGCAGTCAAAGAATTACACAGCTACAACTTCATACTGCTAGAGACTTGACACAATTCAACTGAGAAAAAATAATGAAATAAACTTCTATATCTATTTCCCATGTTTATTATCAGCTAGTGGCTGGACAAAAAAGCATGGGATCAAGTTATGTGGTAAGAGAGGATTAAATTATTCAATTTTCATTAGGCTACCTGTAAACTACAGTAGAAGTTAAGGAACAGAACAGTTAATGGGATTGTAATTAAACTGTGAAAATATATTGCACAAAAGATTTACTTTGATGTTTTGCTTGTATCTACAAGATTAGAGACTCTTCAGTCTTAGCTGCATTCCCTGTTTCTTCTTAGTTCTCTCTTTGCCCTTTAAAGTATTGCTTTCTGTGTCTTTTATCCCCGTTCATCCTTCCATTTTTCTCTGTTTACTTATTGTCCTTCATTACGTTATATGCCAAGCTCAGGTATTCAAATGTAAAGATTGGTAGGCAAATATGTCATGTTGCTTAAGGAGCTCTAATTTTCATTCTCAATCTGTGCCTTAAAACTAGAACTTTCTGAGCAATATTAATAAGAGTATTTAATTCAATTTGATATGAGGTATGCCCTGAAGAAGACACATTTACTCTGTTTCCGGACTGGTTCTTGTTCTCTCTCACTCCCTACTTTTTTTCAGGCTCTTTCAAACTTGTTATCTTTTAGTTTTTCTCTGGTTTCAAACCATTTACCCTCCTGTGGCCATTTGAAATCCTGCTTCTCTCATTTTACCCTCAATGCTTTCTATTCTTTGGTGTGTAGCTACTCTTTGGTTCTTGAGGTAACTTTATGTCAGCGAGTTCCAGTAACCATTTTGTTTACTTTAAGCCTCCCCTGGAAACATCCCACTAGACTGGTTCGCGCCCAACCCTCTGCAAGTAGCAAAGGTAAGGGATTGTTTATTCTCAGTCTGTATATAAATAACTAGCAACCCACATAGAAATTACATTGCCCTAAAGAAATGCGAAATAAGAGTTGGTTTAAGAAGGAAGCAATTGATGTTGGAGCTATATTGTAAAATAGTATTCATAGTGACATATTGGGTAATAATAATTTCACTATTTGAACAGCTGACTTAAGGAAAAAGAGTAGCTTAGTGAGGTGAAGTTCCATTCCTGTGAGATTCTTCGGTAAAATTCAAGTTTGCATCCAACTGATCATTGGTATATTGCAAGCATTTTGTGCTCACTGTAATAATGACAAGTAATGATATATTTTGTACTGTGATATTTAATATAAATAATCTGTGCTCTAAAAATTATTCCATTTTGTGTAGCTCACTTAATTTCCTAATATTAAAAAATCTCATTAAGAAAGCCACACTGGGAAATTAAATGCCTCATACATATTATAACACACCCTGCTTTTATCTAGAATTTACACTAACAGACAGTGGGTAAAACAACATAGAATCATACAAGTGATCCAAAAAATATTCAATTGGAATAGATATATTAGGAACGATGTAAAAATTTTAAATAATTTAGAAATAACAATTGATAATACTGTATGTAAAGTAGAATGTTGATTATAAGAAACACTATAATTCTCATTCCTAAATCTTTTTCAAAAAATAGGTGATTTTCCTGTACCTAGCAAGCAATTTTCTTGAATAAATAATCAGAGGCTTTTGGATCTGAAGGTAATTTTAGAAGTCATCTATTCAAAACCTTTAGAGATGAGAAAACTTCCTTCCCAGAGATTGATTTTTGGCAGGGACATATGACTAAATAACAGCAGAAAAAATAGGACTATACTGTATACATTTTGCTTTCCTGGACAATATTCATAATATTATTATTATCTTAGTAATATATTTTTTCTTAAGTAATTTGGTTTGAAGCTTTGAGAAAAATAATTACTATGAAAAATTTAGGGTATTACAAAAAGAGGTGAAGTTCAAGCCCAGAGATCCTGTCTCCAAGGCAGTTTTACTCTTTAAAAATATGATACCTAATAAACATAATTTCGATGAGGCTTTCTTTTATTCAGAGGGGGTCAGATTAACTATGCTTATGATAAAGTGGTGCTCTATTTTATTCTAAGTAAAATGTTTGCTTTAAGTCAGAAAAACATACAGAAAATGAACTTACCTCTTTCCATTTAAATCTAAAGCAGTTTGAACATTATAACTCATGACTTAAGAAATAATGATATTAATAAATAATTTTACCTAAAATGAAAAAAAATCACAAAAGAGATCAAATGGTTAAAATTACTTTGATAATAATTTAAACTTTAAAAGACAAGAGCACTAAATAATACAGTCCAATTCCTACATGAAATGAACCGAAATTTTGACGTAGGGCTTTTTGTAATGTTTGAAGTTAAAAGACAGAGATCCTCATTTGAAACTCCTTGGGGAAATAACTTCCTCAACTGCAAAATGCTCATGACAGACTAGGAATCACAAGAATATAAGACAGTCTTGCAAAAGCAAGAGTATAACATGGCAAGAGAATGAACGTGCAGAACAGAATATTGGTTACTGTTAAACTGTTAGATCCACTTACTAAGAATATAGGAGCATGAACACTGTAAAACTGTGCCAAAACTAATGACATTCGGATATTGAAAACATAGAACTCAGATTACAAAATCAGTTGTTCAGAATACAAATGGGTCAGTTGAATGAATTTGTAAATGAATAAAAATTTCATTCCCTAGGAAATATCAAATTAAAAAGGGGTTAGTCAAATATCTGAACGTGGACCAAGAGGATGTGTATGTCAAACTATTATGAAGTGGATAAACATATTATAGTACCTAAAGCAGTACTAGTTGTTCCTTTTTTTATGTGTAACAAACCAAATGAATTTAGTTACTGTTATTCCAGACCAGAAGACTGGAATACAATGACTCCTATCAGTTTACATTTCCTATTTGAAGGTAAAAGAGTTGTTTCTCTATATCATCTATTTGATCTTTCATTTCTCAAGATAAAGTTCACTGATTTCTGGAGGAATTATAAATAGAAGTAATCCATTTAGCTAAGACAAAAAAGACAATAGGACATATTGAAATTTTATTATAAAAAGAAACCAAATTTATATCCAAATAGAAAAAAAAGTTTCCTCATCATTCATGCATTATCCAGAAAATCTTAAAATTTTTAATAAAATTACCAGCCTCTCACCTGGGAATAGGTGTGTAAATATTTTATATGTTGTCTTTAACTTAATGAGTTATCATGGAATAGGAAGTTTTTAAGCCTGAATTACTCAGCACTATTCTACTTTTCCAATTCATTCAAATGTAATTTACTACTATTAAATTAGTATTAATTTATTTATTATTATACTTTCTCAATGGGGCCAAGCACAATGTTAAACATATGATATAGTTTTATTTATGTTTCATAATGTACGGTTTAATGGACACTAATAACCATTTGTGGATTTCTTGCATAATAATAACATACAGAACTCTAATAGTCATAGAAAACCTTCACTGAGTATTACCTATGCATCAGTGACCATAATTTGTCGTGTTCATGTGATATATTTAGCGATCTTCACAAGCTTATAATGAGGGAAATACTACCGGCATTATTCTTCTCAATAAAGATGAAGAAACAAACGCTTAGAGAGATTAAATAAGTTGCCCCAAGTCACTAACCCAGATATTAAGCAGCAATGTTGATACTGGTAGCAGACATGTCTGCCTCCAAAACCTGTACTTCTAACCAGTTAACATCTTTGTTTCTAATGTGTATGGCTTCTATGGGTACCCACATAGAATGGGTACATTGTTGAACATGACACATCTGTAGCCATGCTTCCCTCATTAGTCCATATCACAAAAGAAGAGTTGGTTTTCCCCATGTCTATTTCTCAACCCTCCGATTGTGCTCTGCCTTCTCTCTGTGTGTCAACTACTCCCAAATATTTAGGATATTCCTAGTTTTCTCCTCAGTGCATCACAACTCTGTATTCAGGGTTGTGCCTACCTGATAACCTTAACATCCATGCCATTGTTTCCCTTTTGATATGTGAGTTATCCTTAATAACTCATTCATGCTTACCACTCATATAAGTAAAATATGTCAATTCTAATTTTAAAGTAAAATACACCCACTTGTCTCTATCTTCATGTCTTCCTTCACTTTAGTCCAATTCATAGGCTTCTAAACCAGCCATCTAAAATCCCTTTGCCTTCATTTTTTCTCCTTATATTTGTTCTCCACACAGCAGCCAGGTTGACTGTTTTTTAAAACACACAAAGTTAAGCAGTTAACAGACTGGGGCCATACTCCACGATGGCTGGTTGAAGAAATTCACCATTCTGTAGGAACTAGGATTTGTATGGCTGCCTGAAGATCCATGAATATTGACTGCTGTGGAGCAATCCCCCTTCCCGCTCCAAATCCTGGTTTCTGCACCATGCCTCCACTGGGAGGGCCTCTCATTCTACCAACCGGCCCACCTCGAGGGCCTCCAGGACACTGAAGACAATTATCTCATGGGAAAAATATGGAACGCTTCATGAATTTGCATGTCATCCTTGCACAGGGGCCATGCTAATCTCTATATTATTCCAATTTTAGTATATATGCTGCTGAAGCAAGCACCAAACTAATTTTTTACGTGAGTAATACCTACATATAAACTACAACATACATGCACATAGACACTAAAACAGTACAAACATAGAGTGAAAAGTTAAAATTCTTCCCACAACTGTTGATTGTATTAGATTGGTGCAAAAGTCATTGTCGTTTTCGCCAAGTTACTTTCAAAAACCACAATTACTTTTGCACCAACCTAACAGTTGACACGTATGTGAAAATTGTTGTGTTTTGATCCTGGATCCTTATAGAATTCTTGTAACTTTGCTTTACCGCAACTGAGTACATTGACTCTTGGAATAAAAATTATATTTTCTGTAAAATATATGTTTAGGTTATTTATTAACTATATATAAATTTTCCTTTCGATTTATTGTATTGGCTAGATCCTGAAGATGATGCTGGGTAGACACTGTGAAAGAGGGCATCCTTCTGTTTTTCCCAATTTAATGAGAATGCTTCTGAAAGTTCATATATGTGTATTGAAGTTTTTAGAGGATTCCATTCATTAAACAGAGGAGTTGCTTTCTTCTCTCAGCATGGTAAATGTTGGGTCAATGAAAAAAGAAAATGTACTGTATACACACAATGGAAAACCCTTCAGCCATAAAAAAGAAGGAAATCTTGTTCCTGATGACAACATAAATAAACGTGGAAAACCTACGTTGAGAGAAATGTCAGGAACACAAAGACAAATACCACATAATATCACTTATATATGGAATCCAAAAAAGTTGAACCCACAGAAGCAAAATGGTGGTTTCCAGAAGCTAGGGGATTGGTCTAGCAAGATGTTAGTCAAAGGATACAAAATCTCAGCTGGAAGAGATAAGTTCAAGCATTCTATTGTATAGTATGATAACTATAGTTAACAACAATCTACTATAAGCTTGCAAATTACTGAGTACACTTTAAATTTCTCACTACCAAAAAAAAAAGTATGTGAGGTAATGTATGTATAAAGTAGCTTGATTTAGCCATTTCACAATGATTTGACAGATATAGCAAAATATCATCTGGAACACCATAAATAAATACAATTTTTATTCGTCACTATACAAAAGGAGCTGATCAATAGTAACAATTGTTGAAAATATTTTAACTGGATCTGAGACATTACGAATTTTTGTAGAAGTGCATTAGGGAAGTGCCTTAGGAAAGAAAATTTTTTTATTCCAGGTGTGGTTGATAGAGTTGAATTACAGTAACATTTTGTTTTAAATAACCTTTTTAAAAAATACATAGCTAGGTGTGGTGGCACAGAGCTGTTGTCCCAGCTGCTTGGGAGGCTGAGGCAAGAGGATTGCTAGACCCAGGAGTTTGAGTCTAGTCTGGGCAACATAGTGAGAACCCATCTCTTAAAAAATAATTACTTTTTTAAACCTAAGAAATTAGCTCTAGTTGGTCAAAAAGTATAATTATTTTAAAATTACTGCACTTATTTGATATATTTTAAAATGTGAGTATTTGTATTCATGTTCACATTGAACATCATAAATGAAATTTTCATCATATATGAGATTATTTTATAGTTTTTGTTTGTTTTCCTTTGCTAATTCTGTTTTGCATAAAGTTAAATGTCAGCTTCTAAGCATTCTTATTTCCCATATTTGTGTCTAGATTAAGAAAAGCAAATATTTGTTTTTTAAGACTTTAAAGTTGGTTAGAAGCAGTGTTTATGTTATAAATTAACCTTTCTCGTTCTTTACTTTGGTCATCAATATCTGGTTTATAAAAATAAATATTTTCAATATTTTCATAACTTTTTAAAGTTGAAAGCAAGAATTTAATGTTCTATACTCCTCTCTTGGTATCTTTAGCTTTAAAAAATACATATTAGGTTTGAAATTGTCTTTTGAGAATATCTTTGATATTTTTCTCTTGGATTTGATACATAGGGCTCTTATTTTTCATATATAGATGAGTGTACACAGATATGCATAGAAATTACCAAACTTTAAACATACATACAAGTGTGTATGGGAATAAATATGGGTTGTTTGGCCAAGTTTAAAAATTTCATTTATTCTTCATATTAAGCCAATATACGTGTATGATATCATTCACAGATTGATGGATATTTTCTTTGTGGCCTAATGTCATCAATGCCTTCCAATTCTATAGGTCTCATTGTAAAGAGTAGTTTATGCTTCTTTGGATTCAGAGTTATCCATGTATTTATTAAAACATATATATAGTTGTGTTATTCAAATTCTTTATTTTCTTCTTGGTCCCTCCTGTGTTCTGACAAGACCCTGTTATTTGTCTCATCAAAATATTTATCTCTGTTTGTATTAATTGCCCATGTATCTGTCATTTTCTTCTCTATTTTGTAAATACTCCTTGAAGGCAGTCAACATTTTGTCCCCAGTTTAGTACATGGCTCACAATAATTAGTATGTCAAGTATACTACATGGCTCACAATCATTCTCAATATTATTTGTTGAGTGAATGAACATTCAGTAATTGGCTGATGTTCACCATTATCTTAAGGGTTTCAATAATCTAGAACTTACTGTGAACAAACTTAGTATGAACCCGAACATTTTCTCATCCCACCTTGATGTCAATGGATTAATTCCTCATAAATATTAAACTATTATAAAAATTGTACGTGATTATTTTCTTTTTATTTTGCTGCAAAGCTAGTGTAGTTAGCTTTGGGGGGTTAATATTATTGATTACTTATTAGCTAATCCTGATGACTGAAACATAATTGCAGTTAACTCTGAATATTTAAAATATATTAGGAAATTAAGCAGATATTTAAGTTTAATAAATGATTTACTCCAGTATCTGATAGAACAATTCATCTCAGACATCCGTTCTCAGGAAGTCTTATACATTTCCCTGATTTGATCCTTCATGACTTCTTTTAGTTCGTGTGGAATTGTACACATTTTCTCAGCTCTTTGATGGAATGAGTCAGATTCTACTAAGACTGATATGCCCAGTTTCCCTTTGTGTCACTTATAGTTAGTCTCTTCTACCTCAGTGATATACAAAGAAACCCTGGGGGGCTTTTACCTCAATAGTAAAACGTTTCCACTGGCACAAGTTTTTCACTAGAACGGCCCACCAGTGAGCTTTAGAGCACATATAAAAGTTGTTTTCCCTGTAGCAGCCTGGCTGACTTTCCCTTTCATCGAGAACCCCAGGGATTTGATGTGAATCATTCCCATTGAGGTTAATTGGACAACACATTGAGAAAACTGGCCATAAACTCAAACATCATCTGCTCTGATGCTAAAGACCAAAAAGCACAATTGTAGTTTATTTTAATTGGCACCCTCCTGTGAAGGGAGAAAGAAGTCAATTATCAGATTATTCTAATTATCAGAAGCATGCAAGCATACCCCTGTGTTGAGAGCTTTTTTTCCTTCTTCATTCAACAACTATGTTGTTCCCTTACATTTTATTTGACAGAAAATATTTAGATTAATAAATACAGCCCCTATTAACTATTATCATATGTACTGAAATGGAAATAAAATATCTTTTAATCAAAATCTGGCTTGGATATTTTATTTATCAATGTAAAACTTAGTTCACTCATCCATTTCATATCTTGTGGACTTTTACTATGTGTCAGACATATTTACTTGAGAAACTATTTTTCAAATATACATATTTGACGCATATTTTTCTGGAGACATTTTTCCTGGTTTATGTTTATTAATTAGAAATACATAAGGAAGCCTAGCTCCTCTGCGAATGGACTTTATCTTCTGCAGCACCTGGGTGCAACAAACTCAGTCACCTGGAGACAGGAGTGAAAACTTTGTTTTGCAGGAAATATTACTGAAATTGTTTTAAAAATACAATTTACTAAATAACGAAAGGATTGAGATGTAAAAGGTGAGGTCAAAAATAATAACAATCTCTTTCTTATTAGAAAAATGTTATTTTAACTTTTTAATGTATTATCATTGACTTAATCACATAGCTTTAGCTTTGTTTCTAAGATGCTAAATTATCTTCATCATCAAACATTCTTTAGCTCAGGACACTGGACTGGCTGCTGAGATGTTGAGAAATGGTCACTATATTCAGGATGTGTTAACAGATCTGTAAGGCAGAATATGTGTGCAATACATATAAGTTAGTATCACCAGATCATAAACTGCCTGACAACATGGACCATATACTGTAGTATTTATCTTTTACACCTTCACATTAAGTTGAGCATTCTGAGGAACTCATTCAATGCTTACTAGAGAACTGAGTTGAGAGTAAGTTTATTTGTCTTAAGAATCTACTATATTCTCATGATCTGAAATCATTATTTCCTTTAACATGGCTTATTTTTATAGAAAATCTGGAGGTGTTTATTTTGGAAAGTGAATTTACAGAGCAGTCTTTATTAGCATCACTCATTAAGCCATGCCAAAAAAGGAATCAGTCAAAGGAAACATAGAATATTGTATGGGAAATAATGCTCCATTGTTTGCATCATAAAACAATGAATTTAGTCCTGACTCTCTCAGTTGCTAGTTACATGATTCTTCTCACTTTCTTGTTATATAAAATGAGAACAAAATCTAGCCGCTTCAAAGGTGGTTGTGGTAATTAAATGAACTATTATAGTACCTCGGTGTCAATACATGAAATCTGTGTATTGGTGTCAATCTCATGAAAGTTAAGCATATTATGTATTAAAAGGCCATCATTTCTCTAGCTTCACAGTGGACATTATATATAAAAAATCACCAAGCTTGTCTCTATGTGGAAATAATAAGGTAATATATTTAGTTGGATTTGTGTTCTTTCCTGATGTCCCTCCCCCACAAACACTGTTCCACAATAATCACAAAACTCCTCATAAGATTATCATATTTCAGATTTAATTTGGTTATTATGATGGTGATAAAAAAATAAATCCAAATGATTTAAAGTGAGGATGGAACACTTCAACTATAAAGTCCTTTCAAGTATGCAAAATTTGCTGTCAACAAGGTTAATCATTCACTCCTCTCAGCTGGCACCATCTGAACCATATCCCTGGAGAGAGTAGCTTGATTCACTGTGGCTATATTTTGTGAATTATGAGTAAGTCATTTCCATGGCAAGCCCAAGGTGTGACCAAACCAATATAAGAATCACATCTTTTGCAGGGCGCGGTGGCGGTAACCCAGCTCTTTGGGAAGCCGAGGTGGGTGGATCACCTGAGGTCGGGAGTTTGAGACCAGCCTGACCAACATGGAGAAACCCTGTCTCTACTAAAAATACAAAATTAGCCGGGCGTGGTGGCGGGCGCCTGGAATCCCAGGTACTCGGGAGGCTGAGGCAGGAGAATCGCTTGAACCTGGGAGACGGAGGTTGCAGTGAGCCGAGATCACGCCACTGCACTCCAGCCAGGGCAACAAGAGCGAAACTCCATCTCAAAAAAAAAAAAAAAAAAAAAAAAAAAAAATTGCTCACAGTTAGTAATTGGCATATTGTTTTCTGATTTACAATTTAAAAAAAAACTCATCTTTGAAACTGTGTCTCCTAGAACTACTTCTTTTACCAAGGTATCAGTCAGAGACAGAAATTACTCATTGTTAGTTTGAACAACAACAACAAAAATTATTTAAAGAATGGGTAGGCAAACTTTTGTCTGTAAGGGGTAAGACAATAAATGTTTTAACCTTTGCAGGCCATAGATATGTGTTCTTTCTCTACTCAATCAGCTCTGTCTTTGTGGCATAAAAGCAGCCATGGATAATATGGGTGTTTCAGTAAAACCTTATTATTTGCAGAACAGGTAAGAGAGAGCAGGCAGGATTTGGTCTATTGGCCATATTACTGCTGACCCCTGCTATAAAACGTTGCTAACTAGTATATATATATATAAAAAAAAGGTTAACTATCATCAAAAATAGAATAGTAAAAGAGTACTTCAAATAATTTAGGAATAGCAAATATAAGGAGACTACACTACATTTAAGGATGACAGAATACTCAAGGAAGAATCAAATTTGGAAGAGCCTCTATCCCCACCCTCACCCCTGAGTCTGGCTTTTAGATCTCACTGGAGAGGGTGTGGCTGTAGTCCACTGTATAACAGAGGAATTTTCTGAGGTGCCGTGGCCTGGCGCTGAAGCACATGAAGCTACTTGCAGGGGTGCAATAGAATCTGCTGCAGTTCCAAGAGGCTAGAGTTTAATCCAAATGCAATTAGATTAAGATTACACATTAAAGACGGAAACAGAAAAAAAATAAACAAAGAAGAACAGCTTCAAAATTCCAAGGGAAAATATTTGCCAATTTAGGGCAAAATACAGAAATCTACATATATAAAATACCTGTATTATATTTGCCCAAAGAACAACTAAAAGAAACACTTTGTTTAAAAAAAGGAAACACTGAGATATAAATGCAATTTTGAGCAAAATAATACGGTAAGATATATTGTTAAATCCAAATAAGAATTGGCAAATAAGAATAATAATCTTTATTTAAAGATTATTAAATAAAAATTTAACAATTTTTTTGCATATTTCAAAATAAAAAGAAAATAAGATCTGTATAATGGCATTCTCATGAAAGGGATTTGAATCGCTGTTTAAACCCTACTATTACTTTTCTTCACTATGAGGAATACAGAGCTACTGATGAACTTCAAACATTAATGGAAGCGTGATATAATATATAAAATGAAAAGAAGGAGGATAGCTACTGAAAGCACAGATTCAAGGAGGTTTGAACATGGACGCAATGTCAAGACCTTTCAAAGAGGCATTGAGGAGTATTTAGACAATCCAGCCGTAGGCAATACATTAAACTGCAGAAGACTGAGTAATTATGAGGACTGTAGTTCAGACCCAAATTTGGAATAGAAAACTGAAATCAGAACCAAAGACAATGGGACACAAGGTAGGGAGTCTGCCATAAAACCCTGATTGGATAGAAATATAGTCTTTATCATGGGCAATGATGTGAACCCATAGTAAACTCAATAATAACTAGGACTTTATCCTGTCCTCAAATATTAATCTACTATAACATTAGCCAGGTACTATTACTTTCACAGGGATAAGTCGTAGAGGAGCAATGAGGTCCAAAATACGGTACTCTTGATATGAAAAACACCCAGACGGGTACTTAGAAGAGCAACATATTGAGACACATTACATAGTCTGGGGACAGGTGAATTAGTCAAGAGCAGGACTTGACAAACTACTCGTCCAATTTAGTGGCTTGTTTTTGCAAACACAGTTCTGTTAGTGACACCCATGCATTTGCATATTGTCTATGGCTGCTTCTGCTACTGTGACAGAGTTGAGTAGTTATGATCAACGTTATATGGACAACAATGTCTAAAATATTTAGTATTTGGTCCTTTACACACAAAGTTTTCCAACCCCTAAACAAAAAGAACATTATAAAATAAAAAAGGAATGATGACTGGTGTTGGAAGTGGAGTTGTCTGCTATGAGATTTTCACTTAACAAAGGTTGAAGTATTCAAACTGAAGAAAACAGAACTCTTATTCTCACCTAAAAAGAAGCATTAAAAATAGAAAACCCTAAAATAAGAGATAGGTACTGATTCAAGTTTCTGAGTCTCTGTACTCTAAAATTATGGTCAAAAGAGGAAGTTCTGATCAAGAGTGTGGTCACAGCCAGAGATCATGAGAGGATAAGTGATCAGAGCCTGAGCTTTGGAATGTGGGTAAAAATTCCACCTTCCAAATTTCTTCCAGTGAATTCTTCCTCTGACTATCTATGTCAACATTTTGGAAACTGCTTTGTGGCTATAAGTTGATGATATTTTTTACCATATCAGGGTTGTTTCGATGTATTCATTACCTTAGGATAAAACTCAAAGTCCTTAATATAGCTTGAGAATCCCTACAAATTCTAGTTCCTGTCTCTGTCTAAAATTTCTATCTCAATACTTTGCCTTTGTCCTTGCATAATGGAATTTCATTCAGCACCTTCTACTTTCTTTCTTGTCCATGGACTTTTGGATTCTCATCTTCCACTAAATGTTTTTCTAACTTTTAGTGTTTTGTTTAAATATCACTTTCTGATGTGAACCTTCTCTGACCCCTAAATGGATTGCCTTCCCCATTTCCTGCATATATCTTCATATCTCACGTGTTATCCTCTTAGCAAGCATAATTAGTTCCACCTCTGTATCCTCTTTATAGCCAGAAAATACCTTTAGTAGGGTAGAGAACATGTATGTCTTGTTCAAAGTTCTATGCATGAAACGTGGTTTAGGTAGATAATTAACATTTTTTTAAAAATAGATAAAACTATGAACAAATGCATTTATTATTATTATTCTCATTGCCAGTAAAAATGTGGCATTTCTTAAATCTTCTGTTGTCTCATATTCTTGTTTAAAATATTTAGAAGAATGGACTGATTATTAAAAAATGCATTACTCAGCTTTATATAATGACCTATATGATAACTTAAATTAGGTCAACATTTTGGTGATCAAAAAAGATAATCATACAAAGTGCTCAAGACAGCATCCAGTACCTATTAACCTGCTCAACAACAGTTAACCAACGTTAGTACAAATTCCTCTCATCTTTTATTCTTTGCCTCCTAAGGAGAAGAGAAGAAAAAATAAGGAATCCAGTCCATTTTGTGGGCATAATGATAATTTCTTCAGTCTGTGCAGACTTTCTAAGTTTGAAGAGAGAATTGCTTGCAAAGACAAATTATCTCAGGGGTTAACATTGTATATACATGACATATGGAAGAATGTATGTGGTTAAATCTTGGTGTTTCCAGTACATTCTTAGCACAATTTTTAAATAACTTAGCACTCTGTCACGAGATATTTGATGAGTTAGAAAGTTGGAATTATTTCAGAATGGTAATGACATTTTGTTTCTATCTTTTAAGGAGGTGCAAATTCCTCACATTCATCACTTTAACCTTTACCAAGGTCTTGGTTGTGTGATTCAGTGCCCTTTTTCAGAGAGCTTTTAGCAAATATTATTCTACTATTAAAGAAAAAGTGAAGACAAAGAGACCAGAGATTGAGGGCTGAGTGGCAAAGTTTTACCACTAAGCAGGGAACTCAGTTTAGCACAGAGCAGGGTGAAACTGAAGGAGGAGAAAAGAAAGATGTTTGTAATGACTGAAGATTGAAGACTCTGTTTTGTGCATATATGAAAATATATGCGGGAAATGGGGAAGGCAAAGTGAGTGTGGCTGATCAGTTGGTTAGGTAAGCCCTGGACTGGCTGGGGGAGATTGGATGCATGAGTGGAATATCTATTTCTGGATCACGGCATACTCATCTGCCTTTGCTAATATAGAAATATAAACTTCAAGCAGTTTCAACACAAATTTTTTGCTTGATGAACGTGATTTTGTTCTAGTAACGTAACATAGTCACAGTCAACCACATAATTTATCAATTATTAACTGATAGAAATACAAATTGTCAATTATTTTCTACAATAAAACTTTATTGAAAATATTTCTATCTGTACCAGAGCATGAGACCAAACCATCCTTATGTATACATGTCTTCAAAGATGTATGCTAAAGATGTGGAAACTGTATTTGCTCTAATAAGTAAACAAGTCAATGTGTACTTTGTAAGTTACAGAAAAGAAAAAGCAAACATAACCAAGAAAAAAAATATTCTATATATAGTTTTTGTGTTTGTTTGTTTTCATGACCCATAACTGATATCTGAAAATGCAACTAGCATTTGTGAAATGTATAAGATGACCTGGTTTGTTGCAACCTTCTTCTGAAATGCTCCCACACATTTTTTTACTCGTCTGTTCTAGATTCCCAGAACTCTCTTTTTATTTAATCACAGGATATTTTACTATAGGGATAGATAAGTAAGTGTATCAACATTTCAACCAGAAAAAAAAATAGGCATGAAACCAGGAATACAAAACCTATAATTCCCTAAAAGCATCTCTTTGGCCCCTATCCATTTCACCATTGTTTGACCACTTCTGGGGAAAGTATGTAGTTCTCAGCTTTGTAAATTCCCATTCTTGCTTTCTTTATACATTATACATTTCATCATATGTAAATGAATTTATTGGCAATTGGCAAACATACACAATGTAATACCATGTTTATTTACTGTTGAAGGGATTAGAAGAAAATTGGAGAAGGTGGCTTCTATTTAAGGAACAGGAGAAGGAACATTAGTATAAGTGGTAAAACTAAGCCACATGAGCTGATATATTTCATAGGATCCTTTGGTAACTCCAAAGAGCATTTTTGTTTCCTGATTTTGTGGAAATAATTTGTTAGTAACTCTTGGGTTGATCTCAACCTCCTTTCCTTATGCACAACCTCCAGGCTGTATGGCATCTCAAAGAATACTGAACTGGGAATGCAAACAATGTGCATTCATATTGCTTGTAATATAGAGTGTGCGCCATTTTTATTTTCTCAAGGAATCTTTACTCCACTATGGTCACACTCAGAAAAGTCATTACCTCCCAAAAGATAAAATTCTTCTTCCTTAAGTCAAACTCCGTGTTAATATCAAGAGAATATTAAAATGTTCTCTTTGCTTTTAGTATATATGATTATGAATGACAAAGGGGAGGACCCCAAACTAGAAATTGCCTCTGGGGCTAAATATATTAGTTAGCCTATGATTAACACCACCTCATTAAGACAGAAAAGGCAATTATGGTGAAGAGACTGGAGCCTATATTGACCTCTCCCTAGCTGTACTCAATGCCACACCACTGTGATAATTGAAAGACTTGTAAAACTTTGCCTTCAAAAGCAGAGGCAACCCAGCCATACCAGGGAATGTCTTGGGTGCTTTAGAAGATTTTCATATTTACATTCTACATTAATATGTGAATCCAGTTAATAATAAGCTGATCATTAGCTAGGTTTATAAAGAGCAACTGCACAGTACTCTTGAGGATTTGGCTTGACTTACAATTTATTATTGTCACAATTCTTCTGTCATTGAGTGCTTTAGTGTCCTGAACTATATTTTAAATTCTTTCGATTTGGGACTTATGGTCTAAGGACTAAACCTAATGAATTCTTGCAGCAAACACAATTTCCAATTACTGTTTGGAACGCACTTTGAATCATTCAGGGATTTTACCTTATAAACAAAAGGGAAAATAGAGATTGTAAATACGAAAATGGAAAAGAAAACTGTTGAGAGCTGTGAAGATAACTAACTATGAGACTAAGAAATAGCCTGCCTGAAACATAATGGGAATAAGTGGAGAATCTCAAGTTTTAATAAATGCCTTATCTGTGCTTTTATTAAGAAGGATTTTGAAAAGCTCTTAACTGAGTTAAAAGGCCACATTTGAAAAAGTGGATGAAAAACTCTACTGGCTTTAAATATGTGAGATATTCTCTTGTGTGAGTAATTGACTAGCCTAATTAAAATGAAAAGCCTTACAGAGAGAATCAAGCAGAGAGGAAATTGGAAGGAGGTTCCACACAAAATAGATGCCTATTAATCTACTCTGAAAGGAAAATGGAACCTCTGCTTGTTCAAGGGCAAAATTTGATGTCAGCAAGGAACAGACAGGTTGTCCAGAATGGAGTTGGAACCTCGCTGTAAGGGCAAGATATTTCAGCAACATGTTTGCTCTGACCTGGCTTGAACATTTATAGGAAAACAAAGGAAAAAAAATTAGTGTTTGACCTATACTCCTAGAAAAAAAAAATTATTAACAATTTCCAAAGTCCTAAATTCTGTAGGGAGTTCATATGCATAGAATATCAAAGACATAAACCATCAGAAGGTAGAAAGATCTTTGTCATTACATAAACTTTTTTATTTGTTTAGTTTTAAATCACTTTTTGAGGTGTGATTGACATGCAAATATCGGTACGTATTTATTGTACGAGTAGATGAGTTTGGAAATCAGTTTACACCCATGAAACTATCACCACCATCTATGCCATAAATATATCCATCACCTCTGAAAGTTTTCTCTCACCGTCTTTATTTATGATTATTTCTTGTGGTAAGAAAACTTAACATAAGATCTAACCTCGCAGCAAATATTTAAGTATAAAACACTACATTGCTGTATGCAGCCATAAAAAATGATGAGTTCATGTCCTTTGTAGGGACATGGATGAAATTGGAAATCATCATTCTCAGTAAACTATCGCAAGAACAAAAAACCAAACACCGCATATTCTCACTCATAGGTGGGAATTGAACAATGAGAACACATGGACACAGGAAGGGTAATATCACACGCTGGGGACTGTTGTGGGGTGGGGGGAGGGGGGAGGGATACCTTTAGGAGATATAACTAATGCTAAATGATGAGTTAATGGCTGCAGCACACCAGCATGGCACGTGTATACATATGTAACTAACCTGCACATTGTGCACATGTACGCTAAAACTTAAAGTATAATAATAATAAAATAAAATAAAAAATAAAAATAAATAAAATAAAATAAAATGAGGCAGAAAAAAAACCCACAACATTGCTAACAATAGACACAATTCTTTTCAGCAGATCTCTAGGACTTATTCATCTTGTACAATGGAAACTTTGTACCCTTTCACTATTACTTACCCATTTTCCCCTCTCCCCAGAAGAATGGCAAGCACCATTTTACTCTGTTTTTATTAGCTTGACAATTTTAGATTCCTCATATAGATGAAATTATGTAGTATTTTTCTTTCGGTGTCTGGCTTATTTCCCTTAGCTTAATGTCCTCCAGGTTTATCCACGTGGTTGTAAATAGCAAGATTTTCTTTTTTTTTTTAAGCTGAATAACATTCATTTTATGCGTATCACACATTTTCTTTATCCACTCATTTGTCAATGAACATTTAGGTTGCTTCCATATCTTGGCTCTTGTAAGTAACCCTGCAGTGAACATGAGGTACAGATATCTCTTCATGATTCTGATTTTAATCCCTTTAGATAAATACCCAGAAATAAGATTGCTAGATTTTGAACCTCCATATTATTTCACATGGTAGCTACAAAAATTTATATTTCCACCGAAGTATAGAAGGATATCCTTATATCCACATCCTTACCACCTGTCAATACTTATCTCTTTTTTTGATAATAGACATTCTAACAGATGAGAACTGATGAACTGATATCTCATTGTGCTTTAATGTCTGTTTTCCTGATGACTGGGAATGTTGAGCATCTTTGGTCATATTTATGTCTTGTTTGTTCATTTTGTGTCTTCTTTGGACCAAGGAATATTTTTTCATAACAAAACAAGCAAGGCAGTGAGTTCAAATCTATGTGATTCACAGGTCTTACCATGCAGTCACCACCCAGAAATAGCTGGCCTTAGAAGTCAATAGAATGGTCTTCTAAAACAAAGTGACACTTCTAGATGGGAGAAAAACCTTGTGGATTTAGTGGTCTATTATAGAGCATATGATCTATTCTCCAAACCAATTATTACTCTGTGGAACTCTTCCTCTTGTGACGGAGAGGACAAAAGGCTGGAAATAGAGCACAGCAAGTCATTTCCTAATTTTTAATAGGGATTTTTGTTTGGTTCTTTTGCTATTAAGTTGTAGGATTTTTTTTGTCTATTTTGGATATTAACTATTTATGGGATATATGATTTGCAAATATTTTCTCCCATTCTGTAGGTTGCTTTTCATTTTATTGATTGCAGCATCTTTTTAGTTTAAAGTAGTTTTACCTTTCAATTTTTGCTTTTGGTGACATAGCCAAGAAATCATTGCCAAGGCCAAAGTCGAGAAACTTTTTCTACTTGCTTTCATCTAGTTAATAGCAAGCTGATCACTAGCTAGACCCACAGTTTCAGGTCTTATATTTAAGTATTTTATCCATTTTGAGTTCATTTTTCTGTATAGTATAAGATGATAAGGGTCCAATTTCATTCTTTTATACCACATAATGTTAGATGCTTAGATATCACAGGCACTTTAAATTCTGTCTAAATGTGGCAAGAGGACAGCTAAGTTAAAAAGGAAATAAGGAAAAGGAGGGTCATAGGGAGAAAACTAAAACTGTACAGGTAAATTGGACAAGACGGAGAAATGAAAAGGAACAGTAATAGGGAAATAAGTCCACCTTGAGAAATAAGTCCACCTTGAGAAATAAGTCCACCTTGAGTCCTAGTTTCCTTGTGTGACCCAGACCTTTTCAGGCTTTGTTCCAGAGAAACACATTTGTGCCTTTCTCTAGCACACAGCCCTATGTGTCTTACATACTCAATGTGTATATTAATGATGCTATTTCTTATATGCCCATCACCCTTCAGACAAGATTCATTTTCAAACATTCCTCTCCCATGCAAGAAAATTGTTGTGTCTACAATTCAGTATTATAAAAGAATTGGTCCAAAGCACTTTACCTATTAAAACACAACTTAATGCAGGAAAAAGCATAAAACAATGAGGTTCTAAGGGAAAACTGCTCTCCTGTTACCTTATACTCTTTCCTACCAGTGGTGAAAATCTGACGGAAGAACAACAAAACTTTGCTTTCCCTAGTGGAGAGACCAGCAAACACATTCTAATATATGTTAATAGTGTGTCACAAGACAATATTTGACTCTTCTGAGGCAAAGAAAATAGCTACCATTAAAAAAACTCAAATAAAACTGTTACTTTAACACTATGAAATGACTAATGACTATTATTCCAGTCATCTACGTGAAATATTGATGGCCCCTTAGAACAAATGCTTATTTAAGACTTTTAAACATAGGAGAAAAAAATACCGATTTTTTTATTAATATTTATCTTGAACTAAAGTACAGTTAATGCTTTATTTACAATGCTTTTCTACTTCTTTTGGTTAGTACAGTTTCATAATTTGATAACACAAGAACCTATATGCTGGCTTTCACTTGTTGTGTTTCCAGATGTTTAACAAATACAAATACTTCTTTACAATAACTTTGTGCCTTTATTTCCCACTTCTTATGACTAAAGATAAGTTTGAAATACAACTAAAGATGACTTCTTAAGGCTGGCAGGCATTGTCTTTCTAAGTACAGTATAACTTTTTAAATGAAGTTAGCCAAATAAATGAGAAACTAGAAAATATTTCACAAGACCTTTTATTAATTTACAAATCACAATATACCTCTCTAGATTGGGGTTCTCAACCCCCCAGGCCACGGACCCTTAGTAGTCCATGGCCTGTTGATAACTGGGCCACACAGCAGGAGGTGAGCAAACATTATCGTCTGAGCTCTGCCTCCTCTCAAATCAGCGGCAGCATTAGATTCTCATAGGAGCTTGAAACCTATTGTGAACTGTACATACGAGGGATCCAGGCTGTGTACTCCTTATGAGAATCTGATGATCTGAGATGGAGTAGTTTCATCCCAAAACCATCCCCACTACCTCTGTCCATGGAAAAATAGTCTTCCACAAAACTGAATCCTGGTGCCAAAAAGGTTGGGGACAGCTGCTCTACATGAGTAGTAAAAGGTGGTATCTTGTCATTACAATTCCAACAGAAAAATACAAAGAAGTTTGATTTGGGGAATTTACAAAGTCATTAGAGATCATCAGAAAGCACTTAGAGTGACTGGATCATTTAAAAAAATCAATGTAATTGTTACAACATTTCCCTACAACTGATCAAAGTAGTCATATTAAGCTAATAGAAAACTAAAATCCAGTTGTTACTGGAATATGCAAACAGCAAAATTGACCAGACACTTAAACAAACATGTCTGTGATTTTTCATTCACAGTGACAAAAATTCTACTATTAAATACATAAGACTTGGGTTAGTATATATGTGAATGTATAGATGTAGATATGGCATCTTTTATACAGTTAGGGGATACTAGTATCTTTTACACATTAGAGCAGCAGTCCCCAACCTTTTTAGCACCCAGGGACTGGTTTCATGGAAGACTATTTTTCCACAGACAGAGGTGGTGGGGGGATGGTTTCAGCATGAAACTGTTCCACCTCACATCAGATCATCAGGCATTAAAGTCACATAAGAAGCACACAACCTAGAGCCCTGGAATGCGGAGTTCGCAATAGGGTTCACGCTCCTATGAGAATCTAATGCCACCGCTGATCTGATCTGACAGGAGGTGGAGCTCAGAAGATAATGCTCACTTTTCCACAGCTCACCTCTGCTGTGTAGCCCAGTTCCTAACAGGCTGCGGAACTTGCTGCCTTAAAGGAAAGGGCCCAGTCTTGCTAACTGAAGAGCCCTTGGGCCCTCTATAATGGTGATACTCAGGTACTACATGGAGGGCATTGGGTGAGACTCTGAGACTTGCTGGCTTCAGGGGAGACTCAGCACATTACCAGCTGTGGTGGCTATGGGACAAAACTCCTCTTGCTTGAGAAAAGCAGAGGGAAAAGGGACTCTTGGATGGTATTTCTGGACCTGCCCTGGGCCAGAGGGAAGCCCACTGCCCTGAAGGGTGAGTCACAGGTCAGGCAGCATTTACCACAAGCTGACCAAAGAAACCTTAAGCCTTAAAGGAATATGGGTGGTAGTCTGGCAGTACTCCTCATGGCCTGGGGTGGCGTTGACCAAAGGGTGAGGCTCCTCTGCCTTTGGAAAGGAAATGGAAGAGTGGGAAGAACTGTGTCTTGTGGTTTCAGTGCCAGCTCAGCCATGATACAATAGAAGAGCAGGTAGACTTAGATGAATTAATTGGCTCAGAGAAGTTAAATCCTTTCCTAAATTCAATCTGTTGTTGGCTGATTAATTGCCCTTTCACTTTCATTCATTTTGATTTCTAAAAGGATTATTCCTCCTTATAAAGTTTTCAAATTGACAAGGAATTTGGTGGAAATGAAGTTCAATCTGTCCCTCCCTCTTATCATATGTTCAGATTGAAGTCACGTAATCTCCATGAGACTGTTCCAGCTCTAAGCTAAGAGCAGTGAGATCTGGACTCTGTGCTTTTCTCAGAATTATTAAAAATGGCTAAGATTGATCACTTCTTCTTCTGGAGTGCAATAAATACTTGATGAACACTGAACATGTGATAATAAATATAAATCTTGAGCCACATATTTGAGAATTCAAGTAATAGAAAACTTATTTCTTGATTACAATATTCAAACCAAATAATCATTCAGTCTTTTGTTCTGCCCCCCAAAAATAAAATTTCAATCAATTTCAGGTTATTTCTACTCTTTCTTCAAAGAAAATCTAAATTATGTTGGAGTTTTCAAATTGCCAAGGAATTTGGTGGGAATGAAGTTCAATCTGGCTGTCTCTCTTAACATATGTTCAGGTTGAAGTCATGTAATCTCCATGACAGTGTTCCAGCTCTAAGCTAAGAACAGTGAGTTCTGGACTCTGTGCTTTTCTCAGAATTATTCAAAATGGCTAGGATTGATCACTTCTTCTTTCATGTCTCCTTTCCTATGCTGAGGACCCAGATTTGATTCCCTGATGTTCTCCCTGTCCCCTCAACCCTGGTTATCTGGTTATCTTACTGTCTTTTATCTTTCCTAGGAAAAGGAGAGTAGAATAACGGCCTGACCATATTTGTAGGTGAAGCTTACAGATAACAGGCTAATATATGGATATATAGCAGCAAACAAATGATTGAATTCAAATAGTGCTTTGTTATTTTCTATAATGTTTTCCCATACAATGCATTAGATTCACACAGAAACCCATGAGATATCAGTTATAAGTATTTTAATTGCATAGATGAATTAATTGGCTAAGAGAAGTTAAATCTTTTCTAAATTTAATCTGTTGTTGGCTGATTCACTGCCCTTTCAGTTTCATTCATTTTAACTTCTAAAAGGATTATTCCTCTATTTGGTTATATGTGAGCATATATATAATATATTATATATAATATATATTATATATAATATATTATATATAATATATATTATATATAATATATTATATATAATATATATTATATATAATATATATTGTATAATATATATATGTATATATACACATGTAGAATATCTCATTTTATTTATTTTTGCATTTAGTAAGTGTGCTTATTTTGTATCCTGTGCCCAGGGGAATTTTTGTTTGCTTTTCTGCTTAGTCTCATCTGTGCTTTGTTTCTTCACTTCTTTTTCCCTAATTGTTAAAGTCATGTTATTTGGAGTTTCAAGTGAGGCAGTCCTTTGAGACTCCTTTTGAAGTTGGGTTACTCCCTAAAAATTTTCATTGTCTACCAGATACCTAAAAACACAGGAAATCTGGGGCTTACTGAAATCAAATTCTTGGCTTGACCTTTTACAGATCACCTTTGTAGTGTGAATTTGGAAGGGGAAACTGCATGAGATAGATTTCTCCTTTCCTTCTACCCAGGAACAAAACTCAAGATTTTTCTTGAGCTTTTTCTTGTTTTCCTTTTTCCTCTTCTAAGAATATATTTTATGTGGGTGTGGAGATTCGATGGAATTTTTGCTTCGCCCATAAATTGAGAGATTAGACTATTGTGATCCTAGTTCTATGAAGAGCATTTCCTACTAGATCTTCTATATCTCATCCCTGAGGGGTTGCAAAGCCATGAAAATCAAAGTTAAAGTTGATTGGACTGAAAAATGCCCACAGGGCAAATGTTCCTTCACTGCTACACTTATTTCTCTAGATTCTAACTTTCACTGAGTATTTTGCCCCTGAAAATGCTTCTTTTCTTGACAGTTTCATGATATATTTTTTAAAAATAGATAAAAATGTATTCAATACTTCTAGTTGTTGTATTCAAGACATTCGGTATAGCCAGTCTTCTAAATTATCAGAAGAGCATGTCTAATTATCTGTTGTTAGAATATTAATTTAGTTTTTATTATAGATGTTACTAAATCTTTGTGCTCATCTTTAAATAGATATATAGGAATAATCCAGTAAGTAAAATTGATTAGTCAAATAGCATGCACATGGTTAAGACCTTTAATTATGTACTGACATATTGAGCATCAGTAAATTTTACTATCATACAGGGCCAGAAAAACAGGATAAGAGACTAGATATAATTCCACCATTTTACTTTTGAAACATGGAAAACGAAATGGTACATTTATTTTATGTAATACTAGACAACATTGATGAGGATGAATTAGATTTAAATGCGCTACCTGATATGGAAAATATCTAATGTGTATTGTTAAATGCAAAACACTACAGTGTATATATTTCATTGCTCTATTTTGCAGTTCTTTATTAGTACAGAATAATTAGCCATTTTTTTGTGCAATGACTTTTCATATCCTCTTATTTTTTATCATTATGTAGAATATTTTTGAATTTGAAATATTGTATATTTTAAGAGTACTTGATTTTTGCCATATACTTAAATAACATCTCAGTTATCATTGAGGTTTTAGTTTTACGTCATTCCTGATATAAAGAAATTTTAAATATTAAAGTTTAAATGTTAAACATTTATTTTTTACTCTCTATATCCTTCTTTTGGCAATACACTTAAAATATTTTTCTTCTTACAAGTTTTTGTTATTTTCCACATGTTTTTATTATAATACTTTATTCCATTTTTACCCATAGAAATTTAATTAATCTGGTTGGGTTTTGGTACAAAGAATAAAATGGTAAGTCTGACCCAAACCAATTATTTAAAAAGTCTTTATCTCTCCACTTATATGAAATATGTTAAGATAATTTATTTTATAATAATCTTCTATAGCACATGAATATTGTTTATATAGTGGTTTTGTTTAAAAAGAATACTGTGATATTTTTGCTTCTAAAGTGCAACTGAGTCAATGAAGTTGCACTGATATCTTGACCATTTAGATGACTGTTGGTGAAAATTTTTATGTATATAAATTCATTCTTTTTTTTTAACACCTATATTGTGTTTTTCTTTGAATCCAGCAAGATATCTCATAATAAAATCTGTGTTTTATTGGGAGTTCCTTCAGATGCTATTGGCAAAAACCTAATTTCAAATAACATAGTAAATGAAAAAAATTAAAGCAGTGAGAAAAAGAAAGTTTTACCAAATTATGGAAAGGTATTGTACTGAACCAGATGGCACCCTCTAAAAACATATGTTCATATCCTAATCCTTGGATTCCAAGTAAGGAATGCTGCCTGACTTTGGAAAAAACAAAAAACAAACAAACAAAATAAAACCCCAAACAGAACAACAACAACAAAAAAACCAGAAAAGTCTTTTCCAATGTGATTAAGTTAAGGATTCTGAGAGGGGTAGCTTATTCTGGATTATCTTATGTAGGGGGGTCCCTAAATACAATCACATATACCTTTATGAAAGACAAAGAAAGAGAGAGGGAGAGAGATCTTAACAAGTCATCATCGCCTTGAGATAAGATACCATGACTGGTTTAACATGAGTTACATAACTATTCCTTTGAACAGAGAAGCAGCAGCTGTGACTATCAGACACTGATAATACCACCTGAATAGTTCACAAAAAAGGGAGAAGCTTTTCTGAACAGATAAAATAAAATAAATAAATAAAAGTTTACTCTAGCTCATTCCTTTATTCTGTACACACACATACACCCCCTACACGCACACCCCTGCAGTGATAACTTCAACGCCTGCAAAACGCTAGGCTTCCCTTTCAAGATCACTCTTTTTGTGTCACTTACGTCCTTTTCAACCAGAAATCAGCACCAAATTTCTATAGCCAATGGGTCAGTCTGATTCAATATATGGCCTACATTGTAGATAATGAAGACGAAAAGGGTGGTCTATTTTAATAGCAGCCCTGCTATTACCTACTTATGGGCAATGAGAAACCTATCTCAATAAAAAATAAAATAAAATCTCAAGGTCTGTAGGTATAAAACAAAAATACATAGTTGAAGACGAGGTCAGTCATTACTGTCAGTTACATTAAGTGGCCTGCCTGATGTTACTTAATTATGATGTGAAGAAAATATAATATTAGAGAAGTAATAAATATTTAATATGTATAATCTATTATTAAGCAGAAACAAACACATGTATTATATGAGGATGGAATGGATTACACTATTAACCGTCAAATAAAATTTTCCCTCTGATTTTGCTGCCTAGCAGCACAGTTTACATTCCAAAGATGAACTAGTCAAAAATGGATACATTTCATGCATCACATAAACTATAGTCATGATGTCAGAGATCTAGAGAAAAGTCATATGACATTCTGAGATACACTTAGCAGATGAGAGAAATGATATACTAAAGGCATCAATTGCATAGTAAGTTGTGGGTGAAGCAGCATAAAACATTAGCTTGGAATTTGATGTGCCAAAAATACAAAATTAAATGTAATAATAAATAAATCTGAGAGCCATTACATCTCAAAAGCAATCCTCATATTTTCAACAGGAGAAATGATAGATCAGCTTGTGACTTCTTTAGGAAGAAATAACAAGATTTTTGAATTCTCTGACCTGACAGATCAGCAAATAGCAGGGGAGAAAATAAAAACATGCAAAGCTAGGAGGTGATTAAAGGAAATTACTTTTTATGATTAAAAATTAACTTTTAGCTACATTTAACAGATGTTTATTTCCAGAAAAATCATGCCCACACACATAAAATGAAGTAACTGCCTGAGACTAGAATTATGAAAATTGTGTTTTGTCCACTTAATTTTAAACATTAATGTTAAATTAAATGTTAAATGTTAAATTAAAATTAATTTAAACATTAATTTTAAACATGATGTGGCATATAGAATTATACAAAAAGTGGGTACCTACAGTTTTAGGTCTCTGTGTCTAGAACAATGTCTAGCACTTACATTTTTTTCAGTGAAATTTACTGCTGAATTTCTTAGGGACAAATAGAAGGTCGAACTATTTGGCTTGCCTACATCCTTCATCCACAGTCTGTGACAGCACAGATAGATGGCTCCGCTTACACAATGTCAAACAGTCAGATTTAAGCTAAATATATTCAATCCATCTGTTGGGTATTTTCAAATATCAAAATGTAGGGTTTTAGTAAACTAAACACTCAATTAATGGAATGACTCACTTTTTATCTAGTTCAGTTATTTGACATTGTATAAATCAAGAGTTGGCAAACTATGACCCACAGGTGAACTATAGCCCACAGGTCAAATCTGGCCTGCTGCTTGTTTTGGTAAATAAAGTTTCACTGGAACCCAAACATACTCATTCACTTATGCATTGTCTATTGCTGCTTTCAGTATAATTTGGCAGTTTCAACAGAAACTATAGTCCACAAAGCCTGAAAAACTTACTGTCTGTCCTTTTACAGAAAAAGTTGTTAACCCCTGGTCTATATCTAGTCAACTGTAAATATTTGGTTGGAATCTCATTAGAGATAAAAAAACGCTAAAAGTTAGCATATATGTCCTACATTAAAATTTGAAATTCCACCACCACTGGAGCACATGTAGGGTAATGGTAACCAAAACAGTTATAAAAGACAATTCAGGGCCCGATGTGTTGCTAATGAAAAAAGAAAAGTTTTATTTAGGAAAACACTTCAAATTAAATATTGAAACCTCAGAGACATGGAAGCCGTTCGGGTCAGGTATGACATCATAGCTAAAAGATTAAAAAGAGATAAAAGTTTTTTTCTTGTGATTAAGAAGTGGTTTGGGAATGCTTAACTATCTAAAATCACAGGTAAGAAGGAGACTATTAATTCTGCCTTTTCATACTACCTCACTCCCTCGTCTGCATCAGAGTAAATGATTGGTATGACAGTATGGACATTCTGGTTGATCCACGTTATTTTAGACAATTCAATCACAAAATTACAGTGATCAGGTAGTAATCTAATTGATTGTTCATTGATCTGCAATAATAGTTTAAATAAAGAAGCAGATTGACCAGAACGTGATTGATTTCTTTTGATCATGTCCACAGAGGCAGCTATAATCTCTTTAGCAGTTGTTTAAGCATAATTCACAGAATTACCCGCCTAAAGGATTTATGCAAATGTGCTAAAACTGTTCTACAATTTCAACTTCCAAAATATATCAAAGAGGAAAAAAAAGACAGATTTCTTCTATTTATTTATATATTTATTTTTGAAATGGAGCCTTGCTTTGTCACCCTGGCTGGAGTGCAGTGGTGCAATCTCGGCTCACTGCAACCTTCACTTCCCAGGTTCAAGCAATTCTGCTGCCTCAGCCTCTCGAGTAGCTAGAATTACAGGCACCTGCCACCACACTTGGCTAATTTTTATATTTTTGGTAGAGACAGGGTTTCACCACATTGGCCAGGCTGGTCTTGACCTCAAGTGATCTGCCCACCTCGGCCTCCCAAAGTGCTAGGATTACAGGCGTGAGGCACCACGCCTGGCCACAAAGACAAATTTCTAGCAAATAACACATTGAAAAATAAATTTCAAAGGCTTATGCCATATTTTTAAGTGTAAATAGTGGAATAAAAATTGCATTTAAGTAATTATTATAGCTGTGGGTATGACTGTGTGTGTGTGTGTGCCTTTGGACAATATTTTGACATTTTTCTAATACTGTATGGGGAATGACAAATAAAACCTTGTTGTGATAGAAAGCATAGGACTTAGAGTTAAGAAAAAATAAAGAACAAACAAACTTGGGTTAAAATTTCTGTCCCATCCTGATGGAGTGACTTTTCAAAGTGTCACAAATATGGTGTTGGCTCACCTCCTTTTTAGGCTTATCCTTCCCTCTGACCCCCCATGGAAGGAAGGTTAGCAGGTGTCAGCTGTCAACCTCTCAAGAAATTCCCCTTGGCTAAAGGCAGCTGTCTCTGTCAAAGTCACACCCTCTTCCCAGGACAGCCCTCACCCACTGGCAAGTCAGTAAGTTGTGCAAAAGACTGGACCTCATGTCCCAACTTGAGACAATTCTGAAGGACTATCCTGGCTTCAGAATTCCATGTAAGGTTGTCTGAAGCCTTATTGTGCCTACTCCACAACACAAATTATCCCCCTGTCCAATCTTGATTCTTTTCCTTCCCCAAAGTATTAATTTCAAGAGCACTCCTGAATTAACTTTCAGCATGGTAATCTCCATTTCAGAATCCTGCTTCCTGTAAGAGTCAGTACTAGGTGTAGTCTGAGAAAGCACATGAGATTTTGGAGCCAGAGCACCCAAATGCTGCTGGAAATGAAGAAACTGGTGGTAGGTGGAGAATCTATAGCCGTTAGCACAAATTAGCTGGTAAATGTGCCCTGGTTGATACAGAGTGACTGATACAAAGTTATCATGTGACCAGAACTACCCACCATACAGCTTGTTTGGTAACCTACCAAGTCATGAAATCAAAGAGGATTAGCAGAAATCTGTTGTGAAGCGGAAGTTGTGCATTTGGGATTGAGTATTAGCAGAAGCAGAAACCACAAAGTAGTTACATAAGCATGTTACCCAGACTCCTTGCCATACACTCTGTGGATTCAGCATCTCTCCCTTTGCTCGCTTTTGTGGTCAGACGGTTGCTCTCATATGACAAAATGATAAAGGAAAACAAAAAAGACCATGTTTATTTCACTGATCAGAGTGCTTAGCGTAAGTCACCAAAAGCTGAAAATGGATCACAGCTGGTGATCCACTTTGGATTCAAATAGAAATGGCCTGACATTAGTATATATATAGATGCATGAGCATTGGTAAATGGTTTAAGGAATGGCCAGAAGCTGAAAAGTGAAAAATAAATGGCTTGGTAACTTCATCAGAGACCTAAAAGAGAAAAAGTGGAACACTGGTGAGGAAGTCTTGAATAGTTGCATGTGGATGGGCCTACAGGAATGGGTACAAAGTGTAAAAATCTTTGTATTGAATGTCAATGCTTGCTAGTGATTATTCACCATGGACAAGGGACTAAATAGCCAAACAGAGAATGCCTTGGCTATTTGACATCAACCAGCCTCTGTTATTCCTCCCTCCCCCAGTTCTGGCACAATGAATAAGTGAACAGAATAGTGATGGCGGCAGAGATGGGCTCAACAGTATCGATTCCCACTTAGCAATCTGGTACAGATACTACAATTGATGAATATCCATCCTATTAGCTACAAAGTCTAAACCTAACCTCTAGATGTAGTCCTGTCACTCAAAGGGACCAATTATCCCCTTTGAAGCAGGTTTACTTCATTAATTTGCTTCATTCTAGAAGGGACAGTGGTTTATTTTGATGAGAATTGATATATATTTCAGGTATAGGTTTTTAGTTCCTGCTTAAAGGCCTCAGCTAGGACCATTAACCAGGGACTTACAAGTATTAGATACAATTATATGGCATATTCAAATAATATTATATGTACATTTTATAGCAAATAAGATATGCAGTGACCACATCATAATGGAATCCTATTGTTTTATCACATATTATATGGTCCAAGAGCGGCTAATCTGTAACAACAATGCGAAGACAGGTCTCAGTTCAGAAACAATATCCTGTAAAGACGAGGCAAAATCCTCTTGACAGCGCCTAAACACTGTATCAATGACCATTATATTGTGCTGCTTTCATAATAGGTAGAATTTGTAGTTCAGTGAAGAGGGGCCCTGGTTGCTCACTGTAAGTGACTCTTTTGGAGAAATGGGTTTTTCTGTCCCTACAGCTCTAGGTTATCTGGGCTTAAAAGTTATGATTTACAAAGAAAAAACACTTTCACCAGGAGACTTAGTAAGAGTCAAATTGAACTTTAAACTATTAATACATTTCCACCTGGGTGTTTTGAGTCCTTATAATCTAGGACAATGATGCAAGAAGAAAAATAACATCTTAACATAGGTAATTGACCCTGATGATCAGGAGGAAACATAGCTGATGCTAGATAAAGTTTCTGCCAGGGCAGGGAGGAATATTTTTAGGATTTTAGAGATCCATTTGGAAATTTCATATTACTCTTGTATCCAACTGATAGTAAAAGTGCACCAGTCTGGGCCTGAGATGTTATGGTAAGCAAGAGATCATACCTCTCAAGAATGAGGGTCTGGATGACCCCACAAGGAAAGCTAACTAAACTAGTAAAGGTGCTAAACAAGGGTGAGTGAAATCTAGAATGAACATTTTAAGAAGTTTATATTAAGCATTAGTTACATTCTTAAGACTAACTGCAGGGGCAGGGCCTTAATTTGACTCACTATCCCTCCTATTGTAAGAACCTCCCAAGGAAAAGGGGCCACAGAGGATGAAGTTTTGAGAGAAATACTTCTGGACCTCATCTGAATCAAGTGTATCAGACAGCTCAATAAATTAACTTTAGATGCTTAACTTTTTTTGTCCAGATTTCTCTTCAGTCCAGCTGCTAGGGAATTTGCCAGTGGAGGCTGTCAGTTGTCAGCCCTTTCTAGTAATTTCCCTTGGGCCAAAAAAGTCTAGTAATTCCCTTGGAAATAAGGTCACAACCGTATTTCAAGGCATCTTGTATCAAATCACTGGTCAATGCAGTAGTATAAAGCATTTGGCTCCCTCACCTCCAAATCAGCACATGTCTCCAGGGACATCCACAGCTCTTCATAATTGACTGAATCTTTTTCAAGACAGCATTCAGTCAAGTTATTTCTTTGCCAGTTCTGCTTTCTTTACTTCCCCTAAAGATGGTGATTTTAGGAGCACTACCTAAGAAACTTCTTGTATGCTAATCTTTGACTTGGAGTTGACTTCTAAGCCCCATCATACAACAAAAAGTTCTTTACCTTCTCTTATTCTCAGATAATTTTCTATTTCCTTTTTCTAAATGATGGATAATAGTCTAACACAGAGAGTTGTCATGGTGATTGAGCAATGCACAATAAAATGCCCAGTAAATTGCCTTGAGTATCTGGATATTCAATTAACTGCTAATTGCCTTATTTACTTTGCCTCCCAAAGTAACAAAGTGACAATTGATAATTAGCAGAATTGATTATTAAAAGTATGTATTATATAATTTCTTCTGATTTGCAAATGTCTTTTTGATGGTGTCATGTATGATAATCATTTTAAAAACAGATAACTATTTTTGTTTTAATTACTATTGTCATATTATCAGAATACAGTTCAACAGCAAACTTTACTTCAACAACTCCTTTAGCCTATTTATGATTCTAACTCATCCTTTAGGATTGAATAGTCAATAAGCATCAACAGAGCACATTTTTAGCAACTGTGACCATGGTTTGAAATTATATACCTTAGGACTTGAATGCAATTCAATTCAACGATGTTTGCACCTATTACTTGGGGTTAGTTAATACAAGTCTACCAAGGGAAAGGTATACCTGAATTTGAGTTTAAAGTATAAGTAGTAGTTGATTAGATGGAAAGAGAGAAGTCATTTAAGTAAAGAGAACCACGTGTGTAAAATTTTAGGGTGATGAAAGGGTGTGTACAGATGGCTGTGAATGAGCTGAGAGGTGATAGGCCATGAAATGTAACAGGTGTAAATGTAATATATTGAATTGAGGTTGAAAAAATCATTGTCACCTATACAGAATATGGTTTGCTTTGTTTCTGAAAATTTATATGAATTATGTAAAAATCTTGGGCCACAGACCTCATGTGGTTCAACAGTGACACCGCTGTGGTAGCTAAAACCAAACAAAACCTGTTGTGCAAGTAGACACATGACATTTGTCTATTTACTCCACATAGGAACTGTTGTGTTCAGATGTGGTTATCATATTGAAAGAAAGACATTTAAAAACTTCAAAAGGGAAAGTTGGATCTAGAACATTCTGGAAAAAAAACTCCACTTGAACGCATGCAAGTAGTTTTTAGACAAAATTCTTGAAGATAGGAATTTATTCCAATTAATGATTAAAATTGTATTCTTGGACATCAGCATTATTTTGTAATTAGTCATGTTAGCCCTCTGCTGCTATATAATTTCACAAATTGTCTAATGTTTTCTATAGGTCAAATACGAACTTTTATAATAAACAATGAGACCAGAACAATCAGCTAAACAACAGATAACTCTGTGGGCCAGAATGTTGGTCAGACCTACTTTTAAAAAGCCTAGAAACTCTTAAGCAGATTTGTTTGGTATGTACCTGCCTATGAAGTTCCTTGTTATTTCCTTTGATCTGACTTTTTGTCTGATTCTGATCATTGCATTGGCTTTCAACTCTGTTCAGTTTTAACACGTTGCTGAGTGTTGTGATTGTTGTTCTAGAACTTTAAAAATCTATCCTTTCTTTGATTTGGAGACATGTGGGTAAAGGAAGCTGGCTAGGAAGCATGCATAGCTGGTTGCTCTTGTGAGAATATGAGACAAGAAATGGCAAAGTATACCTCTTACCTGCAACTAAAGTGCATGAATTTCTGGAAAAGATTGTTGATTGATGTCAGCATTCATTTTCTACTTATTCAGTTTAGAACTGGGATGCTAAGTCCCCTCTCTGTTTCAGCTAGATAACCAGGATTAGCAATTTCAGACTACATTTTCCAGACTCCCTTGCTGTCAGTTTTGGGTATCTGAGCAAAAGTGATGTATTCATGTCTGGATCATTTCTTTAAGAAGGAAACTGCTTGCTCTTCACTTCCTCTTTCTCTTTTCTGATCTCCAGAAAATAAACAAACCCAGAAATAGAAGCTACATATAAAGCATAAGAGCAATTCCTCAAAATTCTATCTTCCCCTTATGACCTTACTTTTGGAAATCTGTTGTTATACCAGCTTAGTTTAAACCATATAAATTAGTGAATCATAGACATCAATCAATAAATTAAGAGAAAATAGCAAGTGCTGTGACTTGGCATGTGAGTGGATCACTGATATCAGCCATGGGAATCAAGAGTAAATAAAAATATTTTTTCCAGAGTGAGATGACAGGTCCACAGTATAAGTAGAAGCAGGAATCCAAAGGGAAATCTAAAGATGTAGGAAAGCTGAGGAGAAGAAATGGCAACAGTAGAATTTTGCAAAATTGACTCTATTATTTAAATACATGGCCAATGCTCCTGGCAACTTTATAAGAACTCCTAATTGGAATAGCATAGACACCTCGACCATAATAGATATTTAATTTTAGATTTCCATTACAGATTCATTATTTTCCCAGAGTTCAACTCTAAGCTGTGACATAGAGTCACGAAGAGGAGGGACTCTTGTATACTATTTAAAAGCATGTGCTGTAGAGTCACTTAGACTTAATTCAAAATATCTGTTCCTTCTCTTACTGTAACCAGACTTTCTGAAATTGTTTTTTATTCCATAAATCAGGACGGTAATTGTCAGGCCTCTGAGCCCAAGCTAAGCCATCATATCCCCTGTGACCTGCACCTACACATCCAGATGGCCGGTTCCTGCCTTAACTGATGACATTCCACCACAAAAGAAGTGAAAATGGCCTGTTCCTGCCTTAACTGATGGCATTATCTTGTGAAATTCCTTCTCCTGGCTCATCCTGGCTCAAAAGCTCCCCTACTGAGCACCTTGGGACCCCCACTCCTGCCCGCCAGAAAACAACCCCCCTTTTTCCTTTACCTACCCAAATCCTATAAAATGGCCCCACCCCTATCTCCCTTCGCTGACTCTCTTTTCGGACTCAGCCTGCCTGCACCCAGGTGAAATAAACAGCTTTATTGCTCACACAAAGCCTGTTTGGTGGTCTCTTCACACGGACGCAAGTGAAATTTAGTACCGTGACTCAGATCGGGGGGACCTCCCTTGCGAGATCAATCCCCTGTCCTCTTCCTCTTTGCTCTGTGAGAACGATCCACCTACAACCTCGGGTCCTCAGACCAACCAGCCCAAGAAACATCTCACCAATTTCAAATCCGGTAAGTGGCCTCTTTTTACTCTCTTCTCCAACCTCCCTCACTATCCCTCAACCTCTCTCCTTTCAACCTTGGTGCCACTCTTCAATCTCTCCCTTCTCTTAATTTCAATTCCTTTCATTTTCTGGTAGAGACAGAGACACGTTTTATCCGTGGACCCAAAACTCCAGCGCCGGTCACGGACTAGGAAAGGCAGCCTTCCCTTGGTGTTTAATCATTGCAGGGACACCTCTCTAATCAGAGAGGTTTCAGAGGTGTCAGGCCCCACAGGGACGCCTGCCTTGGTCCTTCACCCTTAGCGGCATGTCCTGCTTTTCTGGGGGAGGGACAGGAACCCAACCTCTTATCTCTGTGCCCCGATCCCTTATTTCCATGCCCCAACCCCTTCTCTGCTTTTCTGGAGGGCAAGAACGCCCCACCCCTTCTCTGTGTCTCTACTCTCTTTTCTCTGGGCTTGCCTCCTTCACTATGGGCAAGGTTTCAGCTTCCATTCCTCCTTCTTCTCCCTTAGCCTGTGTTCTTAAGAACTTAAAACCTCTTCAACTCTCACCTGACCTAAAATCTAAGCATCTTATTTTCTTCTGAAATGCCGCTTGACCCCAATACAAACACGACAACAGTTCCAAATAGCCAGAAAACGGCACTTTCAATTTTTCCATCCTACAAGATCTAAATAATTATTGTCATAAAATGGGCAAATGGTGTGAGGTGCTGGATGTCCAGGCATTCTTTTACACATCAGTGCCTCCCTAGTCTCTGTTCCCAGTGCAGCTCCTCCCAAATCTTCCTTCTTTCCTTCCCGCCTGTCCCTCAGTCCCAACCCCAAGCATCTCTGAGTCTTTCTAATCTTCCTTTTCTACAGACCTATCTGACCTCTCCCCTCCTCGCCAGGCCGAGCTAAGTCCCAATTCTTCCTCAGCCTCCGCTCCTTCATCCTGTAATCCTTTTATCATCTCCCCTCCTCACACCCGGTCCGGCTTACAGTTTCGTTCCGTGACTAGCCCTCCCCCACCTGCCCAGCAATTTACTCTTAAAAAGGTGGCTGGAGCTAAAGGCATAGTCAAGGTTAATGCTCCTTTCTCTTTATCCCAAATCAGATAGCGTTTTCATCAAACATAAAAATCCAGCCCAGTTCGTGGCTCGTTTGGCAGCAGCCCTGAGACGCTTTACAGCCCTAGACCCTAAAAGGTCAAAAGGCCATCTTATTCTCAAAATACATTTTATTACCCAATCTGCTCCCGACATTAAATAAAACTCCAAAAATTAAATTCCGGCCCTCAAACCCCACAACAAGACTTAATTAACCTCGCCTTCAAGGTGTACAATAATAGAGGCAGCCAAATAGCAACATATTTCTGAGTTGCAATTCCTTGCCTCCACTATGAGACAAACCCCAGCCACATCTCCAGCACACAAGAACTTCCAAACGCCTAAACCACAGCGGCCAGGCGTTCCTCCAGAAACGCCTCCCCCAGGAGCTTGCTACAAGTGCCAGAAGTCTGGCCACCAGGCCAAGGAATGCCCGCAGCCCGGGATTCCTCTTAAGCCATGTCTCATCTGTGCGGGACCCCACTGGAAATCGAACTGCTCAACTCACCTAGCAGCCACTCCCAGAGCCGCTGGAACTCTGGCCGGAGGCTCTCTGACTCCTTCCCAGATCTTCTCGGCTTAGCGGCTGAAGACTGACGCTGCCCGATCTCCTCGGAAGCCCCGTAGACCATCACAGACGCTAAGCTTTAGGTAACTCTCACAGTGGAGGGTAAGTCCGTCCCCCTAATCAATACAGAGCCTATCCACTCCACATTACCTTCTTTTCAAGGGCCTGTTTCCCTTGCCTCCATAACTGTTGTGGGTATTGATGGCCAGGCTTCTAAACCTCTTAAAACTCCCCAACTCTGGTGCCAACTTAAACAATACTCTTTTAAGCACTCCTTTTTAGTTATCCCCACCTGCCCAGTTCCCTTATTAGGGCGAGCCACTTTAACTAAATTATCTGCTTCCCTGACTATTCCTGGATTACAGCCACATCTCGCTGCCACCCTTCTTCCCAATCCAAAGCCTCCTTTGCATCCTCCTCTTGTATTCCCCCACCTTAACCCACAAGTATGAGATACCTCTACTCCCTCCTTGGTGACCGATCATGCACCCCTTACCATCTCATTAAAACCTAATCACCCTTACCTCTCTCAATGCAAATATCCCATCCCACAGCACACTTTAAAAAGATTAAAGTCTGTTATCATTCGCCTGTTACAGCATGGCCTTTTAAAGCCTATAAACTCTCCTTACAATTTCCCCATTTTACCTGTCCTAAAACCAGACAAGACTTACAGGTTAGTTCAGGATCTGCGCCTTATCAACCAAATTGTTTTGCCTATCCACCCCATGGTGCCAAACCTATAAACTCTCATATCCTCAATACCTCCCTCCACAATCCATTATTCTGTTCTGGATCTCAAACATGCTTTCTTTACTATTCCTTTGCACCCTTCATCCCAGCCTCTACTTCGCTTTCACTTGGACTGACCCTGACTCCCATCAGGCTCACAAATTACCTGGGCTGTACTGCCGCAAAGCTTCACAGACAGCCCCCATTACTTCAGTCAAGCCCAAATTTATTCCTCATCTGTTACCTATCTCGGCATAATTCTTGTAAAAACACATGTGCTCTCCCTGCTAATCGTGTCCCACTAATCTCCCAAACCTCAATCCCTTCTACAAAACAACAAGTCCTTTCCTTCCTGGGCATGGTTGGATACTTTCGCCTTTGGATACCTGGTTTTGCCATCCTAACAAAACCATTATATAAACTCACAAAAGGAAACCTAGCTGACCCCATAGATCCTAAATCCTTTCCCCACTCCTCTTTCCGTTCCTTGAAAACAGCTTTAGAGACTGCATCCATCCTAGCTCTCCCTGACTCATCCCAACCCTTTTCATTACACACAGCCGAAGTGCAGGGCTATGCAGTCAGAATTCTTACACAAGGACCAGGATCACATCCTGTAGCCTTTGTCCAAACAACTTGATCTTACTGTTTTAGGCTGGCCATCATGTCTCCGTGTAGCAGCTGCTGCCGCCTTAATACTTTTAGAGGCCCTAAAAATCACAAACTATGCTCAGCTCACTCTCTACATTTCTCATAACTTCCAAAATCTATTTTCTTCCTCACACCTGACGCATATACTTTCTGATCCCTGGCTCCTTCAGCTGTACTCACTCTTTGTTGAGTCTCCCACAATTACCATTGTTCCTGGCCCAGATTTCAATCCGGCCTCCCACATTATTCCGGATACCACACCTGACCCTCATGACTGCATCTCTCTGATCTACCTGATGTTCACCCCATTTCCCCATATTTTCTTCTTTCCTGTTCCTCACCCTGATCACACTTAGTTTATTGATGGCAGTTCCACCAGGCCTAATCGCCACACACCAGCAAAGGCAGGCTATGCTATAGTACAAGCCACTAGCCCACCTCTTAAAACCTCTCATTTCCTTTCCATCGTGGAGATCTATCCTCAAGGAAATAACTTCTCAGTGTTCCAATTGCTATTCTACTACTCCTCAGGGATTATTCAGGCCCCTTCCCTTCCCTACACATCAAGCTCAGGGATTTGCCCCCACCCAGGACTGGCAAATTAGCTTTACTCAACATGCCCCGAGTCAGAAAACTAAAATACCTCTTAGTCTAGGTAGACACTTTCACTGGATAGTTAGAGGCCTTTCCTATAGGGTCTGAGAAGGCCACCGCAGTCATTTCTTCCCTTCTGTCAGACACAATTCCTCAGTTTAGCCTTCCCACCTCTGTACAGTCTGCTAACAGACCAGCCTTTATTAGTCAAATCAGCCAAGCAGTTTTTCAGGCTCTTAGTATTCAGTGAAACCTTTATATCCCTTATGGTCCTCCGTCTTCAGGAAAAGTAGAACGGACTAAAGGTCTTTTAAAAACACACCTCACCAAGCTCAGCCACCAACTTAAAAAGGACTGGACAATACTTTTACGACTTTCCTTTCTCAGAAGTCAGGCCTGTCTTCAGAATGCTACAGGGCACAGCCCATTTGAGCTCCTGTATAGATGCTCTTTTTATTAGGCCCCAGTCTCACCCCAGACACCAGACCAACTTAGACTGTGCCCCAAAAAACTTGTCATCCCTACTATTTTCTGTCTAGTCATACTCCTGTTCACCATTCTCAACTACTCATACATGCCCTGCTCTTGTTTACATTGCCGGTTTACATTGTTTCTCCAAGCCATCACAGCTGATATCTCCTCGTGCTATCCCCAAACTGCCACTCTTAACTCTTGAAGTAAATAAATAATCTTTGCTGGCAAGGCTATGCTGAACCTCTTTAAGCACTCTCTAATTAGATGTCCTAAGTCCTCCCAATTCTTAATCCTTTAATACCTGTATTTCTCCTTCTCTTATTCCGTTTAGTTTTCAATCCATAAAAGCCATATTCAGGCCATCACCAATAATTCTACATGACAAATGTTTCTTCTAACAACCCCACAATATCACCCCTTACCACAAAATCTTCCTTCAGCTTAATCTCTCCCACTCTAGGTTCCCACGCCGCCCCTAATCCCGCTCGAAGCAGCCCTGAGAAACATCACCCATTATCTCTCCATACCACCCCCAGAAAATTTTCACCGTCCCAACACTTTACCACTATTTCATTTTATTTTTCTTATTAATATAAGAAGACAGGAATATCAGGCCTCTGAGCCCAAGCTAAGCCATCATATCCCCTGTGACCTGCACCTACACATCCAGATGGCCGGTTCCTGCCTTAACTGATGACATTCCACCACAAAAGAAGTGAAAATGGCCTGTTCCTGCTTTAACTGATGGCATTATCTTGTGAAATTCCTTCTCCTGGCTCATCCTGGCTCAAAAGCTCCCCTACTGAGCACCTTGGGACCCCCCACTCCTGCCCACCAGAGAACAACCCCCCTTTTTCTTTTACCTACCCAAATCCTATAAAACGGCCCCACCCTGTCTCTCTTCACTGACTCTCTTTTCAGACTCAGCCCGCCTGCACCCAGGTGAAATAAACAGCTTTATTGCTCACACAAAGCCTGTTTGGTGGTCTCTTCACAAGGACGCGAGTAAAAGTAATACCTACTACAGAGAGTACATTTAAATTTAAATAAATAAAAAATATCTAAAGGGATTAGCATATTCCCTGGCACATAGGAAACTTGCATTTAAACACCTTATTGTTATGATGTGTTACTGACAACACCACCATTACTGATGCCTGTTTCCTTCAATGACTAAACTAATTGTTATTCAAATATATAAATTTGGATACATATCTTTTTTTAATTTTTTATGGATCCCATCCCACCGTAGACAAGGAAAAATATGTAACTAGAAAAAGAAGCAGTGAGAAGCTTACATCTACTTTCTTAACTCATAGTGACTACCGACCCAAAGACATTTTTAGTGTGGAAACTGAAGTCTTCTCTGGAGTTTTTCATCTATGCAGAGTGCTGTACTCTTTCTCGGTTTTCAAGTCACAATTTCATATGGGTCAAGGTCCTGATGTTTAATGATAAATGACAATGAGAACAGCTTCATCGAATGACAACAAATTAAATTAGCAAAGACCACAGGTCTCCCTGCTTTGCTTACTAAGCTTAGAATCTAACAAATAGCTCCCTGCATGTATATTAGAATTATTATGAATAGATTTTCCAGTACAAAGAAATATCATGTTTATAAGTATTCATATGGACCGTTTTAAGTTCTAGTAACTTTAAATGAGATAGGTAGAGCTCCTGAAGAATGCAATGAATCACTGGAGCTGAACTTTAACAACCGTTCAACATCTAATCAGTTGAATTAGAGCCATTTTGTAAGAGGGTTAATCAATTCTCTAGCTTTAGCTGCCCCAATGCTTCTGAAATTTGCTGATGTTATCATTACATTGGAAGGAGACACTCTGCATTTTAATAGAAGCATTTCTTTTAGAACCTTAGTGGTACAACAGAGACCAAACATTAAAAAAATATATTTTCTGTAAAATGAGGGCTTTACTGGGACAAGATTATGTCCTTATCTGCATAATAAGATGAAATAATATATCAAACATTATAACTTCCTGAAGTGCTGCTTGGTAGATACTATGTGTAATGAAGTATCTGGCATAGATTAGGATTTATGTAAACATTTTCTAATATTGTTCTTCATGTTAATGTTACTACAGTGGTCTGTTGACCAAACACTTGAATACAGTGGCTTGACCACCATGTTATATAACATAAAGGCCTCAGAAAAAAAGTATCTTTTTCATTCCCAAAAATATATTTTTCATTAAAATTCTCATATTAACTTATCATTAAAATATCATGTGACAAAAAGCAAGAGAAGGAAGTTTTTAGTTTAAGAAGAACCTATATATATATAGAACAACTGTTAGCAGATACAAATCTGTATGGGTCTGCAGCAACTCATTTCTTGCCACTTGAAAGGAAAGATTTTGTGCCTACCATAAGGCAGAGTGAGAGACCGAGGCAAGTTTTACAGTGGAGTGAAAGTTTATTAAAAAGTTTTAGAGCAGAAATGAAAGGAAGTAAAGTACACTTGGAAGAGGGCCAAGTGGGCAACTTAAGAGATCCAAATTTGTTGTATGACCCTTGACATGGGGTTTTATACATTGCCATAGTTCTGGGGTTTATGACTCTTCTGCCCTGAGTTTTCTCTTGGGGTGGGCTGTCCGTATGTGCAGTGGCCTGCCAGCACTTGGGAGGAGCTGCATGCACAGTGTGTTTACTGAAGTTGTACACGTGCTCATTTGAGGCATTTTCCCTTAACAGTAAAGCGTTGGAAGGTCATATACAGTTAAATGCCGTTATTTTGCCCCTTAGTGCACATGCTAGAGGCCACTCACCCAACTCTTGAAATCTTATTGGGAAGCTGCTGATCACCAGATTCAGGTGTTTTCTATCTATTGGGAGCCCATTTCCTTGGCATGGCTGCAACAAATCGTTATTTTAGAGAGACAGTTTAACAACCACCTGACTGTCACCTGATGGTTGCCTGACATTTGCATAACTAGCTATTCTAAGACAACTACCTATCAGGCATGGGATTGAGAGCTGTAGATATAGTAACTCATTTAATCCTTACAACACTAAACACTATACCATATTATTACCATTGCCAGTCATTAATAGCTAATTTTAAATGACTTTAAAACATTAGTGAATTAGTGAAGCTAGTAGGGTTCTGAGGATGTTGGGAATTCAATGCTGGGAAACTGTTTTAGAAACCTAGGTATATCTAGATTTTAAATGTTATATTAAGTCATGTATTAATGAATTTTATTGTACCTAATTATGACTTAGCAGTTTCAAAATATATTATGCTCTTCTAAGTTTGACCCTGTACCTCAAGATATATGAGGCTAACAATGCAAGACAGAGAAATGCAAGGCACTGTATGTAGTATATTCAAGAGATGATGAGCAAAAATGCCTTAAGGTAAAATGTGTTGCATTTATAAGATGTCTCCAGCTTTATATACTGTCTACCTTAAACTATCATTAAACTAAACATTCTTTACATATAAGAAAAAATTATAGAAATCTTTTTGTATCCTCAAAGGATGCCAGAAAATAATCTTTTTATAAAACAAGAGAATACCAAAAAGATGAAAAGAAATGTGGTTGAGAAAAGGACAGCTTCTGAAGAAATAGGAAATGCATGAATATAATTAATGAGAGATTATTATGTGCTAAGGACTCTTCATGCTTCATATGTATTAAGTCATTTATTTCTATAATCAATCTATAGATTTGGTACTTTTAATATCTGATATAGTTTGGCTCTGTGTCCTCACCCAAATCTTGTCTTGTAGCTCCCATAATTCCCACGTATTGTGGGAGATACTGATTGGGAGATGATTGAATCATGGGTATGGGTCTTTCCTGTGCCATTCTCATGATAGTGAATGGGTCTCATGAAATCTGATGGTTTTAAAAATGGGAGTTTCTCTACACAATTTCTCTTTTTGACTGCCGCCATCCGTGTAAGATATGACTTGCTTCTCTTTGCCTTGCACCGTGATTCTGAGGCCTCCACAGCCATGTGGAACTGTGAGTCCAATTAAGCCCCTTTCTTTTGTAAATTGCCCAGTCTTGGATATGTCTTAATCAGCAGCACGAAAATGGACTAATACATATCCCATTTCAAAGATGAGATAGTCAGAAAATAAAGAGGTGCTGAAAAAACAAACAGAAAAAATAAAAATAAAAAGACCTACAAGAATCAAGCTGGAAGAAGATATGTCATGGCCAAAGTCTGACAATTTAAGCAACAAAATAGTATTGAATTATAACCTAAAGTATGAAATAAATATACAGGAGTCCATATGATATAAATAAATTATTGAAAAGATAACAATGTAGAAAAGAGTCAAATCTTCTTTACAGAAAAATTTCAAAAGTTTATGTAGATATATAGATATTCCCTCTCTGCCCCTGCAAGTGAAGCCAAATTTCCCATTCTCCCTTCCCTCCCTGTGTTCAGGCTGTATTTAGTGACTTGCTTTCAAAGACTAAGGTATGAAAGGGAAAACTTTAACCTTATAATGGAGAAACCTGGTAGGCACTATCTTGGCCAGGTAATAAAGGATAACATCATTGGTGATAAGTCATGCCAATAGCTTATATCCCTAATATAATGTGATCAGTAGGGCATTTTACTTCTGAGTTATTTTTTTCCTAAAAATCACAACCCCATTATAACTATGGAAAAGGCATCACAGAAAACCCACATCGGGTGCCATGCTACAAAATACATGATCAGTAACCCTCAAAATTGTAAAGAGAATAAAGAACAAGGAAAAAAACTAAAAAATCTGTCAAAGACTGGAGCTAACTTAGGAGACATAATGACTAAATGCAATGAGAAATCCTAGATTGAATCCTGGAACAATTAAAAAAAAAGCATGTTAGACAAACAATAAATGAAATATACATAAAATCTGAAGCTTATGAATAGTACTGTAACAATGTTGATTTCTTAGTTGTGATAAATCTACCACAGTAATATGAGAAGTTAATAATAGGAGAAAATGGTGGGAGTATATGGGAACTCTCTGCTCTCTTTGCAAATTTTCTATAAATCTAAAACTATTCTAAGGCAAAAAAGTTTATTTAAAGATATCATTAGAGTCTGTTTCTGATATCACTCACTCTCCCAGAAATAAGACCAACTTGTACAACTTCTTGATGTACAACATCAGGAAGTGAAAGCTACCTGAAGGCAGTGGATAATTAGCAAATATAAGCAGATTATAGAGGGGTGTTGACACTTGGAAATGGGGATGGCTCAGTGTTACCTGTGTGTATAGTTTTCAGCTGAGGACAGGCCACAGACACAATGCAGGGTGGCCAAAACTTCAATAAAAACATCCTCAATCATGTCCTTCTGATCTTAAAGAGCCAAAGGACACGTTTCAGACAACCATAGTTGTTAGAATGCAATGAGAGGAAGGAGGATCATGAAGAAGAGACAGCCAGAAGGAAAGCCCAAAATCCTGTGTATAAACTCTGTCCCAGTCTCTGGAGGAACCTGAGGCACACATACAAACAGCCCATCTAATGATAAAAGAACTGAATTTCAGATTTGAGCTGATTCCAAAGAACAGAGTTTAAAGTTTGAGTCCAACTATGGGAATTGCCTGAAATGACAAAGTCTACATTTTTCTCAAGAATGATATAATTAATCTGCAGGAAGTGAAAGTGTCTACATGTATTATTATTACTATTGGGGGTTCTCCTATACAGAAGATTTTTTTTCTCTTCTCCTCACATTTAATTGTTTGTTTATCCAATCATTTATCTATATATGTGGGCTCACATACATTGATTTTATACTTTCTGCTATAATCCAGCACCACCTTATTTATTTTGTTATTCAGATATTTCCTGTTTTGTCCATTGGGACATCTTTCAGTTTGGCTTCTAAGTCCCTTTAACATGTTCCCACCCTTTTGTTTGTTGAGCACTTCTTATTTTCTAGCATGACAAGGGGTTCCTTGTTCATCTTACATTCTCCCTGTACCAACGTCCTGCCTGTGAGCTGGATTCAGTAAAGCATACCAAAAAGATTGTTTTATGTAATCTGACAAATCAATGTAAAAATATACGTGGAGTAATTAGATTGTAAGTGTAGCCAAAAACTTTAGGAGAATTGGTGGGGAGAGTAAATTGCATGGGTTCATAGGAAACAGGAAGGTTATTGTACCCTGTAACTATATATATTTCAAATGTATAGTAATTAAAGTTGTGCTATCAGCATTTAGATTTATACATAAACAAGTAGCAATGTAAGAAAATACATAATATGGAGCTCAGAAATTCATAAATATAACACAATTTAATGTAAACATTATATGTACAGTACAGAAATGGCCAATAGTATAGATCATTAGTATAGAAATGATCAATTAGTCAACAAACTGTGTTAGGAAAATCGTCTATTGGAAAAATTAAGTTAGCTTTATATCTAATACCTTCATAAGAATAAATTCTAGATATATGAACAACTGAAATAGATATTAAAAAAGATAACATTTACATGAGCACTCTAAATAAGATATTTGTTCTTTAAGAAAATATTAAATGAATACAAAGAAAAATATTCTCATGGCTTTTGTGGAAGGGAAGAACTAAAGAAATAAAAATAGTACAATACAGGAAGGATAAAAATATGTAAATTTATGTAATTCAATATTTAAAACATCTGAATACTAAAAAGAGAACAGAGTTGAAAAAATATCTGAAACCTATGTCAGACAAATTATCAGTGTTCACACATTTCATTAAGGAAAAATATTTCAATTTAAAAATGGGCAAAGTGTATGCATAAGCAATTCAAACCCAACAATGCAAGGGTCAATGAAAATATGACTGAAACTTAGTAGTAACCAGAATCATGTCAATCATTAAATTAATCAGATATCATTTTTCAGTCCACCATATTTGCAAAGGTTTTAGTCTCATCATATCAGTTTTGGCAAGAATATGGGGAGATTGGTAATCTCAATTGGTGCTGGTAGTATAAGTTTTGGAGGCAATTTGGAAGATTTTAATAACTTTAAAAATAAATATATCCTATGACTCAGTAAAACCATTTCTCAATATTGATTATAGATCCTGTGCACAGGAAAGCATGAACAAAAAAGTTATCTTTTAGTAACATTTATTATGGTAAAATATTCAAGCAGCCTAATTTGGGAAATGCTTCAATAAACTGTGGTGTGATAATTGCTATAGAAAACTTAGGAGCAATTAAAAAGAATAAAGAATGTGTACATGTACTATTCAGAAAAGATACCCAAAGTATATGTTTAAGACAAAAATTGTTTTAATAAAATATACATGATATGATTTATATAAAATGTAAGCAATCATAATGATAAAAATATGTTATATGGTCATATATGTAAATATATAAAAGTTCGTAGAAAGAAAAGGCGTATAAGCTTCCACAGCTACTTAAGGATTTGAGACAGAAATTTGGGATGAAGTGAGGACTTGAGTCTTAACTGACAAAGCTTTGTTTTTCATGAGGGAAACTTACTAAAATATTCCTTATAAAACCAAAACTGTCTTGAAATGACCACAAAAAAGTATATACTATTTAATTCATAAAACCAGTGTATTAAATGACATAACGTGGTTAACACATAGCCTGGTTGACAGAAGGATGTGGTAGTTGCATATGATATGTATATAATAGTATATGTGTATATGATATGACAGTATATGATAGTAAGAATAGAACAGTTTAGAAATATGTAGCAAAGGCACTAACAACGTCTCCAGCCTTTGTTTCAGAAAAGAGGAAACATAGTCCTTAGATATCTAAGAATTGAAAGACCCACCCCTAATGTGATAAAAATGTTTCTCTAAAACACAATTATCACATTATTCTTAACAATCCCCTCTACTAAAACTAGGACAAGATATAGATTACCTAAAATCACTATAGTATTGTTAAAAAATTCTGGCCAACGAGAGACAAATTCAAATTAAACAATAAAACAACGGATTATACTCACATAGCGACTAGAGAAAAAGAGCCTCATTATTTATTATTATTACTCAGTGTAACTTTTACTTGAGTGAAAAAGAAATGGGTAGAATTACAGCTGTTGCTCTAATAATTGTGTCTAGCTCTGACCACTTCCATTTTAATTTGTCACATATGTGAATATCATCAGCGATGACTTTTTCGCAGGGGGAAAAAAGTCCAAAAGATTAAAAAGGTATTGAATTACATAGTTCAATAAATGCAAAGCCTGCAAGTATGTGCAAAAGAATCAATAAACATCATACCATGGTGTACAAGGCCCTACATATTCCTGTCTCAGATACCACTTGGATCCCACTGACAGTTGGAGAGAGTATTCTTGAAATTCTTGTTTTTCTTTTTGTTTCCCAACATTTTACAGTACAATACACAACCAGCAAAACAGCACACATCTTGACATCTTTTTACATGTGACTGCCAACACTTTGCCTTAAGCCTGTCACAACCTTGAATCCTTGACAGGTTACATTTGTGTAAATAAAAGTGATTCCAAGGTCTTTGGCCACAGTCCTATAATTTCTTCCTTTCTTTTTCTTTTCTTTTTTTCTTTCTTTCTTTCTTTTTTTTTTTTTGAAATGGAGTCTGGCTCTGTTGCCAAGCTGGAGTGCAGTGGCGGGATCTCAGCTCGCTGCAACCTCCACCTCCCAAGTGCAAGTGATTCTCCTACCGCAGCCTACTAAGTAGCTGGGATTACAGGTGTGTGCCACAACGCCCTGCTAATTTTTGTATTTTTAGTAGAGATGTGGTTTCACCATGTTGGTCAGGCTGGTGTCGAACTCCTGATCTCCAGTGATCCGCCAGCCTCAGCCTCCCAAAGTGCTGAGATTACAGACGTGAGCCACCGGCCTAATTTCTTCCTTTCTATTGTTGGAATGGATTCAGGTTTTGTGGGCCCTGGTGCTTACACTCTTTGGAGGGTCCTTTTTAAAAAAGTAATTTAAAACTACCAATACCAAATTGAGGATGGAAATGAATATTTTTTTTTTAGAATGAGAAAAATAATGAACAAGTTATAACTGTTGAAAAGCTGACAAATACCACAAATATCACAAAGAAAGCCAAAATTACTGTTATTATTATTAACTAGAGAATCCAGCCCCTTGCTAGCTTGAAAGACTCTATAGTTTCTGACCCAGCGGCTGGTACAGCTTGGCCAAGAAGCAATGGGTTGGAGTTGGACTCCCTCCCAGCAGGGGGCAGAGCAGAGCTTTCTTCAGGTCCTTTGTTCATCTTTGCCAAGTTGTTAGGCTGATCCTTTACTTCTGTAATTTGATCATTTGCAGAGTGGGACTATAGTGAAGGAGAATATGAAATCTTCCTTCCCCTTTAGTCTTATAAGCAGTGATTTAATTTTTTTTAAAGTCTTGGTATAAGTAAATGCATGCTTACTATACAAAAAATGAAAGGTATAGAAAATATAAAGTAACAAGACCCTATTGCGTGAAGGCAATCACAGTTAATATTTTCATTTGTTTTCTTCCTGTTTTCTTTCTATCCATTTTACATAGTTATGAACACGCTGAACGAATACTTATTATTCAGCTTCATCACTTACCACTTTATTATGAATTTGTTCCCAAGTCATTAAAATTCTCTTAAATATTTATTAGGCTTATAATATTTTATTAACTATATATACCATAATTTACCAGTTATAATATCTATTGATGGATATTTAAATCATTTTGTCACTAATATAAATAATACTATCCTATCATCTTTGTATGTAAACATATGTCTGTATCTGTGATTATTTTCACTACATAGGCTTTTAGAAACAAAATTACAGGTTTCAGAAATCAAAATATTTGTGTGGCTCTAGGTGCACATTACCAAGAGTCTTACCCATAACCTTTCACTGCCACTGGCAGATTGTAAGATTACCTAGTTCGCAGCACCTTTTCAGCACTACTTAATAATTTAAACACATGTACCAATTTGAGAAATATAAAAAGGAACCTTTTTAACCATACATTATGTGATGATTGTGTCATGCTTTCCTTTTACTTTCAACTGTATATAATTTATTTACTTGGATACTTCATTTTATGATCACCTGATAATGCACATTAAGGATCGTCAAACTGTTCCTCTGCTATCACCACCTATTTCTTACATAGATGAATATTATGTCTAAATATGCTTTTTTACTTGTATTTTCCATTTTGAAAAATGTGGCTACTGCTGCTGGCCTAATCTTAAATAAAATAACATTACCATAATTGACAAACACATTTTATACTGACACCATTTTGAATATTTTGTTTACAAAGAGTTAAGAAATGCAGTGCCAATGTTCAAAGCAGTGGGGAATTAAAGGCAGAGATAGGGTCTATCAATCAATCAATCCATCAATCATCTATCTTCTTTACATATATCAATGCAAAGTAGCACATGCTTCAGATTTACTGCCCACAGGCAAATATAGGTTTGACAGAAAAACGTGGTCATTAAAACTTCGATTGCCTTAGTCAACTTCATAGAGGAGGAGAGCCATGAATTTTAGAAAAAGGATAAGTCAGAGCATCAGGGGGAGGACTAGAGAAAATAGTAAGATTGACTTGAGCAAGAGTTTTTAGTTGAGTAAATACCTGGCTTGAATTGGTAAGAAGATGTGGGACTGATCTGACTAGAGCTATAATTCAGTTGTTTTCAAATTTGGCTTTACAGGCATTGTATAGCACACTCTCTAACCTATGCCCCTGGCGTACTGCAGTGGAAAGGAGAGACATAAACGAGAGAGGGTCTTTGAAAGGTATATCCTATCAACATTCCTCTATCCCCAATTCCCAATTTCGTTTGTTTGCTTTTTGAAACAGGTTCTCACTCCCTCACCCAGGCTGGAATGTAGTGTTGTGATCTCAGCTCACTGCAACCTCCTCCTGCCTCCTCCTTCTCCTCCTACCTCCCACAAGAATCAAATGATTCTCCTGCCTCAGCCTCCCGAGTAGCTGGGATCACAGGCATGTGCCATCACGCCTGGCTAATTTCTGTATTTTTAGCAGAGACAGGGTTTCACCATGTTGGCCAGGCTGGTCTCGAACTCCTGACCTCAAACTATCTGCCTGCCTCAGCCTCCCAAAGTGCTAGGATTATAGGGGTGAGCCACCATGCCTGGCCTCCATCTCCAATCTTATCCACAGAAACTTTTCTCTTCTGTTCACATGCATATAGGGACCCAATGTAATATTTCATTTAAACATACGTGTGCTTTGTTAAAACAAGTTTGAAAAGTTCTGCTGAAGTGCTCAGAGGAGCAGGAGTATGGAAGGAAGCATGTAGAATAAGTGGACAGTAATATGTTGGTAAGAAAAATCCAGCAGAATGGTACAGGACAGATTTAATTGAAAAGAATGTGTTATGATGAGATAAACTTGAAGATTATTGCAAGTGTTCAACATTAATTAATCACCAATTGTTGGTGAGAAACCATTAGTTCAAGAGTAAAATGATAAATTCACTCAGGGATAACAGCAGTTGGGACTAAGAGAGGACATATAAGAGACATAAACGTAGAAAATCTCAGATTTGCTGAGAGAGAGAAAAGGAACATTCTAAAAAGAACTCAAATGTTTCAAACTGGTAACAAAATAAAATGGGACTCTTGTACAAATAAAAATGCTAAGTTTGGATTTTCACAGTGTAAATTTATTAGTTTGAAGAAATGTCAGAATAGTTAAGTAGAGTTGCTTAGCTGAAGAAAGAAACATAGGGCTATTTACATCTCCTACTGAGAGAGATTTTTGCAAATCCTCATAAAAACAATAACAGAAGACTAATGGACATGTCTTCTAAACAAGAAAGCTTAATATAAAAAGAGGGGATATAATATATGGAAGCCTTAGATTCTTTCTTGCTGAACACTGGAACATAAATAGATCCATTCAGGCAAAGAATGGAGTCAATAACAACTACTCCACCGCCACCACCCCATGCAAAAGTCTAGACTTCTTGTTAAAAGGCTTGTTTAATTTGTTTTTGTTTATTTGTTTTGGAGTGGAGGAGAGGAGGGTAATTTCATCAAATGTTAACTCCCCTGCCTGGTATTCAAGTTATTGTATAATCTATTCACACATTTCTTACTAAATTCCCAGGGGAGAACTAGCTTCTCCTATCTATCCCTTCAGCATTGCGGAATTGTTCTGAAGTTCTACCTGAAGTGAGAATAGTAAATCTATTGCTTGTGCGTGTTATTTGTGCCACAGTTGATTCTGCTTAGCTGGCTGTAAAGCAGTCATGAGTTTCCAACTGTTCCATTCCCCGTGCATCTCTTTGTTGAAGAATGCAACCTTCCAGATAGAGGAAGACCCTTCTTTACTTAGATGCACCTCTGTGATGGTTAAGTGTCAACTTGATTGGATTGAAGAATGCAAAATTTTGTTTCTGGGTGTGTCTGTGAGTGTGTTGCCATAGGAGATTAACATTTGAGTCAGTGGACTAGGAAAGGAAGACCCACCCTCCATCCAATTGGCTACCATGGTGGCTAGAAAAAGCAGGCAAAAGAAGGTGGAATAAGCTGGCTTGCTGAGTCTTCTGGTTTTCCTCTTTCTCCCATGCTGGATGCTTCTTGTCCTTGAACATCAGACTTCAGGTTATTTGGCCTTTGGACTCTTGGACTTATACTAGTGGTTTGCCAGGGACTATCCAGCCTTTGGCCACAGACTGAAGGCTGCACTGTCAGCTTCCCTACTTTTGAGGCTTTGGGACTGGAACTGAGCCACTACTGGCTTCCTCGCTCCTCAGCTTGCAGATGGCCTATCATGGAACTTCACATTGTGGTCATGTGAGTCAATTCTCCTTAATAAACTTTCCTTCATATATACATATATCCTATTAGTTCTGTCTCTCTGGAGAACTCTGGCTAATACAACATCTATGAACCATCAAAGAAGCTCACAAAGATCTGTCCGTAGGATAATATGGGACAGAAATGTTTACATGCTTCACTTTTACTAGAATGGTGCTTTTGCACATTTTCCTTTGACTTGCTTTTACTTTATGCCTATCTAATCCTCACTAAGTCCCAGTTCCAAATCATGCAAGAAAACTATTATATCCAAACAGATCAAATCTCTCTATTGTGTTGTACTGCAGTTTATAATCAGTATCACATAGTTAATATTTTTTCAGAGTCTTTGGGTCTCCAATGATAGGAACTTTATTTTAATCTCCTTTTTTTTTTTTATAATGCCTACTTTGGTTTTATGCATATAGGATGCTCTTTACAAATGCTTGTTCACTTATGGATTTATTTATGGTGGGTCGAAATAACAGACTATTTGGACAAAATTAAATGCAAATATCATTAATATTATTAATAAAAATAAAATAAATTAATAAAATTATTTAAAAAATGTATTAATAAAACTGCTTTCTAAAAAATATTTAACTTGTAAATATAAATGTAAGAAAATAATGAAACAAAGATAAACAGCTGACACTTAGATAACTTAAAGAGCTTTTGCATGGCAAAAGGAACAGTCAGCAGAGTAAACAAACACTAAAGAGAGTGGGAGAAAATCTTCACAATCTGTACATCTGACAAAGGACTAATATCTAGAATATACAAGGAACTCAAACAAATTAGCAAGAAAAAAACAAACAATCCCATCAAAAAGTGGGCTAAGGACATGAAAAGACAATTCTCAAAAGAAGATATACAAATGGCCAACAAACATGAAAAAATGCTCAACATCACCAATGATTAGGGAAATGCAAACCAAAACCACAAAATGATACCAACTTACTCCTACAAGAATGGCCACAATAAAAAAAAATCAAGAAATAATAGATGTTGGCATGGATGTGGTGAACAGGGAATACTTCTACACTGCTGGTGGGAATGTAAACTACTACAACCACTATGGAAAACATTGCGGAGATTCCTTAAGGAGGTAAAAGTAGAATTACCTTTTGATCCAGTAATCCCACTACTGAATATCTACCCAGAGGAAAAGAAGTCATTATACAAAAAAGATACTTGCACATGCATGTTTACAGCAGCACAATTCGCAATTGCAAAAATGTGGAACCAACCCAAATGCCCTTCAATCAATGAGTGGATAAAGAAGCTGTAGTATTATATATGATGGAATACTACTCAGCTATAAAAAGGAATGAATTAGTGGCATTCACAGCAACCTGGTTGAGATTGGAGACGATTATTCTAAGTGAATTAACACAAGGAATGGAAAACCAAACACGATATGTTCTCACTCATAAGTGGGAGCTAAGCTGTGAGGATGCAAAGACATAAGAATGACACAACGGACTTTGGGGACTCAGGGGGAAAGGGTGGGAAGGAGGTGAGGGATAAAAGACTACAAATTGAGTGCAGTGTGTACTGATCGGGTGATGGGTGCACCAAAATCTCACAAAGCACCACTAAAGAATTTACTCATGTAACCAAACACCACCTGTTCCCCAATAACCTATGGAAATTAAAAAATTAAAAAACAAAGAAAGAAAATAATCATTCTAGTATGTTCTTGTATCTCCTTTTTATTAAAAAAAAAAAAAGGCTTTCACCTATATCCATGTTTCTTAGCACTTAAAAATTAACAAACTGTGTCGGGAATGGAAGTCATCTAGGAACTTCTGTGGTTTTAAGCCACCAGACACGCTCCTGATAACACCTCTTCCTGATCTCATCTCATTGTCAGTCCCTTTCATCTCCATACTTCATTGTTGATGACTCTCCGTGTGCTCTCTCCTGCGTCCTGGACTTCCGGGCTTCCTGTTTTAGACACTTGTCTATGCCCAGCTCCTGGTTTATGGTTGCTCCATTTGTTCCATGCTCTTATACCAGCTTTTCTCATTCTGAACTATGTCCTAACTTGAATTAATCTTACCATAGTATTTCTGAAAGAAGAGCCCAAGCTCCTTTCATTGATATATTTATGTGCACCATTTTGAATTATTATAACACTACAAAATTATTGGATTGAGTTGTCACAAAGTTAATGTGATTTCCTCTGCAAGGCAGACTATATATATATATATGAAACATGGCCACATGCTGCTATGTTAGCCCTACTATTTTCTAAGTATTGATGGCAATAAGAAAAGCCTCAACTGAAAAATGGGTGATTTGATGGTATATAACTATATAGTATAAGATACCACAGATAAATTGATTCAGGATGACAAAGAATTATCTGTGCACTATCTCATGTGTCTCTTTATATTGTTAACTCAGCAGGATGAGGAATGTCTTTAGCTCTCTGCACATAAACTTATTAGGATATTCAGTATTGTGTGGTACTGAATAGAAAGAGTGCAAGCATTCGTCTCAAATGACCCAAATTGAATCCGTACTCTGTCACATACCCACTGAATTACCTTAAATAAGTCAATTGTATCTGAGTTCCAAGGTTTCTACAAAGTTTACATAGGGCCTGATATCACCTAAATTGCTTCGGTCTGCCTGAGAGATGCTTAGCAAAGACATAGATAAAACCAGTATAACCATATATAGGTAGTTTTTTCTTTTTTTTTTCTGTCACTTTTAACTCCAGCCAGTAGGGCAACCCTCTTTTCTCCTCTCTCTTAGCACTCCTCCCCAATTCATTCACTCCCATGTTACTGGTGAACAACCATGAAAAATGGAGACAATATTTTTTAAAGTACTAGTAAAAGTATGAGTACATCTATAGCATACAACTCCCAACGATACTTAAATGTAGCTATAGCTCATCTCCAATTCCACACAATCTGTATAACCTCTCTATTTTCCTAACTTTCCTAAAACAGTGATTCCATTTTCTACTCTACATGAAAATTATGTATGCAGCTAAATTTGCTATTTTTCTTGAATTAAAAAAAATTGTAGGTTTTACAGAGGAAGAGTAGAAGGGCAGGCCCACAAATGTCATACATAATTTTCATCTATAATTCATTGGCCAGATTACATGACACAAGGAAAATGAAAATGTATTCTAGCTGTGTGTTAGATTGAAAAGAAAATGGGGTTTGGTAAACACATATTAATCCATGTCATAGTTCTCCTTTTCCAGCCCCAAATACTTGTCTCTTTCTTTAACTACCCCCTCCTATAAGGATATCTTTCTGCAAGCCAATATACTCATCTTTCTGCAAGTCAATATACTCATCTTTCTACAAGTCAATATACCCATTGCAAAGTGTAGAATCTCTAGAAGAGTAATAAGTTTCCTTTGCAAAACTCTTGTGGCCTAGTGATCCTCCAGCACATAACCAATGTACAGTGATAGAAAACATAACTGAAAGAAACAATAGTGGCTCACAGTAAACAGGATGAGAGTGGAGACACAGCAGTTATCAGTCCATAGTAAGTCTGAAATCTTGCTAGACAAATTTTGTAAATACTTTTCACCTGTTGTGCAATTTTGCTCTCTGGGAATTATTCCCCCAATCATTGTGTTTGGTGTTGTTCGATTGCATCTACTCTCTGAAAATTTTCCCCCATCCATTATTATATTGCTCAAATTTGAGGTTGGGAAAGGAGTTTGTGAATTTTGAGGGGATTCTTATGACTGAATTGTGTTCACCAAAATTCATATGTTGAACTTCTAACCCCCAGTACCTCAGAATGTGGCTGTATTTGGAGATAGAGTCTTTTAAAAGGTAATTAAGTTAAAATGAGGTTATTAGAGTGAGACTTGATCCAATACAACTGGTGTCTTTATAAGCAGAGGAAATATGGCATTGATTCATAGACAAAAGAGGAAAGATCATTTGAAGACACAGGGGAAGAGAGCTGTCTTAGTTCATTCCTGCTGCAATAATAAAGTACCTTGGAGTGGGTAATTTATAAACAACCACAATTTACTTTTCACAGTTCTGAAGGCTGTGAAGTTCAAGATCAAGGTCTGTTTCTCATAGATGGCATCTTCTTTGTTTCCTCACATGGCAGAAGGAAAAACAAGCTAACTTATACCTGGTTTATGAGGGTACTGCTATAGTTTGGATACAGTTTGTTTGTTCCCACTAAAACTCATGTTGAAATTTGATCCCCTATGTGGCAGTGTTTGGAGGTAGGCCCTAGTGTGCGATGTTTGGGTCATGGGTGCAGATCCATGAATGGCTTGGTGCCCTTCTTATAATAGTACATTCTCTCTTTGGGGAACTGCATTTGCTCTGATGGGAATGAATTAGTTTTTGTGAGTCAGTTGTTATAAAGCCAGGACACCCCTCTGACTTTTTTTTTCCTTCACACATGTCTGCTTCCCCTATCACCCTCTCTGCCATGTTTCGACCCTTGCCAGAAGTCAAGCAGGTGCCAGCACCAGGCTTGCATACTTCTCAGCCTGCAGGACCACGAGCAAAATGAATCTCTTTATGGATTTCCCAGCTTCAGGTCTTCTGTTATAGCAACACTAAATGGATAAAGACAGGCACTAATCCCATTTCTGGAGAGGGAGAGGTGACCTAATCATCTCTCAAAAACCCCATTTCTTAATAATATTCTATTGGGGATTAAGTTTTAATATATGAATTTGGGGATGAAACAATATTCAAAGAATAACATTCCACGTTTTGCCCAAAATTCAGGTCTTTCTCACATGCAAAACACATTCATTCCATCTCAGTAGCCACAGAAGTCTTAATTTGTTCTAGCACCAACTAAAAAGTCTAAAACTCAGAGTCTCATCTAAATGTTGTCTAGATCACAAATGAGTAAGGCTCAAAGATATGATTTATCCTGTAGCAAATTCCCCTCCAGTTGATAGTATGTGAAATACACAAGTTACATGCTTCCAAAAATACAATGTTGGGATAGGCATAGAACAAACATTCTCAAAGGGAGAAATAGGAAAGAAGGAAAAACGAACAGGTATGTACCAAATCCCAAACCCAGTAGGGCCATCATTAAGGCTTCAGAACAATATTATTTGACATGAAGTTCCACAGACAAACTAGGGCTGGGGTTGGGACCCCCAAGGCTTTAGGTAACCCCACCCTCATGGCTTTCCTGGGCCCAGCCCACATAGCAGCTCTCATACCTTACAGTTGCATACTTGAGGCTCTCCCAGGCTGGAGTTGCATGCTGGTGGCCCCACCAGTATGGGTCTCAGAGGAACCCTTGATCCCATGGCTCCATTAGGCATTGTCCTAGTGGGGACTCTCTGCAGTGGCCTCACCCTCACAGCTCCACTAGGCATTGTCTTAGTGGAGCTCTCTGCAGTGGCCCTGCTTTGTGGCAGTTCTCTGCCTGAGCCCTGAGAATCTCTGGGACATCCTTTGAAACCAAGGTGGAGTTAGCCGTGCTCCCACAGATGTGCATTCTGTGCACCAGTGGAGGTAGCAACATGCAGATACGGCCAAAGTTTACTGTTGTGCCCTCTGAAGGGGTTTAGGCTCTTAAAAAAAAAAAAAAAGACAAGTACAAAGTGACACTAGATTTTTAAAGATCAGACACATGAAATCTTTCAGACAATGCAAAAACAATACTGATCTCTTTCCAGTAGTTCCATGTGCCAGTAATCACTCGTAGGGTTTCTTAGATATAGGTTTTAAATGTATAGTGTATCTTCGCTTCTTTACCGTGTGATGTTCTTTCTCAACTTAATGACAGCTAACTGGAGGCTGTCTTGAAGTCCCTTAACATGTTTATTGTCCATTTGATATCCTCATGTGAAATATCTGATCAAGGTTTTCTCCTAATTTTCTACTGAGTCATCTCATCTGGCTTTCTTGATGGTAGTTTTTTTTAAAAATTATTTAACTTTTAAGTTAAAGGATACACATGCAGTTTTTTTTTTTTTATGTAGGTAAACTTGTGTCATAGAGTTTTTTTTATGCAGGTTATTTCATCACCCAGACATTAAGCCTAATACTCATTAATTATTTTTCTTGATCCTCTCCCTCCTCTCACCTTCCACTCTCTAATACATCCTAGTGTATGTTGTTTCCCTCTAAGTGTTCACGTGTTCGCATCATTTAGCTTCCACTTATAAGTGAGAATATGCAGTATTTGGTTTGTTGTTCCTGAATGAGTTTGCTAAGGATAATGGCCTCCAGCTCCATCCTTGTCCCTGCAAAGGACATGATATCATTCTTTTTTATTGCTGCATAGTATTCCATGGTGTATATATATATATATATATCCAATTATATATATATATCCAATAATATATATATATAGAGATAGATATATTGATATATAGATACATATATCTCCAATAATGGGATTGCTGGGTTGAATGGTAATTCTATTTTAAGCTCTTTGAGAAATCTCCAAACCATTTTCTACAGTGACTGAACTGATTTACATTCCCATCAGCACTGTATAAGAGTTCTTTTTCTCCACAACCTCACGAAAATCTATTATTTTCTGACTTTTTAGTAATAGCCATTCTGACTAATGTGAGGTGCTATCTTATTGTGATTTGGATTTGCATTACTCTAATGATTAGCTATGTTGATCATATTTTTGTATGCTTGTGGGCTGCATGAGAAGTGTCTGCTTGTGCCTTTTGCCCACTTTTAAATGGGTTTTTTTTTCTTGTTCAGTTATTTGAATTACTTGTAGATTCTGCATATTAGCCCTTTGTCAGATGCATATTTTGCAATTTTTTTTTTCATTCTGTAGGCCATTTACTGTGTTGATTGTTTCTTTTGGTCTGCAGATGATTAAGTCACATTTGTCCAATTTTTGTTTTTGTTGCATTTGCTTTTGAAGACTTGGTTATAAATTATTTAGCTAGGCCACTGTCCAAAAGACTTTTTCCTAGGTTTTCTTCTGGGATTTTTATAGTTTACAGTCTTACATTTAAGTCTTTAATCAATCTTGAGTTAATTTTTGTATATGGTGAGAGGTAAGAGCCCAGTTTCATTCTTCTGTATATATTTGTCCAAATTCCCTAGCACCATTTATTGAATAGAGTGTCCTTAAGCAAAATTTTGAAACAGTCCTGAATGGCACAGTATTAGACTTCAACAAATGTGGACTGGTTTCATGGGACATAAATAAAATGAAACAGAATTACCAAAGGATAAATACAAAGATTGTTAGGTAACCCATATGAGGTCTATACAAATGTTATATAGATGAAGATGCCTGATTTTCTAGTGACTGCTCTCTCTCTCTCTCTCTCTTTCCTTCCCTCCTTTATTCCTTCACTGTGTTTATTCCTCCATGATGTTCTTTCTTTCTTTTTTATTGTGATATATTTTCTTCAGATTTTGGAGAGTTGGAAAGGAGAATTATGTATCCTGAATCTTATAGTTCCTTCCTCATCTGCAGAATTGTGTCATGTCTATCCAGTTTTAGGACCCTATATTCATACTTCATCTAAATCTCTGTTACCTCATGTACTGTCATTTACTGGTTTTCTCAGGGAAAAAAATGACTTATTGAAAAAATAATACTTTTATGTTTGGCTGAGTCACAGATTAGAGTCGAAAGTTCACAGAATATTGCTCTCCACAAGGTGCCCATCTGCTTACTGATTTATGAACAATTTGAGGATAGGGCAAGAGTGCCCTTCAGTATATGTTAACATGGAATTACATAACACAGCTGTTCAGAAATCTCTATGGTTAGAATTTCTTAGTAAATTATTGTTAAATTTATAATAACAAAAGCACAAGAGATTACCCTTTGTTCTTAAATTAAATGATGTATGCACATAGACACACATGCATACACATACATTTATATACACACTGGCTTAAAACCAAAGGAAAAAAAACAACTTTGTATTGCTAGTAGTTACTTACGGAGCCTCAAAGTCTAAAATTTAATATTATAAACTTGTCAGCAGGTGCTCTGTTAATGCTGAAGTAAACAAAGTTCTACAAAATCTTGCTGTGTCCTTTGGAAAAAAATCCCAACAGCAATGAAGGAAAAGAAAATCAACTATTAAGACACCTCCACATATGCTTTTAGAACCAGAATCTTAGTATTTTCTATTTTCTTTCCCTTGCCAAAGATTATTCTTTGTTATACACAAAGGACTTACTGAGAAAGTAGTAAGTGACACATGTTTTCTAAGCTCCCTTGTGATTTTGTTTGGCTCTGAAAATGTGGAGTTGAAGCCAGAATGCTGTGCTTTATATAATAATATTATCTATTTTTGCTTAATAAAATAACGTTATCTATTTTTGTAAGTAAAATATATTGAAAGCTAGATTTTTAATTCCATCGTTTATTATTGTTTCAGGTACAACATAGCTATGATCAAATAACAGACCTTTTTTATTTCTTTCTTTCTTTTTTATTGTTCTTTCTGAAAGTACTCTTCCTTCAGAAACATGTGTTTGTTTTTGTTCATTTCAGCTAGGATGCACACAAAAGCAGTTGTCAGGGAAATTTTTGCTCTAGAAATATTAGCTGTTGTTAAAGTGGTTTTATCTGTCTGTTTTGGCAATACTTTAGGATTATTGGCAAGGAGGATGCTATACACTGGGAAAGAGAATTTATTCATTCCATGGGATAACTTTTTAAGGCAATTCCTAACTTAATGTCTTTGAAACTGAAGATTCTTCTAGTGGGAATGTCATCAGGCTAAATAACAAGCAAAATTAGATAAATGAAAATTGACTGTGGTGTAATTATTTTTATGTGTAGAGGATAGATAGGTAAGAATAAAAATGTAAAAAATAAATGGCTACCTCACTTTTGGCTGATTGATACATTCCCCACCCCCTCAAATGTTATGTATTGTGAAGTTGTCATGTGGGAAAAAATATTTTAATGCTTGACTTAGCACATAAGAACTTTACAACTTATAAAGCATTCATAAAAGGGATGAATCTTATTCCTTGTGACACAGGTACCTTCATCATTCCCACTGAGCAATGATTTATTTCCTCACCACTGCCAGCACAGTGCCTCACAGGCAGCACATTTAGCTGCAACTCAACGAGCTAGCATGTACAAAATATAGAACTCCATACAACTCATAAGACAATTTGATATTTCTCCCTGAGTTACACTGGGGGAAGGGAGTCAGGGGGTGCACAGGGAACGAGGAATGCCTTTAGAAATGACTGTAGCGCGTTTTCAAGTTTTCTTGTCACTGGGAGATGAAACGTGGAAAATAAGTGACACCTTGATGGTGCTCCTTTTCAAAGAGAGAGTGGAGAGCACAAAAGAAAAGTATGATTTTATTTGAGAGCTTACATTGAGAACTGAATTCAGAAGTAGGAATTGGTCATTGAACTCCTTCTCCACAGTTCGGTTTTCTCCTAGCAAGCATTTTTGCATTTAAATAACCCCGTTTCTTGGCTGTAGGAATACTTGAGTGTGGCGCAAGGAGATGTGAAAGAGGCAGTTCTATTTTCTGATATTTCTATGGATGTTTGTGGGGTGAGATACACGAGGAAATAAGAACATCTATATAGAGTGACTATGAAAGATACACAAAAATGGTTGAGGTGTCATTAAGAGTCAGGAATAAGAATAGAAAAATATTAATACCTCTCAACATTATGCCAGCAATTCTAGTAGCTGCCACCAGGTGCAGAGTAAAGGAGAGGCATGGCATAGAAAAACAGGTGAAGTGTTTCATCACTGGACAATGGAAAAACTAAGTTTAGTGATATAATCTACCTGAAGATGAGTTTAATAAATGAAAATCAAGTTACTGGAGTTTAAATTATTTTACTGATTAATCCCTATGTATACAAATCATAATAAATACACCAAAATTAAAGTTAATCTATCTTTAAAATCCAAGGGATAATTTAAGACTCTTTGTTATAAGAAAGCTACAAAAATCTTTTTGACTTCATGTTTAATCTCTACTTTCCCGAGAAATTTTTTTAGAATCTCTTCATCTATTCCTTTTTGCTTGTTTGTTTATTCTTGACAGCATATGGGAGGTTTTTACATCTTTGTCTTTCCATTTTACTTTCTTTTACACACACATATATATATATATATTTTATTATACTTCAAGACTTCAAGTTCTAGGGTACATGTGCAAAACGTGCAGGTTTGTTATATATATATATATATATATATATATATATATATATATACGTATATATATATATATACACGTATATATATATATATATACGTATATATATATATATACATGTGCCATGTTGGTGTGCTGCACCCATTAACTCGTCATTTACATTAAGTATATCTCCCAATGCTATCCCTCCCCCTCCCCCAATCCCACAACAAGCCCCGGTGTGTGATATTCCCCGTCCTGTGTCCATGTGTTCTCATTGTTCGATTCCCACCTACGAGTGAGAACATGCAGTGTTTGGTTTTTTTGTCCTTGCGATAGTTTGCTGAGAATGATGGTTTCCAGCTTCATCCATGTCCCTACAAAGGAGATGAACTCATCATTTTTTATGGCCGCGTAGTATTCCATGGTGTATATGTACCACATTTTCCTAATCCAGTCTATCATTTTTGGACATTTGGGTTGGTTCCAAGTCTTTGCTATTGTGAGTAGTGCCGCAAGCCAAAAGAACAAAGCTGGAGGCATCACACTACCTGACTTTATACTATACTACAAGGCCACAGTCACCAGAACAGCATGGTACTGGTACCAAAACAGAGATATACATCAATGGAACAGAACAGAGCCCTCAGAAATAATACCACACATCTACAACTATCTGATCTTTGACAAACCTGACAAAAACAAGAAATGGGGAAAGGATTCCCTATTTAACAAATGGTGCTGGGAAAACTGGCTAGCCATATGTAGAAAGCTGAAATTGGATCCCTTCCTTACACCTTATACAAAACTTAATTCAAGATGGATTAAAGACTTACATGTTAGACCTAAAACCATAAAAACCCTAGAAGAAAACGTAGGCAATACCATTCAGGACATAGGCATGGGCAAGGACTTCATGTCTAAAACACCAAAAGCAATGGCAACAAAAGCCAAAATTGACAAATGGGATCTAATCAAACTAAAGAGCTTCTGTACAGCAAAAGAAACTACCATCAGAGTGAACAGGCAACCTACAGAATGGGAGAAAATTTTTGCAATCTAGTCATCCTACAAAGGGCTAATATCCAGAATCTACAAAGAACTCAAACAAATTTACGAGAAAAAAACAAACAACTCCATCAAAATGTGGGCAAAGGATATGAACAGACACTTCTCAAAAGAAGACATTTATGCAGCCAACAGACACATGAAGAAATGCTCATCATCACTGGCCATCAGAGAAATGCAAATTGAAACCACAGTGAGATACCATCTCACACCAGTTAGAATGGTGATCATTAAAAAGTCAGGAAACAACAGGTGCTGGAGAGGATGTGGAGAAATAGGAACACTTTTACACTGTTGGTGGGACTGTAAACTAGTTCAACCATTGTGGAAGACAGTGTGGTGATTCCTCAGGGATCTAGAACTAGAAATACCATTTGACCCAGCCATCCCATTACTGGGTATATACCCAAAGGAATATAAATCATGCTGCTATAAAGACACATGCACACGTATGTTTATTGTGGCACCATTTTACTTTCTTAGTCCAAGCCTCCAAAATTAGGGATTGATTATCCTTAGAGGCACATTAGGCTCTGCCAGAGAATTTAAGAAATCAGAAAATACAATAATAAAGGCTTTCTTCCTTTCCTCTTTTCTTCCTTCCCTTCTTTTTCCTTCCTTCCCTCCCTCCCTCTCTCCTCCCCTCCCCTCCCCTTCCTTTCCTTTCCTTCTTTATTTCTTTTCTACTTGCCTATAGTTCTGATTGAAAACAAAATGTCTTAAAATAAAACATTACATCTTCTTCTTTTTTTTTTTTTTCGAGACAGAGACTTGCTCTGTGACCCAGGCTGGAGTACAGTGGCGCAATCTCAGCTCACTGCAACCCCTGCCTCCCGGGTGCAAACAATTCTCCTGCCTCAGCCTCCTGAGTAGTTGGGATTACAGGCACCAGGCACCACACCTGGCTAATTTTTGTATATTTAGTAGAGACGGGGCTTCACCATGTTGGCCAGTCTGGTCTCGAACTCCTGACTTCATGATACACCCACCTTGGTCTCCCAAAGTGCTGGGCTTACAGGCGTGAGCCACCGTGCCTGGCCTACATCTTCAATTTTATATTTTTATTTGACCAAACATTTAGCATTAAAAGTTCCATTTCATGAAATGAGCAGTTGAAGAACATTTTAGGCAATGAGGACTCAATCATGACTAGAACTGATATGCTTTTACCTTTAGGAAGTTTACATTTTAGTTTCAGGATCCAGATAATGAATACATAATTATATTTCAAAAATCATTTCTGATAATTATAAATGCAAGGAAGAAAAATAAGCAAATAACACATGACAGTCTGGGTATTTCGTATGAGTCTCCTCTACCTAAGTTGGGCAGATAAATATTTCTGAGGAAGTTGTTTTTGAACTGAAATCTGAAGAATGACAAAAAGCCATAAAGCAGGCCAGGCAGAGTTTTGGTAAGGAGAGAAAATAACAAGTACAAAGACTGAAGATGGAGAAATGGTAGTGCTAATCAAGGAAAGAAAAGAGTGGCACTGTGGTAGGTAGAGTCAGGGGAAGTGGCAGTAGGCATAAGATACACTTGAAGTGTTAGGCAGAAAATAAATTATGTAAGACTCTCTAGGCAGGTCTTCTGACAAGTGTGGACTTTATTCCAAGTGGAGTTGGAAGCCTTCAAAAGGCTTTAAAAAGGGAAGTCACAGGATATATGCTTAAAATATTCTTGCTCAGTCGGGGAACAGAGAGGAGGAGGAAAAAGTGTCAACAGAGAGGCTGCTTATGGGCTATTACAACAATTTAAGTGAGAGATAACTGTGCTGGGAAGCAGAAATAAAGAAAGTAAACATGCTTGATTAGACTGTAGATTATATGAGATTGTAGAGTGTAGTAGCTAAAATCATTGAATCTGGAATAAAAGTGGCTGGGTTTAAGATCTAGCTTTAAATCATACTAAAATTTCAACATAGGCAAATCCTTTAATGTGTCTTTGTGTTTTCTCATCCTTATCACATAAAGAATAATAGTTCCTAGCTGTTTTATGAAGATTAATAAAATGTTCTCTATCAAGCACTTGGAACGGAGTCTGAAACATAGCAAGCGGGAAATATATTAGCTATTGATGCCACTCTTTTAGAATCAGTAAACTTACCGATTAGAAATGAAGGAATAGGAGAAGAAAAAAAATATCAAAGAATGTTGGATTGAATATTGAGTAAACTCTCAATATAACATAACTTCATGGTATGAGGAAAGAGTGTCAGGGTAATGATAAAAGGTAAAATGGTCAAGAGCTCTTTTGTAGGTATATTTTACTTATATGTGCTGGATGTTAAAGTGCAGCTCTCAGGAAGCATATTAGATACATGAGTGTGAAACCTAGGGTAGAGAGTAAAACTAATACAGAAATTATCTTCAGGTAAATAAACAGTATAAAATGAATTTAAGCTTGGAGCTTGCTTTGGGATAGTCCATTGGAAAAGATAGAAGCCAAGGATTAGAGTACTGTTACACTACTGTATTTTGAATTCAAGAAGGGGAAAATGATACAGCAAGGAGGCTGGCAAGGATATATTTATTACATTCACATGAAGTAGAATGTAAAGTTTATATTAACTTTAAAGTTAAAATGAAGATAATGAAAAGATGTTTTGCAGTAGCATGTGACAGCTTGTTCTAGATTCTCTGAACCCTTTAAGGGGTGTTATGGTAAAAATATTGACAGAGCATGATACTTTCTCTAAGATAAAATAGTTTCTATTTCTTATAACAGAAGTCAACCATGACCTTTATCTCTATACTTTAGGCCTCACAAGATCATTGAAATCACAAGAGTGAAAAGGTTACTCAAATATGGAAATAAAAAGGGCACTGTATTTTCTATATTATAATTTCCTCCGTCTCCAGCTATGTCTTCTTCATCTGTTTTAGTTAACTTCTTCCAGATATTTTTTATAGGAAACTAGAATTTCTGTCTTTGAAAATTTTTAAGTATTAAACAAAATAAGACTATTACTATTTCCAGGAATAATTAATTTATTATAATTAAATTTAATAAATTATCTTAATAAGTTAGAAATAAAATATTCAGAGAGAATATTGTGTCAAGATTCTACATGTTCTGTTCTATTTCTACTATTAAGGAACCATAGCTTCCTGTTAAAATACTTATATTCCTTGTTAAAACATAACAGTTCTAACTGATCATATTCACTGTACACTTACTATCTGCTGACATTATAATAATAGCTTTCTAATTATAAATAATCAGATGATTAATATTAATTCAGAAACAAATATGTGGGCTCTGCAAAAATGGAACTTTATGAGAAAAGAAAGCAAGGTCAGAATACACGCAGAAGGATCCCCCAGCCAGCAGGGGGCGCAGCACACTGACGCAGAGCCTGAAAGATTCCCCAGAAGTTCATACCAGAACTAGGATAGAAGATTGAGATAAAAAAAGACAAACATCTTTCCAAGCTCTCCAGTGATAATTCAGGTATTTTTGCTCATATTAAGTTTTTAAAAGAAACACGATAGTCTAGTGATAAAATGCACTGCGTCTACTGACAAAGATTCTCTGCTTAGCCAAACCTTAGTCAGGCTCCTGAACATTCTCTGAACATCGGTGTAGTGCCTTGTAAAATCCAATTTTAGCAATCCAATTCTAACTGACTTTGCTAAGTCAGTTTGTCAAGACATCCCACCCTAATATCTGATCTCCCTTTACATCTGATCAGGTTCCTCATTTTCCACTATCCCCAGGTGATTCGAATTACCCTGGTTTGTCTTCAGCAAGAATACTGTTAGGTCACTTTAGGCAGAATCCCTCTTACCCCTTGTGTTAGTTCGTTCTCACACTGGTATAAAGATACCACCTGAAACTGGATAATTTAGAAACAAAAGAGGTTTAATTGACCCACAGTTCTGCATGGCTGGGGAGGCCTCAGGAAACTTACAATCATGGCAGAAGATGAAGGGGAAGCAAGGCGTGTCTTACATGGTGGCAGGCGAGAGAGAGAGCAGGGGAAATGCCAGAAACTTATCAAACAACTAGATCTCCTGAGAAATCCCTGACTATCATGAGAACAGCATGGGGGAAACTGTCCCCATGATTCAGTCACCTCCCACCAGGTCCCTCCCTTGACTTGTGAGGATTACAATTCAAGATGAGATTTCAGTTGGGACACAGAGCCAAACCATATCACCTCTGACTTTCTCTTAGTAATTTTTCATCCACTGACCCCCAACCTGATCCTTGGTTATAAATTCCCACGTACTCATGCTGTATTCAGAATTGAGTCCAATCTCTCTTCACCACTGCAAGACCCTGTTTCAGTGGTCCCTATACCTATCAGGATGGTCCCAAATAAAGTATTTCTTACCATGTTGTTACAAGTGTCATTCAATACTTTTTTTTAACACCATACAGACACTAAGTTTTTGTCTTGACTCCTTACTTGGTAACCATGTGGCTTTAGACGAGTTACTTTCTTTGAGCTTAAGTCTCTCTCATTTGTAAAAGAGTAATAAGTATTTATTTCATACTGTTCCTGGGAGGATAAAATAAGATATTAAATGAGCAGAAGCCTTGACATATACTAAGCTGTCGATACATGTTCATATTATTAATATTCAGAAAATGACAAGTCACTGTCATTATCTTTTATTACTTTCATTCAAATAACAATTGAACCAACTCTTAACCAACCTTCTAGGGGGAAGAAATGGCACAGATATTTTAGAAGTACTGGACTATGTATTCAATACAGGTGCTCAGAAATAACTCTGAGCACATACAATAGTCTCCTCTTGTCAGAACGGTATACCTTCCAAGACCCCCAGCAGACATCTGAAAACCATAGAAAAAGTGCTGAAATGTAAACACACACACACACACACACAGTTTTTTCCTGTACATACACACCTATGATAAAGTTTAATTTGTAAATTAGGCAAGTAAGAGATTAATAACAATAACTAAGAATAAAAGAGAACAACTATAACAATATACCATAATAAATGTTAGGTGGACATGATCTCTCTCTGTTTCTTTGCAAAATATCTTATTGTACTATACTCACCTTTTTTTCAGATTGCAGTTGACAATGGGTAACTAAAACTTTGGAAAGCAAAACTCAAGATAAACATGAGGTACTCTATTCACATATCATAGAATAAGGAAATTGAAAGTGAGCTGGGCCTCACAAGCAAGACAACTAATGATTTAAAATTGTTCTTAGCCAAACTATACTCTTGTATTCAACTTGATTGCATTTGTCCTAATTTTACAGATGTTAGTTAAAATTGAAGTATTTCTCAGTCATAACAATAAGTCTGATGAAATATAGTGCCCATATTATGAAGAGTGAAATCCAGCTGCTTAATATTTATTGTAACACCTTCTGTTAGAACAGTAAAATATGGTGATTCTGAACTCCTAAGGGGAACCTCCTGTAGGAATGAGTAAAACATTACCTATCCCTATAGGAGGTCCCCTACAGGCAGTAAAGAGCTCTCCACAGGAGATGAAGGAACTCACCCAGAAACCAGACTACAATGAGGAGTGCATTTATTCAAAGCAAATTTTAAGCTCTCAACATTTTTTTAGATGGGTAGCTGTATGAAAAGCAACAAAAAAAAATGCAAAACTATTTCATTTTCTTTAAAAAATGGAATATTGAACAGTTACCCAACTTTCCAAAGTCTGACTTTATAAATTTAACTCTTCTAAATACTCAAACATGAAAACTCAATCTGTGTCAACACCAGCCAACACACACACACACACACACACACAAACTCACAGACACACAGAGCCCCTGACCATGCAAGAATTTCATAAATCACCAAGACTAACAGTCACTTTCTGAGGATATTCCAAAGACTTGGTCTTTTGAGTCCTGTTGCCCTGTCTAATATCCCAAGTTTCCATGCCATCAAAGGACATTCATGATTACTTGTGCATTGTTAGCACTCAATGTTTTAATCTCATAGACTAGTGAACAATTAATATTCCTTTAAACATTAAAATAAGTGATCGTCTTTTGAATATTGAAATGCATTTTATACATCTAATAAATCAACACTTAAAAGCAAGAACTTTGTTTTCCCAAATATTAAAGTTCACAATATTATTTTATTTTTCTGAAAACTGAACTATACTTGTATGTTGAAAATAGCACTTACGCATTTCAAGTATGTTAAAAATCCATCAAAACACGTGTACTTATTACAGTGGTTATAAACCATATATTACTATATGTTTATTAAAAGTGATTACAATGAAAAAGTTTCCTATTTGGTTTGAGATTTACTACTTTTATCAACATTGTCATCATCATCATAGTATGTTTTTTAAATTGTTTTTTATATATTTATCTTTAATTGAGTTGTTGGTAAGCTTAACGGACCACAAGAATAAAAAATTAAAAGGTTGTCATTGTTCCTTTCCCAAAGGGAAACTAGGCTACAATCTTGATCTCTAAGGGAAATGTTCAGACAGATACTAAAAGATTTATTTTCTCCTTCTCAACTCAGGATTCAGTTTTAGTAATATAGTGGGCTATGTACCTGGATTGTCCCACTGGCATCAACTAAAATCTAAGGTACAATTTTTTAAAAGTCTTTTCACTGTATTAATGAGCTAGCAGGAAAGAAAGCAATTCTGAGATCAAAAGATAAGTGAAGACAGGAACTGAGCTAGGTAAGTAGAAACTTAGGTCAAGTTTGTCACTCTAAGGCTATGTGCTAAACAATCATGACTTTGAGTTTTGTTTTTTATTGTCTCAGAGCACAGAGGAAACAAGAAGGTCCACCCAAGTTGGAGAATCTGGTGAGTGTCTTGATCCAAGAAGCTGGAAATACAAAATTTACAAAATTAGTATAAGAAAAACAAAAACAGGCCAGGCATGGTGGCTCACGACTGTAATCCAGCACTTTGGGAGGATGAGCTGGTCTGATAACCTAAGGTCACGAGTTCGAGATGAGCCTGGCCAACATGCTGAAACCCCATCTCTACTAAAAAGATGAAAAGTAGCCAGGCATGATGGTGGTGGCCTGTAATCCCAGCTACTCTGGAGGCTGAGGTAGGAGAATCGCTTGAACCCGAGAGACAGAGGTGGCAGTGAGCTGAGATTGTGCCACTGCACTCCAGTCTGGGCAACAAAGTGAGACTCTGTCTCAAAAACAAATACATAAATAATTTCGTTACAGATGCTAACAAAAGAAAAATTTGTTATTTCAAATCTAGTTATTAAAAAGAACAGAATTAGACTAGGTGCAGTGGCTCACGCCTGTAATCCTAGCACTTTGGGAGGCAGAGGCAGGTGAATCACTTGAGGTCAGGAGTTTGAAACCAGCCTGGCCAACACGGTGAAACCCCGTCTCTACTAAAAATGCAAAAATTAGCCAGGCGTGGTGGTGGGCTACTGTAATCCCAGCTACTTGGGAGGCTGAGGCAGGAGAATTGCTTGAACTCAGAAGGTGGAGGTTGCAGTGAGCCGAGATCGCGTTACTGCACTCCAACCTGGGCGACAGAGCAAGTATCCAAAAAAAAAAAAAGAACAGAAGGAGGGAAAGAATACCATAAGAAGTTGGAAAAACAGTTGAGTCTTCCCCCAATTTGTGGCCCAAGTACATATCATGTGGTGCTGTATAAACATTCAAGGGAAGAAATCACTTTAACATGACCTAGCTCTGATATCCTCTGTCTCCTGGAAGAAAAAGTGCAAATTTCTGGAAGAAATTAACTTTATCTCATATCTCAAGTAGTTTTCGTAAAGTTAGTTTTCTGGAAAACAAGTAATTCAGAGGGAAACAAAACAAAACAAAACAAAACAAAAAACCCAGTAAGCTAATGAGAAAAGGGAAACACGTGAGAGAATTTATTTAAAACTTCTTACCCAGGAAGGTGGGAAGAAGTGTATCGTGTTCCTGCTCCTGGATTTAAGACTCTGCTTCTTCCCACCTTCCTGGGTAAGGAGCTTTAAATAAGCCATATCCTCAGACTGCAACGAATCACAGGCTTTTCCTAACCTTTCTACAAATATATGGGAAGAAGCTTCAGAGCAAGGCATTCTTTATGAGGCTCTCTAAATCCCTGACTTCCCTTCTGGTACTGATTCCATTCCCTCTGCCTAATTCTGGTTAGAGGTCAACATGATCATACTGTAGTCATCTTTATCTTTTTGCATTTCTCTCCTTGTATTACATTAGAATTTGTTCATCTTTTTATTCTGGACACCCATGAATTTTTATTTTTTAGGTTTGTATATTGTTATGGGATAAATGTTGGTGTCCCCCCAAAAAAATTCCATACACTAAAGTTGTTTCCCCGTGTGATGTTATTTGAAGGTAGTGCCTTCCAGGGGGTAATTAAGTTTGGGTTACATCATGAGGGTGGGTCTTAATGATGGGTCTAGTGACTTTAGGACAAAAAGAAGAGAAAGAAAGATCTCTCTCTTTCGCTGTGTGCAAGCACTGAGGAAGGGCCAAGTGAGGAGGACATAGTGAGAAGATGACCATGCAAGCCAGGAAGAGTGCATTTGCAAGGAACCTAACTGGGGGGCACCATGATCTTGACATCCAGACTCTAGAACTGTGACGCATACATTTCTGTTATTTAAGCCACTCAGTCTATGGTATTTTGTTATGGCAGCCAGAGCTAAGATATATATTATCCACATCTGACGAGTATTTACAGTAAAGAAAGTGCCCTTATCACCTCTTAATGAATAATTTTCATTGTCAATTTAGTGATAAATGAGCCAAAGCAATAATAAAACTCGATCCTATGCAAGGTGAAAATAGAACTTGAGTACTATCCTAGTGGGAATATAAACCGATACATCCTTTGTTAGAAATCATATTGGTAGTGTACTTCACAAACAATTGTACTCATTAATCCCAACTTTCAGAATGTATCCCAAGGCTAGAATCAGAGATTTAAAAGATTCACTTCCTGCTCATAGTCCAGACAGATTCCCCATTATATTGTCTTTAAAACCCTCCCAGCCAGCTTCTGAAAACATAACAACATCATCAGTATCTTGGCACACAGCTACATTATTATTTACTATGCAATATTGAATATGTTACTACAGAATTAACTTATCTCTGTATGGATATTCATTTACTGATTCAATAAACATATGAGAAATCCTGTTGTGGGCCAAATTTATATTTCCAGTCCAGACCAGTTCCCTCAAATCCAGGCTTGTTTGACTTCTGCCTACTGGACCTTTTAATTTGGAAGTCTAATAAGCATCTCAACTTAACATGCCCTGAACTAATTCCTTCTCTCTCCACAAGTTCCAGTTTCTCAGGCTAAAAGTTTTGGATCATCCCTTACTCCTGTCATTCCCTCGTGGTCCACATGCAATACATTAGCAAATTCTGTAATTTTTCAACCACTTCCACTGCTACAAAACTTTTGGAAACTGCATATATCTCACCTGGATTAATGCAAAATCCTAACTGGACTTTCTTATCCATGCTTGGCCCCTGTAGTTTATTTTCAACATATTTCAACATAGTACACAGAAAGATGATCTTTAAACAAGTCAGAAGAAACCCATCTATCTATCTAGACTTTGCATTTCTTGAACTATTAGATCTCCAGAGGAGCTAAGATTCTGGAAGAAGCTCTCCACAATCACTATACCCAATCCTACCCTCTTAAAACAGTCTTACTCTTGATGGGTATACCTTGCTATATCACTAATAAATTCCTGAATTTAGTCAATTATCTGTATAAATTTAGAAGAAAAAGAATGCTGTATTTGGTGTTAGATATCTACAAAGTTGAGCTATAGCTCAGGTAAAAGGGTTCTCAGGTTAAAAAAAAGCCAGTATAATTTCCAAAGCTGAATTCCCAGAAAGAAGACATAAAGACAAATCGTCTTTATATGGTGAACCAGGCCACAATTATGCTTTGTTTCAGATTTAACTATTTCAAAGGTGGAGATCCTTTTGGTGTATGTTTGTGTGGTGGGCAAACGGCTCACAGGTATATTTTCAGCACCTAGTCCAGTGTTTGGCCCATTCATTATATGCTTATTAAATAAGTGAATGGACCCCAAATGTTCTTTTATTCTGATGGTCTGTCATCATAGCGCATTTAGAGAAGAGCAGTATATTATTTTAGTGAACTGGAAGGCAGTTTGGGTTGCTAATTATGTGCCACCAAGAAACCAAATTCTCATGGCCCTCATATGCAATGCTGAAAACCTTGCTTTAAGTTTTTGGCATATTTTTATAATCCTTTCTAAATATTAATTAATCTCCAACCTCTGCTAGAAGAACTTACCTTCGAGAGATAAGACATTATCTGTCTTGTCTAAGCCCTGGAATTCTTTTTTATTTTTTCTGCCATATTTGTTTTCTAGTAAGGTTTTGAAATTCAGATTCTTTGAAAATGATCTATTTTAAATTGCTTTTTCCTTACATTCATGTCTTAAATGATATATTTGCATATGTTTATTAACAAGTCTTCTATATATAATGACTACATAGCCATTTCTTGAGGTTGTATTGTTCGAGGTATCAACCAGGAGTGTGGGAGCGAGGAGTTCAGAGAAACAACATCTGTCATGCCAATCTTGAAACTGATAGGAACATCAATTCATTGCAATGAAGTCTTATTAACCAGCATCATTTTTACATGGCTGGAAGACGATTTGCTTTAGAAAAGCTCATAGGAAAAATAGCAACAGCAAAAAGAAAAACCTGACAAAATGTATCCTTTTGTTTTGTTAGACAACATTTAAAAATCTGGAATTATAGTATATCTTCAGATATCTCTCTGAGAAAACTGGGCCCACATTCTCTATGGTAACACCTGAAAGGAGCTGAAGAGCAGTGCTCCCTCACCCGTTTTCAAATGAGGCAAAAAATAATTTAAAGAGAGATATTTAATCATGGACCTTACCTACCTAGACGTTATTGACATTTGAGTTTGCAACCTACATGATTGAAATCTACCATCTCCACTAAATCTATAATTTAGATTTAGTGTGTAGCCATTTTTAGTAGGAATAGAAACAGAATATTTCAGAAAACCTTTATTGAACCCCTGCAAAAATAAAATAGACTAGAGCAAAACCCCTTATTTATCTAAAAGGTGCACTCCTTGAGAATCCTACACAGGGAAAGCTTTATATTCTGTGTATTTTCACCGAAAGCAAGCCTGCAGCCTCTAAGTTGAAAGCGGCAGAAACAGAATTTGGGATATCATACAGACTTATACATTGATATAGAGGACATTACGATTTTCTCAAGAGATACTGGTCATAGAATTCTAGCAACCATAAAATACTGATAATTCTTTTACAAGTACTTTTATAGTAGCCTAAATTGATTTAATAGAGTACCGTCAAATCAATTCATTCTCTTAATTCTTAGGCTGCTTCATCTTAATTTGAATTGTTGGTGAACCAGGCCATCCAGCAATTATAGGGCCACATAGCATCTGATATATGATTCATAAGGCCAGCCACCTGAAGAATGAAAGCAGAGGTATAGAAGAAATTGTGAACTGAGCTCTTCATAAATTGAACCTCACTGAATGATAATTCGGTATTTGTAGGCACACTAAATACATACCTTTATACCAAAAAATAATTATCACATGCATTTATGTTTGTAAAGGGTTGAAAATGTGGCAATTATACCTCATACAGCACTAGATAACACAGAATATACTGTTGTAAGCAATACTTTAATATTTATGAAGGTGGTCTTCTTTAGCGTGACATATACATTTTATTCTCTTCGAGTCAAAATATGCCTTTGGGGATAAACAACGTGTGATGGAAAGGCATGGGTCACCAGATACACACAAAGTACCTTATTTATGGCTAATTATAGCAGTTAACGTATACTAAGTGTTTTTCGTGTCCTGAATAGTTTGCTAAGAACTTTGCACATCTTGTTTCATATAGCATTAGGAGTAGCTTCTTATAAGTATGATAAATGAGGCTTGGTAGGCGGTATGACTTGTCCAAGGCCAAAAAAGTTAATAACCATTGGAACTGGGGTTGGATTCTGGAAGACTGCATTGGATGTGCTGTTGACTATTATACATAATGCCTCTTCAGTGTGTTATTACTGTAGAGTCAGAGGCCATGACCTTGGAACCCAAATATTTTTCAGTTCTTTCTATGTTACTAGGTGGGTGTTAGGTGCTAACAAGAGTCAGATGGATGACAAACTGAAAATTTCAACTGTGGCCTTTTGTTTCCCAAGAAAATCTCAAAATTTTGTGTTTATTCTGTAAAAATAAATTTTAAAGCCTTTTTATTGTTCAGTAAATAAGCTCTTTATTTAAATATATTCCAAAATTGCTTTAATAATATTTTGTGTCTTTTTCTAATTATTTAAAAGCATCTACTTGGTTTAGTCACAGTCTAAGTACTAAGAGTGCAAAAATAAATATAGTATATGTATAACTTCATTATCATAGTGATTTATAATATTGTATAATAAAATAGGTGCTATATAATAATTTGCAGTGCTCTAAGCAAGCCACAGTTTTTAATTTTTAGTTTATTAACAATCTCAATGGCAAAAGCATAATCACTCATTAAAATGGAGATTTTAAATGGCTATAGGCATATTTATTTAAAAAAGTATACTTGTACATTAATAATTAGTCAGAATGCATTACAGTTGGATTAAGTCAGTCCACTGTTTCAACAAATATTCTAAGTCCAGAAAAATTATTGATTTAATATTACAGACAAATATTACAGATTAAATATTGAAATCTAAAGAATAAATAGGGAAAGAAAAAGTTATAGAAGAGCAGAAGATAAATGGGTAGGGTTTGACCAGTACACTCAATCACATCCAGTGCAATGCCTATCCATTACAGATAGGGTATCTTTTTCTAGTTCCCTCAAAAGGGAAATAATTCTTTTAAACTACTATTTCAAGTATACAGTTTTTATGGTAATGCTTAAAATCTGCTTAATATTATAATTATCTGTGCACCTGTTTTACTTACTATCTTTGACTATCAGTACTTTGAAGCCAGATCTGTGTTTTTGCATAACTAATCATCAGGGAAATACAAATCAAAACCACAATTCAATACCATGTTACTCCCGCAAGAATGGCCATAAAGAAAAAATAAAAAAATAACAGATATTGGCGTGGATGCAGTGAAAAGGGAACTTCTGCACTTCTGGGAGAAATGTAAAATAGTACAACCACTATGGAAAACAGTGTGAAGATTTCTTAAAATACTAAAAGTAGAAGTACCATTTCATCCAGCAATCCCACTACTGGATATCTACCCAGAGGAAAAGAAGTCATTATACGAAAAAGTTACATGCACACGTATGTTTATAGCAGCACAGTTCACAATTGCAGAAATGTGGAACCAGTCCAAATGCCCAAATCAATGAGTGGATAAAGAAACTGTGATATACATATATGATGGAATACTACTCAGCCATAAAAAGTAATGAATTAATGGCATTCACACAACCTGGATGGGATTGGAGACAATTATTCTAAGTGAAGTAACTCAGGAATGAAAAAACAAACATTGTGTGTTCTCACTTATAAGTGGGAGCTAAGCTATGAGAATGCAAAAGCATAAGAATTATACAGTGGACTTTGGGGACTCTGGGGTAAAGGGTGGGAAGGGGGTGAGGGATAAAATACTATGAATTGAGTTCAGTGTATACTGCTCGGGTGATGGGTGACCAAAATCTCACAAATCACCACTCAAGAACTTAGTCATGTAAGCAAATCCCACTTGTTTCCCAAATCTATGGAAATGAAAAAGAATACATTTGTGGTAGATGGCATATTACAAATAGTTGTTCCATTAAATTTACCTAATGTGGTTTATGAAGGACTATTAAAATAATTTAAAAGGCATCAAATTAGATTTTTTAGAGATAACTTTATACAAAATTCAATGAGGACTTGAAGCCTTCCACAAATGAACCTGGAAGTGAATTCTACCACAGCTCAAACTTGAGATGATTGCAATCCTAGTGGACACCTTGATGCAGCCTTGTGAAAGAAACTGAGCAAGCCCCCAGCTAAGCCACGCCCCAATTGTGGGGCAGTTTGTCACATCAAGGGATAACAAATGCATAATGACATTTTACCTCTACTGTATGATATTGTATATTACACATTAAATTACATATTGCACATCTTATTATATGAAATAGAAGCTAGCATTATAAGCAGAACAGATAATTTGCCTGGAAAGAAATCTTTGAATTTGATTCCTCCAAAACAGTTTGGTAGAATGAAAACAGAGAGGACAGGAGGAATGTTGCTATGGTCCAGGAGGAGCAGGAATTATGCATCTGTATAACTGGCTAATAGAAAAAATATGGTGGTGACAATTATGTAGTTAAGAGGATGGGTTCTTTTCTCAGAATGTCTATACCAAAACCCACATGAACCACTTGGTAGTTGTATTACCATGGCAAATTTTTCCATTGTCATAGAAAATAATTTCCTAATCTGGGAAATAAAAAATGGTGACTGTACTTATTGCATTGAGTTGTTTGGAGGTTTAATGTACTGCTACAATCTGATTACTCACCAAAATATCTGGCACATATGGAAAAAGAAGGAGCCAGAATAATAAGGACATTTGGATACTTTTTTCCTTTTTCTAAAAGAGAATATATGTTTTCTAAACACTGTAAAGCAGTGTACTCTATTTTCAAACAGATGTTTAGTCATGTTTAGCATCGAAAGATGTGAACGCTGAGGCAAAAAAGAGTTCAATAAGGACAAAGCATAGCAAAATAACCTCATTTTCCTTTCACAACAGGGGTATTAAACTTCCAAATGAAGGGAATGAATTAGAAATATTGTATCTTAACTTCAGTAGAAATGTTTTACATGACAAATTGATAGAGATTATCATAAAAAGCAGTTGATGACACTGGGTGAGGCTTTTGTTGCTAGTTTGACAGGCACATCTGAAGATTATCCATTTATTTTTTTGTTATCCCTAAGAAAGTTTTTGAGTGGCAAGCCTTAGGCCTGCTTTCTCTCCTCAGTCATGTCTCAACTCGTTTTGTTAAATATGAATTTTATATTTGTCAATGCCAAAATGTTGAGAGATAGTGCACATATTATAAATGAAAAAAAGAAAAACCTTCTAAATGTGTGGAATAAAACTACAGACTAAAATCATAAGATGAGATTTTACTGAAGTAAGTTAACAGTTGTCAAAACAATCAGTCTCCCACACATAAGATGTAAAGAATCATCACCACATCGTACTTCCCATGAAAATTTATGAAAAATAACTAGAGTTAAAAATAAGACTATGTGTAAAGTTAAGAGTGTCAAAAACTGAAAAAATAGTTTCTGATATCTTTTCCTATTTGCAAGCAAGAAGTTAGCCTGACAGTTTTATGGACTGGCAGAAGACAAGAGACACCCAGATCAAAGATAAAGGTTAGTTTATTACTCATCAGTAGCAATGACCAGAATGTCATTATTTTTAACAGTTTCCCAAACTCCAGTTCTCACAGGATGATGTAAAGAGAGCCAGGCTACATCTCCACATTCAATGAGCTGCATTACAGGAGAGAAATTCTGAGGTTTATCATGTACAGTAAACAAACCTGCTCCTGGATGTGGATTCAGACAGAATATCTTCAAAGGATATTTGCTATACATACATCCCTGAAAGAGTACTCTGGCTCAGGGTGGTGGCTCATGCCTGTAATCCCAGCACTTTAGGAGGCCGAGGAGGGTGGATTACTTGAGGTCAGGAGTTCAATACCAGCCTGGCCAACATGGTGAAACCCTATCTGTACTAAAAATACAATAGCCAGGCGTGGTGGCGGTCGCCTGTAATCCCAGCTACCCGGGAGGCTGAGGGACAAGAATCACTTGAACCTGGGAGGCAGAGGTTGCAGTGAGCTGAGATCATGTCACTGCCACTGCACTCCAGCCTGGGAGACTCCATCTCAAAAAAAGAAAGAAAGAAAGAAAGAAAGAGAAAGGAAAGGAAGGAAGGGAACTCTGGACAAAAAGGGCAATTACAGTTTTTGCTTGCTCGGCATGCAGAAATATGAGAGCTCCCATGAAGAACTGTATCTTGGCAATGGAGCTTTGAAAATACAAATAGAAGCTGACATTAAGATCTCACACAATCATCATTTGGCAGCACATCACACTAGTATGATTAATAATATGATAACATTATATTATTAATGATTATAAAAATGCTTATTTTGTTCAGTTTTAAACACCATATTTTGAAGCACATATGAGAACGTGCAGAATGTTCACCCAAACATTGAAGGGAATGCCAAATGAAGAAAATTGTTCACTTGCAAATATACTTCTATACTACGAAGTATAGAAGAAAAAACTACAAGTAAATTATTAACCTCCAATAATTAAATACCTTTTCTTTAGAGACAGCCGGATGTCACATTTTCTCTACTTCTTCCCAGTTCTCAGCTCTGCTACTCCTAATGAATGCTTCTCACTAAAAGTCCTATTTCTTCAAGCATGCTCTCAGAATTACTTGAACTTGAGTCAGAGTATTTAAGAAATTTGTGATCTTTCAAACTCGAAAATCATTACATACGGCATACTTACCTCACCATAAGACCAAAAAGAGATCATGACTCTGGAAATACAAATAATCATGAGTTAAAGATATTCCAAATCTAAAGATATCTGAAGTGAAAGGAAGGAAATTCAATCAGTATCATGAGACAACTCTGATAAAATAATGGTAAAAAACGTACAGTTTAGAAAGAAGTAGAGAGGAAAAATGCAGGATTGTATCTGAGAATTATGATTATTATTATTAATACTTGAGGGATTTAGAATGCCATCTACTTCAGAGATTCTGTTTTCAGGATAATTGCCACTGAATCACACTTATGGACCTTGTATCATGTCCTCTAATTGTTTTCTTATATACTGGGAAATGCCAGCATAGAAGTCTGTAAACCTAGCCTTGGAATTTTCTCAACAAGTGAGAATTCAGCAAAAACAATCTATGTGGTGTAAATTTTAAAAAGTAAGAAAGATTCTTAAGTTTATGATAAAATAAATTACTAAAATATGCAGCACATTTTACCAGGGGTAGCAGGAGAAGAATAAAAAGAAAAAATAACTCAACCCAAAGACAATGAATTTCAATCCTGTGCAGGGATCAATATGTAACCTGTGAAAAAGTAGTAACTTTTTATTGACAAACACATGCAAATAAATATACACAAAATCCTGGTCATGTATAAAGTTCTAGAGAGACAAATCAATACACAGAATCGGAACAAATCTTTAAAGTAAGTTTATCAATGGCTTCTGAAATAATCATATTCTATATAAATATAAATTAGCTACAGGAACAAAAGAAAGTTTAGGACAATGTTTTGTGTTTTCAACCTCTACTGCAGATTGGAATCACCTGAGAATCTTTTAAAACTACTGATCCCCCAAGGATTGTTATATACTTGGTTATATTTGTGGCACAGACATCAGGATTTAAAATGCTACTCATGTAATTCTGATGTGAATCCAAGGTTGAGGACCATTACTTAGAATAAGAATAGGAACCATTTACAGAGAGTGAATTGAGAAGTATTAAAAGGCTTACTAATGCAAGCAATTCTTACTATCAGGCAATAGAGCCTGTCCGTTAACATATTACATTTAGGACAACTGGCCCGGCGCGTTAGCTCACGCCTGTAATCCCAGCACTTTGGGAGGCTGAGGCGGGCGGATCACGAGGTCAGGAGATCCAGACCAACCTGGTTAACACAATGAAACCCCATCTCTACTAAAAAAAGAAAAATACAAAAAAATTAGCAGGGAGTGGTGGCGGGTGCCTGTAGTCCCAGCTACTCGGGAGGCTGAAGCAGGAGAATGGCGTGAACCTGGGAGGCGGAGCTTGCAGTGAGCCAAGATTGCGCCACTGCACTCCAGCCTGGGCGAAAAAGCGAGACTCCGTCTCAAAAAAAAAAAAAAAAACTTAGGACAACCTTAGCGGAAATACAAATTCTATCAAGAGAAAAAACAATGTAAGCATACTGAAACCTAAAAAATAGTAAATACTCTATAAAGTTATTATGAGGGCTGATAATTGGATGACATATGCATTGTGAATGTCACAGGCTCTTATCCACAGTATACAGATTCCTTATGTATTATCTTTTTTTTTTTTTTTTTTTTTTTGAGACGCAGTCTCACTCTTTCACCCAGGCCGGACTGCAGTGGCGCTATCTAGGCTCACTGCAAGCTCCGCCTCCCGAGTTCACGCCATTCTCCTGCCTCAGCCTCCCGAGTAGCTGGGACTATAGGCGCCTGCCACTGCGCCGGGCTAATTTTTTGTATTTTTAGTAGAGACGGGGTTTCACCGTGTTAGCCAAGATGGTCTCGATCTCCTGACCTCGTGATCCGCCTGCCTCGGCCTCCGAAAGTGCTGGGATTACAGGCGTGAGCCACCGCGCCCGGCCTGTATTATCTTATACATTATATATAATAAACATATTGGTAATTCCTTAGGCCTTGTTGATCTTTAAATGTCTTGATAATCATCAGTATTAGCACCAGTCAACATTTGTCATAAAATTTCTTCCCATTTAGCAATAAAGTAAATTAGACAGATGACATCTTGGCACTTGAGGGAGATAACCTGGCTAAAGGAGGATTCTACGACAAGTACATGATAAATGTTGCACTTCAGACTACTGGAAAATAAGTGTACAGAGTCTAACTTTATTTTCCACTCAACCTCTAACTAGTTCATTTTTGTTTAGCTTGAGTTGACCAAACTCTCCCCTATCTGCCAAAGAGAAAAAATAAATGGTGTACTCTCCCAGGGAAGAAAAATATTCCTTTTAGTCTTTTGGATATTTTGTACTTAATATCCATTATACTACAAAAATATGAGATATATCAATATACAGAAAAATATGAGTAATCAAGATGAAAAAGTCAATAAGAGCAGAATCTCAGTTAATACAGTTATTAGAGTTAGCAAACAAAGAGTTTAAAACAACCAATAGCTTTCAGCCAACTGGCAAACTGGACAAAAATACATAAGACAACTCTTTTTAGATATGGGACAATAGGCAGTGAAAGAAAATGTTTCTGAGACAATGAAAACAAACCAAAAAAATAAAAATAAATAAAACCAAGGTGAGCCCTATGATTATCCCAGTTTTCTTACTTGAGGCATTTTCTGCACCCTGTATCACAGACAGGGAATCAAATGGAACATGACAGTCTTGCTGAGTTAAGGAGACAGAAATAAAATTTAGAAGAGGGTTTGACAGAAGTGGTGGAGCAGATCACTGGAGAATAGGGAGCTAACATAGAAAGAGTTCTAGAAGTCTTCATCAGGTACTCTTAAGCCTTTCACAGAATCCAAAGCTGTTCACATGTAGGATGAAACTCCATGAGGCCAGGAAAAGAACAAGTGCTGGGGACTGCAACCTGAACAATCTTCACAGCTCACACAGCCATGGGAAATGTTCAAACTCTTACCAGCCACAGTAGAGAAACTTCACTGAATGCCCAGGACATTCAGTGTTGGGTTTGTACCTTATTCGTAATGATTAGTAATGCTAAATAATCTCCAGCCTAATGGCTACTGTAGAAACATCCTGTCTAAAATCATGCCTTGAAAACATCAAGCTGATCTGAATGTGACATAATGGTCTACCAAAATAACACGCTCTAAAGGAAGCTGACAGAATATAAATACTCCACAGTGTAACATATTCATTGTCCAGAATTCAATGAAAATAGAACTCTAGATAGGGGTGCAGGGCAAAATGTGATCCATAACATGAGGAAAGTCAAGCAATAGACACAAATGACAGTGATGATGGAATTAGCAGAAAAACAAAACAAAACAAAAAAAAAACTTTAAACCTACTCTAATAAATATCCTTGAGGATTTACAGGAAAACATGAAAGCTTCTCAGCATTTTGGCTAAGATCAAGTGTAAAAGACAACATGAAAACAATGTGATATATGGGGACTATAAAAAGACCCAAAAATGGAATTGTATTAAAATATATAATATCTGAAATAAAAATTTATTAAATAGGTTTATCAGCAGTTTGTAGATACTGTGAAAGTTAAGTTGAAGACCTAGCAATAGAAACTACCTAAAACAAAACCTAAAATGAATTGTATTAAAATATATAATATCTGAAATAAAAATGTACTAAATAGGTTTATCAGCAGTTTGTAGATACTGTGGAAGTGAACTTGAAGACCTAGCAATAGAAACGACCTAAAATGAAACATAGAAATAAAGGCTAAGAAATAATTAATAGAGTTTCATTGACCTACAGGATACCATCAAGTGACCTAACGTCTGTGTCCCAGAAAAAGGTAGCGTTTGAAAAAGCAACAAAAGTTTTTCAAATGTACTAAAAAATTATAAACTCACAGATTTGTGAAACTCAACCACAGTCAAGCAGGAGAAATACAAAGAAAACCACACATAAGCTCATAAAAATTAGATTTCTGGAAACTAATGAAAACAAGAAAAGCATAAAAGCAGACAAATCAGACATTTAAAAAAATCAAGATAAAAGCATTCGTTGATGTCTAGGTAGACCCTAAGCAGGGCAAATAACAAAGGAACAGTATCTGTGAAGTACTGTGAGAAAAAAAAAAATCCAAAACAACCTCAGTCTATTATTCCCTGTCCAATATAAAATATCCTTCCAAAAGCTTAACTGGAAACATTTTCAGACAAATGAAAGTTAAAAGAATTAGTGGACATCAGACTCACGCTGTAAGTACTATCAGAGGAAACTTAAGGAAAAAGACAGCACATGGAAAACTCTGACCTACTCAACAGAATGACGAGGAGAATGAATAGCAAATATGTACATAAATATAAAACTTTTTTCCATTAAAAATCTATAAAATATAATTGACAATTTATAGCAAAAATAACAATGTATTAGTCATAGTAGCGTTATCATAGCACCAACAAGAAACAACTGTCCAAAAACAATAAAATTTATGTGTAAAATGGAATACCATGCAGCATTAAAAATAATGAATTATCATCATAAGAAATAACATGAGTCTCGGCCAGGCACAGTGGCTCACGCCTATAATCCCAGCACTTTGGGAGGCAGAGGCGGCGGATCACGAGGTCAGGAGATAGAGACCAACCTGGCTAACACCGTGAAAGCCCGTCTCTACTAAAAATACAAAAAAATTAGCTGGGCGTGGTGGCGCGTGCCTGTAGTCCCAGCTACTCGGGAGGCTGAGGCAGGAGAATCGCTTGAACCCGGGAGGTGGAGTTTGCAGTGAGCCGAGATCGCGCCATTGCACTCCAGCCTGGGCGGCAGAGCGAGACTCTGCCTCCAAAAAGAAAAAAAAAAGAAGAAAAAAGAAATCACATGAGTCTCATAGAGAAAATATTGAGCAAAGGAAACAAAGTAAAAAACAGAATAATTCTTGTAATTCCATTTATATGAAGTGAAAAATAGGCAAAAATAATTAAAGGTGATAAAAATCAGAATACTGATAATCTTTGGAGAGGATTTGGCTCATAGATGCACGGAAGAATATTTCGCTTGCTTTACATTTTGGAGTTTTTAACCTGGGTAGTAGCCATGACAGTGTTGTCCCATCAGGAGCCGCTGCTGCAAAGATGCGGCTGCAGCGGGGGAGGTGCGGCCGGGGGGCTGCTTGCTCTGCTGCGCCAGCGGGGCCAGGGACAGGCTCCTGTCCCCTACTGAGTCAGCGGGACAGGAGCCCTATACTCTCTGGCACAACTGCAGCCACCCAGCTGCAGCTCCAAGACCTGGGCATCCCTGCACCCCAGGCGGCCGGGAAGCCCCTGCCCCTGCAGTCTCTGTTTCCCCTCCCTGTCCTCTTTCCCTCTCATGGTCCCCACTCCGGTGCAGAGCAAAGTTGTAGCTGAGCCCAGGCACTGTGGCGACCTGGCCTGTTGTGAGCATGCGCTTAGGGCAGCACTGACAGACCAGCCCCCTGCTGCCTCGGCCTCCTCTGGATTTTGGGTACCGACAAGCACGGGAGGAAGACCAAGGAGGTGCTGAGGGCAGCTCAACACGGGCCTGTGGCACCCCTCGGGGCAGTCAGCAGGGGTGCTGTGGATGGCATGGTGATGCTGGCAGGAGACAGACAGCCTCCTGGGTGGGAAGGGAGAGGTCCCTGGTGAAACCCCTCCTTCAAGCCACGAACAGCCTGCAGCCTGAGGGCTGGGCTGCCAGTTCGGATGGAGTCGTCAGCCTGGAGTGAGAACTTACGGTGCTTTTCCCAGGCCACCCATAGCCGCCCATGGACCAGTTAGCATGCACTTCCTCCCTTCTGAGCCCATAAAAACCCTTACTCAACCAGCCTCATACAGATAGGGGAACTACCAGCTGCAGGAAGGAGCTACCCACTTCAGGTCTCCTCGACTGGTCAGGTGATCTGCCTGCAGAAAGTAGCTATCCACCATGGGTGTCCTGTCTGCTGAGAGCTGGACCCTGGTTGGGACCACCTGCCTTCTGATAGGAGGTACCCACTCTGGATTTCCTCTCTCCTGATAGCTGGACACTTGTCTGTACGACCTGCCTGAGGAACGGATTTACCCACTTCGGGTCTCCTGAGAGCTGTTACTTTCCTCAATAAAGCTTCTCTCTGCCTTGCTCACCGTCCAACTGCCCGCATACCTCATTCTCCCTGGATGCGGGACAAAAACTTAGGACCCACAGAATGGCTGCTGGGACTGAAAGAACTGTAACACAAACAGGGTTGAAACCACCCCCCTTCCCCAACACCCCCCAAGGAAGTTGCAGGCGATGAGAAGGAGAGAACAGGCTGCAACCATTCAGGGAGCCCAGACCTAGGGGCTCCTCAAGCCAGGGATGTGACACCCTTTTGGGGGCTCTGTGGTTTCTAGCATCTCCAAGCTTTCAGGCACCACTGTGTTACCCTCGTCCAGACACGGGTGCCTGCAGCAGCTGTTTGCGGTGCATCGGATCCAACCAAAGTTTTCACGGAGCTATTGACTGTGCCTGTGCCTGGAGCTGCCCTCCCGGCCAATCGAGATGCAAATGATCCCTGTTCCGTAAAAACTTAGTTCCAAAGTTAGAGTGTATTGTAGGGCATTAACTAATTATGCCTCTAATTTTGCAAACTTGTTTTAGTATGTCCCTTTTGGTAGCATATATAAAACACATTTTTCTTAGTTCTTCTTTAAACTAACTTTTTCATTCAACTGGTATCCTCAATAATTTAGATAAATATTTGACATATATTCATTCTGTAAATTAGTCACATTTTAATTTTTTTGCAATTATACTTTGGCAAAAGAAAGGGAAAATATGAAGCATTATGTAGATACAGTTAAGAGGACTTACTGAGACAGTGAATATAAGTAGCAAAGTATCAATGAAGATATAGGTCACTGCAGTTAAGAGTCAATATTGAAGTCATTTTGTACCTCCTCTGCAGAGTATAGTTTGTTCTCTATTTTTTTAACCAAGTAGTTTTTATAATATTATGTGTTTTCTGGTTGAGAATCTGTAACAGTAGAATATTCATATTTTTTCAATTACTTTATTCAATTTTTAAACTTCTTACTTATTTAACAACATTTTCCTAATAATGACTTAAATTTTTCTACTTAATAATATACAATTTTCAGCCTTTTCTTTAAATTATAAGCAACAGGAAATATATATACCTGCTTTTTGATATGGCCAGTTCCTCAAATCTTTTGAAAATTATAGTTTGCCTAAAATTTTCTCTTTTCTTATTCCAAAAAACCCCGTAATTACTGTAATTGACTCTCTTTTGAAAATATATACAGTTCTACCATCATCTTAATAGTTGCTCATTGTACATTCTCAATTTACATTTTTTCAAGGATTTTTTTTGTTATTATTATTATTTTTGACAGTCTCACTCTGTTGCCCAGGCTGGAGTGCAGTGGCGCAATCACAGCTCCCTGCAGCCTCAACCTCACAGAGTCAGGTGATCCTCCTACCTCAGCCTCCCAAGTAGCTAAGACTACAGGCACATACCACCACACACGTCTGGTTAATTTTAGTATTTTTTGTGGAGACAGAGTTTTTCCATGTTGCCCTGGCTGGTCTCAAACTCCTGGCCTCAAACAATCTGCCTGCCTTGGCCTCCCGAAGTGCTGGGATTACAAGGCCTGAGCCACCATGCTCAGCAACAGGTTTAAGAACAAGGTTAAACTTGACAGTTGGAATACAAACAAAACAGTGTCTAGAGAGGACAGAAAAAAATGCAACAGAAGTTGAAAGTTTTAAAGTTAGTCATAATCTGTGAAAGAGAAACTGTGAAGAATGGAAGTTAATATCCCATAAAACAGCTTATTTTGAGTAATCTTTTAAACTTTCAAAACACTGACAAAACTTCGTTCATTTTTTTTAAACTTTAGCTTTATGAGGGATGTGTATTGTGGCATCCCAGCAGGTAGATCTAATCTTCATTAAAAATAGCACTCACAGAATAACTAACATATAAATGTGACCTCCTCAAAGAAAACTCTGTGACTAGCCACTCACAGCAATCTGAAGTTTCTATTATAGCAAGTTATCCCTCCTAGTTTGTGTGTATGTGTGTCTTTTGGTGTTATTTGTCTTAAGGTAAATGGAAGTTCCATGGCAATGAGTAAGGTAAATGAAAAAATATTATCCACATTTTACAAATGATGAAGTGGTTGCTTAGAAAAGCTAATTAAATGTATTGAGGTCACACAATTCATAATTGGGTGGAGGCAGAATTCAAACCCTGGTCTCTGACAGGAGTGATACAACTTTCAGCCACCTTATTATTTCATATTTTGTGTACTCTGCATTTAATGAAGCATCAAGCTGGGCCATGAAGTAGCACATTTATTTTTGTTATTTTTCTGTACTTTCCTACACATGGCGATTTCCATATGAATTAATGTATAATTATATTAAATTAGGAAGAAATTAACAAATAAAATGACAATATGTTTAAAAACATCTAAAATGAAAACAATTACAAGTTTTAGCAATAGTACTATAATATACAAATTGAATGTACTTATATTTGCTTCTTTCCAGTAAAGCAAGTATAATAGCCAGTTTGGCCATCCTTCTGAACAAATCTAATAAAAAATAATTATAGATATTTAGCAATGATTTCACTATTTTAGCCAGGAAAAAAAAGTACTGCCAATACTTGCTCAAATAATTGTTTTTAAGATAAAAGAATATAATGGATAGAACAGTGATTGTAAAGCTAGAAGAGTAAATTATTTCAGAAATTGGGGGTAATTATCTTAGTACGGCAGACAAGATAATTTCTATTGAATTATTTTTAATCCATTTTTGTTGGTTTTTAAAAAAATATCTTCTATTTGTTTAAACACTAGATAAGTTGTTAATCTTCTCCACCTATAGTTACGGAGTTTAATATTTATCTTAATTTTTAGAAAATGTTCCCAGCCAGTCTAATTACTATACCATTCATATTAGGCAATTTTTTAATGCCTAATTTTTTTCCTATTAAATTACTTTTACATTACCTCTTAATATTACATACATATATTAATAAAATTTTCCACTACTGATTTGACTTTTTTCTCATATATACAAAAAACAGAGTTTGACTTCCTATTTTAAATAATATTTAATAATATATGTAGAGAGTCCAGTATTTCTCAAAGCAAATCTAGCCCACAGGAGTTCTCAATTTCTTTCCTCTTTTTTTTTTTTTTTTTTTTTTTTTTGAAAGCCACTTTCACTGCTCGCTGCAAACTTCACTCCTAGGCTAAAGCAATCCTCCCACCTCAGCCTCCAAAGTATTTCGGATCACAGGTTTGTGCCACCATGCCCAGCTAATATTTTGTATTATTATTATTGGTAGAGATGGGGTTTTGCTATGGTTTATAAATGAGCAACTATAGTACAATAGTGATCCCAGGCTCGTCTTAAACTCCTGAACTCAAGTGATCCTCCTGCCTTGGCCTCCCAAAGTGCTGAGATGACAGGTGTGAGCCACCACATCCAGCCCTTCAATTTCATTTACTCAGTTTTTAAAAGACATTTTTCCCTGTTAAATTTATTTACTTTCTCACATTTTGTATTTAATGTCCTTGACCTCGCTGTGCTCATGTCAATGGACAGTATTTGAAAGCCTCCCAAAGTCCCTCTTGTCTATACTTAAGTATTCTGTGGTAATTTATTATTTCAAATCATGAAATCCTCCATCCTTCCCAAATTTTCCTTGAATCGTCATAATTGCAACATAAAACACAGCATTTTCTTAGTTATTCATATCCCTCTTTCTGCAAAATTTTAAGGGAAAAAAAAGTGAGGTAAAGTCAGCACAGGATTGATGGCTCTTATTGAAAGCAAATCATCAGTGCATCTGAGACAGTTGTCTTAAAGAAAATGGAAGGTATAGTAATCCTACCCCAAACCATACACACTCAGAGCAAGGAAATGCATTTCTGGATGACATTTTTAAAAATCCATGAAAATTATTTCTTTTTGTAGGAATTTATATTATTAATATTTTATCAATAAGAAACATAAAAGATTAAATAGGGAGTAAAATAACGGACTTGTCATAAAAGAAGTGAGCTTTTCCCGCAATGTGCTGGAAAATAAGAAAGATGATGAGTGATATGGTTTGGCTGTGTCCCCACCCAAATCTCATCTTGAACTGTAGCTCCTGTAATTCCCTTGTGTTGCAGGGGAGAAGCAGTGGGAGATAATTGAATCATGGTGGCAGTATCCCCCACACTGTTCTTGTGGTAGTGAATAAGTCTCACAAGATCTGATGGTTTTATAAGGGGAAACCCCCTTCACTTGGCTCTCACTCTGCCCCTGTCTGCCGTCATGTGAGATGTGCCTTTCACCCCCCGCCATGATTGTGAGGCCTCCACAGCTACGTGGAACTGTGAGTTCATTCAACCTCTTTCTTTTGTTAATTGCCCAGTCTTGGGTATGTCTTTATCAGCAGTGTGAAAATGGACTAATACAATGAGGGACAGTTAACATTATCCTTAGAGCTACTGTCCAAGTAGTGATATATTTAAAATTCACAGAAACTGGGACCTATAACAGTGATTGAAGGCATATACTTTGGCATGAAGTCATTAGAGCCTCTCTCCGTGTGTATGGAGATATATATATATATATCTCATGTACATGAGGAGATATATATATACACACACTCCTCACATTCATATACATATACATATATATGAATATATATCTGTATAACTCACATATATATGGATATATATGTACAACTCACATACCTCATTTCATATATATATATATAAAACACCTCATATACCCTATTCCATATACAGATCTGCATACTTCTGCAGATCTATCTATGTAGAGATATATATATGTATATTATATGTGTAGAAAATAGGGTATGGGGTATGTGAGGTGAGAAGAAAGCAGAGAAGGGTAGATTCAATTTTGGATATGTTGTATTTGAAATAGCTATGAAGAGATCATTAGACCATGTGGTAAACAGGTCAGGACCTCAGAAGAAAGTGTCTCGGTAAAGGTAGAGTTATAGGGACTTCCAGGACCTGGTAGTGGTTAAAGCTATAGGTGAGGATAATAATGCTCGTAACACATTGGATATAGGATAAAAATAGAAGCACATAGAGTATAGTAATTTATTAAATTCCAATATGCAAATGCAGACCAAGTAAAAGAACAGTAGTTTCTAACATTATATTTTATTATGTTTTGTGCTTATTTATGGTATAAAATAAAAGAAAATGTTTTAGTATTATAAAAAACTATAATGGAGAAATATTGTGACAAAATTATAGATGGAGGAAAAATTAGTCATTGCCAGGGACTGGGGACAGCGAGATGGGCTGGAGTAAGGTCAGTGGGTTATAAATGAGCAACTATAGTACAATATCAAAACTAATAAATTTTATAGTGATATAATCCATTTATCTTATTCAGATTTCCCTAGTTTTACATTTACTTATGTGCATGTGATTATGTGTGCACTTCTATGCAATTAAATCACAGTGTTGATTTGTATATCCATCACTACAGTCAAGCTCCAAGACAGTTTCATCCCCACAAGGTGATGGAGTTTCCTCCACTAGAGATTCTCTGCTAAACCGTCCTCATATTTCAGCCCAAATCTCAGCCACTCAAAGACCCCAGAGGAGAAACTGGTTGTCAATCTCAGCTCCGTGAAGAATAGTTCTTCCTTCTATAGGATTTCATTTTATCTAGTCATTTTTGTTTCCATAGCTCTCTGATGTTTTTTAGAAATGTGATTCTTGTAATTTATCAAGATACTTCTAGTTACTACCGAAAGAATAATGGCCAGCCACTAGTTACTACATATCACTTTGAGGTAAATGTACTGCTTTATTTCCTGCTAGCATAACCATAATGGCATTTTTTGCTAATAAAGTTGTTTAGCTCATATATTTGTAATTAAGAAGTTTATATATATACATATATATACATATTCAAAGAGGAATATTTTAAAATAACCATTATCTTATGAATTAGAGATAGGTATATCAAAGATGAAGGTTAAGATTTTTTTGGTACACATTTATCAGGTTTTTCAACACTACTTATTAAAAACACCTCCTTTTCCCAGTAAACTGCCTTCACAGCTTGGACAAAATCAAATGATTATGTAAGTGTGAGTCTATTTTTGGTATGTATATTCAATTATACTTATACATGACTGTTCTTATTTCACTACTACATGTTGTGAATACTGTAGGTTGTAGCACATCTCTAAATAAGCTAACAAGGCTTCCACATTTGTTTTTCTTCTTTAAGATGCTCTAGGCTATTCTAGATATTTTCCATGTAAATGATAGAATCAGCTTTCCAGTTTCTATCAAACTATGTAGAGATTTTGATTGTGATTTTATTTAATTTATATATCAGTTTGGGGAGAAATGACCTCTAAACAATATAATAGTTTCCAATCCATTGGTATAACATATTTTGATTTATTTGTTATCTTTTATTTCTCTCAGCAATTTCTCAGTTTCTGTGTAGGAGCATTGCAAGACTTTTGTTAATTGTATTTCCAAGTATTTTACTTTTCTTTAATTCTATTATATATAAAATATATAATATAATATATAATATATAAATATATATGTATATATATTTTGTTGAGATGAGAGTCTTGTTTTCCCTCCCAGGCTGGAGTGCAGTGGCACAATCACAGCTCACTGCAGTCTTGACCTCTTGGGCTCCAGTGATTCTCCCCGCTTAGCCTTCTGAGTAGCTGGGACCACAGGCATGCGCCACTATGCCCAGCTAATTTTTAAAATTATTTGTAGAGATGAGGTCTCTCTATGTTACCCAACCTGGTCTCAAACTTCTGGGCTCAAACAATTCTGCAGCCTCTGCCTCCCAAAATGCGGGGATTATAGGCATGACCCACTGCAATGGGTCAAAAATTTTAATTGTCATTTGAAAATGATTTTCCACTGGAATGTAAAAACCACAATTATTTTTTATATTGTCCTGGTACACAATGACTTTGTACAATTTATTAGTTTTATTAGTTTTGTTTTTATATTTTTCTACACAAATAATGATATCATCTGTGATATTTCAGTCTGAAGATCTTTTTCAGCACTTTTCAAAAACAAGTGTTGTTTGCATCTTAGACTTTATTACTCTGAACATATCTATATTTCAACATCAGTTCAGTTTTTTTCTAAATACAGAATTGTAGGCTATTTTTTCTTTTTTCATTTTAAATATGTCATTCCATTGTCCTATATGTCTATTGCTTCTATTGATAATCTGGGTAAGAATTATACTTTTATTCCTCATTATATAGTATATTGTACTCTTATCCCATCAGTTTTTACAATTTTACTTTCATCTTTGATTTTCAGAACTTTGAATATGATGTGCTATGGGTGGTTGTATTTGTATTTATCCTGCTTAGGGTTTGCTAAGATTTCTGTATCTGTATAGTAACATATTTCACCAAATTTGGGAAGGTTTCAATTATCATTTCTTCAATTGTTTCTTCTCCCCCATTTTATTTTCTCCTCTACACATCAAATTACACATATCTTAAAATGCAGGGGCCGGGCGCGGTGGCTCACACCTGTAATCCCAACACTTTGGGAGGCTAAGGCAGGCAGATCGCAAGGTCAAGAGACCGAGACCATCCTGGCCAACATGGTGAAACCCCATCTCTACTAAAAAAAAAAAAATACAAAAATGAGCTGGGCATGGTGGTGCACACCTGTAGTTCCAGCTACATGGGAGGCTGAGGCAGGAGAATTGCTTGAACCCGGGAGGTGGAGGTTGCAGTGAGCTGAGATTGCACCACTGTACTTTAGCCTGGTGACAGAGTGAGGCTCCATCTCAAAAAAAAAAAAAAAAAAAAAGCAGTTAATCAAAGCTTTTATTCTTAACCTTCTCTGTGTTTTCCAAAGTATTGTCTATTGTTCAGCCTTAAAGTTTAATAAACATTAATTCTACAGTCTCCAATCTCCTATTTATGCCAATCCATGGAATTAAAAAGATTTATATTGCAGTTTAAATTTCTATTGGGATTCCTTTTACAGTTCCTAATTCTCAGCTGATATTCTACACCTATTAACTCATTTTGATAATATTTTTTTCTTTGAACATATTTATAATAGCTGTTTTAAAGTTCTCATCTGCTGATTTCAAAATCTGGGTCATCCCAGTGTCTATTTTTATAGGTACTTTTGTCCATGTCACATTTTTACGGTAGTTCATATATCCTTTAATTTTTACTTTATAATGGACAGAATGGATGATATGCTGTAGACATCTTTTAACCTATTATTGTCCTTTTAACAATACTAAATTTTTTGGTATTAAACACTTAATAAACTGGCTTATCACCTTGAACTTATAGAGGCTTGATTTTATATTTGTTAGGCCTGGTCTCTTTAATTGTGTAATGTAGTCTTTACTCCTGTAGCATGTCACTTCCAATATTTCAATGCAAAGCATGAGATATTTACCAAGGCATTTTAACTTGGTAGCATTGAAATGACAGTATCTGTTCTTTTTCTGAGATTGATGACAGTTGAAACTTCTGCTTAACTTATTCAGCCTTCCAGGGGGTGTATTACATCAGATTTCATAGTATCCACCCCCTTCACATGCACAACTCATGAACTACTAAAAATTGGAAGAAAGTTTATAAGTAGGTTTGTGAACTCTCCATCCATGGCCCCCTCCTTACTGGGATTCTCCTCTTCAATTTCTAACTTCTCAGGCAATCTTGAACTTTGTCTCCTGAAGTCTGAAGACAGTAAGACTGAAGTTTTCTGCTTGAGTTCTTCATATGCTGGATCATGTGAACTGGAGAGTTCTCTTGGGGAAAACCTGTGAAGTAAGTATGCCATTCAATCCCTCACTGGCATTTCTTCTTTCAAAGAACAAAATCTCTCCGGATTGTACTTGCTTTTGTTCACTCTCTAGTATCTTCAAATAGAGGTAGGTGTGAATTGGAGTGTGTATGGGTGGGGGGATATGAGTGTGTATGTGTGTGTTTGCCTTTCTATATTTTGTCCACAGTTTATAATGCTTTTCATGGGAGGATCAATCCTTACAAAAGCTACCCTGCAATTATCAGAAGTGAAACTTCTCATTTCAAAATGAAATAAATGAAAATAATTTTTACAAAATATTAGCCAGACTTTTCATGTCTTTTCTCCATATAGAGACTTATCATTGGAATTACAGGATTTGGATGCTTACTAAAAAATTTAAATATATTAATGTGACATTAGATTGGTAGATTTTCTAATATTGTGGTGCATTTTTATAAGAAAATCCACATAACTGCATATATTTTTATTTTGATATGAATGATTTTTGTATTCTGTATCTACAATGAATCAGTAAGCTTTCTATATTTTCTGTTTAGGAACACTTATAGAATAATCACTTTTTAAACATTTGAAAAGCAATTGCCAATAAAATTATATGGCATAGAATATTATTTTGAATCTAATTTTTGATAGTTTTGTAAGTTTCATGTATCAGGTTTCCCATTTTTTAGTAAATAACATTTTCTAATTAAAACATTAATTTTGCTTATTTAAAAATTAATTATATATGTATGTTATTATTCATAATTAAATTAACCGATTAATACTTTTTGCTATATTTATGCTTTCATTTATTCATGTGTTATCACAAAATTAATTTTGTAAGAATTTATTCATTTTTATTATCTTTAATTTCAAAAACCATTAAGTTATGACATTCTCCATTTTCCCTAATCAGAGGAGTTACAAAAATGGTAGAAGATTTACTGTAATTCAAATCACTTCAATTGGAACAATATACTTTATTTTTGCTAGTAGGCTTAAGTTTTCATTTTCCATGGAGTTTTATTGGCCTTGAAGTCAGTAAACACTCTAGTCATATATTGTGTTTAGAGCATCATAAATAATTTGGTTTAATTTGCACAGAATAAACTTCACAAATATTAAGTGTACATTTATGTAAGTACCACAATAATCAGGCTATGGAATATTTTTATCTCTCCAGAAAGCTCCCTGTCCTCTTTGTAATTTCTTTCACTAACTCTTACCCAACGCAATGATCTGATTTTTATCACTATTAATGAGGTATTATTATGAGTAATCATCTTTATCTGGAAGGTTGGCCCTTGAACAACATGGGTTTGAACTGTAGAGTTCACTTATACATGTATATTTTTCAATAAAAAGTATCCCAAGTATGCCTGCCTCTTTTGCCTCGCCTTCCATCTCTTCCATCTCTTCTGCCTCTGCCGCCCCTCCTCTTCCTCCTCCTCCTCAGCCTACTCGACGTGAAGATGAGAACAAATACCTTTATGATGATCATTTCCATTTAATAAATAGTAAATATATTTTATCTTCTTATGCTTTTCTTAATAACATTTTATTTTCTCTAGCTTACTAGAGAATACACTGAAAATATAATATGTAATACATATAACATGTAAAATATGTGTTCATCCACAATTTATGTTATCAGTAAGGCTTCCAGTCACTGTAGGCTACTAGTAAAGTTTTGGGGGAATCAAAAGTTATATATGAACTTTTGACCCTGTGAGTGAGGGTTTGGTGCCCACAATCCCTGTGTTGTTAATGGATCAACTGTATTTCTTAATATAGATTTTGGAGGATATTTTGCTATACAGATTACATTTTTAATTTAGGTCAACATTTATTGAATTATAGGTTTAATATACAAATTATCATTTCAATGATTTTAAGTTGCTTACTAGTTTTTCTCCAACCAGAGACATAGTTCAAATTTTAACTAAACCTTACAGGAAGAAGTATAGGAAGATATGAGGGATGAAACTAGAGAGATATAGACAGATATCATTGTGAATGTGGGCTGTACTTTTCATAGTTACGTGACTCTGAGTTAATTAATCTTTTCAAGACTGTATATGCTAGCATTAAATTGGTTTAATAATGCTAAATTCAAAGGCTAATTATGAAAATTAAATGAGATAATACATTGAAGTAAATTATCTTAGTCTGTTTTGTGGTGCTCTAACAGAATACCTGAAGTTTGGTAATTTATAGTAAATAGACATTTTTTGGCTCAAGTTCTGGAGGCTAGGAAGTCCAAGATCAAGGGGCTGCATCTGGTGAGAGCCTGTTTGCCAGGTTATCCCGGCAAAGGCCAAAGGGGAAAAGAGTTTACGCAAGAGAGGAGGCAAGGAAGCCCAAATTCACCGTTATAATAAACCCACTCCCATGGCAATGACATTAATCCATTCATGAGTCCAGAGCCCTCATATCCTAGACACCTGCCATTGGGCCCCACCTTCCAACACTGTTAAATTGGAGATTAAGTTTCCAACATATGAACTTTGGAAAACACATTCAAACTATAGCATAAATCCTTGGCACAATGTTTGGCATACAATAGGCACCTCACAAATATTTCTGGTTTCTTACTGCCTGGGAGAAAACTGCATGTTTTCAAGTAAGTTAGGTGCGCTGTGACTATGATGTTTTTCCAGTGCGACATAGCTGGTGTTCAAACAGATGCAAGATAGAGGCAAAGGTGTAACTGTTAGAATATTCTTAAATTCTCCTTAAAAAAAAAACAACACACACACACACACACACACACACACACACAACGAACTAAGAAAAAATAAGCCCTAAGTCACATTGTAAATAAAACATAGTTAGCAAAGTACCCCCAACAAACCCAACAGATGAAGACATATTGTTATTGGCTGCAATTCACATGTTAGAAAATCAGTTCAATAGTATATATCTAAGGGGCAGGTTTAGGGGTGGAGCACAGGTTTGATTGTAAAAAAGGGAATTCTTTGGGAATGTTAGAATCATTCTATATGCTTTCTGTGATAGTAGTTAAAACAATCAATGCCTGTGTACAAACGTATGTAACTGTACACCAAAAAAGGAAAATTTACCATATGAAATCTTTGAAAATTAAAAATAAATAGAAACATTAATTATATGTAAAGTTGGCATCTTATTCACATAAAATTATTTCAATTCATGGTAAAACCTAGGGTTAGACTATATAAGGTTTTGAATATATATCTTAAGAAAAAAAGGACAACAAAGAATTTTAAAATTTTATTCAGTAGCATTATTTTTAGAGTAATATTAATATTGCTATTTTAAAATTCATGTATCTGTCATTTACCTACAGTACACATAGTATATCAGTAGTTAATTTAATTTGACTAGGAACCAATATTTTTAGCATAAGAGAAAATACACACAAATATAAATAAAATCATCCAAGTTAAATAAAATCCCTAAAATATTAATGTATTCATCTGGAAATATCATTATAAACTCATATATTTTTCTAAAAATATTCACTTATTTTATTATTTAGAAACAATAAAAGCATTAGCAATAAAAACATCTAGCATCTCAGTTGTAATCTCCAAGTAGAATTTCCCACAAATACAAACATGTTCTTTGGAGAAATAACTGATTTCAGGACTGTGACTGGAAAGGGATAAAAAGAAATTTGGACCAGAAAGCAAGGAATCTATCCAAAGCTATGGGATTACATCAGATGAATACCAAAACTAACAATGGTCCCCACTGGCCAAAAATGGGACAATTTGGCATCAGAACCATGGTTTTCAATGATAACAACTGAAATATATAACATTTCACGAGTTGGTAGTGATACTAAAAAACTTAAAATATAAAAGAAAACTAATAGATAATTTTGGGGATTTGATGCATAGCACTTCATTCTGAAAACTTGTGTATAAAAATGGAAAAATAAACATAATCCTGTTTTTTCTATAGGAACTTCCACTAGAGGAACCAAATATGTGATAAAATAAAGTTCTTCCTTGTAGAAGAGTCCCAGCTAGTATCAAGAATTATGAAAGACCTGATACTTTACTTGAAATCCCAGAAGTTAGCCTGCCAGTTTTGGGGCTGCTGGCAGGAGACAAGTGTCTCCTGGGGAACACCAAAAGGACAGTTGATTACTCTAATCAATAGCAGTAGCTATTTTCTTACATTGGTTCCCCAAACTCCAATTTCTACAGAGTAATGTCATGAGGGTCAGGTGATGTCAGCATACACAGTGAATTCCGTTAAAAGAGAGGCACTTCAAGCTTTGGAAATGATGATCTTTTATAATGGACTTCAAACAAACTTATTCAACTTTTGCTACGGAAGAAGTCATTATCTTTATTACACCAAAAAGCAAACAACAACAACAACAACAAAAACACACAAAAAAAACCCTGCTCTATGCTCCAGACAAAGTTGTCATCCCTATCTTTTGAACCTGTTCATTATACATACATCTTTGAAAAGGTATTTTGGAGCAAAGGTGTATTTGCACAACTGCTCTCAAAATGTGAAGAAATGCAGGAAACCCATGAATCATTGTCTCATGACAATAAATGCAGAAGGAGTAAGGAATTAGAAAATCACCATTTTTTAACTCCTAATAAAATAATGTATCTAGGCAGTCATTAAGAGTGGTTGTGGCCCGGCATGGTGGTTCATGCCTGTAATCCCAGCACTTTGGGAGGTTGAGGCAGGTGGATCACCTGAGGTCAGGAGTTCGAGACCAGCCTGGCCAACATGGTGAAACCCCGTCTCTACTAAATATACAAAAAAAAATTAGCCGGGCCTGGTGGCAGTTGCCTGTAATCCCAGCTACTCGGGAGGCACTCCGGCCTGAGCAACAAGAGCAAAACTCCGTCTCAAAAAAAAAAAAAAAAGTAGATGTAAAACCATTAAGGCAATGGTTGGTGATTAATTTATAATGAATGGATTAGGCTGACAACACCTAAGTCCACTGACCAAAGTCAAAATCATTAAAAGTGAAATAGACAGAAAGATATCATACTCTCTGGTACGATGCAATTGGAAGTACCGAGCGACACCTCTTATTACAAAAATAATTTAACCTAAATATCACTAAGCCTTTAGATCTAACTACCTGGTTAAGAAAAGAAAGAAAGTATAGATTTTATACATATATATATATATATATATATATAACATTGTAATCATTAGGAAGTGCAAAAGCCTACAGGCCAAATGATCTAGTTTTATCAACAAATAAACTAGTTACAAATTTGCTATGGGAAACTAAAAAAATTTAGAAGACGTAACCAAATGCATATGTATATTTTGTTCTTATCCTTATTTGAACAAACTTAACAAAAATATATTCTTTGAGACAATTATGGTAATTTTATTATAAACTGGTTATTGCATATTAAGGAATGAAGATCAATTATTTTAGGTGTATCTTAAAAATTATGGATTTGTCTTTAAGGAAAGTCTTCATTTTTTTAAAGATAGCCTGAAGTAATTTATTGACAATAAGCGGCCCAGGATTCACTTTAAAATATTTTAGCAAAGAGAGAAGGAAGCAAGGAAGGGAGAGAGGGAGGAAGGGAGAGAGGGAGGGAAAGAAGACAGGTGGGAGGGCAGAAAGTAGATGCAACAAGATTAGCAAAATATTAATAACTCTTTGATAAGTGTGTTTAATATACTATTTTATCAAATTTTCTGTGTGTTTAAAAATTTATGTTAAAAACACTTTCTAAGATACAAAACATTCCTGAAGCAAGGGTTTACCTACTGTTATTTACCCAGCAAATGTTTCTGGAATAAACAATTGCCCTGTTATAGCTCGAAATATACCTTAATTATATGTATAAAAAATAGAGGTATAGAGTCACTAGAAGGTTTTGGGGTGAAGTATCACAATCTTGAGAAAATAAGCCCTAATATGATAGTGTGAGTACTGTACCCAAACTTGATATGGTTTACAGTTTTTTTCAGCTATCAGCTTGCTAAAGATTTGTGTTGTGTGATTGTTCTCTCATTCCCTTCTTATTTCCCACTGAAGTCGCTCTGAGGAAGCACCAGTGCCCCCTGCGAGGTTGTGATGCCTCCTCTTTTTATGGGACAAACATACACAGCATGATTTATGATAATTTGCTTCTTCCTCCACAAAAGGGATAATAGAGCGAAACACCATTTTGATTCTGGCCAAAGGGTTTTTCAAGCCCGAAGAGATCAATTCAAGTTCCTGCTTCTATTTTCCGGCAGGACTGCTCTTCGGTTATTTCAAATATGCCTCCTGTTCAATAGAGCAGCCTCTGCAGTCTCTAGATGGTCCATCTTCATGAGTCAGGATGTTTATAGGTAGCTTATTAAGGTATGTTTCTCTTGTGTACTGAATTCTAGCTTTTGAGTGATTTAGTTAATTGAAGTGCCCAATCCATCACTGAAGATTTTGCTTTTCTCTATAAATTCTTATTTACTGCTTCTTCAGCATATGCTTTGTAGTATTTTAGAGTGCTCCACACTTAAATTACATATCACTTTGGTATTTAACTCAATGAATTTAAACTACTGCATAATGAATACTTTCAATTTGCCTTCACTTAAGGAAGATGACATAATTAAATATGTTTGCTTGATCCGGTCTTGCAAATGAACCTATACATTTACATTAGGTCTCTATGAGACAAGTTAATTCTCTTGAGCTTTTAAAACTAATGGAAGTGGTTGTATGTGCTATGGCTAAGTCAGCAGTCTTTCTCCCCTTCCTTTTCCTTCCTTTGGTCAAACCGCCTTCCCTTCTTACTTCTTTTCTTTTCTGTATCCCTTTACTCCTATCCCTATCTCTATCAGTTTTTTTTCACTTCATTTATATTATTGCATGCTTACACTGTGCCAGACACTGTGTTAAATCTATAAATAAAATATTTAACTCAGAAGCTGATCTTGACTTGTGTTTCCAACCAGGGACCATTTAAGCTTGCCATTACTTCCTGTGCCCAAGGTACTTGCAGTATTGGTCAGAGAGGTCTGTGAAAGTTGAAGGGAAAAAGAAATTTTAAATAAATCTTAGTATGTATGCTCTAAGCTGCTAAGAAGTTGAGATAAATGAGAATTATAGGCAACTAACCTGAATGATTTTGTATTTGCTATTTCATCACTAGAAGTTCAATTTGGGTCTTTTAAATATCTTCCATGTCTCTTTAACATTTTCATGCTTCACTCTACCTTCTTGAATATACAGCATATAGCTATAAAACCTGTTTTATACCTTATTCTATCAGCTGTTAATATTTTGGTTTAAATCTATTGCTTGGTTTTCCTCCTTATTATGGGTTACATTTTCCTGATTCTTTTAATATCTGGTAATTTTTAATTGGATGCCAGACATTAGTTATTATCCTTCTGGATACTGTATAATTTTGCAGGTTCTTTTGATAGTAAGCTTTTGACTGATATGAAATTAAGTGGAAACATTTCAAGCCATTTGAGGCATGCTTTTAAAATCTGGTAAGTGGAACCAGAGTGATTTCAAGTCTAGGGCTAATTTTGTTCCACTACTGAGATAAAAAAACTTTCTGAGAACTCTACTTAATGGTCTATGTATGATGAGGTTTTTCACTACAGCTGGTGGGAACCTCAGCTATTCTCAGCCCTTTGTGAGCTCTGAGGACTGTGTCACCTTGTCCTTTCTGGTGCTTCTTTCACAGTCTTGAGTATTTTCTTTATATGCACCGAATTTACGTGTAACACAACTGAGGCCTCAAGAAGAACGCTTTGCATATTTCAAGGGCTCTCGCTCTTGCAGGTTTCTCTCCATGCAGCACTTTCTTCTTCATGTGGTTCTTTCCTCTTTATCCAATTCTGTCCTCTTTGTACTGTGCTCTGCAAGTTCTAGGCAAATTAGCTTTCTGACATCTCAAATGTATCTTATCAACTGAGAGAATCTGCCAGCCCTATTTGGGTTCCCCTTTGCTGTGCTGTTCTGTATGTTTCCCCCAGTTTGCCTGGAAATTGTCTCCAGGCAGCAGTGTGGAACAATCATAGGAACCATTTTGTTAGTTTCTTTTCTCTTGCAGATCACTGCCTTGTGCTGAAACTACTATTTCATATATATTTTGTCCAAATTTTTTAAATGTTTAAGGCAGGAGAGTACACCTCATTTTGATTACTTCATATTGGCAAGAAATATATATGCATTCCTATCTTTATATATGTATGGAATTATTACTATATCCTTTTTGATAAATAAAAGAACTGAAGCTCATCTAGAATTAATAACTTGCTCAAAATTGCATATTTAGTACAAGCCGAGCCAACAGGCAAACCCTGGTATCTCATACAGAATTCATATTCATTTCACACTTGCATTACACCACACATTTTTATCTTACAAAATAGCTTCAGTATGATGGAATGGATAGAAACTCGTTTCCAAGAATGCAGAAGGAGGTGGTTCCCTACTGAAGATGGTAAATGTAGACTTGTTTTTCTGAAGGATTTGGTAGTGAAGAAGGAAATAAAAGAAAACATGAAATAAAGGAAAGGAATGACAATCTGAAAAGAATGTGCTAGAACTGAGGAGAGCTTATATATCATATGTAGGTACTCTTAACCTGACTGCTCACTAGTCAGTCAGAGAGACTAACAGAACCTCCTACTCACATCTCAAAGGAATCAAGAGTTAGTGTATTAGTGTCTTCTTGCTCTGCTATAGAGGCATACGTGAGACTGGGTATTTATAAAGAAAAGAGATTTAGTCGGCTCATGATTCCGTGGGATGTACAAGCTTCTACTTCTGGGGAGGTGTCAGGAAACTTACAATCATGGTGGAAGTGAAAGGGAAAGCAGGTACATCTTTAAATTGCCAGAAGGAGAGAGAGAGAGAGAGAGAAGTGAGGAGTGCTACATACTTTCAAACAACTAGATGTCATGAGAACTCTATCACAAGAACAGGGGTAAGTCTGTCTCCATAATTCAATCACTTCCCACCAGGCCCCTCCTCCCATACTAGGAATTTCAATTCAACATGAGATTTGGGTAGGGACACAGGGCCAAACCATATCATTCTGCTCCTGGCTCCTCCCAAATCTTATGTACTTCTCACATTTCAAAACACAATCACGCCTTCTCAACAGTCTCCCAAAGTCTTAACTCATTCCAGCATTAACTCAAAAGTCCAACTCCAAAGTCTCATCTGAAACAAGGCAAGTCCCTTCCACTTATGAGCTTGTAATATTAAAAATAAATTAGATACTTCCAAGATACAATGGGAGTACAGGCATTGGGTAAATGCTCCCACTCCAAAAGGGAGAAATCAGCCAAAACAAAAGGGCTACAGACACCATACAAGTCAGAAATCCAGCAGGGAAGTCACTAAATCGTAAAGCTCCAAAATAATCTCATTTGACTCTATGTCTCACTTCCAGGTCACATTAAGGCAAAGGGTGGCTCCCAAGCCTTGGGCAGCTCTGCCCCTGTGGCTCTGCTGGGTAAAGCCCCCTATGCTGCTTTCACAGGCTGGTGTTGAGTGCCTGTGGCTTTTCCAGGTACACAGTTCAAGCTGCTGGTGTATCTGCTATTCTGGGGTCTAGAGTACAGTGGCTCTTCTCACAGCTACACTAGGCAGTTCCACAGTGGGGACTTTCTGTGGGGGTTCCAACCCCACATCTTCCCCTCACACTGCCCTAGTAGAGGTTTTCCATGAGAGCTTATGCCTCTCCAGAAGACTTCTGCCTGGACATCCAGATGTTTTCATACATCCTCTGAAATCTAGGCAGATACTCCCAAGTCTCAACTTTTGCCTTCTGTGAACTCACAGGCTTATCACCACATGGAAGCTACCAAGGCTTGGGGCTTGCACACTCTGAAGGAATGGCCCAAGCTGTACCTTAGACCCTTTTAGCCACAGCTGGAAATGGAGTGGCCACGATGCAGGGTGCCATGTCCTGAGGCTGCACAGAGCAGTGCAACACTGAGCCTGGCTCATGATACCCTTTTTCCCTTCTAGGCCTTCAGGCCTCTGATGGGAGGGGCTGCTGTGTAGGTCTCCAAAATGCCACAGAGGCACTTTCTTCATTGTCTTGGCTATTAACATTTGGATCCTCCTTACTTATGCAAATTTCTACAGCAGGCTTGAATTCCTCCCCAGAAAATGGGTTTTCTTTAATATCACATGGTCAGGCTGCAAATTTTCAAAACTTTTATGCTTTACTTCTCTTTTAAATGTTAAGTTCCAGTTTGAGATACTTTCTTTGTGCACATGTGAGTGTACACTGTTAGAAGCAGCCAGGCCAAATCTTTAATACTTTGCTGCTTAGACATTTCTTCTACTAGATATGATAAATCATCTCTCTCAAGTTCAAAGTTCCACAGATACGTAGAGCAGAGGGATAAAACCACCAGTTTCTTTGCTAAAGCATAGCAAGAGTGACCTTTAAGTCACCCAAGAAGTTACTCATCTCCATCAGAGAACTCCTCAGCCTGGACTTTATTGTCCATATTACTATCAACATTTTGGTCACAGCCATTCAACAAGTCTCTAGAAAGTACTAAACTTTCCTTTATTTTCTTGTCTTCTTCTGAGCCCTTCAAACTCTTCCAACCTCTGCCCATTACCCAGTTCCAAAGCTGCTTGCACATTTTCAGGTATCTTTATAGCAATGCCCCACTTCTCTGGTACCAATTTTCTATTATTTGTTTGTTCTCACACTGCTATAAAGGCATACCTGAGACTGGGTAATTTATAAAGAAAAGAGGTTTAATCGGCTCATGTTTTTATGGGCTGTACAAGCTTCTGGGGAGGGCTCAATAAACTTACAATTATGGCAGAAGGCACAGAGGAAGCAGAAGCATCTTCCCATGGCCAGGAGGAGAGAGAGAGAAGAGGAAAGTGTTAAACACTTTCTAACAACCAGATCTCGTGCTAACTATATCACAAGAACACCAAGGGAGAAGTCTTGCCTCATGACTCAATCATCTCCCACCAGGACCCTCCTCCAACACTGAGAATTACAATCCAACATGAGATTTGGGTGGAGACGCAGAGCCAAACCATATCAGCTAGAGAGCATTCTCTAAAAAGAATGTAGAAAATGCTTGCTGGAGGAAGTAAGACTCAGGTAAATCTCTGAAATACTCACTCAGGATACAGAAGAATAAAAGACACAAGGGAATTTATTACAATCAGAGTAGGGGAAGGGGAGGCAGCTGTGTGAAAATGTACAAGCTGTGTTTGCAGGACAGTGAGAGAATAATTCCGTGTTTAACCGAATTCAGCTTCTTCTCTCAGTTTCTGGATATCATATCAAGAAACCTACCCATCAGAACAGACTGTGGCCAGGGATGACAGACGAAAACTGCCCATTGGCTTCTCTCCTTGTAACTCTACTTTCCATACACATATCCTCAGCTATTTTCTAATATTCACTGTAATATCTTTACAAGGAAATTTGGATGTTTTAGGTGGAAACCATTAGGAATACAACTATAAGCCAATCAATATGCATTTGATAATTCTGTGAATAAATGAGCTCAGTTTTTGTATGCCGAATAATCTGAAAAGTATGTCCCTTGTGTCTATGTTCTATATTATTCAGGAGAAATGCTTCAAGTTGTCATCTCTTTGCAGATATATATTGGCCATCCCTCCTCCAGACACACATTTTCATTTTTCTGTAGAAAATAGAGGAGCTTTGAACAATGGGTAGGTGAAGATTTAATTCATTTTGCACTTTTGAACTTCTATGAAATGTCTAGTTGACAACCACTTTTCATTAACACACACACAATAACACTGGATAATCACAATATAATTAATGTATGACAATTTATGTCTATCTTACAGTAGGCTTACCCATGAACTGTATATTGCCTAGCTAGAAGAAGAAAATGAAAAACAGTCTATTGGAAGGAGCTTCAGATTACCTGATTTTCTTATCATAGGGCTAAATGACTATTTTGAAGAGAGTATTTTAAGGAGCCTAGAGTCTGAGAAATTAGTCTCCTCTTTTAAAGTCATTTATCTTGATACAAAAGTCAATTAATATTTCTGGACTACAGGTGACTCATTTACAAAATAGGAATACATTTGCTGGTTTATTTACCTTATAGATGAGTATGCCTTTCTTCCTGTGAGGAGGTCATGCTTGCTGCGAAGGAGTCAGCATGGTCATAGCTAGAGGTAAGGAGTGAAAAGAGATAAAGGTAAAACCACCTGGGGAGAGAAGGAGGTATACAATGGTGTGATCACAGAGTTTGTAGAATGTTGTGCTGACTAAGAGAAACAAAGCCGGAACCAAGTTAGTCACAACTGAGGGGCATGAGTACTGGCTTTGGCAGGAGGTACAGTGAGTGTCTGTTTTGCGTGAAGATGGATCTTCTTAACTGCCAAGTTTTGGGCTCCCCACCTCACCGTCCCACTTTTGATAAACATGTTGGAGCTAAAGATAAATTGCTGGTACAAAGTTCACAACTTGAATACTGTTATTCTTTATTTATATAACACCTGGACTATTTTTAATGTTGAATATTTATGAAATATAGACTAGGAGGAGCTCCAAATAAATAGCATGCCTATCTTACTCCATGCCAATGTCTAGCCCTGCCTTTCTCCCATATAATTATGGAGATGAAAATAAATCCATGTGGGGATAGATACAATAAAAATTTAACTAACATCATCCTTAAGAAAAAACGTATTTCAGTGCAGCAGAAGGACTGATACCCAACTCCATCCACCCAGGGTATTTAACCCCCAGGCCCTTGCCTGGAAAAAAATCTAGTTATAGCGTGTTATGCTAGGAGTCTCACCAAGATACATAGACTAACTGAGGTTTTGACGTGTGTTTTCATTTTATGGGCAGGAAATATGATGTAATGTATAAAAGGGTTTCAAAGACACATCAGATGTTGCCCAAGATATGAATTGAATGCAATGCATTTTGTTTTTGTGAGAACATAATTGTAACTTTGATTTCTATAGAAAATATCTGAAAGAACAGTGTACAATAAAAAAAGTCCAATCCTACCCAAGAAAGGCAGCTGCAGTCAGCCAAAATTAAAGGCATTACAGGAATTGATGGCTTCTCTTAAAACAATGACAGGGAAGCTACTTGACCTTCAAAAGAAGGAAAACATGAAGGAGGGACTTTTAGCAATAAATGGAGAAAAATAAAATTTATTAATATTTCATATGGTGGTTGTGGTAAACGAAACAAAAAGAATAAAAATAAAATACTAGAAATAAACATTTTAAAAAGCAATCCAGAACATAGCAGAAAGAAATGAATTTTGAAGAAAGGTAATAAGATCTTTGTTGCTTCTAAATATTTATATATGCATAATCTTGAAGTCCATAGCAAAGAACAGAAGAGAAACATGAAAGCAAGAAGAAACGCAGAATGGGCGGGGCCAAAGGAAATGAGGCTAATTGTCTCACTGGCGATTGGACTGGAGCCCTTGAAGGAGGAATTCAGAAGTGGGAAAGTAAACAACAAAGTGGCAATAGGAGTCAAAGAGACAAAGGACAGTGTGGCCAAAGAAAGCCTCAAAGACTTGTAAAAATAGTCACGTATAGGTATGTTCAACATAATTAGATGTGATTTGGCAATGCGAATCTCCCAGGGACTGAGAAGGTTGCAGTCAAAGCCTAATGGGTCATGAAAAGACGAATTTCAGGTTCTTTTGATTTTAGAAAAAAAAATTAAGGTTTCATTTTATAGGAATTTATTAAATATTACACCTCCTTTTATAGCGATTTTTATAAAGTTATCTTTACTATCCTGAAATAAAATTCTTACATAATTTAGCATATATACATGGTTAAAAAAAATCCATACAATATTCTAAAGACAATAATAAGAGGAGATAATAATTTAGAATATACTAGCTTATATTTCAGCATATTAATACTCAGTACTGATAGTAGTTGGAAATCTAATATAGTCAGAACCCTGGTAATTGAATACACATAAAACAAGTACAAGTATCTACGTATTTGTATGTTAAATTTAAAGTCCTAGGCTCAGATAATTAGCATTAGAATTTCCCTTTAAATTTACAGAATGTAACGGGGTATGTAGGGGAGAATAACGCTACACTATTGGCAGTCACCATATGATGGGTTTGTTTTCAGGGCACTTCACATTAGTCACTAAAACTAGTGAGTTACAGGGGGTAAAACCTTAAGATTAACATGTAATGTGGGACTGTTAAAATGTGTGATATGAATTTCTTTGTGTTAGGTCAAGGTGTGAATAGAGACTAGAAAATATCAATTCTGTTACCATATGCTGTTACAAAAAATACAAAAGATAAACCTTATTTAAAATTACCTGTATTTTCTCCAAAAACAACAACAACAACAGAATGTTGGAATAAAATTGCAGAATATATGCAAGAGTTGAAACTAACAAAAATGCCTTATCAAGCCAGGTACTAATAATTCTGTAAGAATGTATAATTAACACATACACATGTGTTTGTGTGTGTGTATATATGTGTGTGTATGTGTGTGTGTGTGTGTCTGAACACATACATACTACAAAGTAAAGAATCCACTGGACTTATATGCAAAGAAAGCAAGCCCTAAAATATGAAGCAAAAGCTGTTTTTAGTCTTTCTATGATAATAGTAAGATTACATTTCTCCTAAACTGAAAATAAGAGAGGTATATATAGGATGCACTACATACAAGTATGAATTTTATTTAGTCCATCAGGCAAATACTTGCTATATGACAGATTCTGAACCAAGCCCTGTGGAAGTAAAAATATGGAATCACAGCCTCTTCTCTCATGATGTTTAAGTCCACTGGAAGAAACACATATATGTAATAGCTAATGTATTAAAAAATGTGCCATTGTGACAAGCTCTAAATATCTTGGCAGTAGTTTTTAAATAGATTAGAAGCAAATATGTGATCCACCTTTAGCAATTATGTAAAATCCTAAGGCTTATAATTTGGGCTCCTTCTGTGATGAAAATCTTATTTATTTTTTACATAGTAACCCTGCTTTTAATGGGAAAAGATAAAGGTTCCCAGAATGTAACATCCTAAATTTCTAACTTAACCTTTTGCAATGTACATATTCAGTCCTTCAGTGAACATTCTCAGTGAGCATTTAAAGCAAAAGTAAGGTTCATTGGTGTATTCATCCATTTTCATGCTGCTGTTAAAGACATACCCAAGACTGGGCAATTTACAAAAATGAGGTTTATTGTACTTAGTTTCACGTGGCTGGGGAGGCCTCACAATCATGGTGGAAGACAAGGAGGAGCAAGTCACATCTTTCATGGGTGGCAGCAGGCAAAAAGAGAGCTTGTGCAGAGCAACTACCATTTTTAAAGCCATCAAATCTCATGAGACCCATTCAAAACACAGGAACAACACAGGAAAGACCCGCCCCCATAAGTCAATCATCTCCCACCAGATCCCTCTCACAACACGTGGGAATTATGGCAGCTACAAGATGAGATTTCAGTGGGACACAGAGCCAAACCATATCATTCTACGCCTGACCCCTCCCAAATCTCATATGTTCACATTTCAAAGCCAATCATGTCTTCGCAACAGTCCCCAAAAGTCTCAACTCATTTCAACATTAACTAAAACAGTTCAAAGTCTCATCCAAGACAAGGCAAGTCCCTTCTGCCTATCAGCCTGTAGAATCAAAAGCAAGTTAGTTACTTCCTAGATACAATGGGGGTACAGGTATTGGGTAAATACAGCCATTGCAAATGGGAGAAATTGGCCAAAACAAAGGGGCTACAGGCACCATTCAAGTCTGAAATCCATCAGGGCAGTCAAATCTTAAAGCTCCAAAATTATCTCCTCTGACTCCATGTCTCAAATCCAGGTCACGCTGATGCAAGAATTGGGCTCCTTAGGACTTGGGCAGCTCTGCCCCTGTGGCTTTGCAGGTTATAGCCCCCCTCCTGGCTGTTTTCACAGGCTGGTATTGAGTGTCTGTGGCTTTTCCAGGCGCACAATGCAAGCTGTCAGTGGATCTACCATTCTGGGGTCTGGAGAATGGTGGCCCTCTTCTCACAGCTCCACTAGGCAGTGCTACAGTAGGGACTCTGTGTAGGGGCTCTGACCCCACATTTCCCTTTCACACTGCCCTAGCAGAGGTTCTCCATGAGGGCCCGGCCCCTGCAGGAAACTTCTCCCTGGGCATCCAGCCATTTCCATACTTCTTCTGAAATCTAGGTGGAGGTTCCCAAACCTCAATTCTTGACTTCTGTGCATCTGCAGGCTCAACACCACATCCGACCTGCCAAGGCTTGGGGCTTCCACCCTCTGAGGCAACAGCCCTAGCCATACTTTGACCTCTTTTAGTCATGGATGGGAAAGCTGGGATCCAGGGTACCAAGTCCCTAGACTGCACACAGCAGACAGACCCTGGGCTCAGCCCACAAAACTATTTTTTCCTCCTAAACCTTCAGGCCTGTGATGGGAGGGGCTGCTGCAAAGGTCTCTGACATGCCCTGGAGACATTTTCTCCATTGTCTTGGTGATTAACATTTGCTCCCCGTGACTTATGCAAATGTCTGCAGCCAGCAACAATATTTTATTTTGACCCTAAATTTGCACTGTAAGCAGGATGTAATAGGAAATGGTTTCCTCTGCTCCATCTAGTGTTTAAGCTGGGAAATGGGAATAGGAGTGAATCATTTCATTCACTTTCACAATGGCCTCTTTCATACGGGTAACATACTGGTGCTTCCTGGGAGTTTAGTAATGGCAATAGGCTAGGGACTTCAGTTACATTTTGTGTGGACCTCTTCATGAGGCTGCTTGGGCTTTCTTAAAGCATAGCATCTGGGTTCTAAGAGTGAGTGTTCAAAAGGACAGGAAATAGAAATTAACAGTCTTAAATCTTCATCTAAAAATGTAGCACAGGCTGGGTGCAGTGGCTCATGCCTGTAATCCCAGCACTTTGGGAGGCTGAGGAAGGCAGATCACAAGGTCAGGAGTTTGAGACCAGCCTGGCCAATATGGTGAAACCCCATCTCTACTAAAATACAGAAAAAAGAATTACCCAGGCGTGGGGGTGCACACCTGTAGTCCCAGCTACTTGGGAGGCTGAGGCAGGGGAATCGCTTGAACTCAGGAGGCGGAGGTTGCAGTGAGCCAAGATGGAGACACTGCACTCCAGCCTGGCGACAGAGCAAGACTCTGTCTAAAAAAAAAAAAAAAAAAAAATGTAGCACAGAGTCACTTGTACTATATTGTTCAAAGTTTTGACAGGGCCTACCCAGACTTAAGCAGAGGGGCCATAGAATCTATCTATCAATGAGAAGATTGTGCCCACTTTGGTCTGCCACAACTCAGGACCCATGACTGTATCTCTAAGAGAGCATCAGAGGCAATACCATAGTAACTATATGGTGGCCTGAATACCAGAAAGTATTTCTTTGGGGCCCAAAATGGGATCATTCTTTATTAGTTAGGGGTTTAGAGGAAGATATGCAGGGATGTGTGTAGAAACCATGTGCAGAATGGAAATGGAATGTTACCCATTTCTAGAGTCTGGGAAAACTTAGGAGCCATTAACAAGCAGAGTATTCATAAATGTCTTGATAGAATTATAATCACATCATATTTAATTGGTGCTACCACTAAGGATCTACTTAGGTAGAAAATCTGATTAATTTGGGTGGCTCATGTAGCTCTTTTTTGTACTAATGAATTTTTGTATATTTAATATATTCTCATGAACAATCGTCTTAAGTATAATATATAATAATGGAAAGATAACTATAATAATACTGCCTAAAATATCTGAACACTTTGTGATAGTAGTAACAGAAAAAATAAAGTAAGTATAAAATGGAGTCAGGGGATAAATATTTGTAAGTTAAATCCTTTACAGTTGAGCCACAATTACTAAATCCCTACTATTCACCAGCACTGTGGTGTGAACTAGGCAAACAAAAATGAAAAATCTTGGACTCTGTCCAAAAGAAATTTTTTCATGTATCTTAGAGAAGACACAAATGTTTAATCTAATGATTACTATGCAAGTACAGCAAAAGTAGTGTATATAATGTACAACTTTGTCATTGAAAAATTCTGAGTATTGGGAGTTTGGGTTTAATGCCAGCAAATATACATGGTCAAAAAAGTGAGTGAAGAAAGTTTTGATACAATAACATCGAAGTTGCAATAATTCAATGAGAATTCTTGTGGAAAAGAAACATGCACCATAATTTTTTTTAATGTAGTCCAAGAAAGACAGTAAATCTAAGTGGCATTTCAAAGTTGCAAAGTGAAAGTATCTTAAAACCTATTAATAAAATCATGTGACCAAACATATTGATCATGTGTGTTTTAACAGTTTCACTTAGAGATGAGAATGAAAGATGATTTCAAATCCTTGTTTTATTTTGAGAGAGAAGAGGTGAAGGAATCCAAACCAGTGAGAAACTAATGGCAGTAAAGAATTCAGTGGAATATACAAGTTTCTGACAAGTTTAAGCCATTAGAGAAACACAGTGTGCAATGGGATTTCAATTTTATTCCAACTGACAGGTAAATTCTGTTTTAAAAATAGCTATTTGTGACCTGAGAAATCAATGATCAGAAGAAAATTCTGAGTATGCAAACAACCATAATAAATCATCTGCATATAGAGAAACAATATATCAAATGATGCCAATTTAAATATTTCACAAGGAATTGAATTAATATCACCATCAAGAAGCTCAACTTAAATTTAAAGCACAAGGTGAGATAAAAGGCAGGCAGTGGCCTGGTTCCCTTTGCTATTGACTGGCAAAACATCTTGTTCTATCTAGGGTGCAAGACCAAGGGTTCCCATCTCAACTCTGAACACTTAATAGTTTTGTAAATGCAGAAGACCTGCAATTGCATTTATGTTTACTGAAATGACATATGAAATTTTTATGTTGTGACAAATGATTTAATATTTTTGTTTTATTCACCAGTTATCCTGTTTAGATTTGGCTACAAATTCCAACCCACCTTCTGTGCTCTATGGTTCCCACACTGAAAGCTAGTTAAGCTTTCAAAGCCTTTGCAGTGCTATTACTAATTTATACCTGTTGGTCAGCCTGGGACTTAGATGGAAGTCCATCCATTAGCTCAGTTCCCAGAGTTTTTGGTATAATAATTAGGATCAAATACACAAATATGCAGCTAGAGAGGTCAATTTATACATTTTAGTACAGTCCCTAAAGAAGCATAATTGAGTAAGTTATGGGAAGGAGGTAAAATCATGGGTTCATAAGCAACATTATGGAATTACCATTTTGTGTCTGGGGCTAAGAAGTAAGATGAGTGATAAATGGTGGAGAGAGAAGGTAGGAGGTGGGGGAGGGGAAGAGAGAGAGAAAAAATCAGTAGAATTGGCCTTGCCTGTTGGAAGGACAGCTGCATTGGTAGTACTTTGAATTCTGTTGCTCTTCTCCAATCCACTAGATGGTTTTGAGTCCTCAACTATGTGTTCCAAGCTCCCTGTCCAGGTTTTATATTTGAATTCAGTGAGAAGGAAGTTTGCCTTCTCTACCTCACTTAGAACTGGGGGTCCCACACTCAAAGCTTCTCAAATAATTTTTACATGAAATACATTTATTTTAAACTCAAAAAATGCCAACTTATGCTATTTACTCACCTTGCCAAAGTGCTACAGAAAAAAGAAATTAAAAAGCTCAGAAACTATGCATTTATGCAGATGTTTGAGGCAGCATAAAGACTGCTTATTTGGTTCTTTGCCAGAGAGGTTTTATGTCATTAAAACATAGACTTACTAAATATCTTCCTTATTACTTCTATACATTTTAGTATAGTCCCTAAAAGAGCCTAATTGAGTAAACTGTGGGAAGGAGAATCTGCCTCAGCAAATATTAAATAAATATTTATTTATATTTGGAACCAAAACACTGTCCTCTATAAATAAAAAAAAATTGTGCTTGAAAAAAGTAGATTTTCAAAGCATATTTTTGAATGCTAAATGAATAAAAATAAAACCAATATTAGCATATTTCTAATATAATTTAGGAGGCTTTATAGTATTGACAACTACTTAGAAATACATACAATAATATAAATAATCAATTTTTATATGCATGTAAATCATCTGAAGCTGTTGTGATTATGTAGATTAGAGATTTGACTTCAAAGGCTTTCATTGCTCTAATATATATAATAGTAATTATGCAGTGTAAAATTCTTCTTTTGAAAAAATATTCATGCCTATGTCTTCCACATATTTATTTCACAGATAACTATTCATGCAAACAAATTAGTTCCATGCATTCTACGTTGGAGAAAATGAACCAGGGATATCTCACTTTATAAGATCTATAAAAATATAAGTAACAACACTTGACAAGTTCTTATTTTTTTAATGTAATATTTTTATATACCCTTAGAAATACATGAAATGGAAATTTATATTTTTCTTACTTGAGACGCTCTATGGCTAACAATGCGAAGTCATCTTGAAAACTGAAATATTTCAAAATGAAAACTGAGTTCCTTAAATATATTATGCCTATTAATAATTAAATCATGTGCCATGTTAAGAGTTACATTCTCATATTTTTAGAGTGTAATTATCCAATTAACTCTTTTTCTCTACAGTGTTGACTAAGAATTTAAATATAATTTTCAAGTGCTCAATGAAAATAACCTTTATTGCAAAGTTGCGTTTGATCAACTTTCTTATATTTACATTCAAAGTTGATGCAATGCATTTATTAAAAGATAAGTGAAAACAAAGTCCATTAATTTATTAGAATCATGCACAGTGAAAAGCTAATGGATCCTCCCTAAAGACTGGTATTATTTATTATAGGCATTTTTATGTTTGTATAATATATTGTACCTTTTCTACCTCAGACATACAATCTTTGAAGAGGAGATTGGTTTTAATGGTCAAAGATAAACTGTGTATGACGATATAGTACAGATTTGCACTGATTTTATATGTTCATTTAATTAATTAATTTATTTATTTATTCATTTTGAGAGGGAGTTTTACTCTTGTCACCCAGGCTGGAGTCCAGTGGTGCAATTTCAGCTCACTACAACCTCTGCCTCGCAGGTTCAAGTGATTCTCCTGCCTCAGCCTCCCAAGTAGCTGGGATTACAGGTGCCCACAACCACACCCAGCTAATTTTTGTATTTTTAGTAGAGATGGGGTTTCACCATGCTGGCCAGGCTGTTCTCTAACTCCTGACCTCAGGTGATCTGCCCACCTCAGCCTCCCAAAGTGTTGAGATTACAGGCGTGAGCCACTGTGCCAGGATTGATTTTATACGTTTTTAAATAACTCTTGGAGTTTATACAATATTAAAAGTTTTAAGTTAATTTGCTGCCTTAATTAGCATAATGGAGAAAAGAGGTGAACAGTAATGAAGGTTAAGTGGTCTCAAGAAGGTCTAGAAAACTCATGTTTATTGCAGATATCCTCATTATCCTACATGTAAGATGACCCCAAATAGCATTATTTTTCTGTAGATATATCGATATGAGAACACGTTAGTTTTAAGCAGTTTAATGCTTTATACCCTATTTTTATCATCAACAAATCTTAATCTATACTTAGTTTCCCATGTTCTTATATTTCTTTGATACAAAATAGTTTATTAATATAAGCTCATTAAAGTTAATTAACTTTCATAACTTTGTGTTTCTATTTTCTTTTCTTAATCACTATATTTAGATTTCAAAGAAATAAAATCTAATTGGGCTAATTCATCTTCTCATTCTAAGGCTATTATAAACAAATAACCTTATTATTGATTGGCTACTTTAAATCAGGTGCCTCCCTCTGTCTGACACATTTATGAGCCTCCTATGAAAGAGGAAGTCTAAACCATATACTGGTCTCTGAATGAGCAACAACATCTTAATATTTCTAGGTGGAGGGCCACAGAATTAGCACTAGATATATAGTTGATGTGAGGTCAGTTTATTCAGAATCGAAGTATCATATTCATTCTCACTAGAAAATATTTTGGAGTCCTAGCAGTTAAGAATTAAGTAACATTACAGCCTTTTGTCTTGGTTTGTCTTAGCTGTGCAACAGAAACCCCTGCATGTTGCACTCTTTCTCCCCTCCACACCAGGTAATGTGAAAAAGTCTATGTAATCCTGAGCTTTCTTCTCCTTTATAGTCACTAACCATGTTACTCATATACTAATAATGTGAGGTGAATGTTCTCAGAGGTTATGGCATGTAAAGAAATTATTAGAATTCCATAACAGAAAATTTAAGAGAGAACAATCGGCAAACCAAACATACAAGGGAAGATTTAAATCTTAACAAATCAGTAATTACATTAAATATTAATGGCCTAACTGCTCAATTAAAATACAGAGATTGGCAGAGTGGATCAAGAAATCCACTTAACAACTAAGTATGTATTGTTTCAAGAATCTCACTTCAAATATTTTGATATAGATATTTTGAAATCAAAAGAATGTAAAAATACATATCATGGAAAATTGATCAAAAGGAAGTTATAGAGGCTATATTAATATCATATAAGGTGGACTTCAAAGAAAATTACCAAGAAAAGGGAGAGATATTACATAACAATAAAGATCAATCTGCCAAAATGTAGTAATCCTAAATGTGTATAATAGAACAAAAAAGCTATAAAATATATAAAGCAAAACTCACTGAACTGAAAAGAACAAATCCACAATTCATACCTTAATAAACTGTTTCAAGTCAAATAATTTTGCAACCATCATATTGGTCAAGAAAAAACTTTGCCAGCCACCCCAGAATTCCTACCCCATATGCTTCTTCCCAAACACACCCCCCTCTCTTCCCCCACAACCTATGCTGTCTTTAATAGTACTTGCTTCCTTGATACTCTCAAATTTGGGGACAGATTTCTCTCATCACAATGTTCTTAATATTCTTCCAAATTTCTGCCTGTGACCACAGTTTGTTTCTTTTCATTGCTGAATAGTGTCCCATGGTATAGATATACCAGAATTTGTTTATACAAATGACCCTTTAAAGGTCATTTGGGTTGTTTCCAACTTCTAGAAATGATAAGTAAAGCTGCTGTAAATATACATGTATATGTTTTGGCATGAACAAATATTTTCATTTTTCAAGGGTATAATACTCAGGAATGAGATTGCTGGATTAAATGCTAAGTCTATGTCTAAATTTATAAGAATTGCTAAACAGTTTTCCAGAGTGGCTATAACATTTCACATTCCCACAGGCAATACCTGAAAGTCCCAGTTGCTCTGCATCCCTGTCTGCATTTTGTATAGTCTGTAATTTTATTTTAGTTACCCTAAGAGTTGTGTAGTCTTACCTTATTGTCATTTAAATTTGTATTTTCCTAGTAGCTAATGATGTTGGACATCTTTTTATGTGATTATTTGCCATTCTTATATTATCTTTGGTAAACAGTGTATTCAAGTCTTTTGTTCATTTCTTAAATTATTTGTTGTCTTGTTAATTGAGTTTTTGAGAGTTCTCTGTGTGGACTTGATACCAAATTCTTTCTGGATATATGGTTTGGAAATATTTTATTTCAATCCATATCTTGTTTCTTCACTTTCTTGATAGTATCTTTGACAGAACAAAAGCTTGTAAGTTTGGTAAACTCTTATTTATCATGTTTGTCATAGAACATGCTATTAGGATTGTTTCTCAGAACTCTAGTCCTGATTCTGGGTTATGATAATTTTCTACTGAGTTTATTCTAAAATTTTTATAGTTTTTCATTTTACATTTAAATCTGTAATCTAAATCCAGTCTATCATTGATGGACATTTGGGTTGGTTCCAAGTCTTTGCTATTGTGAATTAAGAAAATGTGGCACATATACACCATGGAATACTATGCAGCCACAAAAAAACGATGAGTTCATGTCCTTTGTAGGGACATGGATGAAGCTGGAAACAATCATTCTCAGCAAACTATCACAAGGACAAAAAACCAAACACTGCATGTTCTCACTCATAGGTGGGAATTGAACAAGGAGAACACTTGGACACAGGAAGGGGAACATCACACACCAGGGCCTGTTGTGGAGTGGGGGGAGGGGGGAGGGATAGTGTTAGGAGATATATGTAATGTAAAGATGAGTTAATGGGTGCAGCACAACAACATGGCACATGTATACATATGTAACAAAGCTGCACATTGTGCACGTGTACCCTAGAACTTAAAGGATAATAAAAAAAAATCTGTGATCTATTTTGAGTTGACTTTTTCATGAGTTTGAAGTTTAGGTCATAGTTCATTGTTTTTGCCTATAGAGAACCAATTGTTTCAATACCATTTGCTGCAAAGACTATCCTTTTTATTTGTTTAACCTTTGTCAAATATCAAATGGCTAAATTTGTTCAAGTCTATGCATATGCTGCTTATTCCATTTCAGGAACCTATTTCTTTCTTCACCAATACCATTTTCTTTATTAGAGTAGATTTATAGTAAATCGTAAAATCAGGTATGGTGATTCTTTTGACCTTGCTTCTTTTTAAATTGTTGAAATTATTCCAGTTTATTTGCCCTTGCATGTAAGTTTTAGGATAGCTGAAACAAACCGTTTCAAAAACAAAAATACCTTGTGGCCTTAATCTTAACCAACCACCCACATAGTGGTGAGATCTATTTCATTGTCTCTTAAGAAGAAAGGTTGATATTCTATGGTATTTTTCAAATAACGTTTATTTGATGTCTACAGAATATGTCATAAAATGTTTAATGTTAAAGTGTGTGTGGGTGTGTGTGTGTATTTGTGTGTATTAACCTATTAGCCTCATCTACCAATTGCCTGTTATTCATTTGTTTGGAATTGGCTTATTTCCCACAGACATAAATTACTGGGTTTACATAGAAATATACAAATATTATAGTAAAAGTGAATTTAAAAGCTAAAATATGAAATTCTACAATTGAGTTCCTGAAAGTTTAAAAATATCTTGTAAATACCATTATAAATGATAATATTTGGATTTTGGTAGCCGTTAGGATGAATAATGGTATCTGTTTGAAATACCTGCACTTCCTATATGTCATACACTTTCTGTGGCCCAATCACTCTACTACCTTATTTAGGCTGAATCCTATCTACCTCCACAGAGCCCAAAATTCTAGATTCTTTCTTTCTCAGCCTACTATACGAAAACCCCATTCTGGACAATGGGATCAGAGGAAAAGCCAACTGGTGATTTTCTGGAAAAAAATTTTCTCCAAAATGACACAAGGAGAAATGCTTGTCTTCATCTTCCCTGGATGTAGCCATGTCTCATGTGTCTTATGAAGCAACCATCCTGTGACAATGAGAGAAGAACATGGCCATGGTTAAGGTGGCTCAATGTAACTACAGAAACATGTGTCATTAGTTATACTTCTGAGTTGATGAAACCAATTATAGAAAAGCCATGTGCCTCCAGAATTATTATTTAAGGTAAAAAATACCTTATCTTCTAAGCCACTTTTGGTTGGGCATCCTGGTTTTTGCAGTCAAAGGCCTCCTAATAGATAAATCTCAATAAATGTGCAACCAAGAATAACATAATTTCCCTTTTGTCTCTTCACTTATCTCCTGGAGATACTCTGATTCCTTACTATAAGACACCTACTCAGAGACTTTTAAAAGACTGTAAGGTAAAAAAATGATGCTGTCCAAACAACTTGCCTTTTTTTAATAGAAAACTATTTAATCATCTGGAATTTTGCAGTTGTGATTTATAATTAAAGTGGGAAAATATGGTACAAAAAGAACTGCGTTGGAGCTCTCAGATTTTAATCCTGCTGCTGAGTTTGCTAGCAATTTACTCCATTGATTAGAGGAATTCATTAACCACTCTGTACTTCAGCTTCCTCAACTTGAAACATGACTTCTTCTGGAAATACTGAAAACTCTATGAGAAATTAACCACACCACCATATTGCCACCCCCCAACACATGAATACACTTGAATTTCAAGGAGCAGGAGCCCTGATAATGATGGCAGCAGTGACCCATCTGGAGCAGCCACTGTGGGAATGCCAGCTGCAGTGGGGGAGGCACAGCTGGGGCTGTGTGCTCTGCCAAGCCAGTGGGGGCTAGGAACGAGTCAGAGCCTCACCCCCTACTGAGTTGGCAGGGCAGGAGCCCCATGCACCCATGTGCAGCTGTAGCCATCCAGCCACCTCTGGACCCAGCATCCTTATGCTCTTAGGGGCCCAGCCCCTCTGCCTCTGCAGTCTTGGCAGTGCCTGCTCCCTCTCCCTGGACTCTCCCTGCTCCTGGTGTCCACTCTGGAGCGGAGCAAAGTTGTGGCCAAACTGGGGTGCTGTCACAAACTGGCCGGGTGTGCACATGTTCATGGCAGCACTGACACACCAGCCATCTGCCACCTCGACCCCCTCTGGACTTTTGGACACTTACAAGCATGGGTGGGGTACTGGGGGAACTGAGGGCAGCTTGGTGCTAGCCTGTGGGTGTGTTTCTACGTGCACAGCCTGGGTGCTATGGATGGCATGTTAAAGGCAAACAGGTTCCTAGGCAGAGGGGTGGGTCCCCGATGAAACCCCACCTTCAGGTTAGGAACAGTTTGAAGCCTGGGGACTGGGCTGCCAGTTCCAGGCAAAGTTTATGACCCAGAATAAGAACTTCAATGATGGGCCGGGCGTGTTGGCTCACGCCTGTAATCCCAACACTTTGGGAGGCTGAGGCAGGCGGATCACAAAGTCAGGAGACTGAGACCATCCTGAATAACACGGTTAAACCCCATCTCTACTAAAAATCCAAAAAAGTAGCTGGGCATGGTGGTCAGCACCTGTAGTCCCAGCTACTTGGGAGGCTGAGGCAGGAGAATGGCATGAACCCAGGAGGTGGAGCTTGCAGTGAGCCGAGATCGCACCACTGCACTCCAGCCTGAGCAACAGAGCGAGATTCTATCTCACAAAAAAAAAAGAACTTCATTGATGATGCTTCAGCCAATTTGATGGTGCTTTTTCCAGTCCTGCCCCTGGCCACCCATGGACCAATTAGCACTCACTTTCTCTGTTCTGAACACATAACAACCCCAGATTCAGCCAGACTCACACTCATTGGGATGACCTGCTTGCGAAAAGGAGCTACCCACTTTGTGTCTCCTGAGAGCAGTCTGTTGCTCAATTAAGCTCCTCTCCACCTTGCTCACCCTCCAGTTGTCTGCATACCTCATTCTTCCTGGATGTGGGACAAAGACTTGGGACCCAATGAATGGTGGGATTTAAAGTGCTATAACACAAACAAGGCAGAAACATGCTCCCCACTTGCCATGTTGTGAGTGATGAGAGGGAGAGAAGAGCTGTGGCCCTTCTGGGATCCCAGACCTCAGGGATCCCCGAGCCATGGCAGTGACACACAGCAGAGGCCCCTTGTGGTATGTCTGGTCCAAGAGCTGCCTACCCCACTGCAGCCGGCACACCTGGGCTGTGAGCAGTGGCCAGATCCCATACTCACTTGCTCACACACCCCTCACCGTTCCACCCCTGGCTCACCCTTGGTAGGCATGGGATATGGGCCGGTTGCGCAAGCTGAGTGCAGCCTGCCAGGCCGAGTGGGCAGAATAAGCTCAGTGGGTGGAATGAGCCAGCAGGCACAAGCAAACCCCAAGCACAGGTGCCCCCAGCCACTGAGGTTTCTGAATGGTGAAGCAACACCCTAAAAATCCCATGACAATAAGGTCCAAAGACAGCATTGTAGAACTAATTGTATGTAAAAATGGTTACAATGATCTACTTCCACATGGAGTGATATTTGGAATTATTCTTTTAGAAATAAAAAAATCTCTATACTCTTTTGGATTGCTTATTTTTGTGTCATTGATGGAGTGTGACAAGCCCAGCATTGTCTCCCATTTATCACTGCCACCCACCCAGACAAGAACAAAGTAGCTCAGGAAACTTGTGTTATTGAACTTGCATAGAAAGATTATTATTTCTAAAATTCTTCTTTCTACTATCATAGAATAAAAATTTAGCTTACAATTACTGTGTAGGGATGAAATTAGGAGGACAAGCAGTTTATTTCGCCTTAAGTCAGAGGAGAAAATAAAAGCAGTGCTTGTTTTAAATCAGGCCACAACTTCTTGATGTGACTTGTTATTTTATTCGCTTGCTGACTTTCAAAACTTCCACAATTTCCCAGCCTTTCAAATAATCAGATTCTATAATCTGGATATCTGAATCATCATATGCAATAATTGTGTAGGCGATTGGCACAAGCTGATGGAAACACCTACAATTTAACCTGAAGGGATATGATTTCTATTCTCTCATTAAGTAGGCCTCAATCTTTTCAACAGATTGACAGACTCTTGCCTAATCTCTAGATATGCGTATCTCTGAAACACATAGTGAGCAATGCATATGAACTCTCACAAAGATATCAAAAAAATACCCTAAGATACCTTAGAAAACTGGTTGTGAAAGAGGTGAATAAAAATTGGCAGAAGTGGAGGGTATGACACGAAGAACATGTTTTTGAAGGAGGCCACATGAATGGCAATATTGTGAAGTGTGTACCCAGGGGTCTCATCTATTGGCTCAGATTTTAATCAAGACTTGCATGAACATCAAAGGTACTGGTTTTTATATCACATTTAGATTATATTTAAGATAGCCAAAGTTTTAACAATTTCTTAGTTAGCAAACACACATTTTTATTAGTAACCAAGATACTCTAATAGCACTGGGGGTGCAAAAAGTATAAGGTTTTCATCTTTGCCTTTAATGTGCTTAAAATCCACACAAGAAGACTAATAATCAAATGAGCGTGATGCAATTTTATATATTGTGTAGTAGGCAAATATCCATCATAAAGCCTGGTACATAGTAAGTACCCAATGAATGCTTATTGAAAGACAAATAAATGAATTGTTGTAAGTATGTGCATGGCAAATTGAATGATGAATTATTGATCAGATAAAGGTTTAGGAAATATTAATTACAGCAACTGGATCTAGGAAAAATGACAGGAATTGATTGTGGTGAGCAGAGAGGAGGATAACATTACAGGCACAGGAAGTTGTGACCAAAGACTCAGAGAAGAATATTGTATTTACATTTACATTTGGCTCAGAGCCTGTCCCAGAGGGTGCCTAGGCTTTTTTTTTTTTTTTTTTTTTTGAGACGGAGTCTCGCTCTGTCCCCCAGGCTGGAGCGCAGTGGCGTGATCTCGGCTCACTGCAAGCTCTGCCTCCCAGATTCACGCCATTCTCCTGCCTCAGCCTCCCGAGTAGCTGGGACTACGGGCGCCTGCCACCATGCCCGGCTAATTTCTTGTATTTTTAGTAGATGCGCTGAGTAAGTATTTTGGTAACTCCTTACCTTTCTAAAATGAGAAGTATTTTTAGTTAGCTGCCTATGGAAACTTTCCCAGGTACTGACATTGTGAATTTGCCTAGTTATCTTTGAGACAGCTATTTGTTCATTCATGAAATCATACATTCTTGCATTCAGGCACATTTGTTAAGTGAATACTTACATGAAAATCTGCGTGACTAAGTATGTAAAGCTTTGCAACTCAAAATGATTCTTACGGCAAGAAGCATTTATGTCACCTAGAAGCTTGTTAGAAATGCAGATTATCAGGGCAGCCTCAAACCAACTGAATCAGACACTGTATATAACAAGATACCTGGATAGTTCATATGAAGCTAAAGGATACAAAGAAAGCTTGTGTATAGCTTTGTAGGACTTCCCAGTCCAATGGAGGAAATACATTCCATGTATAAGCAATTATACTATAATATCAGTGCTCACATGGTAAATGTCTCTATGTGTAACACAGCTAGTTTTATAGAGCCTGGCACTATCTTTCAAGTCAGACAAAGAATAATTACAAGAAAAAAATATCTCAGGTCCTTGTCTTCTGTGTGATTCGGACAAGTTATTTTTCCTTTCCCTGACTCATTTTCTTCACCTCTAAAGGAAAATTAATGATGTCCACTTTATAAGGCCGATTGAGTTAGGAGCAATACATGTAAGGACGTAGCACAGTAACTGGAGAAGAATAAGCGCTGACTGAGTAATGATGATTATTGCGGAAATTTAAAAGTTCACTGTTTGGCTGGGCGCGGTGGCTCATGCCTCTAATCCCAGTACTTTGGGAGGCCGAGGCGGGCAGATCACAAGGTCAGGAGATCAAGACCATCCTGGCTAACGCGGTGAAACCCCATCTCTACTAAAAAAAAAAAAAAAAAAAAAAATTAGCCTGGCATGGTGGCGGGTGCCTGTAGTCCCAGCTACTCGGGAGGCTGAGGCAGGAGAATGGCGTGAACCCGGGAGGCGGAGCTTGAAGTGAGTTGATATCGCGCCACTGCACTCCAGCCTGGGCGACAGAGCGAGGCTCCGTCTCAATTAAAAAAAAAAAAAAATTCACTGTTTGCAGTTAGATATGCTGTTGTAGATACATTTTCATGAAAAGTTGACATATTAGCTGTATATCATATACATAATTTTAATATAAGGGTTTAAAAATGAACAAACGTAAATATATTTAACCCTCCAATCATGATTTTCAACTATAGGGAGTTATATTTCTCACCCATATAGACACTATTTGAGAGTCAAGGATGGTACGTGTTAGAACAGCTATCATGCAATTTAAACCTGATGGTCAGTTTAGACTAATCGTCAATTTAGACTGAACTATCTAGCATAAACTAGATAGGTTGTTTAAATGCATTACTAATTTTATTGTCTCAAAATACCTGTAAAATGAAATTCTTTTCAAAATAAACAAGTTGCCTGTTATAGTCTTTTTATTTAGTTTAGAATTAACATTAAATAGCTCTCTCTCTCTCTCTCTCTCTCTCTCTCTCTCTCTCTCTCTCTCTCTCCTCTCTCTCTCTCTCTCTCTCTATCTATCTCACCCAGGTTGGAGTGCAGTGGTGTGATCTCGGCTCACTGCAACCTCCACCTCCTAGGTTCAAGGGATGCTCCTGCCTCAGCTTCTAGAGGAGCTGGGACTACAAGTGCACACCACCATGCCCAACTAATTTTTTTGTAATATTGGTAGAGATAGGGTTTCACCATGTTGGCCAGGCTTGTCTCAAACTCCTGCCCTCAAGTGATCTGCCTGCCTTGGCCTCTGAGAGTGCTGGGGTTGTTATTATTATTATTTTTTCATGTTGGAAGCACAGCAAGCTTTATAAAAATCATGAAATTCAAAGATGAATTTTCACAATGAGTGAACAAATATAAATCATGCATCTTGGAATGTGCTGCAATTTGTCAATTTATGGATTTTTCTTGGTAAAATATAGACTTCTATGTATTATACATTGATTGAAGAAATTGTAACTGAGTAAAATCATTTCATCAAACTCGCCTTGATTACCAAAGCCAGCATGGGTGATACTAACCTGCCTTCTCAGTATGCATTAGCAGGAACTGCCAGCTCTCTCACATAAAAGACTGAGAAAGGTAAAGTGTCTAAATTGAACTGATCAGACACTAATTATTTTCTGATTCTAGCTGATTAATTACTTCATTGCAATTTTGGCTAAATTTCTAGTTAAAATTGCTATGGCTAATGCTCACTGTAGAACTGTCCAATGTATAAGAGAAAGCAATAAGGATTGTTCTCAGTAAGAGGTGTGCATTTTTATTTACTGTTCTAAACTCTTTCTTCGTCTCCCAAAGGACTGTTCAACTAATATGAAAGTGTCTTCAGAGGGCAATAAAAATTTGCAGGGAGGCCAGACAGAGATGCAGAACACAGAAGTTAGGGCTTTCTTACCAAATACTACAGTGATTCCAGGGTTTATGCATTTCCATCTGGCTCAGATTCTGCTTTTTATCCATATGCAGGAATTCTTTTATCTTTTTCTCTTTTTCCTTTAAGCATCTGTAAGAAGGGATGTTAAGGACTTCCATCTGTCTTCCACCTGGTTACTTAAAAGAGTGAAATATTTGCTACAGGCAAGAAACAGATGAGCTGCTGAAAGCTTTTAGCTTTTAGGATTTGGTAGGATTTGGAGAAGGCCATAAAGCAGGGATTTCCAAGGTGTGTTCAGAAGGTTACTGGTGGACTCTCAAGTAGTTTATAAACAATTTGGCAGTTTGGGGGTAAAAATTAATGATATATTTGTCCCTGGTTATTTCACGGATTTCGTTGTGTGTAAGATTCAGGTTTTCACCAAAATACCATTATACATTTAAAAATTGCATCTGTTTGGATCAAGGACTACTTTGAGTAGTTTTTCTTATATAGCTTTCAGTTTACAGGTTGATCCTTGTCTTGGCCAAAGTATTTTCCCATCTCTTGAGGGCTATTGTTTACATTTTCCAAATTGGCTTTTTCATTTTTGTTTTTTTACTTTATGTCCTAAATTGTAGTAAGCATTCCTCCATTAGCTCAAAATGATACCTTGAAACTTGAAGTTATCAATAAAGCATAATAAAGTTCAGAAATATGATTAATTAAAAAAATGAACCTGTGTGTTCTCTAAAAGTGAATATGCAGGTGGGGTGACTATGTATCTAAAACAAAAACAATTGAGTTATGTAATATAGATATCTACAAATTAGATTTCTTTTTGTAAAGACAATCACTTTTCCCCTAGTCCCCACCATCTTGTCTGCTAAACAAAATTTGTCAAAGTGCCTTGAAACCATAGATTATTTTTCTGTCATTCTCAAATAAAACACGGTAAATTTTCTATTGCATCAATAGATTTTCCTGAACCTGTGCAGAGTAACGCTATCCAGGATGATTTTGCTAGCTAAAACTTACAAAAGAAAGAGAGGATATCAAATTTATGAAAGTGCCTTTTGAAGTTGTTTTTCTTTTAACAGAAATTAGTCAATTGCTTGTAAAGTAGCTCAGAAACCAGCAACAAAGTTAAATTGTGTCCTTGTAGAAAAACAAAGGGAACTATTGCCAAAATATTTTATCAAATGCCATCATTGAAAATCACATATTAAGTCCCTTAATTGGAAACGCAAGTACTATCATGTGTGCAGACTTGCAGACATTTAAACTTAAATTTGGCTACAATTGTGCAATGTATGAATCCATTCTTGGTACGTATATAGTGAGTACTACATATTTATTATTTGTAAGCCTTGATGTAGATATACATGGTTTTATTGGAATCAAGGCTGATGGAGCGATGATGCAAGAGAGGGTGCTGGGACATGAATAAAAGTTTACACCTAAGTGCCCGTGCACTCACTGCTTTATTCACAGAAAATAGTAGGAAGATAACAAAATTCTACCGCATCTTGGTTCTATATTAAAGATAATAATGTAAATTGTAAATACAGTAAAACCTCAGCCATAGAGCAATAATAGTTTTCAGTGCACTCTTTGGAGAAATGGTCAGTAAGCGAAAAACTTTGCTTTACCATTTTTAAATAAACCAACAGCAAAGAGTCAACGTACTAAAATAATCATTGCAAATAATGGATAAAATAACATTTTTTGTTGATATTAATGCTAGTAAAGACCATTTATGTGATTTCTTGTATATTAAACAAATGGAACATTTCAGTAATATAATCTATTTCTTGAAGAGTTTTAACCTATTATTTTGAGACCGAAATTGAATTCAATGTAGTAGATAAAATACCTGGGCTTAGTGGGCAAACAAAAACTTGATGCGCATGTGTAACTTTCTGAGAGATGTGTTCTTTTCCACAACATGATGGTTGTTATCAGTCATCTGCAAATCATACCTGAATGTTGAGACAAAATGTGATGAAATCATTTCTGGATCTGAAAGCAATAAATAAATGGATTATGAATTTGTTCATCCCTAATTCCCAGGTTGAATCATTTTAAGTTCCCAGTGTTTTAGTTTAATATGCTTGTCAATTCAGCTTGTGATAGAGCCCATGAAAAACTCAGATGTAAGAAAATCCTATTAAAATGATTTAATGTTTGATCCTAATATAGAGACTTAATATAGCGATTGAATAGTTCCTCTCATTCCAGACCACAAATAAAGGTAAGCCAGGGTAGTGAAATGTATCAAAAGTAAAGAATAACAAAAGAAACGAACAGGATCACAAACAAGCTACTCATCATGAAATCAGATAAAGGCGATTTATAGAAAAAAGCAAAACATGTCATCTAAGATAAGAAAATAATTATAATTTTTAATGTTATGATATCTAACTGTGATGAATATACATTTTAATTTGACAGATAATATATTGTTGCTAAGCATGTATATAAATGGTCTGCCAAAGCTGGGTATTTAGAAATACTGCAAGAAATGCAAACCTATGGCAACCGGTTGTGTAGCCTTTTACTGTCTCATTCAATACACAGCTGCCATGTCAGCCTGAGTGCTCTTGTTTTCATTATAATAAATAAGATATACAGCTGATGAAATGTGGGTGAGTAGTATATTTGAGGATGTGCAAAAATGTGAGCAAGCAAGGTTAATGTCCTTCAATATTTAAAAGTAATACATCTGATCTCACTTTGTGAAAAGTAATCCTTTTAGTCCTGTACATGTGAAAACTATTATTTTCAGGACCTGATGCTGTTCTCCAATCCAAATCTTTTCAAAAATAAAAATAATATAACAGATTTTATCTTTGATATAATACAGACACTTTAGCAAGTCAAATAGACTGTAAGATACAAGTAAAAAACAGCCAATTGGTACCTCATCCATATGCATCTATGAATCTGCATCAACACTTTTTTTTTCTTAATTTCCATAGGTTTGGGGTGAAAAGGTGGTGCTTGGTTCCATGAGTAAGTTCTTTAGTGGTGATTCGTGAGATTTTGGTGCACCCATCACCCAATCAGTATATACTGCACTCACTTTGTAGTCTGTTATCCCTCACTCCCCTCCCACACTTTCCCCCAAGTCCCCAAAGTCCACTGTATCATTCTTACGCCTTTGGATCCTCATAGCTTAGCTCCCACTTATGAGTGAGAACATACAGTATTTGGTTTTCCATTATTCCTGAGTTACTTCACTTAGAATAATGGTCTCTGGTTCCATCCAGGTTGCTACAAATGCCATTATTTTGTTCCTTTTATATGGCTAAATAGTATTTCATGGTATATATCGATCACAATTTCCTTATCCACGCGTTGATTCGTCAGCATTTGGGCTGGTTACATATTTCTGCAATTACTAATTGTGCTGCTATAAACATGCGAGTGCAAGTATCTTTTGCGTATAATGACTTCTTTTCCTTTTGGGTAGATACCCAGTAGTGGGATTGCTGGACCCAGCAGCACCACATTTTTAAGCCATCACTTCTGACATTTGCCTCCACATCCCTAAATAATTTGTTTATATTTGTATTTTTTAGTTATTACTATTTTAGACCTTACTTATTCTCTTCTTATTTTTATATGTCTTCTCATAAAACTATTTTTGGTTATTCGAAGTTCAGTGTTTATAATTTTTAATGAAGAATTATTCACACCTGCATCGACTACTATAATTATGTTACTTTATTTTGCAACGTTCTTCTTTTTTTCACTTAGTTTTTCAATTTCATTATCATTTCACTTCTATTATTCTTTCATGCTGACCTTTAATATTATAAACTCTTGGTCAAATCTATCAAGTGTATTATCTGTCTTATCATATTTTCTTGGAGACATTGCTCCTTGTGTCCCCTTATTACACTGAGTCTCTCCTCTAATACCTTGATTTCTAGGTCATGGGTCTCCCATTTGCTTTTCTTACACTTTTATATTGTTGGATATATCTTCTAATATTTTTCTAAGAGAAGTTACAGTAACAGTAAAATTTTGAGAACTTAAATGCCTGAAAAATGTTTCATTGTGCATGCATACTCAATGATTTTCTGAAAATATAATTCAAGGATGAAAGTATATTTTTCTTAAAATGTTGAAGAGATTGTTCTATGTCTTCTGAGAAATTAGGTATCATTCTCCTTTTCATTCCTTTTTAGGATTTGCTTTTCTCATTAGAAGAGTTTATATTTCAAGGGTACTGGATTTGGTTTTATTTCATTTATTGTACAGGGTACAATAGAGATAATTCAATTTGAAAATAATTTTAAACAGTTTTATAAAAAATAAACTTTTTAAAACAGTTTTATTGAAAGATAATTTTTATCTTTAAACAGTTTTATTGAAAACTCTTATATCATATAATTCAGACATGTAAATTATACAATTGAATGGCATTTAATATATTCAAAGAGTTGAGCATCCATTATTACCAGAATCAATTTTAGAACATTTTCATTATCCCTATGCCCCCCAAAAATATTCAGTCTTCTGATCCATAAAAGTCTTTCAATTCATATAGTCTTCTTTAATTTTTGTCAACAATGTTTTGTGGTTTCAAGGTATAAGTTTAGATTTCTTTTACTACATTTATTTGTAAGTAGTTTTATTCTTCTTGATGCTATTATAAATATAATTGTTTTCTTCATTTCATTTTTGGCTTGTTCCTTGCTTCTTTATAGGAACACAATAGACTTTGCTATATGAGCTTGTGTTCTGTAATCTTGCTGAGCTTATTTGCACTAATTATTATTTAATGGGTTCCATAGGGTTTCCAATGTACCAGACATTATCCTATGCAAATAAAGAGTGTTACTTCTTCCTTTCCAACTTAGATGCTTTTTGCTTATTTATTTTTCTTAAACAAATTATCTGGCTAGAATCTCTAGCACAATGTCAAATAGACACAATAAGAGTGGGTATCCTTTTCTTATTTCTGAGCTTAAGGGGAAAGCATTCAGTCTTTTACCAGTTAGCATGATATTAGCTGTGGGCTTTTTGTACATGATGTTTTCTGTTGAGAGAGTTCCCTTCTATTTGCAGTTTGTTGAGTATTTTTTTTTAATCCATAAAAGTGTGTTGGATTTTGTCAAATGTATTACTGAGATCATTGTGTGGCTTTTGTCCTTTATTTTACTGAGAAGTATTACAATTATTTATTTTTAAATGTTAAACTAAACTTGCATTACTGAAACAAATCCCTTTTTAAATGGTGTATAATTGCTAGATTTCATTTGCTAGTATGATGAGAATTTTTAATAGGTATTCATAAGAAATGATCTTCTTTAGTTTTCTTTTCATGTGGTATCTTTGTCTGGCTTTGGTATCAAGGCTAGCCTCATAAAATGTGTTGAGAAGTGTTTCCTCCTCTTCTATCAAAATTGTTAAGTTTATCAAAAATTGTTAATTAATTCTTCTTTGGTGGAATTTACCAGTGAAATATTCTGGTCATGGGCCTTCCCTTTTGATAAATGTTTTACTTACTAACTCTATTTATTTTGTTAAATATCTATTTGAATTTTTTATTTCCTCTAGAGTCAGTTTCAGTAGTGTGTGCCTTCTAAGGAATTGGTCTATTTCATCTAAGTGTTCTAATTTGTTAACATATCGTTTTTTTATAGTATTCTCTTAGAATTCTTTTTATTTCCTTAAGTTTGGTAGTAATGTCTATCCTTTTATTATTGATATTAATAATGTAAATTTTTCTTCCTTATTTCTTGTTTAGTCTAACTGTAAGTTTGTCACTTAAAATTTTTTTTAATAAGCAGCTGTTTATTTTGTTTACTCTCTTTTCTTCTATCCTCCATTTCATCATTTTTTGTTCTAATCCTTATCACTTTCTTCCTTCAAATTGCCAGGTATATATATTTTTCTTTTTCCAGTGCCTTAAGTAGAAAGTTAGATTGTTGATTTGAAATTTTTCTTAAAATACGCACATTTATGGCTATAAATTTCCATTTATGCACTACTTTAGCTGAATTCTTTATGTTTTAATAAGTCGTGTCTTCATTTTCATTCTCTCAAACTGTTTTCTAATTTTTATCATGACCACTGCTTTAACTTGTTCTTTGTTTAAAAGTGGGTTGTTTAATTTCTATATTTTTCTTAATTTCCTCTTTTTTCTGCTATTTATTTTTTAAATTTCACTACAGTGTGATCAGAAAATGTACTTTATATTTTTCAACTAATTCAAATTAAATGAGGCTTGTTTTGTGGCCTAACACATGGTCTATCCTGAAAATTGCTCACAGTGCACTTGAGAAGAATGTGTGTTCTGCTGTTTCTGGGTGACGTGTTCTATAGATGTCTTTTAGGTCTAGTATGTGTGGGTTTTTTTGGTGTCTTCTAGTTTCTTGTTGATCATCAGCCTAGTTCTATACATTGTTGAAACTTAGATATTGAGGATTCCACTATTATTGTTGAATTGTTTCTTTCTTCCTGCAATTCTTTTAGTTTTCATTTCACGTATTTTGGGGAATTTGTAATTTGCTTTTGTTATTTGCTACAAATGTTCATCATTTGTATTAATTCCTGATGGACTGACCTTTTTAACATTATAAAATTTCCTAATCTATAGTACATTTTTCTTTGCTTTAAAATTCATTTTTTTCTGATATTATTATAGCCACTTTAGCTTTATTATGCTTGTGAAATGGGAAAAGTTCCCTCATCTCACTTGCAGGGCATGTGATGGGAGTGTGGCTCACTTCTTTCAGTGCCCTGCTGCTCAAACCTCTAGGGGAAGCATGCAGATGGGCAGGTTGTGAAGGCTCCAACCCCACAGCTGGGGGTAACGAATGCCCCAGTGGGCATGCGTTACAGGGTGGTCTTTGCAAGGTTTATACACCTTGGCTTGCAAGGTATACAAAGCCTGCACATATGGGGCCTCAGACCATCTGTCCTCATGTCTACAGAAAAGTGTCAACTGCTGGATGGTATTGAAATGAATGGTTCCTTCCTGAGTCCAAGCCAGTGCTGGCTGTAAATTATAATTTGAACAAACCTGTGTGCAGAGAGCTATGAGGCACTTTTCCTCCAGATTCTGAGGGTCAAAGCAGTCCCAATGGTTCAGGATACACTCTAGAGGAGTATAAGCTGGGGGTGGTAAAGAGAACTGGTTGCCCATTCTGAAAGACAGGGAATAGAGGTGTCCCTCATTTCTCTTCCTTCTTTCAGAAAAAACTCAGGGTGTGATGGAGAGAGAAAGCAAGCATCCTCCCTTTCTTTTCCACCTCTTATCCCTGAGCCCCGATGACTTTGGCAGGTGCTGACCATAGGTACGGATGTGGTATGTACCCATGAAGCAGGGAAAACCTAGAGAATAGGACTCAACTGCCCTCAACTATGCCTCCCTTTCTTCCTGCTGTCGGCAAACTTTGAGTTGCCTCGGCCTATTTATGCCATGGACCATGGGCTCCTTCTGTGGGGTGGGGGCATTTAGTCTGCAGGAATTGGTCCTGCCTGTTTACATTGTTCCTGTTGCCTGGCTTCGGATCCCTCAGACCTGGTTTTTCTTTCTAGGGCCTCAGCCTGAAGCTTGGAATCAAGTTCGGGACTGAAAAGGTATTTTAGGGGCTGGTTTTTATCTGTTTAGTGTCCCAAATGTGCCCTGCTGAATTTGCAGTTATCAGCCAGCAGGGGTCGTTCCTCCATTAACTTCCCTATCAGAAACAGATTTGGGAGGGGGAGCCCTCTCAGAAAAGGAAAAAAAAGAAAAGCAGTTTAAGGGGGCAAAAGGGGGAGACCCTGGGGGAAAAACCTCTTGCTCAGTGCAAGTGGGCCTTTCTAATCCTTGTATCTTTCCCCCAGTTCAGACCCGGTTGAATTCCTTGGCCAGGGAAGAAAAGGTTCCATTGGCGCCGTGGGCAAGAAGTGCCCGTCTGTGGGAGGGTGGCCCTGTGGGATCACGGGTACTGCCACAGCTTTCTTCCACACCTGTCTCCTGGCTGTTGGGTATGGCCTTTGCCTGCTGCAGGCACACTAGATGCCCGAGCTCGGAGGGGAAATGATAAGGAGAGGTGCCCTGAGCCGTGTGTGCCTATGGCTGTCATGAGGAGGCATACATGGCACCTCCAGGAAAAATTGGTCTGATTTGCACCTTTGGTGGCTGAGCCAAATGCTCATTTTACTTAGTAACATTGCTGCAGTCCGTAGCAAAACTCTTAACATTATAATGGAAGAGATAAAAGCCATTTTAAACTGTGAAAGAGACAAAAAATGAAGTCTAAGGGTTTTGACCGGCCCTGTTAGGGCAGAGTTTTTAAGACTCTGTGAAGGGAAACAGAGCCTCTTACCTGCAGGAGAGAGAGGTGGTAGCGTTTTGGAAGAGAGGCAGGCCTTACAGTTTTGTATTCACTCACACTCACCTTCTGAGATCCAGGATGAGCCCCCAGTTGAAATGGGAAAAGTTCCCTTATCCCCATCTCAGGGCATGTGATGGGGGTGTGGCTCACTTCTTCAGTGCCCTGCTGCTCAAACCACTAGGGTGAGCATGCAGATGGCCAGGTTGGGCTCTGACACCATGGCAGTGTCTAGGAGTGAATGTTTATAGCTGAAGCCCCAGTGGGTGTGTGTTACAGAGTGCTCTTTTAGTTCAGCCATCCATAGGCAGCTGTGTTAGCTCAATTAGACCCCCTGCCTTATCACAAGGACAGAGGCCTTTCTGTATCACAAGGTTTTTTGCCTTGGTGTACTGGAAGAATTGGATCACACATTGGCTTGGAGAATGAGTGCAAGGTTTTATTGAGTGGAAGTTCTCAGCAGATGGATGGGGAGCCAGAAGGGAGATGGAGTTTGAAGGAGGTTTTCACCTGGATTCAGGCCACTTAGCAGCCCGGGCTCTCCTCTGACCGTCCCAGCCAAACTCCCTGTCATTCAGCTGGTTGAAGGCCTGCTGGCTTGCTGGCATCTGTCAGCATGCTCTTCCACCAGTGTCCTCTTGACATCAAGCTGCTGTGTCTTCTTCCACCATTGTCTTCCTCTTGACATCCAGCTGCTTGAGTGGGTGGCCACTGGGTCTCAGAGTTTTTTTATAGGCACAGGATGGGGGCATGGCAGGCCAGGGTGGTCTTGGGAAATGCAACATTTGGATGTGAAGGAAGGAGTGCCTGTCCTCACCTAGGTCCGTGGGCACAGACCCGGCAGTGGGGCCCTAAGCCAGGGACCACACCCTCCTCTGCCCAGCACTTCCCTGCCCTCCTTCCATATAAGTTGCTGTTTGTATGGTATCATTTTATATTCAACCCATTTTTCTTTTTAAGAGAGGGGTGTCTCACTCTGTTGCCCAAGCTGGCCTCAAACTCCTGGGCTCAAGCGATCCTCCTGCCTCAGCCTTCAGAGTAGCTGGGACTATAGGTATAGAACAGCATATCTAACTTATTTGTATTTTTTAATCTAAAGTATCTCATATTGACAGTATATAATTTGATCCCTTTTTCTAATCCAATCCACCATTCTCTGCCTTTTGATTAGATTGTTTAATCTATCAAAAATTTTACATTTTAATTGTTATAATTGCTTTACATCTGTTATTTTTGTTTTTAGATATTTTTTATATCCCATCTCTTTTTCTTTCCTCTATTCCTCCTTAACTGCTTTCTTTTGCATTAGGCCATTACCTAGTGTAAGATTTAAATTTCCTTAATTTTTTTCACTATATTTATTTTTAGTTATTTTTAGTGGTTGCTGTAGTGGTTCCAAATACCTCTTAACTTATCAGAATATAATTTAGATCTATAGCAAGTTAATTCCAGTGAGATACACAAATATTACTCCTATATAGCGCTATTTCCTCTTCCCTATTTTTATCCTAGTAATGTTATTCATACTATATGTTGCAAACTCAGTACTATAATTATTACTTAATATAACTTAATATTAATCAGAACTGATAAAAAAGGAAAACATGCTTATTTCATAGTATTTCTTATATTTACTTTCCTAGTTACTGTTTCTGATTCTCAACATTCCTGTTGAGAGATGACTAGTGTCACTGTCTTACTTTGATACAACTTTAATTCTCCACTTGTTCTTTGTTATGTTATTGTTAAATACTCTATATTTGTGTATTTTACAAGGCAAGCAATAAAATCATGTACACCATGTTTTAAACAATTGCATTTTAAACCTGTTAGGAGAATAAAGATGAATATATATGCATTTATACTTTAAAAAAAACTAATTACATAATTAATATTTATTAGCACTCTTTTTTTTAGAAAAGGAATTTAAGTTTTCATCTGGATTTACTTGCTTTCAGCCTGAATAACTTCTTTTAGAATTTCTGTTAGGCCATGCAAAGTAAAAACAAATTCTCCAGTTTTTTTTATTTGTCTTTATTTTTTAATATTTTTATGTTGCCTTCATTTTTGAAAGATTGTTTCTCTATACTGTTGTTGATAGTTTAGAAAGATGCTTGGCTGATTTTTTTCTTTGTCAGTTTGTGTATAATATCCCATTGCCCCTTGGTTTTCATAGTTTTTAATGGGAAATTACCTGGAAGTTGTATGGGGCTTCCCTGAAATATAATGAGTTGCTTTATCCTGCCCCTCTCAATAACTTAGTCTTTTAGCATATTTACCATGATTTATATGGTTATGTATGTTGTTACATTTATCCTACCTATAGGAATTGAGTCTTGGATATGTACATTAATATATTTTAGACAATTTGGGAAGTTTTCAATTATTATTTCTTTGAATATTTTTCTTCTCATTTCTTTTTCCTCTCATTTTAGGACTTCCATTACACTATAGTTGGTGCAGTTAAATTTGTCCCACAGTTCTCTGAGGCTCCCTTCATTTTCCTTCATTCTACTTTTCCTGCATTCTTCAGATTGCATGATCTCTATTAAATTGCCTTCGAGTGTGTTGATTCTTTCTTCTGCCAGTTCATATCCACTGTGCTATTTCTGTAATATTAAAAAATGTTACTATTGTTTTCAACTCTAGAATTTTTATTTGGCTTGTTATAATTTCTATCTCTTTATTAATGAGATATTAATTTTTTTTTTTACTTCTTTTAGCATGGGTTCCATTAGTTTTGGGTACATATTTACAATTATTACTTTGAAGTATTTGTTAAATGTGACATCTGGTTCCTCTCACAGGCAGATTCTGTTTCTTGTTATTTTTTTCCATTGTGTGACAGTCTTTCCCATTTATTTGTCTCTCTGAAAATGTTTGTTGTTGTTGAAATCTGAACAGTTTAGGTAATACATTGTAACAACTCTGGATACTGATTTCCCTCCCTTATCTCTGAGACTTAGTCTTACTGCTTTTCTGTTAATTCGTTTTGTGACTTCACTAGGCTATTTTAATTAAGCCAATTTCCCTCACAGTTAGTCTTTGCTGTTCTTCTTCAGAAGGTGCAAACATGAACCTGCACACAGTTCATGTGTGTCATTCCTGCACTCTGGAATGACAGTAATTTTTAGCTGGCTCTCTTTGTCTCTTTTTCTAATGTCTATGTTAAACTATGTAGCTCATTTGGTATTAGACTCTAGGCTCCACTAACTGCCAGCTTAACACTGTAGTTTTCAAGAATGCCCTGGAGTATAAATTCCCAGCTGTCTGATCCAATTAAATTCTGGCAGGGGTAGTTTTTAGTCCAGCATTTGAGGTTTGCTCTGATTCTAGTAGTGCTTTTGCTAGCTGTCTCTTTTCCTGATCTTTCTGGTGAACAGCCTGATTTATAGTTGAGCTTGTTGATTTAAATGAAAATAAACTATTGTTTTTGAGAGTGTCCTTAAGCCATGATTTCCTTACCCTTTTTCAGATTAATTTCATTAAGGAGAGTTTTGAAGCTCTATTTTCTTATGGATTCCCTCTCCCCTGGGCAAAGTTTCTGAGCCTGGGGGGTATGGTAACCACTGGTGCTCTCAGCCTGCCTCACTGTGTGTGGAATTTCTGCCCTGCTAGGGCAAGGGCAATAAAGAATGCAGTACTCTTTGCCTACCATGCCAGGGTAGAGCCTTCATGTATGATTTCAGGTTGAATGGACAAAAGAGTTCTTGACTTCTTAGCTGTTCTAAGAATTTGGCCTCTTCAAACTGAAATTGCAGGTGACAAAATGCTGGAGGTCTGTTTTTACTAGTAGACTACGGTAACAATTTATTTGCATGTAGGGGAAAACAGAGCCTTGTCTTCTTGTTTACTTGGAGCTTCCTCCAAGATGAGCTGGCAGTATACGAGGTACAGAAAGAGGTACGGCTCAAATGTCACACATTCTCACTGTTCTTACTAAGTCTTAGTAAATTTTCTTGAATAAATACTTTATCATTTGCTATATTTCTTTAGAATAATGTCCAGAGACTTTGATCATTTTTATTAATAAATTTAATTTAGAACAGTTTAAAAATTACAGTGAATTTAAGGATAAAGCACAGAGAGCTCCTAAATATGCCCACACCCTCACTGCACAGTTTTCCCTATTATGAATATTTCACATTAATCGGTATATCTGCTACAACAAATGTTAATTTGCTGTTATTAACTGGAGTTCATAGTTTACCTTAGAGTTCACTCATTTGTTGTACAGTTCTATGGGTTTTGAAAATATAGGCGTGCCATGGAGATGGTATGCTTCAGTTCCAGACAATGACAGTAAAGCAGATATTACAGTAAGGTAAGGCTTAGGAATTTTTGGGTTTCTCAGTGCCTATTAAAGTTAGCTTTGCACCATACTATAGTCATTTGAGTGTGCAATAGCAACTTGTTTAAAAAAGTATATACTTTAATTTAAAAATGTACTTTATTGCTAAAAAATGCTAACAATCATCTGAACCTTCAGTGATTTGTAATCTTTTTGCTGCAGGAGGGTCTTGCATTCACACTGATGACTGCTGACTCATCAGGATGGTGGTTGCTGAAAGTTGGAGTGGCTGTTTCAATTTCTTAAAATAAAACAACAATGCACTTTGTAGGATCAATGGACTCTTCCTTTCATAAAAGATTTCTCTAGAGTATGTGGTGCTGTTCGATAGCATTTACCGGCAGTAAAACTTTTTTTCAAAATTGAAGTTAGTTTTCTCAAACCCTGCCACTGCTTTATATATAAAGATATTATGAATCCTTTGTGGTTTAACAATATTCACAGTGTCTTCATTAAGGGTAGATTCCATCTCAGGAAACCAGTTCTTTTGCTCATCAGTAAGGGACTCTGCATCTGTTCAAGATTTATCATGAGACTGCCACAATTCAGTCACATTTTCAGGGTCTACTTCTAATGCTACTTCTCTATTTTCATCACATTTTCAGTTTTTCCTCCATTGAAACTTTGAACCCCTCACAGTCATCCATGAAGGTTAGAATAAACTTCTTCAAACTCCTTTTAATGTTGATACCTTGACCTCATTGTATCAATCACAAATGTTCTAAATGTCATCTAGAATGGTCAGTCTATTCCAGAAAGTTTTCGATTTAATTTTCCAAGTTTCATTAGAGGAAAACCTATGACAGCCATCACCTTAAGAAATGTTATTTCTCAAATAATGATACTTGAAAGTTGAAATGACTCCTTGATCTATGGGCTGCAGGATGGCTGGCTCTTTGTTCTTCTCCATTAGAGATCTTGGGCTTCTTTGTGCATTGTAAATAAGCAGTAATAATTTGAAAGGAATTCTATTTTTTGAACAATAGGCCTCCATAATGGGCTTAAACTATTCAGTAAACCATGCTTTATAGAGAGGTGTTATCATTCTGACTTTGTTGTTCAATTTATAAAGCACCGACAGAGTAGATTTAGTGTAACTATTAAGGACTCCAGGATTTTCAGAATGGTAAATGAGCAGTGGCTTTAACTAAAAGTCACCAGCTGCATTAGCCTCTTAACAAGCAAGTCAGCTTGTCCTTTGAAGACTTGAAGCCAGGCAATGACTTCTCTCTGGCTATAAAAGTTATTGATGACGTCTTCTAATAGAATGTTGTTTTGTCCACATTGAAAATCTTTTATGTAGTGTGGCCACCTTCATCAGTGATTTTAGTTAGATCTGATAGAAACTTGCTGCATCTTCTCCATCAGCACTTGCTGCTTTACTTTCCACTTTAATGTTACAGAGCTGGCTCCTTTTTATAAGCCTTTCAAACCAACCTCTACTAGCTTCAAACTTTTCTTCTGTAGTTTCCACAACTCACTCAGCCTTCACAGAATTGAAGAGAATTAGGACCTTGCTACTAATTAGGTTTTGTCTTAAGGGAATGTTGTGGCTGATTTAATCTTCTACATGGACCACTCAAACTTTCTTCATATCAGAAATAAGACTGTATTACTTTCTTATCATTCTCGTGTTCACTGGAATGGAAATGTTAATTGTCTTCAAGAACTTTTCCTTTGCATTCACAACTTGGCTCTCTGTTTGGTGCAAGAAAGCTAGATTTTGGCCTCTCTCAGTTTTCAACCTGACTTTTCCACTAAGCTTAATTATTTGTATTTTTTATTTAAAGTGAAAAATGTGCAACTCTTCCTTTCACTTGGACACTTAGAACCCATTTTGGCGTTATTATTTGGCCTAATTTCCATAATGTTGTGTCTCAGGGAATAGGGATGCCATTAATTGTTGATAATATTCTTTCAGTTTTGTGGGGTTTGTAGGCGAGAAAGCTTAGACAAGAAGAGTTGGGAATAGGTACTGGAGATCTAACTAAGCAGATTGTCATCAAACCCCTTTTTTGTCAACCTATGGCTCATTCTTACTTCTCAAGGTGCATGGCTGCTGCAGATTATTTTTGTAAGTGTCTATGTCTCCTTTCAATTTCATTTACTTTGGTCCATCCTCACTGTAAGAGTCCTGCATTACTTCTGTTCTGTGTCACTGCAACATCCTCCCTAGACCTTGTACTCTAACTGCTCATAACTTTCCAATCTTATTTCTGTCAATGGATAATTTTCTGTGTCATAAATCTAATGTTACAACATTGGAGAATTGCAATGACTTCCTATTGATGTAACAAGTGTATTTCTATTTATTAATAATGTATGTTATATATATGTATGTTTTAAGTAAAATATGTGTATTTAAATGTATGTATGCAATGTATATATTAGCTATAAAATATAAATTCTACTTATATAATCAGATCATCACATATAAAATTGCATCTACCTATTGTCAACCTAAATAGCAAACAGAGAGAGGCTCTCTAAAAGAAAATGATGCTTATTTGAGAATAGAGCATTGCAATGGAAATACACATTTCATAGTAACATGTGAGCATATTTCAGGGAGGTAAAAGAAGACAAAGGTTTTTAAAGAAAAAAATGAAAATGGTTACATAATTGTTTTAAAAGTATTATCCTTGGATATAAAGATTAATAACAAGAGGGACCAAGGTTGAAAAGGCAGTCCAAGGTTGAAAAGGCAGTTGCTTGGCAGATTTGCTTGCAAAAGTATTTTTCTTTTTTTGTAAGGTTGTAATGGCCTTCATGCAAATTTTTGAGTTTGTAGAGTCATTTTTAATAATTTTTGTTATTATTCATACAAGTGTGAGAACCCGCTCTTCACATCTTATCTAGCTCTATTTGGCAGGTTTTTTAAAATAGTAACTTGATTTTTATTCTGATATCTTTCACATTTCTTCCTTCTGATCACAGTATTTCTCCAAAAACAACTGATCATCCTGTAGTTAGGTTTTTGTATTCTGTGGTGGCAGCATGGACCTTGTTGTTCTTGTCCCATGTTTTGGTGGAGTGATTGGCAACTAGAAATGAGTGTCAAAACTATTGTTAGCCACATTTAAGCAAAAAGGGAGGTTTGAAGGGAATGGCTTTCAGGCTAAGTTCACCTGGAGTCCAGGATTAAGTTTAATTTAGTCTGTTCTGTAGCCCTTTACTATTATTTCAAAGTACTAGACCAGTGATTATTCTGTTAGTAGCTTTAATTCTGCAAAAATTTAACAAGTAACAGATACAAGCTTTACAATAAAAATAAAATAAGAATTAATAGTAATATGACAATTCCAGTTTGCAAAATGCATTTGACCCATAAACCTAGGATTAAATACAACCAATTGAATAAATTAAAAGACCATAAGGAATTAGGTGAGACCTGTTGTAACCATGTGGCCAGGGGTTTTTGTATTGTATATATGGGTTTCAACTTTCCCAAAAAAGTGTATCGAGGTCAGTATAGTATTGACAATAGTTTTAACCAATGGATACTGAAGAATCTTCTAGGCCATGTTTTTTCATGTTACCAGCAGAAGCTAATTGTGAAATTTCAATTACACTGTTATCCTGCCAAGTAAAAAAGGTACTATTAAGGGGGGTAAGAGTCTCACAATGATGATTGTTGTACTGATGTCTTGGTCAAATACCTGATCTTGGTTTCTAGTTTGAATATCTCTGGTCATGCCACTGGGTGGTTTGGTGAACTTTTGTGTGGCTTATACATCAAGCAGAAACCCAGTTACTTAAAATTTATCTAATTCAGCTTATAGGGTCTTAGGAACAGAACAGTTTCCATTTTTAGTAACTTCAGGGAAGAAAACTGGGTTGGAGGAAGCTAGAATGATTCAGGATCTAGTGTAGTCTACAAGTAGATAAGAAGACTGTGAAAACAGTTCACAGGGCTACAATCCAGTAACAGTTTTATATAGTTACAGTTATAACTATAAAAATTATATCTATTTAAAAATCATAGTTTTCTGTGTGTGTGTTTTTTTTTTAGACATGTAATTATTTCTCGCTACATTGATCATATAGAAGTCTCAGATTTAAAAACCTCTTGAGGATAGGAAACCAAAGCAAGACAGACTTTACTTAAGTTTCCTGGGCCTGATGGGAAATGACAATTTTTATTCATTCACTGTTAAGCTGGGAATCCTCAAAATCAAGCATTCGATGCACCTTCTTAAATATAGTATTCTTGACAAAGCCTTGGTAAATGCCTAATGTTTCTAATTGTGTCTTGCTATAAAGAGAAATGAGACTTCTATTAAACTTCTGCAAACCCCATTGTCACAAAAAGTAAGAATGCTCACAAACAGATTCCAAACTTTGGAAGAATCAAGTAAGGAGAGAAACAAAATGCTTCCACCTTTGTTCACAAAAGTGTACTTTACCAAATTTATGTAAACTAGAGAAAGCTTAAGAAAGAAAATATCCTTAAATCTGGAAAGCAAAACATTTAAGTAAAGAACTAGTAAGGTTACATATAAAAAGTCTTAAAAAATATCTTCATTATTTATTCAATTTCATGTAATTAATTTTTGCTCTGCTTGATCTTGATTACAAGTTTCATGAACCCATCAGTTTTATTAGAGTTCTGAAAAGTTTTTTGTATTCTATTAATGTTAAAGTTATTAGAAATCTGTATTCAAGACTGTTTGTTAGAGTTCTTTCCATGAAAAGCAATTTTAGACTATAGGTAATTGAAAAACATGACAAAAAAAGATGACAAACACTTATATTTGCCATAACTAAAAATCTGATGAAAGTTTCCAACTGAAGAGAAAATTAAGTTATTTTAAGATTACTTAAGATTTTTTAAAGCATTTTAAGATAATAACAAGAATCTTGACTGACAGCACCACCTCAGGACCGTCAGACCTTTATAAATTTTACATAACTTTCAGAACACTCGCCTCAATAAGAAATCCATATTAATGTAACTTTTAAAAAGATTTAACATAACCAAAACTAGTACTAATATATCATATTTCTATAAATGTATATACTTCTTGAAACATTTACATCAATAATGTACCCATAAATGTAACTGAAAGAGTATCTAGTATCACCAATTATTTGAAAATGCTTCCCATATAATTTACCAAATAAGCCTAACAATTTAATTTATCTACAAAATGAGAGATACATTCTTTAATGCCTTCCAGGGGCCCAACTGGAGAATCCTAAAGTTAATTCTAGGTCAAAAGACTTAACTTAGGATTTTGATCCTGGGGAAGCCTGCCAAAGACATCAAAATGTTCAAAATACTCGACCAAAACAGAATCACAAGTCATTGTGGAAATAATAGTAATTCATTTAACCAGAGTGATAACTGAAAGACTTCACATTCATCACAGAAAGTTAGATGTATGTAAAAAACCTTAACCATTTTAAAGCTCAATTTTTCTAAGTTATCAAAAACCTAATTAAAAAAACATAGGAAATAATCTTGATAAAACATAAAATCTTTGTGTTTTTTAGGTCAGTTACCAAAAAAGTAAAGAAAAACCTCCTGTGTGGATGCTTCTCCTTATGGAAAGCCTATTTCTATAACATGAAAGTCAAACCTGATGAAAAGTTACTTAAAATTAATCCGACAGAAAGAATGTGTTCAAGGTTATGAGTGCACACTATATTATAGAAGAATGGAAACAAGAAAACTAGTACATTGAGTGGGGAAATATATATGTCTCTTAGTAACAGTATGAGAAGTATCCTTATTACATGAAAGAATTTCGATACATTAACAAAAGCTAAGAGTACAGAATTAAGTTATACTGGAGGAAAAGCATTGCTTTTCTAGGCCTTCATGCTAAACATTTTTGTTTCATTTGACTGTGTTTTGCTTTTAGTGCTCTTTGCTTTATTGCACTTCACAGACATTGCATCTTTTACAAATTTGAGGTTTGTGGCAACCCTCCATCAGGGTTAGAAAAAAAAAGCTACAGGAGTTGATAAAAACATTGAAGAAGAAAGTTTTCATCCCAGCCCAGAAGACACATAGCTTTTTAAGGGTAGAAAGAGAGTTGAAGACAATAATGCATAATGAGCAAATCCCATGTAGTGTGAGATACAGCAAACGTTGAATCGAGATACAAATTTGAAAAGTTGTAAACAAAACTTACTTCAAGAGATAAAATTACCACTGTGAACGAAAAAAGACAACATTTCTAATACAAAACTGGGGAAATTAAATGGATCTCAGGAAGAACTGTGGCAGAGATAGAAACTGCTTGCATTTTAAAAATGGCAGTTAAAGAAACAGATTTCAGAGTTAAAAAATCAAAACCTCTTGTCATTTGCCTAACAGCAGGTACATATTTCAAGAAAATCTTACTGTTCTAATACAGGGACCAAATTTTAAATTTTGTATTAGTGTATTTTTAATATCAAAACTCAATCTTTAGCATATATAATTCCCTTCTAATTACAGCCAACTCGACCACCCACAAAATTCCTATCATAAATTCCCTCTTTATGAACTTTTTTCAACCTGCTCAGACATTTTGATGTCATACTTATATTTCTCCTTTGTGCTATAATTCCTCTTTCTTAAATAACCAGGCATTTTACTTTAGGACGAAAATTTGTCAAACAAGAAATTTTGTCAAACAACCTTTAAATAGCCTCTGAATTAGACAATACTATTTTTTCTTTCTCAATAATGAGCACTTTTTTGTCTTAGTATTTTTTTCATTAAAAACACATCTTACTTTTTGGCACATTTTATATAGATAATTATATTTATTAATTACAATTTTTTAATTTCAGTGAACTTAAATATTAGTCAAACCTTAGTAAGCAAGAAATCTTGAATTGTCAGTCACATATTAGTATTTTATAAATGAGAACCATTTTATAATTTTCAAAAGTATGTTTCCCCATAATATATTTTTTATGTGTATTGATAGATCCAAATGTATTCAGTCTTTACATAAAGTCTAAACAGCCAATAACAAACTTATATTTAGTAAGTTGTTTCAGGGTTTCTTTTTAAATTTTATTTCAAAATGACCTAGACATTTGATGAGTTTCTTTTATTTAATCTATTATTTAATATAACATAAAGTTTTAAAATTACATGAAAAGTTTACTTATAGACATCTATTCCACATAAATTTAACTATATCATTTATTTTTAGCATTTTATTTAAATTACTTATGAAAAATAAACTATTACCCAAAGCTAGCCATCATTTCAAGTTATTTTCCTGTAATCATTTTTATAACCTGTGAATATCAGGTATTCACCTAGTAAGAACCTTAAAGACATAGGTATAGTGCCAATAACCCAGAAGATACAGCTGTTTTCATTAAACCAACAATACTAAATTAGGCTAATTCATCAAAAATTGCACAAACAAATGTCATTCTCTTTTAGGCTGGGTTTATAGTTTTATATCCTTTATGTCAAACACTAACAGTTTAAGATATCTAGCTGAAACAAATATAAAGCAAACCATTAAACCCAGGCAAAAATGTATGCTGATAATTGTGAAAACATTCCCTTTTTTATTTTACCAATATTTTTAAAAACTGATTATTTATTAAGGATTTACTTATGTCACATGAACTAAAAGGAATATGGGTTAATTAGGTTAATTACTATATATTTTAAATGAGCAGTCATTTATCTAAGTGATCATTCATCTAATTATCTAAAAATTTCTAAGGGGTTTCTGGCTAACTACACCAGATTTTAAATCTCTAAGTAGCCTTGAATCCATCTCTTTTCTGTTGGTGTTGTTTGTTTGACTAGTCAAATGTGGATGGGGAGGTATTTTAACCTTTTTTTCCTGGCTTTCTCTTTTTGGATCCTGCGTGGCAAATAAATGAAAACTTTTATACCAGACAGAGATAAATTACGCTATTTCTCTGAGCTCAAGATTTTGACTTGTTTGATCTGAGAGCCTAACGTTTACACATTTTTCTAGTTCTTTACTTTTAGATCATTAATCTTTCAATTAACAATTCCATCACCCTAAGTTATTGTTAGTCAAGCAAATCTAAATTCACATTTCCAAAAGATGTCTAGGTTGTTGGTTACCATGGTGCTATGGTAATTTGTAGTCATTAATTTGAAACTTTTAAGACTTTTTTTTTTTAATGTTGACTGGAATGCCATAAATAGTGACTTTTATCTCAACACTAGTAGAAAAGTCAGCAAATTCAAAGTAAGCAGAAAAAAAAGCAGAGAAAACTTAGATGGCTCTACATCTTAACTGTATAGTTGCAGGGTTTTTTAGAGTTCAAATACTGACCATTTAAGCTATGAATTTTCCTTGATTAAATTTGCCCATCAGTTTAAAAATGTGCACAAGAATGAGCCATCATTATATGTAACCAGCTGTAGTCCCAGAAAATGTGGCATGCCTTAATGACTCAGAATCCCATTCAAGTTCTTATTAACCTCTCAAAAGCAAAGAAAGTCTTAACTTATTCTGTCAGAGAATGTCAGGAGTTTAAATCCGTGCTTTAGATGGCTTTTAATTAACCATTCTGCACCAACCATTTATAATGTTCATTTTTCTCTCAAAAAAGTTTTAGAAATAAACAAGGGAAAAGAATCAAACTAAATTAAAAGGACCCATGATGAGTACTCACAAAAGCTGTAACCAAGGCACGCAGATAAAACAAAAGACTAAACTAGGTACACAGATGAAAAGTGCACCTAGATAAGCCCTGCATTACAGGCAGAATGTAAATTCTATGGAAGTTAGAGTACTCAACCCAAAAAGATATACTGTCTTCACACCAGGAAGGACTTGCCAGACAAAAAGCATTTTATCATCTCAGGAGGAATGGAAGGTCCTTTGTTTAAGGCAGGTGTATCCAAATCAAATCCTAAATAAGATAAAGAACTTCTACAAAAAGATGAAGGCTCAGCCTGAGATAAGACTCACCAAGGCAGAAAGCCAAGCTGTGGTTTCAGACACCATGTATGTCAACCTAAATAACAAACAGAGAGAGGGTCGCTAAAAGAAAATGATGTTTATGCAGTAATAGATCATTCTAATGGTAATACACATACCGTAGTAAACTATATGAATATTCAGGGAGGTAAAGGAAGACAGTTTTTAAAGAGAAAATGAGGACTACATAATTGTCTTGAAATTATTATCTTTGGCTGTAAGGACTAAGAACAAGAAGGACAGCAGTCCGAGGTTGGACAGGCAGTTGCTGGGCAGATACGCTTGCAGAAGTGTTTTTCCTGTAAGGTTGTGATGGCCTTTGTGCAAGAGTGAGAATTTTGTAGAGTCCTTTGTGATAATTTTTGTTATTAGTCATACAAGTGTAAGAACTCTTTCTGTGTGGCCTTTCCTAGTGCTATCTTTTTTTTTAAACATAAGTGACTTCATTTTGACTCTGACAAGTTTCACACTGTGAACCACTTTTCTATCTTATCTTAAAAATTATTTATTTTTCTTAATATTGGAAGAATACCTACATAAGGCATTGTTTATTTAGATTTTCTTTTTTGAGGTCTATTAAAAAACATATAAAACTATTTATGGTCTTCTGTGTCTTATTAGTTTTTACTCAATTTTATGTTTTGACATTTACTTGTGTTGTTCCATATGGTATGGTTTTATTAATATTTTATTTATGTCATATTTCATTTTGTTAATGAGTTACTTCTGATTTTTTGCTATAAAAATTATACTTCTATAAACATTAATGTACAAGTCTTCTGATACGTATGTGCAAGAATTTCTCTAGATCATATGCCTGGAAATGAAAAAAATGTTTTATATGTTTTATTGCTTCTGTGAAGCTGTGAAGAGTGCTAGTTGCAACTTGTTTTAAAAATGTTTCTTCATAGTGACTAGAATATTATATGGTTACTGGCAGTGTCTTTTCTAAGCTTTATTAGAGTAATTTCTCCGTAGATTCTTTAGGATATACTGTACAGATAATTAAATCATCCACATTATTACACTTTTGATTCTACTTCTCCAATTCTTATAAACTTATGTTGTTGTGTTTTAAAATTTTATTACTGCCCTTCCTAGCATTTCTAGTATAATGTAGAATAAAAGCTGTCATAATAGATCATTATTTTGTCCTGAAATTTAGATAAAATGCTTCCGATAATTCACCTTGAGGATAAGATTTGAAGAAAAATTTTAGTAGATATCCTCTAAAGTATTAAGTAAATTCTTTTCTGTGATTCTCCTGCTAAGGTTTTTTTCTTTTTAATTCTTAATATGTGTTTCATTGTATCACACTCTTTGCATATATAGAGATTATCAGAAATCTTCTGTTAATCATTAGGTGATTAATATGTTGGTAATATGTTTTATGTATTCTTAAGCTACAAACATGACTATTTCTATTAATTATCTGTTTTGTTACTGTGGTAAAATTCACATGACATGGACTTTAACTTCTTAGCCATTTTAGAGGGTACAATTCAGTGTTGTTAAATACTTTATACTGTTGTGCAACTATTAACACTATCTAGTTTCAGATTTTCTCATGGCCTCACACAGAGACACTATACCCATTAAGCAGTCACCCCCTATTCCCACCTGTACTCACTCCCTGAGAACAACAAATTGTCTTTCTGTCTTTGTGGATTTGTTTATTCGGAATAGCTCATCTGAATAGAATCATGCAATACTTACCTTTTATGTCTGTCTTCTTTTACTTAGCATAATGTTATCAAGGTTCATTCATACATCAGTACTTCATTCCTTTTTATGACTGAATAATATTCTGCTATACAAATATGCCTTAACAAATGACATTGAACATCTTTTTATTTGCTTGTTGAACACGTGATTAGTCTCTGGAGAAATGTCTACTCGTCTTCTGCCCATTTTTTAAATGACATTGTTTGTCCTTTTGTTGTTGAGCAGTGAAATGTTTCATGTACTGTACATAATAGACATCTATCAGACATATGATTGCAAATATTTTCTCCTATTCTATGGATTGTCTTTTCACTGTTTTTCTAGTGTCCTTTGATGTATTTTTTTAAACATTTTTGTGAATTATGATTTTCTCCTTCTTTTGTTGCTTGTGCATTGGGTACTATACCTAAAAAGCTATTGTAAAATCCAAGGTTGTAATGATTTATTTCTGTTCTATCTTAGGAGTTTTAGAGTTTTAGCTCTTTTATTTACTTTTTCAATGCATCTGAGTTAATTTTTGTATGTGATGTGAAATAAAGAATCAACTTTGTTATTTTGCATGATACGTAACTATTACAACCATTTGTTAAAGAGACTACTCTTTCGCCAATGAGTGGCTGTGACACTTTCAAAAGTCAATTGGCTATAGATCATATGAGTTTATTCATCAACTCTCAGCACTCTTGTATTAGTCTATGTGCCTATCCTTATGCCAGTACTACACCCTTTTGATCACTTAGCAGTACGTTTTGAAGTCAGGAAATGTAAGCCCTCCAACATTATTATTTTTCAGTATTTTTTTTGGCTATTCAGGGTTTCTTGCAATTTCACATGACTTTGAAGACTAGCTTTTCTATTTCAGCAAAAAAAAGACCATTGGCATTTTGATAGAGATTGCATAGAATCTGTAAGTTGCTTTGGGATGCATAGACATATTAACGTCCTCAAATGTTCCAATCCAGGAAGAAAGAATGTCTTTCCAATTATTTAGGGCTTCTTTAATTTCATTTAGCAATGTTTTGAAGTATTCTTTGTACAAGTCTTTCATTTCCTTGATTAAATTTATTCTTATATTATTTTGTGTGTCATTATAAATAGAATTATTGTTTAATTTCTATTAGAATTGTTCTTTATAAGTGTATAGAAAGTTGACTTTGTATCTGGAAACTTTTTTGAATTTACTAGCTCTAGTATATTTTATTAAACTTGTTTTGCAGATTAATATATGTGCTATCCTAGAGATTGGTCCATGTGCACTTGAGAAATGGTGTATTCTACTGTTGTTGGATGGAGTGTTCTATGTATGTCAGTTACGTCCAGTTGATTTCTAGTTTGTTTCTTTTTTCAAGTCTTCTTTCTTATTTTTGTCTAATTATTATACATGCATTGAAAATATGACATTGCTGTTCCCAACTATAATTTTATAAATGTCTATATATCCCTTGATTCTTTCCATTTTTCCCGCATATATACTGTGGTTCTGGTTTTAGGTGTGTATGTTGATATCTGTTATACTTCCTGATGCCTTGTAACAATTTGTGACTTAAAGTATATATTTTCTGATATTAGTATGACAGCCCATTTCTCTTTTGTGTATTATTTGCATTGAATATATTTTTTCCACCATTTTCACTTTCATCCTATCTGTGTCTTGATTCTACACTGAATGAATATCTTACAGACGGCATATAGATGGATTTATTTTATGCGTCCATTTTGTTCTTCTCTGCCTTTTAATTGGACAGCTTAATTCACTTACATTAAAAGTAACTGGGAGGGAGCCAAGATGGCCAAATAGGAACAGCTCCAGTCTAGAGCTCCCAGTGTGAGTGATGCAGAAGACAGGTGATTTCTGCATTTCCAACTGAGGTACCGGGCTCATCTCACTGGGGAGTGTCAGAAAGTGGGTGCAGGACAGTGGGTGCAGCGCACACAGAATCAGCTAAAGCAGGGCAAGACATCGCCTTACCCAGGAAACGCAAGGGGTCAGGGAATTCCCTTTCCTAGTCAAAGAAAGGGGAGACAGACAGCACCTGGAAAATCGGGTCACTCCCACCCTAATACTGCGCTTTTCCAGTGGTCTTAGCAAACGGCACACCAGGAGATTATATCCTGCACATGGCTCGGAGGGTCCTACACCTACAGAGCCTCACTCATTGCTAGCACAGCAGTCTGAGATCAAACTGCAAGGTGGCAGTGAGGCTAGGGAGGGGCACCCGCCATTGCCGAGGCTTGAGTAGGTAAACAAAGTGGCCAGGAAGCTCAAACTGGGTGGAGCCCACCGCAGCTCAAGGAGGACTGCCTGCCTCTGTAGACTCCACCTCTGGGGGCAGGGAATAGCCAAACAAAAGGCAACAGAATCCTCTGCAGATTTAATATCCCTGTCTGACAGCTTTGAACAGAGTAGTGGTTCTCCCAGCACGCAGCTGGAGATCTGAGAATGGGCAGACTGCCTCCTCAAGTGGGTCCCTGACCCCTGAGTAGCCTAACTGGGAGGCACCCCCCAGTAGGGGCAGACTGACACCTCACACGGCCGGGTACTCCTCTGAGACAAAACTTCCAGAGGAACGATCAGGCAGCAACGTTTGCTGCTCACCAGTATCCACTGTTCTGCAGCCTCCGCTGCTGATACCCAGGCAAATAGGGTCTGGGGTGGACCTCCAGCAAACTCCAACAGACCTGCAGCTGAGGGTCCTGACTGTTAGAAGGAAAACTAACAAACAGAAAGGACATTCACACCAAAACCCCATCTGTACGTCACCATCATCAAAGACCAAAGGTAGATAAAACCACAAAGATGGGGAAAAAACAGAGCAGAAAAACTGGAAACTCTAAAAATCAGAGCGCCTCTCCTCCTCCAAAGGAATGCAGCTCCTCACCAGCAACAGAACAAAGCTGGATGGAGAATGACTTTGACGAGTTGAGAGAAGAAGGCTTCAGACGATCAAACTACTCTTCAGCTAAAGGAGGAAGTTTGAACCAATGGCAAAGAAGTTAAAAACATTGAAAAAAAATTAGACGAATGGCTAACTAGAATAACCAATGCAGAGAAGTCCTGAAAGGACCTGATGGAGCTGAAAACCAAGGCACGAGAACTATGTGACAAATGCACAAGCCTCAGTAGCACATTCGATCAACTGGAAAAAAGGGTATCAGTGATGGAAGATCAAATGAATGAAATGAAGTGAGAAGAGAAATTTAGAGAAAAAAGAATAAAAAGAAATGAACAAAGCCTCCAAGAAATATGGGACTATGTGAAAAGACCAAATCTACATCTGATTGGAGTACCTGAAAGTGATGGGGAGAATGCAACCAAGTTGGAAAACACTCTGCAGGATATTATTCAGGAGAACTTCCCCAATCTAGCAAGGCAGGCCAACATTCAAATTCAGGAAATACAGAGAACGCCACAAAGATAATCCTCCAGAAGAGCAACTCCAAGACACATAATTGTCAGATTCACCAAAGTTGAAATGAAGGAAAAAATGTTAAGGGCAGCCAGAGAGAAAGGTCGCGTTACCCACAAAGGGAAGCCCATCAGACTTACAGCTGATCTCTTGGCAGAAACTCTACAAGCCAGAAGAGAGTGGGGGCCAATATTCCACATTCTTAAAGAAAAGAATTTTCAACCCAGAATTTCATATGCAGCCAAAGTAAGCTTCACAAGTGAAGGAGAAATAAAATCCTTTACAGACAAGCAAATGCTGAGAGATTTTGTCACCACCAGGCCTGCCCTAAAAGAGCTCCTGAAGGAAGCACTAAACATGGAAAGGAACAACCGGTACCAGCCACTGCAAAAACATGCCAAATTATAAAGACCATCGAGGCTAGGAAGAAACTGCATCAACTAACGAGGAAAATCACCAGCTAACATCATAATGACAGGATCAAATTCACACATAATATTAACCTTAAATGTAAATGGGCTAAATGCTCCAATTGAAAGAAATGGATTGGCAAATGGGATAAAGAGTCAAGACCCATCAGTGTGCTGTTTTCAGGAAACCCACCTTATGTGCAGAGACACACATAGGCTCAAAATAAAGGGACGGAAGAAGATCTACCAAGCAAATGGAAAACAAAAAAAGGCAGGGGTTGCAATCCTAGTCTCTGATAAAACAGACTTTAAACCAACAAAGATCAGAAGAGACAAAGAAGGCCATTAAATCATGGTAAAGGGATCGATTCAACAAGAAGAGCTAACTATCCTCAATATATATGCACCCAATACAGGAGCACCCAGATTCATAAAGCAGGTCCTGAGTGACCTACAAAGAGACTTACACTCCCACACAATAATAATGGGAGACTTTAACACCCCACTGTCAACATTAGACAGATCAGTGAGACAGAAAGTTAACAAGAATATCCAGGAATTGAATTCAGCTCTGCACCAAGCAGACCTAATAGATATCTACAGAACTCTCCACCCCAAATCAACAGAATATACATTCTTCTCAGCACCACACCACACTTATTCCAAAATTGACCACATAGTTGGAAGTAAAGCACTCCTCAGCAAATGTAAAAGAACAGAAATTATAACAAACTGTCTCTCAGACCACAGTGCAATCAAACTAGAACTCAGGATTAAGAAACTCACTCAAAACGGCTCAACTACATGGAAACTGAACAACCTGCTCCTGAATGACTACTGGGTACATAACGAAATGAAGGCAGAAATAAAGATGTTCTTTGAAACCAATGAGAACAAAGACACAACATACCAGAATCTCTGGGACACATTCAAAGCAGTGTGTAGAGGGAAATTTATAGCACTAAACGCCCAGAAGAGAAAGCAGGAAAGATCTAAAATGGATACCCTAACATCACAATTAAAAGAACTAGAGAAGCAAGAGCAAACACATTCAAAAGCTAGCAGAAGGCAAGAAATAACTAAGATCAGAGCAGAACTGAAGGAAATAGAGACACAAAAAACCCTTCAAAAAATCAATGAATCCAGGAGCTGGTTTTTTGAAAAGATAAACAAAATTGATAGACGGCCAGCAAGACTAATAAAGAAGAAAAGAGAGAAGAATCAAATAGATACAATAAAAAATGATAAAGGGGATATCACCACTAATCCCACAGAAATACAAACTACCATCAGAGAATACTATAAACACCTCTACGCAAATAAACTAGAAAATCTAGAAGAAATGGATAAATTCCTCAACACATACACCCTCCCAAGACCAAACCAAGAAGAAGTTGAATCTCTCAATAGACCAATAACAGGTTCTGAAATTGAGGCAATAATTAATAGCTTACCAACCAAAAAAAATCCAGGACCAGATGGATTCACAGCTGAATTCTACCAGAGGTACAAGGAGGAACTGGTACCATTCCTTCTGAAACTATTCCAATCAATAGAAAAAGAGGGAATCCTCCCTAACCCATTTTATGAGGCTAGCATCATCCTGATACCAAAGCCTGGCAGAGACACAACAAAAAAAGAGAATTTTAGACCAATATTCCTGATGAACATCTATGCAAAAATCCTCAATAAAATACTGGCAAACTGAATCCAGCAGCACATCAAAAAGCTTATCCACCATGATCAAGTGGGCTTCATCCCTGGGATGCAAGGCTGGTTCAACATATGCAAATCAATAAATGAAATCCAGCATATAAACAGAACCAATGACAATAACCATATGATTATCTCAATAGATGCAGAAAAGGCCTTTGACAAAATTCAACAACCCTTCATGCTAAAAACTCTCAATAAATTAGGTATTGATGGGACATATCTCAAAATAATAAGAGCTATCTATGACAAACCCACAGCCAGTATCATACTGAATGGGCAAAAACTGGAAGCATTCCCTTTGAAAATGGGCACAAGACAGGGATGCCCTCTCTCACCACTCCTATTCAACATAGTGTTAGAAGTTCTGGCCAGGGCAATCAGGCAGGAGAAGAAAATAAAGGGTATTCAATTAGGAAAAGAGGAAGTCAAATTGTCCCTGTTTGTAGATGACATGATTGTATATGTAGAAAACCCCATCGTCTCAGCCCAAAATCTCCTTAAGCTGATAAGCAACTTCAGCAAAGTCTCAGGACACAAAATCAATGTGCAAAAATCACAAGCATTCTTATACACCAATAACAGCAAACAGAGAGCCAAATCATGAGTGAACTCCCATTCACAATTGCTTCAAAGAGAATAAAATACCTAGGAATCCGACTTACAAGGGATGTGAAGGACCTCTTCAAGGAGGACTAAAAACCACTGCTCAATGAAATAAAAGAGGATGCAAACAAAGGGAAGAACATTCCATGCTCATGGGTAGGAAGAATCAATATCATGAAAATGGCTATACTGCCCAAGGTAATTTATAGATTCAATGCCATCCCCATCAAGCTACCAATGACTTTCTTCACAGAATTGGAAAAAACTACTTTAAAGTTCATATGGAACCAAAAAAGAGCCCGCATTGCCAAGTCAATCCTAAGCCAAAAGAACAAAGCTGGAGGCATCATGCTACCTGATTTCAAACTATACTACAAGGCTACAGTAACCAAAACAGCATGGTACTGGTACCACAACAGAGATATAGACAAATGGAACATAACAGAGCCCTCAGAAATAATGTCATGTATCTACAACCATCTGATCTTTGACAAACCTGACAAAAACAAGAAATGGGGAAAGGATTCCCTATTTAATAAATGTTGCTGGGAAAACTGGTTAGCCATATATAGAAAGCTGAAACTGGAACCCTTCCTTACACCTTATACAAAAATCAATTCAAGATGGATTAAAGACTTACATGTTAGACCTAAAACCATAAAAACCCTAGAAGAAAACCTAGGCAATACCATTCAGGACATAGGCATGGATAAGGACTTCATGTCTAAAACACCAAAAGCAATGGCAACAAAAGCTAAAATTGACAAATGGGATCCCATTAAACTAAAGAGCTTCTGCACAGCAAAAGAAACTACCATCAGAGTGAACAGGCAACCTACAGAATGGGAGAAAATTTTTGCAATCTACTCATCTGACAAACGGCTAATATCCAGAATCTACAATGAACTCAAATTTACAAGAAACAAACAAAGAACCCTATCAAAAAGTGGGCGAAGGATATGAACAGACACTTCTCAAAAGAAGACATTTATGTAGCCAACAGACACATGAAAAAATGCTCATCATCACTGGCCATCAGAGAAATGCAAATCAAAACCACAATGAGATACCATCTCACACCAGTTAGAATGGCGATCATAGAAAGTCAGGAAACAACAGGTGCTGGAGAGGATGTGGAGAAATAGGAACACTTTTACACTGTTGGTGGGACTGTAAACTAGTTCAACCATTGTGGAAGTCAGTGTGGCGATTCTTCGGGGATCTAGAACTAGAAATACCATTTGACCCAGCAATCCCATTACTGGGTATATACCCAAAGGATTATAAATCATGCTGCTATAAAGACACATGCACATGTATGTTTATTGTGGCACTATTCACAATAGTAAAGACTTGGAACCAACCCAAACGTCCAACAACGATAGACTGGATTAAGCAAATGAGGCACATATACACCATGGAATACTATGCAGCCATAAAAAATGATGAGTTCATGTCCTTTGTAGGGACATGGATGAAGCTGGAAAGCATCATTCTCAGCAAAGTATTGCAAGGACAAAAAACCAAACACTGCATGTTCTTACTCATAGGTGGGAATTGAACAACGAGAACACATGGACACAGGAAGGGGAACATCTCACACCAGGGCCTGTTGCGGGGTTGGGGGAGAGGGGAGGGATAGCATTAACAGATATACCTAATGTTAAATGATGATTTAATGGGTGTGGCACACCAACCTGGCACATGTATGCATATGTAACTAACCTGCACGTTGTGCACATGTACCCTAAAACTTAAAGTATAATAAAAAATGAAAAAATCAAAAAAATAAAAGTAAGTGATAGTAAAGCAGACTTTTTTTATTTAGGTTTTTTCTTTATGTTTCGTATCATTTTTGTTCCTCAATTGCTTTATTCCTGTGTTATTTGTGTTTCATTACTTTTTGTACTTATGTATCATTTTCCCTTCTAATTTTATGTATATTTTGTATTGATGTTTCTTGGTGATTACTCTGAGTTTTGCAATTGACATCACATACACACACACACACACACACACACGCAGACACACACACACACATTTTACATTATATATAATGTAAAATTTCCTTCCAGGCTTTTGGCACATCTGTTCCTTGCCCTGAGTGTTATGTTTTGCTCTATGTAGGAGTGGCTTATTTACTTGCCCTCTAATATTTTAGAACATATTCTTTGCAAAGTCATTTTACCAGCATGAGAGTGCCAAGTTAGGTGAAACAAAGTAAGCCTCTTGTGTTTGTTACTCCTTCAGGGATTTTCACAACAGATCAGACAGACAAAAAATTCCTCGGAAACAAGGTTCACTCTACTTTCTTCCCAACCAGATATCTGCATTGGGCACATGGACTATCCTCATTTTGGGAAGGGAAGAGAGTGAGGCAAGGGCAAGTTAAAATACCACAAAGCTTTCCCACCTCATTACAGGAGGCTTTATTCTGATTAAGCATTAGTTTGGCTACTGTAAGTCCTTGACTGTCATCCAAAGTTCCTATGAGGTTTATTCTGATAGTTTTAACCAGTTGTTCCATGTTTTGGAAGAGGCATAGGCCACTGGAGCTCCTTGCTCCCCTGTTTTTGCTGACATCACCTATGCGATGTTATCCTTCTGCCTCTAGAAATGGTATATTGATTTTGTGTTTAGGATGTCTTTATTCATGAGTGAATGAAGATTCATAACTGAGATTATTCCAATAATTTTATGGAGTAGTGCAGTTCTTATTTGCTTTTCATAACAAGTGATTTGTCTGGTACCACAAATGCACCAGATCTGAAATAAGTATTACTTAGAGTACTATGCAACTGGTATCTTGCATTTTCACATAATAGTACGTGTCTTCATTGTTTATGTAATATTACATTCATGCTACCAAGCCTGCATAAAAAGTTTCAGTTGTATAAAACATAAGCATTCATTTATTTACTAATCTGTGGTTTGTCTAGGTTATTCTATTGATTTGGACTGAAATTACTTACATATCTGGGTGTCAGCCGGCTGTTGGCCAATTTAGAATGACCTTGACAACTGAGGAAACATGAGTGCTCTGTATATTTCTCTTTCTCCAACAGGCTAGCTCATGGTTATAGCTAATGTAAAATAGGCAAGCAAAAATTAGCAAGCATGCTATTAAACTTCTGTTTGTATCACACATCATATCTGCTAATATTCTATTGGTCAAATAAGTCACAAAGTTAGTTTCATATTCAAGGAATGGGGGCATAGACTATGAGAAAGTACAAAGTCGCACGTCGAAGAATATGGATATGGGGAGGGGGTAAATAATTGGTCCACAAATGCAATAAAAACAAAACCATGATACATATTTAGGAGAAAAGCTAGATGGATGTATATTAGTGCTAAGATTATTCCTGAAATCAGTTTTTGACAGGTTTAGTAAAGACAAAAGCAGGAGAACAAATAATGTGCTAAGGAGAGGATACCAATTATTGAGGAGCCCTGGCAACTGAAGCAGTGGGAAAGCAATAGTCAAATTTTTTAAACTGATTATTTGCAAATGGTGAGAAATCATTTGTAATAATTTTAGATTCCATGTACATTCTGGTAAATCTGAAAGCCCATATTTTTCTAGGATATTTTATTCACATACTTAGAGTCAAAAATTTAACTAACATGGGATCACAGAGCAGTGCATAAAATAGCAGTTCTGAACTCAAGTATCCTAATTCTAAGTGTCTTTACCCTATTCCAGGGTAAGTCAAGGGATCAGGTTAAGGTAGTATTTTGGGGTATGGTTTAAATTACAAGACAAAAGTAGCCACTTACTCAGACATGCCTAAGGAAAAGTATCCTTTGCTTGAGAACAGCATTTCAATGCACACTTATTCTTTGATGCCTGCAGGAACCTCTTCTGCCCACAGAAATCTTATTCTTTGAAATTCCTGTCATTTCTTACGTATATCCACAGTTTTCTTACTTTTCTGTGCTTGGCTTAGCTTTTCTTATTTGATTTATACTCATGTATTCTCTTTTCATAAGAGGACAAACTACTAGGACAAACTATGCCCCATGGGCTGCCTGTTTTTCAACATAATGGTTTATTAGAACAAAACCACACCCAATTATTTATCTTTTTCATAACATATATTCAGGTCGATAATGGCCGAGTTAACTAGTTGCTACTGAGACCATTTAGCCCAGGAAATTTGAAAAAAAAATTAATGCTTGCCCATTATAGACCCTTGTATTAGAGTATAAATTGTTTAAGGTCAGAAATGTACTCACTTTTTTCAAACACAATGAATGAATTGTCCCAGGGTTAATACCATCTGAAATTTCTAAAATGAATCTATTCCATCATCTATAATTACCCTAAGGATACTTTGACCAAGGATGTCACTCATATTCAAACTATCTTCAGTCAAGTTAAAAACCCAGTTTGAAAGCTATGAGCAGTTATGCATGAATTATAGGTGTTATCAGATTTGCTGCTGGTTTGGTAAAGTAAGTCTGGTAAGTTCTTATGGGACTGGAGCAACACATTTTGACAATTTCCAATTAGCAGCCTCAGAATGATTCTCCAAAATATGCCTGCAACTCCTCAAAAGACCCATGTTCTCCCCAGGCAGAGTTGAGTACCATAAATCATAGTGACACAGTGCACTCACCCATAAGACCTAATATAAGGATAGTCTCCTGAAGCACATTCCAATTCAACCTTATCATAAAAAGCACCTTGGGGCATACTGAAAACTCTATGGCCACTCTAGTCTTTTTATCAGTTATAAGTGAATGATTTTTAAATGCAAAAATGTGTTAAGAGAGCAAAGTAAAACCTGCACGTTTTGGAACATTTTAAGATTAATAGCTTTGTGGATAATGCAGACTAGGTTCAGGATCATTACATTTTCAGTCACATCCAGAACTTCCAAGCTGTAAAATTAAAGTCAGCTTATTTTTAAATTCTTGCAACAAATACCTATATTCATTTACTTATCGAGATTTTTAGTTCTTCATTTGCTTATTGGAATAACATGCTTATTTCAATCATGTGGCCAAGAAATGTTTCATTAGCTTTGCACACATCAAAAGAATATTACTGATACTTGAAGAATTCAGGAGCAAGGAGATATTTAAATGTTCAGGTATTTTTAAAAAATCAGACTACTAACTTGTATTTAAAGTCATAGATGTTTAGAAATAGAAAAGATTTTAAGGAATATCTAGTCAAATATATTCATTTTATAGATGGAGAAAAAGAGTAAAGCAACATGTTCAAAGTCAAATAGCTAGCCACTGAGAAGGCTCGGAAGAGATACCTTTGTCCTAATTCTTTATCAGACAATTACAAGCAGCTGTCTTTATATGATATTAATTCTTAAAAAGGATTTCAACCATTGTACATCTCTTTGATAAGAATTGGATGAGATTTCAATGAGTCTGACTGAAAAAGAAAGGCACCATTATTTACACCAGGAAGCTAATAAAATTGGAGGTGAGATCTGAGAATAGATTTGCCCAAAGTCAGGCTGCAGGTGAGGGCTTGTGCCCTTCTCCACTGTTCACTTCACTGGACTCCCACTGAGGTTGTTAGTTTGTTCATGAAAGCTTATATCAACAGTTTTCATTTCACAGATGATCAAATGGTGTATTTTGTAACTATATGGCCACAGGCTACGATTAATTGCAGTATGGGCTGGTTTAGATGTTGTGGAAATGAAGAGATAATTATGTGTCACTAAAATTCTCTGCACACATCACCAATTACCTTAGACTCCATAGCTGGTAGTAACACTGTCCTTCAGAAAAACCTAATGTGAGAAAATTCATTTCTCTAGGATAAGATTTTTATTTTCTACTTATCAAGATTGCATATACCACTCAGATTGTGAGAATTCTTGATTTATGGTATCGGACTCTCTTTTTTTGGCATATAAAAGCCTTAACATACGCTTGTAAAATTATAGTCTGCCTTATTTTCCACAGTTTACACGTCTACATGTTGACTTCAGTCCTCATAAACTAATTTTGGAGCAGTACATTGTTAAGGAAGAGGAACTATTACACATGTCAAAGCATGTATTGAGTGAATTATTGAGTCAATACATAAATACAAATCTAAACCCTGGCACTTCATCCTAATAAAGTCTTCTCCAAGAACCTGTTGGAATTGTGCAAAGGGTGGCTCCCAGTGCCACTTTCATGAGTTGCTTTCTTTTTGACATCTTTTTGATGTGTTCCTACAGATTAGAAACAGACATAAGGAAATGGAAGCAATATTTTGACTACCATAGATTTTAAGACTCTACTAAATCTGTATTATAAATTAGTTAAATGTGTATCTTCATGCTATCATTATTTTTCAGAAACAGATCAATTTCTATGTAGCATGTACAAACTTTAAAAACATTTTCAGTTCTAATGATTAGTAAGCTATGTTCTAAGCTTAAAATAGTGTTAGTAATATTTGTTGGGGAGGAATGGAATGACTGAATGGTGTGTGTGTGTTTGTGCCTGTGTGTGTGTGTGTGTGTGTGTGTGTGTGTTAGGGAGGGGATAGCTACTGCTGATCAAGCCAATTTAACTGTCATGATGGAGTTAGATATTTTTATCCTTAGTCTTATTTTGGGCAATTAACATCAAATCACAGAGTGCACCATTTTATGTTTTCTGTGGCAGATGCTGTTTATATGACTTTTAATCCAGAGAAGAAGAATATATTTAGTTGTGTGTCATGGAGGGCAGTTTTTAAAATTCTAGGTGCCAACCATGCTGCTTCCTTCTAAGGAAACCAGCCACAGAAAGTTAAGTCTGCATGCTTTTCTTACTTTTTTGGTGTTCTTTTGCCCTGGTCACAATGCATTGAATTGTGAGCCACAGACAATCATGAATTAATTGGTAATAAAAAAAAGATCAACTACCAAGGGGTGATTTGATGTAAGACTGCCCAATGGTGATGTTCTATATTGAATCAGGAAACATTGAAGCGCGATCCACATAGAAAAAATAACAGGAGGAAATTATATGGTCTTCTGAAAATACTTAAAGAGAACTGGGTCACTGGAGTTGCTAATATACCCTAAGGAAAAAAAAAGAAACTTTTCCTATCATTCTTGAAATTCTGATATATTTTAGTTTCTAAATTTCTGGGGAACAAAATTGGCTATGTTTTTTCAAGTATAATAACCACATGATTCCTAATTTCTCTATGATTCTTTGCAAAAAAACCCTTATCATATCAAAGAAACCACACAATGGGAAAACTTGGAAGTGTAAAAAAAAAAGTCCAATTACTATACTTCAGAAGAAAACTCATGACATTGGAAGGGAACACTGACGTCATCAGTGCTAATCTGTTTATCTTCATTAGTTACTAGCCAAGGCATCCTAGACTATTTTCAATAGTCTTTCAATAGTCTTTCTCTGCTAACCTAGCTTTCTAAACTTGTCTCAAATTATAACCCTAACTTTCATTATTCATTCTGAAATAATTACTCTATGATCCATCTATAAATAATAGCTCCTGAAGCATACTCAGCTCTTTTTGCTCCAGCTCTATTCAATACTCTTCCTTTATCTTTTGACAAAATCCTAATGACTGGTTAATGTCTGGCTAGAATGTTTTGCTCACCAGCAAATTATCCATGGTACATAATCATACCCTTCTCCCTCCACACATCTGTATCTCTATTCTGTCTCGTATGACAGTAGTTTCAGCACTTATCTTCTTCTCTCAAGTGATAATCACATTTTAGGGACGTGACACTGATTCCAAATCTCTCTCTCTCTCCTCTCTCTCTCTCTCTCTCTCTCTATATATATATATATGTATGTAGTTCCCTAGAACTACAACTATATGTATATATAGAGAGGGACTATATATATGTATGTATGTGTATATATATGTATGTATGTGTATATATGTATGTGTATATATGTGTGTGTGTATATATAGGTATGTGTATATATGTGTGTGTATATATGTGTGTGTATATATGTGTGTGTATATATGTGTGTGTATATATATATGTGTATATATACACATATAGTTGTATTCCAGGGAACTACAACAAAGGCCACCATGTTCTTAATGCTTGAAAATTATGTTGAACAGAGATGAATTGACTTTCATTCTGTCCGTCCAGTGGCATTGTGTTTGCTCTTTTAATAGTCTCGATGGAGTGAAAATATTATAAACCTTATCCTTTTTAGGACATCATATTTCAGAATAGTTATTTGTCTTTAATTATTTTCAATATATGGTTCAAGAAAAATAAAAATAAAAATGTTCTCCAAGAAAACCATACAGTAACTAGAAGTAAAAAAGTAAAATATTTTCTAACCAGGCGACACACTATAACATTCAGTAACCCAAATCATGCCACCAGAATAACAAAACTCTTAATGTTCTTGTATCTTTCATGAATTTATTATCCCTTTCAGCCAGTGTGTGCCACAGGCAGATTTAAGAAATTTCTCTCTGAATAATTCTCATGGTGGAGAACAAATTATGAATTTACTCATGAAGAGTATTAATGATCCAAGACTCTGACTAAAACATTAATTGTTCTTCCTTGTTCTATTTGTTTTAAAGATTTTTTAAAACTATATTGCAATTATCTTAGACTTTTTATATTTTGAGAGCTGGAATAAATCTCAGATACGATTTAGCTACTATTACAGGCAGTGAGTAGCTGAATAGTAATGGTCTGTGAAAACATTGCTTTATTCCCCTCCTCTTGATTATGGTACCTTCCATTTTGCTTTTGAGGATACTGGTGTCTCCACTTCTCCCAGAGTAATTGGTGGTCGACTTGCCTCTTCGCTGCCCTGCTCTTTAATTTATTTGAATTTAGGTGCCACATCTCACTAAAATGTGTGTCTTCAGAAACTACGAAAAATATTCTGAGAAATCAATAAATGTTTGGTGAAATAATGAAATGACTTGTTTCAAATACATAAGATATGGATCTTATTAATGTCTATTTCCAATTATATAAAAGAACCCTCAGTGAATTGTTTAAATACAAGCTGAACTAAGCCGCAAATGAGATTTTCAAATATTCATTAGTCTTACATCAAGCAGTAAATTACCTTAATCCTTTTTATCTTTTCTATTTTCACTCTAATTCCCTCTTTTAGAAAACCACACCAATTTGGTAACCAAAACAAAATGATAATAACTAAATAATTTCCAGAAATTTTCTGCTTTAAAAATCCCTACAGTGTAGTTATGGCAAGCACTATTTGATCTCTAGATCACGCAGGGAATAATTTCCAAAAATAAATTCACTTCAAACAAATTCACAATAAACACATAATTGACACCCATCAATTTCATCTTTTTTCATATAGTAGAATGTGTTCTCTAGTTACTTAGTGTAAATCGTGTATGAAATTAATTTTAAATGTTTTGAATACTTTCATTTTATTATACTAATAGTTTAAAAATAAACTAGTACTTCTAAAATCTCTGTTTTGTGCTCTCATGTTTACTGAAATGTGGCTTACCAGTTTTATGAAGTGACCTGAAGTCAACGAATAGCTCCTGTTTGTTTGTTTGTCTGTTTTCTAAAGGAAAAATGTGGAAAAACTCAAAGAGAGCTGGCTTTTGGCTTTTGGCTTTTGGATTTGTACAGAATGGCCACAATGCATTCCCTCAACCTTAACCTCTCCATTTTCATTTGTCATTAGTTGAGCATCTATTGGTGTTACTGGGTGCTCTCTGCAACTGAGGCCTAGGTACTCCATGTATAAACCTTTCTAGGATGGCATCAGAATTGGAATTTAGAGGAGAGATTGCCTGACAAGTGAATGCCCACCTATAAAGGAAGAAAAAAATATAGCTCATTTTCCTACTTAGTATAAAAAGTAAATAAATCATGGGCTTCTTTTAGTTCCTATTTCATTTGAGGGCTATAAATTATATCTCTGCTTCTATGTTTTATTAAGGGGGGGTGTAATAACCATTAGGACAGGAATTCTTGTATGTTTTATTTACTATTGCATAACTCTGGATTTAGTAAAAACCTACTACATGATAGATAAATTCATATGAATTGAATCAAAGAAAATAAAGAAGTGAGTTAATTACATTCTTTGAATTAAAAAGCTTTTAATTCAGTGCCCTCTAATATCCAATTAATTTACCAGCCTTATCACATTTTATACAAACAAAAAAAGTCAGATTCTTCTTCAGTCTTCAAAATGACCATATGCTGTAATATTTCTAGTTTCAGCTAATTGTTCAAGTTAAATGCCACCTCCTAGATAAAGTATGTTCTGATCTTCTCCACAGCATTTTGCTAATTGTCGTACCATTGCTTCTACATTTCATTTTGAGGCTCCATCTCTGTTAAACCTTTAAATGAAAATAATTTACAAAGACAGATTTTCTGGGCTCAAGACCATTTGTTTAAACTATTGGAACTTCTGTAAATACTTTCCACATCTCCATGTACACCCTCTGTCTTCCAGGAACATCAGGTCTATATTTTATTTTGATTCTAAATTTAGATTCCCTGATTTCAACAGTGTTTAGTTGGAATCCAGTCATTTTGTCCTTCAAATTGATCATCATCTGTGTTTCCAATTTGATTAATAACTTCCAAGATACCAATGCCAATACCTTGGGAGTTACTTTTTATGTTTATTTTTTATCTTCTACATCAGTAACTCACCACATGCGACTCTTTTATTTAATGCCTCTATTCTCATCTCTCCTATATTCGACATAGGTGCCCCAGGTCTTAACCATATTTATTCTACCCTATTGCAATTAATTGTCTCTGCAATTAATTACTCACAGGCCAGTTATCCTTGTCTTCCTAAAATATAAGACAGATAGCATCACTCCCTTCCTCAAGATTCTTCAATGTCTGCTAATTACCTATAGAAGAAACCCTAAACTATTTTGACTGTCCTTCAATGCTGTCTATTAGCCAGCCAATTTCTTAACCTTATCTCATTTTATTCATCCGAAATAAAAAGTCAGAAGCTTTTCCTTCAGTCTTCAAAATGGCCATATGCTTTATATTTCCAGATTCAACTAATGGTTCAAGTCAAATGCCACACCCTAGATAAAGTATATTCTGACCTTCTCCACATCATTTTGCTAATCTTCTATTATAGTAACATTTATTTTCATTGACTGCAATTGATTATTTGTCTATGCCTGTATCTATATTGCATGAAAAGTGTCTAGGAATAGGAATTGTGTCTTATCTAGCTTTGCACCTTTCACAAACTATAGCATGATTTACACATAGTTTTATTTGAGGAATTTATTTGGGCATGCCATTTTGTCCCCCACAGAGATTAGCGTGCTACATTTTCAATCCACTGATTAGTTATCAGAAGCTCTACCTATGCTATGCGTGGCCCAATTTACCCTCTAAAGCAGTGCTCTTTCTCAGATGTGAGCACATGTCTGCTGTTGTCTGCATTAGATAATCTGTTAAGACAAATAACATAATAACAGTTGAGCCCACTATAATTTCCTTATCAAGAAACATCATCCAGATATAACTTTTATTTATTAGTTAAAATAAGTATCATAAGACATGACCACAATCTTAGCATGGAATGATGGCTTATAAATTGTCATGCACAAGGGCTTTATGGCCACCTGTATCATTACCAAAGTTTTAAGCATATGAACCTATTTACTCACTGGGTGGAACAGATGCCTGAATGGAGTCCCTTGACCAGTCCGTGCTACAATAGCATTTTTTGTTTGTTTATTATGTTTTTAGGATTTGTTGTTTCAGATTTATAATGTATTTAATATGTATACAAACATGACAGTTTCAATGAAAAACTATCCCAGGTAGGGCAACTTATGGCACTCAAAATCTTGAGTTCTTAAAAAAACGCAAAATGAATCAAATGCAAAGAAATAAAAAACTATTTCCTTTGTGAAAATGTAAATAAGATATGTTAGCCTGAGGCTGAAAGTGCATAAAAGCATTGGCTTCATTTAAGGGTCATCTGTGGAGGTTTCAAATAGGTATATTGGCTGTAAAGCCAACAACAGTAACACAAAAAGAAAAACAAAATAAGTCTCTAAAGTGAGGTCTCAGAGTGGAAATGTTTTATTGAACTTTCATTATCCAGATCTTTAATATGACTGTCTACACTCTTATAATTTTATTTTTCTAGGTTGTTGGACAAAACATTCAATGAGAAAACATGTTTTCATTGGTTGCACTTTCTTAGGGCTTCAATTGAATACATCTCCCCAACTACGGCAGTCAATCAGTCTTTTAGAAAACACTGAATGGACAACAAATGTTTCTTAAAAGCCCTGACAGAATAATATGATGGTTGAAAGATCAGCAGACACGTTTTGCCACAAAAATTGTCTTCATGGAAGTTTCCTCTGGTCCCAGGCAGATTTGTTGCTCATGCTTCCCTAGTGTCTAATAGTGCTATGATAAAGCCTCTCCCATTATCATATCCGAGCTTCTTTACATATATGACTTCTTCACTTAACTGCAAATTTTATTCAACTGATGTCGAACAAGATGAGAAAGTGAATAGAAAAAGAATGAATTATTCCATGGGTGGAAGGACAATGAATTACAGCACACTTTCTATTTTCAGTCCATCCTGTGTTATCAATTGTGTTTGTGTGTGTGTGTGTGTCTTTATGATCACTATTTATAAAAGCATTTACTAAATAGCAACTGTGTAATAAGATTAGAGATACAAATATGAATAAGGAAAGTTCAATGAATCTTACCTTGAAGAGGAAATGATACATTTCATAGAATTGAAAGCAAACTTTTGTACTTTTCTATAATCTGGAGGTTTGTTTTTATATGAGATGAATACATTCTCATTTGGGCCATTATTATAAAATATAATTTTGGGTAAACCTACTCTAACATTGAAATCTGCCTTTAAGTACAGAAAAATATTAATTTCAAATCTCCTACCAGATCTTTACAAAGTAAACCATTAATATATTTGTAATAAGCATGTGCCTTGTATTTATAACAATGAGGAAGAAATATTTTGATTCTAGTTATTTTGAAGCAATAATCCCATTATGGGCAGGGTACCAAACAGAGTATATTATGTTTAGGAAAGTGATTTTCTTCTTTTGACTGTCTTTGAGCATATGAATACGGTCAATATTTGAGATGTGGTGTGTGTGTGTGTGTGTGTGTGTGTGTGTTTGCTTGTTAGAATCAATATTGAGGTTCCCAATTAGATAACCAAGGAGAATATGTAATACTCCTCACAGTAAAAAAAATAATTACCTAAAGTGACAACATTTATTTTAAACTTTTCTACTCTATCCCACCCTTTCAGATGATGATCTACTAGACTGAACAGTTTTGGTTCGCAAAATATGCTGCTGAAGATTATTGCATTTCAAATACTTAAAATGAAGGAAATGGGTTGGATCACTTACATGACTAGTAATTATGGGGAGACGTGGGGCTTTCTGAAACGCAGTCATACTTGCTTGGTGGTTTGAAGGAATCACTCTCACAGGAGTGAAAAACTCAAAGGTAACTATGTCCTGGGGTATGCATAAACAAATCCCCTCTACAAAGTTGATTTGTGTCTTTATATATTTTTCTCTAGTCTGTGGGGACTGTCATGTGAAGCATATAGTTCTATATTATGCCCATGCTGCATGGATTCCCTTAATTTACTCCCAACACTTGATAACAGTGTATAAGGATCAAGAACCTCTGCAGTAGACCACTGAAGCCACTAGTTTAGGGAAGTGCTAAGCCTCAAAATGTAAAAAGACCTGGGACTGAACAGTCAGCCGTGGGGAAGAGCAACAACTGGGTAATGACCAGTAATGGATTTCAGATAATGCTCTTCTCTTTTAAATATATTAGTAAAAGATAATCCTGACCAGTCTGTGGCAGCAGGGGGTCAGAAGGGAAGTATGCTGACCCTTGGATTACACACATTTAATTGACAGCTCTATAAGACAGTGATCCTACATACGAAAGATGACACAAATACGACATGCGTAGAAGGAATGGCCTGGTTTGGAAAAGTTTCAGGGAGGCTCATTGTTTTAAATGGGTCTTGAAAGGATATTACAACTTTGACAAGTGGTGTTGTAAAGAGATGAATGTAAGAAAAAGCTAGAAGGTATATTTCACAAGGTAAATTATTTTACCTTTAAAGATAATATGTATGGCTGATAACAATGTATATAAACAAATTTAACTAAAAAAAAATACAGTGAGGTGATCACTTTCTTTTGTACAAATCTTCTTCTTTTTTTTTTTTTTTTTTTTTTGAGATGGAGTCTTGCTCTGTCGCCCAGGCTGGAGTGCAGTGGCGCGATCTCGGCTCACTGCAAGCTCCAGCCTCCCAGGTTCACGCCATTCTCCTGCGTCAGCCTCCTGAGTAGCTGGGACTACAGGCGCCTGCCACCACGACTGGCTAATTTTTTTTTGTGTGTGTATTTTTTAGTAGAGACAGGGTTTCACTGTGTTAGCCAGGATGGTCTTGATCTCCTAACCTCGTGATCCACCCGTCTCGGCCTCCCAAAGTGCTGGGATTACAGGCGTGAGCCACCTCGCCCAGCCTGTACAAATCTTCTTACTAACCTAGTTCTCCTTTGGCTGTCGGTAAAGCCAGAAATAATTTATGGAGTTCTCTCCTATAATGGCTTCATGTGAGAATAGCATACCAAAATAAATGAGAAATATTTAGTTAATATTTCCAGATGTTTTATCTATGTGATACTAAATGCCCAGATATTAGTCCCAGCAGGAGTACTATAAATAAAAATAACAATAACAGAGGACACTATCTTTTCCTACTCAGCAGCCATCTCAAATACTTTACCACAGTAAGTCAAGACAGAAACAAAATTCACTCTGAATAGAAGATTTTCTAATACTGTTCAGATTTTCTTTTTAAAATTTAGATGAGGAATTGTCATTATCTACATTGTTTGTCAAATGATACAATCAATTCATGACGATTCCACTACCTACTTTTGAAATACATTTCGATAAGCTTTATATTGGAATATAAATTGGTGTTTCAAGCACTACTGTTTACTTTGCAGTATTCTTGCCTGAGTCCTTCTTTAAATATAAAGTCTCTATAGAGACTTAGAGAAACTGCATTTAAAAATGCCATCTGCTTTCATGTGATATTTAGCTTTTCTTCTTTAATTAAAACATTGCCCATTTATTATGCATATCCAAAGTTTAAATTATTATATTTGCGTATCTAAGGCACATTATGATGAAAAGTCATTTTATTAAGCATTTTTTTCTGAGTGCTAAGAATTACATATATATTTTAAATTTGAGAGTTTACATATTCTCCCTCATAAGAGAATTGAAGCTAGCAAAGATTAAAAGGAGGCAATCTAATTTAATGGCTTGCAAATATAGTTGATGAAGAAACGTGTTAATCAGGAAAAAATAACTCAAGTGACTTCTGTTGAAAAATACCATGAAATCAGAGCAAGTAAAATGAGAATTCTTAGCTTTATTTTATTTTCTTTCCCATATTGACATAGTAGAAAAGACACATGCCAAGGAAAGTATCAAGCAAATGGATTCCCATTCTAAAAGTACACCTAGATTGTTTGAAAATTATGTCTGTATAAAAGGAACAAAACTGTCTGTGAAACTGTTTAGGCTGTTGTGAATACAATGACTAAATGTAGTGTCATAGCTCATGAAAATGAAAACAAAATGAATCCTTAATCAAATTTATAAAGTAAACTGAAGAATCTATTCTATCTCAGCAATTCCTAACAATGTGCTGTCTTGAATTATCAAAGGTCATAATAGGATTTTTTTGTCATGTTGTGAAATTATGGTGTTTTTTCACCCAGCAGCTGAACTGACATTCACTTTCTACCACTGATGCTAGGAAATCCCACAGCCATCCCTGGGCCATCGGAGAAATGTGTCCAGGCTAGCCATTCTCTCTACCTAGCTGGTTCTTGTCATGGTCATTGATGCAGCTCCCTGCTTTTCATCTCTGTGAATAAAACTGGCCAACTCTTCGTTAGTTAAGCTCTCTTGGATGACTGAATGCCACAGTAATATTTCCCAAAGATGTTCAGAGAGGAATCGAAAGGGCTCGGAGTAAGAATAAGCAAATAAAATCAGTGAAGAGTGACAGACAAGTAATCCCGAGTTTGATTGCTTGCCCATATTTAAATGTTGAAGTGGAAAATTCCCAATTCTGCTACAATGCGGCTACCTCCTCGAGACCCATAAATTCAAAGACGATTGGTGAAGCTGATTCTAAGAGTCACAACGTGGCTGAAAATAAGAAAGCCAAGATAGTTTGTAGCTTAAAATTTGAAATCTCTTCTATTTCTTTTTTGGGGATACAGATTTAAGTGGTGCTTTTAATTTTTTTTAATTTAAAACTAAATATTATTTATGTTCATCAGTGCAAGATAAGAACAAGCAAAATATAATTAAATAAAATGATATTTTAAAATCTATCACACATTTAGATTATGTTTTCTCCAAGTTAGTTGGGCCCTCAAAATTTAGTTTAACTCGACATCCAATTCCACTACTTTTGCAGAAATTTCTGATTCTAATTTGCCTTGAAAATCTTCAAGGATTCATGATCTCTTTGGCTGTCCTTTCAGTATCTGAAAAATTTTAACCAGATAGCTACTAAGTGTCATCCTTTCTTGGGCATAGAAATGATCTAGATAGATCATTTCTAAAAAACATTTTTTTATCTTAGAAAAAATTTAAACAACATGTCAAAAAACTAATATGGCAAACTCCTTTTTATTCATCACTCCGAATTAGCCAACATTAAGAAACTCTCATTCATACTTACTTCAGATCAATTTTAACATAGTAGAAACAGTAGAAAAAGGTAAAACTCTCTCTATAGTCCTCCCCAAACCCATTTCCTTCACATGCTTCCCAGAGAAAATTATTATTATAAATTCAACCATAAGTGTATTTTTTCAACTATGGTTTGTTCTTATTGCAATATTTATCAATATTGGCTCATATCCATCCAGCTCATTTATTTATTTGAACTTAGATATAGTGGTCTACTGCATGGTTATAATGTCTTTATGTATTCACAGTCACTGTGCACATAGGTGGTTGTTATTATGTTTCTAACCAAAAATGGTGTTATGAATGTTGCTCTGCAAGTCTTCGATAGACCTAGAGGTAAAATTTCTGAGTTGGCAGCAGTACTCTTAATTTAATAAAATTGTTGAAAATCCCTATAAAATATATGTAGTGAACTATATTTCCCCTAACAGTATATGAATTCCTGTTATCTCACATTGTCTCCAGTAATTCACAATTTGTAAATTTTTCAAATCATATGGATAAGAGAGAAATATATCCCTGCTATTTTCTTGATGAATAGTGATTTGAGCATCTTCTTATGGGTTTATTTTCCAAATGACTTTTGTCTTATGTGAAATGATATATATATACATTGCTGATCTTGAACTGTGTGATCTCTTATTATTGATTCAATAAGTTCTCTTTACACTTGGATAATAACCATTTTTTTCAGTGATAAGCAGTGTAGATGACATCTTGCCATCTGCCACTTGTTTGGAATTTGTTGAAATTTTAGCAATACATTTACTTTAATTTTTGTAATCAAGTTTATTATTCATTTATGTGTTGTGTCTTCTTTATACGTGTTTTAGGAAATTATTTTTTTCCAAAATCATAAAGATATTCACATATATTTTGTTTGCTATTTATGTCTTGTCTTTTTTCTGCAATGTTTTATCTGTATAATTTGAGAGACTTTTTTTCTTTTTTTTATATAGACAACCAAAATTTCTTTGGGTGATTATCCATATGGTAATCTTTCAAATGAAAATTATCAACTTATTTTGAGTCTTCTTTCTTCTAGGCTTACCATTCTCAGTTTCTTCATCTGCTTCTCCTTGTAGTTTTTAGTCTCTTTAATATTGTAATTGCTTTCCTTAGAGTGTGCCCCAGCTTTTCTATATCTGTTCATGAATATGCTAAACAGAACTTCACAGAATAAATTACTGTACAATTGATTTATTTAACACAGGATGGAATTATTCCTCCTTTGCTTCAGATGTTGTATTGCTCTTAATGCAGCCAAAATTCTATTACTTTTCAGTAGTCACATTACAAACTTGAGTCCTTTTGAGCTTCTGCCAACTAAAACCCTTTTGTCCTTTTGTACATGGTACTATTAACAACACCTTCTCTTTCCAATTCTTGTGAAGTTTGCTGGAATTTAACATATAGATAGTTTTTTAATTAATATCAATTAACACTCTGTTTTAAATCATAGCACATGTAGTTTTAATTTGACATGAACTAGCTCAATTCTGATTCTGTCATCTAGTATACATTCCATTCTGTGTGTGTGTGTGTGTGTGTGTGTGTGTGAGAGAGAGAGAGAGAGAGAGAGAGAAAAGAGTATTTTCCATTTAGCTTCATTTAGTATTCTAGCTCATTTTCTCAATCTGAGAAATTATGTTAAGTTGGACACTTTTTTCATGTTCCAGAGTATCTGTAAAAGGGGGATTACAATATTTATCTCTCACTGTGTGAGTCTTAAATTAAATATTAAATTCTTAAATTAGATATAAAGACCCAACACACACTGTCAGGCTTAAAATGGGGACTTGTTAAACATTATTTTCCCTCATTCCTGTACTAAAAGGCATGAGTATGTTTGGGTGTGTGTATTTGGGTCTGTATTATGATTGCTTTTACTTGAGAAACTGATTAAATTGGTTTTTGTACTCTTACATTTTAATTCCTGCACCTCGGATGTCCCCAGAAGCATAGGATGATACTCCCAGGTTTTCAGCGCATTTTGCCATGCTATTTCACCATCTTTGCTTAAGAGATTTTCTCTTCCCTTCCCATGAGAACTGACCTGCTATTGGTGCCATTAATGCCATATCCCTGCCACCTCATTACTGTGTTAGTCCATTTGCAATACTGTAAAGGAATACCTGAGGCTGGGTAATTTATAGTGAAAAGAGATTTATTTACCTCATGGTTCTGCAGGCTATAACAAGCATGGCACTAGCATCAGTTTCTAGTAAGACTCAGGCAGCTTTTACTCATGATGGAAGGCGAAGGGGAGCTGGTGTGTCACATGGTGGGAGAGGGAGCGAGGGAGCGAGAGAGAGAGAGTGGGGCAGTGCTACATTATTTTAAACAAACAGCTGTTGCACGAACTCAAAGCAAGAACTCAGTTATTACCACAGGTAGAGCACCAAGCTATTCATGAGGAATTCTCCTCCACGACCCAAACACCCACCACTAGACCCCACCTTCAACATTGAGGATCACATTTCAACATGAGATTTGGAGGGAACAAACATGCAAAACATATCAACTGCTTATCTTGTCTATTAAATTAGATTACACCATATCCAATATTTAGTAGCTCTTTTATGTAATTCACCAGTGGTTAATGATGATTTAATAGTGAATTACTTTTGTGAGACAACATTTTGAAAAAAGAGAGATAAAAGATTAAAGAAATTTTAGGATTTGAGACGGAAACATTAACATACAGATTCATATACATATATTTTACTTTGCTGACCTGTGATGAGAGGCTGAAACTCCCCCACTGCCCTTCAACATAAACTTAATGGAGAGTTATACTAAGGAATGTTTCAATTTAACATCCAGGTAAAATAAAAGAAATAGATTTTCTAAGCCTGTCTGTGGTTTTGACATATTATTTAATAAGAGCAGTGCCATAAGTTGTCTAAATAGTTTCAGGCTGTGTATATGATGATGATACATTACCACTAAACTCAATCACGCCCACCCACCAAAAAAAAAAAAAAAAAGAACACTGAAATTTCAAAATCCCTGAAAATTGGTGGGACTAGAAAATAAGTGAGTGTTAGGAAACTGTGCTATTTACATCAGCCCAGAGACCTCCCCGCTTTCCAGCCCTCATGAGCAAACCTTGGCATCTTTATGCCTAATTGGCATCTCACCCTCAGGGGTTTTCACTGAATTTTCTACTTTGCTGACATATTTGAACAGTGTTGGCACCAATATTTGAAAGAGAGCTTTAATCTCATAAAGGTGATAGACTGCTGTCATCCTCAGACAAAGTATCTGTCACAAAATGTTCTGAACAATACAACAGATTCAGATGCTAGTATGGGGCTGACTCTTGAGTTTCTCTGTGTATTTCTGAGATGTTCTCATCTTGTCTTCATTGCAACAGAATGGATGTTTATTTACTTTTTAGTATTTAAACAAAACTGTTGCTTAAAAACATTGTAACATAAATTTGCACACATTAATACATATTTTATAAGTCACTTTAAAATACAACATATCCCTAAGTTAAGTATTAGATCATTACTGCCTGATCTTGACTTTCTTAGAGGTCACAGAATTCTGAAGTTCATTCTTCTAAAACTTAACAGATATGTTTATCAAAGAATTAATTTCATTTAAAGAATGATGATTTTATGGATTATACCTGAGATTTTTGTATTCAGGGTTAGAGTTTATTGTTTAATTGACAGCTATTGTTTTTATTAGTCTGTTAATACATTGGAAATGTTTTGGTAGAACCAAGATAAGAATACATCTATGCAGGTATGTGGCTTCTGCAGTAACGAACAATGATAAATGTCACTTTAGTTTACTCTGCTTCCCAAAGTCGCTTTTTCTCTTTTTTAACTTTTTAATACATATACAGTGTAATAACAGAACTTTTGAAGTGCTATTAAGTAATCAGACAATTGAATTAACTTAGTAGAAAACCCATCAATGTCAGCACAGTTCAATGAGTTATTCATTCAGTCAGCGATTCAATGAACATTTTTGAGAATTAATTTATCCAAGTATACTGATATGCAGCAAAGATTGTATAAGGATGTGTAAAATTTCAATCTTAAAATCAGACAAAAGACCCATTATAATGCATGCAAATACTCAAACAGGTTTACATAAACATATCAGGACTTTATGTAACCTCATCAGGAAAAGCATGAAGTTTGTGCCACTTTCTTCAGAAAAGGGGAAGCCACTTCTAGGCTGAAGGCACTGGGGGAGTCTAATGGTTAAGATTCATTTAAATTGTACCCTACATCAGAGATTAGAGTTCAACTGGCAGAAATTGGGTTTGAGAAAAGAGGATATTGCTATGGCACTATCAAAGACATAATGCGAAAAAGAACAAGACAGTTTTAGAGACTGCTATACTTCAATTTTAGAACTATAATTTGCTTGATTTGCAGAAGGGAAAAATATAGGTTCAGTACACAGGGGAGGCTTTGAGCACTAGATTCAAAAGTTCATATTTTGTTTGAAAGGCCAAAGGAACTCTCAAAGTTTTTGAGGTAGAGGAGATCTGATTCTTAAAAGATCAAACTGGTTACTTTGTAAGTAAACTTGGTAAAATTGATTGTGGGAGGGACAATGAGAGTGAGGAGGGATCTCAAATAGGCAGGGACTGAAGTGAGCTGTCCAGGAAGTCCTATGTCAAGAAGATTTTATCACTGGTTAACAAAGTTTACAGATAGGAGGCATTACATGAGCTTAAAAAAAAAAGAATACTGCATAAAATAAAATTCAGTGTGACTCCAAGGTTTCAAGTCTTGATTTCTGTGAGCCAGACTGCCTGAATTTAAATTTACTATCTGGAGGACCTTGGGCAAAGCTCCCTGTGTTGCAATTTCCTTATCTGTAAAATGGGGATGATAAAAATTGTGGCTCTATTGTAGATTGTTGTATGAATAAAATGAATTTGTATATATAAAGCTCTTGGAGTGGTTCTTGGTTCGTAGAAAGAGAAATAATAGGCATATTGGAAACTATTCCTATTTTGTTAGTATTCAGCATCACCAATGAATAAGGTCAAGTTTATATTTAAAGAGAGGAAGCAGCATTCTACAATGTAATATTATACTTAAGTTTGCAAGATATTTTGCAAAATTCTATCTAAAGGCTTTTCTCACATGGAAAGATGGTAGCCAAGATGCTTGTGAGCATTTTCCTGCACTGGTGTTTCATTGTCTGGCCCTTATCACAGTTAAAAGTTCTTTGAGGTGCATTTAGCATCACAACTGTATACATTAGCAAATAAACTTAATGGGGTTATATGATTTATCTGAGATCATACCTAGTGAGAAGTAGATACAATACTTGAACTGTTCCTAATTCAGAAGTTCACAGAGTTTCTTTTTTAGCCCCTCATTTCAGAGATGCAGTACTTTCAAGGAATTAGTATAAAGCTACTTTATGGCCTACAATCAGAAGATCTTGGGTCAACTCCAAGCTCCATCTCTTAAGTTCTATCAGGTAAATCATAATTGTTTCATAATAGCTTAAAGACTACAGGACTCCAGTATAGGGCTGTTTACACTATACCTCATTTTAAATATGTTCTTTTTTTTTCTCTGTAGACAACTGAAGCACTACAAACACACACAGGTAATGCAGGTAATGTCTGTATGCACATCAATGCTAGTATGGTAAAGACTTACTTCAATTCACTTATATTCTGCTTCGTTGGTTTTAACAAATGACCCCCTCTATGATCTTGCATGTACACATTCAAATATTAACCTAGTTGGAGAGTTTGCATTTCAAAATCAATTCAAGGAGAGTAGTTAAGGTGGAAGATTCCCAGATAGAGATTTATCTTTTTTTAAAAAAATCTAAATCAATACAACTTTTGAGTAAGGGAAACAATAGTGAGCATTTTGCTCCTTGTAATCCTATGTTCAAGTAAGTGGCGAAACATATTTTTTTGGACTCTATTGCTATTCAGTCATGTAAATGGCCTAAAGCAAATTGGAAGGAGCAAACCTTTCAACCATGTCAGATCCCAGGGGCCTGTATACACACAGTCTCAGATCTTGGCAGCCTTTCCACCAGTCTTTTGCCACTGAGTCATGCCTGTGTTCAAGACGATAATTAGCATCATCAGATATGTCGTTCAGCCAAAAGCAATACATTCTTCTGCTGCTCTAATTCAACTTCCTTTGGGCCTTGGCTGACGGAATGACAAAGTTCTATTTTTATTATTTTTGACAGATCATGCTTGGGATTTTTTTTCTCTAGGGAAATTCCCACAACCATTTTAAGTTTACATGCTTAGTTTATATATTAAAACTGTCAGACATGTTGAGGGCAACACCAGGAAAATTTTTTTTGTTGTTTTGGTTTAAGAAGCTGAGCTCTTAACCCATCCTTCCTTCCTCTCTTCCTTCCTTCCTTCTTTCCTTTCTGCCTCCCCTTCCTACTCCATACGTATTGTTTCTCTCCCACCACTCTCTCTTTACTTTTAATAAGAAAGAATAAATTCCAGAATATTCCTTGGTAATGACCAGTGAAGTTTAGGTGGTGATTGTTCAGATTACCCAGAATCAAATATCTGAAATCCATTATAGAGGACTGAATACCTACCTACCTCCTACAAAGCTTTTGAATTGCTTGATTTGAGAGAAAACACTTGCAAACTGGACCCAATAACCTTTGATAATTTTAAATTTCATGGTTATTAATCACATTTTCAGCAAATACCTGTGAGCTTGTATTATTTAGCCTACACCAACTGCATATGCAATGCACATATTCTCTTTTAAGTCTATTTATGCTGTTTATCCTCTTCTTTTGATACAGAAGGTCAGTTCTCATTAGCTTTTCATGCAGCCTTTAGAAATGCCTCCCACTATATTGAAAACTAAAAATAAAATCTTAAGTTGCCACTGACTGAACAGACCCCTTCTTGGCCAAGGGGATCCCAGAAAAACCTTACAAACTGAATTCCTGCTCATGATGGGAAGGGAGATTGGACACACCTTGTAATATTTCCTCTCTTTCGGAGTTTACGAAAACTGACCAGTGTTAATGTTAAAATAGACATCAAAAGACTAACAAAATGGATTCTTTGTGACAAGAAGATACCAAAATATAAACATGACTTAAGGTCGTGCCAGACAGGAGTTAAGCCACACACTCCTGCAGGTCACTCTGACCCAGTATATTGGTTAACAGGCTGCCTTATCGTAAAGATTCCATTCTGTTGACTCCAAATTTTTATACAGAGCTTTAATATTTTAAACAATTGCCAATTAAGGAATCTCTCAATCCATCTGTAACCTGTAAGCTCCCACTTCAAGGTATCTCACCTTTCAGGTTAAATCTATGCATATGTCTTTGCCTGCAACTCCTGTATTCTTGAAACATATAAGAGCAAACTGTAACCCAACCACCTAGGGGATACTTCCTCAGGACTTTTTGAGACTGTGTTTCCTCAGGCCATGGTCACTCATATTGTTTCAGAATAAACTTCTTTAAAATATTTTATAGTTTGTTTTTTTCCATTTACAGTATTAATGAAAGTTACAACTTTATATACATTTAAAACAAATGCATAATTAATTTCAAGTGACCTTTATAACTAAATGATAGATCTATTCACAGAAATGGATTTTTAAAATATGCATCATTTATAAGAACAAATATGTACCTATCAACATATTTTACATATATATATATATTTGAGCAACTGTTCATCAATATAGAACATTTGAGAAAAAGGACTGTAATAATCTGATAACTAGTACAATGAGATATTTTTGGAAACAAATTAATATGTGACCTATAAAAATATTTTAAAAATAAACTTGGGACTAATTATTCTCATAAGTCAGAAAAGATATTTTAAGTAATGTACTTACTCACTAGGAAGGTCAATGTTATGCTAAATATTAAAGAATGTTTTATGGTAATTGCTTTACTGTGCATTAGCTACCCCAAACCTTGGCTCCCATGGCAGTAGAAATATGTAAGGTACTGCTGAATGATAATATAGGGATTTATAGGAAACAAAATAAAATTAACTTTGATGGGAAGCTGGATAAATAATTAGTTTCAGATTTCTCCATATCAGAAGCTTTCTTTTTTTTATTATTATACTTTAATTCTAGGGTACATGTGCACAACGTGCAGGTTTGTTACATATGTATGCATGTGCCATGTTGGTGTGCTGCACCCATTAACTCGTCATTTACATTAGGTATATCTCCTAATGCTATCCCTCCCCCCTCCTCCCACCCCACAACAGGCCCCAGAGTGTGATGTTCCCCTTCCTGTGTCCATGTGTTCTCATTGTTCAATTCCCACCTATGAGTGAGAGCATGTGGTGTTTGGTTTTCTGTCCTTGCGATAGTTTGCTGAGAATGATGGTTTCCAGCTTCATCCATGTCCCTACAAAGGACTTGAACTCATCCTTTTTTATGGCTGCATAGTATTCCATGGTGTATATGTGTGACATTTCCTTAATCCAGTCTATCATTGATGGACATTTGGGTTGGTTCCAAGTCTTTGTTATTGTGAATAGTGCTGCAATAAACATACGTGTACATGTGTCTTTATAGCAGCATGATTTATAATCCTTTGGGTATATACCCAGTAATAGGATGGCTGGGTCAGATGGTATTTCTAGTTCTAGATCCTTGAGGAATTGCCACACTGTCTTCCACAATGATTGAACTACTTTACACTCCCATCAACAGTGTAAAAGTGTTCCTATTTCTCCACATCCTCTCCAGTACCTGTTGTTTCCTGACTTTTTAATGATCACCATTCTAACTGGTGTGAAATGGTATCTCATTGTGGTTTTGATTTGCATTTCTCTGATGGCCCGTGATGATGAGCATTTTTTCATGTCTGTTGGCTGCATAAATGTCTTCTTTTGAGAAGTGTCTGTCCATATCCTTTGCCCACTAGTTAATGCAGAAGCTTTCAAATTGGCCTCCATGTGAGCATGAGACTTCTTTTGTGTAGCTTCTGTAGAGGCTTTGTCCTGGAGAGAATTTGTGTCAACCCTTTCCAGTTTAAAGCAGGTCACATTGGATTTGACTTGTTTTATTTTATTTATTTTATTTGGTATGTGGGAGATGGAGTCTCACTCTGTTGCCCAGTACAGTGGCACGATCTCGGCTCACTACAACCTCGACCTCCCAGGTTCAAGCAATTCTCCTTCCTCAGCCTCCCCAGTAGCTGGGACTACAGGCGTATGCCATCACACCCAGATAATTTTTTGTATTTTAGTAGAGACAGGGTTTCACCGTGTTGCCCAGGCTGGTCTTGAACTCCTGAGCTCAGGCACTCCGCCTGCCTCAGCTTCCCAAATTGCTAGGATTACAAGCATGAGCCACCGCACCTGGCTTTGACTTGTTTTAGGTATTATAATTTCCCACACGATTTTATTAGAAATATTTATCTTTATTATTAAAAGAGTGATGGAAACCAGTGATTCAAATATTCTCTATGTCTGCTTTTCCTTAAAAATCTTTAAATGCTTTGTACTTGTAGGTCTGAGCCCTTTACTGGGGCGTAAGACTCTCCCTTGTTCTTTCCTATGCCTGCATTCAAAGCTCCCAGCAAATTGAACTAAACTATATGTATTCCTCTTGTGCTTTCTCAAGCTTCCATTTTTAAATACATTGTTTTTATTTCCTTGGACCTGACTGTCAATTTTCCCATGCTTACCTCCTTTTTCTTTAGTTTTTGTCAAGTCATGATTAACAAAGCACTTGCGATCGTCTTGTTACAGTTTCCAGGGTTTAAATATTTATTCAACTTTATTGTGTTACCTGTTTGTCTATCTTTTTCCCGTTCTAATTTTAAAGGCTTTTCAATTCTGTCTGTTGTTCTTAATATAGAGTTTAGTACACATTAGACAGTAAATAAACAATGCCACATTAACGAGAACCTTAGTAACATTTTTGCAAGGGAATATGGGAATGAGCCAAATTCCTCAAGATGCTGACAATCAAATATTTAATGAACACCAACCATGTCTTCAGCACTGACTAAAGGACAGCTTACTGAACAATAGTTTATTACTGTAAACAGCTCTGCGGAACAGGAACAAAGTAAAATACAAACGCTGGTTGGGCCTAAAGTCAAGATCCACTGTGCTTCAGGCCTCAAATTGGTCACTGTTTTTCAATCCTGACTGTACCAGAATCATCAGTGACTTTCAGTTACCCTTACTAGTCCCCATTCTAGAGCAATTATAAAAACAAGACTGGAGAATGAGTATGGAGTCTGAGCATCAATTTTTAAAAAAGTTCTCCAGACACTTCTACCTTAATGCAAGAATGAGAATCATCCCTGAAGTATTCCTTATTCTTCTGAGTGAGAGCAGACTCCTTTCTGTAGGATAGGAACTGGAGCGGCATTCCCTGTTCCTGAAGGGGTATACAAAAGCTACAGCTTACCATCGTTTGGGGCAAACACTTAAAGACAATTTTGAGATATAGAGAAATGGGACAACAAAACACAGCTGGTGACCAGTCACTAAAACATACTTTTCTCCAGCTATGGGTTAAATATTGCAATATCAGTGACCCAACAATGAAATAGAAATCCAAAATATCACTATAAGATTTATTCTGGAATGGTGGCCAGGACACTGGTGGAGCCCAAACAAATTTTGTTAGAAAATGAGGAATGAATGCAGAGAGAGAGAAATTAAACAAACAAGAAGACCTCTTGTCTAACATGAGATTGCAAATCAAAATGGAAAGAAATACATCAAAACTACAATGAGATATTATCTCACACCAGTCAGAATAGCCATTATTAAAAAGTCAAAAAAAAAAAAAAAAAACAGATGTGGGCAAGGCTGTGGTGAAAAGGGAATGCTTATACACTGTTGGTGGGAATGTAAATTAGTTCAGCCACTGTGGAAAGCAGTTTGGAGCTTTCTCAAACAACTTAGAACTACCAAAAAGACACTTGCACTCGTATGTTTATTGAAGCACTATTCACAATAGCAAAGACTTGGAATCAATCTAGATGCCCATTAACGGTGGACTGGATAAAGAAAATACACCATTTTTTTTTTTTCCAAGATGGCAGATTGGAGGCATTGTTAGCATGCCTCTCTCACCTGGAAAGACAAAATAGCATGTAGAGATTCATACTGTGAACTTTTTTCGAGGAAGCAACACAGGAACTTAACAGGAAAACTGAAAGAAATCACAGACCCTTTGAAAGACGCAGCAGGTTGCAGCCTACACTGTTAAGCCAGGCAGAAAACTGTAAGTTTTCAGAGTGTGAGAGGGGATAAACTGCCTCCAGGATAAACACTCCCAGTGGGGAACCTGGCAATTCAAGCCACAAAGGAAGGCCTTAACCCCACCCAGTAATGGAAAGGATTTAGGGAGTGCTAGGGAAAATAAAGGTAGAAGCAGCAGCAGGAAGAGCCTTGCATGTATTCCCTGTCTCCAACAGGGGTGGAGAGAAGCCATTTATGATTCTACCTCACAGAGGACCTTGCAGAAGTAATCCAGCTAATTAAGGCAGTGATACTAGGTTGAGAGGAGTTCCCAGCTGAAATTCATGTTATAGTCTCCAATGGGGCCAGAATCTCTTGGCCAGGACTTGGGGGCAGATGGGAAGTGTGCTATAGCAATGAAGGCAGGAGCTAGGTACCCTGGCTTTGCAGGAGGACTGGGAGGGGCATGGCCTGAAAGCCACAGTAGCTGTCTTCACTGGGAAGGCTTCTGATCTGGGGCAGTTTTGTGTTCTAGGTGCGGACTTCCTAGAACTTAGCTAGCTGCTGCATGTGGAACACTGCCATGTGAGACCTGCCTTGTCAGGTGCATGGCAGATGGGTGGGGCTTACTGCCATCTGCTACTCTCTACTTCCTGTGTGAATAAGGTGCAACAGAGGCCGCTGCACTCATCTCTGGAAGATGATCCCAGTGGCCAGACAATCGCTTCCCAATCCCCACTGGGGCCACTGCTTGTCCCGCACATGGAGAACCAGAGCACAGACCTGCCTGCCCCTACTTCCACCTGGCTTTTCCCCTCCACCCACCCTAGTAGTTTAACACAAAAAAAATATAGAAACTTTTGGGAACTCTCTGGCTTTGCCCATTGCCTGAGAATCCAGAATACTATCCCAGGATAACCTAAGACAAGCACAAATTCCACTGCTACTACCACAACTGCTATTCTTTTGTAGGCACCACCTATTGGCTGCAGGCCAACTGACACAGTCCATTATAGCATCTCCAGGTAGAACAGCATAGCTCCAAGGAAGGAGAAAATTTGTGCATGACCTCAGCTTTCACCATTGCCTGCAGCACTCTGTCTAACCAGGAGGTCTTAACCCTGTCCCCATGACCAGTTCATTACTACTGCAACTGTCATTTGAGAAAGCCAACGCTCTAAGCTAACACACTAAGGTTATTTATAACCAAGGAATCTCACAGAGTCTACACCACTCCCCTTCCACCCTCATCAGAGCTGGTGCTAGTACTCATTACTGGGAGATTTGATGACAGATCACATCACTGCATCCCTTGCAGGCATTCCACAGCACTAGCCTGAAGTGTGGCATCCCCACTCGGTGGTGAAACTCAGAGGAGCAGCAGCATTTATAGTAGTCTTGCTCTCAGGGACTCCTACTCCTAGGGAAAGGGGGAGTACATCTCATCAAGGGAACACCCCGTGGGACAAAAGAATTCAGACAGCAGGCCTTGAGTTCTAGAACTTTCCTCTGTTGGGAAATTTATTTTAGCAGAGGCGCGGATGCAGTGCTGGGCTCAGTGGGGAAAGTGTGCAGCTCTACCCCAATAGTCAGGTAGCCCTGCTACTCATGAAAGGTCTTGGTAAAAGGGTCTTTCCCCCAGCCTGTACACCCCTGCAGACACAGCTAGCACAGCTGGGGCTTCCTCCATGGGAGCTCAGCCTGGGTGCATCCATAGACAGCCTTTCTGGAACATTTCAGGGTGACTGCATCCCCACAGGTGGAGTGGCGTCCAGGTTAAGGCTTGCATGAGAGGTAGAGTCACAATTCCTCTCTACTTGAAACATTAACATTCCTGCAGGTAGAAAGAGGTGCCTGTCTCATCTGAATAGTCAGAACACTGGGTAGGGAGTATGACTGGGAAGTGAATAACTTTCCTGCTGAACTGGCAGGGGAGCTGAGGGGGCTCCCACTCCTCCTCCTGATAAGACCTCAGTATGTTTCACTGACAGCTCTCCCAACCACCTCTGTCAAGGCTGGGACCTCTGCCCACCATTGGATATTTCATTTACCCACCTGCCTTAGCCACAGTTGATTTCTATGCAAGAACACCTCACCTACTGGCCCAAAGCCTTAACTATTCAACCCAGTAAATACTGGGGAAATATAAATAAATTTAAAAGGGCACACCATAGGGGAATGAGATAAGTTTCAAGAGACCTCTGCCATTCCATCCTCACAGGAGATACTGAACTTACTCATACACTGAGCACATTGCTACTGCAACCAACCTCTGAGAAAGCTATCATACAAAGACTCTCTATGACCAAGAAACTTATACAGTCTTCACTCCTGAAAGCACCAAGAGCCAAGCTAGGCTACAATAAACTATAAACATTAAAGTCACATCTTTAAGGGAGAAAATAAATTAAAACAAATACAATCAAATTGAAAATAAAGTCAAGAACAATGATAAGAATACTCTACCCAAATGAGAAGGAATCAGAACAACAATTCTGGCAATATGACAAAACATGGTTCTAGGACATTCACAAAAGATCACACTAGCTTTCTAGCAATGAATCCAAAACAAGATGAAAACTTTGAAGTACCAGATTAAAAATGCAAAAGGTTGATTATTAAGCTACTTCAGGAGATACAAGAGAAAGGTGAAAACAACATAATGACATTTAAAATAGCAATTCAAGACATGAATGAAAACTTTTCTAAAATGAATTTTTTTTGAAAAAATGAAAAACAATCAGAACTTCTGGAAATGAATAACACATTTAGGGAATTACAAAATGCAGTGGGAAGTTTTGACAACAGACTAGACCAAGTAGAAAAAAGGATTTCAAAGCTCAAAGACATGGCTTTTGAATTAACCCAATCAAACAAAAATAAAGAAAAAAGAATCAAAACAAATAAACAAAATCTCCAAGAAATATGGAATTACATAAAATGGCCAAAACTAATAATAATTGGCATTTCTGAGGGAGAAGTGAAGATAAAATGTTTGGAAAAATTATCCGAAGGAATAATTGAGAAAAACTTCCCTGGCCTTGCTAGAGATATCCAAATACAGAAAGCTCAAAGAACTTCTGGGATTCATTGCAAAAAGTATATCACCAAGGCATATAACCTTCAGGCTATTTGAAGTCAACATGAAGAAAAGTATTCAAAGAACAGTGAGAAAAAAGCATCAGGTAACCTATAAAGGAAAACCCATGAGACTAACAGCAGACTTCTCAGCAGAAACCTTATAAGCCAGAAGGGACTGGGCTCCTATTTTTAGCCTCCTTCAACAGAAAAAGTGTCAACAAGAACTTTGTATCCAGTAAAACTAAGTTTCATAAATGAAGGAGAAATAAAGGAATTTTTAGGTAAACAAATGCTGAGAGAATTTGTTACTAACAGACCAGCCCTACAAGAAATGTTGAATATTTCAACTCTTGAAACAAAAGGTTGATATGCACCAGAATACAATATCTTGAAAGCATAAAACTCACAGGGCCTATAAAACAATAATACAACAAAGACTACAAAGTGGGTAATAATCAACATGAAGACTGGAACACTACCTCATGACTCAATGTTAAATGTAAATGGCCTACATGTACCAATTAAAGGATATAGATTGGCAGAATGGATAAAAAAATCAAAAACCAATTATCTAATTATCGGCTGTCTTCAAGAGACTTACCTAATATATAAGGATTCATATAAGCTCAAATTATGGGGGTAGAAAAATATATTCCACACAAAGTAAGCAGGAGTACTTATTCTTATATCAGATAAATCACACTTAAAAGAAACAGTGGTAACAAAAAAAACACACAAAAAAGGTCAATATATAATGAAAAAATAATCCAGCAAGAAGATATTATAATTTTAAATACTTATGTACCTAGCTGTGGCACTCTCAGATTCATAAAATAATTACCACTAGACCTAAGAAATGAGATAGACAGCAACACAATGATAATAGTGGGTATTTTAACATTCCACTGACAGCACTAGACAGATCATTGAGATAAAAAGTCAACAAAGAAACAATAGATGTAAACTACACTCTAGAAAAAATGGACCTAGCAGATATTTACAAAACATTCTACCCCAGAACTGCAGAATATATATTCTTCTCATCAGCACATGGAACATTCTCCAAGTAGACCATATGATAGGCCACAAAACAAGTCTAAATAAATTCTAATTTATTTTAATTTTCAAAAATCAAAATCATATCAAGTATCTTCTTAGACCACAGTAAAGTAAAACTAGAAATCAGCTTTGAAAGGAATGCTCAAAACTACAGTAACACTTGGAAATTAAACAATCTGCTCCTGAACGATTTTTGGATTAATAATAAAATCAAGACGGAAATTAAAAATTTCTCTGAAATGAATCACGATAGTGACAGAAGGCATCAAACTTCTGAGATACAGCAAAAGCATTGCTAAGAGCAAAGTTTTTAGCACTAATTGCCTACATCAAAAAGTCTGAAAGATTACAAATTTACAATCTAAGGTCACACCTCAAAGAACTAGAGAAACAAAAACAAATCAAACCCAAAGCTAGCAGAAGAAAAGAAACAATAAAGATCAGAGTAGAACTAAATGAAATTGAAACAAAAAAAGACAATACAAAAGATCAATGAAACAAAAAGTTGGTTCTTTGAAAAGATAAATTGATAAACCATTAGCTTAACTAAGAAGAAAGATTTAAAAAATCTCAATTATAAACAAAAATGGAGATGTTACAAATGACACCACAGAAATACAAAAAATCATTCGAGACTACTATGAACACCTCTATGAAAACAAGCTAGAAAATCTAGATGAAATGGATAACTCCCTGCAAACATACAACCCTCCTAGATTAAATCAGAAAGAAATAGAAACCCTGAACTGATCAATAACAAGCAGTGAGTGAATCAGTAATAAGAAAATTGCCAACAAAAAAAAGCCCAGGGCCAGATGGATTCACAATTGAATTCTGTAAGACAGTCAAAGAATTTGTACTAATCCTACTATTCCAAAAGATTGAGAAATAGGTAATCCTCCCTAAGTCATTCTATGAAGCCAGTATCACCCTGATACCAAAACCAGGAAATAACATAACAACAACAAAAAAACTCTATTGACCAATATCCCCGATGAACACAGATGCAAAAATCCTCATCAAAACGTTAGCTAACCAAATCCAACAGCACATCAAAAAGATAATACACCATAATCAATTGAGTTTTATTTCAGGGATGCAGGGATAGATTAACATATGCAAGTCAACAAATGTGATACATCACATAAACAGAATTAAAAAACAAAACCATATAATTATCTCAATAGATTCACAGAAAGCATTTGATACAATTTCGCAATGCTTTATGAAAAAAGCCCTCAAAAAACTATGCATAGATAGATTCTACCTCAAAATAATAAAAGCATTACCTGACAAACACACAACCAACATCATACTGAACGGGAAAACGTTGAAAGCATTCACCCTCAGAACTGGAAGAAGACAAGGATGTTCACTTTTACCACTTCCATTCAACATAGTACTGGAAGTCCTAGCCAGAGCAGTCAGGCAAGAGAAATAAATAAAGGACATCCAAATTGGAAAAGAGGAAGTCAAACTATCACTATTCACTGATGATATGATTGTATACCTAGAAAACCCTCAAGACTACTCCAAAATGTTCTTAGATTTGATATACAAATTAAGTAAAGTCTCAGGTTAAAAAAAGAATGTACACAAATCAGTATCACTGCAATATGCCAATACTAACCAAGATGAGAATCAAATCAATAACTTAATCTCTTTTATAATAGCTCTAAAAAACACCTAGAAATATTCTTAACCAAAGAAGTAAAAATCTCTACAAGGAGAACTACAAAACGGTGCTGAAAGAAATCATAGATGACCCAAGTAGAAACACATTCCATACTACTGGATTGGAATAATCAATATCATGACAATGACAATACTGCCCAGAACAATCTACAGATTCAATGCCATTCTTATCAAAACATCAACATCATTTTTCACATAATTCAATAAAAATCCTGTAATTAATGTGGAACAAGAAAGGAGCCCAAATAACTGAAGAAATCCTAAACAAAAATAACAAATCTGGAAGCATCACATTTCTTGACTTCAAATCATACTGAAAGACTATAATTACCAAAACAGCAAGGCACTGGTATAAAAGTAGATACACAGACCAAGGGAACAGAACAGAGAACTGTGATATAAAGCCAAATACTTACAACCAACTGATCTTTAAGCATACAAAAACATAAATTGGGGAAAGGACACCCTATTTAGTAAACGGCACTGTTTTATTTATAACTAAGTTCCAGAGACAAAGTGCCTACATGAATGACTGGGGAAAATGTTTTTAGATTGAATGGGCAATCACTGGGCAAAATTAACTTGAGAGAAGCAGCCAAGACTCCTTGACAAAGACATATAGCTGAAGGAACAATAATAGAAATGAAAGTTACTGTGGACCAAAGGTGTGGTTTGTTTTTTGCTGGTTGTGGATATATGAGTGATTTTTTTTTTTTTTTTTTGGAATTCTGTGATTCTTGTATATTCCACAGAGAAAGAAATGAGTGTGCAACATACTTTAGATTGCATTTCTGGCCGGTTGGAAAGGTAGAAGAATAGAGATATTTATTTTTTTTCTAAATACAAATAAGAAATATGTAAATTATTGTACCTTAACAAAGTAGACAAAAACACTTAACCATATTTATATCTATAAAGACACAAAACATGTAATCATAATACTCGTATATATATAAATACACACAACCTTTCTTTTTCTCTCTCTCTCACTCCTCCATATACGTGTGTGCGTGTGTATGTATGTAGGAATTATTTGTGTTTTATTTAATTTATATTTTCTAACTCAGGAATTTCCCTTCACTTTAAAAACATAATTAATGAACTTTTCAGATGACATTTATTTATGTTGTTTAATGAGATTGTTATTAATGTACATCTTTTAGGACTATGAGATTTATGTATATCAATATGTATAGTATATGAAATTTATTTTAAAACAGTTAATTTCATGGGAGAATTAGCTATTATTCATATTATTATATAAATAATAATCCAAAGATCTAGTTATATGCAGGAATACTTTCATAATTTCCGGAAAAAAACCTTAAAGTGCTGGTGATCCTCGACCTTGGGTATTTGAAGAACATCGTGTTAATAGAAAGCTATCCAGAAGATCTGAGCTTAAAGAAGTACATCTAGTGATCAAAATTCCACATTATGAATGAGAAAATAAAATCAGGTGAACATCCATGGAAATAGAGAAGGTAAATAGAGAATGATTGCAAAAAGGTGAGAAAGAAGTTAATAACCAAGGAAAGTTAGCAAAAATAAGGCAATATTAAAAAAAGATTTGATACAGCATCAAATGCTTTTCAAAAATTAACTTTCACAGATTTTTTAAAAAGAAAAAATATTAAGTTCTACTTAATAACTGAACCTAAACATTATTTCTCATAACTTGTTTGTATATAATATAGATATTTTAAATATAGATATTTTATTACCCACTGATTGATTATGGATTTTATGATATAAATTATGGATATGGCAAAATCATATTATGTGTTCTATAACTTTTTCAAATGTTGAATAAAAGCACTCATTTCTATTGACTTTGGTTTTTAAATATTTTTATTTAAACTTTTATTTTAGGTTCAAGGGGTTCATGTGCAGGTTTGTCACACAAATATGTATGTGTAAATATGTATGACACTGAAGTTAGGGGTATGAATTATTCTGTCACCCAGGTGGTTCCTTCTTCATAGGAACTTACATTCTACTGGGAAACGTGAGAAGGACAATGAAAAGCTACCTGAGAAAGATTATTTTGGAGCTCAACAACTGTTATCAAACAAGCAATGTGATAGAGAGCTAAGAAGGGTAGCTATGTAGCTTTAATGATCAGAAAATAATATCTTTGAAAAGATCATAATGAGCTAAGATTTGGGTAATCAGAAAGTGAAATTAAATATATTTGAAACCCTAATTTAAACTTGTTATTGTAAAGGAGCAGGACTTATGGGATATATGCAAAATATATTTTCATTTTTTGCCCCCTTCTGTCTTGCAAATGTTTTACTGCATTAGTTCTCATTTTGCCACTGGATAAAGACTCACGGGAACTCAGGAATTTCCCATCACTTTAAAGAAATGCTAGCGTCCTTCTAAATCAAGTCAGTAATTACAAGTAATGTAATTGCCCAAAGTATTGATCAATTTAAATTTTTATTCACAGGTAACACAGACCAGCTAGGGCTGGTTACATGTATGTAGGTACCACTGTAATCCCCTCAGGGATGGGGATATAGTTGGCTGTTTCTCTTTTCTTGTTCCTATTATTTCTTCTCTTCCTTCACACTAATAACCACAATTTTTCATTCTATCAGTGTCTAAGTTGGGGTAGAGAGAAGAGGTAAGGGGAATGTGAGGTTCACACCAGTCTGAGAAAACTCTAGGGGTGGATTTGTGCTTTTTTGTGCAAGGTAAGTCTTTAAAGTTGAGTCTTTCTCTTGAGAAGAGTCTCCATGGGTGCTTCAGAGGACTTGCTCTGCAGCAACCAGCTGCGTTCTTGGTGATAATGAGTAGTGCATTTACACCTCTTTCTCTGTTACTCAGTTTTTAAAAAAAATATTACTTCCATTTTCCTCTTTTCCAGACTGTTTCTGATGGGTCACAGGTATCTTTATAGTTGGTCCTTTGGGGCAGAATACTAAATGATGTTTTGTAGCCTTTCTCTTCTGCATATGCCACTTCTGTTCTATGAAACACACACATACCCCATGCCACTAATCCCCTTCCATCCGAAGAGTAGCTATTTCCCAGTGCAACAGAATCTCTTCTCTGCCAGCTCAGGTTCATTGCCATACATTCACACTTTTAGATTTCAGGATCCGTGTCAGACACTAGTCCATTGTTCTCTATGTATCTGCAGGGGATATATATCAAGCACACTGAGAGGCCTCCATGAAACCATTCTCACTAGGCTTGAGGTAAGCACAGGACAATCCCATCTTTTCCCTTAAAAAAATAAAACATACAGGATTATACATATAGTACAGACATCATTGGTCTGAAATTTCTCACAATAAAAGGGGTTCCTTTTTAAGTACCTACTATAATTAAGACAAATGTAAAAAGTGGGTTGTTATGGTAAGAAATACATTTCAGTCCTTCACATTTCTCCTTATTCCTCCTCCTTCAAGATAGCTCTTAAATAAAGAGCCACCTTGGGAAAGACAAATTGAAAGGGTAGGACATCGTTTATCAGGAAAGAGCATTTCTGCCTAATGGCCCCTTGAGTAAAGTGTTTCTTTAGGACATCACAGCTCGTGTGAAGGCAGATTTAAAGGCCAGGGCATCAATTAGAAATCCACAGTCTTGCTGCCTAATCGCTCTTTTTACAGCTTCTTTTAGCAAGATAAAAATACCATCAAAATGGAAAATGAGACTTGCCAAACAATTTCAGCACTTCCCTTAGGCCACAAATGCTCAATACTGACAGATACAGCATTTCTGAGTCCCTGGCAAAGTTGAAAAGGTTTACATAATATTTTATTTTGTTTGTTGCTATCTGCGATGCTGATTTAAAGAGACAGACATCAGTAGTGAGAAGTTCAGTACTAAAACATCAGCAATGACAAGTTTCAAAATCAAAGTTAGCAGACTACCCAATTGTTTCTTTCCTATAATGCTATAATTGAACTAATGCATTGACAATACTTATGTGTGCATGTATGTATATGGATACAGATTTGTGCATATACATGTTGGTCTTAAATATGCCCATATTTGTCATATACATGTGAGTATTAGTCTTAAAATTTTAAAAAAGCCATGCACCCTAAAGAAGCAAAACATGTATAAGAGTAATAAGGTTATATGCATCACTGTAATATTCAAAATGTTTGGGAAATTTTCTCTCAATCTTTTTTTCTAGGGAAACATTATAAAAGCTGTTCATCTTATTCCTTAGCTACATTTTGATTGTCTTTAGGCCTTATGTGTAGTCACTTCATTATGCTCTATATAAAACGCATTGACATGTGAGATTTTTAATCCCATAGAATATAAGGTCAATGACTGTATTTAAGGCAATAGAATGTATCTTATTCATCTATTGAACCTGCCAGAACCTGGAACAAGTAGCACATTTTAGTTCTCAATTAATACTTATTTTCTTGATAGCCCTGTTTACATTTGACCTGATAATTATTCCAACTCTTTACATTCGTTTGGTTGGGTTCAAAAATCCCTTAATATTCAATAGATCCATTTTTAAATTAAGGCAAAATGTGCTTTTTTCCATTTCTTCTGCTGACTCAAAGGTCCTAGGTAATGAAACAATGCTCTGGCCTCCTCTGGTCATAGCCACAGAAGTTCAACTGCTTCTGGTTAAAGCATTCCTCTGAGGGTATTTGGGTATTTGTTTTCCGGCTCTTGCGCTGTTCCCTCTGGTCAGGGGAAATCTCACTTGCTGACTGTTCTGACAATTTCATAAACGACCCTCATCTCCTCCTCTAACTGCTACATCTCTTCAAGGTTGCCTGTGCATTTGCGGGGGAGTAGTTTGCTGATATTTGCTCTTAATCATTATCTAGGTCTCTAGTCAAATCACTTGATCCAAAGTTTCTCAGGACAAGATGAACTAAATTATTATTTGGGTAAAATATACAGGCAAACATATCACTTTTTAATTGCATTATTCAGTGTTTACCTTTTCTCTATATGTAAACAGCAATATGTGTTCATTGGTGGGTTTATATTTCTGTAGTAATGGTTCCTAGAATTTTCATTTACTTTGCTTTCTATCTCATTTCTCTGTACATTTGTGAAGGTAAGGTATGTGTGAAAGGGGTTAGTTGAAACTGTTCCACTAAGAGTTGCAGTATAGTGAGTACTTTCTCTACAATTACAGTGAGTACTTTCAGATAACTCACTATGATTGTAGAGAATACTGATAGGCTTTCATAAAATCGTACAACCACTTGAACTATATTGTATGGTTACAGACTATTATTGCTCCATGCCAGGGTAACACTTTTCATAAATCTAACCATAGCTTCTAACCAGATGAACACATCAACAGCAAAAAGTTGACAGCATTTCTACTGACACTACAGTTTTTTTTTTTTTTTTGACGATATTGCACAGTGGCATATACTTCTTTACAGCAATAGTAGCAATAAGGATATCCAGAAGGCTCAAAACCCAGAATGGCATTGTGCAGTAATCACTGAATCAATTCCTTCTTGCAGTTCCACTTCTGAGAGCCTTGAGAAAACAACGAAATAGCTCATGGGGACATTAGGCTTCCATTTTTCAGATGTCTCTACCATAAAAACTATAGAATATGAGAAATCATGTGTTATCTTCAAACTATATTGGGCCAAATTTCTAAATTCTGATAGAATCTGGCCTTTAATAGTCAATTCCATATTAAAAAGTGACCCTTGAACCTCTGTAATTGTCTCTTTTTTTTTTAACATACTGATTAGTGGAGGCTTTCCTTCTAGTTGGGAAAAAAATATTAAACATATTTTAAAATAGATTGAATATCCACAGGTGCATTTTCTTTATGGTTTAAAACCTTTTAGTTTGTCTTAGTGGAATTTTGTCTGCGTTGCAATTTTATACTTCAGCGGCTCAGTAAAAGTACTCTTTAGAATTTATTCCAAAGAGTAAAGTGATGTGAAATTAAAAAAATTAAAAATAGAGAAACATTAAATCGGTGAAGTGGGGCTGAAATATCAACTTCAAACTTGGTAAGATTTGTTTGCATTTATGAATAAAATGTATATCCATTTGTTTTTAATTTGACACCAAAGTCATCTTGTTATATTAGTAGGTGATATAGTTTGGGTATGTGTTCCCTGAAAATCTCATGTTGAAATGCAACCTTTAATGTTGGAAGTGGGGCTTAGTGGGAGGTGTTTGGGTCATGGCAGCAGATCTCTCATGAATGCCTTTTGCCTTTGAGGTGACTGAGTTCTCACTCTCTTAGTTCACAGGAGAGCTAGTTGTTTAAAAGAGTCTAGTACCTCCTCTCTCTTTCCCTTGTATTCCCTCTCTCCATGTAGTATGCCTGCTCCTCCTTTACTTCTCCTATGATTGCAAGCTTCCTGAAGCCTTCACCAGAAGCAGGTGCTGATTTCATGTTTCTTGAACAGCCTGCAGAACCATGAGCCAAATAAATCTCTTCTTTATAGGTTACCCAGTTTCAGGTATTTCTTTATAGCAATACAAAATGGACTAACACAATATGTTACGTTGATATTTATTAAGGTCATATTTTGCTGGAGAGTAGTTGGTATCATTAACTTTCACTTAATAAATTATTTTTAATTTATAAAATATTTTAAAATCAAAATTATACAAATGGAGAACAAGTCAGTGGTTAGCAGTTAGGCAAGGAGTGGGGATATGAGACTAAAATGGATATTGGCATGAGGAAGTTTATTGATGGTAACAAGGGAGTTTTGTACCTTGATTGTGGTGATGGTTTTATGAATCTACGCATGTGGCAAATGTGATAGAATTATGTACAAAGACATACAATAAATGAAATCATGCCAAAACTGCTGAAATCTCAGTAATGCCTACAGTCTTGTAAATCATATTGTTTTATTGTCAAGGTCTTAATTTTGGTAATCTACTTTAGTTATGCAAAATGAAAATAATAGAAAGATTGGTGATGAGTACATGAGAAATCTTTATGCTACTTTTGTAACTTCTTGTTAGTCTATAATTATTTCAATGCACAAAGTTCATTAAAAGCTTTAAGAAGTAACAGAAATGTTAAAACAAAATGTTACAAGCACTCTTCAGTCTATTTCTTAGTATATATCCAAAAGAAATGAAATCAGTATCTCAAAGAGATATATTCACCCCAGTGATTACTAAAGCATTACTCACAATAGCCATGATATAGAAACAATCTATGTATTTTTCAATGAATGAATAAAGAATGTATGATTTACACAATGAAATATCATTCAGCCATATAAAAGGAGGAATTCCTGCAATTTATGAAAACATGAATGAACCCTAAGAACATAATGCTAAGTCAAATAAGCCAGACACAGCAAGACAAATATTCTATAATCTCACTTGCATGTGGCATTTAAAACATGGTAAACTCATAGAATAGTGTTTGCTAGGGGGTGGGAAAGTGGAGAGACATTGATCAAAAAGTACAAACCTTGCATCACAAGGTGAATAAGTTCTGGAGATCTAATGTGCACCATGGTTACTGTAGTTAATAATACTATATTTAATACTTGCAATTTGCTAAGAGAGTAGATATCCAGACTTCTCACCACAAAAATAATAACTGCTGGAAGTAGTCCTCTTGAGAACTGGAACAAGACAAGGATACCCACTTTCACCACTCCTATTCAACACAGTATTCAACATCCTGGCCAGAGCAATTAGGCAAGAGAAAAAAATAAAAGGCACCCAAATAGGAAGAGAGGAAGTCAAAGTATCTCAGTTTGCAGACGATATGATTCTATACCTAGGAAACCCCACGGTCTGTGTCCAAAACCCCCTTGATCTGATAAACAACTTCAGCAAAGTTTCAGGATTCAAAGTCAATGTACAAAACTCAGTAACATTTCTATACACCAACAATACCCAAGCTGAGATCCAAATAGAGAATCCAATCCCATTCATAATAACCACTAAAAGAATAAAATACCTAAGAATACAGCTAACCACAGAGGTGAAATACCTCTACAGTAGGAATTACAAAACACTGCTCAAAGAATTCAGAGATGTCACAAAAAAATGGAAAAACTTTCCATGCCCATGGATAAGAAAAATTCATAGTGTTAAGATGGTCATACTCCCTAAAGCAATTTATAGATTCAGTGCTATTCCTATCAAACTACAAATGACATTCCTCACATAATTAGAAAAAACTATTCTAAAATTTACATGGAACCAAAAAAGAGCCTGACTAGCCAAGGCAATCCTAAGCAAAAAGAGGAAAGCTGGAGGCATAATGTTACCCAACTTCAAACAATACTACAAGGCGACTATAACCAAAACAGCATGGTGCTCATACAAAAACAGACACATAGACCAATGGAGCAGAATAGATAGCCAAGAAATAAAGCTGTACACCTAAAACCATCTAAGTTTTGATAAAGTTGACACAAACAAGCAACAGAGAAAGGACTCCCTATTCAATAAATGGTGCTAGGATACCTGGCTAGCCATATACTGAAGATCAAAACTGGACCTCTTCCTTACCATATACAAAAATCAATTCAAGATGGATTAAATGCTTTAATGAAAAACCTAAAGTTATAAAAACTCTGGAAAATAACCTAGGAAATACAATTCTGGACATAGGCCCTGGCAAAGATTCCATGACAAAGTTGCCAAAAGTAATTGCAACAAAAACAAAAATTGTCAAATAGGACCTAATTAAACTAACAAGCTTCTGTGCAGCAAAATAAACTATCAACAGAATAAAGAGACTACTTACAAAATGAGAGAAAATATTTGCAAATTTTGCATCTGACAAAGGGCTAATATTCAGAATCTTTAAGCAACTTCAGAGAACAAGCAAAAAAAAAAAAACCAATACCATTAAAAAGTGAACAAAGGACATGAATAAACAGTTTTCAAAAGAAGATATACATGCAGCCCACAAGCATATTTAAAAAATGCTCAACATCACTAATCATTAGAGAAATGCAAATAAAACCACAGTGAGATACCATCTAATGCCAGTCATGGCTATCATTAAAAAGTCAAAAAATAACAGATGTTGGGGAGGTTCTAGAGCAAAGGGAACACTTATACACTGCTGGTGGGAATGTAAATTAGTTCAACCATTGTAGAAAGCAGTTTGGTTGGTGATTTCTTAAAGAACTCAAAACAGAATTACTATTCAACCCAGTAATCCCATTACTGGGTATATACCCAAAGGAATATCAATTGTTCTACAACAAAGAAACATGGACGTGTATGTTCATTGCATAACTATTCACAATAACAAAGACATGGAATCAACTTAAATGTCCATCAACACTAGACTGGATAAAGTAAATATGGTACATATACACCATGGAACACTACACGGTCATAAAAAAGAATGAGATCGTGTCCTTTGCAGTAACATGGATGCAGCTGGGGGCCATTATCCTAAGTGAAATAACAGGAACAGAAAATCAAACACTGCATGTTCTCACTTATAAATGGGAGTTAAACATTGAGAACACATGGACACAAAAAATGGAACAACAGACACCAGGGCCTACTTGAGGGTGGCATGTGAAAAGAGAAAGATAATAGAATAAAAACTTATTGTGTACTACACATATTACCTGGGTGACAAAAAATTAGTACATCAAAGTCCTATGACACATAATTTACCTATATAACAAACCTGCACATATATCCCTGAAACTAAAATAAATGTTAAAAAAATAAATAAAATGGTCGAAAGATTAAATAAAATTCTTTAAAAGGGTAATTATGTGAGGTGATAGATGTATTAATTAGCTAGATTGTAGTAACCATTTCATAATATATACATATATCAAATCATCATGATTCACACTTCAATAAAGAAAATTTTCATTAAAGCTGGGCAAAAATAACATTTTTTAAAAAATTGGAGTTACATAAATATTTATTTATTTATTTAAATTATTTTATTTTATTATTATTATACATAAATATTTAAAAATAAGGTTGCCCACATCAATTTTTCAACCATTTTATTTAAGTTATGGTAATATTTTGCAGTTTATATAATTTGTAAGAAAATTAAAATTCTTTACAATTAAGATTTCCTTTTGTCCTTTCTTATCCTGTTCTTCTTACTGTTTTATCGAATGTAATTATTTTGTCTTTTTTGAATCCATCTTTAAAATTTACTGCATATACATATATATGCTGATAAAAATATGCAATTTTATTTTATGATTTAAAAATTACAGAATTGATTTGTTTATAAATGTATTCATACGTAACAATGTATTAGCACTGAATAGTACATTGGGTGTCAAACCCATTTAGATACATGTGCACTTAATTTTACTGATAGTAATACATTCTTTAAGTATATAAAATGTCTTTTCTCTAATTGAATTATATTGTTTCTAATTTTTCAGTAGTTCCACTTGATTTTATTTCAAGAATATCATATTTAAAGTACTGGTATTTTAAAAGGCCAAGAGGTGAATTTTATTCTAAAATCTAATCATAGAAACTGTCTTGCAATATATGAATTTACTTACATATGTATGGAATATACAATACTCCATGTCATGAAAAAACTGCAAGGAATTTGGACTTTAAGAAAAAGAGAAACAGGTTGAATGACATTCATATTTTAAGTTCGACTCCCACAAATTTCAAGGGGTTTACTAAATATTTCAATTTTTTAATGAAAACTCCAGTCCATACTTCAGGATTACAGATACTACCCAAGAACTGAAGGATTTTAAGACTAAGGAAAAACAGAAATAGACCTATTCTAACAGGGACTGAACTAAACTTCCACAATGTCAAATGATCACCTGCATGAATAAAAGGCAATGATTTTCAGAAGAAGATAACCAAATAGTCAAAATAGTATAAGAGTATCCAGATTCTGTACACTTTGCACAATATGTAATATAAAATCACTGACATGTAAAGAATGGGGAAATAAAACATAGAGTTAAGAGCCAGATCTATCATTTGAAGCACATCCAGCGAACCAGGTAAAAAAATAAGCAGAAAATAACTTTAAGAAAACTCAGATAACTCTAATAAAGGTCTATAAAACAGAATTGATATATGAAAAGCTAAGAACCATTAGAAGACATTTATAAATATAAAAAGAAGCAAATGATATCTGAGAAATAACTTACTTAAAAATATAATAAAATTTCATGCAACAGGATTAGTGGAGGATAAAACACAACAGAAACATTTTTTAAAAAAATTAGTAAATGTCAATAGAGGTCATCCACACTTATGGACAGAAAAAATTAATTAAAACATAACATCTGTTTTGAGTTACTTAAGTTGATTTTCTGCTATATATAATTACAAAAATAAGGTGAAAATTAAGATGAAAAATACAAATTTCTTGGAAGCACAAATAATGAGAATTTACTAAAGAAAGACTACGAAATTGAATCTTAAACAGAGACCTTCCCCCAAAGAAAATTCTAGGCCAAATGGATTCTGTGACACATTTAAGAATAAATAACACATACTACAAAATCTTTAAAACTTAAAGAAATAAGTAATTTACTGTTAATAAGTAAATATCCTTCTCAACTCATTCTAGCAGGTCTGCATTGTGCTGATAACAAAACCAGACAAATATTTTACATGCAAGGAAAACTATGAATCAAAATCCTTTATGTAGATATACAAAAAATATTAGCAAAATATTATCAAAACAAATCCAGTATAATTCAAAAGGATGAATGGCATGAACAAGGTTATTTACTACTATCAAATCCATTCAATATATGCTGGGGGTCCTAACATATAAATAATTTTAAAAAAATGTATACAAATCGGAAACAAGTATACATGTCTTTATTTATAGAAAACATGATTATCTAGGTAAAATATTGTTGAAAAGCAAATACATGACATTAAACTAATAAGGGAATTTAGCAACTATGTGGGATATAAAAATAAATTTTACTATATACTAGTAATGAAAAATTGGAAAATGACATTCAAAATAGTATTTATAATGGCATAAAAACATAAAATATCAAAGAATAGATTTAGCCATGTATGTATAAACCTGTATATTACATCTATAAAATATTTCTGAGTGCTATTAAACTGAAATCTATGGAGACATGTACTAGGTTCATGTATTTAAAGGATTAATATTGATATGTCAATTTTGCCCAACTTGCCAATAAATTCAATGACATTTTAATCAACATCTTTGTAAGCATTTTTTAAAGAAAATGTTAATCAGTTCAGAAAATGTGTATGTAAATACAAAAAAAAAAAGATAGTAAAACAATCTTGAAATATAAGTATGTAATAGGAAGAATTAAACTATTTAATTTCAAGACTTAATGTAAATCTACAGAAATGAAGACAGTGTGGCATAGGCCAGTTATACAGAAGAGTGTCAGAATACATACATACATATGTTTATTAATTTTTTATAAAGTTACCAAATTATTTTGATGAGAAAACATTAAGCAATTCCACAATATTTCTGGGAATCTAAGCAGTATCTGAATTTTTTTTTTAAAAAAGGAAAACTAACCTTATACTACACACTAAAGAAAAATTTTAAAGACTCAAACTGAATTGTATTTCTAAACAGAAAGGCTGAAAGTATTGTTTTTTTAAAAACTAAAAATTATTTGCAAATTAAATATGCCAGTATCTCTTAGGACAGAATGAATTAAAGATAAAAGAAAAAGTCAGTATATTGGACTTTGTAAAAATTAATATATACAATTATTGAAAATATGGCATCAGGGAAAGAATATAAAAATAAGACACAGACTGGGAGAAAATATTTGCCATACATTCTTCTGTGAAAAGATTGCATTTTACTTTGTTATCGTTTTATTGAAAAAATTGACAATAGACATAAGCACTTTGGTTGAATGTATATAAGAATATTTTTTGCTTTGCAATCCTACTTGTAATGTCACCTAAAAGCCAAAACAAAGCTGATTATGTTACCTTATATATAAATGAACAAAGCCTCAATAAAATATGGGACATTGTCAAGAAGGCTAACAAAAAAAATGTAATTGGAATCTCAGAAAGAGAGAGAAGGAGAGTGGTATAGAAACTATACATAGGGAAATTTTAATGAAAAATTTTATGAATTCATTAAGAACAGCAGCCAACAGATCCAGGAATTTTATTGGACCCCAAATTGGGTAGATGCAAGGAAAGCCAGGCATGGGTATCTTAATTATAAAAATTTTACCTGTGGTCAGCTAGATGGCTGATGAAAGGTGCCTGGCACTCATCTTCGGCACAAAATAAGAACAAAAACAAGAAACAAGCAACTAAAATTTGTCCAGAATATCTGCAAAAGAGTGCTGGAGTACAGCAAGCAACTGGCAGAATCCCTGTGTAGCACAGAGACAAAGGATGCCAGCATAGAACAAAGAGAGAGGAAACAAAGTACCCTGTCTCTGCCGCCCCATTTTTCTTGCCAAGAGTGACTCAGAACTAAGACAAACATTCCCTTTTGGGAAAAAGGTAAGCAGGAGGCCCCTCACAGACCCATTACCACTGCATATACCTGCAGTTCTTGCTACAGGAGAAACCCCGACTCCTCACAAGTTCTGCACCCAGTTTGTGGAGCTGCCTGGAGTTCACATGGATGCATTGATCCAGAATAGGAGCCTACATTGTGTACCTCCGAATCCTGGTTATCTAAACTACTACACCATGGCATCATCGTGAAACCAGAGTTACCTCTAGAGTGCCCTTTGTTGTATTGGTTTGTAGTCACTGATTATCTTAATCCTTGAGGCTGTGTCCTCATTCCATCATGCTCATATATGTTGCCACAGTACCAAGACCACCCAAGCTACTCAGAGCTGAGGCGTAGCAGAATGGCTGTGACTCTGGTGCCCAATCACATGAGGTACACTGCCCCCGAAGGAACAGGTAGTCCTATACAGTGAGAAAAACAACTCCAAGTCAGCTGAACTGCCATGTGCTATTGTGCACCTTTGGCCTGAGAATGAGACCAGTGGCCTTGTCCCAAGCAAGCCATTCCTTAGCTGATCCATAACAGACACATACTCCTTGCCTGGAACTAGCTCAGGACCGTGCCCCCAGCAAGGTTGACCCTGAGTTGGTGAATACACCACATGAGCCCACACAGTCTGAAAAGCAACGTAGCACCCAGTGCCTAGCTCCTAGAAAAGCCACATCACTGCCACAATAAACTTCCACAGACTAGACTACTGAGGCACTCCCGTAATGACTGACCCAAATTACAGATGAATAAACTGCTCAGATACTACACCCCTGTGTCTACCCAGAATCAAGTCCGATACACTCTACCCAACTGACATCTTAGAACCATGAAACTGAAAGGGGTGACTGTTCCACCAGATGTGCACATATCAAAGTAGGGACATAAGAAACATGAAAAAACAAGGAAACATGGCAGCTTTAAAATAACACAATAATTATCTAGTAAGAGACCCCAGAGAAAAGGAAATTTATAAAGTATCTTTAAAGTAATTTAAAATTATCATTTTAAGGAAACTTAGTGACACACAATAAAATAGATTAATAATTCAATGAACTCAATAAAAGAATACATTATGTAAATGAGACTTTTTTTTTTTTTTTTGAAACAGAGTTTCCCTCTTGTCACCCAGGCTGAAATGCAATGGCACAATCTTGGCTCACTGCTCCACCTCCCAGGTTCAATTGATTCTCCTGCCTCCCGAGTAGCTAGGATTACAGGCATGTGCCACCACACCAGGCTAATTTTTGTATTTTTAGTAGAGACGGGGTTTCACCATGTTGGTCAGGCTGGTCTCAAACTCCTGACCCCAGGTGATCCACCCACCTTGGCCTCCCAAAGTGTTGGGATTACAGGCGTGAGAGCCAATGCACCCAGATGTAAATGACAAAAGTAACAAAGAGGTAGATAGAAAAAAAAGAAAATAAAAAAACAGAAATCTGGAACTGAAGAATATAACAAATGACATAAAAACACAATCACAAGCATCAACAATAAACCTGATCAAACAGAAAAAAAATTCTAAGATTGAAAATAGGTCTTTTGAAATAACCCAAGCAGAAGTGAAATGAAATAAATAATAAAAATGAATGAAGAATACCTAAAGGTTACCATTAAGCAAACACACTTTGAATTATGGAATTTCTAGGGTGAGAAGAGATGGAAAAAAGCACAGAAAACATATTTAACTAAATAATAGCTAAAGTCTTCCCAAATTTTTAAAGAGATGAATATCCAGGTCTTGGAAGCTCAAAAGTCACCAACTAAATTCAATGAAAAAATGTCTTCTTATAGGCACGGTATAATCAAACTGCTGAAGAGCAAATGCAGAGAGAATTTTTAAAGTAGTAAGAGAAAAACATCTAGTCACATAAAGGAAATCCCCATGGTACTATCAGCTGATTTCTCAGCAGAAAACTTGCAATCAAGGAGACAATGAGATAATATATTCTAAAAAAAAAAAAAATAGAAATTGAGAAGAAAAGAAAAACAGAAAACTGTTAGCCTAGAATATTATAAGCAGCAAAAGTATTCTTAGAGAATGAACAAGAAATAAAGTCTTTACCAGACAAACAAAAGCTGAAGAAATTTACCACCATTAGATTGACTTTACTAGAAATGTTTATGGTAGTACTACAACTGAAAATGAAAAGAAAATAATCACAACCATTACTATTTGTGAAGACATATGAAAGTATAAAATTCACTAGGAGAGATAAATTCAAAATTAAACTGAGAACACTCAAGCACCGTATTGCTTATTTATAATTCTTTCTAACCTCTAGTAAAAAGATTCAAAGTCAAAATGGCCAAAGATCATTAGAGCTACAATTAGTTAAGAAACACACACTGTACGAAACTGTAAATTAAGACAACAAAAATATAAATTTTAGTGTAGAGGGTAGATTAAAATTCTAGAGTACTTTTATGTGACCAAAGTTAAATTATCAGCTTCAAATAGTTAATTATAGATATAATATGTTTTATATTAACCTCATGAAAATCACACAAAAAATTGTGGCAGATACACAAATAAGAAAGAGAAAGGAATCAGAAAACTACAGAACGACAAAGGTAATCAATGAGAGAGAAGTTAAAGAAGGAACAAAGAATTTACAAAATAATCAGAAAACTATCAACAAAGTGGCAGGAGTAAGTCCTTACCTATCAATGATAACATTGAATGTAAATGTAAATTGATTAAATTCTCCAATTATAGAGTGGCTGAATGAAAATAAAAACAAGACTCAACTATATGCTGCCTATGAGATATTGGCTTCACATATAAGAACACAAAAGGACTGTATGTGAAGGGATAGAATAAGATATTTCATGCAAACAGCAACCAAAAGAGAGCAGGAGTATCTGTATTTAAATCCGATAAATGTAAGTCAAAAACTATAAAAAGAGACAGAAAATGTCATTATTCATTAAGCGGATGTAACAATTGTAAATATATAGTCATCCAATAATGCAGCACCCAAATATATAAGCAGATATTATGAGATTTAAAGGGATAAACTAAAATACAATAATAGTAGAAGACTTCAACACCCCATTTTCAGCCATGGAAAGATTATACAAACAGAAAATTAACAAAGAAACATCATACTTAAACTGCTCTCTAGAACAAGTGTGCGTAACAAACATTGACAGAATCTTCCATATAACAGCTGCAGAATACACATTATTCTCAATTGCAAATGAAAAAGTCTCCAGGATATATAATATGTTAGACCACAAAACACTACTAAACTCTTTTAAACACTTAAGAAAAAACTAATCCCAAGTATTCTCAAACCATTTCAGAAAATTGAAGAAGGAATGCTTACAAATTCATTCTATGAGGTCAGTATTATTCTAATACCAAAACCAGACAAGTAATGAAAAGTGAAAAAAATAGTCCAGCATCCCTAGTGGACGTAGATGCAAATCTCTTCAACAAAATGCTAGCAAACTGAATTTAATAGCACATGAAAAACATCATTCACTATGGTCAAGTGGAATTCACTTCAGGGATGCAAAGATGAATTAATATATATAATTTAGTAAATGTGATATGTTACATTAACAGAAAGAAGGGGCTGGGCACAGTGGCTCATACCTGTAATCCTGGCACTTTGGGAGGCTGAGGCAGGTGGATTGCCTGAGCTCAGGATTTTGAAACCAGCCTGGACAACACAGTGAAACCCTGTCTCCACTAAAATACAAAAAATTAGCTGGGCATGGTGGCATTCACCTGTAGTCCCAGCTACTCGGGAGGCTGAGGCAGGAGAATTGCTTGAACCTGGGAGGCAGAGGTCGCAGTGAGCCAAGATCGTGCCACTGCACTCCAGCCTGGACAACAGAGGACTTGAAAAAAAAAAAAAAAAAACTAAAACACCAAGCCAAACCCAAAATTAGTAGAATAAAAGAAATCATAAAAATCAGAGCAGAAACAGAGCCTGAAAAAAAATTTACAGGAAACAAAAATATAGTTTTTTGAAAATATAAACAGTCAACCAAACTTTAGACGAACACAGAAAAAAAGAGATGACTCAAATAAATAAAATTAGAAATGAAAACAGAGACATTGCAACTGATACCACAGAAATACAAAGGATCATGAGAGACTAGTATGAGCAATTATATGCCAACAATTTTGAGACCCTAAAATAAATGAATAAGTTCTTGGACACATACAATCTACCAAGAAAGGCCTATGAAGAAACAGAACATAGAAACAGTCCAATAATGAGTGAGGAAATTGAATCAGTAATAAAAAATTACCCATTCAAGAGAAACTCAGGACCTGATTTCACTACGAAACTCTATTAAACACTTAAAGAAAAACTAATTATTATAAACCAAATATTCTCAAACCATTTCAGAAAATTGAAGAAGGAATACTTACAAACTCATTCTATGAGGTCAACACTGTTCTAATACCAAAACCAGACAAGTAATGAAAAATGAAAACAATAGTCCAGCATCCCTAGTGGTCATTGATGCAAATCTCTTCAACAAAATGCTGGCAAATTGAATTTAATAGCAAATGAAAAAGATCATTCACTGTGGTCAAGTGGAACTCACTTCAGGGATGCAAAGATGATTTACATATAATTCAGTAAATGTGATATGTTATATGTTACATTAACAGGAAGAAGGACAAAGACAATAATCACTTCAATAGACACAAAAAAAGTATTTGATAAAATTCAACATTCATTCATGATAAAAGCCCTCAACATATTAGGTATAGAAGGTAAGTGCCCCAACACAATAAAGACCATGTATGACAGACCCACAGCTAACATTTTACTAAATAGAGAAATATCTAATGCTTTTACTCTAAGATTTAGAAAAAGACAAGGATGTCCAATTTCATACTTGTATTCATCATAGAAGTAGAAGTCCTAGCCAGAGCAATTAGGCAAGATAAGTTAATGATAGGCATTAAAATTGAAAAGGAGAAATCAAATTGTTCTTGCTTATAGAGAACATGACCTTATATATACAAAACCTTGAAGATTCCACCAAAAACTCTAGTTCAAACAAGAAAATTAGTAAAGAATCAGAACACAAAGTAAATATATGAAATATCAGTAGCATTTTTATATGCTAATATAAGCTATTTGAAAAAGAAATCAAAGAAAAAAATCCTATTTTCAATAGCCACAAAAATATACCTAGAAATGAATTTATCAAAGAAGGTGAAAGATCTCCAAATTGAAAATTATAAAATACTGATGAAAGAAATTAAAGGAGACACAAATAAATGGAAAGACATTTTGTGTTCATGGATTTAAAGAATTAATATTGTTATAATATCTGTATCACCCAAGCAATCTAAAAATTTGATACAATCCTATCAATGTATTGATGACATTCTTCATAGAAATAGAAAAAAAAAATCCTAAAATTTGGGACCACAGAAGACCTCACATAGCCTAAGCAATCTTGAGCAAAAAACAAAGTGGGAGACATCACACTACCTGACTTCAAAATATACTACAAAGCTACAATAATCAAAACAGCATTTCACTGACATCAAAACAACACATACACCAATGGAACAGAAGAGAGAACCTGGAAATAATCCAAGCATCTACAAACAACTTATTTTCAACAAAGTTGCCCAGAAAACAAATTGAAAACAGGACAGTTTCTTCAATAATTGATTCTAGACAAATTGGATATTCACATTCAGATGAATGAAACTGGACCCCTACCTTTCACCATCAACATCAACTTATGATGAATTAAAGATGTAAATGCAAAAACTGAAAGTATAAAACTACTAGAAGTAAATGCTTTCTAAAGTTGGACTGGGCAAAGATTTTTTGAGTACGAATTCAAAAGCAGAGGCAACAAATGCAAAAATGAAAAGATAGGATTACAACATATTTTAAAAGCTTCTGCACAGGGAAAAAAAAGCAATCAAGAGAGTGAAAAGACAACCTACAGAATGGGAAAATATATTCAGAAACTACACATTTAGCAAGGGATTAGTATCCATAATATATAAGAAACTTAAGCAAATCAATAGCAACAAAATGATTATCCAATTAAAATACAATCAAAAAACTGGCATAGTCATTTATCAAAAGAAGGCATAGAAATGCAAAGAGGTATGTGAAAAAAAATACTCAACATCACTAATCATCAGAAAAATGCAAATCAAAACCACAATGAGATATCACTTCACTCCAGTTAAAATGGTTATTATCAAAAAGACAAATGTACCAAGTGTTAGTGAGGATGTGGAGAAAAGGGAACATTTACACACTATTGGTGGGAATGGAAATTAGGACAGGTGTTATGAAAAACAGTATTGAGATTCCTCAAAAAATTAAAAATAGAACTACTTTATCATACAACAATGCCACCATCGGATATATATCCAAAGGAAATAAAGTCAATATGTTGAAAGTACAACTGAACTCCTATATTTATTGCTGCACTATTCACAATAACCAAAGGATATAGTAAACCTAAGTGTCCAACAACAAATGAATTAACAAATGATTAAGAAAATGTGGTATATATACACAATGGGGAGATACTTAGCCATGAACATGAAATTCTGTCTTTTGCAACAGCACAGATAAACCTGGGGGCTATTCTGTTCAGTGAAATAAGCTGGACACAGAAAGACAAATATGTTCTTACTTATATGTGGAATCTTAAAAAGTTGATTTCACAGTAATAGTAAATAAAACCGTGGTTACCAGAGACTGGGGAAAGCAAGCAGGGGAAAGGGAGAGAAGTTGGTCAACCAGCATATTGTTACAATTAGAAAGGAAAAGTACGTTTTTATGTCCTGTTGAAACAGTGGGATTACTGTAGTCAACACATAGGGATTGTATGTATCAAAATAGCTAGAAGAGAGAATTTTGAATGTTTCCACTACAAAGAAATAATAAATTTTTGAGGTGATAGATATACTAATTACCTTTATTTAATCATTACACAATGTATAGCTGTATGGCGCCATCACATTGTACTCCATAAATATGTACAATTATTATGTGTCAGTTAAAAATAAAAATAATTATAAAAACTCACCTCCTGATAAATGTTATACGTGGCTTCTTCAATTGTACATGTGAACAGAAGAAAAAATACACATTTGTCATACTTCTACCATTGTAATTCATAGTATACAGATTAAGAAAGTTCATGATTGCAGCCATGAATATCCAGTAAAGTAGGAGAATTATCTAAGGAAGAGGGATTAGATAAAGATAAATCTTGAGCTAAATTTGTCTTTTAATTATGACAGAGTATAACATACAGGATTATAAAACACACTTTAAAGTTGAGTAGTTTCTGTGTGTTTAAAGTTTTGTAATTCTCCACATATCATGAAAGTACTGAAATATATTTAAAATATGAATCCAAAATTTTACCTTTTCCAGAAATTTTATCATATATTTAGTTTTAGCTATACTAGGAAAACATGTCATATAAAACTTTCATCCTTAACATATTGTAAGTATGATTTTGCTAGTAATTTTTCTGCATGATTTAATTTTCAATGTAACATGGACACTGCATTTTAGTTCTTTAAAAACAATACTATAATCTTGTTTTATAGCTCACTAAAAAATCGAGTATTTACTAGTAAAATAATAAAAGTATATGTAGCATTTTGAGGTGTTATTTTGAAATGGGAAATGCTCAGTTTAACTAAAATCACTCACCCAGAAGGAAAAGCATCAGAGTTTTGATCCCATTTGATAAGCAAATAAAATATATATGAGCTAACAACCCAAAGCAATAACATTCAAGAACATTTAATGTACCCATACTAATTTTTTTTCAGAACAGTATTAGAACTCACCTTCAGGATAAGTTTCAATACTAAGCACACATAAATAAAAAATATGATGTGTCCAAATGAAAAGCTAATGGATCTGAGAAACCATTAAAACTTCTCCCAGCAAAGAGAACTGGGAGCTAACAGGGCAGGTACTCAGGGGGCCAGTACTAGTATGCCAAAAATACAAAGATGCAAAGGCAAATAGAAACTAAATTCTCTAAGGATTGTTGAGATTCAATACAGGGAAACCAAATACATAGTTCAAGAATAGGAAATATCAGGAAATTTTTAAAAGTTTGTTATCTAAAAATAAGTCAAAATAAAATAAACCAGACGGGAAGTAAAAATGTAGGGGGCTAAACTTTGACCACTAATTAAGATAAAGGAAATCAAATGAACATATGCTTCTCATTCTAACCACAAAAACTTGCCTGATAATCTGCAAAGTCAGAGACTTAAAAGAATCAGAGGACTGAGGTTGCAAAAAAAAAAACCTAAGCTAATTAAATTACCATAAGCAACAAGTCTCATCTTGGAGAAAAATGAGAGTTTATATTTACCAGACTAATTTTGCTCATGTGCTTTTTCACATGCATGATATAACATGATGAAGACTAGATGCACAGTAAGAAAGCTGAAAGAGTCTGTTCGGAAGCAAATAAGATTTTTTTCCAGCGAGAACCAGAGCCTTCTTAAGAATGTTTCAAGGCCGAGCAGCTCAGAAAAATATTTCTGAGAAACCTTGGGCCTATCCACTAAACTGGAAAAACCTTTCAAGTTTAGGTAAAGCAGCAAGACAGAAAGTAATTTCTTTAGGTGCAGAAAGTCATGGGTAGAATTAAAAAGCAGAAAGAACTTGTAGGAATCCAAAAAACTAGCAGTTGGGTTGAAAAGCAGAGCAAAATCCTCCCTCTTTTGGGAAAGTTGAGGGTTGGGTAATTGAAAAAAAAGTCTCCAGAATGTTGTTCATGCTTACGTTTTAAGATCTAATGAAAGAAAATTCCTGATTCTGTATTTAGAATATTTGCATTTAATAGTGAAATTAATCCAAACTAATTAAATTAAGTAGAGATTCATCTTAACTACCGACTGGATTGACTCAGCACTCCAGAGTTGAAGCATTACTGAAAAGATTTGCCTTCAGTGGGGGAAAATAGTATTTACTTCAGTCTCTACATTTCCTTGTCTCACAATGTATAGTATACAGTAATAATAAAAACAAAACAAAAAACTACAAGTCGTTTCATGAAACAAGAATATGTGATCCATGGTCAAAAGAGAAAAGGAAATGTTACAGATGTTCTAATTATAAGAAAAGGTTGTAAAGTAAATCAGATAACTATATTAAAGGATGTAGTATAAAAAGTGAAAACTATTAATGAACTTACTAAAATATTCTGCAGATAGAAGCTTAAAATAGAACAATATCAAAACATTAGAAAAAATAAGATGTAAAAATGAAAATCTCACTTGGAAGGCTTAGTAAGAGCCTAACAGCATGAGAAAATATGAGTAAACCTGAAGACAAACTGATATACGAAAAAAGAGTGAAAAACCAATACAGCCTTCAGTGCACGTGGAGAAATATTAAATACCCTAAAATATGCACAAATTGAATCTCAAAATAAGAGGAGGTAGAGAATGGGGCAGAAGAAATATTTGAAGAAATTAAGTCTAACGGGGGAGAGGAAGTATACCTTGGGATGTCCTAGTTAATCTGCTGAAACCAAAGAGAAAGAACATTTCTTGAAAGCAGCTAGAGGGAAAAATAAAGGCATATTATAGACCACGTAACATTGACAAAATATGGCTGACTTCTCACCTGAAAAACTGAAGGTTAAAGATTATCAAATGAGAGCTTTAAAGAGAGAGAGAAAAAAAAAACTTGTCAACCTACAAGTCTGTGTATAGAAAAAAGTATCCTTCAAACATGTAGGCCAAGTGAAAATATTTTCAGTCAATAGTTTAGAGAATTGATGTACAGCAGACTTCTACCACAGGAAATGTGAAAAGAAGTTTTTCAGGCTGAAGATGCATAAGATGCATAAGATGAAAGCCAATAACTGCAAAGAAAAACAGCAGCAGAAACCACAACTGTGTATTTAGATATAAAGCTATATTGATCAAGAAAATGTAGTATGCTTTGAATGTGGACAGATAAATGGAGCAGATAGAAAAATTCAGAAAGATACTTATCCTTATGCAGTAAATGTATTTATTTTGAATGATGATCGAAGTTAATTCAATAGAACGTCTTTATGACATATGGTGCTGGAACAATTCTACATATAAATATATGTGTGTCTGTGTGTGTATATATATATATATACATATACATATACACATATATACACACACACATATATGTATATATACACATATACATGCAAAAGAATGAATAGATAAAACTTTACCCATCTCACTTCATATACAAATTAAATGTATCATGTAGTAACTAGGAACATACAAATTCTAGAAGACAATAAGGAGACTATATTAGTGCACTTACAGTAAGAAAATATTTCTTGGATGTAATCAATACATTCAACACAGAATGATAGATTCTGACTTTATCAAAAGACACAAATAAAATGAGTAGGACAGTTATAGAATGGAAAAATATTCATAACAAATTAATACACAATTCTATTAAGAGTAAAAATAATTCATATCAAATATATGTATGGAGCATTAACAAATATATAGTAAAAAGGCAAATGATATTGTACACATGGGCAAAAAATAGAATCAACCTTATTTGTGATCAAGAAAATTCACATTACAACAAAAATGTATTATCAAGTCTTACACAATGGAACTGTTAACATATAAAAGACTGACAATAACAAGTACTGGTGAATATGAAGCAACTAAAACACCCACATATTGCTGATGGGAGTGTAAAATGATATGACCATTTTGTAGAACTATCTGGCAGTTTCCTCTAAAGCTAACTATGTATTAATCTGTGAGACAGGCCTTTTACTCCTAGCCATCAACACTAAGAAAAATTTTTTTTTTAAATGTCTTTTTTACATAAAAAGTAAAAAAAAATTTAAAAAACTTGTATAAACTGTTCAGAACAGATTTATTAATCAGCAAAACCAGGAAATAATCTAAATATCCACAAACAGGTGAATGGGGAAACAAACTGTGTTATGTCTTAGCCATGGAGCACTGCTACAGCAATAAAATTTTCACAAACAGTTTTGTCAAAGATCAGATGGTTGTAGATGTGTGGTATTATTTCTGAAGTCTTTGTTCCATTCCATTGGTCTATATATCTGTTTTGTTAACAGTGCCATGCTGTTTTGGTTACTGTAGCCTTGTAGCATAGTTTGAAGTCAGGTAGTGTGATGCCTCCAGCTTTGTTCTTTTTCCTTAGGACTGCCTGGACTATATGGGCTCTTTTCTGGTTCCATATGAAATTTAAAGTAGTTTTTTTCTAATTCTGTGAAGAAAGTCAATGGCAGCTTTATGGAATGTGGGGCTTAAAACCTAGATGACAGGTTCATAGGTGCAGCAAACCACCATGGCACATGTATACCTATGTAACAAACCTACACATTCTGCACATGTATCCCAGAATTTAAAGTAAAAAAATAAAATAAAAAACAAAATAAATGGACATAGTAACATGTATTAGTCACAAAAAATATGTTGATCAAAAGAAAGCAGGCACAAAATAGTATATACTGTATTTTTTAGTTTATTTGAGTTTTTAGAACAGACAAAACCAATACGTGGGAACTGAAATCTGAATATTTTCTAACCTGTGTGGAATCAGGACCTACTAGAAGGGATTAAATTGCATTCTGAGGTGAGAAAAATTTCCAATCTTGAACAGGGTGGTGGTAATCTGGGTGTATACGTTTATGAGAACTCATTGAATTGTAAAATTTAAGATACGAGCATTTCAGTATATGTAAATTTTACCTCAGGGAAAACCATGAGGAGATTTAGAATAACTGCATTAATGATGCTGAAGGGATTTTAACGGCTGTTTCGGCATAAAGTCAACCCTACGCACATTCCAACCTGACCATACCACATCTTGATTACTATATTTTATTTCAAAAACCAAATTTGTAATGTTTGCCAATGTGTGCATTTATAGAGGATTATAGTCCTTAAAATATTATTAAAGAAGAAAAGAAGAAGTAATGGCAATGCTTATTATGGAAAATAGACTGTATCTTGGTGCAAAACTACTAGATGTTTTCAAATAATTGAGGAATAATCACATGAAGCAGGAACTAAAATTGCTAAGTATGAGACAAACGGACATAACAATGACAAATTGATGGAGTCTACAGGATAAAATATTTTTATTATTTATTCATGCAAACAGTAAATCAATCTGAATTTATTTTGTAATAGAAAAAAACATAGTATGTATTTTTGGTTTTGGTGGTATTCAAAGACAAGGAAAGAATCTGCACCTGGCTGGAATGCTGTAGCTGCATTTAAAAATTGTGGTTAGTATGCTAATCAACTTTGTTTCCTTTCAATATGGGAGTTTATTGCTGTTACTACTGTTGTTGTTGTTTTTCTTTAGTATGTTCATATCACTGTACTGTGTAGCAACAATTTACTTTTTCAGACCTAAAACATTAGTAACAATTAGTAACATATGGAAACCAAATATATATATATATATATATACACACACACACATATATATATACACACATATATATATATATACACACATATATATATACACACACACATATATATATATACACACATATATATATTTGGTCAGAGCAATGTTTATATCTAGAGGATCAAAGTGAATATACATATATAAAATATATATAATATGTACATAATATATATATATGAAATCAAGTTTCATTTTTAAGACAGTCAAATTATTTTTTTAAATAACATTAATTGATGATTGATGTTGTTTTGTTTCTAGTAGGACTAGTTTGTGCATAGCTTCCAAAATATCTGTGATGCTAGAATTTCTATAGTAAAGGCTAACTAGAAACGCGTCACTGTCAGGAACTGGGAAAACACTACTGGGATGCAGTTCAAATTTTATGTAAACCTATGGCATAATTATTATATTTTTTAAAATTTCTCTTCTAACACCCAAATTAATATACTACTACTTTAGCTGGAGCACATTTAAGTGTATTTTCTGATTCCTGGACCGTTTTATTCTTACCAATAGTTCAACTGAATGTATCAGCAGAGTTGGGGATAGGCAGCAGGAAATGCAATGGCAACTACCCGTTAGTATTGGCTCAAAAGACAGGATCATGCCATTCCGTATCAAATCCAGTATACATTAACATAGCTGGAGGTATATTCCAGAGATAAATATTGAAACACAGTAATCAAAGTGGGTCAGAGGAATGTTTATATCTAGAGGATCAAAGTGAATGAAATGGGATGAAATGTGTATTCTGAGTAGAAGTCAGAGTTCAGGTAAATGGGTAATTCTTAACCAGATAGTAAGGTAGCACCTAGCATCTCCCCAGGGTATTTTTGATATTCTGATGACTTTGTCATGATAAGAACTTCGAATTTCAATTTTTTTAAATGTTAGTAACTCAGAAGAATTTTTAATGTCATTACAAATTACCAGCTGTTACAGGTTGTATTATTTGTCCACAGTTCTTTCTGCTTCCTCCGCTCTTGCCATAGCTTCCCTGTGGGTAGAGTATACATTTTTGCCCACTAATTTGTGGTTTTGTCATGTGAGTTGCTTTACACTATGGAATGTGTACAAAAATCATAATTTCAACATGAGACTTTAGAATTCTTGAAAAGATACCACCGGCTTTCTTGGGGTTGCTGGCCTTGGTTATAAAGAATGCATGCCCAGGAAGCCTTTGTTTAGGCCCCAGAATGAAGATTTTCCTGTAGCAGATCTACACATAACTCAAAGCCAGTAGTTTATCCCAGTTCAACAGAGCCCAGGTAATCCTACCTGAGTTTAATCAAATTGAAACTTACCTACAGATCCATAAGCATTAAATAAATGATTGCTTTTATGGAAGGTACTAGATTTTTGGCATTGGTTGCTATGCAGCTTTATCACAGGAGCTGTGTTACCATCCAGAACCGGAGCCTAACTAAACATTGTTTGTTCATAATGATTGGAGGCTTAGCCGTGATATATGCTAGTTCAGTTAGAGCAAAGATTATATGTTTATTCTACAATTTTTTTTTCTGTGTGACTACTATGAGTTAGACAATGTTCACAAGATTTTAAGTAAGACTAGACATGGTCCATGCTTTCATGTCACTTACTTACTGTATAAATAGACAGTTATTAATTATAGTTCTGCTAATACAAATGTAAGTTTCCAACTGTTCTAAGGACTACTAAAAGAGTACCTTGAGATGAGGTTTAGACCCAGAAAGAAAGGTTAAGAGAAACTTTTCTAAATATGTAATACTCAAGGCACAATGTAATCATTTCAAGGAATTGGTTGATTGAGGACAGAAGGGCATTTTAGCAGAGGTACAATGTATGTTGGGCAAGGTATATCATGGTAAATACAAAAAAACTAACATAATGCTAATTCTGGGAGTGTGCAGGAAAGCAGATCGGACATGATTTGGGATAAAGATTAAAAAGTAATTAGGATAAAATTATAGGACCGTTTTAGGCTGAATTTGAGTTTTCGCTTTTTTCTCTGGGAGCACTGGGAAGCCCTTGAAATGATGGAAGCAGCATGATAAACATAATCAATTTTGCATTTTAAGAATATGGGAATGATTGAAGTGAGAGATTATGTTAATTTGGACTAATATGGTGGCGATGGAGATTAAAAATGACAAAATTAAGGATGGTTATTAGGTAAAATAAAGAGTAAATGTTATAATTTATTATAGAATGAAAGAAAAGACAGAGGCAGGAATGACTCTTAGGTTTTTGGCTAGTGTCATTGGGTGCGAAGCTAATAAATGGCTAACTTAAAATACAGGCCCGTATACAAACTTAATGTGGTATTGATGTATTTTGCAAGCAAAAATGTATTCATAAATGTCTCCATATTTTATGGTCCCTTTATCTACATATATTTGATCTTAAAAGATCCAACATTGAAAAAAATTTTAAATAGGAGTCAAGACTATGAAAATCACTAAAAATCATGCATTTACATGGGAATTAAACAACATGGTCCTGAGAGATTTGGAGTGGCTAAATAATGAAATTAAAGCAGAAATCCGAAAGTTCTTTGAAAATAATGAGAACAAAGTTACAACATACCAGAATCTATGGGACACAGCTAAAACAGTGTTAAGAGGGCAGTTCATAGCACTACATGCCCATATCAAAAAGTTAGAAAGATCTCAAATTAGCAACCTAACTTCACAAATGAAAGAATTAGAGAAGCAAGAAAAAAATCAACCCCAAACCTGGCACAAGATGAGAAATAACAAACATCAGAGCTGAATTGAAGGAAATAGAGATATGAAAAACTATTCAAAAGATCAACAAATCTAGGAGTTGGTTTTTTAAAAAATAAATAAAACAGGCCACTAGCTAGAGTAATGAAGAAAAGACACAAAATCAAAATAAACACAATTAGAAATGCCAAAGGGAATGGTACTACTGACCCCATAGAAATAAACAACCATCAGAAACTACTACAAACACCTCAATGAACACAAATGAAAAAAAAATTATAGAAAGAATCCTCATGGCTCTGCCTGTGTAGAAATCATAACAAATAAATCTGTTTCATTGAGCAAATTCAGAAACAGTTCAACTTTAAAAAGAGAAAAAGAATAGCAGCCACAACAACAAAAGACAAAGTATCAGCAATTGATTTGAATATCTGGAGAACATTATTTTCAAGAGCTCAAAAACTGTGTGGTGAGAATAACCACGAGTCATTGATTTCTTACGGTCAATTATGGAGTAGATTGTACAAATATTTATCATTGCCTTTTATTAGTTATACTTAAATGAGTTTCATTGAGAAATATAATGTGATAAAATATTTTAGATTTAATGTTAGAAAACTTGGCTTTTGTTATTGCTTTGTGTGAAGAGTTACATGATCTTGGTAAAATCTTACCTTTCTTGGTTTTAGTTTTTGTACTTAAAAACTTAGATGATCATTGGGAGGCTGAGATGGGTGGATCACAAGGTCAAGAGATTGAGACCACCCTGGTCAACATGGTAAAACTCCATCTGTACTATAATTACAAAAATTAGCTGGATGCAGTGGCACATGCCTGTAGTCCTAGCTACTTGGGAGGCTGAGGCAGGAGAATCACTTGAACCCAGGAGGCAGAGGTTGCAGTGAGCCGAGATTGTGCCACTGCACTCCAGCCTGGGTGACAGAGCGAGGATCCAACTCAAAAAAAAAAAAAAGAAAAAAATGATAATTAGACTAAATTAATGCTGGCATACTTCCTCTGCCTCCACTTCTATCATAATAAAATTCTGCACTTCTGAACATATACTTTAGGTTAATTTTTCAATATGGTAGCATGATAAGACCAGCAGATCTTTTGCAGAATCAGTCTAATTAAATCGTTTGGCCAGAAGCAATAGCTGGAAATAGCTCTGAGATTCATTTATGACATGTATGTTAATATCTTCCACTATGTTTATGGATTTGCCTATTTTTTCAAGTCTATATATTTAAAACTATATTTTTGGGTACATGCTGTATCATTTTCTATGATTTATTATTATATCCTCTCAACTGTTTAATGATTTGTATATAATGTGTCTCTCTGATAAGATGCATACAATTGAGTTTTGTAGAATTCTACTTAGAATTTTCAGTTCAATTTGATTTAAAGTAATTATCAATATGTTTATGTCTCTGTATATCATGTTATTTTCTATTTAATGCATTTTTAAAGTTCCAGTTTCTCTCCTTTATTAGTTATGTGGAATAATTAAAAATTTTAATTGTTCCTTTTGCCTTTACTAATCTTAGTTGCCTTGGAGGATTTAATTAATACATATTTTAAGAGTTCGCATGAATTTTTTACAGCATAAAAGAGAATATTATACTTACCATTTCCCCACTGATGTTACTAAGCACCAGAAACACATTGACTTCATATAACATGAGTTATTCTTGCATTTATATTCTCATGAATTTTAATTCCACTTATTCCACAACTGTCATTTTTTGCATTAATACTGTCAATATTTACTAATATTTATCCACATATATTCCCTTTTAATTGCTTTTTATTCTTTCCAAAATTCCAAGTTAATCTCAAAGATCATTTCTTCATGCTTAAAGAAACTTTAGGATTTATTTTATTTTATTTTCATTTTTTTTGAGACTGGATCTCACTCTGACACGCAAGCTGGAGTACAGAGGCACAATTACAGGTCACTGCAGCCTCAATCTCCCAGGCTCAAGTGATCCTTTAGTCTCCAGCTCTTGCATAGCTGGGACCACAGACACAATCTACAATGCCCAGGTAAAATTTTTATATTATTTGTAGATATAGGGTTTAGCCCTGTAACCTAGGCTCGTCTTGAATTTCTTGACTCAAATGATCCTCCTGCCTGGGCCTCCCCACAAAGTGCTGGGATGACCGGTTGTGATACCATGCCCAGCCCAGTATTTCTATTAGAGATGATTTCCAGGCAATAAAGACTCTAAGGTTTATTCTTTATCTTCATTTTGTTTCCCTGTAATTTTTTTTTTAATTTTGAAAAATAAGCCAGACTTAAACATTGCAAGAATAGAAAAATAATTCCTGGATACCTTTATTTTTACTATATTTACTCTTTCTCTCCCTCAATATCTTTACTGTCTCTCCACATTCACACACACACACACACACACACACACACACACACACACAATCTTTCTCAAACACACATGCACTCACACACACTCATATAATTATACACGCAGCACACAAATGTATTTTTGAAGCATTAGAAAGTAGGTTGCATATATGATGTCCCTTTCTCATTAAAGAGTTCCATGTGTTTCTCCTAAAAATAAGAGCATTATCTTAGATAGACACATGACAACTATCTAAATCAAGTAATTAAAGGTGATACAATATTATCTAATATCAAATGTTATTCAGGCTTTGTCAACTTCGCAAAAGTCCTTCTTCAAAACAAAATTCAGCATTATTAATCTAATTCAGGCGTAATGCATCTTTGTTACTTTTAAATATAAAATAGCAAGTGATCCTTTTGTGTATTTCATAATATTGAAAATTTTGAAAGTTACAGGCAAATTACTTCGTATATTGTGTATGTATGTACGTATATATAAATAAATATACATATAGTATCTTGTCCTTTAGTTGGTTTTTTAAATGATATTACCTCATTAGAATCAGGTTATATACTTTTGACAGGAATACCACAGATGTAATATGGTGTTGTTTTTAGTAGATTATATGGGAAGGGGAAGCCTGTGCTATCACTTTGACTAAATACTGCTGATATTCAATTTGACTATTGTTTAAGGTGGTGTCAGGTTTCTTCATTGCACAGTTACTATTTTATCTTTTATACTTAATAAGTCACCTGTAAGAATACAGTTTGTTATTATGTAACTACCTTGTTTCTCTCAAAATTTGCCCACTAGTTTTATAACTCATTAATAATTCTTGTCTACACCCAGTATTATTTGATGCCTGCCAAAATGTTATTTTTTAATTTCATTTCAATATGTACTTTTACTTTGCTAGGCTTTTTATATCAGTGTCTACTCATGTACTCTTATTTCTTTCAATGGATTATAAGAATCTAAATTTTACATTCATTTTAATTCTCTTATAATCCACTGGGCCCAGTTTCTACTGTTTTTATTTTATCTTAGTGTTCAGTCATATGTTCAGTCTTACAGCTTTCGAGATAACACAAACATTTGGACTGTCAAATTAGCCTTAACACAAATGGCATATTTTAAACAGTATCACATTTCCTAATATTTTGAAGGTTACTGGCAAGAGGGAAAGACAGGCCAAGTTTCTCTTAGAAAGGTCAGAAACAATCAGGCACAAACTCTTTACTTTATAAAATGTCTTTTTTAAAATCCACTGAAGGATTCATTTTGCTCTAGCTTTAGTCAGAATGATAAAGATAGATATAAGCAACATATATGACATATTGCTTGAATAGAATGAGCCAAATAATTTATTTAAGGATCTTATTTATATTATTTTAATTCTATGGCTTACCTAGCATTTTTCAAGGAACTTAGCCATACTTTCACAAATTCCAGGTTTATTTACAATAAAGAGCCTACACAGACCCAGTATCTTCTGTTAAAGGTACTCCATATACAAAAATACTCTTACTAGTAAACAGTCAGGAGGTATGATATGGTTTGGCTCTGTGTCCCCACCCAAATCTCATGTTGATTTGTAATTCCCAGTGTTGGAGGAGGGGCGTGGTGGGAGGTGATGGAATCATGGGGTCAGACTTTTCCCTTGCTGTTCTCATGACAGTGAGTGAGTTTTCACAAGATCTTGTTGTTTAAAAGTATGTAGCACCTCCCCCTTCAACTCTCTGTCCTGCTCCACCATGTGAAGATGCACCTGCTTCCCCTTTGCCTTCCACCATGATTGTAAGTTTCCGGAGGCTTCCCCAGCCATGCTTCCTGTATAGCGTGTGGAACTGTGAGCCAATTAAACCACTGTTCTTTATAAATTACTCAGACTTGGGTAGTTCTTTATAGCAGTGCGAGATCCGACGTTACCAAGTTTCCATCTCTTTTTTATCCAGGATGTTCCCAGTAAAGATGAAGAGTCTATTTCAAGCTGCTACCATTTTTTTCTAAGCCTATTTAAATATTTTTGATTGTTTATATCTTCACTTTTTACACTTGCTCAAGATTTTGTTATCTTTTTTAGAGAATGAGTTCACCATTATTTCTACTACTAAGCCAATACAGTGGTGGCGACCACCTTAATTCAATAGAAGGGTATGGGTCTCATGCCACATGAGGCTCAGTCAACCTCCAGGTTACCAGTGACCTTCCAGGGTTTTCAACATAAATCCTGGTACATTTTGAGACTCCTCACTCTGGAAGATTTCAATTTCTTTTTCTTTCTTTCTTTTTTTTTTTATTTCCCCATTTCCAAAAGCTCCTCTCTGCTTTTCCAAGATTTTGGACTTAAGTTTTTACTCTATCACTCCATGTATTTGCAGAATAAGGTAGCCAAAGTGGCCATATGCTTGAAGCCACTGGTTTCCGCCAAATGATTTTCTGAGTAAGGTTTGTAAAAAACTGAATTTTCAGCTTCCTTTGCACACATAGTATTAACAAATAACCACCTGGTAAAACTAATGTTTGTCCCTATCCACAGTTAGCTCTTCTAGTTCTACTTGCCTCAGTAACTCACTACTACCTTCGTACAATTGATTTCTGTATTTCTTATAAGTTTACTTATTGCTCTTGTCATGGTACCTCATCCTGAAACAGGAAATTTTCCTTGACCCCTGCATAAGTATCACAACAGGGGTGCCTCATTTACTCAGCCTGCAGCTCTCAACCCCTCACAGGAAGGAAAGCACACAGGTGAGTGGGTAGGGGAGCCTGAGTGAGCACTTTTGGCCACCATCAGGAGCAAAACTTTGTGCGGCTTTGCATCAGCATCTAGGAGGGTACCCATGACCCTTGAAGCCTCAGAGGGTGTGTGTTACAGTGCTCTTTTAGCTTTGCTGCCTGTGGACGGCTTACATATTAAACAGCTCAGTGGGCCCTCAGCCTTTTTGGGAGGACAGAGGGTCAGTGTAACAGCCTTCAGTGTCTACACCTATGGCACCCAAGCTCTTGTTCATTGTTCAGGAAAAATCAGGTCACATGAATGAAATGAAGGGTGGTGAATACAGAGGATTTTATTGAGGGAAGGGGAGCTGGAAGGAGAATGGAGTGGGAAGGTGATCTTCCCCCAGAGTCTGGCTGTCCCTGGTCAGACTCCTATCTGAAGCAATGCCATCAAGCCATCCCTCTGAAGTCAAGCTGATTCTCTACAATGTCAAACCACAGTCTCCGACATCCAGCTGCTTCTCCTCTTCTCCCTTTCTCTGCCCTCTGATAGTTGGGTTAGGGGTTTTTACGGGTACAGGATAAGGGGCAGGGTGGAACATGGGTGGTTTTGGAAAAGGTAATATTTGAGTGGTAAAACAGGAATGCATGTTCCCACTTTGGGCCCAGTTTCAGGCTTGAGGGTGGCGCTTTGCCAGGGGTCCCACCCTTTTCTGCCTAGAATTTCTCTGCCTCCTGTCCCTATCAATTTTACTTCAAAGTAGAAGTCCTATTTGCTTAAGTGAAGCGGTGTTCCTCAAAATTTCAAAGTTATAAGAATTCTCAATATAAATCTCTACAGAATGTAGTTTATTAAGGTATATATTTAAAACTTTTTAAGAAATTACATTATCTAGTTTTGTAAACACTGAGCCAAAATGTACAGAAATTAATTTGCCACATAGCATATATTTACATTGATGTACTATTCCAATGTGTTAATAACATGTAAATAGGTATTTTAATAGCTATTTGACAAGAAACAAGTTATTATTATGAATATGATCACTTATACTTACACATTAGCTTTGGGCAAAATATATGATTGTCTCTTAAAATTTACATTTTACAAACCAATTTAGATAAGTAACCATGAAGATACATACATCAACAAACCATTCAGAAGGAATACTATTTTGCATAATTACTGCCTGAATAGTAAGAGGTGGTTAGTATCGATGGTTACAGCATCATTGTTGAAAGGTCTATCCCTTCTAACAGAGTAGTGTGATACCCTTTTATCACTGAAGTGTTGCAGGTGGGAGAGGATGGAATGGTATGGAAAGATATAGGAGTGAATTATTCATATTTCACATCGTACCATTTCCCTGAGTGTTTACAAATTATCTAGGATTTCTCAGTTGTGTTAAATACCACATGAGGAGACAAAAATGGGATAGTTAGCTGACCTCTAAGGGGATCACAATTTGAGAAGTAGGAGAAAGGCTGGGTATAGTTTGAGATACGCTGCATTTTTAGATCAATTGGGATTTCAAAGCATATAATTATGTCATCTAAAGATGGTCAAAATGTTGTCTGTGTTTCCTTCAACATTAAACTCTTATTTCTGTTTCAAGTCATATTAAATTGATTAAAAACCTAAAATTATGTAATTATACAGACAGGCATTTTTATGTTTCTTTTGACTTTAGTAAGAATGCTTTTATAATTTACCATCAATTTTTTTTTTTTGCCGTGTGTCTTGAACTTAATTTTTTTTCCAATGCTCAAGAAGTATTCTGTGCTTCAAGATTTCAGGAGGATTAGTGTGTGCGTGTGTGTGTATTCAATTATGAATGAGTATTGAATCAAATTTTTTAAATGATTTTTTGTTTGAAGTTATGGTAATCATATGTTCTTCTTCCCTATTGTTGGCACATCAATACACTTTATTGTATTAATATATAGCTTAATATTATTCATTCTATTAATATAATTCATCATTATATATTTTATTCATACTCTCAGAATTGAATTTGTTCTTGACATCCAAACGTAGAGTCATGGATGTTAAAAAAATAGCAAATAAAACAAAATTTAAATGAAAATAACAACTATAAAATATGAAGAACGCTCTAAGAGAAAAATGGTCTCATGGTTATGAGTCAAATATAGATAATATATATGGAGCAGGAGGTGCCCCTGAAGGGGTAACATTTAATTTGAGACATGAAGAATGTGTCAAATTTTAGTGAGATGAAAAGTTAAAAAAAATCCAGGTTATGGAAAGTGTGTGTGTGTGTGTGAGTGTGTGTGCGTGTAACAGAGAGAGAGAGAGGAAGGGACAGAGGAAGAGAGAGAGAGAGTAATCACTTTCAAAAGTAAAAGAATGATAGTCATTGTGGCTTAATGTTATCAAACAACAACTAGGGCTGGCAGAAATAGAAACAAAATCATCATTGTTTTATTGGGCTAAACACTATTTGTGATACGTCACTAAAGTGAAATATAGAAAAATTTGAGTCACCAGTAGTAATTTTAAATTTTCACATCTGTATTATAAAATTAGTGTGGTCTATAGTCAAATACTTAAATCTATTTTGGAGATCAAAGATTCATTTGAAGATCTGACACAAATAATGATCTCTCTCCACTACATATTGTTCATGTATGAGTACACATTTGCTGACATAATGGATTTGTTTATCGTTATAATCATCATCTTTTTCTGTGCTTCTTGCATTTTGTTCTTCCTTTGTGCTTGCACTTCAATATATCATGTTTACAATTTCAACAATATATGATTCTAACTTTGTTGAAATAACATTTTAATAGTATATATGAAATAATACTGTTTAACATAAAAATAAAGGTTTTCACGTAGACATTTTATAAAGAATGGTTAATCAAAAATTAAGAAATGAAAAATTACCCAAGAATCTTATGTAAAGACAACTTATACTCTGTGTTTAATTTCCTAACTTTATCTATGCATACAAGTGCATTTTAACAGAAACAGTTATATTGTGAATAATTTTCTCTCTTTCATTGCAATATAGTATTCTTTTTGGCTCTTTAAGTATATTCTAAAAAGTTAATTTTAAGAACATTAGTGTGTCATTTTCTAAATGTGTAACAGACAGATTTTCAGAAAATAGGCAGGGTTGTTCCCCTACCTCCTAGTCTCTTAGCTCTGTACAACTGGATCCCAATACCCTTTATTAGATATGAAAACAGCAATGATTATAATCTCTGTACACTACACCCAGAGAAGGAGCCAATATAACTGAGAGATAGACATAATTTTTGTCTTTGACTTCAAAAACAATTCTTGAGACTCATTTTAGAGGCAAATCAAAGCTTATTTAAAAATAAATATAGGGTGGACATGGTGGTTCACACCTGTAATCCAGCACTTTGGCAGGCCGAAGTGGGCAAATCGCTTGAGCTCAGGAGTTTGGGAGCACCCTGGGCAACGTAGCGAAACCCCGTCTCTACAAAAAATACAAAAATTAGCCAGGTGTGGTGGCATGCGCCTGCAGTAGTCCTAGCTAATAGGGAGGCTCAAGTGGGAGGATAGCTTGAGCTCAGGAGGCAGAGATTGTGGTGAGCTCAGATTGTGCCACTGCACTCCAGCCTAGGCAACGTAGCCAGCTGATGTCTCAAAAAAAGTATACTCTCTCACTCTCTCTATATAATATATATTACATACATCATACTCTTTCTCTCTCTATCCCTATATATTGAGAGGAAAAAGAATTTATATATATATATATATATATATATATATATATATATATATATATATATAGTGTGTGTGTAATTTTTAAGTTCTAAGTAATTATATTAAAGTTTCAGAAGATAACATTTATTCCACAGAATATAAAAGTGTGAAGATGAAAGATTGATTTTTCCCTACACAAAGAGAGATAAAATTTTGATTATAGAATAAAAGAAAAACAATTCAATGAAACAGGAGGATTAATGTCCCTGTGATAGGACCTAGATCTCATCCCTGCACTACGAGTGGGAGTTGTCATTAGAAATCACGGAAAAGTATGTGGTATCTGGAGGAAGAGAGGACTTATTCCTGGAGAGAAAGTGATGGAGCCAGCAAGTCAAAGATAGTTCACTTTGTCCAACATGATTCTATAGGAGTCACATTGGCAAGCCTGAAGTAGGCAAATTTACTGAGGTTTGACTGCATGATCTTCTGTGCAAGAAGATTCAGCTATTCAATATACCACAAAGATTTGGAAAAGTGGGATTTATATGAGGAGGAGGAAAGAGAACAATTACAGAATTGACATCTGGATAACAAAAGGAAACATGGACATGTTGACTGCAATGCATTTGGGTGAGTTACTAATGACCAAAAGCCTTTGGAGGCTGTACATTAGAATGAAAGCCAGCATGCTCACATGCTACTCTACAGGAAGAAACTTCTTTGTGCTTAGAATTTTTAAGCCTCACAGGAGTCACAGCATTGTAGAGAGAAATGAAGAAGGAAAAATTATTTGGCCTCTCCAGCCATGCGGAACTGTGAGTCAATTAAACCTCTTTCCTTGATAAATTACCCAGTCTCATGCACTTCTTTATAACAATATGAAAATGGGCTGATACAGTAAATTGGTATGAGGAGTGGAGTGCTGCTATAAGGATACCCAAAAATGTGGAAGCAACTATGGAACTGTGTAACAGGCAGATATTGGAACAGTTTGGAGGGCTCAGAAGAAGACAAGAAAATGTGGGAAAGTTTGGAACTTCCTAGAGATTTGGAAGGCTCAGAAAACAGGAAGATGAGGGCAAGTTTGGAACTTCCCAGAGACTTGTTGAATGGCTTGGAGCAAAATGCCAATAGTTATATTAACAATAAAGTCTAGGCTGAGGTCGTCTCGAATGGAGATGTGGAACTGTTGGGAACTAGAATAAAGGTCACTCTTGCTATGCAAAGAGACTGGTAGCATTTTGCCCTTGCTCTAGAGATCTATGACACTTTGAACTTGAGAGAGATGATTTAGAGTATCTGACAGAAGAAATTTCTAAGTGGCAAAGCATTCAGGAGGAAGCAGAGCATAAAAGTTTGGAAAATGCGCAGCCTGATGAGGTGACAGAAAAGAAAAACTCATTTTCTTGAGAGAAATTCAAGCCTGCTGCAGAAAGTTGCATAAGTAACAAGGAGTTGAATGTTAATTACCAAGACAGTGGGGAAAATGTCTCTGGTACATGTCAGAGTCCTTCACAGCAACCACTCCCATCACAGACCCAGAGGCCTAGGAGGAAAAAATGATTTATTGGGCTCACCCCAGGACCCCGCTGCTCTGTGCAGACTCTATACATGGTGCCCCGAGTATCAGCTGCTTCAACTCCAGCCATGGCTAAAAGGGGCAAAGATACAGCTCATGCTGTTGCTTCAGAGGGTGCAAGCCCTGAGCCTTGGTGGCTTACATGTGGTGTTGGGCTTGCTGGTGCACAGAAGTCAAGAACTGAGGTTTGGGAACCTCCACCTCAATTTCAGAGAATGTATGGAAATGCTTGGATGCCTAGGCAGAACTGTGATGCAGGGGTTCTCTCTAGCATGCAGAACCTCTGCTAGGACAGTGCAGAAGGGAAATATTGGTCAGAGCCCCCCACAGAGTCCCTACTGGGGCACTGCCTAGTGGAGCTGTGAGAAGTTCAGAGCCTATAGCTGGCAGTGAATGGCAAGAATGAGTTCTCAGACAATTCCAGCTGAGTGGGGTGGGGGACCACTCTTCTGAGAGAGTGTCACCCCAGAATCCATTGTCAAGTATTTATTGAAAGGGTTTATTAAACTACAAACAGTGACTAGATGGCCATTTGAGGTCAGGTTGTGAGATAACTATGGCCTTGTAAAAGCACTCAAACCGTATTCTCAGGAGGCTGTTTCCAGCGTTCCTTATCACACACTCAACTCCTTGTCCTGTTTTCAGGGTCAAAGAGTGGCATTCCCATGCACAAATAACATACACACAGTGCCTCAGTATTGTTACATGCCCCAACCTCAAATGCCTTGTACATCAGCTTGAATATGTTGCCATGCACCCCCAACAAGAAGAGGGCGACCATTCTCCAGACCCCAGAATGGTAGATTCACCAAGAGTTTGTACTGTGCACCTAGAAAAGCCACAGGAACTCAAAGCCAGCCTGTGAAAGCAGCCAGGAGGGAGGCTGCACCCTGCAAAGCCACAGGGGCAGAGCTGCTCAAGGCCATGGGAGACCACCTCTTGCATCAGCATGACCTGGATGTGAGACATGGAGTTAAAGGAGATCATTTTGGAGCTGTAAGATTTCACTGCACTGCTGGATTTCAGACTTGCATGGGGCCTGTAGCCCCTTTGTTTTGGCCAATTGTTCCCACTTGGAGCAGGAATATTTAACCAATGCCTGTATCCTCATTGTATCTAGGAAGTGACAAAGTTGCTTTTGATTTTACAGGCTCATAGAAGGGACTTTCCTTGTCTCAGATGAGACTTTGCCCTGGGACTCTTGGGATAATGATAGAATAAGTTAAGACTTTTGGAAACTGCTGGGAGAGCATGAATGTGTTTTGAAATGTAAGGACATGAGATTTGGAAGGGGCCAGTGGTGGAATAATATGGTTTGGCTGTGCCCACTGCCCTGATAAAAAAAAAAAAAAATCACCTTGAATTGTAATAATCCCCACATGTCAAGGGCAGGACCAGGTAGAGATAATTGAATCCTGGGAGCAGTATTCCCCATGCCACGGGGGCAGCATCTCCCATGTAAGTTTCCTGAGGCCTTCCCAGCTGTGCAGAACATTGAGCCCATGAAACCTTTTTTTTTTTAATAAATTACCCAGTCTCAGGTATTTCCTTATAGCAGCATGAGAATGGACTAATACTAGTGAAACTGGGAAGGAAGGGAGAGTATATTTCTCCACAGTGAAATTCATTTTTGTGATCTAATTATCTGTACTTCCTATGACCATTATACCTGTCAGCCATGTTCATACAAGACTGCTGAAGATCAGTGCTTCTGATATTAAGTTCTGTCTTTCTGTCACACAGAATCTGAGTTAAGTGACTTCAAAAGGAGTTGACGTATTGTGAATAGGAATTGCATGGTATTCTGCAAATAAAAGTTGGTATTGATGACTGAAGTAATGTCACTAGTCACTACTGGGTTAAGGTCATGTTCTAATGACAATCCTCATGTCAATCAGAAACACCTTCTGGTACAAGATAGAATGCATATTAATCTCCCTCCGGGGAAATGAAAACAATGGATATGTTTCTAGTGATCAACCCTTGTGTCAGGATGGAAATATTTGCTGGCTGAAAGTGTCATATTCAGCAGGAAGATAATTCTGTATAGGCTTCTCTTTTTATCATGAAGACTATTGTATTTTATTAAGGATGGGTTTCTAAAATAATTATTGCCATTAGTCTTTGAAATGGAATTTGCACAGGCCAGCTCTCTCAAACTATTTTGACATTTTGAAGACCCCTACTCATTTTTCCTCATCTTATTAAACCTGTGGCCCAGATAGCAAGCTGATCTCTGCCCTGCCTGGGCATATGATATAGTCATTTATTTCTAATAGGTTTTAAACATCTTAGGTAGTACTTGTACTAAAATACATAAAGGTGGATCACAGCCAAGCCTTTCCTATGTCTTGTCTGAAAGAAGGTGCTGGTACAGGAAGTCCAGGTTCAGCTAAGTGCTGAGTTATCTCATGGTGAGTCTGAAAGTAAGAAAAAAGTGTCTTTCTTTGTGATAGAAGTAGTCAAATGAGGGAAAGCAGGTTCATCCTTAAAAAGATCGTTTTCAAGATATTTTCTTGGACTGTGTTTCTTCCTGGGTATAAAATCATTTATGGGTATGATTTACCTGTCTTATATCCTAGCCAAGGCAATAGGATAAAATGAGATGAAGCAGGAAAAAAAAAAAGCACGTAGAAGCAGGAAAAAAAAAAAAGCACGTAGATCACTCTGACCTACTGCTGTGGTTCTCTGTCTTATGGGGCATTCTTTTCTGTACATGAGGTTTGCAGATGAGAAAAGTGGACATATTCCTCCTTCTTCTGAGCTTCTGTCATATTTCCACATTAATGACAGGTAAAACCTATTTAAGAGTCATGTTACAGTTCCTGGAATATGAACTATAAACCACCTGTTCCTATGTGAATGTATACATTGAATTTATCTTTAGCGTCTACAGTTTATTCATCCAAACAATTTTGTTCTAAATAAAACTCAGCACTGTAGGTGTCATAAAGTCTTTTACAAAGTTCACTGCCACTAACGGTTCATCTGAAATATTCAAATTCTATCACTTGAGGTCTTAGTCATGTGACACATTTTGTGATGCTTTCAAAGTTAAATGTTTGTCACAATCTAAGTTTTTCAAATGTTTGCAGTGTATGTAATCATTTTTAATTCATTTTGTTGTTATTGTTGAAGGGATATCTGTGTCTGTTAGATAGTATGGCATGAATTTATAACTCTTTACACATACTGTTTATTTCTGTTGAAATGGTATATGGACAGTCAATAAAGGCAGTCTCTAGTATATAAATGGGTTGCATCAGAAAAATTCATACATAAATTGGTTGCCTAGAAATTAGGGTAAATTTTCTCACATAATCGATACAATAAATTTTGATTCCCCCATCAGATTTCACTAACATAAATTCTATATCCTGGGATCAATGACATTATAATGTAAAAGACAGTGAAAAATGGAGAGACTAACTTTGCCTAGGATAAGTATAAGTAGAATTTTTAAAACAGAGAACTATGATTTTGATAACTTATCCTGTCCCTTTAAGGACTTTATGTACCCTTATCTTTTCAATCCTACTTCCCCAGACCTCTAGGTACACATGTACTGCCTATGCCTGCCCTGGATCAACTCAATCTCTTGTGCTGTGCCTCACATTCCAATTTAAAGTCCCTATCATCCTCAATCACAACATTGTGTCTTTACAAAAATACTAATTCAGCTAAGAAATAAAAGAAGTTAAATTAATTTCAATAAGGCTATGAGGGCCTCATAGGTATAAGCTACGTTATGGAAGAGACATGCCTACTTATTCCTTCATTATTTTCTCCCATTGAGGCTAGTACTTATATGACACTAGTATCTACTCAATAATGATTTGATTATAAAATAATATCTGCTAATTCTACATTTAATAATATGGAGTAATCACAATAGTATATATTATCTAATATTATTTATTTTCTAATAAAAAGTCTTTTAATAGATTCTTGCCTTAAACAGTGGTTTTTCTGTTTTAAAGAAGTTTGACAACTTCTTTAGGTAAAGAAAAATAACTTGAAGACCTAGTATGTCCTAGGAATAGTATTAGGTTGTTGCAAAAGTAATTGCAGTCTTTGCCATTATTTTTAATGGCAAAAGCTGCAATAACTCTTGCACGAACCTAATAGATGTTTTACATAAATTGACTCAAGTTAAAGTAAAATCTATGAAGTACATATCATCCTAGCTTTCAGGTCAGAAAACTGAAACTTTGTTAGTTCAAGAAACTAGCTAAGGATGGTTACTATTAGAGTTGGCATTCAAAACCCAGTTATGTCTGACTTCAAATATTATACTACTCTTTCTGCTAAAATAAACTGAGGGAGGTAAATAATGATGAAGCATGGACATAGAGTGTGAAATGACAGACAATGGAGACTCCAAAGGGTGGAGGGTGGGAGGGTTGTGGGTGATGAAAAAGTATTTCATGGGTACAATGTATTACTGTATTATTTGGGTGATGTATACATGAAAAGCCTAGCCTTCACCAACACCCCATATATCCAGGTAAAAAACTGCACTTGTACTACTTAATTTATACAAATTTTAAAAAGTATCAACTTCTGGAAATGAGGAAGAAGCATGTTGCTGATAATTTTTATTTCCTTTGTTTGAGGTGAAACCACGCTGGTCTTAAAACTTCTGGCAGTCTGCCTGTATTAGTTTATTCTCATGCTGTTATAAAGAACTGCCCATGTCTGGGTAATTTATTTTTTAAAAAAGGAGAGATTTAATTGACTCACAGTTCAGCATGGCTGGGGAGACCTCAGAAAACTTACAATCATGGTGAAAGGTGAAGGGGAAGCAAGGCGTCGTCTTCACAAGGTGGCAAGAAGGAGAAGTGGCAAGTGAAGAGGGAAGAGCTACTTATAAAACCATCAGAGATGTAGGTTTTCTTTTAAAATGATCTTTATCAGGTTTATAATTTGTTCTTACATTTCAATGCTACTTAGCATTCTTAATTATGATTGGGTGTTGAATGTTGTCAATTGCTTTTGTGCATCTACTGACATGGTGATATGACTTCTCTTCTTAAGCTGTTGAAAACAAACTACATTGATTGAGTTTTGGATGTTGAAAAATGCTTGCACTCCCAATGCAAACACCACTTGGTCATTACTATCTTTTTCATACCTTTATAGCTTCTATGTAGTATTATTATGTTGAGGAGTTTTTCTTGTTGTTGCTGTTGTCTAAATTTTTGGAAAATATCAGACTTAAATTTTCTTTTATTTTAATGTCTGTTACATTTTCTATCAGGATAATGCTGGCTTCCTAAAATGTGATGAAAGTTATAATTTTCAATATAACTTTATGCAAGCTTTTTTGAAAAATGTGATATTGTTTCTTCCTTGAAAGACTGACAGAATTTCCTTCCAGAAAGTTTTGTCTGATTATTGTTTGTTGTGTAGTTGTTAGGAGATTCTTAACTAAAATTTATTACCTTAATAATTTTATGATTGTTCCAAATATTCCTCATTTTCCAGTGAGTATTGTTAGTTTCTTTTTCAAGTAATTTGTTCATTTTATATAAGATTATGCACTCGTTGGCACATAGTTTAAATTTTTTTTTATTGTCCTGTTAATGTCCACAGGTTCTATAGTAATATCTCCTCTGCCATTTCTGATATTGGTAATCTGAATGTCTCCACTTTTGTAATAATTAAAATCTAGAGATTCATTAGATTTATTGATTTTCTCCACTGTATCTTTGATTTCAATTTCATTGATTTCTTGTTTATCTTTAATATTTTCTTTATTGTGCTGCATTGATTTTGTTTTTCTTTTCTCATTTCTAAATACAGAATCTTATGTCATTATTTGATTTTTTTTGTTTCTAAGATAAGCATTTAATGCTATGAATTCCATTTTCACATTATTTTATCTGCAATTCCCAAATTTTGATTTGTTGTGATTTCATTCCCATTTAATCTAAAATGTTTTCCAGTTTCTCTTGTGATTTTGATTTTGGCTTATGGGTTATGTAGAATTCAGTTGTTTAATTTCTAAATATTTTGGACATTTCTGGATATCGTTTTATTATTAATTCCCAGCTCAACTTTATTTTGGTCAAAGAACATACTGTGTGTGATTCCAATTCTTTTAAATGTGTTGGGTTAAATTACAAAAAATTAATGGTCTAGAATGCCATGAATCTTTGCTATATGCACTTCAAAGAATTATAAATTATGAAGTTATTAGGCGGGGCATTTGTGAAAACAAGTTTAAAAAATTGGGATCACAGTGTTCAAGTTTTCTATATATTTAGTTATTGATTTTCTAGTTGTTTTATTAATTACAGACAGATGAAAGTTGAGGTACTAAGCCATAGTTATACACTTGACCATTTATTCTTTTCAATCCATTGCATTCTGCTTTATGCATTTTGAGGCTTCTTTCAAAAATCGTACTTGTTTTAAATGATCATATATTCTTTGTGAACTGACTATTTTATCACTAAGTAACATTCTTCATTATAATTGTTAGATTTCATTTTTGTTAATCTATTTAGTCTGATAATTATAGAGTCATCCCAGCTTTACTTTAATTTTTTTAATGGTATATCCTTTTTTCATCCTTTTAACCTATCAGTTCCTGTATATTTAAAGCATATTTCTGGTAAGCAGCTTGTGGTTGGATCTTGCTTTTTCTGGAGTTTTAATGAATTGTGAGTTACTCATTATTTCAATTAATATCCATCATGGCTTTATTTTATACCTCATTTTCTGCTTTTCAGTGGTTTACATACAGCTTATAATATATAATTTAACACAGTCTAACTTTAGATAGTATTCTATCACTTCATGATTTATGTAATAACTTTACAATATATTCAAATTCTTTCTTCCAATTTTTCATGTATTTTTGTGATATGTGTGTATGAATTATCACAACGTTACTATTTTTGGGTTTGATAGTAAATTGCCTTTTAAAGTAATAAAATTAATGAAAAATATATTGATATCTATTAAGTTTTATTATTTCTGATTCTTTTCATTTATTTGTAGAGATTCAAATTTTAGTCTGGTATCATTTTCTGCTTTTTTAAGAACTTTCTTCAGAAATCTGCATAGCACAGGCAAGGAATTCTCTTATTTCCTTTTTTTACCCCTCAAGATATGTTTATTTCATCCTAATTTTATTTTTTTAATTACTTTTTTAAATAAACTTTTAAATTCAGAGGTACATGTGCAGTTTTGTCATATAGGTAAACTTGTGTCATGGAGGTTTGTTGTACAGATTATTTTTTCGCCCAGGTATTAAGCCTAGTACCCATTAGTTTTCCCTTCCTTATCCTCCACCTACTCCCACTCTCCACCCTCCCATAGGTCCCCTGTGTGTTGTTCTCCTCTCTGTAACCCTGTGTTCTCATCATTTAGCTCTCACTTGTAGGTGAGAACATGTGGTATTTGGTTTTCTGTTCCTGCATTAGCTGGCTAAGAATAATGGCCTTCAGTTCCATGCATGTTCTGGCAAAAGACAGGATTTCATTTTTCTTTATGGCTGCTTAGTATTCCATAGTGTATACGTACCACATTTTTCTTATTCAGTCTACCATTGATGGGCATATAGGTTGATTCCATGTCTTTGCTATTGTGAATAGTGCTGTGATGAACAAAGCCATGCATGTGTCTTTAGGATAGAAGGATTTATATTCCTCTGGGTATATATTCAATAATGGGATTGCCAGGTTGAATGGCAGTTCTGTTTTTAGGTCTTCAAGGAATTGCCACACTGTTTTCCACAATGGCTGAACTAATTTACAGTCTCACTAACAGTGTATCAGCATTCCTTTTTCTCCACAACTTAATTCACATCTGTTATTTTTTTACTTTTTAGTAATAGTCATTCTGATTGGTGTGAAACAGTATCTCATCATTGTTTTGATTTGCATTTCTCTAATGATCAGTCATGATGAACATTTCTTCATACGTTTGTTGGCCTCATGCATATCTTCTTTTGAAAAGCATCTGTTCATGTCTTTTGCATACTTTTTAATGCAGTTGTAAGTTTTTCTCATGTTAATTTGTTTGTTTCTCATAGATATTGGTTATTAGACCTTTATCTGATGCACAGTTTGCATTTTTTCCCATTCTGTAAGTTGTCTGTTCCCTCTGTTGATAGTTTCCTTTGCTCTGCAGATACTCTTTCATTTAATTAGATGTCATTTGTCAATTTTTGCTTTTGTTGCAATTGCCTTTAGCATCTTCATCATGACATCTTTGCCCATTCCTATGTCCAGAATAGTATTGCCTGGGTTCTCTTCCAGGGTTTTTTATAGTTTTTGGTTTTACATTTAAGTCTTTAATCCATCTTGAGTTAATTTTTATATATTATGTAAGGATGGGTTCCAGTTTGGATGCTCTGCAAATGGCCTTCCAGTTATCCCAGCACCATTAATTAAATAGGGAGTCATTTCCCCATTGCTTATTTTTTTCAGGTTTGTCAAAGATCAGATAGTTTAGGTGCGTATCCTTATTTCTGGGTTCTCTATTCTGTTCCATTGGGTTATGTTTGTTTTTGTACCAGAATCATGTGTTTTGGTTACTATAGCCCTGTAGAATGGTTTGAAGTCAGGTAGTGTGATTTCTCCAGCTTTGTTCTTTTTGCTTAGGAATGCCTTGGCTATTCGGGCTCCTTTTTGGATCTATATGAATTTTAAAATATTTTTTTCTAGTTCTGTGAGGAATGTCATTGATACTTTTAATAAGAATAGCATTGAATATATTAATTGCTTCAGGAAATATGGCCATTTTAATGGTATTGATTCTTTCTATCCATGAACATGGAATGCTTTTTCCATTTGTTTATGTTATTTCTGATTTCTTTGAGCAATGTTTTGTAGTTCTCCTTGTGGAGTTATTTTACCTCCCTGGTTAGCTGTATTTCTAGGTATTCTTTTTTGGGGGGCAATTGTAAATGAGATTGTGTTCCTGACTTGGGTCGTGGCTAGATGTTGGTTGGTGTATAAAAATGCTAGTGACTTTTGTACATTTATTTTGTGTCCTCAGACTTTGCTAAAGTTGTTTATCCCCTTAGAGTGTTTGGGTCAAGACTAAGGGGTTATCTAGATATAGGATCATATTTATTTTCTGCAAACAGGTATAATTTGATTTCCTCTCTTCCTATTTGGATGCTCTTTATTTATTCCTCTTGCCTAACTGCCCTGGCCAGGACTGACAATACTATGTTGAAGTGGTAAGAGAGAAGATCCTTGTCTTGTGCCAGTTTTCAAAAGGAATGCTTCCAGCTTTTATCTATTGTGTGATGTTGGGTGTGGGTTTGTCATACATGGCTCTTATTATTTTGAGGTATGTTTCCTTAATACCTTCTTTGTTGAGAGTTTTTAACAGGAAGCATTGTCGAATTTGATCAAAAGTCGTTACTGCATCTACTGAGATATCACATGGTTTTTGTCTTTAGTTCTGTTTATATGATGAATTAAATTTATTGATTTCTATATGCTGAAGCAGCTTTGCATCCCAGGCATAAAGCCTACTTGATCTTGGTGGATAAGCATTTCGATGTGCTGCTGAATTTGGTTTCCCATCATTTTATTTAGGATTTTTGCATTGATGTTTATCAAGGAGATTGGCCTGAATTTTCTTTTTTTTTTTTGTTATTGTGTCCATGCCAGGTTTTGGTATCAGGATGATGCTCACATCATATAATGAGTTAGAGAAGAGTCCCTATTTCCTTAATTTTTTTGCAAAGTTCCAGCAGGTATGATACAGCCTTTCTTTTACATTTAGTGAAATTCGGTGTGAATATGTCTGGTCCTCGACTTTTTGTGGTTGGTAGGCAATTTATTACTGACTCAATTTCAGACCTCATCACTGGCCTGTTTAGATATTCGATTTCTTCCAGGTTCAGGATTGGGAGGGTGTATGTGTCCCGGAGTTTATTCATTTCGTTTAGATTTTCTAGTTTGTGTGCATAGAGTTCTTCATAATATTCTCTGATGGTTATTTTTATTTATGTGGGGTCAGTGATAGTATCTTCTTTGTCATTTCTGATTGTGTGTGTTTGAATCTTCTCTCTTTTCTTCATTAGTCTAGCTAACAGTCTATCTATTTAAATAATTTTAAAAAATCAACTCCTGGATTCATTGATCTTTTGAATGGTTTTTCATGTCTTGACTTCCTTCAGTTCAGCTTTGATGTTGGTTATTTCTTGTCTTCTGCTAGCTTTGGGGTTGATTTGTTCTTGCTTCTCTAATTCTTTCAGTTGTGATGTAAGGTGGTTAACTTGAAATCTAACATTTGGATGAGTGCATTTAGTGCTGTGAACTTCCCTCTTAACTTACCTTAGCTGTGTTCCAGAGACACTAGTATGTTGTATCTTTTTTCTCATTAGTTTCAAAGAACTTCCTGATTTCTGCCTTAATTGTATTATTTGCCCAAAGTCATTCAGAAGCAGGTTATTGAATTTTCATGTAATTGTATGACTGTCAGTGAATTTTTTAGAGTCGAGGTTTTTGTGTTTTTTGTTTTTATCGCACTGTGGTCCAAGAGACTTTTTGTTATGATATCAGTTATTTTGCATTTGCTGAGGAGTGTTTTACTTCTGATTATGTGATACATTTTAGCCTGTGTGCCATGTGGTGATGAGAAGAATGTATATTGTGTTATTTTTGGGTGGAGAGTTCTGCAGAGGTCTATCAGGTCTGTTTGATCCAGTGCTGAGTTCAGGTTCTGAATATCTTTGTTAATCTTCTGTCTCTATGATCTGTCTAATATTGCCAGTGTGGTGTTAACATCTCCCCCTATTTTTGTGTGGGACTCTATGTCTTTTTGAATGTCTCTAAGAACTTGCTTTATAACTCTGGATTCTCCTGTGTTGGGTGCATGTATATTTAGAATAGTTACGTGTTGTTGAATTGAACCCATTACTGTTATGTAATGCCTTTCTTTGTCTTGTTTGATGTTTCTTGGTTTGAAGTCTGTTTTGTCTGAAATTAAGATTGCAACCCCTGCTTGTTTCTTTTTTCCATTTGCTTGGTAGATTTTTCTCCATCCCTTTATTTTGAGCCTATGTATGTCATTGCATATGAGATGGGTCTCTTGAAGACAACATACCATTGAGTGTTGGTTCTTTATTCAGCTTCCACTCTATGTCTTTTAATTTGGGCATTTAGCCTATTACATTCAAGGTTAGTGTTGATATGTGTGGATTTGATCCTGTCATCATGATGTTAGCAGGTTATTTTGCAGAGTTGTTTATGTGGTTGCTTTATAGTGTCACTGGTATGGGTACTTCAGTGTGTTTTTGTAGTGCTGGTAATGGTCTTTCCTTTCCATATTTAGTAATTCCTTCAGGATCTCTTGTAAGGCAGATCTGGTGGTAACAAATTCCTTCAGTATTTGCCTGCCTGAAAAGGATGTTATTTCTTCTTCGCTTATGAAGCCTTAGTTTGGCCAAATATGAAATTCTAGATTGGAAATTCTTTTCTTTAAGAATGTTGAACATTGGTAAGCTATTAATTATTGCCTCAATTTCAGAGCCCATTATTGGTCTATTCAGAGATTCAACTTCTTCCTGGTTTAGTCTTGGGAGGGTGTATGTGTTGAGGAATTTATCCATTTCTTCTAGATTTTCTAGTTTATTTGCATAGAGGTGTTTATAGGATTCTCTGATGGTAATTTGTATTTCTGTGGGATCGGTGGTGATATCCCCTTTATCATTTTTATTGCATCTATTTGATTCTTCTCTCTTTTCTTCTTTATTAGGCTTGCTAGTGGTCTACGAATTTTGTTGATCTTTTCAAAAAACCAGCTCCTGGATTCATTGATTTTTTGAAGAGTTTTTTGTGTCTCTATCTCCTTCAGTTCTGCTCTGATCTTAGTTATTTCTTGCCTTCTGCTAGCTTTTGAATGTGATTGCTCTTGCTTCTCTAGTTCTTTTCATTGTGATGTTAGGATGTCCATTTTAGATCTTTCCTGCTTTCTCTTGTGGGCATTTAGTGCTATAAATTTCCCTCTACACACTGCTTTGAATGTGTCCCAGAGATTCTGGTATGTTGTGTCTTTGTTCTCATTGGTGTCAAAGAACATCTTTATTTCTACCTTCATTTTGTTATGTACCCAGTCATTCAGGAGCAGGTTGTTCAGTTTCCATGTAGTTGAGCAGTTTTGAGTGAGTTTCTTAATCCTGAGTTCTAGTTTGATTGCACTGTGGTCTGAGAGACAGTTTGTTAAAATTTCTGTTCTTTTACATTTGCTGAGGAGTGCTTTACTTCCAACTATGTGGTCAATTTTGGAATAAGTGCGGGGTGGTGCTGAGAAGAATGTATATTCTGTTGATTTGGGGTGGAGAGTTCTGTAGATGTCTATTAGGTCTGCTTGGTACAGAGCTGAGTTCAATCCCTGGATATCCTTGTTAACTTTCTGTCTTGTTGACCTGTCTAATGTTGACAGTGGGGTGTTAAAGTCTCCCATTATTATTGTGTGGGAGTCTAAGTCTCTTTGTAGGTCTCTAAGGACTTACTTTATGAATCTGGGTGCTCCTGTATTAGGTGCATATATATTTAGGATAGTTAGCTCTTCTTGTTGAATTGATCCCTTTACCATGATTTAATGGCCTTCTTTGTCTCTTTTGATCTTTGTTGGCTTAAAGTTTGTTTTATCAGAGACTAGGATTGCAAACCCTGCATTTTTTTGTTTTCCATTTGTCAGGCCTAGATGGATTCACAGCCGAATTCTACCAGAGGTACAAGGAGGAGCTGGTACCATTCCTTCTGAAACTATTCCAATCAATAGAAAAAGAGGGAATCCTCCCTAACTCATTTTATGAGGCCAGCATCATCCTGATACCAAACCCTGGCAGAGACACAACAAAAAAAGAGAATTTTAGACCAATATCCCTGATGAACATCGATGCAAATATCCTCAATAAAATACTGGCATACCAAATCCAGCAGCATATCCAAAAGCTTATCCACCATGATCAAGTGGGCTTCATCCCTGGGATGCAAGGCTAGTTCAACATATGCTAATCAATAAACGTAATCCAGCATATAAACAGAACCAAAGACAAAAACCACATAATTATCTCAATAGATGCAGAAAAGGCCTTTGACAAAAATCAACAAGGCTTCATGCTAAAAACTCTCAATAAATTAGGTATTGATGGGACGTATCTCAAAATAATAAGAGCTATCTATGACAAACCCACAGCCAATATCATACTGAATGGGCAAAAACTGGAAGCATTCCCTTTGAAAACTGGCACAAGACAGGGATGCCCTCTCTCCCCACTCCTATTCAACATAGTGTTGGAAGTTCTGGCCAGGGCAATCAGGCAGGAGAAGGAAATAAAGGGTATTCAATTAGGAAAAGAGGAAGTCAAATTGTCCCTGCTGGCAGATGACATGATTGTATATCTAGAAAACCCCATCGTCTCAGCCCAAAATCTCCTTAAGCTGATAAGCAACTTCAGCAAATTCTCAGGATACAAAATCAATGTGTGAAAATCACAAGCATTCTTATACACCAGTAACAGACAAACAGAGAGCCAAATCATGAGTGAACTCCCATTCACAATTGCTTCAAAGAGAATAAAATACCTAGGAATCCAACTTACAAAGGATGTGAAGGACTTCTTCAAGGAGAACTACAAACCACTGCTCAACGAAATAAAAGAGGATACAAACAAATGGAAGAACATTCCATGCTCATGGATAGGAAGAATCAGTATCATGAAAATGGCCATACTGCCCAAGGTAACTTATAGATTCAATGCCATCCCCATCAAGCTACCAATGACTTTCTTCACATAATTGGAAAAAACTATTTTAAAGTTCATATAGAACCAAAAAAGAGCCCGCATTGCCAAGTCAATCCTAACCCAAAAGAACAAAGCTGGAGGCATCATGCTACCTGACTTCAAATTATACTACAAGGCTACAGTAACCAAAACAGCATGGTACTGGTACCAAAACAGAGATATAGACCAATGGAACAGAACAGAGCCCTCAGAAATAATGCTGCATATCTACAACCATCTGATCTTTGACAAACCTGACAAAAACAAGAAATGGGGAAAGGATTCCCTATTTAATAAATGGTTCTGGGAAAACAGGCTAGCCATATGTAGAAAGCTGAAACTGGATCCCTTCCTTACACCTTATACAAAAATTAATTCAAGATGGATTAAAGACTTAAATGTTAGACCTAAAACCATAAACACCCTAGAAGAAAACCTAGGCAATACCATTCAGGACATAGGCATGGGCAAGGACTTCATGTCTAAAACACCAAAAGCAATGGCAACAAAAGCCAAAATTGACAAATGGGATCTCATTAAACTAAAGAGCTTCTGCACAGCAATAGAAACTACCATCAGAGTGAACAGGCAACCTATGGAATGGGAGAAAATTTTTGCAATCTACTCATCTGACAAAGGGCTAATATCCAGAATCTACAATGAACTCAAACAAATTTACAAGAAAAAAGCAAACAACCCCATCAAAAAGTGGGCAAAGGATATGAACAGACATTTCTCAAAAGAAGACATTTATGCAGCCAAAAGACACATGAAAAAATGCTCATCATCACTGGTCAGCAGAGAAATGCAAATCAAAACCACAATGAGATACCATCTCACACCAGTTAGAATGGTGATCATTAAAAAGTCAGGGAACAACAAGTGCTGGAGAGGATGTGGAGAAATAGGAACACGTTTACACTGTTGGTGGGACTGTAAACTAGTTCAATCATTGTGGAAGTCAGTGTGGCGATTCCTCAGGGATCTAGAACTAGAAATACCATCTGACCCAGCCATCCCATTACTGGGTATATACCCAAAGGATTATAAATCATGCTGCTATAAAGACACATGCACACATATGTTTATTGTGGCAGTATTCACAATAGCAAAGACCTGGAACCAACCCAAGTGTCCAACAATGATAGGCTGGATTAAGAAAATGTGGCACATATACACCATGGAATACTATGCAGCCATAAAAAAGGATGAGTTCATGTCCTTTGTAGGGACATAGATGAAGCTGGAAACCATCATTCTCAGCAAACTATGGCAAGGACAAAAAACCAAACACCGCATGCTCTCACTCATGGGTGGGAATTGAACAATGAGAACACATGGACACAGGAAGGGGAACATCACAAACCGGGGCCTGTTGTGGGGTTGGGGGAGGGGGGAAGGATAGCATTAGGAGATATACCTAATGTAAATGATGAGTTAATGGGTGCAGCACACCAACATGGCACATGTATACATATGTAACAAACCTGCACATTGTGCACATGTACCCTAAAACTTAAAGTATGGAAAAAAAAAAAAAAGAATATTGAACATTGGCTCCCAATCTCTCTTGGCTTCAAGGACTTCTGCTGAGAGGCCTGCTGTTAGTCTGCTGGGCTTCCCTTTGTAGGTGATCTGACCTTTCTTTCTAGCTGCCTTTAACATATTTTGTTTCACTTCAGCCTTGGAGATCTGATGATTATGTGTCTTGGAGATGATCTTGTGAGTTGTCTACTGGGGTTCTTTGCATTTCCTGAATTTGAATGTTGGCCTTTCTAGCTCGGTTGAGGAAGTTCTCATGGATGATATCCTCAAATATGTTTTCCAAGTTGGTTCTTCCATTGGTGTCCCTGAAAAATATTCTCCCCATCTTGCTGGGGTTCCAGAGCCCTGTGGTGAGAGTGGTTTGTTCCCTGCCAGTTCAACTCACTCATTCCTCCAGAGCCACTTGGGGCCAGGAATGAGTCCAGTTGCACAGTATCCCCATGTAGGGTTCCCAGCTTTCTCCTCCTTCAGCCAACCTTTTGTGTTTCCTTCCATCCACTCTCAGTGCTTTCCTTCTGAAGATCTATTAGGAGTCTTGATCCCTCAGTGGCAGATATTTCACCGGCTGCATCTAGTTGGCCATCAGGCCTGCCCTCCACTCTCATTTTAAAACATATTTTTACTGAGTTAAGAATTCTGTGTTAACAGTGTTTTTTTTCTTTACAATTTAAATGTACCTCTGTTTTCTTGTAGTGTTCCTATTTTCTAACAAGAAAAATGCTTCAATCATTGTTAGTTATTCTCTATAAAATATGTTTTTGTTTCTCCTTGATCAGCATTTCAAATCTTGCCTCTATCTTTTGCTTATAGCAATTTAAATATAACATGTCTGTATGTTGGTGTTCAAAGATCTTCTTATTTCTGAGGTTGATCATTTTCGTTATTTCAGAAATCTATTGCCCATCATGTTTTTCTGCCTTATTCTGTTTCTGTTCTCTCTCTAGAGCTCCAATTACACCTATAGTGAGGACAATTCACGGCTCTTAAATCTTCTTTTTGTCTTCCTTTTTTAATTTTTTTGTTCTCTTTAGTTTCAGTATTGTTGATTTTGTTTGACCTATTTTTAAGTTCACTAATTTTTCCTTTTTAAGTCTACTGATTAGTCAATAAAGCAAAGTACTCATCTCTCATATGATGTTTTTATATATCCACCATTTCTATTTGCTGTTTGAAAAATATCTTCAATCTCCCTGTTAGAACCTCTATCTATTAAGGCAAGTAATTTACCATTTCCAATAAATCCTTTAACATATCATAATTATCTTAAAATATTTGTTTTATATATTTAATATCCTGTTTTTCTGTCACTCAGATTCTACTGATCACCTTCTGTCTTGGCAATGGTTTGTTTTCATTACTCTTTTGTGTATATATTTAAGTGTTTAATGATTTTATGCATTATTTGTAGAACAATGTAGACTAAGGTTAAAAAATATTCATATTGGGTAATGAAAATATCTCTTTTTTCTGTCAGGTCATTAGTTGAGATGGTCTAATCAGGAATTGTGCTAGGTTTGAATGTTGTTGCTTTTTTGATACAGTTAGGGTATGCCTATAATTTAATCATATTTTTAAAATATGACTCTACTTACTTTCATTAGTTAGTATTTTTCTTGTGAAATATTCATGAGGAAAGACTGGCCACTGCAATTAGATTTTAGGGATTTTTTTTCTTTAAAGATAGACTGTTATTTTTTCCTGTTGATTGAAGCTTGTGTTTTGTGGCTGGAGCTCTAGAAGTCATCTTGATGTTGAAAACCAATGAGATGCATAGGAAATAGATGAAAGAATCTGAAAAGAGAAAACGGTGTTTGTGTTTGTGTGTGTGTGTGTGTGTGTGCACGTGTGTGTGTTTTCATTCATCATATTTAGCCATCATACTTAGCCTTTATATATCTAACATTAGAAAAATTCATTAAATTAAGTACTTTTTTAAGGAAATATCACTATTGATTACTCTCCTCTCTCCTTCATTTCTATTATTAGATTTTGTCCTATTATAAAAATATTATCCATGATTAACTCTACCTTAACGGTTGGTCACCTTAAAATCTTACTCAATTGTGAAAAATGTTCTTAACTTTATGTTTGACATTTCCACTTTGAATTTAGCTTTGTTCATTTTTTAAAAATGTATGTCAGTTTGTTTTGTCTGTAAGCCACCATATTTTTAATTTCTATACTACTTCAAAAGAGTGTGTTAGTCCATTTGTGTTACTATAATGGAATATCTGAGACTGAGAAATTTATAAACAAAAGAGGTTTATTGGCTCAGAGTTTTGCAGGCTGTACATGAAGCATAGTGCTGTCATCTGCTTCTGGTGAGGGCCTAGGGAAGCTTTCATTCATGGCAGAAGGTGAAGGGGAGCCAGCATGTCACTTGGTGAGAGAGGGAGGAAAAGAGAGAAGGAGGAGGTGCCATACTGTTTTAAAGATGAATTCAGAGTGAGAATGCACTTATTACCATGAAGAGGGCACCAAGCCATTCATGAAGGACCTGCCTCCATCACTCAAACACCTCTCACCAGCCCATATCTCCAACATTGGTGATTACATTTCAACACAAGATTTGGAGGCCATAATGCCTCCAATACATATCAAGAAGGTTTTTTTAATGAATGAAATATCTTATAATATAATAAAAACTACCAATTTTTCCTTTGATTTCAAATCTCTGATTTTTGTTTATAGTTTGTTAAGCTTTTGTATTCTTGAAAGGATAGTAATTATAACCTCTAAGCTCATTCCATATTGGAATGAAACCTGAATGTCCCTTTTTTATTCTAAACTAAAGCAGAATGACTCAGCATGACTGAAAATAATGGAATAGAAAAATACATACAAGAAATAAAAATGCAGAATAACCCAAAGAGAGTTAGTGTAGTTAGTTGATAATACCATGATATTATCAGATAAAAAGCACTAACATCTGAATCAAAAGATGTAAAGCAAAAAATAATATTATAAGTAGAATCTGATAAATTCATCATCGTTTGTAAAGACTTGTAACAGTATCTAAAACTGACAGGCAATAATTAGTAAACAAAGAGAAAATTAGAACTGTATTATCATACTTTTTTTTCTAATGAGTAGTTAGAGGATTCTATACCCAACAATTCTAGAAGAAACCATACTTTGAAGCACATATGAAACTTTAAAAATAAATTGACCATATATTTATCACAGATAAACCCTCAACTAATACAAAAGAATCAATATCTTATAAACCATGTAGAAATAAGTAAAAAATACATTTATGATTATGTGGAAACCATTCTACTGTGAGGAATTTTACAACCCTTTTTCAAATCTATTCTCTGTTTTACTTTTTCAAACTTTGAGAAGTTTAATGAATAAGGATTAGACAGGGATGGAATGAATTTGGGGGATATAATTATCAAAGGAGCATAGAAAACGAGTGTGCCCACCGTAAAGAGATATGTATCTGCAGAGTTCTTCATAAATTGTTGTATTAGTTTCCACAGAAAGTGATATTGAATCTGCTGCCTTAGCCACCGAGTGATTGTTTCTTTCCTTACTATAAATCTAAATCCTGTGGGATTGCCTACAATCTTTCAGAAATTCTAGACTTATTAGATTTAAAATTATACAAATCCTGCTTTGTTATATAGTAATTAAGAGAAAAATTGTTAAAATTTTGAGAAAATAATGCAATAAAGATTTCATAGGATGGTACAGTTTAATAGATGATAATGAAATTGAAGCCTTAACATTACTTAAACCAATAAGAAAGGGAGCTGAAACATTGCTAATCTTGAAGAATCAAATAATAGGAATCTTAAAGAGCAAAATCAGCACCTCTAAAGCAAAGAATCCATTATAACTCTGAGATTCATTATTATTATTACTTTTCAAGAATTCCCAAAAATAGCTGTAGGCTAATTGGCACCAAGTGGTAAATATACTGTCCCCCAGGAGTTAGAATTTATATTTCTATCAATGTGGTCTACAATTGCATTAGTCTTTTAGGCAACCACATCACCCTGATGTCTCAAAGAGAAATTACAGCCAAGTAAAAACCCCAGAGTTTGCATAAACTTTTGCTAATTGTAGTCTCTTCTCCTAAATAACTTTTCAGTTATTTTATTTAATTTGTTGACAATAGGACTTTATTTCTATTAAATTTCCTTTTGTTAGCTGCAATGCACACCTCAAATTTTTATGTGCCCATGGAATACACGTTATATCCATGAACTTTATAACTTTATAGCTGACCAGTTTGTAGTGCTAAAAAGACAGACAGAGAGAGAGAGAGAAGAGAGAGAAGAGAGAAAGAGAGAGAAAAAGAGTGACAGAACATATTCACGCACGTCTTGGTTTGCCCATGTGTATGTACTTTTGTGGTCTTATACTGGATACTTACAGGAAATGGCCTTATTCTAAAGCAGCTCTTCCACAAAATGCCTATGTGGGCCAGAATTTTGTGTCAGTGAAATTTGCTAATGTAGTTCCTTACTGAGTGACTATTAAAACTTTTTATTTCCTATGCCCAGTGCATATTTATGTGACCCTTTAAAAAAGGAAAAAGAAAACAAACTGTCAGATGCTCACTTCAACTCTTTGAAAAGGTTGTCTTTGTCTTTTAGTTTATGTATTCATTTGTAAATGACGTTGTTCCCTGAGTCACATTGTAAGAATTCCACTGATGAGGGTAGAGGTGTCCCATCCACGGAGCTTTAAAAGCTGATATACATTTCAGTTACTTCAAATAAAGAAGGTATCTTTACACTCATCACATTATTCCTTTACATTTAAATAAATTCTACCCACAAAAAGCTCATGTTGATGTGAAATTTATTTGAGGATTATAAATATTGTTATTAAGGGATTAAAAATAAGCAAGGTTATAGAAACCATAATAAATTCTTCAGGAGTACCCTGATGTTGATATAGTTACCACACTGGTAGCTTCATCTTAGTGAGCAGTACTTTGACAATTATCAGGAATACCCCCAAATTACTTTATGAGAGACATCCATTAGTTATTTTGGATTTATATAAGTCAGTGTTTGTCAATCAGAGACTTTTTTTGTCGTCACACGGCAGGTGGGAACAGTATCTGCTATTGGTAACTTGTGGTAGAATCCAAGGACATTGCTAAACATCCTACAACGCACAGGTCAATCCCCTGCAATGTGGAATCATCTGTCTCCAAATGTCAATAGTGGCATGGTACAGAAAGGTTCCCCTAAATAAAAATCCTCATTTCTTTCTTTTTCTCTTTTTTCTGAAAGTGTTACTAACTCCAAAAACCAAAGAATAATACTGAAAACCATTTTTTTGAGAAAGATTATTAAGAATTATGCCCACATTCATGAAACATCAATGTTCTAGTTAAAGCTGTTTAGAGTATTACTTTATTATACAAATTATTATTGCAATTAGATTTTCAATATTTTGAGAATAAACCTGATAAGATAGATCCCCAATTGAAATTAAGTGAAAATTTCTTAATTGTTTCCATAATTCACTAAATCGTTTTGTGCACAACAGTATGTATTTGTGTGTAAGTTTTATATATTTAGTTGTGGGTTTTACATACTATGATTTTTTAATAGGTAAGGCAATGTGTTGTTTACTTTTAAATACATTATCTCAGATAATTCTCAAAATAACTACATTGGGTATAATTATTTCTATGGACATTCTTCAGTAAGAAAACTGACAATATGGAGGCAAGGTGGCTCATACACTTATGTAATTAATAACTTGCAAAGCCATATTAAAATTATGGTCTTATGAATGTAAGATAATTCTCTTACCAATTTTAGAGACCAGTGAGGGAGATCCATGAGATTCAAACTTAATAGATGGAAAGTATGGATCCCAAATTTAGCCAGGCTTGTTCAGTTGGAAGTGAGTGTACTAATTCAGTGGAAGGCTGGGGAAAGGAAGCAAAGAGAAAAGGGAACATATGGGAGAGTCTTAGTTAGGCATACTAGGCCACAGGGAAGATGTTAATATGCCAGTCACAAGGTAGAGGGAGGATACAAAAGAAGACAGTACCAAAGAGTAAGTCTGTGTATGTGCATGTGAGAAATGGTGGACGGAGTATTTGGGAATTAACTCTATTCATACTTCAAAATAAGTAGTGACTCCATTCATTAGTAAATGTGGCCCACCTATATCACAGAATATGAATAAAAGATAAACAATTTCTCACTAGTTAGAGGCAAATGAAGGTAGGGTTAATTATGAGAATTTCAAGAATTCCTTATATTATCTAAGCAGGGTAATCATGTCAGGATTTTCAAAGTAGAGAGAAGAGCACAATGTAAACCGTGGAAGCTATATTTGAAATGATGTCGTAATGAAAGTAAACTCTGAGACATTTAAATAGTAAGGAAGAGAAAACAGATTATCTGAGCAGTTCACAAATGTTTGGCCAAGAGTTTTGACATTATTTTAAAGGCAAAGGGAAACCACTTACAGATTTTATTCAAGAAAATAATTATTCAATTGCTCTCTTGAAATCCAGCAGTATGGCAAAGTGCTTAATTTCTAAATTTCTGGAGTCAGATTTCCTTTTCTACCACTTACAGTATGACTTTTGACAAATAATTTTTCACCTCTAAAGTAAGAGTAATAATACTACCTATGTTACCTTGCATGTGTCTGTGCATAGTCAGTTAGATTACCTACATTAAATTATGCCTTACATATAGTACATTCAGAGTAGATGGTAACCATCAATATCACTACCACCATAATAATAAGTATTTTTGTTGTTGTTGTGGAAACAGTACTTTGATTTCAGTTTGGAGAAAGTATTGTAGAATAGACAGGGATATAGACTGTTTTCCTTTATTTTTTTTGTTTATGTATTATTTATTCATTTTTTATTGATACATAATAAATGTATAGATGATCAGGGTACATGTGATATTTTGATGCTAGGAACATTTGAATTATTCTCTTTCAGCCATTTTGAAAGGTACAATAAATTATTATTAACTATAGTCACTCTACTGATCTATTTGACACTAGGTCTTCTTTTTAGCTTTTATTTTCAGTTCAGGGGTATATGTGCAGGTTTGTTATATAGGTATACTTGTGTCACGGGGCTTTGTTATAATAAATTATTTCATCATCACCCAGGTATTAAGCCTAGTGCCCATTAGTTATTTTTCCTGATCTCACCCTCTTCCTACCTTCTACCTTCCAGTAGGCTTCAGTGTCTCTTTTCCCTCACAATATGTCCATGTGTTCTCATCATTTAGTTCCCACTTATAAGTGAGAACATGTGGCACTTGGTTTTTTGTTCCTGCATTAGTTTGCTAAGGATACTGGCCTTGAGCTCCAAACATGTCCCTAAAAAGGACATAATCTCAACCATTTTTACCGCTGCATAGCATTCCATGGTGTATATGTACCACATTTTCTTATTTCTTAATTCAATCTATCAGTGATGGACATTTAGGTTAATTCATATCTTTGCTATTGAAAATAATGCTGCTATGAGCATACACATAGATGTGTTTTATAATAGAACAATTTCTATTCCTTTGGGTATATACTCAGTAATAGGATTCCTGAGCCAAATAGTATTTCTGTGTTTAAGAGTTTGAAGAATTGCCACACTGTCTTCCACAATGGTTGAACTAATTTACACTCCAACCAACAGTGTGTAAGTGTTCCTTTTTCTCCACAACCTTGTCAGCATCTGTTATTTCTTGACATTTTAATAATAGCTCCTCTGCCTGGTGTGAGATGACATCTCATTGTGGGTTTGATTTGCATTTTGGACAAAGACCAGTTTTAAATGCCTTTGTTGGTATACAGATATGAAATTAAGACATGAAATAAGTCCATGATAGAAGGCATTGTAGAAAGAGCTAAGATTAAGTAATAGTTAGAAGTTGACCTGATAGGTTTTGTTGACCAAGTACATGTGGGAAATGAAGTAAAAGATTATATTTTTCAGTATTTTAAGAATTAGCAAAAAAAAAAAAAAAAAAAAGAATTAGCTACATATGTTATTCACTGATACAGGAACACAAGAAGAGAAAAGTGATGGCAGATTATGGTAAGTTCAATTTTGAACATGCTGAATTTAAAGGTTCAGTTACAGAATTGAGTAAAATTATTTTAGTTTATAGAATTCCTGAGACTACAGCTGAGAATAGAGAATTGCATTGCAAATACTGATTTGAGGGTTATCATTCATGTTAAGGGTGGAAAGGAGTTTCACTGTGGATGAGATTACTTCTGAATCACTCTTCCTTCTATCCATCTTTTTATTTACATCTGAGTACTTAAAAGGAAAAAGTGAGTGTACAAAACTCAGAATCTTTGACACTGTCCTGTGTGTTGAGTGTCATCTTGTCTACAGAAAGTATGTTGTCTTTGATGTTCTTTGCCGTATTGTGTGCTAATGGAGAAAAATCATTTTTCCACAGAGCAGACCACAGTGGTTCACTACTGCCAGTGAGTTGGTGGGCATAGTTGGATATGTAGGAAAAAATAATGAACCCAAATATAATAGGGGTTTCCAAATAATGAACCCCCTATTACACTGGGATTTATTATTTTGTCCTATATATCCAAGTATATAGGCCACAAAACATGACTTTTTCAATAACATAAATTTGATACTCTTATTTCTACATGCCAAAGTCTCCATCTTTTTTTTTCTCTGTATGGCCAGAAGTGAGCTGGAGAAAAAAAGGTGTCATTTATTGAGCCCCCTGTAGGATTTTAACCTGCAGGTGGATAGCAGTCATAGCTACTGGTATGAATGAAGGGAAAGTTTCCAGAGGAAGTACCTTAAAAATGAAGAGAAGAAAAGATAGAAAAGAGGAGTGAAGAGAAGTGAGTTAAGTTGAAGAGAGAAGAGGAGGACCTACTTCTTAGGGAAATTAATGTTGAAGAATCAGGACTATACATAATATTGTGAGAAGAAAACTTGATGGGATATACAAATATTGGAGTTTGAAAACTATAGAATAACAGAAAGGCATTTAAAAAAAGCTCTTCAAAAAATAGTGTTTGGGGGACAGGAATAAGGACCAGTCAATAAAACCAAGCACTGAAATATACAGTAGGATAGGGGCTAAAACATATCCTTAATATCTGGTAATCAGGATGTAATTGGGGCCTTAGAGTGAGCTTAAATTGGAGAAGAGAGCAGAAGAGGAGAGGGGAAGTGGGCTGGACCAGGTTGTGTCATTCTTGCTACTGTTAGGTTAGCGCAAAAGTAGTTGCTGTTTTTGCACTTAGAAGTTTGGCAAAAACTGCAATTACTTTTGCACCGGCCTAATATAATTGTTTATGCACATGTGTATAGGCAAGCAGATATATGTATGTATATTTTCATCTTCTTCAGCTTAATTTTATTTAATCAGCAAAAAAATTATTGCACGAGTCCTATTAAAATTGTTTGTGGCCAGAATTTTAAAATAAAACAATGATATAAAATGCATAAGTATGTTTGTTTATATCACTGATATCAGTAACCTTAATCATACACACTAATCCAGGAACAAACTTCTTGTCACACATAGAGCTGATTTTTAACAAACCACAAACATATTCTGTGCGGGACAATTGTACAAGTAAAATATGAACATGAGAAAACATACTCTGTCATCTTCTGTATTTTTAAAAAGATTTCTTTTTTCTCAAAAGATATAATTTTTTAGCTGAAATATGTAGTTTACTCATAGTACACAAAATTTTATGCCTGCCTGTTTGTAAACCATCTCATTTTACCTAACAAAGGCAAACAACCATAGACAGATCAGCTATGTTAGGCTCTGCCAGTATTTAAAGTGTCAACTTCAAAAATATTAGGTTAAGCAATTTTCTACTGTTACTTGTGCGACTTAGAGCATGTTACAGTGAACCTGAATATTTAGTCAGCATCAAAAATCAAAATGTAAAGAAATAGAACCAATGGGCTACTCTTCTAAAACAGTGTTGCTTCTGGAATACAAAATTCATGCTTTTTCAAAAAGCAAAAGGATAAAATTGTACATGATTGGACTTTAGTTTAATTTATGGGGAGTCTAAAACAATTTTAGGAGCTTAACATTGAAATAGACCTTTGGGGTATTAACTCTGTCAACTGGCTTGCAAATCAGAAAATTGATAGCTCTATTATGAAGGCATGTGAAATATCATATACACAGAGTGGATAAAATGCTTAATTCCTCTGTGAGATGACCAGAAATTGCTGACTGATTTGTTGGCTTAAATCCTGCTGAATGGGTCCCTTTCAATGCCTTAAGACTATTCTATTAAATAATTTAAAATAGCTGGTACTAAAAAGGAAGAAATACATAAATTCAAATGGATTCTATTCAAATTAGAGAGTATTTTTGAGGCAGATTTTCCTATCAAAATGATTAGTATTTTAGCTACACTTAAAAACTAAAACCTAAAGCTGAGTAGGGAAGAAGAAAGAGACAACTGGTTTTTTTTTCTCTGCTATTTCCTGTTCTTAATCATCCACACCAAACTGAGAATATTATTACAGTATTTTTATTGATCAAATATAGTATTATACACCTACTGTCAAGCCAATAACCAGATTGAACAAAAATAACACATTTATTGAACATCTACCATGTGTCAGGCATTTTTTTAGGTATGCAGTATAGTATGGTGTATAAAACACTGTCCTTGCCCTAAATCAACTTATATATTGCATGTGAGATGTAGACATCTTCAAAAAATTTTATTCTGAGAATTTTAAAAGATATATTACGACTTTTTGAGTAATTTTTTCAATAAGTTGCTTTCAAATAACTAACTTTAAAATAAACTTAAGACTTCTTACATAAATACAAATTGCTCATTAATGTAATTAGAGATAGCAATATAAAATGGAAATAGGAATGAGGTTATAGTACCAAATACAATGATGTAAAGTCCGATAAACTCATCAGAGGTGGGAGATGTATTGATTCTTAGCTTTCTGGCAGCATGTTTTAATATTACTTAGGGACTGCTTAGGATCTTGTGCTCTGAACTTGGTAGATAGAATTGGTTAAGTACAGATGTGTATAGACAACTTATTATCAACTTTAAAGATTCTCTTTAAAATTTCTCCATAAAACTCTTCAACTTTGCCTTACAACACATTCACAAACCTGAGAGATTGATTAATTATTTTCCAGTTCCTTCATCATATCTTATTCACCTCATAGAATCAAAATTGCATGGTCTCAATTAAGCATTGTCCTATCTTGGGGCAGTCTCCAGCTTCCAACATTTTAACTCGATCCTACGAATTTATTTAGAGAATGTGTGAGTGTGTGAAAACGAACAGGATGTTTCTTGAAATAGCACTAACTAGTGTTAGAAATATCTGCTCTCAGATGAGGACGAGACATGGTGAGCTAGCACATGAACCCACAGAATTTTCCATCAAAGGGGATAAATATCTCTTATAATCTATGCTGGCTAGTTACAACTACTCTACACATTATGTGCATGCATAAAAACAAAACAATGATAGAAAATAAATTCCTCTCAGAAATTCCCAAAATCATGTGTTCTCAAAACTTGTCCTTATTTATACTCCCCTGCTCTTTCTTGGTCTCTTGGATTCCTTGGGTCATCTATGCTGGCATTTTGTTAAAATGTGTTTTTAAAATGAGAAAGGCTGTATGACTATTCCCTTTGTCACACATGCAGAACTAAATTGGCTCATAATTAATTCATTACCAACTGAAATATGTTGTGACAATTGGGTTGGGTGTGTGACGGTAAGAGCCTTTCCAAAGTAAAGTGTGATAGAAGCTCACCATAACTATTACGCTCAACCTTGCCTTGATCTCAAAACACAGGAGACACCTGATTCAGAACATTCACAGACTCACCATTATTGTACAATGATAATGTAGTGTATAGTGTGTGAAGTCTAGCATTAGCACAACATTGGGGATGCATTTAGTAAGGGCCTTGCCCAGCTACATTCCATTTTGGTTTAGAATTTTTGTGTTCATTTTGATTGAAAAAAGTCTCTTATATTCAAAAATAAAACAAAAAAACCAAAAACCAAAAATAACTCTTCAACACATTAAAACTCTGAAGAACTAAAAATGATTCTACCATACTCTAAGCATTATGCTCAATCCTAGTGAAACTTTGTTCTTCATATGGTTACTTTGACTCTTATTAGGCTACCTGAATTATAATATAGAAAGCTCACATCAGAATAGAATAGATATGAGAAAGTTGAAGGGTTTCATATCTCCATTAACTTTTGTTAAGGAATCTAATTACTACTCTATGGAAAAGACTTTCTGACTTCAAAAAAGAAAGAAAGAAATCACCCTATCATTGAAACCACTTTGGCTAAAATTATGACAGCAAGATAAATCTAACAGGAACAGACTCCATCTTGCTTCTGACCTCACAAGCTAACTGCCCTTCCTCATTCTTGAATGTAGGCTAAGCTAACTATGGTAGAAATTTAGTTTATAGATTAACTTAAAAGCAAGGATGTTAATAGACTCTTCCTGAAAATAAGGTCCTCCTTGTTCAGAGACTGAAAATGCTTTTGTAAAACTAAGAAAAGGCCACTATGTTAGAATTATGGTGGTGCCTGAATTCTGCAATGCTAGAAGCACAGTTAAGCAATAACCAGTCATTGTTCTCTGGCTTGCTTACTGCTCAGGAATCATGTAGCTGGAGGTCACAAGATTTGTAACTTCCCTAGTTGCTCCTAGTGATAACATCTTTGCTGTGAAAACCTAAAATTGGTCTTTGAGATATTTTTCAGCCTTCTGCATTCGGGCATGCAAACTGATGCCACCCAGACCTGTGACTCATCCCAAAGAACTGACTCAACTGGTTCTATGACCCCCACGCAGAAACTGACTCAACATGAAAAGGCAGTTTGGACATTGATTTCATCCTCAAGCAATCAGCAGCACCCATTCCCTGGTCCCCTGCCCATCAAATTTCCTTCAAAACCTCTAGCCTCTGAGCTCCTGGGGAGGCAGATTTGAGAAATATATCCTGTCCTACTGCTCACTGCCTTTTAATAATTAAACTATTTCTGTGCTACATAACCAATGTCTCAGTTTGTTGCTTTACCTGTGCAGGACAAGCTGTAACATCTTATTGGTTGTTGAATGATGCAACTCTTGGAACAACTACATTCAAATAATATCAAGAGTAAGATTCATGGATCATTGGGGAGAAGAGACTGATATCAGATTTCCCTAGGTGTTTTGATAGCCCAGATGAGAAGAGATGTTAGGGAACAAGAATGGAATATTCATGATCCTTTGTCTAAGTGGATTTTCATTAAAATAAAATTTTATTAAAAATGTTCATTTTGATGAAATTTTATTTTAGCAAAGTTAAAATTTCATCTTAATGAAATTTTCTACCAGCCTCATCTTAAGAAGAACATTCTTGTCTAAATAATAAAATAAAAATAGTAGTAGAAAGTGAGTATTACAAGCAGACAAGTTACTTTAATATATATATTTTTTTCATACAATTTTGGATATATCTACAGTTCAGTTGTAGATTTATTTTATTAATCATCTTTAGAACTGAATATGATTTTTAAATCAGAAAAATAATTATTTAATAAATTATTCTTAACCTTCTCCTGTGCCCTGTTTATATTATGAATCTACTGGAATTTCTAGAACTAATCCTTGGGTACCTTGAACTTTCTCTTGTTTTCTAATTCTAAGCTCATTTGTTTAAATTTCTTTGAAACTTCCTTAACCTTATATACAATATTATTATATTGACCCTCACCCTTGCCCATTTTTTTTTCTGATTTTTAGCTTTTATGTTAAAATATACTAACCTTGGTGTGCTTTGGCTATAAAGATGATTGGAGACATCCTGCTATTTGGGACATTGCTGATGAATGCTGGGGCAGTGCTCAACTTTAAGCTGAAAAAGAAGGACATGCAGGGCTTTGGGAAGGAGGCATGGGAGCCCAGCACAGGTGACAACACGAGGGAATTCTTACTGAGCCTCAGATACTTTTGAATCTTCACCATCCTGTGGAACGTCTTCATCATGTGCTGCATGATTGTGCTGTTTGGCTCCTGAGTCCCAGATACGGAACCAGGAACTCATCTTCTCAGATGCTGAGTCTCTCTCTTCCTCCATTCCTGATGACTTCAAGAATGCTTTTAACCAGAAAACTAATAATCTTCACAGGAAGCCCAAGCTCTTGATGTTGCAGTCTGCTTAGTCCCTAGTTCAGCTAGGTCCAAGTTCTTGTACCAAGACCAAGAAGAATAAGGCACATGGACAGCAGAGAATGAGTAGAGTAGGATTTATTAAGCAGAAGGAAAGCTCTCAGCAAAGAGACGTGCCCTGAAAGCAGGTTGCCAGAAATGGGGCTGAGTTCTTTTATATGGCAAAGACAAGGTATTCTTCTGTGGTTTCTGCCCAAATGGGAAGGGTAATATTCTCCCTTGATATTGCATCTGCGCATGCTTGGGGTTGGCCAGAGTGACTGAATCTTGGTTATTACCCATGAATGGCTAAGCAAAACACATTAGGGGACTAAAACCACAATGCTACTGTCATGTTAAGGACATTATAATGACTCGGGTCAAGTTAAGGACACTTAGGTTGATCTATTGCACCTGCTCCTAGGCCAGGACAGTCCCTTCTTAGCAGACATTTGGCATTAGAGGAAGTTCTTAATCAAATTTATTTCCACTAGCTACAGGGGCTGTGCAGATGTGGTCTCACAGGTATTTTTCCACTCCCAAGACCCTCCCTCTCTATCTGCCTAACTAGCCTCTAACTACCTCCTCTCTTGCTGGTAGGTTGAAAAATGTTTGCCAAGATGTGCACAGTCTCCCAGCCACCTCACAGTTTTCAAAGATATTTTCACTTTGGTGACTGAATTGGAATGCTATTTACTGAAGGGGTTTCAGGAGGGTTTATATAAGGGGCTGTGATAAAATTGCATTTCCCATAGATAAAAGAACATGGTGAAATCATTTCATCATATTGGAATGCCTCCTCTACCAAGCATTCACGAGAAACCTGTTTCTGGATATTTATTGGCTTATTTTTAATAGCCGTCCTTTTGGTAAGAATCATATAGATTTTTAAAACCATTTTTTAATCCAGGGATCTGAGCAGAAAGGTTGGCTTTTAAGTTTAACACAGCCTCATTTTTGAACAATGTTTATAAGTCACACGGACATTCAGCGTTACTTGCTGAAATTGACAGCATCTGGGGTCAGCCAGGAGCACTGTGACCAAATTCCTTTCCCATGTGAACAGGGTCCACTTGGCCACTCAGTGCAGCTGAAATTATCCCTAAGACTTTAAGAAGAGGGTCACCTGAAACGGGGACACCAGCCTTCCTGCTCAGACACTAAACTGTTAGCAAAAAGGAAGAGATAGTTCCAGGTGAAGTATTTCCACAGAAGAGGAGTGTAGAACAATTGTGGGGGTTTTAGGATAAATTTTGTTTTGCCTTGCACCTGTTGTCAAATGAAATGACTTTGGGGGCCATTAAAAATACATATTAAAAATATGTGTGTGTGTGTGTGTGTGTGTATGTGTGTATATATATTAACATAGGCAAGAACTTTTTATCTAGTTGCTCATTTTAGCCTTTTCATATTTTACAAATGTCACATTATTTTATATAATAAGTGCTAATATATAATGACTGATTATGCTGCACCAAGCACTATTCTAAGTGCTTTAACTATGTTAAATTCCACATCACCTCGATTAGTTATCCAATCTTACAGACTGGAAAACTGAAAAGAACAGGGTTAAGTAACATGTCTAACGTCTCACAGGCAATGAGTAATCCTTACTTCTAAGATTTCTAATTTCTCTTCTAGTTTCTTCTAAGATATAGAAGAAAAAAAAATAAGAAAAAGAAAATTTCTACTTTGTTGATTTATATTGTCTCATCTTGCTCCCTAATTTCCCTCTTTGTATTTTCTGGATGTTACCAATCCCTTTATTTATTTACACATTTCGAATATTTATATTAAAGGTCTTTTCAAGTGACTTTAATATATCGAATCCCCAGATATAAATCCTTCCAGTTATTTAATTTACAGTTGTCTTTCTTAGCATTGCACTTTCTTATATGCCCATATACATATCTGTGGTCTAGGAGTTCAAATTCCATGAGGTTAAATCCTCAGTAGTCTCATGTGGTTCATGCCTTGTGGATGCCTTCCAGAGCATGATTTTTATGGTTGTTTTCTCCTCTCTCCTATTGGGTTCACCAATTCTTAAAAAATTGAAAATTTTAGACTTATGGTTTCTTTACTATGTGGTTTGCACAAAGTTGAGCCCTGAAATTTTATATCTTATGCTCAGGGTTTCCATTTTTTGTGATTTCATTTACTCTTACTTCCAGAATACAGTCCTAGACCAGTGTTTATACATGAGGACATTGTTTCCTAAAATCCAGTTTCAGACTGGGATCTTCATTCTTACTACTGAATGTACATAGTCCTTTATTCTTCTTTTGTAGGTGTCTCATTTTCAACCTACAATTTATCTTATATGGTCTTTGTACTTTATGCATTGTTTAGCTTTGATTCTTGGTTAGCAAAATTGACATTTTTTTGTTGTTGTTGTTTTGTTTTCTTTTGCTTTTTGGTCAGTTAGGCTCTTCCTTTCCAAGTCTGTGGGCTCAGGTATACTTTTAATAGTTTAAATGCATGTACTCTAGCATTTTATATGATTTGGACAAGGAAAAATTTTTTAAATTCTGTTCAATACAACAATTTGATCCCATGTTACTTTGAAATTTAAATCAGTTGCACAGTAAATGTCCTCTAGGCACAGATCACCAAAACCTTCCTGAGTGAATGTCTGTGGTTTTGACCCTTTAACATTAATCCTTCTCCTGAACAGAACTGATATATTCATTTTTAATATAGGAATTCAAGGCTTTTTATTTATTATTTCAACTCTAACAAGGAGCCAACTATATCTTATATGAGCAATGGGAAAGCAATATAGTTGCTCATGATTTTACTGTTTCATGGAAATGTGAATATATGCTTCAAAATTTATTTTATTTTCCATTGGTATGGATAGTAAGGAATCAGGCGGGATGTATTATCTGCAGAAAGAAACACATGAAATGAGTGGCTTTTAGTAAAATGTGGGTAGAGAATGTTTATCAATATGAAATTCTATGTGTGTATCTATTGAGTAGTAAAGTTTCATTATGCCAGTCTGAATCTGGGCCTTCGACATCTAAAAAATATTTCCAGAAGTGTTATAATAGCAAAGAAAAAGAAAATTGAGCCAAGTTTAAAAATCTTTAATACTATTTATCTTTATGTCCATCAGCAATCTGCCAAATATATTACATGCAGAATTAAATAGAATTAGAATATTCTTAATGATCTCTTTAATTAAGAACCTTTTAATAGAGCACAATGAAATGACAGGGTAGTGTATCCTATCTGAAGTAATCAGAATATGGAGAGACTTCTTCAGTAGCCAAAGGCTGACAATACTATAAAGTTTCAGACTTCCAGGTCTCCAAAAAAAATAGCAAATTATTGTGTGTCACTTAGATTCAAAATAAAGTCTTTCATTGTTAAGATTCTTAATTAAAAAAATTTACAGTCCCATCAACAGTGTAAAGTGTTCCTATTTCTCCACATCCTCTCCAGCACCTGTTGTTTCCTGACTTTTTAATGATTGCCATTCTAACTGGTGTGACATAGTATCTCATTGTGGTTTTGATTTGCATTTCTCTGATGGCCAGTGATGGTGAGCATTTTTTCATGTGTTTTTTGGCTGCACAACTGTCTTCTTTTGAGAAGTGTCTGTTCATGTCCTTTGCCCACTTTTTGATGGGGTTGTTTGTTTTTTTCTTGTAAATTTGTTTGAGTTCATTGTAGATTCTGGATATTAGCCCTTTGTCAGATGAGTAGGTTGCAAAAATTTTCTCCCATTTTGTAGGTTGCCTGTTCACTCTGATGGTAGTTTCTTTTGCTGTGCAGAAGCTCTTTAGATCCTAGTTCAACCATTGTGGAAGTCAGTGTAGCGATTCCTCAGGGATCTAGAACTAGAAATACCATTTGACCCAGCCATCCCATTACTGGGTATATACCCAAAGGACTATAAATCATGCTGCTATAAAGACACATGCACATGTATGTTTATTGCAGCATTATTCACAATAGCAAAGACTTGGAACCAACCCAAATGTCCAACAATGATAGACTGGATTAAGAAAATGTGGCACATATACAGAATGGAATACTATGCAGCCATAAAAAAGGATGAGTTCATGTCCTTTGTAGGGACATGGATGAAATTGGAAATCATCATTCTCAGTAAACTATTGCAAGAACAAAAAACCAAACACCGCATATTCTCACTCATAGATGGGAATTGAACAATGAGAACACATAGACACAGGAAGGGGAACAACACACTCTGGGGACTGTTGTGGGGTTGGGGGAGAGGGGAGGGATAGCATTAGGAGAGATACCTAATGCTAGATGACGAGTTAGTGGGTGCAGCGCACCAGCATGGCACATGTATACATATGTAACAAACCTGCACATTGTGCACATGTACTCTAAAACTTAAAGTATAATAATAATAAATAAATAAATAAAATAAAATAAAATAAAATAAATTTAAAAGGGACAATTGGAAAATATTCCTCAACAATATTATACTTCGAGATGTCCCTGCATGAATACTAAAGGAACTTTCTACGCTGGATTTATTTGCTTGTTCAATGTTATGGCAGGTGTACTTAAAATGTAGAAATGGCTAATCATCAATATAATTTGACAAACACTTACTTAATAGGAACTCTGTGCCAGGAATCCTGATAAATTTTCTAATGAATAAGATGCAGTCCATGCTTTGGAAGAACTCCCACACTTATAGATGATATATATGTATAAGCAATTAACTTCAAAACAATGTACTACCTGTTATAATAGCAGATTATACAAAGCCAAATAGAGCTACAAATTAAGTTGGCCTGTTTAAGGGGAATCAAGGTCTAAATAGTAAAGCATATACAGATCACTTAAGGATGGAAGGGTTAAATTTTATTTATGACTCCAATATCTAATACTTTGTTGTAGGATTTGAAAAGGAGGCAGTGCTTTTTCTACTAGTGAAAATTACTCCCTGTGACCAAATTGCTTTTCTGAAACTGATAGAAGTATATTATATCACTCAGGCATATTGAAGACCCTCCCAAAAATAATTGACTGTGACTTGGCTTATTATCTCAATATGAGGGAAGCAGAAGCTGTGAGCAAAATTAGTCAAACACATGCAGAAAACCATAGAACCCTTGAATGCACTTGTCCCTGTAATTCATTTATTATTCAACTCTTATTACAGTAGCGTTTAATTAATTTCCCACTTCATTCAAGTATGTTCATATGCCAACTCATACATGAGAACTTTCTTGATCATTTTATCAAGAAAAAAGTGAAAGAACAACCTTCGTCACTGTTTATTTACTTTACTCTTCTTACTTTTAGCACAACCTGACATACTATATTTGTTTCATTGCTTGTTATTTGTCTTCTTCCTACCAGAATATACACTCCCTGAGGTTGGAAATTGCATTTGTTTTGTCTACTGATGTATTTCCAGTAACTTAAACAATGCCTTTATATGGTAGGAGCTCAATGTACATTTACAGAATCACTGACTTAATTAATTGTATTATAAAGTACCTATTATACATTATGTATTATGCTAAAATTGTGCCAAAGATAGCTTTCTGATTTGTAAAATAACTTATTTAGAAAGAGAGACTCTAGGCCCAAACAAATAATTGGAATGTTGACTTACGTGAGAACTTATAAAAAAGATGTGTGCAATGTCCTTTGAGCATTCAGTGGGACAGATGACCACTAAGCCAGGGAAAAAGGGGACTATAGCCAAAGAACAATTTATACTGAGACTTGATTAATAAGAAATCCCCCCAAATAATGCTTATGAAATAAAAAGCTTAATCCAGAGAAAGACTTTCCCAGAAGACAAAAGTGAAATCCCATCCCTGCTAGAAGTTAATTCCATTCCACCCCAATTTTAATTTAGCCTCCCTGTCTCACATATGTGTGGGGGGGATGAGAAGTCATGAACTCTAGGGGAAAGGTCTCAAAGGCATTGACTGGAGACCCTAGAAAATACTTGCTGCAGTCACAGAAAGAACTAGAAGATAAGGGCAACAAACCTCTTCTCCTGCAAGACGGATATTTGTGAAGACCACACCTTTAAGACAAAGACCAACAGTGCACTCCAAAAATTTAGACTTAAGATTAGAGAATGCCCCTCCCCTACATTCTAGCACCAGGCTAGTAAGCCTCCAATGGATAGCGGATGTCAGTTAAGAAAGCTGCAAGAGACAAACTTTCTCTGAGGGACAACAAAAAGGGATGTTCCAAAGCTAATAAAGGAATCAAAAAAATGGTTGTTGGGATATTAGAAATCTCTAGAACACAAAGCTATAAAAAATACGTCAAACAAAACCCACTAGTAGCCAGATCAACATAAATCCTCACAGAAAAGTCCTGTTTTCCAAAGAAAAAGGGAACATTTTAAAGTCTTCCAGCAGGAGGGTGGGTGACTTCTTATCTACTCAAGAATAAGAATTTAAAAAGATTTTTTGTAACAAATTCTGCAAACAAGAAGACAGTGGAGTAAAATCTTTAAGTCTTGGGAAAAAAAATCTGCCAACCGAAATTTCTATACACAATGAAAATATTGTATGTTGGAGACATTGAAAACATCAGTTGAATACCACATGCACCTACCTAAAATGTTCAGACATCATATATCAACCTTTAAAATATAGAAGTGAATTAAAGACTTTCTTCAGAAAACAAAATAGATAACTTATTATCCTAATTGCCAGCTGACCAGCCTCAAGAAAAATGCTAAAAGAACTCCTTCAGGCAAAAGAATGATATAGGTAAGACACATGGAATTACACTGAAAAAAGAAAGGGCATGAGAAAAGTTATAAATGAAGGTAAACATTTTATATTAATTTTTCTTATTTCAAATTGATCTAAAAGATAACTGTTTAAATAGTACTATTTTAAGATAAATTTCTATGTTTTAAAATTACATGTGTTATGTAAATAATATAATATATTGGGTATTTAAAGGCTATATAAAAGTAAAATAAATTACAACGATGTCACAGGAGATGGGAGGGAGGAACGTGGAGTATTTTACTATAAGGTACTTACATTATAAATGAGCACTAGAATGCTATTTTAGGGAGGATTTCAACAACAGTCTACATTATAAATCTTAGAGCACAATCTAATTTTCTAAATGTACATAAGTTAATAGCTTACATAAAAGGAAAGCATAAAAATCTCAGTGAAAACAGAGAAGGCCAAAAAAGAAACAAATGCAATAAACAGAACAAAGTCAGTAATACTTTAATATAAACATATTTTAAATAATTGTACATGTAAATGGCTTAAACATACAGTTAAAAAGGAGAGACTGACAGATTGGATAAAAACAAGACCCAACTAGATGATGTCTACATAATATTTGTGATAAATATTTAAAAAGCAGATAGATTAAAAGTAAAGAGATGAGATAAGATAAAACATACTAACTGTAATCAAAAGGAAGTTGGAGTAGCTATAATAATTTCACACAAAGCTGATTTCTGGTCAACAGAGATCAGGAATTAGGGAAAACATTACACAATGATCAAGGAATTAATTCTCCAAAAAGACATTACAATCCTAAACATATGTGTACTTATCATCTGCTTCAGCCATATTACCTTAGATATGGTATCACGAAGCCAGACCCAGATCAAGAGAGAGAAACTTGAAAAAGTTTATAATTTCATAGTCTCCATGCCATAGCATAGTAGGTCACACAGAACCACTAAGGTTTCTTCAGAAGGAAACGGCAAGGCTGTGTAAACAGGCTGAGGTTTGGCTAGTTTGAAAAATATCAGTAGGCGGCTGGGCGTGGTGACTCACGCCTGTAATCTCAGCACTTTGGAAGGCCCAGGCGGGCGGATCACGAGGTCAGGAGATCGAGACCATCCTGGCTAACAGGGTAAAACCCCGTCTCTACTAAAAATACAAAAAATGTAGCCAGGCGTGGTGGCAGGTGCCTGTAGTCCCAGCTACTCGGGAGGCTGAAGCAGGAGAATGGCGGGAACTGGGGAGGCGGAGCTTGCAGTGAGCCGAGATCGCGCCACTGCACTCCATCCTCGGTGACAGAGCGAGCGAGACACCGTCTCAAAAAGGAAAAAGAAAGAAAAAAAGAAAAATATCAGTAGGCTCTGGGAAACAGAGGCTGTTCCTATATCTGGTACCTGGCCCTGGGGCAATTAGAGACTGTATATAGTGACTCTGAGAGCCTACGTGGTTACGAGTGTGAACTTAGATACTCAAGAAGATGACTGACCAGACACTAACCAGGTTCCTCAGAAATTGGTCATGACACATTTTAAAAGACTGTATTACACCAGCAGAGTATCAAAAGACATGAGATAAAAACTGATCAAAATAAAAGAATGCACAAATCCAGAACTATAGTGGGAAATTTCAATACCACGTAGCAATAACTGATGTATCAAGCAGGCAGAAAACCAGTAAGAATATAGATCATCTGAACAGTGTTACATATCAACTTAATTGACATTTATAGAACACTCCAAATTCAAGCAACAGAATAAAAACACATTTTTCTGAAGTTCACTCAGAACATACACCAGAATAGACTATGCTAAGGGATATAAAACATAGCTTGACAAATGTAGAAGAACAGATATCACACAAAGTAATTTAAGACCACAATAGAATTAAACTTGAAATTAAAAAAGAAAGATAGATGAAAAATTTCCAAGTATTTGGAAACAATCCAGCACACCTGCAAATAACCCAAAATAAGATGTCTTAAGAGAATATAAGATTTCTTTATAACCAATTAAAATTTAAAATATAACATCAAAATATTTAGAATGTTGCTAAATCAGTGCTAAAAGGTATATTTTTGTAGCATTAAATGTCTATTTGAAAACTAGAAGAGCCTACAATTAATAGCTTAAGTTTTCATCTTATGATACTGAAGAAAGATGAGTACATTAAATTTAAAGCAAATAGAACCAAAGGGAAGAAAATTAATGCAGAAATTAATAAAATTGAAAATAATAAGAGCATAGAGAAAATTAGTAAGACACAATAGTGTTCTTTGAAAATAAAACTAAAAATAATAACCAATAAGAAAAAAGAGAGAAGAAAAAATTACCAACAGCATATTTTTAAAAAAGGTAATCATTATTACAGATCCCATAGCAATGAGTAACATTATAAGAGAACACTGTGATCACCTCTATGTCTACAAATCTGATAGCTGAGATGAAATGGACCAATTTATTTAAAGAAACAAAGTACCAAAACTCATTCAAGGATAGATAACCTATTTAACCCTGTAACTTAGAGGTAGTAAGGACTGAATTAGTAAATACATTCCAAACGCAGGACAAAACAATAGCAAGAGAACATCAGACTAAGATAGTTTTACTGGTGAATAGATATTTAAGAAGGACAATATTTTAGCAAGAAATCATAAATAAGAAAGAAATCATACCACCTCTACATTATATTTTTCAAAACAATAGAAGTGGAGAGAACATTTCCCAACTTATGAGGCCAGCCTTACTTAAATGCCAAACCAGATAAAAACATTTCAAGAAAATTACAGACCAATATTTCGTGAACATAGGCACAAAGCTCTTTGAGAAAATAAGAGCAAATAAAACAGCAATATATAAAAAGGATAATACATGATCAAATGTGGCTAATACTAAGAATGCAAGCCTTATTTAACACTCATATGTCAATGAATGCAATATATAATTACAAGAAAAACATAAAGGGTTTCTGGAAGGCTTACATGGTTGAGGGAACAAGAAATGAAAATAAGTGTCTGCTAAAGAAGAGGTATCTTAACAGACTTTCAGGGTCTCATTTGGAAGTCCTGAAGAACTACATTCTAGTAGAAATTGTAAGCTATAAATAGACTGATTTCACACCCCTATCAACCTAATCTTCAATGGGATTATTATGATTGTCCTATACTCTAGCATGTCTGCCAGAGCAAAGTCAATACTGGAGAAATATAACATGGTCCAAAGGCTTAAATGATCAGTTCAGTTTCTCATGCACAATCTCTTCAAATAAAAATACTCTCTCTTAATTTTTTAAAAGAAGTATTGAAGAGAGATGGTAGCAAAGGGGCATGATTTTCATTCTTCTTAAACCTTAACTCTAATAGACACACCAACAGTAGTAGCAAAACCAAATACTCATGGGTAGCATCTACAGCAAAACTGGATAGTAAGATGGTAAGTTGTATTCCAGGGAACTCCAAAATGGTGAGGACAAATCACCAACTACTGTAAGAACTGCACATTATCAGCATCTGTGCAAAAAGAAGTAGAAGGAAACATCAGAGAACCCCATAATTTAAAAAAATATGAATCGGAAAGACCAATGTACCCACTTGAAAATAGCAGCTGAAACTGGAAGACATTTTATGTGTGCCAACAGCAGCTGAACATAAAATGTCTGAGGAAAGTGTGAAGGGGCTGTAGCAATCTGGAAAATCTAAACAACTATGACCAAAATTTCCTTCCAAGAAAACGCCCCACCCATGAGAAGAAATAGCTTGGGGATCTAATTCAACTTATCATAGAAACAATAAAGGCAAGGGTAGGTCCAGATAAAAGTGTGAGATGGGCTAAAAATAGCAACACCTTATGATCCAAAAATTACACTGCTAGGTACACATATGTTCACCAAAGAACAGGCAGTAAAATCTTCATAGAAACAATATTTGGGCATAAGCCCAAACTGGAAACGACCCAATTTCCCCTCCACCACAGAATAGATAAATAAAGTATGGCATAGTCATAATAATCAATGTATATAATTGATTATTTTGTGGAATGATAGCAATTATATGAACACAGATATTCATGACAGCTTTCCTCATAATTGTCAAAAATGCAAATGATTAATATGGTATTGGTAAATATTTTTCTCTATTCATGAAATGGTAAATTATGAATTTTTTTTATTTTATAGAACTTTAGCACTATAAATTCTCATTATACATATGTGAAGTTAAATGACAGGTTTTAAAACATTATTAATTGCAATCCCAATTCTGTTTAAAATTGCTAATAAAAGAGATGATAAAATGAATGAGAAATTGAAACCATTAAACTAATAAAAAGTCAAAAATACTTCTGTCTCTCAAAGTTATGAATGTTTACTTTAAAGATTTTAGAATTTCCAAATTTTTATTATTTTTGTAATCAAAAATAAAACTTGATGTATCAGTAAATATTGTGCCAAAAAAAAAACATTTTCCTTAGAGAATCTTAAACCCACAAATTTGTCTGCCTGATGAATTTCCATCCATCAGTAGTTCTTTTATCTATGGTAAATTCCAGATATCCTCCAACTTTAAGGAAAAAGTGTGGGTTCCCATATCCTTGTGCCTCCTTTCCCTGTTTTGCTGTACGCAAAGAAGACATGGAAGCTTATGAAAGCTTTTAACTAGAACACAGTGGGAAAGCTTATTTCAAAGATGATATTGACACATCAAACTTACCCAGATCAGAGATTTTGCCCACTGTCAAGCTTCACTAACAACATCAAAGAAACACAAAATAAGAGCACAGGAAAAGCAGGGCGAGGGAGAGCCATTCCAAATGACTCCCTGAGTTCCACATGTCCTCACTGGACACCCTATCTGCTCCAGGGTAATAAATGAAAATAATTTTTCACAGCAGGAAGATTTTAGGTAATGAAATGTATTCATTTTCTACCATAAATAATTGCTTAGTTTATGTGACATTTTCAAGGAAGCCAGGCATCATAAATCCATAGATTCTAAGAGTGTTTACCACAATTTATCCTAGATGAGAAACATTCCGTTACAAATATTCAACAGATAAGGACTCTCCTTTCTAGAAAATATTAGGTCTAGTTTTTTGGAAGTAAATATCAGCAAGTTTGCAAGAAAATTAAACAAGTTTATCTCCTTTTTTTTCCCCTCTTTTGTGAACATCACCCAAGAATTAGTAGAAAAGTGTGCATAACAGACCAAGTGTTTCAACTCCTCTTTCCCTAAGTTAGTTTTTAGCTAATGCCTTTCCTCTCTCACTCTTGGAAACTTTTGACCATGGACTAAAGTCATGGCTGTGACTATAGGCAATGAAGGCTTTTGCTTCCCTACCTAGATTCAGAGCTTCCTGGTCTCCTGCTGTTGTGGAAACTAGTACTGTTGTTCTGGCTCTGTCTCATCCCAACTGTTACCTATATGGTCACCATTGCAGGTCTAATCTCAGATATGGCTACTGTTTACTTCAAGTGTCTGTGTTACAGCCTTTTCTTTAGTGCTGGGAGCTTCATCAGTATCTTCTCATGAGATCAGAGTGGTGAGCCTTAAGTACTTATTAGTGCAGAATCACTAGACAGTATCCCGTACAGCCTGCTTAGTGAGACATTAGAGTTGAAAATGATTCTTTCTTCAAGGCCCATCTTTTTTTGTTTGTTTGTTTTCTTCCTTATGATGCTTTTAAAGGACCCCACCCCCTCACATTGGATGGAGAGGCTGACAATGAACAATTCATGGTAATGATGACAACGATAGACATAAATGTGAGTTAAGAGAGAAATTCACTTTGCTCTAGATATCAGGGAAGACTTTCAGTAAATGAAGAATTTGCCTTATTTGGTTATGCATTTACTCTGAAAGCTGGCCCTCCAGTAGGAGATTCAGATGTCGTACTTTGTTACCAGTTGAATTTTGTCCCACAAAAATATACATTGGAGTCCTCACCCCAGTACTTGTGGGTCTGACCGTATTTGGAAATAGAGTATTTGTAGATATAATCAAATTAAGATGAGGTCATCAGTGTGAGTCTATTCTAATAAGACTGGTATCTTGGTAAGAGGAAAACAGCATGTGAAGATAGACTCTCAGGGAGAACACTTTGTGATAAAAGCAGCAGAGATTGGAGTGATGTAGTTGCAAGTCAAAGAATGCCAAGGATTGATGGACACCACTAGAAGCTAGGAAGATGCAAGGAAGGGTTCTACTCTATCCATAGTCCCAGACGGCACAAGGTCCTGACAACATGTTGACTTCAGAGCTCTAGCCTCCAGAATGTAAGAGAATAAGATTCTGTTGTTTAAAGCCACCTAACTTGTGTTAATTTGTTATGGCAGTACTAGGAAACTACTACATAAGCTGGTTAAGAACTCTAAGCCTCTGAGACAGTTTAATAATGCTACATAACAGGAGCAAAGTATCAATAATGACAAGAATTCTGAATGCATGGAACAAATCAGATATATCAATACGGTAGTCTGGCTATCCATAATTCTGATAGAAATCAGACTTAAATTCATGGAAGAGGTTATTGGTTAAGAAAGAGAAATGACTGCCTTAAGAAAGAGGAGAGGCATGGCCTGGACACAAATCATCCATCCAATAGGCATACAGCATCTCATACCTGTGAGATAGGATTGTGGTGCAGAGGTTCTGTTTGAGGCAATAGGGTAGTTTCCAGCAACATATAAAACATCCAGAGGCAAGCTACTTTTCAATATTCAGGTAACAAGCAAATATTGCCAACTTTCACCGAGTGGCATACATGATTCATTACTATTTTTAAAGGGGGGAAATGCTATATCCTCTTCACCCTACATATCTGTCATATATGGAAAAAAAAATGAGTTGATATTTATGTCCCAGCAAGCTAAGTGATACACAGTGACAGGCATGACAAGGTGCTTATCCCACTCCTCTCCCAGCACCAAGGGCACTGTCTTTAGTGTCTAGCACTGTGCCTGACATATAGCATATGCTCCATAAATGTTCACTGACTTAATGGGAACTTCTGCCAGTTTTATCACTGAGCTACTCTACATGATCAACAGAAGTCTAGGAGAGTAACCTATAGATTTATTTACCCTTATTTTGCCATTTTAAATTAAACCTAATGCATTCACAGAGAAACTGCACTGACTATGGCTATCTGATACGTGATTCAGATTAATTGTTGCTGCAGTCATTCATGAGTTTTGGCACTGTTTGTATTTTGGTAAGCAAAAGTAGGGGAATTTATTTTTGGCCATCTACATCAAATCTTTATTTGGACAACTAAATGAATCACTATAAAACTCCACAGTCAAAATGGTTAATGGGATATGGTAATACGCAGAGTCAGTGATTACCTGGCCTTATATTTCCTCTGGGTTTTTTGCTGTTGATACTATCACCTGCATCTTTTTATTGCAAGTATTTGGGGCATGGAGCCAGTTTCCCTTTCAGTACATAAAGCTGATCTGAGCATCCAGAAACCGTAACAATCAGCACTTTTTAGAAAATGAAACCATTTGCAAGGTCCTGAATGATAGATGGCAATGGGGAAATGCATTTTATTGTGCTTTCAAAGTAAAATTTCAGCAGTAACTTTGCTTATAAATATGGTGACTATACTTACCTGTTTGCCTAGGAAGGTTCTGGGTAATACCAGATGCCTTGCTGTAATTATTGAGAGAATTCACTTTGAGCCTCAAATTTTCCCTGTGTGATTGTAAATTGTATGGTCACCACACTTATTTTTAGCACCTTTTTTGGAATTCAATAAGCAGACAGATTCTAGCAGCCTGGGAGGAATTACATGTAAATATTTACAGCCCTCCAGAAGCAGCGTGGCAGAAAAGATGTAGCATACACAAAAAGGCTCAATCAAGAGAATGATGGGTCAAGGATAGTAGGGTAGTTGATAGAAGAATAAGCAAAGAAAGCAGAAACAGGAGATTTTATATACTGGAAAGAGTAAAAAAGTACCATGGTACAAGAAGGAATAACAGTGTTAAAAAAAAAAAAACGGAATGTCAGCAAAATTTGGGTGTAGCAATTACATAAGCTACTGTTTATTGAACATCTACTATGTGCCAGAAACTAGGCTTAATGATTTATGTACAAAAATACATTAAAACTCCTCAAAAACCCAGGAAAGACTTTCTGTCCACGGTTTATACATAAAAATGGAAACAGAGTTAAGTAAGCTGCTAAATGAGTTAGATTGTGAGACCAGTTTTGAAGCCAGATCCGCTTGGCTTTCAAAATTCTGTACTCTTAAATATTATATTCTATGACTTTTTTCCAAGCTCTAAGATTGACGACTTCTGATTCCAAGACCTTATGCTTTATGTTGCATGAAGACTGGCAAAATCTCTCAGGATTTGTAAGAATCCCAGAGAGAGAGAGAGAGAGAAATGGCAGGTAACTACTTTTTCCAAGGCATAAAAGCGACAGGGACAAGACTAGAACTGGGCACAAGTGGTTTTAATTTAATAATAATAAAACTTCTACATAATGATAAAAGATACTCATTCCTCAGCAACAAATGATAAAAAGAAAGGAATATACATATATATATTTTTTATATATATTAAATAAATATATTTAATCATGACTTCAGAATTTTGTTGACATTTTCATACAACAGGCAATGGTATGGAGAATTTCTATTTACTCATAAATTTTATATTTGTTTTTTAATATTGGTTTTATATTTATTTTATACATTGTTTTAAAAATTATGTTTATGATTAATATTTTTCAATAGAGTAAAAACATAAATTCTCTCATGGTCATTTATTCCTTCATCACTGTAAATGGTGAAATGTCAATCAGTGAAAATTGTCTTTGAAGTTGTCTCATATTCCCAGGACTCATTTGGTATCTGCCTTCACTCAGTTTCTAGTTAATTTAGTGAACTTCCCTTGCTCTGTTAAATCCATAGCTGCCTTCTTAGTAATATGAAAATCACCTGCCACCAGTATCTCTACTTTAAAATTCCCTCTAAATAAAACTCAGAATTTTGTCATGAAGAAAAGATTGTGGAATAAAAATATACAGCTCTAGAACAGTTTTGAGGATGAAGGATGCTCTCACTGAAGAAAATCACACCTCTACTTAACAAGCAGGAATACTTATTAACCTCCTACCATCTTTGGAGCATGTAGAAATGATCATAGCATCTACTGCAGTGTGTTGGTTAATATTGAGTGTCAACTTGATTGGATTGAAGGATGCAAAGTATTGTTCCTCCGTGTGTCTGTGAGGGTGTTGGCAAAGGAAATTAACATTTGAGTCAGTGGACTAAGAGAGGTAGACCCACCCTCAATCTAGATAGGCACCATCTAATCAGCTGCTAGCATGGCTGGGATAAAAGCAGGCAGAGGAACATGGAAGGACTAGACTGGCTAGGTCTGGCCTCCATCTTTCTCCCATGCTGGATGCTTTCTGCCCTTCAACATTAGACTCCAAGTTCTTCAGCTTTTGGACTCTTGGACCTACACCAGTGGTTTGCCAGGGGTTCCCAGGCTCCCAGCCACAGACTGAAGTCTGCATTGTCATCTTCTCTTCTTTTGAGGTTTTAGGACTTGGCCTGGCATCGTTGCTCCTCAGCTTACAGGCGACCTATTGTGGGACTTCACCTGGTGATTGTGTGAGTCAATGCAGCTTAATAAACTCCCTTTCATATATCCATTAATCCTATTAGTCCTGTCCCTCTAGAGAACCCTGATTAATACATGCAGAAACATTTCCTTTCCTCTAAAAGTTTAGAAATCACATTATCTAAAATTATCAGCCATTAAGGCGTACTGCTGACTATTTTGGTGCAGTCTTTAGTCTTCTTATATGTGACCAAACCATTCCTATTTTTTTTCTTTTGTTTGTTTCTACAAATGATTACTGAACAAACCTTGTCAAGTCTATCTCATTCAACACCATCACCATGCTTGCCAGAAGCACTGCAACAACCCCTCCATTGGTCTTCCTGCTTTTATATTCTCTTCTTTGAAGTCAGCAAACTTTCTATAAAAGACCAGATACTAAACATTTTTGGTTTTGCAGCCCATCCATTCCCTATCACAGCTACTCAAATCTGCTGTAATAGCAAGAAAGCAGCCTTCCATCATGGAAATTAATAGATGTGGTTGTGTTCCAATAAAACTTTATTTACAAAAAAAGAACAAAAACAAAAAGAAAAATAGTAAACAGCTGGGGAGTTTGATTACCTTCACATTGTATTAGGTTACATATTACATTAGATTTTGTCTCTTCTTAGGAAAATAAAAAGCAAATAGTATTTTGTGACTTAGAACAAAGTTTCATATTTGGTGCATATTGTTCTGTGTAGCCTTTTGAGGTTTAGTCTTAATAGATCTTATCTGTCTCATCCCCTGATACTCTCACCCAGGCAAACTACATTCCAGTTACTCTTCACTGCTAGTTATTGCCTAAACATAGATATTTACTTTCAAATGCTTCTCCTGCTGTAATGAATACATAATAAGATATCTAGGGGATGGGACCAAAGTCTAAACACAAAATTTTATTTATGTTTCATATATACTTTATACACATAAGCTGAAGATAATTCTATACAATATTGTAAATAATTTCGTGCATGAAACAAAGTTTGTGTACCTCAAACCATCAGAAAGCAGAGCTATCTCTGTCTTGGCCATCCAAATTAGCACTCAAAAAGTTTGAGATTTGGAGCATTTTGTATTTTGACTTTTCAGATTAGGAATGCTCAACCTGTACTTCAATCATTGACAGCAGAGCTCACATCCTCCTCATACTCACATAAAAAAATTCACCAAGAGAGATCAAATTCTGGACCAAAAACTACACTTCAACAAATTTAAAGGTAGAAAAAGTTACGTAAAATATACTCTCAGGCCAAATGAAATTTAACCAGCAATCAATACCAGAAAGATAGCTGGAAAATTCCAAAATGTTTGTACATCAAACAGTGTGCTTATATATGGCACATAATTGAAAGAAAAAATTTCAAAAGAAAATTTAAAACTATTTTGAACTAAGTGTAAATGAAGATACAATTTATCAAAATTTGTGAGACCCCATGAAATTAGTGGTTAGAGGGAAATTTATAGCACTGAATGTGTATATTAGAAAAGAAGAAAAATCTAAAATTGATAATTTAAACTTGCTTCTTAGAAAACTGAAGAAAGAAGAAAAACGTAATCCTAAAATGACCAGAAGAAAATAAATCACAGAAATCAGAGCAGAAATTAACAAAATTAAAAACAGTAAAGCAATGGAAAAAATTAACAAAACCAAAGCTTATTTATTGAAAATATCAATAAAATTGACAAACTTCTATATATGCTAAACAAAAAAAGAGAAAAGACACAAATTACTAATATTATAAATAAAAGAGGAGTCATTTCACTGACATTAAAGAGATAATAAAATCATATTATATACAACTTTATGTCCACAAACATAGTTGGAACACTGATGGAACAAACCATTCCATAAAATTTTCAGAGGAAATATGGTCCTGCCAACAATTTTATTTCAAATTTCTAGGATTTGTAATTGTGAGAAAATAAATTTCTGTTAATATGGGCTACCCAGTTGGTGGTATTTTGTTATGTCAACTCTAGAAAATAAATATAAAAAAGAAAACCAATTGGAATTTGAAATTAAAACTACAACACCATTTACATTAGTACAAAAAAATACTTAGGTAGAGCCTGGCGTGGTAGCTCACGCCTGTAATCCCAGCACTTTGGGAGGCCGAGGTGGGCAGATCACGAGGTCAGGAGATCGAGACCATCCTGGCTAACATGGTGAAACCCCGTCTCTACTAAAAATACAAAAAATTAGCTGGGCGTGGTGGCGGGTGTATGTAGACCCAGCTACTTGGGAGGCTGAGGCAGGAGAATGGCGTGAACCCAGGAGGCGGAGCTTGCAGTGAGCCAAGATCGCGCCACTGCACTCTAGCCTGGGCAACAGAGGGAGACTTTGTCTCAAAAAAAAAAAAAAACACTTAGGTACAAATTTAACAAAAAATTTACAACATCTACTTAGGAAAAACTTAAAGACTCTGACAGAAAAGAAAAATCCACAAAGATCTAAATGGATGGAGAAATTCTCCATATTCATGTATAAGAGGATGTCAGTTCTTCTCAAATTGACCTATAGATTTAATATCATCCAAGTTGAAATTCTAGCAAGCTATTTTGTAAATATTGAAAAACTGGTTCTAAAAAATATAAAGAAAGGCAAAAGACATAGAATAGTCAATACTGAAGTAGAACAAAGTTAGAGGACAGATATTACTCAACTTCAAGACTTACTGTAAAGCCACAGTGATCAAGACAATGTCTATTTGTGACAGAACAGACAGACGTCATCTGAACAGAGAGCCCAAAAATAAACCCATACAAATATTGTTAACTGATCTTTGACAAAGGAAAAAAGACAATCCAAGTGAAAAAAAAAAAATTGTCCTTTTGACAAATGGTTCCTGGAACAGATGGACATCAACATGCCCAAAAAAAAAAAAAATTGTCAACACATACCTTACGTCTTTCACAAAAATTAACTCAAAATGGATCATATACCTAAGTTAAAATCAAAACAATAAAATGTCTAGAAGGTATCTTGGAGAATATTGAAGTGACCTTGGATTTGAAAAGAGTTTTAAGATGTAATACCAAAAGAATGATTTGTAAAGAAAAGTTGATAAGTTGGACTTCATTAAAATTAAAAACTGCTCTGCAAAAGAAACTGGTAATAGAACGAAAGGACAAGCCACAGAGTGGGAGAAAATGTAAAAACGACGCATATCTGATAAACAACTTGTAAACAAAATATACAAAGAACTCAAACCTCAGCAGCAAGAAAACAACCTAATTACAAAGTGGGTAAAAGATCTGACAGAAACCTCTCCAAAGATACACAAATGACAAGCCTATTAAAAGATGCTAACTATCATATGTCATCAGGGAATCGCAAATTAAAACACTGACATATCCTTATGTACCGATCGGAGTTGCTAAAATTGAAAACACTACAACACCACATACTGGCAAGAATGTCAAACAACAAGAGCTTGTATTCATTTCTGATGGGAATGTAAAAGGACACATCCACTTTAGAAGACAGTTTGGCAATTTCTTACAAAGTAGGTTGTTATCACGCTGCTGATAAACACATACCTGAGACTGGGTAGTTTATAAAGGAAAGAGGTTTAATGGACTCACAGTTCCACATGGCTGGGGAGGACGCACAACCATGGAGGAAGGTGAAGGGAGAGCAAAAGCACATCTTACGTGGTGGCAGGCAAGTGGGCATGTGTAGGAGAACTCTCCTTTATAAAACCATCAGATCTTGTGAGACTTATTCACTATCACAAGAACAACATGGGCAAGACCCGCCCCCATGATTCAATTACTTCCCACCTAGTCTCTCCAACAACACATGGGGATTATGGGAGCTACAATTCAAGATGAGATTTGGGTGGGGACACAGCCAAACCATATCATTCTGCCCCTGGCCCCTCCCAAATCCCATGTCGTCACATTTTAAAACACAATCATACCCTTCCCAACAGTCCAACAAAGTCTTAACTCATTTCAGCATTAACTCAAAAGTCTACAGTCCAAAGTCTCATCTGAGACATGGAAATTCCCTTCTGACTATGAGACCGTAAAATCAAAAGCAAGTCAATTACTTCCTAGATGCAATGGGGGTATGGGCAATGGGTAAATACACCCATTCCAAATGGGAGAAATTGGCCAAAATGAAGGGGCTACAGACCCTGTGCAACTCCAAAATCCAGCGGGGCAGTCAAATTTTAAAGCTCCAAAATGGTCTCCTTTGACTCCAGGTCTCACATCCAGGTCACAATGATGCAATAGGTGGGTTCCCATGGTCTTGGGGAGCTCTGCTTCTGTGACTTTGCAGGTTACAGCTCCTTTCCTGGCTGCTTTTATGGGCTGGCATTGAGGGTCTGCAGCTTTTCCAGGTACACGGTGCAAGCTTTCAGTGGATCTACCATTCTGGGGTCTGCAGGACGGTGGCCCCTTCTCACAGCTCCATTAAACAGTGCCCGGGCAGGGGACCCTATGTGGGGGCTCCTACCCCACATTTCCCTTCTGCGCTGCCCTAGCAAAGGATTTTTATGAGGGCTCCGCCCCTGCAGCAAACTTGCCTGGATATCCAGGCGTTTCCATACTTCCTCTGAAATCTAGGCGGAGGTTCCCAAACCTCCGCTCTTGACTTCTGTGCTCAAAGCCACGTGAAAGCCACCAAGGCTTGGGGCTTGTTTCCTCGGAAGCAATGGCCTGAGAGCTCTATGTTGGCCCCATTTAGACACGGCCAAAGCAGCTGGGACAGAGGGCACCAAGTCCTTAGGCTGCATACAGAAGGGGTCCCTGGACCCAGCCCAGGAAACCAATTTTTCCCTCCTAGGCTTCTGAGCCTGTAATGGGAGGGGCTGCCATGATGGTCTCTGGCATGCCCTGGAGACATTTTCCCCATTCTCTTGGTAATTAGCATTTGGCTGCTGGTTACTTATGCAAATTTCTGCAGCAGGCTTGATTTTCTCCCCATAATATTGGTGTTCTTTTCCACTGCAATGTTTTCAAACTTTTATGCTGTGCTTCCTCTTGAATGCATTGTTGCATAGAAATTTCTTCCACTAGATACCCTGAATCATCTCTCTCAAGTTCAAAATTCCACAGATCTCTAGGGCAGGGGCAAAATGCCACCAGTCTCTTTGTATAGCAAGAGTGACCTTTACTCCCAGTTCCCAACAAGTTCCTCATCTCCATCTGAGACGACCTCAGCCTGGACTTTATTGTCAATATCACTAACAGCATTTTGGTCAAAACCATTCAACAAGTCTCTAGAAGTTCCAGACTTTCCTGTATTTTCCAATCTTCTTCTGAGCCCTCCAAACTTTTTAAGCTCTGCCTGTTACCCAGGTCGAAAGTCGCTTCCACATTTTCAGATATCTTTACAGCAGTGCCCCACTACCTGGCACCAATTTGCTCTATTAGTCTGTTCTCATGCTACTAATAAATACATACCTGAGACTGGGTATACGAAAATCTACACATGAATGTTCTAGCAGCTTTGCCTGTAACTCAGAAAATTTGAAAGTAATTAAGATGTCTTGCAACAGATGAACATATAATCAAACTGTGATATGCCCATGCAATCAAGTATCATTCTGTAATAAAAATAAATATGCTATCAAGCTATGAAAAGATTATGTACATTACGGAATTTAGTGAATAATAATGGATCAAAGGTAATGGTGGCTCATCAACTATACAAATGCACTATATTAATGCAAGATGTTAACAGTAGGAGATATTTTATACAAACATAGGGGAAAGGGAGTATATGGAAACTCTGTACTTTTGACACAATTTTACTGTAAACCTAAAACTGCTCTATGAAACAAAGTCTAATTAAAAAAACAAAAACTGCTCTATAAAAGCCAAATTAAAAGAAGGAACAAAAATATTTTATAATCTTACAAATCATAGTGATCAGTATAAGCATCAATATATTTTAGTCTAGAATTTCCTCCATATTTGAGAAATTTACAAAGATAAATATTTTATTATATATTGTTTTAATCTATATTATAACACAATATTCCATATAACATTAGAAGTTTTTATGATTTTGCAGATCTTTCCCAAACTGAGTAAGAGTCTCTCATTATTACTACTTGAAGGTATACGACCATTATAGAGAACAACACAAATGTAAAGCTAGTTGGTTGAAACTATATATATATATATGTATCATATATGAGTGTGTGTGTCACATATGTTTATACATATATATGACATATGTAAAAACACTATTTTAATTGCCTACCATATTGTCAATTAAAAAGAATGGGAAATGGTGTCACTGTGGAAATGTTTGAGGGAAAAAAAGTAATCAAATTTTTTTTCAAATTGATAATAACATTAAGTAACATTATTCAACCTTTATTATATATTAAGCATCAGAATAAGTCCTTTCACGTATTTTATGATTTAATCACAACAGTTTTATTTTAAAAGTACTGGTATTATCTTCATTCATGCATGAGAAAACTGAGTCTCAGTAACTTGTGTACTGCCATATAAAAACTAAATGAGAAAGCCAGAACTCAAACAGTCTAGCTTAACAGCTTATGTTTATCACCAGTATTTTCTATTGTTTCAAACCACTGAATGATCCTCATTTGTGGCTGTGGGAAAACTATCACTATTGTTATTTCTTTCACGGAATTGTGCAGTAAATTGTCCATTTAAAGGGCCAATAAATTAATGAGTTTGTTAGTCAGTAAAAGGTCATTTGTATGGTAGGCTACCGACTTACAGTAATATATTTGTCACATTTACTCTTTAACTAGATGATGTTAGAGATAATTATATGGTTAATTTTGTCCAAATTAATTATTAATAAGAAAGGAGATAAAGTGAAAAGGAGTGACAGAGAAAAAAAAAGGAAAGGAGTAATTGATTTTTTGAATTCTGAAGATTGAATGTATGTTTGAAAGCTTCCACCTATAGATTTACACTTAAAAGATCTATTAAGAATTCAGAAAAAAAAATAACAGAAGTGAGCAAAACCAATGGAGAGAAGTGAAGAAAACACCCCCCAAAATAAATACAATTTAAAAAAGGAATTTCTGGTATAACTTTTATCTCAAAGTAAAAAGAAATATATCTCCTTTCTTCACTTATATAAATTTCACTATGCTTTCAAAATTCTCTTTTATTGTGTTATTTGGGATAATTTTATAAATCCAATACTTAGTAATGCTAAAGAAGAAAAATTTAAACAAATTCTGAAGCAACATTCATGAGATATGAAAAAAAATAAGCAAAATATAAAATCCCTAAAGAAATTTAAGTTGCAATTTACCATTTTTTTAGTTTAATATTTCCTTGGGAGACTTTTTAAGCACTTTTTATATTTCTTAATATGTTCTATCTGCTACAGAGCTTTCAAATTGCTACAGTACAGTTGTAGAGAGAATGCCTTGGACCTTTTTAATATGTGACTTACACCCTGGTAGGAAATTACCTTGCTGCTACGGTTCACTTGATAGCACTCGGTGGGCCAACAGGTCATGGTTTAAGGACTTATGCCATAGTGATAATTCATAACCAGTTCTCATTGCACTTCAGCATGGTTCTGGGTCAAAAACACCATTATCCTTCACTTCAAGTTCACACATGTTTTGACCTATCACTTTTACTTTGATAAATCTTCTCTTGCAAATAGAAAGTGCTGTTTATCTTGAAAAGATACACTTAAGGCTATAGACAGTGGATAAGAAATAGTATATTGAAATACTTCTAAAAATTTTTAAACGTATTCAATTTAGTACACACACGCATCCTCAAAAACACCCTCAGGAATGCAAAATATATGGGAGACTATGAATAGCAGCTGAGAGCAACAATTCACATTCCCGTGTTTGCTAATAGTTACATAATATGTTGTCTCCATTAAAGTCTTGCTCTTACCAATCCTTCTCAACTGATGACACTGCATCATACTTTAGTGAGTAAATAAGAGAACTCAAAGAGACACTCTCTTTCTTTGCCTATGTCCATGCACATGTTCTCTTTTTTCACTCTTCTATAAGACAAGAAAGCCCCTTGCTCCTGTCAGTGGAAAATCCCAGGGCTTTGTAATGAATATCAAATCCTCACTCCTCACCTTACCAAGGACTTCAATCTTACATGTATTTCTTTTGCTTTTATCATGAATTTCTCTCTTTCTCTTTGACTCTTCTTAAAGTCAACAATTTCTGATACCTTGAAAGTCAACTTGTTTAAAAAAAACACATCAATAAACAAACATAACAACTTTAGTTTTTTTCTCTCATATGCTACTATGTTGGTGTTCTTTTAGAGAAAAGAAAAAAAAGGAAAGAGTGGCATCTCTTTTCTGACTCCAATCTGTGCCTTCACACTTATATTTTAAACTAATATGAAACGTAAAATGATAAAAATTCTAGATTATAACATAGTGACAGAAATACAAATAGCTTCAAGACCTTGAGGAATATGAAGATTGCTTAAACAGCACACACATAAAACTATGATAGAAGTATTGATAAACTGGACTATACCGAAGTTGAATATGTGTGTTCATAAGGACTCTCTTATTCTAGCCTGTTCCATGACACACTTAGAATGAAAAGGCAAACTACAGAATGGGACGATATATTTCCAAGTAATAAATCTTAAAAATTAGTTGTATCCAGAACCTATAAAGAGCTTCTACAATTAAAAAAGGAAAAGATAGCCCAATAAAATTGGGCAAAATACATGGACACTTCACTAAAGGGACTATTCAAATGTAAAATAGCCATAGGGACATGACGATTTGCTTCAAATTTACTACTAACAAGACAGTAAAAGTTTAAACAGCAGTGTTATGCCAACACCACCAATTCTCTGTGAGGAGACCTAAAATTAGAAGTGTTGACAAAGATGAGGAGCTACTTGAACTGTAGTACATTGCTAGTGGGAATATATCTACAGTCACTTCATTTATGTATCTATTTATCTTTTTTCTACCTTTATGTTAGGTTTGGGGGTATATGTACAGGTTTCCTACATGGGAAAACTGCATGGCACTGAGGCTTGGCGTACAAATGATTCCATCACTAAGGTAGTGGGTATACTACCCAATAGGTAGCCTTCCAACCCATGTCTCTCTCCTACCTTCCCACCTCAAGCAGTCCTCAGTGTCTACTGCTCTTAGGTTTGTGCCCATGTATGTTCAGTGTTTAGTTCTCACTTAAGTGAGAACATGAGGTATTTTGTTTTCTGTTCCTGTGTTAGTTCACTTATGATAATGGCTTCCAGCTTCATTATTGTTGCTGCAAAGTACATTATTTTATTCTTTTTTATGGGTGTGTAGTATTCCATGGTGTATGTGTGTATATATATATAAATTATATATATTATATATAATGTATATAATAAATACATAAAATATTTTCTTTATCCATTCTATCATTGATGGGAATCTTGGTTGATTCCATGTCTTTTTACTTTAGAAAACTGACATTATCTCTTAAAATTGAACCTACTATGCCTAGATATATGCTGAAAATAAAGTGCCAACATTTATGCAAAAAGTATATACAGAAGCATTATTTTAAATTTGAAAGAACTCAAGTATATATCAAGTAGAAAGAATGAGTAAATCAATTTTAGTATATTCATTCAATAAAACACTGTACAGCAATGAAAATTATGTCATACATACATTTCTCAATGTTAATGAAAACAGCGATAGAAGCCAGAAATCTAACAATACATGCATATGACTCCAATTAAATTTAATTATAAAAGGCAAGTACTTTGTGAACTTCCAACACCATAAATTTGTTTCCTATAAATAATAATATAAACTCTGGGCATTATCATAAAATGAAAATATTTGTGTGATCACCATCCAGGTCAAGGCTCCTTAATATCCCACACCAAACATTATGTCTATGTTGTAAATTTCTCATCTTTATCAACAACTGAAGCAAGCAGCTAAAATTTCAAATTCCAAAGGCAAGGTCATTGATATGCAAATGGCATGTATTATGGTAGACATAGAAATGTTTCTACTATGTTAACCTCAAGAATTTCTATGAAGAGCATGAAAGAGGACCTAGTTAGCAGGAGAACCACTTCAGACTTAATGTGATTCTCTGTGATGTTTATTCAAGCCTTCCAATTCCCTTTCATTCTGTCAAACAAAAGTTACTCAAAATTATATGTCTGAAATGTTTTAGTGTTACTAGCATCCAGACAGGTGGCAACAATAAAATGTCTTTCCAAATACATGTAGCTTATTCTGTCTTTAATGTTTTACATGACCTAGGCTTATTTCCAGTAGTTAATAAACAGCACCTTGGCCACCCATCTGAACCTAGCTAGGAGTTATGGGGACAATGTCCTAGAGTACTTCCTCAATATGTCCCTTTAGTTATAACATACTACTCCCATTTTAAAAGTGGTAAAACTGAGGTTCAGTAAGATTTATAGTAAGTAAACGTTTTATTTGATTTTAAAAGCTTTTCTCTTACTTTAATTCTTATACTGCCAATTATTACAAGCCATTTTAGTTATTCTGCATTTTATTTCTGATCTACTCACTCTTATATAGACATGAGATTATTCTGATAATTATGTTTCACAAAATGTCTATTAATTTATCCCACCAATATTTATTGAGCACAGTGTGCAGACATTGTTCTAGATGTTGAAGACTCAAAAGTAGTATTTTTGCATGCTTGCAGTTTGTATTGCAGTGGGGAGTGTTGAAAGGAGAAAAATATAAACATAACAAACAAAAATTGTATTGAATATTAGAAATTGATACATTGTGAAAAATATGAGGTTAAAAGTATTGGAAATTCTGAAGAAGGCATTGCAACATGAAATAGGGTGGTCAGATGGATCTCTCAAGAATGATGAAACTATACAAAGACTTGAAGAAGGAAAGGGAGTGAACTCTGCAGATATTTAAGGAAAATGTGTTCCAGTAGGGAAAAAAGAGCTCAAGGCTGGAAGTTATTGGTGTAGTTGTAAAAAGTAAACAGGAGATAAGATCAGAGATATAAAGGAGGGTGAAATTGTGAGAACCCTTTATACCATTATAAAATGTTTAATTTTTATTCTGAGAGCAATGGTAGTTAGCAGCTAATCCTGTGATATGATCCAATCTATATTTTAACATAATTATCTGGATGTACATATATTTTAGGAGGACATAAATGAAATAAATGTGTTGGATATGAAGCTAATTCAACAGTCCAGGAGAGATTTGATTAGTAGCATTGGAGATGGTGAATAAAACCTGGTCACCAACATATTTCTTAATGGATTAGATGAGAGTGAAAAAATGGAGTCAAAGATGACTCCATCCAAGTGTTTTTACTTGGAAAAATTAAAGATGGTTGTCATTAACTGAGATGTTCAAGCTCATGAATAGAGCTAACTTGAGGAGATCAGCAGTTTAGTTGGAGATGCAAGTTCAATATAGGAGTGATTACGGTGACTAGGAGGTTGGGAATATGAATCTGGGCCATAGGAGAGTGAACTCTAGGTTTATACTGGAGATATGAATTTGGAGATCAGCAGTATGCAGATGATATATAAATAAATAGAATAGATGAGATTACCAAACAAGTGATAGTAGGTTGGTAGAGGAGAGATGTTTAACAACTTAGCATTTGGGCACCCAAACTTAGAAAACCTAGGAAAATAGGTTGCATGAGAAATTGAGACTAAGGAACACTAAAGAGTCATGAAGAAAACTAGGAGTGTGTCCTAGAAGCCACATAAAGATCAACCTTAGTAAAGGCTTTTGCTGTCAAGTAAAATTATGCCTGAGAATTGAATAAGGGTCTTAACAATATGGGTTATTTGGTATTCTTGGATAGCAGAGTAGACTAGAGAGATAGGAAAGAATGTCTGAGTAGACTAGAGTTAAGAGAAATTGGAAAAAAAGAGATTCAAATACAAACAGTAAGTATAGAAAACTCTTTGAAGAAACTTTCCTATAAAGAGAAGAGAGAATTGGGGAGCTGAAGAAGAAAGTGGGTTTAAGAAAAATATTTGTAATATTATATATTTATTTTAAGTGGGAGAAATAACAACATACGTCGATGGAAATTATAAGGGTAGAGGAACACCTAAATAATCTAAAAGAGGACAGAGAGAATTCTGTAACATTTGTCACCAAGCAGTAGAGAGAGAACGTATCTGATACCATGTTTCCTCCCCTATATTCGTTTCTCAACTTGTCCTATCCATGGTCAAACTATTCCTCATCAACATGATTTTCTTCTGTTACTTTATGTCACGTTATATCTGACTGTGGTTCCCACTTTGAAGGCCATGTTAAAGACATTCCAAATTTACATACACTTTCTACTACTCAGTAATAACTATTGAAACAAAAAAGGTCACTTCCAGAACCAATTCCAGAATATGCTAAGTAACTGAAAAGTCTAAAAAATTATGCAGACTAGCATTGCATCCTATGGTGTATTAGTCTGTTTGGGCCGCCATAACAAAACAGCACAGACTGGCTGGATTAGACAAGAGAAATTTACTTTCTCATGGTCCTAAAGGCTGAAAGTCCAAGATCAAAGTGTCAGTAAGGTTGGTTTCTGGTGAAGCCACTCTCCTTAGTTTGTAGATAGCTGCCTTCTAATCTGTCCTCACATGGCCTGGCATTTTCCTTACACAGAGAGATATCTGGTAGTGCAGGGAAAAAAGAGTGTGAAAGAGAAAACAAGCTGGTGATATATGATCTTTCAACTTTATTGAGAACATTTAGGGGAAAACTTTTTAAGTGGCTGTGAGTGTTGATTCTAAAAGATTTTATAACAGCAGTAGTAGGTATTTATAGAGCAAGTATTGTGAACTAGGCAGAGAGCTAAGTTTATTGTACAATTATTTCATGCAATCTTCCTAACAAATTTAGGTAGTAGCTGAGATTATCTCTATTTTTAAAGAAATTGACAGGTTATTTACTTATTTACACACGGCTTGTGTCTTAGTTTGTTATGGCTGCTATAACAAAATAGCTTAGACTAATTTATAAATAATATAAATTTATTTATCACAGTTCTGGAAGCTGGGAAGTTCAAGATCAAGGTGCCAATAGATTCAGTGACTCTCGGCTTCATAAATGGAGCCTCTTGCTGTGTCCTCATATGACAGATGGGGTGGAAGGAAACTCTCTTCAATCTCTTTTATAGGAAACTAATTTCGTTCATAAGGGATTAGCCCTCAGGACTTCACTTCCAGGAAGGTGCTACTTTTTAACACTATCACATTATTAGGTTACAACATAACAATTCTGTATTATAAAGACACATAGACAAGTATGTTCATTGCAGCACTACTTACAACGGTAAAGACATGCAATCAACCTAAATGCCCATCAGTGATAGACCAGATAAAGAAAATATGCTACATATGCACCATGGAATACTATGCAGCAATTAAAAAAAAAAACAAAACAAGATCATGTCCTTTGCAGGGACATGGATGGAGCTGGATGACATTATCCTCAGCAAACTAATGCAGGAACAGAAAACCAAATACCACGTGTTCTCACTTATAAGTGGGAGCTAAATGATGAGAACACATGGACACATAGAGGGGAACAATACACACTGGGGCATTTCAGAAGGTGGAAGGTGAGAGGAGGGAGAGAATCAGGAAAAATAACTAATGAGTACTAGGCTTAATACCTGACTGATGACATAATCTGTAAAACAAACCCCCCATGACACAAGTTTACCTATGTAACAAACCTGCACTTGTATCTCTGAACTTAAAAGTCAAAAAAAAAGATAAAATTAAAACAAAAATTTCTAGCGGTCACTAACACTCAGACCATAGCATTTTGGAAGTAACATAAATTAACTCTAGGAAAATACTTCTTACCATGCTAAAGTAATTGTTCTTTATCTTCTTGATGATAGCATGATTGTTGTCTGGATCTCGTTGGGACAGATCTTTGGTTCATGGATGCTCAGTGCTTTTTCTGATCAATACCCTTGTAACTTTAAATTAGTTCGTTGTCCTTCTTGTCCTTCATGTTAAAAATATGGCTTTGTGAGAAAGACGATATTTGTGGCACTCCCTACTAAGTCTCTGAAATTTAATTATCAAGCAAAAGCATAATCCAAAGGGGAATGGAAATGTAACTTTGTGATTAGAATAAAATTCCAGTGGAAGCCAAATTTGGCAAATGTTGTCAAGCAAAGAAGATGATGGGCTCCATGGTGAATTTGGATATGAGTAAAATCTTCAGTCTAATTCAAGTTCATTTGCTCCCCTTGGACATTAGTTCATCATATGACATTGGACCATGAATTTTCTGCCCATTCCCCTATTTCTAGAATCCCTTTCTGACTAATCCAAATAGTTTCTATCTGAATCCATACATGAGGATAATCTAGCTATGGCTTATCTCCCATTACAGTGCAGACTACTTTTCATCCAATTGGTAGTCTGAGAAAATGGAATCTCTCTGTTTCAAACTTTGCTCAGAGCATCAAACCATAGCAGAGAATCAGAAGTAGTAAAGCAATAGCAGAATTGTGCAAAAAAAAATTACTTTTCTAGGAAGAAGAGACATGATGTATGTATATATGTGGCTAAATAGGCAGAATAAGAAGAGATGGGAGAAATTTTTGTACTGAGTTCAGAAACGGTGATCTTACAGAGGCTTTAACTTATTCCAATTTCCAAAGACACACAGATATAAGTGCATTTAACCTGGTTCACAGATAATGATCCACTGAAGCTTGATATTCCTTAGTACACATCAAATAGGTCAGCCAACATTCTCTGGCTATGCCTTATCTGAATTGTATAAAACATCTTTAGTGAGCAAACTTTTTTCTTCTATCATTTTCATTTATTTTCCAGGTCAAATTATGGTCTATAAAATGATGAGAACTGAGAGGTTAATTTTTGAGGGATTAATTAAAGGAAGAAATTAGAAATATATTTTAAAAGTGTGTAATAGCAGATAAATATTAAGAATTAAACAATAAAATATACATTTCTATGACTAATTTTATTATAGCCATAGGCCTTATTTTAAATTGCTTTTCAATTTAAATGAAAATGCTTCCAATCATAAATTTTCCCCTTTGCTAGTTATTTGTTAAACAACTAAATGAAATTTTAGTTACATTCTACAAAAGCTTAATCAACACTACAGTTGTAAATCACCAGGCTGAAGCTAGGACATTAGTATTTCAAAGCCTCTTCTATTACTGTATTTATAACTTTATTTCTGAAATATATATACAGATTTCATTACATTGCCAGTTATTTATATTTGTTTCATGTCCACAGAAAATAGAGTATCATTACAAAATTTTAGGTTCATCTTTTTTTTAATTGAAAACTAGTGAAATTATCTGAATGTTTTAAGGAATATGCTATTTTAATTACTGTATTTTTATTGGTTATTGTCAATATTTTAGTTATGTTTGTTATTGATTAGTTAAGAAAATTCATTTAAAAATAATCCAAAACCATTTCCCAATATTGCCAAAAAATGGAATAACTATACATTTACTGGAAACATTTAAGATAAAGTTGTAGATCCATTAAATGTAAAATTTTTCAAACTACTTCTCTAGTCATATGTCCTCTTAGAGGATAATATCTAGAATTTATATTCAATGGTGCATACATTTAAATTTATTACAGCCTGAACAGTTTTACAAACAAGAAAGAAAAACTGGCTTCATATAGTTCATAAGACAAAATGCAGACTCAGCTTAAAGAATATAAAATGCAAAGCAGGAAACAAAGCAATTGCTTTCATTTGCAAAAAAAGAAACTACCAATCTGATCTTTTTTTTTTTTTTTTTTTTTTTTTTTTTGAGACGGAGTCTTGCTCTGTCGCCCAGGCTGGAGTGCAGTGGAGCGATCTCAGCTCACTGCAAGCTCCACCTCCCGGGTTCACGCCATCCTCCTGCCTCAGCCTCGCAAGTAGCGAGTAGCTGGGATTACAGGTGCCCACCACCACGCCCCGCTAATTTTTTTTTTTTTGTATTTTTAGTAGAGACGGGGTTTCACCGTGTTAGCGAGGATGGTCTCCATCTCCTAACCTCGTGATCCGCCCGCCTAGGCCTCCCAAAGTGCTGGGATTACAGGCGTGAGCCACCGTGCTGGGCCCAATCTGATTGTTCTAAGTTTACCAACCTTCAAATGGAAAAAAAAAAAAAAAAGTGCTGGTGAAAATCATAAAAAATTAAATCTGGGAAAAGGAGAGCTCAAATATTGCACAGACATTCTTAAAATGAGGATAATTCCTACTGTTTTATTATCTGGAGTGTTTATTTAACTATAGTAATTTGTATGGCAAATAAAGTACTATGGAATGTATTACATAAATACATGCATTTCAGACAAAAGGATACTACTTTGCCCACTGCCATTGTTTAACAGAAAACTGTTCCAGTCATTTTGAAAAGAAAAGAGAAATGTTTCTAAAAATCTTTTCTTCTGGACATATGGGTCTCCATTTTAGGTAGCCTGAGTATCATATATTTTCTTTGTCATTTTTTCCTCTCCCATGGTTAGTCAATTACATCTTTCTGAACTGCATGTTAACTTTAACTAGGGAAGTGAATGAAAAATACGAGTTCAGAACAGTTGTAGTCCTGTTTCATTATAAGCTAGAATAGTACTGTGATAAGTGCTTTACAGAATAGGTTAGACACTTGACAATGAATCAGGTGACGCAGTGACATGTCATCCCATTATATGTAACAATTGTTACAGAAAAAAAAACACCTTGTTTACATTCTAGGCATATTTGTCCTCAGGATTAGTAACTTAAAATAGATAAGGTAAAAGGGAAAAGAAACATTTATCTATGACTAATGGGTGTTTTCATTTTTAGCGAAAGGGCCATGTCTGTACTTTTCAGTAATAATAGAATCTATCTCCAACTGTCAGTGTTGAGGAAAAAAAAATGTCGTTCATATAAAATGCATAGAAATAAAGGGGTTGCTGTCATAATGCTTTTGAGAGAGCACTGTCAAATCTCTCTAAGCCTTTAGTTTAAATGTCATTTCTAGTCAACTGCAGAGATTTTTTAAGTGTTTCAGAACTGGCATTTTTCCTAGGGGTATATTGGATATTTCAAACAATTTGTATTTTTTTATAAAAGACACTCTATTGCCAATTTTTGTAAGATGCCTTCCCACATCATGTCATTTGTAAATTAATTGTGGAAGAAAATATACAGAAAATTTTCATTGGTTTTCAAGTGGTAGAAAATGGACAAAGATTGCAAGGATAAGGGCTTCATCAATAAGACAGTAAACCATATAGGGAAATTACAGTGGGATGACCCTCTCTTCTTACTCTGTATAAAGAAGGGTTAATTGTGAGTCAAAATTGTCCTGTGACTCCTCCAAAGGGAGTCTATTATGAAGGATGAAAATGATTCATTACTACACTAGATAGACACAAAAAGGCCATCCGGTTATGGTAAGACAACAACTACCTCATAGGGAAATTCTAATATCTTAATCTCCTTCACTAACACTTTCTAGTACAAATACCCGTATAAATTTGGGCTATTGTCTTTCTCACTTGACAACTTATAATTCTTTATGTCCTTTGTAGATGTGTGTCATAAAAGAGGTCTTTTCTTTCTTCCCAAAATACTTTGGAGTGGTTTCTTCCACCGGGCTTGGTCTTAGGTAGATTATAGTCTTGTAAGCAAAACATTTATGAAGTCATTTTTTTGTCACCTACCAATCCAAAAACAAAATTGCCTTTTTAAATGACTAAAACTATCCACAATAGTAGTCCCCTCTATATATGTCAGTTCTTGTTAATATGTGTATTTCAGTTTATTTATTAACCTTCACAACTCTTGCTGTAAGTTATTTAATAGCCACCAAATCAGATCAAGAGAATTAAATGTATGCTGTGTAAATAAAGAGAAATGATTTGAAACTGAAATCAAATGGAGATAATGATTCCATCGTTATATGTATAAGTCTGAGTCCAATCTAAAGATAGGAACCACAAATAGTTTAAATGAAGAAAGTTTAACAGAAAACATTATTAAACTATGATAGAGTAACTATAAAACTATCAAGAGAACTTTAAAGAATTTCCTAGGACTAAAGAAGAGTACTCAAGGAGGAACAAACTTGAAAGGAAGCCTCTTCCTCTGGGTTGGGGTTCAGACTTCATTGGAGAGGACGTGGTTGTCTCCCATTGGATGGTAAAGTTCACATGGTTGTGGTAGAGTTTCCAGGAAAACAGGAAACAACTCTCTGGGGTACAGATGACCAAGGCTGGTGAGCAGTCATGCAGAGGGACTCAGAGTCCCACTGTAGGATGAGTACTGTATAGTACATGGTACAAGGGAGACAAGCCCCTTCTTCCTGAAATGAGCCTCCAGCATATTTTACTGACAAAGCTTAACATTGTTCTCACTGTAAAGAAGTCCTTAAATGGTGCAATCATTATAATGAAAGAGATACTGAAGAATGAACTCTTTGCTAAGAGGCAACACATTGATAAACTGGCACGCTAAGATACTGAACACTTTTATATTTTGTCTTAAATATAAGGATTCTATTTTTTAAAATATTAGGCCAAACAGCAAATCTCTGATTTTGGTTTTTTGCTTTGCTTTTTTGAATTGAATTATTTCCAATAGGTGATGCAATGAAAGTTCAGACATTTTGCAAACTATTAAATTAGTTAATTGGTGTTTCAGTGAATGCAATGCTTGTATAAGAACCATTAAATATAAAAACATAAAGAAATACCTATTTCCTCTTGTATAATTTTTTAGAAGTTGTCTCAGACAAAGAGGGTATAGTGAAATAAGTCTAGAAATAACTTCTAACTTCTAGTACAGTCCTTTTTTTCTTTAACATGATTCAAATCATGGGTTGCTTGAAATTTAATATTTGTTACTATGTCGACTCACCTTGCCTATCCAAACACCTAAGAAATGGGAAGATGATTAACTGAGAAACCATTCAGCATACATTATCAATGCAATAAACTTAAATAGATAATTTGAAATTCCAACATTTGCACTGAGACAAAGTGATATAGAGGAAATGGAGTTATTTTTGAAGCTGATATCTGATATTGTATTCCACCTCTTCCATTTCTTAGCTGTTTAACCTAGAGCATGTTTTACTTCATTATGTGACATTTGAAATGCAAACGACCTTATATATGTATTTTTTAAAAATAGTACTAGGTGTAACACTCATGAACTCTAGGAAATAGAATATTAATAGGACCAGTGAAGAAACCTGTGAGCTCTATGTCCATCCCTTTTACTTGTTTATATTCTAAAAGCTAATCTAAAAAACATTCAAAGCTAAACTGAATTTTGTGTTTATTATTTTACCTTTTTGTTCTTACAGATTTATAGGGAAGAAACAGTCATTTCTAAATATTATTTAGATTGTCCTTGTTAAAATTACCATAATATAGTTTCTACTTTTTTAAAATCTTGCCTCATTCTAAGATTCAACTATACTAGTGTATAACAGTTCATTTTTTTTTCTCATTTGTATAATATCCAGTTGAGTCAATCTGAAACTATTTATACATGCTTCTATACATGGTCATCGTTGTTTTTAATTCATTGTTCTTGGTTAGAATGCTGGTTTGAATATTCTTCTACATATTCCTCAGTAAAAAGGGGAAGATTCCAAATACTTTATTTACTTAGTGTGGGGAATACCAGGTTGTAGGCTATGTGCATGTTATAATTTCAAAGAAACTGTACCAATATACACTTCTATCAGCGTGGTGTAAGCATCCCAGTTGTTCCACATTGTCAAGACACCAGATATTTTCACATCTATGGATATGAAAATATGGTTCACCTTATACAAAAATTAATTCAAGATGGATTAAAGACTTAAACGTTAGATCTAAAACCATAAAAACCCTGGAAGAAAACCTAGGCAATACCATTCAGGACATAGGCATGGGCAAGGACTTCATGTCTAAAACACCAAAAGCAATGGCAACAAAAGACAAAATTGACAAATGGGACCTAATCAAACTAAAGAGCTTCTGCACAACAAAAGAAACTACCATCAGAGTGAACAGGCAACCTACAGAATGGGAGAAAATTTTTGCAATCTACTCATCTGACAAAGGGCTAATATCCAGAATCTACAATGAACTCAAACAAATTTGCAAGAAAAAATTAAACAACCCCATCAAAAAGTGGGCGAAGGATATGAATAGACACTTTCCAAAAGAAGACATTTATGCAGCCAACAGACACATGAAAAAATGCTCATCATCACTGGCCATCAGAGAAATGCAAATCAAAACCACAATGAGATACCATCTCACACCAGTTAGAATGGTGATCATTAAAAAGTCAGGAAACAACAGGTGCTGGAGAGGATGTGGAGAAATAGGAACACTTTTACACTGTTGGTGGGACTGTAAACTAGTTCAATCATTGTGGAAGTCAGTGCGGTGATTCCTCAGGGATCTAGAACTAGAAATACCATCTGACCCAGCCATCCCATTACTGGGTATATACCCAAAGGATTATAAAACATGCTGCTATAAAGACACATGAACATGTATGTTTATTGCGGCACTATTCACAATAGCAAAGACTTGTAACCAACCCAAATGTCCAACAATGATAGACCAGATTAAGAAAATGTGGCACATATACACCATGGAATACTATGCAGCCATAAAAAAGGATGAGTTCATGTCCTTTGTAGGAACATGGATGAAGCTGGGAACCATCATTCTCAGCAAACTATCGCAAGGACAAAAAACCAAACACCACATGTTCTCACTCATAGATGGGAATTGAACAATGAGAACACATGGACACAGGAAGGGGAACATCACACACCGGGGCCTGTTGTGGGGTGGGGGGAGGGGGGAGGGATAGCATCAGGAGATATACCTAAGGTTAAATGACGAGTTAATGGATGCAGCATATCAACAGGGCACATGTATATATATGTAACTAACCTGCACGTTGTGCACATGTACCCTAAAACTTAAAGTATAATAAAAAAATTTAAAAAAAAAGAAAATATGGTTCACTACTAGACCTAATTTTTTTTATTATAAAGTTTCCTGATTATCTCTTTATATATTTATTTGCTGTTATGTATTCTCTTATGTGGAATTCCTGTTCTATTTCTGGCCCACTGTTCTACTTGTTTATTGAACTAGTTTTTATTTATTTAGTATGTGAGTTACATAATCTCCCAGTCTTGGGCTTGTCTCAGGAAATAATAGATTTTTGAGATAAATTGAAATCTGTAATTTTAGTTGAATGTATCAATATTTTCTATTCCAATTATTGTGTCTTTTGTAAAAACTTTCTTCTCTCTATAAGGTCACATGGCTTTTTATTTTCTTTTGAAAATTTTGCCATTATTTTTACACTTGAAATTCACTTAGTATCAATTTGTATTTATTATATTTTATCTATGTGGATAACTAATGGGCTCTGCAGTATTGTCGCTGGGTTCAGCCTTTCTCAGGAGTATGCAATATATCTTTATAAAAGTGTTAATATATGTATGAACCTGTTTCTTAGCTGTTTATACTGGTTTATTGATAATTTTTGCTATTATTTCACCTGTGCCATATGATATAAATTACTCTAACTTCATAATGTTTCACTAATTGTTACAAAAATACATAATATTCTTTTTCTAGGTTTACTTCATTCTAAGGTTTGCACATTTTTCCATACATTTTAGCAGTAGCTGGTCAGTTTCCTTTAAATACTGAAATTTTGACTGGAATTACATAGAATCTGAAAATCAGTTTGAGCAAAATCAACCACCTTAATGTAATAAGTCTTTTTTCCATGAAGAATATATATGTCTTCACTTATTTAAGTGTTTTTAACTTTCTTTTGATAAATTTTAGCATTATCTATATTAATATTTTGAATATATTTTATGAAAATTATGCTTTATTTTTGCTGCTCTGATTTTTTGTTTAAATTATCTTCTTTCTTATGGACATAGAGTTGATTTTTATATATTGATTATAGAAATATCCCCCTGGCAAAACTCTAGCATTAATTCTAACCATCTGCCTGTATGTCATTTTTGAAATGTTCTCTAAATAGTTTTAGTCTTTTCTTTCCAAAGTTTTCATGTTTTTTGTTTGTTTACCTACATTGGAGAAGATTTTCAAAATATTGAATAAGTTTTAATTTTGAAAATTTTTTCTGACTTTTAAAAGATGTTTCTTGTGTTTGACCATGGAAACAGTATTTGTAAGGTTTTTCTAGGTACTATTCAAGGGTTATTGATATGGTCAGGCTTTCTGTTCCCATCCAAATCTCATCTTTAATTGTAATCCCCATAATCCCCGGGTGTCAAGGGAAAGACCAGGTGGAGGTAACTGAATCATGGGGCGGTTTACCTCCATGCTCTTCTTGTGATAGTGAGTGAGTTCTCATGAGATCTGATGGTTTTATAAGGGGCTCTTCTTCCTTTGCTCTGCACTTCTCCTTCCTGTCGCCTTGTGAAGAAGGTGCCTTATTCCAATTCACATTTCACCATGATTGTAAATCTCCTGAGGCTTCCCCAGCCATGCAGAGCTGTGAGTCAATTAAACCTCCTTTGTTTGTAAATTACCCAGTCTCAGCCAGTTTTTTATAACAGTATGAAAATGGAATGATACACTTATCTACAAAGAGAGTATTATTCCTATCTTCTCAACATTTTTCTTTCTCCCTTCTTTATTTTATTCTGTTGTTATACAGTTGAAAACATACCTTACTAAATATAATCATATATCATTTTCTAAGTATATAAGGATGTACATATTTATCAAACTATTGCATTTTCTGTGTTTCACAGTTTTTATCTATATCTTTTAAATTATTATTTTGTTACATTGTTATTTTCATCATGATTTAATATACTAATGTATACCACAGGACTCCAAGTGAATTCCACTTATCTGTCCTGCTTTTTGGATACTGTCTCTGTGCACTTAGCCCTCAAATTTTAGGGCTCATCTGTTTCTTCTCTCTCAGGGATTGCTGGCTTCTAATGCCACATGCCCAATGTCTTGAAGATTGTTGTGTGAAGTGGAAGTAAACCTCATTCCTTTTACTCCATATTTTCTAGAATCACATGTCATATCATAATGTTTTAAAATATTTAAAGCCCACCAGAAAGCTGATAATTTAGAGAATGGTAAAGGAATTTGAACAAGAAAATGATTAGCCCCTCCATGTAAAGAAAAAAACTAAGTTTGCTTTTATTCTGAGAGGAGTAGTAAAATAAGGTTGGAGATGCTATAGAGGAAGATTTTTTTTAAAAAAAGGTTGAATTTTTGACAACTGTCTAAAGACTAAGTGCAGTCTAGCATATTAGTTTTAGGAACCCTAAGAGAACTACCTAAAGTTACATTTTTAAAAGTTAAAACCTGACCATATTCTCTCTATAAGAAAAACATTTTAAATATAAAGATACAGATATGCTGAGAGCGAATGGATGGAAAAAAGATATACCATACAAATGGTAATAATAAAAATAAGAAAGCAAAATGGGTATAAATCACATAAAATAGATTTCAAGACAAAAAGTACTACATAGACACAGTAAGAATTTCATCTGATAAAAGTGTAAATTCATAAAGAAGAAATAAATGTGTGTGGGCTAATAAATAGGTGCTTCATGAAACATGCCATAAAAATAACAAAATTAAATGGAGAAATAGGAAAATGCAAAATTATGACTGGAGATGTTATCAACTACGGTAGACAAAATTCTAAAAATTTTCCAATAAGATTCCTGTCCTTTGCTAAATCAGTCAAACACTAAGCTAATTATTGCTACAAAGTGACTTTGCAAATGTAACTAAGGTTACCAAACAGCTGACCTTAAAGTAGGGAGATTATCCTAGACTGTCTAGGTGGGCCCAGTACAGTCACGTGAGACCTGAAAAGCAGAAGAGGAAAGCAGAAAAGTAAGCCAGAAAAAAAAGCATAAGAAGAGAAAGAAAGTAAGTAGGAGATGGGGATGAAGCCCAAGGGAGGTCAGAAAGATTTGAAGCATGAAGAAAACACAAACTGTTATTACTGGATTCTGAGATGGAGGAAGGAAATCCTGAACTAATGAATGGCTAAAAGCAACTTCTCACCAGTAGCCAGCAAGCAAATGGGGAACTCATTTCTGCAACAGCATGAAAATGAATTCTTCGAAGAACCTAACTGAGATTGGAAGCAGATTCATACTAAGAACACCCAGAAAGGAGCACAGCCCTGCTGACACTTTCCTGGGGCCTGTGAAACCCAGAGAACAGAAATAGCTGAGCCATGCTTTACTTGGACTGAGGAACTACAGAGCTGTTAGTTAGTAAATAGGAATTGTTTTTAAGCCACTAAATATGTGATAATTTTTGACAGCATCAATACAAAACTAATTCAACATATTTTCTAAGCAAATGATAACGCAACTAGAGAAATAATTAGAAGAGGCATAGGTCTGAAAGACACAACCACCACCTTTACTTAATTGATACGTGTAGAAGAATACATCCAAAACTTGTAACATACTTGTTCTTTGTGGATACACATGGACTATTTTCTAAGTTAGACCATATTGTGGCCCATAAAAAAATAATAAACTAGAAAAGATTAAAATCAAATATGGTGTTCTCCGAACATAGTAGAATTAAAATTGACACCAATTGCAGTAAGACAACTAGGAAAACTCCAATTATTTGAAAATTAACAACATAATTCTAGATAATTCATGAGTCAAAACAGAAATCATAAGAAAAATAAAAACATTTTTATAACAATATGAATAAGAAAATATGAATGATTAAAGTGAAATTTATAAAGATGCATGTTTAAAGAAGAAAGTTCTAAAAATCAATAATCTAATGATAGAAGTTCCCACCTCAAGAAACAACAACGCAAATTAAACCAAAGTAAAAAAAAAGGAATATAATAAAAAATAGAGAATGTTAATGCAATTAAATATTAGTAAAGATCAATATAATTAATTGGCCTGTAACTAGGCTGATAAAATACAAAATCTAAAATACAAATTACCAATATAAGTAATGCAACAGAATGTCATGACAGATCCAGCGGGTTAAATCTTAAAATACAGGATCATGAAAAAGACTGGATAATATGAGAATATTATGAATAAATTATACCAAAACATTTGAGAATCTACATGAAACAGAAAAATTCTGGAAAGATACACAGTGCCAAAACTGACTCAAAAGGAGATAACAAATAGAAATCTAAATATCTATGCCATTTAAATAAATTAAATTGTAATAAAAATCTCCTAACAACTAGGAAACAAAAGTCCTGGCCCAGATTGTTTCACTGATAAACTCTATCAAATATTTAATAAACAAATAATACCAGCCTCAAAAGGATTTTAGGAAATATAGTTAGAGGAAACATCTTCCAATTCATTTTGTTAGGTCAGCATTACTCTGATACCAATGTCAAACAAAGACAACAGAAATGAAAACAGATTTTTAAAAAATCCTTATAAAATGTTAACAAATGAATTGCAGCAGTTACTTTAAAAAGATAATGCATCATGACCAAATATGGTGTATTTCAAATATTGAAAATATTCTATTAACTTTAGAAAATTAATTACCATATTTAACCATATTAATAAAGTGATATGTAAATGAATGCCCAAGAAATATTTGATGTAATTCAAAATCTATTCATGACAAAAACCTCAGCATACTAATAATTGAAGAAAACTTTAATTTATCAGTGGATAAGGGCATCTATAATATAAAACCGTTATATAATCATACTTAGTGTTAAAATCTGAATCCTGCAAGTCAGGGAAAAAATGCAAAAATGTTTGTTCTATTTTCATTCAGCATTTAATCATAATTCTTAGCCAGTGCAATAAAGCAAGGTAAAAAAGAAATGTTGGCTGGGCGTGGTGGCTCACGCTTGTAATCCTGAAATGCCTAACCGTGTTTTTACTTTAACTGGTTACTTTGAATTTTGTCCTGCCTGTCTCTTTAATCACCTAGCCTTGCTTCTCATGTAAATAAGACTCTCTCTAGCTAGGAAAGCCGGACAAACTCCAACTGACCCCTTAATTTACAAGACACTAGGGCTCCTCACCCAAACCCCTTTTGTGAGGAGTTGGCCTGGGTAAACAGATCCTCAGCATTTCAAAGGAGCCCAATTAACTGATAAGGTACCAACACCAACAACGTATTAAGTTCCCAGGAATTTTCTCCAAGAGATAACAACATAAAACCTTGAGTTCCTGTCCGGCATAGACCCTATATCTAATTATAATAAAAGATTTAGAACCTTGCACGTGGCACCCTTGCTCTTCTTGTAACCATTTGTCTTTTAAATTATCACTCTGTAACCATTTTGATTCTTTTGATTCTTGCATGTTTTTACTTCTGTAGAATTATTACGTTTGAGTCCCCCTCCCCTTCCTAAACCTAGGTATAAAAGTTAATCGAGCCCTTTCCTCGTGGCCGAGAGAATTTTGAGCATTAGCCGTCTATTTGGCCACTGGCTTAATAAAGGACTCTTAATTCGTCTCAAAGTGTGGTGTCTTCTTAACTCGCCGGGTACAACAATCCTAGCACTTTGGGAGGCTGAGGCAGACAGATCACCTGAGGTCAGGAGTTCGAGACCAGCCTGGCCAACAAGGTGAAACCCTGTCTCCACCAAAAATACAAAAATTAGCCGGGTATGATGGCACACACCTGTAATCCCAGCTACTTGGGAGGATGAGGCAGGAGAATCGTTTGAACCTGGGAGCCCAGGAGGCAGAGGTGGCAGTGAGCCGAGATTGCACCACTGCACTCCAGCCTGGTCAACAGAAACAGACTACTCCATCTCAAAGAAAAAAAAAAAAAGAAAAAGAAAAGGAAGAAAATAGAAGAAGAAAAAGAAATGTCATATCAAACAATTGAAACAAAAGAAACAAAACTGTTTTATTCAGACTGTATAACTGTTTATATAGAAAAATCCTAAGAAATCTACACAAAAACCACCAGCTCTTATATATGAATGTACAAAGATTTTCAGATATAATATTAGCATTCAAAAACAAAGTTTCACTGAAGTCTAATGATAAAAAAAAGTTTATTATTAGTATCTAGAAAAATATACTAGGAATAAACAACAAATGTATAAAATTGGTAAATGGAAAACTAGAAAACATTGCAAAGAGAAATAGAAAAAAAGTAAATGGAGTAAATACATCATGTTTGGGAACTGAAAAATTCATTATTGTTGAAAATGGCCGTTCTGTCCAAATTGACTTGTAGATGGAATTCAATCCCAATTAAAATTCTAGTAGGCTTTTTTGTGAGAGGTTGAGAAGCTGATTTTAAAATTTACATATTAGCAAATTATTTAGAAAAGTCAGAAGAATCTTTGAAAAGCAGGACAATTTAGAAGACATTTCAAAGTGTAGTCATCAAGACAATCAAATCCAGACAAGGCATTGGCCCAGTAGGGAAATGGAAAAAAATAAAATCCAGAAATAGATCTACATTTACATGGTCTATTAATTATTGGCAAAGTGGTGAAGACAATTTACAAGATAAAAGAAGCTTTTTCAACAAGCGGTGTTGGGATAACTGCATATCCTCTTTGGGAGGAAGGATAAATGTCAACCTTTTCCTTAAGTCATGCATTTAAAAAACCTCAAGATAAATTATTCATCTATACTAACTAAAATTGTTAAATTATATGTGAAATATGAAAAAAATGTATTTCTTCATTCTCACACTGCTATAAGGACACACACGAGACTGGTAATTTATAAAGAAAAGAGTTTTAATGAACTCACAGTTCCACATGGCTGGGGAGGCCTCACAATCACGGCGGAAGGCAAAGAAGAGGCAAATACCTGTCTTACTTTGCGGCAGGCAAGAGAGCTTATGCAGGGGAACTCCCATTTATAAAATTATCAGATCTCGTGAGACTTATTCACTACCACGAGAACAGTATTGGGGAAACCGCTTCTATGATTCAATTATCTCCACCTGGCCCTGCCTTTGACACCTGGGGATTATTACAATTCAAGGTGAGTTTGTTTTTTTTTTGTTTGTTTGTTTGTTTTTTTGGTTTTCAGATAGGCAAACAACATTTCTTAAATAGAGAACAACAAGTACAAACTATTAAAAAATAGATACATTTGGCCGGGCACGGTGGCTCATGACTGTAATCCCAGCGCTTTGGAAGGCCGAGGCGGGCGGATCACAAGGTCAGGAAATCGAGGCCATCCTGGCCAACATGGTGAAACCCCGTCTCTACTAAAATACAAAAAAAATGAGCCAGGCATGGTGGCACGCACCTGTAGTCCCAGCTACTCCGGAGGCTGAGGCAGAGGAATCACTTGAACCCGGGAGGTGAGGTTGCAGTGAGCTGAGATCGCGCCACTGCACTCCAGCCTGGGTAACACAGCGAGACGCCGTCTGGAAAAAAAAAAAAAAAGGTAAATTTTACCAAAATTAAAAACTTTTTCTTAAAACAGCTAATAAAAATGAAAGGACAAGTCATGATTGAGAGAAGTTATTTACAAATATACATCATAAAAAGGCTTATATGTAGAATATATAAAAAACATTTACAATTCAGTAATATCAAAACAAACAGTTAAATGAAAAAGGGTAATCATCTTGAACAGACACGTCACAAAAAATATCTATATGGACAATAAGCACATGAAAAGTTACTCAACATCATTAGTTACCAAGGAAATGCAAATATAACCCTATGACTATGTCAGTGGAGGCAAAACAATTATTCAACAAAATTTGGTACTTATGAGTAATAAAAGTTCTTAACACACTAGGGTAGAAGAAAATGTATTCATTTTCATAGAGGGAATCTATCGATACCTACAGCTAACAGACTACTTAACAGTGAAATAATAAGAGACTGGAAAAAGGCAGGGATGTTTGTTAACACCAGTTGATACTTGAGGTCGTAGCCAGTACCATAGGCAAGAAAAGAAAAGAAAATGAATACAGATTAAAATGAATAAGGCAAACTATTTTACTTGTAACATAATTGCATGTGTCGGAAATTCTAAGAAATGCCTTTTAAAAACTTACTAGACTAAATTAACAATATTGCAGGATACAAAGTCAATATAAAAATGAATTGCCTTTCTATATGATAAAAATGAATGACTGGAAAATAAAATTAAATATATATCATTTACCATATTATCCATAGTAATAAAATATACCTTTCTTATTTACTTAAATTGATTAATGTATCATTACTTTGGATTTTGTTTAACACTCATTTCCAGTGAAAGGTATTTTAGGCTTGGAGAGTGCTAGTGTCTCCCATGTAAATGTTAAACTTTATGAGAGTTATAGGTCCATAGAGGGGCAGCGTTTATTTCTAATAGAGTTTTCTAGATTATTTCCCAGGGACTCTAACCCTGACATTCTGTCCCTTTGCTTGGCACTTATGGAAACTCATCAGCTTGATATAAGGTACCACCTGTATGACCCTGTTCTAAGTGTTCAATGCAGACAGCAATTGCAGTGTTGTAGCAAAAAACACTCAGGAAATCTAAATCTCCATGAAGGTAAGTATGTTTGTATCTTTGTTTCTTTGTTTTCCTCCAATATCACAGTGTCTACAATAATATCAGACATATTTTGGGTGCTCAATATTCTTCTTTATTTAGCAAATAAGTGCATAGATAAACAGGAGATTATTATTCTTTTCAGAAGAGAGGTCTAGATGTATGAACTCTTAAAGGATACTTTTTAATCTCAAGTATGGAGCTGAAGAGGAATACAAATATATTTTTATATATTTACTACTTCTATATATACTAATTATATCTATATGTACTGCTATATATATACACACACATATATAGCATATATATACACACATATATATAGTAGTAAGTATATATATAGACAGAGAGAGAGAGGGAAAATTAATTTCTTTTCTGCTTGATTGTATTAATATGATCAATTTAAGGGCATCAGGCCACAGAATATTTTCAGCCTTGTGGTCTGGTAAGGTCAACAAGAGAAGAAGCTTCACTGCCTGCCCCCAGAGAATTTGTTCTGAGTCACAGTGGTCGTTATTGACTAGTAGCATTGGTGTCAAGGGGAGGTCATCCTTCTTCAGTACATCAATCTTGGGGAGTTAATCAGCAGCCACTGAACAGGTTGTTTCTGGAAGCACACACACAAAAAACAAAATACCGTCAGGTATACCATCTCAGCATTGTTAACTTTTTCTGCCTATACAAATAAATTTTCTAATAACTGAATGCAAGGTGAGGAGATTAGGAGTAGATTTATTCTGAAGAATTGTTTTACACACCTTTACTTGTCAGAAATGAGCAGTCAAGATAAGCAAACAAGTCTGAAAAGATCTAAGAGACATCCTTGGGGAACTTCAAATTCACATATATTCAGAGGAGGTAAATAGTCCAAAGTAAAGCCAACAAATTGAGCAATCCTCTTATTTGCAGTGTTATGTAATATTTAGAACATGCTTATTATAATTATACTTTAAATATATATATTCATGTTAATATACTTTATAAATAAAATGTGTATTATTGTCTCACTATTATAAAATTATTTTATCTATTTTTCTTGATTTCTCTCTGTTTAGGATATGTGAAATAATAGTCATCAAATAGTAATGATGGATGTTCCTTCATTACGTATAAAAGGATGTTTTTAACTTTGTTCATTGTATTTTTATATTTTTAAATATTTTACAATGCCTATGTATATTTTTTCCAAAGAAAAATAATGCCATTATTCTTAAAAGTAAATATATAAAATTAAAGCAGAGTAAGCCTAAAACCAATACTATTTTTTGATTCTAAAAAAGCAGCAGCAATAATAATAATAACCAGTAATGGCAGCAATAATGCATAGGAGTAAAATTTTAAACAGATTTTTCTCTGAAAACACTCATTAAAAAGCAAATGATAGGCTTATCATAAAGAATGAGTGGATGCAGAATGACAGAGTCTGATTTATTGACTATTTTAATAATCTACAGAATAGACTATATAGATTTTATAGTCTAAAATATATTTCTGCCAAATATTTGAGTGAATGAACAATGAAAATATAGAAGAAGGTAAAGGAGTTACAAAAATGAGCCTCAACTCTGTCATTAACAAGTATATAATTAAATACAAAAGCTACGGTCTATTCAATATTAAATATAAATAAAGTAGAGTACAGGGAAGGGTAAAATTATATATTGTTGAAGAAATTAGGAATGAACAGGATACAGATGTATTGGGATTAGTCAGGAAATGTTGATCACTAAAAAATGCCTATATATGGCAAGTACTCTGCATATATTTTACATGTAATCTCCACAACTAATTAATATGGTTATAATCTGTCTTACTTTTAATTGCTGCTGTGACAAATTACCCTCAATTTGAGGCTTAAAACAATACAAATGTATTATTTTAGAGTTGTGTGTGTTAAATGTCTGGGGTGGATTACATGGTGTCAGCAGGAATGCATTCTTTTCTGGAGGCTCCAGGGGAGAATCCACTTCCTTGACTTTTCTAGCTTCTAGAAGCCACCCATAATCTTTGACTCAGGATGCCCGTCTTCCATTTTTAAAGCGAGCAACACTGAATTTCTCTGACTATTCTTCCATAATCATATCTCCCTCTGACTCCAGCCAGGAAAAAGTCTTTGAATTTAAGGTATCATGTTATTAGACTGAGACCACTAAAATAATCCAGAATAAGCTCCCCAACTCAAGTTCCTTAACCTAATCATATTTGCAAACTATATTATATTTGCAAACTATAAACTATATTATGATTACACATTAAATGTGTAAGAAACACATTTCCAGATATTTGGGATTCAAACAATGGTATTATTGGGGATATTATTGATATTCTGCCAACCATAGTCTGCCCTCTGGCCCCCAAAGATTCATGTCAATTCCACATGCAAAATATATTCATCCTAGCCCAAGGTTTCCAAAAGTCTCAATCATTACAACTTAAATCTAAAATCTCGTCTAAATTTTATCAGCTAAACGGCCTCACATCTCATTATCTAAATTATCTAAATCAGATATGTCAGGTGTGAGTGAGATTTTGGATCTGACCCATCCTGGGACCCAATTTGTGAACCTATGAAACTCAAAATACAAGTTAGCTCTTCCCAAAATACAATGATGGGACAGTCATACAGTATCAGTGATAGATATTTTGGGTCAGATAATCTACATTTTCTTTTGCCATAAAAATAAATTTCCCTTAACCTGTGTTTCATATTTTAAGCTGAATATTAATATGTATCTGCTCTCCCAATACAGGCCATAGATGAAAACTCAAATATCAGCCTTTCTTTTGAAAAAGCAATAATATCTTGGCATTATTTTGTATGCCAAGAACCCATAAAAGCAATCAATTGCTATATGAGGTTTTAAACAAGAAAATTATTTCCTAGTTTTGGAGTCAAAGTGGAAAGGTAAGCATGTCTCCTTTTATTTCTTCAGATGCCTCCTAATATTTCTTCTAGTCTCATTTGTTTCTGTTAGGGTCATGCGAGGAAGGTAAAACTGAAGAAGATGATGTTATATGGTTGCAATAGAATACAAAGATTTTGACTTACATAAATCTTTGTCAGGTTTAATCCTTTTGGAACTAGGCTTGAGAAATTGCTGCCTCTGCTTCCATGATAGTTGTAGCAATAACAAAATCAATAAGCCTTTCTAAGATGCAGTAAGCCAACTGTCTTGTTACCTCAGAATGCTGAAGTACTGCAGGGGTGGGACACACACATTCTAATAAACAATATAAATTGATAATAATGTTATATTTTATACCTTTATATATAATTATATGGAACAATTTTCTTCTATAATATTTACTACATTTACAGAGAGTGGGAAATTATATTTACATAAACTTAGCTTATAATTAAAATGGATTTTGCCTCTATAAAATGTAATACATAAAAGAAACATACTTTGGCTTATTCCTCTAAATTGGAATGTTTTTATTTGACCAAAAAAACCTGTCACTATTAGAATTACTAATCCAGAGAAAGTCTAGTCTTTCTTTTTGGCTCGAGAGCGATTCTAAATGTTCCACCCAGAGATGTACCCATTATGATGTCTTTTTCCTCACTTGCCAGTTTCTAAGAAGTGTCTTCCTTTATCCTTAGACTCCATTAACCAACCTCTAAGGAGTGCCTGAGAAATGCCTTTTTCTGTGATGAGAGGCTAACTTCAGGGATTCATGGAAATCACTACAGCTAGTTGCTGTGGATCTCTACTACTTTCAGTGCTGGGTTGAGCTACCCTGAGACACCAAAAGGCAATCCATGACTGTGGCAAAAATACTACAGACCCTTAACTCTAACATCCTTCTGCAGGTTTAAGAAGCTATGTACACTCAATCACCCTTCTGCCTCCCTTCAAACCAGGGTTGCTCTTTCCTTTGAGTGTTTTCCTTCCTGAGTTATAAACAGAGACTCAATTTTTCAGTTTCCTAACATCAATTTTAAACATTGGAGAAAAATATGAATCAATACAAATTAAAATATTTTGATACTTGATATTTTATATATCTGTCTGGTATATTAGCCCATTAACGGTCAGAAAGAGAGTGTTACTATATTGTTAAGGCATTAGATAAAATTCTAATAAAGACAATAAAAGTAGTAGCTTCCACATGATTTAGTAAATGGAGTTGCACTACAGCAAATTTACTCTTAATCACTGAAAAGCTACCAAAAAGAACTTGATTTTGGCTAGGGTTACTGGCTGAAATCTTCCTCCTATGGATCAATAGGTTCAACCTGAATTCCCAACCATTTTCCTTGCTGTATAACTTTTCCTATTGATGCATACATCACTTTGACTTTCAAAAATAACGGTCAAGTTATACTAAAGACAGATGCTTGCTATTAGTAGCAGGCAATTACTTAGTGAATTTGTTTTTATCAGATTGTCAGTTACCTTCTGGTTATAGTGGATCAGCTTTCATTTCAATTTAAATAAGTAAGTCTATGGCAGAATACAGAATGTACTGGTGGTACCAAGTCCTTTGTAATGTTTTTCTTCTAGGTGATGCACATTGTTTCCCGTCCATAAAACCTTCATTAAATGGTGCATTACCCTTAAGAAGATTTGATAACAGATCTCATCCTGCCCCTTATTGCTTACTGTTGAACACTTCATTCAAAATAATAGTAACAATAATAAATGTTCAAACACAAAAGATTAGTGTATAATCTATAGCCTTAAAATACATATATTATATATACCCATATATTTATATATTTATTTATTTACTTTAGAGGGAGAAATTAGACAAAAATATATTATCAGTGAAGAATCTACAGCCAGAGATTTTTACCCTACATATACTTTTGCTAGAGAAGATTGCCCTCTGCTGTTGAAAATTTGTGACATTTCAGTTGGGTTGATTGGCACCTGTCTTGAAAATATTTATCTTTATTATTCAGAAATTCTCCCCAAAAATAATCTTCCTCAGAATAGAAACATGTTATTATTGAATATAAAAATATTAGATAATGAGAAATCTCCCTTATTCAACCTTCCAAATATTATAATTACCACCTTGGTAATTATTGCTAAGGAAAATATTATTGTAAAATCTGATTTGATACTAGTGTTCAATATTGATATTGGATATTGAACCAATCTAATATATGTACTGAAGTTTCAGTTTTGGTCTTTGTTAGAAGAATTCTACCAAGCTGTGTGAAGAGGGGAAAAGATCCTAAACTTAGTATGGATAACATCCAAGTTGTTAAGTTTTCTCTCTGCTTCTATTGCCATCAGAAATATGTAATTGCTTGACTTTTGATAGATACTGTTGGCAATTTATAGGAAAATATAATTTCTCATTGAGAAATAAGGAAATGATAATTGAACATGTGGGAACAAATCTTTCTGTTGCCATGCTGCGATGAATTTGAGGTTGATCGAGCTTGCTTGGTTATGTGGCAGTAGAGTGAAAATGGGATGTCAGTTCCAATAGTAATTAACCAGAACGATTACAAATGTCTAAATGATGGAACATTAGAGTTGACATGTTTTTGAATACAACTTGACATAGAGTCATGAAGAGTTGTCCTGAGTTGACTCCAGACTGTAATAGAAGCTGCCAGAATATATAGAAGTGTGGCATATCTGCTCATTGAGCAATCGTCAGCCTTTACGTCAAGTGCACTGGCCTTATCAGGTGTGTCACAACATCAAATGTGAAGACATCCATAATTATATTATTTTGTACTACATATATTTGGAACTCTAATGCAGTCATTTCTTGACAATGAGAAGAAATGGATAAGATTCCTTTCCCAACTCTGTATTTTGAAGATAGATTTTTGAATCCATTTGTTTTCCAATTTTTCTCTCTAAGAAAAGAACATTTCTAAAGATGCCTAGGGAATTGACTTGCTTTCATGTTCTGTGTGCTCTGGTCCACACTGTAATAACAGAAGTCTTTAATGTGAAAATACTTTCTGTTTGGATTTTAACCTAAGAAATATCTGATGAATTAGTCGTAAAAGTTTACATTTTTTTTTTAGTTCAGGAAAAGATGAATAGAAATTGTTTTAAGGTCACAGAAAACAAGTGATATAGCTAAGATAGAAAATCAGGCTTCCTGTTTCATAGTACTCTTGATTCTGAAAGTCTTTCTATAGTTTTAATGTAAAATTGCTAGAAAAAAGTTAATACTTGCTTGACTGGAATTTTATTTCAAAATTTAGTTATCACTGTCAGGGAAGTGTGACTTTTCTCTGAGTGTTGTTAAAATTATTAAAATACTTGGAGAAAGCAACTTTTTTTTTCAGTTTGTATCTATTTTCAGTATGTCTTCTATGTAAATAAAGTTGAGTTATATTGTGCTTTTAGAAATAAATTCAATATTTGTTATAATTTAACAATAATCTATTGAATACACATTTTTAGTATCAGAGAAAATACCTAAATGTGAAAGAAAATCCATATCCAGCAATAGATTACAATTTCACTGTGGCAACAGAGCATAATAGGTAAAAATGAATATGAGTAACATTTAAAATAAATAATAGACATGTATATGAATAAATGTTTAAAATAAAAATACAAAGCAGTGCTTTTTCAGCTTTATTGAAATAAAATTATGATACAAACTGAACATAATTAATGTATACAATTTACTAAGTTTGAACATGGGTATCCACTTTACCACCACTGCAAAGTATAAATATATCCATCCCCTCCAAAAGTTTCCTTGTGTCTCTCTTTGTTTGTGGTAAGAACATTAAACATAAGATGTACCCTTTTAACAATTTTTAAATGTACAATACTTTATTGTTAACTATAGGTGATATGTTGTACAGCAAATCACTGGAATTTACATACCTTTTATAACTAACTTCATACCCATTGAACAGGATTAAACTTATCCCCCTTTCTTCACTCCCTGGTAATCACCAATCTATTGTCTACTTCTAGATGTCTCACATAAGAGGAATCCTCCAGGATCTGCGCTTCTGTGACTGAATTATTTCACTAAGTAACATCCTCCACATTCATCCATGTTGTTTCAAATAGTAGAATCTCCTTCTTTTTTAAGGCTGAATAATATTTCATTTCCCTCTATAACATTGAAAATATTTAGAAATTTCTAATACTTTGGTTGAATATCTTGCTTTTAAGAGTACCACTTTATTTATTTTGTAGATGTTAACAAAAAAGGAAGACCTTTAATGCAAAGTTTATATATCATACAAATTTATAAATATCTATATATTATATACACAAAAATGATAAATATATATCATGTTTACATATATAATTCATATACAACATAAGTTTATATTTATAAACTTCATTATATATATAGAGAGAGAGAGAGAGGGAGAGGGAGAAAGAGATGGATCAGGTTTCCAGCAACTTTGAGGCTCTCTGTCAGAAATCATCTATTTTTCTACAATTGTTGGAAAATACTATTTTTAAACTTATACAAATAAAACTGTCAGTGTTCCTAATAGTCACTCTAAAGTACTCTATATCTTAATTTGATTTCAAAACACTAACTGGATAACACAAATTCCATTCCATATATCGTGCCTTACACTATGCAGACACACATACAAGCCAGTGAACGTCATAAAGCCCTCCCAAAAGGATGGTGTCTTTGTTAAAGGAGGTATCTCAGATAATGATATATAACTTCGTCTTTTTATTTGCGCCTCAATGCACTATAAAAGACTGATGATGACTAAGACTCATACTTTTCTTCATAAGTGGGAGAAGGCAATAATGAAAAAGGGGATATGAAAAGAGAATCAATATGAATCTTAGCTAAAGTAAAGAACTTGCTTCGTTGGGTAAGAGATATAGTTAGCAAGGTCCATTGTGCCTTTACTTGTGGAAGGCAATGACTAAACTTTATTCTGTAGAATAACACTTGTGAAACTTTGGACCACCGGCTTTCTAATCACCCTGGAGTAATATTTAAGAAGCAATATTGGCCAGACAATCTTTTCAAACAGAGTATCTAGAGTTGTTTCTAGGTATTTAATACCTGCATTTAAATCAAATGCCCAGGTGATGTTTATATAATATACAGATGCTGAACCACTCTTATAAATTTTTGGAAATACTGAAGGTTTGTGAACATGGAAGAACACTTATGACACATATGTTTTGAGAACATAAAACTGATTATAGACTGGATGGATGGAGAAAAGGCTGGAAAGTAAGAAAACCAGTTGGTCATGTGCAAAGGTTGTACCTAGATTGAGTTGTGTCAGGATCAGTGCAAAGGGTAAGATGAAGTGGAAAAATATTTCATTAGGTGAATCGACTGTACCAGAAGGAATGTATCATTTAGCTGAATCAAGGAGACTTTAAGTTTCACATCTGAGTGACTATAAGGTGATGTTGACATTTGTGGAAGGAAGACCATCATTACTAAGAAATAATGAGGTTCTTTGTTTATCTGGTCAATATTTATCCACATAATCTAATTTTCTTATTTCTGTTTGAACTTTAGACTCCAATGATTTAATCATTTAATTATTCATACCTGATTATTTCACATTCAAATTTATGCCATTTATGTTTCTCAGAACAGAAAAAAATAAACTAACAACCGAAAACTATTAGTTAATACATATTACCTAAAACAAATCAGAATACTGGATTAAAGATTATTTTACATGCTGTTGTATAAAAAAACTGCATTTTTATGGTCTGCAAAAGTAAAAGAAATAAGTGCATGTAACTTGATTTCTCTGTTACCGTTAAGAAATGCATCATTCATCCTTCCTTCTAAATCTGTTACCATGTGATCTGGCCTTTCACTGACTTTAATTTCTCTGGGAACAGGCTCTTGTGAAAATGCTTCATGTCATGTTTGCTCAAGGAAATAGACAAGTGAGAAAAAAAGTTGTAATAAAGCTTTAGTAAGGAACTAACTGACATTGAAACAACCTATTCTTTTCAAAATCTTGATTATTGGCCAGAAAGTTCAGAAAAATATTAGAAAATAATGTAAAGGTTGATGGGGAAAAAGAAAGGAATAAAATGACGAAGACTCATTTTCATTCTTTAATTTTTTTTAACTCGAGGAACAGTAAACTCTGGGTAAGAAAATACTCTATATAAGAATTCATTTCCTCAAAACCTGAGTGTGAATATGTATAAGTTTAGCTTTATAAACAACTAAAGTATGATCAGTCTGTCTTACCTTTAAGATCTTCAGTTTGCTGTCAACACTTTTTGTTGTTTTAGAGAAGACTCTATCAATATGCTGAATAAGCAGTAAATTCATTGCAGTGCTTCCTAAGTGCTCCTATTTCACCCTGGAACCCTTGACGGAAGGTATTAAAATGCAGCCAGGCATAAAATATATTCATATAAATTTTACATATTTTAAAGCATATGTGATCACGAGAGAGAAAATGATGCATATGTAAGAGTAGTCAGGGGACTCATGTAAGAAGAGTTTCAAGAAATTAGGATAAAAAAAACTTTCAACCTGCCCTCCCCTATTGTCTGCCTCCTTCATATATATGCATATTTTGTTATCTAGATATAGTTATGACTATTAATCAGCATACTGGGGTTAATTTCCAAATTCTGAGTACAACAGAGGATGTAGAATATTGTATTTATTGGGAGAGATAAAACTGGAAAGAAAAGAAAAGAAAGAAAAAAGAGTATTGTTACAATTGACAATGACACAGCATCCAGGAATGAGAAAACATTAAAAAGGGTTGGTTTATCATGCCACTTTATGCTTTCATATTAATGTGGCTGAGCTGTGATAGAGATACTTGGAGATAGAGAGTCCAGAAATAGTAAAGGCCAAGTGTAATTGCTCTTTGAGGCTTATACATGAGGAGGGTACTATTGGCCCAAAATAGAGATTCCAAACAGATCTGATATTAAAATATGAATCACATTTGGGTCAGGAATTCTATCCCAAATCTGGAGGTAGTAAATGGAAACATAGGTCTCTATCCAAGTGGTGAAAATATTCAAGGGAAGAGTTTTAATGTTCAAAAGGGTCCATATTAGATACAATAAAGTCTCAGAAAGTTGAGGCCCAAGAGATTGGTCCCTGGGTCTCCCTGGTCCCTGTTCCTTGGAAAAGGACCGGTGAAGTTGAAACGAAATTACTGTCTCCAGGCAGGAGGCTAACAGAGCTGGACCAGTACCTGGAAACCAGGCTATGAGATGTCAGAGAATAAACATCACATCTTACTCTCATATATATATTAAGTACCTGGAACACAGCAATTTAAAATGTTTGACAGAAAAAAAATAATGAAGCCAAGAAAGAAATTAAGTGTGGACCAGGCTTATATGTGAATGATTACAATTTAAAAAAATGAAGATTAATATATATGCTTACAGTTTATGCTTACCCGTGCACAGTGTGATTTGCAAATTAGCCTTAGTAGCTGAAGACAACAGGATAAATTTCAGAATCCACTCAATTGAGAGACTGAGCTTCCTTGCATATCTTCTGCTTTAGTCAAATGCAGAGTAGAAGTCTTCAGTTGGAAACAGAAAAGCTAGTTGGAGAATCCTGGACTGACATATCAAATCTTAGGACTTTCTTGATTCACTCTGGTACATACTTACCTTTATTTTCTGGATCCACGTGGCTATCCATCAATGTACATCCATCAAAATCTGCCAAAAATAACTACATTTGTAGAAATAATTAGAAAAAGATTTTTCTTGTATCCAAAATTATCCTTTAGAAAAAAAGAAGATTGCCTTACAGAGCTCCTCATGAAATAGAAAGTTTTATCAATTGGTTTATTTTCAACAACACTCTAGTGCTTGAGTTAGACCTTACAGGACACTCCTTGCTACTCAGTGTGGACCTTTCAGATCCTAGTATTAGCATCATTCAGGAACCGATTGGGATTGCAGTGTCCCAGGCCCACTCCAGTCCTACTGAGTGAAGATTTGCATTTTCTTAAGATCCTTAGGGGATTCACATCCACATTAAACTTTGAAAAGCAATGGCCTATTAATTAGTGTTGGCTTAGAATTGTATAGAGGCTTTCTGACTAAATCAAGTAGGAGGCCAAGAAATTTAACAGAGATTTAGTTATTTTTCTTTCTTAGTGTTGTAGTTTCACAACTGAAATCCTTTGTGTCAGTCTCTGTGTGTGTGGTGGGGGCGCGGGTATGTGTGTATGTGTATAATTTTTCTCTCAACCGTAGTGTTTGAACAAATAAGTAAGAATAAAGACTTGATGGGCCGGGCGCGGTGGCTCAGGCCTGTAATCCCAGCACTTTGGGAGGCAGAGGCGGGTGGATCACGAGGTCAGAAGATAGAGACCATCCTGCCTAACATGGTGAAACCCCGTCTCTACTAAAAAAAAAAACAAAAAATTAGCCGGGTGCGGTGGCGGGCACCTGTGGTCCCAGCTACTGGGGAGGCTGAGGCAGGAGAATGGCGTGAACCCGGGAGGTGGAGCTTGCAGTGAGCCGAGATAGCGCCACTGCACTCCAGCCTGGGTGACAGAGCAAGACTCCGTCTCAAAAAAAAAAAAAAAAAAGACTTGATGATAAAAGGAAACTCACACCCATGTTCAGTGTAGTGGAAACAACAGCAAGCAGTAGGACTGTAACTAATTGCAGATTTGGAGACTGAAGCTCCATCTCAAGGAGGCTACTGACACAACCCATTCAAATTGGAGCCATCTAAGAATGCAGCCCCCGAGTTGCCAGATCTTCAGATTTTTCAACATATAAAAAGAAATTGTTTCATGCAAAATTGTTCACTTGTATTTACATTTAATTAAATGTTATTTAAGAAAGAAAATAAAAACTACCCAGATCAACACTTCATGGACCATAAAGAGTCCAATGTTCAGGTTACTATTTTTTATCTGTTTTAGTATTGTTGAGTACCTACTTATTTGAAAATCCATGCCGTGTATTGTTGTTGATATTTTCTTATATTATTTTAAGTCTACCCTTAAAATAATACCCAAACCTATTCTTAGGAAACCTAATTTGAAGTCTTTGGTGTCAATAAGCTTCATAGTAATATTTGCAGGCTCTCTTTCACAAATAATATATATCTATAAACTTGTATTACCATTTATGTTTCTCTGAAACTGCTTACACAAAAAATATTTCAGAATTTCATTTATTGCAAGCTTGATATGTGTCAGTCACTCTTTTATCACTGTAGAAACTCAGTTAATCTTCAAAACAACCCTGAGTAAGCAGTATTGTTTTCTCTGTTTCACATTTAATTGAATCAAGGTCGAGGGTGGGGGGAAAGTATTCAGAAAAAAAGAAAACAGAGACTTCCTTCCTATTAACTCGGGACAGCTGAAGTCTCCAGGCTATCTAGGTGGTTTCTAACTTCTAGAGTTGCCAGAGGCCATCTTCCCACCTAGGCCAGCTTAAGTCCTGGAGCCAGTCAAATCTCTCTGGCAGCTAGATCGCTGCCTATCGAATTTCAGCCTTTCTTTCTTCTAAGGGAGGGCAGATATCACACATTTTCTCACTGTAAGAGTCATGTCTGACACTCCTATTAACAAAAGACAAATGAAAAGCATAATGTACTTAATCAAAAGTTTTGATTTATTTAATCAAAATCGTAATAGATTCATTTAATCAAAAGTTTATAGCAGCCTTCAGAATGAAGACCCAAAGATACCGGAAAAACTATTTATTTTTATGCTTAGATTCAGTGAAGAATGGATAGCCATGCAGAAATATGTTTGGACACAAAGGGTCTGATCTAATGCTAGTGGACAGAGGGGTAAACCCAACAATGCCTTTCTGTTCAGATCCTTCTGGACCTGTCTGTAGCATTCCTTCCTCCCATGTATGGGGAAGAGCTCCTTGGAAATGAGGGTCTTATGACCCACTATTGGAAAAAGATTATAACTAGAACTGCGGGCATATACAAAAAGCAATTTTGAGAGGATTTCAAAAAGTAAGCCAAACCAGAAAAATCTGAAGAGGTGACTCATATGATTGTGTTTCCCAGTTTTTATTTGTTGTCGTTGTTTTGGTCCTATTTTAACTCCCTGATATAACCATGCAACAAGCAGAAGGCAGCTTCAATGGAAGCAAAAACTCCAAGAGAAGCTTTTCTTTTTGTACAGAAGGTGAAGAAAGGGAGTACTTGGAAGAAGGTAAATATGGGAAAATCTGCCTGTTTTCATTTTTTTCTTTTTTATTCTCTTATAGTTTGGCCCTAGAGGCAGGTAAGCATTTTGAAGTTGCAGCTGCCATAGCAGCATAGAAAACTGAAGCTCCAAGAAAAACCCACAGTTTGTTGTGAGAGAAGAGGTAAAGGGACCTCATAAGACAGAGTATGAAGAGTGTTCCTTATAAAAGAGAACTGAAGATAAAACATCCCCTAAATCTGTGTATGAAATGGCCAAGCTCTCATGCTCAGGATATGTCCAACACTTGCAGGCTATAACTACATCAGCATAGCAAATACATGAAAAATAAACAATCATATAAACCACTGCTCAAAGTCCCAACAGTGCTACGTGCATGGAGCAAACCTAAATTAGCGCAGAATAGGTTTTGAAAACTGAATTGGTGCTAGTACTGCTGTCCACAGAAAGAAGACAAAACTGTGGTCTAAAACCACCTGGATTAATTGTCTGCTAAAACAAGACTAAACAGAATGAAACAAAAAGTTAGTATTCTTCAGAGATTTTTAACAAGACCTAGAATCTCACAATTTAGTATTCAAAATGTTTGAGATACCACCTAAAGTTATTAACACACAAAGAATTAGGACAATGTGAGAAGAGGGAAAGGGAAAAGTAGCCATTTCTCAAAGTTAATTGAAACCAACCTTGAGATGACTCAGATGTGGGAATTATCAAGGACTCTAAAGCAGCTATTATAACTGTGCTCCATCAAGTACAGTTATAATCCTGAAATAGATGAAGAGATAGACATTCTCAAAGAGACACAGAAACTTTAAAAGAACCAAATGCTAGTTTTGACATAAAATGTACAACATTGGACATAAAAATTTCACTGGATACCCCTAATAACACAATAAAGAAGACAGAGGAGAGACGTGGCTTTAGGATAGAGAAGCAGAAATTATTTCATCGAAAGCACAGAGAATGAAGATTACAAATAATAATAATAATGAAAAGGCAAATAAAACCGAGTCTTGGACCTGTGGACAATATTAAAAAGGCCTAACAAACATAACTATGGAGTCCCAGAAGGAAAGGACATTGAGGTGATTCAGAAAATTTATATGAGGAAATAATGACTAAAAATTCTAAAATTTTATGAAAAATATAAACTTACCATGTCAGGAAGCTTACAAACTCCATACGAAAAAACTCCAGAAAACCGTGGTCAGAAAAGTACTATGAAAGCCTGAAAACCAAAGCAAAATATTGAAAGTAGTCAGATAAAAATTACATATTATATGCCATGAAATAAAAATACAAGTAATTATGATTTTTTCATTAGTAACCATGGAGGCAAGCAGACAGTGGAACTTCTATAAAGTAATGAAAAGGAAAGCACTGTCAACCTAGAATTCTAAATCTGGCAAAAATACTCTTCAGGAATGAGGCAAAATAAATACATTCTTAAATAAAGGAAAAGTATGAAAAATTTTCAACAGCAAACATGCTATAGAAGAAATGCTAAAGCAAGTTCTTTATGCTGAAGTGAAATGCTACCACAGGGAAACTTAGAACTTCAAGAGGAACATAAACCAGTAAAAAGTAGTAAAATCTGGGTTAATCAACAGCTTTTCTTTTAATTTTTAAAAAATATAAACTGCCGAAAGCACAAGATATAACATTGTGTGGCAGAACTTCAGTGATTATAAATATAATACATAGAAAATTATAACATAAAAGGGGAAAATAAAGGGAGATACGGTTTTAAGTCTTCTACATTTTACTTGACATGGCATAATATTAAGACTTAGTAGTCTGTGAAAGGTGATATATATATTTTTAACCCCTAAAACTTCTTAAAAAATAATAAATATTAAAATCAAATACTAAATAAAACATTAAGATAATCTAAAGGAAAATAATTAAACAAGATTTTTCATTTAAATATTTTCATATACTTTAATATATGTATCTAAATAGGGACTGTTTAAGAGGATTGTACATTATGCATAATTTCCAAAATTACTTGACTCTGTAAACTAAATGCTTAGAGGAATATAGATGTGATATAAGCATAATTTATTATTCTAGTGCAGGAAGAAAATTGTATGAGATATTCAGTTCTACTGAAAAGATGATAGCTAAGTTTTCATTCAGTTTTATTTTCATTCTTCCATGTGCGCAAATGGAAATAGAATGAATTAATTATAAAGAGCTGGCACAGAACTTGACTGTCGATATTGACCCAATATATAGACAGTGTTTCTTGTGTGCCAACAGTTTATCTATATATGAGGATACAAACAATAATGCCATCAAAGCTCCTGCCCTCTGAGGCAATTACTTCTAGAATAATGAGATAGAAAATATACTTATATACAATTTAAAATTAAAACGTGACTGATTGTATTAAGTTATGTGACGAAAATAAAGTTGAGAAATATTGTAGAGAGTGATGTTGGATGGTAACACATGATACTAGAAATGAAGGATAAAAAGAAGGTATCCTTGCAGAAATATATGGGGAAGGTCATACCAGGGAAAGAAAGTACAACATTTAGCAGTTTGGTAGAAGAGAAGAACTGAACAAAAGACAAAACAAAAATGACCACTGAAGTAGGAAGATTTGTTGTTATTGAAATGAATGAAAGAAATCATTTCAAAAAAAGAGTGACAATTATATTATATGCTACTGATAGATTTCCTAGGAAAGAACAGGACATTTTTTATTGGCTTTGGCATAGGGTAATCATGGGTGACCTTGAAGAGAGATTCAATAAAATTGTGGATATAAAAGTTTGATTCGAGCTGGTTGCAGAGCAATTGGGAGATGACTAAGTGAATGCAGCAGGTACAGAAGTTGGAAGAGCTTTGTAATTAGGCTAAACAGAGAAATAGGAAAGTAGCTGGATAGAAATATGATGGCATGATTTAATATTTTTTTAAATGAAAGCATGTTTTTGATCTGATGGGACAATACTAAGTCAATAGGGAGGTAAAATTGATAATCACAGCAAAGACAGCACTAGCAAGAGAAAAGTCCTAAGTGGTATAGATTCAAAACAAAAATGGAAGTATTAGAGGAGGAATAGGGAGGAAAGGAGCAATCTAGGTGTAGAAAGTGCTAAGATATATCAGTCAGGGCACTTAGATACAAATAACAGAAATTAGCTTTCATCATTTAAGAAAAAGACCAAATTAATACAATTGTATCAGGTAGCTCAAGGTATTGCTTGAATCCTGGAAATCTGGATTTAGGGATATGCAGGCAAGTATAATACAAAAACAATTATAATTGATCCAGGGAAGATATGCTGCTTTCAAATAACATCAAATGCTATCAACAGAGGTAGAATTAGACATTATATGGCAGTGTAGCACTCCTGAAACTTCAGCAAGAATTCAGTCTTTTCTTAAATTTTGACCCGCCACTGAGAGAGTTCTTTGTAGATGCCTTGACCCTAGAATGGGGGTATTTGATTGGTAAAACCAATGGCACAAGCTCAACATAGAGGTTTTTATGTAAATATGTGATATTCATTTCAGGTATGCTCTACAGGCAATCAGTTATGAAATAGAAATGCACATTCTTAGGGGCTTAGCTATTATTACATCAGAAAGGCGACTCTCCAAGCCCAGCTGCTACAAACACTTTATAATATTTTTATCAATTATCCTGTATAACACACAATGTTGATAAATTTTCTTTTGAAATACTAAACATGATAATTAAACCTACTATCACATTTCTTCAACATTATAACTAGAGTTATCGAGTTAATGAAGTTTCTTACTAGTCAATGAAGTAAGGCAAGTAAAAAGAAAAAAACTATAGATTACGGAGTGAAAAAAGAAAACAATTATTATTTGTAGATAATAGGATTATAGCACATAAGAAATCTTAGGACTCAACAGCTAAATGATTACAATAATAAAAATGTATTCCATAAAAATAAGTATACATATCTCATATGTCAAATATATTTCATAAAAATAAGTATGCAGAAATCATTGATTTATAAATATTAACCAATGTAAAATAAAAAATAACAAAATGTATAAAATCACCAAAATTTTGAAATGCCAAGAAATAAACTTAACAATATTTGCATAAGAATTTTGTGACAATCATAAATAAATGGACAGTTTTATCATGGTTATGGATAAGATACATCACTACTAAAAATATTAATTATATCTAAACTAATTTAGGTGTTTAATTAAATAATAAAAAATTTCAATATGATTTTAAACACTGTTCTGAAATGTATATGAAAATGCAACTAATTAAGAATAGCCAAAATAATATTTAAGGAGAATATAGATACTTTGGTAAAAACAATGCAGAATTGTACAATAAGAGCCATATACATCACTCTAACACAATAGAGGTTAGAAAAAGAGCCACACATATATGGACAACTTATATGCCATTTGAAGTTTTATATACCCCATGACCCAGTAAGTATACTCCTAAAGCCCTATAATTTTATAAGCATAAGAAGAAATATAGAAGACAGATTTATTCATAATGTCCCCCATCTGGAAATGTTTCAAATGTCTATCAAGAGCAGAATTGTTAAGTGAAAGGTGGTACCTAAATGCGATGGAGTACTATACTCCATTACACTACTATATTTCATTATGCAAAAGAAAATGAATTAACTACATCTTCAAGAATCAATATGTATGTGATTTACAAATATAATATTGAGTCAATAAACTAATGGAAGAATGCAGAATTATTCTGAAAAGTTAATAAACAGGCAATTTTTTAAAAAATCTTATTTTTTTTCCTTCAGGGTTAGACAGCGGCATATGATCATGAAGGAGCACACAGGGAGACTTTAAGTTATTGGCAATATTATGGTTAATTTTATGCGTCCACTTGCCTGGACATAGGATTCCCAGATAACTGGTCAAACGTTATGTGGATGTGTCTGTTGAGGATGTTTTTGGATGAGATTAACATAGTAGACCCAGTATCACAGATTGCGTTCCCTGATGTAGGCACACCGCCTACAATTATTTGAAGGCCTGAATAGAGCAAAAAGACTGACTTCCTAGAGTAAGAAGAAAATCCTTCTGCCTGACTGCCTTTCAATCTAGGACACAGGTTTTATTCTGCCTTCAGACTCAAACTGAAACATTGGCTCTTCCTTCGTCTGAAGCTGTATGTATGTATGCATGTTTTTGTGTACATATCAATAAACATACAACATTGAAACATATGACTTAATATTATTTTATTTTTAAAAACATTTAAACTTTTATTTTACATACAGGGGACACATGTGCAGCTTTGTTACATGGGTATCTTGCACCCATGTGGTGAGCATAATACCCCATAGGTAGTTTTTCAGCCCACATCCCTCCTACCTTCCTCTTTTCTCCAGTAGTCTGCAGTATCTGTTGTTCCCATGTGTATGTCCATGTGTGCTCAGTGATTAGCTCCCACTTACAAATGAGAACATGCAGTATATTGTTTTCTGTCCCTGCTTTAGTTCACTTGAGATTATGACCTCCAGCTCCATCCATGCTGCTGCAAAAGACGTGATTTCATTCTTTCTTATGGCTATGTAGTATTCCATGGTATAATGTACAACATTTTCTTTATCCAATCCATTATTGACGAGTACCTAGATTGATTCCATGCCTTTGCTACTGTGAATCGTGCAGTGAGGAAACATGAGTGCGTCTGTCTTTTTGGTATAATGATTTATTTTCGTTTGGGTGTATACCCTGGAATGGGAATGCTAGGTCAGATGGTAGCCCTACTCTAAGTTCTTTTAAATAACTTCAAACTGCTTTCCACAGTGGCTCAACTAGTTTACACTTCACCAACAGCATATAAGCATTCCCTTTTATCTGCAGCCTCAAAAGCATCAATTTTTTTGTTTGTTTTTTACTTTTTAGAAATAGCCATTTGACTGGCTTGAGATATTATCTCATTGTGATTTTAATTTGCATTTCTCCAGTGATTATTACTGATGAACATTTTTCATGTTTGTTGGCCACTTATATGTCTTATTTTGAGAAGTATCTGTTCATATTCTTTGCTAATTTTTAAATAGGGTTATTTGTTTTTTGCTTTTTATTTGTTTAAGTTCCTGGTAGATTCTAAATATTAGACCTTTGTCGGAATCATAGTTTGCAAATATTTTCTTCCATTCAGTAGCTTGTCTGTTTTTTCTGTTGGTAATTCCCTTGCTGTGCAGGGGCTGTAGAGTTAAATTATGACCCACTTGTCATTTTTGTTGTTGTTGTTGTAATTGCTTTTGGGGACTTAGCCAAAAATTATTTGTCAAGGTCAATGTCAGGAAAAGTATGTCCTAAGTTTTCTTCTAGGATCTTTATAGCTTGTGGTCTTACCTTTAAATTTTTAATCCATCTCGAGTTAATTTTTGTATATGGTGAAAGGAAAGGGAGTAGTTTCATTCTTATACATAGAATTATCCAGTTATCTCAGCACTATTTATTGAATTGAGAGTTCTTTCCCTATTACTTATTTTTGTCATTCTTGTCAAAGATCAGATGGTTCTAGGTGATCAGTTTTATTTATGAGTTTTCTATTCTGCTCCATTGGTCTATGTGTCTGCTTTTGTACTTGTACCATGCTGTTTTGGTTACTGTAGACTTATAGTGTAATTTGAAGACTGGTGGTGTGATGCCTCTGGCTTTGATCTTTTTGCTTAGGATTGCTTTGGCTATTGGGGGTTTTTCTTGGTTCCATATGAATTTTAGAATAGCTTTTTTCTAGTTCTGTAAAGAATGACATTTGTAGTTTGGTAAGAATAGAATTGAATCTATAAATTGCTTTGGGGATTGTGGCCATTTTAACAATATTGATTCTTCTGATCTATGAGCATGGAATGTTTCTGAATTTATTTTCATCATTTCTAATTTATTTCAGCAGTGTTTTGCAGTCCTCCTTGTAGAGATCTTTCACCTGCTTGTTTAAATGTCTTCATAGGTATTTCACTGTCTTTCTGGCTATTGTAATTGAAATTGTGCTCTTGATTTGACTCTCAGCCTAGACTTTATTTGTATATACAAATGCTACTGATTTTTGTACATTTATTTTGTATCCTGAAACCTCGCTAAATTTTTTTTATCAGTTCTAGTAGCCTTGGGCAGAGTCTATACAGTTTTCTAAGTATAGAATCACATTATCAGCACAGAGAGATACTTTGAGTTCTTCTTTTCCTATTTTACTGCCTTTCATTTCTTTCTCTTGCCTGATTACTCTAGATAGGACTTCCAGTTCTAAGTTTAATAGGTGTGGTGAGAATTGGCATCCTTACCTTGTTTCAATTCTCAAGGGGAACATAATGATAAGAGGTATAATCCACAAGACTATCCTAAATACATACATGCCCAGAATTGGAGGACCCAGATTAATAAAGCAAGTTCTTCTTGGCGTACAAAAAGACCTAGACAACCACATGATAATAGTGGAAGACTTCAACACCCCACTGGCAGCTTTAGACAGATCTTTGAGGCAGAAAACTAACAAAGGACTAAGGAATTAGACTCGACACTTGATTAACTGAACCTAACAGACATCTACAAGACGCTCTTCCAGCAACTGCAGTATATATATTCTTCCCATCGGCACACAGTCACATACTCAGTCATGAAGTAAGTCTCGATAAATTTTAAAAAAAATGAAATCATAGCAAGCACATTCTCAAACTACAGTGCAATAAAAACATAAATCAATAGCAAGATCTCGCAAAACTACACAAATACATGGAAATTAAACAACTTGCTCCTGAGTAACTCCTGGGTGAACACTGTAATTAAGGCAGAAATAAAAAATTATTTGAAATTAATGAAAATGGGGACACAACTTACCAAAATTTCTGGAATGCTGCTAAAGTAGTATTAGGAGGTAAGTTTATAGCCCTAAATGCCTTCATCAAGAAGTTGATGAATTACAATTTTAACGTTGTACCTAAAGGAACTAGAAAAAAAGAAAAAAGAAAACCCAAAGGTAGCAGAAGAAAATAAAATTAGAGAACTTAAATAATTCAGATGCAAAAATCCATAAAAATAATTAATGAAACCAAGAGTAAACTCTTTGAAAAATAAACAAGTTCGATAGACATCTACCTGGAATAATTTTTTTCATTATGAATTTAGAGTTAAGTACATACTATTACAGTTTATATACTGAAAATGCTATTCACTAGGCAGAAACATTTAAGAAACCAGAAGAATGAGCTATCATACTCTGATTTTGATAGAAATGTATACTTTACAGGGTCCTTTAACATATTTGTGTAATTTAACCATGTTTTGACTTTCAAAAAGCAAAGTAGATGTAATGTATATTCCCAATTACTGATGCAATTATTTTTGTGTTGTAGTATTCTTTTGGAAAGTAAAGTGGCACTCTGGGCAGCCATATGACATATGTCAAGTAAAAAAGAGATAGTGTAGTAATTTGAAGCATTTGTTATTCGGCGTGTTTCATCATCTATCCTGTGAACCAAGAAACAATATAATTGATACAAAATTGGCTGTCCTTCATACTTCCTATTCATTTCCATATTCAAGTCAAACATATAATCTAGTTTACTTATAAATATATCTTACAAGAGAGAAACTACATTATGATCACTTCTGAGGGACAGAAATTATAACAGGATTTGTCATGTTATATTAGTAATTCAAACACCATATTTAAGAATAGTATGGAATAACTAGAACTTCCAGAACATTGAAATAGTGGCTCATTGTGAAGGTTCTGAGATAACTTTGAGAATATAATGGAAGCCATGTAATTTCTGACCAAAAATATACTATACACAAAAATTTGCATAAATCGCAAATTGTTTAAAGATGCTCTGAAACCACTGTAGTAATGAGAGTCCATCAGCCCACTGAGATTTCAGATATGTGGTGGATTTGCCAGTGAAATAATATGTCAGAGATATGTTTCTCTCAGAAACTTTCGTCTTATCTTAAGCTAAAATTAAACTACGTATCTTGATGGTTTCCCTTTCTTTTGCCACTTGTGTTTGTTTAGAAGAAGAAAGCTTCGGCACAAAAAGGCGAATATTTACATACCAATGTTTTATGAGAACTAAAGCTCACTACCTAGATTACTGCGGATAAAAATAAATGAATATTCTGAAACAAAGAAAAGTAAAATATGTGATGAAAATTAAAAGTTTAACTCCTAGGGAAGAATTTTATTATGTGCTAGCCATTTCTGTACTAGAATTTAAGCAGATTGTGTAAGAGACTCCAGAAGAAAAGAAGGTGAGAGAGCATTTGTAAGTATACTTTTCAAGAAAGATTGGCAACTATTTCTTTTGTTTGTATGTCTCGTGTTTTTATTGTGGAATACACAATACATAAGATAAAATAAAATGTATATATAGATTTTGAAGAATGATTTATGAAGACAAAATTCTTACAAGTATTTCTAAAGTAACATACTGACTGTTGCCTATAATAGTCTGGGTTTCCCACAGAAACAAAACCAATAAGATGTATATATCTATAGAAAAAAAATAATTATAAAGAATTGGTTCACACAATTTTGGAAACTTATACATCCCAAGATCTTCAGTCAGCAAACTAGAGAGAAATATATATATGCATATAGTGACATATGTGTGAAGATAAATGTGTTTAGATGAGCTAAAAAGAACAAAGCATCTCTATCTGTTTATGCATATGTACATAAATGTGTATGTATATAAGTATATGTAATCATTAATTATAAACTAGAATCTCCATGCATAAGTATAGAAGCTCTAAATAATACTTTAAATTACTAGGGCATTGAAAATTATTGCACACACTCTATTGATGAGCATTTATAATGTTAGGTGCTTTACTCAAAGTACTTAATTATTTGAGAGGTAATTATATATTTTCAAAATTTTAACATTAAATAAAATGTACTTCTCTCTAAAACTGTAATAAAAATTTATTTTTGATAACTTTGATGACATACTTTATCAATACTTCCAATTAACTCTATTTGCACATATAACTTTTTCTTATGATGAATGCAGATGTATTGAGTAATAGTTCCACACTCCACAATGCTGAAGATTAGCCGATATGGTACAGACCAGACACAAGGCATATAAAATGATGCCAAAAATATGTAAATTAAATAATTTTTATTTTAGTTTGTTAAAATAATACCATTTGACATTTTTATTTTGCCTTTAAGTGTTCATTACAGATTCATAAGCTTAAAGGGAAAGTACCTGTATACATCGTCATTTTGATGTGAATTTTCTCTTTTGTGAATGGACTTTAAAATGGCAAAGAGAAATTGCCTTGTAATATTAACAAATTGATCAGGTTTTAGTTAAATTGGGAAAAATATGTTAAAATAAGATAAATAATCCATGGGAAACTAGGGAAATAAAAATATCTTTTCATGTCACTTGAAGTACGAAGGCCGTAGATCTTTATACTCTCACTGAGATGAATGATCTCGGTGAAAAGACAGGGCTTACTTTCCATGAAAATGTCAGACATCATGGGATTAATTTCATTTTATATAAATATATTGTTAAAGATTATATTCTGCATAAAAGCTAAAATACATTTATTTCTAAACGTAAAAGTAAATAGTAAATAAACAAATCACTAAACATTCTAGATTTATAATGTTCTTATTTTATAGCTAGAATGGTAATTTAAAATGTTTACAATCAATGATCTCAAAGTCTTTATAGTTGATCACAATTATAAAAATACCAGTACCAAGGTTCCTCATATCATTAAGCAGGAGCTAGAAAGGAAGATACGTGAAAATAAAGATCAGCTTGAAGGGAATGATATATGTAAATGTTTTTAACCATTTGAAACTTTGACAGAAGATAATATTTATTTCATTTTGGTGCCAAAAATTTTTCTTTGCAAAGTCAAAAAAATAGGCTGTACACATAAATACTGTAATATTACAGTATGTGCTACCTATTTTCCTATGGCAGAAACAATTGCCTCAAATATTTCGTCCATATATAAAATTATTTGTGGCATGTTTGATACTGGTTATTTGGTTACAGATAGAAGTGGAAGGTGGCATTTAAATATTTTGTTCTTGTTCCAAGAAAACATAAGACAACTCCTTTATATATGAGACAGAGGTGGCAGGAATGGAAAAAAGAAAGATATTTTTAATTCTCATTTAAGACAGAATTGAATAAAATAGAATGTCACAAAAATTATAATTAGAAACAGATGATAATGCTTTTATAAATTAAATTACTAAATATTATCAGATCTGTAACCTTTAAAACATACTGTGAAATAAAATATAGAGATTAAAAAGTAGAGTTAATTTTAATTTTTCAGAAGAAAGTTTAAATAATAAAAATATAAATTACAAATAAACACTTAAAATGATACAAGGAGAATGAATGGACTAAATTTTGACAAGTCCAGTGTTTACTCGGAGCAATCTGTCATCTTAATAATTTAAGATTTTGTTGAACTTTTGTGTCTTTTTCTAAAATTTATTGATCGTATTTTAATACTCTTTTAAATAAATATTGTTAAAATTACAGTAATGATATGATATATACAGTCTAATTTGGAGAAGTATTTTTTAAAAATATTTGTTATGGAAGTTTACAACTTCCCATAACATTTTGCTCCTTTTGATGGTGCTAAATTTTCCAACTATCAACTTCTTCTCACAACATTTTTATTTTAATTTGTTCTTTATCAAGAACAGCAAAAGCACTTCTTAGATGTTCCATTCACATAACCTGTTTACCAGTGTGTTTGTGTTAATGTTTGCATATGTGTGTGTGTGTGTACTCTGATAATAGATGAAACTGGCATGTCCCATCTCCAAAGATATGTTTGCTAAACAGGATCAAAACCTTAGGTTCTAAAATGATGAAATGTTCATGATTGTTTAGGTTTCCTCTGGAAAATTAGAGAGCAAATAGGATGAATGTTTGCATCAGGGCCCTTGTTGTCCCTGAAGTTGAACCATGTAGTGACTGACTGCCTTGCTCACACTTTTCAAAGTAGGAAAAAAAAAATCCTAGCATTCCGTATCGAAGATTGAGCTCACTTAGACAAACAAAATGTTTTCCATATATAATGACCCTGTATCAATCTAAATTTTTCACAATATTAAGAATTTTTAAAAACGCACTGGCAGGATTAAATTTTTAAAAAGTCAAGGATGAATATCTTTGACTAAATATCTAAAACACTAAAATGTACCTAATTCTTAAGTGCAACCAAACTTGAAATTTTTAGTTGTCATTCTTTCTTGAGCTTTTAGCTCTGGTTTTGTTTGGAGTTTAATTGGTCTTTTCACCATAAAAGACTTCAGATTCATGGTGTGCTATCTTTAAAACTATTCTTTAAACAATACTGCAATTTCGTTTTTCTTAATTACAATTTTCATTGAGCAGAATTAGCTCTAAATGATTTTTGACTGTTTCTAAAATTTAAACTCATTCTTAAATAGTAAAGATTCTCTATGATCATAAACATAAAAAGGAAGCAACAATCCCCAACAGTGCTATAAAATTGTTTTTATACAATGATAGCATGCTTCCAAGGTAACTGTTAGACATGGACCAGTGCTTTTGGAAATGTGCAAGTTCTGTTATATTTTTCAGGTAGTTTTATTTTATAGTGACTAATAGTAAGTAATACTATAAATAAGGAAGTATAAATTATAAATACTCTCAAACTTTTTTTGTAATAGTGGAAATAATTTGTATCTTAAGTCAGCAATTCAATTCTCCTAAATTGGAACTGCTGCGATTTAATCTAGATTGAGTTTATGTTTACTGTTGTACTTTTTAAAAAATAAAAGTGTTAAAATACACTGGAGCATACAAGATTTCAAGAGGCATCTTTAGCATACATAAAGGAAATTATTTGAAAACTTTAACAGCATTATGGTTAATTAAAAGCATTGCTCATCTTATGGTGAAAATAGTCTTTAAAGGCTCTAATTCAAAATTATTTTATCCATAAGATTTTAAAAGAGATATGCTTTTTTAAAATGCTTGCAATATTTGGAATACCTACGCTTTCCAAATGTAATTAATATATTGACAGATATATACACACATATATATATACACATACATATGTGTTTGTATACATATGTGGTTGCATATTATATTGCATATTATGCAGATTATGTGTTTGCATATATAATATGCAATATTTAGCTTTAAAGGAGAAAGTATTATAACTTTATAAATGGTTGCATATGTAATATGCAATATATAATATATAATTATATTATATATGCAACCACATATATAAAGTTATAATATTTTCTCCTTTAAAGCTAATATATACATCTCTACTGGAAGTGAAATAGCCACACAAATCAGGAACAGAGGCAGCATCTCTCAATAGAGCATCTTTCAGAGATGTTAAGGAGGGGTGGCATCTGGCAGTGACAGCACAAATGCAAGGTGAGTCCTAGCTAGCCTCATTAAGTTTAACCTTTGGTATGTCACTTAAACTTTGATACTTGGAGCTAAATAATCATGATCATGAAGAACTGACACAAATAACTGATACACCTATACACTTAATAGGAAATGTTTGCAGACATGCATAACCTGCTTAAGCCCAACATGACATCAACAAAGCCGCATCCTCATCCAGAGGAGAAAGAAGAATTGGTGCTCTTGAACAATGCCACTGCTTTCAGCTTTGTAGAACTATGGAAAGTCCATTTCTTCACAAGGTATGATTTTAACTGAATTTTTCTGATTCTGAATTTGGTCTAATTATCCTAATCCTTTTACATACATGGACATTCTCAAATGTGAAAGATTAGCTCCAATTTCAATATTTATAATTCTTGATCACTTTTTAGGTCTACAAACATCATATCAGCCAATTTAAAATGTATTTTTATTACTTTAAAAATGGCTATGTAAGGTGGAACTGATATGCTTGCCAGTAAAATATGATAATTTATGTCATGTTGGTGGTAAATTCCAAATCAATAAATTGTTTTAGCAGGCACTCATTTTCCTTGAAATGCTAATTTCATTTTTCTGCAGTATTATGGATCTCTTATAATAACCTGAAGTTATAAATTTTCACCACTTGAAAATGAAAATAAGTTTTTTGTTATAAAATTAGTGTTTGACAAGGATATTGAAATAATGATTGTAGAAGTTTGTACTCCTTTTTGAATTCATCTTCTAGTTATTCTACGCACTTCCAATGGTATAAAATATTATTCTATACATGTTAGATTTTCAAACTGATAAAAATCTTTGAAGGGATAAAATATATTACATGATTTCACTGACTACAGTTCTTTACAGAAGATCTCAATCCAAAATACTTAATAAAAATTTGTGCAAACTAAGAGTCAAATATTTTCATAGTTCAGTAATAGTGTTACTATTGTTAACAATAGTAATGAACTAATAGATAATATTGATAAATTTATATTATTTTATGTGTCTAAAACAGGAATTCATAATCTGTGTATAAAGTCAGTATAGTCCCTCTGGGACAGTAAATTGGCTTGAGGGATTTGTAAACCTAAAAATTTTGTGTGTGGATATTTGCAAATGTGAATACACACATGTTTATTTTCTGTTAAGGAACTTCATTCAATGTACAACTATACATTTGGCCCAGGAAGAATTAAGAGGGATAAGACTGACTTTAAACCTGGATGTAATATGTGGCATTCCCACAAAAGATATGATGAGAAAGAAAAATGCCTATTTCATATTATTTGCTTGACTAACTTTATAGTCAGAATGACCAGGTGTCCTTGCGTATAGAGCAGTCCTAGTTTACATACGTAGTGCCTCCTTAACTATTAGTAAAGATTGCTTTGCTCCCCAAAGTGTCCCATTTTGGAAAATAAATTATAGGATTACATTCAGGAGCACAGAATTTGAAACCAAACTATCTGGAATCAAATGTCAGCTCTGCCAGTTCCTAGCTTTGTGACCTGGCACAACTTAGTTAAACGTTTAACTTATTCATCGAAACACAGCTATTAACATCTGCTTCATAGGACTGGGATAATTATAAGCAGGCTAATGTTTCTAAAATGTTAAGAACAGTGGTATATACAAGTAGCATATATATTTGTTAAATAACTCATTTTAAAGAAAATAAATTAAATTGGTTTGTATTGCTGTTATCAAGAGAAACCTTCCAATTTTCTACCTTCACGTTATTCCTCATTGCATTACTTTTGAAACCCCATATCCTTTCTCTGCTTGTCCAATTTCCATTTTCCTTTAACTCAAATTCACTTCCTGCATAAATTGTTCCTCAATCCTCTGTGTGACTTCCTTTGAAATTTTATACAACTCTCTACGTCTATTGGTTTACCAACTGAAAGAAAATCTCTTTTGGTATTCCTGCCATTTCTGCAATATTATACTATTGTTAGATACCAAGACAAAGTTTTTATTTTCTTTTTTAAAAAAATCTATTTTTAAAATCTAATCAGGGATGAGAAAAGTTCTTATAGAGAACTATGATCAGATAGAAGAAACTTGGAAATAATTGCAATATTCTAATCACTACAGTATAGTCAGCCTTAGAAATAGCCACATCTTGAGACTGACAACTCAAGGAGTAGAAAATGATCTTACTGTGAATAGAGTAGACCATTTAGTTCTTGGGAAAAGAAAACAGTCTCCCTCTCTTCAAACTTCATTTTCAATTGTGGAATTACATTTTATCGCCTTTGGAAAGCCATAATGATACATCTTTATTCAGCAATAACTTCAGCAAAATAAAGAGACATATAACCTGAAAATAAGACTTATTTTGTGACCCCAAGTTGATAAAACCGTTTCCATCATTTTACAGTTTGTTAATTAATTTGGCCTCTAAGTTATAATTGAACTTTGTGAAAATAGTATTCATGAGAACATCTTAAACTCATTTAGTTTTTGATTAGAATAGTTATAGCAATTTTGGATGTGTGGAAGACAGCTTAAATATCTTTCCTTCAGGTTAAATGGAGCTAGCAGCTCCAAAATAATTCATTGGAAGTCTCTAAAATTTTTGATCACATATTTTAAAAACAATTTGTGAATTGATAAATTATAAATGTTATTTACTTAAAAGCTACACACTCATATTAATACAAACATTGAGTATCATTGAAACTAAACATTGTTCTTTTATTAATAATAAATATTTATAGACATAATATTTTTTAGCTTCACTACTTGTGCTTCAATTTCTTCATCTGAAATAAAATATCTATACTCTAGGGTTGCTGTGAGAATTTTATTGATAAATATATATCTAGTGCCTAGAATAATAACTCAAGAAATACTAGCTACTCATTATTATATCACAATAGACTGTATTTTCTACCCTCTGGGGTTTACACATGCCACTATGAAGATCACTCTTTTAAAAATGTTATTTTCTGTAATTATAAATGTTTTCTAGTTTTTCACCCAATGTCTTAATTTTTCACTTTGCCTAATATTTCAGATGTCACTTGGAATTGAGAAAATACAATGTACTAGCAAGTTAAATTATTTTATATTTATAATATCAGTTATCGATCACTTAATATTAGCTAGAATATGTATGCTCTATATATAGACTTTGTATCATCTGTAAATTATAATACTTATGTATTCCTTTCTACAATAAATACAGTTGTAAGAAATGGAGTCTAGTATGTAAAATTACTTGAAATCTATTAAAAGAGACAAGGAACCTAGTGTATATTGAATACTTATTAGATTGGAGGTAGTATGCTAGATGATTTATATGAAACTCATAAATAATGAAATGATTATTATCATATTCTTTGGCAAAATAACTATACCTAGAAGAGTTCTGCAAATGGTTATGAAATATATGTCTTAATTGTTTAAATATTAAAGCCCTAAAATTAATAATACTGTGCTGGTAGGAATATTAGAGGGTATGATCAAGCCATTCAAATTTAAATGAATTTTTCCATTATTTCATCTCAAAAGACCCTTTTGGTACTCACACTATCTTTTTATTCAAAAAAAATTAATGTTAGGCTAAGGAGAAAAATTGCATAAGGCTCTTCATCTCCTCTTTACCCATATTCTCCTGAGGCTCCCACCACCACTACCACCAATTTACAAGAATTTCAGGGCTTTGCCTGGGGTACTTAACAAATCTGGTTCTTCACTAGCAGCTACATTTACTCTTTTACACTCTCCAAAGCAGAGTATTAGTTTAGAAGCAAAAAGTTAGGAAATAATTATATCCGGATTTCTAGCTGCTTTCTAAATCAATCTAGTTACGTACATTAAACATGTCAGAAGAAATACCTAATTTAAAAGTAAAAGTATTTCCCTTTTAATGTTCTAACAGAATGAAATAGCTTCCCTCACTCATTTCATTAGTACCCCTTCAAAAAATTTATAAGCTTACAATAAATGAAAGTAGAAAGAACAATTTCAAAATCATATTACAAGGCAAGTATTACCTTGACACTAAAATCAATCAGTGACATTACAAGAAATATAAACTACCAGCCATATACATCACAAATACAGTACCTGGCAAAATAACAGACACTCAGATCAATGAAGCAGAATGGAAAGTTGCAAAATAGGCCCACATACACAATTAATTGATTTTCAATGAAGGTACAAAATAAATGCAGTGGAGAGAGTGGAAAGAGTCTTTTAACCAATTTGTGCTGGAAAATATGAACATCCATAAGTAAATTTCAACCCATAGATTGCATCACATAAAAAAATTACAGCACTTTGGAAGGCCAAGACAGGTTGATTGCTTGAGCTCGGGAGTTTGAGACCAGCCTGGGCAACATGATGAAACCCCGTCTCTACTAAAAATACAAAATTTAGCCGGGTGTGGTGGTGTGGTGTCTGTAGTCCCAGCTACTTGGGAGGATGAGATGGGAGGATCGTGTGAACCCTAGAGTTGGAGGTTGCAGTGAGTGGAGATCTTGCCACTGAACTCTAGCCTGGATAACAGAGTGAAACCCCGTCTCAAAAGGAAAAGAGAAATAAGCTTCAGGGACATGGAGGGAAACAATACATACTGGTCATGATTGCATCCCACTAATAAAATCCCATTTGGACACAGCATATGATCCTTTTAATGTGCTGTTGAATTCAGTTTGCGAGTATTTTGTTGAGAATTTTTTCTTCTATATTTATCAAAGATATAGACCCATAGTTGTTGTTTTTTTCTTAACTTTTATTTTAAGTTCAGGGGTACATGTGCAGGTTTGTTGTATAGGTAAACTTGTGTCATGGGGGTTTGCTGTACAGATTATCTGATCACCCAGGTATTAAGCCTAGTACACATTACTAGTTTTTCTTGATCATCTCACTCCTCCCACTCTCCACTCTCCACTCTCCAACAGGCCCCAGTATGTATTGTTTCCCTCTGTGTGTCCATGTGTTCTCATCATTTAGCTCCCACTTATAGGTAAGAACATGCAGTATTTGTTTTTCTGTTCCTGCATTAGTTTGTTAAGGATAATGGCTTCCAGCTCCATCCATGTCCCTGAAGAGGACATGATCTCATTCTTTTTTATTGCTGCATAGTATTCTGTGGTGTATATGTACCACATTTTCTCTATCCAGTCTACCATTGATTGAAATTTAGGTTGATTCTATGTCTTTACTATTATGAATAGTGCTGCAATGAATACATGTGTGCACGTGTCATTAGAAAAGAATGATTTATATTACTTTGATTATATATCCAGTAATGTAATTGCTGGGTCAAATGGTGTTTCTGTTTTAGGTCTTTAAGGAACCGTCACACTGTCTTCCACAATGGTTGAACTAATTTGCGCTCCTGCCAACAGTGTATAAGCATTTCTTTATCTCCACAACCTTGCCAGAGTCTGTTAGTTTTTGACTTTTTAGTAAGAGCCATCCTGATGCATGTGAGATGGTATTTCATTGTGGTTTTGATTTGCATTTCTCTAATGATCAGTGAGCTTTTTATCATATGATTTTTGGCCACATATATGTCTTCTTTTGAAAAGTGTCTCTTCATGTTCTTTACCCACTTTTTAATGGGGTTGTTTATTTCTTGTAAATTTGCTTAAGTTTTTTACAGATGATGGAAGGAAACATTGCTGACTAGACACAAGCCAGGTGGAACAACTCCCACTATGGGAATGAGATGACTAGCATGCTCCTAACAGATCTTCAGAGGGTAAAGCACTGAGAGTCTATGGAAAAAAGGCACAGAAGCTGGGTTGAAGGGGGAGAAAGCTGATAATCCTATATGGAACTACAGTACACTTGGACTCGTTCTTGACCCCCAAAAGCTCTGGGGGGACTGATGAGTTGAACTGGCAAGGAGAAACCTGCTCTCACCATGGGCCTCTGGAACCCTGGCAGGAGGAGACCCCTTGATTACCACAGACACTCAAGTTGGGAGGGAGAGCTGCTTAGATAAGAATTGCGGGCAGAAACCCAGCTGATATGGAGCCCAGAGGATTTGGTGTAGTGTCTTTAGCAGAGCATGGCCAGGGATGCCCCGTCCCTAGGCTGGACTTGCTCCCAGAGTAGACTTTAGCTCTAGGGGAGGTATCAGTCTTGAAATTTGCAAAGCAGTTTTGCCCATTCAACGGGGTCAGTCTTACCAAAGCACCCCTTGATCTTCTACCCTTTTGGGGGGTCCAACCTAACCACACCTGCTTACAGGGGATCCTTGGGTACCCTGGGTGCTCACACAATAGCTTCTGTGCTGGTGGACCATGGCTGATCAGTGGAGAGCTCCAGCAAGGCAGCCCCTAGTACCATGCACCAGGCCACATCTTCCCTCCTCCTACTGCAGCTTCTTTTGGGCCCAGAGCAACTCCCTATATCAGTTTTCTGGCACTTGTTTTTGCAAGTGAGCTTTGCTTTCCCTGCCCCACGAACACACAGGAGTGCAGTCTCCCTCCAACCCTGCCAAACCCCCTCCTCCCCTCTTGCCCTGCCAACTACCATTGCTGATGGAGCCCTGGCAGGCAAAGAGCCAGCCATCCCCACCCCTGCCAGTGCCCCCACCCTTGCATTAACACTGCACAAAGAACAGCAGATCCTCCCCTGCCCTGAGTGACTATTTCTGCTTCCAGGGCACAGAGATTGCACCCAGATATGTGCCCGCCAGTGCCCATCCCTGAGCCAACACCACCTCCAACATCACTGCACACACAGTCAGTAGCAGGGGCCCTCCACCCAGCTGCATTACCTCCATCTCTGTGGTGAATGCCCACAGGGAGGCAAGCACCCCAGCACCTGCTAGCACTCTGCCACAGCTACCACTACACTTGCTGGTGGCACATGCACACAAGGATCAATCCTGCTGTCACTACACAATGAAATGTTTTGGCTGACGCTATCCTTTGGAATGTAGTGACAACACTCTAGGAGCACCTCCCTCCCCCCAGCATGGTGGATTCCTAACCTTAAGGGGACAGAGAACAAAGTTGGGTCTCAAGACAAGTCCCACAGAGTTAGAACCCACAGTCCAGGAGTTGGGAGCTGAGTGTTAGCCTCCTAAAATATTCCAGAAAGCAAGCCACAAGGCTGAATCCACCTTTTGATGACCTCACAGTCATCAAGTAGGATTTTTAAAAAATCGAAAATTAGCAATTTCAAAGACTGAAGAAAGATAAGCCCACAAATATGAGAAAGAACTGTGACAACTCAAAGAGCCAGAGTGCGTTCTTTCCTCCAAAGACTGCATAACCTCTCCAACAAGAGTTCTGAACTGAGCTGAGATGGCTGAAATGACAGAAATATAATTCAGAATATGGATAGGCATGAAGATCATTGAGCTACAGGAGTATGCTGAAACCCAATCCAAGGAAGCTAAATATCATGATAAAACAGTGCAGGAGCTGAAAGACAAAATACCCAGTGTAGAAAAGAATGTAACCTACTTGATCAAGCTGAAAAACATACTACAAGAATGCAATAGTGCAATAACAAGTATTAATAGCAGAATAGACTAAACAAAGAAAAGAATCTCGAGCTTGAAGACTGGCTTTCTAAAATAAGACAGACAAAAATAGAGAAAAAAAGAGTAAAAAAGAACCAACAAAACTTCTGAAAAATATGATATTATGTAAAGAAACCAAATTGGTGATTCATTGGTGTCCCTGAAAAAGATGGGGAAAATGGAACCAACTTGGAAAACATATTTAAAGATATCATCCGTTTGAACTTCCTCAACCTAGCTTGAGAGGTGAACATTTAAATTCAGGAAGTGCAGCGAACCCCGGAAAGATACTTCACAAGAAGAGCATCCCCAAGACACTTAATCATCAGATTCTCTAAGATCAAAATGAAAAAAAAATGTTTAAGTCAACTAGAAAGAAAAGTCAGATCACCTACAAAAGTAATCCCATCAGACTAACAGCAGGCCTGTCAGCAGAAACTCCATAAGCCAGAAGAGATTGGGGACCAATATTCAACATTCTTAAAGAAAACAAATTCCAACCTAGAATTTCATATTGGCCAAACTACACTTCATAAGAGAAGGATAAATAAGATCCTTTTCAGACAAGCAAATGCTGAGGGTATTCATTACCACCGGATCTCCCTTACAAGAGCTTCTGAAGAGAGTACTAAATATGGAAAGGAAAGTCTATTGCCAGCCACTATGAAAACACACTGAACTACACAGACTAGTGACACTATACATCAACCATCAACAAGTCTGCAAAATAATCTGCTAACATATTGGTAACAGGGTCAAATCCACATATATCAATACTAACCTTGAATGTAAATGGGCTAAATGACCCAATTAGAGGGCACAGAGTGGCAAACTTGATTAAAAAAAACCAAGACCCATTTGTATGCTGTCTTCAAGAGACCCATCTCACATGCAATGGCACACGTAGGTTCAAAATAAATGGATGGAGGAAAATCTGCCAAGGAAATGGAAAACAGAAAAATGTAATTTTCTTTTCCCTGTAGTTTGATTGCCAGACTTTGGTATCAAGATAAATGCTGGCCTCATCAAATGAGGAAAAGTTTGACAATAATTTGTGTTAATTCTCTAAATGTGTTATAAAATTTACTACTGAAGCCTTCTATTCCTAGGCTTTTCTTTGTTGGGATGTTTGTGATTACTCAGTCTCCTTACTTATTATTATTTGTTCAGATTTTTGTATTTCTTTATAATTTAGTCTTGGATAAAAGTCACATGATCATCTTAATAGATACAGAAAAAGCATTTGAAAAAATTCAGCAGATCTTAATGACAAAAGGTCTTAACAAACTAGATATAATAAGATCTTAAACCGAAGTAAGGTCATATATGAAAAGCTTCCTGCTAACATATTTAATGGTAAAAACCTGGAAGCTTTTCCTCTAAGATTCAGAATAAGGCAAAGATGCCCATTCTTGCCACTTCTGAAATCTTCGCCAAAAGAGGTAAGCAAGGAAAAGAAATAAAAAACATTAAAATCAGAAAAAAACACTAAGTAAAATTATGTCTGTTTTCAGATGGTAAAATCTTAGTGGAGAAAACCCTAAAGACTACACACACACACACACACACACATACATGCACGCAAAACATTAGGACTAACGCAACAATCAGTAAAGTTTCAGATACAAAAGGAACATACAAAAGCTAGTTGAGTTTTTATACACTAACAATGAACTATGCAAAACATAAATTAAAAAACACAAGAAAAATAGCAAAAAATATAGAGAAGTTGAATTACGTCAAACTAAAATTGCTCCTGTGCAGAAAACGAGATAACAGAGTGAAAAGGCAATGTACAGAATAGAAGAAAATATTTGCAAACCACGTATCAGAGAAGAGGTTAGTTTCCAAAACATGTAAGAAATTCCTACTACTCAATAGTAAATTAAAAAAAAAAACAAATAACCTGATTAATAATGAGTAAGGGACTTGAATAGACATGTCACCAAACAAGACATACATTTGGCCAATAGAATATAAAAAGATGCTCAACATCACTATTCAAAAGGGAAATACAGATCAAAACTGCATTATAGTATCACCTCTCTCCTGTTCAATGGCTGTTATATGTTTAAAAATAGTGTTGGTGGAAAATGTGAAAAAATTGGAATATTTATGTACTATTGGTGAGAAAGCAAAATGGTTGAGCTGCTATGAAAAAACAGTATGGAGGTTCCTCAAAAAATAAAAATAGAATTATCATATGACCCAGCAATCTCACCTCTGGAAATACATCCAAAAAAAACTGAAATCAAGATCTGGAAGAAATAACTCCATTCTTTTATTCACGGCAGCATTATTCACAATAGCCGAGATATAGAAACAATATAAATGTCCATTGACATATAATAGATAAAGAAAATGTGATATACACAGAAATTGAATATTATTCAGCTTCAAAAAAGAAAAAGAATCCTGCCACATGTGACAACATGGAGGAACCTGGAGGACATTATGGTAAGTGAAGAAAGCCAATCAAAATCAAATACAGATACTGGGCCAGGTGCAGTGGCTCATGCCTGTAATCCCAGCACTTTGGGAGGCCGAGGGGGGCGGATCACCTGAGGTCAGGAGTTTGAGACCAGCCTGACCAACATGGTGAAACCCCATCTCTACTAAAAATACAAAAATTATCCTGGCGTAGTGGCCGGAGCCTGTAATCCCAGCTACTTGAGGGGCTGAGACAGGAGAATGGCTTGAACCCAGGAGGCAGAGGTTGCAGTGAGCCAAGATTGCACCATTGCACTTCAGCCTGGGTGACAAGAGTGAAACTCCATCTCAAAACAAAAAAAAAATACAGATACTGCATGACTTATATACGACATATTGAAAACAGTCAAACTCACAGAAACAGTAGAAGGAAGGCTGCCAGGGGATAAATGGAGGCAGAAATGGGGAAGGTGCTGATCAATAAGTATATGTATTCAGTTATGAAATTTATAATGATTATAGAGATCTGCTGGCAACACTGTGCCTACAGTTAACAATTTTGTATTGAGCACTTAAAAATGTGTCAACAGGATAATTTTCATGTTGTGTTTTTACCACAATAAAAAAATCTTCCACTCTTCAAAAGACATTATTAATAAAATTAACATACAAGCTACAAGCTGGAATAAACCATAGGTAAAACACATATTTGGTGAAAGACTTAAAATCAGGTTTTAAGTAAACAAACAACCCAATATAAATTTGTAAAAGATCTGAACAGACTTCATCAAAGAGAATATACAGATACCAAATAAACACATGAAAAGATGTTGAACATCATTATTCATTAGAAAAGTATAAATGAAAACCACAATGAATCATTATTATACTATTAGTGATTATTGAATATAATAAAATTAGAATAGCTAAGTAAAAATCAAAACAAAACCAAAAACATTGAAATTACTAAGTGCTAGTGTATCCATGATGCAAAATGAAATGTTTATAAATTACTGTCTGGGAATGCAATATCCTATAGTTACTTCGAATTGGCAGTTTCTGTTAAAGTTAAACAAACACTTACCATATTATTGAGCAACTTCATTACTAGGTTTTTGCCATAAAGCAATGAAAACTGACATTCATAAAAATCATACACACATCCGGTTTTTTAGCAGCTTCATTCACGATCTCCTCAATCTGGAAACAGCCCAAATACACCTCTACTAATGAAAGTATAAATAACTTGTGGTACATCCAAAGAACAGAATATCCAGCAGTAAAGAAAATAGCAACTAGCATACTTACACACAAAACAACAGGAATAATTCACAAACACATTATGCTAAATGAATGAAGCCATATTCATACCTTATACTGAATACTATATATTATTCCATTTATGTAACATTCTGGAAAAGCGGAAACTACGGAGACAGAAGGAAGATTCGTGGCTGTCAGGGGGCTGGGATGATGAAAGGAATTGACTACAAAAGGATAAAAGGAAGTTAATGGTGGGGTGGGGGATAGAAGTGCTCTTTATTGGCCTGGCATGGTGGCTCACATCTGTAATCCCAGCACTTTGGGAGGCCAAGGGGGGCGGATGACGAGGTCAGGAGATCGAGACCATCTTGGCTAACACAGTGAAACCCCATCTCTACTAAAAATACAAAAAATTATCCGGGCGTGTAGCACTCGTCTGTAATCCCAGCTACTCGGGAGGCTGAGGCAAGAGAATCGCTTGAACCCGGGAGGCGGAGGTTGCAGTGAGCGCGATTGCGCCACTGCACTCCAGCCTGGGCGACAGAGAGAGGCTCTGTCTCAAAAAAAAAAAAAAAAGTGCTCTTATTTAAATCAATATTGTAGTTAAGCAAGTATATATGTTTCTCGTAACTCATATATCTGTCCACAAAATGGTGGATATTGCTGTGTGTTTATTATGCCTTAGTAAACCTGACTTCAAAGCCATTCAAATTTAGTAGTGTACATTATCTACTCCCATTCTATAGATGTTATGCTATTGAATTTTTCTTAAAGTTGAATTTCTTAAACCCAATCTTTTATGTATTTTGTTCCAAAACAGAAATCTATTTTTTGTTATATTTTGACATTGAGAATAAAAGTTAAGAAAATTAGTGATTCTATAAGTCAAACTTTTGAATGATTTGAATTATTAATACATTTTTTATACTCAGGGTGTTATTGGACGATGAACGTGTTATTCATTGTCCAATATTTAATAACATGTTTATTTGTACTTTTTTGGTTCTCAGCAGTAATTAGAGCTTCCCTATGTCACTTTCATATGAACAAGATAAACAAAGGAGTATCAGTAATTTATCTTAAAATCACAGCCAGTAGATAGTGAATGGCCATCTAAATTTAGATTTCTAGCACTACATTTTGTGATGTCTATGCATACAAGCCTTCCTCTAAATTCTCGGTGTGAACTAATCTTAATGTTTCATTGAAAAATGGTGCCTTATACGAAGCAGATTAAGAGACACATCTAAATAGAAGCCACTAAATTAATAAACATTGACCAAAGTGAAAAAGTCAGAATCAAGAATATTAAAAGAAATCCATGAAAATATAAAAAATATTACTCACATTTTTGATTATCATATTAAGATAAGTTACCTATTACAGAAGATTTTTTTGTATACACTACCTTACAAAAATATACTATTTCTTTGAATTTTTTTCTAATACTACTTTGATAATACAATCAGCATTAGTAATTGGAAACCAATAATGTAATAAGATTTGGATGTCTAAGTATTTTAATGGAGCAGAAAGAATATCATTAAGATTTACTTAGTTTGTTTTATGAGGCTTAACAAAATAACACATATAAATATAGCACTCTTTAGTTTACCAAATGCTATTCCAATTAAAATAAATTAACCTGTGTAATATTTGTTAACTTAACTCCATTAACATATTATTCTTATTGTTGTTATTATTATCATTTCCTATACTTAGTTGAAGAATGTAAGATACATGAAACAATCTGTGCAGAGAACCATAATGGACTCCTTCTAATGGGACTTTGGAAGAGTTGCCCTGTTCAAGTAAAGAACTGGGAAAGCTTCACCCTCCAGCTAACTAATACAACAAGGAAGATTGTCTTTTCTAAAGCTTTTATAAATGGAGATTGATATGGTTGGGCCGTGACCCCACCCAAATCTCATCTTGAATTGTAACTCCCACAATTCCCATGTGTCCTGGGAAGAACTCGGTAGGAGGTGATTGAATTATGAGGGCAGGTCTTTTCTGTGCTGTTCTGTGATAGTGAGTGAGTCTCACAAGATCTGATGCTTTTAAAAATGTGAGGTCTTCTGCACAAGCTCTCTTTGCCTGCACCCATCTAAGTAAAAAGTGACTTGCTCCTCCTGTCCTTCTGCCATGATTGTGAGGCCTCCCCAGCTACGTGGAACTGTGAGTCCAATTAAACCTCTTTCTTTTGTAAATTGCCCAGTCTCAGGTATGTCTTTATCAGCAGCATGAAAACGGATTAATACAGTAAACTGGTACCAGTATAGTGGGGTGCTGCTGAAAAGATACCCAAAAATGGGGAAGCGAGTTTGGAACTGGGTAACAGGCAGAGGTTGCAACAGTTTGAGGGGCTCAGAAGAAGAAAGGAAAATGTGGAAAAGTTTGGGACTTCCTAAAGACTTGTTGAATGGCTTTGAACAAAAATGCTAATAGTGATATAAACAATAAGGTCCAGGCTGAGGTGGTCTCAGATGGAGATGAGAAACTTGTTTGGAACTGGAGCAAAGCTGACTTTTGTTATGATTTAGCCAACGGACTGGTTGCATTTTGCCCCTGCCCTAGAGATTTGGGGAACTTTGAACTTGAAAGAGATTATTTGGGATATCTGGCAGAAGAAATTTCTAAGCAGCAAAGCATTCAAGACATGACTTGGGTGCTGTTAAAGGTGTTCAGCTTTATAAGGGAAGCAGAGCATAAAAGTTTACAAAATTTGCAGCTCGGCAATATGATAGAAAAGAAAATCCCATTTTCTGAGGAGAATTTCAAGCTGGCTGCAGAAATTTGCATAAGTAATGAGGAGCCCAATGTTATTCCCCAAGATAATGGGGATCTCCAGGGCATGTCAGAGGTCTTCACGGCAGCCACTCCCATCACAGGCCTAGAGGCCTAAGAGGAAAACATGGTTTATTGGGCCAGGCCAAGGATCCCCGTGCTGCATGCAGGCTAAGGACTTGGTTCCCTGTGTCCCAGCCCCTCTAGGTGTGACTAAAAGGGGCCAAGGTACAGCTCGGGCCATGGCTTCAGAGGGTACAAGCCCAAGGTTTGTCAGCTTCCACATTGTATTGAGCCTGTGAGTGCACAGAAGTCAAGACTTGAGGTTTGGGAACTTCTGCCTAGATTTCAGAAGAGGTATGGAAACACCTGAATGTCCAAGCAGAAGTTTGCTGCAGGGCAGGGCTCTCATGGAGAACTTCTTGTAGGACAGTGTGGAAGGGAAATGTGAAGTTGGAGCCCTCACACAGAGTCCCTACTGGGGCACTGCCTAGCGGAGCTGTGAGAAGAGGCCCACCATCCTACAGACCCTAGAATGGTAGATCCACTGACAGCTTGCACTGTGCACCTGGAAAAGCTGCAGACACTCAGTGCCAGCCCATGAAAGCAGCCAGGAAGGAGGCTGTACCCTGCAAAGCTACAGAGACAGAGCTGCCCAAGACCATGGGAACCCACTTCTTACATCAGCATAATCTGGATATGAGACATGGAATCAAAGGAGATCATTTTGGATCTTTAAGATTTTACTGCCCTGCTGGATTTTGGACTTTCTTGTTGCCTGTAGCCCCTTTGTTTTGGACAATTTCTCTCACTTGGAATAGCTGTATTTACCCAATGCCTGTACCCCCATTATATCTAGGAAGTATTTAACTTGCTTTTGATTTTACAGGCTTATAGGCAGAAGGGACTTGCCTTGTCTCAGGTGAGACATTGGATTGTGTACTTTTGAGTTAATGCTGATATGAGTTAAGACTTTGGGGGACTGTTGGGAAGTTTTGTTTTAAAATGTGAGGACATGGGAGGGGCCAGGGGTGGAATGATATGGTTTGGATGTGTCCCCATCCAAATCTCATCTTGAATTGTAACTCCCACAATTCCCACATGTCACGGGAGGAACTCAGTGGGAGGTGATTGAATTATGGGTGCAGGTCTTTCCTGCACTGTTCTCATGATAGTGAATGAGTCAGTCTCATGACATCTGATGGTTTTAAAAACAGGCGGTTCCCTGCACAAGCTCTCTTTGCCTGCCGCCATCTACATAAGAAGTGACTTGCTCCTCCTTGCCTTCTGCCATCATTGTGATGACTCCCCAGCCATGTGGAAGTGTGAGTCCAATTAAACCCCTTTCTTCTGTAAATTGCCCAGTCTCAGGTATGTCTTTATCAGCAGCATTAACATAGGGACAGACTAATATAGGGACACACTGCCTCCTGAGCAACTGACACTCCAAAGCCTTGCCTCTTATGAATGTGGCATCCAAATTTACTCTACCTTTGTTATTGAGAAATCCCAAGCTAAGAAATGAAACACTGATACTACACTGGGAGAAGTACTAAAGTAGTAATCGTAAGCTAATGCAAACCTATTCTCTGAAGAAACTTAAACTAACTGGATCACAGGATAGAAAAATAAAATTACAATGAAAAGCAAAACTTACCGGAGAAATCGCAGAATGAAAAAATGAATTGGATTATTTAAAACAACTAAAATGAACTTTTAGAAATAAAAAAACTAGTATAGTTTTTTATTAAATATGAATAATTAAATATTGAATAATACACAGCTGAGGGGATAATTAATCATATAGAAAATAGATCTGAAGAAATTATCCAGAATGCTGCACAGAGATCTGTGGAAGTGTAATTAAGAGACACAAAAAATAAGACAAGATGTTCCAAAATACAACTAAAAATTGTCAAAAAATAGCTTTGTGAGGCAATATTCATAAAGACAATGCAAGATGGTCTTAAAGAAAACTGGAACGTCTTTATAATGCAAAAACACTCACCTGGACATATATAGTAGAAGTGTTGAAAACCAAAAACAAAAACTAATTTTAAAAGTGATCAGACACAAAAAGAAATAATCACAAAAGTTAAGATGATAACAGACTTCTCATCTACAAAGTAATAAAAGGAAAAATACAAAATACTGAAGAAAATCACTTCCATCCTAAAGTTCACACCCTAAATTATTCCCAAGGAGTAAAAGAAAAGTGAATATATTTTCAGAAAAACAAAGAAACACTAATTAATGCACTTCAGGAAGAAAGAGTATCATCTAGAAAACAGTGAGATAGCAGTGACAAGCAAATAAACTGCAAATCCATGTTGAGTAAATCTAAATTACCATGGACTTTTTTTTTTAGAAAATAAATTGATAAAATTTACTTCATCAAAATAAACACTTATACTTCTCAAAAGATACTGTTAAGAAAATGAGAAGATAATGCCATGGCTGAGAAAAAATATGTATCTCCTAAAGGACATATGTCCAGAATATATAATGACTACAACTCAGTAGAAGGAAATCAACCTGTTTTAACATGGGGAAAATATTTGTCAGTCTTTATCATCATTTTCTTTTCTTAATTTTTTTCTTTATTTCTTCTAAAAAAATAAAAACAGGATATATATGCAGAACATGCAGTGTTACATAGGTATATGTGTGCCATGGTGTTTTGCTGCACCTATTTACCTGTCCTCTGTGTTCCCTCCCCTCAACCCCCATCCCCCAACAGGTCCTCCTGTGTGTTGTTCACCTCTCTGTGTCCATGTGTTCTCAATCTTCAACTCTCACTTATGAGTGAGAACATGTGGTGTTTGGTTTCCCGTTCCTGTGTTAGTTTGCTGGGGATGATGGTTTCCAGCTTCATCCATGTCCCGGCAAAGGACATGATCTCATTCCTTTTTATGGCTGTGTACTATTCCATGGTTTATATGTACCACATTTTCCATATCCAGTCTATCATTGATGGGCATTTGGGTTGATTGCATGTCTTTATTATTGTAAACAGTGATGCAATAAACATACGTGTGTGTGTGCCCTTATAGTAGAATAATTTATATTCCTTTGGTTATATAATGAGTAATGGGATTGCTGGGTCCAACTTTGTTTCTGGTTCTAGATCCTTGAGGAATTACCATACTGTCTTTCACAATGGTTAACCTAATTTACATTCCTACCAACAGTGTAAAAGTGTTCCTATTTCTCCATAGCCTTGCTAGCATCTATTATTTCCTGACTTTTTTATAATCGCTATTCTGAGTGGCATGAAATGGTATCTCATTGTGGTTTTGATTTGCATTTCTCTGATGATCAGTGATGTTGAGGTTTTTTTTCATATGTTGACCACATAAATGTCTTCTTTTAAGAAGTGTCTGTCCATATCCTTTGCCCAGTTTTTGATGGGGTTGTTTTTTTCTTGTAAATATGTTTAAGTTCCTTGGAAACTCTGGATGTTAGACCTTTGTCAGATGGGTAGATTGCAAGAATTTTCTCCCATTCTGTAGGTTGCCTGTTCACTCTGATGATAATTTATTTTGCTGTGCAGAAGCTCTTCAGTTTAATTAGATCCCATTTGTCAATTTTGGCTTTTGTTGCAATATTTTCATCATTTTTGTCATGAAGTCTTTGCCCATACCTATGTCCTGAATGGTATTGCCTAGGTTTTCTTCTAGGGTTTTTATGGTTTGAGGTTTCAAATTTAAGTCTTTAATCCACCCTGACTTAATTTTTGTACAAGGTGTAAGGAAGGGGTCCAGTTTCAGTTTTCTGCATATGGTTAGCCAGTTTTCCCAGCATCATTTACTGAATAGGAGATTCTTTCCCCATTGCTTGTTTTTGTCAGGTTTGTTGAAGATCAGATAGTTGTAGATGCGTAGTGTTATTTCTGAGGTCTCTGTTCTGCTCTGTTGGTTTATATGTCTGTTTTGATACCAGTACCATGCTATTTTGGTTACTGTAGCCTTGTAGTATAGTTTGAAGTCAGGTAGCGTGATGCTTCCAGCTTTGTTCTTTTTGATTAGGATTGTCTTGGCTATACAGGGTCTTCTTTGATTCCATATGAAATTTAAAATAGTTTTTTTTCTAACTCTGTGAAGAATATCAATGGTAGTTTGATGGGAATAGCATTGACTCTATAAATTACTTCAGATGGTTTGGCCATTTTCACGATATTGATTCTTCCTATCCATGAGGATGGAATGTTTTTCCACTTGTTTGTGTCCTCTCTTATTTTCTTGGGCGGTGTTTTGTAGTTCTCTTTGAAGAGGTCTTTCACATCACTTGCTAGCTGTATTCCTAGGTATTTTACTCTGTTTGTAGTGATTGTGAATGGGAGTTTATCCATGATTTGGCTCTCTTCTTGCCTATCGTTGGTGTAAAGGAATGCTTGTGATTTCTGCACATTGATTTTGTATCCTGAGACTTAGCTGAAGTTGCTTATCAGTTCAAGAAGTTTTTGGACTGAGATGAAGGGGTTTTCTAAATGTAAAATCAAGTTGTCTGCAAACAGAGACAGCTTGACTTCCTCTCTTCCTATCTGAATACCCTTTTCTTCGATCTCTTGCCTGATTGTCCTGGCCACAGCTTCCAATACTATCTTGAATAGGAGTGGTGACAGACGGTGAGATCTTTCTAGCTTTCTAATGAAAGTGCTCTAAATTTTTCTGTTAACACTGCTTTAGCTGTGTCCCAGAGATTCTGATATGCTGTCTCTTTGTTCTCATTGGTTTCAAAGAACTTATTTATTTCTGCCATAATTTCATTATTTACCCAGGAGTCATTCAGGAGCAGGTTGTTCAATTTACATGAAATAGTGTGGTTTTGAGTGAGTTTCTTAATCCTGAGTTCTAATTTGGTTGCACTGTGGTCTGAGAAACTGCTTGTTATGATTTCAGTTCTTTTGGATTTGCTGAAGAGTGTTTTACTTCTAATTATGTGGTCAATTTTGGAATAAGTGCTATGTGGCTCTGAGAAGAATGTATATTCTGTCAATTTGGAGTAAAGAGTTCTGTAGATGTCTACTAGGTCCACTTGATCCAGAGCTGAGTTCAAGTCCTGAATATCCTTGCTAATTTTCTTTCTCATTGATCTGTCTAATACTGACAATGGGGTGTTAAAGTCTCCCACTATTATTGTGTGAGAGTCTAAGTCTCCTTGTAGGTCTCTAAGAACTTGCTTTATGAATCTGGGTGCTCCTGTATTGGGTGCATATATATTTTAAATAGCTAGCTCTTCTTGTTGAATTATTCCCTTTACCATTATGTAATGCCCTTTTTTGTCTTTTTTGATCTTTGTTGGTTTAAAGTCTGTTTTGTCAGAGAATAGAATTGCAACCCCTGCTTTTTTTTGGCTTTCCATTTGCTTGATAAATTTTCCTCCAACCTTTTATTTTGAGCCTGCATGTGTCTTCGCACATAAAATGGCTCTCCTGAATACAGCACGCCAATGGGTCTTGATTCCTTATCCAATTTGTCAGTTTCTGTCTTTTAATTGGGGCATTTAGCCCATTTACATTTAGGGTTAGTATTGCTATGTGGGAATTTGACCCTGTCATCATGATCCTATTTGGTTATTTTGCACACTAGTTGATGCAGTTTCTTCACAGTGTCATTGGTCTTTATATTTTGCTGTGTTTTTGCAGTGGCTGGTACCAGTTTTTCCTTTCTATGTTTAGTGTTTCTTTCAGGAGCTCTTATAGGACAGGACTGGTGGTAATGAAATCCCTCAGCATTTTCTTGTCTGGAAAGGATTTTATTTCTCTTCCACCTATGAAGCTTGGTTTGGCTGGATATGAAATTCTGGGTTGAAAATTCTTTTCTTTAAGAAGGTTGAATATTGGCTTCCAATCTCTTCTGGCTTGTAGAGTTTCTTCTGAGAAGTCTGCTTTTAGTGTGATGGGATTCCATTGTAGGTGACTTGGCCTTTCTCTCTGGCTGCCTTTAACAGTTCTTCCTTCATTTTGACCTTGGAGAATCTGATAATTATGTCTTGGGGTTGATCTTCTCGTGAAGTATCTTACTGATGTTATCTGTATTTCCTGAATTTGCATGGTGGCCCATCTTGCTAGGTTGGGGAAGTTCTCCTGGATAATACCCTGAAGTGTGTTTTCCAGCTTGTTTCCATTCTCTCCTTCTCCTTCTGGTACTCCAATCAATCGTAGGTTTGGTCTTTTTATGAAGTCCCATATTTCTTAAAGGCTTTCTTCATTCCGTTTCATTCTTTTTTCTCTTTTCTTGTCTGCATGTCTTATTTCAGTAAGGTGGTCTTCAAACTCTGATATCCTTACTTCTGCTTGGTTGATTCAGCTATTGATACTTGTGTATGCTTCACGAATTTCTTATGCTGTGTTTTTCAACTCCATCAGGTTGTTTTTGCTTCTTTCTAAACTGGTTATTCTAGTTAGCAATTCTTGTAGCCTTTTATCAAGGTTCTTAGCTTCTTTGTATTGAGTTAGAACATACTTCTTTAGCTCAGTGTAGTTTTTTATTATCCATCTCTTGAAGCCCACTTCTGTCATTTCGTCCATCTGATTCTCCATCCAGTTCTGCGCCCTTGATGGAGAGACGTTGCAATCATTTGGAGAAGAGGCACTCTGGCCTTTTGGGTTTTCAGCAGTTTTTTTTGTTTGTTTGTGTGGTTTTTTTTTTTTTTTTTGGTGATTCTTTCACATCTTCATGAATTTGTCTAGTTTTGGACTTTGAGGCTGCTAATCTTTGGATGAGGTTTTTGTGGGGCCATTTTTTGTTCTTTTTGTTGACACTGTTGTTTTCAGTTTCTGCTTGTTTTTCTTTCAATAGTCAGGTCCTTCTTCTGTAGGGCTGCTGCAGTTTGCTGAGGGTTCACTTCAGGCCCTATTCATCTGATTCGCTCCCATGCCTGGAGATGTCACTCAAGAAGGCTGGAGAACAGCAAAGATGGGTGCCCACTCCTTCTTCTGGGACCTCTGACCTCAAGGGACACCAGCCTGATGCCAGTAGGATCACTCTTGCATAGGGTGTCTGACAACCCCTGTTTGTGTCTCACCCAGTTGGATGGCACAGGGAGCAGCATCCATTTGAGGAAGCACTTTGTCCCTTGGTGGAGAGGGTGTGCTTCACTTGGGGGGAAACCCACTCATCTGGGCTGCCCAGATTCCACAGAACTACCAGGAGGAGGGGCTGAATCTGCTGGTCAGCAGAGACTGTGTCCCTCCCTCCCACTAAGGCTCAGGCCCAAGGAGATCTGAATTCTGTCCCTGAGCCTCTGGCTGGAATTATTGGAGCTCCTGCAGGGAAACCCCGCCCAATAAGGAAGGATGGGACAGGTTTAGGCCTGAAGAGGCACTCTGGCCACAGACAGCCACAGCTGGTGTGCTGGGCTGTGGGGACAAGTCTTGGGACCAAGCCATCCAGTCTCCCTGGATCTAGCAGGGGAAAAGCGCAGCCTGGGGCCATAGAAATGGGTGCCGCCCTTCCCCTGCTCAGGGAGCTTAGCCTGTTAGGCAGTTGTGAGGCCCAGTGCTGGCTGCTGCCCCTTCCCCAAGGAGACCAAAAGGCTTAGGCCTCAGGCTGGCGCAGCCAGTGCTGGTTGCCCCTCCCCCCTGGTAGGCTTAAGCAGATTCTAGCTGAGAGACTGTAAGAATCTGCATGTTCCGGGGTTGGGACACTAGGCCCCAGTGGCGTGGGTTCGAGTGTGGGATCTTCTGATCCGTGGGTTACAGAGTTCCGTGGAAAAAGCAGTTTTCCTGGCTGGGTAGTATGCTTACTCACTGCCTCCCTTTGCTTCGGGGAGGGGCTTCCCCTTTTCCATGTGGCTCTCAGGTGGGCGGCTGCACCACACTGTTCTTCCTTCTCTCCCTGGGTCATGCTAGCCTTCTAGTCAATTTTGATGAGAGAACTAGTTACTTTGGTTGCCAGTGAAGGATTCACACGCTTATTATGTTTCTTTTTTGTGGGAGTCTTCGAACCCTGCTGTTTCTAGTCGGCCATCTTGGCCCTGCCCTCCATTGACTTTTAAGATAGAAAAAATGATGGCTAATCATGAGAGTTGAGTAAAATGAGGTAAAACGAGGTAAAACTTACGTACTATGAAAACCATGTGGGCACTGATCACCGATATTTGATTGCAAATATCGGTGAGCAATGTTTCATCCTTTTTAGTTCCTTACACTATCTGAGAATAACAAAGGTAAAAAGTAATTTTAACCTTTATAAATCAAGTATGACACAAACGCTGAAATATTTCCAATAATTAAATAGATTGTATACATTATGAACTAACAAAAAAAGGAAAACAAAAAATGGTATATAAATACTTCATTAAACCCAAGAAAAGCTAAAGAGAAAAAATTAATCTAATAAAATGCTTTTAGCATACTCTGAAATAAATAATATATATGCTTTATGCTAATATATTAAAAACTGAAGGCTGGGCACGGTGGCTCACGCCTGTAATCCCAGCACTTTGGGAGGCCGAGGCGGGAGGATCACAAGGTCAGGAGATCAAGACCATCCTGGCTAACATGGTGAAACCCCATCTCTACTAAAAGAATACAAAAAATTAGCCGGGTGCAGTGGCGGGCGCCTGTAGTCCCAGCTACTCGGGAGGCTGAGGCAGGAGAATGGCGTGAATCTGGGAGGCAGAGCTTGCGGTGAGCCGAGATTGCACCACTGCACTCCAGCCTGGGCAACAGAGAGAGACTCAGCCTCAGGAAAAAAAAAAAAAAAAAAAAAAAAAAAAAAAAAAAAACAACTGATAAAGACAATGCTTTAGGTATCAAAAAATGTGCATTTAAAATGTAAAATGTGACATCAAAGAAGTTTCTTATTTAATGTAATGCATCATACATCATTGAGCATATGAGATACATGGGATCATGTATGAAAGGCCATTTTGTTAAAGGGGTTTAAAAAATGTAAATTTTCAATTTGGAAATATTCACAAAGTATAAAATGTTGGCATTGGTAGAGCTAGCACATTGTACCTAAAATAGTATTTTTCTTGGTTGAACAGACAATAGCTGTATAGACTTATTTTCTTGAAGATAATGGTTATATTCTGTTATCACTGTACTCCCTGCATACTAATTACATTTCCTTGAATATAGTAGGAGTTCAAATAATATGGACTGTAGCACTGAAATTGCATTTATTGTCTTAAATATGGTGTAGGGGGACAATTACCTCATCTGGATAGTCTGTATTCTTTTAATGACTGACGATATGTGGCTTTGCTGAATTTTGTTACCAAAATCTGCAGATTATTGGACACGGTCATTAGATGTGTTTGAAGATGCACCTGAACATATTTTACAATTATTAAGAGCAAGTAGTTTGTTTGGTACAGTAGATATAGTGAAATTCTAGCAAACAATTCACACAAAATTTTAAATCCAGAGGCTGCATTAGACTGACTACAATGTCTACAATTGTATATTCAGTCATGATTTCTCATTTATATTATTGCCGTACATTGAATTGACAATGTTTGATCAGAGTAATAGAGTATATCCATTAACACTTTAGCATATATTAATTTAACCTTAATAGTATAACATAATAGTTGAAGAAAAAGAATTCTAGTGTAGGATAGAAATTCTAATTCTAATATAGGATAGTAAACAGTCAACACATGGGGTGCTGAATATTTGGTCTGGGTGAGGTAGAGGCTACAGGGTAAATTGCTTCTGGGGCATACAGCATGACAACGATGTCAAATAATTGAATAGGCCCTGAACAAGATTTAGAGGTGTGTTTACTGATTTTTCTTAAAAAGGGCCTAAGTCATTGTTTAACAGTTCTGTTTTATGCCTATCTTTTAATGTGACTTTTCCCATCTGAAAAATTATTTTATTTACCTATTAATTTAGGACTGTATATGTACACTTAATAAACGTATTTGAAGAAAATCTTTGGAAATAATCACAGCTATTGGTTTGGGTAAAGTTAGCACATTATACCTAAAATAGTATTTTGCTTGGTTGAGCAGGCACTGGCAGTATAGAATATTATTTTCTTGAAATTAAGTATTATTATGTTTAGATATTGTATTAAGAATTATGGGGTTAGAGAATTAAAGAGATACAATTCTTACATTTAAGCCTCCTTTGTCTAAGGATACTACAAATAGTAATTACAAAATACATGATAAAAACAGTGAAAGCACTTGAAAGGTACAATCTCCCTGCAACCCACAGCTGCAATCTCCTGTGTAAACATTGAAAGCCCCTAATTTGCCCCTTATTAGTCATTCAATACATTATTTCATTTATTCATTCATTCAGTTATTCACTAAATACATATTAAATACATTCTAGTGCCAGATACAATTATAGATTCTGAGAATATGGTGATGACTAAAGAGAAAGGACCCCTATCCTCACTGAGATTATAGAACAGTAAAGTAGAGATCTAAAAAATTGGAAGTACTACAATTAATGTCAGTGAATAACTGGAGCATATAGTGGAAATGAACAGTGGCAGGAGACAGGTGTATGAAGTTTCTTGATGATATATGAATTCATTCCCTGTGTAGTATTAACAGGACTGACCGACACACTGAAGATAATCTCAGGAATAGACCCTGTCTGGGTAGCAGAGGGAATTAAGATCCTAATGTGACTTGACAGACAGGAAGATCCCTGGATGTATGGTAATTCAGAATCTTAACAATTGTTAGATTTATCCAGCAAATCTAGAAAGGTGTAACTAATTATCATCTATACAACAGCATTTATATTGGATGTTAATATGTTGTACAGGAAAAATAGGTTGTATGATCAATTAAGCTTGGAAAACTGCATAGAAGAGTGGGATTCTTCATTGTAGGGCTTTTCAGAGCTTATAATTTTATTAATATTGAATATCAAGAAGAGATACAGAATATGCAGTATTTGCTGAATATATTGCAATGAGAAACTTTCCTTTATAGAATATTTTTTAAATGTAATGTTCTGCAGAGCATAATTTGTGAGACACATGACTATGGATACTAAACCAGTGTTGGAAATAATGCGATGCCTAATGACCTTTGATAATAATACTTTATGCTGAATAAAGAAATGGATGACCTATTTCAATCTATCATTGTAATTTACACAGTGACCTGAAAGCAACTGAAAAATCTGAATGGCATGGTGTATTTTTGCACATTTATAATAGATGGTTGTGGATAAATGTTTCACTATGTTGAGTTTATAGTCAGAGGACATAATGGATTATTTAACATCAAAACTACTGTTAAGTAATAAAAAGTAAGAAATATGAAGTTTATGTGAAAGTGTCAGTCATAACCAACTTTTAACAAGCAGTTTTTATTTTCCAGTATACCTGATTAACAGAGAAAAGATAGGTAGGGTGAAGGGAGCACTAGACGTACATCCAGGAGGCCTGGGCTCCTTGCTCAGGTCTACCATTAATTATCAGCGTGTTCTCGTACAAATAATCTCTTCATCTCAGAATTTGTAGGCTTCTTAGAGATCATGTAGTCAAATAACCTGATTGGTCTGAATCCTCCAAATGCACATTGGACTTAAGAGTGCTATTCAGACATTCTATTAGGTTGGTGCAAAAAAATTGCAGTTCTTGCTATTATTTTCGGTGGCAAAACTGCAATTACTTTTGCGCCAACCTAATAAGTTGCATCTTTATTTTCAGAAATCTCAGTGCTTAAGAGAATAAGATTTAGACTTGTAATATCGATTAACTCCTATTATTCGTAATTTGACAGGTGTGTTAGTTCCGTGTTTCTCAAAATTTATTGTATAAACAGGAGAGTACAGATATCTCTTTCATATACACATTTCCTTTTGTGGGGTATATACCAAGCAGTGGGATAGTTTGATTTTTAGTTCTTTGACAAACCTCCATATGTTTTCCATAGTGGCTGTACTAATTTACATCTCCACAAACAGCATATGAGGGTTCTCCTTTCCCCGTATCCTCACCAGCATTCATTATTATTATTTTTTGTTGTTGTTGATAAAAGCCATTTTCACTGGGATAAGATGGTAACTCACTGAGGATTTTTTTTATTTCTCTGATTATCTTCACTATTGGGCATTGTTTCATATACCTGTTGGCCATTCATACAACTTTTTGAGAAATGCCTATTCAGACCTTTTGCATATTTTTAAATCAGATTTTTATTTGCTATTTAATAGCTTGAGCTCCTTATATTTTCTGGTTATTAAGGCTTTATCAGATAGATAGTTTGCAGATACTTTCTTCCATTTTTTGTGTTGTCTCTTCACTTTATTGATTGTTTCCTTTGCTGTGCAGAAGCTTTTTGGCTTGATGTGATACCATTTGTCTATTTTTGCTTTGGTTACCTGTGCTTCTGAGGTCTTAGATAAAAAAAAAAAAAAAAAAATGCCAGGACACATGTCCTGGAGCATTTCTCCATTTTTTTTTTCTGGAGGTTTCAAAGTTTCAGTTATTATTTATGACAAATTCACTTTTATTTGATTTTTCATATGGCGAGAGATAGAAGTCTATTTTCTTTTTTCTGTGTATAGTTAGCAGTTTTCCCAGCAATATCTATTGAAGAGACTGGTCTTTCCCCATTCTATGTTATTGCTACCTTTAAAAAATGAAATGGTTGTAAATACATGGATTTCTATATCATAGGTCTTTCACTTCTTTGGTTAATTTCTAGGTATTTAATTTTATAATATTTGTGTCTATTATAAATGAGATTACTTTCTTAATTTCCATTCACACTGTCCACTGTTGGCATACAGAAATGCTACTGATTTTTGCATGTTGATTTTCTATACTGAAACTTTAGTAAATTTGTTACAGTTTTTTTAATCAGTTATAGATTTTTTTGTAGAGACTATCTTTTAGTAAGTACAAGATTATGTCATATGCAAACAAGGATAGTTTTACTTCTTCTTTTCAAATTTGTGTGTCCTTTTTTAAAAAATCTTTTTCGATTGCTCTAGCTAAGATATCCAGTAATATGCTGAATATCAATGGTGAAAGGGGCAACCATGTCGTGCTCTAGATCTTAGATGAAAGTCATTCAGTTCTTCCCTGTTCAGCATAATACTAGGTGCAGGTCTATTGTATATGGCTTTTTATTTATTTATTTTTTTTGGGTGTTGAGGTATTTTCCTGCCATACCCAGTTTATTGAGGGTTTTTGTCATGAAGGGATGTTAAATTTTATTAATTTTTTTTTAGTATCAAGTGAAATAATCATAAAATTATTATTTATTTAGTTTTGAGATGGAGTCTCACTCTGTCCCCCAGGCTGGAGTGCAGTGGTTCAATCTCGGCTCACTGCAACCTCCACCTCCCAGGTTCAAGCTATTCTGCCTCAGACTCGTGAATATCTGGGACTACAGGCACATGCTACCACGCCTGGCTAACTTTGTTTTTTTTTTTTTTTTTTTTTTTTTGTAGTTTTAGTAGAAACGGGATTTTACCATGTTGGCCAGGCTAGTATGGAACTTCTCACCTCAAGTGATCTGCCCACCTTGGCCTCCCAAAGTGTTAGGATTACAGGTGTGAGCCACTGCATCTGGCCAATCATAGAATTTTTGTCCTTTATTCTGTTTATGTGATGTTTTACATTGATTAATTTGTGTATGTTGAACCATCTTTGCATCCCTGGATAAATCCCTCTTGGTCATGATGAATGATCTTCTTAATGTATTGTTGAATTTTGTTTGGTAGTATTTCATTGAGAATATTTGCATCAATATTTATCAAAAATACTGGCCTGCAGTTTTGCTGTTGTTGTTGTTGTTGTTGTTTATTGTTTTTTTTTTAATGTGCCATCTGTTTTTGCTATCAGGGTAATACTGGCCTCATAGTGTGAGTCTGGAAGTATTCCCTCATCTGTTATTTTATGGAATAGTTTGAGTAGGATTGATATTATTTCTTCATTATATGTTTGGTAAAATTCAGCAGTGAAGCCATCGGATTGGAGGCTTTTATTTATTGGGTGATATTTTAGTATGGCTTTAATCTCATTACTTGTTATTTATCTGTTCAGGTTTTGGATTTCTTCATGGTTCAATCTTGGTAGGCTGTATGTGTTAGGAATTTGTTCATCTCTTCTAGATTTTCCAATTTATTGGCAACTGCTCATGGAATTTGTAATGAGTCTTTGAATTTCTATCATGTTCACTGCAATGTCTTCATTTTCATCTGTGATTTTATTTATTTGGATCTTTTTTTCTTAGTCTGGCTAACAGTTTGTCAATTTTGTTTAACTCTTCAAGAAACCAACTTGTCGTTTCATTGATTTTTTATATTGTCTTAATTTTAATTGTAATTTATTTCTGCTCTGACTTTTATTATTTTATTTCTCCTAAAAATTTTGGGGTTGGTCTGCCCCTGCTTACTTAGTTATTTCAGATGTATCCTTAGATTATTTATTTGACTGTTTTTAATTATTTGTAATGTAGGCATTTAGAGCTATAAACTTCCCATTTAGTACTGCTTTTATCATTACATATTGCTCTTCTTTTTCTCTTTATATAGTTTTTGTCATGAAAACTATTGTGTCTGATATAAATATAGCTACTCCTGCTCTTTTTTGGTTTCCATTGGCACAGAATATCCTTTTCCATCACTTTTTCTTTCATCCTACGTGTGTCTTTATAGGTGAAATGTGTTTCTTGTTGGCAACAGATCATTTGGTCTTTTTTTTTTTTTTTTAATCTATTCAGCCACTCTATGTCTTTTGATTGGAGAGTTTAGTCCATTTACATCCAATGTTATTATTGGTAAATAAGAACTTACCCCTGCCACTTTGTTATTTGTTTTCTGGTTATTTTTGTAGTATTTTCTTTCTTCTTCCTTTTCTTCATGTTTTCCTTTCGCTGAAGGTGATTTTCTCTGGTAGTATGCTTTAATTTCTTGATTTTTATTTTTTATGTATCTGGTTTTTGTTTTGGTTTGAGGTTACCATGACACTTGCAAATACAACCTTATTTATTATTTTAAGCTGATAAAAACCTCACTGTTTATATAAACAAACAAGCAAAAAGTAAACTAATGAAAACTCTATGCCTTAATGTCATCCTCCCACTTCTTAACATTGTTGTTTCTATTTATAATTTACTCTACTATCTGTCTTAAAAGGTTGTTATAGTTACAATTCTTAATTGGTTCATAGTTTAGTGTTTCTACTTAAGATACTAGCAGTTTACATACTGCTGTTACAGTGTTATAATATTATGTATTTTTCTGTGCGCTTACTATTACCTGTGAGTTTTGTACCTTCAGATGTTATCTTACTGATTATCTTTCTAATTTAAGTATTCCCTTGAGCATTTCTTATAGGACAAGTGTGGTGTTGATGAAATCCCTCAGCTGTTGTTCTCTGTACTTAAAGGATATTTTCTCTAGATATCCTATTCTAGGATAAAAGTTTCTTTCCTTTGGCACTTTAAATATGTCATTTCTCCTAGCCTGTAAGGTTTCCATTATAAAGTCTGCTGCCAGATATATTGGAGCTCCATTTTGTTATTTTTTTTTCTCTTGCTGCTTTTAGGATCCTTTCTTTATCCTTGACATTGGGAGTTTGATTATTACATGCCCTGAAGTAGTCTTCTTTGGTTTAAATCTGCTAAGTGTTCTATAACCTTCTTGTACTTGGATATTGGCATCTTTCTCTAGGTTTTGGAAGTTTTCTGTTACATCTTTTTAAATAAACTTTCTACTCCTATCTCTTTCTCTACTTCCTCTAGGGCCACTAACACTTAGGCTTGCCATTTGAGGCTGTTTTCTAAATATTGTAGGTGTGCTTCATTTTTTTTCTTTTCTTTTTGGTCTCCTCTGTGTGTTTTCAAATAGCCTGTCTTCAATATCACCAGTTCTTTCTTCTGCCTGATCAGTTCTGCTCTAAAGAGACTCTGATGCATTCTTCAATATCCTAATTGCATTTTTCAGCTCCAGGATATCTGCTTCATTTTAAAAAAATCATTTCAATCTCTTTCTTAAATTTGTCTGATAGAATTCTGAATTCCTTTTCTGTGTTATATTGAATTTATTTATTTTCCTCAACACAGTTATTTTGAATTATTTGTCTGAGAGGTCACATATATTTGTCTCAACAATGCTCCCTGATTCCTTATTTAGTTCATTTGGTAAGGTCATGTTTTCCTGGATGGTCTTGATATTTGCATATGTTTGTTTGTGTCTGGGCATTGAAGAGTTAGGATTTATTTTAGTCTTCTCAGTCTGGGCTTGTTTTAACCCATCCCTCTTGGGAAGGCTTTCCAGATATTTGAAATGACTTGGGTGTTATGATCTAAGCTGTATCTGCTTATGGGGGTACCCCAAGCCCCATAACACTGTGGTTTTTGCAGATTCATTGAGGCACCACCTTGATGGTCTTGGACAAGATCTGGAGGAATACTCTGGATGATGAGGTAGAGAATCTTGTTCTCTTCTCTTCTTTTCAAATGAACAGAGTCTCTCTCTCTCTGTTCTGAGTTACCTGAAGCTGAGGGTGGAGTGACACCAGCACCCTTTGGCCACCAGCACTAGGACTGTACTGGCTCAGACCTGAAGCTAGCACAACACTAGGTCTCACCCAAGGCCTGCTGTAACCACTTCCTGGTAAAAACCTATGTTTGCTCAAGGACTTAGAGCACCACAATCAACAGGTGACAAAGCCAGCCAAGCCTGTGTCCTTTTCTTTAGGGTGGCAAGTCTTTTCAGACCCTGGGCAGGTCCAGAGTTGCCATCCAGGAGTCAGAGACTGGAGTAAAACACTTAGAATTATTCCTGGTGTTCTACCAGACTGTGGCTGAGCTGGTACTCAAACTACATGACACAGTCCTTCTCACTCTTCCCTCTCCTTTTCAAAGGCAGAGAAGCCTCATCCTGTGTCTATCACTACCACAGGCCCATGGGGTCTACCCAGACTACTACCAATGCTCCCTTAAAGTCCAGCAGCTTTTCAGTCAGTTTGTGTTGAATGATGCCTGGCCTGGGACTCATCCTTCAGGGCAATGGGCAACCCTCTGGCCCAGGACAGGTCCAGATCTGTAGTCCCAGAGCCAATGCCTGCAAATGGGGACCACAAGTGCCCACTTGGCACTCTATCTCTGTGTGGCCAAGCTGGTACCTAAGGTTCAAGGCAGAGTCTCCTTAACTTTTCCCACTTTTCTCAAATAGAAGGAGTCTTGCCCTGTAGCCACCAGAGCTGGCAATGTGCTGAGTCTCACCTGAAACCAGCAAGTCTCAGTGTCTCACCCAAAACACTGGAGGTAATACCTGGGCATTGCTACTTGTTATTTAGGGCCCAAGAGCTCTTCAATTAGCAGGTGATGTATCCTGCCAGGACTGGGTATTTCCCTTCAAGGCAGCATGCTTCCTTCTGGCCCAGCTTGTGTCTAGAAGTGTCATTCAGAAGCTAGGGCCTGGAAAGGTGGGTTCATGACTCTGATTGTGCCCTATTCTCCTGTAGCAGAGCTAGTAATCCAAGATGCAAGACTAAGTCCTCCCCACTTTTCTCCCACCTCTCCTCAAGTGGAGGAAAGGGTTCTCTTAGAGTCACAAGCTTTACAACCTGGGGTTAGGGCAGGGGTGATACCAGCACTCCTTTAGTTGCCCAGCTGTCTCAGTAGGCAGTATCTGCCCCCCTCCAACCCCCACCCAGTCCACTGGCTTTGGACCCAGTTCAGCCATAGGACTTGCCTAGGACTTGTAGTCCTTGTGGCCTAGACTTCCTTTAAAGATTATTTGGGGTCCCAGAGCACTTTTGTGTATGGTGGCAAGGCTTGTGGGCACTCAAGTTCAGCTTGCTATTATCAGTGAATCCCCTCTGGCTAGTGTTGGTTTAAATACACCCTCTGTGGGTATGCATCAGCTGAGTTTGGTCCGGTTTTCTTTTCTTCTGTAACAGGGTGAAACTGACTTCAATGCCTCACAATGGCTGTGTGCTTTCCCTCTCCTCAGCAAACAGAAACACTCTCCACATCATGCTGCCACTGCCACTGGGTGGCGGAAGGGTGCTGACAGCAATTTAAGACTGATTTTCTTACCTCTTCAGGGTCTCTTTCAGCAATATGAAGTTACACTCAGGTGCTGTGAGTGAGAGTACTCACCTGATTTTTGGTTCTTATGAAAGTGTTTATTTTGTATAGACAGTTGTTAAACTGGTGTTCTTGTAGGGGGAATGATTCTGTCATCTTGCTCTGCCCCAATCCAACTTTGTTGCTTTTGCTCAAAAGCGCTTTGGCTATTCACTGTCTTTCGTGATTGCACATAAATTTTAGGATATTTTTCTATTTCTGTGAAGATTGTCATTGCTATTGATAGGGATTGCACTGAATTTGTAGTGTATTTTATGTTGTTATCATTTTAGCAATATTAATTCTTCCAATACAATATCATGAAATGTCTTTTCATTTTCCATGTGTCTTCTTCAATTCCTTTTAGCAGGATTTTATAGTATTCCTTGTATAGATCTATTTCTTCAACTACATTTCTTTTTAGATATTTTATAATTTTTGTAGCTATTGTAAATGGGATTGCGTTTTTGGTTTCTTTTTCAGATTGTTCACTGTTGGAGTATATAAATGTTATTGCTTTTCATGTGTTGATTTTGGATCCTGCAACTTTACTGAATTTATTTATCAGTTATAATAGTATTTTTGATGGATTCTTTAGATTTTTTTTAAGTATAAAATTATGATATCTGTGAACAAACTAATTTGACTTCTTCTTTTCCAATGTGGATATCCTTTATTAATTTCTCTTGCCTAATTTCTTTGGCCGGGACTCTCAAAATTATGTTAAATAAAAGTGGTGAAATTGGGCATCTTTTTACTTTTCCAGGTCTTAGAGAAAGGGCTTTCAATTTTCCCCATTTACTGTATTACCTGTGAGTTTGTCATATACGACCTTTACTATTTTTATGTATGTCCTTTTTATAACCAGTATCTTGAGAGTTTTCATCATAAGTAAATGCTGAATTATATCAAATGCTTTTTTAGCATCTATTACAACTATAATATGATTTATAATTGCTGATTATATTAATGTTACATATCATTTTATTCATTTGCATATGTTAATCCATATTTACATATCTGAGATGAATCCAACTTGATCATGGTGAGTGGTCTTTTTAACATGTTTAATTTAGTTTGCTAACATTTTCTTTAGGATTTTTGCATCTATGTTCCTCACTGATATTGGCCTATAGTTTTTTCTTCTTCTTGTAATTTTGGCATTATGGTAATATTGGCCTGATAGAATTAATATGGAAGTATTCTCCCCTCTTCAATTTTTTGAAATTTTTGAGTTGAGTAGGTATCAGTCTTCTTTAAATGTTTGGTAGAATTCAACAGTGAAGATATCAGGCCTTAAGCTTTTCCTTAATGATAAACTTATTACAATTTCAATGTTGTTACTAATTATTAGTTGGTTCAGTCTTCATATGTTGTATGTTTACAGGAATTTTTTAATCTTATAAGTTTCACAAATTGTTGGCCTATAGTTTTCCATGATAGCCTCTAATAATTCTTTCTATTATACTTTTGTAACCTCAGTTGTTTTGCCTCATTTTTCATTTTAATTTATTGTTGTCTTCTCTCTTTTGTTCTTATTATAGCTAAAGGTTTATTGGTTTTGTTTGTTTTCAAGCAAAAAATTTTCTGTTTTGTTGATATTCTGTATTTTTTTAGTCTCAATTTCATTTATTTTCTGCTCTGATATTTCCCATTTCTTTCCTTCAACTAATTTTGGTTTTGATTTTTTCTTGTTTGAGATATACCATTAGGTTGTTGATTTGAAGTCTTTCTACATTTTTTGTATACATTTGCTGTTAAAAAATTTCTGTTTAATACTGCTTTTGCTGCATTGGATAGATTGTGGAATGATGTATTTTCATTTCTTTTTTGGGGGTCAAGAAATTTTAAAATTTACTTCTTAAAAAATTGATAAGGGAGGAGCCAAGATGGCCGAATAGGAAGAGCTCCGGTCTACAGCTCCCAGCGTGAGTGATGCGGAAGATGGGTGATTTCTGCATTTCCATTGGAGGTACTGGGTTCATCTCACTAGGGAGTGCCAGACAGTGGGCACAGGACAATGGGTGCAGTGCACCGTGCACGAGCTGAAGCAGGGTGAGGCATTGCCTCACTCGGGAAGTGCCAGGGGTCAGGGAGTTCCCTTTCCTGGTCAAGAAAAGGGGTGACAGACGGCACCTGGAAAATCGGGTCACTCCCACCCGAATAGTGTGCTTTTCCGACGGGCTTAGGAAACGGCACACCAGGAGATTATATCCCACACATGGCTTGGAGGGTCCTACACCCACGGAGTCTCGCTGATTGCTAGCACAGCAGTCTGAGATCAAACTGCAAGGCAGCAGCGAGGCTGGGGGAGGGGCATCTGCCACTGCCCAGGCTTGCTTAGGTAAACAAAGCAGCCAGGAAGCTCGAACTGGGTGGAGCCCATCACAGCTCAAGGAGGCCTGCCTGCCTCTGTAGGCTCCACCTCTGGAGGCAGGGCACAGACAAACAAAAAGACAGCAGTAACCTCTGCAGACTTAAATGTCCCTGTCTGACAGCTTTGAAGAGACCAGTGGTTCTCCCAGCATGCAGCTGGAGATCTGAGAACAGGCAGACTGCCTCCTCAAGTGGGTCCCTGACACGTGACCCCCAAGCAGCCTAACTGGGAGGCACCCCCCAGTATGGGCAGACTGACACCTCACACGGCCGGGCACTCCTCTGAGACAAAACTTCCAGAGGAAGTATCAGACAGCAACATTCGCAGTTCACGAAAATCTGCTGTTCTGCAGACACCGCTGCTGACACCCAGGCAAACAGCGTCTGGAGTGGACCTCTAGCAAACTCCAACAGACCTGCAGCTGAGGGTCCTGTCTGTTAGACGGAAAACTAACAGACATAAAGGACATCCACACCAAAAACCCATCTGTACATCACACCATCATCAAAGACCAAAAGTAGATAAAACCACAAAGATGGGGAAAAAACAGAGCAGAAAAACTGGAAACTCTAAAAACCAGAGCACCTCTCCTCCTCCAAAGGAACGCAGTTCCTCACCAGCAACGGAACAAAGCTGGACAAAGAATGACTTTGACGAGTTGAGAGAAGAAGGCTTCAGATGATCAAACTACTCTGAGCTACAGGAGGAAATTCAAACCAAAGGCAAAGAAGTTGAAAACTTTGAAAAAAATTTAGACAAATGTATAGCTAGAATAACCAATACAGAGAAGTGCTTAAAGGAGCTGATGGAGCTGAAAGCCAAGGCTCGAGAACTACGTGAAGAATGCAGAAGCCTCTGGAGCTGATGCGATCAACTGCAAGAAAGGGTATCAGTGATGGAAGGTGAAATGAATGAAATGAAGTGAGAAGGGAAGTTTGGAGAAAAAAGAATAAAAATAAACTAACAAAGCCTCCAAGAAATATGGGACTATGTGAAAAGACCAAATCTACGTCTGACTGGTGTACCTGAAAGTGACAGGGAGAATGGAACCAAGTTGGAAAACACTCTGCAGGATATTATCCAGGAGAACTTCCCCAATCTAGCAAGGCAGGCCAACATTCAAATTCAGGAAATACAGAGAACGCCACAAAGATAATCCTCCAGAAGAGCAACTCCAAGACACATAACTGTCAGATTCACCAAAGTTGAAATGAAGGAAAAAATGTTAAGGGCAGCCAGAGAGAAAGGTCGGCTTACCCACAAAGGGAAGCCCATCAGACTAACAGCGGATCCCTCAGCAGAAACTCTACAAGCCAGAAGAGAGTGGGGGCCAATATTCAACATTCTTAAAGGAAAGAATTTTCAACCCAGAATTTCATATCCAGCCAAACTAAGCTTCATAAGTGAAGGAGAAATAAAATCTTTTACAGACAAGCAAATACTGAGAGATTTTGTCACCACCAGGCCTGCCCTAAAAGATCTCCTGAAGGAAGCACTAAACATGGAAAGGAACAACCGGTACCAGCCACAGCAAACTCATGCCAAAATGTAAAGACTTTCGAGTCTAGGAAGAAACTGCATCAACTAACGAGCAAAATAACCAGCTAACATCATAATGACAGGATCAAATTCACACATAACAATATTAACTTTAAATGTAAATGGACTAAATGCTCCAATTAAAAGACACAGACTGGCAAATTGGATAAAGAGTCAAGACCCAGCAGTGTGCTGTATTCAGGAAACCCATCTCACGTGCAGAGACACACATAGGCTCAAAATAAAAGGACGGAGGAAGATCTACCAAGCAAATGGAAAACAAAAAAAGGCAGGGGTTGCAATCCTAGTCTCTGATAAAACAGACTTTAAACCAACAAAGATCAAAAGAGACGAAGAAGGCCATTACATAATGGTAAAGGGATCAATTCAACAAGAAGAGCTAACTATCCTAAATATATATGCACCCAATACAGGAGCACCCAGATTCATAAAGCAAGTCCTGAGTGACCTACAAAGAGACTTAGACTACCGCACAATAAGCATGGGAGACTTTAACCCCCCACTGTCAACATTAGACAGATCAACGAGACAGAAAGTTAACAAGGATACCCAGGAATTGAACTCAGCTCTGTACCAAGCAGACCTAATAGACATCTACAGAACTCTCTGCCCCAAATCAACAGAATATACATTTTTTCAGCACCACAACACACCTAGTCCAAAATTGACCACATATTTGGAAGTAAAGCTCTCCTCAGCAAATGTAAAAGAACAGAAATTATAACAAACTGTCTCTCAGACCACAGTACAATCAAACTAGAACTCAGGATTAAGAAACTCACTGAAAACCACTCAACTACATGGAAACTGAACAACCTGCTCCTGAATGACTACTGGGTACATAACAAAATGAAGGCAGAAATAAAGATGTTCTTTGAAACCAATGAGAACAAAGACACAACATACCAGAATCTCTGGGACACATTCAAAGCAGTGTGTAGAGGGAAATTTATAGCACTAAATGCCCACAAGAGAAAGAAGGAAAGATCCAAAATTGACACCCTTACATCACAATTAAAAGAACTAGAAAAGCAAGAGCAAACACATTCAAAAGCTAGCAGAAGGCAAGAAATAACTAAAATCAGAGCAGAACGGAAGGAAATAGAGACACAAAAAACCCTTCAAAAATTAATGAATCCAGGAGCTGGTTTTTTGAAAGTATCAACAAAATTGATAGACTGCTAGCAAGACTAATAAAGAAAAAAAGAGAGAAGAATCAAATAGACACAATAAAAAATGATAAAGGGGATATCACCACCGATCCCACAGAAATACAAACTACCATCAGAGAATACTATAAACACCTCTATGCAAATAAACTAGAAAATCTAGAAGAAATGGATAAATTCCTCGACACATACACTCTCTCCCAAGACTAAACCAGGAAGAAGTTGAATCTCTGAATAGACCAATAACAGGATCTGATATTGTGGCAATAATCAATAGCTTACCAACCAAAAAGAGTCCAGGACCAGATGGATTCACAGCTGAATTCTACCAGAGGTATAAGGAGGAACTGGTACCATTCCTTCTGAAACTATTCCAATCAATAGAAAAAGAGGGAATCCTCCCTAACTCATTTTATGAGGCCAGCATCATCCTGATACCAAAGCCTGGCAGAGACACAACCAAAAAACAGAATTTTAGACCAATATCCTTGATGAACATTGATGCAAAAATCCTCAATAAAATACTGGCAAACCGAATCCAGCAGCACATCAAAAAGCTGATCCACCATGATCAAGTGGGCTTCATCCCTGGGATGCAAGGCTGGTTCAATATATGCAAATCAATAAATGTAATCCAGCATATAAACAGAACCAAAGACAAAAACCACATGATTCTCTCAATAGATATAGAAAAGGCCTTTGACAAAATTCAACAATGCTTCATGCTAAAAACTCTCAATAAACTAGGTATTGATGGGACATATCTCAAAATAATAAGAGCTATCTATGACAAACCCACAGCCAATATCATACTGAATGGGGAAAAACTGGAAGCATTCCCTTTGAAAACTGGCACAAGACAGGGATGCCCTCGCTAACCACTCCTATTCAACATAGTGTTGGAAGTTCTAGCCAGGGCAATTAGGCAGGAGAAGGAAATAAAGGGTATTCAATTAGGAAAAGAGGAAGTCAAATTGTCCCTGTTTGCAGACGACATGATTGTATATCTAGAAAACCCCATTGTCCCAGCCCAAAATCTCCTTCAGCTGATAAGCAACTTCAGCAAAGTCTCAGGATACAAAATCAATGTACAAAAATCACAAGCATTCTTATACACCAACAACAGACAAACAGAGAGCCAAATCATGAGTGAACTCCCATTCACAATTGCTTCAAAGAGAATAAAATACCTAGGAATCCAACTTACAAGGGATGTGAAGGACCTCTTCAAGGAGGACTACAAACCACTGCTCAGTAAAATAAAAGAGGATACAAACAAATGGAAGAACATTACATGCTCATGGGTAGGAAGAATCAATATCGTGAAAATGGCCATACTGCCCAAGGTAATTTACACATTCAATGCCATCGCCATCAAGCTACCAATGACTTTCTTCACAAATTGGAAAAAACTACTTTAAAGTTCATATGGAACCAAAAAAGAGCCCCCATCGCCAAGTCAATCCTGAGCCAAAAGAACAAAGCTGGAGGCATCACGCTACCTGACTTCAAACTATACTACAAGGCTACAGTAACCAAAACAGCATGGTACTGGTACCAAAACAGAGATATAGATCAATGGAACAGAACAGAGCCCTCAGAAATAATGCCGCATATCTACAACTATCTGATCTTTGACAAACCTGAGAAAAACAAGCAATGGGGAAAGGATTCCCTATTTAATAAATGGTGCTGGGAAAACTGGCTAGCCATATGTAGAAAGCTGAAACTGGATCCCCTCCTTACACCTTATACAAAAATTAATTCAAGATGGATTAAAGACTTAAACATTAGACCTAAAACCATAAAAACCCTAGAAGAACACCTAGGCATTACCATTCAGGACATAGGCATGGGCAAGGACTTCATGTCTAAAACACCAAAAGCAATGGCAACAAAAGCCAAAATTGACAATGGGATCTAATTAAACTAAAGAGCTTCTGCACAGCAAAAGAAACTACCATCAGAGTGAACAGGCAACCTACAGAATGGGAGAAAATTTTTGCAACCTACTCATCTGACAAAGGGCTAATATCCAGAATCTACAATGAACTCAAACAAATTTACAAGAGAAAAACAAACAACCCCATCCAAAAGTGGGCAAAGGATATGAACAGACACTTCTCAGAAGAAGACATTTATGCAGCCAAAAGACACATGAAAAAATGCTCATCATCACTGGCCATCAGAGAAATGCAAATCAAAACCACAGTGAGATACCATCTGACATCTGTTAGAATGGCAATCATTAAAAAGTCAGGAAACAACAGGTGCTGGAGAGGATGTGGAGAAATAGGAACACTTTTACACTGTTGGTGGGACTGTAAGCTAGTTCAACCATTGTGGAAGTCAGTGTGGCGATTCCTCAGGGATCTAGAACTAGAAAAACCATTTGACCCAGCCATCCCATTACTGGGTATATACCCAAAGGAATATAAATCATGCTGCTATAAAGACACATGCACACATATGTTTATTGCAACACTATTCACAATAGCAAAGACTTGGAACCAACCCAAATGTCCAACAATGATAGACTGGATTAAGAAAATGTGGCACATATACACCATGGAATACTATGCAGCCATAAAAAATGATGAGTTCATGTCCTTTGTAGGGACATGGATGAAACTGGAAATCATCATTCTCAGTAAACTATCACAAGGAGAAAAAACCAAACACTGCATGTTCTCACTCATAGATGGGAATTGAACAATGAGAATACATGGACACAGGAAGGGGATCATCACACTCTGGGGACTGCTGTGGGATGGGGGGAGGGGGGAGGGATAGCATTAGGAGATATACCTAATGCTAAATGACAAGTTAATGGATGCAGCACACCAGCATGGCACATGTATACATATGTAACTAACCTGCACATTGTGCACATGTACCCTAAAAGTTAAAGTATAACAAAAAAATTGATAAAATATTGATTTGACTTCCCATCTTCCAAGAAGCTACATGTATATATCAAAGCTTATGTCTAGATGAAGAAGCAAATACTGCAGAGATATAGTCAAAATGTCTTTTTACTCTCACCTAGAAAGTGACTGGCAAAATGACATAACATAGGCAAGGTTTTTTTATTTGTTTGTTTTATTGTTTTTTTTTTTTTCAAGTAGCTCTGACAGGCAACAAGCAATATAGTGTATGTCTTCTTTAAGCTAGTAATTTTAGTGATATCATCAATTAATAAATTTTTATATCCCCAAGTCTTCAGCCATACCCAGTAGAAAAGGTTTATGGAAAACATTTGTGATTTCACTCATCATTTACTTTAAATATTTAAAGGTTTTGGCCGGGTGCGGTGGCTCACACCTATAATCCCAGCACTTTGGGAGGCCAAGGTGGGCGGATCACAAGGTCAGGAGATTGAGACCATCCTGGCTAACATGGTGAAACCCCGTCTCTACCAAAAATACAAAAAATTAGCCAGGTGCGGTGGTGGGCACCTGTAGTCCCCGCTACTTGGGAGGCTGAGGCAGGAGAATGGCGTGAACCCGGGAGGCAGTACTTGCAATGACCTGAGATCATGCCACTGCACTCCAGCCTGGGTGACAGAGCAAGACTCCGTCTCAAAAAAAAAAAAAAAAAAAATTTAAAGGTTTTAAGTAGTTATAGATTCATAGGAAGTTACAAAATAATGTAAGGAGTGGACTTGTGTACTCTTCACCTAGTTTCCCCCAGTGGTAATTTTGCATATAACTACAATGTAATTTCAAAACCAGAAAGTTGAAATTGGTATAATCCACAGAGTTTATGTAAACCTCTGTTTTAGATGCACTCATTTATGTTGGCATCTGTTCTATGCATTTTTATCATCTGTGTTGACTTGTATCATAACCACCACAAACAAGGCACAAAACTATTCCATCACCACAAGTTTCCAACATGCTGCTCTTTTATATTCACACACCCATTTCCAATATTTTGGGACTGGCTTTTTTATTCAATATAATTCTTAAGAGATTCCATCCTGGCTGTTGTATGTATCAAGTTTATTCTTTGTAATGCTCAGTAGTATTTCATGATACAGATATATCACAATTTGCTTAATCATTCACATTTAGAAGGACATTTGGATCATTTTCAGTTCAGGAGGTATTACAAATAAATCTGCTATGAATATTCATGCACAGATTTTGTATAAAAATAAGTTTTCATTTCTCTGAAATAAATGCCCAAGTGTGCTATTTCTACATCATATGGTAAGTGCATATTTAGTATTACAAGTAACTACTGAACTGTCATCGGCAGTGGTTATATCGTTTTAAATTTCCAGTGGTAAACCATGAGCATGATCAGCTTTTTTCATCTTCACCAACATTTGATATTATCACTATATTTTTATTTTAGCTATTTTGATAGGTATTATGCCTTTTAAAACCATGATAAGGTGGAATAAATATATTTGGTTAGTTACATGAATAGTTAATTTGAAAGTTTTAGATATAGTAAAATAAAAATAAAGCATGTCATTGGCTACATGAATGTGTAATTTTAACATCATAAATGAGTAATTATAACATCATTAATAAAGTCACAGAAATTAAATAATGGAAAAGTGTTGAACCTGAGTCTCCAAGTCTTAATTTCAAATTTGTGCTCTATTATTTACTTGTTTTTGTGACCTTGGGTATGTCACCTTAGCTCTCTGCTCCTCATTTTCTTTATATGAGAGTATAAAATACCAATTTCCAAAGTTTGGGTGGGAATATAACAAAACAATGCTGTTAAAAACTTATAAACACTAAAAGATATTGTTATTATAAACTACTAAGTAAATAACACTAATCATGGCTTCATAATTTCTGATAGGGAATTATGATAATGTAGTCTTATAGGAATCAATAAAGCTAAGCTAGATTAGATATGTGTGACAAGAAACAGTTCAGGTACATATGACATGTAAGAAGCAACAAATATCTTTTATTCTAAATATGACATAGAAGAAATACTGTGATAATACATGTCTATTCTCTTATTAAGTTTTAAACAATTCAAAATCTAGAATTCAAAATCTAGAGTTCTTTTAAATTATTTTTAATATCTTATAGGTGTATGTATGAGCCATAAGAAACAAAAAAGAGAATAGCAATCTCTTTGGAAGCAAATCGTCTAAAAAATAAATTTATCTGCTCAAATTGATATGAGAATATAGGAGAAAATTTTTTCAATTCCTACAACCCCACACATAGTACATTGTTTTTGAAATTGTTAAGAATTCATGCAGAAAATTGCAAATGATACTGAAAAAGCAACATCAGCTTATTTTAAATTGCTGAGCTAGAAGATTTTATAGGGAAGACAAGAAACAGGTGTTTATTTTTAAATAGCACTACTCCCTGTAATAGCTACATAAACATTCCAAAATGAAATATTTTGTTAATACTAGATAATTCCAATAATGAAGATGTAATGGCCAATTAAAGTAACTTATTTTGTTTGTATTCTGTGGTAATAAGAGTAACTTTAGATATTGTTTTCATTGTAAAATATTGATGATTTTCATGTATTAAAGCCTTCTCGTTGCCTTAGAATATGTAAAATGCAGTAGTACATAAAATGTTACATCAATTTTATTCTATTAATTGTTTCCATAAACTCTTACATAGAGTGTTATTGCAGAACCTTTCTTAATGAACCTGTTTTATGCTGAGTAGATTGTGAATAGTCATTGCTTATTCATTGCAATATTCCTGTCTAATTCAGCTTTAAGTTGGTGTCACATTAGGACTTACCTTAGGTAAGAGTATGAACTTTTAAGTTAAGAATAAGTTTGGTGCACTGCTCCCTTTCTAACTGCAATATCTCAAATTCCTCCCATTTCTCATGCTATTTAATTATCAGAAAACAACTCAAATAAACTTTATAAATAACTTCATTTTAAGTATTTGCACTTACTAAAATAAACTGTATAAAAGTAGCCATTGCTTAAACTTTCTTGTTAGGTTTACTCCTTGAGCTTTCCTAGCTCACAGTGTTCTCTGTCTCTCACCCCATTTTCTTCAATTCTTGAGGGACTTAATCAGAATTCTCCTTCCTCTGTTTACACACCTGCACATTTTTATACCCAGATCTCATAACAAAGAAGTCTCACTAAAAGGAGCATTTGCCATCCTTTCTTCCTTAATGGCTTTATATGGCATATAATTAGCCATCTGTGTGATATTTTCCTACAGAAAAAAAATTTAATGGCTTTATATTGCTACAAGTATATATCATAATATATACATATATATATTTTTTTTTGACTTGGAGTCTCACTCTGTCACCCAGGCTGGAGTACAGTGGCATGATCTCTGCTCACTGCAAGCTCTACTTCCTGGGTTCACGCCATTCTCCTGCCTCAGCCTCCGGAGTAACTGAGACTACAGGCACCCGCCACCACGCCCGGCTAATTTTTTGTATTTTTAGTAGAGATGGGGTTTCACCGTGTTAGCCAAGATGGTCTCGATCTCCTGACCTCATGATCTGCCTGCCTTGGCCTCCCAAAGTGCTGGGATTACAGGTGTGAGCCACCGCGCCTGGCCTCATAATAATATTAATCAAGTTTCTACTGGTGGACTGTTGGTTGTTTTAGATTTTTCAAAAATTTTAAACAATGCTAAAATAAGCTCTCTTATAAATACAGCTCTTATTTTTATCAATATAACACATTTTAGAAATACAATATTTGAGAATCAAAGGAATATTTTTAAAAAATACTTCTCGGAAGAGTTTTAAAAATTTATAATTGCACACACAAATCAAAACAAAACAAAATCACAAATGTAGACATCCATCAACAGCGTGTAAGACTCAAATCCCTCCATATTTGCCAATCTAGTGCATTATAGTTTTTCTTAAATTTTTATACCATTGGAAGGTAAGAAAATTAATCTTGATATTTAATTGTATTTATTTGGTTATTTTTAGGTTTAAATTTTCTACACACACTACTAATCATTCAATACCTATTATTTTGGAACATGTTTATATATGTGTGTTCATTTGTTTCCAATAGGATCAAAAAAACATACTTTAGGAGAATTATTTTTACAGCACCATGTGTTATCATCAATTAGAAGAGCATCACAATGTTCCATGAATGGGTCATGATTACATGAATTTGGGTGTTGAGGGTACAAATATGAAACAAAGGAAAATGAGAAATAGTGAATCACAGATGAATTCGTGGACCTCAGGTCAAGTGACTCAGAAAAAGGTGAAACACTAACTGAAGGGAATATTGGTCCGGGATAAAGATCAAGAGTTTATCATTGAAGGTGGGAAGTTTTGTACGAGAGCCGTACCTCCAAGCAGAAGTGGCCCATACACAATTAAAGATATGAGACACTGTCTGGGTTGAGAGGATAGACCATATTAGTTACCTGTAAATATATACCCACTAAACATCACATTTAAATACTCATAGCAGTGTTGTCAGTGACAGAATATATATTACATAACATAAATCTCTCATCACTACCCAGATGGAACATAATTTATTTATGATACATTATATACTATTTGTACTAATGTAGGTAACCAATGCTAGTGTATATTTCTAAACAATAGGATTTATATCCAGCCTTGTAAAGTTTTGATGAACTTATATTTGTCCTCTATCAGTGAGCTGTGATTATTGGAATATGAGCATACTTTAAAAATTCACCATGTAAAAATTTGAAATGGGAGATTTGAAAAATTATCCAGATTCCCTATTCTGCTCCAAACTTGTATCCCCTATCAATTGCAGAAATTAAATTACCTCTCAAACCAAGATAAGGTAGCTGTCTAAACAATCGCAGCTTCCCTCTAAGCCTGCTCTGCAAATATTTTTCACACCTCTTGCCATGAACATTGCACCCCAGAAAAACAGCATGCTGCAATGGGAAAACAGGTGAACTTGAAAAAACTACAAAAGGCTGAAGGGCAAAATTTAACTACAAAATTGGGATTGCTTTAATTTTGTCAAAAACCCAAGATGCATCTGGGAAATGTATGTTTAATTTGCAAGTGGCAGCCTTTAAGGTGTCTGTCAAGAGAGGGCAGGATAGAAGACAGACGAGCAAGTGTAGGGCTAGGCAGCTCTTTCTGTCCTTCAGGATATAGATACTGCCCCCACTGGACTTTAGAAGCCATTTGAGGGAATTAAATCAGAAGCAGAGTCCAGCTTTGAGGAAACAAGTTAGAATGGAAAAAGAAGGTCCCAGGTTGATTTTTAATTATACAGTTGTAAATATTGGGAAATATTGTAAATGAATGAACAGATTATTGCTGACCAGACTTCCCTGAAGCCTCACTTGGAGGTTGTGGAGCATCTGCACTCTCTAACATGGTTCTGCCCTCTCCAGCCTGCATGGGTCCTGGATAAGATGGTCACAGCTTACTTCAAGGTTTTCCATGATGCTGAGAGGAAGCCAGGATGTTTCAGTCTGAATGTTCACTGTATCACTGACTTTTTTGGCAGGCTGAACAGAGCATTAGGACATGCAAAGGCCTTAACTAATACAGCATTATCTGGTTTCAAGAAAAATCCCCCTGCTGTATTTCAGGAAGCACAGAAGGTACACTGAAACATATACTAAAGATGCACTCAGTCAAACAAATTTATCTACTCTCTTCAACTGCATAATGAAAACTTTTAAGAGTTGTTTAAAACAGAATCTAGAAAGCCTGGAAACTACATTCAAACTCTGTTCATAATCAAATGTGAATGTAAGAAGAGACAAGAACTCAGAATGATTCTAAATAGTAAACTCAAAAGCTGTTTTGTTTTCATTTCAAATAGGTGTGAGTTATATCAAACATGCTGGAATTTTCATACAGGCACATTTCCACACCTGTAAGTCTAAGTAAACTCATTTCTTCCGTGAATGATGTTGTACATAGAGGTATAAATGTTTCCAATGTTATCACTATAAATGCACTTTCATATATAACATGATCATTCTTTTATTGTTTTTTGGTGACTATAGGATCATTAAGTTTCAATATTGCCTATCTCTTTTCTAAATGGTTTTCTAGTAAATCACTTGTATGGTTTTATTTTTTTCAACATGGGTTTAAGATTCTTATTGATTACTTCTGGAAAAGCGAGATTCCAGCAAATTGCATTTGCTGAAAAGATCAATGGCCCGTTAGACTGGCATTTTATAAAGACCTAAACTAGGTGCTTCAGTGGAAGGCCAGAAAAAAAATTACCTTTTATAAAGCACCTGTCCAATTGTTCAATATTACACCTCAGGGGAAAATTTTTTCCTAACTCCAGCTGGTTATCATTTTATGCTTTGAAACACAAGGATTGATGACCCTTGTAATTTTAGCCTGGCTTGTAAAACTGCACATAGTTTATTATTTATATTCACATAAATGCCCTTTCTATTGTTTTAATCTTCCTAAGATACTGTCCACAATAATTTTCAGGAGCATCAGGCTTCAAAAGAAGTACTTTAAAAAATGATTTCTGAGAGAAACAAACATTTGGCAAATACATAGGATGAGTCTACCTGACATTATTGCATTTTAGATTGTTCTACCCTAAATGTGAGATAAGCAGAGCAGGGTGGACAGAAGACAGCTATGGAAACAGTTTATCATGGAATTTCTATATTTTCTTTCTTTACTGTGTTACTGAACGAACAATGTGACCTGATTCTTCATTCGACTTACCTTCATAACTAACATTTGTGTTTTCCCCTATCCTCCCAATTAAAAGACTAGAGATTTAGTTTAATAGTTTAATCATTATGATCCTAAAATTTAAAGATCTGGGATTTGTCCCTAAATTAGTCACTGACCTGCTTCATGACCTTGGAGAAATTGTTTTCTTTCTATGGGTTTCATTGGTTTGCTGCATCTGCATCATCTGTAGATACTGATAGTTTGTGCTACAAAATCAGCCCACCTAAGTTCTCGTAGGTTTATTCCTACCAATAATTTCTGACTGGAATTAAGAAAGTCAGATATACAGAGAGTCTCACAGAGAGTCTCCAGTCGGCCCTGGATTCTAGATGTTCACCAAGCCCCATTTCCTCCTCATTCTTACCTTTATGGGGATGTCATGTAAACTCCACTCCATGTCCTTTATTCAGATGTCAACTACTTTAGGGAATTTTACTGGAGTTTCTTCTATCTTTATTTCTGATCCCCATGACCTTGCCATGATCCTTCTCCCCAGGTTCGCAGCCCCTGATGAGTGCCCTGTTCCCAGAGAGTATTACTTATATAGAATCACAATGCTGCCACACAGTGCTCAAGTACTGTCATTATCAAGAAATAACACACACTGGGGCCTGTAGGAGGGTGGGAGGTGGGAGGAGGGAGAGTGTCAGGAAGAACAACTAAGGATGCTGAGCTTAATACCTAGGTGATGGGATGATCTGTGTACCAAACCACCAAGGCATATGTTTACCTATGTAACAAACCTGCACATCCTGCACGTGTACCCCTGAACTTAAAATAAAAGTTGGGGAAAAAAGAAATGCTGCTTTCTCATCCTAGCCATGACCATGGGCCTCTTTCTGTATCAACAAGAGGATGAAAGTAACTTTCAATGGCCAATCTGTTTAATTTTCTCAAGGGAAGTCCTACAGCTTGCCCTGCTATTACTTCATTCAAATTCTAGCTGTTTCCCATCCCAGCAGCCTGCTGAAATGTACCCAGTAAGCTTAAAGACAAAGATTGTCTGTGATATGATGTTTTCCTTTTGTTATATTAAAAAACTAAATGAGATTAACTCTAAGGCCTTGTGTAAACCTCACTTCATATGACGTATTATTTCAATACAAGGCATGATATACAAGATGCACTCACTAAATATCCACTGTTTGAGCAACAATGATACATAAATAGCCTATCATGAATTGCAGGTAACTGCATTTTATAAAGAGAAAAATCTGAGTTTTAAATTACTTAAACTAATTCTGTCCTCTAGATAAGAAATTTTATTGCTATTAACGGTGTAAGATTCATTCACAGCTTAAGACAAATAACAGCAGAGAGTAACCGTATCAGGAGACCCATCTCACGTGCAGAGACACACAAAGGCTCAAAATAAAGGGATGGAGGAAGATCTACCAAGCAAATGGAAAACAATAAAAAGCAGGGGTTGCAATCCTAGTCTCTGATAAAACAGACTTTAAACTTTCTAGACATTGGTTCAGAAGAAGGTTTTTGTGTTTTGTTTTGTTTTCAATTCCCCTGCACTGGTAAGATATTTGGAAAGAAGATGTCTGAGGGGAGAGGGGAACAGGAGACTAGCATTTCCTCTTATGAAAAGCACATTTTCATCCACACAGGATATGTGGCTACGTGGAGGTTATTGTTTAAATGAACAGCTGGTGATGAAGGCTTCTGTATGCTTTTTATGTTCTCTTCAATACTAATAGAGGAAGCCTGGCAATGATAATTTTTCAATCCTTTGTACACAGTTCTAAATAAGTACAAGTTTGAGTAATTTTATATAATAGGAAACAGAATGCTAGACATTACCCAGTGTTGAGGATAAAAATTTAAGTAATATACATTTTCTAGTTTATATAATATTATTTAATATAAATAGCTGCAATTTAAATAAAAAGAGTAAATTATTACATTGAGTTTAAAATACCATAGAGTACACATATCTTATTAAATATTATTAATTTTGAAAGTATTGTTAGCACTGTTTTGGCAGGCAATTCACAGATATAGAAAACATTTCTCTTCATATTTTCTGGCCCAGTAATCCCCATGTAATGGCTTTAAATTATTCTGCACATTGGATTTGAAGTTATACAGACGACAGCTACAGTTTGGAAAACAGTTCTAACAGTCCTGAATTCCAAGAGAAGGAGAGATGCTGATGTGTAGCTAGTTCAATATAGTGTGATGATTTTCAAAATTGTGCATAAGGAAGACTTAGGCACTGGTTTAGAGAGTAGAGTCCCACAGTTGCTGTCAGAGAAAATTATATTCCATAGAGTGAAATGGGGCTCATTACTTTTTTTAAACCATCTCTGCAAGTTATTTTAGGGGGTTATTCATAACATATCTTTAAAAAAAATAACCTTTGGCAATATTAGCAGAAATTGGAAGTGACACAGAGGACACAGTAAAAGGAATATAAAGAGTCTCTTTTGGAACATGCTCAAGAGGACATGTCCAGTGAGGGTGAATATGTGGATTTCAAGTCTGTGGCCAAAAAGATATGGATTTTAAGAAGTCTGCTTGAGGCAAGTCATGTGGAGAGGGCAAAGGCTGAGGAAAGTGCCTAAGAAATTTCTCAACGTAAGTAGATATGATGTTCTACCATTAGAAACAATACTCTTGGCCACATCGAACATTTAATAAATTATTTGCTCTAAATTATATTTCTGGGAGTTTTCTCTCAATCTGTTTGAAGCAGGGTGTTTCTATTATTAAAATTAAGTATTCTGATTAAGGAAGACATTTATGAATATTTTAATTCATAAAATTTTACATTTTATCTACACAGTCTAACTAATCAAATAAACCCAGAGCAATATGTGTTCATCTATTTCACTAAAATTCAATACCAATCACAATTGTCTCTAGAACTAACCAAAGTGTATGCAAAAATTCAAATATACTTTGTAAAGGTAGTGTTATCTGGTCTTGAAAAAGAAGGGAGATTCTTTGGAATATTCTGTAACTCATTCAATATAAATTCTATAAAATGGTAAAAAAGAAGAAAACAAAAAGTGTTCTGAGAGCTACTTACTATATCAGCCTTTGGCTATTCTATAATCACTTTTCATTATGGACTGAAATTAAATAATTATAAAGCAGGCATAATTTCATAGCTAACCACCCAAACGCTGGAGAGAGTTAAAAGCAATATTAAATTTTAGAGGTAATGGTATTTTTCAATGCAAATGAGTTTCACCTTCTTTTGCCTCAAGGGAGAGAAATGCTCAGGGACTTTTGTTGTCATCAAGAGCAGCTGAAAGGCATCATGATTAATTTGAATTTCTAGCACGATGAAAAGTAATGAAATATGAGTACATGTAATTCAATACAAGAATTTGTGTGTGCATGAATAATACATGGTGCCTATGCCTTTTTTTCCCAGCTATTATTGGCCATTTTGTTGTTTTCCCAAAAATATGCATAGAGCAATGAAGTGGTATTAGTACTCTCATCTATCTTTAAAGCCTCTAAATTTTCAAGGGCATGTCTATAATATGATATACGTATACACACAGTCATCTTTTTTGCATATTTTAAATATAAAGAAGCTAAAGTGTCCCAGAGTAAATATTATATATGTAGAATTCATGTTTTTTACTTCATAGGAGAAAACCTGGACAATCTAGTGAATTACTTATGTCACAGGAATACTACGAAATGACCATTTTAGTTGGTTTTTTAATGTGTGAAAAATACATGCACTTTTAAATTATTCAATTAATTTATAATAATGTTAAAACTTTTTTTCCTCCTAAATATGGTAGACATCTTCTTGTAAGCCAATATTTTAAATTCAAATGGATGATAAAAAGTAAAAGACTATGTCTGGCACTGGGTGTTTACTTCAAAATACCAAGCTTCCCATACACAATGCTAAGTGTATAAATTAGCACAAAAGGCCTATTTATATAAAAAACTGATTTTGATTTTCCAGTTAAAAATTGAATATCTTAAAAGACATCTATATTAATAATAATAATAAAATTTGATTAACATTCTATGTTTCATAATATATAGATATATGGTTTGCTAATTTAACACAAGTCCTGTGTATCAATTATTATATTATTAATTTCAATTTTCTAGATAAGAAAATGAATTTCCAGAAAAATTAAGTAATCATCCAAGAGATTTTAGGTAAGTTATATAATTCATGGGTGGCAGCATGAGGACATAAACCTATTTCTAAATAGCTCTAAAATCTGATATTTTAATTTATTTTATCAGCTTTTAAAAAATGTTTTGTAAAGAGTATCAGTCTTAGTGGAGGTGAATAGATGTTACATACTAACAAACTCGCCACACAAAATTGACAATACATTCTGTAAATGCTGGATTAAAATTAAACAGTTATTTTACTGTAATATTTCTCAGAATGTTTAATACTTTAGTGAGCAATGCAAATTTCCAAGAGGAAAGCGGAAAGTGTGGCATTTCCTAAACTAATATGAAAGCAGATTCCTTTGCCCAAAGGGGATAATTTTTTTACGAACTATAATTGTGTGCATACTCTAATCTGCTAGGGTGCCAAGATGTGGCATATTTATCCATCAGATAAGTTATAGCTTAACCTATCTGATTTAATATAAGTATTAAAATAAATATTTTATATGTAAATATAAATACTTATTGACTAGTCAACAGATCAGATAATTTGAATAAACACAAATTCAAATGCATGTTTGGCCTTTTTCCAGTGATGGCTTGGTTTCCCACATTCTGCATCCTGTGTCTTCCTATACAGGTGAGGTCACGAATCCTTGACTTGCAAGCTCAGCCTTTCTCTTGTCACTAGGATGAGATATCACCTTAATCTGGTAGGATTCTCACCCAATATTCTGTGCCAGTACGAAGTGGCTGGCTGTGCAATGCCAACCTGACTTAGATCTTGCCCTGCATGGATAACTGAACGATTACTTTGATCTGAATTACTGTTTTGTGTGATAGACTAAATATTTGTGTTCCCCCAAAATTCTTATGTTGATATATCATTCTCAATGTGATAGCATGTAGAGGTGGGGCCTTTGGGAGATAATTAGGTTATGAGAGTGGAGTCCCCATGATTGTGACTAGTGCCACTATGAAAGATATTCCTGAGAACTCCTTGCCCCTTCTGCCATGTGAAGACAAAGAAAAAAGACAGCCATCTATGAAGTGAGCCCTCAACAGACAACACATCTGTTGGAACTTTGATCTTGGACTTCTCAGCCTCCAGAACTGTGGGAAATAAATTTCTGTTGTTTATAAGCCACCCAGTCTATGGTACTCTGTATAGGAACCTGAACAACTAAGACACCCTGCTAATACATGCTTAATAAATGTATGAAAAATAAATGCTCAATATCACTAATCATCAAGGTATTGGCAAATAAAGTGACACTAAGAAAAATAATAACTTTAAAAAATTATAATATTCGGTATTAAATAGTAAGTGCTTATAAAGAACATATTCTTACCATACAATTGAGAATGTAAATCTATATACTTTTAATAGGGAATTTTACAGTATAAATCAAAACATACAAAAGGTTTCATAACCTTAGAGACAGTTATTTTTCTGGAGATAAATCTAAAAATAATTTCCGGCAAATATTTATGTAGAAGATGTTTGTTTAATTTTTATTATGATAGTGAAATTTCCAAGTGAAAAAATGAATTATGTTATATCCATGCAATACAAAATATTATCTAGTTACTCAATGATGTTTGCAAAAATGTAATGACATGGAAATTGTTTATAATATAATGTGATGTTAGATATAAAGAAAGAACATTTATATACAAGTTTTATTTAATTTGTGCCAATATGCAAAAAAAGGTTTTGATATATTTCCACAAACTGTTTATGAGTGGTCAAATTATTTTTTTTTTTTGTATTTTTGACTTAAATAACATCCTCCACCCAAAGTACTGTCAAAGTATGCAATGATAGCAATATATATAATTAGGTAAATGCTTCCATGATATTTTGACAAACGCGCTTGTTTACTGAGTTATTTTCAAATCACATTTTTTTCCACAATTGTATAGAAAAACCTTAACCACTGTATTTGTATTTTTATTCTCAAAATCTGCTTTGGAATTCAAAATGTCAAATGTTAACATATCCTTTAATTTTTACAACTGGCACTTTCTTTTTTATTATATTTCATTTCAATAGTTTTTGGGGAACAGGTGGTTTTTGGTTACATGGATAAATTCTTTAGTGGTGATTTCTGAGATTTTGGTGCACCCGTCACTTGAGCAGTGTACACTGTACCCAATGTGTAGCCTTTTATTTCTCACCCTCCTCTCACCCTTCCCTGCCGAGTCCCCAAAGTCTATTATATCATTTTTATGTCTTTGCATCCTCATAGCTTAGCTCTCACTTATAAGTGAGAACATAGGGTATTTGGTTTTCCATTCCTGAGTTACTTCACTTAGAATAATGGTCTCCAATTCCATCCAGGTTTCTGCAAATGCCATTATTTTGTTCCTTTTTATGGCTGAGTAGAATTCCATGGATACATATACCATATTTTCTTTATCCACTTGTTAGTTGTTGGATGTTTAGGCTGGTTCCATATTTTTGCAATTGTGAATTTTGCTGCTAAAAACATGCATGTGCAAGTACATTGTTCATTTAATGACTTATTTTCCTTTGCGTAGATAACCAGTAGCGAGATCACTGGATTGGATGGTATTTCTACTTTTAGTTCTTTAAGGAGTCTCCATACCGAATGGACAATTCTCAAAAAAAGATAAACAAACTGTCGAGAAACATATGAAAAGATGCTCAACGTCACTAACTATCAGGGTAATGCAAATTAAAACCACGGTGAGATACCACCTTACTTCTTCAAGAATGTCACTTTCTTAATGTTTGTTCTTAAAGGAGGGTTTTACAAACATGGGCCTTGCAAATCTTGACTACTGCATCTAACTTTTAGTTGTCTTAATCTCTATGTAAATTAAGTCATTATACCCTAAACTTCTACCATTATATTTCTAAAAACTTTTGTATATATATGTATCTACTTGAAAATAGTCACTTCAGGAAAATCATGGTTAAAATCCTACAGTGGTTTTCCATTGTTAGGGAAACTATCCTCAATCTTATCAGACAAAGCCAGATCAAGTCCCAACAGCTTGAATACCTTTCAAGAGAGTTCAAAGACTGTCCTTGGTGTCCTTGTATGTCTTACTACCAGTTCTGCTTTTCTGAGCTTCTAGAGGTGACAGCATTGGAACCTCATTTCCTATTTCTAACCTGCCTTCAATCTCACTAGTTCAAAGAGACTCTTTATGTTATCAATAGTCTAATATGATAGGTGTGTGTGTGTGTGTGTGTGTGTGTGTGTGTGTGTGTTGATTGTGACTGTTAATCTGCTTGAATGTTCTTTAGTCTTGCTGGCAAGGGCTTACTTTATTTCAGTGGATATTATTCTAGGAATGGGAGCCAAGCTTTCAACTTTTCAGAGTTCTCTGGCTTCCATCCCAATTTCTACATCATAATATTTGCTCAGACTCAGAACAGAGAAATTGTTCAAATAATGAGGACTGATTCACTCAGGAGCCATATCTACTTTTAAAGTATCAATTGTACCAGGCAGAATTTCAACTTGCTTTTATACTATTTTATATTTAGATACAATCTTTCCAATAATTCTCAGCAATTGATAGCCTCCCTTCTCACAAGAATATTTCAATTAGCTTCTAAGGATAACTGTTTACTGCAGGCACCTTACAAGCAAGTCTACCACTACAATGACATTCAGAATAGTGATTTAATTTCCTGGCTCACGAGTTTGGCCAGGAATCACAGTCTTATTATGTTTCAAGGAATTTTTGATAAGAAATACTTGCTTGAAAATATTCAAACTGCCTGAGCCCTGCAGGTTGCTAGAAATTTAGGACATACTTTACAACTATTCATTTACATCTAGGCCACAATAAAATCAATTTTTGGAAGGAAGTGGATGATAGAGGGTTGGCAGGGGCAGAGTAGAACCTATTAAAATTCAAATAGTCTGTCTGTAAAAATTTGACATTTCATAGAAAACACAAGAAAAAAAGAACTCTGAGGATCCATAACTTTTCAAAAAATAATCAATTTTAGAGTTTACCATTTTTCTTCCTAGCCACCTACTATAAAATAAACATTGTTCATTACAATTTTTCATATTAACTTTTTTTATTTAAATCTCACAAAAACTGCGGCAACTAAGTGTTGCTAATCTGGGCTTTTAAGTTGCAAAAATGCTCTGAAGTCAAGTGATTAGTCCAAGGTCACGTAGATTGGTTTCCCAAGCCGATGTTATTTTTATTATATCTCACCTTGAGTAAAACCAATAAATATTCTGGAAATTATTATCCTATGCAGATATTAAATAAATTGTAGGTAATTGTTTCAAGCATTACTGCTGAAATGTTTTGAGTACATTGGTACAATGTTAATGTATTTCTGAGTATAAAGGAAATGTAAATGTATGCTCATTTTAAAATGGGGGAATATACAAAACAATAAAAAATATAGAAAAGATTAAGAAAATATTATAGACAGAATAAAAATTTTAATTAACTAATGATCTTATTATTGAGAGGCTATCAGATTTACTGTGGAGTGCATGTCTTTATGAGATTACCATCGTCATTTATCTTTTAATAAATTTTGGACTATAGAAAAAAACAGTTGGAGCCAGCTCCATCCCTGCTGGAAAGCAAAGATACAGCCATTTATAACAGGTCAGTGACTTTTCTTAAAAACACATATAGCTTATACGTATATGGTGATATTACATCACAGTCTAATCTCAAATAGAGGATGTGAGATTTCTGGCAGAATTAAAAAGTTTACAGATAGTACTCCATAGAAGATGGTAAGGGACCTTAAGCAGATAGAGTGAAACAAAAGAACAGCCTTAAAAGTTTTTAAATTGACAGGTAAAATTGTATGTATTTACCATGTACAACATCATGTTCTGAAGAATATATACATTGAGCAATGAAAAAATTTAGCCAATCAACATATGCATTACCTCACATAGTTATGATTTTTGTGGTGAGAACTTCAAATCTACTCTCTTACCATTTTTCTAGAATACAATAGAATGTTAAATATAATCACCCTGTTGTAAAATACATCTCTCAAACTTATTTCTCCTTTCTAACTGGAAATTTATATCCTTTAACTGCCATTTCCCCAATGCCCTCTCATCTCTCCAACCTATCCCCACACCACCCCCGTTCTTGGTAACCACCACACTACTCTCTAATTCTGTGGGTCAAAGTTCGAGATTCCACATATGAGTAAGACCGTGTGATGCTTATCATTCTGTGCTTGGCTTAGTTTTCACATAACACAATGTCCTCCAGGTTTATCCCTATTGCTACAGATGATAAGATTCCCTTATTTTCATGGCTGAGTAGTATTCCACTGTGTGTGTATACACCATATTTTCTTTATCCATTTATCCTCTGATGGACAATTAAGATGATTCTATATCTTGGCTATTGTGAATAATGCTGCAATAAACATGGGAGTGCAGATATCGATTCACCATACTAAATCCATTTCCTTTGGATGTATATCTATTCGTGGGAATGCTAGATCATATGGTAGTTCTATTTTCAATTTTTTGGAGAACCTCCATACTGTTTTCCATAATAGCTGTACTAATTTACATTCCTACCAACAGTGTGTGGAAATCCCCCTTTCTCCATATCCTCACCAACACATTATCTTCTGTCTTTTGATAGTATCCATTCTAACAAGTGTGAAGTGATATATCATTATGGTCCTAATGTGCATTTCTCTGAGGACTAAGCACTTTTTATATACTTTTTGGCCATTTCATGTCTTTTTTTGAGAACTATTCAGATCCTTTGACTATTTTTTATCAGGTTTTTTTTTTTTGGCTATTGAGTTGCTTGATTTCCTTATATATTTTGAATATTAAACCCGTATCAAATGTATATTTGCAAATATGCTCTTCCACTCTGTAGGCTGACTCTCTATTGAGTATTTCCTTTGCTATACAAGTGCTTTTTAGTTTAGTGTAATACCATTTGTCTATTTTTGCTTTTGTTGCCTGTGTTTTTGAGTTCATATCCAAAAATTCATTGTCCAGACAAGTATTATACAGCTGTTCAGATACATTTTCTTCTAGTAGTGTTACAGTTTCTTGTTTTAAATTTAAATATTTATTGTGAGCTGGTTTTTCTATATGGCATGAGGTAATGGTTTAATTCTTCTGCATATCGATGTTCCGTTTTCCAAACACCATTTAGTGAAGAGGCTGTCCTTTCCTCAGTGTGTGTTTTTGTCACCTTTGTCAAAAATCAGTCAACTGTAAATATGTAAATTTAGCTGGGCTCTTTATTTTTTTCCATTGGTCTATGTGTCTGTTTTTACGCCAGTATCATCCTGTTTTGATTATTATATCTTTGCAGTATATTCTGAGGTCAGGTAGTGTGATACTCCAGGTCTGCTCTTTTCGCCCAAGATTGATTTGGCTATTCAGGGTCTTTTGTGCTTCCACATACATTTTAGGATTGTTTTTTTTCCATTGCTGTGAAGAATGTTATTTGTATTTTGATAGAGATTGCATTCAGTCTGTAGATGGCTTTGGGTAGGATGGACAATTTAACAATTGGATTCTTCTAGTCCATGTACATGGGATTTATTTCTGTTTATTTGTCATCTTCAATTCCTTTGATCAATGTTTTATAGCTTTTATTTTATAAATCTTTCACTTCCTTAGTTAAATTTATTTCTAAGTAATATTTTGGTAGCTATTAAAAACGAGGTTGTTTTCTTGATTTCTTTTTTGGATAGTTTGTTATTAATTTATAGAAACAATACTGATTTTTGTATGTTGATATATCCTGCAACTTTATTGAACTTGTTTATTAGTTCTAATAATTTTTTGGTGGAGTCTATAGGGTGTTCTATATAAAAGATCATGTCATCTGCAAACAGAGACCATTTAACTCCTTCCTTTCCAATATGGATGCCTTTCATTTCTTTATCTTGCCTAATTTCCCTGGCTAGGGCTTCCAGTACTATATGAAATAGGAGTGGTAAGCATGGTGAGAGTGGGCATCTTCGTTTTGTTCCAGATCTTAAAGAAAAAGCTTTAAGCTTCTCCCCATTAAGTATGGCATTAGCTGTGGTTTGTCATATATAGCTTTTATGTCTTAAAGTTTTCAATGAATTATACCTTCTGTTCTTCCCACACTCAACTGCTCCTTTGATATTAATTAGACTTTTGGTTAAGAACTTGAATACTTCCTTTTGGTGCTTATCCTGGGGAGTTGCTTATTTTGGAACAATAATTACTTCTCAGTCTTCTTATGGGACCTCCTTTGGGGACAAATGAAGATAATCAGTCTTGCCTCCCCTTCTCTTCCCCATTACTCAGTGAACTTATTACTGCTTAGATGCAACACCAGAGATAAACACTGTCAACACGAAGAGGCTGTAAACTAACTTTCTGACTTCCAGTCACATACAGAAAGGAACAGACTTAACAGAAAATAGAAATGATATGGCATAATATAATTTTATAAATTGTTACTATTAGTTAAGATTATATCAAAAACATTTATTATGTTATGAAATTCCATGAAATCATGACATTAAAGCTAAATAAAATTTCTTCATATGGAATTTCCATAGTGATCATTGTTTACTCATTTGCACTGAAGATATTACCAATTTTTTTGTTATTTTATAAATGTAATGAACATACCTTATGTAGAATTATGTGATGATTCTTAGAATATAATCTCAGGAGTTGACTTACTGAGTAAAAAATATTAACGTTTAGAATACATTCTTGATATACATTTATACATTGCCAATTTGACCTCCAAAAGATAGTTCTTTTTATAACTGTTGGAAGCAGAAACAAACTATCTTTTCACTGAACTGTGGCCACCACTGAATATTATCATTAAAAATGTATCCAGTGTCTTAAATTTAAATTATTTTAATTATTAAGACCAACAGTTTTATGTTTATTTACTGTTTCCAATTTTTTCAGTTATGGAAAATAATAAAAATGCTTACTTTATTTTTATTATGATGGATTATGAAATTGTCAGCACCACTCCCAATTTTCAAAAACTCATTACTAAGGAGCAGCATAGTAGCAGCAGCAAAATGAAAGCACTTTGGATAGAGAAAGACAGGATTCAAATTCTCGCTCTGATTATTTTTTTTTTTTTTTTTTTTTTATTATATGTTAACTTCTGGGATACATGTGCAGAACTTCCAGGTTTGTTCCATGGTGGTTTGCTGCACCCATCAACCTGTCATCTACATTAGGTATGTTTCCTAATGCTCTCCTTCCCCTAGGCCTCCACCCTCCAACAGGCCCCAGTGTGTGATGTTCCCCTCCCTGTGTCCATGTGTTCTCATTGTTCAACTCCCACTTATGAGTGAGAACATACGGTGTTTGCTTTTCTGTTCTTGTTTTAGTTTGCTGAAATGATGGTTTCCAGCTTCATCCATGTCCCTGCAAAGGACATGAACTCATCACTTTTTATGGCTGCGTAGTATTCCATGGTGTATATGTGCCACATTTTCTTTATCCAGTTTATCATTGATGGGCATTTGGGTTGGTTCCAAGTCTTTGCTATTGTGAACAGTGCCACAATAAACATACATGTGCATGTGTCTTTATAGCAGCATGATTTATAATCCTTTAGGTATATACCCAGGAATGGGATGGCTGGGTCAAATGGTATTTCTGGTTCTAGATCCTTGAGGAATCGCCACATTGTCTTCCACAATGGTTGAACTAATTTACACTCCCAGCAACAGTGTAAAAGTGTTCCTATTTCTCCACAACCTCTCCAGTATCTGTTGTTTCCTCTCCAGATTGTAACACATTAATCTCCAGATTAATCTCTGAAAAGAATATTCCTGATCTTTAAAATGGTAATAATCTTTTCAAATCCTTGTGATTTCTGGGTGCCCTAAATGCAGTACACACATACACACACATGCACACATATATGTGTACATATATGTGTACAGTATGTGTACAGTATGTGTACATATATGTGTACAGTATGTGTACAGTATATGTGTACATATATGTGTACAGTATATATGTGTACAGTAAACATATATACAATCAAGCCCTAAACAAACATGTTTTTTGCCAGTATGTAGAGCAAACATATTTTATTAAATACAGTTTATCAAATTAAGTAATTTTATATTGCCTTTATTGCTTCAAATGAATTCTAAATGTTTTATTCCCTTTAAAGTTGCTCAGTTTTCAAGACTTTTAAATAAATAGTTGTTGTTTGTTTTGTTTTCAATATATCTCAATGTTCTATAATGAATGTGGATGGAGGAAAAGGAAAAGATATAGAAGTTTAAAGAGAAGTTGTGTTTGGCAAAGTACTTCTTTGAAGAGTTGAATTCATAGTGACTACCTTCTAGAACAATTTAAAGGGGCTGATGGCTCAATTCTAATCCATATAAAAAGAATGATGCTGCTGGAAGTTATGTGAATATTTGGTAGATACTATTTTTATGTGTGTTTTTATGGGAGATATTTAGTAAACAAACATATTTGTTATGGGAGAATATAGGAGACATTCAGTAAATAACCAAGTAAAATGCATCACATTGTGTTAAGTGTCATGGAGTTTTATTTTTTTAATGGCAGTGTGAGGGAGATAGAGCTATCTTAAATAAAGTAATCAGAGAAGGCTTCAATGATAAGTTGACCTTTGAGCAGAGACACCTGAAAGGGGCAAAAAAGGAGAACCACACATCTATTTTTAAGAAGTGTGTTCAATGCAGAACACATAGCAAGTACAAAGGTTCCGAATCAGGAGCATGCTTGTTGTCGTAAAGAATAGTCAAGAGGCTCATGTGGCTGGATAAAGTGATCAAGAGAGTTGTAGGAGGCGAGGTGGTCAGACAGGTAGTAGATGGCCAGGTCATACCTTGTAGGACATTTTAAGAACTTCGCTTTTTCTCTGATTGAGATGATAAAACATTGGAGGCTTCTGAGCAGAGAAATGGCATGACCTGACTCACATTTTAAAGGTATCCTTGAAGTTCTCTGTTGATAACTGAACATAGGAAGCAAAGGCAGAATGAGGAAAACCACTTAGAATAGCATGGCAGTAATTCTGGGGGCAGCTGATTGTACCTTATATCAGGATGGCAAGAAAGGAATTGGATGCTAAATGAATCTTGAAGGAAGAGGGAACAGGATCTGCAGGTCCTGTGGATGTGGAGTATGAGAGAAAGCAAGGTGAATCTCAATGATACCCTTCAAAAATATATGCCTGCAATAGCTTTAAACTTGCGCAGTTTTCATCTTAGACCAGATATAAAGCTCTGATATGAACTAGTACTCATTCTTTATGACCCTTATAAAATTATATATTCTTAATTATTAGATATTTAAATTTTCTCTTAAGAAATTTTTTAGGTGAATTCATATCTATCAGGTTGATTGTGCCAAGTATTAGAGTAATTTTGACTAAAAGCACAGGCCGTATCAGTGTGTCTATAACCATTATGGTGAGGGGATGATAAAACTTGCAAATAAAATTATTGTAATTTATTAAGATCATTGATGATAAATAATTCTTTTGCATTTTAATTAAAATGTAGTATAATTGTTTCTGTCGGGCAAATTCTTTCAATCCCTTATTGTGAACCTAACATTTTCACATCCTCGCATAATTCTGACAATTAAAAAAATTCTTAACAGATATAAAATTCAGAATTCTTTTTACTCAGTAAGTAGAGAAATAATGTAACTGAGTTATCGCTGGAATTTCATTTTATGTTTGTACTTGCCCACATTTTGAAAAGGCAACATTATACTCTACATTTTAAATTGGTTTTTATTCTTTTTTAAAATCATTTTTTGAAATAATTATATACAAAAAAGTGTACAGAGTCTCATGTACCTTTTGCTCAACATACTCCAGTAGTGGCAAGTTATATAACTGTAGTACAATGCTAAAACCAGAAGACTGACATCAGTGTATAATTATTAACTAGTCTACAAACCTTATTCAATTTCCATGTTTAAAACCTGAATTCATTTGTGTGTGTGTGTTTGTGTGTAGGTTCTGTGCAATTTTATCCAGTGTAGAGATTTATATAACTGCTACCAGAATCAAGACACAGAATATTTTCATTATCATGAAAGAACTCCTTCTCATAACCTCCTTGTATTTATACATATCTCCCCGCATTTTCATCCATGCCCCAGCAACCACTAATATATTCTGTTTCTCTGTAGTTTTGACATTTTGAGAATGCTATATTAAAGGAATTCTACAATATGTAAACTTTGGATATTTTATTTTTTTCTATTAACATTCTTGTGGAGATATGTGCGCAAATATAAGTTCATTTTTTAGAGCTAGATATCTAAAAGAGCAATTGCTGAGTCGTATGGTGACTGCATGTTTAGTTTTATAAGAAAATGCCAAGCTATTTTCAAAGTGGTTATAACAGTTTACATTCTCATCAACAATGTATGAGAGATCCAGTTTTTCTGCATCCTCACAAGCATTTGGTATTATCACTGTTTTTTAATTTAACTGTTCTGATATGTGTGTAATATTTTATTATTGTTTTTAATTTCATTTCCCTAAAGGCTAATGCCATACGTCTTTCCTCTTTGGTAAAATTTATATTTTTATACATGTCCATTTTATAATTGAATTGCTTGTTTTTGCTGTTGAGATTTGTGAATTATTTGTATATTCTAGATACCAGACTTTTTCAGATATGTGGTTTATAAATATTTTTTCTAAATCTGTAGTTGTCATTTCCTTTCTTTTTCTTAACTGGGTCTTTCCTAGAACAAAATGTTGAATTTTGATGAAGTCCAATTTATTATTATTTTACGGATCACGTTTTTCATGTCGTGTGTAAGAATCCTTTGTTTAGCACTTGGTTCCAAAGATGTTATCCTCTGCTTTCTGCTCAAAGTTTATTAAGTTTTACATTTAAGTCCATGGTTTATTTTAATTTTTGTGTATGTTGTCTAGGTTATGTAAAATTATTTGTTCTTATTTCTCCTTTTTTGTCTACTGATATCTAATTGTTCCAGCACCATTTATTGAAAAGCCTATCCATTATTCATTTTAATTGCTTTTGCACCTTCCTCAAATATAGAATGGTCATATTTGTGTCAGTCTGTTTCTGCATTCTCTATTCCATTGGCCAGTATGTCTATTCCTTCAGCAAAACCATATTGACTTAACAACTGCAGACATATGATAAATCTCAGCGTAAAATTGAGCAATTCTTCTCACTTTGTTATTGTTTTTTAAATTTTTGTTAGCATTTTATGTTAGCATTTTAATTCCTCACTCTTTCCGTTGAAATTTATTTATTTATTTATTTATTTATTTATTTATTTATTTATTTATCTTTTTTTTGAGGTGAAGTATCACTCTGTCGCCCAGGCTGGAGTGCAGTGGCGTGATCTCAGCTCACTGCAACCTCCACCTCCTGGGTTCACGCGATTCTCCTGCCTCAGTCTCCCAAGTAGCTGGGACTACAGGCACCTGCCACCACGCCAGGCTAGGTTTTTATATTTTTAGTAGAGACGGGGTTTCACCATGTTAGCCAGGATGGTCTCGATCTCCTGACCTTGTGATCTGCCTGCCTCGGCCTCTCAGAGTGCTGGGATTACAGGTGTGAGCCACCGCACCCGGCGTGAAATTTAAATATAAGCTTTTCCATACAAAACATTGTTCTGGGATTTTTGGTAGGTATTGTGTTAATCTGCATATCAATTTGGGAAGAAGTGATATTATTACTGTATTAGAACTTCACATTTGTAAATATGATATACCTACATTTACTTAGATCTTATTTAATTAATTTTATTGGTATCTGGTAAATTTCGGTATATAGAACTTGTGTTTTACCAATTATATTTATAACTAGATATTTATTTTACCTTTTTAAGAGTGATTATAAGTAGTATTATTGAGTCCATCCAGTGATTGTTTAGTTATTTTAAAGTTTTGAAATTTTACTTTAATAATTTCTGTATTTTCTATTAATATTTGCTCATATTTTCTATTATTTTATTTTTTAAGTGGTTGATAATTGCATGTTGAAGCATTTTTATACAGCTGCTTTAAAATTTTTGTCAGATTATTCCTACATCTATTTTGTCTCAATGTCAGTACCCATTGATTGTCTTTTCATATTTAAGTGTGGTTCTCCTGGCTTTGGGTATGATGAGTGACTACTGATTGTGCACTGGACATTTTGGGTATTATGTTCTAAGATTTTGGATCCTCATTAATCTCATTTTTAGAACTTAAGTCACTCTGTTTAGGTATTACATACAGGTTCAGGTGGAGATAAATGTTCATGCCCCTGGTAGGCCCCATTAAAATCATACTTATAAATGTGGAGCATTGATTCACACTTCCTCAATGAAGAAGATTATGGAAAAGAACAGTTCTCCCCCGAATCACACTGACACCTTCCCAGTAAAAGCAGTTTCAATTAGCACTGTCTCATTCACTCAGTAGGGGTATAAGCTCAGTCCACTCTGGGCTCTGCTGACATCAGAGTGGAAAATAAAGCATTTATCCAGTATCACCTCATTTCACTTTATTGCCTGGTGGAGGACAGAAACTCAGGTTCCATCTGGATCCTGCTCATACTAAGTTGGAGGAGGGGTACAGTGCCAACTATAGTGCCTTCCCAAAACACTTCACTCCACCTTGTTGCTGCCAGGTCAAAATGGAAGCTTGGTCTAAGCGAGTCCTGTGAACTAGGAGGTATGTAATGTGAAGCCAAGTGGGAGTGGAGTTTCAGCTCTCTGGGGGACTCTGACAACACTGAGGAAGGACTGGGTGTAGGGGAATGCAGACTAGCCCCGCCTTGTTCCACCTCCTTCACTCTCGATTCAATTCTTGAGTTGTTTAAAACCATTCCTGACTGATGCCATTCCCATCATTACAAGATCCTCGCCTTTCTCTCTGGACTCTTTTGTATGTAGATGGATGCAATTTTGTGTTATAAAGTATTTTTCCAGCATATAATTTATTTTTGTTTAAAAGCTTTAAAACAATCCATTTTATATTTGAATATGAGGCATTATTCAAATAAAAAACTCTAAGGAATTCTTGTGATGTTATTGAATCAGTTGGTTTTAATGTGAATATATATGTAGATTTGGAATACCACACTGAATGCAAGATCAAGCATTAATGGGAAAAAAAGTAGTAAGACTATCTAAATGGTGTTTACAGTGTGTTTCTGAAGAAATTGACTTAATTTCAGGAAATTACTCATGCCTGAAATTAATTCCCGTAATGGATTTGTTTGTTGCCTTTGGAAGAGTAGTGGCAATATTTGAGCTCACCTTGCCTCTTTTTGAAAAGAAAATCTAGTATTTACTTTCTACTTACTGCATACAATTTTATTCCAGAATTAATGAAGACATAAAAATTAATTTGAATATCTTGGAAAACTAGGAAGAACTATATTTAAAGTATTGTTATTATTAAAATCCTTAAATAAGAAGTTACCATCACATTTAAAATCAATATCACTTTTTCTACCAGCTGCCCACTGTGTCATATCAAGCAAGTTTATCATTCACTGTTGGAATTACTCCAGCTGTGAACTCTCTAAGATGAGTTGTTCTTTGCTTCAAACCATTTGGGAAGCTACCTCTCTACTCCCATGATGTGAAAATGACTCTCCTGGCAATTATTCAGCAGATTTTTTTTTAAATAAAATACCCTTTTTATCAAAAGGCTAACCCCTGCTGTTATAACAAATATTACTTCTTTTCATTTAATGCTACAAGAGGAAATTATGGTAAACAGAAGCTGTTTTCTCCTGCATAAAGTAAGTTACAAACTCATGACTTATTTCTCTGGAAACACTTTAAAGCAACAGTATATCTGGCATGTGAAAATGATGACGCATTATTCAAATAAAAACTCTTGCTTCACAGACAGTAATAAATGTGTCTGACACAGCTATGGTTTGAAAACATGAATCTATTTGTAATTTTTAAATGCATTGCTAAAATAAAAGCAAAGTGTAACAATGCACAGCACCAGCCAGAGATAACATGTGAATCCTGCTTTAATGTCTAACAAACTGAATGCAATTATGCATTTCATAAGTTTGTGGGTTTTGTTTGTTTGTTTTTAAAATTTGGGATCACTAGCAAATTAGTTCGCTTTTGTTTTTTCAGTTTATTAGACACTGTTACATCACACTAATTTTTAAAGAACCACTGAAATACAGAGTAAAGCTTCTCATTTTGAATATCAGCCAATGTTATTATAATGTGCTTTTTATACATTGATGAAGCATTTCATGGCATGACTAACTTTATGGTCCCAAATGATGATGTGCTGCTTGAGTCAGAGTTTTCTTGGTATTCATTTTCAGGAACTCAGACTCCATGAGAGCTGTGTAAGAAGCCAGGAGCTGTCTCTAAAAATGATAATATCTTTTTACCGGTTGAGAACCTGGGAGCCTCCTCTTGATTTGTTCATTAAGGCTTATCATAGGATCTATTAAGCCCACTGTCAAGCAAAGAAAAACTCTCAGAACTGCCAAAGACAGTATTAGTTGACTACAAAATTCTCAGAATGTGTACTGTGACTCATAGGTCAGGTCTTGTGAGACTTCCATATCTCCTTCAAGATATATCAGGCCCTTGAACCTATGAGGTTACAGAGTACCAATTCGTAGATCCTCCTTACCAGTGAGCCTGGACCTTATAGAAAGTCTCCTTTTGCACTATGGCCCATTCGGACACGGAAGCCTTTTGCATTATTTGGTAAATCAGTTAAGAATTTACCTCCCTAATTGGAACATAGTTCCAATACAATGCAAAAGACCCCAGCAAGCATTGTGCTTCCCTCTTAACACTAAAATATTGAGCAACAAAAAATTTACTATGGTAGGTATTATCCAGTATGCCACAGACTTTGGTAAATTGGCAAAATTTAAGAGTTTCATGGGAAATTTCTCACTGTAATACATGTGCTATGCCGAAGTATCTAGAAAGCTCTTGTTCTTAAAATGTTAGATTTGGCCTAGGACCCCACCATTCATCTCCTAGGTATACACCCAGGAGAGATAATAACACAGGTCCACACAAAGACTTTTGGGCAAATTTTTATCATAGCAGTATTCCTAATAGTCAAAATATGGAAATAATCCAAAAGTCAACCAACTATTGAATGGAATAAGTAATGTGCTATATCCATACAATATATTATTTGGCAATGAAATGAAGTGCAGATACCTGTTGCAACATGATTGAACTTTCAATATTTTATGCTAAGTGAGAATTCACTTAAAATTATTGACTTGTTACACTTAAAACTGGTGAATTTTAAATCATGTAAATTGTACAACTACACTGTTTCTAAAAATGTTACCCTGTAAAGGATTGTTTTAGAAAATTTTTGATAATTAAGGTATAAAAATCTTCCTTCTATAATCCTAAAGGGCACTTTTTTTGTCTATAGGAAATCCAAACTCTAGTTTAGTTACATTAATTGGAATCTAGCCTGCACTGGTTAAATAATAATCTGAGAAACTTTTCTGTGTATTGAAAACAAATGGAATTTAAAGAAAGAAACTTTTACACAAGTGATATGGTTAGGCTTTGTGTCCCTACCCAAATCTCATCTTGAATTGTAATCTCCACAACCCCCATGTGTCAAGGGAGAGACCAGGTGGAGATAATTGGACCATGGGGGCAGTTTCTCTCACACTGTTCTCGTGATAGTGAGTGAGTTCTCATGACATCTGATGGATTTTTAAGGGGCTCTTCCCCCTTCGCTTGACACTTCTTCCTGCCGCCTTGTGAAGAAGGTGCCTTGCTTCCCCTTCTCCTTCCACCATGATCATATATTTCCTGAGGCCTCCCCAGCCACGCTGAACTGTGAGTCAATTAATCCTCTTTCCTTTACAAATTACCCAGTTAGGCAGTTCTTTACAGCAGTATGAAAATGGACTAATACAAAAAGTAAAAGAAAAATTGGTAAACTAGAAAGGAGAGAGAGGTAGAGATTAGCAGAAAGCCATCTTCTAGCTCTATTTTCTAAGGACAAATGGGTGTTGTGATTTACTAGAACCTGAAGCCCAGGGTATAGCAACTGCCAGAGAGACCACCAGAGGCAGAGATGCACATCTTTCTTTGCCTTTCTCTTCCTACCACCTTCCTAGTTTTCTCCAGTGTCTCCTATTGGTTCAACTTGGATGAAAACCAATCTGCATGAAGCCCATTATCCTCCCTGCTACACACAGCATAGCAAAGAAAAGGTGGGAATGGATCTGAGGGCAAACATCCCCAGAACTGGCACATTGGGATGTAAATTATTTCATCACTTGTGTCCAGCTGAACTTTTTACCCATACCACTTCTTATAATACTAAGTGTTCTGTAGACTCTGTCTGTTAGCTCATGCCAGAAACCTCTTCACACTCTAGTTTGCCTTAAGAATATCTCAGATGGAGGCTGCGTTTACCATACTTATACTCAGTGATAACATTTACCTATAAAACTGCTGTAGAAAGTTTACACTGCATCATTCAACTGACAAATCAAAATCAGTTTCTCAGTTTTTAAATTATTTTATTTTTAATGGCCCCAAGTGGATTATAACTACTATTAAGGCAAGGAATATGTCATAGATATTACTATCCACAATAGCTAATAAATATCCAGAAAATAATGGAGTTTTAAAAACTGTTACATAATGATGTATTATTGTTTGTTTTCCAGAATGTGTGAAGGCTGAAAACAGAGGGTGACTTTTAACACAATACAGCAAATTAATATGCATGTTATCTTTTGTGCTTAAGTCTGTTCATTTTATTGTGGAGATATACCACAGATTTGGTAAGTTTCATCACCTATTGCACTAATATCATAAAGGCATAAAGTACTACCCAAACATTTAATATTTAGAATAATATGAACTGGACAAGGAGCCATGAGGAATAATAACGTAGCTCAATATCCAGGGAGGAATAAATTCTGAAGAGACTATATATTGCTGGTGCTGAGAAAGGAGATTGATAATTACAATACAGAAATACAAGAATTTATATATTACATTATAACTATGGTCCTCCTAGTATAATATTTGCTTGTTAACAGGGGCTCTGAAAGCAAGCAGAGGCCTCAGTAGTTAGGATACTTCATTTTCCTTTAGACACTGTTTATTGATCTGCCTTTTGTAAATCAGCCTAAATGTTTCTAAAATTCATTACATATCCTACCAGTACATAGCTTGTTGCAATGTGTTCCATAAGTTTATCACCCACTTGCATAAAGTAGTATTTCCTCTGCAATTCAAAACAAATCCATTGTCTGAACAGACTCTGGTTTGCCAGATTCAAAAGATGTCAGTGTTACTTCTTAGTTTACTGGCTTATCTATTCACTGTTTTCATTTGTCCTCTTTATAGCAGCTGTTTGCAAATCAATATGATACATTACTATTTTGCTTTCAGTTCTATTCTTATTTTGTTTTGACAGGCCACCTGGTTATTTGAGCAGCAGCCATCAGTTAAATAACGCAAAATATGAGTCTGAAGATAAAAATTCCAGTCATTTTAATCTAAGTATTTACTAATTATTTATAGATATTTTAATGGGTTCATAAATTGTGGTTTAGGAATTTTTTTAGGGTGATAATTTTCTTGATTTACACTGCTAGTAATTTGAAAATAAGTGTTAGATTTGGAAACACAAAGAAAAGGACCAATTGTACGAGGAAATCAAGCATTTATATGTAACCATGCAAAGAGGAAACAACAGTGAAATACTGATAAGTCCAGTTGGCTAAAGGTCTTTTTAATGAGGGATCTGGACAGCTGCACTGATACCTTGGGGGGCATAATCTAATATACATTGGATTGAAATTTTCCGATTACCCTGACTGGTTCTAATAAGCTACAATTTACTCAAGATGACTGTGGCTTTTCTCCCATATACCTAACTCTTCTTTTACATGAAACTATATATCAATGATAGCTTGTTGGCATTATATTTTATAGCTAGCTCTATATCCATGAAAGCCATCTTTGTCAAAGTATAGATAGGCTGGACTAAAATCTTTTAAAGATGTGTATCTGATTACAACCTTTATTTTAAAATGTACATAGCTTTAAAAGGTGTCCTGTGTAAGTTGCTTACTTCATCTGTAAGAATTGGGGTGGCTCAGATGACACAATGGAAGAATTTATTATTTGAATTTTTAGAATAGGTATTAATATTATTTTAGGTTTAAAAAATATTCAATCTCATGTGATATGAACAGCATTATCTGCAATCACAGAAAGAACTCAGGTCAAAATGAAATTCCACACCTCTGAGAACTTTCATATCTTCTATTTGAGTTTCAACATTGAAGCTTCTCAAATTAGTCAGAATACATTAGAATATAATTATGTAGCAATTCTTTATCCAGAAAGTTCAAATGCAAATATTGCCTCTTTCCTGAGTACAGAGATGGGTTAAGTAAGAGAATAGGAATTTAACTTGAAATACTATATTCTTACTCATTTATTCAAATTAGTGTAAATATTATCTAAGCAATTAGCTGCAAATATGACTTGTTCTATTTATTAAATGTAAAAATTCATTCCAGAACAAAGAATTTCAAATGATAAAATGATCTAAAACCCCTATTAAAATACTGATAGGAAGCTGTTAATACCTACCAATGAAAAAGTAGTAATTTACTTTAGAAATAGTTTCAGTTGAGTCAAATGGACAAAATGGAAATAAGTGGATTCCATCATTGAGTAGTTATTCAAGGAAGCTTGCTCCGATAAAAGGAAGTGGAGAGGAATATATAGCATCCTAGGCTTATTTTTTCACAGAAGTCATTGGATCAACTTGTCTTTCTAGGTTAAGATATAATTATAGTTCACAAATGAAAATTATCAAACGATTAGAATTCTCCTCTAATCATTACTTATATTTTTTAATATATAGCAATGGCAACAAAGAAGAAAAAAGTATCATAAAAAATAAGAGTTCATAACATAATGATATCTACAATCATTAAGTATTCATTAAACTGTTATGCATTTTAACAAAAAGATGCAGTATTGTGTATTTTATTCTTTTCAAAAGCAGATCATGGATATGAATTGTGCTGGAAATTTTATTTCAATTTGTAAAAACATAATTCTCACAAATTTTTATATTGTAATATTACCAAACTGTGGAAAAAAAACTGGTTATTTTATAAGAGCATGAAGTCTATAATAGCTTGCAAACAACAAAAAAAAGTGAGTTTGAGGTTAGACTATTAGCTCATTTCTCATTATTTATCAAAATGAACAAAATAACTGAGTTTTATGTTGTGTAAATATGACCATTCTTTTCCCTTGGGCCCAAATCCTTGTCTAATTTAAAACCTTTGTATGTGATCCATGAACTTAAGTATAACATAAAATACTTTGTAAGACATATACATTACTCCCTAAATCTCTTCTGTTCTCTATGACTTAAGAAGCTGAACACTTGAAAACTCTTTAAAATCTCTAAAAAAATTATTTAAAATATCATTTAAAAAATGGTAGAATAAAAACTTAAACAATTGACACAAAATTAATACCAGAATAAAAGTTATAATTAATATTAATAGTGATTCTAAGGATGCCTCATACCTATGAATTAAATGTATCAAATTAGTCCTCCATGAACAAAGAGAAACAGAATAGAGATGTGAATGTGTGTGGAACAAAGAAACACTAGAGAACAACGTGAAGTCATCCACAGATATCTGTGTGTATGTATGTATATATAAATATATTGCACACACATAAGTTACATAACCACCACCACAATCAACTCCACAAAGTTTCCTTTTATCCCTTTATAGTCACCTCTGACCAGAAGCATCTACTGATCACTTGCCTGTTGCTGTAATTTTACCTTTTCCACAATGCCATATAAATGACATTTCATATAGTTTTTGGTAATTTTGAATAAAACTCCTATAAATTTGCATAAATCTTTTGTGTGGAAATGTATCTTCATTTGTATAGGAATGGAATCAGTAGGTAGTATGTCAACTCTATGCAAATTCTACAGAAAACTACTGCCAAATTATTGTACCGGTTTGCATTTCCACTAATGTTGCATGAATTTCAGTTGCATGGCATCTTCACCAAACAGTTGATGTTGTCTTTCATTTTTCTAAGCCATTTTCATTGGTGTATAATGCTATCCTTTGTGGTATTAATTTGAGTTTATCTAGTATCTTTTTTTATGGTTATTTTCCATCTATACTTTCTCTTTAAGAAAATGTCTGTACTGGTTATTTTTATACTTGTTTCATTGTTGAATGTTTTCTGTGTAATAAGTTATTTTCTGATATGTGTCTTAAAATATTTTTCCTAGTATATCTGTTGTCATTTGCTTAACTCTCTCAAAGAGCAAAAAATTTCATAGTACACAAAAAGCAAAAATCATAAAAGAAAACTGATATCTTGAACACAAATTCATAATACAAGCCTTTTTTAACTACTGTCTCTTTTGGAACTTAAAAACAAATAGTACAAATTCTCCAGTGTTGTTCTTCAATATTGCTTTGATTATTTTAGACCTGCTGCTTTTTCATAAACATTTTAGAAATAGCTTGTCAATTTTTAAGAAAATGAATAAAAAATCAGATTTTGCTTAGGAACATGTTGGCTCCAGCAGTAATTGGGGAAAAATGACATCTCAATAATATTGAGTCTTCAAATCTACGAACACATCAGAAAACTCATGAAAAGAAGAAAAGTATTGTATTTCCCATATTTTTGCTTACTGTGTTATTTCTCCCTCCTGTTATTTCAAGGTTCATTTTTATTATCATTTTCTTTATCTTTGGATAACTATTTTTAAACATTCTTTTAGGGCAGGTATGCTGGTAACCAATTATCTTAGGTTTTTTTTTTCCAACTCATATTTTAGATTCAGTGGGTACATGTGCAGTTTTGTTACATGGGACCATTGAGTGCTGCTAAGGTTTGAAGTACAAATGATCCCATCACCAAGGTACCCAGCATAGTACCCAACAGTTAGTTTTTTAACCCTTACCCTTTCCCACACTCCCTCCCGCCCTGTAGTCCCCATTACCTATTGTTCCTAGATTTATGTCCATGAGTACCCAATGTTTAGCTCTCACTTACAAGATTTATAAATAAATGAAATGAAAGACAACATCAACTGTTGGTGAAGATGCCATGCAACTGAAATTCATGCAACATTAGTGGAAATGCAAACCGGTACAAAAGTTTTGCAGTGGTTTTCTACAGAATTTGCAGAGAGTTGACATACTACCTACTGATTCCATTCCTATACAAATGAAGACACATTTCCACACAAAAGATTGATGCAAAAAGATTTTCTTTTCCTTTTCCTTCATTAATTTAGTTATGAAAATGGCCTCTGGCTGCATCCTTGTTGCCACAAAGGACATGATTTTATTCTTTATTATGGCTGCATACTATTCTAAGGTGTATATATGCCACATTTTCTTTATCCAAGCAACCATTTATGGACACCTAGATTGATTCCATGTCTAGCTACCATATACAGTGCTCCAGTGATCGTGCGAATGCATGGGTCTTTTTCTGCAGAATAATTTGTTTTCTTTACATTGATGGGTTGAATAGTTGTTTTGTTTTAGGTTCTCTGAGAAATCTCCAGACTGCTTTACATGATGATGGAACTAATGTACATTTCAACCAACAGTGCTTTAGTGTACCCTTTTTCTCTTCAGCCTTGCCAACATCTGCTGTTTTCTGACTTTTTATTAATAGCCATTCTGACAGGTGTGAGGTGGTATTTCATCACGGTTTGGAATTGCATTTCTCTGATGATTACTGATGTGGAGCATTTTTTTATATACTTGATGACTTCTTGTTTGTCTTCTTCTGAGAAGTATCTATTCAGGTATTTTGCACATTTTTTAATGGGGTTATTTGGTTTTTGCTGGTTGATTTGCTTAAGTTTCAGATAGATTCTGGATATTAGACCTCTGTTAGATGCATACATAGTTTGTGAATATTTTCTCCCATTCTGTAGGTTGCCTGTTTACCCTGTTGATAAGTTTCTTTTTCTGTGCAGGACCTCTTTAGTTTAATTGTGTCCCAACTTGTCAATTTTTGCTTTTGTTGCAATTGCTTTTGAGGACTTAGTCATAAATCCTTTCCCGTGGCTGATATTCAGAATGGTTCCTGGGTTTTCTGCTAGGGTTTTTTTAGGTTGATGTCTTACATTTAATTCTTTAATCCATCATCTGTTAATTTTTATATATTGTGAAAGATATGGATCCAGTGTTATTCTTCTGCATATGGCTACACAAGTATCCCAGCACCATTTGTTGAATAGAAAGTCCTTTCCTCATTGCTTATTTTTGGCAACTTAGTTGAATATTTGGTGGCTGTATTTGTGTAGCTTTATTTCTGGGTTATCAATTCTGTTCCATTGGTCTATGTGTCTGTTTCTATACCAGTACCATGCTGTTTTGATTACTGTATCCTGATAGTATAGTTTGAAGTTTGATAATGTGATGCCTCCAACTATGTTTATTTTGCTTAGAATTGCTTTGGATATTTGGCCTTTTGGTTTCAAGTTAATTTTAGAATAGTCTGTTCTATGAAAAAGGAAACAACAGACACTAGGATCTATTTGAGGTGGGGAGGGTGGGTGAAGGGAGAAGAGCAGAAAAGATAACTATTGGGTACTGGGCTTAATACCTGGGTGATGAAATAATATATACAACAAACCTCCATGAGTTTACTTATATAAGAAACCTTCACAGGTACCTCCAAACCTAAAATAAAAGGTTTTAAAAGGAATAGTTTGTTCCAGTTCTGTGGAAAATGAAGTTGGTAGTTTGATAGGAATAGCATTGAATTTTCAGATTGCTTTGGGCAGTATGAACATTTAATGATATTGATTCTTCAATCCATGAGCATGGATTGTTCTTCCATTTGTTTTTCATCTAAAATTTCTTTCAGCATTGATTTGTAGTTCTCCCTCTAGAGATTTTTCACCTCCTTGGTTAGATATATTACTAGTTATTTTATTTTTGTGTGAGACTATTGAAAATGAGATTGCCTCCTTGAGTTGGTTCTCAGGTTTATACCTTATTGGTGTACAGAAATGCTACTGATTTTCATACATTGATTTTGTATCCCAAAACTTTACTGAAGTTGTTTATCTGTTCCGGGAATCTTTTGGCATAGTCTTTAGGGTTTTCAAGGTATAGAATCATATTATCAGTGAAGAGAGATAATTTGACTTCTTCTTTTCTTATTTGGATGCCTTTGATTTTTTACTCTTGCCTGATTGTTGTGGCTAGCATGTCCAGTATTATGTTTAACAAAAGTGGTGAGAATAGGCACTCTTGCCTGATTGTTGTGGCTAGCATGTCCAGTATTATGTTTAACAAAAGTGGTGAGAATAGGCATCCTTGGCTTGTTCAGTTTCTCAAGGGTAATATTCCAGTTTTTGCCCATTCCATACGATGTTGGCAGTCGGTTTGTCATAGATGGCTCTTATTATTTTGACATATGTTCTGTCTATGTCTAGTTTCTTGAGGTTTTATATGAAGGAATGTTGTTTTTTAGCAAAGCTTTTTTGCATCTATTGAGATCATCATGTGGTTTTTGTTTTTAATTCAGTTTCTTTGATGAAGCACATTTATTGATATGTGTATGTTTAATCAACCTTGCATTTCAGGAATTAAATCTACTTGATCGTGGTGAATTAACCTTTTGATGTGCTATTGAATTCAGTTTGCAAGTATTTTGTTGAGGATTTTTTAAATATGCTCATCAGAAATATTGGCTTGTACTTTTCTTTTTTCATTTTGTCTTTGCCAGGTTGTGGCATCAGGATGATGTTGGCTTCATAGAATGAGTTAGGGAAGAGTCTCCCCTGCTCAGTTTTTTCGAATAGTTTTAGTAGGAATAGTATCGGCTGTTCTTTGTACCTCTGATAGAACTCGGCTGTAAATCCATCTGGTTAAGGAATTTTGGCAGTTGGCAGATTTTTATTACCAATTCAATTTTGGAACTCAGTGTTGGACTGTTTAGCCTTTCAAATTTTTCCTAATTCAATCTAGGAAATTTGTGTCTCTCCTGGAATTTATTCATTGCCTCTAGGTTTTCTAGTTTGTGTGAGTAGAGGTGTTCATGATAGTCTTTGAGGATCTTTTGTATTTATTTGGGATTGTTTGTAATGTCACCTTCATTGTTTCTGATTGTGCTTATTTGCATCTTTTCTTTTTTTTTTTCTTTGTTAATCTAGCTAGTGGTCTATCAATCTTGTTTATCCTTTAAAAAAACCTACTTTTGTGTCCTGGATTGTTCATATGGACTTTGGAGTCTCAATTTCATTCATTTCTGCTCTTATTTTAGTTATTTCTTTTCTTCTGCCGGTTTTGGGATTAGTTTGTTCTTGTTTTGCTAGTTCCTCTAGGTGTAATACTTGATCATTAGTTTGAGATCTTTATAACTTTTTGAGGTGGATGTTTACTGCTACATAGTTTTCTCTTAACACTTCTTTTGTTGCATTTCAGTGCTTTTGTTATATTGTGCCTCTGTTTTCATTTACTTTAATTTTTAAAAAGAATTCCTGCCTTGATTTCCTTGTTTACTCAAAAGTCATTCAGGAGAAAGTTATTAAATTTCCATGTAATTGTGTGGTTGTGAGATATCTTTTTGGTATTGATTTCTATTTCTATTTCACTATAGTGAAATAGAGTTGGTTGGTAGTAACAGAGCTGGTTGGTAGAGTATGGTTGGTAGAATCTTGATTATTTTAAACTTATCAAAACTTGCTTTAAGGCCAAACATGTGATCAATCTTGGACTATGTTCCATGTACAGATGAGAAGAATGTATATTCTGTGGTTGGTGGGTGGACTATTCTGTAGATGTCCATTAGGTCCAATTGGTGAAGTGTCAAGTTTAAGTCCTGAATTCCCTTGTTAGAGTCTGCTTCAATGATCAATCTAATGCTATCAGTGGGGTGTTAAAGTCCCTGACTATCGTGTGACTGCCTAAGTCTTTTTGTAAGCCTAGAAGTAGTTCTTTTATGAATCTGGGTGCTCCCACAGTAGGTACTTATTTATTTAGAATAGTTAAGTCTTCTTGTTGAATCAAACTCTTTATCATTATATAATGCCCTTTTTCATCCTTTTTTACTGTTGTTTTAAAGTCTATTTTATATGATATAAAAGATAGTGACCTCTGCTCTTTTTTGATTTCTATTTGCATAATGAATATTTATCCTTCCCTTTACTTTCAGCCTGTGGGTGTCATTACATGTGAGAAGGGTCTCTTGAAGACAGTAAATGGATGGGTCTTATTTTTTTATCCAACTTGCCACTCTGTGCCTTTGAAGTGGAATATTTAGGTCATGTACCTTCAAGTTTAATATTAACATGTGAGGTTTGAATCTTATTGTGAATTTGTTAGCTGGTGCCTTTGCAGTTTCTATTGTGTGGTTGCTTTATTGGGTCTGTGGGCTATGTACTTGTGTGTGTTTTTGGTAGCAGATATTATACTTTTATGTCATTGTATATAAACTTCCTTAGGAATTTCTTAAGGCTGGTCTAGTAGTAATAAATTACTTTAGTGCTTGTTTGTCTGGAAGATGTTTTATTTCTTCTTTGCTTATAAGCCTTAGGTTGGCAGAATATTAAATTCTTGATTGGAATTATTTTCTTTAAGAATTCTAAAAATAGGCCCACAGTCTCTTCTGGCTTATAAGGATTCTGGTGAGAAGATTGCCGTTAGCCTGATGGGGTTCCTTTTTTTTCCTTAGCTGCCTTTAAGATTTTTTATTTAGTGTTGACCTTGGGCAATCTGGTGACTGTGTGCCTTGATAATGTTCATTTTGTATAGTATTTCACAAATGTTCTCTGGATTTCTTGTGTCTAGATATCTACTTCTCTAGCAAAATTAGAGTTTTCTTGAATTACTCTCTCAAATATATTTCCCAGATTGTTTTCTTTTTCTTTCTCTCAGGAATGCTGGTAATTAATAAGTTTGTTCTCTTTACATACCCCCATATTTCTCAAAGATTTTGTTCATTTTTTAAAAAAATTCTTTTTGCTTTATTTTTTTCCTCACTGGATTAGTTCAAAAGACCATTCGTCAAGCTCTGAAATTATTTGTTCTGCTTGGTCCAGTCTATTAATAAAACTTTCTACTGTATTTTGAAATTCCATAAGTGAGTTTTTTTTTATTTGAGAAGCTCTCATTGATTTCTTTTTAAGATGTTTATTTTTTACTTCATTTCCTGGATTGCTTTAGAAGCTTCTTTACGTTGATTTTCAATTATGTCTCGGATCTCATTGAGTATGCTTGCAATTCATACTTTGAATTTTTTAATCTGTCATTTCTAAGTTTCTGTTTTGTTTTGGACCCATTGCTAAAGAGCTAGTGCAATCCTTTGGTGATGTCACTATATTCAGATTTTCCATGGTGCCAGAATTCTTGTGCTTGTTCCTTCTTATCTCAAGACATTGGCACTTTTATTTTTTGTGTGGGTAGAATTTTTTTTCTTTCTTTCCCTGAAATATTTTTGCCCTATTCTTTTCCCCCCCTCCCTAGGGAATGTGACTACAGAATGATGTGTGGAGTCATTTAGCTTTAATTCTATAGCCCTGTGCACTTATTTTGTTTTTTATTGTGCCATTTTTATTTTTTTTTGTGCCATCCAGTTTTTTATTGTGCCATCCAGTTCAACCTACAAGCCCATGGATGGTACCTACAGGTAAGAGGCAGTCATGGCCAATGTACTGGGTATGTATTTGACTCTTGTTTCCTTGCAGAAGCTCTCTGTTGCCTCAGCCAAAGGGTTAATTCATGGAAAACAAAGTTGATCCGATCTCCCTGTTCAGCCCCAGGTGGTGGGGACCATGAAGGGTGGGGCCCACACCAGAAAGATCCATCTACAGATATACTGATGGCAGGAACCAGTACCAATGTCAAGGGAGAATCCAGTGGCCAGCCACCATGTGCCCAGAGGTTTTCCTAGACATGAATCTTGGAAACCTCCTGAGCCCCAAATTATCTGCATGGAGATGAATGGCATCCTAAACTCCTAATCTAGAAGAGTGCATGGTCCAGGTGCCTGGATATCTGACTGGGCATGGAGCAGAGAATGACTCCCTGCACCAAGATTTTTGCACAGTAGGGTTGGTACAACTCACGCTGCTGAATTAGACAAGCAGGTGCTTTAAATGCTTGGAGATCTGTCTGGGCATGAAGCAGAGCTCTCTGCACCAGAATTTCTGCATAGGAAGGGTGGGGTGGATTAGGCTGCTTATCTAGGTGATCAGCTTTCTGAATACCTGGATATTTGCCTGGTCACGGATCAGAGAGGGCCCCTTTGTACCAAGATCTCTGCAAAGGAGGTTTGGGGTGACTCTTTCTGCTGGACCAAGCAAGCAGGTTCTCTGAATGCCTGGAGATCTACCTGGGCACAGAGTGGAGAGGAATATGCTGCACTACAATCTGTGTTGAGAAAGTGTGGGACAGCTCAGGCTGCTGAACCAGGTAAACCAGGGTTCCAAAAACCTCCATTTCTGCCTGGAGGTGAAGCAGACAGGACCTCATCACACCATAGTCTCAAGGGAGCAGGGTGGGGCATTCAGCAATGGCGCATGCAGGTCAGTTCCAGGTCACCAAGACTGCAGCTGTAGTAGCTCCTCTCTCACCTCGGGATTGTGATGGAGGAGAGTACAATTATAGTGCCTATTGTTGAGGCACTTTTCACAGTTTTGGACATGGAAGCCCCTACTCTGTTCCACAGCAGGCATGCCAATCTCTAGACTAAAAATAAAATATCTGAGCAGCCAAGCTACTGGATCATCAAAGAATGACTGACTTTGTATGTGCCCAGATTAAAAATGGCATCCTGATTTCAGTCCCAGGTCTGGAAAATGCCTCCAGCTTTTCCTGGTGTCTTTCCCTCACAGTGTCTGCAAGCCTCTCTTCAAGTAGGCTTTAGGGATTGAGAGATACAAAGTGCCCTCCCTCAGCTCGAATCCCCACTGGAAGGGTGATTCATAGAGAAAGTCTCTTTGCTTCTCTCACGTACTGGGGCTTAACTTGCTTTTCTTAGCTAGGTGCCGTCATTGTAGCTGTTGACCTGTGTTCTCTCTAGGATCTGTAGCGTCTTTCACAGTTCTAGTGGATTCCCACTTTTCTTCTTAACTAAAGCTTCAGAGTTTATCTTTATCTTGCTATTTTTCTAAGTAACTAAGGCATGCTGATCTACTATCTTGGGAAAAAAAATTATTGTGGTTTTCCAATTATTAATGTTTTGTTATTCCTTTCTTGCTGGAGGATAGTTTTTCAGATATTAGATTCTGGCTTGTAAGTTCTTTTCTTTCATCATTTGAATAATGTTATACCACTTTCTTTTGTTCCTGATGACTTCTGAAGGGAAATCTACTGCCATTCAAATTGTTTACACCATTACTAAGGTCTTGTTTCTCTTTCGCTGCTTTCAAGATTTTTTTATTTTTCTTTAGGTTTCAAAGTTTGAGTATGATGTATCTTGTGGATTTATTTGTAGTTATTCTAAGGTTTTGCTCATATTTTTAACTCTAGTATTATCTTTTTCTGCCATATTTGTAAAGTTTTCAAGCATTACTTCATATACTTTGTCAGCACCACCTTCTTTTTCTTTTTCCATATGGGATTCCAATTACATGAATGGTAGTGCTTTTGTTACAATCCTCCATGTCCCTGAGATGCTTTTATTTTTTCCTTTTTTATATGATTTTCTAATGCTGTTTGGATTGACTAATTTCTATTTTGTCAGTTGTGTAATTCACTGATTCTTTCTTCAGCCTCCCATTCTGCTGTTGAGCTTGTCCATTGATGTTATTATTTGGTAATGGTATATTTCAGTTCTAAAGTATCCATTAAAATATTTATGTATTATATTTATTTGCTGAGACTTTCAAATTTTCTTTTGTTGCATATTTATGATTACTCATTAAAGCATTTTAGGATATCTGCTTTAAAAGTTATCCAATAATTTCAATGTGTCTATCATATCCATGTTGTCATCTATTAACAGCCTATTTTATTTCATTTTTGTATGAGCTTTTCCTCATTATGTTATGATGCTTGATGTTCTACTGAAACCTGGACATTTTGAATGTTATCTTATGAGACTCTGAATCTTATTTGAATCTTCTCTTTAAATGACTTCCTCTGACACTGGTCTGGTTGGAGAAAGAGAAGTTGCCTCATTACTGCCAGGAGCTGTTACAATTTCAGGTTTTTCACTTAGCCTCTGTTGAGACCTGAGAGGGTACTCCTTGTTTCTACTAGTGGGAAGGATCCAGCTCCATATATGGTTTTCATTAACACTATTGAAAAAGGGTGCTTATTACCACCCAAAGATATGCCTGGATCCCTATTTAGTATTTTCTGACACAACCTTGGCTGTGGGCTTGTTGTGTCTCCTTATATTCTGTTGAGGGTAAAAATCTAGCCTTCCTACTTGGCTTTTGCTGATGTAAATGATAATTGGTCCAAAAAAAATTTTTAGATGCCTGGCTGAAGTAAAGTGATTATTGTTTAAAATTTTCTGTCTTGTCAAGATGTCCCTTCCTGGTACTTTGTCGACAGAAGTTAGGCTTTTCTTGGGTTTTGTTTTTCCTTTGTATGCTTATTAGTGTTTACATATTGCTAGTTTTTTCAGCTCCAACTCAAGAACACATGAGGAAAAAAAAAAAAAACCACAGGGAACTCACATGTCCCCACTGTTGCTCCTTGTGTCCTGAGACCACAAACTAGTGTGCCTTATTTTCTTCTATCTTCAGAGTTTTATGGCATTCTATGTGTAATGTCTAGAGTTTTTAGTTTTATTTAGTGAAATAAATAGCATAAAGCACATCTACTCCATCTTTCCAAAAGCAGAAGTCCTTAAAGGCTTATTTTAAAGCTGTTTAATTAATTCTGTCATGTGTGTGTATACACACACACACACACACACACACGTGCATATACAACTTATCAAGAATACAGTAATTTTAAAGCAATAAAATCTCTAAAATATTATTTCCATTTACATAAACAATTAACTCAAAGAAATATTCAGAATATTAAATGCTAGAAAATGTCTACCTGTTAGTAACATCTGTCATAATGAAATAATTGCTAACTTTTAAAATATTTGCTGTAAGTTACTTTTAAAGGAATATAAGATTTTGTAAAATTTTTATTTTTCCAGTTTGAATTATTTATTTTTGAACCATTATTTTATTCTCATTATAAAAATTAATTATTCTTTTTTCTGTACAATGGTTTTGATATTAAAAGACAAATTCTTTAGCCATTTTCATGTCCTCCATTACAGAGTGTCCTAGGAATCACAGTTGGAATATAGCACTTTACTTGCTGATTGGTTCCTCAGTATACCAGACAGGAGATATTACTTTTTTTTTTTCTTCAGATGGAGTTTCACTCTGTTGCCCAGGCTGGAGTGCAGTGGTGCAATCTTGGCTCACTGCAACTTCTGCTTCCCAGGTTCGAGTGATTCTCCTGTCTCAGCCTCCCAAGTAACCAGGGTTACAGGCATGCGACACCACGCCCAGCTAATTTTTTTTGTATTTAGCCGAGATGGGTTTTCACCATGTTGGTCAGGCTGGTCTCAAACTCCTGACCTCAAATGATCCCCCCGCCTCGGCCTCCCAAAGTGCTGGGATTACAGGTGTGAGCCACCGTGCCCTGCCCAATATATTACATTTTGTTATCATAACTCCTAATAATCTCGCATAAAAATAATTAATGATCAGTTATATATACATATATGAATTTAATTTCACCATGTTTCAATTTGTTTTGTAGACAGTTCGGTGAAGTACAGCTTCTTTAATGTAATTGTTGTCCTTAAGACAAGAATAAATTTGAAGCCAAAGATTTATGATACTTAGCCTGAATTTTCTTCTTTATTTTCCTTAGCTTTGGCAAGAACCCCCACTTTACTTCCATACAGATTTGAAACCAGACATAGCTCTTTCACACTAATGTTGGATCCATGTCAAATACATAGAGGACTACGAAGTTCAATGAAATGTATTCTTGCCCAGGCTCATCTCGAAATCCTGGGCTCAAACAAAAATTAGCTGGATGTGCTGGTGAGTGCCTGTAGTCTCAGCTGTTCGGGGGGCCGAAGCAGGAGAATCAACTGAGCCTTGAGAGGTGGAGGCTGCAGTGAGCCATAATCGGACCACTGTACTCCAGCCTGGGCAACAGAGTAAGACCTTGTCTCAAAAAAAAATTATTGATTCTGTTTGTAATTTCATGAAGACCCCTGAGCCCATGAATTTGAACTTTTAAAGTTTGATCTAATTTGGGGGCCTAATATTCTTGATGTTAAATACATGAAGATAATTGCAATTGAATTATTGTTACTGACTTCGCCACATTGTCTTAGGCATTTAGTGGATGGGTCTTTAAAGGTACTTTATTCTTGCATTGACTAAGATCTAAACACTGTTCAGTATGGAGCTACATACTAATCATGTAGCTATTTGGGCTTGAAATTTCCCACCTTTCTACTTAGCCACCTATATGTTACTTTGCTCTATTTACTATGTATCCGTTAATCATCTATTGTTGTAATCATGGTTCTTCATCCTTCTGGGGAGAAGTTCTGTTTTCTAATGACTCTAGAGACCATCACTATTTAATAGAGTATACATCCATCATTCTGGCTTTTATTTTGCTTTCTGCTTCTTTTAGGTGTAAAACTTAGAAACTGGAATAATTTGCATAATATGGGCAAAAATCACTGCATAAAATACAGTTCATACTATATCATAACAGCTATTTTTTTTCTTATTTTGCAATTAGACATTAATTTTGTTATTTTTCTGCACATATGTGGAAGACATTCTGTGTAACTTATTAAAGAGTGAACATTAGAGTTATAGACTGTTAGGCCAAAAGGAACCTCAGATATTTATTATTTTTCAGATAAGAAAACTAAAGCACACAGAAGTAAAATAAATAAAGGAATAAATAAATAGTAGTCAAATCGATATAAGATTCAGTCGGAAATTCAGTCCTCTAGATTTTCAGACTATTTAGTATCATTTTGTTTTGGTTTGGTTTACTTGCTTTAAGAAAAGAAATGATTATTTTAAGAAATCAAGCAAACTAGAGCTTTTTAATTCATGTTATAATAACATTGATTAGAGGCTTTTAAAATTTATCTCTGTTATAACTACACAGTGATGACTGTATACAAATATTAATTCCAATCACCCAGAGATGCCATTCATTTAATGAGATGTAATATACTCCCTCACAGGTGGCCATCTGATAGTATTCACTGTCATATATAATTTTGCCTAACTTCAGTGTGTACCTCTCCTTTTCTATAAAGCACTCATCCTCCACTAGTTTATCCTCCTTGTGATTATCCTCCTCTAGTTCATAAAAGCCATTTAGCTCTTATCTTCTCATTCATTATCACCTAGAGACAGGCCCAGAGGAACTAATTTTATTCATCTTTATTTCATCTTCCTGGGATTAGACGAGTTCTGATATTTGACTGATAGCTGTTTTTAATATTAAGGCGATACACTAATGTTATAATTTTCCAGTAATAAGAGGTACCAATGTTATTCAAAATAATTTTAATATCATGAAAATATTTTTAATATCCTGAAAATGTTAGTTTGAATAGCTTCTGCTTTGTAAACTTTCTCTTTGATTTGGCAGTTGATGCCAAATTTTCTCCAAGTTATTTTTATCAGTTCACTTAACAATATCCCAGTCTCATTAATGGAATCTCTTTTCTTATGTGACATGCCTTTCTTTGCAAAATTTTCTAGATTGCTATAAATAATCATTTGTAAGAAGTACTGTTTCTATAAAAGCATGTGCAGTATGCTTATTTAAGAAAACCATATTCAACTTATATATAGTAATCACATAATAGATATGTACTTAAGTTACTATGGTTACTCTATAGGACACTTTTAAAATGACTATTTTAAGTGTCCTTTAATTAATATATTTTATAGTGTGCCTGATTGAGTCAACCAGAATTTCCAGAAATTCTATAGTTTGTGAATAAATACAGATCCACATATGTTGATATATAAAAATGTACCTAAATAAGATAAAATTAATGTTAAAGTCATAGCTCAATGTGAATTCATGTGATAAGAATCCAAATTATGAATTTAGATTTTCATTCCTCACATTTAAGTATGATAATTGATGTCTTATTATAAAATAGCCATTTCTTTTTATGAGATAAACACCCGACTACAGTGTTTAGACTGGCAGAAATAGAAATATTTTTGACTGTTGAGTTTGGAACAAATGTGTTTTATTCATTTTTAAGTACATAAATCTACTAGTAAGGTGGAGCATCCATGATGATTCTGGAAAAGCCTGAAGTAGGAGATGACAACTAGAATTTTTTTTCTTTTTACTTTCTAATTAAAAATAATTGTTCTTCATAATGGAAAAATAATTGTACATATCTATGTGATAAAATGTGATGTGGCACTATGCTGGCACTATGTTTCCTGTCTAGTCTGCAGAACAATGAAGCAAAGAAACCTCCTCTATTTATAATTTATCCAATCTCAGGTATTTCTTAATAACAACACAAATAGACCAACACAAGGTCTTATTCATAGATTTTTTTCTTGCTAGACTAATGCCCAAAAAGTTTTCCCTAGGTTTTCTTCTAGTATTTCAAAGCCGTTAGGTCTTAAATTTAAATCATTAATTCATCTTGAGTTAGTTTTTGTATGTAATGAGAGATAGGGGTCCATTTCATTCTTTTACATATGGCAATCAAATTTTCCCAGCACCACTTGTTAAAAGGCTGTCATTTCCCCAGTTCCTGTGATTTTGTCAAAGATCAGTTGGTTGTAAATATGTGGCTTTATTTCTCTATGCTGTTCCATTGATCTATTTGTCTGTGTTTGTAGAAGTAACATACTGTTCTGCTTACTACAGACTTGTAGCATAATTTGAAGTAAGGTAATATGATGCTTCCAGCTTTGTGGTTTTTGCTCAGGGTTTATTGGGCTATTCAGAATCTTTTTTGTTTCCATATAGGTTGTAGGGTTTTTTTTTTTTTAAAGTTTTCTGGAAAACCACCTACATTTTGATAAGAATTGCATAGAATTTTTAGATTGCTATGGGAAGTATGGTTATTTTAATGATATTATTTTGTCCAATTCATGAGCATGGTATGTTTTTCCATTTGTTTGTGTAAATTACAATTTCTTTCATCATTGTTTTATAGTTTTCCTTGTAGGGATCTTTCACTTCCTTGGTGAAACATACTCTTAGGTATTTTTTGTAATTACTGTAAATGGGATAAACTTACCGATTTGATTCTCTGCTGTATTGTTATTTGTGTATAAAATGCTACTGATTTTTGCATATTGATTTTGTATTCTGAAACTGTACTGAATTCATTTATTGTATCTAACAGTTTTTTGCAAAGTCTGTAGGTTTTTCTAGATATAGCATCATATTATCAGTGAATAGAGATAATATGATGTTCTCTTTTCCAAGCTGGATGCCTTTTATTTCCCTCTCTTGCCTGACTGCTCTGAATATAATTACCAGCACTACATTATTATTATATTATTGTATAAGCCACACAATCTGTGGAAATATGTATTTCCATAGATTTTTGAAAAACGGGTGGTGTTTGGTTACATATGAATAAGTTCTTTATTGGTGATTTCTGAGATTTTGGTGCACCTATCACCTGAGCAATATACACTATATGCAATTTGTAGTCTTTTATCCCTCACCCCCTTCCCACTTTTTCACCTGAGTCCCCAGAGTCCACTGTATTATTCTTATGCTTTTGCATCCTCATAGCTTAGTTCCTACTTATGAGTGAGAGCATACAATGTTTGATTTTCCATCCCTAAGTTACTTCACTTGGAATAATGGTCTTCCATTCTTTTCAAGTTGCTGGGAATGCTATTATTTCTTTCCTTCTTATAGCTGAGTAGTATTTCATTATATATACACATATACATACATATTATATATATAATATATTATATATTATAATATATAATTAATTATATATTATAATACATAATTAATTATATATTATAATACATAATTAATTATATATTATAATATATAATATATATTTATATATATTATATATTTTATATATATATATATATACACACACACCACAATTTCTTTACCCATTCATTGATTGATGGGCATTTGGGCTGGTTCCATATTTTTGCAATTGCAAGTTGTGCTGCTATAAACATAAGTGTGCAAGTATCTTTTTTGTATAACAATTTATTTTCCTCTGGGTAGATACCCAGAAGTGGGATTGCTGGATCAAATGGTAGTTCTACTTCTAGTACTTTAAGAATTCTCCACACTGTTTATCACAGTGATTGTACTAGTTTACACTCCCATCAATAGTGTAAAAGTGTTCCCTTTTCACCACATCTATCCAACATCTATTAATTTTCTGAGTTTTTGATTATGGCCGTTCTTGCAGGAGTAAGGTGGTATTACCTTGTGGTTTTGATTTGTATTGCACTGATCATTAGTGATGTTCAGTATTTGTTCATATGTTTGTTGGCCATTTGTGTGTCTTCTTTTGAGAACTGTCTCTTCATGTCCTTAGCTCACTTTCTGGTGGAATTTTTTTTTTTTTTTTCTAATTTGAGTTCCCTGTGGATTCTGGATATTAGCCCTTTGTTGGATGTACAGATTGCGATGATTTTCTTGCATTCTATGAGTTGTCTGTTTACTCTACTGATTGTTTCTTTTGCTGTACAGATGCTTTTTAATTTAGTTAAGTCCCATCTATTTATCTTTGTTTTTGTTGCATTTGCTTTTGTGTTCTTAGGCATGAAGTCTATTCCTAAGCCAACGTCTAGAAGGGTTATTCTGATGATGTTATCTTCTAGAATGTTTATGATTTCAGGTCTGAGATTTCATCAACTAGGCACAAAGTCATCAGTTTATCTAAAGTTGAGACAAAAGAATCTTAAGAGCTGTGAAGCCAAAGCACCAATTAACCCATAAAGGAAAACCTATCAAATTAACAGCAGATTTCTCAGCAGAAACCCTACAAGATAGAAGGGATTGAAGCCCTATCTTCAGTCTCATTAAAGAAAACGATTATCAGCCAAGAATTTTGTGTCCAGTGAAACTAAACTTCATAAATGAAGGAATATAATATTTTTCAGACAAACAAATTTTGGGAGAATTCACCATTACCAAGCCAGCACTACAAGAACTGCTAAAAGGAACTCTAAATCTTGGAAACAAATTCTCAAAATACACTGAAATAGAACCTAATTAAGGTATAAATCTCACAGACCTATAAAAAATGTGATAAATATATAAAAATAACCAAGGTCTTCAGGCAACAAATAGCATGATGAATAGAATAGTGCCTGACTTCGCAATACTAACATTGAATGTAAATGGCCTAAATGCTCCACTTAAAAGATAAAGAATGGCAGAAGTGATAAGAATTCACCAACCAAGTATCTGCTGTTTTCAAAATAATCACTTAACACATAATGACTCACATAAACTTAAGGTAAAGGGGTGGAAAACGATATTCCATGCAAATTGAAACCAAAAGCAAGCAGGAGTAGCTATTCTTAAATCATACAACAAAGACTTTAAAGCGATGGCAGATAAAATAGGAAAAGAGGGAAATTAAATAATGATAAAAGGACTTGTCCAACAGGAAAATATCACAATCCTAAATATATATGCACCTCACACTAGAGCTCCCAAATTTATAAAACAATTACTATTAGACCTAAGAAATGAGATAGACAGCAACACAATAATAGTAGGGGAGTTTAGTACTCCACTCATCAAGACAGAAAGTCAACAAAGAAACAATAATTTAAGCTATACCCCAGAAGAAATAAACTTAACAGTTATTTACTGAACATTCTACCCAACAACTGCAGAATATACATCCTATTCATCAGCACATGGAACATTCTCCAAGATAGACCATATGATAGGGCACAAAACAAGTCTGAACAAATTTAAGAAAACTAAAATTGTATCAAGTACTCTCTCAAATCACAGTGGAATAAAACTGAAAATGAACTCCAAAAGGAGCCCTCAAAATGATGCAAATACACGGAAGTTAAATAACCTGCTCCTGAATGATCACTGGGTCAACAATGAAATAAAGATGAAAATTTTAAAAATTCTATAAACTGTATGATAATGGTGGCACAACCTATTAAAACCTCTGGGATACACCGAAGGTGGTGCTAAGAGGAAAGTTCACAGCCTTAAATGCCTATATCAAAAAGTCTGAAAGAGCACAACTAGACAATCTAAACTCACACCTCAAGAAACTAGAGGAACAAGAACAAACCAAACCCAAACCCATCAGAAATTAAAATAAAAAAACACAAAAAATAAAACAATAAGCTGGTTCTTTGAAAAGATAAATAAAATTGAGAGACCATTAGCAATGTAAACCAAGAAGAGAGAAGTTCCAGAAAGCTCAGTTACAAATGAAATGGGAGATATTACAACAGATACCACAGAAATACAACAGATCATTCATGGCTATTATGAACACCTTCATCCACATAAACTATATGTACATGAATTTATCCATGCACATATAAATTCCTGGAAATATACAACCCTCCAACCAGGAAGAAATAGAAACTCTGAAAAGATCAATAACAAGCAACAAGATTAAAATGGTAATTAAAAAATTGCTAACAAAACCAAGTCCAGGACCAGACAGATTCACAGCTTAATTATAGCATACAGTCAAAAAATAATTGGTACCAATTCTATTCACACTATTCCACAAGATAGAGAAAGGGAGAATCTTCCCTAAATTATTCTGTGAAGCCAGTATTACCCTAATAGTGAAACCAGAATCACCCTAATAGTGAACCCAGAAAAGGACATAACAAATAAAAGAAAACTACAGAAGAATAGTCCTGATGAATATAGATGCAAAAAATCCTTAACAAAATATTAGCTGACCAAATCCAATAGCATATCAAAACCATAATCTGCCATGATCAAGTGGGTTGCATAGCAGAGATACAGGAATAGTTTAACATATGCAAGTCAATAAGTGTGATACACCACATGAACAGAATTAAAAGCAAAAATCATATGATCACCTCAATAGATGCAGAAAACCCATTTGACAGAATCCAGCATCCCTTTATGATTAAAATCCTTGGCAAAATTGGCATAGAAGGGACATACCTTAATGTAATAAAAACCATCTGTTACAAACCCACAGCCAGCATAATACTAAATAGGGAAAAGTTAAAAGCACTCCACTTGAGAACTGGAACAAGACAAGGAAGCCCACTGTCACTTCTATTCAACATAGTACTGGAAGTCCTAGCCAGAGCAATCAGACAAAAGAAAGAAATAAAGAGCATCCAAATCAGTAAAGAGGAAGTCAAACTGTTGCTGTTTGCTGATGATGTGATGGTGTAACTAGAAAACCTTAAAGACTCCTCCAAAAAACTCCTAGAACTGATAAAGGAATTCAGCATCGTTTCAGGATACAAAATTAATGTACACAATCAGTAGCTCTGTTATACATCAACAGCAACCAATATAAGAATCAAACAAAGAACTCAACCCCTTTCATAATAGCTGCAAAAAATAAAGTAGTTAGAAATATACCTAACCAAGGTGGTGAAAAACCTTTATAAGGAAAACTACAAACACTGCTGAAAGAAATCACAGATACCACAAACAAATGAAAACACATCCTATGCTCATAGATGGGTAGAATCAATATCATGAAAATGGCCATACTTCGGAGCTTGCAGTGAGCCGAGATCGCGCCACTGCACTCCAGCCTGGGCGACAGAGCAAGACTCCGTCTCAAAAAAAAAAAAAAAAAAAATGACCATACTTCCAGGCTGGGCACAGTGGCTCATGCCTGTAATCCCAGCACTTTGAGAGGCTGAGGCAGGTGGATCACCTGAGGTCAGGAGTCTGAGACCAGCCTGACCAACATAGTGAAACCCCGTCTCTACGAAAAATACAAAAATTAGCCAGGTGTGGTGGCACGTGCCTGTAATCCCAGCTACCCAGGAGGCTGAGGCAGGAAAATCGCTGGAACCTAGGAGGCAGAGGCAGCAGTGAGCCAAAATCTGACCACTGCACTCCAGTCCCGGTGACAGTAAGACTCTGTCAAAGCCATACTTCTAAAATCAATCTGCAAGCTCAATGCAATTCCTATCAAAATACCGTCATTATTCTTCACATAACTAGATAAAGCAATCCTAAAATTCATATGGAACCAAAAAAAGCCCACGTAGTCAAAGCAAGTCTAAGTAAAAAGAGCAAATCTGAAGGCATCACATTACCTGACTTTAAACTATAATCTAAGGCCACAGTCACCAAAACAGCATGGTACTGGTATAAAAATAGGCACACACACCAAGAAAACAGAATAGAAAACCCAGAAATAAAGCCAAATGCTTAAAGCCAATTGATCTTCGACAAAGCAAACAAAAGCATAAAGTGGAGAAAGGATACCCTATTCAACAAATGGTACTCAGATAATTGGCGAGCCACATGTAGAAGAATGAAACTGGATCCATATCTCTCACCTTATACAAAATCTACTCAAGATGGATTACGGATCAGTACTACATTAAATAGAAGTGGTTAAAGTGGGTATTTTTGTCTTGTTCTAATTTTGAAAGGGAAAGCTTTCAAATGTTTCTCTTTCAGTATGATGTTGACAGTGAGTTTGGCATATATGGCTTTTATTATTTTAAAGACTACTCCTTTGATATGTTTTGTGTAGGAGGTTTTATCATGAAGAGATGCTGAATTTTATCAAATGCTGTATGTACATCTATTGAGAGGATCATATGGTTTTTGTTCTTAATAATGTTTATAGGATGTATCACATTTACTGATTTGAATATGTTGAAATATTCTTGCATCCCTGGTATAAACCCATTTGATCATGTTAGACTATCTTTTTGATGTGCTGTTGGATTTGGTTTGCTAGAATTTTCTTGAGGATTTTTGTGTCTGTGTTAATCAGGGATAGTCTTCTTTCCGGTGTTTTTATCTGGTTTTGGTATCAGAATAATAGAGCGAGTTAAGACTTCCCTCTGCCTCGATTTTTTGAAACAGTTTCAGGAATTTTTCTTTATTAAGTTTGGTAGATTTTGGCAGTAGATCCATCTGGTCTTGTGCTTTTGTTTGCTAATTCAATCTAACCACTTATTATTAGTCTTTTCAGGATTTTTAATTTCTTTCTGGTTCAGTCACAGTAGATTGTTTCCAGGAATTCATCCATTCTTTCCAGGTTTTCTAGTTTGTGAGCCTATCATCATTCATAATAGTACCTAATAATCTTTTTTATTTCTGTTTTATCAGTTGTAGTGTCTCCTTTTTTATTTTAATTTTTTTAACTTGTATCCTTTCTATTCTTTTCTTGGTTAGACTAGCTAGTGGTTTGTTCGTATGTTTATCATTTTGTAAAAACAACTTTTCAATGATTCTTTATAATTCTTTATCTCATTTAGTTCTGCTGTGTTCTTTGTTATTTTTTCTGCAGCTAATTTTGTGTTTGGTTTGTTCTTGCATTTCTAGCTTCTCGAGGTGTCAGGTTGTTTATTTGTAATATTTCTATCTTTTTGATGTAGGTATTTCATGCTATAATCTTCCTTCTTAGCATTTGTTTTGGTGTGTCCCACAGGTTTTTGTAGTTTATGTTTCCATTTACACTTGTTTCACAATTTTTAAAATTTGTGGTAATTTCTTTGTTGACCCAATTCTTCAGGAGTATGTTGTTTAATTTTCATATATATGTATAGTTTCTGAAGTTCCTCTTGGTATTTATATCTAGTTTTACTCCATTGTGGTCTGAAAGATATTTCACATAATTTTGATTATTGAAATTTCATTGAGACTTAGGTTTGTAACCTAACCTATTGTCTATCATGGAGAATGTTCCATGTATGAAGAGAATAATGTACATGATACAGTTGTTGGGTAGAATGTTTTGTAAATATTTGTTCAGTCCATTTGATCTAAAGTCCAATTTAAGTCCTTTGTTCCTTGTTTGATTTTTTGCCTTGATTATCTATCTAACATGTGAATGGGATGCTAAAGTACACCACTCTTATTATATTGGAGTACATATGTTTGACATCTAATATTATATGCTTAATATATCTAGGTGCTCCAGTGTGAGGTGCATATAGGCTTAGAATTGTTATATATTCTTGCTAAATTGATCCCTATATCATGAGTAATGACTGTCTTTGTTTAATTTTACTGTTTTTGATGTAAAGTCTGTTTAACTTACATATGTATAGATATATGTTATCTATATATGTATAGATATATGCTATGTATACATATATGTTATATATAGATATATAACTATATATACATATATACTATATATACATGTCTATAGATTGTATATATCTATACATATATAAATTATAGATATGAATATAGCTATATAAGTTATACATAAGCCCAGGGACCTGAGAACCCACCCACATACCCAGTCCACCACTGCTACTACTATGACTTGAACAAACCACCTGTAGGCCTAAGACCTCCAGGATTCACTAACAACAGTGTCACTATCAGCTGCTCCTGATCTAAGAATAAGAACACTCAACCCACAACTGCCACCACTGGGGCCCAGAGACTGACATACCTGGTGTCCTAGTTCCAAGCAAAACTTCATAATTGCTTCTACTAATAGAAGTAATCAGTGGTGCTTCTAAGCCACCAAGGAAATCACAGATACCAGTGACCCCATTTACTGTCAGAGAATTCATATAGAGATCACACTACCATAGGCAACCAAAATCAAAGCTAAAGTGTCTTACTCAACCAAAAATATATGTACGATTCAGGAAAAAAAATCTTCCCGTATGAAAGCAATTTCAAAAAATTGGAAGAAGTGACTGTTACACCAGATATGCAGGTATCAATATAAAAACATATAATAGAAAACATGAAAAAAAGAGAAAATACTTCACCACCAAGAGACCATGACATTTGTTCAGCAACAGATCTCAACACAAAACAAATCCTTGAAATGCCAGATAAATGATTCAAAACATGGATTTTAAAGAAGCTCAATGAAAGGCGAGATAATTTAAAACAAATTTATAAAATCAGAAAAATCAACTTAGGGTATTAATGAGAAATTTGCCAGGGGTATAGCTATGCTGGGGAAAAAAAAAAGAAATTCTAGAACTGAAAAATATATTGAAGGAAATACAAAATACATTTGAAGCTTCAGTAATCGACTAGACCTAGCAGAAGAAAGAATCTCAGAACTCGACGACCAATCTTTTAAAATAATCCAGGCAGATAAAAAGAAAAAGAAAAATAGAAGAAAAAAGAAGAATCACAGACTTTGAGACATTATGGACTACCTAAAGCAACTAAACTTATGTATTATCAGTATTCCAAAGAGGGGAGATAAAAAAGTTTAGAAAGCCTATTTAAGGCAATAATTGATGAAAACGTCCCCAGTTTAGCAAGGGAGTTAGAAATCCAGATATACATTATAAGTAATCCCCATGAAAATACATTACAAAAAGTACTTCACTGTGGCATAATATAATCAGAATGTATAATGTTAAAGTGAAAAAAATAATTTTAAAATTAGCAAGAGAAAAGCATCTAGTTAAAGGAAAACTTCATTAGACTGATAGAGAACTTATCAGCGAATACTTAGAAGCCAGAAGAGAATGGAATGGTACTTTTTTTTTCTTTTTGAGACAGAGTCTTGCTTTGTCGCCCAGGCTGCAGTGCAGTGGCATGATCTCGGCTCACTGCAACCTCCGCCTCCTGGGTTCATGCCATTCTCCTTCTTCAGCCTCCCAAGTAGCTGGGACTACAGGCACCCGTCATCATGCCCAGCTAATTTTTTGTATTTTTAGTAGAGACAGGGTTTCACCGTGTTAGCCAGGATGGTCTTGATCACCTGACCTCATGATCCAACTGCCTCGGCCCCGCAAAGTGCTGGGATTACAGGCATGAGCCACTGCGCCCAGCCAGAATGGTACTTTTAAAGTGCTGGGAAAAACACAAAAACAAAAACAAAACCTGTCAGTCAAGAATTTTTTCCAGCAAGTAAAATCTTCATAAATGAGTGAAAAAAAACAACTTTCAGAGACAAGAAAATGTTGAGAAAATTCATCGCTAATAGACTAGCCCTACAAGAAATGCCCAAAATCATTTCAAACATGAAAGTGAAAAATGTATATTCACCATCATGAAAACACATGAATGTGTAAAACTCACAGGGCTTATAAAACAATGACACAATGTAGGGAGATAAAGGAATCAAATATCAACATGGCAGATTTTTACCAAACCACAGAGGCATAGAAAAATAAACAATCAAAGAATTTATGAAAACAACTAGAAAACAATTAACAACATGACAGGAAAAAACTGTAGATATCCTTAATAACTTTGGAGGTGAATGGATTAAATGACTCAATTAAAATTTATAGATTGACAGAATGTATTTAAAAAAAGTGATCCAACAATATGCTGCTTACAAAAAACTGCACAATCTTTTGGATGTTTCTTCAGTTGACTCTCTGTCTCTCTCAATCTCTCTCTTTCTCTCTCTCTCCCTGTGTGTGTGTGTGTGTGTCTGTGTGTGTGTGTGTGTGTGTGTGTGTGTAATCCATGACCAAATGGGGTTTACACTAATGATGAAATATTGGTTTAATATCCAAATATTAATCCATGTAATACATTAAATCTACAGGCTTAAAAGAACATTTTATAGTCATAGCAACCGATGAAGAGAAAGGATTTGACAAAATTCAATCCCAATCATAAGAAAAATACTCATAAAATAAAGAATAGAAAAATGTTTTCACCTTGATAAAAAAACTTAAACACAACTTACAGCTGATATATCTAATACTTAAAGGATGAATGCTTTTCTCCTAAGATCATACTTCATATATTAAGATACGGCTTGTTCAAGTTGAAACAAAAGTAAAAGAAAAATACACAGATACTAATCAAAGGAAAACAAGATTGACATTATCAATATCAGATCAACTAATCTTCATAGCAAAGCAATTTATTAGCAAGCATGTCTACACTCACTACTGCTATTCAACATGATACTGGAAGTTATAAATTTAACAATAAGACAAGAAACAAAAATAAAGTGATACACATCAAAGAAAGTAATAAAACTATCCATACAAGGAGATAGCATGATCATCTTCAGAGAAAATACCGAGTAATATAGTAAATAGCAAATAGAACTAATAAGTGTGTTCAGCAAAGTTTCATGATAGAAGACTTATATACAAAAGCAATTATATTTCTATATACAATTAATGAACACATGGAAATCAACAGAAAAAAATAATTTGCAACCACTGATAAAGAATATTAATGTAGATTTAAATAAATAAAAAGCCATACCATATTCATGGATTGAAAGGCTCAATGTAGTAAATTGTCATTTCTTCTGAAATTGATGTACAAGTTTAACACAGCATTTATCAAAATCCCTGGACAATTTTTGTAAATATAGACATGATTATTCTAAAATGTATAGGGAAATCAAAGGAAGTAATAAAAGTAAACAATTTTATAAAAGGATAACCTAATCTTATGAATCACTCTTAACAGTTTCAAGACAAGTTGGTACAGTAATCCACAAATGAATGGAATAGAATAGAGTACTCAGAATTAACCCTATGCAAATACACCAATTTGAGTTTTGATATGTTAAAAAACAGTGCAATAGAGGAAGAATAATCTTTTCAACACATCACGCTGGGAAAATTGGATATTGAAATAAAAAACAAATGTTTATCTAAGCCACGTAAATTACAGAACATTTCTCTCAAAATTTATCATAGATTTAAAAGTAAAATGTAACATTTTAAAACTTCTGTAAAAAATCATAGGAAAAAATATTTCAGTCCTGGATCTTCACAAAAAGATGTTACCATGGTACCAAAAGCATCATTCATAAAAATAATATTTCACAACTTGGACTTCATCAGAATTTAAAATTTTTGCTGTATAAGACTTGGTTAAGAAGACAAAAATATAAGGTGAAATCTAGGAAAATAAGAGTTTCTGATCACATATCTGAAAAAGGAATTATTTTAGATTATATAAGAACTCTTAAATCTCAACAATAAGAAAAAAATACAAATATCTCTATTAGAAAGTGGACAGAAGACATGGAGATACATCTAACTAAACAGTTATACAGATAACAGGTAAGCACATATAAAAGATACTGAACATCACTAGCCATCAGGAAAATGCAAATAGATAACATTATGAGACATTACTGTATACCTATCCGAAAAAAATATAAAATATAATGATAACAAACCCTTACAAGGATGCAAATAAATTGGATCACTTATATACTACTGACTGGTTGGAATGTAAAAACAGTACAGTCTTTCTGAAGGAAAGTTGTTTCATGATGTCTTAAAATACTGATCATATATTTACCATATGACCTAGCATTCATGCTTATCTCAAAGAATAAATTATATCCACAGAAAAAACTGATACATAATTTATCAAAACAATTTGATTTGTAATAGCCAAACAATGGATTAACTAAAACACACTGCAATAGATAATAATTAATATACCAAACTATGGTACATCTATACCATAGATTACTATTCACCAATACAAAAATATTTATACATCTAAAAATGTGGATAGAACTCAAAGGTATTTAATTGTGTGTGTAACAAAAAAAGGTCAAAAAGATTGTATGATTCCACCTATATAACATCCTTAAATAAGAAAATAGGTATTGAGAATAAATTATTTGTTGCCTGGGTATTGGAAAGGTGCGTAGGCAGGAGTAACATTAGGGAGATAAAATAATTCTGTATTTTGATCGCTGTGGTGCTTACATAAATCTACCCATGTGACACACTGACAATGATTTGTACATACACATTGTATGAGTGTTAATCTGTCAGTTTTTTATATTCTACTATAGTTAGCAAAAATGTAATTATTGGGGGAAACATGGTTAAAGGAATATACTGTCTTTGCAACTTCCTGTGAATTTACATTATTCCAAGTTTAAAAACTTAGCAAAAAGTACAAATTTAGCCAGTTAAATTCAGTGATATGTTTTTAAATGTCATGAACCATGGGGTTTCTTCTCAAGTTTCTTGATATATTTTATTTTCACTTGCATTCACTTGCAAATTTTCTTAGTCTTAAACTTTATTTGCAGAGACAAATTTGAAACTATAATTGTCTTACATATCCTATCAAATATTCTCTTCATTTCAAGAGCACCCTGTTGAAGTTCTCTCTTCCTCAATTTTTATTAGACTGATTCCTCTCAGCCTATAACACATTTCAAGCTGAAGCTTCTCTTCAATGTTTTCCTCCTTACATCAAATATCTTTTCATACCTTTTATTCCTCCATCTAGGTCGCTTTCTTATTAATAAAATCTATTCTCAAGTGACTTTTAAAAATTGTATTGCGGAAGAAAACTTTAAGGAGGCATGACATGTGAAGAAATGTTTTTATTCTCTAATAACGATTCAACATTTTGTGGGAATATCATTAGTCTAGATTAATTATATTTATCCTCTCAAATTTGAAGGGCTTCCTCTATTATGTTCTAGGACTTAGAATTGGTGATGAGACATTTGAACTTTATCTCATTGTTATTCCTTTTGTAAAACACCTGCCTTTTTTTCCATTTCTTTGGAAATGTTTAGAGCCTTCCTTTTACCATTTATATTCTTGAATTTCACTATGACATAAAGTTTGGACTTTCCTAATTTATATGTTTCAGAATTCTTTAGACCATTCTTTTACTGTTTATTTGATATATATATTTTTTGCTGTGTGTTCTCTGCTCCCTTTTTCTGTGAGTATTAGTTGCATATTGGCAATACTTCCCATGGCACTGCATCTGTCTGAATTTTTGGAAGGGTCTCTTACTTCATCTATTAACCCTTCAATGTATCTAGTCAATATATTAATTTGTATATCATATTGAAAACTTTGTTTGAATAAAACAATTTTGACTTTTTGTGATGAGGACATTACAAATTTATTCTCAGTAATGTTGAAATGTGCAGTACTCAATTATTATCTATATTCAGCATGCTGTGCTATTTTTCTAAAAATATGTATTTTTCTACCTGAGGCTTTGTACCCTTTGAATATCATCTCCCCATTCTCCCAACCCCCTCCCCCAACCCCTCATAATCACTATTCTACTCTATACTTCCATGGCTTCAATTGTTTTAGATTCCACATATAACTTAGACATGCAGTGTTTGTCTTTCTATTTTTGTCTTATTTCACTTAGCATAATGTTCTCCAATTCCACCAATGTTGTCACAAGTAACAGAAGTTTTTTCTTTTTAAGGCTAAATAGTATTCTATTGTGTATATATACCATATGTCTTAATCCATTCCTTTATTAACGAACACTTAGGTCGATTTAATAACTTAGATATTGTGAACAATCCTGCAATGAACGTGGGAATGTAGACATCTCTTTTAACACACTGATTTCAAATCTTTCAAGAAAATACAGAGAGGAATTTCTGGTTCATATGGTAACACTATTTTTAGTTTTTTGGGCAACCTTCATATTTGTATTTTTCTGAATTTTCCTATTCAAAAGTGTCTTATTTTTGTTTATAGTTTCAATACCTAATATCAACCTAAATGCCCTTGAAGATAGTGGTTAAATTATTGTTACTGAAATCATCTTTTTTCTAAAACATTTATTTTCTTCCAGAAGTTTTCTTCCTGGTTTATCTTGTTCTTTCTCTGCACCTATAGACTTTTCTCAAACAACTGGTTAAATATTTCAGATCCACTCATATTTTAGAATGAAGCACTGATGTCAGTTTCAGAGCTCCCTGTATGTAATGTTGTTTGTTTACAGAAAATAGCTGACCATTATGTCTTTGAATTTAAATTGCCAGTAATTAGAGGGCTTTTTACCTGATGTAGCATTGATTTAGTTCCTAGGAATGCTATAAGAAATTACTACCAATTTGATGGCTTTAAACAACAGGAATTTATTCTATTGCAATTCTAGAGACCAGAAATCTGAAGTCAAGGTGTCAGCAGTACCACAGTCCCTTTGAAGGCTTTAAATGAGAATCATTACTGCCTCTTCCAGACTCCAGTACCTCCAATCAGTCCTTGACAATACTTAGCTTGATGTCGCACATCTACACCCTCTGCCTCCACCTTCATAAGGCTCTGTCTGTATCTGTCTTCTCCTCTTTTTATGGATTTTTCCTTTTTCATTGGATTTAGGGACCACCAGCACAATCCAGGATGATCTTATGGGGAGAATCTTAGTTTAATTAAATTTGAAAGGCCTTTTACTTTTCTACAAATAAGGACAAATTTACAGATTCTGAGTAGACATATCTTTTGGGAGGCTGCCATTCAACCCACTACAAACAATATATACTAATCTTCTCAAGATAATTCAGGTAAGTTAAGATAGTTTTCTTTAGGTTTGAAAGAAGGAAAAACTCACCTATTGACCTAAGATTTATTGACAAATATTCTTGCAATGATGATTTAGAAATAGGAGTTGTTGGAAGTTCATATAAAGAACTTCAGTATATATCTCATTCTTTTCAGCCTTGCTCCTCAATATGCTCTCTGTTGCCCCTGCCATCCTTGAGGCTGAAACTCCTCTTGGGCACCGCCATGCTGGCCAGTATTCTTCTCCATGCACTCCAGTCAAGGGCATTTCTTAACTGTAGGTTTCATCTGTCATGGTAATTCATGTGTATTCCTCCATCTACTTTCTCTTCCCCAGAAAACATTCAAATCCTGAGGTTTATCACTAGACTCTCCCATTTTTTGTTGATGAAGAATAATACTTACAAAAATAGTAACTATCATTCATATGGAATCTCAGAAGACAGAAATAAAAAATGCTTATTCTGTTTATGCTACATCAACTTTCTAAGTTTGTCTCCTCCTGTATAAATTAAAAATCATTTTACATTATTATTCATATATATGAATATGAACTTTCTATTAATATTAAATGCTATATTGCTTATATGACTTTATATGATAGGAAGTATTCAATAAAGGTTGGCTATTATAGAAAGTGGATCTCAGCCAGACACTTAAAGAATTAGTAAATCATTTGAAACATTATTAGAGAAAATATATTCACTTAGACTCTTAATAGATTTTTCAAAATTGTGCCTAATTTAAAAGCAGATATTAATTATGAGAGCATTTGCTACTGAAATATTAAAATGCAAGGATTTTCTGTTTTTAATCTCAATAGAATGTAATGTGACTTCCTGGGACTTGTGAAAATAACATTTGCCATTTCCCATTCCCCACCTTTGAAGGGAATATACATTAATACATAAATATAAGTTGTGAATTTCTTCTCTTTTAAATTTTTTCATGAATTCATCAGTTTAAAGGGAAAGAGTTTGTGCAGATCACACAATTGATACTTAAAAATTCTTAACTATGAGCTGAATTTTGAAAGACATCCATAATTTACTTTTATGCTTGAATAAATTACATAGTATTCAAGAAATGTTATTTATCACTTTAAAATTAGGCAACTGAATTCCCCCTCAGGAGAAAAGATTGATTTTCTGTTTACTGAAGTTAATTAAAGTGCAAAGTTGTAATCTTTTCACTCTTTGCTAGACAGGAAGTTACTTTAATTCTGAGTCTGTATTAGTCTTGCCAGAGTAATGAGAATAATTATTGTCATTTATTGAACTAGTAGTTTTGTGGCATAGGGTCTTTGATAAATGATAATGTGTTTTGCTTTAGTGTCTGTAGTCCTAGTGATTACTATAGTGCACAGCACATAGTAGGCATTCAATATAGATATTCTATTAAAATCACTTCACTATTATTTAGATCAACTTCTGAGTCAAGTCAATTGTAGGAAAAATGTGTTCTACATAAACAATGAAACTAAGAACATCTGCCTATATAAAATGTTTCAAAGCTAAGACAGTAAAATGCTACATATGACATTACTTAGTTTTAAAATGAACGTAGCAGATATCATTCTCCACATATTCCTGCTTTCTAACTAACAATTATTTACTGAGTACATATTACATGTATATGTATTGAATATATATTATGTAAGTCTCACAGTACCCAGCAAAATTTACAAAGAGTAAAAGTCATTTTTCCCCTACCAAAATAGACTGTTACTTCATTAGCATGATGTGAGCTTTTTTGTTGCAAACAACCTAAGCATCCATAATTAGGTTTACCATGAAAATACATCTTACCTACAGATATTTAGTGACATATTTGGGACATATTTATGATTAGTTCAGTTACAAGAGTAGAATGCCAAACAATACAAATACTATATGAACAATTTTGTTGAAAGAAAAAGAAAAACACAATATGCTCTGAAATGCTAATGGTGGCTATCTTTGTAAGCAGTATTTGTCTATATTTTAAAAGATTTTTATATTTTATTATTTCTGCAATTAATTCATATTACTTTTAAAATCTAATAAAATTTGTGAATGTTATTCAATAGCTGATTCTAGAGTTAATTACTAAATGAGTACAGATAGGCCAATACAATTAAATTGTTAAGGCTAATAACAGTCATTAGCATTAATTTGGGAAAAAAAATTGTGTTTTATCTTGTGATGCTTATTCTGCAATTCCAAGAACAGTTACAGAATATGTCTTCAAAAACATCACCCTGATAAGGGTACAATGGCATAGCTGTTTTTCTACAAATATCTTTAGTAAGACACAAAATGCCATTTTTATTGAACTTTCAAATATTGTTGTATTAGACATGTTTTATCTAATCTATGTAGATAATATTGTTTTATTAGAAATGAATGTACAAAACAAACATTCTAGTTACATCTATGACCACTAGCTAAATCACTGATCCCAATATATACACGTTGGTGGTAGGTAGAACTCAAAAAAGAACATATTAGATATAGATTATGGATCTGAAAAGAAATAAGTATCAAGCATTTATGTTGAAAAATCATTACTTTGATGGAAAAAAAGTAATTTTGTAAAGTAATCCTCCAATGTAGGCAGGCTCTCTTACACTGGCTATGTCAAAAGTAGCCTACTGAAAGCATGTGGAAATTCCATCTGTGGTGAAACAAAAGGAACTGGATTTAGCCTCCCATTTTAAACTACCAAAACACCACATAAAATATATAAAACAACTGTACAGTTTATAGTGGCATGAAATGGAAAGGTTAAAAAAATTCTTACTCAATCCAAAAAAAGGAATAAAGGAATGAAAACAAGAAACAATAAACAGAGTGCACAAATGCAAGATATATATGCAGGTGGTAGATTGAAATCTAACAATATTAGTAATATTAATACATGCAAATGTTATAAATACTCCAAATAAAAAGTACAGATAAGAAAATTAATAAAAGCAATACCCAACAATTGACTGTCTAAAAGGACCCCACTTTAAATTAAGAAAACACATATCGCATAACAACGAAGGCATGGAAGTTCTACTGTGCAATAACTTATCATAAGAAAGTAAAGTTGCTATATTTATATCCAAGAAAGTAGACTTCAGAAAAGGAATATATCGAGAATAAATACAGAGATTGCATAATAATAAAGATGATTTTATCAAAAGATATAAAAACTCAGTTTTGTATAAAATCATTAACTGAGCTTCAAAATTAATTAAGTAAAATGTGATAAAAGAGAAAAGTAAGTTAGAAAAATCCACAGTTAGAGTTGGAACTTTCCATAATCTTCTACAAGTAGTTGATGTTTAAAAACTGGAGAAAAATCTTTAAGTATATAAAAGGCCTAATCAACACAAAAAAGCAACCTGCCAGAATTAATATTTACTGGACAATTTCACCCCCAAATACCAACTATATCCTTTTCAAGTACACAAGGATTATTCACCAAGACAGGTTAAGTTCTAGGGCATAAAAATAATATATTAAAAATAGCCAACTCATACAACATATGTTACCTGATAAGTATAGCAGTAAATTTTAAATCAATAACAGAAAATATCTGAAAAAAATCAGATATTTGAAAGTTAACCCACTTAACAAAATCTATGTGCCTAGGGGGAAAATTATAAGAAGAAATATAAAATATTTTGAAATGAATGAAACTAAAATAATAATATGAGCAATATTTAGACATACCTATAATAGTGCTTACAGGAAAAACTAGATCTACAAATTTATACATTGAAAATAAGAAAGATCTCAAAGTAGTCATTTATGTTCATACCTTAAAAACATGAATAAAAACATGAATAAAAGAGCAAATGAAGCCCACAGTAATATAAAAGATGAAATAAAAACCGGAAACAGAGAAAATTTTTGTAAACCAAAACGTTTTTAAAGATTGATAAAAATGAGAAACCTAGAGCTCCATTGATCAAGGGAAAATAAAGACACAAATGACCAATATCACAAATGAACAAGAAGACATCCCAAGATATTCTAAAGATACTAAAAGAAAATATGATTTAACTTTATGCCAATAAACATAGATGAAGTAGAAAAATTCTTTAAAATACTCAAATTACTAAAATTTACTCAAGAACAAAAGAAAAATAATAAATAATAATTCTGAACTTAATAAATAATTTATAAATAAAATCTTTCTGGAAAGCAAATGCCAAGATATGTAGGCTGCATTGGTAAACTTTATCAAACACTTACAGAAATAATTTCAATCTCATACAATCTATTTCAGAAAACAGAGGAAAAATAATTGTTTGGAACAATTTGCAACACATTTAATAAGCCTAGCATTACATAAATATCAATATAGGAGAAAAACATCAACCATAAAAACAAACCCCCAAAATCAATTATATTTTTATGAAGTTGAAACAATTATAGTTATATTAAAATTGTTTTATAATATCATCTAATATGAACTCAGGATGTAAGACTAATAAAATATGTTTAGAAATTGTACACAGGAGACAATAAAACACTACTGAGCGAAATCAAATAAACACTAAATAAATGAGAGAATATACCATGCAGTGATTTCAATTTTCCACAAAATGATCTAGTATTTCAATGTAAAAATAATTAAATCCCAAAGAGTGTGTGTGCGTGTGTGCGCACATGTGTGTCTGTGTAAACTGAGAAGCTAATTCTAAAATATATGTGGCAGTGCAACAAGCTAATATAGAAGGGTGATTTGAAGAATCAAAACCTTGGGGAACTTAGACTACCATGTGTTAATACTTACTATAAAACTATAGTAAGGAAAACAGTAGGGTTGGTGCAAGAATAGAGGAGTAAGCCAAAGGAACCAAAGCAGTCGTCCAGAAATAAACTTGCACATCAATGAATAGTTGGTTTATTACAAAAGACAATTTTTTCCAATAAATAGTACTCAGTCAACTGGATATTCTTGTGAGATAAATTACTGTTGACTCCTACCTCATACAAAAGAATAACATTGGTTTGTAGATCTACAAAAACAGATACCCAAATGGCCAGTAAATAAACAAAAAGGTACTCAACTTCATGTTGTAAGGTAAGTATAAACTAAAATTATTACTAGATACATACATACCTTTCAAAATGACTAAAATTTATGAGCCATATACCTAATATTAACAGATACATGAAATAATTTTAGCTCTTCTAAACTCTGTGTATTACTTTTCACATGGCTATAAAGATACAGCCTGAGACTGGGTAACTTATGAAGAAAATAGGTTTAATTGACTCACAGTTCCACATGGCTGGGAAGGCCTCAGGAAACTTAGAATCATGGTGAAGGCTAAGGGAAAGCAAGGCATGACTTACATGACAGGAAGAGAGAGCGAGAGGAGAAAGGGAAACTGCCACTTTTAAACCATCAGATTTTGTAAGAACTCCCTCACTATCATGAGAACAGCATGGGAATGACCTCTCTCATGATCCAATCATCTTCTGCCAGGTTTCTCCCTTGACAGATGAAGATTACAATTTGTGATGAGACTTGGATGAGGACACAGAGCCAAGCCATATCATTCTGCCCCTGGACCCTCTCAAATTTTATTGCTTTTCACATTTCAAAACCAATCATGCCTTCTAAACAGGCCCCCAAAGTCTTAACTCATTCCAGCATTAACCCAAAAGTACAAGTCCAAAGTCTCATCTGAGACAAGGCAAGTCACTTCTGCCTATGAGCCTGTAAAACAAAACAAAACAAAAAACAAAATTGTTACTTCCAAGATACAATGGGAGTACAAACATTGGATAAATGTTCTCATCTTAAAACTCCAACATTTTCTTTTACTCCATGTCTCACATCCAGAGCTGATGCAAGGGGTGTCCTCCCAGGACCTTGGGAAACTCCTGCCCTGTGGCTCTGTAGTTTACAGCCCTCGTGGCTGCTTTCATGGGCTGGCGTTGAGTGCCTGTGGCTTTTCCAAGTGCATGGTAAAAGCTGTCAGTAGATCCACTATTCTGGGGTCTGGAAGGCGGTAGCCCTCTTCTCAGAGATCCACTAGGTAATGCCCCAATGGGGACTCAGTGTGGGGGCTCTGACCCCAAATTTCCCCTCAGCATTGCCCTAGTAGAGATTCTCCATGAGGGCTCCACCACTGCAGGAGACTTCTGGCTGAACATCCAGGTGTTTCCATACATCCTCTGAAATCTAGGTAGAGGCACCCAAACCTCAACTCTTGTCTTTTGTGCACCTGCAGGCTCACCACTGCATGAAAGCCACTAGGGCTTGGAGCTTGCACTCTCTGAAACAATGCCCTGAGCTGTACCTTGGCCCCTTTTAGCCAAAGCTGGAACTGGAGTGGCTGGGACACAGGGCACCAAGGCCCAAAGCTTCATAGAGCAGTGGGGCCCTGGGCCTGGGCCACAAAACTATGTTTTCCTCCTAGGCCTCTGAGCCTGTGATGGAAGGGGCTGTCATTAAGTTCTCTGACATGCCCTGGAGACATTGTTCACATTGTCTTGGCTATTAACATTAGGCTCCTCTTTACTTATGCAGATTTATGCAACCAGCTTGAATTTCTCCCCAGAAAATGAGTTTTTCTTTTCTACCACATGGTCAGGCTACAAATTTTCCCAATAAGTTTTTTATCTCTATCTTAAACCACCTCGGCCTGGACTTCATTTCATTTTCCATATCACTTTCAGCATTTTGATCAAAACCATTCAACAAGTCTCTAGGAAGTTCCAACCTTTCCCATATCTTCTTGTCTTCTTCTGAGTTCTCCAAACTGTTCCAGCCTCTGCCTATTACCCATGTCCAAAGTCGCTTCCACATTTTCAAGTTATCTTTATAGCAGTACCCTACTCCTGTTACCAATGTTTTTTATTAGTCCCTTTTCACACTGCTATAAAGATAATACCTGAGACTGGGTAATTTATAAAAAGAAAAGGTTTAATTGACTAACAGTTCTACATAGCTTGGAAGGCCTCAAGAAACTTAGAATCATGACAGTCGGTAAAGGTGAAGCAAGGCATATGTTACATGGCAGCAGGAGAGAGAGAGAGAGTGCAGTGGAAACTGTCACTTTTAAACCATCAGGTCTCATAAGAACTCCCTCACTATCAGAAGAACAGCATGAGGAAAACTGCCCCCATGATCCAATCACCTCCCACCAAGTCCCTCCATTGATATGTGGAGATTACAATTTGAGATGAGATTTAGGTGGGGACACAGAGCCAAACCATATTACACTGCTAGTAAAAGTATAAATTGGTACAAACAAATTAGAAAACCATTTGAAAGTCCAACAATAGTTGAACTTCTGCATTATCATGGTAGGCGTAATGGCCTTCCAAAGATGTTCACAGTTTAAGCCCCTGAAGTTGTACGTTATCTGGTAAAAATGATTTTGCAGATGTGATTAAATTTATACACCTTGAGGTGGGGAGACTAACCTGTATTTTCTGAGTGGGTTCCATCTATTTACATCAGTTATTGGAGATAATTGGTCAGAGAGGGAAGAGAGAGAAAAAGAATCAGAAAGATGCTATGTAAGGACTAGACCCACAATTGCTGGCTTCGAAGATGGAGAAAAAGGTCCATGAACCATGGGATGAGGCAGTTTCCAAAATCTGCATATGGCCCTCAGTTTATAGACAGCAGGAAAACAGAGACCACAGTTCTGCAACCACATAGACTTGAATTCTGCCAAAAACCCAAATGAGGAGGGGTTACATTTACTCCTACAGTCTCCAGAAATGAACACAGCCATGTTGACACCTTGGTCTTAGTTTGGTTGAGACCTTGTCAGATTCATGTCTTACAGATCTGAATAACAATAAACTTGTATTGTCTAAGCTGATAAATTTGTAGTGAATGTTAAGCTAATAGCAGAGAAAACAAAATTATCTGTAATCTAGACTACCTGATTATGGTTGTATTTCTACCAGAAATCTATACATAACACAAATGTTTCTCAAAAGAAAAGTGACCCATTACATTGAGCTCTATTTATACAATGGTGAATATATAGTAATGGAAATAATAGCATGGTCATATCTGACAGTGATAATACTGCATGAAGGAAAAATAATGCCAAATATTACAGAATGTGTGATTCATCTATATGACATTTTTAAGAAAGTAAACCAATCATATTAGAGATCAGTAGAGTAGTAGCCTATGTGGAGAAATGTATTTGGCTGAGAAAGGGCCACAGACAGGAATTCTAGGGTGCTGGGAATTTTTAATTGACAAACAATAACATTTTTTATGGTTAGTGGCTACAAAATCTATTTACTTTGTATGAATTTTCGAGCTGTATTATTTATTGTTTGTGTGTCTTTAAGTACAAATGCATGGTTCAAAAATATGCAACAGGCCAGGTGTGCTGGCTTATGGCCATAATACCAATGCTTTGAGAGGCTGAGGCAGGAGGATGTCTTAAGGCCAGGAGTTAGAGAACAGCCAGAGAAACATACCAAGACCCCATCTCTACAAAAAAATTTAAAAATATACCCAGGCATGGTGTTGGATGTCTGTAACTCCAGTTACTCAGGAGACTGAAGCTAGAGGGTCACTTGAGTCCAGAAGATTGAAGTTGCAGTGAGCTACAGTTGCACCACTGCACTTCAGCCTGGGCAACAGAGTGAGATCCTAATTCTAAATGACTAGTAGTAATAAAAAATATTTTTAAAACTTTAAAAATATAAAATATAAAACAAAATAAGCAAGAATATATTTGGAAGGCACATTATGTATTTTCAAATACTGCCATGGTTAGCACTAGAAGTTGTCTAATACAATACTGGTTAGTGAACTGGTGTAGTACCTCAAACTTTTAACCAGTCCTCTATATGATGAGAGAAAACTTTTTTAAACTTCTTTACCATTCCGACCAAGCAATTTTTTATTAATTGTCTCTAATAACAAAATCAACTTTTATTTTGTATGCTTGCTCTTTTATTTTATTTCATTATCTAATTGATTTAGATTTTATTTTACAAAGATATTTTTCTTCTGTGGATAGTTTGAGAGTCACCAGTCCAATAATGTGGGAGAGTATGCAGAGTGAACTAAATTCACTTCAATATGCAGTCAAATATGAAAATCCACCTGGAATAACCAGTTTCTTGTTTCACAATTTTTTTTAGACTTGGCATAATTAATGCTTTCTATCAAGGTCAGAATGGAGGCTACTCACTGATGATAAAACCTACAGCATTGCTGGGAACAGCTACTGTACTCTCATTTTTATGAGGCATTTTGAAAGTTATAAAAAGCATATTTACATACCACTTTGTAAAGCCTGACTTTTCGTTAGAACAATTTACTGTGTTTCTCAATTAATTTTATTCATTTTCAAGTCCAAAAATTTTTTGTTTGCACTCTTAAAAATGAAAGAGCTGTTACCGTGTTGGCTTCATTAGCTGAAAAAGACCACGAACAGTTAAATTATGTCTGTTATATAACTTAACGGATGATTCTAAAAAAATCTGTTAAAGACAATGACAATAAAATTTATTTTAAAATTTTATTCATAATTCAAAATAAAGCTTTGCAAGTTTATTTTTTCATATTTAAACATTTATGAATACCATAAATGTTATAGTAAATAAGGGTTAAAAATTTAACATTAACACTATTTTGCAGTGATAATGCAAACATAAATTTGGTAGAACAGTGACATGATGAACAGTTTTCTTAGTCTTACTAAATTAAAAACTAAGAATAGAAATATACTATAGTTTTATTACAGTGCATACTTATTGTTTAAGTCCATGTAAGCAAGCTACAAAACCAATAAATATAGACGCTGTAGCTTTCAAATTTAGAAATGTTTTTTAAGCACTCACAATTCTAAGATACTTTTAATATAGCTATATGGAATTGCAAATTTTGTGCAAACAGACAAAAAAAGTAAAGTAGAAGTACTTCAGAGTGAAAATACACACTTTTTTCTTTTTGCTGCCTATTATCAACTTGATTTCAGAAATTATTTGACTCAAGGACTATTTTATTAATCAATCTAAATTCCTATAATGTGTTGCATGGATTTTATGAGTCCTTTAAGTTTTGTCCAAAGTCATTGGTAAATTGTAAATCATTGTATTATTGAAGTTATTTAATGAAAAGAAAGTTAAAACTTTAGATTTAATAAACTGTGATTTTCAAAAATAAAACTAAAATACAGTAAGATATCTAAATGTATCTTTAAAAAAGCAAAGGAGTTCAAACAAAATAATGAGAGCAAAGTATAAGAGACTTAAAAATCAAAGAAATGTGACTTGCAAGATTTCCTGTACTATTGGAGTAGGTGGAAAAATCTGAGTTTACAAGAATGTCTAGAAGCTAACTATGAGCTACTATTATAGTACAACTACAAAAGACATGTGGCAGTGAGTGAGGTGGAGATCGGTTTAGAAGTTTCTAGGAGGATGTTGCCTGTGCACAGCTACTGCTTTTGTGAGTTTATAGCCAAGTGCTGGTGGTAAGTCTACGTTGCCTAGGAGTGCCACCTTCAGGTAAACTGGTCCAGCAGTAAGCAGAGTATTTGAACACAGAGGGGAAAAGCAATGAAATATGAAATCTTCAGCATAACACCACGGCAATGACATGGGAACCATTGTTTTTTCTCTTTGTGGAAAAAATTCTCCTTGGGAAATAAAACCTCTAGCTCTCCAAGGCAGTCACAAGAATGGGAAGCAGAAATTTCACGAGTGGATCATTTAGGTAAAGGACATTTGTTTGGAGATATGATTTTCTGTTGTGTTGATTCAAGTCCCAATTCTGTTTACCAGATATATAATTTTTCTCTTAGTGTGAATTAATTAAGACTTTAGTAGTTTCTCTGATATGGTTTGGATCTGTGTCCCCACCCAAATCTCATCTCGAATTATAATCCCCATAATCCTCACGTGTTGAGGAGGGACCTGGTGGGAGGTAATTGTATTATAGGGGCAATTTCCTCCATGCTATTCTCATGATAATGAGGTCTCACAAGATCTGATGGTTTTATAAGGAGCTCTTCCCCCTTCTCTTGTTTGCTCTCTCTCTCTTGCCTGCTACGTTGTAAGATGTGCCTCTTCCTCTTCCACCATGATTGCAAGTTTCCTGATGCCTCCCTAGCCATGGGTAACTGTTAGTCAATTAAACCTATTAAACCTCTTTGATTTATAAATTATCCAGTTTCAGGTATGTCTTTATAGCAGTATGAAAATGGACTAATATATTGTCCAACTATTCTTCCTAGAATACCAACGGTATAGATCATTAAGCATTAAATCACTTTGGTTACTGATGGTAGCAGCAGCCCAACTCGTTCAGCTGCTGGGAAGACACCAACTTCAGTGGGGAAGGCATGGCTTGAGTTGCATGCTCCACAGGGCCAGCAGGAGCTGGGAACAGGCAGGAGCCCTGACCCCTACCAACTTGGAGGGGCAGGAGCCCAGTGCTCCCAGGTGTAGCTTCAGTCATCTATCTGCAGTGTACCTGGCCATCCCTGCACTCTTTGGGGCCCAGGAAGCCCCCAAGCCCTGCAGGCTTGGAAATGTCTGTTCCCACTCCCTGGACTCTCACTGCTCCTGGTGCCCACTCCAATTTCAGAGCAAAGTTGAAGCTGAGGCCAGGTGCTGTTATGACCCAGCCAGGTGTGCACTAACATGTTAGTCCCATCCCTCCTGCCTTGGCCCCCTCTGAAACTTTTGGCACCAATGAGCTCAGGGAGGGGGACCAGGGGGACTAAGTGGCTAAGGGCTAAGGGCAGCTTGGTGTAGGCCTGCTGGCACCCCTCAGCACAAACATCCTGGTGGCCATGGATGGCATGTTTATGGCAGGGACCAGACAGGTTCCTGAGCAGAAAGGGATGGGTTCAGGTGAAACTTGAAGGTGGCTTCAAGCCGGGGGTCCTGAAGCCTGGGGGCTGGGCTGCCAGTTCTGGGTGGAGCCTACTGCCCAGAGTGATAACTTATGGTGCTTTTTCTGGGCCCACTCATGGCCACCCACAGATCAATCAGCACATACTTCCTCCCTGCTGAGTCCATAAAAACCTTGGACTCAGCCAGACTCACACAGACATCGGGACTAACTGCTTCAGGAAGGAGCTCCCCACCATTGGTCTTCTCTCCACTGACAGCTGGCCACTCATTGGGATGACTGGCCTGCAGAAAGGAGCTACCCATTTTGGGTCATCTGAGAGCTGTTCTGTCACTCAATGAAGTTCCTCTCCACCTTGCTCACCCTCCAGTTGTCCACATACCTCATTCTTCCTGGATGTGGAACAAGAACATGGGACCCGCCAAATGGTGGGAATGAAAGAGCTGTGACACAAACAGGGCTAAAATATGCCCTCCACTCACTACGTTGCAGGTGATGAGAAGGAGAGAAGAGGTACAACCCTTGTGGGAGCCCAGACATAGGGTCTCCCTGGGCCAGAGCTGTGACACCCTCTTTGGGGATCTGTGATTCCTGGTGCCTCCAAGCTTCTAGATGGAACTGAGTTCCCTGATGCCCACAGTGAAAGCCATTGCAGTATGCCTTGTACAGCCATAGCCTCTCATGGAGCCAGCACCTGTGCCAACGCCTGGAGCTGCCCACCCTCCCACAGCTGGCACACCTGGCTGTCTTGATCCTGTGCTCACTCACACACTCCTCACCACTCTGCACCTGGCTCACCCTGGCAGATGTGGAATCTAGGCGGGTAGCATGAGCCGAGCACAGCCAGCCAGGCCGAGTGGGCAGAATGAGCTGGATGGGCATGCACAATGTACAAGCAGAAAGCACATCAGCCACAGAGGTTTCTGGCTGGTGAAGCAACACCCTAAGGATTCTGTGACATTACTGCATGAGTAACTAATTAGTTGAAAACTTTGTGCTATGGGAAAGAATTCAGTTGCAAGAAATTAAATTTACAGTAAAAATTTCATTTACAGAAAATGTCTAGAAAAAGCAAATCTTTAGAAACAGAAAGCAGATTGATTAGTGGTTGCCTAGAGTTATGGGAGATAAGTGTGGGAAGTGAGTACTAATGGGTAGATTGTTTTATGAAGGGTGATGAAAATGTTCTAAAAATAAATCATGATGATGGTGGTTACAATGGTAAATTATAGGTATCAACTTCACTGGATTAAGGGATGTACAAATGGCTGGTAAAACATTATTTCTAGGCATATATGAGAAGGTGTTTCTGAAAATGTTTGGCATTTGAATCAGGGAACTGAGTAAAGAAGATCTGCTCTCAATGTAAGTGGCACCATCCAATGGGATGAAAGCCCACATACAACCAAAAGGCACAGGAAAGGTAAATTCACTCTGTATTCTAGAGCTGGGGGACCCTTCTTCTTCTGCCTTTGGACATCAGAACTCCAGGCATTCGGACACTGGAACTTGCACCACCACAACCCCTCTGCCCCTCTTACCCACTGGGTTCTCAGTCCTTAGATCACAGACGGAGAGTTACACCATGGACTTCCCTGGCTCGCCCTCCCTCCTTCCCTCCCTCCCTTCCTTCCTTCCTTCCCTTCTTCCTTTCCTTCTTTCTCTTCCTGCCTTCCTTCTTCCCTTCTTTCTCTTCCTGCCTTCCTGCCTTCCTTCCTTTCCTAGTTGTTCTGTCTCTCTGGAGAACCCTGACTTTACAGTGGTACATTCTCTGAATACACTAAAATCCACCAAATTGTACATATTAAATTGTCAAATTTTATGGTATGTGAACTCTTTTGCAATAAATCTCTTTTTAAAATATTTATCAAATAAGTTAATTATAAAGGAAAAGCCGTAAGAAATATTGTTTCAGCTCATGGAACTATACAGCTTTCTGTTTGTGGTGGTGTTGATTCAACTCTAAATGCTTTAAAATTTATAAAATGGTATACCAATTTTTGAAAAGTCAATTTTACTACATGATAATATTTAAAATAACATGCAATTAGATATTAAGGAATTCAGCAGAGTTGCCACCTCCTCCCTCTCTCCACTTTAGTGGTTTCACAGTTACCCATAGTCAACTGTGGTCCAAAAATGTAAAATGGAAAATTCCAGAAATAAGCAACCATGTTTTAAATTGAGTGCCATTTTGAGAAGCATGGTAAAATCGAGTGCCGTCCCAGTTCGTCCTGCCCAGGATATAAATCATTAGTTTGTCCAGTGAATTCATGCTGTCTATGCTCCCCATCCAATAGTTACTTACTGGCCATCTCAGTTATCAGATGGACAGATCACAAGAAGAATAAGTATAGTACAAGATATGTTGATAGAGGCCACATTTACATAACTTTTATTACAGTATATTGTTATGCTTGTTCACTTAAAATTATTAGCTATTGTTGTCAATCTCTTACCCTATAGTGCATATAGATTTCAGTACTATCTGTGATTTCAAGTGTCCACTTCAGGGCCCTGAACATAGATCCTGTGAATAAAGGAAGACTATTGTACATCAAATCATGCTTCCAACCTTTGGTGTCTGTTTTATTTTCATCCATTTATATATACTTTGAGTCTACTTAGTAATAAAGACATTTCTGGTAGCACAACAGCAACATAAATTAACCAGAATGTATTTTTTAAGTTAAAATTTCAGTTTCCCTAACAATAACCTAGAGATAAATATCCGGTTTTTTTCTAGACTTCAAAAAATAACACAAATTTTAGAAGTCTCATTGGTATCATTTTTAGGCAGTTTTTTTCTTTTTCTCTATCTTATGATGCGAAAACCACTAGCAAAAATCTTAACGATATTGGTGATGCACACATTTATAAGATAAATCTAAAATCTCTCATAATATATTTAAGATATATAACCTTCAAGCACCAGGAATTCACAACGTCAGACTGATATTCATAGTGATTCATTTTTGTTAATTTTACAAGTTTATATCAAGAAATAGTTTTAATTAACTCTAAAACTAGTCCTTCTTTTATATTTACACTGCAGTGAACACATATTTTTCAAGGTATTTTTCAATAATAAAACATCAAATTTTGATAATTTAAGTTTTACATAACAAACTGAATATATTACAACTATTATGTAAATTTCTACTCAATATCTATTTAGAATAGTTCATATTTGTGTAAAATATTCTCATTTATTCCTCCAATGGTTTGATGACATTAAAAGGAGTGGACTATTTTAGTGTAGCAATTCTAAATTATAAATATAGTTGTAAATTCAACAATACAATCATTTGAGGGGCAATTATTATCATTTTATGAAACATGATAATTGCACTATATTATGTAAATAATTAAAATCCTCATTTGTAAAATTTGTTATGATTTGTGATCACAGCAACAGTTTATGACATGGACGTTTTCATTATTTTTAATAGCTAAAATTATCCCACTTATAATTCTCACTTATTTTTATTGCAAAATATCTTTATTATAGAAAATGTCCAGATATAATCAATTTAAATGGCTGATCAGGTGATATATTTTCAAATATTTTAATCTTGCCATTATCAATGCAACCAAGCCTAGCAAAGTTGTTACTTGGATATAGTGTTTCAAATATTCTTATTTTGGTTATATGGAAGTAGTGCTACACTAAAACCTTAGTTCTTACTCTTTTAAGTAAACTTCCCATGTCCTAGTCACTTTTTTTTTTCATGAAGTGTTTATTCTTTCAACATTTAGGACAATTTTTGTTCTACTGAGTATCTTTCAAGTTGTGTAAGAGTTGATGATGAAAATTTCTCGACTAGATCAACTCCATAATTACTGAATTTAATCTAATTGAAGACGTTTTTCTTATGTAAACACATACTACAAATATGGGTTATGAAAGATACGCTTTTCTCCTCCTAGCTGAAACAGCTTTATAAATATTGGTGTCTTGGTCTCTGTGCATTCACTATCTCTCACTTTTATGTAGGGAGAGTAGCTAACCATTTGATATTCTAGTTATTTTAATATAGGTTTCAATTCTGTGTACCAAATTTCTGTAAATATTTTATTTGTACTTAAGAAATTTAAGTCGCAACTAAGTATTGACACTATTACATAATAGTGTCAATTGCATAAAACACAATCTGTGGAACAATCTGTGGAGTTATGTCATTAATGATGACCACTCGAAAATCAAGGGGCTTCCATTTAAACCATTGATGTTAATTCACAATAAATTTAGAATATTTAACACAAATCTATATTCCATTTTCTTCTTTTGATATCTTACTTTAGGCATGCCTGAACCACAGATCAGAATTTTTTTTTCTGAAAAAGGACACTTCAATATTTTAAGCTTTGTAGGTAAATGCCCCTGTCACATATTGTTTTCTGTTTTTAACAACCCTTAAGGTGTAAAAAACATTTTACCTCTATGGCAATAGAAAAATAATTCATGTGGTGTGCTCCATGGATAGCATTCTGCCAAACCCTGATCTGAACAGTACAAGAATAGCCAAATTAATTTTCATTTATCCTATATGCTTAGCATTCAGATATTTCTGAAGTAACTGAAACAGACCTACTACATTAAGAACTATCTGCTATGAACAGAGTCACCTCATGGTTAAAATCAAAAGTTGAGACATCATTTTATAATATATGTGATATATATGTATATGTGTGTATAAAATATGTATGTGTATATACTAAACACATACATATATTAAAATAATCTACAGTAAGCAAATTCAGGGCTATGACAACATTTCTATATGACCTATTTATATACTGAGATATGTGGACTATAAAAATCAGTAGTCTAATTGGTGGAAATGTTAATGCCAGTACACTAACACCCTGGGTTGTGAATAAAAACACAACCATATAAAATATACCAGAAATATATACATGTCAGAGCCATATCTGCAAAATATAGGTGTTAATGTCTCCTAGAAGAGTCATTTTGAAGATTAGTGGAGATAATGTAGAGAAAAATCACTTAATACTAGGCCTTGGACACTGTAGAAAATTAACAATTTTTCTTTTCTTTCCATAAAAATAAAATTAAAAAGATTGTACAGATTTAATATCCTATTGAATTGTTTTCATGGAATGTTATATATATTTTTTGAACACATTATTCTTAAGTGCAAATTTATATGAATCTGAAACCCTTGTAAAAAAATCCTTCAATTTGCTTCTGGCATTTTTAATCGTGGTCAAATAGCCAGTGTACTGCTATTACAGGAATAGATAATTCCAGATGCATTTCATCAGGTCACCAAATAAAGTATTTGCACAAGTTTAAATCTATCAATCAATATGAATAGCATTTAATGTACTTATAAATAAATGTGAGTATAATGAGAAGTCTGAGACAATGTGTGTTCCTGAATTAACAGTTACTGTTTGAGAATGGAAGGATAAAATGCAAACCCAAAACACAAACTTAAGAGAAAGAGGGAAAGGAAAAAGAGGAGGAAGAGAAGAAATGGGAGAGAGATTAGTAAAAGTAAAAATAGTAATGCACAATTATCAAATTTTACAATAATTAGTATTCAAATAATGATCCAATCAGAAGCTACACAAACAAGAAGTCTTAATGAAAGGGGTAGAACTTAATAGAGGCCTTGGGAAAAATAAAAACATAAAAGAGACATTAGCTTATAAATGAAGGCTGGTAATCATAAAAGGGCAAAGAAAACCTGGTTCAGAGAATAAAATATGTATGGCAGTAACACCAAATCATGAGTAAAGAGGCTGACCAGGCTTTCAAAAACAGAATTTGGCTGGACAATCATGGAAAATTATTAATAATAGCATCTGTTGTGGTTCTAGAACATAAAGGGTTTGAAGCACTAGCAATAAAGACCAGACTTTTTTCTCCACAGGACCTAGGAAACAATTAGAAAAAAGATATCAATTTTTTAATGTTTAGCCTGACAAAAATACCTTAGCATAAGAACAGGAATAAAAGAAAGCATTTCTGACTTGTTTCTAATTTTAACTGAAATGTACTCAGTGTTTTGTCAATCAGAACAATGTTTGCTTTGGTTTGAGTCAAATATTATTGGATATTTATGTAGTTTCCTATCATTCCTGTTAGAAATGTTTTATAATTTTTTATCCAATGCCTTCAACATCTAGTGATATGCTTAATATTTTAGGTAATAAATTATGTTGATTTTTTTCTGAGTTTGAACCTTCCCTGAATTCTCCTAATAAATCCTGTGGGTCACAGTATGTTATCTGATAACATAGTATTAGATTTTCATTACTGATATTATATTTATACATTTTGTGTCAATAATTCCAATGTGCTATTTTAAAAAGGTTTACTCAGATATTGGTATAAAAATCATACTGGAGTATCAATCAGGATAAGCTAATTTGGTAAGATATTCGTGTAAAAATCATACTGGACCATCAATAAGGATAGGCAAATTTAGGAAGAGTAATAAACAACATTTAACATGCCAGTGGTTTAATATATCAAAGGTGTATCTAGTACTCTGCTTTGTGTCACATTTACTGTATGGCTCAGACAGATGGAATATTGCTCTTCGTTACGGTAGAAGTTGAAGTTTCAAAAATATTGTGTGAAGATCATTCACGAGTATCACTGTCTACCCTTCTGTTTACCAAGTATTGGCTTATTCAGTTTTCTTTGGCTGAAATACACTTAGACCCTCCCTAAGTGGGCCAATCTGAAAATCTCATCTAAGAAATAAATCAAGCTTAAATGTAGGCTCTCTGGTGATATGCAGGAGTTTCTACATTAGGGGGTGAAACTGGTCGGTAGAAAATAAAATCATATGTTCCTTGTACTGCACATATTCATTGTATAATAATGAAACAGGAACTATAAGCAGAACAAATATTTCACATTTAGAAATGGGGAAAACCACAGACATGTGGAGTTCCTATTCAGTAAAATCCCATTTGGTAGATATTTTGATGGAAGTTCACTACAGATGTAGGTAATATTTCATTATTAGACCTGAATTATGCTCCCTAGAAACAGTTCACTTTTTTGATATTTTTGTTGTTTGTCCTTGCCTTAATGCTCAGGGGCATTCCTCCTTTCTCTTACCCCTCTTGGCCACATTGAGCATTGAAGTGAACACTGGAAAACATGCTTGAAGGCTGCAACGATTTCTAAGTTTTCTTCTTGCCCATAAAATTTTGGGAGCCCAAGGTTCATTTTAGATTTTGAGCAGTCACACACTTTTATAAGTCAGTTTCTTGGTTTCTTTTGCCGTTTAATTCTTAATATTTTTATGTCTTACTTATGAAATTTATGCCAAGCTCATATAACATATTATCTCCTGGGTTTTAATAAAAGTTTCATAGTTTTAGCCTTACATTTATTGAGCCTTTAACATATTTTAAATCAATTTTTGTTTATGGTGCCATGTATGGGACAAAAATTCATTGTTTGCATATCATTTTTAAATTGTTCCAACATCATTTGCTGAAGAGGTTATTGAAAGACTTTTGCAATTTAGTAGAAAATCAATCAATGATAATTTGATTGGTCTCTCTGTGGATACTGTTTCCTATTACAATTATCTATATTTTATACAAACTCCATCATTTCTTGATTACAGTAGCTCAGAATTAGGTCTTCCAAGTCCTGCAACTTTATTCTCTGAAAAAATATTAAATTAGTTGCAGCAATATTACATTCTTTGAATTTTTGAATCCACCGATCAATTTTGAATCCCAATCTCTCCTCTCAAAGTTATGGAGATTTATTTAGTTCATCAAGTGGAGAAATAACACATTAACAATACTAAGTCTCCCATCCATAAGCCCAGTATATATTTCTATTTATTTTAGTCATCTTTATTTTCTCTATTTTTCTTTGCAATTTTGAGTGTATATGTGTTGTAAACCTTCAAAAAATATATTACTAAATATTTTATGTTTTTTTTGCTGTTTCCATCTCCTTGTTCCTGGCTTATACATAAAAATAGAATTAATATGTTTTTGATAATCTAATGCCCTGAGATATTTAAAAAATATCATATTTTTACAGTAAGTTTATTAATATTACACAGAATTTTCTACATAGAAGATTATTTAGTGTTGCTTCCTGCTTTTAAATTTGTATGCTTTTATTTACTTTTAATCCTTATTCATAGATAAGGTCCATCAGACTTACATTTAATACAACTGAGAATGGACATAATTCATCAATAGGGACCATGCTAATTACAGATTTTGTAATTTTTTAAATCAGGTTAAGGACATTCCCTATACAGTAGTGGAATCTGATATGCCTTGCCATGGTTTTCCCTATGTTTATTCTGCTTGTAGTTTTCTGAGTTTCTTGAATGAGTGGATACATAATTGTCATCAATACAAAATAACTTGGGCAATTATTTATCCAAAGTTTTTTGCTTTCACCACCTTCTAGGCCAATCAGAATACAGGTGGTAGACTATCTGATACTGTTATACAGGTCACTAATCTCAGTCATTTATTGTTTATTTCTGTGACTTATTCTAAATTGTTTCTACAGCTATGTCTTTAAATTATTTTTCTTCCTTTTTGCAATGTCTATTCAACCATTAATGCTATCCAGTATATTTATCATTTTGATAATAGTTTTTATTTTACAGTGTGATTTGTGTCATTTTATAACTTTCGTGTGACTTTCATTATGCTCACATACTTCTCTAACTTCTTATAATATAGATCTTATTGTATAAGTGTTCCTTTATGTCCTTGATTGCTGGTTGTTGTTGTTGCTTTGACCTCCGTAATTCTGGATATCTTTGTAACTATTTATTTTTCTACTAGCTATGTGTCAAATATTCCACCTTCTGTGCATGTCTGGGGATTTTTATTGGATGCAAGATCTTATGATTTTTTGTAATTGGTTTCTGGATTTTGTTGCATTCCTTTAAATAACTTTTTTTGGGATTTAGTTCTGGCATGCAGTTTTGTTATTTTCAGGTAAGTGTGATCATTTCAAGTCTTCCTTCTAATATTTGTAATGGCAAGATCAGAGCAGCATTTAGTGTAGCCTTAATTTCTCTCACTAAGGTGATGAATTTCTGATGACTTTACCTAATATGCCTTATACTATGAAGACTTAACTCTCTAGTTTATAAGAGCACAAATTATTCCCTTTTTCATGTGTTAGCTCAGGAAATACATCAATCTACTCTCTTATATTGGTTCTTTTACTGGCCTTAGTTTCCTCTTTGTCATATGCATACTAGTACTCAGCCAAAGACCCAGAAGGATCTCTCAGAAAAAGAGACTTGATAAGACTTTGAGGCATGATTAGGATTTCATAAGACAGAGATTGCCAAATAGCGTTCCTTATAGAGGTAGCAGCATGATCACAGCCTTACTTTGGGAGAATGCAGGGGGTGTGTGTGTGTGTGTGCAAGTGTAAATATTTGAGTCTGATGAAAGCAAAGATTTCATAGGGGATGGGTAATAAGCCAATTAGTTATGGCCATGTCAGACATGTAATGCCTTGAATTTTACCTTAAAAATTATAAATTTTATCCAGTTGACGCTGAAAACTTAAGGCTTAATGGAGATGTGTAGGCAAGAGCTATTATTATATCGTTATGTTTAAACTCCAGTTAGTAACAATGGTTAGAAAGTGGTTGAGATTGTAGTAAAGATAAAATATAAGGAGGTTCCTGCAATTTTGTAAAATTTAAGGAAAATTGCATTGTAATGCGTTATATAAAGTTTTATTCTAGCAACCCTAGGTATTAGTGTGAGAAACGATTGCAAAGCTAAAAAAAAAAAGACTATTGCTCTATTTTAGAGGCCTTTTTTTCCAACACACATAAGAAAAGAATCTACTTTACGTTTTTCTGTTTAGGTGAAACTCCAGAAAATGAAGTTAAAGTACTACCTTCAAATACAGCTTTAATATTGATAGCTTGTTTGTGTCCTACAACAAAATAAAAATTAACTTCGAAAGATTCTGTGTTCAGTACTTTTGCTTGGCAATCTATATTTTTAACCAGCAAATTGAAAGTATTTTTATTCACAAATAAATTGTTACTATCCAACAAATAACAAGTTATGATATCAGGTCCATTTCTATATGATAAACTTTATTGTTCTGGGCAAACGGCTTGTGACTTTACGGCAACCATCACATTAGTATCTGTAAGTGCTGATGGCTACACTTTTCCCTTCGTCTCTTTGAAAAAGGACATCGGCTCCATTCTATAAACTTAATCATATGAAAATAAAATCTGTGCTTATAAAAAGGACCACACAACAATTGATTTGATTGTAATCCATTTAATTAACTCTCTCAAGATTCTATTTACCATTAATTTAATCAATATCAGAATTTTGCTGATAAAAATGTAATTGTCTATTTTATAAAAAAGCAATAAATATATGCTTTGGAATTAGACTGGAAAGGACATGACCAGTTGGAAAACTGTAATAATAAAGCAATACTGTAAAAGTAACAGCAGTGACATAATTGATTGTAACCAAGGTATATTCAGCACAATAATTATGCTGGGTGAACTGAATCTACAGTTTCTGATAATTGATGAGTTATTATGCTCAATGCCCTACAGAGACATTGCCTAAGAATGCAAAGATTTAAGTGTAATGAATTCATGTCATCTATCTCAGCAAAATAAATACATTTATAAATTCCCTTTTTAAAATTTTGATTACTATTCTGCTATTCAGTTGGAATTAGTCTGATATTTCTCCCACTTGAAAATTTCAGGAATGATCACTTACTTCAAAAAAAATCTTAGATTAAGGCAAGATTTACCACTCATTTTTATTTTCTTTAAATATATAAGATAGATTTTGTTACTGCATTAACAAACTCACTGTACCAGTTCTGTGGAAAGGAATAAATTTTTAAAATTCAGCCAGGTGGCAACAAATGGTTTGTGTACAGAGCATGTGTATACATGATGAATTAGCATGACTACTTATAATTCTGCCAGAATTATAAGTAGTCATGCTAATTCATCATGTATAGGCTTGGAGACTGTAGCAATTCAAAGGTACACCTAATTTCTTTTTGGCAATAGTGCCATAAAACTCAACTGTTAGTATGTCTTCCTTGTTAAAATGTCTATTCAAGCCTTTTGCCTGTTTTTGAATTGGTTTGCCAATTTTCCTGTTTTTAATTGTAAAAGTTCTTTATATACTCTGCATATATGTCATTTATCAGCTATGAAACTAACAAATATTCTACCATTCTGTAGCTTGTATTTTCATTTTATTAATGGTGACTTAAAGTAAAACCATTTTTTCATGTTTAGAAAGGTCAATTTGTCACATTTTCTTTTATAGCTCATATTTTTGTTGTCACACCTAAGAACACTTTGCCTAATTCAAAGTCATACAGATTTTCTTATATACTTTCCACTAGAAATTTTATAGTTTTAGATATTACATGTAGGTTTCTGATCTATCTTAATTGTGTACTATGTGAATTAAGAATCTAACTGTAAATGTGTATGTGTGTATGTGAGTGTGTGTGCATGTGTGCATGCATGTCCCATTGTTCTTGCACTAGTTTTTGAAAATATTTGTTTTCTATTGATTTGCGTTGACATCTGTATCAATAATCAATTGACCAGAAATTTAATAGTTTGTACTCTCATTCTTAGATTTAGTATCCCTTTTATTATATTTAGTAGCTTTAGATTTAGCAGATTTTATTAGATTTAGAATCAGTAGCAGTAATGGTCTTTTTATTAGGTTGAGATTATTAGATTTAGTAGCCTTCTTTATTATATTAAGTAGGCTTTTTATGTTAGAATTTTATACATAAAGGATAATATTACCTGTGAACAAAGATCACATTACTTTTTCCTTTCCATTCTGGATGTCTTTAAGTCTATGTATTGTTCTATTTCACTGGCCAAAACCTCAAGGATAATATTGAACATTGTTTTAAGGGGAAAGCATGTAGTCTTTTACCAGTAACATTCGCTTTAGTGTTTTATGGGTGCTCTACATCAAGTTGAAGAAATTAACTTTCACTCTTACTTGTTGACATTTGTTATAAAAATGGATTTTTGACTTTGCCATATGGTTTTATTGCATCTACTGAGGTGAACACATGATTTTGTCTTTTGTTACGGTAAAGCAGTGGAATACACTGTTTGATTTTAAGATGTTAAACAACAGTATTCCTGAGATAAATTTTACTTGGCCATAGTGTATAATAATTTTTTGTATATCTCTGAATTTGTGTTGTTATTTATTTTATATTATTACGTTTTACGCTCTGTTACTAGGGATGTTGTACTAGAATGTTCTTTTCTTGTAATGCCCTTGATATTAGAGTAATATTGGCTTTATAGAGTGAGTTGTGAGGTGTCTACTATTAATCTATTTTTAAAAGAGTGTATGATCTAACACTTAAGTCTTTAATCCATCTTGAATTAATTTTTGTATGAGGTGTAAGGAAGGGATCCAGTTTCAGCTTTCTACATATGTCTAGCTAGTTTCAGACCTAAAACCATAAAAACCCTAGAAGAAAACCTAGGCAATACCATTCAGGACATAAGCATGGGCAAGGACCTCATGACTAAAACACCAAAAGCAATGACAACAAAAGCCAAAATTGACAAATAGGATCTAATTAAACTAAAGAGCTTTTGCACGGCAAAAGAAACTACCATCAGAGTGAACAGGCAACCTACAGAAGAGGAGAAACTTTTTGCAATCGACCAGCTGAAAAAGGGCTAATATCCAGAATCTACAATGAACTCAAACAAATTTACAAGAAAAAAACAAACAACCCCATCAAAAAGTGGGCAAAGGATATGAACAGACACTTCTCAAAAGAAGACAACTATGCAACCAATAGACACATGATAAAATGCTCATCATCACTGAAATGCATCAGAGAAATGCAAATCAAAACCACAATGAGATACCATCTCATGCCAGTTGGAATGGCAATCATTAAAAAGTCAGAAAACAACAGATACTGGAGAGGATGTGGGGAAACAGGAACGCTTTTACACTGTTGGTGGGGGTGTAAACTAGTTCAACCATTGTGGAAGACAGTGTGGTGATTCCTCAAGGATCTAGAACCAGAAACACCATTTGACCCAGCAATCCCATTATTGGGTATATACCCAAAGGATTATAAATCATTCTACTATGAAGACACATGCACATGTATGTTTACTGCGGCACTATTCACAATAGCAAAGACTTGGAACCAACCCAAATGCCCATGAGTGATAGACCGGATTAAGAAAATGTGGCACACATACACAATGGAATACTATGTAGCCAAAAAAAGGATGAGTTTATGTCCTTTGTAGGGACATGGATGAAGCTGGAAACCATCATTCTCAGCAAACTACCACAGGGACAGAAAATCAAACACTGCATGTTCTCACTCATACGTGAGAATTGAACAACGAGATCAGCTGGACACAGGGTGGGAAACATCACACACCAGGGCCTGTCGGGGGTTGGGGGGCTAAGGGAGGGATAGTATTAGGAGAAATACCTAATGTAAATGATGAGTTGACGTGTGCAGCAAACCAACATGGCACATGTATACATATGTATCAAACCAGTACATTGTGCACATTTACCCTAGAACATAAAGTATAGTAATAAAAAAAGAGTGTATGAATATTTGCTCTTTAAATGTTATATGTGTGTGTGTAAAAGCCTCTTTGAATTACCACTGGCTTTTCAGATTTATTTTATAAACTTGCCCTACATGACAGAGTACAGCATGTTAAAATTATAAATCATCACAACATTGCTGAGGATAAAATAAAATCAAGCATGTTAAAACCTATGATATTATTTTCTAACCATGACTGTAGCCACAATTTCCAGGGATTACAGCAGATTTGAACACCGCTATCCAAATCAAGGGTCCCATGATCTTGTCAGACAAAGTAAAGCAGTATAATATAGGCGACTAAAAGAAATGTATGATAGGGTTTCGGAGGTAGGAGTAAAATAATTCAAAGATAAGATCTAAAAGAGTGATGAAAGGTTGAATCAAATGGTATCTGGAAACTGGATAAAGTTAGATTATGAAATAAGCAGATTATGATGATTTAATATGTTCATATTATGTTTTAGAATGACTTTATAAGTTTACTACAGACTGTGCAACAGTATTCTAGTATGGTAAACCTGTAGCATTTAAACAACAGCTACAAGAGAATAGGAACGAAAAAAGGAATGAGCAATTAAAAAAACAAACCCTGAGCAATTACAAACAAGGCCTGACCATATTGTGAGCAACAGTCATCAAAGGGTGTGTGTGTGGGTGTGTGTGTGTGTGCTTATGTATATATAAAATAAGAAGCCATCTGGCCTGAACTTATCTTTTTGATAAGATTTTTAAGTATGGATTTTGTTTGTTATGGATATATTTATATTTTATATTTCTTTTTGAGCCAGTTATAGTACTTTCTGTCTTTTTAGAAATTTCATTCTGTTTTCCAGTGTGCTCACATAAAATTGTTTATCATATTCCTCCTTAATAGCTAATAAGCACATGGAAAGGTCTAAATATCATTAGTCATTATGAAAACACAAATTTAATCCACAATGAGATCTCTCTATACGTCTATTAGAATAGCTGTAATTAAAAGGTGTGTTGGCTAGAATATGGAGCAATCAGAGAACCTTCATATTCCTCATACATGAGAGTATAAAGTGAGACAGCCACTTTGGAAAACAGTTTTACAGTTTCTTATAAAGTTATGGACAAATTTATGCATCATAGAGATTATTCACTTAGTAATCTACAGAAAATAAATTAAACTATATATACACACAAAGTTTCTAAGTGAATGTTAAAATTAGCCTAATTCATCATAGTCAAAACTGGTAATAAGCCAAACACCCATCAACTGGTGGAATAGATAAATAAAAATAAAATTATACATTTCACATACTATTCAATAATACAAAATAAAAAACTACTGATATATACTTTAGTATGAATTTATCTCAAAAACATTTTGCTAAGTGAAAGAAGCCAGTTGCAAAAGGCTACAAAACGTGCAATTTTCTTTATATGACATGACTGAAAAGGGTACATTTATTATGACAGATAGCAAATCAGTGGTTGCCTCTGGCTGGAGAGAGGTGGGGTGGAAATTTACTGCAACCAATTTCAAGGAAATTTTAAAGAATAATGAAAAGTTTTAAAGCTTGATTGCTTGACAAGTGGACAACTATATGAACTTGCTAAAAGCCATTTATTTAAAAACTTCAGTTTTGTGAATGTTATTGTATTTAAATGTAGCTCAATAAAATTTTGAAAGAAATTGAACTGTTAGTTTAAATTCTTATGCTAGAATCATCTTATCTCATTAAGTTCAGAAATAAATAAGAAAGAAGACAGTTTGTCTCCTAACCTCTGCCATGAAGCCCTTACTTACTGGCATCTGACAGATGCTTTGATGGCATACAACCTGTGTTGGAAACCATTTACATGTTGCTTCCCCTAAATCTTGTGGTTGGTCCTGGTAGTATGAATCTTAACTCTATCATGAATTTCTTGCAGGCTGGGCTGTCTTTTTCCCTTCAATCAAAGACATTGAGTTTTGGGCCCTTGAAAGGACAGGATCCTGTTCATCAGAGATATTTTTATTTAAAGTATCTTTCAGGATAGCACTTATTTCCTACTATTTTCTCTAGCCTACAAATTTATAAAGATGCATAGCATTGAAGAAGACAATATATTTGATTTTTAGAATGAATGATGTATTCTAGAAAATTAAGCTTTTTAAGGTGATATTGATTAGCATTCACATCAACCTATTTAAAGAACAGTGCAAAAGGGAAATGAAACATCAATGCAAAGCAACTCAACGTCCAATATGAAAAGATTTCAGCCACACTTCACATCCAGATATTTAATAAACACCTTTTTACTTTGTAGAAAGTCATAAAATAATGAGATTTGTGGTCTTTTTAAATCTGTAAATTAATTAAAAAGTAAAGAATCTTATTTAGCTAGGTCATATTTCTCACCATCTTAATGGTCCTATTTGACTATATATACTTGTTAAAATAGGCTTGCCATTCATCAGTTTCAAGTTGCCACCTGGAAACATGGTGCCATGATGGTTTCTCTTTTTTATTATTCTGATTATAGTTTAAGTTTTAGGGTACATGTGTACAATGTGCAGGTTAGTTACATATGTATACATGTGCTATGTTGGTGTGCTGCACTCATTAACTCATCATTTACATTAGGTATATCTCCTAATGCTGTCCCTCTCACCTCCCCCCATCCCGCAACAGGCCCTGGTGTGTGATGTTCCCCTTCCTGTGTCCATGTGTTCTCACTGTTCATTCCCACCTATGAGTGAGAATATGCGGTGTTTGGTTTTTTGTCTTTGCGATAGTTTGCTCAGAATGATGGTTTCCAGCTTCATCCATGTCCCAACAAAGGACATGAACTCATCATTTTTTATGGCTGCATAGTATTCCATGGTGTATATGTGCCACATTTTCTTAATCCAGTCTATCATTGTTGGACATTTGGGTTGGTTCCAAGTCTTTGCTATTGTGAATAGTGCCGCAATAAACATATGTGTGTATGTGTCTTTATAGTAGCATGATTTATAATCCTTTGGGTGTATACCCAGTAATGAGATTGCTGGGTCAAATGGTATTTCTAGTTCTAGATCCCTGAGGAATCGCCACACTGACTTCCACAATGGTTGAACTCGTTTACAGTCCCACCAACAGTGTAAAAGTGTTCCTATTTCTCCACATCTTCTCCAGCACCTGTTGTTTCCTGACTTTTTAATGATTGCCATTCTAACTGGTGTGAGATGGTATCTCATTGTGGTTTTGATTTGCATTTCTCTGATGGCCAGTGATGATGAGCATTTTTTCATGTGTCTTTTGGCTGCATAGATGTCTTCTTTTGAGAAGTGTCTGTTCATATCCTTTGCCCACTTGCTGATGGGGTTGTTTTTTTCTTGCAAATTTGTTTGAGTTCATTGTAGATTCTGGATATTAGCCCTTTGTCAGATGAGTAGATTGCGAAAATTTTCTCCCATTCTGTAGGTTGCCTGTTCACTCTGATGGTAGTTTCTTTTGCTGTGCAGGAGCTCTTTAGTTTAATTAGATCCCATTTGTCAATTTTGGCTTTTGTTGCCATTGCTTTTGGTGTTTTAGACATGAAGTCCTTGCCAATGCCTATGTCCTGAATGGTATTGCCTAGGTTTTCTTCTAGGGTTTTTATGGTTTTAGGTCTAATGTTTAAGTCTTTAATCCATCTTGAATTAATATTTGTATAAGGTGTAAGGAAGGGATCCAGTTTCAGCTTTCTACATATGGCTAGCCAGTTTTCCCAGCACCATTTATTAAATAGGGAATCCTTTCCCCATTGCTTGTTTTTCTCAGGTTTGTCAAAGATCAGAGGGTTGTAGATAAGCGGCATTATTTATGAGGGCTCTGTTCTGTTCCATTGGTCTATATCTCTGTTTTGTTACCAGTACCATGCTGTTTTGGTTACTTTAGTCTTGTAGTACAGTTTGAAGTCAGGTAGCGTGATGCCTCCAGCTTCGTTCTTTTGGCTTAGGATTGACTTGGCAATGCCAGCTATTTTTTGGTTCCATATGAACTTTAAAGGAGTTTTTTCCAATTCTGTGAAGAAAGTCATTGGTAGCTTGATGGGGATGGCATTGAATCTATAAATTACCTTAGGCAGTATGGCCACTTTCATGATACTGATTCTTTCTACTTATGAGCATGGAATGTTCTTCCATTTGTTTGTATCCTCTTTTATTTCATTGAGCAGTGGTTTGTAGTTCTCCTTGAAGAGGTCCTTCACATCCCTTGTAAGTTGGATTCGTAGGTATTTTTTTCTCTTTGAAGCAATTGTGAATGGGAGTTCACTCACGATGTGGCTCTCTGTTTGTCTGTTATTGGTGTATAAGAATGCTTGTGATTTTTGTACATTGATTTTGTATCCTGAGACTTTGCTGAAGTTGCTTATCAGCTGAAGGAGATTTTGGGCTGAGACAATGGGGTTTTCTAGATATACAATCATGTCATCTGCAAACAGGGACAATTTGACTTCCTCTTTTCATAATTGAATACCCTTTATTTCCTTCTCCTGCCTGATTACCCTGGCTAGAACTTCCAACACTATGTTGAATAGGAGTGGTTAGCGAGGGCATCCCTGTCTTGTGCCAGTTTTCAAAGGGAATGCTTCCAGTTTTTGCCCATTCAGTATGATATTGGCTGTGGGTGTCATAGATAGCTCTTATTATTTTGAGATATGTCCCATCAATACCTAATTTATTGAGAGTTTTTAGCATGAAGGGTTGTTGGATTTTGTCAAAGGCCTATATTCTGCATCTATTGAGATAATCATATGGTTTTTGTCTTTGGTTCTGTTTATATGCTGGATTATGTTGATTGATTTGCATATGTTGAACCAGCCTTGCATCCCAGGTATGAAGCCCATCATGGTGGATAAGCTTCTTGATGTGCTGCTGGATTCAGTTTGCCAGTATTTTATTGAGGATTTTTACACCCATGTTCATCAGGGATATTGGTCTAAAATTTTCTTTTTTTGTTGTCTCTCTGCCAGGCTTTGGTATTAGAATGATGGTGGCCTCATCAAATGAGTTAGGGAGGATTCCCTCTTTTTCTATTGATTAGAATAGTTTCAGAAGGAATGGTCCCAGTTCCTCCTTGTACCTCTGGTAGAATTCAGCTGTTAATCCATCTGGCCCTGGACTTTTTTTGGTTGGTAAGCTATTAATTATTGCCTCAATTTCAGAGCCTGTTATTGGTCTATTCAGAGATTCAGCTTCTTCCTGGTTTAGTCTTGGGAGGGTGTATGTGTTGAGGAATTTACCCATTTCTTCTAGATTTTCTAGTTTATTTGTGTAGAGGTGTTTATAGTATTCTCTGATGGTAGTTTGTATTTCTGTGGGATCGGTGGTGATATCCCCTTTATCATTTTTTATTGCATCTATTTGATTCTTCTCTCTTTTCTTCTTTATTAGTCTTGCTAGTGGTCTATCAATTTTGTTGATCTTTTCAAAAAACCAGCTCCTGGATTCATTGATTTTTTTGAAGGGTTTTTTGTGTCTCTATTTCCTTCCGTTCTGCTCTGATTTTAGTTATTTCTTGCCTTCTGCTGGCTTTTGAATGTGTTTGCTCTTGCTTCTCTAGTTCTTTTAATTGTGATGTTAGGGTGTCCATTTCAGATCTTTCCTGCTTTCTCTTCTGGGCGTTTAGTGCTATAAATTTCCCTCTACACACTGCTTTGAATGTGTCCCAGAGATTCTGGTATGTTGTGTCTTTGTTCTCATTGGTTTCAAAGAACATCTTTATTTCTGCCTTCATTTTGTTATGTACCCAGTAGTCATTCAGGAGCAGGTTGTTCAGTTTCCATGTAGTTGAGTGGTTTTCAGTGAGTTTCTTAATCCTGAGTTCTAGTTTGATTCACTGTGGTCTGAGAGACAGTTTGTTAAAATTTCTGTTCTTTTACATTTGCTGAGGAGTGCTTTACTTCCAACTATGTGGTCAATTTTGGAATAAGTGGGGTGTGGTGCTGAGAAGAATGTATATTCTGTTGATATGGGGTGGAGAGTTCTGTAGATATCTATTAGGTCCACTTGGTGCAGAGCTGAATTCAATTCCTGGATATCCTTGTTAACTTTCTGTCTCATTGATCTGTCTAATGTTGACAGTGGGGTGTTAAAATCTTCCATTATTATTGTGTGGGAGTCTAAGTCTCTTTGTAGGTCTCTAAGGACTTGCTTTATGAATCTGGGTGGTCCTGTACGGGTGCATATATATTTAGGATAGTTAGCTCTTCTTGTTGAATTGATCACTTTACTATTATGTAATGGCCTTCTTCGTCTCTTTCTATCTTTGTTGGTTTAAAGTCTGTTTTATCAGAGACTAGGATTGCAACCCCTGCCTTTTTTTGTTTTCCATTTGCTTGGTAGATCTTCTTCCATCCCTTTATTTTGAGCCTATGTGTGTCTCTGAATGTGAGATGGGTTTCCTGAATATAGCACACTGCTGGGTCTTGACTCTTTATCCAATTTGCCAGTCTGTGTCTTTTAATTGGAGCATTTAGTCCATTTACATTTAAGGTTAATATTGTTATGTGTGAATTTGATCCTGTCATTATGATGTTAGCTGGTTATTTTGCTCGTTAGTTGATGCAGTTTCTTCCTAGCCTCCATGGTCTTTACAATTCGGCATGTTTTTGCAGTAGCTGCTACTGGTTGTTCCTTTCCATGTTTAGTGTTTCCTTCAGGAGCTCTTTTAGGGCAGGCCTGATGGTGACAAAATCTCTCAGCATTTGCTTGTCTGTAAAGTATTTTATTTCTCCTTCACTTATGAAGCTTAGTTTGGCTGGATATGAAATTCTGGGTTGAAAATTCTTTTCTTTAGGAATGTTGAATATTGGCCCCCACTGTCTTCTGGCTTGTAGAGTTTCTGCCGAGAGATCAGCAGTAAGTCTGATGGGCTTCCCTTTGTGGGTAAGCCGACCTTTCTCTCTGGCTGCCCTTAACATTTTTTCCTTCATTTCAACTTTGGTGAATCTGACAGTTATGTGTCTTGGAGTTGCTCTTCTGGAGGATTATCTTTGTGGCGTTCTCTGTATTTCCTGAATTTGAATGTTGGCCTGCCTTGCTAGATTGGGGAAGTTCTCCTGGATAATATCCTGCAGAGTGTTTTCCAACTTGATTCCATTCTCCCCGTCACTTTCAGGTACACCAATCAGACACAGATTTGGTCTTTTCACATAGTCCCATATTTCTTGGAGGCTTTGTCCATTTCTTTTTATTCTTTTCTCTCTAAACTTCTCTTCTCACTTCATTTCATTCATTTCATCTTCCATCACTGATAGCCCTTCTTCCAGTTGATCGAATCAGCTACTGAGGCTTGTGCATTCGTCATGCAGTTCTCGTGCCTTGGTTTTCCGCTCCATCAGGTCCTTTAAGGACTTCTCAGCATTCGTTATTCTAGTTAGCCATTCGCCTAATTTTTTTTCAAGGTTTTTAACTTCTTTGCCATGGGTTTGAACTTCCTTCTTTAGCTGGAGTGTAGTTTGATCGTCTGAAGCCTTCTTCTCTCAACTCATCAAAGTCATTCTCCATCCAGCTTTGCTCTGTTGCTGGTGATGAGCTGTGTTCCTTTGGAGGAGGAGAGGCACTCTGATTTTTAGAGTTTCCAGTTTTTCTGCTCTGTTTTTTCCCCATCTTTGTGGTTTTATCTAGCTTTGGTCTTTGACGATGGTGACGTACAGATGGGGTTTTGGTGTGAATGTCCTTTCTGTTTGTTAGTTTTCCTTCTAACAGTCAGGACCCTCAGCTGCAGGTCTGTTGGAGTTTGCTGGAGGTCCACTCCAGACCCTGTTTGCCTGGGTAACAGCAGCGGAGGCTGCAGAACAGCAGATATTGGTGAACAGCAGATGTTGCTGCCTGATCGTTCCTCTGGATGTTTTGTCTCAGAGGAGTATCCGGGCGTGTGAGATGTCAGTCTGCCCCTACTGGTGGGTGCCTCCCAGTTAGGCTATTCAGGGGTCAGGGACCCACTTGAGGAGGCAGTCTGTCTGTTCTCAGATGTCCAGCTGCGTGCTGGTAGAACCACTACTCTCTTCAAGGCTGTCAGACAGGGACATTTAAGTCTGCAGAGGATTCTGCTGCCTTTTCTTTGGCTTTGCCCTGCCCCCAGAGGTGGAGTCTACAGAGGCAGGCAGGCCTCCTTGGACTGTGGTGGGCTCCACAGAGTTCGAGCTTCCTGGCCACTTTGTTTACCTACTCAAGCCTCGGAAATGGTGGGCGCCCCTCCCCCAGCCTTGCTGCCACCTTGCAGTTTGATCTCAGACTGCTGTGCTAGCAATGAGCGAGGTTCCGTGGACGTAGGACTCTCTGAGCCATGTGTGGGATATAATCTCCTGGTGTGCCATTTGCTAAGACCATTGGAATAGCGTAGTATTAGGGTGGGAGTGACCCAATTTTCCAGGTGCCGTTTGTCACCCCTTTCTTTAACTAGGAAAGGGAATTCCCTGACCCCTTGCGCTTCCTGGGTGAGGCAATGCCTCACCCTGCTTCAGCTCACTCTCGGTGCGCTGCACCCACTGTCCCGCACCCACTTTCTGACACTCCCCAGTGAGATGAACCCGGTACCTCAGTTGGAAATGCAGAAATCACCCATCTTCTGCGTCACTCACGTTGGGAGCTGTAGACTGGAGCTGTTCCTATTCAGCCATCTTGGCTCCACCCCGATGGTTTCAATCAGATAATTTAACAAGACATCTTGAGGAGGCTTACTGTCTCACCAACCAGGTGGAGAAATACTGACATGGATGAGGCCAAGAGAAATCAGAATGATGAAGAACCACCATTAATAAATGTTGTCTACACTATATTTAGGCCTTGTTCATGTGCAGATTGACTTTTAATAGGCCATTCTTTTTTCCATTCTTACTCTCTTTTCAGCTGGCATTTACAGGCTACAAGTCAACCATACTGAAAGACTGTTGCACAGTGTATAATAAACATAAAAAATATCTGTAAAAGGTGATAACATTTAAATTAGCACAGTCTACATATTTCTCTTATATTCTTGCTTTATCCACCTTTCGGTTACTGTGTGATTCAACCTTTCATAACTCCTTTGGTTCTTATGTCTGAATTATTTTATTTCTGGATTCTAAGCATGATCATAAAATTTTTGGTCACTTATATTATCCTACTCTACCTTGGCTAACACAATCATACGACCCTTGAATTGGATAGCAATGTGGAAATCTGCTGAAATCCCTGAAGATTATGGCTGTCATTAAGGCTAAGGACAAATGTCATATGTTTTAAAATCCTGAATTTTATTTGATCCTCAGCAATGTCGTGAGGTAGCTACGACTTGTCATCTTAACACATTTTACTCTATATTACAAGGAAAGATTATTAAGTAAATCGGAAAAGCCAAGCATAATTAAAAATGAAGTCATTTAAGGGGGCATGGGAGTAGGCCACAATATTTCAATACAATATATTCATTCTTACAGACTAAAATGAGTTTTAAGAATGCACATAAGGTTATTATGATACCATGTCTCTACCTTACTACGTCAAACGGGAATGCTAATAATTGTGAAGCAATCAGTATATGTCTTGCACATCTCTTAAATATCTAAGATAAATCTTTCCTTTTGGCAAACAAAAGATATTTTAAAAATTTAACTGTGCCATATTTTTGGCTAATATCTCGAATTTCATATTAAACATGATTAGGAAATTGAGCGTAAATTTCTAGGGAAATACATTGTAAGTAATACAATTATTCAGGGTATATAATTTACAAAATAATGTATAAAATCTAAAGAGCAGATAAGAAGGTAAAATATAAGCAGATGCTGCAGATTTTAGGCAATATCAGAAGAGTTTTCAAGTAAAGAATTATTCTAGCAACTAATTCAACATGAGAAGACCACCTTACAACATGACATCTCAACTGCCAAACTAGCAAAAAAGTACATAAGAAATCTGACACATGGTCCCATGAAAAGTTAACCAGAAAAGCCAGTGTGCAGTTTGTACACACTGGCTGTATAACAGGAGATTGCTCTATTAGTATTCCATTGAATTCTCACAAGAAATTGTTTCAGATAAAAGTAACAGAAAATGGACAGAAGTCCAAATAAGCTAGAGATTTTAAGCACAGAGAAATATCAGGATTCAAGTCTCTGAGATAAAGATACCTCAACCATGGGGACAACTAACTATGATCAGAACAAGACCAGCAACAGACCCAGAATATGAGCTCCTAACATAAGGTGTCTCAGAATCTCTAAACCTATGGTTTAAAATTATGTCAGAGGCAGGGAGGAGGAGGTCAGTGAGTTTACTCATGAATAGAGGAGAGAAGCCTGGTAGGCAGGAACACCTCCACATCATCCATACTCTGATGAGATAAATGCACTGGCATTGTATAAGCACACATTACAGAAAAGGCCAGTTATTTTGTGGCTATGCCATTCTTGACTTCTGATGTAACACAATATAACCCTATAGCTCCACCACATTAAAAACTTTACGCTATTTCAAGGAGTTAACAACAGTGCATTCATTTCTTATTTTCTTCTCAGAGAAGTTCATTGGCTAATGAAATCAACTTATGGAAATAAAACAGCGTATGGTGGCTTTCAGGCATCAACAACAACAACGCAGCCTATACCAGATTAAACACTGCATTACATCAAGCTTTTGAACCTGTAGGTCAGTTTAATCCACACCAACACAGACAATTGACAGGAACTGCAGGCATCTGAGATATTATTTGAGAAAACCCCTTTTAACAAACGTATTCTATTTGAGGTTCAGTAAGCTTTACCTAGTGTATAAATGTGTGGCAAAGTCAAAGGAAGCAGCTTTACAGGAAAACACATTGAATGAGAATTTCAGAGTTGGGATTTATTGATTTTATATATTTGCTGTTTTTGTTACTTGTTTGGTTTCTTTATGTTTGTTTGTTTTGGATGATGCTTCAGACATGAAAAAAGATTCTACTTCTTGCAGATGTTTCATGTTTGGGATCAGAAGAGAAATGAGACAGACTGATTGTGGGCTGTCACAGATGCTTTCAAGTAGCTTATGCTTGGACTTCCATACCCTAGAGGAACATGTCATCAACTTGCTTAGTTCTTCATATGGGGTAATAGGAATCAACATCAAATTCTTTAATCATGGTTAACCGTAAGATAAGTATTTTAAATATTTCTGTGTTGCCTATGTGGAAAACAATTCATACGCATGATATTAAAAATATTATCTTTTGTTTTAAAAGTCGGTAAATTCATACTCATAAGGTATACATCAAGCAAGGAATATAATTGTGAAAAAATATAAAGTCAAACATTTAATGTAATATATAGTTATTTCAAGTTAATCAAAGAAAACTGAAAAAAACTAATAATTAAATCAACATAGGAGAGAAATAACAGCAAAGGAGTAATGATAAGTATATAACAAAATGGAATTTGGGTAAATATAAAAATAAATATTGCTAAAAAAACTATAAAACAATTTCTATTAAACTATTATGAGAGTATTTTTCACCAACGACATTTCAAGTTACTTATTTTCTGCCAGTAGGTAATGAGAGATGCAATATCACATTATACGTGTAATGTAAGAGTGTAAAGTATTTCTCAAAAATTTCCATCAGTAGGTAATAAAAGCACTAAAGTTATGTCCATATCATTTTGCACAGTAATTCAGTCTGAAGATACCTGTCAAAAAGTTAATAAAGATTTGACAAAAATACAAAGACATTATAGTATTAAAATTAAAAATTCAAGAAATGAAATCATTATGACTTCAAATTATAAGCCTTGCTGCAAAGCTGAAATTTTTCTAGAATGTTTTAAAATGCATGGAAATATAATATAGAGTTAAATGACTAATTCAAGGCATGCTGAACTACTTTGTATGATCCCAATTATCTCGAAGACAATGTGTTTGTGTGTGTGTGTGTGTGTGTGTCTGTGTGTGTGTGTAGTTAAATATACCTACATTTCTATATGTCATTATGTGGTTATTTTGAAATTTCCAAATCTAACATATCCAGATAGAAAGTAAAGAATAATCAAATTTCAGCAAAATTTCAAAAACTAGCAAAGAATCCCCTTGGGCATAAGCATTCTAATTATCACAATTTGCTTTATTTTATTGCTTTATAAAGTGTATCACATAAATGCTGTAAATATTATTTTCCCAATGTACTGCTGCATTTGTCATGGTATTCAATTTCCTAAATCTATTTCTTATTTTATTAATCAGTATTAACCATTCACAAACCAAAACCCAAATATACTTTTGGAAGTTCTAACAGGCTCCAAATCTAGGCTAGGTGATTACACCATGGGTTTGCTTTGTGTCATGTCCTCACTATAGGGCAATTTGTCCTTACAAAGTACACAGAAACATGTATGTCTCTACACACACATCCATAAAATACTCAAAATATTATTGTGTTGAAATTAGGAACCTATTTTTTCTAAAATTTTGAAATACCAATTTTATTTTCTAGACACACAATCTACCTTTTTAAGACTATCATTTTCAGTGTTTTAGATTCTAAGGGAATAAGATTTTATTGCCTATTTTTAAATTATTTTTTAGATTGGAATAAATTAGCGTATAATTTTATGCAGTTTATAATTACCTAAAAGTGCATTATGAAATATTAGTAAATCTAATCCTATTTCTATGCTCTAGGAAAAATTGCTAGCAAAATTATTTGTTAATAAATTATTTTGCAATGTAGAGAAGTATTTTAGAATAAATATCATTCCCCAATTTATCTTATGTAAATCAAAAAATTCGTATCTTAATTTTGCCTAGTTTTAATTAAACTCTATATCAAACTGTTCTCAGTGCTTAGAACAGTAAGTCCTTTCATTTTCCAGATAGCCTATGTAAGACTGAGTTAATTTAGGCTTAATATGCTTTAATATATAGGTCCTTAATAAATGGTGGCAAACGGTGGTCAAGAAGGTTGGCACTTCTGCCATTGTCCCATTCAAAGTGAATCCATCATTTGCTTTCTGCCTTTATATTAAATAGTGCCAATTCATGCAGTCTTTTAACAAAACTTGATCTTAATGATGTGTAAAAATGAAAAATGGTATTTTATTTGGCTCTTGCCTCTACTTTCATTTGTAATATCATCACTGTCCACTTTAGTAATGATATTTACTCATCTCTATTCAATAATAGTAAAACTTACATATTTAGATAGCTGGCTGTTGTTTTCTTAAAAATTTCAGAATTCTTTCAAATGCATTTGATGCCATAATTCACTGTTTATTACGTATAGTGGAAAAGTTTTCATCAGAACCTCAAATCTAATCCAATTTACCTTTTCAAAATCACCCTCCTTTCACCTGTTTATCCTGTACAGATATAGTTATGCCAAATGAGGCCCCGTCAAGTCTTCACTTCTTATGTCATATGCTTAATATTTGGAATCCTCAGCTTTTTTTGCCTATAGTTAGGGGATAAAATGGCATTTACTTATGGGACTTTTTATCCATGAACACTTATTTATTGTTTCATTCACTAAATCTATATTGCACGCCTACTTTGTGACAGGAACACTTCTAGGTGATGAAGAACAGACCGTGAAAAGCCCCTGCTGTCATTAGCTTGCATACTAATCTGTATGTGTGTATGCATGTATTACAGGTGGAAGGAAATGTTCTGAGAAACAAATGAGAAAATACAAGCAAAGTTTAGCACTACTCCTGGCATAAAGGATGTACTCGTTAAGTAGATGCACTGTTGTTGTTACTATCATTATTATCTTCCTCTCTACCTAATTAAAACCTAATCATGCTCTTTATTATTGTCTGTCAAATACTGAGATATTTTATCTTAAAGATTTTTTTTTTTTTTTTTTGAGACGGAGTTTCGCTCTTGTTGCACAGGCTGGAGTGCAATGGCGCGATCTCGGCTCACCGCAACCTCTGCCTCCGGGTTCAAGAGATTCTCCCGCCTCAGTCTCCCAAGGAGCTGGGATTACAGGCATGAGCCACCAAGCCCGGCTAATTTTGTATTTTGAGTAGAGATGGGGTTTCTCCATGTTGGTAATCCTGTATTTTAGAACCTGCCAGACATTCAGTAAGTATCTCTAAAATTGAACTCTAAGTTCCCTTTGTGTTCTAACATATGGCGAGTCCCTGAATGATATTGGGCTAGTGACTTATGACCTATATTCTGAAAGCAATTTGAGACACCAGAGGTGTTCAAGTAATCATCAGAGGTACCTCACTGAATTATGTCAAGCATTTGTTTATTGACAGTGGGGTGGACATTGTTTACTGGTATTCACAGGTTAGATTGTGCCTCATTGTAAAGCCTAAAAGGAAGTCAGAAGCTTCAGTGAATCAGGATAGCTGTCCTCTGGGAATATAAAGATGTAGCAAGTATAAATACCACCAGAAGAGATCTCAACCTAGGATTAAGGTAACAAATCTCTAGTTATTATAAAAATTTGGCATGGCATAGCTGATGAATTTGACACAGTTATTCTTTAAGCCAGATTTGAAAGTAAAACCAGATAACATCAAATATTTTTTTCCTTTAAGGTTTTTTAACCTACTGTGGAGCTATATTATTATTCAACGGTTCTCTAAGGGGCTTTCTGTCTTTGCCAAGTCTGCTTTCCTGTAGATTTGATGTTTACTGAACAATCAGCCTGCCTTTATGTCCCTCTGATCATGCTGTTTGTTCAGGATGTTTTTCCTCTAAAGCTGATAAATAAAAATTTCATCTGCCCTAGGACTTATACTTTCCTTAGAGATTAATTTCAGAGCTTTATTTTATTTTGACCCCTGAATAATCCTTAATTCCAATTATCTTCCACATAATGTTTCAAGGAGAGGGTCTGAACCGCTATCTTCCAGTGAAATTTCAGACCTAGACTGATTTTGAAAATTTCATTTTCCACATACTTGCCCAATTTTTATATTAAATTATATTCTGTAATTTTTTTTAAATTTTATTTCATTTTATTAAGTTTCAGGATACATGTGCAGGACATACAGGTTTGTTACACAGGTAAATGTGTACATGGTGGTTTGATACACCTATCAACCCATCACCTAGGTATTAAGCCCCACATGCATTAGCTGTTTATCCTGATGCTCTCATTCCCTCAACCCTTCCCACCTGATAGGCCCCAGTGTGTGTTGTTCCCCTCCTTGTGTCCATGTGTTGTCATTGTTCAGCTCTCACTAGATTTTCTTCTAGGGTTTTTATAATTTTAGGTTTCACATTTAAGCCTTAATCCATCTTGAGTTAATTTTTATATAAGGGTGCAGATTCAATTTTCTGCATTTGACTAGCCACTTTTCCTAGCACCATTTATTAAACATGGAATCCTTTCCCCATTGCTTGTTTTTGTCTTGCTGGTCAAAGATCAGATGTTTGCAGATGTGCAGTCATATTTCTGAGATCTTTATTCTCTTCCATTTTTCTGTGTGTCTGTTTTTGTACCAGTACCAAGTTGTTTTGGTTACTGTAGCCTTTTAGTATAGTTTGAAGTCAGATAGCATGATGCTTCCAGGTTTGTTCTTTTTCCTTAGGATTGTTTTAGCTATACAGGCTCTTTTTTGGTTCCATATAAATTTTAAAATATTTTTTTCTAATTCTCTGAAGAATGTCAATGGTAGTTTACTGTGAATAACATTGAAACTATAAATTGCTTTGGGCAGTATGACCATTTTCACCATGTTCATTCTTTCTATCCATGAGCATGGAATGTTTTTCCATTTGTTTATGTTCTCTCTTATTTCCTTGAGCAGTGGTCTGTAGTTATCTTTGAAGAGGTCCTTCACTTCCCTTGTTAGCTGTATTTCTAGGTATTTTATTCTCTATGTAGCAATTGTGAATTGGAGTTTATTCATGATTTGGCTCTCTGCTTGTCTATTGTTGGTGTTATAGGAATGCCTGTGGGTTTTGTTTTTTTTTTTTTTTTGCATATTGATTTTGAATCCTGAGACTTTGCTGAAGTCACTTATCAGCTTAAGAAGCTTTTGGGCTGAGATGATGGATTTTTCTAGATACAGGATTATGTCATCTGCAAACAGAGAGTTTGACTTCCTCTCTTCTTATTTGAATACTCTATTTCTTTCTCTTGCCTGACTGCCCTGGCCAGAACTTCCAATACTATGTCAAGTAGGAGTGGTGAGAGAGAACATCCTTGTCTTGTGCCAGGTTTCAAGGGAAATGCTTCCAGTTTTTGCCCATTCAGTATGATATTGGCTATGGGTTTATCATAAATGGCTATTATTTTGAGGTATGTTCCATCAATACCTAGTTTGAGAGTTTTTAACACGAAGGGATGTTGAATTTTATCAAAGGCCTTTTCTGTGTCTATTATGATGATCATGTGTTTTTTGTCTTTAGTTCTGTTTATGTGATAAATTACATTTATTGATTTGCATATGTTGAACCAGCCTTTCATCCCAGGGAGGAAGCCTACTTGATCATGGTGAATGAGCTTCTTGATGCATTTTATTGTGTACCTCTGGTAGAATTCAGCTGTAAATCCATCTGGTCCTGGGCTTTTTTTGGTTGGTAGGCTATTTATTAAGGCCTCAATTTCTTATCACAAATGTGTGAATTTGATCCTGTCATCATGATGCTAGCTGGTTATTCAGAGCCAATAGGAGCAACCATGGCCCAGGTAACACAGTGTCAAGAGGTTCCTGAGAAAGTGCACGCATGGCAGTCAGAGTATAGTTTGGTTTCATATATTTTAGGAAGGCAAGAGTTATGGGTAAACACACTGGTTTCGCCCCAAAAGGTGGGGTATCTTGAAAGGGGAGAAATAATGAGAAAGGAGATTTAGTTTAAATAACCACTTACTCATATTCTTGCTGAAAGATAAATTATTCTGAAATTTTCTCTTAATTGCACTCATCTGTAAACATATTTTGGCATATTAAACTAGCAAATTCTTAAACATGTTTATTTACTAAATTGAATAGCAACAATTTTTCCCCTTTAAAAACATAAATACTATTTTGTTATATGAGTTATTTTTTCTCATGCTCTCGGCTCCAGGTTGAGTTTCTTAAATTTTGAAACACTATGTTGTTTCAAATCCCTGTTTTATTTCTTCCTGAAACACATGCCTACCTTCTTCAATAAGCTCAGTCACATTGATCATTGAGCTCTCTAACATCATTTACACTAGGAATTTCTCAAGCTGGCTGTTTGGACTGGTTAGCTCCCATATTATATGTAACTATCTTCACTCTTGCAATTATTTCAAGTTTTGTTTTCCCACCAAACTGAAAGCCTCATAAGGGCAGGATCAAGACGTTTTTGTTATTGTTGTCTTTTATTCAAAACTGTCTTTGTTTTTTTGATTGTATGATTAGGATCATTTTATGCTTTGACTTCCATTGGTTGGCCTCTATTATTGATTAACAATCAATGATTAGCTAAGAATTTAAATTAAACAATAAATTCCCCAAATTCTTGCTTCACCATGCTTGTACTGAATCTGGAGAGCAGATAATAAGCCATTGGTATTTTTTTTCCTGTGTTGCAATTTTTTCCTCTTTATTTTCTCATGTTTCTTTTCTATGACCTTTGTCAATTTTGAAAGAACACTTACGGCTTCTCAAAGACAATAGGAAGTGTAGGAAGTCAACCTAGTGAGGGGAACATGGCCAACCATAATCATAGATGAGTTATAAGAAAATTTCAACACTTAATATTATGGGACATTGAGCAAGTTTCTTACCTTTCAAAACTTCTAGAATATTAAATGGGAACGTTAATCTGTTTTATAAGAGGAAGTAGAAATAACACACTCAACAATCGGTTTTAGAAACTAGAAGGAAAGACAGGAAATAAATGTCCATTATCAAATGCAGTGTAAATTTTCAAAATAATTCATCCATTAATAATTGGTTATTTGTACTGTTAGACATTATTTTTTATAGCAAACTAAAATACTGCATTTGAAATTGTGAAATTGAAAAGGAGAAAAGACAGACATTTGTTAATGTTCAAGAAATAACTTTACCAAGTAGTTTTTCTTTATTCTTTGCCTTGAGAGATAAGTCCATCTGTTAAAGAGAAAGGTTACTTTTATAATTTTTAACTCATAAAAATCCCTAGCGATAACACTTTACTTATTTCACCTTTACCTTGTTATTTCCAGCTGACCTCTTTTGAGCTATTTATGTTTGTGCATTAATGTATATCCTGAAACTTTACTTTAATCATGGGTATTTAACCTTCATGAACTCTTTTGAAATTTACTCAGAATTTATAACTCTATCAATATTCAACTGGCTATCTGATAACTAGTTAACATTAATAAATCATTTCATTTGGTTACTTCTGTATAATAATATTTAGTTAATGCAAATTTAATACATGGTTGTTTTCTTCCATGAAGAAACAATCACTACTTTTACTTCAGTTCAGCCCAGCAGCTCAAGTATTGATCTTACCTCACTTTACAGTGAATATTTTTCAGAGATAAGAACATAATCTTTTGCTCATTTTTGCTTCTCTTTGGGAAAGACATTTTATATTTCATTTCTGCATCATATATAAACATATGATTTTAGCAAAACTCTTCATGTCTGAGCTAAATTAAGCTATATTTTTGGTTGTGCTAAATCCTTAGAAAGTTTATGAGGAAAAGCATTGACTAAGCAAGTCATGGTTACATGTTTACATACATGCACACATGTTTATTTATATGCTTAATGCTATCACCAATGTTCTAGAAAGTTTTTCAGTGTTCCTTGAAAATCATTTGAGTTGATCAAAAGTTTAAGCAGGCGTTTCAAAGAAAGGCAAAAAGCAACTCTTTTCATGATAAGTACTTTTCTCCTTCAATAGTGACAGAGAATTTTCTGTTGGTTGTATAATCAGTGTTGGCATCAGAAATAATGCTCTATGTGTATAGGTCATATAGATGCATTATCTAGGTAGAAAAGTATCTGGTCAGTAGCCCTAATCTCAACATTGTGACACTCATTTAGCAATTTCATGTATTCAGAGTTTCATCTATTACTCAGTAATAGATTTAAAAAAAGGACAATCATCAGCTGATCAACAATGGCTAATGTTTTACAAACGGTGCATATAATATTTGTTGCTCTTGATTGTAAATAAAATCATGCATTGTACTTAGAAATAGATTTCTCAGAAAAAATAAGTTAACTTTAAGTTAGTGGTTTCTTTAAAAAATTAAAAATAGTATGAAAATAATTTTCATCCTTTTTTCTACTTCAGTCAAATATATGTAGACAAACCATCATACTCCCATTATTTTATTCAAAACAAGAATATTAATTTTATTTTATAATTCTCTAAATTCTCATATCAAGAAAATGCTTGGGTTTTTGACCTTCACTTATTTTGGTCACCAAATATTATATATCATATATAATTACTATGTGCCACACACTGTGCTAAGCACTGAACTTAATATGTGTACTTAATTATCAATTTCATACACATAATTTCCTATGGGAAAAAAAAGCAGAGGAAACAACATCACCAACAAAAGTATGTGAAATCCTTCAATAAAAACTGGAAAATCCCAAAATTATAAAAGACCAATCTTGCTTTCTATATTTTGTTTGCTTAAAATGTGGAACCAGCCCAAATGCCCATCAATAAAAATGTGATAAAGAAACTGTGGTATATATATGATGGACTACTACTCAGCAATAAAAAGGAATAAATTAATGGCATTTGCAGCAACCTGAATGGGTTTGGAGACTATTAATCTAAATGAAATAACTCAGGAATGAAAAAACAAACAACATATGTTCTCATTCAAAAGTGGGAGCTAAACTACAAGGATGCAGGATGCAAAGGCGTAAAAAATAATACAATGGACCTTGGGGAATTGGAGGGGAAAGAATGAGAAAGGGGTGAGGAACAAAAGACTACAAATTGGGTTCTGTGTATACTGCTTGGGTGATGGGTGCAGCAAATCACCACTAAAGAACTTCCTCATTTAACAAAATACCACTTGTTCCCCCAAAACCTATGGAAATTATAAAAAATGAAAAAATATAAGAAATACAGATTTTGTTTGCTGTCTTTGCTTTCTTATCATTGGCTATTTGCATTAACAAGATTTGATGAGTTCAAGAAAAGAGGCTATATAATGGTGACTGTGACTACTGTAATGGCAAATCTAGAATCTCTAAATTTAATTTAATACAGAACAGAAAAATAGAATTCCTCTCACTACTGAGGAGATACTATACAAAATTCTGTAAGGACCTGCATAAGTCAGTAAGCAAATCATCTGTCCACATTGCTATTTTTATTTTACCTACTTATACACACAATAGGATGGATGCTTCTACTTACTGTGTAAAATTGAGGATTATGTGTTTGCAGGAATGAATGAATGCTTATATTTTCTCAGTCCATTTCAAATTAATGTGGTGTGGAATGGTCAGAAGAGATTGTACTGATGGTTGTCCTCCTGTTCAATGAGTTCTGTTAAATGATCCCTGTAAGAGACATCCTTCATTCCTGGCTCACAAAAATTGAGTTTTGAGTAGCATTGTTTTTAGTGTACAGAATTCAACAGATGGTACCAAATAGCCAATATTTTAAACAACTTCCTGAGGGTAGATCTCCAGCTGAGCATCCCTATCACCCTCATTTTCATCTACTTTCACTGTGTTCATTCATTTTAAAATTATCGTGTGAGCAGCACTCACATTTCCCTAGAAGAAGATGTAACTGTGCATATTAGCAAATCTGGAGCTGAAGTATGAGTTTAATATTGGCCACTTTTTTTCTCGTGTTGTCTTTAAACAATGCCATTTTTAAAAATGATTGTTTTCCATTTTACATTCAAAGGGTGGCTACTTACTGTTTTGCAACTCAACTCAGCAAAGAAAAAATTGTAGGTAGTAATTTTTTTAAGCTATCAACTGAATCTCTGACAGACACCCTCATCTTTGTTGTCAGGTTGAAACATTCTGTTCTTGAACAGAGGAAAAACACTCTTCACACAGTGCTTACGAGTTTCTGAAGTCTTTATTGGTACTCTGCACACCTTCACACCTCCGTGAGAAGAAAACAGTAGATTTATATTAGAAACTGTATTGAAAAATGTCTACTTCAAACACACTCAAAGGACTTTCCGGTTGTTTTATTGCTATGCCAGAATACCTTCATGTAACTGAAGTAACTTGGACTAAGCAAGGTAGATACTTTTCTAAATTTGTGGGAGGCTACCTTGAAAAAGATGATGGGAAAATAAATAGACTATATTCTGATGTTGTTATTCATGTTAGTGTTAGAGCTTTCATGGAGTAAGTTACTGCTAAGTAGGAGTAAATATCCAAGCAGCAATAAAAGATGAGCACCTTCCACATATCTGTAATTGTAATTCCACACCTACAATTCAAGTAGAAGGTCAATAGGACCAAATACACAGACATTCACTTTCTATATAAAATGTGTTGAAAAAAATCTAGTGAACAACATTTTGAGCCATATTAAGTAAAATGTTTAAAATAATAGTAAAGCTACAAGTAACTTTAAATAGGAAATGCTGATTTGAAAACTTATGGAAGGTATTAGTATTTATCAAAATTAATATGAATAATCAAATGTAGTTAAATATATTCAAACGGACCACCCCATTTGAAGACATGGGAAGAAGATAGCATTAGCAGGCTTTGCTTAGGTATGTGCCCATATTTCTTACTAAACTACTTGCCGGTATGAGAAGCAATGCTCTAAAGTAAGTACAGATAGTCTTATAAACACACGACCAAACATCACATACACACATCTAGTCTCCAACACATACATAAGGCACCATTCTTTAAAAAAACTAAATAAAATCAATTTTATTTGTGTATTACTATAGATCTGGGTCTGCAACACAAGAGGAGATATAGTGGGAAGGACTTAAGGGGCTGCTGACTATAGACCTGAGGTGTAAAGTTTCGATGATCTGAATCTATTGTGTTTGCTAAATAAAGAGAGAGCTTTATGTTGCAACTTAATACCATTCAAATCTTTCTACATTATCTCTGCCTCAAACGTTCTTTTTACTTAAAGAAAATACATGACAAATGTATCTGGCTAGGGATGTCTGCTGAACTCTTTCTATTTTATCTTTTGGAAGAGAGAAAAACGTTAACAGGCCAGGCCTGGGTCCAACAGTGAAGAACGAGAAGATTGTTCTTGGTGAGCATCTCCATCTGTTCCTAGATCAAGCTCCTAATCTTTCCCAGGCCTTTTCTCGTGCCAATGTACTGGATCAAGAGAATATTTCAGTAGCAGGAAGCAGAAATGATTCCAGGAGAGAGAAAGTAGGGCACATCGGTCATTTAAATGTTTAGGAAGTAAAGCTCAAGCAACAGAGAAATTATAAAGTTACCAAAAACCCATTCCAAGTAATAATAATAGCAAACGATTCCATATAGCTTATTACTTGCCAGGCAGCATTCCAACTGCTTTACATATATTAATTCATGTACTCAGGACTACCCTGTGATAGGGCTCTTATTGTAATCTCCGTCGTATGACCGAGAGAAGAAGCCGAGTAGTTAAATAACTAATACATAGAATGCATGGGAGAATTGAACCCAGGCAGTCTGGACAAGAGCTCTAGTCTTATATTGTGTTTTCTCCCACATTTAGAGGCCTAGTCAATATCAATGTAAGCATCACAATGAAGGAAAACATGACTACATAAAAAATTAACAACAAGGAGGCTGATTTCCTTTTGAGAGGAAAAAATTTTGAAAACCTGAAGAATTGAGAGCATAGAAAGAAACCCATGTAATCATGTAAGTACAGTGCCTGCCACAAAGTTAACACTATCTGTTCAATCCATACTGAAAGAAAAAATAAATGTTGAGACAGTATCTTTGAATGCAGTCACAGCTTTCTCTCTCATCTCCAACTATGATAATCTTACCCTGTAAGAACCAACTTTTCACAGCAATTCAGAGAACTGCACACTTGTATGTCTAGAGACTAGGGTATAGGGGAGCACAGAAACCACTTCCCAGTAGTTCTTTCCACTTATAGCCAATGTGAGAAAACCTTTTAAATGGTCAATTTTCAAGGCATGATACATCTAAGCACTGGCAGCCAGCCTGCAGATGTAACAAACTGCACGGCTCGTGCTCCTAGAAGGTCACGATAAATGAACAGAATGTAGAGGAGGAGTCAGCCCATAAAAGGGAAGAGAGTTTCACTATTGGGAAATTGAAACTTAAGTGGGGGAAGCGGATGGGGTAAACTTAGGTGACGTCTGGGAAGATTGTAACCCCATAGTATTTGACTAATGAGGAAGTAGGGGAGGGACTTGCATGCTAGGAGGTATATTACCTGCTGTGATTGCCCCGGGTGTGCCTGCCTACCAGACACCCGATCTTGCAAGACCACTATTAAGTCTCACTTTTGCTGTTCTTGGTGCCTCTAAGTCCATTCTTTGGGTTTGGATGGGTGAGCGTGTTTCTCACATCCATTAATATTCCTACTATATATAGTAGAACCTGCAATCTATAGATATTTCCCTGGGATCTCTAGATGTCCAGTACTTTCCTGTTATATTTGCTTTTCAAAACCATTCAATCTAGTGTCTACCACACCACTACCATGCACCCTGGCCTACTCTGGTGATGACAACAGAGTTTTGAATAAAACAGAATTCTACCCTTGCACCTTTTCTTCTACTGGGGAGATGCAGACGATTAAAGGAGGAGGGAAGGAAGGAAGGAAGGAAAGAAGGAAGAAAAGGAAGGAAGGAAGGGAGGGAGGGAGGGAGGGAGGGAGGGAGGGAGGGAAAAGGAGTGGGGAGGGGAGGGGAGGGGAGAAAGAGATTAAACTTTTGATGCCGGCAAGGTACTATGAATGAGATACTTCAGTTGATAGAGAGCATAAAGTGTTGGGAGACTGCTTTAGGCAGGCTGAAGACCTTCCCAAAGAGGTAATATTGAACTTCAGTCCTGACTTCCAGAGGCAGCCATCTAATGATCTTCAGGAAGAGACTTTCGACAAGTAGCAGCACTTGCAAAGGCCGTTTATATTGAGTAATGTTTTTAGATTCCCTAGCATATTTAGAAGACTTGCACTGATGGGAAATTTCTGACTAGAAAGTCCAGTCTTCTTAAGAAGTAATCTAGAAAACTGGCATTCTCAGCCTCCTCTACATCTAGATACAAGCAGGTGGCCAAGGCTTCACCAACCCCAGGCAAAAAGCACTTGAAACTTTGGCTCAGTACTGCTCACAATGTATACATGTATCAAAATACCACATAGTATCCCATTAATATATATTACAATTTATCAATTAAAAATAAAATTTACAAAAATAAGTGCTCAAGATAGCGCTGATCCTGGGACCATCATTTTTCATCCAGGTTTACGCCTAAATTGTCCAGCTTGGGGGACTGCATTAGTTGCCACGTGGAGTTTCTGCTATACAAGTAGCATTAGTACAGCCTCAGTAGCTGCTGGAGTTTGGTCCAATTCCTGGCAGCAGTGCCAATGGCAACATCAGTTATGATTTTCTCATTACGTCAGTTCTCTGTCACACATTTCAGTATTATTTTTCGAGGCTTAGATTCAATCCTATTTCTCCAGTTTTTCTGAGAATCTGTGAGCCAGTCATTTTCTGTTTAATTAACAAGAGTTAGATTCCACTGCTTATTATTAAAAACCCATAATGATAAAGGTTGGATGGGTTTCAGGAACAAAATCAATGTCAGTGTGGCTCCTGGTTTCTCTCGAGCCAGATTATCCAACCTAGTTCTGTCTTTTCCTATAATTATTCATAATCTGACTTTACATTTTCATTTTTTCTCCTAATTCCCCCAAGACTAGTATCTTCTAAGTGTAATCCATATAGATATTAAGAAAACAAAATTTAAGGAGACCTCCTACCAAACATCTTTCAAGGTTTGTTTTTTTTGTTTTGTCTTTTCATTTCCCAGATATGCTTCTACTATTAACCTATAGGGGGAAAAACCTGCATTACCTCTGTACTGGCCTCTGTTGGCCTCTTTCTTCCTTAACCCATTTCCTATTTAGAAAAAAAAAATGCAGCTCGATGCAGGTGTTCATTTAATTTTACATAAACACACTCTTTGAGGTTGAAGCAAATCTAACCGACTTTCAATGTGAAAATAAAATATAAACAGTTATTGGAGTTATTTCTAAACAGAACTTGTCTGTAATCCTAATGTAATAGAAATGTATATGATTAGAATTAGAGATAAGAGTATTCTTGGGGCAAATGGGAAATGGGTTAAATTATGCCTTTTATCCATGTTTCCATCTTTGGTAGAAAGAATAGAGGTTCATCAATGTTAATTTCTCTTATACACACCCTAAGTGACCCAGCTCTTTCTTTTTCTGAAGTGGGCTCTTTACCCACATGAGCCCCTCAACTTAAAGATACAAGATCTAAAGAGTGGCCTCAAAGCAGCTTCATTCCTCTAAACATTACCTAAACTCAGAAATGATTTAGTATCTTTTTTTAGAAAAATTAATAAAAATGCATTGTATTCATTTGTTTGAACTACTTGCCATTGATATTTATTCACCACAGAGGAAAATAACAACTATTTTTAGAAATATACATACAGAATTAAATTCACTGAATTTTTCATTGGAACATAATTCTAAATGCAGTTCCATGTTGCTTATCTAGCAAAACCATAGGCTCAAATGTTTAAAAATACTTTGATGGACAGCAACTTTTGGAACTGTGTCAGGGACAGAATTTAGACAGAGATTGGCTTTTACAGAATGCTTAAACCAGTTATTTTCAAACTTTTTGGCAATGACCCACAGTAGAACGCATTTGATTTTACAACTCAGTATAGGCAAAACTTTAAACACATATACAAATATATAATATAGACACACAGGATACTTAAAAAGGGTTTCATAAATGCATTCTTACGGCATTGTGATATTTTCTATTATTTTCATTTAGACAAACAATTATCATTGCCTATTACATTTATTCAGAACCCGTTAGTGTGGTCATGACCTGCAGTCTGAACAAAGCTACTTTAAACTCTGGTTGTGGCATGGTATGTGTTAGGTCTATTTTCAGACTGTCTTAAGGAACCAAATCTTCCCATGATTTATCTAGGAAAGAAGTTTTCCAAGTTCTAAAACCAATTTGCAAACAACTTGCAGAACTCAGTTCATTCATAAATAATGATACAGCTATACTTTCTTCAAAATGTCAATTTTTTTAACCAGCACATATTCATAGTTTTACATCACCCATGCTTGGAGAATAACTCAAAACAGGAGCTTTAAACAATTCTGTTCAGTGTCACACTAAGGTTCAATAATTGTATATGTCTCTGTTCACAGCATCGTTTTTCTGGAGTATAAATATCAGAGAAAGTTAAATCTAACATCTGTGGATATACTGTCAGAAATAAAGGAATACTGTAGGAAGACATTTTTAGAAGTGATGATTTTCAAATAACAATTTGAGTCACTCTTAATGACATTTTTGCAATATTTTGCACCTATTTCTTAGCAGCAAAGAAATGACAAAGAGTTAACAAAACATTTATTCTTATCTAGACAATATTCTTCAGTAAGTCTGGGGAAATGCTCATTAAAAGCCTCACATGTTTACAGACCACAGTGCATTAATAGGAATTCAATTAAATACTTATTGCTTTTGTCATTTAAAGTAAGTTAACCAGATGGCATGACATTCTCCAAAAGAGATTTTAAACAAACAGTGGAGATTTAATTAATATGCACCAGTTAACTCATTAAATATGTAACAACTAGATCATTAAACTTAAGGTAAATACTTATTTGAGATGAATTGTCTAATTTTCACATTTATCTTCATTTTTCTTGACTGGTCATGTTATAAATGGTAACTTTTAAAATCTAAGACATTTTAAAGTACAAATATTTTGTGTTTCTCATAATTCTTCCACCAATGCTAAAAGGGAAACTGACATTATTTTCATAGAAAATGCAAAATTGAATTACTACATAGTAACAACCAAATGATTTTAATTTTTATTCTAACTTAGATGTATCAATTCACATGTGCTACTTTAGAAGCAAATAGTAAACCTTTCTCATCTATCGTTAGTACCTTTACATAGATTACACAGTAATACTCACAGTAAATTTTAAACACCTAACTTTTCCACTGTATGCCTCTGTGTTACTTATATTATAATGGAGTTTTGTACCTTTGAACAAAGAATTACTATTCTTTATCTGGTGAGATCATCATTCTTGTCCTTTGATAAAAATGGCCAGGAAAGGGAGACAGTGTAGGAGAATACAGGCCTAGCCAGACATATTGCCCGGGGAAGTATGACAAGTTAACAGGCGGCACACCTTGTAGTCAGCGTGTTAGACGTCCAAGAATATAGGCTGCTTGTTTTCACAACTCTTAAGATTAAGTAATTCATATTTTATAGATTCAAACTAATGAAATATTTGGACGCAGTTGCTTTGAAGTGTCTTACAGTTGGGACTCATTAAAATAACTAAACTACGTATTAGAGTGGACCTAACCCTTTACTTAGGGCATACCCTAGTAAAGGATTCCTACTATGAGTTTTCCATTTATATTAACTATTCTTAGAATTAAATTCCTATTTTCAGCTTCACAGTGTATATTAAATGATTAATTTCATTTATAACATTCTTCTACCCTTGTTAACACATACACACATGCACACACATTTTATACTTAATGTAAACTTTTTAAAATAAAAAAACGTGAAAACAGCACCCTTATAGACAATCCCAGTTCTAAGAGACTCAAAACTAGTTTTTATTCTGAATATATCATTAAATAATGCAATTACAAATATATAAAGCGTAATATCAAAGCTTTCTGCAATTAGATTAAGAGTTGTATTAGGTTCAAGATACATGGGCTGTCAATAGCAGCATTTTCTAATATTTTGGATAAAAATGATAAAGATTATACATTTTGACAATGCTGTTGTAAAGGTTATGTAATCATGTATTAATTGCATGCAGCCATCTGCCTATCTTTTCAAGCTTTTTGCAGGCAACCACTCTCTGGCCACTAGCTTCCTATGTTGCCACACCAAAACCCTCCCATTTTTTTATCTATCTACGACTTTCAATTCTTAAGATCCTATCACCTTTTCACTGGTATTACCCATCTCCAGTGTCTTCTCTCATCATCTTAACCAGATTAAAGTTCATGGTGTGTCCGGAATTGGTGGGTTCTTGGTCTCCCTGACTTCAAGAATGAAGCCGCGGACCCTCGAATCCTCACAGTTAGTGTTACAGTTCTTAAACATCGTGTGTCCAGAATTTGTTCCTTCTGGTGAGTTTGTGCTCCCAGTGACTTCAGGAGTGAAGCTACAGACCTTCGCGGTGAGTGTTACAGCTCAGTACACCTCATAAAAGTGGTACAGACCCAAACGGTGACCAGCAGCAAGATTTAGTGCAAACAGCAAAAGAACACATCTTCCACACCCCCTAAGGGTACCGCTGCGGGTTGCCTCTGCTGGCTGGAGCAGCCTGCTTTTATTCCCTTATCTGAACCCACCAACATCCTGCCGATTGGTCCATTTTGCAGAGAGCTGATTGGTTCATTTTTCAGAGAGCTGATTGGTCCATTTTTCAGAGAGCTGATTGGTCCGTTTTGACAAGGTGCTGATAGGTGCATTTACAAACCTTTAGCTAGACACAGAGTGCTGATTGGTGTGCTTTTACAATCCTTTAGCTAAACAGAAAAGTTCTCCAAGTCCCCACTAGATTAGCTAGACACACAGCGCTGATTGGTGCATTTACAAACCTTTAGCTAGACACAGAGTGCTGATTGGTGCATTTACAAACTTTTGGCTTGACAGAAAAGTTTTCTAAGTTCTCACCCTTCCCAGAAGCCCAGCCAGCTTCACCTCTCACTGGCACTCGCTGGGGGACTTTGCAGCACCTAGCCCAGGCACTCCAGCAGCCCAGAGGGAGTTCCTCCCCTGATCAAGCCCAGCAGGCACCCACCAGCCCTGCAGAGTGCGGGGCCCTCCGAGTCTGTGCCCACCCGGAACCCGCGCTGGCCCGCGAGCGCCGTGTGCAGCCCCGGCTCCCGCCTGCGCCTTTTCCTCCACACCTCCCCGTGAGCAGAGGGAGCTGGCTCCGGCCTTGGCCAGCCCCAGAGAGGGGCCCCCACAGCGCAGCGGCGGGCTGAAGGGCCCCTCAGGCGTGGCCAGAGCGAATGCCAAGGCCAAGGAGGCGCCGAGAGTGAGCGAGGGCTGCTGGCACGTTGTCACCTCTAAATGGGTAATTATTATACTCACCCTTTATATACATTTTGTATTTGTTTATATAACCCCCATTTTCATATCATTCTGGCAAAAAATAAATAAATAAATACTTAAATCCAGCACTTCTGCTTATTCCTTGTTCAGTACAGGCAGTTGAATGTGGCCAGAGTGTGTGAGGATTCAGTCATTGTTTCAGTTCTCTTTATCTGTATTCTCTCACTTGGTCATCTCATCTGTGCTTATAAATTAGTACCATTAATATGTCAACAACTTTCAAACTTGTATCTTCATCAGAGATCTTTTTGCCTAACTCCACTAAATTCATATACCAATTTCCCAGTTAAGATCTCCACTTTGATGCCTAGTAGACATCAGAAACTTAACATGTCTAAACCCTAAGTCATGATTTTTCCCTTATAAACCTGCTCTAGCCATAGGTTTTCCTTTCTAGGCAGACAAAAATTCTCTTCTTCCATTGCAGAGGCCACAAACTTCGGAGCCATCTTTGACTGCACACACCAGAACAATCCATCCGGAAATCATTGTGTCTCATTTTAAAAACATATTCAGAATCTGACACCCACTCACTCCCTTCCCTGAAACCAAGGTCCAAAATACTATGCTCTCTCATTTTGTGTTAAAACAGTGGCCTTTAACTGAACTCTCTATTCCTACCTTTTAATCCATGGAGTTAACTCTCAACTTCTCTGCTTTAAACTTCAATGTTCCCCATTTCACTCTAAGTGAAACCCAAATTCCTTAAAATGGCCAACAAGTCGCATACTTTTCTAACCTCATTTCCCATTACTCTCTGCTTGCTCATTCTGCTCATTCAACAGACTTAGTGGTGTTACATTTCTTGAACATTCAAGCATTATTTCTGATATACTCCTTTCCCTAATATATGCATGGCTAAAGAACTCACCTAGTTTAGGTCTTTGCTCAAATATCATTCCATGTTTGCTCAAATGTTACCACATACATTTTGGATGTTTAACATGCTCTGTTTTTCCTTACTTTCAGCTCCATATAACATATCATATAATTTGTTTACTTGTTGTATTTATTTTTTAGATGAGGTATCACTCTATCGCCCAGGCTGGAATACAGTGGTGTGATCTCAGCTCACTGCAACCTCCACCTCCCTGGTTCAAGCTATTATCCTGCCTCAGCCTCCCAAGTAGCTGGGATTACAGGCAAGTGCCACCGCACCTGGCTAATTTTTGTACTTTTTAGTAGAAATGGGGTTTCACCATGTTGGCCACCCTCGAACTCCTGACCTCAAATGAGCCATCTGCCTTAGCCTCCCAAAGTGTTGGGATTACAGGCATGAGCTACTGCACCCTGCCTGTTGTATGTTGTATTCATTTTCTGTGTCCCTTTACCAGAATATCAATTGTATGAAATAAGATTTTTTTCTTCACTTAGGATAGATTCTTAGCCCTTAAACTCTGTATGACATATTGTAGACATTAAGTAAATGTTTGCTTAATGAATAAAGGACTACATGCACATTTTTTTAAAAAAAAATCAAATACTACAGAAACTGTTAGGAAAACTTTCTAAAGGGAAAACAACATTATCCACCTCTTGCCCCACCCATTTTATTCCTGGTTTTATTTGCAGATACAATTATGTGTTCTTCTATCAGTTAGAATCATGTCACTAAAAAAAAAAAAACCTACCAATTGTATATTTACATATCCATTATAAATGTTATTAATTAACTCCTCATTATAGGAGAAAAGAATTTAATTTTACTTATACTCTCCACAGTTTCAATTTTTTCTATATTCTATTTGTTGAATGCTAAAGCATAAATTTCAGAGTTTAAATACAATTTTACATTATATAATTAAATCTCAACTTTTGTCCAATCAAATTTCTATAGTATATCAAATTACTACTATATAAGGTTTCATTTTCGTCACTTCTCCTCTTCCACCACCGAAAGTTCATGAACTACACTTTTCATTTGACATTGTCAAGGCTGTAATATGTACGTACTCATTTGCAATCATAAGTATGCCATCTGTGCTTTGCCTATAAGGTAATTGCAGACGTTAAAACCTAAGTTTAAAACTTAATAATCCAATGTTTGTTTACAGCAGCATGGCAGTCTAGATACTAGCAAAGATATTCCCCTGGAAGTAAACAGAATCTTTCATTAGGTGTCTTTTTTTACATCTTGCTGATCTGAAATAAAGTGAATGATTCTTCAATGTCCAAAATGATGTTAAGGTAGGGAATTAAAGTAGAAAGTTAAAATGGGAAAGCTGGAAGTTATGTAAATAACAAGCTGGCTTTCACCCTGATAAGTCTTGCCCGTCACTGGAGTCTTTAGACTTCTCTTTTGTTGGCTGCCTGAGTCACAGGGATAAAATAAAGCCTGTAGCCAAAATAAAATGAAATGTCTAAACAGGAAATCCACATATAAAACTAGATTAACACAAAAGGTTAAACCCTCAATGTAAAGGTGTACAAGAACTAATTTTCCTTTGCAGAGGAGTCATCAAACAGACTTGCTTGATTCATGTCATGTGACAATTCTTAAACAGAGTCTCAGTTACATATAGATTTGTGCTTAGAAGTTTGCACTAATTGTATGGTCTTGAAAACCTCAAATCTAACATTAGTGTAAGGTATTTACGAGTGATCATGGCTCCAGTGTTGAAAGAAGCCAATGCAAATCCTTTCTGGAAGAACCTACTTTCATCTCTGGTGTCTAGCTAGGATAAGGGGAAAAAAGCAGGGAATTGAGATCAGGTAAGCTTATTCAGAGCACCTCTACCATACTCACTTACATGAGTGGCAGGTACATGAGTCATCACAGAGAGATAGTATACTATGCATAAAAGTTTTACAATATTGTGAACGTTTAATTCACTTTTTTTAACCAAAACTAATGCACGGCATTTATACTAAGAATGAAATGTCAGTAAGAGCTAATATTTCTGGAGTGTGTCATGTGATCTTCATGTTGTGATAACACTTTTTATGAAGTATCTTATTTAAAAATGTCTGAAAACAATCCTTTATAATAAGCATACTGTTTTACAGATTATAGAGAAATAAAACACTTCCCTAAGGCCACACAAGTAGTTTATGGTTGAGTCAGGATTTTTATCTTTATTTTGATTTAGTAAGAACGAGATATGTAATGGAATTATGTTTTTTCTTGCCTGGGTCCAGTGTCAGAATACCTGCTTTATTCAAGAATAATGTTAATGGTGGCGATGTCAAATGAATTATCTTTCCTGAAGCTCTCTTACTTGTTCTAAAACTTTTAGTGGGCTTCAGGTTTTGATTTGTGCTTTTCACATTTGATTTCAATTTTCAAGCATTTTACCTGATAAAAATGATTGCCACTAAGGAATTTTAAAAAATACAGAGATTGAAAATGTCATCAAGGTAAGGTGGGCTCAAAATTTTGGAGTGTGGGCAGGAAAATGGAATGGAAGTGGTGCTTTCTCTTGAGCCCATGTTGCCATGGGTGTTTTGCTCTGTTTTTTGTTTGTTTTGTTTCACTTTAGCATCAGTAAGAATATCAATTCTTTATCTACTATTACTGTCTTACTCTCATCTTCTGATTCCAGAATCAGCTAACCTAAAATATAGAACTGCTACAAGAAACAGGTGTGTTAGCAAGTTATCTTGATAATAAAATTGCTTTGGAAAATAACATCACGAATACAATCAGAGTAGGCAGTGTTCTTCTGCTCATTATCCCATGCCATGGACTTAATGTTTATATCATTAGCCTCTTAGTCATCTTTATTTTATTAAGCATATTAATGTCCCAGAGCTAAAATGCAATGCCCCTTATCCTTTTTCTGTTATCAAGTAACTCCATAAAATTTAAATCTCCCACAGTCCTAAAAATGTTTTACTCATATAATTGGCGTCACTTTGCTATGGCATTAAAACATTCTTAGACGCAAAGGTCATATCAGCAAGAATTCTTTAAGCACCATATTGGTATTTTGAGGTGTTCAAATAAGCAGAAGCCATAAACACCTCTCTTTAGTTCACAATTTTAGGTAGGAAAAGAAGATTTGTTGATATAATATAATAGACTTCCATAGGACAGTAAATCAAAAATCAGTTAGGATTTTAATAACTTTGGTGGTTTTAAAACTTGTCTGAAGATTCTTAGACACTCTTTATAGCACAATTAGGAGGTTAATATTCCTTCTCTTCAATGTGATCCAGCTTTAATGACTTCCTTTTAATGAACAGAATGTGGCAGGAGTGACACTGCATGAGGCTAACTCTTTGGAGGTGACACATTTATCCTGTTTCTCACTTCCTGCACAGGTGCCTTTTGAGCCCTGAGCTAGTGTAAAGATGTGGCTACTCTGAAGCCACTGTAATGGAGACATGTGAAGAAACACCTAGAAACAGAAAGCGATGACCAACGAGCACCAGCTATTCCAAGGGCGACTTGTGTGAGACTTCCTTGCTCAACTCAAGACCTGTGAGTATATGAGCCTTGAGATAATTTTATCCCAGCTCCAATTCTACTACAGCCTCATGAGAGACATTAGGGAGAACCACCGAGCTGAGTTCAGACAATGTCTGTAACCATGAGAGAGAATAATAAAGTGATTATTGTTGTTTTAAACCACTAAATTTGGTAATTTGTTCTGCCACAAGAAATCATCAATTATTCAGCTCAGCAATTATAGACACTTAGGAAACAGCATAGTAATTATGGGCAAAACATATCTAGTGTCATAAAGCACAGATAGTTTCAATACAGATGATTTATTTCACTTGTTTTCTATATGTAGTAATGATAAACAACATTGATTCAGAATGTCTGATAATTTGAACTTCTGAGAGTAATTAGTAATCTATTAACTATATAGATAATAAATTTTAGAAGACTTATAATTTGATTGTAACACTTCTGCCCTGAAGCATTTTAGGATATTTTGGATCATTCAAATACATATTGCTGTTACTATACATTTAAAAGGCTCGTGTGATTTGTCTCCAATATATATCCAAAGGATAGAGTATACCTGTATATCTTAATGTAAAGAACAGAAACATATGCCGTAACAACTCAATTAACAATGCTGAGTTAATAAGAAATCAGTGAAATTATTTGCGTTCTTCAGTTTTTAAAGTATTTCAGTGGTTTGCCAGATGCTATTATATACACTGTCTTATTTAACCCTTACAATAACTCTATGAGACAGGTACTATTATTCCCTATTTGTACTTTAAGAAATGAAGGCTCAAAGAACTTAAACATTAAACCCAAATTGACATAGGTAGTAAATTACAAACCAACACTCTAAACCAGAGCTCCTGAGCCTCAACCCAGCATTCTATCCAACATATCGAAATAATCTCTCCTAATCCTTTTTATAAAATTTAGTAGATACCCCAGAAGTTGTTTAAAACAAATCCAATAAAGTCTGTGATGTTCTCTGTGTGTAATATTTATGTACATAAATATATATATGTAGTATATGCGTGTAATATGCAGTATATGGTTCTATAGTTATGCATCCCATAATAATGTTTTGGTCAATGGCGAACCATGTATATGATGATGGTTCTATAAGATTATAATGGAGTAAAAACATTTCTATCACCTAGAGACATCATAGGTATCACAGTGTTGTAGCACAATGCACTACTCACATGTTTGTGGTAATGTTTATATAAACAAATCTACTTATCTGCCAATATATAAAATTGTAGCACATACAATTATATATGGTACATAATGTTTTATAATAATAATAAACAACTATGTTACTGGTTTATGTATTTATTATACTATACTTTTCAGTGTTATTTTAGAGTGTACTCCTTCTACCAATATAGAAAAAGTTAACCGTAAAACAGCCTCAGGCTGGTCCTTTAGGAGGTATTCCAGAAGATTGTTATCATAGTAGATGACAGCTCCATGCATGCATGTTATTGTCCCTAAAGACCTTCCAGTGGGACAAGATGTGGAGGCAGTAAGCCTTTAAAAGGAACAATAAAATATAATCAAAAGAAATAATTAAAAGAGGAAGTGATTAAAAAGGGAAAAACAGATGTAGGAAATGAAAAAGAGGAAAAGAGGAACAGGAAAAGAGGGTCCTGGAAGTACAATTTGTCCATGCAGACCTGCTCTGTAAACAGCCTGTGACAAGTGGCTTCTGTTTCAGAGGATTGATGGCTCAGGGATGGGCCTCTGGGAGCCAAGGGACCTGCCAAAGTTTGCTATCATGACAGAGCTGTTTCTTCTCCACAGCCCAGCAGCTATGTCACCTAAGCAGCTTGCCACAGTCTCTCTCAGCTTCAACAGCTATTTCTGAGACTCCAGGTCCAAGAATCTCCATTTTTCCTTAAAAACAAGCTTATGGGGAAAAAGATATAGAGTATTTTTTTATTTTACTAAAGCTAAGTACTTTTCAAAATAACCAAAATATTTTTTCAAAATGTTACTTTCTCAAAGTAGTATTATGGAACCTAAACTGAAAAATAAGCTCATCGGAGGGATTTTTCCTTTTTTCCCCCAAAACACACAAGCTCTCCCACAGTTTAGACACCAGTATATATAATATAGTTATATATAATAATATAATGTATAATAATATTAATACAATATTATTGATATTATTATATATGTTATGTAATATAATATTAATACAATTAATATTTATGTTATATAATATATAATAATATTAAGACAATTACTGTTATAATTATGTGATATATAATATAATTATAATATGATATATAATATAATTATATTGTGATATATAATTATATGATATATGATATTAATATTGGGAAAGTTTTTTGTTTATTTTTAAGATGGCTGACTAGAGACATCAGACACTAGTTTTCCTTAGGAAAAAAGAACCAAAGTTTCAGGTAAATAAATCAAATAGAATAGTAAGAGGAGAGTGCTGGAACCTAAAAGAGAACTCACAGGATGAGGCTGGGACACAGAAAAAGCAAAAGAGCAAGAGGCTGGTAGAGATGGGCTAAGAAACAAAGGGACTTGACATTTTGTCAAAGGGTAGGTGGCAGTCATCTCCTTGGCTTTGCTTACCCCTGCAGTAGACTACTGGTGTCCAAACTGTGAGAGAGTTCTTCTACCCCCGCAAATCCAAACACTGGGAGTAGTGATTTGGGGACTTCTTGAGGACATCACACCAGACCACCAGCATGCATAGATTCATTCGCCCTTCCCACAGACCTGAGCTGGAGTGTACCAGTGAGATAGTGGTTCCTGCCCAGAGAACCTCAACCCTTGTGTCTCCACATTACCAGAGCCCCCAGAAATATTTTCCAGCACCCACTCAGATTGTAGCAGTCACACAGGTTTGGCTGAGCACAGGGAAGCTGCAGGGTTCCCAGTGGTCTATTAATTAATAGTCTAGCCCTTGGGGAGTGCAGCTCCTAAGGGAAGAGAAAGTGCAGCACACAAAGGGGGCAACCTTTCGGACAAAGGAGAAAAGAGCATGCAATTTTCTGTGTCTGAGAGGTCCCAAAATACATTATAGTCCCATCCTCAAGGGGAAAATAAAATCCATCCAAACAAAGCACATTTTAAAATAGTAAGGAGAGACAGCTTATCCACAAGAAAAGGAAGCAGAGAGACAGTTGTGGAAGTATGAAAAAATAGTGTTACAGCATCCCCAAAAGCATCACACTCACTCTCTAGCAATGGATCCTAACAAAAGTTAAATCCTTGAAGTACTAGATAAAGAATCCAAAATGTTGATTTTAAAGAAAGTCAGTGAGAAATTGGAAAACTAATACAAAGCCAGGTGAAATTTGAAAACTAATACAAAGAAGCCAGAAAAATAATTCAGGTCATAAATGAAAAGTTTACCAAAGAGACAGATGAAAAACGAAAGCACTTTTGGACATGAAAAATTTATTGAAGGAATTAAAAACACAGTTGAAAACATTAATAGTCTATTATTAAATAGACAATTAATAGACATATACAAATCAATATATGTGAATCATCACATAAATAGAATTAAAAATAAAAATCCTATGTTATCTCAATAAATACAGAGAAAACATTGGATACAACTCAACATCCCTTCATGATAAAAAAAAAAACCTTCACCAAACTAGTTGTAGAATAAACATCTGTTAAAATAATGAAGGCCATATATAAAAAACTGACCGACAATCTCATATTAAATGAGGAAAACTTGAAAACATTTCCTCTAAGAACCAGAACAAGACAAAGATGCCCACATTCATCACTCTGATTCAATGTAATACTGGAAATACTAGCCAGAGAGATCAAGCAAGAGAAAGAGATAAAAGCTATCCACACTGGAAAAGAGGAAGTAAAATTATTTTGGTTTGCTGCTGATAACGATCTTATACCTAGGAAATTCTAAAGACTCCTCCAAAAGATTCCTGCATTTCATAAATAAATTCAGTAAGGCTTCAGGATACAAAATCGTTGTACAAAATTTTTTATACACCGATAATGACCAAGCTTAAAAACAAATCAATAACTCAATTATATTTACAATAGCTACAATAAAACAAAATATCTAGGAATACACTCAATCAAGGAGGTAAAAGATCTCTAGAAGGAAAAGTACAAAATACTGATGAAAGAAGTCATAGGTGACAGAAACAAATAGAAAAACACCCAATGCTTATGGATTGGAAGAATTAATATAAAATGATCATACTACTCAATGTAATCTAAAATCCCATGCAATTCTTATCAATATTCCATTGTCATTTTTCACAGAATTAGAAAAAAAATCCTAAAATTCACATGGAACTGCAAAAGACACCTAATAACCAAAACAATTCTAATCAAAAATAACAAAGCTAGAGGCAGCACATTACCTTACTTCAAACTATACTACAAGGCTATAGTAATCAAAGCAGCCTGTTACTGGTACAAAAATAGATCAATGGAACATAATAGGGAACCCAGAAATAAAGCCATATATCTACAATCAACTGATTTTTGGCAAAGGTAACTAAAACATTCGCTGAAAGGATACCCTATTCAATAAATGGTGTTGGGAAAATTGGATAGCCATATGCAGAATAATGAAAGCGGATCCCTATCTCCATTGTATACGAAAATTAACTCAAGTTGGATTAAAGACTTAAATATAAGACATTAAACTATGAAAATTCTAGAACAAAATATTTTAAAAACTCTTTAGGACCTGGACCTAGACAAAGAATTTATGATTAAGATCTCAAAAGCAAATGCAACAAAAACAAAAAGAGACAAATGGAACTTAATTAAACTAAAAAGCTTCTGCCAGAAAAACTAATAATCAACAAACAGACAACCTACACAATGGGAGAAAATATTTGCAAACTTCTGCATGTATGGACAAAGGACTGATATCCAGAATCTACCAGGAATGCAAACTCAATAAGGAAAATAATGACACAACAAATAACCTTAAAAAATCAGAAAAAGACATGAAAAGACGGTTTTCAGAAGACATACAAATAGCCAACAAACATGAAAAAATGCTCAACATCACTAACCATCAAAGAACTGCAAATTAGAATCACAATGAGAGATCATCTTATACTAGCCAGAATGGCTATTACTAAAAAACAAACAAACAAAAAACACAGATGTTGGTGAGGATGCAGAAAAAAAGATAACACTTGTACACTCTTTGTGGGATTGTAAATTACTACAAGCCCTATGGAAAACAGTATGGAGATATCTCAAAGAACAAAAAATAAAACTACCATTAATCTAGCAGTCCCATTACTTGATATCTACTCAAAGGAAAAGAAACTGATATTTCAAAAAGATACTTGCACTCTTATGTTTATCACAGCACTATTCACAATAGCAAAAACACAGAATCAACCTAGTATCCATAAATGGTGGCTAGATTCAGAAAATGTGGTATATATACTCCATGGAATACTATGCGGTGATAAAAAGGAACAAAATCATGTCACTTGGAGAAACGTGGATGAAGCTGGAGGGCATTCTCCTGAGTGAATTAATGCAGAAACAGAAAATCAAATATTGCATGTTCTCATGTATAATTGGGAACTAAACAGTGTGTCCACATGGGCATAGCGAGTGGAATAATAGACGTTATATATTTAGAATGGTGTGACAGCAGGAGTGGATGAGGGATAATAAATCACCTAATGCGTACAATGTACACTATTAAGATAGTGGTTACACTAAAAGCTTGGACTTCACCACTACACAATAATACCCATGTAAGAAAACTGCTCTTGTATCCTCTATATATGTAATTTAAAAATAAACATTAAAAAATAAAGATTGAAAGGGGCTTCAAAAATTCACGCAAAATCTTGCCTCCCAGACACTCCAGCTGTCTTTTATTCCAGAATTACTTGAGTAAACATGCTTCAGTTCTCATTACTCGTCATAGATGTCCCTCCCCAGTCTAGAGGATGGTCAGGGTACCTGGAATGCCGGGTTTCCCTTAGCATGGCTTCTATTCCTCATATCACCCTTTCCCCACCGTCAATTTGACCTCATAAATATGCCTCCGGAATCTGTTCTCTCTTCACCACTTTGTCATCTCTTGTGGAGGGGTGCTACTTACAGTCTCTGTCCTTCCAGTCTCTTTTTCCTCCAATAATTTTAAAATCTAGATCTGATTATTTCACTCAGCTGCTTAAACCCCATCCTTGGCCTTGAGTAGCCTCCAGTGTGAAGTTCAAACCTCACGGCCTCTGAGGTCTTTCCCAGCTGGCCTACCTCTCACTCCCTCTAGCCAGCCTACCTCTGGCCAGTTTCCTGGCAGGCCATGCATTTCTAGCCCTCTCCACCTGTGCATGTCCTGTCTCCTCCCCGTTCTTCTCTGCCAAACTAATTTCTGTCCTCCTCATGTGGAGCCTGGACCCCCACCTTGAGGCCAGTGCCCATTTTCTGTGGCCCCATTGCACCTTCTAGCAGAACCCTTAAACTGCACACAGCAAGCTGCTGGGAGGTTCACTTTCTTTGGCCCCCATTAGACATCTAGCTCATATATTATGGGACTTATTGTGGTCAGCTAACATGAACAGCTGCAAATAAGTTCCTCACTCTATAGCTTCACCTCAGTAACACCTGTCACCTTCCTTTCTATTCTGAGTAAGAAACATCTTCCTAAAATTAATCTTTCACCTAGATTTTGGATTCTCATGACTGTGTTTCAAATGTCATTTATACCTCATATGATCATTCTTTTCCTTCCGTCTCTGTCTGTTCCAAATTTTCTTCATGTCCTTTCTCAGTGTCCCTTGCCTGATCCCGCTGTTCCTTCTAATTCCCTCAGGTTTAGAAAATGAGTACCACTACTCACCCCATCCCCCCACTTTATAATGCTTTACAATATGACATCTGGACCGTCCACTTTTGTCAAATGGTTCAATGATTTTTTTCTTTACACATTTATGGTTTTATTGAAAATAGTACAGTTTTGAAAAATAAAACATTTTTCAGATTCAGAATCAGAATCCAAGTTATAGTTTTATTTTAGAGTTTTTTCTTTTTCTCTTACCCAGAATGTATTGTCCCCTAAAACATTAATATACTTACTTTTTTATCCTATGATATACTTAAATTAGTTTCAAAATTACTACTAACAATAAAGCTACTAGTGAAACAAGATTTCTTACAGTTCTTTTTGTCCTTAAACTATATATTCACAAAGATGCACAGAGTAGTGTGTTCAAAAGTTACTTGAAATTATTCTTTTCTCTGTCTGATTGTGGTTATTCATTTGAGACAAAATTATGTTTCCTTAACTTCTGTTTTGTGCAGTTATAGGGCTTGTTTTTTCCCCATAAAACTTAACGTTATTTGTTAAATACGTTAAATATTTACCTTGTTCAAAATTGAGAAATACATAAAAAGGGAGCATTAGAAAAGCCCAGCCCTCTCCTTTCCATGTCACCTTCCTCCACTCCTGTTAGTTACCCATTTTCAAAAGATTTTGATTTATCTTTCTGGTATTTCATTTGCAACCTAAGCATATATGTAATATATAAATTCTTATTTTTCAATATTTCTTATACAAAATATAACATACTTTACATACTCTTCTCTAATTTGTTTTTCACTTAACAACGTATCTCAGAAAAAAAAAAAATTCTTTTCTGTCTACTCATGTTTCCAGCAGGTGAGTCTGCAGCTATCCAGAGAAACTTCTTTCTCTTCTTGAAGGAAATAATTTAAACAAGAAATACAGGCAAGGTTCAAAGCACAAGGGATAATTTATTTTAAGCAAAGCAAGAGTTTATAAGATAAAGTAGTGTACACTTGGAAGAGGGCCAAGTGAATGACTTGAAAAATCAAGGGCCCTGTTCGCTGCTTGATTTAGAGTTTTTATAGCTTCTATCTTTTCCCTGGCTTTCTGTCTCCTCCGTTTGCTCTTCTGCTGGGTGGGCCATCGCTTAATTATTGCATGCGCAATGGTTTTGCCAGTACTTGGGAGAGGCTGCATGTGCAACGTGTTTATTGAAGTTGTGTGTATGCTTACTTGGGAAAGTTCTTCCTTACTGGTTGAATGCCCCTAGAGGAAGGTTGTATATACTGGTGAAATTCCACCATCTTGCCCTTTACTGCGCATGCTCGAAATCTTATCATGATTACGTCTTGATAATGCCAGGTGTTTTCTGTCTGGTGCAAAATTTCTCTCACAGCACCAGTCATGGCCACTTACTATCTCAGAGGGATAGTTTTATGCCTGCCTGTCCTTAACTTAATGAGACCAGGCAGCGCCAGGGTCCCTCCCATATCCTGCTCATTATTTAGAAGCAGAGATTTATAGTTACCTTACCATAGCTTGACAAATGCCCACCATTCCTGGGGTCCCTCTTGCCTGCCCTGCTCAAGTGTAACATCCGACTCTTAAACTCACAGAGACCTTTCTCATACGTTTTTTTGTGATTCACAGAACTCCACTGTGTGGATATCGTTTATTTAAACTGGTTCTCTCGGTAGACATTTGTATTTTTTTCTCAATCTTTCACTATTACAAATAATGCTGCAATGAATAACTATTTTATATGTTGCTTTGTATTTGTGGAAGTGTATCTTCTGGATGGATTTATTGAAGTTCGATTGCTGGATCAAAAGATAAACACATGTAATTTTGTTACATGTTTTAAATGTGTAATTAAATTTGTTAGGTATTCTTTCCTTAGAGTTTAAAGGATTTTGCATTCTCGCCAGCAATGTATGAAATTGCCCATTTATCCACAACCTTACTAGCAAAATGTGTTGTCGATATGATAAATGAGAAATGGTATCTGAATGTAGTTTTAATTTCTCATTGTGAGATTGTTTTTTCCATGTTTTTAAAGGCCTTTAGCCTTGCTTTCTCTTTGAACTTCTTGCCCAACCCACTCCTGTTTTTTCTACATTTTTTTCTATTGGGTTTTTGTCTTTTTATTTCTCTTTTTTTTTTTTCTTGAGACGGAATCTCACCCTGCCGCTCAGGCTGGAGTGCAGTGGTGCAATCTCAGCTCACTGCAACCTCCACTTCCTGGGTTCAAGCAATTCTCCTGCCTCAGCCTCCTGAGTAGCTGGGATACAGGCGCCCACCACCACACCCAGCTAATTTTTGTACTTTTAGTAGAGACAGGGTTTCACCATGTTGGCCAGGCTGGTCTCGAGCTCCTGACCTCAGACAATGCACCTGCCTTGGCCTCCCAAAGTGCTGGGATTACAGGCGTGAGCCACTGTGCCCGGCCTTTATTTCTCCATTTTTCAGAGCTCTTTATGAGTTAGAGACATTAGTCCCTTATGAAGTAAATTGTGTTTATTTCTTCCCAATATGTGGTTTGTTTTTTATTTTACTTATTTTTTGTTTTTATCATAAAGATATCTCTTTCTTATATTATTAAGTACAATAGTCTGATTTACCAATCTTATTTTTAATTGGATCTGGATTTTGAGTCATAGTTTAAGTATTTACCATTCCTAAATTATAGAAGAACTCACCATCTTTTCTTCTAGTACTTGCGTACTTTCATTTTCACATTTAAATATCTGATCAATTTAGAATTATCCTAGTGTATGGTATGAAGTATTGAACTTGATAATCTTTTTCAAATGCTATCTTTTATCCAGCCCCATTATTAAAAATTCCCCCTTCTGTCCAATTAGTTGAGCTGTCATCTTTACCATATTCAAAATATCTAAATGCATTTGGTCTGTATTTTGACTTTTTATTTTATTATTTGACTGGCCTGTTCATCAATGCATGCCCAGTACCACTGCTTCACACAAAGAAGTCTCACAGACTGTGTTAATAACAGTAGGAATATTACTCTCTTGTTGCTCTTCTCTTTCAGGGTTTACTTAATTACTCTGAATTGTTCATTTTTTTATATACAGTTTAAATAAATATCAAATCCCAGAGTAAAATAAACTTTAATAAACATTAAATTCATGTATTAACTTGGGAAAAATGACATCTTTATGATGTTGAATAGTCTTAAGTGAGTAAGCAATGCCTCTTCATTTGTTCAAGATTTGTTTAAAATTTTCAGGGATCTTTGAAAATATAAACAAATAATGGCAACATTTTTAACTGATTAGCTATAAATTTTAGCACTTGATGGTTTATACATATTCATTCAAGAGCAGACATAAATATAAAAAATCATATTAAAATATGGCAAAACTTGTGAACTCTCCAGATTATGATCACAGAATAATTTCAGTTTCTTCATTTGTACCGCATATATGTGAACAGATGTGACTATTTTTACTGCAACAGCTATTACATCTACTGGAGGACCAGATGGATTACAATCATATGTTGCTCGATAACCAGGATATATTCTGAGAAATGTGTCATTAGGCACTTTCATCATTGTGTGACCATCATAGATTGTTCTAACTCAAATCTGGATGATATGGCCTACTATGCACCTTGGCTATATGGTATAGCCTATTCCTCATGGGATATAAACCTGAATAGTATGTTACTATACTGAATATTGCAGTCAATTGTATTTCTGTATCTAAACATAAAAAAGGCACAGAAATATATGGTATTTTAATTGTATGGGACTTCCATGGTATATGCATTTTGTCATTGAAACATCATTATATAGCTAACTACTATATTACATGTATGAGAGGAAAAAATGAGGATATGAGACAGATTTACAAAAGAAGCAAAGTATAGCTGTAGAAAAACAAACTATAAAAACTCAAACTTCTGCACTTCTTTTCATTTTAGCTAATACGCAATGCTGGAAAAAATATATCTTCCTCCTTTATCCAATAACATTTCACTTAACTGAACATTTCTCAAAGGCAACTTTCAAAAAATCCAGTTTTTCTTCAAAGTTTTAGAGAGCTGTCTGAAAGAAGGCATCTAGAAAGTGAAAACTCATGCTATACACAATTGGATATTTTAAAAAGGGAGAGAATTATCTGACATGGAATTGGGCTCACTCAATTTCTTCATCCTTATTTCTCTCCCAGAATTCTATTTCCTTCCTTTTTTTCTCAGGAGTGGAAGCCCTGGGATTTCATCAGAAAAAAGAAATATTATTTCAGTTTTTTTAAAACACAGACAGAAACAAATGACATGTGTATGTTTTAATTTGTTTTTGAAAATTTCAACTGGAATTCACTGTTAATAAGTTTCTACGTATTTTAGATCTGTAGCTGCACTGAAGAATGTGAACTGTTTTTATGTCTCTACATTTGCAGTACAAATTTTACTAGCTGGCAACTCAAAACAATGTTCAAGAACCATATTGCAAACATAATCATTTCACCCTTGATTTTTTAACGTTTTCTCGACAGCCTACTAGGGTTTTATTTGACATAAAAAAGTACTATCTGGAATCCAGAGGTAGCAGACACATTAAAACACCTCCCTGACATGCTCAGTTTACAGCCTCCACATTAACTGCAGAAAAACATGGTGGCACAGTACAGATGAAAACTTCAGCAGTGGCCTGTCTACCTAGAGGAACAGTTGGGCAAATCCTGAAATTATCATAATGTCCTTAATGCTTTCATGTGTTCATTCTACAGGCTATTGATTCAACCATAATTATACATAGCATGGTTCTATGGTAATTTCTACTGAATTATACAATACAGAGACAACCAGAGGATCAAGAGGGCATTAAAAGAATCTACTGCAATGAATAGATATAAATCAATCTGCATTGAGAAAAACGCATAATAAAAACATTGCTTCTCGCAATGTCTGCAGTTTAATAAATAATAAAGTGTCTGACAATCTTTGTTCTCAAAAGAAATAAAGTTTTACCTTATTTCTTAGAAATTCTGCATTAATAGTAGCCATTTTGACTGGTGCAAGATGGTATGTCATTCTGGTTTTGATTTGCAGTTCTCTAATGATCAGTGATGTTAAGCACCACTTATGCACTGCTGGTGGGAATGTAAACTAGTCCAGCCATTGTGGAAATTAGTTTGGTGATTTCTCAAACAACTTAAAATAGAATTATCATTTGACCCAGCAATCCATGATTGGGTATAAACGGAAAGGAATATAAATCATTCTACCATAAAGACGCATGCATGCGAATGTTCACTGAAGGATTATTCACAATAGCAAAGACATGGTATCAACCTGAATACCCAACAATGGTGGACTACATAAAGAAAATGTGGTACTTATACACCATGGAATACTAGGAAGCCATAAAAAAGAATGGATGGAACAGGAGGTCATTTTTTTTTTTTTTTTTTTTTTTTTGAGACGGAGTCTGGCTCTGTCGCCCAGGCTGGAGTGCAGTGGCGCAATCTCAGCTCACTGCAAGCTCCGCCTCCCGGGTTCACGCCATTCTCCTGCCTCAGCCTCCGGAGTAGCTGGGACTACAGGCGCCCGCCACTACGTCGGGCTAATTTTTTGTATTTTTAGTAGAGACGGGGTTCCACCGTGTTAGCCAGGGTGGTCTTGATCTCCGGACCTCGTGATCCACCCGCCTCGGCCTCCCAAAGGAGGTCATTTTTCTAAGCAAACTAACACAGGAAGAGAAAACCAAATACCACATGTTCTCACTTATAAGTGGGAGCTAAACGTTGAGTACATATGGGCACAAAGAATGGAACAACAGACACTGGGGCTTAGCTGAGGGTGGAGGGTGGGAGGAGGATTAGGATCAAATAAGTACCTATTAGGTACTATGCTTTTTACCTGGGTAATGAAATAATTTGTACACCAAGCTATGACGACACACAATTTATCTATATAGCAAAACTGCACATGTACCCCTGAACCTAAAATAAATGTTTAAAAAAGATTTTTGCATTAAACTTTAAAACTCTAAAAAGGATTGTTAAAAGATGATTATTGCTTTTACAAAAAGTCCCCAAAGTTAATTTTAAGTAGCCAGTTTGACATGCACTTAAGTTTTTTTAATTAAAAAACTCTACTGCATATGCGTTCTCAAAGGGAGATGTTACCAAACTTATTTCACCCTTTCAAAACCTCTACCTGTAGAAAAATGCCTTTTCTGATAAATTCATAGGATCAAAAATGAGTGATCTTTTTAATACGTATTTCATGAAACAATACTTTTAGTCCCATGAAGTTAGGGAGAAAAATAAACATAGTGAAATAAATTTAGAAATTTGCTAGTGCTCCCTAGATATTTGAGATACATAAGCACATGTATTGAAATAGATTTTAAAAGTGGACACATTCAAAGATAGTTTAATATGCCTTTTATATTCCAGATTCAATGCTGATATTAATTAGGGGAAATTAAAATATATGATAATGATATTTTCCAAGGTCATTTTCTCTGATGTCTATAAACATGAAGTGATCCCCCAAACCAAAACAAAAATATATCAATATACTATATTATAAATGAAACAAATATCATGAATTAAATCCATTTCATTGACTTTAAGTTATGATATTAAATGACGCTCTCATTTCTAAAGTTTCATTTTATTTGTTATTGACACATACTAATTGTACATATTTATGGGGCATAGTCTGATGTTTCAATACATGTATATATTCTATAATTATCAAATTAGGTTAATTAGCACATCCATCACTTTAAATGTGTTTCATTTCTTTGTGATGATAACATTCAAAACCTTCTAGCTATCTTGAAATATGCAGTACATTAATATTGACTACAGTCACCCTATTGTGTAATGGAACACCAGAAGTTTTTCTTCCTGTTTAACTATAACTTTGTACCTGTTGACCAGCCTCTCCCTATTACCCCTTTCCTCCCCATTTCCATGGGTTCTGGTAACACTATTCTGTTCTCTACTAGGAAATCAACCTTTTAAGGTTCCACAAATGAGTAAGGACAGGTATAATAATACTTAGTCTTCATAAGGCCCAAAGTTTGGGATCAAAGTCAGAACCTCTTTATTAGTACTACATAGTAGTAGCCACGGTAGTAACAGCATTAGAAATAATAATAGCAAATTTTGTGTAGTGCTCTAAAATTCACAAATTGCTTCTAAATATATTATTTTATTATGGTATTATAAATGTATTTACAGATATAATATAATCCATGGTGTTCTCATAGTATTTCTAATACTGTGAGGACCTTTGTATATCTTCTTTTGAGCAGGAAAATGAGTAAGGTCTGGTCTTCTAGCTCATGAGGTGAGCTGAAGAACTCCATGAATAATTGTTATGAATGAGATGACACAGTCTCAAAAAGGATTATGGCTGCAAGACAATGAGTAGGTATGCATGTCTGGTATATATCCCACAAAGAGGTAGCACATGTGATACAATAAAATTGTTATACTAGCACCTGATTTGAGTAGAAATTTCTTAACTGCGTACTTTCACCTGTTAAAGTGTAAGGCAAATGCTTATTTCTTGAGTCCTTAAATTATCCCAATCAAAAAATACCATGACAGATAGTATCGTATTCATGTCCTCAAATAAATAAAACAACTGTTTCCATCAGTCCATCCATCCATCCAACATCTCAGAAAAAAATTGTGAAAAGCCTGCTACACACACAACTGGTGATTTCAGTCACTTGGTAGGCATTTACCCAGTAATCACAACCAAGTAGAATTTAGCAAGGGTATTTTATTATTTGTGACAAGTAAGGAGAACACTGGGGATCGTTTCCAAAACATTGTTCCCCCAACAAAGGTGAAGGCGGGGCCTTTATTGTTCTTGATAGCTAAGTCACTGTACATAAAAATGGGGCAAAGGCAGAGCAAGAGCATTTGCCAATCATGTTTCTTCAGACATAACATGTGCAAAAAATGGCAGATAAGCTTCTCCTCAGGTGGAGGTTTAGGCATGGTAATGTGGAGAGTTCACCAAAGTTCATCTTTAACTCAGGCATCTCTGGTTCCAGCCATTTTTGTTTTGCTATAGCTAGGCTTCTTGTGGTCAGGACTTCCTGGAACCTTTTGAAACAATGGAAACTCCAGGCACAATGTTTACAAGCGGGTATGTTAACTGTTTCGTAGTGTGCACCTGAAGAGCCGGGGACCTTGGGTTACAAGCCCAGTACAGTATCAACTTCCCCAAGCAGGGTAGATTTAGCCTCACCATGGGGTTTGTGACAACTTCCAACCCTTCTTTGATGTTACCCAACGCCTTAATATGTCAAACAGTGTTATTTTTTCATAAGAATATCTTGTTCTATTGACAAGGAGAAAACTGGTTGTTTATTTATTTGTTTGTTTTGAGACAGTGTCTCGTTCTGCTGCCCAGGCTGGAGTGCAGTGGTGCGATCTCTGCTCACTGCAAGCTCCGCCTCCTGGGTTCATGCCATTCTCCTGCCTCAGCCTCCCGAGTAGCTGGGACTACAGGTGACCGCCACCACGCCCAGCTAATTTGTTGTATTTTTAGTAGAGATGGGGTTTCACTGTGTTAGCGGTCTCGATCTCCTGACCTCGTGATCTGCCCACCTTGGCCTCCCAAAGTGCTGGGATTACAGGCATGAGCCACCACGCCCGGCCGAAAACTGGTGTTGAATATCCACTGTTGTGCTATGTTTACCTAAGTTTACTAAAAAATATAAATAACCTAAGCAAAGAAGAATAAGGAGAGTTTTATAAAACTGTAAAACTTCTATAAAACTTTGACTAATTTTACTCCCTACAGTTTTAATGCAGACCTAATTTTTGTTACCACAGCAACTAAAAAAGACCTCTGTCAATTGAACAATAGTCTATAAAGGAAAGGAGATGAGGAAGAGTTGTTTTTAAATGAAAACTGAAAAACAATTTAACTTTTTTTAAAAAATACATTTTTAACATTTTTTCAGACAAAGTCTCATTTTGTCTTCCAGGTTGTGGCACAGTGCAGCCTAGAACTCTCGGGCTCAAGGGATCTTCCTGCCTCAGTTTCCACCACAACACCCCATTCCCCAACACACACATAAACCCAGTGGCTGGGACTATAGGCATAGCCACCATGCCCCCCTGCTATTTTTTTTTTTTTTTTCGTATTGCTATGTTGCCCAGACTGGTCCGAAACTCCTGGTCTCAAGCAATCCTCCCACCTCTGCCGCCCAAAGTGCTGGTATTACAAGCATGAGCCTCCCCACCCAGCCAAAAATTTAACTTTCAAGAAAGACATTCTCAGCCACTGATTTAAAATATCCTATAGTGAGAGAAGAGTTATTTCACAGTATATTTAAAATAATTTCATTTTAAATCAGAAACCTCTTCTTAGCTGACTGAACATGTTTACTTTTTTCTAGTTGTTTGTTTATGTAATTTCATGTACTGCATGTCTTAGATAATTAGTTATTTAGTTTAATTTGTTAATTTATCAGTTTCAGAAAAAAAAACAATAATAGAATTTAATGATCATGGTTTCCTGCTTGAGGAAAAGCCAATCAATCTTATCTGTGCAAGACAACTGCCCTTCAAAAGTCTCTCCTCACTCAAAAGTTATTTCGCTCAGTTGGGAACAAGAGTATTCTATTAGGTTAAACCAATCCCTAAAAGCAGCAATAAATCAGTAGGAAATATCAACAATTTTGTCAGAGCTATTAAGAAACAGAAGGCAACCCAACATTCAAGATCATTGATTGTTTTGTTAAATATTATGCCTAAAACAGGTTAGGAGACGGTATCTTTGGTGGAAAGTTGCAAACAAAACTGTTGCACAGTCTTTTAGATAAAGACGTAGGAGCAAATGCTCAGGTCAGCTGAGAGCAATAAACCCACACTTTGGCACACAGTAATCTCTACACTGTGGAAACCACCAGTGCCAAATATGGGAAGGATAGAGTAGCAATCAGAGGAGAGTATTATGGACTGGAAGGAAGGAGAAGCAGAACTCAGAGAAGAAAAGCATCCATTCTCTTTATGGACCATCCTTAGGCCAAACACACAAAACTGTTCTTGCTATTAAGATGTTTCTATGTCTTCCTTTTAATTCTCCATACTACATAAAGTTAAAAACCCACTCGAAAATTTAAGACACTATTCTTTAATCTCTCTCATATTTTGCCTGTATCTAGCATGTACTTGTGGCTCAGTAAGTAATTGCTTAGTTAATTCAAAAAATGTATCAGTCTATGTAAGATCTTCCTTGGCAAAGAAATAAAGGAGTTATGTTTTGCTGTGTCCTTTGCTCCAGCTGAAAAAAAGAGTGAGGAAAGTGAACACGAGATAACTTTTCAGATACCATTCTGAGGATCCTAAATTCAAAACCCTGAGTCCGCAAGAGGTCAACAGTTAAAAATATATCTCCTCCCTACTACCAGAAAGTTTCCTAATTAGAGAAATCTGTGGAGGTTTAAGTAGATTGAGAGTGTGAATAAATTTTGTAAGTCTTCCGATTTTGCAAAAGTTCTCACATATGCATATCTATATACACACCCATACATATATGCATACAATCTTGCACACATTAGCTGAATTATAAATTAAATTAAAATTTTAAATTAAATATATTTTAATTTTGATTTTGTATTTAGTTGAATTAATACTTAAGGCATACAGTTTTACAAGAAACACTCATCAAATCATCATAATTAAGAAAATAAACATATCTATTTTACCAAAAAGTTTTCTTCTACCTTTTTACATTCCCTGCCTATTGCCCCTGTCTTCTTTTCATCCCAAACAACACTTGGTTTCTGTCATATAGATTAATTTTATTTTTGAGATGTTACGCGAATATTGTCATGTAGCATATACATACATACCCTATTTTATTGCACTTTATTGTGATTCACAGATAGTGTGTTTTTACAAATTGAACGTCTGTAGCAACGCCGTGTGTCAAGCAAGTCTATCAGCACCATTTTCCAACAGCATGTGCTCACTTCTTGCCTCTGTGTCACATTTTGGTAATTCTTACAATATTTCAAACTTTTTCATTATTATTATACCTATTATGGTGATCTTTGATCAGTAATATTTGATGTTACCATTGTAATTGATTTAGGACACCACAAACCATGCCCATATAAGACAGCAAACATGATCAATGAATGTTGTGTGTGTACTGACTGCTCCATTGACCAGCTGTTCTCTTATCTCTCTGCCTCTCTTTGGACCTTCCTAGTATCTGAGACACAACAGTATTGAAATGAGGCCAATTAATAACCTTACAATGGCCTGCCTCTAAGGATTCAAGTGAAAGGAGGAGTCACACCTCTTGTGCTTCAAATCAAAAGCTAGAAAAAATGATTAAGGTTAGTGAGGAAGACATGTTTTAACCCAAGATAGGTTGAAAGCAAGGCCTCTTGCATCAAACTGTTAAGGAGGTTGTGAATGCAAAGAAGTTCTTGAAGAAAATTAAAATCCTACTCCAGGGAACACACAAATAATAGAAAGTGAAACAGCCTTGCTGCTGATGTGGAGTAAGTTTGAGTGGTCTGGATAGATCGAACCAGCAACAGCATTTCCTTGAACCCAAACCTAATCCAAATCAGTGCCTTCAAGTCTGTGAAGGTTGAAAGAGGTGAAGAAGCTGCCTAAGAAAAATTGGAATCTAGCAGAGATTCGTTCATGAGGTTTAAGGGGGAAAAAGCCATCTTTATAACATAAAAATACAAGGTGAGGCAGCAAGTGCTGATGGAGAAGTTGTAGCAAGTTAACCAGAAGATCGACCTAAGATAATTGATGAATACGGCTACACTAAACCACAGATTTTCAGTGTACATGAAACAGTCTTCTGTTGGAAGAAGATGCCTTCTAAGGCTTTAGTGGCTAGAGAGGAGAAGCCAATGCCTGGCTTCAAAGATTCAAAGAATAGGCTGACTTTCTTATTAGGGGCTACTGTAGCTGGTGACTTTAAATCGAAGCCAGTGCTTATTTGTCATTCCCAAAATCCTAGGGTCTTAAAGAATTATGCCAAATCTTCTCTACCTCTATAAATAAAACAACAAAGCCTGGATGACAGCACATCTGTTCACAGCATGGTTTACTGAGTATTCTAAGCCCACTGTTGAGACCTACTGTTCAGAAAAAAAGATGTCTTTCAAAATATTACTGCTTATTGACAATGCATTTGGTAACCCAAGAGCTCTGATGGAGATATACAAAGAGATTAACGTTGTTCTCATGCCTATTAGCAAATTATCCATTCTTCAGCCCATGGATCAAGGAGTAATTTTGACTTTCCAATCTTATTATTTAAGATATACTTTTGGTAAGGTTATCATTAACATAGTAATTCCTCTGATGAATCTGGGAAAAGTAAACAGAAAACCTGAAAAATGTTCATCGTTCTAGAAAGGATTCAACACTCATAATCCATGGAAGGAGGTCGAAATATCAACATTAACAGGAATTTGAAAGAAGTCAGTTCCAGTCCTCCTGCTGACTTTAAGGGGTTAAAGACCTCAGTGGAGGAAGTAAATGCAGATGTGGTGGAAGTAGCAAGAGAACTAGAATTAGAAGTGGAGCCTGAAATGGGACCGAATTGCTGTAATCTCATGATCAAACTTTAACCAATGAGGAGTTATTTATATATGAATAAAGAAAATGGTTTCTTGAGATAACATCTATTCCATCTACTTCTGATGAACATGCTGTGAACATTGTTGAAACGACAAAAAAAGGCTTGAGAATATTACATAAACTTAGTTGATAAATCAGTGGAAATATGTGAGAAGATTGACTCCAATTTTGAAAGAAGTTCTACTGAAAGTAAAATATCATCTAGCAGCATCATATACTACAGAGAAATCTTTTGTGAAAGGAAGAGTCAATGTGACAAACTTCATTGTTATGTTATTAATATTTTAATAATTGCCACAGTCACTCCAACCTTTAGCAATCACCACGCTGATCATTAGCAGCCATCAACATGAAGTCACGACCTTCCACCATCACAATGATTATGACTTACTGAAGGCTCATATGATCATTAGCATTTTAAGATTAAAATATTTTAATTATGTACCTAGTTTTTATGAACATATTGCTATTGTGCATAGATTACACTGTAGTGTAAATGTACCTTTTATAAGAAGTAGAAAACCAAAAATGTGTGTGACTTGCTTTATTGTGATACTCACTTTATTACAGTGGTTTGGAACCAAACCTGCAATATAACCAAGGTATAGCTGTATTCTGTAATCCTTATTATATCATATATCGGGAAAATAATTTTGAGATTTATTCATGCTGTCATGAGCATCAATAAGAGTTTATTTCTTTATACTGTTAGTATTAAATTGTATGTATATACTACAACTTCTTTATTCACTTACCTGTTGGTGAAATTTGGGTTGTTCTAGTTTTGAGTTTTCAGTAATAAAGTTCCTATGAGTAAATATTCATTTACAAGTTTTTGTATGGGCATATGCTTTTATTTCTTTTGGGCAAATACCTAGGAATGGAATGGTTATGTCACAGGGTTGATATATGATTAACTTTATAAGAAACTATTAAGCTGTTTTTTTTTCATTTTATATTCCAGTCAGCAGTGTATTAAAGTTCCAGTGGATCCTTACAGACACTCAGTGTGATTAGTATTTTTAATTTTAAAAATTCTGTTGGTGTGGTGTGTACTAGTATTTCATTATAGGTTTAATTTGCATTTCTCTAATGATTAATGATGCCAAATGTTTTCTCATTTGCTTATTTGCTATCCATAATTTTTTGTTCCTGAAGTGTCTATTAAATTTTTGTGTATTTTTATTGGATTGTGTTTTCTAATTGAGTTTAATGTTTTAAATAGTTTAAGTAGGAGTCCTTTATCAGATATGTGATTTGCAAATACTTTTCCCCAGTCTATGATTTGTCTTCACATTCTCCTAACAGTTTATTTTATGTAGCAGAGGTTCTTAATTTTGACAAAATTTATTATATCAATATTTAATTTAAAAAATCTAAGGTCTTCAGTTTATATTTTCTAACTAAATTATAAAAAGAATTTAGGATTCATTAAAGCCAGTTATTATACTTTCCAAATCCATAGTATTTTTGTTTAATATTCTAGTTCTAGCTTGAGTTTTGAATTATTTTTGTTTTAAGGTATAACTGTGGCCACCTGACCCTAGAGAACAGACTCTGATACTCAAAGAACTTCATGCAAGAGGCTTACTAGGAGTCACTTTTGAAAATAACTCCTTTTAGAGAGCAAGAGAACAGGATTGGGCAGAGGGAGGCAGTGAACTCTCATGAAATTGCAACATTGTCATTAGCTAGTCACTTAGCTCGCTCTGAGTATGGCATAGCTTTCAGACATAGCCCCAACAGAGGCAAATGGGTCAAGTCTTTATCTCCCTGTAACAACCAGTCATTGGATGTAGGCTTCTCCTGGGAAAAGGGTATAACCTTGAACGAGACAGCATTTTTCATCAGCAACCATCACCCTCAGCCATTGGAGGATGAGTGATTAGGAATATTCAGGCAATGCACTCACAGCATCCACTTGAGGCCTCTCTACTCAGGACCACTTATTTTAAATAAATAGTAAGCTTTATCTGGAAAAACCTCCTCTAAGACCAGTGCACTGCAACTTTTCTCAAGGCCACAACTGATACTCATTATCTTCTTACCATATTACCTACTCTAGAGTCCCTTCCCCCTTAGCTAGGATTTCTGCTGCTCTAGGAATCTTAACATGAAATAACCCAGACACTTATGAGTGAGGATTCTGAATCTGTGGTCAGCATGCTCTTCCCAGACCATCACTACTGTATCTATTCATTTATTGTCATGGTTAGGAAAGGGCCAAGGGACTCTCTAGTGTATCAACCAGCCAAATAACTATTGGCCGAACATACTTTTTCCTGCCACAAGGAGGTAAGAGTCCTAAACCCTCCTGATAGTGAGGGTCAATGACCATGCTTGCTGAACTTTTGAAATAGGAAGACTGGAGTGACAGCCACACTTTAAATTGTAGCAGCCACAATTTAAAGAAGACTCTGTTTCTCCTGGCAGAAAAATTCCCTTTCTGGAAAACAGAAACTTTAGGCCAGCAGAGCCTAGAGTGGCAGGGAGAGAATTCAAACATTCTCCAAATGTGTCACTAGGAATGATTGTAAATCAGTCTATTCCTTTTGCTCCCAAACCCATCTGTTTTATATATTGCTGAAAGAACCATATAGAGGTTATATATTTCGGGTATATTCTATGTCCTGGAGGATAGTGTCCTATTTTTATAGAATATCATGTTCAAGTTAATGACTCAGCTGAGTCTTCAAAAGATGGCTCCTTCATTCTACCAGGTTGTCGTCTTCAAGTGGTGTGCTATAGGATAGAGACAGTAATTGTTATGGTAATGTATTCATTCCTGTGGGTCCTTTGTTTTAAACTGAGTCTTTTGGTCTCTGGATGCTCTTCAGAAGCGGTGCTGGCTAAGGTCCTGTGCGCAGTGAAGATTGACTCATACCTGTAATTTGTGTTGATTAAAGATTAATTACTTCCTTTTCCATAATGAAATGGATCTAAAGTAATTTAACCTCTAAAACGTGACTAATTGGTCTCCTTGATGGATGATATTGTACCTGAAGATCAACACTCATCTCCATTGTGGGTACACACTACATTTTGCAAAACCAGTAGTTAGATTGGTCTTAGTGACTAGAAGCCATTTATGTTGGACTCATGCATAGCCTCCACGTTTTTTAGAATGGTTACTTCACTCATTAGTCCATTGTGTCTACACTAAAATTATTAATGATAAAAGCTGGATGATTTGGCTTTCTTGGGCCCTTTGGTTCTTTATTTATTTATAGCAGTGCAATTTAAATTCTTGCTCAGTCCTGGCAGGACCACTTTCACACTATAAGGGATAGCTTCCAGGTCTTCTACATTTAAGATTTAATGGATCTGACAGAATCTTGCTCATCATAAGCATTTCTGGTTACATGGTCACTTGATATTCTACAACAAGGTGTTCTGTCTCTAGAAGGACACGAATACTATACCAGGAGCTTTTTTTTAAAATTATGTATAATTCTGTTACAGATGAAAGGACCTTGCCACCATCTTTTTCAGTAGAATAAGCTGCTGGTTGTTTCTGATTCTTGGGCATCTAATTATCTTTGTGTACTGAACATTGTTTTTAAAAGTACTGAGTTAATATTCTTAGGCCAAAGATGATGCTAAGAAATGTCTGCATTTGCATAGATCTGGGGTACTTCAGGATTATTCTGCTCAAATTTTAGGAATTGTGATCTATAGGTTAAAAAGTGGTATTTAAACTGCAGACTTGGATGTTCTGCATAAGTATGGCCTTAATCTTACTCAAGGTATACCTTTCAGGGTCCAAAACTATGATTTAATAAAGTCTCTTAAATTTTACATGCCACTCCTCAACACACACACACATGCACACACACACACACAAATATTCCAGCCTTTTAGGAACTTTATCTGTTAATATCAAATGCTAACAAGACTAAAGTGCCTCAGACACTGTAGTAATCATTTCACTTTATATGTACATTAAAACATCATGTTGCATACCCTATCATCTATCTATCTATCTATCTATCTATCTATCTATCTATCTATCTATCAACCTTTCTATCTATATTTAATGTTCTAAATGCCTAGGTCACATATTTGCATTTCTGTCCTCTTCCTAATCATGGCCAGTTAATTTTCATTATTGTATTAGACCTTTTATGCTTTTATAGAAGTTTTCTAAGCTGTATTTTGACAAGATTCTTCTTTTCGTTTGTCTTCAGTTAGGAGAGTTCATCTGAATTAGACTTCTTAATAGAAGTAAAAGCATTGCCCCTTGTTTTTAAATTCTCAAAAGCTTTTATTATCATTGTTATCATTATCATTACTATACTCTCTCTGGAATTTCTGTTAATAGTATATATGACGTTTTAATTGTATTTTCCACTTGTAAACTTTCTTCCTAATTTCTTTTTTTAAAATAATTTCTTCAACTCTGCCTTCCAGTTTACCAGTTCTTTTTCAGCTGTGCCTAATCTGTAATTTAAAATCCACTGAGTGTTTTTCAAATTCAGATGGCTAAATTTTATTACTGTAGTTCTACTTTTACCAACATACAAAATATAATTCTCCTTTCACTGCTATTGCTATATCTTCCTTCACCTCGTTAACCATTTAAATGTGCATAATTTATAGTATCTTTTCATTTGTGTTATTGTGTGACGTAGTTTTTTCATTGATTTTATCTGCTGAATTACTTTTGAGGTTGTATTTTGTAGTGGCACTTTAACAATTTTAGTGCCTGTTTATGTTCATTGGCAATTGTGCCCCCTTCCTTGGGAATTACATGATTCAAGAATGTATGTATGTATTAATTTGTTCAACAAATATTTGTTTTGTTACTGTTATGTGCTAAGAACTCTTATGTCTCCTGGGGATAGTGCACAGAGTAGAAAAAAAAAAAAAAAAACAACACTTAACTGTTGGGGTTGTAGAAGTGTACGTAACCAAACAAAACCAAAAAAAAAATTTTTATGCTTGCCTTTTACACTTCTTCAAGTGTTTCATTGATCCTGGATAAGATTTCAGGCTTTTTCATTGGCTTCATGTATTTTATTCTTGATGATAGTTTAAGTTCTTATCTCACTTTACGTGTGGTGTGAGACTTCTGTAATGTATGCATCGTTCAGTCTTTGCTTGAGCAATTTCTAAATGGAAAGTTTAAAGTTTAAAAAGCAGACCATTTTAGACACCTAACTAAGCAAATGTTTTTATGTCTTCTCTGAAACTCGAATTTTCACCTTTCATTTTATACTCTAATTCTGCTTCATTTCTCTAAAGCAACATAATATAAACATTCTTCATGACACTTAGAGAACATTGAATACATTATTAACATTTCTATTTAATTGTTTTCTCTTTAAGTTTAAAAGTCTTCCTCGCCTTTAGTCATTTCCTTACCAATCTACTCTTGAATGATTGGTAATTTATTTTTCCTCACATATTTTGAAACCCACAACTGAACTCAGGAGTCTAGAACTGGTATAAACTCTTTAAAATGCTGTAGAGCTAATATATTTCTAGATCGTGGCCCTACATTTCCATCAATTTACTGTAAGACTTAATGGTATAAAAATAAAAATAAATATCTAAATATTGCATGATATCATATGTGGAATTTCAAAAATAAAATAAAAGCCAAATGATAGAAAATAAAACTGATTATTCAAGGGTGGGTTGGGGAAAAATATGCAGAGATGTAGTTCAAAGTATACAAAGTAGCAGAAATTTAGATGAACTAGTCTGCAGATCTAATGCACAACATGAAGACTATAGTTAAAAACAGTGTATTTTATTCAGTATTTTTTCTAAATGAGTAGATGGTAGCTGCGCGCTATAATGAACTCCCTGAGACTGGATAATTTATGAAGAAAACAGGTTTAATTGATTCATAGTTCTTTGGACTGGGAGGCCTAAGGAAACTTACAATCATGGCGGAAGGGGAAGCAAGCACATCTTTACCATGGCATAGCAGGAGAAAGAGAGCAGGAGGGGGGAAGTGCCACACACTTTTAAACCATCAAATCTCCTGAGAACTCACTCATTAACATGAGAACAGCAAGGGGGAATCCACCCCTATGATCCAATCACCTCCCACCAGGCCATCTCCCTTGGCACTTGGGGATTACAATTTGACATGAAATTTTTGTGGGGAGAAACCATATCACTGCTTTTTTCAAACAACAACAACAAAAATAGGTTAAGTGTAAGATGATGGACATGTTAATTTCCTTCAATATAGTAACAACTTTATGTTGTGCACCTTAAAAATACACAATAAAATTTATTTCAAAATTAACAGAAAAAGAGAGCTTAAACACTCCATTAATAGTTATTTTGTACTGATTACATGTTAAAATTATAATATTCTTGATATATTGGGCTAAATAAATATAATTTTTGACACATCTAATAAGTAGAAAAATATTTTATTAGTTTTTAAAGCAGTTGCATTCAAGTTATGACTGAAAATATCTTTGATCAACTAAACTATACCAGTTCATGTTTATCATAACCTTTGTCAGTTATCTTTGAAACTGTACATCTTCAATTAAGTATTTTTAACTCAAATGCAGCATTTTACATTTACTTCTCTAAAATTTATCTTATATTTGCATGTAGTATCTCTATATCAGACTGTCAAAGTGCAGAATACTTTGAATCATTATTTTTAGAAGCCAATATTTGATAAAATCCCTGTCCAAAGTGTTGTGCTATCTTTTAAATTTTCCGACACCTTATTCATAATATAGACACAACAGTTATAAAGTATACACCATGAAGATGCCCTATCTTTTTTTAATAGTTACGGGTTTGGCAAAGGATCTACTAATTAATATTTTAAGTGTAGCTGTAAAACCAATTAAAATTCTACCTATAATATTTTCTAGTCCACAATTTTACATTTAAGCCATGAGTAAATAATGAAATATCTTTCCAAATATATTCATGAAATGTATATATAAGGCAGCACAATTATCCAAAAATTACAATGAAAAAAAGAAACACGATTTAAGTGACTCATTTGTTTTTCATATTTTCTTCTTGTATATTATTTATTTATGTATACTTTTTTTGAGATGGGGTTTTATCATGTTGCCTAGGCTGAAGTGCAGTGGTGTGATCACGGCTCACCCCATCCGGAACCTCCTTGGTTCAAGTGATCCTCCCACCACAGCCTCCTGAGTAGCTGGCACTACAGGCCGCACCATCATGCCCAACTAAAATTTTTTTCTGTTTGCAGAGATGAAGTCTGGTCTTCAATTCCTTCCGCCTCAGTTTCTTAAAGTGCTGGGATTACAAGTATGAGCCTCTGTGCCTGGCCTCTTCTTGTATATATATATTTTTTTCTTTTATTTTCTGAGACGGAGTCTCGCTCTGTCACCAGGCTGGACTGCAGTGACGCGATCTCAGCTGACTGCAATCTCCGTCTCCCAGGTTCAAGGGATTCCCTTGCCTCAGCCTCCCGAGTAGCTGGGACTACAGGCATGCACCACCACGCCCAATTTTTTGTATTTTAGTAGAGACAGGGTTTCACCATGTTGGCCAGGATGATCTCCATCTCCTGACCTGGTGATCCGCCCGCCTCGTTCTCCCAAAGTGCTGAGATTACAGGCGTGAGCCACCGTGCCCGCCCAGCCTTCTTGTATATTTTTTAAAAGCTCAAATAAACAATTTCAAAATATACGCTAACTCGTTTTGCGAGACCCATATCTGGTGTTTTTGTTAACGTTGCTGATTAGTGCTACTAAATTTGCTAATCCAACCATTCAATAATGTGTAATATTTTCTACATATTTTCATTAAAATACATTTAATATAGCATGGTCAATAATTTGTACGTCATCTCTCCTATCAAATTGTGCTCTTCCAAAATAAGAAGGATTTTTTATTCGGTTCATCATTATGATTTTGCTCTTAGTATGGCAATTGGAACATAGTGTGCACTCAGTATATGTTTAAAGATGTGTTTTTTGTAAGATGAAAGTTCTAGGACTTTTTAAAAAATAACAAAACTGGGTTTGTAGTTTTGAAACTCACATTTTGTTACTTAAATAAAATTAAGAAATCATCACTTAGCCTAATGTTTTCTAACATTTTCCTTTTTTTATATTCATTGATGTTTACCAGCTGTGTTTTGAAATTATTTCTACTAACTGTTCAAAACCAAGGCATACAAGTAGAATTAAAAAATTAATATTTCACTGGATTATTTGTGGGAAAAGGGCCATTAGAGATTTAATATAAATCTTTAAGATTTTTTCAGGTAATTACAATGAAACAATAAAAATGTAGTGATCAGAATCCTCAGTTGATGACTTCCTCTATGAGTCCACTAAGGTCGTGCATGATTTTTATTTTAGTCATTTCATGTTAACTTTACTTTGTTATCCTCTTCATCTCCAGTATAATTTCTTTATTACTCCTATTTTTGGATATTAGATGCTAATCTTCTTTTTAAAAAATTTCCTGTACAGTTAACTTTGAAGCTGATACTTGTTTATATTTATTCTCTTTTTCCAGCTCAAGTCATTCCTTTTGTTGTAGAAGAAAAGCCATTTGGATGTAAAGGATGTCTTTTACTTTGTATGACCTCTTTGTATTTATTTCAACTATTCCAAATAGGACACTATCATTTCCTTGTTCTTCTTGCTTTTTACAAGGCAAATAAAACTTATTGACATGAATGGAAGTTGAGGGTAAGCCCTAAACATTCTTGGCTTTATTGTTTCTTACATCATTTCTAAACTTTTATTTAAAGATATTAAAACAGTAGACCCTGTTTAGGTAGAAAGCATACTTCGCTGTCACCCTGTCTGGTGGTCTAGTGTTCTTTTCTGTCCTGTCACTTTAACCCTATAAATATATGTCAGCATGCTCGGTTTACCAAAAAGAATTTCTTGTATGTAAAAGTGGTTTATTTTTATTGTTTTGTCTGTCTCATATGATTGTCCAACACTTATACTATCTGCAAGTTTATTTTATAAGGAATGTGCTATGCATACTTTTTATATGAGGCCATTTTGAGAAATAACATAGTCTCCCTAGTCTCTTAACAAATGTTTCCTTAGGTAATAAAAGTATTCAGTGCTTAAGAGGATAACATAATTGTATAATTCGTTGAAAATAATGTTTATTAGTAATGATAATATCCTTTAGATTTAAGCACATTTTTACCATTTTTCATTAGAGCTAGAAAATGACAGCTATAGTTTTTATAATAGTTTTCAAATTAGTGAATTGTGGATAAACTATTATTTTCATACAAAAGACAGAAAATTTTAAGAGATAGAATATTTGCTATTGCTTTGCATAAAATATGTCCCAGGCTGTTTTAAGAGGTTCATCTTAATTGCACTGCTTCACCTCCACAGTGTAGGTAAATGTTCGTTTTGTGTTAATTAAGAAGTCATTTAAACATCTGCCTTTCTTTTATGGACTGCCTTAAGAGTGTAAAATGTGTTTTTCTCATGAGAGCACTTTATGTTCCCAAGTGGCAATTTTAAAATAAAGTGTCTCTTTTTCAGATATAAAGTCTAATGTGCAAAGGTTTTGCCATCTGTTCTATGTAGTTAACACTTGTAAGCTGGTTGTTTGATTAGAAGCAACAAATGCATAGAAAATGCATCTTCACTCAAAATAAAGAAAACTAAAAATACGGTCTGTTTTTAAGACACATTACAAATATTTAAATTTTATTCAGGAGGAGTTGGGTCTCTTAAGGCAGAAAATTCATCATTAAATTGAATTTTATATCATTTAGAAAAAAATTCATCTCAGTTTTTCAGAGCACACAAAGAGCTCCTTGTTTCAATACAGGACAAATAATTAAATCAATGCTGCTTACCAAGTCTATCTAATAAAGTTACGAAGCCAAAAATAGCTTATCTAATAGTTTAAGATGCCTCAAAAAGTAAGTTATATCTATTGAGATATAATCCAACTCTATTGTCAGAAATAGTTTCTAAAAACACAGGGAAACATTATTTAATCTAAAAATGATATGTTAACAACGATATTGTAAAAACTCATCAATCATTTTACAAGTTTAGATATTTGTACAGACGTTAATTTACAATATAAATAAGAAAATACAGAAAACAGGCCGGGCATGGTGGCTCACGCCTGTAATCTCAGCACTTTGGGAGGCTGAGGCAGGCAGATCACTTGAGGTTAGGCATTCCAGACTAGCCTGGCCTATATGGTGAAACTCTGTCTCTACTAAAACCACAAAACAACATTTTGTGTATGTTATTCATTAATTGTGAGGGCAAATGCCTAATTCAGACACTTTGTTCTTATCAAGACCAGAATATCTGCTCCAGAATGTATATTAATTCTAGAATCTCTTGACTTGTGATTACTCTGAAAATACAGGTTATCCCAGAATTGTCTGTATCACCACTGGGGATTCATTCGTGTTTGAGACATGTCTACTATAAACAAGTATAATGATATAAATGATTCCCATGACCAAAGATATTCAAAATAAACTATTTTCTTTATTTCATGACAGTTTTGCTTTGGGACAGGGTCAGGCAGATTTATCTACCTAAAATCTCATACAATCAGATATTGTTGAGACAGAAGTCATGCTTAAAAATCTTTGGACCTGAGATGATTTTTGTATTAATTCTGAAGCTCTTAACTAGTTGCTCCCAGAATTTTTAATTCTGTTAAGGCTGTATTGATTATAATCATTCAATTGGGGCCACTAGAAGTGGTAAGAACACATGGTAGCTGTTAAATTCACAGCAATATTTCTGGTGCCTATTATGTACACAGCCCTAAAGCAAAAATTTTTAAGTAACTACACAGTAATATGAGATATTTTTGCTAACCTGTACATAACAATTCTAATGGAAACAATGACAATATTAAACCTTATATATACAGCATGCATGTTAAGTGTATAAATAGTCCAGACAGTAAATGCTAAGACATATTTTGATCTTCATAATCCAGAATATCTTTATGGAGATGTGGAATAACTTTTGAACTGAGCTTTCAAAGTTGAATAATATTCAGCTAAAATTGGAAGAAAGATCAGGTAAGAAGAAAGTGGCCCTCCACCCAGAAACAGAAGGAAAAAACAGACGAATAAGACAAAAATATATGAAGATACTATTAAAGAACCCAGAGTAGTTAAATAAAAAGTTTTATCTAAATCATAGGAGATGAATTAAAACTGCAGGCTGGAAGAATATCTTAAATAATATTATGATGATTATTTTTTCATTTAAAATCCTTTGCAAGTCTTTGAACAGTTGAAGGGGAAGATTCAAATTTTATTTTATGGAGATTAATAATGAGATCATGACTTTTCTTTCACCATGCAAGATATAGGTTATATATACATATATATATTATTTATTTATTTATTTTTGAAATCGACATATGTTAACTATTTGAAAGGGAAAATACTCTAATCAAACCCATTAGGACTTTATTACAATATACTTTTTGGGTGGAGATAGAAATGAAAACATAAGATCAAATGTGAAGGAAAGTGCCAAGCTTTGAGACTTAATAAATGTGTAAAGAAGAAAGAGGGAGGTTTCAAGACACATGGCATTTGCTGAACACAGTATGAGGAATCAACTTACCTGAATCTAATCATAGGTCCCTCACTTCTATGCAGTATATCTGCTTCATATAAGATTGGTTATACTACCACATGTACTGACCATATGACACAGTTTTCATAAAAGGAAAAATTATATGTCCATATCTATATATAGGCATGCATGTGTATCCCTTTTATAGTTTGGTAAAGTTTATACAAAAATGCCATAATTAATATAATATTAACAATGACATAGTTTGGATATTTGTCCCTGCCCAAATCTCATGTTGAATTATAATCCCTAATATTGGAGGAGGGTCCTGCTGGGAGGTGTTTGGATCATGGGAGCAGATACCTCACGGCTTGCTGATGTTCTTGGGATAGTGAGTAAGTTCTCACGAGTGAGTACTTATGAGATCTGGTTGTTTCAAAAGAGTGTGGCATCTCCCCACTACTCTCTTTCTTGATCCTGCTCTGTCCATGTGATGTGCCAGCTCCCAACATGTGACCTGTCTGCTCCCCCTTCACCTTCTCCCATGTTTATAAGTTCTCTGAGGTCTCCCCAGAAGGCAAGCATATGCCAGAGCCATGCTTATACTGCCTGCAGAACCATAAGCCAATTAAATCTCTTTTCTTTATAACTTACCCAGTTTCAGGTATTTCTTTGTAGCAATGCAAGAATTGCCTAACACAAATAATGACGATAATAATAATATGGCTAAATGTTAAGCCTTTTGGGATATCAAATCGATACAGATCAAATAAAAACAGATATCAATCTACTGCCCAAGCAGAAGTGCAGTGGCCTTATGATAGCTCTCTGCAGCCTCAAACACCTTAGGCCCAAACAGTCCTCTGCTTAAGCCTTTCAAGTAGCTGGGACTAGAGGCACTTACCACCGCAACTGGCTAATTTTTTTGGTTTTTTTTTTTTGTAAAAACAAGGTCTTGCTATATTACTCAGGCTGGTATTGAACTCGTGGTCTCAATTGATCCTCCTGCCTTGGCGTCCCAAAGTGTTGGGATTAGAGGTTTGAGCCACTATGCCACGTCTAATCATCATTGTTTTAAAGTATTCGAAAACAACTATATGAGAGACTTCTCCAAATAAGTGGAAAACAAATTAGTAGCTTAATAAACAAAAACTTAAATCATTTGAATTACAAGAAATATCCAAACATAATCTTGCCTAATTTTCATAGTACTCTTTCGATAGCTAAAAAACCAAAAATTGTTGTACTCTTTATCATCAAATAATCAAAATGCAATAGAAAATATGTACATATTCATGATATTCTAATACACTAATTTTGTTAAAGAGCATTGAAAGACAATGAATGCTATACAGCAAGGGTCAGCCACAGAGTTTTATTACAACTACTCAACTCTGCTGTTGTAATCCAAGAAAATCCTTACATGGCATATAAATAAATGGATGTGGCTGCATTTTTACAAAACTTAACTTTTTTGAAAAGGTAACAGGTCAGATTTGGCTGACAAGCCATAATTTGCTGACTCTTGCAGTATAGCAAGGATATGTCTAGACTTAAAAAAAAAATACAGGCTTGCAAGCATGGACATTATAGATGTCTCAACTAGCATCTGAAATGTAGATGCTGAGAGGACAAAGATGATCAAAATAGTTTGTTGTCTATTATTTAATCTCAGTAGGCAAATCATTTTATGGCATTCAGATGATGACCAGAACTGGTATTGGAAAAAAATTATCTAAAACCTTAGCTTTATCTTTGAATAATCATCTGGTTATTCACAAATTCGTCTGGTTATTCATAAATTACCTAAATTATATTAGGTAATTTTAGAATTCAGTAGATAAGTATAGCTGCACACACACATATACAAATATGACTCTAAAATATAGTTCTCAAATCCTGACTCACTTTTTAATCTGTAATCTAATATTTAACCTACAGCACCTTCATATTTATTAACTGCCTAATGATAAATGTCAGTGTCTATTCTCCAAAATAATTTTATCTTCCTAATTTTTCTATTTCTGTTCATTAGGAACACTAGTTTCCAATTTTCTAGAAAACTGCTTCCTCCTCCTCCCCATGTTTTCTCAACTGTTTAATCCTTTGTAAAATGCCAAAGATTATGGATTATAACTACATAGTTGACTTATCTGTGTCCCAAAATACATGCTAAGTCATGGTCTCATTGGTTCTTTTTGTAAACATTTTATTGAGATATAATTTCTGTACCACAAAGTTGCGTATGTTCAATTCAAAGATTTCTTGTAGATTTATAGTTTTTTGCAATCATTCCAAAACTCAGTTTTCGAACATTTCTATTATTTCATAAAACTCCCACATTCCCATTTACAATCTACCCTTGCTCTCATCTTCAAGCCTAGGAAACCATAGTACTAATGTCTGCATCTATAATTTGCCTATTCTGGATATTTTATATAAATGAATTCTACAAAATATAGTATTTTGTGTCTGGCTTCTTTCAAATAGCACAACACATATGAGGTAATATATACTTCAGCCTATTTCTGTAATGCATCCCTTATTCTTCATGAATACTATTGCATTGTATGGATATACTATACTTTACCCTTCCACTAGTTGACGAATTTATAATTGATTCTTGTTTTCAGCTTTTCAGCTATGAATAATGCTGCTCTAAACATTCACATATAAGTTTTGTGTTAACATATATCCTTATTTTTTTGAGATACATAGCTTGGAGTGGAATTACCGGTCATATGGTAACTATATCTAATTTCTAAATACATTGTCAAAATGTCTGTAAAATGACTATGCCATCTTATATCCCCACCAGTAATGTTTGAACACTCAAGATTTTCCATTGTCAAAATAACTTTGCATTGCCTGCATTTTTTATTATAGCCATCCAAGGAAGTATGTAGTGATATCTTACTGTGGTTTTAACTTGCGTTATCTTAATTTCTAATAGTGTTAAGCATGTTTTAATGTATTGTTAGTCATGGGTAGTCTTCTTTATTGAAATGTCTATTGAAGTCTTTTGAACTTGTTATTGGATTTTGTCATATCAACATTGACATAAGGATTCTTTATAAATTCTCAATGCAAATTCATTGTCAGATGTATAATTTGCTAATTTTATCAAAAATATGTGGCTTATATTTTTACTTTCTTAATAATGTATTTTGAAGAACAAAGTTCTAGTTCCAGTGAATTTTAATTTATGAATTTTTCACTAATGCATGCTCTTGATATTGCATTTAATACCTTTTTACTCAATCCATGATCAAAACATTTCTCCCATATTTCGTTCAGTAAGAACAAATAGTTTTATAGTTCTAGCTCTTACATTTAGATTCATGATCCATTATGAGCCAAATTTATTGGGCATTAGTATGGTGTTAGTAAAAGACATTTTTAGTGGTTATACTATTGTGTCATCAACCCAATTTTTTAACAAGACTACTTTTACTCATTGAATTTCCCTGACATCTTTGCTTAAAATTGATTGAACTTGTACATATGGGGTTTATTTCTGAACTCTCCATTGTGTTCCACTGATCTATATGCCAATTCTTACACCAGTACCACCCCATACTAATTCCCACAGCCTTAAAAAGTTATGATATTGGTAAGTGTATGTCCTTCAACATTGTTCTTTTACAAAATCATTGCAGCTATTCTAGGTTTTTCATATTACTTCAATCTTGGGACCAGTTTGTCAAATTCTACAGAGAATAAAATTAAAGCCTGCTATGATTTTAATAGTGATTTTATTAAATCTATAAATAAACTTTTAGAGAATTTTTATCTTAAAAATATTGGCCAGGTGCGGTGGCTCACGTCTGTAATCCCAGTACTTTAGGATTTGGGAGGCCGAGGAGGGCAGATCACCTGAGGTCAGGAGTTCAAGACCAGCCTGGCCAACATAGTGAAATCCTGTCTCTACTAAAAATACAAAAATTAGCCGGGCACAGTTGTGGATGCCTGTAATCTCAGCTGCTTGGGAGGCTGAGGCAGGAGAATCACTTTAACCTGGGAGGCGGAGGTTGCAGTGAGCCGAGATTGCGCCACTGCACTCCAGACTGGGCGACAGAGCGACTTGGTCTCAAAAAAAAAAAAAAAAAAAAGGGAGAAATGTGGAATGTCTCACCAATTATTCAAACATTCAGTAATTTTGTCAGCATTATTATATCATTTTCAAGATTAAAGTCATGCACATTTTAGATAAGTTTATTTTTAAGTACACTTAATCCTCATTATCTGCAGTTTTTGTATTTGTGAATTCACCTACTTGGTAAAATTCATTTTTAACTTTCAAATCAATACTCATGGTGCTTTTGAGACAATTTGAGGACATGTGCAAAGTGGCAAAAAACTTTCAGTCAGCCGACATGTATACATCCAGCTGAAGTTGAACAGAGTTATGCTCTCTCTTCTTGTTTCAGCTTTCATACAGAGATGGCCAGAGCATAGATAGGGTGGGGACAATGCAATGCAATGTAAGAAGCCTCAGCTCTGGTGACAGGTGTATAAGGCTTGAATTCCAGCATTGGCATCGGTAAGTGGGGTGGTTTCAGGCAAATCACTTAATAATCATGAATCTTCTTTTCTCATTTGTAAAATAAAGCAAATAAAATCTACTAGGATAAGATGTTTTTAAAATTTAAAATTATAGCATATTACGTATCTGATGTATATAGGTAGATATAGATTAGATATAGATCTATCTGTTTTCCTCCTAGGAGGAACAATAGTAAATGTTCACTAATTCAGTGTTCAAGAGGATTGTATAGAAATAGTGAGAATTGACTATATATTTTTCCTAAAGCTGTTACGAATAGAAATGTTACAAAAGTTTTATTTTTTTAATTTAGAGAGATATACTTATTTATGCATTTTGACCTTGTATCAAGTGATCTTGCTAAAGTCACTAATCAATTGTAATAATGGGTATATTTGTGTGTATTTTTTAGGACTATATATATAGTCTATATATATAGTCTATATAGTCTATATAATGAATTGTATCATTTGCTAATATAGGCTTACTTATTCCTTTACAATCTGTATATATTTTTTGTAAATGCATAAGTATGTGAGTGTGTGTATATATATATATATGTACACACACATATATATATTTAAATTCTTTTGTATTACCTATTGCATTGCCTGAAAACTAACAGATACGTTGCTTTCCCCCAATTTTTGAAAGACAACATTTGGTCTTTCTTCCTAAATACAGATTTTCATAGATGTCATTTATTAAGTTAAGAAATATCCCTTCTACTGTTAGTTTATTTAACGTTTACAGGTGTTGGATTTTGTCAAATATTTTCTCTGGGTGTGCTGTGATCCTGTTCTTTCTGTGCTTTACCCTATTAATATGGTATGTTATCTTTTTTCTTTTTTACTATGTTTTCAAATTTTAAATTCGGGGGGTATATATAAGGGTTTGTTATCTGGATATATTGCGTAATTCTGGGGTTTGGGCTTCTACTGAGCCCATCACACAAATAGCGAACATAGTGTCCAATAGGTAAATTTTCCACTCCTGCCTTCCTTTCTCCCTCCTCGCCTTTTGGAGTCCCAATGTCTATTGTTTCCATCTTTATGTACCTGTGTACCCACTGTTGATCTCCCACTCATAAATGAGAACATGCAGTATTTGGTTTTCCGTTTCTGAGTTAATTATCTTAGGACGACGACCTCCAGCTGCACCCATGTTACTGCAAAGGACATGATTTCATTCTTTTTTATGGTTGTGTAGTATTCCATGGTATATATATATATTTTCTTTTTCCAATCAATTGTTGGTGGACACTTAGGCTGATTCTGTTACTTTGCTATTGTGAATACTGCTGTGATAAACAGAGCAGTGTAGACGTCTTTTTAGAAAACCAATTTATTTTCCTTTGGGTAGATATCCAGTAGTGGGATTGCTGGGGTGAATGGTATTTCTATTTTTAGGTCTTTAAGAAATCTCCATACTGTTTTCCACAGAGGTTAAACTAATTTGCATTCCCACCAACAATGATAAGCATTCCCTTTTCTCTTCATCCTCATGAACATTTATTATTTTTTGACTTTTTAATAATAACTATTCTGACTGGTATGAGATAGTATCTCATTGTGACTTTAATTTGCGTTTTTCTGATGATCAGTGATGTTCAGTATGTTTTTATATTTTTGTTGGCCACGTGTATGTTTTCTTTTGAGAAGTGTCTTTTCATGTCCTTTGCCCACTTTTTAATGGGGTTATTTGTATTTTCTTGTTGATTTGTTTGAATTTTGTATAGATCCTGGATGTTAGTCCTTTGTCAGATGCATAGTTTTCAAATATTTTGTCCCATTTTGTAGGCTCTCTGTGTACTCTGTAGATAGTTCCTTTGCTGTATAATTAAGCACCAATTGTCAATTTTTGTTTTTGTTGCATTTGCTTTTGAGGTCTTAGTCATAAATCCTTTGCTTGTGCTAATGTCCAGAAGAGTTTTTCCAAGGTTTTCTTCTATGATTTTTATAGTTTGAGGTATTAAATTTGTCTTTAATCCGTCTTGAGTTAATTTTTTTATGTGATGAGAGGTAGGGGCCCAGTTTCATGTGGATATGGCTAGTCAGTTTTCCCAGTATTATTTATTGAATAGGGTATCCTTTACCCATTGTTTATTTTTGCCAACATTGTCAAAGATCAGTAAACAACCTCAAATGCTTGGGATCAGGTCTACTTGGTAATATTGTGAAATCTTATTTTATTTTTAATAGTTTGCTGTTGACATACTTTGCTTGTTAAGGCAAGAATGCCTTAATATTTCCCTCAGCTTGACCAAACTTTAAGTCAATGTTTTTTCTGTGTCTCAAGGCCTCTAATCTCCCTTTTCTTAGAGCATTTGCTTTAGAAAACTTGTAATTGTATATCATTCCTGGCCGCTTTGAGATGTAAATCTGTTCTAAGGGTCTTTAGCAGATTTACAACTCAGGTTTCACTTTCTCCAGGACCTGGGAACCATCCCTTTCAAAGGTAATTATCAAGGAAGATGTTGCCTTATCTTCCAGCCTCTGTAGAACAGCAGGAGTCTGACTTAGGTGGCCACTTTTCTCTAAATTGAAAAACTATCTTCTACCATTAGAGTGAACTGAACAGGCAACCTACAGAATGGGAGAAATTTTTTGCAATCTACTCATCTAATCTACAGAATCTACAAAGAACTCAAACAAATTTACAAGAAAAAAACAAACAACCCCATCCAAAAGTGGGCAAAGGATATGAACAGACACTTCTCAAAAGAAGACAATTATGCAGCCAACAGACACATGAAAAAATGCCCACCATCACTGGCCATCAGAGAAATGCAAATCAAAACCACAATGAGATACCATCTCACACCAGTTAGAATGGTGATCATTAAAAAGTCAGGAAACAACAGGTGCTGGAGAGGATGTGGAGAAATAGGAACAATTTTACACTGTTGGTGGGATTGTAAATTAGTTCAACCATTGTGGAAGTCAGTGTGGTGATTCCTCAGGGATCTAGAACTAGAAATACCATTTGACCCAGCCATCCCATTACTGGGTATGTACCCAAAGGAATATAAATCATGCTGCTATAAAGACACATGCACACGTATGTTTATTGCAGCACTACTCACAATAGCAAAGAGTTGGAACCAACCCAAATGTCCAACAATGATAGACTGGATTAAGAAAATGTGGCACGTATACACCATGGAATACTATGCAACCATAAAAAAAGGATGAGTTCGTGTCCTTTGTAGGGACATGGATGAAGCTGGAAACCATCATTCTCAGCAAACTATCACAAGGACAAAAAACCAAACACCGCGTGTTCTCACTCATAGATGGGAATTGAACAATGAGAACACATGGACACAGGAAGGGGAACATCACACAATGGGGCCTGCTGTGGGCTGCGGGGAGAGGGGAGGGATAGCATTAGGAGATATACCTAATGTAAATGACGAGTTAATGGGTGCAGCATGCCAACATGGCACATGTATACATATGTAACAAATCTGCACGTTGTGCACATGTACCCTAGAACTTAAACTATAATAAAAAAATTTTTGTTTAAACTACCTTTTGTTATAAAGATTGTAGGCCCTCTGTATTTTCTAATTTAACCCAAAGAAAAAGTAAACTTTCTCATATTTTAATTTTTCTAGGTATTTCACATTGATTTTTGTTTTGTTTTGTTTTTGCTGTCTACTTTTGTGCTAAATAAATACTTTTCATGTATCATTTAATTCTTCTTAATTTTTTGAATATTTTTTGGATTTATTTTCTTAGTGGTTGCTCTACAGTTTATATGCAAATTAGTAAACTACAATCTACTTTAGATTTTTACTGACTTTATTTTGGCACAATATGGAAATTTGCTTGAATACGGCTCTGCTTTCTGCTCCTTCCTTTTAGCTATTATTGCTATATACACATAGGGTATAAATCCAGAATTATTATTTTTTATATTTCTGTGCACTTCTCTCTCCTGTCATTTCATTTAAAGCTGAAGATATTTTTCTTAGTATTTTTGAAAGGTAAGTTGTCTAGCAATACATTCTCTCAAATTGTGTTTATCCAGGACTTTTTTCGCTTGTTTTTTTTTTGAAGTATAGTTTTGCTAGATATAGAATTCTTGGTTAACAATGTCTCTTCCTACAACTTGAATATGCCATCCCACAGCCCTCTGGTCTGCATCATTATGAACAGTCAGCCTTTACGTGTGTTACTGTTCCCCTCTAAATAGCTATCTGATTTTTTTCTTTCATCTTTGAAGATTTTTCCTTTGCTTTGGTGTTCAACAGTTTGACTATGATGTGTCTAGGTGTGATTTATGTATTTATCCTACTGAAATCTGTAGATTAACAATTTTTAGCACATTTGAAAAGCTTATATTTTCAAAATTTATTTCACCACATTGCTATTGCTTCTCTTGATTCTCAGACTACCATTAAATATGTGCGTGCGTGTGTGTGTGTGTGTGTGTGTGTGTGTGTATAATGTTGTATAATGGATCTCCAAGTATTTATTTTTTTCAATTTTTTTCTCCTCAGATTGCATACTTTCTACTTGATCTATATTAAAATTCACTAATTTTTTTTCCTGCTGCTAGCTCAAATATGTTGTTGAAATTCTCTAATGATTTGTTCACAATAATTATCATACTTTTCATATGCAGTTTTTTTTCAGTTTCTATCTCTTTGCTTACAAAATACCACTGCTACATTGACATTTATCAAAATCTTTCAAGCTGCATACTTCAAGGCACCTCTTTAGTGAGGCAATTTAGAATCTGAATTATATATCATTTATAACTTCTTTAAATCTCCTACTAACCACTTGGATATTTTTGTGCTTTTTGTTGATTTTTTTTGTATGATGTTTCTGTTGATATATTTTTCAAACTATGTAACATCCCTGAAGGTCAGAACTGTATTTTTATGACATTTTTAACCTTTGTATCCCCTAGTATATTGCTTTGCACACAGTAAGTGCTAAGCAAAAATGTTAATATAATCAAGCTGAATATAATTGAATTATGGCTATTGCCCAAACTTTTGCTAATATTACCTTTATCCAGATAGTCCTAAACCTTTTTAGCAACATTAAACTTTTAGCAGTGTTAAGCATTGGAAAGAATCTTAACTGCAGGTTGCATTAACCATTGCATTGTTTAGGATGCTTTTCCCTGAGGTAACATAACTCCTGACTCAGGGTCACCACAGTAAACAATCCAGAAACATCCTTCATATTGGAGTCTATGCAAATAGCACCCACTGGAGTTCTATAAAACACCACCTGTGCAACCATATGCAGAGGGACTTGATCCTAAACAAGAATTAAATGTACTATTCATTTAACTGGAAGTACAAAAGTAGAACAAATGCAAACTTGACTTAATTCCCATGGTTATGCCTCCAACTCTTTGGTCTGCCTATGCTACATCCTTCTTTCCATATATTGTTTTCAGCCTCTGGCTAGCATCTCCCATCATTAAAAAAGTCTATAATTGTTTCAAGATTTGTAATCATATACCATGATATCCTGAGATATCTGAAGATAAAGAGAATTTTTATTTTTTTGTTGTCCTTTATTCTTAAAATATTTTTAAAAAGTAAACTTATTTCATGGAAATCCTGGCAAATATACTTTAAAAAAATGGTGTGGATTGTGTCATATATCTATTTCTGTGGTCAGAGAAATACCATTAGGTAATTGGTGTAATTAGAGTTCCTGAACTTTATACTTTCACCAGGGATTAAGTTTACTTGCAGACCAGTCATAACTAAGCTTGGAGCTGGGAGTAGGAGCAAGCTGGAGGGGGAGTCTATGTTGAATGAATAAGAGATAACAATAGAAAATAAACAGATTATTTTAGAGGAAGTGTGAAATTGGTTAAGCAACCAACTACATAAATTACATCTGGGTATTTAAAATGTCAAAAACTCGTACTTCACATGCTAAAATTATTGTCATTAATATAATGAATAATGTCTTACTATCCTGGACCTGTTCAATCATCTTCATTCCCTTTTCACTCCTGGGTAAAATTAAGAATAACCTGATATATATCCTGAACCAAAACTTTATCTATATTGTGTGCCTTATATAATCAAATTGCAAATCGTTTTGGGTAAAAGGTAAAGTGAACATTGTAACTAATTATATTTTATAGTTATGTAGTGCAAGTATTAAGGTTTAACACTGTTCAACTTACCACTTATTTTACACTTGTTAGCATTAAAAGTGTTTCATATATTTAATTAGCTCTTTCTTCTTCCATTCTTGACAAGTAGAATGTCATCAACTTAACAGAGGAAGATATTCATCCACCCAAAAATTTAATGAACTGACCAAGGACACAGAGTGAGACTGACAAAAATTTAGTGTCCATGCTAGCAGTGTTAAAATTGCCCTACCAAATCGAACATGTTATGCTTGATTTGGAATGTGGGGTCACATTAAAGACTGATTGCTCAGCAATAAATCTAGCCAATGGGGAAGTAATATTAATAAGCCATTAAAATGGCTAAACTTATAACACTGACCATGCACAGTCTGTTAAGATATTTTTTAATGTAAAGGGACAGTCATTATCAAGACATGGCATAATAAAAAATAAAATAACATACATAGATATTTCCCCAGTTGATGGCCAAATGGAGAAAGATTCCTATAATTGTTTATCCCAATTTCTCATATACAACTCTTAATTCTTAATGGTCAAATACGCTAATAATATTTTAAAGTGCTTTTTTTTGAATCTGAAGTATGAGATGTTTTTCCAAGACAAAGGGTGTTTAATTATACTGTGCACTCATTTTAAGTTAACCTCCTGAGGAAATGGTTGCATCTTCTGCACAAAAGGATGCTAACAGTTACAAAATAGAAAACTGGGAGATTCTGGCTGTGTGACCTGAGAGATTAAAATTAATTTCTTTCTTCAGTGATTTATATCATTAACTTTGAAAGTGATATCTTATCCTTTTTCCTTATACCTAAACAAAGTTTGTGGAGCTCTATGTTAAAACCTAATGTCTTAGAGTCTGAAGGGCATATATTGAAATTACATCTTATTTCCTAAAGGTTAACTCAAATCTACTGGGAGAAGCTGACTATAAGAAGAGCATCTGATAGATATTCCAGCTCAGCTGCATACAGAGACTTCATCAGCTCATGTCATGCCCAGAGTTAGCCTTTCAGTTCCAAGGCTATTTTTCCCATTTCCTTATTCACTGTGCTCCCTGACTTCAAGTTCAATGCCAGGATTGTGGAATCAGGTCATTTGAATAAAACATAAAAAGTATTATTAGGTACAGAGCTAAATGTAGGTCATATTTGAGAACAAATAATATTATATTTAATCATCTAAAAAAAGCTAAGAGGAATTCTGTTATCAAGGAAATATTTGTTTTCTTTGACTTAAATGCTGCTTATAGTCCTAATATTCCATAGTTTCTTTGAAGCTAATATTTTGCTTTTAATTATGAAAATCAGTTAGGAATATTGAGGTACACAGATAAAAATGGTATTAGTATAAACATGCAATTTATAAAATAGGAAATCAATGATGCTAATAAGCATAAGATATACTCAAAATTATTAGTACTCACAAAAATAAAAATTAAAAAACACAGTAAGCTACTATTTATATCTATTTGGCTAAAAGAATCAGAAAGCTGGATATTGCCTTACGCTAGCAGTGATGTTGGTATATAGAAATTCTGACACATTTCTGAAGACAATATAGACTAATATAGCCATTGTGAAGAGCAACCTGTAAAGTCATTTAAATGTGCATATAATTTATGATTAGGGTAAACATACAACTTTGAGATTGAAAGAGGAAGCTATTTATATTTACTCTGAGACAATAAACTTATTTCAAGCCTGTTCCAAGCAAGGTAACTGTATATGTCAACTTATTTATGACAGTAATTTTGTTCTTAGGAACCGTATTCCAAAGAATTTTACTCAAAGATCTATAGATGTAGGCATACAAGAATCAATATGGAAGAGTAGAAAAATGAATATTTTTGTTAATACTCAAACACTAACTGAAATAAAACTAACTAATTAATTTATATTGATACTCCCAGTTATGGCAATACAATAGTATAACTTTTTATTAGTTCTTATTTGATTATCGTGGGATTTAATATTTTAATAAATTAAATGGCTGTTATTACTAATTTCTTTTTGGTAATTTTCTCTTTTTTCACTTGGTATCTTGGTGCTTTATTTTATACCTCTATGAACTCATTGTGGTTTTCAATTCGGTAGTGAATTTTCCCTTTTTACTTTAGTTATAATATTGGATCCTTTGTATTAATTCTTCTAAATAAAATTGATAAAATTATTTTAACTTTTATTGATATTTTTATGAAATTGCAATAAGCCTAAAACAAATTTATGAAAATTTATATCACTTATATTATTCCATTTCCCATTAAAATATGATTCCTTTATTAAAGTCTTATGTAATCATGTTTCTCAATACTGATTTGTTATTCATTTTGTATAACTGCAATATATACCTTACAAATATTGTTGTAAATTTCATTCTAAATTGACACACAATACTAAATATTTATGAGGTAGAGCATGATGTTTCAATACATGTATACATTATGTAAAAATCTAGTCAGAGTATTTAATATATCCATCACTTCATATATTTATTCCTTCTTTGTGGGGAGAACATTCAAAACATCTCTTACAGATACTCTAAATTACACAATATTAGAAAAATACATATAACATGATACTGTTATAATCAGGTTTTAAAATATTATTTATCATCAGGTATACACATATGCATTACACAAGCATAAATAAGCACATGGAATGATAAAAAGTAACACGAAACTACTTTCTGTGTGTTTTCCTGATGTTGCTATAAGGAAATGCAACTAGAAAGTGGCATACTAGAATAATTGGACTACATTTGCAGTATTTTGCTGTATGAAAATTATGGTTGGCATATCTGGTGTGGTGAACAGATTTGGAAGTGTTTGTTCCATCACTCTTAGTGAATTTTTGTTTGTCTAGACTATTTCTTAATTTTAAACAAAGTATTTCCTAATTTTCAACAAAATGTTTAATAGTATGTAGAGATCCAGTGGAGACACACGTCAAGAATAATTTGAAGCCCAAAAGATTTGTTTCCAGAATATATAAAGTACACCAACAAATTAATAATAAAAAGACAAACAAGACTAACAACACAGTAAAATGGGCAGAAGACATGAATATACACTTCAGGGATCATATGAGTGATTGCTAAAGACATGCAAAAGGTGCTTGACATCATTAATCAACAGGAAAATGAAAGTGAAAAGCCACAACTAGATACCATTTTACATCTATCAAAATGGTTATAATGTAATAGTTTGACAATACCCAGAGTTAGTGAGGATATGGAGGCGTAGAAATTATCATATACTGCTGGGTGGAATGTAAAATGGTACAGCCATTTTGGAAAACTCTTTGTCAGTTTCTTACAGTGTTAAGCAGACATAACTTAGCAATTCCACAATGTCCAAGAGACATGAGGGCATATATACACACAATACCTAAAGGAATCTCTAGAGCAGTGTTATTTTTTCAATGGGAAAGAAACAACTCAAATTTCCATCCATAGGATAATAAACAAATTGTGGTATATAAACACAATGGAATCCTATACTGCAATGATAAGGAAAGAACTACTGGCCACAAACACAATAATACACCCCGTATGAAGTGTACATAATTTACATGAAGTTCAAGAACAGAGAAAACTAATATATGGAAATCGAAATCAGAATAGTGATAAGCTTCTGACAAGGGGTTAAGATTAGGTTAGATGGACCGGTGGGTGACGTGCATGAGGAAATTTTTCATATGATAGAAATGTAATAGTATTATGGACAAAATTCATTGAATTTTACATGAAAATTATAACATTAATAAATAAAAATAACTTTGTGTCACTGTCTCATTATAAGGTTGAGTAGCATCGAAAGAAAATTTTGTAGTTTGCTCTGGGAAAGGAGGAAGATTCAGTTTTTTAGGGCTCTTATATGTGGTCTGTTGAAATATTTTTGCCCTCTCCTTGGATGTATATAGGAACAGGACACATTTTACTCAAAGAAGCACAACAGAAGCTAGGCTAATGAATCTTGAAATGTGTCTGCCAAATGATAGAAAGAAATGTGTGTGCATGATCTGTGAAATACAGAAATGTTTTGTGCCATGATTTATGGTAGTACTGCATAAAAGTCTAAAATCTTAGAGCTTCATATTTATACGACATTAAGCCCCATTTTACCTGCCTTCTAGCTCAACAGGGCTGATTATTCTTTATTGTAATTCATTTTCTTTTCTCAGTGTATAACTCTATTATCAATCACACATGATTTATCTGCTTCTTGATTCAAATTACTGTGGTATACCTGGTTCAGATGACACCATACAGATTTTAGAAAGGAAATGCATCACTCTCTGTGAAGAAGAATTAAAGGACAGAAGAAAAAATGAAATTATTTGGAAGAAAAAGGAGTGAAGATGGATAAAAAGTAGTCTATCCAATTTTTAAGGTGTCTTCTGGTCTGTGTAAATCAGGAGAAAAATTAAATGCTCATTATTTCCAGTTGGGCATCTACCTTTAAATCCATTTTGGAAACAAAATGGCCCTACCATATATTTAAGAAGCTCTATCCTCATGTGATTGCCCAGTTACTGTATGAATTATAATGAACACACTGTTCCATTAGCATGTCTATAGTTGAAGCAGGTTAGAAAGAGAGAATATCTGTTCAGTCCTCACTCTTTGGCTATGGCCTATATATGATCTATGGCAAAAACAAAGAAACAAATCAACAAAAATAACAAAAAGCACAGTCAGAAGCAAGGGCTAATTTCTCTAAAAGCAGCCTCTATAGGGAATTTATGGTGAGAGAGAAGCAAACAATGTCTATGCCGTATATAAAAGTAGAATTCTAATCACAGTCCAGGAGTAACCACTTTGAGAAGGCAAACCACAGCTTCTACAGCAAGTATCCCCAAATGATCAGAACTTGGGCAATGCATGTTAGCTATCCTAATTTTTATCCCCTCCATCCCTGCTTCCAACTCAGGATCATCTAGGGTAAGCAAATATGCTTCCTAAACCAATCACATAGAATGCTGGTTATCATCTCAGCTCTAGCTTTCACATAACAACAACCTCCAAGGTATACCTAAAGCATTCCCTTTTTTGCCTTCTGCTCTAAAGCATTCCAACTTCCTTGTTTGCCTTTGAATATCTGCCAAATGCAAGCGATGGTGGCTGATTTTCTTGCTATCGCAAAACCTAAATAAGTAGGTGCTGTGGTTTGAATGTGTCTCCCAAAAGTTCATGTGTTGGAAATTTGGTGCTCAATGCAGCATTGTTACCTTTGGGAGGTCATTGGGTCGTAATGGCTCTGCCCTCATGTATGTATTAATCTATTCATGGGCTAATAGATTAATGAATTAAGGGACTTTCAAGGGAATGGGATAGCTATCATGAGAGCGGTTATTTTATAAAAGCCAGCTTGACTATCTGTAATAAGCCCTCTTGCCATGCGATGCCCTGCACCACCTCAGGACTCTGCAGAGAGTCCCAACTAGCAAGAAGGCCATCTCCAGATGCAGTCCTTTGACCTTAGATTTCCTAGCCTCAGAACTGTAAGAAATGAATTTCTTTATAAATTATCCAGTTTTAGGTACCCTGTTATAGCAACACAAAATGGACTAAGACAATAGCCTATGGTCATTCTCATGTAAGTGGTCTTTGCTGATTCCCTCAAGGGACAAGATAGAACCGTGGATTTCTCCCTGCTTGCCATTCTCCTTTATTTCTTTGAATGAGCAAGTAGGAGCTAATAACTCAATAAAGATTATTGAAAATTGTAAGAATCTTAGGAGATTTTGGAAATCAAAGAGTAGAGAAAGGGTGGCCAACAGTGCTAATTCCCACCGAAAAAGTATGTAAACTAAATAAGAAGAGAAAAGCATTTTACAGGCCATTGCTGACTGTGAAAGAGCAGTTTCAAGTGCAGTGGAAGGAAGGAAAGGAAGAACGAAATGTTTGTGTAATATAATTCAGAAGTGGGGGCATTAACTGAAGAAATGTTTATAGAACAACAATTAGCTGTTTTAAAAGGCAAGGCAATAGAGCATTGTTTTAGGATAATGGAACACACAGACTTAGATATTGTTACTGTAGAGGATAGAGATGAGATGTTAGATTGGAATAAAATTGGAGGGAGGAGGTAGAGAAAGAAAGATAGAGAGATAAGAAGGATGCAAAAGAATACCTCAAATTCAGGAAATACTCACTGCTGTAGGGGAGTAATATAAAGACCTAAACCAACCAATAGAAATCAAAAATAGATGTTTACATCTGCAGGGAACCTGGGTAGGATTTGAATCTCATTAAATAATTTAACAGGTGAGATAACAGAAGCTTAGAAATTCACAGATGAAATAGGCAGTCAGGTCCGGGCGCAGTGGCTCACGCCTGTAATCCCAGCACTTTGGGAGGCTGAGGCGGGCGGATCACTTGAGGTCGGGAATTCAAGACCAGCATGACCAACATGGAGAAACCCCGTCTCTACTAAAATACAAAAAATTAGCCGGGCATAGTGGCACATGCCTGTAATCCCAGCTACTCGGGAGGCTGAGGCAGGTGATTCGCTTGAACCTGGGAGGCGGAGGTTGTGGTTAGCCGAGATCGCGCCATTGCCCTCCAGCCTGGGCAACAAGAACGACACTCCATCTCAAAAAAAAAAAAAAAGAAAGAAAAAAGAAAAAAAGAAATAGGAAGTCAGAGATATTGGGGGACACCTAGAATAAATAGGGTCACAGAATTCTAAGTAATGGAGAGTATATTTTTATCATTGCTTATTACAAGCCCTAACCCTAAACTACTGTGATTGTTCCAGAATTACTTTAGACAGGCTTTGAGGTTAGGCTAGACTCCCATTTTTAAATCCCTGCTATGCCATTTACCATTAGTCTTATTTTAGGTAATTAATTAACACTTTGAATTCTCAATTTCTTCATCTGGAAAAGAAGAATAGTAACTGTACCTCATAGAGATAAACAGAGGCAATGGAAGTAAAGTTCTCAGTATCACACCTGACTTAGAGCTGATAGTAAAAATGAGGAAATGCTTCTCGACTTGAATAAAATATACGAATACTTTTCATTTTATTATTGTTTGGCATTTTTAGGTATATATACATACACATACACATATACATGCACACATGGATATAAACACTCATACACCCATACATCTCAACAAGCATGTGAGAGAGGCAGGGTAAAAGCTGTCTTTATTTTATATAAGAGGACTTTGAAGGTAAAGGCTATTATGTGATTTGCCCAAGGTCTTATATGCAATAGTAGAAGCCGAACTCAAACCCAGGATATCTGATTTTCTGGGGCCTTGGAAGCCCCAGATTCATGGATATGCTTATATTCTTCCAAGAAAAATTATAGGGCTGGGTGTGGTGGCTCACGCCTGTAATCCCAGCACTTTGGGAGGCCGAGGTGGGCAGATCATGAGGTCAAGAGATCAAGACCATCCTGGTCAACATGGTGAAACCCCGTCTCTACTAAAAATACAAAAATTAGCTGGGCATGGTGGTGTGTGCCTGTAATCCCAGCTACTCGGGCAGCTGAGGCAGGAGAATTGTTTGAACCTGGGAGGCGGAGGTTGCAGTGAGCCGAGATCACACCACTGCGCTCCAGCCTGGCGACAGAGCAAGACTCCGTCTCGAAAAAAAATAATAATAATAAAAAAAGAAAAGAAAAAGAAAAATTATGGATAAGCTTATATTCTTCCAAGAAACTTGGCAATTCTCCTAGTGGTTCTAGAAAATCTTCATTAAGTTTCAAAGAGGTAGGCAGAGTGACTGTCAAGGACAGGAGACATTTGAGCCCTGTCATATGTATATTTCTGTATGTTAGAGTCCAGGAAGATTCTTCAGGATAATTTTGTCTGATCTCTTCTTTTGCACATGATAAACAAAACAATATGTCCCACTTTGCAGCAGAAAAGCTCCTGGAGCCAGCTTCACTAACCAGTAATCTTATCAATGCAAAGCTTCTATTATTTGTCAAATATAATGTAAAAAATATGTTTTGCTGAGATAACTTGCCAGGAAAATAACTGATGAGAAATTGAGAAATGAGGTATAATGGAAAAATGGTATTTGTATTTACAGTTTTACATATTTATTTCTATAAGTGTTTGCTATTTTAAAAAGGTGCTTCTTGTCCATTCCTGTCATTTAAAGTGCATTTATTCCTGACCTATAAATGTGTGCTGACATGTACCAATGGTATGTTCCTTACTTTGCAATTTTACATACTTGTTACAAAAATAAGATAAATATTTAGTGATATTAAATATGGTCATTTATAAATAGTTTTATAATGTATATATTTTGCATATTATCTCATTGCATTTTTGAAACACTTGTATAAAATAATGATTATTATTTTATACAGTTTATAAATAAAATATATTTGAAACAACCAAAAACTAATTTTTTACTAAAAACAATGAAAAGTAATTGACATGTCAGAAATGTTATACTTTTGAGTATTTTGGCAAATTTAAAATATAATTTATATTTTCAAATATAAGAATTGTGAGGTTACATATTTTCAGCTTGCTAACCTTGCTAACCTGCTAGCTACATATTTTCAACCTGCTAACCTGCTAGCTTCATGTCTATAGGAGTTTATACGAGGAGATGCCAATCATATGCATGGAATATGGATTCCAGTTTCCCGTACTTGTGAGCTGTGATAAAATGTTTTCTGAAACCATGTTAGTAAGAGAAAAGGAGTTTCTTCTTCAAGGCTAAAAATGGTGGAATACAGAAAGGAAAGACAAGTTACTATAAGGTGGAAAACTTTCCCTAAGTAGGACATGACTCTAATTTGATTGAAGAGATTAACATATTTAAAGAAAGAATGTATTAACTATTAGACTTAGAAAACAAAAAAGAATGAGGTAAACATGGAGTGTATCCAACTAGGCACTACTTAATATAAAGAGACATTCCTGATCTAAGCACTTAACCTGTGCTATTCCCAGACAAGGCATATGCTTTCTGTGAACATAACATATGCCTCATTATCTTAGCCTGAGACAATTAAATATCCAAATTATATAATTAACTCGTGAGATACTAACCCCAAGGTCAAAAAGCAACCTTCTGCTCAGTTCAATTCTCTTGTTGAATGTCTTTAGAAAAGTCTTGTCTTGCACTGTCCATTATGGTAGTCACTAGCCATAGGTTGTGAGATAGTGGCAATGGTGGTAGTCAGTGATCAGTGGAGAGTCGGTAATTGAAGAGAGACAGAGGCAGCAGGATGGTGAGAGCAAGAAGCTTGAGACACTGGGAGGATGAGACAGCAAGAGGCAGAGATTGACAAGAGACAGCAAGACATTGGTCAAAAGCTGCAGAGCTCTAACCCTGAGTCTGTATCAATCAAGAGCTGTTAACACTACAGAGCTGTCCCACTAGCCAAAGGCTCTTTTAAGAGCCATCATCCTTCACAGTGGGCAGCAGAGCTGAGGGAATTGGCAAGTGGCCATGGTGACGCCTCATGTGAAACCAGCTACTCCTACCAGGAGGCCAGCAAGTCACCTATCCCTGTGCTGCCTCTGGCATGGCAGCCAAGCCCACCCAAGCCGAGGAAACCCGGAGAGACCTTCACCTGGGTCCCACATGGAAGATCAGTCAACGCCATTTGGGCTCGTCTAGTCCTCTCTGACCGCCATCCCCCAACGCCCCCTCCCCTCCACCACCAACTCACCAACCAACATTAGTTAAGCTAGGGAATAAAAGTCTTTGGCTAAGTGGTAGTTAAAAGTCCATGGTCATTTGAGTGCCCCAAAACGTGTTCTTGTCACCCCTTCCCCCAGTCCTTTCTCCTTCGATTCCACTTTATTCCTCTGCCAATCATGTTATTTTTCTGTTTAAAAAAGTGAATGTTTTGTGTGAAGTCTTTTTTTTTCTTTGACTCCCTGGGCAATTGTTTTTTTGTGTGTGTGTGTTTGTTTTGTTTTGTTTTCATTTTATTATGATTATACTTTAAGTTTTAGGGCACATGTGCACAATGTGCATGTTAGTTACATAAGTATACATGTGCCATGCTGGTGTGCTGCATCCATTAACTCGTCATTTAGCGTTAGCTATATCTCCTAATGCTATCCCTCCCCCCTTCCCCCACCCCACAATGGTCCCCAGAGTGAGATGTTCCCCTTCCTGTGTCCATGTGTTCTCATTGTTCAATTCCCACCTATGAGTGAGAACATGCGGTGTTTGGTTTTTTGTCCTTGTGATAGTTTACTGAGAATGATGATTTCCAATTTCATCCATGTCCCTACAAAGGACACGAACTCATCCTTTTTATGGCTGCATAGTATTCCATGGTGTATGTGTGCCACATTTTCTTAATCCAGTCTATCATTGTTGGACATTTGGGTTGGTTCCAAGTCTTTGCTATTGTGAATAGTGCCGCAATAAACATACGTGTGCATGTGTCTTTATAGCAACATGATTTATATTCCTTTGGGTATATACCCAGTAATGGGAGGGCTGGGTCAAATGATATTTCTAGTTCTAGATCCCTGAGGAATCGCCACACTGACTTCCACAATGGTTGAACTAGTTTACAGTCCCACCAACAGTGTAAAAGTGTTCCTATTTCTCCACATCCTCTCCAGCACCTGTTGTTTCCTGACTTTTTAATGATCACCATTCTAACTGGTGTGAGATGGTATCTCATTGTGGTTTTGATTTGCATTTCTCTGATGGCCAGTGATGGTGAGCATTTTTTCATGTGTTTTTTGGCTGCATAAATGTCTTCTTTTGAGAAGTGTCTGTTCATGTCCTTTGCCCACTTTTGGATGGGGTTGTTTTTTTCCTGCAAATGTGTTTGAGTTCATTGTAGATTCTGGATATTAACCCTTTGTCAGATGAGTAGGTTGCAAAAGTTTTCTGCCATTTTGTAGGTTGCCTGTTCACTGTTCACTCTGATGGTAGTTTCTTTTGCTGTGCAGAAGCTCTTTGGTTTAATTAGATCCCATTTGTCAATTTTGGCTTCTGTTGCCATTGCTTTTGGTGTTTTAGACGTGAAGTCCTTGCCCATGCCTATGTCCTGAATGGTAATGCCTAGGTTTTCTTCTAGGGTTTTTATGGTTTTAGGTCTAATGTTTAAGTCTTTAATCCATCTTGAATTAATTTTTGTATAAGGTGTAAGGAAGGGATCCAGTTTCAGCTTTCTACATATGGCTAGCCAATTTTCCCAGCACCATTTATTAAATAGGGAATCCTTTCCCCATTGATTGTTTTTCTCAGGTTTGTCAAAGATCAGATAGTTGTAGATATGCGGTGTTATTTCTGAGGGCTCTGTTCTGTTCCATTGATCTATATCTCTGTTTTGGTACCAGTACCATGCTGTTTTGGTTACTGTAGCCTTGTAGTATAGTTTGAAGTCACGTAGCGTGATGCCTCCAGCTTTGTTGTTTTGGCTTAGGATTGACTTGGCGATGCGGGCTCTTTTTTGGTTCCATATGAACTTTAAAGTAGTTTTTTCCAATTTGTGAAGAAAGTCATTGGTAGCTTGATGGGGATGGCATTGAATCTATAAGTTACCTTGGGCAGTATGGCCATTTTCACGATATTGATTCTTCCTACCCATGAGCATGGAATGTTCTTCCATTTGTTTGTATCCTCTTTTATTTCACTGAGCAGTGGTTTGTAGTTCTCCTTGAAGAGGTCCTTCACATCCCTTGTAAGTTGGATTCCTAGGTATTTTATTCTCTTTGAAGCAATTGTGAATGGGAGTTCACTCATGATTTGGTTCTCTGTTTGTCTGTTATTGGTGTATAAGGATGCTTGTGATTTTTGTACATTGATTTTGTATCCTGAGACTTTGCTGAAGTTGCTTATCAGCTTAAGGAGATTTTGGGCTGAGACAATGGGGTTTTCTAGATATATAATCATGTCATCTGCAAACAGGGACAATTTGACTTCCTCTTTTCCTAATTGAATATCCTTTATTTCCTTCTCCTGCCTAATTGCCCTGACCAGAACTTCCAACACTACGTTGAATAGGAGTGGTGAGAGAGGGCATCCCTGTCTTGTGCCAGTTTTCAAAGGGAATGTTTCCAGTTTTTGCCCATTCAGTATGATATTGGCTGTGGGTTTGTCATAGATAGCTGTTATTAATTTGAGATACGTCCCATCAATACCTAATTTATTGAGAGTTTTTAGCATGAAGCGTTGTTGAATTTTTTCAAAGGCCTTTTCTGCATCTATTGAGATAATCGTGGTTTTTGTCTTTGGTTCTGTTTATACACTGGATTACATTTATTGATTTGCGTATATTGAACCAGCCTTACCTCCCTGGGCAATTGTTTAAGGCAGGACAATTGATTGTGAGAGGTCCCCCATTGTGTGGACTCATGGAGGCCAGAGTCATGTTGTTCTGTGGCTCCAACCAGGCCTTTGGGGTTCACTGTTGGATGCCTCCCTGATGCTCCAGGGATTTTGGCATTTGGTTGGTCCTCAGATTCTCCAGGGTTTCTGGCATTTGGTGTGGGGATGCTGCTTGGCTGATGCTTGGGTACTCCAGGTTTTTGGCTTTTGGTATTGTTGGCCAGCCCTTGGATGCTCTGGGGTTTTCAGCATTGGCATTCCTTCTAGGATTGTGTGTTGGAGGCCCACCCTGGGGGAATCTTAGTCTTGCCTTTTCTTTTTTTCTGCCCTAAAGTTATCACTTCTATAATAGCATTTTCTTTTCTTACTATCACTTTATTTACTTTTCCTTATTGCTTAATAAAAATACTTCTTTTGTTGTATTTCTTTCACCAGCAGATGCTTATAATCCACTTTCATAACACCTTGATATCTATACTTACACCTTCTCTGCAGGAAGTGAGAATCTGAAAAGGGAAAAATAGCAAGGGCCTACTTGTATTCCCTCTTTCTAGACTTAGAGAAACTTCTGTGTCCAGTAAAAATCCTTGTTAGTCATGGGGACAATGATAAGCATTACAGGGGAATCACGATGGGTATCATTTAGGCTATTGGAGCAAATTCATATTTGGCTTAAAGAAAAAGATACTTGCTTTATATTGCAACATTGGTTAATCTCTATTAGAAACCAACAGATTTGGCTTAAACATGGTTCTATAAGTGGTAATGATATTTCACAATTGGACTTATTCTGTAAAAAAAAGATGGAAAATAAAAAGAAGTCCCTTATGTACAGGTTTTTATGGCCCTTTACTGGTTCCTGTTGCTTCCGGGCACTAGGAAGCTGCACCTAAGGGATCTCCTCCTAGCTACTCCCTTTAGAAGGCCTACGCCCTCCCCAGAATCTCTTCAGTCCTCTAATTCTGGGTAGCGGAGTCCAACTAGATCTCTAATGAAGGATCCCACTGCAAGATCATCAGGCATCCCTTCTCCCTTATCCATAGCCTCAGCCTATAATAGACCTCACTGCCCAAGAAAGTAAGCTCAACCAGTACCACCAGGAATGAGGCCCCATATCAGCCCCTAAAGTCAAACCTATGTTAAATGTAGGAGGCAGCTGATGGAAATGGGGCAACACTTGGAGTACATGTGCCATTTTTATGTCTAATTTGGCTTTATACAAGAAAATAATTTGGCCAGTTTTCAGAGAACCCAGAAAAATTTATGGAGGAGTTTGTTAATCTATGTTCTTTGATTTAACTTGTCATGACTTACAAATATTGTCATCTGCTTCTGTGCTGTGAGAAAAAAGAAGAGGAAAAAGTATGTGGTTAAGCCAGTCAATTATGACAAGGTTAGAGAAATAGCTCAGGGAAAAGTCATTCAGTTGAGGCACTCAGGAAATGTGCTTAAACAGACCCAGACTCCCCAGAAGGGCAAGCTCTCCCGGGTATACATTTTATTACCTAATCTGCATCTAACATCAGAAGGAAGCTACAAAAAGCAGCAGTGGGACCTCAAACCCCTATAAGCCAACCCTAACATGGCATTTAAAGTGTGCAACAATAGGGACAGGGCAAAAGGGTTGATAAAACAAATAGCCAAAAGGTGCAAATATTAGCCAATACTTCAAGCCCCCTGCCCTCTCAGGTCTACCCATTTTGAGAAAGTATTGTGGAATCAGTGAGATGCCCAGAAGAGGCCCTGACTTGCCAGCCCATGGGCCAGAATCAGTATGCCTACTACTGTAAGCCAGAGGGCTACTGACGATGAGAATATCTTAATTGTCCCTGGTGAGAGACCAAAAAAGCACCCCATCAATTCTAGAGTTAACCATCTTCACTAGCCCAGAGAGTTGCCTTGCTCAAGTAAGTTTACTGGGGTCTCTGACCCTTGACATGACAAACGGCTTTCCACAGTGGAAGACAAGTGGCCACTTGAATATTTTTGTTCAGTGTCACCACTGTTGGGTGACTTCTGCAGTGGCTCAGGAACTCCAGAATCTCCCTTTGAGCAATACCGTTCACCTGCTTCCTTCCTTATTTGATGTTATAGGACCCCCTTCTCTGCCTCTGTCTTCCATACCTACTGGGACAAACATGATTTGGACAGGTAGATGAATCTCAATTTTGTAAATAACTTGAAATCAGTTGTTATTTATAGGGGGTTTTATTTGATTTATTTGTTTAGGTGTATATGCAGATATTGTGATGCACATTGTGTCTAGCAGGTTGTCAAATGGCTTTTAAATTATCACTCATAAATTGAACAAGACTAGTCTAAACTTATTAGTTTGAAGAGAGTGTTGTATCTTCTAAAATTTAACTTTAAGATTTTCACCTATGTAAATCACTGATGTTCATGGGCTTTAACATGGTTAAAATGACTTTAAATGGTGACTAGTTTGCGTACTATCTTGCTTCTTGTAGGTGGTCTAGGTAAAACTGAAAAAAATTAAATATATGTGAATGGAATACATGTAAACAGTGAGCTTTTTGTATAGTAAAAATCTTAAAATTACAAAATGGTTCTCATCTATAGAATACCAATGTCTGGTGGGAAGTTCAGGACTTCTTTCCTAGGTTTATATAAAATGTGTCAAAGAAGATGTATTCTTTATTGGAATAAAAAAACTTTTGTCTAATTCAGAAGTTATTAAAAGGGAGGTTCAAAATATGAGGGAACCAATGAACAGAAGAGAGACATAAAGTTATGAATAGAAAATATATTTTTTTTTGCAAGGAAGGATTTGAAGAAAGAGTAATTTTGTATGAGGAAGGATCTTATATAGTAAATTCTTTCCTACAATTTAATTGAATATTTAAGAAAGAGGTAGTATAAGACAAATAAAAAATTTGAAGCAAGTTATGGATGGTCAGTGTAAGTCTTGATAAGGTTCATTAAAAGACGATTTATGAAATAAATTTTGTGTGTGATTAAGCTAACTATAATAAAGTATGAAAGGAGTATGAACTAATAGACGTGTTCAATTTACCATTCAGAGAGCCTGAATTAGTTATTTATATTCAATAAAAATAATATGAATGCTGAATTAAGTGCACTACTGCTGAGGCAGTAACTGGGGCCAGTAGCCCACTGGATGAGAGGCAGTGATGAAGAAGAATCACATGTCTTATATCACCCTACATGCTTATTTTTCTCCCCCACCCATTATTCATGCAATGATCCTGCTACTAAAGAGCTAAGGTTGGCATTTACTGCCAATTTTTTGGAAGGCAGGCACATCATTGAAGGATTTGTGGAAGAAACGAAGCTTGAAGGCAGTCATTTTCTTCATTGAACGTAGGAATTAATTCATTGCTGTCTCTTTCACAGCAAAAAGAATTAAATAAGACAAGCAGGGAGGACAATGCCCTAGAGTGCAAGATCGGCTTATTAACTTTGATAAACTGGATGCGATAGCAGTTTATTAAGGGTATCCCACCCAGTTTATTAAGGTTAATAAGCTGATCTCGATTGTTGTTTTTGTTTTTTGTTTCCAAAGAAGAGCAATTTTGATAGACAAGTTTCTAGATCTCACCAGTTTATAAGGGTATCCCATCCAGTTTATTAAGGTTAGTAAGCTGATTTTTTGCAGTCTAGAATGCTTGGTTTTTCTTATGGGTAACAGCCTCCTTCACATTCCTGCAATTATAGCAGGGGCATGGACAATTGAAGAGTGACGTCAAAAGGCTTTTCTGGTAGAGGTGCCAAGTTTTGGGAAGTGCCAAGTTTCAGGAAATGCATGGAAGCAGAAAGGCACAGACATATTCAGGAAATAATGAGTTTCAGACTCTGAGAAAGATAACCGAGTTCATGTAGAAGAGTTAAGGGACATAAAGGTGTAGAAATAAAATCAGACAACCTAAGGTGAGAAAAATATCTGAAAGAGCATCAAACTCAAATCTCTGTTCTATGCAGATATCATTTCTGACTCTTCTACGTCTTTAGCATTCTGAAGTAGGGGTCATTCTGATTCAGCATGGAGACTTCCAGGGAAAGACTGTAACTACTCTAGTGGAATCATGGTTTTTTCGTTTGGTTTGTTTTTAAGTAGCATTTCTATTTCTTATTTTCAATTACTTGGGAACAGATAGTAAACACAAAGTTAAGGTGTTCAAATTGGGGAGACATTTCTTTTTCCTAAGGCTATGCCTTAAGAAAAAGAGCAGAAACATAGAAGAGGTAAGGAGAAACTAGAAATGTGTATAGTATTTGAATAATATTGAATAGTGAAAATAAAGGAAGTAAATGTTAATCCAGAGTGGTAAGCCCTGTTTAACAAAAGCAGTTTGAATTATATAAAAATGATGACACATTTCATTTTTAAATGGCTGGATTTAAACTTAAAGTGGGTATACAAGGGAATATACAAGAAATCAATTGTCACCTACCTTTGGTCCGTTGCAACAAAACCCACATAAAGCCCAGCTAAATCAGAATAGAGGTTGAGAAAATTGGGAAAATTTTATTAGTGAATTTTGTAATGTTTTCATTATTATTTTTTTCCTTATGGGCCTTTGACAATGAAATTAGCACTTTCTAAATATTTATTAAATATGTAGTAGCTTTACTAAAGAAAGGAAGGATGAAAGAGAAAAAGAAAGGAGATAAATAAGGACGAGAGAAGGGAGGAAGGGAAGGAGGGAGAAAGAAGAAAAAAGAATAATAAGGAAGGAAGGAAGGAAGGAGGGAAGGAGGGAGGGAGGAAGGAACAGAGGGAGGGAGGAAAGAAGGAAAGGAAAAAAGGAAGGAATACCAGGGTGTTTGCTTAGAACTGTGAATGAAAGCACAGAATAAGAAAGCAGTTGGTCCTCAGCTATCATAACACATAGTAGTGTCATTGTCAGGGCCTAGATTGATCACAAGGCCTTAAGAAAATGAGAAATTGTTTTAGTTTCCAAAGAAGTCGAGAGCAATTTTGAAGAAAAATTTCTAGACCTCACTATATTCCATTGTTGTAACTAAATACAGGCATAACAAGGCTTATGTTGTATAGAAGGCTTGTAGGGAAACCTATTTTCTCCAGGCTTATCTTTTTTATTAGAATGATTACAATGTTTTGATACATTATTTATTTTTATAGTTGCTGGTATAGACAGAGTTTGGGATATATATCCCAAAGATAAAAACTGCATTTTTGACTTCTTTAGATTTATAGCTTCCACATTCTGGATATAAATACAAACTGTTTGGACAAAAATGCATTTAATTATTATTTTCTTATCTTGTCAGTTCGCCCTTGCCTCAACTGCACACATTTCATAACTGGTGGAACAGGTAAAATATTATGGTTCTAATGATATCTTGGATGTGTCAGCCGGTTGGTTAAAAAAGAAAAATCTAGAACTGTCTTTCCCCAAATTATTTGTTGTTGTGTGATGCATGCTTAAATTCAATTATGAGGAATTAAAATATTAAACAAAGAACAGAATATATCTGTTCTCTTACCTTTTTTCTATGCATGGAGCTTAGAGTAAGCTCTTGGACAATAATAGTGCTCTTACAAACTAATGATTTAGGAATGATAGTTCTATGCATAATTCCAATACCCGAAGAGCAAAGTTCTGAATATGAGATGAATTAACAAATGATTTGTGAATCAACAGCCTCTTCTTGCCCAAGTCAGTAGTAGGTTGTGTTTACAGAATCCAGTGGTTCTTTCTCAGCCATCTTTCTCCTTAACACCTCTCTAGTTCTTGGAATGTATGACCTTCTCTTATTTCTTTTCCTAAATTCTGGGAACATTTATGTGTTTTCCATGATACCTCATTATGCTTGCTCTCTTCTGGGCATCTGGGTAGCTTATTCTTTGATTCTTTGTTTAACTCTGCTTTTATCACCCAGTCCTTAAATATTAGAAACTTTAAGAATCTGTTTCTACTACCGGTATTTTTCCTCTCAGAGTTATATCCCAAAGGTAAAAACTACATTTTGACTTCTTTAGATTTTACTCTCTGAATTTAAACACAACTGTTTGGATAAAAATGCATTCAATTATCCTTACTGGCTAGTACACCCTTGCCTCAACTGGACACATTTCACATAAAGGTGGAACAGGTGAAATAGCTTGGTTCTTCAGAACTGTCACCAAGTTTAGTTTGATATTCTAATACATGATCTCAGGAATTATACTTTTGAAGATTAGAGAGTAAAACCTTTCCAACCTATTTAAATATTTTTTGCATAGCTCTTCCCTTCAGAAGTAATTATTCTATCTGTACATCCTGAAATTATTTCAGATTCTCTTGCTGAGCTATATGTATTCTTTGACAGAGCCACAATGACATTTCATGATCTCTAACAGATTTCTGTGCCTGTTATTTGGAACTAGATGTTAAACACTTCCCTGGATGGTTTTAACTACAATCATTAAGTTTAACGTCAAAGGGCCCCTACAGAAGCACAGTCTGAGACTGAGAAGAAAAGTGTCTTTTTTCACCAAACTGTACCTGCTAAGATGAAATCTATACCAGTAGAGTTCCACATAATTCCATTCTTGGTATTGTATTGCAGTTGCAGATTTTCTCTTTTTCCATCAACGTGTCCCCCAAAGCATAGCAGATTGTGTGTGCCTTCAGGGAGACCCAGGGCAGAGTCTGAAGCAGCCCAGCACAAACAAGTGTCTTTGAAGTCACATATTTTATTTTAAAACTTCCTGGAAATTTGCTTTCTATTCCATAATGTATTTCTGTTTTCTAAAAATAAATAGAGTATGTTAAATTATTCAGCTTGCAGTGAAGTTGAGTATATAGACAGAATGTTGTGTTTATACTAGGACGGTTTCATGTGCCCTTAGAGGTAAGAGCACACAACCAGAAATCCCAGGTTGATAGCACTCCCTTGAAGAAAGGCAGTATTTAAAAAATCACAGTGAGAAGTTCTCAAAACAACTATTATGAACAGACCTGTTATCTGTGAATGACATTAAGTCATACAGATCTCCCTAGTGAAACAAACTTTGTTTTGCATTTTTCATGGGATTAATTCTAAGCAAGATGATATGAACATTTAAAAATTTATTTCTTTGCTAGACAAATGTATTCCTTGTAGATCATCATAAACAAAATCAGTGAAGTTAGTGTATTTCATCATCCCATGGATTGTTACCTTGAAATTAATCTTAAAGTGCCTGGAACTATTCTTACCAGGAACTACATATCAAAGACTATCAGCTTTACCATTACATTCTAAGCTAACCAATAGAATGTAAGTTACTTGATACCAAAAATCCAAGCCTTTATTCATTTTACTTCTCATTGTGCCCTGTATTCTAGATAAATGTTTATTTTGTTAAATATTTCAATATCATGGACTAAATGTTAAGTCTTTAAGAAAGGATCTAGTAAATGTGCAATATTCTACACATTTTGGCATCATGATATTAACATTTTTCCTACTTAAAAATATACATAGAAAATACAAACATAGGGAAATCTTACTATAGTAATTCCCTAAGTTAGTTCTTCAGTACATAGTATTCTTATTTAAAATGCTTTGTTCAAATAGAAATTAAAGCAAATATTTAAAGGCTTGTTTTTCATTGAAACAAAATTTATATAAAAGTAAAATGCAAGCATCTTAAAACTACAATTCAGTAATGTTGGTTACGATATGCACCCATGTAACAAACAAACACCTCATAAATATTGAAACTTACCTCTTTATTTTTTCCCAATATCTTATCATAAAATTTTTCAAATATTAAGCAAAGTTGAAATTTAGAGTGAATATTCACATACCTCCTAGTTTCAACCATTAAAATTTTACTGTTCTTGCTTTTTCACACATGTATCTACTTGACCATCCTTCAATGCATCTCTTAATCTAATATTTTAATGCATTTGAAGTAATGTTTCTGAAATCTTTCAAAATAAGTGGCAGACATCAGTATACTTCTACCTAAACAATTCCTCATGGATTTTATAAACTATAGAATTGAAAATTTGCTTAACATTTTTGTTGTTTTACATGTCAAATTTACATACAATGAAACGCATAGATCTTAAGAGTACATTCACTGAGTTTTGACAAATATATACAAAATCCTGTGGAATCCCAACCCGATCAACACACAGAGCATTGACGTCTTCTCAGAGTGTTTCCTCATACCTTCTTAACAGTCAATCCAAATCCTAATCCCACTGAAAAAATTACTGTCTTGGTTGCCTGGCATACTTTATATTGCCTATTTATTGCATATTTCCATATGATTATTCTCTTTAGGGTAAAACTTCTTACACTTACCGTAATATGTTTGAGATTTATGTATGGTATTCTGTGTATCAGTGGTTTGTTCCTTTTTATTGCTGTGTAGGATTCTATTGCATTAGTGTGTCAACACAATTCACCTATGGATGGACATCTGTACCATTCTATTTTGGATATTAAAATAAAGCTGCTGTGAATATTGTTATACAATATTTTTGATGACATAGTTTGTAATTGGGGGGTAAGCACCTAGGTAAAATTTCTGGGTCATAAAACTAGTGCCTGTGCCTTTTTAATTTTTGTATAAAATATGAAAGAATTCCCAGAACATTTTGCAAGATGTTATCATTTTGCACTGCCATCAGCAAGGCATGAGAGTAAGTAAGAGACTTATTGTTTTATATCCTTGCCAACATTTGTTGGTGTTAATATTATTCATTTTAGCCATTCTGTTATGCATATGTATCATTATGTTTTTAACTTGCATTTACTTGATGACTAAATGAAGTTGGATACTTCTCATATCTTGCTCATCACTTATACATCTTCTTAAGTGAAGTGTGTGTTCAAATATTTTGCACATTTTTACTGGATTATTTGTCATTTTAATATTGAGTTATAGGAGTAATTTGTATATAGTGAATAGTGGTTCTTTGTTAGAGAGATATTTTGCAAATATGTTTCCCAGTTGTGGCTTATGTATTCTTGCTTATGTATTCTTTTATTAACAGCATATTTTGGTGAGCAAAGGGTTTTAATTTTAATCAAACCTAGTTATCTATTTTCCTTTGCTTAACTTAGTCCATCCTACATACCATGCATACAAAGTAACTAAAAATAAATCAAAGATCTAAATGTAAGAATGAAAATCCTAAAAGTCCTGGGAGAAAAATTAGGAGAAAGTTTTCATGGCCTTGGGTTAGGCTAAAAGTTCTTAGATACACTACCAAACACACAATCCATTTAAAAAGTGATAAATGGGATTTTTTCAAAATTAAAATGCTCTGCTCCTTGAAAACACTATTAAGTGAACAATAATATAAACCACTTCTTAGGAGAAATTTGTAAATCACATATCTCATAAAGAAGTTATATCTGAATATGAAACAAACTCTCAAAACTAAATAATAAGGAAATGACCTAATTTTTAAAATGGACAAAAGTTTTGAATAGGCATTTTACCAAACAATGTATAGGAAAGATTAATAAATACATCAAAATGTGATCAATTAATTTGCAATTAAAATCAAAATTTAAGACCATTCCATACCTACTAGAAAGATTTTTGTGGTTGTTGTTGAGATGGAGTTTTGCTCTTGTTGCCCAGGCTGGAGTGCAATGGCGCGATCTCGGCTCACTGCAACCTCTGCCTCCCAGGTTCAAGCATTTCTCCTGCCTTGGCCTCCTGAGTAGCTTGGATTACAGGTGCCCACGACCGTGCCCAGCTAATTTTTGTATTTTTAGTAGAGAAGGGGTTTCACCATGTTGGTCGGGCTGGTCTCAAACTCCTGACCTCAGGTGATCCACTCACCTCAGCCTCCCAAAGTGCTGGGATTACAGGCGTGAGCAACCTGGCCAGCCAAAAGATTTTAACTAGAAATCCAACAAAACTAAGTTACGAAAGGATGTGGAAAAATTAGAACTCTTATTGATACATTGCCAGTTAGTGTAAAATATTACAATCAATTAAAAAAACAATTTTGACTATTCATTATAAATTAAACATTCAGCTACCCCAAGACAATCTATTCTAATCCATCATTTCTACCCAAATAAATGAAAGCAGATGTTCATACAAATACTTGTATTCAAACATTCCTAAAAGTTTTATTTTTGTTAGCCAAAATCTGGAAACAACTCAAATGTTCATCAAGTGAAAGGATAAACAAAACGTGGAATATCCGTACAACGCAACACTATTCAGCAATGAAAAGAAACAAACTATTGATACATGCTGCAACACAGATGGACCTCAAATTTGTTATGCTAAGTGAAAATAGCCAGATGTAAAATTCTACATTTTATTTCATTCCATTTACATGGTATTAGTAGCAAAGGCAACAATATAAAGACACAAAGAACATCAGTGGTCACTTGGGTCTCATGGTAGATATAGGGTATGCCTGTAAAGGTTCATGAAGGAATTTTGGGTGTCACCAGAATTTCATAGCCTTGACTGTGATCACAGTTGTACAATTCTTTTCAGTAAAAGTCATCACATTATACAATTATGATGGATACATTTTATGATACATAAATGATACCTCGGAGAGCTGTTGAAAAAGTTCAAAGAAAACAAGAGGATAGATAAGAAGTTTACCACTGAAGTTCAAATCACATTCAACCCCTGTATTCCAGGGCTCTAAGACTTTTATTCATTTATCCTTTTAAGTGTGAGTCCCTCAGTGGACAAAGATGGTGGAAGTCTTTTTTGTTTCCCACTGTGTGGAAAACAAAAGAAAGTAAGAATTCCAACTATGTAATTCTCAACAGAGATTAGAGAACAAGAAACAGATGGCAAAACTATATATTTATGTGTATATATATAATATAAAACATTATATGTATAATATGTATGTATAATCTCTCTCTGTATATATACACATATATATATATATAAAGTTTTTTATTTAAAAGATCATTTGATAAAATACAAACTTTAAATATGGAATAGATGAATCCCCAGAAGACTTTAGTAACTGACTTCAAGATATTTTTAGATTTTACATTGGATTGGTCGCAACTGATAAAAATTGTTCCTTATCCTCTCTTTTTGTAAGTCATCTAAGACCTAAATGAGAATTTGGTCAGAAGACTAAATTGGGATGGAAAATTATAGATCTGGTATATCTCTATCATGTAAAAGGATATTTCCAAAGGGACCTAAAAAACTGGCATTTAAGACAAACATATGGCCTCTCAAATAAATAACTGATCCCCAATAGAAAAATAATCCAAAATTTCTACATTGTCTAAGACCTAAAGGCCTATTGATAAGTTTACTTTCAGACTCTGTAATGAAACAGTTTATTGAGACAGCTAGTATCAATATTAGCACAAAAATGTGCCAATTCCCCCAAACCTACTCAATGATGCTGCCTTGAAGAAGACATTTAGCATTCAATAACTGCCTATCCCTTTAACTTCCAAGAAATTACTCAACAAAAATGGCATTTTCTTGTAGATATGGTAGCCATTGTTTCAATCACAAATTTCACTATTCTAAAAAGGCAGATCCCTTGTTCTACTCTCACTTGAATAGTATGAATTTCTAATAATTTCAACTCTATCTTTATGTATAAATCTTTAACTGTCCTGCTGTGACCATTATCTCCAGAGTACTTCATCTTTTAAGAAACTACCCTATCAAATTTATTATCAAATTTATACACAGAGATTTACTGTATAACTAAAACTGCCAAAAAATGTTTAACTGAAAGACTGTGAACAGAGTTCCCAGAATATGTTATACCTTTAATTATTTTATAGCTGATATTTTAATGTTTGTTTTCCTAAAGTAAATATTAGAAAATCTTTGATCAGCAACTGAGAATTAGATAATCTTACAAAATATTTATGAACAAACGAATGTATTAATATTGTTAAAAATATAAGTTAAACAAGTTAGCATTCAGGTTGATATTTTTAGTTATTATATAATCTTTGTCAGTAACAAGTTTGTTACTTTCTCAAGTAACAAGTTGCATAATCTTTCTCCTCATGTTTTAACTTGAGGAGTACACAGATCTATCCTGACTATTTTAATAGAAAAGAAAATAATCATCCCTAGTACTTGTGTGTATAATACTTATTTTACCAGTAACCAAATTATAAAGTTATATGTTTGTTCAAGATTTGCAAGCATAATCCCAGCACTTTGGGAGGCCAAGGCCGGTGGATCACAAGGTCAGGAAATCAAGACCACCCTGGCTAACATGGTGAAACCTCGTCTCTACTAAAAATACAAAAAAAAATTAGCCAGGTGTGGTGGCGGGCGCCTGTAGTCCCAGCTACTCGAGAAGCTGAGGCAGGAGAATTGCATGAACATGGGAGACAGAGCATGCAGTGAGCCGAGATCGCCCAACTGCACTCCCCAGCCTGGGCAACACAGTGAGACTCCGTCTCAAAAAAAATTAAAAAAAAATGCAAGCAATTAAAATATATATTCCTCACTTTTCTGTAGTGCCTAGTGCAAATATGATATATCACCTAGTCTCTTCTACAAAATTCTCCATAGTAATACATGCAATTGACATTTTTTGGTTTCTTATTGTATACAGATAGTCAATATTTGCCTTGGGAAAAGTTATTATATAGATAGACAGTAATGGTTCAAGGCTTTACCAAGGGACATCTTATTTCTTTCAGGCTTTAAGTTAGAACTCTGAAATTATAAAGTTTCCTTCTGTGTCTATTTCAAGCTGATACTTCAATCTTTCCAAGTTATACATATTTGGACAGTTCTAAAATGGATTCTATACATTTGTTGATTGAATTGGCTAAGTTTCTGAGGAAAAATTTTAGTATTTTAAAAGCAGTTCATTATTTGACACATATTGGAAAAAATTATATAAAGACAAACCTATGAATATTCAAAATTATACAAACATTTTTTTAAAAGACAGTATAGAAAATATCTAAGATCAAGTGTTGTAGACAATAAGTTTAAAACTTATCTGAACTAATGAGACCCATATGTGTTTTGTTCCATGGAACTCAGAAATCAACACTGCCTTCAATTACTTCACAATGCCACCTCAAAATCACATGAATTATGTCTTCCACATTATGAAAAACATTGATTTAATGGTGAGAAACTCAAAGCTTTCCCACTAAGATCAGAAACAAGACAAAGCTGTCCCTTCTCACCACTCATTTTTTTATATCATACTAGAAGCCTTAACTAATGTAATAATAGAAAAAAAGGAAATAAAAATAAATAAAATGGATATAGGTTGGAAAGGAAGAAATAAAATACATAATTACCTTTGTAGAAAATCTGAAATAAACTACACAAATGTTTTCAACTTATACACAATTATAGCCAAGTTGTTAGATGCAAGATTAATATACAAAAGTTAGTCAATTTCCTATATAGTACAATGAACAAGTGCTTGTATTTGGCAGTAAATTTCTAGATACAATATCAAAGGCATGATTCATAAAGAAAACAATAAGCTGGACTTCATTAAAATAAAAATATCTGCACTACAAGAGACATTTTCAAGAGCATGAAAAGACAATCCACATAATGGGAGAAAATATTTGCAACAGTCATATCTGATAAAAGACTGTTATCCAAAACATACAAATGACTCTTAAAACTCAGCAATCAGAAAACAGACAAACTGATTTTAAAATGGACGTGAGACCTTAACAGACACCTCACCAAAGAGATATATAAAATAAGCATATGGGAAGACGCTCCGTATCTTGTCATCAGCAAAATGCAAAGTAAAACAAGAGTAAGATACCACTGCACACCTGTTAAAGTGGCCAAAATTTAAAACACTGACAAAACCAAATGATGAGAGGATGTAAAACCAATAGGCAATATCATTCATTGCCACTGGGAATGCAAACTGGTACAGCCACTTTGGGAGACAGTTTGAAGATTACTTACAAAACTAAACATATTCTTACCATATGACCCAGCAACTGCACTCTACAATATTTACCAGAAGGAGTTGAAAAACTATGCATGGACTTATGTCCATACAAAAACCTGCATAAGGAAACTTATAGAAGTTTTGTTTATAATTGCCAAAAGTTGGAAGCAACCAAGCTGTCCTTTAGTAGTTGAATGGATAAATTGCAGTACATCCAGATAATGGAATATTATTTAGCTCTAAAAAGAAATTCGTAATCAAGCCACAAAAAGACATGGAGGGAACTCAAATACATATTACTGAGTGAAAGAAACTATATACATGCATACTGCTAACTGAAAAAAACTACATAATGAATGATTTCATCTAGATAACATTCTGGAAAAGGCAAAACAATGGAGACAGTAAAATGATCGGTGCTTACTAGAGATTGGGGGAAGGGAGGAATGAATAGGCAGAGTGTAAAGGATTTGGGGAGCAATTAAATGACTGATTGATACAACAATTGTGGTCACTATAAATTTGTCTAAACCTACCAAATATACAACACTGAGAGTAAACCATGGTGCAAACTATGGTCTCTTAGTGATAGTGATGTGTCAGCTATGGTAATAAATGTACCATTCTGGTAGGAGATGTTGACAATGGGATAGGTTATGCATTTAAGGATTAGGGGGTGTACACACATGTATCCTGGAACTTAAAGTAAAATTTAAAAAAAATCTCTGCCCCTTCCATTCAATTTTACTATGAACCTAAAACTAAAAAATCAAAGCTTATTAAAAATAACAATTTGTGTGTTGGAGGAAATTAGGAAACATATCATTCATAAAAAATATATAATACAAAAAACGCTATGTCTATGAAAGTTCAGCCTAGATCATGTTCTAGAGGCATTTACTCAAGACCAATTCTTATAGTCTGCCTATTGATCCAATATGCAAAGGATATTATTCTTCCTGAGAACAATTGCAGCTTCTGCTAAATTTGCTGAAGAATTCTCAGACCTTTCACCTAGTTTATTGAATCTTACAGTGCCATGACTTAAAATTTGAATACGCCAAAAAATAATCTTTAGCAATTATTAAGTCATTAGAAATAATGTTACTTGACCATTCTTACATAACAGTCCCCTGATGTAATCTTCATCCAGCAGTATTTTAATCCTTAATCTTATGAAATGAAAACGTATGATTGTGGTTTGTAATTTGGAAACCATCAATGCCCAATATATTTGGAAATCTTATTCAAATTATTGATACATGCAGCTATTTGAATGGATCTTAACTGCATTGTGCCTAGTGAAAAAAAATCCAACCATAAAAGGTTATTATAGTTTATACTGCATTATTTGTCTTATACAACATTCTTGAAATAACAAAATTCTAGAGATCAAAAAATAATTACTTGTTAGCTAGTGGTTCAAGACGGGAACAGTAGTTAGGTAGAAAAGTGGCTTCTAAAAAATAGCACGAGGAATTTTGTTGTGATGTAACTGTTCTGTATGTTAACTGTGATAGCCGTTACACAAATGTGCACATACGCTAAAATTTCTTGGAACTAAATATACAAATACCCACAAATTAGGGCATATAAAATGGTGAAAAGGTGAATAAGTTTAGTTGATTGTATCATGGTCAATTTTCTGGTTTAATATGATATCATAGCTATGCAAGATGCTAGCAGAGGGAGAAACTGAGGGAAAGTTACCAAAGATATTTTTCACAGCTGCATGTGAATCTAAAATTATCTCAAATCATTTATTTAAAAAAACAATTGACCATGTAAGTGCAGGTATAATTCTGGGTACCCTTTTGTTTCATGGATCTATTTGCTATCCTTATGCCAATATACTGTTTAGATTACTGTAACTTTATTGTAAGGCTGGTAATCATGTAAGGCAAGTTTTCCAGCATTGTTTTTCTCTTTCATTGTGTTATTCTACACCTTTGGATTCACTGTGTAAATTTCAGAATCAGCTTGTCAATCTCTTTTTTTAAAAGGCTCACCCAATTTTGATTGGAGATTGAACTGTATTTAAAGATCACTTAAGGATAATTGGCATTTTATCAAACCATCCTTGCATCCCAGGGATAAAATCTACTTGATAATGGTGGATTAGCTTTTAGCTTTTTTTTTTTTTTTTTTTTTTTTGAGATGAAGTCTCACTCTGTCACCAGACTGGAGTGCAGTGGCATGATCTTGGCTCACTGCAACCTCTGCCTCTCAGGTTCAAGCGATTCTCCTGCCTCAGCCTTCCGAGTAGCTAGGACTAAAGGCACTTGCCACCACTCCCAGCTAATTTTTGAATTTGTAGTAGAGACAGGGTTTCACCATGTTGTCCAGGATGGTCTTGATCTCTTGACCTCAGAATCTGCCCTCCTCTGCCTCCCAAAGTGCTGAGATTACAGGTGTGAGCCACTGTGACCGGCCAGTGGATTAGCTTTTTGATGTGCTGCTGAATTTTGTTTGCTAGTATTTTTTCAGGATATTTTCATCTAAGTTCATCAAGGATATTGTCCTGAAGTTCTTCTGTTGTGTCTCTGTCAGGTTTCAGTGGCAGAATGATGCTGGCCTCACAGAATGAGTTAGAAAGGAGTCCCTCCTCCTCAATTCTTTATAATAGTTTCAGTAGGAATCGTACCAGCTCTTCTTTATACATCAAGTAGAATTCAGCTGTGAATCCATCTGGTCCTGGGCTTTTTCTGATAGGTAGGCTTTTTATTACAGATTCAATATGAGAACTCAAAATTGGTCTGCTTAGGCATTTAATTTTTTCCTGATTCAACCATAAGAGGCTGCATGCTTCCAGAAATTTACCCATTTCTTCTAGATTTTCTAGTTTGTGTGCAAATTCCCTCAGTCTTTTTTTGTCTGAAAAGTATTTTATTTTTCAGACTTTGCTATGAATAATAAGTATTCAAAAGTATTTTATTTTTCAAACTTGCTTATGAAGCTTAGTTTGGCTGGATATGAAATTACTGGTTGTAATTTTTTTCTTTAATAATGCTGAATATAGGATCCCAATCTCTTCTGGCTTGTAAGGTTTCTGATGAAAGGCCTGTTGTTTGCCTAATGGGAGTTTCTTTTTAGGTCACTTTCCCTGCTCTCTTGCTGACTTTAACATTATTTCTTTCATTTCGACCTTGAAGAATCTGATGTCTATATGTATTCAAGATGGCTGTCTTATATACTATCTCACAGTAGTTCTCTGCATTTCCTAAATTTGAAGTTAATTTCTCTAGTAAGGTTGGGAAATTTTTCATGGATGATATACTCAAATATGTTTTCCAAGTTGTTGCTTTCTCTCCTTGTCTTTTGAGGATGCCAGTGAGTGGTATATTTGATCTCTTTACATAGACCCATATTTCTTGGAAGTTGCTCAATCTTCTTTAGTGTTTTTTCCTTATTTTTGTCTGACTGAATTATCTCAGGGAACCAGTGTTTGAGTGCTGACATTCTTTCCTGTATCATGTTTAATTATATATTATAAGTGATATAAATACATGATGTTTTGTTTATTCAGCCATAAAAATAAATGAAGTACTGAGAAATGTCACACGAATGAACACTGAAATCATGTTAAGTGAAAGACATCAGTCACAAAAGTTCACATATTATGTGATTCCATTTCTATGAAATGTCTAGATTAGGTAAATCCATAAAGACAAAAAACAAGATCGTTGCTAAGGAGTTAAGGGGAGGAGCAATGGGGAGCAACTGCTTAGTGGGTACAGAGTTTTTTCTTAGTGAGATGAAAATGTTTTAGAATTAGATATACGTGACAGTTGCACAACATTATGAATGTGATGCAAGACAGTTTTAAAATAAACACAACTGCCACACAGAGGAAATTTTAAAGCTCACTCTACTGGGATTGTGAGCCCCATATTTGGGGCTTAGCCCAAGAGGGTTCTTGGCTTTGCCAAGGAAAAAAATTCAAGGGTAAGCTGGTGGTGTTAGGCGGCTATCTTTTATTAAACAGTATTGCTTCTTGAGGAGCAGGATTAACTCATAGGCTGTGCTCTCAGAGTCAACAATGTGCAGGCTCTTGGCAACTGCATTTATATCATGTAAACTCACTTCCAGTTACATGCAGATTAACGGGCTGAGCAATCCAAATTAAGGTGTGAATTACTTAGAACTTTCTACAAAAGGGGCAGTAACTTTGGGGTGGTTGCCATGGCATTCATAAATTGTCATGGTGTTGGTGGGAGTGTCTTATGTCAATGAGCAATGAGGGCAGCTAGAGATCACTTTTGTCACCATCTGCTGGTTCCTGTCAGTTTCTTCACTTTATACTTTCCGGGTCAAATATTGTTTTGGTCAGCAGGGTTATCACCAGAAACAAGTCCTGCCAGTTTCCCTACCTCAAATGCACTAAATGCCACTGAATTGGTCACTTTAAAATGGTTACTTTTATATTATGTAAACACCTGCTAAAAATCAGCATCAAAATTTAAAATGTAAAAGGAAGAAAGAAAGATAACCTTTATCCTATATGCCAAAGTGTGGCATATGTGATCTCAGGAACTATACTGCTCCTCAGACTGAGCTTTTATTTTTGCTTTTCCTCTTACCTGGAAAGCCCTTTGTATGCCTTATTGATTGGCTCATTACCTACTCATCCTTCAAGTGTAAGCTGTTATCTCTGTGGGAACTCTAGTCGGAACACCAGGCTGGAATAATTGCTCTAGTTCCAATTACAATATATTGAAATTGTCTGTTTACACTCTTGTCTCTTCAAAATGTTCCTAAGTATTTGAAGGCATGAATTGGGTTTTAGTGACTTTTGCCAAGTATTAACAGCACTTACCATATAACCTGGTTTCTTAGCTCAGGCTGCTGTAACTGAATACCGTAGACTCTGTGGCTTAAATTATCGACATTTACTTCTAACAGTGCTAGAGGTTGGAATTCCAAGATCAATGTGTTAGCAGGATTGGGTTATTGGCAAGGCGCCTTCTCCTAGTTTACAAAGCCATTTTCTTGCTGTGCCTTTACATGGCAGACAGAGAGCTAGCCAGCTCTCAGGTGCATCTTGTAAGGGCAGTAATCCCATCATGATGTCTCTGCTCTGATGATCTAATTATACTTTCCAAAAGCCTGCCTTTCTAATACCATCACATTGGGATTAAACCTTTGGAGAAATGCAAACATTCTGTACATTTTACCTGGGGATGAGAGAGACAAAGAGAGAGAGAAGGAAGGGAGAAACCAGGTCCCAAAAAAGCCAGTTTAAGTGCTGACCTACTTGGTAGCAATTTCAGGCAAGGCACAGCCTGAAAATCCTGACTTTGAAAGCAAATCTAGAAGGAGGTTTTGGTGTGAACTAAATATTCTGTCAGAACTGCAATGGTAATAAGTTTATTTACATCAGATAGGAGCTCTGGGTATGGCCGGGCATGGTGGCCCAGGCCTGATAACCCAGCACTTTGGGAGGCCGAGGTGGGCGGATCACGAGGTCAGGAGTTTGACACCAGCCTGACCAACAGGGTGAAACCCCATATCTACTAAAAATATAAAAATTAGCTGGGCGAGGTGGCGTGTGCCTGCAATCCCAGCTACTGAGGAGGCTGAGGCAGGAGAATCACTTGAACCCGGGAGGCAGAAGTTGCAGTGAGCTGAGATCGCACCACTTCACTCCAGCCTGGGCGACAGAGTGAGACTCCATCTCAAAAAAAAAAAAAAAGAACTCCAAGTATCTTTGAACAATATCCATTAAGAGACAAGACTGATACAGGAAAAGGAAAAGGAAGAAAGGAAGCATGGGTCAAGATGTTTAGCCAAGATTTTTACTGAACTATTTCAGTATAATTTATAATTGCAATCCAGTAGTTTGTCTCTATTTTTTTTTTTTTTTTGGTTTGTGTCTTTCTTATGGTTTAGTCATTGTTTATTCCTTTATTTTTCCTTGGTTCTCTAATGAAAAATAAAATTCAAACTTACCTTTTCCACTAATTCACAACAAATTAAATCCCTAAAACAGGATAAATAGACATGATAAAAATATTTTGTAGCATACATTTTGTACATATAGTCTTATTTTCTCCTCTTAATTAATTGCATTAGGCAGGATTATATTCAGTTTATGTGCCTATGTACTGAGGCTCAGTGAAATACAAAATCTTTTCCAAGGTTATCAAGCAAATTAGTGGTAACAACTTCAGTGGGTTGTTTCCTAACTTTCTCGTAAGATTTAACAGTAAAGCACACTCAGAAATTCAGAGAGAGCCGAGGACTCACAGAGAATGGAAAACGCAGAAAGGATTGAGAAGTGGCCACATGAGAATGTTAATCCTTCATCTTTTTAGTTTATTAAAATGATTATGGGTTGACAAATTCAATTAGAAAGAAAACTAGTAATTTTGTAACAATAGCGTGGTCTCAGGAGTTGGGAAAATATTCAATTGAAGGCCATTTACTAGTTTTGCCGTTTACTAGGTAAGGTGTTCTCAATACCTTATCTGTAAATGTATTTCCTCATTTTCAAATGGGGATAATAGTTGTAGTGTTGTGATGTTACTAGGATTAAATGCGGCAATATAAGTGAAAATCTCTCTAACATATTAGTGCTCAGTAATTGTAATTCCATTTCCTGCTTTTCGACTTCATTTTTTGCTTAGAATAATGCTAAAATCTTAATTTTTAAGATGTTTTCTGAATTCTGTTCAAAGCCTTTCATTATACCTAGAATCAACCTAAGAATGGAAATGAATTCATAACTTGTGTTTGAGAGGACTGAAAACCCCAGTGACCTCTTCCACATAAGATAGGCAAGAAATATTTTTAATTCAATTCAGAGTAAGTAATGAATTCAATTTGTTAAAATTGATTATATTCTTCAAAAAAGATACAAATAAAATGAATCTAATAGGTAATGTGCTTCTATATAAGCTGTATATATTTTTACTCACCTGAATCTCATATCAGAAATGTTAAAAATCATTTGAACAAAGGGAGCTAGGACAATTACAGTAGTCCTCCATGATCGGTGGGGTATATGTTCCAAGACCACCAGTGAATGCCTGAAACTGAGGATAATGCTAAATTATATAGATATGTGTACATATATATGTGAATATATATATGTGTATATATATGTAAATATATATATACACACACATATATATATACACACATATATATAATGTTTTTTCCTATACATACATATCTGTGATGAAGGTTAATTTATAAATTAGGTCCACTAAGAGATTAACAACAATTAATAATAGAAAAATTATAACAAACTATAATAATAGCTATGTAAGGTCATCTCTCCCCGTCTCTCAAAATTCATGTTGCGTTGTACTCAACTATTTTTGGACAGCAGTTCACCATGGGTAACTGAAACCACTGAAACTGAAATTGAAACCATGCATAAGGCAGTACTACTGTACTTCTAATTCATTTTCAAGTACAATTTGTGTATGTGAATTCTTTATCTTTGCAACTAACATCTTAATTTACATGGCCCCAAATTATGTGTTTATATTTGGCAGAATATATTTGGGTATATTCAACACAGTGGTACAGATAGCATATTCACTCTCAAATATGTGTGTGTGTATAAATGTGTTGTGCATATATATGCATATATGTTCATGTATGTTAATGTGTCCGTGTGTCTGTGTGTGTGTGTGTGTGTGTGTGTGTGTGTGTGTGTGTGTGTTTAGTGTGGAGTTTCAAGTCAGTAGGCCCGGCTATGAGATGTTAAGCAATTTACCTAACCTTTCTAAACTACACTTTTTCTTATCTAATGAATATAATAATAATAATATCTAGAAGCCTGAACAACAAAGTGAGACTCTGTCTCTCCAACATTTAAAAATAAAGTTAGCTAGGCATGGTGATCCATGCCTGTAGTCCCAGCTCCTCAGGAGGCTCAAGCAGCACTTGAGCCCAGGAGGTCGAGGCTGCACTGAGTCATGATCATGGCACTGCATTCCAGCCTGGACAACAGAGTGAGACCTTGTCTCAAAACAAAAAACAAAACAAAACAAATCAAAACAAAAAACTCTAGAATGGAGAGTATCTATGGGAATTAGATAAAATAATAGAAAAAAATCAATATATACATTGAAAAAATTTTTATGTAACTATGCAACCATTCATTATTATTGTTCACTTTTAATCTGCTGCTGCCATGGAAATTTTCTTTTTCCAGTGATGAAGCTCATTTATAACATTCAGTTTAGAAACCCTTGTATCTCTCCCTTTCTTTTCACATGTGAGCACTCCCAACATAATATAGCCAAAGTCAATATTGTTAATCATTTTCCTTTGCCACAGAACCAAAAACACAAAGTCTTAATTTTTTCCTCCTGTATTTTCTTTCTTAGAAAGTGAGATTGTCTCATAGATGGAGAAGCTGCCTATCCTCTGTGCAGAAGGGAAAACCCTCCAATAACAATGACTGTGATGGGTGTTGGAATATGCACACAATTAACAGAATATCTTTGTGTTATGATTCCTGCTCCTGCTTTATTACAATTACTAACACTTACTGAGAGTTATATATCTGCAAACAACTGTGCTAAGCACTTTCCACTATTTAACTCACTTAAACCTTATAACAGCCCTATGAAATATTTATTATTTCCTTCTTGCCATTGTAAAGATAAGGAAAGTGATGCTTTATGAGTTTGAGGACCTACAAGTACTAAGGTCAGAACCAGGATTTAATTAGAGTTTTTACACCCTTAACCAGCATGTCAGCTAATAGGAAAACAAAGTTCAAATGAGGAAGAAGCCAAACCTCCAGCCATCGGTTCAACTGATTCAGATGCCACATGATATCACAGAGTTTGTTAGGGATTTGTACAGTATCTGAAACATCATCTGGTTTCTACAACCTTGATGGTTCCCATAAGATATCATTGCTATGATCTTCTAGGTTGCATTCTATGATCCACTGGGCTCTTTCCCCTAATGCACAGATTTTTTTTAAAGGGAAGAAAACAGTGAACTTTTTATGCCCTATTTTTTTTCCCAAATCATTGTCTGTTATTCTCTGAGGCAGACCTTCTGTTGGTTTTGAACAAAATATCAAAAGCAAAGACAGATTACATACTGTGCTGTGAAATGTTAATAAATGTGTTCAAAGTCACTGGCAAAATTTTGGCTGAAGAAAAGGAGTACATCATAAATAACACGATTTCAAGTATGTTACTATAGCCCAAAAATGTTGGAGCAAAATCAGTTCAGCTTGCTTTGTGTGAGGACCATCTGCTTTTTCTATTGTAAAGAGTTCTAGGCATTTGCTTTCAAGAAACTTAAAAATAACTGATAATCTGAACTTCAGTTTCTCCAAAAGGAGGAGAAAAACAATCCAGTTTACAAAAATTGACATTGTGCTAAAAATATATATTTGAGAACATGTTTTAAAAGCAGAGGCAATTACTTCCTCCCTCTTGGTGGTGCTCTTTGGTGAACATTTAAAATGGAATACTTGCTATTTGCCAAACAAGTCAGCTTCTGGCAGCGTGGCCAGTAACGTTAGGTTAACTAACTTTTTCCAAGTAAAATTCACTATTAGAATCTTTTAAAAAGGAGGAAGACTAAAAGTAAAAATAAAATAATTAAAAACTCTCCTTTACTAATACTTTCGTCTCTCTCATCTTATGCATTCAGCAAATTAATTTATGACTCACAGTTAAAACTGTCTACTTTTTATGAATATCTACATGCAATCTAGAAGCAGATCATGCGGCTAGTTTACAAATCAATATACTTAAGCTTTGTTTTGTTTCTTAAGTTATTTTGGGGATGAGATGTAGATGTGAGAAAAAAGGATGAAAAGAAATATCAAATGGCATAATAAATTATTATATTTTTACTTCTATTCCACTTCTTGCTTTTGAAAAGACTGTAATGTTCTCCCATCATTAGAAGGTCATGAGAAAGCATTTGCACTCAAATTCTTCCTAAGTCGTGCTGAAAGTCTTCATAGATGACCTCACTATGCTCTATGAAATCCCCTTGTTACATAAAGTCAGCTTTTTTACTTTTCTTCCTTCAAAATTGTATAATGCTTCTGCCCCTGCTAACACCAAATGCAATGCTGGGTTACTGACACCTGCTTAAGATGTCACCATTCCTGCTGTTGGCCCTGCCTTTTCTGAAGTTGCTGGTGCTTAATATTGAAAGGAGCCAACATTACATACTGTCCTAATGACATTTGTTTCCTTCCAAGTCATTGCCTGCCATCAGGGTTTCCAGAACCTACTGAAGATAATACAACTTCATTAGTCCTCCTTTCCCAAATCCAAGCATTAGATACCTAAGGTCAAAGGGATGACACTCTGTTCTAAAATCAACATTTTCTGTGGCTGCCTAAGTGGCTAAAACCAGTGATGATCTTCTTGTGTTTTCAGTGGCCAAGGACCCTTTATCTCCTCGTCCTTGCTACACTTTTTCTTTCACTTTAACCCTTAGACAGATGAACGCTATCAAAACGATATTGTAAGACATCCCACTCCCAATATCCAGACCACGGCAGCTTGTGTTTTCTGGCAGCCCTTTCATAAGAACATATACAGGTTAAGTATAAGGTTTGTTATTCACTTTGGTATAATCAGACCAATAGAATTAAATGTAAGTTACTGGTAATCATTATTTTTCTACATTTCCTGAAACATCCTTAATTATTTGTTCATCCTATTATTGGGGTACAGTTCTTTCCTTCCCCCGATCCTAGGCATTCAGTTTTGTTCATCTGTATATGTGATACACCTCAAGAGAATGCAATTCTACATCATCGAATAAGGAAGGCTTTTATTTGTACTAGGCACTATAGTCTTGATGAAATTATAAACTAGGCTTATCTCATTAGGTGTCTCCCTTTTAAAAAATATCCCAAAAGAGTTATTTTGACTCAGGATGAAAAGGAGCATACGTTTCAGTAGATATTATTTTCTCTCACTCTGCAAGTGCCAAAGTCCATGACTATAGGATAGGGGGAGGAGCAAAAGAAAAATAATAGACATTGTGCCTTAAATTTCTTTTCTTTCTTTTTTTTTTTTTGTTATTGTTGTTTTGAGATTGAATCTCAGTCTGTCACTCAGGCTGGAGTAAAGTGACACAATGTCGACTCACTGAAACCTCCGCCTCCTAGTTCAAGCGATTCTCCTGCCTCAGCCTCCTGAGTAGCTGGGATTACAGGTGAGCACTACCAAGTCCTGCTAATTTTTGTATTTTTAGTAGAAGCGGGGTCTCACTATGTTGGTCAGGCTGATCTCGAACTCCTGACCTCAAGTGATACACCCACCTCAGCTTCCCAAAGTGCTGGGATTACGGGCATGAGCCCCAGCGCCTGGCCTGCCTTATGTTTCTTAAGCACAGCAATAAGTGCTTATATAAATTAACTCATTTGGCTACTACCATATACTTGAGATACAGGTACATAGAGCTGAGAATATTGAGGCTCAAAATGGTTAACAAACAAACTTGCCCCAGATCAAAGTGCCACTTAGTGGCAATCTTTGAATCTCTGTCTGACTTTTCCAGGGACTTTTTTTTTTTCCTTCCTTCCTTCCTCCTTCCTTCCTTCGTTCCTTCCTTCCACTTGTGTTTTTTATTTATTCTTAGTATGGCAACAAGAAAGCCTTATAAATCTTAGATTTTGATTGAAAGAGCGCCATCTGTATGCGCAATGCCATATTATCTTAAACAATAAATAATAATCAACAGTTACTCTTAATTGAATGTATCACATATCAAGTTTGATGTTGGTTAGGAAACTGTCTTAAGAATACCTGGTAATAATTTTACCAAAAGCAAAAACAAAACAAAACAAAAAGGAAAGAAAATGATACTCTGAAATGACTGAAACTGTTTACAATGAACTCATGAACTCTCATGAGTAAAGGAATTATATATCTTTGTGTGCTCATGACTAGATGTTCCTTTTTTTATTATATAAAGTTTGCTGTAAAATAGAAGATAAACATGTGGAATACATACGAAATAATTCGTAATAAATTTTTCTAAGAATAATTAAGCTAATTATCAATGAACCTACATTTAAGAAATCTTGTACAAGGTGGGCTAGAGAAGCAGACTCCATTTCTGATGGCAGAAGTAGGAAATTGAGATTTAAAAAGAACAAGATCTGGTTATGGGTCAGAGCTCTAGCACTTGGTGGATTAAAAATCCTTTTCTCAAATGATGGAGATGAAAACATGTTCATCAGCTTTCTTGGTGACAAGAGCATGGAAGCTTCTAGAAGGAGCTCAGGAGAAGGCAATACATGGTCCAAAAGAAGATAGGAACACCATATGCATTGCATATCATATCCGAGATTATGAGAATATTTTGTCTTGAGATCAATGGTTTTAAAAAGTGGCAGAAATGTTATATTTGTTTGTCTAATTTTTTTATCGCCATCTTCCCACTCAGTAATAAAGATCTACTCAATATATTGGTTGTTATAAGAACACATGTTGATTTGCCTTACCGATGTTGTATGAGAACGGGTAATGACCTTTTTTTACTGCAGAAAAGGTTAGGTCATTCTATAAGGATGCCATCATATATGAGACTTAAGATGCAACAATAGATTTTAAAGTGGCCCAATAAAAAGTGCTTTTTAGCCCAATAAAAAGCAAAAGGGCATTAGCAGAATTTCAGGGACTTTGTTCTCAGCCTGGCCTGCCCAGACTCTTGAACTTCAAGAGTCTTAGAGACAGCATTCATCTCTTTTGCTTTAGTAAATGTGTGGCCTTGATGAAAGGTGTTTCAATTAATTTTTCTCTGTTAATCCTCATAAAGTCTTGGAAACACATATTAGCTTCACTTTAGAAATGAAGAAAATGAAAATATGAATAATTTACCCAAATTTTCACAACAAGGAAAGGTAGCTCTTGAATTTAAAAGCAGGTCAGTTTGAATCTAAATAATATAATCTTGAGTGCTACAATCTTGACTGTTATATAGTAAGAATGCTAAGAAGCTATTTGCTGGTCATTTCTTAAGGAACTTTCTTTTCTTTTGTCATATAATTGTGGTTAGTCTGATACTTACCTTGATTAAGAAGTCTGATCAGACAGAATACCACAAAGAGGGCAATAGTTTAACCCATACTAGAATTTACATTTAATTCAAAAAACACTTATTGATTTTGCACTATGTAAGACTTACTGTACTAAGCACCATATGAATCAACATGAACTTGATATTAAAAATAATGCAGAAAGGAAATAGTACAGAATGGTTTCTGGGCTAACTTCCTATACAGACAGCCAATTCCAATACTTTTCTGGACCACCAGAAAGTTTCAACTAAATTAAACATATATAATCACCAGACATCTAATTAAGAAAGGAGGAGGCCTCCTCCTTTGGGTGCAGCAAATAAATTAAAAATATTTCAGAAAAATGCATGGTAATAGCCTTCATCTCCTCTTTACTTCATTGCTTTTTCCTCATTCCATAGTAGAATATTATCACACTGAGAACACTACAAAATAACTGGAAAGAGTGAGATGCTACCATATATATTGGAACAGAAATTTGCTGATGTAGGCTTCTGTTTCAGTTATTTGGGTTTTTTTTCTCATGAAAGATCACACTAAGTGAGGTGGGCATCCAAGCTTTTCCTGACTAGGCAAAGCCTGCCCTTAGCAGCCTGTTACGTGATCTGTCCAGCCCCAATCTCCAAGCTCCTGTCAATTTCAAAAGGATTAGCTCTTCCATAGTCCTTCCACTGTCAAGTGTGATAATCGTTTAACGACATATTTCTAAGAATCGATTGATAAGGAAATGTATATCTGTTATTGACCTCACTGTTTTGTCTGACTTGGGAAACACATTTAGCAATGGTAAAAATTGAATAATGAATCTGGTAAAGTTGCTTTGCTGAGTACGACATAAACTCTGCTACACTATACATTGCAAGCTGCAATATACTATTTTCTGAGTATTTAAAGTTAGTCCAGCCCAAAATAACATCTACTTCATCGGGTGATTATGAAGATTAAATGAGCTGATATGTGTAAAGGCTTAGGACAATATTGTAAGCACACTCAAACCTCAGCTAGTATCATTTTTATTTCATTGTGTTTGTGTTGTCAGGTCAATGCAAAACATATGAATAGTCCTCAGTAAAGATTCGACTAAAGAGACTGACAACTCTATTTCCCATTTTATCCCAAATAAATGTCATAAAATTACAGCTAGAATTTTTAAAAAAAGACTATCAAGACTTTTCATTTTAAGGTGGCAGAATAAGGATATGTTTTTCTATTTTTATCTCTGAAATTAGAGGGAGGATAAGAAGTACACACGGAAACTCTTCTATCTAACTAGGACACACTGTAACGCCACATGCAACACTTGAGGAGGGTTGTCAGGCCAAGAAAAGTTTATATCAAACATGGCTGCTGCCACAGGTGCAGCAGACAGGATTAGGAGAATCCAAAGAGTCTCAAGGCAGGTGCCTCACCCTGAGAGAAGAAGCCAACACTGTTGTTAGGAATAATGGCAACAAGAGACATGCGCTGCTGAGTGTATTTCTCTGGATCCTTTTAGATACTACAGATTAGAGCTGCTGGAATAAATAAGAGAATCCACAGTAGCAGCATTAATGAAGGATTTATCCAAAGGTAAAGCAGAGAGGAGGAAAGGACAAGTTGTGACCAGCCAGCTATCTGTCAGAATAAGGAATGTCTAGAAGTAAAGAAAATCAAACCAAAGCGCTTGTATTCTCGTGTTTTTTTTTTCTCTCTCTGTCTTACCCTCCCCACCCACCCTCCCGCCCAACACACACTCTGTTCCAGGTTTTAATTTTTTCTAGAACAGAATGCTAGCCCTTCCTTCACATAAACTGCCTAAAATAACTTGTCTCAGAAGAATGTAAATCATTCAAATATGAGTAATAGTCTTTGGACAACAAGAGCTTAAAGCAGGCACACAAAGAAAACAAAGACAAAATGACATGGCAGGGGAAGGACATTAAAAAAAAAGCTGCCATTGTTTGGAGATGCCATTGAAGAGAAAAATTAAATGGCACAAAAATAAGGGTCACTTTGAGATATTAAAAAAAAGAGGAGACTGAGTAAAATTGAACAAATAAATGCCAGAATGGACGAGACTAAGAAACGATTAGCAAACCATCCTGGCTAACACGGTGAAACCCTGTCTCTACTAAAAATACAAAAAATTAGCTGGGTGTGCTGGCGGGCGCTTGTAGTCCCAGCTACTCCAGAAGCTGAGGCAGGAGAATGGCGTGAACCCAGGAGGCAGAGCTTGCAGTGAGTCGAGATCGCGCCACTGCACTCCAGCCTGGGCGACAGAGTGAGACTCCGTCTCAAAAAAAAAAAAAAAAAAATTAACAAAATAACTGAAAATAAATAAAAAGTTAAAAACCACAGAAAATGGGAGATGTGGCCTCTGTAAAGATGAGAGACAAAGAAAAGTAAAATACATATTTTAATTTATTTAATGAGAATACCATTCAGAAATCATTCAAAGCTTGAATCTAAGCTTTGAAGAGGCAGTACAGCATGTCTCCAGAATAACTGATTCCAAATGATACATTTCAAGACTTTTTCGGATAAACTGTTGTGATTCCAAAGATGTGAGAAGAGAGAGGCAGAGACAGAGATCCTCGTATGTACAGGAAAAGGTAATAAAAATAGGCAGCTCTCAGACATGTATACAAAAAAATTCCCATGTTAGAAGAGAGGGCTATTATTAGAAATCTAATCAAGACAAATGGCTATAGAGGGAATGAAGAAAATCATAAAATAGATATTACACACACACACACACACACACACACACACACACACAAATACAGCAGTCTCACCAAGTCAGAAACAATATTTCCTTCTAGTCTGCTAGATAACATGGATTATTCCTATAGTCTGAGACATTTTGTTAGGTGTTCTAGTTATTTGTGTACTTGGCTTTCTCGTCCATAGCTAAGCCCCTCTTTTTTGCACGTAGATTGGGCTCAAGGCAAAGCTGCAACTCAGTGATAAATATTTTGAGATTACAATCAGGAATTCTATGACTTCTCTAATTATTAATAATTGCATTTCATGAAAAATAAAACTCTTGGATAAACAAAGAGTTTTTAAAAAAGGCTATTCTGGTATGGTTTTATGTGATAAATATTCCTTTGTGTGTAAGCCAAAGTCGTGTGAAATAATGAGGCATTAATACAAGGCAGGAACGTATTCTAGGTACTGGTTCAGGCATATATAGCACTAAGATAACGTTCCAGGGAGTCAGGCTGCTATTTTTTTTTACTACTTTAAGTTCTGGGATACATGTGCAGAATGTGCAGGTTTGTTACCCGGGTACACATGTGCCATGGTGGTTTGCTGCACCTATCAACCCATCATCTAGTTTTTAAGCCCCGCACGCATTAAGTATTTGTCCTAATGCTCTCTCTCCCCTTGCCCTCCACCCCCTGACAGGCCCCAGTGTGTGATGTTCCTCTCCCTGTGTCCATGTGTTCTCATTGCTATTTTTTAAACTAAAGTTTCAGACCAGTCTCTGGGCCAGATCCATTCCCAGCTTACTATGCCCAGTGCTCATGTCTGCAGGTCGTGACAGTCACATAACGTTCCATAAAATGGGCTTCTCAGAAAGACCATCTCAGCCTTGAGTGTCTGTGAATGGCAATTGAAGAAAAACACATTAGCTTATCTCTCCTCTGATCTTCCAAGTTTATCAAGTAAAAATTTTCAAGGGCTACATCTAAAGAGAAAACATGTTTCAAACTTGATCTAGTTGCTATCTCTACCAGATAGAATGATGGTTTAAGTGTACAGTATATAAACAAGCAATGTAGGGATACAAAAAAGTTAAAAAGGAAAAGAGAGAGAAATAAAGTGGGATGGGGGAAGGAAGGAAGGAAGGAAGGAAGGAAGGAAGGAAGGAAGGAAGGAAAGAAATACCTAGGCTCAGGATCCCAATCAAACGTGTTTAATTTAACATGATCTTCTTACAAAAAGAGTTAAATAAAACATGCCGGACACACCCAATCACATTGGTAGAGTCGCCGAAGGCTGACTTTTATGAATCAATTTCACAAAACATCGTCCTTACAATATCATCTTCATCAATTAATATTTATTGAGCAGCTTCTCAGGTACATGACACATGAACAGAGATGATTAACTTTCTGTTCTTTTCCCTTCTCTTTAGAAAATGAAGCCAGCACAACCTTCAAAATATCTGCCTGAGGGAAAAAAATGGACTTGCTCTAACAACCTGAACAAACATTATTTCCAGAACTAATTTTCCACTTATCTGGCTCTTGCCATCCATATTTTTAATATCCTGTGATGTCTGTGAACAATTTAAAATTGAAAGTCACTATGTGCAAACTGTCACAGTCAAGAGCATGTTTTGTGTCCATTTCATTTGTTTAATGTTTTATATTTTAAAATTCCTTTTGATGGCAATTACTTAAGCTAACCAAAGTAGCTATTGTTTTTCTCAATTTATAGGTACGAATTTATAAAATTTAAGTGATTTATTCTAGATCTCCTTGCTGGGGCTTCAAACTTTCTGTTATTAATTTGTAAATAAGGACACATGCTCACTCAAAATTATATAACATGCTGCAGAGTAATTTTATATTGCTTTTCCTATTTACCAACAGCTTCCCTTCTACAGGTTGAGAAAGAAAGAGATAATGCAAGTGTATCTAACAACAGCAAATCTTTGTTAGTACTTACTGAGCCAAGCTCTGTGCCAAATACTTTGCATTTGTGATATTTATATTTAGAACATACTTACGGGGTTGGCATTTGTATTACTCTTATTTTGGATGAACTCGCTGATGCTTTTGAAAATAAAGTTGCCTATTAAGTGGCAGAGCTGGGATTAGAACCCAGGTCATTGGAATCCAACACCCATATTCTGAATTACTACAATACACTTGCCCTTTTTACTTTGTGGAAGCAACTAAATTATGTTTATGCATCCTCCAGATATGTACATTGTTTTAGATAACACATTCCTATATTTTAATTACTGGATCATACAGACCATATAGGTCATAATTTTTAATATGTTGGTGGTAAATATATGTTTAAACACTGAAAATCTCTGCCAAAATACATTTAATTCTTTTACACACTCTATAGGTATTTTGATTTCAACCAAATTCAACAAACATACAGTGATACACTCTATGTAGAAATAAATTATACGTGGCACTATGAGATCTCAAAGGTAAATATAACAGATTTCTAATCCTGAAGGAAAAATGTCTTATTACTGTAAAATTCTAATAAACAAATCTAACTGGAAATTAAATGTGGTTCTTGGTTCTGTTTCTAATTCATTCATTATATTTATAGATGTAAGTGATCTATGTCAAATAGAAGCATACAAACATCACACCAACAAGAAAACTGTGATCTTATCTATCCATAGAACAGCACCAATTTTACAAAGAGCTCCCAGTCTATAGCAGCAAAAAATTTTGAGAATTCCTTGTACCATTTTACAACCCAGCACGGTCTAAACTATAGAGCTATGACATTTTATAACATTTCTTATTGTAACACCATGTTATTTCTCCCATAATGTTGTTATTGGTAGCAAAATTTGAGGGAGAAAATTTTGCAGGCAGCTTTTGTGGCAATTGTAGATTAACATTTTCATTATTAAGTTCTTCAGTGTTGGCTTATTTGTAGATTTCATTAATTGATAATACTAATAATGGCTTACTATCTAGTTTTGCAATTATAAAAATAATGCCTCAAATTTTCACAAAATATCTAGAACATAAAGCCCTAAATAGAGTGTATCTTGTGGTGTAAGAAAGTGGAAGGTTGGGATTGGAGTGAGGGGTGGACAGTTACCATATAAATTACATGAAGATGTTAGCATATAATTGGACTTTGCCCCTAGAATCATAAATTAGGGATGTAGTCTCATCCTCCTATACTTGTAAGCTTCTCTTTCTTGAAAATCCTGCCTGAGGAAACAGCACCATTTTGTTGAAGTTCTTAAAATAATCTTCATAATTACATAGTGTATGACTCAGAAATAACCCCTACCTATAACCTCATTTACTTATTTACTTATTTGTTTAGCAAACATTGATTCTACTCTGCTATGTGATAGCATTATGCTGCTTCCATTATGTGCAATGATGAGCGGGGTCAAAACTTTCCCTGCCTCATTATAATAAAAGCCTAGTGAGAGATCCAGATGAGTAAACAGGAAATAATAACACGAAGCAATGAGAGCTATTGGTGGGGTAGTAGAGAATATCATGAGAGTACATGTAGGGGAGAAGCACTATTCAATGTCTTCCATGTGCATCTGAGGGTGTATAAAAGCGATCAGGGAATGCTGTCCATATAAGCTGATGTGTCAAGGATGCCATGGTCAAAGAATACAGAGTGGCAGATACATAGGATGAATAAGTCTAAAGATCTAATATACCATATGAAGACTATAGTTAATAGTAGTGTTTTGGATTCAGGATTTTTGCTAAATAAGTAGATAACCACTGCTCTTTGCTTCAGGAGGGAAAAATAGGTAGCTATGAGAGATTATAGATATGTTAATTTGCTCCACAATAGTAACCATTTTACTATATACATATGTATCTTATAACAGCATATTGTATACCTTTAAATATACTCTTTTTTAAGAGAATGTATCTGTTTAGCCGGGCAAACATTGGAGGAAGAGAAGTTACATGATGCTTCACTCAGAGAATGACTCACGTAAAGGCTGAGGGTTGAGAGGGATCAAGATATTCGTGACATTCGGAGTAAATGAATTGAGGAGTGCACAGAGTAGGGTGAGAAGCGGGTGGCAGTTGCTCAGAATGGATAGCTGTGAAGGAGCCATGTAACAAAGGATCTTGTAATCCTTGATAAGGAAGATGCACAATATTTTAAAAGTCATGGGGATCCATTAGTTTATACAGGTGTGAGATAGGATATTTGTGTTTTTTGAAAGATTGCTATAGCTATAATGGGGAAAATGACTGAAGGCAGAGGCAAGAGGGGAGGCAGGAAAGTCTTTACATATTTTTTACATATATATGTATATAGGTACATATAGACATACACATATATGCATATACATAATCAATGTATGTATAATTAATATTACATCATTTTTAATTCTATGTGTCTTTCTTTTTTATACCATGTGTCAATCTTTAAATAAGTTAATTTATGAAAACAGTTTGTACATCACCTTCTCATATTAGCATTTCATGGACATTGATTAGTGGTGATTCCACAGCACCATCCAGAGTGATTGGTTAGAAATAAACAGAAAAATATCAGAGAATGCTAGGGATCAACAACCTGCCATTGCTGAGTGCTTGTGTTCCATTTGAGTGGTGCAGAGGCCTGGGTTTCTGAGTGGCAGCAGTCTGGAACTGTGCAGAGAGGGTAGAGTGTGCAGTGACTCAGTAACTCAGTTATTTTTAAAAAATACATAGCTGGGTCAGAACATCCCATTCTGTTTTTCTTCAGGGAATGCTGTAACAGGGAAATCATTCTTTCCTGTATGGAAAGAAGACACATTCTAGATTACTCAAAAGTAAAATAATGGGTTGCAGCTTCTCCTCACATTTCAATACTGCATGCCTAAAACCCAGAAACTAAAAAACAAAATGGATAATTTAGCTTAATAGCCCTCACGTTTCCGTCTGCAAACCTCTCATGGAAGGGATTAGAGAGTGTGGACAACCTCCTATGGTCTAAAACATAAAAATTCATAGCCAAGTGAAAAGTTATGCCCAAAACTTTGAAATATTTAGCCCAATATCGAATGGAAAGTACATCATATTGGTTGTTTGCAAAAGAAATGCTAGCATCATCTCCTGTATGTAGATAGTTATAAGTAGTTTGAGTAGAAATATCCTTTCAAAACTTGAGCTATCTATACTGAATAATATCAACAACCATATCCTCACTGACTATATTAGACTAGAACTCATTAAAACACACAATTTAAGTGATCTAAAAATTCACAATGTAATCATTAAACACGAAATAAAATATTTAATTAAAAAGTCAGTGTATAACTGAAAAAAATTTCAAATGGTAATAATTCAAAAGTTACAGTTCTGTTCCCTGTTTCCTTTATCTATTGTATTTCATTTTATCCCATGGGTAAGAAGATATTATATAGCTGGAAAGTAAGGAAAAACTAACAAAAGTAGCTCAATATACTCAGTTAGTTGCTTATATAAAATAGAGTTATAACTCAGTAAAATTGCAGGGTTCTTGCCTTTTTATAACAAGAATTTTGTTTCAATTTAGTGCTTTAGATTTTGTTTTGTCACTACCTGTGACCAAACAACTTGCTATACAGCATTTGTCATGAGGTGCCAGCATAGACTCTGCTTGATGACACAGGACCAGGGAACAATGAATGAGGGGAAAGAAAAAGAATTACAAGGGGGAAACAAAATAAAGCATGTGAAGGAAAGAATGTGGAGAATATCTTGTGTAGTAACTATATCATAGTAGTCACTCAGTAGATGAAAAAAGTGACAGGATGAAAAACTAAAAGGAGAAAAGAAAATATGTGATGCTTTAATTCGTGATATGGAAAGAATGCTCTGTTCTCACTTATATGAAAGAGCTAAATAAGGAGAATTCACGGACACAGAGAGGGGAAAAACAGACTCTGGGACCTACTTGAAAGTGAAGGGTGGGGGGTGGAAGAGGATTAGAAACTATACCTATTGGATACTAGGCTTGGTACCCAGGTGATGAAATAATCTGCACAACAAACCCCCATAACATGAATTGGCCTATATAACAAACCTGCACATAGATCCGTAAACCTAAAATCAAAGTTTAAAAAAGAGAAGGAATGCTCTACTGTGTCAATTTCTCCTCATTCTGTGACCTATTCCAAGGCAAAGACATTCCTTTAACCACCCCAATGCGCAAATATTTACCCTAATACCACTTGTGTTGATGCCCACCTCATCTTTTGTTTAATTTAATGATCAGTCTGCTTCTGTCATGTCAGTCCAAGTAGCTTAGTGTTTTGGGAAGAATCTACTTAATTTTCAAAGTCTGCGTAACCATTATTGCAGTGAAAAATATGTTTTAGTTCCTTTCTCTAACAGTCTTAAGCTAATTGTAGACACTGGCCCCATTAGAAGAATTCACTTTCTTTCTAAAGGATACCACTAAGTCCAGTACTCAATTAGTGCAAAGAGAAGAATTGTCTTGCAAAGTGGCACAAAGCAGGTAAGAGAGACCAAAACTCAGTCTTCCAGAAAAGAAAAAAAAAAAAGCATCTTTTAAAATGGAGAGGAAGAAAATTTCATCTCTCTAATAAATCAAGAAGTCATAAGATATCTGTTATTTATTTTACAGGTGGAGGTCAAATGCCCACTATTTTTCAAGAAAAAAAGATACCAGTCTTTCATTTCAATTAACCTTATAAAACAGTCAATAAATATTTTTGAAAAATATTCCTGGCAGCTGTGAAGGCAAGAATAGTTTTAAAGGCCGTTTTTTACTAAGCTAAATGGAGACCTATGTTGAGTTTAGTGTTCAATCAAATTTCCAATTCAAGCATTTGAAAGATGAGTTTCCTGAAATATACTTCAAAGCCTGATTTGAAGACCCTGATTATCTCCTTTAAGGCACTACACAAGGAATGTCCAGAAACCTTTCAAAGAACAAAGTCAGCCTCCAGAAGCAATGACCAAGTTCTTTTTTCTCTTTTTGAGACAGTAAAGATAAATGTATTATATATGGCTTATCACATTATGTAAATTATGTATGTCTAGTGTTTAACGTATTCCAAGGAAGAACTGTTGTAGAATGCTGTCATTCTAAATGTAACGATTTAGAAAATGGACACAATTTTAATTTTGAACTAATCAATCTAATTGAAGATCCAATTATCATATTATACATACACCAAACATTTTTATAACAAGGTCTTATTATTTCAAAATTATCATTAAAGATATTTTGAAATTTTTTTGGGAAAGTAAACGTAAATTGAAGAGCTTGGTGCATAAACAGGAAAGAAATAACAATCTAGATAAATTTAAATGTGTTTTATATTTTAAAAATAGCATCATGAAAACCAGAAATAATATCGCTATTTTAGTTATTGAATTTAAATCTTACTCTTAATTAAAATTCTAAAATTCCTGATGAAAACATGTAAAGATCTACACAATGAAATGTATTTGTTCCAACCATGAATGGACATACGTTTGAGGGTTACATCTAAGGCTGATCTTTATTTGTATAATAAGGATTATATAAGTTGCTATAAATAAGGATAACATAAATCATACAAGTTGCTCATAATACCTTAAGTGTAATGAAAGTATATTAAAATTTGTATGTATTCCAAACTCAAACTTGTTTCTATTGATTCCAGTGCTTACAGGTAGAGGGACACAGAGACAGAGAGAGAGAGAGAGGCAGGGAGAGAGGAAAGGAGAGAGGAAGAAAGCAAAATTTAAAACACAATAATTAAGATATTCACTATTATAGAAGAAGCATTTAATTTTAGTAAGTTTCAAGGACTGTTATAAATTCATAAAACAGAATGCAATCTAGAAGGACTAAATCAGACCACATGAGTAAGTCACCATTATGTATTCATATTCTAAACCAGGTATAGTACCATAAACTTAAGATATAGAACATATTATTGGAATTAAATTATAGAAAGTTCTTTAAAGATAAAGATTAGAATCAATGCAGGTCTTTACACAAATACTGGCTGTTTCATAATAAAAAGGAGATAGAAAACTCTAGAGAAAACTATTTTGTAAGTTTATTTTAAAAATCTTCAAATGGAAGTTTCAGTGGAGCCTGCAGATGGGAGATGCTGCAGGCCGGACTGCTGTTCTTCATAAAACTAATTTTAACCAACTCCACATACTCATTTTGGTACATATATGAATTTTTGAATGCTGGAATATTTTCCCCTTAAAAATCATATGGGTTACCCATAACGCCTTTGGTTTAATGTGGATATATTAAAATTTGTATGTATTCCAAACTCAAACTTGTTTCAATTGATTCCAGTCTTTATAGATAGAGGGACACAGAGAGAAAGTGGGAGGGAGGGAGAAAAGAAAGGAGGGAGGAAGAAAAGAGGTTTTTCTGCATCCACTAAAACACGTCTCATCTTGATATCCAGCTGTTGTTGAGTGATTTGAAAATCACTTTTGCTGACTGGGTTATGGGGAGAGATGTGAGTTGTTGTGATGTCATATTAGCCACGCAGAATGAAACACATGCTCAGAATATCTAAAACAAGTTTATCTCTCACTGCAGCTGAGAATGGTGCTGGTGGAGAAAAACAATTCAGAAATGGTTTACAAGGATTCGTTTCTAGGTATAACAAGGACTACCATGAAAATATATAGGATCATTTCCATTATCAGTAATAAAAAATGGTGCATAAACAAGGCAAATATGTAATTAGACTGAAACATGACAACTAGAGGTTAGACCAAGCTTCCATGAAATTGACAATAGACAGTGATACTGATATTTCCTGGAATTTTGTAGCCACTGGCCTGATATGAAATGTTACATTATGCGTCAATTTATTTATCAATTTGTTAATTCATTGAGATTTTTGAATAACCCTATGCAAGGCATACAACTACAAGATGTGGGGATTCAAATATAAAAACGTTGGCATGCATCCTGCCCTTAGAAAGTTTACAACCTAGTGGGGGATAAGAGGGAGATAAGCTCTGCATATAAATGATTATAATGCAATGAGTTACATAGTTAGTGTCACAGCCTGAGTACAGATAAAGTACTGTATGGTTTCACCTGAGAGAAAGTTTGATTATAGTTGTGAGATAGGAATGTTTCACTAGAAGCTGGTGTTTGAACCAGGACTTAAAGGGTGGGTCCGTAGCCTTAGTGGGGCAGGGTACTCCACATCAACTGCTACAAAGGGAGAAATGCAGTAGGTATAGGGATCTATAAGAATCAGAATGGATATGTAGCCAAAAACAATTCTGGAGATATCTTAGAATTAACTTATGTACATCAATTAACTCAGCAATTTTGTGTCTCAGTAACTAGCCTGAGAAGCATTCACCCATGTATACAAAGTGACAGGTGCAAAGATGTTGCAGAGTTTTAAGATTATGTTTTTAAGTGAGAAAAATGCACAGAGCCCAGATAAAGTATGGTGTCATTAGTACCAAAAAAGTTACACACAAACAATTTTTCTTATAGGTGTGCGTATGTGATGATGCAGACATGTATGTTTTCTGAAAAGAAACAAATCACACTGAGAGCACTGGTTTTCCTCTGAGAAGTGTAACAGGATGGAGGTAATGACATTCATTTTTTAGGCAGAGAATGAATTTGTTCATTTCTTGTGTAAGCAAAATCTAGTTAAAGTGTAATGGATACTAGAAAGTACATTTAGGTAAATAATTTACTTTCCTTCATATAACCAAAAGCAGAGGCACTCTCACATTTTTTTTCAGTCCACTGGAACATGCTTGGTTTCTTTTTATTTTTACAGATTACCTGCTTAACTTTGGGTAAATATCCTTGCTTTCTATTATTTAGTGTCCTTCTTAGTAAAGTATAGCTAATGGTAATCTCTTGCTTAGCTACAACAAAGGTATCTTACAAGAATTTAATACAAATATATCATAAATATCAAAAGATGAACACATGGAGAATAAAATAATGTCAATTATTATTAATTTTCTCCTTCTTAATTTATGTACATACTCTTTTTGCAACATCATGGCAAATTTTTCTATGTGTCACCTCACAATGTATTAGAATTCCAATTAATAATAAAAACTGCTGGGAAAAGATGAGTAAATGAATGCAATCACCATACTGGACTCTGGCCAAGATCCCAGGATCATTTCTCTGTCAAAAAGTGCTGTGAATCCATTTCAGGTGTGCAAGGTCGGGACCTCTGATTTGCGTCTCATTTGAAATCATGGCCTCTGTCAGCCAATAGGTCTTAACAGTGTTCCAAGTCTGACTGAAGGGGTCTGAGCAGAATAGAAGGTACTGCTGATTTCATTCCCTACTTCTTTCCACTCTCTTTAGCGATCCCCCTTTTCTCCCTGAAGAAATCTTTGAAGTGGAGTATGTTAAAACCCTGCGTCCTTGGTAATGGCAGCCTGGTGCTGCTGAGAGCAGAGAGATTGAGTGCCAGTTATGAATGGATCAGGCATTGCAGCAGAGGGACAGAGACACAGAAAGGATTTCTCCACAGATGCTGTTGAATTTGTCACAAAGAGCTTACTCCTGTTGATGCACTATTTTTTGGTAATATTTAGAGGACTTTAGCAATTATATTTTGAGATGGGGAAAATTAGCATGGCCTTGAATTTTATTTTAACCTGCAAAATATTTATGACTGCCTCATATATCTTTCTAAATAATGTAACTTGCCTTAATTAGACATATTTGCCTCATTTAAACCTTTGGTCCCTGGACTTCATTCTGTATTTTAAATTATTAAATTCAAAAATCTGCTAACTTAGAGATTGGTCTAGTTATAGCACTTTTCCCATACCTGAAATATTGCCCACTAGTCAAAATGAACCCTGGAAAGGTACATTTGTAAAACCAGAAACCTTGGCTTTTTGATTTCTCACTTATGTGCATAAAGATACTCATACTAACACAACACTGACGGCCAGTGGGCAGGCATTGTCCAATTAGTACCAGACCTTAGGAGGGATACCTTATTTGGCACTTCAAGCTGGCACTGCTTCTCTGTGTGCTATTATAGGAAAAAGCTGAAAGCCAGAACAGGGAGGCATTTTGTGCCATAAACGCCAAAGTAATATTTAGACCAGAGCATTTGCTGATCCATATGTTTTTACCAGGGTTGTAATTTTCATTTTTCACAAAGGTAGGAAATCTGCTCTGTAAAGAATGATCCTAAAATTATTTCTTTCTTCCCTTTCAGAGGTTTACTTGTGAACATAAACACACAGAAAAATCTCCTGAATTGAAAAGAATATTTTATTTGAATTTATTATATGTGAGCTTGCAGTTATACTATTTTCAAGTTAGAGTTTAGAGAGTGTCGTGATGTGTAAAGCTGTTTAGCTGGCTTTGAATTTAACAGTGTGAGTGTGGTGGATGAGAATGGGATGGGGACACTATTCTAACTGCCTCGAAAGTGAAAAGAGGGCTCTAGTAGAGGGACAGGGAATTGTAATAATAGAGCTCTGATGACAGAAGGAAAGGCCGCCAAGAAAAGGAAAGAGAAATCAGGTCACAGATAAAGGACGAATTAATGAGGCTGAAATTGCTCTGGGACAATAAAGAAAATTTTGCCTCTTCTCAAGCTTTGCTTATATGCTGATATATATGCTAAAATAATTGTAACTTCAAATGACTTAATTTAGGAGACAGATAAAGATTAATATACCCACCTTTCGATGAAAAACCATAATTAAAGCAATGCCAAATATCTGTATTCCATACAGGTTAAGTACTCCAATTAAATTAAAGCAATAGAAATTTGAATGTTTCGCCTCCAGCTAGTTCAATATTGAGGACTAGACCAAGTAATTTTTTGAGGTTCCTTTAATGTCCAACTGCGGTGACTTTTCAGACAAATACTAATAACCGGTAGCTATTCCTCCATACAGTCCACTAACGGGTTGTTAAAGAATATAAAATAAGTATCACTTCACTTATTCTTGCCACCTTCTACCCACAAGGTGCAGCCAGTTCACTTTATAATTCACTTGTACAACTTAGTTAAAATGATAAAATGATCATATGTCATTACCTCATGTAAGCTGCAAACAAATACTTTTTTTCTGTCTTCTCTCAAGATACAACCTACTCATCTCTTCAAATGTAAACCTCTTTGGTTGCACAGCTATAAAGAACACCATAAATCTTTGTCTGTATCATGAAATTACCTAATCCCTTCCTGATTTAGTGTATTAATGTTAACACATACTATTTTAATTACAATAAAAGGCCTTTTTTTGTAGAACATGTGGTTGGGTATACAAATACAGTCATAAATTAAAGCCTAATTTAAATGCCTTGTTTATATATATATTAATTTTTATAAATAGTAAAAAAAAAAAAAACTGGCCTCAAAGATAGAAACTGCCCATGATGGGACTGAGCTAGTATATCTGACAGTGAAATCTCGTAATTCCAACTAAATTAATATTATATTGTTCTGACATATAACTTAAGGATATTTAAGGTTATTATTTGCTGTCATTTCTGCATTCTAAAATAGGTAGTGAAAATATTGGCATTCCAGTCTAGATTGGACATGATCATATTCTTATTTATTGTGTGCTTACTTTTTCTCTAAGACCATTGGATAATAATTTTATTATTTTTTTCAATGAAAAACTTGGGGTAGTTTATTGATGGGTACACCAGGGTGATTAAAGAACAACCAGATAGCTGTGTGAAAGGGAAAAAGATACCACTTTCCTAGTTTTATGTTCTTTAGTTTTAACTTCTGATTGCCAAAATGTTCCTTCCACGGATTTATACATGCTTTTACAACCATCTGTCAACATACTAGTTGTTGTTAGTAACCATTAAAATAAGTTGATCTAGTTAGGGTAGATGATTTTTACTCAAGCTAACTACTGGGCTCATTACACTCTTAAATACCAAAAGTAAAATCAAATGTCTTTTCTTATGGCCGTGATAGAGTAATTTGTACCCCATTATCTTTCCATTATAAACAACTATAAAACAGGACAAAATACACAAAGCAATACTTTTCAGACATTGGAAAAGAGGCAGTGCAGAAACATCATTCCTGAGGGAAGAGAAACACATGAGGTATTCCTCATGGTTACCCCAGTTGTCTGCCTTGAAACATTTTTCAGGCAACAATATAATGAAATGGAGCCTAAGCAAAGCATGGTAACATTAATGAGCTGAAGAAGCAATATTCTGACCCCAGACCTACAGAAGTGGCTGGAATTTGCTGTGTAGGGTCTTGAAAAGGAGGTTGCTGCACAAAGAAGGAGTTCTATGAATTTGCAGATGGTCCTAGTTAGGTATTTTTACAAACACTACACTACACATATAGAAGATGAAGTTTAATGAATTGTAGGAAAAAAAAAAAGTTACTGGGAAACTAAGCACTGAACAGAGATCTCAGAGGCCACAAAGTACAAGCAAACATAAGAATTCCAATCTGACAGAGTAGAGAGAATATGCTGAATACCCCAGGTTTTCAGCTGAGATTCCAAAAGTTCATGCTATAAAAGGAGAACTACTTGAGAAATTCATTAAGACCTAACCTATACTTATCCTTACAAAGCTTTAAATCAATCCCTAATTAGTAGCATATTATTCCACAATTAAATTAATTGCTTCTTAGAATGAAACTCAATTCTTTTTAAAGAAAGACAACAAAATCCAGACTTTGAACACTATAGCATTGAAATTATTTTTAAAAACATAAAAAATGCTAAGCACATAAAGAATCAGAGAAGTTTTGCCTGTAATTAAGAAAAACAAAAACAATATGAATAAAGCTACACATAAAATCTGTATTTATCTGTTCTCACGCTACTAATAAAGACATATCTGAGACTGGGTAACTTGTAAAGGAGAAAGGTTTTATGGACTCACAGTTCCACATGGCTGGGGAGGCCTCACAATCATGGCAAAAGGTGAATGAGAAACAAAATCACGTCTTATGGGGTGGCAGGCAAAGAGAGGATGAGAGCCAAGCAAAAGAGGAAACCCCTTATAAAACCATCAGATCTCGTGAGACGTATTCACTACCATGAGAATAGTATGGGGGGAACCACTCCCATGATTCAGTTATCTCCACCAGGCCCCTTCTGCAACATGTGGGAATTGTGAGAGCTATAATTCAAGATGAGATTTGGGTGAGGACACAGCCAGACCATATCAAAATCATATCGAAATCATCTAAGGGATATAAAACATCAATATTTAGTCAATTTTTTGAATAATAAATATACTGTTTGAGAAAAATGGTACTCTCTGTAAAGTAATATAAAGAATAAAACAAAATGAAATAAAATTTATTTAACTAAAAGATAAAAATATTTAAATAAAAATATATTGGATATAATAATAGCAAACTGAAACCTACAAAGGAAGAAAATCAGTGAAGTTTAAAGAGGTGGCAAGAGAAACTACTCAAACAAAAATTTCGAGAGAAAAAAGTCTGTTAGAAAATAAAAAGTTTGTAATTTATGAGAAAATATGAAGAATTCTAACATTTTCGTGATTGTAGTATAGGAAGTAGGAGAGAGAGAGAGATAAGAATAGAAAAAAGAATTGAGGAAATAATGCCAAAAATTGTTCAGTTGTGATAGAGAATATCAACTCACAGGTACAAAAATCTCAATGAATGCTAAGAAAACTAAGCAATGAGCAAACCTTACCAGCCATATAATAGTCAAAGTGCTAAAAAGCAAAAACAGAAAATTTTTAAGACAGGAAGCTAAAGAAATTACGTATCTGAGAAAAATGATAAGCAATACTAATAACTTCTCCTCACTAACTAATGCAAGCTCAGACCTCCATAGAATAACATCTTTAAAATTTGGGGGTAGGGGAAAATTGCCATTCTAGAATTCCATACCAAGTGAAAATGTTGTTACATAAAGAAAGACAATGTAAAGACATTTAAAAATAAACCAAAGATATATTAATTTGTGACTACTAGATACATAATGCAAGAAATGTTATAAGTAAATATTTATGTACAAGGAATAGAATGCCAGGTTCAATCTGCATCTACACAAAGGATGCACTGGATATAATAAATATGAGTGAAAATATTGAAGACATTTTTTACTGTTTCTTAATTTCAAAACAATTGACCACTTAAAGCAAAATATGTTAATAATGTATTCTGGGGTTTGTAACACATAGAGAAGTAAAATGTGAGGTTTATAATATAGACAGAATTAAAATGCATGACTACAATAGCACAAAGTAAGCAAGAGAAGTGGAAGTAAACCATCAAAGAGTTTTTACATTATACATTAAATTATATCACTTTAATTTATATTGTGTTGTAAAAAGTTATAGGTGCATTTTTAAATTCCTAAAACAGGCTGGAGGAGGCAGAGCAAGATGGCAGAATAGAAAGCTCCACTAATCGTTCCCTTACCCCCACCCCCTGCAGGTACACCAACTTAACAACTATCTACACACACAAAAAACACCTTCATAAGAATAAAAAATTAGGTGAGCCCTTATAGTACCGGCGTTTAACTATATATGGCTGAAAGAGGAACTGAAGAGTTAGAAAAACAGTCTTGAATTGCCAGTGCCACCTATTATCCCTCAACCCAGAGCAATTGCAGTGAGACGAATTTTGGGGCTCTAGGGGAGGGAGAACACGGCAATTGTGAGGCATTGAACTCAGTGCTGTTTTGTTAGAGCAGAAAGGAAAACCAGACCAAACTCCGCTGATGCCCACCCATGGAAGGAGCATTTAAACCAGCCATAGCCAAAGGGGAATCACCCATCCCAGCAGTCCGAAGTTGAGTTCCCATGAACCTCACCACTGAGAGCCAAAGTGCCTTTCAAAGCAGACTTGAAAGCCAGCCTAGCCCATAAGGACTGTAACTCTTAGGGGAGTCCTTGTGCTGAACTTGTCCCAGAGACCGGACTGAAGGGCCATGCAACATACTGAGACATCAGTTGGGGCAACCAAGGGAGCGCTGGCATCACTCCTCCCTCAGCCTCAGGCTGCACAGCTCTCTGCTCTAAAAGAGATCCCTTTCTTCCACCTGAGGAGAGGAGAGGGAAAAGTGAGGAGGACTTTATTTTACATTTTGGATACCAGCTCAGCCGCAGCAGGATAGGGTAACTGTCAGGGTCATGAGACCCCCCATTCCAAGCCCTAGCTCCCAGACAACATAACCCGGCCAGAAGGGAACCCAACGCCTTGAAGGCAGGACTCCATCCTGGCAGCATTCATCACCTGCTAACGGAAGAGCCCTTGGGCCTTGAATAACCAGCAGCAATACCCAGGTACTATGTCGAGGGACTTGGGTGAGCCTCTGAGATTTGCTGGCTTCAAGTGAAAGACAGCACATTTCCAGCTGTGATGGCTGCGGGGAAAAGTTCCTTCTGCTTGAGAAAAGCAGAGGGAAAGTAAAGGGGACTTTTTCTTGCACCGTAGGTGCCACAGGGAGGTAGAGCACCAAGCAGGCTCTTCGGGTCCCTAATTTCACGACTTGACCCTTGAAAAGCATTTCTGGACCTGACCTGAGCCAGAGGGGAGCCCACTGTTATGAAGGTGAGTCTCAGGCCAAACATTCACCACAAGCTGATTTAAGAGCCTTTGGGACATAAGGGAACAATGATGGTAGTAACATGACAAGGATGTGCACTTTCATCACTGTTATTCAAAGTAGTACTGGAATTCCCAGCTACAGCAATCAGACAAAAGAAAGAAATAAAAAGCATCCATATTGGAAAAGAACAAGTCAAATTTCCTTGTTTGCAGATTATATGATGTTATATTTGAAAAAAACTAAAGATTCCACAAAAATCTATTAGAACTGATAAATTCAGTACAGTGGCAGGATACAAAAATCAACACACAAAAATGGGTAGCATTTCTACATGCCAACAGAGAGCAATCTGAAAAATAAATTTTAAAAGTAATCCCATTTACTATAGCCACAAATATAATTAAATACATAGCAATTAACCAAAGAAATGAAATCTCTCCATAACAAAAATTAAAAAACACTGATGAAAGAAATTGAGGACACCAACAAAATGGAAAAATATTCCATGTTCAAGGACTAAAAGATTCAATATAGTTAAAATGTTTATACTACCATGAGCAATCTACAGATTTAATGCAATCCCTATCAAAATGCCAATAATATTCTTGACAGAAATAGGAAAAGCAATACAAAAAATTTATGGAGCAACGAAAGACCAAGAACAGCAAAATCTTTTCTAAGCAAAGAGAACAAAACTGGAGTAATCACATTGCCTGACTTCGAATTATACTACAGAGCTGTAGTAAACAAAACGGAATGATACTGGCATAAAAACCAGCAAATAGACCAAGGGAACAGAATAGAGAACCCAGAAACAAATGTCCGTACTTACAATGAATTCTTTTTTGACAATGGTGCCAAGAACATACTCTGGAGAAAAGACAATCTCTTCAATAAATAGTGCTGGGGAAACTGGAAATACATATGCCGAAGAATGAAACTAGACCTCTATCTCTTACCATATACAAAAATCAAATCAAGATGGATTAAAGTGTTAAATCTAATACCTCAAACTATAAAACTACTACAAGAAAACATTATGGAAACATTCTGGAGTAATGGGGCAAACATATCTTGAGCAATACCCCACAAGCATAGGCAACCAAAGCAAAAATGGGAGAAAATATTTGCAAACTATCCATCTGACAAGGGATTAATACTAGAATATATAAGAATATAAAAGGAGCTCAAAAAACTCTATAGGAAAAAAATATAATAATCTAATCAAAAACTGGGCAAAATATTTGAATAGACATTTTTCAAAAGAAGACATGTAAATGAAAAATAGGCATATGGAAAGGTGATCAACATATTGATCATCAGAGAAATGCAAATCAAAACTACAATGAGATGTCATCTCACCCTAGTTAAAATGATCATTATCCAAGAAACAGGCAATAGCAAAGCTGGCAAGGATGTCGAGAAAAGGGAACCCTCCTACACTGGGGAATGTAAATTAGTACAATTGTTATGGAGAACAGTTTGGACATTCCTCAAAAAACTAAAATTAGAGCTTAGCTACTATATGATCCAGCAATCCCACTGCTGGGGATATACCCAAAAGAAAGGAAATCAGTATATCAAAGAGATACATGCACTCCCATGTTTGTTGCAGCACTATTCAAAATAGCTAAGATCTGGAGTAACGTAAGTGCTGTCAACAGATAGAGAAAGAAAGAAAATGTGGTACATATACACAAGGGAGTACTATTCAGTGATAAAAAAGAAGGAGAGCCAGTTACTTGCAACAATGTGGATGAAACTGGAGATCATATTGTTAAGTGAACTAAACCAGGCACATCTAAACATCTCATGTTCTCACTTATTTGTGGGATCTAAAAATCGATTGAACTCATGGACCTAGAGAGTATAAAGATGTTTACTAGGGTCTGGGAAGGGTAGTAGAGGGAATGGAGGAAAGTGGGGATGGTTAATGGGTACAAAAAATAGAACGACTGAAAAAGATCCTCTGTTTCATAGTACAACAGTGTGACTATTGTCAATAATAATTTAATTGTACATTTTAAAATAACCAAAAGAGTGTAACTGGATTATTTTTAAAACAAAGTATAAATGCTTGAGGAGATGGATACCATATTCTTCATGATGTGATCATTTCACATTGCATGCTTGTATCAAAACATCTCATGCACCCCACAAATATATAAACCTAATATGTACCCACAACGATTTTTAAAAAATTAAAAAATATAGGCTGGGTGCGGTGGCTCATGCCTGTAATCCCAGCACTTTCAGAGGCCGAGGCGGGTGGAGCACGAGGTCAGGAGTTCCAGACCAGCCTGGCCAATATGGTGAAACCCCATCTCTACTAAAAATACAAAAATTAGCTGGGCATGGTGGCGTGCACCTGTAGTCCCAGCTACTCAGGAGGCTGAGGCAGAAGAATCGTTTGAATCCAGGAGGCAGAGGTTGCAGTGAGCTGAGATGGTGCCACTGCACTCCACCCTGGGCAACAGAGCGAGACTCCGCCTCAAAAAAAAAATAAAATAAAATAAAAAATAAAAAAACACAGTAAAATAAATTCCTAAAACAGTCATTAAAAACAACAAAGAGGTAAAGCTAAATGAAGATAAAATATTAAAATACACTTAATATATTGACAAGAAGGAAGAAAAGGAGAGAAAATAAAATAAAGATATGAGAGAAAGACATAAAGAGAAAGTTAATAGCAAGATTTTACACTGGAAGATAATAATATTAATTTAGTATATCAAATATATGTGGTGTTCCACTTTCACGTAGACTTAACAAAGCTAAGAAGCATTCTTAGCTTTAGAAAGCTTTTGAAATTAGAAAGCAGAAGAAGGTATTCTCACTCTAATAGCAAGTTAAAACTAGGATAATCTATTAAATAATAACTTATTTTGAGCCAATCAGAGACATGCAGTTGCAAGGCAACCAAAGGAATTAAATTCCATACCTGAATTTTTAACCTATTTTTAAAGGCCAAGTATACGCAGGATGTTGTGTCAGATTGGAAAACTGTGAGTCTCAGATGTGAGGCAAGTTCTCATTATATCATTTGTTCCACTCCAGACTACCAGGTGCTTACAAGAAAGACTGAAGGCAGCTGGGCATGGTGGCTCACGCCTGTAATCTCAACACTTTAGGAGTCCGAGGCAGGTGGATCATGAGGTCAGGGGTTCGAGACCAGCCTGGTCAACTTGGCAAAACCCCACCTCTACTAAAAATACAAAATTAGCTGGGCGTGGTGGCAGTTGCCTGTCATTCCAGCTTCTTAGGAGGCTGAGGCAGGAGAATCTCTTGAACCTGTGAGGCAGAGGTTGCAGTAAGCTGAGATCACACCACTGCATTCCAGCCTAGGCAACAAGAGTGAAACTCCATAAAAGAAAGAAGGAAGGAAGGGAGGAAGGGAGGAAGGAAGAAAGGAAGGGAGGGAGGGAGGGAGGGAAGGAAGGAAGGAAAGAGAAAGAAAGAAAGAGAGAGAGAGAGAGAGAGAGAGAGAAAGAAAGAGAGAGAGAGAGAGAGAGAGAGAAAGAAAGAAAGAAAGAAAGAAAGAAAGAAAGAAAGAAAGAAAGAAAGAAAGAAAGAAAGGAAGGAAAGAAAGGAAAGAAAGAAAGGAAAGAAAGAGAGAGAAAGATTGATTGAAGGCAAGGTGGGGTACCGGAAAGGGACTCTCCAAGTGGTTCACAGACGCAGTAGGTAAGTGAAAGGATACTTTTCCTAAGCAAAGATGGACTGCCTCTAGGGAAGAGGTAGAAGCAAAGTTTATCCACTTCTGGAGAAAAAAAAAAAGATAATCCTCCTCCCTTATTCCCATGCAAATGTCTACTGAAGTTAAGGGAGAGATATAGTAAAAGGCTGTCTGTCATGGGGAGAGGAAACCTGCTTGGGTGCAGCATGCTGCCTTAATAAAAGGAGAGGCAATGACCATTAAGGGCAGGGCAGAAAACCTGTGCCTGCATAAGGTACTTCCCCTATCCAATTTGATACAAATCTCATTGTGGCACCAATTACCACGGGAAAGAAGAACACAGACATTTTGACAAAGGTTATTCTGGTGGTCCAGGTAAGTGGCGCTTCCATAAGACTGAATCTGGAACAGAAGACTCTAGAGACTCTCTCTGCCTCCCAACCAAACCTTGAGCTAAGAAGTAATAAAGAACAGCAGGAGGGGAAAATACCAGAGAGGATCTTCTCTATGGAGTAGACATGCAATACATTCTGAAAGCTGAGGGTGAATCCAGTACAATGAGAAAAAAATCATCAGTCACACAGGATGCATAAGGGAGTGGCAGCCCATTTCTAGGACAATTTGAATCCTGGGGTGCATTGGAGGTAACTATGCAGAAACAAATCCCAAACTCAAACTCAATTACTGAATATTCTGACTCAACACCCAAAAACAGATAAAAGAAGAAGTGTGCATATTCTGGGATGTAATTAATATTCATCTTTGTTGCTAATATATTTTAATATGTCTGGCACTGAATGTCTTTATGAGACACAATAAAATCAAGAAAAAGTGACCCACTGTCAAAACATACAGTACTCAACAAATCCAGACAAAGAGATAACACATAGGTTGAAAATTTCAGACAAGGATTTTAGAGCAACCATGAATAATATGTTAATGGAACTGGTAGAAAACAGATAAAAAGTATATAAAGTTTCAGCAGAGAGATGGAAACTATGAAAAATGTTTCAAATAAAAATGCTTAAATTCAGAATTAAATATTAGAGAAGAAAAATTCTTCAATCAGCGCACTGGAAGTGACAGAAGGAAAAAAATCAGAGAACTCTAAGATAGGTCAATAGAAATTTCCCAAACAGAAACAGAAACATAAAATAGAGGTTAAAACATTTGAACAAAAAGCAAAGCATATTGAAGAACTGTGAGGCAATATTAAGGGTTCTAATATTTGTGTAAGTTGGAATTCCACAAGTGAGCTGTTGGAGTGGGGCAGAATAAATATTTTTTAAAAAATAATGGCCAAACATTTTCTGAACTTGATGAAAATTATGAACACAGAGATGCAAACATACAAAATGTGATGAAAATTATATCAAGTACATAACAGTTAACTGCTTAAAACAGTTGATAAAATGGGTCTTAAGTCAGAAAAAAAGCAGATGCAATATGTAAAGATGAACAAAGGTAAGGAAACTTCTAGTAGAAACAATGCAATGTAGGAGACAAAGGAGCAACAGCTTTAAGTCCTGACAATAATAATAAATGAAAATTTGTCAACTTTGAACTTTACCCTTATTGAAAATATATCCCCAAAACAAAGGCCAAATAAAGACTTTCTCAGGTATACAAAAGTGAAATGAATTTATGTAGAAAGCACTACAAAACTGCTAAAGGAAGTTCTTAAGGCAGAAAGAAAATGATATTAAGTGGAAACTTGGAACTATACCAAACAAAACAAAAACAAAAATTTAAAAAAAGCAAGTACACTGGAAACAATTATGAAAAATGTGAGTAAATATATAAGATTTTTTAAAAATGATGGTTTAATGTAAAATAATAGCAAAATAGTGTGTAGTTTGTAACATGTGTAGAAGTAAAACAAGTGATAGCAATAATAGAAATAATGGGAATGATAAAAAAGAAATATTATGTACAGTTCCTAGACTACACATGAAAATACAGAATAGTATTTGAACGTGGGCTGTCATAAGTTAAAGTTAAAAATCCTAAATAAATTATATTCATCTGCTAAATGAATAAAAATAAAATTTAGAAATGACAAATAAGAGTAAAGATAATATTCAATCATAAATAATACTCAATTAATTCAATCAAAACCAGAAGAAAAGGTATTTTACAAGTAATACATAGAGATGAAATAAAATAACTAACAAGATAACAAATATCAACTGACTGGTCATGTAAACAAGAATAAGAACATAGATTATTGATTTCAGGAATGAAAGACAGGACATCACCATACATCATAGAAACATTAAAAAGCTAATAAGAAATCATCATGAAAATGTTTATTCCAGTAGATATGTTACCTTCAATAAAATAGATTATTTTAAAATCTCAAATTAGCAAAGCCCATTCAAGAGGAAACAAATAAGAGAATAATTCCGTATTTGTAATAGAATTAAATTATTAGTAATAAATAACTTCCACATGGAGAATTCCAGGCCAAGATGGTATTACTAATGAATACTATTAATACTAAACATTAAAGAAGGAGCAAAAGGAAGGAAGGGAAATTTTAGGTAAACTTGTTTAGAACATGGAATAGGAAAGAACACTACCCAGGTTTTTTTTTTTTTTTTTTTTTTCCTCTGAGATGGAGTCTTGCTCTGTTGCCCAGGCTGGAGTGCAGTGGCACGATCTTGGCTCACTGCAACCTCCACCTCCCAGGTTCAAGCAATTCTCCTGCCTCAGCCCCACGAGCAGCTGGGATTATAGGCACCTGCTACCACACCCGGTTAATTTTTGTATTTTTAGTAGAGATAGGGTTTCACCGTGTTAGTCAGGCTGGTCTTGAACTCTTGACCTCGTGACCCGCCTGCCTCAGCCTCCCAAAGTGCTAGGATTATAGGCGTGAGCCACTGCACCCAACCACCCAGGTCATTTAATGAGACCAACAATACTCTGTTAAGATTCAGAAAAATACATAGCAGACAAAGAAAATTTTAGAATATTCCTCATGAACATTGAGGAATGTTCATTGCCAATTGTTAAAATTATGTAATTGTAATACTCAAGACATGTGCATGTCACTGTATGTAATTTTATACCTTAATTTAAAAAATCATATTAGAGAAAGAAAAAGATGTACTTAACTTATTGATATTTTTCATTAGTATAGTTCCTTAGAGAGCACAAAATTCATCATGTGAACCTATACCTTTTTATTTTAAAAGCGGAAATAGCAACATGAATGCAGTTTTCTATTTTATTAACTAATAACAGTAATGAGAAAAATGAATATGGAACTTGATACAGAACAAGATATCTGCAATTTGAGTAAAAGGAAATGTTATTGACTCTTTTTTTCCACCTATTATATACCACATCCTAAAGAAACGTCTTAATATGAAGATTGGGTAGGATATGTTTCAATGTCTTTACACACTTAGTTTAATAAAAAACTGGATTTACTGCAAGGAAATGCAAAAGTTCCCTTTGCCTATAAGTAGTTGAATATTGTCCACAATCTCTAGAGATTTTCTGACAACAGTGTATAATCCAAGCCATAGAACTTATAGGTATAATTTCAATTAGATCCTGGTCCTTTGAGCTTTCCACAAAATTTATTCATCTCTTTTCTTTCATATTTTCAAAGTAGCTTCATTAAGCATTTCAATGCTTCAACTTTGAGTGCTTTATTATCATAACATTTTCTTTATGAAAAGGAAATTCCTCATTTGAAAAACAATTTAAAATTTTAAATCATCTTCTTTGCTCCAAATAGGTAAGGTACTCTACTGTTTGGTTAAACATGATGGATCTATTCTACTACTGGAAAATACAAATGACAATCTTCTGTGATCACAAAAAGAGATCACAGATCAGAGAAGACATCGCATTCTTCTACCCTCCAAAGAACCCACATAATTTTACAATGCTGTTTTATTCAGATTCATCTAATTAATTTGAAAGATCCTTTGCTTTTTCTTTGTGAAAGACCTCAATGTTAATTTTTCTGTGAAGCTTGTCTGACAACTTTCCATACCCCAAAGTGGAAAGAAAATTCTCTTCTCCACCCTGTTTCACCAGATTACTTTGTAAGCATATGTTACTTCTTAGGACATTTTATTTAGCTTTTTGTTTTCACATGCTAATCTTTATGTGGGATTTTGAGTTGCCATATGGCAAGATCCATACTTTATAATCCAATCCATACAATCTGAAAGTTTAGGTGTCAAATCAATTATTGGAAAATGAATGAGTTTAAAACCAGAAAATATTGATCTGTGGGGATTTGATTTTTAGCAACTGTGTTGCCTTTTCGAATTGTAATTTTAAAACACTTTCATTCAAGTGTATTTACATACTTTAAAACTCACACCTTTAAAGTGCACAATTCAGTGCTTTTTATTGTATAGATAGAGGTATGCTACCATTCTCACTAGCTAACTTTAAAACATTTTAACCCTTTTAAGAAACCCCATTCCTCTTAGCAGTCACTCCTCTCTCCTGTCCCCTCTCCCTATCCACTAATAAACCTTAATCTGCATTCTATTTGTCTATTCTGCATATTAATATAAATAAAATCATAATATGTGGCCTATTGTGACTCAGTTCTTTCAGTTAGCATATTTTCAAGGTTTATTTATGTTATTGCATGTACAAGTACTTCATTTCTTTATGAAATTTCATTTTATGGATATTTTATATTTTGTTTATTCATTCAGTTGATACATATTTGGGTTATTTTTACTTCTTAACTACTACCAATAATGCTGCTATTAATATCTGTGTACAAATTTTTATGTGAACATTTGTTTTCATTTCTCTTGGATATATAACTATGATTGAAATTGCTGAATAATATTGTAATCCTGTGTTTAACTGTTTGAGGAAATGGCAAACCCTTTTTCAAAGTGGCTGCAGCATTTTTATAACCCCACCAGTCATATATAAGCATTTCGGCTGACTCACATCCTTATTAGGACTTGCTATAGTTTGTCTTTTTTATTTTCTCACTGGGTATGCAGTTGTATTTCATCACATTTTTAATACGTATTTCTCTAAAATCTAATGATATTGAACATAAATTCATGTGCTTAATGGCAATTCGTATATGTTCTTTAAAGAAATATCTGTTCAATGTCTTTGATGCTACCGATCTGCTAAACTCATTAACTCTAGGTTACATTTTGTGTGTAGACTCTTTAGGATTTTCTAGATAAAAGATCATGTCATCTGCAAATAGAAATCATTTTACCTCTTTATATTTCTAGTATGGATGTTCTTTATTTCTCTTCCTTTTCTAATTTCCCTGGTTAACACCTTCAGTACTATGTTGAGTGAAAGTAATAAGAGCAGACAACCTTGTCCTGTTTCTGACATTAGGGTCAAAACATTCAGCAGTTCATTATTAAGTATGATATTAGCTGTGGGTATTTCACAGATGCCCTTTATCAGGCTGAAGGAATTCCTTTATATTTTTAATTTGCTCAGTGTTTTTGTCAGGAAACGTTCTTAAATTTTGTCAAAGGGTGTTTTTGTGTATCAATTAGGATGATTGTGTCTTTTTTGTCCTTTATTCTGTAAATGTGGTGTTTTACATTGATTGATTTACATATATTAAACTGAACTTGCAGTTCTTGGAATAAATGCCAATTTGTCATAATGTATAATCCTTTTAATATTCTGCTGGATTTGGTTTAATAGTGTATTGTTATGGTGTTTTGCATCTATACTCAAAGTAATATTTGTCTGTAGTTATATGTGTGCTATTTTTTTTGTCTGGTTTTGGAATCAGAGTAATAGTGGCCACCCAAAATGAGTTTGAAAGTGTTAAATTGCCACAAAGTACACTGTTTATACTCTCTTAAGAAACTCCTCTGAATTGTTCCAAGTTTTTGACTAATTTCAGTAGTTCTGAAAAACTTGATTTTGACCATTTTTACCAGTTTCTCCTTGTTTTTTGGAAGGAAAAGATTTTCAGAAGTCTTCACTTCTCTGGAATTGCTTTCCTGTAGTTTACTTTTAAAGAACTGAAATGGATGATGTTTTGCCATATTCTCTTCTTCACTCTTCAATTTTCTTCCCCAGAAAATACATATTTTAGAAATGGATTTAGAGATTGTGAAGAACCTCAGCTTTTCTCGTATACCACTTTATGAGTGTGTATTGTTATTCATTAAACACATATCTACTGAATATCAATTATTCACTAGGCACTGTGCCAGGACATGATAATCAGGACCATGTATCGGCCTGTCAGGAACTTCCAGTGGCATATGTTGCCCCCTCCTTTCCTAGTACTCACCCCTAGCCCATAACTTGAATAGGAGAGACTCAAAGAGCAAGAATGTTAAGTTAAAAGCCACAAAGCAATTTGATTAAGCAGCTTACTGACAGAGTAAGAATGCCTTGATTTTAAATGTCACATTTTCAAAGAGAAAGTCATTCTGGAAATTTCACCATGATGACAAGAATCTGTGTTAATATCATTACTTGAGAGCATTTTTATCTGACTTTCATAGAGGTAATTCTGCTAATGATCATTTTATGTAATTTAAGGAAATGATTATTCAGAGTCTTTTTTCCATATAGTATTATACAAGGTGATAACAGGAATCAAAGACACATAGCATAGGCTTTCTGATATATACATATATAATATATGCTTCTTGATTTTAATAAGCATAAGCTGTTTAGTAAAATATCTATTAATAGGATAGTACAATAGAATAGTCAGGTAGTAAAAGTTTAGAAGCTGAAACAAAGCAAGCATCACCAGGTGAGGAGATTGGAAGACTGATAAAAAGAGAGATGGCTGCCTTCACAAAAATAACTGAATTGAGGTTAGAACTCACGTCTCAATGTTTTTCCAGTTTCTCCATTTTATAGCGGGGCTTGCCCTATACTATTAAAAGGACAACCCCAGGTATTTAGTTAGCTTTCTAATTGTGTGCAAAATTATTTAAAATAAAGCGTTTTATGTAATATAAATTTTTAAAAAATGTACCAATGCCAATTCAATAGAAATATTCTATAATTTTGCTTTCAGGTATAAGGACTGCACTACTATTAATCTAATTCATATGAAATGTTTTATAAATTGCACTTATAATCTAAATGTATTCTATTTAATACTTTATCTATTATATGCTGTTGATAAACTGTAGAGAACTAATGAAAAGTGCACTGAAGTTTTATATTATTTCATCACAATTCTCTAATCCTTAAATATATGCCACTTAGTCTAATTTGAGAGCATTAAAGCAAAATAAGTTACTTGTGGAATCAGAATGTTATCATACAAATGTTAATTGTTGCATACCATTGGTGCCAGGTCATTGACTATGTAACCAACTTCAAAAATAAAGATTACTAATTTTTTCTAGTTACTTACAGTAATAAGTACCATGTGTGAGAGATAACTATAGGGAAAACTAATGAAGAAGGAGCCATTAAGGAACTTTCCCAGAACCTGATCTTGACAAGGTAGAATGAGGCTGCTGACTAGGAAATTCAGGGTAGATGGATCACTTGAGGTCAGAAGTTCGAGACTGGCCTGGCCACCATGGTGAAACCCTGTTTCTACTAACAATACAAAAAATTAGCGGGGCACGGTGGCATGCGACTGTAATCCCAGCTACTCGGGAGGCTGAGGCAGGAGAATTGCTTGAACCCAGGAGGCGGAGCTTGCAGTGAGCTGAGATCATGCCACTACACTCCAGCCTGGGCAACAGTGTGAGACTCCATCTCAAAATAAATAAATTAATTAATTAAATAAATAAATAAATAAACAATCAAACAGAAATAAATAAATAAAATAAAAACCGAAAAAGTTACATGCAATTTGTTTGGCTCTATTTTTTTGAATTTCAAAATGTTATTTCAGGAAGATAAGCTATGTATATACCAGAGAAAGCATAAATACAGACACATAAAAGAAATTTTGTTTTACCATTTGAAATAGGTTATTATCATGCAGTGAGACAAGTAGAGTTCTTTCCAGGATGTAACTGTGTTGCTGTAAACGGAATGCTCCCTGGAGGAAATGCCACTTCCACCAACTCCCTAATGCATCCATTTTCAGATACATTTCAATATAAATGACACTAAAAAATTCATGCTTGAGAATGGAAACTAACCAAACTTTTGGAATCTGGATTCGCTCCAAAATCTAACACACACAGCTCCAATTGAGTGGCCTTGTTCGTGGATAATTTGTCTGTATTTTTAGATACATCAAATTGATGGCAAGAAAAGCCAAAATTATCATGTGAAATGACAGAAATATTTGGCAAAATGAAACCTGTAATTTCCTTTTCCCTGTATCCTCCAACATATTGAGGATGTTATGCACTAGGAGTGGATAAATAAGTACTTATTGGAGCTTTTCTTTCCAGCTGGCTCTGTACTCAGCAAGCCCTGGAGCTAAGGCAGATTTAAAACGAAACCAACTATGACAAAAGTAACAATGACACAAAGTATAAATCTTTCTCTTTTCTCATGCTACCCTGGGTAAGATTGTCATTTAAGTGCCTGAACAGCTGTGCCTCTACTGGGTTACCAGCTCACCAAAAGTACATCCACACATGAATATCAGTCCACCAGAAATACAAATGAGGGCTTATTATGGGTGAGGTGAATAATTCATTTCCTGCATTTTTATTTCCTTATAAGACTATCTACCTTGGTTATCTGTGGGAGATTAAATACTTTTACAGTATAATAATAATATTAGTAGGAGCAGAGTGACAACAATAGTAATAGTGTGTTGGAATTTATTACACTTATGATGAAATAGGAACTGTTCTAAGTGCTCCAGAGACATTATCACATTTAATTCTCATAACAATCCCTTGATACTGGCACTATTTATAATTCTATTTCAGAGGGAGTTTATTAAATTGCCTGAAGTCACACAGCTAATAAGAGCTGGAGCAGAGATTCAAACCCAACCAGTCTGATTAGAAACTGCACTCTCAATCACTACACTAAACTGTAGCAATATCGTTCAGTGCTCTCAACTCTCACCCATAGGCTGGAAAGTTTGCTCCTTATGTAGGTGTTATAATTTAGCGAGTTATTGAATCCAGCTACCTTCCAAGAGGGGAAACGCAGACCTTCTTAATGCAAGTAGAACTCAGTCTTGGAGTGTTTTCATGGGGTTCTTCATGGCTATGTAGGCCTTTGCATAGTAGAGGTGGAGAGGCTTCCGGAGAACCAAGAACCAGAATCCACATGGCCACAAATTGGTATAAGGCAGCTGTGTTCACATAATTCCCTTTTGAATGATTTCCATCTCATTCTCAGATAGGGAACAAAAGACCTTTCAATGCTGAGTTCAGGTGGGAGTACTGCATCCTTTCCCTGTAGTTCTTTCTAGGTTGTGAATGAAGTAAAGAGGTGAGAGAAAGTACTGAAGAGAGAAACAAAAGCATGGACCCAAAAATGAGCATCACTGCAGTAACAAAGAATACATTTTCTAGATTTCATAGCCAAAAAAAAAAAAAAAAAAATCCTAGCAAGCAAATGAATCTCTGTATTATTCCAATAAAGTGGCAGGAAACGGATAGCTAGCCGTTCCTTGCCAAAAATGGCAGTCCTGCTCTGGCCCTCAGAGATAATGCACAGTTCTGAACTACACCACCATTTCAGCTGCCTCACAATAAATGATGTACATTAAGCTATTATCATTGTGAACAAAGTGATTACAGTTTTTCCCCTGTGGCAAATCTAAAATCCCATATAAGAAAACCATTGCTTTGACTAGGTGTAAAAGCCATTACCTTTGTTGTTCAACATTTGAAACACAGACAAGCTGGTTTTCAAAACAGTTAGGACATTTAGGATACATGTAGTAAGATTAACCCTACTTGCTGGCAATGTAATTACTGTGTTTATTCATTTTAATGATCTCATAAAGGACAATGAGATATAATACAAGTACAGGACAAGAAAAGGTCCTGGAAAGGCAATTGTGCCATTCTTTACAAGCAGAATGTGAAGCTGGTGAGCACAAGATAAGCCAAAATGTGTTGACATCAGGTCCCTGTCTTCTATGGAGTAAGGAAACCAACCAATCTGGAAGTGACCATCTTTGGTAGCCCTGGGCCAGTCCATACTGTGATTCATCTTTGGTGGTGAAAGATCTGTGATCTTTGCTTTTGGATGATGCTTCTATTGGCTCTTGTTTTGTGAGCTGAATCACATAACAATAGAGATTTAGGCTATAAAGACTTTTAGATGCTACTTAATTCAAACTTCAATCCCAGGACAGAAATTTCCTTACCAGAATAATCTTGATCTATGTTTATTGAGTCTCAGGTTAAATATTGTTGTTGATGGATTGGGTTTTACTTTTGGAAATATCCTGCTCAATATTTAGACTTGTCTTCTGGTTATATCTTCCTTTAAACTGAGCTGAAATTAATCTCACTGAACCATCCATTTGATCAATTCTATTTTTTGAGCATTCCATATTAATGCTCATTCTTTTTGTTTTGCCCATTCTTACTTTGAATGCACCAATCTTACAACACTTTTAGATTTTAGATTTTTTTCTCCAGAAGAAAAATTAATACTATAGAATTAATATACAGTAGGTACTAGGGATTCTACAGTGAATAAGCAACATGATATATTATCGGGTTGACAGCTTAATGTGGTTACAGAGAATGATAAAGTGCCCCAGTGCTATGATAGCATTTTGGCGGGGCATTCTATCAGGCCTAGTATTTAACGTGTTCCTTGTGTGTATGGCTTACGGACTTCTTACCATCCCAGACACACACTAAATTGTAAATTGCCTCTTTTTAGAGGCTGTTATCCTTAGCAAACTAACACAGGAACAGAAAACCAAATATATGTTCTTACTGATAAGTGGGAGCCAAATGATGAGAACACACGGACACATAGAGGGGAACAACACGCACTGGAACTTTTCGGAGGATGGAAGGTGGGACGAGGGAGAGAATCAGGAAGGATAACTGGTGGGTCATAGGCTTAATACCTGGATAATGAAATAACCTGCACAACAAACCTCCATGACACAAGTTTACCTATGTAACAAACCTGCATTTGTACCACTGAACTTAAAAGTTAAAAAAAAAAAAAAAACCCTAATACTGCAATGTAGAAGAAGTATCAACTTTAACTGAGCACTGTAAACCATTCTATTCAAGTAATCCAGGTTATTTTTCTTTTACAGTAATGCTTGCAGATCATTTTTTACATGAACGTTTGTCTAACAAGATCTATATTACCATGAGTAGTTTACACCGTATTTTGAAATTCAAAGCCTAGGTAATAATACATGCTTATGTTTACAAGCAAGTCTTATGAATTTATGCCAAAAGATACAACCACCCTCTTGTCTTTCTTCTATGATATTACATTGTAATTATATATTTTATTTTTAAATGACCAATACCACCTCCTATGATGTTATCAATTGTAGGATTTAATATCATCTATATTTCTACAATTAACCTTTGCTTTTTTTTCTCTATTTTTGCCTTTTTTTAACATTTGTTTCTACCCAGTGGATATAAATGGTACAGCAAAAATTTGAAGACCTAAATATGGCACTGTCACTCACTCCTGAACATACTCACAAATACGCAGATACAGATTGTTTATAACAGATCAAATTGATAAAACAATGACTACCACAGCAACAAAGATCAATATAATAGTAAAACTATTATCTCTTCTGTTTTGAAAATCTTATATCTGAAGGATTAATATTTAATGTTTTGCATTGATATAATTTAAATTATCTAAAATATTTCAACATATATTCTATCCTTCTACCTATCCAAAGGGTTAATCAAGGTTAAAGATCACTATTCTTTTTTTATAAATAATAATGGTGCTATAAAGTGCTAAACTAGCCAAAGTCATACAAAGTAATAGAACCAGAACTAAAAATCATACTCCAAATACCCAATGATCTTTAAATATACCATAGCATAATCAAAAATTAAGTGTCTGTATGTGGTTCACATATGCCTATAAACAAAATTATTACCTTTTTTTATTATTAACAAGTTTATGGCATTGGCTAGTGATAAAATAATAGATGAAATAGCAACCACTGATCACTGCTAACTCAAAGGTTATATGATTGAGATAATCTTCAGTGCATTTGGTTATGATGGTGATATGGTCTGGCTCTGTGTCCCCACCCAAATCTCATCTTGACTTGTAATCTGAATTGTAATTCCCACATGTTGGGGGAGGGACTTTGTAGGAGGTGATTAGATCATAGGGTCGGTTCCCCCATGCTGTTTTCATAATAGTGAGTGAATTCTCACAAGATCCGAAGGTTTTATAAGGGGCTTTCCCCGCCTTTGCTCTGCACTTCTCTTGCCTGTCGCCATGTAAGACACGCCTGTTTCACCTTCCACCATGATTGTAAGTTTCCTGAGGCCTCCCCAGCCATATGGAACTGAGAGTAAATTAAAACTCTTTTCTTTATAAATTACCCTGTTTCTGGTATGTCATCAAAGCAGTGTGAAAATGGACTAATACAGATGGCTTTTAAGCAAAGCACAAAAATAATGTATAAAAAATTAGCAAGCATAAATTCAGAAGTTTCAAGTTGGCTTGCATTATATAAACCATAATTAACTTTACATTTTTTGGCAAAATTTCCATGTTTAATAAAAGTTAATAATTCTTTAAATAAAAGCTGTGTGAGCACTTTAAAATACTATAAAGGAGTCTAAAATTAAGCCGCTTCAATTTTCACAACTTTCTTTTACTCTTTCTATTAGAAGAACTATAAATGAACTTTCAATAAAATCAGAGCTTTTGATGTGGCCATTTATTTTTAAAAGGCATTCTATAGCATACCAATTTCTGAATCTAGAATCTCCATTGATATTCCATTTAATAAATTTGGAAGCCAGACACATTTATTTTAAAGTTCAGTTTTAATTAAAAGATAAGACTAGAGTGACAGAATGGTAAGGGAGAGAGGGGTGTTGAATTTTTTGTTTATTATTGCAGAGCAGCTGCTTTTATTTTTAACTAATCTCCATTAATGTCAAATCAAAAGCCGGTACTTCTTATAGGCTTTTGCATTTGCCTTGTTACCTACCTTCCTAGAAAATTACTACGTATTTTCTAATTCTGAGATGAAATCCAGTATGAGTCCATAATTGTTTAGCTGAAAGTACTGAGAAATGCTTGTCATAAGGTTTATTTTTGAAATTGAAATGCATTCACTTATTTCTTCAGCAATATTTTCTAGGCACTAACCTCTGTTTTGGTTAATAGGGGTTAATCAGTGAATAAACATACCAAAAGGGAAAAAAACAAGAAAACATACAAATTAAAAAGAAACAAACAACAACTCCTGCCTTGCTAGAATTTACTATATAATGAATAGTCATTTCAGACTCAAGTAAAGTTACATGTAAATACTAGAAGGCTAGCACTAACAGAGCATTGCAGAAAACTACCTTTCTGAAATGCTCTGTTAGTTCAGAGCATTGAAGTAATCTTTGAAACCACATTTTCAAAGACTTTACTTAGAAAGCCATTGTTCAAATTGTTCAATGCCTATCTTTAGGATGGAAAAAAATAAAGGGTTTTAGCATGGTTGAGAGAAATGAGAAGGAAGAAAGAGTTGCAGGGTAAATTCAGGATGTATCCCAGGACAGAACAGGGAAAGCTAGCTCACGATAAATTTAACTTCTCAGAGTTTCTTATTAAATGAGCTAGCTGCATACTCTTAGAGGATCCTGAGTTCCACAATGGTCTTTTACTTTTCAAAAGCATTCAGGACATGAACCAGAAAAGAAAGAATTAAAACTAGTGAAAGGAGCCCCATATACATTTCTGAATCCACATGTTCCTTAAGAATTAAAAAAGATGTAGTGCATGTAAAAGAATCTCTTTTCTGAGATAAACTGTACCACATTTTTCTATTAAAATTAAGCTCCAGGGATATGAGAAAAGTATTTTCTGAAAGAATACACCATTATAAATGTTTTTAATCTATAGAATCATGATGGAAACATTCATTAAAGTAGAAACCACTACTTTTATTTACATTGTCTATTAAAATAGAAAAAAAAAGTTACCACAAACCTCTCAGTATAATGTCTTCATAAGTATAATATCCTTTGATCTTTGGGACAGTTTATGAGTTTGATATTATTTTATCATCATTATGCTACTCATGAGTATCCCATGTTTAGAATAACTGACTGACTGACTGACTGATCCAAGTTTTTACAACTGATCAAGGCTCACATCAAAATTGAAAACCCAGTTGTAACAGCTCAAACCCCATGAAATCCCCACTGAGCCACACAGCTTTTCAATTGACTGATCAAATGAGTAAGGTTTTGTTAGATATTTTTCAAAAATTATTTTAGACAATTCAAATGTTACAAAGATGCCTATCCCCGTCTGTTTTCCTCTTGGCTTTTGTTTAAGGTGCTGATGCATTCTGATCTAAACCTTCCCTCTAATATTACTTTTTAAAGTAAAATAAACGAAGGCAGCATATCCACTTGGGAAAAATTATACTGTATTAGTCCTTAGTAGAATTTCTGTTATTGATGTTTACTGAGCTTTGTAAGACACTTGAGAATCGCAAAACTTCCTGGGCCATTTCAGTTGGTCTCTAATCACAAGGTCAGCAATGTAATGAGGGTTTGCTCTGCCTCTGCACCAGGGTCTTTGCAAGAACTTTGGCTGGAAGCAGAGGTAGTAAAAATATGAATGCAGGAAAAAATGGAGTATCTTTAATGAAGTTAGGAGGTAATAGATGAAAGGTTAAGAGCATAAACTTTGAAGGCAAACAGACATGAATTCTTACTCCCATTCTGCTATCTACAGGCAATGTGAGAGCAGAAATTTTAATTACTCTCTCTAAGCTGCCACGGTTAATAACAATCATAAATTGTAAAGTTGTCATGACTAAAGAAGGTATTTAAAAGTACACACAAAAAAATAGACTAATTGAATCTGCTATTAAGAGTATTATTAACATCATTTTATCCGCTTTCCTCATACTCTAAGATCGATGCATTCTCATAAATGCATACGATTTTTTTTTCAGATTTATCTGGGAACATAGAAAATCTATGTTTATATAACATAAAAAGCAATATGAGTTTTTCTTAACATAGAGTAAAATTGATGGAATAGATATATTTTATATATTCTAAGTATTTGTTCTTAGTCTACTTCTTAAAGAACTTGAGATAGTCTGAATTCTGTCATAAAGTTTAATAGTATAGTTAAGGTTCAGAAGAGAATACCTGACGTACATCCACGGCATGTACTACATTTCCAGACACTTGAAATGAGTTAGAGTAGGGTTTTGCATAGGATCCTAAGCTTTCTAGGACCCAGGCCTCCCAAGATCTAGAAAAAGAGGGAAATGTGAGTCGTTAAATAATTTTTTTTCCTCTGGCAAAATGCCAGACATCTAGCAAAAATTCCTTTATAGAGTCCAATTATTTTCTTGAAATAAAGATAAAAATGAATTCATAGCAAAAGTCTCTGCTTAAGAGACAGCAATTAACACAATGGATAATCTATGGTTTCCTAAAAGACAGAAATTTTCAAATGCATGCATCTACTATCGAATCTTTATAAAGGAGAAGGCATATTACTAAATCACAGCTCAGTGAGAAGCTGAGATAATTATGTGTTAGGCTCTGTTGCATTCTAGTGATCTAAATTATAAGGATAGTGACTTAAGAGAGACCCTCATGGATACACAGTCTCTCTATCCAGCTATTCTTCCTCTCAAATATCATATGTCTTAGGCAAGCATTTGGCAGGTGTCAAATTGCAGTAAATCTATGATTGGATTATCTAATAGAAACCTCTAGAGCTTATAATCTATTGTTCTGGTTAAAGTGTAAGCCATATACTTTAATCATTTCTGACATAGGCACTATATTCACAAAAATAAAAAAGAAAAGGAGACACATTTTCCCGGGTTATGGTAGCAGAATGGGAGGGGGAAGGAACTGTTCCAAGGACAAGTATTTCTGATTAGATTGCATCTCTACCTGTCTCAGTCTTGCTCTCAGCAGGATTTCAAGGGAGACCCATAGAACTCTGACCTTCCTGAAGTCTCTAAACCACCTAGCAGTCCCAAGAAATATAACTAATGTAATAACTGATTGTCTATTTTTCTTTTAGAGACTATTAATACTGACTGATTCCTTGATTACCAAGTCACCACTAGAAGCCTGATTTTTGTTTGTTTGTTTGTTTTGTTTTTTTTTTTTTAGCTATCCCATATCACAGAGGTTTCCATATCCATTAGAGTGTACTAACCATTGCTGGACTCATGGTCTTATTCTTTACACTGTGCTCTCCAGAGCACACTGTTTATTATCAGCAAAACCTCTTATACCCACTGCCTCTCTGAAGTTCCCCTTCATTTTATTTTTGCTCTGAATGTAATGTTGGTGTTGGCTGAAGATACTACTACATCCCCAATAGGCCTCTCATGGTGCTGCTTGTGTTTCCTCAGCAACACAACTATAGTGGATCTGTAGAGAACTTTTTTTCTCATTTCTCATTGCCTCATCCCTAAAACAAAAAAATAATAAAAAAATTAAATTATCTGTCATCAGATACTTCATCTATGTTCCTTTGAAGGCACTTCCTTTTTCCTGGGCATATACTCTTTCATGGAAGATTTTTTTGCACTTGGCTTACTGCTCTCTCTCCACTCTGATGTTGGCCACTATTGCTGGTGTTTTAAAATAATTCATCCATCTCACTGTGTTTCTCATCCTTTTTCTCCCCACTACTGATGCTTTTATCTTCCATCCCTTCTCAATTGCTCATTCTCAGGATTATTTACTGAACACTATTTTTCCCAATTACTATTGTACCTCATAATACTCACTTCATGGGTCTGCTTTTACAGTATGACCTGTCTTTCTAACTTAGCAGTCTAGAATCACAATCCCCAGTCCTATCAGTATTTAAGATTCCTTGACCCTACCAACATTTCACTACCCATCATTCTCTTTACCTCCTCAATTTCATCTGTATCCACTCTGTTTCCATGATTCATCTCTATACTAATGCATTTTCATTCATACTCCACTGTCTTGGTCCTTTGCCCCTCCAAAATATTCTGCTGTCGAGGCAGAACATGTTTATTCTTTGCCTACTCCATAAGTGAACCCAACAGTCTCATGTAACTAGAGAAAAGCTGGTGACTTCATTTACAAATCAATGTTTTCAATGACAAGTGGGGACTTTGTGCTGCCCAAGACTCCTATTAGATTCCTCTTGTCAATCCATTCTCCTCCTGTCCCAGGCAACTAGTTCACATTTCAGTTTATGACCTTGATTTTCATTTTACCAGGGGGAAAAAAAGCAAAGTGAAGAAAATTGAAACATATTTCCATGACCATGTCTACTTCCTAGATTACTGTATTTCAATCCATCTACTGTATCTGCTCCCCAGTTATGACAAATAACGTCTGTTTGATCCCAAGAAATCCCTCCTTTGTATACTGGATCCTAGTAAGGATGTGGATAATAAAATTACCTCTTTCTTCAGAATCTATAATTTAATTCAGTATCTACTGTATCTTTCTCATTGTGTATAATTATTGTGTGTATAAACAATGAGAAAGATTGTTTATAAGCACATGTGTGCACACACCCCCATATATTATATTTTTCTTCATGCACAATTTCATTTCTCTGTTTCCTTCAAAGAAAGTGTCTATATTTGTTATTTTTATTCTTCTCCTATTATTGCTTGAACTCCCTCCAACCAGCATCGTGTCTCTGTTCATCCTTTGGAATTGCTATTGCAAATAATACCAAATGCCTCCACATTTCCACATTCTAGGTTATCATCTTACATTCTCAGTAACATTTGGCATCATTTAGCATGTCCTTTAACTCGAATCACTTTTTTCACTTGACTTCTAAGTTATTTCACTCTCCTGATTTTCCACATACTGCCTTGGCCACTCCTTCCCAGTTTTCCTTGTAGAAAACTCTGTCTAATCTATAAAAATTGGATAGTTCTAGGGCTCAATTCTCAAACTTTGTTCTTTCTGGATCTACATTTCCTCTCTTCTTGGTCTCATCTAAGGTCATAACTGTAAAGGTACTATTTCCCTATTTATGACAAGTTTAGCCATAAATTTTCTCCTGTATTTCATACTTCCATATATTACTACTTAATTGTTATATCCACTAGGATTCCTAGTACATATCTGAAATATAACATGAGCTCTTCATTACCCTCCCAAAGATGTTGTTTTTGCTATCACCATCATCTCTGTCAATGTTATAATTCAAATACCAAACCTGAAGATTTTTCTTGATTTTCCATTAGTAAGTTCTATTGACACTAAATATGTGTGTGTAAATTATATCCAGAATTTGACCTCTTATTACCACCAGCAGTGTTCCTGTTACATTTTAAGTCACCACTATATTTCACCCAGATTGCTATGCCAGCCTCTTACTAAAAGTAAAATAAAATTTATTGTGTATATTTGAGGTTTACAACATGATGCTATGGTATACATACAGATATGACCCCTTCATTGCTTTTCCTGTTGCTGCTTTGACCTCTCAGTCCACACTACTTACTGCAGTCAGAGTAACAGCAGCCAGAGTAATCTTTTAAAGCATGATCAGATCGGATGATTCCAAGTAAATCAAACACTTCTAGTGGCTTCTCATAGCACAGAAAGCAAAATCTAAATGTTTTTCCATAACTCACAAAGGCTACATATTCTAGCCTCTGGATACCGCTACAACTTTGTGTATTCACATTCCTACCATGTTTTCCTTTGCTCTTAATGTTCCAGTCACATCATCTTCTTTGCTGTTCTTCAAGGAACCCCAAAAAGCTACCGCCTTAGGGCATGTGCACTTGTTGCCTTTTTGACTAGAAACTCTCCCTCCAAATAATCTAGAAGTTTTCTTCCTCACTCCATTCAGGTCTTTGTTCAAATATCAGCTCCCTAGGAGTACATTCCCTGCCACCCTAACAAATTATTAGGGCTCATATATCTTTATCTCCTTTTACTCTTTAATTTATCTTTAAAGTTTGAATTTCTACCTAGATTTATACATCCATACCATTATTTTTATCTGTACATCCTAATTACGTATAAGCTACATAAAAACAGCAACTTTGTCTTTTTAGAGTACTCTACCCCAGCAACTAAAAAACACCCAAACACATTTCAGTTGATTAATAAATATTTATAAATAAATAAGTTAATGAGTTAAGAGAAGAGAAACAGTCAGTAGTGACTCCAAATATACAGATCTGGCCCGAAGTTCAAGCTAGACACATATAAACTGGGAAATGATGAAGGAAATGGAAAGCCAACTTGGATATTGGAGAATATACTTCAGAATCTAAGAATATGGGTAAATGTATACAATATTAAAACAAATGAATGACTTTTAATCCGGAGCGGGTAGTTATACTCTTGGCTTTGGTTTTAAGTCATTTCCTGACATAGAAAACTGTAGCCTGGCACTTAGGGACTGCTCTGCCAGGTGGAGCCAGGGAGTATTTAGGAAAATTTTTAAACACTCACAGACCTATATGAAACTAATTATTACTATTTTCAGTGCTAGAATTAAATTGATTTGAAAGTTTGTCTTATGTGAAGAGATAGTGTGCATGTGTCTCTGTGTGTGTGTATGTGCGTGCATGTGGATGTGTGCCAGATACCTGAATAATGAATGGTAGAAGAACTTGAGCAGGCTGGCGGATCACTTGAAGTCAGAAGTTTGAGACTAGCCTGGCCGACACGGTGAAACCCTGTTTCTACTAAAAATACAAAAAATTAGCCAGGAGTGTGGGCACATGCTTATAACCCCAGCTACACGGGAGGCTGAGGCAGGAGAATTGCTTGAACCCAGGAGGCAACGGTTGCGTGAGCCGAGATCGCACCATTGCACTCTAGCCTGGGTGACAAGGAGGAAAACGAGTTTAAAAAAAAAAAAAAATTGAGCATTAGTAAAAGTCATTGTCTGATGGCTATGCTGAATTACATTTGAGTTTAAATGTGTTATTTTCTTGATAAAGTGTTTGATATGAAATAAAAAATAAGACATGTTGGCATTACCCCCATCGTGGTTACCAGAATTCCCTAACAATAATACAACACCTGGAAAAGGGAAGAAGACAAGAAGAAATTAATATGCAGTTACACCAGTCCCATGGAACCAGTTGTTTGAGGAACCACAGTATACTGAACTGGATGATGGTTTTACTAGCAAAAGCAGTCTTAATGTGTAATGATAGGAGCATGGATTTTGAGAAGAGTAGAGTTGTTCAATTTCTGGTCCTTACTATATAGTGACTTGGAGCATATTGTTTAGTTACTGCTGTTAGCTCTTTCTCCATCTGTAAATGCTTATTATAACATTTACCTATAAGGTTATTGTGAAGATTAAGATACTATATGCAAATACCTAGTTATGTTCCTGGTCATAATAGGTACTCAAGAATTCTGCTTACCTGCACTGCTTCTATGTGTACCTAATAATTTTGCTTAGGCTGTTACATTGTATTTTGCCACTGGAAAATAACTAGATACAACTTAATAATTTTTAAGTTCTACAGCCACCCTCTATAAAAACAACCACAGCTTTTTCACAGTCCTGTATTAACCTAGAAAATATAAAGGGATTAGTAATAACTTAGGGACTTTAATATCCTCCCAAAGTTGAGAGACTATATGAAAAAGTTAAGTAATGCTTTAACTTGGTCTCAAGAGAATAAACTGACTCAAGTCTATGTGGATCACAGAAACTCATTCTTTCAGGTGTATAGTGAAAAGAGGAAAATACTGAGATACATCTTTGTCATAGCTGTGTATACATTATGATGTATTTGACACCTCCCCATTTTGTACTTCAGAATTTCTAGTGTTGACCCATCTGTTGCTTTTGGAGTTAAAACTCTTTGGCTAATATTATACACTAGAGGGGTCTATATGAGGTATGTGAATGTCTATGGACAAAAATAAAATAAAATAAACACCTCAGCTTTGTAAGAGAATTGTATTTGTATGCCCATAGAGTACCCATGAATCCATGGAATACACTAATTTTTTTTTCTCTTCTATTACTTACAAAGGTATAAAGTCATCAGCATCTAGCACTGAACTCATTAACTGTCCAGTAAGACTTAATGATGCTCATGCCAGGAAGAATAATTCATCTTCCTATCATTACCTCATGTGCAAAACACCCTCACATCACTCCAACACACTTAGCTGTTCAAGAATGAGGAGTTTGAGGGACAGGGAAACTGGACTCCTATTAAGATGTTAAAAGATAGTTTTCTACCTGAACAAATCCAAAACCCTCTGTTATGGACTGAATTGTGTCCCTTCAATTCGTTTGTGGAAGTACTAAACCTTGGCAATTAAGAACATGTCTGCAATTGGAAATAGGTCTTTAAAGTGGTACTTAAGTTATGATAAAATCATTAGGGTGGTCTCTAATCCAATATGACTGGTGTCTTATAAGAAGAGGAAATTTGGACACATACAATTATAAAGGAAAGACCATGAGAAGACACAGGAAGAAGATGGCCATCTATAAGCCAAGGAGCGGCCTCAGAGGAAATCAAGCTGCCAATACAATAATCTTGGACTTCTAGCCTTCAGAAATGTGAGAAAATAAATTTGTCTCTTAAGCCATCCAGTCTACGGTACTTTGTTATGGGAGCCCTAGAAAAATAATACACCTTCAAAGGTGGGTCAATGTATAATGTACTGTGGAAACAGTGACTATGAAATGCTGGGGTGTGATTGGTGGGAGTTGACAAGAGAATTCTGAAGTATTCTGGCTTGCCTGCATAGACTACTCATTTCTTTTCTTACAGCCTTATAAACTTAATGCATATTATTCAACTTGTGGCTACACATTTTATATAGTAGCTTTTATGGATTTGTTTATACATTTTAAACTTGTATATTACATTCTGTCAGCTCATTCAGTCTGTACTGGTTTGCAACTAATTTTCCTACTGATATCATAGGAAGAAAATGAAATCTGGTGTAACCATAGGCAGAAAAAACTAATCACCACATTTTTTTTCTTTTTTTAAAAATTTTTTAAATTTATTTTTCAATTTTTGTGGGTACATACTAGGTGTATATATTTATCGGATACCTGATATGTTTTGATACAAGCATGCAATGCGACATAGTACATCATGAAGAATGGGGTGTCCATCCCCTCAAGCATTTATCCATTAAATTGCAAACAATCCAATTACACCCTTCAACTTATTAGGTAGGTGCAAAAGAAATTATGGTTTTTGCAATTACTTTAAAATGCCAAAACGATAATAACATTTGCACCAACCTAATATTTTAAAATGTACAGTTATTATTGACTATGGTCACCCTGTTGTGCTATCAAATACTAGGTCTTATTCATTCTTTCTATTTCTTTTAACCCACTAACCGTTCACACCTTCCCCCTCAACAACCCATTCTTTGAGGATTCTGGTAGCTGTCCTTTAACTCTCTGTGTCCATGTGTTCAATTCTTTTGATTTTTAGATCCCACAAATAAGTAGCTGTCATTTAACTCTCTGTGTCCATGTGTTCAATTGTTTTGATTTTTAGATCCCATAAATAAGTGAGAACATGTGATGTTTGTCTACCTGTGCCAGTCTTATTTCACTTAATATAATGATCACCACTTCCATCCATGTTGTTGCAAATGACTGGATCTTATTCTTTTTTATGGCTATATTGTATTCCATTGTGTATATGTACCACATTTTCTTTATTCATCTGTTAATGGACACTTAGGTTGCCTCCAGATCTTGGCTATTGTGAACAGTGCTGCAACAAACATAGGAGTGTAGATATCTCTTCAGTATACTGATTTCCTTTCTTTTTGGGTATATACCCAAGAGTGGGATTCCTGGATTATACAGTAGCTCAACTTTTAGTTTTTGGAGGAACCCTCAAATGTTCTCCATAGTGGTTATACTAATTTACATTCCCACCAAAAGTGTACAAGTGTCTACTTTTCTCCACATCCTCACCAGCATTTTTTATTGTCTGTCTTTTGGATGTGAGTCATTTTAACCGGGGTGAGATGTTATCTCATTGTAATTTTGATTCACATTTATCTGATGATCAATTATGTTAACCACCTTTTCATATGCCTGATTATCATTTGTATGTCTTCTTTTGAGAAATGTCTACTCAAATCTTTTGTCCATTTTTAATTAAATTATTCAATGTTTTCCCATAGTTGTTTGAGCTACTTACACATTCTGGTTATTAACCCTTTGTGAGATTGGTAGTTTGCAAATGTTTTCTCCCATTGTGTGGGTGGTCTCTTCACTTTGTTGATTGTTTCCTTTGCTGTGCAGAAGCTTTTCAACTTGATGTGATCCCATTTGTCCATTTTTTCTTTAGTTGCCTGTGTTTGTGGGTTATTGCTCAAGAAACTTTTGCCAAGACCCAAGATTGATGTCCTGGTGATTTTCTCTAAAGTTTTCTTGTAGTAGTTTCATAGTTTCAGGTATTAAAGTTATTAATTAATTTTGATTTGATATTTGTATATGGTGAGAGATAAGGGTCTAGTTTCATTCTTCTGCATATACACATCTAGTTTTCCCAGCACCGTTTATTGAAGAAACAATCTTTCCTCCAGTGTAGGTTCTTGGCACCTTTGTCAGAAATGAGTTCACTGTAGGTGTGTGAATTTGCATCTGGGTTCTGTATTATGTCCATTGGTCTTTGTATCTGTTTTTATACAGGTACCATGCTGTTTGGGTTAGTATTGCTCTGTAGTATAATTTGAAGTCAGGTAATGTGATTCCTCCAGTTTTGTTTTTTTTTTTTTTTGCTTAGGATAGCTCTGGCTATTCTTGGTCTTTTGTTATTTCATATAAACTTTAGAATTTTTTTTTCCTCATGAAGAATGTTATTGCTATTTTGATAGGGATTGCATTGAATCTGTAGATTGCTTTGGGTAATAAGAACATTTTAACAATATTGATTTTTCCAATGCATAAACATGGAGTATTCTTCCAATATTTGTGTCCTCTTCAAATTATTTCATCAATGTTTTATACTTTTTATTACAGAGATCTTTTGCTTCTTTGGTCAGTTCCTAGGTATTTAATTTCATGTGTGGCTACTGTAAATGCGATTACTCATTTTGATTTCTTTTTCACAATAGTCACTGTTGGCATATGTAAATACTACTGATTTCTATATCTACTGATGATTTTTTATCATGCAACTGTACTTAATTTATCAATTCTAATAGCTTTCCTGTAGTCTTTAGGTTTTTCCAAGTATAAATTCATAACAACAGCAAACAAAAATAATTTGACTTCTTCCATTCCATTTTGGATGCTTTTTTTTATCTTTCTCTTGTCTGATCGCTCAGACTAAAATTTCCAGCACTACGTTGAATAATAGTGGTGACAGTTGGTATCCATGTCGTGTTCCAGATCTTAGAGGAGAGGCTTTCAGATTTTCCCCATTCAGTATGATACTAGCTGCGGGTCTGTCATATATGGCTTTTACTATGTTGAGGTGTGTTCCTTCTGTATTCAGTTTTTTGAGAGTTTTTATCATGAAGAGATGTTGAATTTTATCATATGCTTTTTCAGTATCAATTGAAATGATCATATTGTTTTTATCTTTCATTATATCGATACGATATTCCCATTGATTTATTTTCATATGTTGAACCATCCTTGCATCCTATAGATAAATGCCACTTGGTCATGATGAATGATCTTTCTAATGTATTGTTGAATTCAGTTTGCTAGTATTTTGTTAAGGATTTTCACATCAATATTCATCAGATATAGTGGTCTTTAGTTTCTTTTTTTAATGGGTCTTTGTCTGGTTTTGGTATCAATGTAATACTGACTTTGTAAAATGAGTTTGGAAGTATTCCCTCTTCCTCTATTTTTCAGAATAGTTTGAGTAGAATTGGTATTAGTTCTTTAAATGTTTGGTAGAAATTAGTAGTGAAGTTGTCAGGTCCTGGGCTTTCCTATAAAAAGACATTTTTTTTTTAAATTATGGCTTCAGTCTAATTATCTGTTATGAACCCTTCAGGTTTTGGATTTCTTTCTGGTTCAATCTTGATAGGTTGTATGTGTCTAAAAATTTGTGCATTTTGGCCGGGCGCGGTGGCTCATGCCTGTAATCCCAGCACTTTGGGAGGCCGAGGCAGGCGGATCACGAGGTCAGGAGATAGAGACCATCCTGGCTAACACGGTGAAATCCTGTCTCTACTAAAAATACAAAAAAGATTAGCTGGGCGTGGTGGTGGGCGCCTGTAGGCCCAGCCACTTGGGAGGCTAAGGCAGGAGAATGACGTGAACCTGGGAGGCAGAGCTTGCAGTGAGCTGAGACAGTGCCACTGCACTCCAGCCTGGGTGACAGAGTGAGACTCTGCCTCAAAAAAAAAAAAAAAAAAAAAATTTGTCCGTTTCTTCTAGATTTTCCAGTTTATTGGTATAGAGTTGCTCATAGCACCCACTAATGATGCTTTGAATTTCTACAATTGGTTTTAATGTCTCCTTTGTCATTTCTGATTCTGTTTATTTGGATCTTTTTATCCTTTTTTCTTAGTCCAGCTAAAGATTTGTCACTTTTGTTTAACTTTTCAAAAAAAATTTTTTTTTTATTTCATTGATCTTTTGTAATTTTTTCATTTTAATTTCATTTATTTCCGGTCTGTATTCTAGTATTGTTCTAGTATCTGTTCTAGTATTGTAAGATGCATCATTACATTGCTTATTTGAAGTTTTTCATCTTTTTGATGTAGGCACTTACAGATGTAAACTTCCCTCTTAGTACTGCTTTTGCTGTGTCTCATAGGTTTTGGTATGAAGTGTTTCAATTATCATTTGTTTCAAGATGTTTTTCAGTTTCCTTCTCAATTATTCCACTGACCTACTGATCATTCAGAGGTATATTGTTTAATTTCCATGTATATGTACAGTTTCCAAAATTCCTCTCGTTATTAATTTCTTGTTTTATTCCAGTGTGATTAGAGAAGATGGTTGATATAATTTCAGTCTTTTTGTCTATGACCATACCATCCTGAAAACATCCAATCTTGTCTGATATTTCATTTTTTTAATGTTTTAAGACTTGTTTTGTGACCTACAATATATTCTATTCTGGAAAATGATCCATGTGCTGAAGAAAAAAATGTGTATTCCACATCTCTTGAATGAAATGTTCTCTAAGTATATATTAGATCCATTTGGTCTATAGTGCAGATTAAAGGTGGTGTTTCTTTACTGATTTTCTGTCTGGAAGATCTGTCCAAAGCTGAAAGTGGGATGTTGAAACTTCCAGCTATTTTGTACTGGGACCTATCTCTTTCTGTAGCTCTAATAATATTTCCTTTTCATATTTGCGTGCTCCAGTGTTGGGTGCATATACATGTAAAATTGCTATATCCTCTTGCTGAATTGACCCCTTTATCATAATACAGTAACCTTCCTTGTGTCTTTTTATAGTTTTTGCCTTGAAATCTCTTTTTTTTAATGTAAGTATAGTGATTCCTGATACTTTTTCATTTCCATTGGCATGGAATATCTTTTCCCATTTCTTTATTTTTGGTCTATGTGTGTCTTCATAGGTGAAGTGTGTTACTTGTAGGCAAGAGATCAATGGGTCTTGTTTTTCCGTCCATTCTGCCAGTCTATGTCTTTGGATTGCAGAATTTAGTCCACTAACATTCAATATTATTACTGATAAGTAAGGACATATTCCTGTCATTTTGTTATTTGTTTTCTGGTTATTTTGTGGTATTCTCTTCATTCTTCCTTTTATTCCTGTCTTCCTCTAGTAAAGATGATTTTCTCTGGTGATATGATTTAGTTTCTTGATTTTTATATTTTGTGTATCTATTGTATGTTTTTTGGATTGAGGTTACCATGAGGTTTGCAGATGCTATCATAACCCATTATTTTAACTTGATAACAACTTAACACTATTTGCATAAACAAATAAGCAAAAAATAAATAAATAAACACTAGTAAAAACTCACCCTAACTTCCCCCTGCCAGCTTTTTTATTTTTTGTTGTTTCTATCTTATTATACTGAGTATGGCTTGAAAGGTTGTTGTAGTTATTATTTTTGATTGGGTCATAATTTAGTCTTTTTAATTAGGATAAGAATAGTTTACCCACCACAGTTACAATGTTATAATATTTTGTGTTTTTTGCGTACTTACTATTGCCAGTAAGTTTTGTACCTTCAGGTGATTAGTTATTGTGCATTAATGACCATTTCTTTCTGATCGAAGTACTCCCTTTAGTATTTCTTGAAGGACAGGTCTGGTATTGATGAAATACCTCAGGTTTTGTATACCTGGAAAATTCTTTATTTCTCCTTCATGTTTGAAAGATATTTTTACTGGATATGCTATTCTAGGGTAAAATATCTTTTTCCTTCATCTCTTTAAATATGTCATGTCAGTCTCTCCTGGTCTGTAAGGTTTCCATTGAAAAGTCTGCTGCCAAACATAGTGGAGCTCCATTCTACGCTATTCTTTTCTTTTTATCTTGCTGCTTGTCTTGCTCTTCTTTATCCAGAGATAAAGAAATGATTCTCTATCTTTGACCCTTGGGAGTTTGATTATTAAATGCCTTGAGTGAGTCTTCTTTATGTTAAATATGCTTGGAGTTCTATAAATTTCTTGTCCTTGGATATTGATATCTTTCTCTAGATTTGGTAAGGTCTCTGTTATTATCACTTTGAATAAACTTTCTACCCCTATTTATTTCTCTACCTCCTTTTTAAGACCAATAACCCTTAGATTTGCCATTTTGAGGCTATTGGCTAGATCCTGTAGGCATGCTGAATTGATTTTTACTCTTTTTTTAATTTCCTCTCACTGTGTATTTCCAAGTAGTCTGTCTTCCAACTCATTAATTCTTTCTTCTGCTTGATCCATTCTGTTGTTAAAGATCTCTGAGGCATTCTTCAGTATGCCAATTACATTATTTTTCAGCTCCAGAATTTCTGCTTGATTCTTTTTACTTATTTTAATCTTTTTGTTAAATTTTTCTGATAGAATTATGAATTCCTTCTCTATTTTTGTCATCCTAAATTTCTTTGGGTTTCCTCAACACAGCTATTTTGAATTCTCTGTCTGAATGGTCACATATCTCTGTTTCTCAAGGATTGTTTCCTGATGCCTTATTCAGTTCCTTTGGTAAGGCCATGTTTTCCTAGATGTTAATGATGCTAGTAGTTGTTCTTCAGTTTCTGAGCATTGAAGAGTTATGTATTTATGGTAGTCTTCACTGTCTTGGCCTATTTGTAGATGTCCCTCTTGGGAAGGCTTTCCAGATACTTGAAAGGACTTGGGAGCTATGATCTAAGTTGTTTCTGCTCTAGGCAATACCTCAAGCCCAGTAGCACTGTGGTTCTTGCAGACACATAGAGGTACTGCCTTGATGGTCTTGGACAAGTTCCCAGATAATTCTCTGTATTACCAGTCAGAGACTCTTGTTCTCTTCCCTTACATTCTCCCAAACATGCAGAGTCTCTCTGTTTGTTCTGAGCCACTTAAGTCTGGTGGTGGAGTGACAAAATCACCCTTGTGACCACCACCACTATGACTGCATTGCGTCAGTCCTGAAGCCAGGACAACGCAGTCTTGCCTAAGGCCTGCTGTAACCAATTCCTGGCTACTGCCTATGTTCACTCAAGGCCCCATGGCTCTACAATTAGCAGGTGGCAAAGCCAGCCAGGCCTATGTCCTTCCCTTCATGGTGGCAAGTTCCCCTGAGGCCCTGAGTGGATCCAGAAGTGCCACCTGGGAGTCAGGGATTAGAGTCAAAATCTTAGAAATCTACTTGCTGTTCTATTGTATTGTGGCTGAGCTGGCACTCAAAGCACAAGACATAGTCCTTCTACTCTTTTCTCTCCTTTCCAAAGGCAGTGGTACCTCACCTGGTAGCCATGACCACTCCTGGCCATAAGAAATCCTGCTAGACTACCACCGATGTTCCCTTAAGGCTCAAGTTCTCTTAAGTCAGCTTTTGGTGAATGTTGCCTGGCCTGGGGCTCACCCTTCAGCTCAGTGGTCTCCCCTCTGCTCCAGGGCAGGTCTAGAAATGCTGTCCAAGAGTGAAGTTCTAGAATCAGTGACCTCAAGAATCCAGGTGGTGCTCTACCCTCCTGCGGCAATGTTGACACCTAAGGTGCAAGACAAAGTCTCCTTTACTCTTCCCTCTTCTGAAGCAGGAAGAGTTTTGCCCTGTAACCACCATAGCTGATAATGTGCTGAGTCTCACCTGAAGCCAGCCAAGTCTCAGAGGCTCACCAAGGCCTTTGATGAAGTACCTGGGTATCGCTGTTTGTTTTTCAGGACCCAAGGGCTCATCAGTTAGCAGGTGATAGATGCTGGCAGGGTTGTTTCCTTTTCTTCAAGCTGGCGGGTTTCATTCTGGCCCAAGATGTGTCTAGAAATGTCATCTGGGAGCTAGTGCCTCATGATTCTGACCAGTTCCCTATCCTGCTGTGGCTGAGCTGGTATCCAACATGCAAGAAAAAGTTCTTCTCACTCTTCCCTCTCCTTTCTTAAAGTAGAAGGAAGGGGTCTCTTTTGGAGCCATGAGCTGTGCACCCTGAGGTTAGGACATGGGTGATGCCAGCACTCCTCGCTGCCCCAGCCAGTGTATCAGTATGTTGTGTGCCCCCAGGTTCACCGACTCTGGTCTTGCCTAAGGGTTCCAGTTCTTATGGCCTAGACCGCCTGTCAAGTTTACTTAGAGATTGAGAACACATTGGCTCTCGCTGGTGAGGTTTGTGGGCACTCAAGTTTGGACCACTGGGATTTGAGACTCCCCTCTAGCTAGGGCTGGTTTAAATGCTTCCTCTGTGGGCAGGCTCAGCTGAGTTTTGTTTGGTTCTCCTTTTTGTTCTAACAGAACAGCACTGAGTTTAATGCCTCATAATTGTGGTGTTTTCCCTTCCCCAGTGCCACAAGAAGCTCTCGGCACCAGTCCACCACTGCCAAGGCTGGGGCAGGAGTGGCATCGACGACTCAGGACTGTTTTTTCTATCTCTTCAGTGCCTTTCTTACCATATGAATTTAAAACCAGGTACTACGAATGCTCACCTGATTTTTGGTTCTTATGCAGGTATTTTTTCTGTGTAGATGGTTGGTAACTTGGTGTCCTTGCATGGGGGGTGCACAGTTGGTTGAACTTTCTATTCTGCCATCTAGCTCTGCCTCTCCTTCCTGACTACCATTTTGACTAGGAGAAATAGAATCATACAAATAAGATGGGTAGTGTTTGTTTTTGGTTTTAACATATTTCTTACAGCAAAAGAAACAGTCAACAGAGTGAAGAGACAATGTACAGAATGGGAGAAATTATTTGCAAAGTATTCATCTGTCAAGGGATTAATATCTAGAATATACAAGGAATTCAAACACATCAAAAATCTGATTAAAAGTGAGCAAATTAGCTGAATATTTATTTCTCAAAAACAAGAAATGCAAATGGCCTACAGGTATATTAAAAAATGTTAAACATCATTAATCATTGGGGAAATGCAAATGCAAAGCAAAACCATAATATGATATCACCTCACCTCAGTTAGAACGGCTATTTTAAAAAATACAGAAAATAACAAATGTTAACAAGCATGCTGAGAAAAAGAAGCTTTTATATGTTGCTGATGAGAATGTAAATTAGTATAATCTTAATGGAAACGGTATGGTGATTCCTCAAAAAACTAAAAATAGAACTACCCTATGATTCAGCAATCTCACTACTGGATATTTATTCAAAGGGAATAAAATCAGTATATCAACAAGAAATATGCAATCCCATGTTTATTGCAGCACTATTCACAATAGCTAAGATATAGTGTCAATCAATGGACACATGGATAAAGAAAATGGGATATATATATAATATTATATATATTCCTATTTATTATATATTACATAGAATATATTTATATATAATATATAAATGTATATTATATGTATATTAATATATATTATATATTGGATTATATATAATGGAATACTATTCAGTCATAACAAGTAATAAAATCCAGTCACTCACAGCAACATGAATAAGGCTGGGGAACATAGTTAAGTAAAATAAGGCAGGCACAGAAAGACAAATGCCACATTTTCTCACTCATACATGGGTGCTAAAAGAGTTTTGCTTGGAGAAGTAGAGAGTAGAATACTGACTACCAGAGGCTGTGAAGAAGAGAAGGGAGAGAAAGTAAGGAGAGGACAGCAAATAAATACAAAATTACAGCTAGATAGGAGGAATAAGTTCTAGTTTTCTACAGCACTATAGGATGACTATAGTTAACAATAATTTATTGTCTATTTTCAAACACCTAGAAGAGATAATTTTGAATGTTCCTAACACAAAAAATAATAAATGTGATAGATATGCTAGTAACCCTAAATTAATCATTACACTTGTCTATAGGTATGGATATATCATTCTATACTTAATAAATATGTAAAATTATAATGCATCTATTTAAATGTGTGTATATAAATATATTTAATATATTGTGTATATATGATATGTAATATATACATTATTATATGATGCCAGTAAGTTTCTTTCTTTCTCTAATGCTTGCCAGCTATGACCAATCAATAAATCAGCGTAAGGAAAAACTGGTGAAAGCAGCCTTCCACGGGGCACAGGATTAACTTCAGGGACTCTGGCAGGCAGTCAGTATTCTACTTCCAAAAGTATCAAGGTCTACAGTGTGATTGATTTCATTTCACATTATTTATTTACTTTTCAGATGACACAATCACCAAGCAAAGGCTGAAACCATGTGTGTTTCTTTCAATCACCAAGCAAAGGCTGAAACCATGTGTGTTTCTATGTTTCCAGCTGAATTATTAATCTCTCTGTTAAGTTTAATTCCTGACTCTCAATTTAATTCTATTTTAGTATCTGATGCCCCTATTAGCCTCACTGCAGTTGAATTCTGTTGCCCCCTTGGCTACAGCCTGCTGAGAAATTATGTGTATATGTGTGTGTATGCACGCATGTGTGTGTGTGTGTGTGTACTTAGCAGAAAATGCTGTTTTATTGACTCAGATTTTAATTCCAAATACTATTTTTACTGATCAGGTACTTGAAAACAAATGTTCCAAGACGCTTCTCTCATGCATTGAAAGGTTATTTTCAATTTATATTTATATCCAATGACATAAATTACAAGAAGATATTTTATTCTTTATACCATTAACAGACTCCTGGGGCACTCAGTGATTTTTGAGGATGAAAAGATAATAATTTTAAGAAAGTTGATAGCAGAGAAACATGCCTGTTAGATAAAAAAAGAGACTAATGCCAGATTTTATTATTTCTGAGTATTATTATCTATTATAACAGGATAAACAAGTAAATCAAAACACAAATTCAGTATGTAAGTGAGAATATGAGGTAATCCAATAATTAACAAAACAATTCAATAATGAAAGATGACTATAACTAAGTTGATTTCATATTTTGGGATTGTCTCACTTCAGCATATCTATACTTCATGACAGTACAATATACTGAACCATTCAACTAAATTGCCCTAATTCTTATTACTGTGTTATCACCAGTGGTAAAAGAATTTCAAAGTGTATAGAGCAGTAACGCTTCAAGAAAAAGTGTTCTTCGGTATTGCTGAGTATAGGAATCAATAATGAATTTGCTTGTGTCCCTTGATGAAAACTAGAGTAAAATTACTGGTTTTTCTTCTAATCCAATCTCTTGCTGTACAGCACGTATATAAATATCCTTAAAGTTATTTATCCCGACCTTTTTTCCCCTGCAGGAGAATGTACATTACTTCACAAGTAAGTTCATTAGATTTTGGAACGATTTTTATAATTATAGAATATATTCTTACAATAGCTTTTTAATAATTCCTATGGCTATCCATTGATACCATGGTGACACTGAAAACCACTGAGTGAATATGGTTCCTGCATATACTATTTGATACCTGTTGAAATTACCTGAAATTTGCATCTTCAGCTTCCCACCCATTTCCTCTACTGCTATTCACATAAAATAGGTTTTTTTTTTTTGCTCTTATATGTATGACCACATTCAATTGGACATACTATGATGTGTTTATACATTTAAAGCTTGCCTTCACTTGAAGGTATCGACGCACTGTTACTACTCAACGTAAGTTTCTTCCCTGGCGGGGTGGGGGGTGGGGTGTGTGTGTGTGCCTAATCTTTCTGTGTCATCAATTCATTTAACAAATATTTATAGAGTCATCTCTAGATGACTTTCATTGTGATAGGCACAGAAATTAGAATGATGTTAAAGGCACAGTCTTTGTTCTACAGAGCCAATCAGTCTAGAGGACAATAAGAGTAAACAGGGAATTATAATATTGTGTTGTGATGAGATAGACACAAGATACTCTAAGAATCCATTGTAACCTCATATATCTTTAATGGGTCCACAAGGACTTTCCAGAGAAGGTAACATTAAAGTACTACTGAAGGAGGAAATGGCCACACTAAGAAGGGTTGTTGACATCTTCCAGAGAGAATGGGCAAAGGGAACAAACAACTGGAAGTAAAACATGCATGATATATTTAGAGATCCGTAAGTAGTTTAGAGGTTCTGGAAAATAGGACATGAATCATAAAATGAGCCTGTGGCAATAAACAGTGGTTAGGCCATGAAGACATTTGCATGCCGTGGTAAGAGTTTTGGTTTCCTGGGGCCGCCATGGCAACTTATCACAAACTGACAAACTGGGTAGCCTAAAACAATAGAAGTGTATTCTCTCACAGTTCTGGGGGCCACAAATACAAAATCAAGGTGCATCAGGACCACAGTTCCTCCAAAGACTCTAGGGAGGAACCTCCCCTGGTCTTTTCCAGCTTCTGGTAGCTCCAGGTGTTCCTTGGCTTGTGGCAGCATAACTCCGGTTTCTGCTTCCATTTCACAAGCCTTTCCCCACCATGTGTCTCTGTGTCCTCTTCCTCTCTAATACAGTCACCAGTCAAGGAATTTGGGGCTCACCCTAAATCCAAGATGACTTCATCTCAAAATCCTTAACAAAGCACATTTGCAGAGACGCCATTTTCTAATAAGGTCCTATTTTGAGTTTCTAAATGGATATGAATTTTGGGAGTGGAGACACTATCCAAACCACTACAGTAAACTGGGCATTTATTATTATGCAGTCAAAAGCTATTGAGGGTATTATGTAAGGTTTTATAAATTAGAACTGTCAGTAACATGAGGAGAAACATTATAAATTTAGTTTGGGATAAATTGAGCTTAAAATATTTGAATACATTAATAGAAGATTTTAAAGGGCAATTGATATACAAGATCTAAATTATATACTGATAATCATGGGCAATTCCATAGTGCCTTTTTTCCCTATTCTTACCTGATATTGGGTTGTAGCCAGAACTGACTACCTCAGAAGAGCCAATTATTAAATATTCAAAAATTTTATGAAGGCTTTATAAACATTTGGTAGCTTGAAATCAGTCAACACAGGACTATTTATACCATGGATATCAACAAAAACAGCCAATCAGGCATTTTGTTGTTATTGTTGTTTTCTAGAAAGCCACTGGTTATCAAGACGCCACTGAATCTCGCCCATTTGAAAAGTTGATAAAAGCTCTAGATTCCAACAGAGAACTAACAAACAAAGTTGTATGTTTAACACAATTTAAGAAACTCTTGGATAAGATGCAGAACTAGTTTGCAGCTCCTATTCGAACGGACAGAGCAGCATGTGGAAACTCACATTGTGAACTTCTGCTTCAAGAATTACCACAGGAACATACCAGGAAAGCTGAGAAAATGCACCCACCCTTTGAAGGAAATGGATCACTGCTGCAGGCTTCCTGTGATGCCAAAAAACTGTGAGTCTGCTTGCTTTCTCAATGGGGAAGCTGGTGGTCTGGAGCAGGTTCTCAGCCCTGGCCATCAGCTGCCTGGAAATAGAGTTGGTGCTGTTGGGGGGACACGGTGGGAATGAGTCTGGCCTCTTTAGTACTGCAGGCTGCATGGGAGTGGGGTTAGGCCTGTGACTGCCAGTTTTCCCCCACTTCCCTAGTTACCTGTATGAGTCAACAGAGGCAGCCATAATCCCCCTGGGAATACAACTCCATTGGACTGGGAATCACATCCCCATTCCCCACACAGCCGCAAGAAGCCCCCCTCAAGAAGAAGCTAAGCTCAGGCAAGCCTGTCCCTGCCCTCAACTAGTGGTCTTTCTCTACCCACCCTGGTAACCAAAGACAAAGGTCATAATCTCTTGGGAGCTCTATGGCCCTACCCACCCCTGAGAAACCCAAATACTTAACCAGATGTCTCTAGGGCAAGTTTGCATCCTCCCTATAGGACTGCAGCTGATATGCTCTTGAAAGTGCCACCTCTTGGATGGAGGCCAACTAACACAAAAACAAACCAGTGCCCTAAAACAAAAACACAACCAAGACACCAAGTTCCACTTTACTCCTCTGCTACCTCCACCAGAGCAGGTGCAGGTATCCACGGCTGCAAACACTGAAGATGCATCACATCACAGGACTCTTTGCAGACACTCCCTAGTAGCAGCCCAGAGCTCGGGAGCTCTGCTGGGTGGCTAGATCCAGAAGATCAAAAACAATAACTATAGTTTGGCTCTCAGGAAGCCCCATTCCTAGGAAAAGGGGGAGAACACCACATCAAGGGAACACCTTGTGGGACAAAAGAATCTGAACAGCAACCCTTGAATCCCAGTTCTTCCCTCTGACAGTCTACTCAAAAGAGAATGAACCAGGAAAACAATTCTGATAATATGACAAAACTAGGTTTTTTAACACCCCCCAAAGATCATACTGGTTCAGCCACAAGGGATCCAACAAAGGTGAAATATCTTAATTGCCAGAAAAAGAATTCATAAGGTTGATTATTAAGCTAATCAAGGAGGCACCAGAGATAGGTGAAGTCCAACATAAAGAAACCAAAAACATGATACAGGATATGACAGAAAAATTCTTCAGTGAAATAGATACTATAAGGAAACAACAATCACAACTTCTGGAAATCAAGGACCCACTTAGAGAAATGCAAATTGCACTGGAAAGTCTCAGCAGTAGAACTGAACAAGCAAAAGAAAGAACTTCAGAGTTCAAAGACAAGACTTTTGAATTAACCCAATCCATTAAAGACAAAGAAAAAATAACTTTTTAAATTGAACAAAGCCTCCAAGAAGGTTGGACATAGGTTAACTGTTCAAACCTAAGAATCATTGGTATTCCCGAGGAAGAAGAGGAATCTGAAACTTTGGAAAACTTGTTTGAGGGAATAAATGAAAAAAAACTTCCCCAGCCTTGCTACAGATCTAGACATCCAAATACAAATAGCTCAAAGAACACCTGGGAAATTTATTGCTAAAAGATCATCACCTAGGCACATTAGTCTTCAGGTTATCTAAAATCAAGATGAAGAGGAAAGAATCTTAAGGGCTGTGAAGCAAAAGCATCAGGTAACCTATAAAGGAAAATTTACCAGATTAACAGCAGATTTCTCAGCAGAAACCTTACAAGGTAGGAGAATAGGGTTCTATTTTTACACCTCTTAAACAAAACAGTTATCAGCTAAGAATTTTGTGTCCAGTGAAACTAAGATTCATAAACAAAGGAAAGATACAGTCTTTTCTAGACAAACAAATGCTGACAGAATTTGCCACTACCAAGCCAGCACTACAAGAACTGCTAAAAGGAGTTTTACACTTTGAAACAAATCCTCAAAATATACCAAATTAGAACCTGTTTAAAGCATAAATCTCACAGGACATACATAACACAATGAAAAAAAACCAAGTTATTCAGGCAACAAATACCACAATGAATAGAATAGCACCTCACATCTCATTACTAACATGAAATACACATGACCTAAATGCTCCACTTAAAAGGTGCAGAAAGATGGAATGTATAAGAAACCACCAACCAAGTTTCTGCTATCTTCAGGAGACTCACCTAACTCCTAAGTACTCACATAAACTTAAGGTAAAGTAGTGGAAAAAGACATTCCATGCAAATGGACACCCAAAGCAAGCAGGAGTAGCTATTCTTACAGCAGACAAAACAAACGTTAAAGCAACAGCAATTTAAAAAGACAAAGAGGGACATTATATAATGATAAAAGAACTAATCCAACAGGAAAATATCACAATTCTACATATACATGCACCTAACACTGGAGCTCCCAAATTTATAAAAACAATTACTACTATACCTAAGAAATGAGACTGACAGTGACACAATGATATTGAAGAACTTTGATACTCCACTGACAGCACTAGACAGGTCACCAAGACAGAAACTCAACAAAGAAACAATGGACTTAAACTATACCCTACAACAAATGCACTTAACAGACATTTACAGAACATTCTACCCAACAACTGCAGAATATACATTCTATTCATCAGCACATGAAAAATTCTACAAGATAGACCACTTAATAGGCCACAATTAAGTCTCTGTAAATTTAAGAAAATTGAAATTTTATCAAGTACTCTCTCAGACCACAGTATAATAAAAATGGAAAACAACTCTGAAAGGAACCCTCAAAGTCATACAAATACATGGAAATTAAGTGACCTGCTCCTGAATGATCATTGAGTCAACAATGAAATCAAGATGGGAGTTAAAAAATTCTTTGAACTGTCTGGGTGCAGTGGCTCATGCCTGTAATCCCAGCACTTCGGGAGGCCGAGGCAGGCGGATCACGAGGTCAGGAGATGGAGACCATCCTGGCTAACACGATGAAACCCCGTCTGTACTAAAAATACAAAAAATTAGCCAGGCGTGGTAGTGGGGGCCTGTAGTCCCAGCTACTCAGGAGGCTGAGGCAGGAGAATGGCATGAACCCAGGAGGCGGAGCTTGCGGTGAGCGGAGATCGCGCCACTGCACTCCAGCCTGGGGACAGAGCGAGACTCCACCTCAAAAAAAAAAAAAATTTCTTTGAACTAAATGATAATAGTGACACAACCTATCAAAACCTCTGACGTATAGCAAAAGCAGTGCTAAGAGGAAAGTTCATAGCATTAAATGCCTACATCAAAAAGTTTGAAAGAGCGCAAATAGACAATTTAATGTCACGCTTCATGGAACTGGAGAAACAAGAATAATCCAAATCAAAACCCAGCAGAAGAAAAGAAATAACGAACATCAGAACAGAACTAAATTAAATTGAAACAAAAAAATACAAAAGATAAATGAAATCAAAAGCTGATTCTTTTAATAGATAAATAAAATTGTTGGACCATTAGTGAGATTAGCCAAGAATAGAAGAGAGAAGATGCAAATAAAGTCAATTAGAAATGAAACAGGCAATATTCTCTGGAATATAGAGAATCACTAAGGGGTCTTCTCTTCCATTCTCTCCTATTGAGTATGCATTTTTTTGCTAAGACTGTTTCTTAATTACCTATTCTTGCTGTAACAAATTACCACAAACACTGTGGTTTAACATGATACAAATTTATTATCTTGTAGTTTTTGGTGTCAGAAGTCGTGATGGTTATTTTCATATGACAACTAGTTTGGACCACTTGGTGCCTAGATATGTGATCAAATGTTATTCTGGATGTGCCTGTTAGGGTTTTTCTGGATGAGATTAACACTGGAATAAGTAGACAGTAAAGCAGATAGTACTCTCTAATGAGTAGGTCCCATCCAATCAGTTGAAGATCAGAATAGAACAAAAAGGCTGATCTTCCTAAGAGTAAAATGGAACTTCTGCCTGACTGCTTTGAGCCAGGATACAGGTTTTTTTTCTTGCCTTAAGATTCAAATGGAAACAGCAGCTCTTTCTGGGTCTTGAGCCTGCTAGCTTTTGAAGTCAAATTTACATAATTAGAGCCTTCAGAATCAGAGTTGCACTACAGCATTGGCTCTTCTGGGACTGCCAAAGACAGGTCTTGGGACTTTTCAGCATCTGTATTAACATGAGCCAATTTCTTATAAAAAAATCTCTCCCTTCCTTCTCTCTATATATCCAATTATAGGTAACAAATGAAGGGGAGTAAATGATGAGAAAAATCTCCTAATGGATACAATGTACATTGTTTAGGTGATGGATATTCTAAAAGCCCTGACTTCACCACTAGGCAATCTATGCATGTAACAAAATTGCACTTGTACCTCATAAATTTATACCAAAACATGACATAGAATATATTTACTTATTTGACTAGCCTGGAAAATAGATGTGTCTTTCTAAATTTAATAATATACAATATTGATTGAACAGGGTATGCACTTCAGTGTATGATTTACATGGAAAAAAAAACTACCCAGGTTCACCAAAGCACTATCATTCAATTTTATGCATTTACAATGACACAATATCAACTGACCAAATAGAGTTCATTTACACAGCAGATTAGTAGCAGCTACCCTACAAAAAGTAAGACGGAAACCTCTCAGAGGTCAAAAAAGAGAAATAATGTAATCTCAAATCTAACCTTGAAGTTGTTTTATTTCCAATACCTGCTGTTCTTACGCTCAACACTAGTTCCCCAACTCTAAGTTTTGATTATATTGCCAATCTTTCCACTCAGCCATTCCAGGCTGCCTTCCATTTTTCCGCTTTCTTCTTCCCTCCTCCCTCCCTCCTCTTTTTGACTTCCTAGTTCTCTCCAGCACTTGAGCACTCGCTCTTTCTCTCTCTCATACTTGCTTTCATGTAGGAGGTGAAAATCAAAAATTCACTAAAAAGATGTTCAAGGTGTCTTCAAAGCTGGGAAGATTTTTTCCCAACAATTAGACATTATAATGTAGAATATTAGGTCTGATATATTTGCTAATTTAGACTAATTACTTTATTACCCGGGCTTCCACAAAAATAACTATTCCATTTATATCCTACATTTGAGTGACTAATAGGGCCATTCTGTTGGCTTTCTCTAAACAAACGAAATCTGCTCCAGCATAACTTGGTTTCTCTGCTCTTAGGAATGATTTAGTAGCAGGAAGAAAAAAAACCCCTCATAAATTTTGGGAAAAAAAAGCAGGAAAGAGTTAAGTAATCTTTTTAGTTTTTTTTTTTAAATTCATGTATAATTTTTACCCAGAAAGTTTGAATTTATTTCTTGAGGCAATAGCCAGGGACAGAAATATTTAAAACAATAGTAGACAGAGACCTGACCTCAGAAGCTAACATCCCTCATTAAAACTGGCAAAGATATACACAAAAGATGAGACAGGAAAATAGGATATCCTAAGATTAAGAATCAAAAGACATCTTCTTCAAAGTGATAGAAATTATTATTCACTTTTTAAAAATTTAGTCCAAACAAACTATTATTTATTATAACAGGACAAGGTTTTTTTTTAAATCTTACGGTACAGGTTAGACTCTTTTCCTCAAATGAACTACTACTTCTTTAAAGTTGCAGCTCAGAGTTTCTTTGGTCCTTGTTAAGGTAAACAAAAGCTGTGCTGTCTTTGAAAGAAAGCTACTTGTTAAAAGTACCAATCTTTACAGTGCCTGAGGGTATCGAATGATAGAAAGATAAATCGTTCATCCAACACAATGCTAGGGTTAGGTTGAGGAGAGTGAGACACTTGTCTTGGGCACTAAACTTGAGAAATCCAAGAAAATATTTCGGATACATCATATTTGAGTGAAACACTTTAAAAATCAAAGTTAATGAGAAAAAATATGATGAATAAAATATAAAAAAATAAAGATAGGATCTGACATTACCACGCCATGGTGAATCTTGAGGAAATTAGAAAAATGTTCAGTAGCATAAGATAGAAGGCAAAAAGGAAAAAGAAAAAATGTGCCCCTGTATACATGTCTTCATACTTTTTTAATTTTTAATTTTGTGGGTACAAAGAAGACATATTTATTCATCGGGTACATGTTATATGTTTCTTTTTCTTTTTTCTTTTATTTCATTTTTAAGAGGTGGCCTTGCTTTGTCACCCAGGCTGGAGTGCAGTGGTGTGATGATAGCTCACTGCAGCCTCAAACTTTTGGGCTCAAGCAATCCTACCACCTCAGCCTCCTAAATAAGTGGGACTAGTGCCACCACACCCAGCTAATTAAAAAAGTTTTTTTTGTAGAGAAAGGGTCTCACTCTATTGCTCAGGCTGGTCTCAAAATCCTCGCTTCAAGCAATCTTCCTGCCTCGGCCTTCCAAAGGGCTAAGATTGCAGGAATGAGCCACTGAACCCAGCTTATATTTTTTAATTTTTATATTTTTCCATAACATTAATGTAGCTTAAAAGTGTTGAAAAATTAAAAATTAGGTGTATTAGAACTCACATTATTTTAAGGTTAAATATTTTATTTACTCATTCTTTTTAATTTTTTGTTTTTAATTTTTTTCCAAATATAGATTTTGAAAATATTATTTATGAGCATGCTTTCATTAAAACCAGGAAACTAGTATAACATATACATGAGAACATCTTTTCTTTGGCTTCAAGATTCAGTACATCTTGGCATAGGGCTGTCTTTATTTAAAATGTTTGTATCTTAACATTTTAAAGTATTGGAGTAAAATTGTATTTATCTGGATTTATTGAAGTTTTTTTCATATCCCTGTAAATTTGTACCCAATGCCTCACTTACCTCAATGTAGTGTTGAATTTGAAGATAGAAAATCACAATAATACTGAAAAAATATGCCAGTGAGCACGAATTATTGAATGTTTAATGTTTAAACCAAGATCAAACATCTTTATAAATGATAGTAATAGTATGGGCCTTTAAAAGGAAATATTTCTCTTGACATAAAGTCAGAAAACACATAATTAATTAACCCATGATGATTATTGAATCTCCTGTAACTCACAGATATTCTGATGTTGTCTACTGACATGCCCAGAGAAGATTATTTCAGTAAAATCACTAAGGAGTCATTCCAAATCATCCACAAACACATATGCACAAACGAAGGAGTCTAACAATATTTCATCATTCCTTTCTCTTGTATTGAGCATTTCTGATGCACTTGGAATTGATTCCTATGAAAGATAAAAAATAATAAAATATACTTTTATGTTTTTAAAAATTCCATGATTATGAGTTCAATCAAGCTTCTATTCTTAATTGTAGTCCTCACCTCCAATTGTGATACAAATAATCTATGATCGAGGAATTGTCTCTATCCTTGTCCTCATCTATCAACAAAAGGTGTATTTGTCTTTAATATGTGTAGCTTTCATTACACATTTCCCTTCTGATTATTTCTGATTACATATTAATAACCTGAAGGCTCATTATCATTCAAGTGCATAGTTTTACTAAAGTCATCTGAATATTTATTATTATCATTATTGCATCTGAAATTATTTTTATTCCGGGACTATATATATGTCAACATAAATTGCCTGTGAATATTAATATATATTGTAGGTCTGGAAAGTTAAAATATATTTACCTTGATGCACCTTTTCCAAGCATGCCTGCATTGCATTTCTAACCATTTGAATAAAGCTAGCCCACCTCCCTTAATTTTCTGCTCTATTCACACCTGTATTTTCAGTGTCTTTCAAAGCCTAAGATTGAAAAACAATCTTTCTTAATGCATGGCCAACCCCATGGAATTAAACTAACCCATGCTGAGTTAGTCCCATGCTGTTGGAATGGTATATCTAGGCCACATAAAAAAAAAATCATCTTGCTTGTACGTTGCTTTTCACAAATATGAGAGATGATAAATAGCCAAAATAGAAATAGAAATGGACAAAACCTGGAACACATCCTGTATTAAAATTGCCACAATGGACAGCTTATTGCTGGCGTGGAAACTTTAGAGAGTCAAATTACATTGTTTCATGCCCAACACATTTCCCCGGATCTTTCATTAGAATCTGCCAAAAATGCTTATGGCCAAACCAGACACATCTGCTGAGTGCCCAATTTGCGTTCTTGGCTTTGAGTCTGAACACCTGGTTGTCAGTGATTCCAGCACCCTGTGCTTATTTTCCTGGCACCTCTGGGAGGCTGATAACCCACAGTGACACTGAAACAGAATTGGATGGTCAGGAAATAAAATATGAACTCCAAGCTTTCTGGTTGGAAACCAGGATTCTGTGACAATTTTAATAGATTTTATTTGTCACGTTAGTTTCAGGCTTACAAACGAATTGGAACAGATAATACAGAGTTCCCACGTATCCCAATCTTGTTTCCTGTATTATGGCTCTTACATTAGTTTGGTACATTGGTTACAATTAATGAATCAGTAGTCAGAAACTATTATTAACTGAAGTCCATAGGTTATTCAGATTTCCTTAGTTTGTACTTAATGCCTTTTTTCTTCTTTACATGATTTCTTTCTTTTAAAGAAATTTTGAAAGTTACTTGTAGTCCCATAACAATAATGCAACTTTTGTTATTTTTACATATTTCTTCCATTTTCTACATGCGTATATATAAATTAGTTAAAGTTTTATGAGCATGATGCGCATGTTGCAACCACATACCCATTTATTATAGTTTTATTTAGTTTAGGCCTCCACACAGAAATCTGGGACCTATACATTACAGTCGAATGCTTTGCTACTTTTAAACTTCCATGTTCAATGTAAAAAGGCCCTTTAATAGTGACAATTGCAAAGCACCAGTTGGGACCTCACGAACAGGAGACCACTTATTCTTTTGTTGTTTCAATTTGATACAAAATAGATGTATATATTTTGTGGTATATGTGATCATTTAATACATTACTATAATTTCTGAACATCAAATAAGTATAATTATAATATCCATCACTTTATATTTTGTCTTTTTTATGCTAGAAATATTCCAATTACTCATTTCAAGATTTTTTTAAATATACAATTGGTTATTATAACTATAGTCAGCCTAGTGATTTATCAAACACTAGGTTTTATTTCTGTTATGAAACAGTGTATTTGCACTCATTAATTAACCTGTCTTCATCTTCCCCCACCAATCCTTCCTGGCCTCTGGTAACCACCAATCTACTCTATCTTCATGAGATTCATCGTGTTAGCTCTCATATATGAGTGAACCCATGCCATATTTGTCTTTTTGTGCTTGGCTTATTTTAGGTAACATAGTGACCTCCAGTTTCATCTATATTGCTGCAAATGACAGGATTTTATTCTTTTTATGACTGAATAATATTCTATTGTGTATATATGCCATATTTTATTAATCCATTCATTTATCCTGATGGGCACTGAGGTAGATTCTATATTTTGGCTATTGCAAAAAGCACAGCAATAAACACAGGAATGCAGATATCTTTCTGATGTATTAATTTTCTTTCTTTTGGATAGATATCCAGTCATGGAATTGCTGAATTTTATGGTGATTCTATTTTCAGTTTTTTGAGGAACCTCCGTAGAGTTTTCAATAGTGGCTGAACAAATGTACATTCCCACCAACAGGGGAAGACAGGTTCCCTTTCTCACCATCCTCACCAGTATTTGTTATTCCCTTTCTTTTCAATAAAAGTCATTTTAAGTGAGGTGAGATGATATCTCATTGTGGTTTTGATTTTTATTTCTCTGATGATTAGTGATGTTGAACATTTTTCATATATTTGTATGTCTAATGTAAAGACACATGATGCAAATGTTCATTGTAACCCTATTCACAATAACAAGGACATGCAATCAACCTAAATGCCCATTAATGACAGATTGGATAAAGAAAATTTAATTCATATACACCATGGAATACTATGCAACCATAAAAAAGAATGAGATCATTCTTTTTAACTCCAGGCTTTTATGGGAACATGGAGGGTCTTATCCTTAGCAAACTAATGCAGGAACAGAAGAACCGAATACTGTTCTCACTTATAAGTGGGAACAAAATGATAAAAACTTATGAGCACAAAGAGGGAAACAACAGACACTGGTGTCTACCTGAAGGGTGAAGGTGGGAGGAGGGAGAAGAGCAGAAAAGATAACTATTGGGTACTGGGCTTAATACCTGGGTATTGAAATAGTGTTACAACAAAACCCCATGACACATGTCTACCTATGTAATAAACCTTCTCTTGTACTCCCAAACCTAAAACAAAAGTTTTTCTAAAAAAGTCTATTCAGATTGTTTGCCAATTTTTTAGCCAGATGATGATGATGATGATGATGATGATGATGATGATGACGATGATGATTTGCTATGGAGTTATTTGAACTCATATATTCTAGTTACCAATCCCTTGTCAGATGGGTAATTTGCAAATATTTTCTCCCATTCTGTGGGTTGTCTCTTCACTTTGTTAATTGTTTCCTTTGCTGGGCTTTTTAGTTCAAAGTAATCCCATTTGTCTATTTTTGCTTTGGTTGCCCGTGCTTTCGAGGTTGCATTGAGTCTGTAAATTGCTTTTGGTAGAATTGTCAATGCAACAATATTAATTCTTCCAATCCATGAGCGTGGAATCTTTTCATTTTTTGTGTCCTCCTTAATTTCTTACATAGGTATTTTATAGTATTATTTGCATAGATCTTTCACTTCTTTGGTTAAATTAATTCCTAGGTATTTTATAGTTTGTAGCTATTGTAAATGGGATTGCTTTTTATATTTATTTTTCAGATTTCTCCCTGTTGATGTATGTAAATTCTACCGATTTAGGTATGTTGATTTTGTGTCCTGCAATTTTATTAAATTTCTTGATCAGTCCTAACAGTTTTTTTTTGGTGAAGTCTTCAGGTTTTTCTAAATATAACATCATGTCACATGAAAACAAGGCTAATTTGAAATCTTTCTTTCCAATTTGTATGTTCTTTATTTTTTTCACTTATCTAATTGCCCTGGCCAAGATTTCTAGTATTATCTTGAATAAAATAACACTGGACACGCTTGTCTTGTTTTATATTTTAGAGGAAAGGCTTTAAGCTTTTTTCTATTGAATATGATGTTAGCCGTAGGTTTGTCATATACAGCCTTTATCATTTTGAGAAAAGTTTCTTCTACCCAGTGTGTTAAGGGTTTTCCTGATAAAGGGATGTTGAATTATATTAAATGCTTTTTCAGTATCTATTGAATTTATCATATGGTTTTGTTATTGGTTCTGTTAATGTGATGTATCAAGTTTATTGATTTGCATATGTTGAACCATCCGTGCATTCCTGGGATGATTCCAACTTGATCATAGAGAGTGATCTTTTTAAATGAATTTGGTTTGCTAGTATTTTTTGATGATTTTTGAATCTATCTTCATCAGTGATATTGGCCTGTAGTTTTTTGTTGTTATTGTTGTGTAAGTTATTACATACTAGTCAGCTATTAGGTAGAATGCCTCTCTGGTGGTATTAGTCTAATACTTTTCTCATGATTTCTCATGGGTTTTGGGGAAGAGTAGAGAGGTAAAGTACCATTTTCATCAAATCATGTCATAAGTACATACTACCAACATCATTTATAACTGTTAGTATTGATCTTGATCAATTGGCTAAAGTTGTGTTTATCAGATCTCTCCACTGTAAAGTTTCTCAGAGTTACCCTTTTTTTTTCTCTCTTCTCTAACTGTACTCAAAAAAAGCACTAAATGCAGCCCACACTTAAAGATTGGGGAGTTGTGCTTCCCTTCATTTAAGATTGAATAGCTACATAATTTTTTCAACTTTTACTTTAGATTCAGAGGGTACATATGCAGATTTGCTACAAGGGTATATTATGTGATGCTGAGGTTTGGGATGTGATTAAACCCACCACCCAAGTAGGGAGCATAGTACTCCATAGGTATTTTTTTAACACTTGATCCCTTGATCCCTGCTCTTGTAGCCCTCAGCTTCTATTGTTCCCATCTTTACATCAACATGTACCCAATGTTTGGCTACCACTTATAAGTGAGAACATGTGGTATTTGGGTTTCAGTTTCCGCGATAGCTACTTTAGGATAATAAGCTCCAGGTACATTCATGTGGCTACAAAGGAAACATTTAATTCTTTTTCATGGCTGCACAGTGTATGCATGTACTATATGTATGTGTACCACACTTTCTTTATCCAATCTATTGTTGATAGTTACCTAGGTTGAGTCATATCTTTGTTATTGTGAATACTGTGGTGAACATACAGGTGCATGTGTCTTTTTGGTAGAATGATCTCTTCTGCTTTGGTTATACAGCAAGCAATGAGATTGCTGGGTCAAAAGGTAGTACTATTTTTAGTTCTTTCCTAAATCTACAAACTACATTCCACAGTGGCAGCACTAATTTGCATTTCCACCAACAGTATATAAGTATTCACTTTTCTCCATAGCCCTGCCAATATCTGGTATTTTCTGACTTTTTAATAATAACCATCCTGACTAGTGTGCAATGGTATGTAATTGTGGTTTTTATTTACATTTCTCTGGTGAATAATAATAAGAATCATTTTAAAAATATTTTTATTGCGTGTCTTTTTTTTGAGAAGTGTCTATACTTGTCCTTTGCCCACTTTTTAATGGGGTCATTTATTGCTTGTTGATTTAAATTGTTTATAAATTCTAGATATTAGACTGTTATCAAATCATGGTTTGCAAATATTTCCTCTCATTCTGTAGGTTGTGTTTCCTCTATTGACAATTTCTATTACTGTGAAGAAGCTCTTTCATTTAATTATGCCCCACTTGTCTTTTTTGTTTTTATTGCAGTTGCTTGTGAAGGCTTGCTTCTAAATTCTTTGCCAAGACTAATGTTGAGAAGAGTATTTTCTGGGTTTTCTTTTAGGATTTTTATAGATGGAGTTCTCAATGGATAAGAAGACTTTCATCCTTTTTCAGTTAATTTTTGTATATGGTGATAGATAGAGGTCCAGTTTCTTTCTTCTACTTACGGATAGTCAGTTATCCCAGAACCATTTATTGAATAGAAATTTCTCTCCACATTGCTTTTCTTATTGACTTTCTTGAAGATCAGGTAGTGTAGATATGCTGCTTTCTTTCTGAGTTCTCTATTCTGTTCCATTATTCTATGTGTCTGCTTCTGTAACAGTACTGTGCTGTTTTGGTTACTGCAGTCTTGTAGTATAGTTTGAAGTTAGGTAATATAATGCTTCCAGGTTTGTTCTTTTTGTTTAGGATTGCTTTGTCTATTCAGGCTCGTTTTTTTTGTCCCATATGAATTTTAAAATAGTTTTTTCTAATTCTATGAAAAAATGGCATTGGTAGTTTGATAGGAATAGCACTGAATCTGTGGATTGCTTAGAGCCATATGAACATTTTAATGAGATTAGTTCTTCCAATTCATGAGTGTGAAATGTTTTCCCAATTGTTTGTGTCATTCATGGTATTTTTCAGCAGTGTAGTTCTTGTGGAGATTTTTCATGTCCTTGGTTAGATGTTGTATTAGTCTGTTCTCAAGCTGCTATAAATAACTGCCCAAAACTGGGTAATTTATAAAGAAAAGAGCTTTAATTGACTCACACTTCTGCATGGCTGGGAAGGCCTCAGGAAACTTACAATAACAGTGAAGGCAACTCTTCACAGGGCAGCAGGAGAGTGAATTAGTGCCAGCAGGTGAAATGCCAGATGATTATAAAACATCAGATCTCATGAGAACTCCTTCACTATCATGATAACATCATGGGGGAAACTATCCTCATGATTCAATTACCTCCCATCGGGTTGCTCCCATCACACATGAGGATTATGGGATTACAACTCAAAATGAGATTTGGGTGGGGACACAAAGCCTAACCATATCAGATGTATTCCTAGGTCATTTTTTGTCACTATCGTAAATGGGATTCTTTCTTGATTTGGCTCTCAACTTGAACATTATTGGCATATGAAAATGCCACTGATATTTGCATATTGATTTTGCCTCCTGAAACTTTACTGAAGTCGTTGAACAGTTCTAGGAGATTTTCGACAGAGTTCTTTGGGTTTTCTAAGTATAGAATTATATTGTCAGTGAAGAAAGTTTGACCTTTTCTTTTCCTATTTGGATGCCTTTATTTCTTTCCGTTGCTTGATTGCTCTGGCTAGGACTTCCGGTACTAAGTTGAATCAGGGTGGTGACAGTGGAAATTCTTGTCTTGTTCCAGTTCTCAGTGGGAATGCTCCCAGCTTTTGCCCATTCAGTATGATGTTGACTGTGGTTTGTCACAGATGGCTTTTATTATTTTGAAGTATGTTTCTTTGATGCCTACATTCATGAGGGTTTTTATCATGAAGGGATGTTGGATTGTATCAAAAGCTTTTCCTGCATTTATTGAGATGAGTATGTGGTTGTTGTTTTTTACTGCTGTTTATGTGGTGAATAAAATTTATCGGTTTGTGTATGATGTATCATACCGAGAATCTTGCATACCCAGAATAAAGACTACTTGATTGTGGTGTATTAAGCCATTTGGCACCATTACCAGTTCATTAGCCTTGACTTTGAAAAATATTTCCTCAAATTTCACTATTGTTCTAAAGGGTTACGAATCACAATAGGATACTTGAGAATACCCAGATTTAGAAATACACACCCAAATCAAGTATTGTGGGGAATATACTTATAGAGATGTTTTTATGTAAGAGTAATATCAACACATTTTCAAAATCTAAAATAAGGTTGCATATACAAATAGGGAAAACATAATGGCTTAATATTCATTATTTTCTTTCCTGAGCTGTTCCAGCTCCATTTTCATATGCTGGGTTTTTGTTGTTGCTGTTGTTTTAATTGTTGTTACAAACACTTTGATATTTTTAAATTTCCTTGAATGTAATAACTAACTCTCTTCAAATGAATATTTATTACCTTTATTATCTGCCATTAGCCTTTTATATTGCCGTCATCTTAAACGAAAACTTGTTTTTTTCTCCTCCTCCTCCTCCTTCTTCTTGCCTTCCTCTTCTTTTTCCTCTTTCCTTCTCCTTCTACCTCTCCTCCTCCCCCTTCTTCTTCCCCTTCTCCACCTCCTCCTTCTCTTTTTTCTTCTTCTTATTCCTTCTCCTCTTCCCTCTTCTTTTCCTTCTCCCCCTCCACCTCCCCTTCCTCCTATTCCTCCTCCTCCTGCTCCTTTCTTCTTGTTGTTCTTCTTCTCCTTCTTTTCTTCATTTTTCCACTTCTTTTCACCTTAATCCTCATTTTTCTTCTGCATGTTCATCCTCTTGTTATGCATAATATTCATGTTTGTTCTTTCATGTACATTCTTCTTCTTTGAATAGAATTGGTGCTATTCAGCCCAGACAGCAAACAATGGGTCAAGAATACAGAATTAAATAAAAGAAATGATAAACTTGGGCTTCACATTATTTCAATTAGGATATCACCACTTCACTATATCATTCCTTTATCCTTGGCATTTTCATGTTTTACACGAGGTCAGTGTGGTTCAGTGTGATGCTGCAGCCTCACAGGGTTCTTGGTGATGTGGACTTTATTAGTCTGTATTTAATTAAGAATTAACACTTGTTTTCCTTCTTCTTTCTACCTTTTCTCACGTTGAAGTCATTTCTCCTGGTCAGAACTCTGGCTTAGAAGAAATCATGTGCATATTCCTGAACTGTATCCTTTGGCCCAATTTCCAATTTTGTTTAGTAGAGTGTGATGAATTAGTTTAGAGATGCTTCCTACCTTTGCTTAACTTCTGTACATGTCTTCAGACTTTATTGGTCACAGCAAAAAATAATTGTTAAAGCCTTTCAAGAGACATCTGTTTGCTACTTTATTTCTAGGAAAATATTGATCAGTTGTAATTGTCATCCTTCTTCAATTGAAACCAATTTATACTCTATTGAGCACACAGTCTACATTTTGTTGTGGTTTGAAGTTATTACAATTTCATGGTTCTATTAGAGATGTTATTTATGTTCAATGTAGTTTGTCTTATATATTTAACTAAGTTTATGTGTAGTGCATTTAATCCACCTTTTTTATTTTTAACAGCCAGGTTAATTGTTGAAGATTGAGGCATAGCAGGTGGCTGGACCTGACAGATTTTCAATGAGTAGAATTTAATTAATTAAACAAAAGTTAACAATTTGGCAAACTTTTGAACTACATTGGCACTGTCTCTTTTTATTCTTTTCTACACCACCTATACATTTTATATACTATCAGTGATAATAAGAACCTGGAAATTCACATGGCATCAAGCTACATTCATCCAACAAAAAGCAAGGCCTATTAAATATCATTCATAAATAATTAAAAATATTTTACTAATATTATTACTGTTAGTACCTTGATTATGTGTTTCTTATTTATATGTTCAAAGTTCTTTTATATATTTGATATTAAATTCAGTATTCCTCTGAGGAAGACAAGAATACTTTAATTGTGGCCATTTTATAAACAGAAAATAGGGCAAATAAAATTTAAGTGATTTACGTAAGGTCGAAAAACTAGTGGCCAATATGCTTGTTTATTATATTCTTTGGGGGAAAAATAACCAGCCATAAATAAAAAAGACTTTTCTGTGTACTTTCGTCCAAGAATTGAATCGTTACTTTAAAGCAATAAAAAATTGGAGAATTACCAAAAAAAAAAAAAAGGAAATACTTAGTATTTGCAATTGTAGCAATATGCTATGTAAAAACATTATTTGTAGAATCTACTTGATAAATCTGTAACTAGAAAACTTCAGTATTAAGATGTAAACAATAACATGTATTATTATATGCAGGAAGAAGATCGGTATTATTGAAATTCAATAATGATTTATATAAAAGACAAATAACACATGGTTAAATGCTTCAAACAGATAATTGAACATTATGATATTTTATATAAAGTACTTTATCCTATGGTTTTATATAACACTAATGGAATGCCTTATATTGTTTCTCTTAGGAACATTTTCATATTTTCCTGTTTTACTAATTTGTTATTATGCCCTGTACTTCATAGATAGCACAACAGGTATGCTGATTAATTTCAACCATTTCTTTCAGCTTATTTCCTGTTATCTGTGACTCTGATTTGGAAAACAAACTTTCCGTCTTACTTTTGATACTACCTAGTTTCTCATCAGTAGAAAGATATTTGAATGAAAATGTATTAAACATGTAAATACTTCCAAATCATTACAAGAAAGAAATAGATCACAGAATCATTATTGAGCTCATTAGAACAAAGATGTTATATAAGTGTAAAATATTGTCATTTTGTCTGGCACATACCATTAGTTTATATGAAGTATAGCATCCAGTTATCTACATGCATCAGAAATGAGATGCTGTCTGGGGAACAGAGCGACTGATTATCCCCACCACAGGAACAGCATATTTAACAACTATCTACATATTTAAAAACCCAAACTACTTTATAAGAACCAAAAATCAGGTGGGTACTCACAGTATCTGGTTTTAGCTTCGTATCACTGAAAGAGGCACTGAAAAGGGTAGGAAAGGCAGTCTTGAATTGCCAATGCCACTCCTCCTCCATCCCCCCATAGCAGCTGCATGACACAGAGAAATCTGTGCAACTGGGAGAGGAAGAGTGCAGTGATTGTGAGACTGCATTGAACTCAGTGCTGCCCTGTCACAGCAGAAAGCAAAACTGGGCTGAACTCAGCTGACACCCAACCGCAAAGGGAACATTCAGATCGCCCCTAGCCAAAGTGGAATCGCCCATCCCAGCATTCAGAACTTGAGTTCTGAATGCCTCAGCATGATGGGCTGAAGTGCTCTGGACCTCTAAATAAACTTGAAAGGCAGTGTAGGCCATAAAGACTGCAAGTCCTAGTCCTGACCTGGGCTCAGAGACAGAGGACTTTGGGGGCATGTGGCTTACTTATACACCAGCTGAGAAATCTAAGGGAGTGCTTGCACCACCCCTCCCCCGACCCCAAACAGCACCACTAACAGCTCATGGATCACATGGATCATTCTCAATGATAGAGCATATGTTAGGTCACAAAACAAGTCTTAAAATATCCAAAAAACTTGTAATAATATCAGCCATCTTCTCCAATCACAATGGAATAGAACTAGAAAGCAATAACAAGAGGAATTTGGAAAACTATACAGACACATGGAAATGAAACAATATCCTCCTGAATGACCAGTAGGTTAATGAAGAAATTAAGAAAAAATTAAAAAAATTATTGAAAGAAATGATAATGGAAACAAGACATACCAAAACCTGTGGGTTACAGCAAAAACAGTACTTGGAGGGAAATTTATAGCTATAAGCACCTACATCAAAAAATTAGAAAAACTTCACATAAAGAACCTAATGATTCATCTTAAAAATAGAAAAGCAAGAGCAAACCAAAAACAAAACAGTATAAGCAAATAAATAATAAATATCAGAGAAGAAATAAATGAAATTGAAATGAAGAGAACAATACAAAAGATGGAGACAAAAAGTTGGTTTGTTGAAAAGTTAAAAAAAATTGACAAATTCTTAATCAGATTAACTAAAGAAAAAATGAGATAAGATCTCAATAAATAAAATCAGAGATATAAAAGAGAATGTTACAACAAATACCACAGAAATTGAAAGGATCATTATTGGCTACAATGTGCAACAATAAACTGGGAAATCTAGAAGAAATGAATAAATTCCTAGATACATACAACCTACCAAGAGACAACCATGAAGAAATCCAAAACCTGAACAGATCAAAAAGTAACAAGATCGAAGCTTTAATACAAAATCTCCCAACAACAACAATAAGCCTGGGACCCAGTGGTTTTCCTGTTGAATTCTACCAAATTCATTAAAGAAAAGCTAATGTCAATCCTATGCAAACTATTCTAAAATAAAGGAAGGAATACTTCCAAACTCATTCTATGAGGCCAGTATTACCCTGATACCAAAACCAGACAAAGACATATCAAAATAAGGAAACTACCAGCAAATATCTCTGATAAATATTGATGCAAAAATACTCAACAAAATACAGGCAAATTGAATTCAACAACACATTAAAAAGATTATTCATTATGACTTAGTGGGGTACATCCAAGGGTTGGTTATAAATGCAAATCAAACAATATGATACATCATATCAAAGGAAGGAAGTACAAATCCCTATTTATCATTTCAATTGATGCTTAAAAGGCATTTGACAAAATTCAATATACTTTCATGATAAAAACCCTGACAAACTGAGTATAGAGGAACATATCTCAACATAATAAAAGCCATATATGACAGACACATAGCTAGTATCATTCTAAATGGAGAAAAATTGAAAGCTTTCCCTCTAAGATAGGGAACATGACAAGGATGCTCACTTTCACCACTGTTATTCAACACAGTACTGCAGGACTAGCTAGAGCAATCAGCCAAGAAAAATAAAGGGCATCCAAATCCAGTATACAAAATCAACATACAAAAATCAGTGGCATTTCTATATGCCAACAGCAAACAAACTGAAAAAGAAATCAAGAAAGAATTCCATTTAAAATAGGGATAAAAAAATTAAATAACTAGAAATAATTTAACCAAAGAAGTAAAAGATCTGTACAATGAAAACTATAAAACACTGATGAAAAAAATTGAAGAGGGGACAAAAAATTGGAGAGATATTCCATGTACATGGATTGGACGAATCAATATTGTTAAAATGTCCATAGTATCCAAAGCAATCCACATATTCAATGCAATCTCTATCAAAATACCAAGGACATTTTCTACAAAAATAGAAAAAGTAATCTTAAATTTTATATGGAACCACAAAAGACCCAGAATAGCCAAAGCTATCCTGAGCAAAAAGAACAATACTGAAGGAATCACATTATCTGACTTCAAATTATACTACAGAGCTATAGTAATCAAAACATTATGGTACTGGCATAAAAACAGAAACACAGACCAATGAAACAGAATACAGAACCCAAAAATAAATCCACACATCTGCAGTGAACTCATTTTTGACCAAAGTGCCAAGAACATACATTGGGGAAAGGACTGTCTCTTCAATAAATGCTGCTGGTAAAACTGGATATCCATATGGAAAAGAATGACACTAAACCCTTACCTCTCACCATATACAAAAATCCAATCAAAATGGATTAAAGACTTAAATCTAAGATTTCAAACTATGAAACTACAAAAAAATTGGGGAAACTCTCCAGGACATTGGACTGGGCAAAGATTTCTTGAGTAACACTCCACAAGCACAGATGACCAAAGCAAAAATGGACAATTGGCTCTGTGCCAAGTGCAGTCATGGCTGAAATCTGTTTTCTTCCTTTTTCTCAAGGAGGTCATAGTCTTGCTAGAGAAACCAACATTATTTAAATAATGCTAATAAACACTTAATTACTAACTAAATGCCATTTTTAACAGAGGCATCATTCTCAGAAGAGTCAAAAGTGTTCTCTGAGAAAATAAAACTGTGTCTGAGACTTATAAGGACGATAATAAGTTAGACAAAGAGGAGAAGGATGTATAATCCAGGCAGCGAGAATATGTCCAACAGCCCTGTGGCATAAGTGACCGATATAGAGTATTATGAAACTGATTGAAGGCTACTATAGCTGAAGCATGGTAGACTAGAGAGGCATAGGCAAAAATGAGAAATAAGTTGGTAACAATTCACATAAGAATGTATAGGATGTGTTAAGATTATTTTTCTTCTATCCTAGTATGATAGTAAATCATTAAGTATTTTAAATATGAGAAGGATTTGGCTGGAGTTTCATTTATAAAAAATTTATTCTGGATAGATTGTAAAGACAAAAATATATGGAAGGCAAATGCATAGAAGTATAGAATTGTAGAAGCTATGATATTAACAGCCAGATTTCAGGATAGTGGCACTGGATGGAATATAGAGAAGAAGTAGTCAAGACATAGAAGTGGTTGAACCATGGATACTTAGGAAATCTTTCTTAGGAGATAAAATTAATGGGAATCAGTAGAGGATTAGTTATGGTAGTTGTGAGAGAGTTTGACAATGATGAAAAGATGGTCAATTGAGAGGAAGGAAGACTTCTTAAATTAAACATTCAACAGAGTCAACAGGACTGTTCAACTGAGTAGTATCATGTAAACGCCATCAGAATAACAAACTTTACTCCTAAGCAAACTTCAAAATAAGAGTCATTTCATTATTTGCACCTTTCGCCAACTTGTTCTATGTTGTTGACCTCTGATAGGTCAATATCAGCAGTCAATTGGTTTCTAGCAGTAAAGTCTACACTTTTCTTCACTAGAAAGTCAGTTTAATGAAGACAAAGAACTTGTCTGTTTTGTTTGCTTACCAGTCTTCAGTATCTAAGCCACAGCTTGGCCTGTGGCAAGCACTCAATAAACATATATTGAAAGAAAAATGACTTACTAACTCCTAACTCCTTCAATGTGTCCTAGGTTACCACAACATCTTGTTTCTTCCCAGATAAAAAGGAAAGTGAGTAAGACAACTGACCAAGAATTGGGGTTTGTTTTAAAGCCATGTTTTTTTTGTTAGTTTGTTTGTTTTGAGACAGAGTCTCCCTGTGTTGCCCAGGCTGGAGTCAGTGGCACAATCTTGGCTCACTGCAACCTACGCCTCCCGGGTTCAAGCAATTCTCCTGCCTCAGCCTTCTGAGTAGCCTGAATTACAGGCGCTCACCACCATGCCTGACTAATTTTTGTACTTTTAGTAGAGACGGGGTTTCACCATGTTGGCCAGTTGTTGTCTTGAACTCCTGACCTCAGGTGATCTGCCTGTCTCGGCCTCCCAAAGTGCTGAGATTACAGGCATGAGCAACCGCACCCAGCCGCCATGGGTCATTTTGATATTAATAACACTAAATGACAAAAACAAGTGAATATATGATGCACTGATGTTCTCTAAAATCAAAGCTACAGTTATTTGATATACAACTCTGATTAAATCGGGGGCTAAAACATTGTTTTGTTACTTTCTCAAGATGTTCTCATGTATTTTATATTGCAGGTCTGGAGGCGGTTGTGTGTAAAACTTTATTAATATTAATTATACTAGCTATTTTGTTTATGACTGTCCTGTCAAAGCAGTTAATTTGATGTATGGTCATATAAATTAGTGTGCTAGATTGAATAGTGTTTCTATGAAATTCATGTCTACTGGAACCTGTAAATGTGACCTTATAAATGAATTCCTATCATTTCAAACTACCTAGTTCATAGTACTTTGTTATAGAATCCCTAGAAAACTAACACAGTGAGCGAAGCTAAATTGCCTGTATAGAAATTATGCCTATTAGTTGCTCTTCATTTTCGTGAACCAAACAAATGAACAAAGTATAATTTTGTTACTGTGTTTGAAAGTGGCATAAATAACATACTCTGGTAGTAGCAGCATGAACTGCAGAAAGCTAAAAATGGCATTCTGAGGCTGGTCGGGAGTAAACTTTTCTCTTTTCTTTATTCAAAAACATGAGCAAAGACTTTTGTCCATGTTTTGAAGTAAATAATATGTTTCTTCCTCAAGCAATTAGATTTTGTAGTTTATTCCCTAAGCAAAATGGAGTTCACAAGTATGAGATTACCTAGACAGTTAACAGATTAAAAGTTCTAGTTGTCTGTCTTGGTTTGACTGATGATGAAAGAATCAATACATTGATGATGGATTGGTCCATAAAATGCTATTGCCTTGGCTAGGCTCATTTTACTGTACATTTTCCAGTACTCCCCCTTTCTGTTGTTTTGGTATAAATACATTCAAAGTCTTAGATAATAACCCACTGAGGCTACACAGGTAAAATAGCACAGTCATTTTTCTAAACAATGTCATTGATTTATTTTGACCCAGAATGACTTTTTAATTCAAATTATTCTGTATATTTTTGAGTACACGAACTCACTCATTAGTAACCAATTTTTGGTTTCTGAAAGCTTCACCTCAAAGTAAAAATCCAGAGGAGACAGAAATAAGCTTGTTTCGGAGAAAGAATAAAGAACGGTTCACTTTTATTTTCCCAAAAGCCATATGCTCTGTTGATCTGTTCTGCCATCTGGAGATGAGGGCTATAATGGCCCCTGCTGGGTAAAACATCCGTAAGAACAGAAATGTGTTGGTGCACACTGAGGAATGCAAACACTTGGCATTCACAGATCATAGTCTGAAATAACAGTGAAGGTGTTTAAGCAGGAAAAAAGAAAAAAGATTTTGGCAACTCTGTAGTATTATGCAAAAAGTAGTTCCAGCCTTTGGAATTATCATTCAGGAGGGTCTAAGTGATTTTTTTTTTGGAGCACTCTTTGGTCCTTCTCTCTCATGGACATTTGTGTGTGTCTGCAAGTGCTTCCATTCTGAAATTAAAGGTGTGGAAAAAGATATGAGGATATTAACTGATGCTATAAAATTAAATATAAATTAGTGTGTAATCTATCTCACAAAAAATTCCTTATTTCCTGATTCGCACCTACCATGGAATATTCGCTTTCAACCATATTCTACTGAGATATGTCTGTGTGTGTATCCATGTGTATATGTGTATATTACTTGTTATAATATACATATATAGAAATATATGTGTGTATATGTAAATTATTTTGTATATACATATATACAAAATAAAAATAATATATGGTTTTTAGATGTTATATTTAAAGAGATATTTTATTTTTATACTCTGGAAGACTTGACCGTTTGTGGAGGAAGACTACTGTTAGGCTTTGGGAGGGGTGGTACTAGATAAGGACTCCTCCTTATCCTAAGTGAATACCATGGAACACCAATATCCATGCAAGTCCTGTGTGTGCAGTTGTCATTTTTTGAATTACAGCTCTTAAAGCCATGTGAACATATAATTACAGTATATTGCTGAGAGGTATTTGTTGCACATGAAATGTCTCTTACTGCAACCTCCTTAAGTTGCAGAGGAATATCATGGATACGAGATTCTTAAGGTGTGGCTCCTTTCGAGGGTCCAAAAAGTAAAATATAATTTAATTATAATATGAAGACACTATTGCTAGTCTTATTATTTCACAAGTATACAAGGGAGTTTTCCAGAAGCTACATGATGTGTGGTATTGCTACCTTTTGAATGCAAAGGTTTGTGTTTCTGCTCATCTTTCTCTCCCCTCCCCTCCTGTCTCCATCTCATCTTATTTAAAAGCTACTTACTTGGGGCTTATATTTGATTCTGGAGTGTTAAAAGGATGAGAGTGGATCCCAAATAACTGCAGAATTTCTCTGGATTAGTTCCTTAGCTCTGAATTCAATGCAGCAAAGAAGTCTGGGGCTCAGGAAAGAAACTAGAAATAATTCATATTCTACAGATGGAGATCTCTTACATTCTGACTCTTAAAAATCTCAATATGGTATTTTAATCCAGAAGAGCCAGATACTTTAGTGAAGAACATAGCCCAATATGCTATTACTAACTTTCGTTGTTTCATAAGTTTCTTATTAAAATGGCTAAGCAAGCATGAACTTAAACACAAATGCAATAGTCATATTATGATAGGTACTCGGAGAGCCAGAAAGGTGAGCAATCAGAGATGTTTTGGTGAAATTATGGTCACCTAGGGAAAACTGCCAGAACACAACTCTAGGTAGCACTGGGGCCACATGAAACAGGATCAAGGAAATAGGAGACAGAGAACAAAGCAATTTAAGATAAATATCATTCTGCTTAGATTTTAGTCCCACTCCCTAATGAGTTTACATAAATTTAAACATGTTTGTAAATGGTCAGAAGTTATGCGTATGGTTTAATATAGAGATAATAGGAAGAGATGTGAGCATACATAAATTTGCTCTCTAAATTAACCATTAATAAGTATTATAGGGCTTTGTGCTAATGATGTATCCTCTTTAAATTTCACCATTTTTTTCTGAGGTAAAGACAAACTGTCTGCTTGGTAGCTCATGGAGTGGTTGTAGTCAACATATTAGAAATATCAGGTAATGTACTGCCTGTACATTAGCACGTTGTAAAAATGTAAGAGAATGATTACTTTCCCATTGCTCTTTACCAGAATTATATTCCTTATGTAATGCCATTACTTTATTGAATATTTTCTTACTAGAAGCTGTCATATATAATTATATTTAGGCTTTTGGGTTTTTATTTTAAATCTTTATTTAGAGATTATAGAGTGCTTCAAAATCCATAGAAATGACTATTTTAACTTCAACATTGAAAGTAACATTCTTTCTACAATATTGCATTATCCAGCAGAAATTAGTTTTTCCTGTGGGTAGGTATTAAAGTAACTCACTCATATTTTGTTTAAATATCTTTAAACTTATTTATTGAGGTATCTATCATACTTTAAAGCATGTAAAATTTAAGTTAGTATAATTTTTCCATATATATTCAGTTATATTACCCTCATTTGGATCAAGATTTTGAACTGAAGGGACAGAGGGTCATTTCCGTCCTCTCCCAGTCTGTATCCTCATATATAAACAGCAATCAGAAAGAATATGTTTTAAAATATCAAATTCTTTTGTGATTAAAAATATAGATGTATTTACATACATCAGATACTCTGATTTAAAAAATGCATGTGCTATAAATGTCCACCTACAAAACCATTCAGCAAGGATTTTTAATCAGTACTGTTTTAGATACAATCTGGGATTTTTTTTAAGTATAAATCAATGTTCTTCCCTCTCTCTCTTCCACTCTGTCTCTCTTTCTCCCATCTCTATCTATCCAGTTAAAAAGAAAACATTTAGCAAGCCTAGAGTGTACAAGGAGTAACAAGATTAACAAACATGAAACCAGAAACAATAATGCATTTTTATATTATTCATCCATTGGGTAAACAAATACATATTATTGCCAGTGTTTAAATGCTATTTTTTTTAACCAACAGTAGGTACCGGTTCGGAGGGGATAAAAATGAATAAACTTTGAGGAAGAGGAGACTATCAATCATCCATGGAAGAATGAGTATTGCATTGAGATTTGATAGTTTATACAATGTAGGAAGCAGAGAATAGAGCATTTAAGCGTAACAAAAAAATAAAATAAATAAAAAAGTAGTATGAGTTTGTGGAACAGCATGAAATAGTATATGAAAGATAACAAATGTAAATCTGACTCGGCAGAAGCAAAAGAAATATCCTGAGAACTCATGAAAATTAATGCTATATAAGCAGAAACAGCTTAAAGAAGACGTTGCAAGTAAGGCAGGGACATTGAGTAATGAAGAACTGAGAGATACTGTAGCATTTTGAGATGAGAAGTAATGTTATCAGAGCAGCATTTAAAGAAGCTGGATATGCAATCCCACTTTGAGATGAATGTGCTGGCAGTAGAATTTAGAGGAAGACACAGGAGAAAAATCTGCACTATGATGTGGAGATAGACACAAACTACATCGTGAAGAAGGCTGAATCAAAGGTTGTAACAAAACGCATTCTGTCTGATCGCCACTTGCAGAGTCCAGTGACAACATTGAGGTACGGTAGAAAGAAATTTATTAACCAAAACTAGTAATGGGGAAGTGGCCAGATTCCCACCCAAAGTGGCCACTTTGAATTTCTAGAGAAAAGGCACAGGCTTAAAAAGGGGGGACTTGATATGGAAGGCATGCAGCAGTTGTGTAAAAAAGGGGAACTTGACATAGGAGGCATATCAAGTTGTGCTGATTCTGAGGTCTGTATGTCTTGTTTCAGTGACTTATCTTGTGTCTCACTCCACCTGAAGTTCAGGCTGGCATCACGTCGACAATGGCCAAGTTGTTGACTAGCTGTCTTGAGGTAAGCGCTGGAATTTTACAGCTGGGTCTGTAAAATTCAGGCTTGGTCTCTCTGTCTCACGGTTAACTCCTGGAACTTCTAAGTAAGCACATAATTAGGTACTATCATGCAGATAGATAAATGTGAAGGGAGAATATGGTGAGAAAGGGAGGGACATGAAGTGTATTTCAAAGTTAAGGGAAAAAACTTCTGCAGTTTGCTTCAAGGTTATGTCTTGAGACTAGGGAGAAAAGAGAAAAGGGGAAAAATTAAATGCATTTTGAGGTCAAGTGACTCAATTACAAGGTGATGTCAAGATTTTGCATCTGGCTGGAATAAGAGCTTCTCTCAAAAGAAAATAGGGAAAAGAGTGCATCTGCATACAGAAAAGTCTGAGTTGTGTAGATATAAACTTGCTCGTCTACACACCCCTCCACAATTTTGATGTCATGTGATAGGGCCTCTGTGAGAAGATAAGACTAGAGGTACAAATTGGTATGATCAGAAGATCACTTGCCACTCTGGAGGTTTTGGGTGAGACTGGGGTGAAGGGAGAGGCATTAGATCGATGCAAAAGCAGAGATGAGCACAACAGATGGTGCTAATCAATTCTTCATTTCAAAGGAACAGATAGGATTGAGAAACAGTAAGCTCACTTGGACAAAAGAATTGTTTCATATTAAGCCCCTTCATGCAGAACAGGCATGCTCACAGACTACACTTGCAGTGTGCACAAGATAGGTGCTTTCAAGTCAAAGTTGCTCTCAAAGCAGTGGGCCATTCTGATCTTAGACAGTTTGCTTCTTACATTTCTTTATTTTCCTTGCTATGGGGAAGTGTCAAAGACTTGAGGCATGTAACACAGCAAAGATGGGAGAAAAAGTGCCCAATGTGATCAGTCTGTTTATGGTTAAATCAGAATAAGAAAGAGGAATGAGCATAAAGAACCAACCCACACAACTCTGAAGATACACCTGTATTTATTTAGTGAGTTTTCATGAAATTACAACATATGTCATTAATGTATTAATATCTGCCTTAAATTTGGACTTTTGCCATTTGACACACAAAAAATTTAACTTTATTTACAACCTCACAAAATTTTAACTTTATCTACCACTTTCTTGCATTGTGTACTATTGCTGGCATGTATTTTTATATTTAAATTATTTTATTGGAGTTTTACTCAATAGTAATTTAGAGGCATTTACATGCTTACTTTTTCCTCATATTCTTTATTTCTCCCAGATATGTATTTAATCCAGCTTTTATAGATAAACTTTGTAGAAGGATTAGTTTAATTCCAGTCATTATGTCATTGCCAGCAGGAGAACTCCTTTAGGGTTATTGTTTTTATGCATATTCTCTAATAAATCAATTAAATTCACTCTTGTGACTGGTTTGTGAATATTTTTAGTTATGAGTGGGAGTCAAATTTTATCAAATTTTGATGCATCTATTAAAATGCTCAAGGGGCATTTTCCAATTCTTATTTTCTCAAGTGTAGACTTAGGCTTATAGCTTCCCTAATATTAAACTACTCTTGCATTTTCAGGAGGCAACTTAATTATCATGTATTATCTTTTTCTGTATCTGGCTGATTTAAGATTTTTTTTTAATTTAATTTAATTTTTTTAATTAATTAAAAAAAATTTCATTTGTATGCATCAGTGAGATCAATTGGCAACTTTCCTTTTTGTTTCTGGTGTGGTTATCAAGGTTGTATTTGACACAGAATGAAATGGGAAATGTTTCTTACATTTTCAATTATGATTAACTGTTTGCATAAAATTCACACAATGTGTTCCTTAAAAGTTTGAGAAACTCGTTTTATAAATTATCCCAAGTATTTTCCCATTGACACATACTATTTCAATCCCATTATGGGCTTATTATCCCCTTGATATGGTTTGGCTGTGTCCCCACCCAAATCTCATCTTGAATTCCCATGCATTGCGGGAAGGACACAGTAGGAGGTAAATGAATCATGGGGGCCAGGCTTTCCCATTCTGTTCTCATGATTGTGAATAAGTCTCATGAGACCTGATGGTTTTTTTTTTTTTTTTTCACTTTTATTTTTTTATTTATTTATTTTTTTTTTAAATTTTTTTTTTTTATTATACTCTAAGTTTTAGGGTACATGTGCACATTGTGCAGGTTAGTTACATATGTATACATGTGCCATGCTGGTGCGCTGCACCCACTAACGTGTCATCTAGCATTAGGTATATCTCCCAATGCTATCCCTCCCCCCTCCCCCGACCCCACCACAGTCCTCAGAGTGTGATATTCCCCTTCCTGTGTCCATGTGATCTCATTGTTCAATTCCCACCTATGAGTGAGAATATGCGGTGTTTGGTTTTTTGTTCTTGCGATAGTTTACTGAGAATGATGGTTTCCAATTTCATCCATGTCCCTACAAAGGACATGAACTCATCATTTTTTATGGCTGCATAGTATTCCATGGTGTATATGTGCCACATTTTCTTAATCCAGTCTATCATTGTTGGACATCTGGGTTGGTTCCAAGTCTTTGCTATTGTGAATAGTGCCGCAATAAACATACGTGTGCATGTGTCTTTATAGCAGCATGATTTATAGTCCTTTGGGTATATACCCAGTAATGGGATGGCTGGGTCAAATGGTATTTCTAGTTCTAGATCCCTGAGGAATCGCCACACTGACCTGATGGTTTTAAAAAATGTGAGTTTCCCTGCACAAACTCTCTCTTTGCCTGCTTCCATCCAGGTAAGACATGAGGACCTCCTCCTTGCCTTCCACAATGATTTTGAGACCTGCCCAGTCACGTGGAACTGTAAGGCCATTAAACCTCATTCTCTTGTAAATGGCCCAGTCTCAGGTATGTCTTTATCAGCAGCCTGAAAATAGACTATTACACTCCTCCTTTCCCCTACCTGAATCAAATAGGATCTTTAAAATAACCAGCTTTTCCATCACTTTCCTTTCTTTACCAGTAACTTTAATAATTTTTAAATTTTTATCTCCCTCCCTGGCCTCCAAACCTCCAATTCTAGTTCTACATAATCTAGGTTAGTACTTAATTGAAAATTTCCTTAAAATATGTTCCTTCTATGAGTGTCTTTTCTATTAGTACATTCCTATCAGTTTTCAAAGATTGCTAGTATTTGGCAGAGAAAGCTTAAATGCAGTTCTAACTTACTCCAAAACCTATACCCTTCCCAGTACCAAACATAGCCCGTATAAAATAAGATTATAAGATTTATGTCACAGATTAGACTATTTATTAAAATAAGGCACATGAAATTGTTGTCTCGTGGCCACAAATCTTAAAATTTTCTAAAGAGCCCTGAGAAATAAGTTTTCTGATTAAGCGCATGGGGAAATAAGGCCTAGCAAGGTTAAGATACTCCCTGTAAGACAAAAAAAATGTAATAGACGGAGCTGAAATTCAAATATGCACCTGTCTGACTTCAAAAGCAAGCTCTCAACCACAATGTTTTGCATTTTTCATATGGCATACAAGACTTGGGCCATCTTCAGTCACCTATATTAAATAAGTATGGCCTGAATGGTCCAGTTGTCTCTAACTCAGCATGACAGCATAAGGAAAGAAAATGAAGCACAACTTCAGAATACCTGGAATATTATTTGTGCGATTTTAACAAATTTATTTCATTTTCTTTATATATAAAGTGTATCTATAAAGTTCAGATATTACTTGGGTCTTCTTTCTTAAACTGTTCATTTTCTGCACCTTTTTATGCAAAATAGAAACAGTAGTATTTTCTGCACAATAGGAACATGCAGTAAGTACAATAATTTAAAAGGGTTATGCAAACGAGGGTCCATGGCACAGCTTCCAGGCCACAGGAGCTTTCGTGATGAACCTATCAGTTTGTTGACTGAAGCTGAAGAGCCAAGAAGCACTGTTAGGGCTCCACAAGCCTGAGAAATATAGAGAGGAGAGAAAGATGACAGTGAGAAGTGAAGATGCGAAGAAGAGCTTATTATCTGAAATGGCTTCACCTAAGACTAGCACCTGTGGCAGGGGAGGGAGCAAGGGCAGGAAATGGGTTGTCACCTCCATGATCTTCTGCTCCTATACGCCATCCTCCATCGCCCATTATTTCTTAAAAAATTACACACACACTCACACACACAGGCACTCACGTGTACACACACACACACACACACACACACACACACACACACAGAGTCATCTCTCTCTGTCCATGGGAGATTGTTTCCAGGACCCCCTGCAAATACCAAAATATACAAAAGCTAGTGTCCCTTATATAAAACGGCATAGTATTTGTATGCAAGTGCACATCCTCCAGTATATTTTAAATAACCTCTAGATTACTTATAATATGTAATACAATACCTATGCATCACTTTCTTTGTGTGTATTCAATGTAGTATTCAATGCACAATAAATTCAAGTTTTACTTTTTGAAATTTTCTGAAATATGTTTTACCGACAGTTCGTTGAATCCACGGATTCAGAACTCATGGATATAGAGGGCTGAGCACACACACATATATGTGTGTGTGTGCGTGTGTGTGTGTGTGTGTATACGCGTATGTATACACACACCGTATGTGTGTATACATGTGTATGTATACACACACCGTGTGTGTGTATATGTGTATATATAAACACACCGTGTGTGTGTATATGTGTATATATATACACACCGTGTGTGTGTATATGTGTATATATATACACACCGTGTGTGTGTGTATATATATACACACTGTGTGTGTGTATGTGTGTCTATATATAACACTGTGTGTGTATGTGTGTCTACATACACACTGTGTGTGTATATATGTGTCTACATACACACTGTGTGTGTATGTGTGTGTCTACATACACACTGTGTGTGTATGTGTGTGTCTACATACACACTGTGTGTGTATGTGTCTACATACACACTGTGTGTGTGTGTGTCTACATACACACTGTGTGTGTGTGTGTCTACATACACACTGTGTGTGTGTGTGTGTCTACATACACACTGTGTGTGTGTGTGTCTACATACACACTGTGTGTGTGTGTGTGTGTCTACATACACACTGTGTGTGTGTGTGTGTGTGTCTACATACACACTGTGTGTGTGTGTGTGTGTCTACATACACACTGTGTGTGTGTGTGTCTACATACACACTGTGTGTGTATGTGTGTGTGTCTACATACACACTGTGTGTATGTGTGTGTGTCTACATACACACTGTGTGTATGTGTGTGTGTCTACATACACACTGTGTGTATGTGTGTGTGTCTACATACACACAGTGTGTGTGTGTGTGTCTACATACACACAGTGTGTGTGTGTGTGTCTACATACACACAGTGTGTATGTGTGTCTACATACACACAGTGTGTATGTGTGTGTCTACATACTGTGTGTGTGTGTGTGTCTACATACACACTGTGTGTGTGTGTGTCTACATACACACTGTGTGTGTGTGTGTCTACATACACACTGTGTGTGTGTGTGTGTGGGTCTACATACACACTGTGTGTGTGTGTGTGTGGGTCTACATACACACTGTGTGTGTGTGTGTGTGTGTGGGTCTACATACACACTGTGTGTGTGTGTGTGTGTGTGGGTCTACATACACACTGTGTGTGTGTGTGTGTGTGTGTGTGGGTCTACATACACACTGTGTGTGTGTGTGTGTGGGTCTACATACACACTGTGTGTGTGTGGGTCTACATACACACTGTGTGTGTGTGGGTCTACATACACATTGTGTGTGTGTGTGGGTCTACATACTGTGTGTGTGTGTGTGTCTACATACACATTGTGTGTGTGTGTGTGTCTACATACTGTGTGTGTGTGTGTGTGTCTACATACACACTGTGTGTGTGTGTATGTGTGGGTCTATATACACACTGTGTGTGTGTGTGTGTGGGTCTATATACACACTGTGTGTGTATATATGTGTATATAGGCACACTGTGTGTGTGTATATATGTGTATATAGGCACACTGTGTGTGTATGTATGTGTATATAGACACACTGCGTGTGTGTGTATGTATGTGTATATAGACACACATCGTGTGTGTGTATGTGTATATAGACACACATCGTGTGTATGTGTATATAGACACACTGCGTGTGTGTGTATGTGTATATAGACACACATCGTGTGTGTGTGTGTATGTGTATATAGACACACATCGTGTGTGTATGTATGTGTATATGTATACATATCGTGTCTGTGTATGTATGTCTATATATACACACATCGTGTGTGTATATATATGTATATACACATTGTGTGTGTGTATATATATACACATTGTGTGTGTGTATATATGTGTATATATATATACACATTGTGTGTGTGTATATATGTGTATATATATACACATTGGGTGTGTATATATACTTTATGTATATATACACATATATAATATATATGCTTACACTTACAGGAATGAACAAATTGCAGTCTGAAGAAACTATAAAATGTTATTAGAAAGTTAGCCCTTTGTTGTCTACAACTGTGCATTACATTCTAACAAAGACAACTACCTTTTTCATGAAAACATAGCACTCAAATGAACTGTTCCCTTTATCTGGACACACAAATCAAAGTGTATGCAAGATAAAAAGTAGATATCATTAGCCCCAAAACAAACAATGGATGTTGACCGCTCTCTCTGAGCATATCACTCTTCATGATTTCTTTGTGCAATAAGACAGGCCATGTTCTGTGGCAAAAGTCAGTAACAAAACAAGGAAGCAATATCTTCCAGGACTTCAAATACCCTGTATTCCCAATTCCACTTCTTAGTGGAAACAGACTTGCAAACATAGATCAAGTACTTTTTCACATCAGTGAGGACAAGAAGTTAAGACAGTCTTTGGAAACAATGGCATTATACCTGCGTTTAGAATCCAAAAGCTTATGTGAAATTTCCCACGAACTAGTGACACAAGAAGTCTTTATCTCTCCCTGCCACACTACCTGCCTCCTGCCATCCTGTATTCAAATTGCCAAATCCAAGGTAAATATTTACACTTTTTCATAGGAAGTGTTGGGACTTCCTTATTCTTGTTTGATGGAAAATCAATTTTCTGTGTGAAATCACTCCGGAATATTCCCTTAGCTATCATTATCCCTCTTCCTGCTTTAATTTTCTGCATAGCACTTAAAATTATCTAACATACTGTGAATTACTTCTCGCTTCTCATATATATATGTATATATATAATGTATATATATACATTTTTTCTCTGATAGAATGTAGGTTATGTAAAAGTAGTAATTGTTTTATCTTTTTTGGTTTTGTTCTTTCTTGTTCTTTGATATCCAAATTCTAAGAAAATACAGGTGCATAATAGGTACTTTAAAAATTGTTGAATGCATGAATGCATGTCTGAAAAGGCTTTCCCTGTTTACTTAGTGTGGAGAAACTAGAAGCTTGTATCAGAATATTTCTGTTCACTGATTTTAGTTTGTTATATATGTATAATTTGACTGTTCAAAAATGCCAGTTATCATTTCATAAATGTATTCAGCCATTAATTTGGTGAACACTTACTGAACACCACAGGGAAATAGTCGTTCTTTCTCAAATAATTATTCTGCTGTCTTTATAAAAGCTTTTGAAAAGAACAACTCAAAATATTATTACAAAACATATCACCTCCTCTAGTGAAGATTCAGATGCCCAGTGTGAGAAATCCAGCCTGAGTATCATCCTTAGGGAATGTTGCTTTGACAAAGGCGGTTTCTTAGGATGCTACATGAGATGCAAGTCTGCTCAGTGAGAATCTGCTTGGTCAGTCCTGTAGCCATTTGGCAAATTATAGCCACTGAGTGATAAGCATAAATGCCAGTAGGCAGCTTCCTGGAACTTTCCTTAACTGACTTCTAGAGTAAACCTTTTGTTCCCTCTTAGACCATTCTTTTTTTCTCCAGCTGCCTACAATGTGCTGCCACCTAAATATGAGGATGTGTGAACTACGCCTAAGATGACAGAAAGGTAAGGATTAAAGGAGTCTGGATGTCTGAGGACATTGTAAGCACATTTTCCATCTTAACTCTGGATTACGTATTAATAGGATTTTACAATAAAAGAGAAATAAAACTACATCTGGATGCCAGTTTTTTAATTGGCAATTTAATAACACTCATGAATAAATTATTTCTAACAAATACAGATTCAAATCTTGGCCGGGCGCTGTGGCTCACACCTGTAATCCCAGCACTTTGGTAGGCCAAGGTTGGTGGACCACGAGGTCAGGAGATCGAGACCATCCTGGCTACATGGTGAAACCCCGTCTCTACTAAAAAAAAAAAAAAAAAAAAAATTATATATATATATATATATATATATATATATATATATATATATATATATATAGCCGGGTGTGGTGCCACACACCTGTAGGCCCAGCTACTCGGGAGGCTGAGGCAGCAGAATCACTTGAACCCAGGAGGTGGAGGTTGCTGTGAGCCGAGATTGCGCCACAGCACTCTGGCCTGGGTGACAGAGTGAGACTCTGTCTCAAAAAACAAAAAAAAAAAAAAAAAAAAAATCTTAGCTCTACCATGTGTTAACTTTATGAACACGCACATATATTTATCACTGGGTCTTTAGTTTTCTCATTTTTAAAATAAAGGAATACTCAATAAACAAGTTTCTGGTGGAGATTAAATAAGGCAATTGATAAAATGCGTTTAGCATTGTGTCTGATGCAAAGCAAACATTCAATAAGTGATAGATGTCATCTTTAGTGCACACATTGCATTCCTCACAGCTTTAATGAAGGCTGAAGAAATTTTTTCAAGATTACTAATAAAGGAATATATACTATTCTTTTGCTTGTAAAGTATATGCACTGTCTCTATATCCAAGAAGACTATATACAGTTCATCACAGTGAAGGATAAATGAAAAGATTCTTCTATTTCTCACAGAAGAAATGACTGTAGCAAATTAGTAATTCTATCTGGACTTAAGTCACATGATTAAGAAAATCAATGAAGCACTGCAGTTGATGTACTTTTAAGCACATATTCTTGTCTTAAGATCCAAAATCTTTAAGATAGAGTAATGAAAGACATAAGGTTAATTGTTTATTATGACTATAATATTCCAAAACAAAATTTTAGGTTAATTATGTATATTAAAATTAGCAGGACATAGAAAATATGGCTAGAATAAAAATAGGCCAAATATTGAAAGTTAGTATGTAGGCCATGAGATTCTATCCAGGCAATAATTTGGGACAGCAGATATCTCTCTTAGTTTCTCAGCAGACAAATTGTAATGGGAAACAAGAGCAGTTAAAGTGTTCATTGTCTGTGAGAGGAAGAATATCAAGTTCCCAGAAGAAAAAAAGAGACCTATCACGAAAGAAATTTATTTTACAATTAAGAATCAAGAAAAAAATCTTACTTCCCAAGGATAAGGCTGCAAGTCATGACCAACCTCAAATGAAATTCAAAATCATTCAAAATACATTTCAAAAAGTGCTTTTGAAAGTACATTTCAAAGTCACCAAGAGTAAAGTTCAAATGTTATCATCTAAGGAAGAGAAGTATTTGAGGGGATTAATATATTAATTAGCTTTATTTATTTCATATTATATTCATAAATCATAATATCAGTTTGTGTCTCCTAAATATACTAGCTATACTTTATCAATTTAAAATTTAAAAATACATTTTTTTTTTTTTTGAGATGGAGTCTTGCTCTGTGGCCCAGGCTGGAGCGATCTGGGCTCACTGCAAGCTCCCCCTCCCAGGTTCACGCCATTCTCCTGCCTCAGCCTCCCGAGTAGCTGGGACTGCAAGCGGCCGCCACTACGCCCAGCTAATTTTTTGTATTTTTAGTAGAGATGGGATTTCACTGTGTTAGCCAGGATGGTCTCGATCTCCTGACCTCGTGATTCGCCAGCCTCAGCCTCCCAAAGTGCTGGGATTACAGGCGTAAGCCACCACGCCCGGTCTAAAAATATAAATTAAACAAAAAGAATTGCAACCCAACTTGGGTGTCTCTTTGTTCACCTAACACTGCTAATTAATCTCAATTATCTCTGGGAAAAATAATGTTTCTCCATTAACTAAGAAAAGTATTAATAAAGATGTGTACTCACAGGGATGTCTATGTGGAATCTGTATGTGTGTGCATGTGTGTGTGCATATGTGTGTTGTGTGAAAAGATGGGAAAATATAAAGATTATAGTAACATTGAATGTTAGTATATGTGCTGAGATTTCCCTTCCAATACTACTTCTGAAAACACATAAACACATACACACACACCCCTACACCAAACAAGCATACTAACTTCTATGATTATCAGCATAATTGAATTCAAGTTAGTCATTAATTTATATTTAAACAACAAAAATAAAGTCATGATCATCTCTAGAACACAGACAATGTAGTTAATAAAACTACAGGTAAGTAGCCAAACTAATCCAGGCTTCAAGATTTGACTGAATTTATATAGTAAGTATATGCCTTGAAACCAAAAGTTGGAAGTTGTATTAATTTTAAAACCCATATGGGTTCCTTACAGATTAGGAAATGTTTAAATATATATTATTAATATTCATCCATGTTTCATTAAATTTACATATAGAGAGTGACAGATTACTTCCAAAAGTTATTTTTTAACAAAGTGGTTAACAACCCTAAAGGAAACTGGACTCGGTTATTTATCTGAATTATAACAATACTTTATATTTATTTGGGCTTGTGTTTTTCTTTTGGGACTTGATAAAATTCTCAAGATAAAATGCATACGTCAATTCCTGAGTTCCTATTCACATATAAAAACTGGAAATTCGTTTGGGGAAGTGTTTTCATCACATTCAAAAGGAGACGAAACTCCTCAAGCCAGCATGAGAATAATAAATCTGCTCAGAATATTTTCCATTTACTGTCTCCTGTTAGCAGTTTTGGAAAAGCTTTCCACTGTCTTCTCCATTTGATTTTGGCACAAGAAGCCAAAACCAAAACAAAACCAACCAACCAAACAACAACAACAACAAACAATCTACTGCTTAGGGAGAAATCATAGCAACAAATTCAGAAACTTCTATTAACCTCATAAGGGAAATAAACAGAAACACACACAAAGTAAATAAGAGAAGAGAGCCATTTCCCCTAGAGACAATCATGTATGCCAGTGTCAGGTAAACCCCAAAATTCACATTCTCAATGCATTTCCAATGTAATGTGTATGAGGGACAAAGCAAACCATCTTTTAATTGTAGAATTCAAAGGGTCAACATTTGCTGACCTATTTAAACTCTGGAATTTCTCAAGAGATGATAGAGACAATGAAACTTGCAGACAATCCTGAGTCTTATGTTTTATAAGGGATATGTTGGCTCATCTTTATCTTTAAGTTGAATTACTGCCCCAGGCACACTGGTACTTCCAGCTACAAGGCTGGAAGAACTATTTTGCTCATGCATTCAAGGATCGGGTAGACATCTGAGCACAGGCAGCCAGAATTATGCTTGTATGTTGTTCTGGAGCTTTGGCCTAAAGCCACCTAGCCATTAAAAAAAAAAATGAAACAACATACATCTGTTTACTGTCCATCTCAGTTCTGCTTTTGTCAGAATGCCTGGACTGGTCAACAAATGTTTTGAATACATGATGGCATGTTCAAATCTGAGACTGCATATGTCCCGTCCATTCTAGATCAACTGTTTAGTTTAACAAAGGACTTACATGTGGCTTAGAAAAGACACTCTAAGCAGCATTCCCTGAAAGAAAGCTTGGTCTTTCCTTCTCCATGTTTGGTTGATTGCATGAGAATGTACTTAGCCCAGGGTTTAAGCATCTTATTAAGCCCACTGACCACCACAAATGTACTTAAAGCACAAATGGAGAAAGAAAAGGAGTATGGTAATCTCATAAACAGAGACCTAATTTCAAACCAAGTACAGGTTAGTTGCGGGATCTTAAACAAACGTGATTTCTCTAAATTAAATGTCCTCATCTATAAGATATTGGAAACAATACTTTCCCTATTGCTTTCACTCACCTGAAAACAAATACTCTTTAAAACTGAGTAACATATAGCCCAAGTCTATAGACATTACAGAGTGATATAGTCTGTTGTCTTAGATAAAGTAAGTACTCATTCAATATATGCCAACATAAATGAAAACCCCTGAGGTATAAAGCCTAATTTAATGTTCTACATTATGTGCTGCCTTAACATCTAGTGAAACCAGAAGAGCTTCAAATGGCCTAACAACATGTTTTCCTCCTGACTTTGCTCCCATGGATCACGTCTCTTGTCAAGCAACCTTCCTTATCATGGGACCAGCACCGTGCTTGCTTATCCCTGAGGAGCAGGTTTCAATTCCTTCCCAGCCTGCAGAGCTATTCAAACAAGCTAATCACATCCTTCCCTGGGATTCAGGGGTCACTTTGCCACAGCTTCTACTTGTCCACTGTTCCTAAATGCAATATCCATGTGGTTCTTCATGGCATGCACTGCCCTTCCCCCCAGACTGTGAGTGGATGTGATTAATAATTGCTATCTCATCTTCCTAGTGTCTAGTGTAGTGTGTGTGCCATTCTCTCATAGCCAGAGGGTGTGAATCCCTCTCTCATCAAAAGGGTAAGTTATCGAGACCATCCCGGCTAAAACGGTGAAACCCCGTCTCTACTAAAAATACAAAAAATTAGCCGGGCGTAGTGGCGGGCGCCTGTAGTCCCAGCTACTTGGGAGGCTGAGGCAGGAGAATGGCGTGAACCCGGGAGGCGGAGCTTGCAGTGAGCCGAGATCCCGCCACTGCACTCCAGCCTGGGCGACAGAGCAAGACTCCGTCTCAAAAAAAAAAAAAAAAAAAAAAAAAAAAAAGGGTAAGTTAGAGGTGATTAAAACAATGGACAATTTTTTTTTTTTTTGAGACTGAGTTTCGCTCTTGTTATCCAGGCTGGAGTGCACTGGCACAATCTCAGCTCACTGCAACCTCTGCCTCCTGGGTTCAAGCAATTCTCCTGCCTCAGCCTCCCGAGTAGCTGGGATTACAGGCATGTGCCACCACGCCCAGCTAATTTTTGTATTTTTAGTTGAGACAGGGTTTCACCATATTGGCCAGGCTGGTCTCAAACTCCTGACCTCAGGTGATCTTCCCACCTCTGCCTCCCAAAGTGCTGGGATTACAGGCGTGAGCCACCGCACCTGGCAACAATGAATAATTTTTTAATGGAGAAAAAAAAAGGAATAAAACTACGATAATGCAAGTAAAAAGCTAATTGGAGATAGAATAAAATGTTAGACTCACAGGTGGAAGAGTATAATATGATCCGTCACAATTTCTTCAAAAGTTGCCTTTTCCCCAACACTTGTCATATTCAAATGAAAAAGGAGAGAGCCCCAGTAATATTTTTCAACATACATTTGTATATAGGTTGATGAGAACAGTTTTTCAAATGTGCAATTGAAAATTGGCAATTTTATAACTTTCTAGATGAGAAGAAAATAAATAGAAGTAAGGCCTTGTGTGCATTTATTTTAAGACATATTGCATAAGATCAGCAATAACACTGGTGTCCTTTGGTGTATAAGTGTAGGCTGGAGAATGTGGGCAGAAAGCCTGGTTCTCATGAAGAAATCTCACTTCTCTGGAGGCTGACATTTAGATTTTGTATTAGTTATGTCTTCCTCGAATTGCTGTGGGGACAGGAAGCCTTCATAAATACAAACTTAATTAAATGTGAAAATGTAGTGGTAGATTTGAGATGAAGACGTGGAAAGAGCTCAAACTGCCATGTTCTTCAACGAAGCAGTTTGCTTAAATAAATGGGGAAGTCATGATAAATCCTTTGCTAAAGTTCACTCTCTATTTTAGGAAGGTGCTGCATATAATTAAAATACTTATGAAACCATTCTCTGTTTCTCTATAAGAAATAATCATAGGAGCAGCAGAATTTTCTTTACCCCGATTTCCTTAGAACCAAGTTATATATAGTAAATAACTTTTTTTGTACTTATAAAAATATGGCTTATTGTATTGATAAAAATAACTGTCCTCTGAGTTTAAAAGCCTTGCATTTGTATTCCTAATCTGCTATCATGCCATGAATTGACTATGGGCAAGTAGCAAACTCCTTAATGTACCAGAAGAAAAGGGCAAAACAATTACATCTCTATAGTTAATTGTTTTGCTGTATTTGAACATATGTATACCTATTTATTTATTTATCAATATCATCCAGCACATCTGGCACTCAAGAAGTATTACTTCTTTTCTCCTCGTATCACTAATTCCATTTTTAAAGGATTCTAAAATGAAAAATATTGAGATATTCTAGTTCCAAAGGATCACCCTATATTTCCAAATGGTGCCTTTCTCATTCTCTGAGCTCTCCTGTGATATGGAATTTTCATTCTCCTTTTATGAGGTCTGAGATCCTATTTCTATAAATAGGGCATTTCAATAAAATTGATCTGGACTATGGAGTGATAGTGCTGAATACAGGTCTGATCTTTTAACTGCTCACATCGTGTGAGTTAAGTTTCAAAGACAGCATTACCCAATTTTATTCTTTGATTGTTGATACATTATAATTTTTCAGTTTGTATAGATTTTATTGAATCAGCCCAACAGAAAGCAAGGCCTTGTGAGGAAACAGAATGTTAGCCAAGTGAGTTTTTATTGTACTCATCAATCCTGTGTGCCTGTGTGTGTTTGTTGAGGAACGGCTGTGTATGGTTTTGAAATGAAAGAAAGAATAATGAAAGCAGGCTGGAAAAGCATAAAAGACCAACATGAATCACAATGTTAGTTTGCATAGGAGAAACTCTTACTTTGAATCTTGTTTGTGAGGTTTCTTTTGATAAAATCTCCAATAATTATATCAACACTCTCAGCATTATCTATATCTGTTTGTCTTTTCTGCTATTATTACCCTGTCCCTACCACAAACCTCAAGTCATCCTTCCATCCAGTGTTTATCTTATAAACATGGTTGAAATCCATTTATTAAAAAAAAAAACAAGAATAAGAACAAAATGAACAGCCCTCCCCACTGCTTTCCAACTTAATGCCAGTTACTATTCTGTTGGAAACAGTCCTTCCACTTGCTTTTTGTCTGTTTTTAACCTGTCTGGTCATGTATAAGAAAGACCCAGATACAGTCATTCTTTTCTTCTTTTGTGTTTCATACTTTAGAGAAACCAGAATGCAACAAGATCCTCACATAAGTAGTGGTAAACTAAGTATATGACAGAGTTGGAAAAAAATGTAAAGGAAAATCAAAGTTTCATGGGGAAACAGAAATGGAAATAATCCCTCTTCTTGTTTGATTTTTCTTATTTTGTTATTGAACAACAAAAAGTTCCTTTCCAATACAATTTTTAAAAACTGACCAACGTTTCTTGAAAATAACTATAGTGGGACACGGTTTTAGTGTTCTTTGAACCATTTCACTGTATAAAGTGGGAATAAAGGTTATTATTATTTGAGGCCAGATTTAGTGTTTGATAAAGATTATTTAATCCAGTAGTATGTGTCAGGCCTCTGAGCCTAAGCTAAGCCATCATAGCCTTTGGGACTTGCACGTACACATCTAGATGGCCAGTTCTTGCCTTAACTGATGACATTCCACTACAAAAGAAATGAAAATGGCCTGTTCGTGCCTTAACTGATGACAGTATCTTGTGAAAGTCTTTCTCCTGACTCATCCTGGCTTAAAAGCTCCTTTACTGAGCACCTTGTGACCTCTACTCCTGCCCCCCAGAGAACAACCTTTCTTTGACTGTAACTTTTTTTTTACTTACCTAAATCTTATAAAATGGCCTCACTTTTATCTCTTTTTGCTGACTCTCTTTTCGGACTCAGCCTGCCTGCACCTAGGTGAAATAAATAGCTGTATTGCTTACACAAAGCCTGTTTGGTGGTCTTTTCACACGGACGTGAGTGAAATTTGGTGCCGTGACTTGGATTGGGGGACCTCCCTTAGGAGATCAATCCTCTGTCCTCTTGCTCTTTGCTCTGTGAAAAAGATCCACCTACAACCTCAGATCCTCAGACCCACCAGCCCAAGGAACATCTCTCCAATTTTAAATCCGGTAAGCGGCCTCTTCTTACTCTCTTCTCCAACCTCTCTCACTATCCCTTAACCACTTTCTCCTTTCAATCTTGGTGCCACCCTTCAATCTCTCCTTTCTCTTAATTTCAGGTCCTTTCCTTTTCTAGTAGAGACAGGAGATGCGTTTTATCCGTGGACCCAAAACTCCGGTGCTGGTCATGGACTCAGGAAGACAGTCTTCCCTTGGTGTTTAATCACACAAGGACACCTGCCTGATTATTCGCCCATGTTTCAGAGGTATCTGACGACGCGGGGATGCCTACCTTCGTTCTTCACCCTTAGCAGCAAGTACTGCTTTTCTAGGGGGCAAGAACCCCCCAACCCCTTCTCTCCATGTCTCTACCCCTTCTCTGCTTTTCTGGAAGGCAAGAACCCCCCAACCCCTTCTCCTTCATCCTTAGCGGCAAGTACCACTTTTCTAAGGGGCAAGAAGCCCCCAACCCCTTCTGTCCATGTCTCTACACCTTCTCTGCTTTTCTAGGGGCAAGAACCCCCGATCCCTTATTTCTATGCCTGAACCTCTTATCTCTACGCCCCGATCCCTTATTTCCGTGCCCCAACCACTTATTTCCGTGCCACGACCTCTTATCTCTGTGCCCTGATCCCTTATTTCCTCACCCCGACCTCTTATCTCTGTGTCCCAACCCCTTTTTCCGTGCCCCAACCTCTTATCTCTGCACCCTAAACCCTTATTTCCATGCCCTGAACCCTTTCCCCTTTTCTAGAAGGTAAGAACCCCTGAACCCCTTCCATGTCTCTACCCTTCTCTTTAAACTTGCCTCCTTCACTATAGGCAAGCTTCCACCCTCCATTCCTCCTTCTTCTCCCTTAGCCTGTGTTCTTAAGAACTTAAAACCTCTTCAACTCTCGCCTGACCTAAAATCTAAGCATCTTATTTTCTTCTGCAATGCTGCTTGACCCCAATACAAACTTGACAGTAGCTCCAAACAGCCAGAAAACGGCACTTTCAATTTTTCCATCCTACAAGATCTAAATAATTCTTGTCGTAAAATAGGCAAACAGTCTGAGTTGCCCGACGTCCAGGCATTCTTTTACACATCAGTCCCTCCCAAATCTCTGTTCCCAATGCAACCCGTCCCAAATCCTCCTTCTTTCCCTCCCTCCTGTCCCCTCAGTCCCAACCCCAAGCGTCGCTAAGTCTTTCTACTCTTCCTTTTCTACAGACCCATCTGACCTCTCCCCTCCTTGCCAGGCTGAGCTAGGTCCCAATTCTTCCTCAGCCTCTGCTCCTCCACCCTATAATCCTTTTATCACCTCCCTTCCTCACACCAGGTCCGGCTTACAGTTTTGTTCCACGACTAGCCCTCCCCCACCTGCCCAGCAATTTCCTCTTAAAAAGGTGGCTGAAGCTAAAGGCATAATCAAGGTTAATGCTCCTTTTTCTTTATCCGACCTCTCCCAAATCAGTTAGCTTTTAGGCTCTTTCAACAAATATGAAAAACCCAGCACAGTTCATGGCTCATTCGGCAGCAACTCTGAGACGCTTTACAGCCCTAGACCCTAAAAAGTCAAAAGGCCGTCTTATTCTCAATATACATTTTATTACCCAATCCGCTCCTGACATTAAATAAAACTCCAAAAATTAAATTCCGGCCCTCAAACCCCACAACAAGGCTTAATTAACCTCACCTTCAAGGTGTACAATAACAGAGTAGAGGCAACCAAGTAGCAATGTATTTCTAAGTTGCAATTCCTTACCTCCACTGTAAGACAAACCCCAGCCACATCTCCAGCACACAAGAACTCCAAATGCCCGAACCGCAGCTGCCAGAGGTTGCAGGACCCCACTGAAAATCAGACCGTTCAACTCACCTGGCAGCCACTCCCAGAGCCCCTGGAACTCTGGCCCAAGGCTCTCTGACTGAATCCTTCCCAGATCTTCTCGGCTTAGCAGCTGAAGACTGACACTGCCCGATCGCCTCAGAAGCCTACGAGACCATCACAGACACACTAGGTAACTCTCATAGTGGAAAGTAAGTCCACCCCCTTCTTAGTCAATACGTAGGCTACCCACTCCACATTACCTTCTTTTCAAAGGCCTATTTCCCTTGCCTCCATAACTGTTGTAGGTATTGACGGCCAGGCTTCTAAGCCTCTTAAAACTCCCCAGTTCTGGTGCCAACTTAGACAATACTCTTTTATGCACTCTTTTTTTTAGTTATCCCCACCTGCCCAGTTCCCTTATTAGGCCAAGACATTTTAACTAAATTATCTGCTTCCCTCACTATTCCTGGACTACAGCTGCATCTCATTGCTGCCCTTCTCCCCAACCCAAAGCCTCCTTTGCGTCTTCCTCTCATATCCCCCCAACTTAACCCACAAGTATAGGACATCTCTACTCCTTCCCTGGCAACTGATCACATGCCTATTACCATCCCATTAAAACCTCATCACCCTTACCCTGCTCATTGCCAATATCCCATCCCACAGCACGATTTAAAAGGAATAAAGCCTGTTATCACTCACCTGCTACAGCATAGGCTTCTAAAACCTATACACTCCCCTTATAATTCCCCTATTTCACCTGTCCTAAAACCAGACAAGGCTTATAGGTTAGTTCAAGATCTGCGCCTTATCAACCAAATTGTTTTGCCTATCCACCCCATGGTGCCAAACCCATATACTCTCCTATCCTCAACACCTCCCTCCACAATCCATTATTCTGTTTTAGATCTCAAACATGCTTTCTTTATTATTCATTTGCACCCTTCATCCCAGCCTCTCTTTGCTTTCACTTGGACTGACCCTGACACCCATCAGGCTCAGCAAATTACCTAGGCTGTATTGCCGCAAGTCTTCACAGACAGCCCCCATTACTTCAGTCAAGACCAAATGTCTTCCTCATCTGTTACCTATCTCGGCATAATTCTCATAAAAACACATGTGCTCTCCCTGCTGATCCTGTCTGGCTAATCTCCCAAACCCCAATCCCTTCTACAAAACAACTCCTTTCCTTTCTAGGCATGGTTAGTAAGGTCAGAGTTCTTAACAAGAGCCAGGACCGCACCCTGTAGGCTTTCTGCCCAAACAACTTGACCTTTCTGTTTTAGCCTAGGCCTCATGTCTGCGTGCAGTGGCTGCCACTGCTTTGACACTTTTAGAGGCCCTTAAAATCACAAACTATGCTCAACTCACTCTACCTTTCTCATAACTTCCAAAATCTATTTTCTTCCTCACACCTGACGCATATACTTTCTGCTCTCTGGCTCCTTCAGCTGTGCTCACTCTTTGTTGAGTCCCACAATTACCATTGTTCTTGGCCGGGACTTCAATCCGGCTTCCCACATTATTCCAGATACCACACCTGACCCTCATGAGTGCATCTCTCTGATCCACCTGACATTCACCCCATTTCCCCATATGTCCTTCTTCCCTGTTTCTCACCCTGATCACACTTGGTTTATTGATGGCAGTTCCAACTGGCCTAATTGCCACTCACCAGCAAAGGCAGGCTATGCTATAGTACTAGCCACTAGCCCGCCTCTTAAAACCTCTCATTTCCTTTCCATCGTGGAAATCTATCCTCAAAGAAATCACTTCTCAGTGTTCCATCTGCTATTCTACTACTCCTCAGGTATTATTTAGGCCCCTTCCCTTCCCTACACATCAAGCTCGAGGATTTGCCCCCACCCAGGACTGGCAAATTGGCTTTACTCAACATGCCCCAAGTCAGAAAACTAAAATACCTCTTAGTCTGGGTAGACACTTTCACTAGATGGGTAGAGGCCTTTCCTACAGGGTCTGACAAGGCCACCACGGTCATTTCTTCCCTTCTGTCAGACATAATTCCTTGGTTTGGCCTTCCCACCTCTATACAGTCTGATAACGGACCAGCCTTTATTAGTCAAATCAGCCAAGCATTTTTTTTGGCTCTTGGTATTCAGTGAAACCTTTATATCCTTTTCAGTCCTCAGTCTTCAAGAAAGGTAGAACGGACTAATGGTCTTTTAAAAACACACCTCACCAAGCTCAGCCACCAACTTAAAAAGGACCGCACAAGGCTTTCACAACTTTCCCTTCTCAGAATTCAGGCCTGTCCTTGGAATGCTACAGGGTACAATTTGAGCTCCTGTATGGATGCTCCTTTTTATTAAGCCCCAGTTTCATTCCAGACACCAGACCAACTTGGACTGTGCCCCAAAAAACTTGTTATCCCTACGGTCTTCTGTCTAGTCATACTCCTATTCACCATTCTCAACTACTCATACATGCCCTGCTCTTGTTTACTCTGCCGGTTTACACTGTTTCTCCAAGCCATCACAGCTGATAACTCCTGGTGCTATCCCCAAACTGCCACTCTTAACTCTTGAAGTAAATAAATAATCTTTGCTGGCAGGACTATGATGAATCTCCTTAAGCACTCTCTAATTAAATGTCCTAAGTCCTCCCAATTCTTAGACCTTTAACACCTGTTTTTCTCCTTCTCTTATTCCATTTAGTTTTTCAATTCATACAAAACTGTATCCAGGCCATCACCAATAATTCTACATGACAAATGTTTCTTCTAGCAGTCCCACAATATCACCCCTTACCACAAAATCTTCCTTCAGCTTAATCTCTCCCACTCTAGGTTCCCACGCCGCCCCTAATCCCGCTTGAAGCAGCCCTGAGAAATATTGCCCATTATCTCTCCATGCCATCCCCAAAAATTTTCGCCGTCCCGACACTTTACCACCACTTCGTTTTATTTTTCTTATTAATATAAGAAGACAGGAATGTCAGGCCTCTGAGCCCAAGCTAAGCCATCATATCCCCTGTGACCTGCACATACACATCCAGATGGCCGGTACCTGCCTTAACTGATGACATTCCACCACAAAAGAAATGAAAATGGCCTGTTCCTGCCTTAACTGATGACATTATCTCGTGAAATTCCTTCTCCTGGCTCATCCTGGCTCAGAAGCTCCCCTACTGAGCACCTTGTGACCCCCCACTCCTGCCCACCAGAGAACAACCCCCCTTTAACTGTAATTTTCCTTTACCTACCCAAATCTTATAAAACAGCCCCACCCCTATCGCCCTTCACTGACTCTTTTCGGACTCAGCCCGCCTGCACCCAGGTGAAATAAAGCTTTATTGCTCACACAAAACCTGTTTGGTGGTCTCTTCACACAGACGCGAGTGAAAGTATGCATGTCGTTGTTTCCATTTTTGAAAAGGTAACTGACCCCCACAAAGGTTAAACCACACCTCCAAAGTCCCATGAAGCCAAGGTATTAAACCCAGATCTTGGGATTTCAGAGCTCATGCTCTTGCTGCTACCCCATTAATGCTGCTTTATCAGATACTGAAAAGTTATTGTTCTTACCTCTGTCTAGCCCGTCAATCCTTTTGACACTGGCCTAATGACGCACTTACTGGCAAAGGTGGATGTCCCTGAGAATTTGTAAATATATTAAGCACATTTCTGCTATTGCAATATGGTTCTAAGCAGAGCAAAAAACTCATCTATTTTCACCCTGAATTGGATTCTTTCCCAACTGAAGGCTGATTATTTGAGGGCTTGAAGATTGATGTCAGGGTGTCCTCCTGAAAAAAGACTGAAGTAATTACAATTAAATATATGGTTGATGGTCTCATTCTTGCCTACATGTTTGCATCTCCACTTCCAAGATTTTCTTAAGCAGTTCCTCGGAAACATTTCAATCCCTGTTAATGCTTCTTTCAATTGAAATCTCTTCTTAAATCCTATATTGAAATGGATATATTGCACTCTACTGAGCAAAGTGGAGGATATTAAAAAATAAATAAGAATAGGACCTTCTGTTCAAAGAGTTACAATTTAGTGGAAGAGTTTCTTGTTCACAGTCACTAAACAATTTCCTTGGAATTCAGTTTCATATCATTCACATCTTATGCCTTCTTTCCAGAGCAAAACTCACCAATCTCATAAATAAATAATTTGTTATAATACATCAACCCTCTTTTGCAAGCTTACAATAATTTTTAACAAAAGCTCTCTGGAGACAATAACCCAAATGAACAATTCAAAAGAAGAAATTTCAGGGACTTCAGCACACTGTCTGTGGAAGTTTGGTGTAGATAGCTAATACCACAGCATCTTTCAAGTGGCATCCACCTATTTTTATCTACATGTATAACCAACCTTGATATGTAATATGTCATTCCCTGGCAATCAACTTACTTTAATTCAGAAAACCTGACCCACCTTCTGGATGAGACAATGGCATTATTTTAATATTCATCTTTTACTTATAACTTACCATTTTCTCTATCTTTACAAGGTGGTATTTCAGGAGGAAAGCAGTTATGTGGCCTGAATAACATTAGACTTTTCACATTATTAGTATTCAGGCTTTGGGTTAAGGAACAAAGTTGCCAGCAGACCTGAAGATGTGTTTAGAATACACTCAGTGTTAAGGGCCCTTTCAATGATTCAGCACAGTTACAATTTTTGCTTTTATTAAGCTAGAGGAATTGAAGAGGAAAGATGCCTGCTTTTTCTTTAGGGAGGAGGGAAGGTCTTAATATCTTAACCCAAAACCAAAATGATGAGAGTATGCAAATTTGCCCTTTTACAATATGAACCAAATTGTCTATCTCCACAGAAAGAAAGAAAAAATAGGGCATTCCCAAGGTCATGTTTCCCGAATGCTTTATTGTACAATGACAATTCAGTGACCTTTCTGAAATAAAGATATAATAAGATCAATCTGATTTGTTTAGTCACTGGTAATGTTATCATGGTCATACATACAAATCAATGAGGTGAAAAGAAGAAGAAAAGAAACATACTAGAGGCCAATTCAACTATTTAAAACAAACCATTGTCATGTCCATTTTAGTAAAGTTGATGTGAATATCTGAATAATCAATTTTTTCTTTTGACATTAATAATTGAAGTTTGATAACATTAATGATTGTAGTTTGATAATCTTCTGAAATGAAAATAATAAGATGGGAAAGGCAAATGTTTTCATGGCCTCTTTTGGAAGCTAATAATTTAGGAAGCACTTTGAAGATACTGGGACAGAGAATATATTGTATAAAGAGAAACCATGTGGATATTGGTGTTAATATTTTGGGAAAATTAGAAATACATATATGCTAGATTAGGACTACTTTTCAACTATTGTATATGGATATGGTTTAACTATCATTATGAGCAAGTATCAGAATAAAGAAGTTAAAAATACCTTAATAAAATATTCAGAAATAAGAATATTTGTGCCACAAACATTAACTTTAAATACTAAAATTTAGCAGTTTTTTTTCTAGTGAGACTTCAGGATTGTTTATCTTCTAGAAGGGTGTCTAGGAGTCCCTTTGGTTCAGAAATCACTTAAAACTATCACTTAACGACAGGATACATTCTGAAAAATGCATTATTGTGCTAACACCACAGAACGTACTTACACAAACATAGGTGTTATAGCCTACTACACACGTAGGCTGTCTTGTATGACCTATGGATCCTAGGTTACAAACTTGTACAGCATGTTCCTATACTGAATGTTGTAGGCGAATATAACATAATGGTATCTGTGTATCTAAACATATCTAAATATAGAAAAGGTAATGTTTTGCACTGCCATATTACCACAGCTACTAGGTAATAGAAAATTTTCAGCTCAATTATAATCTTATGGGGCTTCATTTAATATGTGGTCCATCATTGACCAAAATGACTTTATGATGTGCATGACTGAGTTGCAGAAAAGAGGGAGCATTTGCTGAAAATGTGATGTCAGAATGTTTACCTTATTATAAGAGCATAAGGGTCCATTTTGGTTTATGTATGCATGGCTCTAATTAAATATATATTTTCTACAACTAAAAATGGCCATTATTAATATTTTAATTTTATCCTTTATCCTTTGATCCTAGCTGAAATCCTATAATAAATTAATACATTTTTCATTTAACTGTAAATAACAACTATTTCCTTATCAATCAAGGTTTTAAGACAAATACAAAGAGATCTCAAATTTATGTTTTTCTTAAAGGACTGAGGAATAAAAGCTCACTCTCCATTTTGCTTTAGACTTAAGCAGCATCCTTGATCCTAGTTACCAGAAGCTGATAGGAGGTCATTACCATCCCTGAACTTTCAACAAATAGAACTGCAAGAGTTCGGAAAATGTAAGAAAGAAACCGGGGAGAAATCCAAAAGCATATCCTAGTAAAATACATTCCTGTAGTAAAAGACCTATTTTGGTTTGCACTTCAGATATCAGAAACTGGTTTAGAAATTGTTCAGCTGAATAAAATGAAAACAATCTCATTCTCTACTTCTTGTAAATGAAAGCTGCATTTGAGTGGGTGCATCTGTCATGTGCTGTGACAGGAATTTTTATAAATATGATTTATTAATTTAATTCCCAAACAACCCATATAAATGAGAATATTATTCCTAATGCTAATCTGGCTCCCAATAGCTAATAATAATAATAGCAACCATGTTAATACTTGCCACTTAAGTACTAAATCAGGTACTTAATATGTGTTTGGAATGTATAATCTCATTTAAAAATTCTTCTCAAAGCTATATATCATGGAGGTATATATTTATTACTATTTTACAGAAAACAGAGGCTCAGAAACACAGCTACTAGATAGAATAAAATGTCAGAATTCAAGCTCAGGTCTGTCTGTTGTCAACATCTGTACTTTCCTTTCTAAAGCATCCTGGTGCATAACTGTCCTGGAAAGTCAACAGAGTAGGCAAAGTCTACAAGCCTGGATGGGAATTCTGTGTGAAAAATAGAGATCAATGAGCCTGCCTGAAATCCTGCTCCCCTAGCATGATCGCTTTTCATTTTTTTACCTTGGCTTTTGATCCTCACAAAAATTCTAATTTTAATATGAATTACCTTAAAACACAAATAATTGTAACAAGCAACAGTTAGAGGTGGGAAGAGGCCGATAATTGTAATCGACAGGAAGCTAAAAGAACCCCATGAAAAGTAACCAGCAAGGGGACATTAAAAGTGAATATGGGCACCAGAAAGAAGGCCATCAGAAACATAATTGTCTACTTTGTTTTGGCTTAGTCTCGTGCTGTGTTTGTGTGTGTGTGTGTGTATGTGTGTGTGGTGTGTGTGTAGATAAAATAAGTGAAATGGAGCCCTCCAAGCATTATTTAGATAGACAAATTCACACAGCATATAAAATAAATAATTATTTATTTTGCCTCGAGATATTTCCAAGAGGCCATTTGCATGAATCTCATTTATTGGCTAATCAATCATGTCCTTCCCACTTTGCCTGGATGAGCACAGTCTGCAGCTCAGCAACTGATGTGCCACGCTGAAGACAGTGCAGGTAATAAGAAACCACCATGTGAGATTCTTTTATGGGTTGTTCATGCTACAAAGACACCAGCAGAAGTTGATTTTTCTTTCCTTTATTTTCAAGTTAACATCTTTCTTTTCTTGCCATCACATTTTTGTTGGTCTTGCCTTACAGTTCCTTGTATCTGCCAACATTTGGCTGTGCCAAGTAAATTTATTGTTCTCCCTGCTATTCATTTTATTCTCTATTTCCTTGATATTTTCAGACAAAAATTTTTTTTAATCAAAAAACGTATTTCTGGGTTTCACTTCTGTTGATTTCAAAGATAACTGCCATGCATTTTATTCTCAAACTTGCAGAACTGTATATATCAGTAATTTTAAAAGTTAGTCTCACATAAAAAGCTTTTATACATTTATTTTTCCTTGAGTAATATTGGTAGTATATATATAAAACATCAATAATCTATCTACCAACCTACAAATATGTGTATATAGTATATGTATATATAAGCACAGAATTATCTTTATATATAACACAAATGTATATATACTATATATGTATGCATATATATATAATGTGTGTATATATATACACAATTGTAAGATAGTATAATAAATAACTTAGAACTGAAAATAAACGTTTAATGAAATTTTGCTTGCAAAGCCCCACATGCGATAATACTAGGTAGAAATTTTTTTTGAGTACACATTATGTATGTCCATTTTAGAAAAGATGTGGTATGAAGTTGCAAAGAAACAACATTAAGGAAAAACACAATTTGAAGCAAAGATTTGTTGCTTTTATTGCTTTCACTTGCGTCCCTGTGAAGAGACCACCAAACAGGGTTTGTGTGCGCAATAAAGCTTTTTAATCACCTGGGTGCAGGCAGGCTGAGTCCAAAAAGAGAGTCAGTGAAGGGAGATAAGGGTAGGGCGCTTTTATAAGATTTGGGTAGGTAAAGGAAAATTACAGTCAAAGGGGGGTTGTTCTCTGGCAGGCAGGAGTGGGGCTGACAAGGTGCTCAGTAGGGGAGCTTTTGAGCCAGGATGAGCCAGGAGAAGGAATTTCACAAGATAACGTCATCACTTAAGGCAAGGACCGGCCATTTTCACTTCTTTTGTGGTGGAATGTCATAAGTTAAGGCAAGGAACAGTCCATCTGGATGAGTAGGAGCAGGTCACAGGGGATATGATGGCTTAGCTTGGGCTCAGAGGCCTGACATTCCGGTCTTATATTAATAAGAAAAATAAAACAAAATAGTGTTGAAGTGTTGGGGCGGTGAAAATTTTGGGGGTGGTATGGAGAGATAATGGGCGATGTTTCTCAGGGTTGCTTCTAGTGGGATTAGGGGTGGCGTGGGAACCTAGAGTGGGAGAGATTAAGCTGAAGGAAGATTTTGTGGTAAGGGGTGATATTGCGGGGTTGTTAGAAGGAACACTTGTCGTGTAGAATTATTGGTGATGGCCTGGATATGGTTTTGTATGAATCAATAAACTAAATGGAATAAGAGGAGAAAAACAGGTATTAAAGGACTAAGAATTGGGAGGATCTAAGACATCTAATTAGAGAGTGTCCAAGGGGCGTCAGTGTAATTACTTGCTTGGTTGGCAAGTTTTTAGACTCTATCCTTGAGTTTTTTATGTTGTTATACACCAGGCCAGATTGATTTAGGTAAAAACAACACTCTTCATTTAAGAATATACAGAGTCCTCCATTTTCAGCAGTAAGTCAAGGCCTTGGCGGTTTTGGAGGACAACTGCAGCTAAAGAGTCACCTTGGGCCTGGAGGACTGATAAAGTTTGTGATATGTCTGTGATGCTAGCAGAGAAATCATTAGAGAGGCTATGGAAGGTCCTGACAGAGGTTGAAATGCCTGCTATTCCAGTACCGAGAGCAATAGTGGAGGCAGAAAGTCTTAAACTGACAAGCAAGGGAATTAGTGGAATAACTCTTTTTTGGCGTATCGGTGTCATGAGGGGAAGAGGGAGCTCTTCAGTCCTATTTGCAAATTGAATTTTGGGAGTAAGTAAAACTAGTGTGCATGTACCTGCCTAATTAGCAGGTAGACACATGTAGGTAGAGGATCCACAGAGGAAGAAGAGACCTTGTGCGAGGCAAACCTGGAGATGCAAAGTAAAAAGATGAGAAGGAGTGCTGAAAGGGGTGTCTTGTACCTAGAGTTCCTAGGGATCCAGCTAGGGCGGCAGCCATCAGAGGGTGTAATGGGGACCGATGAGGTTACTGCTTAGAAGGGAAGGATCGATTTTCATGGTGTATGAGAAAACATAGGTGCAACCTTTCACTGTTATTTTCAGGGCTGGGTACAAGTAAACAAGAAGAGAGCTATGGAGATGAAGAGTAAAGGAACATCGAGAAGGTGAAAGGTTACCTAGGGGGATTGCAGTGGGTCTTTGATGAAAGATACATAAAGGAGCAGCCACAGGAATAATAGTTTGTGTTGTGAGAGGTCTAAATATGGGGGGAGTAGAGTGGATATAAGGAGAAAGGTTTTTTAATTAAGTGCGGAGGAGGGCGGCTGCTTGCTGATGTGAAATGTCTGGGGAGGTCTTGCTGGACCTGTCTAGAAAGTAAATGAGTTCTTCAGGAGGGTAAAGGTGAGGGCTATTAAAGGAAGTTCAGAGGTGTAGGGAGACAGGAGATGTTGTCTAGTCTGCATGTAAGGCGGGGACAGCTGTGTAAGCTCTGGAAGAAAGGGAAATGCAAAGCTAGTGGTTGTTCACTAAGGAAGGATTAGAAATGGCTAGGAGAGAATGAGTAAGGTTGATGGTGTGGTGGAGATGGCGGGGGAGAGGTAGAGGGTGGCATAAGAATGGGAATGAGAATAAGAGTGACTATAAATGTAAAGAATAGAACTTCATCAGGGTGAAAGTATTGGAAGGTCCCCTGCCAGCAAAGATCATCTATCCACTCTAAGAGGGAGTTAAGAGTTGCCAGTCCTGGGTGAGGGCAAATCCACCAGCTTTGCAGGGAAGGGAGGGGGCCTGAATAATCCCTGAGGAGTAGTAGAATAGCACATGGAACACTGAGAAGTTATTTCCTTGAGGATAGATTTCTAGGATGGAAAGGAAATGAGAAGTTCTAAGAGACGGGCTGGTGGCTTGTACTATAGCATAGCCTGCCTTTGCTGGTGTGTGGTGATTAGGCCTGGTGGAACTACTATCAATAAACCAAGTGTGTTCAGGGTGAGGAACAGGAAAGAAGGGGAAATGGGGTAAATGTCAGGTGGATCAGAGAGATACAGTCATGGGGGTCAGGTGTGGTATCCAGAATACTGTGGGAGGCCAGATTGAAGTCTGGACCAGGAACAATGGTAATCGTGGGAGACTCAACAAAGAGTGAGTACAGCTGAAGGAGCCAGGAGCAGAAAGTATAAGTGTCAGGTGTGAGGAAGAAAATAGATTTTGGAAGTTAGGAGAACTGTAGAGAGTAAGTTGAGCATAGTTTGTGATTTTTGGGGCTTCTAAAAGTATTAAAGCAGTGGCAGCCGCTGCATGCAGACATGAGGGCTAGGCTAAAATAGTAAGGTCAAGTTGTTTGGACAGAAAGGCTACAGGGCGTGGTCCTGGCTCTTGTGTAAGAATTCTGACTGCATTAACCATGCCTAGGAAGGAAAGGAGTTGCTGTTTTGTAGAAGGGATTGAGGTTTGGGAGATTAGCGGGACACAATCAGCAGGGAGAGCACGTGTGTTTTTATGAGAATTATGCCGAGATAGGTAACAGATGAGGATGAAATTTGGGCTTGACTGAAGTAATGGGAGCTGTCTGTAAAGCCTTGCGGCAGTACAGCCCAGGTAATTTGCTGAGCCTGATGGGTGTCAGGGTCAGTCCAAGTGAAAGCAAAGAGAGGCTCAGATGAAGAGTGCAAAGGAATAGTAAAGAAAGCATGTTTGAGATCCAGAATAGAATACTGGGTTGTGGAGGGAGGTATTGAGGCTAGGAGAGTATATGGGTTTGGCACCATGGGGTGGATAGGCAAAACAATTTGGATGATAAGGCGCAGAGCCTGAACTAACCTGTAAGCCTTGTCTGGTTTTAGGACATCTGAGATGGGGGAATTGTAAGGGGAGTTTATAGGTTTTAAACGGCCATGCTATAGCAGGCGAGTGATAACAGATTTTAATCCTTTTAAATTATGCTGTGGGATGGGATATTGGCATTGAGCGGGGTAAGAGTGATTAGGTTTCAGTGGGATGGTAAGGGGTGCATGATCGGTCACTAACGAGGGAGTAGAGGTGTCTTATACTTGTGGGTTAAGGTGGGGAGATACAAGGGGGAGAATATGAAGGAGGCTTTGAACTGGGGGAAAAGGCAGCAATGAGGTGTGGCTGTAGCCCAGGAATAGTCAGGGAAGCAAACAATTTAGTTAAAGTGTCTTGGCCTAACAAGGGAACTGGGCAGGTGGAGATAACTAAAAAGGAGTGCTTAAAAGAGTTTTGTCTAAGTTGGCACCAGAATTGGGGAGTTTTAAGAGGTTTAGAAGCCTGGCCATCCATACCCACAATAGTTATGGAGGCAAGGGAAACAGACCCTTGAAAAGAAGGTAATGTGGAGTGGGTAGCCTCCGTATTGATTAAGGGGACGGACTTACCTTCTGCTGTGAGAGATACCCGAAGCTTGGCGTCCGTGATGGTTTAGGGGGCTTCTGAGGCGAACTGGCAGCGTCAGTCTTCAGCCGCTAAGCCAAGAAGATCTGGGAAGGAGTCAGAGAGCCTTGGGCCAGAGTTCCAGGGGCTCTGGGAGTGGCTGCCAGGTGAGTTGAAGAGTCCGATTTTCATTGGGGTTCCGCACAGACGGGACGCAGCTTAGGAGGAATCCCAGGCTGCGGGCATTCCTTGGCCCAGTGGCCAGATTTCCAGCACTTGTAGCAAGCTCCTGGGGGAGGAGGTTCTGGAGGAATGCCTGGCCGCTATGGTTCAGGCGTTTGGAAGTTCTTGTGTGCTGGAGATGTGGCTGGGGTTTGTCTCACAGTGGAGACAAGGAATTGCAACTTTTTTCTGTTACTGTACACCTTGAAGGCGATGTTAATTAAGTCCTGTTGTGGGGTTTGAGGGTCAGAATTTAATTTTTGGAGCTTTATTTAAAGTCGGGAGCGAATTGGGTAATAAAATGTACATTGAGAATAAGACGGCCTTTTGACCTTTTAGGGTCTAGGGCTGTAAAGCATCTCAGGGTGGCTGCCAAATGAGCCATGAACTGGGCTGGGTTTTTCATATTTGAAGAAAAAGAGCCTAAACGCTAACTGATTTGGGAGAGGTCAGATAAAGAAAAAGGAGCATTAACTTTGACTATGCCTTTAGCTCCAGCCATCTTTTTAAGAGGAAATTCCTGGGTAGGTGGGGGAGGGCTAGTCACAGAACGAAACTGTAAGCCGGACCCGGTGTGAGGAGGGGAAGTGATTAAAAGATTATAGGGTGGAGGTGGGGAGGCTGAGGAAGAATTGGGACCTAGCTCAGCCTGGCAAGGAGCAGCCTGGGGAGGAGGGGAGAGGTCAGATGGGTCTGCAGAAAAGGAAGATTAGAAAAACTCAGCGACACTTGGGGTTGGGACTGAGGGGACAGGCAAGAGGGAAAGAAGGAGGATTTGGGACGAGTCGCATTGGGAACAGAGGCTAGGGAGGGACCAATGTGTAAAAGAATGCCTGGACATCAGGCACCTCAGACTGTTTGCCTATTTTACGACAAGAATTATTTAGATCTTGTAGGATGGAAAAATCGAAAGTGCCATTTTCTGGCTATTTGGAACTGCTGTTGAGTTTGTACTGGGGTCAAGCAGCATTGCAGAAGAAAATAAGGCATTTAGGTTTAGGTCAGGTGTGAGTTGAAGTGGTTTTAAGTTCTTGACAACAGAGGCTAAGGGGGAAGAGGGAGGAATGGAGGGTGGAAGGTTGCCCATAGTGAAGGAGGCAAGCCCAGTAAAAAGAGAGAGTAGAGACACGGAGAGAAGGGGTTGGGGGGTTCTTGCCCTCCAGAAAAGTGGAGAAGGGGTAGAGAAATGGAGACAAGGGGCTGGGGGGGATTCTTGCCCCCCAGAAAAGCGGTACTTGCTGCTAAGGGTGAAGGAGAAGAGGTTGGGGGGTTCTTGCCCCCCAGAAAAGCAGAGAAGGGGTAGAGACACGAAGAGAAGGGATTGGGGGCTTATTGCCCCCTAGAAAAGTGGTACTTACCACTAAGGGTGAAGGACCAAGGCAGGTGTCCCTGCGTGGTCAGACACCTCTGAAACGTGGATGAATAATCAGGCAGGCATCCCCGCGTGATTAAACACCAAGGGAAGACTGTCTTCCCGAGTCTGTGACCAGCACCGGAGTTTTGTGTCTACGGATAAAATGCGTCTCCTTCGTCTCTACCAGGAAAGGAAAGGAACTGAAATTAAGAGAAGGGAGAGATTGAAGTGTGGCACCAAAACTGAAAGAAGAAAGAGGTTGAGGGATAGTGAGAGAGTTTGAAGAAGAGAGTAAAAAGAGGTCGCTTACCGGATTTAAAATTGGTGAGATGTTCCTTGGGCTGGTTGGTCTGAGGACCAGAGGTCGTAGGTGGATCTTCCTCACGAAACAAAGAGCAGGAGGACAGGGGATTGATCTCCTAAGGGAGGTTCCCCGATCCGAGTCACGGCACCAAATTTCACTGGCATCCCTGTGAAGAGACCACCAAACAGGCTTTGTGTGAGCAATAAAGCTTTTTAATCACCTGGGTACAGGCAGGCTGAGTCCGAAATGAATCAGTGAAGGAAGATAAGGATAGGGCTGTTTTATAAGATTTGGGTAGGTAAAGGAAAATTACAGTCAAAGGGGGGTTGTTCTCTGGGGGGAGGAGCAGGGGTCACAAGGTGCTCAGTAGGGGAGCTTTTGAGGCAGGATGAGCCAGGAGAAGGAATTTCACAAGATAATGTCATCACTTAAGGCAAGGAACGGCCATTTTCACTTCTTTTGTGGTGGAATGTCATCAGTTAAGGCAAGGAACAGGCCATCTGGATGTTTAGGAGCAGGTCACAGGGGATATGATGGCTTAGCTTGGGCTCAGAGGCCTGACAATTGCCATTTGGCGTTGTTGTTTTAAACTGAGTCTCCACTAAAGTAGCTTAGATGAATGCATTAGCCAAGGTTCTTCAGAGTAGGACATATACATATAGATTTAAATATTAATATAGATATAGTTATATATGTATTTATTTATAAATAAGAATATTTTTATAAGGAATTGGCTGATGTGATTATGGAGGCCAAGAAGAAACAAGATCTGCAGTTGGCAAACTGCAGACCCAGGAGAGTTAATTGTATAATTCTTGTCTGCTTCCAAAGTCGTAAGAACGTGAAGAGCTGACGGTGTAAATTCTAGTCCATGTGTAAAAGACCAATGTCCCAGATCATTTTGTCAGGCAGATAAAGTTCCCTCTTACTCAGCCTTTTTGTTCTATTCAGTTCTTCAGTTGATTGGATAAGGGCTACACACACAGGGAAGACAATCTCTTTTACTGCTTTCATGGGTCGATCAATCCAAATGCTAATCTTATCCAAAAACACTCTCAGGGAAACACCCAGAATAATGTTTGACCAAATGTCTGGCCACTCCCTGGGTGGCCCAGTCAAATTGACACATAAAATTAACTATTACAGAAGGCAAAATATTTCCAGAGGAACTAAAGTATATAAAGAAAGAAAAAAGTAATCTGAACTGTATTATCTTGAAAGCTTGGGGGTAATAATGTCACTATCAAAGGCATTTTTTATTTTGTTCTTGTTAAAGAAACTAGCAACTATTTAAAAAAAATTTCCAAGCATTTATTGTGTAGAGGGATACTTGCGGTAGAAACATGAATATAACACAGCTCTCTCTTTCAGGGAACTCACAACCTAATATATGTGGTAAAATGTGGCTCTTGGGGCCATCTATGGCAAAGTTCCTGAAATCTGGTGAAAATGCAGATTTCTGGGTGTCACTACAGGCCTATTGAACCAGAAAGTAGGAGATATTGTGCATCTGAAAGGAAAATGAATACTTCATTTTCAGGAATCATCAGTTTTGTAGGGTTACCATATAGATCAATAACCACCATACCACATGATGGAGTTTCTGAGGTGGCAACATAGAAGTGCATGTAACTAACTTTGCTTAAACTGGCAAATTATACAAAATGTGTGCAGAAAAAGACATCTAATATCTAATTCATTGATGATCTCACCATGATTAAATCAATCATCAAAGCCTAAATGCCCCCTAGAGTATGTGGTCACAGAGTCATAAACAGTCAAAAAGAATCTCTCTTGTCTTTATCCATGTCAGTCCTGTTTTACTGTAATATCTGTACAGTTTCATTTTTTCATTTAAATCTCTAACCCATTTGGACTTGAAGTTTATTATTGTATATTGAATGGGGAAATAATATTTTTCTGCAGTACTATTTGTAATTACATAATATAACTAACTTTCTAAATGTTCAAACTAGATTTGTTGCATAAACTATAGTACATAGACACAATAAAGTAATAGGCAGCTATAAAAACTGAACCATCTATAAACTGATATGGAATGGTATCTAAAAGATACTGAGCAAAAAAAACTTTAAGTTATGTATATGTGTATATTTATATGTATACACAAACCACACATTTATGTATATACATGACTTGAATGAAATTCAGAATCAGAATGTTTCAACTTAGTGGTAAAATACAAGCATATGTTTCACTGTTGAAGTAGCTGAGACTCAGAATCAGGTAACGTCCTGACCCCAGGGTACAGATCAAGTCAGAAAAAATATCTCCCACAACCCAATACTAAAGGGCTTGGAATGAACATAAAGAATGCTAGCATGTGTCATCGGGTGCGGTGGCTCATGCCTGTAATCCCAGCACGTTGGGAGGCCAAGGCGGGTGGATCACGAGGTCAGGAGATCGAGACCATCCTGGCTAACATGGTGAAACCCTGTCTCTACTAAAAATACAAAAAATTAGCCGGGCATGGTGGCGGTCACCTGTAGTCCCAGCTACTCAGGAGGCTGAGGCAGGAGAATGGCATGAGCCCAGGAGGCAGAGCTTGCAGTGAGCTGAGATTGTGCCACTGCACTCCAGCCTCGGCGACAGAGCGAGACTCCCAAAAAAAAAAAAAAAAAAGAATGCTTCCATGTGTCCTACTGGAATGAATATTAACTACAGTGTCTTTATTGTGCTGAAACTCCAGAAGAAGGTGCTCTGCCATACAGTCCCCATTGCCTTTGCAATAAACTGACTTACTCCATAAGTTATCTCCTCCCTCCACTGTTTTCAGAGAATAAACCAGGGAAGTGATTCTGAAAGGCAGGTGGGAATGAGTCCCACAGGCTTCCTCACCTGAAAACTATGAGAAGCAGGATCACCATCACAACATTCTTCTCTGGTAAGTCATTTATTATTCTACATGTTAGGTCCAGTTATAAGATTTTGCACCTTACTTGAATTTAGAGATAAAATTGGAAATCAGAGAACTGTTGGAGTTGCTGAACCCAGCTCCCAGTTGTAAAGGAAGGTGTATTGATTACTCCCTTGGATACACACATAAAATTATTCAGAGTACATCATAAATTAGTTTCTGAAAACTCTCAAACACTCAGTGTAATGAAATTCACAAAAGGTAGAACTTGTCTCATTTTTAGTATGTAGTAAAGGGAAGAAGAATAAATGAAGCCACACAAAACATTAAGAGATAATATTAACTCATTCGCCATAGGTGTGATTATAGTAGTTTATTAGAACTTCATTCATCCCAGCATGTTAAAAATGTCTTTCTTATTGACTCTATAGTTCCATATCCAGAATTAGTTTTCTGTTAAGGTATCCAGGTGGATAAAACATATTAAACATATAGAAGATGAAGTTGGATTGTGAAGTCAATAACCATTACAATTGTGTGTGTGTGTGTGTATGTATGAGAGAGAGAAAAACATGTTATCCATGTTATTTCCTCCTTTTTCCTCAGATAATTTCAAATGTAGTGATGAATGATGAATAATTACAGCATTTGTTTCTCCATCACTCCACATACTTCCATAAGCATACAGTTTCATTACTGGGATTCTAGCTCCTTCCCTACCCAACTAAGTTTATAGAATCCTTTTCTCCAGTCTCCAGAGCAGAGCCTTTTTCACAATTTCCCTTTCCTAATTCATGGTAGGTAACATGGTTTCTGCTCTCCTGCCCTGCAGGTTGTTCTCTTACCATCAACTGAAGATTTTGTAGCCTTTATACAAACCTACTCGAATGGTCTGATCTCCAAGTGAGTCCGTTTATCATAGGATAAATAGAGGCAGTCTTTGCTTTTCAGTAAGATAGTGCAATACTATAAAAATGACTATAAAAGCAAAACATATGCCAAATGATCTCAACAATCAATGAGAAAAATTACAAATTTCCTGTTACCCTTGAAAACGTTTTCTTAATACATTAAAAACTCTCTTACTGTTGGATTATAAATCTATAGAGAAATGAAGAAAATAGAAAAATTAATATTTATTTAGCACATAGTACTTGTAGACAATAGAAACATTGAGAATTTAAGGATGTTCTTTTTTATTGTTTTTTAAGAGGATGAAACTTTAATCATTTATTTGTACTAACATACCACATTATTTTTCTCTAAAATATGTACAAAAGGAACATTTGAAACTTTATAATAAGTTTAAAGACATTTTCTGTTACACTAGTGCTTTTGGTATATATTATCTTCTGTGCTTTAGTTTTCTTTCAGAAACTATACTACACACCAAAATACTGACAACCATGAATGTACAATAAATTATAATCAGAATGTACAATAAATCATGAATGTACAATAAGTTATAATCAGAATGTACAATAAATTATAATCAGAATGAATTTTTTGATGAGGGAGGTTACACAAATCTACACGTAATAAAATTGTATAGAATTACACACACACACACACACACTCACAGAGAGAAGATGTGAGCATGTAAAACTGGTAAAATCTGAATAAGTTCTATGGATGTCACAGTTTACCAATGTCAGTTTCCTTGTTTGGACAGAGTACTATGGTTATATAAGGATATTCTTTTTAAAAATAAACTATCAAGGATAGTTTGAACAGTGTTTGCCTTCTTGTTATAAAAATTACAAAACTAAACACACATCTTTTCTATGACATAGTAAATTGCCTTGCTTCTTTCTAAGTTGGGATCAGCTTCTAACATTTTACTCATTGTGTATTCAATGTGACGAAATATCTCTGAGAGTTCTTTTACTGCAAAGATTTCAGTTCCTGTTACTTCCTCTGGGATATCTACAGTCTTCTCATCACAACTGTGTTTCTTATTTGTGTAGATAAATCTACATTCACTAATTTCCTCTGGCTATATCTAGAACAATGGCAGTATTATTTCTATAGATAGCCTTTTTGTTCTCCAAATCCATTTATATTCTATTTAGATTTCACTTTCAGCATTACTTTTTATTTATTTGTCGCACTTTTATCTTTGTTGGCCACTGCCCTCTTTTGCCCATTTTTGTAAAATGTCATGGGCGTTTATCACTGGGAGACAAGGAGACAACAAGGAAACAACACAACTACACATTTTGCTGTCTGTGAGCAAACTGAGTAACATAAAAATGTGCAATGAACAATAGCTGACAGGCTTTGAAAGAAGTGAATCCCAGGCATGATGTGCTTCTGTCCCTCACATGATATCTGATGGACTAAAGAGCTAGCAGAGATGTTGGTACTTCCTGTAACTACTAATAGTTAATATATGATGGTAAGTGAAATTTGGACCATATTGTTGAGAGACTGGTGTTATTTCACTATAACTATGATAACTGAAATACATGCATATCAAAATGTGCACAGCAAGAACTGCCTGTATAGTTTTATATATGAATATGTATGTATTTATGCATGAAAGATTTCTTTATATATGAAAAAACTAGTACAAAAATAATTTACGGCAGATGGTCCCAAAAATTAGTTTTGATCTTTAAGATTCCTTTTTCACTTCTCCTGAAAATTGCCATAACAGGCATCATTCCAATTTGAAGTTCTAGGCAATCTGGAACTTCAAAGCATATGACAGGAACTGCCTTTGCTGGCCAACTGCTCCTTGGCCACCATTAGCATCAAATAAAGATGTTTTGTGTAAACTAAGGTTAGGGCATCTCTTTTCTCCTGTAAATAATAGATGTTAGTGCCCCTTAAATGTGCAAAATTCCATTTGGCCTGTTAAATGTATTTAATCCGAAAATGGAGTTAGTGACTATCAATACACATTACACAATTGTCATTAAAATAATAAAATGCAATTATATGGCATTGAGCTGTATGTTCTTATGACAGCAATGCAACATACAATGGCAAAACACAACATACAACAGCAAAATACAACATGATAATTATAAATAGTCATCATAGTAATGATTGCTTGCTTTTCAGTAGTGCTTTCATAACTCTTTCTAATGAATTGGAGCAACTACAGAATATTGGAGAAAACTGCAAGATAGGCTGCCAAAAAGGTGAGAGGGCTCTGAGTTCATGAATACATAATTTTTAATAGTCCTGAAAGTGCTGCTGTTTGTTCATCTTCATTTCATTTTTGTCCTCTTCCTTTTGACATCTCTGAAGCACATGTGGCACAAAGCAATTATCTGTTAGCTGAGTGTCAACAATATATTCCAGTGAGCAGATCACCTGTGTCAGACAGTGGTAATATGGGCCACTCTGGGAAAGGTAAATCCAAGCCAGGAGTTTGGCAGTAAGTGAATGGTTGGAAATAAATCTAAGAGCTACCGAAATTCTGCTAAGGAATTGGCATTAGAGAGAATGATAGACAGAATATTGCTGCCACAGGCCCAAGTCATACAAACATGTTATCCATGTTATTTCCTCCTTACTGTTGGATTATAAATGTATAGAGAAATAAGATAGAAAAATTAATATTTATTTAGCACATAGTACTTTTAGACAATAGAAACATTGAGAATTTAAGGATGTTCTTTTAAAAAATAAACTATCAAGGATAGTTTGAGGCTGAAAATATTAAGTGAAGAGCTAACATCAACAAAAGTGGTCTAATGGAGAAGGCAAATGCAGGTTTTAAGAACAGGTTAATTTGTGTGTGTGTGTGTGTGTTTAATCAATAGTGGATTAAAAATGGGAGATGACTTTAGCTCCAGTAATATCTAGCAATAGGATTCAGAGACAAACCCCCAAAAATGTAATTCAAAACTACCTAAGATCTTCAGTTGTCAGCCCCTCCTGGAGGTTTGGAGTAACACTTTTGGTCTTCATTTCTTCTGGAGATTGAAAGTGATATGGCATACCCTTAAAAACACGCAAAAGCTATCTTTGAAATGCACAGAAAAACAAAGTCACCTTGCAACAGACACGAAAGTAGGTTTTACCTGAGAACAACTGACATGTAGTTTCCCATTCCCTAAAGTTGCGGATCCCTCTTAGCTTTGAAGGCGGAAAGACACCTGCTAAGGAAAATAAGCTACATCTGGGGTGGGCATTATGAGAAAATGGTAATAGCTGTGTAGTTTGCTGTAATAAAAATTGTGAGGCTGCACTCCACTTCAGGGGGAAATTGAACTGTGATAGATTCTGAAAGAAATTGCACTCTGATTGATGTGGAATATCTGTCATAGGCATGACAAGCATGAGTTGTAGCACATGTAGAGTGTATTTCTCAATCCATGGCTAACCCTGTAGTGGGGGATAGAAAGCCTGTCTCCAAATGAGCTCATTTGGATAGCTGGAGGAGCAGAAGCCAGACAGGCTTTCATAATTAATCTTGCTCAGGGGATCTCATTCTCTGCCTTTTGTTGCTTAGGTCCTTTCTCTTTCATTGTCTAGTGGAGCATTACAAGTACCTTAGCCATAAGTAGAGAACTTCAGAAATGCTTACGTCTGGGGTGAGTTAGAACCTATTCATAGGCTATACCAAGATTACAGAAACCGACTTAGCCTTGTCCTGTCGACAAAAAAGAAAAAATCTAGGCGGTTCTTACCACAAATATAAGGACAGGACATTTTCTATTGATTTTTCCTTGGACCTACCATACCAACCCTGTACCTATATCACTACCTTCTTATTATCTCTATGGTACATGTATGACTTATTTTTTACTAGTTTTTTAATGTTATTTATATAGCATAGTTATACATATGTTGGGGATACACATGATATTTTGATACATGTATACTATGTGTAATGTTCAAATCAGGGTAATTGTTATATCTATTACCTCAAAAATTGATATTTTCTTTGTGTTCAGAATATTACAATTCTTTTTTCTAGCTGTTTTGAAATGTACAATTATTCTTAACCATAATTTTCCTATAGTACTATTGAATATTAGAACCTACTATTTCTATCTAACTGTATATTTTTACACATTAACCAACTCCTCTTCACCTCCCACTGCCTTCCTATTCCAGCCTCTTCTAACCATAATTCTACTCTCTATTTCCATTAGATTCATTTTTTTAGCTTCCACATATGAGTAAGACATACAATATTTGTCTTTCTCTACCTGACTTATTTCACTTAACATAATGTCAGTTCCCATCCATGTTGCCGCAAAAGACAGGATTTCATTCCTTTTTAATGGCTGAATAATATTCCATTGTGTATATATACATTTTCTTTATTCATCCATGGGTGGACACTTAGGTTCATTTCATATCTTGGCTATTTCAAACAGCACTGCAGTAAGCATCGTTGTGCAGATACCTTTTTGAAATATTAATTTCCTTTGGTTATATCCCTAGCAGTGAATATCTGGATCTTATGGTACTTTTATTATGAGTTTTTTGAGGAAACTTCATACTGTTTTCCATAATGGCTGCAGTGCTTTACATTCCCACTACCAGGGTATGTGAATTTTAACTTTTAAGTTATCTTTCCCTGCCTGTGTTTCTGACTTACGCTATTCCATTCCTATTGTATTTGTTCCTTATTCTTGCTATAGCAAATTACCACAAACTAAGCATGGTAAAGCAACATAAATTTGTGATCTTGCTGTTGTAAAGATCACACATTTAAAATAGTTTGATATGGCTATGTTGCTTCTGGAAGTGCTAGGGAAAAAATTGTTTTCTTGTCTCTTCCAGTTTCTGGAGGCTTCTCATGTTCCTCAACTGTAGCCCTGCATCATTCTGACCCCTGCTTCTGCCATCATATATCCTGCCATCACATCACTTTCTCTGACTCTCACCTGCATTCCTCTTTTTTATACGGACCCTAGTGGTTACATTGAACTCACCCAGATAAACCAGGATAATCTCCCCATCTCTTGAAACTTGATTTAGTCACATCTTTGAAGACCCATTGGCCATGTAAGGTAACATATTGACAGATTCTGGGTATTAGGACACGGACATTTTGCAGGGCCATTGTTCAACCTAATACACCTATATGAACCATCTGTTTGATCTTGTCATTTAACATATTTTAGTCTATGTCTTGGACCTTGTAACTTGAAGTTGTTCTTACACCTGAATTTCTTGGCTCTGTAATTTGATACCTCATGTTGTCCTCACTTGAGTTTGGTTTACCAGTTTGGATTCTCTCCACCTCCATTGTTTCACTTAGGATTCTTAAATCCAACCATTCTGTTGAAAACTGGCATTTCCTTCTTTCTTGCATTAAACTTTGAGCCCTTAGATTCAGCCAATGTAGTGGCTTGGTAGGAAAACCAAGCATCCTTCTAACAGTGAAATGTAGAAATTCTTCATCAACTTGGAGCTTCTAAGTCCATGTCCTCCCCCCGTTTACAGCCCTCCACATTCCTATGGAAAGAATACGTTTTTGCCACATAATCATTAACTTAGTCCAAGCCTAGTACCCCTGGGTCCAGCATTTGCAGTAATGACCTGTCCTATGACTGAAAGCCTGTCTGTGACACTTTGGATTGGCATCTTAGACAAGCTGAATTTCTTAGATGCTTTTGTTGTCATGTAAACCAGACAACCAGGAAAAAGGAAAGGGGGAAAAAAGAACAAAAAAAAAAAAAAACAAGCAAACAAAACTCTTCCCTGTTTGAGTTTATCGTTTATATGGCTTGGCTTTGTCCCCACCCAAATCTCACCTTGAATTATATCTCCCAGAATTCCCATGTGTTTTGGGAAGGACCCAGGGAGAGGTAATTGAATCATGGGGGCTGGTCTTTCCCATACTATTCTCATGATAGTGAATAAGTCTCACGAGATCTGATGGGTGTATCAGGGGTTTCTGCTTTTGCTGCTGCTTCATTTTCTCTTGCTGCCACCATGTAAGAAGGTGCCTTTCATCTCCACCATGATTCTGAGGCCTCCCCAGCCATGTGGAACTGTAAGTCCAATTAAACCTCTTTTTCTTCCCAGTCTCAGGTATTTCTTTATCAGCAGCCTGAAAATGGACTGATACAATTGTTTTGTTGAGGTTTTCCTTACATTTTAACCCTTACCTATTCCTTTAGCACCTGCAATGCAGCAGAGAGTCACAGGAACTACAGTGAGTTCTTAGTCAATAAAGTTCCTGGCCCATAAATGATTGTTTGCTATTTGTCCCTATAGATTTCATAGGATTCATACTGGCTTGCGATTATTAATCTATTCGGTTACAGATATGGCTTCGGTTTGCACAATTTAAAGATTTAAAGAAATCCCCCTACAGATGTAATGTTTTCATTTACATTTGGATTTCCATTTCAAATATTTGTCCCATATTTTCACAAGGGGATTTCTAAACTGCAATGCAGGGACCTAAATATAGAAAAATAATTCCTTGTTCAATTGCTTGTAAAATTTGGTAAAGTACTTGTCTAGTAGGGGAAAGCATCATGAATAACACATCAAATGAGGAAAAATTTGAAGGAGGGTTTGGGTAATTAGAAAAAACCTATTCAATATAAAACTTTGTTTTACAATATAATTCGATTTGTTTAAACCACACAAAATATACCTTGAAATTTTAAATAACACTAAAGAAAGTCTTATGATTTTTAAGGGCACATGATTTTTTTTTTTTTTTTTTTTGAGATGGGGTCTTGCTCTGTCACCTAGGCTGGAGTACAGTGGAATGACCTCAGCTCACTGCAGCCTCCACCTCCTGGCTTCAAGCGGTTCTCAGCCTCCTGAGTAGCTAGGATTACAGGCACCTGCCACCATGCCCGGCTAGTTTTTGTATTTTTAGTAGAGATGGGTTTCACCATGTTGGTCAGGCTGGTCTTGAACTCCCAACCTCAAGCAATCCACCCGCCTCGGCCTCCCAAAGTGCTGGTATTACAGGCGAGAGGCACCGCACCCGGCCTGGGCCCATGAATTAAAGAGCCTGAGACATGCTGTTTTTTCTAAAATTTTGTAACTCTTCGCATAAACTTAAATGCTATTTTTCCATTTTTGTAAATGGATTTTTAAATTATTTTGTTTACCTGTATTGTCTCAGTCTTTCATGGTTTCCATGTTAGGGCATGTGGGCAGAGCTAGAAAGCCATATAAAGGAAGATAGTAAAAATAATATTGTAGAAGACATATGGAAACAGTGAAAACTTGGGACTGAGAGATTTGAGAAAGATGTAACAGCCATTGGAAGGAAGAAGTAGATTTGGGAAATCTCAAAATAGAGAATAGCATACTTAAGAGGGAAGATTTGTTCTTTTACATTTAAATGTAGAGACTTTCCCTGTTTTAAAAGTGAGTCGTTTCCTGGGTGCTGAATCAAATATACCCTAAATTCTTACGTTTCTGTTGTCCTCTGCTCCCAGACTTTCTGTACTTTGTATGATTCAAAATCATCGGGTGGCAATTAGACAATAAAAGCATTAGAAAATATTGTTTACCTAAAATACATTAAATGTGAAAACTCAATTTAATTTTGTTCTGTTTTTAAAAGTGCTATATTCAAATTAGTTTGATTAATGACAAGAAAAATTTAGGGAAAGAAAATTGATTTACTCGTATTTTATTTTATTCTATTTTCCTGTTGACCTAGATGTACAAAAATTTATATCTCTGGGGCTAATTCACTTTTCAGGAGTCTAGGTGTTGAGTATTATTTAGATAGGTAACGTTATTAAATAACAATTATAATTTTCATTTAAAAACATATTTCCAGCCGGGCACGGTGACTCACGCCTGTAATCCCAGCAATCTGGGAGGCCAAGTCAGGCAGATCACTTGATCGCAGGAGTTCGAGACCAGCCTGGCCAACACGGTGAAACCCTGTCTCTACTAAAAAAATACAAAAATTAGCCGGACATGGTGGCGTAGTCTGTAATCTCAGCTACTTGGGAGGCTGAGGAAGGAGAATTGCATGAATTCATGAGGCAGAGGTTGCAGCAAGCCCAGATCGTACCACTGAATTCCAGCCTTGGCAACATAGCGAGACTCCATCTCAAAAAAAAAAAAAATTCCAGAGTACTCATTTCATTTCTGAATGGTGTCATAAGGAATATTAAATGGAAGATCATGAAGAATGGCTATTTTGTCTAGAATTTTCATCAAATATATTAGAGATAAAATTGTTATGGTTTAGTCTATGTCAGCAATGGGGTTTCTCATCATTCTCTAGAACAGGCAGTCATCTAGAGCCAAATCATTTTCTCCATGGAAACCAACACTTTCCCACTCACCCAGAGATCTTTTCAATTCTTTTCTGAAAGTTTCACAACTGACAGGAGGTTGCAGAGCTGTGACTTTACAGAGGAGCCATTTGAAATAATTAGCCTTTCCCTTAGATAAGCCCTCTTAGAAATTTTCCACACATGGTATAGAAAGCACAGGTCGGGTGTGGTGGCTCACGCCTATAATCCCAGCACTTTGGGAGGCTGAGGTGGGCGGATCACCTGAGGTCAGGAGTTTGAGACCAGCTTGACCAACATGGAGAAACCCTGTCTCTATTAAAAATACAAAAAATTAGCCGGGTGTGGTAGTGCATGCCTGTAATCCCAGCTACTCAGGAGGCTGAGGCAGGAGAATCACTTGAGCCTGGGAGGCGGAGGTTGCAGTGAGCCAAGATCACACCATTGCATGCCAGCCTGGGCAACAAGAGCAAAACTCCATCTCAAAAAAATAAAAAAGAAAAATAAAAAAAAGAAAGCACAGGCATTTTAGATTACTTCTCCATTGGCATTTGCCTCTTTTATCACTAAAATTAATTATCCAAATGTTGGTAGAGTCTGATCTCTTAGTAGTCAGAGACTGTCAACTGCATATAGTTCATATTTAAATATTTGCTTATTAAATTGCTTTCTACAATTAAGAAGAATCTTTGGTCATTTTTAAAAAAAGACACAAACCACAATTGAAGGTTATTCTAATGGGTTTGGTTTACTAAAGTATATTGAAAAAGCATCAGAATCCCATTAAGAAAGCTTAATTTACTATAACTGATCTTAGGCATCAACAAATACACATAGTGACTACTTTTAGTTCTAGCATATAATGTTCCTTTTCATTCTATTTTTGCTGTCGTCAATGTTGTCTGTTATCTTCATGCTTTAAAATGTATAAGCCTTTATTCAAACTTAGGTATTATCTCTAATCAATTCCCAATCTAATGAATACCACGGAAAAGACCAATTGTAATGATTCCAGTGTCTATGGAATTTATAATGATTGAGTTATTGCAGCATCAAGAATAGTTCTATCACTTTGAAACAGAGTCAAAGCCACTATTTCATAAAACAGTAAGCCTTAGATAATGACATCTCCCCATCTAAGTTGACTTGAGTAGTCATACTGTATTCTTTCATTTGTTGATTAGCAAATATATAACAATTGCCAGACATATGCCAGATATATTATACTCTGGGAGGTGTCTGTGGAGGATTAGGATGAATTTGAGGATCTCCTTTCCAACCCATGAATCATTAATTTGGAATATGGAATTTAATTTGTACCAAACATCATTAATGAGTTAGTTACTTAAACCTACTTCTTCAAATTTAATAAAGTAAGGGGCTATATAATGTAATAGGTAAGAAAATGAGCTCTAAGAGGCTGTAGTTGAGATTCAAAGACCATCCCTACTCTTTACTCATTGGGTGGCCTTAGCAAGTTATTCTATGCTTCAGTTTTCTCACTGATAAAATATTTTAAAATTCTGTTGTTATGAGAGAAGATAACATTTAAAAAGCATCGAGCACAACTCCTGGCATATGGCCAGGTTTTATATATGTAAAAAGAAAGATTATGATAAAAGAAAACAAATTTTTGGCTGAGGTATTTATTGACATAATTGTTTAATTGGTTTCTTCAAACAGATGATAAAGTGATTGGGAGCTTTAGCTTTTTGTGATCCTGCCTTTATATCTCAGAACTTACTGTTTATGCCTTCAGAAGTTTATGACTTTTGAAATTAGAATTTTTATAATAAAGTGCACATGCTGTAGATAGGGATCTATATGCTCACTTGGTTTGGAAAATCTTAGGGTACCAAAGTTTACTTAGCCCATGACTTGAAAGAGATCAGAACAATCTTCCCACAAGAATAAATACAGTATTGCATTTATGTAATTGAAATAAGATTATGTCTCTTCAACATAATGGATTCAATGTACCCTAGTCATCCATCATAGAGATTTTAGCATGAGAGGATATTAAGAAAATACATGTAATTCTGAATAAACATATATGGAATTAATGTGTCTCCATGAGAGTGTGTGCCTGTGTGTGTGTATAATTCCAATATTAATAAAAATGTTATCTTCTTTGAAACCATCAGTGCTGACTCTATCCAGCCTCTCTCCACACAGTATAAAATGTGGAAAATGTAAGTATTATGGTATGGAATTGACTCTTGCTCATATGTTGCACACCTAGGTGCTATTTCTATTATGGAGAACTAGAATTATATAATTTAGTTTAATTGTGCCCCCTTTTCCCCAAAGTTCATGTGTATTTATGCCATCTGTTTGGCCTTGTTTATTTTGTTATCACAGATAAAATAGAAGTTAAAATCTGAATTAACGTGCTGATATGTTTCATGGTGATAAAATATAATTGCTTATATACATATGCAGGTATTTAGTCTATAGCCTGTGTGTGTGTGTGTGTGTGATAACTTATGACCCTGTGCACATTGTTCTGTGGTTATTTTTTGGAATATGTAATTGAGTTGGACAGAGATACAGGCTCACAGCTTATGATTTACTTAGCCCTTACATGTATTGTTCTTAGACATTAAAAATTTTTTTAGTGATACGTCAATTTTTCTGTAAGTTCACACTCAACCTTCTTACCAGTGATGCCTTCCTTATGGCTCCTCATAAGCTTAACGTGCCCCTGAGTACATTTCTTTTTCCAGATGATGTATTGTGGAGTAAATAAGCAAAAAAAAGGTGAAAAAGTTGTTTATGTCCATTGTGTTTGAGCTAGAATGGATATTGATAGAAGTCATTTTCCCCTGGCCTAAAACAAGTCTATGTCTTCTTGAGGAGAAACAAATTTATGTTACTTCTAAAATTTGATTTCCCCGTGCTTCATTTAATTGAATGCAATATCAATATAGTCTTTCAAATGGCTAAAATAATGCCAAAATATAAATCACTATTTTCTATCCAACTATCATTTTCTCACTTTTTTTATGCTACTTTGATTTGCCTATTTTTGGCTTGATATTTTAACATGCATCCATGAACATCAGAAAATTTGTGGGTAGCCACAATCATCAATATGAGATTGGACAGCCTAGAAATTAAATACAAATAGATGTTGAGATTTGATGAAGTCTACTGTAAAAGCATTGCTGAAGCTTCCCTTTAATAAATGACCTTCATTCTAAATGGCTTATATTATTTTCCATACAGTAGATAGGCAATCATCTCTTTTCTAGTTTCATTTCCTTCAAGAGACGTTTTCTCCACCATTGTTCCTTCCTGGCTTTCCTCACCTTGTATCGATAGGGTAGTATATTTCCATTGCCCTCACTGTCTTTTTCCATTCCCCTTAAAATTGAATTAAACATAGTCTGTTGTTCCAGACATGAAGTGTTGACCCAACTGGGTTATTTAAGCTAAAACAAAGCACAAGATTGTTATTATTCCAATTGAAGCTTTATATGTTACAAGTTTGTCAAAGATGGAAAGTTCTTAAAAAGGAAATAATCTTCTTCTTCTTGTGATTTTGGAAAATGCACATAGTGGAACTGATAACCATTCTTACCCCTGGCCCCTGTATTTTCAGACCATCTTGCAGCTGATAATCAATTGATTTTGATATCAACTGTATAAGAAATTTAACATACATATTTTCTCTTGTCTTAACCTTGCATTAAATGTTTTCTGCAATTGTACATATTAGAATTATTCAAAAAAACAGTATTAAAATTTTGATGATACATAGGCAATTTTAGCACAGAAAAGATGGTTTATACCTCTACACGTTACCAACGTGATTCTCTACTTCAACTTTGGCAGCCAAATTGGTTAGTAGTTTATAATTTGGTTGTAAGTGAGTTGTAACATTCTTATTAGGTTTACCTTTGCTCTTTAGGTAATTGAGAGTTGGATCAGTGTTGATTGAAACTTTGATTTTCATTCTCTTTAAACTCACTAAAGCTGGGATAGAAGGAGGTGTATATTTGCCAAAAAAGGGATAAAGAAGTGACTATTAACATGTGATAAGCAATTTGGCCACAATATTACATAGTACTTATTTTAGAAGTTTCAGAACTTAAAAAAATAAATTATAATAAAACACTATCTGCAAAGTGAATCCTGTAAGTTCAAATTTCTGTGACCTTTCACTTACTCACTGGCGTATTAGAAGACAGAACCAGCAATTGTCATTCCGGAAGTTAGAAAAAAATTGCTGTTAGATTTTATAGATAGTAACTAAATTTCATTTATTTTTATGTAATTGTAAACATAAAGTTTATTTTTAGTATAGTTTTAATATGTATCCATAATTCTAAAAATATAAAATACTTAGAATAAAAATAGAATTGAAAGTTTGACAATTCTCAGATAAAAGCTACCTAAATGTTTAATTTATTTAATACTAACCCCCTTTTAATGCGTATTTTTGCTTAATTATAACATACTTACACATTAAAGATGTTTCTGACTCCTGAATGCTTTACTTATCATAGCAAAAGCATTTCTCATGACATAAACTTAGAGAAAAGTTTATATTATTGGCTGCATTAATGCCTGGTCATTGCCTAGCTATAGTATTATTTGCTTCCTGATTTTTTATTATGTTTGCCACCATAACACTAATTTGAAGATCACTTGTGTAAACCTATTTCTTATAATATAGTCCGGGTGTTTTCCTTAGGAAAGGCTCCAAAAGCGAAATTACTCTTTCAATCGTTAGGGCCAGATCTTGTAACTTCTAATTATTCTGAGTTTAAAGCACATTAATTTGCAGACAATATATTAGAAAATATTTCATTACATTTATTTATTGTTATAAGAAACTTCAGGTCACTTTAACAATATAATATTTTGCATTATAAACTGGCTATTTGTTATCTATGGTACTTAGTCTAAGGTAATCCTTGAGGATTACAAATCAGAATGCTAGAACCTGTCTAATAACTGAGTGTTCATGAGTGAGTGAAATAAAAATTGAGTACAGGTGTTCCTAAGAGAACAATATACCTAAAGCCCAGATACTTGGACATTTAGCCTATTTTAGTCTGTGTTTGCATATCTTCCCTTCCTCTGCCCCACACACCTAAAAATGTCCAAATTCTTTAGTACAGAATTCATGCCTTACAACTTTGGTGCTTCGTCAAATTCTCTCTATAGATAGATAGATAGATACACACATATGTGTATATGTGTATACATTACATATGTGTATGCATTACCTGTGTGTATGCATTACATATATACACATATGGAATGTATACATATGTGTATACATTCCATGTGTGTGTATATATTTTCTTTCCAGAAATTTGCAATTAGATTTGTAAATTAACAAAATCATGCTAGTGAATTAATATAATATGCACAAATGAACTTTACAGATTCCAGAGGGCATTTGTAGAACTAATAATAATCATAACTCAGAAAGGACTATTGCCTCTCACCAAAAAGAAATTGTAAATGGTATCATAGCTATTTCCATAAGCTGCACAACGTAAAAGAAAAAAATAATAGATGATGCTCAGAGCACCTCTTAGAAAAGTGACAGTAGCTTTCTGTCCTCCTAATGAGGCTATATGCAACTCATTTCCTAATTCCCCTGAAGAAGTAGGCAACGTATTATCTCCTAGAGATTGTAATCCCTATGTGTGTTCTTAACTTTATTCCCCTGGGAACTTAGCTGTGTCCTGAGCTATTTAAATGAATGTCTCCTGAGAATGCATAACTCAGCACATGTTTTTCAAGAAATTATGTAATTGTAAATATCTAGCTATTCAGAGAATTAAAGACTAACTATCCTTCAAGAATATTATTATTATTTTTAGGGTTAGGTCTCATTTTGTAAGAAAAAGTGGAAATAGGTAACAGTAGAAATGGGAAGGGTATAATAAAAAGTAATCACCTCTCCCAAGAAAGATAAAATAGAAGTATTTTCTGTGTGTTTCTTGCAATTATATCTTTACTTAATATTTGTTTAACAATTAGTTTACTGGACTCAGTAATAAATGCTAGAGATTTAAAATTAATAAAGCAGAGCTCCTGCCCTCAAAGAGCTTAGGCCATAAAGGGGACAGACAAATGAATGATTGAGCACATTGAAGTGTGAATACTTCTCACATACTCTTATGTAAGAAGAATATGCAGAATCCTCTGAGAGCACAGATTAAGGGCTGTGGACATTTGGCTGTGGCTTAAGAAATATTTTTTGAAGGCTATGTTCAAGTTAATTTTTCTTTTCTTTTTTTTTTTTTTTTTTTTTTTTGAGACAGAGTCTCGCTCTGTCGCCCAAGATGGAGTTCAGTGGCGCGATCTCGGCTCACTGCAAACTCCGCCCCCCGGGGGGTTCATGCCATTCTCCTGCCTCAGCCACCCAAGTAGCTGGGACTACCGGCGCCCGCCACCATGCCCGGCTAATTTTTTGTATTTTTAGTAGAGACAGGGTTTCACCGTGTTAGCCAGGATGGTCTCGATCTCCTGACCTCGTGATCCACCCGCCTCAGCCTCCCAAAGTGCTGGGATTACAGGCGTGAGCCGCTGTGCCCGGCCAGGTCAATTTTTAATAAAAGATGAAAGACGGAAAAGATGGGGAAGAGAGAATCACATTTCAAGCAAAAGAATTGCATGTATAATGCACAGACATAAAACATGAGAAGGAAGCTGGAGCAGTGGGCAGGTTCCAGATCTTGAATGGGTATCATGAAAATTCTATGCTGAATAAAATCCTGAAGGAGCTTTAAGATTATTTTAATGGAAATGATATGATGAGATTTGCAGCAATTTGGAGCCTTTTATGCCTGTTTGGCAAAGGATATGAGGATAAGATCACAGCCAAGCAAAATAAGAGATTCCTTATTCTGTTTGAAAAAATTTCAGGAGTCTGAACTAAGTGGGTGGCAAGAATTCTAGAAAACAGAGCTGATAAGCTATCAAAGCTGTAGAATCAGCGGAATTTGATGGCCATCAGATGGGGCAAGGTAGAGGACAGTGCTGTTAAAAAAACAAAAGTGAATTTGTCTTAGGTGGCTTGCTTGGTGGCTAATGATGTCATTTAAAAAACTGACAAATGTTAAAAGGCTAAGGTTGTTTCTTTGTTATTTGTTTTAATTATTTCCATTTTAGCATGAATTATTTCATTTTGACATGAAAGCAAAGATGTCTGACAGACCACTGGAGATAGAGTTCTGGATTATACAAGAGATAGGTCTGTTTTTATTGATTAGCAAACACATAGTAGTTGAACACTGAATAAAGGTATTTTGAAGAAGTTATGACTTCAAAAGAGCAGAGGGCTGAGGACACAATTTTTTTATTAAAAACAGAAATTGAAAAAATCTATAAATGTTAAATTAAAAAGGAAAGGTAAAGGACATAAGGTAAGGGACACAAAGGTACGGGAAAAGTAAGGTCCCACAAAAACTGAAGAAAGAGAGAAATATAAAGCAAAATCTAGAGAAGAAAAACTGAAAAGATTAAAGAGTTAAGTAGTAACTTCTTTGTGATTAAGTTGATAGAATTGCCATGACCTAATCTGCAACAGTATCTTAATCTGTCTAAGGGAGTGAGGATGGAATGAGATCACTAAGAAGGGCAAGATGTTACTTTTGGATATTCTAACCTGCGTGGATAGTCTTTACAATCTTTAGAAATGATAGCCAGAGGAAAGTAGTATGTGCTGTAACAAAAAAATGGAAAAATATTCTATGTTTATGGATTGGAAGAAGCAATACAGTTAAAGTATCCACACTGTCCAAAGCAATCTAGATATTCAAATCAATCTCTCTATTAAAATATGAGTGATTATTCACAGAAATAGAAAAAATAATTCTAAAATTTACATGGGACCACAAAAAACATGGAATAGCCAAAGCCATCCTGAGCAAGAAGAATAAAACTGGAAGAATTACATTACCTGACTTCAAATTATACTACAGAGCTACACTAAACCAAACAGCATGATACGGGCATAAAAACAAACTTACAGACCAATGGATCAGAATAGAGAACCCAGACATAAATCTATACATCTACAGTGAACTCATTTTTTACAAAGGTGCCAAGAGCACACATTGGAGAAAGGACAGTCTTCAGTAAATAGGTCTGAAATAATTGGATATCCATATGCAAAATAATGACATTAGACCACTACCTCTCACCATAGACAAAAATCAAATCAAAATGGATTAAATACTCAAATCTGAGAGCCCAAGCTACGAAACCACTACAAAAAAATGTTGGGGAAGCTCTCCAGAACATTAGGCTGGGCAGAGGTTTTTTTTTTTTTAATACCCCACAAGCATAAGCAACCAAAGCAAAACTGGACAAATGGGATCACCTCAAGTTAAAAAGTTTCTGCACAGCAAAGAAAGCAATCAACAAAGTGAAGACACAACCCACAGAATGGGAGAGAAATATTTGCAAACTATCCATCTGACAAGGGATTAACCAGAATGTATAAGGAGCTCAAACAAGTCAATAAGAAAAAAACTAATATTCTGATTTAAAAATGGGCAAAAGTTCTGAATAGACATTTCTAAAAAGAAGATATACAAATGGCAATCGTGTATGAAAAGGTGCTCAACATCATTGATCATCAGAGAAATACAAACCAAAACTGATGAGGTATCAATTTATCTCAGTTAAAAGTTAAAATACCCCAGCTTATTTACAAAAGACAGGCAATAACAAATGCTGGTGAGGATGTGGAGAAAAGGGTACCTTCCTGCACTGTTCATAGAAATGCAAATTAGTGCAACCACTATTGAAAACAGTTTGGGGGTTCTTCAAGAAACTAAAATTAGAACTACCAATATGATGCAGCAACCCCACTGCTAGTTATACAGAAAGGAAATCAGAAATCTGGAAATCAAAGAAATATTTGCACTCCCATATTTACTGCATCACTATTCAGAATAGCCGAGATTTGGAAGCAACTTAATTGTTCATCAAAAGATTCATGGATAATAAAAATTTGGTACATATACACAATAGAGTACTATAGCCACAAGAAAGAATGAGATCCGATGGTCTGCAACAACATGGATGAAACTGGAGATAATTATGTTAAATGAGCCAGGCACAGAAAGACAAACTTCGCATGTTCTCACTTATTTGTGGGAGCTAAAAAATTTTAAACAATTGAAGTCATGGAGATAAAGAATAGAATGATGGTTGCCAGAGGCTGGGAAAGCTAGTGAAGATGGGAGAATAGAGATGGTTAATAGATACAAAAACATAATTAGATAGGATGAATAAAAACTAGTATTTGACAGCATAACAGGGTAACTACAGTTTATTGTACATTTTAAAATAACTAAAAGTATAATCAGATTGTTTGTAACACAAGAAAGGATAAATGCTTGAGGTGATGGATACCCCATTTACCCTGAGGTAATTATTATGCATTCTATGCCTGTATCAAAATATCTCATGTGCCCCATGAATATATACACCTACTATGTACCCAGTAAAATAAAAATAAACTGTTTAATATTTTATATATATGTTTGTGTGTGAATTTTCTGCCTGCGTGTGTACGTGCATGCACATGTGTGTATGTCTGTATATCTGTATACATAGTAGGTATATATATATATATATGCGTGTCTATATATGTGTATACGTAGTAAGTGCATATATTTATGGGATACATTAGATATATATATGCATGCACATACATACACACGCAGGCAAAAAATTCACACTTTCTTTTTTTTATTATACTTTAAGTTCTAGGGTACATGTGCACAACGTGCAGGTTTGATACATAGGTATACATGTGCCATGTTGGTTTGCCGCACCCATCAACTCATCATTTACATTAGGTATTTGTCCTAATGCTATCCCTCCCCCAGCCCCCCACCCCCCGACAGGCCCCAGTGTGTGATGTTCCCCTCCCTGTGTCTATGTGCTCTCATTGTTCAACTCCCACTTATGAGTGAGAACATGCGGTGTTTGGTTTTTTGTTCCTGTGTTAGTTTGCTGAGAATGATTGTTTACAGCTTCATCCATGTTGCTGTAAAGGACATGAACTCATCCTTTTTTATGGCTGCATAGTATTCCATGGTGTATGTGTGCCACATTTTCTTAATCCAGTCTATCATTGATGGACATTTGGGTTGGTTCCAAGTCTTTGCTATTGAAAATTCACACTTTCTATGTAAGAGAGGCTTATAGGTAGCAGTCCAATTGAAACACAAGGTTAAAGAACACTTTGGGAGTTGTATTTCTATTAATACAAGCACTTGATTTTTACTTGGAGATTGTGTTTTATCAGAAGTGGTGAATGGAGGCTTGGGAAATGAAGTTTTGAAATGTGATACTTATCCTACCTGATTGCTAGCTCTTGGTACTATATTAGATATGTGGAATCATACTACTTTATATGTTTTTCCTGCGTAAATTGTCATTGACTTTAATGAGGAACCAAAAACAGGTAATTGAATATTTCCATTTGTTACAGGTATAATTACCCATTTAAATGAAGTCTTCCTTAGAAGGTGAATACTAGCATGATACTCTTTTGAAATGTCTTACAGTGTTGCTAGTTGTAGTTTCTGTAATCAAAGCTCCAATGTGTGCGTGTGTGTGTGTATATATATATATATATATATTTAAAAGATGGACAAAGATAAATAGTAATCAATGTTTTAAAATAGTGTAGCTTAACCAGTCAGAGTGACTATTATTTAAAGAAAAATCAAAAAACAACAGATGCTGGTGACGCTACAGAGAAAAGAGAATGCTTATACCTTTAGCGGGAATGTAAATTAGTTTAGTGACTGTGGAAAAGAGTTTGGAGGTTTCTCAAACAACTTAAAACAGAACTACCATTTGGCCCAGCGATCCCATTACTGAGTACATTAAAAAATTGTTCAACTAAAATAAATCATTCAACCAAAAACACACATGCACTCATATATTCATGACGGCACTATTCAAAATATCAAAGACAGGGAATCAACCTAGGTTCCCATCAATAGTGCACTGAATAAAGAAAATGTGGCTTGTATATACCATGGAATACTACACAGCCATAAAAAATAACAAATCGGCCAGGCGCGGTGGCTCACACCTTTAATCCCAGCACTTTGGGAGGCCGAGGTGGGCAGATCACGAGGTCAGGAGTTCAAGACTAGCCTAGCCAACATGGTGAAACCCCATCTCTACTAAAAATACAAAAATTAGCTGGGTATGGTGGTGGGCGCCTGTAATCCCAGCTACTTGGGAGGCTCAGTCAGGAGAATTGTTTGAACCCAGGAGGCGAAGGTTGCAGTGAGCCAAGATTGCACCATTGCACTCCAGCCTCGGTGACAGGGCGAGACTGCATCTCAAAAAAATAAGTAAACAAAGAAAGATAACAAATCATGTCCTTTGCAGCAACTTGGATGCAGCTGAAGGCCATTATCTTAAGTGAATAAGCACAGAAGAGAAAACCAAATACTGCCTGTTATCACTTATAAGTGGGAGCTAAATATTGTATACTCATTAACATAAAGATAACAACAGTAGACACTGGGGACTACCAGGGGATGGAAGAAGGGAGAGGGGCAAGGGTTGAGAACTAACTATTGGATACTATTCTTACTACCCGGGCAACGGGATCAACCTACCCTGAACTTCAGGATCAGGCAATATAGCTGTATAACAAAACTGCATATATACCCCCTGAATCTAAAATAAAAATCAAAATTTCAGGACTCTTTCAATTAAATAATGTTATTTATTCTACTCATTCCTCAGACCCTAACATAGTTGATGATGTTGGAGGTATTTCAGAGTTGACATAGCTGGTATAATTTCTGTGAAAGTTTCAGTGAGTGATTGAAACATGAGGATCCTTTGAAAAGCCATTCTCCCTTATCTTAAAAAAAAATTTTTATATCCTCTCAAAGGAAGACTTCTCAAACATTACCATTTTATGAGTAAAGATAAGTAAAATCACTTCATCCAAGTGTAAGTAACATGCATAAGAAAATTCTCATAAAAATTTTCTAGAGCCTTTTCATTTAGTTCAATAACACTCAAAAGGCAATAGTGATAAACTTGAAAGTTGGCAGTAGTAGAATATTCCTCCATATAACACCCAGCCAATACTGAAGAAAACTGCTGCCATATTTTCTACATTATTAACCTTTACAATGAGATATATATTTTTATGCATAAATAAAAATGTTCTCCTTAATGTGAACTTAAGTTGGAAATACTAATCAAATAAATGTAAATTAAGTTACATTGGTCAAAGCTGCTTCATTTTATCCTTTGTACATTTGCCTTTAAGTTACATCCTGGAAAAATAATCTTAAGAAATGTTTTAATCTCTTGTATTGATCGTAACAATAGCATTCTATTATATAGAAACAGGTGAAAGTATTAGTTAAGGTAGACACCTTTTTCTTAGAAGCATGCTATAGAATCCGGATGCTCTGAAAACCCCTCAAAAATCTTAATCTATATCTGATTCCTTCATTAATCTTCCCATTTTCACTGTGGTTCTAGAAAACTTCATCCAAAGTAATTCCAAATGCTTTTTCTTTTTCTTTTTTTTTTTTAAGTTCTGGGATACATGTGCTGAACATGCAGATTCGTTACACAAGTATACATGTGCCATGGTGGTTTGCTGCACCTATCAACCCATCATAGGTTTTAGGCTCAGCTTGCATTAGGTATTTGTCCTGATGCTCTCCCTCCTCTTTCCCCTCACCCACCAATAGGCCCTGGTGTGTGATGTTTCCCTCCCTGTGTCCATGTGTTCTCATGGTTCAGCTCCCACTTATAAGTGAGAACATGGGGCATTTGGTTTTCTGTTCCTGTGGTAGTTTGCTGAGGATGATAGTTTCCAGCTTCATCCATGTCCCTGCAAAGGACATGAACTCATTCTTTTTTATGGCGCATAGTATTACATGGTGTATATGTGCCATGTTTTCTTTATCCAGTCTATCATTGATGGGCATTTGGGTTGGTTCCAAGTCTTTGCTATTGTAAATAGTTCTGTAATAAACATTTATATGCATATGTCCTTGTAGTGGAATGACGTATAATCCTTTGCGTATATACCCAGTAATGGGATTGCTGGGTCAAGTGGTATTTCTTGTTCTAGATCCTTGAAGAATCGCCACACTGTCTTCCACAATGGTTGAACTAATTTACACTCCCACCAACAGTGTAAAAGTGATCCTATTTCTGAGCATCCTTGCCAGCATCTGTTGTTTCTAGAATTTTTAATGATTGCCATTTTAACTGGCATGAGATGGTATCTCACTGTGGTTTTGATTTGCATTTCTCTAATGACCAGTGATGATGAGGTTTTTTTCATACGTACTTTGGCCACGTAAATGTCTTCTTATGAGGAGGGTCTGTTTATTTCCTTCACCCACTTTTTAATGGGGTTGTTTTTTTCTTGTAAATTTGTTTAAATTCCTTGTAGATTCTACAACCATATGATCTTCGACAAATTTGACAAAAACAAGCAGTGGGGAAATGATTCCCTATTTAATAAATGGTGCTGGGAAACCTGGAGAGCCTTATGCAGAAAACTGAAATTGGACCCCTTCCTTATGCCTTATACAAAAATTAACTCAAGATGAATTAAAGACTTAAACATAAAATGTAAAACCATAAAAACCCTGGAAGAAAACCTAGGCAATACCATTCAGGGCTTAGGCACGAGCAAAGACTTCATGACGAAAACACCAAAAGCAATTGCAACAAAAGCCAAAACTGACAAATCAGATCTAATTAAACTAAAGAGCTTCTGTACAGCAAAATAAACTATCATCAGAGTGGACAGGGAACCTACAGAATGGGAGCAAATTTTTGCAATTTATCCATCTGACAAAGGTCTAATATTCCAAATGCTTTTATCCATTCATTTATCTTCTATGTTAAAGCATTTACATAGAACTGGTTATGTGAGTTGACCCAATTCCCTCCGAAGAGCTGGATTTTCATAAATGATTTCAAAATGTAACCTCCCCTAAAGAAAACCTCTGTCAGGTTTATCAAGGTAGTATGGAGTACTTCTCATCATATGTAGATATAGCACATTTGTAGCTAAACTCTACGAACTCTCTCAGTTTATGTACTTACCTTGATTAAAATCTTCCCTTGTAAATAATTCATCTCCAATCTTATTTTGATAGTCTTTTGTCCCATTCATGTTTACCCGTATGGTTAAACATGTGAATTTGAGATAAGGCAGCCAGGGGATAAAATTTAGTTTTGCCATTAACGTTTTCAGAGCATATGGCTTGATTCTCTGAGGCTTAACTTATGATGTGTATTAAAGGAACAATAATAATATTTATTACAGGGTATTCTTGTAAATATTGCATAACATAAATAATGTGAAACCAATACATTAGAATAGCACATTGAAAGAATTTAATATGTGTTAACTATTCTCATTTTCAATAATTTTATTATTCTACTGTTTTTGCATCTCTTTAAGCAATGTAAAATGAAATGAGATAGAGCAAAATAAGCATAGGGTTTTAAGTTAAACAGTCCTGAATTAGTGACCTGATTCATATCTTATTTGCTGTGTGACTTTAGGTTTGTATCCTAACCTCTTTAAGTCACATATTAGTGATTCAACGACACGATGCGTATATAGCAGCTGACATGAATTGTGTCCTTATCAAATGCCTGTTGAATAAATATATGAGTTATATGAATGATGTACATTTCAGTGTTGGTCTTAACAGTTTCAAAACAGCCTTTATTAAATCATTTAGCATAGGTTTATTTCTTACATATGAACAGTATACTATGGAAGGCACTAGGATAAGTTCAAATAGGCCTGGTAAGGACCATTACCTACCTTTATGGTATGTAATATAACACTGCATGCTATTGAATTGGTTAATAATTCTCTGGAAACAGTAACATCTGTCTTTGCTCAGGCCTAAATTATAATTCATGTACATCTGAGTGTGCCTAGAAAACTGATGGGGCAGGCCTTCTCAAAATCGATTCCCATAACCCCTTATCTTTTCCTCTAGAAGCCTAACAAGACACCTGAAGCAGTGATGGGTGTGGCCACAAGAGCAAAAAGTCGAGAGTAAGATATTAAGAGAAAACATTCAAGGTCAGCAATGAGAATACTTGCAAGGCGGACTCTGAAATAAGCACTGGGGAAACGGAGATTTTGGAGCTAAGTGGCGTGGCTAAAAAGGATCCATGGGTCCAGGTTGAGGACCAGGATATGGTCACTGGGATTTTCAGTGTCAGCTGAGAAGCAACAAATCTGAATTACCTAAGAGATAATGGGTGAGGCCATCTCGGTTATGTAATCTAGACATAAATTTATTTCCCTACATCAGGGTTCAATCTTGGTAAGAAGAAAACTTAATTTAGTGTTTACATATAAGTCATTCAACCACAGTAGTCAAAACAATAATAGTTAATTCTAATGTTTACCAGATGAACTATGCCTATCTATAATCAAATTCTTATTACTTATTGGCTTCTCAGGGGTTGGTCTTTAAATTAATTTTATAAAGTCATTAGAATATGCATTATGACCAAATACACACAAAATGCATTAATAAATTATTTCTGTTTTTAGACATATGGTTTCTCCGGTGGTTTCTATTATTTTCCAAAATCATGTAGTAATAAAATTCCCCATAAATAAGAAGTAAAACAACACTTTTGATTGTACATGTGCTATTTTAAAACTCAATTATAAAAGTTAATGGTCCACAGAGCTTTTTTTTAGTTCATAAAAGGTGCTTATTTAACCCAGTCTTGGAATCCCAGACAATTACAAGGATGATATTATATTGGATTAAAATTCAATTAAACTACAAAGCTACATCTCTTCCTCCAGAAACTCTCAGAGAAACAAGAAACAACTTTGAATATAGGTTATTTCCAGATTTGATTTTAAACAATATATTTGCAATAGAATTATGTAGACAATATGATGGAAAATAGTTAATTGAAAAACAAAATTGAAATATTGTAGTGTTATTTCCAGAAACAGATAAGATGACTCACACATGCCCAAGAACTTTTCAAATGAAAGTAGATGGAAATCTCTTGCCACTTGACATTAAAATTTCAATAGAAAATGTATCTGGCTATATTCCAAGCTGAGTAATTATATTTGGTCCAGGGCATAGACATTTGATGCCTCAGAATACTTCAATCTAACTTTGGGGGGGACAAAAAACCTAGGTCCAGGACGTTCTAGCATAGTTTTGGTTCTTGGAATTGGTTATCAGGCATGAAGCTTAATAACTCCAGAGGTTCCTTTAGATATCTGGCTAATTCAGAATCAAGAGAAGGTATGGCTGAATTGTTTTCAATCACTCAATCAATTTTGGCATGTTCACTTGTTTTAATGTACAGTGTTGAAAAATAATTAATAGAATTGGGGGCTAAGATTAAGAAATGGGATTTAGAAAAAAATAAACCTCTAAGAGGATGTGCCAGAGAAAGTGAAGAAGTAATTCATCCATATCAAGCCTTGGTCACACACTCAATTACGAGAAAATGGCCAACAGTTTCTATTACATATAAAGCAGCTATCATTGTTACAGCTTGCCCTATTGCAAGGTAGACAGAGGGAGGCTAAGGAGCAAATTCTGCCTGAGTTGTTCTTCACAGAGTGGCAGCCCATTAACAAGCTCTTTTGGCATATTCAGTGAGCAAGGAAAAGGCAGGCTCCTGGGTCTTATTGTATTATTCTAAGTTCATTGCACATTCTGGAAGTATGAGAGAACAATATAATTTGTGAGGTCATGCCCTTTGCCCTCATATATGTGGGTTCTTGCAGTAAGCCTCCACTGCAGAAGATAATCTGTGTAACCCTAGAAACGCTGATGTGCTTGATCTCTTATAAGAGATCAAGCACAGTAATATAAGCATCCAGAATCAGAAACTGTTGTATTATGAAAGGCCATTGTAAAATCAGGCTGAATTTGAAGCAGAGTTTTTAAAATTAAGGACTGTTTCAATAAAAATGTAGTTTAGTTTTGAAGAGAGGTTTACACTTTATAGAACACTATATATAGATGCTATCTTATTTAACCTTCAAAATAGCCCTAATAAAAAGTAGATATTTAATTTAAAGATAAAGAAATTTAACCCCATAAAGACTGAGAGATTTTTTTTTTCTATTTATTAGAATGGAAGGGCAGAGTTAGGAGTTGACACACAGGTGTACTGAATTTCATTCCAGTTGTATGCACATGGGCATACTATATATTCCTCTTTGGAACAGTCCTCATTATGCGGTGTTATTCAATTGAATGTCTATTACTCATAAATGATTCACCATTGCAGTAAACATTGTCATGTAATTAATAAGAGTTAGAAGCCCAGGTAAAGTTATTCTAGCTTAAAGCAATTTTCTATTTTAAATTTTTGATCAAATCTGCAAGGCTATTATGGGAAGACTGAAATTCCATTTGATTTGCAGAATTCCATTTGAAACAAGAACCGTACTATTGTCATGCCAAGTGAACAGTAATAAAAAGACATATTTGATGCAATCAGACCACATCTATATATGAGGTGATTTTAGTCTCATGGCTCTCTTTTTTTTTTTTTTTTTTTAAGTATTTACTGTTACATATTTAGAGGGTACAAGTACAGGTTTCTTATATGCAAATATAGCATAGAACTGAAGTCTAGAATTTTAGGGTACCCATCACCTGAATAGTGAACATTGTAGCCAATAGGACTCTCTTTTTGAAATAAGAATAAAGTTAAGAATAATAGCAGTGAGTAACACTGAAGGCATGCTTTTATATCAGGCATTATCGTAAGCAACTTATGTATATTAATTTTTTGAAACCTTACAATAACCATATGAAGGAAAAACAATTATTTTCCCCTTTTACCATCAAACTGAGGCACAGGGCCTAGACTAGAATAACTTCTTAAGGATTGCATAGCAGGCCAGGCTGCCTCCAGGCAGGCTGGTTCCAGAATGCATGCATTTAAGGAAGATACTATACTACCTCCTACAAGAGTAGGATTATACAATGGAGGGAAACTGGAGTCACACAGAATCAAGTGGATTCCTGGCTCCGTTGCTGCCCAGCTGTGTTACCCTGAACCAGATGTTTACCTCATTTCTGCCATGGTTTATTCTCTGTAAAATGGAGATGCTGGAAAAGCCTTTTCCCTAGGATCATTAGAAGGCTCAAGAGAGACGGTGTGAGTTAAGTCTACTTTCTTGCACATTAAGTAACGAACAAATGGTAATTGTAGAGGAACAGCATAAATTGTACTTTAAAAATAATCTACCCTAAGCTCTTAATTTTAAAAGGAAGTGAAAAAACTGAATTCCAAAGGGCTAAATGGCTGATTTTATATCGTGTCAATGTCAGAATGAAGAGTAGAAGCCAGGCCTCTCAACCCTTTTAGGGTTCTTTGAACAAAAAAGCAGTAAAGAATTTTATCTCACGTGTCATTTCTCCCATTAAAAAGAAATTATTCAATCTTCTGACCTCATGATCCACCCGCTTCGGCCTCCCAAAGTGCTGGGATTACAGGCGTGAGCCACCGCGCCCGGTCAACACGGTGAAACCCCGACACTACTAAAAATACAAAAAATTAGCCTCCAAAAAATTGGCGGGCACCTGTAGTCCCAGCTACTGGGAGGCTGAGGCAGGAGAATGGCGTGAACCCGCAAGGCGGAGCTTGCAATGAGCTGAGATCGCGTCACTGCACTCCAGCCTGGGTGACAGAGCGAGACTCAGTGTCAAAAAAAAAAAATTATTATTGAAATATTTTAATCATTTTCCTCTGTTTAAGATGAGTCTACTGATGGTGACTGTCATTGGAATATCTTTTCAGTCTTGTCCATATATCATAACTATTTGCAAGTAAACTGTAAAAATGTTTCTTCTATCAAATGTCGATAATAAATTGCCTTGAAAAAAATAAGAAATAGCAAGCATAATCCCAAATTTTGTGGTTTTGAGGCAATAAATTCACAGAGGAATCATTTTTCTTGCTTCGCAGAGTTAGGATGTCTGCTTACTTATGTATTTGACAGCAGCCGTGGTTTGAAGCAAATTCAAGAACTAAGAGGTCAGGAGATCCACAAAAATATTATAAAAAATAAAAAGCCCAAGCAAATACAAAACAAACTCTGAAAGCAAGAAAACCTTCAACTTTGGCTTACTTGTCCATCAGAAAAATTCCTAAGCCAATCACGTGGAACATTTTACCAAGACAATGAGCGTACAAGCTGTCAAACTGATCGTTCTGTCTTAACTTACCGCTTTCGAATAAAGCAGTCCCTGATGCCAGAACTGCTACTAGTAAGGCAAGGATTGAAATGAACTGTATCATATTTGATAGTTTTATATGGGTACCGTAAGTAATCAAAGAGAATTCAAGTTATCTAAAGGCAGGAGTCCTACAAATCTTAAAAATATTCTCATAGTTGCCTAGAATTAACTAAAGAGATTTTTTTAAAAAAGAAGAAAAGAAAAATAACATAGTTATTAATTGAATTGAAATATGGTTCCTAAGACTATTAACAGCAAACAAGGGTAAATGTATTTGTTCATTTGATATTGTAGGGTTACTACCTTCCAGCAGTAAAATCTACAGATAGACGAAAGAAAGGTACAAAGATAAATGAAGATTAAATGTAGTGATGATCCAGCTTTATGCAAAATGACAGCTGAATTCTCCCTGCACTCAGCCTATGATGGAGGTGCTTTAAGTTATCATTCTTTCATTTTTTTAATCTGAATAATAGATGTCACTTACAAAACAAGCCTTGGCCATATAATCTTTTTCATTATTGGCCATATTAATCTTTTTCAAGCTGACTCAGTTGTAAAGTTGCAGCAGGAGAAACTCTGAACTTATAGCCTGGAAAGAAAGAAATCACAGTTTAGCAGTCTAAGATACCAACACTGTTTTGATGAGGTTTTCCTTAATAGCATATTATTTGACACTCATGGTAGTATAAAAATTGACAAGTGGAAGAAATTTAGAAAACAGCCAAAGGAGATACTTTAGATTTTACTTGGGCAAATACAAAATAGGCAAAATTCTAACAGTGAACAGACTAAAGATGCTCCATTTATTTTCCTGATTATTAAGTATCTATACATTGAGCTGAATAAAAGATAGAAGTACTTAATGAGACATACAAAAAAAAAAGAAGCTGGTGGAAAAATGTAAATCATATGTAAAAACCAGTAATAACTGTGCTCAATATGGTTCTATTTTCTATCTCAACTTTTCTTTGTTTTCATCTGTCTTGCTAGACTTTTGGTTTATCCACTGAAATGCACCAATCTCTTCTAGAAAACAGCATATTATACATTTAAAATAAGAAAACAAAAACACATATAATCAAATGAAAAAAACACGCTGTTAATATGTGTGGGTGTTTCTTAAGCTTAATGTAATTCAGAAAACTTTTACAAAACATCTATTAGCATCTACTGGTAATACTTCCACTGATGTAAGTATATATGCAGACACATGTACATAAGTGTACAGCTCAATGACTTTTTATGAAATAGACATCTCTGTAACAGTACCAATATCAAGAAAAAAGACATTACCAGCACCATGAGCAGCACTTCTGTGCTGCCTTCCAGTTTCTATCCTACCAAGAGTACTGGCTGTCCTGACTTCTATCACAGTACATCAAGTTGGCCTGTTTTCATACATTATATAGTATAATCATAACATATGTATTCTTGTGACTTCTTTGATTCAAATATTTATTTACATCATCATATTTATACCGTTCAGTATGTAAACTCATAATAATATTCATAAATTCCTTGAAAAGATACTATATAGGTAATTTGTCTATTTTAAAATTGGGTTATTTGTCTTTTTGTTTTTGGATATTTTTTTACTTCTTTGTATATTCTAGATATAATTTTCTAAAAAGCAGTAAAGAATTTTCTCATGTGTCATTTTTTCCACTAAAAATATTTACAAATATTGTCTCCCATTATGTAAGATGTCTTTTAACTCTTTTGATGGTATCCTTTGGACAAAAATTTTAAATTCAGATGGTGTTCATTTTATGTACTTTTATCTCTTTTTTGTTCTTGCTCAAGTTTTTGGAGTCATAGTTCATAGCCTTTTGCTAAATCCAAGGACACAAAGATTTACTCCCATATTTTATTCTTAAAGTTTTATAATTTTAGTTCCTACATTTATGTCTTTGATCTGTTTTGAGTTAACATGTGTATATGGTGTGATATAAGGTCCAACTTCATTCCTTTGCATATGGCTACCCAGTTGTATCAGTAATATTTGTTGAAAATACTATTTTTTTCTTTATTGAATTGTCTTGGCACAACAATCAAAAATTATTTGAATAGCTGTATGTATATGCTTATATCTGGACTCAATTTTTTCCCATTAATCTATATGTCTATTCTTCATCAAGTATTACACTGTCTTGATTACCACTGCTTTGTAGTGAAATCAATAAGTTTAAGTACTTAGAATTTATTCTTCTTTTTCAAGATTTTTTTAACAATTCTGGATTTTTTGGAATTCCATATGAAATTTAGAATCATCTTACCAATTTGTACAAAGAAGTCATTTAGAATTCTGATAGGGATTATGCTGATTTTGTAGATCAATTGGTGAGTATTGTCTCAACAATGTTAAATTTTCAAATATATGCACATAGATTATTTTCCATTTAGATCTTCTTTAATGTATTTCAACAATGCCTTGTAAACTTCAGGGTATAAATTTTGCACTTCTTTTGTTATATTTATTTCAATGTTATTTTTAAATTGCTATAGTAAATAGAATTGTTTTCTCAATTTTATGTTTAGATAGTTTCTTGTAAGTATGAAAATACAATTGATTTTTTATAATAATTTTGTATTCTGATACCATGCTGAACCTATTTATTAGTTTAATAGCTATTTACTGGATCTTTTAGGATTTTCTATATACCAAGTTATGTTATCTTCAAATAGAACTTTTTTCTTTCTCTCCAATGCAGATACTTTTTATTTACTTCTCTTGTCTATTTGCTTAAGCTAAAACCTCCTGTACAAATAGAAACATCAAGAGTGCACATTCTTGTCTTGTTCTTGATCTTAGGAGGAAAGTATCCAATCTCTCACCATTAAATACAATGTTAGCTGTGGAATGTTAGCTGTAGGCACCTTTTATGAGACTGAGGATGTTTCCCTCTGTTCCTAATTTATTCAGTGTGTATTATCATGAAAGGGTTGTAGATTTGTTAAATTCTCTATTTAGATGATCATGTGAATGTTGTCTTTTATTCTATAGAGATAATGTATTAATTGATTTTCAAATATTAAACCAATATTACATTCCTGGAATAAATAATAATTGGTCATGATGTATATTTATTATATGTTGCTGGTTTGGGTTTGTAGTATTTTGTTGAGTATTTTTACATCTATATTCATAAAATGTATCAGTCTATAGTATTCTTATATTGTGATATCTTTGTCTGGTTTTCATATCAAGGTAACACTGTCCCCATAAAATGAGTTAGGAAGTGCCTCCACTCATATATTTTGCAGGAGTTTGTGAAGAATCATTATTAATTTATAATTAATTGAGAATCAATAATTTATGAAATAGAGTTTGGGAACTATTGTTTTTGACAAGCTTCTCTCTAGATAGAATAAAAATACCAGCTTTTTTTTTTTTTTATCTTGGGTTCCCTTTTGATTTTTTTAAACAGTTTTAGAAAGTAGTTTTGAAGACTACAACTAGAATTACTTTTTGTTTTCAAGTTCAATTTTCTGGTGCCTGAAGATATAGAATGCTGAAGTATGCTAGAAATAATTCACTGATTGAGACTCAAGATAATAACTAGGTATGAACTCTGAAGTTATTATATATCTTGATTTTATTAGGTTGTTATTTTGCTGTGTGTGTGTGTGTGTGTGTGTGTGTGTGTGTGTGTATGTGTATGTGTTTTAAGGACACAAACCAAGGTTGTAATGAATGGGTCAGAATGTCCTCTAGAAAGAGATACGCAGAAACACACCAGTAAAACAAGTTGGACTTATTGGGCATTACAGGGAAGGAAAACATACATCATAGGGGATTATGGGCTGTGTCGGTAAGAGGGTATGAGAAAGGACTTACTACAAGGTCCTTTCAAGATTCTGCCTTTTGTTAGGTGATTTGGGGGAGGGTTCAAACAAGTAAGGCTTTTGTCTGCATTGAATGTTATCAGGAACTGCACATAATTTTAAGAGCCATAATTTTTAAATCTTATTGGAAGAAGAGAAGATGAGAGCAACTTTAAAGCTGTAATTCGTAAATAGATACCAGTCACTCATTTTAGTTGGAAAGGAAGGATGTTTGATATTTTAGGGTTTGTACAGTAATGTGGTTTTTCTCTTTACTTAGTCAACATCATGAATTGTTGTTGGTTTTTGTCCCACTGCATCATGTCACGGAGTGACCTTGTCTGAAACAGAGCTTCTCTGAAATTTTTCCTGTTTAACAGAGGTACATCATGGACTACTGAAGGTGCTGGCACAGCTCTTAAAAATACCAAGAAAGACCTAACTGTAAAGGTCAAGCAAGTGGATTTTATCAGATGATTTTCTCTTTCTCGTGGATGAACCATATAAAAAATGGCACATTTGATATAAAATCTATAGATAGAGGGTAATTAAAATGGAGAAAAGGACCATGATACTGTAATTAAACTTCAAATGTTACATTCTATACATCAAAACAAAGAAATTCTATGTGACTGTTTTTCCCTTGCAATTGTCCAAAATAAAAGATATTTAAAGCACCATAGAATCTAGCAGGAGAGGTTGGGAAAAAAATGTAAATAAAACTCTGACTAAATCTCGTGTTTGCACAAACAATCAATACTATAAAAAATGGGGTCTAATGATTACAACCCCACATGACAAATAATTTGTCATTGAAAAAGCAGTAGCTTTCTAATAATGTGACAAATATTATTTCCAAATCTCAAGGTCAGCAGTAAAGTTTGAGGACCTCTATTTATATTCAAATCTTTCACTAGGTTCTACACTATCAATTTACCAAGTTCCCTGTTAACCTCAGAGATTTAAAGGACACTCTTTGGAGTAAATCAGCTGTGTGTCCTTCAGAGCAGTGAATTCAACTTAAATGCACACACATGGGAAGATCCATTTTTATAACAGGGCCAGTGTTTTAAAATTTGCATGTTCCTTTACTCACAAAAATCACTTTTTTAAAGGTATTTTATGATTTCTATTCATATTATACTATTAAAATAACCTGGCATTGGCATCACTGATTAACTGGAAATATAATACGTTCATTGAGGCTCCTTGTGCTGTTTCTGAATTTTATTATATCTGTAAAAATTGTCAGTAAATTTTTAAATTTGTTTTATCTATTATTTTGACTTATTAATGTAAACCAGTGTTATTAAGGCTTTTAGATTTATTTGGCATACAAAAAAATATATGTTATCTAATGCAACTTTAACCAGAGCAAAAAGGACCAGATTATTCTGACATCATTTCAAAAACATGGGTCTGCCGCATGAAACACATTGATCAATAACCTGTGTGTAGAATTCCTCCATCTAGTGGACCTGAACAGCCAAGCCTAAAGTGAGGATAACTGGGGCAAAATATATTGTGAAGTTCTTGGTGAGCAGGATTCATATGAAAAAGGATGAAGCTCAGAGGGAAGCAAATTACTCATTCTCTTCTCCATGTTAAATTTGATTTCTGAAATGAAAAAAAACCAAGTATCTAAGACCCACCTCAGAATACTAAAACAGAGATGATCCTAAAAGTGAGTCTGGGTAGAGGATTTTTTTTTTTTTTTTTTTTTTTTTTTTTTGACAGAGTCTCGCTCTGTTGCCCAGGCTGGAGTACAGTGGCGTGATCTCGGCTCACTGCAAGCTCCACCTCCCGGGTTCATGCCATTCTCCTGCCTCAGCCTCCCGAGTAGCTGGAACACAGGCGCCGGCCACCATGCCCAGCTAATTTTTTTTGTGTGTGTGTATTTTTTAGTAGAGACTGGATTTCACCGTGTTAGCCAGGATGGTTTCGATCTCCTGACCTCGTGATCCGCCCGCCTCGGCCTCCCAAAGTGCTGGGATTACACGCGTGAGCCACCGCCTCCGGCCTGGGTAGATTTTTTGCACCAATTAAAGCTCCCATCCTTTCAGATTTAGACCTCAAATTACAATCTTATTCACACACATGAGCTTAGGTAGGTAAGGTAAATGTGTGGCTTTATATAAAGATGATATGAAGTGGTAAGGCTGTTGTGAACATTCTCTCTCTCTAATGAAATTCACCTTCACAAGTTTCTTAAATTCTGGACTAGACAAATTATATGGATATAATTCAACTCATGGAAGATTAGTTTGCCACCCATGTTTAGACAAACCACTGGACGCTAAAATGCACTATGAAAAACTGTGATTACAAATGTATGAAGTTTGGCATAGGTACAGCAATTTGAAAGTTAACTACGCTTACTTCAATTGTGTTCACACTGATTTATAGGCTTCCCTTTGTCAGTCCCTGAACACTTTCCAAGATACTTTTCTACCTAGCTTAAGCTATTAAACCTTGAGCCTGCCTTTTCAACACTGGACTAGAGGAACACTCCAAAAAGAAATCCAAGAGCACTTCTGTTAAATTTTGCTTTTAAATGTAATCTGCTGGGAGAAATTTGAATGTTTTAGATAAAACTTATGATCTAATGTTTTACAGGAACACTGAACTTCAATTTTTAGGATGAGATTATATCTCTGAGTATTCTATTCTGCTCCATAGAATATATAATATGTATTATACCATATATATGATATATATGGCAACATATTTGAACTAATGTTATTGAGCCAATATCACACAGTATGTATAACTATATTTTGTTATATTTCTTCTATTTTAGCAAATACCTCTGCTTTACTCCTAATTATTTAAGATCAGTTTATTCATGAATTGTGCTTCCATAGAAGTTGTAGATTTTTAAGCTTATCTAAATATAAAATTTGAAATAGAACAACTGATTCATTTATAATAGTAAACCATCCCTTCTTAAAACATGAAATGTCTCTTAAAAATTAAGATCTTCTTTTATACCCTTAATTTTATAGCTTTTCCTCCATAGGGTATGCATGATAAGCTAAGTTACTATATGAGTTAAAGTTTTAGGTGCTGGTGTGATGGTTTCCTACTTTCTAGGTGGTGTCAAGCTCTGAGATTCTTACCTGACATGCAAGCTAATAAGTTAGCCTATCACAGTTTCATGGATGCTGGCAGAAGACACATGACTCTTGGTTCAGAGAAACAGGACAATTCATTACACACAGTGATAACATTAGCCAGAATATCCGTTTTTTGCACTCATTCTCTGAAGTCCAGTTTCTATGAGGAAATGTGAAGAAGGCTAGATGATGCCTGCACATGCAGTGGGGGAGGAGGGGGGCTTTTAGGAGCTAAAACCTCGGCTTAGAGAGTTCAAACATTTTATAATGGAAAACTGACAAACCTTTTCTTACTCTGGACACCAACATCCTCAACAAATGTATGAAAGTGCTGTCGGCAATCATATCCCTTCAGATGGTAATTGTTTAGAAAAAGTGTAGAGAAATGCTGTTGCCTTTTACAGACATATCTTGTGTCCAGCGCCAGGCAACTCACAGGGCTCTCATTTATTCTTTTTTGTTTCTATGTTTATTCTATTGTTCTGTTTTCCTTAGGTAGATAAATATCTTCATATAATGAGATCTATATATTTCCATTTCTAATCCTTGCACTTCTTAATTATTGTTCTTTCTGTTCTTTCTGTTTCTATTGTTCTTTCTGTTACCATTAGGCAGGACTTCCAATACTATGCTAAATATGTCTTTGTTCCCAATAGTAAAAGAAGTATGTCTAAAATTTCCTTGTCAAGTATACTGTTTACTATTGGTTTTGGTGCACAATTTTTATCAAGTTAAGGAAGTTTTCTGCTAGTCTTCATTTACTGAGTGTTTTTTTAGAGATAACTAAAAAATATTTTTATAGAGATAACAAAAAATATTGTTTTCTTTTAATGGGTTGACTGTCATTGAAACATTTTTCTTATACTGAATCATTCTTATATTTACATCCAATCTTATGATTATAAGACAAAACTTGAAATTTGGTAAGCTTATGTATTATTTTAAGATTTAATGCCAGCCGGGCACAGTGGCTCACACCTGTAATCCCAGCACTTTGGGAAGCCGAGGCAAGTGGATCACCTGAGGTTGGGAGTTTGAGACCAGCTTTACCAATAGGGAGAAACCCCATCTCTACTAAAAATACAAAAATTCGCAGGGCATGGTGACACATGCCTGTAATCCCAGCTACTTGGAAGGCTGAGGCAGAAGAACTGCTTGAACCCGCGAGGCGGAGGTTGCAGTGAGCCGAGATTGTGCCACTACACTCTAGCATGGGCAGCAAGAGCAAAACTCCATCTCAAAAAAAAAAAAAAAAGAAGAAAAAGATTTAATGCTACATGTGTATATTTTAATATCTAATGATATATATTCAAATATTTAATGCTACACATACATTCCTAAGCATGTGTGTGTATATTCCTATGTAAAATAAGCCTATACTTTTCTTATATTGTCATTATCTTTATGGTAATCAAAAACACACTAGCTTCATAAAATGAACTAGGCATCTTTGTCTTTTATTGCATTTTGTCAGACAACTTGTATAAAATAGGTATTTATTTATTATTATACTTTAAGTTTTAGGGTATATGTGCACAATGTGCAGGTTTATTACATATGTATACATGTGCCATGTTGGTGTGCTGCACTCATTAACTCGTCATTTAGCATTAGGTTTATCTCCTAATGCTATCCCTCCCCCCTCCCCCCACCCCACAACAGTCCCTGGTGTGTGATATTCCCCTTCCTGTGTCCATGTGTTGTCATTGTTCAATTCCCACCCATGAGTGAGAACATGCGGTGTTTGGTTTTTTGTCCTTGAGATAGTTTGCTGAGAATGATGGTTTCCAGCTTCATCCATGTCCCTACAAAGGACATGAACTCATCATTTTTTATGGCTGCATAGTATTCCATGGTGTAAATGTGCCACATTTTCTTAATCCAGTCTATCATTGTTGGACATTTGGGTTGGTTCCAAGTCTTTGCTATTGTGAATAGTGCTGCAATAAACATACGTGTGCATGTGTCTTTATAGCAGCATGATTTATAGTCCTTTGGGTATATACCCAGTAATGGGATGGCTGGGTCAAATGGTATTTCTAGTTCTAGATCCCTAAGAAATCGCCACACTGACTTCCACAATGATTGAACTAGTTTACAGTCCCACCAACAGTGTAAAAGTTTCATATTTCTCCACATCCTCTCCAGCACCTGTTGTTTCCTGACTTTTTAATGATCACCATTCTAACTGGTGTGAGATGGTATCTCATTGTGGTTTTGATTTGCATTTCTCTGATGGCCAGTGATGATGAGCATTTTTTCATGTGTTTTTTGGCTGTATAAATGTCTTCTTTTGAGAAGTGTCTGTTCATATCCTTTGCCCACTTTTTGATGGGGTTGTTTGTTTTTTTCTTGTAAATTTGTTTGAGTTCATTGTAGATTCTGGATATTAGCCCTTTGTCAGGCTGAGTAGATGCAAAAATTTTCTCCCATTCTGTAGGTTGCCTGTTCACTCTGATGGTGGTTTCTTTTGCTGTGCAGAAGCTCTTTAGTTTAATTAGATCCCATTTGTCAATTTTGTCTTTTGTTGCCATTGCTTTTGGTGTTTTAGACATGAAGTCCTTGCCCATGCCTATGTCCTGAATGGTATTGCCTAGGTTTTCTTCTAGGGTTTTTATGGTTTTAGGTCTAACATGTAAGTCTTTAATCCATCTTGAATTAATTTTTGTATAAGGTGTAAGGAAGGGATCCAGTTTCAGCTTTCTACATATGGCTAGCCAGTTTTCCCAGCACCATTTATTAAATAGGGAATCCTTTCCCCATTTCTTCTTTTTGTCAGGTCTGTCAAGGATGTGGTGGCTTATTCCTGTAATAGCAGCATTTTGCGAGGCCAAGGCAGAAGGATAATTTGAGGCCAGGAGTTACCAGCCTGGGCAGCATCCTCTTTTTAAAATGAGAGATAAGAAATGATGCCCCAAGTTTCTCTTTGGGACAATAGGCATACAACATAGAAACCAATAGACTGAAATTCCAGTCCCCATGGGGCTTTTGCCACGGTGGAACTTTTGAGATAATCAATCTCATCTATTGAATCTGTAAGTATTGTTTTTGTATGTTTGTTTAGGCTGGATGTGGTGGCTCATTCCTGTAATAGCAGCATTTCGCAAGGCCAAGGCAGAAGGATAATTGGAGGCCAGGAGTTACCAGCCTGGGCAGCATAGCAAGACTCTGAATCTACAAATAATAGTAATAATAATAATAAATTAGCCAGATGTGGTGGTGCACTCCTTTGGTCCCAGCTACTTGGGAAGCTGAAGTGGGAAGATTGCTTGAGCCTAGGAATTTGAGGCTGCAGTGAGCAATGATCACACCACTGCATTCCAGCCTGGATGACAGCAAGACCCTGTGTCTAAATAAATAAAAAGTTTGTTTAGATTAAATACTGCTTAAAACAGTAAAATATTATTCTTTTCTCTAGAAAGCTTCAGGGAGTTTTTTATTCAAAAATTAATCATGCTTCTAATAAACTGTCATACAAAAAAATAATTAAACAAGCACACATGATGGAACCAATAGGTAAAGCATCCACTTAACTAACTCATTAATATTATGGAACTTATTGTAACTATTTTCTTTTTCTTTACTATTATTTTAGGTTCAGGGGTACATGTGCATGTCCTTATATAGGTAAATTGCATGTTGCAGCAGTTTTGTGTAGGGATCATTTGTCACCCCGGTAATCAGTACCTGATACATAGTTTTTGATCATCACCCTCATCCCACCCTTCACCCTCAAGTAGGCCTTGATGTGTGTTGTTCCCTTGTGTTCATATGTACTCATTGTTTAGCTCCCACTTACAAGTAAGAACATACAGTATTTGTGTTTCTGTCCCTGTATTAGTTGGTGTACAATAACAGCCTCCAGCTTCATCCATGTTCCCACAAAGGACATGATCTCATTTTTTATGGCTGCATAGTATTCCATGGTATATATGTACCACATTATTTTATTTGTCCATTGTACTATTGATAGGCATTTAGGTTAATTCCGTGATTTTGTTATTGTGAACAGTGCTGTGATGAATGTACACATATATGTGACTTTACGGTAGAATAATTTATATTTCTCTATAATGGGATTGCTGGGTCATATGGTAATTCTGTTTTAGTTTTTTGAGAAATCCTTAAACTGCTTTCCAAAGTGACTGAACTAATTTACATTTCAATCAGCAGTGTATAAGCATTCCCTTTTTTGCACAACCTCTCCAGCATCTGTTAATTTTTTACATTTTAGTAATAGCCATTGTGACTAGTGTGAGATGGTATCTCCTTGTGGTTTTGATTTGCATTTCTCTAACGATTGGTGATGTTGAGCTTTTCATATGCTTGTTGGCCACTTCTATGTCTTCTTTTGAAAAGTGTCTGTTCATGTGCTTGGTCACTTTTTAAGGGGGTTGTTTTCGCTTGTAGATTTAAGTTCCTTATAGATCCTGTATATTAGACGTTTGTTAGATGCATAGCTTGAAAATATTTTTTCCCATTCTGTAGGTTGTCTGTTTACTCTCTTAATAGTTACTTTTATGGTGCAGAAGCTCTTTAATTAGGTCCCATTTGTCAATTTTTTTTGTTTTTGTTGCAGTTGCTTTTGGCATTTTCATCATGAAATGTTTGCCAGGTCTTATGTCCAGAATGTCCTAGGTTATCATCCAGGGTTTTTATAGTTTAGGCTTTACATTTAGGTCTTAAATCCATCTTGAGTTGATTTTTGTATATGATGTAAGAAACAATTATAATTTTGGTCTTTTTATCATTGATTTACCACTATCTTATTAATTTTGAGTTTTAGACTTGTAAGAATAAAGATGAGGCCAAAGTAAAAAAAAAATTAAAAAGTAATGAGTCATCAACAATTGTGACATCATAGACTAATTAATATGGCATATTACTTTTAGTATGTTTATAACAAGCTAAGGTACAAATATTCTATTATTGTGGGGAAAACATTGTTTTGAGCTTTGTTTGGTTTTGGCTTAGTTTTGATCCTCAAAGCAAGACTGACTCTATTGATTGAATTAATTGAATCATTGTTAACAGGTGGTGTTTATGTTGTCTATTTATGGAAAGAAAATGATGTATTCTACTTAAGAGAAAATAATCCAATAGGTTTCTGATTCAATTGCTTAGATATTTTTGACAAGTCTTCCTGGAAATCTGATTTTTATTCTATACTAAATTTTGAAGGAATTTCAAGTCTCATTAGTGGTAAGTCCCAAGAACTTAAACTAAGTGAAGAGCTTTTGATTTAGGATTCCCAATGTTCATGCTAGTTTTGTACTACAATCTTGTACAGATTCATCTGCCTGTTTTTTAATGGAAGATTTCTGGTATATTTTTTCCTTAACTTTTTCTGTACATCTATTTCTTTGTAGTTCATTGAAATGGTTGACAATGATTTCTCCTACCACCGTTACAAAAGACTAGGAAGTAATATGAACATAGATTATATGAAAAGCTACTATATATCAAATTGTCACTTAAAGATCAACTGTAAAATGGGATCTAGAGAAACGGTGCAATTTTAAACCTAGAATCAATACCAGAAATTCATTGGATCAGGATTTGAAAACTAGTTGACATGTTTTGTAAGTTCTGCAATTTAATACACAGCAGAGAAATTTGAATGATTAAGGACTCAGATACCACCACTTTCTAGACTCAATAACGAGACATTAACAAACAAGGTCAAGCTGAGGTTTGGTGATAGTTTTCTGGTAGCCCAAAATAGATTATTTTACCATTCTGTGCAGAAATGGATAATTCTAATTGGGAAGAGGGTGTGGAAGTGAGACACTGTAGAAAACATGACAAACTGCCAAAAGACTTCTCCTCTCCCCCTTATATTCATCTGGTTCCTATTGGAGATATTATGATTTTATATAATCATATTACTTTAGCTAAAATTGATAGACCCAAGGGACTAGACCTAATTTTTCCCTAGAATAATAGTTTTTTCTTTAGGATTGTGGACTCAGAAGTTCAAAAGATCCAAAGTTGTCTCAGGTGATAGAACCTGGCTATCAGATCTGTAAGTTCGGGGCTATTAGAGGCTATGTGGAGAAAGTAGGTCTGTATTGACAGAGCAATAATGCCAACAGGCATGGTAGAAAAGACTTTCCTCCCTGGGAGCAGTTCTCTTGGCAAAAGGAGCATAGATCAACTTCGGCTCTTAGAGAATAGAAGTGATACTGTTCCTCTGCTAGTACCCAAAATTACCAATAAAAAAAGCTACTAATGAGTCATATCCTTTTCCATTAAGCCAACAGGAGTGCCTCTGAATATACCTTTAGTTTAATAAAAATAAAATATTATCCCTTTCCTCCACTATCTCCTCCACCAAAGGTTTTTGAACACTTCAGGATAAGCTAATGTATAAGAATAAATGTAGAAGGTCTCAGATGGTCCTTCTCTTTTTGTTGAAGCAATATTGCTATTACTGGAATTAGAGTCATCAGGGAGCTAGTGCTGATTTGGAGTTAAAAATCATCATCCTGTACTGGGTAATCAGTGGGTATCGGATGAAGTCATGGACCTGAACTGTTTCGCTGGCTGCAAGTGCTGTCAGCAAAAGAAATACAGGACAGCTTAGTTACAAATTGCACTTTATATAATAAACAGATAAAGAAAATTCTTATAAGGAGACTTCAGAAATGGCTGGCTTTTCCCAATACAGTTCTCAATGACACTTAGAAGCCATGTTGACAATCAAAAGGATGGCATAGAAATGAACCCAATGCTTGATTAAGGTTTGAAATTAAAGTGTATCAAATCTAGTGAGTACTTTGATTAAAAAAGTATGATAATAATAAGAAGGGACAGTTGGGATGACTTTCATAGATTAAAATCCAGGAAACAAACGATTGGTAGGAAGAAAAACAACTTCTTACCAGGCAATTTTATCCCCATATAGGGAACTGCATTTGGCACTTCCATCTAAATTCCCACTGTATTTAAGGAAGGAAAAGTAAAAAAAGGGACAAAAATGTTTCCTGGGATTAAACTTCTTTCTCACTTAATTTAGGTTTTCAAGATTTATCTGTATCAAATCTGTTCCAAATCCAACCGAACTATAAAAATGCTAACCTAAAACTCTGTCATAATTATCCAGTGATAAAAAAATTTATTTTCTAATGTGTATCAAAATAATTGACAAATTTGTATATAAATAAAATAATAGTAAATGATATAAATTCCTGACAGGCCTGATGTTTAAAGCAGTAATAGTTCTCTCTGTCCAAAAAAAATCTTGTCATGCAGTTGAATATTTTTAATACAAATAATAAAAGCTACTATTGATTGAGGACTTACTATACATCAGGTACTTTCTCTATCCAGTGTTTAGTGGACGTTATTTAATTCCCACGAATTTATAAAGAATTTTTATTCCCATTTTAAATAGGAAAGAGAACATGAAGTTAAAAAATACCATTTGCTTTTTCAATATGCATTTCTTGTGTGATTGTTTCATACACACTCTGTGGTGGGTGCTATTGATTAAATAACAAATAAGGAACAGGCCTTAACATTAAAGAATGTGTGCCCAGAGTCACATAGCATATGTCACTTGTAGGAATTAAACCTGTTTGTCTATAACATGTATTCTTGATCTTTGTGAATGTTACAGCATCCTTCTCCCACTCCCCCTACTAAAAACAAAATTAAAACACAATATGCTATATATAATATGCTATATAAAATCAGATCTAACTGTAAATGAAGTTGTCTCATTTTGCAATACCAACATGTGGGATTCTTTAGTTTCAACGGAATGAAAGGTCAGGAGTAAGGCCAATAAATTGAAAACCTTCTTTCTGATTAATAAGCAATGTGAACTAGGACCTCTGATCGTATAGGAACAAATAGAAGCATTAGATCACCTGTTGTCTGCATACTCCAAAACATCTTTCTCATAAGTTATAATACCTGGTGTTTGCAATTCAAAAGACATAATGATCTTGTAGACCTTTTCCAATTACAGATTTCATTTTTAGCCCCTGAATCTTATTTTATTTTTTTTCCCAGCTGACTCTTTTTTTTTTTTCCCCAGCTGACTTTTTATTTCCCAGCTGACTCTTCTCCATCTCCAAACTCGCTGTAAGGTGCTATGTCATCTAAAAGTCTATATCCTTTATGAAGTGAATTTTCTTTGAGGTCTCTTGTTAATTTTCTTCCCTTAACCAAAACCCTATTTATTAAAAGTGCTCCAACAGTGGAAAAGCTTTCCTGAAAGATCTTGAAGAGGATAATTTTCATATAGATAAAACTGCTAAAGAAAAACAAAAACAGAAGCCTAATTCGGTCGCCTCTTTGATTAGATTAGCATAGTCTACTTAGTTGTAATCTATTTAACTGCTTGCAAAGCTGTTATAAACCCAAACACCATAAAATGAAACAAAAATTTACATAATTGTAAATTGTAAACGTCTTTAATGGGGGCTATACCAAAAACGTCAAAGCACAGCTAATATTTTAAAACGTACTAGTTTTCATTTATTGAAAGCTTTAGTCTGTGCCAATGTTCTATCTTATATATTATTTGATTCAATCTTTAAAAAAATCATAGGAGATGAGTATTATTATTATCTTTATTTCATAAGTGAGGCAAATGAGTTGAAAGAAAGGTATAATAGATAACTTGCCTAATTCTCAAGAAGTTATGCAATTATATTTAGTCTGCACAAATATTCATGTGATAATAATGTTTTGAATAAAGATAATATGGTAAGCTCTGTGACTCAGTATATGACCATAAAAATAAAGTCTTTTGGGGTCATTTCTGAATGCCCATCTGCTTTGATTACTTTGGCTGAAATCACTGCCAGACTCTGATAGACTAGCTCACCACGGTATTTCCTTTTCCAGTTCAGAAAATGCACTAATTTTAATTAACCTACTCTTTCAGTCACCTATTTCCTAATTTATTCATGCTATAAATATGATTTATTCTACAAGTTAGGTATTTCAGAAAGCATTGCCTTGATTATTAAATGTAATACTACTAAGTCTGTCTCCTGCATATTATGATTTTTAATTGATTGCACATTATTTTTTAAATTTTATTTCATCAAAAATAAAATCATTCCTTTTGAATATATAAAATCAGCTCACAACTAGTTATCTCTGCCTGCAAGTGCTTTTCATCTATGGCATTAGCTAGTTACCTAAGTGGCTCTGGATCACTTGATACATTCCATTTTAAAACTTTAATCATGTTTTTAGACAATATCCTAAAATACGGATATTTCCAACAAATTTTATTTTCTAGATTTAGGAAATGCTGTGACAGTGTTCTTTAACATACTACCCATATCAAAAGAGATAAGATTTTTATGCATGGCTTTTCTTTTCTACAGACAATAGCTTTTTAAATAATAATCTGGAAATTTACCCTGCTGACTGCCTTAGTCATAAGGTATATTATTGGCATAATATATTTTTCAGAAGAGGCATTCAATTAGTTTTTAGATTAAAAAAATGTTAAGGGAAATAATAAATGACCATGCCAATCCTTTCTATTTTCAAATAGCTGTATTGTGATTTGGGACAGTTCTGTGGACTCATAGTTAAAAGTTCCCATTTCTTTCTTTCTAGCTACACCTACATGCACACACACATACAAACATTCATATGCAAACACACATATAAACACACACAAATACAACAATATATATTCAGAGATAGCTCTTTCCCACTCTATGTATGCATGTGTGTATACAAGCATATATGCATACACATGAAAAACTAAAACTGAATTTGATAGAAGCATGAATATACATTATTGAACAAAGGAGACAGGATGGTGGAATTAAAAGGGTTTCATCTCAGTGCTTTCCTAAGTATAAAATGCATATATTTATAATTTTTACTTATCGCAGGGTAAACATAAAACTGATTCATTAAAACATGATCTTTTTTAAGAATTCAAAGGACATAGAATGTTGTGAAATCTAGTATTTTTACTTAAGTGCCTTTTTTCTTTCTAATTCCACCTCCCAATCTCTTATTTTATAAACCAGTTGATACTTAAGTGGTTACTCGGCAGATGATATATCACTTACACATTTTCTATGTAGTAAACATTCATGTGTATATATATATATAATTTTATATTATATAAAATATAATTTTATATTATATAAAAATATTTTTATATAATATATATTATATTATATAAAAATATATATATTATATATATATATATATATATATAAATTCATCCAACTACTTTGTTGGAATGATTCCTATGGATTGAAACTGCCAGGGCAAAGAATATGCAAAATCTATATTTTGACTAAATTTCTCATGACAGGAGTAAATTTTCCCAGTATTTGAGAATTCCTCATTTCCTACAGCCATACAAACATTAGGTATCAATATTTGTAAGCATTGATAATATAATTTATAATGAAATTGCCTTTTATCTATTAACATTAGGCTATATCATCTTTACATAACCTTATAAGTCATTTGTGCTATTTCATTTTCCTCTTTTTCTTTTTCATTTCCCTTGTAAAGTTAATCTCTTTGTTACTAAGAGCTCATTTATGATTAAGGATGTTAACATTTTGTCAAGCATTTTAAATATTATGTTTCTCCCATTATTTTACTGTGGTGTTTTATTTTTTGGCTGTACAGAAATTATATATTGAAATATAATCGTGTTCTGTTCTTTAAAAACATGAATATACTTCAAATGGTAATCGATGGATTAAAGTCTTGCATTTTAAATATTATAAGCCACATTCAATGATTTGTTTGATTAATCAGACAATGTTCTTTGGCTTTATCACTTCTCTTTCTCTCGCTCTGCACAGCATATTTGTTCTGCATTTGCACTGCCTCTTAAGATATCAGTTGTAAAGTTACATTCCAACTCTACAGGCACACAGAATGAGAGAAGTAGAGCCTACACAACTGCAATGACTGTAATTTTATAATTTTGGCTGTCATGATCCTGTCTTGAAACCATAATTAATGCAATAGATTTGTTAGTTTCTCTCAGGGGTAAAAAGAAAGATCTAATTGAAACCTTGTAAAGCAGCTTCATAAGTGAAATGGAAAGGGTATTTGCCTTTTATCTCCCAGCCCCACCTTGACATAGTCACAGATTATTAATGTTTCATAAAAATGTTGTAAATCTTTATGTTAGTATCACTACAACTGGTGAATTTAGGTCAGTAACGACAACTGCATCTTTAATTGCTAATGTTTAATAGCATTTCATTTCTGGAATCGCAAGCTATAGATTCTGAAAATGACTCTACAGTTGGTCATAGCCATTTTATAATTCTCAAGAAGTTTTGCACCAGCATATATAAATTTAAGACAAAAGAAATATTTCATATTCTAATAAAGTAGCAAGTTGATTCATAAAAAATAGCAGTGACATCTAGATAAAATAATAAGCACACTCCTCCTTCTCCCACACTGACTGGTATCACCCTTTGAACACTGTGAATACGGCATGTTGAAATCTTAGTTTTAGATACGAAAAATACTATCTTCTCCTTTTCCTCTTCCTCCTTTTCCTCTTCTTCCTCATTTCCTTGTTCCTCCTCTTCTCCTGATGCTGCTGCAAAATAGGACAACCTGAATTCTGAGCTATGCTTATATTGTCTAATTGAAAAAGTATTACCTGTTATCGGCTGACTTATGGCACTGATTTAAATCTCTCATCATCAAATAATTCCATGAAGTTACTCTAGGATGTATTTACTCAACAAATATTTACTGAACACCTACTATGTGCCTAACTTTAATATTCATGATGACTAGGCTTAGTATATGAGACAGACTTAGCTTTTCTCTTTATGGAGCTTATCTTCATAATCACAGTTTAAAAAAAAGTTGACTGATAAGTATTTGGTTATTAACTTATAGCTTAACCTCAAAGGGACTAAGTGTCCAGTGCCAGTATATCAAGTGACTATTAAGGATATTATTGGTGCTACTAATTATAAATTGGGAATTATCAACCTATCAAATAATGAAGTTGTATAGGCACAATATAAATCCACCATATGATAGCAATGACAAAAATTAGGCCTACAGCCTAATCAGAATTCAGAGACATGAATTCAGAGATGACAAGTAAGTTACAAAAAGAGGTGACCAAGACTCCAAGTACCAAATTCTGTTGTTCCAGTATCTCATCCTCAGCTCACAGCTATGACTTCATATGGAATTCCTTATGTCCAGCCTGTGGACGTAAATCTGGCCCAGATTTATGAAGAGGCTAGTTACTATAAACCAATGTATTGATACCAGCCAAAAATAGAAATGGCTTCAGAAAACAGCATTGAGGGAAAATCTTACTAATGGACAGAATTTTGAACAAAGCTTTAGGTTATCACTTTGACGTAGAAGAAGACGCTTGCACTGAGGGTATTAATAAATTTTGGGGCAGAGATGAAAGACCTAGTTTCTTCGTCAAGAACCAGCTGGGTGCGGTGGCTCATGCCTGTAATCCCAGCACTTTGGGAGGCCGAGGTGGACAGATCACAAGGTCAGGAGATCGGGACCATCCTGGCCAACATGGTGAAACCCCGTCTCTACTAAAAATACAAAAAAATTAGCTGGGCGTGGTGGCACATGCCCGTAGTCCCAGCTACTTGGGAGGCTGAGGTAGGAGAATCACTTGAACCCAGGAGGCAGAGGTTGCTGTGAACTGAGATTGCACCACTGCACTCCAGCCTTATGAGAGAATGAGACTCAGTCAAAAAGAAAAAAAAAAACAGTACAGAGTAAGACTGGAAGAGCAGACATTTGAAGAAAAGTATGCAGATTTTACTATGAGAAAGTAAATAAAATGTGAGGATTTTTGTGTCTCATGGCGGTGCCCACCAACATTCATCACAGAGAAAGCACAGACAACTAGGTTAGAAAGACTCATCTAACAGTGGCTAGCCACCCTTTGACTTCAGCCACTCCAGTGCTTGCATATAATCCCACAATTGTAGTTGCCAGCATTGGAGAAAGTCAGGCCACAAGTGGGACCTTCACTATGGGCTCCTTCTCACTAAGCGGCCAGTGCTGCTACTGAATGTGTGACCAGTCAGAAATTTAGACCAACACTGACCCCTTGATATGACACTGGTTATTAATTTATTGTCTGTAAACTCCTAGTTCACCTTTCTTTGACCTGATCTGTGATACTGGCCCTTAATCCCGTGAACATTTCTCCTTTGCCAGCTGGTGCAATGTTAAGCTTTGTCAACAGGGGGCAATGGAAGGACATTGAAAGGTTATAGTAAGAGGAAGGGGCTTCTCTCCTTGGTACTGGTGTACTTTTGTTTTCCTGTGATGTAGCTACTAGGAAATTAGTGTGCCAGAGACCTAGTGGCAAACACTCTGTAGTAATTTTTTGACCACCCCACACGACTTTTCTACCCAACAATCCAAGCCCACATGTTCCAGCAAACTTCTTCCCCACTGATCTTTTGCATATTTTTGGGGTAGCAACACTCTTTCTAATAAGATCTGATTCTCAGGCTGGGGGATGGTGTCTCTTCTAAGTTCTTATTCCTTCCTTGTTCTTGCTCTCTCAGTCTTACATGTACAACACTCTTTCACTCCTGTTAGTAGTTAATAATACCTTACATTAATTTTTCTTGTTTAAATTGTTGCTATGATTTCTATGTCCTGACTGGATCCAGATTAATACGCATGCCATCCCCTCAAGGAAACCAACCAGGTACTTTTTGGCTAATTGACTACAACTAGCTGCCTTCCATGGTGGCAGAACAATGATTCATCTTTACTGAGATTCTTGCATTTTCTAGATGAAGGTTGTGTTTCTATTTTTCAGTGTCTTGGACAATAACACTCTCTGAAGGCAGTCAGAGAAAAAATACACATGACAAGTTAGGCAAGGAAGACTTTATTCAACACTATTGCAATAGATGAAAGAGATTGGACTCAACTCTAGTAAAACAAAAGACAGGAGAGTTTTTAAGCACTGTGGTGAGCTGGTGGAAAGTACTAGACATTTTAGTGGGAAAGTGGGTCAGTATGATCAGCCCCTCTGTGTTTGCTAATTGGTGATTAGTTTACTGAAGTTAGGTTCCAACCCTCCCACAGAGACTAGGAGATTGGAGCACTATCTTCTTTGATGATTGTATTTCAAAAGGATGACTCCCAGGACCTCAAAGTCCTGGACTGTAAACCTTGCAAGAGGCTGGAGAAAATTTACATCTGTTTTCCAATGTAAATTTTCTAAGAAAAGAAAGGTGAGGAGTCTGTGGTCAGGAAAAAACCTAACTGTCAAAAGTTTAGTCAAGTTTTGATCAGGGTTCACAGAATAACTGATTTATTGTCATTGGATCCCATACCATGTCACCTTGGATCAAAGAGCTCCTTTTACAGAAAAGGAAGTGAGCACGGGATCCTCCAGTCCCCCCATATCCCTCATCACTTAGAAGCTGCTAGACTAATAGAATATTAAAATGGCCTCTTAAATGTATAGCAGAATACCAGCTTGTAGTTGATGCCATTCGTTGAGTTCTGTGATTCAAGATGTGGAGTCTAGTTGAAGCCATGGCCATTACATGATTTTATAGGCCTGATAAATAGAATAAATAGATCTTGGAAACAGTGGTTCTTCTCATCACACTTCCAGGGATCCACATAAGGAATTTGTACTTCCTGTAACTATAACTTTAAGCTCTGCTGGAGGGGGTCCTGGTATCCAGGGGGAATTCCAATAAATAGATGACATAGTAAAAGTTCCACAAAACCTAATTGTTGGACTGCTGCCTAATTATCTGACGCTTCTCCTGCCAAAAGACCAGCAAGCAAAACAAACAAAGTTACTATATTAGCAAGAATAATAGAACTTGATTATCATCAAGAGCTAGGAATGCTACTACCTGATGGGGTTAAGAAGAATTATGTCTAAACTTTAAGATAGTCCTTGGGGAATCTCCTGGTGTTACTGTCATGCGCGTCCATGTGAAGAGAGTCCACCAAACAGGCTTTGTGTGAGCAACAAGGCTGTTTATTTCACCTGGGCGCAGGTGGGCTGAGTCCAAAAAAGGAGTCAGCAAAGGGTGGTGGGATTATCATTAGTTCTTATAGATTTGGGATAGGCGTACAAAGTACATTCTCAAGGGTGGGGAAAATATTACAAAGTACCTTCTTAAGGGCAGGGGAGAATATATCGTATCAGTTAGGGTGGGGCAGGAACAAATCACAATGGTGGAATGTCATCAGTTAAGGCTATTTTCACTTCTTTTGTGGATCTTCAGTTGCTTCAGGCCATCTGGATGTATACGTGCATGTCACAGGGGATACGATGGCTTAGCTTAGACTCAGAGGCCTGACAGTTACCATGTTGAGTGATATCTGTTAATGGGTAATTATAGAAAGCATGGCCTTACAAGGGCATGCTATTCTTTCTTTCTTAAGTTACCATGTTGAGTGATATCTGTTAATGGGTAATTATAGCAAGGATGGCCTTATAAGGATATGCTATCCAGTGGCACAGACTTCTGAATGATTAAATTCTATATTTATCTACTGGATAGGCAACCCATAACAGTGAGAGGGCTGGTTGAGAATGAAGGGAATGTAAAATTGGAGAAAGAGGTGGAGAAATACTAAATATAAATTTCAGCTTCAGAATCAATGAAGCAGTGCTGACTATAGTCCCACCTCTTCTATTGTGTTTTTTTCAGTGAAACACTGACCAACTGCCACATGAAGAAACAGTGATAGATTAAACTTAATACCAGACAAGCGGGGATCTGGTTAGGGCAAGGAGTAAACTGTAGCAGAAGCTCTTGGTGCCCCATCCATATCTCTACAGCCCTTATCATTTAAGTGCATAATAATTAGTAATTACTTTGGAGGGCAGGTACAGATAAAAAGGCATAATGAGGGCTTTTGGTGGGTTGAAAATGTTCTCTTTTTAGATCCAGGTATTGGTTGCACAGGGGTGTTCAGTTTGTGAAAATTTAATAAACTTATGTGCATGTGTGTGTCTGTACAAAATTAAGGAAAGCAGAATGGAGTTAAAATCAGAAATATTGTTCTAGAAGTTATCAGGTTTAACCAGGTTTTACAAACAGCCAATTTTGTTATTTAAATAATCAAAATATTTCCTTTAACATTTATCATGATTTCAACTGAAATACTTTATTACAGCCAGGAAACTGATTTCTATTGTATCATTATTTCTTAGGTAGTTCTGTTGTATTTAAAACTCTAATGTCCATACAATAGCGTCAGAATGCTTTTTTTTAAAACTCAGTTAAAATGCATGCCAGGCTTGACAGGTTATGATTCAAAACATTAAATGTATCCTTCAAATTAATTTCTGTGATATTACTTTGAAATGCTTTAAAACTGGCTTTCGACTTTTTAATTTCATTACATAAATCAAAACAGTCAATATTTCTTGGATACTTACATTCTCATTATATCCCCTTTCTTCTTCCTTCTTCTTTGGACTATTTTTTTTAATTCAGAAAAAAAAAAATCTTATCTTTATACCTTAACATCAGATGGTAAACCATTTTATTTAATATTCAGCCTGGTTAGAGATTTGAATGGCTATAATAGTTGGGGAGAGGTGGTAATAGTAGAGACTGGAAGATGCCTTTTTTCAGTTTAATATCAAGGTCATGTTGTTATTATCAAACTTGGTTGCATAAGGCAATTTTTTATGTTCATAAACTCTATTTTGATAAATCGATCCACTCATTCAACATTTATAGAAACAAAACTATTACAACCAAATAGGTGGATCCTGCTCTCAGAGAACTCATTGTCTAGCTACATTTTGGGATAGTGTGTCCTGAACCCCATTAGGGTGTAGCATAAGCTTGACAAAGGTAATCTAACCAGCCTTATTTTTCTATTCTCGGTCAATATTCTGTCTCTATACACAGACTAAAGATAAGTATGGAATGAGAGTTCCTACATATAGGTTATATGGTAAAATTTGTGGAATATGCAAAGAGATAAATGAGATGTATTTGCTTTACAGCATTCACCAGGGCTTAGAAGACCCTGTGGCACCTGAAAGTGAATGTGCAATTGGATTGGAGTTATGCTGCAACAATTAGCTGCTCAATTGTGTGTTTATTACATATACCAAGATCACTTAAATAACACTACAGGTAAGACTTGAAGATTTAACCTAAACTATATTCTCTCACAACAATTTGTGAACTGACTAGTTAAGGAAGAATAGAAGTGAAAGCTGCTGAGAATTGGAAACAATGATTTCATTCTTCCCTTTCAATCTTCTAGTTAAGTGTTTCTCATTTGCTGGTGAATACCCCAGTGTGAATGCTTCCAGGAGAATTACTTTCTGACTGCCAAACTGAGTCATTATTTTGAATAGCTTTACCTTGCTAAAATGTTTTAATTTACATCTAGAATGTTCCTACTACTGAAGTTGCCCCAAGGCTAGTCAGAAGAGGGCTGTAAGAGTTTCAGAATTTAAGTATTTCTCAAAAACATCACAAACCGAAACCTGAGAACTATAGAAAATATGTAATGCCTTTTTAGGCAAAATTCATCCCAAAGAATTTTTACAGGATTGAAATTCACCAGATAATTGTTTCTTTTTCAACAATGAATAAAACAGATGAAACAGCTAAAGAATAATCTTAAAATTAAACTCTAACTAAGCTATATGACTCTTCTTTCTTATTTAGTGTATTCTCCCCGAATTTAATGTCAAAACACTAAAAAAATTATTGTAGAATTATTGACCCAATTTGTCCTATCAAGATAATTTGTTGACTCTTTAGTAACTAAATTGGCTCAACCATACCAAAAACATGTTAGTTTCTCTGTCATTATGAAACCTAAAACCATTGAATTAGCCCACAGAGTCTTATTCAGCATAGACTTGCCTAAAGCCCATATTGATTAACAGCTACATTACATGTAAACAGTTTTGCCCTGTGGATAGTGAGTTACTCTAAGGAGGACTGTGATATTTTATCAAAAGTTAAGAGCATACAAAAGACTATTTGCAATATATGCCCAGTGGTTCTCAACTGATACAACTTTACACCTCCAGTGCTCTCACTCATGGACATTTGACAATATCTGGAGACATTTTAGGTTGTTGCAACTGGTTAGCATCTAGTGGATAGAAGCCAGGAATCTTGCTAAATATCCTACAGTATAAGGACAGTCCCCCACAACAAAGAATTATCTAGTTCAAAAGGCAATAATGCCAAGGTTTAAAAAACCCTGTTATATACCTCTTGTTGAAGATGTTTTATTTGGATTATAAACATACAAGTAATAATTTATATATTTGCTCCTATGCTTTCAACTTTTAGGTGACATATTTTATTTAAGCAAATGCAGAATATTTAATGAGCTTGAATAAAATTGTTTCTTAAAATGGAGAATATTTATTAAACCACTTAAGTTCAAAAAGGCAATTAAAAAACACAAGGTTTAGGCAAATAGAAATGAGTGATATTTATATCCGAAGCTTTCTTGGAAAAGCGACCAGGCATAAGCTAACTGGAAGGATATTGAGAAGATTAATTTGATATGCTTTGTGAAATAGTTTCTTAACTCCTCTTGGAAAAGCTGCCCCCATGTAAGGAGATATAAAGGTGATGATCTCCAGCACTATTCCCTAGAAGCAGAGAGTGTAGCTTAGGTGAAAGCAAATGCTTGACTTCCACTTTCTTCATTTCAACAAATAAATTAAGGATCTACTGGAAAAACAATCTAAAGACTTGATAGAATTAAAAGAAAAAAAAACAAAGAAAAAACAGAAGGGGAACGAAAGGAAGGAAGGAAGGGAGGGAGGGAAGGAGGGAGGGAGGGAGGGAAAGAAGAGAAAGAAAATTTTTTTTAAAAAAAGGAAAGGAAAGGAAAAAAGTGAGAGAAACAAGGAAGTCCCAACCGTTAATGTTAAGTCTCTGTTAGTGAGAGACAGGACTAGCTGGATTTCCTAGGTCGACTAAGAATCCCTAAGCCTAGCTGGGAAGGTGATCGCATCAACCTTTAAACACGGGGCTTGCAACTGAGCTCACACCTGACCAATCAGAGAGCTCACCAAATGCTAATTAGGCAAAAACAGGAGGTAAAGAAATAGCCAATCATCTATTGCCTGAGAGCACAGCGGTAGGGACAATGATCAGGATATAAACCCAGGCATTCGAGCCAGCAACGGCAACCCCATTTGGGTCCCCTCCTTGTATGGGAGCTCTGTTTTCACCCTGTTTCACTCTATTAAATCTTGCAACTGCAAGATTTAATACTCTACTGGTACGTGTTTGTTACAGCTCGAACTGAGCTTTCGCTGGCAGTGCACCACTGCTGTTTTGACGCCGTGGCAGACACTCTGCTGACTTCCATCCCTCTGGATCCAGCAGGGTGCCCACTGTGCTCCTAATCCAGCGAGGCGCCCATTGCTGCTCCACATCAAGTTAAAGGCTTGCCATTGTTCCTGCAGGCCTAAGTGCCTGGGTTCGTCCTAATCGAGTTGAACACTAGTCACTGGGGTCCATGGTTCCCTTCCGCGACCCACGACTTCTAATAGAGTTATAACACTCACCACATGGCGCAAGATTCCATTCCTTGGAATCCATGAGACCAAGAACCCCAGGTCAGAGAATACGACTCTTGCCACCATCTTGGAAGTGGCCCACCACCATCTTGGGAGCTCTGGAAGCAAGGACCCCCGGTAACATTAGGGACAGTACTTGAGAAATCTACCTTATGGCTGTGGTTCTGTGTTGTATTCTGTACTTGCTTCTCTCTACCTTATGACTTAAATGAACTAACCTTGAAAGCAGATGAGTCTTTTGTATAAAAGACTAGAAAATGGATTGGAAGAGAAAGTTGTAAATAAATTCCTAATTGTAAAAAGGCAGTTAGTTACCTTTTTACAGTAATCCAAAAATGACTGTGAATTACAAGCATTTTGAATTTGGAGAAAGCTCATTTTATAATTTAAGGTAAGCAATATAGCTCTATATTTTAAATGTAATTTTAATAGTATAGATAAATCCTATATAATTATTCCATTAACCTCGGTAAATATTTTGACTTTATCCTGCAACTCAGTAGCTGAATAAAAATATACCCTCAGGACCTCATTTACTTGCTATACCTGTCTCATTTACAAGCCAATTAATTTATATTTTCAGCATTACAATTACAAGCCTCCATTAATGCCCCCACATAATTACAGTAATAGCTTTCTAAATTCAAATTATTCTGAAACTCTAAAATTCTGTAATTTGATATAAACCAGGAAGTACATGTTAATAAAACATATGACATGAGCCCAAATAGGTACTATTATATATTTTTATAATCCAAATGGAACAACTTAATTGTTATCAAAAAACTATACAATTAGTATTCTATATTTGGTTTCTCAAAAAAAAAAAAATGATACTCAAATGTGTATGTTCTACTTTCTGGATCACTGCCTTGCCCATAGTAAAAGTTCAATGAGCATGTTCTATTCTAATGAGGCAAATTGCTATCTGTTCTCAAAATCAGACTTGTCTTCTTCCTGGGCACATGGCTGTATTACACGTAGCCATATAATGGAGATCTACTTACTGGAATGTGAGGAAAAGAGAAATGTGCATTTCCAGTCCTGGCCTGTGAAAACCTCCCCAGGCGTGCTCCTCCTTGTTTGTTTCCCTTTCAGTTGGAAGGAATGGAGATGATCCCTGGGTAACTAGATCCTCTAATCTCTTCCTGCAGGACTGACTGTGAACACCTACTTGGGTCTAATACATTGAGTGAGGAATGAACTTGTTAGAGTGCAAGTCATGAAGAGTGAGAGCTTTTCTGCTTTTATCTGTAAAAGCAGCCAGTATTATCCTAGCACATTCTGACAATACAGAGAAATCATGAAAATAAGCTTTTTGGGAAATATATGTGTGTATGCTCACACATACATATATATACATGCACATATAATGAAACACACTCATAAGCATACACATATGTTTTGATAACTTTCTTCAACAGATATTCTCCCTTTTTTTTTTTTGTTTGAGACAGACTCTCACTCCGTCGCCCAGGCTGGATTGCAGTGGCACAATCTCGGCTCACTGCAAGCTCTGCCTCCCACGTTCACGCCATTCTCCTGCCTCAGCCTCCCAGTAGCTGGGACTACAGGCGCCTGCCACCACGCCCGGCTAATTTTTTTTGTATTTTTAGTAGAGGCGGGTTTCACCCTGTTAGCCAGGATGGTCTCGATCTCCTGATCTTGTGATCCGCCTGCCTCGGCCTCCCAAAGTGCTGGGATTATAGGCGTGAGCCACCGCGCCTGGCCAACAGATATTCTTTTTATGGAATTTTTTATTACTCACTGTGAGAAGTTTAACAAATCTCAAATCTAAAATCAACGAGCTAAGGCTTAAAATCCTTTTTCACCTTTTTCTCCTTTCCATCATGAGTTCTCAAAAACTCTTGTTCACATAAATCTTGGACTGACATAGGAAGCAAAGATTCCTATTAAATCATTACACTGTTCTTTCTGCTCTGATTTTCCTTCATTCCTAATGACTCAAATTCTAGCAATTCCACTTGGTTTCACGTTTTATTTCGACTTTATCATTGCAGTCCTTGACTTTTCTGCCATTAGTATTCAAGAATCATAAAACTTTTACCACAAAAGTACTAAGCATTTGACTTGTTCTAAATATTACATAAACCTGGACTACATTCATTTTGAATGTTCTCTTTTGATTAGATCAATAGGCAATATTTCAGACTACTAACCTGATATTCACTTTTATACAGCCTTTTTTTTTTTACATTTGAAGCAACTGAACTGAACACAGTGATTGTGTCTTTCTTTTATTGTCTCAGAACTGTTAACCCAAGTAGTGTGTATAAAAATATAGGTAAGAATTTAAAAATTATATGCATCTGGTGACATTTCTCTTCATGATGTGAACATTGCTGCATGTTCTTTTCCACTATGATAGCTTTTACAAGGTACACCATGTCATTGGCCTTTTCTTTCAGTGAGAAGCTTGCCTTGTTCACAAAAGGCTGACAGCTCCACTCCAACTAGTGAGATTTTAAAGGAGCTTGTGACAGCGTGGCTAAGCCAGGCTTCACAATGGGTCGTCTTTGCAGTGTTAACATGAAAAGTCAGAGAGTGAAAGGAAGATTGAATAGAGTCCCAGATAAAAGGAAAATAAAGACCTAAGGACCTGTCACATAACACTTATTTTCTGAGTAAAAGTAACTAAGATATAATAAAGAATAATAGCTTTGAAGTCAGAAAGACCTAGATTCACATATTTTACCCTCTGTCAGTTTCAGTATCTTCACCTTAAAAAGGGGGGGGATACAAATATCAGCATAATAGAGCTATTAGGAAGATAAAGTGAAAAAATATGTGTAAACAGTTCAATTCTGCATCTGTCTCCCAGAAGGACTAACATTTATAGAAACTTCTTATGTGCCAAGCACTGCTCTAGACACAGGCAAAAATCCCTGCCCTATAGGACATTCATTCTAGTGGGAGAAATTGAGATCAATTCAAAAGACAATTAAAATGTATAGTATATTAGATGATGAGAGTGGGAAGGGGATAAAAAATGCAAGGAAGAGGGACAGGAAGGATCATATGTAGAATAATAGATAGGATGGCTCGAAGAATCAGCACAATTTCATGAAAAGGTGACATTCCAGTAAAGTGAATGAGTGAGCCAGGTAGACTCTTGAGGACAAGCATTCTAAAGATAAGAAAAAGCAAATGCATAAAAACTAAGGCAGACGCAAATGGCTCATCCCTGGAACAATGAGGAAGCACTAGCTCATGCACAGTGAGGGAAGGTAAAATTAGTGTAAAATGAATGTCAGAAATATCATATATGACCCTGTAGGTCTTCCTCAATGGTGATTTTTATTCTGATGGAGAAGACATGCCTGAAGTGTATTGAGCAGAAGAGTGACAAGATCTGACTAACCTGGTAAGATTACTCTGGCTGTTGTTTTGAGAATACTTGGAGCGGAGATAAGTAGTGAAGCTGATATATCAACTTATAAGCTTTTTACTAATCCAGGTAAGAGATGAAGGTAGCTTGATCTGCAGTGGTGGCAGTACAGATGAGAAGAAGTGGTTAAATTTTGTATATAACTTGAAGACAAAGTGGGCAAGATGATCTGAGTGATTGGACTGGGAGTGTGAGAGGCAGAAAGGGGTCAATGATGACTCCAAGGTTTTATATGAACAATTGGAAAAATATTACGTTCTTTTTGTCTTTTTCTCCTTTTCCTTTTTCTTTCTTATAGTTTGAGGCTTATCGTTTGACAACAACAAATGATCAGTTTATCTTCTAGAAAGTAGATTGTCAACAATTTATAAATGAAGAGTCTGCTAGTCAGTGATAAGCAAAGGACTCTGTGTGGGAACTGGAGGGAAGAAAGACCCTCAATCATGTTCTAAGGCCAGTATTTAAGAAATATTCATAAATATGTTTTAAAAAATTTTCCAGGAGTCAAATGATACAATGTTAATGGAAGGAATTCATTCTTTGTCTGCTCAAAAATCCATTTGACAATACTTCTGTCTATATTCAGGCTCCAGTTTTTGTAGGTTAAATTGTAACAACATTTGTTGGCATACTCATTCTCCAAACACCATTCTTAGTACTCTATTGGGTGTAGTAGATCGCCCAGGGTCTCCAGCTTGCAGGCAGACCACTGTGGGACTTCTTAGCCTCCAGAACTGGTATAAGCCAGTTTCCCTAATTCATCTTCTCTCAAATATCTATCCATCTCTCTGTATATATCCTACTGTTTCTATCTTTCTGAAGAACCCTAATGCTTGTTCCTTGTGTATTAATATGTATTAGTATGTATTATTACTCATACATGCTCCAGGTTTAGTATGTTTTTTTATTTAAAAAAATTCATAAGATTGAAGGCTGCATTATTGATTTGCCATCTTTCTTCTTTTTAAAAATAGGCCTGTAAAATCTCCTTCTGAGCACTGCTTCAGCTGCATTCTATAAATTTTTGTATAATTTGTTTTCATTTTCATTTATAATTTCATTGAAAACAAAAACAAAACACATCATATAGTATAACCATTCCAACTCTCTTTTGGGCATTTTATGAATGGTACATCTTTTTTAATCCTTACTTATTTGTGTCTTTGAAAGTAAATTTTGTTTCATTTATCCAACATCTAGTTGGATCATATGTTTTTTAAACTAATCTTCCAATCTCTGCCTTTTGATTGAAATGTTTAGTTCATTCATTTTAAGTCTCATTACTGGTTAGGTAGGATTTATTTATGCCAAATTGGTACGTGTATATTTTATTTCTTTTTTTCTGTTTTCTTCCATTACTTCTTTCTTTTGTTTTAAATAGACATATTCTAGTATATCATTTTTATTTCCATGTTGTTTTCTTTACTTCCTATTTTTGGATTATTTCATAGTGATTGCCCTGGGAATTACATTTGCAACTTAACTTAAAACAATCTACTTCATATAACATCAACTTAGTTTCAACAGTATACAATTTTTTCCTCATTAACTCTATAACTTTCTTCCTTCCATGTGTTATTATTACAATACAAATTATATCTGTATACATTATAAACCCATCCCTAAATAAAATCTAAATAAGTACTTATTTATAGTAAAGTGAACTTCAGGAGAGGTTTTGACCTCCGAAGCCATGGGGAATGTAATGAACTCTCCGAAACTAATTTGGTCTAGTATGTCCCAAAGACGACAACGGATTTTTAGTTTGACTCAAAGTACATTAAAAATCACCACATAACCTAAAAGTTATCATCAAGGTCCAGAAAATTCCACTGGACGTTAGGAAAAGGGAATGTTAAATTGAAACCATGCAAGAAAATTTCCACCGTTTGACCCACTCACAAGTGGGCAATTCTTTCTCTGAAACAAAACAGACTTGTAGTAAACCCCATAAGCCATCCATACAATAAATGTTTACTATGTGTCTACTTATTGGCTACTGGGAAGTAAGAATGCAGTTTCTCTTCTCAAAGAAGTCGCAAGCAAGTGTAGAAAATGTTGAGAAAAAAAAAAATCAAGTTCTTAAGTATAACAAATGTAGGTGATGTGAAAAGGATAGCACAGGACACAATGTGTACAAAGAATAGTCCCCTAACTCCCTGAGCTCGGTGAGGGCAGGCAGGGATCACTGCTAATAAGAAGTAACACAGAAGCCAAATCTTTAAGGATAAACAAGAAAAGGAAAAAAGCAGAAAAATGCATTATTGTCAAAAAGCAGTCCTACATTCAAGGAGTCATGAGATAAAATGAAGTGCCTGGGGGAAACTTTGAGAAGCTTAGTTTGAATGAACAGAGGAGAATTGGGACTTCTTAAAGAGCGATAACACTGGAAATGTGTGGAAGAGTCCAAACCACACACTATCCAAGGACAATCCACTGTCTGACATACTCAACTTTTTAACTGTGTTTTTCTCTCACAATCCACAAGTGGAAATACAAACAATAAAAACAAGGTTGAAACTGAATAATAATAGAATATTTTAAAGCACAGTCTTTTTACTTTGTTTCTTAATTTAGTTCATGATTTTATTCTGGAGTATTGCATTTTCCTTTTGCTGACATTTAAGCAAACAAATGTAAGAAAACTCCAGTAAGTATTAGTGAAATTTACGTAAATTAGTGATCAAAGCCCAATGAAATACAGAAAGTTGAGGCTCAGGGGACTAAAATAGGGGCCAGTAAAGTCACATCGAAGGTATTTTGTTTGAGTCTGTGAAAGACAAAGTCAACAGAGACTCTCACTTCACAGCCCCTCTGCTCTTCCAATGTTACACTCCATATTATACATTAGATGAATTTTTTGTAGCATTTTGCAGTTTCTGTATCTGATAGGTACAGAATTTCATAAATAATTGAAGTCCACTCAAATATTACTACTTGTGAATGCATTTTTAACTATTTCCATTTTAGAAATGGACAAATATGCCTCCTGGTGGCAAACTGCAGGTGCATTTCAATTGTAGCTTGCACTTTACAGACATGACAAGGGTAAAGCCAATGTCAAAATTGTCCCTGAAGCATCAACTCTTCAATAACTTTCCCATAATAATGTGAACAGAAGGTTAGAACTCAAGGAAGATGCTACACTTGACATGAGGAAAATCAGACGCCACAACCATGAAGCTATGACCATTTTTGCAAACCAACTAAAGAAACATTATAAAGTATCTACCAATAAAAAGCCTGAAAATTGGCCAGGCGCAGTGGCTCACGCCTGTAATCCCAGCACTTTGGGAGGCTGAGGCGGGCAGATTACGAGGTCAGGAGATCGAGACCATCCTGGCTAACACGGTGAAACCCCGTCTCTACTAAAAAAAAAAAAAAAAAAAAATATGCCGGGCATGGTATGCACCTGTAGTCCCAGTTACTTGGGAGGCTGAGGCAGGAGAATGGCGTGAACCTGGGAGGTGGAGCTTGTAGTGAGCCGAGATCGTGCCACTGCACTCCAGCCTGGGCGACAGAGCAAGACTCCATCTCAAAAAAAAAGCATGAAAATTGTTAGGATTCCTAAGAAGACTTTGGAGATATTCAGTAGTTACTTACAAAATTTGGGATAGAGTGCCTTTGGTTTAAGATCCTTGTTTTTCTTTTAAGAGACTCAAAATTGCACTATAACGTGGATTCTTCTAAATCTGCACAATAATTTGAGAAATACTGACAACATTCTTGGTATGACTAAAAAGTGACAGAGTAAGGAAATCGTTTTACTTGGCTAATAAAACTGGAATATAAAGAATAAGCTCCTACAATTATTCCTCCATTATATGTTCTTAAATTATGTTTTTTGAAACCTGCTTCCTATTTCTGTCTTTAATTCATGTAGTTGATCCCATTATACTCAAAATTGCAATATAAACACAAGATACATGAAGGGACATCTCTGAACCTGGTCACACCAAAGGATGAAGAGTTTGAAAATGTATTTTCTTAGCAAAAAGTTAGGTAATGTCTATTGCAAGATTATAGTCTTTCTGAAATGAATCTTAAATGACTGTCAGAATGTATTTTGGAAATATGCTTGTGCTAGTCCGTTCTCACACTGCTATGAAGAAATATCCAAGACTGGGTAATTTATACAGAAAAGACGTTTAATTGACTCACAGTTCCACATGGCTAGGAAGCCTCAGGAAACTCACAATCATGGCAAAGGCATCTCTCCAGAGGCCATCAGGAGAGACAATGAGTAACAGCAGCGGAAATGACAGACGCTTATAAAACCATCATATGTTGTGAGAACTCACTCACTATCATGAGAACAGCATGAGGGAAACCGTTCCCATGATTCAGTTACCTCCACCTGGTCCCGCCCTTGACACGTGGGGATTATGGGAACTGATTCAAGATGAGATTTGGTTGAGGACACAGCCAAACCATATCAGTGCTCAATGCCTCTACTTTAGATAACAATTAGAATAAGTTAATCCATTCTGTATACTCCAATCCAACTCCTGCCATAGCTCTGGAAAGATTTAAACATAATGAAGAATACGTTTTAACTAATATAAATAATTCTCCTTATTAATCTTTAAATAAATATATGCTGTCAGCTGGATTCAGTGGCCGTTTGCTGTTTGTGAAAGCCAGAGATTAATAATTGCCTGCTAGAAAGAATAGATTTATTCTCTGGCCTTACTGGCAGAATAAAAATGTTAAAAGCTAAATGTTGAATTCATTGCTAACGATTAATTCCCCTGTATAATCCATGTGTTGTGGGCATGTTGTGAGGGCAAACGGTCAGCATTCATATTAATCTGAAATATCAGCTGTGTAAGTAACGTTAGCACTTGGCTCAAAATATCCCCAATATATACAAGGGATGGAGTAGAAGACAGAAGTGCATGATGGAGACAGGAACAACCCTCTAATTTAGCCACTTCTGCTATAATGTATAAGGAAAGTAAATGGTTTTGGATGGATTCTATTTAATCCCATACCTGTCAAAATTATTACCTGTCAGTTCTATACACACTACCTAACACTTGAAATGTGATGATTTTTATAGAAAAACAATGAGTATCACAGGATTTAATATAAAAATTATGTGACCAAAACAATCAAGATTTAATAAAAACTTAAGAAGGCTGGCTTGTAGCAGCATGTGTTAAATCATTTTGGAGTCATATGACTCTCTGAAACACATACAGTTAATTTATTACGAACAAAGCTGATGAAAGAGTCATCACTATAGGCCTTCCATACAATCTCCTGTACTCTGTTAGTAATACAATTTTAAGGTGCTGCTATACTAGAGAACAGGAATAGACCAGAACATGTATAGCTGTCTGTATTCTCTTTCTGTTTTTAAAATCTCCAGTGAAGGAATTACTGTTTAGAACAAAATTTTGCAAACTATGGCTCAAGGACCAAAGCTTTCCCACTGGCTGTTTTTGAAAATAGCTTTTTTTGAACACAGCCACACTAATTCATTTTATGTTTCATCTATAACTGCTTTTCCACTACAAATGTGGAGCTGAGTAGTTGCAGCAGAGACTTCATGGCCCAAAAAACCTAATATATTTATTATCTGGCCTATTTTGGAAAAAGTTTGTTGGCTGTAGTCTAGAACTTGTAGATAACATTGGATTTTACCTACCCTCCATCACTGCATCCACTGATAGTAATCAAGACCCAAGGAAGTTGAGGCCATAAACTTCAGTGAAGCATCTCTAAACTAGAAACTTCTGTGAGAGTCTCTCTAAGATAAAAACATTTCGTCTCTGCATTATTGATTGCCTACCATGGTTCTCATATCACATGATGTACCAGAATTAGAAGAGACAAGCATAGACTTGTATCATAGACTTATATGCTTGTAAAGAGGAGGTATATTCAACACATAATTACATAAATATTTACTCATTTTTAAAGTGGCATTTTGAAATGATTCAGTGCACAATAACCTTGTCTGGGTTGGGTTAAGGGGTAGTGACAGGAATGAAAATGATACCTGAAGAATGAGTAGACCAGAGTGGGAGTATGTCAAACAGGTCAGCATATGCAAGGACCTTAGTTAGGGAGAAGTTTGATAACTTCCAAGAAGAAAAGCCATATGATACACAGTCAAACCAAAAAGAAAAAGATGTATTAAAATAATATCTATAGAGATCTAAAATATTATCTCTAGAAATGTACCCACATCGTGAGATCCCCAGAGTTTTTAGCCTCTAAGAAAGAGTTTTACTGTAAAATCTCACTATGCATTCTTTTCTTTCTTTCTTTCTCTCTCTTTCTCTCTTTTTCTTTCTTTTTTTTTTTCTTTTTTTTTTTTTTTTTTTTTTTGACAGGGTCTCATTCTCATTCTGTTGCCCAAGGTCAAGTGCAGTGGCACCATCAGGGCTCACTGCAGCCTTGGCCTTCCTGGGCTCAGGTGATCCTTCTGCCTCAGCCTCCCAAGTAGAGTAGCTGGGACTTGGGACTACAGGCATGCACACCACACCCAGACAATTTTTGTATTTTTTTTTTTTTTTTTTGGTAGAGATTGGGGTCTTGCCATGTTACCCCGGCTGGTCTCGAACTCCTGTGGTCAAACAATCTGCCCACCTCGGCCTCCCAAACTGCTGGGATTACAGGCATGAGCCACCACTCCCAGCCACTATGCATTCAGAAAGATGAGAAATCGTGAAGTCATGACCACTCACCTCTAATACCAACCTGACAACGTCTCTAAGATAATTTATAAAGCGGTGTTGAAGTAAAGGGAATGGGCTTTGAGTGTCTGCTGGTAACATTGACCCACATGCTCTTGCAGTTGCTGCTTGGCAGAGATCTCTCTCTTTGCGGATTTAAAGTTAACAGAAGACCTTTGGGGACTGTGGAGAGGGAACTGGGCCTAAAATACCCCACTAAACTGCTTGATGAAAACTGGAGACTAATCTTACAAAAAGGAATCTTCCTGCCCAGTCCAGTTTCCAACCTCTAAGAAAAGTTGCAGAAATAAAAATATTCGCCATTGTACCTTGAACCAGTTGTCATTTTAGCACCCAACAGTTTTCCCCTTTCTACCTTCCGCAGATTAGTTACATGAAAAAGCTTGTTGAAATAGTTCAAAGGATGAGTTCATGAATCCAATCCCAGAAACCTGTGAGGAACAAAGGAATAAGAACTGTAGTAGTAATTCAAGCAACATGTCTTTAATCTTATCTGAACTGTCAGGTTAGGCAAGCTTATTTGCTGTACTTGGAAAGAGAGCTTCCAAAAGTGATTGCCTTCTTCAGGTATAATTCTCTCTTCACATTTGTTTAAAAGATAATGTTAAGTGAAATAAAACAGGTACAGAAAGACAAGTACCACATAATTTCACTTGCATGTGGAATCTAGAAAAGTTGATCTCATGGAGGTAGAGAGTAGAATGTTGGTTAACAGGGTCTGGGGCAGTGGTGATGGAGGGGGTAAGAAAGATGTTGGTCCAAAGACACAACATTTTTGTTAGCCAAAAGGAATAAATTCAAAAGATCTATTCTACAACAGAGTGACTACAGTTAATAACAATATATTATATTCCTGAAAAATGCTAAGATATTAGTAAGTGTTCTCACCACAAAAATGACAACTGTGATGTATTGGCTTTGTTTGGCCATTCTGCAAGGTATATGTGTTTCAGAATGTCATGTTTTATATGACAAATATATATAATTGTATCAATCTCTTTAAAAAAACAAATTTAATTTAAAAATACAGAAATATCCTAATTCAGATACATTTTATTTTCATATTGAATTCTCACAATTTTGGACTTTAATTACAGCTACTTTGAAAGAACTTGTCTATGTTATAACTGCATCATACCAATCTGGTTTAACTGTCATGTAGCAAAGTTGAAAGTTGTTTTTTTGGTCGCCAGGGACCTCCAAGTTGAAGATGACATGAGCTAAGCATGCCCAGATGAACCATGTGCAGAACCTAAGTGCTAGGACTGAGAAGCAGGGACTGAATTAAGAAAAAGTACAAGGCAAGAAGGTCAGGATCCAGTCAGATCATGCATTCTGGCATCACCTCATTGCAAGATCCAGTCAGATCATACTTCATTACACTATCCTCATAAACCCAACACATCCCCCAGCTTGGGTAGATGGATTTGAGCATTCCCTAGTCTTCTTTTCAGCTGCCTCACAATAAACCTTCCTCACTGCAAAATTCCAGTCTTTGTCTTTCTGTTGTTTGGGCAAATGGACCCAGTTTAGTTTGGTTACAATGTCATCTGATTTTATTCAACTATCCTGCATAATTCCTTTCATTATTTCCTTTGTCCTCCTTTTCCTCTTTGTCCCCATTTTCCCAAGTAACACTCTGTATTCTAGGAGTTACCATAGAAATATGTGAAAAGATGATATCTATTTTTTATCTTGCTGTACAGTTGAGAAAGGACTGCTGAATTCTGTTGGCTTCTCTTACAAGTTCTAAGAGAAAGTGGTCAGCCCTAGACTATGGAATGCTCTAGGTACATAAAAGGCAGCACTAGGAAATTCCAAATGCATGCCTTCCAGGGGCTCCTGAGACCCACTGGCAACTGTGTGGAAAAAATAGTGTTGTATGGCAGTGTTAAAATATATATATATATATATATATATATATATATATATATATATAAGAGATCATGGCGGACAGGAGGCAGGACTAGATTGCATCTCCTGACAGAGCACTGAATGGGGGCTCACATTGCAAATTTTAGCTCCAGATCGACTGCAAGAACAAACCAGCAACCCCAAGAGGAGCCACAGACCCTCTGAAGGAAGCGGATTGCTCCTGCACGACCCTGGAGACCCCCCAAAAGATGCGAGTGCCCCAACTGCAGAAGTGGGAAAGGAGACCCTCCTCTCCCAAACACACACACCCACTGGAGAAGCTGAAAGTCTGTTTGCAGGCAAAGTTTCTGACTTTACCTGGAGCTGAATCAATTTGGAGAGCCCAGCGAAACACAGGGATACAGGAAGCAGCAGAAAGGCCCTGGGAGCTCGCTGGGTCCCCTCGCAGGACATTCCTGCCTAGCACCACAGGGATCCAATGGGAGAGGAGCAGGGGGTAAAACTACAAGGGAGAAAGAAATCTGTAGCAGAACTTTGTAACAATTTGAATGCTGTTAGAAGCCTACTGGACAGAACTTGCGGGAGGGCACAAATCCAGTGTGCAGACTCCACAGATGAGAGAAGAACCAAGCCCTTTTCTTTCGCAGCTGGGAGGTGGAGAGCCTGGGACAGGGTTTCAAGTCCATATCGCTCTCTACCTGGAAACAGTCTGGGGGCCATTAAGGGTGGGGGGCATGGTGGAAGTGAGACCGGTCCTTCAGTTTGCGTGGGAGCTGGGTGAGGCCTGTGACTGCCAGCTTTCCCCTACTTCCCTGACAACCTGCATGACTCAGCAGAGGCAGCCATAATCCTAGGTACAAACTCTAGTGATCTGGGAATCTTACCCCCACCCCCGACAGCAGCTGCATCAAGACCTGCCCAAGGAGAGTCTGAGCTCAGACATGCCTAGACCCACCCCCACCTGATGGACCTTCCCTACTCACCCTGGTAGCAGAAGACAAAATGCATATAATCTTGGGAGTTTTAGGGCCCCACCCACCACCGGTTCCTCCCCATACTACCATGGCTGATGCTCTCTGGAAAGCACCACCTCCTGGCACGAGGCCAACCAGCACAAAAATAGAGCATTAAACCACCAAAGCTATGAACCCCCACGGAGTCCATTGCACACACCCCGCCCCCTGCCGGCCGCACCACCTCCACCAAAACAGATAGCTAGTATCAACGGCTAAGAGACCCATAGACTGTTCAAATCACAGGACTCTGTGCAGACAACCCCCAGTACCAGACTGAAGCCAGGTAGACTCACTGAGTGGGTAGATCTGGAAGAGAGACAATAATCACTGCAGTTTGGCTCACAGGAAGCCACATCCATAGGAAAAGGGGGAGAATACTACATCAAGGGAACACCTGTGGGACAAAAGAATCTGAACAACAGCCTTCAGCCCTAGACCTTCCCTGTGACAGAGCCTGCCCAAATGAGAAGGAACCATAAAACCAACCCTGGTAATATAACAAAATGAGGCTCTTCAACACCCCAAAACATCACACTAGTTCACCAGCAATGGATCCAAACCAAGAAGAAATCCCTGATTTACCCAAAAAAGAATTCAGGAGTTTAGTTATTAAACTAATCAGGGAGGGAGCAGAGAAAGGCAAAACCCAATGCATGGAAATGCAAAATATGTTACAAGAACTGAAGGGGGAAATAAGAAACTAGATGGCTTAAAAACAAATAAAAAATTCAGGAAACTTCACACACACTTTTACAAATGCAAAATGCTCTGGAAAGTCTCAGCAATAGAACTGAAGAAAGAATTTCAGGGTTCGAAGACAAGGTCTTTGAATTAACCCAATCCAACTAAGACAAAGAAAAAAAGAACAAGAAAGTATGAACAAAGCCTCCAAGAAGTCTGGGATTATGTTAAACAACCAAAACAAAGAATAATCAGTGTTCCTGAGGAAGAAGAGACTTCTAAAAGCTTGGAAAACATATTTGGGGGAACAATCAAGGAAAACTTCCCCAGCCTTGCTAGAGACCTAGACATCCAAATACAAGAAGCACAAAGAACACCTTGGAAATTCATCACAAAAAGATGAATTGGGACATTGTTATCAGGTTAGGGACAATAGGGACATTATCATCAGGAAAGAATCTTAAGAGCTGTGAGACAGAAGCAGCAGGTAACCTATAAAGGAAAACCTTTCAGATTAACAGTAGATTTCTCAGCAGAAACCCTACAAGCTGTAAGGGAATGGGGCCCTAGCTTCAGCCTCCTCAAACAAAACAATTATCAGCCAAGAATTTTGTATCTAGTGAACCTAAGCATCATATATGAAGGAAAGATACAGTCTTTTTCAAACAAACAAATGCTAACAAAATTTGCCATTACCAAGCCACCACTATGAGAACTGCTAAAAGGAGCTCTAAATCTTGAAACAAATCCTGGAAACACATCAAAATAGAACCTCTTTAAAGCATAAATTACACAGGATCTGTAAGACAAAAATACAAGTTAAAAAGCAAAAACAAAAAACAAAAAAACCAAAGTACACAGGCAGCAAAGAGCACAATGATTTCAAAGGTACCTCATACTTCAATATAACGTTGAATGTAAATGGCCTAAGTGGTCTACTTAAAAGATACAGAACAGCAGAATGGGTAAGAACTCACCAACCAAATATCTGCTGCCTGCAGGAGACCCATGTAGCACATCAGGACTCACATAAACTTAAAGAGGTGGAAAGAGGCATTTCATGCAAATGGACACCAAATGGGGGCAGAGGTAGCTATTCTTATATCAGTCAAAACAAGCTTTAAAGCAACAGAATTTAAAAGAGACAAAGAGGGACATTATATAATGGTAAAAGACCTTTTCCAAGAGGAAAATATCACAATCCTAAACATATATTCACCTAACACTGGAGGTCCCAAATTTATAAAACAATTACTAATAGACCTAAGAAATGACATAGCAACACAATAATAGTGGGGGACTTCAATACTGCACTCACAGCCCTAGACAGGTCATCAAGACAGAAAGTCAACAAAGAAACAATGGATTTAAACTATACCTTGGAATGAATGGACTTAACAGATAAATATAGAACATTTTATCCAACAACTGCAGAATACACAATCTATTCAACAGCATATGAAACTTTCTCCAAGATAGATCATATAACAGGCCATACAACGAGGCTCAATAAATTTAAGATAATTGAAATTATATCAAGCACTCTCTCAGACCGCAGTGGAATAAAACTGGAAAGCAACTGCAAAAGGAAATTTCAAAACCATGCAAAATATGGAAATTAAACAACCTGCTCCTAAATGAACATTGGGTCAAAAATAAAATCAAGATGAAAATTAAAACATTCTTCCAGCTGAATGACAATAATGACACAACCTATCAAAACCTCTGGGATGCAGCAAAGGCGGTGCTAACAGGAAAGTTCATGGCCCTAAATGCCTACATCAAAAAGACTGTAAGAGCACAAACGGACATTCTGAGGTCACACCTCAAGGAACTAGAGAAACAAAAACAAACCAATCCAAACCTAGCAGAAGAAAGGAAGTAACCAAGATCAGAGGAAAACTAAATGAAATTGAAACGAAAACAAATGCAAAAGATAAATGAAACAAAATGCTGGTTCTTTGAAACGATAAATAAAATTGATAGACCATTGGCAAGATTAACCAAGAAAAGAAGAGAGAAAATCCAAATAACCTCACTAAGAAACAAAACAGGAGATATTACCACTGAAACAACTGAAATACAAAAGATCATTCAAGGCTAATATGAACACCTTTACACACATAAAATGGAAAACCTAGAAGAGATGGATAAATTATTGGAAAAATACAACCAACCTAGCTTATATCAGGAAGAACTAGATAACCTGAACAGACCATTAACAAGCAGCAAGATTGAAACAGTAATTAAAAAATTACCAACAAAAAAGGCCAGGACTAGACTGAATCACAGCACAATTCTACCATACATTCAAAGAAAAACTGCTACCAATCCTTTTGACACTATTCCACAAGATAGGGAAAAAAGGAATTAACTCTATGAGGCCAGCATCACCCTAATACCAAAAGCAGGAATGGACATAATCAAAAAAGAAAACTACAGACCGATATCTTTGATGAACATAGATGCTAAAATCCTTAACAAAATACTAGCTAACAGAATCCAACAACATACCAAAAAGATAATCCACCATGATCAAGTGGGTTTCATACCAGGGATGCATGGATGGTTTAACATATGCAAGTCAATAAATGTGATATACTACATAAAGAAAACTAAAAACAAAAATCACATGATCATTTTAGTAGATGCAGAAAAAGCATTCAACAAATTCCAGCATCTCTTTATGATTAAAACTCTCAGCAAAATCAAAATACAAGGGACGTACGTTAATGTAATTAAAAGGCACCTATGACATACCCACAGCCAACATAATACTGAATGGGGAAAAGTTGAAAGCATCCCCTTTGGGAACTGGGACAAGACAAGGATGCCTACTTTCACCACTCCTCTTCAACATAGAACTGGAAGTCCTAACCAGAGCAATCAGACAAGAGAAAGAAATCAAGGGCATCCAAATTGGTAAAGACGAAGTCAAACTGTCACTATTTGATGATATGATTTTTTACCTTGAAAACCCTAAGGACTCCTCCAGAAAGCTCCTAGAACTGATAAAAGAATTCAGCAGAGTTCCCATATACAAGATTAATGTACACAAATCAGTAGCTTTTCTGTACACCAACAGCGACCAAGCAGAGAATCAAGAACTCCACCACTTTTACAATAGCTGCAAAAAAATAAAATTAAAAAATTAAAAAATTTAGGAATATACCTAACCAATGAGTTGAAAGACCTCTGTAAGGAAAACTATACAACACTGCTGAAAGAAATCGTAGATGACATGAACAAACAGAAACACATCTCATGCTCATGGATGGGTAGAATCAATATTGTGAAAATATACAAATGGCCAACAAACATATGAAAAAATGCTCAACATCACTAATGATCAGGCAAATGCAAATCAAAACCACAGTGCAATACCACTTCACTCCTGCAAGAATGGCCATAATCAAAAAATCAATAAAACAGTAGATGTTGGCATGGATGTGGTGAACAGGGAACACTACTACACTGCTGGTGGGAATGTAAACTAGTACAGCCGCTATGGAAAACAGTGTGGATTTCTAAAAGAACTAAAAGTATAACTACAATTTGATCCAGCAATCCCACTACTGGGTATCTAAACCAAAGGAAAAAATGTCATTATTCAAAAAAGATATTTACACACACATGTTTATAGTAGCACAATCCACAATTGCAAAATCATGGATCCAACCCAAATGCCCATCAATCAATGAGTGGATAAACTGTGGCATATATATGATGGAATACTATGCAGCCATAAAAAGGAATGAATTAACAGCATTTGCAATGACCTGGATGAGATTGGAGACTATTATTCTAAGTGAAGTAACTCAGGAATGGAAAACCAAATATCGTATGTTCTCATTGATATGTGGGAGCTAAGCTATGAGGATGCAAAGGCATAAGAATGATGCAATGGACTTTGGGGACTTGGGGGGAAGAATGGAAGGAAGGCAAAGGATAGAAGACTACAAATATGGTGCAGTGTATACTGCTCGGGTGATGGGTGCACCAAAATCTCACAAATCACCACTGAAGAACTTACTCATGTAACCAAGTACTGCCTGTACCCCAATAACTTATGGAAAAATAAAAAAAAACATATATATACACACACACATATATTTGTGACATTCATTAAAAATGGTAAGGAAGACTATTCAATGGGGGGCTACTACAGTGGAGTTTTTTAGCTGTGAGGAGAGATTGGGCTTAACTTTGCATATAAAGAGGAAAAGTAGAAGTGTATAGCCAAGGAGAAATGTTGGAGAGGGTGAGGGTCAGTAGATGGAAAATTACTAGCAGGAAACATCAAAGCTAGGGGAATACTTGCTAGACCTACTCAAAATGAATCTTGCTGAAGCAAGGCCAATGTTAAGAGATATTGAAGGTGGGGAATGAGGAATTTTATTAGATAGCGAGGCTAGGGGATTTACACTAAAGTGATCCAGCAAGAGTCTTGCTAAAACTGGACTAAACAGGCCAAGGACAGAGCTCGAAGCAGGCCCTCCTCAAAAAGGGATCTCAGAGGAGCTTGTCTCAAGTTTGGTCATAGAAAAGAAGTTTTTTTCAGCAGTTTTCATGAAATATTTTCTAGAGGCATGAAGGAACCAAGCATTACAGATATGGAGGGACCTGAAGGGCATATCTTCTTGTGTCTTTCTTACTGGTTCCTGAAACTGGTTTCCTGGCTTGAACAAAAGGAGAAGGGTAATACAGTAATTAGCGAAGTCTGCTTCAGCAGACACTGAATACATGAAACTGCACACATGCTCACATATGGCGGCCTACACATGTGCATACCTACACACAATGTTTAACATCTACTGTACTGAATGGAGAGAGCAGCATATGAAAAGGGACTCAGCTCTGGTTGTCTATATACAAACTGATGAGGTCACACAGCAAAAGTATACACAATCAAGTACATTTTCTGTGATTCTTAATCCTCTGCTCTAAGGCTATTTGTGAAGGCAACCCTTTTACAAGCAATAGCCACAAATCTCATATTTGCTTTGTTCAAATTCAGGCCACTTGTTTTTTCTTCTTCTTTAATTGCTAGAACCTGGAGAAGCAATTGTATTATTAATACTTGCATGAATAAACTGATGACTAGTTGGCCTTGGAGAACATCTTGAGTATTATCCTCTGCAATCTGTACAACTGCCCCAGACGCACTTTAGGAGTTATGCATCGGAGATGACAGGTAACATGCCACCACATCACAGAACACAAATGTCTTGGGTCCACTCCTTGGATTCACTCTGGAGACTGATGTCGGCTTGTCAATTCTGCAGCAAAATCAACAAGAGGAATATGGACTGAAATTCTCCTTAGGCCATCACATGATGAAATCAATTTTTTTTCAGAATCATAAAATGTATTCTCATTGAAACAAGTGATTTAAATTAAACATCTTAAAGAAATGACTGAAATTAGTCTTGTTACTTTAATCTGTGGCAAGACCATAGGGGGAATTGCAAATTCCCATGGTTTTGAACAAATGCCTAAAAGGCAAGACTTTTCCAATTGTAGATCTTTTTGTTAGTTAAATCAAAACTTACCAGGGGGGAAATTGTACTAATATAGTGGAGATGAATCAAAGTTATACAAACTGTATAAGCAGGAGAACACAATGAAAGACAGTGAGCAAGAGACTTATTTTGATGGATTCTTAGAGATGACAGGTCTAAACAATAAACAATGAAGCTCGGTTTTAGACTTTGGAGAATATAGTATGATTTATGAATTCACAGGTAAAAGCGGGAACACTATCACCACCCTAGAAGAAAATCTATAATAGTATTTGAGGAGTCTCTTCTAAAGGCTGTGGAAGTAGATAGACACACACAGGTGTGACATAGCCACTGAAATTATTTCTAGAACAAGATAAACTATAAATCAATGATTAGGCCCAACTTATCAAATAAGTAAGTGTGCTATCTTCTTAGAAGAATGAGTCAACCTTTTCTTTCTTTTTGGTTTTTGTTTTTGTTTTTTTTTTGAGATGGAGTCTCGCCCTGTGGCCCAGGCTGGAGTGCAGTGGCACTGTCTCGGCTCACTGCAAGCTCCGCCTCCCGGGTTCACGCCATTCTCTTGCCTCAGCCTCCCGAGTAGCTGGGACTACAGGCGCCCACCACCATGCCCGGTTAATTTTTTGTATTTTTAGTAGAGACGGGGTTTCACCATGTTAGCCAGGATGGTCTGGATCTCCTGACCTCATGATCCACCAGCCTCGGCCTTCCAAAGTGCTGGGATTACAGGCGTGAGCCAACGCACCTGGCCTGAGTCAACCTTTTCTAATCTGTCAAAATATATTCTAACTACTAATTTTCTTAACAAGAAGCACAAGAATAATTAACAAAGTTAATTAATGTTAAAAATCCAAACTGATTTACTGAGTGCCTACACAATACTAGATAATTGTTTGGATTTCTAAGTCATAAACAAAAGTTACTGCATTTATTCCCAGGAAACTTACAATATAGAAAAGAGACCTGCATTCAGTAAAGCAAAACAATTGAACATGTCTTCTATTGTAATGGAATAAGAACAGGCACGGCATAGTGGATGGAACTTCTGGATCTTGCTGAGGGGCTATCAGGGAGGGCTTCCCAGAGGAGTGAGTGCAAACATCATGGGGGGCTTGGGAAAAGAAGTAAATAGAGATTCACAAGTGATATTATCGTGCAAGTATATTTCCAACTGCGTTATGCGAATAAAGGACCCAGATGATGATTTTCTAGAACAAGTTGAAAACTAATTTTGAGGTCATAATATCCTTCTATTTGAAGTCAAATATTGTGGAAAAATGAAATATTCATTATATTCAGAAATGAATGAAATCGATAAAATTCAAGCAACACTGCTCAAAGACAGATCTCCCTCTTTCTCTCTCTGTCTCTCTATATATGCACACACACATATGTATACACACATACATATATATAATAGTAGACATTAAAGATACAAAATATAAAGAAAGTAGTGACTAATTTTGAAGTTTTAACCAAATATGAGACCTCTTTAATGTCAATAAAATATAAAATGTGTATGTGATTAAAATTTTCTAAAAATAAGTATATGATCAAATTATCTCAAGAAAAAAATAGAAACCCTGAATTGATTAATAGGCATTAAACTAAATAGGTAGTACAAGTTTTTCCTTTTTCCTAGTCTTCAATGACACCATGTACAGATACTACTACAAGCAAGTTTTAGCAAACTTCCCTAGTTTACCTTTGACTTTCACAAATTTTTCCAGAGAATAGAAACGGAGCGGAAGTTATCCCACTTGTTTTAGATTTATATAATTAAAATGACAGACTAGCCAAGGACAGTTCAAAACAAATAGATTATTTCACTTAATAAACATAGTACCAAATCCTTAGATAGATTAAATTGTATTTGTAAATTGACTTCAACATTGTATAATAATTTATGTATTAGGAATGAAAAAGTTATCTACATTATTCATTAAGAGTGAAAAATACATATGATCATCTTTAAAGAGACAGAAAAATCTTCAAATAGATTCTGCTCACAATCATTAAAAATAAAAAAAGGAAACTTTGGAAATTAGTAATAGAAAAAAATTCTTAAAGTTATTTGCCAAAATCCTACAGCAGACAACATACTTAATGGTGAGTATTTCGAAGATTTTCCATCAATAACAGGAATAGAGGAAATATATCTGCTGTTATTGCTGTTCTTGTGCCTTCAAATTTTGCTTTTCCAATATTTATTCATCTCTTCTGAAACTCCTACTACACATAGGCTGCCACTTAGCATTATATCGTCATTTACTTTAATCCTCATTTTTCACTCTTTCCTTCTCTTTAATTATGTTTATACTATAGAAAAGTTTAGATCTATCTTCAGGCACAATTATTCTTTTTTATGGTTTATTAGTCTCTTTTTTAAGGTCTCTATTGAATGATTCCCCTATATATTATTTATTGTCTTATTTGTAGAATATTTATTTGTTTTCAAAATTATTCCTATTTTTTAATCCATAATATGCTGTTTCTGTCTTTTAGAGTCTATTCACCCTTATAATCAGTTAGCCATTTCACTTGTAATTCAGATCATTCTATTGTCTCAAGGACAAGTCTTCAAATATTCTCATGTGTTTCATGTACTGACTTTCCATTGGGGTGGTTTCTTTCCCTCATTCTTTCCCTGATTTCTTTCCCATGTCTATATGTTAGGAGTGGCTTTTGAATCAGCTCAGACCTCCATATTGAGCAGATAATATATGCTAGATTGTTTGAAACCACTTTCAAAATGACCAGCCAAAATTCAGTTACAGCTCTTTGGCTAGACTCTGAAAGGACATAGCCAGAAGTGTACTCACCCTCACCCTCATAAATGTCAAGCTTCCGAAAACCCTCTTTTTCACGGGCTGCATTCACAGTCCTGTAAAATTTTTTAAAAAATGAGGTGTTTTATGTGGTTTTCTTAAAAAAAAAAAAAAAAAAGACCCCTTCTCTCCAATTGTATAAGTTTCAGGTCCTAGAAAATCTGGGACTTCCCTCTGGGTATGACTTTTGAGAAATTAGAGATTCAAAAAAATTCTAAATATGCAATCAGTGATTAGCAACTACAGAACTATTAAACTGCCCACTATAACTGAAAATCTCAAATTCACAAAACATTTTTAAGATGGAAAGAAATATATAATCACAAATGAATATTAAAAGATGGCATGATTAAGAGAGAATTAGGAAAAGTATCAAATAATGAGTTGAAGTCTCAAGAACGTGCCAACAGAGTATATATGTATATATGCATTACATATATATGTACACACATACATATATATATACACACACATATATATATATGTTGTAGTCCATTTCACATTGCTGATAAGATATACCTGAGACTGGGTGATTTATAAAGAAAAAGAGGTTTGATGGACTCACAGTTCCACGTGGCTGGAGAGGCCTCAAAATCATGGTGGAAGCCAAAAGCCACCTCTTACATGGCAACAAGCAAGAGAGAATGAAGACCAAGTGAAAGGAGTTTCCCCTTATATAACCATCAGATCTTGTGAGACTTTTTCACTACCATGAGAACAGTATGGGGGAAACTGCCCTTATGATTCAATTATCCCCCACTAGGTCCCCCCCACAACACATGGAAATTATGGGAGGTATAATTCAAGATGAGATTTGGGTGGGGACACAGCCAAACCATATCTATATCTGTATCTGTCTAATCATCTATCTGTCTATACATATATATACACATATATATTTGTTAAAATTATGTCCATGATACAAAAAAGAAATAGAAAGTCAACAACCTAAAGGGAAAATACTCCAACTGAAATCCTATTTTAGTTCATTCTTCTAGAGTCAGAAAAATAATCTTTATTATAGAAATGTATTTGAGACCTCAAACAATAAAATTAAGATTTCCAGTGAGCGTGTCAGGAAGAAGCACATAAAAAGATACTGAAGAGACTGCAAATGTAGTATCATAGTCTGAACAATTTTAAAAATGGGGGAGAAAGAATGAGCTCAGAAATGGAAGATTAAGCAAATGTTCTGATTTTTCAAAATGAGTAGAGAAAAGATGTCATTTGAGAAAATTACAGTCAGGGGAGGAGAGACTATTCTAGCAAAACTCTAAATAATCAAAGAACATGAATGGATTTTCTTAAGTATATGGAAATTTTTATAATATAGTTGAACTCAACTACAGTAGATAATGACAAACTTGACTCATTCATCTATTGGATGAAATGGCTAAGAGGCTCTTAGGTAGCAGTAGATACACTGTATTAACACCAAGACACAGGATATCATGCGAATTTCTATACAAGATAAAAAACAAGATGCTTTGAAGCAGTTTTCTTATTCAGTTCTGTTGAAACCTGGGTAAGCTGCTGCTGGAATGCCATGTAGCTCTGTTTAAGGTTTTTAACTGATATCTGGGGTATTTGGGTGTATTTTTTTTCCCAAATTTAAAAGCATTAAAGCAGATTTTTCAAACTTGTAAGTGAAGCAGCTGGAGGAAAAGCTAATTTAGTAGGCAACAAAATCAACATTCATTTATTTAGGTCAAAACAAGAGACCAAATTAGAAACGATCATAAAAGCCTTCTCTTTGATGTCCAAGAATTTAGTGTAGAACATTGGTTATATACAGCATTTGTCAAAATACAGGTTTCACATAAGTCAAGAAAAGAATGTTGCCACTGGCCCCAAACTAATATTTGAGAAAATGCCCTAACCACAGGGAATGAAGTCTCTTTGTTGTTGCAATGGGCAGACCACACCTGTGAAGTGGATTTAAATTTTTGTGGTCCACATTAATAAGGACAGTGAAGAATTGAGGAAGAGTCATACAAAGGGTGTATTAGTCCATTTTCACACTGCTATGAAGAACTGCTCAAGTCTGGGTAATTTACAAAGGAAAGAGGTTTAACTGACTCACAGTTAAGCATGGCTGAGGAGGCCTCAGGAAACTTACAATCATGGCAGAAGGCAAAGGGGAAGAAAGGCACATTCTTCACAAGGTGGCAGGAATGAGAAGTGCCAAGCAAAGTGGGAAAAGCCTCTTATAAAACCATCAGATGTCATGAGAACTCACTCACTATCACGAGAATAGCATGGGGGAAACTGCCCCCATGATCCTATTACCTCTCCCTGGTCTCTCCCTTGACACATAGGGATTATGGGGATTATAATCCAAGATGAGATTTGGGTGGGGACACAAAGCCTAACAATATCCTGGGGCAAAGAAAAGAATGAATATTCTTTTTTCTTTTCTTTTGGTCAGATGCGGATGCTACACACAATATCTAAAAATTATTTGAGTGAGTTATTTCATCCAAAAAGAAGCAGCAGCAATGTAATAGAATATTAAAACATTTTTAAAAATCAGGTTGATCAGCAATCAGAAAACTTCCATGCTGCTTCCTTTCTGTCTGAATAACTTGCCATTCTTCACAGACCATGGCAAAAAGCAAGCACTGTGTAGAACTCTCCAGCAATCCCAAGAATGTGCTCTGCCAACTCTTATTTTCTAAACAGTTTGTGTGGACTTCTGTATTATAGTTTTTATTGCATGTGTATTGGCATTATGCGTTTATGGCTGTATTCCTCTTTAGAGTTGAGAGCAGAGACTGTATTTTATTCAAATTTACATGGAATCAAATTTTGGCTTAACTGAGCCAGACCTTTTAAGCAATTAGAGCTCTTCAACAATGGAATGGCATGTGGTATTTTGACAGGAAGGACTCAGGTGTAAATGTTAAGGTAAAAATTCATCCTTCCAGTGGCTATTAAGAGGACTTTTTCAGCAGGTTGGATTGGGAAAGAGGTGTATATGAACAAAATGAAAGAACATAAAGGGTTTTCTTTTAATTCTAAAATTCAGTGGTTTCCTTTCCACATCTCTCCCTTCTGCCCTTCTCTTCTACAGCATTTTTGGCACCCTATTCCCTTTCCCCACCAACAAAATAGTCCATCTAGGCTGCTATAATAAAATGCCATAAACAAGGTAGCTTATAAACAATAGAAATTTTTTTCTTATGCTTCTAGAGGATGAGAAGTCCAAGATGAAGGTGGTGGCTGATTCTTTGTCTGCTAAGGGCCTACTTGCTTGTTCATAAATGGTGCCTTCTTGCTGTGTTCTCACATGGCTAAAGGGACTAGAAGTCTATTGTAGCCTCTTATATAAGGACACTAATTTCATTCATGAGGGCTCTGCCAAGAACCTAATCACCTAATCACCTCCAAAACACCATACCTCCTAATACCATCATCTTGGGGATTAGGATTTAAATATCTGAACTATTTAAACATATTTAAATATGTTTTAGGATTTCAACATAATTTTAAACATTTAAACATATAATAAAGATGGTCCTGATATAGGATTCTTTAGTATTAAGATCCTCACTGGTAACCAAAGGTTACTTCATCTACTTCAATAAAACCACATTATGGGGACACCTCTTCTAAGAGGCTCAACTACTTCCAACAAATGGAACATAGAGGTAAAAAGGGCTCTGAATATTGATTTAAAAGACACTTGTCTGAAGTTTATCCTAACTTACTCATTACATGAGCTTTGATAACTCACTTAGTTTCTCTGAATCTAATGGAGTTATTGAAAACCTCAAATAGTATCATTATTGTGAGAAAATCTGTATGGTTTTTTATAAATATAAGTAGTACTATCAGTATTATCTTCATAGTAATTCTGCCTTCAATGTCCTCAGTGTATGGTGGGTCATTGTTTGGACAGGAATATGTTCAGGATATAGTGGCTACATGTAATACTGGCTTCTTTCCCTTTATTTGCCTATAAGATCATTGCACTCTCCCAGCAGAACGTAATATCATTTAGCTCACAGACTCTAAAGATACTTAACTTTTGGTATCATAGGAAATTACACATTTCTATTAAAGATCACTTTAATCACTCTACCTTTCATTCAGTGAATTGTGACACACCACTCTGAAGAAGCCTGGCTGTATATATAATCCCTGTTTGTCTTGTCAAAATGGGCACATGTACTCAAACACTAGAGATTTTGTACTTGTGTCTCTGGGGATCATCCAGACCCTTGAAGTCTTACTGTACTTTTTAAAAGGTGCCTCTACTCATTGCATCATTTGTAGGACCCAGTGCAAAATAAAGGCATGGAGTCTTTCGTTTAAAAATATAAAAATTTCAAGATGGTGACATTACAGCATTAAACTAAGCACGAGGCCTTTCTGGGCATGGGGCCCTGTGTAACTGCATAGGTTAAAACCCATGAAGCCACCCTGCCAAGTGTCCAGGCAACAGTGAAGGTAAAATTGCTGTAAACCACTATAACAGGAGAATGAGCCTTACTACCAACTGTGTAAACATTTGAATTAATGCACAGAGAAATTTCTGAATAGCCACAAGCCTTAAAGGAGCTTCAAATACAATACAAACTACATTTGGAACTAAGAAAAATTCTGCTTTAACTCTTTCAGAGCAAAATTGAAAATCTACGGTTCTGTCTTTCAGCTGCAGAACTAAACACCAAAAAAGCTTGAGTTTCTACTAAATCGCTCTTGTGTTTCACTAGAGGTGGTTTCAGTTCAGCAACAAGGTGACCTCACAGCAGGATATTGGTAAATATTTGTAAATGCTTTTGAGATTAAAAAAATTCTTCTGTTAATATGTTACTGATTATCGTAAAATTGACTCTGCTAGAGACTCTGTTAATCATTTTTTATCTTAATGGCAATAAAAGAAACGGGAAGGAGGATGAGGAAAAGGAGGAGAAAGGAGGAAGAGAAGGAGGAGAAAAAGGAGGAAGAGAAGGAGGAGGAAGGAAAAGGGGAAGGAGAAATTTCCAGGGGGAGACTTCAGTACTTGGACTACATTCATTACTTTTTATCACTGATGCTAAATGCTAGAATCTGTGAACCAAATTTTTTACTTTGTCATGGGTAATTCTATCTCAACTAAAAGCTGGAGGTTTTCAAGGTGTGTTTTAATTCACAGCAATTTTATTTTCATTAACAGAACCACTGCTGCTGTTTTATGAACTTCTCAAGAGATGAGAATTCTGAAAGAAGGCCTTGATTTTCTCATATTTTATAATAATATTCACTAATTCAATCATTCATCTGTTTTATTCTTCAATAATAATAAATACGGTTTAATTCAAAGATAAATTTAAAGAAGAGAAGAAAAATGTTGGTTCCTGAAATGCAGACATTTAGGCAATCTTCAAAACATTTGCTTGAATAAACATTCAGACTTTAATTTAGTGGTAAGGATAATTGCTTAAAATTATTTTTCTCAAATGTTGTCTTTATCTTGGTTGTTATTCCATATTATATATTAAAATTAGAATATCTATTATATATTCTGTGTTACTTACCAACGCTGGACTTAGCCACACCTCATTCCTTACTTAACAGACATACTATACACACATACTCACATATTCCACCTTAAAGAGGATTTAATAGGCCAGGCGCGGTGGCTCACGCCTGTAATCCCAGCACTTTGGGAGGCCGAGGCGGGCGGATCACGAGGTCAGGAAATCGAGACCGTCCTGGCTAACACAGTGAAACCCCGTCTCTACTAAAAAACTCCGTCTCTACTAAAAATACAAAAAATTAGCCGGGCGTGGTTGCAGGCGCCTGTAGTCCCAGCTACTCGGGAGGCTGAGGCAGGAGAATGGCCTGAGCCTGGGAGGCGGAGCTTGCAGTGAGCCAAGATTACACCACTGCACTCCAGCCTGGGCGACAGAGCCAGACTCTGTCTCAAAAAAAAAAGATTTAATAGAGATTGAAGAATTATAGTGTTATTACTTTATGAAAGAGCTACCTCTTGGTGCCATTGCCTCTGCCATTGGTTTGTTTGGAATACAATTTCAAATAACTTTTAGGTTTTCGTTTTGAAATGAAACGATTTTCAAAACAGGTACTTACAGAAGTTCCTCATTTTATTTAAAAGCCATAAAAACTATACCTTCAATACACAGTGCTTCTAGCCTCTGAAAATAATATTTTATGTGACATGTGACTTAACCTTATTTATCTAACAAAACTTTATTGAGGAAACACCACAGGAAAATACTATGCTAAGAAGTTTTTATATAAATACTAAATGGGAAGTTTTAGGTAAATATAAGCCCTTTTCCTTTAGAGCAAACAAAATTTGTTATGTTCTAATATCATAACTTTTGGCATATTTAAATGAGCTGAAAGTTTAACAGTAATGTTGTGAAACATGTAAAAATTAATTGACATCTTTCAAAATATTAACATGCATAAGAAATATGTTAAATAAATTTTAACAAAGTAAACAAAGCCTCACGATAATAATTCTTTATATTTTAAGAAAAGCGATTATTTTCTTCTAGTGTCAATGCAGATTATTTTACTTGATTTTTGGTTACAGGTCAATTTTTCCTTCTAAAATTCAGCAAATAGTGAATGAGTAGCATCTACGCAAATATTAGAAAATGCTTAGTGACATCTACTGTAGATGACTGGAGACATCTGTGAACTTAGACAAATTTCTGCTTGCCTTCTAACACTTCAGGTTTAAAAGGGATAGCGTTGACTGGGAAGCTTCTCACTTTCATTTCTGAAATAAAACATTAAGACTTCTTTGAAACTAAAATAATTTCTGCTAACCAGTTGCAAAGTACAACTGTGTTCCAAAATATTTTGGAACTTTATTTATTGTTTGCATGTTCAGAAATTAATTATGTATGCATACATTTATGTATTCATTACAGGCTTTGTTGCTGCCCAGTCTTTTGAAAGATATTTGAAAATTCAGGATACATGTTTACAGAAGAGACAAACTTGACTTCATTATCTAGAGCCAGAACACATAGTATCTGTATATCCACGGTGATTGGGACTAATGCCAAGATTTGAAATAATACCTCAGACAGTTCAGCTTCAGAGAGAGAATAGCTTTTGAAAAATCTAAAATCTACCTTAGGAACGTACATTTCTCTAAGCAAAGTGAGTATGTAAACAAAATGTTTTATTATCAGGGATTTCTCCCTTTCCCCTTCAATGTTCCCTTTCTCTTTCACCAGGCTCCCAGGCTCTTGACACTCCTGGTTCCTCCCAGTCCCCTTGTGATTCCTTTAATATCTATGCCTATTTCTGAGATATCCCTTCCTCACTCTGCCCCCTGCATACCCGTCAGTTGCCTTGTAATGTCCCTTTCCCTGAAAGCCTCGTTATTTACCTACATTTAAAATATAGATTATATTAGGCTTATACCCTAACCATTCCACATGAGATCTACACTGTAATTGAGGCTTCTAAAAAGTGATGTGGTATGGAGGACCATGATCAGATCAGTGGAGGCCTTTGGGAGACGGGGGAGCTTTGGAAATCACATCAGTGAAAGGTGTGGACAAAAACGGCCTTTTGTTGTTCCACATCATTTTTTAATCGTATTTTTTAAAGAAAAAAATGAAAAGATTCCCTCAAGTAAGTATATTATTCTGGTTTCCTCAGACCATCTCACTAACATGTTTCATTCACTATTCCAGTATTTCACTCGCGTTGGTGAGAAGAGACCACCAAACAGGCTTTGTGTGAGCAATAAAGCTTTTTAATCACCTGGGTGCAGGCGAGCTGAGTCTGAAAAGTGAGTCAGCGAAGGGAGATAGGGGTGGGGCCGATTTATAGGATTTGGGTAGGTAAAGGAAAATTACAGTCAAAGGGGGATGTTCTCTGGTGGGGAGGGGTGGGGTCACAAGGTTCTCAGTGGGGGAGCTTTTGAGCCAGGATGAGCCAGGAAAAGGAATTTCACAGTTTGCCAGTCCTGGGCGGGGGCAAATCCTCGAGCTTGATGTGTAGGAAAGGGAGGGGGCCTGAGCAATCCTTGAGGGGTAGTAGAATAGCAGATGGAACATTGAGAAGTGATTTCTTTGAGGATAGATTTCCACGATGGAAAGGAAATGAGAGGTTCTAAGAGGCAGGCTAGTGGCTTGTACTATAGCATAGCCTGCCTTTGCTAGTGTGTGGTGATTAGGCCTGGTGGAACTGCCATCAGTAAACCAAGTGTGATCAGGGTGAGGAACAGGAAAGAAGGAAATATGGGGAAATGGGGTGAATGTCAGGTGGATCAGAGAGATACAGTCATGAGGTTCAGGTGTGGTATCAGGAATAATGTGGGAGGCCGGATTGAAGTCTGGGCCAGGAACAATGGTAATTGTGGGAGACTCAACAAAGAGTGAGTACAGCTGAAGGAGCCGGGGAGCAGAAAGTATATGCGTCAGGTGTGAGGAAGAAAATAGATTTTGGAAGTTAGGAGAACTGTAGAGAGTAAGTTGAGCATAGTTTGTGATTTTTGGGGCTTCTAAAAGTATTAAAGCAGTGGCAGCCGCTGCATGCAGACATGAGGGCTAGGCTAAAATAGTAAGGTCAAGTTGTTTGGACAGAAAGGCTACAGGGCGTGGTCCTGGCTCTTGTGTAAGAATTCTGACTGCATTAACCATGCCTAGGAAGGAAAGGAGTTGCTGTTTTGTAGAAGGGATTGAGGTTTGGGAGATTAGCGGGACACAATCAGCAGGGAGAGCACGTGTGTTTTTATGAGAATTATGCCGAGATAGGTAACAGATGAGGATGAAATTTGGGCTTGACTGAAGTAATGGGAGCTGTCTGTGAAGCCTTGCGGCAGTACAGCCCAGGTAATTTGCTGAGCCTGATGGGTGTCAGGGTCAGTCCAAGTGAAAGTGAAGAGAGGCTGGGATGAAGGGTGCAAAGGAATAGTAAAGAAAGCATGTTTGAGATCTAGAGCAGAATAATGGGTTGTGGAGGGAGGTATTGAGGATAGGAGAGTACATGGGTTTGGCACCACCATGGGGTGGATAGGCAAAACAATTCGGTTGATAAGGCGCAGATCCTGAACTAACCTGTAAGGCTTGTCTGGCTTTAGGACAGGTAAAAAGGGGGAATTGTAAGGAGAGTTTATATGCTTTAAAAGACCATGCTGTAGCAGGAGAGTGATAACAGTGTCAGGCCTCTGAGCCCAAGCTAAGCCATCATATCCCCTGTGACCTGCACGTACACATCCAGATGGTCGGTTCCTGCCTTAAATGATGACATTCCACCACAAAAGAAGTGAAAATGGACTGTTCCTGCCTTAAGCGATGACATTATCTTGTGAAATTCCTTCTCCTGGCTCATCGTGGCTCAGAAGCTCCCCTACTGAGCACCTTGTGACCCCCACTCCTGCCTGGCAGAGAACAACCCTCCTTTCACTATAATTTTCCTTTACCTACCCAAATCTTATAAAAACGGCCCCACCCCTATCTCCCTTCACTGACTCTCTTTTTGGACTCATCCTGCCTGCACCCAGGTGAAATTAACAGCCTTGTTGATCACAGAAAGCCTGTTTGGTGGTCTCTTCACATGGCCACGAGTGAAATTTGGTGCCGTGACTCGGATCGGGGAACCTCCCTTAGGAGATCAATCCCCTGTCCTCCTGCTCTTTGTTCCATGAGAAAGATCCACGTACGACCTCTGGTCCTCAGACCAAACAGCCCAAGGAACATCTCACCAATTTTAAATCCGGTAAGCAGCCTCTTTTTACTCTCTTCTCCAACCTCTCTTGCTATCCCTCAACCTCTTTCTCCTTTCAATCTTGGCGCCACACTTCAATCTCTCCTTTCTCTTAATTTCAGTTCCTTTCCTTTTCTGGTAGAGATGAAGGAGATGCGTTTCATCCGTGGACCCAAAACTCTGATGCCAGTCACAGACTCAGGAAGACATTCTTCCCTTGGTGTTTAATCACGCGGGGACGCCTGCCTGATTACTCACCCACGTTTCAGAGGTGTCTGACCACATGGGGATGCCTGCCTTGGTCCTTCAACCTTAGCAGCAAGTACCACTTTTCTGGGGGTGTGTGGGACCCCATGGAAAATCAGACTGTTCAACTCACCTGGCAGCCACTGACAGAGCCCCTGGAAATCTGGCCCAAGACTCTCTAACTGACTCCTTCCCAGATCTTCTCAGTTTAGAGTCTGAAGACTGACACTGCCCGATCACCTTGGAAGCCCCCTAAACCATCTTGGATGCTGAGCTTCGGGTAACTCTCACAGTGGTGGGTAAGTCCATCCCCTTCTTAATCTCTATGGAGGCTAACCACTCCACATTACATTCTTTTCAAGGGCCTGTTTCCCTTGCCTTCATAACTGTTGTGGGTATTGATGGCCAGGCTTCTAAACCTCTTAAAACTCCCCAACTCTGGTGCCAACTTAGCCAATACTCTTTTAAGCACTCCTTTTTAGTTATCCCCACCTGCCCAGTTCCCTTATTAGGCCAAGACACTTTAACTAAGTTATCTGCTTCCCTGACTATTCCTGAGCCACAACCACACCTCGTTGCCACCTTTTCCCCCAGTTCAAAGCCTCCTTCACATCCTCACCTTGTATCTCCCCACCTTAACCCACAAGTATAAGACACCTCTACTCCCTCCTTGGTGACCGATCATGCACCCCTTACCATCCCATTAAAACCTAATCACTCTTATCCCGCTCAATGCCAATATCCCATCCCACAGCATGCCTTAAAAGGATTAAAGCCTGTTATCACTCGCCTGCTACAGCATGGCCTTTTAAAGCCTATAAACTCCCCTTACAATTCCCCCATTTTACCTGTCCTAAAACCAGACAAGGCTTACAGGTTAGTTCAGGATCTGCGCCTTATCAACCAAATTGTTTTGCCTACCCACCCCATGGTGCCAAACCCATATACTCTCCTAGCCTCAATACCTCCCTCCACAACCCATTATTCTGTTCTGGATCTCAAACATGCTTTCTTTACTATTCCTTTGCACCCTTCATCCCAGCCTCTCTTTGCTTTCACTTGGACTGTCCCTGACACCCATCAGGCTCAGCAAATTAGCTGCAAGTCTTCACAGACAGCTCCTATTACTTCAGTCAAGCCCAAATTTCCTCTTCATCTGTTATCTATCTTGGCATAATTCTCATAAAAACACGTGCTCTCCCTGCTGATCATGTCGGACTAATCTCCCAAAATCCAATCCCTTCTACAAAACAACTCCTTTCCTTCCTAGGCATGGTTAGTGCGGTCAGAATTGTTACACAAGAGCTGGGACCGCACCCTGTAGCCCTTCTGTCCAAACAACTGGACCTTACTGTTTTAGCCTAGCCCTCATGTCTGCATAGAGTGGCTGCCGCTGCTTTAATACTTTTAGAGGCCCAAAAAATCACGAACTATGCTCAACTCACTCTCTACAGTTCTCCTAACTTCCAAAATCTATTTTCTTCTTCACACCTGACACATATACTTTCTGCTCCCCGGCTCCTTCAGCTGTACTCACTCTTTGTTGAGTCTCCCACAATTACCATTGTTCCTGGCCCGGACTTCAATCCAGCCTCCCACAATATTCCGGGTACCACACCTGACTCCCATGACGGTATCTCTCTGATCCACCTGACATTCACCCCATTTCCCCATATTTCCTTCTTTCCTGTTCCTCACCCTGAACACGCTTGGTTTATTGATCGCAGTTCCACCAGGCCTAATCGCCACACACCAGCAAAGGCAGGCTATGCTATAGTACAAGCCACCAGCCCACCTCTCAGAACCTCTCATTTCCTTTCCATCATGGAAATCTATCCTCAAGGAAATAACTTCTCAGTGTTCCATCTGCTATTCTACTACTCCTCAGGGATTATTCGGACCTGCTCCCTTTCCTACACATTAAGCTTGAGGATTTGCCCATGCCCAGGACTGGCAACTCTTAATTCCCTCTTAGAGTGGATAGATGATCTTTGCTGGCAGGGGACCCTCCAATAATTTCATCCTGATGAAGTTCTATTCTTTACTTTTAGAGTCACTCTTATTCTCATTCCCATTCTTTAGCCACCCTCTACTTCTCCCCAGCCATCTCCACCACACTATCAACCTTACTCATTCTCTCCTAGCCATTTCTAATCTCTCCTTAGCGAACAACTGCTGGCTTTGCATTTCCCTTTCTTCCAGTGCCTACACAGCTGTCTCCACCTTAAACACAGACTGGGCAATATCTCCTGTCTCCTTACACCTCTGAACTTCCTTTAACAGCCCTCACCTTTACCCTCCTGAAGAACTTATTTACTTTCTAGACAGGTCCAGCAAGACCTCCCCAGACATTTCACATCAGCAAGCTGCCACCCTATTCCACACTTACTTCAAAAACCTTTCTCCTTATATCAACTCTACTCCCCCCATATTTGGACCTCTCACAACACAAATTACTATTCCTGTGGCCGCTCCTTTATGTATCTCTAGGCAAAGACCCACTGCAATCCCCCTAGGTAACTTTCACCTGCTCGACGTTCCTTTACTGTTCATCTCCAAAGCCCTCTTCTTGTTTACTTATACCCAGCCCTGAAAATAACAGTGAAAGGTTGCTCGTAGGTACTCAACGTTTTTTCACACACCATGAAAATTGAATCTCCCCCTCTTCGCAGTTACCTCATCAGTCCCCATTACAACCTCTGACGGCTGCCGCCCTAGCTGGATCCCTAGGAGTCTAGGTACAGGACACTCCTTTGCAGCACTCCTTCTCATCTTTTTACTTTGCATCTCCAGTTTTGCCTCGCACAAGGTCTCTTCTTCCTCTGTGGATCCTCTACATACTTCTGTATACCTGCTAATTGGACAGGCACATGCACACTAGTTTTCCTTACTCCCAAAATTCAATTTGCAAATAGGACTGAAGAGCTCCTTCTTCCCCTCATGACACCAACACGACAAAAAAGTTATTCCACTAATTCCCTTGCTTGTCAGTTTAAGACTTTCTGCCTCCACTATTGCTCTTGGTACTGGAATAGCAGGCATTTCAACCTCTTTCACGACCTTCCGTAGCCTCTCTAATGACTTCTCTCCTAGCATCACAGACATATCACAAACTTTTTCAGTCCTCCAGGCCCAAGTTGACTCTTTAGCTGCAGTTGTCCTCCAAAACCGCTGAGGCCTTGACTTACTCACTGCTGGAAATGGAGGACTCTGTGTATTCTTAAATGAAGAGTGTTGTTTTTACCTAAATCAATCTGGCCTGGTGTGTGACAACATAAAAAACTCAAGGATAGAGTCTAAAAACTTGCCAGCCAAGCAAGTAATTACACTGAAGCCCCTTGGACACTCTCTAATTAGATGTCCTAGGTCCTCCCAATTCTTAGTCCTTTAATACCTGTTTTTCTCCTTCTCTTACTCCGTTTAGCTTTTCGATTCATACAAAACTGTATCCAGGCCATCATCAATAATTCTACACAACAAATGTTTCTTCTAACAACCCCACAATATCCCCCCTTACCACAAAATCTTCCTTCTGCTTAATCCCTCCCACTCTAGGTTCCCGTGCCACCCCTAATCCCTCTTGAAGCAGCCCTGAGAAACATCGCCCATTATTTCTCCATACCACCCCAAAAAATTTTTGCCATCCCAACACTTTACCACTATGTCATTTTATTTTTCTTCTTATTATAAGAAGACAAACAGGCTTTAATCTTTTTAAGGCATGCTGCGGGATGGGATATTGACATTGAGTGGGGTATGAGTGATTAGGTTTTAATGGGATGGTAAGGGGTACATGATCAGTCGCCAAGGAGGGAGTAGAGGTATCTTATACTTCTGGGTTAAGGTGGGGAGATGCAAGGGCAGGATGTGAAGGCGGCTTTGAACTGGGGGAAAAGGCGGCAACGAGGTGTGGCTGTAGCCTAGGAATAGTCAGGGAAGCAGATAATTAGTTAAAATGTCTTGACCTAATAAGGGAACTGGGCAGGTGGGGATAACTAAAAAGGAGTGCATAAAAGAATGCTGTGCAAGTTGGCACCACAGTTGGGGAGTTTTAAGAGGTTTAGAAGCCTGGCCGTCAATACCGACAACAGTTATGGAGGCAAAGGAAACAAGCCCTTGAAAAGAAGGTAATGTGGAGTGGGTAGCCTCAGTATTGATTAAGAAGGGGACGGACTTACCTTCTACTGTGAGAGTTACTTAAAGCATCTGTGATGGTCTAAGAAGATTCTGAGGCGATCAGGCAGCGTCAGTCTTCAGCCACTAAGCGAAGAAGATCTGGGAAAGAGCCAGAGAGCCTTGGGCCAGAGTTCCAGGGGCTCTGGGAGTGGCTGCCGGGTGAGTTTGATAGTCCAATTTCCAGTGGGGTCCCGCACAGATGGGACACGGCTTAGGAGGAATCCTGGGCTGCCGGCATTCCTTGGCCCGGTGGTCAGATTTCTGGCACTTGTAGCAAGCTCTTGGGGGAGGCAGGCCTGGAGGAACGCCTGGCCACTGTGGTTTAGGTGTTTGGAAGAAGTCCTTGTGTGCTGGAGATGTGGTTGAGGTTTCTCTCACAGTGGAGGTAAGGAATTGCAACTCAGAAATATGTTGCTACTTGGCTGCCTCTATTCTGTTATTGTACACCTTGAAGGTGAGGTTAGTTAAGTCCTGTTGTGGGGTTTGAGGGCTGGAATTTAATTTTTCTAGCTTTATTTAATGTTGGGTGCAGATTGGGTAATAAAATAAAATGTATATTGAGAATAAGACGGCCTTTTGACCTTTCAGGGTCTAGGGCTGTAAAGCGTCTCAGGGTTGCTGCCAAAGGGGCCGTGAACTGGGCTGGGTTTTTCATATTTGATGAAAGAGTCTAAACGCTAACTGATTTGGGAGAGGTTGGATAAAGAAAAAGGAGCATCAACCTTGACTATGCCTTTGGCTGCAGCCACTTTTTAAGAGGACATTGCTGGGCAGGTGCAGGAAGAAAACTGTAAGCCGGACCGGGTGTGAGGAGGGGAGGTGATAAAAGGATTATAGGGTGGAGGAGCGGAGGCTGAGGAAGAGTTGGGACCTAGCTTGACCTGGTGATGAGGGGAGAGGTCAGATGGGTCTGTAGAAAAGGAAGATTAGAAAGACTCAGCAACACTTGGGGTTGGGACTGAGGGGACAGGCGAGAGGGAAAGAAGGAGGATTTGGGACAAATCGCATTGGGGACAGAGACTAGGGAGGGACCGAGGTGTCAAAGAATGCCTGGACATCAGGCACCTCAGACTGTTTGCCTATTTTACGATAAGAATTATTTAGATATTGTAGGATGTAGAAATTGAAAGTGCCATTTTCTGGCTATTTGGAACCACTGTCAAATTTGTATTGGGGTCAAGCGGCATTGCGGAAGAAAATAAGGCATTTAGGTTTTAGGTCAGGTGTGAATTGAAGAGGTTTTAGGTTTTTAAGAACACAGGCTAAGGGAGAAGAAGGGGGAATGGAGGGCAGAAGCTTGCCCATAGTGAAGGAGGCAAGCCCAGAGAAAAGAGAGTAGAGACACGGAGAGAAGGGGTTGGGGGGTTCTTGCCCTCCAGAAAAGTGCAGAAGGGGTAGAGACACGAAGAGAAGGGGTCAGGGGATTCTTGCCCTCCAGAAAAGTAGAGAAGGGGTAGAGATACAGAGAGAAGGGGTCAGACACAATTGGCAGGGAGGCACCAAATTTCACTTGCGTCCGTGTGAAGAGACCACCAAACAGGCTTTGTGTGAGCAATAAAGCTTTTTAATCACCTGGGTGCAGGCGGGCTGAGTCCGAAAAGAGAGTCAGCGAAGGGAGATAGGGATGGAGCTGTTTTATAGGGTTTGGGTAAGTAAAGGAAAATTACAGTTAAAGGGGGATGTTCTCAGGCGGGCAGGGTTGGGGGTCACAAGGTACTCAGTCGGGGAGGTTTTGAGCCAGGATGAGTCAGGAAAAGGAATTTCACAAGGTAATGTCATCAGTTAAGGCAGGAACTGGCCATCTGGATGTGTACATGCAGTTCACAGGGGATATGATGGCTCCACACAGGGATGAGAGTTGCTGCTGCCCAGTCCAGAGCCACAGAGCCAAGGAGGGCCTGGCCTGCCCCATGGCCCATTACAGAAGAGTTCTTCTTGTTGGCAGAGACTGGGATGAAATTCCTTACCATGAAGGACTGTATTTTTTTTTTAACTTAAATATTCATTGAGCAGCTTCTATATGCAAATTATGAATATGGAGATTCATATCATATATTGTCACTGCTTCAAAAAGCTCACAATCTCTTTTCTTCCGCACAGATTTCTGCATCCTCTCAGTCATGATGATAAAGGATTTACTACCTCAGTCATGTCACCACTCTTGAATATCATTCCCATGGCATGGTGCAGTAGGAACTGGTATGTACTAAAGATATCACCAAACATCATTTGTGTTTCTACCAGAAACCTCCAAAGTGACTAATTTGAGTTTTACCTAATCGATCTTCACAGGTTGACTTTTAAAACTAAGTTATAATAATCTTAAAGCGATTGGAAATTGAGAAGAATGTAATGGAAAATATATTTATATGGCTTGGTTAGCCAAAATTCCCTCATAAAGCACCAACCTGCAGGATCCCTTAGCAATTTACTGAAGATGAAAAATAAGCAGAACAACTTTTTATAGGTCTGTAGTCACTAGAGATTAATTACAAACACTAGGTGTATTTTAACCTAATTCTTGGTTCCTGAAAAGCACTGCAGATGACAGCAACAAAAGATAATACCTGCTTTTACCACGGGGGAAAAAAATGGATAACTGCGAGAGGTGATGGATATGTTAATTTGTTCCACAATAGTAACCATGTTAACTAAATACATGTATCTGATAACATCATGTTGTAGATCTTAAAATACACACAATAAAATTTATTTTTAAGTTAATCAGATTCCCACCTTATTTCTTCTTAAATATCCTTGGTGGGAAAAAAATGAGATGGTAAACAAATTGTTGAGCAATTCCTAAACATTCCTCATTAATTATATATCTAGTGGAGGGGTTCATTTTGTTTTGAAATTAGTATTGCATTGAAGTAGTGTTTTTAGATATTCTCATAATACAGTTTACCTCACCCATAGGCCTGTCTGGTGTGATTTATAAGAGACCAAGAAAACTTCAGCCTAAAAACACTTCCCATGCTGATGCCTGAAGTTGCTGAGTTAGGAATTGATTTATCTTGCTTCATTTAGTTCATTGCCCATTCTCAACTCGTTTTATTTTAAAATCAAAATGTGTTTTCAAACATGATCCACTTAACTGACAGCCTGAATTCAATCCGTGTAGGTTACTAAGTAATATTTTAAATCCTTTTTCATTCCTTTTACCTCAAAGTAACGGACCTGAGGAGATGACAGCCCATGAGCTAACCATCCCCTGATTATTACATGATTGCATGTAATGACACTTTAGGAAAGGAGTGGCCCTGAAAGTCTTTTAAGGACAATTTTCTTAGAGTTTACAAAGTGGGAATATTCCATGAAAGCCTTTATTTGCTCTGTGTTTATTTATCTTATATATCTACCTATTACTATTCTTAGGATGAATGAATTGTATCCAATGTTCAAAATATCTTTTTGCCTGGGCCGCGTGCGGTGGCTCACGCCTGTAGTCCCAGCACTTTCGGAGGCCGAGGCGGGCAGATCACGAGGTCAGGAGATCAAGACCATCCTGGGACCAACCCAGGAGGTGGAGCTGGCAGTGAGCTGAGATCGCAACACTGCACTCCAGCCTGGGTGACAGAGCGAGACTCCGTCTCAAAAAAAAAAAAAAAAATATTTTTGCCATTAATGGGCACCTAGGTTGATTTCATGTCTTTGCCATTGTGAATAGCACCGTGATGAACATACAACTGCATGTGTCTTCTTGGTAGAATGATTTATTTTATTTTGGGTAAATACCCGGTAAAGAGATTGCTTGGTTGAATGGTAGCTCTGTTCTAAGTTATTCAAGAAATCTCTGAGACTGCTTTTCACAGTGGTTGGACTAATTTACATTCCCATCAACATTGTATAAGCATTCCCTTTTCTCTGAAGCCTCACCAGCACCTGTTCTTTTTTGCCTTTTTAATAACAGCCATTCTGGGCCTGGCGCGGTGGCTCACGCCTGTAATCCCAGCACTTTGGGAGGCCAAGGTGGGTGGATTGCCTGAGATCAGGAGCTCCAGACCAGTCTGGCCAACACGGTGAAACCCCATCTCTACTAAAAATACAAAAAAATTAGCCGGACGTGGTGGCATGAGCCTGTAATCCCAGCTACTCGGGAGGCTGAGGCAGGGGAATTGCTTGAACCAGGGAGGTGGAGGTTGCAGTGAGTGGAGATCCTGCAACTGCACTACAGCCTGGGCAACAGAGCCAGACTCCATCTCAAAAAAAATAAATAAATAAGCTAAAAAAAAAATAGCCATTCTGACTAGTGCGAGATGGTATCTCATTGTGGTTTTGGTTTGAATTTCTCTGATGATTAGTGATGCTGAGCATTTTTCATATGTTTTTTGGTCATCTGTATGTCTTCTTTTGAGAAGCATCTGTTTATGTCCTTTGCTCATTTTTAATGAGGTTATTTGTTTTATTTGCTTGTTGATTTAAGTTCGCTTAGATTGGATAAAGAATATTCGGTAAATATACACTATGGGATACTATGCAGCCATAAAAAAGAATTAAATAATGTCCTCTGCAGCAACAAGGATGAAGACAGAGGTCATAATCCTAAGCAAATTAACTCACAAATAGAAAATCTAATACTGCATATTCCCACTTATAAGTGGGAGCTAAACATTGAGCACACGTAGACATAAATATGGGGACAGTATACACTGTGGACTACTAGATGGTGGAGAAAGGAGGGTGGGTGGGTTAAAAAAAATTACCTATAGAATACTATGCTTACTACCTGGGTGAAGGGATCCATACTCCAGACCTCAGCACAACACAGTATTCCCATGTAACAAAATTGCATGTGTTCTCTAGATCTAAAATGAAAGTTGAAATGAAATTTTAAAAGTTAAGGCAAAAAATATTTTTCCATTCCTTTCCTTTTTTCTTTTTAGCTTTCCCTTTTTCCTTCTTTGTCTATGTATTGTGGAATAATATAAATAAGTATTTTTTAATTTATTGAATAAAATCATCTATTAGTATTGCAAATATCATATTTTGGACCATTTTATATCTCTTAAATGCAAGTTACTTTTTACCTATGTGATTATTTGCATTGTTGTACTATTACTGCTAAGAAAAAGGCCTTCATAGCATACTCACAAACATTTTGTCAATACTCCACCCACAGGATTCTTCTACTTTTGTATATATTAAAAGTTCAAAAATCTATACACCTTCCAGAGAGAGAGCCTCCCTCATCTACTTAATTTAACTGATAGGATTTTGCTATCATTTGAATGTTTGTTCCCTCCAAAACTCATGTTGAAACTTAATCCCCAAAGTAGCAGAATTGAGACATAGGGTATGTAAGAGGTGTTTGGGTCATGAGGTCAGAGCCCTCATGAATGGCCTAATCCATTTATGGATAAATGGATTAGTAGAGTAATGAGTTATCACAGGAGTGGGACTGGTGGTTTTATTAGAAGAGGAAGAGACACCTAAGCCAGCAGGCTCAACCCCCTTACCATGAGATACCCTGTATAGCCTAGGGACTCTTCAGAGAGTTCTCTCAGTAAGAAGGCCCATAAAATGTGGTTCTTTGACCGTGGACTTCCCAACCTCTATAACTGTAAGAAATATTTTTTTCTTTATAAATTCTCCAGTTTCAAGTATCCATTATAAGCAACAGAAAAGGAACTGAGAGATTTGTTGATGATATTCAGATGTTATGTTTCTACAGATTTATTTGTGGATGACTGACATAAAATTAATGGTCAGCATGTATTTAAAGGTACAATTTGATAAGTTTTGACCTATATATATATATATATATAAACCTCTGAAAATATCATGATAGTTAAAATAATAACCATATCCACATCCACTACTCGCCAAAGTTGTCTTGTGCCCTTTTGAATCCCTCCCTTCTGCCAACCCCACTTCCTGCTCCCAGTTATCCACTAATATGCTTTCTGTAGGTGTATATTTGTTTGTTTTTTCTAGACCATTATAAGATGGAATCATATAGTATGCACTCTTTTTTGATGGGGGTGGATCGGACTTTTTCTCAGCTTAGTTGTTTTAAATTTCACTCATGTTGCTGCATGTGTCAATCATTCTGTCCTTTTTATTGCTAGTGGTCCATTATAAATTAATGTCACAACTTATACATTCATTCGTCAATGAAGATTTGACTTTTCTCTCCACAGTATTTTAACATTTTGGCAAATATTCATTGGTCTGCTACCAAGTCATTGTTTCAGATGTATAAACTGCTTCAAAAATGTCTCAGTAAGGTAAAATATTCCCTTTGTCATGTTGTGTAAACATAATCTTTCCAAAAATAGTGTAGACAAAAAATAAATTTCCATCAGAATTTTTCTTCAAAATATAGAGGATGTCTATAAATATGTTTTTACAACAAACCTGTATATTTGAAATTATCAAATGAACCATATAAGACGGCTGTTTATACGACTGGGTTTCTTTCAAACATTACTAGGGTGAGAATTGATAAGTCAGATGATGTTCTGGAAAAAGTAGGTGTGAAATATAGCAAGGATTGATACAATAGCTCAACAGGGACAGTAGGTGTGAAATATAGAAAGGATTGATATAACAAAAGCTCAACAGGGACAGTGCTCTCACCCTTTAAGTCCTGTTAGGTATTATTATTAAAGACAATTACTGTGGAAACCCAGCTTTTATTTTAATAGCCTAATTTGTTTCACTTGGATCTTAAGATCAGCAGAACAAAGCCTATATGACAGTGGCTGAACAGGCCATAAAAGACCCCATCTTGACCATAATCTGAGTCTGATGCATCCTGTTTCTGCCAAACCCTCCTTCTCCCTTACCTAGATAGGCCAGGTCAAGCAAGGCCAAGATCAGGGCAAATAATCTAGCAATGAATTGGCGTATCTCTTGACTCTGAGCCTGGAGAAATTGCAACAGATGAGCCTATTCATCAGAAGTGTAATCTGTCACCTCTACTTTTCATGGAATCAAAAACTGTGTGTGTGTGTGTGTATGTGTGTGTGCTTTGTTTGTTTTACTCTTCACAAGAATGCCATAGAAGAAACCAACAACTGTGTATCTTGAGAGCTGAAGGATAAGGTGGTAAATATATTCTAGTGAGATGAAACACATAGCCATACCCTTCTCTAAAACATGATCTGATAGCAGAGGAGAGCTATTCAATCTAAAGAAGGAAGGGTCTCTGAAACACACTCTCCCTTTCTTTCCAGTAACACTTTTCCTTTAGGTAGTCCCAGAAGAGGTGCTTTGGATAAAGAAAGACTAATTACTTTTACTGATGTGAATGACATACTATTTATGTCTAGCATATCCTAACAAGTATTCATATTGATTCAATATGTATAAACTCTCTCTTTGGTCCTATTACCTTCCAGATGTTTTTCTGATGATGTGTATTTAGTTTTATGTTTCTAGTCTGTAGCTTACATAGCATGGTTACCTGCTTACAACTTAAGGAAAAAAGGTAAAAGAATATTGGCAGTCTGACAATATAACAGCATACCAACAAAATGTTCCCCAAGAGATCAACAGTTCAAATGCTGGTTTCTGACAAGTTTTCTGACTTAAAAAGAAAACCAACTCATATATTTTACTGAGGAAATACGTATTGTTTCCCCAGCAATCTGAGTGCAGTAAAAATCACACACGTGGGTAATTAGGCATTAATCTCAGTAATGGAACAGCCCCACCTACCCTCGACCCTATCAGCATACAACGAGACTGGTTATTTTTTAGTGAGACACTTTTTTTGTTTCTTTTCTTGCTTTCCATTTTGTCAAATTGAAGAAAATGGTGTTTTCTTGATTGGATCTACACTGTGGGGATGCCCTGATCCGCAGTCATGGGAATAGTTGAAGACACAAAGAAACCCAGGCACAAAATATTGCTATTTTCACAGAAAATATCCTGTGGAGAAATGACATTGATTATTCCTGGGTACATTTTAAGAAGGCTTAAAGATGTTCCTGAAACATCGTTCCTTTTCACTTTGTCTCACACATGAATAGAAGTGAAAGATGCTTTCATACAGCAAACCCTATGTGAGCAACAAAAATAATTGAATAAAAGTGGTTCAATAAAGATCACTACCTATATTGCTATAGTGCAACAAATACCTAATTAATGCCTACTATGTGCAAAATACTTAATATAATTAATATATAATTCCTGATAGCCTGAATTTTACTTTCCAGTAGAGAGGCAGGCATACACTTATATAACTATAATGAAAGGGGAACTATGAAAGACACCATAACAAAATCAAAATCATTCTGTTGACTGTCAAATGCTAGATCCCCAAATATCACCCAAATCACCTTCATCAAAATAACATATTTATAAGCAAAGCTGATTTTTCCACAATTGAGAGAGAACACTGCATCCACAGAGCTTTGGTAATGTCTTAAATTGGAAAAGACAAGATTAGAAATTATTAAGAATTGAAAGTTTGGCTTAGATGGGGGGACTTCCAATGGAAATTGGAGAGTGGGGGAAAAGATATGTGCTTAATTCAGATTGGGTAAGAATCATAATAATAATGGCTTAAGACAGGTGAAAAAAAGCAAGGAAAAAATTTTGAGGCAAGGAATTAATAGGAACTCAAGGTGAAAATTTTCTGCTGATGCTTTCCATTGAACAATTGGCGTTTTTGGGAAAGTTCCTGCAATGAGCAATTAAGCTACTTGCCTGGGAAAGGATATCCTAGAATAGTAGTCATGCTAATAAATGGCATAATAAAGTCATCCTAATATATAGTCCAGGCACTGGCAAACTGTGTCCAGGGGCTGAGTTCAGAAGCAACGAAAGCTTCTCACATTTTTCAACCTTTTCCAAGGTGGTTTTTTTTTTTTTTTTTTTTTTTAAGCAGAATATGTAACAGAGATTTTAGGTGGCCTACAAAGCCTACAATATTTACTTTCCGGTCCTTTACAGAAAATCTTTTGCTAAATACTGATATAGACAGTAAATTGGGTGACTGTGAGCACTCAGCCAGCAAGCATTTGATAGGTGTAGACAGTTCAGCTTCTCAGTACCCAAATAAGAGAGAGAGGAGACAGTCATTCCTACAGATAATGGTTGGTGAGAAATTTGGGTCTGTACAAAGGCAAACATGAGGAATGTAAAGATTTTTATCTTTTTTTGCAACCACTATATCAAGAAGCATATATTCATATCCTGATTTTTTTGTTTTTTTTTTTTTTTTTTTTTTTTGAGATGGCTTCTCGCTCTTTCACCAGGCTGGAATGCAGTGGCGCAATCTCGGCTCACTGCATGCCCCACTTCCCGGGTTCACGCCATTATCCTGCCTCAGCCTCCCAAGTAGCTGGGACTACAGGTGCCCGCCACCACGCCCATCTAATTTTTTTTGTATTTTTAGTAGAGACGGGGTTTCACCGTATTAGCTAGGATGGTCTTGATCTCCTGACCTCGTGATCCGCCCGCCTTGGCCTCCCAAAGTGCTGGGATTACAGGTGTGAGCCACCGCGCCCAGCTGGAACCCATTTTCGAAGACAACAAGTAATAGGAACAGAACAACTAAAGATATGAATTCCCGTAGAAAACCATTCATACATATGACACAGTTGGCAACGTCTATTTTTTTTTCCTTTTTATTGTTGAAAGACTGAATGCAAAGCAAACATTTTCCTTCATGGAATCTTTCTATGGCATTTTCTTCTCATGAATAAATATAAAACAAACTAGAATTTAATAGCCAAGTAGCCTGTTTGGAATCTATTAAAAGGATTAGACCCACTTGATACAATACAAATTGCTAATTAATGAAGTGATGCAAGTAAATCCTTAACAACATAAGCATAAAAAATTATTTTTTTGGCTTGAGTAGTAGATAACACATGAGTTTTTCATAGGTTCCAGTAAGACTATATATTATATATTCTTATTTCAAAATCATTCTGTTCTTTGAAGCTCTCCCAAAGTGAATACACTTGGCTGAGAACATTTCCATCCACAATTCACTTCTAGACCACACCAACATCACACTAATCCTAGGACTTTGAATTAATCTGTCAGAATATTCAAGTGCCATGTATGACTATTATAAACAGATAAAGCTAATATCCAGAAAAAGCTGAATATCATTTTTTAACATCTGTGATGGTTAATTTTATTCATTAACTTGACTGGACTAAGGGTGTCCAGATAATAGCTAAAACATTATTTCTAGGTGTGTCTGTGACAGTGTTTGTACAACAGATTAGCATTTGATTCAGTACACTGAGTAAAGAAAATCTGCCTTCACCAATGTGGTCAGGCATCATCCAATTCACTGCGCCCTAATAGAACAAAAAAGGGAGAGGAAGGGCAAATTCTCTCTTCTCGAGCTGGAACATGTATCTTTTTTTGTTCTCAAACATCCGAGACTCTGTTTCTCAGACTGGGAGTCATATCATCAGCTTCCCTGGCTCTCAGGCCTTCAGACTGAGATTGAATTACACCACCCACTCTCGTTCTCCAGCTCACTGATGGCAGACCATGGGCTTTCTCAGCCTCCATAATTTCTTGAGACAATACCCATAAAAAATCTCCTCTTGTATATTTATATATTGGTTCTCTTTTTCTAGAGAACACTAATACAAGATCCAATGATAAAGGTAATTGCTCCAGATGCTAGAAGCAAAATTTAAATAGAAGAAATGTGAGTTTTTCCATCAATGTTAAGAGGAAAACAGAAAGAGAGAGAGAGCCTTTAGTCATGTAGAATTAAGAGACTTAACCAAGTCTTTGGAATTAGAGTGTTCAGCACCACTAGAATGGAAATTTGAGACTCACATTTCTCATTTAAATAATTCTCTTGGAGACTTAGAATGTAGAATTTACACAAAAGATACCATCCAGTTTATTTCCATAAAAGATCTGAGTATCCTGTTTGAGGAAAATATTAGAGAAGACACAGACATTCTTACAATGACTAGGTCTATATGTTATAGACCATTAAGAGTTTAATTTGTTTTGTACTATTTGAAATGTAGCACCATGCTAGAATATTATTTTACTTATCAGATAGAGGGAAAGTAAAATAAAAAAGTCTTTATTTGATTGACTATTGGTTATAAATATCTGATAAATGAGATCAATTCGTAAATTGTTCATGTAACTGAGCCAGTTATCTTTGGGAATAACTCTTTTTTTCTGTGATAATTACAACTGGGGGAAAGAGAATAGTAATGAAAGACAACCCTAGTATGTGTGTTCTTTATATTTACTTATGGATGATCTTTAAAAAGCTCACTTATATGTTCCCCTAAATTTTGATTTATGATCTTTGTACAATGATTTGAGGACTACATGATGTTATAGATTAATTCAAATACTTTAGAGAGAGAAGAAAATGAGACTCAGAAAGGTCAAGTGTGTTTTTCAGATTCCTACATTAGGTCTCTTGGGCCTCTATTTCTCTCCTTTCTACCAAATCCTAACCACGATAAATGGTACAGGCTGAGCATCCAAAATCCAAAAATCTGAAATCCAAAATGCTCCAAAATATGAACATTTTTGACCCTCAAATAAAATGTTCGTTGGAGCCTCTCAGATTTCAGATTTTCAGATTTGGAATGCTCAACTGGTAAATGTAATGCAAATATCCCAGAATTAAAAAAAAATCAAAAATCCCAAATACTTCTGGTCCTAAGCCTTTTGAATAAGGGATACTCAGTCTGTATTTCTACTGTGTCATACTTCAGTAATTGGCCCAATAAGTTCAATAACGACCTTGCAATATTAGTGTCTTTACCTCAGCCAGAAATGAGTGGAAGGAACGTTATATGCAAACAGAAAAGGACACAGTTATTTTAATGTCCCTTCCTACCCTATCATTAGCCCTCTCTATCTTATCCCATTTATTGAGTTCATTAACCCTTAAAGAAACATACGAAACTTTAATGCCTGCACTTTTCTTAGTTTATGTATTATACTTCTATATCTCCATTTACATCGTGGTCCTGAATGCCATATTAATTATCTGGTTTACTCTTTCACCAGCCTCTTCAATTTCAAGTAAACTTCTGTACTTCTACTACACCCATTGAACCAACCAGAGGCAATTAGCATCCATTTTGAAGCAGCCAAAAATGTTGGTTCCTTCAAAATGGATGTTAAGTGACTTTGGAGAAAAATAGTATTATTCTATTATGTGGCTGGGTGACAATTTAGTGCTAGAAAGGCATTCAAGCTGCTGGACAATTATTTAATGTGTCTTTGGTAACCTCTTTCTTACACCCTTCAGTGACTGTCCCAATACTAATCACTGTCCTCATGCTGTCCCACAACCCAGCTCCTGCTCTCCCATTTGCAATAGAAAAATCTCATCACTCAAAGTACCAAATAGCACAGTATTGTAGCACTGTATTGCCGCCCTATCTTGCTTATCTTTCCTCACCATCTGATTGTAAATCATTTAGGAAGTAGCATTTCTTCTTTATCTTTGTATCTTCAATGGCTAGTATACAGGAAGATCCAGCATACATAGATGGGTATTGTTCATTGTTCTCTTTCTTTGCTCATTCTCTTCTTGCTGGAATTCCTTCCACCCTATCCTGTCTCTGTCTTCTTGCCATCCTTCCCACTTATTGCAGAATTACTTCTGAATTTGTTTGGTAATGTATTACACATCTATCTCCTCTCAGAAGGCTTCCTTGAATATTCTTACTCTGGGCTACCTGTGCTGACTATGCTCACAAAATGCCTTTCAATAACTCTGTTATCATTATTATATTGCCTCTATAATACATAGTTAAAAAAATCATGTAGCACAGAAAGTTACGAAATGAAAACTAAAATTTTCTCTTTCTCCAGTTCCTTGAAAGATAATGTCAGGATTAAATGGTTGACCTTTTCTCAAACCATGCCAATTACTCAAAATCATGGAGCAGTTGTTTGCTTTAAATTTGGATTACAACTTTCAATAACCTTTTTGTCTTATTGCGGATTTCAAGGGTTCAATTGCCTTTTTTTTGCTTGCTTATATAAGAAGCATATGTCTTTGGCTTAACTCTAAAATCATTCAAGTTCTCAACCAAAACATTTGTCAAAATGAAGCATCTGACTTCATGTTTCAATTAAAGCTAGTTATTCTCTAATGATGCACTAGAGTTCTCAATATGGCATTCCAAATTAAGTGCATTTTAAAAGTCTGTATATAGTTTTTTTAATTTTGTTTTCATTTTACTTTGGAGTATAACCTTACTCAGATTATGGATGGCTTGGCAAGAATATACAATTTTCTCTTTGTCTCACGGCCTCATTTTCTAATGCCAATCTGATTCCCGTTCACTTATCCATAAACTGGCATTTTTTTCCCCAATCACCTTTAAGACCATCTTTGTATCTTTAATGTTCTGAAATTTCATGAATGTGTTTAGAAATAGGACTTTTTCCATCATTCTAGGAACTTGTCAGGTTCTCCCAATTTGATATTTGTTGTTAAATGTTGTGAAATAATGTCAATTAGTTTTTTGACTAGTTTCTTGTCTCTATTTTTTCTGATCTTTCCAAAGTTCGCATTAGTCACATGATGGAATTCTAGCCTCTCTATCTCGATGTTTCTCTTTGATGTTTCTCTCAGAGTTTTCTCATTTTTTTTGACTTTTTTGCTCTATCTTTTGAGACTTTTTTTCTTTTATTTTCTAACACTTTTTTAATGGTTTTCTTTCCAGTAACATTTTCTAATTCTCTGATAATTTTTTAAAACATAAGCTTGATCTTGTTTTATTTACTGCAGAATGTTCTGGAATCTCTAAGGAAACTCAAAATACAATTTTCTGTTCCTTGAGTTCTGTTTTTTGGGGCATCTTTTTTTTTCTATTTGTTATCATTATGCTTCTCTACATTTGTTCTTCACTTCTTGAAAATTTCTGGTGCTATTTTGTTCTCAATTCATATCTGTGAATGAATATGTGTTAAATATTAGTTATTGACCTTGATCTCCTATGACTTTGTATAGGTGTCTTTGTTGCTCTGTGGAGAAAAACGTACTGAGTTTTATTTTATTTATTTATTTATTTATTTTTTTATTTTTATTTTTATTTTTTACATTTCTTTGAAAATTTTTCTTTTATTTTTCTTTTTTTTTTTTAATTATACTTTAAGTTTTAGGGTACATGTGCACATTGTGCAGGTTAGTTACATATGTATACATGTGCCATGCTGGTGCGCTGCACCCACTAACTGGAGATGGAGTTTCGCTCTTGTTGCCCAGACTGGAGTGCAGTGGCAGTGATCTCGGCTCAGTGCAACCTCTGTCTTCCAGTTTCAAGTGATTCTCCTGCCTCAGCCTTCCGAGTAGCTGGGATTACAGGTGCCCCACCACCACGCCTGGCTAATTTTTGTATTTTTAGTAGAGACGGGGTTTCACCATGTTGGCCAGGTTGGTCTTGAACTCCTGACCTCTTTATCTGTCTGCCTCAGCTTCCCAAAGTGCTGGGATTACAGGCGCAAGCCACTGCACCTGGCCAAAACTTACTGAGTTTTATATCAGAGTTAGAGGTATGTCAAGTGGAAGACTTCATTCTCACTTGCATGTGTGGAAAGAATACAGGTCTCCTACAACCACCAAACCTCCTGTCTTGTGCCAAGATAAGATGTTGACTCTGAGTCCTTGCCCACCGTAAATAAATTTTTCAACTTCTTTAAACAGCACATCTCTAGTCTTCATCTTGGTGTTAGATGCTCTAAAGGTGGAGGATGAAAGCATGTGGTAATCTGCTTTTGATATTATGAATAAAAGCATAAATGAATGACTCTGTTTTGTAGCCTACTCCTGGTCTCTGATCTTGAAGGCCCACTAAGGCTCTGGTGGGTGGGGGAAGAACAGTTTTTATTTCTACTAGAGTTTCCTCCTCTTTACATTTCTACTTTGCTACTAGAATCATCTGCTATTCTTTATACTCCAAATATTCATGCATGTTTGAAAGTCTTTAAGCCACTCATGAAACTTCTCTCATTATGAGAGCAGTAATTAATTCACATCTTTTTATACAACTTAGGTGTCATTTCACAAAATCTGGAGTGAGAAGTGAAAGAAATATATGGACTTAGCCACCTTGAACAGTAGTACAACCAACACACATTCTTAGCAATATCCATTTATCAAAGTTGCAGTTAGTAAGAGTTGGGACTCTTACTGATGAAGATTAGATATTTGCTGCCTTACTTATGATGCATGGTTAACGAGCTCTGTAATTTCCTACTTGAAATGCATTCACCTTTTTGTCAACAGTAAACAGGTTGTGGCAATAGGAATACCTATATATGTAAATGTTCATGTAAATGTCTTTCTGCACTAAATAGTTGAAAATCCGTAAGTATATAAATCACGTCTTAATCTTTAACTTGATAGCAGCTGCTCCCCAAATGTTTGTTCAACTGACCTGTAAAAATTACTATTTAGTTTTTACAGAAAAGAGGAACAGGCCTAGGTCCAATGAATGAAAGTTACAGAAAGACATATAAGGGTAGATTATCTAACAATTAAGCACTTCAGCAATGAAACAATCCATCTCAGAGACAGTGAGTTCTTGGTCAACAGAATGTTCAAGTAGAGATTTGAAGACCACCTGTAAGGCAACATCTTTCATTGGTAGAAAGGTTTGTTCAAAGAAACTATAGCTATATTTTAACTCTGAGATTTTAATGTCCATTCAACTGTTGCCCGCAGCTGAGAAAAAGCTATGCCACAAAATGCAAGCAAAACAATTGAGTCAAGTAGCTAGCCAATGTGCATACTTCTCAGGCTGCAAAAGCCATCTGGTTATCAAAATCTCTTCTCTGGTGTCTCACAGGAGATGCAGCTTCTCCATGGTAAATATACTTTATAATGAGTACAATCTTATCTGTCCACTAAAGTTTTGCTTGCTTTAAATATAGTTTCTTTTAATATTATCCTAATTTATTCAACACTGTTGCTAATTTTCCAAGCCAGAGAGAATAAATTTGAAATATAACAATTATTAATAAAGTGATGTTAATTATAAGCAAAAATGATTACAATTTCTTGAGCAGTAGCATTTCTTTCATTACAAAGGGGTTCAAAGCAGCTTAGAAGAATTACAAACTGTATGTCTGATCTTCAGTTTCATAGATCTCTTCATTCATTCATCTACTTTTATACAGGTCTTGTATAACGATAAGATAACTTTCTAAGCCTAAGAAGTGGAAAATTATATTGTGTTAATTATTATAATACTAAAAATATCTCTACAGTGTCTTCTCTGTACTAGTGTTGATTAGTGTTCATAAACTTAAGTACCTACAGGGTGCTAGCAGCTAAAGTGAATGAGTGTTTTAGGTTGCTATTAAAAAATAAACTTTTTTTTTTTTTGGTGAAGTAGACTATCCTTTGCAACAGCCTAGTTTCATTTTTATTCATAACCCAGCCCAAACAAATGGTTTCGGTGTTTTGTCTTTCCAACAACCTAGTGGGGGGATTGGGGAGAGATGGGATATTTAATGGGTACAAAAATAGAAAGGGGCCGGGCGCAGTGGCCTGGTTCACACCTGTAATCCCAGCACTTTGGGAGGCCGAGGCGGGCGGATCGCAAGGTCAGGAGATCAAGACCATCCTGGCTAACACGGTGAATCCCTGTCTCCACTAAAAATACAAAAAATTAGCTGGGCGTGGTGGCAGGTGCCTGTAGTCCCAGCTACTCGGGAGGCTGAGGCAGGAGAATGGTGTGAACCTGGGAGGCGGAGCTTGCAGTGCGCTGAGATTGCACCACTGCACTCCAGCCTGGGCAGCAGAGCGAGACTTCATCTCAAATAAATAAATAAATAAATAAATAAAAATTAAAAAATTGGATAAATAAGGCTTACTGTTGCATAGCACAACGGGGTGATTATAGTCAGTAATAACATGTACATTTTAAAGTAACTTAAAGAATATAATTTGATGGTTTGCAATTCAATGGATACATGCTTGAGGGGACAGATACCCAGATACCCCCTCATTCATGATGTACTTATTTCACATTACATGCCTGTAATTTTTTAAAATAAGTATTTGTTTCCTCTTTAGTACTATTCTAGGTAAACGCAACAGTCTAAGCTTGCTCATTCAAACTGTATCATAGTGGGGAATAGTGGGTCAGTGGTAGATTGGAGAGTAGAAGCCTTGTGTGTGTTACTGTTATTTTAAAATTCATTGTAAAATATTGCAGATATACTAGAAGATATAAACTATACCGAAGTAAATATCTATGTACCCATCATTCAGTTTTAGAAGTAAAACATTGCAAAGGCTGTTGGAGATTCCTGAATACCTAACCTTTTCTTCTTATGCACCCTACCTACCTGTTCTCAGACATATTCATTATATTGATTTGCTTCTTAGTAGTTTCATGCACTTCTGCAAGTAATTATTATATAATTGTGTATCTTTAAAATCAAATATAATTGCTTTTCATATGTTAAAATTAACGTACATGATGTACTATATGTATTCATTTATCAATGGTTTTTCCATTCAAAAGTATGTCTGCAAGATTCATCCATATTGATACCAGTAACAGATCCATTTCTATTTGTTGCTGTATAATATTCCATTGTATGAACATATCAACACTTATTTACCGATATAATTACATTTATTGTTTATTCTTTGTGTATATTGATGAAGATAGACTTTACTACTCTGAGTTCATACAGATATTCCTGTATTCATTTTTAATTTGCTAGAATTTATTTTTGTATGTAGTTTAGAGGAAGAATCTAATTTCATTTTTTTCATAAGGCTAACTAAAACAAAATGCCATTTATGAGTTAATATTTTGCTCATTGATGTGTGATACCAGCACTTATATGTGTCAGGTTTCCCTTGCTCTACTTGCCTATGCCTGTGTCAATATCACAGTATTTTAGCTATAATAAAGATATAGTAGATCTTAATAGCTGGTATGGCATACATACCCATACCTACCCATCTCATTTATCAAAAATAATTTGATTCTTCATTACTTATTTCTCTTCTACATATATTTTAGAATAAATATAATTTTTGGCAAAATATTATGTTATTGGCAGTGCATTAACTTTATGAATACATTTAGAAACAACATCTTTACTAGATTTAGCACTTTCAGTCTATGAACATGGAAAATTTACTTCTTTATGCCATTTAAAACATGATTATAAAACTTTTTATTTTCTTTTAGTGATTTTGGAAAGATTATGTTGCTGTTGTGTATGATCCCTTTTATCTAAGCATCCATATTTACTGGAATAAAGTATCAAAATATTTAGTAATTTTATTTAGATAAGTATCCTGTCCATATTTTCTTGTTTAGAACAAAAGTGCCAATGCAGGCACGTCGTGGGTGATCAGGCCACACTTCCACTCAGATGGAGTGGGGCAAGTTCCAAAGACTAGTCTTACCAAGTCAAGTCAAGTCAAAACCAGAACAAAAGTGCCAATACAGGCACACCGTGGGTGATCAGGCCACGCTTCCACTCAGATGGAGTAGGGCAAGTTCCAAAGACGAGTCTTACCAAGTTTCAGATGTCCGGACTCCAAGTGCCAGTTCCTTCCCGGTGTTCAGCCACTGTGTTAATCCTCCACAGGGGCCTGCTACGTGCTGTTCTGGTGAGGCGTTCCACCCAGGCAATTTTCTACCCAGGAGTGCTCTTTGGATCACGTCACTCAGGCTGGCCAGAGTCCCCTGCAGGGATGCTCCACAGGGCAGGCCTAAGCTGCCTAAGGGGCTACCTCGGCCATCCCTCAGTTACCTCGATTCCCGGTCAGGGGACCAAGAAATGTAGAAGGACGAGCCGCAGACAAAACCTCTCAGACACCAAGTTGTAGAAGGAAGGGCTTTATTCAGCTGGGAGGATCGGCAAGCTGCTGCCTTAAAATCCGAGCACCCCAAGTGCACAATTTCTGTCCCTTTTAAGAGCTCACAACACTAAGGATTTCACATGAAAGGGTTGTGATTGATTTCAGCAAGCAAGGAATACGTGACAGGGGCTGCATGCACCAGTGGTCAGAGAGAAACAGAACAGGGCAGGGAGTTTCACAGTGTTCTTCTATACAATGTCCGGAATCTACGAATAACATTGGTTTCTAGGTTATGAGTTGATTTTTAACTACTGGGTTTAGGCCAGGCAGGCCCAGGCCTGGTTTTGGGCCTGGCACTGGGCTGCCTGTCTTTGATTTCACTTCCTTGTTTTTTTCTTAAAACAGGTACTGAGTATAATACAATATGAGAGGATCTCTCTCTTCTCTCACTATGGTATTTTTTTTAAAATGTGTACTCTTTACTTGCAGGGTACAGGTTTCATATATGTGCATTAAAGCAGACTTTTGTTATGTTGTTCTAATGTTCTCTTTTTTTTTCATTTTTGTCTATTTGATTTATCACTTACAAAAACACGCATGCTAAAAACTTCCAGTCTGACAGGGGATTTGTGAGTTTTATCCTATGATTTTTATCCAATTTGCTTTATATATTTTTTCTTTTTTAAAAAATTATTTCTAATTTTTATGGGTACATAGTGGGTGCATATATTTATGGGGTACATGAGTTATATTAAGGATACAAGCATACAGCGAGTAATAATCACATCAGGGAAAGTGGAGTATACATCACTTCAAACATTTATCATTTATCTGTGTTACAAACTTTCTAATTATACCCTCAATTATGTAAAAATGTGCAAAAGATTAATTTTTCCTGTAGTCACCCTGTAGTGCTATCAAATACTAGATCATGTTCATTCTATGTTTTTGTACCCATTAACTATCCCCACTTGCCCACCCACCTCAATCCCTACTACCCTTCCTAGCCTCTGAGAAACATCATTCTACTGTCTCCATGAGTTCAATTTTTCATCTGTAACTCCCCCAAATGATTGAGAATATGCAATGTTTGTCTTTCTGTGCCCGGCTTATCTCACTTAACATAATGACCTCAGGTACCATCCATGTTGCTGCAAATGACAGGATCTCATTCTTTTTTATGGCTGAGTTTTACTCCATTGTGTATATGTACCACATTTTCTTTATCCATTCTTCTGTTAACAGACACTTAGGTTACTTAAAATGTCTAGAATAGCCAATTTTGGCTATTCTGAATAGTGCTGCAATAAACACAGGAGTGCAGATATCTCTTTGATCAACTGATTTCCTTTCTTTTGGTTATATAACTAGCAGTGGGATTGTTGAACCATATGGTAGCTCTAGTTTTAGTTTTGGAGGAACCTCAAAAGTGTTCTCAATAGTGGTAGTACTAATTTGCATTCCCACCAACACTGGAGAAATGTACCCTTTTATCCACATCCTCACCAGTATTTTTTATTGCCTGTCTTTTCAATAAGAGCCATTTTAATTGGGGTAAGATAATATCTCTCGTAATTTTGAGTTACATTTGTATGATGACCAGTAATGTTGAGCACTTTTTCAGATACCTGTTTGCTATTTGTATATCTTATTTTGAGAAATGTCTATTTCAATTTTTACCCACTTAAAAATCAGATTATTAGATTTTTTTCCTATTGAATTATTTGAGTTCCTTATATATTCTGGCTATTAATCTCTTGTCAGAGGAATAGTTTGCAAATATGTTCCCCTATTCCGTGGGTTGTCTCTTCACTTTGTTGATTGTTTCCTTTGTTGTGCAGAAAGGTTTTAACTTCATGTAATAGCATTTGTTGGCTGGGCACTGTGACTCACTCCTGTAATCCCAGCACTTTGGGAGGCCAAGGCGGGTGGATCACCTGAGGTCAGGAGCTTGAGACCAGCCTGGCCAACATGGTGAGACCCCATCTCTACTAAAAATACAAAAATTAGCTGGGCGTGATGGTGGGTGCCTGTAATCCTAGCTACTCAGGAGGCTGAGAGAATCGCTTGAACCCAAGAGGCAGAGGTTGCAGTGAGCCGAGATCGTGTCATTGTACTCCAGCCTGGGTGACAAGAGCGAAACTTCATGCCCTACCAAAAAAAAAAAAAAAAAAAAAAAAAAAAGCATTAGTTAATTTTTGCTTTGGTTGCCTGTGCTTGTGGTGTAATATTCAAGAAACCTTTGCCAACTGCAGTGTTTTGATGAGTTTCTTCAATTACTTCTTTTAGAAGTTTCATAGGCTGAATTATTAGATTTAAGTCTTTAATCCATTTTGTTGTGATTTTTGTCTATGGCAAGCAACAGAAGTGCAGTGTCATTCTTCTGCATATGGATACCCAGTTTCCCCAGCACCAACTATTGAGGACTGTGTTTTCTCCAATGTATGTTCTTGGCACCATTGTCGAAAATAAGTTCACTGTAGATGGGTAGATTTATTTCTGTATTGTCTATTCAGTTCCATTGGTCTGTGTGTCTGTTTATGCCAGTACCATGCTGTTTGGTTTAGCTCTGTAGTATAATTTGAAGTGAGATAATATGATTTCTCCAGTTTTGTTCTTTTTGCTCAGGATTGCTTTGCCTATTCTGGGTCTTTTGTGGTTCCATATAAATTTTAAGATTATTTTTTCTGTTTCTGTGAAGAATGCCATTGATATTGTGATAGGGATTTGATTTCATATCCTGCATTGAATCTGTAGATTGATTTGGGTAGTATGGGAATTTTAACAATATTGATTCTTCCAATCCACAAACGTGGAATATCCTTTCAGTTTGTGGTGTTCTCTTCAATTCCTTGCATCAATGTTTCATAGTTTTCATCGTAGAGGTTTATAACTTTTTTGGTTGAAGTTTATTTTTACATATTTATTGTATTCACAACTACTGTAAATAGGCTTACTTGATTTCTTTTCCAGATTGTTCACTGTTGTCATACAGATATGTTACTGAATTTTTATATTGATATTGTATCGTGCAACTTTACTAAATTTATTTGTTCTGATAGTTTTCTGGTGGAGTCTTTAGGTTTTTCCAAATATATGATCATATCATCTGCAAAAAAAAGGATAATTTCACTTCTTCCTTTCCAATTTGGATCCCTTTTTTTTCTTTCTCTTGTCTAGATAGGACTTACAGTACTATGTTGAGTAACAGTGAAGAAAGTAGGCATCTATGTCTTTTTCCAGATCTTAAAAGAAAGGCTTTCAGTTTTTTGCCATTTAGAATGATACTATCTGTGAGTCTGATGTATACAGCTTTTACTGTGTTGAGATATGCTCCTTCTAAATCCATTTTTGAAGGTTATCATCATGAAGTGTTATTGAATTTTACCAAATGTTTTTTCAGCATCAACTGTAATGATCACATGGTTTTTGTCCTTCATTCTGTTGATGTGATGTATCATATTGAGAGATTTGCATGCATTGAACCATCCTTATATCCCTGGGATAAATCCCACTTTGTCATGATGGATGATCTTTTAAAGGTGTTGTTGAATTCAGTTTCCTAGTATTTTCTTGGCAATTTTTGCATTAGTATTCATCAGAGATACTGGTTTTTAGTTTTCTTGTTTCAGTGTGTCATTATCTCACTTTTGTATCAGAGTAATACTAGCCTCATAGAATGAGTTTAGAAGGATTCCCTCCTCTATCTTTTGGAAAAGTTTGGGTAGGATTGATATTGGTTCTTTAAATATTTGGTAAAATTCAGCAGGGAAGCCATAGGGTCCCAGGCTTTTCTTTGCTGGGAGACATTTTTCTTTTTTTGAGACAGAGTCTCACCCTGTTGCCTAGGCTAGAGTGCAGTGGCATGATCTTGGCTCACTGCAGCCTCTGCCTCCACCTCCTGGGTTCAAGTGATTCTCCTGCCTCAGCCTCCTGAGTAGCTGGGATTACAGGTGTGAGCCACCAGGACTTGTTAATTTTTTAATTTTTTATTTCTGTTTTTAATTTTTTTGAGACCAAGTCTCACTCTGTGGCCTAGGCTGGAGGGCAGTGGTACAACCTCAGCTCACTGTAACTTCCGCCCCCTGGGTTTTAAGCGATTCTCCTGCCTCAGCCTCCCAAATTTTTTTATTTTTAGTAGAGACAGGGTTTCGCCATTTGGGCCAGGCTGGTCTTAAACTCCTGGCCTCAAATGATCCACCTACCTCGACCTCCGAAAGTTCTGGGATTACAGCCATGAGCCACTGAGTCCTGCTGCTGGCATACTTTTTATTGTCTTTGACCTTATTACCTTTTATTAGTCAATTCAGGTTCTTTGATTCTTCATGATTCAATCTTGTTGAGTTTTATGTATCTAGGAATTTATCCATTTCTTATAGGTTTTCCAGTATCAGTTGCAATGTCTTCTTTTTTCATCTCTGATCTTACGTGGGTTTTTCTTTTTCTCTTAGTCAAGTTAAAGATCTTTTTTATTTTGAATTGTTTTCTTCATTCAATTTTATTTATTTCTGCTCGATCTTTATTATTTCTTTTCTTCTACTAATTTTGGGTTTGTTTCGCTCTTGCTTTTCTAGTTTTTTAAGATTAAACTTTAGGTTATTTATTTGAAATTTTTCTACTTGTTTGATATAGGTGATTATTGCTATAAACTTTCCTCTTAGTACTGCCTTTGCAGTATTTCATAATTTTTGGTATGTTGGGTTTCCATTTTCATTTGTTTCAATATTATTTTTAAATTTCCTTCTTAATTTCTTCATTGACCCACTGGTCATTCAGGAGAATGTTGTTTAATTTCCATATGTTTGTGTAGTTTCCAAAGTTCCTCTTGATATTGATTCCTAGTTCTATTTCATTGTGGTCAGATAATATACTTGATACAATTTCTATTTTTTTGAATTTTTAAGACTTGTTTTGTGGCCTAACATACTGTCTGTCCTTGAGAATGTTCCATGCACTGAGGAAAGGAATGTGTATTTTGCAGCCATTGGATGAAATCTTCTGTAAATATCTATGAAGTCCATTTGGTCTGTGCTGCAGATTAAGTCCAGTGTCTTAAATATGACATGCCACTCTCTCCTGGCAGGTAAAATTTCCACTAAAAAGTCTGCTGCCAGGTGTATTGGAGCTCTTTTGCATGTATGGAAGCTCACTTGCTCCTTTGTTTCTTTTCTCTTGCTGCTTTTAGGGTCCTTTCTTTATTCTTGCCCTTTGGGAGTTTGATTATTAAATGTCTTGAGGTAGTCTTACTGGGGTTAAATCTGGTTGGTTTTCTATGACCTTCTTGTACTTGAGTATTGGTATTTTCCTCTAGGTTTCAAAAGTTCTCTCTTACTATCTTATTGAATTAAATTTCTACCCTAGTCTCATTCTGTATGACTTCTTTACAGCCAATAACTCTTAGATTTGACTTGCTGAGGCAATTTTCTAGGTCTTGTAGGCATGTTTTATTTTTTTAAACTGTTTCTTAAATTTTCTCCTCTCTAACTATATATTTTCAAATAGCCTGTCTTCAAGCTCATTAATTCTTCTGTTTGGTCAGTTCTGCTGTTGAGAGGCTCTGATGCATTCTCCAGCTCTAGAATTTCTTCTTGGTTTTGTTAAACTATTAAAAACTCCATTAAATTTATCTAATAAGTTTCGGCATTATTTCTCGCTGTTATCTTGAATTTCATTGAGTTCCCTCAAAACTGCTATTTTGAACTCTCTATCTGAAAGGTTACATGTCTCTGTCACCCTGGGATTGTTCTCTTGTGCCTAATTTAGTTCATTTGATGAGGTCATGTTTTCCTGGATGATCTTACGGATGTTCGTTGATGTGTGGGCATTGAAAGTTTGGGTATTTATTGCATTCTTCTCAGTCTGAGCTTATTTGTACCCATCCTTCCCGTGAAGGTTTCCTAAGTATTAAAAGAGAATTGAGGGTTGTAATCTAAGTCTTTGGTCACTGCCGTAGTATCTGTATTAGAAGGCACTGAAGCCCGGTAATGCTATGACTGTTGCAGACTTGTAGAGGTACCACCTTCATGTTCTTGGGTAAGATCTGGGAGCCTGATATGGTTTGACTGTGCCCCCACCTAAATCTCATCTTGAATTGTAGCTCCCATAATTCCCTGTCGTGGGAGAGACCCAGTGGGAGGTAAGTGAATCATGGGGGCAGGTATTTCCCATGCTGTTCTCATGATAGGGAATAAATTTCATGAGATCTGATGGTTTTATAAAGGGGGGTTCCCCTGCACACACTGTCTTGCCTGTCACCATGTAAGACATGACTTTGCTCCTCATTTGCCTTCTGCCATGATTGTGAGTCCTCCTCAGCCATGTGCGACTGTGAGTCCATTAAACCTCTTTCCTTTATAAATTACCCTGTCTCAGGTATGTCTTTATTAGCAGTGTGAGAACTAATACAGAGCCTTACCAGGATTATCAGCAGAGTCTCTTATTCTCTTTCCTCATTTTCCTTCAAACAAGGAGTGTTTCCCTCTCTCTGTGCTGAGCTTCCTGGAGTTGGGGAACAGGTAAGACAAGTGCCCATGGCCAGCACACTAAGAAGTGCTGGGTAAGATCTGAAGCCAGCCTAGTACTGGGTCTCACCAAGTCCTGTGGTGATTATTGTCTGTCTACTGCCTATGTTTATTCAAGGCCCATGGGCTCTGTAGTCAGCAGGTGGTGAACGCAGCCAGGCAAGTGTCTTTCCCTTCAGGGAGGGAGCTTCCTTCTGGCCCAGGGTGGACCTAGAAATGCTGTTTAGGAACTAGACCCTGGGGTTGATAAGTTTAGGGATCTACTTGCTACCTTATTTTCCTGTGGCTGAGCTGGCACCCAAGTTGGAAGATAAAATCCTTTTTACTCTTCCCTTTTCTGTCCTCAAGCAAAACACATCTCTCTCTGTGGTCACCACAGCTGGGAATGTGCTGGGTCACACCGGAAGCCCGCACAGTACTAGGTCACCTAAGGTCTGTGATGAATACTGTCTGGCTACCACTGATGTTAATTCAAGGCCTAAGGATTCTTTCGTCAACAAGTGATTAATCCTGCCAGGACTAGGTTCTTCACTTCAGGGCAGCAGGTTCCCTTTTGACCCTGGGTGTGCCTAATGATACTGTGTGGGAGCTAGGGCCTGGAATGGGGGTTTCAGAACTCTGCTTGGTGCTTCATCTTACTGTGGCTGAGCTCTTATCCAAGTTGCAAGACAAAGTCCTTTTTACTCTCTTCTCTCCTTTCCTGGAGGGGAAGAAAGGAGTCTCTCTAGGAGCGGCAAGCTATGATGCCTTAGGTTGGGGGAGGGGTGACACAAGCACTCCCTTGGCTGCCCCAGCCGGTGTCTCTCTGGGTTACCTGCACCCCAAGTCCACCGGCTCCAAACCCAGCACAGCACCAAGACTTGCCCAGGAATTGCCGTCCATGTGGCCTAGGCTGCCTTTCAACTTTACTTAGCACTCCAGAGTGCTTTAGCCCGTGGTGGTAGGTCTAGGAGGGACTCAAGTTGCAGCGGCTGGATTGCATGATTCTCCTCTAGTTAGGACTGATCTAAATGTTTCCTCTGTAAGTGCTGGCTGGATGCTGCCCTGTGTAGCTTTCTCCTGTGACCACAGCAGCACTGAGTTCCCTTGCAAAGTCCCAGAGTCACTACACTCTTTCTCCCTCAAGCACAGAGTTTCTGTCTCCATGTCGTACCATTGCAGGGGGTTGGGCAATTTAATGCTGTCTTCCTACCCTCTTATATGCCTCTTTTCTAAGTATGATATTACAAGCTGGTATTTTGATCATTCACCTAATTTTTTGTTCTTATGAAGGTGCTTTCTAGTGTGGATAATTGTTCAATTTGGTGTTCCTGCCTGGGGGATGATCAGAGGAAGGTTCTATTTGGCCATCTTGCTCTGCCTCCAGGATCTGCTTTATATATGTTGAAGTAATTTAGGTACCTAAAACTTAATTTTTAACATCACATAACATCTGGTGAACTAAAACATTAATTTTTATGTAGTTACTATAAAATCTATATTAACATATGTCCAGCAGCTTTTATTTTGGTTAGGATTTGCTGAAATAATTTTTCCATCATTTAACTTTCAGTATTTTCATGTTCTTATGTTTTAAATATGTGTCTTATCAATAGCTAGTATCTAGATTTTTATATCAATTCTGATAATATTCATCTCACATTCTTTTACCTGTGTGCATAATTCAGTTTCATTAATAATATTAGTATATTCATTTTAACATTATATTGTGTTTTTTTTTGCACAACCAGTCAATGCTATTTTGTCCTTCTTTACTGTCTTCTTTGGAAGTAATTATTTTTCATTTCAGATATATGGAAATATATATACATATATATTTCAAATGTATACGTGTGTTCATCATATATATTTATTTCTACATATAGATTTTTATATATTTAATATGTTTATAGTTTTCTATATGTTATGTAGATATATATAGTTATAAACATTTCCATGTCTTTGAAATAGATATTTCTTCTTCTTCCCTTAGTCCTCTCATTCTTTCCTCCCTTTCTTCTTACCTTCCTGTTTTTAAATTCTCACTTCCTTTCCTCCATGCCTTGTATAAAGTAGCACTTGCTATGTAACTCTAGACAATTACTGCCACATGGGAATCTGTTGCCAGAGTCTCTTGACTTGCATATAATTTTTAACTTTTTATTTTGAAATAATTATAACTTCCAGGAAGTTATTTTTGTAAGAAATATACAAAAATGTCTTATGCACCTTTTACCCAGCCTCCCCAATAGTAATGGCTGGCATTACTATAGTACACTATCAAAACATTGGTACAATTACATTGATAAAAATTAACATTAGTGCAATCCACAGAGCTTATTCAGACCTCATCAGTTTTATAAGCACTCATTTGGGTGTATGTTTTATGCAATTTTGTTAAACAATCGCACAGTTTTATTTTTGTCACATGTATAGCTTCTTGTAAGTATCACCATATTCAAAATAAAAAAGTGTTCTTTCAACACAGGGCTCCCTTGTGTATGCCTATACGTATCTTGTATTTTTTAATAAAGCATGTATATGTACATATGAATTTTATATAGAATATTGTGTTTTGCAAATGCTCATAAATAATTTAAAATGTTTTAGCTGCTATCCCATCTAACACTGTGTAGGCCTAGAAAAACATATCTATTGCCTGATTTCAGCCTACAGCTGCCTGTTTGCCATCTGGTTTACGTTACTACTTAGCTAAATAACGCTATGTATCTAATGATTTATTCTATGTTTTCACCTAGTGTATAGTATTTGTTTATCTGGAGATGTAGGCATTTACATTCTATTCTCCTTACTATTTAGACATTTTAAAGAAAAGGCTGAGATTATTTCTAAGGCTGCTAATCATTTATTATGTAGAATATTTGGAGACGAACACAGCAAGTCAGAGGTCATTATTTTTCTTCTTGTAATCAGCACATGCCATCCATGAATCTCTTTCCTCAGGCGCCAGACTCTTGTCAGTGTGTCAATATATACAAATTTCAATTGTGATTTCCCCACTAAGGAGGTCTAATACATATCAGTTCCACTATGGTGAGCTAATTGCAGGCCTGAACGTTTACCCTAGGTCTGCATAGCAAGTGCAAAGGCCTGCGTGAATTTACTGGCTTATGAACCCTATGTTAAACATGGTTCCTGGAAAAAAAAATCAATGATATACTTCATTTTCTGGCTCTAAATCTCTGAAAAACCATCTTAATCCTTTGTGTGGGAATCTCATGTCACATTTCTAAGGTAATAATAACAAAAGGGACAGAAAACCTGTTCTGGGCCCTTACTGTATGTGTAGAACTGCAACGCACTTAACGAGTCGTTCCCTTTAATCCTCACAACAAGCCTGTGGGACAGTACTATCATTATTCCTGTTTCACTGATGATAAAATTGAGGCTTCTGAAGGTCTGCATGTCTGGTAAAGGTCATGCAGGAAATAAAAAGCTGAATCTTAAGGGAGATGTGAATGCAAATAATCTCAACCTTATTATGCATTAGAGAATTAGTTTTTAGATTCTGTTTATTCAAAACTGGTTAAATGATGTAATATATGATAAAAGAGACAAATTCAAGCCACATCAGTCTAGAAGATAACCACATTTAAAAAATATTAAGTTCATACAGTTACTCTTTAATTAAAAGAAAAAACAAGAATCTACAGACCAACTTGTCTTTGAAGTTTGAAGATTTGAAAAAAATGAGTGACATGCAAAATGTTCCTTTTTCATCTAAGTAGAAGTATTGAGAACAGCCAATGTATCTCTCTGTAGCTAAATATAAGGAAAGGAAATAGATGGTTTAAGATGGTTACCTACACTACCATATCATTAAACTGTACAAAAGTTGACAGTGGTAAAGACCAGAGTCCTTTAAAAGCATAAGTCGGAACAAGGTAATTGATTTATTTGTAAAAGTAAATTAAAGAAAGCAAATCTCATATTATGCTCCACTAAGGTGTGAGTAAGGAACAGTTAATAAACATCCTGATGGTTGGTTAATAGATTCTTTCATGAGATCTGAGATGAGGTCAGGCTCATTATATGGTGCCTGCTTAGAGTCCATTTTTAAAGATGCGGGATTTGGCAGGCAGTTTTCTTGCTAGAAGCATTCATTGTTATTCCTGGTCACGTAGGAAGAATGAAGTGTCTGACAATGATGGACAGCGCAGCAGCAGCCTTGCTGCATGGAAATTAATTGGAAATCCTCTTCCAGAGAACTGCTATCTTCTGTTACTACACAGAAACTTGATTGTGCTAATAATGTGTGTCCAACTCGATAAGAGACACAGTACAAGGCAGAAGCCAAGGATTTCCAGAGAAAAATAAAAACATTGCAGAAAATAATCAAAGAGAAACTTTTTAGGTAAATGTATATCTTAGTCAGTGCCGGCTGCTATGACAATATCCATAGAATGGGTGGCTTATAAAACAAATATTTATTTCTCTTAGTTCTGAAAACTGGTAAATCCGAGACCAAGGTGCCGGCAAACTCAATGGGTGGTGAGGACCAGCTTCCTCTTTTGCAAATGGTCTGCTTCTCATATCCTCACATGATGGAGAGCAGAGAGAGGGGAACAAACTTCTCTTCTTATAAAGGTGCTAATCCTAATTGTGAGGGCTCCATCCTCATGATATAACTAGCTCCCAAAGACCCCACTTCCTAATACTATCACCTTGAGAATTAAGGCTTCAACATATAAATTTGTGAGAGACACAAACAGTCCATTGCAATGCCTGATTTCTCATTATTAGGGTGTTAATAAGTTTTTTGTGACCATATTGAAACTTACAATAGATTCAAACCACATGCAATATGCAATATAGGAATGTAGATTCTATATTAGGGACAGTTCCATGTGGGCTCAATATTACAATTAAGACTAATACTGGGAAATTTCTATTTAAATTGATGTAATAATGATGAATTAATAATTATAATAATAAGGATCATAATTATTGAACTTTAATATATACTAGTACTGTGACAGATAGTCTTCTAAAAGGTCAAATAAATTTCCCAAGGCCATCTAACTTCAGATTCTACACATGTAATCACGATGCAATATGTTCTCTATCTCTCCCTGTCTGTATCATAAGCTCATTGGCAGCCACAAATAGTGAACAAATAATGATAGCAGATACCAACTTAGCACTTACATGTCCTTGGTGCAAGTCATCTTAAAAGATGTGTGTCCATATTTAAATACACACATCTGCATATATTAACTATAGGTGTATATAATTAATATACATTTTATATATTCATATATAACATATAAATTAATTACGTGTGTATCCATTTGCTATTCACAGCCTCCCTATAAGGTAGAGATTTATGTATTTATTATTATTAGCTGCATGCTACAGATGAAGAAACTGAGGCACAGAAAGATTGGATCACTAGGCCAAGTTGGCCTAAGGACTTCTCCTAGGCCCAGGGCCAGTTGGTCCTTGGCTGTACTGTTATCTGCAATGTTCTACTAGCTTTGTTAGGGATAAGGATATAAAAATTGATGAGAATGATCCCAAAGCAACAATGTTTTGTGAGAGATTTTTAGATCAAGAATGTTTTGCACCAGGTTTTGACATCATTTCTCACTTTCTTCTCCACATTTTCATAAATCAGTTATCAGGCTAACAGAAAAAAAAAAAAAAAAACCTCATACTATTGACACGTAATTAAGGCTCATCCAAGGTCAATGAAATGTAACAAGGCACATTAGGGAGAAGACAAGTGGCAGAACTGTCTGGATGAAGAGGACTGACCTATTCCAGGTTTTTAGGCTATATGTGCTTTTTGGAGGAACAATTTTAAAAAATAAGTAAACTTAGATCTTTGGAGTATATATGAATGCATGTATACATGTCGTGTGTGTTTGTATATGTATATTCATTGCCATTACACACACATTTGAATTTTAGGGAGAAAAATTAGAACTTCAGCTCTTCTAGGAAGAGCTGAAAAGAAAAGATCTCAGAGTTTTAAAAAAATGAAATAAGACATCCCTGGGATTTCTAATATATTTCCCCCTAGTTATATTTTACTTGTAGGAAAACTATAATAGATTAAAGAGCTCAGAGAAAATGCCACTGTTTGAGATATTTGGAAAATTATTCATTTAAGAATTCTATCAATTCTGGATTAATATCAGCAACCAGCTCCTCTTTGCTGTACTAAGTGAATGTAATCAAAGTAGCAGCCAGAAGCAAAGAAAACAGCTCACAAGGAAGTATTGTATTAGACTAACATGGCACCATGAATTTGTCCTTGGGGTACAAATAGATTTTTTTAAAAGGGGAGAGGGAAAATCAAGTACTATTGTGTCTGATAGTACTTGCTGATAGAAGTCTAATGGTTAAGAACAAGGAAACTGTCCTGACTTTACCCCTTATCCCTTTTGTAAACTTCTATAGGCTTGATTTATCTGTGTCTCAGCCTTTTTGTCTGAGAGATGGACATAATAGTTTCTACATCATAAAGTTGTTATGAGGATTAAATCAGTTAATATCTGGAAGATAAGCAACATTCCTCAGGGGATCAAGAGTTTAATCAGGAAGATTTCCTCATCTAGTACTGACAAGAGAACAATGCATGAACCCCAGAATTCCATGTGCAAAGCTGTAGGGAGGCTTGGCTTGTTTCTCCGAAAGAATGGTGAGAATTTGGACAGGTGTGTTATACTTTACCACAAACAGTCTATTATAAACTTACATTTAATTAGTTACTGAGGCAAAACCACAGGGAAAATGACAAGCCAGGCCAACCTTGTTTTCGAGATGCATGGACGACTGCAATCTGCAGAGCTCCCCTCCTCTGGTTTACCCCCCTCTCCCCAAGGCTGTGATGCTGACTTAGCTATCCAGGGCTGCCCAGCACCACGCTCCAAACCCCTTCACCAGACTCTGCTCCCCTGAGTGTATGACACATGTGTCTCTTCATCCTAAATCTTATCAAAACGTATTTTTCCTTAGAGTTTCATTTTAGCTGGCTGAAGAAATAATCTGTATGGTAAACACTGCCAACAACTTAACTTAGTTCGTAAGTATCTGTATTTTTCAAAAGGACTTCTAGAGTCATCACTGCTTTTGCCCAGAAAATAAATGCCTAACGCTGATGCTAGGAACAAAGGAATAAATGTCGATGGGAGGTAGGATAAAAATGGGAAGTAAGTGGTTTTCATCAAATAACACCCCCTTTGATTTGATGGCTGCTATAGAGGCAACAACCTGTTTTATCCTTTTCCCTGATAAGTACCAAAGCATAATGATTACAATAATAGTTAATACTTACCGTATTCCAGGCACAATACTAACTGCTTGCGTGCACACCATTGTTTTGTTCTCATAAACATAGGTCTGTAAGGTAGAAAGTAGGAGTTATTATTATGTTTGTAGATGAGGAAACAGGTTCACATCAATTAAGGATTTTGTCAAAGGCAAACAGCTAATAAGTTGAGAGACCAGAAATCTAATTCCATCTGTTTGACTCAAAAGCTCTTATATGTAAGAACAACATTTAGTTCTGTTATTTTCTTGGTTGGGAGAGAAAGCGGTGTCAAATGACACCTAATTCTGTTTTTCAAAACATGTCCTTTATACATGGAATTCTAACACAATGAATGAAATGAATTACATTACTACAGAGCACAATTGCTTCAGACCTTTCTGGGAAAGGAGGCAATTTTCTATCATTATGATTATTTTAATGTCAAAAAGTTGTGTCTACACACAATCAAATTTATTTTTTACATGCTTAACTTCCCAAAGTGAAGAAATAATGCTACGCCTGAAGAGAGCCCCCTGAGCTACTCTGCTCTGTCCCTGGGCCTCCATCTCCCTACTGGACCTGCAGGCTCTTCCTTGGGCTCAAATGTGTCCCCCATCTGCCTTTGCTCAACACTCACTTATTCTCCAAGTCTTGCTTCCATGTAGGTTTTCTTCATCTAGAAACTAACTAGCATAAAATCTATCTCCCTTCTCTAATCTCCTAAAGTCAGCTGCCTGTTCTCTTGTAGTTCTGCAGGCTGGAAGTCCAAGATCAAAGTCTTGGTAGAGTGGTGTCTCCTGAGACTTTTCTTCTTGGCTTGCAAATGACTGCCATCCTGCTGTGTCCTCACATGATCTTTTCTCTCTGTGTACTTGTCCCAGATGTCTCTTTCTCTTTTTATAAGAATGCCAGTTCTATTGCATTAGGGCCCTACCTTTATCATCTCATTTAATCTGAATTACCTCCTAAAGGCCCTATCTTTCGTTATATCGGGGACTAAGACTTCATGTAAATTTGGGAGGCAGAGTTCAATCCATAATTTCAGAGTTTTCTTGATATTTGGGATCATAGCTGTCTCAGCATCACCACTAGCCTGTGAACATTTGAGGAAAGCAGGTCTACCCAATTCATCTCTGCAACACCTAACACACTTACTACAGTTACCTTCAAATAATACTGATCATTCACTGTACTCTGTGTATTTACACCATTAAGCACTCCATATACATTTTTTCCAATCCCAGCAATAACATTGCAAGGTAAATAGTTAGAAATTAGAAATGATGAAACTGAGGCCCAGATAGAGCAGGAATCTTGGAACGTTCTTATGATTGGTAAAGAACAGAAATAAAACAGACCTAGGTCTATTTAAAGTAGAGCTCAGGCTCTTTTTCTTCCAAATATGTCTTTCATGACATTTATTGAAAGAAATAAATGCCACTAGGGTAGCCCATTGGTGGTGCCATTTTCTTTTTCACATTTTCTATGAGCAGGAGAATTTAGGAGATTTTCTTTGGTCACTAACTCAGAAGGGCAAAAGAAGAGAGGATAGAAATTTAAGTAGAGCAGAAGCAAAATAAATTCATTCCTTGCTAGACTTTTACATGAAGCAGTACTGAAATGATTAATAAAGATGTTAGAGGTGAAGAAGGTATAAAGAACATACCTGACATAATAATGACAGCATATTTCACCTCCAGAATAAGAACAAAAAATATAAAACACTGCTCGAATTTAACAGGCATCCAGCTTTATTCATGGAATGGCAGGAGTGTGCTTAACAGGCAATAGGGATACACCTGCCCCAAAATGGTCCCTCATTATCCCTCCACAGTGCCTGAAATTACCACACTGTTGTAACTCCAGTGGTTTAAGCTTTTAGAAGATACCCATCCCAGTTTCACCTTAATCCCCATTAAAATGTAAAACTTTAACCTGTAGTATAGAGTTAAAACTGTTCTTGTATTATCATATTTAATACAAGCTACAAGATAAACATCTGGTTTTTTTTAAAAAAAGAAATAGCAGTGAATTGTGGGTCAGATAGGGTAATTCGTATACTTAGATGTTCAGGAAAAACATGAAATCTTGGGAGGCTAGGGAAGGATATATCCCCTGGGTAGGAAAATGTAGAAAAGGAAAGGAACCTGGGGGAATGAACAGAGTGGGGAGGCAATTAAAGTGAGGATGAGAAGTTGCTGAAAACCACCTGACAATCATTCTCTGGGTTGCCCAAAGACTGAGTTCCTAAAACTTTGGATTAGGTAATGATTGAGAGTTTTGTGGCTCTAGGCTTTCTCAGTAGGGGCTGAGGGTGATCGGGACAAAAAGTTTGATGTTGGGAGGTCTGAGTCAAGCAGGATAAATGAGTGGCATGTAGTTACTTTCTATCTCTTTGCCATTAACACTTGGGGTCATCATTTTTAGAGCCTTCTGCAAAGCAAGTACTGAACTGTGATGCGAATTGATGTTTTCAATTTTTAATGAATTAATTTTCTATTTGGCTGATACATCTTGAAACCCTTACCTGTCTTTCCCTAAGCTGTCTGTGTAATTGTTTCTATTCTCTGCTTAGCTTTGGCTGTGGAAACCTAGCCCATTTACAGCATTTTTTTCTTTCAAATCACACTGCTGCCATGGAAGCAATGAGGTCAGGATGGGCAGTTAGACCAGACAATTCACATTGCCCAAGTTTCTGACTCAGTTACTGGAGGTTAGAAAAGGGGAGAGAAAAACAACTGGCAGATACTTTATTCTTCTTAGCGACTTTAAAGTATAAACAATTAGCCACACGTCAAAGTCAGCTGCACCGGCTCCCTCTTTCTACCGCACCTTCCTTCCAGTGGGTTGCCCCATGCACAGCTGAATGTGAGGGTGGAAAGAAGTTCTGCAGATGGTATATATTCTCATTCTTTCATGGCTAATCCTCTCCCCAGCTGTGCAATGGCTTAGAGCCAACATCCTGTTTTCTTACAAAATTCAGGATACTTTAGGAACTGAATCAAGATTATGCAGCCAAATTAGAGGTCTGAGATTGAGGCAAAAAGCCTGATTTTATATGTGGCCATCTACCATTGGCTTACAGACTTATCTAGAGTCTGTATGTTCTTATGTCCAAGAAGGTATAAAATGTTTATGACCTACCTGAAACAAAAGAGGAGATGATGATACTTTGTCTCACCTGCTTTCTTCAGAGGTTAAAGAGAAATTTAACTTGTGTAAGTGAAAATATGGTAGCCAAACTTCAATACCCTTCCATATAAATGAAAATTGTAGAGTTACAAAGTCTTCCACACTATTAAATATATAAAGATTTTTTTAAAAATTAATGCTCACTGAAGGTATTGTAAGTAGTCAATTGCTGAACAAGTTTTGGACTCAGAATTTTTAATCAAAAGGTTATAAATATTCTCACATTAAAACGAATTACTAGGTTAGAAGCCCATGTGCTAATATTTTAATTGTGTAAAACTACTAAAAGAAATTAGAAATATGTAAAAATTATCTCAGAGAATTAGAAAAAAATTACAATCTTAATCCAGAGTTTACCTCCTTCTTTCTTGTAGCCACACAAATCATGCTGCAGATAGCGCTTGCAATCTAGAGCAGGGGTCACCAACCCCTGGGCCATGGAGTTAGGAAGCCAGCCGCATGGCCAGAGGTGAGCAGTGGGCCAGGGAGCATGACCATCTGAACTCTGCCTCCCAGATCGGAGGGGGAATTAGATTCTCACAGGAGCGAGAACCCTATTGTGAACTGCGCATGCCAGGGATCTAGGTTGCAGGCACCTTATTAGAACCTAATTAACGCCTGATGATCTGAGGTGGAACAGTTTCATCCCGAAACCATCCCTCCCCGCACTTCTGCCCATCCATGGAAAAGTTGTCTTTCACAAAACCAGTCCTTGGTGCCAAAAATGTTGGGGACTGCTGATCTAGAGGGCAAGACATAGACACAGTATATGGTATAACATGCAAAGTGATGCATGAAGAGGGTAAACAGTGAGTGCTACCAAAGTTCTAAGGCAGAATATATCACTTCCAGCTGAAATGCTGGGGAGAATGGGAAAATCAGATTTTTAAATATTTGGACCCTAAGCATGAGAAACATTTTAGTTTTTCAAGATGTTGAATAGAACTTTCAGAAAATTGTTGAATTCTGTTGTTGAATAGAACTCAAAAAATTGCAAGAGAAAAATGTCCAGATGCAAAAAAAAGAGTACAGTTGAATCTACCATTTTGGCTGTGGTAGACCACATCTTTGGGTATCAATGGGAGATCAGCTTAGTAAGGTAGAAAACAACTCAATATTGACCAGTATATGAGGGCAGAGACTCAGAGGCATAGTTTTCTTCTTCTCTGTTAAAAAGCTATCATATGGCTATAATTATAAGGACAGATAATAACAAGTGTTGGGGAGGATGTAAAAAATAAAGCGATCACAGTCACTGATAGATATATTACTTTTCTTTGTTCCCCTTCTCTGGATTTAAAATATTTTCAATACAGGATGTAAAAAATGAAGCGATCACAGTCACTGATAGATATATTACTTTTCTTTGTTCCCCTTCTCTGGATTTAAAATATTTTCAATACATGGGATCTGGAAGCATTCTGTAATTTAGAAAAGACTTCTATTGATAATTCATCCTGAAAAACTCCAATTATATACCCAAGACAATTTAGCATTCCAAAGTTCAGGGGAAAATCCATGGTAGTTTAAATAAATGATAGCACAGTCATAAAATAAAATGAAATAATAAGGATTTATTAAAATATAATTATAGAAAAACATTTAATACAATTCAAACATGTTCAAATATTTTCAGTAAGTAAAATAAGAACACTGTAGACCAGATAGTTCAGTATAATTCTTTGGATTAAAAAAAGTACATATATATTACACAAACATACACAAGAAAGGGCTAAAAGAATATAAGTGATATAACTCAAAAAGTTATGGGATTTCTTCTACTTTATAAAAATTTTACATGCATTCAAACATATTTTACAGTAAACATTTTATAGCAAAGTATGAATTTATTTTTCAATAAATTAATAGCCAAACCATTTTAGATTTTGTAGAGGCCATGCAGCTTGTCTGAGAAATAGGTCATTCTTCCCTCCAAGACACATCAACAAAATCCTTTGAAATGAAAAACAAACAAATAGACAAACAAAAAACTTGTGTGCCTTTCTTCACTAATGGCACTCAATCAGAGACTTCAGCAATTTAAAACTGTCTTCATTTCCTCATCTGTAAAAAGAGGGGCTAACATTTAAGTTTTCATCTTGACCTGAAGGTTAAAGATACCTTATCTATATATTATCTACTATAATTTCATTATATCAAAATATATCATTTATTTAAAAACATGCATTGGGCACCTGCTATATAGCAAAAATTGTTAGGTGAGGAATTCACAGATAAGTGCCAACATTAAACTATGCAGTTGGCTTTTGAGAGTAATTTTCATTGCTTCTCAAATTTGAAAATGAACGATTATTTATATAGATACACCCCAATTTGTGTAGAAAATATTGTTGCATAAAATGGAATATAACTTGTTTTTGCCACAAATATAGGAAATAATTGCAATTTATTTACATATTTTAAATCTAAATATGATTACTAAGGTTTAGAAAAAGCACACTTGTAATGATTTTAGACTTTTATTTGAAATATTTACATATATTTTCATCATGGGTTTTATTATTATGAAAGTAATGCTTATGCATTATAATAAATTGAAACAATAGTGAAAAGTGAAATACTTACACTCTTCTAATGATAATCACCAAATACCATTCCTAGACCAAATATTTGTGTATGCATTTATAATTGTTTGTAATATATGTTGATAATTTATAATTAAACATAATTGGATCATCTAAACTCCCTGTAGCATCTTTTTAACATCAACATATCATAGATATCTTGTCATCTATAAACTAAAAATATACATTATAATTTTAATAACTACTAGTGTCCAATTACATGATTATGAAACAGCATAAAGTGATAGAAAAATTAAAAAGTGAACGAAGAGATATAAATTATACCCCCAATTTGGAGTGCCTCTATGCGTCACTACATAAAGTTAAGAAATAGATACGTTGCTTAGTAATGTGTACTAAAGCACAAAGGAATTATTTTTGCTTCTGTGTTTGTCTGTGTCTGCAGATAGCAATTTAAGTCCTTTGCCTTGCCAGTACAGATTTTTCATGTATATATATATATATATATATATATATATATATATATATATATATCATAGAAATATATTTGAAATGTGTGTCTGTCTTAGTCTGCTAACCTGTAAAAGTGTTGGAGTGTTTTTAGAGATAATGAAGTACAAAGGAAATAGTTTTTCTGGGAAGAAAGCCCTTGACGCTCTGACAAGACTGGTGCTGTCTTATTCTTAGGACTAAAATCGAGGACTGTTAGATCAGAAGTTGTCTTAGAAGGGCTCATATTCATCCCAATGTTATGTATCACGAAATGGAGGACTATATAGATTATGTGATTTGTTTATAGTCACATTGACAATTTACTTTAATTAGTAGTTAAAGTCACAATCATAACCAGTACACTGTGACTTTAACTACTAGGATCTTTAAATTACGCCACACCACATATTATCTTTCACATTCCTCTTGCCAATGTACTTTATTTTTTGTTGTCTTTGGTACTTCTAGCATAAACTCAAAATAAGATTATTAAAATATGATAACTATTTTCCCTTGACCTGAGAATGTTTGCTTGGATAAGGACATTTATAAGAAGTAATATATTGGTTTCTGTCCGTGGCATTTACGAACGTTTTCAGCATATTTGCTTTGATTTTTTTTCTAATGCTGCTTAATATTCCCAGCTCATCAGATGGAAAGCTTTCCCTCTATCAGGAGTCAATGAATGCTGCTACCTGAATCTGTCTGCTCTGATTGAGGAAGTGATTTGCGTAACCACGGAGTAAGAAACTGTGGTTTGGTTCAGCCTGAAATCACTCATCAGAAAGCAAAATTGCCTTAGTGACTAGGACAGATCTGGAGGGAGGCAGATGTGGGTCTATGGTACTGAGTGACAAGCTATGCTGGCACCAACGATGCAAGATGTCACTTAAGGTAATGGAAACCTCTAGTAACATGGTTAAAATGCTTGCCACAGCTTATAACAGGCAAGCAAAACTACCAGAAAGCTTTTTATGACATTGTTCTTGTTGCAAGGGAAATGAATCCATAGCTCACAACTACCTCCCATGAAGGTTGGTCTCTATGATTGCAAAACTGGAGAAAAGCCACTAGTTGCAGAAAAACTGGACCTGCTTTTCGAGGAGATGCTGAACAGCATAGCAGCATGCTCTGATGCCTCCACCTAACCTGAAATTAAAAAAAAAAGTCCCCGCAGATGTAAGAATAACTAGAATACCTACCATCAGAGCATGGTGGAGTGAATACTGGTTTTGAGATTTAGGTGACCTACAGTTGTTAGGTTTGGGTAGAGGGCTGTACTGTTCCTCTAATTCTCTGGCCCTACTCTTTTTTCAGACTGCACAACTAGATAATGTGAGAGTCTTAACAAGATGATCTTACAGTTCTGATAAAGGCTATTTCCTCCAAGTCATTGACCTGTAATTTGGAGAAATTATGGCTATGTTATTATTGATATTTGAGAAATATCTCTGTAGCCTGACCATTTATCCATCTATGGTAATGGTCGTTTGAACACTGTAGTCTTAGAATGATCTTTTTGATTTTCTTTTCTTTTCTTTTTATTATACTTTAAGTTCTAGGATACATGTGCACAATGTGCAGGTTTGTTACATATGTACACATGTGCAATGTTGGTGTGCTGCACCCATTAACTCATCATTTACATTAGGTATATCTCTAATGCTATCCCTTCCCGCTTCCCCGACCCCACGACAGGCCCCGGTGTCTGATGTTCCCCACCAAGTGTCCAAGTGTTTTCATTGTTCAATTCCCACCTGTGAGTGAGAACATGTGGTATTTGGTTTTTTGTCCTTGTGACAGTTTGCTCAGAATGATGGTTTCCATCTTCATCCATGTCCTTTCATCCTTTTTATGGCTGCATAGTATTCCATGGTGTATATGTGCCACATTTTCTTAATCCAGTCTATCATTGATGGACATCTGGGTTGGTTCCAAGTCTTTGGTATTGTGAATAGTGCCACAATAAATATACGTGTGCATGTGTCTCTATAACAGCATGATTTATAATCCTCTGGGTATATACCCAGTAATGGGATGGCTGGGTCAAATGGTATTTCTAGTTCTAGAACCTTGAGGAATCGCCACACTGTCTTCCACACTGGTTGAACTAGTTTACAGTCCCACCAACAGTGTAAAAGTGTTCCTATTTCTCCACATCCTCTCCAGCACCTGTTGTTTCCCGACTTTTTAATGATTGCCATTCTAACTGGTGTGAGATGGTATCTCATTGTGGTTTTGATTTGCATTTCTCTGATGGCCAGTGATGATAAGCAATTTTTCATGTGTCTGTTGGCTTCATAAATGTCTTCTTTTGAGAAGTGTCTGTTCATATCCTTTGCCTACTTTTTGATGGGGTTGTTTTTTTCTTGTAAATTTGTTTGAGTTCATTGTAGATTCTGGATATTAGCCCTTTGTCAGACGAGTAGGTTGCAAAAATTTTCTCCCATTCTGTAGGTTGCCTGTTCACTCTGATGGTAGTTTGTTTTGCTGTGTAGCTCTTTAGTTTAATGAGATCCCATTTGTCAATTTTGGCATTTGTTGCCATTGCTTTTGGTGTTTTAGATATGAAGTCCTTGCCTGTGCCTATGTCCTGAACGGTATTGCCTAAGTTTTCTTCTAGGGTTTTTATGGTTTTAGGTCTAACATTTAAATCTTTAATCCATCTTGAATTAATTTTTGTATAAGGTGTAAGGAAGGGATCCAGTTTCAGCTTTCTACATATGGCTAGCCAGTTTTCCCAGCACCATTTGTTAAATAAGGAATCCTATCCCCATTGCTTGTTTTTGTCAGGTTTCTCAAAGATCAGATGGTTGTAGATGTGTGGTATTAATTCTGAGGCCTCTGTTCTGTTCCATTGGTCTATATCTCTGTTTTGGTACCAGTACCATGCTGCTTTGTTTACTGTAGCCTTGTAGTATAGTTTGAATTCAGGTAGCGTGATGCTTCCAGCTTTGTTCTTTTGGCTTAGGATTGTCTTGGCAGTGCAGACTCTTTTCTGGTTCCATATGAGCTTTAAAGTAGTTTTTTCCAGTTCTGTGAAGAAAGTCATTGGTAGCTTGATGGGGATGGCATTGAATCTATAAATTACATTGGGCAGTATGGCCATTTTCACAATATTGATTCTTCCTAACCATGAGCATGGAATGTTCTTCCATCTGTTTGTGTCCTCTTTTATTTCCTTGAGCAGTGGTTTGTAGTTCTCCTTGAAGAGGTCCTTCATATCCCTCGTAAGTTGGATTCCTAGGTATTTTATTCTCTTTGAAGCAATTGTGAATGGGAATTCACTCATGATGTGGCTCTGTGTCTATTATTGTTGTATAGGAATGCTTGTGATTTTTGCACATTGATTTTGTATCCTGAGACTTTGCTGAAGTTGCTTATCAGCTTAAGGAGATTTTGGGCTGAGAAGATGGGGTTTTCTAAATATACAATCATGTCATCTGCAAACAGGGACAATTTGACTTCCTCTTTTCCTAATTGAATACCCTTTTATTTCTTTCTCCTGCCTGATTGTCCTGGCCAGAACTTCCAACACTATGCTGAATAGGAGTGGTGAGAGAGGGCATCCCTTTCTTGGGCCAGTTTTCAAAGGGAATGTTTCCAGTTTTTGCCCATTCAGTATGATATTGGCTGTGGGTTTGTCATAAATAGCTCTTATTGTTTTGAGATACGTCCCATCAATACCTAGTTTATTGAGAGTTTTTAGCATGAAGGGCTGTTGAATTTTGTCAAAGGCCCTTTCTGCATCTATTGAGATAATCATGTGGTTTTTGTCTTTGGTTCTGTTTATATGATGGGTTACATTTATTGATTCGTGTACGTTGAACCAGCCTTGCATCCCAGGGATGAAGCCAACTTGATTGTGGTGGATGAGCTTTTTGATGTGCTGCTGGATTCAGTTTGCCAGTATTTTATTGAGGATTTTTGCATCGATGTTCATCAGGGATATTGGTCTAAAATTCTCTTTTTTTTGTTGTGTCTCTGCCAGGCTTTGCTATCAGGATGATGCTGGCCTCATAAAATGAGTGAAGGAGGATTCTCTCTTTTTCTATTGATTGGAATAGTTTCAGAAAGAATGGTACCAGCTACTCTTTGTACCTCTGGTAGAATTCAGCTGTGAATCCGTCTGGTCCTGGACTTTTTTTGGTTGGTAGGCTATTAATTATTGCCTCAATTTCAGAGCCTGTTATTGGTCTATTCAGAGATTCAACTTCTTCCTGGTTTAGTCTTGGGAGGGCTAAAATTGACACCCTAACATCACAATTAAAAGAATTAGAGAAGCAAGAGCAAACACATTCCTTTTCTATTTTAAATAGATTTTTTTTTTGAGACAGTCTCACTCTGTCACCCAGGCTGGAGTGCAGTGGCATGATATCAGCTCACTGAAACCTCTGCCTCCCGGGTTCTAGTGATTCTCCTGCCTCAGCTTCCTAAGTAGCTGGGATTATAGGCGGGCGCCACCACACCCAGCTAATTTTTGTATTTTTAGTAGAGACGAGGATTCCCCATGTTGGTCAGGCTTGTCTTGAACTCCTGACCTCATGATCCTCCCACCTCGGCTTCCCAAAGTGCTGGGATTAGAAGCGTGAGCCACCAGGCCCAGCCTTCAATAGAATTTTTAATTAAAATATCATTTCAAGAAAATATACAAAATTTTCTAATCAGTGCATTATGAAATATAATGTAGAACTGGATAAATAATCTGGAAAGTTCAGGTAATTTGATGAAATTTCATAAATTTACTCATTTTTTCCTCAATATAGCCTTGAAAACAGTGATGAACTCTGAGGCTGTCCATGGTGCTGAAAATTCTTCTAGTGATATAGCAGAGCATTATAGCTGCATTATGGGAGAACTCTCTTCAAGTAATATTTATATTGGTTTAATTTTCTCTCAAGCAAGTAAGAAAGTTGTATATAATAGTGGAACGAGAAGGACAATTTTAAGTTGCATTACTATACTCAGTTTGATATCCAGGGCTTCTTCCTTCTCTCTGAGTTCTTACAAATTTTTTTTAAAGATATATTTCCTAATAGACAATAATTGTCAGTAGATAATTTACAAAGAAATAAATTTAAAAGACAAGACAAAAATAAAATAATGTAAAAATAATACTAATTAAGCAGAGAGATAAAATACACACCTATCAAACAATTAAAACTTATGAAGAATTCCCAACATTGAGGAAGATACAAAAAAATGGACCCATGTAATGCTATTGAAACTGTAAACTGGTATAAAATTTTTAAGCAGAAGTTTGGCAATATGAAGCAAATAGTTGAATTATATATAGTCACAATTAAACTAATCAACTCTCAGGAGAACGGGGTAGTACATTCTCATGCCTAGTATAAGAATTTATACAATAGTGGCCCAGAACAATTGCTTGAGTTTACAGATTACTTCATCTAACAGTTGCTTATCATACAATCAAATTCAATCGAGTTTGATAGAAATTAGATTTAAATATATAGTTTTTTCTAGTTCATACATTTAAAAAGTGCAACAAAATGTAATACAGATAGTAAACCTTGAATTAAAGAGTTGATTATTTATTTTGTTTTTGTACAAAATGTACAAACATAAAATAAATTACAGAATTTTAGGGTTGGAAATTACTTTAGAAAAGTGCAAGACTTCCTTAAAGATTCCAGTAAAATTGATGATGTCAAATGTTAATTGCCAGTTGTACCCTTGCTTTTGTATAATAACCTCCTCATGGCCACAGTACATCTTTTTTACCTGAGGTTGATTTTGAATAGGAGTTCCTGCCCTTCCCTTTCCTTCAGTATTAGCAGATCTCCAATGGTGTAAGTGTATGATCCTGGGAAACCAGGTGATTTTATACCCCATCACCCAGGATAGACTTTTTTTTCTAGTACCATTCAATACAGCCACAATGAATGTTGCCTGTGTTCTGAGGAAAACAAGTTTTGCTGCCCTTCCCACAGAGACATGACACCCTTGTCAACATTTATTTTACCATATATGTGAGGGCTTTTTTCTAGGCTTTCTATTTTATTCCATCAAATCATGTGTGTTTAAGTTAGAATGCACCTTCCCCTGAGAAGCAAAATAATCACCAACATTAGGTGAAGTATTTATTTCACTTTTCCTTAGAATAGGAGAAACTAGAAGAGCTACTCTGGGATCCAGTCCCTGAGGAATGCAGAAAAAAAGATTGTTGAAAAATGAAAAAACACTTTGGGACGTTGGGGAATGGGTGGATCACGGGGTCAGGAGTTCAAGACCAGCCTGGCCGCCATAGTGAAACTCGGTCTTTACTAAAAATACAAAAAAATTAGCTGAGCGTGTTGGCGGGCACCTATAATTCCAGCTACTTGGGAGGCTGAGGCAGGAGAATCACTTGAACCTGGGAGGTGGAGGTTGCAATGAGCCAATATCATGCCACTGTACTCCAGGCCGGGCAACAGTGCAAGACTCCGTCTCAAAAAAATAAATAAATAAAGTAAAAAAGCCACACACAAAAGAGAAAAGAAGGGAACACCTCTGAGATGAGTGGCCCTAATTTGCAATCTGACCTGGGCCGGCAAGAATTTGTTTATATTCTTATGTTCTTCCCATTTAAAATTCTCCCTCTTCTTTCCATTGCATCATTGAGATAAAAGTGCTGAGGTAGGTACCAGAGACATCTCCTGGCTAACACTGTGCACCAATTTGGTCTTTCAGCTCTCCTGCTTCTCATTCTAGATGCTATCTTCCAAATTCTCTCCTTTCATGCCAAACTCATATACATACATTCTGCAATGAGTAAAGTCAGGGAAAAACAACCAGGTACCTATTCTTTGAAGAAAAAATGAAAGTTTGAAAGATGATATATTGGACTTTGCTAGAGTCTTTTAGTGATATTTAGGTTGTTTTTCCTCAATGTGGACAGCTTTGAAATCTGCCAAAAGCTTGGTATCTGCTATTTGTGCAGCATTATGCATCCTCTTCCGTCTGCTTGGACTAGTCAAGGTGTCACTTGTGCCCTTGATCACAATAGAGAGAGTCAGTAGAAAATGAGAATAGAAAAATGGTTGGCAGCTGAGGTGCCTTAGGTTGGAACAGTGTCCCACAAGCTGACAGTGATAGAGTTCTAGCTGTCAGCAGGGTATCATCAACCCCAGGAGGGGTAGCGATGGAAGTGAAGCATCCCAGGCAGATGAATGGAGGAGCAGCAGGAAAGCATGTAAGAAAGATGAGAATGGTAGTTCAAGAATGCGGCCTGCATAATTTGTATAAGTCCTTTATATTAAGTAAGTTTACATTTTTGTTTAGCGATGTGAATGGCCATTAAAAGATGTATGGCTTGGTTCAACTTTAAGGCATTTGAGAAATTTGAAATAAGTAGTTTTGAACAAAAAGAGTCCAACTGAATCCTGATTAAAATATGTATGGATATAATTGAGGAAAATGGTTGAATCTTGCTAACGAGGACCAATTAGAGTTCAAACAATTGAAACTTGAAGATACTCCATTTAAATTCGTACATAAAACTTGTCTCTCATTATTTTTTCCCAAAAAGAACACAGCTCATCCCACTTGATATTAACAGATAGTATAGAGATAACAGGTGTGCAGCAGATTTTTTACAAGATAGTGAGCTATATTACATGACCCCTCCACCCACAGTGTCAATTACAATAATACTAAAGAAATATAAATATTATAAATCCTTATTAAAAATAAATGAGGCATTTTGTTAATTTCTGCACAGCAGGTGCAAATAGGAAACAGAACAGAGGAGACTGCTATATAGATTCAGAAGACCAGAAGAAAAAAATAAGCCCAACAGAGCTCTTGAATTGCTCCAGATCTGGGAGAGCAAAGAGGACAAAATCAATGAGATAAGGTCAAATAAGGCTGAAAGCAAGCAATTTATAAAGTCCACTTTGTTTTTCCCTTTTACTACGAGAAAGAAAGGAATGCAGTCAGCAAACCTGGGCAAAAAAAATTGTCAAAGAAATTGAGGTTCAAATATGAGTCATATTAAAGAATACGTGATTTAGAAAATTGTTGGAAGGCAAGAAAAATTCATAAAGCTCCTTTCCTTTTATGCCAATGGATCATGAAAATAAGAATAATGGGATTTTGAAAGAATTAAAATAAACAATACCACAAAGGTAACAGAAGATACAGGAAAATATGTTTTGGGCTTTAAGGTAAGAAAGACAATCCTAAAACTAAAACACAAAGTGAAGGTAAAGTTGTTAATTAAAGTAGATTAGAACTGAGAGAAAAGCCTTGAAAGGGAGAAAGGACATGGAGACGTTAGGCAGTAAGTGGGAGCTTAGCTGAAAATATTTGCAAAACTCATGAAGCAAGGAATTAATATTCAAAATTGTCTTGGAGCTCCTAAAAACAAAAAAAAAATGTAAATAGCCAATTAAAATAAGAGGAAAGAATATAAACAGGCAACTTGTGAAAGATGAGTATTGAAAATGTTTCCAGTTTTCCCTAGTGCAAACATTGTTGCAGTAAATAGCCTCAAACTCAAGTCTGTGATCACATGCACCAGTTCCTATCTTTAGAATACAATGCGGTGGAACACTGGATAGTAGGCTGGGCACAAATTGCCCTCCAATGTGCATTTGCTAATTTCCACTCCTTACAAAACTGCATGTGAGTGTTCATTTTCCTGCATTCCGATATTATTAAGGTTTTATATTTTCCAGTCTCCTGGTTGAAAATGAGATTTCACTGATAGATTTCACAGTTTCTTGATTAGTCGTTGTGCTTAGAATAGTTTCCTATGTTGATTGGACAACTGTATTTCCTCTTCTAAGAATTTTTGTCCTACTGGGTTATATGCGACACAGATTTATCTTGTCGATTTGTTACAGTATTCTATAATTTATTCTTAGCGTTTTTTTCATTCCTTGTTCGAAGAGGAATGGCTACTTATGGCTTATAAGAATGGCCATCTACTGCTTATAATCAGTCAACAGAGAGCAACACATACATATCACCTAGAAAAATTGAGCTAATCACCAGAGTAACTCCAAAGAGAAATGATTAAGAGTGGCTGCCTCAGGAATATGAAAGGTTAGGGCAAAGTATGGCTCATTTTTATTATAAAACCCATTGGATTATTGGATTTTTAAAAAATCATGTATATGCATTACTTTAGATTTATAAACTTCTCAATTAGGATAAAGAGCAGTCTTTAGTACTTGACAAATCTAGGATATAAATTTTATTACCTGTAAGAAATTAACACCATATAAACCTCAATTTTCTCATGAGTAAACTAAGAATGATAATGCCCACCTCATAGCTGTGTTCTGTGTAAAATCTCTAGCCAATTTTAGCTTATGTCCTCCTTCCTTCTCCTTTTAGTAACTTTATCTTTTTCCTTCTGTTACATTACTATTAAAAATATTAAATCAAGGAATGAATCAACACATTTATTCATGACCTACTATGTAATAGTCAATAATGATAAATACTGTGTGCAATTTCCCATCAAGGATATTACAGTTTGGAGATAAATGACATTGCCACCTTGTAGATTAAATCCAGCACTTTGAACCAACAGTAAGAGAATTGCCACAAGAAAGATTATTATGCCTATATTTTTTAATCACTACAACTTACAGAAACTTGTGTTCAACTTTAGCGGTGATGCTGAGATGAATAAGTCATGGCACATGTGATCAAAGCATTCACATTTCAGCCGAAAAGAGACAAGGCAGATTTTGAAAGTAAAGGGACACTTTGAGAAAAGGACATGCTAAGGGAAAGGAAAAGAGAGATCAATTACCTGTCTATAGAAATCTTAAAATTGTAATAACAAAGTAATATTTGGGCAGGGCCTATATAGATATGAAGACTTTTGTTAGATAAAAACACAAGAGAAGCAAAAATTCTAAAGGGAGCAGTGGCCTGAAAGGCTTACTTACAACATGTGTGGAAAATGGAGAAAATTCCTGTGTTGAACAAATAGGAAGAGGTACTTGGTGATAATACTGAAGAAGGTATTATCACCAACTGCCTGCAGCATGATAATTCTTGCAGCTGCACTGGAGCACTTGCATATGAACACCTGTCATTTATGTCTATGGGTGCCTCTTCTCCAGTCCATAGGTGAACAGTAGTTTTCTTACCATATGATCCAGTTAGAATTACCATCAATGTAGTCCTTTTCCTCTCCCCTACACTCTGCCAAGAGGTGGACATGCAACCCAAACTAGGCCAATCACTTTGTCACCTAAGAATTTGAGTCTTGATCAAGGAAGTGCACGCATCAAATGGCTGTTGGAGTTGAGTCAGTCATTTATAGCATCATCATGCAAGTTTCACGAGTCCTCTACTAGAAGTTGTCCACTTTCTCCTTTCTCCTCCTTCCCAAGGCCCTGTTTCTCTTTTACTTTAGTGAGCTCCTAAATATCCCGCCAATAAATTGTGTGTGTGTGTGTGTGTGTGTGTGTGTGTGCGGGGCGGGTGTGTGTGTGTGTGTGTAGTTTTGCTTTGTTTTTTTATTTTGTTTTGCTTAGCTTATACCAAGTCAGCATCTGCTGACTATAGCAAAAACCTCTACCTGATGAACTTAATGGGTTTCTATATAATTTGCAAACAGTTGGGAAAAAAATTTATTGAAGAGTCATATGATAAAGATGAAATTTAGGAAAATTTGGAGCATCATGGAATTAGAGTCAGAGTACAGGCAAGGGGAGGTGTACTATTATCTGGAATTAAGATTTAAAAGAAGTAGATAGATGTAAAAGAAGTAGATGGATGTAACAAAAGTGATACAGTTTGGTGGAATGAGCACCAGATCTTGTAGTTAAAAAAGAAAAACAATGGGTTTAAATCTCAGGCTCTTTCCAGTTTCTGACTTGCTTAGGTAAGTTACTAATACATACTAGACCCTTATTTCAATATTTTCCTAATGTGGACAGTAGTAACCCACTCACTGTCATATTTTGAGTATAAAAATAATATATGGGCTGGACATGGTGGCTCACACCTGTAATCCCAGCAATATGGGAGGCCAGCACAGGAGGATCACTGAGCACAGGAGTTTGAGACTAGCTTGAGCAGAATAGTGAGACCCCATTGCTACAATTTTTTTTAAATAGCCAGGTGTGGTGGCACATGCCTGTAGTACCAGCTACTTGGGAGGCTGAGGTGAAAAGATTACATGAACCCAGGAGTTTGAGGCTGCAGTAAGCTATGATTGCACCATTGCACACAGCCTGGGCAACAAAGTGAGACTCCACCTCTAAATATATATATATATAAATAAATATATATATATATATACACACACACACGCACACATATATATATACACAAACACACACACACATATATTTATTATTATATATAACATAATACAAAGTGCTAAATATAATCTGTCATATACAGTAAGTGTTTAGCACTAATATGAATTAGTTTATAAATTCAGTAAGACCTGGCAAGTGACTGAATCTTACATGCAAGCTAAAAGGTAAAGTCAACATTGACCCCAAATTTTGAATATGGGAGATACAGTAAATGATAACATTTGGACAAAGAAAGAAGTTGGCTTGGAAATGGATGGATGATATGGTCTGAATGTTCATGTTCCTCTAAAATTCATACATTAAAATCTCCAATGTGTTGGTATTAAGAGGTAGGGCCTTTGGGAAATAACTAGACATGAGGTTAGAGAGTGGTGAACAGGATTAGTGACTTTATAAAAGAGGTCTGAGGGAGCTTGTTTGTTCCTTATGCCACATGAGAACACATAGAAGGTGACATTTATGAGGAACAGGCCCTCACCAGACACCTAATCTGCTGGCATCTTGATCTTGGACTTCCCAGCCTCCAGAACTATGAGCAGTAAATTTCTGTTGTTTATAAATTACTCAGTCTAAGGTCTTGGACTTCCCAGCCTCCAAAACTATGAGCAGTAAATTTCTGTTGTTTATAAATGACTCAGTCTAAGGTCTTTTGTCATATCAGCCCAAGCATACTAAGACTGTGGATGAGAAACTAAAATAATTAAAATAAAACTAATTTTTTTTTTTGAGACGGAGTCTTGCTCTGTCACCAGGCTAGAGTGCCATGGCTCGATCTCAGCTCACTGCAACCTCTGCCTCCCGGGTTCAAGCGATTCTCATGCCTCAGCCTCCCAAGTAGCAGGGACTACAGGCACGCACCACCATGCCCAGCTAATTTTTTTGTATTTTTGGTAGAGGCGGGGTTTCACCGTGTTAGCCAGGATGGTCTCAATCTCCTGACCTCATGATCCGCCTGCCTCAGCCTCCCAAAGTGCTGGGATCACAGGCATGAGCCACCACGCCTGGCCAAAACCTAAATTTTTTGACATGTAGATTTTAAAATTATTTTCTCAAAATGTAAGAGAAAACTGAGGCATTTATAGTGAACTTCAGAGTCACCTTTATACTGTAGAAAATTGAAAGATGTGGTAACCAACTGAGTGACTATAGAAAAAGAAAATATAGGCAGGGCGCGGTGGCTCACGCCTGTAATCCCAGCACTTTGGGAGGCCGAAGCAGGTGGATCATGAGGTCAGGAGATGGAGACCATCCTGGCTAACATGGTGAAACCCCGTCTCTACTAAAAATATAAAAAATTAGCCGGGCGTAGTGGCAGGCGCCTGTAGTCCCAGCTACTTGGGAGGCTGAGGCAGGAGAATGGCATGAACCCGGGAGGCGGAGCTTGCAGTGAGCCGAGATTGCGCCACTGCACTCCAACCTGGGCGACAGAGCGAGACTCTGTCTCAAAAAAAAAAAAAAAAAAGAAACAGAAAAAGAGAAAATATTAATGATGTACTCTAACGTGTTTATATAAAGGGTCAATGAGAAAGAAGGGTCAATGAAGGAGACAGAAGACACAGTCAAGAGTAAAAGGGAGTATAACTTCACGACATCACAGAAGCCAGAGAAGACACGTCCAGACAGAGTTTTCTTACTCCATTGTTTCACGTGCGTAAGGTGCTACAGAAAGGATAAGTATGGAGAGTGAAAGGAATCAGTTACATTTTCTCATTAGTGAGTATTTTCAGAGATTTATTTCAGAAAAATCATGAAAGTAGAACTAGATGCAAAGAAGTGTAAGAATAATGCATCATTTATGTTTCAGAATCGTTCTTATTCATGTTTCAGATGTTGTTGAGGAAGTGGCATAAGATACAGTAAAAGAAAAAAAAAAGGAAAACAGAGGAGTTGCCCACAAATGAAATAATCAGTATTGGAATAATTATAAGTTATTTGAGAATGTAACAGCAATTATAGAGTTTAACGTAGTCGTGCAAATTAATATAGTTTAATATAGTCATGCAAATCAATGTGTGAGCATATTGTACAAAAGGCACTGAAAAGCTAGAAGCCACATAGTCCAAAGGCCCACACTGTGATTCCATGACATCTCTGTAAATGGTCCCAAGGCAGGTTCACAATATTCTTTACAATAAAAACATCTTAGAAATAAACCTGAAATAAGCCACAAAGACACAGTCTTTAACATTTGCATTATTTGATACTGATAAACATTGGGATTTAAAGATATATTTTGACAGAATTACCAAGACAGTTAATTTTCCCATGTCAGCTTTCTCTAGTAATAAACTCATTTATTCTTCCAAAAGGGCCATCGATCTCTCTCTTTTCATCATGATAGCTTATTTTTTTCATTTTTAAGCTGTTTGCATACAATCATGATATATTTAATGATGAAAGTCATTTCCTCAGACTCATCTTTAATAATGCACTTTATATTTAGCTCATGGTAATCTCTCAAATAAGCTAAAGAGTAAGGAAGAACACATTAGCAATTATTTGTTCTGAACCCTGGGAAAACAATGCCATAAGCTCTTGCTCAGGACTTCTTTCCATTCTTGCTCGGAGAGCTTGAGTCAAGTCTTGGCATTAGGGAAGATGATCTCTGGTTGACTTCCATGTCTCTCTATAGATAACCATGGACCCAATCCACAATTTGTCTTGTATTACATGTATACTTGTATTGTTTCCTCTGACAAATGTTCAAAAGAGAAAAGACAGCTAAACCCCAGCAATGCAATTATTAACAACACCTAGAACACTCTCAATCCCCACTCTAGTCACGTCCAATTATTCTCATGAGCAGTTACTATTTTTTTTTTCTGAAAGAAAAGTGGGTGCTGGATCTTTGGATATATTGTAGTGAATACTGTGAGATTTCCTAGAGAAAACCATTAATTGTTTTAGGTAAGACTCCAAGTTAAGAGTTTCTATTGGCATTTTTTCTTTTCTTTTCTTTTTTATGGCTACATCCTAATACTTTTGTAAAATCTAAGTTATCTACAAAAAATTTGATGATAAAGTTTAGCACTAATATCAGGTTTATGCTATCAAAACAAAGGATATAATAGGTGATTCAATTCAAATATAAATACAAGTTTTTTCTGTCTCTGGGTACTTTAATAAAATGCTTGTATTAATAATATTCAACAAAATCAAATTAACAGGAATATCTGATTTGTTAAATGTCATTTGGTTGGGAACTTTTTTTTATTCATTTACTCATTCACTTAGCTAACATTTGCGTTTAAGATACTCTAGATATCTGAGAGGCATACAGAAGAGGTAAGTGTGGCTCTGCTTAAAGGTTATATGGTCAGGAAAAGTCTGACAGAGGGGAGGCTTATTAAATGGGGTTTTGAAGAAGAAAAAAACTGCATCTCCTTTTACATCAGTAATGCAGTTTCTTACCTTATCATTGGCTCTACCTCCTAAATTTTGGTGGAAATAATTTAACAATAACAATAACAAAAATAATAAAGGCTAATTCATCCTTAACATTTGTATGCCAGTGTGTGATTTGGTCACTCTGGTCTAATGAACTAAAAAGTTTTGCAGTAAAGTTTTTTTTATAAACAACATTTTTGCACACATTACATTGTCAAAGGACCTCGACTATGAATTCCACCAGCTTGTGGTTATATCATCCTTTCTGTTCATCAGATATGGTGACTCCCCAAAGAAACTATGATTATATGTGTTTAACCTTAAGCCTATACAATTATCTTTTGATTCAGAAAAGCTTTTAGAACTTGGAAATGTGGAATTAAGAGCTCCTGAGATTCTCCATGCCCTTCCCTATCCCTGCTTGCCTACCTTTCTCTTTCTGTTTCTGTTTTGTTTTTAAGAGGATTAAAAAAATAAGTATTCACTAAGCATACAATGAAAAGAGATAAAAAGGGAGGAGAAAGAGTTTGGAAGGTGGAGGTATCTAAGGCAGGTGTCAGCACTGGACAACCAAAGAAGTGATCTTTGTGGGAGGAGCATGATTCACACGTCTGTCAGTTTCGTTCCCCATGGTAGCGTTTTAAAAATGAGATTTACCTATGGGCCATCCTCTTGGCCAGCTTCTGTGGTCTGTGAGTTGGCCTCGCTCACCAGTCTCTATTCTCTGTGCAATCAGATGATGGTAGGCCTTGGGAATAGATTTTCAAAGTCTGAACTCTGGGCACACCTAGACTAGGTAGTATGGCCCCTTTGTTCCAACTTTTAGAAATACCCTTGTAGTCAGTTTTCATCCACGGGGAGCAAATGCTGTGCTGCTGGGGAAACATAGTTGAAGAAGTTGCAAGGAAACCATAGTATGCCATGCTCCTTGACACATAGGTAGGAGTTCGCACCTTGCATTGCTAATGTGATCTTTTCTTCCAGGAAACTGGGAGTAGACGTGATACTTTTCTTTGAATTTTTTATATTATTTCAATTTCTATGGCTCTTGATTTGTTTTCTTAATCCAAACATATAATATAGACACATCCATGGTCTTTAAAAAAATAATAATTAAGGAGAACTTAGGAAAAACAACCTTATTGATTCAAATTGTTGTTGTTGTTGTTGTTGTTTTTCTTTTCTTTTCTTTTCTTTGACAGAGTGTTGCTCTGTCGCCATGTTGGAGTGCAGTGGTGCGATCTCGGCTCACTGCAACCTCTGCCTCCCGGGTTCAAGCGATTCTCCCACCTCAGCCTCCCGAGTAGCTGGCATTACAGTTTTAAACTTAGGAAACGCCTGTTTAGAAACATCTCAGCATGAGGGATCGTAAGCCACAGTCCAGATACATCAGGAGTAGAGAAATGGGTTGTAGGTATAAGACTTATCTTTTTTTTTCTTTAATTTTAGCATTTTATTTATTTATTTTATTTTTATTTTATTATTATTATACTTTAAGTTTTAGGGTACAGGTGCACAATCTGCAGGTTTGTTACAGATGTACACATGTGCCATGTTGGTGTCCTGCACCCATTAACTCATCATTTAGCATTAGGTATATCTCCTAATGCTATCCCTCCCCACTGCCCCCACCCCACAACAGTCCCCGGAGTGTGATGTTCCCCTTCCTGTGTCCATGTGTTCTCATTGTTCAATTCCCACCTATGAGTGAGAACATGGGGTGTTTGGTTTTTTGTCCTTGTGATAGTTTGCTGAGAATGATGATTTCCAGTTTCATCCATGTCCCTACAAAGGACATGAACTCATCATTTTTTATGGCTGCATAGTATTCCATGGTGTATATGTGCCACATTTTCTTAATCCAGTCTATCATTGTTGGACATTTGGCTTGGTTCAAAGTCTTTGCTATTGTGAATAGTGCTGCTATAAATATACATGTGCATGTGTCTTTATAACAGCATGATTTATAGTCCTTTGGGTATATACCCAGTAATGGGATGGCTGGGTCAAATGGTATTTCTAGTTCTAGATCCCTGAGGAATCGCCACACTGACGTCCACAATGGGTGAACTAGTTTACAGTCCCACCATCAGTGTAAAAGTGTTCCTATTTCTCTACATCCTCTCCAGCACCTGTTGTTTCCTGACTTTTTAATGATCACCATTCTAACTGGTGTGAGATGGTATCTCATTGCGGTTTTGATTTGCATTTCTCTGATGGCCAGTGATAGTGAGCATTTTTTCATGTGTTTTTTGGCGGCATAAATGTCTTCTTTTGAGAAGTATCTGTTCATATCCTTCGTCCACTTGTTGATGGGGTTGTTTGTTTTTTTCTTGTAAATTTGTTTGAGTTCATTGTAGATTCTGGATATTAGCTCTTTGTCAAATGAGTAGGTTGCGAAAATTTTCTCCCATTCTGTAGGTTGCCTGTTCACTCTGATGGTAGTTTCTTTTGCTGTGCAGAAGCTCTTTAGTTTAATGAGATCCCATTTGTCAATTTTGGCTTTTGTTGCCATTGCTTTTGGTGTTTTAGACATGAAGTCCTTACCCATGCCTATGTCCTGAATGGTATTGCCTAGGTTTTCTTCTAGGGTTTTTATGGTTTTCGGTCTAACATGTAACTCTTTAATCCATCTTGAATTAATTTTTGTATAAGGTGTAAGGAAGGGATCCAGTTTCAGCTTTCTACATATGGCTAGCCAGTTTTCCCAGCACCATTTATTAAATAGGGAATCCTTTCCCCATTGCTTGTTTTTGTTGGGTTTGTCAAAGATCGGATAGTTTGTAGATAAGCAGCATTATTTCTGAGGGCTCTGTTCTTCTGTTCCATTGATCTATATCTCTGTTTTGGTACCAGTACCATACTGTTTTGGTTACTGTAGCCTTGCAGTATAGTTTGAAGTCAGGTAGTGTGATGCCTCCAGCTTTGTTCTTTTGGCTTAGGATTGACATGGCGATACAGGCTCTTTTTTGGTTCCATATGAACTTTAAAGTAGTTTTTTCCAATTCTGTGAAGAAAGTCATTGGTAGCTTGATGGGGATGGCATTGAATCTATAAATGACCTTGGACAGTATGGCCATTTTCACGATATTGATTCTTCCTACCCATGAGCATGTAATGTTCTTCCATTTGTTTGTATCCTCTTTTATTTCATTGAGCAGTGGTTTGTAGTTCTCCTTGAAGAAGTCCTTCACATCCCTTGTAAGTTGGATTCCTTGGTATTTTATTCTCTTTGAAGCAATTGTGATTGGGAATTCACTCATGATTTGGCTCTCTCTTTGTCTGTTATTGGTGTGTAAGAATGCTTGTGATTTTTGTACATTGATTTTGTATCCTGAGACTTTGCTGAAGTTGCTTATCAGCTTAAGGAGATTTTGGGCTGAGACAATGGGGTTTTCTAGATATACAATCATGTCATTTACAAACACGGACAATTTGACTTCCTCTTTTCCTAATTGAATACCCTTTATTTCCTTCTCCTGCCTGATTGCCCTGGCCAGAACTTCCAACACTATGTTGAATAGGAGTGGTGAGAGAGGGCATCCCTGTCTTGTGCCAGTTTTCAAAGGGAATGCTTCCAGTTTCTGCCCATTCAGTATGATATTGGCTGTGGGTTTGTCATAGATAGCAATTATTATTTTGAGATATGTACCATCAATACCTAATGTATTCAGAGTTTTTAGCATGAAGGGTTGTTGAATTTTGTCAAAGGCCTTTTCTGCATCTATTGAGATAATCATATGGTTTTTGTCTTTGGTTCTGTTTATCTGCTGGATTACGTTTATTGATTTGCGTATGTTGAACCATCCTTGCATCCCAGGGATGAAGCCCACTTGATCATGGTGGATAAGCTTTTTGATGTGCTGCTGGATTCGGTTTGCCAGTATTTTATTGAGGATTTTTGCATAGATGTTCATCAAGGATATTGGTCTAAAATTCTCTTTTTTGGTTTTGTCTCTGCCAGGCTTTGCTATCAGTATGATGCTGGCCTCATAAAATGAGTCAGGGAGAATTTCCTCTTTTTCTATTGATTGGAATAGTTGCAGAAGGAATGGTAGCAGCTCCTCTATGTACCTCTGGTAGAATTCGGCTGTGAATCCATCTGGTCCTGGACTTTTTTTGGTTGGTAAGCTATTGATTATTGCCACAATTTCAGAGCCTGTTACTGGTCTATTCAGAGATTTAACTTCTTCCTGGTTTAGTCTTGGGAGGGTGTATGTGTTGAGGAATTTATCCATTTCTTCTAGCTTTTCTAGTTTATTTGCGTAGAGGTGTTTGTAGTATTCTCTGATGGTAGTTTGTATTTCTGTGGGATCAGTGGTGATATCCCCTTTATCATTTTTTATTGAGTCTGTTTGATTCTTCTCTCTTTTCTTCTTTATTAGTCTTGCTAGCAGTCTATCAATTTTGTTGATCTTTTCAAAATACCAGCTCCTGGATTCATTAATTTTTTGAAGGGTTTTTTGTGTCTCTATTTCCTTCAGTTCTGCTCTGATTTTAGTTATTTCTTGACTTCTGCCAGCTTTTGAATGTGTTTGCTCTTGCTTTTCTATTTCTTTTAATTGTGATGTTAGGTTGTCAATTTTGGATCTTTCCTGCTTTCTCTTGTGGGCATTTAGTGCTATAAATTTCCCTCTACACACTGCTTTGTATGTGTCCCAGAGATTCTGGTATGTTGTGTCTTTGTTCTCGTTGGTTTCAAAGAACATCTTTATTTCTGCCTTCATTTCGTTATGTACCCAGTAGTCATTCAGGAGCAGGTTGTTCAGTTTCCATGTAGTTGAGTGGTTTTGAGTGAGTTTCTTAATCCTGAGTTCTAGTTTGATTGCACTGTGGTCTGAGAGACAGTTTGTTATAATTTCTGTTCTTTTACATTTGCTGAGGAGTGCTTTACTTCCAACTATGTGGTCAATTTTGGAGTAGGTGTGGTGTGCTGAAAAAAATGTATATTCTGTTGATTTGGAGTGGACAGTTCTGTAGATGTCTATTAGGTCCACTTGGTGCAAAGCTGAGTTCAATTCCTGGGTATCCTTGTTAATTTTCTGTCTCGTTGATCTGTCTAATGTTGACAGTGGGGTGTTAAAGTCTCCCATTATTATTGTGTGGGAGTCTAAGTCTCTTTGTAGGTCACTCAGGACTTGCTTTATGAATGTGGGTGCTCCTGTATTGGGTGCATATATATTTAGGATAGTTAGCTCTTCTTGTTGAGTTGATCCCTTTACCATTATGTAATGGCCTTCTTTGTCTCCTTTGATCTTTGTTGGTTTAAAGTCTGTTTTATCAGAGACTAGGATTGCAACCCCTGCCTTTTTTTCTTTTCCATTTGCTTGGTAGATATTCCTCCATCCCTTTATTTTGAGCCTATGTGTTTCTCTGCACGTGAGATGGGTTTCCTGAATATAGCACACTGATGGGTCTTGACTCTTCATCCAATTTGCCAGTCTGTGTCTTTTAATTGGAGCATTTAGTCCATTTACATTTAATGTTAATATTGTTGTGTGTGAATTTGATCCTGTTATTATGATGTTAGCTGGTTATTTTGCTCGTTAGTTGATGCAGTTTCTTGCTAGCCTCAATGGTCTTTACAGTTGGCATGTTTTTGCAGTGGCTGGTACCAGTTGTTCCTTTCCATGTTTAGTGCTTCCTTCAGGAGCTCTTTTAGGGCAGGCCTGATGGTGACAAAATCTCTCAGCATTTGCTTGTCTGTAAAGGATTTTATTTCTCCTTCACTTATGAAGCTTAGTTTGGCTGGATATGAAATTTTGGGTTGAAAATTCTTTTCTTTAAGAATGTTGAATATTGGCCCCCACTCTCTTCGGGCTTGTAGAGTTTCTGCTGAGAGATCAGCTGTTAGTCTGATGGGCTTCCCTTGTCGGTAACCCAACCTTTCTCTCTGGCTGCCCTTAACATTTTTTCCTTCATTTCAACTTTGGTGAATCTGACAATTATGTGTCTTGGAGTTGCTCTTCTCGAGGAGTATCTTTGTGGCATTCTCTGTATTTCCTGAATCTGAATGTTGGCCTGTCTTGCTAGATTAGGGAAGTTCTCCTAGAAAATATCCTGCAGAGTGTTTTCCAACTTGGTTCCATTCTCTCTGTCACTTTCAGGTACACCAATCAGATGTAGATTTGGTCTTTTCACATAGTCCCATATTTCTTGGAGACTTTGTTCATTTCTTTTTATTCTTTTTTTTCTAAACTTTCCTTTTCGCTTCATTTCATTCATTTCATCTTCCATCACTGACACCCTTTCTTCCAGTTGATCACATCGGCTCCTGAGGCTTCTGTATTGTTTACGTAGTTCTCGAGCCTTGGCTTTCAGCTCCATCAGCTCCTTTAAGCACTTCTCTGCATTGGTTATTCTAGTTATACATTCATCTAATTTTTTTTCAAAGTTTTTAATTTCTTTGCTGTTGGTTTGAATTTCCTCCTGTAGCTTGGAGTAGTTTGATTGTCTGAAGCCTTCTTCTCTCACCTCGTCAAAGTCATTCTCCGTCCAGCTTTGTTCCATTGCTCATGAGGAACTGCCTTCCTTTGGAGGAGGAGAGGTGCTCTGCTTTTTAGAATTTCCAGTTTTTCTGCTCTGTTTTTTCCCCATCTTTGTGGTTTTATCTAGTTTTGGTCTTTGGTGATGGTGTGATGTACAGATGGGTTTTTGGTGTGGATGTCCTTTCTGTTTGTTAGTTTTCCTTCTAACAGACAGGACCCTCAGCTGCAGGTCTGTTGGAGTTTGCTAGAGGTCCACTCCAGACGCTGTTTGCCTGGGTATCAGCATCAGTGGCTGCAGAACAGCGGTGGCAGTAAAACAGTGGATTTTCGTGAACTGCAAATGCTGCTGCCTGATCGTTCCTCTGGAAGTTTTGTCTCAGAGGAGTACCCGGCCGTGTGAGTTATCAGTCTGCTCCTACTGGGGGGTGCCTCCCAGTTAGGCTGCTCAGGGGTCAGGGACCCACTTGAGGAGGCAGTCTGCCCATTCTCAGATCTTCAGCTGCATGCTGGGAGAACCACTACTCTCTTCAAAGCTGTCAGACAGGGACGTTTAAGTCTGCAGAGGTTACTGCTGTCTTTTTGTTTGTCTGTACCCTGCCCCCAGAGGTGGAGCCTACAGGAGCAGGCAGGCCTCCTTGAGCTGTGGTGGGCTCCACCCAGTTCCAGCTTCCTGGCTGCTTTGTTTACCTAAGCAAGCCTGGGCAATGGCAGGCGCCCCTCCCCCAGCCTGGCTGCCACCTTGCAGTTTGATCTCAGACTGCTGTGCTAGCGATCAGGAGACTTCGTGGGCATAGGACCCTCCCAGCCATGTGCGGGATATAATCTCCTGGTGTGCCGTTTTTTAAGCCCGTTGGAAAAGCGCAGTATTAGGGTGGAAGTGACCCAATTTTCCAGGTGCTGTCTGTCACCCCTTTCTTTGACTAGGAAAGGGAACTCCCTGACCCTGCTTCCTGAGTGAGGCAATGCCTTGCCCTGCTTCGGCTCACACATGGTGCTCTGCACCCACTGTCCTGCACCCACTGTCTGGCACTCCCTAGTGAGATGAACCCAGTACCTCAGATGGAAATGCAGAAATCACCTGTCTTTTGTGTCGCTCATGCTGGGAGCTGTAGACCAGAGCTGTTCCTATTCGGCCATCTTGGCTCCACCCCCCAAGACTCTTCTTTCTATCTTTTGTTCCTACCGTGTGTTTCAGGGTTCTTGCCTGAAATAAATCTAAAGGCAGAAAAGGCATTAAGAATATATAACTCTACAAAATGGAATTCCTCATTTCAAGCATGCAAACCTTACTTCATCTTCACGTGCATAGGAATGACAAAGAAAAATATTTATTTTCTGTAGGCTATCAGAGAAAAAAAAACTTGTAATATCACAGAAAAAGATGTACTATGCTTTATATAGCTAAACAGTAACACCCAAAAGCTATAATTTCATAAAATATAGAGTAATGTTTATATCACTTATGATTTTTAAAGAACTAATTTCTGGTAATCTCTTAAAATTCCCAGAAAAGCAGGAAATGGTGGCATGCTACCACTTAGTCATCAAACAGTTACCATTAAGAACAAAGCAATAGGTTGGTAATTTTTTTGTTTCTTATTTTATCTAATGCACTGAGTCCTTAATCAATTCAGCAGAGTATATGTGGAATATTGAACAATTTCATGTAGATGCTAATGCAGGATGAGATGCTCTCATGCCTCATACACAAATATCTCAAATTATAGGATGATGACTTCCTAACTCCACACTTCAACATTTTCAAACTAGTTTGCAACCCAATGGTAAATCTAGAAATTAATTTGGTAGAATGGAGCCAAGGATTTTTTTTTTATAAAATAGACAAAGTAAAATAGAAATTAGTAGAGTGCCTCACATATAGAAAGGTAAATATAGTCTCCAAAAGCTTTTTGTTCTGTGTGTGTGTGGAGGGGGTGTATGTGTATGCATGCACGTGCGTGTGTGCTAAATCTTAATGTAAAATCTATATATTACTGTGGATCATTTCAAGGTCTGAAAGCTACTGCCTTGTACCACATATTAGCGTTTCAGAAAGGAGAGGTAAATTGTTTAATATCTCAGAGGTATTACATGAGGGAAGTAAGATTCTAATCCATATGATTCTATTCTGGAAGTTCAGAACCTGTATTGTTCCAAAAAAAGACATTCCTCTGATTCTCACAAAGAAACTTCATTATTATCACTGGGAAATCAAGAGTTTTTCCAAATTCTTAAAAAATAAATAGGAAAGTAAGTCTTTAGAGAAGTGTTCATTGTATATATTTTAATTTTATTGCTTAATAAGATACATATATAATAACTCTAGTCACTTAATATGCACATAAATGATCTATGATAGATACACACATATACACATGTATATATACATACACACATATATATACAGCATTTATATACACAGCATACACACACACACACACACACACACACACATACACACACACAGCAATTAAGCAGAAAGAAGAAGAAAGCACTGTGGAGTAAATCAAGACTTTGATTCTAGTTATGATTCTGCTTTACCTGGAGCTAGCCTCTAAAGAGGTTGCTATAATAAGATATTCATTAATTATTTTCATATTATCATGTTATTCGATTGTTGTCTAAACTACATATTTTGCCTGGATATCTTAGTGCTTAGCATACTACGTGGTACATAGAATCTCAATACCTATGTGGATAATTATTGGGTAAGCTTTCAGAATACCAAAAACAGATAAATTCAAAGTCAGTCTTCTTGCATATTATTAATTTGTATTGTTAAAGAATAATAGTCATGTTTTCAAAATAAAGGCTTCATGATATAGACCTCCTACTTTATTGGGCATGTTTCAGTCACATATGTCAGTGTGTGTGTGTGTGCTTGTGTGTGACTTTCTCTAACTATACAGAAAACATCTGACTCTATGCATTTCTATCATATTAGTTTCTAATATTATCTTATTCATAAAATTGATCCAAACCTCTTTGTCCATTGTTGTTCATTTATTTCTGTATATTATAGTCTGTCTGTTGAAACTTTAGAGAATCTCTTTATTAGAGTGATAAACTTCTTAGTATCAATTATTTTAGAATTAAGAGAGTCTGTGAAAATCATCATGTCTTATTTTTGACATTTTGGCTTTGGATCTTCTAGAAAGTTGGCAAACGACAGTGAGAACTATGGGTAAGGTTTAAGGTTATTATAAAATTAGTGATTAGAAATTCCTTCATTTGAGTCTTGTTGAATGAACATGACTGTTTTTGTATTTTTGCTTACCCATTCTTAAGCCCTTTTCTGCAGCTTTTCATTCATCCACTTATGCTTCCAGAAACTTCTATTAAATATTCCTCCTTGAAAGGAACTGTCCTGATCAGTGGACTAATACAAATAATTAAGATTTTTTTTCTCATAGCTTATTGTCTAATTGACCAGAATATTGAGAGGTTTTTGACAATGAAAAAGACACAGATCTGCAAATAACAGTTCTAATTTTCCATTTCATAAAAGTGATGAATGACATTTATGCCTCACTGGAATGCTAGGATAAATCTGAATGTGTCCTTCACCATTCTTTCTTTATTTTGAATGTGAGGACAATTTACAAAAGGCACTTTATTAACTATAATTATTGGATTGTTATTAAGAAACCGCTAAGCAAAATGTAAAGTATATTATGAAGTACAAATAAAACAAAACTGAATAAAAGACATAAGTAGAGTAAAATTAAGATCTATCTTATAGGAAAGATTTTATTATTATTTATGTGTAGTTCCCATCTATGACATGTTCACCTAGGAAAGAAGATTCAAAGATTCATGTCATTTTATTATTACTTTCTAGCTATCACTTGATATCTAGGAAACTTAAAGACATTTACTTAATCTCATTCCATAATTTCATCCTCTCCTTCCATACATGTAGCTTCGCAAAGCCAAGAAAAAGGGAAAACTAGTTGCTAAGCAACAACTAAGGTATTATGAATGGATCCAGAGAAGCATCTCTTGAGTCAAGTAATTAATCAATAGATTTTAAAAACAAAGAAAGTACCCAGTAAGTCATATGTTTCAGGGAAAAGGTAGACAGCTAATTTTTTGCTTAAATATAGGATGATTTTGCTATAATATAGGATGATTTTGCTATACAGAGGTTTGTTTTATTAAAAATATTACAATACTTCTGCAAATAAAATCAACTCAAAGAATCGTTTGTCTTAAAAAAATGTTTCACAAACTGGGTGAACGGTAACAAAAAGTACCTTTCAAAATGATTTTAAATTTAGTCAAAGAGGAATAAGGAGAATAGAGAAAAAATTCAATGAACAATGTGGTTTACAAAGTTGTATGTATAAGTTGAAGATATGAATAAATATTAAAAATGTTGGCATCTCTGAAGGAGCACATTCTTGGATTTTTAAAACTCATAAAATAAAACTCAGATACACCTGAGTAAACTCTGCTTACCCATCAAGCATATGGCTAGAATTTTGGACATATTGGGTACACTTTCCTATATTAAGTCTTGAGCCTCATACATTCTAAATGTATAGCACTAAAATGAAATGACCCAAAAGGACACTCAGATTATTTGTTACCATCTGCTAGATCCACATCAATAGGATAAAGCAGGGGAAGAATTGAGAGAGGCTTGTTGACCTTTGACTCCAGGATGCCTATAGTAGATTTTGGAAGGTGGCAAATGCTACGGCGATAGAAATGGAGAGTACAGGAATTGGTAAGAGTGTGACAGAGTTGCTGGCACATTTTCATGTGGGGGTGTAAGTATATCAAGGGAGATAGTATAGGGGTCACTGGCTTTGGAAGTCAGAAAGATTGGGGTTCAAATCCTGGCACTATCACTCTCTAGTTTCATGTATTTGAGCAAATTACTTAGTTGTAACTTAAAATTTAGCTCTTTGGTGTGGTTATTTTATTGTTATATTGCTATTGATAGTATAGTTGAGATAACCAAAAATAGTTGGAGAAAAACAAATCAGCAAGGTTAGTATTAGTGAAAGCAGTGCTGTCTCCAATTATCAAAGACAGAAGGTTTTCTGCTCCTGAATGTAGTTGAATAGGAATTTGTCCATGTGTGTTTGAAGTCATGAAAGGGCAAAGGGATGGCAGAGATTGGTAGAAGGACGTCCACGTAACAAGGGAATTCTGACAGCTGTGGTAAAACATGCATCAACAAATTTGTTTCCATTTATTTCACCAAAGAGAGAAATACAAATATCTGATCACACATTGCTTTAGGACTTATGAAACACATTGTTCTAAATATCAAGAATAAAAACATAGCTTCAGATAGGATTGTAAACATTTTGATGATATTTTGACTTCAATTACAATAGAAATCAGTCAAAACTCCCAGTACTCAAATCCTAAAATACCGTTAGAAATATTTAAGCATTCTTTCCTTCTGTATCCACACTGCAACTATATTCATACAGGCTTTTGAAGCTTATTTCTGGGACTTCAAAAAATTGCTCTATATTTACTTTTAAGTATAAAAGTAAGGCATAAATTCATTTTCCCTGTAAAATTCTAATAAAATTAGATGAAGAAAATATCTTCCATGACTTGTTTTCCATTGGTAACAACATGATCTGTAGGTGTAAGCACAGTTGGAAATCTGTTTGTTTGGGTGGGGAGGAAATGAATGCTATATTTTAAGTGTTACTGAGCAAACTGTTTTTTTAACTTCAAAAAACTGACATAAAATTGTATGCATTTATCATGTACAACATATCGTTTTGCAGGATATATGCATTGTGGAATAGTTAAATCTAGCTAATTAACAAATACATTACATTACGTTGCATAATTAATATTTTTGTGGTGAGAACACTTACCATCCACTCTCTAAGCATTTTTCAGGACTACAATATATCATCATTAACTATAGTCACCGTGATGTACAATACATTACAAAAACTTCTCCCTCCTATCTAGCTATAAATATGTATCTTTTGACCTACATTTCTCCACCTTTTATTTTCCATAGCCACTCCAACATCTGGTAACCACCATTCTACTCTCCACTTCTGTGAGTTCAGCTTTATTAGATTCCACATATAAGTGAGATCATTCAGTATTTATCTTCCTGTGTCTGGCTTATTTCACTTAGCAAGATGTCCTCCAAGTTCATCCATGTTGTTGCAAATGATAGGTGTTCCTTCTTTTTTATAGCTGAATAGTTTTCTCTTATGCATATGTGCGATATTTTCTTCATACATTCATCCATTTATGGACACTTATGTTGATTCCGTACCTTGGCTATTGTGAATAATGCTACAATAAACATGGGGGTGCAGATACCTCTCTCCCTTACATATTTATTTCACCTCCTTTGGATATATACTCAGTCATGGGACTGCTGAATTACATGGTAGATCTATTTTTAATTTTTTGTGGAACATCTAATACTATTTTCAGTAATGACTACACTAATATACCTTCCCACCAACTTGTGAGGTTTCCCTTTCTCCACATGCTTTCCAGCACTTGTTACCTTCTTTTTAATACTAGTTATTCCAACAACAGTAAGGTGATATCTCACTGTGGCATTGATGTGCATTTACCTGATGAATAGTGATGATGAGTATTTTTTAAAAAATATACTGTGAGCCATTTATGTCTTCTTTTGAGAAATAGCTATTCAGGTCTTTTGCCCATTTTTTAAATTTTTTTGTTTGTTTTCTTGCTATTGAGTTGTTTGAGTTCCTTGTATATTTTGGCTATGAACTCCTTATAAGATGCAAATATTTTCTTCCATTTTGTAGGTTGTCTGTTCATTTTGTTAATTGTTTCCTCTGAAGTACAGAAGATTTTAAGTTTTAAATAATCCTATTGTCTATTTTTGCTTTTGTGCTTTTGAGAAAACCATTATGTATCTAGAAAAAAACATTGCTCAGACCAATGTCATGGAACTTTTCCCCTATGTTTTTTTTTCTAACAGTTTTAGGTCTTTCATTTAAGTTATTACCATTTCAGTTGTTTTTATACATGGTGAGAGATAAAGGTTTAATTTAATCCTTCTGCATGTGGATATCCATTTTTCCTAACACCATTTATGGAAGTAATTATCTTTCCCCTATTGTATGTACTTGATTCTTTTGTTGAAAATCAATTGGCCATGAATGTAGTAAATTTCTTTCTGGGCTCTATTCTGTTGCATTGGCCATTGGGTCTGTTTTTATGCCAGGACTATGCTGTTTGGCTACTATAGCACTGTAGTATGTTTTGAAGTTGGTAGTATGATGCATCCAGCTTTGTCCTTTTTAATCAAGATTGCTTTGGCTACTTGGGGTTTTTTGTGGTTCCATGTGAATATTAGGATTTTTGTTTACTATTTCTGTTAAGAATTTCACTGGTATTTTAATATGAATTGCATTGAGTCTATAGATTGCTTTGGGTACCGTAGACATTTTAACAATATTAACTCCTCTATTCCAAAAACACAGAATATCTTTCTATTGATTTGTGTCTTCTTCAGTCGCATTCATCAGTGTTTTATAGTTTTCAATGTAAAGCTCTTTCACCTCATTGCTTAAATTTATTAAGTTTTTTATAGCTATTGTAAATGGAATTGTTTTCTTGTTTTTCAGATTGTTTGATGTTGGTGGATCAAAATGCTACTAATTTTTGTATGTTAGTTTTTTATCCTGCAGATTAGATTTGTTTATTAGTTCTAAAAGTTATGTGGTGGAGTCTTTAGAATTTTCTATACATAAAATCATGTCATCTGAAAACAGGAACAATTTAACTTCTTCCTTTCTAATGTGGGATGCCTTTTATTTCTTTCTCTTAACTACTTGCTCTGGCTATGACTTCCAATACTACAGTGAATACAAGTGGCAAGAGTGTGCGTTCTTTTCTTATTCCAGATCTTACAGGAAAAACTTTCCTTGTTCAGTATGATATTACTTGTACTGGTCATATATAGCCTTTACAGTGTTTAGGTACACTCATTCTATATCTAACTAACTTGTTGAGAACTTTTATCATGAACAGTTGTTTAGTGTTTCAAATGATTTTTCTGCATCTGTTGAAATGATCAAATGTATTTTGTCCTTCATTCTATTAATATGATATATCACATTTATTGATGTGCATATTTTGAGCCATCCTTGCATTCCTGGGATGAATGTCCCATCAGTGTCCCATCACTATGTCCATCAGTGATGTTGTCCTGTGAATGTGTTGTTGTTGTTACTCTTATTGTGTCATTGTCTGGTTTTGATATCAGGGTAAGAGTGGCCTTATAAAATAAGTTTGGAAGTATTCCCTTCTTTTCAATTTATTGGAAGAATTTGTAAAGAATTTGTATTAGTTCTTTTAAATGTCTGCTAGAATTAAACAATGAAGTCATCAAATCCTGTGACTTAATTTGGCCTTCTTTTAACTGGATATTTATATCTTTTTCCAGGTTTGGAAAGTTTCTGCTATTTTTTTGTTTAAATTCCACAAACTTGAATATTTTCTTTTTTGAGATCCTGGGGGGACAATCACTGGAGAATCCTATTCTGCCATCTCACTGTGTCCTCTCCACAACTGGTTTTTATCACTTAACAATATGTCTTCAAAATCTGTACATATGTATGTACATCACACCCACGTTGCACACATCACACAAACAAGCATATATATTTAAAAACTAATTATTGGCTGGTTGCAGTGTCTCATGCCTGTAATTCCAGCACTTTGGGAGGACAAAGCAGGCAGGTCACGAGGTCAGGAGATCAAGACCATCCTGGCTAACACGGTGAAAACCCATCTCTACTAAAAATACAAAAAATTAGATGGGTGTGGTGGCGCGTACCTGTAGTCCCAGCTACTCAGGAGGCTGAGGCAGGAGAATTGCTTGAAACTGGGAGGTGGAGGTTGCAGTGAGCCAAGATTGCACCACTGTACTCCAGCCTGGGTGACAGAGCAAGACTCCATCTCAAAAAAAAAATGAATTATTTTAAGAGGCTATACAATATCACATACTGTAGTGTAATTATTTTCCATGTAATGAAACTGTAGGTTGTAGTCTTGCTATCTAATGTCATCTAACAAACTACCCTAAACTAAGTGGCTAAAGTCAACAACAATCATATTGTGAGCTTATAAATATGGTATTTGGGTTGGGCTTGGTGGGAAGGGTTGTCTATATGCCATGTGTCGTCAGCTGATAACTTAGTTCTTTTCTATGAAGGTCTTTCTCTGTTATTTAGAATTCCTCATGGCATGATGGCAGTGTTCCAAGGACAAGCGTTCCAGGAAAGAACACTAGCGGGAAACTATTTCACCTTTAGTTACTGAGTCTGGGAAATCAGTAACTTGTTAACCATGTGGTTGAGACACCCTGGAAATAGATTAACAGTCATTAGTCAAGCTACCCCACCTGATTCATATAGAGTCCACAGGACTCCATTATTTGAAGAAGTCACAAACTCCAGTGAAAAGTTTAAGGGGAAGGGAGATAGATTATATATTTAGAGAAAGAGTAGTATGCTTCTGTAAAATCATGTGGAATGAGAAATATTATTACAGACATCTTAAAAAACACAGTGTACCACAGCTTCCTTCTCAGTCTTCCAGTATTATGAATAATATTACAATATATACAATTGCATACCTCCTGGAGAAAGTGTTTAAATATATTTCTGTATGAATTACAATGGCCTATCCTCCCAATATTTATACATATATATCTGTTTACCTATTTATTATCTAGTAATTCTAATATTTTATCAAAAGGTTGTACACAATGACTTACAGTCTGTGAAAGTTTCAATTTCCAACACAAATTACTCATACTAGATTTTTCACTTTTTTGCCACATTTATGAAAGAAATTATTTCATTGGCATAGTTTGCATTTTCTTGGTTACTATTTACGTTAGGCAAATTTAATAATTATTACTAACTTTAATTTTTCTTTGTGCCATGTTTAATATCTTTCACACTTTTCTCCAGGTTTTAAAATCAATATGTAAGATTTTATAGCATTTTTATTTGCTACTTTGTAATCTGTTTTTCAGATTGCAAATAATTCTCTAGTGTTTTGTCTTTTCATTATTTAAATTTTTGTATAGAATTTTAAATTTTGAAGCTTTCAACGTTTTACTTTTTATTATGCCTTTTTTATTTTATGACTTGGGTAAGAAAGCCTTACTCTTTCTTGCTATAGAAGCTTATTTACATTTATGTTTTTCTAATGAGTTAAAAGTTGTTTTAGAATGTTTGTCTTTTGATCTAATATGAACTTTTTACTTGTGCATGATGAGAGGTAAGCAGTTTTTTCTTTTTCCTGAGAGAATCAAATATCACAACATAATTTATTGATAGTTCACATTTGCCCTCATGGGTTGAAATTACCACTACTATTATTTATATCCCTTTCTCTCTACATATACTATATAATTCCCATAGAATAAAAATATAATATAATTTATGTGATATAAAACAGTTTATATGTACATATTTATTAGATTATTGGACATGTTTGATCATCAATTTGTCTATGGGCCAATTTCATATTTTTTGGAGCTTTATTGCAATATAATTTATATACCATAAAATTCCCCCCTTTAAATTATGCAATTCAGTAGTTTACAGTGTATTCACATGGTTGTGCAACCATCATCCTATCTAATACCAGAACACTTTAATCACTCTAAAAAGAAACCCCAAACATATTAGCAATCATTCCCAATTCCCTCCTACCCTCACACCATGTCCACCATTAATATATTTTATGTCTATGTCAGTATGCTATACTGGACTTCTCATATAAATAAAATTTTATAGTGTGTGGCCTTTTGTATTTGTATTTGTAATTTAGCATGTTTTCAAAATTTATTGATGTTGCAGCATGAATTGAGGCCAAGTCTATATTGATGTATTTAATAGTTTTATAGAGTATTCTGATATCTGATAGGGTAAATTGTCCACTATTGTTGTTGCTAAAAATGTTCTTAGCTATAACTTACAAATTTATTTTATGTGTATGTCAATGTTTATTAGATTTGCTTTGATTTTATAAATTGATTGAGCGAAACTGTTATCTGCATAATATCAACTTTTCTTATTCATGCACATGAACTTTTCCTCTGCTCAATCAGAAATTTTTTGTACTAAAGATTTATAATTTTTATCCCAGCGAAGATTTTTTTCTCAAGCAAATTTTCAAACACTTTATGGTTTTGGTCAGGATCATAATTTTTCTGTCTTTCATTTTAATTGGTTATATCAATCATATTATCTGAAAATAGCTTTTATTCTTTTCCAGTCTGTGTACTTTGTATTTTTTTTCCTTATCTTTTCTCATTAATTAAAGCGGAAGTTATACACTGGGTACAGTTTGTACTAGTTATCCAACATTTGGCAATATCAGACAGTCTCTCACAACAAGTAACTATCTGGTCTAAAATATCAGTGTGACAAAGTTAGTTAAAAAACGCTGAGTTTGAGCATTCAATATAATTCAAATAGCGGTAATGATAGTAGGTATCCTTATATTGCTCCTGGATTTAATGAAAAAATATATAACATCAGTAATGTTTGTCTTAGGTTTCTTATAAATGAGTTGTATGAAATTTTAGGCTTTCTTATATTTCTATTTTGGTTATATAACCTTGCTTGTGTTTTGATTAAGAATAGATATTAAATTATTTATCTACCTAAGGAGATGGCCATATAATTTTTTTACCTTAATTTATTATCACAGTATCACAGATTAGGAGATTTTATAATTTTTGCCTAAATTTATATCCCTAAGATTGATCTTATTCACTCTTCTGAAAACATTGATGCATTCTATTTACTTTAAGTCTAGGTTTACAGGCAAAAGTGTCTTGGGTATATGTGTGTGTATGAATATGTATGTGTACACCTTCACCCATCCGTGTGTTCATATTCAATTTTGATTTAAAATTTATTTGAAGTTTGTTAAATGGCTTGTTAAACGTGCTAGTACATTCTGTGTGCTGAAAGATTTTATAAAATGTGGATGACAAGTTCCTTAAGGATTGTGAGAATTTATTTATACAGCTGGTAATGGTGGCTTTTGTTTTTGAGACAGAGTCTTACTCTGTCACCCAGGCTGGAGTACACTGGCACGATCTCGGCTCTCTGCAACCTCTGCCTCTTGGGTTCAAGAAATTCTTCTGCCTCAGCCTCCTGAGTATCTGGGATTACAGATGTGTGCCACCACGCCAGGCTAATTTTTGTATTTTTAGTATAGACAGGATTTCACCATATTGGCCAGGCTGGTCTCGAACTTCTGCTCTCAAGTGATCTGCCCGCCTCAGCCTCCCAAGTGCTGGGATTACAGGTGTGAGCCACTGCACCCAGCCTATGATGGCATTTTTAAGAATAGAATTTTAAATAAAAATAATATAATAGAAAATATATTTTAAGAGTTTCTCATGTCTTATAATTAAATGCTTTATATATATTAAGTCATTTAATCCTCACAATAATCCTATTAGATAGCTATTTATATTACTCTCATTATACACATGAGAAACTGCCATAGCTACAACTTAAGTAACTGTATTTAAGAATCTTTGTAATTATTATCAACCAGCCCAAGTATTCAAATTCTTGTTTATTAAATCTCATTGCCAATAAGCTATTGAGATTTGCTCTCTGCATTTTGTTAAGGTACAAAAGTGTGGCCTGAACTGGATTTTAATGAAATAAATTCTTCACATGTCCTAGGTTCTAGAATTTGGCTATGCCATGTGCTGGTTGTAGAATTTTGGTAAATGTGTCACTATATGCCTTCAAACTTTCTCATGCATAATATAAGGCAGCATAAATAGATAATGTCTTGGGGGTCTTTTAGCTCCAGATATATAAAATTCAATGGATTTTCAACCAGTAAAATTGTAATAACCATTTTACAGCCAATATTAAATGAACAAATAAATGAGCCAAGCATACAATGGATTCAACTAAAGATGAGTTATTACTTGGCCAGGGATTTCACCCTCAGCCAGAATTAACATGTGGCTTAGAAAGCACATGTATTATATTATTAGAGCAATAATGCACATTTGATTCCTGAGCTAACTTTCATTGTTTGGCAGTGTTTGGCCAAAGAACTGTCTCATGAAGAAATCTGAGGCTATTTCTGAACTTGGTGGGAAAGACTACAATGAATAATATCTACCATAAGTATGGAATGTCGGAGCAGTAGCACACTGTCATTTATTTGTCATCTCAACGCTAGAGTATCAGGACTTCATACGTATATATAATGCTTTAGTGATATAAATAGCTTATTACATATTGTAAGTGATAAAAACAAAGGATCCTCCCTCTGTATCCTTGAAAAAAATAAATGAGCCAATCATTGAGACAAATTAGCTTTAATGTTTACATGTGAGTTGAGAGTCACGATGATTTATTATACCTTCACTTTTGAGCAGAAATAACATTCCTTTTTTTTTTAGAAAGAAGCTTCGAAGTGCCTTACTTTGTGATGGAGTCAAAAAGTAATTCTCTTTATCCAACTCCTTGGTCAAATATAAATATCATTCTTAAAATACCTTTTGATTTCTGAACGGAGAAATGTTCAAAGGGTCCTCCAGGGCTCATTCCCTTAATCAAATGTTTAGTGAAAAGAATTTATTTTTTCTACTTGGAAATTATGGCTCTTCCTAGAGCAGTCGAAGAACTTTCATGGCTTAAAATGTGATTACAAGTACTGTACTAAGGACATACTGATTGATTGCTAGTGTTTTAATAAAAATTATTCTTTCTTAACACCTGTGATTAATCACCTTCTAAATATAATACTATAAAGTATGAAATGTTCTTCACAGTTGATGAGGTCAAGTTTTTTTTTTCTTTCTATAGTGAATAGATGAACCTGGTTAACTATAGGCTTGTGAGAACCATTTTGAAATGAAAGGCATTTCAAAAGATAATTTATGTGATACACCAAAATCCAAAATGATAAATACATGCAAGCATGTCCCAACATCGAATTTTATTCACACTTAAGTCCTAGGGTCCGTATTTACCTATTTTGGGAATGTATAAGAGCAGGAACAATTGAACACATTTCCAATATATCATATAAACAGCTTTCTCATAGGAATAACAAAAATAATTTTGTTCCTTTGTAAATCCAACTTAGTAATAAATTACACTTTATTACAGCCAAAATTAATGTAGAGATCTCTGTTGTATTTATTTCCAAAAGGTAATGACATGTTTCTCTCACCTGAATATTGGTAGTAAATTAATGGTGGAAGTCACTATTTAGGCATTACAATCATATAAAATTTTAATTACGTGTGAATAATAATTTGGCTATAAAAGTTTGAAAATATGTGATTATTGCTGTGTATATAATACAGATAGATGCTGCGTATTGTGAGAAGGATCTGCCTAAAGCAGATAGATAGGTAAAATCAAGGTACTGGATATGGCCTTTGAAGAGAGATCACAGACAGAAAAAGAGAGAATCCCTTTGCTCTGAAACTTTTGATGGCTATCTTAGATCAAGATGCTATAACGAATTGCCATAGACTGGGTGGATTGTAAACAGCAAACTGTGAGATTTATTGTTCACAGTTCTGGGGTCTGGGTGCCCATGATCAGAGTGCCAGCATAGTCCCGTTTTGGTGAGGACCCCTTCAGGGTTGATGAGTTTTGTCCTCACATTGCAGAGAGCAGAGCAGGAGAGCTCTTTGAAGTCTTTTATGTGAGGGCACTACACCCATCCGTGAGGGTTCTACTCTCATGACCTAATTACATCCCAAACGCCCCACTTCCTAAACTATCACATTGGAGGTTAGGATTCGAACATATGAATTTGGGGAAACATAAACATTGAATCTTTAACAATGGCTCTTCAGATTCTCCTAGATTAAATTCCAAACTACTTATCCCTCCAAGTCCTGTAACATCTAATATAAGTCCAACTTTTCTTTCCATCCTTTGTTTCCATTAGTTTCATTCTCAAATATTTAAGTCTAATCAAACTGGTCTGTTCTTTGTTCCGTAATCAATTCATATATTTTTGTTTTAGTTTGAGATGCCTTCCCACATATTTCTGATTTTCTGTTTTATCCCTTCTTTACCCATTGTCAAGAACTATAAAGTATCTGAGAATTTTCCCTACTTGAAAGCCAAGTTAGCATATGACAGTTTTATGGATGTTGGCAGAAGACACAAGACTCTTGTATCAGAGACAAAAGACTTTCTTACTGATTGTATGCAAACATTATGAGCTTCAGGTGTGTACTGCTTCTCCTTGTCCCAAAGTCCTATGGAAGCAGCAAGAAGCAATCCAGTTGGATATTATATATGCAGAGGGTTTGTGTCACAGCCAAAGAACGCCATTTTAGGAGACTTGTATCTTTTATAATGGATGCAAGCAAGCCTGCCCAAACATTACCTTAGAGAGAAGCACTATCCTTATCATATTGGACAGACTTGTTCTGCAGGGAAGGATACATTATTTCCATCTTCCATGACTGTTGAATATGTAAACATCCTTGTACAGTCCTAAACAAAACTTGTTTGTATAAACAGTGTTTCTGCTCATAGAATATGAGAAATGAATGAAGCCCATGGAGAATTATCTTCCAGCATGCGTTGTTCTCATCAATCCTGCCATTACTGCCCAAGTTCTGTGCTCACTATCTTTTCTGCACTATCACCAAATACTTAGTGCGTACTTCTCACATGTGTAACTTACCATCAGAGTGTGCTTAATATAATGCCTAACACATATTGAGCATGCAATACATTTCAGCTGTCAGCATTACATTCCTTTTATTCTAAGTATATGATTATCTCACAAAAGGGTGAATAAATACTTTAATAGCAAGGACAGTATCATTTTAGAGTAAATAACGTAGGCAGACTGAGTGCACATCTATGTGCATCAGATGCTCTCTCTGTAAGAGGATAAGTAGAAATTGCTCCAAGATTCTCAAGATGTCTTTCTAAATGTGCATAAGTATAAAGGATGAATACTACCTCATCAAGAATTAGGCTCCCATAATGGCTGGTGTCAACATTTTCTACCTTTTCAGCTTCTGAATGACTGAATGCCTTCAGTTTACCTAACCATCTTGGACAGTGAACAGATATCAGTTATAGCCTTTGCTATCTGCCACATCCTTTCAGACTGTCTAGATTTCCTGGATTTCTGACCTTTGACACCTCAGTATTTCACAAGTGGCTCTGAATTTGTTTAAAAATCCTACCTTCCCAGTGCCTTTCTAGATTATGTTAACATTTTTCTGGTTGCACTTTGACCTCATTAGATTTATCTAAACTCTGGTTCAAACTCACCATTTAGTAAACTGAGTCAAATTTTCCAGGTCCTATAAACAGCTGATGATTTTCTTCGTCCTATACTCTCCAGCTCTTCCTTCCCAGCAGCAACAGAAAATGGTGCCTAAGAGTTCAAGCCCTGGGTATTATGCTTTGAATCATATCCTATTTCTTCTTTATGTAGCTCTTGGAAAAGTAATCATCCTATACTGTTTCCTCATGTGTAAAATATAGATATTTTCCACTTCATGAAGCAGTTGTGAGATAATATATGTAAAACCTTTAAAAGAATATCAACATAAGGTAATTGCCCAATAAATGTTAAATATTGTTGTTAAGCTTAATATTGTTATCACTATTATTATTATTCCCTGAAGAACTTGGATTATATCTCAAAGAAGTGGTTGGGTTACTGTTCGTATGATTAATCAAATAAAACAAGTCATAATTCTGCCATAATATCAAAGTCCAGAAACTCTATTCAAGCCAGAAAGATTGATACACGTAGGTAAAATTCTGTTGCAAAGATGGTGGAATCATCTTTTCCTGATTGGATTCTATTCTTCAACCTGGCCCAGCAGAACATTTGGGACACATGTGTTCTCCTGCTTCACTATCTACCTTGCAGTCACTGATAATAAATGCTGAATCTGTCAGTATTCATGTATTTATCTGTAAAAATGTTCTTTAATTGATGAGAAATACTTTTGACACCTAAAATGTTAGATTTGATCTACAAAGACATTTTAAAAAATCTGTTGATGCAATGGGATTTTGGTATAAATGGTAATATTACCATTGAAGCTTTTCTAAATATTATGAAAATATATTTTTACATGATGAGTTCTTCAAATTCTCAACTGGCATTAGGAAGAAATTCCTGACTTTTGAAGAAAGTGGTGAATTTAGCTCATTATCTTTACTCCCTTCTTTATACTGGACCAACTGGGAGCAGATGAAAAATATTAGCCAAGTATCATCTTTGTTAACCACAAAATACAGGGCTTTTGATACTTGAGTTGAAGGGTTCAACATCGATTTTTAACCAACTAAATCTTAGGGCCTTCCTGGAAGACAAACTGGGATGACACAACAAATGCTGGGTGCACTTACATAGCCAAGTGGAGAGGGTAGCACAGTCTGTTTCGTATCTACTCAAGTTTGGGAGAGAAAGAGTAAGAGAAAGAGAAGATCCTCAAAAAGACAGATTCTATGCCCTGAGACAGATGGACTTACCACAGAGGAGCAGCAGAAGAGCAGGAAAAGTGCTTCTCTTGAAAGCAAGCAGGGCCAAAAGAGTTAGATCAAGAGTCCGGCCAAATGCAAGCACAGAACTTTTCTGGAACTGTATCAATCAGACAACATTCAGTATTCCATGGAGTGAGACTGAAATACAAAAGAATCTTCCAGTGGGGTTCTCTCCAGAAACTGGAGCAAAAGTCTTCTTTGCTCAATAAAATCATGAGGCTTTATGCAATAAGTTCAATGAACAAGACTTGTGAAATAGACTCTCACCATATTAATTAGTGAAGACTTACAGGTCTAAGTCCACCCCCCACCTTTTTTTTTTTTTTTCAGGAACACATACTTTGAGAAATGACTGCTGAGAAGAATTGGAAAGGGACTGGAAGCAATGATGGCTAAAGAATCTCGAGAAGGAAGACAGACTATACATATTTTTTCTAGGAAATTAAAAGGGAAGATAATTTCATAATTATTGCCAATGTTGTAAATAGTAATCTCCATCTCTCCATCAGATAGAGAAGAAAATGGGATTAAAATGTAGTAAGAGAAATTTAGATGGTTTATAACAGTTTGAAAGGAATCATGAGTTAAATTTCATAGTGTAGAGGCAGGAGGCTAAGAGAGGATAAAGATATACCGCTAATGTTTATAAATTCTGTACATTATCCACTCCTTACCTCTCAAAAGCCTCTTTGCTAAAAGTAGGTGTCATTATGTATGCAAATAAGGGAAGCTATGCCATGAAATGTAATCCTTAGGCTGCTCATAGTCTTAAGTACTTTTAATAATTGACTCACTTGAAGTATTTATGTAGACCTACTTACAAGAAAAAATATGAAAATAATGTAAATAAAAATGTTACACACTTTATAATTAAATTCTTACTTTTTATATTGCCCTTGATTGAAATCAAATAATTATTCAAGAATAAGAAAGCATTATTATGAGTTAAATTTTTGAGATGCAAAATTATATGTTCTGCCCATTTTCTCTACCTGTTTTGTGTGAAAGATAATATGATTGAATGTATGCTTTGTTTGTGCCCAAGTACACGTCTGAACCACAGCCTATTCTTTATATCCTATTGAGAGAATTGTGGCTCCTTTTTTCTTTTACGTTACTTAATATTTGGCTGTAGCTGTTCTTTGGCAGTAGGTAGGGTATTTGATAATTCTGCTGTGCTGCATAAACATTTTTACTTCAAAGTGATTGCTTGTCCATGTCTCACTGGAATTATTTCAAGTCAGACGTCTAATTCTGTCCAACATCTTTAATGTTTTCAAAATCATCTTGGGTGTTGTTAATGGAGTATCATTAGGTACAATTTGAAACATTTCAGTGGGCAGTACATGGATTCAGAATATTTGTGCAATATGTGCTCTTGCTTCTGAAGTCTTTGGGGGATTTTTCTTTTATATACCCTTCTCCTAACACTTTATTTTCTTTACTAGTTGACTTAGTTGTATAGTTATAGTAAACATAATTTTTCCATTTGGCCAATATTTATGAAAACTATAGTAGGATCCAAACATTCCAAAAGAGCACTGGGATAAGAAAGAGGTGGTGCCTGTACTATACCTACAGCTAGGAGAAAACAGGACACATAGAAATAAACTCAAGTACAAGTGTGGGCAGTCATAATAGCCAAGAAAGCCCAGATCTAGGAGTTCTTAATATCATTGGGTGAAGAAAGGAACATTTTGATGTTCCTCAGAAGCACAAAGAAAATAACCCCAAGAAAGAGGATTGGCTTAAGAAAAAGTATATAAGGATATGATCTGCTCCAAAAGCAGAAAGCACTACATCAACTGAAAGAAGTTTTGGAGAGAGAAATGTGAATTATGCTGAGATAGCTGGCTTTATTCTTCAGATCAAGGGAAGTATTAAAAATTTAAAACAGGGTATAGCATGGTCAGATTTGTATTTAATAAAAATATATCTGAAGGTCACATATTTGACACACTGTATGGAAGATACATTTAAGTAGTCCTATTGGTGAAGAACTGCTTGAGTCGCTACACATGTGGCATCGAACTAAATTAGAAATGAAGAGAAATTATTCAAGGCTAGAATATTCAGAAACTATCAGTGCATCTAACACATACAATAAAGGCTCAATAAATGCCTAATGATGAAAAACAAAAATTAATGCACAAATTGGGTTTCAAATGTTACATTGCTAGAATGTTTAAAATTATGGAGTCATTTTATGTTTGTGTGTGTGTGTGTGTGTATATATATATATATATATATATCTTTTTATCCTTATTGAAGGCAGAGATTTCAAACTACGTATGAAGTATTCATATCTGTAGATTTATAGCAGATTGGTGTGTTTTCTGTTTTAGATTGCCTGTTTTGTAGTAGAGAGATGCTTCTCAGGACGTCGTGGGATCACACTGTTCAGACTGATTTCCAACAGGCACAGCGTGGTAACCAAAGTCTCCCCTTTGGCTGATGAGTGTAAACATTCCAATTGAGTGAAGTTTCAAAACTATTTTTACATTACAGGTTTGGGTAATATGGGAGCAGGAAACTGTTTCTATTCCACACATGCCTCAGTTTACTAAGCAGGAAGTTACCAAGAAACTAAAGCAAACCAGAACTCCTACAAATTCTTAGAGCATATATTAAAAGAGTGAGAATTTACTCACTTCAACATCACAGATCACTTTTACCTTGCACTTCTTTTAATTTACTTGTAAATTACTTTTTAATTTACAAAATTACAATCAGGTTATGTATTTTTGCCCGGAATATGACATAAGACATACCATATCCTTAAAGTATTACATTCTGTGGCACACAATTTACTTCATTTTTACTTTACTGGTAATGTTGATTTTAATTACATGGTTAGGGGATTATCCAGATTCTGCATGATATAGTTTGTACATATTAAAGTGATTTTACTTTTAGAATCAACATATAATTTATATACCACGTAAATATCCTGCCCTGATCAAATTTGATTATCTCCTGAGATGCTAAATTTAATGAATGATTCTCTTTTTTTAACTTTAAGTTTGGGGTACATGTGCAGGATGTGCAAGTTTGTTACATGGGTAGCATGTGCCATCAGAGTTTGTTGTTTATTTTTTCTGAGTTTCTTGAAAATCTTTCTCTCCTCTTGCCTTTCTATCGCTGATGTGCTGTTGAGATATCTGGTGCCTGTATTACTTTCTTACTCTTATAAATAACTTGGTCATTTTGACTGTAAGCCCTGAGAATTTTTCATTTGACCTTAAAGTCTAAAATTTTACCGTGGTACGTTTCAGGGTGATTGCCCTGGCTCAGTTTTTCAGGTGTATAATAGGTTCTTTCAATATATTGACGTAAGGATTTTATTTTTCCTAGAAAATTACTTATGGATTTTAAAAATAAATATTAGTTTCATTCCATTGCATTACTATTATTATTATTATTTTTGAGACGGAGTCTCATTCTGTCACCCAGGCTGGAGTGCAGTGGCACAATCTCGACTCACTACAAGTTCTGCCTCCTGGGTTCACGACATTCTCCTGCCTCAGCCTCCTGAGTAGCTGGGACTACAGGCGCCCACCACCACAGCCGGCTAATTTTTTGTATTTTTAGTAGAGACGGAGTTTCACCGTGTTAGCCAGGATGGTCTCGATCTCTTGACCTCCTGATCCGCCCACCTCGGCCTCCCAAAGTGCTGGGATTACAGGCATGAGCCACCGTGCCCGGCCTATTATTCTTCTTAAGAGATCCCAGTTGCATATATGTAGAACTCCTTTGCATGTCCTTCATTTCAACCACTTTTTCTCCAGCCATTATTACTTTTCCACTTTTTTTTTTTTTTTGGTCATGTTTATATTCATGGTTACTTTATTTAAACTCAAGTTCAGAAGTACAAGTGCAGGTTTGCTACATAGGTAAACTTGTGTCATGGGAGTTTGTTGTTAGATTATTTCATCATCCAGGTATTAAGCTTAGTACCCGTTAGTTATTTTTCCTGATCTTCTCCCTCCTCACAACCTCCACTCTCCAAAAGTCCTCAGTGCATGTGTGTTCCTCTATGTGTCCATGTGTTCTTATCATTTAGCTCCCACTTAGAAATGAAAACACACAGTATTTGGCTTCCTGTTTCTGTGTTAGTTTGCTGAGGATAATGGCCTCCAGCTCCATCCATGCTCCTGCAAAGGATATGATCTCATTTTTTGCGGCTGCATAGTATTCCATGGTGTATATTTACCACATTTTCTTTATCCAGTCTATCACTGATGGGCATTTAGTTTGATTCCATGCCTTTGCTATCGTGAATAATGCTGCAGTGAACACACATGTGCATGTGTCTTTATAACAGAATGATTTATACTCCTTTGAGTATATACCGAGTAATGAAATTGCTGGAATATTCACGGTTTCTTTCTTCCTTTCAATGCCTCTTATTAAAATTTCATTCAATTTTACTCTCCCTTGGGCATCTTGAATTATATCCTTCAATTCTGTTTTTATGTTATTTTATTTCTTTACTTTTTTATTTAAAGTTTCTTTCCTGAGCTCTGTTCAACTCTCACTGAAATTCAACTCTTGTATTTACTATTTATATATTTGTGGTAATTTTTGAATTTCAGTGCTTTTTACAAATACATATGAGTGTTTGTGTAAGATTAATTTGAGATTGTTTTATGATAGTTTTGTTCTCTTTTATACTGGATATTAAGGAAAATTTTTAACAACTGAAATGCTTTCATTTTTTTCTTTTTTCTATAGTCTGGTATGATATTGCTCTGATTTTTCTATATCTAGGCATTTTGTGGACAAGGCTTCTTTCTCAAGAGTGCGCTCTACTGTCAATATAAGTGACATGTAGTTTCATTAATAGTTGGCATTGGTGATGGGAGAGAAGGGTAAATTGGCTTATCTTGTAAGTGTTTCTTTAGGACCTTTAGTTTTCTCTTCTCACTCTCTCTTTTCCATCATTATCATATCTCTAAGGGGCACCGCTCTCTCTCTCCTCAACTAGTAGTGGTGATTCTGGAGCTACTACCTCTAGTACCCCTCTAATTTAGGCCTCCTGCTCTAGCCAGTGCTATGAAGTGCTAAGTCCCTGATCATTATTCAGCATTTTGGCACTTAGGCTTGAATTTCTCTTTCTCAGATTGATTTTTTTTTGGACTTTGTTCTTCTTTCCTCTTTTCTCTTCACTGCCTATGACCTATTTACAGTTTCCCTTCTTTCCACTAATTTCTGCATTCATAAGATGGCAATACTAAAGGGAATTTCAATAGGAACTGTTGAAGTTCAGTGTTTGTTTTCCTATTCACAAGTAACATGAAATTCACAGTATTCTCTAACTCCTATTAATGCAGATTACATCATTTTATTTTTTTGGTGAGCGTCTCTTTAAGCTTGTTCACGCACACGTATTCACTTATTTTTGTACATTTTGGTGGGAATATGTATTATACTTATATTCTGCATTTATACTTAGCCTTCTATCATATTATTACGTGTTTCTATAAACTCTTCACTGCCTTTTCAAGTTTTAAAACTTTCTAATATAGCTTTCTATTCATAGAAGTAATACTGATACAGAAATCTTACAGAGCAAAAAACTAACAATGAAACTGAAAAACAGTAATTCTACCTCCCAGAGGCAAACACCAATAACATTCCTTTTTTTTCTTCCAGTATGTTTTTTCTGCACGTATTGGTAGAAATGATATTGCACCTATAATTTGATATCCTGCTTTTTTATTTAACTGTGTTTCATAATTATTTTCCTGTGTAATTTAAATTATTCATAAACATCATTTTCAATGGTTTCCTAGTATTCCACCATATGGACATTTTCCTAACATTTATTGTAATTTTCATTATTTACAAAAATTTTACAATGAACATCTTTGTGCATAAATTTGCATCCATATTTCAGATTTTTTATAACACATTTCTGGTAAAGGAATATAAACCCACAAGTTAGTTATTACTGAATACTAAATTTCGATTTATTCTCAACAGCTTGTAAGCATGACTTTAAGTGCTTTCTTTTAAAAGTAGGGGTGGTAGGTATACTTTTGGAGTATGTATATATCTGGAATTGCTTACTTTTGTTTTTATATATGATAAATAATGTGTAATACTATCAATTATTGGCCCACAATATTGTTTTCATATTGTTATCTACTATCACTTAATAATGCAGACATTCTTAATGCAGCCTAAGTTTTACTCCCTTGGGTTGATTATGGTTTAATTTTGCCTTAATTTTCATCTGTTAAAAACTCACAAATTTATATCTCTATCCCAAAGTGCTTCTTTGAACACCAAAGACATAGATGTGATAGTCAGTTTTCCCTTTCCACTTTGATATATAACAGGCATCTCAATATTATCATGAGTCTTAACAAAGCTCACGAAAGAACCAGTCATTTTCCCCACTACACAGAAACACACACATGCACACACAAACCTGCTACAGTCTGGTATACATACCATGCATCTAGCAGTTTAAGGCAAAAGCTTGAGTCTTTCTGATGTTTCTTCACATGTCACATACAATATCTCAATATGTTTATAAATTATGCCTTCAAAGCATAGCTTAAATGTGTTTATTTCTCTTCATCTCCACTGCTAACACATTGGTCTTTTTATATCTTACCTAGAATTGTACAGTAACTTGTTAAGAGGTCACCTAGACGTTCTCTTAGGTTCCTTTCTCCTACAGAAGCTAAGGGGACCGTCTGTTAAAAAGTAAGTCTGATTTTTGTCGATCCTCACCTTAAGGATCTTCCAATGGCTATCCATAACAATAGCAATAAAAATCCCAAGTCCTTTTTGGGTTGTGTCCTTTCTTGGTTTTGGTATTAGGGTGATGCTGGCTTCATTGAATGATTCAGGGAGGGTTCCTTCTTTCTCTATCTTGCGGAATAGGGTCAAAAGGATTGATACCAATTATTTAAACATCTGGTAGAATTCTGCTGTGAATCCATCCGGTCCTGGGCTTTTTTTGCTGTTGTTGGTAATTTTTAAATTACTGTTTCAATCTTGCTACTGGTAATTGGTCTGTTCAGGGTATCTAATTGTTTCTGATTTAAGCTAGGAGGGTTGCCTCCACCAAGATGTCATTATTGGGAGCCCGTGGCTGGGGCACTTTTTCCCACTTTGACTCGTTACTTTTCTACTCCTAACCCTTCCGTCTATCTTTCCCCCAGCTCCATGGAGCCATAAAATGGCAGAACATTTTGTCCAGGATTCCTCTGCAGTGAGATGATTCCCTCCACCTGATCTGTATGCCACCTGACCCTCACCTTGTATCATTCTGTGAGAAAAAAGGAACACCAAAGAGTGAGTGTTTTTCTATGGATCTTTCTAACAGCTGACAGTTTGACAATATTCAATGGCGACAGCACTTTTGTCAGCGCACAAACACACACATACACACCAATATGGTAACACAGTTTTGGGAAATGGCCTAACTGTCTTACTTTTACGGCAAAGTAGTACACTGCACTATCCAATAGATTGCCAGGGGTGCTTATGTCACTACATCCCAAGCTTCAGATGTCTCAGAACAGAAAAAGAGACTCCAGTTGTTTGAAAGAAAGTACAGAAGAGAACAAGAGTCTCTGCTGGTAATCCAGAGAATTCTCCTGGATCTTCACCAAGATTATCAACGCAGTACCTCTATGAATCTGCAGGAACCACAGTGCTACTGGGATTGGGCTGCCACCCTAATGCAGTTACAGCTTAGATCACAACACACAAGTCCTTTAGAATATCTGAAAAGCCTTCCCAGAAAGACAGGTACAAATAAGCCCAGACTGCAAAGACTAAAATAAATCCCTAACTCTTCAATGCCCAGACACAGATAAACATCTACAAGTACAGAGAAAATCCAGGAAAACATGACCTCACCAAATAAACTAAATAAGGCACCAGTGACCCATTCTGGGGAAAAACAGATATGTGACCTTTCAGACACATATCTGTTTTTGTGTTGTGAATCGGAATTCACAATAGCTGTGTTAAGGAAGCTCAAAGAAATTCAAGATAACATAGAGAATGAATTAAGAATTCTATCCAATAAATTTAACAATGAGATCAAGATAATTAAAGATAGAGATAATTTTTAAAAAATCAAGCAGAAATTTTGGAGCTAAAAATGTAATTGACATACTAAAGAATGCATCAGTCTTTTAATAGCATAATTGATGAAGCAAAAGACAGAACTAGTGAGCTTGAAGACAACCTATTTGAAAACACACAGTAAGAGGAAACAAAACCAAAAAGAATTAAAGAAAAGGCCGGGTGCCGTGGCTCACGCCTGTAATCCCAGCACTTTGGGAGGCCGAGGCGGGTGGATCACAAGGTCAGGAGATCGAGACCATCCTGGCTAACACAGTGAAACCCTGTCTCTACAAAAAATACAAAAAATTAGCCAGGAGTGGTGGTGGGTGCTGTAGTTCCAGCTGCTCGGGAGGCTGAGGCAAGAGAATGGCGTGAACCCAGAAGGCGGAGCTTGCAGTGAGCTGAGATCACACCACTGCACTCCAGCCTGGGCAATAGGGCGACACTCCATCTCAAAAAAAAAAAAAAAAAAGAATTAAAGAAAAAAGTATGCCTACAAAATCTAGAAAATATAAAATTTATTGGCCTTAAAGAGGTGGCAGTGAGAGAAGTATACAAGTAGAAAGTTTATTCAAAGTGATAATAGATAACTTCCTAATCCTGGACAAAGATACCAATATTCAAGTACAAGAAAGTTGTAGAATATCAAGCAGATTTAACCCAAAAAGGACTACCTGGAGGAATTTAATAATCAAACTTCCAATTATCAAAGGTAAACAAAGGATCCTAACAGCAGCAAGAGAAGAGAAACAAATAACATATAATAGAGTTCCAACACCTCTTGCAGCAGACTTTTCAGTGGAAACCTTACCAGCCAGAAGAGAGTGGAACTACATATATTTCAAGAAATAAAGGAAAAAAAAGTTACCCTAGAATAGTATATCTGGCAAAAGTATCCTTCAAACATGACAAAGAAATAAAGATTTTTGCAGACAAACAAAAACTGAGGGATTTCATCCACATCATGCCTGTCCTGCAAGAAATTCCAAAGGCTGTGCTTCAATCAGAAAGAAAAGGATGTTACCAATAACCAATAAGTAATCACCTGAAGGAACAAGACTCACCAGTAATAGTAAGAATGCAGAAGAACACAGAATATGATAACCCTGTAACTATGGTGTGTAAATTACTCTTATTCTAAGTAGAAAGACTAAATGATGAACCAATCAAAAATAATAACTACATCGGCTTTACAAGGCATAGTCAATACAAAAAGATATAAATAGAAACAAACAGAAAGTAAAAAAGTGAGGGGATGAAATTAAAGCATACAGTTTTTATCACTTTTCTTCTTATCTGTTTGTTTATGCAACCTATCAAAGCCTATGGGATATAGGAAAAGCAGCACTAAGAGGGAAGTACATAGCTATAAATGCCCTACATGGTTTGGCCGTGTCCCCAACCCAAATCTCATCTTGAATTATAGATCCTGTAATTCCTGTGTGTCACAGGAGGGACCCAGTGAGAGGTAATCGAATCATGGGGATGGGTCTTTCCCATGCTGTTCTTGTGATAGTGAATAAGTCTCATGATATCTGATGATTTCCCCTGCACATGCACTCATGTCTGCTGCCATATAAGACATAACTTTGCTCCTCATTTGCCTTCCACCATGATTGTGAGGCCTCCCCAGCCAGTTGGGATCATGAGTCAATTAAACCTTGGGTATGTCTTGGGTATGTCTTTATTAGTAGCATGAGAACAGACTAATACCTGCCCACATCGAAAAGGAGGAGAAACTCAATTAAACAATCCAATGATGCATTTTAAAGAACTAGAAGAGCAACAGCAAACCAAATCCCAAATTACCATATGAAAAGAAATAATAAAGATAATAGCAGAAATAAATAAAATTGAAATGAAAAAACAATACAAAAGACCAAAAGAACAAAAAGTTGGTTTTTTGAAAAGATAAACAAAATTGACAACCCTTAAGTTAGACCACAAAAAAAAAAAAAAAGGGACCAGACCCAAAGAAATAAATCAGAGAGAAAAAAAAAGGATATATTACAACTGATAGCACAGAAATGCAAAGGATTATTAGTGGTTACTCTGAGCAACTACATTCCAAAAAATTAGAAAATCTAAAAGAAATGAGAAAAAATCCTATATGAATACAACCTACCAAGATTGAACCATGAACAAATCCAAAACCTAAACAGATCAGTAACAAGTAACAAGATCTAAGCTATAATAAAAAGTCTCCCAGCAAAGAAAAGCCTGAGACCCAATGGCTTCCCTACTGAATTCCACCAAACATTTAAAGAAAAACTACTACCAATCCTATTTAAACTATTCCAAAGAATAGAAGACGGAATACTTCCAAATTCATTTTACAAGACCAGTATTACTCTGATACCAAACCCAGACAAAGACACATCAAAAAAAGAAAGCTACAGGTCAATACATTTAACGAATATTGATGCAAAAATCCTTAACAAAACACTAGCAAACTGAATTCAATACTAAATTAGAAAGATCATTTATCATGACCAAGCAGGATTTGTCCCTGAGATGCAAGGATGGTTCAACATAAACATATTAATAAATAAGATACATCATATCAACAGAATGATAGACAAAAACCATATGATCATTTCAATTAATGTTGAAAAAGCATTTCATAAAATTCAACATTCATTTATAATAAAAAAATTCTCAAAAAAACGGTGTAGAAGGAACATACCTCAACATGATAAAAACCATATATGACAGACTCATACCCAGTATCATACCAAATGTGGGAAAATTGAAAGGCTTTCCTCTAAAATCTGGAGCATGACAATGATGCCCACTTTCACCCATTATTCAACATAGTACTGAAAGTCCTAGCTATAGCAATCAGACAAGAGAAAGAAGTAAATAATATCCAAACTGGAAAGGAAGAAGTCAAATTATTCTTGTTTGCAGATGACATGACATATTTGAAAAAGTCTAAAGACTCTACAAAAAAAAAAACTATTATAACTGATAAACCAATTCCGTAAAGTCACAGGATTACAAAATCCACACACAAAAATGAGTAGTATTTCTATATGCCAACAATGAACAATCTGAAAAAGAAATGAAAATGTAATCTCACTTACAATAGCCACAAATAAAATTAAATACCTAAATGGATAGAACTGGAGACTGCGATTTGAAGTGAAATAAGCCAAGGACAGAAAAACAAACATAGCACGTCCTTACTTATTTGTGGGTCTAAAAATCAAAACAATTGAACTCATGGAAATAGATAGTAGAAGGATGATTACCAGAGGCTGGGAAGGATAATGGGGTTGGGGGAGAAGTGGGGATGGTTAATGGGTACAAAAGAATAAATAAAAAGATGTATAAGACCTACTATTTCATAGCACAATAGGGTGACCATAGTCAATAATAATTTAGTTCTGCATTGTAAAACAACTAAAAGAGTAGAGTATAATTGGATTGTTTGTAACACAAAGGATAAATGCTTGTGGGGACAGCTACCCCATTCTCCATGATGTGATTATTACACATTGCATCCTTGTATCAAAACATCTCATGTACCCCATAAATATATGTACAAAAATAAAAAATACTATAAGGGGCGTGTTTCTACCAGCATTTATGTAATGCAATAGAACACAATAAAATAGGATAGACTAAAACATACATTATCACAGTATATCACAATTTTTAATAGTAAATATTGTTTGGGAAATCTTTTATACTATTCACACTGTTTATGTGTACATATGTGCATGCATACATGCTCATGTATGCACCCGTGTGTGTGTGTGAACGTGTGTTCTCCATATTGTTGTACATGCTCCTTGCAGTGATGTAGGATTAATTTCTTAGTCTAGATCAATAGATAAGAAGGGAAGCAATTATTCTTCTAGATGCCACTGTCACTTCTACGCTGCTTCATTTAAATCTTTGGTTAAAATCCCTGCTGGACATAATGGCTCATGTCTGTGGTCCCAAAAATTTTTAGGAGCCCAAGGCAGGAATATCACTTGAGGCCAGGACTTCAAGACCAGACTGTGCAATATAGTGAGACCCCCATCTCTCCAAAAAACAAAACATTAATCCCCTCCTTTATCCCAGCCCACGTAATTGCCTACTATTTTTCTGACACTTTGCCCATATTCATCAAGAACTATAGTATGTCATCATCTTGGTTCACACTGCAAATCCAGCATTTATTCTGGGAACATCTAACAAACTGTTCCTTGACATCTGCACCTTCTATGATTTCACCCACCAGGATTATCCAGCCATTTCCACTGTCCACTGTCATATGTTTGTTATTTCAGCGGAGGTAAAACTACCTTTACCCTCTTAGGGCTCCCAGGCTGGGCCTGAGAATTTGACATAAAATAAATTAATAGGAGTAAAGCATAATGATTTAATGTAAATTTTATGTGACACAAGATCCCTCATAAGAAAATGAATACCTGAAGAAGTAAAGACCCAAATTTTTTTTTTTTTTTTTTTTTTTTTTGGAGTTGGAGTCTCGCTCTGTCACCAGGCTGGAGTGCGGTGGCAGTCTCGGCTCACTGCAACCTCTGCCTCCTGGGTTCAAGTGATTCTCCTGCCTCAGCCTCCCAAGTAGCTGGGACTACAGGTGCCCACCACCACACCCAGCTAATTTTTGTATTTTTAGTAGAGATGGGGTTTCACCATGTTGGCCAGGATGTTCTCGATCTCTTGACCTTATTATCCACCTGCCTCAGTCTCCCAAAGTGCTGGGATTACAGACATCAGCCACTGCGCCTGGCCCAGTGTTTTTATATTAGGTTGAACAAAGAGAAGCAACTGTGGTCAATCTCTCATTTTTTGAGCTCTTGTTTTTCTCATTATACATACTGTGAGACTATGATCCCTAGACTGCTTTGATTTCCTCTCTTCTTGAAGTCTCTTACTGTCCCTCAAACTTCTCTTCCTTTTTTAGCCAGCCTAGACTTCATGGCCTTCACCTCCATTTACCTTTTGCCAGTACTGCATATACCCTCAACCCTTCTGTCCTTCTGCCCCACTTTTCTGAAAATGCCTGAACACTTTTCCATTTCCACTGTGCCTGAACTGGTAAATGTTGCTAAACTAACTCACAAGATCATAACTTTGCTGACTGGAATCACTAAAATTATAGTGTATACCATCTGTGCAGTGACCTTAAAATTGAATTTGTAATCCTGTCACTGATATAGAGACCTCTACTCTTGGAACAATTTCGGTTGATTGGTAGCGGCTACCTGAATGTACTGTATATGGGGGAGGGTTGTGAAAGTACAGTTGGGCTCAGCTGGAAAAATTGCTGAGATTGAGTAATGATGTCTATCATGTGTGAAGAAAGACAATTGTGGCCTTTTATCATATAATTCCCTTTTTACATTAACAGTGACCCCAAAGTTGCATTTCAAACCTATAATCCTAGTCTTAAACTCATTCTGTTAGGATAAAGACTATTCTTTTTAAGACAGAAAATGTCAGCTTGAGCTCTATCAATTTCCTACTTAGTGACTCAATTTCTTTAAAACAGATACATATATTATCTGCTTAATGGGGAAAAGAGCTTCCCTACCTCTACTTCTGAAAATTGTACACCTACCTCTGTCCTCAGCCCCATCTCCTCCTGCCTCTTAAGGAAAATTTCCTTTTGAAATAATCCCTAATTTACTATATTTTTTATTTCATTGTTTTATTTTCTGCATCAGATAAACATGTTCAAATTTACCACATCTTCTTAAAATGCTTCACTCACTTGTATTACCCTCATTGCCATGGTAACTTTCTCTTAAAAGTCTAGGAAACTCCCACCACTTAATTGATATATCTCAGTTAGTCATCAGTTTCAAATTTGTCAAAGTCAAGCAATCTCTTCAGTTCTCATCATCCTTGGCAGAGCTCAGAAATATGACAAAGGGGGCCATGCATTGCTTTCCTGAGATGTGCTCCTTCCCAGACTGCTCCTATTCCATTGTCTTGCATGTTTTCTTCTCACACCTCTGGTCACTCACTTGCAACATATTTTCAGGATTTCCTTTTCTGCCTTTATACCATAAGTATTAGAATAATTAAGATTCCAATGGGTTCTATTCTCAGTCTTTCTTTTAAATCAAAATGGTAATTATAGATTTTTTCAGCTATATTCCTGGAATCCAAAATGTATATCCCCAGCCCATATAGTTCTTTACCTTAGAGCTCTGATGCAGGACAGGCAAGCCCCAAGACTGGGGCATAGCTCAAGAGGGTTCTTGACTTTGCCCAGGAAAGAATTCAAAGGCTAACTGGTGGTGTTAAGTAGCAACTTTACTGAAGTGGCAGTGTACAGCAGCAGCAGAGGTACCACTCCTTGCGGATCAGGGGCTACCCCATAGGCAGTGTGCCCAGAGTAGCAGTCCAGCAGTCATATTTACACACACTTCTAATTATATGCAAATTAGGGGTGGTTTATGCAGAAAAAGGGGTGTTAACTTCCAGGCTGTCTAGTCATTGCCATGAAAAGGGACAGTAACTTCATAGTGTTGCCATGGCAATGGTAAGCTGACATGGAACACTGATGGGCATGTCTTACCGGGAGATGCTTCTGCCCAGGACCTATTTTAGCTAGTACTCAATTTAGGCTGGTACCCAAGCCATGCCTGTGGAGTCCGGTCCTGCCTCCTATCTCGGCTCAGACTCATAAACACAATAGCATACTATATAGTTCTATTCATTTGAATAGTATAGAATTTATTTTATGTGACTCGTGAGCCAAACATGCCTATTTAATTTGGTTCAGTCCAAAATGTAGCATCTTCTTAAGTGCTATCTCCTCTGAAACTCATCTTTAACCTCCTCCGCTTCTGCCCAGGACCTATTTTAGCTAGTACTCAATTTAGGCTGGTACCCAAGCCATGCCTGTGGAGTCCGGTCCTGCCTCCTATCTCGGCTCAGACTCATAAACACAATAGCATACTATATAGTTCTATTCATTTGAATAGTATAGAATTTATTTTATGTGACTCGTGAGCCAAACATGCCTATTTAATTTGGTTCAGTCCAAAATGTAGCATCTTCTTAAGTGCTATCTCCTCTGAAACTCATCTTTAACCTCCTCCATCAGATTTGGGCTGCCTTTAACAAATCTTCCTCCTGGAGTTTTTACCTCACTCTATTGTAACAATTGTAATATTTTAATGTACTTATTTCATTGTTTCTTAACCCCCTAGTGCAACAGCTGTATGAATAATAAATGCTTGAAATCTCTCTTGGCATATACCGGATAATTAATGAATATAAGTTAAAGAACAAATGAATTATTCTAAAGCATAAAGTAGATAAAAACTAATCGGGCTGGAATGTTACTTATTTTCTGTCATCTTTCAATATTACATCATCTGCCCCGAGCCAAGTGCCTATGTTTTCCAAATTCTAGGTGTGAATAATTTTATATAGTATTGTATTGTTTGTGATTTATGAGATTTTAAGTTTTTCATTGGAGGGTGTAAGAAGTATAATTATGGATTTATTGTCCAGTAAAGGACAGACAAAAAGACAAAACACATAGAGTACTACTTATGGGTACTTAGAAACTTTTTTTTTCTTTTTTTTTTGTAGTTGGGATTACAAGCACGTGCCACCATACCCGGCTAATTTTTGTATTTTTAGTGGAGACAGGGTTTCACCATTTTGGTCAGGCTGGCCTCAAGTGATCTGCCCTCCTCAGACTCCCTAAGTGCTGGGATTACAGGCGTGAGGCACAGCACCTGGCCAAAAATTATTTCTAAAGATACTTTGAGCATAAAGTGAGATAATTCATGTTTAATCACATAGTACATGTAGACACGTTATGTAATGCTTTTTTTTCTTTGAGACTGAGTCTTGCTCTATTGCCCAGGCTGGAGGGCAGTGGCGTGATCTTAGCTCACTGCAACTTTCATTCCCGGGTTGAAGCGATTCTCGTGCGTCAGCCTCCCGAGTAGCTGGGATTACAGGCGCCCGCAACCACGCCTGGCTAATTTTTCTATTTTTAGTAGAGACGGGGTTTCACCATATTGGCCAGGCTGGTCTCCAACTCCTGACCTCAAGTGATCTGCCCACCTCGGCCTCCCAAAGTACTGGGATTACAGGCATGAGCCACCATGTCCAGCCCATGTAATGCATATTAACAATGGTAATGTAGGATTATGAAAGTGGGCAGAAATTTGTTTCATGGAAAGGTATTTAGTTATATATTTTTTGCTTTTAAAATGGGTATTTCAGTGCAAAACTCTGACAGAAATAGGCAAATCAGTGACTAGTTCACAACTCCCTAGATTTAAAAGGGAGCTCTCTGCTCGAAATACAGGTCAGCCTCAGGACTCAGCATTGCCTTAATGAAGGCAGCCTGTCTGTGGTGTGCAATTTGAGATGTCTGGGTGCTACAAAACTGGCTGAAAGCAGAAGTGATTCTTTCTGAATAAACAATGTAGTTTGCTCATATGTATCACAGAACACGATGTTATTACTTGTGTTTCCACAGTGATTTGTTGGTTTTCCAGTGCAAGAGTGATCCCTCCTTCGTTTTTACCAAAAAGAGGTAAGAGAAATAAAGATGGCTTCTGCTCTGTAGACAAACAGTATTGATTGTTCAATAATCCAGTAAGATGAGGAAGTATTAGATGGAAATCATAATAACTCCATGATAATCTCTGGGAACAAAAATCAATAAAAAGGGAATGGTTTTATAAGAGACATACAACATTATTATTCTAATACCTCAGGTCATAAAGCTGAGATATTTGAGTGTGACATGACATATTAGCTAAAATGACTAGGAAACTATGGCAGCCAAAATGATCACAAATCATTTCTGATAGAGCATTTCTCATCCTCTCCTTGTCCCTTCCCACTCACACACAATAATTAGCTCCAGCTACATTTCCTCTCCATTGTTCCATTTGTTACTATTCCTGAACTTTGTTTTCAACTCTGGGCTTTTAAGCTTTCTGTTCTTCTGCCTGGACCACTCTTCAATCAGGTCTTTCAATAACCCATTCTTCCTCATCAGTCAGGTTTCTGCTCAAAACCCGTTTCCTGTGAGAGAAGCACTTGTTAAACCACTATGTCTAAAAAAAATAATCTACAGTTTACCCTGTGCCAGTCAACATCGAGTCTCTGTTACCTTCTCTGCACCTGTTTCAAAACCTGTACTCTGTAATTGTTTCTATGTTTATTCTGTCTCTTACCTCAGTAGAACATGAGTTCTATTATCATGTGTACTGTCTTCCCCAGATTCTAGAACTCCATGTGAAATATAATCAATGCAAAATATTTGTTGAATGGACAGATGAACATCTTTTAATACCTATTTATTTTTAGAATATGTGACTGTCATTTTCCCCATCAGTTACAAACTTCTTCATGGTCAGGCTAGGCAATGTCCCCTCCCCTTGTCCCTCTTCCCCACAGAAAGCTGGGCAATCCAGCTCACTCCTTTAGATCCTCTCCATTTTTGATTCCTTGAACATGTATTAACTCTTTTTTTTTTTTTTTCTGAGACGGAGTCTCGCTCTATTGCCCAGGCTGGAGTGCAGTGGCACGATCTCAGCTCACTGCAAGCTCCGCCTCCCAGGTTCACGCCATTCTCCTGCCTCAGCCTCCCAAGTAGCTGGGACTACAGGCGCCCGCCACCACACCCGGCTAATTTTTGTATTTTTAGTAGAGACGGGGTTTCACCATGTTAGCCAGGATGATCTTGACCTCGTGATCCGCCTGCCTTGGCCTCCCAAAGTGCTGAGATTACAGGTGTATTCTCAGCACCCGGCCGTATTAACTTTTTGTGGGGGAAGAGCCTGGCTATTTAGAAGTGTCTGTTGTTTTTGTTTGTCAATCAGTGGGAAACCTGATTCTATCGGAATAATAAGACAGATGTAAGACATTATTTGTTTGTTTCTACTTCCTATGTGCCGTTCAAGGAGTAAGGTTACTATATAAAGGTAATCTTCCCAAGAACATAAAACATACTATATCAGGAAAAGATTCTTTGTTCTTTACCTGGGTATAACAACCGGGAGAAAGAAGAAAAGCAAGTAAGTGTTTTTCAGCCTTTGGGGAGGCATGGTATTCAATTGATTGGTTCTTATAGTTTAGTTATTGCTTCATTAACTATAGTAGACAAATTATTGTGGATTCAAAGCTAAAGACAGACAATACCTTTTATTCCATAAGGGAAAATCTAGTTATACGTTAAAGAGTCTATGTGAGTAATACTGTTATGAAATGTAGAAGAGGACTATTAAATTACCTCAGTAAAGTATTAGTAATAGACAGATGACTTTTTAGGTCAGTAACATTTTTTCCCCATTTTTCTGGAGAATAATTATTTATTCGTTAGGTACCTTTGGTAACTATTTAAGCACTACTTTCTATTTCAATTTTATATTTGCTATATTCTCCATTCCTGTCTCATATAAAATGATTTTTAAAACAAAAATTTGTCATCTACTGCTTGAGTGTATTGGTGGGTTCAAGATTAAAACTTGGAGGTTACCTATGTATACCTGAGAACTCAACAGCTAAATTATGGCTTGTTAGAAAACTTGTTAGCATTTTAAACAATTTTCCCAAGTATAAATTCAGAGAAAATCAATTTACTTTCTCTTTTTTAATCTAAGGCTCAGGTTGTAATTTTGTAGTACCCAGTATCTCTCTGAAGTCTATGGTATATTATTCCACTTCTTTCCTAACTATGCATTTCATACCTACCCTTTGGAGTTGATCTTGAAAGAAAATTAATGGGCTCCTTATTCAGTATTGCAGTGTTTCAGGTAGCAAATGCATGACAGCTACTTAACCAACCCCTGAGTAGCCAACCAGTGAGTATGGCGTTAATGATTTTGGAGAAAGTTAACTAAGTGCATCTATCACTTTGTCATGTGTGGTAAAAGAATACATCAATCAAAGGTTAAGAGGGAACTGTCTTTGCTTCAGTCTGTGGGTACTACTAAAATCTGTTACAAAAATCAATAGAACAGGTATGGTAAGCTGCATTTATGCTGATTAAATAAAACAAATGGAAAAACAGAAGGTAGGAGGCTGGTAATATAGCTCCTAGAATAAAGCAGAGGTCAGTTTCCTGATATAGGAACCATCCTTATGAGCTTGATATTCCGGAGAAGTATTTCCACTGTCAGTGTCTTATAAAGGTTGAACCAGTAACCTTGTTTTCACAGGGCTATTTAACTGGATACCAGGAGAAGCAAATTGCTGATCCAGTCATGGATGTTTTACCCCATTATTTAGTTCCACTCTACATGGAATTTATTTGGAAGATTCTCAATGCACTTGCATTCAAACATAAAGACCTAATGACTCTCATTGCAGCAGTATTCCTCTTGTATTGTTATTTTCTTAACTTCGGATTTCCTCCATTTCTGCACTTTTTGCCATCTGGAATTTCATTTGCAAGGGCAGATAAGGGGAAAAGAATGTAATAAGAGACGAGGAAAAATATAAGCCCTTGCTGAATGATTGATATGAATGAAGGAACTGATGGAATAAATAACAAAAATAAAAAGATCCAGGACTACTCTCAGTCTCTGAAGCAGGTATGAAAATTGTAAGAACAAGGGAAGACTATAATTTTGGAATATAGCTGTGAGTTAATAAAAGCTAATGATAAAGAAAATAAGTTACCTTTCTTCACAGAAGGACAAAATGATGATTCAGTTACAGGAGAACAAGAATTGAGGCCCACCTCCAAATAATTACCAAGTAAATACAAAATTCCAGGTGGGCATGGTGGCTCATGCCTGTAATCCCAGCACTTTGGGAGGCTGAGACGGGTGGATCACCTGAGGTCAGGAGTGTAAGACCAGCTTGGCTCAAATGACGAAACCCTGTCTTTACTAAAAATAAAAAAATTAGCAAGGCATGGTGGCACACACCTGTAATCCCAGCTACTCGGGTGGCTGAGGCATGAGAATCACTTGAACCTAGGAGGCAGAGGTTACAGTGAGCCAAGATAGTATCACTGCACTCCAGCCTGGGCAACAGAGCAAAACTGTCTAAAAAATACTTGAAGATATATATATATTCAAATATATATATCTGAGAAAAAGTGATTGATAGGTATTCCCTCACGCACACCTAATAAAGTGCATATCAATACAACATTTCTGGAAAACAATTTTGTAAGATTTTTAAAAAGCCTTAAATTTCTTAATATCCTTTGACTCAAGAATTCTCATTCAAGAAATCTATCTGAAGTAAATATAGTGAAATTAAGGAAGAGAACAGGAAACACACTTAATCAGTCTTACTTATAATCATCAAAATGTTGAAACAACTTAAATTTGCAACAGTAGAGAAATCTTTTGATGAATTATGGTACATCCATTCAAATGTATTCTTGGAGAATAAGACATAGAAAATGATTCATTATTAAATGTTAGGCTAATAAAATAAACACTGTACAAAATTCCATGTATATTATAATTACCATTTATATGTGTGTGCATGTCTGTATATTTGCTTAGTCATATTTATGAGATAGAAGCCTCTGGTTTTCATTTGTTAAAGGAATTCTGAAAAATAATTTCATTGTTGACTGAAATGGAAATTATTAGAGAAAGCATACTGTGATGCTGTGAAAAGAGGTTTGGAACTTCAACAAACTAAATTTAATTTGTTTCTTTTCATGGCAGAAATACTTAGGACTTATTGAATTTTCTATGTGTGTTCCCTCCCTTTTGGTTAGGTGGGAGCCCTGGCGGTAGCTATGGGTCCAGTTCAAAGGATTATGAAATGCACTGCTTTCACATCAAAAAGGTAAGCACCTGTTTGTGTCTCTGCCATCTTCCTCTTCCTCTGCCAATGTGTCCTTGGAGGCTGTGTGTTCCAGGTAGTATCATCATAAGATGGGAGGGTAGTCCAAAATACACGGGGCTGGAACATAAGTGAGAATTAAACTTGCTGTTTTAAGCCAGCAAGATTTCAGGGATGTTCCATGCCTACGGCATATCCTACCCTATCCTGATTACTACAGTGCACATTACCCAATAGCTCTGTGAACTTGAGACAGTTATTTAATTTTTCTAAACCTCTATTCCCTCACTTGTATATCGAGCCATGAGGCTGCTGACATATCTCATAGGACTGCTTTCAGAAGGTAGTAAAAAAACATAGAAAATGATTGTACAATAGTTCTGGTTGAGTGTAAATTTCCTTCAGGCAAAATAATCAAATCTCATTTTTCTTACCTACTTCTTACAGTATTTTACTCCTTCATACATATGACCCTTTAGAATAGAGAACAATCACTATATGTTCAATAATCTGTTAAAAATTTGCTGAGAGTATTTAAAAATATATAAAATAAAGCCTCAGATTTGGGAGCAGGTTAATATAAGGAAAAACAAGAAAAGGAAGACAGAGATAAAGATGAAGTAAAACCTGTGTGATCTCTAAAAGTAGAGTTTCGTCAGCCACATAAAATAAAAGATAAAATCTCACATTGTTTCAAGATTGGCTTAAAAATAACCATTACATATTTAAAATGAGTTAGAGCCATGCTTTTGTATTTGTCAGAATAAATCAACTCATAACATGCTATGTATAGAAAATAACACAGAAAGCTTTTTAAAAAATTTCAAGAAAAAAATGTATGTGGAGGGTGCGGTAGTAGCAGTGGGAATTAGCAAATTTACAGAAAACAACAAAGAGAAGAACAATAACAAATAGCAACCACCACTGTAGCCACAGAAGTCATTACCACACTCTTGCATGCTGGCCCAAATCGTTTTAATAGTAGACTTTTCTCTGGGGTTATAAGCTCCATTAACAGAAGCTACGATATAACTTTGAAACTATCTGTATTACCTTCAGTAAGTTATTTTCTTCCCCTGAACCCCACTACATAAAGCAGCAAACCCCTGGTTGGTTAAGCAAGCACTAAAATTTTGGAAATGTAATAAATGCATCTGTAAGATTTCCAAGATTCCAACAATAATCCCAAAGGGAAAATATACTGAGCCAATCATTTTGGTACTGCATCACAAGGCACTGAATAGAAAAGTCAGTAAAAGCATCCGAGCACAGAGAAGCAAGCTGTAGTCAATATCAGATTTTGAAGTGGACTGTCAGATAAAAAATCAGCTAGATTTACTGAAATTTACTTCCTAATATCTGGAGTTTAGATTGCATGGAATTCAGCGCATACATCCAGTCTTATTTAAATTTCTTTTTCCTTTATCCTCTCTTTAACCTTCTTCATCCACTATAATAAGCTATTGGTATTATAGCCATTTCAAGAAAAATAGTCCAGTCTGAGTTATAATTGGTCACTTCATATCAAAAACTTATTGTAGAAATGAAATTCAGTATCACCCAATTCACACAGTGACATCTAGTCAGGCTTAAATAAAATCACTTATTTGACAGGGGGAAAAAGAAGAAAGAATAACCAGTGTTTGCTGTTGACTTTATATTCCTCCACAATTCTCATCTGAAAATTACAAAGCTTCTCAATATATATCCATAAATATTGGCTAGTTAAGCCCTGTTATGTATAGAAAGTACTGCTATCTGAATCAGAGAGCCCAGCCCTTCCACCAGCATAGGACAGTGATAGGTCACAGCCATTGGAAGAAGATAGGCCTTTACATTGAAGCTTTGCTTTGATCCCTTAAGCAAATCCCTTAGCGCTTGTGAAATGGGGATGATTTTGCCTTTGACTCCTGTGAGGCACATCTCATGAGACACAGTTAATACAAATAACCTAGAATAATTATTATCAGGAGATGTGAAACCTTTTCTCTTAGTCATATTCCTCTCAGTGTAGAATGTTATTTCTGTAGAGGGTAGCTTTTCCTGCCCCTCAAATTTCCATGTTACTTCAGATCTTCAGTTTGTAAATTAGAGATCTAATTCAAGTAGAAACACATTTCTTTTTATTCCTTCAGGTGTTCTGATATTTATTTAAAACTCATGAATGAAAACAAAAATATTCTGGACGTGCAAACATGTAAAAATATGTACAGTACCTCCCCACAAGGAGTTTATACTCTTATGAGGTAACAAGCCAAAAACACAGAGAACAGCTGAGAAAGTAACATAAAATAAGTCCATTCTGAAGGAACGACTAAGGGGAATCCAAAGGAGCTGGAATCAGCTGTGAAGATCATCTTTCTGGGGATAGTCAATCTCGAGAGCTTAGGAAAGTGACTGATAGAAGAGAAAGTGCATGTCTCTCTCTTGAGGAGCAATTCTTTGCATAGCTGTACTGCATTTCTTTTTTCTATAAATTATGGAGTAGGAATAGTTAATTTTACCCATCTCTGGGACTTCTCTAGGTACAAAGAAAAAATACTGTGTTGTACTCCAAATACCTCCAATTGCCCCCTACCCCATGAATTAAAATACTAAACATTAAAGCAGAAATTAAATGTGAAGAGTATAAAGTATACTCTTTCAAAAATCTCAGAACTGTCTAATAGGAAAAGTTAGAACAAAAAATATGGCTGCAGATGAGAGGCTTAAAAATAAAAAAGCTGAGAAAACAGCCAGAAAATAGACAAAATGTGTTCACAAAAAATTGAGCCATAAATAATGAAATGACATACAACAAGGTGTCAAAGGAAAAATGCAGAAACAACATAACTTGAATATTTTTTTTTCTTGCTTGCTTTTTTTTTTTTATTATACTTTAAGTTTTAGGGTACATGTGCACATTGTGCAGGTTAGTTACATATGTATACATGTGCCATGCTGGTGCACTGCACCCACTAACTCGTCATCTAGCATTAGGTATATCTCCCAATGCTATCCCTCCCCCCTCCCCCCACCCCACAACAGTCCCCGGAGTGTGATATTCCCCTTCCTGTGTCCATGTGATCTCTTTGTTTAATTCCCACCTATGAGTGAGAATATGCGGTGTTTGGTTTTTTGTTCTTGCGATAGTTTACTGAGAATGATGATTTCCAATTTCATCCATGTCCCTACAAAGGACATGAACTCATCATTTTTTATGGCTGCGTAGTATTCCATGGTGTATATGTGCCACATTTTCTTAATCCAGTCTATCATTGTTGGACATTTGGGTTGGTTCCAAGTCTTTGCTATTGTGAATAATGCCGCAATAAACATACGTGTGCATGTGTCTTTATAGCAGCATGATTTACAATGAACTCCAACAAATTTACAAGAAAAAAACAACCCCATCAAAAAGTGGGCGAAGGACATGAACAGACACTTCTCAAAAGAAGACATTTATGCAGCCAAAAAAACACATGAAAAAATGCTCATCATCACTGGCCATCAGAGAAATGCAAATCAAAACCACAATGAGATACCATCTCACGCCAGTTAGAATGGCGATCATTAAAAAGTCAGGAAACAACAGGTGCTGGAGAGGATGTGGAGAAATAGGAACACTTTTACACTGTTGGTGGGACTGTAAACTAGTTCAACCATTGTGGAAGTCAGTGTGGCGATTCCTCAGGGATCTAGAACTAGAAATACCATTTGACCCAGCCATCCCATTACTGGGTATATATCCAAAGGACTATAAATCATAACTTGAATATTTTAACTACAGTGAAATCTTTGGAAAATTTAACCAACAGGAAAACATTCCTGGAAATTAGCATTTCTGAATCTGAAAACCTTGAGCCACGGTTAGGCTCTCCATAGAAAAAAGTTACTGTGGTTATGCAGGTTTGAGAATCTGTGCTTTCTTGATTGAAGCACTTTCAGAACCTTTAGTCAGTCAATACGCGTTATTGTAAATCTCCCAAAGGTTAAGAGTAGCCTAAAGAGTTTCCAAAATTATTTGAGCAAAGAATTCTAGACCCAAAGAAAATATTTAAAAACATCTTGAGGAACAGTAAGATTCTTTGGAACATAGTTTGGGAAGTACACCACTTAACACATGTGCAGTCAAAGTCTGTCAATATAGCAAATCTATGTTGAGTGTCTTAAACTGGTGGAAAGAATTCCTTAATTTGCTCACTGTCAATCACATAACAGAATTGTTCTGTGTCCAGATAATTTACTCTACCTGTGTTTTCTTTGTAAAAAAATAATATAGTTGAACTGTCCCTTAGCCCCTACCTACATTTCCAGGTTCAGGATAGCCCAATGTATTCAGCAACACTGTGACAAGTGCACTTAAGGATAAATATTTGGCCATTCTCTGCTAATGTTATTGTAGTCATGATATTAAATTGGCATACTGGTGGGGCAATGGGATGAACAGCACAGGCTCATTTATAGAACTTGAGAGGTATAAGTCACCTTAGAGATGTTCTAGTCAAACTCTCATTTTATAAATGTATTGAATACAAGTGGTAAAATGACTTTTCCAAGGTCTCATGTTCAACTGATGGAAATCATTCTCCCCAGTCCAGTCTAGTCCATGATGCCTTAAGCAAAAACAAACAAAAACTCCTTAGTTTTTTGTTGTTTTTTTTTTTAAAGAAAGGAAATAAATACGTCTGTTTGACATTTTTTTTTTCTTGAGACAGAGTCTCACTCTGTTGCCCAGGCTGGAGTGCAGTGGTATGATTTTGGTTCACTGCAATTTCCATCTCCCATGTTCAAGCGATTCTCCTGCCTCAGCCTCCCGAGTAGCTGGGACTACAGGCACACGTCACCAAGGCCTGCTAAATTTTTTTGTATTTTTAGTAGAGACAGGCTTTCGCCATGTTGGTCAGGCCAGTCTCAAACTCCTGAGCTCAGGTGATCCTCCCGCCTCAGCCTCCCAAAATGCTGAGATTACAGTTGTGAGCCACTGTACCTGGCCAACTTTATTTTTAAACTAGTTTTTAATAAGCCTAAAGAAAAAAAAATATGAATAGATTGTGATTCTTTCTGTATTTGCTCACCTGTTACCCCCAAAAGCATGCCCAATGTGTAGCATATTATTTTATACCCAATGGGTTCTCACTAAATGTTAATTAAATGACTGTGAACATGTGAATTCGGAGACTACACAATGAATAAAGTGATTGTTTACTTTATGAAATGATTCTTCCCATTAACATAATCCCTTTTATGGTCACCTCACCTGCTATGCTGCAAAAAGCAGAAACCATATGCTGCGTGCTAATCTTTGGGGCCACAGCAAGGCCAAAGCAACATTTCCTCTGGCAGCTGCATTAAATCCCCTATCCCAGACTTCTTATAAATTCTGACCACTGAATGTGTAAAAGAGTCACTCACACTTGAGTCTGAAAGAAGAATGCAGTTGATGAGAATATTTGTACTCTTCCTAGGCCAATGATGGAGAGCAGAGACAGAACTCTTTTCATAAAGAAGCTAGAAAGGGACTAGATTTTCAGCATATACTATGAGTACATGAGCTTGACAAATAAAGTTTTGGTGTTTTGCTTTGTTTAGCTGCTAAATTTAGTGTTATAAAACTGTCTTCAATGTTTGAAAGCTGAGGATTGGATCTATGTCATCTGAATATTCAACACTTAACTACTTTTTGAGTTAAACAGAAAATGCCTTTTTCCAGTTGGATACATTTTTAAATGGATTTTTTGTTCAAATGTTTTAGAAATATTCATCCACATATTGAAATTTCTTCCATAACTTTACTTTACATCAAGAAGATTGAAAGCCCAAGTAAATGACATGACAATGAAAATGGAAATCTGGTTAGTAATTTAAACTTAGCATGTCTGAGTATAATGTGATTACATCAAGTCTTTTGATGATATAGTTATTAAAAGATTGGCACAACAAAACTGGAAACTTTTTGCAACTTAGCAAACATTCACTGAACAACTTTTTTTGTGTAAGTTCTGTATGTAGTATTCTGCTATGAATTCTTCTATTGCATGATACAAGCATGGGATGTGTTTCCTCCTCTCAGAACACTTATACAGGTTATTATGTATGTGATTATGTAGTATGAAGTGATATAAAGGTGACATGCACATGAATGACTAAGAGAAAATAAAAATTATGAAAGAATCACATGGTAATACACATTGCTATAGAGCAGAGATTCTTCAAGAAGTTTTCACTAAAATGTGCCTGGAAGCATGAATAACAACTCAACTGATAGAGCAAATGAGAGAGCAGAACACTGCAGTTAGGAGTATTACAGTAAGAAAGGGAGAATAATAAAAATTATATTTACACACAAAAATCAATGAATATACGCACCACATTAATAAAGGGCTAAAATTATATTATCACATCAATAAGATTCATAAAAAAATTTGACAAAAATCTGAAACGTGATAAAAAATTCAACAAAATAAAAGTAAAAGGAACTTCTTTGATCTGATCCAAGGCATCTAGAAAAACGTGTACTTAACATCATTCTGAATGGTCAAAGACTGAATATCTAACATCAAAAGTAAAACAACAAGGTCCACCTTGGTCTCCTCTATTCAATATTGCACTTGTGGTTCCAGCTAGGGAAATTAGGCAAGAAAATGAAATAAGAAGCATCCCAATTGGGAAGGAAGAAGTTAAACTATTTCTCTATATACAATTGTCATAGTCTTGTATGTAGACGATCCCAAGAAATCTTCTAAAAAATATAACTAATAAACAAGTTCAGCATGATTTAAAGACACCAGATCAATATAAAAAAATCAATTGTATTTTTATACACTGAAAATGAAAACAATTCCAACCTTAATAGTATCAAGGCCAGGCACAGTGGCTCACACCTCTAACCCCAGCACTTTGGGAGGCTGAGGCAGGAGAACTTATTGAGCCCAGGAGTCTGAGACCAGCCTGGACAATATAGTGAGACTTCACCTCTACAAAAAAAACACTAGCCAAGTGTTGTGGCATGTGCCTGTAGTCCCAGCTACTTGGGAAGCTGAAGTGGGAGGATCACTTGAGCCCAGGAGGCAGACACTACAGTAAGCTGAGATTGCACCACTGCACTCTAGCCTGGGTAACAGAGCGAGATCCTTTCTCAAAAATAAAATAGTATCAAAATAATAAAATACTTAGGAATATTTTTAAATGCAAGACATGTACACTTAAAGTTACAATGATGTACAAAACATCATTGAAAGAAAATTTTTAAAGCTTAATAGAAAGGAATCCCATGATCATGGACTTATTAAGATGATAATACTTTATAAATTGATCTATAGATTCAACACAACTCCTATCGGAATCCCAACTGATCTTTTTTTTTGAGGGGGTGGGGGCAGAAATTGCCAACCTGCTCCTAAAATTATTGAGAAAATGCAAGAGGCTCAGAATAGCTAAAAGGAAATAATCATGAAAAAGAACAGAGTAGTGGACTCACACTTCAGAATGTAAAAAGTTATTGCAAAGCTACCTTAATCAAGACAGTTTTTTACTGACATAAAAATAGACATACAAATCAATGGAATACAATTGAGAATCCAGAAATAAACCCTAACATTTATGTGATCAATTGATCTTTGACAAGGGCCAGGATAATTCAATGAACAGCCTTTTCAACAAATAGTGCTGAGACAACTAAATGTTTACCTGAAAAAAATAAATAAATAAAAAATAACATTCAACCCCCTTCTTCCAGCATGCACAAAAAATTAACTCAAAATGTATCAAAGAGTTAAATGTAAGAGCCAAACATAAAATTCTTTCAATACACACAGAATTAAATATATGAGACCTTGGGTTAAGCAATGATTTCTTAGCACAAACAATCAAAGAGAAGATTTATAATTTGTATTTAATCAAAATTGAAGTCATTTGTGTTTCAAAGACATCATCCAGAAAGTGAAAAGGGCCAGGCATGATGGCTCACGTCTATAATCCCCACACTTTGGGAGGCCATAGCAGGAGAATCACTTGAAGCCAGGAGTATCGAGACAAACCTAAGCCTAAGCAATACAGCAAGACCCCTTCTTAAAAAAGCATGAAAATTAGCCAGGCATGATGGCACACACCTGTATTCCCAGTTACTTGGATGGCTGAAGTGGGAGGATCCCTTGAGCCCAGAAGTTCAAGGCTGTTCTGAACTATGATTGTACCACTGCACTCCAGCCTCGGGGGCAACACAGCAAGACCCCATTTCTTTAAAAAACAAACAAAAAAAAAAGAAAAGAAAAGAAAGTGAAGACAACCCTCAGACTGGCAGAAAATATTTTCAGGTCATATAGCTGATAAGGGACTTGCACTCAGAATTTATAAAGAATTAATAAAACTCAATAATTATAAATAACCAGTTACAAATGACCAAAGGATTTGAATAAACATTTCTCCAAGTAAGATATATGAATGGTTAATCTTGTTAAATGATCCTCAACACCACTGGTCATTAGGAAAATGTAAAGAACACAATGTGATACCACTTTACATTTGCAAGAATGGCTATAATCAACAAGACAAATAGAGTCTAAATACCAGTAAACATGTAGTGAAATTGGAACCTCCATACATCCCTAGTTAGAATGTCAGATGATGTAGCCCCTTTGGAAAACAGTTTGGCTGTTCAACAAAATGTTAAATATAATTATCATGTGATGCAGCAATTCTAATCCTAGGTAGGTACCCAAGAGAAATGAAAACATGTGGGCATCCAAACCTGCGTATGAATGTTCAAAGCAGCATTACATGTAGCCAGTAGCAGAAACAACCTAAATGCTGATCGGCTGCTGAATTGGTAAACAGAGTGTGACATATCCATACAATAGAAAACAACTGAATCATAAACAAGAATGAAATGCTAACACATGGCATAACTCCAATAAACCTTACAAGCATTACGCTAGGTAAAAGTAGTTAGTCACGAAGGTCAAATAAAGTATTACACCACTTATATGAAATGCTCAGAATAAGCAAATCTGTAGATATAAAGTAAATTTGTGTTTGCCTACAACTAGAGGGAGGGAGGAAGGAGTGAAGGAAGAGATGGAGAGTGATTAATAATGGGTATAATGTTTCTCTTTGGAGTGTGATAAAATTTTCTAAAATTAGAAAATATAGAACATATTTTAGGATAGAGGGGGTTGCAAAATCCTGTGAATATTCTAAAAACTAATGAGTCATATACCTTAAATGGGTAAACTTTCTGGTACATAAATTGTATCTCAATAAAGGGTTGAAGGAGAAGATTAAATGTAAAACTCATTTTTATCAATTGCTAATGTGTGATCTTGAGTCACAAACTCTCTGATCCACAATTTCCTCATACAATGAAAAACAACCATGTTACAGAGCTATTGAGAGAATTTAAAAAAGACATAGAATGTATATAAAAACTTAAAAAAAAAACATAAAAGTAGGAATACAGGGCATTGTCCTCTATGTAATCCACTATAGCTGGAAGATAAATGGCATTAAAGACATGATTCCACAATCATTTATTGATTCCTCATTAAGTGCCAGGCACTCTGCCAGTCCTGAACAAAAGCAAATGGCAAGGAAAATAGACATACTTCCTGCCTTCACAGAGCTTAAAATGTAATGGCTGACATTATTCAAATAATTATACAAATATGAGATCTCATATGATTAATGCTTCAAAGGAAAAGTCCAAAGCAAGGCCATGAGGAAGTATTTAATATAGGGGAATGATTTGGTTTGGGGGCTGTTGCAGCAGGATGTGATTTGAGAAGTGTTATGGAAGACCGTCCTGTGGAAGTGTTTAAATTGATATCCAAAGCGTGAATAAGTGTTAACCAGGAAAAGAGGGGAGAAAGAGAGCTTGCTAGATGCAAGTCCTGGGATGGGAGAAAGCATGGAAGTGTTAAGGACTCAAAGGAAGTAAGGGAGGGAGTGAGTGGTAGAGGTCAGTCTGGAGAGACCCCAGATTGTGCAGTGCCTACAGGTAATTAAGAGTTTAGTTTTTAATCTAAGAAAAATTGGAAGCTAATGAGGGCTGTTATGCAAGGGAATGACATGATCAGATTTGGGCTTTTCAGGGTCTCCAAAATATAAAGGCAGGATAGAAGGCAGTGATCCAGTAAAAGAAACTGAAAAGAAAGAGTTAAGAAGAAGAAAAATGGCCAGGAGAATTTGGTGTAATGGAAATGAAAAATAGTATTGAGTAATGGGAATGGTTTCAATATTATTGGTTGCTACTGGGAGCATGAAATATACCCAGTAAATTTAACAAAATGGAAATCATAGTTGATCCTGGCAAGTTCTATTTCTGTGAATTTGCTGGGTTAAAAATCAGAATGGAATGAATTGAAGAAATGAGAAATGAGGACAGTTTATATAGTATAGATTGCTCAGGTTGTAAAGGAGGAGAGATAAAGAAGTACGCACAAAGGAATTGTTTGTGCGATTTTTTTGTTTGTTTTTTGAGACAGAGTCTCACTCTGTCACCCAGGCTGCAGTGCAGTGGCGCAATCTCAGCTCACTGCAAGCTCTGCCTCCTGGGTTCATGCCATTCTCCTGCCTCAGCCTCCCTAGTAGCTGGGACTACAGGCACCCGCCACCATGGTCAGCTAATTTTTTGTGTGTATTTTTAGCAGAGACAGGGTTTCACCGTGTTAGCCAGGATGGTCTCGATCTTCTGGTCTTGTGATCCACCTGCCTCGGCCTCCCAAAGTGCTGGGATTACGGGTGTGAGCCACCGTGCCCGGCCTGTGCGATCTTAAGACAGAAGACACTTGAGCATACATAAATGGTAATAAAAAAGATAACAGAGAAGTAGGTAGAGATGGAGGATAAACAATAACCCTTCAAGTGTATGGTTTCTGAGATGGGCAGAAATAAACAGGAGATAAGAGAGAGAATCAGAACAGATACAAATATGTGTGGTTTGGCATCCAGATTTTTAGTAACTCCACGTATAAAAGCTTCTATTTAATTTTGTAAAAGAAAGGTAACATCACATGGTAAGAATGAAGGTAGAGGTGACAGGGTTAGATATTTGTGGAGAATCAAATAGAATTAACACAGTTATAGGGCAACATAGTAAACATTCCTAGGGATGCTGAGGGCATATTAGCATGTAGTGGCTCTTAATTCGTAGTGGTGTAAGTTTTTCCTCATAGTGTATTCCTTCAGCACTGCTTACCTGCTCAGATACAGGCAAAGTGACATCCATTGGAGTAGTGTAAGATGGAAGTGATGAAAATATTGAGTAGCAAGGGAATTTAGATTTCTGTTAGGAGAGACATATAAATGAAGAGCCATAGGTTGAAAACTGAAAGGTCAGCAGGGTGGAGATGGGAAGAACCAACATGGAGAAATAAGAGAGGGTTATCAGTGGTTAAGATGATGTAGAAGACTTATTATATTTGGATAACTTATGCAAGCTATAGGGGTAGGAGACAGTAATCAGAGAATGGGGAAAACCATTTACAGTCACAAAAAGCAATCAATTCCGTGGCTTAAAGTCATAAAATATCACTCCCCAATTTTTTTTTTTTTTTTTTGAGACAGAGTCTCACTCTGTCACCCAGGCTGGAGTGCAGTGGCGTGATGACGTGATCTCAGCTCACTGCAACCTCCGCCTCCCGGGTTCAAGTGATTCTCCTGCCTCAGCCTCCCAAGTAGCTGGGACTACAGGTGCGTACCACCACACCCAGCTAATTTTTGTGTTTTTAGTAGAGATGGGGTTTGCCATGTTGGTCAGGCTGGTCTCGAACTCCTGACCTCAGGTGATCCACCCGCCTCAGCCTCCCAAAGTGCTGGGATTACAGGTGTGAACACCCGGCCCACTCTCCTATTTTTAAACCATGCTCTCTCCCTCCTTGCCATTTTTGTATTTTCTTCCAGTTTCTAAAAATTAGCTGTCTTGCCCAGGTAGAGCTGCTACTAATGGGAAGAAACAGAAATTACAGAATGGTAACTCAGAGAAGGAGATATAACTGCAATGAGAGCCAGGGAAACCTAATTCATAGCAACTTGGAGGCAGATGTGCTGATATAACTTCACGTTTGTCTTTATATTTCTTAGCTTGCCATAAGTGGGGTCAATTGATAATATAGGTCTTATGGGCTAAATCTTAATAGGCTGAATCATACAAGCTGAATGATAAAATCAAATCATCATTCACTGAAGATTGCCAATAAAATCAGCAATATAACTATAGTGATAGAAACTATCATTTATTGAGAACCTTAAGTGGTCCAGTCATTTTTATAACTTTATGTAATTCATCTAGTTTAATACAATACTTCTAATAGGTAGATGTTATCCTTCCTAGTTTACCCTAAGGAAGCCAAAAGCCAAAAAGTTAAGTAATTTGTCCAGATTACTCAACTACTGGCCAAACAAGTCTTTAAGTGCAGTTCTGTTACTCCAAAGCCTGACTTCTTTTCACTCTGCCAAACTATAAGACACAGAACATGGTATAACATAGGCATCTTTATATTTGTGTGTGAATATAAGTTTATGTAAATATTCCCCCCATGGTAAACCTAATAGATAAGTAAACTAATTGATTTTTATTATTTTGTTAATGTGTGAAAACTCAGAAGCACAAATAAGTTGCAACGGTATTAAATGATATTTCACTGTAATTCTCCTAGGAAAAGAGACAGTTGAATTGAAAAGTTTTTATCACATTTATGCAATGGCTGGATTCTTAAAATAGTATAAGTAAAATCTCTGTATAGTAATGTACCATTACAGATTTGAGGAAGAGAAGTAAACGGAATACAAAGATTTGGCCAGAGATGTGCAGTCCAAGAATCAAAAATAATGCTGCAAAACCCACTGAATACATTTTACTAGTAAGAAAATGAATGTATGAACAGCCTTTGTTCTAAATTTGTAATTATGTCATGCCACACATTTTCTTAAATGCTCTCCATATTTGTTTAATTTTTAAAATGTTCTAAGAATTGCTTGAGGGAGAAATAGCTAATAATGGCAATAAAAAAAGAGATTCCTTGTGACATTGCAGTTTATATTGCATGTTTTACAAAGTCAGCTATAAAATTTTAAGATGCCACCCTAAAATTTGAAAACTGTACGCCTCACACCAGCTCCTGAAAAACCCCAAGGTTGATTTTTCAGGTAGGGACAGACAAGACCTTCCTTACATTAGGTCAGGCCAATAAATGCCTAAACCCTGGCCCCCTAAAGGTAGATTTTGAGCAATATCAGTAGGACTACATTGGCTAATCTTCCTTATTTTGAGACTGCAACTGGGAGCAGTGATTTCTAATATAGTGAGAACTACAAACACTTAGAGGTTTTTAAAGCAATGTCAGCGCCTTAAATTATACTCAGAAACAAGTAGTGGCCAATGCAGTCTGGCTTGCTATGTATTGTGTGATGTAATTATCCATCTAAACCTTATACTGTACACTAGAGAACAGCAAACCAAATTATTAACTCTTCCAAAGAAGTGAAAGGGAAGTGCAATGAGACAGCTGAGTTCAATCAGCCTCAAACACTTAAAAAAAAAAAGTAACTTTGAAAAAATCATCAGTTGATAGGGCATTGATTGAAAAACAGTGCAATTAATTACTTAATCAACATTTTAGGCTATGATACATATGTTTTTCTCTAGCAAATTCAAATATTTGAATAGGGTAGTTCAGCAATAAACCGAGCTGTTTCTCTGCACTCCTGATATGCTCCCTTTCCTATATATATAGTGCTGCTTAATATTATTTTTAATCAATGCAAAAGGAAGTCAAAAATGCCACTTTGTAATAAAAACTCTCAGGAAACTAGGACTAGAAGGGAATTTCCTTTTTTAATTTTTTAAAAATTCCCTTCGCTTTTGCAGTACAAGTGTTTTTTGGCTACATGGATGAATTGTATGTATGGTGAAATTTGAGATTTTATTGCACCCATCACCCAAGTAGAGTACACTGTATCCAATATGTAATTTTTTATCCCTCAACTCTCTGCCACCTTCCCACTTCTCAGTCTCCAAAGTCCACTGTACCATTCTGCCTACCCTTGAATATCCAGAGCTGAGATCCCACTTATAAGTGAGAACATACGGTATTTGGTTTTCCATTTCTGAGTTACTTCACTTAGAATAATTGCCTCCAGCTCCATTGAAGTTGCTGCAAAAGAAATTATTTTGTTCTCTTTTATAGCTGAGTAGTATTCCATGGTGTATATATACCATATTTTCTTTATCCACTCATTGGTCGATGGGCACTTAGGTTGGTTCTATATATTTGCAATTGCAAATTGTGCTGTGATAAACATACTTGTGCAAGTGTCTTTTAGATATAATAATTTCTTTTCCTATGGGTATATAACCAGCAGTGAGATTGCTGGATGGAATGGTAGATCTACTTTTAGTTCTTTAAGAAATATCTAGCCAGGCGCAGTGGCTCATGCCTGTAATCCCAACACTTTGGGAGGCCGAGGCGGATGGATCACAAGGTCAGGAGTTTGAGAACAGCCTGGCCAACATGGTAAAACCCCATCTTTATTAAAAATACAAAAATTAGCCGGGCGCTGTGGTGGCGCCTGTAATCCCAGCTACTCAGGAGCCTGAGCCAGGAGAATCACTTGAACTCAGGAGGCCGAGTTTGCAGTGAGCTGAGATCATGCCACTGCACTCTAGCCTGCATTACAGAGCAAGACTCCATCTCCAAAAAAATAAAATAAAATAAAAAAGAAATATCCATACTGCTTTCCATAGAGGTTGTACTAATTTACATTCTCACCAGCAGTGTATAAACATTCCCTTAAACACATCCATGCCAACATCTATTGTTTTTTTACATTTTAATAATGGCCATTCTTGCAGGGGTAAAGTAGTATCTCTGTTGTTTTAATTTGCATTTCCATGATGATTAATAATGTTGAGCATTTTTCATATGTTTGTTGGTCATTTGTAAATCTTCTTTTAAGAAATATCTGTTCATGTCATTTGCCCACTGTTGGATGGGGTTATTTATTTATTTCTTGCTGATTTTTTTTTGAGTTCATTGTAGATTCTGGATATTAGTCCTTTGACGGATGCATAGTTCACAGATATTTTCTTCTATTCTGTGGCTTGTCTGTCCTCTGGTCTTGTCTGTCCTCTTATCTTTTGTGGTACAGAAGCTGTTTAGTTTAATGATGTCCTATTTATTTTTATTTTTGTTGCATTTGCTTTTTGGGTCTTAGCCATAAATTATTTGCCTGGGCCAATATCCAGAGAGTTTTTTCTAGGTTATCTTTTAGAATTTTTATAGTTTCAGATGTTAGATTTCAGCCTTTGATCCAGTTTGAGTTGACTTTTGTATAAGGTGAGAGATAGGGATTCAGTTTCATTCTTCTACATGTGGGTATCCAATTTTCCCCAAACCATTAATAGGTTTAATAGGGTGAAGAAGGGAATTTTCTTAACCTGATACAGTACGTCAAAAGAAAACACGTTTTAACCCATATATGTAATCATAAAACAGTCAATATTTTCCCATAAAATTACAACCAAAACAAGGATATTAAATCTCATCACTCTAATTCAACATTGTGCTAGAAGTATTAGCCAGTATAATAAAGGAAGAAAAAGAAATAAATGGCATACAGATTGGAAAGGGTGAAATGAAACTCTTTCTATTTACAAATGTCATGATTACCTATGTAAAAAGTCCCAAGGAACTTATAAAAGTCTCCTAGAACTAATAAATAAGTTTACCATGTCTGCAGGATACAAGGTCAAAATTTATACATATATATATACACACATACACACATATATACACACATATATACACGTACATACACACACACAGACACAATAAAACACCAAACAAGAATGAAACACAAGTAGAATTCTAACAAATCATGCACAGGATCTGTTTGCTGAAAAATACAAAACACTAATAAAAGAAATTGGAGACCTAAATAAGTGGAAATATATATTGCATTTCCTGAATTGGAACACAATATAACAATACATTTAACATGTTACTTTTCCCCAAATTCATGTATAGGTTGACTATAGTCCTAAATAAAATCCCTGTGGTATTAGCTTGTACATGTAGTCAACCTGATTCTAAAGTTTATGTGGAAAGGGAATGGAAGTAAAACACTGAAATAATTTTAAAATGAATAAATTTGGAAGATTCATACTACCTGGTTTTAATGTTTATTATAAAGCTTGAGTAGTCAAGACGATGTGGCATTGGAGAGGTGAAAACATATAGATCAATGAAACAGAATAGAGTCCAGAAATACATTCACACAAATACAGTCAATTCACTTTTGACGAAAATACAAAGATAATTCAATGGAGCAAGGGTAGTCTCTGTAATAAATGATACTGCAACAATTATGCATCTATATGTAAAAAGATAAGTAAACCTCAACCTAACCTTCATACTGCATCCAAAATTAACTGAAAATAGATTTAAAATCTACATGTAAAATGTAAAACTCCAAAATTTTAGGAAAAAACATCATAGGAGAAAATCTATGTGACCTTAACATTGGCCAAAAGTTCTTATATGGGACATAATAAGCATGATTCATAAAATAAAATGTTGGTATGTTTCACTTCATTAAAAAAATGTTTACTGTGTGAAAGTTTCTGGTAAGAGAATGAAAAAACAGGCTATAGACGATGAAAAAATATTTGCAAATCACATACTGAACAAAGGATTTTTGTTGAATCAAAGGCCTACATATTCTGGGCAAGCAAAGGACTATACATTCTTGGTAAATATATAAAGCATTCTCAGAACTCAAGAGTAAACAATTCAATTAAAGATGAGCAGATTTTCCACTGGCACTTAACCAAAGAAAATACACAAATGGCAAATGAGCACATTAAGAGAAGTTCAATGTCATTAAGTACTAGAAATATGCAAAATAAAACCACAATGAGATTCTACTATGCACCTACTTAGAGTGGAAAACGACACTGATAATCTCAAGTTTTGTTGACGATGCAAGACAACTGGAACTCTCATGGGAATGCAAAATGATGTCAGTCCATTTCTTATAAAAATATATTTCACTGTATTTTCTTTTTAATTTTTTGATTTTTAATTATTGTGGATACATAGTAGGTGTATATATTTAAGAGGTACATGAGATATTAGATACAGGTATAAAATGCATAATAATCACACCAGGGTAAATGGGGTAACCATCGTCTCAAGCATTTATCATTATTTATCATTTCTATGTGTTACAAATAATCCATTTACAGTCTTTTATTCATTTTAAAATCAACAATAAATTATTGTTGACTGTAGTCACTCTGTTGTGTTGTCAAATACTAGGTTATATTCATTCTATACATCTATGTAGTACGTATCTATGTACTACATCTATGTACCCATCAACTATATCTACGTACCCATTAACCAGCCCCTCTCCCCCACCAATTACCCTTTCTCAGCCTCTGGTAACCACTATTCTACTCTCTATATCCATGAGTTCAATAGTTTTAATTTTTAGCTCCCACAAATAAGTGAGAACATGTGAAGTATGTCTTTCTGTGCCCGGCTTATTTCACTAAACACAATGACCTCCAGTTCCAGCCATGTTGCTGCATATGACAAGATCTCACTCTTTCTTACGGATGAATAGTGTTCCATTGTGTATACGTACCACATTTTATTTATCTGTTTGTCTATTGATGAACACTGAGGTTGCTTCTAAATTTTGGCTGTGCGAATAGTGCTGCAACAAACATGGGAGTTCATATATCTCTTCATACTTTCTTTGAGGTATATACCTAGCAGTGGGAATGCTGGATCATGTAGTAGCTCTATTTTTAGTTTCTTGAGGAACTTCCAAATTGTTCTCCACAGTACTTGTACTAATTTACATTCCCACCAACAGTGTACCAATGTCCCCTTTTGTCCACATCCTTGCCAGCATTTGTTATCCTTTTGGATAAAAGGCATTTTTAAATGGGGTGAGATGATATCTCATTTTTGATTTACATTTCTCTGATGATTAATAATGTTGAGCACCTTTTTATATGCCTGTTTGCTATTTGTATGACTTCTTTTGAGAAATGTCTATTCACATCTCTTGCCCATTTTTAAATTAGATTATTAGGTTTTATTTTTTCCTCTGGAGTTGTTTGAGCTCCTTATATATTCTGGTTATTAATCCTTTGTCAGATGGATACTTTGCAAATATTTTCTCCCATTCTGTGGATTATCTCTTCACTTTGTTGATTGTTTCCTTTGCTGTGCAGAAGCTTTTTAACTTCATGTGATCTCATTTGTCCATTTCACTTTGGTTGCCTTTGCTTGTAGCGTATTACTCATAACTCATATATTATTTTAAAGTTAAAGACACTTATTATATGACCTACAATTCTACACCTAGATATTTGCCCTAGAGCAATGAAAATGTATGTTTACATGAAACCTCTGCACAAATGTTTATACCAGCATTATTGCAATAGCCTCAAGCTGGAAATAACCCTAATATCTTCGAAGAATGCGTGAGTAAACAAAAGGTGTTATATTTATACAATAGAATACCACCCAGCAATAAAACATCAGAAGGGAATATTGATACACACAATAACATAAATGAATCTCAAAACTATTATGCTGAGTGAAAGAAGCCAGTCTGAAAAGTTCACATATGTGATTCCATTTATTTGACTGCCTGGAAAGGCAAAAGCAGGGGATGAGAGCAAATCAGTGGAAATCAGAGGTTAGGGATGAGGAAAGAGTTTTGGGGGGAGATGGAAGTGCTCAGTGGTGATAGTTAAACAAGTCTATTGAGGTTTTAATTGTACTGTACACCAATAAAAATAAGAATAATATTATTTACAATAATAAACTTTTTTAAAAAAGAGAGAAATAATGTACCAACACACGCTTGCTTCTTAAAGAGCCAAAAGAGCATTTTTTTCAGCTTTCTATGCTCACTTAAATAAAAAAGTTTCAAATACAGAAAAGTTTTTTTAAAGCCGTATCAGTGCTGGATGGCAGATGCCTAGGATTTTGGTGGCCAAGAAATAAAAATGTGTTAGCCCCAAAGTGGTTTTGCCCTATAGCATAACAGCCCTTGATCTGGCCATCATGGTTTAATGCCCTCTAAGTCATCTAAAGGTGACTTGCTTTGACAATGCTACCACTGTTAAATTCAAAGTTGAGATGCTTTATTCTGGAATTGCAGCATCCCTGGTTGAGTCACCCCCTCCAATCACTGATACTCCTAACGCTATTACTATCACAACCACTGCTCAGAACAACCTTAGGGTCAAGTGTAAAGGCTCCTATTCCACAGTCAGGCTTACTCAAGGGTGACTCATAGTAAGTCAACTACACTCCAAATAGTTGAAATCTTGGATTCACTCAGACAGTCAATTCTGACATGAAGGTTACGGAGGGACAAGATCTAATCTCAGACACATCAGGAAATTAAAACCAATCTTCCCTTTCTTCTGCAACCTCTGATGCAGAGACCAGCCTTCTAACTCCAAAGTCTGTAATAAATTTTCTCTCCAGGTCTCCTTTTTTTGGACATCTGGACATGCCCAAAGTCATATGCGCAAGTATATAAGTAGGGAAAAGGGATTTGCCAAATCCTCTAGGCAGCACCCAAAAAATATTTACTGGTAAGATATGTAAATTGAGAAATGACTAAATGCTACATTACTGAAGTTTGAATGCATGGCTTAGATCTACCAAAATACATTGGTACATCTATAACATGGATTTAGGAATTAGAAAGACCTTTAGATGTTATTATATATGATTGTCATACAATATTCCAGAAAGAGGTCCACCTATGTTCTATTTAAATATTTGTATTGGAGGACTCACTGTATTTTGAGGCTGACTAATTCACTGTAAATCAGCTTTAGTTGTTAGAAAGCATTCAACATAATTTATTTTTCAGATCTAAAAGCCAGAGTTTATATTTTTGTATGCAAATTTTTGTCAGTTTTGCCACATTCTTCTAGGTTGTTGGCATAATATAGGGCCTTGAATCCATCACATATAACATTAGTAAGCCATTCAAGTTTTCTTTATTGCACTAGGATAAACATTTTTATTCAAATCAAGTATAACAGTCATCAGGACAGGAATCTAGCCTTACACATTTTCTCTCCAGAATCCATATTCCTATTTCTTCCTACCTTTGACAATTCCCAACAAAACCCACTTAGAGAATTCCTTTCTTTCACCCCCATTTGATTATCCATGGACTTTTACTCCAGAAGTATTGTTAACAAATTAGTAACTGATTATTATCTTTCCCTAGAAGTATAAATTCAAGTTGAAATTCATGTATACCTACTGTGGCCATTCGGGGGTTATAAATGCAGTGGTTATTTTTCAAAGGCCAGAAAGTTTTTAGGAATTAAGACACTCTTCCTGCATCATGACCATTGTAAATGCCAGTATGTTTATCATTGCTCCTTTAGATGGAGAAAGAACACAGAACAAGTGAACAGAGAAATAAGTGATTTATGTATTGTAAATAATACAATATTGCATTTTTACTTGTAGTTTTTTTGAAATGTTTTTATTTATTGTAATGTTTTGAAATTTCTTCCAAATGAAGTCAATTATAGTAGTTTTTAAATGACTCCCAGGAATTTAATACAGATATACTGGCCATGGGGCTAGACAGCCTGGATTCAAATTTCAGCTCTCCCACCTACTTACTGTGTAACTTTGGGCTTAGGTCGCTTCTGTAAAATGTAAATAATAATACATTAAACCTCATGGGGTTGCTGTGAGAGTTAAGTTATTTATAGGTGAAGTGCTTGCTGAAAGCTCCCCAGAACAGCAAAAGCTGTTTATAAACTTTTAATGAAGCAAAGCTGAGACTATGACTTACTCAGGAGAACAGCACATTGGCAGAGTCTGATAGCATCTTAAAGTGGAAAGGACAAAGTCTGACTTACTGAAATTTTGCAGTCTAGGTGAAAGGAGGTTTTTTCAGTGAGGATCTTTATGAGGACTGGCTGAGAATAATGATAGTTTAGGATTGGTGAAAACAGTAAGGAGAATATTTTGAAGAGAGAGTGAGTCATGAATCCTAGGCAGTAATTTGTTGATGATTTCGATTGAAAAGGTAATGGGTCTTGAGAAATCCTGTAATAAAAAATAGTCCTTTGGAACCTTTATCTTCCTGCAAGAGTCTTTTGAAGTAGGAAAGTTATGCTAACAAAGGCTATGAAAGAGTGAAATCATGTTAAGATGGGTTTGCTTCTTAGTGTCCAAGCAGTGTGAAGGCATCTTTAAACAGTATCTGACACATACCATACACATAGATGTAACTGTTGTTTTCATGTTTATTGATATTGTTAAATTAAGCATGCCAAATTTTGTGTAAGTCCTTCAAGCGATTAACATGATTCTTTTTTTTTTCTCTTTCTCTATTTTGAGAAAGATAAGTCTGTGTTCTTCTGTGTCCCTCTCCTGGTCATAGTAATATTTCCCCATCCAGTTTAGCTATGGTAAGCAACTGACACTTTGTGCCGAGGACCGCACAGAGTGATAAGATATACATTCTACTGGGGCAGAGGGACACAGCCATGAAAAATTAAAACATAATAATTTTTTTTTTTTTTTTTTATTATACTCTAAGTTTTAGGGTACATGTGCACATTGTGCAGGTTAGTTACATATGTATACATGTGCCATGCTGGTGCGCTGCACCCACTAATGTGTCATCTAGCATTAGGTATATCTCCCAATGCTATCCCTCCCCCCTCCCCCGACCCCACCACAGTCCCCAGAGTGTGATATTCCCCTTCCTGTGTCCATGTGATCTCATTGTTCAATTCCCACCTATGAGTGAGAATATGCGGTGTTTGGTTTTTTGTTCTTGCGATAGTTTACTGAGAATGATGGTTTCCAATTTCATCCATGTCCCTACAAAGGATATGAACTCATCATTTTTTATGGCTGCATAGTATTCCATGGTGTATATGTGCCACATTTTCTTAATCCAGTCTATCATTGTTGGACATTTGGGTTGGTTCCAAGTCTTTGCTATTGTGAATAGTGCCGCAATAAACATACGTGTGCATGTGTCTTCATAGCAGCATGATTTATACTCATTTGGGTATATACCCAGTAATGGGATGGCTGGGTCAAATGGTATTTCTAGTTCTAGATCCCTGAGGAATCGCCACACTGACTTCCACAATGGTTGAACTAGTTTACAGTCCCACCAACAGTGTAAAAGTGTTCCTATTTCTCCGCATCCTCTCCAGCACCTGTTGTTTCCTGACTTTTTAATGATTGCCATTCTAACTGGTGTGAGATGATATCTCATAGTGGTTTTGATTTGCATTTCTCTGATGGCCAGTGATGATGAGCATTTCTTCATGTGTTTTTTGGCTGCATAAATGTCTTCTTTTGAGAAGTGTCTGTTCATGTCCTTCGCCCACTTTTTGATGGGGTTGTTTGTTTTTTTCTTGTAAATTTGTTTGAGTTCATTGTAGATTCTGGATATTAGCCCTTTGTCAGATGAGTAGGTTGCAAAAATTTTCTCCCATGTTGTAGGTTGCCTGTTCACTCTGGCAAGTTAGATAAAGAGTCAAGACCCATCAGTGTGCTGTATTCAGGAAACCCATCTCACGTGCAGAGACACACATAGGCTCAAAATAAAAGGATGGAGGAAGATCTACCAAGCCAATGGAAAACAAAAAAAGGCAGGGGTTGCAATCCTAGTCTCTGACAAAACAGACTTTAAACCAACAAAGATCAAAAGAGACAAAGAAGGCCATTACATAATGGTAAAGGGATCAATTCAACAAGAGGAGCTAACTATCCTAAATATTTATGCACCCAATACAGGAGCACCCAGATTCATAAAGCAAGTCCTCAGTGACCTACAAAGAGACTTAGACTCCCACACATTAATAATGGGAGACTTTAACACCCCACTGTCAACATTAGACAGATCAACGAGACAGAAAGTCAACAAGGATACCCAGGAATTGAACTCAGCTCTGCACCAAGCAGACCTAATAGACATCTACAGAACTCTCCACCCCAAATCAACAGAATATACATTTTTTTCAGCACCACACCACACCTATTCCAAAATTGACCACATAGTTGGAAGTAAAGCTCTCCTCAGCAAATGTAAAAGAACAGAAATTATAACAAACTATCTCTCAGACCACAGTGCAATCAAACTAGAACTCAGGATTAAGAATCTCACTCAAAGCCGCTCAACTACATGGAAACTGAACAACCTGCTCCTGAATGACTACTGGGTACATAACGAAATGAAGGCAGAAATAAAGATGTTCTTTGAAACCAACGAGAACAAAGACGCCACATACCAGAATCTCTGGGACGCATTCAAAGCAGTGTGTAGAGGGAAATTTATAGCACTAAATGCCTACAAGAGAAAGCAGGAAAGATCCAAAATTGACACCCTAACATCACAATTAAAAGAACTAGAAAAGCAAGAGCAAACACATTCAAAAGCTAGCAGAAGGCAAGAAATAACTAAAATCAGAGCAGAACTGAAGGAAATAGAGACACAAAAAACCCTTCAAAAAATCAATGAATCCAGGAGCTGGTTTTTTGAAAGGATCAACAAAATTGATAGACTGCTAGCAAGACTAATAAAGAAAAAAAGAGAGAAGAATCAAATAGACACAATAAAAAATGATAAAGGGGATATCACCACCGATCCCACAGAAATACAAACTACCATCAGAGAATACTACAAACACCTCTACGCAAATAAACTAGAAAATCTAGAAGAAATGGATACATTCCTCGACACATACACTCTCCCAAGACTAAACCAGGAAGAAGTTGAATCTCTGAATCGACCAATAACAGGCTCTGAAATTGTGGCAATAATCAATAGTTTACCAACCAAAAAGAGTCCAGGACCAGATGGATTCACAGCCGAATTCTACCAGAGGTACAAGGAGGAACTGGTACCATTCCTTCTGAAACTATTCCAATCAATAGAAAAAGAGGGAATCCTCCCTAACTCATTTTATGAGGCCAGCATCATTCTGATACCAAAGCCGGGCAGAGACACAACCAAAAAAGAGAATTTTAGACCAATATCCTTGATGAACATTGATGCAAAAATCCTCAATAAAATACTGGCAAACCGAATCCAGCAGCACATCAAAAAGCTTATCCACCATGATCAAGTGGGCTTCATCCCTGGGATGCAAGGCTGGTTCAATATACGCAAATCAATAAATGTAATCCAGCATATAAACAGAGCCAAAGACAAAAACCACATGATTATCTCAATAGATGCAGAAAAAGCCTTTGACAAAATTCAACAACCCTTCATGCTAAAAACTCTCAATAAATTAGGTATTGATGGGATGTATTTCAAAATAATAAGAGCTATCTATGACAAACCCACAGCCAATATCATACTGAATGGGCAAAAACTGGAAGCATTCCCTTTGAAAACCGGCACAAGACAGGGATGCCCTCTCTCACCGCTCCTATTCAACATAGTGTTGGAAGTTCTGGCCAGGGCAATCAGGCAGGAGAAGGAAATAAAGGGTATTCAATTAGGAAAAGAGGAAGTCAAATTGTCCCTGTTTGCAGATGACATGATTGTTTATCTAGAAAACCCCATCGTCTCAGCCCAAAATCTCCTTAAGCTGATAAGCAACTTCAGCAAAGTCTCAGGATACAAAATCAATGTACAAAAATCACAAGCATTCTTATACACCAACAACAGACAAACAGAGAGCCAAATCATGGGTGAACTCCCATTCACAATTGCTTCAAAGAGAATAAAATACCTAGGAATCCAACTTACAAGGGATGTGAAGGACCTCTTCAAGGAGAACTACAAACCACTGCTCAAGGAAATAAAAGAGGAGACAAATAAATGGAAGAACATTCCATGCTCATGGGTAGGAAGAATCAATATCGTGAAAATGGCCATACTGCCCAAGGTAATTTACAGATTCAATGCCATCCCCATCAAGCTACCAATGACTTTCTTCACAGAATTGGAAAAAACTACTTTAAAGTTCATATGGAACCAAAAAAGAGCCCGCATTGCCAAGTCAATCCTAAGCCAAAAGAACAAAGCTGGAGGCATCACACTACCTGACTTCAAACTATACTACAAGGCTACAGTAACCAAAACAGCATGGTACTGGTACAAAAACAGAGATATAGATCAATGGAACAGAACAGAGCCCTCAGAAATAATGCCGCATATCTACAACTATCTGATCTTTGACAAACCTGAGAAAAACAAGCAATGGGGAAAGGATTCCCTATTTAATAAATGGTGCTGGGAAAACTGGCTAGCCATATGTAGAAAGCTGAAACTGGATCCCTTCCTTACACCTTATACAAAAATCAATTCAAGATGGATTAAAGATTTAAACGTTAAACCTAAAACCATAAAAACCCTAGAAGAAAACCTAGGCATTACCATTCAGGACATAGGCGTGGGCAAGGACTTCATGTCCAAAACACCAAAAGCAATGGCAACAAAAGACAAAATTGACAAATGGGATCTAATTAAACTAAAGAGCTTCTGCACAGCAAAACATAATAATTTTTTTAAAAAAATACAGTATAATAAATTCAGTACTCTAAAAAGGTATGCATGAAGGATTTAAGAATCACAAAGGAAAATCAGCCCAACTGTGCTGGAAGAAGAGAGCAAGAACTTTACAAAATGCATAGCTACTGAGAGGACCACATCTTGAGTTAACCTAAAAAAAATTATGGGTATCTCCCATTAAGTCTGATTTCTCAAGGAGCACTCAAGGTATTCTTACAAATATTTGTAGTACGCTCTATCTTGGCATGCATTGTTGCTTCCACCACAGTGTTGAGAGTGAATGCTCCAGTGCATAACTTAAAGAGATGCCTTTTTCTTAATCAGAACTGCATTACATACTAGGACGTTGGCGGGTTCAATGTAATTACAAAATTACAATTTTGTAATGTTCAAAATTCAGCTTAAAAGAAACGAAGTAATCTCCCAGACTTCTTATTTTTTATATTCTGTTTCATCAGCATAGTCCTGGTTTACACCACTTGTCCCAGTGTATTTATAAATAATGCTTCCTTCACTCTTAAAATGACCCAGCTTTTAACAATTAATTACATGGTCACCCTACTTGTACTACATTTTGCTGCTATTCCAGTAGGGAAAAAAATGGGCTGGGAGCTAGAAAGTAAATGTTTGAGTTCCAGCCCTGCCATTTACTTTGGGAAAATGACTTTATCTGAAGTTATTATAATGATTAAATATCATGATTGTAGCAAAAATGTAGAGTGTGTAAAGGGTAATCTACGTGTTTTGTTAATCTTCATAGTGTCGCAGTTAACATCATAAAGTTTGAAAGTAGAAAACGTGTAAAGATAAATGTAAATACACATTTACAAATATTGTTTTCCAAATATAAGTGATTATACTTGATTGAGCTACCAATGTTTATGTTTCAGTATCAGACTTAATTGTCCTCCTAACCAATGGGCCAATGGGGTGTAGAAAGTAGTAAGAACCCGAATACATGGGCCCAAAATTAACCGTGGTGTTACTGTGGATACATATTTACAGCTTAAGAGTTTTAATTTCTTCACCTCTAAAATAAAACACTTGAGCTTTTTTTTTTTTTTTTTTTTTTTTGAGACGGAGTCTCGCTCTGTCACCCAGGCTGGAGTGCAGTAGCGCCATCTCGGCTCACTGCAAGCTCCGCCTCCCATGTTCACACCATTCTCCTGCCTCAGCCTCCCGAGTAACTGGGACTACAGGTGCCCACCACCACACCCGGCTAATTTTTTGTATTTTTAGTAGAGACGGGGTTTCACTGTGTTACCCAGGATGGTCTTGATCTCCTGACCTCGCGATCCGCCTGCCTCAGCCTCCCAAAGTGCTGGGATTACAGGCATGAGCCATGGCACCCGGCAGAGCTAAGTATTCTTAATCAAAGTGTGGAGAACTTTGTTTTGAAGGAGAAAAATGTGGGGTCCCAGTTTGTGGATGAGATTTACAAACAGCCTTGTATACTTCCTGTGATTTGGTCTTGAGGTCTCTTTTGAAAGTGGGTATAATTATAGCCCTGCCCTGATGGGGCTCCAGGGGATGTGATCATGGATATTCACAACGTGTCTTTCATGGGACACTTTTTCTTTCTGGTGGATGGCCTAATGCATAAGTGTCTCATCCATGACCAGGTATGCCTTGCACAGAAAACTTTTTCATCCTGGCAGACACCTTTACAGCTATTTTTTGACCTATGTCCAGTTTATTCCTACCAAGGTAGCCACCCTCTAGGGGAGCCCTGACCAGGAGGAGAGTTAAGTTTGGGAGTGCGGGTCAGGTGAGACACAGAAGAGGCAGCACAGCAAAACACATGAAGTAACAGAAACAGTATTGCTTACAAATCACAGACAGAAGAGGGCAGCAGACCTCGTAGAGCCTATGGGAAAGGGAAGCTGCTCTGGACATGTGAGCCCAACCAGAAGGTGGAGAGCAAGAGAAAGAAAGCGAGAGACCTATGGGCCAGAGGCTTTATTGGGATCCAGGGTGTCACCCACAAAGGTTTCCTTTGGAGAGTTCTAATTGGTAGATTTAGAGCAAGCAGACAGGAGCTCCATGGAGTCACGCTGTAACTGAGGGGTGGTCACTGCAGCCTATCTGCTCAGTCCATGCAGCGTGTGGGGGTCAATGGGGCAAGTCGTATAGGTTGTATCTAGCTGTCCCATAGGGAGATGGTCACCAGGAGGCAGTTTTATAAGGCAGATATCTGGGTCGACCACCTTTAGGAACTGGGAGAAGGTGGAGAACTGGAAACTGAAGGGTGACTAAGCCCCAGTTCTGATATGAGAAAATCCAATCTATATTTAAAATGGATGCTGAGGCAACATAAAATTGTAAGAACTCACTACAAACCTGAATTCTGTTTCATCCAATGTAAAAACCTGTGCCAGGCTGCTTCAGTTTCCCTGGGTGCTACAGCGAGCCCAGCAAGTGTACGCTGGCTTTCTGGGATCTAGCAGCCCCAAAACTTGTTAACATAGAGCTGGTTGATCTCTAAGCCCCCAAACCCTCAAATATCACAGAGGGAAGTTGTATAAATAAGTATTGATTAATTATTTAAAAACAATCATTTAGGAGGGCATAGAAATCTGTATTCATTTCCTAGGACTTAACAAATTTATTCTCTTACAGTTCTGGAAGCCAGAAGTCCAAAATTAAGGTGTCACGGTATCTCTTTGAAGGTTCTGGGGAGAATCCTTCCTTGCTTCTTCCAGTTTCTGGTAGCTCCAGGTGTCCCTTGGTTTGTCAAATTATTTCTGAGCTTCAGGCCATAAATACTTTGGTACCTCATAGTTATATAATCATTTGCTTAAAACTTAATAATTAGGAATAAAACATCTAAAATTTAACTTTCAAGTTTAAAGTTAAACAAAGAGAAGCCAGGCAGTGTTCAAGATGAAATTTTAATGTTGACATCAACTGACTGATGATGAATAGTATAAACCGTAAATTACTAATTGCATGCTATGCTAAATATATTTCTATGAAAACTCTGTTACATTTCCTGAACAGTTTCATTCATAATAATGAACTAATTATACTTTAGCATCTAATGAACAGAACTAAATGAGCTGCATTCAAAAGCCACAGCTTTTTTCTTTCAATATATGTCTTTGATCGTGTAATAATGTTTTCTTATAGAAGCAAGAGGGAATCTAAGTATGTTTCGAGGCACTAAAGGCATCTAATATTATTTTCCATTCTTTTGCCCAAATTTTTGTATGACAAAGTGTCTCTTTCTCATAAGTGCACACTAGTATTCTACTAATGTTATTAAAAAGCTAATTCTTTTATTAAGGAGAAACATAAATATCACCTATTGAAAGCTTTGTGGAGTTTTAATCACATTTTTAATTATTGGGAAACAGAAGCCAATCTTATTTAAAACTAGTAATCAAATATGTAGATCAATGCTATCCATCGGTTATATAGAAGTAGTTACATTTTTATACTGAATGAAGGTAGGGCTAGCACAAGCTACTTTTACTGCATTGGGATGCATACCACACCTTCTCCTGATCCATAAGCCCAACTCCCAAACTCACTCATTCAAAAACAGCCTAGTGTGGTGAACAGGAAATGGGAACAAGTAGCCATTGTGCAAACTGCCAAGTTCTATAATAAAGGTCTGAGCAGGAGGCATGGGTACCTCTGGTATGGTGGATGCTATGGCATTCTGCTTTCAGGTCCTCCCAGTCTCTGCTTTAAGGACTGAAGGGACTTATTCCCTCAGCTGATAAAATATGAGTTATCTACAGCTCCCAGCTGAGTCCCTCTCTAAAACTTGCCCTGGGGCTTGCCCATGTCACATTTCTTCCTGGCACAGTCCACATACAGTCACTTCTCAGTATTGAGGCATAAAGGCCCAGTCCCCTTGTCCCAATTCAGAAAAACCCTGAAGGGTCATGCTAGCTCCAGAGCTTCTCATAGAAATGGCTGAGCCCTTTGTTGTGACTGCATCATAATTCAACTTCTCTCTGGACAGTACTGTTTCCTTTCTGCCCTTCCACCTACACAAGTATCGATTCTAAGGACACATCCCCAATAAACTTCCTACATGCAAGTCTCTGTGTTAGAGTGTGCTTCCTAGGGAAACTCACCTGTTATATCTGGTCCAGGGAGATTAAAGAACACTTTTTAGATGTTTTCTAATTTGAGATTTATCTCTCAGTAAAAATAAGAGTTTCTCTAATAAAGGATCAGAGAAAAGAGTACACTCCATGCCAAACAAACAAACAAACAAAAAAAAAAACAAAAACAGGAAAAAGCAGAGATGTGAAAGAGTACGTCTTATTAAGTTGTACAATTTTGTTACAATACTAGAGAAGCAATTTATGATGTAGCAGGAGGAGGTAGAGCCCAAGTTATGAAGAGTCTTTATTGTTAATCTGAAGATTTTGCATTTTTTCCATAGACAGTAAGTGGTCATTTATGAATTATATGTACTGGATTGCATAATAACAGTTATTTCCAAAAGAAAAACAGAAATAGATCAGAAGGTAGATTGAAAGGTAGTTGAGAGATAAAAGTAGAAGGGAGACTAAACAGAGAGCAGCTATAATATTGGAACAGGTTTTCAAGGGTTAAACAGAAACAGAGATGGTGAATAGGGAATGGATATGGGCCATATGATAAAAATAGAAACAACTATATAAGGTAATTAAATCAGGTAAGTAGAAGAAGGAGGCATAGAGGTTCCTAGCTTGGGTCAGTGAAGGAAGCTGTGGTTGTAAATGGTAGGTAAAGCAACAAGTAGAGGGGGTACGGTTGAGATTATGGTATTGCAGGAGCAAGGAGACTAACAGCCTGCTGGGTACCCTGCTAAAGATGTCCTCTTCAATGGCTGACGCTATGCATTGCACAAAATACGAAATGTTACTTCACTCGCCCACCAAAAATTATTTAGATGTTATTAGCGTATTGAGAGTAGTATTAAGTTGTGTAGTGGGGGAGGGTAAAGGCTTATCTTCCAACAGTGACTTCAGTCAGAAATCAATATGACATGACCTAAGATAAGGTCAAAAGTTAGCTGGACCATTTGCTGGAGAGAAACAACATGTTAACGCCCAAATGAAGCCACAATCGGCACCATTGAAAATGCTCGGTAGCAGGACCATGGAGAAGTTATAACTTGTTTATTTTCTCTGACAGCAGGGATCCTGGAAGCAGTTATCTGCTATAGTGCTTTTCTTTTGTGGGACAGTAAAGCAGACTGCATGCGGTAATTGTGTAGGCATAGACCTTGACAATGGTGCTGACAAGCCTGTAAGACTTGACTAGACAGGGAGGGTGTTAACCCTGGCTTGCTTCCCGCTGGTAATAATAAGTCATGACGGTGCTCCATGAAGTTCATTTTAACTATTTTATATCAACAAGAATCATGCATATTGGTGCAAAATACTAGATGTTTTAATCGAATGTTCTGTGTACCTAATAATGTTCTCATGAGATTGAACCACAGAGAAATAAATTAATTATTCAAAGAAGATGATGGTATTTTGAGAGTCCATGAATCATCTGTATCAGATCATTCAGAGTACATGTTAAAAATGCAAAATCTAATGTCCCACTTTACCTACCAAATTAGAATCTAGAGCAGAGTTTCTCGACCATGGCCCTTTTTACATTTAGGACTGGAAAATTCCTAGGGGCTATCCTGTGCTTCGTAGGATATTTAGCAGAATCCCTGGCCTCTACTCACTAGATGCCAGGAATACAAACACACACACAGAGACATACACACGCACACACCTGTAGTGACAAGAAAAAATATCTCCAGACACTGCCAATTGTTCCCGCAAGGAAAAATCGCCCCTCATTGAGGACCCAGGATTTAGAGGGATGGGTCTGGAAATCCACATTCTAAAAGTTACTGTCTCTTCCACTACTATTACCACTCACTAAATGATTCTCATTACCATCAATTTTGAGAATCAGTGTTGTGAGAAAATGCATTGTTTACAGATACATTTGCTTATTTTAACTTTTAATATTTGTTGAGTGCCTACTCGGTGCCAGCAAATCTTGCTATATTTGGAGGATACTACAGAGAACAAAACAGACAAAATTTTTGCTCTCATTGAGCTAACTCAGAGTGGAGAAAATAGGCAATTACTTGAACTTTCTTCATCAATATTTGTGCTCTGAAGAAAAATAAGGCAGGCTAAAAGATAGATAGGGAGTGACTGTAAGCAATATATTAGCAAGATGATAGGGACGCTTCTCCACCTCTGAAGTGGAAATATATGAGCAGAGATATGAATAAACGTGAGTCAAGTTGCCTGCAAGTGCTGATCTAGGACTCCAGAGGATGGCACGTCATTAAAGCTTGTAGTGAAATACCCCAAGGGACCAGCAGCTGAGGGTGTTGAGGTCTGGATGGCCACTGTCAGTTTATCTTCTGTCCCCAAAACTCTGAGTCAGGGGCCACATTACCCGGAGCAGAATGGTTCCAAAGACAGTTTTAACAAAAGCTTTGTGTCAAACTCATGAGAGCCCTAGTTGAACAGCAGAAGCGCGAATGTCCCAGCCAAATACGTCATCTCTGTCATTTTCAGAATAATTTTAATTCCCCCCATGGTAGGTGCTTGCTTCAGCAGCACATATATTAATTTCCCTATGGTTAAAGCTCAAAGATAACAATTACCTAACTAGAGATGCCAGGTCTAGACTGAGGCAAATGAAGTGGACAGGGGACAAAATGTAAGGAGACACTCACTCTCAGGGTCAGGCAAGTACATCCTTATGTGTCCTGTCCCAGTATCTCATTGGATTCATCCTTGTTTCAGCCTATTAGTGTTCCATCTGAAAACAAACAGGAAACCCAGCTTGCTTCGGCGACAAGGCGTCATCCAGATATCATTTTCTGATGGAAACCTCATCTTTAGAAATAAAAATACTGGAATTAAGAAACTGTAAGACTAGGAGGGCCCCAAAGAAAGAGTATCTCAATCAGCTAGTGCCCTCCAAGCTAACAGCCCCTAATATGGGGGAGGAAATGGTGAATCTTCTTGATTTCAAATGATTTTCCAGAAGGAAAGTGTCTGAGTTTCCTAATTACTGGTTCCTAAACTGTCAAGCACTACAGTTAGAGTTTCTTTCTGAAATCTAAATATAAATACATTCTACTGAAAATTGAATCATGAGCTTCAGGAATTATTCATACCACATAGAAAGCCAACAGATAATCACCTATTCTTTTGCTTCAGTCTTTCCTAAGTTTGAAAATAGATGCTAATAGTTGTAGATATGCAGCATTATTTCTGAGAGCTCTGTTCTGTTCCATTGGTCTATATCTCTGTTTTGGTACCAGTACAACTATCTGATCTTTGACAAAACTGACAAAAACAAGCAATGGGGAAAGGATTCCCTATTTAATAAATGGTGCTGGGAAAACTGGTTAGCCATATGTACAAAGCTGAAACTTTCTTACACCTTATACAAAAATTAATTCAAGATGGATTAAAGACTTAAACGTTAGACCTAAAACCATAAAAACCCTAGAAGAAAACCTAGGCAATACCATTCAAGACATAGGCATGGGCAAGGACTTCATGTCTAAAACACCAAAAGCAATGGCAACAAAAGCCAAAATCGACAAATGGAATCTAATTAAACTAAAGAGCTTCTGCACAGCAAAAGAAACTACCATCAGAGTGAACAGGCAACCTACAGAATGGGAGAAAATTTTTGCAACCTACTCATCTGACAAAGGGCTAATATAGAGAATCCACAATGAACTCAAACAAATTTATGAGAAAAAAAACAACCCCATCAACAAGTGGGCAAAGGATATGAACAGACACTTCTCAAAAGAAGACATTTATACAGCCAAAAAACACATACTGTGCACTAAGGAAAAAAAGATGTATGAATACATTTTGCACCCAAGCTATGGACACAAAATTGCTAAGCACAGAGCATTCAAAATCTCCTGGTCTCCAGAATTTACAAACAAAGGGGAGAAAGAGGCAGTCATGAACACACACTATGGAAGCTTGCTGATGGCCATTAAGCCAATCTGATTAAAATATACTGGGCTCAGTTTTATGTATATATAAAATTGCTGCCACCATCAGGCCACTGCTGCTCAACTCTTACATAAGGTGGGCTTTTATTTTTGTTATTTTATGTCCCCAAGTAAGTTAGTTTATCTTCCCTTGATGATTGTCCCATTTAGAAGAAAGAGCAGTGAATGGATGCAGCCTGGAGAAAGCTGGGCCTGGGATTAGAGTGTCAGACACTGGAACAGTGTATTTGTTTGTCATCTGTTTTGGGCTTTATTGACTGCCAAACTAATTGAAGCTGATTAACGGGTTTTTGATCTTAGTTTATTGAGTGCGTGAAACAGTTGCAACCCATTCATGAGCAATTATTACAATGCATATTCTTCATAATTATCTTTAAAAGCATGCATAAACTTATTTATATAAAATAATTTGTATAAGAATTTGTTTTCTTTATATGTAACCAATCAATTATTGACTGCCTAAAGTCATTTAAAGTAGTTATTGTAGCAGCTGCAAGAAGAGATAGGATATAATCCCTGATAATAAGCAGCTTGTAAATCAGTTGAGAAAATTGGAAACACTTATATATAAAAGACAATTAAATTTTTAAGTTTTTATATGCAGAATGACAAATGATTTACTATAGAAAAATAGAAGCAAGAAAGATTCTGAATAATCAGTGGTGACTTACACAGAATATAGGAAATAAAATGAGCTGTTAAAGATTCATGTAGTTCCTATCATTTGATTGGAAGGAGAGGAGGAGTCCTTTCTTGAGGAAATGGCATGGGTAGAACCATAGAACCAAGATGGGACAAAATGTCCACCCAGAACAAAATATAAAACTTAAACTGGGGTATCAGCTGAATAAGTGAGGAAAGGTTACATAGAGAGATTACAGTCAGATTTGCCCATCAGACTTTTGACTTATTAAGGGATACTGACACTTTTGCTCATGGTCAGACTGATAGTAAGCATGTTTTAGAAAATATATCTAACACTTATAACACAGCATCTGGTGGTGGCAATGTAAATAAAACAAACAAAAAGAATTATGATTTACAAATGAAATTGGCAGGACTTAGAAATTAATATTATAGCTTTAAAAATAAGGGGGCACAGGGAGGAGGATAAATGTAGGTTGAAATCTGAGTTTTCAGACCGGAGGATTAAGAGGATAGCCAACAGAAAGAAAGGGAGACAAACATCCACTTAGTGAAAAAAATTTGAGGGTAAAATGTCAGTTTTAAAATACCAAATTACCAGTAATAGTATGTGAGATGATACTATCCAGCAGATATTTTGGTGAACTGGGTTTAACAGATAATTCAAAACTAAATATGTAATTTAAGGAGTTATTCATATTAAGTGACTGATGAAATCGTGAAGGTAGATATAATATCAGAAGATGAAATCCATCAGAAAAGGCCTAAGAATACAAGTTCAAGGTATTACTACCTTTGAAAGCATGAGCAAAGTGAAAAAATCAGAGAATTGAAGCTAAGAAGAGAATTATGCAATGCAGAGTTGTAGAATTTAAGGGACGAGAGAACTTCAAGAGAAAAGTGGTTAAGAATGTCAAATGCTGCACAGAGGTAAGAAAAATAATTTGAAAAGCTTTAGCACCTCTTTCTCCTTTAAAGTACTGGATATTTTTCATATGTTTGCTGATCACCTGCAGTGATGACGTTATGTAAAAGTCTCATGAACTACATGTGAATAAATTTCTTAATTAAAATAATCATGTGTATTTTTTAAAAGGAAGAAGAAAGGCAATACTTGCAACCAATGATAAAGAGGTATTCTGACTTTCATCTGCCTTTGTGTTAAGCGTGAGAGAGCCAGACAGAATTGCAGCAGGAACCAGAAGGAGCAAAGAAAAAGATTACTGTTTCTTTTATAAAATGGTTTTTATCCTACTGGTGTCTCTTTAAAAATAAAAATCAACAAATAAATGTCCATTTAAATTGATCTTCTGTTGGACTATGTTATTAGTCTGACATACAAATTAGTGCTTCTAAGATTTAACTATGCGACTGAGAACCAATATTTTATGGAGAGTGTCAAATGGCTTGCCTTTACAGCAATTCTTTTCACTGTATCTATTTTTTTTAATGTGGATGATGGAAACTACTTTAATCAAAAAGTTAATAATACTTATTTGGAGGTATGATAAAGCAAATGTCTTTGGCCACATTGCTGTTATTGGAATTTAAGGGCTATTATCTTTTGTAGGACAATTTTTAAAATACAGTTTATTCTACTCAGTGCCCTAAGTCTGTTTCTTACTAGCCATGACCTTCAGAAGCTGACTTTACCTCTCTAAGCCATTCTCCTCCTCTGTGAAATGGGAATGTTAATACCCACTCTTGTTACTCTCAGAGTGCAATGAGGATCAATGAGAAGATAAAAATAAATGTGTTTGGTTAACTATGAAATACCACGTAAATGTTATTAGTATGAATTATTTATAGACCATACACTTGATGGAGGCAAAAAGTAGACCTTTGTTGTTCCCATGAAACCACAGTACCTTCCACAGTGCCTGACAAGAAGTAAGAAAGCAATAAAAGTTTGTTGAATTTAATATGCCCTGAGAAGTATAATTATAAAAATGACTGCATGTAAAAATATCAATAAAATACATACTAAACCACCAAACAGAAAATTATGAAAACAAGTGCAGGCTCAGCACTCACAAAAACATGAATCTATTCTGATAAATATGACGCTGTGTCAACCAGCCCACATCTGTCCTGTATGTTGAAAGCTTTCCAAGGAGAGAGATAACATAATTTCCACAGTGCCTTTTATTTCATGTCTAACAGCATTTCTAGTCTTATTCCAAACTAGAGATTGTCATTATTAGTAAACTGACACAATCTAAGCCAGAGGAACTGACAATACCCACAAAACAGGGTGCATAAGAATTCAACAAAAGGCAAGGGATGACAAACAAAAAATAGACTAAATGGGAAAATGGGAAGGCAATCTCAATGTGAAAACAAAGAATTGTAAAATCAAATGTTGCATGGAAATGTCCATTTTCACTGGAGTTTATGGACAGACTTTATTAAGATACTAGAGGGGTGGAGCCAAGACGGCCAAACAGGAACACCTCCAGTCTACAGCTCCCAGTGTGAGTGACACAGAAGATGGGTGATTTCTGCATTTCCAACTGAGGCCTGGGTTCATCTCACTGGGGAGTGTCGGACACTGGGTGCAGGACAGTGGGTGCAGCACACTGAGAGTGAGCTGAAGCAGGGCAAGGCATCACCTCACCCAGGAAGCGCAAGGGGTCAGGGAATGCCCTTTCCTAGTCAAAGAAAGGGCTGAGAGACGGTACCTGAAAAATCAGGTCACTCCCACCCTAACACTGCACTTTTCCAACGGTCTTAGCAAACTGCACACCAGGAGATTATATCCCGCACATGGCTCAGAGGGTCCTACACCCACTGAGCCTCACTGATTGCTAGCACAGCAGTCTGAGATCAAACTGCAAAGTGGCAGCAAGGCTGGGGGAGGGGCGCCCACCATTACTGAGCCTTGAGTAGGTAAACAAAGTGGCCAGGAAGTTCGAACTGGGTGGAGCCCACCGCAGCTCAAGGAGGCCTGCCTGCCTCTGTAGACTCCACCTCTGGGGGCAGGGCATAGCCAAACAAAAGGCAGCAGAAACCTCTGCAGACTTAAATGTCCCTGTCTGACAGCTTTGAAGAGAGTAGTGGTTCTCCCAACATGCAGCTGGGGATCTGAGAATGGACAGACTGCCTCCTCAAGAGGGTCCCTGGCCCCAGAGTAGCCTAAATGGGAGGCACCCCCCCAGTAGGGGCAGACTGACACCTCACACGGCCGGGTACTCCTCTGAGACAAAACTTCCAGAGAACGATCAGGCAGCAACAATTGCCGTTCACCAATATCCGCTGTTCTGCAGCCTCCACTGCTGATACCTAGGCAAACAGGGTCTGGAGTGGACCTCCAGCAAACTCCAACAGACCTGCAGCTGAGGGTCCTGACTGTTAGAAGGAAAACTAACTAACAGAAAGGACAACCACACCAAAACCCCATCTGTACATCACCATCATCAAAGACCAAAGGTAGATAAAACCACAAAGATGGGGAAAAACAGAGGAGAAAAACTGGAAACTCTAAAAATCAGAGTGCCTCTCCTCCTCCAAAGGAATGCAGCTCCTCACCAGCAATGGAACAAAGCTGGATGGAGAATGACTTTGATGAGTTGAGAGAAGGCTTCAGACAGTCAAACTACTCCGAGCTAAAGGAGGAAGTTCGAACCCATGGCAAAGAAGTTAAAAACCTTGAAAAAAAATTAGATGAATGACTAACTAGAATAACCAATGCAGAGAAGTCCTTAAAGGGCGTGATGGAGCTGAAAACCACAGCATGAGAACTACGTGAGAAATGCACAAGCCTCAGTAATCAATGTGATCAACTGGAAGAAAGGGTGTCAGTGATGGAAGATCAAATGAATGAAATGAAGTGAGAAGAGAAGTTTAAAGAAATAAGAATAAACAGAAATGAACAAAGCCTCCAAGAAATATGGGACTATGTGAAAAGACCAAATCTGTGTCGGATTGGTGTAACTGAAAGTGATGGGGAGAATGGAACCAAGTTGGAAAACACTCTGCAGAATATTACCCAGGAGAACTTCCCCAATCTAGCAAGGCAGGCCAACATTAAAATTCAGGAAATACAGAGAACGCCACAAAGATACTCCTCGAAAAGAGCAACTCCAAGACCCATAACTGTCAGATTCACCAAAGTTGAAATGAAGGAAAAAATGTTAAGGGCAGCCAGAGAGAAAGGTCGGGTTACCCACAAAGGGAAGCCCATCAGACTAAAAGCTGATCTCTCGGCAGAAACTCTACAAGCCAGAAGAGAGTGGGGGCCAATATTCAACATTCTTAAAGAAAAGAATTTTCAACCCAGAATTTCATATCCAGCCAAACTAAGCTTCATAAGTGAAGAAGAAATAAAATACTTTACAGAAAAGCAAATGCTGAGAGATTTTCTCACCACCATGCCTGCCCTAAAAGAGCTCCTGAAGGAAGCACTAAATATGGAAAGGAACAACTGGTACCAGCCACTGCAAAAACATGCGAAATTGTAAAGACCATCAAGGCTAGGAAGAAACTGCATCAACTAACGAGCAAAATAACCAGCTAACAACATAATGACAGGATCAAATTCACACACAACAATATTACCCTTAAATGTAAATGGGCTAAATACTCCAATTAAAAGACACACACTGGCAAGCTGGATAAAGAGTCAAGACCCATCAGTGTGCTGTATTCAGGAAACCCATCTCATGTGCAGAGACACACATAGTCTCAAAATAAAGGGATAGAGGAAGATCTACCAAGCAAATGGAAAACAAAAAAATGCAGGGGTTGCAATCCTAGTCTCTGATAAAACAGACTTTAAACCAACAAAGATCAAAAGAGACAAAGAAGGCCATTACATAATGGTAAAGGGATCAATTCAAGAAGAGCTAACTATCCGAAATATATATGCACCCAATACAGGAGCACCCAGATTCACAGAGCATGTCCTTAGAGACCTACAAAGAGACTTAGACTCCCACACAATAATAATGGCAGATTTTAACACCCCACTGTCAACATTAGACAGATCAATGAGACAGAAACCTAACAAGGATATCATGGAATTGAACTCAGCTCTGCACCAAGCGGACCTGATAGACATCTACAGAACTCTTCACCCCAAATCAACAGAATATACATTCTTTTCAGTAGCACGCCACACCTATTCCAAAACTGACCACATAGTTGGAAGTAAAGCACTCCTCAGCAAATGTAAAAGAACAGAAATTATAACAAACTGTCTCTCAGACCACAGTGCAATCAAACTAGAATTCAGAATTAAGAAACTCACTTAAAACTGCTCAACTACATGGAAACTGAACAACCTGCTCCTGAACGACTACTGGGTACATAACGAAATGAAGGAAGAAATAAAGATGTTCTTTGAAACCAATGAGAACAAAGACACAACAAACCAGAATCTCTGGGACACATTCAAAGCTGTGTGGAGAGGGAAATTTATAGCACTAAATGCCCACAAGGGAAAGCAGGAAAGATAAAAAATTGACACCGTAACATCACAATTAAAACAACTAGAGAAGCAACAGCAAACACAGTCAAAACCTAGCAGAAGGCAAGAAATAACTAAGATCAGAGCAGAACTGAAGGAAAAAGAGACACAAAAAACCCTTCAAAAAAATCAATGAATCCAGGACCTGGTTATTTGAAAAGATCAACAAAATTGATAGACCACTAGCAAGACTAATGAAGAAGAAAAGAGAGAAGAATCAAATAGACGCAATAAAAAATGATAAAAAGGGATATCACCACCGATCCCACAGAAATACAAACTACCATCAGAGAATACTATAAACACCTCTATGCAAATAAACTAGAAAATCTAGAAGAAATGGATACAAACAAATGGAAGAACATTCCATGCTCATGGGTAGGAAGAATCAATATCATGAAAATGGCCATACTGCCCAAGGTAATTTATAGATTCAATGCCATCCCCATCAAGCTACCAATGACTTTCCTCACAGAATTGGAAAAAAACCACTTTAAAGTTCATATGGAACCAAAAAAGAGCCCACATCGCCAAGTCAACCTAAGCCAAAAAAAGAAAGCTGGAGGCATCACACTACCTGACTTCAAACTATACTACAAGTCTACAGTAACCAAAACAGCATGGTACTGGTACCAAAACAGAGATATAGATCAATGGAACAGAACAGAGCCCTCAGAAATAATGCCGCACATCTACAACTATCTGATCTTTGACAAACCTGAGAAAAACAAGCAATGGGGAAAGGATTCCCTATTTAATAAATGGTGCTGGGAAAGCTGGCTAGCCATATGTAAAAAGCTGAAACTGAATCCCTTCCTTAGGCCTTATACAAAAACCAATTCAAGATGGATTAAAGACTTAAATGTTAGACCTAAAACCATAAAAACCCTAGAAGAAAACCTAGGCATTACCATTGAGGACATAGGCATGGGCAAGGACTTCATGTCTAAAACACCAAAAGCAATGGCAACAAAAGCAACAATTGACAAATGGGATCTAATTAAACTAAAGAGCTTCTGCACAGCAAAAGAAACTACCATCAGAGTGAACAGGCAACCTACAAAATGGGAGAAAATTTTCACAACCTACTCATCTGACAAAGGGCTAATATGGAGAATCTACAATGAACTCAAACACATTTACAAGAAAAAAACAAACAACCCCATCCAAAAGTGGGCGAAGGACATGAACAGACACTTCTCAAAAGAAGACATTTATGCAGCCAAAAGACACATGAAAAATTGCTCATCATCACTGGCCATCAGAGAAATGCAAATCAAAACCACAATGAGATACCATCTTACAACCAATTAGAATGGAGATCATTAAAAAGTCAGGAAACCACAGGTGCTGGAGAGGATGTGGAGAAATAGGAACACTTTTACACTGTTGGTGGGACTGTAAACTAGTTCAACCATTGTGGAAGTCAGTGTGGCGATTCCTCAGGGATCTAGAACTAGAAATACCATTTGACCCAGCCATCCCATTACTGGGTATATACCCTAAGGACTATAAATCATGCTGCTATAAAGACACATGCACACATATGTTTATTGCGGCCCTATTCACAATAGCAAAGACCTGGAACCAACCCAAATGTCCAACAATGATAGACTGGATTAAGAAAATGTGGCACATATACACCGTGGAATACTATGCAGCCATAAAAAATGATGAGTTCATGTCCTTTGTAGGGACATGGATGAAATTGGAAATCATCATTCTCAGTAAACTATCACAAGAACAAAAAACCAAACACCACATATTCTCACTCATAGGTGGGAAATGAACAATGAGAAGATATGGACACAGGAATGGGAACATCACACTCTGGGGACTGTTGTGGGGTTGGGGGGAAGGGGGAGCGATAGCATTGGGGGATATACCTAATGCTAGAGGACGAGTTAGTGGGTGCAGCACACCAGCATGGCACATGTATACATATGTAACTAACCTGCACATTGTGCACATGTACCCTAAAAGTATAATAATAATAATAATAAAAAAAGAGATGGATAAATTCCTCGACACATACACCCTCCCAAGACTAAACCAGTAAGAAGTTGAATCTCTCAATACACCAATAACAGACTCTGAAATTGAGGCAATAATTAATAGCTTACCAACCAAAAAAAGTCCAGGACCAGATGGATTCACAGCCGAATTCTACCAGAGATACAAGGAGGAGCTGGTACCACTCCTTCTGAAACTATTCCAATAAATAGAAAAAGAAGGAATCCTCCCTAACTCATTTTATGAGGCCAGCATCTTCCTGATACCAAAGCCTGGCAGAGACACAACAAAAAAAGAGAATTTTAGACCAATATCCCTGATGAACATCAGTGCAAAAATCCTCAATAAAATACTGGCAAACCGAATCCAGCAGCACATCAAAAAGCTTATCCACCATGATCAAGTGGGCTTCATCCCTGGGATGCAAGGCTGGTTCAACATACAGAAATCAATAAATGTAATCCAGCATATAAATAGAACCAAAGACAAAAACCATATGATTATCTCAATAGATGCAGAAAAGGCCTTTGACAAAATTCAACAACACTTCATGCTAAAAACTCTCAAGAAATTAGGTATTGATGGGACGTATCTCAGAATAATAAGAGCTATCTATGACAAACCCACAGCCAATGTCATACTGAATGGGCAAAAACTGGAAGCATTCCCTTTGAAAACTGGCACAAGACAAGGATGCCCTCTCTCACCACTCCTATTCAACATAGTGTTGGAATTTCTGGCCAGGGCAATCAGGCAGGAGAAGGAAATAAAGGGTATTCAATTAGGAAAAGAGGAAGTCAAATTGTCCCTGTTTGCATATGACATGACTGTATATCTAGAAAACCCCATTGTCTCAGCCCAAAATCTCAAGCTGATAAGCAACTTCAGCAAAGTCTCAGGATACAAAATCAATGTGCAAAAATCACAAGCATTCTTATACACCAATAACAGACAAATAGCCAAATCATGAGTGAACTCCCATTCACAATTGCTTCAAACAGAATAAAATACCTAGGAATCCAAATTACAAGGGAAGTGAAGGACCTCTTCAAAGAGAACTACAAACCACTGCTCAACAAAATAAAAGAGGATACAAACAAATGGAAGAACATTCCACGCTCATGGGTAGAAAGAATCAGTATCGTGAAAATGGCCATATTACCCAGGGTAATTTACAGATTCAATGCTATCCCCATCAAGCTACTAATGACTTTCTTCACAGAATTGGAAAAAACTACTTTAAAGTTCATATGGAACCAAAAAAGAGCCTGCATTGCCGAGACAATACTAAGGCAAAAGAACAAAGCTGGAGGCATCAGGCTACCTGACTTCAAACTATACTACAAGGCTACAGTAACCAAAACAGCATGGTACTGGTAGGAAAACAGAGATGTAGACCAATGGAACAGAACAGAGCACCCAGAAATAATACCGCATATCGACAACTATCTGATCTCTGACAAACCTGACAAAAACAAGAAATGGGGAAAAGATTCCCTATTTAATAAATGGTGCTGGGAAAACTGGCTAGCCATTCGTAGAAAGCTGAAACTGGATCCCTTCTTACACCTTATACAAAAATTAATTCAAGATGGATTAAAGACTTAACTGTTAGACCTAAAACCATAAAAACCCTAGAAGAAAACCTAGGCAATACTATTCAGGACATAGGCATGGGCAAGGACTTCATGTCTAAAACACCAAAAGCAATGGCAACAAAAGCAACAATTGACAAATGGGATCTCATTAAACTAAAGAGCTTCTGCACAGCAAAAGAAACTACCATCAGAGTGAACAGGCAACCTACAGAATGGGAGAAAATTTTTGCAATCTACTCACCTGACAAAGGGCTAATATCCAGAATTTACAAAGAACTCAAACAAATTTACAAGAAAAAAAAAAAGCAAACAACCCCATCAAAAAGTGGGCAAAGGATATGAACAGACACTTTTCAAAAGACTACATCTATGCAGCCAAAAGACACATGAAAAATTGCTCATCATCACTGGCCATCAGAGAAATGCAAATCAAAACCACAATGAGATACCATCTTACAACCAATTAGAATGGAGATCATTAAAAAGTCAGGAAACCACAGGTGCTGGAGAGGATGTGGAGAAATAGGAACACTTTTACACTGTTGGTGGGACTGTAAACTAGTTCAACCATTGTGGAAGTCAGTGTGGCAATTCCTCAGGGATCTAGAACTAGAAATGCCATTTGTCCCAGCCATTCCATTACTGGGTATATACCCAAAGTATTATAAAACATGCTGCTATGAAGACACATGCACACATATGTTTATTGCAGCACTATTCACAATAGCAAAGACTTGGAACCAACCCAAATGTCCAACAATGATAGACTGGATTAAGAAAATGTGGCACATATACACCATGGAATACTATGCAGCCATAAAAAAGGATGAGTTCATGTCCTTTGTAGGTACATGGATAAAGCTGGAAACCATCATTCTCAGCAAACTATTGCAAGGACAGAAAACCAAACACCGCATGTTCTCACTCATAGGTGGGAATTGAACAATGAGAACACATGGACACAGGAAGGCGAACATCACACACCGGGGCCTGTTGTGGGGTGGGAGGAGCGGGGAGGGATAGCATTAGGAGATATACGTAATGTTAAAGGAGGAGTTAATGGGTGCAGCACACCAACATGGCACATGTATACATATGTAACAAACCTGCACGTTGTGCACATGTACCCTAAAACTTAAAGTATAATAAAAAAAAAGATACTAGAGTATGTTCAAATAAATTTGACCTCAGAATAAAATCAGTAATGTATTATTAATTATGTAATTATTTTACTTTGGCTATTAACGTAGTAACATTTACAAATGGAGATTGTGGGAGCAATTGGCCAGTGGTGAAATGAAAGGGAAGAAGGGACTGCCTGTCTAATAAAGGGAACAAAACAAAGCAACATAATTGAAGACCTGCTTCCTCTACTCACTTCCAAACTTCCACAAACTAACCTGTTTATGCTGTTATCAGTGACGTATGTTTCAATATTTCTCTCAGCTGACTATCAAATAATGCTTTAACATTAATGACCTGTTACTTGATGCTGTGGTCTGAATACTTGTGTCCCCTCAACATTTATATGTTGAAAATTCATCACCAATGTGGTAGTATTAGGAGGTAGAGCCTTTGGGAGGTGACTACAGAGACCTAATGAACCAGATTATAAAAGGGCCCCCAGAGAGGTTTCTTGTCATTTTCCACTATATCAGGACACAGTAAGAAGGCACCATCTCTAAACCAGAACCTGGGTCCTCAGCAGACAGCAAATTTGCTGGTACTTTTATCTTGGACTTTCCAGCCTCCAAAACTTTGAGAAGTAAATGTTTGTTGTTTTAAAGCCGGTGAGTCTATGGTATTTTGTTATATTAGCCCTAACAGACTGAAGCACCTGATAATAGATTTTTATTTGGCCCTCATTACCCCAAGGTATTGACATTAAAATGAATGTACATTTTGAAAATAGAAATATTGGCATCATGATGGGCAGTTGAACTAATTGGGAAGAGGGCACAGCTAAAGAAGTGGTGGATAGGTTACCTTCTATCCAGTGAAAATCTTAGCTAGGCTTTATTCTCACCTCTAATACCAGCCAGTGTTCTCATATAGAGGCCAAGGAATACCCTATAATATCATTCACACCTTCTAGAAACAGAGATCCAGTGTTAGAACAAGATTCAGAACTGGGTATAGGTTAACTAGAAGGTAAGTCAGTTCACTAAAGCCAAGTTAAAAATATGCTGAGACAAGCAACAGGTCAACAGTTGCTTGTCAAGAGTTTTAATTTGAAAACCAAGGCACAGATATGGAATGCTCAAAGATATTCCTTTCAGGAACCCTTCTGAAGACCGAAAGATATTCTGGCAGAACATCATTCCCTGCATAGTGACAGCCAGTCATACTTAGGGCCTGGCATTTTTTCTTTTTTTTTTTGTTTGAGATGGAGTCTCGCTCTGTCACCCAGGCTGGAGTGTAGTGGCGCGATCTTGGCTCACCACAACCTCCGCTTCCCTGTCTCAAGCGATTCTCCTGCCTCAGCGTCCTGAGTAACTGGGATTACAGGCATGTGCCACCACGCCTAGCTAATTTTTGTACTTTTAGTAGAGACGGGGTTTCACCATGTTGGCCAGGCTGTTCTTGAACTCCCAACCTCAGGTGATCTGCCTGCCTCAGCCTCCCAAAGTGCTGAGATTACAGGTGTGAGCCACCATGCCCGGCCCTGGCATTTTTCCTAAATGTGCTGGTCACATATTCTAGTTATCTCACTGAAAAGGAGTGGCCTGCAGCATACCTGTCTGTAGCAATTCTCAGCTGAGATGAGGGTGACAGCAAGCCTGCTCATATGAAATCCTGAAGAGGTCTATTTACTCTCACAAAAGGCTAAAAGGAATGAACTGACAAGGCTCTCGGATAGCATCTATGCTGCTTTCCTCAGGCCAAGCAAACAATTGCTCCCAGAGAGCAAATGGACAAAATCAGAGGTAAATCATCATCCATACTGTATTACCTGCATCATTAGCTTCCATCCTTTTGGTCACACGACCTATGGAAATAAAATAGAGGAGCTTTTTTTTTTTTTCCTAACAGCACACTGAATTATAAAGGGTCTGTTATAAAGGGTCTCTTTATAATAGTAAATAATAAAACAAATGATCGCATTTTATTATTCTCCCAATTTCACATGTGTTGGAAGCATAGGGCCTTTATTTTGCGGGGAAGTCAGTGAAGAGAGCAAGAGCATAGTGAGTTCAAATGATTATTCTCAGGGACTTTGTAAGATATTTTATCAAATAATATTGCAATGTTATTACCTGTGCCAGTGACCATTTCAGCACTATATACATATTTTAAGTGAAGGTGAGGGGTGAGGTTGGGGAAGTAGTGATATACCTAAATAAACTCACAGGCCGGAGACCACAAAACACAAAGTAAAAAAATCTCTGTAGCATACTACCATTATTAACATTCAGCCTTGCAACACATGGAACAGATGCTTCCTCGAGTTCATGGGGGATTCAAAAACCTCTAGTTTTCTGCTGTTAGTTTCCCTGTGAGCCTTTTTAACTAACAAAACTACAACATATATAATATATATTCTCACCAGCAGTTCCTTTTCTTACAGATTTATCTGTTTTATTGATTTGTTGCATTTGAATTATCTTTCAATACCACGAAAATTACTCTTTTCTCAAAATTTTCCTTTTTCTCTCTCCTCATTATTCATAAGCCTCCCCCTGCAGCCTGCTTCCAAAAATTAAATTTTACAATGACAGGTGTTGCAAGACTGCCTTTCTTTTCATAATATGAGAGACTTATCTTAATATATTATGAGAAGCACTCTCATATTATATATATTTTATATATATACAGAGAGAGAGCAGTACTCATGAGAGTATTGTCTCTCTTCTCTTTCTCTCTTATATGTATGGGCACTGGTTATATATATTATATATTATATATATAAATGTATATTATATATAATATATATTTATATATAAAATAATATAAAATAATTTTTATATAAATATATAAAATATATAATATATATAATTATATATTATATTATATATAATATATATTATATATAATATAATATATATATAATATATAATTATATATTATATATGTTATATTATATATATAAAATATAATATATATAAAATATATATATAATATATATAATATATATAAAATATATATAATACATATATAAAATATATATATTATATATATATTATATATATAATATATATAATATATATTATATATAATTATATATAATATATATAATATATATTATATATAATTATATATAATATATATATAATATATATATAATATATATAAAATATATATAATATATATAAAATATATATAAATAAAATATATAACCAGTACACACACACACACACACACACACACACACACACACACACACATATATATATGTATTGGTACACACATATATATGTACTGGTTTTATATATATATATATGTACTGGTTATAATCAGTAAAATTCATTTATTAAAGATTCTTTCATATACACACACACACACACATAGAGAGAGAGAGAGAGAGAGAGAGACCGCACGCTCACTTCTGAAACAGTGCAAGGGGGAAGAGGGAAGGGAGGGCAACAAAGGAGAACCTTTCTGAGCAAACATTCCTACTCATTCTGTTGTCCTGTCATGAAATGCACATCAAACACAATTAGGCTAGGTTAGACAAGCAACCTCCAAGGAAGATATGAACTCTTCTGGAATGTGTACTAATGATTCATTGTCTATATCATTGACCTGGCATAGGGTTGTAAGGCAATATACTGTCTTTTAGAAAGTAATTATGTGGCAGTTTTAAATAATCTTTAGTAAACTCAAAAGGTTGAATGTGCTGCTCTGATCCAAATACCATGGCAAGATAAAAAAAAAAAATATGCCAATATGCTTCAAATTATCCAGATAAAGTGCTGACACATATCCTTTTAAAACATCTCTGGACTTGCCCCACCACTAAGACATGATGGGTTGAACTTGAGTCAGCATTGGAAAAGTATGGCCAGTTTCCTCCTTTATGAGTCTGGGTGAGGTGGTGCATGCTCGTGGGAAGGAAGAGGAAAACAGGGGTGAGGAAAAAAAAAAACTACTGGTTATAGTCAGTAAAATTCATTTATTTAAGATTAATTATTTCTACTCACTCTTAGACAACTGAACCAGCATCCCTCTAGAGAAGAGTAGCTAGGAAACTGCTTCTGGTTTTAGTAACTTTTAAATAATTGGAAATTTATGGAGGACTATGTGGAAGACTAAGGGACAGAATGTAATCCTCAAGTCTAAAAACATAATCCATTTACTACAGCAATGGTAATTGAATTCAAAGTATATTTATGATTTTTTTCCTGTAGTTAATGTGGTAAGTAGTATAAAAATAGATAAATTAGATTTTTCCCGTCATAGGTATAATTCCCCAATATAGGTATAATTCAAGTAGTATCAGGTAAATGTCTTAAGTGAAATGCAATAAACTGTTAAGCAATTTCAAGAAATGAGTCATTCCATAAAATTAGGAAATCAAAAAAGTTCTCCCAGAGTAAATGAGATTGACATATAAATGGATACAATTTGTATAAGGTCAGGGGATCAATGTGAGAAGTATCTCTGGCACATTGCTTGAAAGCAAAGGATATGCGAGATGGTAAATAGCTCAGTTTCACCATAGGCCAAGAAAAACGGAGTAGGAGAAAAACAAATGGAGGTGAATCAGGAAGGTGGGTAAAACTAACGTTAATGGAGGCTTTGGGATGTGAAAAAATAAGGTGCAATTAATTTTATGAAAAATATGAGAGTATTAAAGGAGTTCAAAGGTGAAGACTTAGAGTATTGCAGAGGTTTTAAAGAATATTTTTGGAGAAAAATACAACACAATTTGCAAGATCAAATGTAAGTATTTAGGTGAGTCAAAGATGATTGAAATTTATAATCTAAATGATAGAGAAACTTCGTAAGATGACTTATAGAGCTGTAAGAACAGTTTGGCTTAGTAGGGAATAAGATGACGTGTTTATTTGGGATGCTTTTATGAAAAAGAGGAAATAAATCAATGATGTAAGCTTCAATATTAAGAAACTAAAAAATAAAGAACAATTTAAACTGAAATATGTAAAGAGATGAAACAATAAAAAGAACAGAAATAATTTCTTAATGAAAAAATCTAGAAAAACTCATAAAAACTAAGACTGATTCTTCAAAAAAGATTAATAAAATTGATAAACTATCAGCATGGCAGATGAATGAAGGGAGAAAGCTGTAAAGAGAAAGAGAGAAAGAATAACTTACCAATATCAGGACTGAAAATGGACATACCACTACAGATCTTACAGACACTAAAATGTCAACATACAGGAGGGGCATCAAAATGGCTGCTTAGAGGCATTTGGTACTGGCCTCCTCCACAAAGCAAGAATAGCAAGTAATCATGCTTCAAATAGATCATCTGAAAGAGAACACACTAATTAAACAGAGAAAGAACAGGAAACACCTAAACCAAGGAAGAAGGGGGAAGTGAGGCAGCCAGCTCAAGTAAGATTGGCTAGGAGGCTAGAAGGACTCTCTAGTGTGGAGAAAGGATAAGGGAAAGACCTCAGTCCACATTCCCACCTCAGACTCCTGCTATGCTAGCACAAGAGACCTCAACCCTTGCAGGCCCTGAAACGAACATAGGGAGCTGCCTAGTGGCAGTGCAATGCCATTGATCCAAAGGAGGAGCTCATGCTGGTGCCAAACATCCCGAGTGCTAAGCAGCTACAGTGCCATTTTGAGAGCCCAGCCCCTACCAGACTACATCCTGCCCTGGGAAACAACAGCTCCTTTGTCTCCACAGGAGAAATTTTGACATTCTTTGTCCACGGCCACTGCCATGGCTGGCTGCTGCTGCCAGGGCCAAAGTGAGAGCTATTGGCAGCAATCCCACTGCCCCCACCAGTGGAGAAGCCACCATGCATTTTTACATGCCTCAGGAACCCTCACCTGCAGCTGCTGCCACCGCCAGGGTTAAAGCACAAGCCCCTGGTGGTGACCCCACTGCCTCTGGCAGCAGAACCGCTGTGCATTTATTGGCACCTTAAGGACAGGTTATCCCACCTGCCACCACCTAGAGTCGAAGCACATGCTCCCAAGCTGCCTGCCTGTGGCTGTTGCCACTGGCAACAGCTGTGCCTTTTCCAGTAGCAGGGCTGCAGTGCAGCTCCTGCTACTCCCACCCAAGCATTCTGCTGGGGTTCTAAAACCCCATCTGTGCTTACCACAGCCAGCACCTGCACACACCACCAGAGGGCCTAAGGACAGGTCCACCAGACCCATCTGTGCCACTTCCAGTGCCAAGCTTGCTATCTGAACGCTTGGGGATTACAAATCCCCATCCGTAACTGTTGCCATATGAGAATTCTCCCGGGTACCTGAGTTGAGGACCACACAACTAGCCCTTACCACCACACCTGGCACCTGCCTGCATGCACCACCTACAGGCCTAGGGACTACCCTGTCCACCCTATCAAAGCCAATGCCAAAACCAGTGCAGAGACTTCTTGGGAGCCAGAGGGTCATCCTGCCATTGCTATCATCATTAGTCATTTCATGCCCACTTGCCAGGGATCTAAGGACCCACCCATCTGTCCAGCCCATCTCTGCCACTACTGGCATGTGAGCAAACTGCCTAGAGGTGCAAAATTGGCCTACCTAAACCTGCTAAGACTAGTGCAAGTGTATGCCACCATGGGGCCCAAGACAGGCATGCTTGGCCCATTGCTGCACTACTAGGACCTAAGGACTGGCCCACTTGACATTTCCATCCACAGGGAAACTTCATCACAGCCACCAATAACAACTGCACCCCAACTCACTGAGGAAATCACAGACACCATTGATGCTGTTTACAGCTGAAAAAATCATATAGAGACTACACTACTGTACACATCCAGAAACAAAGCCAAAATACCCCACCCAACGAACACCATAGATACAACTTCAAGAAAATTCCTTACAGAAGCAAATTCAAAAAAACTAAAGAAGTGACTGGTACACCATATGAGAATCTATCAATGTAAGGATATAAGAAACATTAAAAAGCAAAGAAATACGACACTTCCAAAGGAACACAGTAATTCTCCAGCAACAGAGTCAAATGAAAATAAATTTATGAAATTTCGGAAAAATAATTCAAAATATGATAATGAAGATCCTCAGTGAATGTATTAGTCTGCTTTCACACTGCTGTAAAGAACTTCCCGAAACCGGGTAATTTACAAAGGAAAAAGGTTTAATCGACTCACAGTTCAGCATGGCTAGGGAGGCCTCAGGAAACTTACAATCATGGCAGAAGGTGAAGGGGAAGCATGGCACCTTTTTCACAAGGAGGCAGGAAGGAGAAGTGCTGAGCGAAGGGGGAAGAGCCCCTTATAAAACCATCAGATCTCGTGAGAACTCACTCCTTATCATAAGAACAGCCTGGGGAAACCGCCCTCATGATTCAATCACCTCCACCTGGCGTCTCCCTTGACACACGTGGGAATTAGGGGGATTAAAATTCAAGATGAGATTTGGATGGGGACACAAAGCCTAACCATATCAGTGAGAAACAAGAGAACACAGTAAAACTGTACAAATAAATAATTTAAAAAATACAGGATATGAATGATAAATTTACCAAAGAGTAGCTATCATTAAAAAAAAAAAAAAGAGCTTTTTTATATGCAGGGCCAAGATGGCCAACTAGAAGCAGCAATGATCGGAGGCTCCCGTTGCAAAGAACCAAAACAGTATGCAAATCCTGCACTGGCGACCGAGGTATTCAGGTTCAGTCATCAGGACTGACTAGGTGGCTGGTGTGACCCACAGAGAGGAAGGAAGAGCAGTGTGGTGTTGTGGCCCACCTGAGAGCCACAGGCGGCAGGGGAACACCCACCCCCAGCCAAGGGAGGTGGTGAGTGAGCATGCTACCCAGCATGGGAAACCGTGCTTTTTCCACGGAACTGTGCAACCTACAGATCGGAAGATCCCGCTCATAAGCTCACACCACCAGGGCCTTGGGTCCCAACCACGGAGCCACATAGATTCTCAACAGCCACGCAGCTGAAATCTGCCTTATCCTGCTGAGTTCCCCAGGCTGGGAGGGGCAGCCATCACCACTGCAGCTGCTGCTTGCTATCTAAGCCTTTTGAGCTCACTGGGGGAAGGGGCGGCAGCCAACACTGTGGCTGCTAGCTATTTAACCCACTAAGCTACAGGTGGGCAGCCCAGCAGCCATCACTGTAGCTCCAGGCCACACTTTTCCCCTGCTGGAGCCAGGGAGGCTGGATGGCTTGGTCCCAAGAGGTATTCTCCACAGCCCAGCACACCAGCTGTGGCAGACCATGGCCAGATTGCCTCTTCAGGCCAGACCCTGATCCATTTATCCTCACTGGGCGGGGCCTCCCTGAAGGAGTTTTAACAACTCCAGCCAGGGTCTGGGGACAGAACTCTGATCTCCCTGGGCCTGAGACCCTAGGGGGAGGGGTGCCTATAGTGCAAGTGGACCAGCAGACTTAGTCTTTCTCCTGCTAGCTCTGAGGAATCTGGGCATCATAGACGAGTGGGTTTCTCTGCAGCACAGCACACACCCCCCCCCTTCACCAAGGGACAGCCAAAGTGCTTCATTAAGTGCGTTCTGCTTCCTGTGCCACCCAACTGGGTGAGACCCCTACAACAGAGGTCATCAGACACTTCATATAGGAGCATTCCTACTGGCATCAGGTCGGTGCCCCTCAAGGTCAGAGATCCCAAAGGAACCACCCATCTTTGCTGTTCTCCAGCCTCCATGAGTGACATCTCCAGGCGCGGGAGCAAACCAGATGAATAGGACCTGAAGTGAACTCTCAGAAAACTGCAGCAGCCCTACAGAAGAGAGACCTGACCATTGAAAGAAAAAACAAAAAACAGAAATCAACAACAACAGCACCAACAAAAAAAGTCGCCACAAAAACCTCATCCAAGGGTCAGCAGCCTCAAAGATCGAAACTAGACAAACTCAGGAAGATGAGAAAGAACAAAAAAAGGCTGAAACCCAAAAGGCCAAATGATCGCAACTCCTCTCCAGCAGGGGCATAGAACTGGACAGAGGATGAGATGGATGAATTGACAGAAGGAGGTTTCAGAAGGTGAGTAATAATAAACTTCGCTGAGGTAAAGAAGCATGTTCTAACCCAGTGCAAAGAAGCTAAGAACCATTATAAAAAGTTATAGGAGCTGCTAACTAGAATAACCAGTTTAAAGCATAACAAAAATGACCTATTGGAGCTGAAAAACACAGCACGAGAACTTTGTGAAGCATACACAAGTATTAATAGCCTGATTTCAATCAAGCAGAAGAAAGAATATCAGAGATTGAAGACTATCTTGCTAAAATAAGGCAAGCAGACAAGAGTAGAAAAAAAATGTAAAGGAATGAACAAAACCCCCAAGAACTATGGGACTACGTAAAAAAAAAGTGAACCTACAACCAACTGGAGTACCTGAAAGAGATAGGTAGAATGAAACCAAGTTGGAAAACACACCTCAGGATATTATCCAGGAGAACTTCCCCAACCTAGCAAGACAGGGCAACATTCAAATTAAGGAAATACAGAGAACCTCACTAAGATACTCCCTGGGAAGATCAACCCCTAGGCACATAATCATCAGATTCTCCAAGGTTTAAATGAAGGAAAAAATGTTAAGGGCAGCCAGAAAGAAAGTCCAGGTCACCTACAAAGGGAAGCCCATCAGGTTTAACAGCAGATCTCTCAGCAGAAACCATACAACCCAGAAAAGAGTGGGGGCCAATATTCAACATTCTTAAAGAAAAGAATTTTCAACCCAGAATTTCATATCTGTCCAAACTAAGCTTCATAAGCGAAGGAGAAATAAAATCCTTTTCAGACAAGCAAATGCTGAGGGAATTTGCCACCACCAGGCCTGCCTTGCAATAGCTCCTGAAGGAAACACTAAACATGGAAAGGAAGAACTGGTATCAGACACTGCAAAAACACACCAACATATAAAGACCAATGACACTATGAAGAAACTACATCAACTAGTGTACAAAATAACCAGATAGCATCATGATGACAGGATCAAATTCACACATAACAATATTAACCTTAAATGTAAGTGAGCTAAATGCCCCAATTAAAAGGCACAGACAGGCAAATTAAATAAAGAGCCAAGACCCATCAATATGCTGTATTCAGAAGACCCATCTCATGTGCAAAGACACACAGGCTCACAATAAGGGAATGGAGGAAAATTTACCAAGTAAATGGAAAGCAGAAAAAAACAGGGGTTGCAGTTTTAGTCTCTGACAAAACAGACTTTAAACCAACAAAGATAAAAAAAGACAAAGAAGGGCATTACATAATGGTAGAAGGATCACTTCAACAACAACAGCTAACTATCCTGAATACATATGTACCCAATACAGTAGAACCCAGATTCATAAAACAAGTTCTTAGAGAACTACAAAGACACTTGGACTCCCACACAATAAGAGTAGGAGACTTTAACACCACACTGTCAATATTAGATGGATCATCAAGACAGAAAATTAACAAGGATATTCAGGACTTGAACTCAGCTCTGAATCAAGTGGACCTAATACATATTTACAGAACCCTCCACCCAAAAACAACAGAATATACATACTTTTCAGTGTCACATAGCACTTACTGTAAAATCGACCACATAATTGGAAGTAAAACACTCCTCAGAACATAATGCAACCAAATTAGAACTCAAGATTAAGAAACTCACTCCTCTCCAACATAGTATCGGAAGTTCTAGCCAGGGCAATCAGTCAAGAGAAAGAAATAAAGGATATTCAAATAGGAAGAGAGGAAGTCAAATTGTCTCTATTTGTAGATGACATGATCCTATATTTAGAAAACCCCATCGTCTCAGCCCAAAAGCTCCTTAAGCTAATAAGCAACTTCAGCAAAGTCTCAGGATACAAAATCATTGTGCAAAAATCACAAACATTCCTATACACCAATAACAGACAAGCAGAGAGCCAAATCATGAATGAACTCCCATTCACAATTGCTAAAAAGAGAATAAAATACCTAGAAATACAGCTAACAAGGAACATGAAGAACCCCTTCAAGAAGAAGTACAAACCACTGCTCAAAGAAATAAGAGAGGATACAAATAAATGGTAAAACATTCCATCCTCATGGGTAGGAAGAATCAATATCATAAAAATGGCCATACTGCCCAAAGTAATTTATAGATTCAATGCTATTCTCATCAAACTACCATTGACAGTCTCCAAAAATTTGGAAAAAAACTACTCTAAAATCCATATGGAACCAAAAAAGAGCCTGTATAGCCAAGACAATCCTAAGCAAAAAAAAAAAACAAAGCTGGAGGCATCATGCTACCTGACTTCAAACTATATTACAAGGCTACAGTATCCAAGACAGCATGGTACTGGTACAAAAACAGATATATAGACCAAGGTAACAGAATAGAGACCTCAGAAATAACAACACACATCTACAACCATCTGATCTTCAACAACCTGACAAAAACAAGCAATGGGAAAAAGACTCCCTATTTAATAAATCATGCTGGAAAACTGGCTAGCCATATGCAGAAAACTGAAACTGGACCCCTTCCTTACACCTTATACAAAAATTAACTCAAGATGGATTAATACTTAAATGTAAAACCCAAAACCATAAAAACCCTAGAAGAAAACCTAGGCAATACCATTCAGGACATAGGCATGGGCAAAGACTTCATGACTAAATCACCAAAAGCAATTGCAACAAAAGCTAAAATTGACAAATGGGATCTAATTAAACTAAAGAGTTTCTGCACAGCAAAAGAAACTATCATCGGCGCAAACAGGCAACCTATAGAATGGGAGAAAATTTTTGCCATCTACCCATCTGACAAAGGTCTAATATCCAAAATTTACAAGATACTTAAACAAATTTACAAGAAAACATTAAAAAGTGGGCAAAGGACATGAACAGGTACTTCTCAAAAGAAGACACTTATGTGGCCAAAAAACATATTTTAAAAAGCTCAACATCACTGATCATTAGAGAAACGTAAATCAAAACCACAATAAGACATCATCTCACTCCTGTCAGAAAGGCGATTATTAAAGTCAGGAAACAACAGATGCTGGTGAGGCTGTGGAGGAAGCTCCACACAGTTGGTGAGAGTGTAAATTAGTTCAACCATTGTGGAAGACAGTGTGGAGATTCCTCAAGGATCTAGAACCATAAATACCATTTGACCCAGCAATCCCATTACTGGGTATATACCAAAAAATATATAAATCATTCTATTATAAAGACACATGCACACATATGTTTACTGCAGCACTATTCACAATAGCAAAGACATAGAATCAACCCAAATGCCCATCAATAATAGACAGGATTAAAAAAATGTGATACATATACACCATGGAATACTATGCAGCCATAAAGGGAATAAGATCATGGATGAATCATTGTCCACAGCAAACTAACACAGGAACAGAAAACCAAACATGTTCTCACATGTTCTCACTCATAAGTGGGAGCTGAACAATGAGAACACATGAATACAGGGAGGGAAACAATACACCCCGGGGTTTGTCAGGCAGGGTGGGGGTGAGGAGAGTGAGAGCATCAGGACAAATAGCTAATGCATGCAGGGCTTAAAACATAGGTGACAGGTTGATAGGTGCAGCAAACCACCATGGCACATGTATACCTATGTAACAAACCTGCACGTTCTGCACATGTATCCCGGAACTTAAAGTAAAATAAAAACAAAAATAATAGAAATTATAAAACTGAGTAATTTATTGACTGAAATACAAAAAGACAAAAGCATTGACAATAAATTAGACCAAGCAGAAGAAAGAATTTCAGAAGCTGAAGACAGACAGATCTTTTGTAGTACTCTAGTGATACAAACATTTAAGAAGATAATAAAAAAGAATAAACAAAGCCTATGTGATACAGGGGACATCTTAAAGCACCAAATATCTGAATTTTCAGTATCCCAGAAGATGAAGAGGAAACAAAAGAAATAGAAAACCTATTTAACAAAATAATAGCTTAAATTTCCCAAGTGTAACAAGAGATTTAAACTTCCAGATATAGGAAGCTCAGAAATTCCCAAACAGATACACTTCAAAAATGGCACATTTCGAAAATGGCACATAATGTACAAACTGTCAAAAGTCAAAGACAAAGAGAGAATTCTAACAACAGCAAGAGAAAAGCATCTAGTCACTTATGAAGGAACCACCATCATACTAACAGTAAATTTCTCAGCAGAAACCTTACAGGCTAGGAGAGAATGGGATGATATATTCAAAGTGATGAAAGAAAAAAAACTGTCAATCAAAGCTACTACATCAAGCAAAATTATCCTTCATAAATGAAGGGAAATAAAATCTTTCCTAAACAAGCAGAAGCTGAGGGAATTCATCACTAGACTGGCCCTACAAAAAATGCTTAAGAAAGTCCTGCACCTGGAAGCAAAATAAATATATCTATCATCATGAAAACACATGAAAGTATAAAACCCACTAGTAGAGCAAGCACATAAATAAGGAAGATAAATAACTCAAATGTTACCACTATAGAAAACCACCAAACCACAATGATAAACAATAAGAGAGAAATAAAGGAATAAATGATACACAAAACAATCAGAAACCAATTACTGTAATGACAAGAATAATTCTTTACATATTAATAATAATATTAAATGTAAATGGACTAAACTTTCCACTTAAAAGATATAGACTGGCCAAAGGCTTAAAAAAATTATGACCCAACTGTGGAGGCTGCCTACAAGAAAATAAAGCTCACCTGTAAAGACATATATAGACTGAAAGTAAAGGGGTGAAAAGAGATATTCCATATGAAGGAAAACCAAGAGTGAGCAGAGTAGCTATACCTAACAGTGGATAAAACAGTCTTTAAGTCAAAAATAGTAGTAAGAGTAAAAGAAGGTCATTATATAGTGATATAAGAGTCAATTCAGCAAGAGAATATAACAATTCTAAACATATATGCACCCAAAACCAGAGCATGGAGCTACATAAAGCACATATCATCAGATCTATAGGAAAAGATAGACTCCAACACAATAATTGTTTGGGACTCCAATACCCCACTCTCAACATTATGAATATTATCAAGACAGAAATTAACAAAGAAACATGAGATTTAAACTGCACTTTAGACTAAATAGACCTAGCAGATATTACATTTACAGTACATTTTATCCAAAAGCTACAGAATACAGTCTCCTCATTAGTACAATAAACATTCTCCAGGATAGATTATTTGTTAGGTCACAAAACAAGTCTCAACACATTTTTAAAACTCAAAATTATATCAAATATCTTCTCAGACCATAATGCAATAAAACTAGAAATCAATTAACATGAGGACTTTGGGGAAAATGTACAAATACATAGAAGTTAAACAACTACTCCTGAATGATCAATGAGTCATGGAAGAAATTAAGCAGGAAAACAAAAAGTTTTTCTGAAACAAGTAAAAATCAAAACACCAAATACCAAAACCTGTAAGATAGAGCAAAAGCAGTGGTAAGAATTTTATAGCAATAAACACATGCATCAAAAAAGTAGAAAGATTTAAAATAATCTAATGATGAAACTCAAGAAACTAAAAAGCCAGAACAAACCAAACCCCAAATTTGTAGAAGAAAAGAAATAATAAAGACCTAAGCAAAAAAAGAGCCCCCAAAAAACACAAAGGATCAATGAAACAGAAAGTTGGTTATTTTGAAAAGATAAACAACATGATTGAATGCTAGCTTATCTAACCAAAAATAAAATAGGGAAGATCCAAGTAAACAAAATCAGAAACAAAAAGGAGACATTACAAATGATACCATAGAAATAATAAAGATTAGAGACTGTTACAAAAAATTACACATTAATATACTGGAAAACCTAGAAGAAATGGATGAATTCCTGAACACATACAACCTACCAAGATTGAATCAGGAACAAATTGAAAACCTGAACAGACCAATAATGAGTAAAAGATCAAGTCAATAATAAAACGTTTCCCAACAAAGAAAATTCCAGGACCACATGGCTTCACTGCCAAATTCTACTAAACTTAAAAAGAAGAAATAAGACCAATTCTCCTCAAACTATTTCAAGAAAACATAAGAGGTGGCAATTCTCCCAGTCTCATTTGAAGAGGCCAACATTGATTTGGACCTGATACCAAAACCAGAAAAGAATGCAACAAACAAAGGAGACTATAGGCCAATATCCCTGATGAACATAGACACAAAAATTCTGAACAAAATATCAGCAAACAAAATCCAACAGTACATCAAAAGTATAATATAGCATGATCAAGTGGGATTTATTCCAGAGATGCAAGGATAGTTTAACATCCATAAACCAATAAGCATGATGCATCACATCAACAGAATGAAAGACAAAAACCAACAAATCAGGCATTAAAGGAACATATCTCAACGTAATAAAGGCCATATATGACAAACCTACAGGTAACATAGTGAATGGGGAAAAGCTGAAAGCCTTTCCTTTAAGAGCTGGAAGAAGATAAGGATGCACACTGTCACCACTTTTATTCAACATAGTACTGGAATTTCCAATCAGAGCAATCAGACATGAGAAAAAAAAAAAGGCACCCAAATCGGAAAAGAGGAAATAAAATTGTCTCTCTTTACAGATAATATGATCACACACACACACACACATATATATATACATGCACATTTGTGTGTGTTTGTGTAACCACCTAGACTATATCAAAAAATATTTTAGATATGATAAACTTGAAGAATAGGAAAGTGATGGAGTGTAAGGAGAAATAATGATGGTCAGCAAGAGTAATTTCAAATTTTAAGATCTTAGAACATTTATTAATGATAATGTGGTCCAAATGTGATATATATTAAAAAATCAGGGTAATTCTGAAGTTATTCAAATAATGGTAGAACAAAAGGAAAATACAAATTAGGAGGCCAATGCTAAAGTTGTTATGGAATATACAAGGCCATCTTTGAGTTTGTCTCAAAACAACAAAAATGGGAAGAGTATTCTGTTTCTAGGCCATGCCTGTCATTTGCCAAGTAATTACTATATGGCAGCCATTGTTCTAGTCACATACCTTTATTAGGACATTTTACCCTCACTCTGGAGATGCTAAGTAGGTGTTCATAACTTCAATTTATAGATAATCACACTGAGATGCCAAGGTTAATAAACTATCCAAGATCTCCCATTTACACAGTGGTGAAGGCAGAACATAAACTCAGATGTATGTGCCTTCAAAGCCCATAGTCTTACTACTACATCACCAGCCTCAACACTTTAAAAATAAAAATTGATCCACAGTAGCATTATTAGAGAAGTGTGGTAACACTGCATTCTTATGAGGTGCCATACATGGTGCTAATTATTTCACTTACATCATTCTATTTAACATTCACAAAAAAGCAAAGAAGCCACTATTGTGTACTTCCATTTTAGAGGAGAACAGAATTTACACTTCAAAAATTTTTTCAGGCCAGGCCTGGTGACTCATGCCTGTAATCCCGGCACTTTGGGAGGCCAAGGCAGGCGGATCACGAGGTCAGGAGATCGAGACCATCCTGGCCAACATGGTGAAACCGTCTCTACTAAAAATACAAAAATTAGCTGGGCATGGTGGTGCGATCCTGTAGTCCCAGCTATTCGGCAGGCTGAGGCAGGAGAATCGCTTGAACCCAGGAGGCGGAGGTTGCAGTGAGCCTAGATCGCACCACTGCACTCCAACCTGGTGACAGAGTAAGACTTCATCTCAAAAAAAAAACCAAAAAAAAAATTCAAATTTGGGTCATCAAGTTAGTAATCTAGGACTCCTAAGATCTGTCTGACTCCCAAAGACACTATGTGACACTCCCGCTTTGATCATTCTTGGATTTCAATAAACAAAATACTGTTGAGCAAAGATGATAACCTATTCATCTGAGATAGAAGCAGAAATTACTGGCATTCTTTTTACTGGCATTCTGAATTAATAAAAACCATAGACTCCCTATTCAAGAAGGTCCAAAGTGAAATGATGTTATGAAGAGAATTCAGGTTTTAATTAGAGAAAAAACATGAAGGTGGAGAGCAAGCAAAAGCCTGGTGAGAGGAATAAGAGAACAAAATGGACACAAACATTGTCTCAGAGTTATGGAATGGAAGGAGAAATATAGCTTGAAGACTGTTTAGAAGCCTTATGAGGGAAGTGCATTCAGTTAGAGGCTGAGTGTTTTCCTAAAAATGTGGTAATTCTCCGGGGAGAAGAATGTCACTACATGATTGCCAGATGCCCTGAATGCCTTGAGATGAATGGGAAGGGTACACTTTTCCTACTGAAAGTCAGGGAGTGTTCTGATATCCACCCAACTCCTGTTTGCCATTTTCTTCTATCACAGCAGCAGGGCACGTATTTACAGAGGCTACAGCAAGATAATCAAGAAGCAGACTGTCCACTGACGATGGTGATGTGATGGAATGGAAACATGCCTAAGGAAGGAGAAAGGAATAAAAGGAGGAAGGAAGGGCAGCTCAGCCAAGCAATCACTTTGTTCCAGCAGCCATGAGATGTTTTCAATTGAACATTTGTTACAGTAACAGATCTATTTGTCTCTATCCAGGCAGAAGGTCACAAAATAATGTTAGAATCAAACTATAAAATTCCAGCACAGAACATTTACTTGATATCCCTTTAGGTTCTATTGCTTTATATTAAAAGTAACTATTTATCCATCAACCCATAAACTCAATTATGTATAGTTCTTTAGTCCACCTAATTTTACTTCTGGTTGTGATTAAAGAAAATCAAATATTTTAATGCATTGTAGAATTCATTACAATTATTTATTCAACTAAACTGATAAACTGATCTGTGGCATGAAAAATTATATTACCTAATTTAGTGACAAAAATTCATTTTTATAACATTTATAATATACAAAATATGTGCAAATTAAAAATTGCTAATACAGTCAGTAGCAATTGAAGATATGATGTTGATGAATGTGATAATAATATTGTTTAGTGAACATGAATCTTTACTATTTCACTAATGACTAATCACCAATTTATTACATTATTTTATTTGAGGCACTATAAAATGGTGAAAGGAAATATAAGATGAATAATGTGAGCTAAAATTTTGAGTAATTTCATTAAAACATTATTTTAATAAACACTATTTTATTGGGACCAAAGAAGTCATATCTCATCCAAGATGCAAAGCACTGAGAGATGTGTTCCTCCTGTTTTCCTATTTTTGTCACTCAGATAATTCACAGGAGGAAGCTGAAAGGCATTTTTCAGCCTTACGGGTTCAAGGCCAGCATGTAAGGGGCTCTGGATGTCACTACCAAGGGTCATTTAGTTTAAGCTAGAACGTTTATGCAGGAGTCAGCAGATACCTGAATTCTCCACCCTACTGACATCCTTTAAAGAAACCTGCTAAAGCTAGGGCCCATCTAGTTACACTGTAGGCCTGAGCTCCAGGAATGGGACCAGGACCCTGTATTTTCCATTTTTGTAGGGCAACAATGAAAGCAGGCTATTAAATGGAAGATAAAGAATCTCAACTTCCATTTTTAAAAGGTTCCATAGCTGGAAATGCTAACTTCCCAAAGGCTGCAAAAAAAAAAAAAAAATCATCCTAACATCAAAAGACTTTTTCCTAACTGCCCACCTCATAACTTTCACACTTCATTTTGTTTCCTTCCTAATCTCTTCAGGCCAGCTTTCCTTAATCCCCACCACAATTTTGCCAGCGCACTTTTGCACACAGGCCTCCACTTCTCTTTTGCAATCTCCTTCTCACCCCATCTGAAATGTCTTCACCTCCTCTTTCATAATCCATGACCCTGCCTCTTCTTAAAACCTTTCCTTTAAACTTCAGATCCGATAATCACTGCTCCTCTAACTTGTATAGTATGAACCTTGAAAGGGTCTTTAAAATGAAAACGTCATCTGGTTAGTTTTTGCCCTTATGCAATCATTTGCCTGAATCTCTGGGGAAAGCAAAGTTGTTTCAGGATGGCAGAAAAAGGAATTTGAAGGAGATTTTGAGCTGATGAATAGATAGCTAAAATGTATGTCTATGGTTATACTCCGTAAAATCTGCAGAACTCATAGTGTAAAATAATTAATAGAGAAAAACAAATTCCAAATGTTTCCTTTTCCAAGTATTATGTCAGTCTCAGAATGACTGTCAAGAATGCTGTCAGAAATAAGATGCTGTCAGGACTACTGTCTTTCAAAGTATAACTTGCATTTGTCTGAAGTAGCTTTAATTCATTTGCTGTGCTCTTTGTGAGCATTTATTCTGCTCTCAGCATGGCAGTATTGCAGAATGAGAGCTGTAAGGGACCTCAGGAATCCTATCACACCCCTTGCCCTCATTACTTTTCTGTAAAAAAAAAATCATTGTGGGAGTGTGACAAGTAAAATATTTGTGCAGTTTCTCATGTACTGCCACATAATAGATGAAAAAATAAGCATGTTGATATGTATACTGTGCCTACACCTCAGTCCCCAGGCATTTTAAAGGTGGAGGCACAGTAGGAGTTGGGAATTTTTATTAATAGTCAATAAAAAAACCTTGCATACTTTGTCTCGTTGACCCAGTTTATCTTCCTCAGGATAAACTGTGCTGGATGATGAGGCAGAAGACCTGACCATACCTGGCCACAACTGGCTATGTGTGGAAACTTGGCAATTCATTCCACAGTATCTGTCTGAGCCTCAGGTTTTCCAGCTGTAAAATGAAGAAAATGGTCTTTGTCTCCACAGAGTTAAGAGATCAAGTGAGACGCATTTTGTAACTTCCAGTGTGCTTTACAGCTATAATAACATCAGTTCATTCCTGCTTTCTGGAGGTTTCTGAGGTAGATAAAGCAATAACTGCATTTTTACCTGGATAAGTTAAACATTTTCCAATTCCAAGATAACATATTTCAACAACAATGAAGATAAAAATGCTCCTTTTCACTGAGCTTGCACTAGCCGCTTGCTTATGAAACTCTGCTGCCCAACAATGTTTAAACATCTCTTTGCTTATCTTAATATAATGAAGTCAAGGTTCTGATAGAGAAAAGAAATATATTTTAATAGAAGAAAGAGTAAATTTCATATTATAAATGTTTATTAACAATGTTTATTAGTAGTGATATCTATAAATTGACATATTCAAAAATTTTGAAAAGATCTCTCCTATAATTTGTAAAATATTCTACTCTGTAAAATATTAAAATTCTTTTTTTATAAAAGTTAATGATTATGGCCAAGAACTGTTAGTTGTGATAGTATATAATCATTTTTTCTTTATTGTATCATTTAGCAAGATTATTTAAATCTTTTTTTTTTTTTTTTTTTTCAGACAGAGTCTCGCACTGTCACCGGGGCTGGAGTGTAATGGCGTGATCTTGGTTCACTGCAACCTCTGCATCCCAGGTTCAAGTGATTTTCCTGCCTCAGCCTCCTGAGTAGCTGGGAATACAGGCACCTGCCACCACATCCAGCTAAGTTTTTGCATTTTTAGTAGAGACGGGGTTTCACTATGTTGGCCAGGCTGGTCTCAAACTCCTGACCTCGTGATCCGCCTGCCTTGGCTTCCCAAAGTGCTGGATTACAGGGGTGAGCCACCACACCTGACTGGTTATTTAAATCTTAAGATAAACTCATAAAAACATATTACATAAAAAAGTTCTAAAGTTTGTCCAGAAACAGAATTTAAGGCTGAAAACATTGTTAAAATAAATTTAAATGGCTCTGTGTGCCTCAGTGGAAATAAGCACCATGAAATTATGAAATATATTACTAAAACGTTGTAAAAGGAGCGGCATAGCTTTGGATTCTTTTCATCGCCCATTCCCAGTTGTAAATTATTTGCAAGTTCACCAAATTTAAAAATAAAACTGTGAATATTTATGACGCAAATAATTTCAATTCCCTTTGTTGAACAGAAATCTCTTTTGTCCCACCTCTGCTTATTGATTAATCATTATTTTATTTTTGTGATAAAAATTAAAATATGCTTTGTTGTATACTATGTCCAACTAAAAGGATAAACTGAAAAATTAATATATTTTAGCCCTTTTGAATTTCATTTACTATAATGAAAATTTTTATTACTATGAATAAAAAACAATTCAAATTGCCTGTGAAATAATCCTTTCTTATTTCTCCATGTGCTGTAGTTGGGTTTTGACAACAGATTAAAGAGTCTTTAGAAACATGAAAAACATGAGTTTAAGTTTTTTTCATTTTAAGCCACTGTCATTTTGCATTTCTTTGGAAAAATAATTTTTTGCTTTCATTACTTTTGAGAATGTGCTACGCCATCAGATAGATTAAAAATCCCCTTCTAGTAACCAATAGCCAAGCCTTTTAGAGAACTGAAAATGTCTAAGGCAAAGAGGGTATAATTAGTTAAATTAGGGAACTAAAAATAGAGAAAAATTCAAGAAAAATTTAATTTACATTAAAGGAAAAAAGCAATAAGCAATTATTTTACAAGGGAAGAAACGTGACAAAAAGTACAGTACTTTTTGTTATTAATAGAAGAACTATAGCTTTTACTGTCTTTTCCCGTTAGTTAACTGAAAGATTCAGTGATCGTGCTTTCTCAATCAATCTAACTATAATTTGCTGATGGTATTTTGAAAGAGACTTTGGAAGGAGCATACACAATTAAAGTTCTTAGTCTTCACCCTTATTTTACTTATAACACTAGAAATTAAAAATACATGTAATTTTCCTCTCACATTTTGTTCTGTACCTAACCATGTACTATCTAGAGATATTAATCAGGCATTGAGCATTAAAAATTGATTCCACAGCCTGATCAACATGGTGAAACCCCATCTCTACTAAAAATACAAAAATTAGCTGGGCATGGTGGTGTATGCCTGTAATCCCAGGTACTCAGGAGGCTGAGGTGGGAGAATTGCTTGAACCCGGGAGGCAGAGGTTGCAGTGAGCCGAGATCATGCCACTGCACTCCAGCCTGGGCAACAGAGCGAGACTCCATCTCAAAAAAAAAAAAAAAAAAATATATATATATATATATATATATATATATATATATATATATATATATATATTCCAAAGTATGAGTTTGCATCAGACCTGCCTGACTGCTGCAGCACACAGCCAAGCCTAAAACAATGGAGCCACAGGCTTTCCCTTGGTCTATTCTATTCAAATACATAATTACACAATTCAGGACTATTGGTTCAATAAAGAAATTTCTAGAAAATTGAATATTTTGTCAAAAACCCAGGTTATCTTCTGAAGGGAGGGATGCTTGGGAAGGAATGACTTGGCTACGAACTAGTCATTGACCTTAAAGAAGTCGTTTTTATCCTCTGGGTGTAGACTTCTGTAACCTAAATGTAGTGAATATTTTACCACTTCTTACAGCAATGCCAAGGAAAGGCAACAAGAGAACACACAGAAAGTACAGTGGTGGAAGTGTTCAGGGCACTGCTACATGGGTAAAGAAGAATAGCTTATGTCTGGACAACTTTTGATTTCACTCAAATGCAAGTGTCCTTACAGTATCTCCAACTCTGTAACTGCAAGTAGGTGACACACCTGATTCCTCACCAAATACAAAATAACGTGCAAAATTGGGAATATTCTTTTGCCCATGCTCCCTTTCTTTAGGCTGCTCCTCAGATTTAAGAATTAAGTTTTAAATACAAGGTCTAAACAGTAACCTAATTCTTGGAGTCAATAGAAAGGGGCAAATGCTGAGGATTTTCTACTGATGTGTCCTACAGAAAATGAATTTGTATAGAAGATAAAGAGCTTCTCAACTGAGTCAGAGTTAGGGGCCCCATCCTATGTGATCCTGTACTTAGCCTTACCATACCGGTGATCAGAATGGAAATATTACAATCAACCCTTTGTAGAGCTCCTGCATCATGAGAGCCCTGAGAGTAGGGTATAAACCACTGTGAAACAGGGATTGCAAATAATTTGATCACTGCAGCCTGGCTCGTGGCTTTCCTAGTGAGGTGAAGGTGTTGTGTACTTGCCTTGTGCTCCCTATGTAAACCTCCATTCTCCCCCATATATTCCTCCATTCCTTTCCATATATCTCTCTATTGCTCCAAAGCCTCAATGAGAATGTACTAGTTTCTATCAAAAGGTTGGTGACTTTTGACTCTAAACCTGTAGATTTGAGGAAGGTGAGTATCTCTTTTTCCAGTACATTATAATCTCTAAAAATATTAATGCAGTTGGAATTATGTACTAAGTATTAAATTGCATAAATTTCTACATAAGAATTTTGTTCAGGAGTTTCATTGTTTGACTAAATATGTTCTGTGGAATATACGGTATCAGGGAAAAAATAATCTTTTATTAAAAATATTTGTTGACCTTTATTGTCCATCCTTTAAAACATTTTTAAAGTATTTTTGCTTGCATGGCCCTTTTGTAATTGTCCTTTACCTTAAAAAGTCAAAAAAGAAAGATTGCAGTCTTGGGAACATATAAAAAAGGGATTCAATTTGCACAATTAGGAAGCATATTGCAGCTTTCCCATCAGAATATATCAAAACTCTCATTTTCCTGTCATTTTTACCAAGCAAGCGCATAGTTACTATGCCTACCTATTGTCACCAAACTAAGGCTTATTCTATTATCTACATCATCAAGGAGAATTCAACTGCTACTGTTGATGAAGCATGCCATTCCTAGCTCTTTTATGCTGCATGCTTACAGTGGCATACTTATCTAGGGTAACACAGTTCTGTTTGCCAAAATGCCCTCTAGCAATGATTATGTTAGGTTAGGGGAGATGAATAGAAAGACTAAGAGCAGTCAATAATTTAATGAACTCCTGAGAATATTCACCTAAAAGAAATCAACCCCAAAAGTCAATATAATGAATATAACACATTCACACCTATGATAAAATAAAAAATAAATATGAAAGTTTGCTGACAACCTATGTACCCGTATTAAGATAACTTGGAGTTCTTGCAAGTTGCTGGCATGTTAAAAAATATTAAGTCCATACTGCAGTATTTCTCTAGTGAAGAAGAGATAAATGCCAGATATTAGGAAACATTTCTTTTTTATGTAACCATTGTATTAAACAATGAAGGGCAAACTCAAAGTGGTTTGAACTTGGAGATAAGCCCTGGAAAGACAGGTTAGCTGTCAAACTGTCTTCATTTTTCAAGAAAACAAAGCAAAAGATAAGTTAAAACTCACCAGTGGAAAAGGGTGATGGGGAAGGGACTTAGTTGAGAAAAGCAACTGAGATTGGAAGGAAAAAGACGTGAAAGTATAGAAGGAACGCAAAAAGCCACCTCTTCTGCATTTTCCCCCAGTAAGTGTAGCCATTTCCATAGTACCTTATCTACATTCCATTCAACAACATCAAAACCTCCCATCAACATGCCTGTCTAGTTTAGAGTCTTTGTTACCCACTTTTCCTCCTTGAGACACTGAACCTTGCAAAGGAGGTGCCAGGCCATATTTCCTTTCCGACAAACAAAATCTAAGTCATTAAACTTTTCTGTGCTTACATCCTTAATCCATTAAGTTTTTTTAATTTTAAAAAATTTCTGTGCAAAATGCCTCTGAGCTTAATAATTTCTCTCATCTTACAGATTTTACTATGAAAGCAACTTTAACCTTTGACCTGAATTGCTAATGAAAAAGTGCTAATAAGAATAAAACAGTTTTGGCAGAGTGTGGTGGCTCATGCCTGTCATCCCAACACTTTGGGAGGCCGAGGCAGGTGAATCACCTGAGGTCAGGAGTTCGAGACCAGCCTGGTCAACATGGTGAAACCTCGTCTCTACTAAAAATATGAAAATATAGCTGGGCATGGTGGTGGGTGCCTGTAATCCCAGCTACTCGGGAGGCTGAGGCAGGAGAATTGCTTGAACCCAGGAGATGGAGGTTGCAGTGAGCTGACAGGGTGCCACTGCACTCCAGCCTGGGCAACACAGTGAGACTCCATCTCAAAAATAAACACATATGATAAAACAGTTTTTTAAAAAACTTTGTCTTCTGTATATGTTAAGGTATATACATTTCAAATTAATGGATTTTAGAAAATAACCTGTTTCCTTTGATGTCTAATTCAGAGAAAATGCTATTTTCCTCTATATGTCTTATGCACAGGAGAGGTTTTCTCTCCAGGATTTATCAGTGCAAAACCAGCTTTCTGTGGGCTAATTCACCCATCTCTGTATGTAAAGTGTCCAAAAATAATAACAGGAATTATTACATTTATGGTTGATCAAATGCCTACATATTGCAAATATTGTGCTCTTTAAGCACTTCCAGCTGATTGACATTTTCCTACTCTCCTTCCCTATCAGTCAATTATTAACTATACTTACTTTCCACTAATACATCTCTTACAAGTTTTGGCTTTTTATTCTCAGAAATTAGACTTCTTTCTCTTCCTATTTATTACGACTCTGTCTTATAAATGAATGGCAAGGATAGTCCATGCCAGAGGAAGATTTCACTGATGTTTGATGGTGTATGTTTTCCCATGCACAGCTCTTACAGCCCTTCTCTTTAACTCTCTAGCAAGTGTTTTCTGATTAACAGAAATGATTGTATCTGGCAGCTGTCAGGCCATTATTGTTTGTACTAGGTTGAAGCCCTTCGGCTGGTGCCACTCTTCTTTAAGAGAAAATGGAAGGGGAGTGGATGCATTTCACTGAGTCTGTTTGTGGGGGATACTGTGCCTCAAATTCCAGAAAGAAAACTCCTAGGGAAGAGAAGCTTATAAATTGCTACAAACGTAACACTTTCTTCTAAAAGAAGAGACTGAGAGCACGTATTTCCGTTTCTCCTTTCCAGATTTTCATTCTCCCTGCTGTCCCAGCAATGTAGCTTAGGGTTATATGTAAATTTGTTACTAATTCCAGGAGGCAGCATGACAGGTAGAATACATGATTTATAGGACACAGACTTAGGTTTAAATCCTCGGTCAATCTCTACCAGTTTTGTGATATTGACAGTTTATTAATTTCTGTAAGCCCCTGATTTCTTTTCTACAAAATGAGGGTTCTAACACCAACCTTACAAGGTAGATATGAAAATATAATGAAATGACATAAGCAAAGTAAATAATATGTTTTCAGGCCCCCCAAAATGCTCAAAATATGTCCCATTCCCACTTAATCATTTTATACATGATATTATACATTTGTATGGTTTGTTATCACTCAATACAAGAATATCACAGAATATCTTTAATACTTCATTGGGCTAAGTTAGATTGACTTCGTTGATAATTGCTTGGAAATCCTTTCATATGTGTACAGATTTTAGAGTTTGCTGCTGATACACTGTTAACATTAGATCATAACTTTAAACTACTTGAAGGTAAAATTTGTGGAAATAAAGGTAAACTTAAAGCAGGGCAGTGCCAGAAGTGATTTGTGTCCCAAATATTTGATGGCAGCCTTCACCCATGCTGAGCAGATGAAGGCCTAATTCATCCATGCTTAGGGATAGCTCTGGCAACCAACATCAAGGAAAAGGACGGATACTATTTAACAAAACTTTCTCCTGAGTGCTTCATTTTCTGCTTCAGAACATGGACTATCTTTAAGGCCTGGTCAGCAGGTATCTGGGGAAGTGCTTTCTTAGGCTTATGAGATGGTATGAGAATCTGCGTCTTCTCAGCCTAGTTGAGTATCTAAGGTTTCTCTAAAAACAACTTGAAAAAAATTTGCTATTCTATCCCTAAGATATAGGAATTGGTGGCAAGCTGAGTGATTTAGATTCTAATGTGGAAAATTCAAGATTCAATGTTCAATAGGAGTATTTGTTTAAAAACCAATTGTTGCTCCGTGGAATTGCTGAGTCTCCCCATGTGTCTCTGGGATAGGAAGTGCATGTCCTAATATGCATTAATACTTCCCCTAATCTTCTCCCTTCCTCCCTACCCCTCTTCACTCCTTTTCCTTCCCTACTCTTCCTGAAAACAAGAAAAAAATCACTCACTGGATATCTGTAACTAAGCAATAGTTAATACTCTAACCTTCAGCAAAATTGCCAGAGTCTTACTTCTCTTCACTTATATTTTTGTGTCTTCATTTGATCTGATACAGAAGGGGCATCAATGAGATAAGAGTCTGCTTGGCTCAACAGAGAAATGTTCTGATCCCTGCTCTCCAGGGAGATTCCCAGAAAGACAGCAAGATCCCAGGAAGAGAATAGCGGCTTTGATGAATTTAGACAAACAAGGCCATGGAAATCTTACAGATTCCAGTATGCAGTAAAGAGACTCTGGAATGACCCCATGATTCCTGCCTCCTGCTATCCATACTTTCTGTGGCCCTCCCCTTGAGTATGGACAGGAACTTCATCTTGCTTCTAACCAACTGAATGTAGCAAACATGATGGGATGTCACTTTCATGATAACTTAAGATTTGAAACACATTTTAATAGGAGATTATTTTCCCTGTTGGCTTTGAGGAAACAAGAGGCCATGTTGGGAAGGCCTGCATGGTAAGAAGCTGAGGGTGGCCTCTAGATGACAGTCAGCAAGACTATCCAACATCCTACAAGGAAATGAATGCTGTCAACAACTGCATGGGCTTGGAAGTGGCTCCTTAACCAGATGAGTCTCAGGTGAGGCTGAATCCCTGGCCAACACCTTGATTGCAGCCTTATGAAATTCTGAGGGCCCAATCAAGCTGTATAAGACTTCTTTCTGATCCACAGAAAATGCCACATAATAAACATGTGTTGTCTTAAGCCACTAAGTTTGTGTCAACATTGTTATGCAGCAATAGAGCACTAACATATAGAGCACACATGGAAGGACAGAAGCAAATCTGAGAGGGGCAGGGGATAGAAAGGACACAATAATCAGTTATAGCTGATTATTGAGAAATAGCTAGGACCAAAGATACAATTGCAAGTTGTGAGCCCTGGAAAGCAGGCTCTGAAATAGAGTTTAGCATTCAGAAAGTTTATTAAGAAATGCCTTTGGGATCAACACCTGTGGTAGGGAGGTGAGGAACAGAGTTGTGATGCAGGTCCAACCAAGGCCTCATCCAACCCCATAGATGATGGAACTAGAAAGGTGTTTCAAAATGTTATGCATTGGAACAAAACGGCTGAGACTTTATATTGCCGTAGTGAACTATCACTGAATATGTATAGCCCCAAGAAGGTCATAACCTTTGATAATGTGACATCAACTAAAGACCATCTCCAGATAGAAATCTCACCAACTGAAGCTACATGCTCTTCTTTGAAGAGAAATCTGGGTCTTGCATTACTATGTCCATTACAGATGTACACTTCAATCAATGGACTGAGGACTGAGCACAAGTTGCTCCACTATCTTACTGTGCTATAGAGCCTCCCTCTAAACCTGATACTCTTTTGAGTGTGGGGTGATCTCAAATTGATGACTAACTTTCTGCCCTCAAGTTGGAATAGGAAAAAAAGAGAAAATAAAAATTAAGTTGATTTATAACAAAACAATTATACTCTTTGCATACCATAGCCCATGGTCTGAGATTTCATACTTGCTGCAGTAGCTATTTTAATTAGGAGCCCAAAGGAGGTATCAATTTCATATGGAGAAACTGACAAATATTTCTTATATGACAAAGGAACAAATGGCACTGTCAGAAAAAAAGATTGAAGAAAATCTAATGAAGAAATTATTAAAGACAATCCGGCAAGGTTATGGGGACAAATGAGTGATCGTATAACATCCGGAGGCCCACAAAAACACAATGTTCTTATCTTCCTTATGATGAAAGGGTCAAGGTGAGAGAGACACAGCTGTACCTCAAAGAGAGATTATTATAGTAGGAGAATGCTGGCTTTGGATAGACACTGAAAAAAAAGAAAAGCCCTCTATCTTTCCACTCCCACCCTCAGACCCTGTGACAATACCTCCCATCAGCCAAATTTTACCACCAAGCTAGAAGGCAAGAAGGCCAAGTGATACATTCCAAAGTAACCGGCCTCCCAGCCATTGAGCAGGTGTGGAGGGTGGATCTGGAGGAGTAAACTGGAGTATGGCCAGCTTTAGATAGGAATTGAAGGAAAGCATTTTAAGCTAAGGAAACAGGATGAATAAAGGCAGAGAAATAGGAAATTCTAGAATGTCTCTAAGCAATGATCAGTATCAGCGGTCTGATGTGGGGTCTGATGTGGTTGGATGATGAGTACCTCACAGTAATAATATGAAATAAAGCAGAATTGGCTCAGGAATGAAGGGGGTGAGGGGGAGCAATAGGACCCAGGTCCAGAGGCTCAATCAAGCTCAAGATTCAGATCAAGAAATCCAGCAGATCCTAGCAAAATAGGACATGGGTTACAACCCAACAGTCTCATCCCCTATTTTCACTTCAGAGAGTCAGGATTGGAGATTTGATTGGACTGGTGACTGTCTGTGTAATAATGAGTCATGTTATAACAGTTTGTATTGACTTGCAATTGACCAGCCCAATCAAGTTCTACATACTCAGTCACTTAATTTTTTCATCAGAGAACAGCCTACTGAACTCTTAATCATTCATCTTGATCACTCTGATCACCCTTCAAGGTCGAGGGACTGAAGAAGCACTGTTAAATGAGGTATTCCGGATGCATTCACATCATTGCCGTGTGGGAAGAGCCCTCTGTGGGGTGTGAAATCACACAGGCATGTGTTGCAGCTAATTAATTGGATGACAACCAATCCCTCAAGTCTTTTTCAACCTTATTGCTTTCCTGGTTTTTCATACCCACCATGTCAATGTATTTTCCCAGTCTGTTAGTTCACCCTTTTACTAGCAATCTAACATTAATTTGCAAACAGATTGTTTAAGCTTTCTCCATTCTTTCTGGTTGTTTTTCCTTCTTTGATATTTCTAATATCTCCTGGGCCAACATTGCCTCAAAATTTTATTGTCACACAGCTTGCTCCATCTTCTAGAAGAATTTACCAGTGCACAGAAAATCACATTTTAAAATTCTATATTTTTCTTCAGCACATATTTCATTTTATACTTTTTTCTTTTCTCAGGAAATTATCTATATTGGACAACTATTTGTTGCCAAGCGTTCTACTAAATGTATAATGCTACATGCATTTCATTGATTAACTTGCTTCTTACAGGAACCTCATGAACAAAGTGTTTTATTCCTCTTTTTTACACAACCTTGTGGTTCAGAGTAATCATGTAATGTGTTCAACATCACATAAACAGAACATTCCAGAGGCAGGATTTAAACTCAGGTTTCCCTGACTCTAAGAAAGAGTGTCTTCCCTTATGCTACACTCTAGAAAAGTCCATCGTTCTTTGCCCTTCTCAGTTGGTAAATAATCTTCTGAGAATGGTCATTAACATCTTAGTGTAAATGAATTATTATGTCTTCCAAGGGAATTTACCTTTTATAAGAAGTGTTAAGAAAATAATTCCAAGCAGTGACTCTAAGAGTGGTTTTCAGGCATTGTTATTGACTGCAGCAGTTACTTTTGAATAAAGAAGTGTTTGGGGGTATTCAAAATTTTATAGGCAGACTGGATCTTCCCCCTATAATTAATTTAATGTTTCCATCTGTAAGAGTTGCCGGACACTGAAAATTTTGTTCACATACAGCATGGTAACATTTTTTCCTTTCTGAACAGGATACCACTTAGCCTTCAACTTTTCATCGTGGTATTGATTAAATGATGAAGTGTGAGTGCTGTGAGCTATCACTACCACCAGCAGCCATGGTTCCATCTCCTGACACACACAGTGATGCAGATGACTTGAGAGGTTCTATATTACAGGAACACTAGCTTGTCTTCCTGGAACAATAAGAGGTTCAAGACTAAAACTATGATTATTAATAACTTTGATCCAGAAGGAAATGCCATTCTCTCTAGAGATTTCTTTTTGTATCAGCACTCTAACCAGAAACATTTCTAAAATGGAAAATGGTGCCTTAGAGAACTCTAGATAATCCTGTCCATCTGAGGGGTACTTTTAAAGGCAACATATTTACTGGGACTCTGGACATTTTTTACTTTTTATTTTGATCCTTTAGGACTTCAATGATGCACCATGGAAAAGAAATGGCCCCTCCATAGTGGATTTAGGAAAGAGTAGCTATCTACAATCAATCCACAAGAACAGCAGCCTGTTCCATCCTGATAATTAATCCCAACACAAAGAATGGTAGAATGCTAAACAGTACATAGCAGGTTCTCAATAAATATAAGTTGAATTAGTGATTAAATGAATTCTTAACATTTCTTGACTATAAAAGATGCAAATATCAAATAAAATGTCTGCTGAGGAGATCATAGTTTAAAAACAGAATAAATAATTGAGTTGAAATACAAGGTTCATTGCACACGTAAAGCATTCTCAGAGACTCCAGATTCTAAATACAACATGTATATTATGAAGCAGACAAGGCCAGTCTCTATCCATTAACTGACAACTTTGATATGAAAGTATAGCCTTCATTTCCTAAGAAAAAAAAACAGACAAGAGGAAAGTGAAAATGTCTGTCCTGTCATTTTTGCTATTTTTACATAAACTTTTATTGGAATATAACACAAAAATATAGCAAGGCAAAACTTGTCATTGTATAGCTCCATGAATTATCACAAAAAGACCAAGCCCATATAACTATCATCTAGGCTAAAAAATTAGAGTATTACAATATTATACTCCAGAACACACCCTATTCATTCCTGCATCACTATACACTCCTTCTTTTTATTATTATTATACTTTAAGTTCTAGGGTACATGTGCACAACGTGCAGGTTTGTTACATATGTGTACATGTGCCGTGTTGTTTTGCTGCACCCATTAACTCGTCATTTACATTAGGTATTTCTCCTAATGCTATCCCTCCCCCAGCCCCCGACCCCATGACAGGCCCTGGTGTGTGATGTTCCCCACTCTGTGTCCAAGTGTTCTCATTGTTCAATTCCCACCTATGAGTGAGAACCTGCGGTGTTTGGTTTTCTGTCCTTGCAATAGTTTGCTTAGAATGATGGTTTCCAGCTTCATCCATGTCCCTACAAAAAACATGAACTCATCCTTTTCCATGGCTGCATAGCATTCCATGGTGTACATGTGCCACATTTTCTTAATCCAGTCTATCACTGATGGACATTTGGGTTGGTTCCAAGTCTTAGGATCTAGAACTAGAAATACCATTTGACCCAGCAATTCCATTGCTGGGTATATACCCAAAGGATTATAAATTATGCTACTATAAAGACACATGCACACCTATGTTTATTGCAGCACTATTCACAATACATTCCTTCTTTTTAAAGGTCATTATTATTCTTACTGCTAACACCATGGATTAGTTTTGTCTCCTTTTGATGTTTATATAAAGGACTTCTTATTACAGATCATTTTTCTGGCATCTGTTTTTGCAATACTTTGAAATATTCCTTCATGTTGTTTTGTTTGGCAACAGTTTGTTGCCTTTATTCTTTTCATTCTATACTATTTCAATATTGAATATTCTGCAATTTAGTTTTATTCTGAAGTAGACAAATAATTTATTTGTTTGCACTATTTTGGTTAATGCTGTTATGAACATTTTATACATGTATTTTACATAAAATGTGTGAAATGTATGCGTGTGATTGTCCATGTATGTGTGTGTAGTGTGTGGTTAATTAATAAAATTGCTAGGTAGTAAAAGCTCTATCTATGTACTACCTTCCTCCTCACCTACCTATATTTTCAAATTTAGTAGATAATAATGGTTTTTCAAAGTGTCTGTAGCAATGAACACTTAGCACAGCAGTATATCAGTCTTTTTAATTTTCATCAATTTTAGACTGTATGCCTGCATTGGCCAAAATTGTGCTTCTAATTTCCTGAGAAGTAGCAATGTCAAACATCTGTATAGCCATTTGAGTATCTGCATATGTGTGAAATACCTATTCTACTCTCTCACCATTTTTTTCTGTTGAGTAAAATTTCTCTTTTCTATTGTAGGGTTATGTACAAAACATATATGTGTGTCAATTATGTTCCCATTTTGTGACATATTTATATTCTGTTAATGACATTGTGGTGAAAAATTTCTAATGTCACTGTAGTTCAATTTACCAATCTTTGCAGGTAATGAAATATTACTGTTTTTATATTGAAAGTGTGTCTTATAAGAAGCACATATCTGCTCTTTTTCACCAAATTTAATAATCCATATTTAAATGGAGTGTTTAACCCATTTATATTAATACTATTACTAATATAGATATATAGATATAGAACTTTCACCTTACTATTTGCCTTCTTTTTGCCCCATCTACTAGGAGATTATTTCATCTATTTATTTATTATTGCCTTTCTGGTTGTTAAAATAGTTTTATTAAACTGTTTCTTTTTATTTTCATTAGGTCATGAGTTACACATTTTATTTAGTGCTTATCATAGTGATTACCACATATCTACATTTTATTAACCTCTAATGTAAAAAAGTACTATTGTCACTTTCTACACTATTCAATGGCCTTCATTCTATTAATCATCATCCCAAGCTATGTGGTCTTCTTCTCAAGTAATTTCTCTCATTATATTTTAAGCCTCAATAATTTATTATTTTTGTTACATACAGTTCATATTTTTTAGATTTACTTACATATTTACCATTTAGATTGTTCTTCATTCTCTCAAAAATCTCAAATTATCCACCTGAGACTGCTTTCATTCTATCTGAAGAACATCATCTCTTACCTTCTTTAGTGCAGGTCTGCCATATACAAAATCTCTCTAGTTTTGTTTATCTAAAAAACAATGTTTATTCTAACTTGCATTTTTAAGGATCATTTTTTGATACGTAATTGTTTTCAGTTATTATCTTGTTATTCTTTCAAAATATCATTTTGATTTTCCTTTGGCTTCCATCACTTCTGTTGAGTAGTCAGCTGTCAGTCTTATTGGTGCTCTTTTGAAGATAATGTGCCGTTTTTCACTGACTGCTTTTGAGATAATATATTTTTAGCAGTTTTACCATAATTATATCTGGAATTTTGTTGCTGTTTTACAATCTTGCCTTTTTGAAATTGGTCGTTTATTATCTATTCAAATATTGCTTCAGCCCTACTCTGTTTCACATTTTCATCTTACACTAGATATTTTTACTCTGTTTCAATATGATTTTTTTTCTTTTTTGTATCTATGCTATCCTTTTTTCTTAGACATGTTTTCAATATTTACATTTCTTGCACATCTTCTGGTCCTTAACTGTAATTTAAGCAGTATCTAATAGAATGTTAATTTTATTTGTTAGTTGTTTCCATTATTATAATATTCAGCTTGCTATAGAATGAAGGTTTATGTCCTCCCCAAAATTCAGTGTGAAAACCTAATCCTCAATGTGGTGATATTTGGACTTGGTCTTTACAAGAGATGATAAAGTCATGAGAGTGACACCCTCATGAATGAGATTAGTGTCCCTATAAAAGAGACCCCAGAGAGCTCCCTTGCCCCTTCCACAATATAAGGACACAGCAAGAGGACTGCAATCCATGAACCGGGAAGTGGGCCTCCACCAGACACTGAATCTGCCAGCATCTTGGTCTTGGACTTTCCACCCTCCAGAACTGTGAGAAACACATTTTTTTTTTATTTATAAGCCACTCAGTCTATGGTGTTCTGTTATAGCAGTCTGAATGGACTAAGACACAGTTCTTGATTTTATACTTGGTTGTTTATAGTTTCCTGTTCTGTGATAAAATTCCCAATCTTTAATTACTTGAGTAAATTAATCATGTAACATCTTAAAGTTGATATATAATAACTCCATTATCTGTCTCTCTTATGAGTTCATTTCTATTGTCTTTTTTAAAAAAAAAATGTCCAGTTTAGATGTAGCTTGGTCTTCAATTGTGTGCCTGATCATTTTTGAAAAAAATCTTACATATTGTATATGACAAATTACAGAGATAACTTGAAGCTGTCTATAAAATTATCTTCTATAGGAATAACTTACTTTTATTTCTGATATGCATCTAGGCTAAGGAAATCATCTCAATCTGGGATGAATAAAATTCAAAACTTGGTTTTGTTCTTTAAGAAGGATAATCTATTTCTGGATTACCCTTAATAGGTGCCACTCACTTGTGGCCCTAAACTTCAACTTTTATTCCATGATTCATATAAATTTCTATAAAGCTCTACCTGGCTCTTCATGTCCTTTATAATCGATAGTCAATCAAGAAAAAACAAAGTTGTACAAAATGCCTTGTTTACCTCTGTGGGCATCTCTCCTCTTCTAGATACGATCCAAACACATTCTTGGCACCGTGGTAGCTTTCTGATTTCCTTAAACAATTGTTTTTTACATTTAATTCAGGTTTCCTATTTGTTCTCAGTAGAAAAAATTGATTCCAAAATTCCAAGTACACCACTGCTAGAACAGAGTTCCCTGTTTTCTGCTGTTTTAAATTAATGAGAGGTTTAGATTAAATCCTCTCTTTTGGTTATAAGGTTGTGGACATATAACTCATCTGTGAGTATGAACAGAGCAGCCAAATTATGGTTTGGCCAAAATGAAAAATTTTAACTTTTAAATTTTAGTTACCAGAGCTCAGGTTTATAGAGCACAATATGGATCAAGGAACTGCTGTCAGAAAAGTTTCTAAGTAAAAAGATGCTATTATAAAATATCGGAATAATACACAGCCTGAAAGTTATTCTTTGACCAATAACAAAGCAACTTATAAACTTCCTATATTTGCAAGTTTTCCTGGACACTCATAGAAATTGTTGAGCAGCAAATACTTTCTAGGTGTTCACAGAGCATGCATGCACTAGAGGGAAGCCATGTCCTCAGTATGCTTGTGAATTTGTAAAACAGTAAACAGAAACAGAAATAACTAAAGAAAAAATAGCTAAATGGATTATACATTTGCCAAGACAATTCATCTTTGAGCAGCTAACAAAAAGAGTGACACCTTCTGTACTACTATAAATAAATAATAACAGCAATAGTACACATTTATCAAGTGCTTCCTGCAAGCCAGGAACTCTAAGAGCAATGAAATGCTTGGTTTTTCTTTTTTAGTTGTTTGTTTGTTTGTTTGTTTGTTTGTTTTTGAGACACAGTCTTGCTCTGTCACCCAGGCTGGAGTGCACTGGCGCAATCTCGGCTCACTGCAAGCTCCGCCTCCCGGGTTCATGCCATTCTCCTGCCTCAGTCTCCCGAGTAGCTGGGACTACAGGCGCCCGCCACCATGTCCAGCTAATTTTTTGTATTTTTAGTAGAGACAGGGTTTCGCCGTGTTAGCCAGGACGGTCTCGATCTCCTCACCTCATGATCCACCCGCCTCGGCCTCCCAAAGTACCGGGATTACAGGCGTGAGCCACCACGCCCGGCACACTTGTTATTTTTAAATCCTAAACATAAGGAAGATGAAACTCAAAGATACCAAGTGACTTGCCCCAAGTAATGCAGCTCATGAACTGCAGGTGCATGTGACCCTGTAGCTGGACTCCTAACCATTATGCTACAGAGTCCATTTTAATGAAGCAACCAGACCACCATAAAATGTGTAGCAAATCATGATGCATTAGATGATGGAGACACCAAGTATAAGAGTAGTGGGATTAAATCCAGATTCTCACTGTCCTAGTTCCCCTTGGGTAAGAGCCAGCTTACCACTAGATGACTCATAGCGATATTCCCCCTCTCCATATGTATGTATGTGTGTTTACCATTGGTAAAGTGTTCATAGTCCGTCTACTTGTATAAATTCAGTCAATTTTCAGATAATCATTTTGGGGTTAAATATCATGATATCCAACTTAAATATCAAGGTATTCAACTTTTTGGAGACAGGTAATTTTTTCCTGGCCCCATCATTTATTGATGGGCAATCTCAGTTGCATTATTTAAACTTTTTTACCTAAAACTCAGTTTCCTCAGGTAAAAATATGAAGATATAATCTTAGGGATCTCTCATGGATGTGATTAGATTAAGATAAAGCTTTCTAATATGCCTGGTACACTGTAGGTACCCAATTAATATTCCAAGTGTTGTTTTGCCTTTGAAAAGCACAGTTAAATTAATATCCTCAGGTTTAAACTAAGAAAGACATCTGGACTTTACGAACCCCACTTCTTGTTCCCATTCTTAGGGTCAAGGACAGCGCCCAAGCTGAGTACTCATGTGAGTGGTGGTGGGAAGGGCAAGATGACTGTACCTGAGAGAGCACAGCCATAGGGATGAGGGGCTAGGAAGAATCATCTAATCAGGGCTGGTGAGGGAAATCTGAGAAAATAATGTTAAGCACCAGGACCAAAGACCACAAAGGGGATGGAATTCTGAAATGAGATAAAACAAAAACAATAAATCAGCAGTTAAAGAATCAATATTAGAATGGACTGTCAATCAAGGAGCAAAGGTAGCAATGGAGGCTGCTCAGAACTAAAAGCCTGATCAAGAAGATAATGTAAGATGTCCTGTTTATTTGGCTCCAGGGAAATGGAATGAGAACAAAGGATCATGTAGGATGATATCAGCACCACCCTTTACTGAGTGCTGCAGAAGAGTGTCTATTCTTTTACAAATACATATGCCATCAGCATTATTCTGCCTTTATTAATTCAATCTCATTTTCCTTGACGCGATAACAGCAACCCATAGCCTTTTCTGAATATCAGAAATCATCTGCATAGTTTTCAGTTTGGCATAAGTGATCTGAATTATCAATGTTAAATGTTAAATAAATGTTATTTTTAGAATGAGTTAGATATTTAATTGAGATAAATGTTCTCTTCACATAGACTTAGTACATAGGTTGACATGTTTTAGGCATGTACCAGTGCCAGGATCAATTCTCTGTAACCTATGCACCAGGGTTTCAGCAGGAAGTCGACCTGTGTACTTCAGTAATTATGATTCATTTTACTTGGCCATTTGGTTTTTTTAGAAGCGTGCTTGGGCAGGAAAGCAAACCCAACTGTTATTGTCTTAATCCTATTAGGTTTATTTATAAGGCATGTGGCTTAATAGCTACTTATTAATAACAGGAATCTAAAATAAGCAATATTTCCAACAACGACCACCCAAAAATAATATTAAACTGTTCAAATATTCTATGTGAGGGTAGGTTTTCAAGAATTCATTACTAAAAACAAGTTTTACCAGACAGACCTTTAAATTCACCTCTTTGTTTCACTTCTCTGCCTCTACTCACCAATGCCTTTATGTGCTCTACAGTTGCCTTTAAAAGCTTTGGCTAACATTGTACTTCAGCTATTCTTCTTTTTAATATTTTAATTTTTATTTTAGGTTTAAGGGTACATGTGCAGGTTTGTTATATAGGTAAACTTGTGACTCAGGAGCCTGGGGTACAGATTACTTCATCACCCAGGTCCTAAGCATAGTACCTGATCATTTTGTTTTCCGAACCTCTCCGTCCTCCTCTCCTCCTCCCTCAAGTTGGTCCCAATGTCTATTGTTTCCCTCTATGTGTCCATGTGTTCTCACTATTTAGCTCCCACTGAAAAGTGAGAACATGCAGCATTGGTTTTCTGTTCCTTTGTTAGTTTGCTAAGGATAATGACCTCCAGTTCCACCTGTGTTTCTGCAAAGGACATGATCTCATTCTTTCTTTATGGCTACATAGTATTCCTTGCTTTACATGTACCACATTTTCTTTATCCAGTCTACTGTTGATGGGCATTTAGCTTGGCTCCATGTCTTTGTTATTGTGAATAGTGCTGTGATGAACGTATGCAGGCATGCGTCTTTACAGTAGAACAATTTATATTCCTTTGGGTATATACCCAGTAGTGGGATTGCTGGATCGAATGGTAGTTCTATTTTTAGTTCTTTGAGGAATTGCTACACTGCTTTCCACAATGGTTAACCTAATTTACACTCCCACTAGCAGTGTATAAGCGTTCCCCTTTTTCAGCAACCTCACCAGCATCTGTTGTTCTTTTTTTTTAACTTTATCATAGTAGCCATTCTGACTGGTATGAGATGGTATCTTATTGTGATTTTGATTTGCATTTCTCTAATGATGAGTGATATTGAGCATTTTTTCATATGCTTGTGGGCTGTATGTATGTCTTCTTTGAAAAATGTCTGCTCGTGTCCTTTGCTCACTTAATTGGATTGTTTGATTTTGCTTGTACATTTGTTTAAATTTCTTATAGATTCTGGATCTTTGTCAGATGTATAGATTCCGGATCTTTGTCAGGTGTATAGTTTGCAAATATTTTCTTTAATTCTGTAGGTTGTCTGTTTACTTTGTTGAGAGTTTCTTTCGTTGCGCCAGAAGCTCTTTCCTGTAATTAGGTCCCATTTATCAACTTTTGCTTTTGTTGCAATTGTTTTTGGTGTTTCTGTCATGAAATCTTTGCCAGTTTCTGTGTCCAAAATGGCATTTCCTAGGTTATCTTCCAAGGTTTTTATAGTTTTAGGTTTTACATTTATATACTTAATCCATTATGAGTTGATTTTTGTATATTGTGTAAGGAAGGGGCCCAGGTTCAGTCTTCTGCATATGGCTAACCAGTTATCCCAGCACCATTTATTGAATAGGGAGCCCTTTCCCCATTGCTTATTTTTGTCAGCTTCATCAAATATCACACGGTTGTAGGTGTGTGGCTTTATTTCTGGGCCCTCTATTCTGTTCCTCTGGTTTATGTGTCTGTTTTTGCAGCAGTACCAGGCTGTTTTGATTACTGTTACTTGTAGTACAGTTTGAAGTCTAGCAATGTAATTCCTCCAGCTTTGTTCTTTCTGCTTAGGATTGCTTTGGATATTCAGGTTCTTTTTTGGTTCCATATGAATTTTAGAGTAGATTTTTCTAGTTCTGTGAAAAATGTCATTGGTAGTTTGACAGGAATAGCTTGAGTCTGTACATTGCTTTGGCCAGTAAGGCCATTTTTACGATATTGATTCTTCCTATCCATGAGCATGGAATGTTTTTCCATTTGTTTGTGTCATCTCTGATTTCTTTGAGCAGCATTTTGTAATTCACATTGTAGAGATCGTCCACCTTCCTCATTAGTTGTATTCCTAGGTATTTTACTCTTTTTGGCAATTGTGAATGGGATGGTGTTCTTGATTTGACTCTCGGCTTGGGTGCTGTTAGTGTATAGCAATGCTACTGTTTTACACATTGAATTTGTAGCCTGAAACTTTGCTGAAGTTGCTTATTAGCTCAAGGAGCTTTTGGGCAGAGACGATGGGGTTTTCTCCATATAGAATTAAGTCATCTATAAATAGGGATAGTTTGACTTCCTCCCTTCCTACTTAGATGCCTTTTATGTCTTTCTCTTGCCTGATTGCTCCAGCCAGGACTTCTAATACTATGTTGAATAGAAGTGGTGAGAGTGGGCATCCTTGTCTTGTTCTTATATCAGAATGTTCTCTGTCAATCTGGGATGGAGAGACTGGGATATTCATGGTCTTCTGAAACTTTTCTCTCAGTTCCTCTGAAAACACTGATTATCTGTATAAGCAATTGTTATGCTTATTTGTCTATTTGACTCCTTGTTCCAATTAGGATAATTTTGAAGCAGATACAGAGATAGCTTTAGCCGGTAAATATTCATGATCTAGGCTAAGAGTACACAAATTTTGGCATTCTTTTCATAATAAAATGGGTCACTTCTTTGTATGCCTTAGTTTTCCAGAATCTGACAGGAAAAATAATGGTTGTCAGGTAAGAATTATTTCTTATGACCAACATATATAATAAAAACTGACATACATTAAATAGATGCAATGTAATATATCTTGTGTTCATTTTGTTTTCATCGCTGTAAACCCCCTATAGTAAATGCCTGAACATGTGATATGTGCAATTGCCATTATAATGTATTGGCAGCATATTATAGGTGACAGTTTTTAAAAATGATTTCTATGCTCTTAGTTTGTGTTCAGTCAAAATAGTAAAGAGCGATTGCTTTTAGTTTGTGTTTGGTTAAACTAGTAAAAAGTGAATCCTTGATTTTTACTGCCATAGAGAGAGCAAGTGAAATATGTCATAGAAGATGTATACAATGTAGGCACAGCTGTATATCATCATTGTGTCATTTGGTTTTCATGTTTAAGCCATTTACATGCATTACTAGGAACACATTTTAAAATGATGGAGACATTTAAAATATGGTTCATGATGCACAATACATTTTGTGAACGAAACAAAACTTTTCTAATGAAAAAAGGTTGATATGATTTTCTGTACTAAGAAATAATGTATGCTTTTATTTCCAAAGCAAACTATTTTTCACTTTAATTTTAACTTATATTTTGACTTACCCTTGTGTGAATGTCAAAGCCAGAGCTCTGTTTCTAATTTGCCAGACTGTAGACCAATATTTTGAGATGTTATGCATATTTAATATGTTTTAGTTCATATAATTTCTCATTAGGTATTAATAATAATAACCCCAGGAATGTGGTTCTTACAAGGTGCAATGTCCAACACTGTATAACAGGGAGGAGATGTGATGCTATTAATGAGTTCTTATCTGGTCCTTAGTCCTTTCAACATAACGCCAGCTTAGTAAGGTTTATTTCTGGCAATTTCATGGCTCTCTCCCTATATCTTGACTTTTCTTTATGAACTTGCTCTTCTGAGTGTCTTTCTAATTATTTCTATCTCTAACTTATAATTTTGCCATTGGCTGAGTTATTGGGGCTCTATAATCCTCCGTGTCTTCATTACCATCATATTCTTGAGTCTGTACCCTCCCCAGTATATGGTATTTCCTGAATGTCTTATGAGAGTTCTGATGTCAGGCATGTGCTCTCAGGGTCTTACTGCTTGGACTAACCTTGGGCTGAAGAAAGTGATTTAGATACTAGACACTTAAAATCTGTGCTATAAAAAATGAAATGATTTTGTAAGCTAAAGTCACCTGGTTATCATTGAGCAATGTTTTGCGCTCATTAGCAGGTGCAGGCTGGATGTCTACTGTAGTGTTAGATTGTGCCAATGTGGGCTGCCTCTGAGAGCAGAAAAAAGACAAGTCACAAAGGGAATGACCCCAACAATTGTTAAACGAAGGGGTTGTTACCTATACATTTACATCCAGAATTAACGTTCCAGATGGGAAGAAGCAAAATTTAGAAATAAGGAGAACATAGCAGGATGTATTTTAATAGGCTTCAAAACTGGTAGCCTAGAAGCCTAGAATAAGGAGCACAGCAAGTGGGAAAGTATTGGCCATTGAGGGGGTAAGCCAAGTGTGAAATGAGGCACGGGGTGAGGAAAGCCAATTCAGCAAGAAATCTGCAAGTGTGGGAGCTCCTCTGGGAAATTTCTGAAGGACATCAGCAGGCTGTATTTTTTCAAGAAGTAAGATAGTAGAAACTGTGCTTACGCCTTTTCCTAGGCTTTAGTTCAGAACACTTTTATTAATATTACTATTATTATACTTTAAGTTCTAGGGTACATGTGCACAATGTGCAGGTTTGTTACATATGTGTACATGTGCCGTGTTGTTTTGCTGCACCCATTAACTCGTCATTTACATTAGGTATTTCTCCTAATGCTATCCCTCCCCCATCCCCCCACCATGACAGGCCCTGGTGTGTGATGTTCCCTGCCCTGTGTCCAAGTGTTCTCACTGTTCAATTCCCACCTATGAGTGAGAACATGTGGTGTTTGGTTTTGTGTCCTTGCAATAGTTTGCTCAAAATGATGGTTTCCAGCTTCATCCATGTCCCTACAAAGGACATGAACTCATCCTTTTTATAGCTGCATAGTATTCCATGGTGTATATGTGCCACATTTTCCTAATCCAGTCTAACATTGTTGGACATTTGGGTTGGTTCCAAGTCTTTGCTGTTGTGAATGGTGATGCAATAAACTTATGTGTGCATATGTCTTCAGAGTAGAATGATTTATAATCCTTTGGGTATATACCCAGTAATGGGATGGCTGGGTCAAATGGTATTACTAGTTCTAGGTCTTTGAGGAATCGCCACACTGTCTTCCACAATGGTTGAACTCGTTTACAGTCCCACAAACAGTGTAAAAGTGTTCCTATTTCTCCACATCCTCTACAGCACCTGTTGTTTCCTGACTTTTTAATGATTGCCATTCTAACTGGTGTGAGATGGTATCTCATTGTGGTTTTGATTTGCATTTCTCTGATGACCAGTGATGATGAGCATTTTTTCATGCATCTTTTGGCTGCATAAATGTCTTCTTTTGAGAAGTGCCTGCTCATATCCTTTGCCCACTTTTGATGGGGTTGTTTGATTTTTTTCTTGTAAATTTGTTTAAGTTCATTGTAGATTCTGGATATTAGCCCTTTGTCAGATGGGTTGATTGCAAAAATTTTCTCCCATTCTGTAGGTTGCCTGTTCACTCTGATGGTAGTTTCTTTTGCTGTGCAGAAGCTCTTTTGTTTAATTAGATCTCTTTTGTCAATTTTGGCTTTTGTTGCCATTGCTTTTGGTGTTTTAGACATGAAGTCCTTGCCCATGCCTATGTCCTGAATGGTATTGCCTAGGTTTTCTTCTAGAGTTTTTATGGTTTTAGGTCTAACATTTAAGTCTTTCATCCATCTTGAATTAATTTTTGTATAAGGTGTAAGGAAGGGATCCAGTTTCAGCTTTCTACATATGGCTAGCCAGTTTTCCCAGCACCATTTATTAAATAGGGAATCATTTCCCCATTGCTTGTTTTTGTCATGTTTCTCAAAGATCAGATAGCTGTAGATGTGTGGTGTTATTTCTGAGGGCTCTGTTGTGTTCCATTGGTCTATATCTCTGTTTTGGTGCCAGTACCATGCTGTTTTGGTTACTGTAGCCTTGTAGTATAGTTTGAAGTCAGGTAGTGTGATGCCTCCAGCTTTGTTCTTTTGGCTTAGGATTGACTTGGCGATGCGGGCTCTTTTTTGGTTCCATATGAACTTCAAAGTAGTTTTTTCCAATACTGTGAAGAAAGTCATTGGTAGCTTGATGGGGATGGCATTGAATCTATAAATTACATTTGGTAGTATGGCCATTTTCAAGATATTGATTCTTCCTATCCATGAGCATGGAATGTTCTTCCATTTGTTTGTGTCCTCTTTTATTTTGTTGAGCAGTGGTTTGTAGTTCTCCTTGAACAGGTCCTTCACATCCCTTGTAAGTTGTATTCCTAGGTATTTTATTCTCCTTGAAGCAATTGTGAATGGGAGTTCACTCATGATTTGGCTCTCTGTTTCTCTGTTATTGGTGTATAAGAATGCTTGTGATTTTTGCACATTGATTTTGTATCCTGAGACTTTGCTGAAGTTGCCTATCAGCTTAAGGAGATTTGGGGCTGAGATGATGTGGTTTTCTAGATATACAAACATACCATCTGCAAACAGGGACAATTTGACTTCCTCTTTTCCTAATTGAATACCGTTTATTTCCTTCTCCTGCCTGATTGCCCCGGCCAGAACTTCCAACACTATGTTGAATAGGAGTGGTGAGAGAGGGCCTCCCTGTTTTGTGCCAGTTTTCAAAGGGAATGCTTCCAGGTTTTGCACATTCAGTATGATGCTGGCTGTGGGTTTGTCATCAATAGCTCTTATTGTTTTGAGATACATTCCATCAATACCTAGTTTATTGCAAGTATTTAGCATGAAGTGGTGTTGAATTTTTTCTAAGGCCTTTTGTGCATCTATTGAGATAATCATGTGCTTTTTGTCTTTGGTTCTGTTTATATGCTGGATTACATTTATTGATTAGCATATGTTGAACCAGCCTTGCATCCCAGGGATGAAGCCAACTTGATCATGGTGGATAAGCTTTTTGATGTGCTGCTGGATTCAGTTTACCAGTAATTCATTGAGGATTTTTGCATTGATGTTCATGAGGGATATTGGTCTAAGACTATCTTTCTTTGTTGTGTCTCTGCCAGGCTTTGGTATCAGGATGATGCTGGCCTCATAAAATGAGTTAGGGAGGATTCCCTCTTTTTCTATTGCTTGGAATAATTTCAGAAGGAATGGTACCAGCTCCTCTTTTTACCTCTGGTAGAATTTGGCTGTGAATCCGTCTGGTCCTGGGCTTTTTTTGGTTGGTAGGCTATTAATTATTGCCTCAATTTCAGAGCCTGTTATTGGTCTTTTCAGTGATTCAACTTCTTCCTGGTTTAGCCTTGGGAGGGTGTATGTGTCCAGGAATTTATCCATTTCTTCTAGATTTTCCAGTATCTTTGCATACAGGTGTTTATGGTATTCTCTGATGGTAGCTTGTATGTCTGTGGGATCAGTGGTGATATCCTCTTTATCATTTTTTATTGTGTCTATTTGATTCTTCTCTCTTTTCTTCTTTATTAGTTAGCAGTCTTATTAGCAGTCCATCAATTTTGTTGATCTTTTCAAAAAACCAGCTCCTGGATTCATTGATTTTTTTTTCTTTTTTATTATACTTTAAGTTCTGGGGTACATGTGCACAACGTGCAGGTTTGTTATAGATGTATACATGTGCCATGTTGGTTTGCTGCACCCATTAACTCATCATTTACATTAGGTATATCTCCTAATGCTATCCCTCCCCCATCCCCCAACCTCATGACAGGCCCTGGTATGTGATGTTCCCCATCCTGTATCCAAGTGTTCTCATTGTTCAGTTCCCAAGTATGAGTGAGAACATGCAGTGTTTGGTTTTCTGTCCTTGCGATAGTTTGCTGAGAATGATGGTTTCCAGCTTCATCCATGTCCCTACAAAGGACATGAACTCATCCTTTTTTGTGGCTGCATAGTATTCCATGGCGTATATGTGCCACATTTTCTTAATCCAGTCTATCATTGATGGACATTTGAGTTGGTCTCAAGTCTTTGCTATTGTGAATAGTGCCGCAATAAACATATGTGTGTATGTGTCTTTATAGCAGCATGATTTATAATCCTTTGGGTATATACCCAGTAATGGGATGGCTGGGTCAAATGGTATTTCTAGTTCTAGATCCCTAAGAAATCGCCACACTGACTTCCACAACGATTGAACTAGTTTACAGTCCCACCAACAGTGTAAAAGTCATTGATTTTTTGAAAGGTTTTTTTGTATCTCCTTCAGTTCTGCTCTCATCTTAGTTATTTCTTGCCTTCTGCTAGCTTTTGAATTTATTTGCTTTTGCTTCTCTAGTTCTTTTAATTGTGATGTTAGGGTGTGGATTTTAGATCTTTCCTGCTTTCTGTTGTGGGGATTTAGTGCTATAAATTTCCCTCTACACACTGCTTTAAATGTGTCCCAGAGATTCTGGTACGTTGTGTCTTTGTTCTCATTGGTTTCAAAGAACATCTTTATTTCTGCCTTCATTTTGTTATTTACCCAGTAGTCATTCAGGAGCAGGTTGTTCAGTTTCCATGTAGTTGTGTGGTTTTGAGTGACTTTCTTAATCCTCACTTCAATTTGATTGCACTGTGGTCTGAGAGACAGTTTGTTGTGATTTCTGTTCTTTTACATTTGCTGAGGAGTGCTTTACTACCAACTATGTGGTCGATTTTGGAATAAGTGCAATGTGGTGCTGAGAAGAATGTATATTCTGTTTATTTGGGGTGAAGAGTTCTGTAGATGTCTATTAGTTCTGCTTGGTACAGAGCTGAATTCAAGTCCTGGATATCCTTGTTAACCTTCTGTCTCGTTGACCTGTATAATATTGACAGTGGGGTGTTAAAGTCTCCCATTATTATTTTGTGGGACTCTAAGTCTCTTTTTAGGTCTCTCAGGACTAGCTTTATGAATCTGGGTGCTCCTGTATTGGATGCATATATATTTAGATAGTTAGCTCTTCTTGTTGAATTGATCCCTTTACCATTATGTAATGGCCTTCTTTGTCTCTTTTGATCTTTGTTTGTTTAAAGTCTGTTTTATCAGAGACTAAGGTTGCAACCCCTGCTTTTTTTTGTTTTCTATTTGCTTGGTAAATCTTCCTCCATCCCTTTATTTTGAGCCTATGTGTGTCTCTGCACATGAGATGGGTCTCCTGGATACAGCACACTGATGGGTCTTGACTCTTTATCCAATTTGCCAGTCTGTGCCTTTTAATTGGGGCATTTAGCCCATTTACATTTAAGGTTAATATTGTTATGTGTGAATTTGATCCTGTCATTATGATGTTAGCTGGTTGTTTTGCTCATTAGTTGATGCAGTTTCTTCCTAGCCTCGATGGTCTTTACAATTGGCATGTTTTTGCAGTGGCTGTTACCAGTTATTCCTTTCCATGCTTAGTGCTTCCTTCAGAAGCTCTTGTAAGGCAGGCCTGGTGGTGACAAAATCTCTCAGCATTTGCTTGTCTGTGAAGGATTTTATTTCTCCTTCACTTATGAAGCTTAGTTTGGCTGGATATGAAATTCTGGGTTGAAAATTATTTTCTTTAAGAATGTTGAATATTGGTCCCCACTCTCTTCTGGCTTGTAGGGTTTCTGCAGAGAGATCTTCTGTTAGTCTGATGGGCTTCCCTTTGTGGGTAACCTGACCTTTCTCTCTGGCTGCCCTTGCATTTTTTCCTTCATTTCAACCTTGGTGAATCTGATAATTATGTGTCTTGGGGTTGCTCTTCTCGAGGAGTATCTTTGTGATGTTCTCTGTATTTCCTGAATTTGAATGTTGGCCTGCTTTGCTAGTTTGGGGAAGTTCTCCTGGATAATATCCTGAAGAGTGTTTTCCAGCTTGCTTCCATTCTCCCCATCACTTTCAGGTACACCAATCAAACGCAGATTTGGTCTTTTCACATAGTCCCATATTTCTTGGAGGCTTTGTTCATTTCTTTTTACTCTTTTTTCTCTAAATTTCTCTTCTTGCTTCATTTCATTAATTTGATCTTCAATCACTGATACCCTTTCTTCCACTTGATCGAATCAGCTACTGAAGCTTGTACATGTGTCACATAGTTCTCATGCCATGGTTTTTAGCTCCATCAGGTCATTTAAGGTCTTCTCTACACTGTTTATTCTAGTTAGCCATTCGTCTAATCTTTTTTCAAGGTTTTTAGCTTCCTTGCATTGGGTTCGAACATCCTCCTTTAGCTCAGAGAAGTTTGTTATTACTGACTTTATGAAATCTACTTCAGTCACCTCGTCAAAAATCATTCTCCGTCCTGCGTTGTTCCATTGCTGGCGAGGAGCTGTGATCCTTTGGAGAAGAAGGGGCACTCTTGTTTTTAGAATTTTCATCTTCTCTGCTCTGGTTTCTCCTCATCTTTGTGGTTTTATCTACCTTTTGTCTTTGATGATGGTGACCTACAGATGGGGTTTTGGTGTGGATGCCCTTTTTGTTGATGTTGATGCTATTCCTTTCTGTTTGTTAGTTTTCTGTCTAACAGTCAGGTCCCTCAGAACACTTTGATGCAAGTTTCAGAACAGCTCCTTATCTGTGTGCACGCATCAGTTACTTCCATTTTTTAAGCTTCAGTTTCCTCCTGGGTAAAATGAGGACAATACAATTGTTTCTATACCTCTCACAACACCATTGTTAGGATCAAATAAAATAATGAAAGTGTAGGTGCTTTGGAAGGAATAAAGAGGTTTTATAAATGTAAGTCTCTATCTTTACTTAGACAAAATTATATAATCAGGAATTCCTTTTTGAGTTTATCTTCCTTTAGGAGGGTGTCAAAAGGCTGATAGCTGAGCCTTTGCAGAATATAGCAATATCTTCTGAGAAACACAATGACTAATATCAGAAAACTCAGTAATTTACTATACTTTTACTTATACAAGTGTGGACAGAAAGTCAATAGGCTATGCATATAAAAGCCAAGTGTCCTGCTAAAACTAAAGAGCAAAGAAGGAATTGTGTTGAACAAATGATTGTGCATATCATGTTTTTTTAATGCATAGTTGAATAATTTTTACTTTTCCATTATGTGATATGTCTTCTCTCTCTTTATATATGTGTGTGTTATGTATGTAATGTATGTTATTTATAATATATATATTGTTTGTGTTTTATTACATACAACACAATTATGTCTGAACGTCAATACATTTACATTATGTTTGAAAGTCAGTACATTTACTAACATTTACATATACCTTTAGGGTTTGTAAAATTATTTTTTCTTGTCACTCTTGTCATCTATCAAGTGTATTTAAGAGACAACTGTCAGTTATGGTACAGATGTATAATAGATGTTCATTTAATGTCAGTGTGTAGATGAGTGTGGAGCCATCTTAACAGTACTTCAGTGCCTCATCTCTAGACAGAAAACTAGTTGTAGCAACTGTGACTGGAATGAAAAATAGAGACAAGTAAATGATATCAGGAAATGGACAAGTGAGGGACTCCAGTTCTTCAGCGTATACTACAAACCAGGTACTTCTGCCCCTTTCCCCTTAGTATCCTCACCAAAAAACAGAGACAATAATCCACACTTATTTTTAAAGAATCCCTGGGGATTAAATGTATTAATTCAAATAAAGCAATTAGAAAATTAGCAAATCAATAGTTGAGAAGTTTTTTGAGCCTTTGTAAGATCTTTTTTTTTTAAACTTTTAAGTTCAAGGGTACATGTGCAGGTTTGTTACACAGGTAAATGTGTGTCATGTGGGTTTGTTATACAGATCATTTCTTTACCCAGGTATTAAGCCTAGTACCCTCCTCCTACCCTCCACCCTCTAATAGCCCCAGCATGTGTTGTTCTCTTCTATGTGTCCAGTTGTTCTCATCATTTAGCTCCCACTTATACGTGAGAACATGCAGTATTTGGTTTCCTGTTTCCCCTCAGTTTGCTAAGGATAATGGCCTACAGCTCCATCCATATCCCGGCAAAGCACATGATCTCATTCTTTTTATGGCTGCATAGTATTCCATAGTGTATATGTACCACATTTTCTTTATCCAGTCTATCATTGATGGGCATTTAGGTTGATTTCATGTCTTTGCTATCGTGAATAGTGCTGCAACAAACATCCAAGTGTATGTGTCTTTATAATGGAATGATTAATATTCCTTTGGGTACATACCTAGTAATGGGATTGCTGGGTCAAAGAAATATCTTTCTAAGATCTTAACAGTGCAAGATTAATGGGATGACCTTGGCTAGAGTACTGATCAAATGCAAGTTTTAAAAATGCATTTTTTAATAAAAGCATACTTTATGCATTGGTATCAGCAAGAAGTGAAAATGGGCTTAGCAAATATTGCAGCCTTAAGAACTTTTAGAACAAAGTCTAGGGACTCTAGACTTGAACAATTTTACTTCATTCACTACCCCTTCCATCTGTTTGCTGTATATATATAGGAACTCTAGACTTTGAACAGTCTAGACTGTGAGGAGTGTCATGCAAAGCTCAGTGAAATTGTGCATTAGAAGAAATAGTATCGGCCAGGCATGGTGGCTCATGCCTGTAATCCCAGCACTTTGGAAGGCCGAGACGGGTGGATCATGAGGTCAGGAGTTTGAGACCAGCCTGGCCAACGTGGTGAAACCCTGACTCTACTAAAAATACAAAAATTAGCCAGTATGGTGGTGCACGCCTGTAGTCCCAGCCACTTGGGAGGCTGAGGCAAAAGAATCACTTGAACCCGGGGGGCTGAGGTTGCAGTGGGTGGAGATCATGGCACTGACTCCAGCCTAGGTGACAGAATGAGACTCTGTCACAAAAAAAAAAGAATAAATAGTATCTTTGAAGGCCTAAAACAGCTGAGATCTTGCCTCGCTAGGTTTTACCCTTACTAATATATTTCTTGATTCCTTCATATGAAGGAAGTTTTATTACCTCTGTCTAGGCAGTCTCGGTGTCAATGGGGAAGACAGAACCTAAGTTTCAGCCATACTTGAAATGTAGTTGGGGAAAGTGGGGCCCTGATGACAGGCTTGCCTATGGGTGGAAGAGTCAGTTTTCAATAGCAGATATAATTTGAAGCCATGTCTGAGAAGGCAGTAGATGAACCAGCCCAGCAAACATGGCTAAGTGACAGACATAGACAATATGATCGAAGAACAAAGGAACTGAAGCCGAAAAATGACATGATTTCATATGGGTTGTAGAAAAATCTCTCTGGCATACATGTGGAGGACAGAATGGTGAGAGGCCAACCGGAGACAGGGAAACTAATGAAGGACTTGTTGAAGAGATACTTAGGGCCAGACTGTGGCAGCAACAATTGGATTCTCTGGATCAGGGGTTGGCAAACTATGGCTGAGAGGCCAAATCCAGCCAATTGCCTGGGTTTGAAAATAAAGTTTTATTGGCAAACATCCACACCCATTTATTTATGCATCGTCTCTGGCTGCTTTCATGCTGCAATGGCAGAGCTGAGTAGTTAGGATAGAGACCATATCGCCTGTAAAGCCCAAACTATGTACTCTCTGGCTTTTCATGGAAATAGTTTGCTGACCTTTTCTCTAGATGGATTCTCCCAAAATGTAGGTCATCTCCCCCTACTCAGGCCACACTAATTCTTCAGTAAAATATTCTCAACTCTCTGAACTGCCTTACTGGCCTGGTATTTTAGCAAGAGATCACTACAAAATTCTCATCTTAAAAGCACAGACTTCTGCGTGAAACCGCTTATGACACAGAAAATTAAAAAAGGATACAGACACAGAGCACCAAAAGAAACTAAAAGCAATGTAATGAAAAAGTGTTTAGTGTACTTTTGCTGTTATTCAGAGCCAAAGGGCCAAAAACGCAGTGTTATTACTTGTTCAGAACTTGCTTCTATCTGTCCTAAAAGTTATATATTGTTAAAGTAAGTCTCTTTTCAGCAAACCTGCCCCCTTCAGGCACTCAAACATGTGACTACACATGAACTATTTCCATTCTTTTCCCAGAGAAACAGAGCAGAGAAGGCAAGGCATAAAGTCATCTTTAGGCTAAAACACTTTCATCGAGATTTTCAGGTGATAGAAAATAGTAGTCCCCCTGCTCGCGTGAAGATAGAGGCTGCCTGAGGCAGCCATATTCTATTCTATTAAACATTCTATATTCTAAATATTGGGTATTTATCTTTATATTACATATATATATATGTATATATATGTATGTATGTATTTTGTTGATATTTAAAAGCATTTAGGCAGGGCAAATTGCCTCTACTTTGCCATAGACTTCACCTGGACTTTTAGAAACTTAATGTATCTTGGATCTGTTTGACAACCCCCATACCAAGTAAGTGTAAATGCTATTCTTGAGTCTATTTCTCTCTCTTTATTTCTCTCTCTCTCTCTCTCTCTCAGTAGTTATTGATAGGTACATAGCAAGCATCTCTGTGCTACAAACTGTGAAAATGAACAAATATGTTAGACCTGTCCCTTACCCTTGAGGAGCTTATAACTAACCCATCATGGTAAGCAGACATTAAGCAAAACAAACAAATACTATAAAATAAAAATTGGTACAATATTCTGGTAAAAAAAAAAACAGCGTTCTATAAGAGTATCTAATAAGCATGTCAATTTCAAATACCCACAACTTTTCCTAGCCCTTCGACGAAAACAACTCGCTTATTTGAACTACATCCACATGGTCCCCATAATACAGCCTGTCCCCCAGCCTCACACATTAGCAGTAGAAGTGAGACCCTGAATATACCTGAAAGAAACCGCTCCTCTCCAGTTTTACCAACCCAATCTGCCCAGCAGAACTTGGGGGTAATTCCATTGTGCCCACATCCCTGTGCACATCATTCTCCACAAGAAATCCAATGAACCCATATAATCTAAACTGTCCATCTACTTGCTCTAACCTGGCTCTTCCATGAGGACACCAATTTCCCTGTGACTCTCTCAAGTAGAGGCTGTGTTTTTTTCCATACCCTCAAATTACTGGTCCTGGAAAGAGATGGATATAATTCTTGCTCTTCAATGTTACTTCAATTTTTTTTCCTCGGAACTACAGGCCCCCAACCCCCATCCTACCTACCACCTCACCTTGAAACTCATGCCATCACATTATAACACCTGCTACTCTTCCTTATTTCAGTCATCTATGGCTCCATGGTTTGCATACACCCACGTTTCAAGAATATGTGTGTGCCTCTCTCCAATTTCATGTAGATAATCTTGCCCTCTACCCATTTTCATGGACACATTCCATTTTTCTTTTTTTTTTTTTTTTTTAGACGGACTCTCACTCTGTCACCTTGCTGGAGTGCAGTGGCAGGATCTTGGCTCACAGCTACCTCCACCTCCTGGGCTCAAGCAATTCTCCTGCCTCAGCCTTCCAAGCAGCTAGGACTACAGGTACACACCACCATGCTCGGCTATTTTTTTTTTTTTTTTTTTTTTGTATTTTAGTAGAGACAGTTTCACCATGTTGCCCAGGCTGGTCTTGAACTGAGCTCAGGCAACCCGCCCGCCTCAGCCTCCCAAAGTGCTAGGATTACAGGATTGAGCCACCGTGTCTGGCTGGCACATTCCATTTTTCATTAAGAATAATGTATCACATCCGTAATCTCAATTTCAAGAATTTCCCTCTCCAGCCTACCTCTTATTTTTCCAATCACTCACTCCCATACTTTGCCTCCCCAGACACTTTGACGTTATCAGTTCTACCACCCATCAATCCTATGACATTTTCTCTGTTCCCTCATATCCCTACTGCACTCTTTCCTTAGCTTATATTATGGTCATCTCCTTGCATACCACCTTCATTCTCTTGTTGCCCTCTCACTGTGTTATACCACCTAGGAAAACTTCAACCCTAGCTAAATCCAATTTCCCATCTTCTCTGTGGTGGTATCAGGCAATTGAATGTAGCTGAAGATAAACTCCTAATTCTGCTGGCTGGCCCCACTTTCCACATTTTATGACTGACTTCAGATGGGTTCTTAGAGCTGTTTGGCAGTCCTGCTACATTGCTTTAGTTTCTTTAGTCTCCCAGGCAATTACTGCATATCCTTAACTCTCTGATATCCCTTTACACACTACTCACTCCCAGCTCATGTGATTTTTATATCACTTAAAAAAATAAGCAAGAAAGAGGGAACTTTGCCATTCTTCCACCACAAATTCTGCAAGCATATTTAATTCTGTATCTTCATGCTCTGCCTTCAAGCTTAGTAATATGGATGAACTCTGCCAGCTACTGAATTCAACCCCTTCTCATGTACTGAATTATATTCCTTCTTCCTATTCAAGGAAGTTGCTGTAATAATTGTACACTTTGTCTTTAATCTTCAAATGTTTACCTTTTACTGGATGAATACCATCAGCATAAAAACCTGAAGCATTCTCCCATCAGTACCTCCATTCCATCAGAACTATCTACAGTATGTCTTATCAATAATTAAGAAAAAAAATCTCACACTCTCATCTAGAAATCACCCATTTTTTGTGGCTCTCTACAGAACAACTTCTCAAGTATTATCAACTCTGCTGTCTCCAATTCCTTTCCCCTGATTCCTTCTTGATGGTTCCAATCAGATTTCCCCACCAATGCAGCAAAATGGCTCTTGACATCTATAAAAGCAAAGACCAATTCTCAGTCCTAATGTTACTTTATTATTGGTTGATAAATTCTTCACTTCACTTGAGTTCTGAGACAACACTCTCTCTCCTTCAAAGCATATTTTGCTGGTTCCTCCAATCTCTCCAGCTTCTTTATAGTGTTCTGAGACTCGGACTTCAGACCCCTTTTCTTCTTTATCTACCTCACAAACTTACTCAGGATCTTGTTTTAAAACATCATCTATACTGTCATGATTCCTTAATGTATAATGCTGTCCCAACCACTTCTTTGAACTATAGACTTGTGTATCCATCTACTTATGAAAAATCTCCACTTGTATGTCTAACATGAATCTTAAATTTAACCAAATCCCATGATTGATTTTCCCCCTACAAATCTGTTCTTCTGCTTGTATTTTCCATATAAGAAACTGAGAACTCCATTCTTTCAGTTGATTGGCTAAAGCCAAGAATGAAACTTGATTTCTTTCCTTTTCTCACTTCCACATCCAATCCATTAGCAAGTCCATCTTTAAAATGTATGTAGACTCTGACCACTTTCACCACCATCTTTCCCCAGGATTATTGCAATAGCCACTTAACTGGACTCCCTGCTTCCACTCTTGCTCATTAAGTCTTTTTTCCACAAAGCAGTGAGAGTGATCCTTTAAAAATGTGAGGTTAGATTATGCAATTCTTCTCAGAATGCTTCAGTAGTTTTCAACTCACAAGAAAACAGAAGAGCCTAGGAGTCCCTACTTGATATGTGTACCACACCATCCCCACCCCTGACTCTTTCCTTTGCTCACCTTGGTTTAGGCCTCCTACAATATTGATGCCGCTTCTTACTGATCATGTCTGGAGTACTCTTCCACACCTGTTCTAATTACCATTCCTGCATAACAAATTACCCTACATCTTATTGGTATAAAATGACAACTATTTATTTTGTTTATGATTTTGTGAGCCAGGAAGGACTTCACTAGGCAATTCTTTTTTTTTTTTTTTTTTTTTTTTTTTTTGAGACGAAGTCCGCTCTGTTGCCCAGGCTAGAGTGCAGTGGTGAAATCTCAGCTCACTGCAACCTCTGCCTCCTGGGTTCAAGTGATTCTCCTGCCTCGGCCTCCCGAGTAGCTGGGACTACAGGTACATGCCACCACACCTGGCTAATTTTTTGTATTTTTAGTAGAGACAGGTTTTCACCATATTAGCCAGGATGGTCTTGATCTCCTGACCTTGTGATCTGCCAGCCTCGGCCTCCCAAAGTGCTGGCATTACAGGAGTGAGCCACCGTGACCACGCTAGGCAATTCTTACTTGACAACTCTTTGAAAACTCAACTGAGACTGTCAAACATAACACTCACACCATATGTGTTCTCCCTCTAATGGTAGTCTCGGAGTAGGTGGATATCTCACATGGCTACTGGATTTCCTCACAGGGGGCATCCCAAGAAAACAAATGAGAGCTACGTGGGCTTTGATGACATGGCCTCAGATTACACAGCATCACTTCCTCCCTACTGTGTTGGTTGAAGTAGTTATAATCCTGCTCAGATAAAATGGGGATTTCTTGACATTTTCAATGACAGAATTTAGGGGGCCACATTTCAAAGTATCCCACACTTCAATCCCAAATATTCTAATGGCTCTGTTACTCAATTCTGTTAGGTGATTGTTCAAATTTAACTTTATTAAGAGAAATCTTACCTGACTACCATCCTGAAAATAGCAGATCTCATACCAACTCCCATATAAACCCCCAGGCTTGCCAGCACTCCCCAGCACTCTCTATCACTGCCAGCACTTACTATCCCCCCTCCTGCTTTATTTCACACTGAAACATTTACCATGACATAATGCATTATATTTTTTGTTTACTTCATGTCTGTGTCTTCCCACTAGTATACATACTCCATGAAGGCAGAGGTTTTTTCCACTGTATCACCAGCACCCTTCGAGGTACTTGCCAGACAAAAAGTGTGCAATAAATATTTGTTGAATGTTGAATGAACTATAATAGCATGCTTCTGTCACTCTCATGAGATATTCATAACTTTTGACTTTGTTTTTTAATTATTTATGTACTTGTCCTCTCTGCTATTAGAAATTAAGCTCCTTGGCTGGGCACGGTGACTCATGCCTGTAATCCCAGCACTTTGGGAGGCCACCATGGGTGGATCACTCAAGGTCAGGAGTTTGAGACCAGCCTGGCAAACATGGTGAAACCCTGTCTCTACTAAAAGCACAAAAATTAGCCAAGTTTGGTGGTGCACACTTGTAATCTCAGCGACTTGGGAGGCTGAGGCAGGAGGATCACTTGAACCCGGGAGACAGAGGTTGCCATGAGCTAAGATGACACCACTGCACTCCAGCGTAAGCAACAGAACAAGACCCTGTCGAAAAAAAAAAAAGAAGAAAGAAAGAAGGAAGGAAGGAAGGAAGGAAGGAAAGAAAGAAAGAAAAGAAAGAAAGAAAGAAAGAAAGAAAGAAAGAAAGAAAGAAAGAAACAAGGAAAGAGAAAGAAAAAGAAAGAAAGAAAGAAAGAAAGAAAGAAAGAAAAAGAAACAGAGAAATTAAGCTCCTTGAGGATGACAAAGAGGTGATTTTCATCTTTATGCCTCCATTGTCTAAGAAATTGCATACAAATTGTAAATGCTCACTAAATACTTTAATAAAAGAATTAAGATAGAAAAAGTTAATCTATACCAAATATATGGTATATTAATATGCTTGGATGGCCAAAATGAAACACCATAGACTGAATCACAAAAAATAAAAATTTATTTTCTCAGAGCTTGGGAAACTAGAAGTTCAGAAACAAGTTTTGGCTGATTCAGTTGCTGGCGAGGGCTCTCTTTCTCACTTGCAGACAGCAGCCTTCTCATTGTGTCTTTTCATGGCAAAAAGAGAGAGAGCTCCTCTGTTCTTTTTCTTGTAAGGCCACCGGTTCTAATGGATTAGGGTCTCATGTATGTGACTCATTACCTACAAAAAAGACCCTATTTCCAAATACAGTTACATTATGAGTTAGGGTTTCAGTATATTAATTTTGGCAGGGCATGATTCAGTTTATAACATATGGTGATAAAGCTGCCCTAAGCATGTTCTCAGTTGTGTGTTAGAAAATAGGTTGTAGAAGAATAAAATTAATTAAAATAATGACATATAGTCTGAAAGTACAAATATTTCAGCTTTGATGTTTTTCCAACTAGCATTTTGCATTCCAATTTTTTTGAGGTTAAAGGGGCCTACCAAATTAAGCGGGCAGAATGATATCTTCTAAACCCCATTTGCGTAACAAACAGCTGCTCTGAGCTGCTCACTCCTTGCTGTGTAACTTGCCCTCAGTATGAATGATGAGATGGGACTGTCTTGTGTAAAAATAGGTCTGCTGTTTTCCTCTCCTCTACTGATGCTGAACTACTCTTATAGCCAAATATTTCTCTGTAGCTTTTATTAGTCTCTTACTTCTGTCTCTGTATGCAGTTTATACTATTAAATTCCCTGTTTTTGTACTTGCTAATTTTCCAGTTCTGTATTACCAAAGCTTTGTCTTTAACTATGTGTTATTGAAAGACTATTCTTTCAGTAAGCTCTGTGTTAGTCAGAAAACAACATTCCCTGGGTCCAATAATGTTGGTAAACACTGGGTGGTAAGTGCCACTTGGAATTGATAAATTTATTGACTTCTCTTTAAACTGCTGCTAGTTTGGCAGTATCTTTGAGGTTTTGCCATGTCTTAAACTCATTTTCCAACTTTCTGGACAAAAAGAAAATCTGCCTAATATGAACTATTTGATAGCTGACTCTTCTTTCACACACCTGAGGAATTAGCCCGCTCAATATGCCACGGGGGGCACTTCACACATATTTATTTCATTAAATTTTTAACCACTTTCATCTTTTTCTTTTTTTTGCAAAATTTTGGGTCATAATGTGTCCAGAATTGGTGGGTTCTTGGTCTCCCTGACTTCAAGAATGAAGCCGCAGACCCTCGTGGTGAGTGTTACAGCTCTTAAGGTGGCGCGTCTGGAGTCTGTCCCTTCTCCTGTTCAGATGTGTTCAGAGTTTCTTCCTTCTGGTGGGTTCGTAGTCTCGCTGGCTTAGGAGTAAAGCTGCAGACCTTCGCGGTGAGTGTTACAGCTCTTAAGGCAGCGTGCCTGGAGTTGTTCCTTCCTCCCGGTGGGCTCGTCGTCTCGCTGGGCTCAGGAGTGAAGCTGCAGATCTTCGCGGTGAGTGTTACAGCTCATAAAAGCAGTGTGGACCCACCAAAGAGCGAGCAGTAGCAAGATTTATTGCAAAGAGCGAAAGAACAAAGCCTCCACGGTGTGGAAGGGGACCAGAGCTGGTTGCCAATGCTGGCTCGGGCAGCCTGCTTTTATTCTCTTATCTGGCCCCACCCACATCCTGCTGATTGGTAGAGCCGAGTGGCCTGTTTTGTCAGGGTGCTGATTGGTGCGTTTACAATCCCTGAGCTAGATACAAAGGTTCTCCACGTCCCCATCAGATTAGTTAGATACAGAGTTTCGACACACAGGTTCTCCAAGGCCCCACCAGAGCAGCTAGATACAGAGCGTCGATTGGTGCACTCACAAACCTTGAGCTAAACACAGAGTGCTGATTGGTGTATTTACAATCCCTGAGCTAGATATAAAGACTCTCCAGGTCCCCACCAGACTCAGGAGCCCAGCTGGCTTCACCTAGTGGATCCCGCACCAGGGCTGCAGGTGGAGCTGCCTGCCAGTCCTGTGCCATGCGCTGGCATTCCTCAGCCCTTGGGTGGTCGATGGGACTGGGCGCCGTGGAGCAGGGGGTGGCGCTCGTCGGGGAGGCTCGGGCCGCACAGGAGCCCACGGAGGGGGTGGGAGGCTCAGGCATGGCGGGCTGCAGGTCCCGAACCCTGCCCCGTAGGAAGGCAGCCAAGGCCTGGCAAGAAATCGAGCGCAGCGCCAGTGGGCTGGCACTGCTGGAGGACCCAGTACACCCTCCGCAGCCACTGGCCTGGGTGCTAAGTCCCCCACTGCCCGGGGTCAGCAGGGCTGGCTGGCTGCTCCGAGTGCGGGGCCCACCAAGTCCCCACCCACCCGGAACTCCAGCTGGCCCGCAAGCGCCGCACGCAGCCCTGGTTCCCGCTCGTGCCTCTCCCTCCACACCTCCCTGCAAGCTGAGGGAGTGTGATCCAGCCTTGGCCAGCCCAGAAAGGGGCTCCCACAGTGCAGTGGGGGAGCTGAAGGGCTCCTCAAATGCCACCAAAGTGGGAGCCCAGGCAGGGGAGGTGCCGAGAGCAAGCGAGGGCTCTGAGGACTGCCAGCATGCTGTCACCTCTCAATAATAGCAGGCAGGTAAATGGAAGAAAAGTAATTATTTCATTTTTACTTACTTAAAATAAAATGTTTTCTTTTTCACATTTAAGCTTGAGCCAGCTGGGCGCAGTGCCTCACACCTGTAATCCCAGCACTTTGGGAGGCCGAGGCAGGTGGATTGCTTGAGCTCAGGAGTTTGAGACCAGCCTGGTCAACATGGTGAGACCCCCATCTCTACTAAAAATACAAACAAACAGCCGGGCATGGTGGTGCATACCTGTGGTCCCAGCTACTCAGGAGGCTGAGGTGGGAGGATCAATTGAGACAGGGAGATGAGGCTGCAGTGAGCCGAGATCACCCCACTGCACTCCAGCCTGGGTGACAGTGAAATTCTGTCTCAAAAAACAAAAACAAAAACAAAAACAAAACAAACAAACACAAAAAGCAAAGCTTGAGCCAATTACAAAGAGGTAATGGTGAATGTGTGTGTGTGTGTGTGTGTGTGTGTGTGTGTGTGTGTTTCAGAGAGAGAGAGTTGGGGGCAAGGGAGAAAGAGAGAGATTCCTGGATTGCAGTCTAATTGGAAAGTATACAAATAATGAGAAACTAACGGAGAAATTATTGATGTTATATTTTTGTGGCAAGTAGTTCTGTCCCATTAAAGGCTTTGAGACTGTCCTTTGGATTAAATGCTCTTTTAAGTGAGAAAGCACTTTCAGATAATCAAAATTCACTCTTCTCATTAAGTTCTCAGGACTGATCGCTATATAATGACACTCTAATTGAAACATTTCCAAGTTGCAAATCCAAGTGTCCAAGAAGGAATCACACAAATATGTCTCTTATGTTGCTCTCTTTTACCTTTTGAAGGCTTTCACTTCCCTTTCTATCATTCTCTCCTCTAACACTCTCTCTCACTTTTCTTGTTCCTCCTCTTCTTGACACAAAGTCTCCTTAAGGATATTTTTTCTTATCTGACCTTACTAAGACAAAAATCATTTTGAAATTATATCAGATAAACTTCACACTAAAGACAATGAATCATTAACAAAAGCATTTCCCCCAAGAAGCCCAATGAAACACCTGCTTGATCTTTTTAGTTTCTGTTTGTTTCTTCCTTGAAACTTGTGTAATGTTTGCCATAATTGGCTACTTTTGCCACATGACGCTGTCTTATTTTAAGCATGTCTCTTAACCTCTCTGGGTTACACAATCCTCAACATGAGAGGCTAGAAGGATTAGATAATCTCCAATATCTCCCCTAGCTCAAAATTTTACCATTTTTTACTGTGGTGGTGTGCACGCAGTGAGAAGGGCTAGTGAGTTTGCAAGGACTCAGTTCAATGAGAGAGGCTGAGCTTTCATTGCCAGCTGACCCTCCATTAGCTTCTTCCAAATGTTAGTTTAATCTTTTATTGACTTGAACTTGCTTTTCCCTTTATTCATCTTTCTCTAGTGACTTTATACATCTGTAACATATAATTCCATAGTCTTCAGGTTCATTATTCTTCATACACTTCATTAAAGCAGTCAACATGAATAGGGTATATTGTAAAAGACACTCATTTAGGTCAGTATTTACTAAATATTTGGCATAGAAAGTAGTAATAGAATTTCTTAGTATCCAAATAAATTTATTCTAAAATAGCATTCTTATGATTTTGTTTGGCAGGATAAAAATATTTAATGATGGTTTTGAACACATCTATTCAACAGAATCTTGAGCCACAGTCTAGGTCAGAGGCAAATTTAAAAAAAGGATTTTTTTTTTAATTTTTTAAAATTTTTATTTAAAGTATTTTGTTTTATTCTTTCTTTTTATTTATTTATTTATTTATCATTATTATTATACTTTAAGTTTTAGGGTACATGGGCACATTGTGCAGGTTAGTTACATACGTATACATGTGCCATGCTGGTGTGCTGCACCCACTAACTCGTCATCTAGCATTAGGTATATCTCCCAATGCTATCCCTCCCCCCTCCCCCCACCCCACAACAGTCCCCAGAGTGTGATGTTCCCCTTCCTGTTATCCACTCTTGCTGACAGCACTAGATTTTTAGGAACAAGTACGAGAACACAGAGCAGAAAGGTGGGACCAGGAAGGCAATAATCCGTCGTTTCCTGGCTGAAAGGTGACCATTTTAATGATGTTTTTGTTAACTTAAGTGACAGAGGCCATGCTGCCAAGACTGGTTCTAATGGCATATTAAGCTTGCTAATGGTCCACCTGGCTCCTCGTCCCTCGCTCTTTTTAAACTTAGCAGATGTGGCCACTAAACTACTACCCTTATTTTCAACCTCTACCACATGAACTGAAAAATTAATTCTTGGGAAGCAGGGAATATTAAGAGCATTAATCAGATTTATCCAGCTTATTGTCAAGTCTGACTTGCTATGTTTTGGTCATCCAGTTGTGAAACTCCTGTTGTCTTGCCTTAGCATCCAATTCTTGGATTCCAATCCCTGCTGTCATAACTACCATTTCTACGGCTCTGATTTATTGGTGTATTTCCTTGATAAGACTCTGATGCCCATTTTTATCAGAACATGCCCTTTTGCGTTCATGTACTTCCACCAGTTCTTTTCTTTCTGTACACATATTAAACCTGCCAATTTAGAACTTATTACCTCCTCAGCCCTTTTTCCAGATTCACAAGCTTTCATTGTTCTTGGCTTAATTCATTCATTCATTTTCTCTCCCATGATTTCATTATTTTTTGTGCCCCCAAATAGAATTCCATTGTGTATATATACCACATTTTCTTTATCTTTTCGTCCATTACTGGTCACTTAGGTTGATTCCATATCTCAGCTACTGTGATTAATGCTGCAATGAACATGGCACTGCAGGTATCCCTTTGATATACTGGTTTTCTTCCCTTTGGATAAATACCAAGCAGTGGGATTGCTGAATTGTATAATAGTTCCATTTTTAGTTTTTGAGAAAACTTATACTGTTTTCCAGAATGGCTGCACTACTGCACTACTTTAAAATCTCACCAAAACTGTATGCATTCTTTTTTCTCCACCTCCTCACCATCTGTTGCTTTTTATCTTTTTGATAATAGCCATTTTAACTGGGTAAGGGGATATCTCATTGTGGTTTTAATTTCCATTTCTCTGATGATTAGTAATCTTGAGCATCTTTTCATACACCTGTTGGCCATTTGTATGCTTTCTTTTGAAAAACATTTGTTCAGATCCTTTGCCCACTTTTTAATAGAAATATTTGTTTTGTTTCGCTGTTGATTTGTTTGAGTTCCTTGTATATTCTGGATATTAGTCCCTTATAAGATGAATAGTTCACAAATATTTTCTCCCATTCTACAGACTGCCTCTTCCCTCTACTGATTGTTTCCTTTGTTTTACAGAAGGTTTTAGTTTAATATAGTCCCTTTTGTTCACTTTTATATCAATACCATGCTATTTTGTACGAGAGCCTTGTCATATATTTTGAAGTCAAGTAAGGTAATGTCTACATCTTTGTTCTTTTGGCTCAGGATTGCTTGGCTCTTTGGGCTTTTTTGTTTGTTTTGGTTCCTTGTGAATTTTATAATTCTTTTTTCTAATCCTGTAATTGTTGTATTTTCATAGGGATTGCATTGAATCTGTAGATGGCTTTGGGCAATATGGCCATTTTAACAATATCGATTTTTCTAATCCATGAGCATGGGATATCTTTCCATTTGTTGGTGTCCTCTTCAATTTCTTTCATCAGTGTTTTGTAGTTTTCATAGAAGAGATCTTTCAACTCCTTTATTAAATTTATTCTGAGAGGTTTTTTTGTAGATATCGTAAATGGGATTGCTTTCTTGATTTCTTTTTCAGCTAGTTTGTTATTGGTGTGTAAAAATGCTACTGATTTTTTATGCTGATTTTGTATCCTGAAACTCTGCTAAATTTATTAGTTCTAAGACCTTTTTGGTGGAGTACTTAAGTTTTTCTATATATAAGATCATGTCATCTGCAAAAAAGAAAATTTTCGCTTCCTCTTCTCTAACGTAGATGCCTTTTATTTCCTTCTCTTGCCTGATTTCTCTGGTAAGAGCTTCCAGCAATAAGTTAAACAAGAGTGGTGAGAGTGCACATCCTTGTCTCTAAAGGGCATTTAGCTGTATTTATACTATAGTGTTTCAAGTAACCCAACATCTCTGATAGGGTATTTGGTTCTTATTTTCCTTATTTTATTTTTTTTTATTTTCCTGCCTGATTTTGCTAACACCAAAGAAAGTCAGCTATGACACTGGAAATGGCCACACATGATTAGAAACTTACAAGAAGACTGAATTTGAGTAGGGAGAAAAAAATCTTTCTTCCCCACTGGGAGTTCTCAACGGCTGGTATTTTCAAGATCTCTCTTCTTTACTCTAGTCTTCTATTTCTTATCTTCAGTGATCCTTGTGAACATATTACAGCTGTTTTTCTCTTTAGACTTCTTTGATTCCAGCTCTTCTACTTCTTCACTGTGAACTTGAGCATGGTTCTTAAGCACTCTGTGCCTCAGTTTCGTGATCTAAAAAATGTTATAAAGTTCACACCTACCTCATAAAACCTCTGTGAGTATTAACTGAATGAATTAAATAATATGGTTAGAAATGTGCATGGCACATAGCAAGCAGTGGCTGAGTGTTGATGTCACTCATATTGTAGGAGATGGGCATACCTGCCTTTGTCACATGAAAGTATCTAGTTTCAAATTCATGGAATCTCCTAGACACTTATGCCCTCTCTACCATTGTTTACCTAAGGTAAGACCTCATTTAAATCTATCATAAAGCCAACATTCAAACAGTTCAGTCTCAGAGTTGGTGTCACAATTAAAGAAAGAAATAGGATGGATTAACCTCCCATAGAAGTAGATAAGCCAATAAAGAATATCCAAAAAATGTGCCAAATACACATTTTAAATATTTTATATTAACTATTGAACTAGAAGGAAATAAGAAAAATCCTTGGACTCTAGAAACGACTAGAAAGCATCCAGGGAAGCAGGCATATCCTGAATCCATGTTCATCCAATTGCGTGTATGAATTCCTGGTGGCTAAAAGTGAGTCTTGACAGGCATAACAAGAAATAAGAGATAAAGCTAGCGCCCACGAAAGATGGGAGTCATAAAAGGGAACATAAAAATGTAAATTAGAAAAAAAAAACACAGTTCCCCACCAGCAGCCTGCCCAGATAGTAATTTGTGTGAAAATGCAAATTATAAAAGGATACTAATAGAATATTATTTTTACTCAAAGTGACTAAACTTGATATTTTCAGGAAAACATGAATATGTAGTAAGACTATAAAGAAACTAAGGGAATGGTTAATCATTCAGGACAGGGGTTTCCTGCAAGGTATATGTATGTGGAAGGTAATCTAGACAAGGTGAGGAACACAGTGAGCCTCACATATATCAGTGTAATGTTTTAGTTCTTCAACCAAATAGTGAGTGCCCAGGTATTTGTTTCAATATTATCGTTTAAAATCTCTCTTGACATGTGTTACATCAATTATTTTAATTTTAAAAAGAAAAATAAAGAACATATCTACATAATAAGTAATTTCAAAATACTACAAATTCCTTCCATGTTTTTCAAAATCTTAAAAGTTTTCAGGCCAGGCGTGGTGGCTCATGCCTATAATCCCAGCACTTTGGGAGGCCAAGGCAGGCAGATCACCTGAGGTCGGAAGTTTGAGACCAGCCTGGCCAACATGGTGAAACCCCGTCTCTACTAAAAACACAAAAATTAGCCAGGCGTGGTGGCAGGTGCCTGTAATCCCAGCTACTCGGGAGGCTGAGGCAGGAGAATCACTTGAACACGGGAGGCGGAGGTTGCAGTAAGCCAAGATCACGCCATTGCACTCCAACCTGGGGGACAAGAGCAAGACTTCATCTCAAAAAAAAAAAAAATGGTTTTTGAAATCTTAAAAGCAAGTCCACGGTCACATGGACTTCACCATTCTGCTATCATTAAAACCTAATAGTAGAGGCCTGGCAAGGTAGCTCAGGCCTATAATCCCAGTACTTTGGGAGGCCGAGGCAGCAGATTACTGGAGGTCAGGAGTTTGAGACCAGCCTGGCCAACACGGTGAAACCCCATCTCTATTAAAAATACAAAAATTAGCCAAGTGTGGTGGCACGCACCTACAGTCTCAGCTACTCGGGAGGCTGAGGCAGGAGAATCATATGAACCTGGGAGGTGGAGTATGCAGTGAGCAGAGACCACGCCACCACTGCATTCCAGCCTGGACACAGTGAGACTCCATCTCAACAACAACAACAACAAAAAACAAACTCTATCAGTAGAGAAGAATGTGAAGGACAGTCAGTCAAACAAAGAAGCAGCAAGGAAGCTGGTTAGGAGCTAAACCAATCGCTGAGCTGCATTAGGCAATTGCGATCCATTCTCCCATCTCCTGGACTTGGCCAACACCCAAAGTCTCTCTGAATTGCTCTCCCTCCCCCACCACCTGTTTTTTAACCAGACTATTTAGAAAAAAATTCCTTCCTCTTTCTGCAGTGGGGATTTGGGGAGATTTGTCCTCACAAACACAAGATTCATTTGTTAACTCGTGGTGCTTCTAAAAAGACTGAACATTCCCAGATAAATAATTAGTTATTTCCTTCCGATTTAATTCATGTACTTAACAAATATTTACTAATCACCTACTTCATGTCAGACACTGTTATATGTGCAAGAATAGAATGGTAAACAAAATACAGGCTCTGACTATATGCATTTTACAATTAAGTGGCTAAAATGGGCCAAAAGTGAAGGAAAAAACAAAACTCCATGAATACACACGTGCTCTAGGATGAAAAATAGCCCAGAGTAATGGAGTTCTGACCAGTAGGGGTGGCTATTGTAGACAGGCTGATAAGTAAATTATTTTCATTTCTAGGGAGGAGACTTTTAGACAGAAACTTGCATAAAATGAGGCAACAGTTTATGTGTTCTAGACCGGGTGACTACAAGGTACAATGACCTGGGATGGGAACTTGCTTAACTTGTTTAAGAAGTAGCAAGAAAGCCAGTATTGCTGCAAGTGTGTGAGCAAAGGAAAGACAGCCAAGTTATGCAGCCAGTGTGGTCTCAGGAGCCAGATCCTAAAAGCAGGAATTCTTAGCACAAGGCAGGAACCTTGAAGTTTATTACACTGGGATGAGAAGACATTGAGTAGTTTTGAGCAAGAAAGTTATAGATCATGTTTTATATTTCAAAGGTTGATATGTGGGGGGCAAACAGAAGGCTTGGTAAGAGGGCAGCAGCAGAACTAGTTCAGAAGGTATAGTACAAAATCTATGTGGGAAAGAACAATACCTCAGACAATGCTATAGAAGTGGACCTTTTCAGAGTTTTTGTTTGAATGTATTGTGAAGGCGGCATATATGAGATGTGTTGCTCTCCGGTGCAATAAAAAGAGAGGCAGCAAGGATAAGGGGAAGATTCTGGTGTATCAGGTTCGGAGTGGTGCTGTAGATGGGCATAGGAAACACTGGGAGACAGGGAAGCTGAGGAGAGTGGGGTCAAGAGATCAGTTGTGGCAGGTGAAGTTTGATCTGAGCCCAGTGGAGCCATCACTAGGAGCCTAAATTCAGGGTAGAATTTTGACTGGAGATAAAATTTTGGGAATCTTAAGAACTGAATTGCAGTGTAGCTAGTCCAACATGGAAAGATCATCTAATTAATGCAGTGCTTAATAAGGGCACTGCAACATGTATAGATCAAGAGAAAGAGGGTGAACCATAAAAGAGACAAAGATCAAGTAGACAGTGAAGTCAAAGGAAAATGAAAGTGGAGAGATCAAGTAAAAAATATGCCAAGGCCAGGTGCAGAGGCTCATGCCTGTAATCCCAACAGTTTGGGAGGCTATGGTGGATCACTTTAGGCCAGGAGTTCGAGACCACCTTGGGCAACATGGCGAAACCCTGTCTCTATTAAAAATACAAAACTTAGCTGGGCATAGTGGCATGCGCCTGTAGTCTCAGCTACTCAGGAGGCTGAGGCACAAGAATGTCTTAAACCCGGGAGGCAGAGGTTGCAGTGAGCTGAGATCATGCCACTGCACTCCAGCCTGGGCAATAGAGTGAGACTCTGTCTCAAAAACAACAAAAAAAGTGTCAAATGGTTTTATCTATGTTAAAAACATCTTAAAGATTAAGGGAGATGAAGGCTGATAATTGACCACTAATTCTGACAATGATAAAATCAATGGCAACCTTGAAAAATGGGTTTCAGTTTTGTTCATGGATAAGTACTTGAGTGGAGTGTGTTCAAGAAAGAATGAGTTGGGGAAGCACAGGCAGCGAGTCTAAACAACTCTCAGTGCAATCTAAAGATTGCCTGCCATTGCTGGTCCAGTGGAAAGGGGAAATCTGAAGACGTAACTGCTGGAGCAAAGGCCTGGAGTAGGAAAAGTGGGATGGGGACTAGGACACAAGTGACCGAGTCAGTTTTAGAAAGTAGTAGAAAAGTCCATCCACTGTGAGAGGAGGAAGGTAAAGTAAGTGGCATGGGTACAGACACATGCAGAGAGGTAGAGGGATGGTGGAGAAATAGAGGCGCACTCATCAATAGAGGCGTACTCATCATTTTCTTTCACAATGGAAGAAAAATGGAAAATGGGATTTAATCTGGGAAAGGAAGTAAGTGTGGATGCTAAAGGAGATAGGAATGCTGGAAACAAAACAAAAGGTTAATAGATTATATACACACTTCTTGCTAAATTAATGTTTGTAATTTTGACTTTGCAAGTAAATATTGTGCTTCGCCTGTGATTTTTTTTTCAGGTGCCTTATCTATTCAGTGAAAAAGAAATAATGGCCTAATTACTTCATGTTTCCATATTCATTACGTCTGTCTACCCCCAAACTGGAAAGCAGTACAGCTTTAAGTGTATGAAGGAGTCTGGTGAAATCAACCATGACATTTGGGATAAGATAAAGATTAAGATTGAATATTTGCATGGGGTCTCTATGTGAAGCTAAGTGAGATTCTAACAGCCCTGAATATGCATGAAAAACTGATGGCTAAAGTCACCCAAAAGTTAATTTGCATGAGGCTTGGGGATCTGCTGGGAATACATTTTTTCTCAGGGAAAAAGCCAGGCATGATAACTTGACTTAATACAATCGTTGGAGTGGATAAAAAATAAACTCTGAGCAGAGCATGGTATCTTTATTCATTTACTTAAATTTGTCACTCAACCTAGTTTTTTTGGACTGTTATCTAAGTCTGACAGTGAGCCAGTGTAGACACATAGGAAATGAAGAAATAAAGAAATGTATCTAATACAGCCGAAATACTTAGGATGTCTCCAATAGTGTATCACCACCAAGTCCCAATGAATACCAGGGAATAATCACCACCTAGTAAAGTGAGTATATACAAGAAATTTCCATGAGACTTCTCATAAATACTTACAAGGGTATTGACTCCATAGGGAGCCTGCAGGGCATCCTAATTAGGTTGGAGCATGAACTGGTACAACTAGGGACAGCTACTTTCTCTACTGGGGAAATTAAGATTTGATTAGAACTCTAAATGAAATTTTGATTAAATAATATTCATGGGAAACTATAGGTAGAGGTAAGTTAAACCAAAAACATTTTGGGTGTCATATGTGGAAGACACTATGTGCTGGGTTGGAAGAGTGTGATGTAGGACAGAGGTTTAAGGACACACAGTATGCATTAGTTATGGAACTGTGTTTAAGAAGTTAGAAGTGTAGGCTGTGTTCAAGAGATATGCTATGTGAATTATATATCTAAAAATCATTGATGTATGCCAGAAGGAGTCTGCATCAAGTTAGGATAAATTGACTATTTGAATAGAAATGATCAAACCTGGACTTGAATTCAACTCTTGACTATAGAGAAGTATTTCCTGTTGATATACTAGTGGATTTCTAACGTTGACCATTAATGGTCTTTGAATAAACCTGTTCACAAGGCTAGTAACCAGATCTAACTATACATTTTCCCAAGATATCCAGATATCCAAAGATACTACTGTGGATCCTTGATGTTTTATATTTATAATTAAGATTTTACTTACACACACAGAAAAAAATTATTTTTGATCCTCATATAAAATGTGTAAGATAAATAGCAACTATTTTGTTATGACCGTTTTATAGAGAGTTTAGGTGACTTGGATCAGATCTGAGACAATAGACTCAAGCATTATTCATACCCCATTACACTGCACGGTTCTCTGTTCCCAGCTCTAAAGTTGCAGCCAGATTTTTAAGGTTTTTATGCTCTAAAATGTCAACCATGTTAAAAGCTTGAGGGGCCTCAGAAGTATTAATCCTAATAAAACAGTTAAGTGTTAGTTATAAAATTAAATAAGAGTTTAATAGTTTCTCTTTTAGGCATGTACCAAAAGAAATGTGTATCTTCATCAAAAGACATGCAAAATAATTTTCATAACATCAGTATCCAAATGCCCATCAACTGTTCAATGTATAAATAGATGGGGTTATATTCATGAAATGCATCATTATACAGCAATAAGAATGAACAAACTACAATTTATGCAATGATATGGACTAATTTAACTAACACGATGTTGAGCAAAAGAGGCTAGAAACAAAATAGTAGATTCATTTCTATTATGCTGTTAAAAGTAAAGACAGTAGTTACCCTTGGTGATGGACAATGACATGAAGGAAGCCTGAGGGTGGGGAATTTCTGAGGTGCTGGCCATGCTTTCTTTGTGCAAATTCATTTACTTTGTATTTTCTTTGTAAAAATAATGTTGCACACTTATGACTATATATTTTGTATGCATATTAGGCTTCAATAATGAGCTTAAAAAATTAAAAAGAATTCTGATTTAATTGGCAAACATTAGCATGTTCTAGCAATAAAAGTTAAGACATGCCCTGATGTAGGCCTGAAAACTACTTCACAAAACCACCATGGGTGGAGAAACTAAACCCTCTGAACCAAAAAAAGAAGTGAGTTCCTAACATCAAGTTAGAAATGAAAAACTTGATGTAATCAAGTATTTTAAAATGTGCTGAATAAGAATTGGGGTAAGCAATTCTCAGAAACAAATTAACTTTTACAATTAACAATCTGGCAGTGATCTTATCCAAATGGGGAAGAAAACCAAACAAACCTGCAAGGAATGCCTAACCAAACCACAGTCAACATATGGATGAGGGAATACTGGTTTGCTGGAAGCAAATATATCCACCAGTTTACGTGGCACACACTATCTGATCTATCTGATAAAATAACTTGTTTATAAAGAAACAATCAGAAGAGAGGGGAAACCTCTATGGGGCTAGCAAAAGATTGCTAATCCGTGAGGTGAGCACTAATCCAATCATCTTCATAAAGTAAATGGTCATGGCTTAGTGATTCCATTCTACCAAATGCCTGGTGAACTAAAGGATCTTTAAAATAAGACTAATGTAAATTACAGGGGTGGCATAAGCTTCTAAGTGCCCACTGTGCTGTGTTGATGCCATTTGAAATCAATTGAGGTTGATAAACACTCTGAGGAATCTCTGCTGCGACTTTTTACAAGGCAGCCAGGTTACAGTAAAATAAAACTAAGATAAGAAGACTTGTTGTGGGAGGAAGCATTGTTCTTCATGGCTTCCTTGAACAATAGAGTGTGGATAGGATCAAAACAAATGACCTGGACTTCATTTTCATTATAGGTACACCACACATACATACACACAAACACACACATACTCCTCAGGTACAAACATATTAATGTGAATAGGTGTACATAAATTTCACATTGCCATAACTTATAATGATTCCAAGATAATTAATTTTTTTTTCTTTTTTGAGACGGAGTCTTGCTCTGTCACCCGGGCTGGAGTGCAGTGGCACAATCTCAGCTCACTGCAAGCTTGCAAGCTCTGCCTCCCTGGTTCACACCATTCTCCTGCCTCAGCCTCCCGAGCAGCTGGGATTACAGACGCTCGCCACCACGCCTGGCTAATTTTTTGTATTTTTATTAGAGATGGGGTTTCACCATGTTAGCCAGGATGGTCTCGATCTCCAGACCTCGTGATCTGTACTTCTTGGCCTCCCAAAGTGCTGGGATTACAGGCGTGAGCCACTGTGCCCGGCTGATAATTGATTTTTTACCACCATATTCATACCAAGCATCTATGTGACCTTTTGTATCCCAGTAGTTGCTCAGAGACCATAGCCCCTTGAAGGCCAATGAACCTGTCTCCGTGTGCCAAGATATGATCCTTACCAGGTTACATGAGACCCCACACACGTATGACCTTCCTCAATGTGATGGCAAGCAGGCAAAGGCATCCAACTTTGCTGTGCTGAGGAGTAAGTTTGCCAGATAAACACAGGGTGCCCAGTTAAATTTGAAGTTCAGATAAATACCATATAATGTTTAGTGTAAGTGTGGCTTGCGCAATATTTGGGAGATAAGCATAATTTAAATATCAGATTCAAATTTAACTGGGTGTCCTTTATTTTTATATGCTAAATCTGGTAACTCTACAGGGAGGAGTCCAGACAAATTCATACCTGAATCAACCAACCAAATTAGGGGAGTAAAGAGGGCAATGTGAGACCTATCCCCCACTTTCTACATTTTCTACCAGCTGCAAGTGAAGTGGAATTTAAAGATAAGCTCTTGCTAACTACTTCCTAGCTTATGGTTTGGTAATCTGGTAAAACACCTTTCTCACATGCATTATATTTTGTTTGCAAATTGGATAAGGAAAACAGTTTAATTGCCAGTTGAGGTTACATCTTTCCTCAGGCATAAATCGCTCAAACAGATCAACCATTGTCACAAATACTGATGAAAAACAAAACAAACAAACGAACAAAAAAAACAGGACAGAAATCTCTGGTGCTGCTAAGTATCTGGTAACTTTACAATTAATGACAAAAATAATGGAGGTTTGATGGAATTTGTATTTGGGACCTCAGGATTAAACCACATTACTGGGAGGCACTAAGATGTACCTAAATAATATAGGCATTATTTATAACATCAGTATCTCATAACATTTAAACTTTAAATTCATGCTTTGTTTTTAACATTTTGTTGATGCTTCTAGCATCATTTATGAGGTGTAAATGAACTAGTTGGAAAAAAAATTATTACTTTTCCCCCTTCGGAATCCTTTATTTTAACATTTTTATTATGATATGACTAAAAAGAAAAGAGCATGATTTGCTAACAGAGGAACCTACAAATAAAAGTAGCTTTCTTTAAATAAAGGTGAATATACGGCACTTCAGTAATGCTCACATTGTTCAAAGCATTTTAGAATTCTTATGGAATCACCATTGCACCCCACCTGAAATTCTTTTGATTAGTTTTGGCATTTTCTCCATTGAAGAATATATTTCATGTGAAGAGTGATTAAGTCATTTAGAATTATGCCCAGCAAATAGGTTTAATCTAGGTTGGTAATACTGTGCTTGGCTAAAAATACTTGGTAGAAAAAAAAGATACTGACCAGGAATCTGACCCTAAACAGCAATGTCAAAAGTGGTACACTAATATAGGCATATGATGACATCACTTTAAATAACCAATTTTGAAGGAATTTCCACGTATGATTTTCAAAGTGTTTCATACAAATATTTGTCTATAACCATAGAAACAGATTTATTTGGCTTTACTCTGAAGTAAACACTTGAGTCAGAAATCACCTGAGAATCTTAGAAATTATCAGTGGAGAACCAGTCACAGGCGATCAATAATGTAATTCACATGATATCTCTTTAGAGGTTGCTTTTTATAAAGAAAATGTCACCTTCCCCATGGACTAATTTCCCTGTTCTTTAGAGATGAATGGTATCGGATGCCATGGTAACATCTAGAAGTGCATACTGCATATGACAGGAGTAACAAATGCTTGTGGGATTTTGACAATCGAACTGCAGGGTCTGAAGGGGTAAAGTCCAAATACTGTTTTGTAAAACCTAAGATTTCATAAGTCAGGAGGAAAATCCAAAGTGTTAGATAGAAATTTATCAACTGAGGCCAGGCATGGTGGCTCAGGCCTATAATCCCAGCACTTTAGGAGACCGAGGTGGGTAGATCACTTGGGTAGAACACTTGAGCCAGGGAGTTCCAGACCAGCCTGGGCAACATGGCAAAACCCCATCTCTACAAAAGATACAAAAATTAGCTAGGCATGGTGGCGTGTGCCTGTGGTCCTACCTAATCAGAAGGCTGAGGTGGGAGGGTCGCTTAAGCCTGGGAGGCAAAGGTTGCAGTGAGCCAAGATCACACCACTGCACTCCAGCCTGGGTGACAGAGTGACACCCCTGTCTCAAAAAAAAAAAAAAAAGAAAGAAAGAAAGAAAGAAAGAAACAAAGAAAAGAAAAGAAAAAAAGAAAAAACAAATCTATCACTTGAAATCTCTGCAGAATATTATCCTTTATCTGATAAGGAATATTAGGCTGAGAATATTTTTTAAAAGCTCAGAAAAGTTTCTGTTCCTTGTTAAGAAAAATATTTGAAAAAGTAAAGTTAGGAGATCCTCTGTTGGAGGATGGTTTTTATGCCAAGGAGCCTGAGATCAAAGACTTCTTTGTCTTGAAAAATATATATTTCTATGACCTAATATTACAGGAACTTGTTTTATTTAGAGATGAGGTTTTTTTCTATTTAACTACTTTTAGACCAAATTTGGTTTATGCAAAAATGGGGCAGAATGTACAGAGTTCCCACATGCCCCTACAGTTTCCTCTACCATCAACAACTTGCATTGCTATTGTACATTTGTTACAATTAATAAACCAGTAGTGATACGTTATTATTATTATTTTTCTTTTTTTTTTTTTTTTTTTTTTTTTTTTTTTTTTTTTTTTTTTTTTTTTTTTTTTGAGACGGAGTTTTGCTCTTGTCGCCCAGGCTGGAGTGCAATGGTGCGATCTCTGCTCACTTCAACCTCTGCTTCCCAGGTTCAAGTGATTCTCCTGCTTCAGCCTCCCGAGTAGCTGGGATTACAGGTGCACACCACCACGCTCAGCTAATTTTTGTATTTTTAGTAGAGACAGGGTTTCGCCATGTTGGCCAGGCTGGTCTCAAACTCCTGACTTCAGGTGATTCACCCTCCTCAGCCTCCCAAAGTTCTGGGATTACAGGTGTGAGCCACCACACCCGGCCGTGATATGTTATTATTAACTAAAGTCCAGAGTTTACATTAAAGTTCATTCTTCATGTTGTATAGTTCCATGTGTTTTTACAAATGCATTGTGTCATGTATCCACCATTACAGTATCAAACATAATAGTTTGACTGCCCTAAAAATGCCCTGTGCTCCTGTTTATCTCTTTTCTCCTCACTCTGAGCTTCAGGCAACTACTGCTCTTTTTATTGTCTTTACAGTTTTGCCTTTTCCAGAATGCCATATAGTTAGAGTCATATAGTTAGTATGAAGCTTGATGGCTCATTTCTTTTTTTTACAAAATAGTATTCCATTTTGTGGATATACCAGGGGTTGTTTCTCTGTTTCGCTATTGAAGGGTATCTTGTTGCTTGAGAATTATTTTTTTAACTACAAAATGATGGTGATTTCTTTTAAAATCTCACTTCAAGAAATCATCCCGTGTTCTGAAACTTCCTGTTTTTTTTTTTTTTTCCTTAGGAATAGTATTTATTCACCTGGCTACCATTTATAACAAATTTTAATAGTCCAGAATACAAGGTTGAAACTTGCTGTAGTGAGAGATTTTATTACATTGTGTTTCTGCCACACTCTCATCCTCTACCAAATTCTCACAGACACACAATTGGGGAAGAAATACTTTATTGTTAATTCCTTTATGTTATCATTCTATCCCACTTCCCCATTTTTACCATCTCTCAGGGGGAACTATCACCATAACTTCTAATTGAATTTTCTCACTCTGGACTTTTCCTCTCCAAAATATGCTCTACACTTCTGCCAGTGACCTATGTAACATGCCAATCACAACACTTCCTGGTTTAAAATTCTGCAAAGATACTCCATTGTCTTCAGGATAAAATCCTGAGATGTAAACACAGCATCAAGTTCTTTTCTGATAAGGTCCATGCCTCGTCATCAGCCTATTATCCTCTGCTTCTATAACTCTGAACTGCATTTGGAACCCCAATTGAGCTTCTATTCTTTTCACTTACTGCTTCTGCTTCTAAATGTTTTCCTTCTCCTTTATCTTTTTATTTTCTTACCAACACAGATGTCTTTTCCAGGAAGCACTCCTTTGAGCCATCGCAGAGTTTTGTAAAATTTTATTTATCTTTAGCCTTCTTAGAACTTCTCCTTGGGAGAAGATACTGAAAGTTTTATATCTCCAGTGGCTAGTCAATACGTTTGACTCCATGTCCTATCTGTTATACAAAGTTGATTTTCATACTGCTAAAATTCTATGTGGGAGCTTAACCATTCACAATAACAACAAGACAATAATTACATACCTAATCAATATAAACTGCTTTTTCAATGTTCAGGGATAGTTGATGTATAGGTTTTCATTCAGTTCTCACAATTTTAACGGTAAGTATTCATTGGCTATCTGTCTCACAAATAGATGCTCATAGTGTCTTCAGCAAATAAAAGGTGTATTTTTTGTCACATAACAAGAAAGCCCAAATACCAGCCAACCAGGACTGGTACAGTGGCTTCAAGGTGCCATCAGTGACCCAAATTTTATCTTTCTATTCTAACATCTATAGAGCATGGCGTCCTTTCTCATGGTCACAAAATGGCTGCTTCACGTTCATTTTCTATCTCCTCTTCCAGCATAAGAAAGCAATGAGGGGAGTGGGTGCAATCCACAGAGGGAAAGCAAAACTTCCTAATAAGTTCCCAGGAGTTTTAAAAAATCTCAGTACCCAGGACTGGTCAAGGAATTGGGAAATGTAACTAATCTTGGTGACATTCTGAGCAAAGTTAGCTCTCTATTAGTTTGCATGGTTGGGACTGGGGCCAGGGGCAAACATGAATACCAGTTAAGAAAGTAACAATGTTTGGCACAGAAGATTAAGCAGCATTGCTATCCCCAGGTGAAGATATTTGTCCCATCAGTCCAAATGATGCGTGTATGACTATAACCTCCATATCTAGACAGAGGTCTGTTGCTCTCAGACATTCAATTAATGCAAGATGATATCCATGGATTTATAAAATATAGATGTTAACTCATTATAAACCTGCCACGGTTTTCTTGAATAGGGAGAGTGTTTAATGGGATAATAGATTGAGGCATCAACTGATAGTTTCAAAGGTATATTTTTGGAGTAAGAACAGCTCAGTTTTGAAATTAAACCTCTCCGTTCCCCAAAACAAATGTTAGACAAATACTTTGTCATCTATCCCAGCTGCCCAGAGCCTTAGAACTAGGACCAAAATCCACAAATGTAAACAGTTATGAAACTGTTTTGTCCCATTAGTGTGAGAAGATGCTCATCATACAATAGAAAAAGACAGTAAAACAAATGCATGTAAAATAAATTGATTGATGCTAGGACTACACTGTATGTGCAACAAACCAAAACTTACTTATAAATGAAGACAGTGAAGCCATTTTCAAAGAGAGCTGAAGGTAATTTCCAGGAGTGGATTGACCTGGTGAAGAAAAACACAATATAACAAAACTAATTTTATATTGAAGACGGAGGGAAAGCTGGGGAATAACCTCTCATTACATTCTTTTTTTGCACTATAACCAAATAGTAAATATATAATGTAATGATGTTTCAGATCATGTTCAGATTTTTATAAAACTTTATAACACTTTCTGAAATTTTTCTGAGTTTTTGAGGTTAGGCAGAGCTTGAGAAAATGCCCTTTATTCACTTCTCCAGGGCACATAGATTACGATTAAATACAGTTGACACATATTTCTTTCCTTTGCTTTTTTTTCTTTTTTTTTTTTCTGAGACACAGTCCCACTCTGTCGGCCAGGCTGGAGTACAGTGACATGATCTCAGCTCACTGCAACCTCCGCCTCCTGGGCTCAAGCAATTCTCCTGCCTCAGCCTCCCGAGTAGCTGGGATTACAGACATGTGCCACCACGCTTGGCTAATTTTTGTATTTTTAGTAGAGGGGGTTTCACCATGTTGGCCATGCTGGTCTCGAACTCCTGAACTCAGGTAATGCGACTGCCTTGGCCTCCCAAAGTGCTGGGATTACAGGCATGAGCCACCATGCCTGGCCAACACATATTTCTTAAAAAAAAAAAAAATGGTGGTAAATTTTTGGTCATTGTATAAATGCATACACCAAAATGTGCTTTCAGTGATTTTTCTCCCCTATATTGTAGAAATCATGGGGGGTGGGGAGATGAGGACTTTTGTTTTCTGTAGTCTTTTGTTATTAAAAATGTGTTACCTAAAGAAAGAAATTCTATATGTACGCAGCTCTTTAATCCACCATTACAGAAAAGTGGTATCACTTCATGTATCTTCATGTGTCCTTTGAACAGTGTGGTACAGATTAGAAGACGTGATTTAAGATACATAGTCATAAGCAATAAACACGGCTTGACATTTTTATTTTAAAAATTAGCTTGAAGCAGCCAGTCATTTTTACAATGCCAAAGCAACTTAAGCCCTTCACAATTCTATTGCTAAAAATTTTAAAACAGTAGAATTTATTTTAAAACTAATTCAACATCTCACTCCACTCAGAAAACTCTTTCTCAACTTTTCAATTTAATAACTTATTATCAAGATTCTATAATTAAAAGTACTGAGATGCCAGGAAGTTAATGAAGTATACAATGTAAGCACACTGAAGAATGAAAATTTTATGGCTTTTATGCACAAAGCACTTGAGGCTAATTATTTCCAGACCAGCCAATGAATGGAAAGTTGTCCTGAGAGAGTACTTGACTTCTATGACCTAGGGTGATCCCCTCTTATTCAGAATCCGTGGTGTTGCCTCCAAGCAACACTTAGGGTATTTTTTTTTTTTTTTTTTTGAGGCAGAGTCTTGCCCTGTCACCCAGGCTGGAGTGCAGTGGCACAATCTCGGCTCACTGCAACCTCCACATCCCGGATTCAAACAATTCTCCTGCCTCAGCCTCCTGAGTAGCTGGGATTACAGGCGCCCGCCACCATCCCCAGCTAATTTTTGTATTTTTAGTAGAGATGGGGTTTCACCATGTTGGCCAGGCTAGTCTCAAACTCCTGACCTTGTGATCTGCCCGCCTCTCCCACCAAGTGCTGTGATTACAGGCATGAGCAACCATGCATGGCCATGGGTTTTTAACCTTTGTGAGCTCAGAGAAAAATCTAATGAATTTTTAAGTTTTCACTGAACTATGTCCTTTCACCATTTGACCTTACAATATACAAGGGCCAGAACAAACATGTGAAAACTCATTTTCCAGAACTGCCTGGTATGTGCACTTGTAGAACTAAGGGTAGTCCCAGGGTAGTCCCAGGCCTGAACACTTTAGAACAACCAGAGAAGCCTAAAAGATTTCAAGTTTAGTTTTTGTCCAAGGTCCCTGTTGTGAGGGCATAAGAAGACAAGAGAGTTGAGTGATTGCCTTAATACCTGTTACAAATAATACCTGACTCCCTGTAACACAGTACATATGCAAAAAAATAAATAAATAAATAAAAAAGTTTTGTCTCTCCCATTCTTGTTTTCTTCAAAAATTGATATGTACTGGCTGACATTTTCTGTAAAGAGATAGTAAATGTACAGGGCTAGCCTTTTTTGATGTTTAAGCACATTAATTTTCCAAGGAGGAAATAAGAGGTGAGTTTGAGTTTATGGCCATAGATAATGATGTTACAGATCTATTTGTGTCTTAATTTAACAGTGATCACTGGGACTTGAAAATAACATACTTTTCTTCTGTTTGGCAATTCTATTGGTTAAAAAATACCTCAGATTATTTTACTTTAAGATGTGATTATTGGTTTTGGAATATAGATAGAATCTGATGACAATATTTATTGGTCACCATTGGGCCCCTAATTTGGCTAAGATCAGAATTCTGTAACCTCTGTGAGCCCGCTAACATCATGTTTTGTCCAAATGTGTATCTCCAGAACCAGTATGCTTGGTCTTAAAGAATGTACCTAACATTAAATGAGGTTGAATACAATGCAACTAGATTTTAATTTCTGTGAAATAGTATATAGTGAAAAGTGGAAGCATTGACATTATAGTCAGGAAAATGTTTCAACTTCCAGGTTATTTGTTGAATTGATATTTGTTCTTTCTGTGACCCAATCAGGGTATTTAACCACTCTGAGCCTGATATTCTAATCTGAAGAATGAAAATAATCATACCTACTGCACAGAGCTTTCGTAAATATTAAAGGAGATAATGTAATACACTTATTGCTTGGTCATTTTATTTGTAAAGTCTCATTAATATGTTAACTTTTATGTTTTATGATGATTATAATTTACTATTCAGGAAATTAAACTCTCTGTCTCTCCTCCACTCCACATCAGACATGTATGTGTAAAAATAAATTTATGTATTTGATAAAAGTTTTGCCTTACTAAATAAATAAACTATAAAAAAAGCACCATTATATTTCACATATTGCAATAATCTGAACTGGACATTTAATTGTTCAAAAATTTTGATACATCAAACTTTTTAATTAAAAATATAAACAACTTAAATACAATAAGTATTAAATACAATTGAAGACTATAGCAATTTTATGTAAAGACAATGATGTCATATTTTTTAAAAATTCTTTCTTTACAGAAATATAAGTGACATAATATTAGACACATAGAAAACTAAGAGACTAGCTGGGCACAGTGACTTGCGCCTGAAATCTCAGTGCTTTAGGATGCTGAGAGCTCATGAATAGCCTGGACAACACAGTGAGACCTTATTTCACAAAACATTTTTAAAAATATATTAGTCGGGGCCAAGTGTGGTGGCTCACACCTGTAGTCCCAGCACTTTGGGGGGCCAAGGTGGGTGGATCATGAGGTCAGGAGTTCAAAACCAGCCTGGCCAAGATGGTGAAACCCCGTTTCTACTAAAAATACAAAAATTAGCTGGGTGTGGGGGTGGGCGTCTGTAATCCCAGCTACTTGGGAGGCTGAGGCAGAGAATTGCTTGAACCCAGGAAGCGGAGGTTGCAGTGAGCCGAGATCGCACCACTGCACTCCAGCCTGGGCGACAGGGTGAGATTCTGTCTCGAAAAGAAAAGAAAAAAAAAAAATTTATATATATATATATATATGTGTCGGGTGTGGTGGCCCATGCCTGTAGTCCTGTGACTAAAGAGGCTAAGATGGGAGGATTGCTGGAGCCAAGGAGTTAGAGGTTGCAGTGAGCTATGATCTTTCCACTGTACTCCAGCCTGAATGATAAGACAAAACCCTGTCTAAAAAATTTTAAAAGGTAAAAACAAATACAAACAGATTAAAGTATGTATATATGCACAAAAAAACTTTTTGTTTACATAATTTTCAATATTTAAACATCCACTATAAAGATTTTTAATGTTGCTTTAAAGTTTGGGCATATATATTTAGTTCTTTTGCTTTTTTAATACTGCAAGTTCTGGGATACATGTGCAGAACATGCAGGTTTGTTACATAGGTATACACACGCCATGATGGTTTGCTGCACCCATCCACCCGTCATCTACATTAGGTATTTATCCTAATGCTATCCCTCCCCTAGCCCCCCCACCCCCCAACAGGCCCCAACATGTGATGTTCCCCTCCCTGTGTCCATGTGTTCTCATTGTTCAACTCCCACCTATGAGTGAGGACATGTGGTGTTTGGTGTTCTGTTCCTGTGTTAGTTTGCTGAGAATGATGGTTTCCAGCTTCACCCATGTCCCTGCAAAGGACATGAACTCATCCTTTTTTATGGCTGCATAGTATCCCATGGTATATATGTGCCACATTTTCTTTATCCAGTCTATCATTGATGGGCATTTGGGTTGGTTCCAAGAATTTGCTATTGTGAATAGTGCTGCAATAAACATACATGTCCATGTGTCTCTATAGTAGAATTATTTATAATCCTTTGGGTATATACCCAATAATGGGATTGCTGGGTCAAATGGTATTTCTAGTTCTAGATCATTGAGGAATTGCCACACTGTCTTCCACAATGGTTGAACTAATTTACACTCCCAACAACAGTGTAAAAGCATTCCTATTTCTCCAAAGCCTCTCCAGCATCTGTTGTTTCCAGACTTTTTAATGATTGCCATTCTAACTGGCATGAGATGGTATCTCATTGTGGTTTTGATTTGCATTTCTTTAATGACCAGTGATGATGAGCTTTTTTTATATATTTGTTGGCTGCATAAATGTCTTCTTTTGAGAAGAGTTTGTTCATATCCTTTGCCCACTGTTTGAAGGTTTTTTTTTTTTTCTTGTAAATGTGTTTAAGTTCTTTGTAGATTCTGGATATTAGCCCTTTGTCAGATGGACAGATAGCAAAAATTTTCTGCCATTCTGCAGGTCACTGTTCACTCTGATGATGGTTTCTTTTGCTGTGCAGAAGCTCTTTAGTTTAATTAGATCCCATCTGTCAATTTTGGCTTTTGTTGCCATTGCTTTTGGTGTTCTAGACATGAGGTCTTTTCCCATGCCTATGTCCTGAATGCTATTGCCTAGGTTTTCTTCTAGGATTTTTATAGTTTTAGGTCTTACATTTAAGTCTTTAATCCATCTTGAGTTAATTTTTGTATAAGGTGTAAGGAAGGTGTCCAGTTTCCGTTTTCTGCATATGGCTTACCAGTTTTCCCAGCACCATTTATTAAATAGGGAATCCTTTCCCAATTGCTTTTTTTGGTCAGGTTTGTCAAAGATCAGATGGTTGTAGATGTGTGGCATTAGTTCTGATGCCTCTGTTCTGTTCCATTGGTCTGTATCTCTGTTTTGGTACCAGTACCATGCTGTTTTGGTTACTGTAGCCTCGTAGTATAGTTTGAAGTCAGGTAGCATGATGCCTCCAGCTTTGTTCTTTTTGCTTAGGATTGTCTTGGATATATGAGCTCTTCTTTGGCTCCATATGAAATTTAAGGTATTTTTTTCTAATTCTGTGAAGAAAGTCAATGGTAGTTTGAAGGGGATAGCATTGAATCTATAAATTACTTTGGGCAGTATGGCCATTTTAATGATATTGATTCTACTTATCCATGAGCATGGAATGTTTTTCCATTTGTTTGTGTCCTCCCTTATTTCCTTAGCAGTGGTTTGTAGTTCTCCTTGAAGAGGTCCTTCACATCCCTTGTAAGTCGTATTCCTAGGTATTTTATTCTCTTGGTAGCAATTGTGAATGGGAGTTCACTCATGGTTTGGCTCTCTGTTATTGGTGTATAGGAATGCTTGTGATTTTTGCACATTGACTTTGTATCCTGAGACTTTGCTGAAGTTGCTTATCATCTTAAGGAGATTTTGGGCTAAGACAATGGGGTTTTCTAAATATACAATCATATCATCTGCAAACACAGACAATTTGACTTCCTCTCTTCCTATTTGAATACAGTTTATTTATTTCTCTTGTCTGACTGTCCCTGCCAAAACTTCCAATACTATGTTGAATAGAAGTAGTGGAGAGAGCATCCTCGGCTTGTGCCAGTTTTCAAAGGGAATGCTCCCACCTTTTGTCGATTCAGTATGATATTGGATGTGGGTTTGTCATAAATAGTTCTTATTATTTTGAGATACATTCCATCAATACCTACTTTATTGAGAGTATTTAGCATGAAGGGGTGGTGAATTTTATCAAAGAACTTGTCTCCATCTATTGAGATAATCGGGTGGTTTTTGTCATTGGTTCTGTTTAAGTGATGCATTACATCTATTGATTGGCATATGTTGAACAAGCCTTGCATCCCAGGGATGAAGCCGACTTGATTATGGTGAATAAACTTTTTGATGTGCTTCTGGATTCAATTTGCCAGTATTTTATTGAGGATTTTCACATCGATGTTCATCAGGGATATTGGCCTGGAATTTTATTTTTTTTGTTGTGTCTCTGCCAGGTTTTGGTATCAGGATGATGCAAACCTCATAAAATGGGTTAGGGAGGAGTCCCTCTTTTTGTATTGTTTGGAATAGTTTCAGAAGGAGTGGTACCAGCTCTCCTTTTTATCTCTGGTAGAATTCAGCTGTGAATCTGTCTGGTCCTGGGATTTTTTTTGGTCAGTAGGCTATTAATTACTGCCTCAGTTTCTGAACTTGTTATTGGTCTATTCAGGGATTTGACTTCTTCCTGGTTTAGTCTTGGGAGGGTGTATGTGTCCAGGAATTTATACATTTCTTCCAGATTCTCTCGTTTATTTGCGTAGAGGTGTTTATAGTATTCTCTGATGATAGTTTGTATTTCTGTGGCATCAGTGTTGATCTCCCCTTTATCATTTTTTTATTGTGTCTATTTGATTCTTGTCTATTTTCTTCTTTATTAATCTGGCTAGTGATCTATTTTGTTAATCTTTTCAAAAATCTAGCTCCTGGATTCATGATTTTTTTGAAGGATTTTTCATGTCTCTGTCTCCTTCAGTTCTGCTCTGATCTTAGTTATTTCTTGTCTTCTGCTAGCTTTTGACTTTGTTTGCTCTTGCTTCACTAGTTCTTTTAATTGTGATGTTAGGGTGTCAATCTTCGGTCTTTCCCGCTTTCTCCTGTGGGTGTTTAGTGCTATAAATTTCCCTCTAAACACTGCTTTAGCCGTGGCCCAGAGATTCTGGTACATTGTCTCTTTGTTCTCATTGGTTTCAAAGAACTTATTTATTTCTGCCTTAATTTCGTTATTTACCCAGTAGTCATTCAGGAGCAGGTTGCTCAGTTTCCATGCAATCGTGCAGTTTTGAGTGAGTTTCTTAATCCTAAATTCTAATTTGATTGCACTGTGGTCTGAGAGACTGTTTGTTATGATTTCCGTTACTTTGCATTTGCTGAGGAGTGTTTTACTTCCAATTAGGCGGTCAATTTTAGAATAAGTGCAATGTGGTGCTAAAAAAATGTATGTTCTGTTGATTTGGGGTGCAGAGTTCTACAGATGTCTATTAGGTCTGCTTGGTACAGAGCTGAGTTCAAGTTCTAAATATCCTTGTTAACTTTCTGTCTCGTTGATTTGTCTAATATTGACAGTGGGGTGTTAAATTCTCCCACTATTATTGTGTGGGAGTCTAAGTCTCTTTGTAGGTCTCTAAGAACTTGCTTTATGAATCTGGGCGCTCCTCTACTGGGTGCATACATATTTAGGATAGTTAGATTTTCTTGTTGCGTTGATCCCTTTACTATTATGTAATGCCTTTCTTTGTCTTTTTTGATCTTTGTTGGTTTAAAGTCTGTTTTATGAGAGACTAGGATTGAAACCCCTGCTTTTTTTTGCTTTCCATTTACTTGGTAAAAATTCCTCCATCCCTTTATTTTGAGCCTGTGTGTGTCTTTCCACGTGAGATGGGTCTCCTGAATATAACACACTGATAGTTCTTGATTATTTAACCAATTTGCCAGTCTGTGTCTTTTAATTAGGGCATTTAGCCCATTTACATTTAAGGTTAATGTTGTTATGTGTTAATCTGATCCTGTCATTATGATGCTAGCTGGTTGTTTTGCCCATTAGTTGATGCAGTTTCTTCATAGTGTTGATGGCCTTTATAATTTGGTATGTTTTTGCAGTGGCTGGTACCAGTTTTTCCTTTCTGTATGTAGTGCTTCGTTCAGGAGCTCTTGTAAGGCAGGCCTAGTGGGGATGAAGTCTCTCAGCATTTGCTTGTCTGTAAAGAATTTTATTTCTACTTCACTTATGAAGCTTAGTTTGGCTGGATATGAAATTGTGGGTTAAAATTCTTTTCTTTAAGAATGTTGAATTTTGGCCCCCACTCTTCTGGCTTGTAGGGTTTCTGCAGAGAGATCCGCTGTTAGTCTGATGGGCTTCCCTCTGTGGGTAACCCAACCTTTCTCTCTGGCTGCCCTTAACATTTTTTCCTTCATTTCAACCTCGGTGAATCTGACAATTATGTGTCTTGGGGTTGCTCTTCTTGAGGAGTATCTTTGTGGTGTTCTCTGTATTTCCTGAATTTGAATGTTGGCCTGTCTTCCTAGGTTGGGGACGTTCTCGTGGATTATATCCTGAAGAGTGTTTTCCAACTTGGTTCCATTCTCCCTGTCACTTTCAGGTACACCAATCAAATGTAGGTTTGGTCTTTTCACATAGTCCCATATTTCTTGGAGGCTTTGTACGTTCCTTTTCATTCTTTTTTCTCTAAACTTGTCTTCACGCTTTATTTCATTAAGTTGATCTTTAATCTCTGATATCCTTTCTTCTGCTTGATTGATTTGGCTATTGATATTTGTGTATGCTTCACGAAGTTCTCGTGCTGTGTTTTTCAGCTTCATCAGGTCATTTATGTTCTTCTCTAAACTGGTTGTTGTAGTTAGCAATTCCTGTAACCTTTTTTTCAAGGTTCTTAACTTCTTTGCATTGGGTTAGAACATGCTCCTCCAGCTCAGAGGAGTTTGTTATTACCCACCTTCTGAAGCCTACTTCTGTCAATTCATCAAACTTACTCTCCATCCAGAGTTTTTCCCTTGCTGGCGAGGAGTTGTGATCCTTTGGAGGAGAAGAGGCATTCTGGTTTTTTAAATTTTCAACCTTTTTGCCCTGGTTTTTCCTTATCTTCGTGGATTTGTCTACCTTTGGTCTTTGATGGTGACCTTTGTATGGGGTTTCTGTGTGGACGTCCTTTTTGTTGATGTTGATGCGATTCCTTTCTGCTTGTTAGTTTTCCTTCTAACAGTCAGGTCCCCGTGTTGCAGGTCTGCTGGAGTTTGCTGGAGGTCTATTCCAGACCCTGTTTGCCTGGATCACCAGTGGAGGCTGCAAAACAGTAAAGTTTGCTGCCTATTCCTTCCTCTGGAAGCTTCGTCCCAGAGGGGCACCCGCCAGATGCCAGCAGTAGCTCTCCTGTATGAGGTGTCTGTCGACCCCTGCTGGGAGGTGTCTCCTAGTAGGGAGGCACAGGGGTCAGGGACCCACTTGAGGAGGCAATCTGTCCCTTAGCAGAGCTCAAGCGCTGTGCTGGGAGATCCACTGCTCTCTTCAGAGCCGGCAGGAAGGAACATTTAAGTCTGCTGAAGCTGTGCCCACTGCTGCCCCTTCCCCCAGGTGCTCTTTCCCAGGGAGATGAGTTTTATCTATAAGCCCCCGACTGGGGCTGCTCCCTTTCTTTCAGAGATGCCCTGCCAAGAGAGGAGGAATTTAGAGAGGCAGTCTGGCTACAGCAGCTTTGCCGTGCTGCAGAGGGCTCTGCCCAGTCCAAATTTCCTGGCAGCTTTGTTTATACTGTGAGGGGAAAACCGCCTACTCAAGCCTCAGTAATGGTGGAAGTCCCTCCCCCCACCAAGCCCAGGCATCCCATGTCGACTTCAGACTGCTGTGCTGGCAGTGAGATCCCCTTTTCAAGCCAGTGGATCTTAGCTTGCTGGGCTCTGTGGGGGTGGGATCCACTGGGCTAGACCACTTGGCTCCCTGGCTTCAGCCCCCTTTCCAGGAGAGTGAATGTTTCTGTCTCACTGGCATTCCAGGTGCCACTGGGACATGAAAAATAACTGCAGCTAGCTCAGTGTCTGCCCAAACATCTGTCCAGTTTTGTGCTTGAAATCCAGCACCCTGGTGGTGTAGTGACCCGAGGGAATCTCCTGGTCTGCAAGCTGGGAAGACCATGGGAAAAGCGTAATATCTGGGCTGGAATGCACCTTTCCTCACAGCACATGGCTTCCCTTGGCTAGGCGAGGGAGTTCCCCGATCCCTTGCCCTTCCCAGGTGAGGTGACACCCCACCCTGCTTCTGCTCGCCCTCCGTGGGCTGCACCCACTGTCTAACCAGTCCCAATGAGATGAGCCAGGTACCTCAGTTGGAAATGCAGAAATAACCCACCTTCTGCATTGATCTCACTGGGAGCTGCAGACCGGAGCTGTTCCTATTGGCCATCTTGCCAACCACCATGCTACTCTTTTCCTTAGTTCTTATTTTTAGAAACTATAATTTTTAAAATTATTTTTGAATAGGTTTACTTATATAACAAAGTTGGCCTACAAAATAATATTTCAAAAAAAATTATAGAGTAATTTAAGTTATTTTAGCACTCCTTTTACTCTTAGAAGTATCTCAGTTTAGTTGATGTGATCACCTCACAATCACAGACAATAATAATTGCTCACTGCCTTGTACATTAATCCTTATATCATCAACTCATCATCTCTGAAGAGCATATGACAGGTTGATTGTGCCTTATCAAACATGCTTGGGACCAGAAGTGTTTTGAATTTTGGAATTTGGAGTATTTGCATATACATGATAAAATACCTTGGGAATGGGACTGAAGTCTAAACATGAAATTCATTTATGTTTCATATACACCTTATAAACATAGCCTAAAGGCAATTTGATATAATATTTTTAATAATATTGTGCATGAAACAAAGTTTTGACAGTGTTTTTGACTGTGACCCATCACATGAGGTCATATGTGGAATTTCTACTTGTGGTGTCATGTCAGTGCTCAAAAAGTTTCAGATTTCAGAGCATTTCAGATTTTGCATTTTCAGATTAGGGATACTCAACCTGTATTATCTTTATTTTACAATGAGAATACCAAAGACAGGGAGGTTACAACCTGATATTGCACATCTGTTAGTAGTTCACTCCCTTTGATTTCAAAGCCCAGGCTTTTAGGCTCTTTTTAAAAACAGAATTCTTTTACTGTTTAACTAATATTATCTTCCAAAGGCCCTCTGTCTTATTATAATAAATTGATATTCAAAACTAAAATACATCTCTATACAATTTCTGCTTACTTGTATTAGGATCCATGGGAAAATGTTTTTCAAACTTTTTCAAGTGTTTATTTAACATAATATATCTATTTATATAAAAGTTTGGAACACTGAAATTAAACAATGCCCTTGGAGCACTAAAGGCAACTAGTAGTATGAGAAATAGAAGACACTGTCAGAATTTAAAAATCAATTAATTTAAAATCAATGGTGGTAGCAAAATAATGAACAACTCATTAATTGTAGTAATTATACAAGGACCTTAAGGTAAGCAAATACATCTGGCAAATAAAATTGAAATCAACAAAAACAATTTATTAAAGGACAAATCCCAAATGTGTAAGACCCCTAAAATGCTATTTTTCCTTTATATATCTGTAATCCATAGTTCCTACTTCATTTAGCCATTTTACTATTTCAGTCAAAAATTAAAATACTTTAGAAAATATTTAAAATTTGTATGATAACATTCAAATAATTGCTTGAACAAAGTCTGGTATTTCCCTGAAAAACTAAAGCAATGTAGGAGTTTAACAGTACTGATGGAGAAATACGTGTCAAACTAAATTGTCTGAAACTATGAATTTAGATCTTAGATCAAAATGATAAAGGAAGAACAGGCCAGGAACTCAGAATATTTTCCAATTCAATGCGCACAACGTGCTCCTAAAACTTCTTTACAATGAGAATAGTAAGGTTAATCAACCTACAAGAGGTCGAACATAAGACATAGCACTACAGCTATTTAAATTGCAATTTTAAATTTATGTCTTTCTCTCTTTTTTGGTATTCCCCCTTTCCTCTCAAGAAGAAAAGGAATACAGAACTACACATAAATCTTAGCTCTATCACTTACTAACTACACACAAATGGGCATTTTACTTGGTTTCCTAATCTACACGAGTGGAATAATGAAACCATCTCTGCAGGGTTACTGCAAAGGTTAACTCTGAGCATTTGGCACCTGGCCATCACTCAATATAGAGTAGTTGTTATTTTCCTTATTGCATCTGTGGGGTTTATGATGACAACTGTTTCATAAAATAATAGAATCTTGGTTGTCACCCAGATGAATCTCTAGATCAATGTAGAAATTTCTTCCACAGAGTGCTTCAAAGGAAATATTATTTTAAGATACTATTAAATATTTAAATATCTTCCAGTCATGTGGAAGGAGAATATTTATTCTGTTTGGTTGACAGAGTAGAACTAGGAAGAATTAAGTAAGGTTTTGTGGAGTATGATTTCACCTCAACCAAAGCAAGAATAACTTAACAACCAGAACTGGTTAACAGAGAATTGGGTGTTTCGGGGAGGTAATGAGTTTCCTTATCATAGGAAGTGTTCACTTAGAAGCTCTCTGGTATTAAGTCAGGAACGGAAAGAGGAATCTGAAGTTCTATAATCCAAAGTGATGAGAAATGACACTGACATTCTTGTATTTCATTTTGTTTTTCCTTTCCTTTCTGAAACATATAGACAGGACTAAATTGGTTGGCTTAATATTTATTCTCTAGGTTTATTTTTGCTTGTGAGTTCTCCCATCACAGCACTGAACAGTATTATGGTAAATTAGGGCAGTTCTTGCCTTTTCAATCCAGAGGTGCATGATTAAAGTTCTAGACACAGCTCTACTGTCAGAATAAGCATTATCTAGTGACAAAGAATGAGAAGACACATCCTGATCTCCTAGAGTGACCCTTTTAACATGACAATCTGATCAAGTAATATCTATCAGTTATCAATCCCTGCATAGCAAATTACCCTAAACTTAGTGACTAAAACTACATGTATTATGTTGCAAAGTTGTTGAGGGTTAGAAATTCAGAAAGACTTTATCTGGGTGGTTCTTGTTCAAAGTATCTCAGGAGGTTGCTTGCAGTCAAGGTGTTGGCCAGGGTTGCAGCTATCTGAAGGCTTGATTGGAGCTGGGTGGTCTACTCCCAACATGATTTACTCACATAGGTGTTACCAGGAGACCTTAGACCCTTACCAAGTGGGACTCTCTATAAGGGTGCATGAGTGTCCTTATAGTATGTCACCTCATTTGCCCAGAGTAAGGAATTCAAGAAAGAGCCAGGAGGAATTCACAATGTTTTTTATATCCTAATTTCAGATGTTGCTCACAGTCACTTCGACCGCATTCTATTCCTTGGAAGTGAGTCACTAAGGACAGTTCACATGAAGAATATAAGATAATTTATGGCCATATTTTAAAACCACCAAAGCCTTTTTAAAACCAGTCAATAACTCATACTTTCTTAAAAAATAAGGTCCAAGCAGCTTCATATCGTTAAATAATAATCTAGCCCCTGCTTTCTTCCCCACAATTTCATTCCTGTAATGCCCCCCTAAACCCTGCACTCCAATAATCTTAAACTGCATAGAATTCCCTAAATAGATCCAACTATTGACAACTTTGTCCATTTACAGGGGCTACCTAAACCTTCTTTGCCCTTCCTTCCCTGTCTATCTGACAATATCCATTCATTGCATCTCAATTGAAAGTTCATTTTAAATACAAAGCCCTTCCTGACTCCTGGAAGGAAAGAGACAGAAATTTAAATAAATATTTATATAAAATAGAAAGGGACATATATATATAAATATATATACACACACACACACACACACACACACACACACAAACACACACACATACACAAAGAGAGAAAGTGTGTGCTTGAAAGAGAAAGCAAAAAACAGGATCCAGAGGCATTTTCTGAGTTGTATAGTATGGGAAGAGTGACTTTCCCCATGGAGACTAAGGATTTCTTGTGACCAATTTATTTTGTATTCACAGTACCTAGCACAGTACTTTACACAGTAATTACAGAATAACAAATCACTTTCATGTTGCCTCAATTTTCCAACATAAGTGAGAATCTTTCTTAAGGTTTTTGTTCGTTTGTTTGTTTTAGAGGTTAATTTCAATCAGTTTGACTGAAGTAGAAAACTAAAAACACAAAATATTTGTAGATTAGATCCACTTTGTCCCAGAAATAAATGATTATTCTCTTTTCTCTTTCTCACAAATATGAATTTGTCATATAATGGAGACAATTTTCCTGAGGAATACTTTTCACTTTGTCATATAAATCTATCTGAATATATACACCACACTTAGTTGAAGCGGTTGTGGACCTGGATCAAAGAAATGGGATTCCTTGGGTGTCCAGCCCCTGTCAAAGGATACCTTTATTGCAAATCTATTGAAAAGATTTTTCCTTTTAACAGAAGTCACTGAGGCCTAGACTTTAGAGCATGAGGAAGGAGCTGGGCACTCTGTAGTCAAGTGTGTTGAGTACAGAGTGTAAATGTATGTGTTTATGGTAGCTGATGATGTTGGGGACATTGCTGAAGGAAAGGCAGCTCAGTCACTACCCAGTTCTTGGTAGGCTCCATCCCTTTTGCTTCTGAGTAGAAGAGAGTTCCAGGAAAGGGTGAGACACTTTCCTTTTTAGTGAAAACCCAAAGACTTGAACTTGCCTCATCTCTGGGAGAGGAAAACAGATATTCTGTAAGGAGGTAGGTGAGGAAAGATTGCAGATTCTGATACACATTCCTACTTACCTCTTATTATCTCATTATTCCCATTTCTAATAACTATGATTCTGATCATGAAATGTGTCTTCTTTGCTCATTCCTTAAACAAAGGCATTAATGTCTTTATCTCAGCCTTTCTTATTTGCTGTACACCTTCAAATGCTAGCAATTTTGGCTACACATGAAAGTTTTGAAAAGCTCAGAAGAACAATGAGCAATAATGCTAATCTTTAGCAGTAATTATACATTAATAATAATTACAACACAATCACCCTATAAAACAGGGTCTCACAATGATTTTTAAGTCACCTACTGTTGTCTCATATTTTCTTGGTCAATACTTAGCAATATCACTGTTATATCAGAACAACTTATTGCCCTAATAGCAAATTCTGGTACACCTATGGGACTATTTTATACATAGTTTAGGAAACACATAACATGTTTTAGAGCTTGCTGGATATGATGCAAGCATCTCATCTATTATAAAGAAAGTATATTCTATTCTACAGAACATCACAGTATTGATTTCCCCAACATTCTCTGGGATAGATTAGTATTAAAAGTTGTGCTCACATTTTGCAAAAGTGAAATGTAGGCCTTTATGAGAACTTGGTAGAGCACTTAAGAAGGATTTGAAATATATGTATATGTGTCAAAAGGAATGCCTTACTTTATTGACAATTTCTGGTTTACATTCATATCAAAAATGTGTTATTTTCTAAATTAATGAATATGTTTATTTTATTTATAAGATTAATGAATTTGTCAGGGAAAAAGAAATAAAACTGTATTGGGGGCCCCAGAGAAGATGGAGCAAGATGGCCAAATAAAAGCCCCCAGCAATCATGTCTCCTGCAGGAACACAAAATTGAACAACTATCCATTCTCACAAAAGCACCTTTATAAGAACTAAAAATCAAGTAAACAATCACGGTTCCTCATTCTAACACATACTAAGGAAAGAGACACTGGAGAGGGTAGGAAAGATAGTCTTGAATTGCTACCCCTTTCCTAGCCCCTGGTGGTAGCTAGTAGCTGCACAGCACAGAGACAGAATACGTGTAATTGGGAAAGGGAGAGCGCGGTGATTGTGGAATTTTGCGTTGGAACTCAGTGTTGCCCTGTCACAGCAGAAAGCAATATGAAGCAGAATTCAGCCAATCCTCACAGAGGGAGCATTTAGACCAGCCCTAGCAAAAGGCAAATCATTTGTCCCAGCAGTGGGAACCTGAATTCCAGCAAGCAGCACCACCATCAGCTAAAGAACTTCGGGATCCTAAATAAATTTGAAAGGGACTGTAGGTCGCAAGGACTGCAATTTGTGGGCAAGGCCTAGTGCTATGCTGGGCTTGAAGCCAGTGGGCTTGGAGTGAACACAAGCTAGTGAGACATCATCACCAAGCACAGTCCTGAAGTTTCCATTCCAGGATCTAGCTCCCAGACATTTCTAGACACATCCAGGACCAGAAGGGAAGCCTCTGCCTTGAAGGAAAGGGACCCATTCCTGGCAGAATTTACCACCTGCTGAATCAAGAGCCCTTGAGCCCTGAATAATCAGCAGTGCTAGCCAGGCAATACTTTCCATGGGCCTTGGGTGAGACTAACAGCTGTACTGACTGCAAGTATTATGAGTCCATTATCACACTGCTATGAAAAATAACCTGATACTGGGTGATTTACAAAGAAAAGAGGTTTAATTGACTCACAGTTCCACATGGCTGGGGAAACCTCAGGAAACTTACAATCATGGCATAAAGTGACAGGAAAGCAAGTCACATCTTGCCATTGTGGAGCAGAAGAGAGAAAGAGAGAGAGAGAGAGAATGAATGGGGAAGTTCCACACTTTTAAACCATCAGATCTCATGAGAACTCCCTTACTATCATGAGAACAGAAAAGAAGAAATCCACCCCTATGATCCAATCTCCTCCCACCAGGCCCCTCTCCTGACATGTGGGGATTACAATTCAACATGAGATTTGGATGGGGACACAGAACCAAACCATATCCTTCTGCTCCTGGCCCCTTCCAAATATCATTTCCATCTTACATTTTGAAACCAATCATGCCTTCTCAACAGTCCCCCAAAGTCTTAACTCATTCTGGAATTAACTCAAAAGTCCAAGTCCAAAGTTTCATCTGAGACATGGCAAGTCCCTCCCACCTATGAGCCTGGAAGATAAAAAACAAGTTAGCTACTTCCAAGATACATTAGGGAGGTATCGGGTAAATGTTCCTATTCCAAAAGGGATAAATTGACCATTTTATAATGGGACAAATTGACCATGGGGCTACAGACCCCATGCAAGTCCAAAACCCAGCAGGGCAGTTATTAAATCTTAAAGCTCCAAAATCCCCTTTCACTTCATGTCTCATATCAGGGCACACTGATGCAAGAGGTGGGCTCCCACAGCCTTGGGAAACCCCATTCCTGTGGTTCTGAAGGGTACAGTTCTGTGACTGCTTTCATGATCTGGCATTGAGTGCCTGAGGCTTTTCCAGGTGGATGGTACAAGCTGTCAATGGATCTGCCATTCTGGGGTATGGAAGACAGTGGCCTTCTTCTCACAGCTCCACTAGGAAGTGCCCCAGTGGGAACACTGTATGGGGGCTACACCTCACATTTCCCCTCTGCACTGCCCTAATAGAGGTTCCCCATGAGGGCTTCACTGCTGCAACAGACTTCTGCCTGGACATCCAGGTGTTTCCATACATCCTCTGAAATCTAGGCAGAGGTTTCCAAACCTCAATTCTTGCCTTTGGCACACCTGCAGGTCCAACACCATGTGGAAGCTGCCAGGGCTTGGGACTTGCACCCTCTGAAGAAATAGCCTGAGCTGTACCTTGGCTCTTTTTAGCCACGGCTGGAGCTGAAGTGTCTGGGATGCACTGCACCAAGTTCCGAGGCTGCACAGAGCAGCAACAGGGCCCTGGGCCCAGCCCATGTAACCATTTTTCCCTCCTAGGCCTCCAGGCCTGTGGTGGCAGGAACGGCTGTGAAGATCTCTGACATACCTTGGAGACATTTTCCCCATTGTCTTGGCTGTTAACATTTGGCTTCTCGTTACTTATGCAAATTTCTGCAGCTAACTTGAATTTCTCCCCTGAAAATAGGTTTTTCTTTTCTACCACATGGTCAAGCTGCAAATTTAACAAACTTCTTTGCTCTGCTTCCCTTTTCAACATAAGTTCTAATTTCAGAGCATCTCTTTCTTCACACTTATGAGCATACACTTTTAGAAAAAGCCAGGCCATATCTTGAACTCTTTTCTGCTTAGAAATTTCTTCCACTAAATACCCTAAATCATCTCTCCTAAATTTAAAGTTCCACAGATCTCTAGGGTAGGGGCAGCATGCAGCCAGTCTCTTTGCTAAAGGATAGCAAGAGTGACCTTTGCTCCAGTTCCCAAGAAATTTCTCATCACCATCTGAGACCACCAGAGCCTGGAATTCATTGTCCACATCATTATCTGTATTTTGGCCAAAATCATTCAATAAGTCTCTAGGAAGTTCTAAACTTTCCTACATCTTCCTGTCTTCTTCTGAGCCCTCCAGACTGTTTCAACTTTTGCCCATTACCCAGCTCCAAAGTCACTTCCACATATTCAGGTATCTTCACAGCAGTGCCCTACTCCTGGTACCAATGTTCTGTATTAGTTTGTTATCGCACTACTATAAATAACTACATGAGACTAGGTAATTTATTTAAAAAAGAGGTTTAATTGACTCACAGTTCCACATGGCTCAGGGGGCCTCAGGAAACTTACAATTATGGAGAAGTTGAAGGGAAGGCACGGCACATCTTACCATGATGGGCAGGAGAAAGACAGACAAAAGGGGGAAGAGCCACACTTTTAAACACTCAGATCTTGTAAGAACTCACTCACTATCATGAGAACAGCAAGGGGGAAATCTGTCCCCATGATCCAATCTACTCCCATCAGGCCCCTCCCATAACACCTGGAATTACAATTTGACATGAGATTTGGGTGGGAACACAGAGCCAAACCACATCAACGTTTGGAACTTGGGAAATTTGGGAATCCACCTAAACCCAGCACATTGCCAGGTGTGATTGATAAGAAGAGAGACCCTGTCTGAGGAAAGGAGAGTGATATGGTTTGGCTGTGTCCCCATCCAAATCTTATCGTGAATTTTACCTCCCATAATTCCTATGTGTTACGGAATGGACCCAGTGGGAGGTAACTGAATCATGGGGATGGGTCTTTCTCATGCTGTTCTCATGATAATAAATAAGTCTCACAAGATCTGATGGTTTTATAAATAGGAGTTCCCCTGCACAAGCCCTCTTTGCCCGCCAACATGTAAGAAGTCCCTTTGCTCTTTCTTTGTCTTCCGCCATGATTGTGAGACCTCCCCAGCCACGTGGAACTGTGATTCCATTAAATCTCTTTCTTTTATAAATTACCCAGTCTCGAGTATGTCTTTATTAGCAGCATGAGAATGGACTAATACAGAGAGGAAAGAGTAAAGGGGACTGTCTTGCAGATTGGGTACCAGTTCAGTCACAGTGGAGTAGAGCAACAAGTGGGTTCCTGGGATCCCTGATTCCAGACCATGACTCCTGGACAGCATTTCTGGAGCTCCCTTTGGCCAGAGGGGAGCATAGTACCCTTAAGGGAGTAACTCAGGACTGGCAGCACTCATGACAAGCTGACTGAAGGGCCCGTGGACCTTGAGTAACATTGGTGGTAACCAGGTAGTATTTATCATGGTCCTGGGTCACTGGTGGCCATGGGGAGATACTGCTCTACTCGAGGAAAGGGGAGGGAAGAGTGGTAATGACTTTGTCTTGAGGCTTGGGGGCCAGCACAGGCTCAGTAGAATAGAGCACCAGGTAGATTTCTAAAGTTCCCAACTCCAAGCACAAAGAGAGAGAGAGACTCTGTTTGTTTGCAGGCAAGTAAAGGAAGAGAAAAATAGTCTTTGCCTAGTAATACAGGGAATTCTACCCAAGACTGAGTCTGCAAGAGCCAAAGAATTATTCAGTCTGGGTTGACCCCTAAAGCAGGTATGGCTACAGTGACCAAAGACTGAGATCACCACACCCAAGTCCCCTTGAATACCTGGAAAGCCTTCCCAAGAACAATGGTTAAAAACAAGCCCAGACTGCAAGGCTAAGTAAATACCTAACTCTTTAATGCCCAGACAGTGGAGAATATCCACAAGCATCAAGACCAGCCAGGAAAACATGACCTCACCAAATAAACTAAATAAGTTGTCAGGGAACAATCTTAGAGAAACAGAGATATGTAATATTTCAGACAGAGAATTCAAAACAGCTGTTTTGAGGAAGCTCAATGAAATCCAAGGTAACACATAAAAGGAATTCAGAATTCCATCAGATAAGTTCAACAAATAAATTGAAATAATTAAAAAGTACCAAGCATAAATTCTGGAACTGAAAATGCAGTTGACATACTGAAAAATGCATCAGAGTTCATTAACAGCAGAATTGATCAAGCACAAGAAATAATTAGTGAACCAGAAGACAGGCTATTTGAAAACACAGAGGTAACAAAAGAAAAAAGAATAAAAAAGAATGAAGCATGCCTACAAGACCTAGAAAATTGCCTCGAAAGGACAAATCTAAGAGATATTGGCCCTAAAGAAGAGAGAAAGAGAGAGAGTTTGGGGTAGAAAGTTTATTCACTGGGCGACTGAGCAACACTCCATCTCAAAAAAAAAAAAAAAAAAGAAAGTTTATTCAAAGGAATAATACTAGAGAACTTTCCAAACCTAGGGAAAGATAGCAATATTCAAGTATAAGAAGGGTATAGAATGCCAAGCAGATATAACCCAAATAATAGTACCTCAAGACACTTGATAATAAAACTCCCAAAGATCAAGGAGGAAAAACAATCCTAAGAGTAGCAAGAGAAAAGAAACAAATACCATACAAAGGAACTCCAATACATCTGTCAGCGACTTCACAGTGGAAATTTACAGGCCAGAAGACAGTGGCATAACATATTTAAAGTGCCAAATGAAAAAAAAGCCCTATTAACATAGAATATTATATCCAATGGAAATATACTTCAAACATGAAGCTAAAATAAAGACTTTCCCAGACAAACAAAAACTGAGGGATTTAATTAACATCAACCTCATTCTACAAGAAATGCTAAAGGGAGTTCTTCAATCTGAAAGAAAATAACATTAATGAACAATAAGAAAATCACCCGAGAGGTACAAAATTCACTAGTAATAATAAGTACACAGAAAAACAAAAAAAATTATAACACTGAAGTTGTGGTGTGTAAACTACTCATATCTTGAGTAGGAAGACCAAAAGATGAATCTATCCAAATAATAACCACAACAACCTTTCAAGACATACACAGTAAAATACGATATAGAGACAAAAAAAAGTTAAAAAAGCAGGGATATAAAATGGAAATGTAGAGTTTTAAGAATTTTGTCTCTCTTTGTTTGTTTGTTGTTTATGCAATTAGTATTAAGTTGTCCTCTGTTTAAAATTATGGGTTATAAGATATTATTTGCAAGCCTCATGGTAACATCAAATTTAAAAATACAACATTTAAATGTACAACAGACACAGAATATAAAAAGCAAGAAATTAAAGCATACTATCAGAGAAAATCACCTTCACTCCAAAGAGGACATGAAGGAAGAAAATAAAGAAGAGAAGGCCACAAAACAACCAGAAAACAATAGCAAAATGGCAGGAGGAAGTCCTTACTGAAAAATAACAATATTGACTATAAGTGGACTAAACTCTCCAATCAAAAGATAGAGTGGGCTGGGTGCAGGGGCTCACACCTGTAATCCCAGCACTATGGGACGCCAAGGTGGCTGGATCACGAGGTCAAGAGAGGGAGGCCATCCTGGCCAACATGGGGAAACCCCGTCTCTATTAAAAATACAAAAATTAGCTGGGTGTAGTGGCGTGCCTGTAGTCCCAGCTACCCGGGAAGCTGAGACCAGAGAATCACTTGAACCCAGGAGGCAGAGGTTGCAGGTAGCTGAGATCACACCACTGCACTCCAGCCTGGAAAAAGAGTGAGACTCCATCTCAAAAAAAAAAAAAAAAAAAAAAAAAGATAGAGTGGCTAAATGGATTTAAAAAAATAAGACCCAATAATCTGTTGCCACAAGAAACATACTTCACCTATAAAGACACACAGGAACTGAGAAAAATAGTAATATTAAAAAAATGCCACGAAAATGGAAACCAAATAAGAGCAGGAGTAGCTATACTTATATCAGATAAAATATTTTCAGTACATTTCAAGACAAACACTATAAAGGGACAAAGAAGGTCATTATATAGTGATAAACGCGTCAATTCAGCAAGAGGATATAACAACTATAAGAGCACCCAACACTAAAGTATCCAGATACATGAGGCAACTATTGTTAAAACTAAAGAAGGAGATAGAGCCCAATACAATAGTAGCTGGAAACTGCGACACCTCCACTTTCAGCATTGGACAGATTATTCAGACAGAAATCAACAAAGAAACATCACACTTAATCTGCACTACATACCAAATGAACTTAATAGATATTTACTGAACATTTTATCCAGTGGCCACAGAATACACATACTTCTCCTCAGCATATAGATCATTCTCAAGGATAGATCATATGTAACACCACAGAACAAGTCTTAAAAATTCAACAAAAAATTAAATTATATCAAATACCTTCTCTGATGATATAGTTTGGCTGTGCCCCCACACAAATCTCACCTTGAATTGTAACAATCCCCACTAGTCAACAGCATGGACAGGTGGAGATAATTGAATCATAAGAACAGTTTCAGGGGCCAGGCATGGTGGCTCAAGCCTGTAATCCCAGCACTTCGGGAGGCTGAGGCAGGTGGATCACCTGTGGTCAGGAGTTCGAGGCTAACCTGACCAATATGGTGAAACCCCATCTCTACTAATATAACAAAAATTAGCCAGGTGTGGTGGTGTGCACCTGTACTCCCAGCTACTCAGGAGGCTGAGGCAGGAGAATCACTTGAACCTGGGAGGTGAAGGTTGCAGTGAGCCAAGATGGCACCACTGTACTTCAGCCTGGGTGACAAAGCAAGACCCCGTCTCAAAAAAAAAAAAAAAAAAAAAAAGAACAGTTTCCCCCATACCGTTCTCATGATGTGAATAAGTCTGATGAAATCTGATGGTTTCATAAGTGGGAGTTCCCCTGCACAAACACTCGCTTGCCTGACACCATGTAAGACGTGACTTTGCTCTTCATTTGCCTTTAGCCATGACTGTGAGGTCCCCCAGCCATGTGGAAATGTGAGTCAATTAAACTTCATTCCTTCATAAATTACCCACTCTTGAATATGTCTTTATTAGTAACATAAGAACAGACTAATACAGTAAATTTGTACCAGTAGAGTAGGGTGCTTCTGTAAAGATTCCCAAAAGTGTGGAAGCAACTTTGGAACTGGGTAACAGGCAGACATTGGAATAATTTGGAGGGCTCAGAAGAAGATATGAAAATTTGGGAAAGTTTGGAACTTCCTAGAGACTTGTTGAATGGCTTTGACCAGAATGCCGAGAGTGACATGGACAATAAAAGCCAGGTTGAGGTGGTCTCAGATGGAGATGAGAAACTTGTTGGCAACTGGTGTAAAGGTGACTCTTGCCATGCAAAGTGACTGTAGGGAAGGCATGATTACTTTTGAAATATGAAGACATGAGATTTGGGAGGGGACAGGAGTGGAATGATATAATTTGGCTGTTTCCCCACACAAATCTCACCTTGAATTATAATAATCCCTACATGTCACGGGCACGGCCAGGTAAAGATAATTGAATCATGGGGGCAGTTTCCCCCATATTGTTCTCATGGTGTGAATAAGTCTCACCATGGTGTCTTATGGTAGTAAATAAGTCTCAAGAGATCTGATGGTTTTATAAATGGGAGTTACTCTGCACAAGCTCTCTCTTGCTTGCCACCATGTAAGATGTGACTTTGCTCCTCATTTGCCTTCAGGCCTCCCCAGCCATGTGTGACTATGAGTCAATTAAACTTCTTTCCTTCATAAATTACCCAGTCTCAGGTATGTCTTTATTAGCAGCATGAGAACAGACTAATACATCAGATCACAATGGAATAAAACTAGAAATCAATAACAAGAGGAATTTTGTAAACTACACAACCATATGGTAATTAAACAGTCTGCTCCTGAATGACCAGTGGGTCAATGAAGAAATTAAGATAGAAACTTAAAAATTTCTTGAAACAAGTGAAAATTGAAACACAGTATATCAAAACCTGTGAGGTATAATAAAAGTAGTACGAAGAGGAAAGTTTACAGCAGTAAGCACCTATGTCAAAAAAGTAGAAAAATTTTCAATAAACAACCTAATGGTGCATCTTAAAGAGCTAGAAAAGCAAGAGCAAACCAAACTCAAAATTAGTATAGGAAAAGAAATAGTGAAAATCAGAACAGAAAAAAATGAAATTAAAATGAATAAAAGCAATATAAAAGACCAACAAAGGCCAGGCGCAGTGAGCCAAGATCATGTCATTGCACTCCAGCCTGGACAACAAGAGCGAAACTCTGTCTTAAAAAAAAAAAAAAGTACAACAAAATAAAATTTTGGTGTTTTTAAAGATAAACAAAATTGATGAAACTTTGGCCCAATTAACTAAGAAAAAAAGAGAGAAGACCCAAATAAATAAAATTAAAGATGAAAAGTGAGAAATTACAACTGATACTGCAGAAATTCAAAGAATCATTAGAGGGTGTTACAAGCAACTATGTGCCAAAAAACGAAAACCTGGAAGAAATTGATAACTTTGTAGACACATAAAACCTACAAAGATTGAACCAGGAAGAAATCTGAAACCTGAGCAGACCAATAATTAATGCAATTAAGTTCATTTTAAAAAGTCTTCTAGCAAAGACAAGAACAGGACCTGACAGGTTCACTGCTTTATCACACATTCAAAAAAGAACCAATACCAATCCTACTCAAAGTATTCTAAAAAATAGATGACGAAAGAATACCTCCAAACTCATTCTATGAAGCCAGTATTACCCTGATACCAAAACCAGACAAAGACAAATTAAATAAATGAATAGAAAACTGCAGGCCAATATACCTGATGAACACTGATGCAAAAATCCTCAATAAAGTGCTTCCAAATGAATTCATCTTAAAAAGATCATGCATCATTAATGAGTGGAATTTATCCCAGCGATTCAATGATGGTTCAATACATACCAATCAATAAATGTGATACATCAAATCAGCAGAATGAAGGACAAATACCATACGACCACTTCATTTGATGCTGAAAAAATATTTGATAAAATGCAACACCTTTCATGATTAAAAACCCTAAAAAATTGGATATAGAGGGACATAACACAATAAAAGCCATATAAGACAGACCCACAGGTAGTATCGAACTGAATGGTAAAAAACTGAAAGGCTTTTCTCTCATATCTGGAACAAGACAAGAATGCCCACTTCCTCCCCTGTTTTTCAACATAGCACTGGAAATTCCAGCTAGATAAATCAAACAAGAGAAAAAAATTAAAGGCATCCAAATTGGAAAGCAAAAAGTCAAATTATACTTGATTGCAGATAATATGACCTTGCATTTGGAAAAAATCTTAAGTTTCTACCAAAAAACTATTAAAAAATGATAAACTCAGTAGAGTTATAGGATACAAAATCAACATTCAAAAATTAGTAGCATTTCTATATGCTAAAGCGAATAATCAGAAAAAGAAATCAAGAACGTTATCCCTGTTACAGTAGCTACAACTTTTTAAAAAATACCCAGAAATAAATTTAACCAAAGCATTTAAAGATCTCTATATTGAAAACTATAAGACATTAATGCAAGAAGTTGAATAAGACGTCGAAAAAATGGAATGATATTCCTCATTCATGGATTAGAAGAATCAATATTGTTAAAATGTCTGTAATACTGAAAGCAATCTAAAGATTCAATGCAATCTCTATAAAAATACCAATAACATGCTTTACTGAAATAGAAAAACATAACCCTAAAATTTTTATGAAACCACAAAACACCCAAAATAGTTAAAGCCATCCTGAGCAAAAAGAACAAAACTGGAGAAATCATAATACCTGACTTCAAATTATACCACAGAGATATAATAATCAAAACAGCATGGCACTGGCATAAAAACAGTCACATAGACCTGTGGAACAGAAAAGAGAAACCAGAAATAAATCTATGCGCCTATAGTTAACTCATTTTTTACAAAGGTGCCAAGAACACACAGTGGGGAAAGGAAAGTCTCTTCAATAAATGGTGGTGGGAAAACCATATATCCATATGTGCAAGAATGACACTAGACCCCTATCTTTTGCCATCTACAAAAATTAAATAAAAATGGATTAAAGACTTAAATCTAAGACCTCAAACTATGAAACTGCTTCAGGAAAACTTTGGTGAAGCTCTCAAAGACATTGGTCTGGGTAAAGATTTTTTGAGTGATACCCCACAAGCACAGGTAACCAAAGCAAAAATGGACAAATTGCATCACATCATTAAAAAGCTCTGCACATCAAAGGAAACAACTGACAATGTTACAACCCAAAGAATGGGAGAAACTATTTGCAAACCACCATTTGACAAATGATTAATAACCAGAATATATAAGGAGGTGAAATAATTCTATAGAAACAAATTTAATAGTTTGATTAAAAGATGGGTAAAATATTTGAATAGACATTTCTCAAAAGAAGACATACAAATGACAAACAGGCATGTGAAATGGTGCACAACATCGCTGATCATCAGAGAACTGCATATTGAAACTGCAATAAGGTATCATCTCATCCCAGTTAAAATGGCTTATATCCAAAAGACGTGCAATAACAAACGCTGGTAAGGATGTGCAGATAAAGGAACACTCATACACTGTTGGTGGGCATGTAAATTACTACAACCACTATGGAGAACAGTTTGTAAGTTACTCAGAAAAGTAAAAATAGAGCTCCTGTATTAGTTCATTCTCATGCTGCTATGAAGAAATACCCAAGACTGGGTAATTTATAAAGAAAAGAGGCTTAATTAACTCACAGTTCTGCGTGGCTGGGGAGGCTGCAAGAAACTTACAATCATGGTGGAAGGCACCTCTTCACAGGGCAGCAGAAGAGAGAATGAGTGCCAGCCGGGGAAATGCCAGATGCTTATAAAACTATCAAATCTCATAAGAACTCACTCATTATTATGAGAACAGCATGGGGAAACCACCCCCATGATTAAATTACCTCCTACTGGGTCCCTCCCATGACACGTAGGGAATATGGGGATTAAAATTCAAGATGAGATTTGGGTGGGGACACTGCCAAACCATATAAGCTACCATATGATCCAGCAATTCTACTGCTGGGTATATGCCCAAAAGAAAGGAAATCAATGTATCAAAGAGATATCTGCACTTCCATGTTTGTTGCAGCACTGTTCACAATGGCCAAGATTTCAAAGCAACCTAGGTGTCCATAAACAGATGAATGGATTAGAAAGTGTGGTAATTATCCACCATGTATTACTACTATTCAGCCATAAAAATAATGAGATCCTGTCCTTTGCAACAGCATGGATGACACTGGAGGTCATTATGTTAAATGAAATAAGCCAGGCACAGAAAGACAAACGTCATGTTCTTACTTATTTGTGGGATCTAAAAATAAAAAACATTGAACTCATGGAGATAGAAAGAAGAAAGATGGTTACTAGAGGCTGGGGAAGGTAGTGGGAGTCGGGGGAAGGTTGGAAAGATTGGTAAATTAAAAAAAAAAAAATTAGAATAAATAAGATCTACTATTTGACAGCATAGCAGGGTGATTATAGTCATTAATAATTTAACTGTACATTTTTAAATAACTGTAAGAGTATAATTGGATTGTACCACAAAGGATAAATGCTTGACAGGATGGATACCCCATTTTCCATGATGGAATTATTACACATTGCATACCTGTATCAAAATGTCTCTAAGTAAAACCATTTACTTAGTAGCTTTGAGTATTTTCTTCATACTAAATTCCATGGCCTACTATTGCAGTTTTGGGGTTGTGCTGATGAAAAATTGAAAGCTGTCAGTCATAGGTGAGTAGAATGGTTTTGTCTCATTTATTTAATGTTCATTTGCTTAATGTTCAATTAAATTCATTGTTCAAAATGCGTATTTTGGCATTACCGAGGCCTGGGTTTTAATTCAGCTTCTGCTGCTTACAAGCTGAGTTCACCCAGCCTTCTTCCTTACCCAACTTCTCTATTAATGTGTTTCATTTCATGCCGCTCTCCTCATCCCTCACTACATTTTAGTCACTCTGGCACTAATCATTTTTCAGTTCCTGATGAAGCCCTTGTAATTCTCAGGAGCCTCAAAATTATGTCCCTGTGTAAGTGTCTCTTTCAAATAAGCATCATCCAACAAGCAATAATATTTGAAATATAACTTTATCAAATTTACAAAAACTATCAAAAGATTGATTCCATTGATAATTATTAGCAAAACTTAAAAAACAGTTTTCAATATGTTCATACACATAAGCACCCACAAACCCTAAGGAGATATTTCCGGCAGATTTTTCTTTTCTATTATTTAGAACTCCACCCCAAGTTCCCCAAACCCAGTCTACTCACGTTTTGTCTTACTGCTTCTTTGCCCACCCACTGGTAGATGAATTATTTTCCTCTTTGCTAATAACATCACTTTTTGACTGAAAAACAAACCAGGGACTCACTGGGCTTCTTCCCTCATCCACTCACTGTTACTGCCTCACAGTAGCCAAGAAGTTCAGCTTGCAGAAACCACTTCCCTTTGATTCTTTTCTCTTGTGTAAGGGGGAAGTGTCCAATTGTTCACCTTTTATTCTTTTACTTCTGTCACACTCATGTGGTCACAGCCCTTTGATGGTTGCACTTTGTTCTTTCCATCTAGAAGTCACACACATTGTCTTCACCTTCACAGTTCTAATTATGCCGCAAGATAGATCCCCAATGGAAATGAGATGTGATCTTTTATTTTTTAAAAAGTATTCCTAGACGCTTCGGTTGGAATTAACTGTTAAAAACTCGTATAGTACTTTGTGCTTTTCTTACATAGCACTTACAGTAGTCATATGTTAATTCCCCCAAACCCCATTTTTGGAAAATAGCCTGACCAGGGCCACACAATGACACATTGTACCACTCCAGGGGGCTACAAGTCATTCGTAATGTATTCCATGTGAATGGATCTATAGATAAAAAATGCCCAACCAGTTAAACAAGCAAGGAAGCCTATTCAAGATGATTGTAATAAAGGTAAGAGATTAAACTCAACTCCAATTGAAACAAAAGGCTGGAGAGCTTTTAAGCACTAGGGTGAGCTAGCAGGAAAGTACTGGAGGGTATTAGGGGGAAGGGAGATTGGTCAATGTGACTAGGCCATCTGTATTTGCTAATTGGCACTTATAAAGGCCCCTACCCTCCCACAGAGATAAGGAGATAGGGGCTTCATCTTCCTTGATGATTACCTCTGGAAGAGATGGCTCTCAGGGCCTTGAAAAAGACTTTCCTGGGTTGTAGAAGATTTACTTCTGAAAGGAACAGAGAAAGAATTTAAAGGAATTCCAGGTTTTCTAATGCAAATGCTCTGAGAAAGGGAGGTGAGACCTAGAGTCATAAAGTAACCTAATGAAAGTTGAGCCAAGCTGAAGGGAATGTGAAGACTTCTAGCAGGGCCACCTTGTGACAGGGAGAAATGTCACAGTGTAACACAATGTCTGACATATAATAGATGCTCAATAAATGTTGAATTCATGTGTGGGTCTATTTACAGTAGGGATGGTAATAATACTGCCACCTAATATTGCAAGGAGGTCTATTTGGATATTCTGTATAAAGAACTCAGCACAGGGCTTAAACGTTTTTTTAAAAACCCTCATAAAGTTCATATAGATATATAGAAAACAGCAAAACAATCTTTAAACAATTAGGTTGAAAGACCTTTTGCAATCTCCTATTCTAAATCCCACTCACTTTCCTTTCCCTACCCTTTCAAAGAGAGATTTACTTTCAGTATGGAGCACATTTTAAACGATCCTAAGAAGAATATTCAGCATATTTCATTCACTAACTGAACAAAAGTCAAAATGCATTATTATCCCAAGTGGGTATTAAGGTGGGTAGTGTGTGATGGAAATCTAGATAGTTTTAGAGGAAAAACAAAAAGGTGTTATTTAATCAAGCAAAGGCTGAAGAGCTTTTCTTTAATTGAATTACAGGAATTGTAGTCAAGATTAAAGGCTGAATTGCAGACATGATTTTTTTTTTCATTTAGCAAAATGTTTGATTCATTAGCTCATGAAATGTTAATTACTCATTTATTTTAAATTAGTTTAAATATGAGCTCCCACATGGGCTGACAGTTGTCTAAATTCTACGGCAAGTATTAATATATGCCATGTGTACCCTAGAACATTCCCACCACACTGCTTAGTGAAGGAATCTAAAGATTCCTTTCATTAATTACCACTGGTCCTACAGGAATTTTTCTGATGCAGCAGGAAGTTGGTTTGTATGACTAGAATCTCATTTTTATAAGTATCATTAAACGTGCACTCTCATGTAATGAAGCTGTTCCCACATCCTGTCTAATAGCCACTCTAACACTGCCTTGTAATATGGCCACCATTGAAAGTGACAGCAGAGTGATTATGAGCCCAGGCTCCAATCTCAGTTCTTCCTCTCACTAACAATGTGACTCTGGGCAAGGATTAGCCTTCCCATGACTCAGTCTCCTCACCTCTAAATAAAGATAATAACAGTAGCAATCTCACAAAAGTATTGGAGAGAGAAAAAGGATACTTACAGCAGTGCCTGGAACATAGTGATAATCCAGAAAATATTAGCTATTATTCTGCTCAAGGAATTCTCACATTGAGTAGACCAGTTCTCAGGCCTAAGTGCAGTGAGCAGTAGGACATAGGTTTATTTAGCAAAAAGTTATGCATCTGAGGACAGACACTCTCATTAAAACTGAATGCTGACACTTTTACCAAATGACAGGATGCTAATGTTTCTTCATGGTGTTTCTTCATTGGTTTCTAGGGAGTATTTGGCTTCTTTTTCAGAAGATGTGCTTACATGGAATACTTCTACACTCCTTACTCTCATCCACACACTTCAGAAATCTAGTTCTTGTCCTAATAGCCTCAGTAAATTCTCTTTCGATTACTCCAGCCCATGGGAAATACCCCCTCCTATGAATTGTATTATTTGGCTTATTATTTAGGTGGTATGTGTGTTGCTTAATTACGTCCTGGCTCAGGTGGGCATTTGCATTGGTTTATCTTAAAGTTGCAGTATTTTAGGATGTACATGTCTTGTGTCTCTGACTGTACTGTGGGCTCCTTGAAAAGTGAGATCAAGTGATAGAGTTTTCTGAGCTACCACACCTGACACAGAGCTGTGCAGGAAATGCTTGGGAAGGAGGGAAAGGAAAAGAGAGAAACAAACTTGAAAACAAACATGTGTGGATCTGCGGCTGGTAAGCAGATGCCTACTTCTGACCCAAAATTTTTGAGGGTACCAACTTTCATTAAAGACACAGATAAAAAGGAATCACAAAGGAGAGGGAGAAGAAAGATAACTTCTGAGATCAAAAACTAGAACAAAGATTTTCCTGTCATGGCATACATTGGGCAAGGATCCAAAGAGTTTTTTAATTAGCCAATTAATTTGATTGATTTACACAAAAGGAAATATATATGTTCACATAAGTTCATATATGTGATCATGTTATAAATGTTTTCATCGTGGGGTAGGATTCATCATTTTTTCATCTTCTGTGTGGCTCTCCCCTCTGATTTTTGTCTCTCTCCTTCCACCTGCAATAGTCCCTCATACCCACCAATATAAGGTAAATTCATCGTTATTCACTCAACCCTATGCACATTTATATGGTAAGTGATATATAAAATAAATAAAATGAAATCATATTTTATATATATTTTTCTACATTTTCATTTTCTCTCTCAGCTAATAACTCTTGTAATTTCCTTCTTTTCAACTAATATATATTCTTTAGTAAGGGTAGAATTTTATTTTTATATTGGGTTATTCATTTATTTTCCATCTCTTGTCATTGCAAACAGTACCGCAGTAAAGATTCCTATCTATCTGACTTCATATATTACTGCTTTCCTTTCTATGGAAAAGATTTCCACTAATGAGGTTGCTGGGTCAAAAGATTTTTGAAAGTTCAATTTTGATAGCTGATGCCCAATTACTTTTCCAAACTCTTGTAATGCTTTATATTTCCACCAGTAATCTATGAAAGCACTCCTTGTTTTATAACCCCTTCAGGAAAAATGCCGTAACTCTTCATTTTTAAAAAATAATTCCCCTTTAAAAGTATCCACTTTATTGTGGTATTCTTTTGGTCACTAAACTTGCCCCTCTGCACATAGGGCAGCTTTCCATTATACATATATTTCTAGTCATATATTCTAGTCATATATTTCTCGCATTTCTTGTCTTTGTGATTTTTAGCTATAATGTTTATAATATGTAAATTTATGGTTAATATAGTTTCTTAAAAAATTGTGCCTTTATTATATTATAATAAATTTTATACATCTTTGTCCTTTTTAATGATGTTAGACTCAAATTTCTAATAACCTAATATTGATTTTCCACTCTTACCTTTTTCTTTTTAAAAATATTTTATTTCTCTTTGTTTGGTATCCTTTTATTTTAATTATTTTCTTTAATTATCCACTTTAAATGTGGTTTTTTTAAATAGTATATTGCTAGATTTTGCTTTGTGACCTAACATAATAAAAATAAAATCATTGATGTAGAAAAGAAACCAAAATATTTAAAATATTTTTATTCACAGAAACATGATTCTAATGGGAAAAGGTTTTATTATAGTCGTTTTTACTTTCTGGGTCACCTCATAAGGTCTTGTTTGTTCTACAGAATATACATAATAGGCAACGTGGAAAGGAAAGTAGGAGATTGCAGAAAAAGAGATTTGGGAACATGGTGATAACAATTGCACCTTTTTCCCCTCCTTTCTCAAGATCGACCTAGCTTCCCCTCCTGCATCAGCCTTCTGCTTGACCCCACAGGCAGCTGTGTGCAAGACGGCCTTGAGTTCTTTGTTAAAGTGGCCAGATTTAGGGAATAAAAATACAGGATATTCAGTCAGTTAAATTTAAATTTCAGATAATCAACAAATGCTGGGTTTTTTTTTTTTTTTCACTGTAAGTATGTCCCATACAATATTTGGGACACACTTACACTAGGTTGGTGCAAAAGTAGTTGTGTTTTTGTCCTCTTTTTTTTTTTTTTTTTTTTGAGATGTGAGTCTCGATCTGTCACCAGGCTGGCGTGCAGTGGCGCTATCTCGGCTCACTGCAACCTCTGCCTCCCGGTGGAGGTTGATTCTCCTGCCTCAGCCACTCGAATAGCTGGGATTACAGGTACGCGCCACCATGCCCAGCTAATTTTTATATTTTTAGTAGAGACAGGGTTTTACCATGTTGGCCAGGATGGTCTCAATCTCCTGACGTCATGATCCGCCCACCTCGGCCTCCCAAAGCATTGCCATTCTTTCAATGGCAAAAATTGCAATTATTTTTGCACCAACCTAATAAAAAATTATCTGAAACTTACATTTAACTGAGTGTCCTGTATTTCATCAATACCCTTACTCTAGAATCTCATTACAGATAACTGGAGCAGGCCTTTCTTCATGGTGGTCCAGGCAAGTACCTGGAGACATTATTTGGGAGCCTTAACCTAGAAGCCAGAAGTAGCATATCCTGGGAAGACCCTGACACTCTGAGGTATATAGAGAGCACCTCTTCAGGAAGGAGGGAAAGAATACCATTTGACAATAACCCTATGTATAACAAGCTTAACTAATTCCCTGGACCCCAAAATGCCCACAGGAACCAAATGATTTGATCAAGACTTCCATGATACTGACACTGTGAAAACTTAAGGAAACCAGGGAGCAGGTAGATTTCCATTAGGGACACCTTCCAGGTACTTCAGGTGCAAATGATCAACAGGCCTGCTTCTGTATCTGAGATCAGGTTACAGGGGAGAAAAAGCTGGTTGGAAATCTACCAATTGTGAATTGCAACCACACACTCCATCTATTATGCTTCATCTATTACTATACCTGAGTTAAAGACAGAGGGACTAACCATCTATCTCATCATCTAAAAATGTCAGTCAGAATGGATAGAACACATGTAAATGACAACTGAGAGCCCAAATTTAAAACACTGATAACAGAACTTACAAAATAAAAATGTAGCACACTAACATAATTGTTCACAGCTGAACAATTCAGTGGATGAACTGAAGTTGGAGATGACACTAGTGAAACCCGCCTCCCATCCAAGTGATCCTCAGTAGTCTAGAAGGTAGAATACAAGAAAAACATTTCAAAGTAGAGGCAAAAGGTAGGAAAAAAAATGAGGAAAAAGTTAATTAATTAATTAATTATTATCATTATTATTGAAACTGAGTATTGCTCTATTGCCCAGGCTGGAGTACAATGGCGCGACCTCAGCTCACTGCAACCTCCGCCTCCTGGGTTCAAGCGATTCTCATGCCTCAGACTCCCGAGTAGCTGGGATTACAGGAGCCTGCCATCATGCCCGGCTAATTTTTGTATTTTTAGAAGAGTTGGGGTTTCGCCATGTTGGCCAGGCTGCTCTCAAACTCCTGACCTCAAGTGATCCACCTGCCTCGACCTCCCAAAGTGCTGGGATTACAAGCATGAGCCACCATGCCCAACTTGGAAAAAGTGAATTTAATATTGCATAATGAGAGCTCTAGAAGATGAAAAGGATGGAGGGGGTGCATTAATTGTGTCATAGTAGAAGACGCTATCTCTAAAGAAAACCCTAAGTCTACAGATTGAAAGATTGCACTGAAATTCACACTGAATTGTGAACAAAGGACATTTATCTAGGTATATCGTACTATAATTTAAGTAATGGAAAAAATAAGGACATTGTCTTGGATATCTAATTTGCATTACTGGAGGCCAGAAGACAGTAGATTGGCATTTAGCATCTAGACACTGCTGAAAGGAAAGAACTAAAGCTCACAGTAGATTAGATGTGGATCTCCTACTTCATCTGGGTCTTTACCTGCACAGGTTTGTTTGCAAGCCCACACACTGGGCCTTTTACTCAACCAGAGACTTCTGCCTGTGTCTGCCTCAGTGCCCTCTGATAAGATATCAGTTTCTACTACAGCCCTTTGCCTGGGCCATTCTTTAAACTTCAGACTCAAATGGAAGACTTACCTGTGCCTGCATTAAAGCTACTTTGTATGTGATTTCTGTTTGAAATGTGAGAAAAGGTCATCTGTGATTCCTCCCATCCCAGCCATCCTTAGTTTTCTTCCGTATTGTACTTCAAGCCTCTCTGACCTGAATGTGCCAACACTCACCTAGCTTGTATTTCCTAGAAAATAGGCAAATTACTGCAGATTACAGAATATTCCCTCCACTTGGCTCTTGTTTAAGGGACCATTTCCCTGGAAGCTGTATTATGTTAAATGCTGCTGATTTGCCAAAATCTTTGGTTTGGGAGATGATCAAAAACAACCTTACTCCCCAGTGCTTTTCCAGTCTATTACTCCTCCACTCTCCTGTGTCATCCCCACTCCTCTGACCCTCAGCCATATGGCTGCACTACCCATATCTCCCGCCTGGTCCCTTTCAATTCCTGACCTCCTGGTCACTCCCCTCAAATTAGTTGAACATCTTAGCATCTGGCTCATAGTTCTAACTCCAAAAAATATTTAAACTTAAAGAGTCGTTTCTATAAAAGTATTTTATTCTATTCTGGTAATATTTTTATAGTTTTTCAAAAGACATGAAACTACTTTCAATTATAGCTTCTATGAAAGTAAAGAATGTATTCATCTTTGACTTCAAATGTTGCTTTAAAAGATTAAATGGAAGTACACCTGATGTTCTTCTCTCCCTTAATGACTCTAAAGGTAAGAATTTACTGACAGATAAGCATTTATTAATACAAGATAAGAGATCAAAATGCAACTTTCTGATGAATACCAGAAGAGACAAAAAGCCTAAGTTCTGGAAATAAGAGTGCAAACATTGAGAAAATGAGTTTGTCATTGAAAGCGTGTAAACGTGAAACTTTCCCTACTGCCAAGCTATTTTGTTTCTTTTCTCAGAAGTAGATCTATCAGATGCATTGACCAGTAAAAGGAACCAATGAATTTATGTAGCTTCATCTACTTTATCACTGAATTTTTTTTGTGCTTTAGTCTTTTTTTGTTCTTAAACCTGGCTTTGTATCTCTAAGCAGGAATCTAAAACCCTAAAGAATAGTAATACGGTTTTCATTTCACTTTTTCATTTCCCTTTTTCTATCTACTACCTTCAAATCTGACCAATAGGATTTCATAATTTTTGAGATTACAGTTCTACCCACTTCAAGTCCATACTGATTCATTCTCAAGATTGAAAGTAATGGCCAAGCAAGGTGGCTCATGTCTGTAATCCCAGAACTTTGGAAGGCTGAGCTAGGTGGATCACCTGAGGTCAGGAGTTCGAGACCAACACAGCCAACATGGTGAATCCCCGTCTCTATTCAATATACAGAAAAATTAGCTGGGCATGGTGGCACATGCCTATAGTCCCAGCTACTTGGGAGGCTGAGGCAGGAGAATCGCTTGAGCCTGGGAGGTGGAAGTTGCAGTCAGCTGAGATCGTGCCACTGCACTCCAGCCTGGGTGAGAGAGTGAGACTCCATCTCAAATAAAATAAAACAATAATAATAATAATAATAATAATAATAATAACTTTTGATGAAGTTCCAGGTTTGGAGAACAATGGCTGTTGCTTAATTTCAAATAGAATCAAACATTTTCTTTCACCCACCCTAAAAATGACTCTCCATAAAATCAACCATAAGAGCAAATTAACCACACAAAACCAATACTTTCAGTATTTTGGGGAGACAGGAAAATGCAACCTTACAATTACCTGAAACTTGGAGGAAAAAAAAACAATTTCCAGTGGCTCTCCCACTGCTCACTCTGGGCTACAAATATGCAGATATGAGAACAGAGAAGAAAAGACCAACAATTCTCCATGCATAAGAGTAGAGGAGAGCAAAGAATTGAGATGAAGCACAGACAAAATCATACTCAGAAAGAATATGTGCAAAAATAAATGATAATATCCTGAGCATGCTTTAGAATGTGGTAGGCCATAGAATTAACCACAGAAAAGGAGCCTGAAAGTGTGGAGTACCAGAAGTGGCATCCCTGAAGATGCATCGGTTCTAGAACAGAATCAGATATATAAATAAGGGTGTAGTCCTTAAAGACACAGTGAAAGGAAAGTAAGAAATAAGAGGGCAAAATTAAGGATAGTGCAGAAATGAAAAGTAATATGATAATCTACTCAAGGATGAGAGTCATTCAACAAAAGATGACTGGAAAAATGTTGACAAAGCAGCTCATGGTGAGCTTTTCATAAGTATTTCTTATATTTAATCTGAAAGTAACCCAAGGATGTGCTCATTAGTAGAATGTATATGCATGTATGTATGTAAGTATGTGTATGTGCATGCATATTTATATATCTATATATATACACACACGCGTGTGTGTTTGTGTTTATTTGCAGGTATGCATATGTATTTGTATACATGCTCATATTTCATAGTTCTTTCTCAAACATGAATGAATTGAGCTGACAAGAAGCAATGACACTCCAGTAGTAATGAGCACAAGTCATGCTCAGATTTTGACCTCTGGTACAATTTTCCACTAAAAAGAAGTAAAATTCTTAAGAGGCTATTTCCAGGGCTGGGGCAGGCTAAGTACAAGATAAGCTAGCAATAACCTGTTATGACAGAAAGTAAAGAAGTAATCAAATATAAATTTATAAGTGAATATATATTCATGTAACTATTTTTTATGTTTGAAAGCATTTCCCAAAATAAGTTTTTAAATTTAAAAACAAAAGTCTTTTTAAAGTTTACCAGGGACCTCAACTTTCTATTGGGAAATGGAGTTAATGTTTTGTCAAACGCTTGAATAAACCATTCATGGCCCGGATTAGCCTTCAGTATCTGCATTGTAAATTGTTTGTAGACCTCTTCTAGTCAACTGGAAGAAGAGAAAGAATAGTAACATCAGATATCATATACTATTTGAGGACTTGCATGTATGATTATGAGGGATACTAATAATTAAGTTTTATGAAGATAGTGTTCTTCATTGATGTCTCCTTTGCTACCTATTTTGGTTAATGCCACAGCAAAAGCTCTGAGTCTTTGAAAAAGATGACAAAGAGATAGTAAGAAAATGACATTTACTTCTCTGAAGCTAGGACCCAGACTGCAAAAAAAAAAAAAAAAAAAAATGATGTTTTCTTCAATAACTTAATCTGAGAGATGTAAAGCTAACTGCCTCCTCAGAAACGTCCTTATAGGTCTGAAATACTTTTTAAAAATCAAGTAGTATGAATAACTCAGAGCTCAATTCATTCATGTCGAGTGTTATTTTCATAAACTTTCCTTTTAATGACAAAATTGTTTTTTGTTTGTTTGTTTTTAGGATTTTTTTTTTTTTGGCAGAATACCCAATTCTTTGAAAATTCTTGAAGACATATTTTCAAGCCACTCAACACAGCATGCAGCTTTGGTGTGACTTTATCAGAGTTTTACACATATAAAAGTTAAGCATTCTCAGATCTGTATCCCAAAGTGTTTTTACCATCAGAACTGCAAGTATTTTGTGTCATGTTATAATGGCAAGAATCATGTAATAGGAAAATAAGAATTTTTCCCTTGATAGCAATTTTACTTTATGATTAATCAACTTTTGTATAACATAGTGATTTTAATTAAAATAGGCAGGCATAGTGTCATGTATACATATAGATCAAATCTAAGGATGCCTTCTGTAATTCTCCTGAGTTGCTGTTTACAACTGCTTTGATGTTACTTAGAAGTTCCTGTTATTGGATGTGTTTGAACTACAAGATAACATTGACTTACACGATTTAGTCCATCTAATAATAAACCACTTTGGAGCCACAATAATTTTAAAGAATCTTGAAGCAATGAAATATTTCTTCAGGGTAAGATGTTTTAGAGTATATTTCCTCTCTATTAAAAAAATTGTCTGCTCTTTATTCCCAACAATTTGAAAACACAAATCCTAAAAAGCACAGAAACTGCTTCCCTGTTCAACCTCTTCTCACAACTGTCTTCTAGTTCCCAGGATTTAAACTTCTCATTACTGAGGAGTTGGTTACCGGTTCAGATATTTATTAATTAAACTATGACTGGAGTTGGCTAAGTTCTTTGTAGAAAAAGAAGCTTTTCTTGAGACCTGCTGTAAATATTAGGGGTTAGGACAGAGTATGCTCCTGGTAATTTACAAAATCTAAGATTGCTGACCACCTTAGAAGATAAAAGACAAAAGCAATTAAAGAACTTGTCATATGTCATTTTTAAAAGTGACATTGGACAGAGGTGCACATGTTATGAGACTAAGATGTGCTCATTGACTATCAACAATAATGTTTACCTTCTAGACACATTAAGAAAATGCTTTAAAACCAACTTATACAATCATAATTAGAAGGATGGTGCTACTAATCTCATACCTTGCCTTTAAATGTAAGCATTTCTAAGCCACTCTGGGAGATTATTTTCTATGCTAACATTTCTCAAACTGGATTTACTGAAAAGTCTATTTGACAAGGACAAAAAGCTCAATGTAACTTTCAGCAATGTATAAATATTACATCGCTGAAATTTTGGCCAATATCATATTCTTAATTATCCTACAGTAGTGTAATTTGCATAATACCTCTTTGAATATTAAAGACTCAGAGAATCACTGCAGTTAAAGAGATACCTGTTTAACTTTGTCTAAATATGGCCAAATGTTATAGGTTTATGTGAAGACTTCTTTGGGACAAGATCTATACCATATGACCTTCTCTACCCTATATTAGCTCAATATTTGGTTAAATTAACATTCTATATAGAGGTTCAGGCTTAACAATGCCAAAATCTTCAATGAAAGCCTGTTCCAGTATGAAATCATTGCGAAACAAATTATTTCTTATAGTGGATTCCCTCACAACAAAAAAGCACCTTCTCCACCTTCTCCTGTTTTTGTTTGTTTTTGTTTTTGTTTTGTTTTGTTTTGAGACAGAGTCTCACTCTGTTGCCCAGGCTGGAGTGCAGTGGCGTGATCTTGGCTCACTGCAAGCTCTGCCTCCTGGGTTCACACCATTCTCCTGCCTCAGCTTCCCAAGTAGCTAGGACTACAGGCACCTGCCACCACGCCAGGCTAATTTTTTGTATTTTTTAGTAGAGACGGGGTTTCACCATGTTAGTCAGGATGGTCTCAATCTCCTGACCTTGTGAGCCACCCGCCTCAGCCTCCCAAAGTGCTGGGATTACAGGCGTGAGCCACCGTGCCCTAAATTTCATAAGTGTGAACATTGGAGTATGGCCTCATCTTATAAATATCTTACATTTTCCTTTTTCAGTTGGAGTGGACATGAGAATGTAAGTCACATACCTCCAACAACAGGAATCAAGATTGACCAAGAGGGAGCTCCAGCTGCTATTTTTGGAAATCCACCACCACATTTGGGCTTAGGACAGCAGTGTCCAGGAGCTTCTCCCAGCCAATCAATGACTGATTGCTGCAGAGATTCTAAGGCAGGTCAGATGCTGGGAGACACAGGTCTTTGCCTCAGGACTCTCTGATGGCCTAGAAGAACCTCAGTAGACAACATAGCTGACCAGGACACTTCTGCCTACCCTTCTCGCCTACACTTAGTCAGATTTGCATTGTAGTCTCAAGGCTCTCCCAGCCTTTCCTGGCTTCCTCCATATTTTCTCTCACTGGTTTTCTCCCTAACAAAATTCTTGCACATTTCATCACAACATGGCATCTACTTCTCAGAGGACCTAGACTAACACAAATGGTACCAGGAGCAACCAAAGAAGACCAGCAGTGACATGAAGATTTAGGACTGTTTCATCCCCCACCTGGCAGATGAAGAAGACCCTATCGTGGTTGGCAAGTGGGGTGCAGGTAGCCACTGACACACCAAGGCAGGATATTTGCTAAAGATGTCACTACTGGTGTTCTAAGAAAAAGTACCTGTGGAGGGGATTTCTGTGCCAGATGCAAAAATGCAGGCATTTGAGAGTTATAGAAACAATACCTATGAAGAGAGCCCAGTTGGCTGATTACTGTAAAGTTGAATCGATGCCATGCAGAAAGATAATGAGAAGTAGAGGACTAATAACAAACACATGTCTAAATGTGGGATCCCAAGAGACATCATGGTAGCTTACAAAGATGCTCTTCTCTCCTGCAGTGAAAGGGCAGACACAGTTGAGTGGCAAACTGAAGACCTGATTGTTAGTACTACAGATCTCCAGAGACATTTGAACGCTCAGTTGAGACAGGTTTGTTATGTAAAGAGAAAAGACCTAGTGGGAGAAATCTGGGTTCCCAAAACATGGGACAAGGATATCTAGATGGAAGGCCTTTGTAAATATTTATTCAGCAATCAAGGTTGAACTGTATAGGATTGCAGATACGGCCCACACATTCTCAAAGCTAGCATTTCCACTGTGCTGGGAAATGCTGAAGAAATCGTTCCTCAACAAGGCAACAGGTGGCTCAGGAGCTGCCCCCCACCTCCAACCTCCATTCCAGCTTGCCAGGCAAACAATTAGGATTAAATTCCATGAAAAGTCCTGCTAAGGACTTGCTGGGTTTGATTGGGATGAGGGGGAACATAAAGGAGAAACTATACACTTCAAAAGTTGCAAAAAAAAATTATTTATATAGCCATATGCACTGGTAGGCACCAGAAGAGTGCTCCTGGGATTGGATTTTAGATGTACTTGATTAAGAGGCCTGAACATAAGACTGGATAAACAGGAATTCATTGACTTGAGAGCATTTTCTTAAAACATATGACCCAAAAGGATATGAAGATCTTGGTCCTGGAATGGCTCTTAGAAGCCTGGGGAAAAAATAATGGCCAACTCACAGTGTAGCAAAAATGCCTTTCTTGCCTCGGCAGAAGGTAGAGGAAGGAATAAAAAGGCAGAGGGAACTGGGCATGCTGGAATGGAAGTATTAAGTAAGGCAACACTCACCAGAGGATGATGTTCCATAGGAGGACCCAAAGGACAATGCATCCACCAAAACCATCAAAATACATAGGTGAGATGGCCCCAGCAACACTAAGAAGTTTTGTGGTAGTTATCCTGTGCAGGATATAGTAGGTTTCAAGATCTACAATGGTAGTTTACAAAGCTGGGTTCATTTGTATGTATGATGGGCCCTCTGATATAATCAAGGCCAGATGATAGGGCTTGACTTCTGTGATGGCTAATACTGAGTGTCAACCTGATTGGATTGAAGGATGCAAAGTATTGATCCTGGGTGTCTCTGTGAGGGTGTTGCCAAAGGAGATTAACATTTGAGTCAGTGAGCTGGGAAAGGCAGACTCACCCCTATTCTGCATGGGCACCATCTAATCAGCTGCCAGCATGGCCAGGATATAAAGCAGGCAGAAAAACATGAAAAGGCTAGACTGGTTTAGCCTCCCAGCCTGCATTTTTCTCCCATGCTGGATACTTCCTGCCCTTGAACATCGGACTCCAAGTTCTTCAGTTTTGGGACTCAAACTGGCTCTCCTTGCTCCTCAGCTTGCAGACGGCCTATTGTGGGACCCTGTGATCCTGTGAGTTAATACTTAATAAACTCCCCTTTGTATATACACATACAATATATATAATATTATATACTATATATATTATATATGTAATATAATACATAATATATAATAGGAGATATATATATATATATCTCCTATTAGTTCTGTCCTTCTAGAGAACACTGACTAATACAACTTCCAAAAGCCAGGAGGTCATAATTACCAGGAGGATGTGCAAAGTCAGGGGTATAGTCCAAAAAGTTAACCTGCAAGATATCGTGGTGGTAAGAGCAAAATAGGCAGGCACTAATAAGACACTTAACACATATAACAAAAAGGGAGAAGAAGGGAGAGAAGGAGGAAGAGAAGGAGGAGGAGGAAGAGAAGGAGGAATGGAGAACTAGAGGGAGTGAAGGTGATCATGCAAATACAAAATCATAATCCTTCACTTAGTTCCCAGATATGAACCAAGACTAAAGATGTACCTGGATCCCTACAAGAAAGGACCCTGTAAGACAATGACAAGCTTATACCATGACAATTCCCCAACCTTTCCACAAAGGAACCTACTTATTGAGTGAGTGTCCACTGAGGAAAAGGGGAAATAACCAAAAATTTTCAGGATTATTGGACACAGTATCTGAGTTTACTTGTCTGAGTTTACTTTGATCTGGGGGATCCAAAGCACCATTGTGGCTCACAATTAGAATGGGGACTGCTACGGGACAAGTACAGTGATGGCTAAAGTCCAGTCCTATTCTATTTATGTGTTTGGGAACTGGGGAAATGACTAAAGAGCGGGTCTGTAGAAAGGAAAGTGGCCGCAAGTGGGAATACAGATAGAGATTCCTAGGCAGTGGCCAATGCCCTGGCTCTCTGCTCTGGTAAGGATCATAAAAGGAAAAGGACCAAAAGATCAGAGACAAAAAATTCTGGGCTAGAGACACATGAACTGACAAATATGAGTGGGTACGAAGAGGATGATCTTTATATCACACATCAATGTCCATCAAAAAGCACCCACTCTGTGGGTAAGTGTGGTGGCTCACACCTGTAATCCCAGTTGTTTGGGAGACTGATGTGGGTGGATCACTTGAGGCCAGGAGTTCAAGTCCAGCCTGGCCAACATGGTGAAACCCCAACTCTACTAAAAATACAAAAATTAGTCAAATGTGGTGGTGTGTCCGAAATTTGTTCCTTCCAGTGGGTTCTTGGTCTAACTTCAAGAATGAAGCCGCAGACACTCACGGTGAGTGTTACAGTTCTTAAAGATGGTGTGTCCGGAGTTTTTTCCTTCAGATGTTCAGATGTGTCTGGCGTTTCTTCCTTCAGGTGGGTTCGTGGTCTCGCTTGACTTCAGGAGTGAAGCCGCAGACCTTCGCAGTGAGTGTTACAGCTTTTAAAGATGGTGCGTCTGGAGTTGTTTGTTCCTCCTGGTGGGTTCGTGGTCTTGCTGACTTTAGGAGTGAAGCCACAGACCTTTGCAGTGAGTATTACAGCTCATAAAGGTAATGCGGACCTAAAGAGTGAGCAGCAGCAAGATTTATTGTGAAGAGCGAAGGAACAAAGCTCCCACAGCGTGGAAGGGGACCCAAGCTGATTGCCGCTGCTGTTGCCAGGTGGCCAGCTTTTATTCCCCTATTTGGCCCCACCCACATCCTGCTGATTGGTCCATTTTACAGAGCGCTGATTGGTCCATTTTACAGAGTGCTGATTGGTCTGTTTTTACAGAGTGTTAATGGGTGTATTTACAAACCTTTAGCTAGACACAGAGCGCTGATTGGTGCGTTTTTACAGAGTGCTGATTGGTGCATTTACAAGCCTTTAGCTAGACACAGAGTGCTGATTGGTGCATTTACAATCCTTTAGCTAGACAGAAAAGTTCTCCAAGTCCCCACCCAACCCAGAAGCCCTGCGGCTTCACCTCTCAGTGGTGGGTGCCTATAAACCCTCTACTCTGGAGCCTGAGGCAGAAGAATTGCTTGAACCCAGGAGGCAGAGGTTGCAGTGAGCCTAGATCATGCTACTGCACTCAAAAAAATAAAAACCAAACCAAAACAAAGCAAAACAAAAAGCATCCACTGTTCACTCTGGAAGAGGCACTGAATAACCCACTAACAGCAGTAGGACTCCACTGACATCTAATTGACTTGAGGACAACTCCACAACCTTGCCAAACATTCGTAAACTGCAATCAAAGATGTCTCCACCCACACAGATTTGCATTCTTCCCTTCCTTCCCTCTCCTTCACACAGATTTGCATTGCAGTCTAAAAGCTCGTCCAGCCTTCTCAGGCTTCCTTCATGTTAGCTTAATCACCTAGCAGTTGTTTCCTCTAATAAAACGTTTGCATGGTTAATCCGACCTTGCTGTCTGCTCTCAGAAGATCCAGTCTAACACAATTACACTTTTCTTTTGTGACTCTAGCCTTCATAATGAAATTTCTTTCACCTCTCCTCCTACTAAATGCTTTTCTTTTACTAGGCGTGTTGATTTTCTTCAGTCCTTCTACAATTCTAACTCAATTTCACCAGGTTTGGTTAATCTCATCCCCACCTTCTTTACGGGGGAAAAAAGAGTTTCTGTAAGATGCCTACACCACAGTTGAATATTATTTCTTAAATAAAATCTCCTAAAAAGAAATGCTATGAAATTTTAACAAGTTTTATACTAATTTGCAAAAGCTTCAAGTATTATTGTGTTATTCTTTTTCTTCTTTTCAGTTTTTTAAACTTGGGAGTTCCTGCTGGCATCTTTGAGCTATGTCTTCCCAGTGAAAACAATTGTAAAATACACATTAAATTAGAATTTTTGAGCAGCACATCCAGTCTTGCTAACTAAAAGTAATTCGGCAAGACAGCCAGAAGCAAAATAGTAGGAAAAAAATTTCTTCACAACCCTGACTTCTCCCTACTTTTCCTTTTACTATCAATCCTTCTCATTTTTTTAAAACAAAAACTATGTAATTTTTTTTATGTTAAAAATAAGATACAGATCAAGGTAGGAGGAGAAAATACCATTTGACCCAGCAATCCCATTAACAGTTCTATTATGTCTAAATTTTCAAGTGATCCTGAGTGAAAATGATAAACCATAAGTGAATGTACTTAGTGCAAAGGAAGAAAGTTCCATTGAAGCTGCTGAAACCATATATAGTTCTCTTCAAAGTTAGCTACTGTAAGAGTCAGAGATCTGTGATCATCAGGTAAAGCAGGCACATTGCTGAGGAGGAACTCTTTCAACAGTCAGAGAACTCTTTGAATTATTTTATCCTGAGAAAGATAACAAAACGAAAACTCTTCCGTTCACCCACCTTCTCTGTAAAATGTACCAGACTGGCTCACTTTTTGCTGATAATGTGCTTGTTTTATTCATGATGAAAATTAATTATGGGTAACAGATGTTAACTATGAATCAGAAAGGGCATTCGCCATTTAATTTATTAAGAGGAAGCTGTTTTCCTAGAAGCTAAATTCTCTACAGTATTCTCACTATCAAAGAAAAACGTTCAGGGTAACAGAAATGTATTATGACACCAATAGAGAGGGTCGAGCCTAACATCTTGGAGGTTCAATTCTTTTTTGATGTTCTTATATTATTTTGAAATCATATTTTAGGGGCACATTTTGTCTATGATCCTGCCAGCGTTACCTAATAATAACTTTTATAGTAGACTCTTACCACATTTTTAAAGAAGCAAATGATTTGGTATTTGTTATTTTCTAGGATGCTAAAATAATATATCTTTGAAATTTGGTAAAATTCTTTTTCTAAACCTATGTACATGGGATCAAGGTGGCTCTGATAGAGAAGATAGATACAAAACTTCCCACTTCTCAAGATTATGTGAGGTATGTGTGTTCAACTAATTTAAGTAAGGGATTTAAGAGCTCTGTCTCATCCTGCAAGACCCACACAGGTTATACCTGCTCCAGGAAGCCTTGTCTAACTCAAAAAACCCATTAGCCAGTTGCTTTTCTTTGCTTGTCGAATGCCTTTTTCTATAATCAGCCAGAATAATGGTTGTTTATATCATTCTTCTCTACTGAAAAAGAAAGCTCATGGCACATCTTTAAATTTCTAGCGCTTAATCAAAAGTCTGCTCACAACAGACAAATTTTTTAAAAATTAGTAAGTAAAGAAATATTGTTGTGCTAATTCTAATCCATTTTAGAAAACTAACTGGCTTATGTGTATTTTGTATTTGTTTACAAAAACTCAAAGTAAGAAAAACAAACTATACCATTCGCCTTAGTAAGAAGTTTTACATTGGGTTGGAAGAGGAAACAAAAATGAGAAAGGCTTTTGTATTTATTTAAATTTTAAACATATACGTAATGAGCACTTCCTAAAAGTCAGGCACTATTCTAGGTACTGGCAATGCAGGAGTTATTACACAAGCAGACAAAGTCTCTGGCCTCAGGAAGTGTTCAGCTGAATGGCAACTGGATTGTTATCTCAGGTCATAATAGGCCAGTACGGTGGGTCAACTACTATTTCAGCTAGGAGAGGAAGAGAAACCGACCAGTTTTGTTTAATCACAGCTGACTTTTGCTACATGGGGTTACTCAATTTCAGAATTAGCTGCCATTTTGCTGATGCCATGAGCAAATGAATTTTTTATTTGTGTGTATCTAACATGAAGTGTTTATTACCTACTATATCTAGAAGGAAAAACAAATTTCTTGATGAATTACGACTATAACTCTTTCCTTTTTATGTCAGACACTTTGGACTTCTCTAAAAACCTTGCCAATTAAAACCAAATCCAAAAAGTATAAAAAAGAAAAAAAGAAAATTTTCTTCTTTTTATTTTTGTAGAGGCAGGGTCTTGCTATGTTGCCCAAGCTGGCCTCAACTTCCTAAGTTCAAACAATCCTCCCATGTCAGCCTCCCAAAGTACTGGGATTACAGGCATGAGCCACTGCACCTGGCCAAAAATGAAAATTTAATCAAAGTCTAGAAGGGAATATTATCTGGAGCATCCTAAGTACACTGCTAGAATTGCTGCCTTTAATAAGTAATCAGTAACATAAACAAATCTATAAATAAGTTTCAAATGTAAGCCAAAGAAGACATAAATATTTCAATTTATTTTACTCTCTAGCATCCAAAATTATTCGTAGGAACTTTATATTTTAAATAACCATCATGTAAATGTAATTAAAGAATTTGAGGTGGAGAATATGAAAATTCCCTCCTTTAATTTGTAAGGTGGTTTCTATTTCTCTTGTTCTCTCTGATGTAGTTACAGAAGTCATCTCAGAAACGAGAATTGATATTTGTTTATTCTGGAATTGTCAGCGGATGACAAGAAGTTAGTCAGCTTCTTTACAATTTCATTTTATGTTATTATTTGTCAGTGTAAGGTAAGGTTATTTGATATTGGGTTTAAGGTAGATTATTAGAAATCCTGCCACAGAGCTACCTTGGTCTGCAGTCCTTTCCCCATATGTACCTTTTGGATTCTTAACATGGGCCCCATCACACCCCAAATCTGTTCCAGGATTTCTTTTTCCTAGGATCAAGCTTCTTGTTATTTGGGAGGCCATCTCTGTTGGTATCCTGGCCCTAGCAACCCCTTACTCCAACCCACCCCAGATGATTATTAATAATCTTTATTAATCAAAACAGATAGGGTGAGCTTCATTCACCTTTCCCAAGGCTGGAGCAATGTGAGTCAAACTTGCCAGAGGTTAACTTGTTGTCTTAGGAGAAAAGTTGCCTTAGCTGGGCGCGGTGGCTCACGCCTATAATCCCGGCACTGTGGGAGGCTGAGGCCAGTGGACCACTTGAGGCCAGGAGTTCGAGACCAGCCTGCCCAACATGCCAAAAACCAGTCTCTACCAAAAATATAAAAATTAGCTGGGTATGGTGGTGCACACCTGTAATCCCAGCTAGTGGGGAGCGTGAGGCATGAGAATTGCTTGAACCCAGGAGGCAGAGGTTGCAGTGAGCTGAGTTTGAGCCAATGCATTCCAGTCTGGGCGAAAGAGTGAGACTCTGCATCAAACAACAACAACAATAACCAAAAAAAAAAAAAAACTTGCCTTAACACAAGTTGAGAAAATTATATATTTTGGCAACCAATATCCTTTTTGATGATTTCATGGCTATAGTTAGTAAGTCTGAAATTTGCTACTTTCTGTTTTTCTATCTAGAATTGTTATTTGTAATTCCTCTAGTTGACTTTCCCAGGACAAGAAAAATTTGCATTCTTGGGGAGAGCAAATGAGAACATCGGTACACAGAGTGTCTGTGAAAGTAAGTGCCATATGATTTTATAATTTTTAATAACAAAATAAATTACTGAAAGCAAAAAGATTTATTCCTGCCCTTTTTAATGAGAAAAAAAAGGCCAAAAGGCCCAAATTCATGCAGCACTTAAAAAAATTGATCTCTATGTGGCCCTATGGTATTCTTTTTACTGTAGTACATAACTGGTATGAACATTTATTAAAAATAGCTCTGTTTATTACTAAGTAATTTACGTCACAGTGATGTACTTCCTTCAGATGGCTGGGAAGTGTGCTCTATCAGCATGCTAGTCTAACCTATATGCCTGAGAGCCTCATCCTCTGCCCAAACCCATTCCCATTCCACCTACCTAACTCTTCCTTACCTTACTCTATTAACCCCTGATATGTGTCTTCCCAGTATGTGCCCTCATACATTTCTCCTACAGGTATGGTGTTTTCTTTCTTTGTTTCTTTGTTTTGTACTTAATTACAGTGCAACCACTACATTGACCTGGTCAAATCTTTTTTTCCCCCCAAGTTAGGCTCAAATTTCCCACGTGAAGTGTTTTCCTAGCATACCAGCTGAAATTTATTCCTTTCCTCTAGTTTTCTGGTTCTCTAGTTTAACTTGTGTAACATGCTTCAGCTGGGTAAACTAATGATGCATATTTTCACTAAACAAGCTTCTTGAGGCAAAAACTATAGCTCTTTCCTTTTGCAAATGCTCTATAACTATTTGTTATGTTTACCTAAAATAACATTATTTTACTCTTTTGGAAGAATTTAAGGCCTATCAGCAATTGAGTTAGAGTGCCAGAATCACTCTAATTTTTTTCCTGATTTATATATATATATATATACACACATATATATATCAGAAATTATATGTATATCATAATTATATGTATAGCATGGAATATATATATATATTACGCAATTCAAAATCATTTACGTCATTACAGTGTCCACTCAGATACCTGAACATATAACAGAATGTCAAATGACACTTCCCGGGAATTGGCTGGTAAGGCCCAAAGGCAGGGCCTTAAAGAAAATTTAAGCACCTTATATTCTAAAGGGAGAACAAACAACTGGAGCCATATACCTCCCCTTGGATTTGCTAGAAGTTAGCAGAATCCACTCTGCTAGACTCAGCCACCTCCAATGCACCTTCCTACTGAGGTAGAATAGCAGGACTTGCTTCCCAAGCATCAGTCACAAGACCCCACTGAACAAAACAGGATCTGATCAAAGCAGGGTGCAGCAAAACAAGAGGCCAATTCCAGCTGAAGCGAAGATGGCAATAAAAGCAACCTCTAGTTGCCCTCACTGCTCATTATATGCTAATTGTGATGAATTGGCATGTTAAAAGAAACTGCTATCAGTACCATGACAGTTTACAAATGCCATGGCAATACCCAGAAGTTACCTTGTATGGTTTAACAAGGGGAGAAACCTTTGGTTCCAGGAACTACCCACCCCTTTTTCCAAAAACTCATGAATAATCTGCCCATTATTTATCATATGATTAAGGAATACCCATAAATATAGGTAGCCAGCCATCCATGAGGACTGCTGCTATTATTTTTTTTTCCTATGGGAAGAGCAGCCATTTCCCTGTACTCTGCGGCTCTAATAACTTCCTTTCACTTTGCTCTGTCAGCTCACTCTTTAATTTTTCCCGATCAAAGCCAAGAACCCTCCTAAGCAAAGCCCCAATTCTAGGGTTTGGGATAACTTCATGATGACCATGAAGGGGCTAACAAGCTACAGGGACCTGAGTGAGACCCTCAACCAGACTCCAAATTCAAATCATTTGGCTTCCACAGACAGGTGAGTGTTCCCTTTGTTCCCCATTGGTGTCACCCTCTCTCCTTTAACTGATTTACTTTCTCTTTTACTCTTTTCTTCCCCCTTTACCTTTTCAGGTGAACTAGGAAATAGGAATGATCCTCTGGCCTGGTAATCAGTTCATTGTTTCACATCATCTGGGTTCCTGGGATGGCAGCACACCTGACTGGCCATATCCTTTGTAATCTGCCTCGCTTCCCTTTCTCTCAGATGTTTTCTCTTTAGTTTACAACGATCAGCCATTTTCCTTTTCCACTCTTAGTGCATAAATGCATGCTTATGCTTATTTTGTTATTGCATTTGCAGTCTTTGCTTTAGATACTGGGCTTTTGTTTTTATATTCTGTGTAAGGCTGGACACTTCTCTTGTTTGTTTTGAGTTATTCGTTATTTTGAGATGTCTCCCATTGTTCTGACTCTGAGATGCCAGAGTCACACTGTTCTATGCTCCCAGTTGTGTGCCTTTAGGGTTCACTACTGGCCACCCCCAGATGCTCCAGCATTTTTGATAGTTGTTGTGGGGACCCTCATTGGATGACTCCTGGATGCTCTGTATCTTGTGGCATTTGGCATAAATTGATTTGTGGGGGATCCTGGATTTGGGTAGGGTGATTACATCAGCAGTCAGTCTCAAATGTATTTTGTTCTTATTAGAGACTGAACCACCTTTTGTTCTTTGTTAGTTTTCTTATTCCACCCTATTCAGCAACCTCTTCTAGTCTGTCCTAAAGTCAGAACTTCCTTTTTTTCTGCAATGGCTAGCTACAGGTCTCTTGTCTCTGTTTCTCCCTCTGCTTAAACTGAAAGCCCCAAATGAGCTTCCTTGCTCAAGCCCATTTTTCTGGGGTCCTGGAGCCCTGACTTGACAGATGACTTCCTGCAGCAGCAGACAAGTGGTGATGTGAACACTTTCTTTGGTGTCTCCACTGCTGGGTGAGTTCTCTGGCAGCTTGGAGCCATCAAATGTACCCCTTGAGCAATGCTCTTTACCCCTTACCTCTCTTTCCTCATTCACATTTGCTGCTATAGGATCCCCTTTTCCCTACCTTCCTTTCTCTTTCCTATTCTACCTCTATTGGTCTTGTTCATGCAGAACTGTGGGTTAAAGTCCCACCCAGGGGCCTCTTATTCAGGTTAGAGTGGCTCTCTCTATTTCTCCCTCTTAAAGAAACAAAGGGAAAGTTACACTTTATCCCTTTAACCCCCCTCCTTTCTCTCCTTCTCTTTTCTTCCTTCCGTTTATAATAATCTCCTCCTCTTCTGAAACTGAAGAGTAAAAGAGAAATAAAAGGGATTTTTTTAAAATCAAACTGCCATAAAGACTACTTTAACCAAATTATAATCTACATCTTTCCTTGGATTACCTATCAGAGCAAACAAATTTTAACCATGTAGACAGCTGTCAATCTTGTCAGAAATAATTTAAATCCAGCTAACTTCTACAAAAGGGTGAATTTATATTGCCATCTTATGACTAGAATTTTGAGGTAAAAGTTACTGGCTCTTTTTATGTATGTGTATATGTGTTTAGATATGTTTATGTGTATTTACATGTATCATGCTATGTGTTGCACCTACCATGATATCCAGTTGGATTATAAATAAATGAGTACTCATAAATTAAGCAAGTCCAAATGCTTTTCAATTTCACATAAATCTGTGGTAGATAAAGCTGGTTTTAAAATTATTGATAAGAGTAGAAATGTCTTCAGAATTATATAAAGACCAATATAAGATTGTTGGTTCAATGAAAATATCAGATCATCTGAGTTATCAGCAAAATGCCTGTGTGTTCAATTTTGATTCTTATTTAGGTGTTTATCTAATGTTCAGACCTTAAAAATGATTAGCCAGGAAATCACTTTAAATGATATCTAGCTTTGTCTAATATCACAGTTTTCATAAGAAATTTCAATAAACTATTAAAACATAATAATGATTATTAAGTAAATATAATGAGATTAAAGCTCATTATAAAGTGAATTTCTGGTTTAATTTAAAAACCTTAAAATCACTTTGGATGCTTATTGGATGTCTGTGTCTTTTACCACAAGAAAGGGTTATTATGTGGGGATACATGTTTTTAGGAACTATGGAATGAATCTCATCTATAAAATGCTAGTATCTGTGGGCAATTCAGGAATTCTGCCTTCCTAGGTTTATATAAAATGTGCCGAAAAAATGTGTTCTTATTGAGAAAAAGAATAATTTTGTCTAATTCAAAAGTTATCAAAAAGTTTATTCAAATTATGGACTTCAAAATATTATTTATGAAACTGGGTAAAAAGGAGCCAGTAAGCAAGAAAGAGATAGGTAAAGAAAGTTATGGATGTGAAGACGTATTTTTGATGAGGACGATTATAAGAAAAAAGAGTAATTTTATATGAGAAAAGATCTTGTATGGTAAATTCTGGTCATAGATTAGAATGGTTATTTAAGAAAGAGCATAGGACAAGTCAGAAAGTCAAAGCATGTCATAGATGGTCTATATAATTCATGGTAAGATTCACACAGGGGAATATATAAAAGGAATTTTGTGTGTGATTAAGTTAGCTGTAATTAAAAGGGGATTATTTATAATAGTCTTTCTAAAGAATGTTTCCCTATGTTAAAACAATATTTTCTTGAGGTACTGATTTGCTCTTAATGAAATTATAGAGAAATTTTAGTTTTCAATTCTACAACCTGTATCTTTTGAAAACTCAGATTCCTATCTCAGAAATTCAACTGTTAGGTCTTGCTGCTTTCAGCTCTTTCTGCACTTGAGAAGATCTGAGATGACATCTCTTTTTCAGCTTTTCTATCACCTCCTGTAACTTTTCTTCCTCTGGTTTTAACTATTAGGCCCTAATGCTGTAATATTTTATCTTGGAGGTCTATAAAAACAATGTGTACCTCCACTATAATAATTCCATACTCTTGGTTTTTCCTGATGTGTCAAAATTTTCAGAGAAACCAGAAAACTTTTTATGTTCCCCTGCTATACTCATAATCTTGAATACACATTTCTCATGTCTGATTAAATTTGGGTACTGTATTATTTTTCTCTTCATTAAATTTACCTTCCAGGTTATTTAAGTGTGCCTCCCATGAAGAGAGGTAATCACACCGTATAGGGCATTATCACTTTGGATAAATAAGTAACTATTGTTTACAATAACCTGTGGTTCCATATCAATCAAATATTTTGGGCCTTTTAACGTGTTAAAGTACCCTCATAATCAAATTCTAGTTTAAGTCTCTGGATTGTTGCTGAGGTTTATCAAAGCCATAAAAATTAATCACTAAAAATTGTAAAATATTTTTACAGCTTCCAGTCAGGTCGCGGACTCAAGTATTACCACCTCTAGCCTCCAGCCCTTTGAATAAGCCTTTATCAGGTGCTATTACTAATCCTGGTGCTGTTAAATTACAGGGCTTTGATTCCTGGGTACACATATCTCATCTAGAGGAGACACCAACTCCTGCCAGTATTTGATAACAAACTCAAGTTAACCAAAGCCTCATCTTTAGACCCAGGCAAAGGGAACAATCAAAGTAAACTGCTTTCATGAAACACAACAAGCTTGTATTCACTTAATAGTTTTGCCTCTATCTGAATTAATATAATTTATTCTGTGCTTGATAGTAAATAATTTAAATGTTTAGCTACCTGTGAGCATCCTTTCCTGTCATTCTCAAAACTAGGCAAGGCATATGATATTTTTGTTTGAAGTGTTGTTAATTCTTTATTTTACCTGCAGAATTTAAAACTATTCAATTTCTCCAGGCCCAGGGTTTATCACATATGATTATAAGGGACAATTTGGGTTATTAAGTGTCTGCCCACCTCCATTCTTGTCTGGCCTAAAACATTTAATTGGCTGTAAGTATTTTAACTCTAAGTTCCTTAGCCATAGGGGTCCCAATGAGGAACATGATGAAACTGGAGCAGGCAGCATACCACCCCAGTATTGATATGGGACAAAATAAAAGCTTAGCTAGAAGCAGTATCAATGGGGAGTTGGAATATAAAATGAAAAATAAAATCTTAAGCTCCTCAACAGATTGAATGGACCCCCTCTTAGCCAAGAGGAATCCCTCCTCTAAAGAAATAAAAATCTGAAAAAGTTCAGACCATGACGGGAAGCAGGAGGTCAGACACATCTCACTGTATGTCCCTCACTTGGAATTCTACACATATTTATGCTGATGGCACCACCAATTAAAATACTTCATCTCCTGTGGAGAGTCTTAGTCCCTTTACAAACAACCATGTTCTTCTCAACTCCCATAGCTCCTTCCCATAATAATGGTATTGCTTTAAATTACTACTTTCCCCCCCAAATTCTTATCCCATTCTTGCTTAAACCAAAGTGCCCCTTGAATAACACAGGTAAGAAGGATGACTATCCTTCTTAACAACTCCTGTTCCATATGGGTTTATGTCCCCCAGTATAGGGTGGTGTGGGGTGGGGAAGGATGGGGGGCTCTCAAAGAATCACCTAAGAGATTGAGAACAGCTTCAGGGGAAAAAGTAAAGAAAGAAAGAAAGAAAGAAAGAACTTTGGTTATTCCTGGTTTTGGGAAGCAGTGGAGCTGTTGGCACATACATCAACTTCCATGCAAGGGAACATGTGTGTATCCAGAGTCAAGTGGACCGGAGCATTTAGTTAGGCTTCAGCCAGCTAGCTATTAACTCTTCCAAGAGGCTGTTCTTCTGGGCAAGGAGACCTCAAAAGAAACAGTATATAGGATATAGTCAAGGGTGGGAGTTAAAATTGGAAATTATGGTTTAAAGATACCACATTTATAAAGATAAAGAGGAGTAGCCAGGTTTGGGCCAAACGTAGATAAAGCAGAAGAAGAAAGAGACAGGCAGGACAGACATGTGCACAAGCACAAATAAACAGATCGGAGAGGCCATGTGCCTCCAAAGAAAGAGAAGTGGAAAGAGTATTTTCCTTGGTTCTTAACATTGTGTATCCTGCATTCTTCAAACTAAAATCAACCAGGCACTCCAAGAGGGAACGAGCATACCTGCTACACAGAAACTGTTAAAGAATGACCAGTGTTAGTCAGAGAAAGAGGGAGAAACAATAAAGAAGGACTGCACCAGAGCAAGTTAAATAAGGAATAAATCCTTTCCCTTATTCAGGCCCCGCTAAACAGGAGAGTGTAAGAAACCTAGGAGAAGCAGGAGAAAATATACCTGACCACAATGCCAGTGGTTCTCAAACTTTTCATCATCAAGACTCCCATATACTTTAAAAAATTATTGAGGATAAGAACTTTTTCATGTGTGGCATCTATCACTATTTGCTATACTTAGGTTTAAATTTAAGAAATTTAAAAATATTTATTAATTCATTTTAAAATAATAAAACTACACTCTGTTAACATAATATACATTTATAAAAATATATTTCTAGAAAAGGAAACAGTTTAGTAGGAATAGTGAAATTGCTTTTTATTTTTGCAAATCTCATTAACCTGTAGCTTAATAGAAGATAGCTGGATTCTCGTATTTGCTTCTGCATTCACTCTTTTGTAATATATTGACTTGGTTGCAGAATATGAAGAAAAGGTGACTTCACAAAGATACACAGTCAGAACAGGGAAGAGTAAGTTAATATCCTTTTTAGGTAATTGTGGATTATTTCTTTAATATCATGCTAAAATTCAACAGGTGCCAGTAGTTTCTTAGAGGTTAGTTGCAAAGTAGAACCTGAAACCATATTGATAAACTGTTTATACTGTGCTACATCCAAATCTATGAGTTTATTTTGCATTTTGGATCTTTTATCTATGCATACCTTTGTAGCAACATTCATTAGTCATTTGGAAAGTATTGGTTCACTGAGTCATGAAGTTCTAAATGTTGGCACATTTCATTTTAGTTGTGTTGGCAGTCTCCAAGATCATCTTCTGGCTCAGTTCACAAAAAGTCAAATAGGAATGTACTTAATTCTATTAGCACAAAGCATGACAATATAGGGAAAGTATTGCCTGCCAGGGACACTGACCTGACCCATGTGTCTATGGTTTTCACTGGAAGTCAGACATAGAGATGTGCAGTGCTCACATGACTGACTTTAGTGACTTAGTCTTTAGCTCCCCAGAAGTCAAACTGATATAGTATGGTCCAGGGCCTCAGGCATACAAAAACAGGTGTTCACCATATGTCACACTGTTAGTATAAACTATCTGGTCAACTGATACAGTATGGTCCAAGGCCTCAAACATACACAATACCCTTATTAGGCAGGATACTCCAAGTCTCAGATGTTATCTACTAGGAGCTGGTCAAGGGCCAGTCCTTTCTCTGGAATGCATAGAACCACTTAAGCCTGCTAAGTTAACTGTTTACTGTACAATAATATAGCTAATTATTACCAAATAGGATAACCAAATAACTATTTTTCTCTCTTCACTCTTAAACAACAGTTCACTTCCAACACAAAATCTGTGGGTTTTCCATACCAAGCAATTCTCTGATTCTCTGGATAACAACTGGCTCTCCTAGAATTTAATTATGACACAAATTATGACATAAATTAAGGGTTTAGTCCCACAGTACTGCTCCTACACCCCATCAGATGTCAATTGCAAGTAGTGGACCCATACTTCTGTCCATCTTGGCTACAGATTGGAGGTTCCCACAACCCTTTGCTCAGATTCGATAATTTTCTATGAAGGGTCAGAGAACTTAGAAAAGTACCTATGTTACTGGCTTATTATAAAAGATATGATAAAGGAGACAGATGAACAGCCAGATCAAGAGTTATATAAGGCAAGGTCTGGATGGGGTGCCAACCACAGGAACTTCTTTCCTTGTAGCATTGGGTCGCAGCAGCCTCTTGCCATGTGGGTGCTTGCCCTATCCTTTTTAAATAATTGTGGACACCAGACGCTCTCAGAACCTTGTATTCTTGAGATTTTAATGGAGGCTTCATCACCTAGACATGATTAATTATTTGACTTCTTATCAGCTCCCCTCCCCTCCCTGGAGAATAGGGGATGGGAATGAAGGTTCCAAGGTTCTCATCATGGCTTGGTCTTTCTGGTAACCAGCCCCATCCAGGAGTCTACCAAGAGTTACCTCATTAGAAATTCCAAGAGAGTTGGCCGGGCGCGGTGGCTCACGCCTGTAATCCCAGCACTTTGGGAGGCCGAGGCGGGCGGATCACGAGGTCAGGAGATCGAGACCATCCTGGCTAACACGGTGAAACCCCGTCTCTACTAAAAATACAAAAAATTAGCCGGGCGTGGTAGCGGGCGCCTGTAGTCCCAGCTACTCGGGAGGCTGAGGCAGGAGAATGGCGTGAACCCGGGAGACGGAGCTTGCAGTGAGCCGAGATCGCGCCACTGCGCTCCAGCCTGGGCGACAGAGCGAGACTCCGTCTCAAAAAAAAAGAAATTCCAAGAGAGTTAGGAGCTCTGTGTCAGAAACGGCATTGAAGACCAAATGTTAGAACAAAAGATGATGCTGGCACTCCTGTTACTTGGGAGGTTACAAGGGTTTTAGAAGCTTGTGTCAGGAACCAGTAGCAGAGACTGACCTACCTACCTACCTTCCTTCCTTCCTCCCTCCCTCCTTTCTTCCTTTCCTTTCATTTCCTTTCTCCCTCTCTTTCTTTTTTCCTTTCTCTTATTTTTCAATGATATTAGCGAATATCATCAATAATCCACAACAACCGTCTTTATATATTAGAAAGTTATTAAGCTCCTTGTGATAAATAAAAGTCTCCCAGAATTTCAGTTCTTCCCGAAAGCTCAAATTTTATCATTGTCAATGAACACTGTCAATTGTTTACCTGAAATAACAGGTTGGGTTCCTTCACTTTTGAGAAAATACTTGCAAAATAACCAAATCTAAATAACTACAGTGTGTCTAACATTCATCAAGAAAAAATTGTATTTCATGGAAAAAGTGGCGAATTCAGCCTGAAAATCAAATAATTCACTTTTTTTCAATTCCTACTCATCACCTTATCCCATAAAATTTTAATAAGATATGTATTCTAGGGTTGAGATTTAGTAAAACTTTTACTGCTTTATTGAAGACATTCTTAAATAAAATTGGCTTTTATTTTCCCTGTGAGTTTGTGACAATGAGGGACCCAATTACTAATGGTATGGTTTGGTACCACAGTCTCCATCTGTGCTAAGGCACCAGCAGTTTCACTCACCATTAATTTTGCACAATTACTGCAATGTTAACACAATAAAACAGAAAAAAATATATGATATTATTATAAAAATGGTTTTGACCTCATGGGCCACTTAAAAATGTTTCAGGGGCCCCCAGGGTTCTATGGATCACAGGTTGCCAACCTATGTTTTAGACTTAAGTCATTTTTTTCCTCCCTGATAAGGTGTGCTGTGTATAGTCTTAGAAACTCCTGTAGTTGAAGACATGCTTTCCACAGAACTTTAAGTCTATGAAAGAATGATGTTTATTCTTTATTCCACTGGAGAAAGTTTAAGTGTTTCACAGCATTGAAATGATTAGCCTGAAAGGTCCTTAAGCATGAAAGTCAAAGTCATAGATTTCCCACAACCCTTTTAAATGTAAAATAATTTAAAAATAGTTTTTTGGGCCAAAAAAGTTATATGCATATATAACATATGTGATAATATATGAAACCAGAGGAAAATGTGAGCCCTGTTATAAGCATGAAAACATGACCACTATTTCTAGAATTATCGAATAATTTATATATCATGAAATTAATTTATAATAAAAACTGTATGTACCACATATTCAAATTCTAAAATCATGATCAAAGTCTGATATTCACTTCTCCTTTGCCACACTTGTTAAACTTTCTGATTTTCAGGAGTTAAAAATGTTTCAATGTTTTCCTTGCTTCACTCGCCCTCTTTTTTTTTAACAAGACATGCTTTGGACAGGAGCCATTCTCCTACTACACACTAGCTTGCTTCTCCCAGGAAATGGGATTTTGCAAAGTTGACTGCAGAATGCTGTTTTCATGTGCTGTAGAAAATCTGGGCTGTTATCATGTGCTGTGGAAAATTTGACTAATACACTCACCCCCACTGTGTCTATAGTATCTGTAAGTCCTAAGTAAATTACATGGAGTCACTCATCAGACGGTAGGACAAGATTTATCTTTTGGGTTTCTTTCACTATTTTTTCCCTTCTATAATTGAAATGTACAAGACTGTGCTCTAAGAGTGGTGTTTATTTAAATTTCCATTTTAAAATAGTCTATGTTTATAATCAGCATTTCCAATTATGAAGATTTAAAATATTTATAGAGACTACTCTTCTACTTGAGCATGATCGTTAAGTGGAAAGAATGCTGCCTATTTTCATTACCATCTCCTGTAAATAGTATATCTCACAGTTAACCCACTATATAAATAGTAAGCGGTTACATATAAAAACTGTCATCATATCTTTATGTTTTTTGAAGAAGATCGATATAAAGTAACAGATGGAAGTTTCCTTGTTAGATTAGGACCTATACTTATTCAAATATTAAAAGAGTATTATATTCTTCTCATCTTACAGACTGTGGAATTGAAAGTGATGTTACTTTCTGTGACATATATCATACCTACAATGGACACTTACCCTAAAGAACTTTCAGATTAGTAGGATAAAACAACAAGTACTACATGAACACGTCATGCAAAATAGAATATCTGTTATAAGAGAGGAACAACCAGAGTTTAAAAGTCATAACATTAAGATGTGGGTAATGAGGAAAGATTATTTGATGACAGTAGCATTTGAGTTGGGCCTTAAAGCAGGAGAAAAGTTTGAGCAGGTAAATAAAATGTACTTTTATAGTGGAATGAATGGTGAAGTTTGTAAAATATCCAGTGAATGTATGCATAAGAATGAGAGAGAGAAAAGGAAAAGAGAGGAGACCAGGTCAACACTGGGCTTGGAGAACTAGAAAATGCCTTTTACAACAAGCAAAACACAAAAATACAAAGCAAGATTAGATAGATAGAAAGATAGACAGATAGATAGATAGATAGGAGATAGGCAGAGAAAGAGAGAGAGAAAGAAGCAAAACAAAGGCATTCGAAAGGAAAAGCTATCTTGGTTAGGAAGAAAATGAGTTTAGATTTGGATACACATTTTTACCAACGTTTCTCAACAGTGCGCCTGCCCCTGGAAAGACCTTTTTTTCCCATTCAAAAAGTTGATTACGTGAACTGAATGTTTACTGAGAGTTTTATTGCTAACAGGGTGAGCACAAGCTTTGGAATTAAAGAAAGGGTCTTTAATTAAAAAAAAAAAAAAAAAAACTCCTCATTTTTCTGTTTTCATTATACTCAACTCCTCACCTTTCTCCCTATCTCCCTGCCTGGGACTTCATTGCTGGAGAGCTGCAGACCCAATGTCTGCAGGAGGTCCTCATTCCACAGTGCATTTGACTTTTAGGTGCCTTGGGATGGGTTAATTTAAATGTAAATGAAATATGTGAAATTTCACACTATGTTTTATCACCTGAATTTGTTTGGTTGTTTTTTCTTCTACTACTTTTATTTTAGTTTCCATGGGTACACGTGGAGATTTGTTACATGGGTAAATTGTGTGTCACTAGGGATGAATGTAGGAATGTTCTGTCACCCAGGTAGGGAGCATAGTACCTGATGTTATCACCTGAATTTGCTCACTGGAGTTATAGTTGCTCATGAGACTGAAAGCAGCATAAACCAATGACATGTAACTCACCAAAGACTCCTGGCTGGTTCCAAGAGTGAATTCTGACCACACAGTCACATGTGGGGAAAAGAAATGACAGCAAATGACGATATTGTAAAATGTGTTTATGAATCTCAGACAAATGGACTATGCCATAAGGTGGGAAGGGCACTAGCACCCACTTCAGGGGTGTTTCTCAGTCAGTGAAAAATAAATTCCAAACTGAGTATGTGTTACTGAAAGAGGCATATGCTTTGTGAGTTTTGGCAGGGTCTTTGTACAAAGCCCGATGTGTGAAAGGAATTGATTGAGCTCTGTGCAGACAGCCCTATGCATAGCTGATTCTCATTGCAATACGTTTTCCGAGATATTGACAATTTTGATAAACAGGTTTTATCATTCTCTTTGTTAATGTCCCTTCTGTCATATCATATTTATTGTAGCTGTTTATCAATATGTTTTATATTCATTAAGCCCTTAAGTACGTTTTTTAACCCACAGATACCATCTCCTAGAGCTAAAACTAGTATCACCAACATTATTAGAACAGGTTCTATGTTTGCTTTTAGAATTAGGTACTTGAAAAGGAAATACATTAATAATTTAAGTTTATATTTCATGTAATTGATTGTTAAGTGGAACAAGGTCAATTTATCACGAACTGAACAGCTGATTTGTTAAAAAACTAATTAGCGAGAGTTAGAAAAATATATACCATTGGGACATTTAAATAGAGTTTGGTTATGATAGCAAACCAAACTTTAAAAACCTAAACATGTTTAATTAAAATAAAGTAATTTTTGCACAGCTATATTTGAACAGAAAATACAGTAGCAGCAATTATCTATAATTATGCAACTCCAATCACAGAATAATAGCAGTTTCAATGTCACTAAGCACAATAAGGATAATTATGCTTTCCATTATTCTGATGGGCACGTACTTAGCAACTTTAAAAAACCTTCGTAGGGATATAACAGCCACAGTTTCAATAAAGACTTACAGTGTAAGCAGCTGGATTAATTGTATTCTAGTTAAAACCGACATTTTCATTGCAGTTTTCAATTCCAAGGTAGCACTTTTTCAACCAATGCCTACTTTTGCTTTTTCAAGCATTGGTAAAACCCCCCATTACTACTATATGTACAGTATGCCTAACAGTCTTATTGTTTGCTTTAGAAACTTTTTCTTGGTATACCGGATGACATATAATCTCCAGTTAAAAACTCTGACTTATCATTGTTTAATAATATCAATTTTTAAAAAATACAAAATAACATGACAAATTTTTGGAGAGCTTGAGCTTAAAGAACACATTCATAACTTTCCTCCCCAAATACTATTAATGAAATAATATTGCATTCTCTTCCCCCATAGGCATAGAATTAAAGATATGTGTAATGATAGGGAGCATAGGTTTAGTGAACTTCTCACTTACCATTCATACAAGTTTTCTAATGCTGGTACATTGCCTTTGTATGTAAGTAAAGTTGGCATACTATTTTCCCAAATATTTATAGAAACAGTATAATTTACTTAGCCATTCTCTTAGTTTTTTTGACATGTAGATTGATTCCAGTTATCTATTTCTGTAAATAGTTGTATTAAATTTTAGCTTCAGAAATTAACATAGAAACAACATTAAAGTACCTACAAAAATAGTTACAAGCGTGCCATTTTAATCACATGGGTATTGAGATTTTTTAAAAACTAGACTCAAGGATATATATATTAATTGTACACATTTTGGAATTAAAGATGTTAAAAATCACTATAAATTATCTTAATTATTATGGTTCATTTTATTCAATTCTTTTTTCCTGTTTTTTATGTTTTGAGCAAATATTGCTTATCTAATTATATCTATCTATGTACCCTTTATGTATCTCGCTATCCATTTATTTATCTAGGTATAATTAGATAAGCAATAGTTAGATAGAGAGAGAGAGAGAAGGGGAGACAGGTTTTTTTTTTTTAAAGACAGGGTCTCACTCTGTCACCCAGGCTGGAGTGCAGTGGTGCAATCATAAGCAACTACAGCCTTGCACTTCTGGGCTCAAGGAGTCCTCTAGCCTTAGTCTTCCGAGCAGCTGGGACTACAGGTGCGCACCACCATGCCTGGCTAATTTTTTTAGTTTTTGTAGAAATGAGGTCTTGCTTAGTTGCCAAAGCTTATTTTCTTAATCTGATATTATTTCATGTTTGGTTTCCCAGTACTGTGTAGCATTTACTCGGAAAGCCACAATGTGTCTACCAAATTTTCTAAATATTCTCCAACAATTGGACAGCAAGTTTTTTTTAAAAAAGCTTCATGGTGTAATGTTGTGATGAGTTTATTTTAAATACACACTAATATAGATCTTTTCTGTAATATACCTATGTGTGTGTAAAAATATATATTTGTATCCTTTAGCCTAGTAATTCTCTTCTGGGACTGTATCTTGAGTGTACACACACACACACACACACACACACACACTTCATTTCTTGACTCACAGCAGTATCTCCAATCAGTTTGCAAAAGAGTTGTACTAGTTAATGTTATCTGAAATATATGGAACTACCATTTGCAAACCATCTTGCGCAATAGTGAATATTTAAAAATAAATTTCCGCCGGGCGCGGTGGCTCACGCCTGTAATCCCAGCACTTTGGGAGGCCGAGGCGGGCGGATCACGAGGTCAGGAGATCGAGACCACGGTGAAACCCCGTCTCTACTAAAAATACAAAAAAATTAGCCGGGCGCAGTGGCGGGCGCCTGTAGTCCCAGCTACTCGGGAGGCTGAGGCAGGAGAATGGCGTGAACCCGGAAGGCGGAGCTTGCAGTGAGCGGAGATCGCGCCACAGCACTCCCGCCTGGGCGACAGAACGAGACTCCGTCTCAAAAAAAAAAAAAAAAAAAAAAAAAAAAAAAATTCCAATTTAATAGCAAAAAATCTGTTTTTTAAAATATTTTGTGTGAATATTTATTCGTTTACTTAAAAGTAGAGATTCCAGTGTTTTCACAGTAATATCAATTATTTTGTTTAATCATCTTTGTGCACTTGGATGTTGGTCCATTTATTTGTAAAGTTCTTAAAATTTTTATAGTTTTTTGTAGGATAATTATATTAGAAAGGTAGTAACACTGTCTTATATAGTGTGTCTACATAATCAGTTGATTGTTTTTTAAGACAATCTTTCTTTTTTGCATGCAGTTTTTAAATCATGCTGTCAAATCCACTAATTTTAACTTTGAAACTATTGTACTTCTAAACTCAGAAATTCATCCCTTCTCCAAAATTTTGCTAAAAACTCAATTGTTTTCCTTGAGTATGACATATTCAAATATACAAGAAATAAATTATGCATTTTTGCTTACGGTCTATAAGTTAAACATCAAAATGGATTTTTTTCAAGTTGTTGACTTTTTCGTCTCAATACCACATATAGAAAAAAATGTAAATTGTAAGCACTGGTGCCTTTATTTGCAAGTCAAAAAAAATTAGTAAAATTCCTTCTAAAATTCCTTAAGCAAAACTAACCAACAAATAAATAGGTAAAAGCAATAATGTAAGGGGAAGGATAAAGGAACAAATGGGTATCTTTTGGAACTTAGGGTCAGTGAATATAGCCACACTTCACAGGGATTGAAAGCAAAAATGAAAAAAAAAATACAGTGTAGAAACAAGATTATGCTTTCCACTTCCCCTTCTCTGGGGCCACATGGGCTGTCTCTAATGTGCCCCTCTGAATGTGTCTGCCTGACTCTTCTGCTACATCTTATTTGGGCCAACATGGCTACCCCTCTCCTATCTTTACAAGTGCTGTATCTGGGGGTTAAATCATCCAATCTCCCTATTCCCTGATTTCAAGTTTACTGGAACAAGCCTATGAAAATATGCCCCCCTTAGTCAGATATCTACTCCATACCCAATCAGATGTGGTTGGCATAAGAGTGACAGAGTACCTGTACGGGTGTGACACCCCACCTCCAAGGTAAACAGTAGTCATAGCAGAAGATGGGGTAAGGCAGGTACCACAGTCAGCCTGTTACAGTGATCAAACGTGTGGTTAAAAGGCTGCTTCGGTAAGCATGGTTTACATTGTTTCTAGGACAGTACCTAACAAATAGCATTTAATATATATTGGTTGAATTACATAATATATTTTAAAAATTACTAATTTTCTTTAGGCCATGAATTTATCCAGTTCATTAAAGGTAATTTAATCCATTGGCATATAACTTTACTAGTAATATACTTATCACATAAAGCATGTATATTTGTATTTGTCTATTATTATTGCATCTCAGTTTATTGTACAGATGTTTGTTGTATTTTTACATGAATGTTAATTTCTATTGTCAATTGTAAACTGCTAGAAAAAGAGTCCCATTTTAATACTTCGGCATATTAATCTCACATGATTTGGCCTTCTTTAGGTTTTTGTTCCAAGTCAGATTTACACAAATTTAATAATGTTATAATTGTCCTATTTCTCATCTTTTCCTTTCCCAGCATCCTGCTCCTCTCTCTTAAAGGACTCTTAATCTCCTTACCTCACACTGTAATTTAATATGTGAGTTAAAGAGGAAAAAAAAATTGGAGATTTAACTGTACTAATTTATCAATCTTCACTATTTGTTTAAAATAGAGGCACATGAGTGTTTAATAAGTGATCTCTAAAATCTTTTGTTTTTGTCTTTTTTTTTTTTTTCCTTTTTGTGGAGAACAGGGTCTCGCTATGTAGCCCAAGCAGGTCTTCAACTCCTGGGCTCAAGCTATTCTCTCTCCTCTGCTTCCCTAAGTCCTGGGATTACAGGCATGAACCACCATGCCCAGCCCAAAATATTTTTAATTTTAGATCTACATTCTATCATCCTGCTACATGTTAAATTACTACTTAAGTAAACAAAGATTTAATTTTTTTTACAGTTAATGAGCCGAATATGTTATATCATTTTTATTTATGCATTATATTTAATGTTTGCCATTGTATATTTTTCTATTTTCTTTGACTTTTACTAATGACTGATTTGAGAAAAGCTTTTCTCTCTTTCCTTTCTACATGGAGAGACAAGCCAAAGTGACATTTCCAAATGGGTGTCTGAAAACATGTACGCTGTTTCATTAATGAATGCAACAGAAGTTGCCTAGGGTTTATTCCAAGATGCATAATGTCAAACCTCCAAATTATCTAATTGTTCCAAAGAAGAACAATTAATTTGTATTTATAGGCTTGAAAGACTTTGTTGAAATAAAAATGTTTTAGTCTGTAACCTCTTGCTCTTTATTCATAGTTATTTTCTAATGCAATATATAGGATTTACAACTTTTCTATTTATCTTTAAAAGTTAATAGGATTTACTGTGATTTTTATCCTTTTATTCAGTTATCTTTCTCAGAATATGTAGACACATTTTATCACAATGTACCAAAATCAGATTTGAATAATATTATTTCTACAAACTTACAATATGTTAGTGATTATAAAAAGAAAAGGCTTTAAGATGCAGGTATATTCCTTCTATCAATCTCTGTTTATTGACAACTTGAATAGGCAAGAAATATATTTCTATGGTGAGCCACAACCACCAACAATTACCCCTTTCTGAGGGGCATCAAGATGCATTAAAGGCCATACAAAGTAACAAGACAACAGAGGACACTTGTCCTATTATAGAATTTTTTCCTATGTTAATTTAATTATCTTAATGTGTTTATTGCAACATATTACTTCCGGCCCATGATCAATAAAGTTTTGAATTACTTATACTGTTTAGATTTTTTTTAAACCCCAAACATTTTCATATTTTTTCTATGTTGTTTTTGTGGATTCCATGTCTGGCTAGTACCAAAGAGTTGATACATTTAGAGGATTACAACCTCTAAATAATCTCTAAAGCTAAATAACCCAGCTTTATTTATATAGTGCTCATACAAATGAGTTAATTCACCTATACTTTCATTTGATTAAGAAAAATATACAGGATCTAGGACACAGAAAACAGATACTATAATGAAATTCTACTCCAACTTTAACAGTGGCCTTACCTAGACTTGACCAAGAGTAGCCCTTTAAATTAGATTTTACCAATAGCATTATTAAGAGCAAGCTTTAAAAACTATAAATTAACTCTGTGTAAGCCAGAGATTTATGCAAGGCTATTAGGAGACTCAGAGAGAGAGAGAGAAATTTACTCATCAGGAAATTCCAAAAAGGAACCTCCAACACGTTCGTCAAACTATTATTGTCCTTAATATATAATTAGCTTTAGGAATTAGAGCAGATGTGCAAAAGCAAGAACAAGCTTGAGCTAAGAAGACAGGAATCTCAAGACTCAACTTGATGTTGGCTCTCAGAGGTGAAGAATATATGAATAAAATCACTGAATGTGAAGTGAAACAGCTGAATCTTGGCTCAACTTAGAATTAAGAAAGAAATACATAGTTTTTATGCTATCTGTCAATTCTAGGAAATCTATGCTAATCAGAATTTATATTATTATGCAATGGGGTCAAACATGCAGTAATGCAATTTGACTAAATAAAAGCAGAATGGTTCAATTTTATTTTGGGTTCCAGTTTGTCATCTCCAGTTTGACTCTGCAATAGTCATCTAATGGTTTGTCGGACTCCACTTTGCCCCTCCTCATGGGGCTACTTGTTCATGAAGCCACCTTTGTTCTTCTGCCAGTAATATTTTCCTAAAACAGATCACTCTCCCCTGCTACTTGTTATAGACTGAGCATACACGGAGGGGGTAGTCTGGACTGGGACTAAACTTTCAGACAATTGCCTAGGACAGGCTAAGAATCCCCTCAGAAACCTATGATTTGGAAGCAAACTCTCACCTCAGTTCAGGAGGGACTTTCCTTAGATTATAGTACGGAATATGACTCAAAAAAGCAATGAGAAATTACACTCATTCAAATTTGTACTAATGGGCACTCCCACCATTGTCATTCACCATCCTTTGCTCAAAGGACAATTTGCAATCGTTTGCCTCCCAGTAGTTATCATGAATACTTATACATTGTAACTAACAATGTTTTTCTTTGTGGTAGATGACTCATTCCTCCCACCCACGTGTCTGTCACTGTACTTACGCCTCAGGATTTGTTAATTTCTAGACCCCCATCTTCCTGTATCTTTGGCCATCACCAATCCCTTTTACATATTTTTGCTATTTCTCTTTTCTTCAGAGATGCTGTAAAATTTTAGGCTCAGAGTTTACTTTTCTCCATTCTCCTTTATCTTTCCCATGAGCTTCACTGCAGAACCACTGCCTTTCTGATTTATTCTCTATTCTATTATGATCTATTTCTTCTTTTTACCTTAATATTTTTAAAAATACTTAAAATTTTTGGACACGACATAGGAAATTCGTGTAGATGCTGTAAGAGTACACCACAGTAGGCTCATGACTTCTTGAATTTTAAGAGAAATTATAATCAGGGAGGCATAACTGTAGTTTCAAGTTCTGTGCCTTTTACTTTCATTCATAAAGAACAATGAATGAGGGAGATGAAGAGCAACAGAAATAGAGGGAACGCGTGGACTGAGTCCTGTCTGAAGAAATGCAGAATTTCTAGAGGATAACATGGGAAGAAAGAAATAAACCTGGAATCTTAGCTCAGGACAGATCTGGAGGCCTGGATTAAGTAAAGGCTTTGGGGCTTATACTTTTGGAGGTGAGAAGGCAACAATGACTTGTCAGCATATAAATTGTTAAGATTTTAATTATTTGTTCCTGATCTTAAAGTCCTTATTTCTGTTTTTCAACAAAGATGTGCAATTCCTCCATGTAGGTTTTTGTGTACGTGTTTTCAGTAAGTGGATTGCCATGTCTAGGGAAGGACTTTGAAGAGGGTGTTCAATCTATTTCTAACTCCCTGCTCTTTTCAAGAACAAGTAGTCTATAAATGAATAGGGTCATAGTAAAACATTGTTTGTATCCTGACTTAAACAAATCACCATAAAATGCTTTTTAAAGCAATCTTGCAAATGTATTTGTGGACTGTATATTACATAATATTAAAGAATTAAAAATATTTTTTATGAGTCTCACTCTGTCACCGAAGCTGAAGCGCAGTGGTGCTATCTCGCTAACTGAAGCTTCTGCCTCCCCAGCTCCAGGAAATTTTAATACTATGATATACGATAGTGGCAAGATGGTTATTTTAAAATGTCTGTATCAGTTGGAGATCATAATTAAGTATTTATTGGTGAAACACATGATGCACTTTTCAAAGACAAGCTTTAAAATTCTCTAGCTCCTCCAAAGCTAAAATAGAGAAATATATGAAATTGTAAGAAAAGATTATAAGGGAATTATTCGTTGTTGAATATGATTGCTAGGGGTATATTTTCTCAACTTTCATGTGTTTTAAAATTTGTAAATACAAAGTGAAAATAAAAAATCATCCAAAGTAGTCAAGGAACTAAACGTACAACAAAAATAAATGTTGGGAGCCACATGAACAACCAGAAAAATTAAAAATTAAACTTTGGGTTTTGTTTGTTTGTTTGTTTGGTGTTTGAGACGCAGTCTCTCTCTGTCACCAGGCTGGAGCGCAGTGGCGCGATCTCGGTTCACTACAACCTCCGCCTCTCAGATTCAAGAGATTCTCCTGCCTCAACCTCCCAAGTAGCTGGGACTACAGGCGTGTGCCACCACGCTGGGCTCTTTTTTGTATTTTTAGTAGAGATGGGGTTTTGCCATGTTGGCCAGGATGGTCTCTGTCTCTTGACCTCATGATCCACCCGTGTTGGCCTGCCAAAGTGCTGGGATTACAGGCGTGGGCCACCATGCCTGGCCTAAACTATTGTTAAATATAGATGGATGTTCCAAACCCACCTAGAATGAAAAAAATTAAGACCCTAAAAAGCATCATAATAATTATGCTATGTAGAGGCAATTACTGAGCCCCCAGAAATAGAGTAGCTCTCCCCACACACGCTTTCAAAGTTCCATCAAATTTAATAAGAACCTTGATGTGTTCATTTGCATAGAACATTGCATGTTAGACCAGAAAAGAACAACAACAACAAAAAATCACTCTAGTTTCACCTATGTTCCATTGAGTATGATTTTGACTACCAGTACAGATTGTCAAGTCCTCAAATTTTAAAATGAATAGATTAACGATATACTCTAATTCCAAATTGTACAACAAACTGATATTTCTTTTGGAAACCATGCCCTTCTTTGCAAAAATAATAACCACTAATAATAACCAACAGGTTATACTTGAACAGTTCCCTCTAAGGAGTTCCGAGTAATTACAGACTTTCTTTTAGCCTCATACATTTCCAAACCATGCTCATCTTAGAAATTATATCATTCCTCTACTATCAAGCATTCCTATTATTCTACAAATCAATTGAGTTTTAAAATGCTGTCTTAACACTAGGAATGCTATGACATATAATTTAGTTCCAAATAGAGGCTAATACCTATGCCAGATACGTCTAGTGTCTAATGTAGAACTGTTGAAAGCAGGCAACTACTACCTGCAGGCTTAATCTGACCCACCATCTTTGTAGATAAAGTTTTACTGCAACATAGACACATGCATTTGCTTACAATTTGTCTTCTTTTTTTTTTTTTGAGACAGAGTCTCGCTCCGTCACCCAGGCTGGAGTGCAGTGGCGCGATCTCGGCTCACTGCAAGCTCCGCCTCCCGGGTTCACGCCATTCTCCTGTCTCAGCCTCCCGAGTAGCTGGGACTACAGGCGCCCGCCACTGCGCCCGGCTAATTTTTTATATTTTTAGTAGAGACGAGGTTTCACCGTATTAGCCATGATGGTCCCGGTCTCCTGACCTTGTGAGCCGCCCGCCTTGGCCTCTCAAAGTGCTGGGATTACAGGCGTGAGCCACTGTGCCTGACCTTGTCATTTGTTTTAACACTGCAATAACAGAGCTGAGTAATTAAGAGAAACCAAACAGTGGCCACATGCCTAGTATATACTGCTTAGCTCTTTACAGAAAAAGTCTGCCAAACTCTGGTTTAAAGCACGACTCTCACCAAATTGCCAATGGCATAGACAATTCCCAAAATAACTATGCTAATACATAGATACAGAGAAATTCAAGTTGATTTGCCTAAATATGAGAATAATAATTATATCGACATACAATATAGCTTGCATGTTTTATTTTTTAAAATCTTTAAAATGAGTCACAATATCTTGCAACACGTTAACAGAAGCCTTCAAAGCTAGTCTTACAGAGGACTTATTTAGTCAATGAATCAATTAACACTGAGGCCGAAGTCAGTCAGCAGTGTTTGTGTGGTAAAGAAAGAAATGACAGACTTCTTGCTGTATAAGTAATTGGAGCTACCCAGGAAAGAAATTGATGCATTAAATATCATTATACATTTACATGTAAAACATACATGCATTAATTGTACTGATGGTATACCTCCTACTCTAAGAAATAAATTGAGAATTATTGTTGGCAGAAAACGAGGTATCAAAAGTTGTACAATGTGCTGTCTTGAACTTTTGGCAAATTATTTAACTACTAAATTAAAGGTTATCATTAGGTTAGTGCAGAAGAATTGTGCAATTTAAAAGTAATGGCAAAAACCACAATTACTTTTGCACACCAACTTATTACTGCAATTACTAGTAAACTCTATGTGAAAAACATACTCTACATATTAACACTTTAGTGCTTTTAGTGAAGAAAAACTGGTAGATATTCAACTTAATTTCTTTTCCAACATAAGAGAAGTAGATTTCCCAGGTGGCCAGTTGCCCAGGTATCTACCCTCATTTTTAAAATATGTTTTAAAAATTAGGGGTTTTTTTTGCAAACAAAATAGTTTGTTAATAGTTTAAAAAAGATAAGTTTTATCCATTGTTTATCATATATGACAGATGTATTTTACATTCACACAAAATATGCAAGTAAGAAACTGTTGATTATGGTGACAGCCAGAGAGTTTATCTGCTTTTATAAAAAAAAATTTAATTTGGGTAAAGCATATTAAAACTCTTATAATTGACTTTGTTTTTTGAAACATTTTTTGTTGAGAAAATACACGATTTTAATATAGTGGATATTATCAAAATAAATACATAATAAATTTATTTCTTTTAAATGTGTACTTTATCACTATTCGTAACTTTATGAAAGCCTCTCTCTTAATGGATGAACGGTGAGACGATGACCAAATCAAAATAGAATTAGGGACAATAAAATTTTGGAATTTCTCTTGTCCTCAACAAGCAGTTTCAACAAATGATATAAACAGTCCTGGAAATGCTTGCACATTCAAATGTTCATATTTGCGTGAGATGTTTAATTTATTATTGCACATTTTAAAAGTCCAAGAACAACTCAGATTTAAATTATAGTTCGCTAAAAACTACTGTCTAAAACTTATTATCCTCATTAATAAAATCTATAGTAGATATTTACTAAGTAAATTCACATTATAAAAGAATACATTTTATCTGGCTAAAATTACTAAATAAAAATAAAATGTACTTTTTCCCCCTCATTCTGTAATTATGTTAAAATAAGTTATAGAAATATTTATGTCACCAATTTTTGAGTATTATATTGGTGCAAAAGTAATTGCGGTTTTTGCCATTGAAAGTGATGCCAAAAACCGCAATTACTTTTGCACCAACCTAATAATTATAATTTGTGGTAATATTAAGAACTATTATTTTAGAACCCAAACAATCTAAAACTGAAGTTGCATCTCATAAAGCTTTCTGTCCACAGCAGAGGTGTAATGCAAAAGGAAAGAGGAAATTTTTCCTGAGGTCTGTTTGTGATTATTAATTTGCAAGTATTTATTTTTATGGTTTTTGATGATCAGCATACCACTATTCTGTCATTTATCACAATCAACAAAACATTCAAACAACTACAACCTTCTAATGACCAGGTGGATTTGTACAAATTACAGAATGAATCAGCTAATTTTACTACTAAGTAAAATAATAAAATAGCAAACAGTAAAATTGCTAGATTTTCAAAAAGCAAACAGTATGAATATTTCATGTTAGTAGCGGCCAAGAAAATGTTACTTAGATAATAAGGTATGTCACATGGATAAATGGGTGGTGCTACTAAGTTAATACACGTCTACCTAAATTGCTGTGCAATCTGCCAAGTTGCTGAGAATACTAGACAATAGAACATTACATGTAGACAGTAAGGTCTGTCAATACTCTAAAAATTCAATTTTTGCCATTCCTGTAGAACTCCTCCTCCACCAAAGTAGTCACCATCGCCGCTATGTAGCTGTAAAACTGATTGATTGAATTTATGCCTCGTTTTTATTCCCTTCTCACCTTTTTGGTGACAGTGCTAATGAAATGTCAGATGGCTAGAAATGAACAGTCAAATTCTGGCAGCTGGAATATGAAGGAGAAGTGAGGGGCACAAAGTTAAGTACTATTAAGTTATTATGTCTTATTAATTGAGAAGTGAACGTAATGAGCTTTTGCTTAATTTGAGACATCCTCAATTTTTATTGTCTGGATAGTATGCTTCATATATCTGGCACAGGAAAAATTATCAGCATAACAGAAACAATTCTTTTAACACTTCAACTGTCTAAACATAACCCATTAATCTTAGCATTTACCTGAAGAGGATGCGTTACAGGGAAAAGTCATTGATTGGTTCCAGAAATTTTCATTAAAGAACTGTCGACACAGTCTCAGTACTGGTGTCAAAAGTAGAATTTCTTTAAGCACTGACTACATTATTTGGCAGAGCTTGGTAGGCAGATGCTAAGTCTACATTTGATTCCTATAACTGGAAAAATACTGCTTCCATTTGTCTTAACTAAATACCACTGATTTTTGACAAAGCATAATCTTATCTAAAAGGAAGATTAAAGGACATTAAGTGGTATGCTAGAAATTAGCGTTTAATTTAAAATCAAAAGAGCTTCACCAACAGGATGCACTGACAAACAGCGTTGAGAACAATACTCCAAATTGGCATCAATGAACGGGTATGAACTAATTTGATCAGACCAAGTGAGTTCTGCTAGTGTAGGCTGATGAACAAAGGGTATTAAGTTTGGGGTTGCTGAAAGTCAAGTGGCCTAAGGGACTGTGAAGGGACTATATGATATATAAGAAGTGAAGAATGTTTAGTCTATAGTAGTGAAGAGCAATATCAATTTAACCATTAGAATTCTGTCTGGGAGCAGGACTGACCATGTGATTATTAGCAAAATTTAAATTAATCTTTTTTTTTTTTTTTTTTCTGGGGAACTGTTTTCCAGAGTTGTTCATGACGCTGGGATGACTTTGAATTATCTGGTTTTACTGTTTACATCTGGTATTTTGGAGATCACTTCTTGTTTTGACCTGTCCAGTTACACCTAACTGACAGATTACTGCTTACCCCATTGACTCCTCAATATCTGGTGCTCTACTTGTTCAATTCTTCTTGTTTGGTCCCAGTGGCTGCCCCTGACATTGTCCTGCCTGGTGTTATCTTCTTCATAGTTGTTTTCGTCATTCCACTAGGCATTCCTGCACCTTTGTCTGGTGTATTTATAATCAATGACTATATGATTATCTAGCATTCTAGCCAATTATAATTAGCTTATGATAGTCTAACTTCAATTCAAATTTGAATTGTCAATAGCGACAGCTTCTTAAAAATGAGTGTATAAGTGTAGTGAACAATATTTTCATGTCTTTTTCTGTTTGTCTTCTTGCTCATGTCAATTTGCTGCATAGTGGGCAGAGTTCACCGAGTTTGGGACCACATGGAAAGATGAACCTTACAGATGCCGTGGAGTCCTCAGTGACTAAATCCATCTAAGTTGTATTTGGTGGTGTTCGGGGTGGAAAAACAGAAATAGTTGAATGGCAACTCAGTCCAGCAAAGACACATATGAGAGAGATGGTGACTCAGAATGAACTATGGCCATTATATAGGCCTGGACAGAATTAGAAAGGCTGCGGTCATTATAACCTCAAATAGAGTGCAATGAGTCATGAAAACTTGTCTGGGTAAAGCAAAACTCAACTCCTCAGCGGATTAGGATCATCAAGCTTCAGATCCAGAGAGAAAATTTAAGACAAGATATTTGCAGCATCAAGGGTATATCCAAGATAGTTGCTTCACTAAAAGTGTCATTGCCTTGTTGGAGAAAATCTTAGCTTCTTGTCATCCCCAAAGGTGTATGTATAAAAGTATTTTTTTTCCTGGGGTTAGCTTCGTATCCAGAGGCTCCTTTTGTCCCATGGGCGTGCTGGATCAAAAATTATATATACCAGTCTGATTTTACAAAGAATGATTCTCCAAATTATAAATGCTCTACACTCAGCAATCTAGTCAGGTCCTGAGTTGAAAGCATAGGGTCATTTACAGGTGATTTTCCCATGCTTCTCCTAGCGTACTGAGCAAACTTCTAATTACTATCTTATCCCCATGAACATGACAACATCAGAGAAAATGAGCACAGTTTATTTAATAATCTTGATTGGCCGACCCTAAAGACATAGTAGTACATGTTTTGCTGCATTATCTTTTACAACTGGTAGAACCATATTCACCTGGGAAAGAAAGCATATTCTCCTTCATCTGGGATTTATGATGGGAGGAAAACTTTATTGGGAATCAACTTTAACAAGAGCATAAAGATATTGTTTCCTACATAGATTTCTCCCTATATTTTAACCCACATTTGGCTTTAAATTTGTTTTAAATAAATTATCTTTAAAATATATTTCAGGAAAATAAGAGAGTCCATTCTGGCACTGTGACCCAGCTATCACATGAGCAGAATCATACGATTTGTAATAGAATATACAGGCCTCTGTTCCTACTCGGATACTGCTCTAGAGATTTTTGAGAGTAGCAGTGACTACGTTCAACACTTTCCAAAAATGTGCTCCCTAAGCTCTCTCGAATAAACTAGGAGAAACCAGGACACACTACATATCATGAATAATCTGAAAACAGCAAGTCAGGAATGGGTATACCTTAAGATCTATCATCAACTATTGTCTGGGGCTAGAGGGAGGTTACTGATCAGACATTGTTTACCACATGTTCACCCATTCACTTCAACACTGTATTCTTGATTTTACCAACACTACTCCATAGCTTGAAGCAGAATGTTATGTATTACGCCTCACTGAGTACAAAGAACATCCACACAGTATTTCAAAGTAGATTTTTAAAGTGTATATACTCTTGCTCATATCAGGCAATGTTTTAGCCAAATATTAAGAGAGCAGCCTGTATGTTGGACATTTTCCTTCTGTTCAGAATCACATTTCCAAAGGTTAACAGTTTAAATTTATCATCCCAAGAAAGTCCTCACTAGTCTGATGAATTGCTTGGAGCTCAGAATGCTTAGTTTTGAGAATAAAAATCTCTTTAGAAGAGAAATTGGATGTCGAGTGTTTCTTTCCAACCTGAGACCTTCAGAAAAAGCTATGACTGAAAATTGGAGATTTTTTTGAAATCATTAAGAGCTTTTGAACACAGTATTATGAAATTTTCAGAGATTTGTTCCAGTAAATGCCTAGTATGATCTAATTTGATATATTAATTTAAGTGTAAAATTTTAACTACACTTAACTAATTTCTTAGACTCTTAAAAGATGAGAATTCACAGATCATCAAGCTCAATTTCTCTCTGGATATAAAAACGCCTGTGCTGCTTTGAAAGGGAGGCATTTGACCTGACGACAGCTACGGCTTTCCATTTTGGGGCATTTTTGATTTAAAGATGTTTCTCACATGGCTCCAAAACCCACCCCCTGTAATTCTGCCCAGGGAAATAACATAGCACTGGTATTTTCTTTCTTCTAGATGAATAGTTAACCTAAGTAGTTAAAGGCAAATCTCATATTATTTCTTAAAACCATTTTACATACCCCATAAATTATAGTACCTTCCCCTTTTGGTCACTGTGCTAGGGACACTTATGAGTTGGTCAGTATCCTTCATTACATGTTCTATGTTATATTGCGATCTTATGATTAACAAAATCATCATCGGTTTTTCATTTGAAATGTTAGCAATTTTTATTTGAGAAGTTGTTGTTTTGAATGTGAACATTTATATGTTAACATTTAAATTTTATTGTCATTGCTCACCTTATCTACATTCCCTGCTGAGCTGCCTCTGGATTACATGATTCCAATCCCTGACCACAACTGATTGGACTGAGCAAGGATCCACACCGACCTGTCTACCCAAGAGTAGTCTTTCTTTGACTATTCAGGGACATGTGTCTTTGGTGGCCTGGCACAAAAAGATGAAAAGGGCTCATTAGGCCATTTATCCCAGGAATTAAAACAAAGACAACAGATCTCAGAAGGTTGTATATGTACCTATGAGAGCACACAGAAATATTTTAGCTGGTATATGCATGATTTAAGTAAAAGAATGTTAAATGTGTTTGCTCTTCTATGTGTTAACACATCACGAATTTTATAAAATATCATCACTATTTTATGAACAGTGATTGTTTGGGGCAAGTTAAGAAAATAATCAATTTAATGTTGGTTAAGAGTTTATTATGTAAATACAAGAGCCCTTATAAAAACAAATGCCTGGGACCTATTTGATATTTAGAGGGCAATTATCTTAGATTGAATTTTATTACTATATAAATACACACACACACACACACACGACACCCTCCCCAGGAATGTATATATCCAAATTTTTAATCATGTTGTACATGTCTCTTTTAAGTCACTGATACATTGGGGAACAAGATTTATAGAAAGAGAAAAGAAACTAACATTTATTGCTACATATTTTCTATCAGATAAAGTCCGAATCTGTACAGATCAGCTACCACAAAGCACCCTCAGCCTATGAAAGCAAAAATCCTAGTTCCATCTCTGTGTTCTTATAGCTGTTTCATTTAATATCCTCTTTTTGAAGTCTTAGAATCATGTCTATTTTGTTGAATTTTCAGGAGTATATGAAGCTATGTATATATTATCTTAGGTGTACTGCTATTATTTTTTACTTGAACAAAAGATTGTAGCTGAAACATTGTTAGAAATATCAAAACCTAAAAAGCTGATCTTTATGATGAAGAAATACAGTACAAAGTAAAGAGATAGGACTTAGGGCAATGAAGACATGGATCTGAAATCTGGCCCTTCCCCTTCCTAGCCAGGTTAACTACAGCACATTATTTGTCATCCATGAGACTCAGCTTTTTGTCTCAAATAGGGACCTGAATGTTAAGTGCCAGAGACAAAAAAATACATCCAATGACTATTATCATCAATGCTGCATTACTCTTACTCGTTAATTTAGCAAAAAATGATCGTAGATTTTGAGAAGAAACTTTCATATGACTCATAATTTTCATGATGATCCAAAAGTTATAAATAATTAGAGATAACACACTTAAGTTCTGTATTTATAGTTTTCCATGTAACCAATGATTATAATTTAGGTTATCATCAGGTTATCAATATTGGGGTTATTTTTATTTTTATCTGAAAAAACATTATCTCTTAATCTGAAAATGATTATTTTAAAACTGCCAATACCTTGCTAAAAAACTTATTCCAATTAAAATGAGATTAGTTAATTAGAACTATTTAAATTCTCACTGATAGGAATTCATAGTTACAAAGTCATTATAGGAACCAAAAGGTATAAGATACCTAAAGTAATTTTTCTGAGTGTAATATGAAATTAGACTAGTTTTATTTCTCCCAAATTAAATCCAGGTCTCCTCAGGGCAATACAGTCTAAGACATCTGGATGGAAATTAGTTGGCTTTTTTATTTTATTAATTTTCACCACTGCTATTTACCTATATGCAACTTCTGAAATTTAAAGTCAATGAATTCATTTATATTCAAATGCATTTAGCAAAGAAAAATATGCAGCAATAAAATTGTAATTCGTATTTCCTTGTAGGCTAATGGACAAGGAAGATTTGATAAGAGTATGATACTTTTATATACTTTATACTAATACTTTTATTAAAATGCAGGCAGAACTGGATTTTTTTTTTGTTTCCTTCTAATTAGATATTGTCAGTATGGTAGACAAGTTAAGTTTAGAGTGTGTCCCTCTGCAGAGTAGGCGTGTGAAATGAATGTGCAATTTCAAAGGAATGTAATATAATTAGAAAATCCTTGGTGAATCGTTGACATCAGGAAATGCATTAAAAACCCAGTCATGGCCCTTTAAAAAAATCAAATTCCATTAAATAGAAACCCTGAGAAAATCAGTGAACTCAGCCACAAAGGTAAAACAAGTAGATTGAAGTGGTCAATACTTCACACCCCACGTGCTCAGCTCTCTATGATTTTGTTTTAGGAACAGTGATCCTGGTAACAGGAAATTAAAAGTCAGATACGCCTGCATATATTGTTCCTTACTGTGCTTTATCTAACAAGTAATGTTAGTTGCACAACCAGAGACCTTGCCTGCGGATGGATTATTATTCCTGCAATGCAGGCGGCTTCTGCTGCTACTGAATATACAGAATCCAACCACGTGAACACAAACTTCTAACACAAGTCAGATTATCCTACTCCCGTGGGATTTTAAAAATCCTTCAGTGGTAGGCCGGACGCGGTGGCTCACGCCTGTAATCCCAGCACTTTGGGAGGCCTTGGCAGGGGGATCACGAGGTCAGGAGATCAAGACCATCCTGGCTAACATGGTGAAACCCTGTGTCTACTAAAAACACAAAAAAATTAGCTGGGCATGGTGGCAGGCGCCTGTAGTCCCAGCTATTTGGGAGGCTGAGGCAGGAGAATGGCGTAAACCCGGGAGGCGGAGCTTGCAGTGAGCTGAGATACACTCCAGCCTGGGCGACAGAGCGGGACTCCGTCTCAAAAAAAAAAAAAAAAAAAAAAATTCCTTCAGTGGTTTCCCATTTCTTTCCAAATAAAACCTAAAGTCCTTCTAATGATGAACAAAGCCACAGTGGAGTTCCCATTGCCTCTGGAACTTCATCCTCAACTACTCTTCCCCTCGCTGGTTCTCTCCAGGGTCACTGGCTCTCTATTGCTAAAACTCTCCAGCCAAGTTTATGCCTCAAGGCGTTTGCATGACTTCTCCCTTTTGCCTGCAATGCTCTTTCCCTGGTTAGCCACGTGGCTTGCTCTTTTCCCTTAGGTGTCTGCTCAAATGTAACCGAATCAGCTTGGCCTTCCTTGACCGCCTCACTAAAAATTGAACAAGTCATTGCCCTGTTTGCTCTTTTCTTTCTTCTCTTTTCTCCATGGTACCTATCACTTGTAACGTACTCTATATTGGAACTATTTTAATTTGTTTATTGAATGTCTTCCCCCACCAGAAATAAAGCTTTATTATGGCATGAATGCTTAGACTAGAACCTAGAAAAACTAATTGCTCAAAAAATATTTGTTGAAGAAATGAAGAAAATAATAAAAGCATTAATGTATCTATTAATTATACCTCAATAAAGAAAAGAATGAGTGCTAGCTTTGTAAAAGTTTCAGGGACTCTTGAATCAGACATGGACTCTTTCTTAAAAATGCTTATGGTCCGGGAAATGAAATTAATCATCTCTGTAAGTAACATTAACACAGAATAGAGCACTTGAAGTCTGATGAGGTTAAAATATTACCAACAAGACAAAAAAAAATACTGCCTTCATGTAAAGACATCAGAGAAGCTACATGGAAGAGATTGCATTTAAAGTGGTTCCAAAAGATAGAGATTGCCATGAGTCCGTATGAATGGGTGGGGAGAGTATTCAGGGAGAAAACAATGTAAACAAAGGCTCAAATCTGTGTGGTCACCGAGCTCTCCTGTTTGGCCACAATGTACAACATATACACAGGCAAACACAGGGGAAGAAAGTTGGGAAGGTAGAGTCAAATTATGAAGAGTCCCATAAAAATCCATCATTTCAATAATATTTATCACCTACTTGAATATAACTGCTTTGTTCCCCATGTGTTGTCCTAATTATTACTGTTGAAGTTTCACTTTCTTCTGGGGAAGACATTGGCAATCAGTAAGAAGTGGAATGTTTCCTGGGATCCTTGGGGGCAGCTAATGACTCCCCCTCCTTTGACATCTCTTAGATCATCTATCTGTCTAATGAATCAAGGTGCCTTGCTCTGTCCCTAACAAGAGGCCCCAAATCTTACTTGCTATTAAGGCAGGATGAGGCAGCTGAAAGCAGTTATTCTGCAGAAACAGTTTCAGCAGGAAACTGTTAACCAGGAGAAATTTGATGCAAGCAGAAATTTATGACTGTGACTGCTCTGGATCATTCTTTTGGTGTTCTTAGTTGTTTTTGATTGTTTTCTATCAGAACTGAGCAGGACACAACGTGAGAATAAGCCCTCATGGTAGGTAAAAAGCTGTTTAGTGGGACCTCAAATGGAAGCTCTAGTGATTTAGTACACTTGAAAGATTTCAACCCACTATGACCAAGACTCCTCTCCTGGAACATTGCAGGATGCCCACCTAAAAGTAAGGACCCTTATATTCTGATATACCTAAGGAATTTTTTTTAATCGTTGTAGGTGTATTAGAAAATTCACTTTGAATAGCTTTAGAACAGTTGAGAGAGATTTCACATAGCTCCCTAGGCCTCTAAACTCTTAAGTTCAAATGATTGGAAAGAGTATCAGGAATTTACACAGGCCAAACTCTAAGTCTTCTAGGGGGTAAAATAAGGCATTTTTTCCCCCGAATGTCTATCATATGACATTTGACAGCTCAATTCACAAGGTATCTTTTAGGAAAGAGGAAGGTAGGAGGGAAGGGGGGAAGGCGGGAAGGCAGGAAGGCAGGAAGGCATGCAACTTTCTTCACTTTAATATTCTCCATTCTACTTTCCATAAGGAGCATAACGAAATTATCAGATGTTAATGTGGTATTCACTGTGTACTTTTCCTTTGTTTTTATTTTGCTATTTTTATATTCTGTCCTCCCCCATTTTTATTCCACTTATTTTCTCCATTTTCTGTCCTAATTTCTTTCCAATACATGCTCCCCATTTCAGAAAGTGTGCATTTTCATGCATAAGATGAGCACCTCTCAGTAAACATTGTTGTTAAAAAAGAAAACATAATTTTTAACATCCATTCGCTATATACTGTACATCAAAAAATTCTTTCCTTTGTACTTGAAGGGGAGGAAGGGGTTTGGCCATCGTCACTGACAGATGCCAATATCAGTGTTATGCCTTAGCAAGTTTCACTGACTCCTGTCTTTCTTTTGCCCTGAACACTCTTCAGTTTGTCTCCTGGGCACTCCAGCCCTGCTGTGAAGACTCATTCAGTTTCATTCCCCAGGACTCTATGAACTCTGAAGCCCAGTATGGGCTTGTGCCAGGCAGGAGGTTATTTCATGAAAATCAGCCAAGATTTCTTTTCCCTTCTTTCATCACTTCACTCTCAGTTAAGCCTCTGGTGGGAAATTTTCGAGGTTACCATCCAGCATCTATACCTCAAGGAGGACAATTGCACTCTGTAATTGGAAGCTTCATCTGAGCCTTAGACTGGAATTTTATCACAAAGAGTACCTCAACGTCAGAGGTAGTAAATTAGGATATGGGGAATCTTGTCATTTACATACTCTCTACCAACATATGGCAGTATCTATAAATGCCAACCACAGTCACTCTTAATTAAAAGTTTAGACAGTAGATATACAGAAGTATGAAGGCTTTTTTCTAAGCTCTTCTACATTATTCAACCTGTCCATATGTCCACCAAAAAAAAAAAAATTGTTAAAAAAAAACCCACAGCAGGGGCGGGGGGCAAAAAGCCAAGATTGGGGAGTTCAGTTTTCCTTGATTTAATATCCTATTAAAACTCTATATGAACAGATTTATATAAAGCTTGCCATCTGATAGGACAATTGTGATTTCATCTCATTACACTAAATATATATATAAACTGAAAATATATTAATTTTCAATCTCAGACTGAATTTGCACATACCTGGAATTATTTTTCTTTCCTTGTCTGTTGAAACAAAATGAATTCACAAAGAAAATGTATCATGTAAGGAGAAAGTATAACCAATTTAGATAACAAACCATTCTCAATCATTTTTAGATATACTTTCAAATAATTGATATGTTAATTATAAATCTTTTCACATTTTTTATTAAGTGGAACTCTAACCAGTAAGATTGTTTTCTACTATAGTTTACATAGATTGTACCAGAAAATTAAGAGTATTCCTAATGAGATACTCTTCAATTGAATTTAGCATAATTTACTGATTCCTATTATTCTTCCTGCCAATTAGTCTTCACAGTTTTATTTGAAATTAATGAGGCTTTGTGACACTGTTTCTTGGTGTCTTCCAAACGTTTTGGAGAATTATTTTCTCTTCAAATATTTTTTTCTGCTTTATGTCTTCTTTTCTCTCTTCTGGGATTCCAAGTAAATATATATTACACTTTTTCACCATATCTTCTGGATCTCTTGCCCTCTATCTTGTACTTTCCATATTTTGTCTCTTCAGCTTTACTGTTGATGGTTTCTCTTCACCTCTCTTTTTATTCATGAATTCCATTTTCATCTGTGTTTACCCTGTCTTCAAACACATCACCTGAGCTCTCCATTTTGGTTTTTGTATTTTTCAGTCTTAGCATTTCCTAGGCAATTCTTTTCTTTAAAACCAGAATGTCATGGTATCTAGTTTCCAATTCCTTGATAATATTTTAAAGTTTGTTCTTATTTCCATTAATGTAGTAAATGTGTTTTGCCTAATCTGAGCCCAATATTCTCACTATATGGGCACACCTGTGGGGCTTTGTCTGCCGTCTGTCATTTGTGACGATTCTCTTTCATGCTGCCTTCTTTCCTTGTGCCCTAATTATCCTTGTGTACCAGATACAGTATTTGAAACATGTAGTAGAAATATTTTGAGTCCAAGATAATGTTATTATCATCTGGAGATGATTTTCATTTGCTTCACAGGTGTCTGTAGATGCTAGCTTTCCAGGTTCACCTTAATCTAATTTGTCTTGGTCACCAAAATGACTTACACTGGTCTGCAATGTGTTCTAAGACTGTTTGACTTCTAGCTCAGTCTCCCATGTAGATTTGGTTCCTGCATTTATGCTACGGAAGTTCATCCAGGGAGCTCACCCTTGGCAAGCTGTAGACTTCAATTTTTGTCCCAAAAGCGCTGAAGCTCTGTCAAAGACCTGCTCAGCAGCTCCTCTGGATTAGCAGATACTCCTAAGGCAAAGCAGTCTGAATTCTGGGCTCATCTTTCTGATTTCCTTCTCTTACATCTTGGTCCAATTACTCTTCATTATCTTGGTAGGTATTTAATGCTTGGAAAGATTTTTTTTAGTTCATCTATATATTTAAATTATAATTAGCAAGTGGGTTTGTTCAAATTACTCATTCTGACTTTACTATAAACAGAAGTGCTTTTCTGATTACTCTTAACTAGGGAGTTTTTAGAACACTACAAAATAACTGCACTGATAAGCATACACAACCATAAAGTTACTTTCACTGGGGATGAAGATAAGGTAGATCTAATTGGAAATTTTTCCATTAATCCCAAATCCATACTGATGGGGAAATGACCTGATAACTCCATGCAAGGATTTTCCTATATTTCAAAAAAATTATAGAATATTCTATCTTTGACAGAAAGAACAAATACCAATAAAAATTGCCAGTTTATTCATTAGGACCAGAAAGAGACTACATAAGAAACATAAGAGAAATCGTGTAAAAAATTGAGGATAAGAGCAATATCCTATCAAAACCTATACACCAAGATAATTTATAGTTTGCACATGCTTATAGATATGAAAAAACTGCTATGATCAAGTCTCAACGATTCTCATAATTACAAATAGTATGTATTTGTGTACTGAGGTATATATGTGTATAAAAGATAAAGTAAGAAATGTGTGAGTGAAATGATAAGGAATTGAAACACGGTGGCCTACCCTTCTCCACCTCTCCCCCACGAACTGACACAGGTGGTAAATGTGCTCAGGCAACCATTGGTTTAGGACAAGCAAGGAGTAAAGAGAGAAATTTACTGTCCAAGCCCAGTGTCCTCACTCAGTAGAACTTAATGATATGCCTAAATTCAAAATATTAGAGGAGAATGAACAGAGGCCTGTCCATAAGAAGGAGACAAATGGAAAGGTCTGTGTCACTGTAATTCCCAGGAAAATTAGATTAGGGAGATGTGAATTCACCTACAAAGTTTAGAAAATCAATCAGTCCCTGTACTTATTACCAGCTGTATGTAGGTCACTGTATTCAGCAATGAAACACTAGTTATTGAAATAAAAGCCAGTCATTTATGAAATATTTACTGAATGTCTACTACGTACCTAGCAGTTAACATACACCTACTGAAACAAAGATTCCTTTTATCTAGAGCAGTACTCTTGCAGCAGAAAATAGACAATGTGCAGTTATTATAATAAACTGATATATTATGAGTATCTAAGAAGTAGAGCAAAGTAAGACGGAGCTGGAGTGGCCTCATGGAAAAAGTGACGTTCAGATAACAGAACAAGGTACCCCAGGAGGCAGGAAGATATCATACAGTCATGTATTAGTCATGTAGATATCTGGGGGAGAGTCTTCTAAGCAGAGACAACCAGCCCCTAGAACAAAGGCTCTAATGTGAGAGGCTACCTGGCATGATAGAGAAATGGGAAGGGAATAAGTATGGCATGGCTGGAAAGGGGTATACACAGAAGAAAGGAATGGAACATAATAAAAGTTATAAACACACAAATATGTAAGGTCTTGTGGGCCTTGAATCTGAATGAAATGGGGCAACACTGCAAGATTTTATTTATCTATTTATTTATTTAGAGACAGAGTTTTGCTCTTGCTGCCCAGGCTGGAGTACAATGGCGCGTTCTCAGCTCACCGCAACCTCCGCCTCCCAGGCTCAAGCGATTCTCGTACCTCAGCCTCCGGAGTAGCTGCGATTACAGGCATGCACCACATGCCCGGATAATTTTGTATTTTTAGTAGAGACGGGGTTTCTCCATGTTGGTCAAGTGATCTCAAACTCCCGACCTCAGGTGATCTGCCCGCCTCGGTCTCCCGAAGTGCTGGGATTACAGGCGTGAGCCGTCTCGCCCGGCCCAACACTCCAAGATTTTAAGCAGAGGAGTGACATCATCTCGTATTTTAGCAATATTACTTTAACTAGTAAGATGAGAATAGATTGGTGCAGGAAAAGGAAAGGCAAGGACACACCTGTTAAGAGACTATTAAGGGTCTGGGAGAAACCCAGGTAAGAGAGATGGTAGTAAATGGAAGTATTGGGGAATTGAGTGGAACAGTAATTCTGTAACACACATTTGTTTCTCCCCATAGGTAGGAATACAGGTGTCCTCACCTCCCTACCTGAAAATAAGTATGCATGGAATTTCTCCAATTTAAGGCAGTTTGATTTAATCTATGTCATGACCAGATTCAGAAACTGAGAATTTTAACAAAAATCAATTGCCTGAGAAAAATGACCACACATTATGAATAATTTTCATTTACTATATAGTTAAATTCCTCCGACATTATAGACCTGTATTACAACGGCAAGTTTTAGGTTTTTTGTTTTGTTTTGTTTTGCTGTTGTTGTTTTATTGTGTTTTTGTTTGTTTGGTTTTTTGTTTTGTTTTTGAGACAGATTCTCGCTCTGTCACCCAGCCTGGAGTGCAGTGACGCTATCTCGGTTTACTGTAACCTCCACCTCTCAAGTTCAAGCGATTCTCCTGCCTCAGCCTCTGGAGTAACTGGGATTACAGGCCCGTGCCACCACGCCCGACTAATTTTTGTATTTTTAATAGAGACGGGGTTTCTCCATGTTCGCCAGGCTGGTCTCAAACTCCTGAGCTCAGGTGATCCACCCGCCTCGGCCTCCCAAAGTGCTAGGATTACAGGCGTGAGCCACTCCGCCCGGCCAAGTTTTAGTTTTGACTGCCAATAACTTTTTAAATAGATTGGGTGGTGGATGCCTGGAACCTGAGCGTACAGAGGTCAGTGTTGTTTTTGTTTGGTTTGTTGTTGTTGTTGTTTCAGACGGAGTCTCGCTCTGTCGCCCAGGCTTGAGTGGAGTGGCACGATCTTGGCTCACTGCAACCTCCGCCTCCCGGGTTCAAGCGATTCTCCGGCTTGGTCTCCCAAGTAGCTGGGACTCCAGGCGCACGCAGCCAAGCCCGGCTAATTTTTTGTATTTTCGTAGAGATGCGGTTTCACCGTGTTGCTCAGGCTGGTCTCGAACTCCTGAGCTCAGGCAATCCGCCCGCCTCGGCCTCCCAAACTGCTGGGATTACAGGCGTGAGCCACCGTGCCCGGCCCAGAGGTCAGTGTTTAAACTTGCTGAACTAATCCACTGTCCTACTTTTCATTCATTATTATTTCTTTCCGTCTTCTTCCATCTTCCCACATATGTTTCATGGTCTTTATAAGCTCCATCAGCAGCCATGTGTTCTCCAATTTTATTTTCATTCATGCTATCATCTTTGGCAATGCCAGGAAGGCTTTTTTTCCCCCTCTCATGTACTTTAACATATTATTTCTCAAAAAATAGCCTCCCTGCTGCGTTTTTTCTGAGTCTGTGAGAAAGAAGAGCCAAGCTGCAGAGAAAGAGATTCTGCCATGTGCTGTGTGATCCTGCATGGTTTATAACCTCCAGTCTTTTCATCCATGACGTGAGGATAACAATACCTCCTCAAAGGGCTTTTGTGAGGATTACACAACCCAGGGTATGTACAATGCCTGTGAAAGTGCCTGGCACAGAGGCCAGGACTCAATACTTCTGAGTACTGCCTGCAGGTCAGAAGCTTCTCTCACTTCCAACTCTAGCCATTTCTACTGCTATTTGGTTTTCTGTTCCTGACTTACCAGTAGCTCTATGATCTGCATGTTCTGTAATTTACTACTACTAACTAAGCTTAGTCTATATGGTTTGCTAATTAACAGCTTCCCTTCTTAATATTCCTAATAGAGTTATTTTCAGCATCAAATGATATAATAAGTGGAAAATTCAATTAATGTATTTGGGATATAACAAGTCCTCAACTGGTAATCATTAGTCTTTATTTTTGATATTTTATTACCAATATTAATATCTATCTTCTCTTCCCACTAGGAAGAAGGGTCATCAAGGACAGAGATATTCATCTGTTTTATTCTCTGATACATTCCTAGTGCCTAAAACAATGCCTGGCATATAAGAGATAGTCAATAGTTCATGAATAAATTAGTAACTGAATGAATAAAACACTTTCACTTATTTCAGTTGCATTAATGCAATGTAAGTTACAAGTAAGTTACCTTGCCATCACTGAGTATTATAACTTTTTTGCTAACACATAAAAGGTATAAATTTATAACTTACTTTGTTTCGTATTTTTTAATGACTAGAACAGTTAAACATTTATTTAAAAAATTATTGAGGTTTTGACATTAGTCATAAAACAGGCAAGGTTGTGAAAAAGTTAAGAAATATCCAACATTTCAAGTGGGAGAAATGTCTTACACAGGAAATGAGGTAAAATTATAAAATATTTATCATCTTTTCTTTAGAGTGAAATTCTCTGGCACTCTCTCTTCTCAATTTCATGTGATGACGTAGTCTCATATCTCACAGAAAACACGGATGGAATCAGATGTGAAGGCTTCCCTATTTCTTCCATTACATTTCCCACCCTTCTGCATATTCACCCACGTTTCCCATTTGTCTGCTGTTCAAATGGATAAAGTGGCTCTGGTCCTATCAATAATCAACACATCCATATGCATTGCAGACTCCATCCTTTCTTCCCTACTCAAGCTCTTCTCTCCTAGAATTATCATTCTTTTTTCCATCATTGGTCTCTTTTCCTCTACTTGATTATTGTTTTCACCAACATATTAAAATGTATAGGAAGGGCAATATGTTCAATATAGATAATGAATCTTTCTTAACACTGGTCTGAGGAATTCTTCAGCCTAGAGGATAAAGTGAAGAGTTAAATTCCTTTCCTTTTGCATACTTAGAAAAAGCATAGAGATGTAAAATTTAAACGCAGCCATAAAAAAGGGGGAATAGATGCTAAGCATGTTTGTTGTTGTTGTTATTGTTGTTGTTGTTGTTTTTGACTCAGGATGGAAGGATGATTCCAGATGTGAGTACATATTTCTCTCTCTGGCTTTGGAGGAGTATAAAAAACATTGCATTAAATAAATGCAAGTATCACCAATAGTACTGGAGGCTCTGCCTTTATAACTTAGGAAAGAAGACCAATTCTGACTCACTGGCTTTGCAAACCAAACCAAGGCCTAATTTTACCAACTTGGGGTTGCAATGTGGTCAGGTTACCAGAGAGTGCTCTTGATGTTCAAATATTTGGATGTGCCCTCAGTGCATGGGATGCATGGATGTTATGTTGATAGCCTATGGGTATTCCGTGGGGCCTACCTTGTCTCATAACATGACTTTTTCACATTGGCTGGTCTCCAGCACTGGGCTAGAGGGTAGGAGACGGGCTTAACAAGGACTCGGAGAGTCCACGCTCAGAGAGCCAGGGACAATTGATCCTGCAAGAGTAAGCTGACTTTGAGTTAGAGCCCAGACTTCAGCATTAAATACCCAGAATAAAAGGCCAGCAACCAGAAAAGAAGAAACTACACAAGATCTGAGTCTTTTTCTTCACCATAGGGATGCGAAAGCAACACCCACCTTCCATACACAAAAGAGAGAAACTATATTAGAAAGAAGCTGGGGTAGGCATCATAAGAACCTGATTATTCTTTTATTCTAGAAATCTTTATCAGTAGGATGATTTAAATCATCATATTGGACTAGACTTTAACCTGAAAAGGATGTTTAATTAACTTTTCTCCTCTAGCTGGCTGGTGTCACCTAATGAATAGCCAAGATTAGCAGTAGACAAAATAAAATTACAAATTTTTTACAAATCAAAAATTCGGAATGAGTCACATTGTATAATTCTGTTTATTGGTTTACTTGTAAAAAATAAAAATAAACTAACTCCTTTAGCAGTAACTACCTTATCAGCCACAACCTCATTTTTTCCCCTCTTCGAACTTCTTGAGCTAATTTTCTTCCTGCTGACACCATTCTCTTCCACTTCCATTTTCTCTTCACTTTTACCTCAATTGATCATCCCTCTTTATTATGTCACTAAAATTTTTCTTGTCAAGATCATCAATGAGAAGCAAGTTGCCAAGACCAATGGGCATTCTTCTGCCCTCACTTTACCAATCTCACAGCACCATTTGGCACAGCTGACCATTTCCTCCCTCCAAAATACATTCTCATTCTAAATTTTATTATTCACGGATCTTGTCTACCTCCTTCTGCTCAGTACTTAGCTCTGTCATCTCCATTTCTTCACTAATTCTGTGTGACCTAGCCAATGACTTTGGTAACATACCATCAATATTGCACAATTCCCACCTCTTCGCAGGAGTTCCAACGCCATAGAGCCAATGGCCAACCTGATATCTTCCATTGAAATTGCACAATTTGTTAACAACTTAAGAGTAGACATTATGTTTCTGCTTTTCTTCCCTCAAGCCCCATATCCAGTTCACCAGCAAATCCTTTGGCTGTGTTTTCCCAAATCCTTATACTTATCATGATCTTCAAGACTACTACACTCTTCCAGTCATCATTATTCCTCACCCAGACTCAGCAATTTAGCACTGAACTGGTCTTTCTTTGCATCTTCTTTTGTCCCATATTCATGATGGCCACAGCAACTTTGTGAAATTTTTCTTTTCAAAATTACTTACTTATAGGAAAGTAATACAGCTACGGTATGTTTGCCTGATACTGAATTTAAAAAAATGTGTCTTGCAGAAGGCAGTTTCATCACCTTGTCTCGTGAAGGAGGCTACCATATGAAGTTACCCTATATGAAGGGGTAACCATATGAAGTATAACCAGTATGTTAAGTTTACATTTCCCCACAAGCAAATGCCTGCATATAAAATAAAACTCACACACGGCTTATTTTTGAGGGGCAGGAAAACTGAGAATAATTTTAAACAAAAGATATTCTCTAGAAAAGACATAAAAATCGAGAGGGAGACACCCAGCAGAATGAGAAAAAATGAAAATGATAAAGTATACTCTAAACAAAGTGAGAGTTCAACAACTATTTGTTGTTTATGATGAAAAGGCTTTCCAATGAAATCAATGCAATGCCTGACACTCAGATTTTTTTCTCATTTTCCCAGGCTTGACAAAAATAAAGAAGACACTGAAAGAAAAGTTTGCATGGATTCTGTTGAACTGAAGAGGGCAGATGGATATCTCTTTAGAAAAATGACAATAGCTCTGGCCATCCATCTCACAAATTTGTGTCATTAATTCAGCAGAGACAGTGAGAAAGAAAATAGATCAGACCAAATCTGAAGTAAAGTAGAAATGATGCTGGCCTGGGAGTTATAGAATCAGAGTACTACAGATGAATCTCTGAATCCTTATTAATGGGTAGTGTGAACTTGAGCAAGTCCTTGAACCTCTAGCTGCTTACAAGTTATCTGGACTAGATCAACTTCAAAGTCCTTCTAATTTGTATCTTCTAGAATGTGTAATTCTAATGTCACTATTGGAAAGCCAACAAATGTTGTTATGATTGTGGTAGATTGATAGAATTGTTTTCACATACAAAGAAGGCACAATGCCTTTAGACATGTGGAAAAAATAGCCATTAGAGGTGTCCCTAAAAGAATATTTTGAATCACTGATTGATTATACCTCTAAAGTTCCCATTTACTTACATGAGTTTATGTTTTGGAAACTTACCAAAGGTCCTTTGCTTGAGAACAAAGAAAAGTCAATTCTTCATTATAGACCATCTGAAATAAGATGTTGGAAAAAATTATTATGAGCCATAAAGTGTCTTAGAATTGTTAAATTGTATTGCTTGAACTGCATATGAGAGTAAAGACTGATAATTTTTAAAATACTTAGGACTATATGTTACATTCGAATTGTTATGGTTTAAAATAAGGGGATTCAATACATTCAGGAAAGCATTAAATAAAATTTTAACTCAGGCAATGCCTTTCGCTCACAATTTGGATAGCAGGTTAAACCAAGGTTTACAGCTCTGCAGTAAGCTGATGCTCACCAAACAATTTAATGTAGGCTCTGGAAGAGTACCTTTTACATGGAATAATTTGGAAGAAAGGAATATCAGTTAAAGAAACAGTAGAAGAGTAGGCGCATCATAGCAAAAAAGTAGAGTCATTCAGCAGAAGATACTGCGCTCATCAAAGTGAAGCCCATGGATAAGATGGCAAATAACAGAGATTAAAATAGTTATCAATGACTTAGTGCCTCCTACACTCCAGGTCCTGTACTAGGTACTTTATATTTCCCATTTCATTTCATCCTCAAGGCAAATCTAGGAATTCAGTTGTATTATCTTCATCTTGCAGTTGAGGAAATGAAAGCTTAGAAAGATTACTTAATTTTCAATGATAGCAAATGTAGTACAAATCAAAATGAAGAGTAAAACTCAGGTCCATCTGTATCCAAAGCCAATACTGTTTCAGCTACTTGAAGCTACATAAATGGCCAAAACATTAGTGTTCTGGGAAGTTGTGTAAGAGAACCAAGCGAATAATTGTTACATCACAGAGCACCAGTATTCATAAAGGACAACTACATAAAGTGACTTAGGATGACTTAAGAATGGAAGCTCATTACTTCTATGGTTTCAGAGCACCAGACTGCAACCTTTTTATCTGAGTGGAAAAAAAGCATTCAGGTATAAACTCCAAATTACTAAGTAATCAAAGAAAATTATCTGGTATCAATTCTTGTGTTTAAATAAAGCCTAAATATATTTTATTTGAAATTTCAAACACTATCCAGTTTATGACAACCCAGCTTCATACATTCTATAAAAATACCAAGCGCCACTTTTTAAACTTCTATTTTTTCCCCAACCCTGAAATTCATTGAACTCATACCTAACCTGGGAAACAATATGTTCAACTGATGTGTAAAAACCCTAGCAGGTTAATGAGAAAGGACTTGTTAGTCATCCAATAAAAAATGGATAACATGCTCCCAAAATTACCTGTTGATAAGAAAAAGTTGAGTTTATTGCTTATCGTGGTAAGGAATATCACCACCTTCACGTAATCTTGGTAGAATTTCAGAAGCAAACAACAAAGTTAGGATTTTTGTTGTTGTTGTTGTTGTTGTTGTTGTTGTTGTTGTTGTTATGGAGTCTCGCTCTGTCGCCCAGGCTGGAGTGAAGTGGCGCCATCTCAGCTCACTGCAACCTCAACCTCCCGGGTTCATGCCATTCTTCTGCCTCAGCCTCCCAAGTAGCTGGGACTACAGGTGCCCACCACCATGCCTGGCTAATTTTTTCTATTTTTAGTAGAGACAGAGTTTCACCGTGTTAGCCAAGATGGTCTTGATCTCCTGACCCCGTGATCCGCCCACCTCGGCCTCCTAAAGTGCTGGGATTACAGGCGTGAGCCACCATGCCCGGCCATAAAATTAGGATTTTTAAGAGGTTTTGATGATGGTTTAAGGCAATGTATTTGTTTAGGTTTCGGTAAGGTTCATCATATGATAGTTTAGGACTGATGGACATAGTAAGACAAGCTTTTAAGGACAGAGTTTTTGCAAGCAAACAGTCTTTCCATGCTATCTATTGAAAAGTTCGACAGTCTAATGTTCATTTAAATGGGCTTATAGGAGTTTCTAAAATTAATAATAATTATTTCTAACTTTTTTATTCCTGAGCAAAACTTTCCTAATATAGTAAAATCATGCTAATGCAGAAAGAAACTTCCGTGGGTATACATGGTTTTGCTTCCAGAATCATGAAAATAGAAAATTATTTTAGCTCGGCATTTATTTTGATCTATGAAGATTAATCCTTTATTATATTTGGTTTATTATATATCTTTGCATAGTTTTGGGGAAACTTTGAAGGATTTCTTCATGAAGTATGTCTGAGAAACTTTTATGTTCAAAGAAGCTCCAAATAAATTCTGCTCATTGATATCAATAATTGCTATTATTGATGGACATTTTTATGATATTTAAATAAATAGGATTCTCACTTTCCCATATGAAAACAGCCTCCTGAAGCAACATAAATAACCAAAACATTAGTGAAAAATGTTTTGTGAAAAAGTCCTTCTGTGGGCATATACTTAATTCACCACTTTTTTATCCTGTCAATTATAAAGTATTTGACAAATAAAATAATTTATCCTACTATTGAACAAACAAGAGGACAAAAAACATTACCTCATAGAACACTACAAATATGCTTGGACATCAGAAGGGTTGAACAGCCTTGCCTTCAATTAGTCTCCATCCTCAAGTGGAAAATAATGTTAACAAGTAAATGTGGTAAGAACTATAAAAGATATAACACACCAGAGGTAAAGAAAAGAAATGATTAGTTCTTACTGCCTATCCCAGTAAGTGTCAACAAGAAACTAGTATTCGAGCTAATCCTGAAGGAGGCAAAGACATTCCTAAATGAGAGAATCGAAGGTCTCAGTGATTAAGTCTAGGGCATAATAAATAGAAAAGTTGAACGGAATAGGAATGTCAGCCTGGCAAGAAGTTACTTTTACCTCTTTCTTGCTTCAAATTTAGTTCCTTTTCTTGGCTAGAACAAGGAATTTTCAAAAGAGCAATGCATATCATTCTTTTTCTGGTAGCATTTGATGCAATTATAATTAATTATATGTGAATGACACCTGTCTTTTTCAAGGTAGATTATTTTTGCATCTCTAGTATCTAGTACTGTGTCAGGCACATGTTTGAAAGAATTAAGTGACTACATGAAATGCATAATTAATTTGGTTCAGCCTATAATGAAGGTTTGTTTATATCCTAAGAAAATATCCACTTTGGAAGATTTCCACTTTGTTATATTTATATCTCAAAACTATTTATTGTTTGGAATCTCTACTCATTTTTCGAATGCTAAAAACGACTCACTTCTCATTATACCAATCAAGAAGGGCATCCCTATGCCTTATGAAACACTATGTTTTTGATCTGTGCTAGTATAGTATACAGTTTAGGTTATTCTAAATCTTTTCCTTTGTCATTACTCTTGTGAAATTTGTTTCTTTGTCTTATGTCCTTTTATCCTTTTTCCTCGGAAGCCAAGTGGTTCATACAAGGATGGAAACCTTGGACTTTACTTCAAAAGCACCAGCTCTCTCAGGGAAGATACTTATTCTAGAAAGGGCAAAGAAGTAATTTAGGACAGAAGGTTTTCATAGTAAATGCTAAATGTTCGCTCTTTAGGTTGGATGTTCTCTTTTTAATTCTACCTGCCAGGTGTCCATCTATGACCTTTACGCTGGTAACATTTAACTTAAAATTTGATATATCTTCATATTCTACATCACAGACTATCTTGGATGTGTTACATCACTTCTGACTCCTTATTCCTCTCACCTGGTAGGAATCATCTCTGTGATGCTGGATGCAGGACAGACAGGCCACTGCGCCTCACATCCATGTCCTTGCTAGCTCTCACCTAAGTATTCTTATCATTTTACCACCAGGGGAGAATGGACACAGCTTCAGAAGCCTGAACATATCACTGCAGCCTCCAGTGGCACTGGCTTTACACATGAAATCTCTATGCAACCCTTATGTTTTCCTTAGAGTTTCTGCCCTTTCTCCATTACAAATGGGAAGGCAGTTTGTGAACTATGGAGAAGTCATTAGATGATAGGGCTTTGGTGGGGTGGAGAGCTCACCTCCAAGAACTACATGGGAGGCTGTTTATTAGTAGTGCTTGCTTAACAAGCCCCTTCATTAATTAGTCTAAGACCTTTCTTATCTCCTTCATGTACTCCCTCATGTACTTGATTTTTTGATTAAAAAATCAAATATAATTTTATAACCCTGCAGTTCAAGTTTTCATTTGCCAAAGGAAAAAAAGGTTGGATATAAAATAGGAAAAAATAGAAACTACTATTATAATAATCTGGGCAGATACAAAATATGTGTGAAGCTATGTTGCCATATATTTGCTTGTTTAATGACAAAAATGTATTTGGAATTTTGTGCCATTTAATTCTTTGTAATAATATTAGTAGAGAGTGGCATTTTCTGCAAGTTAGAAAAAATGTCTTTTTTCTTCATTTGTATTTATCTCACTCATTAGAAGTAAGAGTAGGCATTATATTAATGGCCCATAAGTATATTCATTGAATAATGTGTTTCTTTCTTTTACTTTAACAAGTTAATAAGCACATATAACATGGCCAGACAACTGGACTAACTCTGTCAGAATCAGAAGGTTGGTCAGAATTTAAAATGAGCTAAGTACAACCATGTTGCTTGAGAAATAGCATTTGTTTAGAGGCAGAATATGAAAATTTGTTCTAGTAAAACTTCATTTGAAAGGGGCAATAAAAATAACTTCTGCTGTCTTGGAAAGTTATCTGTTGAAAGTGTTCTACTGATGGATGTGTATTTTACACAGATGGACAGAAATAGGAAGAATGGAGTAGAGGGTTCAGCTTACAGGGAGGAGCGTTTATGGCCTTATGTCAATGAAGCACAGGGTACAGCATGGCAAGAGTCTGTTTACCAAGGTTAGTGTGCCTCCTTCAACACAAGTCAAGTTTAAGGATTTATATCCCTAATTGGAGTGTTTCTTAAGTATCGGTTACACATATTTAAAATAACAACATAAAAGTAAAGATAATTGAAAATGTGTCAGTTAGGTCTCTTACAATGACTGTTTTAACATTTAAGAAAAAAACTGGAAGCCACAGCACTGAATATGACCTATTTGCACAGAATATCAAAGGAAAATTTGATTCCATTCCAGATGAAATTCTTCAGCCAACTCTAACTATGTTATTTACACCCAGGCTTTATAAGATTGATTAAACTGAGTTTTAAGTATCTTTGTATAAATAATATAGTCAAAGCTTGCTGACTTGAATTCAATTATATTCATTTTTGACAGTGTAATTGGTATCAAATTTAATTCTAATGATCTGCAAAGCTGATTTCTTTTGTCTTCCTAATTGTGATGAAGGATTTTTTTTTTTTAGCAGAACGAGGCTATTGTCATCTTCGCTTTACCCTTAAACAGAAAAAGTATTCAGTTTCAATTTATTCATACCAGAGAATAGAACACCAACTAATTATTATTCACTGTGCTGAAAAAATCCTATTAGGTAGTTCACATGAAAGAAGAAAAATAAACCCTGCTAACCATTTACTTTCCAGAGATTCACCCCTTGCTAATAAGTGACCTTAACCAAAGAAACGCTTTCTTATAGAAGGGTTATAACTTGTCATATTATCTCATTGACTGGCTTATGGATGTCTCTTTCTGTCATAGCAACTAAAATTCCTTCTGGTATGAGCCTTTTGGTGCTGAATGGTGCATTGTTTTGACATTGACTTTAAACTGGAATAAAATTCTAGGTGAGCTGTTCTTATAAGCTATCCTGTCCCACAGAAAGTCCACAACAAATTTACTTTCTTGAGGTCAGTCCCAGTCCTGAATGTTCTGACCCAATCGCTTTGTGTTTTCAAAGCTATTCTTATTTCTAGAAAATAGGCTTCAAAAAATGAGCTGTCTTTCAGAATAGGTCTGAGAAGAATGAAGGATCTACTATTCATGCTAATGATGGACCATTTTAGTGCACGTGTTTGCAGACTTAGACTTGTGGTAGTAAGGGAATTGTATTTTCTACTTTTTTCACTTTATACCAACCCTTTCTCTTCGACTAGCTAGTCTTTTGTGTCCTTTCTACCTTGCCCTCGCTGCTTAAAATCCTCACTTAGGGCTATACACCACCAAGTACCCTATGTTCAGAATCTATTTCTTCAGATGAGCTCTAAGAGAATTATAGACTTCAAGTGGTGATGTACCTTTGGATGTCTCCTTTTTTTTTCTTTTTCTTTTCTTTCTTTTTCTTTTTTTTTTTTTTTTTTTTGTGAGATGGAATCTCCCTCTGTCACCTAGGCTGGAGTGCAGTGGTGCGATCTCGGCTCAGTGCCACCTCCGCCTCCTGGGTTCAAGCAGTTCTTCTGCCTCAGCCTCCCGAGTAGCTGGGATTGCAAGCATGTGCCACCACACCTGACTATTTTTTGTATTTTTAGTAAAGATGGGGGTTTCACCATGTTAGCCAGGCTAGTCTCCAACTCCTGACCTCAGGCAATCTGCCTGACTCAGCCTCCAAAAGTGCTGGGATTACAGGTATGAGCCACCATACCTGGTCGGATGTCTCTTAACCTAAAATTCCATCTGATGTAGCAACTCTACCACAGTATACCCCAGGGATTTGCTTTATTCTATCCAGTGACTGAAAAGGAGTCACAGACCTCAAGTATATTTTTAGCAAAAAAAAAAAAAACTTTAATAAAAATATGTTTTCCTTTCAAGTTTTAGCCATTAGTCTTAGTTACTACTGTGAAAATACATAATATGTCTAAATTTTCTTTTACATAACCCATTTAATATATATATATTTTTTTTGAGATGGAGTCTCGCTCTCTCACTCAGGCTAGAATGCAGTGGTGCAATCTCGGCTCACTGCAACCTCCGCCTCCCAGGTTCAAGTGATTCTCCTGCCTCAGTCTCCCGAGTAGCTGAGATTACAGGCGTGCACCATCACGCCCAGCTAGTTTTTGTATTTTTAGTAGAGATGGGGTTTCACCATGTTGGCCAGGCTGGTCTCGAATTCCTGATCTCAAGTGATCCGCCCATGTTGGCCTCCCAAAGTGTTGGGATTACAGACGTGAGCCACCGTGCCCAGCCAATATTTTCCATTCTGTATCATGTGTTCACATCTGTTCCTCCATTTTTCTAGCTTTTGAGTTTTTCCGTTATCTATACTCCTATGGTATTGAGGTCTCAGCACTACCTTCACAACAGGGTGATTATTATTAGAATAATGCAAGAACATACTCTACTTCATGATAGACTCTTCTCAAAATTTGTCACCCAGAAAATAACTAAGATACTCCAAATAGTGTTTAATCAGACAGGCTATGCTACTCTCTAATGTTCGTATTTTGGTCTACAAAATTGACAAATAGATCAATGGAACAGAATAGAGAGTCTAGAAATATACCCACAAAAATATAGTCGATGTATCTCTGACAAAGGAGCAAAAGCAATTTAATGGAGAAAGGATAGTGTTTGTAACAAATGGTGCTTCTCTTAGTTCATTCGTGCTGCTATAATGAAACATCTAAGACTGCATAATTTGTGTATAAACAATAGAAATGTATGGCTTACAGTTTTGGAGGCTGGGAAGTTCAAGATCAAGGTGCTGACAGATTCAGTGTCTGGTGAAGGCCCCTGTCCTCATAGATGGCACCCTCTAGGTATCCTCACATGGTGAAAGGGCGGAAGGTCAAAACAGTTGACAAATGTTGTGCTTTCCCATGGCAGAAAAGGAGAAGAGAGGAAACCCACTCTCTTAAGCCTGTTTATAAGGGTCCTAATCCATGAGGCCTCTGCCCTCAGGACTTAATCACGTTTTAATGACCCCACCTCTTAATACTGTCACACTGGCTATTAAGCTTTAACTCACAAATCTGGGGAGATATATTGAGACCATAACAGTGCTAGGGGAACAACTAGACATCCAAATGCAAAAAAGTTTGTCTGAACATTGACTTTTCACATTTCACAACTAATAACTCAAAATGGGTTATATACCTAAAAGTAAAATGCAAAACTATAAAATTCTAGAAGATAACATAGGAGAAAATTTAAGTTACCATGGGTTTGGCAATTACTTTCTTGATGACAACACCAAAAGAACAATCCATAGAAAAAAATCAGTAAGTGGATTTCATTGAAATTAAAAACATCTGCTCTGTGAAAAAAATGGTCTAAGATAATGAGAAGATAATCCATAAACTAAAAGAAAATGGCAAAACATATAGCTGATAAAGGATGTGTATCTAAGATATGCAAAGAATTCTTAAACTTCAATAAGAAAACAAACAACCCAACTGAAAATAAGTAAAAAAATCTGAACAGACATCTCACCAGAAAAGACATATAAATGTCAAATAAGTATATCAAAAGATGCTCAACATCATATGTCATTAGAGAATTACAATCAAAACAATGAGATAGGCCAGGTGCCATGGCTCACGGCTGTAATCCCTACACTTCAGGAGGCCATGGTGAGCGGATCGCTTGAGCTCAGGAGTTGAAGACCAGCCTGGGCAATATGGTGAAACCCCGTCTCTACAAAAATACAAAATTTAGCCAGGCATGATGGTGGGTGCCTGTAATCCCAGCTACTCACGAGGCTGAGGCAGGAGAATCATTTGAACCTAGGAGGCGGAGGTTGCAGTGAACAGAGATCGCACCAATGATCTCCAGTCTGAGTGACAGAGCGAAACTCCATCGCCAAAAAAAAAGAAAGAAAAAAAAATTAGTCGGGCATGGTAACGCATGCCTGTAGTCCCAGCTAATCAGAAAGCTGAGGTGGGAGAATCACCTGAGTGTAAGAGGCAGAGGTTGCAGTGAACCAAGATTGCACCATTGCACTCCAGCCTGGATGACAGAGCCAGACTGTTCCCCTCCCCCACCCAAAAAAACAACCAATGAGATACCACTGTACACCTACGAGAAATGAGCAAAATCCAAAACACTGACACTCTAAATGCTGCCAAGTGTAAGGAGCAACAGGAACTCTCATTCATTGCTGGCAAGAATGCAAAATATAACTACATCATAAGATAGTTGGACATTTTTTTAAATAAAGTGAAACATAGTCTTATTATTTGACCCAGCAATTGCATTCTTTGGTATTTACTCAAATAAAATGAAAATTTATATCCACAGAAAAGCCTGTACATGAATGTTTATAGCAGCTTTCCTCATAATTGTCAAAACTTGAAGCAACCAATATGTCCTTTAATAGATGAATGGATAAACAAACTACAGTACATCCAGACAATGGAATATTTTTCAGTGATAAAAAGAAATGAGCTACCAAGCCACAGAAGGACATGAAGGAAGTTTAAATGCATATTGCTAAGAGAGATAAGCCAGTCTGAAAGGCTATATGCTATAGGACTCTAACTATATGGCATTCTGGAAAAGGCAAAAGTGTAGAGACAGCAAAAAGAAAAAAAAAATCAGTGGTTTTCAGAGCTTAGGAGTAAGGAAGGAATAAATAGGTGTAACATAGGGGATTTTTAGGGGAGTGGAACTATTATGTGTCATACTGTAATGATGGACACATGATATATATTCACAAAATCCACAGACTTGCACATCACAAAGAGTGAACCCTACTGTATCTAAACTGTGGACTTTAATTAATAGGAATGTACTGATTCCTATTGTAACAAATATCCTACATTAGTGCATGATGTTAATAATAGGGGAAGCTGTGTGTGGGGAGAAGAAGTACATGGAAACTCTGCCCTTTCTGTTCAAATGTTTCTATAAACCTAAAAATTCTCTGACTATCTATATCTATCAACTATAACCAACAGTATTGAAAAAGGGCCATGAAAATAGAGTAGATTATAAATATAAATGACTGAAAGATGTCAGGAAATGACTGCACTTCTTTGAAAACTATTAAATAAAGGGGGAAAATTCTCTTCTTTTACAGTTGAAGAGGAAAAATTTCTTATTCTGAAATAGTTTATATACAATGAAGAATGATAGAATATCACCATTCTGTAGCCCCTAATGAGTTAATGGATCTAAACAATGATCATCAATTGCTACTAACATCAGAAGGAGAGAAAACTAGACTCAGGAATTTCATGATGAAAGTACACAACCCTGTCCATTAAGCAGTTTAATACCAACTAATAAATACATAAATTCTAAATTTGATAAATATTTATACATAATACCAATTCAAGGTAGAGAGAAACGTTAAAAATAGCGCACGTATAAAGTTACAATTCACATTTAAAAGTGTGTATTAAAAAATGTCTGGCTTATCATATGAAACATGGCAATAAAAAAGATCTAGAGGAAAATTAGAGTTTAAAAGAGACTTAAACCTAAATATAATATAGAATCCTAGAATGCTCGCTGGATTAGTGGAAAAACTGGTGAAATTCAAATAAAGTCTGTAGTTTAGTTTTCAGTATTATAGTAATGTTATTTCTTAGTGTTGAAGTACCATGATTATGTAAGACGCTAACATTAGCAAAAACTGAGTAAAGAATGTCAACCTAAAAAAAGAAATCAGAGAAAAATGTCTGAAAGTATGTTGAGTTTATTTGGGAATTACAAAAGAGGACTATAATCTCAGATCCATGGGTATGGCAAGCCATATATGCACCTGAAAAAGGAGGGTAAACAAGCTTTTGTTGACACAAGGAGAAGTTCACATAAACTACTTGGAAACAGAGTTCATTGATTTCAGAGGCTCAAAGCCAGAGATAGCATCAGTTCATTGGTGGAGATGCCATTACTGGGCAGATGTTCTTCCAAGAGCATCTTATCTACAGCATCTTATTGCTGCAGTCCTAAAGAAGGAATAATTTTTTTTGTCGGGTTATTTTAGAAAGTCCTTGAGACAGTCTTTATCTCAGATATGCAAGCACGAGCTCTCCCTCTTCATGCTTTCCTGGCTCTAATTTGTTTGGGTCTGACAAAAAGTGATTTCATGCTGGCATCTGCAACTTTCACAAGGATATACCAAAACTCTCTGTACTAGCTTTGCAGCTCTTCTGTATACCTAGAATCACTTTCAAATAAAAAGTTTATTTTTAAAAAGACCCTTGAAAGACATATCAGCGATATATGGACATTATCTTGATCCCAATGCAAACAGATTGCAAAAATAATTACAAGGCAGATGAGGAGATGTGAACATTGGCTGAATATTTGATGATGATGATAAAGAATAATTCTACTAATTATTGTTAATAATTTAGGTATCATCATAGTACAAATGCTATGTTTGAAAATAATTTAAGTATACATATTAAAATATTTCAAGATGCAAGGATGTAATATAATAGCTGATAATTGCTTCAGAATAATCTGACTAGGCATCCAGATGAGGTAATAAGAAGGGAAGAAAGAAAAAGAAAAAGGAAGAAAGGCGGGGAGGGAAGGAGAGAGGGAGGAGGGAGGGAGGGAGAGAGAGAGGAAGGAAGGAAGGGAGGGAGGGAGGGAGGGAGGGACGGAGGGAGGGAGGGAAGGGGAAGTCTGGCTTTCCTGAATCAATTGTTGTTGATGTAAACATTAAGTGCAAGTAATGTTAGGAGTTTCACATATATCATCACATTTAAATTTCACAACACTTTTTATAAGATAAACATTTTACAGCTGAAAAATCCAAGTATCAAAGTAGTTAACTATCTTTTCTTAAGACACAAAACCATTAAGTAATGTAGTGAAGATTGGAATCCACATCTGCAGGTCTCTGAAGCTAATGCCCCTTTCTTGTGAAAGTAATTACTAGTAAGCGTATTGTATCAGGACCACAAGCTCCAGGCCACAGGTGAGAGAGGCAAGTCTTCCTGGATGCCACAAATTCACTCAAGTTATGCCTCTCTGTCATATCATGAGCTTCCTCAGACTGGCTGCATTGGTTTGTGTTGTTTTCTAGTAATAGTGATGGCTTACACTCCCCAAACCACATCTTTATATATATAGTCTCCTTTATTATCAACAGGGCACCCTCGAAATGGTACGTGACTAAGGTCAGGGATGCAGCCTTATGTTTTGCATTCTTTGAAATCAATGTGTGATTAGAATATGTAAAATGATGATGACAATAATAATGGTGATGATACCTATATCGACAGGACCCTGTCCTAATGAACTGGTCATCCATGCGGAAGTCAAGAAAGGGATAGACTCCTTACATCATATCCTCCAGGCAAAAGTGGAATTTATTGAATTTTGGACAGACAAAGCTCACGGATTTAAGATGGAGTCTCAGCAAATTGCCACATAAAAAACTATCAGAGGAGAGGTACTGACAACCTACTGTGCTCATCCTCTGGGAAGTTTTGGTCGTGTCTTAAAGGCAGTGCTCCTTACTTTAACTAATACTTGAATGAACTTGTAGGTGGCACAGATTCAGGGAGTCTGTAGAACCCAATATATTTTGACATTAAATATCAATAGAGTTAGGTATAATGAATGCTAAGGTACATTACCTCTGTAGCTGGTTATACCAATACATTTTTATATTGCTCCTCAAAACATAATAATGTTAATTATTATAGCCCAAAACCCATATCCAGTTCTTTTCCAGATATTGTGACTCAATGTGAGTGTTATTTCAGTCTCACAACAATCCCTTGATAGAAGAATGATTGGTTCTACTTTATAAATTTAAATGCATAGGAAATATAATTATTTGTATAAGGTCAAGCAGCTAGATCAGTCAAGATTGTGTCTTTTCCATGAGGTTATTTTTTCTGGTATTAAGGGACGGTTGCTATGGTTCCTGCTACAGCTGTTGCTTTGAAAGATGACATTTCCTTGGCGGAGATACTTTGTATACTGCTCTACCATCTTAATTGCATGTGGATAATGGTTCAAACACAGCCACATCCTCTGGGGAATGAGGCGGCAATCCCAGCACTGTCCAATAGGCAGTTTGGTGGCTCTTCAGAAAATTCTCTCTGTGAAGACTTGTTCTCAGCAATCACAAGAGATATCAGTCAAAGCTATAGCAGAAGTTTAGCAGAAATTCCACCAAAAAGATATAAACAGATGACAGAAATGGAAGGGAAGAAGGTGTTTGAGGTACTCCCATATAAAGCAGATATCTATAATCTCCAAAAAATTATGCCAAGTATTTTTTTTTTTTTGGAGACGGAGTTTCACTCTACTTGTACAGGCTGGAGTGCAGTGGCGTGATCTCAGCTCACGGCAACCTCCGCCTTCCCAGTTCAAGCGATTCTTCTGCTTCAGCCTCCCAAGTAGCTGGGATTACAGGCGCCTGCCCCCATGCCCAGCTATTTTTTTGTATTTTTTGTAGAGATGGGGTTTTGCCATGTTGGGCAGGCTGGTCTCGAACTCTTGACCTCAGGTGATCCGCCTGCCTTGGCCTCCCAAAGTGCTGTGATTACAGGCGAGAGCCACCGCGCTCGGCCGCCATGTATTTCTTTAGGTCCTGAAATTAGTCATGTATTTTTACAGGCAGTATATATTATATATTTGCTGTCTGTGTGTGTGTGTGTGTGTGTGTGTGTGTGTGTGTGTGTGTGTGATTATCAGGCTAGAGGTGACTGCACATGCTCTGTCACTTCACCCATTGTGAGGAGGCCTCTATACCACCTCCTCTTGAATGGGTAGGTTCTGTAACTGCTCTGACCAACAGAAAACAACACAAGCGGTGTGATGCCAGGCCCAGGTCAGCTTCCACTTTCTATCTCGTGAAACATTTGCTCATGGAACCCTTGCTCTGGAGGAAATCAACTGTTAATGTAAGAAGTCTGACTACCCTGAGACTGCTAGCCTGGAAGAGCCAAAGACGCATGAAGAGGGCCTGGAAGATAAAATGCCAGGTGGAGAGAGAAGCTAAGGAGCACTGCAGTGCCAGCCATATGAGTGAAGATTTCATCTTGAAATGCAATCCTCAAGTCTTGGGAAACTCTGATGATGTCATGTGAACCAGAGACAACCCACCTAGCCAAGACCATTCAAATTCCTTGACACATAAAACTGTAAGCAACATAAAATGGTTGCTTTCAGCCCCTTGGTTTATGGGTACTTTGCTTTACAACCATAGATACCTAAAAAATACATGCTAAAATAATCAGATAATGAGATTTGTTTTTAAAAATAACAGGTTGTCTCTCTGTAATAATTAGTAAACTAAAGCCAATAAGAGAACTTTGGTTAGAAGGAAGGGGGTGAACAAACTTTTTCAAAGTGGAAACACATTAGTTATAATTAAAACTTAATCTTAGGCATTTGTAATTAATACCCCTCATTTAGTGGTTTAGAAAAATACTGTTAGAGATTTAGTTTTATAGTGTTGATATAAGGTAGTGATTTTTCAGAAGATTAAAAAAACCTATGGCAGCCATTTTTCTATAAATTAGATTTGTAATATAGTAAGGGATAGCATCTTTCCTATAGGAAAACAGATTATTTCTTTGCAGAGGAACTTGAGACATAACAGAAGTTCCAGATCTTGCGACAATTATAATACAGAAGGTAGAATAATAAATGTTTCAAAGATGTGGAGTCTTTGTCCTCAAAATGGCAAAAAAATATATAATTTGTAAAGGTACACATTTTTTATATTCTTGGGTATTTATCACAGTGCCAATTTTGAGCTCATTTTGCATAATGGTGGTGAACCAAATGCATGAATTTACTTTTGCTTCCCTTCAACCATTCCATTAAAACAACAATAAAAATTGTTCTCAAACACCGTAAACCCACAAAGGCAACAAAATGGGACAAGAGACAAGAGCAATAAAATATTAGAGGCTGAGAAACAAAACCCAAAACTGTCTTAGCAGTCAGAAAAACAGAGACACACTCTGAACTGCACCGCTGATTCCTTCAAAGAATTGGGGCACCAGGGAAATTTGCAATAAAAAATGAAGGTGGGGCTGAAAAACAGAGAGACTTTTCAAGATGTAATCACATCTCCTCCCTGACTTAGTTCCCTCTCCTCTACCTTGTTAAAATACTAGACATTCATTTGCTGCAGAGGGTAACATACAGGATTTCAGAATTCAGGGATAGGTTGATGTCAGGGACACCACACTATCAACAGGGTGATAAGAAACATGAATATCCTAACTCCATTTCTTCACTCAGCTTTCAGGTAAGGCAGCTAGGTCTACTTCCTTCAGAGAAGAGATGAGAGGGTCTTTCTCCAAGAAACGTGACTGGCTCTAGGCAGGTACCTAAAATTACTGACATCACAGCCTCCTCAAGAAAGCAGGCCAGGCAGCAATTACCCTGTCTTAAAGCTCAGAATGGGTAAACTCACACACACTCAAAAGACTTTCATTGTTTTCATGATGCCCATTCGTAAATCAGAGCAAACAACCTAGGTTCGCCAGGTTCCAACTATCTGATAAAAGTTTATAATGTGATAAATAGTGAGCAAATCGAACACAAAATAAATAATTTGAAGGAAAGGAGAATATGCAGAACAGCAGACAAAGAAGGAAAAGATCTCATTAATACCTTCAGAGAGGAAAGGGAAGAAATTTCATTGATGAAGCGAGAACAGGAAATCTATTTTTAGGAAAGAAATAAAAATAATTTTCTTCAGATGAGATCAAGAAAGAGGGGCAGAAAGCCACAGATGACATGTCACCAAACCCCAGGGTATGGGCAGTCAGTTGTGGCCAGCGCCCTCAACCCGTCAACCTCTAGCAACAGGGCCAGTGAAGAATCAGCTGTTATGTAGCAGGAGCGGCAGGAGATGAAGTGGAACCAAAGGTGGAACCCGAATAGACAACACTTTCTTCCAAAAGGAGAGGAGATACCATGTGATGAAACTAACTGGAAGAATAACTAGCTGAAAGAGGAGACAGCCCCGCAGCCTCCAAGATGAGGAGCACAAAACCATATGTGGGGAGTCCCTAAGAGATCAAAAGGGGTGTGTTAGTTAGTTAGTCTAAGCACTTGAGAATCTCAGAAATAGCAGCAAATCACTCATGAAAACCCTTCCAAGAGCACAGAGCTGAAAGAGAAAAAGAAATTGCTAGGAAGGGGAATAAGAAGGTTTACATTGTAGGGAGCCAGGATGCAGAAAAAGCAGATACTGAAAAGTACTATAACAGCAAAATATCAGTAAAACTTCTCAAAGGAGAGCACCATCTCCAAAGGCAAGGCCTGATGCCTCTGGGAAACACTAGCTGAGGGGCAGGAAACCTTGCAGAGCCAGACCTAGCTCCGATTCAATAGGCCTCCAGAGGGCCATAAGCTAACCACAGGGGAGGGAGCCCTGCAGCTTGACCAACATGCACACAGGAGGGTTCTCTGTCACCCAAGACTGAGTTAATCTCTTGAGACAGTTCAGAAGAAATATTCCTCAAGAGGTGACAATCTATTTGGGTAGAGACAACATCCATGCATGCAACAGTCCTGATATCATAGGTTCTCTGATTGGTTGAATTATTAGGTTAGAATTTACATCAATGCATATCCAGGTCACAGTGAATTCTGCACACCAGTTCGGGCACTTACAAGTTGTTTGAACTTGGACCTTCTCTCAGTTTCCTCTCTATAAAATGGGAAGAGCAACAAAACATTATCATAGGTATTTTGTTTATATTAAGTAAAATTAAACATTTAGAACCAAATGTTAATAAGCATTTAATAAGTATTTGCCCACGTCATTACGATTATTACTATCCAATTGTACAGTAATAGAATACTCTTTCTGAGCTGATCGATCTCTGTCACAGTATGTAAAAACATCAAAGTCATGTAATGAAAGGATAGGAATAGATTTGTAAACCCAAAAAAGACCCCAATGTAGATCTGAAAATCCAGAAGAGACCATGGGTCTCACCTCTATAATCTCATTGCCTGCAATAGCATCTGGTATTCCCTTGGTACTCAGTCAAATCATGTTAAATGAGAAGCAAAGAACTATCATCACTATTAGAGAAACAATTCAAAGCTCATGTCCAATATTCAATGTTTTAATACTACCAGATTCTTGACAATTATTATGCATGGGAAGGTTTAATTTTTGACTTTATTGTGTATGTTTTCTGCACAAATAAATCACAAATACAGTTTAATTTTATAAGATTTAGTGGGTCTTTTTTGTTTGTTTCAGAAAACTTTTAAATGAAAGAAGAATATATGTAATTACAATTTTAAACATTAAAATAATATTGTTCTTAATATCATTGTACAAGACAGTATACTTACTCTAAGGATAAGGAAAGATATTTATTATCTAAGTAATTAAACATAACTAAGCAGTGAAAATATTATATTTATTTTCTCATTCAATATTCAGTAATAGATGTTTTTCTTTAAGAAAAAGATGTAAAGCTCAAAACAAATATCTTTTTTCTATCTGAAGTAAGCAATATTTCATGTGAAGCTAGAATGTGCTACTCTTATGATCTGTGACCAAAACATGCTGTAATAATTCATATTATATCACATTATAAATAAAGGAGGCATAAATTCACTATATGCCCTGTCTCAGAGTTATATTCTAAATATTTAGCTGATTCTTTCTAGGCACTGACCAATGAGAAAGGATGCTGGCTATCAACAAACTGTTCAGCTGTACTGGACCTACAGCTGAGTATCAGCCAGGTCTGACCCCCATTCTTTTAAAAATACATGTTTAAGCCACCTTAAAGAAAAAGTAAATTCATAAAACCTGCAAGGAGTATTTATTGTTCTTTTCTGGAAGCATGCAACCAGTATACTCTCCAAGCCTCTCAACATGAATAGCAGCAAAATATTCATTGTCATTCTACCATATCATCATCTCACGAAAAACTTAATGGGCTACAGTGGGTCCTTAATCATTTGGAATAACAAAAATACAGTGTTGAGACTAGAATGCCGTAAAACATGAGTTATGTATAAATGCAATATGTTCATTCTTTCATTGATTTTATTTCCCCTATGGAACATATAAACACCTTCCGTAGGTCTTTGTCAGCTAGATTATTAATTTTCGCTTTAAATTCCAGTGTAGTTTTTGCTAGTCTTAAAAATGCTTGCCTTTGCTTCTGCATATTCCCCTGGAAGGAGATATTATGAATATTTTTTTTTCAATAGAGTTTCCTTGACATTATACTTAGGGAAGGTGATTTCTCCTGTTGATTTCTTTGATATTCATTCCTCATGTGTTTTCTCCAGATACTCTTAGTGTGTTTGCATTTTTCCTTTTCAATTGCATGAAGCCCTGTGATATCGCACAGCCACAGGAAATCTTTCCTACTTCATTTTAAATCATTTTAATTGAATCACAGAGTCAGAACATAGTTTCTCACTGAAGAAATTTCTCCTCATTTTATTATTAGTGTATGACTGCTGAATGCATTTAAACGTAGTTAACGCTGAGGACGATTGTACTGCATTTTCCGTTTTTCTTCCAGTAGTAATACCTCTCAGGATTCTTAAGTCTCCCTGCTTATGATGTGATAGGAGAACGCTTGAGGCTTTTGCTGTAGGCTTTTCCCCAGACAAGGGATTAAACATTGAAGAATGCAGCAGCAGGGGACCCTGCAGGCGTGGTCTCAAATTACACTAGAGGGAATGTAAAATGCATACCCTTCTCTCTCTCCCTCCCAGAAAAGGGCTGTCACCCACCTCCTACAATGATGCTGATTTCTGGTGTAACAAATGCCTAATGATTTGACCCTGACTTTCTCCCATAGCTCTACAAGGCAGAGATAAGTGTGGCCGGGCTGTCATGGTGCAAAGGTTGTGGGAAAAGCAGCAGGAGGCTTTCAAAGGCTTCCAAGGGTCCTGAGTGCTAAAAGTGAGACCAAGTCTTTAATAAGCTAAAATACAAGTTCAATTTGTAACCTCATTTAGTTCTGAAAGGAGGACCTTACCCATAAGGAAAGAACAGCACATTTTAAGGAACCAGGATTTTGTCTGTGTTGTTTTTCTGCCCTTTCAATGAAATATAATTATTCAATGAATAACTAACCTTAACTAGACTTGTGCAAAAAGAAACAGGACCTACAGATTCTTTCCCTGACACCAGGTTCCTACTTCTCATATTCATTCATCAGCATTGCCAACATTGTTCTATCCTGTTTGACATAAGGGGTAATGGTTTTGCATTTATAGAGAAATCTTAAAACTAGGAACCAAAAGAATAGAAGAAATTAGAAATGTTAACTCGAGGATCATCCCAAGAATAGCTAATTAGAAAATATGAACCCTACCGGGTTAGAAAAACGAAGTTATTTTAAGGAGAGAAATATTTTAAACAAAATTTTTAACAAATTGGAAGCTGCAATAGATATAATGAACAGATACAATGCAAAGATAACAGATCATATTCAGTCATCTTTCCAATAGCCAAAATTGCTACATAGTGCTGGCAATCAGACACTTCGTAGAAATTAAGCATGCCATTAGACTTAGTAACAAAAACTGGATTTGATTGCCAACTCCGCCATTTAGCACCTCTTGAATCTCAGTTTTTCTTTCCAAGAAAGTGGAAAAAAATGCACATCCGCCACCTCTTATTCATGAGTTTTTGTGAAGTTTATTTTAAAACATTTTTTAAAGTGCCCTGTAAACTTTACACATATGCACAATTGGAATTATAGCAGTGCTTGTTGACTGAAGGAGAAACAAGTAGAAACCTCATCTCGCTACTGACAATAACTTGTAGCCTGACCTTGAAGTAGAGCACTAAGTTATGTACTATCTCAGATCTTTGTCTGGCTTAATTTCATGTGTGCAAGGATCCTCCTCCATGAAAAAAATATATAAGCTTCTAGATCACCGTCCATTGTTTTCCACTCTCCATGGCACATAACTCAAGAGCATGAATGCAAAGGCAGAGTCCCCTGAAGTTAAGCCTAGCGCTGCCACCTCATATTTCTGGGATGTCAAGCAAGCCAAATAACTTCTTTGAAGCTAAAATTTTTTATCTGTGAAATGAGCATAGTAACATCTACCTCATAAAGTTGCTGCAAAGAGCTAACTTATAACGTTATGTAAGGCACCTAGTAGAGTATTTGGCACAGTGATGGGATTTTTATTGTCTCTATTTTTTAAATGATTTCAAGATCCTTTAACACAATCTTACAGAAATGACATTTCCAAGTGTGAAAAGTTTGAGATGAAATGAATTCTACCTTCAAAGTGTCCTCAGGCAAACCATCACAGCCAACTCATTCCCTCCAATATTGGCTTTCAAGGTCTTACATTCTTAAACACTTCTGCTTACTTAACTTACTTAAAAGGAAATTATCACCCTGTCTCTCACAGTTCAGAGAAGCCAAAAAAAGAAAAAAAGAAATACTTTCAAAAGTTACCACTTAACCATTATCCACTCCACAAAGCAGAGGTCGACTTCCTCAGCTATTAGGTCTCCACAGCTGGATTCCATTTGCTCTAGCAAGTGTTGGTGATCTTGTTACTGCCTGAGAACCAACTCTTTTCATTTGAACCCCTTCTTATCTGTACCTTCAGGGCTTCTATCATTTTCCCCTCTGTATCTATCAAGAAGCCCACTCATTGTTCAAGGTTAAGGTCAAGCGCTATCTATTCCTATGAAGCTTTCTGGTCTACTTGTCCCCATGTTAACTTTCTGACTCTGAATCCTTGATGTGTGTCACCCTAAATTTATCAAAATAGTCAGAATCCAATTTAAAGAGAGTTTATGCACGTGCAAAGTTTGAGGAAAGCCCACCTGCAAACACCAACTCTAAAAGAATGGAGTCAGCATTCCCAAGCAGGGAAGTTAACATTTATAGGCAGACATAGAGTTTTTAGCAGGATTACCAGGTATTCATACAAACTTGGCTCATCGTTACAGCAGTTTGATTGGTTATAGGCAGTGTTTCTTTTGGGGAAGGGTACATTTAACATTTTTTACAGAGGCTGGAATAGCCATGGGTTTTCTGTCATCTGGTTTAAGCAAAGCAGAACAACAAAGGGGAAGTTAATCTATAGCAAGGGTCGTTAATTAAGAAGGCAGGAGGTTTTTGTCCCTGACATCATTTAATTATCTTTAGTCATTGTACAGAACAAGGAAAATAAGAAAATGAAGTAATCTATAATCTGAGAAATAGAAGTTGTAGCCATATGTGACTCAGATCACAGTCACATCTCTCTCAAGGCTTAAAGTGTTTTGGGGGCTTCGATAGCTTTTAAATTATATTTATTTTCACAAGTCATTACTTTCTGCACTACTAATTCTACACTTCCGTTGCTTAATAATTTAACCATTACTGTTTAAAGCAGAGTTTTGTTTTATACATAATGTCTTCCAAGATGATCTAAAATTGTACTGTAAACAAGATCTTCTATTTTATATATATAATGTCCGACAAAACCAAATTATATTGAAAACATCCCAAAGCACTGTAAGTCTAACACTGATGATTCATGGGGTAGAGGGAGGTCTCTGCACCAAGGTTCTGATTCCATTATCCCAAAGACAAGAATTAATTATGGTTTCTTTTTTTATTATGCATTTATCCCATTCGGCCACACAATGGTCTTCACTTGTTTTATTGGCTGCTCTTATTGCTATGGAAAATGTCAGCAAGTGCTAGCAGAAATCTGCCTGCTGAGGAGACCACAGGAGCAGACACAGGTCCTTGCCTGCAGTTACAAAAACACTCTCACTATCCATACAATATTTATTCTGTTATTTAAAAGAGACACCTTTGATTGCCAAGGCTGTAAATCTAACTCCTTTTTCCTAAAACAAAAGATCACTGAACAGAAAGAAAAAAACAAAAGAATTGCAGTGGTGATGAGGTGAAGTGATAAATGCATGAAATTTTCACATTAGCTAGGTGAAAATAAGGACAAATTCTTGAAGTTACAGAAAGCTAACTAGGTACATAATAGGTAAAAATAAAAATGTAGGCTTGCACTGGGGAATTACTGCCTTTCAAACATTTTTTGAAAATATTGGGCTCTCCCTAAACATACAAAACTATGAGAAAGGTGGTTTTATGTGGATTATTTTCCCTAAAAGACAAATGCCCCAACCACCTTTACACTATCAGATTGTCTGTACTTCTTTATCTGTCTATAAAGGGTACTTTCTACTTCAGAGCCTTGCCAAGAGTCCCATGCCCTAGTTGGAAATAAAGGAACTACAAGAAGCTACATCAAGTTTTATATCTAGGGGTGTCTCTGGGAAGATGCCCAGAGTCCCTGAGTCAGTATCCAGAATGCACCACACCTGTATGGAAAACATTTCTCTAATACAATCATTTTAATATTCCTGTTTTTTTTCCCCCATAACTTTTGTCCAGTCTCCAGTTGCAAGAGGAATTACTTAGGCCAGTTTCACAAAATATTATTGCTAAATGTATCATATTATAATAATTAGAAAATTAGCTGCATATTAGAGAAGTTTAAACAAATGAAAAACAGTAGGAAGACATTTGGCCAACTTTATATGGCAAGGTGGAATAGCAATTTTCTACTTGATGGGATACAAATGTTCATGAGCTCCACACTTACACCTTAACGGAGTGAGTCTCCTGGCATTTGTCCAGCACCTGAAGTCCTATCACCCACCGAGCCATCTTCCAGTTCAACATTCTGAGGAAAGAGCTTTCCTACAAAAACAGTTTCCTCAACTGCAAGCTGTAAATGACTTTTTACTTTTAGTAACTTTATTAATATAGTTTCGCTACAGATAAAACTTACAGTTACAACATTTTTCTAGGGCTTATGACTTATTTCTACCAATTCCTTTAGCCAGAATTATACTTTCATTTCCCGCAGTCCTAGTCAGATGCGATAGGTTATTAATGAAAGGCAACTTAGAGCTAGAGGACATGATACCCAGCTGTTTTCAGTGCACAAACAACATGTAATTTCAAAGCTGTTCATTTGAAATCTTAAAATTACCAAATCTCTGGAATATAGGGACAGGAAAATCCTCTATTCATGTTCATAAGGTTTACTTCCAAAAAGTCTAAACTTCTGAAAAGAAAATGAATCCATTAGGTGAAACTGGCATTCAATATTTTGCTCAAAATATGTGAAATATAACATTTTAAATTATTATTGACTATAGGCACCAGAAGATCCTTCATGCCTATTTCCCAAATAAGCCTGTGAACAAGTATTCTAAAAACTAACTTCTTTGCCCAGAGAAAACTGGAGATGTCATTCAGCCAAGGATGTGAAAGGACTTGATAGGAATTCAGCCACCAAGCTCCCTTTCTTCTAACACATACCCAGAGTCTGCATTTCTGAAAATTAGGCCAGAGAAGATATTCTCATCTGGTTATTCATAATGATGACTGTGCAGCAAAGAAACTCTGGGAAATGCCCTAATAATTTATGAGACAGGAAATAAGGAAGATACAAGATGGGTTAAAAACAGATGAGGAAATTATTATTATTATTAGCCCAGTAATAATTTAGAATTCAGAGGTGGCAGATGGTCACATGGAAAGTTCTCAATGGGAATTGAGGAGCTAAATCAATGGCAATCACCCGTCTCCTCCTCCTACCCTGAAGCTCAAAATAATACATTGATGGTAGTGATTACTATTAAATTGTCATCATTCCTGTTGTTACTACTTTTGAGGCCAGAATTCATGGCTTCTAGATGAATTCATAGAATTAAGACAGTTAGTCATTCTGTCTGAAAGGTAGCTCAGGTGAGAACTCTGTCACTTGTGTGTATAGTCAGCTGGCCTGTGTGTAGTATCTAACTGCAGGGGAGCACGTAGGAAACAGAGGTGTCCTGAGTCCTGCTAGGACTCTTTTCAACCAGGCAAATGGAGCCCTTACAGATTTTGTTTTTTATTGACCTTGGAAATTTAGCTGAGGATTGAAAGGAAGTGAGTGTTAAACAGAAGAAATAGTATAGTAAAAAATTCATCTGATGATGCTTCTAACAGCCCTTCTGATTCCGTATTTGGGGTATTGACTAGTCATATGATCAAATCAGTCTATTTTTAATTCCACTAAGCTTTTCCAAAGTCAAATATATACATTCTTGAACATAACAAATCCAGATTAAACTGACGAGTTAAATTTAGCTAAAACTTTCTGGTTTCATTCACCAGTATCTACCATTTAGCCTTACAGTTGATGGGGTTCAGAAAGACACAGATGTTGAGCGATGCATAAATAAGCCCAGATGAACTGATACTCCAAGATTTTTCCATTCCATTTGCTCATAGTCAGATAGACATAACCATAAAGTTAGAATTTGTAAGAAGCTAAACGGCATTGGCAAAAAAAGAAGCAAAGAACATGACAAATGTTTACTTGAAAAAATGAACAGCAGAAGAAATAATGCAGGTCTCCAACTAAGTAATCATCAAGAGAAAACTGCCATACCGTTGAGATTTTATAAAGAATAGTGTGGAATGTGTTGCAAGGTAATAATAGAAAGTAAGCTATAGAAAGCAAAGATTTTTTTTGAATAAAGGGAAAATAATGTGCTCCAAGGGTCTTTAGAAACATTTCAAATAAAGCTCTGTGATTTGAGAAGAGAACAAATAGAAAGAAAACAAGTAAGAAGCCTCAATTCTCTCCAGGTCCCTCTTTCACATTTGGACAATATATGTTATGTCATGGACTATCAAAGTCTCTATTGCCTGTAGAAATATGGGCACTCACAACTTTAAAAAATTATAGCGTTCCATTTTTTTCACCACTTGCTCAATTATTTAAAATTGTATGGATTATTATCAATTGAGTTAATTTCACTTTCTCATTTCTTAAATAATTAATATCAACTATATTTATTTGCATTTTAATAATAAAAATTTCACTAATTTTCCAATTTCTATTCCTGTTTCCATCTATATTTCTGCAGAATGAAAACTTTGTAGAGCCATTGAGAATGTCAGAGATAATATATATTGCTGGACATGTTATATGCGTCTGGTAACTGTTAGCTTCCCCAAATTTCTAATGTTTAGGGAAATATTTTTAATAGGACACTTAAAAATTACTGCCCCCAATATCCATCATGTCTTTTTAAAGGTCTGAGCAAAGTACCATCAAAACAATTTTCAAAATGCTAAGTCGCCTACACTGCTGTTCCAGATTATCCTTCAAAATAGTTAATAGCTTATTTTTGAGCGCCATTATGTGCAGATTTATGTTTTAGGAAGCTCACAATACTGCTCAGTCCAATCATATCATTGAAGACTGAAAGCATTGAAATGGACAAATTAAGGCATTTCAGGTAAATGTACAAGCTCTGAGCAATTTTCCAGAAAAGTGCAAGGTTTATAATAGGAGTAAGCACAAGTTAGAGTAATTTTGTAGAGCCAAAAAGGAAGCAAGTCAACCCTCTTCAACAAATATTTACTAATCATCTACTACGCAAAAAGAGGCTAGGAGCTAAAAATGCAGCGACAGTGCAATAATACATATTCCAGAGAACTGAACCTCCTCTATCAACTCTCCCGGCCAGTGCTAATCAACATTTTGTCAGCAGATAAAACCCCCTAAGAACTATGGAATTTCAATAGTAAGATACGTAAAAGTGGAAATTTCCTCAGGATGTTGAAGATGTACCCAAAACCAAGGAGGAGGAAATTTGATAGACCCAACATCATACTATCAGAGGAAAGGCAGGCTAAAGTTTTAAGGAAAGAAGAACCACAACCAGCTACATTCTATTTGATTTTTGCAAGTATGTAATTTTCTTTTCTAAAGACCCACTAAAACAGTGCATTTTAATAAAATACTACATAGCAATAAAAAGAACTACTGATATACACAACAACATGGGTAAATCTAACATACAAATGATGACTAAAATAAGCCAAGCAATAAAGAATGCATACTGCATGACTCTATTTGTGTGAAGTTTGAAACAGACAAAAGGGATCCATGGTGATAGAAATCAGGTCGGTATATCCTTGGAATACTCTTGGAAAGGAGCTATTCACTAGGCATGAAGTTTTCTTCTAGAGATGAAATGCTCTACACTGTAATCTGGGTATTGTTTACAAGTGTGTGTGTGCGTGTATGTGTGTGTGTGTGAGAGAGAGAGAATTTATCGAGCTTGTAAATTATGATTAGTGTACTTCACCTTCATGTATACACACATGCATACACACACACTTATATATATACAGATATTATATACTCATGTGTATAAACAGATATATACATCATATATATGATAGTCGACATATACATGCATATACACATCATAGTCTCCTCTCAATCCTCAAGCTCCTTGATAAGGATCATTCTGCCTATAAGTTGAGGATAAAGATTATTTTTTAGTTCCCTTGCAATTCTACAAAATAGTAAAATGACTGATGCAACTACGTCTGAAAATCCAGCTCACTACAGGCAAGGTTATTTTTGTGTATGTTAGTGGGAAAAGAAGGAAAGGTAGCCAGAAAACTGGGTAATAGATCTAATCAACTGTACATGATGGGCCGGGCATTGTGGCTCACGCCTGTAATCCCAGCACTTTGGGAGGCCGAGCTGGGCAGATCACCTGAGGTCAGGAGTTGAAGATCAGCCTGGCCAACATGGTGAAATCCCACCTCTGCTAAAAATACAAAAATTAGCTGGGTATGGTGGCGTATGCCTGTAATCCCAGCTACTCAGGAGGCTGAGGCAAGAGAATCGCTTGAACCTGGGAGGCAGAAGTTGCAGTGAGCTGAGATCGTGCCATTGCACTCCAGCCTGGGCAACACAGCAAGACTCTATCTCAACAAACAACAACAAAATGTACATAAAGCAGATCTAAGTTTCTATTCTTCCAATCACCAATGACCAATATTTTAAGTAGATCAACTGTCTTTTATTTGTTGTGTCTGTACCTTCCCCAGATACCAAGCTCCTTAAAATACATGGCTCAAACGTTTTGCTGTACTTCACAAAACCTAGCATAAAGCTGGGTAGGCACACATAGTGTTCATGTTGCTAACAATCATAAAATTATGCCATTTGTTGATTATCCTTCTAAACAAAATAGTTAATCCTCTTATAAACCCTAGGAAGTAAGTGTTCTTTATGCCTAATCTACAGATGAGGAAACTGAGGCTCAGACAATTCACGGGAATAAAAGGTGGAAGAGCAAGGCCTCAAATGCTGTATACAAATCTCATATTCTCTGCCACCAAAACTTCCGAGTGTTACATTAGACTGATCATAGAACATCTGCTTAGACTGGCTTATGAGCTGAGATTTTCATCACCAGGTTTTACCCTGCATGATCTGTTTAGGGCCCTTGCCAATATTAGCATCCATGCTTATTTAATGTTGCCCGGGAACCTAAAAGGCCCACAGTTCTGCCATCAAAATGGCTTAAAGCCTCACAAAGAGTCAATGGCCACTCACACAATTCACAGTTTGCTTGCTGTACAATAGCCTTGTAAATATGCGTTGTGCTTTTAGTATATCCCCATATTAAATCAGTCAAATGAATCTGCAGAGGGCTTCTCGGTCATCCCATTGGTGAAATTTATCTTCTACTCAATCATTTGTTGTTAAATGTATAATGTAATTAGGAATTGTTTTTGATGTGTATACCAAATGGCCCCTCTATTCTGAACATTTCTTAAATCTATTTCTAAAGTTACAAATTCTAATTTTGTTCTTTCTTGACCTTATCTAGAAGGAAATTCAAGTTTCTTATGATGGCCAGTGATTTTTTTGAACTATGACCAAAGCAGGTTGATGCTTTGGTGATAGCGTGCTACCAATCCAGGTCCACAGAGAGAGAAAGCCTCTCTGGTAATAATTGTCTTGTTTTACAATCTGCATTGAATAAACACTGTCAGCCTACAAGTTTTTGACAGTTCTGCATCCTCTCTTCACCTAATTCTATTTGACAGCTAAACATAGATCTCATTTCTCGAACATAAGCACATTTTTAGGTGGTGTGGGCATTTCTTGCATATGATGATCTGTCAGATTTAATTCACATATAGGCAGAATGCCCTTCAATGTTGGCAAATTCATACTCATCATTCATTTTCTTTGTACCATTAAACAATGAAGTATCTCACAGGAGCTTTATTATCCTGTTATATAGCCCAGATTAAACCCTTCCTAGAGGACTGAGTCTAGTCATGGGTATGTTTAACTTAGGAAAAAGTATTTAAAGAGAGATAAATCACCAACAGAGGTAGAACAGGAAAAGCCTTGAGTAATAGAATGAAAGGTTTTAGAGAAATGTGTGTGTCCCTGCAGGTGTACAAGAATTCCTCCTGGATTTTAACCTGATTCTACTTTATTGTGTCACTGTGAAATCACAGCCTCAGTTGACTTATCTGTAAATGTATTCTAAAAGTTAGACCTGGCAGTGTTTAAATTGTCTGGCACAAGAGCCAACAAATAGTTATCCCAAAAATGATCTCTTCACTTGAGAGAATTTTCCTCATTACCAGACCCATCTTGTCTTTAATCCTTATATTCCCGTGCTATGCTATGAGGACAAAGATACCCAGGGGATAATTAATGCTGCTTCTGACTACCACAGTTTGTGAATTGAACTGCTTCGCATTATGATTGAAATGACATCGAAGACTCATGCTTTGTGTCATTTTTTTTTAATTATGGGGCTGAACTTGAACCAGCTGAACTTAAGCCACACTATCTACCACAAAACAATTTACATTTTTCTCCTAATTATGAGATTTATATCCTGACTTTATGTCTTAAAGGGATGTTACTGAATCATTTTCCTCTTTACATATTCTCTTTCAAGTTCTCACTAAAATTTCAGAAAATTTTATTATCTCTATCATCAAACCTGATTTCCGTTTCGAATCCTCTAGTTTTATTTTTCACCTTTCCTAGAAAATGGCTTTCTTACTTTGTACTGTTGCTGCCTGTACTTTAAAGCAAAAAAGATAGAAGACTCTCCTGTAGATGTTTCCAATTATTTAATTAAAAAGTGGTCATTTGAAGTTTGTATTCGTAACAGTTCATGGAGTAGCCATGTATTTCTGGCAGTGCCACCAAGGTGCTGTATATCCTTGAAAATGCCACAAGCTTCTCTGTGCCTCACTTCTGTCATCTATAAAATGGATAAAACAACAGCCACAATTGTATCTATTTTATAGGATTGTTGTGAGGAATAAACGCATATCTATAAACATTTACTATGGTACCTGCCATATGGTAAGGATTTAATAAATGCTAGTAAGAGATGTATTTAATAATAGAAGATGCATTTAAAACACTTAGCAACTAGTTTTGTCCATTTTAAGTGCTTACTACAGAGAATATTACATAGTTTTGTTTTCTTTTTCTTTGCTTCCAACACTTATATACCCCTAGTTTTTGAGGTATTAACAACCCCATGTTGTTGAGTATGAGGTATTAGGAGTGCTGTCTGGTGCATAGCAGACACCAAATGAATGTTTGTTAAGTCCATCATAATGCAAAGAAGTGAAAGTAAGTTTTATTTCAGCTTTTTAAATGTAAAGTCTTTAGGATGTCATCAATGATTTCATTGTTCTGAACTCTTGTTCCATAGTATTACAATGATGCATGTAATAGTACAAAATCCATAGATAACAAAGGGATCTCCCTCTACATTCAGCATTCAGAAAGAGCCAGCTAAACAGAAAACTAGGTTCCAAGCATTTTGGGAGAGAGACACTGCTTAGAATAATTTAAGCACTCCACTCCAATAATTTAAGTATTACAAAGCCTAGGTGTTTTCAAAGTGAGACAAATATTATGAATATTAATAACAGCTGAATTAAAGATTGCATAAAAAGGATTCTATTCTTCAGAAATACATTAACTCTATTACCAACAAAGTGTTGTAGGTAGAGTTTTAATTAAGACTAACCAAAGGAATAAGAATCATATGAAATTATCTGATCCATTTTTTATAAAAATCGTTGTTAATAATATATTTACAGATTCCTCTTTATAGATTACTGCAGCAAGTCTTCTTATGAGTAGCAAATATGCATTTTATTTGCAAACTTTTTTCATTTCTTAAAATGTGTAGAAGAATTTTAACGCTGAACTTCAAGTGAGATCTAAATTAATATTGCTCTATTCATTGGCCCCTCTGAAAACTAAAGCTGGACAAAAATGGAAAGGATTATTGTATAAAGTATTACATTTCCTGATGGGTAGAACTAGTGAGAATGAATAACTATTTTTAAGGAATATTGTAGAAGCAAAAAAACGTCTATATTGGGTGGGAATTTGAACATAACCTACTTTGAAGGTGCTTTCATCTCAACAATTCTGATTTTGAGTCTATTACTTTACTGAATATTAAGCTGTAGTAGTTTTATATGATTGAATTCTTACTCATTGACGGAAGAACTAGAAGCCAATCATTTATAACATGAAGTGTGTTTATTTACCTGAATACTGAATTACATAAGAGAAAAGGCAGTGCTATCTTTCCATCATCAATGCCTCTCACCATTACACCCATTTGGCATTTACTCAAGTCCAATATACATTTTACCATAGATTTATTTGATATTTCAGTGGAGATCATATGTATTATTAATTGCCATGACGACAGCTTTGTAATACTATAGTCCTATTAGAGCTCATTAGTGCCAAATGCTTCCATGAGAATATTCATAATCCATAATGATAAAGCCTAAATGATTATTTTGGTTTTATCCTCTTTTATTATATTTTTCCCTCTAAAGGGATTTGTAATTTTTTTTTTCCTTTGAAGATTCAATTAGTTCAGCTTTTTCTACTTGAGCTATCAGGATTTCTATCAGAAGCAGCATTTCCCTTTCCAAAGAATACAGGTCAACTTCATTTAACAATGTTCAAAGTGTACAAATTGTGTATACGACTCTTTGATTTATTCAGTAAACAAATTGCACTATTGACACAAGGCTTCCTAGTCACCCTATTATTGTGTAAACTTCTATCTCCCCCACTAGATGGCTAAAGTAAATATTCATTCCTGAAAAGAACTTCTGTGATAGTATTTAATGGTGTTTTCTGATCATTTACTAGTCTTTCTTTTTTGCTGAGCTAACTTGCTTTTATCTTCTTACCTTTTCTCCCACTGAGTTTATAGAAACAAACCTCAAGGCAAACAACTGCCATGCAAGTCCATTTATCAGCAGAGGAAAGACAAACAAATTGGCTTTAATCTTAACTCAATTCAATTCAACAAGCATTTATTGAATACCCATTTCATGTCAGGTGCTAAGCCAGCAATCTGGGAAACGAAATTAAACAGTTTCTGTTTTCAGGAAGCTTAGTAGAGAGATAGATATGTAAACACCAAAATACTGTAATGTTTTAAGCATTGCAATATATCCATAATGCAATATGTAATAGTCTATAGGAGGGATTTTAGCATAGTGATAAAAAACATGGGCTCTGGAGGGACTCAGAACCAGATTTCCTAAGTTTGAACCTAGCACCAGCATTTAATATCTATGTGACTTTGAGTAAAAACTTAACTTCTCTGTACCTCACGCTTTTAACCTGTAAAATAAAAACAAAATCATAGTTACTTCATGGGATTGTAAGTTAATATTTATACTAAATACAAATTAGTGAATAAAGTGCTTAACATAGTATATGTCACATACTAGGTGCAATGTCAGTGTTTGTTAAATAAAACAATAAAAAGCTTCTTATTACTTAACAGGTGAGAATAAAAGCGATTCCAGTGGGATACTGGGAAAGGTACTTCAGGTAACTGGTGTCACTTAATAAGGGTCCTTAGAAATGAATCACATCGGCCGGGCGACGTGGCTCACGCCTGTCATCTCAGCACTTTGGGAGGCCAAGGCGGGCAGATCACGAAGTCAGGAGATCGAGACCATCCTGGCTAACACGGTGAAACCTCGTCTCTACTAAAAATACAAAAAATTAGCTGGGCATTGTGGCGGGCGCTTGTAGTCCCAGCTACTCGGGAGGCTGAGGCAGGAGAATGGCGTGAACCCGGGAGGCGGAGCTTGCAGTGAGCCGAGATGGCGCCACTGCACTCCAGGCTGGGCAACGGAGCGAGACTCCGTCTCAAATAAATAAATAAATAAATAAATAAATAAATAAATAAATAAATACATAAATACATAAATAAATAAAATAAAATAAAATAAAATAAAATAAAATAAAATAAAATAAAATGAATCACATCTTCCAAAAAGCACAAGAAGGAAGAAAGCATAAATAAAGGCACCTTGGTGTGCCAAATCCTTAGAATAGTCAGTAAAGGGTTAGTTTGCTACTGCAGATAGAAGAAAGATTTCATGAAATAGGATCTGGAGCCGGTCTCGGGTCTCGGTGGCTCACGCTATAATCCCAGCACTTTGGGAGGCAGAGGCGGGCAGATCACTTGAGGCCAAGAGTTCAAGACCATCCTGGTCAACATGGTGAAACCCGTCTTTACTAAAAATACAAAAAATTAGCTGAGTGTGGTGGTAGATGCCTGTAATCCAAGCTACTCGGGAGGCTGAGACAGGAAACTCGCTTGAACAGGGTAAGCGGAGGTTGCAGTGAACCGAAATCGCCCTGCCACCCTCCAGCCTGGGCTACAGAGCAAGACTGTCTCAAAAAAAATTAAAAAAAAAAAAAAAATAGAAAAAAAAAGAGTCTGGGCAGGAGGATGGGAACAAGTTGTGAGGAAGCACGTTTAAGGACTTTAGAGTTAAAAAAAGTTTGTGGGTACATAGTAGGTGTATATATTTATGGGGTGCATGAGGTGTTTTGATACAGGCATGCAATGTGTAATAATCACATCAATTTCTAAGCAATGGAGAACTTTCTAACTTAGTGAGTGGTGTGATTAGATTTAGATTTTAGAAAAATAATTTTGGTTATCATATAGAAGATGAATTGGAACAACAGGTTCTGATGATATAATGACCAGTTATTAGACCACTGTAATAGTACAAAAGGAGATATACTGGGATAGGAAAGCCAGATGCTATTAATGGAGAAGGAAATGAGGACTCATGGCCCCATCCTGGTAGAAGGTGGGAACTTTCTCATAATAGAATGTCCAATCTCCTCCTAGAGAGAAATTAACATACCCAGAAAAATGCTCAACCAATTTGCTGCTAGACGTTAATGGATTAAGATCCCTTCTGGGAAACTTGTTACCTACGTATATAGCTAATTGTCAGTCAAGAGTAATGGCATTTAAACAGCAATTCTCTTTTTTTTTGTATCCAGTTATCAGGGTTATCTAACAAATAAAATGCCTCAACCAAGAGAGGATTTTTAAATTAATCTTCTTAAGTTTCCTTCCTTAGTGAAATTTGAAATAAAATTTGACACATCTGTCACCAAACTGTCAGAAAAAAAATCTTGACAAAGAAAGCAGCAATTGGCCAGGCGTGGTGGCTCACGCCTGTAATCCAAGCACTTTGGGAGGCTGAGGCAGGCGGATCACCTGAGATCAGGAGTTCGAGACCAGCCTGGGCAACATGGTGAAGCCCCTTCTCTATTAAAAATACAAAAATTAGCCAGGCGTGGTGGCACACACCTATAATCCCAGCTACTCAGGAGTCTGAGGCAGAAGAATCGCTTGACAGTGGGAGGTGGAGGTTGCAGTGAGCTGAGATCGTGCCACTGCACTCCAGCCTGGGCAACACAGCAAGACTCCATCTCAAAAAAAAAAAAAAGAAAGAAAGAAAGCAGAAATTTGGAGGAAAATGGTGTCCTTTGTTGAAAACTTTTGTGCTGAAAAAACTTGCAGGAGACACCAATAGAGAGAAGGATGGTGATAATAGCTACTATTTATTGATTGCCCAATATGAAAAGCATTATGCCAAGTATTTACTTATCTTTAATCTCACAATAATCCTGCAACTAATATCACTATTCCAAATTTATGGTTGCAAATACTAAAGATAAATGATTAAACTTAACCAAAACCACTTAACTAGTAGGTTATTGAAATAAGATTCTCATCCTGGTCCCTTGATGTCAAGTTGTGTACAAATTCCATTATGTCAAACTCACTCTGGTGTCTGGAGATTAGGGAAGATTATATATAGTATTGTCTTAAATATAGTTAATTATCTATCAGAATTATTCTGTCTCTATGAAACATATAATATTAAAACATTTACTCCATTTCTCAAGCCAAATTTTAAAATTAGAGAGCAGGGTAGCTGTATAGCAGAGTGATCAAGTGTACAGCTTTAGAGACTCAGGAAGACCCAGGTTTGAATTCGTGACTTTGAAAAACTTACTATATCTCAATATTCTCCCTGTAAGATGAAGATAACATTTGTCCCATAAGATTACTGTGCATATATAATCAAAGAATATTTGCCAATAATTTTGTACAGTGCTTGACAAATTGTAAACAATCAAGGGTAGATCTCATCAAGAGTAGCTACTATTTTTTTTTTTTTTTTTGAGCTGGAGTTTCACTCTTGTTGCCCAGGCTGGAGTGCAATGGCGCAATCTTGGCTCACTGCAACCTCTGCCTCCCAGGTTCAAGAGATTCTCCTGCCTCAGCCTCCATAGTAGCTGGGATTATGGGCACCTGCCACCACACCTAGCTAATTTTTTGTATTTTTAGTAGAGACGGGGGTTTCACCATTTTAGCCAGGCTGGTCTTGAACTCCTGACCTCAGGTGATCTGCCTCCTTTGGTCTCCCAAGAGTAGCTACTTTTAATGGTAACTTTGGTCAGTAATATTTTTGTGGGGATACATGCTTGAGAAGACAGTTAAAAAACACCTAATTGCAAAAAGTTAATTTTTTTTTCAGGAAAAATTGCTTGCCTAAAGTCAGATACAAATATATTTTACAGTTTAAAATGCATTTTATCTTCGGCTTATGTAAAACTCTCTAAGAAATGTCAAGTAACCTAGTATTATATTTAGGACAAAAATAGAGTAATTAAAATGTACTATGATACAGACTTTAAAATGCTGCTTCATATAAAATCAGACCAAGCTTTATTTCTGTATTTGATTTTGACAGCTACATATATGATTGAACCCAAATCAACTTCTTGCAGATGTAGCATCGCTGTTGAACCAGATTGCCAGTGGACATGTTTGTGTCCCAGCTCTTTGTCAGAGCATGAGGTACTGGCATAAGTAGGGGCCTGACAGTCAGGGTTCTATTTCTGGCTTTGTCACTAACTAGTCATGTGACCTCAGACAGCTTCCAACTTCTCTAGACTCAGTATCTATATCTGTAAAATGAGATGCTTGGAATTAAGAATTGCAAGAAATCAACTGCTTTAATATACTATGAGCCTGTTATAGCAGAAATAATACACTAGAAAAAATTGTAATGTGGCATATTTTGGACAGACTGTTCCCTTTGAAGACAACATGGCTAGTACAAGATAAGAAAACAAGATGGGGATTTAGTCAGGAGGAAATGAGCAGTTTGAAAAATTTTACTTAATGAGGCTGACAACCATCCTAGACATTCCTAAACCAAGATACTTTCTCAGCCATCTGTCATCAACCCATCTACAGAAAGCCTTCCTAACCTCCCTAATGGGCCTCATACATTTATGTATTGAATGTGCTTACAAATTCCCACTGGCTCTTATTCTTCAAAAACCTTTCGGTCTACTTAAATATGGCAAGCATTCTCAAAGATAATACAATTCCCTTTAATCACTAGGGAAAAACACTACTCTGGTTTTAGCTTTACTGATAATTTTATAGCATATACCTGAGATATGTAAAATCTCAACAATTACACACACACACACACACAAACACACACACTGTAGCCACACACAGAGACCAAGGTGACCAGAATGTTGATGAATTATGTTGTCAGATCACTTTGACCAAGGAGCAACTAGTTTGCAAGAACCATCCCTTACACAGGTGTGTCTTGGGAATCTAACAATTTTGCATGACTAGCAATATTTGTTATTTCACTCATATACTTAATACGTATTTATTGCGCACTAGTCATTGCTCTAGGTCCTGGGAAAGCACCATGAAATAAACAGATGAAATATTCTATTCTTCTTCCACTCTGGTGTACAGAAATAGTTTATGATGTCAGGATTGTGACTGCTTGGGAGTTCTAATTAGTCTACCTTCTGGGCTATTTTTATATTTGTATCTCCATACTATTCCTTACCACCACTATCCCTTCCCAGAAAATTGCAAGAATTACTTTGAGAAGCATTGATGGAACCACAAAATTAGAAGGTATTCTAAAAGTATTGCAAACACTTCAGAATGGGAGCCTAATAAACATCAGGCCAGCATTCATTTTCTCTTGTTCCCTACCCAGAAAAACTATAAAGGTATAGACTTAGCCCATGAAACTACTATCTACTATATAGCTTATATTGCGGTGCCACTGGGGAGAGAAAGGCAAAAACACACTCTGACTTTAAGGTACTTTTTGTAGTCTAGTGGTGAAGAGAGGAGTTAAAAAAAATAAGTACAGTACTAATGTGATGGGGAATTATTAGATTGAGTTATTTCTACTCCAGAGTCATCTACAGTGGTTAGCTTAGTTACAAGGTAAGTTGATTTGGGAATTAAAATCGAAGCAAAATTGCATTCTCAGTTTGAAACCCAAACCATAATCTATCTGAATTTCAAATTGACCTTCTAGTTGACCCAGCATTCTGATCTTTGATGAGGTATGGTATAATCCAAAGTGAGGTCAGCTTTCTGTAGACATGGAAGAGCTGTTCAGGACACGGGAATTCTAAGTTCAGTTCAGTGGCCTTTGGTTCAGGGTCCTGTAAACATAACTACCTAACACTAACTAACGTGAGCAGACAGACTGTATGTTAAAAAGACAAGAAGGCTGGGTGCGGTGGCTGGCGCCACCACTTTGGGAGGCTGAGGCGGGTGGATCACCTGAGGTCAGGGGTTCGAAACCAGCCTGACCAACATGGCAAAACCCCGTCTCTACTAAAAATACAAAATTAGCTGGGCGCGGTGGTGCATGCCTGTAATCCCAGCTACTTGGAAGGCTGAGGCGGGAGAATCGCTTGAACCTGGGAGGCAGAGGTTGCAGTGAGCCGAGATTGTGCCACTGCACTCCAACCTGGACAAGAGCGAAATTTCGTCTCAAAAAAGAAAAAAAAGACAAGAAGAAGTTTGTTCTGATCCACATTATTACACATCTATTAAGCATTTGCTCTGTTCTCAGCCTTGTGGTAGGGAGAAGTGAAATCAAAAAGGGGAGCATATCATTGATCCCTGCCCTCAAATTGCTTGTAATCTAGTTTAGAAGAGAATGCATATATATACAACTAGGAAATGATGTCCTATCAAAAATAAATTCAGCATCTGCTGTGGCCTAGACATCTTCATGTATTATCTTTGACAACTCTAATAGAAATCTTGTGAGTTAGGTAATACTATGTCCCTTTTACAGATGGTAAAAATGTCTAGAAAAGCTAAAAATTAAGCTGTAAATTCATACCAGTAAGTTTTTTAAATGGGGGGAAAAATGTAGATTCCCTATCTGTCAACTCCTAAGATTGCAAATGCTGTGGAACTAAGTTTTTTGTCAGCAATATAAAGACAGTGGGCTAGAATTAGTGGCTGTGCCTTAGAATAATCTGATGTTTTGTGGAGAATACAGATGCCTGGGCCTCTACCATGTAGATTCTGTTTTATCAGATGTGAAAAAGTAAACTGCCTAGGAATCAGCATTTTGCAAAGGGCTCCAGGTAAAATAAATATTTGCAGTAGTTTTTACCAATTGAGCATTCTTAATTTAAAAATCCCAAATCTGAAATGCTCCAATGAACATTTCCTCTGAGGGTCATGTTGGTGCTCAAAGGATTTTGGATTTTGGAGCATTTCAAATTTAGGGATAGTCAACCTGTATTTAGGAATGAGTGAACTAGCACGTTGCAGGTTACAGAATGATCTAGGGATCAGCAGCACTGTACTTACTTGGGAGCTGGTCAGAATTGCAGAAACTTGAGCCCTACACCAGATGTGCCAGGTCAGAATCCATATTTTAATAAGACCTCTAGTTGATTTGTATGGCACGGCAATCATTATTAAGTACAGATGACTCTTGGCTGAGCACAGTGGCTGACACCTGTAATCCCAGCACTTTGGGAGGCTGAGGCAGGTGTATCACCTGAGGCTGGGAGTTGGAGACCAGCCTAGCCAACATGGTAAAACCCCGTCTCTACCAAAAATACAAAAATTAGCTGGGCGTGGTAGTAGTACATGCCTATAGTCCCAGCTACAGAGCTACAGAGCCAGACTCTGCCTCAAAATTAAATAAATAAATAAATAAATGTAAATAAATAAAAATAGAAGTATAGATGACTCTTTTACAGTTAAATTTTACATTCCTGGCACTAAGAGCTATCAAAATCCTAAAATGAAAAGTTAAAGTGGGCTAACCTAATTAATATAATCCTGTAGGAGGAAGCAGGGTTAAAACTGAATAGAATTTGGAATGGCAGACAGGAAGGGGAAACGCATTTGGAATTCTGGAAGACAACAGCACTGAAAACACAGGATGGACCTAAACCCAGAGACTCACGGGCTGATAAATAAATGAATTGAAAGAGAAGCTTTTATAGTCTCCTTCAAGACCCAGCCTAAATGCTTTGGGTAAGTCTCTTTTCTTCAGTGTCTTATCTGCAATAAGAACATATTTATAGGATGAAAATCCTGATTCTATTTCCCACACTGTAGGATAGAAACTTCAATAGGCAACTCCCTTCAAGGGAAAGCCAATATTTTAAAACCACTGTCTTGCTATATTCAGGGTTCTTGATTTGCTATGAACATTCAGAGGCAATGTGGTGAGGTTATATTGAAAACTTCGATTTTCCTTTTGATTTTGAAACAGAAAGACCCTTTGGTAACACTGCTTACTGACTGGCTATGAAGTGGTGGCTTGGCTGCAGCTCTGCTGAGGATGCCAGAGAACAGGACAGTACCAGAAAACGCTGCTCTATCTGAAATCAGTAAGGCCAAGGCAGGAAATGCTTAAAACATTTCAGGATAGGGGAAGCACAGTCTGAAGTGATGGGACATACAGATAAAGGGCTGAGTGAGACACCTGCACCTATGAAGAGGTGACAGACTTGAGTGCCAACAGGTCCTATGATCCTAGTTGCAGATAGACATTTTGAACAAAGCAAATTTCCATCAATAAGTTTATTTAAATGGATGCAAACTAAAGCACTAGATATTTAACAGGTGTGATGTAAGGACTGAATTGAGAGAAATAAAGGACAACAGTAAGTAAGGAAGTTTGTATTTTGTAAGTAGCCATGCATAAAATAATCAGCTCCTGATTTGCTCAATTATTTCTACTATTCCCTTTCTAAATTCCCCTGGGTTGTCAGGATCCCCTAGGCCTCTCAGTTTTCTCTTAAATGTCACTAGAACCTCTGCTCAGAATTACAACCTAATTACAACATACACATTTGGGGATACTTTTATGTTAAGAATTTGTGCAAATTTAACAAATGAAACCAGATGAATTGAAGCAAGGAGAACCACATGAGAAACATAATGTAAATGCAGAGATAAAGAACATTAGGCAATATTCCCAACACTTTCTCCTTTAGCATTAAGTGTTTATCAGGGCTGCACGCTGCAATAATGGTGACTAATGTTGCATAGTATAATGGAAAATGATTGAGTGATGTATTAGAGCAGTAGCTACACATTTGAGTGTGCACTTAACAGCTTGGCTGGTTTTAATACATGCCATAATTACAGATACTAAGTTGGCAGGTTTCGTTAAAAATGGTTAAGTAATTACTGAAATAAAATGCAACATGGTTAAATCTTTTTAATCTTAATACTACTTCCCCCTATTAACATGTGAAACACCTTTGCTGCTCTTCAGCATAATGATTTCGATGTAAAATTTCACTTAGGCCCTAGGACAGCGCCATAGGTATTCTGCTAATTAAAGAGCAAAGCACAGCTTCATTATACTGGTGGCACAAATAGCACTCGCTTTGGCTTTCTACATTGTCCTATGCTGGAGAGACTTGATATGACTTAATAGTCACTTCAAATCTAATCAGTGAGGTGATATGAAATGAGGATTTACATGGTTTTTTTACGTTCCAGGTCCTAAAGTAATTGTGGTCTTTTGCTGTTCAAGGTCAAAGCCTTTTTCCTCCTTATAGGCCAGTTTCAAGCTCATTTTAAACCAATTCCCACTCCCCTCTAATCTGTGACAAAAAGGTAAGCACTGATTTTTTAACTTCAATTCCTTCCAACAAGCCAATCTAGTGAAAGAAATATATCCCAGAAAGTAAACCTTAAGGTAAATATCTACTAAACTAATTATATTTACCTAACGACTTTTATTTCAAAATTGGATACGCAGTTCTGGGCAAATGTTTAAAACTTAAAAGTGGTTTGAAAATGCCTGAAAATACAACAAACCCTTAAGATATACTTATTAGATTAAAATACAGAGATGTAGTAAAACATTTTCTATAGTACTGTCTCCCTAAATATTAACAACGTAAATACCAGAAATGAACATATGAAATAGCTCCAGTCTATGACTATATAATCATTCTCTTTTCCCTATCCATTGTTTATCCAGGATTGTAGAAACTCCCTAAAGCTTCAGCAATTTGCTTTGATTTTTCATATCTTTTAAAGCTGCTTTAATAGCGCCAATGCTACTTTTAAAATAATAATTTTTTTCTTTCTTTATCACTTCCCTGTAGATGACCACATTTTAGCTTCCAAGATAACTGTATTTAGCAGTAATATTTAGAAATTCATAATTTTCTGGTTGAAATGAATAATCAAATCTATATCACATTCCAACAAAATATTTATGTAACTAATTAATGTTATATTGACATTTTAATGAGTAGATAGATTTTAATAATACCTCTTGGTTGTCTTAAAGTCACAAGTGTCTAAAACATATACTAGTTTCAATGTATATTTTTGCTTTTAACATCTGAAAGATATAAAGTCCTAATCTCTACACAATTGCTCTATAATCTAATACACACACACATATATATGCATATGTGATCCATTATGCATATATATGTATAAATTAGAACACATAGAATTTGTGTAGAAATTAGGGCTTTCTTTGTACCTCAAGGTCATTATATTTGATTATTATTAAGCACTAAGAAGGAATGTACTGGATCCTTTCATTGTCTACCACTTGGTTAATGCCTAGTAAAGATTAGAAGAAAACAAAAATATCAGTAATAGCCTAAGTTTATATGATTTTTAATCGAATGTTGTATTTATAAAGAGTTGGCAAAACAAAGACATATTTGTTAAATGTGGAAATTACTTTATTGTTTTTGGATAAATACCCTAACACCCACCACAAAAAGAAGAGAAATTCTGCCAGGATGACAGCTAATGACAGAACCAGAAATGAGATTCAGATAGAGACACAATACCTCTAAATTCCTGAAGAAGACGCTACTCCTTGGGGTTAAATTGATAATGATTGGTGAGTTACTCCTATTTATTAAAGTCATAAAGAATAAATATTTACTATTATTAAAGAAGTAAAAGAGTGATACCCTTGTTTTTGAAACTGGTCCCGTTTACAGGGGAAATCTGTCTCTTCAATGAAATTAATCTAATCTTTTAAATTAATCAAGACTATTCCCCGTAGAGGGCATGCTAAGTGATTGTTTGCTTATTGACATCTAGAACTGTAGCCAACCTCAGAGTCTAGCATTTAACATTATCTCCATTGAAGCTTTATTGAGTCAGCTGGTGTACTGGCACAAGATACAATAAAGAGTGTTAATAAATCAAAGAGAAGAAATTTACACATTCTCTATTTTGTAGAAGGTATTTTTTAAAAGCAAGTCAGCTATAAGAACTACTGAATAGCTTTATGAGCATTCGATGAGAACCTACTGATTAGACCATTGCTGCGCTATAAAGTTTTTTCCAACAAAGTAGAGAAAAGTAAATCTCCAACTCCAGGGGTCTACCATTAAATGTGAACCACGAGACTAACAGCACAAACTGCCTTTGAATTTTTGGGTTGGATCTTAAAAACTTATTACCACTCTGTAATTCATCTTTTCATTTTAGTGTAAATAGATGTGTTAGTCCAGATCCTCTGTGAAGCTTATGCCAAAACAAGACTAAACATGCAAGAGGTTTATAAGGAGAAGTACCTGTGAAGGAAATTGGGAAGGGACTCAAGGAAGACCAGGCGAGCTGTTAGATCACATGCAGATCTGGCCTTGTAAAGGAGAGGGGGAAGGAAGGAAGATGGGTGTTAGAGCCTTAGAAGGCATTGCAGTTCCAAGGAAGTCGTTGATCCAAAGTCACCTTTCAGAAAGGTCCCCCATTCCTCTATAATGGGCCTGTCTTATCCCTGCCAGGCTCAGTCATTGTCTGGGAGCAGTCCATAGGAAGTGGACTATTGGTGGGAACACAGTGATGATGTCAAAATTCAGAAGCTGGGGTTCTCAGTAAGTAGTACTCTTTGCGGTTGAATATCTGAAAGGCATATTTTCATAGCTTCTATCGTAGAGTAATTTAAACCAATAAGTGATAGAACAGAACATTTTCGGTGTGAGATACAATTAAGCTAACAATATTAATTTCAGATGACATATGACCCTGCCTATAGAAATCTTGCTCTTTCTGTTGGTGTTATTACTGTCTTATGATAAACCACATTTTTTTATGGATGTACAATTCACTAGTGTTCAATACATTCACAATGTTGTGAGCAATCACCTCGATCTAGCCCTAAAACATTTCATCATCTCAAAAGGAATCCCCATTTTCATTAAAAAGGCACTTCATATTTTATCTCCCCCAACCCACATTCCAAACCCTGGCCACTAATCTGCTTTCTCTCTCTATGGATTGGCCTATCCTAGATATTTCACATATGAAATCAAAATATGTGAACTTTTGTGGCTGACTTTTTCCACTTAGCATAATGTTTTACAAGTTCATCCACGCTGAAACAACTGTAAGTACTTCATTCATTTTATGTCTGAATAATACCATTGTATAACACTATATATACCACGTTTGCTTATTAATTCATTATTCAATAGACACTGGATTGTTTCTATCTTTTGGCTGTTGTCAAGGGTGCTGCTCTGAATATTTGCTCACAAGTATTTGTTACAATACCTGTTGTGAATTTTTTGAGGTATATACCTAGGAGTTAAATTGCCGGGTCTTATGGTAGTTCTATGGTTAACTTTAGAGGAACCCCCCAATGTGTCTTCCACAGCAGTTTCACCATTTTACATTCCCACCTGCAATGTGCAAGGCTCTAATTTCTCCAGATCCCTACCAGTGTTTGTTATTTTTCATGTTTTCAACTATAGCCATCATCGTGGATGTAAAGGGATATCTCATTATTGCTTTGATTTGCATTTCTGTAATGACTGACAAGGTTGAGCACATTTGCTTGTACTTGTTGGCCATTTGTCTATCTTGTTCAGAGAAATGTCTATTAAAATTATTTGCCTATTTTAATTGGGTTGTTTGTCTTTTCATTCCTGAGTTCTAAGGGTCCTTTATATATTCTGGATACTAGATGATATGGTTTGGCCCTGTGTCCCTACCCAAATCTCATCTTGAATTGTAATCCCCACATGTCAAGGGAGGGACTTGGTAGGAGGTGATTTGATCATGGGGGTGGTTTCCTGCATGCTGTTCTCATAAAAGTGAGTAAGTTCTCACAAGATCTGATGGTTTAAAAGTGTGGCACTTCCCTTTGCTCTCTGTCTCTTTCCTGCTGCCATGTAAGGTGTGCCTTGCTTTCCCTTCACCTTCCACCATAATTGTTAAGTTTCCTGAGGCCTCCCATGCCATGTGGGACTGTGTGTCAATTAAAACCTCTTTTGCTTATAAATTACCTAGGCTCAGGTAGTTCTTTATAGCAGTGGGAAAATGGACTAATATACTACATTCTTATCCACTATAAGACTTGCAAATATTTTCTCACTCTAGGTTCTTTTTACTTACTTAATAATGTTGTTTGATACACAGAAGTTTTCCATTTTGAATTCTATTTGTTCCTTGGGATGTTTGTGGTTTTGGTGTCATATCTAAGACTACATTGCCAAATCCAAGGTCATGAGGATCTACTTCTATGTTTTATTCTAAGAGTTTTATAGATTTGCTCTTTCATTTAGTCTCTCTGTCCCTTCAGATCTACATAAGGCAAACGTTGTATGTATTTAGGTGCTCTAATGTTGGGTGCATATATATTTATCAATGTCCTATTCTCTTCATTAATTGACCCCTTTATCATTGTATAATTGGCCTTCTTGTTTTATAGTTGTTGACTTATAAACTTTTTATCTGATGTAAGTATAGCTACCTCTGATGTCTTGAGGTTTCAATTTGCATGAAATATATTTTTCAATCCTTTCACTTTCAGTCTGTGTGTCCTGAAAGGTGAAGGCAGCATATAATTTGTTTGTTTGTTTTTGTCCATTCAGTCACTGTATGTCTTTTTATTGGAGAATTTAATCCATTAAGCAATGGGGTTAATTATTTGTAGGTAAGAACTTACTGTTGCCTTTTTGTTAATTGTGTTCTGATTGTGCTATAGATCTTCCGTTCCCATATTCCTCTCTTGCTGTCTTCCTTCATGATCGGGTGATTTTTCTCTAGTGGTATGTGGTATGCCTTTATTCCTTACTTTTTCTATTTTGTGGTTCTACTACAGGGTTTTGCTTTGTGGCTACCACAAGCCTGGAAAGCCTTCTTCTGAAGAAAGAGATGTATGAATCAAATACATTCAAAAGCTATTGCTCCAAGGAGTATTATAATAATTTCTTTCACTGCCCTAACATAATCTTCCGATAAACTCGTAAGGTAAAATGTGTTCCCTCTTTTTCTCTCTTTAACCAGCCATTCTTAACAGCTTGTAATGTGAGAAGTTCATCCTGAATCTATATGCTTAAATAGTTAAATGTTATTCGTTATAAAAGAAAACAATATATTAGGACCTAAAAGTATTTGGTCAGCTTGATTTTTAAAAAAACAAAGTATGCCTCAAATATTCATTTCTTTTCTAAAAAAATATGTGGTTGTGGGGAATTTGGAAAATGCTTGTTATGTATACAGTCTTACAGACTCTGGGCTAGTTTAGTGGTATATGCAGATGTTGGGTTAAATGAGAATGACCAGAAAAAAAAAAAAACGGCTGAAATTCAGCTAATAATTGCAGATTAAAGTTAGCGAAAATTTGTCTAGAGGTCGGTGGTGATGGTTCTAATGATTTTGCGAAGGCAATGGAAAAGCTTTTGAAGAACATTTTTAATTTCCCCATCTCTCTGTTCTGTCACATAAAAAATAAGGGATTTTTCAAAGATAAAGACAATTCACATTTTATAGATTTATATGGTACTTCACAGTTTACTAAGTGCTTTCATGTTTTTCCTCTTCTGAAATAAATTAAGGCTTTTTGCAGCTCCAAAATTCTACCACTTTATGTTTTATTGATTCTTTTGCATATGCTTTGGGATTTTTTTTAAATTTAAAACCAACAAATTGAACAGTTTATTTTATCATTGATATGACCTTTCAATTTCTTGCCTTCCTAGAGGTTACTGGAACTATAATATGGACTTTGTTAATAATAACTTCCTGATAATGTAAAAATAGCCATAAAGTATATTTCAAAAGAATTGTCAATTCTAATACCTTGTGAACAACCAAAGCTTAAATAGCTGAAGATGATACGATTGTGGCACAAAGCTCCATATATCATTTTCATTTTCCTTAAAAAATTCCACATGACTGGGAAAATGACCTGGTAATGCAGAAATCTGCTTTCAGATTTCATGATCCTGGGGAATCCATGGAAGACTGAATCACTAAGTCTCAATTACTAAGGAAAAGAACAAAATAATGGCCGTGGCCAGAAGATAATCAAAATGCTTCTACCAACTCAAAACTGATCTCATTTCACAATATTATTTCAAGATTATCACCACTTAAAACAAGCCCCTAAGAAGCTGAAATATTTTAATATGGACTATTTTTAAAATATAAAAAATACCACATGGGAATTTTTCTTTGGAGGGGGCAGGTAAGGCAGGAGGCTGTCTAAAAGCAATGCTAACCATTTTTCTTGTACGGATTTCTATCTGGGAAAGAAGATTTTCCAAGAAGAGATTGTGGTACTCAACACTAACAACTCCCTCTAGACATCAGACATGCTCCTGTTCAGATCTACACACTTTCTTATGACAGCACCTAGAGGAAGAAATGAATGGGATGGAACTTACTGAACAGCTACTATATAGCAGGTGCTCTCTGGGTATAAAAGATCCCAGGCAGACATTCTGGATTTAGGTAGTCATATTGTTTTCTATGTGAATCTTGGATGATCCTAAATGGATCTAAGTATAGTAATTCTAGCTCTTGTCTTTTTTTTTTTTTTTTAGATGGAGTCTTGCTCTGTCACCAGGCTGGAGGGCAGTGGCGTGATCTCGGCTCACTGCAACCTCTGCCTCCCAGGGTCAAGTGGTTCTCCTGCCTCAGCCTCCTGAGTAGCTGGGACTACAGGTGCATGCCACCATGCCAAGCTAATTTTTGTGTTTTTAGTAGGGATGGGGTTTCACCATGTTGGCCAGGACGGTCTCGATCTCTTGACCTCATGATCCGCCTGCCTCATCTTCCCAAAGTGCTGGGATTACCGGCATGGGCCACCACGCCCAGCCTAGCTCTTGTATTTCTATCCACAGATTTATAGGAGAAAGGGTCTGGAAATTCCTTGAGATTTAAATTTGATAAAATTTAAATTTGTGGACTGAAGTGGCTCTTACCAGAAAAAATACTCGAAGAGGGAATTTGTAACAAGAGGAATATGGGGTTTCAAGTGGGGATTAAATCTTGAATCAAGGACCAGAGACTGAGGAAGACAGATGATTCAGAACCTATGAAGCAGCAGATACTGAAACCTAATCTGACGTCACAAACCTGACAGCTACTTTGTGACTCAGGCAAGTGTGTGTGAGGACATGGGACTAACTTCATATACAAATTTAACTCTCAAATTAAACTACCTAAATGTGGCAGAAAATGGAAAGTCAAATAATTTAATTTTTATGGATGTACCCACTCGGTATCATTCTAGAGAGTATCTCTCCCTGGGTAGTGCTGCCTGGGGTTAGAGCAGGGTGACCAGAGTAAAGTAAAACTGTTCTTCCTACACTCTTCAATGCATCTCTTCTTACTTCTGTGCTATTCCCTGGTGCTGTAATCTCACCTGGTTTCTTCAGTTCTTGCAAAGGTATTTTTGTGTGTGGATAGTTAATTGAAATTGACGTTTCTGATGGAGAGTCCTATGCTGCCATCTTGCTAACATTCTAAACTCTATTTTTCTACTTTTATGAACTTTAATATATACCCAATAAAATGGAAAGAATTTTAAATGTGCTGTTTGATAAGCTTTGACAAATGCATATGCTGAATAGCTACCTACATAATCAAGATAGATAATATGCTTCACCTCTTCACCATCAATACTCAAACTCACCTTTTGTTCCAAACAACCATTGATCTGGTTTCTGTCACCAATGATTAGATTTGCCAACTTTAGACCTCCATAGAAATGGAATAACAGAGTATAAAGTTCTGTATCTGACTCCTTTCACTTGATATTCTGTGAGATTTATCCATGAGTATCAAAAGTTCATTCACTTTTTATCTGAATATTATTCCAGTGTATGACTATAGCACACCTTGTATTAATACAGCACAACTTACCTGTTGACATACCACTGCTTCCCAGCTTTTAGTTATTATGAATGCAGCTGTGATAATAAATTTATGTACAAATCTTTTTGTGGGTGTATGCTTTCATTTCTCTTAGGTAAATACTTAAGAATGAAATTGTTGGATCAGAGGGTAGTGTATATAAAACATAAGAACTAATAAAATACTTGCTAAAGTCTATTATTGTAGACTCCCAGAAATGATATATTCAAGTTTCAGTGGCTTCATATTTTTGCCAACTCTTGATATTTTCAATTTTTATATATATTTTAATATAGTCATTCTAGTATATATAAAATGATATCTTACTCTAATTTTATTAATAATTTACATTTCTCTGATGACTAATTATATTGAGCATCTTTTCTTATGCTTATTGGCCATTTGTACATATTGTTAGAACTTTTGTGATTTTTTTTTCTGAGAAATATTTTTATACTCTAAATTTGTGAAGAATTTTTCATATTTTATTCTGTAAGCTTGTAGTTTGAGCTTTTATATTTGGCTCTGTGATCAATTTCAAATTAATTTTTGTCTATTGCATCAGGTAGAAAGAAGTTCAGTTTCACTATTTTCCCATATGGTTGTTCATTTGCTCAGAAGTCTATTTTTTCCACATTTGGTGCCTTGATATCTTTGTCTAAAATCAACTGACTGTATCAATTGAGTCTATAAATGTTCTGATCCATTGATCTATTTTTAAACATTTTTATTCCAATATCACAATAATGAATGCTATAGCTTTTTAGAAAGTGGTCCTCAAACTTTGTTTTCCTTTCCCAAAACTGTTGGAAGTAGTTGGCATTCCTTGCCTAACAGCTGTTTGACTCCAATCTCTTCCTCTACTGTCACATGGCATTTTCTCCTGTGTGTGTCTATCTCTATATGTCTTCTCCCATTTATATAAGAACATTAGCCATATTGAGTTGGGACCTACTCTAATCAAGTATGATCTCATCTTAACTTGATGATATATTCAAAGACTCTATTTCCAAATGAGGTCGCATTTTTAGGAACCAGGGTTAGAACATTAACATGTCTTTTTGAGGAGGACACAACACTAAACTACATTAAACAGGCTCTGAAGCTATAGTTCTAGAGAAAAAAATTATTTAAAACAAAGATGAATTTATTACTTACTCTTTTGTACTAAATTGTGTCAACCAAAATTCACATATTGAAGTCCTAACCCTCAGTACTTCAGAATATAATTGTATTTGGAGATCGGTTCTTAAAAGAAGTTATTAAGTTAAAGTGGGGTTTTTAGAGTGGGCCTTTGTCCAACATGACTTGTTTCCTTACAGAAAGAGATTAAGGCACAGACATCAGAGTCCAAGTCTTGCTGTGAGGACACAGGGAGAAGACAGCCATCTACAAAACAAGGATAGAGCCCCACAATAAAAACCACCCTGCAGCTACCTTGATCTTGAACTTCTAATCTCTAGAATGGTGAGTTAATACATTTTCATTAAGCCACCCAGTCTGTGATACTTTGTTATGACACCCTAGCAAACTAATTCACTCACTATAATAGGTAAAGCTATGCTTGTTTCTCTGAGCAAAATAGAATATTAACCTTATATAGGATTTTTGAACAGTGTGAAACTCAGAGGTTGATGGGCTTTCAGAGGAACAAGTGGACGGGACATCATCCATAGACACAAGGTTAGAGAGGCAAGATTGGTTAACATTTAGAGGTGTGCTTATTAAACTAAATTGAAATAGGATTGCTAATATTTAGGAACAAGGGGTTCACACTGATCAGTTTGCACATTCACTGAGGTGAGTTGTCATTGATTAACTTAACAGGTTTAGAGCAGCTTGGGTAACCACTTGTTAGTTTGACTAAAGAATAAGTACTTTCCTAAGTTTATAGAAACTTTTCTCAGAATTTATAAATCATGGAAAAATAACTCTTAATAATATTGACTATTTATACATAAACATGGTAAATGTATGCATTTATTTAGGTCTCTTTTATTTTCTTACAGCAATATTTTGTATTTTTCTGCACTTTATTTCAAGAAATAACTTGTCAAGGCAAATTTTTGCCTAGTAATCCGTAAGCCATTCAACAAGTCCTAAATCCATTTATATGTGAATTTATTGCATTCCTATTTTATCCAGAATAATTTCTTGGGAAACTACAAAAGGAACTTAAGAGATTATATACAAAATCATAGACATTTGAGAAAATCCAAAGACAGGTATCACTTACATAGTAGACACTCAACTAGATGTTAATGAGTGGAAAGAATGGCAAGAATAGATATTCCAAATGTATGTCAAGCCTTGAAGCCTATTCCGTATCTATATGTTGCTACTTATTTGGATGTTAGTGAAGAGTCTAATTTATAAATGTGGGCTTTATATATCTTCCTCCTCTAATCCTCATCTGGAAGTAATAGCAAATAAAGTAGTACAAAGTCAGAAGGAGGGAATAATAGAAGCATGGGTCTTGCACATCACTCCTAGAATAATGCAGACCATACTGAGTGCTGATTTATTTTCGCTAAGCCAACTCTGCTTTTGTATTTAACTTAAAAGCTCTTTAATGCCAGCAAAGGGCAGGTGGAATTTTCTGCTCAAATATATATTATTGAATTTCTTTAGTCAATAGAATTTAGCAAAATATATGTCATTCATTTCAGCTGGGGGGAGCAAAAGCATTGATTATTACTCATTCTGTACTTATCTGATAAACTATTCAGACCTAATTGTGATAACCATTGGCAATTGGCAATGTAAGAATATCTGAAGCAAGTGCCTGGAGAGCTAGCTGAATTTTAACTATAATGAAAATACATAAACTACTTTTACTGTAATTGTTTTCATTTCCTGGACATTGTGGTGTTCAGGATATGTCATAACTGCTTATATTCTTCAGAACAATGGTGTCCAAAATTTTTTATGCAACATACCTATCTGTAAGAAAAAATATTTATATGTATTTGTGTACATATATGTTATAATTTCTCCAAATTATAATTATTTTTATTTTAAAAAATGTTTGTGGGTAAATAGCAGGTGTACATATTTATGGGGTACGTGAGATGTTTTGATACACGCATGCAATGTGAAATAAATGCATGATGGGGAATGGGGTATCCATCCCCTCAAACATTTATTTTTTGTGTTACAACAATCTAATTATACTTTTAGTTATTTTAAAATGGACAATTAAGTTATGATTGACTATAATCACCCTATTGTGCTACCACGTGGTAGGTCTTATTCATTCTTTCTACTTTTTGTGTAAACATTAACCATCCCCACCTCTCTCTCTCAACCCCCAACTACACTTCCCAGCCTCTGGTAACCATCCTTCTACTCCCTATGTCCATGAGTTCATTGTTTTGATTTCTAGATCCCACAAATAAGTAAGAACATGTGATGTTTGACTTTCTGTGCCTGGTTTATTTCACTTAACATAATGATCTCCAGTTCCATCCATGTTGCTGCAATTGACTGGATCTCATTCTTTTTTTATGGCTGAATAGTACTCCCTTGTGTATAGATACCACATTTTCTTTATGCATTCATCTGTTGAATGGACACAGGTTGCTTCCAAATCTTAGCTAATAGTTCTGCAACAAACATAGGAGTGCAGATATCTCTCTGATATACCAATTTCTTTTCTTTTGGGTACACACCCAGCAGTGGGATTGCTGGATCATATGGTAGCTCAATTTTTAGTTTTTTGAAGAACCTCCAAACTGTACTTCATATTAGGTATGCTAACTTATAATTATTTAAACATTGTATGTATGATATTATGTATGTGTGTATGTGTGTTTGTGTATATATGTATGTGTGTATACATACCATACCTATAAATATACATATATGTTTTGTACATTGTAATACAAACGCAAATATATAAACTAGAATAGGACAACATCAATATGTAAATAGAACTTATAGTATTTTCTTTCCATATACCAATGGATTGTCTTGTGTACATCTCATTTTGGGCATTAGAGGGTCATTGTTCATAGTGGATTAAAGTGAACCCATAGCAAGACTGCCGGTTAACAAAGGAGGTTTAGGCAGTGGCTTTAGTCTCAGCATTTCTAATGCAGCAGCTCTGAAGTGAGGCCTGAGATTTTGCATTTCTGACATTCTTCTTGGTGGTGATGCTGCTGCTGCTCATGAGGTCACTCGTTTAGACCAAAGAGACAGCTTATTAAGGTCTGGTTAAATGATAACCCAGAGGGGAAAAAAAAAAAACCATGCTTCCCTACTCTATTTTTCAATATAAAAAGGTAACTCTATATTAAAGTATGTAAATATTAAACAACTAATTTCCTCAAATGACCTACAAATGAATATATTTTCTATAATTGGAGAAATCCTTGTAAAAATAGTGAATTCTAAACCAAAACCGTGAGTAAAGCAGATCAGGAACCACGCTTGATAGTGAATTCATTGTTAAGAAAGGGCAGGTAACTAGAAGGTAACTGAGTTGAGCTTTTCCATGGTGTAATTCTTCAGTGTCTTAAAAAAATCTTCAGCAACACTTATCTTGAGGGCGCCTTGAATGAGCAACTCTTTCCCAAAGTTCATCCAATTTTTAGGTAGTTTCTTACAGGTTAAAGCAATAGCTAATATTTATTTTATTTTAAAAGGTCATACAGCTAATAAGTGGCTAGATCAAGATTTGAATCCAGGTAATGTGGTCATAGAATCTGTGCATGTATCCACTAACCCATACTATTTCCCAGGCATTAATGAAAAGGAATTCTAGGTTTGGTCTATAGGGACATTTACAGGTGACCATAAGGCCCCACTCCTTAAAGCCTTTGTGTTTCTGTCACCTCTGCCACGCTGCATATCTCCCAGCTTCATATGATGTTCTCACTTTATCACTGGTTCTAGAGTTGCATGTAATGCAAACCAGAAGCCGGGTAAAGGACAGGTTCCTTTGGTCGTCTAACAAAATCATATGTGTAAGGGCCACCGACCAGGCAGACTCAATGTGACTACTCAATATGACCTTCCTCTAGGTTGATCTGAACACTCGCTTCATGCCCCTGAGGTATCACAGCCAGAAAACTACCATCAGCTGACTCATACAAGTGTCTTCCCCACTTAGTACTGATTGAGGCCCATGGTGAGTCCAACACAAATGACCTGGCCTTTTGAGTTTTGTCATGGTACTAATAAAAATCCTTATTATTCATTATTGAAAATTTGACTTGAATAGCATAGTCCAAGAAGCTAATCAGGGCCCTCTTGCAGTCCCAGAAAAGCCATCGGGCATACAGCTGCCTCTCTTCAACAGGTTAGGACCTAACCGGTAAAACCTTGAAAACATTAGTGTTTGCACTGACAAAGGCCAGTGTCCCAGTCTACAAGGGCTTAATGCCATCCTCACTATTTCTTGCTAATGCAGGTTTCACACTTGACTAGAAAACACTACCACCACCACACACACACGTACATGCACGGGCCCACACACACACGTGCATGCACGGGCACACACACACACATGCATGCACGGGCACACACACACACATGCATGCACGAGCACACACACACTTGTGCATGCACGGGCACACAGGCACAGGCCAGTTTACCAGTGAAATGCTAGGCTTAACAACTATCAAAATTCTTTCCCAAGGCTGGGCGCAGTGGCTCACGCCTGTAATCCCAGCACTTTGGGAGGCCGAGGCGGGCAGATCACAAGGTCAGGAGATTGAGACCATCCTGGCTAACACGGTGAAACCTCGTCTCTACTAAAAATGCAAAAAACATTAGCCACGCGCGGTGGCGGGTGCCTGTAGTCCCAGCTTCTCGGGAGCTGAAGCAGGAGAATGGCATGAACCCGGGAGCCGGAGCTTGCAGTGAGCCGAGATCGCGCCACTGCACTCCAGCCTGGGCGACAAAGCGAGACTCCTTTTCAAAAAACAAAACAAACAAAAAAAATGCTTTCCCACAATGTTATAGGATTTACAGAACTTTCAGAAGTTTTAAATTAATTGCCATCACAATTTTATATAATATTGTCAGAATACAGTGTTTGTAAGAATGCGTCCATTGTTTCAAAAAAGAAACAATAAACACAATGCAAATACAGCCTTCAAATAAGTTGCCTAAGCATCTGTCTTCCTGGTATAATTATTTGAAGGGAGGCAAAAGTCATATTTGTTAGTTTCAGTCATCCACACCAGAAAAGTTTACCTACCTCTCTCTACCTGACTGTCAGTTGATACTTCAAGGTCAAGGCCTTGCCATATAATAAAGGCTGATTGATTATAATTGTAGCTATGTTATCTAATAATGAATTACCTCATTAGCAAACAGGGTGAGACAAACCAAAAGCTTCAGAGTTATAAAATTCTGGGTTCAAATTCTGCTTTCGTCACTTTCTTGCTATATGATTCTGGGTAAACCACTTAATCTTTTTGAATCACTTGAAAATAGCGGTAACAGTGCCAACCTTCAGAGTTTTCTGTGAGAATGAAAGTGGTACAGAATGTATGTATTTGTGCATATTTTCGAGATGAACTTAGCAACTTTCCACTTATCTGTAGGCTACTTCAGGCAGACAACACTATTATCCTGTAGTGAACAGAGTTTGAAGAAAAGACTGAAGCTCATAATTTTTTAATATGCATAGTTTCCATTGTCTGTTATGGCTCACAACCTAACAATGTGATGTATTTTGGCTTCAGCTAGGCTTTTTAATTCAAGAAACTCAGAGATTAGTGCAAATCTCCTTCTACCTCTCGTTTCACCGCCCTTGATATCTCAAGGGTAATTTTAGGGTCCAAAAGTTATTTGGTGGCTTGTTTATAATGCTCAAAACCCTATTTTTAAGCTTGAGATCCAACATAAAAATCTTTTTATTCTATTTACATTTCCCGCAAATTTTAGCAATGGTCTCATTTATAAACTAACACACACAATGTTTTAAATTGCATTCGTAAATTTAATATAGTTTCCTGATTAAGTACTTTGGCTAACTTATAAAATAAAATCTACCCTAATACGTATTATAAAACCAGCAGAAAATTAAAACTATAGATATGATGATTCTTAGATTATTTAAATTTACCAACATAACACAGTCTTAGTAAATTACAAGTCTGAAGCAATTACTTAATTACATATTTTAAATTAGAATCATAAGGTTAATATTTTACTTGGAAAAGACAAATTCTGTTAAACATTACTAAATTGTCTTTACATTAATTCTCTTAAACTAACCAAAATGCTAAATGACCTTCTTAACACAAAAATATTTACACTATGTGTGTGGTTTCAATTAAAAATATTTATGCTTAATCCTAAATCTTCCTGTGGTTAATGATGTTAAGGAAATAATTACATCACCCCATGCACCTTCTCAAAGGATTAAAATTATATAAGGACCAGAAATATAGGTCAGGAATATGAGGTCTGGAGCTGCAGATAGCCAGGGTGATTTTTCTCACAATCCCAACTGTCAGGCTGACTTCCATTTTTAAGCACCGTATCTTAGAGTCCTTAAATTAAAGAACACAGGTGGTAGTGTTACCCATTTTTCTACACTTGAGTCACATCCTTACCTCATTCTACCCCTTTTTTTTTTCCACATGCAACCTTCCACCTAGGCTGCTACATCATTTGATTTAATTTTTTGTACCTCTGTCTCAAATTTTATAGATTTCATAACTTCATAGGAACTAGTCAATTCTTTTCAAATCTACTTTGTTCATTAGAAGACTTTTTAGATTTTAAAATGGTAATTCTGCAGACCTCTTGTGGCTTTTCCGTATATAATGCCAAGATCATTATCCTGGTAAGACTAACAGAAAGAAAAGTTTCAGCTGTGGTACAAACACAAAAGTACCTGCAAAATATTATACAGATTCACCAAAGGGAAAGAGATGCACTCAGGAATGCCATGTTGAAACACTCTAGAGGTGTCATTCACACCAGAACCTATAATTGTAGGTGTGCTAAGTACTATTTTGGACAGGCAACAATGACACACTTAAGGTTCCTGCTCTCTGGGGGCTTACATTCAAGCGGGATCAAAAAGCTAAGCAAATAGCAAAACCGGATCATTACAGCTTTTGATAAGTGTCATAAAGGAAATAAAGCAATAAGGCATAATAGAGAGTAACTAGATGGCTACAGAAGGCTAAATTCGAAAGTGGTGTTCATAAAGCTTGTCTAAGGAGGTGACCTTTGAGCTGGAGGATGAGAGAGAGAGCAGCTCTGTAAAAAGCTAAGGAAGGACTTTCAAGGAAAGTATGTAGCCAAAGTGCCAAGACCCAAAATATCAACTGCAGCATTACTGGCATCTTTTAAAGAAGAAAGAAGATCACTATGGCTACAGAGATGAGCAAGGGAAGGTGCAATGTGAGCTGAGGATGAGCAGAGGTTGGGCCCGATCATGTGGGAGGACTGCGAGGCCCTGTTAGAGCCACAGTGAGAAGTTTGAATTGTATTGGAAGGATTTTAAGAAGAGATTGAATCAAAGGACTGAAGTGATTTTATTTACATTTTAAAAACACTACTCTGCATGTGATGTAAAGCCTAAATATTAGAGAAACAAGAGAGTCTGCCTGAGAGATATGGGTGGCTTGGTCTAGAGTTATGTTAGAGAAGAGAGGGAAAATGGACAGTTTGAGATATCCTTTGGGAGCAAAATTTTCAGAATGGTTTGGTCCTGGGAGATGAAGGAAAGTGATGAATCAAGGATGACTCCTGGGTTTGGGATTGAGTAGGTGGGGAGATGTTGGTGCCACTTCCCAAGACAGAGAAGACTGAGGAAGAAACAGGTGTGTGCGGGGAAGAGGAGACGATTTGTGAAGCAGAAGAGAGAGAGGAGGTGACTATGGGAACAAAATTGTAACATGAGAGAAGATGGAGGCCAGAAAAAAAGGAAGGGACAGGGTGAGCTAGCTTTCGATAAATGAACAAATTCTGTTGTGTAATCAAAGAAAAGAAAAAAAAAATGGGCACATGTTAGGGTTTTACATTTTGTGCTAGAAAAATTGAGCCATGTAGGTCCATTATTATTGTTGCAGATAAAAATGGAAAGAAGGAATAGCATGGTTTCTGCATTACTTTTACTACTTTATTAAAATTCTTTCATTTGTTAATTAAGTTATTCATAGAGGAAAAAATGTAGATAAAATTAAACTTAAACCTCCTTTCTACAGTGTTTTCTAGATGTGGGGACATAGACATACCTCAGCACTTACTAGAAATTAGACTGCCCACAATTTTTTCTGGTGATCATAAAGGCCTTATTTTGCCGATCTACTATATTTGGTGATGTATTTACTGTAAGTAACAGAGCACACAATCAGGAGATTAATTTGCTTTGGGGCTAGGAAGTTTACAGTAGAAAGGCAAACACAGTATTTGTGTATAATACGTAATTATTTACTAGTTTGGAGCTATCCATTGGCACATTAGAGAGAAAGTTTGCAAACTAAAAGCAATAAAAATAATAATTGTCTTTCCTAGGAGAAGTCCCAGAAACTGGAACAGGGAATATGAGATGTTTGTTCTGTTATTATTATTTTTGTAAACACAAGGAATTTAGTTGTTATCTGATAGTTTTCTGTTTCCTCTTATCTTTTTTTCTCTTTCATGGATGCAAGATTTTACTATTTTCTGCGACAGATTCCTGTTCCCTAGACAATGATTCCATGTCACAGAAAACACATGTGCACATACACATACACATGCATATAGAAACACACAGAGACAGACACACACACACACACACACTCATGCATGCCAACAGCAGGCAGTCTTCATTCAATCTCTCTTTTCTTTTTGGCCTTAGCTGTCTAGCAATAAACATTTGTCTAACAGCCACAGTGATAAATAATGGTATCTCCAAAAGCACCAACTCAGAAAACTTTCTATTACTATTATTTATTTCCTCTGTAGCAATTGCTCTAACTAAAGCTCAAATAAAAATAGTGAAATGTGATTTTATTTAGGAAAAACTATATATGGCAATGCTATAATTGGATTTCTGGTATTCATGTCCTTCATTCTATATGATGGGGGAAATTTGGTAGATTTCAAATATTAAAAATATTTTGCGCTGAGAATGGTACTACTGGATAAATTAAAATAAAAGAAAATCGTGAAAGGTAAAAACAGCTATAGGAATATGCAGTTCAAAGAAAACATAATGTAGAAGTCGTGCATAATTAATGAAAAGGATTACAAGGGGTCAGAGTTAATAAAGAGAAATTGAATTTAATTATGAGTACTATTAAATACTGTAGGTGGCTTAAATTTGCTCTGTGTAGATTTTGTATCTGAAAGGAAATTAATCAATCAACAAGTCAACCACTGAGAACTCTCTGAATCTGACCACAAAGTTGGAATATAAGACGTTTCCTGTCATCTAAATTTCGTAAGAGAGGCAGTCAAGTAATGTTTAAAATGGACTTTTTTTTACTGTAGAACCAAGACTTTTGAGTTGTGTATTACTCATGAGTGATTTGAAGTATCAGATAATCTGCCCACAGCTAATAAGTGTCAGACATGGTTCCAAATCCAGGAATCTCAGCTCAAGGCTTATGCTCTTTCTATGACAAGCTGCCTGACTCCCTCAACATTTGTAGGAGTTCAGAGAGTAGGAATTAATTTGGCTTTAAGTTCTCAAGAGGGCTTCCTAAAGAAAGAGTGACTTGAGTTGGTTCTTGAGGAATGAATGGGATTTTTAAAAGTAGAACAGAGTTGAGAAGATTGTCTAGATATGCAGGAGGGGAAGACTCCAAGGACAATGCCAATATAGTAGAAGTAAGAATGTGATGGATGGGCACCCAGAAACATGCAGGGCTACTGGCCTGGAACAAGCTGTGTGTGATGTTGAGGAATATTGGGATGCTTTAAGACTGGACTGGATTGGTGTGGGGATCCATTTTTCCAGGGACTTGAATACCAGACAGAGGACAACAGGGCTTATATGGGAGGAAAGAGTCATTGTATGTTTCTTTTGCATAACAAAAGCAGGGTTTTAGAAAGACTATTCTAGGGAAAGAGTCCAGATGGCTTTGAATGGAAAGACAAGAGAGACAGATAAACCAAATGTCAAAAAGCCCACTGGAAAAAACTCCATATCCCTCCAGTATCCCTCGATTTCTCTCCATATCCAGCCAGTTGTTTGCAATTACCTTCATTGAGAAGGTGTGAGGTGAGCAACAGAGAAAAGATGAGTAATGGAGAAAAGGTATAGGCAATGACCTGATGATGGAGAACTTACTGTGTCAGGCCAATAAGGAACCAGTTTCTCAAACTAGACTGAGGCTCCTCAGGGGGTCATGAGTTAATATAATGCATCTTAAAAGCCATACTTAGAAACAAAAGCACATTGAAAAATAAAATTTTATATACATTTTTATTTTTCAACAGTTTGCAAGCTGTATCGATTATTTAATTGCAAATTTATCTATAAGCCTAAATAAATGTATAGTACCATTTATAGCATCATGCAAAATGATAAGTTGTATTAAACACTAATAGCTCAAACTTTACCCTGTGAAGATTTGTTTGTGGAACACTTTTAATTTAAAAAGGATGGGAACTTCTGCTCCAGGTGAAGAAAAATACTGAAGGGTTTTCCACAGTGTAATGTGGTGTGGTTGCATTCTGACAGCTTGTCAAGAATGAATTTTGGTGGGTCAAGAATGAATTTTGGTGGATCAAGACTGGAGAGAGAGCAATTATGGACAAGCTATAAAGATGAGAGCCTGTACTTGAATAATGAGAGCAGAAATAGAAACAGATACATCCAAGCAATATGCATTAGGCTAAATCGGAGGATTGAGATGAAGGTATGAGAGTAAAAAAGTAGGAGGGATCAAAGATGTTTTCAGATTTTTTGCTTGGGTGAATAGACGATGGTGGTATTAGTAATTACTTTAGAGAATGTAGGAGGAAGATGAGGTTTGAAACAAAGTTGATTAGTTTACTTCTGTGTGACATGCTGCCTTTGAGATACCTGTATAGGATGATCATTCACGGTGATTTGCATGAACTGTGCTGATTTATGCCTGTTGTTCTAGCTTAATTATTAATAACACCCTCTCTCCTCTCAAAAGTGTCACGTCAGGAAATGAATTACATGGTCATTCTTAACCTACAAAACTCAACAGGTGGAGAGAGATGTTCTGCAAATGGTAGAGTATGAGTCTAAATCTCAAAATAGAGTTTTGGGCAAGACCCTTGATTTAGGAATAATCAGAATATTTGTAGTTATTTGAAGCTATTAGTGTGCATGGGATTAGCGAGCCAGAGTAGAGTTGTGTCATTATAGAGAAAAATGGAATTCCTGTTGACAGCAACACTTTAATGAGAGGTTGTAAGAGAACTTCAAGTACATGTATTCAGAGAAGTACAGGGAATAAAAAGATAGTGAGTTCAAAATAAGCCAGAGTGTAGTAGGCTGGGAAGTAAAGAAGGGCTGAGGAAAAATGATTTTTCTGGAGGAAGAGACTTAATGGTAAATCATTTTATAAGACCAAGTAAGGTTAAGATTCTATTTTTGTTTGAAGATCAGAGATGAGAATGTTTATAGATTGGAGAGAAGGACTAAAGAGATAGAGAAGAAAAGGGGGAGAGAAAGAAAAAAAAAGAGAAGGAGGTTGAGGAGGAGGAAGAGGAGAAAAGGAAACATAAATATGAAAAAAATGATGCAGAAAAAGAAATTGCTAATAATGCAGATGCCTGGAGAATAATAAAATAAATTAGAGGCAGAAGAGAAAAAATTGAGCTGGCACTGGATGATGGGTACCTCATCTTCTGTGCCTGGGGCTGTCAGTTTGCCCTCAATCTACAATAAACAGAAGGTGATTCTCAAGGCCAGAAGTAAGTCAGGGATTAAAGAGTGGAAAAAGGTTTGTCACTGAAGGATACTTTAGGCAAATACTGAAGACATTCACAAAGGGGCAGCCTGCTGCCGATTTCAGGTAGACATGGATTCGATATCACCAGGATATTTCCCAAGGCCCAGGAAGAAAGAAAGTTCAAACTGTGGACTAAATACTGATCCATGGTTTCATGTGGAAGAAATAGGGGAGGTCAATAAGCTGAATGCATCATACTTTGGGGTCAAAGGGACAAAATCTACCTCCTAAAATCCAAAGTGGGTCCAGGGCCCAGGAACCCCTAAAGCAGGTTCTGATATGGTATTAAAACTGTCAGACATAGACACCCGAGAAGTTTTTGCAACTGGTAAAATTTAGGGTACCTTCCCTGAAGCTTAACACTAATCCTTATCCCCAGGAAGTTACTCAGAGAAATCTAGTAACATGGTAAACGCTTCTGAGTGGAAGTAAAGACAATCAGGTGGGTTTTGGTAGCTGAGTAATAGAAATAGTAGCAAGGCCTGAGGCACAAATGAACGTTTCTGAAGAAACAGAGGAAACCTATGATGTGGAGAGAAGATTCCAGAATGTTGATCCTCGGCTAGGCTTCTAACTCCATTGGTAATATTATACAAGTTGCTTAACTCTCTACACCTTAAAACCTCTCTTGTCTCAAAAATCAGGAAAGGGAAAGTCGTAGAGGCAAGAATTTTTAACCCCTTTTCTGCTTTAAAGTTCTTTGATGAACGTGGGCAAAGGATGACGTAAGAGGAATTAGCAAAAATCCTCTTGTTAAGTGAAGAAAGGAATGATGTCTTTCAAGGAACAAATTAGTAAATTCATTTTGATTTTAATTGTACTACATGAGTCAAGTATTTCCTTGGGGAATGAATGGAGATAGAATTTTAAATCCAAAGGCTCAGTGAGGTAAAGATCTCACTGATAACTCAGATGAATAGGTCAATGGAGGAATGACCCAAACACTGAAGGCCTAGGTTTGATTGGGTTTCAGGGGTCAGTAACTAGTGCAATATGGATAGAAACCAGCAGCAGAAATTGAAGGCAACTAGCATTATGATTAACCTGATGCTACATACAAGACATACAAAGGTAACTTCCCCTTTACAGGTTTCTTGTCCAAGTTGAAATTAAAGCCTGGAATTTGATTTTGTAGATTCTTAATATATATCAATTTCTATAACAAGCTGTGCTATTAGAGTCAAGGAATAAATATAATACTATCCCTATCATCAAAGAGCCCATAGTCTAGACAGTATTGAGTATGAATGAGGTATTGGACATCTGATGAGAGCTTAGTTTCAATAGTCAAGAAACTAGCCTGTTGTCAACAAGACAGGAGACATTTCTTCAAGCCATCAGTCCTCTGTAGGTTAATCAGGTCCCACCCTTTGTTAGTGCTGATGAGACAATGCAACCAATAAGAATATTGAGTTTATAATGAAAAGTTAAACTACCAAATATAAATCAACCTGCCATTTGTGGCCTGAGAATTTTAAAGCCAAGCTCTTTATAGGTCTGCTGAGCTTTCAGTGAAAAAAAAAAAAAAAAAAAAAAGCAATAGTGAATAGTGTCCCTTAAAGATGTAAATAACTGAATCTAGTTTAAATGTAATTGTACCACTCAAGTCAAGTATGTCTTTGAGAATAACTATAAATTTTATATTGAACTCAAGTATCCAATATAGTGAAACACTTGGGAAAAGGACACATTGGGAAAAGGAAACATTGTTAGTGCAGTCATATTTTCTTTTTTTAAATACTTTAAGTTCTGGGGTACATGTGCAGAACATGCAGGTTTGTTACATAGGTATACACGCCCCATGGTGATTTGCTGCACTCATCAACCTGTCATCTACATTAGGTATTTCTCCTAATGCTATCCCTCCCCTACCCCACTGCCCCTCGACAGGCCCTGGTGTGTGATATTCCCCTCCCTGTGTCCATGTGTTCTCATTGTTCAACTCCCACTTACGAGTGAGAACACAGTGCAGTCATATTTTCTAATAGATTCTTGTCAATCCCAGTTTGTAAATGGATGGCATGCGAAAAAAATATATACAACCATATCTATCTACTTGATTCTCTAACAGTAAATGAATTATTTACACTAATTTGGATCCTCCATGCATTCTATATTCTTACAAACATTGACAACTTCATGAAACTGCTATTGCAGACTAACTCTGGTTAGCACCTCAGATATGTTGAGGAAAAAAAGGACGCGCACACATCATTAACCTTCACAACGACCCCATGGATTGTCCTTCTTTTTCAGCAGGACCTTAGATACTGTGAGGTGAGCAGGAAAGAGCTCATTTCACCTCACTGCTGGGCGTGGATCACTCTGACATTCTTAAATTCATTCTCAGTAGGTTTTAATAATGATGCACGAAGCTAGCCTATCTAGAAGGGTATGGAACATTGCCTGCTGCAACAAGGTACTCAATAAATATGGACACATGAATTCAGTTTTGATGTGAGGGTCTGTATTTAAATAATTATATACATGCATATGAGATTAAAACAAATCAGTTTTAAAAAATTTTTAATTTCATGTACTTCTAAAAGATTACTCAAGACTTCCAGAAAACTTGCACATGTGATGTTACTGAAAATCTTTTCACATCTGTGTTTAGTTGTACAACAAAGTCAGTCACAGAAATGACTCCTTAAATGCATACTCTTCAGGCATGTGTTTTGGTTCTGCCCAATATGGATTGTACTTTTTGAAAAGGAAAGGAAGTCCTCTCATTTTTCTTCTAAAGTTTACGATGGTGTGAATCCAGAAAGCTATGCTAAATTAACACATATTTATCCCTAATCCATTTCCATCCAAAGATCAATCTGGAGCCTGCTGTAAACAGGGAGATAGATGAGCACTGGTAAAGCTACAGGAAATCATGCTTTTTACATTTTCCGTATCTCAGCACATTTAGCTTCACCACTATAGATATTTCATAAAGTATAAGTTCCATTAAAAAGATAAACACCCAACTAGGGCAGATCCATGGTCCATCCAACTCAGTAGCTTTTTCTCTGACCGAAGCATCAACATGTCTGCTTTCTCAATAGAAGATGAATATATTCCTTGAATCAATAGTAAAATGTTAGGGTCATATCCGAAATAGTAGGCATCTCATAATAAATTTTATTAGGTATTGCATTTTCCAGTAACTTATCTAAACCCATTATTTTATTTTAAAGTCTATTTTAAAATTCATGGTGCCCCAGCTCATAAATTATTTAGGATTGGGGCATAAATAAACTTCTTTTCAACTTCAAGAAAGTGATTCTAAATATCAGACCATCATCAAAAATCTGATTAACCTTTATACATTTTTTTTTTAATTTTAAGAGCCTTTTTACCCTCACATAATTATACATTCTAACTTTCGTTTTTCTAAAATGGGAAGTTCTAGCCGGGCGCGGTGGCTCACACCTGTAATCCCGGCACTTTGGGAGGCCAAAGCAGGTGGATCACGAGGTCAAGAGATCAAGACCATCCTGGCCAACATGGTAAAACCCCATCTCTACTAAAAATACAAAAAAAATTAGCCAGGTGTGGTGGCGGGTGCCTGTAGTCCCAACTACTTGGGAGGCCGAGACAGGAGAATCACTTGAACCCGGGAGGTGGAGGTTGCAGTGAGCCGAGATTGCGCCACTGCACTCCAGCCTGGCGACAGGGTGAGACTCCGTCTCAAAAAAAAAAAAAAAAGAAAAAAGAAAAAAAATTCATGGTGCCCCAGCTCATAAATTATTTAGGATGGGGCATAAATAAACTTCTTTTCAACTTCAATAAAGTGATTCTAAATCAGACCATCATCAAAAATCTGATTAACCTTTATAAATTTTTTTAAATTTTAAGAGCCTTTTTAACCCTCACATAATTATACATTCTAACTTTTGTTTTTCTAAAATGGGAAGTTCTAATCATTAAATTTTGTCTTTGACAGCAGCTAATTTATACAAATCTTCTACTCCTGTTAATCATTTTCTTTCACATTCTTTGACTACATGCCACTCGAGTTAGTTTGATTCTAGAGTGATGTGAAAAAAAAATGTCTGCATGCATTCCTTAAATATTCCAAGGGAGAGAATATCACAATTTTATATAAGTAAAGGATGACATATTTATTTGCCACATTTGAACAAATGCTTCAGAATCTCATTTTGTGATTCAAAAGAGTCACGTTTTGTGTTTCACTAATCAGCATGAATATGATCCTGGCCTCTTTTTCAGGTCTATAGACTTCATTTTAATGTTACTTTTAGTTTGAAGTCGGGTATTAGGGTTTCCATTCAAATGACAATTCCTTTTAAAGTAAAATCTATTATTTTCTCAATCTTTGTGAAGTAGCTCAACCTATTTTATACATATTTGGTGGTTATTAGAATTATGCCTTATTATTGAGTAAAGCTTGAGTGTGCTGTGCCAGCACTTTTTTCTCCCTGTCTAATTGTAATCATGGCAACATATGAAGAGTTCAGTGGGAAGTATATAAAGTATATATATACATACACACACACACACACACACAGTCTAGTGTTTTAAACACATATATATATGCTTATATAATATGGTTTCACTTTATGCTGAGCCCCTTCATTCTGTCCAGTGTTTTAAACCTATATATATTTGTGTTTTAAACACAAATTATTACACTAGGTCTTCTCCTTTTTATAATTAGTTGTGTTTACTAATTACAAAGAAGAGAAGACCTAGCAGATGTACCTTTAGTTTTTAAAAATCAATGTTGTTATTGAAATACACAGAACTTTGAAGGAGCTTTGAAAACATGGAGAAATATGCACATTATAAGAGAGATGCTAGTTTCTCCATTTTCCATGAGAAATGAAAATAGTAAATATTATCACAGAGTAGTTATGACCAAAAAGAAATCAAAAGGGTGAACAGGATTAATTAATAATTTTTCTGATGATCTACAAATCTTCAGCATTAAATTTTAAAGTAATATGGCTCTTGGTTTTACTTTATACTGAGTTGTATCTCAAGCTGCCAAGGTCACTCCCACCCTTCCTCTCACACACATGGCACATGGAGTTCAAGAAATAACATTTTCCTAAAAAGAGAACTGTTCTCTGTGTTCTGGAGACAGATAAGAAGGGTGGGTTGGCCGGGTGCGGTGGCTCACACCTGTAATCCCAGCATTTTGGGAGGCCGAGGCGGGTGGATCACGAGGTCAGGAGTTCGACACCATCCTGGCTAACACGGTGAAACCCCATCTCTACTAAAAATATAAAAAATTAGCCAGGCATGGTGGCAGGCGCCTGTAGTCCCAGCTACTCAGGAGGCTGAGGCAAGAGAATGGCATGAACCCAGAAGGTGGAGCTTGCAGTGAGCTGAGATCGCACCACTGCACTCCAGGCTGGGAGACAGAGCGAGACCCCATCTCGAAAAAAAAAAAAAAAAAAAAGAAGGGCGGGTTAACCCTCCTATTTCACATACCCTACTAGTCTTGAAAAAGGAAGTTTGCCACGTGACCTCTGCTGTGCCACTGAGGAATTGGAGGAAAGGAGCAGATACAGGTAACAAAAACTCTGTGAATCTATGTGAACCTTCATAGATGTTCCATCGTGAGAGATAACAGTCTAAGCCAGTGATAGGTTGCAGGAGAGATGGAAGGCTGGAAGAATGTAGTGGGAAGAATTCAAAGGGGATTGGAGGCTTCTGTAGGGCACTAGACGTTTGGACCCTCGTTTGGCAGACTGAAAGACTCCATGGAAGAACAGGATGGAAAAGGGAAAATATGGATTTTAGAGAAAAAATTTAACTTCACAAGATAGAGTAATTTATCTGTAACAAATACACTAATATACACCTATAGATCAATAAGCTATAGTCCATCTAATGATTAAATCTCAACTCATTAGCTAATGTCTTCTTGTATCAGGCACTGTTCCAGGTTCTGGAAATACAGAAAGAAAAATTTTAAAAAAACCACTCTGATCTTGTAGGGTCTTCCATATCAGGATGATAAATTGTCTAGATGGACACACCGCACACCTAAAGACCCATTTAATGTCACTGTAGAGCAAATGTAGGTATTTAGAGTTGACCACAAAACAGAGACAAAGGCACCTGGGAGCCATGCAGCCTTGGAGAACAGGCCTCTCATGAAGCAGAAAGGAAAAGGAAGTCAATTCGATTAGTTGCTGCTTAAAGGGTGTATTTATCTTGCTGAGTTCTAGTCGCAGATAACTTAACATTTGCATTCCTGAAGTCCATTTCCAAGTGTCTTTGAAGAGCACTGAAATGTTCTTGGAAGCTGGCCAGAGCCACTTTGGCTTTTCTATCTGTACTTGTGTGAAAAGATCTGTACATGAACCATAGTACCTATGACAACTAAGATACTATAATATCTAATTGCATCATTTTGTAAAAGACAGAGTAGAGTACCACTTTTGAGTAGAGCTACTCTAGAGATAGGTTTAAGGTCAGCCTGCGAATGTCTCCCACTTGATGTCAAATATGCCTTGAATTTACAAACACAATTTGGCTTATATATTATTATTTACTAAGCTATTTTCTAAAATGATTCTTTTCCATGTGAATTAGTCTATTCTAGGCAATGAGTAAATGTAATAAATTGAAAATAATACCAGTGAAATCGAATCAGAAGTCTTTGGATAAAGAAAACTACTCAATATAACAATTATAACTGCTCCTATTTCTTATTTCAGTAAGAAACAGAGACATATGAATCAAAAAATATTTGCATCCTAATAGTTATTACCATTTTCATGCCAATTTATAGCTTGGTAAGATTTCCTATTTCTCACTCTTCATCTTACTGGTTCCAGAAAGAAACAGAAATTGCACATAGTGTCCAGACAATGCAGACAGAATTATAGGTCTTCACTTACACTGGTGTCTATGATAAAATGTGCAAGAATTAAAGAGGTTAGATGAAGATTCATCAAATTGGAAAACACTACCGGGTCAACATTAGCCCGTGTTTCACTAGCCAAGACCTGTTTTATCAAAGAAAAATTAAAAGCAGAAGTGCCACAATAGCTTGTGTTGTTATATTTGTTAATATTGATGAGATGTAATGAGACGTAAAAACTACCAAAGTTCCTCTATAGTTGGAAATGCAGAGAGTAGTTGCTGGTAGTTGCTGATAAAATTATTATCCATCCAACATTATTTTAGTGAGAATCTGTTTTTCCACTCTCAAAATAATGTTTTCCCAATATCCTTTTAATTGCAGTTTCCAATTCATCAGTAAGGAATTTCAAATACAATACACTTTGAAACAAGGCTATAAACAGACCGATGACTCAATCAAATGAAAGAAGAGATATTTAAATTAGATTTCATAAGGTAGTGATGTGGCTAATGCATGTTTTTATTTTTAATTTTCTAGTTCTCAGAGGAAATGATGCTTGAATCAGAATTGAAAGGTAGAAACTTTTCTAGTTCACTGATTTACAAGCATTTTTAAAATCTGTATAAGCCTATATTCAAAAGCAATTGAAAAAGATATTCAGGAAAATAAAGTTGTTCTAGCTGTGTAATCTTCCTTACTCTATCTTTACATTCTCCCTATCCCTCAGACCCCATCTCTAATTTTACTAGATCATTTTCACATTCCAACTTATAGACAGTTCCCCAAGTATAGCACTTGACCTTTTTTGTTCTTTTTTTTTAACTCAATCTCTCATAATAATTTATTCCTTCTTACCCGCCCACTACTTAAATCCCAAGCACATTCTCTGGCTTCAGAACCTCAGAAATATCTACAAACCTTCCCACTACTTTATTGTTTCTGTTTCTAATTCTTCTACCCATAGACAATATTGACTGGAAGTTTCTTAGAGTAGAATTTGAACTACAAGAGAAATAGAAATAACAGTGTAATTATTCCAGAATTTTGTCAAGAAAAAGAGAAATCAAGCATTTTCTAGAAAGGGAGAGGAAGAGTTGAATTTACATAAGGCCATCTCTGTAAAATAAAATATTAATGTCCATAATATTATGCAATTCCCAGTGTACATTGGTGTGTTCTTGTGGTTTTGTTTTGACTGCTCCCCTGTTTTACATTTCAAATAATAGGAACTAAGTAGGATTTTGCCTATCTGCAGTCTCACATATAGCTAGACTCTGTTTACACAACTGGAATACTAGCCCTCAAACATTCTTCATTATGATCCTCATGTAGACAAAGCATTTTTTAAAGTTCAGGTCAAGTATGCCCTCACGCTTTATTATCATGTGGAAGGTGAACTACTAGTTTTACAGATAGTTACACATAGCTTTTCTTCATTTCTAGAGAGGCATACTATATTCCAAATGTAAAGTCCAAGAGAAAGCTTCCCTTTCACCTTCTAAAGGTTCACTGAAAATGAACTTACAATAGGTAGATGAATAGGAGAAAAAGACATACAGAGTTATTTAATGTGTATAAGCACAAGAGAATCACAAGAATGACCAAAGGGGTCCAGATCCTTTACACTCTTTTCTTCACAGAATTTAAAATTGCAATTTAAAATTTCAAATGGCAGTAAGTGATTCTTAGGAGAATAAATTGGGCCAATGTTCAGACAGTTGTTAGTAAATAATTCTCTTTGGAAATTGAATGGGACCAGATAATAGACCGTGGTTTAGGTTAAAGTTTCTCTGGGCGCTAAGTATGGTGTTTAATTTTCAGTCTTTTCCTCTGTGATATTAAATGCTATTAATCTGGAAAGATTAATCGCATTTCAGGGAGGGGATCAAAGGCAATTGTGTTCCTCTTTGGCAGGTCTGGTTTCTAGGTAGATAAGAGAACTTTAGGGAACAGCCTCATCCTGTGCTTTGGTCGAAACAGAGGATTGAGAAACAGGAGGGAGGGGAAAGATCAGAGACACCTTGAGGGTGATTCTTTAGTTCATCATATCAAAGCATCATATTTTAGGTTATCATCTTCTGAGCTTCAATACCTGCAACTAGTTTCGCTCATTTCTGTGTAGTTGTTCTTCATCAATAGAAATAGGAATAATTCTCTAATGTATATGGGTTTTTATAGTTAAAAGCGCTGCTATCACATCAGTTATTTTACTTGATTTATCAACCAACTTGCCAAAGTCAGGTCAGGTATTATTGCCCCTGTTTGTTAGATAAGGAAACTGACAGCCACTTAATAGGTGATAGAAATAGGTCTAAAAGTTATGTCTATTACTCCTAACTCTGGTCTCAACAACCATAATCTATGGTGTCAGTGTCCCATAGAACACAGTAATGAAGGAGATCGTATGTGAGAGACAGAAAAAAACCATAAGCATCCTTGAGATATCCTAAAACATACAAATATAAAATAAACATAAGTGACAGTTCTATGAGCCTTCAGCCTAAGGATCTTACAGCAAACACCTGTGAAACTCGACCCTTTAACACCTGGCTCCTCTTGAACACCAGAGGCACATGGCTAACTATTTTTTCATTTTAACTGATCTCTGGGTTATTGGCATTGATGCCAGTTTTCAAGAAGAAAAAATACAAGGAATAGGTTTGCAGAAACCCTGACACCACCTTTACACCTGTAGGTTTTTTTCATGTTCAGCTTTCCTGATTAAAATAGAAGTGTTAAAATTGCATATTCAATGTTACTAAATAAATGTGGTAATTCTAAGCCTGCACACACTTTGATTTTTAAAAGGAAAAATCATCAGATCACCTGAGGTCAGGAATTTGAGACCAGCTCTGCTCAACATGGCGAAACCCCATTTCTACTAAAAATACAAAGAATTAGCCAGGCGTGTTGGCAGGCGCTTATAATCCCAGCTATTCGGGAGGCTGAAGCAGGAGAATCGCTTGAACCCAGGAGGCAGAGGTTGCAGTGAGCCAAGATGATGCCACTGCACTCCAGTATGGGCAACAAAAGTGAAACTCTGTCTCAAAAAAAAAAAAAAAAAAAAAAAAGGAAAAATCAGGAGAGATTTTTCAGGAGAGACAAGTGACTTTTGCAATAGAGGGATGTCATGATACATAATATTTGCATTAATTTTAGAAAAGATTAGTAATAAGTCTCTAATTTATCCAGATCAACACTGGTACATACATATACAAAGGCAAAGAAATTTCATCCACTGGCAGACAGAAAAGGGAGTCAAAAAGTTAGAAAGGGTATAAGAAACATTTTACAGTTTATACACGTTTCACTCTATTAATTATTTTTCAAAAAAGCTCTGGATACAAAAATCCCTGGGAGATAAAAAGTTTGGTTGGAGACCAACCATAAATCACATTTTCCACTATGTAACTATAATTTTCCAGGTAAAATCCTAATAAAACAAATGTCAAGAGGAAAAGCAGTTATAAAATGAAATGATATGCCTGTATTGTGATATAATGAATGTAGAATGTTTCTTTTTTTTATAAACTTCTCATTTATAATCGTTTTAAGTTTTCAGAAAAGATTAAAAATATAGTACGGAGTTCCACATATCCCAGTTTCTCCTATTATTAATATCTTATGTTAGAAGTTGCTAATCAGTCACAATTAATGAACCAATTTCCGCACACTATTATTAACTCAAGTCCATGCTTCATGGAGATTTCTTTTCCTAGGAGTTTTTATCTAATGTCTTTCTTCAGTCATATACTTTGTAGAGTGACCCTTAATCTGATGTTTTTCTCATAATTAGACTATGACTTGAGGTTCTGGGGAAGAAGATCACAGGAGTAAAGTGTAATTCTAATCACATTATATCAAGGGTATATACCAGCTACATGACTTACCACTGTTGATATTAACCTTGTTTACTTGGCTGTAGCAGTATTTATCAAGTTTCTCCACTGTCAAATGACTCTTTTCCCCCAATCCATACTGTAATCTTTGCAAGGAAGTCATCATTGTGTACAGCCCCCTCTTTTTTTTTTTTTTTTTTTTTTTTTTTTTTTGGGACGGAGTCTCATTCTGTCGCCAGGCTGCAGTGCAGTGGCGCGATTTCGGCTCACTGCACACCTCCACCTCCTGGGTTCAAACGACTCTCCTGCCTCAGCCTCCAGAGTACCTGGGACTACAGGCAAGCACCAACACGCCCAGCTAATTTTTTTGTACTTTTAGTAGAGATGGAGTTTCACCATGTTGGCCAGGATGGTCTCGATCTTTTGACCTCGTGATCCACCCGCCTCTGCCTCCCAAAGTGCTGGGATTACAGGTGTGAGCCACCACACCTGGCCCCAGCCCCCTCTTAAGGAGTGGGGAATTATGCTCCACTTCCTTGAGCGGGGAGTGTCTGTACAGCTCACCTGGAATTTTTCTGTGGGGGAAATTTGTCTATTCTCCCACAAGTATTTATTTACGCAATCATTTATTTGTACAAATATAGTCTCAAAGATATTTATCTCCCGCTTAGAGTGATAAGCCAGTATTACTTTATTTCTTTTAGTGCTAAAATTGTTCAGGCTTTGGGAAGCTCAATTACTTCCTATGTCCCTTGTATCCCTTTGACAGGCCTTTAACAATGTGGGGCTTTTTGTTAGGGGATCGCTCCTGCTTTCTGCCACTGCAAGATGCTCCAGGATCATCTTGTATATTTCTTCTGCCAGTCATAGATTCAGCCATTTTTCAAAGCAGTAGAATGGATTTTAAGACAGAAATACGTGAATTCAAATCCTGGCTTCACACTTACTTGACTATGACCTTGGGTAAATTATTTAGCATTTCTAAGATTCCATTTCCTTACTTGTGAAATGAGAACACTACTCACTTCCAAGGGTTATTATTCGTCTAAATTAGAAAATAAATGTAAAATCCTGGTTCCTAACACTGCATTTTAAAAAATTAATTCTCTTCCGTTCCTTCTTCTTTATCACCAGTCAGCAGAGCAACCTAATTCTTCTTTGCTAGTAACCTCCCTGAATCACTACCTATCTACCTTCTACCAACTGAGGAAGCTTCCAATACCCCTTACTTGGAAAAGTCACTTCAGTTACTATTTACAATCTAGAAATGCCTCGTTTTGTGACTAAACTCACACTTAAACACACACATATATACACACACATATATACACACACACACAATGCACACACACTCATGTTGTGTCACTTCACATATGTGTGAGATATTTCTAAGCTAACATGTCCTTAGTATGAAAAACATTTTACGTGAAATGTATAATAGCAGTAATTTTGAGATGCTAGTATCTCAGATGGTTAATTTAGAGAAAAAAGAAAAATATTTATCAAAATGGGTAGTTACCATAACAACTGCATGCAAGTTTTTTTCCAATCATTTCATTATTATTTTAACATTTCAGTTTCCATGACAACCAAATGCAGTTAGCATTATCTCTAAATATACTCCACAGGTATTTTTTTTCTTCAATGAATCAAGACCTTTCATTATATACTAAAGAGATCAAGGCTATCTCCATGAAATTAATGTAAAATCTATCAAAGACAACCCTCTTTCATAAAAAAATGAGCAAATTCAAATACAGTAACATTGTGGATATTGTTCATATTTTTCTTTTAATCATGTTTATCAAGGAGTTCTAAGAAAATATATCAGAAATGACCAGAGGAAATTTGTCTACATTTCTAGCACAGATTATGAGCTAAAAAAACAAATGTTTAGCTCAGAGAGTCAGACCTCATCCTGTGTTGCTATTAGCTTGTATTTTTATAGCATATCTTACATTTTAGTCACTTAGTGACATGAAGTACACAACTCTGGTCCCAGTGTAGTTCAGTTATCTGCAAAGGCTTTTGTATAAGTGAACCTATTTCTGTTGAAGCTGAATTTGTAACTTCATTTTTTCCCACGAACAGTACGATTCCTACTGTTCTTTCTCTTTTATTGCTTCTTCCCTCTTTCTTTTTCTATTCTCCTTTCATTACCTCTTTCCTTTCCTCCATCTTCTCCTTTCCTATCTTGACCTACCAACCCCTATGTCTTATGGTAATTAGTGGTAATAGTAACAGTAGTAAGGCAGGTCAGGGATGAGATGTTCAATAAACACCTTTTTGGGGTCAAAATGTTCCTTGGGAAAAAAATCCCAACCAAAATTTTTTGGGCATTTAAATACAAGTGCTTTAGGGGAAGAAAACTCTAAAGTGGTGCCTCAGTGTCTAACCCCTTTCTTCCTTCATTTAGAGAATTATTTAACATTAAGTGTCATCGTGAGAAGGAGACTGTGGAATGTACTAATGAGTATACAAAAAGCATATGGCTCTAATTCAGCAATTGTAAAATATACATAATTATTATTCTGTATACATTTTTGTTCAGGTATGTCCTCAGTAGATATACCAGAAAGGTCAATATAAAAATGGACCTAAATTATATATTTTTAAATATTCTGTAGTTGTTAATTTGCCTGGGGCCAACTTAATGCTAATCAACATACTAATACCACATGATACTATCATTTTCTGAGCCTTTTTATAACCCAAGATTTGTAATATCAAGGTTAATATAGCTGGGCATGGTGGCTCATATCTGTAATCCCAGCACTTTGGGAGGCCGAGGCAGGTGGATCGCCTGGGTCAGGAGTTCAAGACTAGCCTGACAAACATAGTGAAACCCTGTCTCTACTACAAAATACAAAAAAATTATCTGGGTGTGGTGGCGGACGCCTGTAATCCCAGCTACTAGGGAGGCTGACGTAGGAGAATCACCCAAACCTGGGAGGCGGAGGTTGCAGTGAGCCGAGATTGCGCCATTGAACTCCAGCCTGGGCAACAAGAGAGAAATTCCATCTCAAAAAAAAAAAAATGGTTAATGTTAGGAGCCAAACAAACATGGCCCAATTCTACAGCTCAATTATTTTTTTACTGTTGTCAGCTTTACCTTTTTACCAAGGTCCTCAATTAGTAATTCATATTTCACTTTGAGCGTTCCTCAGAAAAATATTTTCTATGGGATAGGTCTTATCCATTTACCTTGCTTTTACTTTTAATTTAAGAACATGGGTGGAAAATATTTAATTATGATAGAAAATACATAAACTTAGGAAACTGCAGAAAATGTATCAAACTTCAAAGTTTATATATTATAGCAAAGATATTTTTGCAGCTGCATAAAACAAAAACTCAAAACAGCAGTGATTTAAATAAGACAGAAGAATTTTATACCATCATATAATAGTATATTATTAAGGCTGTACTACATGTGGTCAATTTTTTTTTTAATTATTATACTTTAAGTTTTAGGGTACATGTGCACAATGTGCAGGTTAGTTACATATGTATACATGTGCCATGCTGGTGTGCTGCACCCATTAACTCGTCATTTAGCATTAGGCTATCCCTCTCCCCTCCCCCCACTCCACAACAGTCCCCAGAGTGTGATGTTCCCCTTCTTGTGTCCATGTGTTCTCATTGTTCAATTCCCACCTATGAGTGAGAACATGCAGTGTTTGGTTTTTTGTCCTTATGACAGTTTACTGAGAATGATGATTTCCAATCTCATCCATGTCCCTACAAAGGACATGAACTCATCATTTTTTATGGCTGCATAGTATTCCATGGTGTATATGTGTCACATTTTCTTAATCCAGTCTATCATTGTTGGACATTTGGATTGGTTCCAAGTCTTTACTATTGTGAATAGTGCCGCAATAAACATATGTGTGCATGTGTCTTTATAGCAGCATGATTTATAGTCCTTTGGGTATATACCCAGTAATGGGATGGCTGGGTCAAATGGTATTTCTAGTTCTAGATCCCTGAGGAATCGCCACACTGACTTCCACAATGGTTGAACTAGTTTATAGTCCCACCAACAGTGTAAAAGTGTTCCTATTTCTCCACATCCTCTCCAGCACCTGTTGTTTCCTGACTCTTTAATGATTGCCATTCTAACTGGTGTGAGATGGTATCTCATTGTGGTTTTGATTTGCATTTCTCTGATGGCCAGTGATAGTACTGGTACCAAAACAGAGATATAGATCAATGGAACAGAACAGAGCCCCCAGAAATAATGCCGCATATCTACAACTATCTGATCTTTGACAAACCTGAGAAAAAAAAAGCAATGGGGAAAGGATTCCCTATTTAATAAATGGTGCTGGGAAAACTGGCTAGCCATATGTAGAAAGCTGAAACTGGATCCCTTCCTTACACCTTATACAAAAATTAATTCAAGATGGATTAAAGACTTAAATGTTAGACCTAAAACCATAAAAACCCTAGAAGAAAACCTAGGCATTACCATTCAGGACATAGGCATGGGCAAGGACTTCCTCTCTAAAACACCAAAAGCAATGGCAACAAAAGGCAAAATTGACAAATGGGATCTAATTAAACTAAAGAGCTTCTGCACAGCAAAAGAAACTACCATCAGAGTGAACAGGCAACCTACAAAATGGGAGAAAATTTTCGCAACCTACTCATCTGACAAAGGGCTAATATCCAGAATCTACAATGAACTCAAACAAATTTACAAGAAAAAAACAAACAACCACATCAAAAAGTGGGCAAAGGACATGAACAGACACTTCTCAAAAGAAGACATTTATGCAGCCAAAAACACATGAAAAAATACATGTGGTCAATTAAGGCTCCTGTTGCTTTGCCTTTCCTGGGATGTCATTGTTGTCCAATGTTTCAGAACGTCTTGCCACCATGTTTGCATTCCAAGCAACATGATGGAGGCAGGGTGGGAGAAAGGTAGGCCCCTCCTGTTTAGAACATGAGTTAGAAGTTCTACACTTCACTTCTGCTAAGAACCTATTGTACAGAACTTAGTATCATAACCACACCTCCTAACAAGGGCAGGGGTACTAGTAAATGGGTCTAGTTTGTCATATGACAGCTAAAAATAAATGATTTTATTCTTACAAGGGTATTGAGAGACAACTGCCTATCTCTGTCAATCTCCCCTTCTCACTAGAAAGTTGTTTGTGCGTATGACTAATTTCACTAAATCCAAAGGTGATATAGAGGAAACTGAGATAGAAGTGTGGCTTGAAATTTTCTACTGCTTTGAAAGATGAAGCCTGAGTCACTCACTGCTGAGACATTTACTCCTACAGGGTGCCCTTATCATCAACTGCTCAGGAATCATTAATCTGCTCCTCACTTACCTTGCGTGTCCCCCAAAAAAACACCATTTTGCTCCACCAAAGCTGTCATTTTTAAACTTTTCCTGCTCACTGTTTTAGGGAGCAGCATTTTCCAATTCTTTACAGCTTTCACAGAAGGGAGGTATTTATTTCCTTTTCCAAAGGCATTAACTGTGGTTACCATGGTCTGCTTGTTTCCTTACGGGACTTTTTTCATTTAAATATTTTCTTTCCTCCGATCTTCTTTCTCTTTCCTTCTCCTCCTTTTCCCCATCTTTCACTCTTACACCCTCTCTCTCTCTCGCTCACACACACACACACACACACACCCCTCTAGTTGTTAATGAGGGTAGTTACAATTTTCACTTTTACATTGTTAAATGACTCTAGATGGCCGGGGGAGGGGTCGGCAGAAAGAATCATTAGCCATTTGTAATTCAACAAACTTGGCATGAGTCCTGGAGTTGCCCACAAATGAAATATTGAGTAATGAGAATTTAATTTTCTCCATTCCTATTCTCTTTTGTACATTCTTAGCAACCCTAAACATTATTTCAGCCCATTTGCTGTCAGGTGAGAAGGTATGACAGTGATAGCTTAAAAGATGTCCATATTTATAAATTCCTTAAACTTAAATAAATATGAACTTATAAATTAGAAAAATTGGTCAGGAATAACATACCAGAGAAACAGATCAAGGCTTAACCACAGCTGCAGTTTTGCCCACCAAAGTATGGAGGAAGAACTCCAAATACTGAGCCTTTAGAAGGAGCCTATCACAATCAAGAAGCTTTGATTTAGTACTTGAAATGATAGTGAAAGGTCCTTATGTTGGCAGTATCTGCTGGGAAAGTTGCTATCTTCCACATATTTTTCCAGAGAAACCAGGCAGGAACTACAGAAATATAGATTACTTTCAATATCAAAGTCACTTTTAGGCTTCTATAACATAGCTTCCAGAAAGTGATTTTATTTCAACAATATCTACTTGGAATATTTTTAGTGTGTCCAAGAAAACGTGGTATCAACTTCTGAAAGAAAAATGTAATTTTTTCATAAGACATAGGATTTATAAATATATCACTCACATTTTAAAACAACAAAGTGCTTAAATAATTCTCCAAATTTACTACAAACAGTCTAAGGCACAGGCCAATATGATAACACATATAAGGTTGAAGGTTGGATTTTCTAGAGGCAGAAGTGGAGTCAAGGATTAAAGTCCCCATGACTTCAGGTGGAAGTACAATTGAAACAGCTTTCAAAGGAATGAGGCAAACAAGAGCAAGCATGTAATCTCAGGTAGTCTAGTTTTGACCTGATCCATGGACTCTGGACTCTGGACTCTAACAGTTCTTACTCTAGAAGTCATGAAACTAGAGTGTGGGTTTTACCAATGCCAAGTATATTTCTTATATATTGGGCAACCAGGGAATTGTTGGATGGATCCACATCCTCAGTGGTCTTACAGTAAGACAAGCATGGGCAATAAGTATACTAGCTGACTCATCTATGCCTGCTTTATCAGGGGAGCCTCGATGAGGGTGCTCTGGGTCCCTCAGTATCAGAGTCAACTTAGACTCTATCCAATAACCCTTGAACTGGCCAATTAGTCCTTTTTTCTCTATGTATGGTTTTCAAAGTAAATAGTGGTAGGTCTTTTAGGGAAGGATAAGGTGAATCTTTACTGTATATGCTTGCCTTGTTATTCTGTGGTCCTTCTTCATGGGTCTTGGCCAGTCCTTCAGTTAATAGTTTCTGGATCTAAGGTCAGTTTTCAAAAACTAGTCAAGGCATAGTGACTTTCACAGGGCGCTGACCTAGCCTTCTGTCCTTCTGTTGACCCAAGTTTGAACACTTTTGATTATAAGAATTAAGCAATATCCTCATTGACTACCCAATCCATTTTTTTTCTCTAGATCCACTATGCTTTATTATCCATATCTACATATCCTTGTGGCTGCTACTCCAGCCTTCCTGACCATAATGGTAAGTATGTCCACCATGTTTTAGGTATTTTAGAGTTGCTAAATGGCCTCTGTTATTAAATTAAATGGCCAGCATCTAGTACCATCAACCCTGGCCTACATAGATAGGCACGACCCAGCTTTTTATTGACATCAGCACCTCTCACCGGTGTTATGTGTTGCTTTAGTAAATGGGGCGTCCCCTGGGGCCCTTCTCAGGTATACAGTGAGCTGCTAGGTCTCCCAGTCTTATGTAGATGATATCATGCATGCTTCTCTGAGCCTTTTGATTTCATCCGCCACCATATGCCATGACAGCTCTGAAATCCCTTTTGGAAGCTGCTGTTGAGTCTCACTGCAACAAATTAAAACTAGCCCCGAGGCAACTTTTCAGGTGTTAAGTTCTATGACACAGAAGAGCTTTCCCATATTGACAAACTCTTCCTCACTAGCTTTATTTTTGGCCTCCTTGACCCAGTACCCTCAAGTGTGACATCTGCAAGTGCAATTGTTATTGGTGACTAAGTTACATTTTTACTCAATCAGCACTAAGGATCTTAGGTATGAGGACTATGCTAAACGTAACTATAATAGCTTATAAAATCGTAGCAGATAAAATCAGTGTTGCTGTGAGGTTTTCTTTGTGAGTGTTCTCAAAAGCCTATTCAGAGTTCATTTGGATTAAAAATTAATCTCAGTTTTTTATGGTTACAAATTCAAAACCCTATTTTTAAATCTTTTAACTTTAGCATACAAGTCTTATTTTTCTATTTACAACTTAGCAAATTTAAATAATTGCTTTTAAGGGAACTTTGAATAATGTTTGGCTCATTTTATACATTTTATTAAATACTCTCAAATATTTTAACCATATTTATAAACTTAATCATGGAAATTCCCATTTTGAATGACTGTAATTGACCTAGAAAACAAAACTTTTCAGATTATAGTACTAAATGATTCTCATAAAATAAATAAACTTTGTAAGTACTGTGAATATAGTTATCTTAGATATTCCAAAACTGTGCAAAAACCTAGTAAGATATTAACTTATTATAAACTTACATCAATTACTCAATTTTACGTATTAAATTGGACTTATAAGGTTATCACATTAATACATCAAGTTCTATTAAAATGTAGAAGCACATGAAGTGGCAAATATCTATTAGACATCTTTTTAAAATTAACATAGTAATGCTAATGTTTTTATTTTCTTAATTGTTTTGTATTTAATTCTAAATATCTTGGAGTAAACTACATATACCCAGTAAGAAAGAAAATTATCATCTCACTTAACTGGGGTTAGGTAACATCTTGAAGACAAGACAGAACTGTAAACTTCCAGGGAGATTTGTCTCAAAGCCTGGACAATCAGTAGTAGTCACCGTACCATTGGCTTCGACATTTCAAAACTGTTTAGTCATGTAGGTTACAGAGCCTACTTATTCTCAACTCTCACCTAGGTTGAATACTTTATTAAACTTTGCATTTCTGAGGAGTTTAAACAGATCTAAATGTTTTCCTACCTGATTCTAATAGCCTTATAATTTGATGAAATCCTAGGTTATGTGTAGTTTGGTTATTTTTTTTTTCTTTAAGTTAAACACCATGATTGAGTCTTAGAAGCCTGCATTCCTGTGTGCTTAAGACTATACAAATCTTTTGTACATTTGAAATAATTCCCAGTAAATTTTGGATATTTCACAGTTTTATCTGACTGTGGACACAATTTACAAAGTTCCTTTACAGACAAATAAAAGTTATAATGTACTATTTCACACTAAGAATCAGTTCTTGATTTTCTGAAGATCTTGTTCCTACAAATTTTTCCAACCATCCATCCATCCATTCATCCCCTGAACATTTACCAATGTCCTCACTGCCGTGAAATGCCTTTTCTGTGGAGGAAATTAAGTAATTGAGAATTTATTGCCTCATGTTGAAGCGAAACATGTCAGAGAAGAAGCAGCCCTCCTTATTTCATCTCCACAATGAGAATAATGATGAATATAACACTTTTTTTGCACAAGGCTGAGGATACAGTCAACTTTGAATAAATGGCAGTGTAGGTACACTAGAGCACCACAGTTAGGACTGAACTGTGTTATGGAGGTATATTTCTGGAAAATGGGTATGAGGATCACCTCATCATTTCGTGAACACTCAGGAATATATTGAGGTTGTTTGTTGCTTGCTTGGTGATTGAGGTGAGTATAAAACATTGCAGATTCAATCTCAGCGTTTTTTAAAATGATAGCAGAGCCTAGAGCATCATGGAATTCAGATACGGCCTGAAACAAAAGCAGTGTTCATTAAAAAATTTCCACTGAATATCCACTATTCGACCATAACTCAGCACCGTTCTGGATGCTGAGAATACTAAAGTGGAACGAAACACTTTTGTTTTCTTTGGATAAAGAAAATGTGATATGTATCTACAATGGAATATGACTCCACCATAAAAAGGAATAAAATTATTTTGGGCAGCAACTTGGATGGCCATTATCTTAAATGAAATAAGTCAGAAACAGAAAGTCAAATCTCAACATGTTCTCTAAGTGGAAGCTAAATAATGTGTAAATATGGATACAGAGTGTGGAATAATAGACACTGGAGACTTGAAAGGGTGGCAGGGTGGAAGAGGGGTGAGGAATGAGGAATTGCTTAGCAGGTACAATGCATATTATTCAGGTGATGCTTACACTAAAAGCACAGACTTCACCACTATGCAACATATCCATTAACAAAACTGTACTTGTACCCCCTACATTTATACCCCAAAAAAAGTGAACAAAACAGGCAGAACAAATTTCTGCTGTCATAAATTTATACTCTGATGTCTACAGTCTCCGAATTACCAGAACAGAAGTGGGAGCCAGGAGAATTAAAAAAAAAAAATCTGCCAAAAGTGAAAAGGAATTTTCTCACGCTTGGCATAATCCCCTCTCCGTGAGAGGAAATCAACAGTAGACCATGTGTTTCTATGGTGACTCTGGACCATCTAGGAGAATTCTGTGTTGTTTCTTAGCTTTATTTTACTTTAAAAATCCCAATTAATTTCTATATATTTTCCTCTGAAGAAAATTTATGAGAGTTTCATTGGGCACCTTTTCATTATTCCATTATAACACTCACAGAGCAGTATCTAATATGAGGCAAAAATAATTAAGCTATATAACATAAATTGTTACTACACTACAATCTATATTGAATTGCACCTTACAACAAAGGTCTATGTCAAAATCTGCTGCATTCTGAGGCATCTTGAACTGATCTGTTTGAATTTTACATAGTTTCCCTAAAGACTTTTATTTGAATGATTAAAGTCATCTGATGAAAGGTGACTGAAGTGTGATGTATTTAATTATTTAATATTTCTTGAGGTTTATTCCAATGGATTAAGTGTCATAGTCTTGCCTAGCAGCAAGCCTTTCTCATGTAATCTTTACTCAATTTTGTTGACAAGTAGAGTGTTGTTATAGTTCTTACCAGCATGATGGCAGACTTGTGTGGCTGATCCATAGAGTTTGCCTGCCTGTGTTTTCCTGGAGAATTCACACAGTCTGTACATTATGGATGTCATGTGTATCATATTTTCCTTTTTACTCTCTATTATTTATAGTGATTCATCCCATTGTCCATCGCCTTTTCTTAGATGATTTTCAATTTCAAATTTTCATCAGTGAAAAAGCTTTGTTGCAAAGCTTTATCACGAACCCCACAAGCAAGATTTTTCCTGCCACATCAGAGTTGAAAATTTTCCCAGCTAGCAGTGTTAACAGCAGTATTATAGCTCTGCAATCTAGGCAGGTAGTTTCATTTGTGAAGTTAGATCCTATCAGTGAATCAAATTGATTTGGTCCCAGGAGAAACAGTTCGTGAATGTTCATAGCAGCATTACTTGAAATCTCCAAAAACTGGATATAAGAGAAATGTTCATCAACAAGTGAATAGATAAACGAAATGCTGTATTTGCAGACAATGAAACACTACAGGAAAGAAATAGTGATGTAAACAACACCCTGGACAAATCGCACAAACATTATGCTGAGTCAAAGAAGAAAGAGAAAAACAGAGTACAGTCATGTGCCTCATAATGTTTCACTCAATGATAAACCAACTATGTATCTAACAGTGACCTCCTACTATAATAAAGCTAAAAAATTCCTATCGCCTAGTGATTTCTTAGCTGTTGTAACACTGTAGGTTAATGCGTTACTCACCTGTTTGTGGTGATGCTGGTGTAAACAAACCTACTGTGCTGTCAATCATATAAAAGTATACTAATACAATTATGTAGTACAGTTCATAGTACTTGATAATGATAATAAACTACTATGTTACTGATTTATAGATTTACTTTTGTCTTAGTCCATTTTGTGTTGATATAAAGGAATGACTGAGGCTGGGTAATTTATGAAGAAGAGAGGCTTATTTGGCTAACCTTTCTGCAGGCTGTACAAGAAGCATGGCACTGGCATCTGTCTGACTTCTGGCGAGGGCCTCAGGCTGCTTCTACTCATAAGAGGAGGTGAAGGGGACCCAGATGTGCAGAGATCACATGGCAAGAGAGGAAGCAAGAGAGAGAAGAGGGATTTGCCAGGCTCCTTTTAACAACAAGCTACCTGGGAGCTAATAGAGTAAGAACTCACTCAGCCCTGAGGGAGGGCATTAATCTACTAACGAGATATCTGCCCCCATGACTCAAACACTTCTCATTAGACTCCACCCCCTACATGAGATTTGGTAGGGACAGACAAATCATAGCTGCTGTACTATATTGTAATTTGTATTGTTATGAGATACCTCTTCTGCTATAAAAAAATGGAGTTAACTGTAAAACAGCCTCAGGCAGGTCCTTTAGAAGGTATTACAGAAGAAGGCATTTTTATCAAAGGAGATGATGACTCCATGCATGCCACTGCCCCTGAACACCTTCCAGTGGGACAACATGTGGAGATGAATGACAAATGAAAATATGGGAAGGTGATAAAGAATAAAATTTCTATTTTCCTAAATTTCCAATTCTTTTTTTTTTTTTCTTGAGACAGCGTCTCACTCTGTCACCCATGCTGGAGTGCAGGGCACTATCTCAGCTCACTGCAACCTCCATCTCCTGGGTTCAAGCTATTCTTCTGCCTCAGCCTCCTGAGTAACTGAGATTACAGGTACATGCCCCCATGCCCGGCTAATTTTTTGTATTTTTAGTAGAGATGGGATTTAACCATGTTGGCCAGGCTGGTCTTAAACTCCTGACCTCAAGTGATCCACCCACCTCGGCCTCCCAAGTGCTGGGATTACAGGTGTGAGCCACTGTGCCCAGCCTTAAATTTCCAATTCTTGAGTGACACGTGCCATCCCATCCCTGGCTTTTACAGTGCTCATGATGTTAACCATGCTTTCCAAGAGGAGAGAGCAAACAGTGCTAGATTTCCCCACAGCCTAGTGTGCCAGTGACAGCCAACCGCAACCCCTTCCCACTAGCCACAGTTTGAAACAATCATTGGAGCATTTGCCCCACTAACATATTAAACAGTGCCAGTAAAGTTAACTTTTTGAGTGATAACTTTTTTTTTAATTATACTTTAAGTTCTAGGGTACATGTGCACAACGTGCAGGTTAGTTACACAGGGTTTGCTGCACCCATCAACTCGTCATTTGCATTAGGTATTTCTCCTAACGCTATCCCTCTCCCAGCCCCCCACCCCCTGACAGGTCCCAGTGTGTGATGTTCCCCTCCCTGTATCCATGTGTTCTCATCGTTCAACTCCCGCTTATGAGCGACAATATGCGGTGTTTGGTTTTCTCTTCTTGTGTTGCTTTGCTGAGAATGATGGTTTCCAGTTTCACACATGTCCCTGCAAAGGACATGTACTCATCTTTTTTATGGCTGCATAGTATTCCGTGGTGTATATGTGCCACATTTTCTTAATCCAGTCTATCATTGATGGACATTTGGGTTGGTTCCAAGTCTTTGCTATTGTGAATAGTGCCACAATAAACATACATGTGCATGTGTCTTTATAGCAGCATGATTTATAATCCTTTGGGTATATACCCTGTAATGGGATGGCTGGGTCAAATGGCATTTCTAGTTCTAGATCCCTGAGGAATCACCACACTGTCTTCCACAATGGTTGAACTAGTTTACAGTCCCACCAACAGTGTAAAAGTGTTCCTATTTCTCCACATCCTCTCCAGCATCTGTTGTTTCCTGACTTTTTATTGATCTCCCTTCTAACTGGTGTGAGATGGTATCTCACTGTGGTTCGGATTTGCATTTCTCTGATGACCAGTGATGATGAGCATTTTTTCATGTGTCTGTTGGCTGCATAAATGTCTTCTTTTGAGAAGTGTCTATTCATATCCTTTGCCCACTGTTTCATGGGGTTGATTTTTTCTTGTAAATTTGTTTAAGTTCTTTGTAGATTCTGGATATTAGCCCTTTGTCAGATGGGTAGATTGCAAAATTTTTCTCCCATTCTGTAGGCTGAGTGGCAGCTTTTTCGAAAATACAAAAGTTAGTCACATGAAGAAATTAGAGGTTCCTGTCAGAGCCTAGAGCTGAGTGTGGATTACTTTTCCAGCAGAGCTCCAGAACAAATTCAAATCATCTCCTGGGCAATTCTCTAAGGATAAATGCTGCACCTGGAAAATTTGTGGAGCTCTCGTAGAAAAGGGAATGTTTAAGAGAGGGTAAAGTCACTTACTGTGCAGCTAGAACCTTCCTACAGCTGATATATACAGATGTAACAAATCTCCTAAATGTCCCCTAGGTTAAAATAATAGAAGATCTTCTCATTGAGATATGTGTTGTTTGAATTGCTGGCCTGCTTTTACAAACCCATGAAGAGAAAAATTAACTCAGTGTTCTTTTTGCCTGTCCTGAATGCCAGTGTTCATCCCAAACACACGACTTGCTCTTTCATCTCCTTTAGGTTCTTGTTAAAATATGACCTTCTCAGCAAAACATTTCTCACCTCATTTTTAACACTGAATCATACCAAAATCTACACCCCTACCACACACATGTGCACAAACACGCACACGCACACATATACACCATATTCCCTATGCCCCTTATTTTATATTTTGTTGACCATATGAAAAACTTTGTATTTTACTCATTTATTTATTTTCTATCTTCCCCCTTCCTTCCACCAACTTCCACAAGATTATTTTCTCACTTCTTTTATTCTGTATTCCTAAGGCTTGGAAGAGTTCCTGATATACAGTAGGCATTAATTCAATATTAATGAATAAATGAATGACTATTATACAGAAAGAAACAGGATAAGTCTCCAATACATAGACTAGAGCTCAATTCTTTAACAGACTGGTAAAAGTAAGCAGGGAAAATTTTCCTTACATTTTGATAGGATTTGATTCTCCGTGAGACTCAATGAACAGAGCATCTCAAATTTTACACCCCAATAATTGCAACGATAATTTTCCAAACCATTCCAGTTATTGTTGTATGAGATATTGACATGTGTTACTTATTAAAAACAAATCTATGGACAAGTACATTACATATATAATAGAATCTATAATATACATATAATATATGTACATATATATATATGTATATATACTTCCGTATATACACTTGGGGTCTTCCTATTTGCCCAGTCTGAAGTGGAGGGGAGTCCCTATCTTATGCCTACTTTATGCGTACTTATAAATGTAATATATATTACATTTATTTCCTAGAAAAACATAAAACACCACGTTTTATTAAGAGCTCTGAGAAACCCTGCAATAAATTCAAACGTAAACGCACACATCAAAAAGAGTTTTAATTCTGTTAACACACTTTCCCAAATTTATTGGACAACAGTGCCCCTTCTACTTTAAAATATGTTAAAATCTCATTGGAGAGTCAGTGGAGTATTTAGGAAATTCTGGCATATTTAACCTATTCTTCATCTCTGAGGGAAAAAAAAACCTATATTGGTCATTAAAGGCTCAGAAGGTATAATACCAATCATGTTATTCTGAAAAGAGTTGCTTAAGAATTAAATTTGGCCAAATAAGATGTGAATCATAATAATGGATGAAACAGAGAAGACAAGTATTTTACAGAAACAGTATGAGGTATGGATTTATGCTGAAGATTAGGAAGGAAATTATATAGACTGAGGGCTAAGTCCACGTAAATTCAGGGACAATTAATCCTCCATTTGGTATGACAGAGATGCATATCATGCATACCAAAATTATTAAATATGAATTAGAACATAACAATAAAAAATAACAAGATGAATAAGAAGGAGAATATTTTTAAAAATTTGGGCTAAATCTTTCTAAGCAGAATACTATGGCTAGAAGACTAATAAAAGGAAGTCACAGGTTTAATGGGCATACGTCCATTATACCTAAATATTAGACTTGAAAAAGTCACGAAAACAAAATGTAAAGAGAAACATCAAATTTTCAAAATATTTACAACAAATACAACAAAGGGTTATGTCTTTAACTTAGAATTTTTACAAGTTAATAAGAATGAAGACAAAAACTCTTGATTCCGTGACGTTCCTCATAAAAGAAACACAGGTAAGCATTAAGATTTTGAAAAGAGACTTCACTTTGGGAGGCCAAGGCGGGCGGGTCACGAGGTCAGGAGATTGAGACCATCCTGGCTAACACGGTGAAACCCCGTCTATACTAAAAAAAACAAAAAATTAGCCGGGCGTGGTGGCGGACGCCTGTAGTCCCAGCTACTCGGGAGGCTGAGGCAGGAGAATGGCGTGAACCCGGGAGGTAGATCTTGCAGTAAGCCGAGATCGTGCCACTGCACTCCAGCCTGGGTGACAGAGCGACACTCCATTTCAAAAAAAGAAAAAAAAAAGAGACTTAAATTCTTTTAATCGGCATCCATCAATTTTTCAAAATTAACAAGTTCAATCAATCTTAGATTCAGCAAGTGTTTGGGGAAATAGGCACTCCCACATAAAATATTGTTAGGAGTGTCTTTCTCTCTCAGTAAGGATCGGAGTTGAAACTATTGCACTCTGAGAAATTTATCCAAAAGAAAGGGCTAGAAATATACAAAATGACATTTCCTTATTCAATGGAGCCTTTCGTTCAAATTGAAAAAATAACTATTAACAGTTAAAATGTGAGAGGATTTGTAGCATAGTTAAAAGAATATGAGCTTTGGAATCAGGACCCAGCCATACTGAATACTGAGATATTGGACAGTGTCTCAACTTCCTTATGTCTTAGTATCTCCTGTGACATAAAAAAGATCCTAATAGTAGACATCACATAAGGCTCCCCAAGAGTTAAACTACTTAATGTATGTAAAATGCTTTTTCCATTGCTGTAACATAACAGATGCACAAATAGTTGTGTGCGTACACACACGATATACCGATTCAATGGAATATTATGTAGCTCTTTAAACAAATGACACAAATCATGCTTTGACATGTAAAATGTTCATGATGTATTGATAAGTAAAAATCAATGAGGTCCACTACATACTATATTACATTTCATATTTATATCATATGCCCAGCTATATATTATATACTATATCATAAAAAATACTTATCAAACTATTGGCAACGATTATTTCAGGGTAAGCAGGGAGGTAGTATGTCAAGGAAAAGGAATAGAAAAAAAGAGGAGAATTTCCTTTTCTACTTTATACATTTTATAACGTTTAAATATTTTGCAACAAATGTGTATTGCTTTTATAAAATAGCTACAACAAAAATCCCTATTGTAAAAAATGATTAAAGCCAAAGAAGGCTATTTGATGTATTTTCATATCACTGTGAAGCTTCCCCTGTGAATTCAGGCAGGACACGTTATTGATGTTGTTCAACTTCTACATTTCAGATTTAAAAAAAAAAAATGTTTTACAGTGTTTACCCCTGTACTCGAAGTTAGGTATGCCTGGGTTTCATAGATCCCCACCTATCAATCTTTTTTTAAAAGAAAATTGTCAGTAATTTATTTTTCAATCCTGAGAGCCAAATTCCCCATGACTTAATTAATACTATTACAGGATTAGAATAAGATTTCATAATGAACTCAGAGGATGCCATTTAAAAATCATTTTTTAAAAACTCTTCTGGATTTGGAAATGAAATGCTGATTTGAGACACAAAAACCAAGCTAATCTCAAAGTTAGAGGTTAATCCTAGGATTTTGCATTTTAATAGTTTTGTATATAATTTCACCATTTGAAAGGGAAGATTTAAATACTGTTTCCAGGTTTGTTTAAATAATTTCTCACTGCAACAATTCATTGAAATTTAATTACAACCTAGATGGTGATTCTCCTGCCAGGCTTTGAAAACTAGTATAGACTCATCCAATGTTCATTTTAAACTAGTGTGTAACTCCAAGAGTGTCTGCACCAATGATGAGGGTGGGGAAAGACGCCAGATTGCATGAAGAAAGACACCTGGTCATTTTGTTACACCAAAAAGAGTAGCTCTAGGAAAACATCTTGTGGGGAGAATTTTCTAGCTGAAAAGAAAGAGGAACATTAATTTATTCTGGAGCTAGACCATTTCTGGAGTTCAGGAAGTCAGAAACCTGGTATTTTCACAAATTTTTTTTAACAAAAAAAGTTTTAATGCAGTGAAACCTCTTATATGGATGTATTTGGAATAGAGCATGATTCAAAGCAAACACTATACTGGAAATATACCCTTGAAATATTTTTGAATAAAAAATTGCTATTTCATATCTGAGGAAATGGCCTATTGTACACTACTAAACAAAATAAATAATCTGAAGCCACTAAACTAATGTTTTTTAGAACTCCCGTAACTACAGGATTTAATAAGAATTTACTAAACTTCCTTTAATTTATTCTCTATATTCTAAATATGATGCAAACACTTGATCAAAATACTATATATATTAGCCCCTTGCAGAGAGTTGAAATGTATACAGAATCTTCTCGAGTGTGTGTCAGTATCTCTCCGATCCTAACCACCACGAACTCACATTTGGACTTCTGCAATGTCTTCTTCAATACTTACTTCCCATGGTTTATTCTCAAAATGAATCCTTTAAAATGTAAATCACATCGTGATACTCTCCTGCACAAAATCTCACAATGACTCCTCCTTCTCAATCACACTTAGAATAAATCCAAAGACCACAGATGGCCTGTATAATCTGGCCTGTCTAGCACTCTCTTCTTCCTTTGCAAATCTTTGGAGGCACTGCTGTGCATCATGGAACTCAAACACACCACGATACTCTTTTATACATGGAAAAGTCAACCCATAGGTATCTCTAGTGCTTACTCTCCTCTTCATTTAGTTATTTGCTCAAATGTCATCACAAGAAAGAGGCCTCTTCAGACTACTCTGTAAAAATGAGGCCCACTATCATTCTTATCTTGGTGTTATGTCTGATTGTTTATTATATAATTGCTTTAGAGGTTGTTTTTTTTTTTTTTTGCTATTTTTGTCTCTCACTATAAGGATATAAGCTCTGTAAAGTGTCACTTTTGACTGTTTACAACACCAGACACATACTAGGTGCCTGATAAATAGCTGTTGAATAAATTAATAAAGATTTGAAAAAAAAAACCTCAATGTTATTTTCCAGAGTGTGTGATCTTATATCTTTAACATCTTTTCAAGCCCTTTCATCCAATGTGATCAATCCATTTTTTTAACTCTTCCATATTCTTAAATAATGAAGCTCAATGCTAGCCATTGGAAGGTTATGAGTAGTAGCATATGTAAGTTTAAATATGTTTAATGGGATAATATTTGATAGATTATCTGATAAATTTTCCTTTTCATGTAATTCTCATTAACCCATAAACATTTTATCTATATAGGAAGCAGCAGTATGTCCAAGGGTTATATCCCATGGAAAGAAAAATGTAGTAAGATATTAGAAGTTCATTTTAATGTTTATGTTTAATATGTAACAGTTGAAACTCATCGTAGCAGAAATCAATTAGAGAAAAGACTATTTTAGTCTTGGGATCCTGGTTCTCATGTGCCAGAACTCTGTGGCCCTGAAGAACTGAGACATGTCATAATAATGATATCTTTTCAAATCATCTGGGTGTATGCAGGATGATATAAGAGCAAATATCTCCAACCCCATAGGAATTAGAGCCTCTGGTGAGATAAGGGAGAAGGGAGGAGAGAGAGAAAGGAAGAGGTTTAGAGTGAATCCAACATAAACTCCGATGATTGGAACAAAAAGGGAGCTTTCTCCCTGTCCCAACCATGGGCGAGCATTAGGGTGAGGATGGAAAGGAAAACTATATACCCTAGAAATAAGGTTATGTATCCTGAAATGTAAGATGCTTATGACTTTAATTTTCCAGAGGAAGTCCTGGTGGGTGGCATATATTTTTGAAAAATCCCACCCCAAAGAATAAAGTAGGCTCACAGAGGTCCCACATGATGTAGTGTGGTACAGAAGGCAGGAAACAAACACAGGTTTGTTTATATGACTGAGCGGTACAAAATATGCCATATGGACTTTGAGAAGTGATCTGTTTTCATTTTGGTGAATAGTAGATATTAGTTTTAATAGTCAAATTTATTGATATTTTCTGTTACGGTTAGTTCTTTTTGAACTTTATTTAAAAAATCATTTTCTAATCCAAGGCCCTAGGGCATTTTCTGTATTATTTTTCTGGAAGTACTGTTGTTTTCCTTTGCATATTAAGATCTACAATGTAACTGAAATTTACTTTTTTGAATGGTACAAGATAGTAGTCTAATTTAATCTTTTTCACATAGGTTTCTAACTGTTCCAGTATCATTTATTATATTAATTTAAGAGAACTGAAATGCTTAAAATATTCAGTATTTTGTCAAGGGAAGAGACTACCCTTGAAATATATATGAAACAAGAGTGAATATAATGCATTATCCACTATTTAAAGAAGTCTGCTTGCAGGAACCAGAGCTCTGAACAAAGCAAGGACTTAATCTTATATAAGACTTTGAGTAAGTATAGAGGTAAGTGACTGGCTGAATTTCAGCACTTCGACCAAATCTGATCTGTTATTGATTACCTTATTTCAGCCATGAGAATTTTGAAGGAGAACCACTGCATGGAATTTAGGAACAGATTTTTGTTTTGGCCCTGAGGATAAGTCTTTATTGTTTGTACCAGTTGGATATAGAAATTTTTTATACTTACTTCCAAAGCTATGGTTTTATAGCTACCTCCTACCATAGGTTTTCTATTTGTACTATTTGATCTAAGTTTCCCTTTCCCCTCTCCCTTAGATTATATTTGATTGGCTGAGAAATTTTATTATTCCCTTTATCACCTTTGTTAGTTCAGAAGATATATATACATATAAATATGTGTGTGTACATGCACACATATCTTATGCACATGCGTACGTATATATATTTATGCATATACATACTGTTCTTTTAGTGGTTACTCTGAGTTTACAAAATGCTTCTTTAAATGATCAATTCTAATGTTATATAGCAAAAAGCTTACAATATTTTAACTACGTTTACCTTATTTGTCTTAGAGATTTGTAGCTACGTGTCTTAAATCTATATGTATATTTTACATGCTATCATATGCTATTACTAGTCTATAATACAATTAATATTCAGTCTAATTTAATCACATAGTAACCAGTCTCATGAAGCTTTATAACCTGCCAAACCTTTGACTTTCCTTTTGTGATAAGGACATCTTATTTAGTGTGAACTTAGTGATGATAAATTCTTGTGTTATGTTTTGTTTTGATCTGAAAATGTCTTGATTACATCATCATTATTGATGCATCTTTTTGTCTAAGTATAACATCTAGGTTGAATTTTCTTTAAGAAATTCAAAGGTAACACCCCAGTGTGTGTGTGTGTATGTGTGTGTGTGCGTGTGTGTGTGTGTGTGTGTGTGTGTGAGAGAGAGAGAGAGAGAGAATGTGTGTGTGTTTGCTTGGTTTTTGGCTTTTTTACATGTTTCTATCAAGAAGTCAAAAATCAGTCTAATTTTGCTTCACTTTAGTGTAATCTCTCAATTCTCTCACTAAATTTAACATATTTTATCTTTCCTTGAATTTTCTGCAGTTTAGTTCTAAAGGGTTCAAAAGTAGATTTCTTTGTACTTTTCTTATTTGGGTTCATAAAGCTCCTTGAATCTCTGGCTTAATGCATTCTTTTTGAAAACATAGTCATTATTAAAATATCCCTTCTGTTCCATTCTCATTTCTTTTCTTCTGAAACTTATTTACACCAAATTAAAATTTATCACTGCATCTTTTGTCATCTCCTCTCTGTTTTTGTATTTTTCATTTTTTGTCTCTGTTTTTCATTCTGGATGTGTTTTTCTTACAGATGTATCATTTCACTAATTCTATGTTCATTTGTCCTCAACCCATTTTAAAACATACCCACCGAAACCTAGTTACTGATAAATTTTTTAGTATCTTACATATCTTACTGTATTGTGCTAAATATCTTTTGCACTTTTTCAATTCTGCCTTCTTTTTAAAAATGGTTTCCACTGAAATTCCCTCTTTTCTTTTCTCTCCTTGAACATGTAAATATATTTATATTAGAATCCTTCTCATAAAAAATTTCTTAATCCTCTAAAGTCTTTTTCTATTTTCTATTGTTTCTCGTGATTTTTATTCATATTGTGTCACAGCGTTGTGTGTTTAGTTATTCTTTATTGCATGCCAGACATTGTATATGAAAAATTGCTTTTATAAATAATTTCAGGTTTAGAAAGGTGGTATATCTTTCCAGACAGAATATTTATTTGTTTTTGCCAGGTTCCTGGGAATACCAGAAATCTGAGGTCACTGTAATTCAATGTCAAGGTTAGATGATTCATTCCCTGTGATGGCTATTCTATTTCTCTATCATCCTAATCCCTAGGAAGCAGAACTTTAGTGTTTCAAATGAAATAGTGGAGAGTTTATCAGACCCTTCCTATCATTGAGAAGCTCAAGACTTCAGCTTTTGTTCAGTTACCCCTACGAAACTGTCACATATTTGTTTGGCTTATTGATCACTCATTTGGAAACTGAAAAATGTCCCTAGAGGAAATGTATCTCTAGAGTCCAGGCTCACCACCATCTGTTTTGCTATTCTCTCTGGTTTTGGTCAAGGACTTCTCTACTACCAACTTTCTAATACTTCAAGCTAACAATTTGTTTGTTAGTATACTTGTCTAGCTTACCTATTTGTACTACATATTCAAAATTACCCAGTTTTCCATTACTAAAAATAAAAGGTGCTAGTTTTAAATGAGACAAACATAGAAGCAGATGTCAGAGATCCAGATTAGTGAGATGTGACTAAGGATCCCAATTAATGTACATGTCAGTTGATACCAAGTTCAAGTTCATCTGATAAGCAGTAAAAACTAGTTCCTCAATATTCCCTGAACAATATCTTGATACACTATAAATCCTCAAGGGAAAAGAAATGAGGGAGAGATATCTTTCAAGTGATATAAATCTCTATTATCTAAGTTTATATGAAGTGATTAATATTATTGGGATGGGACTACTATTGCAGGATATCATTTAAAAAGAAAATAAAATTAGTCATTTAGGGCACTAGCAAACATATCTGGGCCCTAATCTATGCCTATAATATAGCCATCTCTATCAAACATTAGGTACGACCTCTGTTGTTACCCAGAATTGACCATGATGTTCATAAAATGTTTAATTTCTTTCCCGATGATATTCTAACAAGCTTAACTCTGTATAAAGGTAGAAAATGTATTACAAGTCCTTAACATAATAAAGTTTGCAATAATTACAAGCTCTAGTTATTGAATGTTCTACATGTTAAGGACTGTACTAAGATGTTTTAGTTTCAAACCTAGGTTGCGTAGGTTCAAATCCTAGCTCTGCCTCTTACAACTTTTGTGACCCTATTAAAGTTACTTAATCTCTGGATAGCTCAGTTTCCTTACTTGTAAAATTGGAATAATAATAACACTTACTTCAAAACATTGATTTAACAACTCGTAGTTATAAATTATTCAATAAATGTCAGCTATTGTTAGCTCTAAAACTAAAATAAATCTTCTAGATTGATATTATTATTTTCATTTTTAAGGAAATAGACTGAAGGATGATAAGTGACTTGTCCAAAGTTACAAAATAAGCAGCAAAACCTAGAAATAAGCCTGCGTTTGTCAGGTTCTGACAAATGTAGTATATTTACTTCTTTACAATAATCCTGTTTCTATCTCACCATATGGCCTGGTTTTTTTATTTGACTGAGAGAAAGACCGTAAGTACCATTGAATATACCAAATTCCTTCCCTCAACACCCAAATCTCTATATAATTTTATCCTTTCCCTTGTCTCTTTATTTTGTTGACTAAATCATGTGTCTTATTTTTTACTTTTCTTCTCCATTGGATTCTTATGTTTTTGAGATGGAGTTTCGCTTTTATTGCCCAGGCTGGAGTGCAATGGTGTGATCTCAGCTCACTGCAATCTCTGCCTCCCAGGTTCAAGCAATTCCCCACGTCAGCCTCCCGAGTAGCTGCGATTACCGGCATGCGCCACCACACCCAGCTAATTTTGTATTTTTAGTAGAGACGGGGTTTTTCCACGTTGGGAAGGCTGGTCTTGAACTCCCGACCTCAAGTGATCCGCCTGCCTCTGCCTCCCAAAGTGCTAGGATTACAGGAGTAAGCCACCACACCCGGGCCTCCATTGGATTCTTCTTACCCATAAAAATATTTGTCTTCTTCATTCCAAAACAATAAAATATACATAAACTCTCATTTCTTTACGAAGCTCTCCTGTTCTCTCCCTTTCATATCCAGCCTTTGAAAAATTTAATATTATTCATTGCCCCAAAGCACCTATCCACTAGTAACTCCTTTTTGATTTAGCCTCCATTACTGCTATTGAATGGAAACTGCTCTCTAAGACTGAATTTCCAAGTCAGCTGTTGCTGCTCCATCATCTACCTTTGACCTTCCTGCAAGGGTTTGTTGTTCTCCTTTTGCTTTTGAGATGGAGTTTCACTCTTCTTACCCGGGCTGGAGTGCAACAGTGTGATCTCAGCTCACTGCAACCTCCGCCTCCCGGGTTCAAGCGATTTTCTTGCCTCAGACTCCCAAGTATCTGGGATTACAGGCGCCCACCACCACGCCCAGCTAATTTTTGTATTTTTAGTAGAGACGGGTTTTCACCATGTTGGCCAAGCTGGTCTCGCACTCCTGACCTCAGGTGATCTGCCTGCCTTGGTCTCTCAAAGTGCTGGGATGACAGGTGTGAAACACCGTGCCCAGCCCCTGCAAGGTTTTATAGTTAATAAACGCTCTTGACCATTCCATTAGTTTTTGTGGCCCTGAAGAATCCAAGATCTCCACCTATGTCAATTATTTATCAATGATTACTTTTAAAAATCTAACAGTTCCCCGTACTCTAACTTCTCCCATCTCTCTGAACTGAGCATTTTTTCTCTCTGAATTTGTGGTCATATCCACTTATAAACCTTGACCATAAATTATGTAGATGTTTCTAAAACCTTACCTTTGGGCCTACAGTTCTACCCAAATCTAGGCACATTTGAACTTCTTAGAGAATTTCTCAGTTGTATGTGTCTCCAACCTCAATATAAATCACTTCAGTCTACAAACTGTGATTAAGAAGTGGGAGTAGAATCTAGGCTTTTTCCAACAACCTTCATTCTCACTTGTCCGGCTTTCTTCTACTCTGTTAGTGTACTGAAATTGAGAAACATTTTGCCTAGACCTGAAGTAAAAGTGCGTTATCTAAATGAGAATGCTTTAAAGACCATAAGGATACTTCATTATTTTTAATTTATGTTTGTAAATTTGCCAAGTTTGAAGACACTTCCTCTTTCTATTCTGACATCAGCATAGAAGAAAAAAATAGCTATTATATATATATTATTCTATATCATGATTTTCCATGACTTATCCATTATCAAGTTTACCTTTATTTTCCCCCTACCTCCACCATGGTATGCTGTTAGATATTTAACAAGCTCTCCATGGATAGGGTGAGGCAGGAGGCCCTGACTTGTGGAATATTCCTATTTCTGTGGTCTACATACCCCTCCAAAGCCTATTGAAAGCAAACAATGTAACATCACTAACCACAGACTTGGAAATGAAGACAAGCAGCTTTTGTGAGCCAACACAAGTCAGCTCCTGTACAGCACTGACTCCCAGGAAGCAAGTTCTATGCCTTCCTATTTTCCTTTTAGGTATTTGTTTCCAAGAAATTAGGAAATTTCATAGCAACAGTTGAATTGTTATAATTCCCTATAACAATAAAAATCTCCCCAAATAATAATATCATTGTTTGGGGAAGGAAACAATGGGGTTCTTGATCATTAATTAGTTATTCAGAAATATTTCTTAAATGTTTATTATGGGGTAGGTAAAGTAGAAACACATGTAAGAAAGACAGACAAGATGCTGCTCCAAAGAGCTTATATTCTTGTTGGGGGACAACAAACAAACGACAGCAACAAAAATAAACAATATAGTTTCTCATATAAAATTGGCTATGTATAAAATAGAGTGGTGAAATTGGGGTGTAGAAGTAGTTAATATCTAATAAAATCATGCTTTTCCTTCTATTTTCTCAACTCTAAAAGTTTTATTTAGTAACAACACAGTGCCCTAACTTACTATGTGTAATTAGGGAAACAACTCATTTTACTTGTTCTATAAAGTTTGATGCCATTTTCAGAACTTTCAGAATTCAACTGACCAAAATATAAATGGTTGAATTTAGTGGCATACATAGAGTAAACATGTATATTCTTCCTCTTCCTCCTTTTGCAGTGCCAGAGGGAAAGGATGTTGTTAGAGGCATAAGATCATTGACCTTTAATATTGAAAGGAAATGAAGATATGAAAAGTCATTTATTTTATGGCTTGAGTGCACCTTAGGCTCTTTTTTGCCTTTTACAGATTATTTCTAAAAATATTTGCAGAAATATCCATTATGCCATTGACAAGACTTGAATTAGTAATAGAATCATAATTTATCATTGAACAACATTAAGCAATTATGTTGAAACAACTGCCAATTAGTTTCCACATAATATCATCCCAGATAAATGATTACAGTCTTTAATTCTTGATGTAATTACTATAAACAAATAGTGAAATATTTACTTATCCAAATGATAAGCATTCATACATATATTAGAAATCAAAGGCATGGGTTATGTTTGTATTCTGTATTTTGCAGATATTTTTCATTATAGCTTAAGGGGAGTATGACAATATTTTCTTATTTAGATAGCTACATTTTGCACAGCTCTCCTTCAACTTCAAGATCTTTTTCAGGCAACTGGCTTGGGAATGTCAGTGCATGCATTATTAATTTTATTACCACATTATTCATTTATATAGCATCGTTCTACCTCAAGGATCTCAAGGTGATTTACAAACATTAATTGCCAAATACTCATAGTGTTCCTTTGATATATGTGTACCTGAAGTTGTGCTAATTAAAAATTATAATCAAATCCCTATAATACATGCACACACACTAACACACATACAAAAACTTATTTATAGCATAACTCCTTTTAAGATCTGGAAATTTACCTGTTTGGGAGTAAATAACAGGAAAACAATGGCAGCAAGATGTCTGGCCAGCATGGCAGTGGGGTCCATGAGAATCTGGTCCTTCTCTTTGAAGTGATTCACCTCTGTGGAAAAACAAAAATGAGAGATTATGAAGGTAAAGCTAGGAAAATGTTGATAATACCAATACAATTCTAACTTCAGGCCTTCTGGGATGGAAGGAAAATTCCATCTCATTCATTACTGAAATTCCTTCTCTGTTCTAGTATTGAATTCCAATCTCAAAGGCTCACGTGACATTCAAAGGATGAATTTCTAATATCTGGTCTCTCTGGGATAGGCTTGGCTTCCTCGCTGGTGTTGGTTCACTGCAGTCAAGTGACCTTCTGCTTCTACATCATTCCCCTAGCACAATGCCTACTTAAACTACTACTAAGTCAGTATCTCCAAGTTCTGGCCACTTCACTGGAGTTCTTCCATAAGGAATATCAAAAAAGCTAATATTTGATTTTAGAAAAAAAAAAGAAGTAAATCTGATGAACCTCTAGTGATATGTGATCACGACTTTAAAAAACAGAGTAGAACCTAATTTGGTCCTACTCTATCAAGAATTAAAAAAACATAATCTATAGATCAGACATTTAAAAAGGTAACAGGATAATATAAACAATTTTCTTGATAACTAAACTTTTGGATGAAATAAATCTTAGAAAATATAATTTATAAAACAAAACAAAAAAATGGAAAAACCTATATATTCCTTCAACTATTAAAGACACTGATTTGATAATTCCAGGGAAGTGAAATTAGTGAAGCAGTTCACCTGCTTCTGAGTTATTGCTTACTAAATATATCATTCATTTCCCTGATTTTTTCTGTTTTGTAAATAAGAAAGTTGAACTATATTATTGTTTTGCAAATAGAACTCTACACTAATCATTTTCACTAGCAAATTCTGCGAAACATGTAAGGAAGAAACAGCACCAATGCTACGTACAGTTTTCCAAAACTAGAAAAAGTGGGTACAGTCTTCAACTTTTTATGAGGACATCGTAATCTTGATAACAAAACACAAAAAGAACAGTACGAGAAAAATCATAGGTCCAGTTCACTCAAGAACATAAATGCAAACAAACAAAATAATAACTATATTAAAACTATTTCAATAAGAATTATATCATAAATAAGATTTATTTCAGATATGAAATGTTGATTGAAAATTAGACAATCATTGTACTCTACCCTTTTAACAGAGTAAAGAAGAAGACTCATGTGCTTATCTCAATAGACAAAGAAAAAGTTTAATGAAATTTACCATCAATCTATGATTCAAAAAGAACATCCTGGTAAACTAAGAATGGAAGGGACATTTTGGTTAATGACATACTTTCTCTGAGATCAGAAACAAGATGAATATACATGATGGAATACTATGTAGCCATAAAAAAGAATGAGAACATGTTCTTTGCAGAGACACGGATGGATCTGGGGGCCATTATCATTAGCAAACTAACACAGAAACAGAAAACCAAATACCACATGTATAGCTCGCTTATAAGTAGGAGCTAAATGACGAGAACACATGGACACATAGAGGGGAATAACACATACTGCGGCCTATTGGAGGGTGGAGGGTGGGAGGAGGGAGAGGATCAGGAAAAATAACTAATGGGTACTAGGCTTAATACCTGGGTGACGAAATAATCTGTACAACAAACCCCCATGACACATGTTCACCTATGTAACAAACCTGCACATGTACCCCTGAACTCAAAAGTTGTTGTTTTTTTTAAATAAACAAGATATGGATATTTATTCTCACCACTTGAATTCAATACTTTTTTAAAAAGCTAGGCTGGGCATGGTGACTCACCCCTGTAATTCCAACACTTTGGGAGGCCAAGACAGGTGAACTGCTTGAGCTCAGGAGTTCAAGACCAGCGTGGGCAACATGGCAAGACTCCATCTCTACCAAAAATACAAAAACATTAGCCGGGCATGGTGGTATGCACCTGTGGTTTCAGCTACTAGAGAGGCTGAGGTGGGAGAATCGCTTGAGCCTGGGGGAATGGAAGTTGCAGTGAGCTGAGATAGCACCACTGCACTCCAGCCTGGGTGACAGAGCAAGACCCTATCTCAAAAACACACACAAAAAATAAATAAATAGATAAATACATAAATAAAATAAAAAATAAAAAGCTAGACACTAATAAACACATGCACGTGCACGCACACACATACCAAAAGTCAGGATAGTAGTTGCCTTCGGGGAGGTAGAAAGACATAAATTAAAAATCAGTGAGATTGGTCATGTTTACTTTACAACTATGTCTATTTCATGTAACAGCAGTCAGGATAGTTTAATGCCTATGATCATATCAACCAATACATTTTAATGCATTTACAAGATAATCATATAGCAACCCAAGGAACTGAATTTCAGACGGAGATAGAGACAAGGATGAAAAACAAAACAAAACAAAACAAACCTTAACTGACTGGCCGAATTCTAATCAGATGTAGGTGAATTCCGTATGGCAGGTGCCCTGTGGCTAGCACTTTCACCAGTGGGATGCTTTCATGGATTTTTCATTTCCCTCTACCTGTTGGGAAGCCCACTGTGAGAGGGACCTTCTGAAGTCTTGCCATAAATGGTTACCTTTGTTGGTAACCATTTTCCATCAGGAAAATCACAAACCCAAGATAAAGAGCAACCTGACTCCACCAACCCTAGAAGTTCAGCCCCTTCCCAGTTTGCAGCTTCCTTTCTTTCTGGAGCCATGAGAAAGTTACTTGATCTCCATGGGCCTCAGTTTTCTCATCTTTAAAACAGGACTATCAATTGTTCCTAACTCAGAGGCTACTGTGAGGGCAACAATTAACGTGTGTAAAGCATTTAGAATATCGCTTGGTATGTAATAAGTGCTCAGTAGGTGTTAGCTATTCTGATGATAATCATTAACACCTACGACAAAAATGGACTTACCCTTTGGTCCCTAAACAACAATTATATCAGATTATAATCAATATATTGGGTTATTTGTTCTTGTGTGGGAGGCCAAGTCGAATGTCAGGCAATCCAGGTGGAATCAAGCCAAGCACAGGCCGTTCCCTTCTCATTTCTTGCTTCCCCATCACGAAGCCCAAGCGTGAAGGCCTTACCTGCTGATTTTCCATCTACGCCCTCCCATGGGAGGTGAAGAGCTACCACAACGAAAGTTCTCTCTCCCTCTCTTTCCACCACTCACATGTTCTCATTTACACAGACATATACATTTCTGTAATATTTGCAAGGCAAAATTTACAGACACAACCTGTTCAAGTATATCAAGAAAAGAAAATCTCCCCACACATTTGTCCAACCATTTTAGAGCCACAGTTATGCCTTGGTCATCCATGGGATTTATTTTACCAATTTTGATTTAGAATCTCACTCTAAAGAGCTACATTTTTAAACTATGTTTTCTTATGGAAAACTGAGAAGTACCTCCATCTCTGCATTATAAGATGAACCCTAAAGGATATATTCAGATGTTAGATTTTTTCCGTCAAAACAAAGAGACTATCTACTCCAAAAGTATATTTGAGTACCAACCCCTTGTCAAGCAAAAAGTGTTTTCAAGCCAGGCGCGGTGGCTCACACCTGTAATTCCAGCACTTTGGGAGGCCGAGGCGGGCGGATCACGAGGTCAGGAGGTGGAGACCATCCTGGCTAACACGGTTGAAACCCTGTCTCTACTAAAAATACAAAAAAATTAGCCAGGTGTAGTTGGCAGGTGCCTGTAGTCCCAGCTACTCAGGAGGCTGAGGCAGGAGAATGGCATGAACCCGGGAGGCGGAGCTTGCAGTGAGCTGAGATGGTGCCACTGCACTCCAGCCTGGGCAACAGAGCAAGATTCCATCTCAAAAAAAAAAAAAAAAAAGTGTTTTCAGCTTAAAAATAGCAATAATTACACACAACAAAACTTCAGCTTGCCCCAAGTCTCAATCAGGACTGTGAAATGAGAAAACATAACAAGATATTATTCAGAATCCCTTTTTGACACTTGCATGATTCCACTTTTCAGATTTTCCCCCAAATCATTAAAGTATGAAAAATAAGCAGAAGAACCTGCGTACCAGTTCTTTGAGATTCTTACTAATTGTGAATCCTTGAGGATATGGACAGGAGTGATTGGCTGAGAAGCCCAGTGTGGTAGCCCCTTATACAGAAAAAAAATGGGAAGCAGGTCACTTATGTTACACTAATGGCCACTGTGCTGCTGGTGTGGGTGGCATCAGGTGTCATCCTGGAGACTTCGGAGAAGAAGGAAGGGTTGAAGATGAACTGTTACATGAAACTAGCATTCCAAAGTAAATGCCCAAATTTGGTGCAAACAGAGAAAAGTGGTAGAGTTACATTCGTCCAGGAGTTTCTCCAGGTACGTTGAATTGTTCAGTAAGCTGGCAGTTGATACCTACATGCTCACTAACCCCTTCAGTAAGTTTCAGAATAATTAGGCGGGGCAGAGCTGTCCTGTGGGCTCTTTGGTTCTAATATAACTTTGCAGGGAACATAAGTCAAGTTAGATATGATGATGTAGGAGAATGGATCCTAATTAAAACACAGTGGTAGTGTGCATGCCTCACTGGTATTCCCTGAAACTTCTTCAAGGTGAATGTGCCAACCCCAGGAAAAACAGAAAATAAAGCTCATTATCTCAGAAATGGGAAAAAGAATTTGCAAAAACCAAAAAGAGCTCCCTTTATCTTTCTTGCTTACACATTCTAGACAGACTCCCAGGGAATATTTACTTCCAAAATGCTTTCTTCTCTTTTTGTATCTTACTGTCACAGCATTCTGTTAATTCCTAGAACTATAAATACTTTTCCAGGTGGAAGGCTTTTACAAATTGATAATTATTCTAACATTGCTGAAGTTTTATAATGAAATTGCAGATAAAAGTATTCATATAAAAATAAATTGTATAAATGATAGAAAACATATAAATGTATAACATGTCTATATACAGATATAATCTCTCTTGTACAGCACATGATAACTGACGTATATCTTGAAGGCTACATTTGGCTCAGGCTGAAGACAAAATCCAGTCAGTAGAAAAGTGTCTTGGAGATACTGCCAAGCCTCATTTGGCGACAATAGTGATGTGTGACCGCATTTAATGAAATATCATATCTTTTCAATTAAAATTTTATATACTGGACGTTTACTTAAATTATACCAAATAATTTTTGAGTCTAGAGCTCACTGAGGCATCAGAGAATGAACTGTGTGCTATATCGAAGCATTCATGTGAACACTTCATTATTTTTCATCATTAAAAAAACACTTTTCCCCCAAATAATAAATATTGAGAGAAATGAGTGTTCTGTAAAACAACATCTATTTTTATTTTAAATGATTTATCCATTTCTGAAGAGCCAAAAGAAATTTAAACTTCATCAAAAGTGTTATTCATGCTTTCCAAACCAGAATTAATAGCCTGTCATTTTACTTATGCCGTTCTTTCATTTCTTTGAATATGGAACAGCGGTTTTCTGATTTGTTTCTTCCAATGTGGGCAGCTGATGGTATACAGTGGTTAGCTGATATTTGTCTGGAAGTCACCATCAGTGCATTGTGGGAAGTTTCAGTCTAGAATCCTTGTCAGTGGTTCTGTCTGAGAATCAGAAAAAGGGCAAAATATATTCAGAACCTTTTTTTTTGGTCACATTTATAAAAGCAGCAGACATGCACATTTATGAAAGACTGATTAAATGCTTCAAGCAATGCTTTTAGATGGAATTGATAGATGCCAGATTGTCATTATGAAACTATCCAGAAGAGGAAAAGCCATTTTTAGATGAAAAGAGTGCTTTCTATTTATTTTTATGTCAGTGCATGTGTACATATGACAAACTAATGGCCCTAGGAATTATCAAATTAGTAGATTTTGCATCTGCTGATTTCTCCATTTCTCAATCTCATAGTTAATTTATTTAACTGCCTCCTCATTAGGAGTTCTTAGCAAATAATATCACCATTTAGTTGGGTAGCATTTTATGCTTGGTAAAATTCTTCAACATCTACGCTTTATTATTTTATCTTAAAAATGCCTTTGGTGCAATTGGGCTGATATTATTTTACCAACAAAGAACATGAAACTCAGAGAGGGTATACGACCTACTTTCAGTGTATACTGCCTTTTTAAAAGCTAGGATTAAATAGAATTCCCTCATTCCTAGTAGGATAATCTTTCCAATAGCCCCCACAAATGATATTTCTTCACGAATTGTGCAACTGATCCTGAAAACAAAAGACAAGAACAATTGTTCATTTTGCAGCCTTCGATATGGAAAACTTGGTGTGGCGACAGCTCCATATAATACAGTAACCATCAAATATATGGATTATTATAAGAAAAAGTGTCAAAAATAACTAACTGGTTGTTAGTAGGCAGTAGCCAGCTGATAGACTAATTGAGATCACATTCACAAACAGGCTTGAAGGAATTCAGGCTGGAAGGCCGCAAATGACCTTTCTCTTTGGCTTCATTATCTGGGACATTTATGAAACTAGCATTGTCCCTCACCCCCATTGCTCCTTTTACTTCCCCTACATGTCATCTGACTCCTTGTCTCCCCCAGCCATCTTCCAGCACCCATACTGATATGGTTTGGCTGTTTCCCCACCCAAATCTCATCTTGAATTGTAGTTCCCACAATACCCACGTGTTGTGGGAGGGACCTGGTGGGAGATGATTGAATCATGGGGGCAGGTCTACCCCATGCTGTTCTTATAATAGTGAATAAGTCTCACCAGATCTGATGGTTTTATAAGGGGAGGTTTCCCTGCACAAGCTCTCTTCTCTTGTTTGCTGCCATGTGAGACTTGCCTTTCACCTTCCACCATGATAGTGAGACTTCCCCAGCCACATGGAACTATGAGTCCATTAAGCTTTTTTCTTTTGTAAATTGCCTACTCTCAGGTATGTCTTTATCGGTAGCATGAAAATGGACTCATACACATACTTATTAAGAACATTGAATAGGGGTAGAGGAGGTGCTTTCCTACTCGGTCATAGAATGTTTTCTCCTTACTAAGAAATAACAAATATCAGCAACAACTTAAACCAGTGCACTTTAATCACAGCAGTGCCTCTTTGACATATATTATCTCATTTGATCATGAGACCTTTGTGAAATAAGCCAAGATAAAAGCCATCTTTGAGAGATAGAGATGACTGAGGTTCGGTGAGGGGAAAGGATCTCCTCAAGGTCCCACAGCTCATGAGAGGCAGGTCAGGAATCATAATTCAAACATTTTGACTCTAAATTCAGCACTCTTTGAACCACATCTGTGAAAGCAGAGAACCCAGAAACTTGCTTTGAACTTTTTTTGTTTTTTTTGTTTTGTTTTGTTTTTGTTTTTTTACTTCTTATGTCATCTTTAAAGAGGTGACTATAAACTGATTGCCCCAGGGGTATTACATAAAGTGGTTCTAGCCTCTCTGGTGGAAACAGAATAATGCCAGAACCCTTTAGACATTTTCTCATTTCTTAACAAAAATGTTGATAAGGCTTTTTCCATTAGGGAAATGCAAGCAACAGGACATATGAGGCAGGAAACAGATTTTGTACTGCCTGAAGCTTATACAACTTGGGCACCCCTTTTTTTAAGAAAAATAATACAAAATTATAAATACAAAATTAGGTATTAAAGCAAATGCTTAATTAGAATGATTCAAGAAATCTCAAATCAATTACAAATGTTAAAAAAAAAAACTGTAAAATCCAGAAAACTAACATGTTATTATTTATTTACTAACCAACACATATCTAAAATACTATTTTCCTACATCGTTAGCTGAATAGCCTTTGATGGCCCCTTCATATGACAAGGATTTTGTCATGTAATTTTCAATAAAGAAAGGAAAAAGATTATTCTGTCTTTTCTCTAGCATGCTTTCTTTCCTCCTCACAAATTTGGAAGCCAAACTTCATAAGGCATGTTTGTATAACTTTTACATATGTTTAATGTAACTCTGGCCTCAATCTCCATGTCAGGATGGTAAGCATAGTGTGTAGGAAGGTTATTATGGGAAGATATTCCTATACCAGGAGAGGTTAAATAGAGGTTACTCAGTGCTCCCTAGAGGATGCAGTCGACAATACCAGCTAGGAAACACCTTTCCAGGAAACCATCTAACAAAAACTGGTAGTGCAGAAGACACACACAATCATGTTGGAAAATGTCCATGCTATCAAACCATAAGAGAAGCAGTAGCTTCTAAGTTTTCATCCTAGCCTGGAAAAGTGTGGCAGAGTTTTTTTCCCACAGGCACAGAGCAAAAAGTAGTCTGTTTCCAGAAGCACTTCTGACTGATCCTCCTTTTCATTCATTCATTCAACACACACACACACACACACACACACACACACACAGAGGGGGCCAGTGTGGGGGAGTGACTTCCATGTGCCAGGCACTAAGCTAAGCACTGGAAAGGTAAGCAGTGTTCCATCTGTACCACCTTAGAGCTCACCTTTGACTGCTTAATAGAGAATGTATATTCTCCAGTGGATATAAGATTTGGGGGTAGAAAAAGTGAATTCCCCAGGAATCACTTTACAATTGTTTTCCCAGTGGTTTTATGGAATTCTTGAATTTTGACTCTAGGTTGAACTAGCTGGAGCACTACTCACTTCTGACCATCACAGGGATTAGTTCCATGTAGACACATTTCATGTGCTGACATTTGGTATCCTACATTCTGTAATACAAATGAAGTCTCTGTAGCAATAATGGCAGTAGCAACATAACATTACAGGAGCAATTTAAGCCACAAAAGAAATATCTCCTCACAAGAACTCCCTATGACAGGGCTGAGCAGAGTTATTCTATTTATTTATTTATTTATTTATTTAGAGATGGAGTATTGCTCTGTTGCCCAGGCTGGAGTGCTGTGGCATGATCTTGGCTCACTGCAACCTCTGCCTCCTAGGTTCAAGCAATTTTCATGTCTCGGCCTCCTCAGTAGCTGGGATTACAGGCATGCACCACCATGCCTGGCTAATTTTTGTATTTTTAGTAGAGACAGGGTTTCGCCATGTTGGCCAGGCTGGTCTCGAACTCCTGACCTCAGATGAGCCGCCCTCCTTGGCCTCTAAAAGTGCTGGGATTACAGGCGTGAGCCACTGCACCCGGCCTCCATTATTTTAAATTCATACCATAACAAAAAATTCTAGATGCTAGAAATCTCTTCAGAATGTAGACAATCGCCCACATGACACGTCATATTTTGGGGCACATTTTCATCACTACTCATTGTGTTTGTCACAAACACTTGATACTATAAACAAGACCTTCATTTTAAGAACTTCATATTCTGACACCTAATTGTCCCCCAAAAGCTATAATCCTTTGCCTGTGAAATCATCATTTATTCCTATGGAAATATGATTATGACTTCAGGTGAAGGAATAAACAGGAGAAACAGTTGAAACTTTTAAAAGCATCATTTTTCATGTAAATCTCTCTAGCAATAAAGTCAGAATTTAGAAAATAGCAAAGGCATGATGAGCTAGTGGAACTGTGACTAAATATACTGCTTCTAAAATTTTCTCAGCACCAGGTGCTTGAACGTACATAGCTTATTTAGGATGTCTGCAAGTGCTACCTCTGTGTGCCTTTTTTTTTTCAACTTTGATTTGGGGTTACTTTTAACATTGCACAGAATTTGTACCTTACTTAATTTTTAAATTTCACTCTTTCTGTAAATATTTTTAACTTTTCTCAACTAATTTTATCCAAACGGGTGAAATTTCTAAAGGACATATTTATGTCCGCAGCTTTCAGGATGAATTCTACAAATTGCCATGTAGGTCACTGACTTTGTAACATTGTATATTTAAAACAGCAAAAAAGAAAAAAAAGTGTTAGTTTAGAACTTTTAATAAACTAATAAAACTATTAGAACTAATAAAAATACACTTATTTACTGAGAGTGTTAGTTACACTGGATTAATTTCTTCAACCTGAATTCTTTTGCCCAAATTCCTTTGTTTACATTATTATTATACTCAATCATATGTTTCTCCTAAGTTCCTGTTGTTGATCGTATTTTATTTTTTTAACTATTGATGTACTCAACTTCTTGATCCTTTCTCTTTTCTGGCTTCACTGACATGTCTCTCTCCTGGCTCTCTTTCTGCATCTCTGATCACTCCTTCTTGGGTCTCTCTCTCAGGCTTCCACACATCATCCAGCACCTAAGTGAGGCAATTCCACAAGCCTCCAATATTGACCCTTTGCTTTTATTTCTCTGATTCATGCCTCTGTGTTTACCCCCAATCTGATGGCATTCAATGCCACCCCTTATCAAAGTCTCCAGATCAAATTCTTCCGACTTCACTTTCTAATCAGCCCATAAGGTTTCTCTTGGTGGACATCCTCCTTGTGGATCACATCACATCACACTCAACAAGCAAGAAAAATGTTTTTCTAAACCTTAGACCCTTTCTTTAGCAGTTTTTGCTGCAAGTGGCTTCAACATTCTTTTTATCTCAACCAGAAACCTTGAAGTTATTTTTAAATTTTCTCTATGCCTCATCCTCTGAATCCGGTGTGTCACTGTATCAAAACATTTCCATATTTAAAATGTCCTCTTTCTCTTTATTCCCACATCATTCTCATAACTGGAGACCTCATCACCATACAGGATAGAGCTCCCAGCTGACCTTGCTCTAATCTCCTTGCCTCAACATTACTCATTCTTCCAAACAAAAATGGATTGATGATCCCCAAACAGCCCATTAAGCATACTAGTCCCTGTTTCAAGAGTATTATATTCTCCATATTTTCCATGTCATACTTCTAAACTAATATCCTTCTCATCTTGTGTATCCAACTTGATTTCCAACTAATTCCCACAATATGGTTTATAATCCAAATGCGTTTTCTAGCAATCTCTCTATTAGTACCTTTGTTCATGCTGCTTCTCTATCCAGAATGGCATCATTATTGTCTCCACCTTTTCAAATGCTATTCCTCCTTCAAAGTCCAGCAAAGTTCCCTGCTTCTACAAAGTTCACACACTCCCATCTCTAATCTATCATAGTGAAGTTCTCAGCCACTTGTGACAATACTAACAAATGACTGAGGCTGCCTGGATGCCTACTTTAGGCCAGGTCTCATGGAGTGGCTGTGCCCTAATGAATTCACCACCATTGTAGCTGTGATAACCACATTTGCACTTTCATAAACTCAAATTCTTCTGAACACCCAGGTATCATCAGGCCCTAGGCAGCAGAAAAGAGAGAAAGAGAGAGAGAAAAAAAGAGTAGGCTGGATTAGTTCTAAGTCAAGCCTAACAACACACAGCCATATGAATTCAAGAAAGTTGTTCAAACTTTCCTAAGTCTTCAGTTCCTCATGGTTAAAATTGAGGTGTTAATATCAACCTTCCCTAACATACTACACTGTTATGGAAATTAAATAAGATAATTTATGTAGAAGAACACTATAAAGCATTATACAGACTTATTTCTAATTCATGATAACAAAATTCATGAGATACTTAGTTTTAAGCCATAAAGTTAATTTAATAATTTATAAAGAGGAATAAATATTTCTGCTGACTGGAGAGATATGTGTGCTCTAGAGGTAAAACTTGGATAAAAGGATCTAAGGAACTGACTAAATAATTATAAGGTTTTGGAAAAATAAGTCTTAGGGGACTTGAGTGGTCTTGAGTGATAGTTTGCAGTAATCCTTGATCTTTTAGGGAGGTAGTGGGTAGGTAGCAGATATAGGAATCCTGGGCTCCTTTCTACTCTACGGTGGCATGAGAATTTGTGTTAGCTTTGAGAACAGAAGATGGTTATATTTTCTATATCTGTGTATTCTCCATGCAGTTGGAGACAACTTATACCTTATCACTAACAATTAACCCATGAAGATAACGTGGCTTATAATATTTTCAAGTCTCTCAGCATTATACTCTAAGAATGAATTGCTTCCTTTTATGCGTCACATTATAACTTTATTTGTAGAATGTGGAAACCAAGCTGCCTGAAATCATACACTAGCTCTGTCACTTACTAGTTGGTTATCTTGAGTAAGTTACTTCACATACCTGTATACCTTAGTGTTCCAATCTGTAAAATGGAAATAATAATGTACTTAAATCATAGGTTGCATTGAGGATTAAGTGAGCTAATGAATGGAATATATAAGTACTCAATAATTTCTTTGTTGCTTTAACACGTATTTCATTATGCATTGTGTTGTAACAATTTACTTGCATATCTGTCTACTCTGCCAGACTGTAAGCATCTTCCAGACACATATTCTGTCTTACTCCTCTTTGTTAGCTTCTCAGCATCTTCCATAATGTTTTGCTCACTGAACATGTGCAATATATTTAATGAATACATTCAGGGCTCTTTCCTGCAGGTGTTTTGCTTTCTCAACTAATATTGATTATGAAAGCTTTGTAAGTCCTCCTTGAAGGGCAAAGTTATGTTTGATACTTTTCTTTTTTACATCTCCCAAATAACAGGCACTTAAATGTTGATGATTAATTGATTGTACACACAGCAGTTTCTAACATAATCATGAAACCTGAAAATGAAGTATGTTTGTTCATGATTTTTATCCCATATTCCCTTTTATATTCCCTTTTGCCACATGCCTTCAACGCCTATAGCATCAATCAGAGTAGCAGTGACTAGGACAGTGCCAATTATATGCAAAGCCAACTACAGAAGCATTGCAAATCTCATCACAGAAACAAGCACTTCTGAGATAATAAAATATTAATTGATACTTTACTACACTTTGGAAGAAACTAAATAGCACAAAAATTAATAACGACACACTGCAAAATGGCAGAAAACAAAAGCTATGAGAACAAGACCATTCATGCGCTATGGAAAAAAACTGCAAATTTGAAAGGATGTTACTCACTGATGCCTCATTTTCTTCAGAAACATAAAACGAATCCTTTCCTCCACCAACATAATGGGTAACTATCGATAGTATCACCCTGCAATATTGTCATAAGATTATTCTTTTTGCTAATTTTGCATAAACTTATTTTGATGTCGCCTTATTCTCTAAAAAACGATTTATATTCATATGTTGGATAATTCAATTAAATCTGAATTTTTAATCACCTGCAATACAGTGCTATCTCTGACTATCCAGGAGAAATGATTTAATCTATTTTCCCTCTATTGTATTTTATAGCTATAAACTATATTGTTTTTTAAGAACTAATTTACATATCTATTCCACAAAATACAGCCCATCTTCAATTAGGTTATGAGCTAATATAGGTGGAAGTCCTGTGTTAATTTTCCCCTGTAAGGACGTAGGACCATGTCTGGCACATGGTAGGTACTTAATAAAAGGTTGTAAAATAACTTAATGAATGAATAAAGAAACAAATATATGTTCACCGAATGCCAAGGTTCTGGGAGTTTCAAATAAAATATAAGAATTAGTGTTTGTCTGTAGGGGTTTACAATAAAGTTGAAGACAAATTATACTCAATTCAAATATAATAATATAAGACATATGGCTTTGACTTCTAGTTATAACAGTACCTGATACTGAAGTTGTCCTACCGTAAACAAATATAAAATTGGACAAAGTCACAGAGATAAGGAAGCCCCATGTTTTTCTTAGTTCTATCCACAGAGACAATTTCCCAAAAATAGCACAGATAAATGAAGCCCAAGCAGGGCACAGTGGTCTGCTAAACTAAGGAGACAAACATAGGAGTTTGAGTTGCAGAGGCTGCAGAAATCTTCATGGGAGGAAACTAGAGACAACTGGTGTCGATTGAGGTGGGTTTTAAAAATCTGTGTGGAAGTTCCCCATGAGTCCTCAGCCAAAGTTTGGATATGCATACACAGGGTGAGACCACATGAGGTTTATTAGCAAATGACTACCATGGGGTTAAGAGTAGGAGACTTTGGAATGTTGTAGCGGCCAGAGTAGACAGACATTGTTCACACCATCGCTATCCAAATAAAACACAATAAAATCTACACCTTTGAATATTTCACTTAGAAGTGAAAACTATATTGCAGAGTAAAAGTTACTCTACATCCACCATCACAATACCTAAAATGAACACTGACAAAATTCACAGAAAAGACAAAGTTTGCAATTTAAATTATACAATGTATAGAGGAGCTTTTAAAAATATGTTGAGTTTCCAATGATGCACGCTAACGAAACTAAAAATACACACATTCAGGTTGATCATCCTATAGAATAACTTCTTGTTAAAAAGGAACCATCATTCCTTTAAATCATTCCGTTAAAGAGAATATAATTTCTCTTTAACGTATTATCTACTATACAGTAAACAGTAAACATTACTAAGCATGCAAAAAAATGAGAATTTTTTTTAAAAAAAGGAGATAAAGAATGGACAAGATAATTGAGCTGTTGGACTTAGCAAACATTCTCTCTATATATATAACTGGAGTCACAGAAAAAAAGGAGATTGGGACTAGGGCAGAAAAAATATCTGAAGGCAAAATAGTCAAAAATTTAACTAACTTTAGGGCTAACAGTAATTTGATTATATAAGAAGAGAACCCCATGCAGAATCAATACAAAGAAAATCGCACCTAGATAGGCAAATGGTGAAAACCAAAAGTAAATGGAAAATCATAAAATATATCATATAAAATTCATATATGATTCATATATTTTGACATTCATATTTCATGTAAATTTTATATTCAACAAAATGTCTTTTTAAAACAAGTATGAAATAGACATTTTCAGATGAATTTAAAAAATGAAAGAAATTGTCAACAGCAGACATGCACTATAAGACACACTAAGGGTTGTTGTTCTAGCTGAAGCAAAGAGATAATAAATGGCAAATTGTATGTAGAGGAAAGAATTTAGTTGCTAAGGCAAAAACTATAAAATAGTAAAACTTAAAACTTTAAAGAAATATTGTTTAAAAAACTAATACAGGACAGCACAGAGAATTCTCATACACCTTCTGCCTTATAAACACAGGTTCTCCTATTGTTTACATCTTGCATGAGTGTGGTACATTGGTAATAAATAATATTATTTTTGGACAATTCTCAGCCATTAGTGTTTTAAATATTTCTTCTTCTCTTTTCTGTTTTTCTACTCTTTCTGGTATATCGATGACTGGTATGTAACACCTTTTGTATTGGTCCTACAGGTCCTGGATATTCTGTTCTGGTTTGGAGTGATCTTTTTGTTTGTTTTACTCTGTGCATTTCAGTTGATAAGTTTCTATTGACATATCTTCAAGCTCACTGATTGTTTTCTGAGTCATGTCTAATCTAGTGATGAACCTATCCAAGGCATTCTTCATTTCTGTTACAGTGCTTTTTATTTCTTGCATTTCCTTTTGATTTTCTTCGTGGAGTTTTCATTGTTCCCAATGCTTATATCACACATCTATTCTGGAATATTGTCAACTCTTCCCACTAGAACCCTTAATGTATTCATCATAGTTATTGTAAATTTTCTATCTGATAATTCTAAAATCTATGTCATACCTGAGTCTAGTTCTGATCCTTGTTTCGTCTCCTTACTTAATTTTTTGTTGAAAGCTGAACATAATGTGTCAATTAGCAGAAACTGAGTTAACTAAGTTTTTAATGTGAGGTTTTTACATTACACCTGGCTAGGAGCTTAGTGGTATTTAATGTTTGCAGTGAATGTAGATGCAAGAGTCTTCAGTTTTGTCTAGTTTCTTTGTTCTTTTGTTTGCTTGTTTTTTACCTCCTGTTGTTTTGGGGTTTCTCTCAGACCTCCTTCTTAAACTGAATCTGTGTCTTGCAGTTCTGTCAGCTGTAATCTACTGCTATACTGGAGCCCTGTTGATGTGGTACAAACAGAAGCATTCTATAATCTTATGACTGAATCTCAGCTTTTTAGTGGGCCAGAGTCATTTACTAGCCATTTTTCTTTCTTCTATGTAAGAGAGAAAAGCTCGAGGAGGCTATAGTTGTCTAATTGTCCTTGCTTCATGTCAGATAAAATTCAGGTAAAGTGGTTTCCTTTGGGAGGCAGGCATTTTTATGGAGAATTTTCTAGGTGTATTTAAAACTGTCTAATTTTACCTTTTTCTTGCCCGAAAGAGAGGAGATTTTGTTCTCTGATATTTTCTGTGAGAACCTAGTGGGGCCTAGTTTTAAGAGGTTGGGGGGTCTCATCCTTTCATGGGTCTTACCTCTAGTAAAACCTTTGTCAACACTTGGTATTGTCAATTGTTTTAGTTTTAAAATTGTTATTATAGTGAGTGTAAAGTTATATCTCATTGTGGTTTTAATCTGCATTTCTCTAATGATTAATGATGTGAAGGACATTTATTAATATTTTCTCCAAAACTAGGCCCCCAGAAATTCTAACCATCAAGTTAGTCTACACTCAGACTCCAGCAATTCCTCAAAATTACCATAGAAGTGTTACCACTTGTTTCTGCCTCCAAGAGTTTCTGCTTCACTCTAGCTGATCTCAACTGTGATTGCATTCAGGTCACTCATCTTTCCAGAGTGGTGGTTTGCTCTGTGACCTCAGTTATCTGATATCTAGAAGAAGTCATTAATTTTTACTTTGTTTGCTTTTTTTCTCATTGTGAGGACAGGAGAGTAATAACATCCATGCTCCTTACATGTCAGATCTTAAACCAGAAGTCATCAACTGATTTTTGACAAGTTGCCAAAGTAATTCAATGAAGATACCTGTCATTTGAACAAACAACTAGAATTCTATATGAAAAATAAATGAATACCAAACAGTACCTCATCCAAGAAAATTAAATTAATTGAAAATGAGTCATGAGGTGAAACATGAAAACTAAAAATTAAAAATATTTAGGAGAAACATAAAATCCTCATAATTTGAGGCAGGTAGAAAATTATTAGAAATGGCACCACAAAACTCAAACTGTAAAAATATATTGAAAAATTGGACTCTATTAAAATAAAAAATATCTGGTCTTCAGAAGACGCTATTTGATATTTTTAACACGGCATAGACTGTGAGATATATATTTGAGAATATATATATGTATATACATACACATACACATACAAAAAGAACTCATGTGGTTCAAAAACAAGAAAAATAGGGACTTGGCTAGAACAAGCACTTTATAAAATAAAATAGACAAATGGTAAATAAGCAAACACTAAAGATGATCAATATCATTAATTAGGGAAATGCAAATTAAAACCACAATGATATATAACTTTACACCCACTATAATAAAAATTTTAAAAGTAAAGGGCAATACAAAGTGTTGACAAAGATTTTGAATAACTGAAACTATTACATATTACTGTTATGGATGGGGGTGTAAAATTCCACAACCAGTTAGGGAAACAGTTTGGAAATTTCTTACCCATTAAAAAATACACCTTCCATATGATTCAGCAATTCCTTTCATAGTGTTAAAGAGAAATGCAAATATTCTTCAAGAAAAGTATTTTTACATAAATACTTATAAATGTTTATAAAAACTTTATTCACAAAAGCTAGGAACTAAAACCAACCCAAACATCCATCAACAGATGATTTAAAAAATAAGCAAATATTCACATAAGTACATAGCCCACAGAGCCTAAAAAGCAACCACACAGTAGAAAGTATAAAGCAACCAGCTAACAAGTTCATGATATGATCAAAAGGTCACGTATCAATATTAATGAGGAATGTAAATGGCTAAACACCCCCAAATAAAAGGCACAGAGTTGCAAGGTGGAATTAAAAAAAAAAAGACCCACCCATCTGTTGTATTTGAGAGATCCATCTCAAATATAACGACAGCCATTGGTTTAAAATAAAGGGGTAGAGAAAGATCGATCATGCAAATGGAAAACAAAAAAGAACAGTGGTCACTACTCCTATATCAAACAAACTTTAAACAAACAACAATTAAAAAGGACAAAGGGCACTGTATAATGCTAAAGGGTTCAATTCAACAAGAATACTTAACTATCCTCTATAGATACATAGCCAACATTGCAGCACCCAGATTAATAAAACAAGAACTTCTAGACCTATGAAAAGACTTAGCTACAAAATAATAGTGGAGGACTTCAACACTTCACTGATAGCATTTGACAGATTACCAAAGCAGAAAACTAACAAAGAAATCCTGGACTTAAATTTGACCCGTGATCAACCAGACCTAATAGACATCTACAGAACACTCCACCTGTCAGCCACAGAATACACATTATCCTCACCTGCACATGGAACATACTCTAAGATTAACCACATGCTCAGCCGAAAAGCAGGTCTCAATAAATGCAAAAAAATTGATATAATGCCAACATACCCTCAGACCACAGTGGAATAAACATAGAGCTCAATACTAAAAAGATCTCTCAAAATCTCAGAATTACATGGATATTATTATTATTATTTATTATTATTATTATTATAATTATTATTATTCAGACAGGGTCTCGCTCTGTCGTCCAGGCTGGAGTACAGTGGCATCATCACAGATGACTGCAGGCTTGACTTCCCCAGTCCAAGCAATCTTCCCACCTCAGCTTCCCAAATAGCTGGCACTACAGGCACATGCCACCACTTGACTAATTTTTATATTTTTTATAGAGACAGGGTTTCACCACGTTGCCCAGGCTGGTCTCAAATTCCCGGACTCAAGCAATCCACCTGCCTCAGCCTCCCAAAGTGCTGGAATTACAGGCATGAGCCACCACACCCAATTACATGGAAATTAAACAACCCAGTGACATTTGGGTGAATAACTAAATTAAGGCAGAAATAAGTATTCTTTGAAATAAATGAAAACAGAGACACAACATTAAAAATATCTGGGATGCAGCAAAAGCAGTGTTAAGAGGAAAGCCTATAGCACTAAATGCCTACCTCAAAAAGTTAGAAAGATTTTCAAATTAATGATCTAACACCACACCTAGAGGTACTAGAACAACAAACTCTAAAGTTAGCAGAAGAAAAGAAATAACTAAAATCAGATCAGAACTGAATGAAATTGAGACCCAAAAATGTATACAAAGAATCAATAAAATCAAAAGTTATGTCTTCGAAATGAAAAACAAAACCAAGACTGCTAACTAAATTAGCAAAGAGAAAAGAGAGAAGATCCAAATAAGCATCATCAGAAATGACAAAGGTGACATTAACACCAATCCCACAGAAGCACAAAAGATCCTCACAGACTATTATGAACACCTCTATGTACACAAACTAGAAAATCTAGAGGAAATGAATAAATTCCTGAAAACACATAACCTCCAGAGATTGAATGAGAAGAAATTGAAACCTTGAACAGATAATTATAGAGTTCTGAAAATGAGTCAGTAGTATATAAACTTACTCACCAAAAAAGCCCCAGATCAAATGGACTCACAGCTAAATTTTACTGTACATACAAAGGAAGAACTGGTATCGATTCTATTGAAACTATTCCAAAAAATTGAGGAGGAGGGGCTCCTCTCTAACTCATTCTACAAAGCCAGCATCACCTTGATACCAAAACCTGACAAAGGCACAATGAGAAAAGAAAACTACAAGCCATCTTCCCTAACGAACATAATAGGGTTTGTGCTCCAGTGAGAATCTAATGCCGCCGCTGATCTGACAGAAGGCGGAGCTCAAGTGGTCATGTGCCAGTGAGCACAGCTCACCTCCGGCTCTGCGGCCTGGCTCCTAACAGGCAAAGGACAGGTGCCAGTCCATGGCCTGGGGGTTTGAAACCCTTGTTCTAAAGGTAGAGAAAGATTCAGATAACCAGCAAGGCAATAAATAACTCGACAACATGCTTCCATGGAAAGAAGAAATCTATGATGAAAATTAAATCAGGATAAGGGAATAGAAAGTGAATCTATATGAACTTTAATCAATTTTGATAGAGTGATGAAATAAGTCTTTCCTGGGGCAGTAACATTTGAACTAAACATTGAATGGAGTGATGATGCCAGCCTCATAAATATTTTAGGTAAAAGCCTTCTAGGTTAAGACCACAAGGATAGAAAGTGGTGGCATATTCCCATCACAGCAAGAAGGCCCAAGTGGCCAGAGCAGCATGGGCCAGGGCAATGATGGGAAATGAATCTGGAGAATTACTCTGGCCCAGACCATAAAGGCCCTTGTTGACTGTATTAACAGTTTGGATTTAATTTGTTAAACCAATGGGAAGCTATTTGAGGGTTTTGAATAGGGGTTATTATAGCAACGTGAGCTGATGTGGGACTGAGAGATAAAGCAATGAAAGTCTAATACTAGAGAGACCAAGTCAAAGACCACTGACAGGGAAATTTTTGATGGCTGGGACTAGGGTGGTAGAAATATTTATTGGTTTAACTATATTTTACTCCTTGTGCTATTTCCCACAAATTTCTAATTTACTTTTTGATTTCCATTTTAACTGCTAGTACTTTAACCTAGGTTCTCAACTCTTGGTTCTTAAATATATTATCTGATTATTATTACATTGTCATAGAATATAACAGGTTTTCCTGATTCTATTCATTCATAAATTCAATCCCTCCAGCATGCCACTAGTACTGATTAAAAGTTACTTATTACAATTCCAAAGAGAGCTTTCAGTTCAAGATACATTTCTTCATTATTCTAAGAATACTCATATTCATTTATGTCTCTGTCTTTTCTCAAATGCGGGTTCCTTATCTCAAAGAGAAAGCCATTTCTTATTTATAATTGAGATGTCTTTCAAGGTCCAATGAAATTACCTTAACCTCCCTTCCAAACTCTCTTACCAAGTTCTTTGATCTTCTACAGTAATTATTATCTGTACAATTCATCCCAAACTGAATTGTATGTTACTTTGTATTCACTTATTTAATTATTCATACATATGTTACTTAAATAGCTATTTAATTTGAAAAATGTTTACTAAAAAACCTATTATGTGCCAGGTATTTTGCTTTATTTCTGGGTTCTCTATTCTGTTCCATTGGTCTGTGTGCCTATTTTTATACCAATACCATGTTGTTTGGTTGACTATGGCCTTATAGTATAGTTTGAAATCAGGTAATGTGATGCCTCCAGATTTGTTCTCTTTGCTTAGTCTTGGTTTGGCTATGCAGGCTCTTTTTTTGTTCCACATGAATTTTAGAATTGTTTTTTCTAATTTTGTGAAGAATGATGGTGGTATATGGATGGGGATAGCATTGAATTTGTAGGTTGCTTTTAGCAATATGGTCATTTACACAATATTGATTCTACCCATCCATGAGCATGGGATGTGTTTCCATTTGTTTGTGTCACCTATAATCCCTTTCAGCAGTGTTTTGTAGTTTTCCTTGTAGAAGTCTTTTGCCTCCTGGGTTAGGTATATTTCTAAGTTTTTTTGTTTGCTTGTTTTTGGGTTTTTTTTTTTTTGGCAGCCATTGTAAAGGGGGTTGAGTTCTTGATTATATTCTCTGCTTGGTCACTGTTGCTGTACAGAACAGCTACTGATTTGTGTACATTAACCTTGTATCTGGAAACATTGCTGAATTATTTTATCAGTTCTAGGAGCTTTCTGGAGGAGTCTTCAGGGTTCTCAAGGTAAACGATCATATTGTGAGCAAACACTGACAGTTTGACTTCCTCTTTACCTATTTGGATGCCCTTTATTTCTTTCTCCATCTGATTGCTCTGGCTAGGACTTCCAGTACTATGTTGAAGAGGAGTGGTAACAGTAGGCATCCTTGTCTTGTTCCAGGTCTCAGAAAAAATGCTTTCAGCTTTTTCCCATCACTATATTGGCTGCGGGGTTTGTCACAGATGGCTTTTATTACATTTTGCTAAGATTTTTAATCATAAAGAGATGCTGGAATTTGTCAAATGCTTTCTCTGCATTTATTGAGATGATCATGTGATTTTTGTTTTTAATTCTGTTTACATGGTGTGTCACATTTATTGACTTGCATATCTTAAACCATCTCTACATCCCTGGTATGAAATCCAATTGACCATGGTGAGTTATCTTTTTCATATGTTCTTGGATTTGGTTAGTTAGTATTTTGTTAAGGATTTTGGCGCCTGTGTCCATCAGGGATATGGGTCTATAGATTTCTCTTTTGATTATGTCCTTTCCTAGTTTTGGTATTGGGATGATGCTGGCTTCACAGAATGAATTAGGGAGGGTTCCCTCTTTATCTTGTAAAATAGTGCCAATGGGATTGGTACCAATTCTTCTTTGAATGTCTGGTAGAATTCTGCTGTGAATCCATCTGGTCCTGGAATTTTTTGTGGTTGGTGAGTTTTAAATTACCACTTCAATCTCACTGCTTGTTGTTAGTCTGTTCAGGGTATCTAATTCTTCCTGATTTAAGCTAGAAGGGTTCTATTTTTCCAGGAATTTATCCATCTCTTTTAGATTTTCCAGTTTATGTGTAAAGGTATTCATAGCAGCCTTGAATGATCTTTTGTATTTCTGTTGTTTCAGCTGTAATATTTCCATTTTGTTTCTTAATGAGGTAATTTGGATTTTCTCTCTTCTTTTCTTGGTTAATCTTGCTAATGGCCTGTCAATTTTATTTATCTTTTCAAGGAACCAGCTTTTTGTTTCATTTATCTTTTGTATTTCTTTTGTTTCAATTTCACTTAATTCTGCTCTGATCTTGGTTATTTCCTTTCTTCTGCTGGGTTTGGGTTTGGTTCGTTCTCATTTCTCTAGTTGCTTGAGGTGCGACCTTAGAATGTCAGTTTGTGCTCTTTCAGTCTTTTTGATGTAGACGTTTAGGGCCATGAACTTTTCTCTTAGCACCTCCTTTGCTGTATCCCAGAGGTTTTGATAGGTTGTGTCATTATTGTCATTCAGTTCTAAGAATTTTTAAATTTCCATCTTGATTTTGGTTTTGCCCAAATGATGATTCAGGAGCAGGTTATTTAATTTCCATGTATTTGCATGGTTTTGAAGGTTCCTTTCAGAGTTGATTTCCAGCTTTATTCCACTGTGATCTGAGAGAGTGCTTGATATAATTTTAATTTTCTTAAATTTATTGAGGCTCATTTTGTGGCCTATCATATGGTCTATCTTGGAGACAGTTCCATGCGCTGTTGAATAGAATGTGTATTTTGCAGTTGTTGGATGAGATTTTCTGTATATATATTAAGTCCGTTTGTTACAAGGTATAGTTTAAATCCATTGTTTATTTGTTGACTTTCTGTCTTGATGACCTGTCTCGTGCTGTCAGTGGACTATTGAAGCCACCTGCTATTATTGTGTTGCTGTCTATCTCATTTCTTTGGTCTATTAGTAATTGTTTTATAAATTTGGGATCTCCAGTGTTAAGTGCATATATGTTTAGGATTGTGATATTTTCCTGTTGGACAAGGCCTTTTACCATTATATAATGTCCCTCTTTGTCTCTTTTAATTGCTACTGTTTTAAAGTTTGTTTTGTCTGATATAATAGCTACCCCTGCTCACTTTTGGTGTCCATTTGCATGAAACGCCTTTTTCCACCCCTTTAAGTTTATGTGAGTTCTTATATGTTAGGTGAGTCTCCTGAAGGCAACAGATAGTTGGTTGGTGAGTTCTTATCCATTCTGCAGTTCTGTATCTGTTAAGTGGAGCATTTAGGTCATTTACATTTGATGTTAGTATTGAAATGTGAGATACCATTGCATTCACTGTGCTCTCTGTTGCCTGTGTAACTTGTTTTTGTTTTTTGTTTTTGCTTTTTAAATTGTATTTTTGTTTTATAGGTCTTGTGTGATTTATGCTTTAAAGAGGTTCTGTTTTGATGTGTTTCCAGGATTAGTTTCAAGATTTAGAGCTCCTTTTAGCAGTTCTTATAGTGGGGGCTTGGTAGTGGCAAATTATCACAGCATTTGTTTGTCTGAAAAAGACTGTATCTTCCCTTCATATGTGATACGTAATTTTGCTGGAAACAAAATTCTTGACTGATAATTGGCTTGAGGAGGCTGAAGATAGGGCCCCAATCCCTTCTAGCTTGTAGGGTTCCTACTGAGAAATCTGCTGTTAACCTGATAGGTTTTCATATATAGGTTACCTGCTGCTTTTGTCTCACAGCTCTTAAGATTCTTTCCTTCTTAATTTTAGATAACCCAATGAAAATGTGCCTAGGTGATGACCTTTTTGTGATGAATTTCCCAGATGTTCTTTGTGCTTCTTGTATTTGGATATCTAGGTCTCTAGCAAGGCTGCTGAGACTTTCCAGAGCATTTTGCATTTCTATAAGTGTGTCCAATGTTTCCTGAGGATTTTTTCTTTATGCTTTTTCCTTGAATATTTCTTTCTTCACTTCTTGCATCGTTTTTTGGATTTGTTTGCTTTGGGCTTTGCCTTTCTCTGCTGCCTCCCTGATTCACTTAATAACTAACCTCCTGAATTCTTTTGCAGGTAAATCAGGGATTTCTTCTTGGTTTGGATCCATTGCTGGCGAACTAGTGTGATTTTGGGGGGAGGTTAAAGAGCCTTGTTTTGTCATATTACCAAAGTTAATGTTCTGGTTCCTTCTCATTTGCTTAGGCTTTGTCAGAGGGAAGGTCTAGTGCTGAAGGCTGTTTTTCAGATTCTTTTGTCCCACCGGATGTTCCCTTGATATAGTACTCTCCCTCTTTTCCTACAGATGTGGATTCCTGTGAACTGAGCTGCAGTGATTGTTATCTCTCTTCTGTGTCTAGCCACCCAGCAAGTCTACCCAACTCTGGACTGGTACTCAGAGTTGTCTGCATAGAGTCCTGTGTTGTGAACTGTCTACGGGTATCTCAGCTGTGGATACCAGCACCTGTTCTGGTGGACATGGCTCGGGGGTGAAATGGACTCTGTGAGGCTTCTTAGCTTTGGTGGTTTAATGTTCTATTTTTGTGCTGGTTGGCCTCCTGCCAGGAGGGGGCGCTTTCCAGAGAGCATCAGCAGTGGTAGTATAGAGAATGGATGGTGGGTGGAGCCCCAGAACTCCCAAGAGTATATGCCCTTTGTCTTCCCCTACCAGGGTGGGTAGGGAAGGAACATCAGGTGCAGGCGGAGCTAGACGTCTATGAGCTCAGACTCTCTGGGCAGATCTTGCTGCGGCTGCTGTCAGGGATGGGGGCTGAGGTTCCCAGATCAATAGAGTTATATAACTAGGAGGATTATGGCTGCCTCTGCTGAGTCATGCAGGTTATCAGGGAAGTTGGGGAAAGCTGGCAGTCACAGGCCTTACCCAGCTCCCATGCAATCGGAAGGGCCAGTCTCACTCCCAAGGTGTCACCCCACCCAACAGCACCGAGTCTATTTCCAGGCAGTGACGATCAGGGCTTGAGAACTTGCCCCAGGCTACCCACCTCCCAGCTGGGAAAGAAAAGGGCTTTGGTTCTTCCTCCACCTGTGGAGTCTGCATGCTGGATTCGCACCCTTTCTAGAGTTCTGGTCAGGAGGCTTCTTGCTGAGTTCAAATTGTTACAAGGTTCAGCTGGAGACTTGCTTCTCCCTGTGGCATTTTACCCTGCACCTCTGGCCACCCTCCTGAAGGATCCCTGTGGTGCCAGGCAGGAATGGCCTGCTTAGGGATGCGGTGAGCTCCCAGGCCTTTCCTGCTGCTACCTCTACCCCTGTATTTCGCTCGGGTCTCTAAAGTGACTCAGCTCCCCATACGGTCAGAAACTTCTCCTGCAAACTAGACTTTCAGTTTCCCCGGGGGTGGGTGTGTGATCAGGAGCAGAGGATCTCCCTTGCCCACTTCTGCAGTTTGGGTACTCACAGTACTTGGGGTGTCCCCCAGGTCGTGCAGGAGCAGTCGGCTTCCTTCAGAGGGTCTGTGGGTCCTCTTGGGATTCCTAGGTTTAATATTTTTGAATAGAGGATACGGCACAGGAGGAGAGTGGGCAAGATAACTTCCCAAGGTAAGGAGACTTCTTCAGATCTCCTTGCTCCACATGAGAGCATTTGGGATTAATTATCCCATATGAATTTTAGATAACTTCTTCTAATTAAGTTAAAAATGACTTTGGTAGTTTGATAGGAATACTGTTGAATTTGCAAATTGCTTTGGGCAGTATGGCCATTTTAACAATATTGATTCTTCCTATCCATGACCATGGAATCTAGAGGTCTAGGTTGCATGCTCCTTATAAGAATCTTAACTAATGCCTGATGATCTGAGGTGGAGCAGTTTCATCCATGAGGCATCCCTCCACTAAACCCCTCTGTCTGTGAAAACATTGTCTTCCATGAAACTGGTCCCTGGTGCCAAAAATGTCGGGGACCGCTGTTGTAGAATATAATAAGTTCCATGAGAATAGGGCTCTTGTTCACTAGTGGTTCTCCAAAGTCTTTTGTGAGTGAATGAGTGGGTCAGAAAAGCCCATCTCCAACACTAATTAGCTGTGTGAACTTAGGAAAGTTACTTAAATTTTTTAAGTCTAAGAATCATCATTCCTTTAATGGAGATAAACTACCACTACCCAGGGTTTTATGAGAATTTAATTGGAGAATGAATATATTTAAAGGACCCAATATAGTGCCAACCCTGACTATGCAATGAATAAATGGTAGTTCTCACCAGTCGGATGTAGCAAATGCATTCTGGCATCTTAAAAGATGACGAATTTTAACGTTCTTCCATTTATAGTAAAGGATATGTATTTTTCCCCATAATTCTGAAGGCTTTTCTTATCAGAGTTCCCATCCATGTATTCACTTTCAGTTCTAGGAAAGCCCACGTGGAAAATTATTAGCAAAGTTCTAGGGCATAAGGCTCCATGTTTTCATTTGTTTGATTTTTAAAACAGACTAAGCTCACATGCTCTATCTGTAGAACAACCATTTATAGAGCTTATGGTTGTTGTGATTCCTTGAGGCAAACAACTATAAACTTGTTTAAGAGAAAATGAAAAAAAATAGTTTCACCTTTCATGTCAGTTCAAGTTATTGAAGTTTTGGTTGTAACATGATGCCAAGTATATAAAATTTCAATCTGAAGTGAAGGCGTTTACAACCCAGTTGGTGAATGCACCATAAAGGGATGAAACACATCACACAACCCATGACCAGGTGCACAATTGCAGCTTCCCAGGCCAGGTCATGCAAACCTGGGTAACACGCATCACTCCCACCATGATAGAAAACTGAGTTCCCAGAACCATTCTACTGGACATTGGAAGACATAATTTGTCCACACTCTGTATTATAAAAACACTTTTCAACATCAGGAAATAACTTGGAAGACTAAGGAGAAAAGCTCATTTTATTACAGCTTCGCTATTTTAAAATATTTATCCCAGTACCACATATGTTGTCCCTGGGTCTCTGAAAACAGATTTTGTGTGGCCACAAGTCATTCAAAGGAATTTTATGTGGAAGTCCAGGTAGCTCCCCAATGAGTCTCACCACCCCCGTTCTAATCTGTGTTCCATACTTCTAGTAGAAGAATATGCCCAACATGCAATATTTTTCCTGCCAATCCTTTCCACAGGCATTTATTGGGTTCCCCATATCTATGGTTTGAAGCCCAAATGTCTGAGGTTGACATTCAAAAGCCTGAACTTTTGATTGTCTTACTAATCATATCTCCTACTACTCCCTTATGGATACTCTCACTTCTTGCTAAATATTGTTTCCAAATTGGTGCTTTTCTATCCCTGGGCCCTACTCACCTCATTTTCCCTTCTAGGTGGACCATTTACACCCTTTTTCTGTCCAAATATTCGTAAAATTAGAGTCTACCTTGAGAATCTCTGGGCTTTCTTTTTGTATATTACTTCCACTCTTTGTAACACTACGTGTTTAGATAAGACTGTTGTACCTGTGACAATTTCTGCTCATTCATTTTAATTGTTCCATGCATTTCTACTAGGCACCAGGTGCTATGCTAGGCAGTGGAGCTTCAGTACTGAACAGAAACAGACTAGAGTGCTGATCTCATGGCATTTTAGTTAGTGGGCCTTCAGATATTATCTACATGTCAGAAACATATGTAAAATTATAACCATGACAATGAATTCGAGATAGAAAAGCTATGAGTCTCTATTATAGTAAATTTGACCTAGTTAAGAAGATTAGGAAAGGCTTGACTAAGGAAATGGCAACTGGAATAATGAAATCAGGTTACTGGATACAGAGGGTTAGAAAGAGAGTTTCCGTCAGTGACCTGTGTTGGAAGGGAATAGGATGAGGGACTGAAAATGTCATTGCTGAGAGAGAGAAGGTTGGCGTGGAAAGTTAGGTAAGTGACTTGGAAAGTTAGGTAGTGCCAAGCTATGAGTGACATTCCAGACCTGTGATTCTCAAATGTTTTAGTGTCAAGAAACCCTCACACTCTTAAAAGTTACCAAGAACTCCAAGAAGCTTTTGCTTATGTGCAGTATATCTATTACTTATTTTATTTTATTTATTTATTTATTTGAGATGGAATCTCACTCTATCGCCCAGGCTGCAGTGCAGTGGCACAATCTCGGCTGACTGCAATCTTCGCCTCTCCGGTTCAAGCAATTCTCCTGACTCAGCCTCCCAAGTAGCTGGGATTCTAAGCGCCCACAACCATGACCAGCTAATTTTTGTAATTTTAGTAGAGATGGAGTTTCACCATGTTGGACCAGGCTGGTCTCAAACTCCTGATCTCAGGTGATCTGCCCACCTTGGCCCCCCAAAGTGCTGGGATTACAGGTGTGAGCCAATGCGCCCGGCCTATGTCCACTATTTTTATCTGAGGTAGCTGTCATAGTATTTGGCACATAATTGATGTGCTGAAATATCGGCTGCTCCCAGTCAGCTCCTGTGTTACCCTGTGGTTTTCCTTTGCTATGCAGACAGGAAATTCTCAGCTGTTTGCTTTCCCAACTTTTGTTTTTGAGATGGAGTATTGCTCTGTCGCCCAGGCTGGAGTGCAGTGGCGTGATCTCAGCTCACCGCAACCTCTGCCTTCCGGGTTCACACCATTCTCCTGCCTCAGCCTCCCGAGTAGCTGAGACTACAGGCGCCTGCCATCATGCCCGGCTAATTTTCTGTATTTTTAGTAGAGACAGGGTTTCACCGTGTTAGCCAGGATGGTCTCAATCTCCTGACCTCATGATCCGTCCACCTAGGCCTCCCAAAGTGCTGGGATTACAGGCGTGAGCCACCGCGCCTGACCAAACCTGAGAGTTTTCTGAAGAATTTGTCCTATTCCATTTGTGCTGTGCTGCTATAAAGAAATTACCACAAAATGAGTAATTTATAAACAATATAAATGTATTTCTAACTGTTCTGGAGGCTGGGAAGTCTAAGAACAAGGCACCAGTAGGTTCAGTGTCTGAGGAAGGCTCAGTCTCTGCTTCCAAGATGGTACCTTGAATTCAAGGTTTATAAATTACTCATTTTGTGGTAATTTCTTTTAACAGCTACCTCAGATAAAAATATAAAAGGGAGAACATTTATACTCTGGAGATAGACATTTGTAAATATATAATTTCAAACCAATGTGCTTTGTGCCATGTTTTTCTTAGTCTCTTTCCATTGCTTGAAAGAAAAGGTGCAAGGAGTTTAAATTCTCTGTGATAATAAGGGTATTGAAAAGGCAGTGGAAAACCCTTCCCTGGAATTTGAAGAAATTAAGCAGCAGCCAAGAATTCAAACTATAGGAAGTTACAGTAAGGCTTACTTAGATCCAATAGAAATGACATCTAATCTTTAGAGAAATCTATGTATTTTGGCAAAAAAAAAAAAAATCAGCAAAAGCAGAAACACTGGAGGTGAAATATTGCCTATAGTTTTGACTTGGGTTAATTGACAACCAAACAGGCAAACTAGACCAAAGAGACTATTGGTTGTAGCTGTAACCAAAAAATGGAGGCAGCTATTAAAAGAAACCAGAGGTATTTGTTACTATCTTGCCTAGGATGTTATTCTAGTTAACTTCTTCAAATATTTGAGATAAGTGACTGAAAGAAAAATCAAAGTTAGCTTACATTCTAATTGTGGAAATAACATTTGTACAAAATATATTACTTTAGCCCTAGAATTTTTATTTTCTTGTACCTGCCTTAAGTTACTTTGTAGAGTACTGGTTGATAAATACATTTTTGTGGAAAGAGGTTATTTATTAATTTTAAAAGTTTTTTTGACTCTATGTGTGATGCAGTGTGCTAGTTAATTATGGGATTGAAGGCAACTCAAACATGGTGTAGATTTATTCACCTCTTTGAGCACTTTACAAGAAATTAATGAAGGTAAACTTTAACAGGATAGCAGAATGTTCTAACAAATACGTACTACCTAGAATCTTGTTAACATGTTCGATATCAGAAATTAAGCAGGAATAAAATCAGAGGGCATGTCAGAGATATTCCTCCTCTGTGTGCCTTTGGACATTTGCTATGGATCAGGAAGAAATGTAATTTTTACCAAGTTACTGTTGGTGGTCAGTTGCCAAGACTTAACCCACTCCTATTTCCTTACAGCACAGGACAAGGAATATGAGAGAAGCTTACTAAATGTGTGTGGAATTCAGTTGATTAAAAAAAAAAAAAGAGCAAGATATATGAATATAAACCTTTACCCAAAAATTTCACTCTAAATTTGACCCATGATGCGGTGACAATAAACCCATCATGGACTCAGCTTAGTGCGGTAGGTAAACATGCTTTAAAATAATGGGCTAAGATGAAAGAGAAAATGGCAGGATGTCCAAAAGTGCTACCGGAACAAATGTGAGAGCTACAAAATGACCTAGAAGGAGGATAACCCAAAAAAGAAATGTTTGAGGTGTGTTTTAAACACTGATAGACATTTGCCAAGAAAAGAAAAAGTGAGCAAGCTAGGCTAGGTAGGGAGGCAAAATAATCAAAGACACACTACGGCACAAGAATATGGTATATCTGTGGATTGATCATCATCTGGCATTGCTCACGTAAGATGATTTTTGGATTGGGACTGACAGAACTTGAGCCTTAAAAAGGCTGAAGGAAAAACACCAGATGGTGAAGATCCTCTGATACCATATAAAGGAGTTTGGGCTTTAGCTATACATTTGCAGAAGAAAGATTTTAACATCAATTTCCTATTTTATAAAACTATATCATTTATAAAAGTTTAATTTATGAAAACAAATAAAAATGAACAAGAAGTAGAATACCCACACCACATTTAGTACCTTCTTCAATCCTGGAGGGGATGGAGAAGAAAACAGAGAGTGTGAGAGTCAAGCAATGCTGAGGAAGTAGCATTGGATCATCCCATCCTTAGAGAACTACCCAGCCAAACTTGTAAGCTGCCTTCCCGCAGGAGGGAAGGTAAGTCTTCTCTGACCACACTCTATCCATGTTATTTGTTCTACCCATCCAATATTATCTATGAGTCATCATCACAGGATTCAATCTATGTATTTGTCCTTTACAAGTTGTTCGACAGGAGTTCCACCTTAAACTATTCCTTACCCTACATACTTTTTGTAAGATCTCATCCTCTCTTGTGGCTTAATTAAGACCCTTATGCCAATGACCCCCAAATGCATATCATTAAGCCTGCCATCTCACCTGAAAATCTACATGGCTGTCTCCTCATCTCAAACTCAGAATGCTAAAATCATGGTATTAGAAAGGATTTGAAAGATCTTTCTTTCCTATGCCTACATTTTGCCAATGAGAAACAAAACCTGGAGATGTTGATTGCTCCCTCCAAGTTGTTCTTTCTGTTCCGTGTCTGAAATGAGGATAGAGCCCAAACGCCCTGACTCATATTTCTCCTTCCCTCCATTATGTAATTTGACATATGCATTGACCCCAGTGAGACTCTGTGGTATGGGAAAAGCACTGATCTAAACACCTTAAGAAACACCAAGATGAATAAGATACTCCAAGCAGCTTATAATCAAGTAAAAAGAATAAATATATACTAGAACACAAGGGAAAAGATAACTGCCCCATGAGAGCTATAAAGAAAGAGTGGTAGGGGTTTAAATGAGGGATGCTGTGTATTGCTTTGTTTTTGTATTTTTAAAGATATGATATGCATTTGTATGTTTCTTTAAGAATGTAGCTATATTCCTAACCACATTTACTTTCTCATATCAAACAGAGTTGGCATGCACATAGTTCCTAGTCAAAGGAAAGTTAAAAATTAACTTTAGGATCATAGCTGGGGTTTTGTGTATTTTTCCCCAAACAGGAGCATAAATTCATTAACTCTCTAAGTCTGGGAAAATACGGGGGTGGAGACAGATATAAAAGGGCAGTAAGTGAAGCAAGTTGAGGGCACTGAGTCTGGCATGTCACAGAAACTGCACAGTAGATCATAAGACAAGACATCAGGACCTCTTCCTACACTGCTGCAACACTTCAGCAGAGCCTTGAATTCAGAAAACAGCCTGTTTGTTTCTTTCAACTGCAGCAACCATGAGAGGGAGTCAAGCTTTCAATTGCAGCATCCACCATACTTCTTTCTGCCTTCTCTGAGACTTCCTTAGGTTAAGAACTCATTAGGGAAGCAGAGCTCACTAAAGTACAATGCATATCACTAGGAACCTTTTCAATTTAAGTTTGTAGAGAGAATACCTATTAGGAAAGACGTTACTGCATGAGATCCCCGAAGTCCTCTTATGGACTGTGAACAATGATAATAACGAACAAGAGTTCGGCAAGATCCACTGAGAATCTAAATTTTAAAAAGGGTCTGACTGGCATTTTCCTAGGTTATACCCTCCGGCTCAGAAAAAAGAGGAAAATTATGACATTAATATAATTATAATTATAATATATATATATAATTATAATATATATAATATATATTTATATATATTTATTTTTATATATTTTTATATTTATTTTATATATAAATATATATGTTTATTTATATATATATTTATTTATATATATTTTTATATATTTATATTATATATTATATAATTATATATATAATATATAATTATATAATATAATATATAATTATAATAATTATAACATTAATCTTCCCTGGGTCCCCCATAGCTCTTGTACCTGCAAAATTCAAAGCAGCATAAAATGATCATAGATTCATTCCCAGTGCAGTAGGAGAGCTGGGGAGAAAGTGCCCTGAGTAACAGTGAAAAGACTGGGAAATAAACTTCAAAGGAAATCTTACAGGCAAGAACGCTGAAAGAGTATCCCTCATGACATCAATACGTGCAATATATTTGTAAAAAGACACCACAAAATACAGGACTAAAGATATCCAAGAGGTAGCTTGGTATAAAGCAGGGATTTTTTCAAACCTTAATGAGAGTCTAAATCACCTAGACAAGTTATTAAAATGCAGATTCTGAGCCAGTAGATCTTGGAAATGGCCTGGGATTCTGCATTTTTAACAAGTTTCCAGGTAATGCTGCAGATTCTGTGTACTCATGGACCACACTCCAAATAGCCAGAGGAAGGAAAGGGGAATAGCGGATGAGAGGTGGAGTACACCTCCTCCCTTCTCCCCACTGCAAACATACCGCAAACTATAATCTGTAGCCAGAAACCTAACGTTATTAAATTGTATAATCTGCAGCCAGCAACCTAACCTGACTGGGCCTCAATTCCTATAAAATGAGATACTAATTATAAAATAGAGTTTAGTTGAGAAATAATGTGTATGAAAATACTTTAAGTATAAATGAACATATAAATACATTGTTACTGTTATTTGAATGAACAAAAATTGTTTATCTTAAAAGAAGAACCACTAAGGGCAGTGATGGTTAGTATGTAAAAGTTTCTTCTTTTAGAAAATGGAATTAAATTGCTCCTTTTTCTCTGAAGACAACAGCTTTGCATCTATACCAGTGGTTCTTAAACTTGCTGCTCATTAAACTCACCCAAAGAGCTTTAAAAACAACAACAAAAAAAAAAAAAACACTGGCCAGGCGCTGTGGCTCACACCTGTAATCCCAGCACCTTGGGAGGCCGAGGCTGGTGAATTACAAGGTCAGGAGATCGAGACCATCCTGGCCAACATGGTGAAACCCTGTCTCTACTAAAAATACAAAAATTAGCTGGGTGTGGTGGCGGGCGCCTGTAGTCCCAGCTACTCAGGAGGCTGAGGCAGGAGAATGGCTTGAACCCGGGAGGTGGAAGTTGCAGTGGGCTGAGATCACGCCACTGCACTCCAGCCTGGGCGACAGAGCAAGACTCCATCTCAAAAACAAAACAAAACAAAACAAAACAACCACTGCCTGAGCACTCCTCATCTTGACGTATGATTCTGATGCAATTGGTCTAAAGGGAGACTCAGGCACAAAGAGGTTTCCTAAAAAAAACTCTACAAGTAATTCTGATGGATAGTCAGTCAACTTGAGTTGAAAGGAATAATTGAGCAGAGCCAGCTGGGAATGTCAGGGAAAGTTGATTGGGCTGCTACAGAAATGGAAAAGGAGATCTAGAGGGATGTCCATGTCTAATGTGCTCTTTTCCACTGAAGAAAAACTGGTTTGTCCATTGAAAAGATATTCAAAGAAAACGGGAGCAGCTGGCAAAGGTGATAATAAGGCTTATCTCCCTATTGGTTGTTAGGATCAAATGAGATAATGTCTATAAAGGCACTTGAAGGTCTGTTAAGTGCCATAAAAATATGAAGTGCTGTTGTTAACAGATTCATCAAACATTTCTTATTACGAGAAGAGTGTAAGTGTTAAGAAAGATTCCTTTAAAGCAGTCTCCTTCAGAATTTCCCTTTTAATGCAACGTCTTGTATACTGATCAAAATTAACAGAGGAATCTGTGCGGTATGAACTAAGTAGACTCTCTGTTATCTGCATTGTGCTGTTGTTGGTATTGTTTTTTTACATTAAAGATTATTCAGTACTTTATTATGTGCTCTTGGAAACTTCAGTTCTGAAACACAAACAAGTTTTTGGCAGCCACTTAAAAACAAAACAAAAAAACCTTTAAGTGGCTGCAAACAAAAATAAAAATAATAAATTAGAGACAGGTAAGTTGCAGACAAATTTATGTAACAAGCAGGTGTTGAAAATAAAAATCCAGTAGAAGAGAAAGCATTTGCCCAAAGGAATGGTGTACAGAGGAGGTGAGGCAGCATTTCCTGTTCTCTGCAATGGCATAACAAGTTCATAGCACTTTGCCCAATGCTATCTAGGAAACCATGACAGACTCTTATCCATAAAATGATCTTGGACATAAAGTCTTTCAGGGGTGTCAGGGACTCTGCAGTATGGAGAATGAATATAATAGTGTTGAGACACAGTTAGCAGGATAAATCTCATTTGGGGAAAAACCACTGGAGGTGAGACATGTCAATTGCTGATGAGAAAGTGAGCACTGGGGTAGAACTAACATTCCTAGTTGGGTAACTGGGAAATCACTGTTGTCTTTAACAGTGCTGTTTTAGAAGATGGTTTGAAATAGGTGGGTTTCTAATTCCAGGGATTCAAGAAATGAGTTACATGATGGGAAAATGAGGACATCCAAGGACTTTAGCAGATAAGGAAAGGAGAGAGATTGGATTGAACTGAAAATGCAAGCAAGAGAGATCATCAGTGAAAATCTCAAAGGATTTAGATTACATGATTTAGGATATAAAGAGGTGGAATTGTATCTGGAAGGAGAGAAGTCTGAATAGAGATTGTGTAAACAGCAGCATGAATATATACATATATATTTGTGCATATATATATGTGTGTGTATATATGTTATATATATGTGTGTGTGTATATATATATATAGAGAGAGAGAGAAAGAGAGAGAGAGAGAGAGAGAGAGAGACAGTTTAAGTGGAAAGTCTGAAGTGGAAAGAAAGAAATCAGAGGTAAATCATGGCATCTAGTCCTATGCCTGCCCCCACCGAACTAAAGAAGGTGATAAAGTCTTCTTAAAAATGGAATCAACAGGAATAGGATGAGTCATTTAAGGAGAGTCACAAACGCATGTAACACAGAAAGTACTGCCCATAGGGTGAGCTAACTGTAGTCAGAAATCATATCTGGGTCCCTCGCTCTACATAAAATATCTTTTACTGAAAAGCTGCTTAGTTCCCATTGCCTAGTGAATAAGTGGTTTGGATTTATAGAGGAAGAAAGTGAGAAGTCTTAATTCGGGTAGTCTGATTATGTCATTCTTTCACATACAGAATCAAGTCTAAACTCTTCAGCATGGCTCACAATATCTCTCATGATCTGGCCACAACCTAACTTTCTAGCCTGCCTTCCTGCATCTTCTCCCACAGGCCAATTCCTCTGGCCCAGCTAAATTGTTCTCTATTCCTGTAATAGGCTGTGCTTTAAATTTTTAAGACTTTATACATGCTGTTCATTCCATCTAGATGGCATTCCAAGTGGGATATGTTATCAACTTATCATGAATGCCTGCTAAACCCCAACCCATCTTTTAAGCCTCTGATTAAATGTCTCCTCCTTTTTGAAACTTTGCTATTCTCATCACATAATTATACTCTGACTTCTCTTGGTTTCTTTGGCATTTTATAGATAACCTAACTTTATGACATTTATTGCACTGTATTTTAGTACTTGTTAGTATGTTCAAGTAGCTCAGGATCAGGGTCCATCCTATATACAACTGTGAACACCCGGGATCCATTACTACAATGCTTGGAATATATTATACCTTCAATATGCTTTTACTATATGAATGAATAATCAGTATATTTAAACAACTGCCTTTTTCCAATGCTGTTTTATTGAACAAGATTTGAATCACTGATATGTCTGGTAAAATCACAATTTTAAATTTATCACAAATTTATGAGGACAAAGCCTTGTATATTATATGCTAAAATAAGTAATGTTGGCTTTACCAACCATACCTAAAAAAAAATCAAGATATCATTGTTGGTGGAAGAAAAACATATAAAATATACTTATAACTTTGCCCAGATGTTAAGTCAATCAAATTTAAAAGAGATAGAGACAGAAATGACACCAGCAAAATAGCAAAGTAGGCAGCTCCAAATGCTCATCACGCCACAGAAACAACAAAAAAACAGCAGAAACTATTAGAACTAACTTCCTCCAAACTCTAGAATAAAGTCAAAAGTTTACAGCAACCAAGCAAATGCTGTTTCAAGAAAAAGCAACCTGAAAACAGAGTGAAAGCTTTGTGGTATTTCCACTTGTCCATTCCTAATCCCTCCCCAGCTCAGCAGCCATCTTGAATATGGCAGCCTGCATGTCCAGTGTGGAAACATGGAACCTGATTCCAGGGGAGGCAAAATAGCCCTTACGTGAAATATTATGCTCGTCTGTTCTAACCTGTATGGAGCTATCTGAAACACTACTTCAAGACACTAGTCTCGATTTCACCCCTCAAACTCATGGAAAAGTGGCAAGAATTGCTTGGAAACATTGTAAGGTGAATGAAAAATGTATAGCCACCTGGGGTGAAAAGGTTAGGATCGAGACAAATAATGTATAGTCATGCTCATGCTCAGGGCAGAATGAATGCTCACAGAAGATCTGAGAAGACCCTAAGCTTTCACCTCTGGCTGATCTCTAGACTCAGTGCAAGCAGGAAGTGAAGTCTAAGGCACAGTTGTAAATGGCCTAAGTGTTGAAGAAGTGCCACAGCACAGAGCCAATCCATAAAGACTGGAGTAAGTGTTTGTTTATTCTGTTTTAGCCTCTGGTGTCCAGAAAATTTTGTCAAAACACTAGCTTAATACAAACTAAAGAAACAAAGACTTCAGTGAATACACATGACAAAGAATATAATCATAGCAAAAATCACTGGAAAAAGTAACTAAACAGATGACTATAGCCTTCAACAATCAAGAAGAGCAAACTATGAGGAAGGAGAATTTTATTTTCAGAGTAACCATGTCATAATATTCAATTGTGTAGTTTTCAACAAAAAAAAATCACAAATCATAGAAACAAAAAGTATTATTCAAAAAAAATCTATTCAAATAAAAAAGAATAGATTTTTTTCTATTCCCTGAGGAAGCCCAGACATTGAACATACTTATCAAAGACATTAAATCAACTATCAAAAAAGACAGAGGGAGGTTTACAAATGCAAAAACAGGTCAATATTTTAGCATTATTTCTAGAAAATAACATTGAATCTACGTTTTGAATCACGTTCTACATGAGCCAGTAATGGAATGAGGTTTACAAGTTCTGCATCATTTTAACATAGAAGTGTTAACCAAGTCTTGGGGTAAAAAAAATGTTTGGGATAGACGTTACCAGCTGAACTGACCATCTCTAAAAACTTCTAGCTAGATAACCTTAGAGAAATAGAAGCATCTTAAGAACTACTCTCATGTATATGCTTTGATGAGTGTCAGCTTATAAAATGTATCCCTGTGGTCTGAATAATTTCAATTGTAGAAAGTTTTGCTATACAGCAATTCCAATTCCACCTACAAAGAGAAAAAAACTATTTTCTGAGTATTTAGTATGCGATAAGCAATGTGTCAAACACTTTATATGGAAATTTTCATAGGAACTCTCAGAAATAAGTATAACTGTCATTCCCATTTTTCTGATAAGAGAAAATAGGCTTAAAGAAGTTGAACCATTAACGAAAAATCTCAGTGATAGTCAGTGGAAGAGGAGAGTTGAACACCAGTTGCCTCACTCCAGAGCTTATAAACACTTACCTACCATGGTAGTGTCTCCCATGTGCTGTAAACAAAAGCCATCTAGGTAATTCAGAGTATTTGTTTATTTTTATCCCATCCTTGTTAAGAAGGTAGAGCTCAGCTTTCTTATATTTGATCATCCAGTAAAAATATATCAAGCCTGTAATTTATAGCAATCCTCTGGATTTAATATGTAATATCTAACACAATTAATATTAGACAACTCAATAAAGACTAGAATTAGTAGCACAGATGTCTGCCAACTTAAGTATTTTTACCTTATGAATGTGTGATTCTCTTACTACTCAAATAGAGTTTACCATATACCCATGTTATCCACTTCTAAAATTAAAGCAAACACAACTGGCTACTGTAGTTAATCCCTTGCCTTCCATTTAAAAAGGTAAAGAACAAGACTTTCTATTTTGAACAAATTTCTAGTAGTACATGCCTTTTAGACAGCTTGGTTCAGCTGAAAATGTGAATGACCAGTAATTGACATAAAAGTAAAAGATATAAAAATATATGGCATATATATGCATATATATAGCATAGTTATTGAAAAAGTAAAATGGCAAAACTAAGTAATAAAAACAAATAATTGTTATACCTAAGTGGTTTGGAAAATTCTTGGCAATGAATTCTGTGGCAATAAATCGAATGTTTTCATTCTGAAATATTATCCTTGCCTTTCACCTTGATAAGTTGAAAGTCCTAAATGAGAGATTGAGTCAGGATGGTTGTTGGGAGAACCAGAGAAGCAAGTGGGTATAAAGAGAGAATGAAATTGAAGCACTGCTGAGGACAGAAAAGAATATTTACTTTTCAAGTGGAAATTGGGCCCAACACAGGATGAGGGAAACCCCGCTGGAGAGAGCGCACTGCAGACAAAAGTGAAGAACACAGGTGGCTAATGGACAGAATGATTCACCTGACACTGAATTTTTCTAAAAAACAGCATTTCTAAATCGGGCATCTTTTGTTATGAGTGTCAGGAGAATACAAAGACAGTCTAAATCCAACAAAGGAAATCATTGATTCAAAAAGAAGAGATGAAAACCCATTGATAATAATCCCCAGAGCAATTCAACCTCAAAAATATTTGGCAGCACACACTGAATGTGGCTTACCTCCTTAGGGAATTTCATACCCAGCCAAAGACTTGTCCCAGGATTTTATTATCATTTTAGCAAATTCTCTTTAATTGGGATGACTTTTATTTAGTACTGAGGTCACATTTATAAAACTTTATCCTGGCTAAAAAACGAAAGTCAGTGTACTGAAGAGCTATTCATATTTTTCAATCATGGCTTTAGAAGGTTTCTCTCACTCTGATACATAACTCAGCAACTTCCAAATGTGTCACATTGCTTTGTTTTTACCTATCTCTGTTACCCAAGAGTATTTGGACAAAGTTTAAACAATCAACTAGCCTCAGTCCACTGAGCTATAGAAAAATTAGAATCTTTATAGTACTGATATGTTTTCAAGCTAATTTAGGAAAGTTTATAATTTTAAGAGATTCAGCTGAACATTACCTCTTGCTTTCATCTAGACCTTTAGAATAGAATGTAAGCTTTCAGGTTTTGAGAAACACAGTATGTGTAAATTCAAGTCATATCCCTCCCCTACCCACCCTTTCATCCATCAACCTTGAGTTAAAAAATAATTCATATTTTCTGTAGAGTGGTTGAGGGGTACGTAGGAAAACAAATCACTTTCATAGGGATGTTTACTGTATAACACAAGTAGAGAAAGAGTGCCATGGTTTCTGCAAGGACTGCCTACTTGTCAGATTTGATTCCATTGTAAAGTATGTATGAGTGCATTCCATAATTCTGGTATATTGGTGAAGACAGGCAGGCAAGCACCAAGGAAGGAAGAAGGCAAGAAGGAAATGTTTCTTCATTGTCTTCTAAAAAGAAAGATAGTTGAGCCAACTGCAGTCTGTTCTGCAGACATTAACTTTCCAATTCCTTTTAGTTTTAAATTTGACTTCAGGCAGGACATTTTAATTTCCTCAAATCAGTCAATTTCTGTTTACTGGCACAAATCTTAGGGATATAAAATTCCCTATAGATAATTCACTGTTCAAAGATGACTGCCAACACTCACTCTTGGTTACCTAGACTGCAAGCAGCTGAGACCAAGGGCTCCTCCTTCTTCCAGCTTGAGGGGACTGCACTAGGCTTCCAAAGTCTCCTATACGCAATGCAGCTGGCCTTCTTGACAACTTCACTAAACAAATGACAAGTTATTCAGTGCCTCAGTGATCCAACAATCTTCCCATTGATAAAACTGTTCTTATGAATAGGTACAATGGGTAAGGACCCTCCCCTGGAATGCCAACTGCAGTAAAGGGTTAACGCAGTGTCGCTGAGGATGTTCAAACCCTGAGAATTCCAGAGAAAAGCCTGTCTTTTGACTTCTGGCAGGTAACCTCTAAGCCCTTAGAACATCCTGCCCAGTAAAATCATCTTGGTTTATCTGGCACCTTGGGTCACACCAATTAGTCTATGCTAACAATGTGATTTATAGTGGGGACCGTGGGCCACATGTTAGCAGTTTGATCTCTGAAGGAACTTCAGACCAAATAATTAAGGTCAGCCTTGTGGACATTCTGTGCCAATGTGATCAACCCTCAATAAAAACCCTGGACACTAAGGATTGAGTGAGCTTCCCTGGTTTACAATACTCCATGTGTTGTCACATATTGTTGGGACGATAAAGCAGTATCCGTACAAATCCACTGGGAGAAGATGGCTGCAAGCTCATGCTAGTGTCTCCTGAACTCCGCCCTCTGTGCATTTCCCATTGCTGACATTAGTCTGTATCCTTTCACTATAATAAACCACAACTGTGAGAATAACTGCTTTTCTGAGTTCTGTGAGTGCTTCTAGCAAATCACCTGAGGGAGATCTTGGGGACTCCTGACCACACTATCCCACTACAGTGCATTCAACGGAGTCTCTTGGCCCTAGCATACTCCTTCAAGAAGACCCTTTATGACCCTTGGCTCAGAAGTTCCTCCTGTGAAATCTGTTCCTTACTCCACTCCAAATTGTGTGGTGCTGTAGAATTCATTGACAGTAGGTGCAGAAGCCATGAGTCATTACTCACTACATCACACATTATTAAGACATCTATGAACAAAATGACAGGAATTCTATACATTTTCATTTTTAATTATTTTGAAAATTTTATTTTGAAAATTTGAACCTTTAATCAGATTCAATTGGATGTAATTTAGGATTCCAATATCACCGAGTTACATGTGTGATTCCCTTATTTGCTACCTAGTACCAAATCCTCAGACCAATTGTTGATTGAAAATGCGTAAAAAAATCAGGTAAACAAATAATTGGGAAAGAAAATTTCTAACACTGTAGTCAGAAAAGCCAAAGTAATAAATAAATTAAAAATGCATTGCAAAACCTAAAGCTTATTATGTGTTTATTATAGTAATTTAGGATTTGTGAAATTTTGAACTATACCATTGTCATATTCTAAGAATTCATCATTGCCTATATGTAGATTTTATACAAAAGGTCACCATTTACAAACACAGATAAATCTCCAGTCTCAGATAAAAGTTACTTAAATTTACACATTTGCAATATTTAGTATGACCAATGTTATAACACATAAAGAACCTTGGCCACCTACCTGTGTCAGTGTGCCAAAAATAATGCATAGATAATTTTTTCAGGAGTGGGGTAGACAACTGCTACCAGAATAGGCCAAGGCCAATTTTTGAGCTCTGTAAAGTGTGCCTCTGCCTCCAATCCTACCACCTCTCTGTCCCAGCTCCTTGCTACCTAACACCACTCCACTCTCTTAGCCTTTCAAGTATTTGTTCATGCGCATTTGTGCATTGCACACATGCCAGACTCAGTGTTCTTTAGGTATGGGTGACTACCATGCCCAGCACAGAGATTGCCACATTGGAGGCACTCAGCATGGGTTAAACAAATAGCCCAATATTCTTAATTTCTCGATTATATAAACATGCCTTTCGGGGAGACACTTCCCTTTCAATTCAGGGTTGAGGATTCAGATCAGCCAACCACATATCCCCTTGTCCAGCTGACTTTTTAAAGCAGGATAAATAAGTAAATTTTGTGGGTTCTACAAGGACACAATCTTTTTGCATATATAAGATATATATATCGCATATATAAGTCACATATATATATCTCAAAACAGACTGATCACATAATTTTTAAGTCAAGAATAAAGAAAAGAAAAGGGACTCTTGCTTTTGTCACAGTTTAGAATGAGATATTTATTTAGTGAATGCAGGTGCAATAGACAACTGAGGTAATTTGCACTGAACAGAATAAAACCTGTTTTGCTTTTATTGCAAAGATTGCTGTTGGTGTTTTAAATAAATCCTCCAGAAGAAACCTCTTCCTTGTTCCTGTGATACTGTTTTCTTTTTAAACTTTGTGACTGTGACATTTAATACATTGTTTCCTAAATTAAAATTTCTCATGGTAGTTTATCTCTTTTTTTTTTTTTTTTTTTTTGAGATGAAGTCTCGCTCTGTTGCCCAGGCTGGAGTGCAGTGGCACAATCTTGGCTCACTGCAACCTCCACCTCCCAGGCTCAAGTGATCCTCCTGCCTCAGTCTCTCAAGTAGCTGGGACCACAGACACATGCCACCACACCCAGCTAATTTTTGTATTTTTGGTAGAGTTGGGGTTTCACCATGTTGCCCAGGCTAGTCTCACATTCCTGAGCTCAAATGATCCACCTGCCTCGGCCTCCCAAAGTGCTGGGATTACAGGCGTAAGCCACCGTGCCCAGCCACTAGTTTTTGTCTTCTAATGGATTGTAAATTTCTTGAGGGTAGTGGTCTCGTTTTTACATGATCCTAGAACAGTTGTAACATCTAGGAGACGGTAGTTGCTCAATAAATATTGGTGCAAGTAAATGACTGGTTCCTAAAGGAACCTTGCCCCTTGTTTTTACTCTGTGTATGTGTGTATGTGTGTGTGGGTGTGCATGTGTGTGTGTGCATCTGTGTGTATGTGTGTGTTTTCCTTTTTCCCTGTATAAAAGCTCATTTTGAGCATAACTGAGAATCAAAGCTAAGCTATGCAATATGAATACATTCTACATCATGATTCTTTGTGAATATATTAAACTATTATCTCACACTACTCAATACATTAAGTAAGTAGTCACCACCAGCAGGTACCAACAAAGATACCTTTCTGCAAATGCCAGCTGTCACCTCCCTCTTGGTCACCTTGTAATCACCTTGCAGTCTTGACTGACACTCAAACTTCTGGATCACAGCCCACCATCTGGACTTCTGCCTCCTCCAAGTGCATTCGCCATACTGAGCTGCTGCTTAGTGGTTAATTAGTAACGCCGACTGGAACAAAATGTCCTACTCATGATTATTTAAATTATAAGTGCTTTTATCCCCCACAACAGCAATAATTGCCAAATACCCTTCATTCCAAGCTTATCTAATTCTCAGTTTACCAATGTGTTACTTACACATTTAGAATAAATGTTCTTAGAGGTTTGGCCAGAGAAATAGTCTTTCTTTAAGTTTTCAGGAATTACATTTTAAAAAGGAGACACTGAAAGAGCAAACAAAATCATTGAATGGTTAAGGTCAGGGCTGGAATGTTCCAGACTTGCCAGCCGGGCCCAGCCAGCTGCCCCTGACTTTCCACACATCAGCAAGTTCCCCTCATAAAAGGTTTACAGCTCAAGCCAAGCTGGTTTCAGACAGAGTTAAACCAACACCGCACAAAGAAGTGAAGGGAAAACAGTGTGAGACCAATTAAAACAAATTGGTAATGAAAGCAACAGCTGGATGTCAACATGTTCTACTCTGTTATTGGCATGTCAATGGGGTGATTTTTAGAGAAACTGGTGCTGTCAGAAGGAAAGGAGAGACCAGTGCCCTAATAGGTCAGCACAGGCCTGTAACTCACCAAATACATTCATTCCTGTCCACTCGCCCCAGAAAGCCACCTGCACAGATGAAAACCCACGCGTGCAAGAAACTTTTCTCTCTACTAAAGTCTCCAGCTGAACTATCGCCACAGGGAATAACATCTCTTCCACCTTAATGCTAAACTCAGAGCTCATTTGGCAAATAATGTTGTGACAGAGTGTGAGACAGCCAGTGCAGCATGAAAAGCACTGGGAAGCCAGATGACCTGGGTTCTGGGTCTAGTACTGTCACTACAGCCTTTGCCCTACAACATGCCAAACACCTGATCTGTAAAGAGGCAAATATAGAGTCTTCCCCTAGTATCCCTGGAGAATTGGTTTCAGAACCTCTCTGACTTAAAATCCATGAATGCTCAAGTTCCTTATATAAAATAGTGTAGTGTTTGCATATAATCTATGTACACCTTCCCGTATACTTTAAATTATCTCTAGATCACATATAGTACCTAGTACAATGCCAGGTAAATAGTTGTTAAACTATATTGTTCAGGGAATAATGATGAAAAAGTCTATATGTGTTCAATACCAGATGCAATTTTTTTTAAATATTTTCAATCCAGGGTTGGTTGAATACAGGGATGCAGAACCCATGGATACGGAGGGCCAAATGCACTGCCTTCTTTTGCCTGCTCTACATGGATGTCATGAAAATGACATGAGAAATTATACGTGCAGACAGTTTAAAAATTGAACACATTACACATCAAAGATCTCTTCTTAAGTGGCTGGCTGGAGTATTTTTGAAAAACACTTTCATAACTGTTGTAGAGCATGTAATGGCAAGTCTAGTATTGGACCACTTGCTTCTTGCCACGGCACAGGGTAAATCCAGGACCATGTGATTGCTGAGAAATCGTAGGTCAGGTGCAATATCCTATGTTGGTTGAGTGCCTGTGTGCTAGATCTTATAATCATTTCATCGATAACAAGTCTCTGAATTAGGTATTAGCATTCCACTTTACAGATAAAGAAATTGAGACTCAGAGAGGTTAAGCTGCACACAGCTATTCAGTTAAACATGCAGGACATGAACCATAAAGCGTTTGCTTTTTTTTCTTTTTTACTTTTTTTCTTTTTTTCTTTTTGATAGAGGGTCTTGCTTTGTTGCCTAGGCTGGAGTGCAGTGGTGCAATCATAGCTCACTGCAGCCTTGAACTCCTGACCTCAAAGAATCCTCTGGAGTAGCTGGGATTATAGATATGCACCACCACACCCGGTTGATTTATTTTAATTTTTTTTTTGTAGACATGAGTCTTGCCATATTACCCAAGCTTAAAGCCTTTGCTTTCAACTGCTATGCTGTCTCTGCCCTTGTTGTCCTCATCGTAACACAACAGGATGCTGAAACGGAATTAAACCCCAAAGGCCAACAGCAAAATAATATGTGCCAAGATACTAAATCTGAACCACTTACCAGGATCAAGCCTGGGATAATTTCCACTCAAGAAGACAGCTTTTAGGGAATGCACAACCAGCTACCACATGTGAAGCCCAGAAACTTAGGTGGCCAGTCAAAGGAAATCTCCCACCCCTTCCTAAAAAGTGGGTCCTTTCTGGAGAAGTAGAGTATTCCATAAACTTAGGAAAGCATCTCATGAGACAGCAACATCTATGAGGAATCCGGAAAGGGCAACATGCCGGTTCAAAAGAGGATAGTCAACAAAAATGTTTGCTACCACATACTTCCTCCATCTCCTTGTGGAAGTCAGAGACTCCCTATTGAGAAGGAATAGATAAGAAGTGAAAGACAACGGGAATGGGAAAAAGGAAAAATCATCCCACCACAGCAGGTCTCAACTGAAAAAAGGGAGATTTGTGAACTTGGAATTAAGTAAGGAATTTTTATTACACTGGAGGATTTATTTTAATTACTGTTCTTGTGACCACCTGTAAACCAAGGATTTTTTTTTTTAAACCTACCATATCCAGAAGGCTGGGTAAACTATGGAAACTTCCCACCTTTTCATTAAATATCAGGAAAAAACTAGGCCCCTGAGGGAGTTTGGAGTTAAAGAAGAGAAAAAAGTTTGGTTGCTTTATGAACTACTCCACTCTTAAATATAGAGTTACAGTTCCCCGGACCTAGAAGTGAGTGGAAAATGTCTAGGGCTTAAGAAATATTTTTGTCAATGGAGATATACAGCATGGCTTGAAATAGGTGTCTTAGGGGGTGAACATGCGGGAGAAGAAAAGATAGGGTCAGGACGAATTTTCCGTAGATTTTAACATATCCCCAGTCCAGGGCCAAGTTCTCTGAAGTGTGTGGACCTCGTTTAAAGATGAGCCCACAGCCTGCTAGCCTGCCCAGTCCCTTGAAAGGCCAAGTGCCCTTTGGGTCCCTGCCTGCTTCTTCCTCTTTTGCCTTCTCCCTGCTGTCCTTTGGAGAGTTATGCTTACTTCTGTAGGCTGTCAAGGGTAAAATGAACCATGGAATCATTTCCCAGTCAAGAATATGTTCTTACAGACCCTATAGTCGTGCATCAGTGATTGCAATAACCACAGATTTACAGAATAAAAAGAAAACTCAGCACAAATAAAGTCTATGCCAGTTTAGTGGTGGGTGATTGTGAATCCAAGCAGCAGACTGGCCAACATTTGCTGGTCCCCTTACTCTGCCAGGAAATGAGAAGTGACATATTTACATGCAAATAGGAAGGAAACTGAATAAAATTCATTTACAGAAGGTGAAACTATAAATATATATGTATGTATGTGTGTGCATATATACATACATTTATATATATATACATACACACATACACACTTAAATATACCCTAGGCAACTTCAGCCCTAGATTAAAACAGAAGTAAAGGGAATTAGTCCAGCGCTATAATTCAGGTGCATAACTGTTCATTTCTCCTATATAGGCAGTTCTATCATCAAATAATTAGTGATTACTAAAAATATAATTTTAATAATTTACTGATATTATAAAGCTTAATGACTATCAAGAGACATTATCATCTTTAATAGTCAGCCTGCTACTATCCTTGGAACTGAAGCCCTGGTTGGAGCCAAATTGCAGACGTTTTCAATCCTCCTTCCAGATTTTCTTCAGCACAGGGCTTTCTACCTATTAATTTTTGGTAGCACAGAATTAATAACTCTCCTGAGTGGGAATAAAAAATGACATTTAGTGGCACCTACAATGTGCGTATATCATTCATTATTTACTTCTCACAGAAGCCCTATGAGGTATCTAATATTATCCCCATTGTGTAGATGGGAACATTGGCACTCAGAGAAGTTGTATCATGCCTAGTAGGGGCCAAGCTGAGATCAGAGCACAAGACCCTTGAGTGCAATTGCAGGGCACTTACTACTAGCACCTTACAATGTCGTTCCTCTCACAAGGTAACTCAAATACAGGCGCAGCATTCACCTCAGTGGAGAAGCTGATGGAATTGTTCATTGGTGGCTCTAACGTCTTCATCCCTGAACCCTCTGTCACCTCATTGTTTCTCCTTTCTCATCAAGGGCAAATACCCTTATCATTGGGTAATGCTGAAAGTGAGAATCCTTGAAGTTGTTCCAGGCAGGGTTGGCTTCATGAATGGGCAGCCTGTGCAGTCTCATAGAGCCCTACATCCAAAAGGGCTCTGGACTTGGTTTAATGCTGTGCTAAAACTATATTAGTCCATTTTCATGCTGCTGATAGATACATACCCAAGACTGGGAAGAAAAAGAGGTTTAATCGGACTTATAGTTCCACATGGCTGGGGAGGCCTCAGAATCATGGCAGGAGGTGAAAGGCACTTCTTACACGGTGGTGGCAAAAGAAAATAAGATACAAAAGCGGAAACCCCTGATAAAACCATCCAATCTCGTGAGACTTATTCACTACCATGAGAACAGTATGGGGGAAACTGCTTCCGTGATTCAAATTATCTCCCACCAGGTCTCTCCCACAACCCATGGGAATTATGGGAGTACAATCTCAAGACGAGATTTGGGTGGGGACACAGCCAAACCATATCATTCCGCCCTTGTTCCCTCCAAATCTCATGTCCTCACATTTCAAAACCAATCTTGCCTTCCCAACAGTCCCCCAAAGTCTTAACTCATTTCAGCATTAACTCAAAAGTCCACAGTCCAAAGTCTCATCTGAGACAAGTCCCTTCCACCTATGAGCCTGTAAAATCAAAAGCAAACTAGTTACTTCCTAGATACAGTGGGGATAAAGGTATTGGGTAAATACAGCCATTCCAAATGGAAGAAACTGGCTAAAACAAAGGGGTTACAGGGCCCATGCAAGTCAAAAATCCAGTGGGGCAGTCAAATTTTAAAACTCCAAAATGATTTCCTTTGACTCCAGGTCTCACATCCAGGTCAGGCTAATGCAACAGATGGGTTCCCATGGTCTTGGACAGCTCCACCCCTGTGGCTTTGCAGTGTACAGCCTCCCTTCCAGCTGCTTTCACAGGTTGGCATTGCGTGTCTGTAGCTTTTCCAGGCAAACGGTGTAAGCTGTTGGCGGATCTACCATTCTGGGGTCTGGAGGACAGTGGCCCTCTTCTCACAGGTCCACTAGGCAGTGCTCTGGTAGGGACTGTGTGTGTAGGCTCCAGCCCCACATGTCCCTTCCCCCACTGCTGTAGCAGAGGTTCTCCATGAGCACCTTGCCCTTGTAGCAAACTTCTGCCTGGGCATCCAGGCATTTCCATACATCTTCTGAAATCTAGGCAGAGGTTCCCAAACCCCAATTCTTGAATTCTGTGCACTCATAGGCTCAACATCACATGGAAGCTGCCAAGGATAGAGGCTTCCACCCTCTGAAGCCATGGCCCAAGCTCTACATCGGCCCCTTTCAGTCATGGCTGGAGTGGCTGGGACCCAGGGCAACAAGTCCCTAGGCTGCACACAGCACACGGGGATCCTGGGCCCAGCCCATGAAGCCATTTTCTCCTAGGCCTCTGGGCCTGTGACAGAAGGGGCTGCCGTGAAGACCTCTGACATGCCCTAGAGATATTTTCCCCATTGTTTTAGGGATTAACTTTCTGCTCCTTGTTACTTATGCAAATTTCTGCAGCAGGTTTGAATTTCTCCTAAGAAAATGTTTTTTTCTTTTCTATCACACTGTCAAGCTGCAAATTTTCTAAACTTTTATGCTCTGCTTCCCTTATAAAACTGAATGCCTTTAACAGCACCCAAGTCACCTCTTGAATGCTTTGCTGCTTAGAAAGTTCTTCTGCCAGATACCCTAAATCATCCGTCTCAAGTTCAAAGTTCCACAAATCTCTAGGGCAGGGGTAAAATGCCTCCAGTCTCTTTGCTAAAACATAACAAGAGTCACCTTTACTCCAGTTCCCAGCAAGTTCCTCATCTCCATCTGAGATGACCTCAGCCTGGACCTTATTGTCCATATCACTATCAGGCTTTTGGTCAAAGCCATTCAACAAGTCCCTAGGAAGTTCCAAACTTTCCCACATTTTCCTGTCTTCTTCTGAGCCCTCCAAACTGTTCCAACCTCTGCCTGTTACCCAGTTCCAAAGTCACTTCCACATTTTCGGGTATCTTTTCAGCAATGCCCCACTCTACTGGTACCAATTTACTGTATTAACCTCTTTCACGCCACTGATAAAGACATACCCGAGACTGGGAAGAAAAAGAAGTTTAACTGGACTTACAGTGCTATCTATGAACATGGTTGGGGAGGCTTGGAATCATGGCAGGAGGCAAAAGGCACTTCTTACATGGCAGCAGGAAGACAAAATGGGGAAGATGCAAAAGCGGAAACCCCTGATAAAACTATCAGATCTCATGAGACTTATTCACTACCATGAGAACAGTATGGGGGAAACTGCCCCCATGATTCAAATTATCTCCCACCAGGTCCCTCCCACAACATGTGGGAATTATGGGAGTACAATTCACGATGAGATCTGGGTGGGGATACAGCCAAACCATATCAGTAACCATATTGAAATTGTTAATAACTTTATCATTAAACTCACGTTTTGTAAGTGAAGTCAAATAGAACAATGGAGCGTGGTCACGAGCAGAGGAGATAATGCATATCTGCCTGTTCCTTGCCACCGAATTTGCTTATAGCACTGGGGATGCCCTGTGAGCACAGAATTTTGGTGAACTCACAATACATGAGAATTGAACCAAACTTCAAACAAATGCTAGGTTCTGAATGTTTGTGTCCCTCCAAAATTCATACGTGGAAACCTAGTCCCCAACACAATAGCATTAAGAGTTGGGACTATTAAAAGGTGATTTGGTCATAAGGGTGGAGCCTTCATAAATAAGATTAGTGCCCTTATACAAGAGACCCAAGGGACCTTGTTTGTCCCCTGCCATGTGAGGACACAGCAAGGTGTTATCTACGAACCAGGAAACAGACCCTTACCAGATACTATACCCACAGGCTCCATGGACTTCCAGCCTTCAGAACTGAGAAATGAATTTTTGTTGTTTATAAACTATCTGGTCTATGGTATTTTGTTGTAGCATCCCAAACAGACTAAGACAGCAAGTATAAGGTAAGCAAGCATGGACTAAGTAGGCAAGGGCACTCATGTCTCAGAGACTATGCTTTCTGTTAGAACCAGAAAGAAGACAGTGGGATTCTAAGAGGCACAACGACAAAGGAAACGTATCCTAGTCTTTCTCACTCCTGTTACTTACCTATGTTTTGTTTCTTTACCTTTTTGTTCTTTCTTACTAATTTGTAAACCAAGGATAGAAAGTGTTGTTAGAATGTATATCCATCAAGTAAAATAAAAAGGGTTGAGTTCTTTTTTGTGCAGTATTTCTTCTGTTTTGGTAAGAACAAAATATTTATGTATGAACTATGTAATTTTGGTGACACCATAAACAACTTAAATGCCTTTATATTTGCATTATAATTGGCATTGCATAGTATAAAGATGAATGGTAAAATTCTTGTTAATTATTTAAAATGTAACTTTTCTGGTCAGGTGTGGGAACAACAGCTTGCAGAGTAGGTGGTGATGAGAGCATGTGACCTTTCCTTAGGCAGCGGGCCAAGGGGAAAAAAAAAGACAAAATGCAACTTTTCCCTACTTAGAATGACATTAAATTGTAAATTAAAAAAACACTGTGACAAGTTAAGGGTGAGTGAGACCACCGAAGACAGAGAAAAACTTTTTATTTTAGTAACCATCATTACCCTTTTTCAGGCTCTTTTTCTTTGCTTTTTTTTCTTCATTTTACACTGGGCCCAGAAGATTAGTAGCTGGCCCCAGACCTAGAGAAACACGCATTCTGCAATTTTCAAAATGCAACCTCAGCTTTTGCACCTACTTGACCTTTTGTGGCTTGGGTGGAGCCATAAGAACTTAAAATCAACTAAGCCTACAATAACAGACAACTCAGAAAAGGAAGTTTAAAGTCATGACCTTAGGCATAGAGGGTTGGCATTCTGTTTCTAGAGTAAAAAACTTCTATTTTGCTGCAATCGGTGAAAACAGGAATATTAATCTAGGGAATAGATTACACTGAAAGATTTGAAATACAAATATTTTCCCTCATGGTTTCAAGGTAAGGAGAATAAGGCTTGTATTGCATATTGGGGTTTGGCTACAAATATAATGACATTGTGTCAGGAAGAGTTGCACTGGTCTTCGGTATGTTCTCATGCAATGGACATGGAGAGGATACTATAATAATTCAGAGCATGAAGCCAGAATTACTCAATTTTGTCTATTTACAGCTCAAAAGCAAAAATAACCAGACATTTGAGGGGCATAATAACAATTTAAAAGAGAAAGAGAGAGTGCAAAACGGACACCCTATGCCAGATAAGGCCCAAATATTGGACCAGGTAACTTAAGTTTTAAAAATAATCATTAAAAATACTGTAAAAGAGATAAGGGAAGGTATTAGTAACATGAAGCAGGACAAAGTAGAAATCCATGTTCAAAAATATAAAGAACTTAACAGATAAGCTATATAACAAAATATATGTACTAGAATAGCAAAATTATTTCCTGGAAGATCAGATAAAGGAATTCTGCCAAAACTCACTAAAAATAAAAAAAGATTAAAAATTTCAAAAGTAAAGTTAAGCTATACTTAATACTGGGAATGACAGAAAAAGAAGAGAAATACTTTTTTAAAATCAATGATAAAATTCAAAACTTTTTTAAAGAAAAATATTGGAAAAATACTAAAGAAAAACAAATTTCTAAATGTTTCTGGAGAAAGCAGTACTTACAAAGAATAAGATGTCAAATTTGTAACAGGCTCAAAAATAGCTGAACTCTAGAGACAATACAATGAAGTCATATGTGTAAGTGATTGAAGGTAAATAATTTTGAACCTAGAATTGTACATCCACCAATACTATTATTTAATTGTGAGAGCTAAATAAAGACATTAACAGACATAGGAGGTTTCAAAAGTTTTACTACACAAAGTCCCTCTCTGAAAAAGTAGAAAAAAGATTCAATTAAAACAATGAAGAAATCCACATGCATACTCAGCATTTGCAGGTTAAGTAAATAACTGATATAGTTTATTTTGGTCTAAAAAAGCAAGGACTGGTAGGAAAAAAGTCCATGTGGTCCATAAAAACCCACAAGCAAAACGTAAGCACTTTTAATGCACTGGGGATTAAGGGAGTGTTTGGGAATGAAGGCTCTGGAGGTGGAAAACAGATACAGTCTTTTGTATGTTTATTGTGAATATAGATTTTCATCATCTACATATTCCACATTCATGAAGGATATGTCTAAGATCTTTGTGAACCCCGTATTTGCAACTATCATTAAATTATTCCAACATTAAATGAAGAAAAAGATAAATGAAAATATTAAGTGACATCAAACTGCTAATAATTCCATAATTGGAATACCAAATCAGAAGTCTTGATTCCCTAATTTATGTTTCTGGCATTTGACGCCAGCTGTTTCTCAGGGTCTTTAAGTACCAGTACACCTTAATCTCTCAGAGCCTCAAAGTGAGGTTTGAAACTATGAGCCCTTTAAGCAAACCATGAAGGAGGAGACGATTCCAATGGAATAAGAAGGAAGTGTTCAAACTCTTTTATAAAACAACTACGATTAAACCAAAACCTGACCAGATTGCAAAAAAGAAAAGGATGATTTAAATCTAAAATTCATCATATTATCAAGAGTTCATTGGACAAAATATATTATCTGATCATCTGAAAATAGGCTGAAAACATATTTGGCCAAATTCAACACCCATTGTAAAGGTTGTAAAAAACTAAGTAGTATTTAATGCATAGTGTTCAATAGTACTCAACAGATATTTTGTGAATTTTATATATATAACTAATTTACATATTTGCATATTCTATTTATACATAGTATAAGGCCACTATTTATATTGATATTAAACTGATACATGTTTTTATATTTATTTATTTTTGAAACACATAATAAGGGGGATTTCTATATTACTGGTATTCATATATTAAACTGATATATATATATTTAGGTAGAAAATGTGTCTATATGTGAGTAATAGGTACTGATAAGTTCTATATTACTAATATATATAAAATTTTAGATATATTTATGTGTATGTATATATTTTATATATATAACACATATAATGATGTATACTGATAGAGAAGTAATTTTTTACATGGGAGAGGGAAAGTATTTTTTTAATTAAGGCTCAAAATCCAAAAGCCATAAAAATATTGATAACTTTAAGCAAAAAATAAAAAAAATTCCACTTTGTACAAAACACGGTAAGGACAGCTGAAAGGAACTGACGAATATGAAAAATATCTGCAAATCACTTTTTAGATACAGGACTAACTTACTTGATATTGAATAAGAGCACCTAGACATGAAAATAAGATACAAAGAGATAGTTTACCTAAAAGTACATTCATACAAAACCTCGCTCAAATTCACACACGATAAAAGAAATGTAAATTATAACTAGGGGATACCATAGTTCATTTATTATGATAGCAAAAAAACTGAAAGTGCCACAATATACTTTAGTAAGACTGTATTGAGACAAGCGCTCTTAGATACCACAGGTATAAGTGTAAGTACATACAACGACTATAAAAGAAAATTGAGAAATAACAGTCAAGCATACAAATTCATTTACTATTGCCCCAGAAATCTCACTTCAGGAAATATATTCATAAATAAACCTGAATCGACTTAAAATGATATATGAACAAGGTTATTTATTAGAAGATATTTTTCAAAAGCCAAAAAATTTAACCACTCAAGTGGATATCTATGAGAATGTAGTTAAAGAAAATATGATTTAGCTCTAACATAGACTATCAAGCTGCAAAAATAAAAAAAAATGTAGAAACTCTGTTCTAATTGACTAACGCTGCATAACAAACCATTTTAAACTTACTGACATAAAATAACCACTTTATTATTTTCATAAATTCTCTCTGGGCCAAGAATTTTAAAAAGGCCTCATGAGGACAGCTTATCTCTGTTCCAGGACATATGGGGCCTTAACTGGGAAGGCTTGAAGGCTGGCTGTCCTCTTTAGCTGGAGGCTAAAATCACGGGAAGGTTTGCTCACTTACATATGTGGTGCTTGATGCTGGCTTATGGAACCTCCGCTGGCGCTGAAATCACAACACATTCACAGGGCTTCTCAGTGATTGCTTAGGTTTTCCTACATGATGGCTGGGTTCCAAGAGCAGTATCCTAAAGACATAGCTAGAAGGAAGCTGCATCACCTTTTATATTCTAGCCTCTTCCCACTGCATCATTTTCTCCATGGTCTCAACTCCATCCAGATTCAAGGGGTGGGAACATGGGCCCATCTCTTGATGGAAACAGTGTCAAAGTCACATTGGAAGAAAAGCAGGTGGGATTGGCAGCTACTGTTGCCACCACTTTTGAAAAATATAATCTGCCCTACTGAGTGGAAAGATTTACAGGATCAAGAGTTAGGTCCAAAAGCAAGGTATAGCTCGGTGCAGTAGTCTGAGCTGCTCAGGAAGTTGAGCAAGGAGGATCACTTGGGCCCAGGAGTTTGAGGCTGCAGTAAGATATGATCACATAACTGCACTGCAGCCTGAGTGATAGAGTGAGACCCTGTCTCTATGAAAACAAAAGAGAGGAATTAAGTTTTGATAAGGAAACCCTGGAGAAATACACACAAAACTACCTCCCAAAATTGCTAAGTTTTGTGGGAGGAGTTTGGAAGAGACTGTAGAGAAATGGGTAATGATGCCAAAACAGACATTTTCTGCATGTTTGTTGTACATCATTTGAAAAATACTAAATAGTAATAACTGACAAACACACTGACACACATACACATTTACACACATGCATAGTTTATTCTTCCAATAGAATCATTACATGGATTTATGATTTGGGTAAGTTTTTTTAAAATGCTTACATATGTAGGCCTCCCCTGATACCCCCAAGCAAAGAGCATGTTTCTTGATACAAATAAAAAGCTTTGTAATAGAAAACTTTGTAATAGAAAACTACTTTTTGTTCATTCATACTTTGAATGAACAATCAGTGATACTTGCAGTATAAGGCTTGGAATCAATTCTTTTTTATTGCATTTTATTTCCACCTGTGAAAGTTAAAATATCAGCTGGTTGTGAATGTTTCATCTTCCCTCTCTTTCCTTTTCTTTCTGTCTCTCTCTCAGTTTTCAGTCAATCCCCTAAGTAAGCAATATTTATTTAGTTTTACCCTGAGTCTTGCTTTTTGCTATTTCAAATGCAACATATATTATAATCTTCACAACTTTGTGAGGAAGGAACTATTATTCTGCCAGTTTTACAGATAAGTTTGCAAAATACCAAAATACATACCATACAATGTGTCTGGTATGTAGTTGAGACTGTGCCTGTGAAGGCTTGGTTATTCTCCAATCTTCTCCAGTCTCAATTCTAAGACCTCCTTTCCTAATACAACAGTTAATACTCATTTGGAAAACATTTTAGCAAACCAAGAGGACATTTAGTTGGAGGGAAATCTGAAGAGCACATGAGCTAACCTTCTCAATTACAGAAACAGAAATTAGGTCAGAGAGAAAAAAAGTCATCATGCAAACTTCACACAGCTCCTGGGAGGAGAATCCAGGTCTCCTGACTCCCAGGGCGTTGTGCTCCCCACTGCCACAAATGTTTTCCTTCAAAAACCACAAGAATGCACTTGTCACCTAATAACCCTGCCACAAGTGCAGTGACAGATTGTGTTCAAACCAAATCCATTTAGAGGTGCACTTACAACAGAGCTGCAACAGCCCAAGGGAAAGCTGATGAGCAGCACAAAGGGAGGGAAATGGCCCACATTCTCTGGACTAGAAAAAGAGTCCTAAGTATGCTAATAACTTAGAAAACAGCAGTTTATAGATGGCATAGGAGGTTGCTAACAAACAAGTATGGAATTTGAATGGTCTCTAATGGGGAATGTGTCCCAGTTGAAGGGCATTCTAGAGGAAGACATTTCAGGTGCTTCCATTGTCCATGGACTTCAAGCAGGTCCTCACCAGGAATCAATCTGACTGACCGAAGCTAACTTTGAACCTGCCCATTGCCCAGTTTACCCTATGGAGTGAAAGAAGAGTATGTTCCAGCTACAGCATCTCATTAACATTCAGTGTTCATTCATACATGGAGAAATGTCTTACTGAGCACATTCTCTGTGCCCTTTACCTTCTCGGGGAAGCAAAGATGAATCAGGTCCCATCACTGATACCCAGACCACCACCAGTGTGGATTAAGTTACTTCGTCCATCAATGTCAGTGTCATAAATGAGCTACTTTATTTGTAATCCCTCAATTCCTTAATCAATACAGTGTGAGTGTGTGTGTGTGTGTGTGTGTGTGTTAATTTCCACCTGTGAGTCTAATATTTTAAACACTTTTTTTTTGTTTCCATATATTAATCACTGCTGCTGCTGAGCAAGTTAAGGGGCAGGCTTCCACAAAGTAGCTCATGTCAAATTCCTGTAACTAATGTTTCACCTATAGTCAAAGCCCACGATAGGGTTGAGAGGGAAGGGCAGAGAAAAGTACCCGTAGACAAGGCGACAGAAACTGGAAGCTACTTTAGCAGAAATTAGCTTGTGATAGGACAATGAATGGTGTTTGAAATCATTTACGACTACCTTGTTTTATTGTCCTATGGCAGAATTACACCAAGCCAAGATAAACCTATGACTTTTTTTGGACTTGGCCACCTTAAAAGGAGTGGACCTTAAGTGCTGATTTCTAATGTTAGGGATCAAAACCTGGCTGAGCTGTGTGAATAATTAAAAGATTTTAATATTCTGCATATTTCTAAGAAAACATTGCATTCCTGCCTTCCAAGACCTTGAAACATTATTATGTTTGATTCTTCCTGTGTCCAACAGATATCATAAGGCTGGAACACAGGGAAAAAAAAGAAGCTCTGTTCCTGCCTAAACCATACAAGAAATACCCAGAGTTATCCCACTGAAAGTTAGAAGTAGCCCTCTCTCTGAGCTTGAACTGATGTTCCCCTAGGTAACTTGTAGATTTTCTTTTTAATGTTTTTGTCTTACAATAAGGTCCACGGGTTTTCTTCAGTATGTATTATTCTAATATAATGTATGTGTGTGTGTATATTACCATGACTGAATATTCTCACATACCCAAAGGTGCAGGAACATGTCATGGAAAGATTACTACACTATGAGGCAGGGTATATGAGTACTGATGCCAGTGCTATCACTTCCCAGCTGATTTTGAGTAAGTAATAAATTCTCTGAACAATATTTTTCAAATCTATAAAATGAGGATAATTGAACTCTATCCTAATTTTCTGTCAAAAGTTTTATAAACAAGTGGGAAAACTCATGTGAAAGCCCTTTGAAAACTGTTAATCCAGTAAATTTGTAAAGTGCTACTATCTAAAATAAAAAAAGTTGCAATAAAAATGACAAATTAAAACAAGCTATTATTTTGTTGGTGATGTTTTCCACTTGTCCCATGTAAAGTGTATTAGTCAAGAGAAATATAACCAATAGTATGTATGCACACATATATAGAAAGAGAGATTTATTTTAAGGAATTGGGCACCCATAATTGTGGAGGCTTGGCAAGTCCAAAATCTACAAGGTGGGCTGGAAAGCCGGAGAACCAGAGAAGAATTGTAGTTTCAGTACAATGGCAGTCTGTTGCAAGAATTCCCTCTTTTTTGGGACAGGTTCATCTTTTTCTCTTAAGCATTCAACTGGTTTGAAGAGGCCCACCTACATTATGGATGGTAATCTGCTTTACTCAAAGCCTATCAATTTAAATGTTCATCACATGTAAAGAGTACATTCAAAGAAACATCTAGAATGTTTGATCAAATATCTGAATACTCTGGTCTAGCCAAGTTGACATGTGAAATGAACTATCACAGAGAGTTACTATTTAGAATCAATAGACAGTAAGTTCATTGAACATAAACCGTGATTTTTTTAATTTTCCCCAACCTATGTCTATAGCATCTTGTATATGCACAAAAAGTTTCTTGAATGAATGAATGAAAACTAGAAATGGGTCAAGCCCAATATAGTTTCATGGTACCTTTCATCTCCCTGAAATAATTTCTAAATATAAAAACTAAGAGGAAACACTCAAAAGCAAAACTGAATATTCCAAGGGATTGCCATCCAAAATATTTGGAGAGACCATGAAGAACCTTTAGCTTGTTTTTCTTTGGTTGCTTGCTTTTCAGGTTCTGAAGTCACTACCTCATTTACTGCTGGCCCTCTTTGGTATCCTCTTTGCTGGCTTTCAAAGTTCATCCCAAATTTCTCTTATTGACCACACCTTGTTTTCGGCATCACATCCATAGCTCAAACGGACCACACATCATTAGCCTGCCAAAGTCAACCCTACCTCAGATTGGAACTTAGAGAACTACAGCCTTCAAAGGTCCAATGAAATCCTGTGTGTTTTATAATATTTCTGTAGGTACTATTCAGTTGGAGAAAAAATAAATAGAAATGTTGATATAAAATCCCTCCAATGCTACAACTTCTGTCTAACATAATGGTATTGACTAAGGTGTGCAAATAATTAACCATACCTTGTTTCTGACTTCCAACTAGGTTTGGAAAATTGTAATTTATTAGGTATGATTAATAAACATTTCATGCTAGCTATAATTTCGTTATAAAACCAAATATCTCCATATGTTGTTTTTAAAGCACAGGATCTAAAAGAAAATTATTCCCTAAAAAGTTGTCAAGCATTCACTGCATTTCATGCCCTGCTGGGTAAATTGATAAACAAGTTTTTAGAACTGGTTTGTCTGTCCCTGCAGCTGTGCTAAAGAAAACCACTGGAGTCAGTTTTCCCCAGGGAAAGGGGTTGCAAACCTAGTCTTTGATAGCTCATTGCCCAGGTAAGGGGGAAAAAAATCTCCCAGGAACAACTAGACACTTCTTTTTTTTTTCCCCATGGTTGATGTAGTGAGTAAAAATCATATTTAGAGTCATAAGACCTGAGTATAGGTTCTTCTTAGCCACATACTAGCTGAGTGGCTTGGCCAATTTACTTTACAGGAATCTAGAGACACAGTGATACCTACTTTATAAGTCTATTTTGAGAGTCAAATGAGCAAATAAGTGATATAATATTGAAATCTGTAGGACACTACACAAATTTATTAGTTTACTATTTCTGCAAAGTTTAATCCATATTTCTTGAAACCTAATATGGGCCAGCCCTATGCTATATCTAAGAAAACAGCAATGAAGAAGATACTTTCTATAACCAAGACTTCTTGTGTTGCCAGTATGCATTGCCCTCTTCTTCCAGTTATTAGCTGGATACTCACTTGCCAGTTAAAGGTTATATGTTTCAGCTTCTCTGCAGTTAGGTGTCAGCCTAGTCAATGGGATGCAAGCAGAAATAGGGTGAGAAAAGTCTGAGAAATATTTATTAAAGGTGTGAGGCATGCCTTTTTTGGCATTTTTTCTTCTGTTCTACTGACTGAAATTTGGATACATTGACTGAAACAAAGGCAGCTTTAGGGAACAATGAGATGTCCTGAAAATGGAAGCCTAATGTCATGTCAGGTAAAGTAAACACCTAATCCATGTAGGATGGCTTTTAGGACATAACTCATCCTCCCTAAGACAAGTAGGTCCAGCCCTGTTTATCACTCATCAGTCAGTCATTTGCTATGGGCTTCCCTGAGAGGGAATATGCCATTTATGGGAAAGGTTGGGATCAGTTCTCCTGAAAAGAGGGGCAGTGAGTTTGGATTACCCATAGCAGGCTGAGTAATGGGTGCACTGAAAGGAATTTAGATGGAACATCACAATATCTACAACTATGACTGAATGGAAAGGGGAGGGAGCCAAAGATAATTTATGCATGCAACAAATGTCAAATGAGTATCTATATCTTAGAGACTATTAGTGTCTTCTTCCATATGGGATCATTCTTACGATACAAACATGTTTTCTAAAACCTACGTGCTGTCTATCTTCACCCTACGTCTTCACTTTCTCTGTCTATGTTTGCTTTCTCCGTCTCCATACTTCATATTCTCTATTTAACCTGCTCCTGTCAGGCTCTTATGTCTGTTCCTCCACTGCACACATTTGTCTCCAAAATCTCACCAAATCAAATGGTCTGTTCCTAATCTTCATGTAACTTTTCAACAACATTTGACAGTTATCATTTCCTCTTTGAAATATTTTTCTTTACTTGGCTTCTCAAACCATACTCTCAGTTTTCCTTCTCCTTCAATGACCACTCTTTCTTGCTGTTCCTTAACTGCACCCTCCTCACAGTGTCTTGTCTCAAAATGTTAGTGCCTCAGCCTTCTTCTATTCTCTGTTTAAACTCCCTCCTAAACCATCTCATATAGTCACACAGATTTCAGTAGGTTCTTAAATCAGAGTTTCTTAATCCCAGAACTACTGACATTTTGGGTCTAATGATTCTTTCTTGCACGAGGCTGTCCTGTGCATTGTAGGATAGTTAGCAACACCTCTGGCATCTGTATCCTTGCTAAATGCCAGTAGCAACTCTAGTTGTTTCAATCAAAAATATCTCCAGACTAATATCTCTGAAAGGCAAAACTGTCTCCCAGTTGAAAATGACTGTTCTAAATTATGATATCTTCCAAATTTTTATTTCAAGCCCTGATCTCTCTGCTGTGTTCGACTCCTAAATCCAACTGCCCAGCTGACATCTCCACTTGGAAATGTATCAGGCATCTTATACTCAACATGTCCCAAAGAATCCCCCTGAACTTGTCTGTAGCTTGGTCCGTCCTTAATATTTCAAGTCTTGGTAAATGGCAACATCATTCTCCCAATTATTCAGGCTTAAAACCTAGGAATCATCTTTGATTCCTTTCTTTCCTCCTATTTCACATTTAATTTGGCTGCAGCCAGTCTTGCTTACAATCCAAATCTATCCCAAATTGGACCACTTGGCCCTTCTACCATCACCATCCTAGTCCTTTGTCATGACTTACCTGGACTCAGGCAGCAGTCTTCTGTTTTGTTTCCCAGTTTCCACACTTGCCTCCTTACAGCCATTTCTTTACACAGTAACCAGTGTTCTTTAAAAAATGTCAACCAGATTAAGTTCCTTTCCTACTCCAAACTCTCCGAGCTCTTCTCATTACACTCACAACAAAATATAAATGCCTTTTTATGGCTTACCCTGCCGTCAGTGATTGGGCAGATCTAGGTCTACATCTAATATTCCTCTCTGCTTTGCTTACTGTATACTCCAACCACACTGACTCTCACCCTGGTCACAGAGCCTTGTCGTTGTTAGTCCTTTCTATCTGGAATGTTCCTCCAGTGTTGCCAGGGCTTCATCTTCTCACTTCGTTCAGGTCTGTAATCAAAAACCACTTTTTCACAAAGGTCTTCCCTTATGTATTTAAGATTGCACTCACCAGGGCTGGGCGCAGTGGCTCATGCCTGTAGTCCTAGCACTTTGGGAGGCCAAGGTGGGCAAATCACTTGAGGTCAGGAGTTTGAGCCCAGCCTGGTCAACATGGTGAGATCCCGTCTCTATTAAAAATACCAAAAAAAAAAAAAAAAATAGCCAGGCATGGTGGTGGGTGCCCATAATCCCAGCTACTAGAGAGGCTGAGGCAGGAGAATCACTTGAACCCAGGAGGTAGAAGTTGCAGTGAGCTGAGACCACTGCACTCCAGCCTGGGCGACAGAGCAAGACTCCATCTCAAAAAATAAATAAATAAAAATAAAATTTGCACTCACCCTAGTCATTCTCAAACTCTAATTTGCCTTTCTTCACAGTACTTATTAAGACCCAATAGCAATACAGATGCTTGTTTTGTATCTCTTTCATTAGAATGCAAATTTCATGAGTGACAAAAATACATCTGTCTTGTTTGTCTTGCATCCTTCAGCCTAGCGCAGGGTAGGCACTCAACAAAAAGTTGTTCAATGAATGAATCAATTAATGTTACGCACTAAAGAAATATTTGTTGCACACTTAGAACTATAATCTGTGTTAAGCGTCCTACAAACATTGTTATATTCAGCAAAAATCTAATCTGGTAGTATGTTAATTGGTCTGACCTACTATAACAAAACTACCATAGATTGAGCGGCTTAAACAACAGAAATGCATTTCTCACAGTTTGGGAAGCTGTGAAGTTCAAAATTAACATGCCAGCAAATTCAGTTTCTGGTGAGGACCCTTTTCTGGTTATGGCCTCATATGATGGAGAGATAGAGAAGTAACAAGTTATCTTATGTCTCTTTTTATAACCCGATTACCTCTCAAAAGTCCTATCACTAGATACCATCACATTGGGAATTAGGCTTCCCCTATGAATTTGGGGAGAGATATAAACATTCAGTCCATAGCATGTAGGTACTTTTCTAATCCCCCTTTTAAATATGCAAAAGCTAAGTTTTTTCCAGGTTCTCACAGGTAGAAAGTGACAGAGTGGTACTTCAAACTCAGGCCCTTTAACCACTGTAGTGTATCCTCATCCACATTTCTAGCTGGTGGTAGTGCCATCAACTGAATGGTGATGAAGTGGGTGGGGTAGAGCATGGTGGGGTTGGTGATGAACTTAGCCTGGGCTGATTAATTTTGATGTGTTTATGGGACATTTAAGTAGAGGTGATGAACCCAAAGAATGAAGCAAAAGTCCGGGTTAGAGATAAAACAAAAAGATGATTTTTAAAACTGTGGCCTAGAGAGAATTCTTATGTAGAATAAGTTTTAGAAGTCCCCTTAAATGGAGAAAAACGTAAATAATGGAGAAATAAGAAACATCAGCGCTTATTGTAAAGAAACACATTCCTATGAGATATTCCCAAAGGAGAATGTCAATTATCACCAGTTATCTTCAGGTCACATAATGTTTCGGAACTTAACTACTAAAACCTTCACAAGACAAAGTCTCATCAAATAATCTTCTAAAAATTCAAACTTTGATGGTTTTTCTGAAACTCTAATTTAAAAAATGATCATGTCAACATTTCATAATAAACTTTTATACCAACTTGAAGCTTATTCTGAACTGTATACATACTAATCATTCCAACTTTTCCCTCTGGACAAAAATGAGCTTCTAGATTTGCCAAATTATATTTGAATCTTATTGGCAACCCTAATACTAACTCATAGGCATAATTGCAAAACAGGCCTAACTTCCACCTCACCTCCTCACTTAGAATCGTTCGTGTCATATTTATTAAAAGCTCACCTTTTATAAATTTTGTAGCATTTTATTTTTATTTATATCTATTTGTTTTTATATATAAATATGTAATAAATATATACGTGTGTGTATGTGTGCATGCATGTACAGATGAACTAGATAGAAACAGTCTGCCCTCATAGAGTTTACATTCTAGGATGTTTCTAAGATGCTAACCTGGCAAAGCAGAGAGTGCTATGGAGCACCTGGCAAATGTGTATTGAGTTCCTTTTATCCCCATAGCACAGAATTAAATCAAATTTATCTTTAAAGAACTCATTTAAAGGCTACTTTTTTTAATGAATCTTTTCCTAAGTTCTGATCCAGTGGAAAGAGACATTTTCCTCCTCTTAAATTCCATAATAGTTTATTATTGATTTATCTACCTGTTTATTCAGTATACATTTAATGAATATTTACTCTCTGCACAGGATACCCATTCAGAGTCGCTCAATGAAAGAACCATAGTACATGGATGTTAGACAACAAAGTGCATATCACCCACTTAGTAAGAACAAGAATTGATTAAGTGCCCTACGTGTAGTTCTTTATTCCACAATAGTCCAATGTGATGGGGTTGTTTAAAAGACTGAGGATACAGCAGTGAATAAAACAAAGAGAGCTCCTTTGAAGGTTATATTCCAGTAGGAGAATGAGACAATAAACACAAAATAAACATACAATATTTCAAGGACACATAATAACAGTGTTAAATTCTATGAAGAAAAGTGTGGTAGTGAGAAAGAGGATGATAGTGGTCTAATGTCAGATTGAATTGAATGTGGGTGGAGTTCTGAATGAACTGAAGGGATGGAACAAAGGGTACATCTGAGGGAAGAACATTCTTGGCAGAAGAAAAATAATTTTTTTTATTATTACACTTTAAGTTCTGGGATACATGTGCAGAACCTGCAGGTTTGTTACATACGTATACACGTGCCATGGTGGTTTGCTGCACCCATCAACCCGTCATCTACGTTAGGTATTTCTCCTAATGCTATCCCTCCCCTAAGCCCCAGCCCTCGACAAGCTCCAATGTGTGATGTTCCCCTCCCTGTGTCCATGTATTCTCATTGTTCAACTCCCACTTATGACTCAGAAGATGTGGTGTTTGGTTTTCTGTTCCTGTGTTAGTTTGCTGAGAATGATGGTTTCCAGCTTCATCCATGTCCCTGCAAAGGACATGAACTCATCCTTTTTTATGGCTGTATAGTATTCCATGGTGTATATGTGACACATTTTCTTTATCCAGTCTATCATTGATGGGCATTTGGGTTGGTTCCAAGTCTTTGCTATTGTGAATAGTGCTGCAATAAACATACACGTGCATGTGTCTTTATGGTAGAATGATTTATAATCCTTTGGGTATATACCCAGTAATGGGATTGCTGGGTCAAACGGTATTTCTGGTTCTAGATTCCTGGGGAATCGCCACACTGTCTTCCTCAGTGATTTTACATGTTCTTTTTCCTCTGCCCAGAACATGTGGGTGTAGCTGATGAGGAGTGAGTAGGAGAGAGAAAGAATATGAAGTCAGAAGTATAGCTAAGAGGCAGATTCTACTATATTTTGTAGGTCAAGTAAAAAAAAATTGGTAGAGTATTAATATAATGCTGTCTTGAATTTTTTAAAAAGTATTTAAATTTTAAGAGGACAGATGTAATATAGTATAATACAGTAGCAAGAAGAACATTTTACTTTAATCCAAAAAATAAACAAAAAATATCAAAGGCAAGTAAACATCAGGCTTCCTTACACGAACCACATTATTAACATTCCTGAGCCTATTTTCCATTTTGTAAAATGAGGACAGCACTGTCTGAAGGCAGAGGTGAGAACAATGCATTCCTAAAAGCTAAGAGTTAAACCTTAAATCTGGCACATATCACATGAAATCTCTTCTATATGAAAAACACCTCGGGAAAGGAAAATTGTTCCCTATGCCAGAAGCAGGAAGGAAAATAATCTGGCTGTTACTATATATGATAAAAATCACATATCTCAAGAAAGAATCAGAAAATGAATCAATCAGCAAGGGGTATAAGAGAACAGAAGGCATAAATTATCAGCACGCCTCCAGCACTGACTGGAGAACAAAGCGTCCTAGGAAGATAAAATGATGTGAATGTGTCCAGTTCTCCTTATTGTTGAGGACAGATCTATCAGACCATCAGAGGCTGATGCCTTGAAACATACGAGTTATCCAGTCCACTATCGTCATTCTGATTCCATGCTCGTGAGCTACCTTCTGATAATCGAACTTCCCAGGATGTTTTTCTACAGGGAGAGAATGTTCTGGTGTGCTGGAAAGGTATATTTCTCTATAAATTACAGCATCGGCTTTCTGGGTTCTACACTTTATTCTCCTGCAGATTTAGTTGATGTGAACCAGCATGTGTAAGTCCAGTACAGCTCTGGAAAACTGACAGTGTCTGTTTTCTAAATCTGTAACACAGAGGGGTCAGACCTTGGGCTGTGATGAACTCAGAAGGCAATGCCTCTCGGGGGGGATGTTGGTAACTAGCCAGCCACATACATTAGTTTTAGCTTCTCCACTACCTACTTCAAAAGGACTGTGGGGCTTAGATGAAATAATGTATTTGAAAGTCTTCAAAAACTTTAAAGTTCTTCAGAGGAACCCTGAAAAGTGCCAAAGGGATGACAAGAGGAACAAACTGAGTAGGTACTGTGCTCCTTGCCCATCTGGCTATAGAGAACTTTCTACGGGATAAAAGAAAAACTTCCCCATCTAGGAATAATGGGCATCTAAGCCCATGGAGAATGTCAAACTCACAGGGACAGGTTCAGGTACTGAGTAAGCCACCTTTCCCTGTTCGAATATTTTTCTTTCAGAGATATAAATTCTCTATTTTCCTTTTAGGAATGCAATATTCCAATATAACAATATGCAACGCCCACTGATTCCTTTGAGGTATATATGCCTCTGTGTATGCACATATATACATATAGATATACATGTATAGTACCAATGATGTGTCAAGCACCAGGCCCAGCTATATAATCTGTAGGGCCCTATGAAAAATGAAAATATAGAGTCCTTTGTTCAAAAAACAATTTAAAAGTGCCATAAAAGGTATTAAAATATAAAGACGTTTTCTTTCTTCCACAGTCTGTCTTTTGACTTGTCATGATGTTTTTCATTTAATTTAATTTCATTCTAAATATGGAAAACTTTTTTAAAATTTTAGCATGAATTTAATTGTCAATCTTTATATTGTACAATACCAATTTTAAATGAAAATGTAAGAGCATTATCTCCTGCAGAACTGTTGGAGTTGTGGAATTCATATATCTCACAGGTTGTACATATACATATTTTTCCTTGATAGAACAGAGGAAACTATACAAAAAGAACTCAGCTATTTTTATTTCATGTCTTGATACAGACACATTCAACCAACACTGTCTACTTTCAGCTCACTGATGAGCAAGAAAGAACTGAAAGGAAAAAGAACTATGAGTTCTTTCTCTTTCCTTCTACCTCATCATTTTCAGCATAAATGACTGGCTAATAATGGGAAATAAAATGAGTAAGAAATAATATGATAGGGCTTTTTTTGTCATTTCTGTTTCTTAGAATGCCATTGCCTTCTTTCTGCCTTTGAAGATAGTTCTGGTTTGAACAAAAAGTATAGTGTCTTGGAGCTGTCTGTGCTCTCTTTTAATCAGTCATAGACATAACACATTCACCTTGTGCTCACTGAACTCACACATTTGGGTCCACTAACATTCGGTGCTCATGGGGCATCACAAATAATATGTGCTCACACAGCAGCAAGGAACAGAATGGACATGCCTATTAAGCCTGCCTTCTCTGCTCTTATGCATGCTTAACATTACTAAGAAAAATAAATTATTGGCTGGGTGTGGTGGCTCATGCCTGTAATCCCAACACTCTGGGAGGACGAGGCGGGTGGATCACAAGGTCAGGAGTTCAAGACCAGCCTGGCCAAGATGGTAAAACCCCGTCTCTACTAAAAAAAAATGCAAAAATTAGCTGGGCATGGTGGCGGGCACCTGTAATCCCAGCTACTCGGGAGGCTGAGGCAGAGAACTGCTAGAACCCGGGAGGCAGAGGGTGCAGTGAGCAGAGATCACACCACTGCACTCTAGCCTGGGCAACAGAGTGAGACTCTGTCTCAAAAAGAAAAGAAAAATGTGAAATTATTATTAATTTTAAGATAGATACAGCAGAACATTAATCTAAGCCTAAGCACTGGATTGTTCCGAGCATGGCATCTTGTGTGCACAGGTCACGTGTCTATGAAACCAGCCTGGCCAGGTACTGGTTTAAGAAAAAATACTAAACTTTGATAACAACTGTGTGAAGTTAGCCCTGTAATTAACTCCTGTTCAGACTGAGAAGATAGGCACATAAAGGTTAAATAGCTCATTTAAGTGCTAATAAGAGCTAATAAGTGGCAGAACTGGGATTTGAACCCAGGTTTTTAGGCTCAAGAAAACATGATCTTTACCAATACACAGTAAAAGCATCGATTTTTTTAATTAAATCTCAAGTTTCCTTGGCTCTTTCTCCCTTACTTTTCAAAAATCTTTAAAAGGCAATTCATATTCATCATAAAGAAGACGACAGGTATTGCAGGTATTTATTGTAATTGACTACAGTTTATGTTAGCAGCTATAATGAATAATGATAATAGTTATCAAAGAGTGCTTTTTTTAAAAAATTATACTTTAAGTTCTGGGATATATGTACAGAACATGCAGGTTTGTTACATAGGTATAAATGTGCCACGGTGGTTTGCTGCACCCATCAACCCATCATCTACATCAGGTATTTCTCCTAATGCTATCCTTCCCCTAGCCCCCCAACCCCCGACAGGCCCCAGTGTATGATGTTCCCCTATCAGGGAGTGCTTTCTATAGGCATAGCAATTTGATGAGATGGTTGTACTTATTGTCTGTGCTCACAGATAATGATATAGAGGTTTAGAGAAATTAAGTAACTTGCATCAAACTCAGATAATAAGTGACAGAGTCAGAAATTAGCCTCAGACAATTTGACACCAACATCCATGAGCCTACCTACTTTATCATAGTGCTATAATTCTCCAGATGTCTATTTTAATGGTGCCAAAGGTAAGCAACTGGGATCAGACCTATACAGATACAGTTTACTTCTGCCAGGTTTCTGTTCAGGTTCACAAGCTCAAAATTAGAGGTTTAATTCAATTGCAAAAATAGAGTTTGACATTGAAATTTGTACCCTAGGACAAATTTGCTGTTTTCCTTTAAGAGCTTATTGCTCTGTTTGAAGAATGCTCAAACAGGTTTAGCCTAGAACAAAATGCGGGAAAGATAAAGGAGCCACAAAGGTTTAGGATGCTGCCCTTGGAGAAACTTATCATGAGCTGATAACTTCTAAGCAAATAGAGGTAGTAATTGGATGAGTTCTCTTAATTGAATGCAATAGAGAAAGCGCAAATTCTGGTCTTGCTTCTGATATGCATTAATACTACATAATTTTTGAACAACCTTGAGACAAGAAGTGACAGACGTAAGACTGGAAAGCTCCCAGATCATCCTCAAAAAGAGAATAGTGTATTCAAATACTGCTTTCAGAATAGCATAAATTGTTACAGTAGATCACACAATAACAAAAGAATAATCAGAATAACCATCTCCAAAAATCTTAGTAAATTGGGTGATATAAAAAAGAAAAGAAAGCCTGAAGAAGTAATTTTGGTTTAGGTCATAAAATTAACTAAAGAGCTGAGGGACTGTTAAAGTCCAGAAGCCATGTGTAATGATGGAAGACTTTTAAATTCCTGGCAAATTTTCAAGACACATAAAGGAAAATTAGGACTGTTCCTCCTAACAGATTTTAATTATAAAAGCATTTTATTCAAAATTAGTTGAATTATTTTACCCTCTCTTGTATATTCTGCAATTAATTGATGATCTATTACAGAACACTTGGTTCTTCTATTGCTTTTCACCTAAGGATCTCTACATATTACAGACATTTTAAAAGTAACTGAAGACCTAAGCTCATTTGGGAAAAAAAAAAAAAGGAAATAAAAGGATACAGAAGCATACTTGCTTGTGAAAAAAACATTCATTCCTTTCCCTATCTTTTTTTTATTGGACCACACAGCTCCCCTATTTTCTATTCTTTAAACAGCAGCTATCTTACCTTGGGTTCCCCAGAAGGCAGAGCCAGAAATAAAAGCTTAAGTGCAATAATTTGGAAGACAGTGTTGGCAATGAGGGATAGGGAAACCGAAACAGAGAAGAAGGGAGATGAAACAAGAATGCATTATGGAGTTGGCCACTGCTACTATGGAGAAAACGGTGCAGTAATTGAAAAGAGCAAATGAGAAGTCATATGGAAAATATCTCAGCACATGTGTCTCCCTAGGAAAAAGAAAAGGAGGTATTTATCTATTGACAGTTATTCTTTGGTCTAAGGGTCACCATCCCCAACACACACACACACACACACACACACACACACACACATATACACTTCAGGATTCCACATGTGTGGGTGCCAAGTAGGTGCCAGTGGATGTCTCACACACCTGTGAACAAGAAGCTGCAGGTCAGCCAGCCAGAGACATGCACTGGGCAGTCCTGAGATGCTGCCAGGGTGCTCCTGCATGAAGCTGGGGGAAGCCCACCTAGCACAGATCACTGCAGCTGCGGCTGGAGTAAGAGGTGCAGTGGAGAGGACTTTAGTGTTGCCCAAGAGGAGCCTAATAGAGTGGCCATGTTCACTCCAGACCAATTTCCACTCTGAGTTCTGAGTAGCTGTTTTACAAGCATTTTGGTGGCACAGATAAATTGTACTACTATCTTCTTAAAGTAGTAATAATGTGTTTTAAAGGATTCACAAACATCCCTCAAGTTAGTCTTAAATGATCTCCGTCCTCAAATTCCACATCATCTTGCACTCCTTCCTCTCGTCTCTAATGAAGAGTGAACCTCCACTAGGGTCAAATCTAGCATTTATGGCCCACTGGATGCACACATGCCCCCTCAAGATTAGTGGTATATCCCTGAGTTGCCAAATCTCGCTGTCTTCTCTCTGCCTAGGGCATCTTCTCCCTTCTATTTCCCTGGAGTGATCAGGCACATTCTCCCTGAAGATGAACACTTTTTGCTTCCATGGCCATTTTTCTTCAGCTTGTTCTACTTCTCTGCATTAACCTTTCTCACCCTTCTAGTCTCCCTTGCTCTTCTCTCTAAAGCATGATATCCCCAAGATTCTGACCTGCATTCTCAAATTCATTCAGTGATTGCATCATCCTCTGTCTCCCCAGGAAGGCCCATTTCCCCACTCCCAACCTTCTAACCACTCTTTCTGCTGTCTCCTCGCTGACGCCCAGTTGTAAGTGTTGAAATCACCTTCTCAAATGCAGTCGGTTCTACTTAAATTTGTGACCTTCCCTATAAAGCAGCGTCTCCTTCTGTGTTTCTTATTGCTGTGACAACACACTTATTCTTCCAGTGTCCCAGGTCCTAAGCCCTGTTTCTCAGCACTCCCCAGAAACTTATTCTAGTTTCTCAAAAAGAAAAAGCATATGATTCACTTCCCATTAAATAAGTCAATGGCAAATGTACCCAAGATGTAAATCCCCTGAAGGCCACTTCTGCCTTCACTTTACAATCAGTACCCAATATACTGACCTCTTGGTCCTAGAAATATTAAAAGATAAAAATTAAAAAAAAAAAAGGAAAATTTAACCTCTGGAAGGGGTGCATTACCTCAGGGCCAGCCAAGGGTTTAGTTCAAACCCTGTTTTAAAACGTATTTTTATATACATAGTGACAGAATTCTAATTTTACATGACAAGGATAAGATACACATACAATGTATTTATGCAGAAATACAATTATGCATTCCTTTTCATTCATTTTTCATTTGTAATTTACATTTTTGCATTTCCTCTTATTCCCCACTCCATCCAGTTAACTTCTTTCCTGCCTCCTCCCCACTAGATGACCCAAGTTAACAACCTAAAATGTAACTTTTCACATTTTTTCTCGATGCCTAGTCACATACATATTCATATATATACATATATATGTATTTACACACAGATATCCATGTATAGGAAAAATGGGCTAACATATGTAATGTCATAGAAATGGTATAAAGTATCTGGCATAGTTCTCGTTCATTGCTGTTAGTGGTTTGGAAGCACAATAATTTATTTATCTTTTTTTATTGATTTTTTTTCTCCACTATGAACAATGCTGATGTAAACAACCTTGTAGAGAATCCTTACATACGGATACTTTTTTTTTTTGTAGGGAATAGATTATTAGGAAAGGGATTACTGGGTTTTAAGGTATATGCATTTTTTATAAGTGTTTAGGGATTGCGCTCACATTTCTTTTCACATTTTATGAGCATGCCATTTTTCCCATTCCCAGGCGGCAATAGATTTTATGTTCACTTCAATATTTGCCAGTCTAAAAGGTAAAACGTTAAATCTATTACTTTAATCTCTCTTTTCTTGACTACTAATGTATGCGTGCATCTTTTCATTATTTTTGACTACATGGCTTCTCACTGATAGAAACATTCTCTTCATCTGTTGCCATTTTTCTATTTTTTATATTTCTCTTATTAACTTTTGAGTCTTTTATACAGTATGCATGTTAGCTGTTTTATCTGCTATGCAAGTTCTTTTTTCCAAATTTATTGTTGGTTTATTCACTTTATTTATAGTATCTTTGCCATAATAGGAACTTTTAGATTTTACAGACACAATTAGTCTTCTCTGTTGTTTTATAGCTTCTGAGTGTTAGAAGCCTTCGCTTTTTTCTGGCATGTTTATATAGTCTTCCAGAATTTTCTTACTAGGTTTTTTTAAATTTTACATTTAAATATCTAACCCAACTAGGAATTACATTTGATATAGAGAAGAAAGGGGCCCACTTTTAATTTTTTCTTGGCGGATAGGTTGTGCTCTATTAAATATTTCATTGCTTTTATTTGCATTATTAAATAATCCATTATTTTCCCTTTATATGGAAATACTGTCATATTTATTTATTTTAAATTGACAGGGAAAACTGTATGTGTTTGCCACCATACTGTTTCGAAGTATACATACAGTCGGGAAGGACTAAATCTAGCTAATTAACATATGTATTACCTCACATAGTTATCATTTTTGTGGTGAGAATATTTCACATCCACTCTCAGCATTTTTCAAGAACACAATATATTGTTAACTACAGTCACCATATTGTACAATAGACCTCTTGAACTTACTTATCTCACAGAAATTTTGTATCCTTTGACTAACTTATTTCCGACCGCTTTAACCCCATAGTCCCTGGAAAACACCGTTCTACTCTCTACTTTGGTAAGATCAGCTCTTTCAGATTCCATCAATGAGTGAGATCATGCAGCATTTGTCTTTCATTTGTAAATGCTCACATGCACTAGGATCTACTTTTGGATTCTCTCTTCCTTGTTTCCGCTTTGTCTATTGCCGTGGCCATATCATAATGATTTATGAGAAGAAGCTTTCCGTTTACTAATATATTCTGAATCTCTTTGACAAGTCACTTCTATTTCTCCCTTGAGTATCCCTGAAGATTTATTCTTATGTGTCTACTTAAACATCATTTTATTTAAAAAGGACTATTGAGAGTCTAACTCTAAACGTGTTAAATGTATATATTAAGTTTGGAAGAACTGATATTTTTAAAGTATTAAATATTCTAAGGAAAGACCAAATATTGTGTAATGTCATTAGATTTTATAATTTCCTTCAGGCAGATCTTACATCGGTCTTGTTAAATTGATTAGTAAATAATGTATTGATATTTTGCTACTGAGAGTAGACTATTTCTCTTTTTAGGAACTGAGTTCACTTGTTCTATTTTAGACATGGCCTTGCTGGGCACCAATTTTCCCTGATTTTCTTTCCTTGTATAATTACAGATAGAGTTGACCAAAGTGAAGTTTCATGGAATATTCGAGGTAGAAATGAAGATGCAGCCATATAGCTCTGAATAAAGGCACAAGCGTGTTCCAGTTTGTTTGTTTTTTTCTCTTCCCCAACTCTCCTTCCTAACCTCTGGTTCTACTGACCATCAATGACCTGCCACCAGCGCTTCACTGTGAACTCAAAGAGGTAGTGGCCATGATGAACCAAATATCATTCACTGACATGTACACAACCTTCCATGAACCTCTATGCAAGTCTATTCATGGTTCCAACTACAGTAACCAGATCAACCTACCTTCTAGGTATGCAAGCTGGGAAATACCTGTATGAGGGTTAGTTATTTTTCTTTGATTTTTTAAACTCTTCTTTTGGAACCTTTACTTTCCAAGGACTACATTGAGTAATGTTTAATTCCTGCAGTAAATTTTCTCTTCCATGATACTCCAAGTAGTTCTACTTCCCTAATAAAAACACAGTTAATACTAGAGGGAAAATATGGGGGTTTTTGGTATGTTTCTATTATACACAGCCACTTTATTAAATTATCTTATCAAATATCTTAAAGTTTTACAAAATATCTTATATTTTTCAGTATACAATCTTAACAAGAAAAAGAGATCTTTTTCTTTTTCCATTAACTTTTAATTTCAGGGATACTTGTGAAGGCTTCTTATATAGGTAAACTCATGTCATGGGGATTTGTACAGATTACTTCATTGCCCAGATATTAAGCCTAGTACACAACAGTTACTTTTCCTGATCCTCTCCCTGCTCCCTCCCCCCACCCTCAAATAGGCTCCAGTTTCTATTATTTTCCTCTTTGTGCCCATATGTTCTCCATATTTAGCTCCCACTTATAAGTAACAACATGCAGTATTTGGTTTTCTGTTCCTGCATTAGTTTGCTAAGGATAATGGCCTCCAGCTCCATCCATGTATCTGCAAAGAATATGATCTCACTCTTTTTTGTGGCTGCATAGTGTTCCATGGTGTATATTTACCAGGTTTTCTCTATCAAGTCTACCACTGAAGGACATTTGGGTTGGTTCTATCTCTTTGCTATTGTGAATAGTGCTGCAGTGAACATATACATGCACATGTCTTTATGACAGAACAATTTCTATTCCTTTGGCTATACCCAGTAATGGGATTGCTGGGTCGAAAGGTAGTTCTGTTTCTAGGTCTTTGAGGAATAACCACACTGTTTTCCACAATGGCTGAACTAATTCACACTCCCATGAACAGCATATAAGCCTTCCTTTTTCTCCTCAACCTTACCAATATCTGTTATTTTTTGACAGATCTGTTATTTTTAATAATAGCTATTCTGGCTGGTGTGAGATGGTAGCTCACTGTGGTTTTGATTTGTATTTCTCTACTGATTAGTGATACTGAGCTTTTAAAAATATGCTTGTTGGCCGCATGTATGTCTTCTTTTGAAAACTGCCTGTTCATGTCCTTTGCTCACTTTTTAGTGGGGTTGTTTTTCTCTTGTAAATTTGTTAAAGTTCCTTATAGATGCTGGATATTAGACCTTTGCTGTTGTGGGAAGTCAGGGACCCCAAATGCAGGGACCGGCTGAAGCTGCGGCAGAAGAACATAAATTGTGAAGATTTCATGGACATTTATTAGTTCCCCAAATTAATACTTTTATAATCTCTTACGCCTGTCTTTACTGCAATCTCTGAACATAAATTGTGAAGATTTCATGGACATTTATCACTTTCCCAAACAATACTCTTACAGTTTCCTATGCCTGTCTTTACTTTAATCTCTTAATCCCATCATCTTCATAAGCTGGGGATGTATGTCGCCTCAGGACCCCGTGATGATTGCGTTTTCTGTACAAATTGTTTGTAAAACATGTGTGTTTGAACAATATGAAATCTGGGCATCCTAAAAGAACAGGATAACAGCGACTTTCAGGGAACAAGGGAGATAAGCATAAAGTCTAACTGCCTGCGGGGCCAGGCAGAACAGAGTCATATTTGTCTTCTTTCAGAAAGCAAATAGGAGAAATATCACTGAATTCTTTTCTCAGCAAGGAATAGCCCCGGGAAAGCGAATGCATTCCCAGGGGGAGGTCTCTAAAATGGCCGCTCTGGGAGTGTCTTATGCAGTTGTAGATAAGGGATGAAATATGCCGTGGTCTCCTGCAGCTCCCCGAGGCTTGTTAGGATTGGGAAATTCCAGCCTGGCGAAATTCTAGTCAGACTGGTTGTCTGCTCTCAAACCCTGATTACTGTTAAGATGTTTATCAATGACAATGTGTGCCCAGCGGGACATGGACCTTCATCAGTAATTCTAGTTTTGCCCTGGCCTTGTGATCTCACTCTGCCTCTCTACCCTTGTGATATTTTATTGCCTTTGAAGCATGTGATCTCTGTGATCCACTCCCTATTCATACACCCCTCCCCTTTTGAAATCCATAATAAAAACTTGCTGGTTTTGTGGCTCAGGGGGCATCACGGAACCTGCCGACATGTGATTTCACCCAGGGAGACCCAGCTGTAAAATTTCTTTCTTTTGTACTCTATTTGTCAGACTGGCCGACACTTAGGGAAAATAGGAAAGAACTTATGTTGAAATATTGGGGGCTGGTTCCCCCGATACTTTGCCAGATGCATAATTTTCAAAAATTTTCTCCCATTCTGTAGTTGTCTGTTTACTCTGTTGACAGTTTCTCTTGCTGTGCCAAAGTTCTTTAATTTAATTCCATTTGTCAAATTTGCTTTTGTTGCCATTTGCTTTTGGCATCTTTGTCATGAAATCTTTACCCATTCCTATGACCAGAAGGATATTGCCTAGGTTGTCTTCCAGGATTTTTATTTTTTTTACATTTAAGTCTTTAATCCACCATGAGTTGATTTTTGTATATGGTGTAAGAAAGGGGTCCAGTTTTAATCTTCTGCATATGGCTAGTAACTGACTAGCTGGGAAACTTCCCAGCACCATTTATGGATTAGAAAGTCCTTTCCCCATTGCTTGTTTTTGTCAGGTTTTTTGAAGATAGTTGTAGGTGTATGGCCGTATTTCTGGATCTCTAGTCTGTTCCATTCATGCATGTGTCTGCTTTTGTAACAGTACCATGCTGTTTTGGTTATTTCATCTAGGTAGCATGATGCCTCAAGCTTTGTTCTTTTTGCTTAAGATTGCCTTTGTTATTTGGACTCTATTTTGGTTCCATATGAATTTTTAAATAGTCTTTTCTAATTCTGTGAAGAATGTCATTGGTAGTTTACTAAGAATAGCATTGAACCTATAAATTGTTTTGTGGAGTGTGGTCATTTTGATACTGATACTTCCTATCCATGAGCACGGAATGTTTTCCCATTTGTTTGTGTCATCTCTGATTTCTTCGAGCAGTGTTTTGTAGTTCTCCTTGTAGAGCTCTTTCACCTCCCTGGTTATATGTACTCCTAGGTATTTTATTCTTTTGGGGGGCAATTGTGAATGGGATTGCATTCCTGTTTTGGCCCTCACCTTGACTGTTGTTAGTGTATAGGAATGGCTAGTGATTTTTGTACATTGATTTTGTATCCTGAGACTTTGCTGAAGTTCTTATCAGCTTAAGGAGCTTTGAGGCCAAGACTATTGGGTTTTCTAAATAAAGGATCATGTCATCTGCAAACAGGGATAGTTTGACTTCCTTTCTTCCTATTTGGATGCCCTTTCTTTCCTTCTTTTGCCTGATTATTCCGGCCAGGACTTCTAGTACTATGTTGAATAGAAGTGATGATACAAGGCATCCTTGTCTTGTGCAGGTTTTCAAGAAGAATGCTTCCAGCTTTTGTTCTCAGTATGATGCTGCTTATGGGATTGTCATGGATGGTTCCTTTTATTTGTGGTATGTTCCTTCAATTCCTAGTTTATTGAGAGTTTTTAACATGAAGGAATGTTTAATTTTATCCAAGGCTTTTCTGCATCTATTGAGAAAATCATGTGATTTTGTCTTTAGTTCTGTTTATGTCATGAATCACATTGATTGATTTGTGTATGTTGAACCAACCTTGCATCCCAGGGATAAAGCCTACTCAATCATGCTGGATAAGCTTTTTGATGTGCTGCTGGATTCAGTTTGCCAGTATTTTGTTGAGGATTTTTGCATTGATGTTCATCAAAGATATTCGTCTGCAGTTTTCTTTTTTTGTTGTGACTCTGCCAAGTCATGGTATCAGGATGATGCCAGCCTCACAGAATGAGTTAGAGAGGAGTCCTTACTCCTCAGTTTTTTGGAATAGTTTTAGTAGGAATAGTACCAGCTCTTTTTATACATCTGGTAGAATTCAGCTGTGAATCCATCCATTCCTGAGCTTTCTTTTGTTGGTAGGCAATTTATTACTGACTCATTTTCAGAGCTCACTATTGGTCTGTTCAGGGACTCAATTTCTTTCTGGTTCAGTCATGGGAAGGTGTATGTGTCCTGGAATTAATCAATTTCTTCTAGATTTTCTAGTTTATATGCATAGAGGCGTTTGTAGTATTATCTGATGGTTTGTATTTCTGTGAGGTCAGTGGTGCTATCCCCCCTTACCATTTCTGATCTTGTCTAGTTGATTCTTATCTCTTTTTTATTAGTCTAGCTAACAGTCTATCTATTTTATTCTTTCAGAAAACCAGCTCCTGGATTTCTTGATTTTTTGAAGGGTTTTTTGTGTCTCTATCTTCTTCAGTTCCACTCTGATTTTGGTTATTTCTTGCCTTCTGCTAGTTTTGGGGTTTGCTCTTGGTTCTCTAGTTCCTTTAGTTGTCACATTAGGTTGCTGATTTGAGATCTTTCTAGCTTTTTGATGTGGGCATTTAGTGCTATATATTTCCCTCTTAACACTGCTTTAGCTGTGTCACAGAGATTCTGGTACATTGTTTCATTGTTCTCATTTGTTTCAAAGAACTTATTGATTGCCAACTTCATTTTATTATTTACCCAAGATTCACTCAGGAGAAGGTTGTTCAATTTCCACGTAGTTGTGTGGTTTTGAGTTTCTTAATCTTGAATTATAATTTGATTGTGCTGTGATCTGAGGGACTGTTATGATTTCAGTATTTTTTTCTTTGCATTTACTGAGGAGTGTTTTACTTCTGATTATGTGATCAATTTTAGAGTAAGTGTATGTGGCAATGAGAAGAATGTATATTCTGTTGTTTTGGGGTGGAGAGTTCCGTAGATATCTATCAAGTCCACTTGACCCAGAGCTGAGTTCAAGTCCTGAATATCTTTGTTAACTTTCTGTCTCAATGATCTAATATTGTCAGTGTGGTGTTGACATCCCCTAGTATTCTTGTGTGGGAGTCTAAGTCTCTTTGCAGGTCTGTAAGAACTTCTTTTATGAATCTGGGTGTGCCTCTGTTGGACATATATGTGTGTGTGTGTGTGTGTGTGTGTGTGTGTGTGTGTATTTATGTGTATATATGTAAAACTATTATATATATAACTATTATATATATATATATTAAGTCTTTTTGTTGAATTGAACACTTCAACATTATGTAATTCCCTTCCTTGTCTTTTTTGACCTTTGTTTGCTTAAAGTCTGTTTTGTCTGAAATTAGGATTGCAACCACTGTGTTTTTCTGTTTTCCGTTTGCTTGGTAGATTTTTCTCCACTCCTTTATTTTGAGCCTACAAGTGTCATTGCCTAGTTTCACTCCTGTAGCAGCAATGATGCAACCGTGGGCACTGGCAGGAGCAGGGCTGGCTGGCTCTGTACCTGCCAATACTCTGACTTTAATGGCAGTCAGTCAGAAGAGGGAAGGTTGCACTTCCGTTGCAACAGTGGCAAGGCAGGGTGCATGCACACACATGGGCATATTGGGGCAAGGAAAGCAAAACCTGCTTCCGCACACACATGCTGGGAAAGTAATGGGGGGAGGGTGGTTGCTGTGGGCCCAGGGGAGGGAGTGGGTAGGCTGTGTGTGTGGCTGTAGAATCTACACTGCTGGAGCTCTCCTCCAGTCAGGTAGGGTCCACCCCCCAGAAGCTATGATGGAGCCCCTAGGGCACCCGAGGCTGCCCTGCCAGTGCATGTGGCCAAGCTGGAGACCTAGGAGACACCAGCAGACTACGCAGTGGCTCAGGTTGCATGTCCCCATCTGATGGGCAAGACCACCCTGCAGAATTCAGGACTGACAGTTCCCTTAGGGCTAAAGTCTCCTATAGGAGAAAGTCAAGCCTGGGGGAATGGCTGTCCTTGGCTGTACTCTGCTACAGAGGCTCTCGTACCAAATCTGCCCTCCACATTGGCTGGCTTGCTTCCCCTACCACTTCTCTAAGCAGCTCTGCCAGCTCAAGTGTCCATGGAGGTTGAGTCTTCTCCTGCCAGGATTCCAGAGGCTCATGGCAAGAGTGTGTTGCTCCTTGCCAGTTCAACTCACCCCTGGAGTTGTTGGGGGCCAGGAATGAGCCTCGGTGCACAGTAGCCCCATACGAGGCTTCCAGCTTTCTGCCCCTTCAGCCCGCTTGTGTGTCATGTCTCTGTCCACTCTCAGTGCCTTCCCTCTGAAAATCTGTTAAGAGTAGGCCAATCATCTTGGTCCCTTGGTGGCAGCTTTTCCACCTGGCTATGTCTAGTTGGCCATCTTGCCCTCTCTCAAATTTTTAAAAATTTCTTCAATGTTTTTATCAGTTCTCTTTTTGTTGTTGTTGGTTTTTGTTTTTTTTTTTTTTTACTTTTGACCATTGATTGATAGTATTTGCTATTTCAGATCAGCGTCAAATAAGATGAAGTAACCAAACCCTGTGGGCTAGTGGTACAGTAGCAGTCAGGATGCCAGTCACTTGATGAGATATTAGGAGGAAGCCTCTTTGCTTCCCAGTCCACTCACACTCCCTGAGCCTCACACATGGGAGAACTCAGCCCATCAGTTTAGCTGCTTGATTCTTGGGCTAGGGAGTCTGACACAATCATACAAGATTGATGTTTGCATCCTCCTTTTCTTAACACACCTACACCCACTCAGGACTAGATAGTGAGTGTGCAATCTGTGCAGCCACATAAGGCCCTGAACATAGAAGGACCCAAGCTTTGTTTAATGCTCTGCCATCATCTAACATTTTCTAATAACGTTTCAACAAGGGTTTCTGCACTTTTGTTTTACACTAGATCCTCATGTTATATAGCTGGTCCTGTTCCCACATATCATTGAGTCAAGATCTCTTAGAAAGTGTCTTAGTTCTGATCCTTCTCTCTGGGCTATTAGATGTTAGTATTCTATCTCTAGTCTGGTCCACACCAGTTCTCACTACCTGTATTCCCACAGCACGCAATGCATTATGTGCATACAGGAGTGTGTTGCCCCAGCAGCCATTTGATCCATATGAGACAGATGACTACTGTTGAAAAGGGAAAGGTAAAAAATTGTGGCAGGCAGTCATTTTTCTAGAATTCCTTGCTAAATCTTTAATGTGGCAACATTAGCATTAAAAATGAATAAAATTGTATCTATGTGTCTTAAAAGGTTCTGAATTATTCTAACAAAAGTGAGGGCTAGAATACTCCATTGTCATGATGAGGGAAAGGAATAGGGTCAGTGGAAGTGAATGAGTAAAGGAAGTATCAGAACGGCACCAAAGAACTGCAAGGTTCATGGTAAATAAGACAGATAGATTCATACTGAATGAGAAAATTGATATTTTCCTGGTTATACAATCTATTGGAAAGAATTAAAGGGTGGAGGCAAAGTTCAATAAGAAAACCCCCACAGTTATTAAAAGACTTTAGTTATTTGATACTCACGTGTCCTTAGTAAACACGTATGCTGAATATATTTTAAACTTTCTCAAAAATTAAGGAGTTTTAGGGTTTTTTTTTCTGTTTTATCAATCTGAACTCCAAGAGTCTTTGTAGAGCAGTATATACATGTAGAAGATACATTATATTGAATTGAAAGTTTCTTAAATACCAGGACATATTCTAGGAACTGTACATGTAACATAGAAACTACAAGATCAGCAAATATTTTGAGGGCTTACAACTTGCCAAACAACATATGCTTTTCAGCAGATTTATATTATTTAATCCTCAAATTAATTCTATAAGCTGAGTATTATTCTCTTTATACACATAAGAAAACCAAACTATAAAGAGCTTTCATGACTACTTTTAGGTCTCACACAAAACCAGAATTCAAATTAAAAAAAATGCTTCATAATAACTTTTTAAGGGTGGTCTGTTTCACTGAAAAATCTGAAATAGGATTGAAGCTTTGTCATTTAAGTTTAGAAGTTCCTAGGCTGCCAAAGTGAGGAGGAGGAAGAGAAACAGAAGGAGAAGAAATAAAGACGGAAGAGTCTGAAGAAGACATACGCGTGGCCAACAAGTATATGAAAAAAATACTCAACATCACTAATCGTTACAGAAATGCAGATCAAAACCACAGTGAGACATCATCTCACACCAGTCAGAATGACTATTACTAAAAAAGTCAAACATAACAGCTGCTGGTGAGATTGTGAAGAAAAGGGAATGCTTACACTGCTGGTGGGAATGTAAATTAGTTCAGCCGTTGTGGAAAGCAGTATGGCAATTCTTCAAAGAACTTAAAACACAATTATCATTCAACCCAGCAATCCCATTATTGAGTATATACCCAAAGGAATATAAATTGTTCTACTATAAAGACATATGCATGTGGATGTTCACTGCAGCACTATTCACAACAGCAAAGACATGGAATCAACCTGAATGCCCATCAATAGTAGCCTATATAAAGAAAATATGGTACATATACACTATAGAATACTATCTGGCCATAAAAAAGAATGAGATCACGTCCTTTACAGGAACATGGATGGAGCTGGAGGCCATCAGCCTAAGTGAACTAAATGCAGGGAAAGAATACCAATTACAGCACGTTCTCACTTACAAGTGGGAGCTAAACAGTGAGAACATAAGGATACAGAGAGGGGAACAATAGACACTAGGCCCTCGGTGTGGGGAGGGAGATAATCAAAAAACTACCTATCCAGTACTATGCTCTTTACCTGGTGATGAAATACTCTGCACACCGAACCCCCATAACATGCAATTTGCCTGTATAACAAACCTGCACATGAACACCTGAACCTAAAATAAATGTTAAAAATAGGAGAGAAAGAAAGTGGAAAGGGAGAAATGGAGAGTGAGAAGTAATATGGTGTAACAGTGGAGTTTTAATCAGAAAAACAAACACAATTTCAAGTATTTAATTCAGAGGGAATTTAATTCAGGGGATTGGTTACACAGGTGATGGAGGAGCTGAGAAATCTATGTAATTCAGAGATTAGCAACACAAAACCACACTATACCCTAGAGCTGGAGAGACAAAATGATAAAGAGACAGTATTACCAAAACTCAGAGTCAGGGTTACCTGAAAGAAACTGGAACATGACTGATCTATTGGAAAGGAGTTGGAGTCATGGATGGTCCCACCCCTGTCAGACATGCCGCTGGAGACAGAATGGAAATTGGAGTGTTTCCTCCTCCCATGTTCCAGATTTACATCAGTACACCTTTTGGGTGAACAGAGATGGAAGTTATTTGACATGGAACATGGGATATGCCGCCTATAGATGTCAGCTTCTTTGTAATACAGAGCAGTTCATGAGACAAAGAAAAATTGGATCTGAGGGATACCTGTGACATGCTCACGCACAGTAGGTAAAATCAGAACCCTGGTTGAACGTGGCCCACCATATTGCTCTCAGACTTGGGGTGAATGATTCACAGCTATGGTCCAGAGAATAACCTAGAAGAAAGGTGAGAATGCAGCTCCAGATGAAAAAATTCTACATGTAAATGTACATACATAAAATAGAAGGGAAAGATTCAGTAGGGCACACTGAGAGGAACTGTTATGGCAAGAATGAAATGCCAATGAATAATTGAACATGAGCACCTGGGACACTTTTAAACACAGGTGGATGATGAAAAGGGAGGAATACAAGAGCTAAACTGGCAATATGGCAATAGCCCCTGGAAAGTGAAGGGGACAAAGTAAAACAGTCACTGTTTGAGAAGAATTAGCTGCCTCCTGAGTTGGCTGAATTGTCCTGGGGACAAGCAAAAGGCTGAGCTCTGTAGAAAAGATGAAAAATAAGGATATTTTTGTTTCCGTTTATATGATGTCAAATTCTCAGTTGCTGCATGAACATTGAACGTGTCCTGTGAATGCTATCTGAAAAAGCAATAAATAAAAGGATTTAACTAGTCATGACACCAAATGACAGTACTAATGGCACAAAACTTCCCTCCATATTAACTTACAACTGGTTTGCATTTAACTCCTTTCAGAATTTCATCTACCCCAGGTTTTTAACTTCCTAACAGGCTGTGAACACAGACGGCAGTTTATCTTTACTTGCTGGTTTCCGATTGTGCTTTTCAGAGCCTGGACAGTATTTACATAGCCATTAGCTGAGATACTTGGGTATTTCTTTGTTAATGAGAATCTCTTGTGGTAAGGTACAGAATTATACATTTTATCATACCTCAGCTGATTTCCATGCATGCTTCAATTTGGGAACCTATATTTATGGCTCTCTGCAGGTTCCTCTGGGCCACCACAGAAGGAAGGAACAAGAAAAGAGACAAGAATATAAAGTTCCAAATTGCCACCTCTCCCTGTAATAGTTCTACATGTTTGTCTTTCAGAAAGATTTCAATGGAATAATTTGTTTTGTGGTCAAAAGGGTGGATAAGAAAAATCATGGATCTGTATAAATCTGAAAAATCATGAATCCATTAATCTGGGCCCATTTTAATGTATCCCATAGTTTTATCTAATTGCTTGTCTGAAGCCCCCTTTCCTGTTTTTCTAGGTCATACTTCCAATCCATTCCTAGTAGGCTGCTAGGTATCCTCAGTAAACTCATTGTTTTATAGTTTTCAGAAGACATATTTTTCCCTGTTTTAGGGTTCTGACCTTCTGTTACTTTCCATGTTTCTTCAGATTATTGTTGGCAACAACATCCATTCATTCTGCCAACGTTGGTGAGCACCTGCATTGGACCAGACCCCAGGCAAGTATCTGCTGGGCACTCAGAATTCAAAATTAAATTAGTCAAGAATATACAATATTTTTTACTACCTGTGATCAAACCTGTACACACCTGAAAAGTTGAACACAACTCTTCCTTAAACCTTTGGCCTACATTTCTTTAAGGCCATTATGGCAAGCCTTATTGAGAAAGAAATCAGAATAGAAGCTGAAGTTGAAAAATTGACTGTCCTCTTAGTCATCTGGAAATATTGTATCACTGTCTTAGTCTGTTTGTATTGCCAGAAAGGAATACCTGAGACTGGAGAGTTTTTAAAGAAAAAAAAGGTTTACTTGGCTTACAATTCTGCTGGCTGAAAGATTGGACACCTGTTGAAATCCTCAGACTGTGTCCATTCATGGCCAAAGGTGAAGGGGAGCTGATGTGTGTAGAGATCACATGGTGAAAAATGAAGCTAGAGAGAGAATAAGATGGGGGAGGTGCCAGGCTCTTTTTAACAACCAGTTATCACAGAACTAATAGAGTGAGAACTCACTCCTAAGGGAGGAAATTAATCTATTCATGAGGGATCCACTCCATGACCCAAACACCTCCCCACCTCCAACCTCGGGGATCAAATTTCAACATGAGGTTTGGAGAGAATAAATTTCCAAACTATAGCAATCACTATGATACACAATAGGTCTAAACCTCATTATTTGTCTTCTTATTGTAAATATATCTTTAATTTTTATACTATTATTTTGGATTTTAAACTTTCAAAACCAGTTCTTAGACCCTTTGGTGTTTCAACTTTGGTATATGTCACTCATTCTGTCTTTTGCACATGATCTCTAACTAAATATGTGAATTCATGTATTTTTGTGCCCAGTTACATATCATCTGTTAGACAATTGAATAACAAGATATAATAATTTTCCAACTATTTACAAGGAATATTTTATGATGATATATGAACATATAATTTTATATATTTTAAACTAAAAGGACATCAGAAAATAGTGAGACAATTTTAAAAGATTTTTTAACCTTCCAAGCAGAAAGTACAGCCATGAACTTTCAGAAAATAAAGTAGGGACTTCCATTTGTAGAAGTGATTCATGTGAGAACATATAGAAGGAAATAAAATAAGAGTAACAAAATTTGAGAAAATTAAAAAACAGAGAAAACTGTACAGATTCAGTTAAAGAAATGAGAATAAAAGAGAAGTAATGGATTTAAGAGAAAAATATTAGGAAACACGCTATTCTAATATAAAAAAAGGAATTAAATAACATACATTTTCAAGAGTAGTTTCAGGAGCAAAGGAAGTCATAAAGCAAGGATAAAGATGTGAGCAAATGCCAGGTTGCCAATTCAAGAATAAAGAGAGAATTTTAGCATGGAATCAGAAGGCCTGGGTTTGATCCCAACTTCTGAACTTACCAGCTTTCTGAATTTTCTTAGGAAGAATCTCAACTTCCTAGTGAATTTTAAAGACCTTCCCAACTTTGAGGGTCCACAACTCATAAGCACAATTATTTTTAAAGCAGACATTGCAGCAACAGAAGTTAGCAGATTATTCAGTGTTTTTATGTGTTATTCATGAAGCATTGATTCAACTGACATTTTGAAATTATGCTTTGTATTTGGGACTGTGCTAGATGCTAGACACATGAATATAAGCAAAAAACTGTTTAGCTATAGAGAAGCTCTCAATTCACCAGGAAAAGAGAATATGTAGGGAAGCTATACATTACTATACATTATGATAAATAAAACTTTGAGTGAAGAACAAAGTGACACAAAATAAAATCAGGCTACTTTTAGGAAGAAGGTGGCACCTGAAATTGGGTTTTTGAGACCTTTCTTTCTAAACAGACTTTGTTTACATTATCAATGAAGTTTATAAAATATTGAAATGACTCAAGTATATGAGTAAGAAGTATTAACAGTGTAAAAATAACATTTTTAATTTTAGAGATAAAGTTCAAATTGAAACCAATGACATTTCTAAATATAGAACGTAGATTTGGATTCTTAAAACTCTTGTACCGAAAACATTTAGAGCTGCATAAAAATAATGCATATAGAGAAATGGCTGGTTATATAGTTAACAACTTACTATAACTTGAGAAAAAACCATCATTGACTGAAGGAGAGCAGGTACACATGAGGGAACTTCAAAAGTTTGTGGAAAATGGAATTAAAAGACAAAAACAAAAAATGTAAACTTTATTTATCAACATATGCTTCATCAAATTCAAGACACTTTTTAAAGCAATGATACCAGCACTTAATCCGTCCCTAAAGGACTGAGGGCCCTGGGAATTTAATCACTATCAATGCAGTCTTTTTACATTATTAACTGAAGAACACTAGGTGACTGTATTAGTCCATTTTCATGCTGCTGATAGAGACATACCCAAGACTCGGCAATTTACAAAAGGAAAAGGTTTAATGGACTCACAGTTCCACATGGCTAGGGAGGCCTCACAATCATGGCAGAAGGTGAAAGGCACATCTCACATGGCAGCAAACAAGAGAAGATGAGAGCTTCTGCAGGGAAACTCCCCTTTATAAAACCATCAGATCTCATGAGACGTATTCACTATCAGAAGAACAGCATGGGAAAGACCCACCCCCATGATTCAATTACCTCCCACTGGGTCCCTCCCACAACATATGGGAATTGTGGGAGTTACAATTCAAGATGAGATTTGGGTGGGGACACAACCAAACCATATCAGTGCCCTTTACAGATTTTTTGGGATTAGGAAACAAAAACAAGTCACAAGGAGCCAAATCAGAAAAGAAAGATGGTTACCTAGTGATTTCCCATCAGAACTCTTACAAAATTACCGTTTGATAAAATAAATGAGCTGGAACGTTGTCATTGTGGTGAAGAACTCTCTGTTGAAGCTTTCCTAGGCACTTTTCTGCTAAAGCTTTGGCTCACTTTCTCAAAACACTCCCATAATAAGCAGATGCTACTGTTCTCTGCCCCTCCAGAAAGTCAACAAGTCAAATGCTTTAAGCATCCCCCAAAAAAGTTGCTATGATTTTTGCTCTTGACCACTCTGTTTTTGCTTTGACTGGACCATTTCAACCTCTTGGTAGCCATTGCTTTGATTAAGCCTTGTCTTCAGGTTCATACTGGTAAAGCCATGTTTCATCTCCTGTTACAGTTCTTCAAAGAAATACTTCAAGATCTTGATCCCTCTTGTTTAAAATTTCCATTGAAAGCTCTGCTCTCATCTGCAGCTAATCTGGGCACGATGATTTTGGTACCCAGAGAGTGGATAATTTGCTCAACTTTAATTTTTCAGTGAGAATGGTGAGCTGAACCAATTGAGATGTCTATGGTATCTGCTATTGTTTCTGCTGTCAATCACCGGCCCTCTTTAATTAGGGCATGTATAAAATTAATTTTTTCCTGGCCAATTAATGTGGATGATCTGCTGCTGCCAGCTTCATCTTCAACACTGCCTCTTCCTTTCTTAAAATGAGTTATCCATTTGCAAACTACTAATTTATTTGTGGCATTGTCTCCATAAACTTTTCGTAAAACATCAATGATTTCACATTCTTCCACCCAAGCTTCACCATAAATTTGATGTTTGTTTTTGCCTCAGTTTTAGCAGAATTCATGTTACTCTGATAGGGGCTCCTTTCAAACTGATATCTTATCCTTCTTGGTACCTCAAACTAGATCCTATACAGCTAGGTTATAACAAGTTATTACAAATTTATTTTTGTGCAACAACTTTGAAATATGTATAGTTTTTTTCATAATATGCATTTCCTATGAACTTATTAAAGGCACCCTCATATTACGAAATCCTTAAAACACATTTTTATGGACAAAATTATATTTTTCTTTAAAACCAGATACTGAAAAACAAAGAAAAGTGCTATTTAAATATGCAAAATATCTCATTATGCCAGTAATGAGAAGTTTTGGAATTAAATTGGCAAATGAAATAAATCAAGATTGTCCCCTTAAAGCAAGTGGTCTATAGAATACAACTTGAGTACTGGAGTTACCTCATGTTAAGATGAAAAAAGATTAGGAATGGACAGACCAAGCTCAGACATATTTTATACAAACTGCATCACAGAGATCACAACAGAAGAGACCTCTCAATATCTCAAAAATATCTCCATATAAGCTGGAATCTGAGTCTCAACCAACCAAAGTCAAAACAGAAAGGGAAGACAGAACTGTATTAATAGTATAAAGACAGAAGGCAAGCCAAAGAGAATTATTTCTACACATTTTGTAGAAGAAATAGTTGCCATCGTAAAAAAAAAAAAAAAAAAAAAAAAAAACAGAATTGAAAGAAGCAATAAAAGGAGTTAACTTGTACTAATTTGGAAGTTACACCTCATACTATTGTTTTAATCTACCAGCTTTGATTTCCCATCTGGTAACAGCATGTTGATTCTCCTTAGCCTCCTTTTCCAGCTCTGACTCCATATTAGTCTGGACTCCTGCAGTCAAGGATACTTTCTGGGTTAGATTCTCTCAGAAGCTGATTCTAAGCCAAGAAATTGATTGCAAATGATTTCTTTAGGAGGTGCTTCCCAAATAATCCACAAGAAAGAGGGGGGAGAAAGATAGGGAAGAGGAGGAAGTCATACAAGCATGTGATTTAGGGTAAAGTTCTACCCTGTTTCATGCCAGAGACAGAGAGCTCTGAAGTATAAAGCTGCAAATTAGAGTTTGTTTTGCCTCACAGCAAGGGAGCTTGTCTTTTATATCTCAGTCTTGTAATTTACTATGGGCTGACCCAAAACCAATATAGACTTACAGACATTCTTTCTTTTCCATGATGTCTCTACCTCTCTTTCTTTCTCTCTCTTTCTCTGAGTCAAGACAGTTCAGGGCAATCCTCTGAAGATTGCAGCTGCAAGGCAATAGCAGCAAAGCACACAGTACTCAAGGATAGGCCAAAAGGGCATGCGAAGAAGATCAGGAGATATTTTCAGGGCACTAGTAATGTCCACTACAGGTGAACACATTAGGCAATCTGGGCAAAAGCATATTCCTTGCCCTGGATGTAATGAGTGTTTTCATAATAGCATATGCCCCAAATCTGTCTAATCAGTGAGTAAGCACCCAGAGAGGGACTCAGAGAAGTTAAATGGGAGTTTGGAGCTTCCAGAAGGCATCTTTCTATCATAAAAAGAACGTCCACCTAAGGTTGAAATAAAGTAAGAGGGAAGCACTGTAAAGAGATAGTGAGCACATGGCTAAGTCTGGTGACATTATTTGAACCACTCTATCTCCTGGTTTGACACTTAAACCAGAGTTTCTATGATAAGACCCTTAATAAATTACCTTTCTATGCCTGGGCTAGATTGAGTTTCTCTTACTTGCAATGAAAACAATATTATCTTTTAATTATTACTAGTAAGGTAACAGTGTTGATTCAGTTTCTGAATAATTTGCTGAAAGGCAAGGTCCTTATATGTTTATTCTATGAAAGCTGTTAGTCTAATATAAGAACCTCTACATGGTGTGCTGCTGAAGGGAGCTACTATCATGGCTCTGTGAAAGAAAAATAACAACTTAGAAGGCTGCATCTTTCACAGGCAAGGTAGCCAGTTATGATCAATACAGAACTGTCTTACAATTTAATGTTTTTGTTTTACCCCAAGAGGTTTGAAAAAGAAATGGTGGCAAATCTGTGAATTCCACCTCATCCATATTGAAAAACAGATGGTCAAGAAGAGATTCAGAAAAGACATGGTGAAAAATAAAACCATAGAGAGAAAGTGCTGAGCACCCAAAAGAACAAAGAAGAAAGAGTGAAATGAAGAAATAGACAATGTGAAACTGGTAGCTCAACATTAGGAGAATTTAAAAGAGCAAGGTGTGGATAAAAGATAAAGTAAAACAGAGATAGTTTATGGAATATTTGTATTCAATCCTTTGTTTGTTTATTCATTTATTAATTCATTTAGTAAAAACTTTTCTCAAGACAGGGTTCCCCACTCTGTCACCCAGGCTGGAATGCAGTGGTGCAATCAGAGCTCACTGCAGCCTCAGTCTCCCCGGTTGAAGCGATCCTCCTCCCTTGGCCTCCAAAGTAGCTGGGACTACTGGCATGAACCACCATGCCTGGCTAATTTTTTGTATTTTTATGGAGATGGAATCTTCCTATATTGCCTAGGCTGGCTTGAACTCCCGGTCTCAAGCAATCCTCCCACCTCAACCTCCCAAAGTCCTGTGATTACAGGCATGAGCCACCACTCCCAGCCCATTTAGTAAATATTAATTAGAGTAATTAACTATGTCCCAGGTCTTGTGTTAGGCACCTGCGATACATAAAATGTTCCTGTCTTCATGAAGCAAATTGTCTTTCTCCTCCTCCTCCTCCTTCTCCATCACTATTGTCATCATCATCATTCTTCTGCTACATACCTAGTAACTGCTTGAATGAAGAAATCAATATGGTAGAGCTAAAAACTCTTTAAAGAATAAAGCCAAATTTTAAGCAAACAGGCAATAAGAATAAAAAAGTAAGACTCAAGACAAAAAGTTAAAGAAAAATCAAAAAGTTCTGAGTAATATTTAACAAATATTTTTAAAGCATCTACTCTGTAGACTTTAAGTGTTCTCACAGACACACAACACAAAGGTAACTATGGGAAGTGATGGATGTGTTAATTAGATTTGATTGTGTTAATAGTAGTTTGATTGTGGTAATCATTTCATAGTGTATATGAATATCACATCATCATGATGTACACATTAAATGTATTCCAATTTATTTATCAATTATATCTCAATAAAGCTGGAAAAATAGATATAAAGTTTAATTTGTGTTAATCTGCCATTTGAAATAAAATCAGTCATAAAAATAAAAATGAAGAAATAAACTGTCTACTCTGTGACCCACACTGGGTTAAGTACTAGTCATAAGAAATATCTTTTTCTATTTGGTTCTGTTTTATAGTTTTTATTTCCCTTCTGAGATGTTATAACTTCAAACATCATGAGCATATTTTCTTTACATTCACTAAGCATAGTCATAAAACTTGCTTTAAAATACTTGTCTAGTTTTTAACATTTTGGTCATGAGGGAGTCAGTCTCCACTGATTATCTTTTTGCTTCAAAGTAGATCACAATTTCCTGGTTCTCATACGTGAAGAAATTTTGGATTGTGTCCTGAATATTGTTTGTTGTGGACCCTAGGATCTACTATATTCTTCCAAAGAGTGTTTTCCTTTATTGTCTATTTTAAAAGGCAATTAATGTGTTTGGACTCAAGCTCTAAACTCTACCTTTTGAATGGTTGTTCAAATCTCAGTTCAGTTCTTTTGTCCTTAGCTTTAGAGCCTGAAGGTCACCCTACTCATGCATGGTTGATGGGCCAGCCAGAGATTTGAGCAAACTTTATACTCAGAATTTAGGGCTTTCTGTTTCTGGTTCTCTCTTTTCTGGGATTTCTTTTCTGTTTTCTAACAGCTGTGGTTGTCTCAAACTGTGCCCTCTGGTCCTTCAGGACAGAAGAATTGTACGGTTTTCTATCTGATTTTAACCCTCTCTATCTGCCCCTCAAATCAGTGACTACAACATACTCTTAGGCTAAAACCTGTAAAAGTAGGAAATGCAATCAGTGTTTTTCCCTTCTTCTGTAAAATTCCCCTAGAAAATCTGCTCACTTTTGATCACTTCACTTTCCCCTGTCCTCAGGAATTTTTTTTTTTTTCTGAGACAGAATCTCCCTCTGTCACCCAGCCTGGAGTGCCATTGTGTGACCTCGACTCATTGCAGCCTCTGCCTCCCAGGTTCAAATCATTCTGCCTCAGCCTCCCAAATAGTTGGGATTACAAGTGTGCGTCACCATGCCCGGCTAATTTTTGTATTTTTAAGTAGAGATAGGGTTTCACCATGTTGGCCAGGGTGGTCTTGAACTCCTGACCTCAAGCAATCCACCCGTCTCAGCCTTCCAAAGTGCTAGGATTACAGGTGTGAGCCACTGCACCCAGCCAGGAATTTTTTCCAATTTTACCCAGAGTTTATGGCTGCTATCTGTGGGAGGGTCAATTTGGCAGGAATTCCTACCAGCCCAGAAGAAAGTGGAGTTCCCCAAAATACAGGTATTTCAGTTTTTAGTTACTGGGAAAATAAAATATAAGTGTTTAAAATGTGAATATTTTAACTCTCTATACTTTTTACCATAATCTGTGAGGATTAAACAATTATCAATGTGAAAGTATAGATGTAAAAGATAGAAAATTAGTAAAGAAGGAAAATACAAACATTTGTTGTGCTGTGAGCCTATGAGTTCAAATATACTCTTGTTAATCATACCTATATTTTACAGAAGGAAATAACTTCTAAGGTTGTTAGGGTGATTATTTTCACATAAACACATTTTAGAAACCGAAAAACAAAAGTGGAAATCATCTAGTAAAGTCAGTATTAGCATCTGCTGATTTCTCACGAAATTATTTATTTGCTTGTTAAATGTGGTAATTTTCTGCTAGATTTGAAGGAGAGAGAATCAGGTATTTCCTCACAGTCTTTCTTTAATCATCTCAGGAAAGGTACGGTTTTCTTAGTATGAGCCACTAAAGGCCCTATAAGCCACATACATTATGACAAAATATAATGAATCCATAAACCACTATATTGATCTATATACCAAGCTGTACTGAACCTTAAATTGAATGGGACATTCTGATTTTATAGTATCTTAAAGAGAACTCAGATGTAAGTCTGGGCATAAACAGAAAAAAAAAATCCAGTCTGGCTGGTTTTGCTATTCCTTAACTGTTGAGCAGATGACTTTGAATTATTTGGCAGAATTCATTGCAAATATTTTCTCTATTCTTCTTCCTTAAAAACCACCTCACAAACAAGGTGCTATGGTGTTAAACTTTTCTAATATAACTAATTTAAAAGTGAGCAATTCATTCAAGCACATGTGGAAGGATTTGTCTGCACCAGTGGTTGCCTTGTCCTTGAAAACAGAGGTACCCATCCCCATAAATTCTCTTTCAGGCAGTTTAAGTATCCCCTTTTGTAGGTTGGAGCATCACAGTCACAAGCCAAGTCTAAACAGAACAGACAAGGAAGGATATGCTTAGTTCAAGGAAGATAAATTTGTTTTCTCTCCATCACTCTCTACTCAGCACTGAGATAGCTCCAAGCTGCCTCCTGGTGCTTCTAACTTCAGTAAGACCATATGGGCAATATCACTGGATATTACCTGATTGCAAATTACTACTTGGAAAAGTTAAACTTTAGTCCTAATTAGGGCATATTCTTAGTTCAGACCCATGGGGTCTAGCTTTTGCACCACAGAAGTGTTGATTACTTATCTAATTCCCTAGTGTATCTGAAAGAGCTCTCCCAAATATTGCTAACTAGTGATCAAGTCACTCTGACCTCTCTATAACGTACTTGAGCTTTTATGTCTCCAGGACATTTATTCCTGCAACTTTTCTGTTTTGGACTTTTTTCTTATAGTCGGCCTTTCCCATTAAGTCTGCTCAAATCACTTTACAAAATTCTTGCCTTAATTTTCTTCATGGCACCAAGCACAGGATGGACTAATTATGTGGCCACTTTACCAGATTAATGCCCCAGTGTCCTTACATGGGCAGGCCAAAACCAAATTAGTTCCTTTAGTATTGAGTATCTTTCCAACTCCATGAGAATATAAACCCATGGGATCAGGGGCATTGTTTTGTATACTGCACTATAGACCCAGAACTCAGATCAGAGCCTGACAAAGAGTAGGTGCTTACATATATTTGCTTTATGAATTAATGACTAAATCAAAAATTTAAATAACTCCACATCCCCCTAAGGATCTTCATTCAAAAAGGCAGTGCAACTGTTCTTGCCCTTTTTCTTCCCTTCTCTTCCTTAAAAAATGCACTCCTAAAGTAACTGGTGGAGCAAGGGAACGTAGTTGGCCACACTGGTAAGGGGTGGGCTGGGGAAGCTGTGATGGTGTAGAATGAGATGTCAGAGACCCTGAGCAAAGTGACACAAAGGTGGCTACATCCAGGTTGCGGATTGTTGCTGGATGTGGGGTGTAAGATCTCAAGTAAGGTTAAAGCTGGTGCCCATGCAGGACATCAGCCCAAGCAAGGTGAACAGACAAATAACACATGGGGACAGCCCAGAGTGGTAAATGTAACATTCCAACAGAGAGGCGGTCCCGTAAGTGGCGTCAGAGATCAAGCAGGATAAAAAGGGCAACCTCCAGAGGTGGGGGAAACCCAGTATAGGAAGTCAGAGCCTCAGTGGGTGAGGCAGGTATTTATCAGAGATCCAGACTGGTGCAGATTTTCAGGGCTCAAGCAAGAGAAGGGCATCCTGGTTGGGAGTCAGACCCCATGGTGGCATCCAAGCTTGGGGGCAGCCTGGCCTGAGGTATCAGAAAACAAGCAGAGTCAAGAATAGTCCATGCCAGGATGCATCCTGGAGTGGACAGTCAGCCAGACAGAGGCAGGAGATTGTCCATGGTAGGGAAGAAAATGGCCTAGGGTAGTAGACTCGTGTATACAAGATAAGGAAGGAAACACAGAATGAGGGAATTAGCAGCAGATGGTGGGTTAGTTAACATGTGGGCAGATAAATTTTAAAAGTATAATAAAGGCAATGGAGCTAGGTTTCTCACCATCAGATAAATGAGTTACAAATGTGGAAAGGAGAAAACTAGAATAAACCCTGTGCTACTATATTGGAATTAGAAGTATCTGTACAAACTCATGGTTTTTAATCAATAAAGCTAGAGAAAGGTATACAGATATTGATGTATGCCTATGTGTATATACATTTATATATCTTTAAGTGCTATCTGCTGCAAGGGCCTGGGGGCAATGACACCCCAATATAAATGAGCACATCTACCTCCCAAATCTGGGCTTCTAAATACCATTCTCCACTAAAATGAACTTTGTGGTCCTTGAGAAAATAGATTTTAGGTTTGGGGCAGGGCAAGTACAAGCCTAGATCATAATGTTGTGACAGAAAGTGCTCCAAGAAGTTAGAAACATGTCAAAAAGACACAGAAACCAGATTGAAGAGTTCCACTTGGCCAAACTGGGAGCAAATTAAACATCAAAACAAATAATGACAATAATGGATGGTAATGCATGGAATTAAGTAAGAAAATATATCTCAATACAGATACAAATAAACAACTAGATTAAAAGTTTGATGAGTAACAGGATATTTACATAGTTAAAAGTTCCTTCCCACAATAAACTTATCTACTAAGCGAAAAGGTAAGTGGAAAAGCCTGACAGACATCATCAGAATCAAATTATCAAAATTAGCATCATTAATAGTTGGGATAATAAAAACTGTACACCATTTGACAGGATACAGTGAGAAAAACACATCATTACTTCTGATGTTCTTGTCAAAGATACATGACCTGAATCTAGTCATAATGAAAAACTCAAATTCAGAGGCATTCTACTACAAAATACTGACCTGTAATCTCCAAAAGTGGCAAGGTCATGAAAGCTAAGGAAAGATTAAGTAACTGTTTTAGACCTAAGGAGAATAAAGAGACATAATAATCAAATGTAACACATGATTCTGAACTGTATCATTCTACTCTAGAGGGCATTAATAGGAAAAATTGATGGGGCTGTTGAGTGGGGTCTGAGAATTCAGTGATGTTGCAATCACAATGGCTGTGTAATAAATCATCCCATACATGCTAATCACATGCACACTAAAATAGAAGTGATTTGGGCAACAGGTTACTGCTTGCTCTCAAACGGTTCAGCAAAAAATATATATATTTATACTGTACTTTCAATACTTCTGTAAATTTATTGTTTCAAAGCTTAAAAAGTATATATGTTAATAAACAAAATAATTTTCTTAAAAAGTGAATGAGGGAAAATGAAGATGTATAAACTCACTGCATCAGTTCTGTCCCTCCATGTCCTCTGCAGAGATCAGACTGAAACTCACAGTAAATGTAGTCCCGAGTCATCCAGGAATTCCTTCTCTGACATCATACCAATCTACTGTCTGCTGCACACATCTTTATCTTAAACCCTTTTATATTTATTTATATATATATATACACACACACACACTATATATATGTATATGTTACATAATACACAAAGAAATGCATGTTTTTATTGACTAGAGTATAAATTAATCACTACCATCAAGTTATGCATAGAAAAACAATGTTCCAGTATTTGCATCTGTATTAGTGCAAGACTTACTCCACCAGGACAAAATTATTTAAAGGAAATATAAGTCAAATTGTGGAGTCAAGTCTTCAGAGAACCACAAAAATTGCATTAGACACTTGAGTGGCTTTCTATTTAGGTTAATGTGGCAAAGCTAGCTTGCTTTTCACAAATCCTTTTCCCTTTCCTCTTGGGCTCCCAGGTAGAATGTATTTCTCAAAGCCCTTGTTGGCGTGGATTCCTCAATGACTATGTGACACAGCACTCTTCTCCCCCATCACCATTTTCTCTTTAAATGAGCAAAAGTAAGTTTCTACTTTTGAAGGCGCACTGTATTTTTTTTCCTGCCATAGTAAGTACCATCATCTAAACCAGTGCATTTACTTACTGTCAGATCTAGTGGGAGCCCATCGCTGATTGTGGGTATTAAGCCCCTCAGTTTTGCAGGATAAACATTCACAGGACAAAACAGCCATTCTCTTGCTAATACTGGCTGCCTCTTAAAAGATAAATCTTCTCTTCATTGTGCTAATGAAATCATTCATTTTTTTCCCCATCTATCAAAGGCCCTTTTCCAGGAACGGAGTGAGAAGGAGGAGAAAAGATCAATCTGCCACATTTACATCACTATCTAGCCATCCATCTGTTACCATCTATGTACTAAAGCCTGTTATATACTAGCTGCAGAACGTCATGTCTAATGAATAAGAAAACATGCACTAAAAAGAATTTGATTACTTCAAATAATTCTAGTCAAGTGTGGTGAACACAACAGCAGAGTGTCATAGAAGCATAGAAGCAAACAGTAGAAGAGTGAACCTGGTTTAAGAATGAGGACAGGCTTCCCAGAGAATGTATCAGCACGGAGCTCTCTGAATCCCTCTGCAAAGGTTACCTTCCTGGCTTTAGGCCAGGTATGTTTCCTGAGCAGCTCAATCCTTCACCATGTATAGGACTCTCCTTGGTAACTGACAACAAGGCATTTTATCTCTACATTCTGTTGTTTTCTGTAGTGCAAACCACCTTTAATTCTTCTATCTGTAAAATTGGGCTAGAAACACATATCTGAAAAATATATTACGAGGTGAAAGATGTATGAGGAAATGCCCGGCATACCAACAGGCAGATAATAAATTGCAATTTTATACCTTAAGGCCAGATTTTTTCAATACAGCACAGTAGCTACTAGACTTATGTTGCTTATCCCTTACCCACTTTGGAGGTTCATATTGATCTCTTGTCATATACCTAAATATAAATAAATGTTCGAGTATTAAAATCTATACTTTCCCTGAATTTTACCCTTCCGAGGTATAGATACAGATAGTCCCCAACTTACGATGGTTCAACTTATGTTTTGTTTTGTTTGTTTTGTTTTACTTTACAAGTGATAAGAAAGTGATGCACAGTAGAAACCTTACTTCAAATTTTGAATTTTGATCTTTTTCTAGGCGAGAGATAAGTGGTAGGACATACTCTTGCAATCTTGGGCAATGACAAGCCACAGCTTACACTCAGCCACACAATCACCATGTAAAGCAACCCATACTGTACAGTATTTGCGCTGCCAGATGATTTTGCCCAAGTGTAGACTAATATAAGTGTTCTGAACACATTTAAGGTAGGTTCAGCTAAGCTATGATGTTCACAAGCTATGAAGCTACCAGGTTAGGAATATTAAATGCACTTTTGACTGAAAATATTTTCAGCTTACAGTGGGTTTATTGGGATGTAATCCCATTGTAGGTCCAGGAGCATGCATGTGCGTACGTGCGTGTGTGTGTGTGTGTTTTAGCTGAATCTGACTATAACTTTGCTCTCCTCTGTAAGTTGACAAATGTATGCATATTGGTTCAGGTTAAACCTGTTGCCTACTTCCCTGCATACAAAAATAATGATCTGGTCAACTCAGAAAACTGCAGTAAAATAATCATAATCATAATATTAGAGCTATCTTTTGAATTTTTACTATATATCAGGGATCTTTTTGGTAATAATAATTTTTATCTTCATAAAATCATAAAGTACCTGACAATATTTATATTTTATGAATGAGTGTATTGAAGTTTACAGTGGTTGAGTGATGTATCTGCCCAGATTTATACAACTAGTTGGTACCAGACAAGGGATTCAAACTGAGGTCAGTTTGCCTCCAAGGTATCCATGTTTTCCTCTATACAAAATGCCACCCCACAATCAACTTCCAAAATGTCTTCTTGTGACTTTATTTTATTGCCACAATTTCTGAGTCACAATCATTATTCGTAAATATATTTAGTGGGTACATCAAAATTCCATGAATTTGGAATCTGAGGATATGGTCAGAAAAAAGCAACATAAAAGTCTAAAATACAACAATTGAGTGAAAACATACCATCTCGGAAAGTGTAATGTGACACCATGTAACAACAGGGTATTTGGGCAATTGAAAAACAATTTGAGTAGTAAAAACTGTTTGTGTTACTTCAGCATGAACCAGGGTAAAGGGGACTCCACTAATGACTACTTGCTGGTTTACCAGGTTATAGCCCTTAAAAATGAAGATGACATTGTCTATGTACATGAGCAAATTCATTTGTTTCTCATACTACTACTTTTCTTCCTAGTCTTAGCTTACTGGCAATTGGATTCTCCTATTGGAAAAGAGCATGCTGACCAGTTGCATTAGATATCTCAGTCTGTTTAACAGGGGTCAAATTTTCCAATCTGAGTTTAAGTGGGTGTTATGTGAGAGGCACTTTAGGGAGAATTCTATCTCTGTGCATAAATAATTGGCCTTTCGTTGAAAAGTTCGTTTTCTACTTTTGGCTTAGCGTCCCACAAACTGTTCCCCTTGAGAAATGAGTAAAGTACATTTCTCAAACTGAGAAATGAGACTCCAGGTAAAGCTGAGGATCAGACCCTAGGTGAAGAAAATACCATCAGCAAGCAAAAGCCAGCATCAATCCATTAATTATTACCATTCCAGCGGATCACGAGGTCAGGAGATCCAGACCATCCTGGATAACATGGTGAAACCCCCGTCTCTACTAGAAATACAAAAAAATTAGCCAGGCGTGGTGGCGGGCGCCTGTAGTCCCAGCTACTCGGGAGGCTGAGGCAGGAGAATGGCATGAACCCAGGAGGCGGAGCTTGCAGTGAGCCGAGATCATGCCACTGCACTCCAACCTGGGCGACAGAGCGAGACTCCCTCTCCAAAATAAAGACAAAAAATTGCCATTCCAGAAGAACGTTGAATTAAATATAAAACTACTTTCCACTCAAAAAGGAAAGTTAGGAATACATTGGACAACAGGATAGTCCCTGAAGTCTCAATGTCTCTCCTAATAGCTTTCTTTATTGATTCTATCATCCAAGAGTTTTTTTTCCCCCTAATTCTTAGAGTTAACTATCTGCTGCAGAGTATTCTTTTTATGTGTCTTGAAACGATTTCTCCTACGCCTTATCCCTTGGTTTACTTGGAAGGGAAACTTGCTTTTTTGTTCTTATTTTGACAGTAGTCTCCCCAAGCCTTCTGGAACTCTTCATGGTCCTCCTAAAGAAACTCAATGTAACTCCTTTCACAAGCTGACTTTATATTTGGCCTCTGATGAAATATGTGAGCACACATTGCCCTAACTCTCCCAATCCTTGGGAATGAAGTAATTATATGAATTACTATTCTCCAGCTGATTTATTGTGGCCAAATTTGCTGCAATGTAAGCTCTAGGGAGTCAAATATTTCAAATAATAACGGAAGAGAATTAAAGAGTAGTATCAAATAGGCAGAAAGATATTTATAAGCAATGTTACACTAGGATGGACTATGTAGAGATTACCCTTAGGCAGAAATTTATTGAATTACATGATAAATCTAGTTCTCTGACATCCAAATAAATAATTACCAAAAATAGAGGCACCCTCTTTTTTATTTGTCTGTATCTTTTCCTATCATCAAAAAGGGATATTTCTTTAAATTATAGGCTCAAACCTTATTTTTTCATACTATGCCTTAAGTGGAATATTTCCATGTGTATTTGGAAGGAGGCTATCATGAAATTCCATGTGCCTTGCTTATAACACTTCCTATTTTCTCAGCCCACCTGTTAATATAGATTAGGCTCCTGACATTATTTAATGGGGATGAAACAGTCACTCTTAATAATATGCTACTCTAAAGAAGTTTAGTATTAATGGTCTTTCTCTCATAAAACTATAATAAAACTTGGTATAATCAGGAATTCTGTGATCCAGAACATCTAACATTAAAGTAGAGAAAGTTATTAAATGTATAGTATGCAAGGATTTTTGTTTTTCAAAAAGTGAAATTCCCTCCGTATAGGTATTTGACATTAAAATACTACTGACTATAATTTGATCTTTGATGATGCAGAATTCCTAAGACTTCCTAATATCCTTTAGATGAATCAATATGATTCAATAAATAAAGAACCTTAACTACAAAATAAAACTTAGGCATGAGTTCTAAAAGGCACATAAAAGTGATTAGTCAAGTTTTTGTCCTCAAATACCTTTTGTATTTTCTAAACATCAAGATTTTTTACATTTCATTTTCAGTTGACACGTAATAATTGTACATAATTATGGAATACAGAATATTTCATATGTGTTATAATATGTAATAAAATCAGAATTATTAGCATATCCATCACCTCATACATGTATCATTTATTGATACTGTGAACATTCAAAATCCTCTTCTCTAGTTTTGTAAAAATATATACTAAATTATTGTTGACCATATTCATTCCACTGTGCTGCAGAACACTAGAATTTATTTCTTCCATCTAGCTGTAACTTTGTATCCCTTAACCAACCTCTCTCTAGCTTCTCTTTGTCCCTACACCTCCTATCCTCTAACTACCACAGTTCTACTCTCTACTTCTTTGGGCTCAGTTTTAAACATCAGGTTTATTAAGTTCTGATACATGTGCAGAATGTGCAGGTTTGTTACATAGGTATACACGTGCCATGGTGGTTTGCTGCACCCATCAATCCATCATCTACATTAGGTATTTCTCCTAATGCTATCCCTCCCCTTGCCTGCCAACCCCTGACAGGCCCCAGTGTGTGATGTTCCCCTCCCTGTGTCCATGTATTCTCACTGTTCAACTCCCACTTATGAGTGAGAACATGTGGTGTTTGGTTTTCTGTTCCTGTGTTAGTTTGCTGAGAATGATGGTTTCCAGCTTCATCCATGTCCCTGCAAAGTACATGAACTCATCCCTTTTTATGGCTGCATAGTATTCCATGGTATATACGTGCCATATTTTCTTTATCCAGTCTATCAATGGGCATTTGGGTTGGTTCCCAGTCTTTGCTAGTGTGAACAGTTCTGCAATAAACATATGTGTGCATGTATCTTTATAGTAGAATGATTTATAATCCTTTGGGTATATACCCAGTAATGGGATTGCTGGGTCAACTGGTATTTCTGGTTCTAGATTCTTGAGGGATTGCCACACTGTCTTCCTCAGGGATTTTACATGTTCTTTTTCCTCTGCCCAGAACATGTGGGTGTAGTTGAAGAGGAGTGAGTGGGAGGGAGAAAGAAAATGATTTGTAATCCTTTTGGTAAATACCCAGTAATGGGATTGCTGGGTCAAAAGGTATTTCTGGTTCTAGGTCCCTGAGGAATCACCACGCTGTCTTCCACAATGGTTGAACTAATTTACACTCCCAACAACAGTGTAAAAGCATTGCTATTTCTCCACATCCTCTCCAGCATCTGTTGTTTCCTGACTTTTTAATGATCACCATTCTAACTGGTGTGAGATGGTACCTCATTGTGGTTTTGATTTGCATTTCTCTGATGACCAGTGATGATGAGATTTTTTCATGTTTTTGACTGTATAAATGTCTTATTTTGAGAAGTGTCTGTTCATATTCTTTGTCTACTTTTTGATGCGGTTATTTTTTTCTTGTAAATTTGTTAAAATTCCTTGTAGATTCTGGATACTAGACCTTTATCAGATGGATAGATTGCAAAAATTTTCTCCCATTCTGTAGGTTGCCTGTTCACTCTGATGATAGTTTCTTTAACTGTGCAGAAGCTCTTTAGTTTAATTATATCCCATTTGTCAATTTTGGCTTTTGTTGCGATTGCTTTTGGTGTTTCAATACTATTCTCGTCAAGCTACCATTGACTTTCTTCACAGAATTAGAGAAAACTACTTTAAATTTCATATGGAACCAAAAAAGATCCCATATAGCCAAGACAATCCTAAGCAAAAATAACAAAGCTGGAGGCATCACACTACCTGATTTCACACTATGCTACAAGGCTACAGTAACCAAAACAGCATGGTATTGGTACCAAAACAGATATACAGACCAATGGAATGGAACAGAGGCCTCAGAAATAACACCACACATCTACAACCATCTGACCTTTGACAAATCTGACAAAAACAAGCAATGGGGAAAGGATTCCCTATTTAATAAATGGTATTGGGAAAACTGGCTAGCCACATGAAGAAAACTGAAACTGGACATTTTCCTTACACCTTATACAAAAATTAACTCAACATGGACTAAAGACTTAAACGTAAGACCTAAAGCCATAAAAAATTCTAGAAGAAAACCTAGGCAATACCATTCAGGACACAGGCATGGGCAAAGACTTCATGACTAAACATCAGTTTTAACTGAAGTGAACATGTGGGGGATTTCAAGGTTTTGGGGATTTCAGCTGACTGAATACTAACTAGCAGGGTGTTTAAAATACTATGAAAGATAAGGATCTCATAGAAAATATATGAATATTCTAGACAGTTTCTGTAAAAAGGAATATTACAGAGATATTGTGGGTTCTGATCCAGACTACCACAACAAAGTAGACATTGCAATAAAGCAAGTCACATTTTTTTGGTTTTCCAGTGCATATAAAACATTTGTGTATACCATACTAAAGTCTATTAAGTGTGCAATAGAATTATGTCTAAAAATCTACATATTTTAAAGTCCTTTATTGCTAAAAATTGCTCTCATCTGAGCCTTTAGCAAGTCATAATATTTTTGCTGGGGGTAATTCTTGACTCAATATTGATGGCTGCTGATTGATCAGGGTGGTGGTTGATGAAGGCTGGAGTGGCTGCAGCAATTTCTTAAAAGAAGAGAACAATGAAATTTGCCACATCCATTGACTCTTCCTTTCATGAAAAATTTTTGGGAGCATGCTATACTATTTGATAGCATTTTACCCACAGAAGAACTTCTTTCAAAATTTTAATAAGTTCTCTCAAATCCTGCTGCTGCTTTACCAACCAAATGTATTTAATATTCTAAATCCTTTGTTGTCATTTCAACAAGGATCACAGCATCTTCACCAGAAGTAGCTTCCATCTCAAGAAGCTACTTTATTTCTTCATCCATAAAAAGCAACTCCTCATCCATTCAAGTCTGATCATGAGGTTGTGGAAATTCAGTCACGTCTTCAGACTTCACTTCTAACTTTAGTTCTCTGGCTATTTCCACAACATCTACAGTGATTTCTTCCATTCAAGTCTCGAACCCCTCAAAGCCATACATCAGGATTGGCATCAACTTCTTCCCAAATCCTGTTAATTTTGATGTTTTTATTCACTCCTTCCATGAATCATAAATGTTCTTAATGGCACTTAGAATGGTGAATCGTTTCCAGAAGTTTTTCAATTTACTGTGCCCAGATCCATCAGAGGAATCACTATGACAGCTATATTCTTATAAAGTGTATTTTTAAAATAGTAAGATTTAAGAGTCAAAATGACTCCTTGATCCATGGGCTGCAGAATGTTTGTTGTGTTAGCAGGCATGAAAACAACATTAATCTCCTTGTATACCTCCATCAGAGGTCTTGAGTGACCAAGTGCTCTGTCAATAAGCAGTAATATTTTGAAAAAATTTATTCAAAATTTGAGACTTACTGAGTAGTAAGTCTCAACAGTGGACTTAAAATATTCAGTAAACTATGCTGCAAACAAATGTGCTGTCATTCGGAGTTATTGTTCCATTTATAGGGCACAGGCAGGGTAGACTTCGCATAATTCTGAAGGTCCACAGGATTTTCAGAATAGTAACTAAGCATTGGCTTCAATTTCAAGCCATCAACTCTTTTAGTCCCTGCCAAGAGAGTCAGTCCACGTTTTAAAACTTTAAAAATTGGCATTGGCTTCTCTTTTCTAGCTATGAAAGTCCCAGATGGTATCCTCTTCCAATAGAAGCCTGTTTCATCTACATTGAAAATCTGTTGCTAAGTGTAGCCACGTTCATCAATGATCTTACCTAGATCTTCTGGATAACTTGCTACAGCTTCTCCTTCAGCACTTCCTGCTTCATCTTGCACTTTTTGTTATGAAGACGGCTTCTTTTCTTAAAGCTCACAAACCAAACTCTGCTAGGTTCAGACTTTTTCCTGCAACCTCCTCACCTTCTCAGTCTTGATAGAATTAAAGAGAATTAGGGACTTGCTCTGGGTCGGGTTTTGGCTGAAGGGAATGTTGTGGCTGGTTCGTTCGATCTTCTATCCAGACCACTAAAACTTTCTGCATATCAGCCATAAGGCTGTTTCCCTCTCATTTGTGTGTTCACTGGAATAGCACTTTTAGTTTCCTTCAGTAACTTTTCTTTTGCATTCACAACTTGGCTGTTTGATACATGAGGCCTAGCTTTTGGGTTTATCTTAGCTTTGGACATGTCTTCCTTACTAATATTAATTATTTCCAGCCTTTGATTTCAAGGGAGACATTAGACTCCTCCTTTCACTTGAACACTTAGAGACCATTGCAGAGTTATTAATTGTCCTAACTTCAATATTTTGATGTCTAAGGGAGCAGAATGACCACAACAAAGGAGAGAGATGCAGAATGGCTAGTAGGTGAAGCAGTCAGAATACATGCGACATTTATGAAATAAATTCATTCTCTCTTATGGGTGTAGTTTGTGGCACTCTGAAACAATTACAACTGTAAAATCAAAAATCACTGATCACAGATCACCATAACATAATAATAAAATTTTGAAATAGTGCAAGAATTACCAAAACGTAACATAGAGACATGAAGTAAGAACATGCTGTTATAAAAATGACATCTATGATTTGCTCGAGGCCAGAAACCTTCAATTTGTAAAAACCGTGGCTGGACGTGGTGGCTCATGCCTGCAATCCCAGCACTTTGGGAGACCAAGGCTGGAGGATCACTTTGAGCTCAGGAGTTGGAGACCAGCCTGGGCAATAAGGTGAAACGCTGTCTCTATAAAAAATACAAAAAATAGCTGGGTGTGATAGTGTGCACCTGTGATGCCAGCTGTTCGGGAGGCTGTGGCGCCAGAATCACTTGAACCCAGGAGGCAGAGGTTGCAGTAAGCCGCGATCGTGCCACTGCAATTCAGACTGGGTGACACAGTGAGACTCCGTCTCAAAAAAACAAAAACAAAAACCTCTGCATTATCTGTGAAGCACAATAAAGCAAAGTGTAATAAAGCAAGGCATGTCTGCATGTTTCCTCCTCTGTCATGATAGGCAATCATCCAAAAATGCCATAGGCCCCCTCTATCCTTTCTGAACGTATCTACAATACAAAGTTCAAAGTCCTTATCTGTGGCATCCTCATGATCTGGTCTTACCTACATTTTTACTCCAATTTCTTCAATTTAGGGATGACAATAAAAGCCAGCAAGGCTTGGGCACCAACAAGCAAAAAACAAACAGCAGTCGCCCTGAAGCAAGGGATCAGAGGCCTCCTTCATTGTAGAGCAATTACCCTTTAGTTGTTAGATTTGCAGAATGTTGAAGGGAAAGGGGAAAGGCAGTCAGTTCATCAGTGGGAGGATGACACGAGGGAGTTAGGGAGGTGGCAGTTTACAACTTGGATGCTCGTAAGTCAACATTTTAGCAAATAGTTAAAATGTGTGCCAGGAGCCTATCAACTCTGCTCCATCTGCTTGCTTCTCAGTGAATGCCCTTTACTCCTGTCAAACCAAACTAGTTAGTATTCCTGAAATGTTTCATATCTAACTAGCTAATTTCCCCTAAATGTTTCATACCCATCTAGTTAACATTCCTTGAATGTTTCATTCCAATAATTAATATTCCAGAAATGTTTCATTGCAATGTTATTCCTTCTGCCTGAAATGCCTCTCCCTCTCCTTTCTATTCACTTGGATAAATAACTTTTTAAGACCTTGGTCAGGTTTCACAGAGGATGTGATATTTAAACACTGTGCCTGAAGGCTCCTCCCTTTGCCTTTCCTGGTCCTCACCACTTCCTCAAACCACTACATTAAAGGTGCCATCTATGTGTAAGATTACATAATGGTATCTTGGCATTTATTTGATTACATGTCTTGGCATTTATTTGATTACATGACTTTCTCCATTACTGGACTGTTAGCTCCTGAAAATAAGGATACTATCTTATTTAATTTCCCTGGCTCCTAGAAGTATATAAATAAAGCCCTACTCACATAATAGATCCCCACTAAAAGGAAGGCCAATGAAATTGGAATCTCTTCCTTTGAACTTTGCCCATCTGCTGGGTAAAGGTAAACTGGCCCATATGCAGAGTCTGTTCAATATTATTAGATCAGTGATTTCCAAACTGTCATGCATCAGAATTAGCTAAATGCCTTAAACACAGAGTACTAGGTGCCCTCCTCAGAGTTTCTGATTCAGTAGGTCTGAGAATAACAGTGGTTCTCAAAGCATGGTTCCCAGAACAATAGCACCAGCATCACCTGGAAACTAATGGAAATAAAAATTATCAGACTCCACCCCAGATCTACTGAATCAGTAACTGTGGAGTGGTACCCAGCAGTCTGTGCTTTAATAAGCCCTCCAGAGATATGCTAAATTTGAGAAACAATAGAGCATTTCTCTAAAGCAGGGATGATGTCATCTATTGAAATACCACAAAGTATAGTGTTTTGAGTATAATAGTGTTTGTTTTGTTTTAGTCTGTTTTGTTTTACTATTAAATTTTAAGGTGGCAAATGTTCACATTGGCATCATGAAGGAATTTGTTGACATAGATTCATCTCAATCTTTTCAACACATTTCTTATTCTGGCCAGTACTATTTTTCACAGGAGACCCTCCTTGTCATTAGAAGAGATTAAGTGGATTCGACTAGCAGGAGTATTTTACATGTGTCACAATCGACAAAGATAGATCTCATAAGATTGTCATGTTGTTTCTGGAGATAGCCTGAGTCAATATAATAAGTTGAAGGACTTGAATGATAAAACAGTGATAACCCCTCAATGAGCAACAATGATAATGATCTTCTTATTGACAACACAGTCCCACATACCCACCCCAGAATAAAGATATTGATTCTCACTCTCACTTAGCAACAAAAATATTGGGGAAAGTAGCTAAAAGAGCATCTGCTGGTGTTTTGCTAAAGCACTAGTCCAAACACAGATTTCCCTGTAAAGTTCAATGATGGTTCTTAAACCAGCTGATGGACCCAGTGTTCCAGATGGTAGGTGTCAGGACCAGGGCTCACCCTGAAATCTCCCTGCCCACAATAGCTGTGGTCTCCTTACGATACATACTGCATCGCATCATAAACTTCACAACCGCCAACCCAGGAAATTACCTCTGAAGGTAGGATCATTTATTTTATAATCTGAATATAGGGTAAAAAAAAAAAAGTGCCATACCATATGCAATCAGCCCACAGACCAGGAAAATTCATATTTGAACTTACTTTTCCATTCAGTTTAATAATTTGTTGATAACCATTTTATAATTGGGCTGTTCAGTTCAAATTGCTAACTCAGTTGTGATGTATGTAAGGGAAAAAGTATAATACTGAAACTGAGGGCTAATCTTTTTAGTTGCTTGCTTCTTGATTTTTTTTAACCTACCTAGTTGAAAGCTGCACTGCTAAACACTCTTTAATTTAACCTTCACTAGCTTCTGCAGAGGTAAAACCTCTAAAGTATGTGTCACCAGGTAATGACTACTCAAGTTGTTTTTCACAAAATTGAGGGAAGCTCTTGTCCAGCTTGAACTGGCTGAGACCACTGACGCTTCAACTGGGCCTGTGCAAATGCCTGAGAGGCAATAAGAAAGCTTTTGACATCAGAGAACCAAAAATCCTGCCTCATATCATGCTAACGCTGCCATTGTCTGAACATGTGTTCTAGGAAGACCCCTGAACTCTCACTATGTTTGCATGATCATCAGTTGCCTGATTTTCCACATGGCCAATTACCTGTCCCCATACCTTAGACCACCCTGTTTCTCTACCCCATAAATACCCTTAAGCCCTATATTCTAGAAGCTGGATTTGAGAGATGTTCTCCTGTGTCCTTAATGGGCTGCCCTGTGAATAAACTTTTTCTCCACTGCAAAACTCATCTTCTTAGTCATTGGCTTTCTGCACCACAGGAAGAACAAACCTGGTCCAATATTAATATAATGATTAAGAGTAGGGCATTGGTTTCAGACCAGGCTTGGGTTCCAATTCAAGATAGCCTTCCTACAGATGTGCACAATTTGTCACTTCATCCTTCTAATCCTGCTGCATATAAATGTTAACTTCTGTAATAGAGCAAAATGAACATCTATAATAATGATACTCAGATGTTATTTTTAGCTATCAAATGAACCTGAACCCTGTATCTTTAACTGCACTGTAGATATTTTCACCCTCCAAATGTCTATTTTTGACCTTTTGATTACTCATCAATATTTGTCTTTTTTTTTTTCCTGGATATAATAGAGACTATACCAGTCAAGCCACCCTTTAGTTAATTGAGGGGAAAATAACAGTTTTAGCTGATGAATGTGTGGGCAAAAGTAAAGCATCAATTCTGACAAACCTGTATGGTTTCCCCATTTCTCTTCTCCTATCACAGTGACCAGGAGGAAGCTTTGTCTTGAGAATACCACTGAGATATCACATGGAGTGCGGCTGCCCTGGGGAGGCACTAGGGAGAGAATCCAACTATTCTCACGAGAAATATATTTTTGTCACATTACAACACTGAGAACTGGGAAGAATGCTTACACAGTATAAGCTATCTTGACTAATACAATGTCCCAAAACAACCGTATCTATTTTCAACCTTAAGCACATTATCCTTCTGACATCATGCTTTTCAGCAATCATATTAAAAGGTAACATTTTAGCCACTCTTTATCCATTCTTCTCTTTCAGCCACTTGGGCCTCCCATGTTTTGCTACATTCATCATTTTATATCTTTAAAAATGTATCTCAGTTTTTATATACTCCTAAGCCTGATAGAGAAATAACTGAATCCTGTCTTCTGCCTCTAGATGAAAGACATTTCAATTATTTTGAACAATGAGGAACCTTACATCCCTAGGATTTGTGACTTGGCAGCTTGTTTTTGTAAAATCCAAGAATCTCTCTGCCTGGCTTTCAAGATCTTCAACTCATCTTCCACTATAATCCCCTCGTACTTCCCAGCACACACTCAACTTCACCCCGGCAACTCATACATGCCACTCGGCTCATGGATCTACACCTTTGCTCTCTGTCTTCTCCACTCCTCAGCTTTCAAACTGAAATTCAAATCCCATTCCTTCCATGATGTCTTTCCTCATTTCTGTAGCCTCATTGATCTACCCTTCCTCAGAACTTTTCTTTCCATGAAGCAGTAGTTCCTTATAGTTTCCTGCCTAATACTTCTCTAATTGTTTCATCTCTGTTATCACTGGCTTTTAAAAGGGAGTAGCTAAGCTTCACACTGCTTTTAAATATGTTACAATATTTAACCCAAAGACGACACAAAGTAAGTGTTCAATATTTGTTATCTACTTAAACGAATTGATAGGCTCTCATATGAAAATCAGTTTTTTCCAGGAAAATGTTGTGACTTATAACACACCACACTCCTTTTTGCCACAATGTCTTAGACCTGGGAGTCTCCCACTAGGAAACCTGGCTGAGAGATTAGTGATTTGTTCATGGAAAAGGGAATTGACCAATGAGTAGATGAGAAATCTCTGTATCCTTCCACTCAATTTTGCTGTGAACCTAAGACTGTTCTAGAAGATGAAGTTCTATTTTATATATATATACACACACACATATACATACATATATACACGTATATGAGTCTTGTCACTCCTTTTTTTCCATGTTCCTAGTATAGCACATACGTATGTATATGTGTCTGTATATGTGTGTGTGTATATATATAATGTGTGCGTGTTTGTGTGTGTGTATATACGTATTTATATATATGAAGAGAACTGGACATTAACTGTTGGTTTTTCAAAACCTTTGAGCTGAATGGATGGTCCTTACTTTCTTGGTAGTGGATCAGTGGCATATAACATTTCTTAGCATTTGCTTTCAGAAATGAGTTCAATTCTTTTCTAATTACATGTTGTCAGAGAAACTTTAAGAGTATTGCCAGATTAGTTCTGTAAATTAAACTGGCTTGCTTAGGTACTGTACAGATGCATCATGATGATAATGTAGATAATGTAGGTGGTTTTATTTGCCCTGCTTCCATTGCTTTTTTCTAAAGTTATGTTGAATATAATTGGTATTTTTTGTGCTCAAAAAAGATTCTGAGTTGTGACTTCCAATGATGTTTGGTGATTATTATAGCTGTAGTTTGTTTGTTTTAAATGTTTTCAATAAAGGTTTCTCAGTAATTAAATTCCACTGACCTACTTTTCACTTCTTTAGTCTGTAATACGTTTAATCTCCAAGGTTCATAAGCAATTAAACAGATAAATGACAAAATAGCAAAAGAAGAGAATAAAAAAACCAACGGGTTCAAATAATTCACACAATGAATTCTCACTCACAGGATATCTAAGAGATTACTGTAATGCAATAATGAAGTACACTCTCTAAATGCAATTACAACACAGCCAGACACCACCATTTCCTCCTCATTAGTACACACTAGCCCTTTGTAGAAACATGCTGTAGTATTTCACATTCAAAGGTTTCTTTTTAAATCTATTCACTAATGAGATTCAGTGGGTTGTTGCCTTTATTCTAAAATAGTTTTCAAAACTTAGTTGTACCACTAATGAAGAGTGCTGCTTTGACTTAAAAAATATAGGCCCAAATCCATTGCTTAGAGGAATCATTCTTGGATACCTGACTCCCTTTTTAGCTAAAACTATCAAGAGCCTTTAAAAAATGTTAATTTATTCATCAAATATTTTGAACCCTAAGTACTATACTAGGAACATGGAAAAAAGGAGTAACAAGACTCATGTACTCTCTCTCTGCCAACATGAAATTCTTTCAAAGCTGTGTGGTCCAACATAATAGCCACTAGCTGCATGTGCCTGTTGGCTACTTGAAAGGTGGCTTGTTTAAATTGAGATGTGCTGTCAATGAAAACACATACCAGATTTTGAAGACTAACCATGAAAAACAATATAAAATATCTCACTTCATTTTTTTACTTATTACATGTGGAAATAATACTATTTTGGATATTCCGGGTTAATAAAATATATTAATAAAATTAATTTAAGCTGTTATTTTGTTTTTGCTTATTTTAATGTGGCTGCTCGAAAATTTAACTTTACATTCCTGATTGTCTGTAGGGGATACATTCCAAGGACCCCAGTGGATACCTGAAACTGTGGATAGCACTGAACCTGATACATACTATGTTTCTTTCTATACATACATACCTATGGTATTTTAATTTATAAATTAGGCACCATAAGAGATTAGCAAAAATAACTAATAATATGGGCAATTAGAATAAAATGCTATAATAGAAAAGTATGTGAATGTGGTCTGTCTCAAAATATCTTACTGTGCTATACTGTGGGTAACCAAAACCTGGGAAAGTAAACCATACATAAAGTGGGGGGACTACTGTAAGTAACTGGCTTGCATTTGTGTGTCACATTACACTTTTATTGTATAGCACCCCTAAAATCTCCAGAGAAAAAGGCCATTATTAACCATTATCCTGAGCACAAAACAGAAAACCAGATACCATGTGTTCTCACTTAAAAGCGGGAACTAAACATTGGGTACTCATGGACATAAAGATGGCAACAATAAACAATGGAAACCATGAACGGGGCAAGGAAGGGAAGGCAGGAAGGGTTGAAAAACTAACTATTGGGTACTATGTGCACTACCTGGGTGACAGGATTAACTGTACTCCAAATCTCAGCATCATGCAATATACCCATGTAACAAACCTGCACACGTATCCCCTGAATCTAAAGTTGCAATTATTAGAAAAGGAAAATAAACAACAGCATTCAAAAACAAAAACAAAAAGGCCATCAAATAAGTATTAATAATTATTACAGAAAGTATGAAGAATTAGGTAGAAAAAATATGAAGGCCTTGAGTTATGATCAGATTTTAGGATTCTTCTGGTAACCAGGTTCACATCCAAGGAGTCCCAGACTAAATGGCTACTTTGGCTAATTTAAAAGAATCCTCTTTTGCTATCCCCTAGTGATATGATTGGGCTGTGTCCTCACCCAAATCTTATCTTGAATTGTAGTTCCCATAATCCCCATGTGTCATGGGAGGGACCCAGTATGAGGTAATTGAATCATGGGGGCAGTTAGCCCCATGCAGTTCTCGTGATAGTGAGTGAGTTCTTATGAGATCTGATGGTTTTATAAGGGGCTTCTCCTTTTGCTCAGCACTCATTCCCTCTCCTGCCACCCTGTGAAGAGGTGCCTTCTGCCATGATTATAAGTTTCCTGAGGCCTCCCAAGCCATGTAGAACTGTGAGTCAATTAAACCTCTTCCCTTTATAAATGACCCAGTCTCAGGTATGTCCTTATAGCAGTGTGAAAATGAGGTAATACAGTAAATTGGTAGCAAGGGAGTAAGGCGCTGCTGTAAGGATAACAGAAAATGTGAAAGTGACTTTGGAACTGGGTAAAAAGCAGGCATTGGAACCGTTTGAAGGGCTCAGAAGAAGAAAGGAAAACGTGGGGAGGTTTGGAACTTCCTAGAGACTTGTTAAATGGCTTTGACCAAAATGCTGATAGTGATATGGACAATGAAGTCCAGGCTGAGGTGCTCTCAGATGGAAATGCTCCAGTTGGGAACTGGAGCAAAGGTGGCTCTTGCTATGGTTTAGCAAAGAGACTAGTGGAATTTCGCCCCTGCCTTAAAGATCTGTAGAACTTTGAACTTGAGAGAGATGATCTGAAATTGGAACTTATGTTTAAAAGGGAAGCAGAGCATAAAAGTTTGGAAAGTTTGCAGCCTGACAATGCAATAGACAAGAAAAACTCATTTTGGAGGGAGAAATTCAAGCCCACTGTAGAAATTTGCATAACGAGGAGCCAAATATTAATCACCAAGACAATGGGGAAAATGTCTCCAGGGCATGTCAGAGACTTTCATAGAAGCCCCTCCCATCACTAGCCTGGAGGCCTAGGAGGAAAAAATAGTTTCATGGGTCGGGCCCAGAACATTGCTGCTTTGTGCAGTCTCACGACTTGGTGCCCTGCATCCCAACCATGGCTAAAAGGGGCCAATGTACAGCCCATGCCATTGCTTCAGAGTGTGCAAGCCCAAAGCTTTAGTGACTTCCACATGGTGTTGGCCCGCAGGTGCACAGAAGTCAAGAATTCAGGTTTGGGAACCTTCGCCTACATATCAGAGGATGTATGGAAATGCCGGGATATCTAGGCAGAAGTTTGCTGCAGGGGTGGAGCTCTCATGGAGAACCTCTGCTAGGGCAGTGCAGAAGGGAAATGTGGGGTCAGAGCCCCCACACAGAGTCTCCACTGGGGCACTGCCTAGTAGAACTGTGAGAAGAGGGCCACTGTCCTCCAGACCCCAGAATGGTAGATCCACCAACAGCTTGCACCGTGAGCCCGGAAAAGCTGCAGGCATTCAATGTAAGCCTGTGAAAGCAGCCAGGAGGGGAGCTGTACCCTGCAAAGCCACAGGGGCAGAGCTCCCCAAGGCCGTGGGAGCCCACCTCTTGCATCAGTGTGACCTGGATGTGAGACATGGAGTCAAAGAAGATCATTTTGGAACTTTAAGTTTTAATGACTGCCCTATTGGATTCTGGACTTGCATGGAGCCTGTGGCGCCTTTGTTTTGGCCAATTTCTTCCATTTAGAGTGGATGTATTTACCCAACGCCTGTACCTCCATTGTATCTAGGAAGTAACTAACTTGCTTTTGATTTTACAGGTTTGTAGGCAAAAGGGACTTGCCTTGTCTCAGATGAGACTTTGATCTTGAACTTTTGGGTTCATGCTGGAATGAGTTAATACTCTGAGGGACTGTTGGAAGGGCATGATTATGTTTTGAAATGTGAGGACTTGAGATTTGGGAGGGGCCACAGGTGGAATGGTATGATTTGGCTGTGTCACCACCCAAATCTCACCTTGAATTATAGTTCCCATAATCCCCACATGTCGTGGGAGGTAACTGAATCATGGGGGCAGTTACCCTCATGCTGTTCTTGTGATAGTGAGTTCTCACAAGATCCATTGGTTTTATAGGGGCATTTCCCCCTTTGCTAGGCACTTCCTCTCCTGCCACCTTGTGAAGAAAGATGTTTTCACTTCCCTTTCTGCCATGATTTTAAGTTTCCTGTGGCCTCACCAGCCATGCAGAACTGTGAATCAATTAAACCTCCTTCCTTTATAAGTTATCCAGTCTCAAGTATTTCTTCATAGCAGTATGAGAATGGGCTAATACACTTAGTATATTGCATATACTATTTTGGCACTCAGGATATTGTATTTTCAGTAATTTAATTCAATAACAAACACTTATTGAGCTAAACACTCTTATTCATCTTGACTTTCTTAGTACATGTCAATGTTCTTATACATAGTGGGTGTGTATTAAATGATGAAAAATGCCCTCTGGAGCACTATGAACTAAAGGTAACAACGTGGTATATCTTTGCATACAAATAATACTCCTATAAGGAACCATCGTATGCCACCTTCTCTGCCCCGGAACTGGGAGATTTTGTTATTCACTCCCTACAGATGTCCAGCCTGGTGGAGCTGATTTTTAATGGTACTATTGTCAACACCTGATGATCAACTGCTTCCTAGATCCTGGCATTTGGAAACTGTCTGCCATCTAATACGAAACATGGCAGGATAGTGGTGTCCTGGAAGTTATGCACCAGTAACAGATCCAGTGTCATATCCATAAAGAAAACTGGATAGCGTTCCTGCATGGTAGACTTTCATTTCAGTCTGAGGTTTGATGTATCTTTGACTGACAGACTGCAAGATGACGTGTTGGCTTCCTGAACGTGGTTTATGTCCTTGCCTCATATTGTATCACCTTGTATGCTACTGAAGTGGAAAAAAATCAATCACTGCAGTTAATCTGTATTTCAGAAACTCCAAGTCTGTCTGGCAGAAGTTTACTTAAGGTCCTTTCTTCCTCATAAGCTTATGGTCCCCCACTTTCATAAAAGAGAACATGACCTTCTTCAAATGCTCCCAGGCAGACCCCAAAAAGCAATGATCAATGAAAAAACACTTCAGTTTGATGATTTCAAAGTGTTTGAAAGAGTTCTTCAGGTTTTATCTATACAGGCCCTGGGAGTAATTTTATTTTATTTTTTTTAATTAACTGATGTGGAAAGTTGGTCCCTAAAAAAAAAAAAAAAAAGTCAAACCAAACAACAAGCTCTTCTAGTTTCATCACTGAATTGACAAAACCTATTGGCTATTTTAGGTCAAACAAATAGTGCCTCAATCAGTGATTAATCAATTAACATACAATTGTTGAGCCTTCCTGTTGGCCCAGAATTTTACAAATACTAAAGTGCATATAAAAGATGAAAAACATACTTTTGTCTTTATGGAGATTAAAAACTAAGATAGAGTAAAAAGTTATAAACTCAGGAGTTATGTAATAGATATTTTCTATAATCCTTGGTGTTGTCAGCATTGAGAAGAAAGTGATTAATAGGAAATATAGTATCCCCAGAAGACTATATTTTGCTCTAAGGCTGTTTCTATGGAATTTCAATGCCTCACTCTCCCCCAAAATTATCAATAAATAATAATTTCACATTTAGAATTCAATATGAAGAAGCACTTCTGCTTCCTGTAGTACAGCAGATAAATTATTCTGGATAGCCTTGTTATTTAGCATCTAGATGGCCAAATAAGTTGCAACAAATACATATCTAAATGATTGCTGAGCAGTGACAAATACAGAGCAGACACAGGAAGCAAACACCTAGGCATACTTTTGGAGCCTCTGTTTAAGGCTTTTAGCTTGGCAGGAACAGACAACGAAGCAACTGTCACAGTGTTCTAACTCTCTTTTGAGAAGTTCAAACATCTGGAACTATTCACTGAATTACATTGCATATAATTCCAGGGGCCTAGGATGGCTCCTGCAGTCTGCAAGACTCCAGCTCCTACTTGGACTCTCCATGGACTTTGATATCATTAGGCTAATACTAGAGTTGAATGGCTGTTGCAAATTTTCCTAATACTAGTGTTCACTGCTATAGCTAGCTTTCATATTTTGAAATTTTTTGCTACCTTTTTTGGGTTCTTTTAAGATATTAGAGTTTTATTGTCTTTGTATTCCCTGACCTTATACCTAAGCATTTATGAACTGCTTCATTGTATAAAAATGTTGCATTATCATTTTATTTTAAACCAAATTCTGATTATTTTCTAGTATATTCAATAATTTTACTTTTGTAATTAACAAAAATTTTATATATTTATGATATACAATATGATGTTTTGAGAGAGGGATACATACACACACACAAACACACACACACACACACACACACATTGTGGAATGATTAAACCAAGCAAATTAACATATACATCACCACATATATTAATACTTGTGATGAGAGTATTAAAATCTACTCTCTTGGTAATTTTCAAGTACACAATGCATTATTGTCATGGGTAGTCATCATGCATTTAAATAGATCTTCAGAACTTATTTCTCCTAAGCGAAACTTTGTACCCTTTGACCAACATTTCCCCTTACATCCCATCCCTGCCCTAGCTCCTGTTAAACCAACATTTCACTTTCTGCTTCTATGAGTCTGAGTTTTTTAGATTCCTTATATAAGTGAGATCATGCATGAACATTACCCAACGAGTTAAAAAAAGAACTATCATATGATCTAGCAGTTCCACTTCGGATATATATTCAAAGGATATGAAATCAATTACGTTGAAGAAAAATCTGCATTCCTGTGTTCACTGCAGCATTATTCACAATAGCCAAGGTATGGAATCTACCTAACTGCTCATCAATGGATGAATGGATAAAGAAAATGTAGTATATAGGTACACATTGAAATATTATTCAGTTTTAAAAAAGAAGACAACCTTGTCATTTGCAACAGCATGGATGAATCTGGAGGACATTATGCTAAGTGAAGCCATGCATAGAAAAACCATTTTACTTTCAAACTGCTATCTACCTTAGTTCTTTTTCTTTGTTAATATTGTAAAACATATCCTGAAAATTGCATGGTAGCTACTTTTTGGTCTGAAAACCTTGCAAATACACACACACACACTCTCTCTCTCTCATATACACACAACTTTTACCAAATAATTGAATGAATTAATATTAAAATAGACAGTGTGGGATTTTATTTTTAGTAGCAACTCAAGTAAACAGCTTGATTATACAAAATAATCTACATTTCACTGGGAATAGGTAGATAAAGGAGATAGTTGTCCCTAGAAAAGAAAATATATTTTTATACAAATAAGAAAAAGGCAAGATGAGATCAGGCACAAGCTTTGTGCAAGCTTACAGCTTTAATTTAGCTAAATATATGATATTAAAGTCATGCTTCTCTTTGCAAAGTAAATATGCATAGACAGAAAGACAGTGAGCCAAAACCTTAAGAAGAAGAGCTTTGAAGACAGACAACACAAAACTGCACTCTAATTCTGTATCTACCACATATGGACTTAGTGGCCTCATGGTTTTCATCTATAAATTTGAGACTGTGAAACCTATCCAGGAGGATTATTTTAAGTAATACATGACATAGAGATGTCTCCAATGTAGTTGGTGTTAAAACACTAACTAGTGCTCATCAAAAGCTATACCCTACTTTCTCACACATATACATACACCATAGCTATTTCCATCCATATTAGGTCATCATTAACTCGCTTTGAAAAGTAGGAGAGAAATATCAATTAAAAAAAAATATATAGACAACCCAGGCGAGGATCATCTGACATTATACAAGGTAGAGACTGCATTCCAGCTATAGCCTTTAATACTGGGCTTCCCTGTTAGGCAAATCTCCGGCTTTGCATTTACTATACTAGCAGCTCTTAGAAAACAGTTGAGAATTAATATTTAATTTCAACTTAGTGTTTATAAGACCAATTCTTGTTGGTGTTATTTACCTGCAAAATTGGTAGTAATATGTCTCTATTGTTTCCAGCCTGGAACACAACAAAGGAAAGGTGGAATCAAGAGTTACTTGTTAGTTGCATTCCAAATTTCAGACTTCATGAATAAGAGAGATTTAGTAAAAAAATATAGCATTAGCACTCAACTTCTTCTTATCTATAATCGATAATGGATGAGTTGAGATTTTAGAGAAATCTACTGCAATAAAGCTCAGTCATTCATTTTCAGTATTATCCATTAAGACAGTACAATGAGTGGAGGCACTAGAATATCAAGAGGTCCTCTCATAAAAACTACACATTGAATTGAAATAAAAGCTTCTTTTCTTACCCCAGAACAAACTGACTGTATCTAAAAGAAAATATAAAGTCTTATTCAGTTATGTGATTAACCGAGTGTTATTACTCTTATTGCTTCAAAGCAATTTAACATTATTTAATTAAAAGTTAATCCTTTTATGTTTAATTACATTTCTAGATTTTAATGAGAGTTAAGATAGTATCATATTGCCTTTGACTTGCATATTACTAGTTTGCCTTACATTTTCTAGAAACAGAAAGCCTAGAATGAAGAACCCCATCTCCTTGTTCCTCTGTCATCAATTTTTAAATGACAATACTCTTTTTTAAAAGCTCTCATTAAATGGTACCTAGATCCAACTCACTAAAACTAGACAGGGGCACAATATGCATAAAGATGCTCTTAACCTTCCCTCCCCTCCTAGTTGAATTATATCTGTAGAGGAAACCATTATCACAGAAAATTTCCATTCTTCTCAGGCACTATCACTCATATTATTGGAAGATGTTGGATACTTGGGGAGAAGTGTTAGAACTTTAAAGGGTATTTTTTAGTGTTCAACATTCTATTTAGTTTAGTCAATTAATTAAGAGAATAAATAAGGCCAATATGGTATAGCTAATACAAGCGTGTTGGCTTAGATGTCAGTGAGCTATCTCATTAATGCAGGTAATCAGTTCCAGGCTGTATAGAAATCAGGATATGATGGTGTAAGATTGCTCATAGACCAAAGACATTTTCAGGAAAACAGTTCAACTCCTCTACTGACACTTTGTCACAAAGGCTGTCTGAGAGTCCTTCCATCATAGACTAGCAGACTGGAAAGCACGTTAGGGCTTATCCCTTCATCTTAAAGATAAGAATTTGAAGCCCAGAAAAAAACAGTAATGTGGTTTATCTAAGCTCGGAAATCATATACATATGGAAGTGTGCATACAACAAGCATCAAAAAGATTAAAAATTCAGATAAATGTGGATCTGATGCGTTAGACACAATAAAAGAACACAAACGATTGTTTATATTGAAACAGTTAAGTATTACCCAATCTGAGGGAAATATCCACAGACTTCAGTGTTAGAAGGACCTAGACTCACATCCCAGCTCTGCAACTCAAATTCTATGACCCTTGTGCAAGTGACTTCAGCTCTCTAAACCAGAGTCCTAATTTTTTAAATTAAGAACAAAACTCCCATCTAGTATGGCTGCTGTGAGGAATAAACGAGATACTGTACATAAAAAATACCTAAGACAGTATCCTAGTAAAAGTGTATTTCTCCTTTCTATCCTTTTTTAAATCTATTAGTTGATTTGCTTTGGGGCTATAGAATAACATCCAAGGTGACAGGTGCCTGAAACTCAACAAAAAACAACTATTACGAAAAGGGAAGTATTAAATATTTTATTTAGTCTACCTATAGAAAAAAGTCTGGATTAACGTATATCAAGGACTTAACAGTATTTTTGTTTATGTTATAGGATATTTTAGTCCATTCAGGCTGCTATAACAAAATACCATAAATTGCATGGCTTGTAAACAACAAAAATGTATTTCTCATAGTTTTGGAGACTGGGGAGTCCAAGATAAAGCACCAGCAGATCTGGCATCTAGTAAGGGCCTGCTTTCTAGTTCACAGATACTGTTTTCTAACTGTATCCCTGCAAGGTTAGAGGTTAGAGGTTAGAGGGGCAAGGTAGCTTCCTTAGACCTCTTTCATAAGAGCACTAATCATCTTCCAAAGGCCTCACCTCCCAACACCATCATTCTAAGGGTTGAGTTCAACATACGAATGTTGAGGGGACACAAATATTTCAGACCACTGAAGGGGGCTGTAACTTTGAAAGCCCATATTTCACTAATATTTGAAATATTTTATAATGATAATTTATTACCTTGATGATACATAGGAAATATAAGCTAAAAAGGAGAATAATTAACCACAGCTATTATATACAACTCTTTCACTGCATTTACTATATCAGGTATGTTAATCCCCTTGGCTATTCTCCTTAGATTTCAAAATTTACTTAAGAGGACCAAGTGGACATGTTCAATGAGTAGAAGGAAGAATCCATATACAAATGTCATTTTTTGGTCAAGATGTGATTTTTTGGCTATCAATCCTTTTTAACAACTTGTATCCTTAAAACATATTCAGGCAAAACTTTTGATTCACAGACTTTGGCTTTCCTTACGCTTGTATTTTCCATTCCAAATAATAGAATGTTCTTTAACCTGTCCTATACATCAAAAATTTCAACATTTATTTGATCATCAAAACCCTTTCCATCTCTTATATAGTGTGCTACAAGTAGACACTATGGATATGTGATAAACCATTTGGTATATCATGAAGGTCACTACTTTCTGATTCTTTATGATGTAATCTAAACCTTGCTGTTTTTAGTAACTATTCTAAAGTGGGAATGGTTAATGAATACAAAAAAAAGTTAGAAAGAATGAATAAGACCTACTAGTTGATAGCACAAGAGAGTGACTGTACTCAGTAATAATTTAAGTGCACATTTTCAAATAACTAAAAGAGTGTGATTGGATTGTTTGTAACACAAAGGATAAATGCTTGAGGGTATGGATACCTCATTTTCCATGATGTGATTATTATGCATTGCACGCCTGTATTAAAACATCTTATATATCCCATAAATATATACACCTATAATGTACCCACAAATGTACTCAAAAATTTAAAATTATAAAATAATAATACATGCCGGGCATGGTGGCTCACGCCTGTAATCCCAGCACTTTGGGAGGCCAAGGCTGGTGGATCACAAGGTCAGAAGATCGAGATCATCCTGGCTAACATAGTGAAACCCCGTCTCTACTAAAAATACAAAAAAAAATTAGTCAGGTGTGGTGGCGGGTGCCTGTAGTCCCAGCTACTCAGGAAGCTGAGGCAGAAGAATGGTGTGAATCCGGGAGGTGGAGCTTGCAGTGAGCCAAGATCACACCACTGCACTCCAGCCTGGGCAACAGAGCAAGACTCTGTCTCAAAATAATAATAATAATAATAATAATAATAATAATAATAATGATACCTATGCTATATTCTTGGCACCTGTTCATCAGGGGATCTGTGAAAATCTTTGGAGTCCTTTTCTCCCAAGCCATTGAAAAACTACACATTTCACATTTGGGCAGCTACTGTTTTACTTCTGGCTGTTTCCTGCCATGTATTTCCTTTGAACTCATTAAGCTGGAAGCTTCCTGAGGGTTTGCATTTGGACAGTCTCCCCTTTATATCCTCAGCAAATAATAATGAACCAGAATAGGAAAGAAGTTTCTTTTCACATTATACTTACTGTTCTGTCCCTAACAAGAAAGCCAATTCTTTAATTTGATGGCAACCTCTATAGGCAAAAAATACTCAACTGATCTACTTCTTTGGGCTGAAAGCACCCACCTCTTAGCCACTTTTTTAAAATAGAAAACGGGATCTAATATTGTTGAAAAGGGAATTCAAAGACCAATGCACTATATTCCAAGAACCATGACATATGTTCAAAATAACTACTGACCACCCTTTCAAATTATTTACGGATTATATACAGTATTCTTGGAAAGCAAGAAAGAGAGAGAAAAAAGAGAGAGAGAGAGAGAGAAAGAGAGAGAGAAAGACAGAGATCTTTGATCTCCATATCTAAGAAGTTTGGCATTTGTAACATCATTATTCCCACAGGGCTACACTGTTTTCTCCTTCGCCATGTATTATAGCAATCTGTTATACTCCTTCTCTCTGTCCATGCACAGAAGAGAACATATGGGTTTTATGATTAATATAATGAAAAATTACCAAATCTAAGATTATTCATATGTTTCTTGCTATGCTCTGCTTGACGAATGTCATTAGAAACCCAATCCTAAAACTTTTAATGAAACTTTACAGGAGATTAATGTCTATGAAAATACGATCCTGAGTTAAGGATATATCTGTCCTTAGAGAACTATCATGAGAGAGAAACAATATGAATCAAAGAAAATAAGAGCTGCAGTCAAAATCTCAATGGGCATGGAGTGGTGCATTAACTACAATTAAGCAGGGAAAGGAAAAACACAGAAATATTGGGGGGTTTCTACATAGAAACTATTTTATAAAACATTAATTTTCATTTTTTAAAAAGAACATTTCTCTATGTAAGTGACTGAAAGCCAGTTTCTCCATTTCCCATAACTAAGCACACCTGGCTGAGTCCTTTAATAGTTTTTTACCCTAAGCCTCATCAAGCAGGGCAATATTTTAACAGTTGAAATGAGCAAGGAATTAATCTTGCTATCTTAAGCTCAGTTTCTTGATGTTTCTGAGGTAAGCCTTTGGGTATCCAAGCCGCAGTCACCTATTACCAGTTCACATTCACCAGTGCCACACCAAAGTCTCCATTCACCAAGTCACAGTCATCGGTCACCAGTTCAGTCACCAAATGCCAAGTCACAGTCTCTAGTCACCAGGTTAGTCACCAGTCACTAAGCCACAGTCACCAGTTACCACCACAAAGTCTCTATTCGCCAAGTCACAGTCACCAGGTTATAGTCATCAGGCAGCAGGTCACAGCAACTAGTCATCAAGTCAGTCAAGTAACTGAGTTATAATCACCAAGTGACAGATGTCAGTCTGCTATGGTCTGAATGTTTGTGTCCCCGCCAAAATTTCTATGTTGAAATCCTGATGTTCAAGGTGCTGGTATTAGAAGGTGGAGCCTTTGGGAGGTGATTAGGTCATGAGGGTCCTGTATAGAATGAATGTCCTCATAAAAGAAACCCAATAGAGGGAGATTCCTTGTTCCTTCTCACCATGTGAGGACACAACTATAATAGAAGGCTCCAGCTATGAATAAATAGACCCTCAGAAGATGCTCAATCTGCCAGGGTCTTGATCTTGGATTTCCTAGCCTGAAGAGTTATGAGAAATAAATTTGTTGTTTATAAGCCACCCAACTTGCAGTATTTTGTTGTAACAATCTGAACACATGCACAGTTCACGCCATGCTTTTTTAGTTTGATTGACTTTACGAAAGGCTGACAAACCTCTTCTGTAAAGAACCAGATAATAAATATTTCAGTTTTCTAATATCCATATCCTCCCTGCCAGACTACACTACCAACATGATTCACAAATAATTAGCTTGAGTCAGAGCAATGACGTACACTCTGGAGAAGGAGTTTGCTGTGTTGATTTGCTGCAATCTGCTTGACATTAAGATACAAGGTTCTGAGGATAATGATCCCCCAAAGGGCATAGCAAGTTCTCTGAGGCTTAAGTAGCATACTGAATTTGGAATGCATGGGATCAGGATTGAAATGTCCAGTGGTATAAAGAGCAGCATCATTTATCAAACCTGAAGATCACCCCCCACCTCCACATTCTCTCTGTTTCATCTGTATCATGCCCCTAGAGCTTATATGGTAACCCGGTAGCCGTATCTGTCTTTCCCAGGAGATTCATTTGACCCCGCAGTTTTCTTTTAAACTGATATGGTTTAGAACATTTAAAAATCAAATAATTTCTTATAAAAGCTCAGATAGACAGCTTTTTTTTTTTTTGAAAAATAAGTCTAAATAGCAAGAAACAAAAGCAACAGCCAAATAAACAAAAACTGGCTGTTGCCAAGCAGTAATTATCCCATTTCAGTGCTGCATGTGCCATCGCATTTGCTGATGCTCCACCCTGGCCCTCCCTGATTCACTTACTGCTTTACCTACCTAGCCTTGGAAAGCATTTTACCTTGAAAACTCAGCAGAAGAGAAAATAAATGCCAAAAAAGATTAAATTAGCCTAAGAGCATGTCTCTCTTCCCTGGTATAAATGTGAGTCACTGAGTTCAGAGTGTTCCTTTCCCCACTGGAAGAACCGGGTCTCCTTAACTGATCCTGACAGCTTAAGACCATGAATAGATTAGGGAGTCTGAACTCTCAAGACAGAAAGCTTTAGTCTTCAAAGTTGCTCATTGACTCTCCGGGTAGGCACATCTTCTACAGGAGCTCTCCCTGCCCATCAGCCTACTGAGGACATCGAAAGTAAGACTCATAGCTAACCACCATAGGTAAGGCAACTGTGTCAGGCCTGCTCTCTTACTTGAGATAATCTCAACGTGTATCACACAAGATGAAACACCATGGACACCATGATGTAACCAAGTTGGGCCAGTGACCCAGAAGGTTTTTGCCTGAGTCAGAGATGTGAAGTGGCAGGAGCTCATCAAATGTGAATTGTGAGGGAAGGAGAAAGCCCAAGCCCCTTAAAACTGACAACACAGAAAAGATGTGTGTGTGTGTGTGTGTGTGTGTGTGTGTGTGTGTGTGTGAATTCATAGAAGAGTAGAGGACACAATAATGGGAACTTGGTGATGGATCTGGTTGTTTTACCTGACAATACACATCCCTTGATCACAGAGTAAGGTCTCATGGCAGATGATACCTAGGACAAATGTACAGTCAGGCTTCATGGAGAACATGTTCTTCTGAGCCATGGGGCTAGAAATTTCTATCCAGTTCCCTGTAAGAGTCATCATTCAGAGAGTAGGAATAAATAATTTTTTGATTGATTTCAATTTATCCATGGTATGAAGACCCAGAGCATTATTTAAGGCCCTGTAAAAAATGCTGCCTCTGCTTTGAATGATTCTCTTCTGCTCTTCTACTCTTGTTTACTGATAACCTGGTTTCTGATTTTAAATTTGCTATTTTACATGTAAATTTTATTTAACTGCGTGATGGCTTTAATATATTTTTTAAATTTTTTTTTAAACAGCTAGTCTACAAAAGAAAAATCACAAGGCCCATTTGGCCTCATTCCCAGAAATGAAATGGTCTTACAAAATAGCACTTTTCTATACCACCACCACTCCCAATCCTCAGCTTCCCTCCAAACCACAAGTAACATTTCTGCCTGTATTAGTTAATTATAGGTATGAGGTACATGATGCTATATAATTTTGAGTATAATTAATTCTAATCTTTTTATGAGCAAAATATGCAAAACATTTTATAACAGCGATTTAACATACTTACAATGAGTAAAAATGTGAATTCACCTTTATCAGCATACCTGAATCTCTATTTCTCTCATCTTAGAAATAAAGACTAACATAAAACTGGCCTTAAGTAGTTGCAGATTCTTTGCCTAATCTTCTCTTTCACCATTTCCCACTCAAATGACCCTCTCTTTCCCTATTCACATATGGACTCTTATTGCATAATTTTTATTTTATTCAACAGTAAGTTTAGTATTATACATGCTAGGTATAAGCATGATAATGGACTATAGGTATATAAAGAAAAGTTTAACACTATATTTTCTTCAAAAATCTCATAATATTTTAGAATATATTTAAGTTAAAACATTTTACTAAGGGCAAGGCGGGCAGATCACGAGGTCAGGAGATCGAGACCATCCTGGCTAACACAGTGAAACCCCGTCTCTACTAAAAATACAAAAAAAATTAGCCTGGCGTGGTGGCGGGTGCCTGTAGTCCCAGCTGCTCCGGAGGCTGAGGCAGGAGAATGGCGTGAACCTGGGAGGTGGAGCTTGCAGTGAGCTGAGATCGCGCCACTGCATTCTAGCCTGGGTGACAGAGTGAGACTCTGCCTCGAAAAAAAAAAAAACATTTTATTAAGGCATTTATTTCTTTTATCAACTACAAATAACTGAGTACCTAATAACTGTCTGTTATTGTGTAAAGATGGGGTAAAAAGAAAAATCACTGCTGGTGATATCATGATGTTTACAATTCAGTGAGTGGATGATAGACAAAATGCATAAATTTAATATGTAATTAAAATAGAATAAATCTTATGAAGGTAAGTAGGATGCTGTAAAGACTAATAAAGGAAGAAATGTACTAAGAGATAGAAATTGCAAGGTCAAAAAGGGGCAGAGACATCAAGACATCAAATGAAAATCAAGAGAGCCAAGAAAGGAGACTTTAAATGAAAAGGATGGTCCATTCTGGCAAACAGCACTTTGCAGAACTGAGGAGTATTTTCTCATATGCCTATCTGGGCTGGGGGTTGGAGAGTGTTATGGAAAACATCTCAGAGAAGGTTACTCTGGAGTTGGGTCTTAGTACATATACAGAAGTCTGACAATATACAAAAGGAAGATGAGCCATATTTCTAGCAAAGGGGATAGATATACAAATGCATAGAAGTATAAAAATGTATAACCCACTTAGGTATGAGAAAGCCTACCCATAGAGCTGGGACATAAGTTCTTCAGTTGAGAGAAACAGTATCTGAAATATTGATAATGAAGTATGAAGAGGTCTTTCATGCCATAGTTAGGAGTTTGAACTTTATCTGGTAGAATACTGAAAAAATTTATTTTACATAGAAAAATGATGTGACCACATTTGTATTTGAAAAGGTCACTCTGATTATGAAGGACTAACACTAAGGGTAAGAATTTGGCAGAGGAAAAAAGAAGTAAAAAGGAGTACATTCTGATCATAACATAGAAAAAGTATATAGAATACAGAGTCTCAGTGTGATCCACCAAAGTAATTCAGTTATGAATTTATGAAGTTCAGAGTTATGGTGGTAGAAGAAAGTACAAAAAGCACAACAGATACAATAATGGAATATGCCCCAGGAGTTGACATCAGATAATCCAGAAAACTTAAGGGAGGCACAAAGCAAAAATGACTATAGGATTTATGATGGGAGCCCCATTAATCCAGATCAAAACCTCCTCTTATTTAAAATAAATAAATCAAAGGGATATCAAAGAAAGAATTACACATTCGAACCTGTGGTTCAAGAAAGAAGAAGCTTGAAGATTGTTATTTTTAGAACCATTCATTTAGCAAGTACAGTTGGATCCTTGAAAGTACACAAGAGAAAGCAACGTATAAGCCTTTTATAATAACTATAGATCCAGAAATACAGAAGATTAAGTACCAATCTATAGCCACAGCCTATATTTGGAGGCAGGAAAGACAGTACTAAGGAATATATTGAAACAACATCTAAAGGAAAAGGAGAACCAGAACACTAATGTGCCATGATATCCAGTAGATGAGAAGACGATGTTTTCAGACACTGGGTGAAAACTGACGTGTTTAGAGAGAGCAGTCACAGTAGATAAACAGAAGTAGAATCCAGTTGGCAAGTAGTTATGTGTATTAGCAGTAAAAGAAAATTCTTGCCTCTATATCCATTTCACTCTTTCCATTTCAAAGGGAGAATAAATTACTGCACTAGTTGCTCAGATTCAGGATTGTCATCTGACCACCTCTTACTGGTACGAAGAGTTATTCTACTGCAAAATGTTGTTTTTTTCTACTCTGTAACCCAAGATTGTACAACAGAGTCAGGGTGCCCACTTGGAATATGGCTATTTTTTCTTCTTAAAAACAGAGAGGTCGTGGTGGGCAGATTGCCTAAGGTCGGGAATTTGAGACCAGCCTGGCCAACCTGATGAAACTCTGTCTCTACTAAAAATACAAAATTAGCTGGGTGTGGTGGCACATGCCCATAATCCTAGCTGCTTGGGAGGTTGAGGCAAGAGAATTGCTTGAACCCGGGTGGCGGAGGTTGCAATGAGCCGAGATTGCACCCCAGCCTGGGCGACAAGATCAAAACTCAGTCTCAAAAAAAAAAAAAAAGAAAAGAAAAGAAAGAAAAAAAGGAAATGGTGGTTAATAGCGAATACCCAGCGGCTGATTTTGTTTTGCATTATCACTTGGGCAACGTAAAAAGCAAATTCAGAAATTTTGGATATCCTAAGGCAAGATTTGGTTATTTCTGCAATACTAAGTGAAATACATAGTACCACTAAAACTCCTAACAGGGAAGTGAGTGAGAAGCAACAAGAGATTATGAAAGTATACTACTGGTTCATTATTGAGGATATAGTATTTTTAGTTTTTAAAATTCTATTTTTTTCTTTTTATAGTTTATTTTTGTCCACTGAAATTTCCTAATTTTTAATGTACTGTGTACATTCCTTTATGTTCTTGACACAGTTCTCATAGCTGGTTTAAATTTGTTTAATTGGAACATTTGGGTCATTTCATGGTAGATCTTTTGGTTTCAGGTTGGTGTGATATGGAGACCCCAGATTTTGTTATTTTTCTCTGAAAGGTGTTGCTTTTTTGTTTTCACAGATAGTTTACTTGGTTGAACTCAGATTGCAAATTCTGTCTCTTGGTTGGCACCTCAAGTCTCAGTTCATATCTTTTGTCCCTGGCTGACCTATTTGGAATCTATTCCATGCATGAATATGTTAAGGATCAGCCAGAGATTTAGACAAAGTTTATACAAAGAGCTTGCAGCTCCTCCTGTCTGTCTCCTTTCCAGGGTTCATCTCTCAATTTTCAGAAGCAGTGATTGCCTTGAATTCTGTCTTTTGAGTATTCAAATGCCAAAGGCCCCTCAAACACCTTCAAATTAAGATGATTTCTAGATTCCTCATCATTCTGCCAGTGATATTCTGAACACAGCATGATTTAAATGACCTTGTTTAAATACAATTTTTAAGAAAGTTTCTGTTAGTACAAAACATTTTATGGCGATTATCTCCCTTACCCAGGACAGGATATTTTAATTCATGCTATTAAGATTGCATTCACATTGTGGTAGCCATCAGTTCCTTTAAAGCTTCAGAACAATTAAAATCATCAAATTGTTCTTTTGTTTTGTTTATCACAAAGCAAGTTCTCAATCAATATTTGTCAATTAAAAGAACATCAACAAAAGCCTCCTCTACTTTGCAGACATGCAATTTATTTAGGACTTGACCTAAAATTATCTCCACATAATTTCAATGGGTTTGTCATAGATTCATTCATTAATTCATATTTATTCCTTCAGGAAATATTTATTGTAAACCTTTCAGGCACTTGGGAACACAGTAATGAACAGCACTGACAAAATTATTGTTCATATGTAATTCATATTCTAATCTGGGGTGCTAAATAATACACAAGCAAACAAGTAATATTGTGAGATAATGCAATTATGAAGAAAATAAAACAGATAATATGGTAATATAGAGTGAGAGAGGACGTTTTATTTGAATTGAGCATTAGTGATGTCCTATCTAAAGAAGTGTCATTTGACCTGAAATATGAATGCTGACATCAAGCCTATGAAACAAGTTGAAATCTAGGTGTTATCATAGTGATCTTTTTCCTATATTTGAGCCATCTGCAGATAACTCTATGTCTTTTTCTCATTCTTTAGAAATCCTGAAAAGCTCAGAGTCAGAGACATAGCCATGTGACAATTCAGTAAATTGCTCTTTTTTTTTTGGAGATGGAGTCTTGCTCTGTTGGCCAGGCTGACGAGCAGTGCAGTGGCTACTCACCAGCATGATCATGGCACACCGCAGCCTGGAGCTACTGGCCTCAAGTGTCTGCTTAGTTCATTATATTGTTCCTTCTGGCCAACATGCTCTATGAACCCTCTTTGGGTATTTTAAGTCATGAAGTAATGATTCCATTTAATGTTTATGCAGTGTTTCTCTATCCAGTCATGATTATATCATCAGATAATTTATTCAATTATATTTTTCACTTATTAAATTTTTTTCTCCATTTTTTAACCAAAGCAATTTACACTGGTTTGAGTTCTATATCATTTGTCTTTATCTTTCATCCCCTCATTTATTCCAAATGACAAAGTGCACATATATATGTATGTATAAAAATAATAGAAGATAAAAAATTTCTGAGCGTGGGCCAGGCGTGGTGGCTCACGCCTGTAATCCCAGCACTTTGGGAGGCCATGGTGGGCAGATCACCTGAAGTCAGGAGTTCTAGACCATCTTGGCCAACATGGCAAAACCCCGTCTCTACTAAAAGAAGACAAAAATTAGCTGTGCATGGTAGTGGGTGCCTGTAATCCCAGCTAGACCATCCTGGCCAACATAGCAAAACCCCGTCTCTACTAAAAAAAAAGATAAAAATTAGCTACACCTGGTTATGGGCGCCTATAATCCCAGCTACTCGGGAGGCTGAGACAGAAGAATTGCTTGAACCCAGGAGGCGGAGGTTGCAGCAAGCCAAGATTGCACCACTGCACTCCAGCTTGGGTGACAGAGCAAGACTCTGTCTCAAAAAAATTTTTTTAAATTAAAAAAAATTTCTGAGACTGTGAACATGGCAAGTATTCATCTTTCCTTTTTCGCTAAACTACCAAGTGTCAAAAACAATGTCTCTTACATAGTAGGTAGGCAATAAATGTAAAATGAATTATTAAATAAAATAATTGAGTATAGAAAGATATTCAATTAAATGGCCATAAAATAAGGAAATAATTGATACAATCGGATAAATGAAAGGGTTTTAGCAAACTGTTATATCCTGGACAAATGGAGCATTTTCTACATGAGTAATGGAGGTAACATTATCATTCTTATTCCATAGCAACATAATTTATGACATCAAATTCCTGGTGGGCAAACTGCCATTACAAATTTCGTGTTTTATGTCATGATGCATATCACAGTTCTTCAGATAGCATCTAGTAAGTATGTATCTTGACATAGTCACCTATTAAACTTTACCTATGGAAGAAAAATGATCCAATATAATATAGTAGATGAGAAAGATTCTCTGAGCCCTTATTTAGTCATTCCCAGAGAAGAAAGTGGTCACTTTGAAGAACAGTCCTTTCTAAAATGTTTCTTGATGCTATACATTTTATACCAGTTTTATAACACATCTTCATAACAAATTGTACGCTATCTTCCATCATCTTCTAATTGTTGGTTATAGAGATAAGCCAGTTAGGAAAGAAAATCCAACCTGATTTGAATTTATTTCCTTCTACTAAATGTTATTTGCCAATACAAATGTAACGTGCACACAATCTACCCTAAAAGAGAACAATATTTCAGCAAGCATGATGGGAAAAATTTAAAACTACTCACATCACTTCAAGGAAATGCACCCTAGGTCTGGTTTTGATATAATACACAGCATATAAATGTTTCTGTATATAGAGAACACAGAACACTTCATTATAAATTTTAATAAATTACAAAACACTTAGGAATGCTTAGATTTGTACATGTTAGGTTGGTTATTTCACTTTTCTCTATCTCAGACTAATTAATCTTTATTCTTATATCTTTTGAACCATATTTTAATCTCCTTAGTATGCATTATATCCAAATTTTTAAAAAATCTTTAGAATTATGGTGTTAAACTGGGCACACAGCTCCAATAACAGGTGTTTAATAAGTGCTGGCTTTCCTGGGAGGATCAAGGCACTGTGCTTACATGCTGTTCTCAAGTCTGTGAGTCCCAAGGTTATACTCACAAATGAAAGGAATGCAAGAACTTCTAAAGGAAGGAAATCAATGAAAATATTTCATAATTACTTTGCTTCCTTAACATTCTGAAATAAAATGTTTGCCTCGACAATATATATAAGCAGCACTATCATTTTAGAAAATGCATGTGCACACATAAACACTCCTAGGCTAGACCCAAGCACCTACAGCACTGAGCATTTGCACATTGATTTCAGGGTACTATATTAAGGAATAATCTGATATTTTGATCGCTATGGTCAAATAAAAATACAGGGGAATAAAAAGTCAACCTCCAATGAGTCATCCTTATATATCTTCAGAAAAACATATTTTACTCCTTAAAAGAAAATAATATATTAACAATATTCTCAGTGCTTCCAAATTATTTTATGCTTATATGTTTATATAAAATCTTTATAATTTTAATGCTTATAACATTTTATATGTTTATATAAATATCCTTGGAAGCACCAAGAATATCATCAATCATGTATAGCCAGAAATAATGTTGGAAGGTAAGAAAATAAAAATAATACATTAATAAATGAAATATCTTCTTACCAATAGTCTCTAAGCTCAATCTAGAAAAAGGTAATTATCCAACTGAGAAAATAAATTATTTTGTATTTTTTTAGTAAGGCATTTCTCTCTTTTTTATTAAAATTTTAAACGAACACATGAAATACTATGTATTTATCATGTACAACACATGTATATACACTGTGGAATGACTAAATCTAACCAATTAACATATACATTATCTCACATTGTTATCATTTTTGTGGTAGAAGCACTTTACATCCACTCTTTTAGCATTTTTTAAGACTACAATACAGTCAACTCTTGAACAACGTTGGGGTTAGAGGTACCAAAACCTTGTGCAGCTGAAAACTTGTATATAACTTTTAACTCCCCCAAAACTTAACTACTAATAACCTACTGTTGACTGGAAGTCTTATCAATAACATAAACAGTTGCTTAACACACATTTCATAAATTATATGTATTATATACTGTATTCTTACAATAAAGTAAGCTAGAGAAAAGGAAATGCCGCTGGGTGTGGTGGCTCAAGCCTGTAATCCCAGCACTTCCGGAGGCCGAGGCAGGTGGATCACTTGAGTTCAGGAGTTCATGACCAGCCTGGCCAACATAGTGAAACCCTATCTCTACTAAAAATAGAAAAATTTGCTGGGCATGGAAGTGCACACTTGTGGTCCCAGCTACTCAGGAGGCTGAGGCACGAGAATCACTTGAACCCAGAGGCGGAGACTGGAGTGAGCCAAGATTGCACCACTGCACTCCAGCCTGGGTGACAGAGTGAGACTCTGTCTCAAAAAAAGAGAAAGAGAGAGAGAGAAAAGAAAATGTTAAATCATAAGGAAGAGAAAATATATTATTCATTAATAGGAAGTGGATCATCATAAAGGTCTTCATGCTCATTGTCTTCATGTTGAGTAGGCTGAGGAGGAGGAAGCAGGGGTGGGTCTTGTAGTCTCAGGGGTGGAAGAGGTAAAGGGAGTGGAAGGGGAGGCAGGAAAGGCAGGCTCACTCTCTGGAACTTTTATTGAAAGAAGTCCACATATAACTAGACCCACACAGTTCAAACCTGTTGTTCAAGGATCAACTGTATATATTCTTTTAATTTTTGAAAATCATTTTAAAAATTTTCTGTGGGTACATAGGTTTATATATTTATATGTGGGTATAAGAGATGTTTTGATACAGGCATGCAATGTAAATAAGCACATCATGGAGAATGGGATATCCATCCCCTCAAGCATTTATCTTTTGAGTTACAAACAATGCAACTGCATTCTTCAAAATACTATTAAGTATAGTCACAATGTTGTATAATAAATCTCTTGAACTTATTTTTCCTATCTAACTGAAATTTTGCATTCTTTTATCAACATCTCTCTAAATACCCCAACCACCCCACCCCCGGTAACAGCCACTTAACTCTCTACTTTTAAGAGATCAATGTTTTTACATTCCAGATGAGCAAGAATAGTGCTGTAACTAGTGCTGCCATGAATATAAGAGTGCAGATACGTCTTCAACATGGTGATTTCACTTCCTTTTGGTATATACCCAGTAGTGGGAATGCTAGCTCATATGTTTCATTTTTAATGTCTTGAGAAACATCCAGATTGGGTTTTTTAAGTTCTGGGATAAGCGTGCAGAACGTGCAGGTTTGTTACATAGGTATACATGTGCCATGGTGGTTTGCTGCACCTATTAACCCTGTCATCTAGGTTTTAAGCCCTGCATGCACTAGGTATTTGTCCTAATACTCTCCCTTCCCTTGCCCCCCAAATCCCCAAGAGGCCCCAGTGTGTGATGTTCCCCTCTCTGTGTACATTTGTTCTCACTGTTCAACTCCCACTTAGAAGTTACAACATGTGGTGATTGCTTTTCTATTCCTGTGTTAGTTTGCTCAGAATGATGGCTTCCAGCTTCATTCATGTCCCCGCAGAGGACATGAACTCATCCTTTTTTATGGCTGCATAGTATTCCATAGCATATATGTGCCACATTTTCTTTATCCAGTCTATCATTGACAGGCATTTGGGTTGGTTCCAAGTCTTTAATATTGTAAATAGTGCTGCAATAAACATACGTGTGCATGTGTCTTTATAGCAGAATGGTTTATAATCCTTTGGGTATATACCCAGTAATGGGACTGCTGGATCAAATGGTATTTCTGGCTCTAGATCCTTGAGAAATTGCCACACTGTCTTCCATAGTGGTTGAACTAATTTACACTCCCACCAAGAGTGTAAAATCATTCCTTTTTTTTTTTTTTTTTTTTTGAAACGGAGTCTCACTCTGTCACCCAGGCTGGAGTGCAGTGGCACGATCTCGGCTCACTGCAAGCTCCACCTCCCGGGTTCATGCCATTCTCCTGCCTCAGCCTCCCAAGTAGTTGGGACTACAGGCACCCACCACCATGCCCGACTGATTTTTTTGTATTTTTAGTAGAGACGGGGTTTCACCGTGTTAACCAGGATGGTCTCGATCTCCTGAACTCGTGATCCACCCGCCTCGGCCTCCCAAAAAAATCGTTCCTATTTCTCCACAGCTTTGCTAGCATCTGTTGTTTCCTGACTTTTTTAATGATCACCATTCTAACTGGTTGTGAAATGCTATCTGATTGTGGTTTTGATTTGCATTTCTCAGCTGTTATTCATATGTTTGTTGCATCCAGATTGTTTTCCATGATGGTTTTACTAATTTACATTCTTACCAGCAGCGTGCAAGGGTTTTGTTTTCTTCACATCCTTGCCACACTTACCTTTTGTCTTTTTGATAACTGTAAATCTAACAAGTATAAGGTGATATCTTACTGTGGTTTTAATTTGCATTTCCCTGATGATAGTAATTTTGAACATTGTTTAACATGCCTATTGGCCATTTGTATGTCTTCTCTTGAGAAATGTCTATTCAGATGCTTTGCCCATCTTTAAGTTGAGTTGTTTTCTTTTTTTCTTTTTTTGTTTGAGATGGAGTCTCACTCTGTTGCCCAGGCTGGAGTGCGGTGGTGCCATCTCGGCTCACTGCAAGCTCCACCTCCCGGGTTCATGCCATTCTCCTGCCTCAGCTTCCAGAGTACCTGGGACTACAGGCGCCCGCCACCATGCCCGGCTAATTTTTTTTTTTTTTTGTACTTTTAGTAGAGACAGCATTTCACCGTGTTAGCCAGGATGGTCTCAATCTCCTGACCTCGTGATCTGCCCCCTCTGCCTCCCAAAGAGCTGGGATTACAAGCGTGAGCCACTGCGCCCGGCCAATTGCGTTGTTTTCTTACTACTGAGTTGTCTGTGTTCTAAATTGCTTTAATGAAGTATGGTGATTTCTTAGTGGCTGAATTAGACTCTCTATCACTCAGTGGGGGCACTGATTTAACAAAACATCTTCCCCTGCTTTATGAGGATTTGTCCTTTGGTTAACTAACTTTGTTTCTCTAGGCAACAGATAAAGGTAGAATGTCAACTCTGCTACTAGAAAATATTGATTATAATATTATAGAAATGATCCCAGACTTCATTTTGACTGGGAGAAATACAAATACATGATTGAAGGTGTTGGGGACACCCGGTAGGGACACGCACTTTGGGCTTCCTTCCCTAAGTATAGTGATGCCTGTATCCAGAAATTGCCACCGGAAGCTATGCTTATGGAGATAATACAAGAGATTTTGTCTCTTGGCTTGTAAGTAAGATTTTGACATGTGGCTTGTAAGTAAGGGATGCTATGGAATTTACCCATGTAAATCTCACCTCCTTGTATCTGAGATATCACTTGGGAGAAGATAATTCCCTGTTAGCTGCGTAGAATGCTACAAAACTACTGCAGAAGAGAAATGCCTGGCACTGCTCTGTTAGCAAGATAGAGTCCTCTTCTAAGTAGATTGGTGCCAAATATAGTATATGGTGGCCTTATGAGCCTGAGTGTTGACTTGGGCCACCCCTATAACACATATATACATGTAGTCCTTACACACTGAAATATGTTGTAGACATAATGTGCTCAGGTCTCCAGTTTTAAATAAATATGTCTTTTGGGGTGAGGGGGATGGTGGGGAATGGAGTCTCCCTCTTGTTGCCCAGGCTAGATTGCAGTGGCACAACCTCAGCTCACTGCAACCTCCGCCTCCCGGGTTCAAGCAATTCTCCTGCCTCAGTCTCCTGAGTAGCAGGGATTACAGGCACCCACCATACCACCATGCCTGGGTAATTTTTTTTGTATTTTTGGTAGAGATGGGGTTTCACCATGTTGGCCAGGCTGGTCTCCAACTCCTGACCTCAGGTGATCCACCTGCCTCAGCCACCAAAGTGCTGGGATTATAGGGATGAGCCACTGCACCCAGCCAAATATGTCATTTTTAAAGACCTAATATGATATATCTTGTGTGAGTGCCTGTGTGTGTGTATGTGTGTGTATGTATTTGCCACTAACATACTCAGGGTGAGTACTTTGTCTTTAGAGATTATAAATACAATAATAGAACCAGCTGAGACTGGTTTGCTTCTTGAGATCTCCAAGTATCCACAATTTGAAACGATGTCAATGATAAAATATTCTTCCCCACAGGAATAAAAAGCTCCCACTTTCCTACCTTTGCTACATGCTGATGGCAGCAGTGGCCCATCTAGAGCGGCCACTGCCAAAACACTGCTGCAGCAGGGAGGTGCAGCTGGGGCTATACACTCCACGGAGCAGGCAGGAGCACCGTGCTCCACACACACTCCACGGAGCAGGCAGGAGTCCTGTGTGCTGCTGCAGCTGTCCAGATTCAGGCCTCTCTGTGCTCTTGGGGGCAGGCTTGGAAGTGCCTTTCCCTGCTGCCTGCCTTCTCCCTGCTGTCAGTGCCTGCTCCAATATCAGAGGCATGGCCGGGGTTGCATGCTATACTGAGCCAGGGGAGCCGGGGACAAGCGGGAGCCCTGCCCTTTCCAATTTTGCTGGGTAGGAGCTCACAGGTGCAGCTGCAGCCACCCAAGCCCAGCCGTGGACCCAGGTATATCGGTGCTCTTGGAGGCCCAGGAACGACCTCCTGCCCTCTGAAGGCCCAGAAGTGCCTGCTCCCACTGCCTGGCCTCTCTCCACTCCCCCGGGGCACCCACTTCAATTGTGGAGCAAGGTTGGGGCTGAGCCAGGGGGCTTTCGCAGCCCAGTGGGGTGGGCGCACACTCAGGGGAGACCTGACATGCCAGCCCCCTGCCACCTCTGTCCCCTCTGGACTTTGGGCACTGAGGAGCACAGGAGGGAAGCTGAAGGGGGTTTGAGGCAGCTCAGCGCTGGCCTGCAGGCACCCCTCAGCAAGAACAGCCCAGGGACCATGGACCGTAGCAGAAGGCAGACAGGCTCTTGGGCCATAGATCATGGCAGGATGCGGATAGGCTCCTAGGCGGAAGCAGACGGGTCCTGGTGAAGCCTCACCTTCAGTGTTAGGAAGGCCTAAAGCCTCTGTAGGGGCTGCCAGACCTGCTAACTCAAGGGGGAACTCATGGTGCTTTTTCCTGGCCCCACCCATGGCTGCCCATGGACTCACCAGCATGCACTTCCTCCCTCTGAAGAACATAAAATCCTCAGGACTCAGCCAGAGCAAAGCAGAGCAGACATCCTGACAACCAGCTGCAGAGAGCTGTAGACATCCCAATGACCAGCTAGAGAGAGGAGCTACCCTCTCTGCTGAGAGCTGAACACTCATCAGGATGACCTACCTACAAGAGAGGAGCCACCCACTCCAGGGTCTCCTCTCTGCTGAGAGCTGAACACTCCATGGGGACGACCTGCCTGCAAAGAGGAGCTACCCACTCCAGGCCTCCTTTCTGCTAAGAGCTGCAGAGATGGGAGGACCTGCCTGCAGACAGGGGCCACCCAGTCCAGGGCCTCCTCTCTGCTGAGAGCTGGACACTCAACGGGGATGACCTGCCTACAGAGAAGAGCTACCCACTGCAGGACTCCTCTGAGCTGTTCTAACACTCAGTAAAGCTCCTCTTTATCTTGCTCAACCTCCACTTGTCTGCATAACTCATTCTTCCCAGACGCAGGACAAGAACTTGGGCAAATGTGTCATTGGCCACAGAGGTTTCTGGCCAGAAAAGCAACAGCCCAAAGATTCCATAACACATGCCACAAGCTGTTTATCAAACAGCATCCAACTTTCAAGGAGATTTATGTAAATCTAATGGGAGTTAGAATCCAAGGCCCTAGGTAGACTTATAATTGCCAAATGATTAGGAACCAAAAGAATAGTTACTAGTAATTTTATTGTAACAATTGCATTCTTATCTCCTTTCATTAAAGCACTTTCCAAGGAGTCTAAAACCACTGCTAAAATACAGCGACTTCCCCCACCACCACCATGACCAACAATACCAGAACTTTACAGATGAGGTGAGTCAGGGAAGAGACTAACCAGGGTGGTGAAGGCATTTTTCCATAAAACAGTTTAGGCAAAAAGGAGATGAAACTATTTTGAGTTTCCACTATATTTTGGCCTATACTTGGCTTTTAATGAAAAAAAATTCACAATAAAAGTAAATGTACAGATGCCTGGTAATCTTAAAGTTACCTTAAGTAGACCTAGATAGCTATAGTGTAAAGGCAAAGTTTTAAGAGTTTTAACGAGACCTGTTATCCATCATTAGAGTCTAATCTACAAACTCCCTTCAATTCTAATTCAGACATAGCAGGAAACTCCAAACAAAGAACATATATTTGTTAGAAGAAAGAGACACTCAAAAACTCTCCAAAGAGAAAGGAAAAGCATAGATGTCTGCAATTTAACATCTCTTTGCGTCTACTCAGATCTATTTGGCCACTTTGCCAGTGAGTAACAGATTTCATCCTCATTATTTTCAATCCAGGTCAATGTCTCTGAAATTCTAGTAGTCTTTGGTCTAAATGTTGTCAAGGTCCTTTCTTCTTTCAAAGTCTATGGACTTTTAATTCACTAAAATTGTTGGCTATATATAGAACCTGATAAAAGAAACACTTAGTAAATACATCTCTATTCCTTGAAAAACAAATCACAGTCATGCCATAGTTCGGTAAGTAATTGTTTTTTCTTTCCATATTTTTTTTTGAGATGGAGTCTTGCTCTGTCACCAGGCTGGGGTGCAGTAGTGTGCTCTCGGCTCACTGCAACCTCCACCTCCCTGGTTCAAGCAATTCCCCTGCCTCAGCCTCCCGAGTAGCTGGGATTACAGGTGCATGCCACCACGTCCAGCTAATTTTTTTGTATTTTTTGTAGAAACAGGGTTTCACCAGGTTGGCCAGACTGGTCATGAACTCCTGACCTCAGGCAATCCACCCACCTCGGCCTCCCAAAGTGCTGGGATTCCAGGCGTGAGCCACCACACCCGGCCTCTTTCCATCTTTAAAATGCCTTTTGCATTGTGACTGTGTCTTATCCAAGCTTAGTCTCCTTGATCATTGATTTTTGAAAAAGTTATTGAAATCTCTTATTCCACAACTAAATTATGCCTCTGTAAGTGATATAAATAGTTTAGACATTCCCTTTTCCTCCATTTATCTTAATCGAAAGTTACTTCAATAAAGAACGCAAGTGCTATGGTAATCAGCTTTATGAATCAGAGAAGAATTAGGAGAGGAATCCAAGGACTAGGATGTAATCAACAAATGACATTGGTCAGTAAGTGTCAGGCTAATAGAATTGTTTTAAATCTTGGATAAATTAAGGTAAGACCACATAATTTCAGACACTACAAATAATTCCCTACTGGGATGAAATCTTTTGTAGACAAGATCAGAGATCAATGACAACTAACTACTTTAAACACAATGCATTCCTTTCTCATTAAATGTTTCTGTAAATGCTTTCTCAGCAATGGGATAAACTAGTTTCCAGTAGACACTAATTCTACATATAAGTGTGTAAAGTATAACATCTTTTTAATTTTTAAAATCCAGAAGAATGTTATATTTCTGAGAGAAAATATCCTCTGAACTACTATGCCTTCAGTGTCTTAAGAAATACAAGCAACCAGCTCAACTTAAAAACAAAACCACAAATCTTTGAAACAAGATTATATATGGTGTATAGTCACCAGGAAGAAGGTGGTATTTTAACATTCAAGGGAAATATGTCATTATCGCACATTAGCAGCAGTACTAAACTGTAACTTACAGCAAAGACTATGTTGCCTGCATATTTTTGTTATTGTGAGCTTGATGGCAAAGGGAAAGATGAATGGGAATTATGCCTGGAAAATAAATAAATAAATGAATAAAACATAATTTTAATTTGGTAAGAAAGAAAAAAACTTGAAGATAAAATTAAATAAGAAAAAGAGAGAAAAATGGTACAGGGGAAAAACACTCAGCCCTGACTTTACCTGAATATCCTGGTGGGTACTATGATACAGAACCAATAAAGAATGCCTTGCATTATGAGCAAGATAGCCCATTTGAGATTATCATTCATTCCTGCCCTAATGTTAAATAAGCCTGGGGTGGTAGAAAGGGTAGGGGCTTTGGAACCAAATAGAAATGGGTTTCGATTAAGTCTCCAACAAATACTGTGCATGAGAACATGGCCAATTCATCAACCACTCTGGGCTTTAGTGATTTTCTGAATTTTAGGAATAATATTAGGAATTTATTCTCTCATAATTCAGGAGGCAAGAAGTCCAAAATCAAGGTGTTGGCAAGACTGCACCTCTCTAGAGGCCCCGGGCCTTCTAGCTTATGGTGGATTTAGGCATTCCTTGGCTTCCTGCTGCATCACGCCAATTTCCGACTCTGTCTTCACATGGTTTTCCCCTCTGTGTGTTTTCTTATCTTCTGTCTCTTAGGTGGCATTTACCATTGAATTTAGGACCCATTTGGATAATCCAGGATGATCTCATCTCATCTCAAGATCCTTAACTTCACTTTATCTACAGTGACCCTAATTTCAAGTAAGTTCACATTCATAAATTTTTGGACATGAGTTTTTGGAGGCCTATCATTCAACCTACTACAAGACCTAAAACAGAAAAATACTCAATAAATGGCAGATGTTTCCTTATAAAATGTAAAATGCATAAATTTATAGGAAGCTGGAGGAAGATATAGAAGGATGAACAGTGAAACATAGAACACTGAAAGTAAAATCTGTCCTCAGTTAACTAAGATCACCATTTTTCTAAGACTGAAAGACTTATTTAAATTGTGTAATTTTCTTATATTCACTTAAGTTCACTATTTTACAGAATAGTTCTAGAGAGAAAGAGCCATGCCCTACCATTTCTTATTATATATCAAGGCCATTATACAGTGCCTGGTATTTAGTGGGAGGTCAATAAATATCAATTAAATAAATGAATAAATAGAGAGAAATGTCCATATGCAAAAGTCTCTCTGTTAGCCAGAAATGGTGGCTCATGTCTGTAGTCCCAGCTACTCAGGAGGCCAAGGCAGGATGATCCCTTGAGACCAGGGGTTCAAGACTAGCCTGGGCAACATAGCAAGATCCTGTTTCTAAAAAATAAAAAATAAAATAACTTTAAAAGTCTCACAGCTAACTGAACCAGAGCTATGCTTAGAAACTGGTTTTTCTGGTTATCATTGCTAGTATTGGAAGACCATTTTTGTGTTTGTTAGTTTCTTTTTAATACAAGCAAATTAAGTTGCACATTAGTACTGTATGAAAGTACCCAGAGGAATTCATCCTGCTGTTTGAGTTGGAACTACTAGGCGGCCAATCAGTCATTTAGGGAGCCTCATCACTGACAAAGCCATATGGTTCTGATTAGTTACACTGAATAGATCAAAGGGATTCTCTGCAAGATAATATTAGTACTCAAAACATGTCATGAGCAACCAGAGCTAGGATTATTGCAAAAAGGAGCCTATGTGGTAGGATTTGGAGAGCACTGGAAAAGGTTCCTGCCAAAATGTATCTTCCACTTTCTGAAAGTTTCATGGGAGATTATTCTTTAGTGGGTGAAGACATTGCATTTTTGAAAAATCTCCCATAAAAATGCAAATACTCCCTAAGAGAGAAACATATTTTAAGTTCTCTATTAAGCAATGTAAATGTGTGGAACACATACAGTGTGTGGCATTGAGAGGTGACAGTGTGCTGGCAGCCCTTGCTCGCTCTCAGTGCCTCCTCGGCCTTGGTGCCCACTCTGGCTGCACTTGAGGAGCCCTTCAGCCTGCCACTGCACTGTGGGAGCCCCTCTCTGGGATGGCCGAGGCCAGAGCCGGCTCCCTCTGCTTGTGGGGAGGTGTGGAGGGAGAGGCATGGGCAGGAACCTGGGCCAGCATGAGTTCCGGGTGGATGCAGGCTCAGCGGGCCCCACACTTGGAGCAGCCAGCTGGCCCCTGGCTGTGAGGGGCTTAGCACGCAGGCCAGCAGCTGTGGAGGGTGCGCCGGGTCCCCCAGCAGTGCCGGCCCGCCAGCGATGCACTCAAATTCTCATTGAGCCTCAGCTGCCTCCCCACAGGGCAGGGCTCGGGACCTGCAGCCCGCCATGCCTGAGCCTCCCCACCCACCCCATGGGCTACCGCATGGCCCAAGCCTCCCTGACGAGCACCACCCCCTGCTCCACAGCGCCCGGTCCCATCGGCTGCCCAAGGGCTGAGGAGTGCGGGCGCATGGTGTGGGACTGGAGGGCAGCTCTGCCCACAGCCCTGGCGTGGGATCCACTAGGCAAAGCCAACTGGGCTCCTGAGTTGATTGGGGACTTGGAGAACTTTTGTGTCTAGCTGGAGGATTGTAAATGCACCCATCAGCATTCTGGGTCTAGCTCGGGGTTCGTGGATGCACCAATCAGCACTCTGTGTCTAGCTCAAGGTTTGTAAACGCACCAATCAGCACCCTGTGTCTAGCTCAAGGTTTGGAAATGCACCAATCAGTGCTCTGTGTCTAGCTAATCTAGTGAGGACTTGGAGAACTTTTATGTCCAGCTAAAGGATTGTAAATGCACCAATCAGCACTCTGTGTCTAGCTCAGGGATTGTAAACACACCAATCAGCACCCTGTCAAAACAGACCAATCAGCTCTCTGTAAAACGGACCAATCAGCTCTCTGTAAAATGGACCAATCAGCTCTCTGTAAAATGGACCAATCAGCAGGATGTGGGTGGGGTCAGATAAGGGAATAAAAGCAGGCTGCCCAAGACAGCAGCAACAACCCGCTGGGGTCTCCTTCTTTACTGTGGAAGGTTTGTTCTTTAGCTCTTTGCAATAAATCTTGCTGCTGCTCACTGTTTGGGTGCGCACTGCCTTTATGAGATGTAACACTCACAGCGAAGGTCTGCATCTTCACTTCTCAGGCCAGCGAGACCACGAACCCACTGGGAGTAATGAACAACTCCGGACGGGAGGAACAAACAACTCCAGATGCACCGCCTTTAAGAGCTGTAACACTCACTGCAAAGGTCTGCAGCTTCACTCCTGAAGCCAGCGAGACCATGAACCCACCAGAAGGAAGAAACTCTGAACATGTCTGAACATTAGAAGGAACAAACTCCGGACACACCATCTTTAAGAACTGTAACACTCACTGCGAGGGTGCGCAGCTTCATTCTTGAAGTCAGTGAGACCAAGAACCCACCAATTTTGGACACACCATTGTGCTACACATTGTGAAGTCTATGACAACAAACAGGATACTGCACTTGCTCTCAAGAAGTTTGTGGTCCAGTGAGACAGACAACATCTGTACAACGAAATCTAATTCAAGGCAGAAAGTCTTATATTCCAAAATAAAGATGCCAAGAGTGATAGGAACATAAAGACTGAAGCTATTAATTCTGACTGAAAGGAAAAAGAAGTGAAAAGTAGTAGAACTTCAAATGGATTTTGAAAAGTAGGCTGGGTTTTGACAAGGAAACATGAAGGACAGGCCATTAAAAGATAAGTAGGAAAACATAATGCTGTCCACAGCCAAATAATCATAATAACAAGGAACAGGGAGCAAAAGAATAGAGGGGTGAGAAGGAAAGCACCAACTCTATCTTAAGTTTTTAACATGCTTTCAGTATTTTCTAGGATTGCAGAGGAAGCCCAGAAGGACAAACAAGTACTGGGATGTTGGATTTGGGGGATGGAAGGCCCTGAGAAAGTCAAAGACAGCACATTCAGAAAAGAGCACGCTTTCGGAAGACCAAGTCCAAAGTTGAATGTTGTGACCAAGAAATGAATTCCCTGAACTCATTCCTATTCTTTCCCAGACTTCTAGGTTGATCTTTGAAGCCACCCAGTGTATAGGGCCTAGTGGGTGAGCCATTCAGCTCCTTTCAGGCTGCCCAAGGCTGTTGTCTGCAACACAGAGAAGTATACTTCCCACTCAGTGACTGCTCAGCCAAGCAGCCCAGAACCCCACCTAGCCTTTTCTCTTTGTTCTCATGGCTACCAGTTATTTAGGTAGGAGCTCCTCCAAGCCATTTTCCAGCTCCAATGCAACCACTATTTTTATTTTTTTCTTTCTCATTTCTTGCCCCTCTTCATGCTGTTGGCCAAGATCTATCCTCTTTATTCTCCTCAATACTCATGCTGAGTTGATATATAATATCTGCAGGTAGTTGTAGAAGAAATAAGAAGACAGTGATATCAAAAGTCCTTAAAAAAAAGGCACTTAGTGGCCCCCAAATATTTACAGATAAAAAAAATCTCCATTTAAGTGATTCGGTGAGGGAAAAGAACATATTGCATAACTGGGGAAACTGCTTCTTCAGTGCATTTTCATGGCCTAATAAGGAATTAACATCACACCTAGTATGGAAGTAGCACTGCAAAGTCTCAGTCTATGCCTCTAAGCCCAAAATTACATTTTCTAATGTCTATTTCCTGCTGAGCTGCTTTTGTTCCCTTGGGGAAACTTCCCTGATCTATTATGGCTGATACATGCTTCTAACTTTCTTGAACATACAGCCATTTCTGAAGATGACTTTATGCATCTTACATAGGGCTTTTAAAACGATTTGTGAATAAAAAGTATTTAACACCCAGTATCTAAATGTCTGGGTGTTTTGGGGCATGGGGTGATGTCACTTAGATATTTTTTTCTCTATAGGGACATTTTTTTTAAGTCTGGCTTTTTCATTGCTATTGTTCAAGCTCAAAGATAGAAATTAACGATTTTCCTGAAGATTCGTGTTTCCCCTGTTTAAGTAGGGGGTGATTTAGGGCTAGGCACTTTTTAGGACACTGTTATTTTAGATATCATGTGGGCAATATGAGGACATTGACGTAACCATAAGTTAACTCACATTTTCTAGTTCCTGAAAACTTAAAATAGTTATATATGAAAGATTACAATTTCTCTAACCTAACTGAAAACCTCGTTTCTTTTACTTTAGAAGAGTTTTAGGTAACCAAAAGAGCTCCTTCATCTTTAGAGTCTCTGGTCCCTAACAATTTTCTTTCATTAATAACGTTTTTTTATCCCTATTCTTGTTCAACAATAAAAGTTGGAATTAAGAATAGCTTTTATGTTTTATTCTCTTTTGTTTCAAGGATGAAGTAGTTATTAAGTGAAACAAAAAAGATCTGCCTCTACCATTATATTTTAGTGTTCTTTTTTAAAGGAGGAAGGAAAATTACATTTCTTCTGGAAAGGAGAATTGAAATATAACAATGCCCACTTCTGTGCAGTTTGTGAGAGACTGACATAAAAAAGATCATTTTTCTTTTCTTTGTATCACAGTATCAATTTTGTTCCTAAAAAATGAAATCCCAAGATGATTTGCAAATAGAAATTTAGGGGTTGGGTCAGGTTTATCCAAATTAATGTTCCTTTAAGGTAGTGTAAATAGAAACAGCCACCTCACTGATCTTTCATGATCTCTGTCATTTCACAAATCCAGTCACTTGCTCCATTAATGGATGAATGAGCTTTGCCTAATCTACAGGCTTAGCTAGAATAGGCCAAAGGTAATCACGAAATCTATCTGGAACAACCATTTTGCCCCAGTGTAGATTACAACTGAGGCTCCTGAATTTTGATTTTTTTCCTAAGTTAAATAAGTGCTGATGAAAATATTGCAAGATAATGACAAAAGCAATGAAGCAGTCAGGCAATGGCCTGGGCCAAATTTGAGGTAAATATTTATTCATTCCTATTCTCACAGAAATTATGCCTGGTGCCTAAACTCCCTGAGCCATGTGGGCTTGGCTGTCTGAACAAGCCTCTTCTGTCATAAGGTCAGTACTAAACCTGATTACACCTTTAGGCTAATCTCTTTTTAACGTGGTTATAGAAGAGGCTTTTGGAAAAATTAGACTATCTATTGGCCATTGATTACAGAAGATGTGCATTGGCAGAGTTAGAAGGAGACAGGACACAGGAGTTCCAAGACTGGTTTCACCACATACTGTCTGTGACCTTGGGAAAGAAAATTTAAAAATTCATATGACTGGAGTCATTTTGTAGTATTTTATTTATTTTTAAAAGTCCAACTATTGAACTCCACCCAATTCATTTAACTATTCAGTGTACTTGAAATGATGATTCTCACAGTAGCTATGAAAATCAAATTTAAAAGACTATATGAGAAAATGGCTGGTAAAATATACCAGGCATAAAGGCTTTGGTATGTTCATTATTTTGACCATTAACAAAAATTTCACAAGAAAAATAATTTTATCAATCCTGATAACATAGATACTCCTATTTTATGTAACCACTACAGTCCTAACTTTTGTATTTTGGAGATCCACTAGGGAATTCTTTTTAAAGCACATTATCCTTCTATAGCATGCCAATTACATTCTGTCACTCGAGATGTTAAAATGAACATGTGTGGTATACACATACGCATTTCCTGCCCTTACTGTATGACTTTGTGGCACCTCCCACTAAAGCAGGTAGAGTATATTTCCCCACCCCCATTGACATTTGGGCATGTTTCCGATGGAATGTCAGTGAACATAACGGGAGCAGAGGCTTAAATATGCATTCATGGCTTGGCTTGCCCCCTTGCCTTCCTAGGAGGCAGGAAAAGAATGTGTCCTAATATCCAGATCCAATAAGAAGGAAAAACACATGCAGTAGAATGGAACCTGAAGCGCAGCCTGAAATAGAGCCTCTCCAGCTGACCCACAGCCCCTAAAGGAAGAAAAATAAATGTTAGTGTTATAAGCCTCAGTGATTTTGACGTCATTACACAGCAAGACTGACTAGTAAAAAATGCATGGGCCATATTCTAGAGTTTTTAAAGAACATGTAGAATATAGACCTTCTTTGCAGGGTCAGTTGGATTAACAGAGCCTAGAGGAAGGGAAATTTGGCTGTGAAAAATGAAAGATATCTCTTAAGAGTCTTGTTTATTCTGTAGATACGGGGAAGGATTCTTTAGTAAGTTCAAAGCTAAAGCCTACCGTGCTTTTGAAAAACTGAGAGTATAAGGTAAAGATCAGCCCTTACTATTTCCCTAATGGAAAGAATAGCACACTGTACCAAACTACATTTCCTTCAACACTATATGTCTCCCCTATTCTTGTCAAAACTTGATATACCAAACTCATTAATTTTAACAAATCTGATAAATGAAAAATCATGTTACTTTGACTTACTGTTGATTTTCATATGCAATCATCCATCAGAATCCATGGGGATTGGTTCCAAGAATCCCGGATAATACCAAAATCCACAGATGTTCAAGTCCCTGACATAAAATGGCGTAGTATTTCCGTGTAATCTATGCATATCCTTCTGTATATTTTAAATCATCTGGATTCCTTATAATACCTAATACAATGCAAATGCTATGTAAATGGTTTTTATTCTGTATTGTTCAGGGGATACTGACCAGAAAAAAAATAGTCTGTACATGTTTAGTACAGATGTGACCATCCATTTCTTTTTTTTTTTGAATGTTTTCAATCCACAGCTGGCTGAAACCACAGATGCAGAGCCCACAGATAGAGCTGAACGTACTTATTGAACATTTGTATTTATGTGTCTATCAATTATCTTCTCGTATCATTTTCTGTATATTATATTGAATGCTATAGTTTTGTTCATACCTACAAAAATTACATTTTAAAATCGTTTTACCCTAAAACTCAACTGTGAGCAATTTATCCCATAAAAATGTGTTTTAAAGAATATAAAAACATACCTACAAGTAATTCACCAGGGCATAATTTAAAATAATTCACAAAAAATGTTGTAGGGAGGGGGAAGCCCTAAATTTTCTTTGAAACAGAAATGATTCCATTATCGCACATTCATTAAGCAAAAATCTAAATGACTATTAAAAACTTGTTCCATATGTGATGGTATGAAACAATATCAAGATTTTCTGAAGAAAACCCAAGGAAATTTTAAAAGCAATTGCTCAAAAGAATTGAAATAGGAAATCCAGATGGGAGAGGTATCTGGATGGAGTATTTTTACTTTATGCCATTCTGTACTTTTTATAATGAGAACATGTTATTTTATAACAAATAAAGAAACCTTTTTATATCAAGATAAAACATATTCTTCAAAAAATTTTTAGACCTAGAAATTCAGACTGGCAAAAGAAGGAAACTAACACAATACATACAACTAGAAAAATGATTAGCAATTCCATTGTTGAATACCCTTTTGTTATTTACCTATGTATATCAATGGATTTTTATGCTGCATTGTTTTGCAATCTATGTTTTTCACTTAACAATATAATTTTCCAATATTAATAGTCTCTACAGCATTCTTTTTGATATCTATAAACCTGCCCCTTGTACTGTAACATATTTTGCTAATCGTTTTCTTCTGGCATTTTTTTTCATGTTTTCACTATAATAAATAATGCTTCAATAAAATTTATATTGCTATATCTTTGTATACTTTCCTAATGCTTATACTAACACTTTCATATATATTATTTTTCACTAACAGCATCATCAAAACTTCATGTACAATACCACCAATTGTGCTGCTGGTATTTTATGCACAAAATTGAGGTCAACAGAATGAATTTTGATGCTCTGTTCACTACAGGAACAAAAATTGTGAGGAAAAGAATGATCAGTGCAAACTTGCTAGGACTGTCACCCAGATTCTCCCAAAAGAGACTTTTCAAATCAGGCAAGCAATGTTATTTTTAAACAAAAGTTCAAAAACATGTTTAAGATAATATATTGGTTGTGACCAAATTTATAACTTATCAAAATTCTGTTTTTGTGAGCTTCACATATGTTTTCTAGAACAGGTCAAACTATTAAAGAATACCATTATTTAACCATTTTGGACCAGTAAAAATGAAAATTTCTTATACAGTCTAATGTTCTATATTTTTTTTCTAAGAATAAAAGCCACCTATTAAATATTTATGGTGATAGCTTGTTGTTCCAGATTTTATTAAATGTTTTGGGTCATGGGTATGATTTATGGCTTACTGGAACCTAGATAAGAAATATGATTTCCATCTTTAATATTATATATGGGAAAATGTTTTACAGCATTGATTTCTAGGAACACGTTCAGCATAACTGTCACTTCCAGAAGTTACAAAAAGAAAATTATAAATATTGGGCTATTTTCCTAATTTTGTGAAACTGTACAAAATTTAAGAATTATTGGACAAAAGATATTTAGAATCCTTTGGGAAAGGAATGTTAAGATCAGTATACATTTAGTGATATGAATACTATATTTTATCTATGAGTTTCCTTTTTACCGCATAGGAACAAATAGATAAAATACTGAAATATTTATCTTAATTGGGCATTCTTTGTTTCTTTCACCAGAATTCTGAGATAAGAAAACAAGCTTTTCCCTTTGGGACCCACTTAGTCATTTTGATAGAAAAGCATATTTAACTGCTGTCTTTGGAATATTCTTTAGTATATTTTTGATTTAAAAAAATCTATCCTTTACTTGCACATTACAGTTATGGAGATAAAGAGATAGCTCCTTAAGTACTAACGCGAAGAGGGGAATAAAAGGAATGGAGGCAACGTCACTTGGGTTCCCAAAGCATCATCACCCTACAGAGACAGAGTTCTTGACTTTGCCATTAGCGACAGTTGGGGCTGTTAAAGTCAAATAAAAATATAGAAACAAATCACTATGCAAAGTGTTTCATTTGGGAATGCATATAAAAACAGAATCACTATTTAGGGCATACATACAGAATGGCATGGTCTTTGGCATGTTTGAAGAACAAAGAAAAGGTTGGAAGTTCTATTAGAAAGGGACATGTTACACATTTGAAAGGAAGCTCAGTGGCACTAGTGAAGTTTTGGGGACCTGACACTCTTTAATTAGTGAATGACAATGGTAGGTAAAACTGGTCTTAACGTCACAGCACACATCTAGTCCGTATCAGCAGCCACTAGGTAAAACTGATCTTAAGGTTACAGCAGGCCATTTCAGCAGCCAAGCTGGTGGATCATTCTTGGACCAAGTGCTATGTGCGCCAGACTGCTCTCTCCCCTGACCTTTCAACTCTGATTTCGTTGGGTATGACAAGAATAGCCCAGTTTGTATAATCAAATTTCACATTTCCCCATTTTGATCAAGATCTTTCTCTCAAAATGTCACTGATTAACTATTCTGAGGTTAGGCGTAATTGTCCCTCACTGCAGGGTCTGAACCTGTCCGAGTTTCCTCTGTCCTACTTTTGGGGGTTAGGTATGAGAGTCCATGTCAGGGACCTGGGCCACATTTAGCAAAAGAGAGGCCAAAAGGAAAATCTTTCTCATTGCAGCTTTGCCTGGAGTTCAACATTGAGTTTCACTGTATTAGACCCATAGGTATTAGCAATCATCTCAAGACACTGGGCTAACATTATCTTGTTGGGAGTGCTGGCTTTACAAAGAATGGTCAGGCAAAAAAAAAAAAAAAAAAAAAAAAAAAAAAAAAAACTTTAATATGAAAATGCAAAAAGTCATTAGTGACAATACAATAAATCCAGTTTGAATAGTCCTAGATTATGAACTTAAATTTTAAGGCAACCAACTGAACAGATCAAAAAGTTCCGATGTATCTGGTGAGATTTGTTGGAGCCAGCTAGCTTGGGTTTTCTTTTATCTTGTATAATTGTGTTTCTACTTTCCCAGAGGAATTCATACATGCATAGCAAGCAGTGTTAGCAATTATACAACCACCACCTTCTCAGCTAATAACTAATCCAGGCAATCCTGTTATCCAATGCCACTTTAGCAAGAGATTCTAAGAAAGTTTATTGAGCTACAATAGCCTTAGGTATGGAATCTGCTATAGACCCAAGTTTTAAGGATAAATTTCTGATTCATGCTCCCTCTGCCTCTCCCTCTCCCCATGGTCTCCCTCTGATGCCGAGCCGAAGCTGGACTGTACTGCCATCTTGGCTCACTGCAACCTCCCTGCCTGATTCTCCTGCCTCAGCCTGCCGAGTACCTGGGATCGCAGGCGTGCGCCGCCACGCCTGACTGGTTTTCGTATTTTTTTGGTGGAGACGGGTTTCGCTGTGTTGGCCGGGCTGGTCTCCAGCTCCTAACCGCAAGTGATCTGCCAGCCTCAGCCTCCTGAGGTGCCGGGATTGCAGATGGAGTCTCGCTCACTCAGTGCTCAATGTTGCCCAGGCTGGAGTGCAGTGGCGTGATCTCAGCTCGCTACAACCTCCACCTCCCAGCTGCCTGCCTTGGCCTCCCAAAGTGCTGAGATTGCAGCCTCTGCCCGGCCGCCACCCCGTCTGGGAAGTGAGGAGCGTCTCTGCCTGGCCGCCCATCGTCTGGGATGTGAGGAGCCCCTCTGCCCAGATGCCCAGTCTGGGAAGTGAGGAGCGCCTCTTCCCGGCCGTCATCCCGTCTAGGAAGTGAGGAGTGTCTCTGCCCGGCTGCCCATCCTCTGAGATGTGGGGAGCACCTCTGTCCCGCCGTCCCGTCTGGGATGTGAGGAGCACCTCTGCCCGGCAGCCGCCCCCTCTAAGAAGTGAGGAGCCCCTCCTCCCGGCAGCCACCCTGTCTGGGAAGTGAGGAGCCCCTCCGCCCGGCAGCCGCCCAGTCTAGGAAGTGAGGAGCGTCTCCGCCCGGCAGCTGCCCCGTCCGGGGGAGGTGGGGGGCAGCCCCCGCCTGGCCAGCCGCCCCATCAGGGAGGTGGGGGGCGCCTCTGCCCGGCCGCCCCTTCTGGGAAGTGAGGAGCCCCTCTGCCCGGCCGCCACCCCGTCTGGGAGGTGTACCCAACAGCTCATTGAGAACAGGCCATGATGACGATGGCAGTTTTGTCGAATAGAAAAGGGGGAAATGTGGGGAAAAGATAGACAAATCAGATTGTTGCTGTGTCTGTGTAGAAAGAAGTAGACATAGGAGATTCCATTTTGTTCTGTACTAAGAAAAATTCTTCTGCCTTGGGATGCTGTTAATCTATAACCTTACGCCCAACCCCGTGCTCTCTGAAACATGTGCTGTGTCCACTCAGGGTTAAACGGATTAAGGGCGGTACAAGATTTGCTTTGTTAAACAGATGCTTGAAGGCAGCATGCTCGTTAAGAGTCATCACCACTCCCTAATCTCAAGTACCCAGGGACACAAACACTGCGGAAGGCCACAGGGTCCTCCTTCTAGGAAAACCAGAGACCCTTGTTCACTTGTTTATCTGCTGACCTTCCCTCCACTATTGTCCTATGACCCTGCCAAATCCCCCTCCTCGAGAAACACCCAAGAATGATCAATAAATACTAAAAAAAAAAAAAAAAAGAATTCATCTGGGTAAGAGAGACTGCCAAATAAGCGGCCTAGAATTTTTTTCTAACAACAAAAATCACTCAGCAAAGGAAATGAGTCCATACTATCATTTACAGGTAAAATTCATAGTGACACTGTACCAGCTACTAACTTCTGTATGTAATTTTAATCACTGCCTCAAAATATTGTTATAGTGTCTTAGGAGTGGTCTAATACAGTATTTTAAATTCTATTTTTGCAAAGATTACACTGATACTGAAAAAGAGAGCTTTATCCCATATTTGCCTCTACAGAGTAGTAATAAAGCAACTCTGACCTAAAAAAAAAAAAAAAAAAAAAAAAAAGATAAATTTCTGATCGTTGTTTTTAAGTGGTTAACTGCAATCCAAGAGAAAAAGTATCTAAACAGCTGAGGCCTATCCCGCTGGATTTCTGTCTCCCAGTAAGGTATATCTTTTAATGGTGTTAAGTTAAAAGGTACCAACCAATGTTCAGATTTTGTTAATTTGTGTTGAATCCGGAAATATCTTAAACCACACTGGCATTTTATTTTCCATTTGTTGAGACATGATGTTGTCCATGCTTATGATTGACTGTTAAATCCTCCATAAATAAAAATGTATTTTGATGAAACATAACAGTTAATTCTATGTGGAGTACCTTGTGTATTAATTGTTACTCATAGGGAGATGTCAGTGGTATTTATCCAAGGTTCTATTATTGAGTTATTACATTGTTTGAGGTTATCAGTAATTAGAAGACCAGGATCATCAATGTTTTTGTAATCTGTCAAATTGTTTTTCTCTTGAATCTTAATACCATACCTTTACTTTCACAATCTTAGTCTAATTCCAAAGTCTTTTATGTAGACTGCTGGTACTGTTAGGGTGAAGCCAGGAATCTCAATATCTGGGTCCAAAAGTTTGACTTTTTACAAAGGACTGGATACAAAATTGGAACCACAGTTACATTGGGAACATTAACAAAATCTGTTATGGGGTAGACTAAAGGTCTACTTATATCATGACAGATCAAGGTTTTTGGTAACAAATCCAACAGTCAGTAATGCCGCCTCCTTGTAATAGATTGGAAAGTGCAAATTAGAGCATTGTCTTTCCAGGAAAATAAAGGCATATAAGAAGAGATCAATAATAAAAGGGAAAGAATACAGTGACCTGATCTAGGCATCCTGAAATAGGGATCTACTGTAGACATCATCTGCTTCAATTCCAGGTAAATTTTAGTCTTAAATCACCTGTTGGAGAGTTGCTTCAGTCAGAAGTAGGGACCATTTTTAAAAAAGAGATGTAAATCCAAGAGTCAATGTCTTTGAGTCTGATAGCATAGGGACTGGTGAAAAGGACCGAATATGGGCCCTTCCAATGTGGTTTGAGAGAATCCTTATGTAGGTGCCTTTTTTAGTAGACAAAGTCACTAGGTTACAGATCACGGTACTGTAGGTCCTTGTCTCCCAGGAGAGTACTGTGGGAAGACTGTTCTACCAAAGTATGATTTTTATCCATCACTTTAATAATGTCTTTGCAATACTGAAGTATGTCTCTTTGCTGTTAACTGAGAGTCAAAATAGAGGGAGTGAAGTATATAGGAGAGCCTGTGATTATTTCAAAAGCTAAAAGTTTCTGAGCTCTAAAGGGAGTGGCTCTAAAATTTAATATCAAAGGAAGAACTCTAGGCCAAGGAAGGTATATGGTTTCCATAAATTTGGCCAACTGTATTTTAATAGTTCCATTTGTTTGCTCTACTGAGCCAGAAGACTGGATAGTAGGCACAATGGAAATGCTGTAAAATTGGCCAAACTGAACGTACCTGCTTTATTAAAAGACTGGTAAAGTGGGTTCTCCAGTCATTGTGAAGTTCAAGGTGAGTTCTAAAAGTGGGAATAATTTTCTCTGCAAGAATTTAGGCCAGGGCTTCAATGGCATTAATGTTGAACGCCACTATTTCTTCGAGAGTCTCCTTTCCTGATACAAATCTGCACAATAAATTATTAGAATCACTCCTAAACAGCCTGCTGCCCTATCTGTTCGCCCCCACCACAAGATCCCACACAGCTGTTATTCTCTTTATTTAAATAATCACCCCTATGGCTGGGTGTGGTGGCTCATGCCTGTAATCCCAGCACTTTGGGAAGCCGAGGGCAGTGAATCACCTGAGGTCGGGCGTTCAAAACCAGGCTGACCAACATGGAGAAACCCCATCTCTACTAAAAATAAAATTTCTTAAAAAAATTAGCTGGGTGTTGTGGCACATGCCTGTAAACCCAGCTACTTGGGAGGCGGAGGAAGGAGAATCGCTTGAACCCGGGAGGCGGAGGTTGCGGTGAGCCAAGATTGTGTGTGGTGACTCACACCTGTAATCCCAGCACTTCTGAAGGTCAAGGCAGGTCGATCACCTGAGGTCAGGAGTTCGAGACCAGCCTGGCCAACATGGCGAAAACCCATCTCTAATAAAAATACAAAATTAGCTGGGTATGGTGACAGGCACCTGTAATCCCAGCTACTTGGGAGGCTGAGGCAGGAGAACTGATTGAACCTGGGAGGCGGAGGTTGCAGATCATGCCATTGCACTCCAGCCTGGGCAACAAGAACGAAACTCCATCTTAAAAAAAAAAAAAAAAAAAAAAAAAAGCCTTAATTTACCTCAGGAAAGGAAAAATGTAAAAACACTTAGTAAACTGTAAAGTGCCATACAAATCTATAAAATATGTATTGTCCTCATCCAAGTAAAGCCCCTCATTTTATTAGTAATAGAACAGAGAGATGAAGAGATTAAAAAGATTCTTCAAAAGCTTTACAATGCTTTTGAATAATCATTAGGACTATCAACAACCACCCTTAGGCTAGTTGTCACTAACTTTAATCCACAATTACTGATCGAGCTTCAGCAGTTTTTTCTAGTCATTCTTGTTTGACTCAACAGCTGCATATATCACTAAACTAGCCTACAGACTGTAAGAACGTGCATGTAACAAGCATTTTTCAAATTCAGTACAACTGCCTATTTTCTCATAAAAGAGATGAAACAGAATACTTGAGGATACAAGATTTTTCTTAATCTGGCTGACCAAATACTTTTAGGCTCTAATATTTTTTTTTCTTTATAGTTGATCACATTCAGCTATTTAAACATATATACCCAAGATTAACCTCTCACCCCACAAACTATTAAGAGAAGCTGAACAAAGATAGAAAAGAGAAAGCAATTTTACCTTAAGAGCTCAACAGAAGATGATGTTTGGATAATAAATAAAATTATTACAATACTCCCTGGAGGAATAGTTTCAAATGTATTTACCATGCATCTTTTATTTTTTATTTTTTGTAGAGATGAGGTCTCACTATGTTGCTCAGACTGGTCTCAAACTCCCGGCCTCAGGTGATCCTCCCAAAGTGCTGGGATTACAGGCTTGAGCAATTGTACCCCCAGCCTATTATATACTATTTTCATTTATTCACAACTAATGCATTTAGTCACTTCCAACAAGTTGTTTCTCTGCCTCCCTAAAGTTCTAATTAAAGAACTCCTGCTATTTTCATAGGGAGACCGTTGCAGACAAGATTCTCATTTCTGGAATGAAGAAATCCAGATCGGCAGCACTCTTAATATTGTTCACTGCTTCTACAATGCTAATTTTTGTTTGCATAGTCTATACACTAATTAGCACAGTCCTGTACACTGAGTCTTCAATAACTGCTCAGTGATAGCAGAAGAAAGATAGCTAGTAACTGATGCTGTGGGTTTAGCTTGTCAGAATGCTTAGTATTCTACATTCTCGATTTGTAAAGACTGAAACCCTGGCAGCACACACACAAAAAGATAAAATGGAAGCAAGCAGAAAGGGTCAAATTAAAGAGCTACATCTGCCTTATTTTTACATAGTTTTTGTATCTATAGTGTTGATTAGAGTTCTCCCCTCCAACCTCCAAAAATGTCATTATAAACCAAGATTAGGTAAGAAATTGAAAATGTGTCATATGAAGAGAAAACAAAAAGAAAAAAAATACTATCTCACACCACTTAGAATGTCGATCATTAAAAAGTCAGGAAACAACAGGTGCTGGAGAGGATGTGGAGAAACAGGAACACTTTTACACTGTTGGTGGGACTATAAACTAGTTCAACCAGTGTGGAAGTCAGTGTGGCGATTCCTCAGGGATCTAGAACTAGAAATACCATTTGACCCAGCCATCCCATTACTGAGTATATACCCAAAGGATTATAAATCATGCTGCTATAAAGACACATGCACACATATGCTTATTGCGGCACTATTCACAATAGCAAAGACTTGGAACCAACACAAATGTCCAACAATGATAGACTGGATTAAGAAAATGTGGCACATACACACCATAGAATACTATGCAGCCATAAAAAATGATGAGTTCATGTCCTTTGTAGGGACATGGATGAAGCTGGAAACCATCATTCTCAGCAAACTATCGCAAGGACAAGAAACCAAACACCACATGTTCTCACTCATAGGTGGGAACTGAACAATGAGAACACATGGACACAGGAAGGGGAACATCACAGACCAGGGACTGTTGTGGGGTGGGGGGAGAGGGGAGGGATAGCATTTGGAGATATACCTAATGTTAAATGATGAGTTACTGGGTGCAGCACACCAACATGGCACATGTATACATATGTAACTAACCTGCACTTTGTGCACATGTACCCTAAAACTTAAATAAAAGAAAAAGAAAAAGAAAAAAAAACCTGGCTATGCTATCTCTTCAACGACTCCTGCTGGACTTTGTCTCCTTGGACACCGGCTACTGAACAAATTGATCCCTGACATTTTTGAGCACCAGGACTGCATGGCTGATGCACGTTCACAGAAAACAATGATTTTTACCACCCACAAACCAGAAGAGTAAAGTAAATAACATTCATTTAGTTCCTCTCCTGTGCTTTTACATACACATCTCATGGGATCTTCCAATTAGTCAATTAGTCAACTAATCAACACATCTTTCCAAAGGATCATATTCTACATGTTTGCTCTGCCCTAGCGTTGCTATGGTGAACAGAGAGACATACCCCCTTCTGATTACAATTTGAGTTTCTCCTAGCTGTTAAATATGAGGTAGGAAATTGGTCAAATGCAAGTATTTGGTTTTTAAACCCTGCTCTTTCTACTATATCACTCTTCTTTCTGGGCATTTCAACTCATTCTGGGTTATACAGCTCCAAAAGACCTATGTCCCTAAATAAGGGTTAAGAAATAAAGACAGAAATAAGAATATGATTTTTAGAGTAGTTCTTATTTATGCCTTAGGAATCTTGCTGCAAGAAAGTAGAATTATTCAAATGGATCCTATGTCAGTTGCCATGATCCAAAGAGCAGTGGGTAAGGAGTTTTCAAGAAGGCCCCAGGAAATCTATGAGATAAAACAGAAGGCATCAGGTCCTATAGGCTGAGAAACAGGCCTGGTGTTGACTGTGAAGGGAGACCTATTTCTCTAAGTCTTCAGCAACTTTCATGAGCCGAAAAGACTGTCTAATGCCAAAATATTAAAAATGGCAAAATTCTCCTTACATTTTTACTTTTTCTCTTACAAAGTAGTCACATAAGTCAGCAATAAGTTAACACAAAGTGTTGTACCAGGTCACTCCACTCCTTGATAAAAATTGCTATAATATGACATAATCATGGTCCAAGTGACTGAAACTAGATGACTCCCAAGTATAATTTGCTGAATCACAGCTTCAGAAAATCAAGGTACTTCTTCATGAGCACAAAATCACTAGTGATATTCCAATCTGACAAAAAAGTATATGAGGCTTACCGCTGTGAAAAGCACGTGGTAAAGTTTCACAGAAGAGGAGCCGCCATCCTTAACCTTGGTGGTGAAGTTAGGATCCTCCTCCTGGTGCCTATTCCTTCCTTCAACTCATTTCAGTCTCATAACCAGTCATATGCAAAGGTTCCTTTTCAGGCTAAATGCTAACACATTTATCAATATGATGCAGCAGAGACCTGCTTTCCTGGCTACTTTGCATGTTATTTCACTTATTACGTAACACGAAAACTTCCCTGTTTACTAAGTTTATGTATTAGTCAGGGTTCTCCAGAGGGAGAGAATTATAGGATATATGTATATACGAAAGGGAGTTTATTAAGGAAAATTGATTCACACAATGACTGGGTGAAGTCCCACAATAGGCCACCTGCAAGCTTAGGAGGAAACCAGTAGTAGCTCAGTCTGAGTCCAGAAGCCTCAAAAGTAGGGAAGCCAAGAGTGCAGCCTTCAGTCTGTGGCCAAAGGCCCGACAGCCTCTGGAAAATGACTGGTGTAAGTCCAACAGTCCAAAGGCCAAAGAACCTGGAATCTGATGCTCAAGGAAGCATCCAGCATGGAAGAAAGATGAAAGCCAGAAGACTCAACAAGCCAACTGATATGGTTTGCCTGTGTTGTCCCCACCCAAATTTCACCTTGAATTGTAATAATTCCCATGTGTCAAGTGTGGGGCCAGGTGGAGATAATTGAATCATGGGGGCAGTTTCCCCAGCACTGTTCACTGTTCTCATGGTAGTGAATAAGTCTCATGAGATCTGATGGTTTTATAAATGGGAGTTCCCCTGCACAACTATTGCCTGCTGCCATGTAAGATGTAACTTTGCTCCTCCTTCACTTTCTCCCATGGTTGTGAGGTCTCCCCAGCCATGTGAAACTGTGAGTCAAATAAACCTCTTTCCTTTATAAATTAAACAGTATCAGGTATGGCTTTATTAGCAGTGTGAGAACAGACTAATACACCAATATATCCCACCTTCTTCTGTCTGATTTTTCTAGCTGCCCTGACAGCCAATGGGAGGGTGCCCAATCACATGGAGGGTGGGTCTTCTCTCCCAGTCCACTGACTCAAATGTTAATCTCCTCTGCAACACCCTCATAGACGCCCCCAGAAACAATACTTTCCCATCTATCTAGGCATTCTTCAATCCAACCAAGTCAACACCTAATATTAACCATCACACTTGTCAACCACAATTTTTATCTTTGTTATAAAATCCTTGAAGAAAATCACCGCCTGCTGAAAGAGATGTTTCTTATTTTCAAAGCAAATGGGTTCCCCTAGGTGGCAAGATGGCCCAATGGATATTATTCTCTCACTTATCAGTAGGCCACCTCCTTTAGGGAAAAACCATTTACCATAAAGATTACTTTCTAATACTCCTCAGCTTAAAACTAATGCCTTCTAAACTATGAGCTGAGGCCGGACTTTGGAGGGGCAGAGCAGGCTAGGGCAAAGCAAGGATTACTTAAAAGGCATATAGTTTCCTCAGCCCCAAAATGCATTATCATGGAAAGAAGCAATTTTATTTAAGCATGGTCCCATTCCAAAACATAGACAAGGTGAAGAGCATGGGCAATAAGATGTTGGTGTGATGACATTTTGTCCACAGGAAAAAAGAGGTCCATCTCAAAGTCACTGAATCCAAGAAGTGGAAGAAAAACCTCTCCCCCACCCCATAGTTCTTCTTGGGACTGATCCTATATGCTATATGATCCTATGTGCCTGTGTGATTGATATGCCAGAAGGAGGCTTCCCTTTGAGTTGCTGCTGGCTTGTTGATAGAACTGAATGCAAAACAAGCTATAAAAATTCCTACAGAACTCAACAGAATTTCCTCACCAGCAACAGAACTTCCTCAAATAATCGGTCCCAATTTCCTGTATCTTTTCCAGGATTCAGGAAAAGTAGCAAGTTGATTCAGCCACAGACCATCAAGCAAAGATCTGATTGCCCTCGGTTGGTTCAGATCCTACCTATGAAAGGTTGGTTGGTAGGTCGTTAAGGACATATCTGAACTAAGGCCATAATTCAGAGTTCCTTTCAGTTATCAACTAAAATACCTTCAGTAAACTACCTCACAAATGGCTGAGTTAAAAATTACCTCAGAGTGTCTCAAAAGTTACTTTAATACAAGATCCATTAAATAAAATAGTTAAGGATTCATGCCTGGATTGTCCTTTAATAAAGTTTCATTATTTCCTCATATTTATAAGGACCACAGTTATAGGGAAGGCTGACAGCTCTGGAGTTTTAACAAACTACCACTCAAGTCCTAAAGAAAATGAGGACCTCAAAGTCCTTTCCCCAGTCTCAGAGTGAATTATGAATTGCTGACCTACACTAGTACAGCCTTCAACTTAAAAAAAAAAAAATTAAAGAGGCAGAACTTGGGAATAAATCAGCCTTCCCCTGAGGGCGCAAGACAGAGATGAAAACTCTCTGACTTCTTTGAGTTCTCCCAGTGTGACAACTAGGACGCGAAAGCTGAAAAGAACAAAGGCTACCTGAGGTAATACAAATGTCTGCTCTGAAATTTAGGCTGTCACATCACAAAGGAAAACTGAGATTTCAGAGTGATCTGGTGTGATTTTTGTCATCACAAATGTTCTGACTTGCCAAGAAGCCCTACGGAGCAATTGTTTTTAACCAGGGCGTGCACAAGAGTCAACTTTGGATCTTTTTTAAAAAGCTATTTCCTGCCTCTGTACTGCTGAAGGGTCAGTGAGCCTGAAGTGAATCTGTGTAATTTTTCAGAGCTCCTTAGAGGATTGAGAACCACTGGTGGGGAGGCTGATTAATTTCTAGGAGGATGGTGCCTCTCAAAATTAAATGTGCTTGTGAACAATTCCACCACTGCACTCAAGTCTAAGATCTTGTTAAAATGCAGATTCTGACTCTGTGTCAGGGATGTGGCTGAGTGTCTACAATTCTAAGGAACTCTCCTGTGATATTCATGCTGCTGGTATAGGAACCACCTCTATGTGGCAAGTCAACAGGCTTTGCATCCCAACTTCAGAAGGCTGCCTTCAGGAGAATGGGCATGGGGTGGAGGCTGGGAGACCGGTGTTGCTGTTTCATGTGTGGTTTGTGGAACAACCACCCAAAAAATCACCTGAGGTATTTACTAAAAATTAAGATACCAGGGCCTCATCCTCAAACATATCCAGTAAGAGTCAGTTAAACAAGCTCCCTAGGTGATTTGTTTTCATACACACCAAAATTTGGAAACTTCTAAAAGTTAAAGAATCATCAGCAATAGATAAGTAAAGGAATTACGAGTCCCACAACCATTCAGTGATACATTATAAATTAAAACTCATTATTAATTTAAGACATTGCAGTCTCCCCTGTTTCCTAGTTAAAACTGTGGAATGTAAGAGTTTGAAAACAATACAATCACCTTGATACATGATTTTTAAGTATGTACAAAAGAACAAACAACACCGCAAATATCATTAAGATTGCTTATGACTATACTCTCATTGCTGTGGACTAAATGTTTATGTCCCCCCAGAATTCATGTGGTGAAGCCCTAATCCCCAGTGCAATAGTATTTGGAGATAAAGCTTTTTGGAGATAATTAGGTCCTAAGAGTGAATATCTCATAATAGTGTTAGTGCTCTTATAAGAAGAGACACAAGAGAGATGATCTCTCTTTGTGTCATATGAAGATACATCAAGAAAGCAGCCATTTGCAAACCGGAAGAGGGATCCCATCAGGACACAAATCAGCTCACATCTTGGTCTTGGACTTCCCAGCCTCCAGAACCATGAGAAATAGATGTTTGTGATGTAAACCACTTGATCTATGGCTTTTGGGCTTGAACTAAGACACTCATTCATGAAACTATTTCCAGAACTTAGACTTGGGGGTCACTTATGATCTACTCTAATCTGTTTTCCCAACTGCTTTTCCATTAACACCACCCCCTCCTACATACCTTCTTTGTCTTCCCTGCATACTCTATGTATTCTCTTTTCCCTGTGAGAAAAAAAATCGCTTTTAATTTTTTTCAGAAAATATTGCTCTGTGACTGATACTCTGAACTCCAAGTCCTTGAGTGTTATCTCTGACACCAAAATATAAACTCACAAAATGGATGAAGCAAAATGCTTTTCTTCTCCATAGTACTGATCAGAAGCAAAGCCATTTTCCTGCATATGAAAAAATAGAGAAAATACACATCTGCAAAAAGTTGAATGGATAGAGAATTTTAAATTAAGGTTGTAACCTGGCATTACAAAATGAAAGCCTGGAAATTTTTAGTTTAATTGAATAATTCAGGCTTTAAAATATTTTCTCGTCCTATATACAGGCTGGAACTTTTAGAAGAGTCACACGTAGACAAAATTTTATTATTTTAAATGTATTAAATATATAATTATAAATACAGTTTGCAAAATGTAACGTTTAGAGTGCTTTTCATATAATTGACAATTACAAATATGAAAAATATTTTTAGCAGGCCATTCCTCATAAATTAATGTGAAAAAGCCATCGTACTATATCATGCTCACCTCTTCATTCCTACTTTCTTTTCAGTCAGGTTTCCTGTGTTCAAATTTCTTCTTGGTAATAATAGCAGAGATTGTTGTAATGAATGATCACGGGTCAGACAGGAGTAGGCCCACTCCGCCAGGAAGCACAGCATGGTTACTGTTTGAGTTTGCCAGAGCTGCTGTAACAAATTGCCACCAACTTGGTGCCATAAAGTAATAAAAACTTAATTTCTTATAGTTCTGGAAGTCAGAAGTCCAAAATGGGTCTTACCCACTAGCAGGGTTGGCAGAGCTGCATTCCTTCTGCTCTGACAGTTTCCTTGCCTTTTCTAGGTTGCTTTAGAGGCAACCTCCCATTCCTTAGCTTGTGGCTTCATGCTCCATCTTTAAACTCTATCACTCCAACTTCTGCTTCTCTCATCACATGTTCTGTCTTTCCTCTCTGCTTTCATCATCAGATCATTTTCTTTTACTTTGACTCTTTTGCCTTCTTCTTACAAGGTCCTTTCTGATTATATTACCTGAATAATCCAGGACTGATTGCCCATCTCAAGATGCTTAACTTTGTAACATCTGCAGAGTCCATTTTGCTATATAAGGTAACACATTCACAGGTTCTGGGGATTAGGACATGTACATCTTTGTGGAGAGTGGCATTACTGCACCTACCACAGTTAAAGAGGTGAGGATTGAGGAATGAGGAGTTTCTGACAGGATAACAGTTCGTGGAAAAGAACAGATGCTCTGTCACTCTACTGCTATTAACCAGATCTGATGGTTTTTGTTTTTTCTTTGCCTTCTAAATTATTTAATGATATCATACTTTGAAACTGCAGAGAAGATAATACATTTTTATAAAAACACACACCCAGCAAGTTTTGGTCTTAAAAAGGGGAACTTCTAGAAGCAGAGGGAAGTCTGGTTGGTGTAGTGCCAAGTCAAGCATTCATGGTTTCTTTGGGAAATAATCTCTTGAGGGACTGCTACGAGCACAACACAATTCTTAGAAAGTGTTACTCACCCTTTGATATTCCGATTCAAGAATGGAAATCTTCTCCCTTAAGATCCCTTAGAGCACTTTGGTCAAACTTAGAACACTAACAGTTGATTTTATTAACTGTTCATGGGTTAAAAAAAACAAAGAACATCTAAACGTCTACATAATCTGGTTGAGATGATCTGCTTTGATCTCTGAAGTTCACATCAGAGGTGTAATTTTTGCACCCTCTTAGATCTTGTCTAATAAGCTGCAGACTGAAACATGGCATCACTCAAGGGTTCACGTCTGGATATTCACTCTTCTCAGAGCATAAATCCCAAGGCAATGAAGCTGCTTCCCTAGCATCCCTATCAAAAGAGGGTAGTTTAAGTTTTCTGCCTAAAGCCGTGCCTTCACAAGATGATAGACACATGGTACTGTCATTCTTAGCTTCACTACCTTCTATCTACAGTGGCCCTTCTACCACTAGCATGCACATACTCACCTCCATTAAGGTCTTAGTCTTGCAAGCCTACATCAAGGTCAAGGATTTAGTCTTATTTCTTTTAGATTTTTTTAGACTTAGCAAAACAACTGAAGTCTACCTCAGCACAGTAGTTAAATATCTATTGAATAACCTGTGGTAATTATTATTGATCATATGCATGTAACTATCCATTTTTATCAAAGACTTTTCAGTTTTAATATCCAACATATGCTTATGTTTACAATCTAAACAGTGAATAGCTTCAGTATACAGTTATTTGGCCATAGTAAATTCCATCCCTTACAATCACAATTCTGTACAAAATTTCACTTGCACGGAAGGAATAAGTTCAAGACATCTACTGTGCAACAGGGTGACATAATACATAGTTAAAAATAATGTATATACTTGAAAATTGCCAAGAGAGATTTTAAGTGTTCTCGCCACAAAAAATATGAGGCAACACATATGTTAATTATCTTAATTTAGCCATTCCACAATGAATATGTACTTCAAAATATCATATTGTACAACATACATATATACAACTTTTGTCAATAAAAATTAATTTGTAAAATCATAATTCTAAATTGATATTTAGATTGAGTACGTTATCGAAATTTTTTATTTTTTTCAAGTTTTGAAAACTTCATCCATTCAGTAGACATTTGTAACATTTATTTGCTTGGGCTAAGTTCATTTTTACTCTCTCTAATCTTACTCATCTGAAATAAATCTCAAGTCCTAGAAACAGGTAACTTCCTTTGGATCAAATCATTCTGAATGTTTCCCTTGTCTCCCCCCTTCAACCTGCTGTCAGATTTGTGAGGGACAGAATCCCAGTCTCATTCTCATTTAAATTCTCATAACAGATGTGGAAATGCTTTATAACTGTAATGAATTGAACATATGTCTTAGGTGACAATTCTCCATCAATCTCTCATGTTTCTCCACATCCAGGAATTGACAGGTATTTCACGAAAGTGAAGATAAATAATGTTTCCCTCCCTGGAATATTTCAGGAAAATAAAGACCTCTCCTTCCCTTCTCTGGGGTGTGTGTGTGTGTGTGTGTGTGTGTGTGTGTGTGTGTGTGTGTGTGTCCCCAGAGAGGAGGATGAGCAGGCTTGCTAGAGATGCCTTTATATGATTGAGAGTTTCTTGGGCTCACCATTCTCAGCTGTGACATAGATCCACTGTGTGTGCAGCATTCATCCGGGCCTGCCTCTGTCTCATCCCTATGCAACTTGGGAAGGGGGGAACTGAACTTTTAGAATAAAAGCAAAATAAGGACATTCTTACACAAAGAAAAACAAAGAATTTATCATCAAAAGCCCCTCGTTATCTGAAATTCCTCAGGTATACTTCAGACCAAAAAAAAAAAAAAAAAATCCCAGATGAAATTTAAAAGTAGAAGAAAAATAATCAACAACAGTAACAATGAAAAATAAGTGGGTAGATCTAAACAAACATTGACTGCATAAATCAACAACCGCAACAACAACCTCAACGAGTGCAACAATAATTAGCCACGGGTAGCAATAATACAGGGAAAATTAAAACACTGAACAACAATGACACATAAGCAGTAAGGGTGAAGATCAGAGTTAAATACTTGAAGATGCTTGTGTAATTCTGGAGGAAAAGAAAAATATTAGCTAACTCTAGACTTTCACAAATATGCATGTTAAAATAGCTAGAGTAATCACTAAAAGAATAAGATGGATCATATACTTTCCAACAAACAGAGGAGGGAAGCTAGGAAAAAACAGCAAGAAGCCTCACTCAACCAAGCAATGACAAAAAGGGAGAGGTAAACAAGAAACATAATGCATCATACACACATAAAGAAGATGGCCAAATGCAGCAGCTCAGGCCTGTAATCCCAGCACTTTGGGAGGCCAAGGTGGGCAGATTACTGAGGTCAGAGGTTCGGGACCAGCCTGGCCAACATGGTGAAACCTCATCTCTACTAAAAATACAAAAATTAGCCAGGCATGGTGGTACACACCTGTAGTCCCAGCTACTTGGGAGGCTGAGCCAAGAGAATCACTTCAACCTGAGAGGTGGAGGTTGCAGTGAGCCAAGATTGTGTCACTGCCCTCCAGCCGGGGCCACAGAGCAAGACTCTGTCTCAAAAACAAAAACAAAAAAATGCATAAAGAAAACCTCAAGTAAATCAGAACTTATTATCAAAGGCCCATTTTTAAACTAAAATCAAAGAAGATTTTCAGAGAGGGTATTTATTCAGGGAAAGGATAAAACATTACTCAGAAGAAAAATACTTCATTGTGTATGCATAATCATACATGACTGAATTTATACACAAAAGCATGTGAGAGTCTCAAGGTATTTCTACAAACTACTGAAACCAAAAAAGAAACCTTTTTCTCTCATAATTTCTGAATGTTTCCAGGGAAACTTATTTGCCTGAATCAATATGGATGACTGCTGTAATTTTTTACTTTACCTTGAATGTACAGATTTTGACCCTATTCAAAGAGCTTGATTATCCAGCCAGAGAAATGGCCCACAGACCATAAACTCTACAAGTGATGTAATTCTGGGGAAAAAAAAATCTAACATAACCCTGAGATCAAGCAGATCTCTATGATTTTGTCTTATTTCAAATAATCCTTAAGGGTAACAGTGCATTATTTGACCTAAAGAATGTTTCTCAGCCTCCTCCAATTCCCAATCAGACACTTGAGCAAGTATTTCAGAGACAAAGAGAATCTCTCTTCTGGCTCTTCTTTTCAGAGGCTGACCCTTCTGTTCCACTATGGGCAAGAAAGAAGCTGGAAGTTTAAAACTGTGATGATTTCTGTACACTGTAAGTTAAAAACAGAGGTTATCTTTTCCAAATTGGAAGGCGATTTACTCTTTCTTCTTAAAGAAGGAAACAAATTCTCTCCCAGACTCCAATGCTACTGTGCTGTTTGAAATTTGCGAATAACAATGTATGTGCCATACCTATGATTCTTAAACTTCTCTTTAAGAACTTTATGTAATGTCTATTCATCATGCAGCTTTCTGATCCCCACTTTCAGAATTTCTGATGAGGGGAGACCCCCTGTGTGATTCAATGCAGATCATCCAAGGTGCCTATCAGTAGCCTTGCTTATCACCTGGCGCTTATTAGAAATGTAGAGTCTCAGCTCCATCCCAGACCTTCTGAATCAGCATCTGGATTTTACTAACATTCTCAGATGATTCAAATACATATTGAAAACTGAGAAGCAATAAATTAGACATCCCTCTGCGTTCCTGTTGTAGTTTAAGTATGAATAAGAAAGAATTTCTATGGTCTTAACAGCTTTCAGAAGTTAATTTATTGGTAGAATAAACAGTTTAAACTAAAACTTTATACATTTTAAAACAGGATTAAAGCCATTTATTTTAACTATAAATGACATTGGAATAGTGCCCTGACTCCAGTAAAATGGTGAGTTAGGAGCTTATAATAGTAATAGGTTTGGTTGTTAGTAAGACTTGGAAAATAGAGGATTAAACAAGACGGAAGTTTATTTCTCTCTCAAATAAAAGCTATTCACATATGCATTGACCAGAGTTGGTATTTTGGCTTCACACTGCCATCAAGAACACTGGCTCTTATCTGTCTGCCTCATTAGAATGGTTACTGTATCTTTAGCTGTCGAGTCCAAGTTCCAGCCCATAGGCAGAAGACAAGGAGTAAAGACAAAGGGGTTGCCCCTCTTTGTAGAGTGTGTTTCTTGAAAACTCATACAACACTTTTGCTTATGTATTAGTATTCCTTACATATGCCTACAATCTATCCACAAGGAATATTAGGAAATGTAAGCCTTTTGTAGCCACACTGCCTGTACCCCCAACATATCAGCATTCTATTAATTAAAGAAAATGAGGCCGGGCGCATGTGGCTCATACCCGTAATCCCAGCACTTTGGGAGGCTGAGGCGGGTGGATCACGAGGTCAGGAGATAGAGACCATCCTGGCTAACACGGTGAAACCCCATCTCTACTAAAAATACAAAACCAAAATTAGCTGGGCGTGGTGGTGGGCACCTGTATTCCCAACTACCAGGGAGGCTGAGGCAGGAGAATGGCGTGAACCCAGGAGGCCGAGCTTGCAGTGAGCCGAGGTTGCACCACTGCACTCCAGCCTGGACAACAGAGCTAGACTCCATCTCAAAAAAAAAAAAAAAAAAAGAAAGAAAGAAAGAAAGAAAGAAAGAAAATGAGAGAATGGATGTTGGGGAAGACAACTGGCAGCTTCTGACACCGGACCCACTTGAGAGTCCAAGAAGGCCTACAGACAGCCCCCAATTCAAAACATCTGGTGTGTAAACCTGTATTTACAAGTGACCTGGCTCTACCATTTGGGGAGAAACGTAATGTGAAGATGAAATAGAATAGAAGAAACTATGCAATAAAACAGAAAAAAGCAATAACATGTGTGATGGACTTTTACTCTAATAAGGCCACTGAATGACTCAGCTCTTCAGGGCACATTTCGTAACGGAAGCACTTTCTGGAAATCGGCAGAGCACAGCTTGCATGCTTAACAGTGGTCCTAACCCAGGGACCCACCTATTAGCTCATCTGTGCAAACTTCGTCCCTTTTATGGCCGATGTTTTGGTTTTTGGTGGCTTTTTTCCTTTGCATTTTTTAGCAACAGTGTTCAACATTCCCCAATTAGCAATCCAAGCATCATCTTTTTAAAATATTAATAGCTGCAGAATGGTTATGGGCCATCAGTCATTCACGAGTGTGAATGGATTAATTACATTAATTTTCTAATGGCTGACAAAGATCAGCTGCTTTGTGGGAAAGAGACTGTAGTCTGGGGCCGGAGGAGGTCAGTAAATCATTTTAGAGGCCCAAACCTTTGTTCTGCCCTCTGTTAAAATGCTGCACAGGTGTAGGCTGAAGTCATTAGAGGCCGGGAGGAGAGGGGCCTAGGGTATTGAAGAGGAGCACAGAAAGAAAGGTAAATTGATGGAAAATTAAAACTTTACTACTTAAAATTTGTTCTAAAATCATCAGAGTACCAGGAATTGTTAAGAAAAAAAAATTCCATTTTATCTTCGGCTTCATATTATTCCTTGCCATCAGAGAATACCACAGAGTATACTTAGATCGATGTTACAAGCATGTAGTTTGGCTACATTGTGGGTTCAATATCATTTGAAGGGTAGCTTGGGGATTAGCTAGCATGTAATATGTGTGTTTGATAGAAAATGCATAGCATTCCCAACAACCAAAGAGGAAATAAAAATTTGCTTCATCATCTCTACATAAACTAGGGATTGCCTTTATCCAGCACATTTCTAAACTAGTATATTACTGTTGTTGTTGTTCTTGTCATTGTTGTTGAGGAACTCTTTTATAAACACAATTGTCTGTAAGAGAATACATGTCAAACAGAAAAAGGGGAAGGCAGTTCTGGATGAATCACAACCCAGCAGCTCAACCTCCAGGCCTCTCCTTCAAGAACACACATTGAGAAACACCTTTCTGGACAAAGAGAGACCAGTGTCTCAAAGTAATACTAGAGCTTAAGTTTCTTTAGTAAGAAACATAAGCACCCCCTCCCCTTCCCTCTGCAATAAGTATATAAGCATGTTGGATCATGGGGATCAAAGGTGTGTTTACTGGAGCTATCGATATCCAGTGTTTATTTAAGCATAAACTGCTAACACTATAGATTTGATCTAATTTTACATTTTCAAAGAATTTCACATGCATGAATCTTGTATAGCACAGCAACCCTATGAGGAAGACAGTACAGGTATGGCTGTGCTCATTTTATTGATAAGAAAATTTAAGTGGCTTTAAAAAGTTAACGTTGCCACAAAGTAATAGAGATAGAGCAAGGGTTCAGATCTTTTCATTTTTCAACTTTGGCCACACTTTATAATCACCAGGGACACTTGTGAAAGAGAAATGCCAAGGATGTGGGGAAAATGGCAGCAGTGGCTCCCTGATTTTTAAACACCCAAAGTCCCTCCTCCCCCATCCAACTAAATCTAGCAGAACAACTGGGCGAATAGATGCAAACACCCACAGGCAACAGCTACAACAAAACCAGTAGTATATAAGAACCCCAAAATATACACAAAAAAGTGGATACAACCACCAGTAGCAAAAACCATGCGTTGTCCACACCATGCGAGAGAAACGGCAAGAAAGCAAAGCAACTCCTAATGGCTCTGAGAACTGGAGGGCCCTCAAAGTGCTAACAAACACTTATTTTAAAAGTGTATTCCACATTGTTGGTGGGACTGTAAACTAGTTCAACCAGTGTGGAAGTCAGTGTGGTGATTCCTCAGGGATCTAGAACTAGAAATACCATTTGACCCAGCAATCCCATTACTGGGTATATACCAAAAGGATTATAGATCATGCTGCTATAAAGACACATGCACACGTATGTTTATTGTGGCACTATTCACAATAGCAAAGACTTGGAACCAACCCAAATGTCCATCAATGATAAACTGGATTAAGGAAATGTGGCACATATACACCATGGAATACCATGCAGCCATAAAAAAGGATGAGTTCATGTCCTTTGCAGGGACATGGATGAAGCTGGAAACCATCATTCTCAGCAAACTATCACAAGGACAAAAAACCAAACACCACATGTTGTCACTCATAGGTAGGAATTGAACAACGAGAACCCTTGGACACAGGAAAGGGAACATCACACACCGGGGCCTGTCATGGTGTGGGGGGAGGGGGGAGGGATAGCATTAGGAGATATACCTAATGTATATAATGTAAATGACGAGTTAATGGGTGCAGCACACCAACATGGCACATGTATACATATGTAATAAACCTGCACGTTGTGCACATGTACCCTAGAACTTAAAGAAAAATTTTAAAAATAATAAATAAAAAGTGTATTCCAATCTGGAAACCGCTGCAGAAGCAAGCGCAGCTTTCAGTAGCCCCATACGACTGTGCGGGACAGAGACCAGTGTAAGATTAGATGTGGCACCGGCAAGCTAAGCCCTGTGAATTTTCAAAATGAATAAAGGGAAGCTACCTCCCAAGACAAAATCCCACTCTGAGGAGAATGCCATTTGAATAGGACAGGTACAATAAAGCAAAGGGAAAGAAAATTCAGATGAAAGTGGGGAAAGGGTGCACCGGAGTTAGATCTCAGAATTCACTGAAGCCATTATGATTACTACTAGTAGTCACCGCATGGAAACAACAGATAAGATAGTGCTAAAGCCCTGAATCTAGAAAAGCTATCCGGGACCACCCTTTCTGTCTAAAATATACAGGAACTTATTTGTTTTAAGCATGAACAAAAGAAAAGGAATGTGATTAAATCCCATACAAAGGTGTTTTTTAATCAATAAGGAGCAGAATCTAATATTTCTAAAAAAGTGAAAGGATTTATAATAAAGTAATAGAAACTATTAAATAACAGCATGAAACAGAAGTAGAAACACCTGGAAATGAGGTGAATAGAAAAGGGGAAGCATGAAAAGATAGGGTGACAAAATTTAAGAAAGAGCATAAAAGAAAAAACCATTTTAGAAATGAAGTCTGAACTTGAAGTCACTCAAAAGTAAATGAACATAAAGAATAATGCCTTAAGAAAAATAGAAAGTGAAAGGAAGAAATGTTTTAACATCAAAAAGAAACACTGAAAAAGATCTAAACTATTCTTGAGAAAGATATAGCTATCGAGGATAAGCAAAAAGGATTGGACATTGTACTAAGAATCCCCAGCGAAAAGCAAAGCAAAGGCAGAGAACAAATACGAAGATTATCAATCAAGAAAACTTCCATGAAGTTTAAAGATATAAAAATAAGAAGACTTGAAACTTCACATGGAAAAGGCATACCACATACGTGGGAAAATCATCATAGCACGGCCGTGGCATATTCTGATAAAATCATCAGACTTTAAATAAAAAGAAAAAATGTCTAGCACTCCTGCCTCCAAGTCACTTCTATGAAAATCAGGTTGTCATCAGACATTTCAGCATTATATCAAAAACAAAATGAGGCAACATACATAAGAAAATGTGAACTAGTGTATCATCCAGCCAAACATAACTCCAAGTAAAAAGGGCACAGTTATTAATTTACCAAGTAAGCAAACCACTACAGCCACAACCCTCGCAAAAAAGAGAAAGCACTATTTCTCTAAAGAAAGTTTCAGATAACCAAATGTCTAGAAAAAAACTGGCATAATTTCTGACAGTGAATATTAACTATATATTTATCTATAGAACTAAGATAAAATGATGGCTATAGTGGAAAAACTAAAGTTTATGATGGCTACACATTGACGGTATAATAAAACAGGGACAGAGAAACAGGAACAGACATGAAAAGAGAAGGAACTTACTTATTGCCTTCTGCAATAAAGTTTTCTGCATAAATTGCCTTCTGGGAGTAAAGGACATTTCAAATACAGGCATACCTTGGAGATATTGCAGGTTTGGTTCCAGACCATTGCAATAAAGTAAATATCCAAATTAAATGAGACACATTTGATTTTTTTTTTGTCTCTCAGTGCATATAAAAGTTACATTTACACTATGTTGTAATCTGTTAAGTGGGCAATAGCATTATGAATAAAAAAGCAATGTATATAATTTAAAAAATTTATTGCTAAAAAATAATAATCATCTGAGCCAGTTGTAATTTTTTTTTGGTGATAAGTCTTGATGTCGATGGCTGCTGACTGATTAGGGTGGTGGTTGCTGAAGGATGGGGTGACTGTGGAAATTTCTTAAAATAAAACAGTGAAGTTTGCCACATCAGTTGGTTCTTCCTTTCATGAAAGATTTCTCTGTCATATGCCATGCTACTTGATAACATGTTACCCACAGTAGAAAGCCTTTCAAAATTGGTGTCAATCCTCTCAAACCCTGCCACTGTTTTATCTACTAAGTTGACAGAACATTCTAAATCCTTTGTTTTCATTTCAACAATGTTCACAGCATCTTCACCAGGAAAAGTTTCCATCCCAAGAAACTACTTTGCTCATCCATAAGAAACAACTTCTCATCCCTTCAAAACTGATCATGAGATTGCAGCCATTCAGTCACAGCTTTTGGCTCCCTTTTTAATCCTAGTTCTTTTGCTATTTCCACCACATCTGCAGTGACTTCCTCCACTGAAGTCTTGAATTCCTCCAAGTCATCCATGAGGACTGAAGTCAACGTTTTCCAAACTCCTGTTAGTGTCATATGTTCTTAATGGCATCTACAATGCTGAATCCTTTCCAGAAGCTTTTCAAACTACTTTGCCCAGATCCATCAGAGAAATGATTATCTATGGGAGGTATAGCCTTATGAAGTGTATTTCTTAAATAATAAGACTCGAAAGTTGAGTTGACTCCTTGATCCATGGGCTGCAGAATGGATGTTGTGTTAGCAGACAGAAAGACAACATTAATCTCTTTATACCCCTCCATCAGAGCTCTTGGGTGAACAGGTGCATTGTCAATGAGCAGTAATATTTTGAAAGGAAACTTTTTTTTTTCTGAGCAGTAGTTCTTAACAGTGGGTTTAAAATACTGCTGCAAACCATGATGTAAACAGAAGGTGCTGTCATCCAGGTTTTGTTGTTCCATTTATAAAGCACAGCTAGAGTAGATTTAGCACAATTCTTAAGGGTTTGAAGAATTTCACAATGGTAAATGAGTACTGGCTTCGACTTAATGCCACCAACTGCATTAGCCCCTAACAAGAGTCAGCCTGTACTTTGAGGTTTGAAGTCACTGACTTCCCTCCAGCTTTGAAAGTCTTCAATGCCTTCTTCTTCCAACAGAAGGCTATTTAATCTATTAATATATAGAAAATCTACTCTATAATGTAGCCATCTTCATCAGCGATCTTTGCTGGATCTTCTGGATAACTTGCTACATGCAGCTTCTATGTCGGCACTTGCTGTTTCACCTCTTTTATCTTATGGAGAAGGCTTCTTTCCTTAAGTCTCATGAGCCAGCCTCTGCTAGCTTTAAGTTTTCTTCTGCAGCTTCTTCACCTTTCTCAATCTTCACAGAATTGAAGAGAGTTAGGGCCTTTGCTTTTGATTAGGCTTTTGCTTAAGTGAATGTTGTGGCTGGTTTGCTCTTCTATCCAGACCACTTAAACTTTCTCCATATCAGCAAAAAGGCTGTTTTGCTTTCTCATCATTTACATGCAGCACTTTAAACTTTTCCTTTGCCTTCACAACTTGGCTAATTGTTTAGCACAAGAGGCCTAGCTTTGGGCCTATCTCAGCTTTTTGGACATACCTTTCTCACTAAGCTTAATCGTTTTTAGCTTTTGATTTAAAGTAAGAGACATATGACTCTTCCTGTCAGATGAACACTTCGAGACCACTGTAGGGTTATTAATTGGCCTAATGACAATGTTGTTCTGTCTCAAGGAATAGGGAGGCCCAAGGAGAGGGAGAGAAATAAAGGAATGGCTGGTTGGTGGAGCAGTCAGAACACACACCTTTATTCATTAAGTTCACCTTCTATAAGAGCAAGGCTTGTGGCATCCCAAAACAAATACAATAGTAACATCAATGATCACTGGCCACAGATCACCATAACACATATAATAATAAGTTTGAAATATTGCAAAAATTTTTAAAAATGTGACACAGAGACACAAAGTGAGCACAAGCTATTGGAAAAATGGTGCTAATAAACTTGCTCCATGCGCTGTTGCCACAAACCTTCAATCTGTTAAAAAAAAAAAAACACAACATATGGGAAGCACAATAAAGTGAGATGCAATAAAAGGAGGTGTGCCTGTAGATGCTGGGGGCGGGCGGGGGGAACAGAAAAGAAGTTAGTACTAGGAAATTTCAAAAATTCTAGCAGGAGGGAACAAATAAAAAATAGCCAGAGAGAGGAGGAAAGAGAGAGAGAGAGAACACAAGTACATAAAATAGAATACACAGTGAAAGGGTATGTATACATAATCATTATGAAAACCAATATTACAGAACCAGAGGTCAAACATACAGATCATATCAGTAAATATAAAATGAGATTAATTTATAAAAGGAAAAACATTCACATTGGCAAACAAAGCAATCATGCTTTTGGTGATAGCGTTCGCATTGTTACTTTTAGGCAGTTGTGTGTGTGGTAAGGGATATCCTGATTCCTATGTTTGCATCATATATTACTTCAAAATGCATGGTTTTAAAATATGATGACATTGATAAAGGGCTTATATCTGGATACAAACAACTCAAAAATCAATAAGAAGGAAAAACTTCAATTTTAATAAATGTGCACTAGATTATAACAGACAGTACACCACAAAAGATATACAAATGACAAATGAGCACATGAAGATATGTTCATCTTTAGATATTAGGGAAATGCCTATTAAAGCCAACATGAGCTATCATGACACATCAAACGGAATGGCTAAAATTTAAAAACAACTCAACATACGAGTGTTGGTGATGCTGTGGATTACCTAGAATTTTTTTTTTTTTTTTTTTTTTTTTTTTTTTTTGAGACGGAGTCTTGCTCTGTCGCCCAAGTTGGAGCGCAGTGGCGCGATCTCGGCTCACTGCAAGCTCTGCCTCCCAGGTTCACGCCATTCTCCTGTCTCAGCCTCCCCAGTAGCTGGGACTACAGGCGGCTAATTTTTTGTATTTTTTAGTAGAGACGGGGTTTTACCATGTTGGCCAGGATGGTCTCGATCTCCTGACCTCGTGATCCACCTACCTCGGCCTCCCAAAGTGCTGCGATTACAGGCGTCAGCCACAGCGCCCGGCCTGGATTACCTAGAATTCTTAAACATTCCCTGTAGCAATATAAAATATTGATAAACCGTTTTTAAAACAGTATGGTAGCTTATAAAATGTTAAGCACACACATACCATATAATCCAGCCATTTCACCCCTAGTTACCCAAGAAAAATGAAAACAGATGTTCAGACAAATACCTGCACATGAACACACATACCAACCTTATTTGTTAAAAATAAACAAACAAACAAAATCTAGAGGCAATCTGAATGCTCATCAAGAGATGAATGGGTAAACAAATTATAGTATAGCCACACAATGGAATACTATTCAATAGTAAGAAGAAATGAACTATCGATAACTCTATAACATGGATGAATCTCAAAATAATAATGCTAAATGAAATAAGCCAGGCCAAAAAGAGTACATAATGTATGATTCAATTAATATAAAATTCTATAAAATGCAACTAATGTATAATAACAGCCAGTCAATAGTTGCCTGGAGACAAAGAGGGGTGAGAACCAGGGAGGGGCAGCAAGTAAGGATTACACAGAATACGAAGGAGAGGAAGGAAACTCTTGGACTGATTTGTTGTCTCATTATCTTGATTGCCCTGATGGGTTCACAGTGTATGTACAAGTCAAAACTTACTGAATTATGTGCTTTAAATTCCACAGTTTTTTATGTCAAATTATATCTCACTAAAGCTATATAATTAAAAAGGTAAGAGAGAGGGCTATACTTAAAAGCAACAAAGCATGAGTAACTTAATACCAACAAAATGACATTAATTTTGCTCTTGAAAAAAATACTTGGGCAGCTCTTAGTGGAAATAGCTTATTTCTGTTCCAATCCATGTCACCTGAGGAAATGGACTCATCTAAAATTTTCCTCACTTACAACTCTGGTGGTTGATCCTGTCAGCTGAGATCATAGGTGGGACTGTTGGCCAGAATGTCTGCAGGTGACCTCTCTGGAACCTGGACTTCCTTAAAACATGTGGCTATTTCCAAGAGTAAGCATTCTGAGAGAAAGTCCAAAAGAAGCTGAATCACCTCCTGCCTACCATGCAGACATCATACAATGTTGTTTTTGTCTCTTTTTATTCACTGAGGCAGACAGAAAGTCATATCCAATTTCAAGGGAAGAAAACTGACTCCACATCCGGAAGCAGAAGCAACAAGATTCTGGATGCACACACAGGATTGGAAACACTTTTGTGACAATTTTTAGAAAATTCGATGTGCCATATGGGACAAATAAGTGAGTCCCTCTATTAATGTAATTAGAAACTGACATTTTTGGCATGAAAGAAAGAAGATTCACAAGTAAGGGTAATAAAATTAAAGAAAAACACCATATTCCTGAGTTCTAAAATATGTTTCTATTTTCCACAAAACTATAAAAATCCCATAACATAGGAGAAAATCTAGGTGGCCTTGGGTTTGGCAATGACATTTCAGATACAATACCAAGAGCAAGAACTATCAAAGAAATAATAAGCTGGACTTCATTAAAATTAAAAACTTCTGTTCAGCAAAAGACACCGTCATAGAATGAAAACGTAAGCCACGGGTTGGGAGAAAATATTTGTAAAAAGCAAAGATATATCTAATAAAGGACTATTATTCAAAATATATAAAGAACTCTTAAACCTCAACAGTAAGAAAACAAACAACTTGATTAAAAAATGTGCCAAAGGCCTTAGCAGACTCCTCATCAAAGAAGATATACAGAAAACAAAGAAGCATATGAAAAGATGCTCCATGTCATAGGTCATCTGGGAAATGCAGATTAAAACAACAATGATATACCAATACACAACTACTAGAATGGTAAACATCCAGAAACAACACCACCACATGCCAGCAAGAATGTGGAACAACAGAAACTCATTCATTGCTGGTAGGAATGCAAAACGGTACAGCCACTTTGGAGGACAGCTTAGCAGTTTCTTACAAAACTAAATAGATTCTTACCATAGAATCTAGCAATCAAGCTCCTTGGTACTTAACAAAAGGAGTGGAAAACATGTCCACACAAAAACCTGCACATGAGTGTTTATAGCAGTTTGATTTATAATTGTCAAAACTTGGAAGCAACCAAGATGTCTTCAGTAGGTGAATAAACTGTAATATATCCAGAAGGTAAAATATTATGCAATACTAAAATGAAAAGAGCTATCAAGCCATGAAAAGATATACAGGAAACTTAAATGCGTATTACTAAGTGAAAAAAAGCCAATCTGAAAAGACTACATACTGTAGGATTCCAACCTCAGGACATTCTGAAAAGTCAAAACTAAAGAGCCAATTAAAAGACTGGTGGTTGCCAGGGTTTGAGTGGGAAGATGGATACACAGGCAGAACACAGAGAATTTTTAGGGCAATGAAACTACGCTGTATAATACTATAATGGTGGATAATGTCATCATACATTTGTCCAAACCTATAGACTATATGCCAAAAGTGAACCCTAATGTAAACTATGGACTTTGGGTGATAATGATGTGTCAAGGTAGGTTCATAGATTGTAACAAATGCACTACTCCGGTGGAGAATGTTGGTAACAAGAGAGGCTGTGCACGTGTTGGGGAAGGAGGTACATGGGAAATCTCTGTATCTTCTGCTCAATATTACTGTGAACTGCTCTAAAATGAGCAATCTAGTAACAATGAGCATGTCAAGCTATCAGATCTGTGTCTCTAATTACATTTCCTCATAAAAGGAACTAGGGCTTCTTAGAGAAATGGCTGTTTTTAGGAATGTTTAAGATGAGCCTTCATACCAGAAAGCAAGAAAGCAGTGACTATTAGGATTGTGTCCAAAGGGCTCAGAATCCAAAATGAAGAGGATACCCTGGCCATTGTTGAGACAATTTAAGCACAAATAAGAAAAATATTTGCAAGTATTAAAATATATCACATATTTAAGAATTCATGCATTCATCATATCAAATTTTAAACCTCATTGGAAGAAACTGGTATGTGGTCTCATTTGAAAACTAGCAAATAAGAGAAAAGAATCAAGGAGTTTTCCTTTCTTTACTGTATAAACTATATAATCTCAGGGTAATTAGATAGTTGATGATGGAAAACTTCATTATAGAATGAACTATTGCAGCTAGTAAGTAAAAGGAAAAATTGAATTAGAATAGCATCACTTTGTAAACTAATTCAAAAATGGGTCTGGGCATTGATCATCAGAGGCTGTTAATATCTCAAAAAGAGAAACAACCAGAAATATTTTGCCTAATGATGGGTGTGCCCAATAACATTTACAAAACAATCTTTCCAAAGTGATCCAATTTAAATTCTACCAAGCTTTTAGCTCTAACTATCAATTTACAGGAAATAAAGAGAACAGAGGAACACATGAAATGATGTAACAGAAATTCAATTATTCCTAACCCTTTGGAAAACTGCAAACAAATGACTCACTCTCTTTTTTGCAAGAAAAAGAGATGGAGACGTAGGCTATAGATTTTAAAAGATGTGAGAAACACATTAACCGATCTCAATAAATATACCTTCTTTGAATTCTGATTTGAGCCAACAAATTATAAATATATGGGACAATCTGGGAAGTGCGAACATTGACAGGATATTTGATTATACAAAAGAAGTAAGTTAAACTTTTGGTGTCCTAATGGTATTACAAGTTTTCAATGAATTATCCTCTTTTAACTACACATACATCCACACTAAGATATTTTTCAGATGAAGTCATAGCTAGGACTTCTATCCAAATAGCCCAAAGGAAGGGTTAGTGAAAGTGGGGTTGGCTATATATAAAACAAGTCTAACAATGAATCAGACATTGTCGATGCTGAGCAATGGTTACATCATCCTGTAGATTCATTATTTTATTTTTTTCACTTCCACATATATGTTAAAGATATTCCAAAATAAAAAGTCTAAAACAAGTACGTAAGTAAATAATTATACCCTCATCCCACTGCCAGATATTCTGATGTAATTGTTCTGTTAATATCCCGCTTTTGTTCTTTTTTAAGATTGCTAAGGAATTCTAATGAGTAGCAGTAAATGAGAATAATCTCATTGAGCTATACACATAGACAGATATACTCATACCTCATCATAGCATGGGAAGAAACCAGGTAGCCTGTTATCTAGGTGACTGATTGATTTTAGAAGCCACAAATCATAACAGAAATGAGTACAGCTTGCATGTTTATGAGTACAGTACATACACAAATATAAATACGGTAAACATTCCTGCTTAATGGGAAGACTTGCCAAGTGCAATGAACTGTTGTCTGTGGGGTTGCACTTTTGTGCTTGGCTGAGCTGGTTGGAGTACAATGAAATACAGGGGAAATAAGGCTCAGTCATTCAATGACAAGGTGACTGAGGCATTTTCCTGGAGAAAGCATGCAGCAAGCCTGTATCTGGGCCATTTTGGTTATAAATAATTCAACTAAAGAAATCTTCCTCACCTTTCATGGTAACAGTAATTGGTAATATCATATGTGATATTTTAAAGTCCATCTTGATTAAATGCCCGTATATATGAAATTGAGTAACATTTGAGATTTGAAACCACATCATATATCATACCCATGGAAAAAATAAACACATCCTGTTTTTCTTACTGTGCAATTGTAATACATATTAATACTGCTCTCCCTACTAACTGAAACAAATAAAACCCTGAACCTCAACAAACTGCCTTTTCTTAACACTATTATTCAAAATCACTCCAGCAGGTTATAGCACAAGAGCAATTTTTCCAAAAAAAGGCCTAAAATATAATACAGAGAAGACAGTCCTCAAAATATAGACTACCATTATACGTCAGAGTCCTCAGTAAACTAGCTATAAGTTTTTTTCCCCTAAGAAATTATTTCCCTAAATTGTTCTGCTTACAGTATATCTCAGGGAAATAAAATCTTTAAAGTATTTATCAACTATTGCTGACGCATGTTTCAGAGATTGGTTGAGTACTTACCTTTTCTTTAAGGAGAAAATTCCAGAAGGCACAATTTTAATCAAAATCTCACAAGGCGGCACATACCCAGTCAGGATCCAAATGATGGAGTCAGAACATTAATAAAGCTTGGGAACAGTTTCTTTTTAGGAGCTGGAGGTGGTCATTTCATCTCAAAAGGCAGACGGTATTCTGGTCTGACATCCAGCTCAACTAGCACTCATCATTCTCAACCTCAGTGGCCCTAGTTAATAAAAGTATTGATGTGTCCCTGCCTAACCTACAATATTCAAAGCTTCACTTGAAGACTTGAATAGGCTCTTAATTTTTCTCCAAGAACTTCTACAGGGCCCTTTCTTGAAATCTATGTTTTCATAACAAAAGTGAAAATGTGCTGTCAGCAATTTTGTTTTTGAGGGTTCTATACATGAGAGTGCACGTTAAGTAGTGCCAAGGGCCCAGACCTTGTATGTGATAGGCTACATGACTGCCTGTAGACGTTTTATTCTCTTGAACCCCAGCATCTGCATTTGCAAAATAGGATTCAGATTCTCTCTCTTCTAGGAACAGCTAAACATTAAGAAGAGATGTTGTGCACTGTTCCATTTGTAACGAGTGCTCAATCAACGTTTATTCTCCCAATTCACCCACCCCAATTAGAAGAACTCTGCCTAGAACAAATAATTACAACCCTTGTTATTAAATGCCTTGCTAATCTATCTAGCATTCCTCAAAGTGTATTTCAGCAACTTTATTTTCTTGGATTACAATTAGATGTCCACAGAGCCACTGAGGAGGGTAAAAGTAGTGTCTATGGACAAGTTAGCTGAGAAATACCTGTTTTTATGAAGGCTTAGAGTTTTTTAATTGCTAATTTAAATTGTGATCCTTTGGTGGGGTGTAGGTTCAGTGCAAAGCATGCTACCTTTCCCAACATTCTATGCAACAGGAACTGGTATGGTTTGGATCTGTGTCCCCACCAAATCTCATGTCAAATCATAATTCCCTACTGTTGGAGGCGGGGCCTGGTGGGAGGTGATTGGATCATGGGGGTGGAGTTCTCATGAACGGTTTAGCACCACTGCCTTCTTGGTACTATATAGTGATAAAGTTCTCGCGAGATCTGGTTGTTTAAAAATGTGTTAGTACTTCCGCCACCCCCAGTCCTGCACCTGCCATGTAATATGCCTGATCCTGCTTTGCCTTCTGTCATGAGTAAAACTCCCTGAGGCCTCCCCAGAAGCAGATGCTGCCATGCTTCCTGTACACCTTGTGGAACCATGAGCCAATTAAACCTCTTTTCTTTATAAATTAACCAGTCTCGGGTATTTCTTTATAGCAGTGTAAGAATGAACTAATACAGAAACCTTCTTGTCAGTAACTCCTATTAATAACCCAAGGAACTAACAATGTTTTTTGGAAAACAATGTGGCAAGACCAAATGAGTCCTGAGAACTATGGGAAATTATTGTTGTCTCAAAAGATAAGAATGCTTTTTTGGTATTGTTTCTATGCATGGGATTACTCATAAGCACCACGGGAATGAAATACCTTCAGCAACTCACTGCAGAGCTATTGGGTAATTTTATTTTGTTTAGCCTTTGGATGACAAAAAGCAAGTTGTTCACTCTTGTGAACAATACAGTGAATAATTACAGTACTTGCTACTGACAAATGAGCATGATTTCTAAAGGTACAGTGGTCACTTTAGTCAGAAATATAATTATCTAGACAAAAGCGATTTGATGTTTTTATACTTTTAATAGTTTAAAAGCAAGTTTGGGAGAGCTCAAGGTCATGGTAATTCTAATTGTGTATGTGCTGGTTCAGATACATATAAGCAACCATTCTGAAAAGGCAATTTGGTTTAACAAATATCTGCTGCATACTTGCTATATAAAAGGTACTAGTTAGTAAACTAATAATGGTAATAGAAGATATGCATTACTTTGGACGAAAAATTATAATGAATCTATATTGTGAACTTATGTATGTTGCAAAAGGTTATGCTGGCTTTTCAGGTAATCATTCACTCTGAGCTTCTGCCACCTCTGGGATTTCCACAAGCTGCAACATTTTAGTTTCAACTCAGCTTAGCAATGCCATTGCAAAAACCATTTCAACTAGCGTTCAGATAGAATGGAGTATGCGTCCATTGCCAAATCAACTCACTCAGCATGTGCTCTCGCGATTCAGTTCTAGAGCAGCTGTGGTCTACTCTGGAGGAAGGGTAAATGAGATCACTTAGATTGAAGTAGCTTCCAATCTACATACTTAAATGAGAAACATACAAATTAACCATGCCCAGATGATCCCAAGTATGTTCAGGATTCAGGAGGTTGAAGCCAACTCACCTTGGTAGGTAATTACCGTCTTTCTGGTAGGCAGAATCGTAAGGTAGATCTCAAGATTCCCACCCCCATTGCACATGCTCTGTATAATCTTCTCTCCCTGAATATGAGTAGGTCCGTGAATATGAGGGATCTTACTCCCATGATTAGGTTAAATTAGCTGACAAAGCTGAAGGGATTTTGCAGATTTAAGTAAAGTGCCAAGTAAATCAACATTGAGTTAATCAAAAGGGAGATTATCCTAGGTAAACCTGACCTAACCAGGTGATCCCATAAAAGGGACTGGACCCTTCTGGAAGAAAGAGCTTTGAACCCACAGAGATTCTCCTGACAGCCTTAGGAAAGCAAATAGTCATGTTATGGAGAGGACCAGATGGCAGGTAAATTCTTTTCACAACCATTTCTGGCAGTATCCTTCCTGTCCGTGGGTTTAATGCATTCTCATCAACACACATGATGTATCCATCAGGGCCCAGGCAAGAGACAGAAACCACATCAGTTATTTGAACAGGGAAAATTTAATACAAAGATGCCTTAACTAGATAAGTAGTTGATAACTAGAAAAATCAAAGAATAAAAAGAGATCTCTAAAGTATAATGAGAATAGTACCTGCAAGAGGCAGCTATCACTCCAAAAGCCAGGGAACAAAAGGAAGAGATTGGAAGTATTAAAACCTACAAGGGATCCTGTGAAGCTGAAACTCAGCCATTTGAGGAAAGACTGCTGGCCTGCTGGTGTCTCTGAGCTTGGAGGAGGGCACCATAGAACTTAGACCCAGATTTTTAAGAACAAGACAAAGAAGCTTTTTCTTCAGGTGCTGGAAACTTCAATCTGGGTTCAGCTGCTTCTATAGGAAGGTGCTGCTGTAGCTGGGGCAAAAAAAAGTAAGGCTGAAGTGACACCCCCAAGAACAGCAAGCAGACAGGAAGTTCACAGGAAGCAAAGATGAACGAGAAAATCTCTTTTCTCCTACAGCTCTGAAGTCTCCCTCTGGTATCTCCTGTTGGCAGAGCCTAACATGGACCCAGCTGGAAGCAGACATGGTTTCAGAGTTGCTCTCCAGCAACTCGAGGTGAATTTACAAGGGTGAATGTGGAGCCAAGAAAAAATAACTTAGTAGCTGACACACATGGTTTATATTATTTTTTCTATCCCTTATTCTGTCTCCCAGAATGTCTTCTAAACTTTCTGATACCTGAAAATCCACAATAAAGTTTCTCCCACATGATACGAAGCTCACACAGAGTCCATGAAGCTGCTGTAGAACACACGCTGCCATAACCAAAGCCGCTGTCTCCTTGATCTGCTACCACTAAATTCCCAAAGAATCCAAGGGCTGAAAGCCCCAGCCACTATGCCTGAGCCCTCCAGACCCAGAAACCACTCTGTGGATTCAGCTGAAATGAAGGAACAGACACCTACTTCCGTGTTACACTTGGTTGCAGAGTTTGCCTCGTGCTCCCACTGTCTGAGAGAGAGCATGGAAACACTAACCCATTTTTGCTTGCAGCTTTCTATCACTAGGACCAGAATTCATTGTACTTGTCAGAGAATTATCAAGAAACAGATGCTATTATGAGACTTTATCCTTGGTTAATACTTGTGCACTCTGGCTTTCTTTCCCCTTACGGTGAATTATCTAATTGTTTAAAGCAAACCATGCCAAGATGCTACTAGTTATGCGCATCCTTAGATTTAGCCTGGTTTCAAAACCTATGCTACCTGGGATAATATACTATACAATGTGTAAAGAGCATTTTATGAGGCAAAATAGTTACATAATTATGAGCAGACTCTAGAGCCTGGCTGCTTGCATCCAAATCTTGACTCCATTTGTAACCTTAAGCAAGTTAGTCATTGTCTCAGCCTGTTCAGGTTACTACAACAAAATCTTATAAACTGCATGGCATATAAACAACAGAAACTTATTTCTCTCAATTCTGCAGACTGGGAAGTTCAAGATCAAGGTACAAGTAAATTCAGAGTCTGGTAAGGGGCCCCTTCCTTGTTCATAGATAGTGCCCTCTTGCTGTTTCCTCACATGCTGGAAGTGGGTGAGAGGTCTCTGTTGGTTCTCTTTATAAAGGCACTAATCCCATTCATGAAGGCTTTGCCTCATGACCCTAATCACCTCCCAAATCCCCTATGGCCTAATACTATTGTCGTGGGCTTTAGGATTTCAACACAAGAATATGCAAGGGAGGGACGCAAACATTCAGACTATAGCAATTATTCTTTCTAGGTTTTGGGTTCCTCATCTCTATAATGAGGGTGATAGCAGTAGTACCTGCTACATAAGATTGTAGTGAGGATAAAATATGTCAATGTAGGCAGAGCACTTGGAGGAGCGGCTGCCACAGTAAGTGCTTCATAAATGGAAACTGTTATTTTGCATTCCTGTCATTTTGAAAATGTAACCAGATATCATGTTGTCATACCAGGATAATTCTCACTTCAGCACCAAGATCTCTATTTCATCCACCTGAAATCTAAATTTTGGAGTTCCTCAGAGCTCTGTGATGGATTTTCATTTTTTCCCCTGGTCATTTTCTTTTCTAAATGATCTTATGCTTTACTCTGACTATATATCATTTAAGTGTCATCAACTCCAAAATTTATTTCTCACACAGATCATTGTTCTCATCTTTAAACATACACATGTCCCATTACCTACCTGAAATATCCACTTTGATGGCTTATAGGTATCTGAAGCATAACGTGCCCACAGTTGAATACTTAGTAGTCCATCTCTCCTCGAATCTTTTTCTCCTAAGTTTTTTCCTTTCCGGTAAATTGTGTTGTAGTTCATCCAAGTGCTCAATCTAGAAATCTGGGAGTCATTCAGGATTTATTTCTCTCCATTAACATCCCGCACTCAATTGATTAATATTTTCTGCCACTTTTTTCCTCCAAACTATAACTCAATCCAATCATTTCTCTTCCCATACCATCATCATTTCTTACATAGACTATTGCTTCTATTCTTTCTGCTACCACAATTATTCTCCACGAATCAGCCAGAAAGATCATTTTAATGTGTGGATCAGATCATGAGGTCCTTCTTCTTAAACCCTGTGATGGCTTCCCATTGCACTGAAAATAAAATTTCTGCTTCTGATATGTGGCTCCCAGTGGATTCTTGTGATGTGACTCCTTCTTTACTCTGCAATCTTTTAAGTCTTCCTGGACATCTTCAGTTCCTTTTACCTCCGAGGCCTCTCCTGCCTGTGGGTCTTCATGCATGCAGTTCCCTCTCCGTGGGATGCTTTTTCCACTTCCTGTAGCTGGCTCAATCTCACCCTGAGGTCTTAGCATAAGAGTCAACTGCTTGGAAAAATCTTTTCTGACCACTGTGTCTAAAGTGGGTTCCTTCACCTACCATGTCATTCCTGCTCTATTATTCTCTACCATGGCACTTAATTCACTTTAAAGCATGTGTAGCAATCAGTACAGCTTGATACTTTTATATGCCATTGTCTGTATTCCCACACAAGACAGTTCTATATCCTTTTGTCCCCTACTAACCTATGTTCTGCTACTAGCACAGCGCCAATCTCACAATACACATTGAAAAAAAAAAAATTGTTGAATGAATAAACATACTATGGCCCTTCTCCATGAATGTTTTGGTGAAAACAACAGAATACCCAGAGAGAAAGTGGATACAGTCAAATTCCTCCTGTGATGGTTAATATTGAGTGTCAACTTGATTGAAGGATGCAAAGTATTGTTCCTGGGTGTCTGTGAGGGTGTTGCCAAAGTAGATTAACATTTGAGTCAGTGGACTAGGAGAGGCAAACCCACTCTGAATCTGAGTGGGCACCATCTAATCAGCTGCCAGCACAGCTAGGATGAAAGCAGGCAGAGGAACGTGGAAGGACAAGACTGGCTAAGTCTTCTGGCCTCCATTTTTCTCCCATGCTGGATGCTTCCTGCCCTCAAACATCAAACTCCAAATTCTTCAGCTTTTGGACTCTTGGACTTACACCAGTGATTTGCCAAGGGCTCTTGGGCCTTCAGCCACAGACTGAAGGCTGCACTATCAGCTTCCCTACTTTTGAGGTTTTGGGACTCGGACTGGCTTCCTGTCCCCTCAACTTGCAGGCAGCCTGTTGTGGGACTTCACCTTGTGATCGTGTGAGTCAAATCTCCTAATAAACTCCCCTTCATATATTTACCTGTCCTATTGGTTCTGTCTCTTTAGAGAATTCTGACTAATGCACCTTATAATTAAATGGTACAGCGACATGTTTAGAATATTAGTGTCATAAAGTTTAAAATTCATATTTCCCTACTTTCAATTCCAAATACATCCAGATTACTGATAAGCTTAACCCTGAGTCTTAATATCTGATGTAATTTCCTATCACCATACCCAGTAGCTGTTGCATCTTGAGACCTCCTCTTTTTGGGACTAGTCATACCTGCTGGTTCAAATTATACCAGATAAATTTCTAATACTTACAGCAAAGGCACAAAATTATATTTCTGGATTAATCAATAGTCACATCTTCTGGTATGATTGTGAAGAACGATTCGACATCCTAAAATGATTGTTCCCAATATTCTATGCCAAATACATTTCTCTTTTATCCCATATACAGACTATGACTCATGCTACCATGTTTAACCTTCATCTTCCTCCTTTACTGAGGTAGGTCTACCAGTAAATATCTTGAAAAAGGTAGGAAGTACAATATTTAAGAGTGTAAAGTTTTAAGTCTATGTGTACCATACTTATTTATACCCAGGTCAAGAACAAAGTGGGATATACACAAAGATTGTTTTATGGTGAGATATGTTTAAAATGCCTACCTAGAAGCATCTCCCCCAGTAATATTCCATGCAGCCTCTCTTCTTCAATACAACCATGCCTCAAATACTTCTATTGAAAATAAAAGTTCACTGTGGTCTACACTGCCCTCTAGCGGCCATTCTCTATCTTTCTCCTCCCTACCTAAGCCAAATGTTTAGGAAAGAGTTGTGTCCACTTCCATACATTCTACCCTGTCATCAAAATACTGCCCTTCTGAACCAGCAGAAGTCCAATGACTAACTGATGTGGAATATAAAGACCTGGACCCTCATTCCAACTTGAGGCAACTCTAAAGGCTCATCTAAGTATCATGGTTCCCAGTAGGTCAGCTGAGGCCTTCATGGAGCCTGCATCACAACCCAACTTCCACCTTAGCCCAGTTGTTTCTTCTTCTTCCTCCTACTAGTGTGGATCTCAACAATACTCCCTGATAAACATCCTAGGCATTAATTTTCATCTTAGAAGTCTGCTTCCAGGGAACCCAACCTGCAACCCAAGTCTCTAATATTATAAGCATCCTTTAACTTTTTTTGTATCAGTCTTAGCAATCATAATTTAATATAAATTTATGTGTTCTTTGATCAGTGTCTTTGTTCCTATGAAGCTCTATGCTCTTTGAAACAAGAACTGTCATTTTTTTGTTCACTATTGTTTTCTCAGTACTTAGCAGTGTACTTGGCATATAATAGATGCTTGGTGAATAGCTCATTGTTGCATGAGTAGGTAAATAAATTATCTCATAATTCATCATTAGAAATTTATCTCTTTGCATTGTTATTGGGTTTTTAGTTAAAATGCAATTAACTCTTATATTCAATGAATATAATATACCAGTATTCCAGGTTGAGAACACAAGAATTTCCTGAGGAGAAAAACCTTTAAGAATGGGCTCAGGCATAATGTTTTGAGGAAGAAAAGAGCTAAAGGCTAATGGAAGACTGACCATCCACGATGTAATTGAAAGATAAAAAGAATGGCTTTCAGATTCAAACATGGATTTGAAGCCAGGTTTTGTCACCTACTGTGTGATCTGCAGTAAGAATTAAAAGAATTCCAGTTGAAAAACACTAGGTATAAAGTAAACTCATGATAAATATTGGTCTCTTTTCCATATACATTGCCAATTTCCTTCACTTACTCTCTGTTTCAGAAAAGTGCTGCCTATGAAATTGCTTTATCTGAATATCCACAGAGGAAGAAAGCCAACATAGAGATGTAGTTTAGCCCCTTCAATTCACTTGCTCTTTCTTTTCAAATCTTTCCAGTTTCAACTTCATGTCAATGAGCTGGTCCTCACACAATCCTTGGGATGGTTGCTATTGAATCCACTCACAAGTAATGAACTGAAACAAAGTATCATGGCAAAACTATGCAAATCAACCAATACCTAAATCAAACTAATAGGCAGAATTCTCACTCAACTGCTAGCCAATTTATTTCATGCTACTGAGTATTGATCCTAGTTGGAATGGTGGGAAATCTGTCATGCTTAAGATGCCATCATTGCAGCACTACTCACAATAGCAAAGACTTGGAACCAACCCAAATGTCCAACAATGATAAACTGGATTAAGAAAATGTGGCACATATACACCATGGAATACTATGCAGCCATAAAAAAGGATGAGTTCATGTCCTTTGTAGGGACATGGATGAAGCTGGAAACCATCATTCTCAGCAAACCATTGCAAGGACAAAAAACCAAACACCGCATGTTCTCACTTATAGGTGGGAATTGAACAATGAGAACACTTGGACACAGAAAGGGGAACATCACACTGGGGCCTCTCATGGGGTGGGGGGAGGGGGAGGGATAGCATTAGGAGATATACCTAATGTAAATGACAAGTTAATGGATGCAGCACACCAACAAGGCACATGTATACCTATGTAACAAACCTGCACGTTGCCCACGTGTACCCTAGAACTTAAAGTATAATAAAAAAAAATATATATATATATATATATAAAGATACCATCTGTTCCAACTGCCAATGGAAGTTATTTCTCCCTTCCAAGGTCTGTTGGCCAAGAGCTTATCCCTTATTTCCTGCAGGCTTTCAAAAGCATCATTAGGTTCCCAGTCAACATTGGACAAGGAATCTATTCTACTTATTTTCATTACTTCTAACAATTGGCTAATTTTACACTTCTAGTCAGGAGATTCCCCTTTACCATGAACACAAAAATCAATGGAGGAAGGGAGACTTGTGGCAGGACATAGGAGTTCTGTGGAGAAAACATCTGAATTTGTAGACTATTCAACAACAAGAGTTAACAGATATTAGATGCCACGAGGCTATAGAGATAGAGAGATTATAGCAGTTATCACTTTATTAGAGGAAGCGGCCAGAAAACTTCCAAGAAATGTATGTGTCTGCAAAAATTAGACCAAGAAAGAGTTTTCCAAGGAAAACTTTAGAAATTCTACTTCCCGTAACACTAGGGTCATCAAATTCTGTGGCTGGTAGTGTAGTAAATAAATACCCATTTGTTCGAATTCAAACAAGAGTTGGCGATGTATTTTCATATCAGATCTTATGGAACCAAATGAGTGAGACGTCTAAATGACTCTTCTATACAGTGACAAGTAATTTTAGTGGCTAGTGAACTTTAAAATTGTACAATTCCATTTATTTTTTCACAAAGGTACATTTCTTTGAAGTAAACTCACTTTGTTTAAAAAGTTGTTATTCTATTTAGGACATACATGCTGTTTCAACTTGGAACATCTCTGAAGACAATGCTCACTAATTCTTCAGAAGGTGAAAAAATGTAAACAAATTTCTCAGCCATGGGTTATTAGACTTTCCCACCTTCTCCTGGAATCTGTTAATCTAAAATTGACAGTACAATTAGCTGATAACACCTAGTTTAGCTGTGGTCGGTGAAGTTTTCACATAGATATATTTAGAAGTGAAAGCAATCCACGTGGTGTTAAGGCTTTGGTTTATTTGAAGCCCTGATGAAAACAGGAAGACGACTTGAGGCATGAATAATATATCCACAGTTTACACATGTCAAAAGTCTAGTCATGTATTTAAATAATTAAATTTGTAATCTTGTCAAAAGTAATTATCAAATTAATGTGGAGTGTGAATTGCTACATTTGAATGATCTTAAATTATTAAAATTACGTCCCTCTGAAAGATAGTTTGAATGATTAGACACCTAAACATAGGTTTAAAAAGAGGAGACAATTGGCTGAGCGTGGTAGCTCACGCCTGTAATCCCAGCTACTTGGGAGGCTGAGGCAGGAGAATCCCTTGAACCCGGGAAGCAGAGGTTGCAGTCAGCTGAGACCGCGCCATTGCACTCCAGCCAGGGCAACAAGAGTGAAACTCTGTCTCAAAAAAAAAAAAAAAAAAAAAGAGACAATTGCAGATAATGTGATGTCCTCAACCCATATTCCAGCCCCTTAAAATAAGTACCTCCTCAGCAGTACACATTCAAGAATAGCTTGTCTGGAAACATATCTGCTGTTTGAAGTCCCTGAACTCAGGGCCCTATAAATATCTGTTCCTAATGCCAAACAGAAGGACTAAGATAAAGAGTTCTCTCAATTAACCACCTTTTTCAGTTAATACATTTGCATTTTTATAATATTTGGGCCCATTTATAAAATAATAAACTAACTGTAGAAAGTTGAAGAAGAAAAGCAAAACCACTCATTCTTCCTCAAAGAAGTAAAATCTTGGTAAACCTATACATCCTTTTCCACACACACACACACACACACACATATATATATATAATTTACTTACAGAATTGGGGACTATTCAGGGGAGCATGTATTTCTCCGAATATATATTGAAAAATTTCTCAATATTAAATGTTTTTTCTCGAGCAAGTATTATATATGCTTCTATATTCATCAATAAATATTTTTTATTGTTAGATGGTGATGAATACTGAAAAAAATATATAACAAGGTAAAGTGAAGGGAGAGTGGGGATTTGGAGGATAACACTGTAACTGTGAGTGCTCACAAAAGATATCACTGATCGTATGACATTTGAGTAGAAATCTGAAGCACAGTGCTGAAAACCTGACCAGAAGAGGGTCTGACATTTTCAAGGAACTGCTCAGAGTCCAATGGAGCTAAAGTGGGTCAATCAGGAAGAGTATCAGGAAATGAGTTGGAGCAGGAAATAAGATATATCAAATGCTGGATGTAGAGATGCTAAGTAGATGGGAGTATTATGTTGGGTCTTTTGGACATTGTAAGGACTTTGGTTTTTACTCTAAGCAAACTGGGAAGACACAGGAAGGTTATGAGCAGAATTCCATTTCAAACAAATCAGTTTTGCTTCTCAGTGGTTAATAAGGAGTGCAGAGGTGTAGTGAAGAAAGCAAACCAACCAACATAAACCGTAGAGAAATGCGCAGCAATAATTCAGGTGAGAGCAAATTGTGGTCTGGAACAGAAGATTAGCTGTAAGGATAAAGAGGAATATTTGAGTTCTGGATTCTGTTTGAAGGTAGAACCAATATATTTGCTGATAGATTTGATACCAAGTCAAGAATAATTCCATAATATCTGACTTAAGATTGACCCTGAAAGAAAGTCAGAGGTGAACTAATCTTCCCGATAGAGGACCATACAGTAAATATTTCAGGTTTACAGATCATACTGTCTCTATCACAAGCATTCAGCTCTGATGTTGTACCATGAAAGCAGCGATAGACAATAAATTAACATGTAGTTGTCTTCTAACAAAATTTTAATTATAAAAACACAACCGGTTAAACTGGCCCAAAGGCCACAGTTTGCTAACCCTTCAATTGAAGTTATAAAATTTATGAACATAGAATTGCTTATAGTATTCTTTATTGTCCAGGAAAAGAGATATATCTGAGGTTTAGCCTTACCCCATTTATGGTCACTCATTAATTTTTGCTCCCTCCCCATCTGTCTACTGTTGTTTACTTCCCAGCTAGAGATGGGTGTGTGTGTGTGTGTGTGTGTGTGTGTGTGTGTGTGTGTTTTCCTTCCAGAATTTTTTCATTTCAGTGAGTGGGATACAGAGCTAGACTGTAGTGAACTTATTCAGTCTTGGATAAAACTAGAATCTTAATTTTTAAATATTAATCTTATTTTACATTCCTTGGATAAACTCCACTTAGTTTTAGCATATTATCATTTTTATATATTGCTGGATTTATTTTGCTAATATTATACCAAAGATATTAACATTAATGTTTGTGAGGGATATGATTAAGTAGTTTTCTTTTCCCATAATGTCTACCTTCTGGTTTTTCATTAGGATAATACAGTAGTATCCCCTTATCCATGGTGTTGCTTTCAGCAGTTTCAGTTACTGGAGGTCGACTGTGGTCTAAAAATATTAAATCAGAAATTCGGTAAATAAAAAATGCATAACTTTTAAATTGTATGCCATTCTGAGTAATGTGATGAAACTTCTCACTATCCCACTCTGTTCCACCAGGGACAGGAAGCATCCCTTTGTCCAGCAGATCCATTCTGTAGAAACTGCCCACCTGTTAGACATCAACATCTGCTTCTGACATCCAACCATCAACATCATCATGGCTTGATGACCCAGGATCACCCAAAGCAGATGACAGCAGCCTCATGTTACATCACAATGCCTATGTCATTCATCTCACTTCATCTCATCGTGTAGGCATTTTATCAACTCACATCATTCCAAGAAGGGTGAGTACAGTATAATAAGATATTTTGAGAAAGAGAGACTACAGCCACATAATTTTATTACAAAATATTGTTATACTGTTCCATTATTATCGTTGTTAATCTCTCACTATGTCTAATTTGCAAATTAAACTTTATCATAGGTATGCATGTATGTGAACAATCATATTACAGTAACCACATGGGTTGGTAATACCCACAGTTTTGGGCATCCACTGGGGGTCTTGGAACATACCCCTGCAGATAAGGGGGAGACTAATGTATTAGTATCATAAAATAAGTTAAGAAGCTTGCCCTTTTTAATTTTCTGAAAGAGTTTATATAAAATGAGTATAATTCATGCCTTAAGTGTTTTATACCACTCACCTATGAAGCATTTGGCCCTACAGGTGTTTCTAAAATATAAACACATTTAATTTTTTTCTTGCATTAATTTTGGTAGCCTGTTCCTTTCAAGGTACTTACCAATTGTATATGTTTTTAAATATAATGAATACATTTTTATCAATATTCTTTTATTATTATTATTTATTTTTTTCTGAGATGGAGTTTCACTCAGTCGACCAGGCTGGAATGTGGTGGCACAATCTTGGCTCACTGCAACCTCCGCCTCCTGGGTTCAAGCAATTCTCCTGCCTCAGCCTCCCGAGTAGCTGGGATTACAGGCACCTGCCACCATGCCTGGCTAATTTTTTGGATTTTCAGTAGAGACCGGGTTTCACCATGTTGGCCAGGCTGGTCTCAAATTCCTGACCTCGGGTGATCCGCCCACTTTGGCCTCCCAAAGTGCTGGGATTACAGGTGTGAGCCACCACGCCCAGCCTCTTTTATTATTTTTAATGTATGTAGGATAAGTAGCTGCCTGTTTTATTTCAGATACGGTAACTTACGTCATCTCTTTTTTCTTGCTCAATCTAACTAGACATTTCTCAATTTTATTGCTATTTTGAGAAACCAGGTATTGGCTTCATTGATTTCTCTCATCCCTTTTTAATAATTTTAGTACTTCATTATTTACTTTCTTGTACTTATTTTGGGTCTGGTGTTTTTCTTTTTCTCTTAAATTGAAAACTTAAATAATTGATTTTAGGCCTTTATTATTTTCTAAAATAATAAATACTGCTTTAGGTGCATTCCTTTTCATTAACAAAAAATTTCATTTTCAATTTTTCTTAGATCCGTTGGTTATTTAAAACCATCTACCTTAATTTTTAAAATTTTGAGATTTTCTATATATCCTTTTGTTAGTGGCATTTAGAACTTTACATAGAATAAAGTAACTTCGATTCTATTACGGTTAGAGAATATGCTGTTTTATTTCAATACTTCTAAATTGACTGAGACTTGTTTTATGGCCAAAATGTCTCCTATCTTAATGAGCATTACACGTATAGTTCAGAAAATTAAAAACAAAGTATTCTGTTATTTGAGGACAGAAAAATCAATAAATGTGAATTGATTTAACTCATTTGATAGTGTCGTTTAAACCTACTATATCTTCACTAATTTTCTGTTTACATGCTTTATCAATTACTGAGAAAGGAGTTTTGAAATCTCCAACTGTAATTCTGAAATTGCCTAATTCTCCTTTCAGTTCTATCAGTTTTTCCTTCATGCATTTTTATAGGTTATTGTGTACATAATATTGTATTCTTATGTATTGTTGATTAATTTTTTATATAACTTTATTATGATTAGTGTTGGTATGGAATATCTTTCCCTATCATTTCTTTTGTATCCCGTCTGTATTTTTATATTACAGGTGGTTTTCGACCAGGCGCAGTGGCTCACGCCTGTAATCCCAAAACTTTGGGAGGCCAAGGCAGGCAGATCACTTGAGGCCAGGAGTTTGAGACCAGCCTGGCTAACATGGTGAAACCCCATCTGTACTAATAATACAAAAAAATTAGCTGGGTGTGGTGGGGTGCACCTATAATCCCAGCTACTCAGGAGGTCAAAGGCACAAGAATTGTTTGAACCCAGGAGGCAGAGGTTGCAGACCACGCCACTGCATTCCAGCCTGGGTGACGGAGGGAAACTATGTCTCTAAATAAATAAATAAAAAGTGGTTTTCTTGTAGACAGTATACAATTAAATCTTGATATTTATACACTCTAATAACCTCTGCTTTTATTTAAAATATTTAGTACATAAACATTTACTAAAACTATTTAACATACAGTCAGACCAGTCAATATTTGCTTTTTTTTAACTATCATCAACTGAGAAATGCAGACTTATCTGAAAAAATAATTTTTATCCAGTTTCAAAATTGAAACTTTTCCAAGAAGTATGATTAATTGTGAATGGCGCAAAATACTAAGGGCATAAGCAAGAAATGAATAAGGAAGGAAGGAAGAGATGAACAGGCCTTGAGGTAATGGAAACATGTACAATGGACTATGGAACCTGATTATATGAAAACAGTACTGGAGCCCAATGCCTGGAAAGAATAAACAGCAAAGTTAAAAATAATAGTACAAGGTTCTGGAAAGAGTGTAGCTAAGAGGAAAGAAAATTTTAGACCGGGCATGTTGGCTCACGCCTGTAATCCTAGCACTTTGGGAGGCCGAGGTGGGCGGTTCACGAGGTCAGATCAAGACCATCCTGGCTAACACGGTGAAACCCCATCTCTACTAAAAATACAAAAAAATTAGCTGGGCGTGGTGGCAGGCACCTGTAGTACCAGCTACTCCGGAGGCTGAGGCAGGAGAATGGCATGAACCCAGGAGGCAGAGCTTGCAGTGAGCCGAGATTGTGCCACTGCACTCCAGCTTGGGTGACAGAGCGAGACTCCGTCTCAAAGAAAAAAAAGAGTAAAGAAAATTTTAGATTAACATCTAATTTCTCACTGGAAGATCAAGTAAATGCTAAGAATATAATTTTTACCATGTTGTAAATATTGAAAATTTAAAACTGATATATCACTTTAAAAATGTAATATATTTAATATACTTACTATGGCAATTTAATATGTGCCATGCATTATAAAAATACGTGAATAAGTTCCTCTTTAAATGATTAATATTTCACATGACTCGTTTTTAACCTTAATTTGTATTTCCATTTCACTTCTCCCACAGAATTTTATCTGAGTGACATGTTTCTATGTTTGAAAGTCTTTGATTTAACATCCTATTTACATTTCTGCAACAAGAATATGTATATAAATTAATTTTTGTAAATTTATGCTATTTTTTTCCTGGATTTAGTATTCATGCAATTGTTAGTAGTAGCCAATTGATAAAAACATTTGGCAGGTCAGTCTCCTCCCAGTTCACTACTTTCAAAAATAAGTTGGTAATTTAAAATTATTTATTTTAAATTATAGATGATGTGATTCAGATATATAATGCTGAAGTTCATGTAATTGGACAAAATTAATATAACCATCCTTCTGCTATTCCCATCTGCTTGTTAATATAAATACATGTCCTTAGTCTTTAAACTATGAAAAACAAACAAATTATTAATTTAGGAATAAATCTGATACTAAACCTTCTCCCATTCTACTAATAAACAATGCTTGCCCATGTAAACAACACTTTTTAAAAATGTATATTCATCTCATTAAGAGATGCATTGTTAATAAAATGTTACATTTAATAATTATCAAATTTTGTGAGACAACATATTATAAAGACTAAAAGAGTTTCTCTAAAGACTCCACCAACAAACTTGTTAGGACTTACAAACAAATTTAGTAAAGTTGCAGCATACAAAGTCAAGATACAAAAATCAGTAGCATTTCTATGCAAGTCAAAATCACAGTGAAATACCATCTCATAAAAGTCAGAATGGCTACTATTAAAAAGTTAAAAAATAACAAGTGCTGATGAGGTTGTGGAGAAAAAGCGATGCTTATACACTGCTGGTGGGAGTGTAAATTAGTTCAATCATTATGGAAAACGGTGACAACTCTTCAAAGACCTCAAATCAGAATTACCATTAGACCCTGCAATTCCTCCCAAAATTCCAATGTGGGGTATATACCCAAAGGAATGTAAATTGTTCTATTATAAACACACATGCGTGTTTATGTTCATTGCGGCCCTATTCACAATAGCAAAGACGTGGAATCAACTTAAATGCCCATCAATCGTAGACTGGATAAAGAAAATGTGGTACATATACACCATAGGATACTTCTCAGCCATAAAAAAGAACAAAATCATGTCCTTTGCAAGAACATGGATGGAGCTGGAATCCATTATCCTTAGCAAATTAATGCAGGAACAGAGAACCAAATACCATGTGTTCTTACTTATAAGTGGGAGCTAAATGATGAGAAGACATGGACACAAAGAGGGGATCAATGGACACTTGAGGCTGTTGGAAGGTGGAGGTTGGGAGGAAGGACAGGTTCAGAAAACACACCTAATGGGTATTAGGCTTAATAATTGGGTGATGAAATAATATGTACAACAAACCCCCATGATACAAGTTTACCTATATATCCAGCCTGCACATGTTCCCCCGAACTTAAAAGTTAAAAAAAAACAAAATAGCATAACATATATTCCTTGTTAAAAATGGAAAGAATACATTTCTACATAAATCTGAACATGAAATTAGCCTGTGTCCAATTTCCCATTTTGTGCATAGTCAATCAATTACATCTATGCAAAATACTTGTCATTTTTTAAGGCTTAGAAAATTGCACCTTAACAGTTCGTCCATTTTTTTTTTTTTTTTTTTTTTTGAGACAGAATCTCGCTCTGTCGCCCAGGCTGGAGTGCAGTGGTGCCATCTCGGCTCACTGCAAGCTCTGCCTCCCGGGTTCACACCATTCTCCTGCCTCAGTCTCCTGAGTAGCTGGGATTACAGGCGCCTGCCACCACACCCAGCTCATTTTTTTGTATTTTTAGTAGAGACGGGGTTTCACCGTGTTAGCCAGGACGGTCTCGATCTCCTGACCTCGCGATCTGCCCGCCTCGGCCTCCCGAAGTGCTGGAATTACAGGCGTGAGCCACGACTCCTGGCCAGTTCATCCACTTCCTTTGTAAAAGTATATTAAAGTCATCAGTCATCTTGTTAGTATATACTGACCTGCCTTATTGTTTAGCAGCTACTCTATTGTGTGGTTGGATTTGACATACATTTAGGTAACTGAAAGTTTTCTGGTATTACAAATGCTACTACAGTAAATGTCTTTGCACTCAACTGTTCAAAAAAAAAAAAGTAGCATTTCCATATACTAAGAGCAAACTATCTCAAAAAGAAACCAAGAAAACAATCCCATTTAGAACAGCCGCAAAAAATAAAATACTTAGAAATAAATTTAACCAAAAAGGCAAAAAATCTACACTGAGAACTATCAAGCATTGATGAAAGAAACTGAAGATGACACAAATAGATATCAATTAATATTGTTAAAATGTCTATACTACTCAAAGTCATCTACATATTCAATGCAATTCCTATCAAAATTCTAATGATATTCTTCACAGATATAGAAAAAAAATCCTCAAAATTTTTTTAAATTATACTTTAACTTCTAGGGTACATGTGCACAATGTGCAGGTTTGTTACATATGTATACATGTGCCATGTTGGTGTGCTGCACCCATTAACTCCTCATTTATATTAGGTATATCTCCTAATGCTATCCCTCTCCCCTCCCCCTACCCCATGACAGGCCCCAGTGTGTGTTCCCCTTCTTGTGTCCAAGTGATCTCATTGTTCAATTCCCACCTATGAGTGAGAACATGTGGTGTTTGGTTTTTTGTCCTTGCGATAGTTTGCTGAGAACGATGGTTTCCAGAAAAAGATCCCAAGTAGCTAAAGCAATCTTGAACAAAAAGAGCAAATCCAGTGGCACTGCACTACCTAACTTCGAAATATACAACAAAGTTATAGTAACCAAAACAGCATGGTACTGGTATATACAAACACAAAGACCAATGGAACACAAATAAATTCATGCGTTTACAGCCAACTGATTTTTGACCAACAATGAGAAAAGAAAAGTCTTGTCAATAAATAGTGTTGGAAAAACTGGATATCCACATTTAGAAAAGTAAAATTAGACTCTTACCTACCAACCTATACAGAAAACCAGCTCAAAATGTATTAGTCTTAAATATAAGACCCAAAACTATGAAACTACTAGAAAAAAAACATACAGGAAAAGCCCAATCACATTGGTCTGGGCAATGATTTTCTGGGTATAATCTCACAAACACAAGCACCAAAATCAAAAATAAACAAATGGTTATATTTCAAACTAAAAAGCTTCTGCATGGCAAAGAAACAACAAAGTAAAGAAAGAAGCTACAGAATGAAAAAAATATTTACAACATTTATATCTGATACGGTGGTAATATTCAAAACATATAAGGAACTCAACTCCATCTCAATAAAACAAATAACTTTAAAAATGGGCAAAAGACCCATATAGACATTTCTCAAAAGAAGATATACACATAGTCAACAGATATATAAAAATACTCAACAACACTAATCATCAGGAAATTAACTCAAATCAAATACGAAATCACCTCATTGCAATTAAAATGAATATTATCAAAAAGACAAAAGATAACAAGTGTTGATGAGAGTGTGGAGAAAAGGAAACCCTTCCACACTGTTGGAGGGAAGGCAAATTAGTACATCTAATATGGGAAACAGTATGGGGTAAAAATTAAAATATAACTACCATATGATCCAGGAATCCTTCTACTGGGTATTTATCCAAAGAAATTGAAATTAGTATGGCAGAGAGATATCCACACTCCCTATGTTTATTGCAGCACTATTCACAATGGCCAAGATACAGAATCAAACTATGGTCCATCAGTGGATGACTGGATAAAGAAAATGTGGTGTATAACACACAATGGAATACTACTGGGCCATGAAAAAGAAGAAAATTCTGTTTTTATGCAACAACATGGATAAACGTAGAGACATTATGTTAAATGAAATTTCAGGCACAGAAAGACAAATATGACTGATCTCATTCATAGGTAGAATCTAAAAATGTTTATATTTCATTGATAAAGAGTTGAAAGGCGGCTACCAGAGGCTAGAATGATTATGCAGGGTTGGCTATAGGGAGATGTTAGTAAAAGGATACATATTTACAGTTACACAAGAGGAATATGTTCAAGGGATCTACTGTACACACTGTACAGCATGGCGACTATAGCTAATGATGATATATTGAATTCTTGAAAAATGCTGAGAGTGAATAAGTGTCCTTACCACAAAAATGATAACCATGTAAGTTAATTTGTTAATTAGATAGATTTAACCATTCCACATGTATATATACTTCAAAATGTGTTACACATGATAAATAAATACAATATCATTTAAAAAATAATAAATTTGAAAAACAATTAAAAAGAAGGCTCCTCAATTAAACCAAGCCAAGGATATTCTGCTTAGAAAGTCAGTCTACTCAGGAAACTCCTATGGATCAAAGATTTTGTAACCATAGTATCTATAAAACCTATCATCTGTGCCTTAAAACACAGGTTGCTTTTATCCATAGAAAATTTTTCCACATTGAATCCCCCACAACGGTTCAATAACCACGACTCCTAATAACTCCACACAAACATGCCCCTCTCCCCCAACAAGATACAAACTATGGAAAATCAATCAATCTTTATTCTGGATTAATGAAGCTAAAGCATAATACAAAGACAAGTTCATATTACCTCACTTAGATCATGCTGTTTATGAATAATAAGGGATCTACTCACTGCTACTCAATGCTGTTCCTCCTTGCTATCAAAAAATTCATATTTAAAACCTAAGACCTGCTGTGATAGTATTAAGAGGTTGGACTTTTGCGAAGTTATTAAGTCATGAGGCTCCACCCTCGTGAACAGAATTAATGCCCTTCTTAAAAAGGCACAGAAAAACCTCCCTTCTTCCTTCTCCCATGTGAAGACGCAGCAAGGCATTATCTATGAAGCAGAGAGCAAGCCCTTACCAACAATGACTCTACACCTTAACCTTAAACTTCTCATCCTCCAGACTGTAAACTAGTTCAACCATTGTGGAAGACAGTGTGGCGATTCCTCAAGGATCTAGAACTAGAAATACCATTTGACCCAGCCATCCCATTACTGGGTATACCCAAAGGATTATAAATCATGCTACTATAAAGACACACGCATACGTATGCTTATTGTGGCACTATTCACAATAGCAAGGACTTGGAACCAACCCAAATGTCCATCAGTGATAGACTGGATTAAGAAAATGTGGCACATATACACCACGGAATACCATGCAGCCATAAAAAAGGATGAGTTCATGTCGTTTGTAGGGACATGGATGAAGCTGGAAACCAAACACCACATGTTCTCACTCATAGGTGGGAATTGAACAATGAGAACACTTGGACACAGGATGGGGAACAGCACACACCAGGGCCTGTCGTGGGATGGGGGAAGCGGGGAGGGATAGCATTAGGAGATATACCTAATGTAAATGACGAGCTAATGGGTGCAGCACACCAACATGGCACATGTATACATATGTGACAAACCTGCACATTGTGCACATGTACCCTAAAACTTAAAGTATAATAAAATAAACTTCTCATCCTCCAGAACCATAAGCAATAAATTCTTCTTACTTATAAATTACTCATTCTAAGGTATTTGGTAAAAGCAGCCCAAATAGACTAAGAAACCACCCCAGAAAATACATGCCCTAAATAATAGAGAGTGAGTAAAATGTTTCAGAATAGATCACCCACATCTGATATTTGAAGAAAATTTCTGAATATTCTTCTATCCTCAAATTTTGTCCTATGGGAAATTAGAAAAATTGGCTGAATCATAGAATATCTGCCAAATATATTCTAGACCAATTCGTCTGGTCAATTATTCAGTTACATTGACAATAAGGAAGTTAATGAAATTCTGAGAGGTAACCACAATAAAAACTTATCATATTAAAATGGTGTCAGGACCAGCAATCAGGATATCCCCATTGCTAGTGAATGAAGTTAAACCCTCACCTTATACCATATGAACAACTTAACTTAAAATCACTGATCTAAATGTAAAAGATAAAACTATAAATTTTAAGAAAACATAGGCATAAATATTCAGAACCATGGATTTGGCAGTATTTTCTTAAATATGATACCAAAAGCACAAGTAACAAAAAAAATAAAAGATAATTCGGACTTTATCAACTTTAAAAACTCTTGTGCTTCAAAGGCTACTATTAAGAAAGTGAAAACACAACGCTCAAAATGGGAGATACTATCATTTAGAATTATATATCTAATAAGGTCTTGTATCTAAAATATAAGAACAATTATAACTCAATAATAAAAAGACTAACAACTATTTAAAAATTAGCAAAGGATATGAATAGACACTTCTCCAAAGAATATATACAAATCGTCAGTAATCACATGAAAAGGTGCTCATCATCATTAGTTATCAGGAAAATGCAAACACACACACACACACACACACACACACACACACACACACACACACATACAGCATGAGATACTATTTTCTACACACTAAGGTGGTTGTAACTGAAAAGACAAATAACAACAAATGTTGGTGAGGATGTGGAGAAATCAGAATCCTCATACACTGCTGATGAGAATGTAAAGTGCTGCCACTTTGGAAAACATCTGGGCCGTTCCTCATAAAATTAAACATAAAGGTTCCATTTGACTTAGCAACTCCACTCCTAGGTATATAACTAAGAGAAATGAAAACACATGTCCATATGAAAACTTGTAAATTAATATCTATAGCAGCACTGTCCATGATTGCCAAAAGATGGAAACAATGTACATATAAACTGATAAAAATCAACTAATAGATAAAATGTGACATATCTATACAATGGAATGTTATTTGGCCACAAAAAGTGATGAAGTACTGATATATACTGCAACGTTGATGAACCCTGAAAATATCATGCAAAGTGAAAGACGACAGTTACAAAAGACTACATAAGATTCCATTCATATAAAATGTCCAGAATAGAAACATCTATAGAGACAGAGTAACTTAGTGGTTGCCTAAAGCTGAAATGGATGGAGGAATTAGGAGTTGATGGCTGAAGGGTGCAGGGTTTCTTTTTGGCGGGTGTTGAAAATGTCATAAAATTGATCCTGGTTATAGTTGCACAACTCTGTGAATATACTAAAAACTATTGAATTCTATATTTTAAATGGGTAAATTGTATACATGATGTATGAACTACACCTCAATAAAACTGTTACCAGAAAGAAAGAAATACAGAAAAGAAAGGAAAATGCACAGGGCTAGAAATACTCTGATCTCTCAAGGAGGAACCTATGCTGTACATGGAGAGAAATGTAATAATAGCCCTGTTGGTCTGAGCACTGTCCTTATCATACCCTTAAACAAACCACTGTTCATGTAACTACACGATAATCAGACGTTGCCTACTATCTCTGCCCTATAATTACAAGTTAAAGATTGGCTAGTTAGAGAATTGTGAAGCTAACTGCAAAATTTGCATGAGTCAGTGTCTATGTTTGTGCACTGAAACTACAATTGGGCAAATCGTATGTGTCTGTAACCCATCTGGAAATCAAATTAATAACCTTGAGTGAGAAAATCACAAAGCAAACTTACTTAGTCAACTCTGTATCTCAAAGGAATGAATAAGGAACTTAAAGGGGAAAAAATAAAATTTTGTCCTATGTTTCCTCAGCCTGGAAAAGCTTTGCATTTCTTAATTAAAGAGATTGGTTTCCAAGATGAGTATGAGTAAAATGAACTTCCTAATACTAGCTATGAATTACAAAGGCATCCAAAGAACAGATGCGTTTGTAATTGGGTGACAGGGCAATCTCACAAACACTGGGATTATTGCTATTATTTTATCTGCCATAGGACCAATTAGGCTATGCACATAGAAGGTGCTTAATGAGTAATTGCTCAAATGGAAAAGAATGAGATTGTAAAAACCAATTAAAAACAAGGAAATTTTTATACTTGTTTATCAAAACTCACTGTCTTCTGTCAAGTCAGGACTAAACATTACGCATCTGGAATTGGAACTGCCATGTAACTATTTTGAGTTCTAAATACCCTGTGTTGTATTTAATCATGGGCCCCTTGCATTGAAAATCCTGGCCCCCTTACATGCAAGTGAAAATTCTATTATTCCTTTTCCAAAAATTGTGTATGCATTTGCTTTAAATAAGGTCAAAGTATCAACTTCCCATTGCATTTTAAAATAAAATAAGGATATCCTACCTAAATTCTATAATTGTTATGTCAATATTGAATATTTTTCTCTTATAGTCAAACTGATGTGAAAATGATGGAGAAGAATCAGAACACGAGAAGATGATAAAACTGGAATGGCAGGAGGATTAGAGAGGATAAATTCTATTTTAAATTTTAGTTTTGGAACAAGAAGCCTTTAAAGTTGAAATACTTCAAGGAAATACAATTTTGAACTTGGTCAATAATTGCTTGTCCAAACTTCTTGATATAGCTGATGTTATTTCATTCTTTTCCCTCTCTTTTTTGCTTTCCAAATTGCCATTTTAGCTCTCTCTTGACTGACATATTCCGTCAGTCACCGATTTTTAATGATGCCCCCGACATGGGTGCCTTCCATTTGAGCCTTACTGTTGCCATCACAGCCCAGGATCTCAGCATCACTTTAAACATCCTGTATAACATGTGTGAGTTTCATTTCCCCAATGACCTCCATAAAATCAAAGACTTTGCTGTTATTTTATTAACTGTAGACCCATATAGTCTATGCACATAGCAAGCGCTGAGTAAGTGTTTATTGAACTGGAGTGAGAGAGGTTTTGAAATTAATCAAACTAAACTTGAAAATAAAAATACTGAAAACGTAAACAATACACTGTATGGTCACTAAGACTCAAGTCCACATTTTACAACCTATGTTTCCATCACTTAATGCCTGAGAGATGTTAAATTTCAAGGTATATCAGAAACTTGGTTAATTAAAGGAGACTCGTAAGTATTTGCAGTAGGCCAAGTTACTGTTTTAGTATCAATTAAAAATGTCATCTGGAAAATGAATAACATGGAAATTTTAGTCTTCATCGATCCAGACTGCCTTTCCCCAAACAATAAAACAATCATATCATTAAAAATTAAGTACTTATGTTTCATCCAATAACTGAGTAAATATTAATTACAATATTGACACAACATAGAGTTCAAGAGCTAACTAAAACTGATATAAGCAATTGGGTAGGCATTTGTTTATTTCAACTGCTTAAGTGATGGTTATTTATGAACCCACCTCATTGGTTTTAGAGAAAACCTATATATTCAAATGCCTGCTTCATCACTCAGTAGTTGTGTGATCTTGAGCAAGTATTCTTTTTTAACCCCACAAAACCTCAGTTGTTTAATCTAAGAACCAGTGATAAAATTGCATATAGCTGTTGAAAGGATTAAATGGACTATGAATATAAATACTTAGCAGAGCACCTGGACCAAAGAAGGTTTCAGTAAATGTTAAGAAATGTTATTGAAACCTGTTTTTATTATTTGGATGATTGTTTTTCACTTTAAATTTTACTTCTTCCTTTGGCTGTCATTTAGCCTTTTCTCAAATTGCCATTCTTAGAAGCTTCTAGATAACACACTGATCCTCACGCCCCACCCTGACTCCTGACTACCCTTTTTCCACTCTTGAGACTTATTACTGCTTAGACACTGAGACATTAATACAAAATTAAAATACAAGAGTATTGTGAAGAAGAAAAATCAGTAGGTAGAGATCCACTGCTTAGCAGGTAAGGGAAGTAGCTTGAGAAAGAAAAACCTTGAAGGAAAATTGTGTTGAATAAAGACACTTTATAGCAAGAAAGGAGCTAATGAAGACAGTAGGAGGGAAACAAGAGGATATCATGAGAGAGGAGACAAAATTTAAAATGGAAAAAATGACTGATACAGTAAGGTCCCAGAAAAGATAGGAAAGAGTGGAATCAAGAGTACAGATAAATGGATCAGTTCTACAAAAAAATTATACATCTTCCAAGAAATCAGAATAAAGGAGCTAATGGATTAAGATATGGAAAGAAATTTAGTTGCAGAAAGAAGTTGGGACTAGGTTGTCAGATAAAATATGAGACACCTAGTTAATTACAAATTTGAGATGAACAACAAATACATTTTTAGTATAAGTATCTTCCAAATGTTGCATGGGAAATACCTAGATTAAAATATATTTAGTTTATTTGAAATTCAAATGTAACTGGTTTCCTGTATTTTTACTCGCTTAATCTGACAATTCTATGTGTTAATACAATTTATCTTTTCCTTCACTACCATATTCAGTCTTTTTTTATATGTTTATATAAACTTTTGAGTTCATTTTTATGACCTATTTATACTCAGTAAAGCTGTATAAGAATTTACTTAGAATAAAGATTTAGGGAAGGGAGAGAGACATGTTGAGAGTGGCAAAAAATGTAAAAGTAATAGTAAGAAAAGGCATAGTATGTACTCAGAATAGAATTGTAAACAGTTAGGTGAGAAATTCTGAGTGTCTAGGCCAAACGTTCATCTTCTTTATTTTAGGAAATTAATCTAAATCTTAGGGGTTGTTTGCATTTTATCTTCCAGTAGATCAACATCTAGCATTACTCTTCATTCTCATTCTCCACAGTTAACCCTCCCCATTGTTGAAACCAGAATTAGTTTCCTCAGGATCCTTGGTCCCTAAGAAAATGAAGTTCTTTTTGTCCCAATCCCAGGTCCAAGCAGTTCTACTTAATTACTCTCCATAGTATCTCAAGTCCCGATTTAAAGACCTCTAAAGATTCTTCTAAGAACCACTTTCTTCACTGTCTCTTAATGCATTGCTTTTCTCTGCCTGGAAAGGTTCCTTTTTAGCTGCCGGTCACTTTAAAATCTTTCTTAGCCACCTACTGTATTCCAGTCAATTAACAATTTCTAGTCTGGCAACACCTAGGGCAACTCTATAATCGTGAGTATTACCTCCCACATCCTCATCCATTACATCACATATTCTGAAGACCCCAAGCTAAAACCATATCCTTTCACATCTCCACCTCCAGAATCACCACCTGGATATCTGGCACATAGAATAAATATATTCAACATTTATTGGTGACTGACTACACTGTCACCATACTCAATGATGACAAATCACATTTTTATTCACCAGCTTTGCCATATTTTAAAACTGTTTAACCTCAAAGCAGAAATATTCAAAAGACAGATTTCAGCAACTATAGAGGCAGAATGAAAAGACATGCTCAAACTTTCAAATCGCCTCATGGATTGTCACCCTATTGGATGTACTTGTCATATAACATCCCAACTGTAAATGAAATATCTGGTAAACAGCCCTTGAGGGGTTAAATAAGATTTTTTAGAGTCCAATTTGATCTAAGAGCACCTGATTCAGCTTACCTAAGAGTTCATTTTTTATCTTCATACTTTGGATAATTTTCTATTAATGTTTATGACACTCAACTCCATAACATATAATTGAACTATTTGTGATGCATTAATCTTCTTTTTAGATTAGCAAAAAGTGATTTATCAAAGAGAAAATTTAGACTTATATTAGAACATGCTTAAAAAATCATAAGACGTTTTCAGATCACTTGAATACTGTTCTCTGAATCTTTACACTTTTCAACCGAAGACCAAACTCAGAGACATTAAAGAACATGTTTTTGGAATGCATTTTAAATCTCTTACCAGAGACCAGAATTTAATTTCCTTAAGCTTTCTGAGAGAGATTAAGGAAATTGTTTTTCAATTACATGAAATAGATGCCAATTTTAAATATATAAAACACTAGCTATAATTTCGTTTAATCAGAGCCTTAGGAATTGTGGGTGAAAAATGGCATGAAGTGGGATAAGGTTCTCAAATTCTGCATCTGCATTCAGATAATAGTGATATTTCTCCAGTTACACTTAGGTACTCTACCATTAACACAGCATTTTCCCAACTTGAAGGAAACAAGCATGTGGGAAAATATTGATGTTTTAAATTTCAAGTTATTTTTCTCTGTGCGTGTGTGCGTGTGTGTGTGTTTCTAACATCAGCTTATGTTCATATATTCTAGAATGTAACAAATTATTTAATTGACATGAAATTTTATTTGCATTTAAATAAAGCAAGTTAGCAGGGCATTTCATGTTTCTTTTTAAAGAGCTCCAAGAGTTCTTTGATCTCTGCAATCTGAGCACTTGTAAGAAAACTGGAAAGGGCACAGTCAGGTTGCAGGGACCTAGGCGTTACTCCCAGATCAATCATTATTTCATTATGTAAACTTAAGCAAGTTCATTTATTTTTCTGGACCTCAATCTCCTCAAATATAAAATAAGGACTTGCATTAGTTTAGTGTATTTTAAACATTTTTTAACTTCCAAACAGCTACTTTAAAACAAAATATTACCAAGAAATATAAACAAATAAAATAAAAACAAATCATCTTTGGTTTTGGTTAAACAGTACGGGTAAAAGGGGAGAGCCCCAAATCACTCCCTTTGTCTAACAATGCTCAACATCTACTCCCAGAAAATGCCATACAACATTTATTATTATATATTATTCTTCCTTTAACCATAGGGGTAAATAAGCTCTAAAATCTTCCCCATATTTACCAAGAAATTATTTCACTAATTGCAAATATACTACAATAAACTTACTACATGACAGTCTATTAAGTTCATACAAACTTAATAATACTGGCTTCAAGACTCAATGTTAGAGGTAACATAAAGCCCTGGAGACCATCTACAAGCACAAAGCGGATCGCCACGATAGTGAAGGAAAAATCTGAGTTGGTCAAATATGATCATCAGGGGATACATAGTAAACGAACCCAAGATTTCCACAAAGCAAAGGCTCTGTCAAGGAAACATGAGAAAACTGAGGCTTGCCCCTTGTACTTACAGGGACCAGGCAAGAATATGATTGCAGGCCCATATACTACATGTCTGAATATTTAAGAGTTAATAATTAACATTTTAAGTCAAAATTATTAAAAATAGCTACTTTTTTCCTTACTAGTGGGAATTTTCACAACAAATGCTGAAAATGGCAGTCATTTTTAATATCACCCACATCAATGGTGGTCAGTGACTGTGACCTCCTGCCTACAGCCTCTCCAAACCTCATTCCCAAAAATCTTTCTACATTTATGAAGCCCTAACTCCTATTAAACCCTTTTATTCCCATATTCCTGACAAAACTCAAACTGATATGCCTTGTTGGTATGGAAAGTGTTCTAGGGATAATAGTCTTAAGAATAAGAATCTGGAATTGGTTCTCTGATTGATTAAATTTGAAGAGAGTAATGACCGGCCGGGCGTCGTGACTCACGCCTATAATCCCAGCACTTTGGGATGCAGAGGCAGGCAGATCACCTGAGGTCAGGAGTTCAACACCACCTGGCCAACATGGCGAAATCCCGTCTGTACAAAACTACAAAAAAAATTAGCCGGGCATGATGGCAGGTGCCTGTAATCTCAGCTACTCAGGTGGCCAAGGCAGGAGAATTGCTTGAACCTGGGAGGCGGAGGTTGCAGTGAGCCAAGATCAGGCCATTGCACTCCAGCCTGGGCAACAGAGCAAGACTCCACCTCTAAATAAATAAATAAATAAGAACCTTACAATGATTACACATGGTCAGAGAACTGAAAGGTCTCACAAAATTCCTCAGAATACATTCACACAAATGTATATATAAGCAAAGTGAATGGTAGATGGGAAGAAAGCCAGCACAGGAAGATCCAGAGGCTCGAAGGACTTCCAGGCAGAGCTCTCCAGGTTCCTTCCTCAATTGCACAGGACGAGCCTTACTTCAGGCTTATAAGCCATCAAGATATGTGTGAGGATTCTTAGTGTTTCAGGAGAGCTCAGGCAAAGGATTCCCCTGGGGTCTTCTGTGCCCCACTCACCACATAGCCAAAACCAGCCGGTGTAACTGGCTAAATCAGGTGTAACTCATTAATTTGCACCCCCTTAAAAATGTAAAAAAGTCGGTTCTGGCTTCCACCAAGGAAATTTTGAACTTTTAATAGCACTTTCAACATTACTACTCTACCTATCATTATCTTGCTTAGGTGTCAATACAAGACTTCCAGATTTCCCAGAGATAAGAACAGATGTGTCCCAGTACAGCTGTAAGATAACGATAACTCTGTCTTACAAAGACCCCATTGGCACTCACAGTCCATGACAAGGAGTGGCAAAACAAAAAGGAAAACTGCGTTGCCAAAGGGACCATAGAGATTATGGCCACCAACAAGGATTTACAAGACAGAGCAACAGTTATTTGTTTCACATACCCATTGAACTCACCTATTCAGCCAGACGAATCTTGGAGAATTACAGGAAAATGTCATAAATTAATTGAGGAGTGACTCCAATTAACAGCTGCTACTCCAGAAAATCAACAAAAACTCTACTACCTGATACGCAACTGCTGATCTGTGAATTATCTTTCTCCCTCTCCCTTTCCACCTCTGTATCTTTTCTTTTTTTAAACAAAGGAAGGGGCAGCAATACGCCTCTTCTCCCTTCTTTCAGGAATATATTAACTTTCCAGACTATTGTTTTAATCTAGGGTATAAGGATCTTAATAATCTGGCCATTCCACTGACCATGACAGCAGTCCATTAAATGTTGATTGCCTTGGTGAGCAGAAAGTAACAAATACTCTAGATCAGTATTAGGCAAAGCGTAATCTCCATACTGGTGGGGATTTAAAGGTTATTTGTCATTAATCTGCAATGAATTAAGTACTGAAATTCAGATTAAGCATTTAGAAATTTTACAGCAATTTGACAGCATAACTTTATGTCTGTTAAAATTTTGTTTATATATATATATATATATATATATATAATTTTTTTTTTTTTTGAGACAGAGTCTCGCTCTGTCGCCCAGGCTGGAGTGCAGTGGTGCAATCTCAGCTCACTGCAAGCTCTGCCTCCTGGGTTCACACCATTCTCCTGCCTCAGCCTCCCGAGCAGTTGGGACCACAGGCGCCCACCACCACGCCCGGCTAATTTTTTGTATCTTTAGACGACGGGGTTTCACCGTGTTAGCCAGGATGGTCTCGATCTCCTGACCTCGTGATCTGCCCTCTTTGGCCTCCCAAAGTGCTGGGATTACAGGCATAAGCCACCCTGCCCCACTTGTTAATATTCTAAAATTTAAACTTGTATTTTGTACTTCTTTATAATTTTATTTTTCCTCATTTTTATTGTATTTTACAAAAGTGGCAGTCTGGATGGGTTGAAAATTTTAAAATTTTTTAAAAATTACATACCACAGATAATTTGAAAAATATTGCCCCAAAGTAAAGCTCTACAAACTACCCTAATTTTGCACAGCTCATTAGCTAAGAATGATTTTTACATTTTTAAAGGGTTGGAAGAAGAAAGGGAGGAAAAGGAGAAGGAGAAAGAGAGGGCACAAGAGGAGGAGGAAGGTGAAAAAGAAGAGACAGAGATTGTTTGTGATCTATAAAGCCTAAAATATTTACTAAATGGCCCTTTACAGAAAAATTTATCCAATCCCTTGCTAGACACTTTGATTGCACACATGTATGACAAAGCATGTGAAATAAACCCCTCAATAAATCAGGATACTGTAGCTTCGATAAAGTTTCCATCCTTTTAGTGGTTTAGGCATGTCAATGTATCAGCTCAGAGGTGAAGAGACAGCTGGTATATCTGGTACCCACCACCACCAAGAAAGAAGCACAATGCCTGTGGCCTCTTTCAGCTTTGAAGGCAACATATGTCAGAGTTGGGCATGAAGGCTTCTGGGATACATTGATCAAACAACTTGTAAGATTTCTAGTTTTTAATCCAGAGTAAGGAAAGAAAAGGCTCTGTGACAGGTCCACATTGCTCTGCAAGCTGCTCAGCCATTTGTGCCATATGATACAGTGCTCCAGTACAAGAGGTATCTGACAGAGATGTGTATGAGCCTTCGGCAAGACCCTAAAGATAAATTACCATGCAGACCCCTGGGATTCTGGCGTAAATCATACCCTTTTCTGCATAAACCCATTCTCCTTTTGAATTACAGCTTCTGCTATACACTGGGCCCAGAATACATGGCATAAGCCACAGAGTTACTATGTAACCTGAACTGCTCATCATAAGTTGAGCACTCTCTGAACTACAAAGCCATAAAGATTGAAGTGGGTGACAGCAATAGATTAGCAAGCAGAAGTGCTGTATTTGAGACTGGGTCCTGAAGATACCTCAGTTGCATGCGCAAGTGATTTAAACTCCTCTGTTGTCTACTCCTATTGCAATACCTCTTCTTCCTCACCTCACATTATGGCCTCAGGGAATCTTCTCTTCACTGGAAGGGGAAAAACAGTTGGGCATGGCTTATAAACGGTTCTAGAAGGTAATGTAAAACCACTCAAATGGATGGTAGCAGGAGTCTTGAAGGGGAACTTTTTAAAGGATATCCTTCTTGCCGGTAGACCTTTGAGCAGTTATCTGCTTTGTCTGAAAGAAGAGTGAAGATGAGTGATGAATCTCCACTTATTTGTGGGCAGTTGTTAACAACTTAGCTGAATGGCTGGGGATTTTTAAAAAGCTACATGGAAAAATTGGAAAAACTGTGAAAAGATGTGGATGAATCAGAATGAGCACAAAATGTGAGCGATATTTGTGTCTCATGTAACTCTAGCAGGGTAAACACAGCAGAACAGGCTCCTCAATGAGATGGACAAAATATTCTATTCTGTGTGTATCAACCATGGCCAGAGTTGTGGAGAGTAAGTGTAGGCTCAGAAACATGCATTTTCATTCACCATGGCTGATATGGCTACAAGCGTTGCTGAGAGAGCAACTTGTTAGCAACATAGGCACAAGTTCTGAGTTCCCACTAGGCAAACTATGACTACCTGATGTACTTGCAGAGGGCGGGGATGCCCAGTCCCCAGGCCATAGACCAGTATTGAGTCAGTGGCTGTTAGGAGCTGGGGTGCACAGCAGGAGGTAAGTGGCATCTGGGCAAGCTTTACTACCTGAGTTCTGTCTCCTGTCAAATCTGCAGTAGCATTAGATTCTCATAGAAGTGGGAACCCTATTGTGAACTGCGCACGTGAGGGAACTAGGTTGTGTGGTCCTAATGAGAATCTAATGCCTGATGATCTGAGGTGGAACAGTTCCATCCAGAAACCATCCCTTCCCCTGCCCCACAAGTTCACGGGAAAACTGTTTTCCACAAAACCAGTCCTTGGTGCCAAAAAGGTTGAGGACCACTGGTTTAGGGCAAAAAACAATTATGCACTGGGTAATGGGAGAGGGTATCCAGAATCTTTTTGCCCTAGGCCAGCGGTCCCCAACCTTTTTGGCACCAAGGACCCATTTCATGGAAGACAATTTGGTATTTTCATACCATAAATACCAACAACAGCCATGTGACAAATTGCTAGTAAAAAAAAAAAAAAAGCTAGTAATTTTCTTTATTCTTTGATAGGTACATATTTGCATAAATTAACCTCCACCTCCATCCTCATACCACCAAGTATAAAATATGCTCAAAGTAGTCAACTCTATATTTCAATATTGAAATCATGAACTATCTGAGATGAATAAAGTGACATCTGAGCTTTGGCATTTTCCCTTTTGGGAAAAAGAATGTGTACACTTGAATTAAGGTTAATTGCATAGTATTAGTTGGAAGCAAGATGTTGTATTTGCCTTTATTCCGAAATTAAATATAGGGAGAAGTGTCATGCACGGTTGCTGAGTTGACAAAGGAGTGCATTGTGTTCAGTTCTCTGCTGTCAACTCACCATCACCCCTTCTCTCTGCCTCATCTTGCAGAGTAGTCAGGAACTACATTTTCCAGGATCCACAACTTTGTATAGTTCTGAGTTATAGTTTTTCAATTAGAAAAACTCCTGTGGTACTTTGCAGGCAGAATGGAGGGGAGATCATTATTCTTAGGAGTTCATGGTGTCTAGAATTATGGGCAGATGAGGATGCACTGTGGCTTCCCAGGCAATTCAGAGGCACTCACATTTCTGTGGTAGCCTGACAGTTGGTAGGAAGATTCCCAGAGATACTGATATTGCAGAAGTTTCCTAATAACCTTTTAGAAATCATGTGTTTTATTGCTTCAGCGTAACTATTAGTGACCATTTCCCTGACCCTCCAGTTGAAGATTTTCCAGTGTTCACTCTCTCAGCTCTTCCCCATATTGTGTTAACCCTAATTCCTTTAATAAATGTCCTTTTTTCATAACACCTAAAGTGGTCCTAACCAAACCTAAATTGATACAAATTATTTGCCTTTTAAAAAATCTATGTGCTTTTGCCACTCAGATCCTCTCTCATTTCAAAGCACTATCCATCTGTGACACTGGCAGCAGCACAACTCACAAACTTTTATAGCATTTGGACATAATTGCCTTTTGTTTTGAAAACACAGGGCAAGACATAGAGAAGTGCTTTCTCTGAGGCCTGAACAGTGTTAATCATGAGAATGAATGTTCATGGTTTCAGATTATACTGTGCCAGTGCTAAGTTCTGGATCCCAAGTGACAGAAGTAAACACATGTTCTTTAAAAAAGTTAATAAAAATTGCATATATTTATCATGTCCAACACGTTTTGAAACGTACATAGTGGAATAATGAAGTCAAGCTAATTAATTAATGCATTACTTCACATACTTATTTTTTGTGGTGAGAATATGAAATCTTCTCTTAGTCATTCTCAAGAATATAACATGCTGTTATTAGGTATAGTGACCACGCTATACAACAGGTATCTTGAAACTCTTCCTCCTATCTAACTGAAATTTTGTCTCTTTGGACAAATATCTCTTCAAGCTCCCTAACCCATAGTTCCTGGTAACCACCATTCTATTCTCTACTTCTATGAGATAAACCTTTTGAGACTCCACAGGTAAGTGAGATCATACAGTAGTTGGTCTTTCTGTGCTTAATGTGATGTTTTCCAGGTTCCTCCACGTTGTTGCAAATAACAGGATTGCCTTCTTTTTTAAGGCTGAATAGTATTCCATTGTGTATGTATATCACATTTTCTTTATCCATTCATTCACTGATGCACTCAGGTTGATTCTGTATCTTGGCGATTGTGAATAATGCTGCAATAAACACAGGAGTGTAGATATATCTTTGACATACTTATGTCATATCTTTTGGATATATACCCAGTAGTGGAATTGCCAGATCATATGGTAATTCTATTTTTAATAATTTTAGGAACCTCAATATCATTTTCCATAATGACTCTACTAATTTGCATTTCCATCAACAGTATCCAAGGGTTCTCTTCACATCCTCTCCAACATTTGTTATCTTTCATCTTCACTGTAATAGTCTAACAGGTACAAGGTGATATAATATCACGTTATTTAACAAATGTAATCTCTGTGTTTTTGTGTGATACATGAGGCCTCATAAAGTGCAGGACCTGGAACAGGGGTCTGCCTTGCCCAGTCTAAAGGTAAAATTCTAAGAGTAAGAATCATCTGGCCAGGAAGACTATGAAAGGAAGTTGTAGAGTTGCCGTATCTTCCAGTCTGTATGTTATCATCATTTTGGAAGCTGTCACAGTCAGAAACTGAAATGTATTGTTTATATATTTCTGTAAAGCCATTGAAATGTATGTGGTGATTCATTTATGTTTGTCCATAAACAAAAGCAACCTACATGAAATTAGTCACAAGAGCAGTAAGTCACAATCTCCCTTTGTTACATCAAAAGGCCCAGATGAACCTGCCATATGCCCTCAGGGTGATTCATTGGAGGTAAAAAGGCCCATAAATTGTTTTACGCCTTATAGAATTATACATCAAAAATGCTTCAATAAATTTACTTAAAGTAGCCCACTGAGAAACCAACCAAACTACTCATATACTGCACTGTGTTTGTTGGACACTTTCTACTGCATCAGAGTTACCTAAACCCATACAGAAGACATCAATGTCTATCCCAGCAGTAAAGAAGATTTTGGGTTCCTTTCAATCCTAAAATTAAAGGGATAGAAAAAAACATGTTGAGAGATTTTCAAGCGCATCAAGATTAGCCTTAAATTGCTCCAAGGAGAACAGAATCTCTTCTAGAGAAGGGATATCCCTTCTTTCTCTGCTACCATTCTACTGTCAAGTATCATTTGAACTCTCAGATGTGACTCTAACCTATGTCATTTCTGTTGCTATTTTCTGTCCTTTGTTCCACAGTAGACAAGGACAGTTTGTATACTCTTTGTCAATGAATACTTTGAGATTGACTTATTTATATGTCCAGTTGTCCCTCTGTATCTCCTGGGAATTGGTTCCAGGACCCCTATGGATACCAAAACTCACAGATGCTAGGTACCTTGTATAAAATGGCATAGGATTTGCATAGAACCTACACACAGTTTCGTGTACTTTTTTTTTTTTTTTTTTTTTTGAGATGGAGTCTTGCACTGTTGCCTGGGCTGGAGTGCAATGACACCAAATTGGCTCACTGCAACCTCCCCCTCCCGGGTTCACGATTCTCCTGCCTCAGCCTCCCGAGTAGCTGGGATTACAGGCACACACCACCACACCTGGCTAATTTATTGTATCCTGTACTCTTTAAATTACATCTATATTACTTATAATACCTAATACAATCTAAATGCGACGTAAGTAGTTGTTATACTTTATTATTGTATTGTTATTTTTTACTGTTCTTTTTTTCCAAGTATTTTCAATCTTGGTTAAATCTACAGATGCAGAACCCACAGATACAGAGGGCAGACTGTATGTAATAACATATATGTGACCTTGAAGCCTAGATTCACTCATTCAACAACTTATAAATTCCTCCTATGTTACTGAGATATGCATTGTAAAAATAAACAAAACAGCTCAAATCTAAATTGTAAGCCTAAACAGTGTCATCTTTTACCTCTTTAGTCTTTGAATGTAGAGAAATTGCAAAGTAACATTGTGCCCTGGCTTTCTACTTTTTGATTGAATCCCTAATGGAAATAAACTGCTGATGTTATCTTTTACTTCTTAAACAATAAGAGGTAATGATGAAATAAACAATGAGGTAATAATGAAATAATGTCATCATTTCCCTCTTTAGTCTTTTACAGTTTACAAACTGCTTTCATCTTTTTAAAAATAATATTCAGGCTTTATAAAAACCTTCTAATATTTTTCAGGATTATTCTATCAGTAACATAACCTGAGATGCAACAAAGAGGTGAGGCATCGTGGATGTTAATCCATATCTTTTAATTCCTCATCCAAGGCTCTTTCTATACTGGTTTCATGAAAAAAATGTTATCAGCAAAACCCTTTCTTCAAATGAAAACTGAAGCAACAGCCTAGGATATTTGAAACCCAACTCTGGGCCCCATTGCTACATTTAGTCAAACCAGGCTTCAACCTCACCCTCTAACTTATTTGTCCTGCATATTCATTATTTTAAAAAATATAAGACATTCCAAAATTTAGTAAATATTATAACTTTTCCAAGCATTTCATGGGAAAAGGAAAGTGAGGGTACAGACTGTATACTATGACTGAGTAAAAATTTCATTAGACAATTTCTCCAAGTGTTTTGATGGCCACTCAGCCAATCAGTGGTCTTTTCTCTTACCCATCTACCATTCCCACTCACTCTCCATTAGCTTCCTCCGTGAAGATGCAGCACTATGCATACCACCTGCTCTAAAATTTACACTGCCCACAGGTGTTCCTCACTATTCCAAGCAACTCTCTTGACAGGTATAGTCCAGTTCCAATTTTGACCCAGGTGTCTGAATTTGATTATTTGGTTGTAACAAAAAATTGCTTCAAATTCCCTTAAACAACAATAGAAGTTATGACCACTTTATTCCCATAAGGGACTCTATCAAAAAGTAGAAAGCCAGGTCATAATGTTACTTTGCAATTTCTCCATACTTATATTCAGTAACTACTGCATTACTATTACCCTCTGCAGACAGTTTTCTCTGCTTTTCCCAGCAGAATTCAGATGCCCTGTGGGAGCCAGAGAACAACTTTCATTTTAAGCACCCACCAGAGACTAACAACAATTTCTGTATCCTGCGAGAGAAAATGTGGTTGACTCAGTACACGCCAGCCAGGTGAGATGTCCAGTATACCATGACCAAAGCCACATAACACGTTTCCTACCTAGCAGAGATGAAATGAATAAAATATCAAGAAGGGGCTTTTAATGCAGTGGTAAATTGGCTGAACATACACGTAAGTCACCACTTAAAGCCTATACTTCTGAATTCATCAAAAGGTCAGTATTTATCTGTTTAGTTAACTAGCCCTCCAGTCCTCAATATAACATTCCACTCTGCAGAAGAATCCATGGAGAAGAAACAGAGACCCCAAAAATGTAGCCTTTCCAAAGACAATCTGTCTAGCAGAGAATAAAGCACGTGTACAAGTATGATACACTACAGTGTTTCCGTAATGAGGATCTGTTGGTATATTCTTGTGACTCCATAAAGTTTTTTTATGACAGTTTTAAAATATTTTGTTTTTGTTGAGAATCTAAAACTAAAATTCTATTCTGGATTATCTAGATAAATACTTAGTGACCTTGTTTTGCCACCGAGTTTCATTGCTTAAGTCTGATTAGCATTTACAGTTATAAGATACGAAATGATCATCTACAGTAACCACTTTTACATTGAACTATTTAATGAAGTACTTCTTACATTGGAATCCACAGATACGTTTTGGGGGTGGGTACGTTGAGGGTTCTCAAGTTTGAGAAGCGCTGATATGAGGATAAAATCAATAACGTGCTGTCATTTATTGAAGTGCTTCAATGAGCTATATGTTTTTATAAAGATTTTTTAAAGTTTCATGCTTAATTCTAAAAACAATCATGTGAAGTTGGTGTCATTATCCTCACCGTGTAGATGAAGAAACTGAAGGCTAGATAAATTAAGTCATTTGTTCTAAAGTCACCGAGCTGGCCAAGTTGAAGTCATGATGATAATCAAAGTATATCTCCTGCTCTCTCATCTATATCCTTTTCTCTACATCACGTCAACTTTGCAAAAGGGGTGTTGATGCACTATGCCCTATACTTTTATTTATAGCATCTAGGTAGTTAGGGGGTAATTCTGGCCAAATCAGAACAGCTGAAAATCATGAGGTACATATAGAGAACAAGAGAACAAAGAATTTTTTTTTTTTTTTTTTTTTTTTGGTTGAGACGTAGTCTCACCCTTTTGCCCAGGCTGGAAGGCAGTGGCGTGATCTCCACTTACTGCAACCTCAATTGCTCAAGCGATTCTCCTGCCTCAGCCTCCCCAGTAGCTGGGATTACAGACAGGCACCACTCCATCAAGATAATTTTGTGTATTTTTAGTAGAGAAGAGGTTTCACCATGTTGGCCGGGCTGGTCTCCAACTCCTGACCTCAAGTGATCCACCTGCCTCAGCCTCCCAAAATGTTAGGATTACAGGTGTGATCCAACATGCCCAGCCAAGAACAAAGATTATTTTAATCCGGTAAACATGGTAGACATGAAAGTAGGGTTGTCAGATTTAGCAAATAAATATACAGGACACCCAGTTGAGTTTAAATTTCAGATAAATAATGAATACTTTTTTCCTCTGAATATTTCTCACACAATATTTGAGATATATTTATCCTAAAAAGTTACCCATTTATTACATAAAATTCAAATTAAGTGGATTTCCTGTATTTTATCTGGCCACCTTCCATGAAAGGAAGTACAGGAGCATCTCCTTTTATTGTGCTTCACTTTACTGCACTTTCAATAATAGTTTCTTGTTTTCTTTTTTTTTTTTAACAAATTAAGGGTTTGTGCCAACCTTGCATCAAGAAAGTCTATCGGCACCATTTTTACAACAGCATATGTTCACTTTGTGTCTCTGCATCACATTTTGCTAATTCTTGCAAAATTTTAAACTTTTTCATTGTTTTATGTCCTTTATGGTGCTCTGTGATCAATGATTTTTGAAGTTACTATAATAATTGGTTTGGGGTGATACAAACCATGCCCAAGCAACATGGTAAATGTAATAAATGTTGTGTGTGTTCTGACTGCTCCACCAACAGGCTGCTCCCCCATTTCTCCTTCTCTTTTGGACCTCCCTGTTCCCTGAGTCATAAAAATATTTAAATTAAGCCAATTAATAACTCTACAATGGTCTCTAAGTTCTCAAGTGAAAAGAAAAGTTGCAGGTCTCTCACTTTAAATCAAAAGCTAGAAATAATTAATCTTAGTGAGGAAGGCATTTCTAAAGCCACAGTAGGCCCAAAGGTTGGCCTTTTGTGCCAAACAGCCAAGTTGTAAATGCAAAGGTAAAGTTCTTGAAGGAAATTAAAAGCGCTATTCCAATGAATATACATGGTAAGAAAGTAAAACAGCCTTCTTGCTGATATGAAAGAAGTTTTAGTGGTCTGTGAGGACTAAACTCTGATTTTTTTTTCTTTTTTTGAGATGAAGTCTCACTCTGTTGCCCAAGCTGGAGTGTAGTGGCATGATCTCAGCTCACTGTAACCTCCGCCTCCTGGGTTCAAGTGATTCTCCTGCCTCAGCCTCCCACGTAGCTGGGACTACAAGTGCACAACACCATGCCCAGCTAATTTTTGTATTTTTAGTAGAGACAGGGTTTTACTATGTGGGCCAGGCTGGTCTCCAACTCCTGACCTTGTGATCCACCCAACTAGACCTCCCAAAGTGCTGGGATTACAGGTGTGAGCCACCATGCCCGGCCAACTCTGATTTTTTTTTTTTTTTTATCTTGCCCGAATGCCTATCTAAGAGGTCTGGGGAATCATGCCCTACAAATCATAAATTCTCATCAGATAGGTTTTATTGAACCTTATATATCGTGACTTACTTTCCAACCCGACTCTGGCATAACATTATGAGACAAGGAAAAAAATCAAACTTACTTCACCCCAAAACATGTTTATGTGCCTTATTTTGAAATGGCCCTGCAAAGGTGTTCTTTGGGGGGAAAATATGCATCTATAAAGAATCTCTATTAACATTGCTAGTTCTTTTTCTTCCAGACTCTCCCAATCCTAAAGAGATTAACTAAGATCTGAATAGGAAACTTTGTCATCTATTGTCTCTAAGGGCAGCCATTATGAGACTTCGAAAGAACTTTGGTCTCCAAATCTTTTATCTTAACCTGAACTTTCCCTTTCTATGGATTCCAGGTCTTTAGACAAATGCAACCAATTGTCAACCAGAAAATGTTTAAATTTACCTATAGCCTGGAAGCCACCCGCTTCCTCCCACCCTTCCCTACTTTGAGTTGTCCTGCCTTTCTGAACCAAACCAATGTGTTTCTTAAATGTATTTGATTGGTGTCTCATGCCTCTCTAAAATGTATAAAACTAAGCTGCACCCCAACCACCTTGGGCACATGTTCTGAGGACTTCCTGAGGTCTGTGTCACGGGCCATGGTCACTCGCCATGTCGATAGAAGTTCAAACCAGCCACAACATTCCCTTAAGCCAAAGCCTAATCGAAAGCAAGACCCTAACTCTCTTCAGTTCTCTGAAGATTGAAAGAGGGGAGAAAGCTGAAGAAAAAAAGTCCGACAGTAACAGAAGTTGGTTTATGAGGTTTAAGAAAAGAAGCCCTGTTCATAACATAAAAATTCAAGATGAGGCAGGCCGATGCAGATGTAGAAGCTACAGCAAGTTATCCAGATCTAGCTAAGATCATTGATGAAGCTGGCTACACTAAACAAGTTTTTTCATGCAACTGAAACCACCTTAAAATGGAAGAATATGCCGTCTATGACTTTGATAGCTAGAGAGAAGTCAATGCCTGGCTTCAAACGTCAAAGGACAGGCTGACTCTCTTGTTAGCAAGGGTTAATGCAGCTAGTGACTTTAAGTTGAAGCGTCAGGGTTTGAGAAGACTGACTCCAATTTTTAAAGAAGTTCTTCTGTGGGTAAAATGCTATCACACAGCATCACGTGCTACAGGGAAATCTTTTGTGAAAGGAAGAGTCAATTGATGCGGCAAATTTCATTTTTTTATTTTAAGAAATTGCCACAGCCACTCCAACCCTCAGCAATCATTTTCTCTGACTAGTCAGCAGCCATCAACATTAAGGCAAGACTGGAAAAAAGTTTATACTTTGCTGAAGGTTCAAATGATTGTTAGCATTTTTTAGTAATATGCTAGTTTTTATTAAATTAAGGTATATAGATTTTTTTAGACATAATTCAATTTGTACCCTAATAAGCTACAATGTACATATAACTTTTATATGCACTGAGAAACCAAAACAATTGTGTGACTTGCTTTATTGAGATATTCACCTTATTGTGGTGGTTTGGAACTGAACCCATCATGTCTCTGAGGTATGCCAGTAATTGGTTATAAGCAGGAGAGGTAATGAATGGTGGAGATAAATGGAGCCGGAGCTGAGTCAACTGGCTAAGATTAGACTTTATTCTCCAGGCAAAGGGATACTATTTTGTTTCTGAGAAAAATATTGACATGATTGGATTTGTGCTTCAGGAAGATTAATCTAGCTGAGAAAGGTAAAACAAATTAGAGACATGAGGAGTCTAAGGTAACAGTTCAGGGGAGAGGGTCTGAATTATACTAGCAGCAGTAGGATAGAGGTGCCGGGGCAGATTTGAGACATAACAGAGGTAGTATCATCAAATCAGTGATCTGAAGTTCGCTAATGAAATTCACCTATCTGGATTTATGGAATAACAAACACCTTTGGGAAAAAAAATATGTACCACTGTCAATATTTTTATTTCAAAACAAATACTTGAAGTGCCTCTTGGATTGCTTCCCCCACATTTGGGTGAATTTTCCCCAGAAGCTATGTAAGCAGCTCGGACTCAATCCCGAGTTCCTTCACTAAGTTCATGAAGTAGTTTTTCATCATGACAGTAAACCCACAGCACACATTCAAGAGGCATATGATGGATTAAGGACATCTTTGAACTGCCAGTGGGAATGGAAAACAGAAGAAGACTAAAGACTGCAGCACACCAGAAGAAAACCTTACCTTTTGGTTGTTTTTTTTTTTTTTATCAAGCATGAAGTTTATCTTCTGCCCCAGGACTGCAGTGTTTTCCACATGGGCACAGTGGTTTATGGCCACAAAGCAGGCACCCTCCAGAGGTTTCCTAAGTCATTCATCACGCCCAGTCTCCAGTCATCACCATGCATCTCATCTAGATACCACACACACTGAAAAAAGAAGAGAACGTGCAGGCAATTTTAGAATGTAAAAACAATCCATTTGTTTCATTTGTTCAGTAAATATTTATTACCTACATACTCTGCTCTAGAAGAGTCAGCAAACTAAAGCCTCTAAGCCAAATCTAGCCCGCAGCTGGTTTTTGTAAATAAAGTTTTATTGAAACACATCCATGTCCATTTGTTTAGCTTCTTTCAAGATTCAATTGCAAAGAGGGAAGAAAGGGAGAGCTGATGTTCTCCAGGGTTGGTAAACTTCCCTGAAGGAACAGAGAGAAAATATTTGAGACTTTGGGGATAATGTGGTCCCTGTCACAACTACTGTGTTCTGCACTGTGAAGCAAAAGCGGTATAAACAACATGTAAATTGTCTTTAGAGTTCTATTTACAAAACAGGAGGTTAACCTGTAGCCATAATTTCTTACCTCTGGTCTAGATCTTAGAATGTCCCTGGGCGATGTCTCTAGAAAAAAACAATAATTTCTACAAGAACTAACCAATATTCTTATTTCTCTTCACTAGTGTGGACATAGAGGATTGACAAAACATATTTTGTGTTTGATTTCTTCATTTGATGATTTATCTATCTTAGATCATACAATTTCAACAAATCACAGTTAAATCTTAAGTTATTTTTATTCTATCTTGTTCTTATTCAAATATTTGTTTCTTTAATATGCCTGTTGCAGGAGAGAAAAAATATTTTTATACATTTTTCAAATTCATTTCACTAGAGGAATTTTATGGTGTTTGTTTTTATTTCAGCATATACTTGGGTAACGGGTTCTTGGACTAAATTTGGAGGTAGATTCTGCTGCATGACGATAAATTGCTAGTGCTTGGAAAAGAAAATATACCAACATTTAGAAGGCACACTCTGAAATTACCCAATGCTACATCTATGTGATATCTATTATATGTAGAACAATAATGTGTCTGTGAGAATCCTGTCAGAGACAGAAACCACACCAGTAATTTGATCAGGGAAACTTTAATATAAGAAACCACTAACTAGTACAAAAGGAAGTAGTATTTTGTAGTTAAAAAGAAAAGAACAGAAAACAATACCAGAAAAGTGTCTCTAACACCTCTCTTATGCTGTCACATACAATCAGTTGCCAAGACCCACATCTATTTGGTCTATTATAATTATTTCCTAATTGAGCTCTGTACTTTTGGTCTCTTTGTGAGGCAACATTAATCTTTCTTCACTAGTCACAACTTTCCTCAAAGTCCTTTAAAATAATACTTCCATCCGATATCCTCTTTAAATGTCTTTTAAACTAAACACTTTCTTAGTATTTAATAACTCCTTGGTTTTTTTTTTTTACTTTAAAACCTCCATAAAACTCTAATTTCTTTTTCTTGATTACTTTTGTACTTTCTTGCCTATGTAATTTTAGCTGAGTCCTTCCTTTCTTCTAGAATCCCCCAGAGCCTATCTCCACTTGTTAAAATTCTCTCATTTCTTGAGAACTGGTCTCAAATACCATTTTTCCCACAAAGACTTTTCAGTTGCTCCATTAAATACAATCATTTCCTACCCTGATCTCCTCCAACACCATTTTATATTTCCCTAATGTTAATTACCACACCCACAAGTGTTAATTTTTCTGCAATCATAAGAAAACACCAGCAGATAAGCAACCTGTAGACTATGACTATATTTTAGGGAGTTAATATATGACAAGAGATGATGTATTAAATCTGATGGCTAGGTTTGAGGCCCAGTTGCTATACTTGCCAGGCATTAACCCATTTATGCCTGAGGTTGCAATTTTTTGAATTTTTGCAATCAGACCTTGCTGATGACTTTGAGCAGTTGGATATAAATAACTCCCACATGCTTAGCGTTCCTATAATGGAACACTAGGCATAAAGGGGTTTTAATGTCTGATTCAGTGAAATACAGAAAATATTATCAGCCTTACACATAAAGTGACTAACACAGTGTTAAGCTCAAGGTAGGTGTAAAATGAATCAGTTCTTCTTTTTCATCTTTAGAACCCTCCTGACCCCAAACACAAAGAATGTTCAATTTCTTAAATACATTTTTATGGAGATGTAGGCCAATATGAAGTTTGCCATTCTGGAAACTCAGCATTATCAGCTGAGCAATCCTATCTGAATCCCTAGTGTAGCAGAATCTTCACAAAACTTCCAGATTTCAGTTTCTCCCATGTGGGAAACAAAATGTAAATGAACCTATTGCTCCCAATTATAAATGTGTGGTGGGTAGGAGAGAGAAAAAGAGGGGCACGTTGAGCAAGGGGATCCCTTTCTTAATCCTTAAATTCCAAAATCAGGCCACTATTTTGATTTTGTATTTATTTTTTCTTAGTCTATTCAGCTTCAAAGTTGGAAACAGTAGTTCTTTTGTTTCATATTAACCTAATTTTTTTAACTTTTATTTGTCCCCTCATTTTGCATTATTTTTCAAGTTCAATGCAATTACAACCCTCAAATATATATATTTGAGACAAGGTTTTGTCTTACATATAGGTTTTTGTCTTAAATATATATATATTTAAGGTTTTTGTCTTAAATATACACATATATTCAAGACAAGGTTTTGCTCTGTCACATATGGCTGGAGTGCAGCACGATCATAGCTCACTGCAACTTTGATCTCCTGGGCTGAAGCAATTCTCTCACCTCATCAAATGGAAATTTTACTTGCAGTTTCATTTAAAAAATCAAAAGTTGCTTAAATACATTAAGTTGACTTTAAGCAATAAATGAAATCCTAAAAATTGTGTATAAATTGAATTTGTTTTAATTATAAATGAATGAATGCATATCAGGTTAAATGGTCTATAGTAATATGATTCTTGAGGAATAAATTCATATTTATAAATATTTGGGAAAAAATGAATAATTTAGGTTTTCATACGTCAGATTTGTTGCATGTGGGCTAAATCTGTAATCTCATTCCTTGTTCCTATTTGAAACTCATTTCTATGATGACAAAATATATATTATTTTCTGAGAAAATAAAAACGAGGCTTAATGAAACAAATAAAGGGAATAAATCATGAGCTATATTTTAATAATTTTAGTCCTCAGTTTAAAAGATACTGCCAAGTAAAGTGTCCCATATCTTATATTCATTTAGAAAACCCTTCTCTGAACACAGAAAAGAAATATAACTCTATAAAAACCCCAGGCACAAGCTGCTAACCAGTCGAATATAATTGTATAGATTTTTTTATACTTGAATATAGAAAGGCTTTTGACTGTCATGTATCTTGCAAGATTTGTATAAATAAGGGATGACTGGTTGCATCATGATACACACATGTACTGCTCAATCGTCTACTTCACATTTTTTGCTGTGATGATGAAACATTCACAATGACATTTTCCTTGACATAAATGTAGACCTATAAAAGAGAGATTTCATCTTCAGAATCATAGAATGTTTGAACTCTCAGGACCACAGAGATGACTTAGTTTAGCCTTTTCCTTTTATATTTCAAGTTGTTGAGACTCAGAAAGATAATGACATACCCAAGATCATCCAGGTTATTGGCAGCCACATCATAAGAAATTTGGGACCCTGTTTATTCCTCTGCTGCACAGTTTGAAACAGAAAATGGAAATTACAGTGTTTCAAATCCAAAAATTTAAGCCATTTTTCCCCATGCTATTTAGCCAAGCTACACTGAAGTCATTTTTGCTTGCTCATTTTTGTTTGTTACACAAAGCATCTTATTCTCTACAAAAAATAAAAAGCTAAGGTACTGACTCTGGGAAAGTTTTGAAACTAAATTAAAATAAATGATGAAAAACAAAGTAAATATTAGATATAATTAAACACACTATTTATTCCTGGGAAGTAAACTTCCTAGAGCTCTCGTAAGTATTTTTGATTATGAGAGTTGAAGAAGGACTAATCGCCAATATTCTCCAGCCACTTGCCAACACCTAAAACTGAAGGATGAATATCCACGGCTAAAATATGTCAATTATGTTTTTAATGTCCCAACAGCTTTAGTGATAACCTATCTGAGTTCTATACAAACGGAGGCGGAGCAAGATGGCTGAGTAGAAGCCTCCACTGACAGTCCTCCCTGAGGGAATGCCAAATTGAACAGCTGTCCACACATAAAAGCACCTTCCTGCGAGGCAAAAACTAGGCAGGTTATCACAGTACCTGGTTTTAATTTCATATCAAGGAAAGAGGCACTGAAGAAGGTAGGAAAGACACTCTTGAATTGCTGATGCTACCCCTCTGCCATCCCCCAGCAGTGGCTGCATGGTGCTGAGACAGAATCTGTGCCCTTGGGGGAGGAAGAGTGCCATGATTGTGGGACTTTGCACTGAAACTCAGTGTTGCCCTGTTACAGTGGAAAGCAACAGAGGGCAGAACTCAGCCAGCACACACACAGACAGCATTTAGACCAGCCCTAGCCAGAGAGAAACTGCCCATTTCAGTGGTTGGAACCTGAGTTCCACCAAGCCTTGCCACCGTGGACCAAAGTGCTCTGGGGTCCTAAATAAACTTGAAAAGCAGTCTAGGCCACAAAGACTGAAATTCCTGGGCAAGTCCCAGTGTTATGCTCGGCTCAGAGCCAGTGGACTTGGGGAGCACGTGACCTAAGAGATACCAGCTAGGGTGGCCAAGGGGGTCCTTAGGCCACCACTCCCACAACCTCAAGCAGTAAAGCTTACAGATCTGGGAGAGGGTCCTTCCCTCCGCTTAAAGAGAGGAGAGGAAGAGTAAAGAGGACTTTGTCTTGTAACTTGTCAGCTCACAGTAGGATAGGGCACCAGGCAGACTTCTGAGGTCCCCATTCCAGATCCTAGTTTCCAGATGAAATTTCTAGACACAATCTGGGCCAGAAAGGAACACATTGCCTTGAAGAGAAGGACCAAATTCTGGCAGGATTCATCACTTGCTAAATAAAGAGCCCTTGGGCCCTGAATAATCAGCATTGGTGCCCGGGCAATACTTGCCAAGGACCTTAGATAAAATTCACAGAAATGTCTGCATCAGGAGTGAACCCACACATTCTCAGATGTGTTGGCTAAGAGGAGGGCCTTTTCCTGCTTGAGAAAAAGAGAGGGAAGAGTAAGGGGACATTGTCTTGCAGCTTAGGTACCAGCTCAGCCATAGTAAAGAAGAGCACCAAGCAAACTCTTGGGCTCCCAGTTCTAGGCCTTGGCTCTTGGATGGCATTTCTTGACATGCCCTAGGCTGGAGAGGAGCCCACTACCCTGAAGAGTGAGTCCCAGGCCTAGCAGCGTTTACCACAAGCTGACTGAAGAGCCCTTGGGCCTTGAATAAATATCAATGGTAGCCAGGCAGTACTTACGGCAGGCCTGGGGTCGTGGTGGCCACAGGGAAAGACTTCTCTGCTTGAGGAAAGGAGAGGGAAGAGTGGAAAGGACTTTGTCTTGTACCTGCGATGCCAATCAGCTGCAGTAGAATAGAGCACGAAATAGATTCCTAAGGTTTCTGACTCCAGGCCCTGCCTGTGGATGGCATCTTTAGACACCCCAGGCCTGTGGAAATTTTACCACCCTAAAGGGAAGGACACAAGCCTGGCTGGCTTCACCACCTACTGATTAAAGAGCCCGAGGGCCTTGAGCAAACATAAGCATAGCCAGGCAGTGGTTACCACAGGCCATGGGTAAGACCCCAGTGCTGTGCTGGCTTCAGCTCTGATCTAGCACAGTCCCAAGGGTGGTAGTCACAGGGGTGCTTGTGTCACCCCTTCCCAAGCTCCAGGCAGCTCAGCACAGACAGAGACTTTGGCTGATTGGGAAAAAGTAAAGGAAGAGAACAAGAGTCTCTGACTGGTAATCCAGGGAATTCCGAATCTTACCCAAGACCACCAAGGTGGTACCTCCATGAGTCTGAGCCTTGGGGTGCCTCCTAATGCAGATATGGCTATAGTGACCAAAGACAGATCACAACACCCAAGTCCCTTCGAATACCTGGAAATCATACCCAAGAAGGATGCGTACGAACAAACTAAACTGTGAAGACTACAATAAGTACCTAACTCTTCAGTGCCCAGAAACCAACAAACATTCACAAGCATCAACAGCATCCAGGAAAACATGGCCTTGCTATGCAAACTAAATAAGGCACCTGGAACCAATCCTGCAGAAACTGAGACATGTAACCTTTTAGATGGAGAATTCAAAATAGCTGTTTTGAGGAAACACAACAAAATCCAAGATAGCACAGAGAAGAAATTCAGAATTCTATCTGATAAACTTAACAAATAGATTGAAATAGTTAAAAAGAATCAAGTAGAAACTCCGGAGTTGACAAATACAAGTGACATACTGAAAAATGCTTTGGAGTCTCTTAAAAGCAGAATTGATCAAACAGAAGAAAAAATAAGTGAGCTTCAAGACAGGCTATTTGAAAACACACAGAGGGGACGAAAGAAAAAATAATAAGAAAGAATTAAAGCAGACCTACAAGACCTAGAAAATAGCCTCAAATAGGCAAATCTAAGGAGGCCCTAAAGAGGATGTAGAAAGAGATAGATCTGGGTAGAAAGCGTATTCGAAGAATAACAACAGAGAGCTTCTGAAACCTAGAGAAAGTATCAATATTCAAGTACGAGGTTATAGAACAGCAAGCATATTTAACCCAAATAAGTCTACCTCAATCTATTTAATAAGCAAACTCTCAAATGCCCAGGATGAAGAAAGAATTCTAAAAGAAGCAAGAGAAAAGAAACAAATAACAACATACAATGGAGCTCCAATATGTCTGGCAGCAGACTTTTCAGTGGAAACCTTACAAGTCAGGGGACAGTGGCATGGCATATTTAAAGGGTGAAGGAAAATAAAATTTACCCTAGAATAGTAGATTTGGCAAAAATATCCTTTAAATATGAAGAAGAAATGAAGACTTTCTCAGACAAAATCTCAGGACTTTCATCAACACCAGACCTGCCCCACATGAAATACTAAAGGGAATTCTTCACTCTGAAAGAAAAGGATGTTAATGAGCAATAAAAAATTACCGGAAGGCACAAAACTCACTGGTAACAGTAAATACACAGAAAAACACAGAATGTTATAACACTGTAATTGTGGTGTGTAAACTATTCATATATTGAGTAGAAAGATTAAATAATGACCCAATCCAAAACAGTGATGGAATAATGAAAACTTTTCAAGACATAGTACAATAAAATATAATTGGAACAACAAAATGTTAAAAAGCAAGGGGAAAAAGTAAAAGTGTAGCGTTTTCATTAGTTTTATCTTTGCTTGTTAGTTTATGTAGTGTTAAACTGTCATCAATTTATAATATGGGCAAGAACATAGTATGTACAATCCTCATGGTAACCTCAATCAAAAATCATACAATGGATACACACAAAAATATAAAAAGCAAGAAATGAAAACAGACCACCAGAGAAAATCACCTTCACTAAAATGAAAATAGAAAGGAAGGAAAGAAGGAAGCGAAGACCACAAGACAAGAAGAAAACAAATAACAAAATGGCGAAAGTAAGTCCTTACTTATCAATAATAACATTGAATGCAAATAGACTAACTCTCTGATCAAAATACATAGAGTATGACTGAATACATTAGAAACAAGACCCAGTGAACTACTGCCTACAAGAAACACACTTCACCTATACCGACAAAAAAGATTTCAAGACATAACTATTGAAAAAAGACAAAGAAGGTCATTATGTAATGATAAAGGGGTCAATTCAGCAAGAGGATACGACAATTGTAAATATATATGCACCCAAAACTGGAGCACCCAGATATATAAAACAAATATTAGAATTAAAGAGAGAGATAGACACCAATACAATAACAGATGGAGATTTCAACACCCCACTTTCGGCATTGAACAGATCTTCCAGGCAGAAAATCAACATGGAAACATTGGACTTTGCACTATAGACTAAATGTACCTATGGATATTTACAGAATATTTCATCCAATGGCTGAAAAATACAGTCAACTCCTCATTAATGGATTATTCTCAAGGATAGACCATGTGTTAGGACACAAAATAAGTCTTAAAATATTTTAAAAAACTGAAATAATATCAAGCATTTTTTTCTGACCATAATGGAATAAAGCTATAATTCGATAACAAGACGAATTTTAGGAACTACACAGACACATGGAAATTAAACAATATGCTCCTGAATGACCAGTGGGTCAATGAAGAAATTAAGAAGGAAATTGAAAAATTCCTTGAAACAAATGGAAACACAACATACCCAAGCCTGTAGGATACAGTGAAAGCAATACAAAGAGGAAAGTTTATAGCTATAAGTGCCTACATCAAAAAAGTAAAAAAAAAAAAAAAAACTTCAAATAAACAACATAGTGATGCATCTTTTGAAACAAGAAAAGTGCAAACCCAACCCAAAATTAGTAGAGGAATATAAATAGTAAAGATCAGAGCAGAAATAAATGAAATTGAAACAAGGCAAACAATAAAAAAGATCAATGAAAATAAAAGTTGGTTTTTTGAAAAGATAAAGAAAACTGACAAATCTTTAGCCAGACTAAGCAAAAGACGGGAGTTCTATACAAGACATTGAGACTCTATCCATTCGTCACAACTTGAACTCAGTCATGAAGCCTGAGCATCAATTTTTTAATGCTTCCCTCTCATTTATACCTATGTAATTTTCCTCTCTGGAATCATTAAGTTATTTTATTGTCTTAGTAAAATATATACACATAGATGTACCTAATTTATTCTCTATTCATCTTCCATAAAAACTGTATAACTATCTTTTCCTGCTCTCTCCAGCAGGGACAATTTCCCTTTATCATCAGTCTATCTTTCAATTTGTGCCAATTAATTACCTGTTCAACACAGGATTAAAGGCTAACAGAGAATAGGGGATGGACCAAAGATGTAAAATATGTGGAACTGATACTTATCTCAGGGAAAAATGGATATTCAATTAATTCTCCTGTAAACAAAAAGAATATTAAATTCTTACTATATCCTTTATATTATTATTACTATTCTATGGCAGCAGTTCTCAACCAGAGGCAATTTTGCCCCCTATGGGACATTTGGCAATGTCTGAAGACATTTTTGATTGCCACAACTTGGGGAGTTGGCAGCTGCTAGTGGCATCGAGTAGGCAGATGCCATGGGTCCTAGGACAACCCCCTAAAACAAAGAATTAACTGGCCAAAAAAGTCAATCATGTCAAAGTTGAAAAACTCTCCGAAGGCATTATTATACGCATTCTATGTATATTAGATAATTTAACCCTAGGTTACTCTCATTTAACTGGGGAGTTATATAAGTCATAGAGAAGTTAAGTAACTTGCAGAAGAGGTCGAGAAACAGCTAACAAGTGACAGAGATAAGATTTAAAATTGAGAGGTCTGGATCCTAATAGCTCTGCGTCTCTGACTGCTGAAATAACATTCATTTTTTTAAGGCCAAAATTACTAAAATTTTTCGAGTCCAATTGACCCTTGAACAATGTGGGGGCTAAGGACTCTGATCCTCTGTGCAGTTGAAAATTTATGTATAACCTTTGACTCCCCCAAAACTTAATGACTAATAAACTACTATTGACCAGAAGCCTTACCAACAACATAAACAGTCTATTAACACATAATTTGCATGATATATGTATTATATACTACATTCTTTGAAATAAGCTAGAGAAAAGAAAATACTAAGAAATCACATGGAAGACAAAATATATTTAGTATTCATTAAATGAAAGTGGATCATCATAAAAGTCTTCATCCTTGTTGTTTTCATGTTGGGTAGGCTGAGGAGGAGGGCGAGTTGGTCTTGCTGTCTCAAAGGTGGCAGAGATGGAAGAAAATTGGCATCTAGGCCGGGTGCAGTGGCTCACACCTGTAATCCCAGCACTTTGGGAGGCTGAGGCGGGTGGATCAGGTGGTCAGGAGATCAAGACCATCCTGGCTAACATGGTGAAACCCCGTCTCTACAAAAAATACAAAAACAAAATTAGCCGGGCGTGGTAGCAGGCGCCTGTAGTGCCAGCTACTCGGGAGGCTGAGGCAGGAGAATGGCGTGAATCCGGGAGGCGGAGCTTGCAGTGAGCTGAGATTGCGCCATTGCACTCCAGCCTGGGCCACAGCGCGAGACTCCGTCCCCCCACCTCCCCCCCAAAAAAAATGAAAAAAAAAAAAAGAAAAGAAAATTGGCATCTAAATGGACCCATGCAGTTCAAACTCATGCTGTTCAAAGATCAGCTGTACTTTGTAGGACCCTCTCATATGATGACCATAGCAGCTCTATGCTCTAAGTAAGATTCACAATATTGTCATATTTCATTAGCTGTCACCATTGCATGAAGATTTTTTGATTCCCTTCCCACCTACACAGTTAAAAATAATTGTTCTGGCCTTCAAATTCCCAGAGCTGTAATATCTTATCTAGAGTATGACACCATGATTTCCCAAAGCACTTCTTAAGGGACACTAGCTCTGCCAAGGATTAAAATGTATTGTGTGATAAGAATTCTGTGGTCAAATAATACATGAAAACATAAGATAAATGAAATCAAACTTTCTATTTAAACTTCCCAGAGACTGATATGCACTGTGAATGTCTGAGAGATATACTCTATATAGCATACCTCAAATTAATTTGAGCAAAAAAGCTCTTCTTTACCTATCAGTTTGAGAAGTATTAGTATCATATGATCAAAAATAATAAAATAATAATAATCATGTTGTTAGGTTATAATGATCTTTTCTTATCTCTTGACCTTTTAAATGACCTACTCAGTACCCTTCCTCCAAGCAAATGGGACAATATTTATAAAGCATTGGAATATAATAAACATTATGCAAAGATGCTGCAGAAAATATACACAAATCATTATTTTAATGACTCTTCTTATGGGGATTAAAATAAAAAGAAACAACTAATACGATTGTTTGTCATCTTGCAGATAGAACAACTATGCATTTGGGTGCCCTGTAACCACAGGGTTCATACATCTCCTTAGCCAAACCTCCTAAAAGAAGTCTGTTAGAAGTAGAGAACAATGCTGTCAATGATTCAGTAACTCACACTTTATTCTCCAGTGAGCCAAGAAACAGTTTTGTCATTGTGGTTTGCAGCAGAATGTGCTCTCGAGATGGTTGCAGACAATTGGGTCAAGAATGTAGCCTCCGTGGCCAGGCACAGTGGCTCATGCCTGTAATCCCAGCACTTTGGGAGGCCAAGGCAGATGGATCATGAGGTCATAGTGAAACCCCATCTCTACTAAAAATACAAACAAATTAGCCGGGCATGGTGGTGCACGCCTGTAGTCCCAGCTACTCGGGAGGCTAAGGCAGGAGAATCGCTTGGACCTGGAAGGCGGAGGTTGCAGTGAGCCAAGACTGTGCCATCGCACTCCAGTCTGGGTGACAGAGCAAGACTCTGTCTAAAAAAAAAAAAAAAAAAAAAAAGAACGTAGCCTCCAGACCCAGGTAAACTACCCACCATAATGCCAAATAAAGTGAAAAACCTGGGGGGAAATAGACAAAGGATTTGAATGAACATAAGCACATGGAAAGATGCTCAACATCATTCTAGAACTTCATTAATTGTTAGAGAAATGCAAATAAAATCTACACTGAGCTACAACTTCTCTTTCACTAGGATGACTAAAATGAAAAACACACACAATAATAAATGTCAGTGAGGATATGGAGAAATTAAAAGCCTCATACAATTGTTAGTAGGACTGCAAAATGGAACAGTCACTTTGGAAAACAGTTTGACAGTTTCTCAAAAAGTCAAATATAGACTTACCATAGGCTGCTCCTAGGTATACACCCACAAGAATTGCAAACCTATGTTCACACAAAAATTTGTACACAAATGTCCATGGAAGCATTATTCATAATAGAGGAAACATGGAAACAATCCGAGACTCTATAAACTGATGAAGATGTGGCATGGGTAAACAATGGACTATTATTTGCTATAAAAAAGAATGACATACAGTGGGAAGTAACACCTAATGGGCATTTTGTTTTGTTTTGTTTTTTGAGACAGAAGTCTCGCTCTGTCACCCAGGCTGAAGTGCAGTGGGCAATCTCGGCTCACTGTAAGCTCCGTCTCCCGGGTTCATGCCATTCTCCTGCCTCAGCCTCCCAAGTAGCTGGGACTACAGGTGCCCGCCACCACACCCGGCTAATTTTTTTTATTTTTAGTAGAGATGGGGTTTCACCACGTTAGCCAGGATGGTCTCAATCTCCTGACCTTGTGATCCTCCCGCCTCAGCCTTCCAAAGTGCTGGGATTACAGGCGTGAACCACTGTGCCCAGCCGGGCATGTGTTTTTTGTTTCCGTGGGGGGTGATGAAAGCATTCTGGAATTAGATAGTGGTGATGCTTGCACACTCTATCAGCATACAAAAAACTACTGAATTATATACTATAAACAGGTTTTAAGGTTAGTTTTAAACTGGTTAATGTTAGAGAAAAAAATGATGCACTGTATAAAAGGGGATCCCACAACTCACCTTGTAAGAAGTCCTCAAGTTTTAGTACTTTAGGTTGCTGATTTCTATTATAGAACTAAAAAGAATTTAGTATTAGTTTCTTTTCTTCTCCAGATCCACACGGATTAGAAAGAGCTCTTTCTCTTCCATATACGTTCAACATTTTTCCCCAGCCCAGTTAGAGTGCCACCTCTTCAACAAGACCCCCTTCTGCTTTTTAATAAATAGACAAAAAGTCACTTTTATTCAGCTCCATCAGACATTGCTTTATGCTAATGTCTCTTAATGGCAGGGATTCCCTTGTGCCTGTATTTTTATGACATTTACAGTAAGCATTGGTGGCAATAATGTTGATCATCCTCGTTTTCTTTGTCCTTTTCATTATTTCTGCCTTTTCCTTCTCAGGGCTTCACTACTGTCCTCCATATGTAGAGCTTAAGGTTAAGCTCTATCCGAGCTACTCTAAAAGTTCTAGAACTTTATTCGACTGGTGGACGATGCAAACTCTCAAGATGGCCTTTGAGGCAGAGGATCACTAATGTGCTGTCAGCTGACTTCCCACTCCTCCCACCAACTACCTCGGCTCAGCACTCTCCGGGCTTCTTAGTACAGGTACCACTTGCCTATCTGCTCTTTTGCATGCCAAAGATTTTTTTATTCTATTCTTATTGCCCCTCTGCATTTATGGCTTTTGGAAGAAAAAAAAAAAGCACACTGCAATTATATTAGCGGTGTTTGGGTGGAAAGCCAGTCTACTTATTCCCTGGAATGTTCTTTGACAAACTAGAAAACGCTGGCAGGTCAGCATACTCTGAGAAGCATCAACACTGGGAAGCACTAGTCTGGCAAAAGGATATTGAGCTTTCAGGTCAGAGAAACTAGGATCTAGTGTTAGCTTTGCTATGATTTGGGGGAAAGTTAACATTTCCAAGCCCCAGTTTTCTCATCTGTTAAACGGACATAATATGCACCTTGCACGTACTTGAGAAAAAGAGATGAAACATTACCTGTACATTGCCTTGTATGTAGCCTATAGCTTTTATGAGTTTTGACTCACAAATGTTAATTCAATTTTATTCCCTTGAAAGCAGATCCAGAGCTTTGCTACTCAAAGGATGGTTCATGGACCAGAAGCATCTGCATCTCCCAGCTTCTTTTTCAAAATACAGAGCTTCCAGCCCCACCCCAAACCTACTGAATCAAAATCTGCATTTTATCAAGACCTTGAGGGAATCTGTATACCTATTTTTATGCATATTAAAGTCTGAGAAACTCTGCTACAGAGGCCCATGTTTATTAACTGACAGATGTTGGAGTGGGATGGAATTGGAGGTGATAGGGAAGTCTATTAATAAGATTCCAGAACATTCTGGGGAAGATTCAAAGGGCCCAGTGAGAAAATTGTAGAAAGTGTCTTTATAACTTAAAAGCATAATCTCCTTCCAGTTTTTGCTCTCTCTCATTAATACATACATTAAGACATGGTAGAGCATGCTGAGGCATTTTGGGACAGAGGTTGAATAGCGGCAGCTCCCACACTTCCCTGCCATGTAGATGAGGGAGATCACTCCATGCCAGTTGAGTGATCAGCCTAATGTTGTCTCTCAAGCAGGACTTTCCTTTGGTACCTTTATAATGAAATTTTTTTTCTTGAGATGGAGTCTCGCTCAGCTGCCCAGGCTGGAATGCAGTGGCGCGATCTCGGCTCGCTGCAACTACTGTCTCCCCAGTTCAAGTGATTCTTCTGTCTCAGCCTCCTGAGTAGCTGGGATTACAGGCACTCGCCATCATGCGTGGCTAAATTTTTTTGTATTTTAGTAGAGACGTGGTTTCACCACGTTGACCAGGCTGGTCTTGAACTCCTGACCTCAGGTGATCCGACCGTGTTGGCCTCCCAAAGTGCTAGGATTACAGGCGTGAGCCACCGCGCCCAGCTATAATGAATTTTTAAACCTATAAGCAGACCATGAGTTTAACACTTCATGCCTGAGCCCAACATACAGATACAGAAGTGCTGGTTTCCTCTGTCTCCTTATACCATTTAGAAAATGCATCACTCAGCCTCTGTATTACAGCCAGAATTTATCTCTAAAGCCGCTCCTTCTATTTCTGGGTCTCGTATTGATATATTCCTACAAGCTCAAGCATTTTGAAGACCATTAGAAATATCCAATGTGGGCCGGGCGCAGTGGCTCACGCCTGTAATCCCAGCACTTTGGGAGGCCGAGGCAGGTGGATCACGAGGTCAGGAGTTCAAGACCAGCCTGGCCAAGATGGTGAAACCCCATCTCTACTAAAAATACAAAAATTAGCTGGGCGTGGTGGTGGGTGCCTGTAATCCCAGCTATTCGGGAGGCTGAGGCAGAGAATTGCTTGAACCCAGGAGGGAGAGGTTGCAGTGAGCCGAGATTGCACCACTGCACTCCAGCCTGAGCGACAGAGCGAAACTCCGTCTCAAAACAAAAAAAAAAAAGAAATATCCAACGTGGTTCAATCAAGAAATAATGTTAGAGAAAATAACCATATACTGTGTGTAAGAGAATCCCGCAACTCACATTGTAAAAAATTCCTCAAATTTTAGTACTGAAGCCTGCTTATTCCATTTTTAAAATAAACTAGAGAAGCAATTGACAGGTATCTTAGGGTACACTTAATTTACACCAACAGATTTTCATTTACTCTTTGGAGTCTGTGAATTCAGTTCATTACCAGAAAGATTTTTGAAATGTTAGTGCCATCCTTTCTCCAACTATCCTTTAACCCAACCCCAAACAGGATACTATCTTAAGCACAGTCTTAGGTAACAAGAAAAAAATCAGGAAATGGATTATTATCCCTTAAGCTAGATAGAGCTTTATAACTGCAAAACTACTTTAGAGGAATTCCTTTCTTTCAATCACTTCGCCCAGAAACTCAATAAATGTTCATTAGAGGACTGAATAAACCAACATTTGGTGACACTGTTCCACCAGCATCTCCGGAAAAGCTTCTACTGTTAGGACGTTGTTTGGCTAACCATCCATCTAGTAGATCTTTCCAGATCTCATCAGTGATTGCAAATGCTATCTCTTGGATGAAAGAAAAACTGTGTTAGTTGTTATGTTGACAAGTGTATCCATAGGGATGTTTTGCTGCCAAGAAAAGAGGCTGAATGTGAGGAAATTTCATTATGCACACATTTCCATTAAAAAAAATTAAATGATCCGAACCATCTCTCCGAAGCACAGTCTTTAGCAACAACCTGGAATTGATTCAGTTGTTGTTTTAATGGAATTGCTTTTTTCCCCAATAAAGCCTCAATGAAATTTGTTAGCAGAAGTTTTAGTTGATGGCATTCAGCCAAAGTATTTGTCAATGGGATTTTACTTCTTAGATGTGTTTGGTAGCTTTGGAAAAGCTTTTTATTTATTTTTTAATTAGAAGTCTCCAGAGAATGTCTGGAAGCATAAGTACTAGAGAGTCTCTATTCCAAAATTTATTTTACATTAAACTTGAAATTCCCAGGACTCCTTTGGGTACTAGAATATGCAAATTTATGAGTATGACACCGCACAAATACACAGTTGAAGATTGCATGACTGAAAGAAAACACCAGTTTAAGTGGAAGAAAGATTGTTATTTTTTCTTAGGAAAAGAATAAAGAAGATAAGAAACATGGAAGTTTATTGAGTCTGACAATGATAATAATATAGTATAATTTATTGAATTAAAATTCCAATCATGGCCTGTTTCTTTTGTTAACTCACTACCTCAACAGCTCTCCACTGCTGGTCCACCGACCTTGTGCCTCAGATTTCTAATGGACTTCCATCGTAGACAGTGAAAGTCATGTCTTTCACTGTCATACCTCAACTGCTGCAGTATAGGAGAGCATCTAGTTCTCTTTAGTGAGAAAGTGAATGCATTTGCTCTGACAGAGAAGTCAAATTTTACTCAAGGAAGAAGTGTATGGTCCACAGCAACGCATTGACACAAATGTGCTACTCTCTGGCTGCATAATCTTGGGGTTTTTTTTTTGTTTTTTTGTTTTTGAGACGGAGTCTCTCTCTGTCACCCAGGCTGGAGTGCAGTGGTGCAATCTCGGCTCACTGCAAGCTCCGCCTCCCGGGTTCACACCATTCTCCTGCCTCAGCCTCCCGAGTAGCTGGGACTAAAGATGGCCACCACCACGCCCGGCTAATTTTTTATATTTCTTTTACTAGAGACGGGGTTTCACCATTTTAGCCAGGATGGTCTCTATCTCCTGACCTCGTGAGCTGCCCACCTCGGCCTTCCAAAGTGCTGGGATTACAGGCGTGAGCCACCACGCCCGGCCGTAATCTTGGTTCTTTAACCTCTCAAAGCATCACATTCCTCATTTTGAAAATGCAGAAAATACTCAACACTGTCACAGGACTGCTGCACTCACAAGTAAAGCACCTGCACAGCATTCGTACCCAATAGACAACAAGTGCTCATTGCATTCCTTTTCCTTCCCTCTACAACCTGAAGTTATGAATAGATTACACTTGTATTGCATAGAGACTTTCTGGACTTCACTGAATCTTCTACCTTTTCAATGGCAATTCACTGTCACCTTTACCAGCAGCAACATTCACAGGTCAGGTAGATCAGGCTTGTATCATGTATTGACTTGGTTCGTAGGCTGAGGACTCTGCTACTTATGTGGAAACAAACTGTGAATTTACAGATAAGAAAATATGAAAAACTGGGATACTTTAGGGAAATGTTCTAAAACAAAAATGAGATCCTTTCTCCAGTCTTGCTTTTATTACCAACTGGCTCTATGACTTTTACTGTTACTTTATCTTTTGAGACTCAATTTCCTACCTAAACAACATGATTGAAACGTTTGTTAACTCACAGTGTTACAAAAATCCAGTAAAATATGGAAATCTGGAACTCTTCACAATTATAAGGTAGTGAGAGTAGTAGGACCACAGAAATCTTCCTGCTACTCTGTGCAATTGTTTTATCAGCAAACACGTTAAAAAAAAAAAAAAAAAAAAGAGAGAGAGAAGATTTTCTAGGCATATCATTGGTGACTCTGAGGTTTTTCTCATGATGAGAATGAAGACGTCAAAGTGGAAAAGTAGAGCGACACCAGGGAAGCAGTAAGAGGGAAGGAGTTAGATCTTAGTACAACAGGTACAAGAGAGTATTAAGAAAAAGGGTGGGCCGGGCACGGTGGCTCACGCTTGTAATCCCAGCACTTTGGGAGGCCAAGGTGGGCGGATCACAAGGTCAGGAGATCGAGACCATCCTGGCTAATATGGTGAAACCCCGTCTCTACTAAATATACAAAAAATTAGCTGGGCATGGTGGCAGATGCCTGTAGTCCCAGCTACTTGGGAGGCTGAGGCAGGAGAATGACAGGAACCTGGGAGGCGGAACTTGCAGTGAGCCAAGATCGTGCCACTGCACTCCAGCCATGGCGACAGAGCGAGACTCCATCTCAAAAAAAAAAAAAAAAAAAAAAAAGAAAAAGGCCGTGAGTGGTGGCCCACACCTGTAATCCGATCACTTTGGGAGGCCAAGACAGGCGGATCATGAGGTGAGGAGATCAAGACCATTCTGGCCAACACGGTGAAACCTCATCTCTACTAAAAATGCAAAAAATTAGCCGGGCATGGTGGCGGGCGCCTGTAGTCCCAGCTACTCGGGAGGCTGAGGCAGGAGAATGGCGTGAACCCAGGAGGCGGAGCTTGCAGTGAGCCGAGATCTCGCCACTGCACTCCAGCCTGGGTGACAGAGGAGACTCCGTTTCAAAAAAAAAGAAAAGAAAAGAAAAGAAAAAGGGTGAAGGTCAGAATACAAGCACACATTATATGACATGGCAGGTCATGCCATAAAATTATATAAATAGCTAGCATATTTGTGGATATATAGAAGGAGCTTAGAAAATAAGAAAATTTAATGAGGTTGAACTTTTCCCTGATTGAGATCAGGGATTTGTTAGCTCACATAGACCAACAGGAATGCATCCCTTTTTCTGTTGTATAATGACTTCTGCGTAACCAGGACATGGCCAATTTTGGAAATGTGGTCTGAGAAGAAAGAATGTGAGAGCAACTGAGTGAAGGTGTGGAGACCATGAGCAATTCTGTTGTGATCATCCCCAGCAAACAGCAGTAGCCAATCTCTGAACTTTCATCAGCTTATATAGAAAGGGCTTTATGCAAACCTCTCGTTCCAGATTGAACTTTTGAAGGCTTTCAAATCACCACTAACACGTAAGCATTGCTGCTTGCCAGCAATGGTCCACCAACCTTGTGCCTCAGATTTCTAATGGACTTCCATCGTTTACAGTGAAAGTCATGGTTATTATTCAGCCACAATTTAGTTTTTTCAAGCATGATTATTTGAGGTGTTGGGAATCAACATAATTTTCATGCTTCTTCTGCTTAAATATCTGTATAGCTTTCCAGATACATATGCATACGTCTCTCATATCATTGTAAAATAAGATGCTTGAGAGAATGAACTATATCCAGAGACAGAAGTAACCATAAAGGGAGTAGGGATTTTTCTTAAATAACTTCTTTTTGGGGTATAGAAAATTTTCATCTCTACTCCAATGATCACCTTTCCTTTTCTTTTTTGTATTATTTATCAAACATGTATTTTCTGGGCACTGGTTCTCTTCCCAGATTTATGGAGGCATAATTGACAAATAAAAATTATATATATTAAAGGTATACGATGTGATAAATTGATATATATATATATATATATATAGTGAAGTGATCACCACAGTTTAATAAACACATCCATCACCTCACATAGTTACCTTTTGTTTTGTGTGTGATTAGAACACTTAAGCTCTACTCTCTTAGCAAATTTCAAGTATACAATATGGTATAATTAACTATAGTCACTGTAATGTACATGACTTTTTTATTCTTAAAGGAATAAGGCCAAGGTCCATCCAGAACAACCTTTCCTGAATTGTGGTCATGTTCTGTGAAACAAGAGATGATTATACCTTAGCACACTGGAAGAAAAGATGGCAGAAATCCAAGAGTGGATGCAAACAGACCCAGAATCATCTTATAATGCTAGCAGAGAGTTTGCTTGCCAAAGAAGGGTAAATCCTTTGATTACCACCTGTGAAACAAGGCTCTGATATTCTACCAAATTACATCAGAACACGAGATAGGGAGACAGGAGAACACTGAATTAAGAATCAAGATGCTTTGCTCTGTCTCTAGCTATTAGCACATCACTAGGCAAGTCACTTTCTTTACTCAGTCTGTTATCCCAACTGGTAAGTGAAACGAATGTGTTATAGTCTCTAATGTTCCATCCAACTCTAAGTTTCTATTATGTCCATGAACCTGTGTTCAACAGTAATGAGATCAGTATAAAGGCCATGCAGGGAGAAATCAGCTTCACCTAAGTTGGAGCAATCCTCAGAGATGCCAGCTGCTTCTTTTCTGTCTAAAAACATTTATTTATTTGATTATATTTAATACATTAATCAGCACCAATGACTGTACCATCCAACCTGAATGTGAGAACCCTGACCACAACCTAAAATACATATTTTGCATTTCCCATCAAGGCTCATCTGAGACTTCACAAAGCCTAAGGGGCTTCTTTGGTCTTGCTAAGATGCACCTGTCATTCCTAACACTGTCTTGTAACAAACATTGGCCTAATACTCAGCAATCTTGAGTTGAACCCACCTGCCAATAATTTGCTTTGTGATCCTGAGCATATCCCTTCATCTGCTCAGATTCAGTTTTCTCTACATGGAGAAGAATGGAATAGATTTCACGCAGCCCAAACATTCTATGATTCCACATTTAAACAACCAATGGAGAGGGGAGACTGTAATTTGAAGTCAAGAGATACTGAATCTATGTCTTCATACTATCCTTATTTGTCTTTGTTTCTAGATCCACCTTGCAATGATGGTTGATTTGTTAAATTGTAAACATTGTCACTCAGGGAGTAATTCTCGCATGACCGAGAACAGTACCTGACACTTATTAGGCTGTCAGTATGTATTGGTTGAATGTATGAATGCAAGAAAACTACAGCTTAACAGTGAGAACCAAAAACTATTATAATAACTCCAACTACATTCTGTAAAATCTGACTAGAAATTTCTGAATTGGAAGTTCCAAGTACTAACCAGCATTCTGAGACACACAGTTACTTATGTATGTATTGCTTCAGGATCATCTACAGCTAAGGCACAATTTCAACTAAATGGATTTGATTCTAACCTAAATTAATTTGTCCCTTCAAATCAAAGCAGCTTAGCAGAAACTTTACATATGTTAGGTAATTAGATGAATTTCTAGTACCTCATTATTGGTTAATTATTAAAGGCAGGTCACAGCTCTAATTTAAGGATTCTATTTATGTCTGGAAATCTATGCTATGGTCTACTTTGAAGTGCTATTGCAAGGGAGGGAGGGAGAAATAGCCGTGAGTCAATGGCAGTAAGTTCAAACCCTGGTTTCTCATCTAGAACAATTTAACCCATTTCTGTTCTCAGTTTCCAAGTATAAATAATGCAATTAAATTTTCTTTTGCATACCACCTTCACAAATATTAATGTGTTACTGTTGATTTTTAACAGAGAACTATTAGAAGATATGTGTAGTCCAGAAATAGGAAGAATAAAAGATAAGAGAGGAAGTAGAATACCCAGGAAGAAAAAAGGGCCCTGTTCCTATTGGCGTCTTGGCATCATCTTTGCTTTTTCTTTTCTTTTTCTTTTTTGTTTGTTTGTTTGTTTGTTTTTTGTTCTGTTGCCCAGGCTGGAGTGCAATGGCACAGTCTTGGCTCACTGCAACCTCCGCTTTTCAGGTTCAAGCAATTCTCCCACCTCAGCCTCCCGAGTAGCTGGGACTACAGGCACACGCCACCACACCTGGCTAATTTTTGTATTTTTAGTACAGACGGGGCTTCACCATGTTGATCAGGCTGGTCTCGAACACCTGACCTCATGATCTGTCGGCCTCGGCCTCCCAAAGTGTTGGGATAACAGGTGTGAGCCACCGTGCCTGGCCCATCTTTGCTTTTTTAAAGAGATTCCAAGCGAGTACAACAAACACACAAAAAAATGGGTGTTGGGGAAGAACCATGAAGGACTGCTTAGCAAAAGGAGAACTGACACATCACCTGTGGAATCCCCAATTATGAGAATTATTAGTGACAGTAATATTTTGACTGCTATCCACTGTGTGCACACACATGCGTAGCTCTATTAGGAGCATTAATAGTTCACTCAGAAAGGAACCCAGGGATACATTTGCTGTGATTTGAATACTTTATCTGAGAAAAATATGCAGATCTTTAAGAAATGAACAACGTATTTCTAGAAGAAGTAGGTGGGGAATAAGATAAAATTGTTGAAAGGGATTTGTAGCAAATAGCCTTCGAAGTGAACTTAAAATGCACTGGAAGAGAGGGAAGAAGGAGGGGGAAGGAGGTTGTATTAAAAAAAAATAAATAAACAAATGATGACCATGCAGGTTATTGTCCTTTACTGCAGAATTTTACATTGGCCAGGGGCAGCAGTTATACATGCAATAAATTAGGCAGCTCCTAATTTAAAGAGGGCTAACTTGAGGGACATATAGAGTCATAGCATGGGAAAGTACAGCTTGAAGCTTACTGCAGTGGAGGAGAGAGACAATACCCTTCACCACATAGAACATGCACTGAAAGGAAAGCCAAGAGGAGAATAATTACCCAGGAAAGAGTAAAATGGGAGGAATCAAAAAAACAGACTACATTTAATTTCTACCTACAGCAAGAATAATTACATATTAATTTTACTCAAATATTGACTATGAGAAAAAATATTTAATTTTAACTGTAAATTGTTTACATTAAACATAGATAAATGTTACAAATATAACACAGATTTGAATGTCAACGTTATAGGACTTTCAAAAATAAAGATATCAAAGAAGTATCTTGGCCAGGTGTTGTGGCTCACACCTGTAATCCCAGCACTTTTGGAGGCCAAAGTGTCTGAATCACAATGTCAAGAGATCGAGACCATCCCGGCCAACATGGTGAAAACCCATCTCTATTAAAAATACAAAAATTAGCTGGGCATGGTGGCACGCGCCTGTAGTCCCAGCTACTCGGGAGGCTGAGGCAGGAGAATCGCTTGAACACGGGAGGTGGAGGTTGCAGTGAGCCGAGATCGCGCCACTGCACTTCAGCCTGGCGACAGAGCAAGACTCTGTCTCAAAAAAAAAAAAAAAAAAGAAAGAAATATCTTGCTTGCAATATACTAAACAATCGTATGGTTTGTACCTTTTTCTTTAAGAACACTTAATTTAAAAAATTTAGAGTTAAGCAACACTTCTCTGCATTAAGTACAAAAACTTCAAACCATTTGTTATCAGAAAATATTCAGAAGCCAGGACTTCAGTAAGGATTGAGCATTCCTCATTCCCTGACAACCTCTTTGTAAAGAATAAATATTTGCCACCAAGAGCAAGAGGTCCTTCTAAGGAGTCCAAATGATGGAGGAGTGAGTGACAAAAGGTATTTACAAAAGGTAAATGTTAAGCTAACTCCCCTCTGATCTCCCCCAACACAGTCACTAAATGTAAGACAGCCCTCAACATCACTAGACAAGCCATCTTAATTTTAGAAATCACAGCTTGTTTATAAGCTGTTACTTATGCATAACAAACTCTGGGACCTCTTGGTGAGCTCCCAAATCTGCTGGTGATTAAGTATTTTTAAAATAAAAATAAATAAATAAATAAATAAAATGAAAATTCAAACTCCCAGGCATTTGTGTTGGGAGGAGCTAAGTTCTCCAGTAAAATGCAGAGGGAGCTCATTTATCATTTATTTTCAGATGACAGCTACAAGAGCAAAAATGAAGATGAATGTATACCTTCCAAGAAGTCAAAGAACTTATTTCTCTCTTCTGAAAGGATTAGCTGTGTGCAGCAATATCTCCAGTGTAGCAAAGATGCATAATAAGATGCAATTATATTTAGAAATTTGAGAAGGTCAAAATTAAGTATTTTATTCTAGCTCACATCTATAGAGAAAAATAAACAGGGAGAACTGTTTACCAGACTAAAGCCACAGGGAACACGGCAACGCAACAGGCTCTAGCAAACAGCAGAGTTCAATGGATGGCCCCATAACGGAATTCCTAGTGGGACAATTAGAGAGGTGAAACCATCAGCCAAGCATGACTGCACATACCAAATCCATCAAGACCTATGATAGCCCTGGCAAGACAAATAGCAAGGGCACAAAGACTTAAATGGTATTTGAGAAAATTTACTATCCCCCAGCCTCCAGCAGGCCTGAGAAACAATGCCACTCAAATTCCCATCTATTCTAACAACACCATCAAAATACTCTTTTCCTTAGCCAGTTGAATTTACTGCCTAGTATTTATTTCTTTTTAACTGCATCTATGTATAGCTAAACAAAAATGTTTGTATATGTTTTTACATGTCTCTGTTACTACATCAAGCAAAATCAGCCTGACAGATTTTTATCAAATTTGGAGAGTGTGTTTTGAGCAACATGGTTTTAAATATAGGCTATGTGGCATACCTAAAATTTGCTTTGGGGTCCTCTTGGGGGGAAGCAGGCAGTCATTTACTAGAGAAGAATCGGAGGTGAAATAAGAGGCCCATAAGACTGCCAAAGGGAGTAATGAGCCATAAGTATGAGGATTTTGCATTAATATGCCAAGGACAGAGAAAACAATTGGTAGTTTTAAATATGAGTCCCAAATTGATCATTAAAAACACAGGTATGGTTTGCAATCTAGCCACTCCTTGCCTGGATAACTATAGGTAAAACTGTTCAGGTTAAGTAGCATCAATGACTTATGTAATTAACGGTAATTAATATATTTTTTAAATTCATCAGCTCTGGAGAGGCATTTTTGGAGAAACTCTTTAATGTGCAATGAGTCTAACTCCCAATTCCAAGTCAGAGTAGGGAAATGCTAGCCCTCGCTTCATACAGGTAAAAGAGGATTCAACAGACCACTCCAAGAGCTTGTCCCTCCTAGTAACAAGACCTTTGGAGCCTGGTATCTAACTACCTCCTGCAAACTTAATGGTCCAGAGACAAGGTGACTAGCCACTACTGACAAGTCAAAGGAATGGTGACTGAGTTGGGTTCAGACAGTACTCCCAGAGTTTATTGGCATCTTTGGCACAAAAGATGCATAAGCATTTCCCATGGACCAGATGTGGGTTAGGCAGGAGAAAGAGAGTGCTATTAGACCTATCCAAAGGAAGAACAGACTTGAGAAGAGGACAGTTGTGGGCAATACCTTATTTCTAGTGGCTGTGGAAAGACTAAGTTGCCAGACAGAATAGATAAATATTTTCTATTATCAATGGAGCTACAAGTTAGAGATCCCTCAAAATTTGGAGGTATGAGCGAGGTTTTCCTCCAAAGAACACTTGAATGTCTCATGAGAAGAGTCAGCCTTAAACACCTGCTATGGCCAGAGGGAAAAGCCAGCTTTTGATATGCCAATTATGGGGAACTTGCTAGAGAAGTTATAGACCACCCAGATTCTTGCCCAGAGGCAAGGGAACTAGTTCCAATGAATATTTTTAAAGGGACAGAAGAAAAATTAATGATTCTATTTCAAGTGGCACGCTTATTCAATATATCAAATATGCAACATATATGCAGAAGCAAGAATGGAAAGGTTCACCCACACAAATAGTCAAAATAGAATTAAACATTGTGATTTCAAAGCAGAAGACAATTTAAGAAACACTTGATGTCTGAGCTTTGTATTGCTTGGGGACTTATGAGAGCTTCTCGTTGTCTAGTAAGTTATGTTTCTACCCCTTGGCCTTGTATTTGAGATTTTACTACATGATCCCTTGTGTCCACATCTGTCCCTGACAAGTCTATTTCCCATCACTCCCACATGCACAGCCTTTGGCACAGCCAAGCAAACTACTTGTATCACTGTCATTACTTGTATTCAATTTTCCATTCTGCCACATCCAAAGAAATACTTCTCACTATTCAAAGAATCCTCAGGACCAGGGAAGATACAGTCACTCATTGGTTGTGCCTTAGGGTTATGTTTTCATGGCCGATTTCCTAGCCCTACTGGGGCTCAGTGGTTCTCAAAACTGACTACATATTATAATTATCCAAGGGGCTTTAAAAACAATAGCACTGGCTAGGGCTGCACCCCATAATAGTTCAACCAGAGTCTCAGGGGTTTGCTGCTAGGCAAGTGTTCTCTCTGGGTTCTGGTTTTGGTTTTAAGCTCCCCAAGTAATTCCAAAGTGCAGCCAAGACTGAGTCTATACTGGGTAAGATACAGCACAGGTAATCAATTTCTTAATGTAGAAGAATATATAGGTTGGCTAAGTTAGCTCTTCTGAGAAATTTTGATAAAAATTCAACTGGTTGTGCAGGTTTTTAGTATTCCATGACAGATAAGAGTGGAATTAAATATGACTATGAATCAAATGTGGGGTCTTGGAAAACAGAAAGTAGATTGAAAGAAGAGAAAAGGAAAAAATGACTGTGCCAGAGCAGTGGTTCTCAATGCTGAATACACAGTGGTATCATTGGGCACCTAAAATATATCTATGCGAGGGCCTCCAATCCCACAGATTATGAGTTAATTGGTTTGTGTAGGACTAGGGCATCATGCAGTTTTAAAAAGCTCCCTGGCTGACTCTAATGCACAGCTAGATTGCGAATCCCTGCCCTAGAGAAAAAATAAGGTGAGTGTTGCCTGACACTGGGTTGTCAAATGAAACAGATTCTTCTATGAAGGCTAATTCCTTAAAGAACAGAGAATGAGGAGGTTGTGTCCAACACAATGTTGTTAGTTTAAGGGATTTCGTGTTCAAGTCAGGGCCCCATTATCTCAATTTGCTCATAGGTTGTCTAGGCTGTCCACAGAAGCATCCTGTTCATAATTAGGTGCATGTATGAAAAAGAAAAAAACAAGGAGACTTTGTATTAGGGTTCTCCAGAGAAACAGAGAGAGAGGAGGAGGAGGAGATTAATATAGGAATTGGCTCACACAATTACAGAAGCCTAGAAGTCCCATGATATGCTGTGTGCAAGCTGAAGAACCAGAAAAGTTTGGTAGTATAATTCAGTCTAAGTCTGAAGGCCTGAGAACCAGCAGACCTGATGGTATAGCATCCACTCAGAAGCCAAAGGCCTGCAAACCAGGGGATGGGGAAGTTGGACACTGGTATAAGTCCAGTTCAAAGGCCCAGAAACCAGGAGCTCCAATATCCAAGGGCAGGAGAAGATGAATGTTCCATCTCAAGTAAAGAGAAAGAAAATCATCCTTCTTCTTCCTTTATGTTCTATACAGGCCCTCAATGGATAGGATGATGCTTATGCACATTGGTAAGGGCAGATCTTCTCTACTCAGTCTAACGTTTCCAATGGTAATCTCTTCCAGAAACATCCTCAGATACACCAGAAATATTGTTTAACCAATTATCTGGGTGTCCCTTAACCCAGTCAAGTTAACATGTAAAATTAACTATCCCAGACCTCAAGAGGTCCTTTACCTATTTCTACAACGTTGAGGTTCTTTAATAAAGACGAAGCATCATAGGACACTGTGATTTTTCTGTCTGCTGTGGTCGATTCTTAGGAGATATCCACTCTTTCTCTCTAGCACCTCCACAGCCCGAGTTTACTTCTCTCTGTCTTGACTTCAGGCTTAGCTATCTGTTTTATTTTGACCAGTGAAATGTCAGCAGACAAGACATGACAAAAGGCTTGACAAGACTTAAGAGACTGAAATGGCTCTGCCATGGATATGAGAAGTTCATGTCTCAATTTCTTGCTGGTCTGAGGAGGATGCATGACACTTCAGAGTTGCCTCAGCCAACTGCCACACCTGAAGTGAGAAGCAGAGCCTCTCACCTCCTGCAACCTGAGGCAGAACTGCCTGGGGAAGCCCGTCCTAGGGCAGATGAGTCTGGCCAATCTGCAGATGAATAAGCTAGATAAATGTTTATTTTTTATGCTGCTGTGATTTTTCAGTTGGTTTTCATTTAGCCATATTATGGCCAAGGATAACTAATACACTTGCTTTTCACACAAGGTTGTGCTTTCATCCTTGACATCTTTTTCCAAATTAAATCAAAATCTACTCTTTTAAGAAGCCTTATAACATGGGGGAGGTGAATGTATTGTCTCATTTCCTCATGGTCCCTTGAAGCTAATACAGTATTAAGTTTTATCTTTTGGAGGATGTTCTATGAAACACTTGTGTCAACAAAAAGGACTGAAGTCTACATGAGGAAGGCTATTGCATCCTTTCAATGCCTTATCTACTAATTGCTAATTTCATCATAGTGTTATTTAAATAGCTTAAGCTTAGAACCAACCTATGTGACTAGTATTAGGGAATAGCTAAGTAACATTTGGAATTTTCATAAACTGTTTTCCCACATTTTTAAAAATATGCTTATGAAACTTAAGAATGAGGTGATATCTGTATAAACAAAGTAAATATAAAATTGTAAGACTTGGTTTTAATTACATAAAATAAAATGTATATAAAACGTTCAAAATAAAGTATACCAAGATGTTAATGGAAGTTGTCTTTGAGTAAAGGCATTAAGAGTGATTTCTTTTTTTAAAACCTTTCTTGTACTTCCTAAATGTTCTTCAATGATCACATTTTGCTCTTACATTCTAGAAAAAAACAACTCTAAAAATGGTAAGAAAGAAAACAGTTCCTGAGGGACTTGGAATTCTGAACACCACGTAACTCAAAAGGGGCAAAGGTCTTTCCTTTTTATAATGTATTCAGCTGACAAAGTGAGATGATAATTGGCCTCTTTCCAGTTGGTGAAAGTTCTCTAATTCTAAGGAGTTATCATTTCTTCTTGGGGATCCCCATCTGCCCACCCTCCCTTAGGAACAGTTCTGAATTTTGGTCTCAAATCCTGCACAATTCTTCTATATGTTGACTTACTTCTTCCTTATAATTAGAAGCAGTTCATACTAACAAATAGGGTTATTTAAATTTTACATTTCCAATACCACTAAATTACAGGAAGCCAAAGTTATACAGGTAGCCAATGTACAATTTAAAGTCTCAATAAATGTCGAATTTGGCATTAAGCTTTGAATTTTGAAGGCCATTATTTATACTGTAATATTCACATTTTTGAATGACTGATCTTGAGCCAATGGATTGTAAGTTTCTTATATGGAAAAACTCTATCACATTCATCTTTGTTACCCTCACCACCTAGTAAAACAAGCAGCACATTGTAGGTGGATTTGAAACACTGATAGCTGGATTTGCTGAGTATCTGAGACCTAAGACAGATCCCCCTTCTCAGAGACCTTGCAGTTAGGTGGGCCAAGTGATTAGTTCAGGCCAGTAAACTATGCTGGGACATGATTTTTTTTATATATATATTTTTATTATACTTTAAGTTCTAGGGTACATGTATACAATGTGCAGGTTTGTTACATATGTATATATGTGCCATGTTGGTGTGCTGCACCCATTAACTCGTCATTTACGTTAGGTATATCTCCTAATGCTATCCCTCCCCGCTTCCCCCACCCCACAACAGGCCCCAGTGTGTGATGTTCCCCTTCCTGTGACCAAGTGTTCTCATTGTTCAATTCCCACTTATGAGTGAGAACATGCAGTGTTTGGTTTTTTGTCCTTGCAATAGTTTGCTGAGAATGATGGTTTCCAGCTTCATCCATGGCTGGGACATGATATCTGTCACCTGAGAGCTGAAACAGTGAGAAGTCTACAAACAACCCTCTAAATTCTCTTTTTCAGCTGCAGCAACCCAGGACTCCTGTGTGGAAAAGTGGAGGGGCTACAAGACAGAAGCAATCGGGAGCCCTGAATTACCACTTGGAAGGGAGGTAAAGGTAAGAACCACTGAGCCTGCAGAAGATTTTGCTTGAACAAGGAATACATTTTTATATGTTAAGCCACTGAAATAGCAAGATTTGTTTGTTCCTGTAGCATTCTTTAAAGTTGACTTGAATTTAATTGGAAGCTTTTAATAGTCCACTTTTAAAATATGTTTGCTGGCATAACCAAAAGCACCTGGGCTTGTGTTTTTATCCTGAATGTTTCAGTATTTGTTAAATTTAACGAGGGGAGAAGATAGCCTCTTTTGTGCTGGCTACTTAACAATCATAGCCTAGAGGCTGCTGAAAAGATGTATAAGCTGCTGTGTTTATGCTCTAGGCCTCATGTCTCATTCCTGGGCTGCAGAGGAATTTCCCAGCCAAATTTCCAACCTATATTTAGATCTCTGGTCATGGCCTCCAGGCAGTTTGTGGCACTGCATTAGGTACCAACCATGGGCTGTTACAGAGACCATTCTTCACATACCCAGAAGTAAACTGCAAGGCTTGGTACATTGTATTTGGGAAAAAAAAAAGTGTAAATCAGAACTTTAAAAGTGCTTATATTATTATAGGCTGGAGAATTGTAGGAACATGGCATTTCCTTTTGGCTAGACATAACAATTCTTCCTTTTCAGGTAGTCTTTTCTGCAAAAACTGGCCTTCAGTTACTCAATCAATTTGTCCCAATATGGATCAAGATATAAAAGATTTCATACACTTGACTTAAGCCTATGATAAATACGTGTTTAAATACTCTTTTCTCTAGGACACTGAGTTTCCAAGCCTTTATGTAGACATTTGACCCATTTTACTGGAGTGGTAGATTTGTAAACCAATTAGTAACTAGGCTATTGACTGAATTTAATGGTTGCTAATTGATTCATTACCAATCAATCTAGACAAAATGATCAAATCACTTGTTTATTTCAGGCTTAGTAGCAATAAAAAGTCTATTACTTCTTTAAAAACATGGTGCATGGAAGCACCCCATGTTTATTAACTAAACTGATTACAATTATGTATTTCAGGGTCTGTCTCCAGCTGCCTTGGCATCTGTTCCAACTCTCTGCCTTCTCCTCTCCCTCAAATCTTTGAGTTCTTTGGGTAGAGGTAAGTCTCAGCAATGCCAAATCCTGTATTCACTTTTAGAAACTATAACAGCAGAAGCCTGCTGAATTTCACCTTGAGAGTGTCATAGATGTTTGCGGCTTCTCAGGTCTGTTCAGCATCTCTTCTGAAGTGTCCTCACTTAGACTGCCTGCTAAGGCTTGAGAAAGTCAGCATTTAATCTCAGCATACCACCAAAGGGATGAAAGCTACTCCCTATCATTTTTTAAACAGCTAAATGATTCAAATTAGAACTGTGAATGGTCCAGCCATATTAACAGGTGTTGCAGTATATTAATTTCAAAAAGGACAAAAAGGATTTTAAAGGAACAACCTTCTGCAAATCAAGTCTAAAACTGGGTGCAATATGAAGTAGCCTAATGCAGTGGTTTTTTGTGTGTTTTGAAGACTTTACATCTTTTTTGTGGGCAAGAGTTCAAAATTCAGGTCAGAAGGAATCAAGGCAGAAATGTCATGTTAAATGAAAAGAGAAAGAAGAGAAAAAGAACACATTTGTATAAAGGCTGGGGACATGTGTCCTTGCCTCCTCAATGTAGATGCCCTTGCAATGAACGCAACCGCATGACTGTTCAAAGGGCCACTGCCCTGTTAAAATGCCCTGCCTTTGAAATTCTGTATAATTGTCCTAAAAATTCTACTTCCAAACTCACTAATTGGTCAGATGCAGAAACTGGCCTGTTTATTATTTATTCTCCATAAATAAGACAGAAATTTTTATATAAGGCAATGATACTGTCAGGACTACTATAGTATAATCCCAGACTGTACAATATTGATAAACAAGTCTTGGTGTATAGATAATTGTCAAACTATGATTATCTAAGGATGAGCTGGTAAAGTAAGATTATCTAGCCAAAACCATCTCTGGATTTTTTTTTTTTTAAGAAAATCCAATGCTTAGGGTAACTTAATGGAGTTTGCACTACTGTTAAGCGCAAACACGTAAGTCTTATACTTCTCCAGTTCAAAAATATTTAATCTGCTATCAAGTGTGAAAGCACAATCAAATATATAGCTGTGGGATCGTTAAATTACCCCCAAAGAGGGGAGGGCATCCTTAAATTGGCTGTTCTCTGCGTATCACATAATTAGGCCTTCCGTATTTGCTTGTTGATTTAAAAGCTCCGATTTCCATTCTAAGGTATTTCCATGAGAAGTATGAGGGTATATGGATGGAGCTCTTGAGGGATGACCTTATTTCCATTCCCATACCTACTGACCTATTCAGAACAAACATTTTACAGATGGAAAAACTGAGACTCCAGGAAGCTGGCTCCAAAAAAGCCAACACAGCATATTCATGGTGGAGATGGAGGTATACTCAAGTACCCCACCCATGAGGTTAGTTGTTTTTCAAGCCTTCTTACTACAGAATACATATTTGCAGATATTACCTACTTTTTTTTTTTTTTTTTTGGAAATGGAGTTTCACTCTTGTTACCCAGGCTGGAGTGCAATGGTGAGATCTCGGCTCACTGCAACCTCCACCTCCCAGGTTGAAGCGATTCTCCTGCCTCAGCCTCCCAAGTAGTTGGGATTACAGGCATGTGCCACCACACCCAGCTAATTTTTTATTTTTAGTAGAGACAAGGTTTCTCCATGTTGGTCAGGCTGGTCTTGAACTCCTGACCTTAGGTGATCCGCCTGCCTCAGCCTTCCAAAGTGCTGGGATTACAGGCATGAGCCACCATGCCCGGCCGATATTACCTACTCTTTTATGCTACATGTCATCTTGCTTCTCAATGCAAACTGAAGCTCCAAGACCCTTGCACAATCCCTTTGTTTCCTTTCATGACCACATGACGGAACACAAGGATGGGCACTGAACATAGAGCCAATCCAGGAATTACTGAGTTGAAACCTACTCAAACACAACACAATACAATCCATGAAAGGATAGTTGAGTACCCAAATGCAAAGGTCATGAAGACTACGTGACAAAAATGAATTATAGGCAAACAGTAGTGATTTATGGATACACAAATGATGACTGACACTTTTTTCTTGGTGACTGGTACTGTATACCAAAAGATTGATTTGAATTTCAGTTGTAAAAGTAGTTGAATAGAAGGAAGCCTGTTTAGCAAAAAATTATGAACATAGTTAATATCTTCTTTCTATGGCCCACTGCCACAAAAAATGCTGGATAGGAGACCCCCAAGGTGTTGGCACCTCCATGCCAGGATACTCTCTCACTACCTGGATCAGGGGTTGGCAAGAAGACTCTGCTGAGTCACTTAAATGTGCTGTGATGTTCCACGTCTAGATGGATAAGTACTGCCTTGCTCCATCCAAGGTTTGGTGGGCCCAGGGGCTGAATTGAGCCCTGCCACACCCACAGCCATTCCCTGACCTGGGGCAGAGAGCAACAGTTCTGTAGATCAGAAGTCCAGGCAGGATTAACTGGGTTTTCTGCTGAGAAAAATCAAAGTGTCTGTCAAGGCTGGGCTTTTTCTTATCTGAGGCCAGAAGGAAGAATCCACATCCAAGTTCATCCAGGTTGTCACTCTTAGGTTCCTGCTTCTTGGGTTTCTCCATCTTCAATTCAGCAACAGAGCATCAGATCTTCCCCATGCTTTGAATTTATCTGATTTTCCTATCTGCTACCAACTAGAGAAAACTTTCTGTTTTTAAAGTACTCACATGATTTGATTAGGCCCACCCAGATAATATCCCTATCTTAAAGCCAACTGATGACTAATCTTTGCCATGTAATTGAATATATCACCAGAGCAACACCCAGGGCAAAAGTCATGGGGCCATCCTAAAAGTCTACCTATAGCAGTTAGAAATGTACAGTTGGCATTTGAAAGTAACTCTCTTGAACTTAGGAAAATGTTAGGACTAGAAATTTAAATTTGGGTTCCATCACATTTTAGGTGATAGATTAACAAAATACAAACTTCTGAGCGAATACAATACTACTGATTCTGCAATATCTTTCACCATGGAATCACAACACACAAGCGGCTAGGGCAATATTTTTCATGTAAGATATCATTGACATTATCTCTAAAAGTAATATTGGGTCTTTTTTTTTTGGTACTTTAATGGATGCAAAAGTAATACTGGATCACTTTGACCTTTCACTTAGAAAGCTCAATTTCAATTTCTTTAATTTATTCTAGAAGGTACAGAATGACTAGATTAGCCTTCCTGGATTCCAATCATTTCACACAAAAAATAACTTACCTTTCAGATAATAATGAAAGAGTGTGTGTGTGTGTATGTGTGTGTGTGTGTAAGGACTAAAATGAATGTCTTCTGGTCTCAAAGAAATCAGTCGCACAAAAATAGGAAAACAGAAGTTAAAAGGTCAAGCAAAAGATATAAGCATGACATTACTTTTTACCATTTTTATTTCAATAAATGAGTGGGTTACACATCATCAGATACATACAGTTAGTGTATTTTTCCAAAATAAAAAATTCATTTTCAGTCATTATGTCTCCTTTATAAGGATTCAGGTAGTTTTCCATAAAGGAAGACAAAAAAGAATTTGCTATGTGTTTTTATTGGTTTAGAAAGCTCAAATTTTTGAGTTAAAAAAGAAAACCTTTCCAGCTAAATTTTTCTCTGTGTTTGTGAGTTAAATTAAAGAAAAATATGTATCTTATTTAGTCCCTTTTCTTCTCTTCCCTAACTTTTCTTTTTGAGAAATTTCTCTCTGTACCAATTCATGGTTCACCCTCCCTTTGCAGGTGGCCTTCTCAAGTCAACAGACAAGAAGGAACAAAATTAAAGACTTAGGCCAGGGACCATGGCTCATGTCTGTAATTTCAGCACTTTGAGAGGCTGAAGCGGGAGGATCACTTGAGCCCAAGAGTTCAAGACCCACCTGGGCAACACAGTGAGACTGTCTCTATCAAAAAATAAATAAGGACTTAGACAACTTAAGAAGAACAAAAGTACCCCCATTGTTAAAGACTGGGAATGTGAGAACTGAGGAGTCAACCAACCTCTGAGACTTCTCCCAAGGAACGCATAGCCTCTGTTGTCTCACCATCACTCCAACACTGTCTCAGGCATACAGAGGATCTGATTCAACTCAGCAAACCTATACTGAGTGCCCACTACATGCAGTACGTGCACTATCCTTCCCACTCTTCCTTCCTAATTTAGCAGTAAAAATCTGCTTAATGAATAGAGTAGTAGTTTTGAATATATTATGTGCACAAACATATGCAAAAAAATACATGCTAAAAAAGTTCACACTCCCACCATTCAAAATGTTCTATATTGTATTTTTGTGTGTATCAGCCCATTTAGCAGCAAATGAAGGTATGTGCAGGAAGGAATTATACTGGGTTTCATAAGGACCTTTTTTAATCGAGTAGAAATGTACAGTCACAGGATGCTAATTTTGCTTCAGATTTCTGCACACTGTGGTTGGCTAAGATTTTAAATCAACAATGATAACTATAAGGAGGCCCTGATAATAATGGTAGCATACGTTACAGGTCATCTCACTCCATGCACAAAAGCAATCTTGTAGGAGATGAAACACAATATTGTAATTAGATATAGATGGATTCAATAAATATTAAGCAGTAAAAAATATTTTTCTCTTAGCCATTTCCTTCTTGGCAGAACCTGCAATTCTGGCTCATCCTAATATCTGACCCACGAAATTAAGATAAAAAGTTATTGAATAGGGAGAGAAGATGGAGAGAATTTAATAGGCGTGGCTTTTTGGAATTCCAGTATACATTTTGCAATTGCAAGTTGATGCTTCCTCCCTCCTCACCACGACCAACCACCTCAATGTAAACAAGAAATGGTAACCGCCAGAAGGACAAAGGACACCAACACATGCGGATAGATGAGTTCTATTCCTAATGCTATGAATTACATTTTGTTATTTTGATAGAATTAGGCTTCGAGATCAGTTGTTTCAGATAACCACAACAAACACAAATTTTAAACTATTTTGCATATATTTCCTAATTATTTAAAACCTGTTTGATGCATTTGAATATTTATTTTAATTGAATCGCCCAAACTGGTCAAGTTAGTTCAGGCCCTGGGTCAAGTTAGTTCAGGGCCCACTGCCTTTTTTCTTTTAGAGAAGGCTTCCTTTCCTCCTTCCCAACCAAAGAAACTTCAATAAACTCTACCTTTAATCAAGCCCATCTAGTCTTCTCCCAGTCTCAGTTTTGCCTCCAGGCAGCCCTGAGCAGCAGGAAGTAGGCCAAACTAGCTCTCTGCTAGCTAATCTGATAAACAAATCTGACAGAGATGAATGCTTTTTAGGGAAGTTGCTGCTTTGCATTTTGGAAAATGGGTACTAAAGGCAACCCAGGGATAAAATAAGGTCAGTTTTGAATATTCAAATTACTTGGTCCCTCTTGCTTTGAAATGTTAGTCTTGTACAACTCACAACTATTCTTCAAATACTTTTCAATGAATAATAATAATGTATAGCTTTTTTAAATTTAACCAAAAATAGTCATTGTACGTATTCCCTAAACTAGTAAAGTCTCATCTAGCTTTTCAAAATTTTGCTGATAGACAGAAGCTAGTATTAAGCTTATAAATCATCAGAATTTTTCTCAAGGTTTGGTTTAGAGAATTGCTTCCATCTCTGAGTGGCAAACTTATTCCCTTCTAGAAAGCTCTCTTTCTTCTAAAATACTAAAAGCATCCCTGGAGTACTTTAAGAACACAGAGCTGGCCTCAGGGCCTCTAATGCTTTTTTAAGTTGTAACTCTCCACAGGAAGCCTCAGGGTCTGGTGCACCCCTGAGCCTTGCGGCCTTACTGGCCACTATTCCACCTGCTCAACCCTGGGCAGGTGCAAGACACTTCTGACCTCGCTCAGCAGCCCTTCTGATTCTTTGTGTTTTAAGGCCTCACAATGTGCGTGCTCTAAAATAACAGCTTTTGGATATAGGCAAGTCCCCAGTGTCACACTAAACTCAGGGCACAGCAGAGGAAGAAAATAGCTAAAAATTGGAGCAGGTAAAGTAAGGTAAAGGCCAGGCTCAAAGGAAAAGAGTAAGTCATGAGAAAGTCAGGGATTCTACCCTGGGCCAAATGTAAGTCATGAATCAAAGCTAGATATGTGACCAGGCATCATAAAGAAACTGGAAGTCAGGGCATGGGAAAAAGAAGACTGAGAAGAGAAAGAAACCTGGGTTTTCATTTCACTCCACTCTGGGTCTTAATTTTCTTATCTGTAAAATGAAGTTTTAATAAGAAATTATCTTAATCACCTAAATATTGTACATCTAGAAAGACCACGTGAATAGTGTATTAGTCAGGGCTCTCCAGAGAAACAGGATCAATAGGAGATGAGAAGAAAGGAGAGGAGAGACAGAGACATTTACCATAGGAAAAGGCTCATATAATTATGAAGACTGAGAGTTCTACAATCTGCTACCTGCGAGCTGGAGACCCGAGAAAGCCAGGGTTGTCATTCAGTCTAAGTCCAAAGGCCAGGGAAAGGATGGGGTACAGGGGTACAATGATGTAAATCCAGGTTTGAGTCCAAAGGCCTGAAATGAATGGGGTGGTCATACAGGAAATGTTGTACATTGCACAGAATAGTTCTGAAGAGAAAAAAAGGAAATGGTAGACACAGAGCTGAGATGCAATGCAGAATGCGAGATAAGAGAAATCAGCATTAAATAAGTTCCTGACTTTTAGCTCATGTTACATACTCAATTCAGGTCACCTGGGAAGCTGTGTTCATTTCACTGCATTCTTTCAGGGACTCAGGCTAGTGGGAGATTTATCTTGACACATGGTTTCTAGAACACGGAAACAGGAAAGGGAAAGGTAGAAAATTGTACACTGGCTCTAGTTTCCACCCCAACTGACAATGTCACATCTGCTTACACTTCACTAGCAATACCAAGTCACATAGCTCTAACTTCAAAGGGTGTGAGAAAGTGAAATCTTATCTGCTATGCGCCCAAAGGGTAGAAAAATTGAGTATGAATTCCACACCACCCACCGGTTCTTTACCTTCCAAATATAAATATATACAAGTTTTTTTTTCATCTTTAAAACCTATGCGTGTGCACACAAACACAAACAAATACACAAAGAGCCCCAAAAAACTCCTTCAAAGCTCTGTCCCTCTTTTCTATCCTTTTCATATGCAGGCTTCTTAAAAGAATTGTCTCCATTTGCTGCCATTACTTTATCCTTCATATAACCATCTTGGTTTCTGGCTCTTCTTTGAAACTGTTCTTACCATGGTCACTAGTGACCTATGTGTGGTTAAATTCAATTAACACTTTTCAGTCCTTATTTTTCCTGCTCCGTCTCTCTCTACAACATTTGCGACTATAAATTATTCCCTAACCTCATCATTTTCTCCAACTTTAATTTCAGTGACACCATTGCTTCCCTCCAAAATCCTGATCCATTCTTTCTCCTCTCCCTTCTTCTCACTACATGCACCCATGAAAGCTCTCCTTAAGTTATCCTTTCCCTTGGCTTCACTAATTATTTGTACCTCAATGACTCCCAAATCTACATCCCTACCTTTGATTCCTCTTCCAACCTGAAAAACTGCCTGCTAGAAATCTCCATACGAGAGCCCTTTAAGTTCTTCACATGTAATAGCTCCAAAACAGAATCACATTTTCCATTAAAATCTGCTTCTCCTTATTTCTTAGTTCAGTGAATTATACCACCATTTCCTAGTCACCCAAGTCAAATATCTAGGAATCACCTGCAGCTTCTTCTTTATCTTCAATCCTTTGTTTTTGATTACAAAGTCATTGTTACAATTTCTACTTGGTTTATGACACCAGCCTCTTGAAGTTTCCTCTGCCAGCAGCACTAACCCTTGAGTCTTATTCTTCACAGATGATCAGTCATCTTTGTAAACATAACTATGCCATCCTCTTGCTTAAAACCCTTCAACGTTTCTCATAGGTTTTAGTCCAATATCCTTCTTGTGGATTATAAGGTCTTCAAGATCTGCCCATGATTGCTTCACCACTTATATTCATTGCCCTGACCCTCTCCCTCTGTGAATTTCAGCTATATTGCATTACCTATAGGTTCCAGAATGGTCTCTGATAATTCAAATTTCCATGTCTTTGAGCATGTAGCACTTAATACGTCTCTTTTCTATTATCTGCCTGGTTAACTCCTTTGGACTTAATTCACTATCATTTCTTTCAACAAGTCTCCTCTGATCTTCCTAATCCTGATCAGGTATCCCCACTACGTGTTCTAAGAGCAATTTAAGCTTATCTCAATCTCAATAGTACTTATCACAATCATGTTTTTCTAGTCAACATTTCATTTTTCTTCCCTCCTATGAATTTCATAAGGAAATAGCTTTCACTCATTATTGTAGACTCAGGGTCTAATACAGTGCCTGACACATGTGAGGATCTCAATAAATACCCATTAAGTGAATTAATTAGTTAAGCCCAATTTTCCTATGAGAATAAAATTCTGGAACTGTGCTCAGGCAGACAGAAAGCATGGAGGAAAAGTATGGCATATATACATGTATTGATCCTTAGACTAATATATGTATAATTGGCTTATATAATTAACTCCTCCAGAACAGGTCCAAGTAACTGCTGTGGTGCCCTTTACCAGATCCCTGGATATGTCATGCTACACTTGCCCTCCTGTGATACCTCTTTTACATTTAAGATTTGGTTTAAGGGATAAGTGACTTGACATATGTCTTTTGAATTACGTGTTAACTTGTTGTTAAAAAATAAACACATAGCTATCAAAGACCTAATGTGCTGGTTTCCCTGGAGAAGCAAAATTCCCGTACTCAAGGAGTTAAAGCCTAAGGCAAAGAGCTAAGTTTCCAGCAAATAGAGAAACCTGATCATCTCAATTTGAGTTTCAACTCTTGCCTAATTTTTTTTTTTTTTTTTTTGAGACGGAGTCTCACTATGTGGCCCAGGCTGGAGTGCAGTGGCACGATCTCGGCTCACTGCCAGCTCTGCCTCTTAGGTTCACGCCATTCTCCTGCCTCAGCCTCCTGAGTAGCTGGGACTACAGGCGCCCACCACCACACCCGGCTAATTTTTTTGTATTTTTAGTGGAGATGGGGTTTCACTGTGTTAGCCAGGATGGTCTCTATCTTCTGACCTCATGATCTGCCTGCGTCGGCCTCCAAAGTGCTGGGATTAGAGGCGTGAGCCACTGCGCCCGGCCTAGCTCTTGCCTAATATTACTAAGGAAATGACCCTTCCTTCTGTGACTTCATTTCCTCATCTGTGAAATGTGTAAAATAAGATATTAAAATAAAATATGGGTTACAACAGTAAAGATATGACATGAAGTTTAATTGGTATGAAATCACTTTATAATAATAGCTATCATCTATGCACAATCACTTGGTAGTATTAATTTTACATTCTAGATGTTATTTCATTCTTACCACAACCCAGTGTAGCATTATAATCTCCATGATACCAATGGAGAAATAGTGGTTCATAGAGGTTAAGTAACTGACTCAATGTTACACAGCTGGTAAGTAGCAGAGCCAGGATTCAAATCAAGATTTGTATTACCCAAAGACTAGAGCTGCTAACTACTGTGCTACATTGTCCACTTTTAAGCTGTCATACAAATGCAGTTTATACACTCAATCGTTCATATTTAAGCACTATGATGAAGTAGAGTCCACACTATAAGTGAAAGCTACCAATAAACCAAATGGCCAGATTTTTCCATCTGTAAAATGAGTGAGTTGGATCACATTAAATGAGACACTGCGTATTAAGCACTCTGCACAGTCCATGACACGGAGTATTAAAAAATGCTACCCATCATTAGTATTTTATTGTTGCTAAGTCCCTTTCTACATCAACTTTCTATAATTCTGTGGCATTTCATCCACATACATTTTGTTAAAGGGCTAGGGTAACATATAATAAGATTTATATCAAAAGATACAAATAAGCTGGGTGATTATTTGTGGAAGCCATGAAGGCAGAGGTAGATCTTTGGGACCCTACGAAACACAAGTTCAGATGAAGTATGACAGTTATCCAAGAACTCTGTTACCATTTTTCAGGTCTTGAGGATCTGCTCCTAACTCTTTTAAATAGTCCAGGCTCAGTATTCATTCGCCAGCTAATTGGGAGCACAATCTGTTCATGAAGTTCCCAGTCAATGCTGCCAGAAGGATAATCTACACATTCTGTTTATCTAGTGGGAAAAGGGCCATGGAATTGGCCTGGTGAGACCACTCTTTTCCATGACCATCACAGTACTTAGAAAAATACCAGACTCAAAATTCTCATTTGCTACAGGCTGGTAGCCATCACTATCCTTCTTGTTTAATAAGCTCAGCCCACGGATTGTAATAAAGGGGACAGAGATAAACAGTGTTGTTTTCCACCTGGAAAGCCAGGTAGAAAAGTCAAGAATCCAGGGAGTAACACAAGATGTTAGGGCCCTGTATACATCAAAATCTAGGGCATAAAGGATGAATCATCCAGTTAAAGCTATGCAGAAGTCAGAAAAGGCAGGAATTAAAAGATCACAAGGGATCCTCCCAAACACAAGCTTAGTTACTTCCATAACCTTCCAAAACCCCAGTTTATAGATGAGGAAACAACTTCAGAGAATTCAAGTGATTTTTCAGAGGTTATAAAATTAGTAATATATTCAGGAGAAGGGATATTAAATAACTGAAAGTAAATGAACATGCCACTAGATTTTAAAATTTAAACAAGGTGATATTAGGGAGTAATTGAGAGTAATATTAGCTAGATGCAGTGTCTATTAGTTATATATTAGTGCATAACAAATTACCACAAACTTAGCAGCTTAAAACAACACACATTATCTCATGTTTTCTGCAGGCCAAGAGTCTAGGCACAGCTTAGCTGGGTCCTCTTTAGGGTCTTAAAAGACAGCAATCAAGGTGTCAACTTGGCTGTATTTTCACCTGTAGGCTTGAATGGGGAAAAAATCTACTTTCAAACTCACTCAAGTTACTGGCAGAAGTATGTATGTGTGTATGTATGTATGTATGTATGTATGTACGTATGTATTTGCAGCTATAAAAATGAGGGTTGGGCTTCTTGCTCGCCATTGGTGGAAGGTGGCCCTCAGCTCCTAGTAGCTGTCCATAGTTCCTTGACACAGGGGCTTTCCCAACATTGCTGATTACTTCATCAAGTCAGCAAAGAAAGTCTCCAGCAAGACAGTCTTATATAATGTAACATAATCACGGGCATATCTGATTGCCTTTACCATATTCTTTTGGTTAGCAACAAGTCACAGATCCATCAACACTCAAAGAAGGGGATTATCCAAAGGCATGAACACTGCAGGCGGGGATCATGGAGGTCACCGTAGAGTCTGCACACCAGAGCGTGTCACAGAGGACTTTAAAGGAGGTGAGAGCAGTGGCTTGAAGGAGCCAGAGATGGAAAGACCCAAGGGAGGGTGTGATAGATGGAGGGAACTGCACATGCAAAGCCCCTGAAGTGGGAAAGAGCTCAGACAGGTAGGGCAACGGAAAGGAGGCATCGATGGCTGGAATACAGGAGAGCAGGTGGGGAGCAGGTGGGAAACAGTGCAAGTTCATCATGAAAAGATTAGAGAATTGAGCAGGAGCCAGATCACACATAAGTAAGCACCACAACTTCCCAGTGATCAGTTGAGATTTTATTCTAAGCTTATTTTGATTCTTTCATTCAGCCAACACGTATTATGTTGCCCACTATGGCCAGGCACTGTGCTTCGTGTTGAATGAAAATCTAACATTATTATTTTTTTATTACTTTCTGGCCATGAAATCTACAAAAATAAATTCAGATAAAACACCTTCTGTTGCTTCTATGTTGACCCTAGGCAAGAATGATGTGTCTAAGTAGTAAAACCAGGAAAGCCATAAACAACATGCACGTAAAACATTAAAGCCCAGTGAAAATGAAAATCATGCAATTTAATTCTGCTTTGCTACCTTCCTGATATGTGTGAGGCCTTAAAAATAAAAAAAACCCATATTTATCAGGGTTCAGGTGGCTCTAGTATCTCAAGAAAGAAAAGAGACAAGAATCTTCCCCAACATCATTTTCTCACTCACTTCATTAGTTTCTCTCCATCTAATCTGCCTCTCAATCACCACCGGATGCACTTCCAAGATGCTTTTAAATGGGCTGCAATATGAACATTCCAGTAATGTCTTTTCTTTATCAGATTAAAAACACTTCAGCATTTTGCTATAGTATTAACAATAGAAAGGAAAGCTCACTCCAACACTTTCCTAGTAGGTTTTTTTTTGTTTTGTTTTTTTGTTTTGTTTTGTTTTGTTTTTCACAGAGTCTCGCTCTGTTGCCCAGGCTGGAGTACAGTGGCATGATCTCTGCTCACTGCAAGCTCTGCCTCCTGGGTTCATGCGATTCTCCTGCCTCAGCCTCCTGAGTAGCTGGGACTATAGGTGCCCACCACCACACCTAGCTAATTTTTGTATTTTTAGTAGACACGGGGTTTCACCGTGTTAGCCAGGAAGGTCTCGAACTCCTGACCTCGTGATCCACCCACCTCAGCCTCCCAAAGTGCTGGGATTACAGGCGTGAGCCACTGAACTCGGCCAGACTTTCCTAGTCATTCTTTGTGCCTATGTCCTGTAAGAGGCACAAGAGTTTGTGAGTTAGTCATTAGCAGTAGGAGAAATCCACATTCAGCCCAAAGAGCAGTGTGACCTTCTCCCCAGCATGTGGGCATGTGGGCATGTGGGAACAGTACCAAGCCTATATAAAACAGAGCTGGTGTCCATTATGAAGTTTGGAAATAAAAATCTGATCTCAAAGCAAGAAAATAGATACTTCGATCTACATAGAATTTACAGCTTATACACATGTTAGTTACACATTAATTCAGTTTCCACTAAACCAGAGACCCCCAACCCTCAGGCCAATCTAGTACCAGTCTGTGGCCTGTTAGGAACTGGGCCACACAGCAAAAGGTGAGCAGCTGCAACCCAGTGAAGCTTTATCTGTATTTATAGCCACTCCCCATCACTCACATTATCGCCTGAGCTCCATCTCCTGTCAGATCAGTGGCAGCATTAGATTCTCATAGGAGTGCAAACCCTATTGTGAAATGCACATGCAAGGGATCTAGGTTGCTCATTCCTTATGAAAATCTTTTAAAGTTTCAATAGTTTTTGGGGAACAGGTGATGTTTTGTTACATGGATAAGTTTTTTAGAGATTTCTGACATTTTGGTGCACCCATCACCTGAACTGTGTACACGCTACCCAATGTGTAGTTTTTTATCCCTCACTCCTGATCCAGTGTTTCCCCTGCATCCCAAAGTCCATTGTATCATTCTTATGTCTTTGCATGCTCATAGCTTAGCTCTCACTTATAAGTGAGAACACAGGATGTTTGGTTTTCCATTCCTGAGTTATTTCACTTAGAATAATGATCTACAACTCCATATATATGAGAGATATATATATATATTATATATAATCTCATATATATAATAGCATATATATGTACATATAATAGCATATTTTCTTTATCCTCTCATTGATTAATTGGCATTCGGGCTGGTTCCATATTTTTGCAATTGTGAATTATACTGCTATAAACATGCATGTGCAAGTGTCTTTTTCATATAATGACTTCTTTTCCTCTGGGAACCCAGTAGTGGGATTGCTAGGTTAAATAGTAGATCCACTTTTAGTTCTGTAAGGAATCTCCATACTGTTTTCCATAGTAGTTGCACTAGTTTATATTCCCACTGGCAATGTAAAAGTGTTCCCTTTTCACCACATCCAACATCTATTTATGATTTTTTAATCATGGCCATTCTTGTAGGGGTACAGTGGTATCACATTATGGTTTTGATTTGCATTTCCCTGATCATTAGTGATACTGAACATTTTTAAATATGTTTATTGGCCATTTGTATATCTTTTGAAAATTGCCTATTCATGGCCAGGCACGGTGGCTTATGCCTGTAATCCCAGCACTTTGGCAGGCCAAGGCAGGTGGATTACCTGAGGTCAGGAGTTCAAGACCAGCCTGGCCAATGTGGTGAAACCCCGTCTCTACTAAAAATACAAAAGTTAGTCAGGCATGATGGTGGGCACCAGTAATCCCAGCTACTCAAGACGCTGAGGCAGGAGAATTGCTTGAACCCGGTAGGCAGAGGTTGCGATGAGCCGAGATCATGCCATTGCACTCCGTCCAGACTGGGCGACAAGAGTGAAACTCCATCTCAAAAAAAAAAAAAAATTGTCTATTCATGTCCTTTGCCCACTTTTTGATGTTATTATTTGTTTTTTCCTTGCTGATTGGTTTGAGTACCTTATATATTCTAGGTATTAGTCCTTTGTTGACTGCATAGTTTTTGAGTATTTTCTTCTACTCTGTGGGTTGTCTGTTAACTCTGCTGATTATTTATTTTGCTGTGAGTTTAATTAGTCCCATGTATTTAACTTCATTTTTGTTGCATTTGTTTTTGGGTTCTTGATCATGAACTCTTTGCCTAAGCCAATGTCCAGAGGAGTTTTTCCAATGTTGTCTTCTAGAATTTTTACAGTTTCAGGCCTTAAATTTAAGTCTTTGATCCATCTTGAATTGATTTTTGTATAAGGTGAGAGAGGAGGATCCAGTTTCATTCTTGTATATGTGGTTTGCCAATTATCCCAGCACCACTTGCTGAATAGGGTGTCCTTTCCCCCACTTTGTTTTTGTTTGCTTTGTCGAAGATCAGTTGGCTGTAAATATTTGGCTTTATTTCTAGATTCTCTATTCTGTTCCATTGGTCTACATGCATATATTTATACCAGTACCATGCTGTTTTGGTAACTATAGCTTCATAGTATAGTTTGAAGTCAGTTAATATGATGCCTCCAGATTTGTTCTTGTTGCTTAGTCTTGCTTTGGCTATGTGGCCTCTTTTAGGGTTCCATATGAATTTTAGGATTGTTTTTCCAGTTCTGTGAAGAATGATGGTATTTTGATGGGAAATGCACTGAATTTGTAGATTGCTTTTGGGAGTATGGTCATTTTCACAATGTTGATTCTACCCATCCATAGACATAGGATATGTTTCCATTTGTTTGTGTTGTCTATAATTTCTTTCAGCAGTGTTTTGTAGTATTCCTTGTAGAGGCCTTTTACTCCCTTGGTTAGGTATATTCTTAAGTATTTAAATTTTTTTGCAACTATTGTAAAAGGGGTTGTGTTATTTGATTCTCAGATTGGTCGCTGTTGGTGTATAGCAGAGCTACTGATTTGTGTACATTGATTTTGTATCCTCAAACTTTACTGAATTCATTTATCTGATCTAGGAGCTTTTTGGCTAAGTCTTTAGGGTTTTCTAGGTAGACAATCATATCATCAGCAAAAAGTGACAGTTTGACTTCCCCTTTACTAATTTGGATGCCCTGTATTTATTTATCTTGTCTGATTGCTCTGGCTAGGACTTCCAGTACTATGTTGAATAGAAGTGATTAAAGTGGGCATGCTTGTCTTGTTCCAGTTCTCAAGGGAAATGCTTTCAACTTTTCCCCAGCATAATGCTGGCTGTGGATTTGTCATAGATGGCTTTTAATACCTTAAGGTATATTCCTTATAATGTCTGATGATCTGTCACTGTCTCCCATCATCCCCAGAAGGGACCATCTAATAGCCAGAAAACAAGCTCAGGGCTTCCACTGATTCTACATTATGTTGACTTATATAACTATTACATTATATATTATAATGTAATAATAATATAAAGTACACAATAAATGTAATGCACTCGAATCATCCTGAAACCACACCCCAATCTACCCTGGTCCACGGAAAAACTGTCTTCCACAAAACTGGTTCCTGGTACCAAAAAGGTTGTGCACTGCTGCACTAAACCATCCTTAGAGTAAAGAATTATAATTATTCCACGGTAGAAATGAAAAAGCAGAAGTTGCATGGCTCTCCCAAAGTCACATGGTTAATAAATGATACACTAGAATTTGGATTTGCTGATCTTCATCTGACTCTTCAATTTTATCAGCTGATATTGTCATTGTTACAAAGCAAAAATCGATGTAATTTTCCTACAACCGTATAGTTTTGTTCATAAACATTAAGTGAAAGCAGCCCGCTGAGAGTTTTGCTAGGCAAGGGGTGCAAAGGTGAACAGGACACATTAAACTCATGTGCTCATACACACACAGATACACATACAGACACGCAAAGCATTTGCCTAAATTAACATTTTAAAATTAACAGAATTAACCCAAGGATTAGGTTTGAAGATTCCATCCATTAATTTTACATAGCCTTAATCTAAGCAAAATGTATCAATCTAAGCAGAGTCCTACAATGTATGCATAAAACTGCCATATCTGGGTAACTTAAGGGAAAATTCTATTGTTGGTTTCCCTGTATACAATTAAACCATTTGAAAAGTAGTTGTTTCACACACACATTCTTTTTACTTATATATTTTTATTTTCCTAAAGGCTATGTTGAGATTAGGCAGAGCATCCTAATGTGTGGTCTATGGCTACGCCAGCACTAAAATCACTTTTGACTTTTAACCTTTTCAAGTTTTGCTGAATTCAATATTTCAATCAAACCCTGAGAAAATCAGGGTTCCACAAATGCCAGCCCTTCCTCTAGAATTATACTGGAAAATAAACTTTTAAATATGTTTAAACTGTTTTAAAATTTGTATATACCAACCAATATATTAGTATGCAACTTCATAAACACTTTGAACATGTATAAATGGCTGTTTCAATTTTTCATCTCAGCTTAATATGTCATGTTTATATGGTAACATGCATCAGCTCCTAAAATGAGGTGACAATTCTATGAGTTATTGAAGCTCTCAGGGTCATTTACATTTCTGCAACTGAGACTATTAGGGAATCCCTAGTCTTATAACATCTACTATTCTCATATTACCCTCAGATAATTCAATAATAAAATGATTTAAATTGTGCACCAAAGAACTCAATCTCCAAGGAAAAGATTTTCATTCCAATAAATGCATTCTAAAGAACATTGAGTAAACGAAAATAGATTTAGAGAATTTGGGCTTTTGAAATATCACTGCATTGATTTTCTTCACATTTCCTAGTTACAAAAATAATCTTTAGGTAGAAGAAAATTGTCAAGGTATGAGAAATTGAGGGAGAATTTGGTATCTGAGATTGGATTCGACCTGAGATCTAACCCCAAATGTTCTGACCTTACTCAGTTTCTTTCTATGTAACATTTGGATAAATATCCACCATAGGATTTTTATGAGAATTTGTGAGATTTTTACTAGAACGTAAGAAAATTAAATAATATAAACAGATATATTAAATGAACATAATAACCATAATAAATACAAAATTTATAACATCCTAAGAGACACCATGAAGGATTTTGAAAAGCCATAAATATGGCACTTTATAGCTTGAAGCTGGATAGGGCCAGATAGCCTTGTATCTACAAATGGGGTTTTTGTCTATTCAACTGGTTATTATCCTCAACTCTAATCTTACCAATTTCTCCAAGTCTCTCATACCTGGCCTAGCTACAATCATGACTTGATCTCTCTTTCTCTTTCTTCCCATGACTCCTGATAACCTTTCGTGCCACAACTCACCCTTCCCCCCGCCGCTACTTCCAACATAGCCAAGGGATGCTTCTCTCACTTGGCCTTGTGCAAGCTCACTTGGAAAGCCCTCTGCTGCCCCCGTCAGTCATCGTGAGGCAGCGCCCACAGACTCAAGCTTCTCTCCTGTCCAATAAACAATGAAAATTTGGTTTCTACTGGGTTGTATTAAAAGGAAATTTAATCTGAACTTTACAACAGCAGAGATAAAGAAAACATATTGTGTTATGTTAATTTTTATGGGTTGCCTGTGCAATATCATCCTGAAGTATGTTTCTAAGGCATTACAGGGAGTGACAGAGAACCTCCTAATTCATCCAAACTCTTTACAAAGCTGGCAAGCCCGTTTGATGAATTCCAACAACAGATTCTAGGATGGTCTTGTGGCTAAGTAAGATGATAGTAAGGTGGGGCACTGAGAAGCCTGTTGAGTTTGCAGCTCAGTCCTCTACAAACAAAACAGACAGAAAGAGAAAATGAGAAAGAGGGAGAAATAAGAGCAAAGTAGTGATTAAGAATTTTGAAGTCAAACAGACCTGACTTTGCTCTCCCTGATAACTGCAACTTTGGACAAGATACTTACACTTTCCAAACCGGAGTTTCTTCTAGAAAATGGTAATAACTACCTCATAGCATTATTGTGAGTATTAAATTAGATTATGCATTGCATGACCTTCAGTAAAGTGCCAGAACATAGCACTATCATTACTTTAAACGGTTTTCAGAAGTTTTTATCTGGCTTTTATGGAATGTGACGGATGGCAGAAATAATACAAATTTATAATTATATTAAAGCCTATCAAGATGCTACTATATTTAGAAGCTATATCTGTACAAAGAACAAATCAACACGAAATATGTTTTAAGAAATTACAACCTTATGTATTCTGTTTGAATTGTAAACTTATTATTCATTTAAAACACTTGCTAAGGTAATTAAAAGCCCTAAGTATAACAAACAGTATGATCTTTTTACTGTGATCATATCAAAGTTTCTGGCTTCTTTACAAAGAAAAAGAACCAATTTGAGACAGATGTTTTGTGTGAGTGTTTATTATGTTTACATATATCTTAGTTATAAAGCAACAAAGCCAGGAAACCACTGTGAATAAGCAGGATGGCGGCGGAGTTTATAGACCTAATGTAGTAATTAGAGCCACACTAACAGATTTGAGAGAGGAATTTGTTGTAGTTATGTGCTGTAAATGATTTTCCATCATACTTCTATCTCTTTATGTCAGGTTCACTCATCCTTTCACCATATCCATGCCAGATGATTTTTTTTTTTTTTGAGACAGAGTCTTGCTTTGAGACAGAATACAGTGGTGCCATCTCGGCTCACTGCAACCTCTGCCTCCCAGGTTCAAGCTATTTCTCCTGCCTCAGCCTCCCGAGTAGCTGGAACTACAGGCCCACCATGCCCAGCTAACTTTTGTATTTTTAGTAGAGATGGGGTTTCACCATATAGGCCAGGCTGGTCTCAAACTCCTGACCTAGTGATCCACCTGCCTCGGCCTCCCAAAGTGCAGATTATTTTTTTTTTTAAGTTTCAAGGGGAGGGCCATCTACACCCAGTATATCTCTCAGGATATTCACAGTGTTGCTTTTCTCCACTCTCTCCTTGTTTCCAGCTTCCACACTCGATTTCTCACCGAGATTTGAATCCCAGTCACTGAACTCCCTTGTATCTCTTTCTCATGACTTTCCTTTTACCATTTGGACTTTAACTTTTCTACCTGATTATTGACTTAGTTTAAACCCCAGGATTCCAGGCCCTCGGACTCCCACCTTCCACTCAAAGTCAGACTGGTCCAGCCCTTCTTCTTATATTACAGGAATCTAGATAAAAATACAGTAAACCCAAGAGAACAGTACTAAACATCATATGATAGACACACATTTTTTAATTGCAAGTTACTCCTATGCTATCATTATTTCTTATATCAGGACATTTGTAAATTTACAGCAAATACAGTATCACAGGGAATATGCACAAGTTTAAGATGAATCCCCTTCCTGAGAGGTGATTAGATATAAACAAAGAAGTTGAAAAATGTATACAATATTGAAATCTGACTTCAGTTCACTTGAGGACTTCTAATCTGGCCAAATTCATGCTCTAGTCTGAACAAAAGGCAAAATATTCTTTAAAAATTATTTTCACAATGTCGTATGTCAGGAAATGAAGGAAAGTGATCCCTGAAAAAACAGAAAGCAAATAAGGTGATCCCTATATAATTACTCAGCTTATGTTCTTAAAAGGTTTTAAATTATGGTGCAGGTAGAAGAAACCTAAGCAAAGCACAATGAACCATCTGACTTGAGGAAATGGAGCTAAAAGTCTGTGAAGGTGGCTACAGTTCTTAAGACAACGCACAAGAAAGGAGAAAACTGGACAGAGGAGGAACTCCTAACATTTGGAAAGAGACCTCCTCAGCGTTCAGCTGAGTAATGATCAGCAAATGCATTGAGGCTAAGGAAAGAAGCCCCCAAAAGGATTAGTGGTTAACTGCGCCCAACATTCACGCAAGACAGGCATAGAATAATGCCTGTTCCCACTGGGGAAAATAAATATCCTCATGACCCACTTAGCATTGGGTAGATTATACAGAAGGATCTTGCCTCAGTAGGGAGAAATAATTCTCCTTAGACTGAGCACTTCTGTACTTCCACCTAGCAAATCTTAAAGGTAAAAATCTAAAGAAGCCAAATTTTTCTGAGTAACTTAAATGCATTCCAGAACAAAGGCCAATAGTTATCTAAATAAAAAAGAACACAAAAGCAAAGAAGTTAAAATTCACAACATTTGAAATCCAATAACAAATTACTAGACAAACAGATGAGAAGGAAAATACAACTTATAATAAAGAAAGAATACAATCAATCAAAATTGACTCGGAATAAAAGCAGATGTCAGAAGTAGAGGACAAGGACATTAAAATAGATGTTACCACTATATAATCATACCTTCAAAAATTAAAGTATAGAGAGGAGGATACATTTTTTGAGAGACCTAAATCAAACTTTTAGAGATGAAAGTATAATGTGTGAGTTGGAAAAAGACCTGATAAAGAGCAGTTTAGACACTGCAAAAAAAATTAATGAACTTGAATACATAGCAAGAGAACTCTCCAAAATGAAAAGATCAAAAAGAGTTTTTTTAAAAAAATGAACAGAACATCATGAAATGTGGAACAATATCAAGCAGCCCAATCATGTGTAACTGCAATCACTGGGTTGGGAGAGAATGGAGGTGGCATAAAAGAATATCTGAAAAAATCATAGTCAAAATTTTTCAAAATTTGATCAAAACTAAACTTGTATATGCAAGAAGCCAAACAAACCCCAAACACTAGCAACTGAAGAAAATAGGCCATGGCACATCTTTTCAAATGGCTCAAAATCAATGATAAAGAGAACATATTAAAAGTAGCCAGAGGAAAAAGTCATATCACATACAAAGAAATAAAAATGAGGATTATGGCTTATTTCTTGTCAGAGACAATGCAAACTAAAAGACAGAACAACATCTATCAATCTAAAATTCTGTGCCCTGGAAAAACACCTTTCGAAAATGAAGATGAGCCAAGCAAGCTGGCTGCACCTGTAATCGCAGCTACTTGAGAGACTTGAGGCAGTATAATCACTTGAGGACAGGAGCTTGAGCCCAGCCTGAGCAACATAGCAAGACCTGTCTCTAAAAATATAAATAAACAAAGATGAAGATGAAACAAAGGCTTTGGTAGATATACAAAAACTGAAAGAACTTATCACCAGATCTATACGACAATAAATGTCAAGAAAGTCCTTCAGGCAGAAAGAAAACAACAGCAAATGGAAATAAAGATCTATGGAAGATAAAAAGAACGCCAAAAATGGTAACAACATGGGAAAATATATATCTTATTATCAAAGTCTCTCTTTTTTTTGTTTTTTTTTTTTTTTTTTTTTTAAGAGACAGAGTGTCACTCTGTCGCCCAGGCTCAAGTGCGGTGGCGGGATCTCAGCTCACTGCAAGCTCCGCCTCCCGGGTTCACACCATTCTCCTGCCTCAGCCTCCCGAGTAGCTGGGACCACAGGCACCCGCCACCACACCCCGCTAATTTTTTGTATTTTTAGTACAGACAGGGTTTCACTGTGTTAGCCAGGATGGTCTCGATCTCCTAACCTTGTGATCCGCCCGCCTCGGCCTCCCAAAGTGCTGGGATTACAGGCACGAGCCACCGCACCCGGCCTATCAAAGTCTCCTTTAAAAGATAATTAAATATCTAAGCAAAAATAAGAGTGCATGGTTTATAACATATGTCAAAATAAAATACATAACAATACTACAAAAGTGGGGAGGGGAGAAAAAAATATAATGTTGAACATTTCTTGTAATTCTCATGAAGTGGTGTAATTTTATCTGAAGGTAGAATGTGGTAAGTTAAATATGTATAATATAAAGCATAAAGCAGTGACTAAAATAGTTATAACTTATAAACCAACAATATAGATAAAATGGAATTATAAAAAATATTAATCTAAAAAAGAATAAAGAGGAAAAACTGGAACAAAAAGAGATAAGACAAATAGCAAATAGAAAGATGATCAAGTGAAATGCAACCATATCAGTAATCACATTAAATGTAAATATTTTAAACATCTGAAAAAGCAGAGATCGTCAAATAAATTTTATTTTGTTGAGGCATGGTCTTGCTCTGTTGCCCAGGCTGAAGTATAACGGCATGATCATGGCTTACTCCAGCCTCAACCTTCTGGGCTCAAGCAATTCTTCCACCTCAGCCTCCGAAGTAAATGGGATCATAAATGCGTGTCACTACATCTGGCTAATTAAAAAAAAATAAAAATTGTAGAGATGGGTCTCACTATGTTGCCTAGGCTGTCTCAAACTTCTGGGCTTAAGTGGGCCTCCTGCGCAGCCTCCCTAAGTGCTGGGATTACAAGAATGAGCCAGTACACCCAGCTCTGTCAGATAGATTTTTCTTTTAAAGCATAATCATATACTAATACAAGAAAAATGTATTAAATATAAAGAAACAAATAAGTGAAAAGAAAAAGTACTGAAAAATATAAGCCATGCTAACATGAATGAAAACAAAGTTGGAATGATAGTATTACTATCATACAAAGTATATTTCAGAACAAAGATGATTAGTAGGAATGAAGAAGATCATTTTATAATTGTAAGGGGGTCAATTGAACAATAAGCATAGTATTAATAAATGTTTACGCCCCTAATGAGAGAGCTTCAAAATATATGGTGCAGAAACTGATAGAACTGCCAAGAGAAACAGAAAAATCCACAATTACAGTTAGAAAATTTAACACCTCTCTTCCAGTTGTTTCTAGAAAAAGTAAACACAAAATTGGTAAGGATTTAGATTTGAATAATGCCATCAGCCAACTTGACCTAACTGACATTAATAGAACACTCTGAAGTATGGAAAAACAAAACTCCACCAAAGGCAGAATACATATTCTAATGCACACGAGACATTGACCTATATGGATTATATTCTAGGCCACTAACAAGTCTTAATAAATGTAAAAAGATTCCAGTCAGACACAGTATGTTCATTAATCACAATGCAGTTAAATTAGAAATGAATAACAGAAATATCTCTAGAAAATCCCCAAGTATTTGGAAACTAACACATTTCTAAATTTCCTCTATATGCACAATGGAATGAAATAAAATGGAATAAATGGAATTCAGCCTTAAAAACAAAGAAATTCTGTTACTGTGACATCATGAATGAACCTAGAGGTTCAGAAATAAGAGAAATAAGCCAGACATTGATGGACAAATACTACATAATTCCATTTATATGAGGAATCTAAAATAGTCAAACCTACAGAAGTAGAGAGTACAATGGTGGTTGCCAAGTGCTAGGAGAAGAAGAAAACGGGGCAGGTATTAGTTAAAGGGTACAAAGTTTCATTTATACAAGATGAGTAAGTCCAACAGATCTACTGTACAGCATAGTGCCTAAAGTTAACAATACTGTATTTCATACTTTAAAATCTGCTAAGAAGGTAGATCTTCCGTTAAATATTCCTAACAAACAAATAAATAAACAAACAGAGGATGGGTGGAAACTTTTGAAGGTGATGGATACATCTATGGCATTGATTGTGGTGATGGTTTCACAGGTATATATTTATCTTCAAACTCATCAAGTTGTATACATTATATATGTACAGCTTTTTGTAGGTCAATTATACTTAAAGTGGTTAAAAAAAGAAAAAGCACAAAGTACTATGCTAATTAGTAATAGTAATAAGAACAATAATGATAAACACTTTGGTGTTTCTCTTCTGCCTCAGCAAAGTATTTTTACTGAAATAAGTGTTCTCTTGTCTTTTAAAATTAGACATTGTGTGATTAAAAGTCATTTGGCTGAGATCAGGACACCCAGGTTGTAGACCTGGCTGTGTCAATCCTCTCTTACTTTGAGAAAATCCCTAAAATCACTCTATATCTCTCTCCTGATGTGTAAATTATGGTGGTTGGATTAAAGGATCTGTATGGTGTCTTCTAGCGCTCAAATTATAGTATTCAATGAAATACGGTAAGCTCCCCTCTGGCAGTAAAGTTCATTCATTACATACACACACACACACACACACACACACACCATGGGAATATATTGGCATTTCTCTTCTGAATATCAGAAGAGAAATAACCCCACATCCTAGGCCCAGGAACAAAGGGAGAGATACTGTCGAGATGAAGGGGTTGCTTTTATATGGAATCACAGCTCCTACACACCACCTGAGTATGTCCCCATGCCCACTGATGACCGTAACCAGAAGGAAAGCAGTTAAACCCTCTCTGGGCTCCATCAATCCCTCGTTAATTGCTAATACTGCAAGTGTTGAGTTCACTAACAGAGGAGGGGCACCCCCATAGTTCTGCACAAAGGATTTAAGCAGAGCCACACAAAGACACCTAAAGAAAGAACTGAATCCATCAGGTCATCCCACAGAGAAGCCCCATCTCTGGTTCTTCTGGTTTTACATCAATTGCTAACCTCAACAAGACTGTATGGCTATGAGAGAAATGGGTATCTGTGGAGTTCCACGCAGGCATCGTAGTAGTTGGGCTCTTACTTGCAGCTGACACAGCTGCGCTGACATAACAAGTATCTTTTGGCTAAAATTAACAAAGCCTGTTATGCATTAGTAAGAGGTAGCTGGGGTATTACTTTTGCATCTATAAAACCCATAAAGAGGAAAGCAGATGCCTAAGAAGTGAAAAGAGGATAAACCCTAGCAGTTGGATACGAAGAAGAACTTGGGTTTTAATACAGATCCCCTTAAGGGCCCTGGGTCAGTACACTGGAGTCTGGCTCTTTATATGCTGAAGATTCTTCATAGTACTGACCATGGGGCAGAGCTGTGCAACATAGATAAAAATGCTTATAGTGAGTTACTTTACATATTTTAATCACTAAATACAATTGAATGGGGTCAACGAACTCCACCTTGCATCAAATTATATTTTATTGCTGTGTCCCACTGTGGCTCCAGTTTGGATTGATATAATGTCATCACTGAAAAATAAACTTCAGAGAGTGATTTCCACTCCATACTCAGTGTGATTACTGGTCCTCTATAAGAGACATTTCGTGCCTAAAGATGCCAGAGCACTAAAAGGTTCACAGATAATCTCTTCAGGCATACAGCTACTTATGCACTTAGGATGAGGGACCCGAGATCCCTCTGTCATGCCTTGTTACAGAAAGCCAAAGTGACATACACGTTCTGTGAGATTTTCCTCCCAAATATGTGTGGGTGGGGCTGCCAGAATGCACACAAAGCAAACCACTGTGCCATCCCTAATTGGCACAACACAAAAATGAATGTGGATAAAGGCTTGCTGGAAAAGGGCAGGATTCTAATAATCTCCCATTATTCGGGGATGCCTCGCCAGCTGGCCAAGCAAATCCCGGCACATTCTCAGCCAGTTTTCATCTTTGGGGCTCAGTGAGATGAAAACAAAGGGATTAACACGGATTTCAGATTCTTTCAAATTTGCAGTTCACATTCAGTGTTCCCAAACCTATCTTGGGCCTCCTCATCACTCCACAGACCCAGGACTAGTGCCTGCAAATCTAAACGGAAACCGGGAAGAAGTGGCAGGTGAACTTGTACTGCCAGAATGAAAACATTCAAAATGGAAGCAGAGACTTATGAGGATCTAATGTACAAGGGATCCTACACACAGAAGTTTTATGCAAAAGATACTTATTGCAACAATAAAATATCAAAAAATTAGAAACACGAATGCCCCCAAATTATGACTAATAAACTGATATCTGTCCCATGAAGACTTTGATAACATTTAGTTTATAATTATATAGAAAATTCTTGGATTAAAAAGGAGATACAGAATGGTCAATATACACGTATATTGACCATATATATGATACATGTGGTATACAACATGTACCACATAAATGAAATAAGCAAAGACATTGTCAAGTTAAAAACAAAATCTGAAAATGTTAGAATGTAACAGTGTTTCTTTGGTTGGTGGGAGAGTGACTTTATTTCTTTGTTCTATTTTACTTTTAAATGTTTTATAAAACATCTCGTTTTTAATGAAAAATAAAATTTTAATCGAGTTTTAAGGCAAGTTGTAAGCTAAAGACTAATTAAACTTTACATTATTATATATATATAAGCTGTATTTGGGCTGGCCTGAAAAGCTCCCAAGATGCCTGACACTGGGTATTGATTCCTAGCACTACAGCTTCTCCTTCAGCCACCCAATACCTTCCCACAATAAAACAAAACAAAATAACAACAGCAACGACAAAAAACAGAAGTTTGAGAAATTCAGGTTCTTTTTCAAGGTACCAAGATAATATTCAATTGTCTGGAGACACTTTGACCCTGTTGGTAAGCATTGGCTTTTAGGGTGTGAGCACTTTTGAAACAGCACTATTTGGGGAAGTGTGCTTTTTGATCAGAAAGCTTTTAAGAAGGGCAGCCAATGGCTGGGCTACAAGTATAACAACCACAAGAGAACTGGAGGGAAAGATTAGCGAGCTGTGGCAATCCAAATGTACCTGCCTGCAGCTCGTGGGCTGACTTAAGGAGCCACTGCAAATCCAAACGACTGAATCCCTCAGTTGCTTTTAATTTTGCACTATTGTATTATATTGACACAGCCAGTGTGTCCGATACTGAAACCAGATCTAATCTGCTAATTAAGCCAGCTAATAAAGAGTCTGTGTTTGAATTCACTTGGTAACTCCGTAGTTGAAAAAATCCTATAGGATAAGAAAGATCAATCGAATATGATTTTTCTCACTCTTTTTCATTAAGAAGACTCCTATCCTATGCTATCATACAGCGTATAAGTTGGTTTCCTATAGTTGCAAATAGCAGAAACCTATTTAAGTAAAATAAGCGAATTTATTATACAGTTACAAGAATGTCACATGGAAACAAGAGAAACAGCCAGGCCTCTGGAATAAACTGGAAGCTAGAGGAAACGTACAAGATCTTCTTTCTTATTTAGTTCTGCATCTCTCTGTGCCTCTGCCCTATTTATTTTTTTCTCTCTGCTTTTCCTAATTACTGTCTAAAAACATGGCCATAAACAGCCTTATTTACAGGTCCAGCCACCCAGAGAATGACTGGTCTTTCTCTCAATTTCTCTTTCTTCTTTCTTTCTTTCTTTTGCTCTCACTCCTCTCCCCAAATCTCCATAGTTGGGACTCTCATTGTCAAAACTTAGATCTGGTGCCTACCTTGGACCAATCAACTGTGGCCAAAGGATATACAGTCATCTCATAAAACCAAAGCTGCTGAGATCCCTGCCTCTATAACCAGGTAGATGGCAAGAAGCAGGCAGGAGCAAGAACAGAAGGACAAAAAGTATTCACTATCCAAAAAGCATTCATCTATCCTCACTGATATTTTAACATGTCTCTATTCAAAAACATAAAAATTAAATCTGATAATGTATGGAGAACAGCAAAAACATGAAGAATATTGCTACCATGAAGGTTTCTGTATGAATCTCCTATATACCCACCAAAGGATGACTGGAGAGAGAATGGCAGAAGTATCAGTGAGCGTTGCATCTTTGTAACTGTGGTACTAAGACTAAACAACTTTGGGGAGTTTGGTTGGCAACAGATGTTGTAACTCTTAATGTACATAACCAAAATGTTAGGAGGGAAGGTGACATAAGGATGACAAGTAATGTGTGCCCCAACTTCATCGCTTTTAGTAGTTGGGGGTTAAAATAGTCAAATCTGAAAAATCAGTACCAGAGAAAAAAACTTACTTGATATAACAAAAGCAAATACTCAGAAATATTATTTAACAGCAAGTCCTCACTTAACTTCATCAACAGATTCTTGGAAACTGTGATTTTAAGTGAAATGACATATGGCAGGCCTCAAATAACATTGTTTCTTTCAAGTAGTTCTGTTATAACACTGATTAGAAAAATAAAATTGGTTTTGCAAAACAGCATGGTGCTGATACAAGAACAGACACATAGACCAATGGTACAGCATAGAGAACCCAGAAATAAGACTACACACCTTCAACTATCTGATCTTGAACAAACCCCACAAACACAAGCAATGGGGAAAGGATTCCCTATTTAATAAATGGTGCTGGGATAATTGGCTAGCCATATGCAGAGGATTGAAACTGGACTCCTTTCTTACACTATATATAAAAGTTAACTCAAGATGGATTAAAGACTTAAATTTAAAACTCAAAACTATAAAAACCCTGGAAGACAAGCTAGGCAATACCATTCAGGATGAAGGCACAGGCAAAGATTTTATGATGAAAATGCCAAAAGTAATTGGAATAAAAGCAAAAATTGACACATGGTATCTAAGTAAACTAAAGAGCTTCTGCACAGAAAAGGAAACCATCAGCAAAGTAAACAGACAACCTACAGAATGAGAGAAAAATTTTGCAATCTGTCCATCTGACAAAGGTCTAATATCCAGCATATATAAGGAACATACGCAAATTTACAAGAAAAAAACAAACAACCCCATTAAAAAGGTGGGCAAAGGACATGAACAGACACTTCTCAAAAGAAGACACACATGTGGCCAAGAATCATATTTTTAAAAGTTCAGTGTCACTGATCATAGAAAAATGCAAATCAAAACTGAAAAAGGAGAGTTCCCTGACCCCACTCTCAGGGCATCTGACAGGGGTGTGGCTCATCTGTTTGGTCACTGCTGCTGCTCAACCCCCTTATGGAAGGTGGAGCATGCAGACGAACAGGTGCAGGAGCCTAAGGGGGCATAGGCTACAGTGTACTCTTTTAGCCTTGCCATCTGCTGATGGCTTAAGTGTTAACCAGCTCAGTGGACCCTCTGCCTTTTTGCAAGGGCAGTTTGACAGCTTTCTGTATCCCAAGCTCTTGTTCAGCGTCCCAGAAGACTCAGGTCACATGCGGACTTGAAGGATGGTGAATGCGGGTTTTATTGGGTGGTGGAGGTGGCTCTCAGCAGGATGGATGAGGAGCTAGACAGAGGACAGAGTTGGAAGATGATCTTCCCCTGGAGTTTTGCTATCCAATGACCAATTCTCCAAATATCCCCAGCCAAACTCCTCCCAATCTTCAGATGCTCCATCTCTTCTATCCTTCTCTGCTGCACCGTTCTTCCATTTGTCTGCTTGTCTGCTCATTTTCTGGTGGATCTGAGGGTTTAGGGTTTATATGGGTACAGCAAAAGGGGACATGGCAGGCTGAAAGGCAACTTTTGGTTGTGAAAACAGCAATGCCTGTTCTCATTTAAGCCCGCAGGTTTCCAGGCTTGAGGGTGGGGCCTTTGCAGGGGAACTGCCCTCTTCTACCCAGTATTTCCCTGTCTCCTGTCCATATCAAAACCACAGTGAGATGCCATCTCACACCAGTCAGAAAGGCTATTACGAAAAGCCACAAAATAAAAAATAACAGATGCTGGTGAAGTTGTGGAGAAAAAAGGATGCTTATACACTATTGATGGAATTGTAGATTATGATAGTTCAACCATAGTGGGAGACAGTGTGGTGATTCCTCAAAAACCTAAAGGCAGAACCATTACTGGGTATATACCCAAAGGAATATAAATTGTTCTATTATAAAGACGCATGCATGCATATGTTCATTGCAACACTATTCACAATAGCAAAGACACAGAATCAACCCAAATGCCTGTCAATGATAGACTGGATAAAGAAAATATAGTACTTACACACCATGGAATATTATGCAGCTATAAAAAAGAACAAGATCATGTTGTTTGTAGGGCTATAGATGGAGCTGAAGGCCATTATCCTTAGCAAACTAATGTAGAAACAGCCAAATACCACATGTTCTCACTTATAAGTGAGAGCTAAATGATTGAGAACACATGAACACAGAGGAGAACAACATACACTGGGACCTATCAGAGGTTGGAGGGTGAGAGGAGAGGGAGGATCAGGACAAATAACAACTACTAGGCTTAATACCTGGGTGATGAAATAATCTGTACAACCAACCCCCATGACACATGTTTACCTATGTAACAAACCTGCACATGTACCCCTGAACTTAAAAGTATTAAAAAAATGGGAAAAAAAAGAAAATATTTTTTAAAATAAAAGAAATTGGTTTTGTTATGTATTGTTTTACCTTAAGTTGCAGTTTCTAAGAACCCATAATGCCAAGGGAAGACTAAACTGTAATTAACTAAACTTAGGAGGTAGAGGCAAGGAAGGAAAGAGAAGCAAGGAAAGGAAAAAAGAAGAAAGTGTACTGTTTTCATCATTAATCAGAGTAGAAAATTAATAAATACTGTCCAAGGAAAGAAGGATATCATATAAAATTACAGGAAACAACTACAACAAAAGTATAAACCTTTCTAATTATCAAAAGAAGCACAAGCATAAATCAGAGAAAGCAGAGCAGGCCATGAAATATTTGTAAAGCTATAAAAACATAAGCATGAAATACAACAATATGACAAAACTAAGACCAAACACATTTGCCATTTCCATAAGAATAGAAGATTAAACTTGTCCATCAAAAGTCTTCCACATTCAATTACAAAGCAAAACCAAATAAATACTATAAATATAAGTAAAACCTAAAACATTAACTCAGAAAACTTGAAAACGAATTTAAGCAAGTTAAATTATTTGCTTATTAAAGAGACAAAGAGGCAGAAATCATAGTATCACATGATTAATAACAAAAAAATAAAGTAAAAAAAGAAAAAAATCTGTAAAATAATAAAGGGTACCACCCAGACACAGTGGCTCACACTTTAATCCCAGCTATCATACATATCATACCTCTGAGAGGCTGAGGCAGGAGAACCACGTGAAGCCAGGAACTCGACACCAACCTAAGCAACAGAGAAAGACCACCATCTCTGGAAAAAAAATGTTTAAAAAATTAGCTAGGCATGGTGGTACGAGCCTGTAGCCCTAGCTATTTAGGAGGCTGAGGTGAGAGGAACTCCAGCTCAGGAGTTTGAGGTTACAGCAAGTTAATGACTACACCACTACACTCTAGCCTGGATGACAGAGCAAAATCTGTTTCTCTAAAACAATAATAATAATGGGCACAGACCAGGCATGGTGGCTCACGCCTGTAATCCAGCACTTTGGGAGGCCGAGGCGGGTGGATCATGAGGTAAGGAGTTTGAGACCAGCCTGGCCAACATAGTGAAACCTCATCTCTACTAAAAATACAAAAATTAGCCAGGTGTGGTGACACACACCTGTAGTCTCAGCTACTCAGGAGGCTGAGGCGGGAGAATCGCTTGAACCCGGGAGGCAGAGGTTGCAGTGAGCCGAGACCATACCATTGCACTCCAGCCTGGGTGACAGAGTGAGACTCCACCTCAAAAAATAAAAATAAAACATAAAAAATAATGGGCACAATATCAGTGAAACTATAATGGTAGAAATATCTATATATTATGAAAAATGGTATCAATATTCATAAATAAACCTGAGACTATTCAAAGAAAAACATAGAAGCATATTAGAAGCAATCTATACAACATAATGAAGAACATCTAAAGGACATATATTTTAAAATCTACCATGAAAATATAGAGTAGGCTTTCTTTCAAGAGTCCATTAAAAAAATTAAAATTATTAGGCCACAAAAAAAGTCAGTAAACTCAAAAAAAAAGAAATGGTCCAGACAAACTCTCTGATCATAATGTAGCAAAATTATAAACAAAACCAAAATCAAAAAGTGCATCAAATCTGAAAATGAAAAAAAACCCATTTAATTAAATTTTGTCAAAAAAGTCAAAATTGAAATTGCATATTATCTTTACATATTATAATAAAAATACATCATACCAAAATTTGTAGGCTATATCTAAATTCATTCTTAGAGAAATATTTATAGTCCTAAATATATATCAATTTGCTATACATAAATGATATATATATATTATCTTACAAATACAATATATAGGTATATATGCATATACACACATCTAACTCAAGAAACAAAACAAGCTGAACAACAAAATAAATCTAAGTAGAGCAAAAGAAAAGATTAATTTAAAAACACTGCATTGGGTAAATTAGAAAAATGAGTACTAATTAAAAATTACAGAGCTAGTTTTTTAGAGAAAAACAACAAAATTAAGAACAAAAATAATTCAGTGACAAAAGAGAAACAGCACAACAAAACAAGTGCACAAAAAACAAAGACTGGGAGAATTCTACTTCTTAATGAGAACAACTGGAACATACAGATAAAATATTTTTTAATAAAATCTGCTTTAAGCCATTGAAGAGGTAACAAGATTTGTGATCGAAGGAAAAATGATTTCAGCAAACCAAAAATTCTATACTGTCTACCTCAAGTCATTTCTCAATTCATAAGTGACAATGGACAAGATGAGAAACCATGAAGACAGCAACTATCCACGCATAAAAATACCTTCACAAGAGATAAGTAAGCTAGGTGAGAGATCACAGTACCTGAGTGTAACACAGAAAACATATGCACTGAAGAGGGTAGGAAGAACAGCTTTATGTTACCTGCATCACCCCTCCCCCATACCTAGGCAGCACATCATAGAGAGAGATAGATAACCCTCCACTTGGAAAAACAGAAGAAGCGAACACAAGACATTGTCCTGGATCCCAGCAACAGACCTGCCACAGTAAAACCCAGCATTGTAGAGGCCCCCACAGCAACAGATTCCAGCCCAATATCCTCACACTGAGCCTGTAAGCCTAACCTGGCAGTAAGCTGGACTCCACAGCCTCAGGCTTCAGACCTACATGGTAGACTTGATCTCCAGTCCACACTGCCACCAGATCAAATTCACTGTTTCCAGGCTACAAATATCCCTCAGAAGCAGGCTGGCCCAGTGATACTAGGCTTCAGGACTTCCCCAGTGCCAGGCCAGCCCCAGCAGCACTGGGGATTAGGCCCACTCCAACAGCAGGCCAGCCCATGAGGACACAGGTTTTAGGCCAATCCCCATGGATACAGGCTCCAGGCCCACCTCAGCAGATGCAATCAATATGTCCACCCAAGTGTATCCTGGCTCCAGGCTCACCCTCCTGCTGACCCAGACACCAGATTATCCAGGCCAAGGACTCCAGTAGCAAGAAGTCCATCTGTGGACCATGCCAAATGACCTTTTCAGAATCTCTTGACAAGTTAACTGTTGAAGGGCTTTCCCAGATTAAGTCAGTCTGTGAGGACTGAAATAGGTACCTATGCCTTCAAATGTACAGATACCAATCCACAGCTACAAGGATTAAAAACAATGAGAAACAAGACCTGACCAAAGGGAAACAACAAAGTGCCAGTGAATAGCCCTAAAGATATAGAGATGTATGAACAGTATGACAAATAATTCAAAATAACTGTTTTAATGAAGCTCAGCAAACTTTGAGAAAATAAACAATTCAATAAAATGAGAAAAACAATGACCAAAATTAAATAGAAATTAATTTTAATAATAGAAATTATTATTAAAAACATAAATGGAAATTCTGGAGTTGAAAAATACAGTAAATAAAGTGAAAAATGTAACAGAGAGTATTAACAGCATAATTGAGTGGAAGAAGGAATCTGTGAACTTGAAGAAAGGTTATTTGAAAATATACAGTCAAGAAAAAAAGAATAAAAATGAAGAAAGCTTACAGGATTTATGGGAAAGCATCAAAAAAAAGCAAATTTTTGAGCCATATGAATATAAGAAAGGGAAGAGAATGATAAAGGAGTAGAAAATGTATTTATAGAAAAAATGGCAGAAATCTTTATAAACCTGGAGAATTATAAATATCCAGGTAGAGAAAGGGCAAGGGACTTCAATAAGATTCAATCTAAACAAGACTACTTCAAGACAGAAAAGAAAAATCTTAAACAAACAATTTAAAATTGCATCTCAAGAAATTAGAAAAAGAACAAAGTCCAATGTTGGAAGAAAAAAATAAGATTACAAAAATTAATGCAATAGAAAATAGAAAAATAAAAGATCAACAAAACGACAAGTTTGTTTTTTGAAAGATAAACAAAATTAACAAACCTTTAGTTAGACTAAGAAAAAAGAGAAGATAAAATTAGAAATGAAAAAGAGGCATTACAACTGATACAAGAAAAATACAAAGACTCATCAGAGACCATTATGAGCAATTACATGACAAATTTTCTTTTCTTTTTTTTTTTCTTTTCTTTTTTTTTTTTTGAGACGGAGTTTCACTCTTTCACCCAGGCTGGAGTGCAGAGGCGCAATTTGGCTCACTGCAACCTCCATCCCCCGGGTTCAAGCGATTCTGCCTCAGCCTCCCGAGTAGCTGGGATTATAAGTACCTGCCACCATGCCCAGCTAATATTTTACTATCTATATTTTTAGTACAGATAGTAAAAATACTAATATTTGTATTTTTAGTACAGATGTTGTCCAGCCTAATCTTGAACTCCTGACCTCAGATGATCCACCCGCCTTGGCCTCCCAAAGTGCTAGGATTACAGGCATGAGACACCATGCCCAGACAAAAAAAATCTATAACCTAGACAATACTGATACATTCCTATACACATACAACCTACCAAGACTGAATTACGAAGAAAAAAAATCTGAATGTACCAACAAATAAGGAGATTTAATTAGTAATAAAAAAGTCTCCAATTAAAGAAAAGTACAGATCCCGATGGCTTCATAGTAAATTCTACCAAACATTTAAGGAACTAATTCAGTCTTTCTATAACTCTTCCACAAAATTGAAGAGGGACTATTTACAAACTCATTTTATGAGGCCAGCATTAATCCGATACCAAAACCAGACAAGAATACTACCAAAAACGAGAAAGGAAAAATACAAGCCAGTATCCCTGATAAGCACAGACACAAAAATCCTCAATAAAGTACTAGTAAATTAAACTCAGCCACACATTAGAAAGTTCGTTCACTATGATCCATGTTGGATTCATTCCAGGGATGCATGCATGACTCAACATACTCAAATCAATAAATATGATACACCACATTAACGGAATGAAGGGTAAAAGTCATATAATCATTTCAACAGAAGCAGAAAAAGCATTTGACAAAATTCAACATTGTTTCATGATAAAAACTCTCAACAAATTAGGTATGGGAATGTACCTTAACATAAAAAGGTCATGCATGAGAAACCCACAGCTAATACTCAATGAAGAAAATTAAAAGCTTTCATCTAAGATGAAGACAAGAATTTTTACCCTTGCCACGTTTATTCAACATAGTACTGGAAGTCCAAGCCAGAGTAATTAAATAAAAGAAAATACACACAAATTGGAAAGGAAGAAGTTAGATTATCCTTGTTTGCAAATAACATATAGAAAACACTACAGACTCTACCAAAACACCTCCTAAAACCAATAAATCCATTCAGAAAAGTTGCAGGATACAAAATCAACATACAAAAAACCATGTTTCTATATAAGAGTGAACTATGTGAAAAAGAAATCAATAAAGCAATCCTATTTACAATGGCTAAGAAAAATACTTAGAAATAAATTCAACCAAAAAAGTAAAAGATCTCTACACTGAAAACTGTAAAACACTGATTACAAAATTGAACAAGACACAAATGAAAACAAAGACATCCTGTGTTCATGAATTAGAAGAATATCATTAAACTTCATACTACCTGAAATTGTCTACAGATTCAATATAATTCCTATCAAAATATCAATATTTTCCACAGAAATAGAAATAACCATCCTAAAATATGTATGAAACCACAAAAGACTCCAATTAGCCAAAACAATCTTGATTAAAAAGAACACAACCGGAGGCATTACATTACTTGACTTCAAAATATGCTACAAAGGTATAGTAATCAAAGCGGCACAGACACAGACCAATGCAACAGAATAGAGAGCTCAGAAATAAATCTATGCATTTACAATCAACTGATTTTAAACAAAGGTACCAAAAACACAAAATGGGAAAAAGACAGGCTTTTCAACAAATTGCTAGATCATATGGTAATTTTTTTTTAATTTTTATTTTAAGATCAGGGATACATGTGCAGGATGTGCGGATTTGTTACATAGGTAAAAATGGGAGCTGGCTGTACAGATTATTTCATCACCCAGGTATTAATCCTAGTATCCATTGGTTATTTTTCCTGCTTTTCTCCCTCCTTCCAACCTCCACCCTCCAACAGGCCCCAGTGTGTGTTGTTCCCCTCTGCATGTACATATTTTCTCATCATTTAGCTCCCACTTATAAGTGGAAACGTGGTATTTGGTTTTCTTGCATTAGATTCCTGAAGACAACGACTTCCATCTCTATCCTGCCCCTGCAAAGGACATGATCTCATTTCAAGGCTAAATGGTATTCCATGCTGTATATGTACTATATTTTCTTCATCCAGTCTATCACTGATGGGCATTTGGGTTGATTCTATGTCTTTACTATTGTGAATAGTGCTGCAATGAACATATGCATGCATACGTCTTTGTAATAGAATGATTTCTATTCTTTTGGGTATATACCCAGTAGTGAGATTGCAGAGTTGAATGGTTTCTGTCTTTAGGTCTTTGAGGAATTGCCACAGTGTTTCCTACTATGGTTGAACTAATTTACGCTCCCACAAATGATATAAAAGTGTTCCTTTTTCTCTACAACCTCACCAGCATGTTATTTTTTGACTTTTTAATTATAGTCATTCTGGCTGGTGTGAGGTGGTATCTCATTGTGGTTTTGATTTGCATTTCTCTATGATCAGTGATGTTGAGTTTTTTATACGATTGTTGGCCACATGCATGTCTTCTTTGGAGAAGTATCTGTTCATGTCCTTTGCTCACTTTTTAAATGGGGTTTCTTTTTCTTGTAAAGTTAAGTTCGTTATAAATGCTAGATATTAGACCTTTGCCGGATGGACAGATTGCAAAAATTTTCTCCTATTCTGTCAGTTGTTTACTCTGTTGATAGTTTCTTTTGCTTTGCAGAAGCTCTATCATTTACTTATGTCATATTTGTCAATTTGTGCATTTGTTGAGACTGCTTTTGGTGTTTTCTTCATGAAAACTCTGCCTGTGCGTATGTCCTGAATGGTATTGCCTATGGTGTCTTCTGGGGTTTTATAGTTTTAGGTTTTACATTTAAGTCTTTAATCCATCTTAATTTTTGTATATGGTATAAGGAAGGGGTCCAGTTTCAATCTTCTGCATAGGGCTAGCCAGTCATCCCAGCAATATTTATTGAATATGAAATCCTTTCCTTATTGCTTGTTTTTGTCAGGTTTGTCAAAGATCAGATACTTGTTGGTGTGTGGTCTTATTCCTCGGTTCTTTGTTCTATTACATTGTTTATGTGCCTGTTCTTGTACCAGTACCATGCTGTTTTGGTTACTGTAGCCTTGTAGTATAGTTTGAAGTCAGGTAACATGATGCCTCCAGCTTTGTTCTTTCTGCTCAGGGTTGCCTTGGCTATGCAGGCTCTCTTTTAGCTCTGTATGAATTTTAAAATGGATTTTTCTAGTTCTGTGAAGAATGTCAGTGGTAGTTTAAGGGAATAGCTTTGAATCTGTAAATTGCTTTGGGCAGTATGGACATTTTAATGGTATTGATTCTTCCCATCCATGAGCAAGGAATATTCTTCCATTTGTTTGCATCATCTCTGATATCTTAGTGGTTTTTAGTTCTTCTAGAGATATCTTCTTTCCCTTGTTAGCTGTAGGGAATTCTATTCTTAATATTTGAAGAATCTCCATATTGTTTTCCATAATGGCTGAACTAAATTATATTGCTACCAACAGAGTTCAAGTGTTCCCTATTCTCTACATTCCTACTAACATTTGTTGTGGCTTTTTGATAATTGTCAATCAACAGGTGTGAGGTCATGTCTCATTGTGGTTTTAATTTGCATTTCCCTGATGATTAGTGATGTTGAGCATTTTTTGATATACTGATTGGCCATTTGTATGTCTTCTTTTGAGGAATGTCTACTCAGGTCCTTTGCTCATTTTAAAATCTGGTTGTTTTCTTGCTATGGAGTTGTTTGAGTTTCTTACATTTGGGTATTAACCCCTTATTAAAGTTTGTAAACATTTTCTCTCATTCTATATGCTGTCTCTTCATTCTGTTGTTTCCTTTGCTGTGCAGAAGCATTTTATTTGACATAATTCTGTTTGTCTACTTTTGCTTTGGTTGCCTGTGCTTTTAGGGTCATATCCAAAAGAATAATTGTACAGACCAATGTCATGAGGCTTTTTCCCTAAGTTTTCTTCTAGTAGCTTTACAGTTTGGGGTCTTACATTTAAGTGTTTAATCTATTTTCAGTTGATCTTTATTGAAGAGCCTGTCCTTTTTACAAAACACATATATTTTAAAATAGAAGATTAATAAATCCAAACAACAATTTCAGCATGCCAAAAATACCATTAGTAAAACCTAAAAGCAAGCAAAACATTTAAGGGAAATTGCAACATATGTCACAAAAAAGTAGCTAAATTCCTTAGTATACAAAGAGTTTCTAGAAACCAATCAGAAAAAAAAGGCCAATAGAAACACGTGCTAAGAATATGAACAGATAGGCCAGGCATGGTTGCTCACGCCTGTAATCCCAGCACTTCAGGAGGCTGAGGCAGGTGGATTACTTGAGATCAACTTTGAAACCAGCCTGGTCAACATGGCAAAACCTCATCTCTATTAAAAATACAAAGATTAGCTGGGTGTGGTGACGTACGCCTGTAATTTCAGCTGCTCAGGAGACTGAGGGACAAGAATCACTTGAACCCGGGAGGCGGGGATTGCAATGAGCCAAGATCATGCCACTGCATTCCAGCCTGGGTGATGGAATGAGACTATCTCAAAAAAAAAAAAATGAATATGAATAGACAATACTCAGCAAAGGAAATACCAATATATCTTAGTTATAATTAAAGATAACTGTACTGGTATACTATTTTGCAACTATCGGATTGATAAAGATTAAAATGTTTGATAACACTCCATGCTTTTAAGGGAAAGGGGAACAGTGACTCTCACACATTGCTGGTACAAGCGGAAATCCAATGCATTCTTCATATGGGGTAATCTGGCAATATCTGTTTTTAAAATGCAGCAACTCCATGTCAAATAATTTATTCTATACTGATACACGTGCACAGGTTATCCTTTGCAGCACTGTTAGTGACAGAAAAAAAAAAAAAAGAAATAACCTAAACACTCAAAGTTTATTGGTTAAATAAATTTTAATATAGTCCTACCACAGAATAAGATGTAAGCATAAAAAGGAATAGCAGCAGCCAAGTGTGGTGGCTCACGCTTGTAATCCCAGCACTTTGGGAGGCCGAGGCGGGTGGATCACGAGGTCAGGAGTTGGAGACCAGCCTGGCCAATATGGTGAAATCTCGTCTTTACTAAAAATACAAAAATTAGCCAGGCGTGGTGGCACACGCCTGTAGTCCCAACTACTCAGCCGGCTGAGGCAAAAGAATCCCTTGAACCTAGGAGGCAGAGGTTGCAATGAGCGGAGATTGTACCACTGCACTCCAGCCTGGGTGACAGAGTGAGACTCCCTCCTACCGCCCGCCACTCCCCCCACCCCATCCCCGCCAAAAAACAAGAATAGCCAGGTGTTGTGGCTCACACCTGTAAACCCAGCACTTTAGGAGGCCAAGGAGGGAAGATCTCTTGAACCCAGGAGTTCAAGACAAGCCTTAACAACATACCAAGACCCCATCTCTACAAAATATATATATATATTTTAAATTAGCCAGGCATGGTAGTGTACCCCTATAGTCCCAGCCATTCAGCAGGCTGAGGCAGGAGGATTGCTTGAGTCAAGGAGGCCAAGGCTGTGGTGAGCCATGATCATGTTACTGAACTACAGGCTGGATGACAGAGTGAGACCCTGTCACAACAAAATGGTAAAGTTTTTTAAAATACTGATAAGAAATAAACTTTGACATACATTGTTATGTGCAAAAAAAAAAAAAGGCAAACCTAGAACAGTGTATCCAATATGCTATTTGTGTAAAAGTAGGAAAAATGTTTATATGGAAAAAGTATTAATAAAATGCTTTTCTTGCTCCTCTCAGTCATCACTTAAGGAGCTAGGTAAAGATGCAGCCCCTCCCTGAGGCTTTCCCTGCCATTCACCTGGGATGAATTTCATCTATGATGCTTAAGTCATTCCAAAACTACTCACAATTTAATTAAAGGTATACAACACTTCTTTGAGTGGGCTCAATTCAATATGATAAAATCAAGAAAAGACTTTATTTTCCTACCATTGATTTCTAACACTCTTTTCTGGCTGTCCCTGTTATGCTCTTATACAGTACCCTGGGAAATCCTACAGCTCCCCAGGCCACTTTCAAACACTGAGTTTCTTCCTTTTCCCCACATTGCCCCACATCATCCTCAATTATTCTGCTGTTTCTTACCACTCAGAGGCAGGGGCAGGAAGAAGATGATTAAGTCAACCACTTCTTTGATAAATACTGTTGTTCTTTAGAGTCCTCTGTGGTTGTTACAGTTTGGGTGTATTTGTCAGCTCCAAATCTCATGTTGAAATGTAATCCTCAATGTTGAGAGTGGAGCCTGGTGGGAGGTGTTTGGGTAATGGAGTGGATCCCTCATGAACATCTTGGTGCTGTCTTCAAGATAGCGAGTGTGTTCTCATGAGATCTGGTTGTTTAAAAATGTGTGACACCTCCTCCCTCTCTCTTGCTGCTCATCTCATGTGACATACTGGTGCTCTATCATATTCTGCCATGATTGTAAGCTTCCTATGCCTCACCAGAAGCAGATACCCGCACCATGCTTCCTGCACAGCCTGAAGAACCATGAGCCAATTAAACATCTTTATTATTATTATACCCTAAGTTCTAGGGTACATGTGCACAACATGCAGGTTTGTTACATAGGTATACATGTGCCATGGTGGTTTGCTGCACCCATCAACCCATCATTTACATTAGGTATTTCTCCTAATGCTATCCATCCCCCAGCCCCCAACAGGCCTTGGTGTGTGATGTTCCCCACCTTGTGTCCACGTGTTCTCATCGTTCAACTCCTACGTATGAATGAGAACATGTGGTGTTTGGTTTTCTGTCCTTGTGACAGTTTGCTTAGAATGATGGTTTCTAGTTTCATCCATGTCCCTGTAAAGGACATGAACTCATCCTTTTTTATGGCTGCATAGTATTCCATGGTGTATATGTGCCACATTTTCTTAATCCAGTCTATCACTGATGGACATTTGGGTTGGTCCCAAGTCTTTGCTATTGTGAATAGTGCCACAATAAACGTGTGCATGTGTCTTTATAGCAGCATGATTTATAATCCTTTGGGTATATACCCAGTAATAGGATTGCTGGGTCAAATGGTATTTCTAGTTCTAGATCTGAGGAATTGCCACACTGTCTTCCACCTTGCTTGAAGTAATTTACACCCCCACCAACAGTGTAAAAGCGTTCCTATTTGTGCACATCCTCTCCAAGATCTGTTGTTTCCTGACTTTTTAATGATCATCATTCTAACTGGTGTGAGATGGTATCTCATTGTAGTTTTGATTTGCATTTCTCTAATGACCACTGATGATCAGCATTTTTTCCATACATCTGTTGACTGCATAAATGTCTTCTTTTGAGATGTGTCTGTTCATATCCTTTGCACACTGTTTCATGTTTTCTTGTAAATTTAAGTTCTTTGTAGATTCTGGATATTAGCCCTTTGTCAGATGGGTAGATTACAAAGATTTTCTCCCATTCTGTAGGTTGCCTGTTCACTCTGATGATAGTTTTTTTTTGCTGTGCAGAAGCTCTTTCGTTTAATTAGACCCTTTTTGTCTATTTTGGCTTCTGTTGCCATTGCTTTTGTTGTTTTAGTCATGAAGTCTTTGCCCATGCCAATTAAACATCTTTTATAAATTATTCAGCCTTAGGTATTTCTTCATAGCAATACAAGAATGGTCTAATACAGAAAATTGGTACTGAGGAGTGGGGTGTTCCTCTAAAGATACCTGAAAATGTGGAAGTGACCTTGGAAATGGGTAAGAGGAAAAGGTTGGAAGAGTTTGGAGGGCTCAGAAGAAGACAGGAAGATGAGGGAAAGTTTGGAACTTCTTAGAGACTGGTTAAATGATTGTGACCAAAATACTGATAGAAATACAGATAGTAAAAGCCTGGTTGACCAGGTCTCAGGTAGAAATGAAGACGTCATTGAGAACTGGAATAAGGGTCACTCATGTTATGCTCTAGCAAAGAACTTGGCTGCATTGTGTTCACGCCCTAGGGATCAGAGAAGTTTGAACTTAAAGGTAATCACTTATGGTATCTGATGGAAGAAATTCCTAAGCAGCAAAGCGTTCATGATGTGGCTTGGCTACTTCTAACAGCATATAATCAGAGAAGCAAAGAAATGACTGAAATTTGAAACTTATAATTAACGGCAAAGCAGAGCATAAAAATTTGGAAAATTTGCAGCCTGGCCATGTGGCACAGACAGAATCCAAGCAGGCTGCAGAATTACCAATTGCTAGAGAGATTAGCATTACTAAAAAGGGAGCAAAGTGCTAATGTCCAAAACAATGGGAAAAAGCCCTCAAAAGCATTTCAGAGATCTTAGAGACAGCCCCTCCCATCACAGGCCCAGAAGGCTAGAAGGAAAGAATGGTTTTGGGGAACAGGCCTAGGAAACCCCTGTCCTGCTCAGCCTTGGGACATTGCTCCCCACATCCTGGCTGCTCTAGCTACAGTTGTGGCTTAAAGAGCCCCAGGTACAGCTCAGGTCACCCCTCCAGAAGGCACAAGCCATAAGCCTTGGTGGCTTCCACATGGTGTAAAACACATAGAATGCGAGGGTGAAGGAGGTTTGGTGGCTTCCATCTAGATTTCAGAGGCTGTATGAGAAAGCCTGGGTGCCCAAGTAGAAGCCTGCTGCAAAGATAGAGCCCTCACAGATAATCTATACTAGGGCAATGACAAGAGGAAGTATGGTGTTGGGGCTGCCACACAGTCACCACTGGGGAACTGCCTAATGGAGCTGAAGAAGGTGAGTGCCACCCTCCAGACCCCAGAATGGTAGATTCATCAGCAGCTTGAACCCTATACCTGGAAAACAGACACTCAACTCTAGACCATCAGAATACCAAGCAAAGCCACAGAGGCAGAGCTGCTCAAGGCCTTAGGAGCCCACACTTTGCACCAGTGTCCCCTGGATGTGGGACATGGAGTTGAAGGAGATTATTTTGGAGGTTTAAGATTTAATGACTGCCATGCTGAGTTTCAGACTTGTGTGGGGACTAATGACCTTTTCTTTTGGCCAATTTCTCCCTTTCCGAATAGTAATGTTTACCCAATGCCTGTACTACCATTTTATCTTGGGAATAAATAACTTGTTCTGATTTTACAGGCTCATAGGTGGAAGGAGATGAGTCTCAGATGAGACTTATGACTTTGGACTTGAGGCTACAATGAGTTAAGAATTTTGGGGACTATTGGCAGAGGATAATTATATTTTGCAAGGTGAGAAGGGCATTCAATTTGAGGTGCCAGAGGCAGCATGATATAGTTTGATTGTCTGTCCCCACAAAATCTCATATTGAAATGTAATCCCCATTGATGGAGGTGGGGCCTGATAGGAGGTGTTTGGGTCATGGGAGTGGATTCCTCATGAATGTATTGATGCTGTTCTCATGATAGTTGAGCCTCATGAGATCTGGTTGTTTAGAAAGTTGTGACACCTCCCACTCTTTCTCCCACTGTCATCAATTGACATGCTGGCTCCCCATCACCTTACACCACGATTACAAGCTTCCTGAGGCCTCATGAGAAGCATATGCTGGCACCACACTTCCTGTAAAGCCTGCAGAACCATGAGCCGATTAAATCTCTTTTCTTTATAAATTACCCAGCCTCAAGCATTTATTTACAACAATGCAAGAATGGTCTAACACAGTGATACAGGTGTGTAATGCTCATTCTTTCTTCAGGGGCACAGTTTTGTGCCTTCTGTGAAGCTAATTCTGCTAAGAACCTTGACATGTCTTATGTACTCTCTGCCTAACATTTCTTGGCAGCCACTCAGCTGCAACCTTCAGTAGTATTCCCTACATACTCTCTTTCTGCTTGGGTCTCCCTTTTTCAGACAGCCTTTTGGGCAGGACCTAACATAACTACTATCCTTAGTATCTACTCCTCCTATGGAAACTTACCCACTCTTGTCCAGGGTATTTTCTGAATATAGCTTATGGGCTCAGGAATCATCCCTTCCTTCTTGCCTGCAGAAAGAGGAAGCTCCAGCCATTTCCTGACTTCAGATGTCCTCAGGCCAGAGTCCAGCACCAGTTGATCTCCCTGCAAACTAAAGGGGTCAATCTCCAGTTCTCCCACAAAAAAATGTATCACTTTCCCTTCTTCAGACATTCCCCTGCATTTCAGGGCCTCTTCCATTTGTCATTTCTCTTCCATGTGTCCCTTCCCCAAACTGTCCACTTCAGGGGGATATAAACCCAGTCAGTTTTATTGCAAAAAAAAAAAAAAAATCCTTATTGCACTTCAGCAATTCAGCAAACATCTGGCAATGTTTGTATGCCACATTCCACTTCTAGAAAATACCCCTTAATCTTTCCAAGTGTTCTCCCACACCTCACTGACTTTTTTTTTTTTGAAATTATCTCCCCCAAGTTGATTCTATACATCTGGTGAAGGGTCACAAAGCTTCCCAATGCTGTGGTATTTCTGCAAAGCATCTCCTGTCAGCTTGCTCTTGTGGACCCAAGTGAGAGACAGGAGTAGAAAGTTGATTGTCCACTTTGGCTGCATCTTTTTAAATCTATGGAAATTTGTTTAGCAGTTCTCGTTTAGAACCTGAGCACACTTTATCACCTGATATCCTCAGCTTTGAGAACTGATCAATTCCTACCAACAAGATACCTCCCCTTCTGCATTGTTATACGAGTTTCTGTCGTCTCCTCTTATTCCATGAACTCTAGCTTTGCTTGCTTCCCACTGAATGTAAGCTGCTTCATGTCAGAGGACAGGCTTTCCAACGCTTCTGCATCCCCAATCTACTCTGAGCAACTACCACAAAGCTGGGTGCAAATTACTTGATTAATAAATATGTAATTACTTGTCATATTATTTTCAAAGGTTGTAGGGCTTATAGGTTACTTGATTAATAAATTACCTGATTAACAAATTTCTTGAGTAATAAATATGTAATTACTTTCCATAGCATAGATTCATAATTTGAAAGTTAATGAAAGTTGACTGAATTCATTCCCAAGTTGCCCTGCCTATACACCCAGACACCAATCCTTTCTTTACTGAGTTGTTGAGAAACACCCAATATATTCTGGTATAAGTCTGTACTCTTCTACCATCTGAAGGCCTGTTTTTGCTTCAGGAGTACTTCCGTGAGACACTCTGTTAATGAGTGGCTCTTTTGATACCTCCTTAAGGTCTCTGTGAACCTCCTCTCTACTTTTAATTCCACCTGCCACTAGAGTCAACTCCAATTAATTGACAGGTATTAAGCACTTACTAAATACCTGTCCCTGTAATATAAGCAATGATGCTCAAATTATGGGAAATACAGATATGCAAGAAAATAATTGCTCCATATTTTAGTGAGTACAGAAAGTTACACAGATGAAGACATAATCAATTCTCATGGGTAAGACGATCTGACAGACTTCACAGGAGAAACAATATCCACAGTGGGCTTTGTATTAGCCTAGAAGATAAAGGAAGACATCCTTCCAAATAAGAAAAAGGAATGTTTTCCCTAAGAAAACAAGAATCAAACTCCTCTTCCAGCCTCTTCACTTATAGCCCCAAATTTCCTCTCAAAATAATTAAAAAGTTAAACTCAAAACTCCAAATACAAAAGCTACACATGTGAAAAAGCTGACATAAAATCTGCTGTTTGTATGTATCTATTTTGTCCTTGTGCCTATGTTTTAATTAAATGTAGACTTAAAAAAAATAACACCCAAATGTTAATAAGGAAGTATATATTTAGCAAATCTATCGAATTGGAAAAAAAAAAAACAGTGTGTTCTCCAAGAATTATGTATTCCAGAATTGATAATTTGCCAAATTCTTTTAGACACAGTAAATAAGGAAATCAAGATATTTACCAAAATAAATGCAAGGCATATTATGCAGTGTCTCTGAAAACATCTTGGTTTGCCTTTTTCGGAAGCAATCTGAGTTGGCAGTGTTTTCAATTACTTAAAACAGCAAGATGCTGGGAACATTTCTCAGTTAAAGTGCTAAGTTAAAACATGTCAAGATTTTTCCCAGATCCAGAAAATCACTTTAGGATTTGCACAAGCAAATCCATATAATCCTCTTGACATTTAATCTGCCCAAATCAGTGGTAGAAGGGGAAGTGTCTTTACTTCTATGTCTTTCAACAATAGCTCAGCCTTCTGACCAGTAATTCTTAGCCATTGTCACTGAGGAATGAATGGATACATATCCCCAGCCTCCAGAACTGTAGTCTGAACCTTCACCCCCTCTCTTCCAAGAACAGCATATTGCTCTGAAGCCTTCTCTTTCTCTAAAAAATTAAAAAAGCGTTTTAAAAATATTCCATGTAAAACTATAAAAATGTAGCAAATATCAACAAAATCAACACTTCTGGGAGATATCCATTTCTCTTGTGACTTCCAGTAACCTCTCCAGCCACCTCCACCTAATCCCAGTTGTACTCATTTGAGAAGCAGTGCTTTAGATGATAAAGAGATTTCAAAGCCCTCATAATAATCATTACCATCGAACAGTGCTTCCTACATTAAAACCATCACCTCTTAATTCTCACAACTACCTTATGAAGAAGGTACTATTATTTACTATTTTTAATACCATTTTTGCAATACCATTTTGCATTTAATACCAATTTTGCAAATAACAAAGCAGACCAAAAGTGATTGACCACTTTTCCTAGGATCTTGCAACTAGTAGAAAAGGTGAATTTCTGCAACAAACAGGCACTTCCATAAAGCAGTTCTCAAAATATTTCCCCTTCTACCACATCTTAGCTACCATCTCAAAGCACAAAACTATAATAGAGCATTCTTCGCCAGACATCCCCCTGTATTTTATGGTATTTTATATTTATTTATCTTACATATGTGCATGCTCCAGCACTGTCCATTTCCATGGGGTATAAACCCAGCCAGTTCCAGTACACAAAATTTTATTACAGTGCAAGAAAACAGGAAGGAATAGCCCCTGGTTTTCACCACCCTCTGTTTACTTGAAATGGTCTCATAAAGTCAATGGCTTCACTGTTAAGTAGATCATATATTTTCATGGTAAAGAAATATTGTAATGGAAAGACATTTCCATAAACAAATAATAGCTATTGCCAACAATGTATCATACAAGCCATGACTATACATTTCTAAGTACCAAAATTATTCAAGTCCTACCTAAAGAGCATAAACTTCTGAACCATTGATTACACAAGAGATTTCAACGGACAGTCATCCAAAAGGTTTCCCAGCATTATATTCTATTGTGTTTACCTTCTGCCATCTTAGTTCTCTCCTTCCTTCTGTAGCCAACTATCTTCAAACAACTGACTTGACTCCCCGCTTTTCCCACGAACTTCCTAGTTTACTTCTCTCTAAATAGTTACCTCCCTAAAACAGCTTTCTGTTGAATCACCAATGACCTCCATATTGCTAAAACCTAAAATCCATTAATGTTTGTATTGTTCATATTACCTCGCCTGCTAATAGCATTTGGCAATGTCAGTTATTACATTAGCCTAGAAGCACTACTTTTCCTTGGCTCCCAAGGGAAACACTCACCTGGTGTTTTCTCTCTACATCTTAGGCTTCCTCTGCAGATTCATCCTTTTTTAACCACCATTAAAGGCTGTCATTCTTAAGGTTCACTCCTAGATGTTCTTCCCTTCTCATGCTTTTTTTTTTTTTTTTTGAGACGGAGTCTCCCTCTATCGCCCAGGCCGGAGTGCAGTGGCACAATCTCAGCTCACTGCAAGCTCCGCCTCCCGGGTTCACACCATTCTCCCGCCTCAGACTCCCGAGTAGCCGGAACTACAGGTGCCTGCAACCACACCTGGCTAAATTTTTTTGTATTTTTAGTACAGACGGGGTTTCACCATGTTAGCCAGGATGGTCTCAATCTCCTGGCCTCATGATCCACCCGCCTCAGCCTCCCAAAGTGCTGGGATTTCAGGCGTGAGCCACCGCGCACGGCCCCTTCTCTACTCTTATAAGAAATATCATAAACAACCAAATATTCTGAGACAAATTCACATCTGTAGGGTCAACCTATGCTTTGAGTTCCAGACTCACATATCCAACCACCTACTTAATATAGCACTTGGTTATGTTATAGGCACCGCATATCTAACATATCCATGATCAAACCTGTGATCTCTCACACCAAACCCCATCTTCTACCACTAGTTGCAGCTTCAGTGAATATTTTATCATCCAGCCAGTTGCATAAGCTGGAATCTAGAAGTCATCTTGACACCACTTTCTCCCTCACCCTACCTAGGTGTAACCCATTACAAAATATTGTCCACTTAACTTCTAAGTATCTTACACATTTTTCCACTTCTTTCTGTCTCCATCACGACAGCTCAAGCTGCCATCTCTACCTCGACCAATGCAGTAACTTCCTAACTGTACTTCCTGCATACACACTAGGCCCCTCTAATATTTTCCATACAATGGAGCCAGAGTGATCTTTGCAAAAACACAAATGTGATCGCATCAAGTCCTACCTTAAATTATCTGATGGCTTTTCCCTGTTCTTATGAAAAAGCCAAATCCTTATCATAGTTCGGAATGTCCTACATAGACCATGTAGGACACAGACCTCTGCCTCCATCTCCATCTTCACCTTGCATCAATCTTATCTTTCTTCTCACTTTAAGCACAGTTTTCTATCAGTCTTTGCACCTTCTGGCAACAGACTCTTTGGCCATTGTGTTTCCTCTACATGGAACATTTATTACCAGCCCCTTCATCACCTTCCATACTCCCTTTCCACCAGGATCTCCTCGACATCCTTCAAACCTCAATTCTAGTATTGTATCCTCTAGGAAGCCTTTTCTGAATATCCCCTCTACCCAAATACATGCAACCATAGGTCTTGATCAGCTTCTATTGTTGTATGGCTTCCAGATACATTCATTTCTATCTTATTCTATATAATTTCAAATGGCATGTGCCTTTGATTAATCCACACTTGGACTATAAGTCAAATAGAGCACAGATCTCGTCCTTGCTTACCAGTGTCGTCCTAGACATTATTAAATAATTGGATATGTATTTGATACTTAAAAATGTCTGTTGGATGAATGAATAAATGAATGAACGAGACCTACAAACAACATATTAAAATCAAATATTTATTTTCAAACAATTTTTCCCACATCATGGGAATTTAAGAAGATTGATTTAGGTGATGTCTCTTTTTATTCTTGATCAATTATCCTGTAATAATAGAATACATTCAGAATTATTTCAATAAGCTTAGAACTGAGTTTAAAATATAAGCGATGGCCAGGCGCAGTGGCTCACGCCTATAATCCCAGCACTTTGGGAGGCCAAGGCGAGCAGATCACGAGGTCGAGAGATCGAGACTGTCTTGGCCAACATGGTGAAACCCTGTCTCTACTAAAAATACAAAAATTAGCTGGGCGTGATGGCATGTGCCTGTAGTCCCAGCTACTCAGGAGGGTGAGGCAGGAGAATCGCTCGAACCCGGAAGGCAGAGGTTGCAGTGAGTCAAGATCACACCAGTGCATTCCAGCCTGGGTGACAGAGTGAGACTCCATCTCAAAAAAATAAAAAAAAAAATATATATATATATATATATGCACAATGTGGGATGAGGACATAGAGGGGTTGTATAAAATTTGCTCAGATTATTTAAAATTTTACATTTTTGCACGCATGTGCCTCAGTTTTCCAGGAAACATTTTCTTACCTACACCATTCCCAATTCAGTGAAGAACAATTAGAAAGCCTAGGAATTTCATGTATTGTGCACCAACTAGGCTTCAGTAAGGTAGCCAGATTCTAATAAGAAATAATCCTTCCCTGAAGGAGCTCCTAATCTAGGAAGGGAGGTACAAAACTGAGTTCATATCCGTTGGACCAAATAGCATATTCAGAAAATATAAATATTTTAAGAGAAACAGAGAAATAACTCAGTAAAAAAAGAGAATAACAATAGATAATTTCACAAAAACTAAATCTGAAAGACAGACACATCTACTTAAAGATGGCCATGGCCTGATCTCTCCTTAACCACATAATTCCAGCCTGCTCCTAGAAACTGACCTTCTTAGCTGCTCCCTTCAGCTGCTTTCAATTATTATCTGGCTAAGTTTATCTCCAATTATTTTGTCAGTGAAGGAAACATGGAAGCCCCAAGTCTGAAGCAAAGGGACAACTCTTTTTCTTGATATTTGTGCCCCAGAACTGATGCTAAGACGAACACAGATTTAGTGAGGCTCAACACATAATTTTGGAAGAAATGGGGATTTTGCCAAAAAAATTTCAGGACAATCTTACTTTTGCAAACTTTACAGAAATATACAATCACAAGAACACATTGCTAGGACCCCACCCCCACCCTACCCCAGAGCTTGAGAAGATGCTCTGAAGGTTCAGCTTCCTTCAGCTCAAGGCAAATTCTCCTCTGGCTCAGATACTGCATTTACTGTTTAGTCTGTGACTAACCCACCTCCCCCTGTACAATGGAGTCCAGTCTACTTAACCTCTCAACACTCCATCCTTCTGGACCTAGAATAATTGCCTAGCTTTCGCCTGTGCCTTGTTCTCCTCCGAGTTAGTCTTGTGATAACTCAGCATGCTACGTGTGCCCCTTGATATTTGTGCTTCTCTCTCCCAGTCTCATGATGGCTTTCCTGTTAGTGGATCCCACGTTGGTCCCATCTGGCATACAGATACCATGTTATCACACTGGCCCCTCTAATATCTTCCTGTATCCTATTCCACTTCCAATATTGTGCTCCTGTGTTTTCTTTTTTTAAGCCACATCTAATTGCAAAACTTTACTGAAAAGTTGAAATTACTCATCATAACTTGATCTTATGTTAAATATCTCCATTCCCTTTCCATACCATATATGAACAATTCTCTAAGTATATTATTCCTCATGAGCCTCTTCAGTGTCTCTGCAGTATCCTTACTTTGTGACACTTCAATATGAATACAGTGTTCCTGCCTGAGAAGAGTTAAATACAAAAAGGAACATGGATTTCCCTCCCTGTCCATTAACTATTAATAACATTTGTACAATACTAGTACTACATTAGCAACTCATCATGATGCCTAATCCATCTCCAGGATCATTTCTTTCCTGTTTTCCTGGAACATACTTATTCTCCATTTTCTGATCACACAATATGGTCCTTATTTTTTTAATTTCTAAACTCGATGCTTACAATGTCACTTTGTTTCAGCCTAACTCTCCAACTTTACAAAATAACTTTTAAATCACCATCCTGCCTTACAAGGTGCTAACTTTTTCAAACATAGTCCCATTTACATCAACTATTAACTTGGAAATATTATGAAGTAAATCATAATTACTATTCGTTTATTTTCCCATAAACACAGACATTTTTCAAGGGATAGGAAATGGTCTGACACATTCCCTAATGTCCCAAATCTCACTTATTCTAGTGTTCAGCTGATAGAGGGATCGCAGTGCTTATTTTATAGAACACCTTTTTTTCTTGCTGCCAATTCTTTTGAAAAGGTGCTCTGCATGCACTGCCCACACATTTCAGTCTCAGTCACATGTCAAACCACTTCAGCCTGGCTTGCAATCTTACCAACTTTCTGCAAGGGCTTTCTGAAAGGTCAGCATTCACCACCTAATTGGATAAGTGGCCTTTTCTTTGGTCTTTAGTTCACATAACTCTGTCGCTTTTGGCACTACTGATAGGCCTTCCATTTTATAAGTATCTCTTCTCTTGCTTTTCTTGACAATCCTCCATCCTGGGTTTTTTTTTTTTTAACCTCGCTGACTTTTTTTCTTGGTCTCCAACATGGTATCCTCTTTTGAAATACTGCTTGTACTAAAATTCTATAATGAGTCCACTTCCTTTATTCCCTGCTTTGTCTCCTCAAGGGATCACTTTCACTTCCATGACTTCAACAATCACCTGTACACTGATGACTCACAAGGTGATTATCACACTGGCCTCATCCTGAGCTTCAGACCTATATTTATAAGTCCCTCTACCTAAAAGTAATACAGGCAGCTTAATATCTTTCCACCTAAAACTATTTTCTCTGCTATATTAATCTTCAAAAGAAGGCTAATAACTGTACTTATTTTGTAGAATTATTAAGGCAATACTAGCTGCTATAACAGATAAACCCAAAAATCTCAGTGACTTCACAAAACAAGAATTTATCTCTCACTCCCTTTAATTTCAATGGCAGGAGGGAAAAAATGTTGTAATGCTCTGCCCTTCTTTATCCATTTATTCAGGGACTCAGGAAAGAAGAAAAATATGCTGTCTATAACACATCCTAGGCATCAGTCTCAAATGTCAGACAAAAAATTAAAAGAAAGAGGATTTCCTAAAAGCTCTTGTTTTTATGGGCTAGACCTGGTAATAGTTTATATTACTTCAGCCAACATTTCTTCCGGGGGAAAAAAAAATTGGTCACATGGCCTAATTGCAAAACATGCTGGAAAATATAGCCTACCTCTGTGCACAGGAGGAAAGGAAAATGAGTTTGGTGAACAGGTAAGATTAAATTAACAGATATTTGCCAGATAGCTGCCACTTAGCCTGATACATAGTGACACAACTGTTGGCCTATCATACATTTGTTCAGCCATCTAAGTTATAATTCTCAGAGTTGTCTTTTATTTTTCACTATCCCATGTCCAGCTGTGGCCATCAGGTCATGCAATTCTATTTTGCAATTATCTCTTAAATGTAAATATTTGCCCCCATTTAAACTGCTTTGGCTAAGTGGTTCTGAACACTGTCTTGACAACAGGATCTCCTGGAATTTTTTTTTTTAAGTATTAAATTAAATCTTTCCAGGATCAACATTTTATTAAAGCTTTCAATGCAATCCTAATCTTAATGGGCAGTTAAGGGTGAGAAATGCTGCTGTAATCCAACCTCTTCTCGCCACACCCAGAATGATCTTACTGAAGCACTGATTTCATCATGACATTCTATCAGGGGAAATTCAGCCCCCAATATTTCACATAGGTTCTTTTCTATTTTCCCTAAGTGTCAGCTGGTCTGAGAAATAAAGGGAAAGAGTACAAAAGAGAGGAATTTTAAAGCTGGGTGTCCAGGGGAGACAGCACATGTCAGCAGGTTCCATGATGCCCCGAGCCGTAAAACCAGCAAGTTTTTATTAGTGATTTTCAAAAGGGGAGGGAGTGTATGAATAGGGTGTGGGTCACAGAGATCACGTGCTTCACAAGGTAATAAAATATCACAAGGCAAATGGAGGCAGAGCAAGATCACAGGACCACAGGACCGGGGTGAAATTAAAATTGCCAATCAAGTTTCAGCCATGAATTGTCATTGATAACATCTTATCAGGAGACAGAGTTTGAGAGCAGACAACTGATCTGACCAAAATTTATTAGGCGGGAATTTCCTCGTCCTAATAAGCCTGGGAGCACTACGGGACACCGGGGCTTATTTCATCCCTTATCTACAGTCGTAAAAGACAGATGTCCCCAAAGCGGCCATTTCAGAGGTTTCCCCTTAGGGATGCATTCTCTTTCTCAGGGATGTTCCTTGCTGAGAAAAAGAATTCAGCGATATTTCCCCTATTTGCTTTTGAAAGAAGAGAAATATGGCTCTGCTCCACCCGGCCCACAGGCAGCCAGACTTTAAGGTTATCTCCCTTGTTCCCTGAACATTGCTGTTATCCTATTCTTTTTTCAAGGTGCCCAGATTTCATATTGTTTAAACAATTTGTCCAGTTAACACAATCATCACAGGGTCCTAAGGCGACATTCATCCTCAGCTTACGAAGATGACGGATTAAGAGATTAAAGTAAAGACAGGCATAGGAAATCACAAGGTATTGATTTGGGAAGTGATAAGTGTCCATGAAATCTTCACGATTTATGTTCAGAGATTGCAGTAAAGACAGGCATAAGAAATTATAAAAGTATCGATTTGGGGAACTAATAAATGTCCATGAAATCTTCACAATTTATGTTCTGCCATGGCTTCAGCTGGTCCCTCTGTTGGGGGTCCCTGACTTCCCGCAACAACATTTCTTTGCTAAAAAATCATTTCTGGGCCGGGCACAGTGGTTCATCCCTGTTATCCCAGCACTTTGGGAGGCCGAGGTAGGTGGATCACGAGGTCAGGAGATTGAGACCATACTGGCAAACACGGTGAAACCCCATCTCTACTAAAAACAGAAAAATTAGCTGAGCATAGTGACACATGCCTGTAATCCCAGCTCCTCGGGAGGCTGAGGGAGGAAAATATCTTGAATCTGGGAGGCGGAGATTGTAGTGAGCCAAGATTGCACCACTGCACTCCAGCCTGGAGACAGAGCTAGACTCCCTCTCAAAAAAAAAAAAAAAAAAATTGTTTCTGAACTTCCATTATCTAAAGCAAGGTATGCATATTTGGATGAGTCTGCAAGGATGATACACTAACAAATTTGAATGTTTATTTGTATGTTTTATTTAATGCTACTTTAATGTGATCATTGTATAAGTTTTATAACTTACAACATTTATTAATACAGTAGAATCAAGGCATTTCCTTACTTAAAATTTGTTGCTGACTGTGCATTCTCTAATGCAGTGGTTTCTGATGTAGAATGTAAACACCTCACTGGTACACACTCAGAAAAAAATCTATTGAATATAAATTTTGTTTAGCAATTGTGTAAGTCAGGGTTCTCTAGAGAAACAATAAAAAAGACGTGTGTATACGTATATTACATGTTTTGATACATACGTATATATCTCCTGTGTGTGTACATATATATCAATATAGAGATATATCTCTACATATGTATCAATATAGAGATATATCTCTACATATGTATCAATATAGAGATATATCTCTATATACACTATTGTCAATAGTGTATATACTGTATATTATATATGTACTATTGTCAATAGTATAAATATCTATATAGATCTAAATAGACATAGATCTATATCTATATAGATCTAAATAGATATAGATCTATATCTATATCTAGTTATATATAGATCTATATCTATATCTAGTTATATATAGAGAGAGTTATTGTAAGGAATTAGTTCATGCAGTTATGAAAGCTGACAAGTATAGGCCAGCACGGTGGCTCATGCCTGTAATCCCAGCACTTTGGGAGGCCAAGGATGGCAGATCACCTGAGGTCAGGAATTCAAGACCAGCCTGACCAACACGGAGCAAACCCGTCTCTACTAAAAATATAAAATTTGCTGGGCATGGTGGCACGTGCCTGTAATCCCAGCTACTCGGGAGGCTGAGGCAGGAGTATCACTTCAACCCGGGAGGTGGAGGTTTCAGTGAGCCAAGATTGTGCCATTGCACTCCAGCCTGAGCAACAAGAGCAAAACACCATCTCAAAAAAAAAAAAAAAAGAAAAGAAAAGAAAAAAATAAAAAGAAAAAGAAAGCTGAAAGCTGTCAAGTATAAAATCTACAGGATACGCCAGTAGGCTAAAGGCCCACGGAATGCCAGTGCTACAGTTCAAATCTGAAGGCTGTCTTTTAGCAGAATTCCTTCTTGCTAGTATTTGTTCCATTAAGGCTTTCAGCTTATGAATAAGCCTCACCAAATTTTGGAGGACAATTTGCTTTATTCAAAGTCTGTCAATTTAAATATTAATCTCATCTACAAAACATTCTCACAGACACATCCAGATAACGTCTGATTAACCCTCACAACAATGCAATAAAATGCAGTAAAACTTTAAAGAAAAGTCAAAGTATAAAAAATCTTTCCACCTCTAGTTTGGGGGCTAATGGGAGAAAGATCAGGAAAAGCATCTAAGGGGCTTCTAAAATTCAGATACTCTTCTTAAGTGGAAATTGAGTACACAGGTGTAATTATATTGGTGGAGGGGGGAGGGTGTTGGTAATTTACATATATAGAGTAACCTTTTAAATATATTCAATATTTAATAAAAATGAATTTTAAAAATCCAATCCAACCAAATTTAACATTTTAATTCCATCCTATTAACATCTGCTCCTCTTTCTCCCAAGCTCAGGCCCGAGTCATGGATCTCAGATTTCTAGTAAAGCAAGGATGTTCAGTTTGGTCCCTCACTCTTGTTTGTTTTTGCTCTCTTACTCAGTTTTGTTATTCCATTCTCTCTTCATTCTTGCAGGCCTCCTTGCTTTTCTTCAACCATGCCAAGAATGTTTTCACTCCATCATCCTAGCCCTTGTCATTTCCTTTCTCTGGAAGCTCTTCCTCAGCTACAAGCAGTCTCACTCACTCACTCCACTTAGGTCTCTGATCAAACGTTCCCTCTTTACCTGTAACTTCATCATCCCTCTTAATCCCCTTACTTTGTGCATTTTCTTCATTGCTGTTATTACCTGATGTGCATTTTCTTCATTGCTGTTATTACCTGATGCATACAAGTATTCATTCATCTTTTTCCACCAATAAAAATGCAAGTATAACAGCAGAGACTTTGTTTTGTTAGGTGATATAACCCAAGCACCCAAAACAAAGCCTCATGCATACTAAATAATCAATAAATATTTGTGTAGTGAATTAACACTATTTATCAATTTTATAGAGAAAAATTCTGATGGAAGTTATAGAAATTCTCACCTATGGCTTAATATATACAGTAAAAATTGATAAGTTTGCAAGAAGGTACTGACAAACCGTTATTCAAGGGGGAAATTTTAACATAGATCTCTCCATAATGTATAGGAGAAATTTAAAAACAGGCCAAATAGCAGTCCTAACTGCAAGATCCCAGAGTGGTTTTCAGGTTTAAATGTCAGCATAACTTACAAAACACAACTGGCTTATTCTTCACCATGTTTAATTAGCATAGAGAAAGGATGCAGGACAGGGAACAAATGAGTAGCACGTCAGCAACATGACGAGGTCTCAGACGTATAGACTCAGCTTCTGATGTAGCTCATTACTGCACAGGGAAAATTTTGACTGGGAGACATGACAAGAAATTGACATAAGTGAAGATCACAGTAGAACATAGAAACCTCAGGCCAGGACCCCTTGCTTAAATCATGTGCTAATCTGCTAGCTCATAGGAGATGATCACCTAGATCATAGCTAGATCTGATTTTTTTTTTTTAGGACTGCAGAATGTCATAAATTATAGATTACATAGGAAATAATTCTAAGCATACTTACATACATCCTTGGATCAAAAGGAACACAGAAACCCCAGCAAGACACTGTCACCTATTTCCAACCCTTCACTTAATACTGCACAAATTTGTCAGAGAATTATAGCTTTGCATTAACTCTTTTCCTCTAAATTTCAATAAACTGTCTATTGAATATATTTAGAATCCTGTAACCAACAATGAGATAATGCACACTCATACCAAAGACTCTTGGAACATTTCTAAAAATTCACATTTCAGGCCACAAAAATATTCCCAAAATACCAAAAATCAGTATTATACAGACTAAGTTCTTGTCCATAACGCACTTAAGTTAGCAAACAGTAACCAGAAAGCAATTTTGAAAGTTCTTACTGTGAAATCTAAAACACTCTGCTAAATAAGCCATAGGTCCAATAAATCATAACACAATTTATAAAATACGTTAAACTGATCATTAATGAATGTGCCATATATAACAACACCTAAAGGTTATAGCTGAAGTGGTATTTAATAGAAATTTATAGCTTTAAACTATCTTAAAAAACAAAACAAGAAAACTAATATGTGATAAGTATTTCTCCCCATGTATTCAGTCTTCCTATACATTATACCTGGGGAACCCGTTCTGCTGCAGTCAGACCTTTGGTCTCCTCACTGTAGGTGATATCCATACTGATTATGCCTAACAGTTGATATGGAGAATCCATCTATGCCACTGAAGTTTCATCTCCAGTGGATGAAGATGTGATCTATTCCTTACATCACTTACTGTAAAAACTTGGAGTGTGCATAAAACATATATTTACCTATATACCTAAAAAAAAAACCATTAAGGGAGATAGCATAGTATATAATGGCTACATATATTGACAATAGTATATAATGGCTACATACTTAGAACTGCTATCAAAATGAGGAATGAATGAGAAAAAAACACATATGAAACAGAACCTCATTTATTGCATTTAGATATTAAATGAGGGTGTACAGTAAAAAATTTGACCTTGCCCAACAAGAAGTCTAGCTTTGCTCTTAGCCTCTGGAAGTGAATCTATTTCATACTTGATAGGAACATTGTTATTATTTAGGGTTGGGGGGCTGACCACACCAGGATGGAGTTGGTCATACCTGATAATCTTAGGGTATAGACTGGCTATGGCAGGAAAATAAATTGTAGGATTTAGGATGGGGGTTTGGGGTTCACACAGTATCAGTCATCCTGAAGTTTGAAACTGACCATGTCAGCAATCAGTCAATTAATCATGTCTACGTAATGGAGCTCCAATAAAAACTGTGAACACCAAGACTTGGGTGGGTGTCATTGGTTGGCAATGCCCCATGCACACGGTCACACGTCAATGTCAGAAGAAGAACATAACCTGAAGACAATAAAAGCTTAGTGTCTGGAATCCTTGCAAACCCTTCTTTACATGCCCCTTCTTTGGCTTATTTTTATCCTTTTCCCATAATAAACTAACTGTGAATCTAACAGCTTTCAGTGAGTTCTGTGAGCTTTTCTAGTGAATTATCAAAGCTGAGCATGGTTTGGAGAACCCTTCAATCTTGCATTTGGTATCAAAAGTAAGGGTTGTCTTGTATGGAGTCTTTCCTCCAAATTTGTAGTTGGACCCTAACTCCTTGCAGTTGGTGTCGGAAGTTTTGGCAGACTTGACATTCTAGAAGACCATGCCCTCATCCTTTGCAGTTTGGTCAATTCTAGGTAGGGAGTAAAAAAGATAATACTGCATATGAAATGTTGGATGCAAGGAATGATGGGACAACAAGCTGACAAGCTAATTTCAATATTTTGTATAGTATATACAAACATGGTATATACTATATATATGGTATATATATAACCAAATGGTATAGTATATAACCAAAAGACAACAGGCTTTGTCTTAATCCGTTCAGGCTGCTGTAATAGAAATACCAGGGATTGCATGTCTTAAACATCAAACATTTGTTTCTAACAGTTCTGGATACTGGGAATTCCAAGATCAAGGCACTAGCAGACTTAGTGTCTGGTAAGAGCCTCCTTTCTGGTCCATAGACAGCTAACTTCTCACTATGTCCTTACATGATGGAAGAGGTGAGTGAGCTCTCTGGAGTCCCTTTTAAATGAGCTCTGCCCTCATGTCCTAATCATCTCCGAAAGGTCCCACTTTCTAATATCACATTGGGAGTTAGGATTTCAACATGAATTTGGGGGGAGGGGGCAGGTGGCGCATAAATATTCAGTCCATAACCTATCTCCTCCCGAGAGACGGAAAGGAGTATAACAAAATTATAAAGCCCAATTTAAACATATAAATAGACAGGTGTGGATGTAGACACAGATACACAGATGATATAGCAAGTACATGAAAGCAACTAAAGTAGTATATACACTGCATTATCTATTTTATTTCTGGAATATAAAACTGACTTAAGGGTGGATGTCATATACTATGAGAAATTAGTGAGAAAAAAAACACACGAAAAATAGAAGAAACTCACTGATTACCTTTAGCTATTAAATGACAGTGTATAGTAAATAATTTTGCTTTGCCCAATAAGAGGTCTGTCTTTTCCCTCAGCTTCTGGGATGCAATCTATGTCATACCTGAATAAAGCACCTGAATCCAGTGTCTGTGTAGACCTGATATGTTTTCAAGCGCTCCCGAAATCTTTAAGAGAGTTTCTTATTATACATAGGCTACAAAGACAGTCTCAAGAGAATAAGTCACAAAGAACAGAAATAATACAAATAAAATTCTCTGTCCATAATGCAGTGGACCTGCAGGCAAATAACAAAAACTTTTAAAGGCCCTTCCACCTGATGTTAAAAAATAAAACTAAACAAAAACACCATAACTCGGATCCCAGGAGAAATACAAAATAAAATTGCAGAATTTCTTCAAAATAACAATGAAAGCAATGCATGTGAGAAATTATGAAAACAACTAAGACAGGCAATGAAAGAAATTTTCTGGCATTAAATATCTATTTGACAAAAAATAAAAATGGAAAGAAAATGTATTGCATAATCAATTCAGAAAGCTAGTGAAAGAAAACCCAGAAAAGTAAAGCAAATGAAAGCAGGACTCAAAAAATACTTAAAATATTGGCTTTATAGAGTAAATATAACATCAATCCACAAATCTGAAAAAAAATTCATCCCAAAATACAACTGCAGAAGAATTTCATTTGTGAATATCCATGCAAAAAAATCTTAAATTGGTCAGCAGAATCCAAGAGCATATTAAAAATTAATACATCATGAAGTATAATTTAGTCCCAGAGTGCAAGGCAGTTTATATTAGGAAATACACTGCTGATTCATAACATTAATAGAGCTAATGAGAAAAATCATATTAAATCTCCATACATATCAAAAATTAGATATTTAACAAAATTCAACATTTACCCATATTAAAAGAATGCTCAATAAAATAGGATATATAATTCCTAGCCCAAAGCCAGTGATTTTTCTTCATGGAGAAGCATTAGAGATTTTCACAATAAAACCAGAAACAAGAAAAGAAAGCCCACTACAGACAATCCTCAACTTGCAACGGTTGCACTTATCATTTTTCAACTTTTTGATGATGCAAAAGTGATATGCACTCAGTAGAAACCGTACTTTGAGTCCCCATACATCCATTCTGTTTCTCATTTCCAGTATAGGCTACAGTATAGGCATGCCTTAGTTTATTGTGCCTCACTGTATTGTGCTTACAGATGTTGCAAGTTTTTATAAATCCAAGGTTTGTGGTAACCTGAGTTGAGCAAGTCTATCAGTGCCATTTCCCCAATAGCAGGTGCTCGCTTCATGCTCTTTCAGAATTAAGGTATGTACTTTTTTTAGACATGTTATTGTACACTTACTACACTGCAGTACCATGTACACATAACTTTTATATGTGCTGGGAAATCAAAAACTGTGTGAGTCTCATTTTATTGTGATATTCGCTTTATTGCAATGGTCCAGAACTGAACCCACAATATTTCTGAGGTATGCCTGTATGATATTCAATAAATTACAAGAGATATTCAACACTTTATTATAAAACAGGCTTTGTGTTTGGTGATTTTGCCCAACTGTAGGCTAATGTAAATGTTGTGAGCACACTTAAGGTAGGCTAGACTAAGTTATGATATTCAGTAGAGCAGATGGATTAAATGCATTCTCAACTCACAATGGGTTTACTGAGATGTAACCCCATCATAAGTCAAAGAGCACTGATATTTCCATTGCTATTTAGTATTATGTTGCAAGTATTAGCCAATGAACATTGACAAGAAAAATATTGAGATAAAAATTAAAATAGTAAAACTATTTCTGTGCAGATAGTATAGTATACATTTAGAAAACCCTACAGAATCAACAAAAACTACAATAAACAATTTTAAAAATTAATAAGGTAGCAGGTAATTAAATTAATTTACAAACAATGGTATCTGTCTATACTTTCAAAAATAGGTGAAGGATACAATGGAGGATTCCATTTCCAATCACAGGGGAAAAAAGAAAACAAACTACCTGTGATCAAAATGGATCAAGTATATTTAAATCAATGAGTTTATAATGATACAAAAATATAACTTTAAAATATCACTTTTCTTCTTTAGAGGAAGCTATGAACTGGTTCATTATTTGGAACACTGGTAACTAGAAAGAGGAAATCAAGCAATTATTCTGCCTTGACTTGATGACTGTATTTCAGAGTAGCCAAATATTTGATAAGAAGAAATGACAGAAAAATATCTAGGTAAAGATCTTCAATGGCTGCTAATATCCTACACATAAAAAAAAGAAGTAACAAGACATATTTTGTACATCTGAAGAAAGTAAACAACAGTACCTGCTATGGGCTGAATGTGTTCCCCCAAACTCATTTTTTAGAACTTAAATCCCATTGTGATAGTAAAAGGAGGCAGGGCCTTTAGGGGATGATTAAGTCAAGAAGGCAGAGCCTGCATAAATGGGGTTAGTGATGCTATAAAAGGACTAAAGAAAACTAGTAGACCTTTCTCACCCTTCAATCCCTTCTGCCATATGAAGATGCAACATTTATCCCCACTGGAGGTTGCAGCAACAAGGTACTATCTTGGAAGAGGAGGCTGGGTTCCCATTGAACACCAATCCTGACAGAGCCTCGATCTTGGACTTCTAACCTCCAGAACCATGAGCATTAAATTTCTGTACTTTATAAATTACCCCACCTTGGGTATTTTGTTACAGCAGCAATAAAAGACTAAAACACCACCTATGAAGTAGTGTTACTAAAAAACATCAAACCTAAATTTAATTAAGTCTCTAGATCTAACCAACAATTTACAAAAGATTCAGGAATCAGAGCAACATGTAACCACCACCTTAGGGATGCAATCAACAAAACCCACTCTATATACAAACTGCCCAGTTGCTTCAAAAACAACCCAAAAAGAAATAAATGCAAGGCCGGGCACAGTGGCTCACGCCTGTAATCCCAGCACTTTGGGAGGCCAAGGCGGGTGGATCACAAGGCCAGGAGATTGAGACCACCCTGGCTAACACGGTGAGACCTTGTCTCTGCTGAAAATACAAAAAATTAGCCAGGCGTGGTAGCGGGTGCCTGTAGTCCCAGGTACTCAGGAGGCGAGGCTGGAGAATGGTGTGAACCTGGGAGGTGGAGCTTGCAGTGAGGCGAGATCACACCACTGCACTCTAGCCTGGGTGACAGAGCAAGACTCCATCTCCAAAAAGAAAAAAAAGAAAGAAGAAAAAAGAAAGAAAAGAAAGATAAAAATCACATAGTAAAAGGAATCCTTTAGCAGGCTTGAGCATATGCTAATTAGCTTTATTTAGCTATTGTGCAATCCATACATATATTGCAAAATACACATATATTGTACATACATTGCACGATGTATACAACATCGTGTTGTATACCATAAATATGTGCAAATTTTGTGAAGTTTTGTTTCTTTTTTTTTTGTGACAGAGTCCGGCTCAGTCACCCAGGCTGGCTCACTGCAAACTCTGCCTCCTGGGCTCAAGCCATTCTCCTGCTTCAGCCTCCCGAGTAGCTAGGATTACAGGCGCCCGCCACCATGCCCTGCTAATTTTTGTATTTTTAGTAGAGCCAGGGTTTCACCATGTTGGCCAGTCTGGTCTTGAACTCCTGACCTCAGGCGATCCGCCCACCTCGGCCTCCCAAAATGCTGGGATTATGGGTGTGAGCCACAGTGCCTGGCCATCAATTTTTAAAAAAATAATAAAGAGGGAGGTAAGGTTCCCACTAGAAGACAGACAGACACACACACCCCTGAGAGAGAGACCTGAGACACATTAACCAATTGCAATGTATAGATATTACTTATGTCCTATGTCACATAAACCAAAAATAAACAGAGACAAAAATTTGAACACTGGGTATTTTATTGTTATATTATTTATGGCACAATAAATATAATGTGGGGTTTCTTTGCTGTGATAATGTTGAAGGTATGTTTGTAATGAATATTTGTTATTTAGATTATATTGTAATATTAGTAATAGTCAATATATATTGATAGAATCTCTGGGACTTGCTACAAAATAACCTGGGGGTTAGAAGCCAGGAAGTTGCAGGGGAAGTTAATAATTGTTGAGGCTGGATAAATAGTTCATCATACTGTTCTTTCTACTAATGTATATGTTGTAAATTTCCTAATATATAAAGTCTTTATAAATAAAGAAAACCTAGATAAGTAACTCATTTTACTTAAGTTTGTGAAATGAATGTGAGGAATCTGTAGCTTCTTATGTGTGATTAAATAATTCTTTTTCTGAAAATTTTACTCGAATTGTCCTGTTCTCTCTAGATAACAAGAAGCTAATTGAGATTATTAAGAAGCTAGCAAAAAAAGAAAAGCAGCATTCTCAAGAAAAGCCAAAACAATTTTAAGAATTAAAGTTTTACATTGTCACAGACTCCTGTTTTATAATAGCTATTTCAATACCTTCTTTCACAAATTTCCCCATTTTTATGCCCGTCTTTCCATCAAAGCCCCATTAAAGCAAACCTGTGGAGACATTACCTCTGCTCATTTTTAGTGTACCCATGAACTCTTTCTATCCCAAACTCCTTCTAAGGACAAGTAATGTGAAACCTTAAATCATAACCAAATAATATTTTCAATACTTTCAAACCTCTATGTGGCATCAAAATGTTTTATGTATCTTATAATAGAGAACCTTCAACACAACTCTTCTGCAGAAATATCAGACCTTCAAGAAATTAAAGCGAAATCAAAGTGACTACCTTTATTTTTTTCAAATATTGCCATTGTAAATGGCAATATCATTCACGTGAGAGCGTCATACATTTTGGCGATTCAGATGCTAAAGGAGGTTAGCTACCTCTTTAAAGCATTTCTGCACCTTAAATGCTCAGGGGCAGTACCAGCTGTAGTCACTTGATTGCAGCAATGGGGTGTGCTCTCTCTGAAGTTTAATACAGCACCTGCTCAAAGGTCAAGCCAAGTTGACCACACATTCTGCTCCTCCTATCTTTTGCTTTGAAGACAAGTATATACGAACTATTTTTTTAATGTGCTTTAACAGATTTGAGACAAGATTCTAAACTTGTTTTACTCTCTTTAATGTATTTTAAAGTCTTTTTAGGTATTTTTCCTCTTTTGGGGGGTCTAAAATGTGCTGTCAAATCTACAAGGGTTTTTTAGCAATATATTTTTTTCTTCCTAGTTGTACAGATCAAATTTCTCTCACCGAAGGACGAATTCTGAGGAGAGAAAAAGACACAGGATGTCCATCTCTGTCCTGCTACTTACTCTTTCTCATCATAGAACTATTATTCCTAGGAAGCATAAAGCCCTGTGTTTTTATTTATGAACATTTTACACTGTATTCTTTTTCCATCCTCTGCCTGTTACCAAGTTCCAAAGTTGCTTTCACATTTTCGGGTATCTTTAAAGAAGAACACCACTCCCTGTAGAACCAATTTACTGTATTAGTCCATTTTCATACTGCTATAAAGAACTGCCCCAGACTGGGGAATTTATAAAAGAAAGAGATTTAGTTGACTCACAGTTCAGCGTGGTTGGGAGCACCCAGGAAACTTACAATCATGGTGGAAGGTGAAGGGGAAAGCAAGACACATTCCTCGCAAAGCGACAGGAAGAAGTGCTAAGCAAAGGAGGAAGAGCCCTTTATAAAACCATCAGATCCCGCAATAACGTAAGAATGAACTCACTATCACGATAACAGCATGGGGGAAACCACCTCCATGATTCAATTAAAGAACTCAAATGCTTTCTTAATTGGTGGCTGCATTTAGGCCATTACCTCCACCTGGTCTCTCCCTTGACACATGGGGATTGTGGGGATTACAATTCAAGATGAGATTTAGCTGGAGACACAAAGCCTAACAGTATCAATTCTCTAGGAACGGACGAAAACAACGCTATCCTTACAGTTATCAAAGTAGGAGTTGCCAAATTACCTTGAATGTGGTTTTTAAAAGATTACATGGCCTATGGACATAGAAAGTAGAAGATGGTTACCAGAGGCTGGGAAGGGTAGTGGGGGGCTGGAGGGAGGTGAGGATGGCTAATGGGTACAAAAAATAGAAAGAATGAACAAGACCTACTATTTGATGGTACAACAGGGTGACTATTGTCAATAGTAACTTAATCGTATTTTTTATTTTAATTACATGGCCTGACAGCCTGTAGTGTTTTTGACTTTTTTAAAGAAACAGATAACAACACTCATATGACACCAGTAGTTCCCAAGCATTGGGAATTTACCATGGACCCTATTTAAAATATTTAACAGGCCAGGTGCGGTGGCTCACGCCTGTAATCCCAGCACTTTGGGAAGCCAAAGCAGGCAGATCACGAGGTCAGGAGATCGAGACCATCCTGGTCAACATGGTGAAACCCCCATCTCTACTAAACATAAAAAAATTAGCTGGGCATGGTGGCACATGCCTGTAATCCCAGCTACTCAGGAGGCTGAGGCAGGAGAACCACTTGAACCAGGGAGTTGAAGGTTGCAGTGAGCCGAGATGGTGCCACAGCACTTCAGCCTGGCTGGTGACACAGAGAGACTCTGTCTCAGGAAGAAAAGAAAAAAAAAAAAAAAAAAAAAAAAAAAAAATATATATATATATATATATATATATATATATTTAACAGCTGGTAAAGTATGAGCAGTCAGAAAGTATCCTGGTGACCCCAGCTATGACAGGGACTAACCCTGTAGATACTTAATTTTGAGGAGGTCTAGGGTCCCAAGAAAGGGGATTGGGTGGCCAGAGTGGGTGTGAAGGCAGGCAATTAAGGCATAGTTATTTAATAATAACTTTATTTCAGTAGTTTCATGGCCAGTACAGCTGTAGATGCTTAGCATTTACAAGTCCTAGAATATACCAATTAGTGATTTTTTTTAACTGGGTGATTTTTTTTTTAATTAGTGATTTTTTTTTTACAATATATGGTATCAACTTTTCTTTTGTCAAGTGAGAATATTTAAAAAGGCAAAAATGTAAGTACTGCCTTCTGTTACCATCATTTCATAAAAGACAAATTTAAAACCAGGTAAGTAAATAGAAGGCAATCATAAAGACATTTTTAATGGAATGAGTTTACCCTTATGAAAAACTTACAACATTGACTTTATTTTTTGTAATTTCTCTACTGACTTGAGAAAATTTAATCACTGATCTGCCTCTGTCCACAGAGAAACCTTCACCTGATTTTTTTTAAGCGCCAGTTTAAAGTGAAGAAGTGTCTCACCCTGGAAGATACTATATGAACAGAAAATCTGAACAGGTCAATAACCAGAAGATGAATTAGTTTCATCACAAGGATATTAAACATTGATCATTATTTATTGAAGAAATGCCAAATATGGCCCAACTTCCATTTGCTTTGTGCTCACAAATCTAGTGTCAAATTAAGGATTTCAATCTCTTTTTATCTCAATCAGAATATGTTTGTTTTATTGCTGATTCTTTGTAAGGCATAATCAATATTTTTTACAGTACAACTACAAAACTACTAGCTCTTACAGAAACTCCATTTCAGCACACACATGAGTTCACGGTGGTACAATATTAATAGTTTTACTCTGGAAAGGATGTACAATATAAGCTGATGTGCTTCGAAACAGAATTTATGGGGATTAGGGATGCTTTCTCTCTAACTAGGTGAATGTTTGCATTCCACACTATAAGCATTTCCAAAAGGAAAGCAAAAAACTGAAAGTTTTCACATGTTTAATTTAAAAGCAGTTTCTTTATATTCATTCAAACTCAGGTCAACTTCCCTAGTAATAATACCCAATATTCTGAAATCCAACTAGGGGATCACTTTTTACATTAACTGATATGAAATTATAAATACATTTGCATGGAGAAGCATAGAATTCTTATTCTTAATGAGAACTGAAATACACATAATTAAAGAAAGTTAATTTCATATGATACCCACAATTATATGCATGATGGCTAATCTCATATTGTATATTAGAAGTAAATGCTCAGCCAGGTATGGTGGCTTACGCCTGTAATCCCAGCACTTTGGGGGGCCGAGGTGAGTGGATCACCTGAGGCCAGGAGTTCGAGACCAGCCTAGCCAAAATGGTGAAACCCCATCTCTACTAAAAATACAAAAAAAAAAAAAAAAAATTAGCTGGTTATGGTGGCAGGCACCTGTAATCCCAGCTACTTGGGAGGCTGAGACAGGAGAATCACTTGAACCTGGGAGGCAGAGGTTGCAGTGAGCTGAGATCGCACCACTGAACTCCAGCCTGGGTGACAAGAGGGAAACTCCAGCTCAAAAAAAAAAAAAAAGAAGTAAATGCTGTTCCTTCTTACAGAAATAATGAGATCCAGAGACCTTTCCCTTTCTTTAACTGAATCTGTTCTCAACTAGGACAACTTTAAACTATTTACCCCTAGTTGTCCATGTTGACATTCTAACGCGTGATTTCCAAAACATACTTTGATACTTTCGGTGTCATAATTAGTTCAAAAATGAGGTGTACTGAACCATCACTCATTATTATTTTTATTCTTTCCTACTCTGGGTATGATCTTTCTCTTCCTTCTCCTTAAAGAAAACTTAGGATAAACGTGTTCCAAAGGGAACTGTGGTTATTATATTAATTTTTAGTGCAATTAGCAAAGATTCAAGAAAACATCTCCCAATAGAATGATCGCATCACGCAGGAGTGCAATCCTTGGCTGGCTTAGTCAAACTACAACTGGTGCTTAATCCACACAAATATGCAGAGGCTGTCTCTTTGCTATTCTTTAACTATAAGAACTGAATCACATAAATACAATTTGATCTGTTAATTTTTACAAAATGTATAAGAAGAAATGAATGACCATTCTTTCCGACTGGACACATTACCATAAGCCTTTTCTAAAATTTCACAGCAACCACACAGTCAAAGGGTGTTGCTATAACCCATGAACTAAATGAAATGATGGGACAGAAATTTGATCGTGGTCTCCTTCTCCAGTCTCTATCTTAAATGATGTCTTCCCATTATTTTTTTCCAGAAGTATAACTTCCCTGTAGAATCATCTCTTTCCCTTAGGAGGGGGGTGGGGTATCAATATCTTTCCTACTAACTATGTCCAGAGCCTGATTGACCATTATTTTACTCCACCTCCATAGCTAAACTGTCCTCAGAAGTGTTTCTAACAAAGCTTTTTTTCCCCTGTAGTGATCATTTCACGGCTTCACTCACTGGACTTCTTAGTTTTTCCGTTTTGTTTTGTTTTGAGACAGAGTCTCACTCTGTCGCCCAGGCTGGAGTGCAGTGGGGCGATCTCGGCTCACTGCAAGCTCCTCCCAGGTTCACGACATTCTCCTGCCTCAGCCTCCAGAGTAGCTGGGACTACAGGCCCCAGCCACCATGCCCCGCTAATTTTCTGTATTTTTAGTAGAGACGAGGTTTCACCGTGTTAACCGGGATGGTCTCCATCTCCTGACATCGTGATCCGCCCGCCTCGGCCTCCCAAAGTGCTGGGATTACAGGCGCGAGCCACCACGCCCGGCCTGGACTTTTTAGTTTTATAACTAATTCCCATTCTCCTTTTCAACAATCACTCCACTTGTAAATAAATGAGAAAACTTGGACATTTCAGATTCCTTTGGCAACATTTTAAAAAAATTTTAGTACCTTTTCTTCAACCTGATTTAAAGCAATAAATGTTCTATTGTTTGAAACAGCTAAATCGACCTAAGCACTCATTTTTAGAGTTATTTTATAACTAGTGGCATGTCCGGACATAAGTTGGCCTGGCTGAGATCACGTTCGTGTAAGTTGCTGGTTACTTGATGTACCTATTTCAGACTACAGGATATTGACTAGTGATCTGCGAAGGATCTCACAGCCCACACATAGCTAATCAAACTGATATTTTTAAGACTTTATATGTGTAATAAATTATAAAAGCGCTACAAGTTTTGTTGTTGTTTAGAAATGACTGAATCCATATGTGGAATAAGAGCTATCTAAAATTTGCTAGGAAGCTAACTTAAGCATGATTAAAATCTGCAGGGTAGGTTATATATTTAAAATAGGCAATTCTGCCAGCAAATTGCCTATGGACTCAAACTGCAACTCTTCTCTGGGTCTTCCCATACATGGCAAGTTCAAGTTCAAAGTCTGCAGGCTAGGCCATATATATCCCCACACATGCACACACACACATATATATATACTATATATCTTATACTGTGTATAATACAGAGACAGACAGATAGCCACTGATGAGTGGGCTTCAGAACCAGATGATGTAAGTTTGTGCTGAATGAGATATCTTCTTGGATTTCCTAATTTGATAAGCAGGTCAAAACATGGGGATGGATTTTGAGAAGGGATTCGGAGGGAAGAAAATCCTTAATCGCTCTTGTTTTTCCTTTTTTTTCATCGCTCCTGCCAATTGCAGGTTATCACCATTTGCAGTGTCACTGAAATGAGATGTAATAATGCAGTTGTAAAATGCCACATGAAAACAGTGTCTTAAGGAGAGCTGTATATTCCTTCCCTACTTAAAAGATAACGTAGGCTCTTAACAAAACTGGTAGCAGCAGGCAGGCTTGCCTAGAAGTTTTTTTGCCTATACTTCTTTATATGTCAACCAGTCATAAGCAGGCTGCCTGTTAATGTTTTGTATTCACAAATTAAGATGTTTAAAGTGTTTGTTTTAGAGAACTAGTTTGAAAAGGACTGGGAAGAATGTGCTTATGTTCAGTAACACAAAGCAGATAGCACAAACACTCAGGCAGTCTGGATCAATCGATGACCTTGGTGCCATTTTCAATATGTTTTTTGTGACTGAATTAAACCGTCTCAGAAAGAAGGGATGAGACTTAGCTCCCTTGTCCTCATTAATGCTGAAAGCAGAAAGCTGTGTTTCTCAGCTGCATTACTTTAACCCCCTCCAAAGAAATACGTGTTCATGGATTATCTTTTAATGATTGGAGGATCAAAATGAGGACTGGTCATGTAATGAACATTTCTGTTTCTATCAATAGATGACTATTAAATAATATTGTCTATTTGATTGTTCACCTTTCCTAGTATAAATCTCCATGGGAAAACTAGTAGTAATAAACTGGGATTTATAAAAATGTATCTCCTCTGAAAACTTAGCCGTGGCTTCTTCCTCTTCTTTTTTCTTCCTCCTCTACTTCTTCACCCACCTTTTTTGCAATGACTCTCAGAAAACTCAAGTCTAAATTTATTTTTAAAAAATTCAATAATGACCGGGTGCGGTGGCTCATGCCTGTAATCCCAGAACTTTGGGAGGAGTAAGACGTTGTTTCAAACAAACAACAACGACAACAAAAAGTAACTATAGGAGCCTAGGCTTTTGTTAAATTTGTGTTTCCAAATAGCTATATGGTTTGAATTTTATTTCTATTTTAACACACATATTTTATATGTCTTTTATAGTAGCACTCTCAAGTTCTCAGACAGATAAACAGCATTTGTAAACTAACATATGCTTAAAAATCAAGCCATCTGCAATGGTAATAAACGTTTTCTTATTCCTGTAGTAAGAATTTCACAGCTCTATTCTTTGGGCTTTTTAGCTTTATGACCATAATTCCCATGATCCTTTCATCATTTACTTGTGCTCTGCCCAAATCATCTCAAATCCTTCTATTGCCCTCTCCCAGGTGTGTGGTCTTTTTCTTCTAATGGTTTGTATCACAGACTCTCGAAGAATTGCTCTGTGGTTACGAGAGCCGTTTTGACAGCTCACACACAACTGGAAGTGCCTGGAAATTTACATCCCTCTGGAGTGGCCCTTAGCCAATGACTGATTAAAACCTAGCTCCTTTGCCTCCAGTTGGAACAGACTGTAAAGTACAATTTACACCTCAGAGCTTCCTGCTCCAGCAGGCTGGGGCTTCATCTGAAATCACACATTTGCAGCACTGCTTCTCCTTTGTCATACTTTCCTCATTCCCTTACTGGTTACTCTTGCGAACACTTCCTTAATAGATTGCCTGCACACGAATCCTCTCAAGGTTTGTGTCTAGTGAACTTGCCCCAAGATGCCATTTATTGAGTTTGAATCTTCTCTTTGTTTCTCTCTCTCTCTCACACACACACACACACACACACACACTCTCTCTCTCTCTCTCAACACTGAATGTAGAAAAACACAAAGAAAATTAATTGTTTAAGCTAATTAAAGCATAGAAACATTCAATGTAGAACTACATAACTGACCCACTTTTAGGGTACTCAATAACACATACTTATTGGAAAACGTCAACTTCTTTGGGATATTGTTGATAAAGATTCACTACTTACAGTAGGAGGACTAAGGACAGAGGAGAGGCTTTGGAGTCAAACAAATCTTAATTTGAATCCTGCCCATTCCACTCATCAGATTTTGGATTAGTCAGGGTTCAGGGTTCTCCAGAGAAGTGAGTGTGTGTGTGTGTGTGTGTGTGTGTGTGTGTGTGTGTGTGTGTGTGTCTTCCATTAGCATATAGGAAAATAATGTCCACATGGTAGGAGACAAGATCTCAACAAAGACTGCAACTCCTAGCCTTTTACATATGAGTCCTATGTGAATAAAAGAATTGAGGCCGGGCACAGTGGCTCACACCTGTAATCCCAGCACTTTGGGAGGCTGAGACAGGCAGATCACGAGGTCCTGAGTTTGAGAGCAGCTTGGCAACATAGTGAAACCCCGTCTCTACTAAAAATTAGCTGGGCATGGTGGCGGGCGCCTGTAATCCCAGGTACTTGGGAGGCTGAGGCAGGAGAATCTGGGAAGCTGGGATTCTCCTGCCTCAGCCTCCCAAGTAGCTGGGATTACAGGCTCCTTAAAGCCAGGAGGCGGAGGTTGCAGTGAGCCGAGATTGCACCACTGCACTCCAGCCCGGGTGACAGTGCGAGACTCCATCTCAAAAATAAAATAAAAGAATTGAGCTGTAGAGGACAGAATCCTCAATTGAAAAGGAGTACACCAAAAGAGAGAAGGATGAATGAAACTTAATTTTCACCTGTTAAATCCATTAACTACAAACCTTCTTTTTTTTTTTTGAGATGGAGTCTCGCTCTATCGCCCAGGCTGGAGTGCAGTGGCGCTATATTGGCTGACTGCAAACTCCATCTCCCAGGTTCACGCCATTCTCCCGCCTCAGCCTCCCGAGTAGCTGGGACTACAGGTGCCCGCCACTGCACCCGGCTAATTTTTTGTATTTTTAGTAGAGACGGGGTTTCACTGTGTTAGCCAGGATGGTCTCGATCTCCTGACCTCGTGATCCACCCGCCTCAGCCTCCCAAAGTGTTGGGATTACAGGCGTGAGCCACCGTGCCAGCTACAAACTTCATCCATGAACACAGAGCTTCCAATAAGCTTCATTAGTATATTAGTCTCAAATATGAGAAGTCCCGCTCTGGCAAGAAAACATAAAAAAATACAAATGATGTAAAGAATATTAATATTAATATTCTCAAAATGACAAGAAAAGTTATTGTATTCATGAAATAGGACAAGGATAATTGCTATCCTAAGAAAACAACTGGAGAAAGAGAAAGAGCCCTTGGATATTAAAAGTAAGATAACAAATATATCAATAGAAGTATGGAAAGATAATATTGAGGAAATCTTACAGAAAATATAAAGAGAAAGAGAAAATAGGCGAGAAAGAATACAGAATCTAGGAATTCAACCCAGAAAGTCGAATATCACATTAAGAAGGCTTTTCAGAAAAAAAAAAAAAAAAAAGGACAAAGAAATGGGAGAAAAATATAATTAAGGAAGAAAACATTCAAAAAATTTTCTAGAGCATAAAGTTGCAATTTTCCGAATTGAAAGACTCCACTGAGTGCTCTGCACTGTGAATGTAAGAAGCGTCATATAAGGCACATTATAGTGGAAGTCTGAAGTACAATTATGAAAAGATCCTAAAGGTTTTCAAAGAGAAAAAAGCTAGATACATTCAAAGAATCTGGGGTTAGAATGATCAAATTTATCAATAAAAAAATACTGGAAGCTAGAAGACAACAGAGGAATGCCTTCTACATTAGGGGAGAAACCTAGAATTTATATAAAACCAAATATCAATTATATGAGAAGGTAGAATATAGACATAATCAGGCATGCAAGGTCTCATGATTTCTCTCCCATGCTGTTTTTCTCAGCTAGTGACTAAAGAATTGCTTTGGCAAAAATAGAGGACAGAAATAAGGAAAAGACATGGAATCCCAAAATGTGGGATTAAATGTAGGAATCAAAAGAATTCAAAGGATCATGGTATAAGGAAGTCTTAAGGTGACACTTGTACAACAGGCTTAGGGAGGAACTGGTCCAGACAACAGCAAGAGGTTGGAGGTTTCTGAAAGAATGCCTCCAACAACTAAATGTGTGACCTTAAAATAATTGATATGGTTGTTGTGTAGAGAATAAGCAACAGGGAGCAGCAATGGAAGCAGGAGGTGACTGCGGTTTTCCAGTTGAGGGGTAATGATGGCTTGCACTGGAATTCTATAAAGGAGGACCTGATCTAGGATATGTTGCCAAGGTAGAACTGATGAGATGTATTGAGGTATTAGATGAGAAGTGAAGAAACACAGAGGCACTGCCAGCACCTTGATTTGTAGCCTGAGCCCTTGGGTGAATGAGGATGCCCTTACTGAAATGGGGATGGGTTGGGGAGAAGCAAGTTTGGATATTTGGGGATGAGGAAAATCCAGATATGTGTTTTAGTTGTGTAAATTCCTAGATTCACATTAGAATTACAAGTAGAAATATCAAGCTGTGGTCAGATATATGTGGCAGAGAGGACATAAATCTGTAATAAAAGCTGAGGTACTGGGTGAGAGTGTAGATAAAGAGGCCAAGGACTGAATCCCAAGGCAGCTCAATATTTCCAGGGAGGAAAGAGAAGGCAAGGAAAGAGAAAAATCAGAGGCTAATGTCCTACATGCCAATCAGAAAAAAAAATGTACTAGAAGAAAAAGGGACTGATCATGTCAAATCAGATATGAAGATTAAGGTTAACCATTAGATTTGTCAAGGTGGTGGTCATTTTAGTCCAGTTTGAGTAAAGTGGTAAGCTAAGAGCTTAATCAGAGTAGGCTAAAGGGGAAATAGATATGAGGAAAGGGAGACAGCAAACAAGATCATTATTTTGGGGAGTTTTGCCAGAAAAGAAGCAGATATTAAAGCAGGAGCTAAAAAGGGGCACAAGGTCCAAGAACTTTAATAGAAAAAAATGAATATTATGTTTATATCCTGAATGGAGTAATCTAGTGGGCAGAGTAGAAAGACAAATGATGCTATAGATGGGATTGGAGAAGGAACGTCCTTCAGCAGGTGAGAGAGATGGACTTGCTTGAGATAAGTACTGACAAAAGTCCTGGCACCACAACCGCAGGGAAGGCAGGAGCGGACAAAGGGAAGAAGGCGAGAGCATGAGCAGGTCCTTTTCTGTTTCCTCTGATTGTATCATCAGAGGAAAGCCTTGACAGCATCAGCTGACATAAGCAGAAGACGAGGATTGGAATTTGAGGAGCGAGAAGGTACGAAACAATAACTTGAAGAGCAGGAGAGTGGATGCACTTTCATGAGGAAGGGTTGCCAGGCACTGCTGAGGGCTCCCTTTATTATTATTTTTTTTTATTTTTGTAATAATTCCATCATGGAAAAGTGGATATTCGTCCCCTCAAGCATTTATCCTTTGTGTTACAAACTATCCAATTATAATCTTTTATCTTTAAATATACAGTTAAATTATTGACTATAGTCATTCTGTTGTGCTATCAAATATTAGGCCTTATTCATTCATTCAAACCACTTTTTATACCCATTAACCATCCTCAGCTCCCTTCCACTACCTTTCCCATCTCTCTGATAACCGTCCTTCTTCTCTCTATGTACATGGGTTCAATTGTTTTGATTTTTAGATCCCACAAATAAGTGAGGATATACCATGTTTGTTGTTCTGTGCCTGGCTTATTTCACTTAACGTAATGACCTCCAGTTCCACCCATGTTGTTGCAAATGACTGAATCTCATTCTTCATGGCTGAATAGTGCTTTATCATGTATATAAGTACCAGATTTTCTTTATCAATGGATATCTGTTGATAGGCACTTAGGTTGCTTCCAATCTCTTAAGATGTGCAAATGTGAATTTAAAATAAGAGCAATCCAAACAGTTGTATGTTTTTCTCCAGCCAGGTCCAGCTGCTCTACTTTGGGCCTAGAGTTGGTACACAGTTTGTTTTCATAGAGTATGAAATCTTACAGGACTATAGAATAGAGATGAGCAAAGGAATTAAAGATGTATAAAAGGCATAACTATAATGACAAGTCATTGACCCTAACCTGGGGTGGGGAGATAAATGGGACCAGGAAGTGGATGATATGTGATTTTAAAAAGTGGACAGGATCAAAGAGTTATGGAGTGAGGGAGCAGGGGATCAGAAGGAGTAAGTGGCAAAAATATGACATGCCCTCAGAGCCTGGTGGTGCCACCACTGGTAATGGCCAGATCGAGGGTGTGACCATAGGACTAAATGGTGAAATGTCCACCAGGAGTATGGATCTAATAAACCAGATGCAAAAATCTTCAAATAGTGGTCAGATGATTAAACAAGGAAAATATTTTTCTTGGCACACACACTTTATTTTTAAAGTAGAGATGGGGTCTCACTTTGTTGCTCAGGCTGGTCTTAAACTCCTGGACTTCAGCAATCCTCCTGCCTCAGCCTCCCAAAGTGCTGGTATTACAAGCATGAGCCACCATGCCTGGCCAACACACACACTTTTTAATGCACTCTGTAAGAGGTTTCGTTAGCATCCATTTTAAAACTCTGCTTATCTAATGAATTAAATTGAGGCAATAAAAATAATATTTTATAAATATTAAAATGCACCATATTGATTTTCTTCACTCTCTGAATTTAAGTCATTAAGTTTTATTTGTCCCAGTGAAAGAAAGAGTAAACAATGAGGCCACTGATCTCCTTTGAGTCTCAGAGTTGGTTTTCTTGACCCCTTTGGTGAGACAATGGTCTTGAAAGTAGAGGCTTTGTGTTCTAGTTTCATTCATGCGCAGCATGTATCAGAATTAATTCCCTTTGAATAATATTCCATTGTGTGCGTATTCCACATTTTTGTTTCTCCATTCATCTGTTGATGAATATCTTTCAGCTATTGTGAAAAAATGTGGCTATTAAGCCAGACACAGAAGCATAAATATTGTAATGATTCCACTTGTACAAGGTACCTGGAATAGTCAAATTCATAGAATTAGAAAGTAGAATGGTGGTTATCAGGGGCTGGGGGAAAAGGCCATAGAGAGCTAGTGTTTTCTTCAATACACAATTTCAGTTTGGGATGATGAAATGGTTCTCAAGATGGACAGTGGTAATGGTTGCACAACAATGTGAATGCACTTAATACCACCAAAGTGTACATGAGAAAACATTTGAAATACTAAACTTTATGTCACATATACTTTACCACAAATAATCTCATGAAAAAGAGGGCTTATGAAGGGAGGGAAAATGTCTTAATAAAATAATCCAACTCCCACTTTGGGAGGCCGAGGCAGGCAGATCACGAGGTCAAGAGATCCAAGACCATCCTGGCCAACATGGTGAAACCCCGTCTCTACTAAAAATACAAAAATTAGCTGGGCATGGTGGCGTGCACCTGTAGTCCCAGCTACTCAGGAAGCTGAGGCAGGAGAATCGGTTGAACCTGGGAGGCAGAGGTTGCAGTGAGCCGAGATCACGCCAGTGCACTCCAGCCTGGGTGACAGAGCGAGACTCCATTTCAAAAATAAATAAATACAGAAAATAATAATAATAATAATAATCCAACACCACCCTCCACACCCTGCCCCCGCTGAGTGCTGCTCATTCTTAAACACATCAATAGGTAGAATTGGCAAACTGCAGCACAGAGGTTTCCTGTAGAGAAGTCTATTGAAGACAGGAGGAAGAAGGGAGAAAAGCTACCTTTTCCTGAACCAATGGCCTGTGGGAAGAAGAAAAGAGAGACTGGTGGAAGAGATAGGGAGGGAGGCAGCTGTGCCTTGACCTCTCTCCCTGGGCCTTGACCCTTGGTGGAAATGATATTAAATAAACTCAATAGAACAGTGAGGCCAGGAGCCTTTTGCCAACATTACTCTACATTTTTAAGAGATTACAAATTGTGGAAGTTGGACTGGGAGTATATACTTTAAATTCAGGAGAGAGTGCCTATACGTTGGAGAGTGAGAAGGAGAAATAATAATAACAAAATAAATAAGGATCTATACTAACTAATCATTTAAATGTACCATGAATTACAGAATATAATCAACCTACTTCTGAAGTAAATTAAAAATATACCATACTACCAAATTAAATTATCAGTTCTCTTTTAATTTCTGACTTACACATATGGACTTGTGAAGAATCAGGTAAGTTATATATAAAATAAAATGATGGCCGGGCACAGTGGCTCACGCCTGTAAGCCCAGAACTTTGGGAGGCTGAGGTGGGCGGATCACGAGGTCAAGAGATAGAGACCATCCTGGCCAACATGGTGAAACCCCATCTCTATAAAAAACACAAAAAATTAGCTGGGCATGGTGTTACACGCCTGTAGTCCCAGCTACCTGGGAGGCTGAGGCAGGATAATTGCTTGAACCCAGGAGGTGGAGGTTGCAGCGAGCCGAGATCACACCACTGCACTCCAGCCTGGTGATAGAGCGAGACTCTGTTTCAAAAAAAGAAAGATATATCATTTGCTGTCTGAGAATAGTGTGACCAAAATTTGTGACTGTCCTAAGTTTGGTGACTAAATTTTTGTGACAATTGATATTATTAAGATTTTAAAACTAAAATAAGCACTACATTGTCTAAAGTCACAGTGTAATGCATCAGCTAGTCACGCTTGGTCTTAGCACTAACCAGCCACAATGAAGCCACTGGATCCACTTGGACGCAAATGCCAAGCTACTTCAATGCCACTGAAGGAGCCTGGCTGATATAGTTTGGCTGTGTCCCCACCCAAATCTCATGTTGAACTGTAGCTCCCATAATTACCATGTGTTGTGGGAGGGACCTGGTGGGAGATAATTGAATTATGGAGGTGGCTTCCCCCATACTGTTCTCGTGCTTGTGAATAAGTCTGATGGTTTTATAAAGGGTTTCCCTTTTCATTTGGCTCTCATTTTCTCTCGGCTCTCATTTTCTCTTGCCTGCCACCATGTAAGATGTGCTTTTCGTCCTCTGCCATGACTGTGAGGCCTCCCCAGCCATGTGGAACTGTGAGTCCATTAAATCTCTTTTTCTTTATAAATTACCCAGTCTCAGGTATGTCTTCATCAGTAGCATGAAAACAGACTAATACACTGGCCTTCTAGCCTCAGCCAAGCAAAAGGAGTATGTCTTATGAATTTGGATGTGGGTGGGAAATGTGATAAGAAAATGAAAACCACGTAGAACATGGCCAGATTAGAAACAGCTATCCAAAGCTTGTTCACTCCTTTTGGAAAAATGGAAGTCAGGATGGGACAAATATTGATTTACCAGGAAAGTTCAAAAATAATCTTAAAAGACTATTACCTGTAGACTGTGGGTATCAGAAAGCTGTTAGATAAGAATGAGTGATCCCATTATAGTTCAAAATAATGGTTATCATGGACATATATTTCTGACTAATCAGAAACGTGTTGTTGTGTGAATGATGGGTGCAAATCTCTCATATGCTGAACAATATCTCCAGGAGAATAACGAAGTGTTATCTGGAATAAAAATTCAGGCAAATTTAACAAGCGCTCCTTAAGTGTATAGATAAAAGGAGCTCTGGATTGAATGTCAGGTTGAAACTTAAACAAGACACAAAAGTTAACAAGAATCTAGGTAATATAGCATAGTGGCTAAGAACAAAACCTTTGGAACTAAGCCATTCTCTGGGTTTCTAATCTTATTAATGATGTAAGCCTGTGCTAGTGATCCACCCTCTCCAAAATTCAGGTTCTTCACCCATAAAACAAATAATATGATTCCAGGACCAAGAATAAAGGGATAACAAAACACTCAGTAATCAAGATAAATATATATATTTTATTTTATATATATATATATATATATATATATGTCTTGCTCTGCCTCCCGGGTTCACACCATTCTCCTGCCTCAGCCTCCCAGTAGCTGGGACTACAGGTGCTCACCACCATGCCTGGCTAATTTTTTGTATTTTTAATACAGACGGGTTTTCACTGTGTTAGCCAGGATGGTCTCCATCTACTGACCTCGTGGTCTACTCACCTCGGCCTCCCAAAGTGCTGGGATTACAGGTGTGAGCCACCGTGCCCAGCCTATAATATAATTTATATAAGAAGGCGATAAATTCTATGAGCAAAAAAAAAAAAAAAAAAGCAAAATGAGAGAGATTGGGAATCTGGGTGGGTGTGTGAGGGGGTTAAAATTTTAAATAAGATGGTTAGAGTAAACCTCACTGGGAAGTTGATATTTGAAGGAACTGAGGGAGTTAGCTATGCAGAAAAAGCATTCCAAGCAGGGCAAATCCTCTAATGAGGAATATACTTGGCATGTTCAAGAAACAATAAGGTCACTTATTAGCATGAGAGTGAGCATGAACAACATAGGACATGAGAGCAGAAAGGTAATCGGGAAGGAGAATGAGAGATAGATGATGTAGGACCTGGCAAATCATCATAACAACTTTGTTTTTTGTTGGTGGTGGTGGTACTTGGAGATGGGGTCTTGCTCTGTCACCCAGGTTGAAGTGCAGTGATGCTCAATCATAGCTTACTACGGCTTCTAACTCGTGGGCTCCAGTGATCCTCCTGCCTGAGCCTCCTGAGAAGCTGGGACTATAGGCACTAGCCACCACACCCACCTCACTGTAAAAACTTTGGCTTTTACTTTGAGGAAAATGTTGAGAACAGGAATGATATGATCTGACTTGTGAATAAAGAGGATAACTCTGGCTGATGTGTTTGGGGTGGTAGCAGGTGCAGGTATTGAGAAATACACACAATCTGGATATATTTTGAAGGTAAATCCAACATATTTCCTAAGCAATTGTTTGCACAGTACCAAAGACAAACATTGAGAATACTCCCAAAGCTTTTGGCTCAAGCAAGTGGATGAATGGAGTGGCAATCAACTGAAATGGGGAAGGCTGAAGATGGAACACATGTGGGAAGGAATATTAGGAGTTTTGAGTATGTTAAGTTTGACATTTATTTAACATCCAAGCAGAGATGTCATGTAGACAGTCATCTGGAGTTCAGACTGATTTTAATGTTAATCTGTGAGTTAACTACATGTTCATGCACAGTTTTTAAGTCATGAGGCAGATGAGATCATCACAACAGTAAGTTTAGATAGAGAATAGGACAGGAGCCTAGGAGTACTTGGGAATTAAAAATCAAAATATCTATAATTTAAATGAATAGAAATATCAAACATTTGTGAGCATATGGAACAATTGGAACTCTCTTAAATTGTTGATAGGAGAACACATTAGTACAGCCACTTTGGAAAAATGTTAGACAGCACCTATAAAACCTGAATATACATTTAATTTATGACCCCACTATTCCACTCCTAGGTAAAAAAAACCCAACATTAATAAATGCTGTATTCAACAAAAGACTTCTATAAGAATGTTTATAGCATTTTTATTTGCATTATCCAAAAATTGAAAAGAAAAATCCACAAATATCTATCAACAGTAGGTAGAATGGATATGTGAATCACAATATATTCAAACAATGGAATACTACCCAGCAATGAACAAGGAAGAACTATTGATGCATGAAACAACAAGTATAAATCTCACAGACATAATGTTGAGTGAAGGAAATCAGACAAAGAAGAACACATACTATATTGTTCTCTTAGTATTGTGTTCAAGAACAGGCAAAATTAGGCCATAATGACAGTGGTAAGAATAGCAGGTAAACTTTGTACTGTCTAGGAAGGAACATGAGAGAGACACCCGGAATGTTGTAAATGTTCTACATCTTAATGTAGGTGGTGATTACATAAGTAGCATCTTCATACTTAAGCTATATACACTCTGCTATGGCCAGGCGCGGTGGCTCACGCCTGTAATCCCAGCACTTTGGAAGGCTGAGACGGGTGGATCACGAGGTCAGGAGATCGAGACCATCCTGGCTAACACGGTGAAACCCCGTCTCTACTAAAAATACAAAAAAATTAGCCCGGCGTGGTGACGGGTGCCTGTAGTCCCAGCTATTTGGGAGGGTGAGGCAGGAGAATGGCATGAACCCGGGAGGCGGAGCTTGCAGTGAGCCGAGATTGCACCACTGCACTCCAGCCTGGGCGACAGAGTGAGACTCTGTCTCAAAAAAAACAGAAAAGAAAGATATATACACTCTGCTGTATGTAAGTAATCCCTCAGGAAAACAAACAAACAAAAATCAGAAAAGGATGGCTCAGCAAACAAAACTAAAAAGAGTTATCAATAAGGTGAGAGAAAAAAACAAGATTCTTGTACACTATAAGCCAAGAAAAGAAAGTGGAATAAAGATAAGGGAGTAATCTACTGCCAGATGTTGTGGATTAACATGAAGGCTGACAAATAGCCATTGGATTTAGCAGCGTAGGTCATTAGCAACTTTCATAAGAGTAGTTCGGTAGAGTGGTGAGCACAAAAGCTTGACTGGTATAGGTTTTTAGATTACAAATAAAGGAATTGAGTCAACAAAGGCAGATAGATGAGTCTTTTAGAATTTTGTTGAAAAGGTAAGCCAAAGAAATAGGGTGAAGGAAGTGTTGTTGCTTTTTCTTTCTTTTTCTTTTTTTTTTTTTTTTTTTTTTTTGAGACAGAATCTTGTTCTGTCTCCCAGGCTGGAGTGCAATGGCGCGATCTTGGCTCACTGCAACCTCCACCTCCTGGGTTCAAGCGATTCTCCTGCCTCAGCCTCCCAAGTAGCTGGGATTACAGGCACCTGCCATCATGCCCAGCTGATTTTTGTATTTTTGTAGAGACAGGGTTTCACCATATTGACCAGGCTGGTCTTGAACTCCTGGCCTCAGGTGATCTGCCCACCTTGGCCTCCCACGGTGCTGGGATTACAGGCGTAAGCCACCATGCTCAGCCTGCTTTTTTTAAGTGAGAAAAATATCTGCATTTTTATATACTATTGGAAATGATCTGGTAAAGAGGAAATAATTATAAATTAAGAAAGAAAAAGAATTATAGGCGAGTCCATGAGAAGGTGAGAGAAGCTGACATCTAGTGTACATATGGAAAGAGTGGTTTTCTTCTTCTTTTTTTTTTTTTTTTTTTTTGAGACAGAGTCTTGCTCTGTTGCCCAGGCTGGAGTGCAGTGGCGTGAATTTGGCTCACTGCAAGCTCCACCTCCCGGGTTCACACCATTCTCCTGCCTCACCCTCCCAAATAGCTGGGACTACAGCCACTCGCCATCATGCCCGGCTAATTTTTTTTTGTATTTTTTAGTAGAGACGGGGTTTCACCACGTTAGCCAGGATGGTCTCGATCTCCTGACCTCGTGATCCACCCGCCTTGGCCTCCCAAAGTGTTGGGATTACTGGGATTACAGGCGTGAGCCACCGCACCCAGCCAGGAGTGGTTTTCTATAAGAGTGTGGACACTACATTCACAGTAACAATGCAGAAATTAGTATATGTCCATGTAGATGCTGGTAGATGAGTAGATGTAGTTATGGAGTGTGAGATGTTCTCTTCTGATTGCTTCAGTTCAATTTTCCCAGTACAGTAAGAGCAAGGTCTTAATCTCAGAATGAAGATGTGCTAGGTTTGAGAAGAGAAGGAAAGGTATGAAATAGTATCTAAAGGGGCCAGGCATGGTGGCTCATGCCTGTAATCCCAGCACTTTGGGAGGCCGAGGCAGGTGGATCACTTGAGGCCAGGAGTTTGAGACCAGCCTGGACAACATGGCGAAACATTGTCGCTACTAAAAATACAAAAATTAGCTGGGCATGGTGGCACACACCTGTAATTCCAGCCAATAGGGGGGCTGAAGCAAGAGAACAGCTTGAGCCCAGGAGGCGGAGGTTGCAGTGAGCTGAGATCATGTTACTGCACTCCAGCCTGGGTGATAGAAGTGAAACCCTCATCTAAAGGAATGAGAGAATAATTGGACTAAAGAAATGTAGCATGACTGCCATGACTGCCAGGCAGCATTAAAAGCCAGTTTAGGATCCATGTCATGAATTTGATTTGAGGTCAGCTGGTATGGTTGAGTAAACAGAGTTGGAATTTAAGTCAGAGTTGTGGTTTCGCCAAGTAGAACAAGGTCGGTGAGGTCATGGCAGTGTTTACCTGGTCTGTGGGGTCCTAAGTGATCTGGATCAACTCTCCGAGTGGATTATCTACTCCAGCCACATTGGACTGGTCATCTTTCTGTTCTCAAAAGCACACACTCTCCCACTCTAAGGCCTTTGTGCTTATTATTTCTCTTACTTCAATCTGTCTTCCTCTGACTCAGAATCTTTCCTAATCCTGGGTCTCAGCTCTAAAGTTCTATTCCCAGAAGCCCCTTCCTAGACTACCTTCGTTCTTATCATATCACCTTCTTCATTTATTTTTAGCACTCATGAGTATCTAAAACATACTCAGCCCTTCATTTGCTCACTATCTGTCTCTTCCCTAATAGTAGAATGTAAGCTCTCAGAGCAAAGACTACAACTGTAATGTTCATTGCTGGATTCAATGCCTAGAACAACACCTGGGATGGATCAGGACAAAGATAATTGTTTCTTAATTGAATATATTAATTATGATTTTTTTTCTTAAAGATATTATGATCTGGCTGGGGAATTAGAGATACATGCAAGTAAAATAAAATTTCTTTCTTATTTTTTTTTTAGACAGAGTCTTACTCTGTTGCCCAGGCTGGAGTGCAGTGGCACAATCTCTGCTCACTGCAACCTCCACTGCCTGGGTTCATGCTATTCTCCTGCCTCAGCCTCCCGAGTAGCTGGGACTACAGGTGCCCACCACCACACCCATCTAATTTTTTTTTTTATTTTTTAGTGGAGACGGGGTTTCACTATGTTAGCCAGGATGGTCTCGATCTCCTGACCTCGTGATCTGCCCACCTTGGACTCCCAAAGTGCTGGGATTACAGGCATGAGCCACCGCACCCAGCTGTAAAATAAGATTTCTAAAGCTTCATAGCTCACCAGGGAATTCTTGTGTTGAAAAGCAGGGTCTAATCAGGAAATGCATGTTTACCCCAGGAATCCTAGAGATTCAATGCACTGTGTCCAGAACTTGTTTTATGCAACTTTCTAAAGAAAATTATAAGCTAGGCGTGGTGGCTCACGCCTGTAATTGCAGCACTTTGGGAGGCCGAGGTGGGCAGATCACGAGGTCAGGAGATCGAGTCCATCCTGACTAACACGGTGAAACACCGTCTCTACTAAAAAATACAAAAAATTAGCCAGGCGTAGTGGCAAGCGCCTGTACTCCTGGCTACTCGGAAGGCTGAGGCAGGAGAATGGCGTGAACCCGGGAGGCAGGGCTTGCAGTGAGCCAAGATTGTGCCACTACACTCCAGCCTGGGCGACAGAGCGAGACTCCATCTCAAAAAAGAAAAGAAAAGAAAATTATAACAGAATATTTAATATGATATCTCTCCCCCGCCCCAATCCATCTGAATAAAAACTAAGTAAATGTTAGAGCAGCTGTATTCAATATGCAAAATTATGATTATTCCTGCTCCAAGGCAAGTAAAAAGCAACACAATATTTTCCATTTTAAAAAAATGTATTTCATTTCAGAATACTCTTCCTACAGATTATTTTTTAAATGCCTTTATTTAGTCATTTTCTTGTTCTCAGTTTTTCGCTCAAAAATTCTGTCATTTCTCTGATGTGTTCATTTTAGCTGCAAACACCTAATCAGAATTTTAAGGAGAATTAGTAGGTTGGCTAACTTTCAGAAAGAAATACTAGTGGTGTTTTCAACAGGCCGGCAGAATGTCTCCAATTATAAAGACGGAGGAAATAAAAACAACAGGATGGTAAAATCCATTGAGGGACAGATTGCATTTTATAGGAAGAGATGTAACTTCATTTACCTTCGGTCTTTATGTCTTGCAAATGTGCTCAGCACTCCTACATCCCATGGGTCTCAGCGTCAATATTTATGTGCTGGAATACTTCATTGCCTCATAAACCAGGAGGTAACTGAGTATTTTCACTCTCTGGGAAAAAAAAAATGGGTTATACTAGGTAGTTTCCAACAGCTCCACTTCTCACTCATACTTCTATGCATTGACTTGCAAGAAGACACAAAGCTAGATAAATGAGAAGCGTTGATCTTTTTCTTCTTGCTCCTTGAATTAGACGTTAACCATTTCTAATTTCTCGTTAAACGTTATTCAGCTCCAACCAAAATTTCAATCATGGATAACCTAGGGGTAAAGGCTTGAAGCTTTTTTAAATTTTGTTTTAATGTAAATTTCAAAAGTCTTTATGGGGGATGTCCTAGTACCTTAAACAGCAAATTCAGATTCAAAGTTGATGTCCTTCCAAAAAGAAACACAGAGGACTTCTAAATAAATGATCCCTAAAAGACTTTTAAAAATATCGACAAACATTGCATTCAATATCCAGAAACAGTGAGTATTTCTCAATGGAGAATCACTCACCTCATGAAGAGTCCTCATGTGGAGTCCCAGATTACAAGCCTCCTTTCTCAATTCCACAGAGGGTTCTCAGTCTTTAAGTATCATACATCCAAGTTACCTGGATGCTTACCCTCTGGTTTCTGCTCCAAAGCCCTTCATTCCATCAATATTTTTCATCTGTATTAAATTTGAGAGCAGAATGCAGGCTCCTGACAGGAATGAGCTCATACATCTAATAGGTGGTCATGTCATCTACCAACCAAACCAGTCTCCCAATAAATAAGCTGTTTTCCATACTGTGTTCTACAGACTTGTATTCTATGGGATGTTTTCTCTCCCTGTGTCTCCCTATCTGTCTCCCCACTTCCTTCTTTTCTCTCTTCCTCTCTTTTATACAAACACACACACATACACAAAGGAGTTTGTAATGAAATAAGCTTGAAAGATGTAGACTTAAAGTAGTTCTATTTGTTAGATGATATCTCAAAGCATATATGTTAATATGCATTATGAATCTCCAAAAAAGTGATACAGGAGGTAGTGTTTTCCAAATATACTTGAGCACGGATCATTTTTTTCAAGGAATGTTCTTTATTGTCACAACAATTATTTCTTGAGCTACTACTATATGTCCTCTGTTGATTTTCCTAAGTGCATACGAAGATAAATAAGACAGATTTCCTGCCCTAAAGAAGCTTATAATTCAATGAACATACCACATTCTCCACAACTGTGCTCTCTAGAAAGGTAGCCACCACCCACATGTGGCTATTTTAGTAAACAAATAACATTAAAAACTCTCAGTTCTTTTGTCCCACTAGTCACATTGCAAGTTCTTAATGACCACATACTGGCTACTGCTGCCATACTGGATGGTGCAGTTATACAACATTTCCTTATTTCCATTGCAGATATTCTATTGGACAGAGGTGCTCTAAGCACTACCTTATTTGTATTAATCATACACTAATAAGCATGACATTTCACTTTTTATATATTTTTTCCTTGAAAGACTACAAACTTTTTCAGATCTCATACAATCACAGTCATCTTCTTATTGCAGTTTTAAAAATTCACTCAGATTGCTAGAAATTATTTCTAGTTCTGTTAATTTATTCTTGCAGTGGGTTGTTTTGGACGTAATCTGTTACCTAATTTCAAGGGCATTGACATGAGTTTACAATCAGACCAACTCTATGGTTGGTCTAATCTGATCTGATTTTACAGATCCTAAAATCAGAGATTTCAGAGTCTGCAAAAGCACCTAGATGTTATTTAATCCTATTCTCCCAATTTTGTAAAGTAGCAATTAAAGCTCAGAGTCATTAGGAACTCACACTGGTTTACAAAGATGTTAAGTAGCAGGGCCCCTTGGATTCATCTAAGTAAAATTTAGTGGCTGTATACAACTCCCTGAGCCTTATATATTGTCCTCAGAAGGAATAAATTGTGGCATAGCACACTGCTGGATAACAAGTACACCTGTACAAAGACAGGATTTTTCTGTTGATATTCCTATGCTAATGATGTAAAATGGAGCTCATCTCCATGAGATTATTATCATAGGCATTAACTTTTACTGAAACTCTGTGGGTATCATAAATGATAAGCCTTATAGAGAAATATTTGCTCAATTACAAAGTGTGTGTGCATAGGGTGTTTACACGTGTGCACTTGTATGCATATGTGTGCAGAATCAGGAGAAAGGATGTGTTTTTTTTAACTTTTATTTTAAGTTCAGGGGTACATATGCAGATTTGTTACAGAGGTAAACTTGTGTCATGGGAATTTGTTGTACAGATTATTTCATCACCCAGGTATTAAGCCTAGTACCCATTAGTTATTTTTCCTGATCCTCTCTGTTCTCTCCCACCCTCCACCCTCTGACAGGCCCCAGTGTCTACTGTTCCCCTCTATGTGTCCATGTGTTCTCATCATTTAGCTCTCAGTTATAAGTGAGAACATGTGGTATTTGGTTTTCTGTTCCTGCATTAGTTTGCTTCCCGCTCCATCCATGTCCCTCCAAAGAACAGGATCTAGTTCTTTTTTATGGCTGCATAGTATTCCATGGGGTATATGTACCACATTTTCTTTATCCAGTCTATCATAAATGGGCACTTAGGTTGATTCCATGTCTTTGCTAGTGTGAATAGTGCTGCAATGAATATATGAGTGCGTGTGTCTTCATAATGGAACAATTTCTATTCCTTTGAATATATACCCAATAATGGGATTGCTGGGTCAAACGGTATTTCCGTCTTAAGGAAATCCAGCAGCACATCAAAAAGCTTATCTAGGCCAGGTGCAGTGGATCACACCTGTAATCCTAACACTCTGGGAGGCTGAGGCAGGCTTATCACAAGGTAAAGAGATTGAGACCATTCTGGCCAACATGGTGAAACCCCGTCTGTACTAAAAATACAAAAATTAGCTGAGTGTGGTGGCATGCACCTGTAGTCCCAGTTAGGAGGCTGAGACAGGAAAATTGCTTCAACCTGGGAGGCAGGGGTTGCAGTGAGCTGAGATCATGCCACTACACTCCAGCCTGGTGACAGAGTGAGACTCCATCTCAAAAAAAAAAAAAAAAAAAAAAAAAGCTTATCCATCACAATCAAGTAGGCTTTATCCCTGGAATACAAGGTTGATTCAACATATACAAATGAATAAATATGATTAATCACAAACAAAACTAATGAGTTTTTGTTGTTGTTGTTGTTGTTTTGTTTGTTTGTTTGTTTTGAAGCAGAGTCTCACTCTGTTGCCCAGGCTGGAGTGCAGTGGTGCAATCATGGCTTACTACAGCCTTGACCTTCGGACCTAGGCTCAAGCAATCCTCCCACCTCAGCCTCCTGAGCAGATGGGACTACAGGCACATGCACCACCACGCCCAGCTAATTTTTGTTTTTCTGGTGGAGACAGGGTTTCACCATGTTGCCCAGGCTGGTCTTGAACTCCTGGGCTCAAGCAATTCAGTTGCCTTGGCCTCCCAAAGTGCTGGGATTATAGCCGCACTCTACTCCTCAGGACCAATTTTCTGTCTTAGTCCATTCGTGTTGCTATGAAGAAATATCTAGGCAGGGTGCGGTGGCTCACACCTGTAATCCCAGCAGTTTGGGAGGCCGCGGCAGGCGGATCACTTGAGGTCAGGAGTTCAAGACTAGCCTGGCGAACATGATGAAGCCCCATCTCTACTAAAAATACAAAAAAGTAGCTGGGCGTGGTGGTGGGCACCTGTAATCCCAGCTACTCAGGAGGCTGAGGCAGGAGGATTGCTTGAACCCAGGAGGCAGAGGTGGCAGTGAGCTGAGATTGCACCATTGCACTGCAGCCTGGATGACAGAGTGCGACTTCATCTCAAAATATATACATATATATATATATGTGTATATATATATATATATATGTGTGTGTGTGTGTATATATATATATATATATGTGTGTGTATATATATATATATATATATCTATATCTATATCTATATCTGAGGCTGGGTAATTTATAAAGAAAAGGAGTTTATTTGCTTTACAGTTCTGCAGGCTGTGCAAGAAGCACAGTACCGGCAGCTGCTTCCGGGAAGGATTTCAGACTGCTGCCATTCCTGGTGGAAGGCAAAGGGGAGCTGGCATGTTCAGAAGTCACACGATGAGACAGCAGAAGCAGGGGGTGGGTAGTTCTAGACCCTTTTTAACAATCATTTTTCTAGGGAACTAATATAGCAAGAACTTACTCATTACCACAAGGATGGCACCAAGACATTCATGACGGATCCACCCCCATAACCCAAACTCCTTCCATTAGACCCCCAACTTCCAACATTGGGAATCAAATTTCAACATGATATTTTGAGAGGACAAATATCCAAACAATATCAGATGAATATGTTTTTAAAAGAAGCAAGACATTTGGCAAGTCTGCCTCAATTTTTTGACAGATGGAAAGTGTCTTTCATCTTAGCAATACCATATAAATGTAGTATAGTCTCTGGACAGTTGAAATTATGTGTTCTGTTGATGAGACTTATGAGATGGCTGCCCAGAAAAATAACAAAAAGCAGAAGAGCCTCAAGGGGCACATCTGGAAATTGAGTTGCATGCATTGAAGAATACAGAAATACTTCTGGGGACTTAAAAATTGAACACTAACAATTATTGAGATTTTTTTTACCTTAAAGCAGACACCTGTGCGAAGTGAATTTTTACATAAAACTTAAGGTTATTGGCTAGTAAATACTATTGCAAATAAAGAAATCTTTTCAGCCTCTTTGATCCAGAAGAAAAAGAGGTGAAAGACCCCTTTCATATAAAAGGGCTATGGATTAACTTAGAGAGTTTTAAAACCCATCTTCCTTGACATATATGAAACTTGCGGCCCCAAGAAAGAAGCAGCTGCTGATATTGGATTGCGTGCCCATCCATGTTCCTTTCATTTCCCAGGGCAAGCATAGATCTCCAAGTCAGCAAAATGAGGAACTCTGCTCTCACATCCAGTTTCTAGAGCTGAGTGGAAAGACAGAAATGGGGTCTCTGTGGAAAAATCAGGAAAATTATAGGAAACATACAAATAAAATTTTATTGCTCTCCATCAGTGCAAGTTCATTTCAAGATTGAGTTATAATAAGAGATTATTTTGTAGAGTTCCAGAGTTGAACAAATACTTCAAGATCACACAAAAAAAGGTAAAAAAAGTAGCTAAGAACATGAGTTCTGGAGTCATACAGACTTGGCTTTTTTCCTGGTTCTAAGATGTCTCCATTTTGCTTTCAGATAGATGAAGTCAACAGGGTTAAAGACAGGCCCATAAAAATATCTCAAAAATTTATCCATGCTCTTTTCCCCTTCTAATTCAGTGGGATGGATATATCTGCAGCAGCCATGGAAACAAGGTGTTATATTGGCACAGTCCTGATCTGCTGAAGGCCCTGAATAATGGCAGAGCCTCCATCGATGGGCATTCCTGAATGACCACAAGAAGGAAACCTCGCTGGTGACATGCTCACCTGCCAGAGAGAGCTACAAGCACAAGAAACAAATTCCTATTACTGCAAGCCATTTTATATGTAGGTCTATATGTTACAGCTGTCAGCATTACCCAACAAAGACACACCCATTTGCATGTGCCCCTAAGTCCAGGAGAATGTTTTCCAAGCTCTCTAAGACTTACATGGGACATTTTAGGTGTTTTCCAGTTCTTCATTTAAAGTTTTGCAATTCCTGCAAAAGCAAAGCTTTCTTTTACCTATGATGTGTCATGGGGAACAATAAAGAGTGTAGGATCAGAGAATGACTAGAATTTTATCGATGACCCAAGGCAAAATAAAATTCAGCCTGCTCTTTTGCAGCAATATTAGATCTGCTGCTCTTTCAGCAGTAAAATCTTGTTTTGTCAGCAACTATTGAGAGTAGATATGACTCAGAAGACACATAAAAGCATATATGTAAGTAACTAGCTATTATGTTTAGAAAATCTTTTTTTGCAACTTAAATGCACTCTAACATTTCCTATTTTAAATAATCAAGACCGCCTTCAGAATGCAGAATCTCAAAAATATTATGCTTTTCTATTTATGTCCTAATTGAATAAGGCAGAAGAAAGTACAAGTCACACAAGGACATACAGAAAATCACAAATTTTAGATATGAAAGGGAACTTTAAAGATCATTGAGCATAACAGCTTCATGCTATGGAAAAGGAAAGTAAGGCTTAAAAGGATTATGTGAACTTCGTAGTATCATTCCAACAGAGTTAGGACTAAAATTCTCAGTAATTATTTAATTCTCAGTAATTATTTTTTTCTCAGTAATTCTCAGTAATTATTTAATTCATTTTTTGCAGAGAGCCCAGCTCCCAATGCTTTAGAATTATGGAATCTTGTTTGTTTTTGTGACATTATTCAACTTTTCTTCAAAAAGTGGTATTAGAATATCAAGATTTATTATATAATATTGAACTTGCAAGAGCAACAATTCTGAGATCCACCAGCATCTGGTACATAGGTGATGCTCAATAAATGTTGATTGGTTGATGTTATAACACTCAAGTTTCATGGCCTAAGGTAACCCTTTGCTACAGCCTCATAATCCAATGGTCTAGGACTTATATTTTTAAAGGTTTTGAAAAGACAAAGTGAAATTTAAATATTAAACATTTCTTGGGATTCAAATATGATTTTGTATGAATACAATGTAAGCTAATCACCACTTCTATTTTAAACATATACAAAAGATTTCTGGATCTGTCCATGACAAAAATCACAGGTATAGGATGTATTCTCATGGTAAAAATAAATAGATAACTAAACAAACTATGTAAAGTAACTGTTTTTAGATACTAGAAAATAGGCAATGTAGGCTGCTCATAAGAGAAGAGAAACATAGGAGGTGATTTTTGCATTTGCAAAAAGTATTCTACCTTTCCAAGATGCAGCTGTGGAAACCAAAGACTTCACTTTGTGGCAGAGGAAACAGAGCATAGAGATATGACTAACCAGGAAACAACAGAACAACATCTTTTAAGTGCTGAAAAACAAAAACCTGTCAACCTAGAATCCTATAGCCCATGAAAATATTGTTCAAAATTGAGGGAGAAATAAGTTGATTTTCAGACAAATAACAACCAAAAAAGTGTCATTAGTAAATCCGCACTAAAGAATATTACAGATTACTAAAGAATATTGCAGAATATTACTATTAAGCCTTTAAGTTGAGGCTTAATAGTACCACAAATAAACATGGATCTATAGCAGAAGTTAGCAAATTATAAACTATAAGCCAAATCCAGCCATCTTTTATGTGGTCCATAAGGTAAGATAGTTTTAACATATTGAAATAATTAGAAAAATCAAAAGAATAATATTTTGAAAATTATGTAAATTTCAAAGTTTAGTAAAAATATATGAAATTTAAAGTTTGGTATTTACAAATAAAGTTTGATTGGAACTCAGCCATGCTCAATTGTTTATAAATTATCTATGGCTTATTTTACTCACATGAGCGTAGATGAGTCATTATGACACAGATTGTATTGCCCGCAAAGCCTAAAATACTTATTAACTGGTATTAAAAAAAAAAAAAGTGGGTAGAATAAAGAGCACTGAAAATGGTGAATATATGAGAAAATATTTTAAAAATCTTTTCTCATTTTTAAAATTTGTTTGAAAGTCTGTTTAAAGCAAAAATAATGGCAGTGAATTGTGGGTTTTAAACATACGTAGAAGTAAATATGTGACAACTACAGGAGCAATTATAGGAAAGAAGTAAATGGAATCACTGCAGTGTAAGGGTGTATTAGTCTGTTCTCATGCTGCTAATAAAGACATACCCGAGACTGTGTAATTCATAAAGGAAAGAGGCTTAATTGACTCACAGTTCAGCATGGCTGGTGAGGCCTCAGGAAACTCACAATCATGGCAGAAGGGGAAGCAAACATGTCCTTCTTCACATGGTGGCAGCAAGGAGAAATGCAGAGCAAAGGCCGGGGATAGAGGGATACCACTTATAAAACTATCAGGTCTCATGAGAACTCACTCACTATCACAAGAACAGCATGGATGTAACCACCCATGATTCAATTACCTCCCACTGGGTCGCTCTCACAACACAGTGGGATTATGGGAACTACAGTTCCAGAAGAGATTTGGGTGGAGACACAGGTACACCATATCAAAGAGTTTTACGTTGTACACAAAGAGGTACGTCTTAGTCACTTAAGGCTGCTATTATAGATACCATACACTGGGTAACTAAGATAACAGACATTTATTTCTCACAATTCTGGAGTCTGGAAAGTCCAAGAAAAATGTGCTGGCCAACTCAGTCTCTGGGGAGGGCTCTCTTTCTAACTTGCAGATGGACATCTTTTTATAAACAGACTGATTATATTTAAAAATTAGACAAAAAGTGCTTCAAGAAAAGGAATAACAGTAAAAACAAAGAGGAGCATATCACAATGTTTTAAAAAAATCAAAGGATCTTGATGATGTGAAATGCACTGTTAAACAATTTTAAAATACTAAATGAAATTAATTGAAATTATAGAGACCACTACTCAAAGCAATTGCATTCTTTTGATGTGCACAAGATAGACCATATGTTGGGTCAGAAAACATACCTTAATTTCAAATGATTGAAAACATACAGAATACATTTTCTAACTAAAATAGAATTATATTAGAAATCAGTAACAAAATTATATCTGTAATATCCCCAAATATTTGAAAATTAAACAACATAATTCTAAGTAAAACATGAGTAAAAGGAAAACATTACCAAAGCAAATAGAAATATTTTTACCTGAATAATGAAAATACAACAAATTAAACTTCGTGGGTGGCCAGAAATTAGTCCCTATAACTATAGCCAACTGATTTTTGCCAAAAGAATCCAGAACACACAATGGGGAAAGGACAGTCTCTTCAATAAATGGTTCTGAAAAAACTAAATATATACATGCAAAAGAATGAAACTAGACCCCCCACCTCTTTCCCTATAGAAAAATCAACTCAAAATGGATCAAAGACCTGAACTTAAGACCCCATACTATAAACTACCAGAAGAAAACATAGGGGAAATGCTTCAGGACATTGGTCTGAGAAAAGACTTTATAAAGAAGACCACAAAGTCACAGGCAACAAAAGTAACAACAAACAAATGAGATTATATCAAACTAAAAAGCTTTTGCACAACAAAAGAAACAATCAGAGTGAAGAGGCAACCTACAGAATGGGAGAAAATATTTGCAAACTCTCCATCAAATAGGTGATTAATATCCAGAATATATAAGAAATTCAAACATCTCAACAGCAAAAAACAATCTGATTTTTAAATGGGTAAATAATATGAATAGACATTTCTCCAAAAAAAAGACATACAAATAGCCAACAAATATATGAAAAAAATGCTCAATATCATTAATCACCAGGGAAATGCAAATCAAAACCACAACAAGGTATCATCTCACCCCAGTTAGGATGGCTATTATCAAAAAGACAAAAAATAACAAATGCTGAAAAGGGAACTCATACACTCTTGGTAGGAATGTAAAGTAGTATGGTTACAATGGAGAATAGTACAGAGGCTCATCAAAATACTGTCAACAGAACTTCCATAAGATCCAGCAGTACCACTGCTGGCCATTTATCCAAAGAATAGGAAAATCAGTATCTAGATGACACATCTGCATTCCCATGTTTGTTGCAGCACTGTTCACAATAGCCAATATGTGAAATCAACTTAGGTGTCTAACAACAGATGAATGAGTTTTTAAAATGTGGTATATACACACAATGGAATACTATTTGGACATTAAAAAAAAATAAATCCTGTCATTCACAGAACATGGTTGAAACTGGAGGACATTATGTTCAGTGAAATGAGCCAGGCACAGAAAGTGAAACACCGCATATTCTCACTCATATGTGAAAGCTAAAAAATGTTCATCTCATAGAAGTAAAAAGTAGAACAGAAGATACCAGAGGCTGGGAAGAGTAGAAATAAGGGGGTTATAGGGAGAGATTTGTTAGAGGATACAAAATTACAGCTAGATAGAAAGAATAAGTTATAGTGTTCTATAGCACTGTAGAATGACCAAAGTTAATAATTCATAAATTCAAATAGCTAGAAGGAAGATATTGCATATTCCCAACATGAAGAAACCATAAATAATTGAGATAATGAATATGCCAATTACCCTGATCTGATTGCTATACATTATATATATATATCAAAACACCACTATGTACCCTATAAATATGTACAATTATATGTTAATTTTAATATAAAGAAAAATATCATAAAATATAAATTAATTTTTAAAATAAACTTTGTGTGTTACAACTAAAGCAATCCTTAAAGGAAAATATATATCTTGAGATGCTTACATTAGAGAAAAAGCAAAGTTAAAATTAATAATCCAGGTTCATTTTAAGAAACTAGTAAAATAATGGGGTGGGGAGAGGGGGGAGGGATAGCATTAGGAGATATAGCTAATGCTAAATGACAAGTTAATGGGTGCAGCACACCAATATGGCACATGTATACATATGTAAGAAACCTGCATGTTGTGCACATGTACCCAAAAACTTAAAGTATAATAATAATAAAATTTAAAAAAAGCAGCTAGTAAAATAAGAGCAAAATAAACCCAAAGTAAGTAGAAAGCAGAAAATAAAAAAATAAATGTGGAAATCAATGAAATATAAAGTGGACAAACAAAAGAGAAAAATCAATGAAACTGAAATTCACTGGTAAATATCATCAAACATTTCAGGAAGAAGTAACTACAATCCTCCAATCTTAAATAAATGTTTTCCTAAAATATAAATAGTCCAAACATTCCAATTAAAAGGTAGACATGTCAGACTGTATAAAATATAAGACCCAACTATATACTGTCCGAAGGAAGGAAGGAAGGAAGGAAGGAAGGAAGGAAGGAAGGAAGGAAGGAAGGAAGGAAGGAAGGAAGGAGGGAAGGAAGGAAGGAGGGAAGGGAGGGAGGGAGGGAGGGAGGGAGGGAGGGATATTTCCAGCATATTTCCAGAGCCCCAAAGTGTGGTGAAGGTTGTAAATGCAACCTTCACCCAGATCCACATAGGGCATCCTTGTTAACAGGCAAAAGAGCAGCAAGATGGGCATGAAGCTGACCCAAGATCCTGCTCATGATCTTGTGGAATTGCCCAAAAGCAGAACTGAGGGAGGCAGGGAGGGAGGGGAGGGGAGGGAAGGGGAGGTGAGAAAGAAGGGAAGAAGGCAGGCAGGCTACAAATATAAAGACATATTAAAAAATATATAGACATGTTGAAAGTAAGTTTGTGGAAAAATATGTGCCAGGCAAATATTAATCATAAAGCTGATGTGGTTACATTAATACTAGATAAAGTAGACTTTAAATGAAGATATATTAACAAGGATAAAGATAAAAGAATCATAATGATAAAGGAGTTCATAAAGAAGGCATAAAAACCCTAAATGTGAGCGCACCTAAAAATAGAACTTAAAAATAAATAAAAAACTACAGATTTTATGGAGTACAAATTTGTAATTATAATTGAAGATTTCAAAAACTTATTTCTCAGTAATTGATAGAACAAGTACATAGAAAATTAGTAATCATATAGAAAAATAACCATAATTTGACATTCAAAGAATACCCCAACAGTAGCATACCATTCTTTTAAAACACAGATGGCATATTAACCAAGACAGTCCATATGCTGGGCCTTAAATTAAAAATTTATTTAAAAAATAAAGTTTATGTTAATTTTCCTTCTTATTAAAAAGAAAATAGTTTTGAAAGAAGCCTCTCTCAACAGGCTTAAGAAAGCCTACATCAGAAGACAAAATCCAGCTAAAATTATCAAATGGATTTTTAAAATTATTACTTTCTTTTCTTTTTCCAGGTTATTTTACAAACTGTGTGATATCCCACAATTTATGAAAGAAGCCTCTCAGTGAGGGAAATGTTTCCAACCAATAAATCAAAAGATAAATGATCAAAACTCAAATCCTCTGAAAACCAGTTGCAGGCATTGTGTTCATGTTATATCGAAAGCAATAAATAATAAAATGTCCTAACATATTTTTCATATCATTGAAATATTTTAAGGAAATTTTATCAGTCATTTCAAAGTAAAGAAGGGTTCTGGTAAGGCAAACTGTTTTCTACTTCAAATATTATTTATGAATACAACTAAAGGTAGTTTTTCATGTTGTACATGGAGCTCTGCAGAAAGTATTTCCTTTTAAGGTAGACAGCAATCTATCAAAATAAACCTGGTCAGGCTGTGACATAAATGCATATAAGGCTATCTAGGTATACGACCCTGTTTTTTCACTAATCCAATGATGGTAGGGTGCTTCTAAATGTTTCTTAAGTATGTATAGTTCGGTTTGGTTTGGTTCTTGTTTTTATTTTAATGTAGAAGGCTTCTGGCATTGACATTTAGTCTTGGATTGAGATAGGAAAGAATGAGGATAGTTTTAGATATTCAAGAGGTATTGAAAAGGTATTGGTTAGCAAGATAATTGAGATGAGATTGTTAAGGGACCCAGAGAACCAGAGAAAAGGCAGGAGGGGTGAAGGAATCAAGACACTGGCATCTGTATAGAGGCTAGGAAATGATTTGGGAGCAGTAAGTACGCTAAGACTGAATCAGATCCTAGAAGAGGCTTCTTACTCTTATAACAAGTAAGAGAAGTTTAACGTTCATGACAGAATGCAAAGAAGTAGAAAACAGGTGAAGAAAATAGGTTGTGCAGATCAAGCTTCACACCCATAATTTGCATAGCACTAGAGATCAAAACATAGAATGTAGGTTTCAGGTATTCAGAAAGGAACCTCGGATGACAGGTCAGAAAGGCCCAGAGTTATACATGAGTCAGGGTTCAAAAACCCACCCAAAGTAACTACATCTCAGCAAGCAGCACTCCCAGAAATTAGATCAGCTTAGATCCTATAGAGTGGAATTATTGAGTTCCCACCTTGGGGATGTAAATATAATCATTGCACCGATAAGGATATGCCATTGTTAGGCATGTGAAGCTTCACCCAGATCCACATATGGGCATCCTGGTTAACAGGAAAAAGAGCAGCAAGATGGGCATGAAGCTGACCCAAGATCCTGCTTATGATCTTGTGGAATTGCCCAAAAGCAGAACTGAGACCAAGCAAAAGAAAGCACTCTGGTAAGCAGGCTCATCTACTGGGAGCAAAGGTGAGTCAAGAAAGGACCAGATCACTTCCACCTCCGAGACTGGGTTTTTCAATGAGTTTTAAGGAAACGTTATATTTTTTAAATACTTTTTATGATTTAGGTATTTATACATAGCACTAGTGCTAATAATCAAATGCCGACACAAGAATTGCTGAAGCAAAACCCATTGGCTGATACTCTGATAACCCTATGAGTGCAAACTTAAATACATAAAAGGCCATTTCATTTTCTATAGCTCTACCATATTAGTAATAGGAATTTATGATATGGAATGCTATTGTCTATTCTTTCCTCTGCAATAAAAGCAGTTAAAAAATGTTGTCTCCAGATTTCATGAAGAATTGGTTTTCACAGAATCACAAAACTTTCCAAATTGAAAATCTCTGCAGAGAAAGTAAGCATTGCTAGACTCAACAGACCATGCAAAAAACAGACAAGGCTCATACACAATGATTAAGGATAATCTACATTGGAGTGACAGGGGCAGACCAGGCCACTGCCCTCAACCCTGCCTTTGCTACCTCTGCATATCTGTTTGAGTGACTGCATTGAGAACTCACTCCCTAAGGCCACACAGAGGAAATATGAGCTTAAATGTTTAATTACTCAGCTTCTTTTCCTCCCCTTTCTCATTGCCTTTTTTCCATTACAAGGTTTCTGGGCTTCTCTCTAGGTTCCTCTCCCCTAGAATGAGTTCTAGAAAATTCTCATTCCTAGCCCTCTAAACCCCAGCTGAGGATGTGGATATGTCTTGCTAGAGTTCTTCCCAAAAGTTGGATCCTGCCCCAAATCCAGGGATTAGTTCTGCAGTTTCGCACAGTTTTGCTGCCTGCCCAAAGACAAATATTGACCATTCTCTGTGTGACACAGTTGCCCCAACTAGATGCCTTTATACTAACTGTTGCTTCCTGTACCCATTGACCTCTACCCCATCACTAGTCTTTTTGTTTGTTTATTTGTTTGTTTGTTTGTTTGTTTGAGACGGAGTCTCGCTCTGTCACCCAGGCTGGAGCGCAGTGGCACGATCTCAGCTCACTGCAAGCTCCGCCTCCCAGGTTCACACCATTTTCCTACCTCAGCATCCCGAGTAGCTGGGACTACAGGCACCTGCCACCACGCCAGGCTAATTTTTGTATTTTTAGTAGAGATGGGGTTTCACCGTGTTAGCCAGGATGGTCTCCATCTCCTGACCTCGTGATCCTCCCACCTCGGCCTCCCAAAGTGTTGGGATTACAGGCATGAGCCACTGCGCCAGGCCCAATTTACTCTCTTAGTAAAGGTAACATCCCAATCCCCACCAGTATGCAATATACCTATGGAATAAACACATACATGTACCTCCAAATCTAAAAATCGAATTTAATTTTTTTTTAACAAGTAACAATATTAATGGAATAGTTTCTAGCATCAAGATCCAAAGCCATGGGCTAAGTGAAAAGAAAGTTCCTAATCCAACCCGCTTGTGATTTCCTGATCTTTCAGATATATTTATGAGAAAAATAGAGGCTACAGAAGAGACGCTGAGAATAATTTGTCTCTCTTACAAACCGCTGACCAAGTATTTCAGACTGTATAGTGGAGGGCCAAGTTTCAGTATAGGGTGAAATAGAAACCACCTATGGCCAATGGTGAAACTAATGAATCACAAAGTCACTTCGCTGTCATTTCCTTCAGGTGTAAAATCAGGAAGTTGGGTTAGGTCATCTCTGAGGCCACCTTAAGCTCTAAAAATCTATTATCTGTACAGAGTAGTGCCACTTACATTGACATTTAATCTTAAACCTACAAAAGCTTATTGACAAGAGGATGTACTTTTGTGGAAACTGATATGGAATCGGTGAGTATAAAATGCAAAGTTTTAAAAGAAGGTGGAAGGCAGATACTTCAGAATTGACATGGCATAACTTAAGCTTAATAATTTGTGGAGTACCCACAAGATCTGAATAATAAGATACTTAAATCCACAGAGTATTTCACAAATTCACATTCAAATTCATAACCATTTGTTTATCAGCATATTTCCAGAGCCCCAAAGTGTGGTGAAGGTTGTAAATGAAGTTATAGAGGAATGCACTATTTATTATCATTGAGAAAATGATGTCACAGAACAAGAGATACAAACTGTCTTTCATCATTTTAAAATCTATGACCATAAAGGCAACTGGGCAGTGCTGGAACAGAATGCTCCATCTCCCTGGTCACAACTAAATAGCTCCAATTTCCAGTCATTCATGTTTTCAGGGACATGGTTCTCCTTTTCAAAATGTCCTAATAGTTTTAAATGGCTTGTTGTCAATATAAATACCTAATGTGTTTTTCTATTCAGATTACTTCATTATGGAATAATGTACATCAATTTCACGCACAATTTGCACTTTTGTCACTGAAACATCAAGTAGAAACATTATCATTAAATGTTGATTCATGAAGCAAAAAATAATATTTTTTAGTCAAGCTCAGGCCCATGATTATTGGGCCAGCAGGAGCTGAGAATTCTGCAGAGATCACACGGCTTTGCCCAAGGAAACTTCTCTTCCCCATATAACTCTCCACTCTGCCTGCTTGTTGCTGCTTGCAGAAGAATATCTAGACATAAAAGCTTGCTCCTTTCCTTGTAGGAACAGAAGCTGCACTCTGTATAACAGGGCTTGGCAAACTGTGAAAGGGCCACATATATCTCACTGCCTGTTCTGGTACAACTTTCAATCTAAGAATGGTTATTACATTTTTAAATGGTTGACAAAAAATATGTATCAAGACATGTGGAAACTATATGAAACCCAGATTTCAGTGTCCAATAAATAAAGTTTGGAACTGTCTCAGACTCATTTGTTTACATATTGTCTATCAATGCTTTCATGCTATAATGTAAAGTCAGACCATATAGCCCATAAGCTCTTTACCACCTGGCTCTTTAGGGTCAAAGATTGCCCATCCCTTCCCTAGAACATCCAGGAAGTTCCCTTGCTGTGCCGTACACAGAACAACAATATTCGACCCAGCAAAAGTCTTCTGCTTCTCATGCCTGATGGCAATGTCAAATTTTGAAGTCAACACTTTGCTTTAATAACAGAAGTCCTCTACAAAAATACTTATTTTTCCCTAAGACTTCTGCCTCTGTTATCCATGCTTAGTCATTTGCTTAAAACCAATGTCTCTACTTCTGTCCCTGTTCCCATCTTTGCCAGGAGCCCACCACACTGATTCTACCATTTAAGTAATCCTTCTGTTCTTTGTCCCAAACCCAACTAGATTTCGTCATAGCATTTAATCCTGCAGTGAAGATTTGTGTTCTATTTGTCTGTGTCTGCAGAAAGAAGGAAATTGTTTACTTTCAGAAATACATGAATTCTCTCATGCCAGTAGGAGGGAGAGTTTCACAAGGAACTAACATTTGAATTTTAAGCCAAGCAATTTGAAGGAGGATGGGGAAACACACACAGTTTATATTTACTAATCTGTCATTGTCACATCTGATTCAAAGTGACCACATAAAAAGTCCTTTATTAGTCCTATTTCCTTGTCACTATGAGAGATGTCTGAGTGTCATTTGAATCCCAATTGTTTTTTTTTTTTTTTGAGACGGCGTCTTGCTCTGTCGCCAGGCTGGAGTGCAATGGCACGATCTCGGCTCACTGCAATCTCTGCCTCCCGGGTTCAAGAGTTTATCCTGCCTCAGCCTCCCGAGTAGCTGGGATTACAGGCGCGGGCCACCATGCCCAGCTAATTTTTGTATTTTTAGTAGAGACGGGGTCTCACCATGTTGGCCAGGATGGTCTCGATCTCTTGACCTCGTGATCTGCCTGCCTTGGCCTGCCAGAGTGCTGGGATTACAGGCGTGAGCTACAGCACCCAGCCAAAAGTGATTTTAAGCATCTGGCCGGGCGCGGTGGCTCACGCCTGTAATCCCAGCACTTTGGGAGGCCGAAGCGGGCGGATCACAAGGTCAGGAGATCGAGACCATCCCGGCTAAAACGGTGAAACCCCGTCTCTACTAAAAATACAAAAAATTAGCCGGGCGTAGTGGCAGGCGCCTGTAGTCCCAGCTACTTGGGAGGCTGAGGCAGGAGAATGGCGTGAACCCGGGAGGCGGAGCTTGCAGTGAGCCGAGATCCCGCCACTGCACTCCAGCCTGGGCGACAGAGCGAGACTCCGTCTCAAAAAAAAAAAAAAAAAAAAAAAAAAAAGCATCAGCATTTTATCGCACAGAATTGCAGATCAGAAGTCTGAAATCAAGGTGTTCACAGAACCACACTCCTCCAGATCCTGTAGAAGAGATTCCGTTTCTTGCCTCTTCCGGCTCCTGATAGTTGTTGGTTTTCCTTACCTGATGGTTGCATCACTCCAGCCTCTTCTTTTGTCTTCACCTGGTCTCCTCTCTGTGTCTGTGTCTTCTGCCACTGGATTTAGGGCCCACTTTGGTAATCCAGGAGGACCTCAAGATTCTTCATTATACCTGCAAAGACCATTTTTGCAAATGAGATCATATTCACAGTTCTGGGAATTTATACCTGGACATATCTTTTAGGGGGCACTATTCAATATACTGCATGTAGCAAGAGAATACTAGCGCATGTATCATCTCATCCAAGTCTTCAAGAGCCTTGACAGTTACTGTTATTTCTCACATAAGAAAACCGTAGTGATAAAAGTGAAAAGCTAACATTTAAAACTCGATCTGTCAGCCAGGTGCAGTGGCTCACGCCTGTAATCCCAGCACTTTGGGAGGCCAAGACAGGCAGATCACGAGGTCAGGATATCGAGAACATCCTGGCTAACACAGTGAAACCCCGTCTCTACTAAAAATACAAAAAATTACCTGGGCGTGGTGGTGGGCGCCTGTAGTCCCATCTACTCGGGAGGCTGAGGCAGGAGAATGGCATGAAATGGGGAGGCAGAGCTTTCAGTGAGCCAAGATTGCGCCACTGCACTCCAGCCTGGGCGACAGAGCGAGACTCCGTCTCAAAAAAAAAACAAAACAAAACAAAAAAAAAACCTCGATCTGTCAGGATTTAAGTCTATTCCTTTAGCCGCTATGGCATTTTACTACCTACAAAGCAGACAGGGCCACTTTCTAAATTGCCCAGCCTACAGGCTGAATGTACCAGAGTCCTAAGCCACCACAAGGTCCCTCTGTGCACCCTCCTTCACCTATTTGTATAGCCATATGGCCCACCAGGAGTGCAGAAATACAGGCTATTTCACAGGTCAGCAGGAAATTCCCAATTGCCCTCAGGGCTAATCAGACACTCTCAGCCAACTTCTTTAAAATTAAGTTCCCATTTCTCTTAGTAAGTTCTGCTTGATGCTTCATAAGGTTCATGGCAAGTTAAATGCATTGCATATTCACCACTGGTAAGCAATGTAGATAAGAAATTCTAAAGAGAATATTTCATCTTCATTTCAATCTAGCAAACTTATAAAAGTATGGATTTTTAAACGGGATGCAAATGACACTAGAGCATAACTCATAGTGACAAGGAGAAAGGACTAATAAAGGAGTTTTTATGTGGTCACTTTGAATTAGACCTGTCAGTGACACTCTAGTGAATATTAACTGTGTGCATTTTTCCATCCCCCTTCAAACTGCTTGGCTTAAAATTCAAATAAAGTTGGTTCCTTGTGAAAACCCCCCTCCTGGTGGCATGAGAGAATTAATGTACTTTCAAAGGTAAACAATTTGCTCCTTTCTGCAGTTGGAGCAGAGCTGTTATAGATCATGCCAACTCAAAGGGAAAATAGAGTCAAGGAAACTGAAGAGTCAAAAGCCAACCACCTGGAAATTTATGTCAGTTTTTATGCTTAAGATCCTTCACTGCAAACAAATATCACACTTTAATGCCACAGCACAATAAAGAAAAACCTTTGACTTGTGGGCTTGTGGAAAAAGAAAAATGAAAAAGCAGCATTCATGTGGGAGTCAAAACCTATCCTGCACCTTAGGGAGGAATAAAAAAGCCCGTATGTTATTCCTTTTATCTCTGTTGGAGCCAAGGCGCAGATTGACTCAATGGACAGGAAACTGACAGTGATGGAGCAACTGCTGCTTACCTGATTGTTTCATCATGCTTATATCATTCAACTCTCATGCCCACCCTTGAAAGTAGGCAAAATGCCCTCATTTTAGAATTGACAAAAAAATTCAAGCTTAGAAACCTAAATGATTAATCAAAGGTCACTCTGTTAATTTGCAGTGATACAGAGCAAGCCAAAGACATTCTCAGACACCAAGCTTACCTAAACCAACTTCTTTTTCCTGCTCCTGCCAGCATATATAAACACATGCTTTTAAAATAATGACAGGCTAAATCTAGCAATCAAGTCATTATAGCATTCCAGTAAGTCTGCAAGTGACATGTTGTTTTCACCAAAGATGGACCAGGATATGACATTGTCTCCTTCTATTATGCCCAGCCAGCAGACTGACTGTCAGATGCCCACTGCGGTGATCTGTTTAGCAAGGTCAGCTGCTTGATTGCTATGAATAATTGGATGCCATTAATAATGGTCAGCTCCAGGATATAGGAAAGTGGTCAAGCGTGGTAATTGTATTTTGAATTCCAGCAGATTATTTCCTGGGAAGCAGGAAGACAACCACTATATAGGATACAGTTTTTCTAAGTAGAATAGAAATAATTGCTTCCCTAGAGGTGAAGGGGAGAAGCCAAGGGCTCCCGTAATAACATGTGTGACCATATCTAGTAAGAAACATGGAGGTCAAGGTTTTGCAAGTGATGGCTAATGCTATGAAGCCTGGCCATTACCATCACTAAAAGCCTTTACAAGTTCACATTCTTGTTATTCTCTTATTGAGAATAACACTAGAGCTTTACATGTTGAGGGGCCACCACCTAAATTTTGAAGCACCAGTGAGGTTAGACCAATGGCTAATTAGGAAATCTAATACAATTGATATCCATCTGAAAAGGTCAAGCATAAATCTTTTGCTGTTAAATGTGTATTAAATTCTCACCACATATTAAGGGCTGTAGATACTGCAAGATAATTAGGCAAAACATTATTATCTTAAAAAAAAAGCCCTGTCAAAAAATGAAGGGTTTTTAAAAATCTCCCAGGACATAATAATAAAAGTGAGAAATTAAAAAGAGATTGAAAAAAAAAGCACGTGAAAAGGAAAAACTAAAAGTGATTTTAGAGGATAGACTGCAGTATAGGCAACACATAAAGAGCAAAACATTTCATAGAAAAATATAATAGCTATCAGTTTCAGACTTTACTAAAGAAACTATTTCTTAAATTGTCAAGCAATGTGGGCAGAACAAATTAAAGTTAAAACTTATTATAGCAAAGGAAATATGGATGGGAGCATGGAATCATGATACAACTGCCTGAAATGAAATATTCAACACAAGCCTCAATTCTTGCCAGCTTTTCCATTATTTGAAGCTACCAGGAGTTGGATCATTTTGACCATTTTTTTTTTAAGTATTCAGTGTTTGGATGAACTCTACAGTGAAAAGAGATAAACAATCATAGAGCTAAAATTATAAAACTCTCATAAGAAAACATAAGGAATAAGTCTTTGTAACCTTGGGTTACACAATGGTTTCCTGGATCTGGCACCGAAAGATAGGTGACAAAAGAAAACACTTAGGCTGGGCGTGGTGGCTCATGCTTATAATCCCAGCACTTTGGGAGGCCGAGCTGGGCGGATCATGAGGTCAGGAGACCATCCTCGCCAACATGGTGAAACCCCGTCTCTACTAAAAATCCAAAAAATTGGCCAGGCGTGGTGGCTTACACCTGTAATCCCAGCACTTTGGGAGGCCGAGGTGGGCGGATCAAGAGGTCAGGAGATCAAGACCATCCTGGCTACGGTGAATCCCCGTCTCTACTAAACATACAAAAAATTAGCGGGGCCTGGTGGCGGGCGCCTGTAGTCCCAGCTACTCGGGAGGCTGAGGCAGGAGAATGGCGTGAACCCGGGAGGCGGAGCTTGCAGTGAGCTGAGATCACGCCACTGCTCTCCAGCCTGGGTGACAGAGTGAGTCTCCATCTCAAAAAAAAAAAAAAAAAAAACTAAACTAAAAATTAGCCGGGCCTGGTGGCACATGTTTATAGTCCCAGCTACTCGGGAGGCTGAGGCAGGGGAATCACTTGAACACCACACGTGAAAATTGCAGTGAGCCGAGATCACGCCACTGCACTCCAGTCTGGTGACAGAGTGAGACCTCATCTCAAAAAATATATATATATTGGACATTGGACTACATCAAAGTTAAAAACTTTTGTGTTGCAAATGAGATCATCAAGAAAGCTAAAAGATGACCCATGAAACACAAGAAAATACTTGCAAATCATATAGGTGATAAAGGATTTGTATCTCAATACAAATAGCCAAAAAATGAAAAGAACCCAAATGCTGGTCAACTGATAAGTGGATAAAGAAAATGTGGTATATCCATCCAGTAAAGTATTAATCGGCCATAAAAAGGAATGAAGACACTCACTACAAAGACACTCACTACAATGTGTTTGACTCTTGAAAACATTATGAAAAGTGAAGGAATCCAGTCACAGAAGGCCACATATTGTATGATTCTATTTAGGGTACATGTCCAGAATAAGCTAATTTGCAGAGACAGACAGTAGGTTAGGGGTTGTTTAGGGCTGAGGGAAGGATACAGGAGAGAAATGGGGATTGACTGATAATGGGTACAGGGTTTCCTTGAAGGGGGATGAAAATGTGCTAGAACTAGATTATGACGATGGTTGTGCAACCCTGTGAACGTGCTAAAAAAACATACAATTAATTTTACACTTTAAATGGATGAGCTGTATGATGTGAATTCTCTGTCAATAAATGCAAAGCTCCTTTTGAAAAAATCAAACACAAATAAAAACAGCATTGGATATTGGGTGCTTCCCTAGTGACAAGAATTACTGTATTCTCAGAATACGGGTCCAAAAGGGGAGAAGCAACTTGTCCTAGGCCCCACTTTGAGCCAATAATGAAACAAGATCCCTAAGATTTCTGCTTCCAGGTGATTCCCTAGACTCCAGTAACATTGGCAAATTTCTTAACCCTTTATGGTTCAAATTTATTTTTTATTTTTTTTGTTGGTGTCTTTTTCCCTCAGTGATGGTAGTCTTACTGACACATTTGCCCAGAAACATTTCTTTAAGGTGATATAAACGGAAGACAGGATAACCTAAAGGAAGTAGGCAATATCAACCTACAGAAGTCTATTTCCCTGGACAATAGTAAGTTACAAAACCTGGGCATGGTCTAAATAGTTCCCTGAAAAGAGTATTAGATGGAAACATGCATGGTTTTTAGGCCTGAGAAAATTATAGAAACAGGTGATGATCTGTCTATAGAAGTAAGGACCCCAAATCCATATTTCCCAGTCTTTAATAACGCCTACAGGTTAAGCAGGACAGAAACCAGGGTACAGAGGGTCAGTTCTTTGACTTTTGCTCTTAAAGTTAATGCCTTTTCCCAATAGAGAACATCCATTTCCTTCAAGAGCCACTTTTAAGCACACACAAAGCTTTGAGAAGCCAGAAAGGAAAGAAAGAGCCTCATCTCAGCTGCAATATTTCCAGAACCTTCAAGCATCTTATTTTAAAATCAGAAGAGACAAAATGCCTCAGACACCAGTGGTATCCTCATTTGTACAATGGAGAAAGTGAACACCACCTACCCGAAAAAAAAAGCCCAAGTAAGAAAAAGCAGCAAACGTGTGTGTGTGCATATGTGTGTGTGTGTGTGTGTGGCCTATGTGTGCTGGTAGCTCGGGTGCAAAGGTTTCTGGGAGAGCTAAGGCTGAACATCAGAACCTAGAGCATTTTTAGAGTTTTCTAGAACACAGCAGAGATGATACAGAATTTCCTTACGCCTGAAGAGGAGGCGTACACGAGATGGAAGACTGTAAGTTAGATCTTTGTTCTCCCTACTGCACTCTAGGCTTTAAAACAAATTCAATAATTACATAAAATTCAAGATTTATTTTGTCCTCTGTTCGTTCTTTTATCTGTAATACACCTGCAATTTTCAAGCTCCTATTTTCCTTGTTTTCTTTTACTTCTACTTGATTATTTTTATTTATTTTTCTTTTCATAAAATAAAAATGTTTCTCCAAGAGAGCACTGGCAAGCCTTGAGGTAGAGTAAATTAGCCAGTAACCATTTCTTTGACATCTATTCAACCACTACAAACCCACCTGAGAGTGAGGAGGAGAAAAGGTGAGAGAGGAGATTGGTAGGAATAGCACTCCATGTTTTATTCATCTTTTCAGGACACTGTAGAGATTAACTAATTACCCTACACTATGCATCTGTAGGAAAAAGAAGAGTAATCCAGCTGTGCTCTACTTTAAGAAAAACTGATTTATAAAAATTGAATTTATCAAAAATATAAATTATGAAATGAATCAGAAAACATTATTTATAGAAGTGTTCAATATAAGGTTGAATTTTAATAAGAGTGCACCCCTAGAGCATGTAAAATATGACATCATTTATGAAACTTGAATCATTCTTCTACCAAAACCCATTATTTAAAAATCCAAATTTATAAAAACAGATGTATTAGGGGGTTATTTGTTAAATTCATTAAAATATTTCTTTAAATAGCATGCCAATGCCACATCCCACCTCCAGGTACTAAAAATATCATTTGATTTGCTAGCAATTAATTAAATGCAAATTCAGGGAAACACAAGCTACTGTTAGAACTAAATATGCCTGTCTTTGTGTCTTTGTTCCTTTGGGTAAATAGGAAAATTGAAGATCTAAGGAATTCAGCAGTCACTCTCAGATTAATATTTATAATTAAATTCTCCTACTCTCTTATCTATAAAATATCTATCTTCTGTAATACTGATACACAAATAGACATAAATTATTCATGATCGGCCAGGCGCAGTGGCTCACGCCTGTAATCCCAGCACTTTGGGAGGCCCAGGCGGGCGGATCACGAGGTCAGGAGATCAAGACCATCCTGGCTAACACTGTGAAACCCTGTCTCTACTAAAAATACAAAAAAATTAGCCAGGCATGCTTGCGGGCACCTGTAGTCCCAGCTAGTCAGGAGGCTGAGGCAGGAGAATAGCGTGAACCCGGGAGGCGGAGCTTGCAGTGACCCAAGATCACGCCACTGCACTCCAGCCTGGGTTACACAGCAAGACCCTGTCTCAGAAAAACAAAAGAGAAAAAAATTATTCATGATCATGGAAAGAGCAGAGAAACATGACATCAAATAGTGAGTAGCAACAAAATAATTTCATTTTAACTTTTGGCTATATTTCTTATTTGCTTTAGATGTGTACCCAAAATAATTCAATAATCCAAAGATTGGCATTTGAAATATAATTTTCCATGTGCATAAATTGAAGTTGAATAATACTAAGCAGAATTTCTATGAGAAGTAGACCCAGGAATAGAATCCCAACAAGTGCTGTAATTTGAGGGTAGTTCTTAATAAAATATCATGGAGTGTGACAAAGGGCAAGTCCTCTGATTTTAACTGATCAAAGAATAAAAGCAAAGTAAAAGATTTCAGGGGCAGAGTATTACATACTGATGCTTTTCAAACAAATTGCATTTAAAAGTGAAACCCCTTCAAAATATCTGTACCTTAAGCATTCCTTTGACCAACCTGGGACTGACTTTTTAAAAGACAAAAGATGAATTCATTGGCCAGCTTGCATTTTTACTTTTGGAGGCAAAACATGGCAACAGACCTGCTCTCTCTAAAGTATAAGGCCCCAGCCAAATACTCTGTAACACTCTAGAGATCACGGTCTTTTGGGAACAGGCTCCCCAAAATCTGGCCATAAACTGGCCCCAAAACTGGCCATAAACAAAATCTCTGCAGCACTGTGGCATGTTTATGATGGCCATAATGCCCACACTGGAAGGCTGTGGGTTTACCGGAATGAAGGCAAGAAACACCTGGCCCACCCAGGGCAGAAAACCGCTTAAAGGCATTCTTAAACCACGAACAATAGAATGAGCGATCTGTGCCTTAAGGACATGCTCCTGCTGCAGATAACTAGTCAAACCCATCCTTTTATTTTGGCCCATCCCTTCATTTCCCATAAGGAATACTTTTAGTTAATCTATAATTTATAGAAATAATGCTTATCACTGGCTTGCTGTTAATAAATACGTGGGTAAATCTCTGTTCGAGGCTTTCAGCTCTGAAGGCTGTGAGATCCCTGATTTCCCACTTCATACCTCTATATTTCTGTGTGTGTGTCTTTAATTTCTCTAGCACTACTGGGTTAGGGTCTCCCTGACCGAGCTGGTCTCAGCAAGTGGCGTCCATTGTGGGGGCTCGAATCCAGGTTGAAGGGTCACCGGAATGATGGCTGGAGAATGTGGAACTAGCTGGAGGACACCTGAGTACTCTTAAAGCAATCCCTGTGGTGAGTAAGAAGAGGAGCTCAGAAGTGTCAGGGTAACAATGGGACAAGTATGGGCTCTGGTTCATTCTACCTTGGAACTTTTTCACACTGATAATGAGGAGGAAGGAGAGTATAACAAAGTAACAGAAGAGGTTACAGAGCAGGTTTATTTGCCAGCTAAAGCTAAAGCAGCAAAGGAGAGAGAGGTTCATCCCTTCCCTTCTGCACCCCCCTCATTATTATTTTGAAGAAAAAGAGTGGCCTGACCCTCCAGATCTTTCTTTTCTGGAGGACACTGAGCAAAAAGTAGTTGCCCCAGTGACTGTTTGAGCAGCACCTCAAGTGACCGCTCTTAGTTCTATTCAAGCAGGAATTGAGCAAGCTAGATGAGACGGTGATTTAGAGGCTTGGCAGTTCCCTATTAGAATACACCCCCCAGATCAACAGGGAAATATTATAGCTACATTTGAGCCTTTTCCTTTTAAATTAGTCAAAGGATTTAAAGAAGCTATTAATCAGTATGGACCAGGTTCTCCTTTTGTAATGGGACTGTTAAAGAATGTTGCTGTTTCCAGTCGGATGATTCCTACTGACTGGGATGCTCTTACTCGAGCTTGTCTAACTCCTGCTCAGTTCTTACAATTTAAAACTTGGTGGGCAGATGAAGCTTCCATTCAGGCTGCTTGCAACGCCCAGGCCCAACCTCAAATTAATATAACTGCAGACCAACTTTTGGGGATTGGCAGCTGGGCTGGTTGAGATGCACAAGTGGTCATGCAGGATGATGCCATAGAACAGCTTAGAGGAGTGTGTATTAGAGCTTGGGAAAAAATCACTTCAAGTGGAGAACAATACCCTTCCTTTATTGCTATGAAACAGGGACCAAAAGAACCATATGTGGATTTTATAGCTCGGTTACAGGAGTCTCTTAAAAAGGTGATTGCAGATTAAGCTGCTCAGGATATAGTGTTGCAGTTATTAGCTTTTGACAATGCTAATCCTGATTGCCAGGCTGCTCTGTGACCTATCAGAGGGAAAGCACATTTAGTTGATTATATCAAGGCCTGTGATGGTATTGGAGGTAATTTGCATAAGGCTATTCTGCTAGCACAGGGAATGGCAGGACTGAGAATGGATAAAGGAAATACTCCATTTCCTGGAGCTTGTTTTAACTGTGGGAAGCATGGTTATACTAAAAAAGAATGTAGAAAAACTCAGCGAGTCAGGCCACCAGATAGGGGAAAAAAGAAAACTGCTGAGTCTGAAATATGTCCAAAATGTAAAAAAGGAAAACATTGGGCTAATCAGTGTCACTCTAAGTTTGATAAAGACAGGAACCCGATTTCAGGAAACAACATGAGGGGCCCGCCCCGGGCCCCATTCCAAACAGGGGCATTTCCAGCTCAGGCCATTCCCTCACCCCTGTACAATGACTGTCCCCTGCCACAGCTGGTTGTGCCACACACAGTAGATTTATGCTGCACAAGAGCTGTGAGCCTTCTGCCTGGGGAACCCCCACAAAAGGTCCCAACAGGAGTCTGTGGACCCTTGCCAGCGGAGACAATAGGATTACTTCTAGGCAGGTTTGGTTTAAATTTAAAAGGGGTACAAATACACACAGGAGTCATTGATTCAGATTACAGTGGAGAAATTAAAATTGTTTTATCTACTTCTGTTCCCTGGAAATCAGAGCCAGGAGAGTTCATAGCACAGCTCCTTATTGTGCCATATGTGGGAATGGGGAAAAGTAAAATTTAAATGAACAGAAGTATTTGGAAGCACAAATACACAAGGCAAAGCAGCTTACTGGGTAAATCAAATTACTGATAAACGTCCTACCTGTGAAATAACTATTCAGGGAAAGAAGTTTAAAGGTTTGGTAGATACAGGAGTGGACATTTCAATCATTTCTCTACAGCATTGGCCATCCACGTGGCCAATTCAACCAGCTCAACTTAACATAGTTGGAGTTGGTAATGCCCCTGAAGTATATCAAAGTAGTTATATTTTGTATTGTGAAGGGCCCAATGGACAACCTGGGACTATTCAACCAAGTATAGCTTCTGTACCTATAAATTTATAGGGGAGAGATTTATTACAACAATGGGGAGCACAAGTTTTAATTCCAGAACAATTATACAGCCCTCAAAGTCAACATATGATGCATGAAATGGGGTACGTCCCTAGTATGGGACTAGGAAAAAATGTGCAAGGTTTGAAAGAACCGCTTCAAGCAGAAGGACAAAGTTCCCGCCAAAGATTAGTATATAATTTTTGATGGTGGCCACTGTTAAGCCTCCAGAAGCTATACCTTTAAAATGGTTAACAGATAAGCCAATTTGGATAGAACAATGGCCACTAAGTAAAGAGAAACTGGAGGCTTTAGAGAAATTAGTTACTGAACAATTAAAAAATGGGCACATAGCTCCAGCATTTTCCCCTTGGAATTCTCTAGTTTTCGTAAGTAAGAAAAAATCAGGTAAATGGAGAATCTTAACTGACGTAAGAGCCATCAATTCAGTTATACAACCTATCAGAGCATTACAGCCAGGATTGCCTTCTCCTGCTATAATTCCAAAAAACTGGTCTTTAATAGTCATAGATTTAAAAGACTGTTTCTTTATTATCCCCTTAGCTGAGCAAGACTGAATGGTTTGCATTTACAATTCCTGCGGTAAACAACCTGCAGCCTGCTAAGTGTTTTCATTGTTTTACAGATAGGTCTAATAATGGTAAAGCTTCTTATTCTGGCTCAAAAAGTAAAGTTTTATAGATGCCCTATACTTCAGCTCAAAAAGCGAAGCTTGTAGCTGTAATTGAGGTATTGACTGCTTTTGATATGCCTATTAATATAATTTCTGATTCTTCATACGTGGTTCATTCCACACAGTTAATTAAAAATGCTCAGTTATGATTTCATACAGATAAACAACTGATGACAAAAACAAAAAAGGGGGAGAAATAGGGATTACGGGACAGCCCATACACAATTGAATCTAGCATTATTAACTTTAAATTTTTTGAGCCTGCCCAAAGGCCAGATGTTATCAGCAGCTGAACAGCATCTACAAAAACCAGCTGCAAAGACAGAAGCAAAACAATTGGTTTGGTGGAGATATCCGATAACAAAAAGTTGGAAAATATGTAAAATAATAACTTGGGGTAGAGGTTATGCTTGTGTTTCTCCAGGCCAAAATCAACAGCCGATTTGGATACCATCAAGACACCTGAAAAGTTATCACAAGCCAGATGCCAAGGAAGAGATTCTGGGGAGGATCCCGAGGACCCCCAGTTGCAGCCATGTCGATACTGACACTGAGGAGGACCCCAACTGTCACGAGCAACACCCGTTGAACACAGACACCCACCTGGGGACAGATCAAAAAGCTGTCACAGATGGCAAAAGAAAACCTAAGGAAGGCAGGACAGCCAGTCACAATAAGTAATTTAATGGTAGCTATGATAACGGTGATCACCACTGCCGTGAGTATTCCTTCAATAAGGGCTGACTCAGAGAACAATTATACTCATTGGGCATATTTATCAATCTTGGCTGGCAATAGTGCCTGGATGTAATCACTCTATAACACAGTTACACATGCTTTCTGATCTCAGTATTTACCATAATAAACCTGCTCCTATAATTGAAGTATATCACCCTCAAAAACTTTTTTGTAAACAGGATTGGACCCAGTCAGAAAAAATGAACATACTTGTTTAGGAAGATTGCATTGCAGAACAGGCAGAGGAGCTGCACAACGATTCCTATGGAATCATTATTAATTGGTCCCCTAAGGGGATGTTTAGCTTAAGTTGTACCTCTCAGCCTGCATGCCACAGCCACACTATGTTCAGCTGATCCGAACCAAACAGTCAGATGGTAGAAATGGCAAGAAGTACGGCCAGAGTTCCTACTATCTGGAACCATGGTGGTATAGTGGCACCTCAACCTCAAATGATATGGCTCGCTGTAGGAGCTAAACATAAGGATTTATGGAAACTATTAATAGCTCTTAGTAAGATCAAAATTTGGGAAAGAATAAAAAAGCATCTAGAAGCACATTCTACAAACTTGTTTTTGGATGTTGCAAAATTAAAAGAACCAATATTTGAAGCATCCCAGGCACACCTGACCTTAATGCCAGGAAATGGAGTGCCTGAAGGAGCTGCAAACAGACTAGCAGCTAGTAACCCATTAAAATGAATAAAAATACTTGGAAGCTCTGTAATTTAAACGATGATTGTGCTTTTAATCTGTGTTGTTTGTCACTGTATAGTCTGCAGATGCAGATCCTGATTCCTGCGAGAAGTAGCTCACCATGACAAAGCTGCCTTTCCTTTTATCGATTTGTAAATCAAAGAAGGGGGACATGTTGGGAACAGCGCCCCCCCACCCAAATCTAGCCATAAATTGGCCCCAAAACTGGCCATAAACAAAATCTCTGCAGCACTGTGACATGTTCATGATGGCCATAACACCCACACTGGAAGGTTGTGGGTTTACCGGAATGAGGGCAAGGAACACCTGGCCCGCCCAGGGCAGAAAACCACTTAAAGGCACTCTTAAACCACAAACAATAGAATGAGCGATCTGTGCCTTAAGGACATGCTCCTGCTGCAGATAACTAGCCAAACCCATCCTTTCATTTTGGCCCATCCCTTCGTTTCCCATAAGGAATGCTTTTAGTTCATCTATAATCTATAGAAACAATGCTTATCACTGGCTTGCTGTTAATAAATACGTGGGCAAATCTCTGTTCGAGGCTCTCAGTTCTGAAGGCTGTGAGACCCCTGATTTCCCACTTCACACCTCTGTATTTCTGTGTGTGTGTGTCTTCAGTTCCTCTAGCACCGCTGGGTTAGGGTCTCGGCGATGGTCTCGGCAATGGTCAAAGTGGCTTAGAAATTTGTGCAAGCATTACCATCTCCCAAATCAAAGTCTAAAATATTAGTTCAAGGTGAGAAATATGTACTATAAATTCTCTTAAGATGATTCATTAGAAGTCCAGAGAATTTGAGCTTTGCGGCAATAGAGCTGAAGGTTTGACCAACAAAAAAGCAACGTAATGAATTTAAAACTGAATACATGCCCAGTATTCCAGATAATTCCAAGGTAGGCAAAACATGAAGCTTCATGTAAGATTCTCATATTGACTAAGACTTTTAACTTATTAATGCACTCCCTCTCTAATAAAGTCTGACAAGGCCAGGTAAAAGGAAATATTCTTGATAAAATAGGAGCATGGAACTAAATAGCACAAGGGAATAAAATTGCTTCTAATAATCTATTTAAAGACTCTATTAAGTAATGCTGGTTCACTTTGAATCTGATATTGGAGCTACCTATGAGTTCCACATGAATATGGAGTGATTAAAAACAATTCTCTCAGACAATGAGTATTAAAGCAGGTTCTGCTTGTGGAAAACAGATAAGGGGCCTTTTGGCAAAATCAAAACACTAGGACTGAATATACATATGGGGTATTCTTTGAGAGGGAAGCTATGGCTGAATGGAGATTTAAAAAACAAAACAGTGCTATGAATAGGGACAGCCATGCATGTAATTTTTGTCAAGACAAATTGGCTGATTAAACCTGTTAGATATTGTAATAATACAAAAGAAGAGCTGGTGAGAAAATTCAGTGAGCTCAAATGAATAATAAAACTGAAAATGAAAAAAGATTACAACATCACTTCAAAAAATGGAGCTAATAATAATGTTCTTTGTGTCCATGGCATCTTTTATCATAGCAGTTCAGAGCATTTCACAGAATCACTGAATCATGACTTTTATAGTTGATAGCAGCCAAAAAGATGATCACGTCCAAACATGTGTCCAAACCTTCTGTCTCCTATACAACATCCCCCCCACACAGTCACACAATCTATGTGAACCCTCCAATAATCTTATTTCCTCCTGAGTGCACCATGTGAGATCCATACGAGGAGGGTCCAGAATATTCATACTTATCATTTTCTTTGCAATGAAGCACACAGCAAAATTATATATTGGGCAGAGCAGTAAGTTGGTAAGACAAGAGAACAGGAAAACAAGAGAAGACTACAAAAGTTTGTACTCCACCAACAGGAAATGTCTGATGTCCTGGGCAGGAGGCAGGTCACTGGTTCTGGCAGTACCTCTGCACTTCAGGTGAAAGAATCATCATTAATCATTTCCCCAACCATGAGAATTTGTGGCTTCATGTCTAATAGCATGTGGGTTACCTTGTCCTGATATTTACAAATGAAAACTGGCATAGAGGTAATCATCTCAATAGGTAGCGAAGAAAATCAATCTCATTTCTTCTTGAAGGAAACACTTTGATATGTGAACAAATATTTCTGTGGCTTGGAGGCTGTGACTGTAGCCACCATGGGGCCATTTTGATGCACATGTAGGAATTACGTCAGCCCACAGTTATCCCATAGGGGCCTCTTCTAGGGCCAAGATTATGGGTCACTGGGGAAGCAGGTCAGTTGGAAAAGTCTGTGGATTGTAAACTTTAGTCCAGCTGATTCTGGTGATATCCTTCAGCATTGATTACCCAGCACATGCTCAGAAAGCATTAAGCTTCCAGGTATCAACAAAATTCTTCCATATTCTCAGGGATCCTTTAACCCTAGAGAAAGAACCCAGAACCAGAGTACATTCTACCAATTTAAGGATGGATAGGCTGGCCACCTAATTTTTCTACCTCAGAGACCTCCTAGGGCAGAGATTCTTAACTCTTAACCCAAGGTCCATGGATAAATACAGGGGGTCTATGAATTTGATTGGAGGTTATATATATTTTTATTTTACTTTTACTAACAACTAACTGAAGTTTAGCATGTTATTTAACTATGAATAAGCAAAAAAAACTATAGTGGAATCAATGGTACCTGTTACTTTGTCACCAATGGAAATCACAGATATTTTTATACCATATTACTACTGGTCCAGATATCTCAAAATATGCTCATCCTGTTGCAATATAATGGAAGTTACTAGGCACATCAGATCTTGTTATTTAACATGTTAATAAAATGCATATGTATTGCTATATCACACGTTTGTTTTTTAATATGATGATATATTTCAATATAATTATATATAGAGAGAAAGCATTTGTAATATAATTGGGTTCCTTTGTAGCCCTAGTTATTTTAATTTTTACTTCACCTGGCCTCCAAGGTAAACATGGTACAAGGGGGTACAGGGTACCAAAAACATGGAAGAAAAAAAAGAAAGAGAGAGAAGTTCAGAGGCATTATTCAGGGCTGATATGGGGGTTGTTTGCACAGGTTAGTATATGGCCCTGCAGGAGAAATAAGGCCACATAACATTGCACTTGATTAATGTTACACTGCTAATCAGGAACCACCAGAGGACAGCCCTGTTTGAAAGCTGTGCCTCCACGTGCACAAGCCCACTTCCTGAGAGGGCTGTGGCAAAGACTTGGACTCTAAGTGTCACAGACACAGTGAACGGGCACAGATGTGCATATCCTGTCCCTCTCCCCAGTCCCTACTCCATCATTCATTTCCTATTTCTTCACATGAAATTAGAATGATCTCTTCTGTGTCCTCTCAATTTCATTTTTCCCCATCATATCCCTATTTCTCAATGTTGATCTGCTAGGCTTCCTTCCTTGTACCTCTGATTATATATATATATATATATATATATATATATATATATATATATATATATATATTTACTATATATATATTTTTTACTATATATATATTTATTACGTTCCCTGCTTCCACCATGGATGACGCTTACAGCCACCAGCTGCTCTGTGGGAGCATGTGACTTTAACAGTTTCAGATGTCCCCAAACCACACCAGCTGTCCTATAACAGGTATCATCAGAGCACAGAGAGGAGGAGTGCCCACAGGTGGAGGCAGCACAGCTTCCCGTCTGGGAATTCCCTGGTGAGTAAGTCTGGCTCACAGCTACTACGCAAGCCCGCAACAAATATTTCCCAGGTTCAGATTCAGATCTGCTCCCATTATAGTCTTCAAATTCTGCTAACTGGAAGAAATTAAATTTTATTTTATTTTATTTTGAGATAGGGTCTTGCTCTGTTGCCCAGGCTGGAGTGCAGTGGTGTGATCTCGGCTCACTGCAACCTCCACCTCCTGGGTTCAAGCGATTCTCCTGCCTTGGCCTCCCAAGTAGCTGGGATTACAGGCATGTGTCACAAACACCTGGCTAATTTTTGTACTTTTAGTAGAGACGGGGTTTCGCCATGTTGGCCAGGCTGGTCTCTGACAGCTGGAGGACTTCATAAGCAGACAATAAAATCAGTGCCAAAAGAGAAGAAATCAGTGCCCAGAAAATAAACCTAGAACAGGATGAATCTGCATAGGAAAAAGAGCACGTACTGACAGACAACAGAATTCCTCCCTCATTAGAAGGGTCGTTACAAGGAAGGAAGAGAGAGAGGAAGGAAGAAAGGAAGCTGCAAGTCACTTCTCATTAAGACATCATCAATATTATCTGAACAACAGAGAAAAAAGATGGGCAGTCACCAACAAGTGGCTGAGTTTCTTCACTGACTAGACACGGGTTAGCTACAAGCAAAGCTTACATTTGTATTGCCATTCTATTCTGATTATCTGACAGAGCAGCTCTTCCAAAACAAATTTTAAATGGACCCTTCTGCAGAATACGTTGTTTCCTTCTGCCTCAGGAAGATACTCAAGTCAGAGAGAGACACAGAATCCCAATTGTTGAAAGCGGTATGTGTTGCTGCCAACATGATTATTTACAAAGGCCAATCAGACCATGTCACTCTCTTGCACAACACCCTGCAAGAGAGTCACATTGCACTGGGAATAAAGGGCAACCTCCTTCCCATAGTTTCCCTTTCTGACCTGGCTACAGTCGACTTCTCCGTCTCATCTTGGGCCAACCCCACCCAACTTCAATCACTGGCCTCTTTCTTTGTTGCTCAAGAAAATCATATTTTCCCATTCAGAGCCTTTTCTCTTCTTATTCCTTGGCCTGGACCATTTAATTCCCAAATCTTTCCATGACTAACCCTTTCTTGCCATTTACGTTTTAGCTCAAATGCCACTATAGCAAAGAGGGTTTCTTGACCACCAAACTATACTACTCCACGTCCTGATCCCATCCATTTCACCATCTTACTTCATTTCTTCAGAGTAGCAATCTTGTATGGAATTCTTATTCTTTGCTTACCTTCCCATCTTCTCCATGACAGCAAGAACTTTATCAGCCTTTTCCACAGCCATACTGCCAGCCATTAGGGCTCCTAGCACATAGCACTCAATATATATTTGTGTGGATCAAGTGAATGTTAAATGACTATCCTGGCTTGGAATGAGTTAATGGTGTAACCCATTTTCCAAGCTCTGATAGTTGGAGCTTGAATCTGACATCGGAGGTCAGCACACAAACACAGTTGCAGAAGGAATCTCCTTTCTGGAGATAAAGTATACCAGTAACATCAAAGTATTTTATTTTGTATCATTTAGTTAGAATCGTTGGCCATTCCTACCTACCACAAGAGGGGGATTGGAGGGGAGTGCAATACAGTTAATTCTGAGCTATGGTACAAAAATATACATTAATTTGATAGGGAAAAATACCACTATTGCCACGTCATACACTAAGAAGCAACAGGCACCAAAGAATAAGGATGAGTTTCTAAGTCAGACTCAGAGTCACATCACACCCCAGGTCTTCCATCTCTCTTACTGACTGAATTGCGACCCCCCCTAAAAAAAATCATATGTTGAAGCCCTAACCCCTAATGTGACTGGATTTTGAGATAAGTCCTTTAAGGAGGTAATTAAGGTTAAATGAAACCTATACAGTATGGCCCTAATGAAGTAGGACTAGTGACCTCCAAAGTAAAGAGGAAGATAATGCCAGAGATCATTGATCTTGATCTTTCTCTCTCTTTTTATGCAGAGTATCACAGAAGGTGCCCAAAGGTCACTGTGAAACCTACTAAAGCCTACTATGATCAACGCCTCAGCGAATCACCTGTTTGCATCCCACTAATCACTGAATGTATTTGTCAATATGAAGGCAACTGAATAACCAATTAAGAAGCCAAAATGGTCTGTCAGCACCATGTAGAACATACAGTTTAGTGGTAAGACTAAATCACTATCAAACAAATAAATTAGAAGGAGGCTTTTCAACTCTGGCCAATAGATTTGTCTTTATAGACGTGGCATTTATGAATTTGGAATATTTAAAAAACCAAATAAATTATCTGGTAATAAATATTTAGTAATCATCTGAATACCAAATAACGTAATTTATTTTTAAGTAAATGTTGTTCCTTTAGGCAACTCACATCATATGTCTATGCCTCAGGTGCCTCACGTATAAAAAGGGGAAGCTGACACACCTTATCGTAAAGGCATTTCTAGCTCTCAGGGTCTAGTAAGAATCCTCTCTCCTACCTGACCCCCACTGCCCCTGCCTTTTGATCAGTTGCACACACTTACAGGTCAGCCACCTACAGTTAGCAGTACAGTCTGGATCAATGAAATCAGACAAAGTTTATGTCTTCAAAACACCCCCAGTACTTTAATATCTCTGTAATTCAACCTCTTCTAAAGCTAGGGATTGAAAGGTAATATTAGCATATTAACTCTGGCGCTTGTGTTCATTCTCTGGTGGGGAATGTAAACTGACAGTGCTAATAACACATTTTTCATGGCTCAGATCATCATCATTGCACCAGAAAACCTGTTTGATATAACTTAGCCCACCCCTATGTGAGCTAAATTCCAAGTACTATTCGAGATTTATATTGTGTCTGGTCCCAGAGGAGCATGCAAAGAGCCTCAGTTCCTGGGAAAGGCTTACAGAGGCTTTATGGGTGCTTACATCTGGATCCTGAGTGCACAACAAAAGAGAAGGGCTGGATTTGCTGTGCATGTTCACTAAAATAGCCTGAAGGATGTGTTTTTCTCTTTTTAAAAGATGAGGGTGTTAAGTGGGTATTTTTTTTTCTTGAAAGGTTTGAACTTGCATATGAAGCATTTGGTCAGACAACCGCAAGGATGTGTGTCCTTCTGATAAAACCCAGAATTGTGTTCTATGCCCTGCAGAAATCTCCACAGTATTCTCTTGATGTGATTTCCAGTCAAGAGTCTGACAACATGAAAAAGCACATTTGGGTCCCTAACACCTTCCTATTGCTGAAGCTTCCAATAGCATGTCCAAAACAATTCTCAATATTTATTTTGTGCACTTTTTCTTTGTTAACTGACAAATAAAAATTATAAATATTTATGGTGTACATGATGTTTTGAATGTGTATACATCATGAAATGGCAAACTTGAGGTACTTAGCATATGTACTACCTCATACTTTTTTTGTGGTAAAAACATTTAAAATCTACTTTCTTAGAATTTTCAAGAATAAAATATATTGTCATTAACTATAGTCACCATAATGTACATCTTTGAACTTATTCCTCCCGTCTGAGTAAAATTTTATATCCTTTAACTAATATCTCTCCAATCTCTCTTGTGTACTTTTAAAAAAGTCACTCTGATGTGAAGAATGTTTTCCCACTCATCTTACCATGAAATAAAACCCATTTTATACCACAATTATAGAAACAACATTTAATTTAAATACTGAAATATTTGTGTAATTGTTTTCCATATATTTGTATGCTTCAACAGTTATTAATTATAAACACGGAGGTTTTATCTCTGCTTTTAAGAAATTAATACCATTTAATGGACTCGTGCTTTTGAACGACTGTAAAGCAAGAAAAAAATTCATTGGGATGAAAACTCTCTCTCTGTATATACATATAAGTCTAGAGATATCTAAAGAGAGTCTACAGTTAGAGATATCTATACATAGATATATATCACGCATCTAAGTGATTTTCATTATAGAAAATAATATTGTTCATAATATAAATCATAAAATAAAACATTAAGGCCTGGCGCAGTGGCTCACGCCTGTAATCCTAACACTTTGGGAAGCCAAGGCGGGTGGATCACGAGCTCAGGAGATTGAGACCATCCTGGCTAACACGGTGAAACCCCGTCTCTACTAAAAATACAGAAAAATTAGCCGGGCATGGTGGCTGGTGCATGTAATCCCAGCTACTTGGGAGGCTGAGGCAGAAAAATGGCACGAACCTGGGAGGTGGAGCTTGCAGTGAACCAAGTTCACGCCACTGCACTCCAGCCTGGGTGACAGAGCGAGACTCTATCTGATAAATAAATAAATAAATAAATGCCGAGAGCGGTGGCTCATGCCTGTAATCCCAGCATTTTGGGAGGCCGAGGCAGGTGGATCACGATGTCAGGAGATAGAGACCACCCTGGCTAAACACGATGAAACCCCATCTCCACTAAAAATACAAAAAATTAGCCAGGCGTGGTGGCGGGCACCTGTAGTCCCAGCTACTCTGGAGGCTGAGGCAGGGAAATGGCTTGAACCTGGGAGACGGAGCTTGCAGTGAGCCAAGATGGCACCACTGCACTCCAGCCTGGGCAACAGAGCAAGACTCTGTCTCAAAAAAAATAAATAAATAAAATAAAAATAAATAAATGACTCTGTCTCAAAAAAATAGAAATAAAATAAAAATAAATAAATAATAAATAAAATAAATCAATATAAAACATTAAATCACATAGAAAAACATACAATAAAATGTAAAACTTTAACTTTTTTATTCTTCTCCCCATTTTCCATTTTAACTCTCCAGAAATAACAAAAAGTTTTTTCTTTCCAGAATTTTTTTCCAAGAAAACAAGTGTGTGTGTATAAAAATATATGTGTATATATAAGCATGCACATATACACACATACACACACAGCCCATGTGTGTGTTTAGGTATATATACTACATATATCTTTCTTTATTAACTGGTGCTGATAACTACGCTAGAAGCCAATCATATAAACCAGATTTTTGGCAGGGAACTCAGAAATAAAATCTTGCCATTTTACATAGCTGTATTTTCCTATAGGAAAAAAATATGTGGCCGGGCACTATGGCTCATGCCTGTAATCCCAGCACTTCGGGTGGCCATGACAGATGGATCACCTGAGGTCAGGACTTTGAGACCAGACTGGACAACATGGTGAAACCCCGTCTCTACTAAAAACACAAAAAATTTAGCCAGATGTAGTGGCGGGCACCTGTAATCCCAGCTACTCAGGAGTCTGAGGGAGGAGAATTGCTTGAACCCCAGGAGGTGGAGGTTGCAGTGAGCTAAGATTGCGCCATTACACTCGAGCCTGGGCGACGAGCGAAACTCCGTCTCAAAAAAAAGCGTGTGTATGTGTGTGTGTGTGTGTGTGTATTCTGTTGCTGAACATATATTATGTATGCTAAACATATCTAATATTTATATTATATATATCTAAATTTATTATATAAATATATCATACTAATTATATATAATTATAATTATATTGTAATTCTTCATTATTAATTATATGTATATTTATATTAAACATATTATATCATGTATATTATATTATATATTATTTCATATTTACATAACATTTAATATATATCATATATGTTTAGCAATAGAAGTTATAAGAATGATAACTATTCATTATTTAGTATTTACTCTTTACCAGGGCAGTGCCTAGCACTAAACAAGCATATTACCTATATTATCTCACTGAAAACTTACAATAACTCCATGAGAGATGCGTTATTCAGATTTTACAGATAAATAACTGAAAATTAAAGAAGCTAAATAATTTGTTCACGATCAAACGATTTGTGGTCAATGCAATATTGCAGAGCCAACAATGTTAATTCGTATACCTTTTTGTTAGATTTGTAACTTTGGGAACAAATGATAAATAAAAAATATATTTTCTGGAAAAATATGAGAAGACAAAATAAACTATTTGCTAGTATACAGGTGAAGAAAAAATAATTTTTGCCCACATAGCAATTTATTAAACAAATTCCAAAAATGAAAGTTATTTTATAAGCAAGTTATGCCATACAGTCAGAGAAAGAGAGAGAGAGGAAGAAACAGAGAGACAGAGAAGGAGTCAGAGAGAAAGAGGGACAGACACAGAAAGTCAAAGACAGAGTTAGAAAGAGAGGAAGAGACAAAGAAGAAGTCGAAGAGAGAAAGAGAGAGAAAGAAATAGTAAAGAAAAAAGCAGTGTACCCTATTCCTTTAAAAGCCAGGGTAAATTTCTGTCTACCCAGCCAAGGCATATTCTACTTATGTGGATCTTCAACCCATATCTGCCTCTCAGACAGTTTGCAAGAAATAACAAAACCTATCCTTACTCTACAATCCCAAATAGACTCTTTGGCAGCAGTGACTCTCCAAAACCGCCAAGGCCTAGACCTCCTCACTGTTGAGAAAGGAGGACTCTGCACCTTCTTAGGGGAAGAGTGTTGTTTTTACACTAACCAGTCAGGGATAGTATGAGATGCCGCCCGGCGTTTACAGGAAAAGGCTTCTGAAATCAGACAACACCTTTCAAATTCTTATACCAACCCCTGGAGTTGGGCAACATGCCTTCTCCCCTTTCTAGGTCCCGTGGCAGCCATCTTACTGTTACTCACCTTTGGAACCTGTATTTTTAACCTTCTTGCCAAATTTGTTTCCTCTAGAATCGAGGCCACTAAGCTACAGATGGTCTCACAAATGGAACCCCAAAAGAGTTCAACTAACAACTTCTACCAAGGACCCCTGGACTGACCCGCTGGCACTTCCACTGGCCTAGAGAGTTCCCCTCTGGAGGACACTAGAACTGCAGGGCCCCTTCTTTGCCCCTATCCAGCAGGAAGTAGCTAGAGTGGTCATCAGCCAAATTCCCAACAGCAGTTGGGGTGTCCTGTTTAGAGGGGGGATTGAGAGATGACGGCATGCTGGCAGCCCTCACAGCCCTCGCTCGCTCTCGGCGCCTCCTCTGCCTGGGTGCCCACTCTGGCGGCACTTGAGGAGCCCTTCAGGCTGCCGCTGCACCGTGGGAGCCCCTTCCTGGGCTGGCCAAGGCCGGAGCTGGCTTCCTTGGCTTGCAGGGAGGTGTGGAAGGAGAGGCGTGGGCGGGAACTGGGGCTGCACATGGCGCTTGTGGGCCAGCACGAGTTCCAGGTGGGCATGGGCTCGGCGGGCCCCACACTCGGAGAGGCCGGCCGCAAGCCCCGGGCAGTGAGGGGCTTAGCACCTGGGCCAGCAGCTGCTGTGGTCAATTTCTCGCCAGGCCTTAGCTGCCTCCCCGCAGGGCAGGGCTTGGGTCCTGCAGCCCCCCATGCCTGAGCCTCCCCACACCGCTGTGAGCTTCACTCACGAGACCACGAACCACCAGAAGGCCGAACACATCCCAACATCAGAACGAACAAACTCCGGACACGCCGCCTTTAAGAACCGTAACACTCACCGTGAGGGTCCGCGGCTTCGTTCTTGAAGTCACTGAGAGCAAGAACCCACCAATTCTGGACACAATACCATTCCCAGGCATTTCCCCTTTGAAGACAGTGGGCAAGGTTTGTCAACTTTGGTGACTTCCTCTTTTTAAACTTCCCTTTCCTGGTTCCACCACATTTCCCAATTCCTTGGATTGAGACAAGCCAGTAGACCTTGCTGACTTTCTTTCCTCATACTGCCTCTCTTCCAGTTCTCCTTTGCAGGCACTCAAGTTATGGATCCTTCTCTCCTTCCCCAGCCCCCAAAGTTCCACCCCACCATAACCTCACCAGCTCAAAACAAAAGCCAACACTCCAGAGGAAAAGACTTCACCGGGGGGGAAATATTGCAATTTTATTCTTCCTGGGAGAAGATGGCTCTTGCCCACTGCAGCCCATGCCAACCCTCCTTTCTCACCCCAAGAGGAGGATGGGGAGCCATATTCAACCAGAGACAGGGCCACGAAAGTAAAAACAGATCTGGAATGCTGTAGCAAAGAAAAGGAGTAGGGGGCATGGAGGAAGGGAGAAATGCTATAGCCCTAGAGGAGGGACAGAAACACTTGTAAAAGACATACCCCAAGACATAGGCCTAGTGATAGACTGAGACTTAATCAGAAAATTAAAGCATGCTCTTTCTTCCCAACACCCACCATGACACTAGCAAGTCCCAGTATAATAATGGTGGATTCAAGTTAAAAGAACTGCAAGACATACTCTTCCTTGAGAGCAATACAGAGAAAAGTCCCAAAGCCAAGAAATGAAAAGAAACAAGGTATTACTGGAATTTGATGCCTCTGATAGCTGTCACTACAACAAACATTAAATAACTTTCTATCTCCTCACCATATTTTAACACAAATTCTTGTAATAAATACCTATTTATCTCAGTATCTGTCACCCATAAAACACATCCAGCTTTCAGAAAAAATACAAACTATGCCAAAGACAAGACACACTCTGAAGACACAAAGCAATCATCAGAACCAAACTCAACTATGACACAAATGTTAGAATTATCAAACAAGGAATTAAAAATAGCTAAAATTGGGGCCGGGTGCAATGGCTCACGCCTGTAATCCCAGCACTTTGGGAGGCTGAGGCAGGCATATCATTAAGTCAGGAGTTCCAGACCGGCCTGGCCAGCATGGTGAAACCCCATCTCTACTAAAAATACAAAAAAAAAAAAAAAAAATTAGCCAGGCATGGTGGTGCATTCCTGTAGTCCCAGCTACTCAGGAGGCTGAGGCAGGAGAATTGCTTGAACCTGGCAGGTGGAAGTTGCAGTGGACCAAGATCATGCCACTGTACTCCAGCCTGGGCGACAGAGTGCGAGTCTGTCTCAAAAAAAAAAATAGCTAAAATTAATATGTTAAAGGCTACAAGGGAAAAGATAGATAACTGGCTAGATTGGTACTGTCTGCAGAGAGAGAGAAATTTTAAAAACAAACCACAAGGAAATGCTAGAAATCAAAACACATTAAGAAAAGTAAAGAATGTCTTTAATGGGTACTTCGTTAGACTCAACACTGCTGAGGAAACAATCAGTGAACTTGAAGACATGTCCTCTGAAACTTCCCAAACTGAAATTACAAAAGAAAAAGGAATGAAGAAAAAAAAAGGAACAGAACATCCAAGAACTGTGAGACAACATTAAAAAGAGTAATGTACATGTAATTAGAATATCAGAAGGAGAAGAAAAAGGTAATAGGGCAGAAGGAATATTTTATGTAGCAATGACAAACAACTTCTCAAAATTAATGACAGATGGCAAACCACAGATCTATGAAATTCAAAGAAAAAAAAGTTACTTTGGCTGGGCGCAGTGGCTCACGCCTGTAATCCCAGCACTTTGGGAGGCCAACACGGGCGGATCACAAGTTCAGGAGATGGAGACCATACTGGCTAACACGGTGAAACCCTGTTTCTACTAAAAATACAAAAAACTAGCCAGGCGTGGTGACGGGTGCCTGTAGTCCCAGCTACTCGGGAGGCTGAGGCAGGAGAATGGCGTGAACCCGGGGGAGGCAGAGCTTGCAGTGAGCCGAGATCGTGCCACTGCACTCCAGCCTGGGCGACAGAGCAAGACTCTGTCTCAAAAAACAAAACAAAAAAAAATAGTTATTTTTAAAAACGAAGATATACATCAAAAGATAACACTTAAGCATATCATAGTCAAAATGCAGAAAACCAAAGACAAAAAGAAATTATTGAAGGACCCTAGAAGAATAAAGTGTCTTAACTACAGAGGAAACAAGATAAAAATCATAGTAGACTTCCCATCAGAAACCACACAAGAAAAAGAAAGTGGAGTGAAATCTTTAAAATGTTGAAACTAAACAAGAAAATACCAACCTTGAATTCTACATTCAACAAAATTATTATTATCATTGTCATTATTTTGAGACAGAGTCTCACTCTGTCACCCAGGCTGAAGTGCAGTGGCATGATCAGCTCTCAACTGCAACCTCGACCTCCTGGGCTCAAGGTATCCTCCCACCTCAGCCACCCAAGTAGCTGGGACTATAGGCATGAGCCCCCATGTGTGGCTAATTTTTTGCATTTTTTAGTAGAGATGGGGTTTCACCATGTTGACTAGGCTGATCTCGAACTCCTGGATTCATGTCATCCACCCACCTCAGCCTCCCAAAGTACTGGGACTGCAGGCATAAGCCACCTCATCAGGCCTAAAATTATTTTTCAAAAGTGAAACACCTATTCAGACAGAGAATGCATTGCCAGCAAATCTGTCCTACAGTTAATGTTTTGGTGTTTTGCTTTAGCTTTCTTTGTATAAATGTATGGGGTATAAGTGTAATTTTGTCACATGAATATACTGAAAAAAGTCAGGGCTTTTAGTGTATGTGTAACCCAAATCACGTATATTGTACCCATTAAGTAATTTCTTCATCCACACCCCTTCCATAGTCCCCACCTTTCCAAGTCTCTACTGACTATCATTCTACACTTTATGTTCAAGTGTACACATTATCTCCAACTTATAAGCAAGAAGATGCAGTATTTGTCTTTGTTTCTGAGTTGTTTCACTTAAAATAATGGCCTCCAGTTCCATCTATTTTGCTGCAAAAGATGTGATTTCATTCTTTATTATGGCTGAATAGTATTACCTAGGCAAAGAATTTATGACTAAGACCTCAAAAACATAGGCAACAAAGACAAAAATAGACAAATGGGACTTAATTAAAACTAAAAAGCTTCTGCACAGCAAAAGAAAAAAATCAAGAGTGAATAAGGAAACTGCAAAATGGGGAAAAATATTTGCAAACTATCCATTCAACAGGGGACTAATATCCAGAATTTACCAAGAACTCAAACACTCCAAAAAATATTAAAAGAAGTTTTTGAGGCAGATGGATATTTAAAGAGGTAAAAAACTTGGATCTACATAAAGAAAAGAAGAGCATCAGAGAAGGAATAAAAGTAAAAACAATTTTTCTTAATTTATCTACAAGACAACTGCTAAAAGCCATAATAGTAACAATGTGTTAGGTGATTATAGCATAAGAATAAGTAAAATAAATCACAATATCATGAGGGACAGGAAACAGTTATTGAGAACAGTCTGGTGCAAACTCTACACTACACATGAAATGGTATAGTACTATTTAAAGATGAACTTAGAAGTATATTGTAAATCACAGAGCAATCACTAAAAATGTTTTTTAAAAAAGAAATATAGGCTGGGCGCGGTGGCTCACACTTGTAATCCCAGCACTTTGGGAGGCCAAGGCGGGTGGATCACGAGGTCAGGAGATCAAGACCATCCTGGCTAACATGGTGAAACCCCATCTCTGCTAAAAATACAAAAAAAAAAAAAATTAGCTGGGTGTGGTGGCTGGCACCTGTATTCCCAGCTACTCAGGCAGCTGAGGCAGGAGAATGGCATGAACCCAGGAGGCAGAGCTTGCAGTGAGCCAAGATTGCGCTACTGCATTCCAGCCTGGGCAACAGAGCAAGACTCCGTCTCAAAAAAAAAAAAAAAAAAAATATATATATATATATATATATACACACACATGTACACATATATATACACACATATACACATATATATACACACATATATACACACATATATATACACATATATATACACACACATATATACACACATATATATATATATAAGATACCAAGAGAGAAGATAAAACTGAATTATGTAAAATAAAACCAGAAAAAGAGGGGAAAAGAACTAATGCAACAAGTAGAAAATAATTCCAAATATGATAAAACATAATGGTGCTATATCCACAACCACATTAAATATGAACAGTCTAAACAGGCCAATTAAAAGACAGTGATTGTCATATTGGAGAAAAAGAAAAGCTGCAACTATGTGACCTACAGAAAGCCCACTTTAAATATAAGTAAGCTCTTACAAATTGTGACCACATATAGTCCTCTCAAATTGTGTATATATAAATTGCATAAGTGTTAGCCTCCAGAAAGATCACGAAAGTGACATTTGAAACGAAAGGAGGGCCAGACATGGTGGCTCATGCCTGTAATCCCAGCACTTTGGGAGACCGAGGCAGTTGGATCACCTGAGGTCAAGAGTTCGAGACCAGCCTGATCAACAAGGTGAAACCCCATCTCTACTAAAAACACAAAAATTAGCCGCGCATGGTGGCAGGCACCTGTAGTCCCAGTTACTCGGGAGGCTGCGACAGGAGAAGTGCTTGAACCCAGGAGGCAGAGGTTGCAGTGAACCGCGATCATGCCACTGCACTCCAGCCTGCGTGACGGAGCAAGACTCCATCTCAAAAAGAAAAAAGAAAAAAAGAAAGAAAGAAAGGAAAGGACATCTTTGCTATAAGAAGATGTTCATTTCCTAGGGCTGCTATAGCAAATTACCACCAAATTGGTGGCTTAAACCATAAGAAATTTATTCTCTCACAGTTCTGAGGGCTAGAAGTCCAAAATCAAGTTTGTGTTAGGGCCATGATCCCTACGAAGGCTCTAAGGAAGTATTCTTCCTGCCTCTTCCCAGTCTCTGATGGCTCCCAGCAATCCTTGGCATTGCTTGCCTGGCAGCTACATCACTCTCAGTTCTGCCTGTCTTCACATGGCCTCCATCTCTCTGTGTCTGTGTCCCCTCCCCTCTTCTTATAAAGATGCCATTCATTGGATTTAATTAAGGTCCACGCTAAATCCAGTATGATATCAAGTTCAGATCCTTAACTAATTACATCTGCAAAGACCTCCTATTTCCAACTAGGTGACATTCTGAGGTCCCAGGTGGATGTGAATTTTTTCAATTAATTTATTTTTAATTAACAAAAATGTCTGCATATATAGTGTAAAAACATGTTTTAAAATTTGTATATGCTGCAAAATGGCTAAAATTAGCTAATTAACATATGGGAAGCCAACCTGATATTCTCATAGATCTTTTTTATTATTTATAAACATGAAAGTTGAATCTTCTGGCCTTAAAGCTTGAAACTTACATTTGTTTTGTCTTTCTCAGGAAATGATCTTTAGGCCTCTCAAAAAAAAGTATCAAAAAACTGAAATTCATAAGATCACTACATCTGGACAATGACATGCTGGAATCCCCATTCATCATGATTGCTTCCTTCCCCTCCCTAGTTCCTGTTTTCTTACGCATTGTTACATTTCTTCCTTGCTATAAACCCCTAGTATCAGTAAGTCAGAGAGATAGATTTGAGACTGAGCTGCCATGTCCTTGGCCACAGCACCCAAATAAGCCTTCTTCCTTGGCCATACCCCTCATCCCAGTCATTGGCTTTCTGTGAGCCATGCAGCAGCACCTAGACTGAACCCCTGGTGTTCTGGTAACATGCGTTACCTCACATACTTATTTTTTGTTGTGACAACATTTAAAATCTACTCTCAGTGGGCCAGGTGCAGTGGCTCATGCCTGTAATCCCAGCACTTTCGGAGGCCGAGGCGGGCAGATCACAAGGTCAGGAGATCGAGACCATCCTGGCTAACATGGTGAAACCCCGTCTCTACTAAAAATACAAAAAAAGTAGCTAGGCATGGTGGTGGGTACCTGTAGTCTCAGCTATTCGGGAGGCTGAGGCAGGAGAATGGCATGAACCTGGGAAGCGGAGCTTGCAGTGAGCTGAGATTGCGCCACTGCACTCCAGCCTGGGCAACAGAGCGAGACTCTGTCTCAAAAAAAAAAAAAAATCAACTCTCAGTGATTTTTAAGAATACACTGTTACTAACTATAGTCACCGTGTGATGCACAATAGATCTCTTGAACTGATTCTTGTTTAGCTGAAATTTTGTATCCTTAGACCAACATCTCCTCCACTACCTTTCCCCTGTCCGTAGGTCCCTAGTAACACCATTCTACTCTCAGATTCTGTGAGTTCAACTCTTTTAGATTCCCGTGGACATGAATTTAGGGGACACTAATCAGTCCACTACAAAGATTACGGTTAAAAAAAACTGACTTAATGAGTTTTATGTTGATTTGGTTTTCTTTGTGGCTTTTGTCCTAATAAAATTGTGCCCAGCAGGGGCAAGGCAGAAGAGAGCTTCCCCTCAAACACAGCATTTGCAACTTTTGTCAATTGTCAGCTTTTCCTGTAAGTGGCTTTTTCACTTCTTAATATCCTCACAGGTTTTTAGCCTTCATCTTTTTGTCTTTTGTTTTTTGAGACAGGTTCTCGCTCTTTTGCTCAGGTTGGAGTGCAGTGCTCCAAACACAGATCACTGCATCCTCCCCTGTCTGGGTTGAAGCAATCCTCCCTCTTCCCTAGTAGCTAGGACTATAGGCATGTGTCACCAGGCCCAGCTAATTTTTTTAATTTTTTGTAGAGATGGGGGTCTCACTATGTTGCCCAGGCTAGTCTCGAACTCAAGCTCAAGCAATCCTCCCACCTCGGCTTCCCAAAGTGCTGGGATTACAGGCATGAGCCAGGCACCCAGCCTTTTTAGCCTTCATCTTACCAGATGCTCAAAGGCTACAGGTAAGAAACCCCAAGCAGGCCCTCAGTTCTGGCATTGTTCCAGACACCACTCTGATCCTATTTGGTCCTCCAAGGGTAAGAGCACTGTCCACGATGGAACCCTAAAACCTTGAGCACTCAATTTGCATGAGAGGAAAGAAAAGAACATAAGGAAAACAACAAATGTGGCCTCTTTTCTCTCCCTAGGCAGGCTCCATTCTCCAAGGAAATGGCCTACCTGTGTGCCGTAATTTCCCACATAAATCTGTTGGTCCTGGTGGTGAAACTGATTCCAAAGGGAAGGGAAAAGTTGTGCCTGTATCAGTGTCCCATGGCTGTTGTAACAAATTATCACACTTTTGGTGGTTTAGAATAATACAAATGCATTCTCTCACAGTTCTGGAAGTCAGAAGTCTAACGGCTGGCAGGGCTGGTTCCTTCTGTAGACTCCAGAGGAGAATTTATTTACTTGCTTTTCTAGCTTTTGGGGGCCTCCTACATTCCTTGACTCATGTCCCTTTCCATGAGTCACTCCAATCTCTCACTTCCATTGTCACATCTCCTACTTTTCTTCTGAGTAACATCTCCTTCCATTATCCTCTTATAAGGACACATATGATTACCTTTAGAGCCACTCAAATGCTCCAGGATAATTCCTCCATCTTGAGATCCTGAACTAAATCATATCTTGAAGGTCCCTTTGGTATCAAAAACATTGACAGTTTCCAGAAATTAGTATCTGGACATCTTTGGGAGCCATTATTCAGCCCTTTACAGTAACCTTTTCAGGAAAAACAAAATGACCACAAGTATTACTGGAAAGGGGTCTGGATCCAGACTGGAAGAGAGAGTTCTCGGATCTTGCACAAGAACAAATTCAGTGTGAGTCCATAAAGTGAAAGCAAGTTTATTAAGAAAGTAGAGGAATAAAAGAATGACTACTCCAATGACAGAGCAGCCCCGAGGGCTGCTGCTTGCTTTTTTTTTTTTTTTTTTTGAGATGGAGTCTTGCTCTGTCACCCAGGCTGGAGTGCAGTGGCGCAATCTCGGCTCACTGCAAGCTCTGCCTCCGGGGTTCACGCCATTCTCCTGCCTCAGCCTCCCAAGTAGCTGGGACTACAGGTGCCCGCCACTACGCCTGGCTAATTTTTTGTATTTTTAGTAGAGACGGCGTTTCACCGCTTTAGCCAGGATGGTCTCGATCTCCTGACCTCGTGATCCGCCCGCCTCAGCCTCCCAAAGTGCTCGGATTATAGGTGTGAGCCACTGCGCCCAGCTAGTTGCCCATTTTTATGGGTATTTCTTGATTATATGCTAAATAAGGGGTGGATTATTCATGCCTCCCCTTTTAGACCATATAGGGTAACTTCCTGACATTGCCACGGTATTTGTCAACTGTCATGGTGCTAGTGGGAGTGTAGCAATGAGGACAACCAGAGGTCACTCTCATCGCCATCTTGGTTTTGGTGGGTTTTGGCTGGCTTCTTTATTGCAACCTGTTTTGTTTTGTTTGAGATGGAGTTTCACTCTTCTTACCCAGGCTGGAGTGCAATGGCGCAATCTTGGCTCACTGCAACCTTTGCCTCCTGGGTTCAAGTGATTTCTCCTGTCTCAGCCTCCCGAGTAGCTGGGATTACAGGCGCCCACCATGCCCAGCTAATTTTTGTATTTTTAGTAGAGACGAGGTTTCACCATGTTGGCCAGCTGGTCTTGAACTCCTGACCTCAGGTGATCCACCCACCTCGGCCTCCCAAAGTGCTGAAATTACAGGCGTGAGCCACTGCACCCAGCCTATTGCAACCTGTTTCATCAGCAAGTTCTTTGTGACCTGTACCTTGTGCCGACCTCCTGTCTCATCCTGACTTAGAATGCTTTAACTGTCTGGGAATGCAGCCCAGTAGGTCTCAGCCTCATTTTACCCAGCCCCTATTCAAGATGGAGTTGCTCTGGTTCATACACCTCTGACACAGGTATATTTTCTGGATCTAAACACAGGTATATTTCTGGATCTGGCCATTCACATGCAGAACAGAAGAGTAGGATGCAGCTTAAAGCCAAGCTTCTCAGTAACTACAAAGGACACCAAAGAACTCTAAGACAAAATTAACTAAAAGACTTCAGTTAGACAAGATGTACACATAAAAAGCGTTGGCAAACGCTAGCCTCCTTAGTTTTGCAAAATAAAGAAGTCAGTTGTCATTGTCCTTTGTAATTCCAACAAGTTCTACAGACACTAATTGCAAAATAATTGTCTTTATAAACTTTCAACACTAACTCACAGGCAGGGTTTGATTTTTCAACTTGAAGGTTTATTTTGAAAAGTAGAAAAAAAAGTTTATTTTCCCATGGAAGTTGTCTGGGTTTGCATTCTTTAGTGAAACAATAAACTTGAACTTTTAAAAATTTATTTTAGGGCATAAAGATGTCTTTGACACATTCCTGTCACCCTTGGTGATGGGGACCTGGTATTATTAGAAGGGGCCTGGGAGAAGCTAAGATAAGGTGGCTTGTTTAGATGACAGGGGAGGGAAGGGGAGTGGGAGGTTATTAGTCTAAATATAGATACAAATGACATGTGTAACATTGTAACAATTGGTACCATTGGCACCAACCACTAAGAATGAATGCCAGCTGAAAACAAGTCCCACACCCTTACTTGCACGTATCTGTTGCTATCAGCTATGAACATGAAGCAAAAATATCACAAGGAAATAAACATATTCATAGTGTCAGTTCAGTAGTCTTACATTTCTGGACTTCTTTTTGGCACTACAGCTCATATAATTTTTCTAAATGTTTTTTAAAATCACATTCATAGGGATGGGGAATAAGAAAGCTCCAAAAATATCAGCTTTAAGGAGACATAGCTTCGCTTTGGAGATAGGGATGGAGATGGGGATGAGAATGAGAATTTGAGGGTCAAGGTAACTGGCAGCTGGGTTCCATCCCACAACATAAAAAGTGTCTTACTGTCTCACTCTCGTTTGTTAAATTGTAATTGTGGATATGTATCTGAAGAGTCCAGAAGCAGCCTGGGTAACATAGTGAGAACTCATCTCCACAAATGAAAAATAAATTAGTCACATGTGTTGGCACGTGCCTGTGGTCCCAGCTACTCAAGAGGCTAAGGCAGGTAGATCGTAGATCACTTGAGCCCAGGAGTTCGAGGCTGCAGTGAGCCGTGGTCACACCACTGTACTCCAGCCTGAGTGATAGAACAAGACCCTGACTCAAAAAAAAAAAAAAAAAAAAAAAAAAAAACATAGCTTTAGTAATAAATGTAACCTATGCATGTGCTGAAAGCTCCAAATGAATTGGAATATTTAATGGAAATGAAGCAGGAAAAGCCTCAAGAAAATAACCTAATGAGCCTAATGACATATTGTTAAATCTAACACCTTACTTTCATACTGGGCTGTATAGTTTATAAAGCACTTTCACTTATTTCCTTATTAACATTATCTTATTAAGACCTGTGACATTCGTATTAAATCCCTTTTCTTTTTTCTTTTTTTTTTTTTGAAATGGAGTCTCACTCTGTCACCCAGGCTGGAGTGCAGTGGCGCAATCTCAGCTCACTGCAACCTCCGCCTCCCGGATGCAAGCATAAATCCCATATTTGACTAATAAAGAAAATGAGGCTTGGATTCTGTTCTGTTCTCTTTCCATTTGGCTGTTGTAAAAAAAAAAAAAAAATGCCATTTTGCCTTTTTTTGTTTTCCTTTGTTTTGAGATGGAGTCTCACTCTGTCGCCCAGGCTGGAGTGCAGTGGTGCCATCCCGGCTCACTGCAAGCTTCGCCTCCCAGGTTCACGCCATTCTCCTGCCTTAGCCTCCCAAGTAGCTGGGACTACAGGCGCCCGCCACCACACCCGGCTAATTTTTTTGTATTTTTAGTAGAGATGGGGTTTCACCATGTTAGCCAGGATGGTCTTGATCTCCTGACCTCGTGATCCGCCCGCCTCGGCCTCCCAAAGTGCTGGGATTACAGGTGTGAGCCACCACGCCCAGCCCATTTTACTTTGTAATAAGACAATCGACTTAGCTGATTCAGACAGCCATGAAATAAACAAAAACTATGTGTAACTGATTTTTTAATGACTTGATAAGTCAATTTAGTCAAAATTACTGATTCAGAATCGGCATGTAGACAAATTAAAATGTCAGAGGGCCTGTGTTGGAAAAATGCTGCTTAAACTTTCACCACATCTCACCAGCTGCTCCATCGCATCACATAGTATAGGCTAGAGCTCCACTCTTATGAGCACTTAGGGCCCCTAACACTATTCACTCCATGTCCTTGTGAAACAGAGGATGACAGCACTGATCATAATACATGCAGGCAGGGTAACAGCTAATTAACAGATGAAAGATGAATAGAAGCTTTAAGGCATTCTGCACATTTCGCCAGGCCAATCTGAAACAATAACAACAAAGTCCTCAGAGATCAATAATTTTCAATACATTGATCAAGATTTATTCCTTTTCCTCCTACGCTTCTGGCTGCTTACTTCTGGAAGTGGCACTTCTAGAAGCTTCTTTCCTGTAGAATACAAACTCATATATAAAGAATAAAACTAACCAGGTCTCTCAACTCCTCCAACCACCTGGGAAGGCAGGCAGGTGTGGCAGAGTCTAAGAGCATGGATTTCCAACTCAGATCCTAAGTGTCACGTTTGTACAACATGACCCAAAATGCTACCACTAAAACCTGGCACAAACATAGAGAAGTTTCCTTCTGTTCAGACTCCAAGACAAGCCCCACATTGGCAGGCAGCATGCATTTCTGCTGGCTTCGTCTCCTCTGAGGCAGACTGCCTGAGTTGCAGAGGGAGTGTTGATTTTATAACAGACCCAAATGAGCTACAGGGCCAGGACCCACCTAGTACATTTAAATTAGGTTGAGTGCCAGGTAAGACTTTTGTGGCAGAAGTAATGGGAAAAGCCACGTCCCCCGTCCCCAAGTCCTGGAACACATCCAGAAATCCATAAAGCAAAGGGTTTCTTAAACTAAAAAGTCATACAGAAACATTACCATACTTATTTTCCTTATCCTCAAAAACACTGAAAAGTGAAACAGAGCATTATTATAACAAGGTAACACCTATGTCTTTAGGATATGAATGGTCCACATCATGTTCAGATGTTACTTGATAATGATAGATGCTACATAATTTGATGACAACTAAAATCTGCTGAGCACTTACTGTATACTAATAACTATAGTTGACAGCATTTTCCAGTTTGATCCTCAAAAAACCCTGAGACATAACTGCTATTCCTTTCCTTTTGTGTCCAGAGTTGGTTCCTTCTGGGGGGTTCGTGGTCTCCTTGACTTCAAGAATGGAGCTGCAGACCTTTGAGGTGAGTGTTACAACTCTTAAAGATGGCACAGACCCAAAAAGTGAGCAGCAGCAAGATCTACTGTGAAGACCGAAAGAACAAAGCTTTCACGGCACCCAAGTGGGTTGCCACTGCCGGCTGGGGTGGCCAGTTTTATTCCCTTATTTGTCCCTTCCCATGTTCTGTTTCTGTCCTATCAGAGTGCCCTTTATTCAGTCCTTCCCACAATTGGCTACCTTTAGACTCCTGCTGATTGGTGCATTTTACAGAGCGCTGATTGGTGCGTTTTATAGACCGCTGACTGGTGCGTTTTACAGAGCGCCGATTGGTGCATTTTGCAGAATGCTGATTGGTACATTTTACAGAGTGCTGATTGATGCATTTTGCAGAGTGCTGACTGGTGCATTTTACAATCCTCTTGTAAGAGAAAAGTTCTCCAAGTCCCCACTCAACCCAGGAAGTCCAGCTGGCTTCACCTCTCACTTTTAGGGTTTAAGAATCTGATGCTTCAAGGTCACATAACTAGTGATAGACTTTGCTCTCTTAACATTTATACAACATTGCCTCTTACTTATTTTCAATGTTTTAGAAAAACGATACTAAATGTCATAGAGTAAGACTGTAACTATATTTGCTCATTTTCATGCAGTTTGTTAATGCCCTAAATACTTTTCAAAGATGGTATTTACTTACATGCACACAGTGCATCACTATCCCGAGATTGTTTACCTCCAGAAAAATATATTTTATATATTACATTTGGAAATTATACTAAGTACCTTTCTACAAAACTCTTGTAAGTACAAATTAATTCTATTATTCTAAATCTAGCTGTAGCCTTCCCACTCAAATACTATGAACATGCTGAGAATGATGTGTCCCAAGTTTTCCATTTGTGGACTGGAAAACGCAGTCCAGTCCCCAGTGGCAGATATTATTGTCAGATACAGCAGAAGAGAAACATCTCAATTTCCTTATATGATTTCCAATTTCTGTGGATAATCAAAAATGCATGTAGAATTGTAATATTCTAATTTCCATTTGCCTTCATTTTCCCAATTCCACTTTCCACTTCAGCCCTGCCTTGAGTCTTTTGCTTTAATTTAGTCAAGTTGATAGAGAAGTATTCTAGAGTGAGAGAAAAAAATAGAGAAGGAGGAAGTTTTAGAGAGAGATTAAGAAGAAATTAGACAGTAGTTCAGTAGTCTAAGAGTATTGAGATAGTTTTAAGATAAAATGTATTTAGTCCAAGAATAATAAGAAACAAGGTTAACCTGTCATCATCATAGTAACTAGCATAAGTGTAGGATTATCATGTGCTGAGTGTTATAGAGTATCTCACTCGATTCCGAAAACAAACCTGTAAGTTAGATATTATTATCTCATTTGCTTTGGTGAGACTTCTTCACACTTTCCTGGCTCTGTAACATGTAGCTTACCCTCTGAAGGGCTTTATGTAGATCTCTGTTCCTGCCTTTATCTCATCATGGTGCAATTTATTATTTCTTTTTTTTTCTTTTCTTTTTTTTTGTGACAGAGTTTTATTCTTTCGCCCAGGCTGGAGTACAGTGGCACGATCTCAGCTCACTGCAACCTCCGCCGTCCGGTTTCAAGCGATTCTCCTGCCTCAGCCTCCCAAGCAGCTGGGATTACAGGTGCATGCCACCATGCCTGGATAATTTTTGTATTTTTAGTAGAGATGGGGTTTCATCATGTTGGCCAGGCTTGTCTTGAACTCCTGACCTCATGATCCACCTGCCTCAGCCTCCCAAAGTGCTGGGATTACAAGCGTGAGCCCGTTATTATTTATTTATCAATTAAAGTCTGATAGATTGTGACCCTACTGCTCCCAGCCCAATTCATTATTTCTTCATTAAATAATGCCTGATAGACTGTGAGCTCCATAAAACTAAGAACTGGACCATCTTTATCTCCTTCTCCCCAGATTTTTTAAGGGTTCCAGACCATGGTGAGTACTCAGTTAATGCTTGTCAAGCTGCGTCCATTAAAAGTAGAGAAAGGAAAAAAAAAGAAAATATAGGAGATCCAGAGTGCATTTGGGGAGTTTCCGAATTCGAAACATAGTCTGTTTTGCTGTTGTGAGAGAATGGTGGCCTCCAAACAACCTCCTGTTCCTAAATATACTTAAAGTCCTAAAATGGCATGCATTAACAAAAACTGTATTTGAATACAATTAATTTTGCTCAACAGTATGTCCCTGGGGCCTGGCACATAGTAGGAAGTAAGTGCATTCTGGTTTTGTTTTTGGTTTTTGTTTTGTTTGTTTGTTTTTGTGGAGACCAAGTCTCACTCTGTTGTCCAGGCTGGAGTGCAGTGGTGCAATCTTGGCTCGCTGCAACCTCTGTCTCCCTGGGTCAAGTGATTATTGTGCCTCAGCCTCCCCAGTAGCTGGGACTACAGGTGCGCACCACCACGCCTGGATAAGTTTTTGTATTTTAGTAGAGATGGGGTTTTTCACTGTGTTGCCCAGGCTGGTCTGGAACTCCTGAGCTCAGGCAAACCACCCACCTCAGCCTCCCAAAGTGCTAGGATTACAGGTGTGAGCCACTGCACCTGGCCTGAGTGCATTCTGTTTTTAAATGAACATCAGCAAGACTAGGGGATAGAGGGCTTCAAGCTATTAATATAAGCTTCACTTTTCTAGCAGGAGTGTTTTTTCACAGCTTATATAATCCAAATAGCTGAGTGCATGTTGCTGCCCTTGACTACATCTAGCTGAGGGCCACATGAAAGTCATTCCTTTTCCCAACTGTGAGCTACCCATCAGCACAAGCTTTCTCTACTTTCTCATTTTCTCATTGTCCAGTCATTGTGAAAAACAAAGCAAAGACCTATTCAAAGGAAGCACTTGACACCTCTACCATATCCCCTTCCTCCAGCAATAATGTTCATTTCCAGGTATGTTCAAGTTATAACATATGCTGGTCCTCAGAATACAAATTGCGCCCTTTGATGATTCAATCCTGTTATAATCAATTTGCATTATGAAAGCTGGAGCTATAGGAGCAATGGCTGCATGTGGATTTCAGATGATCTACCATTCCACATAATAATGAATTGTAGATGTTTTCCTTCAGCCTAAGACACTGTGTTAGGTCCTAAGCACTGATGTCATATCCCTATAGAATAGAGGTAGAGAATTACCACAGACACAGACACACACACACTTAGGAGGTCAGTGAGCCTGGGGGCTGGAGTCTATGTTCCAGGCATGCAGTAGCTGCAGGAGAGACCCTGGGCCTCTTCCTCATGGAAGCAGAGCTATGCCAGTCCCCACACAGTAGGGAGAACAAAACTCCAACTGCTTGCAACCAGGGAAGGTAGGATGACTACAGCACACAAATGTGGAAGGGGGAGAGCCAGCACAGAAATCTTTCCAAGGGCTCTATGAGACACAAAATAGGATTTGGGAGATGACCACAGGAGACCATGGGATAATGCTTCTTAACTCATCCACAGCCTGAAAAATCTTGGCTTTCTCCTCTTAACCAGAAGGACTCCAAAGATTTTCTCAAGGGTGATGATGGGATGCCTGCATCATCCAAACCCTTTTCCATTCTGGCCAGGTAAGTTAAGAACACTGGCAAAAATGTTTGGAATCCATCAAACTCTTTGGATTGAAAGTCAAAATAAGTCTCTTTAGGTAATGATTTTCTGATTCTAGGATCTGAGATAGCTCTCTTTCTGAATTAGAACAGGACGGAGTCAATGGGCAATAGGTCTATTATTTGCAAGCTTAACCAAGCTGTGTGGAGCTGAGCTAATTAACAGATCTTATTGTTAGAAAAACTCCAGGCAGGCTTAATTTGTCCAGATAAAGCCAGTAATCACTGATATACACTTCTTTTTAATATAGCAGATAACTCATAATCTAATTTTGTGGTACATACAAATATCTGTACACTCGTTCTTATCTGAATACTACATATGAAATACAATGAGTATGTGTCTGACCAAGTTAAAAGCCATTCCTGTTGAACTAATCTTATAGTTTAACAACATTCTCATTAATAAACCTTGACTAAAGAGGAAAGATACTCTAACTTAGTGAAATCTCTGAGTTACAAAATATAAAGAATCATTACAAAAATAGGTACTTTTCTGCCGGTTGCAGTGGCTCACGTCTGTAATCCCAGCACTTTGGGAGGCCAAGGCAGGCGGATCACAAGGTCAGGAGATCGAGACCATCCTGGCCAACACGGTGAAACCCCGTCTCTACTAAAAACACGAAACATTAGCTGGGCGTGGTGGCGGGCGATTGTAGTCCCACCTACTGGAGAGGCTGAGGCAGGACAATGGCATGAACCCAGGAGGTAGAGGTTGCAGTGAGCCAAGATCACACCACTGCACTCCAGTCTGGGCAACAGAGTGAGATTCTGTCTCAAAAAAAAAAAAAGTTACAAGATAGTACTACTATTTAGGAAATTCCTACTCTCTAGACCAAGAGTTACCTATTTTCATTTAGTTATAACACCATATATGCACGTACACACACACACATACACACACACACACACAGGCACCTACACCCCATTATATACTACCCAGTTCCCTCCTCCTTTGAGGCTTGGTGACTAACACTATTTTATTACCTTTTGGCAAAGAATACCTGAGTTAGATTTCTCTGAGTTGAAGCAGGAAAGTTTTTATATTGCTTTGGTTCACCAGACCTCAGTAGACCCACTTTACACTTTGAGAAAAGCATTATGTCTTCTTCCAGCCTGATATAATAGTTTACCTCATGCTGTCCTTTGAAGGGAGGGAGAATTTGGCTTTTAAGATGAACACACAGTTCAAAAAATGCTTTTCCAATAATTCCTAAAATCTTGCTGTTCTGGGTTCTGTGGGAGAAAGTTACATTTGTTAGTTTAGTAGGCTCCGGAGTTGTGGAACATAATAATTACTACTTCATACTGATCAATTTGTCATAAGGCACTTTGGTACTTGCTAGAATACATTTTCAAGTCATCATTAACTAATCCCCTCTTGAAATCCCAAAATTTCACTGGTGTTCTGGTATCTGCTATACAAGATTCACATTTTATTGCATGCAAACTTTATCAAAATATCTCTCCATAATAGTTATAATAAATGATACTTCAGAGTTATATTTTTATTGCCTGTCATTTTTGCTTGATTTTTCCCAATTTTAAATTCATTACTGACATTAATTAAAGATAAACTACTCAGTAAATCTGGAAACATCTACAAAATAAAATAGGGCACTTGTATTTCGAAAGCAGATTTCTCAGACTAATTTCAAATTTTTGATATCAGATGAGACTGAATTAACTAGCTAACACAACATTATTTTTCAAGCAAGACTACAATTCAAACAGACATCTAAAATGAGGTTTTTTTCTTTTTTTGAAATGGAGTTTCACTCTTGTTGCCCCAGCTGGAGTGCAATGGCATGATCTCGGCTCACTGCAACCTCTGCCTCCTGGGTTCAAGTGATTCTCCTGCCTCAGCCTCCCAAGTAGCTGGGATTACAGGCATGTGCCACCACACCCGGCTAATTTTGTATTTTTAGTATACAGGGCATTTCTCCATGTTGGTCAGGCTGGTCTCGAAATCCCGACCTCAGGTGATCCACCCACCTCAGCCTCCCAAAGTGCTGGGATTACAGGCATGAGCCACCACACCCGGCCGAGTTTGTATTGTTTAAGATAAGGCTAATATTGGGCCAGGTGTGGTGGCTCACGCCTGTAATCCCGGCACATCGGGAGGCCGAGGCAGGCGGATCATGAGGTCAGGATATCGAGACCATCCTGGCTAACACGGTGAAACCCCATCTCTACTTAAAAATACAAAAAAATTAGCCAGGCGTGATGGCAGGCACCTACAGTCCCAGCTACTCGGGAGGCTGAGGCAGGAGAATGGCGTGAACCCAGGAGGCAGAGCTTGCAGTGGGCCGAGATCGTGCCACTGCACTCCAGCCTGGGCAACAGAGCGAGACTCCATCTCAAAAAAAAAGATAAGGCTAATATTACATGTGGGTTATATATAGAGAGAAAGAGAGAGTTAGACTGTGAGAGAATATAGACTATATAATTCCTGTAGCTATAGTCTACATTTAGAAAATGTCACCAATGGTGGCCATTGAGAGATGGTGTCTTTATTAGTCCATTTTTGCATTGCTATAAAGAAATACCTGAGACTGAGTAATTTATAAAGGAAAGAGGTTTAATTAGGTCACAGTTCTGCATGCCTGGGGAGGCCTCAGGAAACTTACACGCGCACAAACACACACACACACAGGCACCCACACCCCATTATATACTACCCAGTTCCCTCCTCCTTTGAGGCTTGGTGACTAACACTATTTTATAGTGTTGCCTTCTGCATGGCAGAAGGCAAAATGGAAGCAGACACTTTCTTCTCAAGGCGGCAGGAGGGAGTGAGTGCAAGCAGGGGAAATGCCAAGACACTTTACAACCATCAGATCTCATGAGAACTCCCTCACTATCACGAGAACAGCATGGGGAAAACCGCCTTCATGATCCAATCACTTCCCTCCCTCAACACCTGGGGATTACAATTTGAGATGAGATTTGGGTGGGGACACAGACCCAAATCATATCACAGGGCAACAGGCTAGGGATAAAAGCAAAGAGATCAGCATCCTGAAGACGATCCTTGCTTGATTACACCATATCAGAGGGAGCAGAAATCCTGGTTATGCCAAATTCCTATCAACTCCAGTGGGGATGGCACCAGGTTCAAGAGGCCAAGGAAGAGACCCGGAGCCACAAAACAAGACATGGGGTTTTACTGAAGGCTATGTGGAGGGGAGAGAGTCCAGTGGCGGCAGGCTGGACAAGAGAACCACAGCCACCTGCAAAAGGCATGTAGTTTGTGTGTCATTTTCACTTAGCACCCTTTCCCTAATAACCTCTACCTGGCAATCTTCAACCCAAAACTCGGAACCTCCATTATGGGATGGGGGCTCAGATGTTCCTCATAGACAAAGAACAAATCTCTTGGTCAGCCAGTCCCAGATTACGTAGCTCAGAACTCACATTCAGGTACATCTGCCATACAGGGTAATTCTCAGCATAAGTGTATGTTACTGCTAACAGGTGCATTTACTATACAATCCTCGGTTTGGAGGAGCCACTATCCTTGGAAAAAGAGACCTTCGGTTTTTTTCTCCCAGTGAAGAGTGCTCTGATGGGCATTTTTCCCGAAGACAAGTACCTGGGAGCCTTTTTTCTAGTTTAGTGCAGGTATGCTGAACAAGAAATTTTTTTATTGTAAAAGTAAGTCTCTTAGGTGGGAAATGAAAACTTAATAAAACCGTTCAACAACAAAATTATCTAAATAGAAAATTGTGAGCTTCCTTTCTCTAGAGGCATTTGACTATTCAGATGCTTAAAATGGAGTCCTACATGAGTGACGGAGTAGCTTAGAATGGCATCCCAAACAGCCATTTTGAGAATATGGATGAATATCTGCACTCTTTACAGTGGTAAGAGTCCTACTGTGGGTATCTGTTTGAATCTGTTAAAAGTTTAGCCTAAAGCTGCCTATTTACATATTTTAAAGGTTTCTTCATACATCATGAACTGTAACCAAACTGGATGTTTGACCAGACTCACCAAGTTTCAAACAATTAAAACTGTTCAAACTGGGTTCAAATAAGGTGTATTAGGGTTCTCCAGAGGGACAGAACTCATAGGATATATGTGTATATGAAAGAGTTTATTAAGGACAGTTGGCTCACATGATCACAAGGCGAAGTCCCATAATAGGCCGTCTGCAAGCTGGGGAGCAAGGAAGCCCATAGTGGCTCAGTCTGAGTCCAAAGCCTCAAAAGTAGGGAAGCCAGCATTGTAGCCTTCAGTCTGTGGCCAAAGGCCTGAGAGCCTCCAGCAAACCACTGTAAGTCCAAAGGCTGAAGAACCTGCAGTTTTATGTCAAGGGCAGGAGGAACAGAAGGAAGCATCCAGCACTGGAGAAAGACGAAAGCAGGAAGACTCAGCAAGCCAGCTGATCCCACCTTCCTCCACCTGCTTTGTTCTAGCTGCGCGCTGGCAGCTGATTGGATGGTGCTCACCCACATTGAGTGTGGGTCTTCCTCTCCCAGTCCACTGACTCAAATGTCAATCTGCTCCGGCAACACCTTCACAGACACACCAGAAAGGATACCTTACCAAAGCCATATAGGCATTCTTCAATCAAGTTGACACTTAATTTTACCATCACCTAAGACAAACACCCAAGTGCAACCATTCTGGCTGTTCCCATACCTTGTTTCTGTTTTCTGTCCATGATTTTCCTTTTTCTGTTCATAAATTCTCCTTTAACCACTTGGTAGCACTGGAGTCTCTCTGAACTTATTCTGGTCGGGGGCTACCTGATTCTCAAATCGTTCTTTGCTCAACTGAACTCTGTTAAATTTAATTTGTCTACAGTTTTTCTTTTGACAAATACAAGTTCAAATTACTCTGGAGCCTTATCATTAAAAATAATAATAAGTGTCATTTAAGTACTGTTGTACTCTTTCCAAACTCCAAAGGAAATCATTTGCTTTACTGCCCTGTATATAATGCTGCTTTCCTTTCAATTCATTTTTCAGTCCTGCTTTTCAAATGGATATCCTGCAGTTCTTTTTACTGTCTTTTGAGATGTGACTTGCACTTCTACCCACTTCGTTGAGAATACTGCTGTTCATGACCTATATCTTCTCCATCTTTCTATTGCATTTGATACCGGGGACTCCTTACCTACCCTCTCTTTTTTTACAACACTCCAAGCTCATGAAGAGGGAAACTATATCCTAAATATCCTTATATTCCTTCTAATATTATTTTGCTCATAAGAGGCCTCAAAAGATATGTTAAATGAAAAAAATTGATATTTCCATCCTAGTACTTTAGTTTTAAGCCTCAGAGGCATTTCCAATTTCTCCTTTCCTTTCCACACACCCCCCAAAACCCAATCCATACCCAATGTGTATAAATTTAATTCAAAAATATATATTGTATGTTTCAACTTACACTTCTCTTCCCAGAGATTTTTTACAAAGTATAGACATAATTATCTTCTGAGCTAGGCTGTTCTAACAACTTCTAAATTACATTTCGGACCCCCTGCTCCATCCCCAAAATTGATCTCAGAGAAGATGAAATCATCTTCAACAGATCAGTTTTCATCACATCACTCCCAACCTCCCAAGAGACTTACTTATTGCATTCCCATTCTCTGAACACACTCTGGCCCCATAGGTATAGTCTGTTATCTACTCTTTCTGCAGACTCTAGTGATTGGAATTAGAATTGACCTCACAGGAAATATATATACAAGGCACTTGAAGAGCCAAATTGTTTCTTAAGGTCAAGATGATTACATTAGTTTGATTGATTACTCTTTGTGGTAGGCAGAATCCCAAGATGGCCCCCAAGATTATCAGCCCATGGTATACATGCCCTGTGTAATCCCAACCCCTCGAGCGTGTCTGGGATCTGTGAATATGACCAGTATCACTCTGTGATTAGATTACTTTATGTGGCAAAGGTGAAAGGACTTTCCAGGTGTCATTTATGTCCCTAATAAATTGACTGTGAGTTAATCAAAATGTACATTATCCTAGGTGGGCTTGATCTAATTAGGTCAGCCCTTTAAAAGAGCATCTAGAGGTAAGAGACAGGAAGCATCAGCAAATGCTCTTCCACTGGCCTTGAAGAAGGAAACCAGTATGCTGTGCAGGGGGCAAGGAATGGGAGGCAGTCTGCAGGAGCAGAGGACTTCAGCCCTACAGCCCCAAAAAATTAAATTCTGCCAGCAACCATTGACCTAGGAATAGGACTGTGAACCTCAGATGAAACTGTATCTCTAGCCAATCCCTTGACCACAGCCTGTGATAACCTGGAAAGAGGACCCAACTAAACTCTTCCCAGACCTCCAACCCACAGAAACTGTGAGATAATAAATGTGTATTGTTTTAAGCTACGAAATGTGTGGTTAGTTGTCACCCAGAACAAAAAAGGAATGCAAACTTTGTCTCCTCTTGCTGACTTGCCAAGACCTTTTTTCTTTTGCCATCTTAACTTCTCTGATTAGATCTTGACTACCTGGAGTCTTGATTTCTTTATAATCTTAGCCTCGAGAAACTGCATGTTAGTAACTCATACTGAGCTTGTATGGTTTCCCGATTCTGGAACCTGCACATGTCTGCTTTCTGTGAGCTTCCCTCGGCTCCTCCCTCTTCAGACTATACACTCTCAGCACAACACTGTTTCTCTCAATAGCTGCCTTATGACACCCCTGCCCTGCCACCTGTATCTCTGTCCCCTGAAGGCCCTATCCACAACCCTGTGCAAAGTATTCAAATCCAAACTATGCCTCATCTCAGGCTCAATCAAGTACAGAATCACAGGGCAAAAGACCAAGTCTTCACTGGGGCCAATTTGCATCTGGCTGTCACTGAGTTCTCCTTTTTCCTTGAAATCATAATTATCTCTTTGAGGAAAATTCAGAGGATTATTTTATTTTATTTTATTTTGAGACAGAGTTTTGCTGTTATCGCCCAGGAGGGAGTGCAGTGGCGTGATCTCGACTCACTGTAATCTCCGCCTTCCAGGTTCAAGCTATTCTCCTGCCTCAGCCCCCTGAGTAGCTGGGATTACAGGCACCCACCACCACACCTGCCTAATTTTTGTATTTTCAGTAGAGACAGGGTTTCGCCACGTTGGCCAGGCTGGTCTCGAACTCCTGACCTCAGGTGATCCACCTGCCTCGGCCTCCCAAAGTGCTGGGATTACAGGTGTGAGCCACCACGCCTGGCATCGAAAATTCAGAGGATTCTTTTTTTTTTCTTTGAGATGGAGTCTCGCTCTGTCGCCCAGGCTGGAGTGCAGTGGCGTGATCTTGACACACTGCAAGCTCCACCTCCTGGGTTCACGCCATTCTCCTGCTTCAGCCTCCCGAGTAGCTGGAACTACAGGTGCCCACCACCATGCCTGGCTAATTTTTTGCATTTTTAATAGAGAAGGGGTTTCACCTTGTTAGCCAGGATGGTCTCGATCTCCTGACCTCGTGATCCGCCTGCCTTGGCCTCCCAAAGTGCTGGGATTACAGACGTGAGCCACTGCAACCGGCAGAAAATTCAGAAGATTCTTAAAGGGGAAGCAGACACTTGGCCTTGGTTACCAGATACATAAACCTTGACAGACCTGGACAGTTTTGTAAATAAAGGCTTTGGTTGGATACAACTGTCCTTCGGTGCCATCCTATTACCAAAGGCCCCAGTGCAGCTGTAGCCTCTTCCCTCTGATTCTCCTCAACGTCAGAGATGTGGGCCGATCACATCTTTGTTCCCTTTGTTCTCCAAATCAGCTTAGTACCGGGCCTCAGGTCTCCCTTAGATCCCCACAACCGGGCGAATTCACTGGCAGTCCCCACTCATGCCCACATGATTCAATTGGAAGTGGCTCTTGCTGCCATGTTGTCCTGTCCTCTTTGAGCTCCATCATATCCCTGAGAAGGGGCACACAGCTGCTTAATCTCACTCAGCATTTAAACACAAGCTCAAACAATGCACATCAAAAGCGTTGTCCCTTGGTATCCATGGGGGATTGATTCCAGACTCCCCTCAGATACCAAAATCCGTGAATGCTTAACTCCTTTATATAAAATGCCATAGTATTTGCATATAACCCATTCACATCTTCCTATATATTTTTAATCATCTCTAGATTACTTATAATACCTAATACAATGTAAATCCTATGTAAATAATTGTTATATGTATTGTTCAGCAGACAATGACAAGAAAAAAAAGTCTGTACATCTTCAATACAGACTCTTTTTTTTTCAATTATTTTTGATCTGAGGTTGGTTAAATCTACATATACAGAATCCACAGATACAAAGGGCCAACTGTATATAAGTTACTTGGTGTTTTTCATGTTCTTGTCTGCATGTACTTATTGTATCGGTTAATTTTATGTGTCTAGTTAATTGGGCCACAAAGGACCCAAATATTATTTAAACATTATTCTGGGTGTCTTGGTGAGGATGTTTTTGAATGAGATTAATATTCGAATCAGTAGACTGAGTAAAGCAGATTGTCCTCCCTAATGTGGGTGGCCCACTCTAATCAGTTGAAGGCCTAAATAGAACAAAAGACAGGACAAGAGGGAACGTCTCTGACCTGACTGCTTGGGACACTGGTCTTCTTCTGCTCACAGACTGGAATTGATTCCGTTGGCTCTCCTGGGTCCCTAGCCTGCTGACTGCTGATCTTGGTACTTAGCCTGCATAGTCACGTGAGACAATTCCTCATAATAAATCCATCAGTTTCTCTCTCTCTCTCTCTCTCTTTCCCTGTCTCTTTCTCGTCTCTTTCTCTCATCTGCCTCTCTCATCTCTCTCTCTCTCTCTCTCTCTCTCTCTCTCTCTCTCTCTCTCTCTCTCTCTCTCACTTGCTTCCTCTCTTTCTCTGGAGAACCCTGTCTAATATACTTATCAATCTCTCAACTATTAAAGATGGCCCTAAAGAGCAGGAACCATTCGTTGTGATTCTCTTGCTTCTTTGTCCTGTCTACTACCATGCATGCTTTACATGCTGTGAGTGTTGTATAAATATTGTTGACTGAATCCCCAGAGAAAGAAAATTTACTGGTGAAATCCCTTACCAAGAGTGTGATGTATCGGTAGAAGCAATATTGATTGTCATGCCCATTAGTGCTCCCAGCAAGCCAAGGCATTTCCTGAAGACAGATAATTTTACTGGCCCTGGTCACAAAGAAGGATGAGAAGGAGATAGCCTTTTCTCTCAGCAGAGGGCTGCTGAGTCAGTTCTCCTAAGGAGGCTTCCTCTGTGTTTGTAATCACTTCAGTGTTTCTAAAATGGCCAGGAAAGATGTGAAGGAGTAAAAAACAGATTGCCACTTGTCAAACCAGAATCAGAGTGGAAATTAAGGGACCAGAGTTTCAGAGACTGTGTGGATTATTCTATTCAAAGGATAAAACCTCATTTCTTTTTATGTACAAGAAGGATAAAGGGAGAAGGAGGCAAAGAATAGCTAGTACAGCCTGGAAAGAGGCTCACTCCAGAAACCACTGAAAAATCTACAGAACTCAATCAAATGAAAGAAGAAAGGGCCAGGCATGTTAATCTCTAAAGACAGCCTTGCTAAACTGTAACGTTTCTCTCTCCATAAATATTGGAAACAGGGTAACTGAGCCTCAACTGGGGCCATTTATCAGCCCAGTCAAGAATTCAAGGACAAGTAGGTAAGCCCCTTTAAAAAGATTCATTATATTTAGCCAGGCTAGCCGATTGACGAGGCATTGGGCTGAATAAAAATCATCCTGACCCTGGCACAGTAAAAATTGTTATTCATGCAACTGATTCAAACTTGGGCTCTCAAACAACCTTCAGGGAGAGCCTGACCCGACCTTATCAGGACTCTGGAGAATTTTCCATTCCCATTTCCAAAACAATGCCATTGATTTCTAGAAACGATAAACAACTGGGATTCCAGGTTAAAAAAGAAACATCGAAACATCCTGGTACAAGTGCTGAACCTCTTGCTTCTTGGGAAATGAACCTGAAACTTAAATATAACCTGGAATTGGCACAGAGAATGTTTATAGTTGGAATGTTGATTAAATCCCTCCAAGTCCCACAGGCTCTTATCTACAAAGCAGTAAGTTCCAACTGCTGTGGCTCTATAAACACTCGTATTCTCTCCAGTGGTTAGACTGCCTCCTACAAATATGTTATATCAGTAGAGAGAACCAATTGCCTTTTTGTTTTCAGAGTAAGGGGCCATCATTTAGCCCAAGTCTACACATAAGGTTCTGAGTGTACTGACATACATTACCTGTTTTCCATCATTTTTTACCATTTCAGAAAAAAATTCGTTAAAAATGGGATAAAACTTGATTGAACATTGTTAACCTCAAAACCAAAGTCAAAATAAAGATCCAGAGAATTGAAAGGCATATTGACTGCTTCATGTAAAGGACATAACTGTTGAGTTTAAACCAGAGTCCTCTAACTCTGTTCTCTTTCAAAATCATTTTGGGGGGAAAATGTTTTTACTGTAGGATAGTACATGTTTAAGAGACACTTGAAGGTTAAAGAACTGGCAGGCCTGTTGCACTACATTAACCTATCCATTTAAACCGAAAAGAAACACTAGATGCAGCATTTCTGCATAGACAAATACACGGTTGTGCTATCTCAACATCAGAACTCTTCGCCGCTGGTTGAAAAGAGTTAAACTTCAAATGAATATCAGAAATGTACTTAGGCACCAAGCCACAAGAAAAATACCAATACATAGCTTAGAATACTGTCCAAAGAGTCCCAGTGATGCCAGGGCATGTCTCAAGGTGGAGCATGATCTTATTCCAAAAGGAGTATACACAGAGCACAAACAAGAATATAGAGTGTGAGTGTTTCAGCAAACTCAATTGGAAAATATGTATACAGAAAATCTCAAGCTCAAAAGTTAATCTGGGGCTGGCCGGAATAGAACACAAATCCAAAGATGAAGTGTTGGGCAGGTTTAATAATGAAGATTAGCAGATGAGAATAAGCTAGGTGAATGCAAAATTGCTACAGCACATGCAACTGGACGAACAGACCTTTTTGTTTGTTTGTTTGTTTGTTTGTTTGTTTGTTTGTTTGAGATGGAGTCTCCCTCTGTCGCCCAGGCCGGAGTGCAGTGGCGTGATCTCGGCTCGCTGCAAGCTCCGCCTCCCGGGTTCCCGCCATTCTCCTGCCTCCGCCTCCCGAGTAGCTGGGACTACAGGCGCCCGCCACCATGCCTGGCTAATTTTTGTATTTTGTTCAGTAGAGACGGGGTTTCACTGTGTTAGCCAGGATGGTCTCGATCTCCTGACCTCGTGATCCACCCTCCTCGGCCGCCCAGAGTGCTGGGATTACAGGCGTGAGCTACAGCGCCGGGCCTGGAAGAACACATCTTTAACAGCATGAGCAGCATTTGAGTCAGATTTGTTTGATTGGAAGGCCCCAGGATAGAAAAAAGAATGTACGATTAAAATATTTAGGCCTGCCATTTTTTTAACCTTAAAGTGCCTCTTAAACATGCACTATCATACAGTAAAAACACTTTCCCCCCCAAAATGATTTTGAAAGAGAACAGAGTTAGAGGACTCACATTTTTCCATTTTAAGACTTACTACAAAGCTACAATAATCAAGACTGTGGTACTGGAAGGGTGGTAAACATGGAGATCAATGGAATCAGACTAAGAGTCAAGAAATAAACCTTCACATTTATAACCCGTTGATTTTTGACAAGGGTGCCAAGATAATTCAGTGGGAGGAAGAATAGTCTTTTCAACAAATGATTCTAGGACAACTGGATTTTCACATGCCAAAAAAATGAAGTTGGACCCCTACATAACACCATATGCAAAAATTAACTCAAAATGGGTCTTCAACTAAAATATAAAACTATGAAACTTTTATTAAAAAAAAATGGGTAAATCTTTATGACCTTGGATGATGCAGTGGTTTCTTTAACAGGACACCAAAAACCCAAGCAAAAAAAGAAAAAATAAATTGAACTATAGTGAAAATTTTAAATGGTGATTCAAAAGACACCATCAAGAAGGTAAAAATAAAACCTACAAAATGGGAAAATATGTATAAATCAAATATCTGTTAAAAAACTTATTGCAGACCATATAAAGCACACTTATAATGCAATAATAAAGTGACAACCCAATTTAAAAATGGGTAAAAGATCTAAGTAGAGATTTCTCCAAAGAAGATATGCAAATAGCCTATAAGCACATAAAAAGATGCCCAATATAATTAGTCATTACGGAAATTAAAGTCAAAATGACCTAAGAGAGGATGATGCCATAGCCAAGCTTGGTTGAGCACACCTAATAACCCACCCACATGGCCACACAGCACTGCACCAGCAGGAAACACACATCAACCCCCAGCACAACGATGCATATGCCAATCTTGCATGGTCCCTGGTTCTGCTTCACCAATCCCTAGGCAATGCGATCGCAGCCCCAGTCAAAATCCATCTACGAAAAACACTCTCAACAAACCAGAAGTAAAAGGTAATTTACTCAATCTAATAAAAAAATCGACAAAATCAAAAAGGCTATAATAATAATAATGAAGCACTGAGTGCTTTGCTCTAAGATCAGCAAGACGGCAAAGGTTTTCATTCCATTCACTCCTATTCAACATAATTCTGGCAGTCTTAGCCAAGGCAATAACAATATAAAATAAAATAAAAGATGTGCACATTAAAAAGAAAAAAAGAAAACTGACCCTACTCATGGATGACATGAAAGTTCATGTAGAAAATCCCAATAATTCCGCAAAAATAAATGTCCAAGTACCAGTAAGTGAGTTAACTAACGTTATAGGATACAAAGTCAAAATTAAAAATTCAATACTGTTTCTATATACTAGCAATAAACAATTGAAAACAAGAATTCTAAAAGTGATGCTATTTACAATAGCTGCCCCCTAAAGTGAAATACTTTGGTATAAGTCTAACAAGACATGTAAAGAATCTGTACTGTAAAATGTTGATAAAAGAAATCAAAAACCGTAAAACTGATAAAAAAGAAATCAAAAAAGACTAAAATAAATGGAGAGACATAATGTGTTCAGGAAGTGGAAGATTCAACATAGTTAACATGTCAATTCTTCCCAAAATGACCCACAGATTTAACGGATTTCAATCAAAAATCCATGCAGGAAATTTTGTAGATATATACAAGCTGATTCTAAGATTATATGGAAATGGAAAAAAGTAGAACAGCGAAAATCATTTTGAAAAATAAGAAAAAAGGTGGAAGAGGGACACTCATCTAAGACAGTTTGTATTGGTAAGGAGATATGCACACAGATCAACAGAAAAAAAGAGAGCCCAGAAATAAACCCACACAAATATGGCAATTCACCCACATAAAGCATACAATTCAGTAACTTTTAGTATATTCGCAGATGTGATAATCAATCTTAGAACATTTCATCACCTCAAAAGGAAACGCCACATTAGCAGTCTCTGGTCATTGCTCCCCAGTTCCCCCAGGATGATGAATGGTTTCCTAGGTTTCCCTAGGAAAGCGGGGAAGGGGAAACACTTAGGAAACCATTCATTTACTTCCTGTCTCTACAGATGCCCACTCTAGACGTTTCCTGTAAATGGAAACATACAATTTACAAAAACATACACCCATGAGATACCACTTCACACCCACTAGGATGGCTATGGTCAAAAAGATAGATAATAACAAGTGTTATCAAGGATGTAGAGAAATTGGAACTCTACCTTTCTGGTGGGAATACAAAATGGTGCAGCTGCTTTGGAAAACAACACGCATATGCCAATCTTGTCTGACAGTTCCTCAAAAGGTTAAACATAGAGTTAGAATATGACCCAGCAATTCCGCTCCTATACACCAAAAAGAAATGAAGGAATATGTCCACAAAAAAAGCTTGTACATAACTGTTCACAGCAGCTTTATTTATAATAACTGGTAAATGAAAACAATCTAAATGTCAATCAACTGATGAATGAATGAATAAAATGTAGTATATCCATATAATGGAATGTTAGGTGCTGTAATATGGAAGACCTTTGAAAACAAGCTAAGTGAAAGAAAGCAGTCACAAAAGATGACATATTATATAATGCCATTTATAGGAAATGTCCAGAATAGGCAAACCTAGAGAGACACAAAGTAGATTAGTAGTTGCCTAGGGCTGGGGAGGATGGGGAAAATGAGGATGACTGCTAAGGGATAAAGGGTTTCTCTGTGGGATGATGAAAATGTTCTAAAATTGTTGCATAACCCTGTGAATATACTAAAAACCATGGAACTGTACACTTTCGATGAGTAAATTATATGGTATATGAATGATATCACAACAAAGCTGCTGCCAAAAACAAAGCCACACACTTCCTATTGTGGCTTTATTTCTCTATTACTTTCCTCAACAGATGCATTTTGGAGTTCCCTTATTTTGAGGGACATACATCATCTTCCAAAATTAACTTTCTCCCCCTTCTACCATGTGAAACCATTAGGAGGGGCCATCTGTGAACCAAAAAGCAGGCCCTCACCAGACACCAAATCCACCTTGATTATAGATTTCCCAGGCTTCAGAACTGTGAGAAATAAATTTCTGTTGTTTATAAGCTTATATGTATGAGTTTCTAATGAGAGGTGATTGTTGGACTGCACACTGAAAAGGGCACAAAAATCTTACTTTGAGAAAGCAGAATGGTTGTAATCAATATTTCTAATCTATATGACACAATTTCTTTCTCAATTTTTTTTTGAGACAGGGTCTTGCTCTGTCACCCAGGCTGAGTACAGTGGCACCATCATGGCTCGATGTAGCCTCAATCTCCCAGGCTCAAGCGATCCTCTCACCTCAACTTTCCAAGTAGCTGGGACTACAGGCATCCACCACCATGCCCAGCTAACTTTTTATTTTTTGTTGAGATAGAGTCTTGATATATTGCCCCGGCTGGTCTCAAACTCCTGGACTAAAGTGATCCTCTAGCCTTGGCCTCCCAAGGTGCTGGGATTACATCTTTCTTAATTTGTACTGCAATTAGTTAAGATATGCAGGGAGGGAGTTAAATATAGAGTGTATAACTGTGGCTTCTGGGTGGTCCAGGTTTGATAGGGAAATTGGGAATAGAAAAGGGAGTAAGAACAAAAAACAAACGAGCAAACTCAATTTCTCCCCCTTATATACATCATAAAGACTGAGCTCTAATGAAATATAAGAACTATTTTGCATATCCTTCTAAGGCTTCCAGTGCCTGTGCAATCTGTTCACTTATCTGTCTTCATATTGGGTCATGTTCCTCTTCCTTCTGGGCCTCTTCTGGAAATCTCTTCCCTGCATATTTTCTCCACCTACTCACTGATAATTCCTACTTGTCCTTCCAATCTCGGTTTTAAAATCATTTCTTCTGGATAATAGTATTGAGATGGGAGAGTTCCCTGGCCCTCCTCACAGGATATGGGACAGGGGTGTGGCTCTCTGTTTGGGCTGGGCCACCACAAGCTCAAATCCCTTACGAGATGGGGGAGCACACAGATGGGCAAGTGTGGGAACCAAGGTGAGCACTTTTGGGCTCTGACCCCACGGCAGCATCTAGGGGTGGTTGCCTGTGACTCCCGAAGCCCCAGTGTTACTGTGCTTTTTTAGCTCTGCCATTCGCAGATAGCTTAAGTGTTAAACAGCTCAGTGGACCCCCTTGGGACCCAAGTCCTTGTTCAGCATCCAGGAAGAATCAGGTCACACATGGACTTGAAGGATGAATGCAGGGATTTTACTGAGTGGTGGAGGTGGCTCTCAGTGGGATGGATGAGGATCCAGAAGGGGGAATGGAATGGGAAGATGATCTTCCTGCTGGAGTTTGGCCATCCAGCAGCTGATCTCCTCTACAGTCATCCCCAGCTGAACTCCTCTGGGCATTCAGATGCTCCTTCTCCGCTGAGCCACTCGCCGTTCGTCTGCTCATCTCCTTGTCATCTAGCTTCTGGACCCTGAGATCTGAAGTTTATATGGGTACAGGATAGGGGGGGCATGGTGGGCCAAAGACAACTTTTGGGCTTGAAAACAGCTGGGCTTGAAAACAGGAATGCCTGTTCTCATTTAGGGCTGTGGGTTTCCAGGCTTGTGGGTGGGGCCTTTAACAGGGAATTGCCCTCTTCTACCCAGTATTTCCCTGTCTCCTCTTTGTATCAGTATCACATGCTTACTCTTAGCATAACAATGATCACATTATAAAATGAAAAGTGAACCATTTTTTAGTGTTTACTAGATGCTAGGCACTGTGCTAAACTGTTTACATACATGAAAATAGCTTCACAGAAATCACATGAGGTAGATGCTCTTAATTACCCTACTTCACAGATGAGGGAACTGAGGCTTAGACAGCTTGAACAACTTGCCCAACATCACACAGCAGTAAGTAAGAACATCAAGAGTTGAAGGCAGACCCACCCCCTGAGCCTCTAGGCATCATGCTCATTTACTTTTCCGTCTCCTCCACTTAATCATAAGCGTCTTAAGAGTCAGGATGGTATTTTGTATACCCTTGCCACATCACTAGCTGCTGTATTATAAATGTTGAATAAATATTTCCTGAATCAATAAATAAATATATTTTCAAATATACACTTAATGTTTTCTTTGTTCATAGACTTTTTTGTTTCTTTCAAAACGTGGGGAACTTCCATATGGCAGCAAATACTCCTGAAAACCAATGACAAACAGGGCAACATTTTCAAAAGCAATCATTTCAGGGTTCTGGAAATTGATCAAAGGCATACAAACAATTAAGAAGTGGTTATTGATGGAAAAACCACTCAACTTTAAGTAAGAACAGTGGATGTCTCTGGTGTTCTGGCCTGGAGCTGCTCCATGGTCACTCTACCAGGGCAGGGAAAGCAGCAAAAAATCAACAGTTTCACTTCCAGAGGGGCATGTCTGGGTCTATATCCCGTGTATTATTTTTATTTTTATTTTTATGTTTATTTTTTTCCTTAAGACAGAGTCTTGCTCTGTAGCCAGGCTGGAGTGCAATGGCACAATGTTGGCTCACTGCAACCTCCACTTCTGGGGTTCAAGTGATTCTGCTGCCTCAGCCTCCCGAGTGGCTAGGGCTATAGGCCCCCCACCATGCCTGGCAAATTTTTGTATTTTTAGTAGAGACAGGGTTTCAAAATGCTGGCCAGACTGGTCTTGAACTCCTGACCTTGTGATCTGCCCACCTCAGCCTCCCAGAGTGCTAGGATTACAGACATGAGTCACTGCGCCCAGCCTATCTGATGTATTATTAATGCTACCTTCTTATTTTACTACTCCAGGATTTCTCAACCTTGGCACTATTGATTTGAGGCCAGTAATTAATTCTTTGTGGCAAGGGGCTGTTCTGTGCATTGTATTAATAGGATGATATTCTGTATTATCTCTGACCTCTACCCACTAGATACCAGCAGCACCTCTTATGAAGTTGTGAGAACCAAAACTGTCTCCTGACATTGTTACATGTGCTCTGAGGAGCAAAACTGCCCCCAGATGAGAATCACTGGTTTCAGTTATTACCTCACAGTGTACTGTACAAAAATTAACTCAAAATGTATCATAGACCTAAATGTAAGAGCTAAAGCTAGAAAACTTCTAGAAAGAAACAAGGAGAAAAATCTTTGTGTCCCCGGTTCAAGCAAAGAATTCTTAGATATTATAACAAATATATAACCCATGAGAGAGAAAAAATGATGTATTGGGCTTCATCACGATTAAAAACTTTCTCATGTCAAAAGTCATCACTAAGAAAATGAAAAACAGAGACTGGGAGAAAATATTGCAAATTATATAATTAATAAAGATCTTGTATCTAATGTACATGAAGAAACATTAAAACTCAAGAACAGAAAGACAAACAACCCAAATTTAAAATAAGCAAAATATTTCAATCAACATTTCACTGAAGATTTATAAAAGGCTCATAAGTGCATGCAAAATGTTCAACATCATTAGTCATTATGAAGCCAGCCCAATTGTCCCATAGAACTGATGTTTATGGTTTCTTTTAAATAAACATAGAAATTGACCCTCCTAGTCTTATAAGTTATGAAAGTTAAAAATGTCTTATCTGAGTTCCTTTCTGAGGAAACCAACTATCAGTTCTCCCAGACAGTATTAAGGAACTAAAACTTACCAGATCATTGCATCTGGACAGTAAGACATAAGACCCCTCACCCATCATGATTGCCTATCTAACCGCCTGCTTTCTGTTGACCAACAGCTCTTCCTTTACCTTCTCTAATTCCTGTTTTAGTTTCTTCCCTGCTATATAAATGCCTGATTTTAGTTGGTGAGGGAGATGAATTTGAGACTGACTTTCTATTCTCCTTGGCTGCAGCACCTGAGTAAAGCCTTCTTCCCTGGCAGTAATTGTTGTCTTAGTGATTGGCTTTCTATGCAAAGAACAATGGGACCTAGATCAAACCCCTGGCATTTCAGTAACAATTAGGGAATCAATACCACCATGTGATACCATTATGCACCCACTAGGATGGCTATAATTTTAAAGAACAGATAAGTTTTGGTGTGGATGTGGAAAACCTATAATCTTATTCACTGCTGGTAAAATTGGGAAATAGTGAAGCCTTTTTGAAAAGAGCTTGGCAGTTACTTAAAAAGTTAAACTCACTAAACATAAACATAAACCTGGCAATTCATGCATAGAAATCTTCCAAAGAGTAAATATCATATGTCTACACAAAGACTTGTATATGAATATTTATAGCAGCATTATACAGTAAAGCCAAAAACAACCCAAATGTTCATTAAGTTGTGAATAAATAAACAAAATGTGGTATATACATACAATGCATACTATTCGGCAATAAAAATCATCAAACTACTGATACATGTTAAAACATGAATGAACCTTAACAGCTTTTTGCTAAGTGAAAGAAACCAGATACAAAAGAAAAACTATTGTATGATTGTATTTATATAAAATGTCCAGAAAAAGCAAATCTATAAATTCAGAAAGCAAATAGTTTCCTGGGCCTGGGTATGAGAGGGATAACTGCACATGGACATGACAGAATATTCTGGAGTAATGAAACTTCTAAAACAGGATTGTTGTGATGGTTGCACAACTTTGTAAATCTACTACAAATCATTGTATACTTAAAATGGATTAATTTGTGGAATGTAAATTGTGCCTCAATAAAGCTACAAGGGAAAACAACAGCAAGGAGTAGGCAGTAGAGGAATTATAGGTGAAATAATATTGGCAAAATATTGATAATTGTTGAAGCTGGTTAATGGATTATGGGGATCTTATTCTATTCCTTCTACATTTGTTTATGTTTAAAGTTAAGGATACTGGCCAGGCTGGTGGTTCACGCCTGTAATCCTAGCACTTTGGAAGGCTGAAGCAGGAGGATCACCTGAAGTCAGGAGTTTGAGACCAGCCTGGGCAACATGGTGAAACCCCGTCTCCATTAAAAATACAAAAATTAGCTGGGTGTGGTTGCACATTCCTATAGTCTCAACTACTCTTGAGGCTGAAGCAGGAGAATTGCTTGAACCCGGGAGGTGGAGGTTGCAGTGAGCCGAGATCATGCCACTGCACTCCAGCCTGGGTGACAGACCAAGACTCTGTCTCAAAAAACAAAAAAAAAAATAATTAATTCAATTAAATTAAGGATTCCAATAAACACAATTATCAGTATACTTCATGCCCAAAGCAGCCACATAAATAATTGTCATTGTAATGTAGACTTCCAAGAAGGCTCAGAATGGTTCTATTTTCCTAAACATTTCAATGTCTATAGGATAATTTACATAATATGATATTAATGACAGCAGAGCTTCCTAAGGAAATCTTAAATTTCTACTAATGGGTAGATCTTGGCAGGTTCTTCTCTAGAAAAAGCTTGCCAAACTGAAGCATTATTTGAAATTCACTGACTAGGCTGAAGTTGTAGCAAACAGCTTCAGCATTCTAACACCCTCTTCTGCTAACTAGTCTGGTATACCCAAAAATGTCTTGTTTTTTTTTTCCTGAGAGTTGACCTTTTTTTGGAGTTTTGCCTTAGAATAAGCTCTACTTTTCTGGAGAATCACTAACCTGGTGGAAAGAGCATGGAATTTGGATTCAGAACTGGGTCAGATCCGGTTCCAAACTTTACAACTGTTTGACCTTCAGCAAATTGGCTAATTTGTTTCTTCAACAATAACACAGTAATACTAATCCTGACCCTGCAGAGCTATTGTGACTATTCAATTACATAACCCATATAAAGCACATTGCACATTGTGGGTATCAAACAAATAATATATTTATAATCTAAGCCATTTTAAAATTGAGAACTGTGGCCGGGTGTGGTGGCTCATGCTTGTAATCTCAGCACTTTGGGAGGTCGAGGTGGGCGGATCACGAGGTCAGGAGTTCGAGACCAGCCTGGCCAATATAGTGAAACCCGGTCTCTACTAAAAAATACAAAAATTAGCCAGGGGTGGTGGCGCATGCCTGTAGTCCTAGCTACTCGGGAGGCTGAGGCAGGAGAATTGCCGGAACCCGGGAGGTGGAGGTTGCAGTGGGCCCAGATCACACCACTGCACTCCAGCCTGGATGACAGAGACTCTGTCTAAAAAAACATTGAGAGCTATATCTCATAATAAAAAAATGTATTGACTATTGTTACAACCTTAATAGATTCTGAAAAATGTCAAGATTTTTTAATCCAACTTTACTGATGATGATGCTAAAATCTAAGGAGAGATACCCCAAAATTTAGAAGTAGAATCTGGACTAGAAATTTAAAAATGGAATCCCATGACTTTTGAAGTAAGTTTAGCAAAATGATTAAATGCCAGCTTTTAGTCAGATAGCTTCAGTTTGGTCTCTAGCTTTACCACTTCCCTTAACCTTTGTATGCCTGTTTCCTCATCTGAAAAATTAGAATACTATTAGTAGCTATCCCAAAGTTTTGTTTTGATGATTAAATGAGTTAAGCATACCAAGACGTTAGAAAATCAGAGCCCAATAAATTCTAATTAATGTTAATTTTTAAAATTCTAATATATATTTCTTTATATTCTGTATCTAAAAATCAACTAGTCTTAAAACTGAAAATGTTAATTTTAGTAGCATTTTCTTTTTTCTCATGAAGTTATTATGAATTCTGTTTTTTACAACTGACGGTTAGACTCAAGGAAATATCAAGTTATCGACTTGATATCAACTTGGCTGAGTTCTGTTTCTTCTACACCTTAATATATCAAAAGTTATTAAGATCATGAAGTGAGCTGAAGGCTGGGGTCATATCTTACTCATATGTATAATTGCAATACCTAGAAATGACATATACTGACCTGAAGTATATATAATTATAGTCAAGGATGCTGTTTTAGAAAAAGAAATAAGATCACAAACACAAAATTAGGTTAATATTTATATAGAATGAGAACAGAAATTACAGCAAATTACTGGAGCTCTGGAGATGTCTTTGAAGTCATCTTTCATTTTCTTTGGAGTTTCAGTGTTATGACGAATGCACTTACAGAGAAATATTTCCTGAAAGCAAACTGGCCTCCACTCTCCACTAAGAATACTCTGCAGTGTCCTGCAAGTCCCACCACTCACAGAGACCCAAGCAAGTGAAAGTCCCTGAATTTTAAGCTTCATTTGCTTCACAATGAGTCCACTTCTGCCCATGGCTCCCTTACTCCTCCAAGTCTCTGAAGCAAAGCTACCATCCTATTTCACCATCCTCTTACCCTGCTTCACACTTTTTCATGGCATTTTACATTTTGACAGCACCTGAGATGTTAAGTTGTTTTATTTTTCTTTTTTTCCTTTTTTTTTTTTTTTTTTGAGATGGACTCTTGCTCTGTCACCCAGGCTGGAGTGCAGTGGCGCAATCTCAGCTCACTGCAGCCTCCACCACCCGGGCTCCAGCGATTCTCCTGCCTCAGCCTCCTGGGTAGCTGGCATTACAAGTGCATGCCACCATGCCTGGCTAATTTTTATATTTTTAGTAGGGACGGGGTTTCACCCTGTTGGCCAGGCTGGTCTCAAACTCCTGACCTCAGGTGATTCCACCGCCTTGGCCTCCCAAAGTGCTGGGATGACAGGCCTGAGCCACCGCACCGAGATGTTAATTATTTTTTGTTGTTGTATATTGCCTGTTTCCCTCCCTTCCCCCCACTGAAATGTGAGCTCTAGTGTTAGTGTAGGGTTTGTGTTGTCTCCTATATCACTGGTGTCTAGAACAGTGAGTGACACATAGTTGGATCTCACAAAATTTACCATTTGTTGAGTAAATGAATGAATAAACAAATGAAAATCAGGTGGAAATACTGTATTACAGCTTGAACTAATTATTTGCCTGATGTACTTTACCTTTGGTGGAATGGGTATCTATTATGCTTGCCTAGAAACAAAAATGGTAACATGATATCTTCACAAGTGGGTCTGTTTCTAACATTTTGGAATACATTAATTTAATGTTGGCATTCCAGGCAAAATAATTGCAAATTTAATAAATCTCTTCAAAGAAGATAATCCTAGCAGTCATCTGACATCTTTTTCACACTGTATAAATATTATGATTGAAACTGCAGACATTGATGGATTATACTCATTAATTTATATTTCAGTTTCTTAACCTACTAAATTTACTAGGTTAGTTAATGTAGTTAACAGAATGGCTAATAAACAGAATTCAGAAACCATGGTAAACTAGAAAGTGATCAGTGTGGGAGGAAAAATCAAAATACTCTTTCTTTTCAAATTCCATTTCCTATCAATTCTCAAATAGAGAAGAATTCATAGTTTATTTCAAAACCCTAAAATAATCATAAACAGCTTGAGCAATTGATAACCAGGAATTAACAAATTCTTCCTAATATGTCTCCTTGTTATAAAACAATAAAGCAAACCGCTGTTATAATTATTTATCTATATCATTTATCATGCTCTCTTAGGGATAACCCATGCATAACTCTATAAATTTAGCAGATGTGGGAAAATAGTTGTTAGTAGGGCAGATTGCAGATTGTATGTCAAAGGAATGCCTTCAAGATATGGATTAACTGTAATTGTCTCACTATGTCTGTCTTGGGATTCATTAGATTTCTCTGCTTCAAGCTTCCTGATGTCCCCTGTACCTAGATCCATTTGCTGTTCTCTGCGCAGGTGCTTCTCTGACTTCCAGCATTTTCTCATCAAGGCCAATCTTCTATATTCCCTAAGATTCTAGACCTCTCACCATCTATACATCTAAAGCAGAACCTTCAGGAACTTATATAAATTTTACTTACATAAATTTTCTCTTATCAGTGTATACCAGTAAACAGATGTCTACAAGTTCAGAAAAGAGGATGAGAGACTAAAGACCAGAAATTAAGTTTAAAAATCTGGAAAGAAATTCATGCAGTGACTATCCTCATCCTTTGTTTCTTTTTCCTTCTTTCCAGAATATCAGTTTTTGATGAATGAAAAAAATGGATTTTTTCCACTAATGGATTACTCAAGGTTAGATATTTTTAAATGAGTACATTTCAATTGCTCTGTATTAGCAGCATATCACTAAACTATTTTAGCAACACCCAGACAGGACTTTTTTTCTAGAGTGAAAGGCAAGGAGTTATTATCCCTTTTCAACTAGATTTTCACTGGATTTTAGAAGTGTAGGTCGCACTGAGAGGTGAAGCCGGCTGGGCTTCTGGGTCGGGTGGGAACTTGGAGAACTTTTCTGTCTAGCTAAAGGATTGTAAATGCACCAATCAGTGCTCTGTGTCTAGCTAATGGTTTGTAAACACATGAATCAGCGCTCTGTGTCTAGCTAATGAGGTAGGGGACTTGGAGAACTTTTCTGTCTAGCTAAAGGATTGTAAATGCACCAATCAGCACTCTGTGTCTAGCTAAAGGTTTGTAAATGCACCAATCAGCACTCTGTAATACGGACCAATCAGCACTCGGTACAATGGACCAATCAGCTCTCTGTAAAATGGACCAATCAGCACTCAGTAAAATGGACCAATCAGCTCTCTGTAAAATGGACCAATCAGCAGGATGTGGGTGGGGCCAAATAAGGGAATATAAGCAGGCCACCCAAGCCAGCAGAAGCAACCTGCTTGGGTCACCTTCCACCCTGTGGAGGGTTTGTTCTTTTGCTCTTCCCGGTAAATCTTGCTGCTGCTCACTTGTTGGGTTCACACCACCTTTATGAGCTGTAACACTTACCAAGAAGGTCTGCAGCTTCACTCTTGAAGTCAGCAAGACCAGGAACCCACCAGGAGGAACAAACAACTCCGGATGCATTGCTTTTATGAACTGTAACAATCATAGTGAAGATCTGCAGATTCACTCCTGGAGTCAGCGAGACCGTGAACCCACCAGAGGGAGGAAACTCTGGATACGTCTGAACAACAGAAGGAACAAACCCCAGCCACACCATCATTAAGAACTGTAACACCGTGAGGGTCCGCGGCTTCATTCTTGAAGTGAGAGAGACCAAGAACCCACCAATTCCAGACACAATATACTGTCTCTCAATTGTAAAACTCAAGTATAAGCAACAGCTTAAGCCAGAGAAATTTTCATGAAATGATAATGTAGGTGTTGGTCTAAATTCCTCTGTGGGACTTAGCAGGGTGCATCTTTGCACTGTCCTTGGCAGGGAGGATTCAAAGTGCTCCCCATGCGTTCTGGAGTTAGTCCATTAGTGCTGACAACTCCTATACATTATCTGTTTGTACTGAATACATGGGAAAGGTCTGAAGACTGTCCACATGTGAACAAAAGAAATAACTAAGTCCTATATAACAAACCTTGATAACATCCCTAAAAAAATAAGAGGTCTCCATCCTCAAAATGCCAGCCTCAGGTGACTGAATAAACAAAATTTCCAGATGTTGAAACTGGCCCAATTGTCTCAGAACTGATATTTATGGTTTCTTGGAATAAACATAGAAATTGATCCTCCCAATCTTAAAACCTGAGAAAGTTATTACTGTCTTATCTGAGTTCCTCTCTCAGGAAACCAACCATCAGTCCTCCCAGATAGTGTCAAGGAACCGTAACTTACCAGATGATTGCATCTGGACAATAAGACGCCAACTCCTAACCTATCATGATTGCCTAACTGACCACCTGCTCCCTGTAAACTAACTCCTCTTCCTTATGCCTCCCTAATTCCTGTTTTCCCACACATGGTTACATTTCATTTCTGCTATATAAACCCCTAATTTTAGTCAGTCAGGAATATGGATTTTAGGCTGATTTCACATCTCCTCTGCTGAAGCACCCTTAAAGCCTTCTTCTCTGGCAATAATAATTGTCTCAGTGATTGACTTTCTGTGTGGTGAGCAGTAGGACCTAGACCAAACTCCTGGCATTTCAGTAACAATATGTGATTGACATTTTCACATCTGTATCACGTATACTTAGTTTAAATGAGTGAAAGACAACTTTGTGGGTTACATAGTGTCCTCCAAAATTTATGTCCACCTGGAAACTGAGAATGTGACCTTATTTAGAAATAGGGTGGGCCGGGTGCAGTGACTTACGCTTGTAATCCCAGCACTTTGGGAGGCCGAGGTGGGCAGATCATGACGTCAGGAGATCAAGACCATCCCAGCCAACATGGTGAAACCCCGTCTCTACTAAAATACAAAAAATTAGCCAGGCATGGTGGCGCACACCTGTAGTCCCAGCTACTTGGGAGGCTGAGGCAGGGGAATCGCTTGGATCTGGGAGGTGTAGGTTGCAGTGAGCCGAGATTGCGCCACTGCACTCCAGCCTGGCAACGGAGCAAGACTTTGTCTCAAAAAAAAAAAAAAAAAAAAGAAAGAGGGACTTAGAGGCTGTAATTAGTTAAGGTAAGGTCACTCTGGATTACAGTGGGCCCTAAATCCAACAACTGGTGCCTTTATGAGAAAAAGACGTACAGAGAGACTGAAAGGAGAATGCCATGTGAAGACAGACGCAGAGACTGAAGCAATGCCTCTACAAGCCAAGAAATGCCAGGGAGTGCTGGCAACCCCGAGAAACTAGGAGAGGCAAGAAAAGATTCTTCCTTAGACCTTTTAGAGGTGATGCATGGTATTTTTGCTCCTTAGCTCAGCTAGGTCTGAGTTCTTGCCTCACAACCAGAAAGAAGTAGGCACATAGACACTTGAAGAGTGAGTGGAGTAGAACTGATTAAGCGAAAGGAAAGTCCTCAGCAAAGAGAGGGGTCCTGAAACCAGGTTCCCAGTTGCCCCCCTCACAGTTGAATACAAGGACTTTTTATAAAAGCTGATAGCGCTACATAAAGCATGAATTCCGGGTACCTCCACCCCCCACCTCAGTGCATGCTGGCCTTTAGTCTGTGGCAGGTATGTTTAGGCAAGCCCCCTGTGCAAGTTCCCTTACTTGCACAAAACATCTGATGTAGGCACTTGTGAGGTGAGTCGGATGTTCTCTGCAGGCCCTTCCCTCGCTCTCTGCCTAAAGCAAGCTGGCTAACTCCTTCAGAAGAGCATGGCCCTACCAACAGCTCGTCTGCAAACTTCTAGCCCCCAGAACTGTGAGAGAATAAATTTCTGTTGACATAAGCCACTCAGCTTGTGGTAATTTGTTATGGCAACCCTAGAAAACTAACATAGCAGCCAACACAGAAGATTGCAGAGAAGTTCCTAGGAGGATGCGGGAAGGAGTTTTCCTGAAAACAGACTTTAAAAATAAATAAATAAATAAATAAACTATAGGCCAAGGCCATATGAAATGAAATAAAAACATTTCTTCCGATTGAGATGAGAAAAATATAGATTTCACTCTATTGAGAGGCTTTGTAGACAACATTGGAAGTCAGAGCTGTCTCTACCATCACTTAATTCCTTCTCACTTCCCTTACCTAATTGTATTTAAACAAAATAAGGTTGTGCTACCAATTATTTGTCAAATGGAGACTTGATTTTTGATTCACGGTCTTTAGGATCTTGTTTTCAATACTAAAGAATAGTCTGTGACCGTAAGGCTGCACCCTGGTGTTCAAATCAGGCCAACTGATTGGCATTGTTTTTTTCAACTTTTTTTTTTTTTTTTTAATGTTGACATTTCCAGAGTAATGCTGCGGTACAACGTTCCAGAAAGTCAAGAGTTAACCAGCGTTCAGGAAATCAGAAACTAAAAACCTCCCCTAAATAAGGTGGAAAAACTTAAGGCAAATATAATTAAGGCAAATGTATGACCTTGTTTACATATAAATTAGACAGCATGAAATTGAGGGTTGCCGGCCAAAGGTTAAGGAATTTGTATCCAATTTGTAACTTGTAGTTGGCAGCAAACAGGAAAAACAAAGACGAAACTTTAGCCTGCAAGATCCTCCCTGCATATCTACCCAGGGAAGTTTGTTCGCTGATGAATGGCCCCGTTCCAATGTTCTGCACATCCTGTTTCAGTACTCCGAGCACAACCACAAGTTTTAGAAGTCATTTTAGCCACAGAAGATGGTCACAAAGTATTGTGGTGTTGGCTTCTCACAGAGACACAAAAGGGGAGAATTATGTTGTTTTTATTCATACCGAGCTTTTTTAATGCCGAAGTACTGAATGGAATTTTCAGAGGAAAAACACAACAAAGAAAAAGGATCAATAGTAAAAGCCATGGCTAGCCACTGTAAATGTTTGGTGTGCACAATACACAGCCGCAGGAGGGGAAGGAAGGAGGTTGAAACGCTGATCAGAAGACTTCCGTTCAGCTAAAAGGATCAGAAGTGAGACTGAAAATGAGATGGCAAAGAAAATACCCTTCAAATCCATTCTCTGTGCTTACCTCTCTCACATTCCCATCTTCTGAGCCCTCCTGAAAAACATAGCCACCGACTTTCTGAAATTTTTGCAGAGGAGAAGGGGAAATAAGGGTGGGTTTTATAAAGTTTATGCATATTGCAAGAGTGGTAGAAAAATGTGTTTTCTTGCTGCAGGTGGGCAGTGATTCAGGTTTGGATGCAACCTGGATTATATTTTCTTTCTTTCTCAATGTCTGCTCATTAAGTGGAAGGGAATTGCTCGTCTCAGATAAGACTTTGGACCTGGACTTTTGAGATAATGCTGGAATGAGTTAAGAACTCATTAACTGCTGGGAAGGCATGATTGGTTTCAAATGTGAGAATGACGTTCTTTGAGTCTGTGTCCCCACCCAAGTCTCATCTCGAATTGTAATCCCTACATGTCAGAGGAAGGGCCTGGTGGGAGGTGACTGAATTATGGAAGCGGACTTCCCCCTTGCTGTTCTCATGATCGTGAGTAAGTTCTCACAAGATCTGGTTGTTTGAAAGTGTGTGGTACTACCCACTTCGCTCACTGTCTCTCCTGCTCCACCATGATAAGACGTGCTTACTTCCCCTTCACCTTCTGCCATGATTGTAAGTTTCCTGAAGCCTTCCAGTCATGCTTCCTGTTAAGCCTGCAGAACTGTGAGTCAATTAAACCTATTTTCTTCATAAATTACCCAGTCTAGGGCAGTTCTTTATAGCTGTGTGAAGATGGACTAATACATTGCCCATGGCTACTTTGGCCTCCAACTATATTAAAATAATCAAAAGGCCATGTTGGTTCAGAGTACAAGCACTTTCTCAACACTGGATCCAGCATTATTTTGAGTCTTCCCTAAACTTTATAATCTTTTGAGGTTGACTTCCATTCCTGTCTTCCTCCTGGAATAGAATTTCCTCTAATCTGCCCAATCTAGTCAATAAATAATTTCCTCTGGATGCTGCTCTTCATCAAAAGCAAAACCAGCTTGTTCCATGATGCCTAGACAGGTGTCTCTCTCTCCTAAAGCCCTCTTTCAGTCTTCTGAACCAACGTTGTTTAAATCTACCATGCATGTTTTGCCATTGTGTACTAATTGCGTGAGTGCAATTAGGATACCTATTTTGTACCCCAAAATGATGGTCCTCCATACTGGGGTTAGATGAGTGGTAGTCACACCTAGATTGATTTACTTTGACTAAACCATAAAGCTTTCCATAGCCTTCCTCCTCTCAGGATGGGGCTGTCCCCCAGGGAATTCACACTCTCACGTGATGCCTACTGCTTTAATACCTTCAGAAACCTATTGTCTTTTCCTATTCTGTTTAATAGCTTTCCACCCACAAAACACGTGTTATATGTATTTGTAGACAGCACATGGCAAGACGTTCGGCATACGATTGCTATATATTTTTTCATTATAATCGGAGAACTTTCTAAGTATTTGATCATCAATGTTTGTAGTTACACAGTAAAGAGTCTTGCCAAGAGTTGTACACCAAAGTATGATGGCCCAGTAGGGAATAGTTCCTGGAAATTCTTTCCCAAGTGATATTATTTGTAATAGTTGTATCCTGAAATAAGAATCCACAGACATGAGCATATTACTAGAGTTCTACTCAGTTACTAACAATTGATCCAGTTCATCATTCCATCACCAAAATATCTCCCAGAGTGATGCTACTTGGTTTTGCAGGTTTCATTTGAACTTGTCAGGTTCAAAAAGCAAGAGTAATGTCAGCAAACACATGGCTCCACCCTTTTTGGGTATCTGATATATTGTACTAAAAGAAAATATGGTTCTCTTGCTCTCAGCCTCTCTCAAAGGGCTGTTGTAGTATTGGATTTCCCTCATTTCATAATCCATGTATTCATTCCTTTCTTTACCCTCAGCTACTATTTCTCCTCTTTATTTGTCATTCTTTTTTTTTTTTTTTTTTTTTTGAGACAGAGTCTTGCTCTGTCACCCAGGCTGGAGTGCAGTGGTGCAATCTCAGCTCACTGCAAGCTCTGCCTCCCAGGTTCACACCACTCTCCTGCCTCAGCCTCCCAAGTCGCTGGGACTACAAGCACCTGCCACCACGCCCAGCTAATTTTTTGTATTTTTAGTGGAGACGGGGTTTCACTATGTTAGCAGGATGGTCTCGATCTCCTGACCTCATGATCCGCCTGCCTCAGCCTCCCAAAATGCTGGGATTACAGACATGAGCCACCAAGCTCAACCTATTTGTCATTACTTTTTACCTAAACTTTTCCACTTTTGGAATGGATGTTAGGTTTAGCTGAAGCCATCCTCACCAGTTAACAAGTATTCTGAACAAAAATATAGTTATACTTAAGCATTAATTGGACTGCATTTTGACCCACTTCGTTGTAATTGAAAGCCACGTAGCACTAGATACTAACCATTTGCATCCCCATTGTTCCTATAGATAAGATTTCTGATGTTAGAATCACAAGGCTTTTGTTTAAGATAGATAGGATCTCTGACATTAGAAGAGTAAGGTGTTTGTTTAACAAAGAATTGCTGAAGATCATAGGATGTTCTTTAGCTTTGTTTTGAATTGTCATGAGACAATTGTCATGTTTTGCATCCTTGCTACTTTGTGACAGCCTCTCTATCTATGCCTCAGGTGAGAAGTTGCAGCTTGACGTCATGGATGCCAGTCCTCTTAGGTGTCATAGGGAAGCTGTTCCCTCAAGGAAGGGCAGTGGTGATGACTGCGTTGTGTTCATGGTGCTTCGTGGACAAACATATTTTTACCTGATCTGCCTAAGAAAGAATGGATGTTTGGTGATGGAGAAGGCAGGGACAGGCTTTATCTCCATTAAGAGCTTTGAAACCCTTCATCACTTAAGGAGAGAGATCTCATTGTCAGAAAGCCAAAAAACCAGGTCATGTAATACCTGATCATTGTGTAATATAATGTGGAGTAAAAAGTAAAGGGGTTTTCTGGGGGGAAAAAAAGAATTGCTTAAGATATTTTTCAGATCCTGAATTCCAGTATAACAGCTGACCCCAGGCCGGGCACGGTGGCTCACGCCTGTAATCCCAACGCTTCGGGAGGCCGAGGTGGGTGGATCATGAGGTCAGGAGATCCAGACCGCGGTGAAACCCCGTCTCTATTAAAAATACAAAAAAATTAGCCGGGTGTAGTGGCAGGCGCCTGTAGTCCCAGCTACTCGGGAGGCTGAGGCAGGAGAATGGTGTGAACCCGGGAGGTGGAGCTTGCGGTGAGCCGAGATTGCACCACTGCACTCCAGCCTGGGCGACAGAGTGAGACTCCATCTCAAAAAAAAAAAAAAAAAAAAAAAAAACCCAAAAAACAGCTGACCCCAAATAATTTGAAGACGCCCCACAGAGAAACAGAATAAGCATGTGTATTAGTCTGTTTTCATGCTGCTGATAAAGACATAACCCAGACTGGGAAATTTACAAAAGAAAGAGGTTTAATTGGACTTACAGTTCCACATGGCTGGGGAAGCCTGACAATCATGATGGAAGGCAAGGAGGAGCAAGTCCTGTCTTAAGACAAATGGCAGCAGGCAAAGAGAGAATGAGGAAGATGCAAAAGCAGAAACCCCTGATAAAACCATCAATCTCATGAGACTTACTCACTACCATGAGAAGAGTATGGACGAAACCACCCTCATAATTCAACCTCATGAATTACCTCCCACCGGGTCCCTCCCACAACAAGTGGGAATTACGGGAGTACAATTCAAGATGAGATTTGGGTGGGGACACGGAGCCAAACCATATCAGTATGAGAATATAGTTTATTTCCCTGTCCCATGACTTCACCCTGCACTCTTCAACCCATCAAAGATCTCTACACTTCTACCCACTCCAAAACCCCATCCCCAAACTCCTTGGGGAGATGGCTTTGTTCATCATTCAGCAGCCCTATGATTAAGCCTCTTTCTCTGTTGCAAGCCAGTGTCTTAGCATGTTGACTTGCTGTGTGCATTGGACAATGAACATATTACAGTTATATAGCCACTCCGCTGGTCTGGATTGTGAGCACAAACACCAGGCTGTCAAGTGTCTCCTCAGTTCATTCTTTTCTGTTTTAGTCCATTTTGTGCTGCTATAACAGAACACTGACTAATTTATAATGAACGAAAATTTATTTTCTCACATTTCTGGAGGCCAAGATCAAGGGGCCAGCATAAGCATAAGGTGAGGGTCTTCTAGATGTGTCATCCTGTGGCAGAAGGGCAAAAAGAGGACAAGAAATCAAGAGATCAAACTTGCAGCCTCAAGCACTTTTGTAATTAGCATTAATCCACTCATAAGGGTGAACCCTTCATGACCTATACACATCCCTTTAGGTCCCACATCCCAGCACTGTTGCACTGGGAATTAAGTTTGAAACACATGCTTTTTGGGAGAAACAGTCAAACCATAGCACCACCCATTCAGGGTAGGATTACATAGGTACAGAATTTGTAGGCCATTACAACCGCTAAGCAATACCAATACAGCTGCATTTACTGTCAACTCCAATTTTGCCAGATAGGATGAAGGCAAATTCCATTCCATCAGGCCTTCAGGAATTCCGGCATAAAAGTTTAAAGATATTGTTACAGTTTCTTGCATAGCAATCATCCCTGCTTCTGGCATCTGCAGTTGCAGCCCCGGTCCTGGGACTACTGCATCAGGTAGGAAACAAAATAATTGAGGACATGTAGGAAAGAACTGTATTGTTGTACCAGCATATTCCCCTAGCTCCCTTCCACAAGTTCCATGGAAAGGCAGAGGAATCTATCTAGGTGAAATTACCTGTCTTCTGTTTTATAGTACGAGGTAGGGAATTATTCTCAGTCAGACATAATATCCATCCCTCTCCTAGCCCCCCCATCATATTAAATGTGAGCACACACTCATGAAGGCATGTAAGCCAGCCCTTCATGCCTTTATCCCCCACCCCCATTTTAAACAACAGTATTCAATTAAACCATTACTTTGAGGATAATATGCAACATGTTTACTTGGTTGATCTATTTACTTGTTGTTGGACACTATGGGTTGTAAAGTATGATATTTGGTATAAAAAACAAAGTAACTTGGTGGTCCAAGTTGGCACAGTATCTTCTTTTACAGTCTGATATAGTTTGTATATTTGTCTTCTATTACAATCTGTATTGTTTGTAGATTCGTCCCTCGCCAAATCTCATGTTGGATTGTAATCCCCAGTGCTGGAGGTGAGGCCTGGTGAGAGGTGTTTGGATCTTGAAAGTGGATCCCTCATGGCTTGGTGCTCTTTGTGATAGTGAGTTCTCACAAAATCCGGTCATTTAAAAGTGTGTGGCACCTCCCTCCCACTCTCTGTCGCTTGCTCCTGCTTTTGCCATGTGAGGTGCCTCCTGCTCCTTCACCTTCTGCCATGATTGTAAGCTTCCTGAGGGCGCCCTAGAAGCAGATGCCACTACACTTCCTGTACAGCCTGCAGAACCATGAGCCAATTAAACCTCTTTTCTTTTAGATTGCCCAGCCTGAGGCACTTATTTATAGGAATGCAAGAATGGCCTAAAACAAAACATTAGTTCAAGAGTGAATCTAGGAATGGTACATTGGTATAAAGATAACTGAAAATGTAGAAGCAACTTTGGAACTGGGTCATGAGAAGAGGTTACAAGAGTTTGGAGGGCTCAGAAGAAGAAAAGAAAATGAGAAAATGTTTGGAACTTCTTAAAGACTGGTTAAATGGTTATGACCAAAATGCTGATAGTCATACAGTCAGTAAAGTCTAGGCCAACAAGGTCTCAGATAAAAATGAGGGACTTACTAGGAACTTGAGCAAAGGTCCCACATGTTATGCTTTAGCAAAGAAGTTGGCTGAATTTTGTTCAGATCCTAGGGATCTGTGGAAGTTTAAGCTTAAGAGTGATGATTTAGAGTATCTGGTGGAAAAAATTTCTGAGCAGCAAAGTGTTCAAGATGTGGCCTGGCTGCTTCTAACAGCCTCAGCTCACGTACAGGAGGAAAAAAAAAACTTAAAGATGGAATTTATATTTAAAAGGAAAGCAGAGCGTAAAACTTGGGAAATTTGCAGCCTAGCCATGTGGCATAGAAAGAGTCAAGCAGGCTCTGGAACAACCACTTGCTAGAGAAATTAGCGTAACTAAAAGGGAACCAAGAGCTAATATCCAAGACAATGGAGAAAGGCCTCAAAAGCATTTCAGAAACCTTAGTGGCTGCCTCTCTCATGGCAGGCCCAGAGGCCTAAGAGGATGGAATGGTTTTGCACAACAGAATGGTTTTGTAGGCCAGGTCCAGGGACCCACTGCCCTGTGCAGCCTGGGAACACTGCTCCCTACATCCCAGCTGCTCCAGCTCCAGCTATGGTTCAAAGGGGGCCAGGTACAGCTCAGGCTGCCACTTTGGAGAACACAAACCATAAGACTTGGCAGCTTGGTGATAAGCTTGCAGGTGCACAGAGTGCAAGAGTGAATAAGGCTTGGCACTCTCCACCCAGACTTCAGAAGATGTATGGAAAAGCCTGGGTGCCCAGACAGAAGCCTGTTGCAGAGGCAGAGCCCCCAGAGAACCTCTACTAGAGCCCCCTAAGGAGAAATGTAGGGCTAGAGCCCCCACACAGAGTCCCCAGTGGGGATCTGCCTAGTGGAACTGTGAGAAGAAAGCCACCATCCTCTAGACCCAAAAATGGTAGATCCACCAGTAGCTTGGACACTGCACCTGGGAAAGATGCAGCACTCCATCTCATGAGAGCAGCTGTGGGGGCTGCACCCTGCAAAGCCACAGGGTTGCCTGAGGCCTTGGGAGCCCATCCCTTGCACTAGTATGCCCTGGGTACAGGATATGGAGTCTAAGGAAATTACTTTGGAGCTTAAAGATTTAATGACTGCCCTGCTGGGTTTCAAACTTCCATGGGGCCTGTAGCCCTTTTCTTTTAGCCAATTTCTCCCTTTTGGAACAACAATGTTTACCCAATTCCTATACCTCTATTGTATCATGGAAGTAACTAACTCATTTCTCATTTTACAGGCTCATAGGTAGAAGGGATTTTCCTTGTCTCAGATGAGACTTTGAACTTTGGACTCTTGAATTAACACTGGAATGAGTTAAGACTTTGGGGGACTGTTGGGAAGGTATGATTATATTTTGCAATGTGAGAAAGATGTGAAATTTAGGAGGGGCCAGGGCAGATTGAAACAGTTTGCATATTTGTCCCTGCCCAAATCTCATGTCAAATTGTATTTTAATCAGGGGGGTAGATCTCTCATGGCTTGGTGCTGTCTTCATGATAGTGAGTGCTTGCACAATCCTGTCATTTAAAAGTGTGTGGCACTCCCCTTCCCTTGACCTCTCCTGCTTGCTCCTGCTTTCACCATGTCATGTGCCTGTTCCCCCTTTGCCTTCTGACATGATTGTAAGCCTCCTGAGGCCTCCCCAGAGACAGATGCTTCTAGGCTTCCCATACAGTCTGAAGAAACGTGAGCCAATTAAACCTCTTTTCTTATAAACTACCCAGCCTGAGGCATTTCTTAATAGCAATGCAAGAATGGACCAGTACAGACCTTTTAGTCTTGTTAAAATCAGCCCAAGTGGCCCATGGAAGTAATGTTTACTATTTTTTGGATAAACTTAGAAATTGACCTCCTCAGTCTTAAAGCTTGAAACTTACATTTGTCTTATCTGAGTTCCTTTCTTGGAAACTGACCCACAGGCCACCCAGACAGTATCAAGAAGACGAAACTCACCATATCATCACATCTAGATAGTGAGACACCAGACCTGTCACCCATCATGATTGGCTAACCGACCACCTGCTTCCTGTTGACCAATTCCTCTTCCTTATCTTTCCCGAATTCCTATTTTTTCACATGTGGTTACATTTCCTCCCTGCTATATAAACCCCAAATTTCAGTCAGTTGAGGAGACAAATTTGAGCCTGATCTCCTGTTCTCCTTGGCTGCAGCATGCAAATAAATCCTTCTTCCCTGGCAATACTCCTTGTCTCAGTGATCGTTTTTCTGTGCAGTGAACAGCAGGATCTAGACTGAAGTCTGATGTTTGGGTAACATTGTGAGCATTTTCTTCTCCCATCAGGTAGGCAAAGTCCAGTCCTAAGTTAGTGTTTATTCTTGTCAAGATACAATTACAGTCTCTCTGAGATACTGGCACCAGTCCAATGTAGCCTATTTTCCAGCTCCGTGCAGGTCCTTCTCCCTGGGGAGCCTGTCCCATAGCCCTCCACAGTCTCTGTCTTTCTTGCTGGTAGACTGGACAGTTCTTGTTGACATTTTGTGCCGCAGAGGTGTAAAAGGTGTATGTTGATGACCAGACCATCTTTGCATTCCTACAGCTCCTCCATATTCATTCATTTCATGGACCTAGGTGGCCCCCTCAAGCGAAAACACCAGATTTGGTGGTTTCAATCACCTTCCAATCTTAGAAGGATGTTCTTCTGATGGGCATCAAGATTTCCTACTTTAATGCATCATTTATATTCCCGTAGTCATTTCCATAGGGGCATACCCTATACAGGAATCTCTTTATTAGTCTAATTTTTCATTGCCCATCTAACTGACCATATAGCCAAACCATTGGCCAATGCCCATGAGTTGGCAAAAACCCAAACATAGGGGCTATTATCATTGTTCAATTCTTCCACCACTGCAAGAAAAACACCATGCTATTCAGTCTACTAAGGTGATTGGTTCTTGCCTTCTTCAATCAGTTTTTCCATCAGTCAGTCACAGTGTGACAGGCCTTCAAATAAGGTGATGTCGGTCCACCTGGCAGCTGCCATCCATAAACCAAGCAGTGTTTTCTTGGCCAATAGAGAGCTGTTCATAGGGCACCACTGGTGTGACAGTAACATCCTGCAGTTCCTCTTGTGGTTCCAAAGTCAGCTATAGGGGGAAGAGGGGTATCTGCTCTTAAATGTGATGACTACCTCCTTGCACTCTCCCAAGTAGCATGTTCCCATATAAATCATTTCCATTTTATTATGGAACTATTTTGTGTCTGCATTCCATATTAAAATGTTTCTCTAATATCATCCAAGACATTATGGATATTTCAGGATTCCACATTATTTTATGTCCTTCAGTCATAGGGGCAGTTTCGATTATTGTCAGTGCAAGCTGGTAATTGTCTCTCAAAGGGTATATACAATACTACTGCATACGGAAATTTTCTGTTTCTAAATTCCAGCAGTCACTCCGGGTGGTAGTGACAGACTTTTGCCATAAGCTCTAGTCTGCATAAGTGTGTGTTACAGATGCTTCCAAAATCCTATCTGAGTGTGGATCATAAGGGCCAAAAGGATTGAGAGGGCTACCACTTTTTGCAATTCAGACATAGTCTGGTTTTGTCGAGGATTCCATTCAAATATGACCTTCTTTCAGGTAGTTTTATGGATAGAATCTAGCAATATTCCCAGATGTGGAATATGTATCCTCCAAAATACAAGGAAATTGGCAAGGTACTGTGATTCTTACTTAGTTCTCAGGAGAGACAACAACAGCAGCTTATTTTCAGTCATCTGTGGAATGCCTGTGGTGGCTCCTGTCCAGGTTATTACTAAGAATTTTATCATTTGGGCAGAACCCTGAATCTTTGCTAGATTTATCAATCAGGTTTTTGTTGGCAATGTGCGCCAGCATTGCATTAATGTCAGTTTTGCTCATTCTTCTGTTTCTGATTTTTTATATTATTAATATATGTGCATTATTAAACTTCAGACCTGCATCAAGTCTGAATCTCTTCTAATCAAATTATGAAAATAAGCTGGTTATATCAAATAACCCTGTGGCGATACAGTAAATGTAAAATGGGATCCTTCCATGTAAAGCCAAACTATGGTTGGCTCTTTTCTGATTGATACAGGAAAAAAAGAATTTGCAAGATAAATCACTGAGCATCATTCTCTTTGGCCTACTGTATTTTTGCACTATTGAAACCATATCAAGGACGGCTGATGCTACAGGCTGCACATCTTTATTCCAGCCTCAGTAGTATACTTTGAATCTCCATTAGTCACGTACTTTTTCATGGGTCACCCAGGGCTATTGTACAGAGAACTTTTGATACCAGCACTCCAGCTTCTAATATTGTCCTTAATTAAAGTAGTAAGGTCTTTATTGTCCACCAGGTATTCTATACTGTTTCAGATTAACAACCTGTATGGGATCAGGCAATTCTATAGATTCTCATTTGGAATGTCCAATTAATACTAGCTGAAAGATAACCTACATGCCTCATGTTTTACAATACTAGGTAGACAAGTGTTCCCCAGTCAAGCATAATATTTACTCCAATAACACATTCAGGAAAAGTAGACACAATGATTTCACTTAAAGTACATTTGAATATTCTAATTTTTATCCAAACTTTCACCTAAATCCCATCAACCACTGCATCTCCAATATCCTTCAATCTAACTGTAGCCCTATTAGAAATTCACCAAAAGGTTCTGGAATCACAGTGCATTTGACTCCCATATTAAGGAGTCCCAGGAAACTTTCTTTTCCACTTGATGGCCATTTTACCCACATATGTGTATGTAGGGATTGCACAACAACACCCTCATTCCTTTATAAATCTTCATCCTGATTAACTGGCCAGACCATCACCCCCAGCAATTAAGTCAGGTTTCTCATTATCACCTTTGCTTTCTAACTTTTTAAACTCTTTAAAATTAAGTAAATAGAGTGGTTTTGTTTATGGCTTTTCAATGCTGGGGTCCATCAGGGGCTCCCATATGTACACCCAGCTTCCCACAGTGCTGCTTCAAGACCTTGTTTCAAACCCATCAATGTTTGCTTTATTCATGCTACTTAATAATTGCCATCTAAAATTTTTCACCCTGCTGGGAAGAGTCCCTTGAATCTACCCTTTGTCTTTGCCTCATTCTTTTGCGAACTGCTCTTTCTCAGCATCTGTAGACCCAGAAGGCAAAGCTGAGACAACAAACCTAACAAGGCCCACCCACAGACCATTGCTTGATTTTACAGCAGTAAGCTTACATAGGGTGCCCACACAAAAGAGCTTCCCTTAATCACTGCATTTACCATGACCTGGTTATGAGACATCCTGATCATCATAAAGTCAATCTAGCATGGCTTGCATATGCAACATATTGGCCACTTCATCTGTGGAGTTCTTTTTCGCATTTAAAGGAGGAGAAGGAGAATTCATATGCTCAGATGAATTCCACTCAGTCCTCCACACAATCTGTCTCCTTGGAAATAACATGCTATGTGTCTGAATCACATACAGTCATCTGTGATTAGTCAATAGCTATGTGTCAACCCAAACATGCTCTTTCATTCTGCAGAATTCAAAAGCAAGGAGAGTGACTTGCCCCTGAACTGGCCACTCTCACGATCCATTTTAGTAAAGGTTTTTTAGGAAGTTATTGATATTAATCCACAAATTGAGACAACTCCTTCACGCCATACCCTCTGCTTTCAGTAGTTTCTTGGTTTGGCCCTCCTCTCCCACTTAGACTGCTTGCTTGGTAAACAGAGATTGCAGAGGTTCTATCTGTTGTCCCACCATAAATTATCCTTTTGGTGGTGGCCCTGAGGCTTAGTGGCTGAAATCTGAGCTTGGTATATATGCAGTGTTAGGATCTGCCCCAACACTATCTTCTACTTTCATTTCAGCTATTATGGATAACACTAAGCAAGGAATTGTACATTTGGCTAGTTTCTTGTTTTGCATTTCCTGATGTATACAGGGAACCCAAATACTTGAGAGTTGGACTTACCATTTCTAAATTCCACTGGAGACTTTTACCTATAGTAAAGAATCATGGCACAGCCGCTATTTCAAGCTGTTTCATATCTAGTGGCCATATAGGAATCAAAAGTTTGTCCACCCCTGTCCTCTCATTCTTTCATTTCCCAAACTATGCTTTTGCCATGTTTCAGCGAGTAAGGGTCATCCCAACAAATCCTACTTACAATCCCAACTATACTGGGGGGTCTCCCAAGGCCATCCTCTGGTTTAACATCCCATTAGAATGATTCACAGAGCTCAGAAAAGCTATTAAACTAATGATTATGGCTTATAACACCTAAAGGATACCAATTAAAATTAGCAAAGGAAACAGGCACCAGGTGAAACCAGGTATAAGCTTCCAGTTGTTCTCTCCAAGTGGAGTCACACAGATAGGGCTTAATTCTCTCAGCAGTAGTGTTTGACAGCATATGCAAAGTGTTGCCAACCAAGGAAGTTCACCTGAGCCTTGAGGTCTAGAGTTTTTATTAGGAGTCAGTGGGCATGTCTGCATGGCTCACCTTAACTACTCTTTCTCTAGAAGTCAAACTGATACAGCGTGGTCCAGGGCCCCAAGCGAACAAGAGCAGAAATTCACCATAAATCATATTGTTAGCATAAACTATCTGATGTGGACCAAAGCCTCAGATATACAAAGACACTGATAAAGCAGGATATTACAAAGGCTTAAGGGTTATCTCCTAGGAGGCAGGTGAAGGGCCAGTCCTTTCCATGGAATATGTGGTGTTTGAGCAAACCAAGCCCACTGAGCTAACAGCTTATGGCACAACCTTTAACTCCTATTCAAGGTTTCCTTGAAATAGAAATATATTTGCCAAATATGCAATAATCAAAAAACAGAAAAATAGCAATGTGATTTATAGTTCCTCACAGATATCACACTGCATATGAAGAAGTTATCTGTGAAGTTGCAAGGAAAAGTTTACTTGTGATCTAGCTAGACAGGTATGAAAATTTATGCTGAAATTAAAACTTACATAAAAAGCAATGGTAATAATTTTACGCATTTTTCTAGCATGAATCAACGTGAAGATTTGATTGACGACAGTAAGTAAAAGGAATAACACATTGTTGATATTTGTAAATTTAGAATTTATACAATACCCTTTCAATTAAATGTTAATACTGAGTTGAAAAATAGTAAAGTTATTGCACTTACAGTTTGAAAATGATATACTTTTGCATCAAAATCAAATCAGCTATTCTAAAACAGAGGAACTAATTTTGTTAATGTGGGTTTAAAAACTAAAGGAAAATTTCTTTCTTTTTTTTTTTGAGACAGGGTCTCATTCTGTTCACCCATACTGGAGCACAGTGGTGCACTCATAGCTCGCTGCAGCCTTGAATTCCTGGGCTCAAGTGATCCTCCCACCTCAGCCTACCAAAATACTGAAATTACAGGCGTGAGCCTCTGCACCCAGCTGGAAAAGCAGTTTTTGATACTCAGTTCAATTACTAGAAAACTTTCAATTATGTGAATCTACTTTTGAAATGTAAATTTTGTTAAGTTTAAATACAGATGAAGAATCTATAATGAAAATTTAGTGTCCAAATGAAGATGTATTTTAAGAATAAAGGGGCTAGGCGCAGTGGCTCACACCTGTAATCCCAGCACTTTGGGAGGCCGAGGCGGGTGGATCACCTAAGGTCAGGAGTTTGAGACCAGCCTAGCCAATATGGTGAAACCCCGTCTCTACTAAAAATACAAAAATATTAGCCAGGCATGGTGGCAGGGGCCTGTAATCTCAGCTACTTGGGAGGCTGAGGCAGAATTGTTGGAACCCGGGAGGCAGAGGTTGCAGTGAGCCGAAGTGAGACTCTGTCTCAAAAAAAAAAAAAAAGAATAACGGCCAGGTGCGATGGCTCACACCCGTAATCCCAGCACTTTGGGAGACCGACACAGGTGGATCACAAGGTCAGGAGTTCGAGACCAGCCTGGCGAAGATGGTGAAACCCTGTCTCTAGTAAAAATACAAAACAATTAGCCAGGCATGGCGGTGGGCGCCTGTAATCCCAGTTACTTGGAAGCCTGAGGCAGAGAATTGCTTGAATCCGAGAGGGAGGCGGAGGCTGCAGTGAGCCAAGATCGTGCCAATGCACTCCAGCCTTGGTGACAGAGCAAGACTCTGTCTCAAAAAAACAAAAAAGAATAAAATATACACCAGATGTCAAAGACTTAGTAGAAAACAAAAAGTGTAAAATAATAATACAATAATTTTCATACTGATTACATGTTAAAATAACTTCGTTTATATTGAGTTAAATAAAATGTTATGTTAAAATAAATTTCATTTTTTAATTTCAATTTTTATTGTGGCTGCTAAAGTTTTTTAAATTACACTTGCTTACATTATATTTCTAATAAACAGCACTGTTCTACATAACTACTGAGTTAAAGAATAAATCATAATAAAAATTTTAAAATATATAGAACCAAATGGTAATAAATATAATACATATCTAATTCCTCACCAGGAAATGTATGACTTTAAATGTGTATATTAAAAAAGAAGAAATGATAACGAGTAATTAGGTAGGCATCTAACCCAAAAGCACCCAGGCACGGTGGCTCATGCCTGTAATCCCAGCACTTTGGGAGGCTGAAGGCAGGCAGATCACTTGAGGTAAAGAGTTCAGTACCAGCCTGGCCAACATGGTGAAACGCTGTCTCTACTAAAAGTACAAAAATTAGCCAGGTGGGGTGGCATGTGCCTGTAATCCCAGCTACTCAGGAGGCTGAGGCAGGAGAATCACTTGAACCCGGGGAGGCGGAGGTTGCAGTGAGCCAAGATCGCACCATTGCACTCCAGCCTGGATGAGAGAGCAAGACTCTATCTCAAAAAAAAAAAAAAAAAAAAAAAAAAAAGATAGTAGGGAAAAAAAAGAAATATTACAGCTAAAACTAGAAATTCATGGAAGAGAAAAATATATAAAGAACAAACAAAAGCAAAAGTAAGTTTCTTGGAATCACAAATAAAATAGACTCTATCAAGATTGATCACAAAAAATAGAGGTGTTAAAAATTATATTAGTAGTGAAAAGGTAACCTAATAGCTACAGTCAAAATTAAAAAGAAAAGAAGGATTTTGTATGTTAAGCCAGTAAACTTGAAAGTCTAGCTATGATGTACAATTTCTGAGAAAATAATATGTAACTTGCCAAACTGACAAAAAGAAATAGAACATCTAAAATTTTTTTGGAATCCTTAGAGATGTTGAATCATAGTTAAAACATATTTACACATGAAGTCTCCAGTGCCTGATACTTTACAGGTGATTCCAATCAACTGTCAAGTCAGAGATCATTCCAACATTGTGGAAATTATCCAGAGAATAGAAAAAAAAAGTAAATGCTTACCAATCCACAGTATGAAGCTAGTATAACTGAAATCAAAACCAGGCAAGAACAGTGTAAAAATAGAATATTATAGGACAATATTTTCATGAACGTAGTCACAAAATTGTAAGATATCAACTAGCTAAACCCAACAATATATTTTTTAAATAATACATCATGAACAAGTTGGATTTGTCACACAAATGCAAGAATGGTTCTACCTTAGAAATTCTAAAGATAAAATCCGTCCATTTAAAAGATTTAACATTTTAAAACACCACATAACAATCTCAATAATTGTAGGAAAATATCATCTAATACCTATGAATGATTCAATAACAAACTTACAAACTAGGAAGAGAAGGGAATTCCCTTAATCTAAGAAATCATGTCTACTATAAATGGATGTTTTAAATCATAGTTAATGATTAAACCTTAAAAGCATGCCCTTTAAAATCAGTAACAAGTCAGGCTTCTCAATATCATTTCTGCCTTCCAACATGTCTATGCATCACACAGATACACTCACACACGAATTTGAAGGTAAAGATTAGAAAGAAGCAAAACTATAATTATCTCAAGGTAAACATTTTTATTCAGAAAGCCACAGAATTCACAGAACATCTTGTAGAACAATGAATAATTTAGCCAGTTTACTAAATATAAGATTTATGTACAAAATGCAATCATTTTCCTATGCATAGTTAGGAAATGCATTTTTAAAAAATATTCTGTTTAATAACAGAAGATTCTGAAAGATAACTATAAATAATTCTAAGAAATAATATACAACCTTCATATTTCAGAAATATTTCACAGTGGCTCAGGCCTGTAATCCCAGCGCTTTGGGAGGCCATGGTGGGCGGAACACTAGGTCAGGAGATTGAGACCATCCTGCCTAATACAGTGAAACCTCATCTCTACTACAAATACAAAAAATTAGCCAGGCATGGTGGCACACATCTGTAATCCCAGCTACTTTGGAGGCTGAGGCAGGAGAATCTCTTAAACCCAGGAGGCAGAGGTTGCAGTGAGCCGAGATCACGCCACTGCACTCCAGCCTAGTGACAGAGCCAGACTCTGTCTCAAAAAAAAAAAAAAGAAAGAAAACAAAGAGACCAAAGGCCCAGCTCTCATGGGCCTTTCTTATATTATAGTCATGGAAAACAGACGATAGACAAAATTAGTAAATGAGTGTATGTTATACTAGAAGATGATAAATGCTATGGAGAAAAATAAAGCAGGAAAGTGGTATAGGGAAAGCTGGGGGCAGGAACTGCAATTTTGTTTGGGTATTCAGAGAAGGACACATTGAGAAGATGATACTTTAAACAAAAACTTGAAGGAGGTAAGGGAGAATGTCATGTGGATATATGAGGGAAGAGAATTTCAGGCAAGTGGTAAAGCAAGTGCAAAATACCTGAGGTCAGGGCATGCTTGGCAGGCTTCAGTGTAACAAGACAGAGTGAGCAAGAGGTAAGTAGTAGGAGACTGGATCAAAGAAATCATAAGCAGCTAGATGGTTAGGTCCTTGCAGGACTTTAAAGGACTTTGAATTTTACTCTGAGTGTGATGGAGAACCATTGAAGAGTTGCGAACAGAAGAGTGATCTGATTTAAATTTTTATCAGAGTCACCCTGGTGCTATATGTATTAAACTGTTCTCATCCTGCTATGAAGAAACCCCTGAGACTGGGTAATTTATAAAGAAAAGAGGTTTAACTGACTCACAGTTCCTCATGGCTGGGGAGTCCTCAGGAAACTTACAATCATGGCAGAAGGGGAAGCAAACACATTCTTCTTCACATGGCGGCAGCAAGGAGAAGTGCAGAGTGAAGAGGGGGAAAAGCCCCTTATAAAACCATCAGATGTTGTGAGAACTCACTCACTATCATAAGAATAGCATTGAGATAACTGCCCCCATAATTTAATTACCTCCCACTGGGTCCCTCCCATGACATGTGCTTATTATGGGAACTACAATTCAAGATGAGATTTTGGTGGGGACACAGCCAAACCATATCACTATAATAAAAACTAGCCTATAAGGGTGCAAGTGTGGAAGCAGGAAGTTAGAAGTCTTGTAACAGTACAGGAGAGGTGATGGAGGTTTGAACCAGGTAGAAACCAAGAAATGAGGTAGTAGCTGGAGGGACAAGAGAGATGCAGAGATTTTTGTTTGTGTATGTATGCGTGCTTTTATTTGTTTCAAGAACCGAAATGCGAGAAACTCCTACACGTTTATGTGCTTGAGTACATGAAAGCGAATGGCATTACGTGAAGCAGCATATGGCTCAGATTTATACAGAAGCACAGATGGTCATTTTATAGTAGCCAGGAGGGAACACAGGGTACAGGGGCATAGATGCCAGTAGGTAGTGGATGTGGCAGGAGCTTGTGGAAGTTCTATTTTGCTATGTCCCCAGTAAAATAAGAAGCAGTTCATCAGATGATAGCCAGGAGCGCTGGTGAGGTGTTGGAGTTTTGAGAAAAGAAAGGCAAAACAATCACAGTAGAGTAAGAAATAGACAAGGGAAACAAGATTGTCAGACAGCATGAAAGATCCATTGACACTAAGGATGAACTTAAAGTGAGACCAGTAAGCATGCTATGTATTTTTCTTCTGCTGTGATGATGCAAAGTAGGAGGAGAGTTGGACTTCACCAGGATCAAAATTCTGCCAAGCAAGTAAGTACCACAGGAAAGGGGAAAGGGTGTTGAGGGTGTATGTGAGGAAATGGCTATAATGATTAATGATGGAATTTAAACCGTGGGAAGAGTCAAAAGTACATGAGTGTGAATCAGGGATACGAAAAATTGCACCGGGCAGTGGATTGATTGTAGATCCTGGGGCTTGTTCAGGTGGTGAGACTAAAATGAGCAAGATAGGACAAGGCATACAGAGGGTGGAATGGCTGAACCTGCGATTATGAAAAGGTGATGGAAATTCTGTGCTATGACCATGTGAGTGAGTGGCTGAGATAGGCTGAAGGGGAGGAACTGAAGAAATTCAAGGCCATGGTGGTAGAGAATCATTTCTGTGGATATTAAAATTACCAAGAATTAAGACAGGAATGTTGTGGGGTTTTTCATTTGTTTATTTGTTTGTTTGTTTGTTTGTTTGTTTGTTTTTGAGACAGAGTCTTGCTCTGTTGCCCAGGCTGGAGTGCAGTGGCGTGATCTCGGCTCACTGCAAGCTCCACCTCCTGCGTTCACGCCATTCTCCTGCCTCAGCCTCCTGAGTAGCTGGGACTACAGGCGCCCGCCACCACGCGCTGCTAATTTTTTTTTGTATTTTTAGTAGAGATGGGGTTTCACCATGTTAGCCAGGATGGTCTCCATCTCCTGACGTTGTGATCCTCCGGCCTTGGCCTCTCAAAGTGCTGGGATTACAGGCGTGAGCCACGGCTCCTGGCCCTTTTTTTTTTTTTTTTTTTTTGAGACGGAGTCTTGCTCTGTCGCCCAGGCTGGAGTGCAGTGGCACAGTCTCGGCTCACTGCAAACTGCGCTTCCTGGGTTCACGCCATTCTCCTGCCTCAGCCTCCCCAGTAGCTGGGACTACAGGCACCCGCCACGGCGCCCAGCTAATTTTAGTAGAGACGGGGTTTCACCGCGTTAGCCAGGATGGTCTCCATCTCCTGATCTCGTGATCCGCCCATCTAGGCCTCCCAAAGTGCTGGGATTACAGGCGTAAGCCATTGCGCCTGGCCCAGGAATGTTGTTTAAAAGACTGACAGTGTATATACTATGTACTGGTACTATGTACCCACAAAAATTAAAATTTTAAATTAAGAAAAAAGGCTGGAATTGACAAAAATCATTGAGAAATAAGGGACAATGAAGTAGGGGAAAGCAGACAACTCAACGGGGGGACAGTGGGAGTGATGGTCTGTTAAGACATTCAGACCTTATAGAGTCTAAGTAGGAGAGAGGGAGCAGGGTCTCACAGCATCAACAAAACACTGAGGAGGATGCATATCCCACCTCCATGGCCCGATATGAGCAGTGTAGGACATTAAAATGGTCCTTCTCACAGCCCGAGTCAAAGCCAGTTCCCAGCCCAGTCCCGTCCCTTAGCAGCCTGCCTCCTCTTTCCTTTCAACATGACAGATGCCACAGTGTCCTTTGCCAAGGACTTCCTGGCAGGTGGAGTGGCCGCAGCCATCTCCAAGATGGCTGTAGTGCCCATCCAGCGGGTCAAGCTGCTGCTGCAGGTGCAGCATGCCAGCAAACAAGTCACCGCAGATAAGCAATACAAAGGCATTATAGACTGCGTGGTCTGCATATCCAAGGAGCAGGGAGTCCTGTCCTTCTGGCGCGGTAACTTGGCCAATGTCATCAGATACTTCCCCACCCAGGCTTTCAACTTCGCCTTCAAAGATAAATACAAGCAGATCTTCCTGGGTGATGTGGACAAGAGGACCCAGTTTTGGCGCTACTTTGAAGGGAATCTGACATCAGGCAGTGCTGCTGGGGCCACATCCTTGTGTTTTGTGTACCCTCTTGATTTTGCTCTTACCCGTCTAGCAGCCAATGTGGGTAAAGCTGGAGCTGAAAGGGAATTCCGAAGCCTCGGTGACTGCCTGGTTAAGATTTACAAATCTGATGGGATTAAGGGCCTCTACCAAGGCTTTAACATGTCTGTGCAGGGTATTATCATCTACCGAGCCGCCTACTTCAGTATCTATGACACTGCAAAGGGAATGCTTCCGGATCCCAAGAACACTCACATCCTCATCAGCTAGATGATCACACAGACCGTCACTGCTGTTGCTGGGTTGACTTCCTATCCATTTGACACCATTCGCCACCACATGATGATGCAGTCAGGGTGCAAAGGAACTGACATCATGTACACAGGCATGCTTAACTGCTGGAGGAAGATTGCTCGTGATGTAGGAGGCAAAGCTTCCTTTAAGGGTGCATGGTCCAGTGTTTTCAGAGGCACGGGTGGTGCTTTTGTGCTTGTCTTGCATAATGAAATCAAGAAGTACACATAAGTTGTTTTCTAGGATTTTTCTCCTGGTGAACAGGCATGTTGTATTATATAACATGTCCTGAGCATTCTTGACAGACTCCTGGCTGTCAATTTATCTGTGGCAACTATTTGCTGTTGAAAATGAGAAGCAATAATGTTCATCTGACCAGTTTTCTCTTAAAGCCATTTCCATGATGATGAGGATAGGAGTCAATTATATTTTTTATTTCAGTTACTCCTGATAAACAACAAATTTGGAGAAATAAAAATATCTATAATGAAGAAAAAAGAAGGCCTTCACTTGAGCAGGAACAAAGCTGTGTGCCCAAAGTGATTTTAAAAGAACATGAACTGGGGCTGGGTATGGTATTTCACACCTGTAATCCCAGCATTTTGGGAGGCCGAGGCAGAAGGATTACTTGAGCCCAGGAGTTTGAGAACAGCCTGGGCAACATAGGGAGACTCCTGCCTCTACAAAAAAAAATTTTTTTAATTCAAAAGAACATGGACTGCAGAATTATATATAACAACAAATTTTAAAAGAAAACAAAAAACAAGTTAATTTTTTAACAATGAGAGAATGAATAAGTACATGGATTGTTCGTATAATGGAATACTACACAACACTGAAAATAAGCTGAGCTATGATCATGTAACATGATTATGTAAATAAGCTATGATCATGTAACATGGACAAAATCTGCAAAAATAATTTGAGTGAAAAAGGTAGGTGGCATAAGAATGCCCCAGCATGATATAATTTATATTATACTGTGTATACAAGGGTTGCTTATGAATTGCCTAGAGAAATATATATATATGTTACTAAATTATTTCTAATTATTTACTAATTATTTCACTTTGGGAATGCTAAATAAATTCAAGATCATTAATTACAGAGACAAAGGCGAGTGATTGGATCAGGGAAATAAATGTATACCAGGGTGAGATGAGAGGGACCTGAAATTAGCAATCTGTTATTTTTGTTGTTGTTGTTGTTTTGTTTGTTGTTTTTGTTTGTCTGTTTGTTTTGAGACAGAGTCTCGCTCTGTCGCCCAGGCTAGAGTACAGTGGCGTGATCTCGGCTCACTGAAACCTCCGCCTCCTGGGTTCAAGCAATTCTCCTGCCTCACCCTCCCAAGTAGCTGGGACTACAGGTACACACCACCACGCCTGGGTAATTTTTTTGTATTTTAGTAGAGATGGGGTTTCACCATGTTGCCCAGGCTGGTTGCAAACTCCTGAGCTCAGGCAATCCGCCCACCTTGGCCTCCCAAAGTGCTGGGATTACAGGCGTAAGCCACCACGCTTGGCCCAGCAATCCGTTATTTCTTAGGCTGTGTGGTAGATACAGGGGCGTTCATTTTATAATTCTCTATAATTTGTGAATTTCTGAAGTAAGTGCTAAATATAAAAGATAAAGATTGTGTAATACTTTTAGTGTCTATCGTGCTTTCAAATAAATTCTCTCATTTGATTCACAAGGTAAACTTGTGAGATAGTGAAGGTAGTTGTTATTAATATTTTCATTTCATAAAGGAGGAAACACCCACGGCTAAAAAAAAAATTCTACAAGTAATAAACAGATGAGAAGCAAGTCCACAACTAAGCTCTTTGGGATCCGAATCATCATGCCTCCTTAGATATGCTAACACTTGGTAAGTGAGACTGTAGAATCAGGGGTACAACCATCCTACTTTATCCTTTTTTTGCCCTTGAGTTAAATCATATTGTCTTAAATCAAATGGAGATAAATATATTTATTGAGGCGCCGCTGCTGTGTCCAAGGTTATGAAATGCCTTTCTTCTTCATAGTTTTCTGAAATTTTATATATTGTCAATTCCTCTCCAGCATCATAAAACAATGTAGAAGGTATCAGTTATTATTCAGAACCATGGAGTCAATTTTTTTTCTCTAGAAATAGAAACTTTCTATAGCTACTCAAGTGAAAAGAGGTAGGGGCATCAGAAAATCTGGGCAATCAGAAACCTGAATTGTATTTTCACTTGTCTTCTTCACTTTAGCTTTGGTTTTACATTGGACTTTCTAGAAGTCATTTTGTGTATCTGTGTCTCACTCTATACAACTGGGACAAAAATACAGACAGCTGACAACTTTAAGCACTCAAATAAAAAACTATGCATGATCATAAAGCATATCAACATACCTCACATAGCCCTTTGCATTGTGGCAACCGTTTGGTTTGCTGATAACAAAAGAGTATTGGAAAGAGTTAATTTGCACTAGCATGTAATAAATCTCCTCAATCACCTCACGTTATAATTCTTTTTTTTTGGGGGGATGGAGTCTCACTCTGTTGCCCAGGCTGGAGTGCAGTGGCACAATCTCGGCTCACTACAACCTCCACCTCCTGAATTCAAGCTATTCTCCTGCCTCAGCCTCCCGAGTAGCTGGGATTACAGGCACCCACCACTATGCCCAGCAAATATTTGTATTTTTAGTAGAGACAGGGTTTCACCACGTTGCCCAGGCTGGTCTTGAATGACTGACCTCAGGTGATCCGACTGCCTCGGCCTCCCAAAGTGCTGGGATTACGGGTGTGAGCCACGTCACCCAGTCTCATGTTATACTTCTATAAAGATTGGCCAGTCATTATGTAAGGCAGTATGTATAGTAGTTAACTGTACAGGGTACACTGACCTTGGTTTCTGACTTATAAAATAAGACTACTACTACCTACTTTTTAAGAGTTGTGATGACTGAAGGAGATAATGTATATAAAACACTTGGCACAGTACTGGTTGGGCTCATTAAAGTTGGCTGTTTTCATTATTGCACATAATCACCCTATTAATTAATACTCTTACTGGACCTTTGGCCTGGTGCTATCGGATTCTGGATTTTGAGAGTAGCTGCGGTAGAATTGTCTTCCCTGTACCACCTTCCTAGAAATTGCCACTCCTTACCCCATCCAGATGACAGCAAAACCTGCCATGTTTCTAACACGTGTCACTGTCCGTGCCACAGGTGGTCCAGGGCTTAACACATTACCCATGCTGCTATGATTATTTATATTCCTGGAAGTTGTGGGACTCAAGAGGAGAGCAGGGAGCAAAAACAAGAAAATAAGAGAAAGAAAGAAAATGCAAGAGTGAAAACCCGAAGACTAGTCTCTGTCTTAGTTACTGTACCTCCTACATGTAAGACTAAGAGCATCTTAGTGCCCATGCTTCCTGCCCTGTGGACCAGCAGCTGGAGGGGAGGAAAATAAGGCAGAAAGAAAGAAGCACAGAAGAAAGATGTGGAGAATGGCAGTCCTATTCAGGTCCCTAGCTGCAGGTTATTACCAAGAGGCAGCCGCACTCCTGTCTTTGAATACTGTGAGAAGACACCCAAGCATTGTCCTCCTTTACTTAGCTTAGCCAAGTTTAATTACTGAACTTGCAACAACAGCAAAATTCCTAACTAATACCCATTTTTTATCCCTTCTTCGCCATGTAATGGAAATATAGTCTGTCCCCTAAGTCAACCCCCACATATCCCCCTAAAATCTTCTGTCATCACATGAGATCAATTCCTGGCCTCTCAACCCTCAAGGATAGATCCCTGCCCTCTTCCCCTACTCCTGTTATTCTGAGCATCAATCCTTCCTTCTAATTGCCCTGACAGCTGGTCAGGAAGAACTGCTGGGCAGAACAAATCAGAAATGGCTGAAACCACAAATCCAACAACTTGGATAACAATCATCTCTCAGAATATATGTCAGTTCGCAAAGCAGGTCAGGGCATGTGGGTACATTCAACCCAGCTAGTGAAGCCAAGTTCATAATCTGAGCCACCATGGCCAGACAAAGGGAAGAGAAAAGGAGGACAGAGCAAGGTATTTAACCTCTATGAGCTCTCATGTTCTTTTCTGTAAGATGAAGATAATACTGTTGATTTTCAGGGTTACTATAAAGATTAGAATAATGTACATAAAATGTCTGGAATGTGGCTGATGCACAATTAATGGTACTTTTTATTAGCATGTCTATTGTTAAGCCTATAAATGCTCTGGAGCAACAAAATCAACTGAAAACATACAGGTTGTATTTATCAACATCCTCTCAGTCCACTTGAAAGGTACAAGAAAGATACTTACGCATTTTTAGGAAGAAATGCTTTTTTACTTTAGCCCGTTAGCATTGCAGCCTAGATCTTTCTATAGTAATCAGTATTCAGAGGTTATAATGCTAGAAACTTTCTACAGATGTTCCTTGTGTTCGTCAGTGCAAGCTGCCTGAAATTTGAGTTTTAATGCCTAATAGAATTTAGCCTTACAGAATCAGAAATTGGCTGGACCTGATTCCCTTAAAAATGCTATTGCATTCAAATAGGATCACTGCTCGGCATTGCCTCCGCTTTCAATAAAATGAATCTTTTAAAAAACTCATTGTACACAGGAGATTAACCGCACTCTGAAGTCACCTTCGAGTTACGTACATACCTTAACTTTCTGATATCAGTTCATCGTAAAGCCCCCAGAAAATGCAGGGCAATTATGGAAACTACAGCAATCAGATACCAAGCTCCAGAATATGCTCCACACTGTTATTTTCTGGCTGAAAGTTTATTTGAAGCTGTTTTTGTAGTAGGGCAGAGAAAGAACTTCTCATTGGGAGTAAGACAAAGGATTTCGTCCCAGCTGAGATATTAACTCACTGTGTGTCAGCAGACATGGTTTTTTTTATGACCCCAAGCCCCCAACCCAAGGCCTTGGTTTCTACTTCTATCAAGTGAAAGGGTCAGACTACAGAGATGTCCAACAGGTTTCGGCTCATCAACTGTAATCAGCCACTAGTGATTATTGCAGTAACTATGTTATAAGAAGAGTGTGGACTTCCCAAGTTGGGGAATCCGGCTTTCATTTATTCTTTTTTTTTTATTTCAGTGTGCCCACTGCTACGGTTTGAATGTGTCCCTGAAAAGGCATGTGTTGGAGACTTAATCCCCAATGCAGCGGTGTTGGAAGGTGGGGCCTAATGGGAGGTGTATAGGTCGTAAGAATGCAGCCTTCATGGATTAATGAATTTACGTAGATTATAAAAAGGCTTGAGCCTGTGAATTCCATCTCCCATTATCTCTCTTACTCTCTCAACTCACCAGATGTCAGTCCCTTGATCTTAAACTTCTCAGCCTCTAGAACTGTGAGAAATAAATTTGTTTCTTATGAATTACCCAGTCTGTGGTGTTCGGTTATAAAAGTACAAAGCAGACTAAGATATCCACATTTTCCACATTAATCTTCATTTGATATTATTTTTATAATCACATATACACTTAAATCTTAAAGGATATATGTATTTTCTTCCCCAAGAAGACTTTTTGCCTCCCCTCTACAACTCCCTACATACCTCTTCTGTTTTTTAATCCCTTGAAGAAAGCTATTCTCTTCTAGTTCTCTCCGAGCACCTTGGACTCACATGCTTTAAAGCATATACTCTGTCATTAATGAGTCTGTGACACACATTCAGCTATGGGTTCTGTAAGAGCAAGGTCTATGTCATAAGAGTTTTGATAACTGCCTCAGAGAGCACCACAGTGTGTAGGAATGAAGAATAAAGAGAGAAATGGATAGTTAAGGGGATAAGTGAACAGATGAGTAAAAACTTCCTGGTCTCTCATGAATGCAACACCCTATTATCAGCCAATTTGATGCATTACATTGAAAAATACACCTTTTATGTCTCCTGAAATTCTAGTTGTATATTTAGGGAAAATATTAGGAAAAATTGGGTACATGAGTGCATTAGTCCATTCTCATGCTGCTAATAAAGACATATCTGAGACTGGGTAATTTTTAAAGGAAAGAGGTTTGACTCACAGTTCTGCAGGGTTGAGGAGGCCTCAGGAAACTTACAATCATGGCAGAAAGGGAAGCAAACATGTCCTTCTTCACATGGTGGCAGCAAGGAGAAGGGCCGAGCAAAAAGGGGAAAGCCCCTTATAAAACCACCAGATCTCGTGAGAACTCACTATCACGAGAACAGCATGAGGATAACTGCCCCCATGATTGCATTACCTCCCACCAGGTCCCTCCCATGACCTGGCAGGGATTATGGGGTTACAATTCAAGATGGGATATTGATGGGGACACAGCGAAACCATATCAACAAGTCTCCTCTTAAATAGGTAAAGATTCACAGCCCAGTTTCTTCACTTCTCCAAATCTACTGAAGTGTATTTATACCTTTTGTTTCTAACATCTAAACCATTTCAATTTTCTAATGATAAAGGGAGATTGGAAGGCAATGATGGATGACAGATCATATGATAATGAGGTATTTCCCAACTAAACACTAAGTTTCAAGTAATTAAAATTTCTTGCCAATATTCTGTTTTTTTTTCTAATGCTCACCCATTTTGCATTTCCCAGATATGACAACTTTTCCCAGCATACAATGAGCACTACTCATCAAAAATGGCATGTTCACTTATAGGGCTTATAGGGGCCTTTAACACACTCTAGGTGGTGCTCACCCTAATGTGAGGGAAATAGTTCTGCGCTAGATTATTCTGTGCATGCCTCTCCTGTGTACACATTGCTTGGTTTTTAAACTGCAAAAATTTCTGTTTCTTTTCCCTTGTCAAAAGTGCAACCAAGAAGAGGCAATGCAATCAATCAAGAGGCAATGCAATCGAGAGGCAAAACAGGCCAAGTTTCTTCCACATTTTCCCCAGGCAAGGTTTTTCATGTTTCATTTGCTAAAATGTGGCTTCACTGTAGGCTTTGCTTGGAATTTGATTGATTTCTAGAGCCTCCAGTACAGCTAAAGGGTCATAGATATATATGTAAAAGGTCCCACAGAAAGTTTCATTGAGGCCTACCAGGGCTAGATCAAAGGGTAGCCAGCTGGGCACCTGACCGGGTCACCAATCAATAAGAGGCATTAAAACATCACTGGAAATGCAATTAAATGGAGAAGGCTACATTTACCAGAAGTCCTCTCAGGGAGACTGTAAGTCATTGGAATTTCTGATAAGCCACTTGGGATGGGACTTGAGACCTCCAAGAGGCACACCCCAGAAACCTAAGGAATCAGTATTACATTACATGAGGTGTGACCAGTTGGTTGCATACTCTTGTCTTAATGAGTGTGATGTGAATATTTGGGGTCACAGATGACCACAAAGGAGAGGTTGAGTGCCACCACCAGAGTTCCTTCTCCTCCTTCCCTCATATATTTTCTGCCTCTCCTGTACATAAATAATTATTGGCTTTTTGAAAAATATCATTTTTAAAGTACATCAAAGTATTGGACTCATGTGTCTACTTGTGAAAACATTTATCAGCAGATGACTCTAAACCTCAAAGTATCAGCAGTTTGTAGAATGGAGCACCAGGGAACAGTATCCTTCAGGATCTCAAGAAGCCATATGAATACTGCCTAGCTGCAGGTACAGATTCCCAGGACCATTCTCAGGAGTTAGGACATTCAAGGGTCCAGAAGTGACACAGAAATGAGTTCTGGAGAGACAGAGACACAGAGAGAGAGAGAGAGAGAGAGACAGACAGACAGAGAGAGAGATGGATAGATAGATAAATAATATAGCATGCAAGGATATGCGCCAAGGGGCTGCCTTTTGACCCATGCATCTGAAAAGGCTGAAGGTGTCCTTCCAACAATGATCAGTGGTGAAGTGACATTGATTTAATTCAATGTATGGTACTTCCTGGCTCTTTGGTCCACAGCCTCCATGAGATTGCTCACCGTAAGGATATTAAGCAATCTAATGGGATAATTTCAAAGAAAACCATCTTCAACTGAGTGAATTTTTCTGCCCAGTAAAAGTTGTAAAAGCCCGAGTGGTATACAATGAGACTTTCATTCTCCTGGGAATTCTTAATTCTATCCTTAGACCTAGTTGGTTCACCACGGAGCAATGTATTCTTATCTCATTTGCAAACCCTCAAAGAAATACCTTTGCTAATTAAAGATTTATGTTATAACCTCATAATGCCTTGTCCCTGCCCTGCTCCTTTTGTCTTCCCTTGGCTTCCAGGAAGACCTGAACCTAATTTAATTTTCAACTGCTGTAACATTAACCTACATTTTGGCACACTTATTTCTCCCATCTGTATAGTTTATTGGTGGTGGTGTTGATTATCTTCTTTCTGCTTAAAAATAGTATTGAAAATGTATCTTTGATTGTAAATTTCTCAAGTCCTTTATGGAAGCAAAAAAGGAACACTTCATAACCTATAAATAGAAAAAGATCATATTTTGTCATTCGTTATTGATATTTAACGTATACTCCCTTGTGAATTTTACACCATTATTGATCTTCCAGAGCAGAGAAATTTAGAATATTCAGTTTTTTTAATCAATTGGTTTATTGATTTAATAAGGGATCCGTATCTGACATTCTGCAAAAATAGAGTCCTAGAACACTCAAATGAGGCTCAACTTGAAGTCTGAGACAAGAAATTTGAGGGCAAATAAGGAATGTTATGCTTATAAAACAGTAAATTTTTTAATTATTCATAATTTTTAAAAATCCAATGGATTCAAGAAAGACTTAGAAAATTTTTAGGATGGGAAAATAGAGTCATAATAGACTAATAAAGAAAACCAGAGATACTATTTTTCTAAGACAACACAAATACTTGGAGATTAATTAACATCTCACAAAACAAACATGATTCCTATAATGCATTCTCTGTGTTACTTCCAGGGAAAAAAATAAAATCAGAACACTCAAGGATCTTAGAATTTGCTTTATGTCCTGACACTGAATGAAGTCTAAGTCAATTCCCAAGCTGTGTTCTTTGAAGCATTACTGCTCAGGAAGACAGTGAAAGAAGCACCCTGAAAAGGACATTCTCTGATCAAATAAGTATGGAAAATATTGTGTACCATCACCTCATTCTTTGAGATTCAAAATATTCATTAATATATTAAAGTCTTTGAGAGATCCCGCAGTCACTCAAGAAAGTTGTTTCACATTGCTTAACCTAGGTTTTCCTGAAACTTTTTTGAGCAAAAAAAAAAAAAAAAAAAGACTGTTTAGATGAAATCTCTATAAACATTCTGCCCTCAAATTTGTAACACTATGGTATCAAGTAGCCCATCCCCTTTGTTGAGCTAACACAGCTCAGGACCACCAGGAACTCCACAGTCTGGCCTATCATGTCTATAGAAGCCCGGCCAAGTGTGAGTCCTGCCAGCCCAGGAATGGGAAATGCCTGCAGAAACTGTGGTTTGGGTTACTATAACAAAATACCATATACTGGGTAACTTTTAAACAACAGAAATTTATTCTAACAGTTCTGAGGGCTGGAAAGTCCAAGACCAAGGCACCAACATATTTAGTATCTGGTGAGGGATCAATTTCTGGTTCACTGATGACACTTTCTAGCTGTGTCCTCACATGGTGGAAGGAGAGAACTCTGGTCTCTTCAGCTCCTTATAAGGGCACTGATCCCATTCTTGAGGGCTCTCCCCTAAAGACCTAATCACCATCCAGAGACCCAATCTCCAAATACCATCACATTAAGGCTTAGGTTTCAATATATAAATTTGGGGGAGACATATTCAGTCCACAGCTTACAGGAAACTGCTATTATTCCAATTCACAGTTGAGGAAACTGAGAACTTAAAAAAAGTTAAGTAATCTACCTAAGGTCACATACCTGCAAATGTGGCAGTGCTGGATTTTAAATATAAGTCTGCCAGACCCCAGAGACATGTTTTAAACCCCTGAAGAAGGAAATGCAGAAGAGAGTTTTATTAAACCATTTCAGTTAGAAGAATGGACACATACATTATATTTTTCAGTGGTTACAAAAAGCCACCACAATTGCTATATATGAGTAGTGGGCACCATTTATTCATTCAATTCTAAGGAAGAAAAATTATGATAGCCAGGTGATTTTTCTCCCTCAGTTACTTTGCTGACCAATCCACTTACAGTTTGCCGATCATACTATTCCCTTTCAAAACACCCCTGCCTGTCTTTATACAAACTAATCCCTTTATAAAGGTGGTTCTCCACTTGGCTCCCAGGAGAATTCACTCTTTCAAAAGCAATTCAAGTATCACCATTTCCTCTGTGCAGGCTTCCCTAATTGCTATCTTTCTGTTTTCATTGCCTCAGTCCCTCCTCCCTGATCCTAAAGCACAATGTACATCTCCAAACATCACACAGCTCTGGTTGCAGACTCACTGCTTGTTTGTGTATCTGTCTTCTGCTTCATACTACACCCATGTGTTATCTATCTCTGCACAGATACATGGGACTTGACAAGCTGCAAGGCACCATATCAACGTTCCTTAAACAGAGGCATTTGATGTGTTTGTAGATAACTGAATAAACTCTATGGCTGTGCTGCTAAGTAATCTGGGAGAATTTTAGATTTAAAAATGCACAAAGTAGAAGGGAAAGTTGAATAATTATTGCAATCCCTCTAATGATTCATATAATTGGATATATATAATAACAGCTAAAGGAAATGAAGGAAAGCTACAAGTATCAACATGGATAAATTTCAAAGTGTTAAGTTAAAGAAAAGTTGTAAAATGATATATATGGTCCCATTTATATAAATTTTAGAAGTGTGAAAAACAATATTCTTTTTTTTTTTTTTTTTGAGACGGAGTCTTGCTCTATCGCACAGGCTGGAGTGCAGTGGTGCCATCTCAGCTCACTGCAAACTCTGCCTCCCAGGTTCATGCCATTCTCCTGCCTCAGCTTCTCGAGTAGCTGGGACTACAGATGCCCACCACCACGCCTGGCTAATTTTTTGTATTTTTAGTAGAGACGCGGTTTCACCGTGTTAGCCAGGATGGTCTTGATCTCCTGACCTCATGATCCGCCTGCCTCAGCCTCCCAAAGTGTTGGGATTACAGGCGTGAGCCACCACGCCCAGCCGTGAAAAATAATATTCTATATAATGTATGGATAGTAATAATAATTGATTACAGCATCCATAGGAATTACAATCACTAATTCAGGATAACTGTTTCTTCAGGGCCAGAAAGATGGAAATAGAATCAGTGGGAGATACTCATGAAGCTTTAACTGTATCTGTATGTCTTAGCTGCAGGAAAAAAAAATGATAAAGCAGGAAGTCCTAGCCAGAGCAATCAAGCAAGAAAAAGAAATGAAAGGCATTTAAATAGAAACAGAGGAAGCCAAACTAGCTCTGTTTGCAGATGATATGATTCTTTACCTAGAAAACCTTACAGTCTCTGCCTAAAAGCTCCTAGATGTGATAAACCACTTCAGCAAAGTTTCAGCATATAAAATTAATATATAAAAGTCAGTAGAATTTCTATACAAAAAAAATGTCCAAGCTGAGAGCCAAACCAAGAATGCAATCCAATTCACAATAGCCACAGAAAGAATAAAATACCTGGGAATACTAGATATTTTACCAGCTAGCCAGAGAAGCAGAATATCTCTACAATGAGAATTACAAAACACTGCTCAAAGAAATCAGAGATGACACAAACCAATGGAAAAACATTCCATGCTCATGTATAGGATGAATAAATATTGTTAAAATGACCATACTGCTCAAAGCAACTTACAGATTCAATGCTATTCCTATCAAACTACCAATGACATTCTTCACAGAATTCGAAAAAACTATTTTAAAATGTATATGGAACCAAAAAGAGCTCAAATAGCCAAGGAAATCCTATGCAAAAAGAACAAAGCTAGAGGCATCACATTACCAACTTCAAACTGTATTATAAAGCTACAGTAATGAAAACAGCAATGGTACTGGTACAAAAACAGACACACGCACCAATGGAACAGAGTAAAGAGCCCAGAAATACAGCTGTACACCTACAACCATCTTATCTTTGACAAGGTTGACAAACACAAGCAATGGAGAAAGGACTCCCTGTTCAATAAACAGTGCTGGGATAACTGGCTAGCCCTATGAAGAAGACTGAAACTGGACCCTTTTCTTATTCTATACACAAAAATCAATTCAAGGTGGATTAAATACTTAAAGCCTAAAACTATAAAAACCCAGACGATAACCTAGGAAATACTATTCTGGAAATGGGCCCTGGCAAAGATTCCATGACAGAGACACCAAAAGCAATTGTTAAAAAACAAAAATTAACAAATGGGACCTAATCAAACTAAAGAGCTTCTGCACAGCAAAAGAAACTCTCAACAGAGTAAATAGCCTACAGAATGAGAGAAAATATTCGCAAACTGCACATCTGACAAAGGTCTAATATCCAGCATCTATAAGGAACTTAACAAGCAAAAAGCAAATAACCCCATTAAAACATGGGCAAAGGACATGAACAAACACTTTTCTAAAGAAGACGTACACAAGGCCAACAAGCATATGAAAAATGTTCAACATCACTAATCAATAGAGAAATGCAGATTGAAACCACAATGAGATACCATCTCACATCAGTCAGAATGGTTATTACTAAATAGTCAAAACGTAACAGATGCTGGCAAGGTTGTGCAGAAAGAGAACAAACAAATGGAAGAACATTCCATGCTCATGGGTAGGAAGAATAAATATCGTGAAAATGGCCATACTGCCCAAGGTAATTTATAGATTCAATGTCATCCCCATCAAGCTACCAATGACTTTCTTCACAGAATTGGAAAAAACTACTTTAAAGTTCATATGGAACCAAAAAAGAGCCTGCATTGCCAAGTCAATCCTAAGCCAAAAGAACAAAGCTGGAGGCATCACACTACCTGACTTCAAACTATACTACAAGGCTACAGTAACCAAAACAGCATGGTACTGGTAGCAAAACAGAGATATAGACCAATGGAACAGAACAGAGCCTTCAGAAATAATGCCGCTTATCTACAACCATCTGATCTTTGACAAACCTGACAAAAACAAGAAATGGGGAAAGGATTCCCTATTTAATAAATGGTGCTGGGAAAACTGGCTAGCCATATGTAGAAAGCTGAAACTGGATCCCTTCCTTATACCTTATACAAAAATTAATTCAAGATGGATTAAAGACTTAAATGTTAGACATAAAACCATAAAAACCCTAGAAGAAAACCTAGGCAATACCATTCAGGACATAGGCATGGGCAAGGACTTCATGTCTAAAACACCAAAAGCAATGGCAACAAAAGCCAAAATTGACAAATGGGATCTAATTAAACTAAAGAGCTGCTGCACAGCAAAAGAAACTACCATCAGAGTGAACAGGCAACCTACAGAATGGGAGAAAATTTTTGCAATCTACTCATCTGACAAAGGGCTAATATCCAGAATCTACAATGAACTCAAGCAAATTCACAAGAAAAAAACACACAACCCCATCAACAAGTGGGCAAAGGATATGAACAGATACTTCTCAAAAGAAGACATTTATGCAGCCAAGAGACACATGAAAAAATGCTCATCATCACTGGCCATCAGAGAAATGCAAATCAAAACCACAAGGAGATACCATCTCACACCAGTTAGAATGGCGATCACTAAAAAGTCAGGAAACAACAGGTGCTGGAGAGGATGTGGAGAAATAGGAACACTTTTACACTGTTGGTGGGACTGTAAATTAGTACAACCATTGTGGAAGTCAGTGTGGCGATTCCTCAGGGATCTAGAACTAGAAATACCATTTGACCCAGTCATCCCATTACTGGGTATATACCCAAAGGATTATAAATCATGCTGCTATAAAGACACATGCACACGTATGTTTATTGTGGCACTATTCACAATAGCAAAGACTTGGAACCAAGCCAAATGTCCAACAATGATAGACTGGATTAAGAAAATGTGGCACATACACACCATGGAATACTATGCAGCCATAAAAAATGATGAGTTCATGTCCTTTGTAGGGACATGGATGAAGCTGGAAACCATCATTCTCAGCAAACTATCGCAAGGACAAAAAACCAAACACCACATGTTCTCACTCATAGGTGGGAACTGAACAATGAGAACACATGGACACAGGAAGGGGAACATCACACACCGGGGCCTGTTGTGGGATGGGGAGAGGGGGGAGGGATAGCATTAGGAGATATACCTAATGTTAAATGACGAGTTAATGGGTGCAGCACACCAACATGGCACATGTAACAAACCTGCACATTGTGCACATGTACCCTAAAATTTAAAGTATAATAATAAAAAAAAAAGAAACAGAAACACTTATACACTGCTGGTGGGAATGTAAATTAGTTCAGCCACTGTGGAAAGCACTGTGGCAAGTTCTCAAAGAATTTGAAACAGAAGTACTATTCGACCCAGACATCCCATTATATAATATAATATAAACCATTCTACCATAAAGACCCAGGCATGCATATGTTCCTTGTAGCACTACTCACAATAGCAAAGACATAGAATCAACCTAAATCCCCATCAATGGTACTCTGGATAAAGAACATATAGTACATATACACCATGGAATACTATGCATCCAAAAAAGGGAACAAGATACTGTCCTTTCCAGCAACACGGATGGAGCCAGAAGCCATTATCCTCAGCGAACCAATGCAAGAACAGAAATCCAAATACTGCATGTTCTCAATTGTAAGTGGGAGCTAAACATTGAGTACACATGGACACAAAGAAGGGAACAATAGACACCGGAGCCTACTTGAGGGTGAGTGAGGGGAAGAGGGAAAGAATAAAAAAGCTACGTATCGGGTACTACACTTGTTACCTGGGTGATGAAATAATCTGTACACAAAACCTCTGTGACATGCAATTTACCTATTTAACAAACCCACACAGGCAACCCTGAACCTAAAAGTTAAAAAATATCTAAAGCAAATGTCAAAACAGATAGAGCTGACCCATGAGTAGGTGGGATTTGGTAATGAATTTCTTAAAATATTTTGAATGTTTGAAATATTTTATAATAAATATAAAATATATATAGCTTTACCCTGCCATCTTATGGAAGAGCCTGACCCTAGGTATACAGGACTGGAGGAAGAGTGAATATAGCAATTCTCATGCAAACCCTGAGGGTCAAAGGGATTTTGCTGTGGCGGACTGCGGTCCAGAATTCAAACAATGAGTTTTCTTGGGGGAAAGGTTGGCCAACTGAGGCTGGGCAGATATCCAGGACAAACTCAGCTTAGGTCACTGTTGGGTTTAGGGCTGGCTACCTTAAGGAAAACATCATGGTCTCAAACTCCAGGGCCCTGGGCACTCAATCAGAGCTTCAGGAGAGGCCCAGGTTCCTGTGCCTAGTTTTGTCTCTCTATCAAATGCTCTTCACACAGCAATAAAAGTACTCCCCTCTGGGCCAAAGCTGGGCAAGTAAGTGGCGCCTTTTCCCAAATAAATCATATCTTCTTTGTGCCAGAAGTAACCAGGGTGCCTGGCGCTCAGGCAGAGATCACTTTGTCGGGTTCTCAGCCCCTCCAGGCCTCATCCGCACAACAACTGGGCTGCACTGACTGGAGAGAGGCCCCTGTACTTCTCCTTGCTTGAGAACCCCAGAAATGCCAGGCTCCTCCTCACCCAATCCCTCCCCAAATAGAGTTGAGAGGATGACAAACTCATGTGGTGTAGGTGTTTCATTTCATGAGACTGGAGGAGACAGAGAGAGAGAGGAGATTAACAAGATAATATTCAGTTGCTCCTGGCACCCTGTCCCTTCTCTGGCCCCCGCCTCTACTCTCCCCCTTTCTTCCCAATTTTCCACTAGGAAGCCCCCAGGATGCCACTAAAACCATCTATAACCTTCAGCCTAGCCTACTGTGTGAGCCTCCAGGAAACGGGAACAATGTTTATACTTTTCAACTTCTTTCAGGCCTAAAACTTTGTCTTACCTTCAGAAAGATTTGTTTTTAGACTTTTTTTTTTTTTTTGAGACGGAGTTTCACTCTTGTTTTCCAGGCTGGAGTGCAATGGCACGATCTTGGCTCACCACAACCTCGGCCTCCCGGGTTCAAGCGATTCTCCTGCCTCAGCCTCCCTAGTAGCTGGGATTACAGGCATGTGCCACCACACCCAGCTAATTTTTTTGTATTTTTAGTAGAGAGAGGCTTTCTCCATGTTGGTCAGGCTGGTCTTCAACCCCCAACCTCAGGTGATCTGCCTGCCTCAGCCTCCCAAAGTGCTGGGATTACAGGCATAAGCCATGACGCCAGGGCTTTTTTAGCCATCTTAAGAGTGTTTTTACATTGTGATTTGGTAATATCATTAAAAATTAAAATTTAATAACTCTACTAAAATAATAAATTGATACATGTTTTACTAAATTTCCCTAAAAGTCATTAAACACATGACTAAATCAAATTCAATGGAAAAATCTCCTAGTAGATTCATTTTACATTACAAATCAAAACACACAATTGTTGATAGTCACAAGGTGAGATTTGTCACTACTCCAAATCACAAACGTGTATATGCCTACACTCACTGAGCACTTACTTTATGCCAGGATTTGTGGGAATTGCTGCAGACAAAAAGATGAATAACGTACAGTCTGTGCTCTCAAGAATTTACTATCTATACATTATGAACGACTATTCTTGGATTGCTTTTAAATGTATTTGACAGATCACATAAACACTATCAGTTGAACTTGCAAGTCGAAATTAGCTATCTGCCTTGATTTGATCGGTTTGGATAGTACCATAATTGTCTTTTATAATTTGTATTATGTTACTCTCTTGACCTGTGCTGAACAGAGCCCACAGTCAGTAGATGAGCAATGAATTCAGAATATGCTTCAAATTAACCAAATAAATTGCCACTTACAGGAAGACAGAGGTCTTTGCAGCTACATGTGTTAGTAAGTGTGTGGTCACTGATCACTCACCATTATCTAAATTATAAAGGTTATGAGCACAGAAATATGCAAGGATGCTTGAAACAATCTTCTGCAAATTTAGTAAAACACAGGTTAAACTAAAATGTATCTAGAAATATAAATATGGATTGTTTTTCCTCATTCAGAAATTTATAGTCCCAGCATCAGTAGTGCATTAATGTTAAACATTCCCCTTAAACCACTAACTGAATATTGATGATCTGTACCTCTTACTTAAAAATCCATGTGTAGATATAATTTATATAAAAATACAAAATACCTTCAGATATGATAGCCAGAGATATGCATTATATCACTTAAAGGAATATGAGATGTCTTGGCCGGGCGCAGTGGTTCATGTCTTTAATCCCAGCACCTTGGGAGGCTGAGGTGGGTGGATCACTTGAGTTCAGGAACTCAAGACCAGCCTGGTCAACATGGTGAAACTCAGTCTCTACTAAAAATACCAAAAAAAAAAAAAAAAAAAAAAAAATTAGCTGGGCTTGCTGATGGGTGCCTGTAATCCCAGCTACTCAGGAGGCTGAGGCAGGAGAATCACTTGAACCTGGGAGGCGAAGGTTGTGGTGAGCTGAGATCGTGCCATTGCACTCCAGCCTGGGCAACAAGAGCGAAACTCCGTCTCAAAAAAAAAAAAAAGATGTCTGAAAACAATTCTTTCTGAAGGTAAGACAAAGTTTTAGGCCTGAAAGAAGTTGAAAAGTATAAACATTGTTCCCATTTCCTGAGGGCCCACCCGATAGGCTGGACTGAAAGTTATAGATGGTTTTAGTGGCATCCTGGAGGCTTCCTAGTGGAAAATTGGGAAAGAAAGCGGCAGAGTAGAGGTGATTGCGCCACTGCACTCCAGCCTGGGTGACAGAGCAAGACTCTGTCTCTAAAACAAAACAAAACAAAAAGATCTGAAATGGCAATATGGCACCTTCTTTTAACAGAAAAGCTTGAAAGTTTACCTCTTCTTTGGGAAGACCACCAAACCCAACAATTATAGTGTTCCAAAAGAACCTTACGTGTCCCTTCCTGTTTAAGAATTCCCTTCATAACATGCCTAGTAATTGGTTATCTAATGTCTGCTTAATAAATAATGGCGATCTTAGTACTTCAAAAGCAGCTTCTTGTGCAATCTAGCTCCTGAAATCTTTCCTTGTTCCTCACAATGCAATGAATAGTGAATCATGGTGGTGAAATAGTTCAAATTTAGAGGAAGAAAAATCTGGATCTGATCTCATACCAGTGGTGTGATCTTAGGCACAATTCTTAGCCTCCGTAAGTCTCCACTTCCTAATCTGTAAATGGGAATAATAATAATTATACAATTTCACAAAATTAATGTGAGAATTAAGTAGGGATAGTATATAAAGCACTAAACAATGAATGAAATTTGATAAATGCTTAACAGACAATCTTATTGACAACAACCCCAGTTTGCTTATTTGTTGTTGTTCCTATCTTACATGACTACTCTGGATCATTATGTCTGTTGACCACATCCTCCTTCTTCAAACTCTCTCTTGCTTTGTTTTCCAATATATTCCTTTCTTCTCGTTCTCCACCTACGCCCTTGAGTCCTTTTTCTCTCTCCCCTCTTTGTTAGTTTCTCTTTCTCCAGCAGTCACACCAATTTCAGAAAAATTCACCATAATAGAAATAAAAGATATACATTAGCCACTACTCCAATCTGGTTCTTGTAAGGACTGAGGATTCTTACTTGCTAGGTCATCTCCTGAAGTTTCTTCCCTTTATATGCAGAAGCAAAGTAAGGTGAAGAAATATAAAGAATTCAGATAATATAAATCGATTTTCCAAATAAAGATCTGACAGAAAAAAGGTAAAAAGTTGTGCAGGTAGTTTACAAAGTGAGAGAAGAAAGTTGCTTTATTGATTTTCTTTTTCTATTTCAGTTGCTGTCAGGTATGTGGAAGTGAGAGAAAGGTGAAGAAGGCAGATGTTGAGAAATTCCACTGCTTCTGTCCTTCCTACCTGCCCCCCTTCCTTCCTGAGCAATTCTATCCAAAGGAAACTAGGCTGGGCTGAGGACGGCAGGCATTCATGCAGATGGAAGCAAAGGGAGAATGAGTGGAAGCAACAGCAGTGGCTCCGGCTCTGGTGTCCTGTGTCCAAGCGGGGTCAGGGTTTGTCCTTGCAGGGGATGGATGTGGTAGGGTGGCCACCAGGGAGCATCCAAGCCTCAGTGGGGTTTAAAAGATATCTACATGGGGCAAGTAGCAGCAGAGGCCTGGGTGGGAAAACTGAGCTAGAGTGGGTTAAGGAGGGTGTCCATCAAGCGACGGATCGTGGGTGGCAGTGACAGAAGCACTGGCCAGGGTGTCACAGCCCAAGCAGGATGAGCAGTGTTTCTGGGAGGAAGATGCTGGCAGCAGAGACAGGAGATGGGTTACATATAAGAGGATTGAGAAAATAAATAAATATTTTTGAAGATAATGGAGGCCAGAGTCCTCATTGTTAGAAAAGGAAGTTACAAGCCAGGCGCGGTGGCTCATGCCTGTAATCCCAGCACTTTGGGAGGCCAAGGTGGGTGGTTCACGAGGTCAGGAGATCAAGACCATCCTGGCTAACATGGTGAAACCCCATCTCTACTAAAAATACAAAAAAAAAAAAAAAAAAAAAAATTAGCCTGGCGTGGTGGCGGGTGCCTGTGGTCCCAGCTACTCGGGAGGCTGAGGCAGGAGAATTGCGTGAACCTGGGAGGCGGAGCTTGCAGTGAGCGGAGATCGCGCCACTGCACTCCAGCCTGGGCGAATGAACAGGACTCTGTCTCCAAAAAAAAAAAAAAAAAGAAAGAAAGAAAGAAAAGGAAGTTACAAATCCAGAAAGAGAAATAACTAGAAGAAAAAAACCCTGTAGTGTTTGATTAGAATAGTGGATATTACTGAGAATTCATGAATCTGTTTTTTGTTTTTTGTTTTTTTCCAAGGCGGAGTCTCGCTCTGTCGCCAGGCTAGAGTACAGTGGCGTGATCTCGGCTCACTGCAACCTCTGCCTTCCGGGTTCAAACTATTCTCCTGCGTCGGCCTCCAGAGTAGCTGGGAGTACAGGCACGCGCCACCACGCCCAGCTAATTTTTGTATTTTTAGTAAAGATGGGGTTTCACCATGTTGGTCAGGATGGTCTCCATCTATTGACCTTGTGATCCACCCACCTCAGCCTCCCAGAGTGCTGGGATTACAGGCATGAGCCACTGCGCCCGGCCCCATGAATCTTTTTTTTTTTTTTTTTTTTTTTTTTTTTTTTGAGACCAAGTCTCGCTCTGTCGCCCAGGTTGGAGTGCAGTGGCGCCATCTCGGCTCACTGCAAGCTCCGCCTCCCGGGTTCACGCCATTCTCCTGCCTCAGTCTCCCGAGTAGCTGGGACTACAGGCGCCCGCCACCACGCCCGGCTAATTTTTTGTATTTTTCCTAGAGACGGGGTTTCACCGTGTTAGCAGGATGGTCTCCATCTCCTGACCTCGTGATCCGCCCGCCTCTGCCTCCCAAAGTGCTGGGATTACAGGCGTGAGCCACCACGTTGAATCTTAATAAGAGAGATAGAGAGATAAATAAATATAGAAGACAGTGTGTGTGCGTTTGTGTGTGTGTGTGTGTGTACGTACACATATACACTCTAGCTTTAGTCACTGAAAGGGCTTGGAAGCAACTATATCTAGATAGCAATGAACACGTTTAAAGCTTAGATCTTGGTTTCTAAAAGCCACTCTCCATTAAAAGTGAACAGGGCTCCTTGGAGAAATGACGAATTCCAGAAAAGGGACAGGAAAAGTATAAGATTAACTTGGAACTTTGTGTGCTAGAAAAAGGGAAGGGCTTAAATAATAATGAGGACAAGTCAAAAGAACACAGAAGCCAGCATAAAGAGTCTCCAATGACCAAATCTGGGACAATTTCAGCATGAAAGTAAACAATCATAGTATCATATTATAATCCACTGTATAAAATAGGTATTCATGAGTTTCATACCAATATAAATAATGAATAAAGTAAAAGTTTGATTAAGATTGAGATGTTTACAGTGGTTGGGTGTGGTGATTCATGCCTATAATCCCAGGAGGGAGGATTTGGGAGGCAGAAGCAGGAGGATCACTTGAAGCCAGTTTTGAGACCAGCCTGGGCAGCAGAGCAAGATCCCGTTTCTACAAAAAAAAAAAAAAAATTACAGACAGGTGTGTACAGAGTCACAATGAAACTCCTCACCAAAAAAAAAAAAAAAAAAAACTTATTAATTACAAAGGGAAGAGTTATCACTTGACAGCAGAGAAGCCCAGCAGACTGGCAGACACCACCTTCCTCAGTTAATTAAAGGTAACATCACCAGTAATGGGATGTTAAAATCACTGCCACTCGATAACATGGTGAACACAACCTTATTTGTATGATACTCCTGTCAAAGGTGAATGAGCTCAATCTAATCAAAAGGAAACATCAGATAAACCCAAACTGGGAGATATTCTACAGAGTAATTTATCTGCAAATGTGTCAAAATCATAAAAGTTAAGGAAAGACTGAGGAATTGTTCCAGATTGAAAGAGACTAAAGAGTCATGAAACCAATGCTACACATAACCTTTGACTGGATCCTGAAGACGAATGGAGACAATTGAAAGGAGTCTGATGATTAGATGGCAGTTTTAGATTGATGTTAATTTCCTGATTTTCATGGTTGCATACTGGTTGGGAGAATGTTCTTGTTGTCAGAATTCCATGCTAAAGTATTCAGAAATGATTGGTGCATCATAGCAGTAACATAACAATCAAATGGTGCAGAAAACATAACTGTAACTTTGTTGACACTTTTCTGTGCATTTGGAATTATTTCAAAAGAAAAAAAAATTTCCCTGTACATTTTGAGTAAGATAACTTTTGTTATCTTTAGAAGTCTTCAGTAATTATTTTAATTGATTTCTAAATATTCTACATGGACGGGATAACTTCAAGGCAAGATCAAGTCTTTTGCCTCTCTGTTGTTAAAATGATAGTGTTATACGTCAGGAAAAGGAAAAATAAATAAGAACTAAACAGGAAAGAACCGGGCAAAGGTCTTAAAGGGACAATTTGCTGACCGTAAAGTATTCTAAACTCTTAGTTATCTTTAAACTCTTTAGTAGTCAAAGAAACTCTTTTTTATTGATACATAATAGATGTACATATTTTTGGATACATGTGATAATTTAATACATTCATATAATTTGTAAAGATCCAATCAGTGGAATTGGGATATCCATTACCTTAAATATTTGTCTATTCTTTATGCTAGAAACATTTGATTTATTCTCTTCTAGCTCTTTTGAAATATACAACATATTATTATTGAAATGGTTTGGATCTGTTTCCCCACCTAATCTCATGTCAAATTGTAATCCCCAGTGTTGGAGGCAGGGCCTGGTGGGAGGTGATTGGAACATGGAGGTGGTTTCTCATGAATGGTTTAGCACCATCCTCCTTGATACTGTCCTAGAGATAGCGAGTGAGTTCTCACAAGATGTGGTCACTTAAAAGTATGTAGCGCCTCCCCCACCCCTGCTTCTTACATGTAAGACGCCTGCTCCTTACATGATTGGAAGTTTCCCGAGGCCTCCCCAGAAGCAGAAGCTGCCATGCTTCCTGTACTGTCTGCAGAACTGTGAGCCAATTAAACCTCTTTTCATTATAAATTACCCAGTCTCAGGTATTTATATACAGTAATGTGAGAATGGACTAAGGCAATTATAAACTATAATCCCCCTAGTGATAGATCAAACACTAGGTCTTATTTCTCTTATCAAACTGTGTATTTGTACCCACTAATCAATCAAAGATGCTCTTTAGTACTCAAGAAAATGCAAATCAAAACATATATGTCGGACGTACATTTACAATTATATATACACGTGTACATATATGGCCATGGTTTCAATATCCCCTGCAAAACTCATGTGAAACTTAATTGCCAGGCCAGGCCCAGTGGCTCATGCCTGTAATCCCAGTACTTTGGGAGGCCAAGGTGGGAGGATAGCTTGAGCCCAAGAGTTCAAGACCAGCCTGAACAACATAATGAGACTCTGCCTCTACCAAGTTTTTTTTTTTTTAAATTAGCCAAGCATTGTGGCACGCACCTGTAGTCCCAGTTACTTGGAAGGCTGAAGTGGAGGGATCACTTGAGCCCAGGAAGTCAAAGCCAAAGTGAGCCAAGGTCACACGACTGCACTCCAGCCTGGGTGACAGAGCGAGACCCTGTCAAAAAAAAAAAAAAAAAAAGGAAAGGAAAGGGAGGGGAGGGGAGGAGAAGAGAAGAGAGGGAAAAAAAAGGAAGGAAGGAAGGAAAGGAGGGATGGAGGGAGGGAGAGAAGGAGGGAATTTAATCGCCATTCTAATAGTGTTGAGAAGTGGGGGGCCTTCAAGAGGTGATTAGGTCATGAGGGCTCCACCCTCATAAATAGATTAATGCCATTATAGTGGAAATGGGTTAGTTATCTCGAAAGTGGGCTCCTAATGAAAGAATGAGTTCAGCCCAATTTCTTCTCTTTGTCTGGTGCACACTGTTTCTCACCATGTGGATGCCTTCGACTATGCTATGACACAGCAGAAGGCCCTCACCAAATGTGCCCTTTCGATCTTGGACCTCCTAGACTCCAGAACTGTGAACCAAATAGACTTCTATTATTTATAGATTACCCAGTCTGTATTCTGTTATAGCAACAGAAAACAAACGAAGACATATACATGCAAACATATGTGTATACGTATATTTATATAGGAGACATGACAAAATGAAAATATCACTTCTGTAATCCACTAGTGGAAGTGTAATTCTGGAAAGAAATTAGTGAAAGTATGAAGTCTTACCAATCATTTCACTCTAGAAATCCATCCAGAAAATATATACAAAAGATATGAGTTACATCCTCAATAAAGTTATTCATTGCAGCATTACTTATTATAGCAAAAACTGAAAACAAGCATCTAACAATAATAGATAAGTATTTCCGAGTTATGATTTATACATAGATGGAATATTATACATCTAAGAAAGTGATATTATAAAGGAATCTAAAATAATATGGAAGGCTGGGCACGGTGGCTCACGCCTGTAATCTCAGCACTTTGGGAGGCTGAGACGGGTGGATCACCTGAGGTCAGGCATTTGAGACCAGCCTGAGCAACATGGTGAAACCCCATCTCTACTAAAAATACAAAAAATTAGCCAGGCATGGTGCTGGGCGCCTGTAATCCCAGCTACTCAGGAGGCTGAGGGAGGAGCATCGCTTGAACCCGGGAGGCAGAGGTTGCAGTGAGCTGAGATCAAGCCACTGCACTCCAGCCTGGGTGACAAGAGCGAAACTCTGTCTCAAAAAATAAATAAATAAATAAATAAAATAATATGGGAAAAAGACTCTTGGAATAATATTAATTTTTAAAAATACATTACCAAATTAGTGAAAATTAGTGGAAAGTGGAAAAATACATCCCAAATGTGTGAAAAATGCATGTATTATACATACATTCATTATTTTTAAAGATTTGAAGAAATACCACAAATGTTAGCAGTAATGGGGATCAAAGATTAGGGCTATATTTTTCTCTTTCTACATTTCTTTACATTCCACTTTTTACAAATATGTGCATAATTTTAATGGCTAGAACAATAAAAGTACTCGTTTATTGCAAAGACAGCCAAGTCTCCCCTTCCCGGGATTTCTGTCTCTTCCACACCATGCCTGCCAGCACTACGTTAACGCTAGGCCCTGATCAGCCTTCCCCTTGCTCCTTCCGGTGCCTTCTGAGAGCTGAAATTGTAAAATATTAATCAGATGTTCTGCTTTTAGCACACTAAAATTCTGAGCAGCTATCCAGAGAGTTGGATTGTGTTATCACCGGTACATTTTTCTGTTTTGCCTATTTTATAATCTGAGCAGTGTGTACAATTCATAACTTCAGCTTAGCTGTGTAGTCTGTTGACAATTCCCACAATAATATCACTTAGCTGCTCTTGTCTTTCATCCTCACCCACCTCTCTCCTGTGAGCTGCACTTGTAGATATTTAAATAGTCCCCTGAATGCCTTCTTTACGTATGTCCTTACTATGCCACTACACTATTCTCTCCAAACTATGACTGATTTATTCATTTATTCAGTTATTGAACTTCAATACATTTTTTATTATAGAGTACCATGTGTAAGGCACTGGAAGCACAAAGATACAAAAAAAGTAAAATCTCCTTGTCTTAGGTAAGTATACAATCTGGTGGGAAGTCAAAGAAACAAGCAAACAATCACAATATTCTAACACTATTGTTTCAGTGGAGGGCTGTGTAAACATCAGCCTGAGCACTGAAGCCTTCCCTAATGGGGAGTCAGGAGAAGCTTTGCCACTGAAGTCAGATTTCAACTGACTTTAAAAAAGGGGGCAGTTTGCAAGATAGACAGTCAGGCTACAAACAAAAGAAACAGCATGTTTGAAAACAAGTAGGTCAGATTGTACTAGAAGCCCAAATGGGAGCAAGGGAGGATAGAGGGGCAGGAAACATTAGGAAAGAAAGAAGAGGTCACCTCATAAAAGCATATCTTGTATTTTTTCACTATCCTTTTCTTGTCATTAATCCCACCCCATCCCACTAGTGGCCTGGGGCAACCAGAATATGTTACTTTAAAGCTGTTCCAGCCCAACACAGAAGAAATGAGACACAGCAGTTAAGAGTCAGCTGCCAGAAGTTTCTTGATCATTGACAGGCTTGGACATCTTACTCCTGCCCACTCACCCACCTGATGTATAAGAAGCATGCCATGACACTATTTCCAAAATGCCATCCTTTACAGTGTGCCATCTAAGCAAACAATTGTTTCCCCCACTTTTACTCTGTTATCTAGTCCTGGAATATGTTTTTTTTAAGCCCATTGATTCCATAACCTACTAATTTTTAAAGCACCAATGAAATCTCGATTCTTTATTCTTAGCTACCTTATTATTTATTACTAGTAGAATAAGTTACATGGTATCTCTGAACTTCAGTTTCTTCAACTGCAAAACAGACGCGATAGGCTGGGCACAGTGGCTCGCGCCTATTATCTCAGCAACTCGGGAGGCCAAGGGAGGAGGATCACTTGAGGCCAGGAGTTCGAGGTTACAGTGAACTATGACTGTGCCATTGCACTCAACAGAGTGAGATCCTGTCTCAAAACAACAACAACAATAAACAAAACAAAACAAAGAACCAAGCTGCACAAACAGGATCGCATCCCAGAGGAAAATAAAGATTTTTTAATGGATAATAATAATATTTACAATTGGGAATTATAGCTACAGGCAGTGAGTACAGCCTAAGTTCTGAATAAAAGCTGTAGCTAGAATTATAATAGTTATTATTACTCTCAGTATTATTATCACTATTCAGTGCCCTCTTCATAAATACTAACCCTCACAAGTTATGACACTGGAAATACTGAAAAATCATGCTAACCTGTTTTTGTTGTTAAAATTTTGGTTCTTGTCCACAATCCACATAAGTCATCTTCCCAAAACCTATTTGCTCCACACACCTGAGATTTATTGAGTTGATGCTGCTACCTCACATTGTGCTCTGTGGGTATGATTTTCTATCTTAGAATTTCTTCAGATCACATTGTTCTCTGTGAGTATAATTTTATATCTTAGAATTTCTTCTCCATCTCAGGATTTGGTTTAAAATGTTCTCGATTAATCATTTTGCCAAATATACGAATCATCTATAAATTTCGGATTTATACCTGTACTCTCTCAGAAAACACAGAAAATCTGGCGTTATGTAGTTCAAACAACCAAACCAAATTAAACCAGACAATGCAAATGCTGAAGGTGATCTTTCTCTATATCAAATATTAATATCTGTTCTTATCAAAGAAATGGAATAAGTGAAATGGATGTTATCTGGTCACTTATTACTGCTGTATGTTTTTCAGCCTATGAGAACAATTCAAGAATCTCTTGGGAAATTCAAAACCATGTTAAGTTGTATCTTGAATTTAAATTGTGCCAAGACTTTATCTTTAGAGGTGATATTTTCAAGCAATTTAAACATTCTCACATTCAAAGCTCTTCTCTACATTTGATGAGTCACCCACAAATACTTACGTTCCAGATCAGTGGATAGTGACAGAGAGCCAGATCATTACAAAAAGTGAGGCTCCTTATACCTCTGTTCTGTTGCAGTTGACGAACACTTCACCATCATGCTCAGAAACCAGATGTCAAAAAACAACATCTGATAGGGTTTTCTGTACTGAGCAGATTACAGTCTTGGTTACTGAACCAAAAATATTTGAACATAAATAGCTAGTTAAAATTTACATAATTACCCCTTCAGTGTTTAGTCACTGGCAAAGGTAAAGAACAAATGAAATAGCTTTGGAATAATAAATTTTTCATCAATTTTTTGACCAAACTCAATATGAACTATTTAGTTGGAATGACTTTCCAGAGATTATATAAAGTGCAGGCAGCCTGCAAATAGATAACTTCACCTAGCCACTGGCTGTAATGTATGGGAGGGAGGTGGTAATAATATTTTTATTTATAACTGAAATGAAGGAATGAATAACAATAAAGATTTTCATAATCTGTGAAACTTGTTTTCTAGAATGTAGGAAACCTGGTCTTGCAGCTCTCTATGTTCCTTTCTAGCAAATCACATGGGAGGAATCCCTTAGAAAAGGCCACTGTACAAACATATTTGAATTAATGAATTAATAAGGCTTTAGTTACCATTAAAGATGTACAAAGAATCAAAACATAAAGAACTACAAATTGTTCTGTTCTGTTCAAAGGGGAGTGGGAGATGAGGTGGAAGGTACAACGTCTTTAAGAAGTGCCTTAGATGGACCTGATTTATAGCCTAAGGTATTTTTCAATTCATATTCAGGTGCTATATCCAGCCAGACTTAAGCCATGCTTGTGTGTTGAAAACTCAGTCCTGTGCTTTTCCTATGACTGGTACCTACCTCATGGGTACCAATCAGAGGACTTTTTTCTTTCTTTCTTTTTTTTTTTTTTTTGATGGAGTCTTGCTCTGTCACCCAGGCTGGAGTGCAGTGGTACGATCTTGGTCACTGCAACCTCTGCCTCCCGGGTCCAAGAGATTCTCCTTGAGTAGCTGGGACTACAGGTGCATGCCCAGCTAATTTTTGTATTTTTATTAGAGACGGGGTTTCACCATGTTAGCCAGGATGGTCTCTATCTCCTAACCTTGTGATTTGCCCGCCTTGGCCTCCCAAAATGCTGGATATACAGGCGTGAGCCACTGTGCCCAGTCAGAGGACTTTTTTCTAATCATCTATCCTGCCCAGGAAACTTTCTGTCTTGCTTTGGGCCACAATCCAGAGCAAGTTGAGGCTTCCCTCTGAGAGTTTAAGGTCCTTATAATTCTGTTCCAGTCTCTGACTAGCCTCATAGTCCACCCTGCTCAGAGCAGCAGCTGCCAAAATTTCAGGCAAAATGTTTCCAAATAAAATAACCAGAATTTAGGAAGCAGTCCTTGAAAATTCGATGTATTTCAATGACAGCAAATGCTACAGGCTGTTTACCTCTTGGTGGAAAAAGAACGAGATAGCTTGATAAATAGTCAGCTCTTATATTTTCATCAATTGTACCTTTCCAAATAATACTGCACTGTTGATGCCTAGGATAGGATTTATGCTGGAAATTCAATTTACAGGCTGAAGCGAGGCAAGCATTTACAATGTTTCACTGAAAACGTCCTTCTCCACCCCTCCCCCATGACCAGGTCTATGCAAGCTAGTAAGCATGGAAGAGGCCAGGTATAAACCTTACTCATTCAATGATGGCCAATCGCAGGCTATCCTGTGTACACTAAACTGGGTTTGAGCAGTTGAACAACAGTCGTTCATTTGTTCATTCATTCATTGCTCATTCATTCAATATTTATGGAATGCCTATTTATTATATGAGAGTTATTTCAAACAAATATTTAGAAGAAAAGATAAAATAATCCTTTAAATTTGTTTAGACCATAAGATCCCATTTAATTCCCTGCCAAACATTGTATTTACTGTTTGATCAACTCAGCCAAAAAGTTGGAAAATTATCTGTGATCAAATAAACCACCTATGAAACTCCGTATTTTTTTTTATTATACTTTAAGTTTTAGGGTACATGTGCACAACGTGCAGGTTAGTTACATATGTATACATGTGCCATGCTGGTATGCTGCACCTATTAACTCGTCATTTAACATTAGATATATCTCCTAATGCTATCCCTCCCCCCTCCCCCCACCCGACAACAGGCCCCGGACACATGGACACAGGAAGGGGAACTCCGTATTTTTTTACTACAACTGCCTGAAATAACCTCATTAAGTATTAAACTAGTGGGCCTTACGCATTATTCTACGAGAAGAATAAGCAGACACATGCAAATCTACCCCACTGGTATGTGTGAATATGTTCACCCTTGCGTGAGTTTATTAAAGGCAAAGTGGTTCCTGGATCTCAATGTAAAGACAGAGACCACGGAGGACTCCATTTCCAACAGTGTGACGGTTAAAAACCCAGAGAACTCTTTCTCTAAAAACAACTAGGAGGCTAGTTAAATTACTAAAAGCTTATTTTAAGATATATCAAATGGAAAACAAAAATGGTAAGAAATATCCAGAGGCCAAAACTTAAGTGGAAACAGGAATTCAGAGACATGAGTCACTCACTAGAGCCAGATTTTGTCCTGAGGCATGTCAACACTGGTGAACTTGAGCTTCATTTGTCATGGCCTCTGGGGGACTGGGGGCAGAAGATAAAGCCAGGGCCCTTCAAAGGCAAGGAATCCCATAGAAGATCCCACCACATGAAGCTGACTATCCAACAGCTACAGCCTCAGGGAAAGGGTGAATTTCAAATAAACCCACATACCTCCTCACGCCAAGCACAACAAAAAAACAGTGCCTGCTGAATTTCAGTGCTGAGTGGTAAGGAAAAAATTTGCCCTTAAAAGTCCTTACCTACAAGCCAGCCTTCACAGAATTTTGTAACCCAAATTCACACTTCCTTAATGGCCTATAAACCCTCACCAAAGAATTTTATGTAAAGTAGTATTTGTTTGGAGTTTCCAGAAGTGCCCAGAGAAAGGCAAAGAATTGCCTCAGATAAAGTACCCAAAAAATTGAGTCCATAGTCAAAAACAATAAAACATATAAGGAAATAACAAATAGAAAATTAGACCCAAGTAGATCAGATGTTGGAATTAACAAAGACATATAAAATACTAGCTAAATTTATTATATAGTATGAAATAAAAAACCTGGAGACAAGTGAAAAGGAAAAGTTATTTCTAAATGATCAAGAAAATTTGTTAAAGAGCAAATTAGAACTTGTATCTACTTTTGGCAATGTTAAATGTAGAAGGAATGACATAATAGTTAAAATAGAATTGATTAGAAACCATAGGAAAAATAGTTGATTTTGGCAAGAATCATCAATGGATGTTAAAATTATTACATAAAATTTTGATAAATTACAAGACATTTACACAGTCTAAACATTTCTTTCCAATGATTACTTATTAATTGTATAGGAAAAAATGGAAAACTTTATGTATGACACCATCTTAACCAGGTAAACAAAAGTAACAAGGTAAAAAAAAGCCTCAATAATAACAGAAACTGACATTTTGATATTATGCACTGAGAAGGGAATGATGTAACTTACCTAACATTTCCATTAAAAATGCAACTGGGCCAGGCGCAGTGGCTCACACCTGTAATCCCAGCACTTTGGGAGGCTGAGGCGGGTGGATCGCAAGGTCAGGAGATCGAGACCATCCTGGCCAACATGGTGAAACCCCGTCTCTACTAAAAATACAAAAATTAGCTGGGTGTGGTGGCGCGTGCCTCTAGTCCCAGCTACTCGGGAGGCTGAGGCAGGAGAATCGCTTGAACTCAGGAGGCAGAGGTTGCAGTAAGCCTACTGTACCACTGCACTCCAGCCTGGTGACAAAGTGAGATTCCATCTCAAAAAAAAAAGCAACTGTATCCACATTGAAGGGCATTTCACAGCAACAACTGCGCTGTACTTTCAGAGATGTCACTATTATAAAAGACAAGGTCAGGTGCGGTGGCTCACACCTGTAATCCCAGCACTTTGGGAGGCCGAGGTGGGTGGATCACGAGATCAAGAGATCGAGACCATCCTGGCCAACATAGTGAAACCCCATCTCTACTAAAAATACAAAAAATTAGCCGGGTGTGGTGGCGAGTACCTGTAGTCCCAGTTACTCAGGAGGCTGGGGCAGGAGAATCACTTGAACCCGGGAGGCAGAGGTTGCAGTGAGCCAGGATGGCACCACTGCACTCCAGCCTGGGCAACAGAGTGAGACTCCGTCTCAAAAAAAAAAAAGACAAAAAAACTGAGAAAGTGTTCCAGATTAAAGGAAACTAATGAGATGTGGCAACTAAATGTAATGTGTGACCCTAGACTGGATCTGGAAACAGGGAAATAATGTTGCTATAAAAGACATTATTGGAACAACTGTTGAAATTTTAAAATAGAATATATAGTAAATAATAGTGTTATAGCAATATAAAATTTCATTACTGTGATAATTACATACCCTGGGATATTCTTGGGTAAAATGTCACAGTATCTGCAACTTACTTTCAAATGGCCCAAAACAGAATAGATATGTTGAAGAAGAAAATAAAATGAGAAATGCCATAGCAGACAACAAAAAGTATTTTGAATCTATAGCAGTAAATACAGTATGCTTCTGGCAGAACAGAAAACAGACAAAAGGTACAGAATAAAGAGCACTCCAAAAAAGATACTCACTCATATAGATGTAATATAGATGTATGGCAAATATGGCACTACCAGTCCGTGTGGAAAGGGTGCTTTTAAAAAAAAAATGATTCTACAATACTTGTTACTCACATTGAGGAGGAGGGATGCAACTCTCACATAATGCAAAGTCAGTTCCAAAGAAACTGATGTGAAAATGTTTGGGGGAAATGTAAAATAAAGCAAAACTATAAAACCTATATAAAAAGAATAGGTCACATTCTTTATATGTGACCATTGGAATCAAAAAGGATTTCTTAATGCAAGAAGTTCAAACAATAAAGGAAATATGGATAACTTTAAGAACATTATAATCATGATCTTTCATTCATCAAAAGACTCTTATAGAAGAACGTCAACAGGCAAGTTATGAAAACGTGAAGATTAATTCAATATATAAAGAAATACTAAAAATAAAAGAGAAAAAAACCCAATGGAAAATGGCCCAAAGATTTGAACAGAAACTTGAAAGGGTAATAACTAAAAAGATACTCAACTTCATTAGTGAGCAATTAATACAAAATAAAGCACTATCAATTACCATTGTAAATTTACGAGGCTAAAAATAATTTATATCTGGTTATCAAGAGTTGAAACGACATGCAGCAACAGGGATTCTTTTTTGGCACGATCTCAACTCACACAACCTCCACCTCCCAGGTTCAAGCAACTCTCCTGCCTCAGCTTCCTGAGTAGCTGGGATTACAGGTGTGCGCCACCATGCCCGGCTAAATTTTTTTGTACTTTTAGTAGAGACGGGGTTTCAGCATATTGGCCAGGCTGGTCTCGAACTCCTGATCTTGTGATCGGCCCACCTTGGCCTCCCAAAGTGCTGGGATTATGGCGGTGAGCCACTGCGCCCAGCCGCAACTGGGATTCTTCTACACTGCTGCTAGCAGTAGTTAAAATCACCTCACAAAATAATTTGGCATTTATCTACCGAGATGCATATCTATGACCCTTCAATTCCACTCAATCCAAAAAACATGGATTCAATAACTATAAACACACACACACACCATCAACAGTAGAATGAATCCATAAATGGTGATGTAGTCATACAATGGAATACTACACAAATAAAAATGAAGGGAATACAGTTATGTGCAAGAGCAAGGATAAATCTCAATAACATAATGTTAAGCAAAACTTAAAAGCATATTGAAGAAAATTAAAAGCTCAGTTTGGTTCCTTTCATATAAGGTTCAAAAACATTGAAAACTGAATAATTTATGTAAGAAGGAAGCGAAAGGTACAGAATTAGTAAAGATAAGTAAAAAGCCTTCTAAATTTCTAATAACTTAAGTACACTGTATTCACTGTTTGTTAGGCTATTCACATATTTTTTAAATACTGTTCTGTCAACTTAATAAAAAAACAGTGAGGAAAAAAGGATTGTTTCTAATAAACAATTCAAGTCAGAGAGAGTAGGTTATGTTTCTCATATTGAGATTCTTAACCAGAATATTTGTACTATTCCAGAGCACATTTCTGCATTTTTCTTCTTAATTTCTCCCTAGCAGAGCCTCAAATCCCACTACCCACCTTCCCAAAAAAGGAAGGTTTAAATCCAAGCTGTCACATATGCTTTTATCAGATCAGGTTAGAATTTTATTTAAACTATTAAAAGAATAAGACTTGGCCAGGCGCGGTGGCTCACGCCTGTAGCCCTAGCACTTTGGGAGGCTGAGGCAGGCAGATCATCTTAAGTCAGGAGTTTGAGACAAACCTGGCCAACATCATGAAACCCCATCTCTACTAAAAATACAAAAATTAGCCAGTTGTGGTGGCGCATACCTGTACCTGGCTACTCTGGAGGCGGAGGCGCAAGAATTGCTTGAACCCAGGAGTCAGAGGTTGCAGTGAGCCGAGATCATGCCACTGCATTCCATCCTGGGCAACGGAGTGAGACTCTGTCTCACAAACAAAAAAAAAAAGAAGAAGAAGACAGTAAAATGCATGACCTTGAGTGAGACACTTAGATTTGGCACTCGTCCCGGAGGTTTGACTGGACCTGGAGACACAGGGCTGGGTAAATGTAAGATGCCACATTGTTTAGGATTGTTGGTTACAAAGATGTGCATGACACCTTCAGAACTATAGTATATTTAAGGTGAGTGTCTTGACATTCCAATAAGAATCCCAATGGAATGCTGACTTTTTAAAAGGTGTTATCATCTGGAAGACTTGTATTCTTTCTTATCTTGTATCTTTTTTTTTTTTTTTTTTTTGAGACGGAGTCTCGCTCTGTCGCCCAGGCTGGAGTGCAGTGGCACAATCTTGGCTCACTGCAAGCTCTGCCTCCCGGGTTCATGTCATTTTCTTGCCTCAGCCTCCTGAGTAGCTGGGACTACAGGCGCCCACCACCATGCCTGGCTAATTTTTTGTATTTTTTTAGTAGAGACGGGGTTTCACCATGTTAGCCACGATGGTCTTGATCTCCTGACCTCGTGATCTGCCCGCCTCAGCCTCCCAAAGTGCTGGGATTACAGGGGTGAGCCACTGCACCTGGCCTACTTATCTTGTATCTTGTCTGTGTTATTTTTCACTTACAATCATCTCTCTTCCTGAAGATTACAATCATCCTTAACCATCCTTTTTATGGTTAAGCATAATTTTATGGATAATTTCTGCACCCAAGATTGTCAAATTCATTTCTTTTATCCTTTTAAAATCTTCTGAAGTCTCGGCTTTTCCAACCTTCTACTCAAGTAATACAAAAACAGTTGGTTTTCACCCATTGACTCTCCTCTAATAAATATGTCACAGTCTTTTTTTCATAGTCCCTGGCACAGTATTCAAAACATTTTTAATACAATCATTCTAATGCAATAAAAATGATTTAATTTATACATTTTTTCAGGTCTGAAATTTCCAGTCTCTGTAATGCATAATGATTTTATCAAAGTCTTCACAATTTCCTGTAACCCTGAAGATGAGATTAAACAATGTGGATTCAAAGATAAGTGTTGCTTGTTGATTAATATGATACCTTAACCTATCATTTTTTACTTGAAGACTGACCATCCTGAAGACAGTAAATAACCACATTTATTTATCGTGATACCTTGAAATCCCAGACACTCAATAAATATCATTGAATGAATGATCAACTGTAAAATCTTCATGTTAGTTACATTTTGCTTTTGCTGACAAGCACTCCTTTCTCCTTCTTCTGGTAAGGACATCCTAGTGATGAGGAGAAACCATTCCTTCCATACTTTTGTACACGTGGTTTGAACTTTGGCTCCCTCAAAGCTCCCATCCCACTCCCGATATAGGCATGTGGTTGCTTATCTGCGTTTCATCCTTTATTTGGAATGGACACATGGCACAGCCAGGCCAATAAGACTCAAATCCGAAGCATCAGGTAGAAATGTTGAGGAGGAGGAGCACTCTCTACACTGAGAATCCTGACTCTATTGGTACCACCAATCTGGAGCTGCCAGAGGCCACCACATAGACAGAGCCAGCTGAGAATAGAGCCAGCACATGATAAAGAAGAACCAAAACACAAGGAGGGAGTCACAGCCAAAGTTCTGCTCACATTTTTTGAGCCCCAGAGCTAGCAATGACAGGTAATGATCTACATTTGGATTTTTCAGTAAGATGAATATATTCTTTTTTAAAGCTAGTTTAGAGTTGTGTTGACTGATTAAACTTTTGACCTGTGATTTAGTCTTAAAAAAATAAAAACAGTTTTATAAAGGTTTTAGAAGTTAACTTACACTGATTTACATAAACCCCTGATTAAGGATTTCATAAACCCCCTGACAAGCAGCAGTATAGTTAAATAGCCTGGCCTCACTGAACCCATAACCAGGAGTCCAAGCCAAAATGAAAGGCCTGCTGTTGGGTGATAAGGACAGGGTTGTGTGCATACAGGGAGAAGTGCTTAGAAGTAGTGCCTGGAGGAAAATAAATCAGGAAATGACAGTCAGTAGAATAAGTTTTGTAGTAGAAGATGAGAAAATTAGTCTAAGGGAAAACAGGAAGCAAGGAGAGTACATAATACAATTTCTTTTAAAGGGCTTTGCATGTGGTTGATATGATTTGGCCTTTTGCTCCTTCTCTAGATTTATCTCCTACCACTGCTCCTCTTGCGCTTCCTAATTCAAGCTGCTTCCAACCACTAGTGGTTGTCTAAATAGGCCTTGTGGTTTCTTTCCTCAGTGCCTTTGCATGTACTCTGTCCTGTGCCACGGATGCCCTTCCCATCCCTCACTCAGCCTTCAAGAGTCAGCCTCAGCCTCCCTTTGCGAAGCCTCGAGGGACCCCCTTTTCTGCCTTGTGATCCACCTCCATGGGAAGGCCTGGCTCTCTGGACCGTTGGAGAAAACATCTTCCTTGTTTTCTTATTTTTCACTCATCTATAACACAAACTTCCTCAGCAAGGAGACCTTGCCTATTTCACTTTAACAATCCCAGTGCCCAGTACAATGTATAGCCCATAACACATACTTCAAAAATATGAATTGATGAAACAAATTGAATTTCATGAAGATTTAAGATGACCAGTAACAAAATAGTAGGTTCTGTATGTTCACCAACCCCAGACAAAAGACTAAAGCAAAGTATCATCCTACTAAAAGATCAAATAAATATATTAAGCATTTACTATGGAATAGCACTAGAAAGAAAATTTCTCTACATTCTCATCCAACCCACGGTCCAACCTTAAATGTAAAGCAGATCCTCCTCCAGCTCCCTGTTGCCCTCCACCCCACTTAGAGTCATCTTTCTGCCAGAACAGGCCTTTCCTGTGAGTCTAATTCATCTTACAAATGCGCATGAGCTCAGCTATCAGAATGCTTCTGTGTTTTGTCGGCCCCGTATTTTGCTCTATGTTTAAGCAAACACAGAATAATGACCAAATATATGTGTGTAATTGTCATTTTATTCTAAAGCACTACTTGTAGCTGAATTTTATTGAAGGGTTTTAGTGATTATGATCTGACGTAAGAAAATGACAATTCCCCTAGGTTCTCAAACAGGTTTTCCTAAACAAAACAGGTTTTCTAGTAGGTTTTCCTAAATAAAAAGGCAAATTTTATTTTAGACTGAATACTGCTTAGGGGCAGATTCTTTACAAATCTTCTAGGGGAACTAAGGAGTTTATTTAAAGTATTTAAGTACTAATAATGTAGTAGAAGAATTAAACTTAGAGTGGTTTCAACGTATAAAACAGCAATGAATGGAGATAAGTTAGCAAATGACAGACTTTAGCTTAAAGTAAGGAATAACTGTCCTACAATTAAAGCTGTCTAGCAACAGAAGGGGCTGAATTCCAAAGCAGAAAATTTATCAAGAGTCATAAAAAGAAATATTCCCATAAATGGTATGTCTTCAAGATATTACTTCATTAATGATCATGGCATTTCGAAATATGTAACAAAGCCATAGGTCTCCTTTTTGTAGATGAAGAAATCGACAGGCTTAAATGATTTGCCCAGGGTCACATATTGATTGATGCAAGTCTGATGTTCTCTTTGCAATATTTCTTTATTGTCTTAGGAAATAATAAGCTTCCTGCAATTGCACGTGATGTTACTTATTGCAATTCAACTCTTGATCTTCTAAGCAAAATTCAAGTTTTTTATTATCTGAGAGTTGGCCTTCTTGGAACCTTTTAATAGATAAGGCTTTTATAGTTCTGCAAATTCTTAGCATGGCACTTTAATTAGTTTTAACCAATTTTGCATTGAAAAAGTTAGATGATAATGATTAGCCTGCAAATTGGTAGATCTTCTGTAACATGTGTTAAAACGTTAAATGTCAATATGTTATTACAAATACAGTGGCAACCAGGGAAATAAATGTCAAAGTTTTCATTATTTTGTTTGAGAGTTTCAGTAGTACCACCCAATGGTATCTGCAGTTAATACCCCAATCTTTTTGTTAAGAAAAAAGTACTAGCATTGAACCACAGAACAAAATGAGATACGTATTTCCCTCAGCTCCCTGAAGTTAACAGGGCACTCTTTCTTCCATAGAAGGGTCACAATTCCAAATTAAGTTAGCATTACAAATCTATGGAGATGGGGAAACTAAGATCCTTAAGGAGGAAAAAGGGGGAAAATAGTCAATTTAAAGAATAAAATTACAAATAATCAACCAGGCGTGGTGGCTCATACCTGTAATCCCAGCACTTTGGGAGGCCAAGGCGGGCGGATCACGAGGTCAGCAGATCGAGACCATCCTGGCTAACATGGTGAAACCCCGTCTCTACTAAAAATACAAAAAAAAAATTAGCTGGGCATGGTGGCGGCCACCTGTAGTCTCAGCTACTTGCGAGGCTGAGGCAGGAGAATGGCGTGAACCCGGGAGGTGGAGCTTGCAGTGAGCCACTCCACTCCAGCCTGGGCGACAGAGCAAGACTCCATCTCAAAAACAAAAAAAACAAAAATAAAAAACAAACAATCAATAAATAATAAATTGTCTTTTCTTCCTTAGTAATAAAAGAAATAGAAAATGAAATTACAGCAAAATACAATGACTTTTACATATCAAACTGAAAGGTTTTAACAACATACAAACACTCCAGGCTGGTGACGATGCAATGAAACTAGAGCTCCGTGGTAGGTGGCCTCTCAGATTGTCCCTAGTGATTCCTGCCTCCTTGAATTCATGCCTTGTGTAATCCTCACCCTCATGAGTGAGCTGGACTTAGTAACTTGCTACTACCAAACAAAATAGAGCAAAAGTGGGAGATGTCATTTCCAAAGCTACCTACAAAAATAAAAATAAAAAATAAAAAACCCATGACTTTCATGTTGCTTCCTCTCTCCTACTGTCTCCCCTGCTCCCTCTGAGAGAAGCAGCTGCCATGTTCTGAGCTGGCCTATGGAGAAACCAATGTGGCAAGGACCAGGTATCTCCGGCCAAGAACCAGCGAGGACCTGAGGTATGCCAACAGTGACCTGAATGAGCTCAGAAGCAAATTCTGCCTCAGTGGAGCCTTGAGATAATTCTCCGGCCAAGAACCAGCGAGGACCTGAGGTGTGCCAACAGTGACCTGAATGAGCTCAAAAGCAAATCCTGCCTCAGTGGAGCCTTGAGATAATTCACCACTGGCAGACACCTTGATTGCAGTCCTATGAGAGACCCTGAACCAGAGGAATTGAGTTAAGCCACGGCCAGATACCTGACCCATTAATAAATGCTTATTATTTTAAGCTCAATTTGGGGGTAATTTTTGTACACAGCATAAGACAACCAAAGACAACTAATACATATTGTTAGTATGTATTCTAGATTCTGGAAAGTTAGTGTGACAGTATGCATCAAGAGGCTTTTAGAAAATTAATTATTTTTACCCAATAATTCCACATCTAAGATTCTTTTATAAAGAAATAAAGCAGAATGCAATGAAAGATTATTTGCAAAAAAACCCCAAAATTATCTTGATAGTAAATCTTAAAACCATTGCTTATAATAGTTAAAACTTGGAAATAAACGAACTTGGAAATAAACCAATGTCTCAAAATCTGGGACTACATAAGAATACCAACAAGATTTTTTTAAAGGAGACAATTCTGAAAAAGAAGAGTAACGAGGGATCACTAGTCCTACCAGATGACAAAGCATATTTAAAAGTTACAATAACAGAAACAGGAAGTATTGGCACATGAATAGATGAATAAATGGGTCAGGACACTCCAAAGATAGACACAAATATATACAGAAATTTGAGATGATAAATATGATACTCAAAACAAGCAAGATGGATTTTTTAATGTATATGTATACTATAGTCAAACTAAGTCGCCATTTGAGAAAAAAAAAATATTTTAACCAATGCTTCCAATTTTAGCCAAAGTAAAATAAAACAAAGAATGAAAAATAGAAGACAAATAAAAGTTTTTCTGTATAATTTTGGAAGGAAGAAGGTATTTCCACAGAAAACAAAATCTAAACTCCACACAAGAAAATGCTGATAAATTTGATGACACAAAAACTTTAAGAATACCTGCATGGCACGCCAGGTGAGGCTGGGGGAGAACATCATTAATATTAAAAACACTCATTACAAAATGGAAAGGAAAAAACAATTTGCAAGCACATTAGAGTCAAAGGGCTATGTTCTTTACTCTTTAAAAGGTGCCTAAAAGTAAATGTTAAAAATATGACAGAAAATATAGAAAAATGGCTAAGAGATTGAAGAGTGAATACAAAGAAAATGAAATTAAAATAGTTTTTAAACACAGGAAGAGATGTTCAAACTCTTTCATAATGAGAAATGCAAATTAAATGATATAACAAGTATCACCTATTGGAATGACAAGGTCCAAAGTGTTTGATAGCATGAGTGTGTGGGAAAGCAGACAGTTTGAAACTTTGCTGATGGAAGTATTCATTGCTACAACCTCTCTGGAGAGCAATCTATCAAACTTACAAATGCACATTCTCTGACCCTGCATTCTGCTTCTAGAACTTTCTCTTACAAATACACTCATGTGGATAAAATTGTATCATTCGGGGATATTCAGTGCCCCATTTTAAATAACGAAACATTTAAAACAACTTAAATAGGCATCAATAGAACACTAAACACCTTCAGGGACAATACAACAGAACACTGCACAGCCTCTAAAAAGAACAAAGTAGCTCTACATATGCTGATATAGGGTGACTACATGATATATTGGTAAATTAAAATAAATGTAGAATTGTGTGAAAATGCTATCACTGTGTCCAACAAAGAGAACATATATACTATGCACATACCAGCATATAATTTATCAGTGATTGCAAAAAAAAAAATTAATAATGGTTATATCTGGATGGAGAAATTACTAATGGTTTTTATTTTCTTCCTAAATCTTTTTTCAATTTCTACATTTTCAAAAATAACCATATGTAACATTCACAATGAAAGAAAAAGACTTTAAAATACCCATATACATATTAGAAAATATTCGGGCTAAACATGTTCAATTGACTCGGGACAGGGAGTCCCTGTTTGTAAAAAGGAGTCTCGCTCTGTCACCCAGGCTGGAGTGCAGTGGCGCGATCTCAGCTCACTGCAAGCTCCGCCTCCTGGGTTCACACCATTCTCCTGCCTCAGCCTCGCGAGTGGGTGCGACTACAGGCACCCCCACCACGCCTAGCTAGTTTTTTGTATTTTTAGTAGAGACGGGGTTTCACTGTGTTAGCCAGGATGGACTCCATCTCCTGACCTCGTGATGCACCCACCTCGGCCTCCCAAAGTGCTAGTATTACAGGCATGAGCCACCTTGCCCGGCCTCATTTGTTTTTTAAAGGTTCTCACGGCTGAGCATTTTCTTCATGTCGTCATAAAAAATGAACAATATATTGACTTTCACAAATGTCACAGAAAATTAATAAGGACAGAGAAATGGAAGAAAACGTATAATCAATCTTCCAGGTATAACAGTTTACTTTTCTGTTAAAGTGTCTTTTCCAAAAGCAATTACTAAGGATGGAGTGAAACTTGCACCAAAAGAAAAACAAACAAGTCAACATAAACCTTCCTACGCTTTCAGAAGTTAAACTACCTTAGACTGGGCAGGTAATTTTCTCTCCCTTTGGAAACAGTGCGCACGACAGAACTGTGTATTTTGTGGTTTGTGATTTAAGGTCCATGCTAAAAGCAAAAATATTTACTAAGTTCAATCTGCCAACAATGCAAAAAAAAATCTATTGGTCAATGTATAAAATGAAATGGTACACTATTCCTCAGATTTATAAAGGTATTGAAATACACCTATTTATAGAATCTCCTGTCAATTTGGCATCCTGCATTGGTAGACTGATCTTTCCCTGCAGGGTCCTTTTTTTTTTTTAAGATGGAGTTTTGCTGTTGTTGCCTAGGCTGGAGTGAAATGGCACGATCTCCGCTCACGGCAACCTCCGCCTCCTGGCTTCAAGCGATTCTCCTGCCTCAGCCTCCTGAGTAGCTGGGACTACAGGCGCCTGCCACCATGCCCAGCTAATTTTTTGTATTTCTAGTTAAGACGGGGTTTCAGTATATTGAGCAAGCTTGTCTTGAACTCCTGACCTGAGGTGATCCACCTGCCTCAGCCTCCCAAAGTGCTGGTGTGTCCAGAAGTGGTTCCTTCTGGTGTGTTCTCGGTCTCGCTGACTCCAAGAATGAAGCTGTGGACCCACGCAGTGAATGTTACAGTTTCCTCAAAGATGGTGTGTCCAGAGTTTGCTCCTTCAGATGTTCAGACGTGCCTGGAGTTTCCTCCTTCTAGTGGGTTCGTGGTCTTGCTGGCTTCAGGAGTAAAGCCACAAACCTTCACAGTGAGTGTTCCAACTTTTAAAGGTAGTGAAGACCCAAACACGATCAGCAGCAAGATTCACTGCGAAGAGCAAAACAAATAACCTCCCACAGTTAAGAAAGGGACCAGAGCCAGTGACCGCTGCGGATTCGGGTGGCCAGGTTTTATTCCCTTATTTGGCCCCACCCACATCCTGCTGATTGGTCCATTTTACAGAGCACTGATTGGTCCATTTTACAGAGTGCTGATTGGTCCATTTTACAGAGTGCTGATTGGTCCATTTTTACAGAGTGCTGATTAGTGCGTTTACAAACCTTTAGCTAGACGCAGCGCGCTGATTGGTGTGTTTTTACAGAGTGCTGATTGGTGTGTTTACAAACCTTTAGCTAGACACAGAGCGTTCATTGGTGCATTTACAATCCTTTAGCTAGACAGAAAAGTTCTCCAAGTCCCCACCAGACCCAGAAGCCCAGCTGGCTTCACCTCTCACTAGGATTACAGGCGTGAGCCACCGCACGGCCTCAGGATCCTATCTTAAGGTTAGTGTAGGAGGGGGGTTCAGGAAGGCAGGTGCCACAGGCAGAAAGGTCTGTGTTTTGTGGTAGTGATAGGATTGATCGATTTTACTGATGCATGGGGAGAAGAGAGAGAAAGTCAGGAGAACCTGGGTGTAAAATGCACAGGATTTGGCACAGCCAAAGGAGGGATACTAGATAAACTGAAATGAATTGAAGGGCTGTGGGCAGGGATTGCCCCACATCATGTCTGGGACTCTGAGAAATGATTGCTTCCCAGAATAATCCCAACCCATCTGCACATACACTGGTGGGAGAGGGAGTGCTCAGCTTTTTTTAGGTAGGTAGAAGGCCAGAGCCCAGCTTCTTCTGAGTTAAGAGAGGATTCCAATGTCATACCCCAAATGTACAAAGTAAAGTCTAGCAGTCCATATTTTGGGAAAGCTTCCTATCTGATTCTGAGTTATGAGGACTGTCATCCACTATTTAAGAATGGCTTCTCAGCCAGGCACGGTGGCTCACGCCTGTAATCCTAGCACTCTGGGAGGCCGAGGCCGGTGGATTACCTGAGGTCGGGAGTTCAAGACCAGCCTGGCCAACATGGTGAAACCCTGTCTCTACTAAAAATACAAAAAACTAGCTGGGTGCAGTGGCTACAGAGTGAGACTTTGTCTCAAAAAAAAAAAAAAAATGATTTCTCTACCATATCTTAATCGGAATGACTCTTGTATTGTGCACCTCATTCTTTTCATTCTTTTGTCTTCTAGGGTGTTATGTTTCAGACCAATGCATTGCTCTGATAGTCTAAAACATGGAGAACCATCTGAAATTTTTCACTGGCCAATATTGTATAAATAGTTGCTAAAGAATTAAATCATCATTATCAAAAGACAAATTTCAGTAATGTATCACTCAAATAAACCTAAACAAAAGGTAGGATGGATGAGCAATCAATATTTGTGCTCCTTTTTTTTCCTATCAACTACAGTTTTCAAGTAGGAAAATCAGTATGTAATTTTATTCTGAGTCACCAAGGAAGTAGAATAACAAATTATCATAAATGAAAGGGAACCTAAAAGTCATTTAGTTGAACATCCCTTCTAATTCCTAAGTCTCTACTACAGCTCCACTCATAGGTGATATTCTGGCCTAGTACATTCCAGAAAACAGGAATTTATTAGTTAATGCAGAAAGTAGAAAATATAAGCCTGCAGATGAAAAACAAAATTATAAACACTTAACATAGAAGCAATTTCAGTCACCCAGAAAATTACAAGGCTGAAGATTCGCTCATGTTTTCCTGATGTTAATTTGACGTGTGATTTTAGGGTTTGCCTACACATAAGGGTAGCATCAAAGCACTAAGACTATCCACACAGAATGGGGCTTCCTTGAAATGTTGCCCTCACACTTAGGCAGAAATAGCATAATCACTATGAACTTCACAGATTAGAAACAGTTCTAACGTTGGCAGCTCTTAGATAAAAGCTCACATGCTTATTGCACTACATGTCTCTTGAAAAAGAGAGACAAATGGGCAAAGGGTGGGTCTGTGCTGGCCATTACAACAGTTTAGTAGATTAAACTAAGCCAGATCCTTGCAGCAATAAAGGTGGCGATGGCCCTCCCTGATAACCCCAGTGTTTGGGCCAGGGTAAAGCAGGTGAACCTGTATTGAGAGAAATATCCTTAGTAGATATTAAATTTTATGCTTCCTAAACTACAAATATCTCGAGAGGCCAAGAGAACAGTTCACCCAAGGTAGAGGCTGTTAGTTGTGCATCTCTGCCACTTACACAGTTTCTACACAATCCAGTAAAGATGGACAAAGAAAAAATCAGTCCTAAAGTCATGTTTTTAGATAGACAGTCCTCGACTTGCAAATTTTCAACTTGATGGAGTAAAAGCGATATACTTTCAATATATTATTCAACATATTACATGAGATATTCAACACTTTGTTATAAAATAGGCTTTGTATTAAATGATTTTGCCCAGCTGTAGGCTAATGTAAGTGGTCTGAACACACTTAAAGCAGGTTAGGCTAGGCTGTGAAGTTCAGTAAGTTACGTGTATTAAATGCATTTTCAAATTAAGATCTTTTCAACTTAACGGTGGGTAATTCAGGACAGACTCCCATCATAAGCAAGGAACATCTGTATAACTCTTAGTTGTTTAAAGTTGACTGTATCCACATGGCCTTTCTCCTGTCTACAATAAGACAAGTCTGGTGTTAGGCAAATTACTTAACCTCTCTCTCTCTCTCCTCAGGTTCTTCCCATGGAAATTATGATCTAAAAACATGACACAGTGTTTCTTCCCCATGGTAATTTTTTTTTTTTTTTTGAGACGGAGTCTCGCTCTGTCACCCAGGCTGGAGTGCAGTAGCGTGATCTCAGCTCACTGCAAGCTCTGCCTCCCAGCTTCATGCCATTCTCCTGCCTCAGCCTCCCAAGTAGCTGGGACTACAGGCATCGGCCACCACGCCCAGCTAAGTTTTTGTAGAGACGAGGTTTCACCATATTAGCCAGGATGATCTCAATCTCCTGACCTTGTGATCTGCCCGCCTTGGCTTCCCAAAGTGCTGGGATTACAGGCGTCAGCCACCACACCCGGCCCCCATGGTGAAAAATTTTAATGGCTCCACACTAACCAGAAAAAAAAAAACAAAAACAAAAACACGGACAACCGAGTTCAAAACTGGTTTTCCCTTCCATTCATTCTCAATTTACTCTTCTAGCTGAGACTACTTATCCCCTGACAATGACTTGAGCTTTTATACCTTCAGCCATTTGAAATTCTTTTATTTTTTTTATTTTTTATTTTTATTTTTTTTTTTTTGAGATAGAGTCTCACTCTGTCACCTAGGCTGGAGTGCAGTGGCATAATCTCCGCTCACTGCAACCTCCACCTCCTGGGTTTAAGCGATTCTCCTGCCTCAGCCTCCTGAATAGTTGGGTTTACAGGTGTGCTCCACCATGCCTGGCTAATTTTGTATTTTTAGTGGAGGCAGGGTTTCACCATGTTGGTCAGGCTGGTCTCGAATTCCTGACCTCAGGTGATCATCCCGTCTTAGCCTCCCAAAGTTCTGGGATTACAGGCATAAGCCACCATGCCTGGCCAGCCACCTGAAATTCAATCCCTTCCCCATGCACACTTTTTTTTCTTGTTAGAGAGATGGGGCCTTGCTGTGTTGTCCAGGCTGGTCTCAAACTCCTAGCCTCAAGTGATCTTCCTGTCTCAGCCTCCCAAAATGCTGGAATTACAGGTGTAAGCCACCACTCCCATGCACACTTTAACTCTGCCTATTGATTCTTTGAATGTAGCTGAAGTTTTCTAATTTTTGTTTTTTTATTTTGAGATGGAGTTTCACTCTTGTTGCCCAGGCTGGAGTGCGATGGCACGATCTCAGCTCACTGCAACCTCCACCCCCAGGGTTCAAGTGATTCTACTGCCTCAGCCTCCCGAGTAACTGGGATTGCAGGTGACCGCCACCATGCCTGGCTATTTTTTTTTTGTATTTTTAGTAAAGATGGGGTTTCACCGTATTGGCCAGGCTGGTCTTGAAGTCCCGATCTCGTGATCCACCTGCCTCAGCCTCCCAAAGTGCTGGGATTACAGGCATGAGCCACAGCTCCTGGCCAAAGTTTTCTATTTCTGAGCTCATTGTTCTATGGCATTTTCCTGGCCCTTGTGAGGAGCTGCCTAGTACCAATACAGGCTGCACAGGTGACTCCATCCTCCCAATGAGGCTGTTGACTACTTGAGTTAAGGCACGTTCCTTAGGGTCTAGGGTTGCCAAATAAAATTCAACTAGTTGTCCAGTTAAATTTGAATTTCAGATAAACAACACTTTTTTAGCATAAGTTTGTCCTGTGCAATATTTCAATTTCAAGTTCATTCAGGGTAGAGGTTGTCAGCTGAGTTGTCCATCTGGCACCCACACAGTTTCTATACAATCTAAAAAAAAGTTTCCATGCAGTATTTAGAACACGCACTAAAAAGTTATTGTTTCTCTAAAATTCACTTAAACTGGGTCACCTGTGCTTTTATTTGCTAAATCCAGCAACTCTACTTGGGACACCTGTATCACTTTAAATGCTCAGAACAGAACTTCACGATACTGAGTGCTCAAAGTGTATGTTGATTAGTTGAGCGACTGTAATTTAATCTAGACAAACTTGAAGACGGCTATTACAGAATACAGTGTTTCCAGCACTCAGCCTTTGGTGCCTCCTTGTTCCAAGGGATCAACCGTCAATTCATCTGACGCCTCTTCTGACTTAGCAGGATAATCCGGAGTCTGACCTAGGCTGGGTTAGTTTTCAAGCAGTTGCAGTGAGGCATGGAAGTTGGAAGGATTGATTCAATGCTGAGACCCAAGGAAACAAGTTCCAGACCCAAGGCAAGGCAGGATCCACAGCACCAAGTGTGGATGAGAAGGGAAGGGTCTATAGCAGAAGGGCGGGCACGACTGAGAGAGTGCGTTCAGGGGTTGCCATGGAAGAGGTCCTGATGCAAGAGCATGTGACTGAGATAATCTCACAAAGCAGCTGTAGCCACACGGATAGCACTGAGCCCATTTGGACAAAACCCTTCCTCCCGTTTACTAAAGCAATCTTGTACATATTTACCTTGACTGTTCTCTGTGTCTTTCTTTAGACTGTTCTGTGTTAGCTTTCTCCTGAGAATGAAATAGTTGTGTCTTTCTAAATTTGTGCCACACCAGAGACAGAGGTGGGAAAAGAGATTCATGATCTTTAAAAGAATACCATGCTTCCAAGGTGGTAATGCTCTAAACAGACACAAAGTGTCCCATAGCAAACGTGGAGAGGGAGGCACAATCAGAAAGTCTGTGGCACCCTGTAGGAGAATGGCAGGAGGTCTGGAAGGGAAGTCACAAATGGAGGAGGTGGCCACACAGGTGCTTTTTAGACCAGACTTTTGTTTGTTTGTTTGTTTTTTGAGATGGAGTCTCGCTCTGTCCCCCAGGCTGGAGTGCAGTGGCACGATCTTGGCTCACTGCAAGCTCCGCCTCCTGGATTCATGCTATTCTCCTGCCTCAGCCTCCCGAGTAGCTGGGACTACAGGCGTCCACCACCACACTCCGCTAATTTTTTGTATTTTTAGTGGAGACAGGGTTTCACCATGTTAGCCAGGATGGTCTCGATCTCCTGACCTTGTGATCCACCTGCCTGGGCCTCCCAAAGTGCTGGGATTACAGGCGTAAGCCACCACACCCAGACTTTTTGTTTGTTTGTTTGTTTGTTTTTGGACACATAGTCTTGCTCTGTTTCCCAGGCTGGAGTGCAGTGGCACAATCTTGGCTCACTGCAACCTCCACCTTCTGGATTCATGCAATTCTCCTGCCTCAACCTCTCGAGTAGCTGGGATTACAGGTGCTCACCACCACACCTGGCTAATTTTTGTACTTTTAGTAGAGATGGGGTTTTGCTATGTTGGCCAGGCTGGTCTCAAACTCTCGGCCTCAAGTGATCCACCCACCTTGGCCTCTCAAAGTGCTGGGATTACGTGAGCCACCACACCCAGCCTTAGAGCAGCCTTTTAAGTGTCACCTTCCCCATGAGATTCCTGAAACCCTTCCAGCAGTACTCTATGGTTGCTTCATCCTCAGCGATGTGCTGACTCACTGGATATTTTCTCTGGGTTTTCACCAAGTAAACCAAAACCACTGGTAAAGAGCCAATGGGCCACAGAACAGTGTTGCTGCCTGGCTGACAGATTGGCCCTCCAGAGTCAGTGGTGCAGCAGGTATTGCCTGGACCTGCATCAAACCCATCTGGGCCAAGAATAAAGTTACTTAGCCTTTTTGCATCTCACCCTCAAAATCTACAAAACCTTCTTATGTGGGGGTGCTGCCTGTTGAATAAAATAATTTTTTTTTTGAAACCGAGTCTTGCTTTGTTACCCAGGCTGGAATGCAGTAGTGTGATCTTGGCTCACTGCAACCTCTGCCTCCTGGGTTCAAGCGATTCTCCTGCCTCAGCCTCCCTAGTAGCTGGGACTACAGGTGCACACCACCACGCCCAGCTACTTCTTGTATTTTTAGTAGTGACAGGGTTTCACCATGTTGGCCAGGATGGTCTCGATCTCTTGACCTCGTGATCTGCCTGCCTCGGCCTCCCAAAGTGCTGGGATTACAGGTGTGAGCCCCTGTGCCCAGCCCTGAATAAAAAAAATTAACATATTAAAACATAATAACTCTATGAATGTTGCCCTAGCCTCTACAACAATTTGACAATTTATGGAGATGGAGGGGGGTGTCCATCTTTAATACTGAAAGACTCTAAATATGGACAATTAATAAATAGGAATCATCTTATAAAGATAATTTCTTACGGAAAAGTAAAAGTGAAGGAAGACATAGGAAAGTCTAAGAAGCATGCATGAATTAGCAGATCCAGATGACACACAAGGTAAAGTATTAATAAAACTGACAGATGCGTCCACAGGGTCCTTTCTCATTTTGCCTCAAAGACTTCTGTGAAACTGAAATGATGGGTGGAGTGCTGAAGTGTTAAATCTTTATATCTTAATGAAGACCTGGGAGATAGAGTGATCAGTAACTTAATGAGATTTTCTGGATGTTTCTAACCTGAGAGATGTTGCAAATACCAGTAAGCAAAGGTAAAATAACGCAAGCATATTTAATATAAAATAAGCTTGGAAACACAGGTAAGACACAGCTGTATAAAATTCAATGTAAAAATGCTAACTCATTCAACTGAGATATTCACCATGCCCAAGGGACTGGAAGAAATAGGAAACTAATAATGATAAAAAGCACCAAGGGGCAAACAAGAAGAGCAGATTAGAAAGAAGTTTATATTACGAGCTAGGCCAGGGAGGAAAACAAATGCCACTGTTTGGGTACATATACAAAATTCTGTTATTCCTCTGAGCAAAGAAATAATGTGAATTTACTGAGATTTCTCTGAGGATGACGCACCAGATTTGGGGCTTCAGAAGGCCACAAAGTCATGTCTGAAGTGAAGGGAATGTGTGACAAGGAGTAGTAAGAGGAACGCTAATTCTCCGAGAAACAAGAAAGAGTAACTGAGTGGCTCATAAGAAATGGGAGGCTCATAATATTAGTCCATAAGTATGTGCAAATGATGTGTAATGGGGGATTGCATTTTGTCTGAACAGAAATTAAGAAAAAGAAGGGATTTTTAAGAAAGAGGAATAAAGTGCAATAACCTGGCAAACCCATGAAGAGTGAAGCCATGAATCTAAAGCTGCCCAGGGAGCAACAGCAAGTCCATGTCTCTAGGCCTTTAGCACCACCTGGGATGAGATGCTAGACTGTGTCCTTCCTCCGGTGATAACAGCCTGTTGGCGTAATAGACCAAACGACCATAGAGCTCTTCTGAGGCAGAGTTTATGATAGGAAGAAACATATATCCTGCTCTCAGAGGAAACATCTCTCAAATAAGAATAAGGCTGAAATCCTGGTTCCCTGCAGTTATTATGTGTCCCAACACCCAGTTTCAGCAGCAACCCAGATCCCACGGCAATTCAGCTTAATATGTGACACTTCTACTAACGAAGAGGACGTGTGGCTTCAACACATTTCTTCTACTTAGAAAGTTTCTGACAAAGGTCAAGTGATGTAGGAGAGTTAGTGATGTGTTCCAGGACTCCAGAAAAAGGAAGAGTTACATTACTAAAAAATGAATTAACTGCTAATTATTATAATGTCAAAAGTGCCAGAATTATAAAAGTTATAGCTGAGAGTCTTGGGGTATAGGGAGAAAAGGGCAGGGATTCCATTACATTCAAGAAGTGAGAGGCAGGGTCTTTCTGTAGTCAGGCAGGATAGACTGGAGTAAAGGGAACTCAATAAATGAGTGCAAGAAGGAAGGAAAGTAGAAAAGCAAAGGGGAAAAAAGGAGGGAAGAATAAAGGACCTGTACTCTGATTCTGTGACATTTACTGGAGGCTCCCAAAGACTGCAGTGAGTAGAGCCAAAGGCCTCACTGGAATTCTGACCTAGAGGATCCAACGGTGCTTGAACTGTCTGCAGAAGAATAGATCATTGTAAGGACCTTACAGTTACCCCCAATGGGAAAAGTGACCTCAAGTATTTCATAGTAAAATCATGCACTCTTTGTTAAATAACTAATTCTCATTTCAAGAAACAGCTCTTGACTTGCTATTTAGCCCTGGGAGAGACTGGATGACTTATCATAGGAAATCAGGAGACGTGGAAACTAGGTGTTATTTGATTTCAACAATCCATAAATACAGGTGTGCCTAGGAGCACTCCATTTTCAAGTGGACATAGTATTTATGAAATCAGGCTTCAGGATGTCCTGAAGGCATAAGTCAGTGGTTCACACTCATGGTGTATCCACTGCAGAAGTCTTACTCTTACAGGCTATGTTATGACCTCTCCATCTACAGACTTAAAGTTTGGCGAGAAGTTTGCTATGGCCAGTTGACCAACAGGACATTTTAAGCCTGACTTACAGATACTTTTATCTAACCTGCTGGCACCAGACGTAGACTGCTGCAGCAAGTAGAACTTTAAGCAGTTCTTCCTCTGGGCCACTTGCTGAGAAGCAGAGAAAACCTAAAATAAGAATTTATATCAATTCATGGGCAGTGATTAATAGTTCCACTAGATTGTCAAGAACTTGAAAGGGTCTGGGCACTGTGACTCAAGCCTGTAATCCCAGTACTTTGGGAGGTCAATGCAGAAGGATCACTTGAGGTCGGGAGTTCAAGACTAACCTGGGCAGCATAGTAAGACCCCATCTCTAAAGTAATTTTTTTTTAATTTTATAAAAACTAAAATTAGCCAGGCATGGTGGTGTGGGCCTGTAGTCCCAGCTACTTGGGAAACTGAGGCAGAAAGATTGCCTAAACCCAGGAGTTCAAGGCTACAGTGAGTTATTATCACACCACTGCACCCCAGCTTGGGCAAGAACATGAAACCTTGTCTCTAAAAAAGAGAGAAAGAGAATGAAAACTTGAAAGGATCAAGTTCCTTGGAGGATTTTGGAAAAAGATATTTGAGAAAGAGCTGTATGTACATGGATTTATCACAATGGACCCACCATGAAGTGATATTTTTTGTTCCATATGAATGATGACCCAAAAGCTCTCACTGGGAAGGAAGGTTTCTATAAACAGTTATTTGTTAGTCTCTTTCCCCTGCCAACCCATGCTTGCTAATTAGGTTCATGAACAGGATGACTGTGAAGATAGGAATGGAGGTTATGCAGCAGCATAGACTTCCTCTCACCAAGGCTGACACTGTTGTATATCTATGGGTCCTACTTGCTAGTAGCAGAGACCAACACTAAGTCCTGTCTATGGTACCATATCACAGGGGAACAGCCAGATACCTGGCGCTTTGATTTCCTTATATTCATTCTATCATGGAGGGAGAAGGTATTTGTGATTACTTTGCCCTCACTTATTTTGGATTCAGATTTACTACCCTTGATCACAATGTCTCTGGTAGCTTCTTTATCCCTGGACTTACCGAATGCTATAGTCACCATCGTTATGTAATACATACATAGGCTGGGCGCGGTGGCTCACGCCTGTAATCCCAGCACTTTGGGAGGCCAAGGCGGGCGGATCACGAGGTCAGGAGATTAAGACCATCCTGGCTAACATGGTGAAACCCCGTCTCTACTGAAAATACAAAAAAATTAGCCGGGCATAGTGGCGGGCGCCTGTAGTCCCAGCTACTCAGGAGGCTGAGGCAGGAGAATGGCGTGAACCCGGGAGGCGGAGCTTACAGTGAGCCGAGATCACGCCACTGCACTCCAGCCTGGGTGACAGAGCGAGACTCTGTCTCAAAAAAAAAAAAAAAAGAACTATAAAATACATACATACATACTATTGCTTCTAATTGAGGAACTCACTTTGCAGTGAAATAAACATGACAGTTGGCCAATGCCCATGAGATTTCTCAGGGACACTGAGGAATTGAGTCAAGGTCTCATTCTGTTGTTCAGGCTGGAGTGCAGTGGTGTGATCATAGCTCACTGCAACCTGGAACATCTGGATTCGGGAAATCCTCCAGTTTTACTACGTACGCCACCCCACCCAGAAGCAGCTGACCTCACAAAACAGTGGGATGGCCTATTGAAGACTCAGTTTAGATACCAGTTTGTGAGATTGAGGTGCTCTCCAACAAGATACAAATATACTCTGAACCAGAAACCGATATGTGTGGGTGGTTGTCTTCTCCGCTAGTCAAAATATATGGATATATTCAAACCAAGAGGTAGAAGGCAGGAACACCTCTATTACTCTTAACAAGTCATCTCAAAATGTCTGCTTCCCATCTCGTCCACATGAGCTCAGATGATTCAGAGGGAGTGTTCCTCAGGAACCCAACAATAGCAACATTGAATTGGAAGCTGCGACATCTCATCTGGGGCTCGTCAGGAGGAAAGGCAAAAAAGGAGTATTAGGGTGCTGAGTAGGATGAGTAATCCTGATTGTCAAGGGCAAGCAGTGTTATTGTTTCAGTATGGGGACAGTTTCCCTGAGGGACTTTATTATAGTTCCATATTTAGTGGTAAAATTTACTAGAAGACAACAGCAACCCACACAGATAGGTTTTAGAACCCTCAGGGATAGAGACGGAAAATGCTGATAAAGGATGCTGACCAGCTGAGGTGGCTGAAGACAAAGAAAAAGTATCAACTATGGCCTTGGGGTTAGTTCTAGAAATAAGGAATACAGTTTTGTAGGCTTGCAGCCCTGATATTTATTTATGAGACTCTTTTCTCTTATTTTCTCTTCCTTTCTCCTACTCTTTTATATATGGTGCTGTCATAGAAGTAAGCTTTAGAATTTAGTCCAGAATATTGAAGAATGACCTAATGGAACCAGAGATGCTGGTTCTGGGGCTAGATATAGTAACTGTTGTGCCTTGACCACATACCACCTGGATGAGGGGTGCTAACATTACTAGACAGGTACATTTTTTATTGTTTAATGTTAATAAGGGGGAAAGACGATACGTTAACATTGTACAGCCAAGTGGGTTACAGCGAACAACCATTATTCTTTGTGTTCTCCAACATCTGCACACTGTTACGATGGCTGGAGATACCCCAACTTTATAAGACTGACCTCACCGCTCACGAGTGAAACTGAAAATGCCAGACACTCACTTCCCAGATTCCCCCTCAGACTTTGGGAAGGTGGCTTGAAGAAGCAGGGATTGCAAAGAAGCTATTCTGGTGAGAGTAACAGCAGGCATGGAAGCTGCACTTGGCTTCCAGAGGCGGCAGCAGGTATGAGTCTATCAGTAGCACCCGTTGTTCAACATTGGTATGGTAGTATTAGGTTGCTGCAAAAGTAATTGCAGTTTTGGCCATTGCTTTCAATTGACCGTTGCCTTCAATGGCCAAAACTGCAATTACTTTTGCACCAACCTAATAACACTATCTTCACAGGCTGTGTTCTGATGCATAATGTGAGCACTGTGCTGGCTACAGAACCTCCAAGCCTGGATTTCCAGACTTATCAGAGATTCTGTGAGTCACCACCATATTTCAGCAAATCCCCTTTCTGCTTTAATTAATAAGAGTTGGTTTCTTTTGCTTGTAACTTAAAACCGTGACTGATGCTTTCAGGTTCTGGAGGAAGTAAGATTTTATAATTCTCAAATCCTGTAAGGACTAAACTTTCAACATCTTCAGTTGAAACAACCTTTGTTCATTCTCTTCATTACTTCATTGATTTTGTTCATTCAGTCATTCAGTCATTTAGTTGTTCATTCATTCATTCAGCAACTACTTACTGAACCTTTACTCTGTGCCAATTGGCAAAAACAGACATGGTCCCTCCTCTCATGTACATGTAGTTTAGTAGGCAATAATCACACAAATAAATGTAAAGGTGCAACTGTGATAACTGTTCAGGAAAGAGCCATATTATAGGGAGAATTAATCATCATCAAATCCAGGGAAGACTTCTTTGAGCAACTGATGACTGAGCTGGAATCTGAAAAAAGAGTGAAAATTAGCTATGTCACAGGACAGGAGTGAAAGATGTTTCAGACAAAGGAAATAGTATGAGCAAAGGCTGTATAGCAAGTTGAGCAAAGCGTCTTTGAGGAACTGAAAGAAATTTACTATGACTACAAATAAGACAGCAGAGGGAAGCAGGCTGTGAAGAAACAAGTTTGTGGAGTCGGTGGAGACCATAACATGGCAAGCTTTGTAGCCTGTATTAAGGATGTTCTCCTTTATCTAAAAGAAGTAAAAAATCATGGTAGTATTTTAAGTGGTAGCTGGGGAGGTGGGAGAAATGTAACATGCTCCGCCTGCATGTAAAATGTTTTGGAGAGGAGCAAGAGTAAATACAGGGAGACTGGTCAGGGGATCCCAGTAGCCCAAGCAAGAGGTGATGAAGCCTGGACTCAGAAGCAACAAGTAAGTGGCAGATGAGAGGATGGATGGGAATCATATTTGGAAGTTAACATTTTCAGGATTTGTGGTTGATCAAGTGTGGAAAGTGAAAGAGACAGAACAGATGCAGTCACCATTCACCAAAACAGGAAAACACCAGAAAAGGACCAAAAAGGAAGAGAACTGTCTTTGGAGAGAATCATGGCTATTTCTTCTAATGTACTACACTCCTCAGCCAATCACCTCAGATTAAACAGATTTTATTTTCAGTGATCAAAAGTAGAATCAGGCTCTGACCTCAAAAATATCTGCCCTCTGCTCACAGATGCCTAGTCTTTTTACAGTAATGAAAGGCCAAAGCCTGAGTCAGCACACTCCACAATTAGAGATAGTGTTGCATTCAGTTTCCTAGAGCTGACAATGTTGCCACAAACCAGGGAGCTTAAAACAAGAGAAATGTATTCTTTCACAATTCTGAAGACCGGAAGTCCAAAATCAGAGTGTTAGTAGGGCCATGTCCCCTCCAAAAGCTCTCAGAGTGAATCTCTTTCGGCCTCTTCCAGCTTCTGGTGGCTCCTGGTGTTCCTTGGCTTCTGGTAGCATAACTCTAATCTGCCTCCTTCTTCACATGGCCTTCTTTCTGTATGTCTCTGTGTCTCCTCCTTTCTCATCTCTTATATGAACAGTCATTGAATTTAGGGCCCATCCTGAAGCCAGAGTGATCTCATCTTGAAATTCTTAATCTCACTACATCTGTAAAACCCTATTTTGAATTGAGGTCATATTCACAAGTACTAGGGGTTAGGATTTGGACATATCTTTTGGGGGCCACTATTCAACCCACTACAGATGTACAATGTTAACAGGTTGCTTAGATACACGTAGACGAGTTTTACCTGAAACAGCATTTCTCAGAGTGTGTAAGACAAACATTAGTTCCTCAAGATACTCAAAAAAAATTGTTACCATGGTCAAAGTTTGGAAAACATTGAACACTCTATACCCTTCTTATGATTCCTAATTTACATACACACACTAAAGTTTCTGAAAAGTCCTGCAGTAATGAAACCCATTCAAGTTGCTCAACCCAGAACTTTACAATCTTATTTGATGCATAATCTTTTCCTTTTGGTGACAAAGCACCTGCCCACTGATATCTGAAACACTGTCCAAGGGCCATACTCACAGTATGCTAAGATACCATCAGTTAGCAATCAGTGATAAATAGTTTGGGGTTGTGGATTTTTCTCAGTTTTGGTGAGGAAGAAAAATGAAAGAAGGTCTTAAACATTGAAGGCTGGGGAGGGAATGACCACTGGATCCAGGAGGGAGTGAGTGCTGGGGTTGACTGGGCAGAATGTTAGCAAGTAACAGAAAGCTGTGATTGGTGGCTCAAAAGAAATTTTGCTCAAAGAATTTTTTGTTCACCTCACAATGTGAGGAGACAACACAAGCTGGGAAACAGGTTTTTGGTTGATTGCTTGGACTTTTTATTTGTTGGGTTTTTTAAGTCAAGTAAAAGCACGTACAGGCAACTTTGTGATTTACAGTCGTTTTTGTTTCGTATTTTCTCAAGCATGATGATTTCCTTGTAAAAGGGCATGTTTCCCATGGGTTTTATTAATCGAAGTGCCACTGCAACTACATTTCTGTCATCCTGAATTCCCCCTGTAGTTGCTGTGAAAAGCAGTCATCTTTTTTCCTTTAGTTTCTCCATTACTGAATAAATGTAACAGAGCAATGTCTTGGTCAATGAGAATCCTGATGCTTCATGAGCTATAAACCTATGTGTGAGCTATAAACCTATATATGAGCTATAAACCTATATATCCCTGCCTTGCAGCCGATGTGAGCAAGCAAGCCCAAGCCATCAGGAGATCTGGTCACTCCCCAAGCAGCCAAGATCAGACTGGGGGCCAAGGTTCCAGAGAAAACACAATTCTCTCATCTACCGTGATTCCTTCCTTGGCCCCTTTGATTCTTGCACTTCATGTGGGGCTGTGGCTCCACCTCCTGGGCTTCGCGTTGTCTGGGCAAAAAGGACACAGAAGATCTCTAAGCCTCTGGTATCATTTCTTCTTTTGCCACACCAAAGCTAGGGCTTAACTTCCTTTTTCTGGGCTTACTGTCAACTCTCTGGGAAGAAAAATGTGTGTTCTTCACTCTTCATTTGCTAAGAGCTTCTTTCTTCTCCTCAGTGGGCCAGCTGACTGAGCCGGCAGTCAACGGATGGAGGTACAGGCCCCTCCACTATATTCTTTATGCACTTCTGGATTTTAGCCAGCACTGCTGGGCATTAAGGTCTGTGTTGGGTCATGTGAGTGGATCCTTCATGAATGGTTTGGTGTTGTTCGCCCAGTCACAAATGAGCTCTTGCTCTTTTAGTTCCTGGGAAAACCCATTGCTAAAAAGAACCTGGCCCCTCCCTCCTCTCTCTCTTGCCTCCTTTCTTGACATGTGATCTGCATCTGTCAAGAGTAGAAGTTTACTGAGTCCCATGCCAGAGCGGATGCTGGCACCATGCTTCTTGCACAGCCTGCAGAACATGAGCCAAATCAACCTGTTTTCTTTATAAATTATCCAGCCTGAGGTATTTCTTTATAGCAACATAAAAGGACTAAGACATGTGTGTCCCAGCAAGCTTAAATACACTATGTTAGGGTTTCCCAGTGTGGAGGTCCTGTACCATTGAAGAGACACAAGCTAATTGTATTTGATACAAGAATAAACATATTTTATGAGTTATAAATTCATCTTATGTGCATTGGGGTGCTGGGGCAGGGAGAGGGAACAACCAGCACACAAAGTCTGTGATTCCATGAATGTGATTGTTTGGAACAGGCCTAACTTTTTAAAGTAAATTTAAAGTTTGTATTTAATGAAAAATATTAATAGTAATACAGGTGGTACATCTCTGGGTTAGTTTTTGCCTGACTGAGATTCAGGAAGGACCACAACGCCGTATCCTAGTGGCCACCACAGAATCTTAGCCTGAGAGGCACGTTAGTGGCAGCCCACAGAGTAGGACTCCCTTCTCCAGCCTGCTTTGACAAATGGATTCTACCCTGAGTTCAATCACTGTCAATGTAGGAGAAATGCTGGTGGAGAGACTTTTCCATCACAGACAAATCCTTATGGAAGAAGGATTGGCAATGCTTTTTTTTTTAAGAAAAAAAATTAAAAATAAGCCAAATTACCCTAAAGCAGGAGCCAAGGTTGACAAATATCAGGTCCTAGGGAAAAACAGCAAAAGATTTCATTTCGGAAGTTGGAACTTCAGAGAGTAACAGTAACAACCCAATGATTCAAATTCATAGAACCTTTGCTTCAGAACACTTCTGAGCAACTTAGAAAGAATAGCCACAGTGCCCAATTGTCCATGAATAGAATAGCCCTTGCCTCTTCCTTTAAACATCTCTACTTTGTTTTTTCCTGAACATATCCCCCAACACACACACACACACACACACACACACACACACACACACACACACACTTTGCATATGTGCTATACATGCTGTCGCTCAGGGGCTCTGAGGACAGCAGGAACAATGGGCTCCTTCCTGTTTGTCCCCATCTGTCCCCACAGGCCCCAGGCTCTCCCCACCTGTAGATTTTTCCACCCTTCTGTCAGTGTGAGCCTCCTTTAAAACAAACAACACTTTCAGCTGATCATAAGGTCAAGAGATGGAGACCATCCTGGCCAACAACGTGAAACCCCGTCTCTACTAAAAATACAAAAATTAGCTGGGCATGGTGGCGTGTGCCTGTAGTCCCAGCTACTCAGGAGGCTGAGGCAGGAGAATCGCTTGAACCCAGGAGGCAGAAGTTGCAGTGAGCCGAGATCACACCACTGCACTCCAGCCTGGCAACAGAGCGAGACTCCATCTCAAAAAAAAAAGAAAAACATTACTCATGTATGCCCACAAGGAAACTTTTGATGGATTTTTGTTACCCAAAGGGCGAAGTTATTTATCTATTCACTGAACATTTATTAAATGTGTAGCATTTGCCAGACAATGCTAAGCAGCCTCCTCACTGCTTAGACCTACTTGGTAAAGGGTAAGCATCAGTGTAGAAGCAACTTGGAGTTGAGTAGAACTTCATGCCTAAGAGGCTACTCGGCACTTGTTGAGAATTTTCTTCTTGTTCTTACCTTCCTGGAAAATTTCTATGCAACTTTCAAGAAACAATGTTACCTGTCCTGTGATACCTTTTTGAATTCATCAGATTATGTGTTTTTATCTTCTCCAACAATATATTAGCTCAAAATAAGAACTTTGCATTCTCATCTATATATTCCAGTATCTAGAACACAGTGAGCATGAACTTATTTCCTGAATATGTAAAGTGCTAAAAGAATATAATGCAATCCAAAACTCAACAAATACTTTAGTAACTAAACATTGTGTGGGGTTAGTCCTTCCTGCTATATAATCACATCAATTTTGAAGTAATCATATTTGCCCAGATAAAACAAAAAAAGAAGGCCAGCGGTTGAGCTCAGGATAGACATAAAAATGGGATCAAAGGAAGAGCCATGAGTTTGGAAAAAGCAAACATACTCAATCAGAAGGGATGTGTTAAACACTTACACAAGGGAGTGTACAAAGAAGCACATCTTCCCTGAGGATGTAGCAGTTCCGTCATTTGGACATTCATTCAAACATTAAATGATGTTTTATGGAATGTTCACTAATTGTAATTACTTCAACATCGTGTTCAATAGGCTATTAGGAAACTTCTAATTCATGTGTTCCGTTAAAAGAAAAACTTTAGACAAATTAAATTTATAGAGTTTAATAAAGCAAAAAACAATTCGCGAATCAGGCAGCCACCAGAACCAGAAGTTCAGAGCAACTACAGGGCTACCACATGGTCCAATAACATTAAGGGACAGAAAAAGAAGGTGACCTATGGAAAACGGAAGCAAGGTACAGAAACAGCCAGATTAGTTATAGCTGGGTGCTTGCCTTATTTGAACCTGGTGTGAACAGTTGGCTACCTGTAATTGGCTGAAACTCGGCTACTTGTTACAAAAGAGGAGGTTACAGTCTGTTGACACATCAAGTCAGGTTACAGCCCACTATGTATGCAGAAACCATTAAGCCAAATTTAAAATACAAAGGGAGGCAGCTTTGAACCAAACTTAATACCTTATTAATTCATTTAATGTTTGATCATGTACCTTCTTTGAGTCTTAATCTAGATGCTGGAAACAGAGGTGACTCAGACAGACAAGGTCCCTACTATTAATACTTTGGAGTTCACATAATCTTATGAGTAGCTGTGAACAGATATCTAAACAAGGCCAGTATCTAAAACTAGAGAGAAGGTGTGGTGGAGTGGAAAAGGGAATAAAGAAAAAGGGAAGGGAAGGGAGGGGAAATACTCGATGACCATGAACACTATGCACAGAATTGAAAAGAGAAAGTGAAAGGGAGTGACCAGTAGCTATTTTTCATGGATCATCAAGGAGGGGCTCGCTAAGGTCTGAGTGACAATAAGGAGCAGCCAAGGGTGATCCTGAGCATTCCAGGGAATACCTAGCACAGGACGGTAATTCCTAAAATAAAAATAAAAAGCACAATTTAACAACAAAACATACACAAAGAGAAAAACATAAAGTTGCTTCAATTTCTAATGACCAGCCAAGCTTGGTGGCTCAGGCCTGTAATCCCAGCACTTTGGGAGGCCAAGGCAGGCAGATCACCTGAGGTCAGGAGTTCAAGACCAGCCTGGCCAACATGGCGAAACCCCTGTCTGTACTAAAAATACAAAAATTAGCTGGGCATGGTGGTGCATGCCTATAATCCCAGCTGCTCGGGAGGCTGAGGTAGGAGAATCCCTGGAACCCAAGAGGCAGAGGTTGCAGTGAGCCGAGATCACACAACTGCACTCCAGCCTGGGTGACAGAGTGAGACTCTATCTCAAAACAAAACAAAAAAAATTATGACTATAATTTCAGACTTCATTTGAAATTCCAAATTAAAAATCTCATTGCTTAGTGATGTAAAAATTTTAATTGAAAAAAATTCTACAATGAGCATTGTAAAACAATGAAAAAAAAGGGTAAGGAATCTTTTGTTATTTAAAGTAACCTAGTCTGGCCAAAATATGCTACCTTGAAAGGAAACCATAACTTAAACCTTAAAATGTTTACTTCCCTACCATTGTCTCAATCTGCAAAAAATTGAAACTGCCTTTTGGACTGATTACCAGCAGGCTACTGAAATCCTGATCCAAGACTAAAGTGAACAATTACAAATCCTAGCCAAGTATGTAGAACCCCAGGCTTTCTTCATAGCTGAGGACATCTGGTGAGCTTACATTGTCTCATCAATCATCACAACATCTATTAGACTACAAAAATCATGATAGATAAAGTTTCCAGTTCCATAACAGAGAATCAGAAGCACTGAATAGCCAAGTTAATGGGTGACTTATAATCACTGATTAAGGCATTGGCAAATCCTTGAAGAAAATCCAGGCACTGAGCCACAACCCTCTATTTCACCCTATATACCCACAGCTTTGCTCTAAATACAAACAAGACTGCATTAGACGTAACTCCAGTGTGCTCCGCTCCTTGCTTTGTTCCAAGCAAGATGTTGTACAAATGGGATAGTGAGGGTTACAGAGAGTTGGGTCTACGTTGTTCTTTCACCATTCTGGACATTTTGGTGCAATAAAACCAATTAAATTGAAATGCCACAGGATCTCTGTAGCTCAGTTTCATATGTTTTTAACAACCTCCATTCACAGAAGTCATTTTCCTTCAAATGTAGGAAAACAAGATTGGGTTAACTTCAAAGGAACTTAAAGTAGTAAATGCAGAGTGCTGAATTTCTTATTACAAACAAGCTCTAAACCTAGACCATGAGTGATGGCGGACTTGGGAATACAAAGCTGGAAACTGGAGGGTGAGAAATTAAAAGCAAGATCAGTAACAACTTGGAAATTAGCTAAATTCAAGAGGTTCAGAAACTTGGCTAAAAAGGCTGAGAGTACAGTCATGTATCCACAGAAACATGGGTCCCATAAGTCAAAAGAACGTGAGTCAAAACCCTGTGGATTAGTCATGAGTTGAGGACCTCATGAAGTCTGGAGTGTCAGAAATCCAAACAGCACACCCTAGTACTAGCAACAGGGAGTCTTGGAAATGGAGGTGACAGCTATCTCAAACAGTTTCATAAATATGACCCATAGGAACGGTTGTCTCATTATTTATATTTTGTCTTAGAATAACAACTTGAGAATTTTTGCTAAAAGGTGACAAAATGAATGCACATTTACTTAGTTCCTTTGCCAGAAACTCACTGAAATGAATAACCACCACCAAAAACAGAGCCAGAGAACCATCACCCATGGTGAAACTAGAGAATGGTGAAAATGGCATAAAAGACACCATAATGAATATCTGTTCATGCCAAAATTCAGGACAAGTTAAAGATGCGTGGAAACCAACATCTGACTCCACACCCCATAGGAAGAATGTAAATTTCCCTTACAAAAAGCAAGAGCCCTAAAGTGCCCACACCAAAATTCTATGGATGTGAAAATGGGAGCAGGAGTTGTGAACAGTCAGTAGGAGGAGCTACAACGATCAACTCAACAAATATTTATTGAACAACTGTACATGCTGAGAGGAGTGGCTGCAAGACAGGGAAATGAAATCATGCTTCTTTTTTTCTATCTTACTATCTATTCACTAAAAATCCTTGCGATGAGGACAGACAATAAATGGAAGCCTATACATTTGCTTGGCTAAATTAAATGAACTCTAATCAGCAAACAAAAGGTCTTGAAACTGAGTCCCAGGGTTCCCACTCACCCAGACTCCTGCCAGAGTGAACCACAGACCTAAAGTGGGAAATGGACAGAAGCTGAGGGGTGATGGGCCGCAGAACAGAGGATCCATCATATGTAATTACAAAGAATGTGAAGACACTACACCTAAAATAAGATTCCTTATTTTGTCCGTCTGTCCCTCAAACACATGAAGGACTAAACAGAGTTTAACTTTCCACCTTAGCGTCCATTAGCACAATTTTAAAGTTTGCAAATTTATCTGGAGAAGAATACATTCAAGGGAAAGACAATTCCACTATCCACTTCTTGAGTAAATAACAGGCCAGACAGAAGAGAAGTGCCTGCATTCAGACCGACAGAATAAATAAGATGAAGTTTCAAACATGGCACTTATGCAGAGTTCATACCAAAACCAAAACAAAGAAAAAAAAAGGAGGAGGTGGTGTAAGGGAAAAAAAAAGACTCCACTAAACAAATAGGAATAAAGACTATTGGAATATTGGAAGAACAGTTATTCCAAGAACAGTGCCTCATAATACAGAACTCATTTATAGATTAGAACTTCTCAAAGTATTGGAAAAATCAGAGAAGACAAAGACTTTACAAAAATTGACATCAAAGAAGATTCAGATTCATGATGCATCTGGAATTGGTGGGTTCTTGGTCTCACTGACTTCAAGTATGAAGCCGCGGACCCTCACAGTGAGTGTTACAGTTCTCAAAGATGGTGTGTCCGGAGTTTGTTCTTTCACATGTTCAGATGTGTCCAGAGTTTCTTCCTTCTGGTGGGTTCGTGGTCTTGCTGGCTTCAGGAGTGAAGCTGCAGACCTTCCCGGTGAGTGTTACAGCTCTTAAAGGCGGCACTGACCCAAAGAGTGAGCAGCAACAAGATTTATTGCAAAGAGTAAAAGAACAAGGTTTCCACAGTGAGGAAGGGGACCTGCGGGTTGCCACTGTTGGCTCAGGCAGCCTGCTTTTATTCTCTTATCTGACCCCACCCACATCCTACTGATTGGTCCATTTTACAGAGAGCTGATTGGTCCATTTTGACAGGGTGCTGATGGGTGCATTTACAGTCCCTGAGCTAGACACAGAGTGCTGATTGGTGCATTTACAATCCTCTAGCTAGACATAAAAGTTCTCCAAGTCCCCACTAGATTAGCTAGACACAGAGCACTGATTGGTGCGTTTACAAACCTTGAGCTAGACACAGAGAGCTGATTGGTGCATTTACAAACCTCGAGCTAGACACAAAGTGCTGATTCATGCATTTACAATCCTCCAGCTAGACATAAAAGTTCTCCAAGTCCCCACCAGATTAGCTAGATACAGAGTGCTGACTGGTGCATCCACGAACCCCGAGCTAGACACAGAGTGCTGATTGGTGCATTTACAATCCTCCAGCTAGACATAAAAGTTCTCCAAGTCCCCACCCAACTCAGGAGCCCAGCTGGCTTAGCCTAGTGGATCCTCTGCTGGGGCTGTGGGCAGAGCTGCCCACCAGTCCCACGCAGCGCGCCTGCACTCCTCAGCCCTTGGGTGGTCGATGGGACTGGGTGCCATGGAGCAGGGGGTGGCACCCGTCGGGGAGACTCGGACTGCGTGGGAGCCCATGGGGGTGGGGGGACTCTGGCATGGCAAGCTGCAGGTCCCGAGCCCTGCCCCGCGGGGAGGCGGCTGAGGCCCAGCGAGAATTCGAGCGGGGCGTGGGCGGGCCAGCAATGCTGGGGGAGCTGGAGCATCTGGGTGCTGAGCTGCTGACCTGGGTGCTAAGCCCCTCACTGCCCGGGGCCGAGTGGTGCCGGCCGGCCACTCCAAGTGCAGGTCCTGCAGAGCCCATGCCCACCCAGAACTCGCAGTGGCCTGCAAGCACCAGGAGGCCCCGGTTCCCGCCCATGCCTCTCCCTCCACACCTCCCTGCAAGCAGAGGGAGCCAGCTTCGGCCTTGGCCAGCCCAGAGAGGGGCTCCCACAGTGCAGCAGCAGGCTGAAGGGCTCCTCAAGCACGGCCAGAGTGGACACTGAGGCCAAGGAGGCACTGAGAGCAAGCGAGGGCTGCTAGGATGTTGTCACCTCTCAATGAGATCAACTAAGAGATAAAACAATAGAAGAAAATGAAAAGGAAAAAAATAAGATTAATAAAAACATTACATTGTGAAAACCACAATGATGGCAGCAAGAAGTCAAAATTAGCAAAAATAGTCAGTGATATGAAGGACTGGGTAGAGGAGAAACAGAATGCAAAAGGAAAAGTAAAATGTATAAAAGTGATTAGAGATAAAGATGATAGGCATGAAATAAAGATAATGGACATCTAACATCTGAATTGCAGTCCTAGAGAAAAAAGTGGTGTCAGTGAAAAGGAAAAACATATAGAGTGATAATAGAAAACCATTTTTCTGAAGTAAAAGAAGATAGGAATGCACAGATTGAAAGGGCTCACACTATACAAGTAAAATTATTAGCAAACCATTGAAACAGAAATACAGTCAAGCTATTGAATGTCAAAGAAAAAGTCTGTAAGTAATTAAACAGAAGAAACAAAATCTACAAAAGAAGAAAAAATCAAGCTAAACTCATACATTTCAGCAATATTAAATGCCAGAAGACAATGGAATAATGTCTACAGATTGAGGGGAAAAAAATACATTATTAACTTTGAGAATCGTAATGTTCAGCTTTTGTGGTCTATCCTGTAATCAGTCTTTGTAAATATTCCATGAACTTTTTTAAAAAGACAAAAAGTGCTCTCTAAAGGTACTGTGGAACATTTTTGAATGAGTATATAATACATAGTAGAGGAAATCTTAATATAATTTTTAACAAAAATAGCACAAAACAAATTTTCTGATTATAATCAGTGCAATAAAATTAGAAATCCAAAACAGAGGTAGAAATTAAAAACGCAGATTCTTGCAAATTTTTGAGACAGATTCTTCTTTATAACTTGTGGGTCAAAGTGTGAATCAAAGTGCAACAGCAGAGAAATTAGAAACCATGAGCATGAAGGCAACGTTTACTAAAACCTAAGGGGAAAACTAACACTGCAGGCAAAGAAAATCTATGGCCTGAAACACTTATATGTTACCAAACAAATATGAATAAAACAACTGGGACATTTGAGTTGGAAAAATTAAAAAGTGTACATAAAAACAGAATTTAAATCCATTTTAAATGAATGGATACACTCAATAATATGAATGAATTAAAAAATACATGTTGGGCCGGGTGCAGTGGCTCATCCCCGTTATCCCAGCACTTTGGGAGGCCAAGGTGGGTGGATTGACTGAGCTCAGGAGTTTGAGACCAGCCTGGGCAACGTGGTGAAACCATGTCTCTACTAAAATACAAAAAATTAGCCGGGCATGGTAGCATGTCCCTGTAGGTCCAGCTACTCAGGAGGCTGAGGCACGAGAATTGCTTGAACCCGGGAGGTGGAGGTTGCAATGATACAAGATCGCGCCACTGCACTCCAACCTCAGTAACTGAGTGAGACTCTGTCTCAAAAAAAAAAAAAAAAAAATGTTGAGCAAAAGAAGCCAGACACCCCCACCCCCCGCCACCCACACACACATTATAATGTAATGTAATTGCACTTATTAGAAGCTTAAGAACAGTCCATTCTAATTTATGGCCATAGAAATCAGCAGAGGGATTATCTTTTAGGGTGGGGTTAAATGGTATTAATAGGAAAAAGGCACAAAGGGACTTTCTGGAAGTAATGAACAGCTCTATAACTTGACCAGGGTGGTGATCATAAGGGTAAACGTGAAGGTAAAAATTCATTAGGCTCCGCACTTAAGCAGCGTGCATGTTACGTTGGTAAATGATACTGCAACTTGAGGAAAAAGTTTTAATTAAAAAAATAGTAATTAATGAATTGGAAAACAAAAAAGAAGTGATTGATAAATACAAGAGCTAGTCCTGTGGGAGGTGGGGGTGGGGTAGGGGGATAAATAAACTAAATATACCACTATGCTACCAAAGATCTGTAAAAAGAGATAAAACACAAATACACAAATTTAAGAATGAGAAAGATAAGTGATAACTGATACAAGGAAAACTAAGATAATTTTAAAGTGCATATATTTTCTTTCTAAAAATGTCAAAACCCTCAAAAAATTAGAAAAAAAAAACTAGGACAAAAACATGAAATTCCAAACAAGAATTTGTGTGTATGTGTTTGAATAAACACACACACAAACAAGTAAGAACCCAAATTTCTGCCATAAATTTCCAGAGGAAAAGAGGCAAAACGCTGGTATGGTGTGGCATGGTGCAGTGGGACCTTTAGTCCACATCACAAGAGGTGCGAGGGAGTTCAGATGCAAGATAGGTTGAGAAGTTACACTAATAGCCCCAGTTCACAGACAAGCGAACTGAGTGACCGAGAAGACGACATTCCCTGGAAAGACTTGAACAAACTAATTCTGAGGGGAAGAAGCCCTGGCCAACTTTCTCTAGGCTCCCAGTGAGGAGGGAGGAATGCAGCTACCATCTCCACAGGCCAGGTGAAACGCAGACAGGGAAGGTGTATTTATTACTTCCACCCAGACGTAATCATCCCCAGCAAGGAACAAGGACTCAGCAGGGTTGAAAACAGATGAGAAAATTAATGAAATGAGATCGTCTGAGAGAATAGTAAGCCAGGGGAGAGAAGGAATATTGCAAGGCCCCAGGCAAGTTCTCTTCACCCACTCACACCCCACCTAAGGCCAGAAAACAAGTAGTACCTAAGGTTGCCAGATTTCGCTAATAAAATCACAGGATGTCCAGTTGCATTTGGACACACTTATACTAAAAAAGGATTCACTGTTTTTCTGAAATTCAATTTTAAGTCACACGAATAGCCTCAATTCACAGAGAAGTGGACTGAGTGACTGCAAGACGACAGTATCATGACAGGGTATCTGTCTACCCTAATAAGACCAGAAGCTGAGAGATGGCCTTATTGTTTCCCGTTTGTGATCAGACAGAGTGGGAAAGGCTTTGGGGAAGAGAGGGGTGGGTGAAAATGTGGATACAGGGGGTCCTCCTCTCTTACAGAAACTCTAAGGTATCATTAGAAAATAATAATAAAATGAGATAAAACTTAAAAACGGATGGCCTAATAATAAAATAAAATGAAATAAAACTTAAAAACAGGATGGCCTTAGACCTCTCCACAGAAATATTCACTACCAGAAGATATTAACAATATATGCAAAGTTCTGAGGGAATGTGAAAATCAAGAACCTATCCAGGAAGAGGTTGAATAATTATAATGTTCTCAACATGAAAGAACTCAGGGAGTTCAGCACCCACAAGACTTTCTTGCAAATTCTCCTGAACAGTGCAAGCAAGGCAACTGAGATGAATAAAGAAGGCTGGTTAAAAGGACGACTGGTAAGTATTGAAAGTATTAAATTATGGTAATACAGCTAAAGCAAACTGGAAAATGAGTAAAGAATAGAAATTAAGCAAAATAAATATAATGTAAAATAACATAAAGCTAATAGAAAATGAGATAAAAAGCATATTTAAATGTTATCAATCAATTTCATCTATAAATTGAGTAAAAAGTAAGTAAAAGTAAATGTAATAAATCAAACCTTCCTTTCATCATGCCATTGTTTTTCTTGAACAATATAGGGCTCTTTTAGAAATTAATACTTTACAAAAACAAAACTTCACCTAAATTTCTAAATTGCCTACAGTTTCAGTTATTTCAGTTATTTATTTTCGTTTTTGTAAAATTAATTTTGTTACTTTTTATTTAAAATATATATTAATACAATTTAAAAATAAAAATAGAATTTAGTTTGACTCCATGTTTGCAAAATTCATTCCATCTAATGTTCTACTTGTTCAATCAACAAATATCATTACTTGAGCACTTACTATGTTCCAGGAACAGTTTTTTATACACACACAGAAAAACAATACACACACATACAGAAAAACAATACATACACATCAAAAAATATCTGGTAGGTCCATCTAATGTTAATGACAGTTATTTTTGAATGAATGATAGAATTTAGAATGTTTCTCTTTTGTTTTTCTTTCTTTTTTTTTTTGAGACAGAGTCTCACTCTGTCACCCAGGCTGGAGTGCAGTGGCGCAATATGGGCTCACTGCAAGCTCTGCCTTCCAGGTTCACGCTATTCTCCTGCCTCAGCCTCCCGAGTAGTGGGGACTACAGGCTCCCACCACCATGCCTGGCTAATTTTTTGTATTTTTAGTAGAGACAGGGTTTCACCATGTTAGGCAGGATGGTCTCTATCTCCTGACCTCGTGATCCGCCCACCTCGGCCTCCCAGAGTGCTGGGATTACAGGCATGAGCCACCACACCCAGCCTTGTTTTTCTTTCAAACTTGAATTACTTATAAGAAATAGTAATCATTTTTATAAAAACAATATATTATCAAAGAAAATGGAGAAAGGAAGAAACAACACTTAATTTTTAAAAGCCGGCATATCATATATCAAAACCTGAAAAGGAATGCACCAAAAAAACATGCAAATTTCATTTATAAATATTAGAAAAACCAATTAAAATATAAACTAAGAAGGTTAGAGAGTATAGTGAAAGAATTACATGCTACAACAAAATAGCTTCATTCCAAGAATGACAAAATAGTCAATACGTATTAATAGATTCATCACAGTAAGCATGAAGGAGATAAATCACATAGTCTTCCTGTGAGATACTAAAAGACATTTTACGAAATGCGTCATCTTTTATGGCCTAATCACCTCTCAAAGGTCTCACTTAGTACCATTACCTTGAGGTTTAAGTTCCAACATATGAATTTTGGAGGTATACATGCATTCGAACCATAGATCATTAGAAGTGAGAAAGATCAAGTACAAGAAGTCAGGATGATGGCTTTCCCTTTCTGTCTCACTCAATGCAAACTGCAATGTCACTATTGTGATCTACAAGGCCCTATATGCCCTGCACTTCCATCCCCATTAACACTGTGACTTGTCTCCTCCTACCCTTCCTTCCATTCCTCTGTGAGCCACACTCACCTCCTTGCTCTTCCTTAAACCTGTCAGGGACATTTGCATCTCACATTCCTTTGCGCTTGCTACCTTGGCCCAGAATTTCCTTCCCACGTTACCATCTCATTGCAGATGTCACTACCTTATCTAAGGTTGTCCCATCACACCCCAACACTGCCTATTCCCCTTCCTTGCTTTACTCCATTACACTTATCACAATCTAATGTATACATCTTACTTAAACATATACAGCTGTTTTCTTGCTTATTCTCTCTCTCTCCCAGTAGCACATAAGTTCCTGAGAGCAACGATTTTTGTTTCTTTTGTTTAGTGCTATAACCCCAGCAACTAGAACAGTGCTTTGTACATAGTAGGTGATCAACAAATATTTGCTGAGTGAATGAAGGAGAGAGAGATGAGTAAGGAAAAGAGTGAACAAAGAAATACACAGAGCCCTAAAGGCTTTGCTGAAACTGGGGAAGACCTAGCTTAATTTCAAAATAAGATAATATCCTTTTAATGAAACATATACTTTTACATAAAAGTTTAGCATCCTTCAAAATATCCTATTTTTGAAAAATATGTCCATTAAAAGTGAAGAAATTTCTATACGACATTTAAAAACCTCCCCAGGAATGTTTAATTTTAGCTATTTCACTCTCAGCCTTCATCCACCTCTCTGAGCCATGCCTTAAAAATACTTTTCCCAGGAGTCTCATGTAGTTTTAAATGAAGTACACAAGTTCCAATAAGAATTAGAACTGCAAGCAAAATCTAAACTTAGAGTGTAGAAGTTTTTATTTTAATTGTTAAAGTATACATCCAATATCATTTTTTTTTAAATCCAGGTTTATCTAATGCATCCAGTCTAACATGAGGAGATATCCAAAGAATGTTCAAATATAGATCTATAAGATTAAATAACCTAATGAATTTGTTTTAAAATTCAAGGCTGTTCCCAAGCAAGAGAAAAAATGTGGTAGATTCACACATGGAAAATATGCAAAGGAGACCACAGTTAACTAAAGTTTAATGCTAGTTATCTTCCAGTGTTCTCATAACTGCATGTACATTAAAAGCTGATCCACATGTTTAAGAGCAATACAGAAATAAGCTAACTTTTCCTCATTAGAAGAATGGATAAACTGTGGGCTTTTCGTGCAATGGAATAATAAGCACCAGCTAAAAATGAAAGAACTGAAAAGCTAAAACACAATTTCCCTCTTCTCATTTCCTTCTTCTCCTCTCCTCCACTCCTCTTCACTCCCTTCATTTTCCTCTCTAATCCCCACCCTTCTCCTGCTTTTCCCTCCCTTCATTTCCCTTCCATCCCCTTCCCTACTTTTGGATCACATCCCTTCATTCCCTTCTTGGACTATTCAGTGTAAAAGTCATTAGGTGACACCAAGCAGAATGCCCAACTACCCTTCACACTAGTGATAGGAGTCCACACTGTTTGGCATAGGGTGTCAGACTCTGAGCAGGGCAAGGAGAGCTTTAGCCCAGTAGATTCCTATTGATCTTCAAATTCCAATCCAGAAGTCACCTCCTCCAAGAAGTCTTCCTTCACGAACCAAACACAGGAAGAATTAATATTCCCTGAGCTCCCAGGACATTTTGCACTTGCCTCTAATCATGCACTTTTATTAAAGTGAGTTGTTTAAGCTGGTTCTTTCTGCTGCTGAATGGTGAGTGCTTCAAGAACAGTTAACATATAGAATACATTTATATCTTCAGATCCTATAATGTTTTGAATTTGTAAAATGGAGTTGAATAAGAGAGAAGTTGTGGTGGAAGCATGGTATATGCTTACCACATGGTTGTATATGTCAAATTTTTCCAACTTGTAACTCACGTAACTATATAATATTCAATACACTTTCTCAAATTACTTGTATCTCCAGGCAATTATTTGCCCCACTGGACCTTGTGCCCTCAGTGGAGAATCACGTTACAAGAGAGCCTTAGTAACAGGGCCTGGGCTTGGAGGGGTATCCCCTGAACCCATTCCACCCCAGTCACCTCGGAAACCAGCAGATCCTCTGGAAAGACAGAAGTTATCATTATAACCAAAAAGAGCATCTCATTAAATCTTCTAACTCTTTAAAAACTGAGCAATCTGTTACAACTAACCCTAAGTGATCAGGGAAGTAACCATTCCTCTTCAGCATCAGCAACAGTTCCTTGGTTTTAAGCAATCCAAACTGACTCTGGATATTTCAGCCATAATCCATGTAAACCCAGGAAGGACAGAAATCAGCATAGCCCAAGGGATCACTGTCAAAAACACATAGACTATCTTTTTAAGGCAATTCCATTGGAATAACAACTTCCTTCTAATAATGTGTCCCTCCCGTCAAGGTACAGATTTCCTAGAGAAGTCAGCTAGTCCTAGTTTGGGGCATGAGGACACCCACAGGCCATGTATGTAAGACACTGCTATTGACAATCCCACTAGACCACATGGAAGAGGGAGGCATAGCTCCCCACAGGAAAAAAAAAAAAAATGAGATGAAGAAAATGAGAATTGGATGAGCAAAACCAGTTGTCTACTGCAACCCTTCTGTTCTGAGCAGACTGATACAATGTTGCAGCAGTACGAGGACCAAGAGAATTTGCGACTAGACCATCCTAGGGAATCTACACCAGAGGAAGGGATTTCCAAGCAGCACACTGGCCCCAGGAGACCATCAGCCTAGATAAACAGAGTCCCAGAGCAAAGCAGCAACGTCTCCTCACATGGCGCAATAGATATAGTACCGCAAGGGAAAGATGAAAAATTATAACCAAGCAAGTCATCTTGGAAGCAACGGCGTGACATGGACTAGCCCAGGAGCAGAAAGGAGCAAAAGGTCTGATCTGTGAGAACACAGAAGACTTCTTCTGAGAACTCTAAGAAATACATAAAAAGTAGAAAGCTTTAAAAGTGGGCTGAGGTCCACCTGTGAGTCAAGCAACAGCCAACGAGCTCATGAAATTCAGGAACTAATGTTGACGCATGTTTGACTGGGAAGACTTCAAGTGTCTCTTATTTTTTTTTTTTCTGTTCAAGAACAGAAGAAAGGGAACTTGATTCCAATGTCACACTTATTTATCCATGGCTCTTATAATAGGGCATTGCATCTAGTAAGTCAAGTAGTTCTCCCTATCCAAAAGATTTAGATATTTAAGCGTAACTGACTCCAAGAAGAGAGCTGCCTCATTCCATGTCTCTCCCTCCTAAAGTATGAAGGAATAAAAATCAGATAATTCTCAAATTCAGAATCTTTCCTCACCCATACCGCCTATGAATATAATTTTTCAAAGACATGCTACGTCCATAAGTCAACTCAAAAGGATGAATGGATAGACACTGCTACGAATCACCTACTAACCTCATGTTCTTGTCTTTCCTCAGTCATGCCCATACACACACACACATTTTCCTATCTGCAAAACTTATTCAGGATGATTATCTACAGTAGGATGAAGGGAGAAAAAACATTTAAAAGTTATAAAAACTGCAAACAGGAAATGAATGAAAAGCAAGAGGTCACTACACGTGCACACATACACACAAACTCAGTTTGCCAAAATCATGGAGGTGTTGGTCACTGGGTTAGAGCATAATGGAATAAACATCAACCTTAGGTCTTTTCTGAACATCGGTTAATTTAGCTTCCTTTTTCTTGTCACCTGGGACCTTCTTGAATCTCCACGTGGCTGACCCCTAGCAAAATAGCCCCTACTGGGCAAGCTCTGGGGCAGTACTGACAAAGAGGTCTTCCCTCCACTGCTTTATTCAAGTCCTATCTTATTTTTAGAATGTATAGTAAATAAAATTCTCATATTGCAGATGAGAGGTTGTTCCAAATGAGCCACTGGCAAATGAATGATCCATTGTTTCTTGCTTCCGCCCCAGAACATTTGGGTAGACCAGTTAGAGAATGTGCTTAACATGGCTGTTTCTATAACCAGTCGTATCATATACCAACAACCTGTCAAACATAAGAGAATGTGAACGTTTCTGAGCACTGTTTAATACTAGCTCCATGTTACTGAGAGGATCACATTAACTTCTAAAAATATTCTTCTATTTGATCCTGACTTTACTTAATTGGGAATCTTTTGTTCTGGTGAAGACCTTAAACTCTGTTTCAACTCTATATTTAGGTTTCACTGTTTACAAAAACTTAGCTTCTATGTTTGGGGCAGCTAAATATTTGCCATAAGATTATCTCCGCAGATCAGAATCTAGTTTTCCCAGGCTTTAAAAAGATCATGGCTTCCGACATGAATACTTACGGAAGATCAGTTCTCAAGCCTTCTAGATATCAACCTGTGGAACCCTTGAGAACCAAGGAAAGCCAATTTAAAAAATGAAAATTAGAATTTAAATCACATAAAAACCTAAGGGTTTCCTCATTCGGAGTTAACAACATAACAAATAGCAAGTCACTGTGTTCATAAGTTCTGGGAAAAAATAATGAAAGATATTCTACACGTTTTATATTGTTTTGTATCTTTTTTATTGCTGTAGCTTGGAGTACTAAGCAACTTTGGATAATATCTTCAATAAAAGTACATGTAGCCCATGAAAACACTAATAGTCTATGTATTTAAAAAGCAACATTTCATAAGAAACACGCAGTTCCATTAGATGCCGCTCACTCTTTGGGACCTTTATGCTTTCCAGCAGGATTCTGAAATAATTGTGGGCCTGTTAGTGTTTGTAGTTTCACCAAATAAGGCTTGGCTGTCTCATAATTATTACTCAGGGGGTTTGATGGGCTCATATAGAATTTGTTGTATTCTAACACACACATAAGAATCTCATTTTAAATCGTCAATAAATACAAATACAAAATTTTGCATTGTACAATACAAAAAAAAAACCCTCCTTACAAAGGAATACAAAAGAGACAAGGGTTGCTAGGCAACTGCCTAGCACAGGCCTTAGCATTTAAAGTAACAAACTACACTGCTGCCACCACCTGAAGGGTCTTGTTTCAGCAACAAAAGAACACTGACAGGAAGGAGTTGAAGTACAGCTCAGAACCACCACCATTCTCCCAAAATTGTATGTGAGCATATTTTACCAATTATAAAACGTTGATTTACAAAATAAGTAAAATAAACCTTATTTGGAATGCATCCAACTTTTAAAATTCACCTGGATTTATCTTCTGTGTTCTCAAAAAGATGGACTATGCACAAGCTTTTCTTTAAATAGAGTCAATGGTAGGGAAAATGCCTCCAAGGTGAATCTGTCTCCAGTGCCCTTCAACTTTGTCACCTCTCTTCAGTGTGCCCTAGACTCCCAGACATCCAATATCTGAGGGTGGTTTTATAGGATTAAATTGTTTCAAAAATACAATAACATCTTGGTGAGAATTAATTCAGCCGTCTGGTGTCCTGTAAAATTTCTGCCCCTTAAAAGAGGACAGCTGAGAGAAGAGCATGAAGAGGAAACTTCAAAGCGTTGAATTTCAGACAGAACAGCCCCTGGATGAGGAGAACAGAGCTTGCCAGACCACCACCCATGACCCCATCAAAAGCCCAGCACTGCTGACATAAGGATTACAATCCTTTAGATCTACGATGCGGAGGAGTGAATAGTTAAGCACACAGTCTTGAGTTAAGCTGCCTAGTTGAAGTGCTGGTTCTACCAATTACTAACCTTGTAACCTTTAGTGAGACGCTTAAATTGCCTAAGCTTCACTTTCCTCATTTGTAAAAAGGGGATTTAAAAAAAAAAAAAAAAAACTTCTCTACCATAATGGTGTTCACGTGTTCATTGAAATAACGTATGTAAAGGCCTTTGCTTAGTATTTGGCATGTAATAGATACAGAATAATGCTTATATTCTTCATAGTATTATGAAGGTCAATAACAAATAGTGCTCCATCTCATTTATTTAACTAAATACTCTCAGGATATTTATTAACTAAATATCTGTTGTAGGAATTTTTTGTTCCAGCATACAACGTAAACATATGCACAATTTAGGAATGAGTGCCACAGAGCAAGAACATAGAAATGGAGTTGGATCAATGTGATAAAAGGCCATTGAATACAGACCTAAACTTTTTATCATCCTGCATTGCCTGGGGCCATGTTATTACAACAACAGAGACATAGATAAATGGCCCAAAAAACAGTATGGTCTGTGTATCTTGATCTTCTCTGAGTTCCTTGTATTCACGCATGGGATTATGTACACGTAAGTCACCACAGAATTTCAGATATTTAAGCTACCATCTAAAGAAAGAATATATGTAGAACCACAAAGAAAATGTCATCTATATAAAATAAAAAGACACACTGGAGCTCGAAGTGTCTCTAAGGGCTCAGCCACAAGATCTCATACACCCTAATTCCAGCTATGTCATTGGAGTGCTTGGTGACACACCTCTGCTCTCTTGTGCGTCACACCAGCTTCCTGCTTCAAGCAGCTTCCTTGTGTACTCACAGTTTCTGTTTCATGACATTAACTCTGTGTGCCTCATAATGGCCTCGATGGCCCCTTCTTCACAGTGACTTTTACTCTCTCCCAAGGACAATGATAATGCACACTTTGTTACCTACTTTAAATCCCAAAACAGAGATTCAAACTACAGCCAAAAGATGAAAAGAGCTGCAGCGGGCACTGAGCTGTGCCACCCAGATCCCTTTCAGAAATGAAGAGATTTCTGCCCTAGCCCCTGGGAGTGCTGCTTGCAGATAGCCCCCAGCTGTCAGCCCCCTACAGAGAGGTTGCTTCAGCTGAAGAGAGCTGCCTCATCCAAGGTCATGTCCCCCTCCAGGGCAGCTGGAACTGACTGAGAAAGAGGATAAAGGCCCAGTCCTGTTGTCCCAACTCAGGACACCTCTGAAGGGTCATCTCAGCTGTAGGACCTGCTGTGGTATCTGCTCAGCCCTGAATTGAGACTACATCACCATTCAATTTCTCCCTCTGCCCACTCCTGCTCCTATCCCTTCCTGCTACTCTCTTCCCCTCCCTTTCCCTCCTCTCTTCTTGCATAGATGTTGATCTCAACAGCACTCCTGATAAACTTCCTATACACTGATCTCCCTCGCAGAGTCAGCTTCCCTGGAGCCCAATCAGGGACAGGAGCATGCCCCAGAGGTTTATGCATCATATCATTAAGCCAAGCCATATAGGTGGTCACCAACCAGATGAAATACTGGCTACCCTAGATAAAAGTGCCCACTCCTAATCCAATAAGCTATGGCCAGGAAGATATGTTGTATGCTAGAAAACACCATTTTAGGGCAGTACAGGTTCTAGGCTGTGTGCGGCTCTGAGGGGATAGCATTTTGATACGTCTGGTACATTCTTTTATCAATCCCAGACAGATAACCCACAGGTTTGTCTCTTTCTTTCCATAATCTGGAAAGCAATCTGCATCTTTTTCTCTTCAAAGCTGTCACCACCTCCTCTGCTTCTTGGAGATCCTGGCCTACGCAAGAACTTGGAGTGAAAACACCTCCTTAATTTTGCTATCTAAAAATATTCACTCTTGAATACTGCTAATCATGACAGGAAAACAGAAAGGAGATATGTAAAATAGCAAACATAATTAATACATTAAAAAGAGTTGCTAAAGAGATTTGTTTTAGAAATTCAAGCTATTGCATTAATTAAAGATATTCCATAATATTTATAATATTTTTTAAAAATCTCTGCCTCCTCACATTAGTAATGACTGTAGCTTTGTTAAGAACAAAGCCTTTATCATTTTGTTAAAAATGATGTGTGCTCATTATAAAAATTAAACTGACATAGAAAAGTCTAACAAAGAAAAAAGTTATCTAAAATCTTACTTCCCAAAAATAGCCAGAATCAACATTATGTGAATATTATTCTAGTTGACTGTCTATTCATATATTCAGAAAGGTAGATCAACTTTCATTAAAATTAAATCATTACATAAATGCTATTTTAACTTTAAAAATTCTTTAATTTTATTTAACTACAAAAAAACTGAAGCAAAATTGAAGTGATTCCTGAATATTAAAGGAATATTTCTCCACTGTAAGTATTTCCTAAAAGATCACTCTTACCTCTCCCTCCCCCTCCCCCTCCCCCTCTCCCTCTCCCCAGGGTCTCCCTCCGATGCCAAGCCGAAGCTGGACTGTACTGCTGCCATCTCCGCTCACTGCAACCTCCCTGCCTGATTCTCCTGCCTCAGCCTGCCGAGTGCCTGCGATTGATTGCAGGCGCGCTCCGCCACACCTGACTGGTTTTCGTGTTCTTTTGGTGGAGACGGGGTTTCGCTGTGTTGGCCGGGCTGGTCTCCAGCTCCTAGCCGCGAGTGGTCTGCCAGCCTTGGCCTCCCGGGGTGCCGGTATTGCAGACGGAGTCTCGTTCACTCAGTGCTCAGTGCTGCCCAGGCTGGAGTGCAGTGGCGTGATCTCGGCTCGCTACAACCTCCACCTCCCAGCCGCCTGCCTTGGCCTCCCAAAGTCCCGAGATTGCAGCCTCTGCCCGGCCGCCACCCTGTCTGGGAAGTGTGGAGCGTCTCTGCCTGGCCACCAATCGTCTGGGATGTGAGGAGCCCCTCTGCCCGGCTGCCCAGTCTGGGAAGTGAGGAGCGCCTCTTCCCGGCCACCACCCCGTCTAGGAAGTGAGGAGCGTCTCTGCCCGGCCACCCATCGTCTGAGATGTGGGGAGCGCCTCTGCCCCGCCGCCCCATCTGGGATGTGAGGAGCGCCTCTGCCCCGCCGCGAACCCATCTGGGAGGTGAGGAGCGTCTCCGCCCGGCCGCCCCGTCTGAGAAGTGAGGAGCCCCTCCGCCCGCAGCCGCCCCGTCTGGGAAGTGAAGAGCCCCTCCGCCTGGGAGCCGCCCCGTCTGGGAAGTGAGGAGCCCCTCTGCCCGGCCGCCACCCCGTCTGGGAGGTGTACCCAACAGCTCATTGAGAACGGGCCACGATGACGATGGCGGTTTTGTCAAATAGAAAAGGGGGAAATGTGGGGAAAAGATAGAGAAATCAGATTGTTGCTGTGTCTGTGTGGAAGGAAGTAGACATAGGCGACTCCATTTTGTTCTGTACTAAGAAAAATTCTTCTGCCTTGGGATGCTGTTGATCTGTGACCTTGCCCCCAACCCGGTGCTCTCTGAAACATGTGCTGTGTCCACTCAGGGTTAAATGGATTAAGGGCGGTGCAAGATGTGCTTTGTTAAACAGATGCTTGAAGGCAGCATGCTCATTAAGAGTCATCACCACTCCCTAATCTCAAGTACCCAGGGACACAAACACTGCGGAAGGCCGCAGGGTCCTCTTCCTAGGAAAACCAGAGACCTTTGTTCACTTGTTTATCTGCTGACCTTCCCTCCACTATTGTCCTATGACCCTGCCAAATCCCCCTCTGCGAGAAACACCCAAGAATGATCAATTAAAAAAAAAAAAAAAGAAAAAAAAAATTACTTGCCAAAACCCAAAAAAAAAAAAAAAATCACTCTTAGGTCAAAAGGTGATCATGAAAAGCTGTAAGTTGAAATTATTTTAATTACATTTCAACTTAAGATGCTTCCAGTGCACTGGGTACCTGCTAGAAAAACGTGAGGAAGGAAGCAGATCACATCAGCTTCCCCCACCCTCCCCACCCTTTGACTCAGGTTGTATCATTATTTTTACATTATCAAGTATGGCAGAAACTGCTTGGTCTTCGTCAATCTCTGTTTTCTCCTTTTTTCAGTTATAATACAAGTTTTGGCTGAGCATAAGACTCCCCTGATAAAGATTACATTTCCCTGCCTCCTTTGTAGTTCGGTGTAGCCATCTGACCAAATCTGGGCAAGGAAATGTTGGAGAAGGAATGGATGCAATTTCTGGATTGTGCCTTCAAAGAGAAGAACCGTACCCTTGCCTCTGTCCCCTTCCCACCTTTCTCCAGGCTAAGACACAGACACAACAGTGACAGCTAAAGCATCCATGTGGGTACATAAGATGAAAGCCATATGCTGATGATGGCAGGACAGCAAAGTCATAGACGTCCGGGTCCCCAGTGCCCTTGATATCCAAACCAGTCCTGGATTGTCTATGCAGACTGTGATATAGGAATGAAATATATTTCTACTTCATTCGTGCCAATTTATTTTTAGGTTTCTTTTTATAGAATCCTAACTGCACCTTGACTAATATCTCAACTAATATATCAACAGACTATATCATTATTGTGTACACTGAAATGATAATTCCTAGAGTTAATTTGTCTGAGTTCAATATTTAAAAGCATTCAATGTTCCCTGACAATGCCTTTTACCAGGGTGTCCCTATTCCTGAATTCTTGGCGATTTCTTCTTTTGTTTTTCTTTGGTTGGTTGGCTTGGTGGCATATTAGTTTCCTATTGCTACTATAACAAATTACCCCAAACTTAGTCCTTAAAACAACACAAATTTATTATCTTATGGTTCTGTATGTCGTAATTGCAAAATAGATTTTACTGGGCTAAAATCAAGTTGTTGGCAGGGCTACATTCCTTCAGGGGGCTCTGGAAGAGAATCCATTTCCTTGCCTTTTCCAGCTTCTGAGATAGGAGGTGGACTCCGACACCAGACCAGATTGAGGACTAGCTAAAACAGGGTCGGGGCAGAGGCTTTCCAATCGTACACATCCACAAGTGTGCCATGTCAATTTAGTGTTGCCATGGCAGCACTCAAAGTTACTGCCCCTTTCCATAGCAATGACCCAGTGGCCCAAAAGTTACTACCCCTTCCCTAGAAAGTTCTGCACAAACCACTCCTTAATCCACATGCAATTAAAAGTGGGTATAAATATGGCTGCAGAACTCCCTGAGCTGCTACTCTCTGCCTATGGGGCAGCCCTGCTCTGCAGGAGCAGTGATAGAGCTGTAACACTGCCTCTTAACTAAAGTTGTTTTCTTCTATTTCTGGCTTGCCCTTCAATTCTTTCCCGAGCAAGGCCAAGAAGCCTTGTAGGCTAAGTTCCACTTTGGGGCTCACCTGCCCAGCATCACCCCTACAGGCTGCCTGCATTCCTTTGCTCATGGCCCCTTCCTCCATCCTCAAAGCCAGCAGTGTAGTATCTTCAAGTATCTCTCTGATTCTGACCCTCCTGTCTCCTACTTTTGCTGATAAGGACCCTTGTAACTACACTGGGATCACCAGGATAATCCATAGTAGTCTCCCCATCTCAAGATCCTTAATTGTGTCTGCAAAGTCTCCCCTGCCATATAAGGTAATATATTCACTGGTTCTGAGGATTAGAATGTGGATATCTTTACAGAGGGGAAGGGATGGATAGTATTCTTCCTACCAGAGGGGGGGTTGATTTTGTTCTATTTCTCTAATTTCATTAAATTTTGTTTTGTTGTTTTTGGAAAAGGGTTCATGAGTGCTTCATTGCCTGAAGTATTTGGTACAATATTGAGAATGCATGTTTCCTTTATACTTGAACAACAACTCACCTGAAAATTATAATATGAAATCATTTTGTTTCCAATGTGTTACTTAGTGTTACACTGAAAAACCTTGAGGGCAACATGTTACGTTTTTCTTTGTATGTGAAGCTCTTTTTTCTGCCTCCAGGCCTAAAGAAGTCTTTTATTTTTATTTTTATTTTTATTTTTTGAGATGGAGTCTAGCTCTGTCCCCCAGGCTGGATGCAGTGGTGCCATCTCGGCTCACTGCAAGCTCTGCCTCCCGGGTTCACGCCATTCTCCTGCCTCAGCCTCCTGAGTAGCTGGGACCACAGGCGCCCGCCACCACGCCCGGCTAAATTTTTTTTGTATTTTTAGTAGAGACGGGGTTTCACCGTGTTAGCCAGGATGGTCTCGATCTACTGACCTCGTGATCCACCCGCCTTGGCCTCCCAAAGTGCTGGGATTACAGGCGTGAGCCACCGTGCCTGGCCAAGAAGTCTCTCTTTATCCCTCAAATTACACCTAATCAGCATATGGCTTGATGTCAACTGCTTTTTACTTTCACCTAAGATGCAGTAGCCTTTTCCAGTATACTTATTCACTTCTTTCTTTGTTTCAGGGAATTTTCTTCTATTATATAAATCTCTGAATGCTTTTTCAATTCCATCTGTTGGATTATGTATTTCAGGGTCATCAGTTATCTTTACATTGGATTGTCTTTGTCTATTCACCATGTCTGTTACTTTATATTCAATTACTTCAATATCATATTTTTCACCTGCATTCATTATCTAAAGCCTTTTCTGTATATTAGCATGTTTATTTTCACCTATGCTATCTGTTCCCTGATTTTCAAATCACCATGTTGGTTCTGTCATGTGTTGGTCTGATCCTTAATTTGTCTTATTTACTCTGCAGCATCCTCATTACTATCTGTCATCTCTTCCCTGAGACACCATGTGATTGTCACCTTTATGAAGTTGCTAAATAACGCAGAGCTCTTGTGAGGAATTTTCTTTTGTTCTGGGTCATTGTCATGGTGCCTCCCAGACTGGATTACTGTTACTTTTTATTTTTGTTCATACTTGTGTTTATTGCAGCTAGAGTATGTTTCCATCTTTGTGTTGCCATTTCTTCTCATGATACTATGCTCAATCTGAGCTGCTCTATCCCAATAATTTTTCTCTGATATAGTGGGGTTACCTCCCTTTTATAACTGTGCCTAATACCTGTTTGTTTTCTCTTCTCAGCTACAATTAGAGAGTTGGACATCTCATGTTCAGTCATAGACTGAGTTACAGCAGGATGGAGTGAGTATAAGAAAAGAAGGAGGTCAGCTGATGCTATGTACGGGCTCTGGAAGAACACATGGGCTCCATTCTTCTTCTGAGAGTATTTGCTCCATCCATGTGGGAAAGGTAGTGAAGGTGGTGGCTCACATCTGTAATCCCAGCACTTTGGGAGGCCGAGGCAGGTGGATCACTTGAGGTTCAGGAGTTTGAGACCAGCCTGGCCAACGTGGTGAAACCCCGTCTCTACTAAAAATAAAAAAAAAAAAAAAAATTAGCCAGGCATCGTGGCACGCACCTGTAATCCCAGCTCTCGGGAGGCTGAGGCAGGAGAATTGCTTGAACCCAGGAGGCAGAGTTTGCAGTGAGCCGAGATCGTGCCATTGCACTCCAGCCTGGGCAACAAAGTGAGACTTTGTCTCAAAAAGAAAAAAAAAAAAAAGGAATAGATCTGGATTTTATGAGACCTACAATTTATACAATTTGATGGGTTTTCTGTAAGAAAAAGAACACAAGTTATGGTCCAAATTCTACATACATTTTTATTCAGAATGAAAAAAGAAACCAAAACATTATGAGTATTAAAAGACTAGCAAAACCCACAAAACTATTCCGGAAGAATAGTTAGCTAACTGCCTACACATTTCTATAATACTTTTTTTCTATATTTATGGACACAATCTTTCATTTACTCCTTAACATGACAATTTTTGTAAAATCATTTTTAGTGGGGAGACTAGAGATAATTTAGTGTCTACTGGCATATTTACCAAAATATGCTTACATTGTTATTAGTTTTATTGCTGAGAATTTCTTTTTTTTGAGATCACTCTGTCACCCGGGTTGGAGTGCAGTGGTGCGATCTTGGGTCACTGCAATTTCCACCTCCCAGGTTCAAGCAATTCTTCTGCCTCAGCCTCCCAAGTAGCTGGGACTACCTGCGCACACCACCACACCCAGCTAATTTTTGTATTTTTAGCACAACAGGGTTTCACCATCTTGGCCAGGTTGGTCTTGAACTCCTGACCTTGTGATCTGCCTGCCTCGGCCTCCCGAAGTGCTGGGATTACAGGCGTGAGCCACCGCACCCAGCCAAATTTCTTTAATCATCACAATGTTTTCTTGGTGTGGTCATATAAGCTTTGGGAATTATCAAATTTGGGGTTCTCTGTCATTTTTCTTTCATATGTAAACTATCATATTTGAATCTTTTTCCATGTTCTAACTTCTGGTTCCAAACTTTTCAAACCTTGTTTCTCCTCTAGCACCCACAAATTTCCACTGCCAGGTACAACAGGACACTTTCGTATCATTATACAGCCTCTGGCTCTGCAGTTGCTTAAAATGACTCCAGTTGAGCTTACACAGCAGAAAGTAGTGTTCCTGGAGGCAATTTCTACACCAGGAGGGCTAATAACAATTTCAATATTCATGGATGAAATTGTGAGCCACTTCAATATATCCTACTAAATCCACTCTAACTATATCCGCAGCTCAACATTCCCTTAGCTAGTTCCCAAAAACTGCTGTTGGCCGCTCTATTGCCAGCACAAGGGAAAGCTATAATGGAAAAAGCAGCTCTCTTAACTGATTGAAGTTAAAATAGTTTCCTTTCGCAAATTTTACAAAAACACACGATGATGTGAAAACACTGTGCTAAGGCCCCTCTCACAGCATTAGAAAGGGCCTGGGCAAGTCAGAGTCTCTGAAGCTTAAGTTTTTTATCTTTACTGTAAATCTGCCTCTGCATGAATGGGCATCCTCAGGTCTTACAGTGTCTCTCCAATGCATGTGAACCCCTGGGCCATTCCCTTCCTTGTATTTCATCCTCATTCTAATACCTCGAGTCAGAGGAGGGAAAAGATAAATCTGCTTATTTGGTTTCTTTCCAGATTTGGAGGTAATAGACATTGCTGCTATAATGTAAGTACGTTTTTCTGATAAACTTTATTTTCTGCAAAATTATGCTTCAAAAATTAGAGACTTTATGGGAAAAAATAAAGTTGGAACAGATCACTCAAAACCTGCACAACTTTGTAACCAGAGCATTTACACCAACAATCCCAATCCAAATAAAAATACTAGCACAGTTAAATATCCACTGGCATTTATTGGGAGACAATTCTCCCTGGATTCCTCACTTTCTACATCGTCCAGACTTTCTGAGCAAGGGGCACTGACAAGTTTTGTTCAAGGATAATTGAATAGCAACCCTAAAACAGAGAACATCTCCTTCTCCAAAGGCATTCCAGAATAGTAAAGGTTTGCTTCCTTCCCAGAGGATAGTTCCTTAGTTCCAGGGTTATGAGGAATAGCTCTCCAGAGGGAAGAATGGGCAGATCACCAGCAACCCTAATAAAAGCTAGAGTCTCCTAAGTTCAGGGTTTGTCTTCTATAATGAAAACCCAAGGCATGCACAGGCAGAATCTGGCCCTCATTCACATCTCCCTGTGGGAAATTAAAATGTGGGGAACTGATGCAAGATGCTACTCTGACTACTATGCTATGAATAATAAACCATTTGTGTCTCTGGCTCAAGTGCCTTATGAGATATAGAGATAGAGAGAGACAGAGATAGCGATAGAGATAGAGATACATAGATATATCTCCTATGTATGGCAAACTAACTTATTAGCTTACAAGTAGGGTAAAATCTCAGACTATTCACCATTTCTGACTTAATACTAGTTTAACATCATTGCACCCAACATCATAGTTATCCACACTCTTGGATCTTGGGAATTTCTCTTTGCCCTTGAGATCTGGGTCCTTAAGAGACCAATTGCACCAAAATTAAAAATGTAATCCAGTGTATAGCCTTTTTCAATAATCAATTTTAACACAGAAGGTAATATCTTTACACCTTCTTCATCTCACTCACAGCTTTACCAAAAAGCTTCATGTTTTAGGAAACACAGCAGTTCCTAAAGCCACTAAACTAGCTATTATTTGCACTCGAAGACACATTTACGGGCCAGGCGCCGTGGCTCACGCCTGTAATCCCAGCACTTTGGGAGGCCGAGGCGGGTAGATCACCTGAGGTCAGGAGTTCGAGACTAGCCTGACCAACATAGAGAAACCCCGTCACTACTGAAAATAGAAAAATTAGCTGAGTGTGGTGGTGCATGCCTGTAATCCTAGCTACTCAGGAGGCTGAAGCAGGAGAATCACTTGAACTCAGGAGGTGGAGGTTGCTGTGAGCCGAGATCACACCATTGCACTCCAGCCTGGGCAACAGAGCTAGACTAAAAAAAAAAAAAAAGACACAGTTAAAAGACTTGAAACTCTTTTCTTATGGTTTTTATGTAATGCCTCAATTTTCTCTTTAATTGTGAAACAGTATGCCCCTGGTCATTTCAAAATATTAACAAGTTGAGAGGAAAATCACACACGAACTAAAAAAAATTCTATCATTCTATATTAACAGATTCATATTTGAAAAACTAGTCTTATAGGCTGGGCACGGTGGCTCACACCTGTAATCCCAGCACTTTGGGAGGCCGAGGCAGGTGGATCACGAGGTCAGGAGTTCAAGACCAGCCCGGCCAAGATGGTGAAACCCCAAAAACTACAAAAAAATTAGCTGGGCACAGTGGCAGGCACCTGTAATCCCAGCTACTCAGGAGGCTGAGGGAGGAGAATCACTTGAAACCGGCAGCAGAGGTTGCAGTGAGCCAAGATGGCGCCACTGCACTCTAGCCTGGGCGACAGAGGAAGACTCCGTCTCAAAAAAAAAAAAAGAAAAGAAAAACTAGTCTTATAACAAAGAACATTGTGTTAGGAATAAGTCTCAGGTTTTTGGATAGGCTCTTTTTGGGGGGGATGGAGGTAGAATTATCATGATGTAGTTCTCTCTCATGTTTCAAAAATAATTTTTCAGTAGTTAGTCATGATGTAATATAGTACAACACGAATAACAACAGGCTAAAAATTAGGACACCCTGCCTTTATTCTATTAATACTTTTTGCCAAGTATTAAGTGGGTAGTTGAAAGAGCTCAATGAATGTCCGTGGGCCTCAGATGTCCATCTGTAATATCTTTGAAGTTCTGTTATGAATTGAATGTTTGTTTTTCCCCCAAATTTTTATACTGAATTCCTAAGCACAAATATGATGGTATTTGGAAATGAGGGCTTTAGCAGGTAATTAGGACTAGATGAGGCCATGAGAGAAGGAACCTCATGATGAGATTGGTGCCTTTATAAGAAGAGATCCCAGAGAGCTTGTTCTCATTCTCTCTTCACTATGTGAAGACAGAGCTAAAAAACAGCCATCTGCAAGCCAAGAAGAGAGGCCTCAACAGAACATGAGCATGTTGTCATCCTGATCTTGGACTCCAAAGTTGTGAGAAAATAAATTTCTGTTATTTAAGCTACCCAACCTATGGTATTTTGTTATGGTAGCCCAAGTTGACTAATAAGTTCTTCCCAGTTTGAAAAGTCTATGATCCAAGGAAAGACAGCGCAAACATATTTTCCCCTAGTCCTTCCCCTAAGTACAGCTAAAGATCCTGGATGTCATAAAACAAACATGAGAAGACCTGAAAGATGGAGAAAAGCAGGTAGACAAGATAGAGACCTCATACCTGAGGAATGTTACTCAGTGGTGAGTTCCCTCAGTTTTCTTCTTGCTCATACATACCCAGATTGGGTACTGAGAAGCTAGCAACCCAGAAATGCCAATGGGCACAGACAAATATGTCAGCTCCCCACAGACAAAAAAAAAAAAAAAAATCACCCCAAGAAAAGCCTGCTACCTTTCTCTAGCCAAAAGATCAGGAAAGAGACAGCCCAGCAATACAGAAAATAAAACTTTCAGATAATAACTGTTCTACTGCTCAACAGCAGAATCAAGAGGATAGAGGAAAGAATCAGTGAACTTGAAGATAGACAATAGAAATTATCAAATCTGAACAATAGAGATAATATAGGAAAACAAAATAAAGGAACAGAGACTCCAGGAACTCTTAAACTAAAAAAAAAAAAAAAAAAAAAAAAAAAATCTAACATTTGTATCACAGGAGAAAGAGAATGGACTAAAAAGTATTCAAAGAAATAATGGATGAAAATTTCCCAAATTTGGCAAAGAATATAAACCTACGTATTTAAGAAACTGTATTAAATGCAAACAGGATACATCCAAAGACATACATCGTAGTCAAGCTTCTGAAAACTAAAAACAAAGAGAAGTTTTGAAAACAGTGAGAGAGAAATAACACTTTATTTAGAGGGGTAAAACACTTCAAATGACAGCAGAAATCTCATCACAGAGACCAAAAGGAAATACACAACATTTTTCAAATGCTGAAAAAAAAAAATGTCAATTCCTAATCTTATATCCAGCAAAAATATCCATCGGGGTGAAGGAAAAATCAAAGAATTCTCAGATTAGAAAAACTAAGAGAATTTGTTGGAAGCAGGCCTGTCTTAACAGAATATTTAAAAGTTTTTAAACAGAAAGAAAACAATAAAAAAGGAACCTTGAAACATCAGGAAAGAAGAAAACATGGTAAGCAAAAATATGGGTTAAAACAACAGATTTTTTTTCTCCTTTTGGGTTTTCTAAATTATGTTTAATGAATAAAGCAAAAATTATAACACTGATGTGATTCTCAATGTATATAGAGAAAACATTTCAATTATAAGTGGAAGAGAGTATAGAAACATAAAGAGAGCTAAGGTTTCCATGAATCACTCAAACTGGTAAAATGCTGACAGTAGTAATCCAAGATAAATTATGTCAATGCAAATTAACACCTGTAGAACTACTTAAAAAGTAATATAAAGAAATACACTCAAAAACACTAAAGATAAACCAGAATATAATTTTTTCAAAAAGTTCAAGTAACCCACAAGAATGCAGAAAAAGAAAACAAAAACAAAAAAAAGAGAAATGAAACAAAAAATAAAATTTCAGACTTAAACCCCAACATATGAATATTATACTTAATGTAAATTATCTAAATACACCAACTAAAAGACACAGATTGGCAGAGTAGATTAAAAATAAGACCCAACTATATGCTGTCTACAAAAAAACTCATATCAAATACAATGATACAGGCAGGTTGAAAATAAAAGTACAGAAAAAGACATAGTATGTGAAATTTAATCAAAAGAAAAAAGAAGTGGCTATATTAATATCAGGAAATGTAGACCTTGGAACAAAGAAAATTATCAGACACAGAGAGAGACATTATTATGTAATGATAAATAGATCAATACTCCAAGAAGACATAGCAATCTTAAATGTGTAAGCAACCAAACCACAGAGGTGCAAAATAATTGAGTTAAAGTTGACAGAAGTAAAAGCAGAAACAGACAAATCTACATTTATAGTTAGAGAATACAACAACCATCTCTCAAAAGTGGATAGAACAGGGACCAGGCACGATGGCTCATGCCTGTAATCCCAGCACTTTGGGAGGCCGAGGCAGGCGGATCACGAGGTTAGGAGATCGAGACCATCCTGGCTAACACGGTGAAACCCCGTCTCTACTTAAAAAAATACAAAAAATTAGCCAGGCTTGGTGGCGGGCGCCTGTAGTCCCAGCTACTCAGGAGGCTGAGGCAGGAGAATGGCGTGAACCCAGGAGGCGGAGCTCGCAGTGAGACGAGATCATGCCACTGCACTCCAGCCTGGGCAACACAGTGACACTCCGTGTCAAAAAAAGAAAAAAGTAGATAGAACAACGATATAAAAACCATCAAAGATACAGAAGAACTCAACAACACAATCAGCCGACAGGATCTAAATGGCATTTGTAGAACATTTTACTGACAACTGAATACGCATCCTCTTCGAGGACCCATACAACATATACCAAGATAGCCAAAATTCTGGATCATAATCCCATTTCTCAAGTCAATGTCCTCTCCCTTGACTCACAGATAGGCAATCAAAGAATGTATGCAACACACGTTTTTCAAGCAACCTCTGTTCATTCAAACTTAGACAGGGATGTCATATATATTGAGGCTTTAAAACATTCTAGTCACCAGATCCCATAGAGTAGAAGAGAAGAAAAGGTAGAGGGGACTCAAATAAACCTCCTCAAAAGATACAACAACAGCTGTATTCACTCTAAAATTCCATGACTTGTTCAGGAAAGCAGTGGGATTAAACAGAATCTTAAATCCAAACCTTGTAAATGGCACTGACCAGAGCTATTGGGATCCTGAAGTCCCCACAGAGGAGGACTTACTCCTCTGTGTTCAGGACCAGGACTGATCAAACATGAAAATTCAAGTGACTGTTGCTATAATTAGATTAACCAATGAATTTTATTGTAAAGAATGAGCCTGAACCTATCACTAAGAAAGAGGCAAATTATTCTCTTTCAAACATGCATTAATTCTAGGATAGCATTTAGAAAATTACCCCATCCGATGTACTAAATGACACCCAAATTGCCCAGAAGAGTTATTATATTTCCCCAAAGTGAGCTATGTATTCTTTTCTAACCAGTTGCATCAAGTCCAATTAGAAGCAGAGTATAACTTCTGAAATATTTAAAATAGGTCAGTATGATGAAAGCCAGCTGAGTAATTTATAGGCATTTTGTAAAATACTGGTAATATTCCATCAAGATAAGTTAAACTGCCATTTGGAGAGTAATTTTCATTATATATAAAGATATAATCTGTACCTTTTTGTCTTCACTGACTCTCCCCAAAGAGGCTTTGTGCATGTGTGTTACTGTCTCAATTGGACAGAAATGTATCAGTCATATCTGAAGTGTTTTGTTGAATTATTCTGTGTCATCTTTTTTCTTTCAATGTCTGTTTTCTCCATATTATTCATATGCTATGACATTGTAGAGCAAGTACATCAGCACTCTTTTCCTCTTATGTAAATTACTAAGTAATCAAAATACAAACAGTGCTCTCGGGAGACAAATCTAGATCATAAATCAAGCTTTCTCCCTGATTTTACCTAAAGTGCAATATGAATTCATAACAAATGCATTCCACTGGGAGTTAAGCAACAAGAATGCAAACTCAGTTTATCTGAGGCCTCAGTTTCCCATTGCAGAATGTGAGTTTAGAGATCATTCTTTTTTCTGTCTCATCAGGAATCTGTGCAGCTTAAATAGACTCATACATGAAGTACTTTGGGTCCCATGCATTGGGAGGATAATGTAGAAATCTGTAGTCAAATTATTTATGATCATAATTTTATTGTCTTTCATCCAATAAGGTCTTTACAAACCTTAATCAGTTCCCTTAAACTCCTGTGGATAAGTTGCTTCTTGTTCATTTCACAAGTTAAATTCAGACAATGGGAAGTTGAGTGGTTTGCTCCAATTGTGTAACCCCCCAGAATTAGAGCAAAGCATTCCTGGTACCCATTGCTATGAGGGAGGAAGCAACATCAGAGCATCCGTGGGCCTTCTGAGCAGTCTCACTGTGTAGGAGCCTTAATGTGTGGTTGGGCTATGTGCCTCTGCTACAGGGAGACAGAAAGGTTCTTTTTTTTTTTTTTTTTTTAAATATACTTTAAGTTCTGGGATAGGATACATGTGCAGAAGGTGCAGGGATTTTTGTTTGTTTGGTTGGTTTTGTTTTTGTTTTTTTTGAGATGGAGTTTCACTCTTGTTGCCCAGGCTGGCCTGCAATGGCGCGACCTCAGCTCACTGCAACGTCCACCACCTCAGTTCAAGGGATTCTCCTGCCTCAGGCTCCCAAGTAGCTGGGATTACAGGCACCTGCCACCAAGTCTGGCTAATTTTTTGTATTTTTAGTAAAGACCAGGTTTCACCATTTTGGTCAGTCTGGTCTCAAACTCCTGACCTCAGATGATCCACCCAACTCAGCCTCCCAAAGTGCTGAAATTACAGGCGTGAGCCACTGTGCCCGGCCAGAACATGCAGGTTTGTTACATAGGTATACAAGTGCCACAGTGGTTTGCTGCACCATCAACCCGTCATCTACATCAGGTAGTTCTCCTAATTCTATCCCTCCCCTAGCCCCCAACCCCACCGACAGGCCCCGGTGTCTGATGTTCCCTTCCCTGTATCCGTGTGTTCTCACTGTTCAACTCCCACTTACGAGTGAGAACATGCAGTGTATGGTTTTCTGTTCCTGTGTTAGTTTGCTGAGAATGATGGTTTCCAGCTTCATCCATGTCCCTGCAAAGGACATGAACTCATCCTTTTTATGGCTGCATAGAATTCCATGGTGTATATGTGCCACATTTTCTTTATCCAGTCTATCATTGATGGGCACTGGGTTGGTTCCAAGTCTTTGCTATTGTGAACAGTGCTGCAATAAACATACGTGTGCATGTGTCTTTATAGTAGAACGATTTATAATCCTTTGGGTATATACCCAGTAATGGGATTGCCAGGTCAAATCCTTGACCTGGTTCTGGTTATAGATCCTTGAGTAATCGTCACACTGTCTTCCACAACGGTTGAACTAATTTACACTCCCACCAACAGTGTAAAAGCATTCCTATTTCTCCACATCCTCTCCAGCATCTGTTGTTCTGACTTTTTTTTTTTTTTTGAGACAGAATCTCACTCTGTCACCCAGGCTGGAGTGCTGTGGGGTGATCTCAGCTCACTGCAACCTCCACCTACTGGGTTCAAGCAATTCCCTGCCTCAGCCTCCCAAGTAGATGGGATTACTGGCGCCCACCACCATGCCCAGCTCATTTTTGTATTTTTAGTAGAAACAGGGTTTCACCATCTTGTTCAGGCTGGTCTTGAACTCCAGACCTCATGATCCACCTGCCTCGGCCTCCCAAAGTCCTGGGATTATAGGTATGAGACACCGCACCCGGCCCTGACTTTTTAATGACTGCCATTCTAACTGGCATGAGGTGGTATCTCACTGTGGTTTTGATTTGCATTTCTCTAATGACCAGTGATGATGAGCTTTTTCTTCATGTTTGTTTGGCCGCATAAATGTCTTCTTTTGAGAAGTGTCTGATCATAACCTTCGCCCACTTTTTGATGGGGTTGTTTTTTTCTTTTAAATTTGTTTAACTTCTTTGTAGATTCTGGACATTAGCCCTTTGTCAGATGGATAGGATGCAAAAATTTTCTCCCATTCTGTAGGTTGCCTGTTAACACTGATGATAGTTTCTTTTGCTGTGCAGAAGCTCTTTAGTTTAATTAGATCCCATTTGTCAATTTTGCTTTTGTTGCCATTGCTTTGGGTGTTTTAGTTATGAAGTCTTTGCCCATGCCTATGTCCTGAATGGTATTGCCTAGGTTTTCTTCTAGGGTTTTTATGGTTTCAGGTCTTACGTTTAAGTCTGTAATCCATCTTGTGTTAATTTTTTTTCTTTTTTTTTTTTTTTTTTTTGAGATGGAGTCTGCTCTGTCGCCCAGGCTGGAATGCAGTGGTACTGTCTCGGCTCACTGCAACCTCCGCCTCCCGGGTTCATGCCATTCTCCTGCCTCAGCCTCCCGAGTAGCTGGGACTACAGGTGCCCGCCACCACGCCCGGCTAATTTTTTGTATTTTTAGTAGAGACGGGGTTTCACCGTGTTAGCCAGGATGGTCTCGATCTCCTGACCTCGTGATCCTCCCGCCTCGGCCTCCCAAAGTGCTGGGATTACAGGCGTGAGCCACCGCGCCCGGCCTCTTGTGTTAATTTTTTTAATAAAGTGTAAAGAAGGGGTCCAGTTTCAGATTTCTGCATATGGCTAGCCAGTTTTCACAACACCATTTATTAAATAGGGAATCCTTTCCCCATTGCTTGTTTTTGTCAGGTTTGTCAAAGATCAGTTGGCTGTAGACGTGTGGCATTATTTCTGAGACCTCAGACTGGGAATTTTTCAATTGGTAAAAGAAGAGAGAGAAAGAGAACACTGAACAGCAGGATCAAAATAATAATCTCGGTTTTTAACAGGAAAGTGAACTTAAGATTTTACCTTCTATTGCCCCTGCTTGAAATCTTGCCCAGGGGAAAGTGCCTCCTTCTGACTAGCTGGCACATGTGCTTTGTTTTAACAGCTTGACTCAAACATTCTCCCCTTTCCACACTCCCTCTAACAAAACACTGTATAAAAGAAGCTACTACTGGAATGAGGCATGTATGATTCCGAGCTGAATGGTTAAATATTGACTAACTGGATCTGTAAGAAGAAAAAATGTACTATTTCTTCCCTGCATTTTGGGATTCTCATTTACAGTGGGAGGAATTCTAGTGAGTTGCTACTAAGGAGTGAAATGGGATGCTCTTTCTGGTTTATTTGCTGTTCTCTCTGCTGCCTATTGCATGCATGAGTTGTGGGCCTTTACACAGTTGGGTAGTGTAAAAAGAGTGAAATCAACACAAGCAGTAAAACAACAGTAGCCCTCAAACCATTTCCCTCTTGCTTTATGTTTTTTGTGTATGTGTTTATTTTCTTGCTTTTATTTTCTATTCTTTGGTAACACAAGAAACAGGAAGACTGATAGGAAGTATTAAACTTTGTAAAGCTTCAAAAGAAGCTACAATTTCTTTTATATGTAACTTGCTATTTTTTCAGTAACCCAGGCACTGAGAAGTACAGGATTTGGAAATGAGACAGAGAACAGGGAAAGCAGAGGGATCTCCCTATCATCATCCTTTTTTGTGCTACATATTAGGCCATTCTCACATAGCTATAAAGAAATACCTAAGATCATGTAATTTATAAGATAAGAGGTTTAATTGGTTCACAGTTCTTCCAGCTGTACAGGAAGCACAGCAGCATCTGCTCCTGGGGAGGCCTCAGGGACATTTTGTTCATGGTGGAAGGCAAAGCCGGAGAAGGCATCTCCACATTGCTGGAGCGGGTGGAAAAGAAGAGGAAGGAAGTGCTACACAGATGTTTTGTTTTTTGTTTTTGAGACAGGGTCTCGTTCTATTGCCCAGGCTGGAGTGCAGTGGCATGACCTTGACTCACTGCAAACTCCATGTACCCGGTTCAAGCAATTCTCCTGCCTCAGCCTCCCAAGTAGCTGGGGCTACAGGTGCCCACCATCATGCCTGGCTAATTTTTGTATTTTTTTTAGTAGAGACGGGGTTTCACCATGTTGGCCAGGTTGGTCGAACTCCTGACCTCAGGTGATCTGCCCACTTCGGCCTCCCAAAGTTCTGGGATTACAGGCTTGAGCCACCGTGCCACAGGTTTGTTTGTTTGTTTGTTTGAGACGGAGTCTCGCTCTGTTGCCCAGGCTGGAGTGCAGTGGCGCCATCTGGGCTCACTGCAAGCTCCGCCTCCCAAGTTCATGCTATTCTCCTGCCTCAGCCTCCCGAGTAGCTGGGACTATAGGCATGTGCCACCACAGCCGGCTAATTTTTTGTATTTTTAGTAGAGACAGGGTTTCCCGCATTAGCCAGGATGGTCTCGATATCCTGACCTTGTGATCCACCCGCCTCAGCCTCCCAAAGTGCTGGAATTACAGGCATGAGCCACTGTGCCCAGCCACTGCACCACAGTTTTAAACAACCAAATCTCATGAACTCACTCACTACTGTGAGAACAGTACCAAGAGGGAAATCCACCACCCCCATTCATCTAATCACCTTCCTTCCACCAGGCCCCAACTCCAACACAGGATTACCTTTCAATATGAGATTTAGGCTTGGACAACATCCAAACTATATCACTCCACCTCGGCTCATCCCAAATCCCATGTCCTTTTCACATTGCAAAATACATTCATGCCTTCCCACTAATCCCCAAAGTCTTAACTCATTCCAGCATTTACTGAAAAGTCCAAAGACTCATTTGAGACATGACAAGTTCCTTCCACCTATAAGCCTGTAAAATAAAAAACGTGTTAGTTATGTCCAAGATCCAATGAGGGTACAGGCATTGGGTAGTTATTTCTGTTTCAACAGGGACAAATCAGCCAAAAGAAAGGGGCTACAGACCCCTCACAAGTAAAAAACCCAGCAAGGCAGTGACCAAATCTTAAAGCTCCAAAATAATCTCCTGACTCTGTGCTCCATATCCAGGGCACACCGATACAAGGGGTGGGCTCCCAAGGCCTTGAACAACTCTACTTCACCTAGTGGTCTTTTTCTACCTGCCCTGGTTGCTGAAGACAAAGGATATAATCTCTTGGCAGCTCTATGGCCCTGCCCACTGCCTGCGAAACCTGAATACTTAACCAGGAGACCCTCAGGCAAGTTTGCTTCCTCTCTATAGGACCACAGCTGATGCGCTCTTGAAAGTGCCACCTCCTGGCTGGATGCTAACCAACACAAAACCAGTGCACTAAACAAGAGTACAACCAAGGACCCTCACAGAGTCCACTTCACTCCCTTGCTACCTCCACAGGAGCAGATGCTGTTATCCACGGCCAAAAGGCCTGAGGACAAATCAGATCACAGGAATCTTTGCTCAACACTCCCCAGTACCAGCCCAGAGCCTGATAGCTCTGCTGAATGGATAGACTCAGAAGAGCAAAAACAATCACTACAGTTTGGCTCTCAGGAAGCCCCATTCCTAGGAAAAGGGGAAGAATACTACATTAAGAAAGCACCTTGTTGGACAAAAGAATCTGAACAGCAGCCCTTGAGTCCCAGGATCTTACCCTCTGACATAGTCTATCCAAATGAGAAGGAACCAGAAAAACAATTCTTGTAATATGACAAAACAAAGTTCTTTAACACCCCCATGAGATCACACTGGCTCACCAGCAATGGATGCAAACCAAGAAGAAATCTCTGAATTGCCAGAAAAAGAATTCAGAAGGTCAATTGTTAAGCGTATCAAGAAGGCACCAAGAAAGGTGAAATCCAACTTAAAGAAATCAAAAACATGATACAGGATATGAAGGGAAAATCTTCAGTGAAATAGATAACAAAAAACAATCACAATTTCTGGAAATCAAGGACACAGAGAAAAGTAAAATGCTCAGAAAGTCTCAGCAATAGAATCGAATAAGCAGAAGAAAGGACTTCAGAGCTCAAAGACAAGGCTTTTGAATTAACCCAACCCATCAAAGAGAAATAAAAAAGGATTAGAAAAAATGAACAAAGGCTCCAAGAAGTTTGGGACTATATTAAGCATCCAACCTACGAATAATTGGTGTTCCCAAGGAAGAAGAGAAATCTAAAATCTGGAAAACATATTTGAGGGAATAATTGAAGAAAACCTCCCTGGCCTTCCTAGAGATCTAGAAATCCAAATACAAGAAGCTCAAAGAACACCTGGGAAATTCATGGCAAAAAGATAATCACCAACGCACATAGTCGTCAGGTTATCTAAGGTCAAGATGAAAAGGAAAGAATCTTAACAGCTGTGAGGCAAAAGCATCAAGTAACCTATAAGGGAAAACCTATCAAAGTAACAGCATATTTCTCAGCAGAAAACCTACAAGCTAGAAGGGATTGGGGTCCTATTTTTAGCCTCCTTAAACAAACAATTTTTGTATCCAGAAAAACTAAGCTTCATAAATGAATGAAAGATACAGTCTTTTCCAGACAAACAAATGCTGAGAAAATTCGCCATTACCAGGCCACCACTACCAGAACAGCTAAAAGGAGCTCTAAATCTTGGCTGGGCGCAGTGGCTCACGCCTGTAATCCCAGCAGTGTGGAAGGCCGAGGTGGGCGGATCATAAGGTCAGGAGATCAAGACCACAGTGAAACCCCGTCTCTACTAAAAATACAAAAAATTAGCCAGGCATGGTGGCGGGCACCTGTAGTCCCAGCTACTCCGGAGGCTGAAGCAGGAGAATGGTGTGAACCCGGGAGGCGGAGCTTGCAGTGAGCCAAGATTGCGCCACTGCACTCCAGCCTGGGCAACAGAGTGAGATTCTGTCTCAAAAAAAAAAAAAAGGAGCTCTAAATATTGAAGCAAATCTTGAAATACACCAAAATAGAACCTCCTTAAAGCATAAATCTCACAGGACCTATACGACAATAACAAAATTTTTTTAAAAAGGTATTAAGGCAATAAATAGAATAGTACCTCACATCTCAATACTAACATTGAATGCAAATGGAATAAATGCTCCACCTAAAAGATACAGAATGGTAGAATGGATAAGAATTCATCAACCAAGTTTCTGCTGTCTTCAGGAGACTTATGTAACACATAGGGACTCACATATACTTAAGGTAAAGGGGTGGAAAAAGATATTCCATGCAAATTAATACCAAAAGTGAGCAGGAGTAGCTATTCTTATATCAGACAAAATAAACTTTAAAGCAACAGCAGTTAAAAAAAGACAAAGAGGAACATTATACAATGATAAAAGGACTAGTCCAACAGGAAAATATCACAATCCTAAATACATATGCACCTAACACTGGAGTTCCCAAATTTATAAAACAATTGCTAATAGACCTAAGAAATTAGATAGATGGCAACACAATAATAGTGGAGGACTTAATCCTCCACTGACAGCACTAGTCAGGTCATCAAGACAGGAAGTCAACAAAAAAAACAATGGACTTAAACTATGCCCTAGAATAAATGGACTTAACAGATATTTACAGAACATTCTACCCAACAACTGCAGAATATATATTCTATTCATCAGCACATGAAGCATTCTCCAAGATAGACTATATGATATACCACAAAACAAGTCTCAGTAAATTTAAGAAAATTGAAATTATTTCAAGTATTCTCTCAGACCACAGTGGAATAAAATTGGAAATAATTCCAAAAGGAACTCTAAAAACCACGCAAATACATGGAAATTAAATAACCTGCTCCTGAATAATCACTGGGTCAACAATGAAATCAAGATGGAAATTTAGGCCAGGCTCGGTGGCTCACGCCTATAATCCCAGCACTTTGGGAGGCCAAGGCAGGCGGATCACCAGGTCAGGAGATCGAGACCATCCTGGCTAACACAGTGAAGCCCTGTCTCTGCTAAAAATACAAAAAATTAGCTGGGCATGGTGGCGGGCACCTGTAGTCCCAGCTACTCGGGAGGCTGAGGCAGGAGAATGGCGTGAACCTGGGAGGCAGAGCTTGCGGTGAGCCGAGATTGCGCCACTGCATTCCAGCCTGGGTGACAGAGCAAGACTCCATCTCAAAAAAAAAAAAAAAAAAAAAAGATGGAAATTTAAAAATTCTTCTTTGAACTGAACAATTGAACAATAATAGTGACAAAACTATCAAAACCTCTGGGATACAGCAAAAGTGGTGCTAAGAGGAAAGTTCACAGCATTAAATGCCTACATTAAAAAGTGTGAAAGAGCACAAATAGACGATCTAAGGTCACACCTCATGGGACTGCAGAAACAAGAATAATCCAAACCCAAACCCAGCAGAAGAAAGAAAATAACAAAGATCAGAGCAGAACTAAATGCAATTGAAACAAACAAAAAATACACAAGATAAATGAAGCAAAAAGCTGGTTCTTTGAAAAGATAAACAAAATTGATTAGTGAGATTAACCCAGAAAAGAAAAGATTCAAATAAGCTCAATTAGAAATGAAACAGGAGATATTACTACTGACACCACAGAAATACAAGATTATCCAAGGCTACCATGAACACCTTTATGCACATAAACTAGAAAACCTAGAGGAGATGGATAAATTGCAAATATACAACCCCCCTAGATTAAACCAGGAAGATATAGAAACTCTGAACAGATCAATAATAAGCAGCAAGATTGAAATAGTAATTTTAAAACTGCCAACAACAACAAAAAATCCTGGGCCAGATGGATTCAGAGCTGAATTCCATCAGACATTCGAAGAAGGAATGGTACCAATCCTACTTACACTATTCCACAGGATAGAGAAAAAGGGAATCCTTACTAAATCATTCTATGAAGCCAGCATCACCCTAATACCAAAACCAGGGATGGATATAACAAAAAAAGAAAACTACAGACCAATATCCCTGATGAACATAGATACAAAAATCCTCAATAAAATACTAGCTAACCAAATCCACCAGCATATCAAAAAGATAATCCACCATGATCAAGTGGGCTTCCACAGATGCAGGGATGGTTTAACATAAGTAAGTCAATAAATGTGATACACCACATAAACAGAATTAAAAACAAAAATCACATGATTCTCTCAGTAGCTGCAGAAAAAACATTTGAAAAAATCCAGCATCCGTTTATGATTAAAGCCCTCACCAAAATCGGCATAGAAGGGACAACCTTAAGGTAATAGACATCTAGGACATATTTACAGCCAACATTATACTGAATGGGGGAAAATATAAAGCATTCCCCATGAGAACTGGAACAAGACAAAGATGCTCAGTTTCACCACTTCTATTCAACATAGTACTGGAAGTTCTAGCCAGAACAATCAGACAAGAGAAAGGAATGATAGGCATCCAAATTGGTAAATAGGAAGTCAAACTGTTGCTGTTTGCTGATGATATGATCATATGCCTATAAAACCCTAAAGACTCATCCGAAACGCTCCTAGAACTGGTAAATGAATTCAGTAAAGTTTCAGGATACAAAATTAATGCACACAAATCAATAGCTCTGCTATATACCAATGGTGACTAAGCTGAGAGTCAAATCAAGAACTCAACCACTTTTACAACAGCTGTAAAACAACAACAACAACAACAACAACAAAATTAGGAATATACCTCACCAAGGAGGTGAAAGATCTCTACACTGCAGAAAGAAATTATACACAACACAAATGGAAACACATCCCATGCTTATGGATGGGTAGAATCAATATTGTGACAATGACCATACTGTCAAAAGCAATCTACAAATTCAATGCAATTCCCATCAAAATACCACCATCATTCTTCACAGAACTAGAAAAAACAATCCTAAAATTCATATGGAACCAAAAAAGAGCCTACATAGCCAAAGCAAGACTAAGCAAAAAGATTAAACGTGGAGGCATCACATTACCTGACTTCAAACTATACTATAAGGCCATAGTCACTGAAACAGCATGGTACTGGTATAAAAATAGGCACACAGACCAATGGAACAGAATAGAGAACCCAGAAATAAAGCCAAATACTTACCGCCAACTGATATTCAGCAAATCAAACAAAAACATAAAGTGGGGAAAGGACACCCTATTCAACAAATGGTGCTGGGATAATTGACAAGCCTCATGTAGAAGAATGAAACTGGATCCTCATCTTTCACCTTATACAAAAATCAACTCAAGATGGATCAAAGACTTAAACCTAAGACCTGAAACCATAACAAATCTAGAAGATAACATTGGAAAAACCCCTCTAGACATTGGCTTAGGCAAGACTTCATGACATAGAACCCAAAAGAAAATGCAACAGAAACAAAGGTAAATAGATGGGACTTAATTAAACTAAAAAGCTTCTGCACTGCAAAAGAAACAGCAGAATCAACAGACAACCCAGAGTGGGAGAAAAATCTTCACAATGTATACATTTGAAAAAGGACTAATATCCAGAATCCACAAAGAACTCAAACAAATCAGCAAGAAAAAAATCAAACAATACCATCAAAAAGTGGGCTAAGGACATGAATAGACAATTCTCAAAAGAAGACACACAAATGGACAACAAGCATATGGAAAAATGCTCAACATCACTGATTATCAGGGAAATGCAAATCAGAACTGCAAGGTGATACCACCTCACTCCTGCAAGAACGGCCATATTCAAAAAATCAAAAATTAATAGATGTTGGCATGGATGTGGTAAAAAGGGAACACTTTTGCACTGTGGGTGCGAATGTAAACTAGTACAACCACTGTGGAAAACAGTGTAGACATTCCTTAAAGAACTAAAAATGATCTTCCATTTGATCCAGCAATCCCACCATTAGGTATCAACCCAAAGGAAAAGAAGCCATTATACAAAAAAGATACTTGCACACACACGTTTATAGCAGCACAATTCATAATTGCAAAAATATGGAACTAGCCCAAATGCCTACCAATCAACAAGTGGATAAAGAAAATGTGATATATATATATAGAGAGAGAGAGAGAGCACGAGAGAGAGAGAGAGAGAGAATTATATCCTAAGTGAAGTAACTCAGGAATGGAAAACCAAACATCACGTGTTCTCTCTCACAATCAGGAGCTTAGCTATGAGGATGCAATTTCTTATTTTAAGAAATAAGTCCATACAATGGACTTTGGGGACTAGAGGGAAAGGGTGGAAGGCGGGTGATGGATAAAAGACTACACATTAGGTACAGTGTACACTGCTTGGGTTATGGATACATCAAAATCTCAGAAATTACCACTAAAGAACTTATTTATGTAACCAAACACCACCTGCTTCCCAAAACCCTATTGAAAAAAAATTTTTTTAATACACTGAAAAGATTTTTAAAAAGGCAACAACAGACGAGAATCGATTTCCTGGTTTTTTTATTGTACTATAATTATTATAATAAGATATCGGCATTACTGGAAGCAGAATGAAGGGTATACAAGGCCTTACTCCACTTTTCTTGTCATCTTGTGAATCTATAATTAGTTAAAAATAAACTGTTTTGAAAAAGTCAATAGTAGTCTCTATATCTCTCTAATGCTATGCTAGTAGAGTAGCCAGTAGATATATGTGGCTATTGAGCATTTGAGATGTCTTTTAAGTGTGAAATATATACCATATTTAGTATGACAAAAGAATAAAAAATATCTCAATAATTTTTCTATTGATTGCATACTGAAATTACAATGTTTTGGGTATATTTTGTTAAATAAAATATATTATTAAAATTTAAAAAATAAAAATATATCATGGGAATGGTTGCATAACCTTGTGAATATACCAAAAATCACTGAATTATATACTTTTAAAAAGGTGAATTTCTATGGTATTATATTACAATTTTGCAGTAGGGACCCTTTTTATCATCTTTTAAGATAGGTTAATATTAGTTTTTCTCTCATAATATTGTTGTGATAATAAAATTAAATTAATCAAGCAAAGCACATTAACACAGTTACCAGCACATAGTACAGGCATATTTCTAAGTTTATGAGGGTTCCATTCCAGACCACCCCAATAAAGCAAATACCTCGGCTGGTCATGGTGGCTCACGTCTGTAATCCCAGCACTTTGGGAGGCCGAGGCAGGCAGATCACCTGAGGTCAGGGGTTCAAGACCAGCCTGACCAATATGGCAAAACACTGTCTCTACTAAAAATACAAAAATTACCCAGGCGTGGTGGCAGGCGTCTGTAATCCCATCTCGGGAGGCTGAGGCAGGAGAATCACTTGAACCCGGGAGTCAGAGGTGGAGGTTGCAGTGAGCCGAGATCGCGTCACTGCACTCCAGCCTGGGTGACAGAGCAAGAATCTGTCTCCAAAAAAAAAAAAAAAAAAAAAGCTACAGATAAATGAAGTTCTCAATCGTGTCTTGAATCCATCAGTGTTGCAGTGAACACATGCCACTTAATGGTATGTTGATCATGAAACAAAGATCTGTCATGATGAAGTGAAAATGGAAGGAACTGTGAATATTCAATGAGCTGGTTGCTGAAATTTAAGAAAAAGCATGGCAAAATTTTTTTCAGTTTGTGGTGATTAAGCATCTGCTGATTACAAAGCAGCAGAAAAATTAATTGATGAGTTTGCCAAGGTTGTTGCTGATGAAAATCTGACACCAAAACAAGTCTATAGTGTTGATGAAACATCACCATTTTGGCATTATTGCCCCAGAAAGACACTTGACTACACTTGAGGAGATAGTCAATAGAGGAATTAAGGATGCCAACAATAGAATAACTGTGCTGGGATGTACTAATGCAGCAGGCACACATAAGTGCAAACTTGCTGTTAGGCAAAAGCTTGCATTCTCATTGTTTTTGAAGAGTGAATTTCTCACCAGCCCATTTTTACACTAGCAAAAAAGCATGGATCGCCAGGGACATCTTTTCTGATTGGTTTTACAAACATTTTGCTGGTGCTCACTACAGGGAAGCTGGAGTAAATGACAACTACGAGACTGTTATTCCTTGACAACTGCTCTGTTCATCCTCCAGCTGAAATTCTCATCAAAAAACACTGTGTATGCCATGTACTTTTCCCCAAATGTTACTTCACTCATTCAGTCATGTGACCAGGGTATCCTTAAATCAATAAAGAGTAAATATAAAAACACTTTCTTGAACAGCATGCTAGCAGCAGTGAACAGAGGCATGAATGTGGAAGGTTTTCAAAAGGAGTTTAGCATGAAGGATGCCATGTATGCTATTGCCAACTGTTGGAACATAGTTCTAACTGAAGACACAGTTGTGCATACCTGGCACAACCTCTGGCCTGCAGCTATGTTCAGTGATAATGATGAACAAGGTGGTGATTTTGAAGGATCCTATATGTCAAGTGAGATAAAATAATGTCTATCCTCCTTACATATGCAAAAAATAGACCCTCACAGTGTGTCAGTGAGCTGGAGGACATGGAGATCAAAGAAGCTTTTTTTTGTTTTCCTGTTTTGTTTTTGTTTTTTTGAGATGGAGTTTCACTCTTGTTGCCCAGGCTGGAGTGCAATGGCGTGACCTTGGCTCACTGCAACCTCCACCTCCCGGGTTCAAGCAATTCCTCTGCCCCAGCCTCCCAAGTAGCTGGGATTACAGGCACGCACCACCACGCTCGACTAATTTTTTGTATTTTAGTAGAGACGGGGTTTCACCATGTTGGCCAAGATGGTCTCGATCTCCTGATCTCATGATCCTCCCAGCCTCCCAAAGTGCTGGGATTACAGGTGTGAGCCACTGCGCCTGGCCAATCAAAGAAGTTTTTAACATCAATAATGAAGCCCCACATGTTCATTCGCTGATGGTAAAATAACTGAATTAGTTTTGGGGTTTTCTCTTGGTTTTTTTTGGTGACAGAGTCTCACTCTCACCCAGGCTAGAGTACAGTGGTGTGATCTCGGCTCGCTGCAACCTCCACCTCCTGGGTTCAAGTGATTCTCCTGCCTCTGCCTCCTGAGTAGCTGGAATTACAGGCGGCCACCACCACGCCCAGCTACTTTTTGTATTTTTAGTAGAGTCCGGGTTTTGCCATGTTGGCCAGGCTGGTCTTGAACTCCTGACCTCAGGTGATCTGTCCACCTCAGCCTTCCAAAGTGCTGAGATTACAGGCATGAGTCACCACGCCTGGCCTGAAATAGTTTTGAATCAAGTGATCATAACAGTGATGATGAAGATTACATTAACACTGCAGAAAAGGTGCCTATAGACAACATGGTGAAAATGTGTGATGGGCTTATTGAAGGACTAGAGCAGTGTTTGTTCATAACACAACAAGAAATAATGTCAGTTCGTAAAATCAAAGGAGACTTTCAAGACAAAAATGTTGTTAATGAGGCAGATGACTTTGGAGGAATATTTTTAAAAAGACATCCAGCAGAATGCCTTCTCATCCCTAGAGGACTCACTTCCTGGTCTTTCAAGTGCTTCTGATGTTTCCTCTTACAAAGAAAAAAAACCAGTACATAGTAACCATTTAATCAAAACATAGCATCATAGGTGGAGACTGAAAGCCTGTCACTTGTTATTGCTGATTTTTAATAGCAGATTACTGGTATTCTAGTGATGTTACTGGGCTGCTTACCTACCCTGAACACATTTTTTCACTGTATTAATGATATATCATACTTTTTATGGTTAAGTACTTATATGTGAATAAGTGTGAGAAAATGATTGCTTATCAGTAGCATATAAATTCAGAGTCAGGAATTATGGTGAGGCCAAACAACCACATATTGTCCAAAAGGGTTGCATTCTGATGGATCGATGCACACACACTTTGTTTCATGAACAAAATTATTTAAAATATTATATAAAATTACCTTCAAGATATGTATATATGATACATATAAAACATAAACAAACATTATGTTTAGACTTGGGTCCTGTCCCCAAGATATCACATTATATTAATATATATGCAAGTATCTGAAACTATCCAAAATCTAAAACAATCTACTCCCAAGCATTTCAGATAAGGGATATTCAACCTGTGTAACAAGTGTGCAGTGGGCTCTTACCTAACTTTCACATCTCCCCACTATAACCCAGCATTTGACCCTAAGCAGTGGGACGCTAAGTTCAAGTCGAGTCTGCAACTTCTTCTACAATTCTCTTGGTTATCTTGTTCCACAAATGGAATGACCAGATTTAGTAGGTAATGATAAAGGAAATGCCGTTAAATTTGAATTTCAGACAAACAACTAATGATTTTTTAGTATATTATGTTGCAAATGTTACATTTAGTATATTTATTTATATAATATTTAGTATAAATGTCTCAAGTGTTATATTTAGTATATTTAGTTTTATTTAGCACATACATAATTATGCAACATTTAGCACATACTTATACTAAAGAAATTATTTGTTGTTTATTTAAATTTAGCTGAGTGTCCTATATTTTATCTGGCAACCCTACTCCCATGAGGTCTGCACTAGGCTGGAATGTCACCTTCTGGCCTCATATCCCTTATTATGAAGACTTAGTAAGGGCTCATGTTCAAAACACAACCACAGGGTACTACATATTTATTGACAGATTTCTACCGGAGCCTTGACCCCACTCCAATATGGTTAAAATGTCAATTGCCAAAAACAAACCTATAGTCTTTAAGAATATAGTAAATATTAAACATACAATTGTGTAAACATAATAAATCTATCTGGAATTTAATATTCAAAAGCAGCTCATTACTATTCAGTTTGGTATTTTCCCATTCTTTTAGAAATTTTATTCAATCAGGAGGTTTCTCACTGTTTTAGCAAATGTTTCAACCCTGTGAACCTCAGAGACAGGTGAGAATCTGAATTTTTTTCACAGCAAGCAACTGTCTCATGTCAGTCATGGACTACTCGAGTCATAAATTATCCTATTGTTTTTAATCTCAAAAGTATCACTAACAGGACTAGCTACATAATTAGCAGAACCCGGCCCATAATGAAAATGCATTAGGAATTTCAAGATGGTGAGAGCAGAGCACTAAGCCAGGCACAGGGAGCTCAGTGCAACTTTACAGGTAACATGCCCAGGAAGCAGCCATGACCGCAGAAATCACAAAAGCTAAACTAGGTCAACACTTTGGGAGTGCGGTTATTGGCATTCCTCTTTCCTCAAGCCAAGTGTTGAAATCATCTGATAAACTGTACTTATTTTTTCTTGATCTCATTTGATGGTTTCACCTAATCCCCAAGACCCTACAAAAAGACTGGGTGTGGCCGGGCGCGGTGGCTCACGCCTGTAATCCCAGCACTTTGGGAGGCCAAGGAGGGTGGATCACGAGGTCAGGAGATCAAGATCATCCCGGCTAACACGGTGAAACCCCGTGTCTACTAAAAATACAAAAAATTAGCCGGGCATGGTGGCCAGCGCCTGTAGTCCCAGCTACTCCGAAGGCTGAGGCAGGAGAATGGCGTGAACCCGGGAGGCGGAGCTTACAGCAAGCAGAGATCCAGCCACTGCACTCCAGCCAGGGGGAAAAAAAAAAAAAGATTGGGTGACATGGGTTTCCTCTGGCGGAGGAACTGGGTGGCTGTGGGACAGAGATGAGAGGAAGATGTTTACTGTATGTCCTTTTGCGCCTTGTGTGTTTTGAACCATGTGATGTGAATATATCATCTAGTCAAAAATGAATACATATATTTAAAGAGAGGTTTGGAGTCTCAAATCACACCCAGATGAACAAACCATAGATATTTTGAATGTACAACGGAGGTCACCATTTCTGTGTTTTACTTTTCAGTTTTTCATGGAGTATGCCTCAGTGGGAAGATAGTCATAAAATATTCTAGGATGCCTTTAATCATGAACAATCATAAAATATTCCAGGATGCCTTTAGCGAAATTTAAAGGATAGGTTGAATAAGGTAAAACTATTTCTGTGCTTCACAAATTGCTTTAACCCATAATGCAGGGTACGTTTTCAGTTTGAGATTATTGCGAATTATGGGACAGAACATCGTTCTCATTTTGATCTAGCAGTTCAGGGCCTAATTCAAGTTCAACATTCATAACCGTTGGGGCCATCTGGGCCACATTTCTGTGGTTCTAAAGCTTTCCCTTAGGTTTAAACTCTTATCTGAGTCAGGATTTATTTTTCATGATTCCATTTTGATTTGTCTTTTTTTCTTCTTTTATTTTATGATTCTTTTAAATCATAAGAACTACTTCATGGAATGAGGTGGACTATTCTCAGTATTTATTCCAGAAAGTAACCATGAATATAGGAGAATACACTTGAAAGGTTTTGTACTTTTTTCTACCGTATTATCTGGTCCTTTTTGGGTCTTAAAGAGTAGCTCACTAAACAAAGAAGTAGAATACTGAATTAAGAATATGACGGCCGGGCGCGGTGGCTCACGCCTGTAATCCCAGCACTTTGGGAGGCCGAGGCGGGCGGATCACGAGGTCAGGAGATCGAGACCATCCCGGCTAAAACGGTGAAACCCCGTCTCTACTAAAAATACAAAAAATTAGCCGGGCGTAGTGGCGGGCGCCTGTAGTCCCAGCTACTTGGGAGGCTGAGGCAGGAGAATGGCGTGAACCCGGGAGGCGGAGCTTGCAGTGAGCCGAGATCCCGCCACTGCACTCCAGCCTGGGCGACAGAGCGAGACTCCGTCTCAAAAAAAAAAAAAAAAAAAAAAAAGAATATGACTACATTCACTGAAAAACTGATTGCTGTGTAATCTTAGGAACAAACTTCAAACCAAGCTACATATTAATCATAACACAAAAGTTAGTCATAATGCATAAACTTCTAACCTTCTACTAACTGTGAGGGGCAGAGCCTGGGCTGGAACCCAGTATGTCCTGAAGTTAAGGAAAGTTAAGGACATACTGGAACCCAGTATGTCCTGAAGTTAAGGAAAGGCAGATGAGAGAAGTGATGTGGGAGCCAGAACCAAAGACAGGCAGGAAAGATAGACTTGGGAGGAGTCCACAATCCAGATTAGGATTAGCATGTTGGAATATTATCCAGATTAGGATTTTGCCATAATCCAGATTAATACCAACATTTTAGAATACTATTAGTACCATCTATAAATCATACCAGCACTTATTTTCTATTTATAACATTGTGAATAATTGCAAAAAAACTTAGGAACAATTGAAATGACCAAACATAAGTGACAGATGGTAAACTATCTATCCAAAGAACAGAATGTTATGCAACCACTAAAAATAACTATTTTTAAAAGTATGATGAGCCAGGCACAGCACTATGGGTGGCTGAGGCAGGAGGCGCATTTGAGGCCAGGTGTTCAACACCAGCCTGAGCAACATAATAAGAGCTTGTCTCTAAAAACAAATAAAACAAAACAAACAAAACAAAAACATTATTTAATTAGCTTGGCGTGGTGGCATACCCCTGTAGTTTCAGCTACTTGGGAGGCTGAGGCAGAAAGACTGCTTGAGCCCAGGAGTTCACGGCTGCAATGAGCTATGATTGTGCTGCTGCACTCCAGCCTGAGAAACAGGGCAAGACCCAAGACCCTGCCTCTAAGTATATATATATATTATATATATATATATATATATATATAATATATATATATTATATATATATATAATATATATACTTATTAAAATTATATATATATAATATATATACTTATTATATATTATTATATATATAAAAGCTGCACAAAGCAGATGCATATATATATATAATGATATGGTTAAATTTTCAAATATAATGCTGAGTAAGCAAAGAGAGTATAATTTTGTTAAATTGATCCAGGGAAGAGGTGTTAAGGGAGGTAATAATTATGTGTGTTTACATACACAGTCAGATTGTAATTTTATTTTCTTTTTTATAACTTCTTCTAGTTGCAAACATTTTACAGTAAATATCTATTATATCTTAAAGCCAGGAAAATTATTTTTTAAGGTTTTCCAATACAAAATCCTTGACTACAATAAGTCTGCCAGTGTGCAGGCATCCTTCCTGCATCACAGGTCCATTCTGGTCCCTCAAGGTAGAGATAAGAACTAAACTCCTAATGCTTGACAATATAATGCACACAGAAGATGTGTCTCAGAGATCTATAGAAACATGACATCAAAATCAAGGCAACATATATGAAAGCACTTCTTAAAATCAGCAATGCAGGTGAATATCAGATACATTTAAAAAAAAAAGCAAACTGACCAAATTGAACATGTTATAATTGTCAGTAATGTATTCTCATACAAATGTCTTTTAAAAAGAACATTGGTGAATAAGGGCATCTTTTGTAAACCAGGGCCTTCAGATGTTCTCTTTAGTCACTAGAATTTACATAAAAAGGACTGGAGGAGCTTTTGCAGCAACTTTGCATTATGTGGGTAACACTAGCAGCAGCCTGTCACTTCCTGCAGCACCCAGTTCAGTGACCATATTGAAAGTCCGACTTAGATTTTCTGAACATCAATGAGCAACAGCCTCAGTAGTACAAAAGCAACAAATACAAGTTTACAAACATTCCTCATCCTTTTGCTCTATGGAAATAACATTTTCTACTTGGGACTTCAAACCCAATGACTCAACTGAAATTCTCACCCCATGTAAGCTGGTCACACCTTCAAACAAATAATGTATACTGAACATGGCTACCTGCCCAATAATGTGATGAACACAGATGCTCGTTTAATGTAAACATACAGTGAAGAGAAGTAGCACGAGCAAGTGTCTGCCATGTGCTGGGCAGAGACTTGGCTCTGGAGTCCGGGTGCTGCTGGTATCTCCTAGTACCCCAATGAGGCAACTGCTCCCACACATGGTTTGGACTGTGAGGGTTTCCATAGCATTTGTAAACTATCATGGCACGGGTGGGAGTGTAGCAGTGAGGACGACCAGGACACTCTCATCACCATCTTGGTTTTGGTGGGTTTTAGCTGGCTTCTTTACTGCTTCCACAGCCTCTCACAATCAACATGCAGTTTTCTCTGAGGTCTTTTCTTCTTTTAAAAACACGCTTTCACTCTCAAAACAGCAGAGAATGAAACTGTGGTTGTGTTTATATGCTTGAATACAATTATTTCTGCCTCAGGAAACTTTTCAGTATATTTAATTTCTAAGTATCGCTTTGAATGAGGAAGTACATAAATGAATGAATTTATGAATGAATGAACAAATACATGAATATGAAGAACTTTGAAACTGGGGTCTATAAGAGAGCCAGGGCACTTATTCATCCAAGGGCAGATGGCCTGAGAGAGTAGAGCTGCACAAAGCAGATGCAAAGAAAGGGTGAAGGTGAGTGCATGGCTTCTCAGCCCCCCACTTCCCCAGAGCCTGTGGCCCCTAGAGACTAGGCTTTGGGTGTGGACCTCAAAGAATGACAAGCAACAGAATGAATGTATGACTGCAGATTTTCCTGGAGCAAGTCTTGGCCATAGATCAATAATAACAACAACAGCCAGGCATGGTGACTCTTGCCTGTAATCCCATTGTTACCAGAAAGGGGTGCCGATCTGGACCTCAAGAGAGAGTTCTTAGATCTTGATCAAGAAATAATTCAAGGACAGTCCATACAGTAAAGTGAAAGCAAGTTGATTAGGAAATTAAAGGAGTTAAAAGAATGGCTACTCCAAAGAAAGCAAGTTGATTAGGAAAGTAAAGGAATAAAAGAATGGCTACTCCACAGAGCAGCCCAGAGGGCTGCTGGTTGCCCATTTTTATGGTTATTTCCTGATTATATGAGAAACAAGGGGTGGATTCTTCATGTCTCCCCTTTTTAGACCATACAGGGTAACTTACTGAGGTTTCCATGGCGTTTGTAAACTGTCATGGTGCCGGTGGGAGTTTGGCAGTGAGGATGACCAAGACACTCTCATCACCATCTTGGTTTTGGTGGGTTTCAGCCGGCTTCTTTACTGCAAACTGTTTTATCAGCAAGGTCTTTATGACCTATATCTTGTGCTGACCTCCTGTCTCATCCTATGACTTAGAATGCCTAACCTCTTGGAATGCAGCCCAGTAGGTTTCAGCCTTATTTTACCCAGCTCCTATTCAAGATGAAGTTGCTTTGGTTCCAACGCCTCTGACCCCAGCACTTTGGAAAGCTGAGGCAGGTGGATCACTTGAGCCCAGGAGTTCAAGACCAGCCTGGGCAACATGGCAAAACCCCGCTTCCACTAAAAACACAAAAAATTAGCCAGGCAGGTGGTGCCTGGTGTCAGTACTCCCAGCTACCTGGGAGGCTGAAGTGGGAGGATCACCTAAGCCCGGGAGGTCAAGGCTGCAGTAAGCCCTGATCATGCCATTGCACTCCAGCCTGGGCAACAGAGTGAGACCCTATCTCAAAAAAATTAAAAAATTAAAAATGGTTAGGCTGACTTGAAGCCTTTATAAGGAGAGAGAGTCGGGCCTTGCTGGGCCGCTGGCCCCTCAGTGCTGCCCCAGGCCCTGCCACCACCACCGCCTGCCCCCTGGCCCCTGCCAGAGCGGGGTTACCATCACACACGTGCCCACGCCTGCCCGGGGTGTGCACTTCCGCTGGGTTTCCTGGGCCGCAGCCCACACAGGTAGTGGAACTGGTGGAAGGAGAGGGGCGGGACTTCTCCGGGTCAAGGCCAGGTCTCTTCCCTGCTCGGTGCTATGTTCCTGTTCCACGGGGTGGCGGGTCCTGGGAGGGAGAAGCCCAGACCCAGTGGACACTGACATTGTCTCTCGCTGTTCCCAGCCTTTTCCAGGCGTGTGACTTAATCCGTTTCCACAGCCAGACCTTTTCTCCGTGAGTTCCTCAGCCAGGACTGCTGCCATGCCGGTGACTGTTACCCACCCAACCGTCACGACCACCATGCGGTCCCCCACCGTCGTAGGGTCCTCTAGGGCCCTGATCCAGCCCCTGGGCCTCCTCCGCCTGCTGCAGCTGGTGTCCACCTGCGTGGCCTTGTCACTGGTGGCCAGCGTGGGCGCCTGGAAGGGGCCTATGGGTAACTGGTCCATGTTCACCTAGTGTTTCTGCTTTGCCATGACCCTGGTCATCCTCCTCGTGGAGCTGGGCGGCTCCCAGGCCCGCTTCCCCTTGTTTTGGCGCAACTTCCCCATCACCTTTGCCTGCTATGCGGCCCTCTTGTGCCTCTCGGCCTCCATCATCTACCCCACCACCTACTTGCAGTTCCTGTCCCACGGCCGTTCCCGCGACCACGCCATCGCCGCCATCGTCTTCTCTGGCATCGCCTGTGTGGCTTACGCCACCGAAGTAACCTGGACCCGGGCCCGGCCCGGCGAGATCACTGACTACATGGCCTCCGAGCTGGGGCTGCTGAAGGTGCTGGAGACCTTCGTGGCCTGCCTCATCTTCGTGTTCATCAATAGCCCCTACGTGTACCACAACCGGCCGGCCCTGGAGTGGTGGGTGGCGGTGTACGCCCTCTGCTTCGTCCTGGCGGCCCTCACTATCCTGCTGAGCCTGGGGCACTGCACCAACATGCTGCCCATCCGCTTCCCCAGTTTCCTGTTGGGGCTGGCCTTGCTGTCCGTCCTCCTCTATGCCACTGCCCTTGTCCTCTGGCCCCTCTACCAGTTCAACGAGAAGTATGGTGTCCAGCCCTGGCAGACGAGAGATGTGAGCTGCAGCGACAGAAACCCCTACCTTGTGTGTATCTGGGACCGCCGACTGGCTGTGACCAACCTGACGGCCGTCAACTTGCTGGCCTATGTGGGCGACCTGGTGTACTCTGCCCACCTGGTTTTTGTCAAGGTCTAAGACTCCCAAAGGGCCCCGTTTGCCTCTCCAACCTCTTCATCCTGCCCCCGCTGAGTTTTCTTTATTGAGTATTCATTTCCTGGGTTTTCCTCTTCCCTATCTCCCCTCCTCCCCTTTTCTTTCCTTCCCAATTCATCGCACTTTCCCAGTTCTCTGATGTATGTTCTTCCCTTTCCTCTGCTGTTTCCTTCTTGTTTTGTTCTGTTGCCCACAACCTGTTTTCACCCGTTTCTCTTTTTCCACTCTCTCTTTTGTTTCTTTCCTCTCAATTCTTTTCTAGGTTTCCTGTTGGTTTTCTTATCTGCCTATTTCCCGACCATCTTCTCCTATTTCCTGGGGAGCCCTGAGGCTTTTCTTCTCCTGCCCCCAAGCACCTCCAGCGGTGATGAGCTCCACACCCCCACACCCATTGCAGCTGTGGCGCCACGTCCTCCCAAGGGGCCTTCTGCCCGCCCCCGCCCTAGCTGTGCCTTAGTCAGTGTGTACTTGTGTGTGTTTGGGGGAGTGGGAATTGGGCCCCCTTTCTCCCAGTGGAGGAAGGTGTGCTGTGCACCTCCCCTTTAAATTAAAAAAAATGTATGTATCTCTGGAAGTCAATAATTTCCAGTGAGCGGGAGGCTTCAAGCGCAGACCCTGGGTCCCTAGACCTCGCCTAGCACTCTGCCTTGCCAGAGATTGGCTCCAGAATTTGTGCCAGACTTACAGAAAACCCACTGCCTAGAGGCCATCTTAAAGGAAGCAATGGATGGATCCCTTTCATCCCAACTGTTCTTCGCGGTATCAAAAAAAAAAAAAAAAAAAAAAAGTCAGGCAAAGAACCGTAAGATCTTGAAGACAACTGTTTGAAGTATTTGTGAGGGACAGTGATGTGGCCTTCCAGCCTCAGTGTTAAAAATAACATTTAACACTGTGTCCTTTTAACACGGTGTCCTTCAGAGCGTGTGGAAAGAAATAAGTAAATAAATAAATAAACAACATGTCCTGCTCTGGCAGAGAGGAGAAAATGGCCACTTCCGCCCTTCAAGGCAGTACCAGCTTGGGTTTTTTTTCTTTCTTTTCTTTTTCCTGGTCATGAGGGCAGAAATTACTAGGTGGCCTTTAAAAAAAAAAAAAAAAAAAAAAGTTTCGGCCTGGCAGGGTGGCTCACACCTGTAATCCCAGCACTCTGGGAGGCCAAGGTGGGTGGATCACTTGAGGTCAGAAGTTCGAGACCAGCCTGGGCAACATGGCAAAAATTCGTCTCTACTAAAAATACAAAAATTAGCCCAGCGTGATGGCGGGTGCCTACAGTCCCAGCTACTCAGGAGGCTTAGGCAGGAGACTCGCTTGAACCCAGGAGGCAGAGGTTGCAGTGAGCCAAGATCACACCACTGCACTCCAGCGTGGGCAACAGAGCCAGACCCCATCTCTAAAAAAAAAAAAAAAAAAAAAATGGCCGGTCACGGTGCCTCATGCCTGTAATCCCAGCACTTTGGGAGGCCAAGGCAGGTGCATCACCTGAGGTCAGGAGTTCGAGACCAGCCTGGCCACCGTGGTGAAACCCTGTCTCTACTAAAAATACAAAAATTAGCCAGGCATGGTGGTGGGTACCTGTAATCCCAGCTACCCGGGAGGCTGAGGGACGAGAGTCGCTTGAACCTGGGAGGCAGAGGTTGCAGTGAGCCAAGATCATGCCATTGCACTCCAGCCTGGGCAACAAGAGCGAAACTCAGTCTCAAAAAAAAAAAAAAAAAAGGAGGTTTCTTTTTTCTCTATTGTGAGCTGATGGGAAGGTGAGGATTGCTGCTGCCCTAGCCGGAGGAATGGCTTTGCTTGAGTGTGTGGTGCACATGCCCGGGTGTTGCTGTGTGCTAGTTGCTTCTTGCTGCTGCTTCCTGCTTCTCTGGGACTCACGTGCATAGTGCAATATATATAAATGTGTGTGTGTGTGTGTGTGTGTGTGTGTGTATATATATATTTTTTAATTCCCTGGAACTTTTGGTTCCCATCAGCTCCTGCTGTTAATCATAGAAAAGAAGGCTTGCCCCTTCCCCCACACCCACACCCATAATTTTTTTTAATATCAATATAAAGGTAAAAGCAGGAAAAAATAATAATATAACAATAGTGATAGCCATAGTTTTAGTAATAATAGGTAACATTTTTGAGTGATTACCATGTTCCAGGCACTAAATTAAGCTCATTTCCTCAATCATCTCAACCAAGCTTCATTATAATCCAATTAAAAGGTACTATTATTAGCTCCATGTTACAGATCAAAATTCTGGCACACAGAACATATTTAGCCTAAACTACACAGCTAGTCTTATGCTATGCATATGGTAATTAAATTACAAGGTGCCAATTATGTTTTACATTTTATAAGGAATTAGATTGTATCAGTGTGGTCAATGTTTCTCAACCCAGCTGCACATGAACACCACCTAGCATCCTTCACACTTGGAGTTCTGTGCAATGATTCTTACATGTCAAGTTAAAGGACTTCTATTCAGCAGTGCTCAGATGATTCTGGGTCCTAACCTTAGTGCTAAAGGCAGGACTACCCTTGAGGGAGTCAGCCAGGCCCTTGGATCACAGACACACTGGTCAAGTAACTGACAGGCATTGGAGACCACCCCTCACTTGCATATAGACTCACAGCCTAGCTAACACCAAAACTGCCCTCCTCTCCAGCTCTATGTTGTTAGAAACCTCAAATACAAAATTGTGATGTTTATTTCTTCAAATTATCTAAACAATGTTTACATTGAAAAATAAGGGAAATGCCACCAAAAATTTGAATAAAAAGACTGCAGTATAATAGAAACTTCCTTCCAGGGAAAACACATTGAAATAATTCATAGACTGTGAAAGCTGGTAAAACATGTATAGATCATCCAGTCTAATGGTCTCAATCCTGGCTGCACAGTAAAATCATTTGGAGAAGCTATTAAATAATACAACTGCCAGCTCCCACCCCACAATGTCTGATTTAATCAATCTGGGGCAGTACCTGAAAATTGGTACTTTTAAAAGCTCCCAAGGGGATTTTTAATTTTTCAGTCATCATGGGGAAGCACTGATTTAGCCCAGCCCCTCATTACCTGTAAAATGGCTTGCCTGAGGCCACCTAGAATGTCATGGGCAGGGCCACATATATCTCTGTAGTCTTCTTTGAACCTATATTGAATCAGAACTATCATTTCTTTCAGAAAATACTCAAAAAGTCTTCTTAAAAAAGTGCTAGCTGTAAGACAATCAAAATCAAACATGATTACAAATATATATACTAATACCTAACATACCACAATTTTGACTTTTCAGTGAGTCAGTGTGTTAATTGTAATTGCTCATTAAAGGTGTTCTATTTTCCTTGCTTCAGTTATAGAGAGTGTGAAATCTTTCAGAGAAACCACATGGAAAGGTGATTGTCCAGATGCTGGCTAATGGGCAATGTCTTTGACCACATAGGGTTACATGCTCTGTGTGATGCTCTGAAAACCATTGCAGTTAATGAGCTGATCCAAATTGTGCTCATTTTCCAGCAACCTCAATAGGCTTGTATCCTGGGAGACAGAATGTGTTTCTGGTCACTCATTCTAACCCAAGAAATCAAGGAAAATAACAGACTTCCACAGAAGCTAGACTGACCAGGCGATACTGTGACCGGGCAAGCATGGCTTTTGACAGTAAATCCCGGAGAGGAACAGAGAGATGCAGATACTTGATCATTCTTTGCCTATAAACACAATGGTTACATACCCCCAGATCTGACCGTGAGTATATGTTTCAGGCAACTAAAATAAATATTTCTGTTTGTAAGCTAGAGAAAATAAGATATCAAGAGCTAAATCCTACATGAGCTTACTATCTTCAGTCAGCCACATAGAAATAGGTCAGTTTTGTGTGGAAAATGTTTCAGACAAATTAAGAATATTAAAAACAGTGAAGTTAAAGGTAATGTTTAAGTTTACTTTCCAGACCACAAATTTTTAAGGCTTCTAGCCCAACCATTTATGCAAAGTGCGAATTAAAAATGTTATCTGTATATTAAAGGGGTTTCTTGTATAGTGTTAGAAACCAGTGCATTCAGCAAACGTGTATTGAGTGTTTACGACGTGACTTATTGAAAATATTATATAGCAGGATGCCAACTGGGAAATTAATTTCTGCTTTTTTTGTTCCCAGTTGCTGTAGATCCATCTGAAAGGAAGGAATCAAGCCTCTGTGTTCCTGAAGTCAGGTCCTTTTCACTCCCAAAAACACAGGTTCATTTGCGGTGGGTCTGAGGCTAGGTGCTCTGGGTTATCTAGTGCTTCCTGAAGCCCTAGTTTTGAAAGAAGAAGCAGGATGAATTTTTCTGTATTGGGGACATTGGAAGGGGAGAATTAGGCTTTGCTCCACTAGATAATGCAGAATTGTGAATAAGGACAAGGTTTGCAGATTCTGCAGCAGCTCAGGGGCAGGGTCTTAAAGGTGTCAGGCACTTAAAGGGTACAGGGCAGGACATCAGGAGCCCAGTCTGGGGACCTACCCAAGATGCTCTCATGTGGAGTTTCTGCAGAACATGAGCAAGGACCTGGATCTGGAGATGTGGAATAGCAATGTTGGGCCCATAAATGGGACCACAAATGGACCCAGCATCTGAGCCACAGCATCATGTGACCATAAGAATAACAGCCATAATTGCAACCCTGGATGAGACCAGGGATTTGCCCCACTCAAGAACTGAGAGGCTGCAGGACCATTTTATAAGGATGACACAAGCCTACAGCATGACTGTACAAAACAACGTTGGACAACTTTAAAAATGATTAATATTGGATTTTTCACTGGTTTGCACATGTGGGAGCTAATACCATTTCTCATAAAATCCTTCTCAAGAAAGATAAAATTATTCCCTGAATGTCAGGAAAAAAATTGGTATCTATTACATATGTGTAAGAAACTTTATTAACAAATAATTTGTGTCACTAAATCACATGAATGTAACGCAATTATATTTTTTCAGCCATAATCTAATTCAGATGTTTTGTGACAATGCAAGGGAAAAAAATGGATGTCTGGGTGGATATCATTAAAGACTCTTCTCCACATAAATCCCTACCTCTCATTGAATTAGAAAAGGATTTCCTGAGATCTTGCTAAAAAAATCTAAAAGGTAGTTAGTTTAAATCTGAACACTCTCTCATACACAATCTCATTTATTTATTCTTTCAACAAATATATGTATTACATTCCCACTGCCTGGTAGGCATATCTGTATTCAATTCTTCTTTGACGCTGGGCTGTGCAGTTATTGGAGTTACAATAGAGAGAAAGAGAAATATGGTTGCTTTCCTCATGGAGCTTTTAGTTAAGCGAAAGAACAAGAAAACTTATCAAAAAACTAAAATAAAATGTGGTAGGTGCCATAACGGGAGAAGTACGTGTTCTGTATTAGCAAACAGCAGAACATAATTTAGATGAGGGTGGTATCTCAAGGAAGTGATAAACTGAGAGTAAAATGATAGGAAGAGTCAGCCAGGCGACCATTGCATAAGTTACAGCTTCTCACTATCTCTTCCACCACCAAATTGAGAACATGTTGTGAATTTCAGCCTTATAAGATCCTTCAAATCCAGGTAAGCATCCATATCAAGAATGTATTTGAAACTAGAGAATTGTCCAATAGGATAAAAGAGGGGATGCTGCCTCATCCAGAGCCCAAGCTCTCTATTAGCCATGCTGCCCTCTGTGTCACTTCCCTCAAGAAAGACCCTCCACTTGAGCTATGAATCGCATCCTCTGTGGCCATCTCAAGGCTTCACTTCTTAAATTCTCCTATCTCTCATACCTCAACAATGCCTCCTCTCTACTGGGTCATTCCCTTTGGTGGCACACATGTCATAATAACATACCCATGTTTGTTTTTTTTAAAAGAAGAGGAAAAGAAAGCAAAACAACCTCCTTTGTCCATAGGTAGACACACACACACACGCGTGATACCCTGCTACCACCTCACTTCTTTGCCCCCTTTCACAGAAAAACTCCTTGGAAAAGTGCTATGTATTTACCACCCACACTTCCTCATTCCCTCTCCAACGACTTTAATCAGGCTTTCTACTCCTCCGCTCCATGGAAATGCCTCTTACCAAGATCAGCAATTATCTCCTTTCTTCCAAAGCCAGTGACAGTTCTCAGTCCTCATCTTCCTCATCCTCTTGGCCGCATTTGATGTGCTTGTCTACACTCTCCTTGAAACACTTTCTACATCAAGTTCCGACACCCAAACCTTCCCCTGGTTTGGCACTCTTCGGTCTCAGGCTGGCTCTGCCTTCTCTACAAATCTATGAATGCTGGGATGTCCCCAGGGCTCAGTCCTCAGGTCTCACCTCCTTTCAATCTAACCTTACTCCCTCAGAGGTCCCATGCACTTCTTGGGTGCAAATCGCATTCACACACTGATGACTCTCAAGTTTCTATGTCAGGATTACTCCTCTCCCACAAACTCCAGATTCCTCAAACCTCCTGCCTCCTTCACAGCCCTTCTGTAAAGTGAGTGGCCAAAACAGAACTGTTGATTTCCACTATGCTGTAAATCTACCCCGTTTTCAACTAACCATCTACATACTCCTAATCTCCTTTGCCTTGCCACACCTTTTATTTTTCCATAGCACTTATCACCATCTAACATAGTGTATGATTTTATTTATTTAACTCATTATTCATTGTCTACCTCCGATAAAATGTAAGTTCCACAAGGGCAGAGATCTTTGTTTCATTAGCTGTTATATCCTAAGAGCCTAAAGAATTGTCTTATATATCGTAGACTCTCAAATATTAAGTATATGAACTAATGAGAGGTAAGTGGCTTGCCTAAGGCAGTATGCATTGCATTATATAAGAATATATCCAGGGATTTCTATATATTACAAAGATGTAAATCAACACAAATTTAAGACTCTGACTGAGGCCCTAGAGAAAGGCAGAGATAAAAGAAAGGAGTATGAGTCCTTGAAAGCTACCCTCCTGCTGACCAAGAACAACCACACTGCTGTTATATGAATAAAAAATAAAATTCCATTTGGTCAAGCCTCTGAAATTTTGGAGTTTATTTGTTACAGAAACTAGCTAATACACATTTGAACATGAAATTTTTTAGCATGAAATGAGTTCATGTGCTTTGGGGGAATTTACATTATTCATTCAACAAACATGTTGAGCTCTTGCTGTGGGCCAAGAACTCTGATGGGCATAGGGGGTTCAAAGATGAGTAATAGAAAATCATTTCCCTTCAGGAAACCCAAAATTTACAATATCATGCTGCAAGTTTTATTTCAGAGGAAAGGAAAAGGGGCTGTTTCAGCCCAGAGGAAAAAGCCTAATTCTGTCAGGCAGAGAAGAGACGAATCAAAACAGGTGATGTGACATTTGGACTCAGTTTTGAATTGTGAGCATGATGAAGAATGAAAAAAGAAAATATGTCACTTTTGTAAAATGTTACTTGACAAATTTGATTCCAAATTATTTGGCCTTTTCACTCTGTACAACTGCTCTTAGAGTTTCATTAAATACAATTCATATTCACTTCAGAGGTGAAATTGAACTTTAATGTAGATATATCACTCAGATAGGGATATAATATTTTTCTGCTTGATAGTACAGTGGTAACATAAGGCAATAGAAAATATCAAAGTGCAAAAGACTGTCCCTCATTATTGATATTTTCCAAATAGTTAATTTACCCCAAAAGATAAATAAAAACCCTTTTTAACCATCAAAGACAGCACCACTGGGTATTTCACAATACTTTACACTGGCTAGGTGATAAGCTGCACTGTTTTATGGGTCTTACAGTATTTGAAATCTATGAACCAGAAAGACGTTTTGTCTTCCAAATGTCCTATGACATTTGTTTTAATGATGTTTACAAAGGTTTTCCTAACGAAAACCTTTGTATGCTTTCAAGAACTAGTTAATTTCAACATTTATTAAGTAATTGCTTTTACTTAAAGACTGATTAAGATTCAATGAGGACAAATACTACGTAATACACTAAGTAAGGAAGAAGTTTCTGCAAACACATATAGGATAATAGCTGGAAGTGGTCCAGCAGACATCCCATGGAGTGGTGTGCATAGCAAAAACAAATCTATCTCATTATATCTGGCACTGATTAGATCCTTTGTTAATATGTCTTACCTTGTTCTCCTTTTTACAAATAAGAGAAATATATGGAACTTAAAGTGAGGGCCAAAGAAAACATAAGTATAATGATTATAATGACATAAATCCCTTTTGAGAGACCTTTTTCTCTCACAAATATTTTTATATTTGCCATCTCATTTGTTTTTCATACAACTTGGAAAAAAATATTAGAAGATGGAGGTAAAAATATTTCCTAAACCAATTTTTTTTTTTTTTTTTTTTTTTTTTTTTTTTTTTTTGCGACGGAGTCTCACTCTGTCGCCCAGGCTGGAGTGCAGTGGTGCAATCTTGGCTCACTGCAACCTCCACCTCCCAGGTTCAAGCTATTCCACTGCCTCAGCCTCATGAGTAGCTGTGATTACAGGCACATGCCACCAGGCCCGGCTATTTTTTTGTATTTTTAGTAGAGAGAGGGTTTCACTGTGTTAGCCAAGATGGTCTCGATCTCCTGACCTCGTGATATGCCCACCTTGTCTTCCCAAGGTGCTGGGATTACAGGTATGAGCCACTGCGCCCAGCCGCCTATTTTTTTTTTTAAGTCCAACTCTCAGTCACATTCCAGTTTCCAAAATCAGAATCAAGCATTATCTCTTCCTTCCACTGGTATAAACACTGGACTGGACACTTTGGGGATAGGAGGATCTGCAAATACAGAGATGAAGCATATTCTCTCCTTCACTATGCTTGTAGTTTAGTGGGGAGAGTCAGAAAAAAACATACGCAAAACAGCACATTTTGGCTTGCATTATTCTTTTATATCCTAAAAGAGGAGACAATGTTCTCATTTCAGTGAATCAACATCCACCCCTTTGAACAATCCAGAAATTCAGGAATCTTCCCTCATTATTCCCTCTCCCTTACCAGATCCAGTCCATCAAGTCCCGTCAATTTTACCTTCTAAATATTTTTCACGTTCTTTCCATCACCATTGCCATAGCCTGAGTTCAAGCTGCCATTATCTCCCATAGGCATGAATTGCACTGCCTCCTAAATAGCCTCCCTGCTTCCATTCTGAGCCTACCCAATGTTCTCTGCACACTGCAGGTGGAGTGATGTGGTAAAAATACAAATCTAGTCATAGCTTTTCCCACTCAAACCACTTCAGGAACTTTACATTAGCCTTATGGTAAGGTGCAAAATTCCTTAATTTAGACCACAAGGCCTTGCTTGATCTAGACCCTGCCTAACTCTCCAGTCCCATCATCTGCCACCGTATCGCTTTGCTCTCTTGTCACTTTGGTCTTCCTTCGGATCACTGAACATTCCTCAGTCCTTCACACTTCCTAGATTTTCCCTTGTTCTTCCCTTTACCAAGAATGCTCCATCCCCTCCCTATCTTCACATTGTAGCCCAAACGTCACTTAGGCAGGGAAGACTTTGTTCACTTTTTAGACACAATCGGTTCTTCTTAATGCTCATCACAACTCATAGCTAGGTATTTATTGTGTCATTATTTAAATCTGTCTCCCGCTTCCATCCTGTTCCCACTGCACTGTAAGCTCTATGAGGGCAGGGACAATGTCTTTGTTGCTTATTTTGTATCCCTGTAGCCTAGCACATTGCCTAGCACATGCTAGGGGCTCCGTAAATATACAGTGAATGAGCAAAAAGATGACCATATGAATGAAGGAATACTGAAATAAAGATTTCACGAAAGAGGTCACCCTGGAAATGAGCACTGAGGGGGAAATAACATTGCAATAGTCAGAAAAGGGTAGGGAGGAACTTCCACGCTCTAAGAACTGTGAGAAACAATGACAAAGAGACAAGAAGTCATAAAGCAGGAGAGGGAATCATGAAGAATCCATACTTATTTAATTGAATGTATACAGTAATGGAATATTAGCCCAGAAAGATGTACATTCATCACGAAGATCCTAGAATGCAGGATAAAAAATAGTATTTAATTACATAGTGATTCATTACCGTTTTATGAGCAAGAAGTGACACGTGCAAAGTGAAATTTGGGCAGTATTCTATGCTTGTTCATAAAGAGTGTAAGCCAATTAGAACCATAAACTAATATTACCACAGAGAACAAAGTTATTTTTAAAAGCTATTAACGTCATACATTTGAAAAATAATAAAGATACTGACATGTCCTTGATAGATAAGAGATTTCTAAGAATGGAATTCATGGATAAAGATGATGGATTGAAGCAACCCAATTTATAACACAGAATCTCCCAAAACCTGAGGAATTGGCAGCACCAGGTACTTATAGAAACAGAGTTAAAAATAAGAGGAGTGGACTAGGTACGTTGGTTCACACCCACAATCCCAGCACTTTGGGAGGCTAAGGTGGAAGGATCATTTGAGCCCAGAGTTTGAGACCAGCTTGGGTAACATAGGGAGACCTCGTCTCTACAAAAATTTAAAAATTTAGCCAGGGATGGTGGTGCATGCCTGTAGTACCAGCTACTTGGAAGGCTGACGTGGAAGGATTGCTTGAGCCGTGGAGTTCCAGGCTGCAGAGAGCTGTGATCATGCCATGGCACTCCAGCCTGGGTGTGAAAGAGAGACCCTGTCTCTAAAAAAAGAAAAGCTGGGTGCGGTGGCTCACACCTGTAATCCCAGCACTTTGGGGGGCCGAGGCGGGCAGATTGCCTGAACTCAGGAGTTTGAGACCAGCCTGGGCAACATGGTGAAACTCCATCTCTACTAAAATACAAAATATTAGCCAGGCGTAGCAGCATGCACCTATAGTCCCAGCTACCCGGGAGGCTGAGGCAGGAGAATTGCTTGAACCCAGGAGGCAGAGGTTGCAGTGAGCCGAGGTTGCAGTGAGCCGAGGTTGCACCACTGCACTCCAGCCTAGGCAACAGAGCGAGAATCTGTCCTCTGTGTCAAAAGAAAAAGACTGGTTGGAAGTCTGTTGTTTGAGAAATAGTTCACTAAAACCCCTCCTTCCTTGCAAACAAGAGTTTTATTCTCTAAAAAAATAAAATACAGGGTCTCCACACTGAGGAGTATGTAGCACAGATAAGGAAAAGAATGTGATTTATGGAAAATGAAGGCGGGAGTATGAAATTAGGGTTTACATGTCCAGTGCTAAGATTTCCAGCTCCCTTCTCCAATTTGGATCCCAGAATTCTAGCAATACACATAAATTTTCTAGACAGGAGATGAAAAGATTCTTTTTGGGTGAATTTGACCAGCTCAAAAGGAAAAACTGATACTGGAAGATATGCAAAGGCCCAGCCAAATCATCCTGTGGTGCATCCCATAAATGACAACCAACAACCATCCACTAAGACCAGTAAGACTTTCTTTTCTTTTCTTTCTTTTGAGACAGAATCTTACTCTGTCACCCAAGCTGGAGTGCAGTGGTGCAATCTGTACTCACTGCAGCCTCCACCTCCTGGGCTCAAGCGATCCTTCCAACTCAGCCTCCCAAGTAACTGGGAGTCAAGGCACATGCCACCACACGCAGCTAATTTTTGTATTTTTTGGAAGAGATGGGGTTCTTCAAAACCCCGGCTTCAGGCAATCCTCCTGCCTCGGCCTCCCAAAGTGCTGGGATTACAGGCACGAGCCACCATGCCAGGCTTTGTGCAGATTTTCTATACAAGTCTAATTCCCTACTCTCACACAGGAGAATCACCAGACACATGAGGAAAGTAACTAAGCTGAATGATAGAAACCAAAATTTAATCAACTGATTAAGAAAAGCAAGTTGGGGGAATGAACTCTTGAGAGAACATGGGGAATAAAACTAATGTTGATAAACTTAGAGAAATAGAAGGGGATATTATATCCATGAAACAAAAACAGAATGCTATTAAAACAAAATAAAGAGAAGAGACAAAATAAAGCATTAAAAATCCAAGGGTAGAAATGAAAAACTCAGTAGACACGTTGGAAAATAACAGTGGAGAAGTCTCCCAGAGAGGAGACCAAAAAGAGAGCTGAAAACCGGGAGAGGAACAACAGCAACATCAGAGAGCCATCCCAGGAGATTCACCAGCCAAATAGTAGAGTTTCCAGCAGAATATAGAGAATGGAGGGGAGGAAACCATTAAAGGAATGATTCAAGAAAATAGCCCAGAGCTAGAGGACATGTTTTTCTAGACTTTAAAGGCTTAATTCACGTGGCCAGCACAAATAATAAAAATAGATGAGGACTAAGCTCCGATTTTTTATCTTACCCAAATTCCTACCTAAAGGGTCTAGGGAGTCATGCTCTACAAACCATAAATTCTCATCAGATGGGTTTTATTTGACCTTATATATCGTGACTTATACTTTTCAATCTGACTCTGGCATAACATTATAAGACAAGGAAAAAAATATTTAACCCCAAAATACATTCCCTTGCCATACCTTAAAATTGCCCTGCAAAGTCTCTTGTGGGAAAAATCCACATTCTATAGAGAATCCCCTTCCTCCTTTCTTTTCCTTCCTTCCTTCCCAGATCCAGGAGATAATCAACTAAGAACCCTGTTAAGTCCGATAGCAAACAATTTACAACCTGCTCTCTCTAAAGTCGGCTACCTAAGAGTTTCCTCTGCACAATAAAACTTAGTCTCCACAATTCTTTTTCTTTAACCTGAACATTCCCATTGATCCCAAGTCTTCAGACAACATCAACCAATTGTCAACCAGGAAATGTTTAAATTTACCTATAGCCTGGAAGCCCCCCCAACCTGCCCTGCTTTGAGTTGTCCCACCTTTCTAAACCAAACCAATGTATTTCTTTTTTCTTTTTTTTTTTTAATTGTACTTTAAGTTCTGGGGTACATGTACAGAACATGCAGGTTTGTTACATAGGTATACACATGCCGTGGTGGTTTGCTGCACCTATCAACCTGTCATCTACATTAGGTATTTCTCCTAATGCTACCCCTCCCCCAGGATCCCACCCCCGCAACAGGCCCCATTGTGTGATGCCCCCACCCTGTGTCCATGTGTTCTCATTATTCAACTCCCACTTATGAGTGAGAACATGCAGTGTTTGGTTTTCTGTTATTGTGTTAGTTTGCTGAGGAGGATGGTCTCCAGCTTCATCCATGTCCCTGCAAAGGACAAGAACTCATCCTTTTTTATGGCTGCATAGTATTCCATGGTGTATATGTGCCACATTTTCTTTATCCAGTCTTCAATCCGAAGGTCACGAACATCAAAAACGAACCAATGTGTTTCTTAAATGTATTTGATTGATGTCTCATGCCTTCCTAAAATACATAAAACCAAGCTATACCCCAACCACCTTGGGCACATGTCCTCAGGACCTCCTGAGGGCTGTGTCACAGGCCATGGTCACTCATATTTGGGTCAGAATAAATCTCTTCAAATATTTTACAGAGTTTGACATTTTTCATCAACATAGATGTCACTGTGCAATTTCAGGATATTCAGAGAGAAGAGAAAATCTTACAGGTTTCCAAGGCGGTAGAGGAGAGAAAAACACAGTTTACATACAAAGTTTTGGGAGCCAGAATGACTTAGTTTTTTAACATTAACCGTAAAAAGCAGAAAATAAGGCATTTAAAAATCTAGGGGAAAACTATTCTAGAATTCTACCTTCAGTCAAAAGTTATCAATCAAGTATGAGGGTAGAAGAAAAACATTCTCTTCTGAAAGGCTCAAAAAATTTGCCTCAAAGAATCTTTCAGTGGAATCTTGTGACTCTACCAAAAATGAAAGTGTTATAAAGAGTCAAACTCAGTAAAATATCGGAAGAGGTTTACTCTGAGTTAAATATGAGTGACCACGGCCTGTGACACAGCCCTCAGGAGACCCTGAGAACATTTTCCCAAAATGGTAAGGGTGAAGCTTGCTTTTCTACATTTTAGGAAGACATGAGACATCAATCAAATACATTTAAGATATACATTGGTTTGGTCCAGAAAGGTGGGACAACTTGAAGAGGGGCAAGGACTTCCAGGCTATAGGTAGATTTTTAAATGTTCTGATTGACAATTGGTTGATTTACTATCAATAGAAAGGAATGTCTTGGTTGCATAAAAGTTTTATCATGCACATGAAGCTTCCAGGTAGCAGGCTTCAGCGAGAATAGATTGTAAATGTTTCTTATCAGATTTAAGGTCTGCGTTGCTGCTAAAAGCTGGTGGGCTTTTGCTGAATTCCAAGAGGTAGGAGGGCATAATGAGGTGTGTCCAACCCCCCCACCCCCCCGCCACCACCCCACCTTCTTGTCATGGCTTGAACCAGTCTTTCAGGTTAAATTTGGAGGGCCCTGGCCTAGTGGAGGAAGTCCATTCAGATGGTTGGGGGGGCCTTCAAATTTTATTTTTGGTTTACAGAGTCAACCAAGAAAGAAGACATGGGATACAGGAAAAGGTTCTACAAAGTAGGCCTAAGAATCAACAGGGAAAGGAAAATCCCAAGATAGGATGTCAGCTGTACACCAGCTACAGAGGCAACCAGTCCAGACTGCAGCAGGCCAGAACAAGCCAAAAGGTTCTAGGAGAGCATTTATTCAAGAAGATAACGTCAATAAATTATCTGACACACCTAACTAAAGAATTGAGAAGAGACTTGGAAAAATGTAGAAGAGTTTGGGTTTGAATTAATGATGTGTATGTCTGTAGGAAGCAAAGAAACTACACACACAAACAAAAAGCATAATTATGAAATCCAAACAAATTTTAAATCATGAAGGAAAATGCAAACTGTGTGCCTCAATTGTAAACAGTCATAATACTGTAAGACTGAGTAATGCTTTAGCCTAAGTTATAACACAATGGGAGAAAGGATGAGAAAGGAGGTAAGGAAAGTGGTGAAAGAGAATAAAATCCTTATTTTCCTAGTGAGAATTCAATAAATCATGCCGAAATATAAAAAATCAATACCTAGAAATATGAACCTGCTATGTAGATGTATGATGATATATACCAAATGGAACAGTGAAAGGAACTTACAGTGGTTGCCTGTAGAGAAGAGGAAATGAAGGGTGAGGGACACTTTTGTTTTAACTGTGTGTATGTAAAAGTTTCATAAAAATAAAAACTAAATAAAAGACTATTTTAATTTAAAAAATCAACAGATCAAGGATGAGGGAGAGACGTGCATGAGAAAAAGAGAAACAGAGACTGATCTATAAATAACTTATAAGTTTCATATTTAAATGTCTAGGAAGATAAGGAATTCCAAAGGAAAGTTTGAATTTAAAGAGAATAACAATTACAATTTTAAAAGTAAAGCATTTATCACAACAAACAACTATCTAGAGACACAAAATCATGGAGAGCCACTCTCTGTACCCACAGAAATTTAAGGTTGCAAGGGCCCTTAGAGATCAACTTGCTTCTGTTTCCTGAATTTTTTCTAGGATACCCTTTGCAAGGGCTGTACATGCTCTATTTGAACACCTATAGTGACTGAGCATTCGCCATGTACTGAGGCCCCACTCTCTACTTGAGCTTCTTTAGTTCTCTTTTTTTTTTTTTTTTTTTGAGATGGAGTTTTGCTCTTGTCACCCAGGCAGGAGTGCAATGGCGCAGTCTCGGCTCACTGCAACCTCTGCCTCCCAGGTTCAAGCAATTATCCAGCCTCAGCCTCCTGAGTAGCTGGGATTACAGGTATGTGCCACCACACCCGGTTAATTTTTGTATTTTTAGTAGAGACGCGGTTTTGTCATGTCAGCCAGGCTAGTCCTGAACTCCCGACCTCAAGTGATCTGCCTGCGTCAGCCTCCCACAGCGCTGGGATTACAGGCATGAGCCAGTGGCCTGGCTAAGGTTCTCAAATTCTTTTCTTTTCTTTTCTGTTTTTTTTTCTTTTGCTCTATGGCCCAGGCTGGGTGCAGTGGCGCAATCTTGGCTGACTGCAACCTCCGCCTCCCAGGTTTAAGTGATTCTTCCACCTCAGCCTCCTGAGTAGCTGGGACTACAGGCACACACCACCACTCCTGGCTAATTTTTGTATTTTTAGTAGAGATGGGTGTCACCATGTTGGCCAAGATGGTCCTGATCTCTTGACCTCGTGATCCACCCGTCTCGGCCTCCCAAAGTGCTGGGATTATAGGCGTGAGCCACTGCGCCTGGCCTCTAATTCTTTTTCTTTTGAGACGGAGTTTCACTCTTGTTGCCCAGGCTGGAGTGCAATGGCATGATCTCGGCTCACTGCAACCTCCACCTCCTGGGTTCAAGCGATTCTCCTGCCTCAGTCTCCCAAGTAGCTGGGATTACAGGCATGTGCCACCATGCCCGGCTAATTTTTGTATTTTAGTAGAGACATAGTTTCTCCATGTTGGTCAGGCTGGTCTCGAACTCCCGAGAGTGCTGGGATTACAGGCGTGAACCACCGTGCCCGGCCTGCTTCTCAAATTCTTAAATGGGACTTCCTTAGGTAAAGCCAAATCTGCATACCAGGCATGGTCTCTTGTGCTACCCTGCAGTTCTTGACTCTCTTCTTTTGCTTAAAATACTGCAGATCTGCCCTAAGTATTCTCAGTGCTTTTAATAACTACCAAAATGTTGCCTGTTTTTCTCTCTGGACTCTTACTTGTATCAGAGAACTCAACATTTTAGTAAAAGAATCTAAATATTTAAATATGAGTAAAAGTGAATGTATAGTAAATAATATCCATTCATTCCTGGCTAGTGAAACGAACTGGAATAAATGACTTCCAGAGATTCCTTCCATTCTTCTTAAACAAACACAGGAGTGTTTCCTGGACTGGGATCACTATGTAAGTTACAATAACAGGGATGAAGCAGGCAGGGGAAGGCTAAAGGAAGGGATAAGAAGGGCTCTGCCTCCATGCCTTGCTATCTTCGGCCCTTCTGAAGTCAGCAGTTGTCATGAGGCTTGACTCAAAATCTGTTTCTAAGAGATGGAGTTCCAATTAAAGCCAAGTACCGCAGTGTTGTTTCCAGAATAATTTGAGTCTTCAAGCTGTACTAAGTGCCTTTTTGCCTCTACACATGAAAATTACTACATTTTTCAGTTTGTTTCTATTTGAAGGAAGATGGTTTAGATGATTATAGAGGAGTAGCTGGTCAATTCTACCCAAATTCCACTTGTGATTTCTATGTTGAAATTCCAAAAGTCTCTTTAATACATAATTTATGTTCCTCTAAGATAGTTTTTTTTTTACAATAATAAAAGCCCTCAAATTTCCCAGAGGCAAAAAAAAAAAAAAAAAAAAAAAATTATACTCAATGTGAGATCTTAGAGCTCAGCTCTTGCCAGAGGCCTATCCGTCTCACATGATCAAGAGATATTCTCCAGTAGTTCTCTGTGGGTGACTGAAAACTGTATACGAGTGGTGAGACACATATTCTTTTCCTGGACTTGATTTTTTTTTTCTTTTTTTTTTGAGATGGAGTTTTGCTCTTGTTGCCCAGGCTGGAGTGCAATGGTGTGATCTCGGCTCACCCCAACCTCCGCCTCCTGGATTCAAGCAATTCTCCTGTCTCAGCCTCCTGAGTAGCTGGGATTACAGGCATGCACCACCACACCTGGCTAATTTTTTGGTGTTTTTAGTAGAGAAGAGGTTTCACCATGTTGGTCAGGCTGGTCTTGAACTCCTGACCTCAGATGATTCGCCTGCCTCAGCCTCCCAAAGTGATTACAGGCATGAGCCACTGCACCCAGCCTGGACTTGATTTTTTACCAGTGTCAAAAGCAAAATAATTTCTCAAAATTTGTTATTTGAAAAATTCTAATTTTTCTGGTATCCATTTTCTTAAATTTCATTTTTATTTATTTACTCATCAAATATTGATTGTTCATCTACTATGTGATCTGCCCTGTTCTGCCTACAGGGGATGCAGCAGTGAACAAGACAGAAAAAGGTCCCTGGAGCTCACATTTTAGGGATGGGAGGACAGATAATGAGATTTATATTTATCTTATTCCACTATATAAAGAAAAGAAAACAGGGTGATGTCCTAGACAGTGACTGTTAGGAGTGGTGGCTGATTACACAGGGTAGTCAGAAAAGCCTTCTCGGTGGAGATATTAGAAGTGAAAACCAAGTATCAAGAAAAAATTCAGCAGCATAAAAGATCCGGGTAAAGAATAACCAGGCAGAGGAAAAAGCAAGTGCAAAGGCCTAAGAGAGTCTGTACATGAACGTGATTACGCTACAAGAGTGTACTCAGGGGGATTTTAATGTCTTTAGTGATAGTGGATGCCCTCTTGCATCTGATCACTCGGCTGAGTTCTCATAGAATAAAGCATTCATTCCCCTAGTTGCGAGACTATCGCAGCTGATGTCTTTTAGCTGAATCCCACTCCAGGAATTGCCCAGAGCCTAAGACAGTCTCTCCACCTCCCTGGAAGCAGACCACATCCAGTGACTGGCCACAGAGTTATAAAAATTCAACCCCTCGCAAGAGTCATCCAAGTCCTTAGTGCCCCATGGGCTGGCTTGATTCTTCTATCTTGATTGCAGCACAGCCCACCTCCTCTCTCTGCCCAGTCCTGCTTTCTTCACTGCCCTATAGGTATTGATTTTGAGAGCGATTCTCCACAGATTTCCATCTCAGCATCTCTTTCCCTGGGGCATCCAGCTTAAAACCAAGGTTGATCAATTTAGTTACTTATAAACATTAAACGATGACAGCAGGCCTAAGCAACAAAGCAAGACCCCATCTCTATCGAAAAAGAAAAAAAAATCATCTGAGTGTGGTGTCACACACCTATAGTCCAGATACTCAGGAGGCCAAGGCGGGAGGATAGCTTGAGCCCAGGAGTTTGAGGCTGCAGTGAGCCATGATTGCATCACTGCACCCCAGGCTGCACTACAGAGCAAGAGTCTGTATCAAAAAAATAAAATATAACAGCAGCACCATCACCAAATTTAGAAATCATTTAAGAGTGCCAGTGTTTTGGCTGGGTGCAGTGGCTCACGCCTGTAATCTCAGCACTTTGGGAGGCCAAGGAAGGCAGATCACGAGGTCAGGAGATCGAGACCATCCTGGCTAACACAGTGAAACCCCCTACTAAAAATACAAAAAAATAGCCAGGCGTGGTGGTGGGCGCTTGTAGTCTCAGCTACTCGGGAGGCTGAGGCAGGAGAATGGCATGAACCTGGGAGGTGGAGCTTGCAGTGAGACGAGATCGAGCCACTGCACTCCAGCCTGGGCGACAGAGCAAGACTCCATCTCAAAAAAAAAAAAAGAGTGCCAGTGTTTTTAATCCATTTGTAATTAAAGATAATATGACATGAAGTACTAATTGGTGTCCATTCTTTTAGTTTTGTCACTCTAAAATCTGTACCCACACTGTTGAGTATTGCTTCCTAACCACAAATCTGATCATGGCAATCCTTTGCTAAAGGCCTTCAGTGGCACTCAGTGGCCTTGAAGACAATGGCCGAGCTCCATGGTCCACAGGTCTCTTCACAACCTAACATCTGCCTTCCTGTGTACCCCTTCCACTGACCTGATTCAACCCTGGACCCATGGCGTTTGAGTTATGCTGTTTCACATCCTCTTGCCTGCCTTTGAACCTGTAGTTTTCTCTGCTTAGCAAATCCCTTTTTATTCTTTAAGGCCACCTTTTCTGAAAGCCTTCCTTAGCCCTCATACCCAGAGTTCCTAACACCCTCTTGTGCCTCTACTCTATACTGTACACTTTTTATTGTTGTACATATCATTGTAAACATCTGCCCATTTCTGCTGCTCAACTGCACTATCGTTTCCTTGAAGTCAGGGACTATGTCCTATTTAATATCGCCCCCTTCAGTGCCAAGCCCTTCCGAGACACTCAAAAAGCCTGCCTCACCCTGATTTCATTAGGAAAATAGTATAGACAAGACACAAAACATATTTGTAAAAGTGATGCCTTACTAGCAACCATTTTACAATTATGAAATCCATCATAGTAGAAAGGTTACCTTTCACTAGGCCCTAATAAAGGAGGGTCTATTAGTCCATTTTCACACAGCTGATAAAGACATACCCAAAACTGGGAACAAAAAAAGATTTAATTGGACTTACAGTTCCACATGGCTGAGGAGGCCTCAGAATAATGGTGGGAGGCAAAAGGCACTTCTTACGTGGTGGCAGCAAGAGAAAAATGAGGAAGAAGCAAAAGCAGAAACCCCTGATAAACACATCAGAGCTCGTGAGACTTATTCACTATCACGAGAATAGCACGGGAAAGACCAGCCCCCATGATTCACTTACCTCTTCCTGGGTCCCTCCCACAATACGTGGGAATTCTGGGAGACACAATTCAAGTTGAGATTTGTGTGGGAACACAGCCAAACCATATCAGAGGGGCAGATGTACAACGTTTGTATTGTAAATGTAGCTGCCGGGCCCCAATCTCCGCCAAGTCTCAGAGGTCTACAATCAGAGGACTCCCACAGACTACTACATTTTCATACTCACCCACTTCCGTTAAACCCTCTAATTAGCAGTTTCCACTCTGTTAACAACTTGTCATGAGTATTTATTTGTCTTCCGGTTGACTTAAAATGAGAGAAAACACAGTGGGCAAATCAGAGCAACACCTGAGTGAACTGTTTATGTTCACAAGTGTGAAAGCTACCAAAGCCATCCATGAATTGAAGAAGAACTCTTGGTTTGCCAATTAACAGAGAACAAGAGTATGCTTCCAGAAACCTTCCTGGGGGGCGCTGCATTTTAAAATTGACCATTGAGAACAGCAATGATGAGCTCAACAAGAGATATAATCTTACCCTCCTGACAATTTGTGTTCAGAAGGGACAGTGTTCTAGCAGAAAAGTCAGTGACTTTCAAGTTAGAATACTTGTGTTTCAATTCTCTTAAGAGCATGTGGCCTTCAGGAAGATATTTAACTTCGCTTAGCTTGACTCTCCTCATCTGTAATACAGAATTATCTGTAACTCACACCATACTTGTGAGAATTAAATAAATAAGGTCATATGTGAGAAAGTGCCTAGTCTAGGCTCTTGCTTGATTAAGGTTTGAATAACTCTTCACTCAAAGCAAGAAGTGTTTTCACCAAATGCATTTTCCTTATGTTGTAAAACCCAAGCACAGCAAATCAGAAGAAATTGATTCTTATGGATTAATATCATCATTCAAACTCACCGGCATGAGTTTAAGATATGTTGATTTTGAATTTCTCATGTCAATCTTCTATATAATCAGAAAATCACTTTAAGAAGCTATGACAGACTGCCAACCATATATACGAGGCTGAAATACATTTGATTTTTTTCCCTAAATAAGCTGTTTGAAGAATGACAGCTAGATAGTAAAAAAGAAAATCAACCCCTCTGCAAAGTTAGTAGCTTTATATACCTTTTCATCCCAGAAAATACCTAAGCAGATTAAAAGCTTTCTACACTTCTGAAAAGCCCATTTTGGTCTCACCACCTGTGTTCTAAATTGTACAATAATGGAATTTTAAAAGGTTGTGATAGTAAATCTCTCCAATCAACGTATTATAAAACCAACCCCACCAAAAATTTACCTCCACAGCACAGTATGGAAAACCAACTGCTCAGATCTGAGAAATGTAAAATGTTGAGCTTATTTTTTTAATCATGTTACTCATTGATTGTAAGGTTGGTAATACTTAGACACAATGCTTGAATTGAGAAAAAAATAATCTACAAGCTTTTGTGTCTTTTGGTATGCAAAATGATAAGTCCTGTCAAGTAGACTAGAGGATAAAGCAAATCTTTATTAAATAAACAAAAAACTATTAATCGGCCTTTGCTGTAGCCCTGCTTGATGCAAGTTATATTACTTGTCAAGACTTTTGTTTAGTCACAAATAAAAGGTTCAGTGGATAAAGGTTTGGCCTTTCGCTACATGTTTTCTGCCAAACTGTGACCTGAAATGAATGAATTGGTATTGAGTGGGTCCTCCTGACTCTGTAATTTAATGCTGACAGTAATTAGCTAACAAGGTGGTGTTATAATGAAAGCCCAGGGCATGGTGTTTATGTGATTTTACACAGCTGCAATAGATTGGCACCTCCTTTTTCCATCTTTTTCATTTACTACCTCTGAAAAAGAAGAAGGTGCAAGTCATAAAAGATACAAGCTGCTTGACTCTCTGATAAATCTCTGGACAGTGAAGACCCTGGCTTTAAATTAGCTGTCAGGCTTCAGCCATCTTACTCACTAGCTCACTCTGGAGTTAGCAACAGTGCAAAGAGATTATAAATGGATGCCTATGTCTTGATTAATGCCCTCTTTAGTAAACAGACTTTACACATAGAGCTGTGGCATAGCAGATGCCCTGTTATAAAGGTTAATCTTCACTTCAATAGCACATTCAAGACATCATGCTTTTTCACAGTTCTTCTCTTTTCTTTTTGAATTTCAAATTCTCTTAGAATAAATGAGAAAGAGGAAACCTAATAGCAGAATCAGGATCTATTGTTAGAAACTTCCTGTGTAAATAAAGGATCATTCCTGAACATCTGACTGTTTCACAGGACAAAGGAAATCCTCTGTACGAGTCCAAATTGAAGACTTTCCTCCTTGGCCCATAAAAAAAAATTGCTTTAACAGGGAAGGCCCACACATAAGTGACCCCTCTGTGCTTCTAGCTTGGGATAATTAGCTTGATGGAATGGAGCATCAGGCTGGAACGGAGGTTTTGCATCAAGTAGTCTAATGTTAGGTGCCAGCAAGTAATCCGACTTTATAACCAAACATTGAGAATCCATTAGGGGGCCTGTCCTTTTCTAACTGCTGCCCATCTTTGTGTTGCCTGAATGTCACTTCGTTACACAGGAAAAAGATGGAGAGAAATGAGGATGCAAAAAGATAGAGGCAAAAAGAGTGTGCTAATACATTTTTACTTTATCCAAAGCTTTAGTTCCGGAAGAAATGTTGATATGAGATTTTGTCAGGTCAATGAATTCCAATGAATTGGAAGCAAATCTTCCTTTCATGTGTTTATTGACATTGTCATTTACTCAGCTTTATAAAGTGTTTTGTTGACGTAAATTAGATCTTTGTTTACTCTATTCCAGACAGGAACAAAAATAAAATTCTCTCATAAAAACAAGTCTTTAATTACTTTGCTATCCTAGAAAGTAAGCAATTCTGCCTAAGATTAGTAGGTTACATTAGTCCATTTCCAAAAGGAAAATCATAACAAAGCAGAAAGAATGTGCAGAAAATTGGTTAGGAATTCCAATTAATTCTAGTTAGTTTTTCAGTCTTTTTATTCTATATACAGATAGTGTTTGCATAATTTAATTTGGATTTTCAGAACACTAATCCTCCCCATGTTTAAATGAAATGGACAAATACACATCCCCAAGATTGAGGGATTATATGGCCATTTGCCACTGTTCACCTCCAATTACTGCATGTTCTTACTCTGTATCATCTTTTTTCTTCTGAAGTAAAATCCTGCTGTAGTAAAGAGACTTCTAATATAATCTGAGTGAAATCAGGGGTCAGTTGATAGAAAGATTCATGGTGCCCCAACTACCCGCTTGTCTTTATCGCTAAGAACTCAGAGAGGAACGATTATCGCCAATGAAAGAACCATAAGAACCAGAAACTGGCAAGCAAAAAATACCATGGGAACTCTCCTTCCTTGGGAAAATAGGGACCACTGGGGTTAAGCAAGGTCTAAGAATGTGGAGCAAAAAGGGCATATTTTAGGACGTGGGGAGCAAAGAGCCCAGTCCTGGTTCCAGTCCTCTTACTATAGCAGAGTTGTAGACCCTGCTTAAGCAAACAAAATACCACCTATATGGGATTTGAGAAACGAGATCAACAAAAACAGAACAAAGTGTTAAGAAGAAAAAGAGATAATACTTCTTTTGAAGAAAAATTAGGATATGTCTTTTTAAGAGTTAAGAGTATTTGTGTTGTTTGGTTGGTTGGTTGGTTGGTTGGTTGGCTGGCTGGTTTAAATGTATCCATAGCACCAAGACGCTTTATGCCTGGGAAGTTGAAGCACTTTACACCATATAAACAGGGAACATCCCAGAAAGGGTGACAGTTGCCTGAGTGTCCTTTCTATAAAATTTCAGATCCAAAGTTGGTGATAGGATAAACTTTGCATTTTGGACAGAAAAGCACTGGCACAAAACAGAAATAAGGTTAAGTGCCTTTGAAAAGAAATGTTTTATATATTGTGATAAACTGAATAATAGCCCACAAAGATATTCAGGTCCTAATTCCTGCAACCTGTTCAAGATTCGTTAAATGGCAGAAGGAACTTTACAGATATGATTCAGTTGAGAATCTTATAATAGAGAGATTAGCCTGGATTATGCAGGTGGGCCCTAAATGTAACCATAAATTTACTTATAATAGGAAGGTGGAGGGAGATTTGACAACACAAGAGGAGAAGGAAATTCGATGACAGAAGCCAGAGATTGGAATGATGTGAAGAAGAGGTGAAGTCAAGGAATGCAGGCAGCAACCAAAAGCTAGAAAAGCAAGGAAATGCATTCCTCCCTCACTACCACCACTCCAGAACCTCCAGAAAACCCAGCCAGGGCCACACTTAGACTTTAGCCCAGTGAAGCTAATCTCAGACTTTTGGCCTCTGCAATGGTAAGAAAATAAATGTGTATTGCTTTAAGCCACTAAGTTTCTGGTAATATGTTACAGCATCAATAAGAAACTAACACAAAAATGTTCTGGATTAAGTTAATATGAGGCAGCCAAAGACGTTAAGAAAGGTAAAATATAAAAATAAGCAAAAATATGGTAGTAAACTCTCTAGTATTTTAAAGAATGAATCTCAACTTCTAAAGCACATTCACCCAAGGCTAAATTTACCAGAAGTGGATGGCTTCATGTAAGAAAACAATACAACATTCCTAGTGTTATTTCATCTGATTTGTAGTTGGTTAAAATCCATAATGTTTATTTTGATCAGTACTTCTATTTTTTTTTTTGAAACAGGATCTCCCTCTGTCACCTAGGCTGGAGAGTGGTAGCAGGATCATAGATCACTGCAGCCTTAAACTGCTGGGCCCCAGTGATCCTCCCACCTCAGCCTCCTGAGTAGCTAGTACTACGAGCACTTGCCACTACCCCGCACTCTTTTTATTTTATTTATTTATTTTGAGACAGAGTCTCGCTCTGTCGCCCAGGCTGGAGTGCAGTGGCACGATCTTGGCTCACTGCAAGCTCCGCCTCCCAAGTTCACACCATTCTCCTGCCTCAGCCTCCCTAGTAGCTGGGATTACAGGCGTCCGCTGCCACCACGCCTGGCTAATTTTTTGTATTTTTAGTAGAGACGGGGTTTCACTGTGTTAGCCAGGATGATCTCGATCTCCTGACCTCGTGATCTGCCTGCCCCGGCCTCCCAAAGTGCTGGGATTACAGGCGTGAGCTACTGTGCCCCGCCTGTATTATGAAATTTTTGAAGTGAGCTTTTCAGCTCGATTATGTCAGTTTGGTTCTTTCTTAAAATGACCATTTCATTTTTCATCACCTGTATCATTTTATTGTATTCCTTAGCTTCCTTGGATTGGGTTTCAACTTTCTCCTGAACGTAGATGCTCTTTGTTCCTGTCCATATTCTGAACTCTATTTCTGTCATTCCAACCATTTCATCCTGGTTAAAAACCATTGCTGGGAAATTTGCATGGTTGTTCGGAGTCAAGAAGGCACTCTGGCTTTTGGAGTCATTAGAGTTCTTGCACTGGTTCTTTCTCATCTGTGTTGGATTATGTTCCTTCAATCTTCGAAGTTGCTGTCCTTTGGATAGATTGTTTTTCGCTTTTATCTTCTTTGATGCCCTTGGAAGTTTGATTGTGGTATAAGGTGGGTTCAGTTGACTGCGTTCATTTCTGGAAGATTTTAGTAGGCCAAGGTACAGCTCAGCACTCCTGGTCTGTGTACTCTAACTCTGTGGGCTGATACCAGGCCTCCAGCTTTGTTCTGTGGACCCTCATGGCTAGGAACCTGCTACACTGGAGGGGCTCAGGTGTTCCTGGTCTGCTAGCCACAATACTATGAAGGGTGGTGCCAGCCAAAGCACTTCATCAGGGTGGTGGCAGTGGCATCCATGCTCACTCACATGTGCCCACAGCCATGGCAGCATGGCAGGGTGCATGTGCATTGCCAGGGATGGGGAACCAGCAGAAGCAGGACCGTGGTGTTCCTGCATGTGCTTGCACCAGTGACTGGGCACAGGTGGAAGTGATTGCTGGTGTCCATACTTGCACTTGCAATAGCAGTGGTGGCAGTCTAGGCAAGGCATTAGTGGGTGCAGGCTGCTGGCCTCTGTGCGCATGTTCACAGAGGCAGCAGTGGCAGTGTTGGTGGGGAACAGACTGCCAGCATCCATGAGCACATTTCAGCCAGTGATAGTGTTGGTGTAGGAGAGCAGGGCTGCTAGCACCTGTGTGTGCATTTACACTATTGGTGGTGTCATTGCAAAGGCAGTGGACAGGGACACTGGTGTCTGTGCACTCATTTACACCAACAGCAGTGGTGTGGAGTTGCTGGTGGAGCCGTGGAGTTGCTGACATCCATGAGTGCCCATGTGTCAGTGGAATGTAAGCAGGTTGCATTCATGCCAGCAGCAGTGGTGCAACAGAACGCATGTGCACATGCATGTCAGCGGGGGAGGGAAGAAGAGGTCAGCCTGTGTACATGCTCCAGCAAAGCAGTAAGGAGGTGGCCATGGGCAAGCATGTGCTGGCAAAGCAGCACAGCGGAGGCTGCAGTGGGAGGAGGGTGCAGGTGGGCTGGTGCATGTTGATGGAGATTGCTCTGTTGGAGCTCTCTGATGATCAGGCAGAGTCTTCCAGCAAAAGAGCTATAATGAAGGCACCCAGGAAGCACCCTGGTTGGGCAGCTGAGGCTGGGCTTTCTGCGAGCATGGCCAGGCTGGGGCCCTGAGAATGGCCTGGGCATTCAGATAGGACTGGATTTATCTCACCAGAGAGCTTGTCCTGCTCTCTCTAGGTCAGACAGTCACCCTGTGGCCAAAGTGTCCTAGAGAAGCATGGCAAGCCTTAGAAGATGGGTGTCCCTGGCCATATTCCACTGCAGACATTCCCTCACCAAAACCTCTGGGCTCCACGCAGCCTGGAGTCCTGTTCCTACCATCTCTTTAAGCGGCTCTCTTTGCCAGCTCAAGTGTCCATGCCAGCTCAAGTGCCAGTCAAGTTCCAGAGGTCTGTGGCAAGAGTTGGCCATTCCTGGACTATTCAACTCACTCCTTCCCCAGAAGTCGCTGAGAGCCCAGAATGAGTCCCGGTGCTCAGTAGCTCTGTGCAGGGTTCCCAGCTTCCTCCTCCTTCAGCCCAGTGTCTGCATCCTCCCTCTGTCCAGTCCCAATGCATTCCCTTCGAAGATCTGCTTAGAGTGTGCCAATGCCAGTCTTCCCAATGTCCTAGTCTCTCAGTGGCAGATGTTTTTGCTGGCTGTGTCCAGTCCGCCATTTGGCTCGAAATTCTGATAGTATTTTAGTGGATTTTTTAAGATTATCTATACATGCCTTCTGTGAATAGGGAGAGTTTTATTTCTTCCTTCTCAATCTGGATGCCTTTCATTTATTTTTCTTGCCAATTACCCTGTCTATAACTGAGAGTCCAACGCTGAATTAAAGTGATAAGAGCAGACATGCTGTTCCCAACTGTAGGGGGAATCATTCATCATTTTGCCATCAAAATATAATGTTTGCCAGGAATGGTGGTGCATGCCCTGGGCAACATAGACCCATCCTAAAAAGTAAAAAAAAAAAAAAGGTAAAAATACAAAATTGGTGTTACTGGGCTAAATCAAGGTGTTAACAGGGCCATGCTTGCTCTAGCGACTCTAGAGGAGAATCCTTCTGCTGCATCTTCCAGCTTATGGTGGCTGCCAGCATTTTCCTTTTTCTCTTGTGACTGCATCATTCAAATCTCTGCCTCCATGGTCATATTACCTTTTCTCTTCTGTCTGTTTACCCCGCTCTTTTATGAAGACACTTATGATTGCATTTAAGGCCATGCAAATAATCCAGGATCATCTCTCCATGTCAAGATGGTTGACTTAATAACACCTCAAAGACTGCCATGTGAGGTAATATTTACAGGTTCCAGGAATTTAGATGTGAATTTTTTTGAGGAGCTATTTTTTCACAAATTTTGGAAGAATTTGTGAAGTAGTACTCATTCTCTTTTTTCAACATTTGGTAAAATTCACCACTGAAGCAATCTGGAGAGAGCTCCAGCAAGCTTTTCTTTATGGCAAGTTTTAAAATGACATATCCAATCTGTTTACCTATTACATGTCTTTTCTAGTTTTCAATTTCTTCTTGAGCCAATTCAGTGGATTGTGACTTTTTGTAATTTTATTCATTGTATCTAAGTTACCTAATTTTTGTTATATGGTCATTTGTGTATTCCCTTATAATCTTTTGTATTTCTTTAAGGTCAAAATGATTTCCTCTCTTTCATTTCTGATTTTAGTAATTTGAATTTTATTTCTTTTTTTCTTGATCAACCTAGCTAAGGGTTGTCAATTTTCTTGATGGCATAAAGAAACAAACTTCTTTTTCATTAATTTTTGTATTGCTTGTCTGTTTTCTATTTATTTATTTCTACTCTGATCTTTATTATTTATTTTACTGGTGCTCTTTATTTCTTCATATGGATTCAAGTTACTCTACAACGTCCTTTCATTTCAGTTGAAAGACTCCCTTCAGTATTTTTAGTGGGGCAGGTCTGCTAGCAACAAACTCTCTCCATTTTTATTTATTCTTAGAATGCCTTAATTTCTTCTTCATTTTGAAAGGATAGTTTTGTCAAATATTGTATTCTTGGTTGATAGTCTTTTAATTTCAGCACTTTGAATACATTAAACCTCTGCCTTCTGGCCTCCCTGGTTTCTGCTGAGAAATTAGCTGTTAACCAAATTGAAATTTTTTGTATGTGATGAGTTGGTTCTGTCTTCTTTCTATATTCTGTCTTCTTGCTTATCCCTCAACAGTTTGATTAGGATGTGTCTAGATATGTATCTCTTTGAGTTTGTTTTACTTGGAGTTTGTTAAGCTTTTTGGATGTTATATTAGTCCATTTTCACACTGCTGATAAAGACATACCCAAGACTGGGCAGTTTACAAAGGAAAGAGGTTTAATGGGGAACTCACAGTTCCACATGGCTGGCAAAGCCTCACAATCATGGCGGAAGGCAAGGAGGAGCAAGTCACATCTTACATGGATAATGGCAGGCAAAAAGAGAGCGTGTGCAGGAAAACGCCCGTTTTTAACCTTATCAGAACTTGTGAGATCCATTCACTATCATGAGAACAGCATGGGAAAGACCTACCTCTATGATTCAATCATCCCCCATCAGGTCCCTCTCACAACACATAGGAATTACAGGAGCTAAAGATGAGATTTGGGTGGGGACACAGAGCCAAACCATATGAAATGTGTAGATTAATTATTTTCAGCCAATGTGGGAAGCTTTGAATGTTATTTCCTCAAACATTCTTTCACCCTCTTTCACTTTGTCCCCTCCATCTGGGAATCCCATTATGCATTTGTTGACATATTTCATGGTGTCCTTCTGTCTCTGAGGCTCATTGTTCTTTTTTCATTTTGTCAAACTAGAAAACCTCAATTGATCTATCTTCAAGTGAAAAGAGGCTGAGAATAGAGCAAGTTAAAATACCACAAAGCTCACTGTTTTACCAAGATTTAGTCACTTTTCTTGAATAACTGCTCATCAAGTGTTCACATCCTAATTTCCAAATTTCTGAAAATATTGATTTTGACCATTTTTGCCAACATTCTCATTGCTTCTACAGAGAAGTTGATTTTCCAGGATTATTACTCCACTATTTTGGAAGTGCAATCTTAGATCATATTCTATTAAAGGAGCATCTGTCTTCTTCCTGACTTTAAGTTACATCACCATGCCCTCTCCTATTCTCTTTGGCATATGAAGTATCAAGCCCTGCTACCCCTTAGCAGATCTCTGATATTTTGGGCTTTAAAAATTTTACTGTAACAGGTATGGAAAGAGCAAGTCAAACACACTCAGTTTTTATCTTTCTTTTTTCTCAGCAATGAGAAAGTAAATATAGAGAGAAAAGAAAGAAGGAAAAGCTAAATTCAGATAGTCTTTCTTTGCTATAGACTTGGGATTTTTTTAATGAAAATTTGTCCAAAAGACAGTTCTGTTTGCATTACTGATTTTCTGTTATCAAGCCCAAAACTGTAATTGGATCAAACATTGTATCTATAATTATATGCAATATATATAACATAAATAGTAAGCATGTGTAGGGTTAAACTGTAACATACCTAAAGACATGATGAAATTGAGGGGAAAAAATATAATAAGAGATTCCAATGACATGAAAATTGAGTATTTTACATTTTGCATCAGTTAAAGAATAAACTATAGCAGTAAGCCTAACAGTTTGATGTTGCCTACCTATATCTTATCACATCCATGACAGCATTGTTTAATTTATTGCATACTTGTATAACCTTATTTTTATGAATCTGTATTCTATATAGTATCCTCTTAAACTTGTACAGTATAAAACACTGTGTTTCTCTGTGTGTCAGCACCACCAAGAGCTAGAAAAGACAGCCTTTCCTGACATTTGATTATTCACTAAGACTAATATGGCATGTGATATGGACAAACAAAGGCAGGCTGAGTTCATTCCACATCACCTTTCAAGACAGAACAAAGAATCTGCCTTTTTTTAATCAGCTGAGGAAATATGGTATGATCATCACTGAGGAATATGAATGAAGCAAAATGATGCTATCTTAGCATTCTGAATCTTTACCTAGATGAATACATGAATATAGCTGCGAGGAGGAAACAGATACCAGCTCTGTAGTTAAACCTAACTACAGGTTAAAATTAAAATATCTTGGATAAACAATATAAAACATGGCTAATGATTGCTTATTATAATCACTTATACAACTTTAAAATGTTCATAGGAAATGTCATTAAATATCCTCTCAATTTGTGCCTCTATCTGCTAAATATATGGCTTATTTGTCTTGTTAGGTCTTCTACTTATTCACAGTTTTTTCCATTTATAGCTGATTTGTTACTTTTCAAAATTTCAAATCATAAATTTATTTGGACACTGTAAGGTGTGCAATACTCTGCTAGATGGTCCACAAAGGAAAATATAAGTTAGAGCTTCTCTCATCAAGCAAACTAAAATCTCAATGTAGAGGGACGATAGCGGCAGTGGGAAATAAGAAACATTTGTTCTGTGTTTTAACACTTACACAAAAATCTTAGGATGTTGGTTCAGGACATTTGCGGACCCTCCCCCTCAAAAAAGAAAAAAAGAAAACCGTTGGCATGTTTCTCTCCCTAATCTCTAAGAGTGACCTTTTGTCTGATTTTCAAATATAGTCATGGTAAGTTAATCATTCTTGAATACGTATTTTAGATAATAGTAATTAAAATACATGTATTTAGTTTCTAAACATAACATTCCCTCAAGTACTCTCAGAAAATACTTATGAAGTCACTCAAAAAAGAAAAAACTCCAGGCCCAAGGAGGACATTTCTGAAAGCGGTGGCACAGAGATGAAAAGTCCTTTGTAAATGTTGATTGGTAGAGTGAAATTTCACTTATAATATGAACTTTTTTCCTGGTACCTAAGAAAGCTGAAGAAATATTTACATGCAGACAAGTAAGATCTTTAGAACCAGACATTATTTAAATAAACTGTACCTACAAATAAAATACAAAACATTTTATTTGCTTATTGACATATTAGGTGAAACTACAATGACAGAAGAGAACCAGAAAAATATTAAGATGAAAAAGAAATAAAAGATGACAACAAAAAATATTTATAGAGGAGGTGACATTAGCAAGATGGCATAGTAGGGAGCCCTAGACCCTCCTTTCCCGCAAAAAACATACTGACTCAGCAACAAATTCACTTTCTGAAAAGTTTACAAATTCCCTTTCTGAAAAATTCAAAAACTAATTGAAAGGCTACTGCACCCCAGGTAAATGCAAAACCAGACTCTAAAGTTGGTAGGGAGATTTGGGACACCCTCTCACCAGAATCCCTAACCCTGGCACAGTGCTATATGATCTGGAAGAGACTACCTAGCCCCAGCTTCTCTCAGAGTAAAAAAAGAAATCATGTAACTGAAGAACACAATAACTGAACTAAAAATTTTACTAGAATGGTTCAACATCAGATTAGATCAAGCAGAAGAAATGATAGAAAACTCACATACAGGTAATTGGAAGTAGCTTAGTTAAAGGAACAAAAAGAAGAAGGAATTTAATAACTATCAGAAACTACTATGAACACCTCTATGCACACAAACTGGAAAACCTAGAAGAGGAGGATAAATTCCTGGACACATACACCCTCCCAAGACTGAGCCAGGAAGAAACTGATTCCCTGAACAGACCAATAATGAGCTCCAAAATTGAGTCAGTAATAAATAGCCTACCAACCAAAAAAAGAAAGCCCAGGACAGATGGATTCACAGCTGATTTCTATCAGATGTACAAAGAGCTGGTACCACTCCTACTGAAACTATTCCAAAAAATTGAGGAGGAGGGACTCCCCCCCAACTCATTCTGTGAGGCTGGCATTATTCTGATACCAAAATCTGGCAGAGATACAACAAATAGAGAAAACTTCAGGACAATATCCTTGATAAACATTGATGCAATAATCCTCAACAAAATACTTGTAAACAGAATCTAGCAACACATCAAAAAGAGTATCCACTGTAGATATGGTTTGGCTGTGTCCCCACCCAGATCTCAGTTTGAATTGTATCTCCCAGAATTTCCACATGTTGTGGGAGGGACCCAGGGAAAAGTAATTGAATAACGGGGGTTGGTCTTTCCTGTGCTACTCTTGTGATCGTGATTAAGTCTCATGAGATCTGATGAGTTTATGAGGGGTTTCCACTTTTGCTTCTTCCTCATTTTCTCTTGCTGCCACCATGTAAGAAGTATCTTTCACCTCCCACCATGATTCTGAGGCCTCCTCAGCCATGTGGAACTGTAAGTCCAATTAAACCTCTTTTTCTTCCCAGTCTCAGGTATGTCTTTATCAGCAGCATGAACACAGATTAATACAGTAAATTGGTACCAGTAGAGTGGGGCATTGGTGAAAGAGACCCAAAAATGTGGAAGCAACATTGGAATTGGGTAACAGGCATAGGATGGAAAAGTTTGAGGGGCTCAGAAGACAGGAAAATGTGGGAAAGTTTGGAACCTTCTAGAGACTTGTTGAATGGCTTTAACAAAAATGTTGATAGTGATATGAACAATAAGGTCCAGGCTGAGATGGTCTCAGATGGAGATGAGGAACTTGTTGGGAAATGGAGCAAAGATGACTCTTGTTATGTTTTAGCAAAGAGACTGGCAGCATTTTGCCTCTGCCCTAGAGATTTGTGGGACTCTGAACATGAGAGAGATGATTTAGGGTATCTAGCAGAAGAAATTTTTAAGCCGCAAAGCATTCAAAATGTGACTTGGGTGCTGTTAAAAGCATTCCATTTTAAAAGGGAAACAGAGCATGAAAGTTCAGAAAATTTGCAACTTGATGCTGTAGAAAAGAAAAACCCATTTTTTGAGGAGAAATTCAAGCTGGCTGCATAAATTTGCATAAGTAACAAGGAGCGTAATGTTAATCCCCAAGACCATGGGGAAAATGTCTCCAGGCCATGTCAGAGACTTTCATGGCAGCTGCCACCATAACAGGCCTGGAGGCCCTGGAGGAAAAAGTGGTTTCATGGGCCAGGCCCTTGGTCCTGGTGCTGTGTGCAGCCTAGGGACTTGGTGCTCTGTGTCTCAGCCACTCCAGCCATGGCTGAAAGGGGCCAATGTGGAGCTCAGGCTGTGGCTTCAGAGGGTGGAAGCCCCAGACCTTGGCAGCTTCCATGTGGTGTTGAGCCTGCAGGTACAGAGAAGTCAATAATTGATATTTGGGAACCTCTCCCTAGATTTCAGAAGATATATGGAAACACCTGGATGCCCAGGTAGAAATTTGCTGCAGGGGCGGGGCCCTTGTGAAGAACCTCTGCTGGGGCAGTGTGGAAGGGAAATGTGAGGTCAGAGTCCCCACACAGAGTCTCTACTGGGGCACTGCCTAGTGGAGCTGTGAGAAGAGGGCCACCATCTTCCAGAAACCAAAATGGTAGATCCACTGACAGCTTGCACTGTATGCCTGGAAAAGACACTCAGCGCCAACCCATGAAAGCAGCCAGGAGGGAGGTTGCACCCTGCAAAGCCACAAGGGCGGAGCTGCCCATGACCATGAGAGCCCACTTTTTGCATCAGCATGACCTGGATGTGAGACCTGAGTCAAAGATCATTTTGGAGCTCTAAAATTTGACTGCTCTGCTGGATTTTGGAATTGCATGGGGCCTCTAACCCCTTTGTTTTGGACTTGCATGGGGCCTATAGCCCCTGTGTTTTGGCCAATTTTTCCCATTTGGAATGGCTGTATTTACCTAATACCTGTACCCCCATTGCATCTAAGAAGTAACTAACTTGCTTTTGATTTCACAGGCTCATAGGCAGGAGAGACCTGCCTTGTCTCAGATGAGACTTTGGACTGTGGACTTTTGGGTTAATGCTGAAATGAGTTAAGACTTTGGGGGACAGTTGGGAAGGCATGATTTGTTTTGAAATATGAGGACATGAGATTTGGAGGGTCCAGGGGTGGGATGATATGGTTTGGGTGTGTCCCCACCAAAATCTCAACTTGAATTGTATATCCCAGAATTTCCACATGTTGTGGGAGAGACCCAGGGGGAGGTAATTGAATCATGGGGGATGGTCTTTCCCATGTTATTCTCGTGATAGCGAATAAGTGTCTTGAGATCTGATGGGTTTATCTGGGGTTTCTGCTTTTGGTTCTTCCTCATTTTCTCTTGCTGCCACCATGTAAGAAGTGTCTTTCACCTCCCACCATGATTCTGAGGCCTTCCCAGCCATTTGGATCTGTAAGTCCAATTAAGCCTCTTCGCAGTCTCGTGTATGTCTTTATCAGCAGCATAAAAACAGACTGATACAACTGTGATCAAGTAGGCTTCATTTCTGTGATGCAAGACTGTTTCAACATATGCAAATCAATAAATAGATAAAAAGAACTAAAGACGAAAACCACATGATTATCCAACAGATGCAGAAAAGGCTTTCAATAAAATTCAACATCCCTTTATGTTAAAAATCTCAATAATCTAGGTATTGAAGGAACATACTGCAAAATAATAACAGTCATCTATGACACACTCATAGCCACCATTACACTGAATGGGGAAAAGCTGGAAGCGTTCCCCCAGAATTCCAGCACACGACAAGGATGCCCTCTCTCACCACTCCTATTCAACATAGTATTAGAAGTCCTGGCCAGAGAAATCAGGCAAGAGAAAGAAATAAAGTACGTCCAAACAGGAAGAGAGGAAGTCAAATTATCCCTGTTTGCAGATGACATAATTCTATATCTAGAAAACCCCATAGTCTCGACCCAAACCTCCTTCAGCTGATAAACAACTTCAGCAAAATTTCAGGATAAAAAAAATCAATGTACAAAAATCACTAGCATTCCTGTACATCAATAACAGCCAAGCCGAAGACCAAATCAGGAACAAAATCCCATTCAAAATTGCTACAAAAAGAATAAAATACCTAGAAATACAGCTAACCAGAGAAGTAAAAGAGCTCTACAATAAGAATTACAAAACACTGCTCAGAGAAATCAGAGAAGACCCAAACAAATGGAGAAACATGTCATGCTCATGGATAGGAAGAATCAATATCATTAAAATCGCCATACTGCCCAAAGCAATTTACAGATTCAATGCTATTCTTATCAAACTACCAATGACATTCTTCACAGAACTAGAAAAACTATTTAAAAATTCATATGGAACCATAAAAAGAGCCAAGGCCCTAAGCAAAAAGAAGAAAGCTGGAGGCATCACATTACCTGACTTCATGCTGTACTATAAGGCTACAGTAACCAAAACACCATGGTACTGGTACAATACAGACACATAAATCAATGGAACAGAATAGGGAGCCCAGAAATAAAGCCAAACATGTACAACCATCTAGATTTTGACAAAACTGACAAAAACAAGCAATGAGGAAAGGACTCTCTATTCAATAAATCGTGCTGGGACAACTGGCTAACCATATGCAGAAGATTGAAACTGGACTCCTTCCTTACATCATATACAAAAATCAACTCAAGATAGATTAAAGACTTAAATGTAAAACTGAAAACTATAAAAACCCTGGAAGACAACCAAGGCAATATACCATCCTGAACATAAGGACAGGCAAAAATTTTATCATGAAGATGCCAAAGCAATCGCAACAAAAGCAAACATTGACAAATGTGATCTATTAAACTTAAAACCTGGCTGGGCATGGTGGCTCATGCCTGTAATCCCAGCACTTTGGGAGGCAGAGATGGGCGGATCCCTAGGTCAGGAGTTCGAGACCAGCTTGACCAACATGGAGAAATTCATCTGTACTAAAAATACACAATTACCTGGGTGTGGTGGCACATGCCTGTAATCCCAGCTGCTCGGGAGGCTGAGGCAGGAGAATCATTTGAACTCAGGAGGCAGAGGTTGCAGTGAGCCAAGATTGTGCCATTCCACTCCAGCCTGGGCAACAAGAGTGAAACTCCGTCTCAAAAAACAAACAAACAAAAAAAAACCGTAAAAGCTTCTGCACAACAAAGTAAACTATCAACAGAGTAGATAGCCTACAGAATGGGGAAAAATATTTGCAAACTATGCATCCGACAAAGGTCAGCATCTGTCCAGCATCTATGAGGAACTTAAGCAAATTTACCAAAGAAAAACAAATAAACCCATTAAAAAGCAGGCAAAGGACATGAACAGATAATTTTCTAAAGAAAACATACATGTGGTCAACAAGCATATGAAAAAAAGCTCAATATCACTGATCATTAGAGAAACACAAATCAAAACCACAATGAGATACCATCTCACACCAGTGAGAATGGCTATTACTAAAATGTCAAAAAATAACAGATGCTGGTGAGGTTGCAGAGAAAAAGGAACACCTACACACTGTTGTTGGGAGTATAAATTAGTTCAATCATTGTGAAAAGCAGTGTGGCAAATCCTTGAAGAGCTAAAAACAGAACTATCATTTGACCCAGCAATCTGATTACTGGGTATATACCCAGAGGAATATAAATCATTCTACCATAAAGACACATGCATGTGAATATTCACTGTAGCACTATTCACAATAGCAAAGACATGGAATCGACCTAAATGCCCATCAATAACAGATTGGATAAAGAAAATGTGGTACATGTACACCATGGAATACTATGCAGCCATAAAAAAGAACAAGATAATGTCTTTTGCAGGAACATGGATGGAGTTGGAGGCCATCATCCTCAGCAAACTAATGGCTGGAACAGAAAACAAATACTGCATGTTCTCATTTATAAGTGGGAGCTAAATTATGAGAACACATAGACACAAAGAAGGGAACAACAGATACTGGGGCCTACTTGAGGGTGGAGGTTAGGAAGAGGGAGAGGAGCAGAAAATATAACTATTAGGTAATAGACTTAGTACTTGGGTGACTAAATAATCTGTACATCAAACCTCCTAACATGAGTTTACCTATATAAAAAACTTGCACATGTATCCTTGAACCTAAAATAAACATCAAAAAAAGAAAAAACAATGAATTTAAAAAAGTAAAGAAAACTTAAGGGACTTATAGTACAGCATCGAGCAGACCAATATACACATTATGGAAGTTTGAGAAGGAGAACAGAGAAAGCGTATTTAAAAAATAACGGCTGAATACTTCCCAAATCTGAGGAAGAAATGAGCACCCAGATCCAAGGACCCCAAAGGATACCAAATAAGAGAAACCCAAAAAATTCACACCAAGACACTTTGTAATCAAATTGTTAAAAGTCTAAGACAAAGAGAAATTTTTGAAAGCAGCAAGAGAAAAGTATCTTGTCACATAAGAGGAAATCCCCAAAAGACTATCAGTGACTTTTTCACAGAAACCTTGCAAGCCAGACGAAAGTGGAGTGATGTATTCAAAGTGCTAAAAGAAGAAAACCTGCCAGCTTGGTGCAATAGCACACACCTGTAGTCCCAGCTACATGGGAGGCCTAGGTGGGAGAATTGTTTAAGCCCAGGAGTTAAAGACCAACCTGGGCAACATAGCAAGACAGCAACTCATAAATAAATAAATAAATAAATAAATACTGTCTGCCAACCAAGAATACTATACCCAGCAAAACTATAATTCAAAAATGAAGAAGAGGCTGGGCGCAGTGGCTCATGCCTGTAATCCCAGCACTTTGGGAGGCCGTGGTGGGCAGATCACTTGAGGTCAGGAGTTCGTGATCAGCCTGGTCAACATGGTGAAACCCCGTCTCTACTAAAAATACGAAAATTAGCCGGGCGTGGTGGCAAGCACCTGTAATCCCAGCTACTCGGGAGGCTGAGGTGGGAGAATTGTTTGAACCTGGAAGGCAGAGGTTGCAGTGAGCCAAGATTGTGCCACTGCACTCCAGCCTGGGCGACAAAGCAAGACCTTGTCTCAAAAAAAAAAAAAGAAAGAGAGATGAAGACTTTCTTAGGCAAACAAAATCTGTAAATGTTTATCACTAATAGACTGCCTTGCAAGAAATTCTACTGGGAGTTCTTCAAGTTAAAATGGAAGAATACTAAACAACAACATAACAGCATGACAAAGAATAAGACTCTTTGGTAAAGGTAAATATAAAGACAAACACAGAATACTGTATTACTGTAATGGTGGTAGGTAAATCATGTGTAATTCTACCATAAAAGTTAAAAGACAAAACTGTTTAAAAAATATATAACTAGAATTATCTTAAAAGATGCCCAATGTGAATAGACATAAATTATAACTATAATAACATAAAATGAGGAGGAAGATATTAACGTGTAGAATTTTTATATGCAACTGAATTTGCTATTAGCTTAAAATAGACTGTTATTAGCTTAAAATAGACTGTGGTTATTTTACCCAAAGGTAACCACAAAGTATATAGAAGTTACACAAAAGAAAAAGAGAATAAAATAATAAAATAAAAGCATTTCAATACAAAACTCAATACAACACAAAGGAAGACAACAAAAGATAAAAAGACAGACCAAAGAACTATAAGATTCAGAGAAAACTAACAAAAGCAAAACTAAATCCTTCCCTTTCACAATTACTTTAAATATAGATAGATTAAACATCTCAATAAAAATACATAGTGACTAAATTAATTTAAAAACAAGACACCAAAAATATTTGGAAACCAAAAAACACACTCTTGAACAGCCATTTGGACAAATAAAATTTTTTTTAAATTACAAAATACTTCAAGAGAAATGCAAACAAAAATGTAACACAACAAATCTTATAAAATTCAGCAAAAGTTGTATTAAATAAACACCTATATTTAAAAAGAAGAAATATCTCAAATGAACAACCTAACTTTCCACCTAAAGGAGTTAGAAAAAGTAGAACAAACTAAGCCTGAAGATAGCAGAAGGAAAGAAATAATAACAATTACAGCAGACATAAACAAAAAAGAAAATGGGGGTAAACAAATTTTAAAAATCAACAAAACAAATATTTGAGCTTCTGAAAAGATAAAATCAACAAACCATTAGCTAAACTAAGTAGGGAAAAAGGGTGAAAACTCAAATATAATCAGAAACAAAGGAGAAAACATTACAACTGCTGCCACAAAATGAAAACGATCATAAGAGACTACTATCAAAAATTACATGCTAGCAAACTGGATAACCTAGAAAAAACTGGATAAATTTCTAAAAACACACCTAACCTAACCTAACCTAAGACTTAATCTTAAAGAAGTACAAAGAGAACAGACTTGTAACTAACATAGAAATTAAACAGTAATCAATAATCTACCAACAAAAACAGGCCAGGACCAAATGCCTTTACTGGTGAATTCTATTAAACATTTAAAGAAGAATTAATGAAATTCTTCCCAAACTCTTCCAAAAAATTGAAGAGGAGGGAACATTTCTAAATTCACTTTAAGAGGCCATTATTACTTTGATAGCAAAGCCAGACAAAAATATCACAAGAAAAGAAAACTGCAGATCAATATCCCTGATGATTATAGTTGCAAAAATCCTCAACAAAGTACTAACAAGCCAAATCCATCAGAACATCAAAAGGATCATACACTATGACCAAATGAGATTTATCCATGAAATGTAAGGATGACTCAACATACAAAAATTAGTTAATGTGATACACCATAATCACAGAATAAGGAATAAAAGTTACACAATAATCTCAATAGATGCAGAATAAGCATTTGACAAAATCTGATATCATTTATTGATTACAAAAAGAAAAGTCTCAACAAACTAGGAACAGAAAAAAGTGCCTCAACATAATAAAGGCCATATATGACAAAACCACAGCTAACATTACATTCAACAGTGAAAGCCTGAAAGCTCTTCCTTTATGATAAGGAACAATGCAAGAATGCTCATTCTTGCCACTTAGTACTGGAAGGTCTAGACAAAGCAACTGCAAACAAATAATAAAAGGTATACAAATCAGAATGGAGGAAGAAAATTGTCACAATCGCAGATGGGATATTCTTTTATCTAGAAAATCCTAAAGACTCCATAAAAATTGTTAGAACTCATAAATGAATTCAGTAAAGTTTCAGGATACAAAACCAACATACAAAAATCAGTTGTGTGTCTGTTCACTAACAATGAACTATCTGAAAAAGAAATTAGGAAAACAATCTCATTTATGATAGCATCAAAAAGAATAAAATACTTAGAAATAAGTTTAGTGAAACAGGTTGAAGACTTGTAAACCAAAAACTAAAAAACACTGATGGAAGAAATTAAAGAAGACACAAACAAATGGAAGGATATCCTGTGTTCATTAATTGGAACCTTTAGTATTTTTAAAATGTCTCTATTTCCCAAAGCGTTCTAAAGACTCAATGCAATTTCTACCAAAATTCCTATAGCATTTTTACAGAAACAGAAAAATATATTCTTTAAATATATTCTTTTTTTTTTTTTTTTTTTTAGACAGAATTTCGCTCTGTCACCCAGGCTGGAGTGCAGTGGCACAATCTTGGCTCACTGCAAGCTCCACCTCCCGGGTTCATGCCATTCTCCTGCCTCAGCCTCCTGAGTAGCTAGGACTACAGGCGCCCGCCACCATGCCCAGCTAATTTTTTGTATTTTTAGTAGAGACAGGGTTTCACCGTGTTAGTCAGGATGGTCTCAATCTCCTGACCTTGTGATCTGCCCGCCTCGGCCTCCCAAAGTGCTGAAATTACAGGCGTGAGCCACCACACCCAGCAGAAAAAGATATTCTAAAATTCATATGGAACCACAAAAGACAATGAATAGCCAAATGAATCCAGAGAAGGAAGAACAAAGTTGGAGGCATCAAATGTACTAATTTCAAAATATATTACAAAGCTACAGTAATCAAAACAGTATGTTACTGGCATAAAGACAGATAGGTTAATGAAACAGAAAGGGACCAAAAATATACCCACTCATATGCAGTTAAGCAATCTTCAACAAACCAATAACGAATAATGAGATTGAAGTCACAATTAAAATCTCCCATCAAAGAAAATCCCAGGGCCTGATGGCTTCACTGCTGAATGCTACCAAACATTTAAAGAAGAACTAATACCAATCCTACTGAAACTCTTCAAAAAATCTGAAGAGGAGAGAATATTGCCAAACTCTTGCTACAAGGTCGACATTACTCTGATACCAAAACCAGATGAGGGCAGAACAAACAAAAAAAAGAAAACTAAAGGCCAATATCACTGATGAACATAGATGCAAAACTCCTCAACAAAATACTAGCAAATGAAATTCAACAACACATTAAAAAGATCAATCACCAGGGTCAAGTGGGATTCATTCCATGGATGCAAGTCTAGTTCAATGTACGTAAATCAATAAAATCAATAAACATGATACATCAGATTAACAGAATCAACAAGAAAAACCATATGATTATTTTAATAGATGCTGAAAAAGCATTTGATAAAATTTAACATACCTCTATGATAAAAACCCTCATCAAAATGAGTATAGAATAAACATACCTCAAAATAACAAAGAACACATATGACAAACCCACATCTAACATCATATAAATGGGGGAAAATGAAGGTCCTTCCTCTAAGGGCTAGAACAAAACAAGGATGCTCACTCTCACCACTATTACTCAACATAATAGTGGAAGTCCTGACCAGAGCAATTAGATAAAAGAAAAACATAAAGGGCATCCAAATTGTAAAGAAAGAAGAGAAATTAGCCTTGTTTGAAGATAATATGATCTTATACCCAGAAAAACTAGAAACTCCACCAAAAAACTCTTAGAGCTGATAAACAAATTCAGAAAAGTAGCAGGATACAAAATCAACATGCAAGAATCAGTAGCATTAAATACACCAACAGTGAACAATCTGCAAAAGAAATTAAGAAAGAATTAGATTTCCAATAGCTACCAAAAAATAAATTACCCATGAATCAATCTAATAAAAAAGTAAAAGATCTATACAGTAAGAACTATAAAACAGATTTTTTAAATGAAGAAGAAAAAAATTGAAAGATAATCCATTCTCATGGGAGGAGAAGAATTGATATTGATAAGTGACAATACTACCCAAAGCCATTTACAGATTCAATGCTATCCCTGTCAAAATACCAATGACATTCTTCACAGAAATAGAAATAAAAGCTGTACAATTGATGTGAAACCACAAAACACCTCGAATTGCCAAAGCAATACTGAGCAAAAAGAACAAAGCTGGAGGCATCACACTACCTGACTTCAAAATTTATTATAAAGCTAAAGTAACCAAAACAGCATGTTACTGGTATAAAACAGGCACATAGACCAATGGAACAAAATAGAGAACCCGGATATAAATCCATGCATTTACAGCCAACTCATCTTCAACAAAAGCACAAAGAGCATACAATGGGGCAAAGATAATCTTCTCAATAGTGATGGAAAAACTGGAGAATTATATGCAGAAGAAAGGAACTAGACCCCATTTCTCATCATTCATCAAAATCAAATCAAAATGGACTAAAGACTTAAACCTGAGACCTGAAACTCTGAAACTACTAGACGAAAACATTGGGGAAACACTCCAGGACATTGGCCTGGGCAAAGATTTTTTGTATAAGACTTCAAAATCATAGACAACAAAAGCAAAAATAAACAAATAGGATTATATTAAATTAAAAAGCTTCTGCATTGCTAAGGAGACATTCAACAAAGTGAAGCGACAACCCACAAAATGGGAGAAAATATTTACAAATGATCCATCTGACAAGAAACTAATAACCAGAATATATAAGGAGCTCAAACAACTCAATCACAAAAAACAAATAATCTAATTTTAAAATGGGCAAAAGATCTGAACAGACATTTCTTAAAAGAAGATATACAAATGGCCAACAGGTATATGAAAAATGCTCAGCATCACTAACCATCAAATGCAAATCTAAGCCGCAATGAGATATCTTACCCCAGTTAAAATGGCTTGTATAAAAAACAAACAAACAAAAAACAGGGAATAACAGATGCTGGCAAGGATGTGGAGAAGGAGCATCCTCATACGTTGTTGGTGGAAATGTAAATTAATACAGCCACTATGGAGAACAGTATGGAAATTCCTCAAAAAACTAAAAATAGAACTACCACATGAACCAGCAATTCCACTGCTCGGTATATACTCAAAAGAAAGGAAATCAGTATACTGAAGGAACATCTACATTCCCATGTTTATTGCAGCATGATTCACAATAGCCAAGATATGGAATCAACTTAAGTGCCCGGCAACAGGTGAATGAATAAAGAAAATGTGGTGTATGTACATCCATATGACAACATGGATGAACCTGGAGGATATTATGTTAAATGAAATCAGCCAAGCACAGAGAGACAAATATTGCATGTTCTTAGTCATATGTGGGAGCTAAAAAAGCGGATCTCATGAAGACAGAGAGTAGAATGGTGGTAACCAAAGTCTAGGAAGGGTATGGAGGAGGGAGGAATTAAAGGAATTTTTTAAAAAGAATATAAATACATTTATTAACACTGAACTGTATACTTAAAACAATAAAGATGGCGAATTTTATATATATTTTGACCTCAATAAAAAGTCCAATTTTTTAAAAATCATGTACATTATACATTTATTCATTTCTCAAATAATTATTGAGTACCTCCTCTGTGCCAGGTACAGTTCTGCATTCTAGAGATAGGCTCACAGAGCAAAATCACTGTGTGCAGGATGATGCTTACATTTCAGTGGAGGGAACAGATTAAAAGCAAATAAATACACACCATAAGGCCAGATGGTGAAAAAAAAAAAAAAAGCAACGCAAAGGAATGGTAGTAGAAGAGCAAGTGGTGCTATTTGCCAGGAAAGACCTCTAGTATTTTGCCATCTGAGTCTAACCCAACCCTTTATTTGGAAAGTGCCAATGTCAAACAATATAACTCCTTCTCAGTTCATTTCTATTAACCTTGTAACAAGGGTACAAAAAAAAAATCTCCCAAACTCCCCAGCTGAGTATAACCAACAAAATCTCGAATACTTAGCCTTGCCAGTTAAAGCCAGCCAATTTTTGCAAAATATGCAATCTTTATCCCAAAGCCAGGTTGGGGAACCAAGAAGAAAGATTAAAGACATGGTCACACCCTTTGAGTATCATCAGGTGCTGCCCAGCATACTCCTCACTCCTATATGACACTTTTTATTTCTCCAGCTTGCTTAAAAGACTAGGTGGCTTTATATAGATACAGAACAGAGGTAGAAAAACAGCCTGCGATTCAATATATGTCTTATAAACTATTCTGTTGTTTTGTCTTACCTGTTTACAATACACTATTTACTTATTTATATTTGTACAAGACATCCCGTAATACACTTTAGTCCAGGCTTTTGTGGTGTGAGAACTTAATATATAAAAATAAAACTCAATATTTTCATATATTCAATTATATAGAAATGTTTTCACCCCCCAAAACGTGCCCTGGGAGAAATACCAGATTCTGCGAGCTACACTGTTTATATCTTTGTTTGTCAGAGCCACTTGTAAGCTGCAAAATAATCCTTACTCTTTTCTTGCTATCTCTTAACATGGATGAAAATCTAGCATATGACGTATATCTTCCACCAAGGAACAAATAATCCCAGAGGGCAGAAAGTCTTTGGTTTTATTTGCATCTATCTAAATTGACTTATGCAGAATTTGTGTTCCCTCCCACCATTTTAATAAGTGTTTACATACTATCACTCCCCAAAGACTCAGCTGATAAAATTCTGTCTTGGAACTAATTATACTTCAAGACAGTCCTACTCTCCACGGATATACTTGAGACAGAAACTTCCAATCCTGATATTTAAAATGAATTCAGAGCTCCTTCTTGTGGATTCCATATGTAAATGCTACTACTTCCTAAACAATGATCAATTCACTAGGGAAAAAATAACCTAAGTGGTACCATTCTTTGTAAAAATATTCTCAGATTTAGGAAACATAAGTGTGTAAAATTGGCATCTCTGCCTAGTGTATAAACTTTACTGGCTAAATGAATGCTCATTCATGTATTTAATTTCAGATTCGATCCTGTTGTTGGGTTGTTTTCTTGCTGTTTCAATATTCAGTGAATACTTTCGCATATGCTGCCGCTTTGAATACTGTGGGGTTCTGAGACTCAATGAATATGCAGCACCGCCACTCGTGAAGAGTAACATAATGTGTTATGGTATCGTCCCTACTTTTTATTTTAAAGGATTTTCTATCTTGGTGTGAAATGCTGTACATAACAACCAGGACTTAGGGATGCATGCAGGGGCTGCTTCCTGGGCCAGTTGCCAGTGCAGCCGCCCAGGGATTCCCATTCATAACAGCCTCTCGTTTGGGGTTTAATGCGCTGCAGTCTTTGTCTTAAAATTCTTACCAATGTTATCTTCCAATTCGTTTTTTTGTAAGTAAAGTCTGATGGCACAATCGAGCATGTGCCAGAGGACTTGAAGCCTTGGCTCCAGAGCAGTCCTGCCTCCCACTGCCTTCCTGGGACAGACTCTGGCCTGCCAGGCTCTTATCTCCAGGGTGCTCTGAGCCCCACCCAACCCTCCATTTCCATTCCCATCACCACTCAGCTAGTGCTGCCACCCTCCACCTGCAGTGGAGGCCTGGGTATGGGCATGAGGAGCCTTCAGAGTCATGCATATGAGAACGCACTTGCCCATATGTCAGGGAGGGACATGGCAGTGGCCAGGTCCTCTTTCTGGGCTGGCAGCTCCACAGCACACTTAGTAGGAGATGTGGTGGGGGGCTAGGCTTTTGCCTAACCCAATCCAGGTACCTTATGTATCATGGTGAGGAGGTTGCAATCCCTTGGGGATCACCTGTCCACTGTTGGTTAAAGCAAATGTTCCAGAGGAAAGGGAAACAGATTTCTCTCAGTGGTTTGGCGCTAGTGGGAGGGGGACCCCGGCAGCTGGTGGGCACAAGCATAAGTCACAGGATGGCGTCCCTCAAGTGTCCCCGTGCCTGAGGCAGTACAACATGAAGTAGCAAATAAAAGACACTGTGACAGACCAAGAGAGATTGTGGAAGAAAAGGGAAAGTTTTTTTATTTTTAAACAAGGGCCCTGCATTTTCATCTTACACTGGGTTCAGCAAGTTGTGTAACCAGCCTTGATTATATGCTTTCGCCAAACTTTTCCCAAAATTCTGTATCTTTTTCCTGTCAAATTATTTTTCTAATTGGAGGTAGAGAAGCTGTTATAGATTAAGAATGTATGAAAAGAATGATTCATTACTGGCCAGTCCAGAGGATGTGGTCTATAACTCAACCCCACAAGATAAAACTCTAGCTTCTGAGATCACCTTTGTAGCTTTGATAAAATATTTCATGGGCTAGAACCAGTTGCACATAAAGAACCCACCATGCAAGCACGTGTAGGTACCTTAATTCTTTTTTGAGATGTTTGCAATTGTGAATCCTCATCTGTATGTAACAGAAGTGTTAGCACTGACTGGGGATATGCCAGTTGGTTGAGGCTTAATAGCCCACATTTTCTAAATAATTAAGAATGAGGCAGGGTGCAGTGGCTCACGCCTGTAATCCCAGCACTTTGGGAGGCCAAGGCGGGTGGATCACCAGAGGTCGGCAGTTCAAGACCAGCCTGACCAACATGGAGAAACCCCATCTATACTAAAAATACAAAATTAGCGGGCGTAGTGGCACATGCCTGTAATCCCAGCTACCCAAGAGGCTGAGGCAGGAGAATCACTTGACCCTGGGAGGGGGAGGTTGTGGAGAGCCGAGATCGCTCCATTGCACTCTAGCCTGGGCAACAAGAACAAAACTCTGTCTCAAAAAAAAAAAAAAAAAAAAAAAAAGAATGAGCTATAAAAGGTATGGAATAAAATCCAGGATATGAGGTGATGTTTTTAAAGCATTAAAGAAGGGAAATAGTGGAGAAAGATTGAAGCATGGCTTTCAGATGAAATGAGGAACAGACTTCCAGGAGGTGCAGAGAGAATAAGAAAACATATCTTGGGATATGAGAACAAAATTATATTGACAAAATGCTGACTGCATCTGAAGCATTGATGAGGAGGAAAGCAGGGAGGCACTGAGATTCAGGGATTAAAATGGCATAATCTCAGTGACAAGTTGGCTGATATTGCATTTAGTATTGAATTAAAAGAAAAAAAGATTAATGAGAAAATGGTGATTGGCACAACTCTAACCTAATGTGAAAAGATAGAAACTTTAACCCATAATAGAAAATTAGTTTCATGGTGTATAGCCATAGATAGATAGATAGATGATAGATAGGATGAATAGATGATAGATAGATAGATGATAGATAGGATGAATAGATAGATGATAAATAGGATAGATGGAGATAGATATAGATAGATATAGATAGAGATGATAGATAGATAGATAGATAGATAGATAGATAGATAGATAGACAGATAGATAGAACTAGGGACTAGATAACTAACTTGGAAAGGTACTAACTTGGCAATATAGAATAAGAGGCGGAAAACTCTTTTCTGAGTTTCTGATCAATTCTGATCAATGTAATGCAGAATTTCAAGGACTGAGCAAGAAGAGTGGAGTAAATATGTTACCAGTAACTCTGAGGTGCATTATTAGAAGAGTGTCTCAGAGACTGAGGAGAGAAGCTGCAAAGAAAAATAAAGGTAATGCTTGAAGGGGCAGAAACATGCCTAGAGCATGAGCCATTAGTGGAGCAGAAGGAGAGAGTTCAGGGACCTAGCAGGAAACCTGGTGATTTTCCACATGCAAATGAACCACGGTTCACAGGAGGCCCCTACATTACAATAAGCTCAAGCTTGCCCTAAGTGTTCATGCCTGGATTTCTCCAGCAATAAATCCTTCTGGATGAAGGGCACTGACCCCACACCCAGAAGCTCTAACTTTCCCACTGGTGAACTGTACAAAATGAGAACTTGGCACCATAAGCCTTTTTTTGAAAACAGAGACAATCACATTTAACAAATAAATAAATTATTAATGTCTTTACAAGATCAAGAAAAAGTAACGCAGTGTTTTCTACCAAGTAGACAAATCATAAAGCTCCCTTCTTTCCTCCGTCAACTCCCCTAAGTTTTCAAATTTCCCTTTAAATACATTGTTCTATCTAAACTGGCATTTTTAGCAAGAAAGAGAGAGAACCAAGAGAACACATTGATCATAGAAATCTTTGCCGAGGTTCATAGTTAAATTGGAATGAGATGTGGGCAATGTTTAATGAAACACATATTTAAAGTTTTAGTCACAGATAATTGTTGCAATGTCTATCAGCAGTATGTCTACCAAGACAATATTTACTGATGATTCTACAACATTCCAGTAATTTGAAGTTAATAGTGTAATTGATTATGGCCTGGTTTTCTCAGTGTCTTTTTATATTTTTAGGATATTGTCTTATACAATCATGCATTGCTTATCAACAGCGATATGTTTTGAGAACTGTGTTGTTAGGCTATTTCATCATTGTGTGAACATCATAGAATGTAACAAACCTAGATGGTATAGCCTACTACATGCTTGGGCTATGTGGTATAAACTATTGCTCCTAGGCTACATACCTGTACAGCATGTTACTCTACTGAATGTTGTAGGCATTTGTAACACACTGGCAAGTATTTGTGTATCTAAATATATCTAAACATAGAAAATGTGCAGTATAAATTATAAAAGATTTAAAAATACTACCCCTGTGTAGGGCACTTACCACGCATGGAGCTTGTAGGACTGGAAGTTGTTCTGGGTGAGTCAGTGACTGGAGAATGAATGTGAAGCGCTAGGACATTACTGTACACTACCGTAGACTTTATAAACACTGTATACTTAGGCTACACTGAATTTATTTACTTATCTATTTATTTATTTATTTATTTATTTATTTTTGAGATGGAGATTCGCTCTTGTTGCCCAGGCTGGAGTGCAATGGCGCGATGTTGGCTCACCTCAACCTCCGCCTCCCGGGTTCAAGCGATTCTCCTGCCTCAGCCTCCCGAGTAGCTGGGATTACAGGCATGTGCCACCATGCAGGGCTAATTTTGTATTTTTAGTAGAAACGGGGTTTCTCTATGTTGGTCAGGCTGGTCTCGAACTCCCAACCTCAAGTGATCCGGCCACCTCGGCCTCCCAAAGTGCTGGGATTACAGGCGTGAGTCACCACTCCTGGCCGCTACACTGAATTTATAAAAACATTTTTTCAGCCCGGATGCGGTGGCTCATGCCTGTAATCCCAGTACTTTGGGAGGCTGAGGTGGGTGGATCACGAGGTCAGGAGATCAAGACCATCCTGGCTAACACAGTGAAACCCCATCTCTACTAAAAACACAAAAAATTAGCCGAGCGTGGTGGTGGGTGCCTGTAGTCCCAGCTCTTGGGAGGCTGAGGCAGGAGAATGATGTGAACCCAGGAGGCAGAGCTTGCAGTGAGGCGAGATGGTGCCACTGCACTCCAGCCTGGGTGACAGAGCAAGACTCTGTCTCAAAAAAAAAACCCAAAAAAACAAAAAAACAATTTTTCAATCATAAATTAACCTTAGCTTACTGTAACTTTTTAACTTTATAAAATTTTTAATTTTTATAACTTTTGACTCCTTTGTAATAACAGCTTAATATACAAACATATTGTACAGCAGTATTCTATAAGTATTTTTGTATTCAAGAAAAAAAATTTACTTTTAAAATTTTTTCTTAAAAAATTAGCCGAGCATGGTGGCTCACACCTGTAATCCCAGCACTTTGGGAGGCTGAAGCGGGAGGATCACCCGATGTCTGGAGTTTGAGACCAGCCTGGCAAACATGGTGAAACCCCATCTCTACTAAAAATACAAAAATTAGCTGGGTGTGGTGGTGGGCACGTGTAATCCCACCTACTCGGGAGGCTGAGGCATGAGAATCGCTTGGCAGAGGTTGCAGTGAGCCAAGATCACACTGCTGCACTCCAGCCTGGGTGACAGAGTGAGACTCTGTCTCAAGAAAAATTAAAACATAAAAATAAATAAATATTTTTCTTAAAAAATAAAATATAAGCTCACACATTAGTCTAGGCCTGTCATCACTAAGCAATAGGAATGCTTCAGCTCCACGATAATCTTATGAGACCACCATCATATATGTGGTCCGTTGATGACTGAAACATCTTTATGCAGGGCGTGACTGTATTTTACTGAACAAACTTTTGACTCTATTCCTGGTAGAAATTTTTTTTGATGTTTCTTAGCTTCTTGAAGTTACCTGGACCTGTAAGTTAATGGAGAGGTTAACTTCAGTCTAGCCCCTCAAACTTTGAATTGCTTTAGGGGAAGTGAATACTAAGAAATAAGATTCCTGCCTTTTTAGTTCAATTCTCAATCTCATTTGCTACACAAAGTTGAAAGTCAACTGCTCTGCATTTAAAAAGCTTTATTTTGCTGATAAATTTAGAAATCCTGAATATTGTCTTATTTGAAATAATCACCTTCTAAATTCACTCCTGTAGCTAAATGGGAGAATCATCACAGATTCTATTCAAGGTCATCTACCGTCTAGGTCAGTCACGCCCTTGGATGGCACCTTCCAAAGGATGCTACATTTTTTTTAAGGAAGAGGAGCAATGCTTAGCTTAGCCAGAATGTTCTATCTCAAAATATGACTTAGAGCAAATTTTCTGAACATTTTTCTATTATGTATCTCCATGGTGGTTTGGTGTGAAACTTATGAACCCTTGTCAGAATGATATTTTCAATTGCATAAAGTAATGTACAAGATTAGAAAGGAAACAATTACACTGAAATATGGTAGTCAAATCATTTCTAAACTATTACAGAATAATGCATTTTTTATTTATTAACATATTAATAAGAAAATTCAGCAAAGAACCAGACCATCATAACTTTAAAGTATGATTAACAGGAAAGATATTTCGAGATGCTGCAAGAAATGTAATATGTCATGTAAATGTCTATGATTTCTGTTGATGTTAAAAGCACTGGTACTAATAATACTTCCACGGTGTATTGTCTACATTCACAACCAAAGGAAATGATGGATATCAATTAGAATAAGTGGAATTCTTCCACTTAAAGCTGCTGGACCCCTGTTTCTAATCCATGAACACTCAAGGGATTCATGGACGAGGTTAAGAACTCCTAGTTAGAGGAATTTAACAGCTTAAAGAAAGGGGGCTGTGTGTGGTGCTTTGGGAAGCCAAGTCAGGAAGATTGCCTGACCCCAGGAGTTTGAGGCTGCAGTGAGTTATGATCATATCACTGCACGGCAGCCTGGGCAACAGAGCAAGACCCTGTACCTAAAAATAGAAAAATAAAAAGAGCTTAAAGAAAAAAATGCAATATTAGCTCATCATTAGGGTACATTTCCTAGTACTTAAATAACTGTAGTGACTTTGGTGCTGATATGTATAATTGCTGCTTTTAATACAAGTATAGAATTATCCCTTACATTCAAGCCTCTGAATTCTCCATATGTTCATTACTTTAGTGATTTGTAGATTCTGTTATAATGAAACTATAAAGTAAATTCTATTCTTTTTTTCACCCAGGCTGGAGTGCAGTGGTGCAATCTTGGATCACTGCAGCCTCCACCTCCTGGGCTCAAGTGATCCTCCCACCTCAGCCTCCCAAAGTGCTGGGATTACAGGTGTGAGCCACCGCACCTAGCCCGAAGAGAATTCTATATGTAGCATGTTCATCTTGAATTAGTTCCAAGGATTCTTCCAAGGATATTCCAAGGTAGATCTAGAACATGATACTGATGAAAATATGACAAGGAGGCTTCCATGTTGCTGCTCCACTAAGCCAAATCTTCTAATTGCATAATGTGTAATGCTTAGACTTTCCCAGATTAGTGGTTGATTTCCTGGAAAAACTTTGTAAACACCAAATAGTCAATAAATTGCCATCTACAGAGCAGGAAATTTCAAATCCACACCAAATACAATTTCATTCTCATAAACACCAGAGTTTTTTCTGAAAGGAGCTCAGTTTTCAAATATAACATGTAGTTCACAATAGTTTATGCACATAATTTACTAGATGACTGTTAATTGATTGCCTTACTCATTTATTTTGCAAGGAGTTTATCATAAATCTTAATAATGACAATTTACTTCCTCACGCTAGACCAAGTTACATCATTAATCAAGCTGCTACAGTTTGAAATGAAAAACAAAATATTTCAGTAAGCAGTTAACAGAGAAGAAAATTTCAGTGTATTGTTTTCATTATGATCACTTATGTAATAGTACCATCTAGTGGATTCTCAGCCATAACACAGGAGACTAACAAATTCTAAGCTCTGATTTAGGGAAAGTGTACGTTTCTTTTAAAAAGGTTTTGTTGTATTTATATTTAGGAGACTTCTTACACCCTCACCAAAAGTATCTGGGCCAGGGGCAGTGGCACATGCCTGTAATCATAAGACTTTGGGAGGCCAAGGTGGGTGGATCGCTTGAGCTCAAGGGTTCAAGACCAGCTTGGGCAATATGGTGAAACCCTGTCTCTACAAAAAATATAAAATATAGCTGGATGTGGTGGCACACTCCTGTAGTCCCAGATACTCGGGAGGCTGAGGTGGAAGGATCTCTTGAGCCTGGGAGGCAGAGGTTGCAGTGAGCCAAGATTGCACCACTGCACTCCAGCCTGGGTGACACAGCAAGACCCTGTCTCAAAAAAAAAAAAAAAAAAGTACGTGGGTAGACATAACCAACAAAAGACCTGAAGGTAACTAGAAAACACATTGCTTACCACACCATGAAGTTTTATTTTATAAGACAGAGATGGCTAGTCTGAGGAATACAAAGCAAATATATAGTTATTAAGTCTTATTAAATTTCTGTTGTCCACACTGCAGCATGAGTATTCCAAAAAAGCAACATGCTAACACTGATGACTGCATAACACTAGCCAGATAAGGCTACAGATATATTCAGGAGACAGTAAGTTATTGAGCAACCAGTATGACATGTATTGTCCTAGGAAGATAAATATGAATAAGATAAATTGTATGACCTCAAGGACTTCAAAATATCATTGGAACACCAAATAAAAAATTACAAACAAGTGTGACCAAAGAGGTATAGAAAAGCTATAGTGTTAGCATAGAGGATGATAATACAGATTAGCTCCCTCGCAGAGGATCAAGTAAGGCCTCCTAGAGGAGTAACAGAAAACTTGACTCAAAGTGGCTTTAGCAATAATACTTCACATAACAAGAAGTCCCAACATACAAAAGCCCCAGGCTAGGTTAATCTGGCAATTAATTCAGCATTACTTTCATGATGTTATCAAAAGTGAAATATGAAGGAAGATGCCAGTAGGTGCTGTCCACCCTGGTGGAAAATGATATTTTTATCACTGACATTGTTCAGAATGCCTGGCATATGGTGATCATCAAAACCAGATAGACTTTAGTCAATTTTATTATTGTTTTTAAATTCTCTACAGACAATCCAGCCTTTTTTTTTTTTTTTTTTGCCTTTATTGTGTAGTATCCCATAGTAAGGAAGAAAAATCCATGAAAGTAATCTTTCTTTTAACTAAAGGAAGACAGAGAGGGAACAGAGTACAGTAATCACTAATTGATAGTGCCTATTTTACATATCCTGCTGGACAGAAATGCAAGGAAACCTTATCATAGCAACAGAGAGAGTCCCCCTTTGGTGACCCAACTGTCACTCTGTGAGTCTGTTTCCTGGGAGGATCTCTCTTGTCCCCTGTCCACCTGGACTTCTGGTTTTACTCTCCAAGATGATATCTTTATCCACTGTCTTCCTAACTACATGTAATGGGGTGAGATGAATGCCTTCTTGAGCACTACACATCTTTAGCAGACTAATGCATCCTGATTCAATTACTGGTCAAGAAACATAATTGATAATGTTTGGCTTAATGAAACAGATGGCCATTTACAGCAATGCGTATAACACCTCACAAATTGGAATTTAATAGAAGGGGGAAAGGAATAAGGAATGGGTTACAGTAGGCAAGTAGATAAATAGTGTCTGCTACAGTCATTCTGTGAAGGATATTTTAAGGGTAAGCTTGTATTTTTTATGCATAGATTCATGGAAACCAAGTAGGGTTTATTCTGGAAATGCATAGTGTGTTACAACTCACCATATTAAAATATCTAAGCAGGAAACTTATATGACAACTATCCTAAATACTGAAATAGAAATAGGTAGATATTTCCAGAATACATTATATAGTGATGTATTTATATTTGTTATATGTTATACTATTTAAATATTATACTTATTTATATTAGCCATATATGTATAGTTCTATTTCAATCCCAAAGCCAACATGTCAGGACTAAAGGCAATCCTATTAGAGTCAGGAATAATGCCAGAAAGGCCTAATAGTGTGAAACGAAAATAAAAATAAGACAAGGAGGGTACCTGTCCAGGAACCTATCAAAATGTAACAAGGTTCATTTGGGGGACTGTTTCTCCAGGGCAAGCACCACAGTGCTCATTCTCTACCCATTTAACAGATTGTAGATTCCAACTAGAGATGCAAGGATTGATTTTTGGTGCTGTACAGGTTTGGCAACCCCTTGTATATGAACTGCCTTTAACTTAGCTGATGCATCTACAACCAGAACCAGGTATCCTCAGGAACCTGGGGGTATTGAAGCCATCAGGAAAGCTGAGTCCTTGGCTCCAAAACATGCAAAGAGAGGGTAATTAGATGTTTTCCCTTTACCTCTGAGATGCCTTTAATACCCGGTTTACTTCTTCCATGCATACACCACTTTCACTTAAAAATGGGTGTTTCTTGAGCCAGCCACTTTGTTGGGGTTCTCATTTGGGATTCATCGAATGATAAGGAAAACAGAGCTTAAGCTCTGCCTATGTTACTCTGTGTCTACCAACCCCCATTAAAAAGCAAGGAATACTCTCTGAAATGAGATGGTGGTGCCAGGAAAGTGCTACTAACAAATTCCAAAGGGCATCATTGCCTCATGGCCACATGTTTTTCCCATGAGTTCTGTTCTATAAAATGCCATCACTGAAACATGCTGTCCAGGTGACTGGCCAGTCTGAAGGAGTCTGTACCGATCATTAGAGAGTTTCTAAGGCATGTTGCTGGTCACAGTGGATGCCTTTCCAGTAATCTAATGGCTGGGCTGAGGAGAATCCCTACATGAGGTAAGAAGCACATCCAAAATACTGAAAAAGTTTACCATAGGCACTGCAAAATTTGGGTTTTCGGGAGGCTTTTAAGCCAAAACTCAGACAGTTGACTATTTATCTAGGACAGATAGTATGCTGTCCCTATCTCTAACAGTAAGAATTATGCCGTTCTTGTAATGGTAGCAAGACAGCTCTGGTAAGGTTTGATTGTTTCCTGTGTCTCAGCCTATTCAATGGTGAAAAATCAAGAGAGATTTAAAGTCGTTTTAAGGCGCATATTGAATATGAGTTGTAATCCAAGTCCCATGAAGTCAAACAGTGTCTGATCGTAAGGATGCAGTAGAATCTGAAGAAAACATTAGTATGTCCACCAGCATGAGCCAGGCTCCCCAGTCCACCCAATGGACTCTGTGATTATTACACCTGGCAGGGCAGGGACAAGGAGGACCGCTGCAGCAAAGAGCTTGAGGCAACCCACAATGAGGCATCAAATACCATTGGCTTTTTCACCAGCCACCTAGTGGTGCTGTAGGGTGGAAGAGTCTCTTTAAGCATGCCTGTCTCTACTAGTTTCTTGTTCAGTGTATGGACCCCTTTTCATCCTTTGGCCCAACCTGGTATCCTACACTGCTTTACTGATACCTCATGACTGAGCTGGGAAAGCCTGGTGAGTCTCCGGTTGCCCATTTGTCCTACTATCACTGTTCTAATTATAGCATTTCCTTATTAGGAGCATCCCTTACAATCAAGAGAAGATTTACATAAATGATTCCAACCACAATCTACTTAGGAAAAAGAAAAAAATGAATAAGACAAGGATTTTCGCTATGCTCATTAGTTTTTAATATTATTTTAGTAGGTATTAGCCAATTCAATTAGACAGGAGAGAAAGTAAAAGAGTCATTTAATTATAAATGATATAATTGTAATACTTGGAGAACCAAAAAGGTTAAAAGAAACATCACAAACAATAAAATAATTCTCTAAAGTGGGTAGGCTCAAAACTAATCTATAGTTATTAATAGCCTTCAACAGTCAAACAGCCAATTAGCAGATATATTGGAAAGAAAGAGATCATTTAAAACAATAACAGAAGAGATTATTTATGTAGAAACAAATCTAAGAACTGTATTGGGCTGGGAGCAGTGGCTCATGCCTGTAATCCCAGCACTTTGTGAGACCGAGGCAGGTAGATTGCTTGAGGTCAGGAGTTCGAGACCAGACTGGCCAACGTGGTGAAACCCCATCTCTACTAAAATACAAAAATTAGCGGGGCACGATGGCTAGTGTCTGTAATCCCAGCTACTAGGGAGACTGAGGCAGGAGAATTGTTTGAACCCAGGAGGTGGAGGTTGCAGTGAGCCAAGATAGCATCACTGCACTCCAGCCTGGGCAACAGAGTAAGACTCTCATCTCAAAAAAAAAGAACTGTATTAAAAATATACAAAAACTATAAAATGTTCATTGAGGTTAAAAAGACTTAAACATATGGAGAAATATCACGTGCTTGGCTTGGAAGACAAAGCATCATAAAGATGTCAAGTATTTATAAATTAACCTAAATTTAGCATACTCTCAACTTTAAATTCCAAAAGGATTTTTAATTAAACAAGCGGATTCTAAGCCACATTGAAAAGTAAGTATGAAAATGAAGAGAAATGAGCAAAAACTTGACCTATCAAGATGGAATACTATGCAACCATAAAAAGAATGCAAGAGGCTATTTATGTACTCATATGGAATTATCTTCCAAGATATATCGTTAAGAAGGAAAAACAGGGGTCAAAGTGGTATCATATTGTGCTGCCAGGGGAATATATAGAAACTATTCTATCAAAAAATGGTTAGCTTTTAGTAGGGAAATTCAGTATCTGAGGAGTAAAACTGAAGTATGACTATGAACATTGAGAATACTCTGTTCGTTTAATGGAGTGTTGTCTGTCTTCTTAGTTTCAAAGCATAGTCCAACAATGTTTGAGTAAAGTCCAACAATGGTTGAGTAGCTTGGTCTCACCTTTTTATTTATTTATTTATTTTTATATTTATTTATTTATTTATTTATTTTGAGATGGAGTCTCACTCTGTTACCCAGGCTGGAGTGCAATGGCGCTATCTCGGCTCACTGCAAGCTCCACCCCCTGGGTTCATGCCATTCTCCTGCCTCAGCCTCCCAAGTAGCTGAGACTACAGGCACCCAGCTAATTTTCTGCATTTTTAGTAGAGACAGGGTTTCACCATGTTAGCCAGGATGGTCTCGATCTCCTGACCTTGTGATCCACTCGTGTTGGCCTCCCAAAGTTCTGGGATTACAAGTGTGAGCCACCGCCCCCAGCCCTCATCTCTTTTTTGACTGCATCAAAAACAAATCTGGATCATTAAAGACAGATCATCTATTTCATTAGAGACAGATGATCATCTAGATCATTAAAGACAGATCACCTATTTCATTCAAAAGTCTCAAATTACACATAACTCCAAAATCATATCCTCCCTTTAAAGACAGTCACTTGGCACTCCCGCAGATACAGTATTTTTGTGTATGAATAGTCAGGGAAGGCAAACAAAAAATATATGTTAAACAAATCAAGTCCTAAAGTGTTTCAAGGAATACATTTTCGCTTTTTAAAAACTAATACATTATCCTAGTTTTCACAGTTGCTTTATTGTTTTTTCCTAGTTTATTGAATATCTAACTTTCTTATTTTGATTTTTCCAAGCATTTGATACTATGAATTTTCTGCTGTGTGCAGCTTCAGACATACTCCCTAACATTATTTTTTTTATAGAGATAGGGTCTCACTATGTTGCCCAGGCTAGTGTCAAACTCCTGGGCTCAAGTGATCATCCCACCTCAGCCACCCAAAGTGCTGGGATTACAGGAGAGAAACACCGCGCCCAGACAATTCCCTGACTTTCGATGTTAGTTTTCTCATAGTTTAAATATGTAGACTACAATAGAAGTTTGAATATTTCTTTGACCCAAGCTCAAAAACTTACTTTATGACATAAAATACACATAATTTAATATTTCCTTTGAATTAATTATAATATTAGATTTATACCTGTAATGCAGGTCTGAAGAACAAGGGACATATGTATGTATCATCAAATCTTACCTTATTGAAAAAGTTTCTGATCACTGCTGATTTGTCAACATCTGTATCTATCTAATAAAGTCAGTTTGGGCTGGGTGTGGTAGCTCACACCTGTAATCCCAAATTTTGGGAGGCTGAGGCAGGAAGTCACTTGAGTTCAGGAGTTCACGACCAGCCAGGACAACATGGAGAGCCCCTCATCTCTACAAAATTAAAAAGGTAAAAAAATTAGCCAGGCATGATGATGTTCACCTGTAGTCCCATATACTCTGGAGGCTGAGGTGAGAGGATCACTTGAACCTAGGAGATTGAGGCTGCAGTGAGCCATGTTCACACCACTGCACTCTGGCCTAAGTAACAGAGACAGACCATGTCTCAAAAAAAAAAAGTCAGTTTTGACATATAGGGGGCTGAATCCTGAATCTCTAGGGTGGTGTAACATGGCTGATTTCTGCAAAATTACTAAATAAAATTACTAAATAAATTACTAAATAAAATTACTTTTATTACTAAATAAAAGAATTACTAAATAAAAGAACAAAACAATTATATCATGAGTAATGATCCTACCCCTCAGGCAATCTTCTTTACTACTCTGGTTTTCACAGTTTTTGACCTGACAGCATCATTATAAACATCATCTATTATTTATAAATCATTCACACAATGGACCACAGAGGATTCTTTGTCATAGCCTCTCACTTTTTATCTTCACTGCATTTAGCTTATTGATGGAATGCAAAGAAGAAGTAGCCCTAACCATTCCAGGAATCCATGCAGGGGTGTTCTGCATGAACACTTACTCCAAAAGCTTTTTATTCTTTTATCAACAGAGGATGACTTGTCACAGAGATGACACTTAAACAAAATAGCCTCCAGATTTCACTTAATAAATGAATTTTAACATAACTCCATAGGCAAGAAAATAATTTAGATTTTATTTCTAATATTACATTGCCATGCTGGGCTGTATTTCTGAATTAATTTCTTTTTAAATAGCATGTCAGAGTCCAAATAATAGTGATGCAGGATTTTTCTCAGCCCTTTTGCCAGGCTTGCAGCAGGGGGCACCCTGTCTACTCGGCCCACTGGGCCATGTTTGGCTTGCACTATGGCCCACGGCTCCCATGGCTGCTGTGACAGCGCAGTCAGCCCCTGCATTCAGTGGTCTCCAATTCTCGTCCAACATCCAAGAAGAATGAGGTCACACTGACAATTGAAGGGTGATGAGGACAGAGAATTTTATTGAGTGATGAAACAGCTCTCAGTGGAGAGGAGAGGGGAAGTTCAGGTTGTCTCTCTCTCCTGCCTGAAGGCAGGCAGTCCCCACCCCTGCCCAAAGATGGACAGTTTCAAAGTGTGGCTGAGTTCAGGGTTTTCATAGGCACAGAATGGGGAGGGCGTGCTGACTGATTTGTGAGTATGTAAAAAATGTTAAAACTAAGGAACCACTCAAAGGTGGTCACAAGAGTGTAAAAAAAAATTATGGAAGGGTAGGTATATGTAAAATAGATGAAAGGCAGGGCTCAATCAGAGGAAAGTGCACCAAATAGGAAGATAGGTTCTCAATCCAGTCTGTGGATTTAACTTGTGGCATGACTTTCAGGCTTTAAACTGTCTTTGACTTGGAGGTGGGGTTTCACTAGGGACTCATCCCTATCTGCCTAAGCATTTTTCTGCTTCCTACCTCTATCATTCCCTCCTCTGAAGAGGTACATCTAACTTCCATTAGGATAAGAACGATGACCAATTTTAACTACTTCATGCTGACAGGGGCTGTTATTTTGGGAAAACAGCAGTCAGATATCCTTCAGAGGCCTATCTAAAAGTCCCTGGTAAAAAGGAGCCATCATCCAAGGCTCTGGTTGCATGAACATTGGAGTTTGATGGCCTGAAAGCAAGATGAGACAAACAGGGTTATTAGAAGACATGGATTAAAATGGAACAAGCGAATAAGGACAGCTCAAAAATCCCCAGGCTGTTGACATGCTATATTAATAGTTACGCCTGCTAAGATTTGCGTGCATGGGAATTGGCTTTGGTTAGTTAGCTGATTTGGTCTTATTTTCCCAAAAAAGAAACCTCCTGTTATGGGCACCCCATTTACTCCTATCACCGGGCAAGATTTGCAAGATAATTGCCCAGAACTAGAATATTTGATTCAGATTTTTACATTACCCATTCCTTCTGTTCCTTCTGAGCTGCAGCTGGAGATCACTGGTTGGTTCACATGAATAAGCAGGGTTAGTCTAAAATGTACATGAAAACTTAAAAACAACTGATGTGACTAGAATTTAATGACAAAAGTATAAGTTTTGAAACATAATTTTCTCTCTACAGTCCTCATTTTTGTTAAAAACAAATCATGATAGGACTGATTTGCTTGCAAAATAAACTTTAGTCTTATACTTGGCCTGATTATTTGCATAAAGTGCAGCAAAAATAATTATTTTCATATAGGCTTTTTAAATGGGCTCTGATGGAACTCTGTTCCATAAGGAATCTCAGACAAGACTTTTTAAAGCCAAGCCCAGACATGGGTTTGTATCCTCAAATACCTTTGAGTTTCCAAATTCCTCTCTTGTTGGGGTCCCAAGATAACTTGGGGCTCCTAAGCCTGTTAGAAAGTTACATTCTTTACTCACCACAGGTTAGCAACCCTGTACAGGAACTGTGTAGACAAGATATGAGGCCAGTTTTCCCAAGGGGCTTTTATTGGCTCTGCTAGTAAAGCTTGGTTCCTTAAAGGGAAGCACATCCTTCTAGTTGAAGCCTTAGTAAAACAACCAGTCTTTCCAATTGCATCCTGTTGCAAGAGAAAATGGATTCTTCTTGCACTTATGCAAGCAATTATATCACCGTAAGTTAAGAATACTCACAAATAGTTTCCAAATTCTAGAGAAACCAGGCAGAGAGAAACAAATATGCTCCAAATTTTGTTCACAGGAGTATACTTTACCCAATTGTTAAATACTGTAGCTAGCTCAGAAGAAAAGTTTCCTTGATTCTCAAAAACAAAACAAGGTTAAGCAATGTTTTAGGCAAAAAGTTAAAAAAAGATTACTTCAGTTCTCTGTTAGTTCAGTTCATTCAGTTAACTCTTTTCTGCTTGATACTCATGAACATTTCATCTCTTCATGAGTCTTGGACATTTTTCCTTTATTCCAATGTCACAATCTCCAAAGACATCAGGAACCTGAATTTAAGAGCACCTGTCAAAGTTCTATAGCTGATTTTAAACCATCTTTTGAAAAGGATCAAAACAAGACAAAAAAAAACATGACTGACAAATTCAGTTATTTCTGTGGTTTACAATAACTTAACATAGTAACCTTAATTATGATTAGATAGCATATACTTAGACATTAGAATTTTAGAAATCCCATAAAATTTTGGAACATATATTACTATTATTCACTAAAATATAACCTGAAGAAGATTAAACATTATTTTTATTCTGACAATCCCGTGTAACTAAATATGTAAAATAATCCTGTTTACCTCTCTGTTAGTTGCTTCAGGAGCCCTCTGTAGCATTCAAAATTCAGGAGTCAGAAAAGACAGTTTCAAAGCTGAAATTTGATTTTGGGAAGCCTATGAAATATGTTAAAGGTGAAAACACTTGATATAATGAAATAGAATTCCAGGTTACCATAAGTCATTTAGCAAAAAAGATGACTCAAAATTTTTTTTTTGCAGTTGCAAGATTTAATAGAGTGAAAACAGAGCTCCCATAAAATGGGAGGGGACCCAATGGCTTGAATGCCTGGGTTTATATCCCGATCATTGTCCCTCCCCCATGCTCTCAGGTGATAGATAATTGGCTATTTCCTTACCTTCTGTTTTAGCCTAATTAGCATTTTAGTGAGCTCTCTTTACTACCTGACTGGTCAAGTGTGAGCTAAGTTGCAAGCCCTGTGTTTAAAGGTGGATGTGGTCACCTTCCCAGCTAGGCTTAGGGATTCTTAGTCGGCCTAGGAAATCCAGGTAGTCCTGTCTCTCAGTCCCCCCTCTCAACAGTAAAACCCAAGTGCTGTTGGGGAGGTTGGCCGACAACCGCTTTAACTGCTTTTTGCTGAATTGGGGCATAGTAGGGGTCGTGCAGTTGAGATTTCCTCAGGAGGCATGCCTTCGATGTCATCAACATTGGAGCATGGGCTAGCAGGCCAGTCCAGGGGTCTGCACTAGATCTTAGTTGTGGACTGCATTGTGGCTCCATTTGAAGAACCATTTGTAGTTTTACAGCTTCGATTCTGGAAGAGACAAACTTAACAAAGAGGTTAAAGATACAGGGATTGAAATGTGTGGCTGCAGTGCAGGGGATTATTTCTTTGGCACACTTCACAGGCTCTGACTATCTGCTTGATAGTTTTGAAAAGGCCTGGTCCCGTAAATAATGATTTGGCTATCTGATGGGTGCTATGTGCCTAAGTGAAAGGTTTGGTGAAGGGTTTTAAGTAATTTCCATTGGTTAGCTGCAGTCAAAAGTATTTTCCCTTCTTCTGTGGCTAGCCATCCTGAGGGGAGGAAACTATGTCCTTGTGAAGTTCCCCATCCTATTTCTCCTGCTGAGTACTGGGGCTTGGTTTCCCAGAGGGGATTACCCCATACTAGGGGTCCTTCTATAAGCATTTCTAATGGAGGGTCCCGCCTTGTGGCTCTTTTGGCTTCAATATCCGCTTGGTGGTTCCCTTCTATTTCCCTTTCCTTTCCCCTCTGATGACCCCAGCAGTGTAAGACTGCCACCTCTTTAGGTTTCTGTACAGCCAATAATAATCTCCTAATGGCTTCTTGATGTTTGATAGGTGTTCCCTCGGAAGTTAGGAATTCCCTTTCTCTCCATATTGCTGCATGGGCATGGAGGACTAGGTAAGCATACTTAGAGTCTGTATATATATTTACCCTTTTTCCTTCTCCTAATTCTAGTGCCTGAGTGAGGGCTATTAGTTCTGCCAGCTAAGCGCTAGTTCCTGGAGTGAGGGGATTACTTTCAAGTATTCCATTATCACTGACCACTGCATACCCCACTTTTTGAAGTCTTTTTTCTACAAAGGAACTTCCATCAGTATACAAGTTGAGGTCGGGATCAGTCAAGGGAACCTCTAGAAGATCTCCTTGAGCGGTGCAGGTTTGAGCAATTACTTGTTGACAGTTATGTTCTGTTTTTTCTTCATTGCCTGGAAAAAATGTGGCTGGATTAAGAGTTGCACAAGTGTGCAGTCGCAGCACTGGTCCTTCAACTAATAGAGCCTGATATTTAAGCAAATGGTTGTCTGACAGCCACAAGTCTCCTTTAGCAGTGAGTATGCCATTCACATCATGAGATGTCCACACAGTAAGATCTCTTCCCTGTATCATTTTAACTGCTTCAGATACTAAGACTGCTACTGCTGCCACTACCAGTAAACAATGAGGCCAACCCTTTGTCACTACATCAGTTTCCTTACTCAAGTATGCCACGGGTTGCAAGCTGGTCCCTCAGACCTGTGTAAGGACTCCTAGAGCTATTCCTGTTTTTCTGTGACATATAAAGAAAAGTCTAGCACTGTTGGCAAGCTTAACACTGGGGTTTGGGTTAGGGCCTTCTTTAGGGCCTGGAAAGCCACTTCTGCTTCAGGTATCCATCTTACTAAATGGGTATTGGCTTTCTGAGTTTCCTTAATTAGTGTATATAATGGCCTGGCTATTTCGCTGTACCTGGGAATCCATATTCGGCAGAAGCCTTTTATGCCAAGGAACCCTCTTAGTTGCTTTAGTGTTTTGGGATGAGGATAAGCCAGTATAGGCTAGATAGGTTTCTTACTGAAGGCCCTGGTGCCTTTGGATAATTTTAGCCCTAAGTATTTAACCTGCTGTGAGCAGAGCTGAGCCTTTGGTATGGAAACCTTGTAGCCACAGGTGGTGAGGAAATTTAAGAGTGCTTGGGTGGGGCTGGGTGCAGTGGCTCATGCCTGTAATCCTAGCACTTTGGGAGGCTGAGGTGGGCAGGTCACAAAGTCAGGAGATTGAGACCATCCTGGCTAACACGGTGAAACCCGTCTCTACTAAAAATACAAAAAATTAGCTGGGCATGGTGGCAGGTGCCTGTAGTCCCAGCTACTTGGGAGGCTGAAGCAGGAGAATAGCATGAACCCATGAGGCGGAGCTTGCAGTGAGCCAAGATTGCACCACTGCACTCCAGCCTGGGTGACAGAGCAAGACTCCATCCCAAAAAAAAAAAAAAAAAGAGTGCTTGGGTGGCTTGATGGCACAAGGTTTCTGAATGGGCGGCTAAAAGTATATCATCCACGTGCCAAAGGACAAGAGTGTCCAGGTATGAGAACCAGCTCAAGTCTTGGGCTAATGCATGGCCAAATAGATGGGGGCTACTCCTGAACCCATGGGGTAAAACAGTCCAGGTGATTTGAGACGTTGGGTTTGAAGGATCTTCAAAGGCAAACAAGAATGGAGAGTCAGGATGTACAGAGATGCAGACAAAGGCATCCTTAAGGTCCAGGACTGTAAACCACTGTGCTTCCTCTGGTATTTGGGAAAGCAGAGTATAAGGGTTTGGTACAGCTGGGTATAGAGGGACAACGGCCTCATTGATAATCCTGAGATCTTGCACTAACCTCCACTGTCTTTTGGGTTTCTGTACTTCTAAAATTGGAATGCTGCAGGGGCTATTTCATGGTTCATGGTTTACTAGGCCTTGGGCTTTTAGGTCCTTAACAATCTTTTGGAGTCCTTGTTGGGCCTCGGGTCTAAGGGGGTACTGCCTTTGGTAGGGAAAGGAGGTGGAATCCTTTAGATGAACTTGAACAGGACGGGCATTCTTTGCTCATCCATATTGTTCTTCTGTTGCCCAGACTTCAGGATTAATTCCTTCCTCAAGCAGGGGACAACAAATGGGTGTTCCTTCTCCTATATTCAGGTGTATAATGGCCCCTGCTTTTGCTAGAATGTCTCTCCCTCACAAGGGAGTGGGGCTTTCAGGCATAATTAGAAGAGCATGTGAAAAGAGTAAAGTTCCCCAGTCACAACTTAGTGGCTGGGTATCTAGTGACTGGCTGTCCTAGGACCCCTCAGATAGTGAAAGATCTGGAGGACACTTGTCCGGGACAGGAGAGTAACACTGAGAAGGCCGTGCCAGTGTCCAGGAGACAGTTAACCTCCTGGCCCTCAATGGTCATGCATACCTGGGGCTCTGTGAGGGTGATGGCATGTGCTGGCACTTGCTCCGGGCACCCTCAGTCCTGCTGCTGGATCAGCTGGTGAGTGGCTTCTGACTCATAGGACTTTCGTCTGCTGGGGCAGTGGGCATTCCAGTGATTCCCTTGACATAAGGGGCATGGACGAGGGGGCGGCTTATTTCTATATGGACAATCTTTTTTAAAGTGTCCTTGCAGACCACACTGGAAGCAAGCCCCATTAGGCATTCAATTTGCCCAGCCTTTCCATGTTCCAGAGCCTCCAAAGTCTGCTTGCCTGAGGGCCATGACTAAAGTGGTGGCCTTTTTTGATCCCGTTTGTCCCGTTCCGCCTGCTCTTCCTCATCTCTATTATAAAAAACTGAGGTTGCCAAGTTCAACAGGGTTTCTAAGTTTTGCTCTCGGCCTAAGGCAGACTTTTGAAGCTTTTTTCTAATGTCTGCAGCTGACTGAGAGATAAACTTATCCTTTAAGATTAGTTGGCCTTCAATAGTCAGGTGACAGAGAGGTATGCTACTTCCTTAGTCTCTCCAGAAAGGCAATAGGAATTTCTTCCTTTCCCTGTGTTATAGTGGACATCATTGAATAATTCATAGTCTTCTTCCTAGTTTTCCTTAGTCCTTCTAGCATGCAAGTTAGCAAATGTCTGTGGCACCAATCTCCATGTTCTGATTCTGCATCCCAGTGAGGGTCTACACTGGGAACTGCCTGCTGGCCTGTGGGGAATCGTTCTCTTTCCTCTGTTGTCATCCTATCATTGACCTTACTGAGATACCAGAGATCGCCAAACTCTCATTTGGGGTTAGTGTCTGATTTAGCAGTAACATTATATCTCTCTATGTCAGATCAAAGGATTGTGCTAACCCTTGTAAAATGTCAATATAGCCATCAGGGTTACCTGAGAATTTACCTAGGTCTATTTTAATTTGCTTCAAGTCTGAGAGGGAAAAAGTTATATACACTCTGGCTGGGATGAATTCTCCAGAATACATCTTAGGGGTGTTTTTGCCTTGAGGGGAACATTTCCCATCTGAAAAAAGAACATAGAGATGCCAGCACCCCTAGTCATTTTCTGATAAGCATTAGTCCTAGAGCATCCTCTGTGGTCCTAATGCTTATTCCTTTCCAGGGTGTGTAACCACCCATGGACTTCTGCTTATTAGATTAGTTACACTCACCGATGTAGCAGTCCTGCACCTGTATTCCCACCTTTCTTGACCACAAAGAAAGGGGTCTGGGCTGCTGGATTCTAGTGGTCCTTTACCAGCATGCCCAACATTGCCTTTGAGCTCAAGGGTGAGTTCTGGAGACAGGCTGGGTTCCTGGGTATTTCATAATAACCCAGTTGCCCCATCAAGATGCATTCCTACAAACAACAGTTCTTATGCAAATTCATTTCAGAGAGGGTATGGGTAACCTTTTGAGTCAGGATTGAGATAGAGTTTTTTGATTTTGTAAGTACTTTAAGGCTTGGCTGAGTGCAAACAGCTCGCACGTTTGAGCAGACCAATTATTAGGCAATTTTCTTAACTCTGCTTCTACAAGAGTTTCCCTCAATTATTGAATACCCATTGTGGTTTTTTTCTCAATCACCTGGGAGGAACCATCTATTGTCCTGTCCTGAAGGGAGTTCCTCCTAGGTCTGGTCGGACCTTTGTATGGTAATTAAGATTTAAATCCGCTGTTAGGAAATCTGCTGGGTTAAGGGAATTTTCAGTGGTTAATGTTAAATTATCTTTCTCTAACAGAATAGCCCCATACTTTAAGATTTTTGAGTTAGTAAGCTATCTTTTTGCTTTTTTGACTTAGGATAGTTCTGAACTGGTGAGGTGTGCTCACAGTGAGGTTTCCTCTAAAGGCTAATTTTCTACTTTCTTCTGTTAGCAAAGCAGTTGCCGCTACAGGTTGAATGCATTTGGGCACCCGTGGGTTCCTGGATTAAGGATTTTTTATAGGACGGCTACTAGTTGTCAGTGGCCTCAGTGCTTTCAGGCTATGCCCTTATTTACACTGACAACAAAGTGGTATTGGAGTGTTATAGGGTCACGGAGAAAACCTTCAGTTATCAATTATAGGTTTTAAATTTACCCTGGCTTTTAAAGAAATAAGGTACACTGTTTTTTTCTTTACTACTTCTATCTTTCTCTTTCTCACTTACTTTTTCCTTTCCGTCTTTGTAGATGGATTTTTGGAAACACAGTGGAAGGACGTTCGCTCATTGCCCCATTTGCCACTATAGGAATATGCGCCTCCCTTTTATTTACTCAATTTGCTTTCATCCTGATCTATTATGTTGTTGTAGAACCAGTTCCAGTTGTTAAAGTACTGGGTTATCAATTCTAAGGCCCTGGCAAGGGTGGTGGGGAACGGGTCCCACATAACTGCCCATGTTGAGAGCTCTATGCCTAAATTGGGAGGGACACCAGGGATAAGACTCCCTGGGTTCATAGCCTAGGGGCCTAAGGGTGCAGCATAGATCTTCCTTAGAACCCTTTGGAAATACAACCTGCTGTAATACTTGGGAGAGGAAGTGAAAGTCTGAAGCATCAGTATCTAGGAGGCAGGGATCAGAGGAAGTAGATTCAGAGGTAAGGAGAATTTTGGGGCTATACTTTCAAGAAATTTGTGGTCAGGACCCAGAAGGTATGGGTCAGAAGGAAAGGCAGGGGCGCACGCATGGGCGACTGTTGAGTAGACTTCTGGCTGTGCCATAATCTCAACCGGCTAATGCTGGGAGTTCCAGACGACAGCTTTCTGCCTCTAGTTGGCCCTCAGTTTCCCCAGGAAAATTGAAAGTGCAAGCTGGTTCCAGGCAGACCATGCTTCCAACCCAGAAGGGTTGGGGGTTGTTAGAAAGCCCTTTCCCAGACAGCCTCACGCCTGAGTCTTAAGTCTGGTGGCCATGCTAATCGTTTTTAACTGGCCAACAGGTGCCTGGTATTTTCCTCCAATTCTAAGGAAGGATAGGACAGGATAGCAAGCGAAAGGGTCCAATATTACTCACTGCTTTGGAGGTCCCTTCATGGTCGCCAAAATGTTACCGGTTGGGGTGGGGGCTTGTTCTTAGAGCTCCCAAGATGGTGGCAGCCGCTCTCAAGATGGCAGCAAGCCTCTTGTTCTCTGACCTGGGGTTTGGCCTCACGGATTCCAAGGAATGGAATCTGGGCCATGCAGTGTTATAGCTCTCTTAGACGCTGTGGGTCACGGAAGATAACCGTGGAACCCAGCAACTAGTGTTCAGCTCGATTAGGATGAACCCGGGCACTTAGCCGTGCAGGAACAATGGCAAGTCTTTAGCCCAATCCGGGGTGGCAATGGGCGCCTCACTGGATCAGGAGCACAGCAGACACCCTGCCAGATCCGGAGGGGTGAAAGTCAGCAGCGGGTCTGTGATGGCGGCAAACAGCAGTGGTAGATGGCGAGTGAAAGCTCAGCTCAAGCTGTAACAAACACGGACCAGAAGAGTGTGCAGTTGCAAGATTTAATAGAGTGAAAACAGAGCTCCCATAAAATGGGAGGGGACCCAAAGGGGGTTGCCCTAATTAAGCTGACTTTCAACCATAACACTCTTTCAAAAAAATATCCTTTTAAATCCCTTATTACCCAACTTTAGCCACACCAAGTGGCCAATATTTCTGGCTTTTAAACTTTGCCAAAAGTAACCTCATAGGTGAAACCAACAAGCCTCACCTAAGGCTATGACTTAACCGTGAGTGTACAAGGTATTTTCAAACAGGTGGTAAGCAGTTTTTACAAAATCTAGAATCTTTAAAGGTAACTCAGAGAAAGGAAGATTTAAGAAAGGAAGCTATTATGGAAGTTGTTCATGGAGGGGAAGAGAATCAGCAAATGGAAAAAGTCACACAGATATTAACCAGAAAATACTCATTCCCTAAGCCAGGATTGAACCTGGGCCACCACTGTAAAACGGCGGAGACCAAAAAAGTATTGCCATGTGGTTACAAGGTCAAGCTCCCAAGTAGGTAAAAGAAAACGGAGACCTCATCCCATTTTTTTTCTTCGGAGACCTATAGCAAAATTAGCTACTGACCAGTTTGTCAGGCTGACTTGAACAATGGGCTTATGGGGTCCTAGACCCACTTTTTTTTTTATTATACTTTAAGTTTTAGGGTACATGTGCACAATGTGCAGGTTAGTTACATATGTATACATGTGACATGCTGGTGTGCTGCACCCACTAACTCGTCATCTAGCATTAGGTATATCTCCCAGTGCTATCCCTCCCCACTCCCCTCACCCTACAACAGTCCCCAGAGTGTGATGTTCCCCTTCCTGTGTCCTTGTGTTATTGTTCAATTCCCACCTATGAGTGAGAATATGCGGTGTTTGGTTTTTTGTTCTTGCGATAGTTTACTGAGAATGATGATTTCCAGCTTCATCCATGTCCCTACAAAGGACATGAACTCATCATTTTTTATGGCTGCATAGTATTCCATGGTGTATATGTGCCACATTTTCTTAACCCAGTCTATCATTGTTGGACATTTGGGCCTAGACCCACATTTTATCCTAAGGTACCCCTCTTTCTGATAGAAAGATACAGAAAGAGAAATTCTTAACACAAAGTATCACAGATTCTCTATAGCTTAAGACTCACCTCACAAATCCTTTTTCCATTAATCACAACGTTTCAGAGTATATAAACAGTGATTTTTATCATTCATTCAAACAGTTTGCACAGAGAGAGAGAAAAGCCAGAAGTCTGATGGGTAAAAAACTTTTACTCGTTTGCCAGCATGTCAGGCTTCTGGGTTCCCTTCCCCCGAGCTATGAAGCCCTTTGACCCTGGAGTTCCGTAAAGGGGGAGCAGACAAATAGGTTATTTGCATACTGTAAACATTGTCCTTCCTCAAGAGATTGCTCAGTTAGAGTTTTCCCAGTTCATTTTTTTTTTAAGTCAAGTGATTTAAGGTTTATGGAAATTAAACTTTTCACAGAGGGGAATGTGAGTTATAATGTCTTCCCAGTTCATTTTTTTTTAAGCCAAGTGGTTTAATGCAGAAATTAAACTTTTCACAGAGGGAAATGTCCTGTGGTATGGAGACATGATTATTCATCCATGAAGAGAGGACAGAGGAGGAAACAGGAAGAAGAAGGTTGATTTTCTCTTTTCAAAGGAATCCCAGTGATTCAGGATGCATTGGAGAGACATACAGACTGAAGATGGTTGGTTACCCATCTGGAAAGAGGAGAAAAAGGCGCCCCTTAGTTCTTCTCTCTTCCTAGCAAATACCCAGGGTATGTGAGGGAGAGAAAAAAAGGTATCCCCTTTTTTCTTCTGTCCTTATATCCCCAAGTCCCAGGAACCTTGGCAGTTGCTGCCCATGGGTGCCAATGTGGCTTTCATCCATGTAACAGGGAGGCCTAGAGGGTAGGAATTATCTGCACCCACCTACGTACTAGCCTATCATCCCTGCTGTCAGTAACTTCATCTATGCCATGCATACAGGCATGACCTCCATCCATGAAATGAGGGGTGCCTAATTGGCAGGAATTAGTCAGGCTCACCTATGCTGTGCCCCTTAGCTTCCATTGTTGCCTGCCTCTGGATCCCTCAGATCCAATTTTCCTTTCTAAGGCTTCAACCTAAAGCTTGGAATTGAGTTTGGGACAAAAAGATGCCTCAGGAGGATGCATGGACTCATAAAATTAAGTCCCAGGTGGCCCTCTCCAAACTTGCAGCCAGCAGCCAGTGGGAGCACTCCTCTGTTGCTTCCTTATTATAAGCAGAGTGCTAAGGTGAAGCTGTGGAACCAGGTTGTCCTCAAACAATGGAGAGAAAGGGGACCTAGCCTAATAAGACGCCTTCTAAAAGGAAAAAAAAAATCTCTTGCATAGAAAAGCTCCCCGTATTTACAGGTCTATGTTAACTCCTAACATGGTGGAGAAAAGAAACAAAACAGCTTAAGCGCAGGGAGGAGAAGGTGCCTGGGGGAGTAAGCCTCTTGCTCTTCTGCAAATGGGATCCTTCAACAGGGAAAAAGCTCTTAACTGCTGCCTTTTCCCCATTTCTAAGAATGGACAGAAACTCCATTGTTCTGAATTACATTTTTGATGACTGGGCCAAGTGCCCAGTCTACCCAGTAATATTTCTGTAGTTTGCAACAACACACTTAACATTATAAAAGAGAGGTAGGAGCCATCATCACCATGAAAGAAAGAAAGAATATACCATAGGAAAGACTGGAGGTCTTGGCCAACAACCTATCGGGTGGTCAGAGACTGGAGTCAATCCAGGGGCCTTTGGATAACATTGAGGTGTAGCCTCAACCAGATGCCCTCAGTTGCCCCAGGACTTCCTTCCATTCCTACGCAACGGTTAGACCTCCGTGAAAGGAAACAAAGCCACCATTCCCAACACCCGGGATGACAGGTTGGTGGAGGTAGCAGGGTCCACATTCAGTCACCCTTCCAACAAATCCCAGACAAGCCCCCAGATACAATGCAGGATTTTTCTCAGCCTTTTTGCCAGGCTCACAGCAGAGGGTGCCCCATCTACTCAGCCTACTGGGTCACGTCTGGCTTGCACTCCAGCCCACAGCTCCCGTGGCCATCACAACTAAGCACTTAGTACCCATGTTCAGTGGATCCCAAATTTTTGTCCTGCATCCAAGAAGAATGAGGTCACACTGACAATTGAAGGGTGATGAGGGTGGAGAATTTTATTGAGGAATGAAACAGCTCTCAGCGGAGAGGGGATGGGAAGGTCAGGTCATCTCTGACCTCTCGCCTGAAAGTGGGCAGCAGTCTCCCCACTACCCAGAAGTGGGCAGTTTCACAGTGTGACTGAGTTCGGGGTTTTTATAGGCAAAGAATAGGGAGTGTGTGCTGATTGGTTTGTGAGTATGGAGAAAAGGTTAAAACAAAGGCCTTGCTCAAAGATGGGCATAACAGGGTCAAAAAACAGTTAGGGAAGGGTAGGTATCAGTAAAATAGGTGAAGGGGGGAGATCAATCAGAGGAAAGTGCACCAAACAGGAAAACAGGTTCTCAATCCAGTTCACGGATTTAACTCGTAGCTTGGCTTTCAGGCTCTAAACTGTATTTGACTTGAAGGTGGGGTTTCATTGGGGACCTGCCCTTATCTACCTAGGCATTTTTCTGCCTCCTGTATGTATCAATACCTTGACTTATGGGTTAAATTGATGAGGTAACACTGACAGACAAGATAGTGCCAGATAAATAGATAAATAATGATTGGGCCAGGCATGATAGTTCACACCTGTAAGCCCAGCACTTTAGGATGCCAAGGCAAGAGGATCACTTGAGCCTAGGAGTTCAAGATAAGCCTGAGCAACATAGCAAGACTCCCATTTCTACAGAAAAAAAAATCAAAAAATTAGCCTGGCATGGTGGCATGCACCTGTAGTCCCAGCTACTAGGGAAGCTGAGGAAAGAGGATTGCTTGAGCCCAGAGGTTCAAAGTTGCAGTGAGCTACGATCACAACACTGCACTCCAGCCTGGGAAATAGAGTGAGACCCTGTCTCAAAAATGAATAAATAAATATTGATTGATTGATTGGGGAGACAGAAAGAGAGAGAAATTAGATTAGATAGATAGATGATAGATAGATAGATAGATAGATGATAGATAGATGATAGACAGATAGATAGATAGATAGATAGATAGATAGATAGATAGATAGATAGATAGACAGGTAATTACCAGATCCCAGCAGGGTATCTTCTCACTGGGCTCTGAAACTGTTTAGCATGGAACAGCTTTGAAATCCTCAGATCAGCCTGTGACTCTCAATTCTCATCAGAGTTCCAAAAATACTTCTTCCTCTATTAAAATATTAGCTTACTCTAAGTAGCAGCTACACATATGGTTATAATTTCCAACTATTGAAATTTTGCATTTGTAAAAGGGCATTCTTGGCACCCTAAGCACCTCCTTTGCCTCACTTCTGTGCCAGCCCTGTTGCTGGGCTACAAAGGGATTGGGTGAAGTTCAGAGCTGTAATAACATGGACATTAACAAATTTCCCACCTGGTATTCACAGTCCAGTGAAGCCTGCTCACGTCAGTTACATTTTATAGAAATACATAAAATTCATCCATGTAAAAATAGTCAAATCCTTTCAAAGCCCTTTAATAATCTGCAAGTCTCACCAACTAGGCCCCGGATTGCCAGCCACTGCTCAGCATTGAAAATGATGTGTAAGAAAAAACTCAAAAGAATATTATCTGTAGCTCTGTGTTTTGCTGATAACTTCTTGGTAGCTGCATCTAGTATTCAAATTTAGGTTTTGCTTTGAAATAGTAAAGTCTCACAAGAAGAAAATAAACAAACAAAATAAACTAAGTAGCTCAGAAGATAATATTTCCTCACAAAATAGCTCAAAAATAGTCATTTTCTACGGAATTACTTTTCCCCCAGAACTGTGAGTATGCTCTGATATTATCAGAAGGAATCTGAACTCAGTTGAATAGGATGTTACCTCTCGTTCTGTTCAGATGTTATTAATAAGGACAACAGCTATCATATTCAGTATATACATTTTTTAAACAAATGCACTTAACAATGTATGTTTATTGTCTCTTACCCTCCTGATAACCTTGTAATGAAGTTAATATTCCCTTTTCACAGCTGAGGAAACTGATGCCTAGGAAGGTTAAGTGACCTGCCAGAGGAGACAGAGTTAGAAAATGGCAGCACTACCATCACATTGAGTTGTGTCCAGTACCAAAGCTCTGTCAATTTTGCTACACCTTCTAGTCTGGTAAAGGCAGGGACCCTACAGTTCTTGTCCAAGTGTCTCCTATGACAGATGGACACATCCCCATGGGGCTTTTAAGAATTTGAAGAAACACCAAAATATTTGCAGGAAAGTGAAACAAATAGTACCAGAGGCAATACACATAGAGGTGATCATGTTTCTTGCCACACTTCTCCATGATAGATCATCATCAGTCAAATTATTCCAGGCCATAATTGAAATTTGATATAACATAGATTATAATTAACTTGAAATGCTTTAGCTAATAACCTGCACCTTTCTCGCACTCAAATATGAATCACAGAATACAGAAGAATGAAAGTAACTGTGGTACAGGTACAACACTGAATACACTCTAAATTATCATTAATGTTAAAGCAAATCATTTGTAAGCTTTAATAGTTTATTTCTAGAAATCAATTTCTTGCGACATACTTCACAGCTAATTGTGATATATCTCTCTGTCAACACCGCAGTTAGGAACCACTCATGTGGCATACAGTAGGTACTCAAATTTTAATTTTTTGGATGAAAGCTATAATTTTCCTTAAATTAATGTAAGTATTGAGATCAAGCATGTGAGTAGCAAAGATTGTCTCCTTGACCAAACCATAGTCGAGCTCTTCTGAGCAATCTTTTTCACTAGGTCCAATTTTGGGTTCCTTTGGACTTCTTTGTGGAGTCCAGTTCTAGTAAAATTCCTGCTAAGTCATTTTAGCCAGAATCCCCCATTCATGATATCTGATCATCCTCAATATCTATCAAGTTTCTCAACCTCTACCAACCACCATGTGATGTCTGATCATCCTGGCCTGTCTTCAGCAAGAATCCTGTTAGGTTGATTTAGCCATAAACCTTCTTCCTCTTGATGTTTCCTCTTAGTAATTTTCCATCCAATGGACTCCACCCTGCTCCTTCACTCCAAATTCCCACTTTTCCTTTCTATATTCAAAGGTGAGCCCGGTCTCTCTACCATTCTGCAAAACGTGATTGAAATGGTCCCTGTACCTATCTTGATGGTCCTGTACAAAGTCTACTTCACCATGTTTTAACAAGTGTCATGAATAATTTTTTAAACTTTTCAGTTCGGGGTACAGGTACAGGATGCACAGGTTTGTTACATAGGTAAACGCGTGTCATGGGAGTTTGTTATACAGATTATTTCATCACCCAGGTATTAATCCTAGTGTCTATCAGTTATTTATTTTTCTTCTTTAACATGAGAAAGGGAGAAATCAAAAGAGGGAGTAAATAAGTGACTTTGTCATCTAGTCAATGACTCAATATCTCCAAGGACAGGGACTTTACTACCTCTTTAGGTGGCCCATTATAATATTAGAAACTTACTTAGATTTTGAGCCGAAAGCTTTTTCCCTAAAACTGCCACCCACTCAATGGTGCATGTTCTATTTCCTGCAACCACACAGAACTACTTCACTCCTACTTACATGTGACAGTACTAAAAATATTTGAAGAAAGTTATCACATTCCTTCTCTCTAGGTTAAACATTGTCATTTCTTTCAACCATATCTCCCACAGTGTAATTTTTTTAATCTCATTATCCTGGTTACTCTCCATTTTTCTTGCTCTTGTTTCCTTTCCTTTAATGCTTCCTCCACATTTCTTCGAATTCTTCCTGAGAGTGTTGACTTCTGTATCCTTGACTACTCAATAAGAGTGTCTTTTTCATTCTATGGAGCAAAACAACTCAAAATTCTGTTCTAGTGTTATCGTTTGCCTGTTGGCTTTTGATATTGCTGCTGTCATCCTAAAGTGGTGATTTTCAATCTGTGTTCCTGAAAACTGGAGAACTCAGCAGAAGCACCTCCAGGTAGTTGAGGAGGAGGTAAGAGCTGGGAGTGGAAACCTCCCACATCTCTGCTTCAGCTAGAGCAACTACACTTTTATCCACCTCTATATCCAGCTTCTGCATGGAATTGCATTTGAAAGATTGTTCTGAAAAAAAAAATTAAAGTTTTCACAGCATCACCTTAGAATAGAGGTGGAATAGTACAAGAATGTGCAGAAGACAGCAGGATTCCTTGAAGCCAAAGAGGTTACCATAGATTTATTCAGGCAGGAATACTTTGTCCTAGGAACTCAGCTTCTTCTAAGCAGTCTACCAACTTGAGATCAAATTTTCAATTGCATTCAGATGGTGTTGCTTCTGTTCTTAATAGCACAGACACGTTCATCTTCCCCACTAAAATGAGCTCCTGCCTGGCATGACTGTGTGTAGCCAGCTCAGTCTACTTAATTGGCATTGGGAGCACAAAATGGGGCAATTCCGTGGTATATGGGAATGGAATGTCCTCAAATTCAGAATACGTGATGCTGTATTTCCATTCCCAAAGGATGGGATGAAGGTCAATGGCCAGTTTCTCCTGGGTAAGGATAGAGTCATTATTTGGAGGCATAATTAAGAACCATGTCCATGCAAGGGTTTAGGAAATTGGTCCTCAATTTTAATCACACATTAGAATCTCCAGGGGAATTTAAATAATACCAGTGCCCAGGCATTATGCTGAGAGGCTCTAATTTAATTAATTTTGGGTAGGACCCTGGCATCAGTATTTTTTAATCTCCCCAGGTGATTGTGACACGTAGTCAGAGCTGAGAACCTCTCATTTAAGACAAAACTAATTGAACATGATTTAAACAGGAAACCATTTGTTCAGGTATGCAAAGGCAGTGGAACTAATGGTTGAAGTGACTGAGGGATTTAATGAGTCTGAAGAGATTATTCTGTGGTGAGCAGGAAGGGAAACAAGTACCAGGAAGTAATTGTTTCATTTAGCATTTCTCTTGGGCTTCAGAATGATATATTTACATATTGGAAGGATATGTTTATGGTACTCTCAATATGCACCTCAGAAAGATTTTTAAACCATCTCTTACAGGCATAGACAAAAGGCCAGCCACAACCAGAGGCTTGCTAGCCAATTGTTGTCTTAACTATAGTAGAATCAAGGAAGGATTTGAGTCCAGGGAACTGAGACAAGGGAAAGCAGAACAGACTCCATCAAACTTCTCTCTCTCTCTCTCTCTCTCTCTCTTTTTTTTTTAATAGAGACAAGGTCTCGCTCTGCTACCCAGCTGGAGTGCAGTGGTGCAATCATAGTTCACTATAGCCTCGAACTTCTGGGCTCAAGCAATCCTACCACCTCAGCCTCCCAAATAGCTAGGACTACAGGCACGAAGCACTGCATCCAGCTAATTTCTTATTTTTGTAGAGACAGGGTCTCCCTATGTTGCTCAGGCTGGTCTTGAGGTCCTGGGCTCAAGCAATCTTCCCACCTCAGCTTCCCAAGATGCTGGGATTACAGCTGTGTGTCACCACACAGAGCCCAAACTTCTCTCTTGTTTGTACTCTCAACTCCCTGGACCCTTATCTTTCCTTTTTTTAAACTGTATTTGTTGAGTTAGTATGTATCAGGCCAGATAAGTATTGAGTACAGAAAATAAAAAAGTGAAGACATTAACTTAGGGCTTGATTGCCAGTACGAGAGCTGATGGTCTAGCTTTTCCTTCCTTCTCATTCAAGTTTTTTAAGCAGCATATTACATTCCATCTGTCAGCTTTCCCACCTCCAATTCAGATCAATCTTCCATCCTTTCCATTGCCCTATAACTTGTAAAGTTTTAATCACCCAGTGGGTTCTTCCTGTCCACTGCACAGACAAAATCAGCTCACTGAGACCAAGGCATTGCAGTAAAGAGTTTAATTAATTCAAGTCCACCCATGTGGCAGATGGAGTTATTACTCAAACTAGTCTCCCCAAAGGCTTGAAGGTTAGGATTTTTATGGCAATTTTATGAGCAGGGGGCTAGGGAATGGATGCTTCTGATGGGTTGGGGATGAAATAATAAGAGTGTGGAAAATGGTCCTCATGCACTGGGTCCACCTCTGGGTGGGACCACAGTACAGTTGAGTCTGGGTGGAGTCAGTCAGAAAAACATCTTTAAAAAAACCAATCAGGCCTGGCGTGGTGGCTCATACTTGTAATTCCAGCACTTTGGGAGGCTGAGGCAGGTGGATCACCTGAGGTCGGGAGCCTAACCAACATGGAGAAACCAGCCTAACCAACAAGGAGAAACCCCATCTCTACTAAAAATAGAAAATTAGCCAGATGTTGTGGTGCATGCCTCTAATTACAGCTACTCGGGAGGCTGAGGCAGGAGAATCACTTGAACCCGGCAGGCGGAGGTTGCAGTGAGCCAAGATCGTGCCATTGCACTCCACCCTGGGCAACAAGAGTGAAACTCCATCTCAAAAAAAACACAAACAAACAAAGAAAAAAACCAATCTTAGGTTCTACAATAGTGATGTTACCTATAAGAACAATTGGGGAAGTCACAAATCTTGTGACCTCCTGCCACAACTCCTGAGCATTTAGGGATTATAGAAACTACACCTACAATGAATGTGTCAATCAAATTAAAATTAAAATACATATAACTGTTGAAGAAATGGTTTTCTAGGAAAAAAAATAGAGTAAAATATTTTATATCTTTTTTTTTTTTTTTTTGAGACAGGGTCTCACTCTGTTACCCAGGCTGGAGTGCAGTGGTGTGATCATAGCTCACTGCAGCCTTGAACTCCTGGACTCAAGCAATCCTCCTACCTCAGCCTCCCAAGTAATTGGAACTACAGGCATGCACCACCATATCCAGTTTATTTGTGTTATTTTTTGTAGAGATGGGATCTCACTATGTTGCCCAGGCTGGTCTCAAACTCCTGGGCTCAAGCAATCCTCCCACCTCGGCCTCCCAAATTGCTGAGATTACAGGCATGATGAGCCACTGTGCCTGGCCAGGTTTTATATCTTTTTAATGAGAAAAAGAATTACACGTCAATGAGATGCTTAAGACAGAGTTTGAATCTCTTCCGTTTTTCCTGAGTCTGATAAAACAATCAACATCCTTTATAGTCAGTACTTCTGGGAGAAACCCAAAAAAGAAGCAGGAAGAGAGGATATTTAGAATTTATTTCTTAGGATATAATAAGAACAAGAGCAATACATAGAGCAGTCTCTATGTGTATTTGCATAGAGAGTATGGCTCATCAGCTGAAAGAAACTCAGACAGTATAACAAACTTTCCTTGCATTTCTCAAGGTACCTGATAGAAAATCCACTCATAACTCAAAACAAAATTTCTTAAATCCTTTTTTTTTTATTCTTCCCAATTTTTTCACACCTCCCCACCAAGAAAACTGTCTCTCTCCAGCAGCTAGCTAGGTACGCAACCCCCTACACATCTTCATCGCTTCTTCCCACTCATCTCTTAGTTTCCCAACTTAACTATTTTCCCTTTTCTCTAATCTTTCTTGTCTTATACCTATCCACTAGTTTTTCAAATTCCAGATACTTTTTTTTTAGACACAGGGTCTCACTATGTTGCTCAGGCTGGTCTCAAACTCCTGGGCTCAAGCGATCCTCCCACCTTGGCTTCCCAAAGTGCTGGGATTATAGGTGTGTGCCATCACACCCAGCCCCAGATAATTTTAAAATCCTGGAATCACACTGGTAGAGACAGAACTCTCCTTAGACACTAAAAAGAGGAGAGAATCTGTGTAAATGAATATAAAATTACCTTTAGTTAGTAAAAGGGTGGGAGAACTCATTCTTTATGAATAAATCTTGTTTCCACCACATTCATTTATATAGTATGTAGCTGAATGGGAACTCATCCACACCATATGCCCACTGACTTCTAAGTCTGGAGGGAGGCAAAGCAACTCAGATTCAGAGTTCTCTGTCTCCTCCATAAAAGTAAACTGCCTCTAACGTATCTCTTCCACAGCATACATAGCACCAAGAATACTCTAAGGAAGTCCCTTCAATGTTTCCAGCAAAAGTCAAAATAGAGGATGACTTCTGGAATGCCAGTGGAGTGAGGATTTTGCCAGGACTACTCCCCCTAAAAACCAAACATTATAAGCATGCAACAATTTAATGTCTCTTCAAATTTCCCTAAGGAAGGGCATACAGCAAATGAAGAAATATACTAAATATTGGTAAGAACAGCAAGAATCTATGGCATTTAACCCATGACCCACTCCCTCCCTCACCCCCTGAGCTCAGCTTAAGGAAAGTTTCAATCTGGGTAGGCGAGGCTAAGAACACAGGGCTCCCTGTCTCTCCAGTTCCCAGTCAGAAGCTATGAAATCTTGCCAGGAGAGTCATGTTGCTAGCATTGCTCATCCCCCAACTTCAAGCTTCCTGTGGCAGAGGCTAAATTCTAGGTGAATATAGCCAAGACAGTGAGGGCTCCCTGCCTCCACCCAGTTTCCACACAAAGGGTGGAGGGTCTACCCCAGTCTGGTATAGCAGGCCAAAAACACTGAAGGCCTAATAACCCTCACTGATATGGTTTGGCTGTATCACCACCCAAATTTCACCTTGAATTGTAATAATACCCAAGTGTCAAGGAGAGGGCCAGGTGAGATAACTGAGTCATGGGGGCAGTTTCCCCCATACTGTTCTCATGGTATTGAATAAGTCTCAGAATATCTGATGGTTTTACAAATGGGAGTTCCTCTGCATAAGGGTGACACCAGTCTGGGGTTGGACGGGTAGTTGCTGGGTAGGTGTCCTTGAAGAATTATTACTTTGTGTTTAAGATTATCATGACCTTTGTATAAGGTTGCGGTTTTGCAGAGTCTTTTGTAATAGTTTTTATCAAGCATTTATGCATGAGAACCGTACCTTCATGGCGCTCCTCAGCTCTATTTGTCAGATTGTTTCTTTTGTTTTGTTTTTAACACAAGGAATTCATTCCATTTTTATTCTAATAACCTTCACGTGTAACTCACACACAGGAAAAAAAAGGCAGACAGCAAAAAAAATGCCTGTGACAAAATTCAGATATATAGATAAGGACTTCATATGAGCCATTATAAATATGTTCAAAGAACTAAAGAAAACTATGCTTCAACCAGTAATGGAAGGTATGATGGCACTGTCTCATGAAATAAAAAATGTCAATAAAGAGATATAAATTATTTTTAAAGGACCAAATGGAACATCTGGAGTTGAAGAATGCAATAACTGAAATAAAAAATTCACCAACAAAGCTCCACAATAGATCCAAACTAGCAGAAGAAACAGTGACTGTGTAGATAGATTAATAGAGATGTTGCAGTCAAAAAAAAAGAGAAAGAGATTAAATAATGGTGAAAAATGAACACAGCCTCAGAGAAATATAGGACATTATTAAGAGCAACAAATACACATAACGAGAGTGCCAGAGGAGAAGAGAAAGAAAAAGGAGCAGAAAAAATATGTGAAGAAATAATGGCTGAAAACTTCTCAAAATTGATAAAAAACATAAATCTACATATCCAAAAAGTTCAAAACCTCCAACAATAAATGCAAAGAATAAATGCAAAGAGATATACTTCATAGTAAAATGTTGACAGCCAGAGATAAAGGGTACATCTTGAAAGCAGAAAGAAAAAACTACTTATAAAGCAGTGTTCTCCAACCTTTTCAGCACCAGAGACCAGTTTCATGGAAGACAATTTTTCCACAGACTGGGAGTGGGGGTTGGGGATGGGAGTGGCAGGGGTGGTTTTGGGATAAAACTGTTCCATCTCCAATCATCAGGCATTAGATTCTCATAAGGAGTGTGCAACCTAGATCCCTCACATGTGTGGTGCACAATAGGGCAGGTGCTCCGATAAGAATCTAATGTCACCACTGATCTGACAGGAGGTGGAGCTCAGGCGGTCATGCTTACTCACCTGTCACTCACTTCCTGCTGTGCAGCCTGATTCTTAACAGGCCATGGACAGGTATTGGTTGGCTACCCAGGGGTTGAGGAGCCCTGTTATAAAGTACAAGGGAACCCTAATAAGATTAACAGCTGACTCCTCATCAGAAACAATGGAGGCCAGAAACAATCATGTGATTCATTTAAATTGCTGAAAGAGTAAAACTTTTAATAAGGATCATATATCCCACAAAACCATCTTTTAAAAATAAAAGCAAAAGAGGCCAGGCATGGTGGCTCACACCTGTAATCCCAGCACTTTGGGAGGCTGGGGCGGGCAGATCACCTGAGGTCAGGAGTTTGAGACCAGCCTGACCAACATGGAGAAACCCTGTCTCTACTAAAAATACAAAAAAATTAGCCGGGTGTGGTGGCACATGCCTGTATTCCCAGCTACCTGGGAGGCTGAGGCAGGAGAATCGCTTGAACCCGGGATGTGGAGCTTGCGGTGAGCCAAGATTGCATGCCATTGCACTCCAGCCTGGGTAACAAGAGTGAAACTCCATCTCAAAAAATAAATAAATAAATAAAATAAAATAAAAATAAATAAAGGCAAAAGAAAGACATTCCGAAGAAAACAAAAACTGAAATAACTTGTTGCTAGTAGACTCTCTTTACAAGAAACACTAAAGGAAGCTCTTCAGGCTGAAAGCAAGTGATCTCAGACAATAATTAGAATGCACAGAAATAAACAAAAAGCACCAGTAAAGGTAATTATGTAATTATAGAAGATAGCAAAAATGCATTTTTTCTCCTTTCATCTCTTAACTTATTGGAAAAACAAATGTACAAAACAGTATGTATCTTTTTGCATAATCAGGCCTACAACATATGCCAATGTAAAGTGTCTTAAAATAACAGAACAAAGGAGGGGATGGAAGAGAAGCTGTATTGGAAAAAAGGAAATAATACCAGATGGTAACTTGAATCAACAGGAACAAAGAAAGAGACCAGAAATGTTGTAAGTAAGAAAGGTAATATAACACCCTCTATAAATATATTGTTGCTGTCCTTTATTCTAGCAGCTTCTTTAAAATACATAAAATTATACAAAGTAATAATTATAACAATGTATTCTTGGTCTTGTAACATATAACTAGAATATGTATAACAATAATACCACAAATAAGAGAAGCAGGACTAGAAATATATAGGAGTAATGTTTCAATATCTCACTGGACTTAAGTTAGTGTAAATCTAAAGTACAATTGACCCTTGAACAAACAACACAGGTTTGAACTGCACAGGTCAACTTATATGTGGATTTTCCTACACCTCTGCTTCCTCCACTTCCAACCTGAAGACAACAAGAATGAAGACCTTTATGATGATCCACTCAATGAATAGCAAATACATTTTCTCTTCCTTATGATTTTCTTAATAAAATTTTCTTTCACCTAGCTTACTTTAAGAATACAGTATATAATAAATGTAACATACAAAATATATGTTAATTGACTGTTTATGTTATCCATAAAGCTTCAGTTCAACAGTAAGCTCTTAGTTGAATCTGGGGGGAGTCAAAAGTTATACATGGATTTTCAACTGCATTGTGGGGGTGGCTCCCCAAACCCCACATCATTCAAGGTCAACTGTAGATACCATTAAGTTATGATGTGCATGGTAAGCCCTAGAGCAACCACTGAGAAAATAAATGTAGTGAAAAAAATCATTAAAGGAATTAAGTTTTTCCACTAGAAAATATTCACTTAGTACAAATGAAAGCAACAAAGGGCAGAAGAACAAAACAGCCATGAAACATACAGAAAACAAAAAGTTAAATGACAGACATTAATTTAATTGTATCAATAATAATATTAAATATAAATGATGAAACAATTAAACTAAAAGACAGAAATTATCACACTGGATTAAAAAAATAAGATCCTATCATATGCTGTCTACAGATGCAAACTTTTGAATGAAAGATACAAATGGGTTGAAAATAAAAAGATAAAAAGGATATATCATGAAAAGGGCATGTAAAAACTCTTGAACATGGCCGGGTGTGGTGGCTCACACCTGTAATCCCCGCATTTTGGAAGGCTGAGGTGGGCAGATCACTTGAGGCCAGGAGTTCCAGACCAGCCTAGCCAACATGGTGAAACCCTGTCTTTACTAAAAATACAAAAAAATTAGCCAGGCATGGCAGTGCACGCCTGTAGTCCCAGCTACTCAGGAGGCTGAGGTGAGAGGATTGCTTGAGCCCCGGAGACAGGGTGCAGTGAGCCAAGATTTCTCCACTGCACTCCAGCCTGGGCAACAGAGCGAGACTCTGTCTCAAAACAACAACAACAACAACAACAACAACAACAAAACAACAAAAAAACAACTCTTGAACAAGGAGATTTGATGAGTTTCACAGGGAGGTGCTGGGGGTGGCCTGTCCAGAGAACATGGAAACTCAGTGTTCCTCTCCCCTACACCTTGCATCTCTTCCATCTGATTGGTCCTGAGTTGTATCCTTTATAATAAACCAGTCAATGTTAGCAAAGCATTTCTCTGAGTTCAGTAAATGTAAAGCATTTCCCTAAGCTATTCTGTCAAACACAGAAGTGGGTCATGGGAGCCCTTAATTCATAGCTAGTAAGCCCTCAAGTTGTGGAATCTGATGCTAACTCCAAGTATATAGGGTCAGAATTAAATTAAATTGTAAGACACCCAATTGATGTTCAGAGAGTTGGAGAAGTGCTTGGTGCAGAAAAAAAAATTCACGCATCTGGTATCCAAAGTGTTGGCTGAAAGTGTAGAGAAACAGAGTGTGTTTTGCTCAACCACGGACAATTGGAGACAAATACTGCACCTTCAGCACTACATAGAACAGTTATGCAGAACACGAACAAGAAAACAGAAGACTTGAACAACACTGTAAACCAACTAGACCTGAGAGACATCTATTCAACACTTCACCCCAAAACAGCAGAATACACATTCTCCTGAAACACAGAACATTCTCCAGAGGAGACCATATGTTAGGCTATAAAACACATTCCAATAAATTGAATAGGACTGGAATCATATATGTTATCAGATCACAATGGAACGAAATTAGAAGTTAGTAACAGAAAAAAAAATTGGTAAATTTATAAATATGTGAAAATTACACAACATACTACTAAATAATCAATGAGACAAAGAAGAAGCCACAAGCAAAATTAGATAATAAAATGAATGAATAAAAAGACATAATGCACCAAAACTAATGCAATGCAGCTAAATCAATTGTAGGAACCAAGGGAAAAACTTCCCTTTCACCCTCTGAAGTTTTGCTGAAAAGTCAACTACTCACAAAAGGCAGATTAATTAGAGAAAAGGCATACAAATGTATTAACATGTTTACAGAAAGAACCACAGAGTGATCACCCATCCACCAACAGAGTTCAGAAGCTTATATACCATTTTGAGGTTACACAAAGAATGGGGCTTGGATCCTGGCAAAACAGATTATGGGAGAGAGGAGAAAAAGAATTCTGTTGAGGGGCAATAAAGAGGAACAGAGATTAACTGGTACATAATTCTCTTTGGATTTGAATGACCCTGGGAGAAAGACATTATCTTGTGAAAGGGTCAGTTCAGATCTTGCTTCGTGCTTGGTCTTACAGGGAGAAGAAAAAACTGGCTTTTCATTTGTTTGTTTGTTTGTTTGATATGGGGTCTCACTCTGTCTCCCAGGCTACATTGCAGTCACATGAACATGGCTAACTGCAGCCTTAGCCCCCTGAACTCAAGTGATCCTCCCTCCTCAGCCTCCCAAGTAGCTGAGACCACAGGTGTGCACCACCACACTTGACTAATTTTTAAACTTTTTTTGTAGAGACAGGGTCTCACTATGTTGCTTGGGCTGGTCTTGAACTCCTGGGCTCTAACAATCCTCTCACCTTAGTCTCCCAAAGTGTTGGGATTACAGTTGTGAGCCACCACACCCAGCCAAAACCATTGTTTTTGTTGTTGTTGGTCAGGATTTGGGGCAGATAAAGGAGCTTTGGAGAACAACTTCCTCAAGGCTTTGTGAGAGTAGGTGGTAGGGGGAGGTCAGAGAGACCATAAGGCTTCTTCTTCATTTCAGCATGTCAAAGCACCACATTTTGGGGCTTCAGTTTTTGAGCCCCAACACAATACTCAAAGGGAAATTTTAAGCTGTAGACATCTATATTAACAGAGAAGAATAATAATCTAAACTTGCAGCTTAAGACACTGGAAGAAGGTCGGGCATGGTGGCTCCCGCCTGTAATCCCAGCACTTTGGGAGGCCAAGACAAGAGGATCACTTGAGGTCAGGAGTTCGAAACCAGCCTGGTCAATATGGTGAAACCCCGCCTCTACTAAAAATACAAAAATTAGCCAGGCATAGTGGCACATGCCTGTAGTCCCAGCTACTTGGGAGGCTGAGGCAGGAGAATAGCTTGAACCTGGGAGGCAGAGGTTGCAGTGAGCCGAGATTGCACCACTGCACTCCAGCCTGGGCAACAGAGCGAGACTCCATCTCAAAAAAAATAAATAACTAAAATTTAAAAAAACACTTGGAAGAAGAAGAACAAATTAAATTGGGAGCAAACAGAAGAAAGAAAATACTAAAGGTGAAGGCAAAAAAAAAAAAATAGAAAACAACAGAGAAAATCAAAGAAGCCAAAAATTAGTTATTTGAAAAGATAAAGAAAATGGAATTTTAGCTGCACTGACAAAAAATTAAGAGAGAGGAAACACTTAAAATTTTAAAATCAATAATAAAAGAGGGAACATAACGATCACCTTATAGAAATCGTAAGAGTTATAGGTGACTACCATAAAAAACAGTATGCCAACAAATTAGATAACATAGAAGAAATAAAATTTTCTTTTATATATATATTTTTTTTGTAGAGACAGGGTCTCACTATGCCACCCAGGCTGGTCTCAAACTCCTGGCCTCAAGCAATCCTCCTGCCTCAGCTTCCCAAGCACTGGGATTATGAAAAAATTCTTTAAAAGACACAAGTTGTTGTGGCCGGGCTCAGTGGCTCACGCCTGTAATCCCAGCACTTTGGGAGGCCAAGGTGGGCGGATCACTTGAGGTCAGGAGTTCTAGACCAGCCTGACGAACATGGTGAAACCCCATCTGTACTAAAAATACAAAAATTAGCCGTGTGTTGTGATAGGCACCTGTAATCCCAGCTACTCTGGAGGCTGAGGGATGAGAATCACTGGAACCCAGGAGGTGGAGGTTGCAGTGAGCTGAGATTGTGCTCTGAAGCACAAATCCCATTCTGCCTTGAGGCCAGGGCCCAGTCTTTTGCATGAAGGGTTGGTCAGTCTGTGTGCTGTCTGTAGGAGGAAGTAGGGGCTAAGTGGGCCAAGGCAATGCTCTGCCAAGCCCATGTTCTGGAGAAAGGGGGTAGCAATGAGCACTAAGCAGCCAGCACTCACTGTAGCAGGGGCCTGGGCGGGCATGGTTAAAGGTACTGCACTATTTGTTCAGGAATTAATATCTCTTAAGAAATGGCTGCCACTCTTTCAGTGATTACGTACCAAGCACTGTACTCAAAAATGGGCTTAGATTTTCTCATTTAATCCCCACACCACCATGGAGAGATAAACAACTTTTTTCCTCCTTTTGCAGATGAAGAAACTAAAGCTAAGTAACCTTAAATAAGGTTTGATATTACAGATAATAGGCCAGGTGAGATGGTTCACGCCTGTAATCCCAGCACTTTGGGAGGCCAAGGTGGGAGGATCACCTGAGGTCAGGAGTTCAAGACCCACCTGGCCAACATGGTGAAACTGCATCTCTACTAAAAATACAAAACTTAGCTGAGTGCAGTGGCAGGCACCTGTAATCCCAGCTACTTGGGAGGCTGAGGCAGGAGAATCACTTGAACCTGGGAGACAGAGATTGCAGTGAACTGAGATCATGTCTCTGCACTCCAGGCCTGGGAGACAAAGTGAGACTCCGTCTCAGAAAAAAAAAGAAATTACAGATAATAAGAGGCAGAGCCTGGATGAGAATCTAAGGTGATTTACTCTAATGTCCAAGCTGTGAACCACCATTTGGTCATTATAATGAGTCTATAAGTTTTATATCCCCAATCTACAAATAAGGTTTTATCAGATCCATTAATGTACCTGTACTTATGTAACTGGTATGTACTAGACATTAATGACACACAGACCATTGAAATGGCATGATAAAACATATGTTACACCTGACCCATTTCACTCAGTGACAGAGCAAGATCCTGTAACAAAAAAAAAAAAAAAAAAAGACGAAAAATTCACAGAGTTCTAAAAGAAGCATAGATGAAAGATATGGATTGGTTTGGTACCAGTAAGAATGATTTCAGCTGCAAATAATAGAAAACCTAATTTTAGCTGGCTTCAACAATAATTGAATTATTGATTCAATTATTCAATTGATTTATTGTCTTACATACCAAGTAGTCTTGAGGAATGACATTTCCAGGGCAATTAACTCAGTAACTCAATGTTAGTTTCAAAGTTCCAATTATTTCCATCTTTCTGTTCTTCCATTTCAGCCCTTTGGCCTTTCTCTTAGGCATGTCCCCTCATGATCACAAGAGGACTGCCATAGCTCTACATGTCACCTCCTCACCAATAACATCCACAAACTAGAAAAGAGATATTTTTCTTAGGCTCTCTCAAAAAGAAAAAAAAGACACATTTATTCAGTGCCATGATCAGACTGTTACATTTAGCAATCAACAGCATGGATGCAAATTTTAAAAAATCTACATTAAAACCCTTTGTTGGAATGCTTTACACTTTCCACAGAACAGAAACTAAAATAACCTGTTATACAATTAGTCACAAATACAGTCCTCAAGTTTTTTGCCCATACACATGAGTATTTGTCTAAAACATGTCTTCTTTGTAGCAGCTAGGTCCTGCCACCACTGCATTTGGCTGAGGTCACAATCTGTTGTAACCCGTAGCTTCCCTGTCACTTCTCTAGCTCTCCTCTCCTGCTAAGCTTTGTTTCCTGGCAGTAATTAAAATTTTCTGACACTGCCATAGCTACTACATTACTAGAATGGCCATATCCACCTTGGTTTTGTGGTTTGGCACATTATTGGCCTCCACCACCATAGGGGCCAGAACTTCTGCTTGCAAAGTTTCCTCCCTTCAAGGGTCCAAAATTTGAAGACTGATTGTTATAATTGCCAAATCACTGTAGCTTTTACCACCTCCAAAATTGCTTCCATCATTACCAAATCCATTATAGCCATCCCCACTGCTGCCATATTCAACACCACCACGGCTGCCACTAAAGCCACCACAACCACTGAAGTTTCCTACATGACCAAATTTGTCATTCCCACCAAAACCACCTCCACAACCACCACAAAAGTTTCCAAAACGACTTTGACCTCTTTGGCTGGTGAAGCACTAGCCATCTCTTGCTTTGACAGGGCTTTCCTAACTTTACAGCTGTGGCCATTCATAGTATGGTGTTTTTGAATGCCAATCTTATCTACGGACTCATGGTTGTCAAAGGTTGCAAAGGCAAAGGCCCTTTTCTTGCCACTGCCTCGGTCAGTCATGATTTCAATCACTTCAATTTTTCCATACTACTCAAAATAATTTCTTAGGTGATTTCTTCAGTGTCTTCTTTAATGCTGTCAGCATATATCTTTTTCACAGTTAAGTGGGCACCTGGTCTTTGAGAATCTTCTCTTGAGACAGCTCTTTGGTTCCACAACTCTTCCATCCACCTTGTGTGGCCTTGCATTCATGGCTGCATCCACCTCCTCCACAGTGGCATATGTGACAAACCCAAAGCCCCTGGAGCACTTGGTGTTCGGATCTCTCATGACCACACAGTCCATGAGCATTCCCCATTGCTCAGAATGGCTCCTCAGGCTCTCATCAGTTGTTTCAAAGCTCAGCTCTCCAATAAAGAGCTTCTGCAGCTGTTCGGGCTCTTTTGGAGACTCTGAGTTTGACATGAGAGCAGTGGGAAGAGAGACTTTAATGATGCTTCCTCGGTGGTGTCCACAGGCAGAAAGCTAAGGTTCCTTTTTAAGGTAAGAAACACTTTCCCAGAACCTCCCAGCAGATTTCCCTTGTGTTAGTAATTAGAATTACATCACATGATTATTTCTAACACAGTCACTGGCAAGGGAAACAGAATTATTACAATTGGCTTAAATCAGTCAAGATTCAACCCCTAGGTCCAGGAAGAGGCCCCTGCCACCTCCGATGCATGGCACCACTAAAAATAGCAGAGTGTTGTTAAGTGGAAAGAAGAGAGGATATGGGGAGGCAGCTGAGGTCTGCCATGGTGTGAAACAAGGAAGGTGCCCTAGATAAGGCAATCCTTGAGCTAAATTTTAACATGCTAGTAGAGATATGCCAGGTTAAGTGAACATAGGAAGGAGTGGCTTGAGGAGCAGGCAGGGCTAGAGAGGGGCATTCTAGACAAGGAGACAACATGAACAGAAGCATAAAGGCTAAGGAGAGAGTGAAAAACTATAAGCTATTTGCTGAGTTATAAAATGAAAAAAGATGAGATTATTGAGCTAGCAAGTCAAGTCAACTAGGTTTGTCTGTCTGCAAGCAGAATTGTATGAAACTAGAAGAGATAGGTCAAACCTTCTTTGGATTTCCGTCAGACAGATTTTCAACAAACGGCCAGTTTCCCTAAGATATCAAAATGAAAAATTTAAAAACTCACAAGTTCAGATAATAGCTTTAAAACAACCCTCCTGTTCTTCCAAGGCACCTCCTTTTACCCATCTAGTAACCAAATTTCCACATTCTCCCTCTCTTTCTCTCCTTTAGGCAGCACAGGTATGCAAGACAGGGCCCAGATCTTTCAATAACCTGTGGACACTGGACTGACCACTTCTTGGAGTGGCTTGGGATAAAGTGAAAGGTCTTGCCATAAGACATCCCATTATGTGTGAGGCTCTTTTCCTTGAAAGCATTTTTCATGTAAGCTTTCCTGGCATACCTGTATGTTCTCTTACTTTCACTGAATATATTTGACTGGGAAATTGGAAATAGCTTAGAGAAATTGAAAAGGGAGACATGAGGCTGCCTACTAGTAGAATTGAGGCCCTTTCCTAATTGACTTTCTCCTCCTACTGGGCAACCTTTGGACTCATGGTGCTCTTATGGAATCATACCTGACCTAAAATTCATGACTTCAAGAGTGATCTCCAACTGCCCTCCCCACAACACCTATGTAATCTAATAATTTGGGCTTTGACTGTAATCACAAATTCTCTCCCTCTATTGGGACCCACTATGGTCTGAATGTGTCCCCAAAAATTCATGTTGAAACTTCATTGCCAAAAGAGGTGGGGCTGGCTGGGCATGGTGGCTCATGCCTGTAATCCCAACACTTTGGGAGGATGAGGTGGGCGGATCATTTGAGGTCAGGAATTCAAGACCAGCCTGGCCAACATGGCAAAACCCCGTCTCCACTAAAAATACAAAAATTAGCCAGGGGTGGTGTGGGTGCCTGTAATTCCAGCTACTCGGGGCACTGAGGCAGAAGAATCACTTGAACTCGGGAGGCAGAAGTTGCAGTGAGCCGATAGGGTGCCACTGCACTCCAGCCTGGGTAACAGAGCAAGACTCCATCTAAAAAAAAAAAAAAGAAAAGAAAAAAGAAAAGAGGTGGGGCCTCTAGGGGGTGATTAAGGCATGACAGCAGAGCCCTCATGGATCGTATTACGGCCCTTATTTTAAAAAACTTGAGGAAGTGGATTTGCTGTCGTCCATTCTTTCACCAGGTAAGGACACCTAGGCAGGGTCATCTATGAGGAATGAGCCCTCACCAGACACCAAACCTGCTAGTGCCTTGATCTTAGACTTCCCAGCCTCCAGGACTGTGAGAAAATAAATTTCTGTTCTTTGTAAATTACCCAGTCTCAGGCATTTTGTTCTAGAAGCACAAATGGACTAAGACAGGACCATAGCTATGAACACCATTCCATAAACTGCCTAATAGAAAACTGCATGATTCTCACACCAGGACCTATGAAGACAGAGTGCAGCCAGGGTCCACAAATGCACATCCTCTGTGTTCCTGCTCCTGAACCTGGGGAGGGAGTCTCTAACCAACTGTAGATGGTGAAAGATCTGTTTAATATTGAGTCTACATGTCACCTTATCATCTTATATAGGTTCAATGCTCCACAAAGCCAAAAACTATTTATCAGACATGGTATGAAAAAGATCAATTTTTCTGTCCTATACTAGTTAGGCAGTCCCATCTGTAGGGATAAAAGGAATGAAGGGCCTGGGAATAGGCCATGTTATTACACAAGGTGCCCAAATAAAAGGAACTTGGTTTATGAAGTGCTGACAAGAAATGACTGAGTAGCACAAAGACAGAAGAACTCTTTCTGGTTGGGGTGATCAGGAATCACTGTTTTGGCTATGGTAAGGATGACTAATCTTGGGATTCTGAGCCAAAACGCCATTTACACCAATAATAATAATATGCTGAAACTAATTAATACTTTATTCCAAGTCACTCCAGGCATCTAAATAATAGGAAAGATCGATTTTTAAAATTATTTCCAAATTCCCCACAAGAGAAGTAAAAACCTATAATCACTGAAAATTTCTAATTTAATAAGAACAGAAAGCAGATGAAAACATGTTTATAGCTCATGTCTGCCAAAGAGAATTAACTACTATGCACTTTAAAACTCTTCTTTCACTGGGAGATTAGGTGCAATAAAGCCCAGCACATCTTGTCTCAACCATGAAATAAAATGATCATCTGCTTATCTATCATTTACTTCACACAGAGGGCTCGCACCAATAAAACTGAAATTTTATAGAGCTATGAAGGAAGACAAAATCCATAAAACATTCCATACACTTTTATAGCTTAAAGATGCCTCTCAGAAAGGTGAACCACATATTTACAAACAAGCCTACCTTATTGTCCTTTCTTTCTTCAGACTGCCTTTTTTCACAGTATAGTAATTCCCCAGGTATTCAGAGCTCAGATTCCAGCAGCTCTTTAGGTATCTGAGCATGATCATTGTGATTGGAATTTTCTTATTAGGAGGAAAATATTCTCAGCACTGTTGTCTAATGTCTGCTGAGCAGAGGCAGCCCTGAGCTGAGAGTAGGTAAAATTGCCACCCCGAGGGAATCTCTTTGAATCTGCTGTGATTCTGGAGGCTGCCCGATTCAAAACAATAAAAATAAAAATGTTTTAAATTGCCAAACCCCCTACTCACTGAAGCAGGAGAAAAAGAGATAGGACCAGAGATCATAAGCAAGAGTTGGGAGGTTTTTCTTCCCAAACAGACAAGCAGCCTCTCTTCTGGAATCAGCACGCACTTCGGGGCCTTCTTTTGCTGAATCTTTGATCTTTTGGCCTCTGAACTGTGTCTGTTCAATTCTGTGGAAATTTATTTAACAACACTATAATCCAGGCATTGGAGAGATAATGAGGCCCCTCAGGAGCTTATTGAGTGGTAGAGAAACAGACAAGCAAACAGATGATTCCAATGCAGTCTGTTATGAGTCAAATAGAAGCAGGCACCAGCTGTGGTGGAGGATGGGGATGAGGTTAACCCTGTTAGAGAGTGAAGGGGTTGTGGAGATATTATGGAAGGGTTCTCAGAAGAGCTGATGCTTCAACATAATTGAATTGATGTATTATGATTTGTTAAATACTAACATTTCATATCTATTAATGAGATTAAAATATATATAGACTACTTAATTTAAAAAAAACATAATGCCTGTTTTCTCATAAAATCATATAAGAAAATACTACCTACAAGAAACCACACACCTTGACCCTATTGTCACCATGGACAGGTCTCTGATTACTTCTTTTATCCCTTCAAAGGATTCCTGCCCTGGAGGGGAGAGAGATCAGAAAATGCAATTAGAATAACGTGGGAGATAAAATAAAATAAAGATCCAGGTAACAAGAAGAAAAGAAGGAGAATATACTTTTCTGTGACTTCAGACTTTCCATCTGCAGCAGCATAAGCTGGAGAAACGAAGATGATTTCACTTAAAACCAAGATGAAATATTTGACTATGACATGGAACTGGAAAGCATCTTTGGTTATCTGAAAATGATGAGAAAAGCTAGGGGAATGGCATTAAATTTTATACAAGGACAAAGAAAGGACTAGCTGCTGACTGGGTACAGTGGCTCATGTCTGTAATTCCATCACTTTGTGAGGCCATAGGGGGAGGATTGTTTGAGGCCAGGAGTTCCAGATAGGCCTGGTCAACATAATGAGACCCTGTCTTTACTTAAAAATAAAAATTAAAAGAACTAGTGCCACAGAATAATAAAAGGGGAATAGTAAACATGATTAAATTGCCTCATAAACTCCAAAGCAGTGCTTGTTCAACATAAGAAATGCAGGCTAAGTCAAGGAGAAGGAGAAGGTGAAGGAGGGGAAGAGGGAAGAAAAAGGAGGAGGAGGAGGAGGTGGTGGAGGAGGAGGAGGAGGAGAAGGAGAAGACATAACATAATGACACTATGCTAAGTGAAATAAGCCAGACGCAAAAGGAGAAATAGTGTATAATTCCACTTATGTGAGTATGATGGTTAAATATTTTGTTTACCTTTTGTTTTTGTAGAGACGAGTCTCACTATTATTGCCCAGGCTGGTCTCAAACTCCTGGCCTCAAGTAATCCTTCTGCCTCAGCCTCCTGAGTCACAGGGATTACAGGATGAGGATGATTAATTGTATATGTTGACATCAGTTCTTCCCTGGGTCTCCAGCCTGCTGGCCTTGCCATTCCTGAAAATAAATCAATCTCTCTCTCTCTCTCAATCAATCTCTGTCTCTATATGTGTATGTGTGTGCGTATAATGTATGTGTACACACACATGCACACACACACGCACAGACACACACACATCCTATTGGTTCTGTTTCTCTAGAAAACCGTAACTACTATAATGAGGTACCTAGAGTGGTCAAAATCAAGGAGACAGAATGTTAAATAGTGATTGCCAATGGCTAGGGGAAGGGGGAATACAGAGTTATTGTTTAATGGTCAGAGTTTCAGTTTTGCAAAATGAAAAGAGTTATGGGGATGCATAGTAGCGATGGCAGCACAACAATATTAATGTACTTAATGCCACTGAACTGTACACTTAAAAATGGTTAAGGCAGTAAATTTTATATTACATGCATTTTACCACAATGTAAAAAACAAACAAACAAAAGACACACATACACACACACACAAAAAAAACAGATGAGAGGACATTGTTATACTTAAGTACATGAAGCCAGAGACTGGAAAAGACTACAAAAAGCAGAACAGGGAATGAGAAAAGACCCACAACCCAGTCATATAATTATGAAATTCCAGAACACCAAGGTTACAGAGAAGGGTATGAAAGCTTTCAGAAAGAAAAAAATGTAAACATGTAAAACGTCATTTATAAAGGTTTGAAAAAAACACAGAAAAAAAACAGAAACAGAGAGACTTAGTATCCATGAAACAACATGGATCCAAAGGTGTGACAAAAAATATTCCCAGAGGATGGCTCTACAACAGGCTGAGAATGCCCACTTTCACCACCGTTATTCAACAAAGTACTGGAAGTCCTAGCTAGAGCAATCAGACAAGAGAAAGAAAGAAAGGGCATCCAAACTGGAAAGGAAGAAGTCTAATGATCCTTGTTTACAAAGAACATAATCTTATATTTGGAAAAACCTAAGGACTCCACAAAAAAACTTAGAACTGATAATAAATTCAGTAAAGTTACAAGATACAAAATCAACATACTAAAATCCGTATCATTTCTATATGCCAACAGTGAACGATCTGAAAAAGAATCAAAAAAGCAATCTTATTTAAAATAACCACAAATAAAATTAATACCTAGGAAGCAAGCAAAGAAATGAAAGATTTCTACAATGAAATTCTTAAAACATTGATGAAAGAAATTGAAGAGGACACAAAAAAATGAAAGATATTCTATGTTCATGGATTGGAAGAATCAATATTGTTAAAATGTCCATACCACCCAAAGAAATCTACAGATTCAATACAATCCCTATCAAAATACCAATGACATTCTCCACAGAAATAGAAAAAACAATCCTTAACTCTAGCCAGGGACCCGCCCTTCTCCTTCCAGCACTTCCCGCCCCCTCCTGTATCATTTTTACCATAAAAAAAAAAAATGCAAAAAGAAAATGTGAACAAATTCAGATTACTATTATAACATATGAATATAATAATCTAATTTTTAAAAGCATATCATAAAAGGAAATCACATAGAAACTACTCTAACAGTAGTCTACGTGTAGTGAAGTATAAGCAAGTAGAGCTAGTATGGAATCACGGAAAAAACACAGACATGGGGAGTTCTGGTTCCAGCTTTGAGTCTGCATCTGAGTGATCTTGGACATGTCAATGACCTCTTACGGGTTCCATTTTCTTCCACTGAATCACTAAGGAGTTGTGCTTGATCAGCACTTGCCCAAGAATGATGAAACGTGAGCCCCACAAAATTATACATTGGGGGGAGAAATGAATTTGTGGTCCAATCATCTTGGGAAGCAAAACATTGCCTCTTGGACACCACAATCTATATTAGCATTTTAAATGCTATATGGATATGTGAAATATTATAATAAATAAAACTTTATGTGTTTAATCTGCCCCATAAATCTATCAGGCCAGGTTTTCTCCTCATCATTTTTTTCCTTTGAACTGATTGGCAGTTCTCTGAATCATTGTTTTGTGGAAAACATAGGTTATTAGTCTGTTCTAGCACTGCTATAAAGAAGTTCCTGAAACTGGGTAATTTATTTAAAAAAAAAAAAGGTTTAATTGGCTCACCATTCTGTGGGCTGTACAGGCTTCTGCTTCTGGGGAGGCCTTAGGAAACTTACGATCATGGCAAAAGGCAAAGGGGAAGCTGGCATGTCTAATACGGCAGGAGCGAGAGGAAAACAGAGTGAAGGGGAAGGTGCTACACACTTTCAAACAACCAGATCTCATAAGTACTCTAACACAGGACAGCACTAGGGGGATGGTGCTTAAGCATTAGACACCACCCACCAATTCAATCACTTCCCAGGCACCTCTTTCTACACTGGGGATTACAATTCAACATGAGATTTGGGTGGGGACAGAGAGCCAAAGCATATCAATAGGGAAACACTAACCTAAAATAATTTCTAAGATAAACATTCTAAGATTCTTTCATTATACAAGACTCCACAGCAATACCCATACAATGGCCCTTGGATCAAACAGTGATAGATTTGGGAAATGCATATATTTACATCATTTATTTCCATGATTCCTTTTTTCAGTGCTACGAAATAACTTCACAAGAAGTCATTTAATATTAGATCATGAATGTCATTTCAGAAATAAAATTCTCATAAAATGAAATGATAGTTTCAAAGCACAGCTTGGATCTAGAATTATTTCCACTTAGAAATAATTCTAAAATAGAATTATTATATCTACAACTTTTTCTATGACATAAACTACATAACAGATAAATGTCTTATCTTCTTATAAAATGAATAAACACACACAGAGAGAGACACTGACTCAACCCACCCTTACTAAGCAAATAGCAAATCTTCCTCTTTTGACAGAAGCAAATCTGGACAAGGAAAATGTAAGGTATTATTTCATAACTATAAACTAATTTTCTTATGAATTTATGAAAAGAGCTGGTGAGAGCCTCTGTACGTCAATGCCACAACACGGAAAACACTTCTCCTTAGGAGCAGAGAAGAAAGAACCTGATTAAAATGCAGTTGATAAGACCTGTCCATCATACATCATACAGAGCTGAGAGGAGCTCTTGCTTTAATGTCCTGGCAAACTGTGGGAGCAGATGCTGTCATTGGCTCAGGGGAGTCATCGAGGAAACATTAATATAAAAGAGCAGTTTTGCAGGAATGTTTAAAGGCCTTGTTGTAGCAGAGGGAGAATGGGTCTTCAAAGCATTTCTACCAAGATAAGACACGAGGGAGAAGTCTGGATTTATAACAGTCATCAGCTGTAGAAGAAGCCGGAGACCTTGACATCATTAGCAACAACTCTGTGTAGATTTTTCCTCTGTGGGAGGTATTTATAGGTGAATTTTCAGTCATTATTCCCAGTTCTTCCAATTAAGGTTACATGAAAAATCTAACCTGCCAGTATTAACATTCTATGGAGGCTTGTCTTCCTGAAATCAGCACCATAGCCAAGGTAGAAAAAAAAAGTATTTCTGTGTAGGCCAATTTAAAAATAAATTGCCATCTGCCATCAGCAGGGAAACTTCACTGGCCACATAAAAAAGACACTATTCCAAGGCCATTGTTGAGTATCTGCTGCAGTATAGAATTAAAAAACTAAGTGTCCCCATAGGCTACGGACCCATAGTTATTTAAACAAAATACAGATATTTTCTACTTCATTAGGGCTTAGTCAACTAATCTTTTGTCTTCTTTAGATTCATAGGCACACAATTTACTTGAAAATGATACTTTCTCTAAATTTTATCTTTCTAGTTAAAAATAACAATAATGTAATCCAGTCTTCAGTAGATATTAGAATACACCAATCTAGGCTGGGCATGGTGGCTCCCGCCTATAATCCCAGCACCTTGGGAGGCTGAGGCGGGCAGATCATCTGAGGTCAGGAGTACAAGACCAACCTGGCCAACATGGTGAAACCCCATCTCTACTAAAAATACAAAAATTAGCTGGGCATGGTGGCACAGGCCTGTAGTCCCAGTTACTCAGGAGGCTGAGGCAGGAGAATCACTTGAACCCAGAAGGCAGGGGTTGCAGTGAGCCAAGATTGCACCACTGCACTCCAGCCTGGGCAACAGAGTGAGACTCCATCTCAAAAAAAGAAAAAAAAGAAAAAGGATAGACCTATCTGATGAGCCATCATGCAGCTACAAACATGCCGAGCAGGAAGGAAAATTGTTAAGATTTTGGCAAGTAAACACTAAAATCTAAAGATCAGAAATATGAAAAGCATGAAGCCAAGCTTTCTTCATGTGAGTTAATTGCATTTTCCCATCTTATACCAATGTACCAGATAGGCTACCATTGGTAAATTGACATTAAGAATTTATTCCTGCTATTGGCTGAGGCTTCAAAGTAAAGGGAATTCCAAGATCACAAAGCTCCTTTATCCATGATCTAATTGGAATGAGCATATATGTAGGGTTAAAATTACCTGTGGTTAGCTATCTAGGGAGATTGGGGGTATTTAGATTTTTTACATTGAATTTTAAAGTGAATTATATGTCAAAAGAAACAGGAGATAAACTATTTTCTGTATATTTTTTGAATTTGTTGTATTTTATAATGTTCAAATAATTTGGTCCTTTGTGAAGGGGACCAAAATATGACACTTCAAAATATGCCATTGTGTCATAAAAATTATTTTGAGATGAAGGTATTTTAGCTCTGGAAATCCTTTATCTGCCCAAAAGTAGAGCCTCCCAAAATAACTAATTGTCATAAATCCTCTCTCCAGAAGCAACTCTAATCTCAGAGACTAGGAGTGAGTTTGACACCACATCTAAACAGACATTGACACAAGATTCAGATCTCTTATCTATTCTCCATAGAGCTCATTTATGCTGCTAAAAAGTTATTTGTTTTCCCATAGTGCCTTTCTATTCCTCCCCTTTATCTATTAAAATGGTATATAAGCTCCAAATTCTAACCACCCCTTTGAGTTACTCAGCACTGAACACTCTCATGTGTACGTACTTTGCAAGAATAAACTCGGTTTTTTCTCTTGGTAATCTGTCTTTTGTCAATTTCATTCACAAGCCCCCAGTTACTAACCCTGAGTGAGTAAAGGAAAAGTTTTTTCCTTTTCTATAGTTCTCAGACAGAGGCCTAATTTGTTTTGGTACACACAGAGCTTTCTACTGAACAATATGAACACAAACAGATCTAAAAACCCATAACTTCTTTCGTATGTCCAGGCCTCAAATCCTTCCTTCTATTGGCCTTATTCTTGGTAACATATGGCCTTCAATAAGTGTTTAGAGTCTCTGATTTAAAAAATTTAAAAAATTCAAAATTATGATAGCTGCCTCTGGTGCCAAAGTTGAGGCACAATTTACCTAGGAATAGATTGTCTTGTTATGTGAGCTATCTCTTGAATGGCAGCTCCTTTAGTGATGCAGGTATAAGGCAGACATACAGCCATTGTCCCGGGAGAAGATGTAACAGAATCCTGTGGGTGTGATAAAGGAGCCTCCACCTAAGGCCCCTTTGAACGCACTACTCAAAAGGAGAAATTGACCACTTTGCTTAAGGATCCCAAGACCCAAAGGGGTGGGGGGAGGTGTGGATACTGAAGCCTCATTTGACCCAGGTGGACCTGGGTGGCTTAAACAGTAGTCCACTAGTTTAAAAAGATGTCATGAGCCTCAAAGTGGAACAACTGCAAGGAAACAGGGAGTTTCGGCTGGTACCATGGGCTCAACTAAAAGGCAAAGTGTGGAGGTTGACCCTTTGAGCATGTAAATGTAACCTTGGAGCCCAACTCCAGGTCATCAATAGCAGCTTTTGCCAGGATCTGTGCCAGGAAGGGTATCAGTGAAATAATGGACAAGAGTTCATCCGGCTGTCCAAGATATTCAGTAGCGTAACTGAGTGACAGCATCCAAAGCAACCATCAACTATTGGGCTGATTGGACTTCCCACCTTGCACTCTGCCTGATGTGTGGAAGCACTCAAGCTTCAGTCCAAAGACTCTTGGGCAACTGGGAAGAGCAGAAGAAAATCAAAGTGGGAGATATTTAAGTTCTTGCCAAGTAAGGTGTGTGGAGATGAAAATATGAAGTGATTTTTCCCCGAAGCTGGTGAAACAGGCCATATCAAATACACAAAGAAAATCATTTAAGTCATTAGAGCTAATAAAAGTATATCTCACAATTGTTTATTTAAATGAGATTGTTAATCATTTTTAAATGATGAAGTCTAGCAGTCATACAACTCCCCCCTCCATTCACACCAGAAGGGGAAAAGGTTAACTGATTTAAGAAAAACAACTCATAAATATATTTTTTCTTTTTAGGAATATAGAGATGTCAATTTCAACATTATTATCAGAACAAAAAAAACAAGTAAGAAAACTAATCAGAATTACATGTTTCTCTTTGAAGGTTATTTTCATGGGATACAGCACCATTTTCTAAAGTCTCTGCAATTTTACAAGTTCTCTTTGTTTAAATTTTGCTTTCAAGGGCAGATTAACATAAGCAAGAAACAAGTTAGAAACAGTTATAAATATTCACAGGAATCTCTTTTATTGCACAGAAAAGCAAGATTAGGAGTCTAATGAATGTTTCTAGTGCTTTATCAAATTACATTATTCAAATGCTTTCAATGATACAGAAAGCACTCTCACCCAAAAGCTGCAAAACAGAGAAGATCTCTCTTTCTCTTCATCCTGAGCCTCTTTCCTTAAATAGAAATATTTGTACTCACTAGAAATGTAAGCAAAAAGAAGGTTGTAGAGGTCAATTTTGTTGTTAAAAAGGGGGTGAGAAATGAATGAAATTTTACTTGGTAACAGTGAAAAAAAGGGAATATAGTGTAGGGGAGAAAAAAAAACTTTTACTCTACCTCCTTAGGTTTAGTAACTGAGATCTGTAAATTGAACTGACAAAATACAAGTTAACAGGAGAAAAGGTATACAGATTTTATTGATGTTAATATTTTTATATGCACAGGGTCTTCACAGAAAAGAAGTGAAAACCCAAAGAAGGAGTTAAGACTCAAGGTTTATATACCATTTTAGCCAAGGGCAATAATCATGGAGAAATGATGAGTCAAAGGAAAAGAGGTTTGGGCTTCCAGGGCCAATAAATGTGGAAAAGTGACTACGAAATATATGGGGGAGACTAGTGGAAGATAGGGGTTATTTTAGTAAGATTTGTTTATGCAGACTCATCTCAGTGCCAGCTGTCTCATCTTCAATGATAAGGCCTGCTCCCCTCAACCTGGCACAAGAGATGGGGGACATTTACGCCCTGCTTTTAGGCAGTAAAAGGGAGGGCAGAGAGTTCCTGCGTTTGCTGTATCTCAACTGCCTTCAGCCTGGGTGATAGAGTGAGACTCCATCTCAAACAAACAAACAAACAAAACAAAAACCAATAACTCGTTGAGCTTCAATTTCTTAACTGTAAAAAGGAGCCATGTTTTTCTTACTCATATACACAGTTTATAGAAAAGAATTGTAAGCTTTTTTTTTTAAACATATCTGGAAAATAACAAAAACTAACATTTACTGAGAGCTTACTATATGCCAGGCACTGTTCTAAATACATTGCATAAATTGCCTCATTCAATCCTCAAAACAACACTATGAAGTAGATTCTATTATGGCAGCAATTGTACAGATGAGGAGGCTGAGGCATGAAACAATCTTCTAAATTTCCTAAAATCACACAGATAATAGATGAGACAGCCAGGGAGTCTGTTGCTAGAACCCAGTCTTTTAACCACTCTTTTATACATAAAAAGAGAACAGTTAATACTACTCTGCTTTTAGGAACTTCACATGTAGAAATAAAGAAAAGTCATATTTTGCATACTGCTGTTAATTGTGGTTTAGAGCTTGGTACATACTTAGTAAAAGGTATAACGTTGAAATTCCTGATATTTAATTCCTTTATTCATTAAACATCTATTGAACACTAACATTGTGCCTGACCCTGTTCTAAGTATTTAGAATGGTGAACAGGCACTTGATATTATAAGCTATCAGGGAAGTAAAAATTAAAACCACAAAGAGATAAAATCATGACCACCTACCAGAATGGCAAACATGAAGAAGACAATCACGAGAGTTGACAAGGATGTAGAACAACTGGAATTTTCATTTACTCCTAGTAGGGGTGTAAAATGCTACAACTTCTTTAGGAAATTCAGTAGTCAAAAAAATTAAACAGGGCCAGGTATGGTGGCTCAAACCTGTAATCCCAGCACTTTGAGGCAGCAGGATCGCTTGAGTCCAAGAGTTTGAGATCAGCCTAAGCAACACAGGGAGACACCATCTCTACAAAAATTTTTTTAAAATGGCTGGGCATGGTAGTGTGCATCTATAGTCCCAGCTACTTGGGAAGCTGAGGTGGGAAGATTGCTTGTGCCCAGGAGGTCAAGCAGTGAGCTGTGATGGTGCTACTGACTGCACTTGAGCGTAGGTGACAGAGTGAAACCCTGTCTCAAAAAAAAAAAAAAAAAAAAAAAATTAAACATAGCCTATGACCTTATAGCCCTACTTATAGGTAATTATCTAAAAGAAATGAAGATATAAAAATAATAGATGTAGATCCACCCGCAAAGACTTATACAAAAATATTAATAGTATAGCATACATACTGAAAAGTGCACGTCATAAATGTAAAGATTGATGCATTTTCAGAGAATGACAATGTAAACAACACTAAGATCAAGAGAAAGAACAATACAACCATTCTCAGAAATCCCATATTTCTTCTCTTCTCAATTACTAGCCCCCCAATGGTTACCTATCTTGACTTCAATGATGATAAACTAGTTTTGCCTGTTTTTAATGATTATATAAATGGAATCATATACTATGTACTCTTCTGTATCTTGCTTTTGTTATTCAACTTTATGTTTGCGAAACTCATCAATATTGTTGTGTAAAGTTGTGGTTTGTTCATTCTCATTTATGTAGAGTATTATTCCAATGTGTAGGTGCATATTTGGCCGTTTTCCAGAATAACTGTTCACAGAGCAGAGGGAATACTCACGACTGTATGATACAGAGTCTGAGCTGACACAGGTATTAAGGGAACCAAAATGCCATCATGCCTACCACACTTTAGCATGGGAGCATATGGAGACCAAAGAATAAAGGAAGTTATAAATCAAATCCATCTCACTGTTAGTCACATAGACACACTCTCTGCTCTTTTCCCCAGCCCCTAAATGTATGATAGTCACCCCTAAGGATGGCTATACTCAGTAGCTGAAAAAATGCCTCCCATTGGCTCTCTGACCATTAAACAACAGCCTTTCTGGTGGGAAAGGCACAGAAGAAGACTCTGAAACTGCCACCTTGACCTTTGGCTTCACCCTCTGGGAGATTCTTCCTTTTCTGTCACCCTCCTTGGTCACACTTGAAGTGGAATTGGATAGAAGCTCCTCCTTGAGTACTGAGAAGCTTTCTCAGGCTACTTCCTGCCCATAGCAGGTTGATGACCCAGGGTCATTGTTAGGTCTCAGTTAGTCACGGGCTTCTGGTTGACCATGTGGTTCTTTTGCCAGATCACTCCTTTATTTTTTTAATTTTTTATGTATTTCGCTTTTTCTTTTTCTTTTTTTTTTTTTTTTGAGATGGAGTCGCTCTTGTTGCCCAGGCTGGAGTGCAATGGCACTATCTCGGCTCACTGCAACCTCTGCCTCCCAGGTTAAGCGATTCTCCTGCCTCAGCCTCCCAAGTAGCTGGAACCACAGGCGCACACCACCACGCCTGGCTAATTTTGTATTTTCAGTTGACACGGGGTTTCACCACGTTGGCCAGGCTGGGCTCAAACTCCTAACCTCAGGTGATCCGCCCACCTTGGCCTCCCAAAGTGCTGGGATTACAGGCATGAGCCACCACCCCTGGCCTATGTGTTTATTTTTATTAGAGACAGGGTCTTGTCCTATCACCCAGGCTGGAGTACAATGACACAATCTTGGCTCACTGCAGCCTCGACCTTCTGGGCTAAAGCAATCCTCCCACCTCAGCCTCCCAAGTAGCTAGAACTACAGGGGTACCCACCATGGACAGCTTGTTTTTTGGCGGAGGGGTGGCGGTCTTTCTATGTTGCCCAGGCTTGTCTCAAACTCCTGGCCTCAGGTAATTCTCCTTGAGGGATTGCTCAAAGTTGGATTACAAGTGTGAGCCACCATGCCCAGCTTATCACCTCCTTAAAACAAGCCCCTTATGTTCTGACTCCTGTCAGTTCTATGTCCCTAGATTTTATTTTTCTCCTTAGACAGGGTACTCAGAATGCCTACGTATTTGCTTTCTTTTTTTTTTTTGTGGCGGAGTCTCGCTTTGTCATGCAGGCTGGAGTGCAGTGGCGCCATCTGAGCTCACTGCAAGCCCTGCCTCCCAGGTTCGCGCCATTCTCCTGCCTCAGCCTCTCGAGTAGGTGGGACTACAGGCACCTGCCACCACGCCTGGCTAATTTTTTGTATTTTTAGTAGAGACGGGGTTTCACCATGTTAGCCAGGATGGTCTTGATCTCCTGACCTCGTGATCTGCCCGCCTCGGCCTCCCAAAGTGCTGGGATTACAGGCGTGAGCCACCGCACCTGGCCCTGTATTTGCTTTCTTACATTCAAAATGCTCTCTCACAAATTAATTGTGCATACCTGCTGTTTATAAGGCTGCACAGGGATTGCCTCACATTTAATCTCTTTTTTCTGAGTCACTAAAGGTATTTATTTACTGGGCTGGACAAATTTGGCTGGACGCTTACTCTGAAACATCTTATTTCATTCAGTTGTTTTAATATCAGCGGGTTTGACCCTTGACACAAAGCTTAGTTTTAATCAGCTTTTGTTATTCGGAAGCCTTCTTAGTATTAGCTTTCTCTAGTTGAAGTTGAAAAGCCATTGCTTCTTCCAAGAATAAGTCCCTGAATTTCATAATTTTCTGTCCTCCTTTTCATTCCTGATTCCAAACACAGTAATTATTTTCTGAGTTCATCTCTTTCTAATAATGTCTGGCAAATACATCCAATAGAAACCCACATGAGCTTCTAATATTCTATTTTTCCATCTTGTCGTCTAAAGCTAAACTTTATTAGATATACGATACTTCTCCCAAGTTTTTGCAGGAGATAGTTTTATCCACTGTTTCACCACTGCATATCATGGATTACCATCCTTCCAGCCTCTAAACCTTACCCATACCCTAATATTTTGGATCCTCTCCACTGCCAACCTTTATAAAATATCATTTTATGATATTAAGTCCCATCCTGATGGAGGTAACTCACAGATTTACAGACCTTGCCACTCAATTCCAGACTTTTATCCAATGGCTTTTTTTTTTTCTTTGAGACAGGGTCTTGCGCTGTCACCCAGGCTGGAGTGCCATGGCGTGATCTTGGCTCACTGCAACCTCCACCTCCCGGGTCCATTCTCCCATCTCAGCCTCTTGAGTAGCTGAGACTACAGGTGTGTGCCACCACACCCAGCTAATCTTTGCATTTTTTGTGGAGATAGGGTTTCTTCATGTTTCCCAAGCTGGTCTCAAACTCCTGGGCTCAAGCAATCCATCTGTCTTAGCCTCCCAAAGTGCTTGGATTACAGGCGTGAGCCACCGTACCTGGCCCCAGTTGGTTATTTGATAGCTCCATTTGAATTTCTCAAAGAAATGTTTCAAAATGCTTCCACATATCCAAAATTCATCTCATGATCTAGTTCCACAGATCTGTTCCATGGCTCTACGTAGCAACTAAAAGGCATCACCCTCCATTCAGTCATATAAAAGTCATCCTAGGGGGTCATTCTTCATACTCAATCTTGCTCAGTCATCATATCCAAGTGATGTCAGTGTCACCGTGATGTTGTACAAGCTTGTCAATGTCAAAAAGTGACCTAGAAGAATCTTCAGACTTTAAATGTATAAAAGGATTAAATGCAAACCTTAATTGTGATCCTGTAGTACATAGTATTTTTTAATGTGAAAAAGAAATGTACATGCATGTCATGCAGTATTTTTGTTTCCCCAAAATCTGTTATTTTATTGATAGAGTATCTTATGATCAATTGTACAACCAATTCAACGCAATAAGAGAAGTATTTTTACATACAGAAAACTCCCCTTATAAAAAACAATAAACAACAACAATAATGCACACACAAAAAGTGAGAATCAGAAACTATAGATTCGGGTGTTGAAAACAGCCCAATTGTCCCATAGAAATGACATTTAAGGCTTTTTCAATAAACATAGAAATTGACCCTCCTGGTGCTTAAAACTTGAAACTTACGTTTGTCACATCTGAGTTCCTTCCTCAGGAACTGAAACCCATCAGCTCTCCAGATCCAGACAATGAGGCACCAGATTCTTCACTCATCATGATTGCTTCCTAACCCTCTCTAATTCCTCTCCCTATGTAGCTACATCACTTCCTCCACTATATAAAGGCCCCCAATTTTAGTCAGTCAGAGAGACAGATTTGAGAATGATCTTCCATCTCCTTGGCTGCAGCAACCGATTAAAGCCTTCTTCCCTGTCAATACTTGTTGTCTCAGTGATTGGCTTTCTGTGTGGCAAGTAATGGGACCTAGATTGAACCCTTGGCATTTCAATAACAGTATCAGTTCATCACCTCTCATGGACTGAAGCAGGTCAGTTCACACAAACCAGAAACTCTCTTTCCTAAGTAACTATACTGCCCAAGACATATTAGCCTGATGAACAATTACAGATGGTGAATTACCCCAAACAAATTATCAGTCTTCAGACAGTCCTCATTAGTGAATCCTGGAGTCAATCTGTTCCCATCTATTAGCATGGCTCCTGACATCACTTCTGGAGTAACTGTGGTGCCCATCCTACCGACATTTTCATCCACAGTTTTCCCATTTCCAAGGCCACTACAATAACATGAGCCTTTTCTCCCTGATTATCACCTCCCCCTACCCCCTTCCAGGCCTTTGGGTCATCAAAGGCTTCCTTGTAGTCTAAATGTCTGTCATACACCTATAGTGGTAACTTTTTTTTTCCCTATAGTTCTTTATCCTCAATTTTCCTTCTTTATGAATCAGGCCCGGTTTTCCTTTGAACTAGGCTGAAAGTCCACTTAAATGTCATTGCCTTAGAATATGCTCAGAATCCTTCCTCTGTAAAAATAGGTCACTTAAAATCTAAGCTGTTGGAACTTTAAAATATCTGAGCCTTAAGGGAATGTGATTATGGTACCTGAGTCAACATAAGCAGGCAGCTGTCACCTAGGCCAATGTGATTTTTATTTCTCTGTTATAGATTAACTTTTTTCCTTACCTACGTTGTTTTGTAAAAGACAGTAGTTAACTGAAGGGCACCAGAGAAGACCCTTATTGATCTTCATTACAGATTATCTTTTCTTCTTCTTTTCTTACACAAAGACTTCATGACTATCACATTGTCTAAGATGGAGGGTTAAACACACTCTTTTAAATTAGAAAGGAAAAGAAAAACAAACAGTACAGAAAAGAAAACAAACTGTAACTAATTAAATTGTTGTGGTGAGGGTAGGTGTTGACCCCAAGGGGAGGAGAGTAGAACTGCTTTGCAACTGTCCAAGCATACTCAGGCAGGCCTGGCTGGGGTTTCAAGGCTTGCATGACAAAGGTGTTAGTGTTGTTATCTATACTAACACCTTTCAGTACAGCATTTAAGTGGACAGTGTCCTATAAAGTAAATAATGAGTTCTAGGATAAAAAGCGCAATTCCCAGTTTTAAAAGTAAAGATTTGAAAACATTAATTTAGGGACCTGTAGCCCACAAAAATATTAGGATTTAATCTAAATTGCAGAAAAAAAGAAAAACTTAAGAACATCTAACAACAGGTATCCTATAGTTTTTCAAACATGATTTTTCTCTCTCCAGTTTTTCATTTTTACTAAAGACAAATAATGGTAACACCAATTTGCTTTATTATACTTGGCCTGATTATTTGTATAAGTGCACCAAGAATAATTATTTTTCATATGGGCTTTTTAAACTGGCTTTGATGGAACTCTGTTCCATAAGGAATTTCAGATAAGACTGTTTTAAGCTGAGCCCAGCCATGTGTTTGTACACTTAAATACCTACAAGTTGGGTAAATTCTTCTGAAAGTCCCAAGATAATCTGGGGCTCCTGGGCCTGTTAGAAAGTGACATTCTTTACTTACCACAAGTCAGGACGAAACCACCTTTGCAAAATTACGACTGAGACAGTGAAAGAGATCTAACTTAACCAACTGCATCTTGCTTCTAACTCCAAGCTATCCTTGTTTATTCCTGCACTTAGGCTGAACTAACTTTGGGAAAAACTTATAGTTTATAGTTTAAACAAAGATGGTAATAGCCCTTTCTCAAAGCAAACCTCCTTCTTGCCTGGGGACTACATTGCCTTTGTAGGACTAACATTAGCCACAAGATTAGAAATTATGGTTTAGGAGTCATGCAGCTGGAGGCTACAAGATTCTGACCCTCCCTAAACAGCTCCTAAGATCAGTGCTTGAGACATTTTTCAGACCCTGCACTTGATGGATCAGTTGGCACCACCCAGATCAACAAACCGGCTGATCTGATCTTGTGGCTCCAACCCAGGAACTGACTCAGCACAAGAAGACAGCTTTGATTCCCTGTGATTTCACTTCTGACCAATAACCACTCTTGGCTCACTGGCTTCCCCCAACCCACCAAGTTATCCTTAAATGCTCAGGGAGACTGATTTGAGTAATAATAAAACTCCAGTCTCCTGCACAGCTGGCTCTGCATGCATTACTCTTTCTCTATTGAAATTCCCCTGTCTTGATGAATCGACTCTGTCTAGGCAGTGGGCAAGGTGAATCCCTTGGGTGGTTACAAGGATTCCTGTACAGGGACTGTGTAGACAAGGTATGAGGCCAGTTTTCCCAGGGAATGTTTATTGGCTCTATAAGTCAAGTTTGATTCCTTAAAGGAAAGCATGCCATTCCAGTAAAAGCCTTGGTGAAACAACCAGTCTCTTCAAAAGAAAACATTCTTAATGCACTTATGCAAATAACTATATTGCCATAAGTTAAGAATACTCACAAATAGTTTCCAAATTCTGGAGAAATCAGATAGAGAGAAACAAATATGCTCCAAATTTTATTCACAGGAGTATGTTTTACTCAATTGTCAAAAGCAGTAAATAGCTCAAAAGAAAAGTGTTCTTGGCTCTGGAAAACAAAAAGGATCAGCAATGTTTTAAGCAAAAAGTCAAAAAAAAGATTACTTCAGTTTTTTATTAGTTTAGTCCATTCAATTAACTCGTGTTGTGTTTGATATTCATGATCACTTCAGCTATCCATGACAGTCCTGAAAGTTTCTTATTTTATTCTAATGTCATAACCTCCAAAGTTATCAGAAACTTGCATTTGAGAGCACCTGCAAAAGTTTTATACCTGATTATAAAACCGTCTTCTGAAGAGAACCAAAATGAGACAACAATTGTCTGTGGATGACAAAAACATTTTAGGGCAGCCACAAAGGCACAATTGACGAGGAAATGTATTACCTCTGTGGCACAAAAGAATTTAACATAACAATTATAATTATTACTGATAACATATACGGAGGCATACCAGAATTATAGGAATCTTATACAATTCTGAAACAGATACTAATAACATATATGTATGAACATAACCCAAAATTAAACACCATTTTATATTTGACAATTTACTGCATGATTTTAATACATTAAATAAGATGAATATGTCTTTTTGGACTTAGGGGACCTAATTATTACGTTAATAACTTAGAATTTGATCTTGGAAGGTTTGTCAAATATCAAAGGTTTAAAACACTGGATATCACAAAATAGAATCCAAGATCACCATAAGTCATTTATTTAGCCAAAACGATAACTCAAAAGTTTTAAAAGAGACAACCCTTTACTCTGCTAGATGGGAGACTCAGTTTTCCAAACAAGACCCAATAAGATAGCATAAAGCTAACTGAATCTGTCTCTTCTCTCTCCAATTCCCACATTTTTTGTAATTTACTTAAAAGGCAAACAAAAATCTTTCAGCATTTCATAGTATTACATAAAAATCTTTTTTTTTTAAAAAAAGAAGAAACCAACTTTTATGTTTACCTTAGTGCATCTTAAATGCAAAAGCTAGTTTTAAAAACATATTTTATAATCTATCCAGTTTTAATTAGTTTGACCATAAGGTAAGATTTTTGTAAACTTTTTTAAGAATGCTTTACAATTTTTTTTATAAACCAGCAAATTAATTTTCTAATAAAACCCTGTTATTTGGACATATGAGCCCAGATTCTGACCCCGCATCAGTGTGCTTTTATTCTAATGTTTAACCTATGGAAAAAAAATTAGTCATCATTGTATCTTAGCCAACTAGCTTATATCCACAGAACTTTTTTTACAACAGCAGTCCTCTATGACCCCTCTTTAACTCTCTTAAGCCTTAAGTTTTGTCCCATTACTCTTTTAGGGTAAGAAATCTATAAAACCCTCTGACAAAATTACATTTCCTTTAACAGAAACTACATTCTCATGCCATCTTATAATTTTTTTTTTACCAAAAATACATTTTACTTTTCTTATACATCCTGTATGTAAAACTGGTTTTCTTAGTAGTCTTAATTACATGTTACAATGTTGACTCTTAGCAAATTTTATTTTTGGTGAAATACTTGATAAGTAAGCAATTTTACTCCACATGTCCCCAGGCCTTATCTAGAATTTAATGCTTCAAAGTAGATAAATTGAACAATTTTCAAAAGTCAAAGAAGCAGTTTATGACCTTAAAGCATTTAGCGAATTTGGTATTTGACCTTAATTTAGACCAAATGTCCAAATTTTGAAGACATTTTTATTTTACCAATCATCTTTAAAGCTGTCTTTATTTCCAAATGATTATTAAAGTCACGTGAACAAAAAGGCATTGTTCTAAAGTTTCTATTTTTCTGAAAAAAATATTATTTAAGCGCTTATTTTTCTAAGCCAATTAATCAGATTTCTTCTATATAAACATCACACACACAACACATATAAATACACAGACAGACAGACAGAAGATCCAGCAGTTGTAAGATCTTCCTTTTGCCAGTTTCTTAATTGGATTACTGACTTCAGGGTGGAGCCCTTGGAGGAACAGAACCAGGAAAGCTTGCAGTTTCTAGGACCTAATAAGCAGGCACAGCAGGAAGGCAAAAACAAATCCCCAAAATTAAGGGTGCCATTTTATACTGGATCATGGATCCCCAAAAAGGAGGGGAATACTATGGGAGAAGATAGTGGTGTGCTTCTACCATGCATTTTATTGCAAGGCAACTCAAAGACAGTCAGCCCATTTTGTAATCACCCCATCCCCCAAGGAAGTCTTATCTCTCAGTTGGGGGGATTGGGATGTTTCCATATCTTCCAGGTGGCCAAGAGCATGCTTCTCTAATCCAAGTGTGCAAAGAGCAAAGTATTTCTCCATAACTGCCTCAGCCATCCCTTAAAGTATATTTTCTACCTAGTTATTATACACCAAGGCTAAAATGCAAAGTAATTTGATACCCCCACATGTCAAAATCATCAGCTAATGCAATGCAAAGTAATGTTTGATACCCCCAAAAGTCAAAACCATCAGCTAACACAGTGCAAAAGAGAACAGAGCCTTAGATTTTGAGAGGGATTTATTTTCTTTCAATTCCTGGGGTTCCATGGGAAAACAGAAGTTTTTCCCAGAATGGGGTCCATGGTACCTCCTGTTTTTCCCCAGGCAGCCCAGGCTGTTAGTAATTATCTTATGTTTTCTCATGTGGGCATCAACAGTGGCAAGAAGACAAAATGAAGAAAAACAGGTTAGTTGACTGATAAGAAAAACATTTTTCCCTTTTCTTTAGAAGAAAAACATGATTCAAGAAAAGGAAAAAAAGTCTTTTAAATATATATAGCTTGAATATCCATTTTTAATTAAGCCAATTTTAACCACAGAGTTCTTTTGTTAAAAAATTCTTTTTTAAATCTCTTATTACCAGACTCTAGCCAGGACAGCCAATATTTCCGGCCTTTGAATTCTACCCCAGGTAACCTCCCACATGAAATAGTAAGTCTTAACTAAGGTTATAACTTAACCATTAACGCATAAGGTGTTTTAAAGAGATGGTAAGCAGTTTCTTTTTTTTCTCTTTTTCTTTTTTTTTTAACAAGATTTAGAATCTTCCCAAGGTTAGTTCAGAGAAAGGAAAATTCAAGACAGGAAATCAGAAGCTATCCATGGGGAGAGGGAGGGAACCTCCATACATGGCAAAGTTACACAAATAACAAACCAGAAAGGAATCATTCGGAAGCCAAGAATTGAACCTGGGCCACCGCTGTCAAAAGATAAAGCCTTAGCTACTAAACTACACAGCACTGAGCATTGTTTCTCCCAGAAGAAGTCTGCAGCAGCCAATTTCAAGCTTGCAAAGACTTTTAACTGCTCAAGGTAATTTTTAAGGCTGTGACATGAACCCCAAAATTCCTGTCCTCTGGATGGTGGAGACCAAGATAAAGTATCCCCACATGGTCACAATGTTAACTTCTTAAGGACACAAAACAAGACAAATTTCATCTGGTATTGGTTTCAGGGACTCGCAGCAAAGTCTGTAACGGACCAGCCTGCCAGGCTGGCTTGAAAAGTTGGCTTACAGGGGTCCTAAGCCCACGTTCTATCCTGTGATACCCTCCTCTCCATTACAGAAAGACAAATTCTTGGCACAAAGTGCACCAGATTTGCTATAGCCTATGACTAGTCTCACAAATCCTTTTTTTACTATTAATAAAACCCTTGCAGAGGAGACACAGTGATGTTTATCATTTACCATCACCCGACATGCAGAGAAAGAAAGAGAAAGAGAGGCAGGCCAGAAACTTGACTGATAAGAATTTCTTACCCTTTTTGCTGGTATACCAGGTTTCTGGGTCCCCTTTCTCTGCAGCTTCCAGAAGAATGGAGAGGCTTTTGATGGCCCTGTTCACTGTGCCATAGCTGTCGGCGACCAAGCCCCATTACAAAAGAAAATAATCCTTTTCTGTTTTATGAAACCATCAGCAAAAGCTTCTCAATTATGCAAGATGCTGCCTGATGAGCTGCATAGGGAACCAAATTAACATTTTCCATCCCAGCAGAAGCAAAATACACATAACACAATGGACACTGGTCACCTCGCTCAGCACCCAACATCAACCTGGCAATGCTGAAACTTTTTCCCATTGGTCCCTGTTGTCTTTGATCCACTCAAGGTGGGGAGGGGTGACCTCCAATCCAGAATTCAATGGGTTGTCTCTGGGCAAGATGAAGAGCAGTTACCCTCAATCAGGCCTGTTAAACTTCTTTCCGGACTCACTGAATGTGACCAGATAGATAAGGAGGGTTCTCTGAGTTAGGCCTGCTAGACTTCCATCAGCAATTCCTTCAGAAATATTCTCCACATATACAAACACATACACAAAGACAAGATGGACAGAAGGCCTTCCGAATCAAGATCCCTAACCAAGAATTCCAGAGTATACCTTCCCAACTATCCTCCTATTCTCCATGTGAGAAATCTCCCCGAAATCTTCCTGATTGAGGAGAAGTCTCCTCAACCAATACCCTTCCTATTATTTAGGGAGAGCCAACCAAGGCCTTTCAGGAGCCAAACCAGGACAGACACCCCATGGTGGAGCAACAGACACCCTGTGCAATGAGGCTACAGACAGACACTCCACCATGGGGCGAGAGAACCAGTCAGGAGAAGGAAGGAGGCATTGGCAGTGCCTAGGATACTCACCAACCCAGACACCCTGCAATGGGCCTACAGACAGACACCCTGTGATGGGGATACAGTTATGGGACGTCTCCCCAGGACTACTTCTCTATTGCAATTAGATCCTTGCATGTTGGGTTGGCAGCACCCCACCAGTAGAAACAGGACCAGAGTTAGCCTCCAGTCCAAGAGAACTAGGTGGCTGCTTGGGCTGGCCTCTGAATCCATCACTGGAGGGGGGCTGCTGAACCATGGGCAGACCCACGAGGGCAATTCCAGACGAGCCCCCAAATTTGTAACTGCCCAGTGGGTTCACCTTGCCTGCTGTCTAGACACTGGCAGTTTATCAAGACAGGGGAATTGCAATAGAGAAAGAGTAATTCACGCAGAGCTGACTGTGCAGGACACAGGAGTTTTATTATTACTTAAATCAGTCTCCCCAAAAACTCTGGGATCAGGGTTTAAAAGGATAATTTGGTGGGTAGAGGGCCAATGAATTGGGAGTGCTGATTGGTTGGTTCGGGGATGAAGTCACAGGGAGTCAAAGCTGTTCACTTATGCTGAGTTGAGAGACAGGACTAGCTGGATTTCCTAGGCTAAGATATCCTAAGCCTAGCTGAGGAAGGTGACTGCACCTACCTTTAAAACACAGGGCTTGTAACTCAGCTCACACCTGACCAATAAGGTAGTAAACAGGGCTCACTAAAATACAAATTAGGCTAAAAGCAGGAGGTAAAGAAATAGTCAAATCATGTATCGCCTGAGAGCACAGGGGGAGGGACAATGATTGGGATATAAACCCAGGCATTGGAGCAGGGAGGGGCAACCCCTTTTAGGTCCCCTCCCATTGTATGGGAGCACTGTTTTCACTCTATTAAATCTTGCAACTGCACACTCTTCTGGTCCATGTTTGTTAGAGCTCAAGCTGAGCTTTCACTCACTATCTACCACTGCTGTTTGCTGCTGTCGCAGACCCACCATTGACTTCCACCCCTCCGGATCCAGCAGGGTGTCCCCTGAACTCCTGATCCAGTGAGGCGCCCATTGCTGCTCCCAATTGGGCTAAAGGTTCGCCATTGTACCTGTGCAGCTAAGTGCCCGGGTTCATCCTAATCGAGCTGAACACTAGTCGCTGGGTTCCACGGTTCTCTTCTGTGACCCACAGCTTCTAATAGAGCCATAACACTCACCGCATGGGCCAAGGTTCCATTCCTTGGAATCTGTGAAGCCAAGAATCCCAGGTCAGAGAACGAAAGGCCTGCCCCAACTTGGGAGCAGCTGCCACCATCTTGGGAGTGGCCCCCCACCATCTTGGGAGCTTGAAGAACAAAGACCATCCCGTAACAGAGTCAGTTCCTGGGTGGGGGCCACAGAACTGGTTGGCAGGTCCAGGTGGGACCATCTGGTTGTTAGAAATGCAAAACCTTGAAAAGACATCTCAAAAGGTGATATTAGGTTCACAATAGTGATGTTACCTCTAATAGTAATTGAGGAAGTTGTGAATCTTATGGCCTCTGGAATAATGGCTGGTAATATTTAGAATTCCAGCCCCTCTCATTCTACCTTGGTGGCTGGTGGCCTTTCATTCATTTTACAAGAACAGTTTAGCTTTTGGGAAGGGCTATTGCCAAGACCAGCTTGGTCGGGGAGACCTTAACCCAGAGGCGCTAGAGGAATTAAAGACACACACGCAGAAATACAGAGGTGTGAAGTGGGAAGTCAGGGGTCTCACAGCCTTCAGAGCTGAGAGCCCCGAACAGAGATTTACTCACGTATTTATTAACAGCAAGCCAGTCATTAGCATTGTTTCCATAGATATTCGATTAACTAAAAGTATCCCTTATGGGAAATGAAGGGATGGGCCAAAATAAAGGGATGGGTTTGGCTAGTTATCTGCAGCAGGAGCATGTCCTTAACGCACAGATCGCTCACTCTATTGTTTGTGGTTTAAGAACGCCTTTAAGCGGTTTTCTGCCCCAGGCGGGCCAGGTGTTCCTTGCCCTCATTCCGGTAAACCCACGACCTTCCAGCATGGGCATTATGGCCATCATGAACATATCACAGTACTGCAGATATTTTGTTTATGGCCAGATTTTGGGGAGCCTGTTCCCAACAGGCTATTACTTAAACTATACACTAAATTCCTTCCCAAGGCTAGTTTGGCCTACATCCAGGAATGGACAAGGACAGTTTAAAGGTTACAAGCAAGATGGAGTTGGTTAGGTCTGATGTCTCTCACTTTCATAATTTCCTTAGTTATAATTTTGCAAAGGCAGTTTCAAAACTGTTTCAGGGGTGTGTGTGTGTGTGTGTTCCTAAGTGTACTGAGACATGATGTAAAATGAGTTTCTTATTGATTGGCATGAGCTTTTCAAACAATGTAAGAATTGGTCTAGACCAGTGGTTCCTAAATTATGGTCCCTGGCCCAGCAGCATTAGAAATACCTGGGACCCGGTGATCATTAGAATTGCAAATTTGGAGGCTTTATCCTGGACCTACTGAACAGGGACAGGGCCTGGAAATCTATGTTTTAAAAAACGTCCAAGAAACTCTGATGCACACCAGTGTTAGAAAACCACTGGAATCTAGGTAATTTAGCCTTTCTCAATCACAGGAGAGACTGGAGCTTTAGAGAAAATTATTTCAGTGACTCTTGTCATTTTTTCCAAGTAGAAAGCTGGCATTTTAGAAGATACTGGGAAATAAGTTAGTTATTACATACAATGGATGCCTTAGGGCAGGAGGGCTTAATTCTCTCTTAGGAGTGGTTGAGAAGGGAAAAATCTAGAATGATCCCCCAAGGTTTTCTTCAGAGTAAATTTGCATGATGTCAACAAAAATAGTCAAACTCTGTAAAATATTTGAAGAGATTTATTCTGAGCCAAATAGGGGTGACCATGGCCTATGATACTGAGAACATGAGATCCTGAGAACATGTGCCCAAGGTGGTTGGGGTGCAGCTTGATGTTATACATTTTAGGGAGACATGAGACTTCAATCAAATACATTTAAGACACACATTGGTTTGGTCCACAAAGGTGGGACAACTTGAAGGGGGAATAGGGGGTGGTAGGGGTGCTTCCAGGTTATAGGTAGATTTAAAATTTTTCTGGTTGACAATTGGTTGAGTTTATCTAAAAACCTGGGATCAATATAGAAAGGAAATATCAGAGTTAAGGTAATGGACTGTGGAGACCAAAGTTCTTATTAGGCAGATGAAGCCTTCAGGTAGCAGGCTTCAGAAAGAATAGATTGTAAATGCTTCTTATTAGACTTAAGGTCTGTGTTGATGTTAATGCTGGAGGGTATAATGAGGCATGTCCAACCCCCACTTCCCATCATGGCCTGAACCAGTCTCTCAGGTTAAATTTTAAGAGCACCCTGGCCGAGGAGGAAGCTCATTCAGATGGCTGGGAGGTCTTAGAATTTTATTTTTGGTTTATAGAGACTTAACCCAAGTTTTCCAAAACATAAAGTAATCTAACCAAGGATTTGAAAAAAAATCATTTTGGCTTAAAATGTATTTTCTTATCTCTATTGTGATTACAAACAATGATCCTATTGTTATAATGAAGAATGTAAATATATAACTGTTACTAAGAGTTGGAAATTATGATTTGCTGAGGACATTCAAAATCAGCCTCTAGTTCATTTATCTAATCATAATGGTCATATTTGCAAACTCTCTCTAGGACAGTGATTCACAGCCGCTATTCTGATTTAACCCTGTTTTGTTCCCAGTACACTCCTAATCAGTAGCATCTCTCATCACAATGCTGTGATTCTCATGGGGACTAGGGGGGCTGTAGAGCATGAAAAGTCTCATTGAGGATTCTAATGCACCCCCTCCCCCACATAGACACCAAAAAGAATCTCTGCACTAGGATAAAATACAAAGTTGCTAAGAACAATCTAAGTCAGCAGAGAATATATCATCCTCCCAGAATAGCCAAGTTTTAAATAGGCATTGACTGAGTTCCAGGATGATCCAAGAGCTCAGAGCATAATTCATTATTGTATACTTATTTATTCGCTGCAAAGAACCACTATTCTTTAAGAGAGCAAAATCTAGTTATGAAAAAAGGAAAATTTTCTTGTCAATCAACTAATCAATTTTTTTTATGGCTGCTGGATAGGCATCAATGTATTAGGCACTATGTAGGACATGGGTGGGTTGAAACTGCCTTTGCAAAAATTGTATCAGTGAGAAAATTATGGCAGTGGGGGAGATCTGATCTAGCCAACTCCCCTCCTGCCTTTAGCCTTCAAGCAATCGAGCTGCCTTTAATTATTACTAGACTAGCTTTGGGAGACATTTAGTTTATGGTTTAAATGATAATAGCCCTTCCCCAAAACTCAAGTGCCTTTGTAAAGCTAATGAGAGGCCACCAGGCTAGCAGGAGGGGAGGAGCCTGAATTCTGCTAAGGTGTAGACATAAATGATTGCCAGTCTTTATTCTGGAGGTAACAAGATATACAACTTCCCCAATTACTCCTGCAAATAACATATCTATTGTAGAATCTAAGAGTGGCCTTCGGAGATATCTTTTCAGGGTTTTTACATGTCTGACATCTACGCCTCTGGCTCCAACCTGGACCCGCCCACTGCTCCTGTGGCCCCACCCAGAAGGGTTTCAGCATGCAGAAGGATCATTTCCAACAACCCTATGATTGCATCCACCATCCAATCAGCAGCCACCCCCACCACTTCCCCCAGACTATCTTTGAAAAGCCCTAGTCCCTGAAATCCCAGCTCTCATGAATTCAACTCCATTGCAATGTCCCTGCCTTGATAAGTCAGCTCTATCTGGGCAGCAGGCAAGGAGAACCCATTAGGTGGTTACAGTTTTACAACCACTGGAGAGAAAAGATCACAACACATGAAATAAGCAACATAAAAATAAAACACTAATAAATGATAAATTATGAAAGACTACTTATGAAGCTATCTGAAGTGGTACTAAGAAATACAGATTCCAGCCAGGCACGGTGGCTCACGCCTGTAATCCCCAACACTTTGGGAGGCTAGGGCGGGCCGATCACTTGGGCCCAGAAGTTCAAGACCAGCCTGGACACAAGGTGAGACCCCCATCTCTACCAAAAAAAAAAAAAAATTAACTGGGCATGGTGGCGTGTACCTGTGGTCCCAGCTACTCGGGAGGCCTGAGGTGGAGGGATCACTTGAGCCTGGGAGGCAGAGGTTGCAGTGAGCTGAGATTGCCCCACTGTACTCCAGCCTGGGCAACAGAGCCAGACCCCGTCTCAGAAAAAAAAAAAAAAAAGAAAGAGAGAGAGAAAGAAAAAAAAGAAAAGAAATATAGAAACCCCACCCCATAACTGCTGTGCTATGTCAGAATGCCATAATATCAGAAATGCTGACATAGACTCATCAGAGGCAGGGCCCAGGAATCTGCATTTAAGTCTGCCAGGTTGTTATGCTACTCAATCAAGTTAAGCACCGCTACCTCAGAAATGCAGAAGAGAGGAAAATTAATTTTAACCAGTACTATCAGAGAACAACTTTTTTGTGGAGCAGTGAAGCTGAGATGGGGCCTGAGTGAAACCACCTTTGCAGAATTATAAATAATGAGCGAAATCTAACAGGGCTAACTCCATCTTGCTTCTAACCTCACAGGCTAAATTGCTTTTTTATTTATTCTAGCACAGAGGCCAAGATAACTATGAGAGGAATTTAGTTTATAGTTAAACTTGGAGGCAAGGGAAACTAACTCCCCCCTGCCTCTGCCTTATCCTACCATGCCCACACACACTATCCAGAGATTGAAGCCACATTCTTAAGACACGGGTAAAATTATGGTAGGAGCTTGAACTTTGCTAAAGAATAGGCATAGTTAGGCCGGGTGCGGTGGCTCATGCCTGTAATCCCAGCACTTCGGGAGGCCGAGGCGGGTGGATCACGAGGTCAGGAGATTGAGACCATCCTGGCTAACACAATGAAACTCCGTCTCTACTAAAAATACAAAAAATTAGCCGGGCGTGGTGGCGGGCGCCTGTAGTCCCAGCTACTCAGGAGGCTGAGGCAGGAGAATGGCGTGAACCCGGGAGGCGGAGCTTGCAGTGAGCCGAGACTGCGCCACTGCACTCCAGCCTGGGCGACAGAGCGAGACTCCATCTAAAAAAAAAAAGAAAAAAGAAAAAAGAAAAATTGGCATAAACAATTACCTGCCATTGCTTAATGTGTTTTCCTACAAGTTGCTAACTGACCCAGAGTCACGTAACTGGGGCCACAACATTTATAACTTCCTCTACTACTCCTATAACCTTACTATTATGAACCCTAAAGAACTGGGTCACTGAGATATTTTTTAGATTCAGCACTTCAGTACCACCTGGTCCTGAGAACAGACTAAGCTGCATGAAGACAGTTACAGACACTGTTGTGATTTCACCCCAGCCAGTCAATTGTTTCAGGTCCCCAGCCCCCTGTCAGTCAAAGTACCCTTTAAAATCTTAGCCTCTGAATTATCAGGGAGACAGATTTGAGAAATTTCTCCCTGTTATTGCTTGGCCAGACCTACGATTACTAAACTCTTTCTTTGCTGCAATACCGGTTCTCACTGGTTCTTTTAGGGCAGCGGGCAAGAAGAACTAGTCGGCCTGTGACATGAGGACAGGGTAAGATGTGAACTAAGTAGCTGACAGAGCAGAGGGTTTACACGTGTGCTCACCTGAAGCTGCCTGTGCCAAAATGCTAAGGAAGGCTTGGGAGGAGAGAATGAGTGCCCAAGGCAGTTAGAGAAGGCTTCTCCCAAACTGAGTCTCAAAGACTGAGCAGGAGGAATCTGCCAGGCAGACGAATGAGGGAAACAGGATTCCAGGCAAAGTCTGTACAAAAGTATAGAGGCATGAAAGGGCAAGTTATGTTAAGTGACCAGGAGGAGTTCCATGAGACTGGAATAGGCAGAGAAAGGAGGAGAGGCCCATGGGAGACAGGGTAGAAAAAGTGATAGACCTGCTTAACAAGTAAAAGACTAAACAAGGTTGGAAATCCCAAACCATAATGCAGGGCAAATAAATGCCTGGATGTTCACACATATGACATAATGTGTGACTTACAGGGTCCAGAAAACAGAGGGAACTGGTAGATCCATACCCCATGTTGAAGGGGCAACCTGCTCAACCCAAGCCAATCATTGCCTTTATGGGCAATGAGGTTCCTCCAATGCTGCCAAATCAGCAGACGTTTTCGCCCCAGAAAAGCCAGACACTCAGATTTTTAAAATAAAATCTCCAAACTTTTAAATGTAAGCTCAGTTCTTTAACTTATTAAACAGGCCAAACAAAATACAACGCTTGGTCTGGTGTGAAGGCTAGTTTATTACCTCTAGGCTACAGTCTAATAAGCTCTTACTGCATCCAAATTAGATGGGTTTCTATCTGGTTCACTGTGTGCCTGATTGCAGAACATGGCAACTAGGCTGAAGCTTTGTTGGGAGAACAACAGAAATCAAATTTGGAGCTTTTATTCTGGAAAGATCTGGATATATCTCTGTGTGTGTTTTTGTATATATATACACATTTGTGTGTGTGAATGTGTGTGTGTGAATATATATATATATATATATATACACACGTACATTCACACACATAGCACTTCCTTTGTTTAGTTTAAACACAGGCAAGATGTTGTTCTCAAACTTTGTAATATTCTCTAAAAATTGCCAGGGCTCAGAAACTATACTAACATAGCCAGAGGAATGATTTGAAAAAACAGCATTCTTTAGTAATATAAAGTATTTGAGACCATACAAGATTTAATTCTACATGCTAACTTAAAAAAAAAAAGAGTTGTGCTTTCACTGTGCAAGCTGAAAAGGACTTTATTTAGCAACATATACAAACTTGCATTTCTGAGCAACACCAGTAAATCTATGGTCTTTCTATTTTCTCCTTGCTGGAGGGTCATTCTAAAGATAAATTCACTAAAAATGGAAAATGCTGCTATTTTTCAGACAGTGTTCTTTTATTTTTGATAGAAAAGTTATTTGTTTTAGATGCCTATTTAATCACCTCTTAGAAACCAATCCATGACAAATCTTATATTTGAGCTTATACCTACCTCTTTTCCATGATAAAAAATTACTTCTATAGATGCTAGAAGTAACTTTCTTAAAGATGTCAGCTGCATAAATTTTTAATTACTATATAATTAAAAACCTTCTAATAATTTTTAAGGTTATGACTTATAAAACATGTTCCTCTGGAAACTGAAATCAGTTTTCAATTTTCCCATTTACATTTCTTTCACAAGTGAAAAAAATAATTTGTCTTTATTCTCTTCAAGAAGAGCTAGAAAAGGCTGATCTTTAAGATCATTCATTGTTTCTACTCTCCAGGAAAGGCAGTGTGGTATGGACCCCCCTCCCCCGAAAACTATCTGCATCATAATCGTTGGAACATGAGACTATGGAAAAAGGGACTTTGCAGGTGTGGTTAAATTGAAGATCTTAAGGTTGGGAGATTATTCTGGATTATCTGGCACAAGGATGGGGGTCCTTATAAGTAAAAGAGGGAGGCAGGAAGGTAAGAGGGCATGACTACCATGTAGCAGGGGTCGGAGTGGTGTTGCTGGTCTTGATGAAGGAGGGGAGTCATAAGCCAAGGAAGGTGGGTGGCCTCTAGAAACCAAAACAGGGAAGAAAACAGATTCTCTCCTAGAGATTCCAGAAGAAATGCAAACCTGCCCATTTTTGCCAGGTGAGATCCATTTCAGGTGTCTGACCTCCAGAGCTGTAAGATAATAAATCTGTCTTGTTTTAAGCCTCTAAATTTGTGGTAATCTGTAGCAGCAGCAGTTAAGAATATGGACAGTAACCAGACTCCCTCAAAGATGGGACACTAGAATAGCTTTATTTTATATTTTATTTTATCTATAGAAAACAGAAAAATGATTTATTCCAAAAGATGGCAGAAATGAGAAATTCATGCTGAAAATATACCTTGGGCCGGATGTGGTGGCTCATGACGGGGTGCAGTGGCCAAGGTGGGCGGATTGCTTGAGCCCAAGATTTTGAGACCAGCCTGGGCAACATGGCAAAACCGTCTCTACCAAAAAATAAAAAAACTTAGCCAGGCATGGTGGCCAGCGGCTGCAGTCCCAGCTACTTGGGAGGCTGAGGCAGGAGGATCACTTGAGCCCAGGAGGTTGAGGCTACGAGATCACCACTGCACTTCAGCGGGAGCGACAGAGCAAAACTCTGTTTAAAAAGGAAGAAAGAAAAAAAAAAGAACACATAATTTGGTGTAATTCTGTTGGGAGAGCTCTTTCCTCTGAACGTCCTCTCCTACTGACTGCCCCACTGGAGTCTTGTCAGGCAGTAGTACGTTCTAAATAGTTCACTGATTCCCATGTTATGAGAAGGCAGGAGCCACTACAAATCCACAAATTCCAAGGACATAATAACACATTTCTCAGAAGAAAAGCATCTTCTCTCTCAAAAGAGTGCATTATCATTTTGAGGAGTTGGCACAGTTTAGGTTAAGTAGGCACATAATTCATTAAAGCATAAAAAAGTTGAAGAAAAAAATGCTGCATTGTGTTAGACATTCAAATGTGGTGTGAATGTTTAAGGCAGCTGATGCCCAAAATAAGCAAGTCAAGAAAAGTGGTGTGGTTTGGATTTTGCATCTAGAAGGAATTCTTTTCTCATGACTGCTAAGACTGAGCACTGTAAAGCCTGTCTTCCTCAAGGCCAATGACACTTCGGATACCAGATGATTTCATGTTTCAACTGCAGTCTGAAGAGAGGGTTGAGTTGGCCAGGATTGCAATCAGCCAAAAGAGACAGCAACAAACTGAACAGGTCACCTACATGGTAATGATAACTCCCTACTTAGGACCCTTAGGGATGAACCAAGGCATGAAGAAACCAGTGAAGCCCTAAAACACGCTCATTGCAATGAGACGTATGGTGAGGCCCTGATATGCCATGCTTACCGCTGGTCTGCCAGCCCCTGCCCCTCTGCCTCACTTGGGTCCCACCTGGAAGTCATTTTTAATTAATTTTTTTTTTTTTAACAGAGACAGAGTCTTGCTATGTTGCTCAAGCTGGCCTTGAACCCCTGGCTTCAAGTAATCGTCCTGCCTCAGCCTCCCAAAGTGCTGGGATTGCAGGTCTGAACTACCGCGCCAGACCCTAGAAGGGTTTTAAGTTGGTATTTTATATTCTTTTTTGAGAAAGAATCTAGAATCAAAGTCATCAGTAAAAGGGCATGTGCTGGCACTTGTGGGTGTGCCTTCTCACAAGAGTACCCTTAAGTAATTATTCAGCCTCTAGGTGAACACCTTCTAGACAGGAAGCTCATCATCTCTCAACGATACCTAAGTCACTTTAAGACTACTCTTAGAGTGTTAGAAAAATTCTTTCTTATACTGATCTGATGCAAAAACCAGAGCTTCCTCACTTCCAAATCATTGTTCCTTTCATTCTAGTAAACTCAGTTTCAAAGAGGTCTTCAGATATCAGGTTCCATTATAAACATAAATAATTTCTAAATAAAATGCAAAAGATTCCTCGTAGATCCCATTAAAATGATGACAATTTTTTTTCTTTCTTTCTGAGCCTGCCTGGTAGGGAACACAATTTTGTTTAAGTAGTATTTAAAAGCTTTTTTTAATTGCAGAGAAAGCCATTGTAGAATTCCTTTAAACCATAATATATAAAAATTTCATATCAGCAATCCTTCATTTAAGCTAACGATGTGAATTAGAAAGAGAATACTATTCCTGCAAAAGCTGGATTTTTTTTAAAGAAAGAAAGGGAATACTAATACTTTTAGGGAAGTCATCACTCGTTCATTCACTAATATTGAACACAATATTATATTCAATATTAGTTCAATATTGAACACAGCTTACATCAAAAGTGAGTCAAGAATGAAACCCTTTTTCTTTCAAAATTGATTTTTGTATTAGGCATGACTTTTTGTTTAGCACCTTCAACAACCCTATGAGGAAAATAATTATTCAATTATTATAAGGTAATTATGTACAATATATACAAGTTTAAACAAATTCAACTAGCTAAATTTTCCTCTTTTCACATCCTGCGTATAAATCCTTATTTGACTAGTCAAAAAAGAAGGAATATGGATTTAGATATACCTCAATCTCAAAATCTAGTTTCATACTTACAGGCATTAAGATCGCTGAAGATTATTAAGCCACTCAGCCTTAGTGTCCTCATCTGTAGAATGTGACTAATATTCACACAGCCTTATGGTGACTGCATCATAATGGGCCATATCAAGTGCCCATGGTAAGTGCAGAAAACCTACCCCCACTTCAGATGATGCAAAATAAGGAAACTGAAAAAGGTACTACTGGCCGGGCGCGGTGGCTCACGCCTGTAATCCCAGCACTTTGGGAGGCCAAGGTGGGCGGACCACAAGGTCAGGAGATCGAGACCATCCTGGCTAACATGGTGAAACCCCGTCTCTACTAAAAATACAAAAAATTAGCTGGGTGTGGTGGTGAACGCCTGTGGTCCCAGCTACTTGGGAGGCTGAGGCAGAATAATGGCGTGAACCCGGGAGGCGGAGCTTGCAGTGAGCCGAGATCGCACCACTGCACTCCAGCCTGAGCGACAGAGCAAGACTCCGTCTCATAAAAAAAAAAAAAAAAAAAGAAAGAAAAGAAAAAGGTACTACTAAGGATAGGAACATCTATCCATCAGACACAAAAATGCTTGAGAACTATAGAATAAAATCAACAGGTATCAATATGAAAACTCTTTAATTAAATGCCTACACGATTTAACAGTACGCCAACTTATGGTTAAATATAGTTTTCTAAATATGCCATCACTTTGAAAACATTTCTGATTTTTCAGTAATTTCTAAACACACCCTCAGTAACTGCCAAGATATCACAACACATCCACATCGTGAACTCAATGTTTCACCCGGGCAAATAATGTCAAAAGTAATGACAGTACAGCCAAAAAGTTTATTCACTGTCTAAACTACGTGGATTTAAAAATATTCTATTCTATTTGCTATGGAGTGAAGCTCCCCTTCTCCTTAAAATAACATGCTTAGTGTCTGGGAAGGGCTTTAGACATCAGGTAGAGAATGCATGAGGGAAAACGACCCAACTTTCTGAACATCCATAGTCTGCGGAAAGTTGGCTCATCCCTAACCCTGAAATAAAGCTACTGCAGCCACGAGGAAATCAAATGGCACGCTATCTGCCGTCTGCACTTGGCCCGCACCCGCGTCCTGAAGACGGGAGCGCAAGAATTCTCCCTTTCTACATGACCTGCAAGCTAAGGCTAGCACATGCCGGCACCCTACGAAGAGCCACCCGATCTCCTGTCTGGGATGCAGAGACTCGGTTTAACAGCCGACTCCACCCGCGTCCCGAGACTCTTCCAAGCTCCTTCCCGGCCCGCCGCGCCCCCTACATTCGCACATGCGTACACCCAATAACGAGAGCCGAGAGCGCTCCCCTTCGCGTGGTCCCCACGCCCAGCTGCCACGCAGCCGGTCCTCCTACCCTTCTCTGGGCGGCTAGCTTCACGATCCAGTAACGCGCATGTGCAAAACTGCGGGCCCTGTAATTCTTTAGTGGGCAGGGGTGGGGCGGTCAGTGGGACCAAGTTTCTTGCGCACGCTCCGGACATGCGCAGTGCGGGAGCTGAGGCGCCAGCTGTGGATTTGGAAGTTCCGGGGAAGTCGCGCATGCGCGAGTGTACGCGTTGCCGGCGAAGAGGGGAGCCTGACGACTCGGAAATTTGAATACCACAGTAGCATGGAGTGTGACCTCATGGAGACTGACATCTTGGAGTCGTTGGAAGATCTAGGGTAAGATTGTCAGGGCACGGGTCTCCCAAGCCCCACGCTGCCGGCCCCCTGGGAACACCTCCTGCGCCCCAGTCTGAGACACCTGCCTCTCCACGCCGCACCCCGTGGCTCCTGGCTGTCGCTTCCCTTTGGCCCCGGCACCCCCAATGCCACGTCCACTGTCTGCACTGCTAGCTCGGGGTCCTCCAATCCCAACACCCCTAGGCCTGCCCAGTGCTCCCTGCAGGCGAGCTACCCGCAGCGTTTGTCAGTCATGCGTGTCATTGTCTGGGCTCTGATTTTCGCCACCCCCACTCCCCGAGCTTCTCTCCTCGCTTCATCCTCCTGCCCTACCCCTTAACCCCTCAACTCTAAAGGTTGCCAAAGTTGATTCTGCTTTCCTACTTGTTCTCCAAATTTCCTACTCCCATCTTGAGCCCCTCCTCCTACCCCACCCCACTTCTCTCAAAATTTCTCCTTTGCCCAGTCATCTCTGCATGCACCCAGGCTTCGCTAAGCCACTTGTATGGGCGCTGCATCTGTTCCGCTGGCCAGCTCGCTTGTGCATCTAACCTATCACCACGTCCCTGGGAACCACCAGCAGTTTGCTTTGACTCTGTGATACTCTGCCTCGTTGAGCCCCATTAGACCAGGGTCGTCTTCACCCACGAAGAACCTGCGTATTTGTTTTGCATTGTGTCTCTCCTTCTCCTGATATTTATTCAACCATAATTCATCAGTATCTAGAAGCTGGAAATAGGGTTTGTTATCTCACTGGGTCACCCAGATCAGTGTACTCTATTAAACTTGAGAACGTGGACCCTCTTGGGCTAAATGTGGTTCCAGAAACAAATTGTATGGTTAGATACTTACCTACAGGTACGGTATCAAAACAAAGTACAGATTTAGCTAGCTGTATTTCTAAGTAACAAGTTCTTTATCAAAATTTTCTCTTAGGTTTTTCCATGACAAGGAAACCTTTGAGAGAAACCTTTCTTTAGGAAAAAACACCTTGAGGATTCCCAAAGTCTGCCTATTTGAATAATTTACTACCCTAGTAGAAATTTTTAGGAACGAAGTAGTCTTGCTTATCATCTGTCTTTGTCACAGTGAAATACTATTGTTCTTTTCTTGGAAACTTGCTCTGAATTTTTATAAATATTCCAGACTTTAGGGGGCTTCTTTCTTTCATTAGGGCATATGTTAAAGTCATTCAGCAAAATAGTCTCTTTAGTTGACATCTCAGACTGAATCGCTTGTTCACACATGAAACCATTCATTCATTAGGACTTTTTTAGGAACAGTTTCTTTGTGGCAGTGTTAGGCCCTTAGAGTACAAGGTGAGGTGGAAGAGGGGTTCACAGGATACTGGGAAAATATGCTGTGAGGAGCCCTGAGGAGGGTCCCTTTACTGGGAAAGGAAATGAAATCCTAGAAGCTTCTTTCTGGAATAAATGACACTATAGTACTGTAGTGGAATGAGTGGAATGAAAGGAAGGGGGTAGACCTTATTAAATGTAGTCTTTCTGCATGGATAGTGGTCACTTAAGAATTGGCCACGGATGCTGTTTCTTCCCATTATTGTCTTTTTTTTTCCCCCTCCTTTTTTTAACTTTTTATTCTTTTGGGTACTGTACAAGTAATTGTTACTGTAGTAATTGTAATCACATAACTACTTGACATAGAGTGTAATGTAAACCATGGATTTTCTGAAAACTGTTATAAATTTTAACCTTAACTACTTAGTTTGGTGGCATTCAAATATTAAAAGTCAGCCTTAATTAACTGAAATGTACTTTTAAAGGATTAACTGAGAAATATTAGAATTAAATGACTACCTTTTCTATTTATTTATTTATTAAGAGATGAGGTCTTGCTCTGGTGACCAGGCTGGTCTCGAACTCCTAGCCTCAAGCGATCCTCCCACTTCAGGCTCCGGAGTAGCTGGGACTACAGGTGTATGCCACTGATCCTGGCAAATAGTCATCTTTTATCTCTTACCTGGCACACAGTAGGAATTCAGTAACTACTTGTTGAATAAACTAATGAAGTCTAAATGTGAAACTCAAGGAGAAACTTCTAGGCCTAGTCTTTTGATTTCAGTGTCTAATAATACATAGTTTATAAATCTAGATGCCAGACTACATGTGATCTCATTTTTTTATGTATGATTTGTTTTCATTTTGTTGCATATACTGTATAAACCTATAATCATATTTTAAAGGGTTTGAGAACTGTCATTTCTCTAACATACCTGTAGTTCTCAACATTATATTATCTTTTTTTTTTTTTTTTTTTGATACGGAGTCTTGCTCTGTCGCCCAGGCTGGAGTGCAGTAGTGCGATCTCGGCTAACTGCAAGCTCTGCCTCCTGGATTCAAGCCATTCTCCTGCCTCAGCCTCCTGAGTAGCTGAGACTACAGGCGCCCTCCACCATGCCTGGTTAATTTTTTTGTATTTTTATTAGAGATGGGGTTTCATCGTGTTAGCCAGGATCGTCTTGGTCTCCTGACCTCGTGATCCACCTGCCTCGGCCTCCCAAAGTGCTGGGATTACAGGCGTGAGCCACCACGCCTGGCCTAAACATTATATTATCTTAAGCATATTTATTGTATCATCTTAAGTAAGCATTATTATCAATATTTAAGAGAATGTAAAGCAATCTGAATAATATGTATTTAAGATTACTTGGAGTGACAGAAATCTTATATTTTAGAATATTGGTGATTGGAGTTCATTATGACTGTCATCTTTTATGAATGTTTGAACATTTTTAAATTTTTTAAAATTATATTGGAATCACTTACAAAGGATTAGGATTCAGATGCGCCAGTTCATTAACTGCCAATATTTATTAACCTAACCTGACGTTTCTTTGGTACTAGAATGTCTTACTAGTCTTAACTGGCATTAAATTTATAAAAATGATATAAATGGTTAACTGGAAAGTTTTTACTTTTAAAGGAAGTCATTAAAAACCTAACTAAGCCTGGGCAACATAGTAAGACCCCTGGCTATTTTATAAAAAATAAAAAAAAAGCCAGGTTTGGTGGCTTGTGCCTTCACTGCACTTCAGCCTATGTGACAGTGCAAGACCTCATCTCAAAATAAAAACATAATCTAGTTGTTTTCTGGAAAATTTTTAGAAAAGATAACCTAAGTTTTATTTCTGAAATAAGTTACAGTATAATTAGCTATTACTTGTTAATTTGCTTTTAATACTCAATTCAATTACAGTAAGAAAATAAATCTTTTTACAATGGAAGCTTTTAGTAAATGTACAGAAGTTGACATAATTTAGTAGTATATGCAATTCTGTTAGATATTCACCTACATTTTGAAAGGTTGAAATGCAGCTACCATTTAGCTGCTTTTTGTAATGGTTCAGTATAGTTCTAAATTATGTTTATATTTGTCCATTTAAAATAAAGATAAGTACTAACTTATCTTTATTAAATTATTGCTTATATAAATAAGACATAGATATGTTTTATCTGTAATATATTAGGTATGATTGTATTTTCTTCTGAAATGTAATTTCTTGCTCACCAGTTACAAGGGCCCATTGTTGGAAGATGGAGCGCTCTCTCAGGCAGTCTCTGCTGGAGCCAGTTCCCCCGAGTTTACCAAACTCTGTGCTTGGCTGGTGTCTGAATTAAGAGTGCTCTGTAAACTAGAGGAAAACGTGCAAGCAACTAACAGTAAGTAAACATTCACTTTTAGGTACAAAGTATAAAAATAACATTGAGGTATTGTCAACTGAACATTATCAATACTAAAGCTGAAAGTTGCAAGTTTTTGTAAATGTAAAAAATTTGTAAAGAAGCCAAGATTTTTTTTCCGTCCGTTGTTTTTAGAGGTGATTCAGAAGTTGAAATACCAGAATAAAGTCATGTAACTTAAAAATTCGTGGATGCTGAAAAGACCCTATTACTGGGATACAGAGAAATGGAGACCACAAGCATAGAATGTATGAACTTCCTATATTTTGTAAGATGTTAAATGTAAGATCCTAGATTGATGGCTAGAACTAGATACTGGGATATTTTTCTTTTAGGATTACCAGATTCTAGAAGCATCTATAGCATGTAGAGTAAATGCATTATTATTCTGTTATGCTTGGGGAGAAAGAGAACACTTTGTTAAGACATTTTGTTTATCATAAGAATGCATCGTTAGATACATCACAGTGAGATCCAGGACAATCAAATTTATGGATCTGAGAGCTGTTCTGCATTTACCAATTTTGTTTCCACTGTTGCACTAGTTTGTCGACACTGCAAAAGAGGCAAAAGCTTGGAACCTACCACTCTACCATCTGGTTCCTTCCTGCTGTAGGTAAACCTATAATAGGAGACCAAGGAAAATACTCACCTGTTAACCCACCCTTATGGAGAGCTATACATATAATTCCTTTTTTTCCACATAATCACGTTTTGAAGAGCTCACCTTCTTGCATGCTAGTGTGTGTGTGTGTGTGTGTATATATATATGTGTATATATATGTGTGTATATATATATGTGTATATATATGTGTGTATATATATATGTGTATATATATGTGTGTATATATATATGTGTGTATGTATGTGTGTGTGTGTGTGTGTGTGTGTATATATATATATATAATTTTTTTTTTTTTTTTTTTTTTTTTAACTTTATGTTCCGGGATACATGTGTAGAACATGCAGGTTTGTTACATAGGGATACGTGTGCCATGGTGGTTTGCTACACCTATTGACCTGTCCTCTGAGTTCCCTCTCCTCACCCTCTAACCCGCAACAGGCCCTGGTGTGTGTTGTTCCCCTCCCTGTGTCCATGTGTTCTCATTTTTTAACTCCCACTTAGTGGTGAGAACATGTGGTGTTTTTTTTCTGTTCCTGTGTTAGTTTGTGGAGGATGATGGCTTGCATGCTGGTATATTTAATGTGTACGTGTTAGTTGCATTCAGTTCTAATTATTAAGGAGAGTATAGTGTAACAGTAATGATAGCAACAGCTTACATTTATTGTGTACTCACTATGTTCTAAACACTTTATATGTGTTAACTCATTAAACCTCAGGGCAACCCTATGAGGCAGGTTTTATTACTGTTATACCTTTAACAAGAAAGCCCAGAGAATTTAAATACATTGCCTGAGGTCATACAACCTGTAGGGGTGAAGCCTGGTTTCAACCCCAGAACAGTAGTCAAGTTCTGAGCCAGTGTGCTTGAACACTGTGCTATACTGCCTCTTGACCAGATGTTTGAGAGACTGTAGGAACCTTTGAAAACACCAGTACTAGATGATACCTCTATTTAACCTGGAGCCCCTTTTTCTCAAATGAAACATGATACAGAAGCTAACATGTAAAACAGGTTAGAAGGTATTCTAACAAAGTAGAGACGAGGTACCTTTAGCCCAGCTCTTTCCTCCTCATCCTCCCAGCTGCCTCTAAAAGAGCTCTGTGGAACTCAAGGGCTCACAGATCACAGTTTGCAAAATATTCATAATGTAGGCTTCCTGTATTACAGATTAGAAAATGGACTCAGGTGATCAAGTGACTCTCTCAGAGTTTGTTAATTTCTTCCCCTTTGTGATAGTGAATAGAGAACAATCAAAATAATGAAGAAAGAGCTTTGTTTTTCCTTTGGTTCACCCAGTGAACTCTATACCTTTTTTTATATGCTGTGGGAATACAAGACTGTAAGTCATGTTTGCTGTCTTCAAATTTTTTCTAATTGAGAATGTTAGGCACAAATTAAACAACTGGAGATAAGTACAGTCCTTTTGTTTGTTTGTTTTTAGACAAGATCTCACTCTGTCACCCAGGCTGAAGTGCAGTGGCGCGATCTGGGCTCACTGCAACCTCTGCCTCCCAGGTTCAAGCAATTCTCCAGGTCAGCCTCCTTAGTAGCTGGGACTACAGGCATGTGCCACGACAACTGGCTGATTTTTGTTATTTTTCTTAGAGACGGGGTTTTGCCACGTTACTCAGGCTGGTCTCGAACTCCTGAACTCAAACCATCCACTCGTCTCGGCCTTCCAAAGTGCTGGAATTACAGGCATGAGCCACCGTGCCCGGCCAAGTACAGTACTTAAATGCTGAACCACTTTGTGGTTCACAGAGAGAGGAAATCAGCAAGTACGAGGGTGAAGTTTCAGCCAAGTACAAGGAAGGTTTCATCAAGGAGCAAGGCCACTGGGCTTTGATGGATGGGTGGGATTTGCTAGAGGGGAAGAGAGTAGAGGACATATCTGTCACAGGGAATAACTTAAATGAAGGCACAGAGTGGAAATAAGACTGGCTATTCATGGGACAGTGAGGAGACTGGCCTGGCACACACAGGAAATATTTGTGGAGGGAATGTAGGTGATTATAGCTGAATATGCTAGGAAGAACAAACCTAAGCAGCTATGAAGAATCTTTAAAAGCAGACAGAAAAAAATCAGATTGGATGAGGGAGAAATTAGGGAACCATTAAAGACTCCCAAATAAGAGAATGACCTAATGAACACTGAGAAAGAAAATTTTAGATTGGGAGCAGTGGCTCATGCCTGTAGTAATCCCAGCACTTGAAGACGCCAAGGTGGGAAGATAACTTGAGGCCAGGAGTTTGACACTAACCTAGACAACATACTGAGACCTAGTCTCTACAAAAGAATTTTCTAAATATTAGCCAGGCATGGTAGCATACACCTGTAGGCCCAGCTATTCCGGAGACTTAAACAGGAGGATCCTTCAAGCCCAGGGGTTTGAGGTTACAGTAAGCCCTGATCACACCACTGCACTCCAGCCTAGGCCTCAGAGACCTTATCTCAAAAAAGAAAAAAAAAGAAGAAACTTTGCAGTGGTGTAAGAAAGGATAAATTAGAAGGGGAAAAAACTCAAGTTATGAAAATCCTATTAACAATTTCAATTATATATAATAATTGTTATGCTAATGGAAAAATAATCACTATCATTAAATAAGATTATTTTAATTCTTAAAAGGTCCGAGTGAAGCTGAAGAATTCCAGCTTGAGGTGAGTGGGCTACTAGGGGAGATGAACTGCCCGTATCTTTCACTGACATCTGGGGATGTGACCAAGCGCCTTCTCATTCAGAAGAACTGCCTCCTCTTGCTCAGTAAGTTCATGGCTACTAGAATATAGCTATTACTTTCTGTTTATGTTTTCCATGACTAATAAACTGACCATGGTTTTTTGTTTGTTTATTTCATTATGAATGTAATTCAAAATTCATTTTAAAATAAAACTTTCTTAAATTTCCAATTTAGGAGCTGAGGGTAGACGTGTGCACTGGTAGCATTATTGTTTTTGTAACTGATACTCTTTCAATATTTCAGCCTCAGTGGTACTCAGGCCGTTGTGCTTCTCCTAATGTGATCACTGGTAGTTTTGGAGTGTTGCTCAAGTGTGTGATCATTAAACTTACATTTTAGACTAGAAGCACATTTTTAAGTATATTAGGAAGATAGTATGGAAATAATGGAGATTTTGTTTAGAAATTCATTTCTTTGAGGAGAGTAAGCATTTATAATAGTAGATACAGTTAATGGTTAATGTAATTTAAAGTATTTTGTCTTGTTGCTATTTCTTTGTGGTTGGGTAATTGGGGATTTTGGTTTTGTTTGTAAATATTCTGGAATAATACTTGCATTGTTCTGGTACTTATTCTGAGAAATGAGTTTTTATGAAAAGTTCTTTCCTTCCATGTTTTTTACATACTTACTACTGTTTTGTCTCTTCACACTGAAAAACAGTAAGTAGATTCAAAAATTTTATTGCCTTCTATAAACTTTCCAATAAATACAACCTATAGTCTTAACTCAGAATTTATGTAGCATTCTGAAGCACATTTACATTAAGCTTTGGTTAACTGGCTATTATAGTTCTCATTATGACAGACAATTCAGAGGATTTTTAAAATCTTTGTTTTTACAACTCTATTATGGTTTCTGAAAAAATTATACAACTTCAGTTTTTAAGGTTCTGTTAAAAAAAAAAAAAGTGTTCATAGCCATTATACTTAGGCACTAAGTTATTCCAGAATCACTTTTGTAACTTCCCCTTTGTCTGTCAAATGATTGTTATTGTGGGAATGTGCACGTAAGGTTAGGTGTTGCTTTAGATACTGATATTGCTGCTGGTAGTTCTTACATATTCATTTAATATTCTTCATATTGTACAATTTCTGTAACTGATTCAATAGCAGTATACTCAGCTGATTCTTCCTTTATAGCATTGCTTATCCTTTACCAATATTTGGCACTTAGAATATGTTATCTACATAGGAAGATAATAGCTGTGTGGAATGCTTACTAATGACCCTGAATAGCTAATTCTTCCAAAGAGCTCAGAGTTTGGCCTTTTTAGCACTGATACTTATACAAACCACTTGAATGTAAGTATAAAATGCCTTTCACACTTTTCTGTTTCTTAAGCAGACTTCAGTGAACATTATTTTGGACTCAGGGTCATAATTCTAGACTTTATTTTAATCTGCTATCATCACCTCAAATGCTTTTCAAGAATATACCACTATTTGCTCTTCAATTAAATGACTAAATCATCTAGAGGTCACTCACTTTTTATATTCTTCATACATACATATATACACACTGTTTCCCTCTTTATCTTTGCTTCTGCCGATTCTCCCTTTCTAAAATATTCTCCCCAGTTTGTAACCTCTCTTTCATTCTAGCATTTACCTACATGTACTCATTTTTGACTTGGTCTATGTAAATATTTCTCATCTTTTGAAGTATCAGTTGTCACATCTGGATGCTATAATTTTACTTTTCCAGCACCCTTACCTCACTAACTTGAATCTTTTATCACATTGTATTTTAGGGGGGAAAACAAACCAGCCTCATTAGAATTGTTGGAAAAATAGAATAGCCTTTGAGTGAGAGGCTGAAAAGCTCTCATGTATCAGATTAAGGACTCTGTTTGGCTCTTCATTGGCCTTTTATGGTTCTCAGAGTGTTGCCCTTACGTAAATTAAGTAAGATGTCTGAGTTCCTAATAGATGAAGAACTATTCATCTTTTATTTTTGCATATACTCTTTATTCCTAACTAGATTATCGGAAGAGGTCATCTTTTTGATGTTTTAAAAAATGTTATCTTCAGTGCCTTTCCCAGTGCTTTGAACATACTGATTACGATTAAAGTTTTTTCATGATAATTATATTGGTAACCTAATTTTGTGAATACCTGAACTATGTTATCCCAAATTTACAGAACCAATATATTAAATCATATAGTATATGATTTTCTAGAACAAGAGTTGGCAAACTTTTTCTAAAAGGGCCAGATAGTAAATATTTTTGGCTTTGTGGCCCTAAGTTCTCTGTCACAACTACATACCTTTGCTGTTACAGCATGAAAGCAGCCATAGACAATATATAAATGAGTGAGTGTGGCAGTGTCCTAATGAAACCTTATGTACAAAAACAGTGGTTGTTGTCTTAACAGTGGGGTTTTACTGTTTTGACGTTTTAACTCATAAATACAGTTTGCTGTATGGAACATGTTAAGATTTTACAGTGTCAAATCCATTTAGAATGACCTTTCCAGAAACTTAGCTGTATTTATTGTTTTAGAACAGGAGTTGGCAGCCTTTCAGAAATGATTTGCCAAAATTATGGCCTCTGTCCTTCTAGCATTACATTTTGGGTATAGGAAATTTGATACACAAGTTGACTTTTTTCTACTTCTAATAGGACCTGAGGGCCTTGAAAATATCTTTTCCCAAAACTGGTTTTGTTATATTGTCAGAAGAATCTCACTTTGTCACATAACCAGAAATCCTAAGATTCAAATGATTCTTAATCATCTTTTATAAAAATTGAAATGTCCTTGGGAATGTTAAAGGAATGAGATTGAATATTTATACCTTCAACTGAATTACCTGAAACAGATTGCAGCCCCCATTATACCAGGCTGAAATCAGCACACAAGGGGATGATACTGACACAAAGGGAACCATGCCAAAAAGTGCTTTGAAGGTTTTATGGTTGTTTTGAAGGGAATGGGGTGAGGAAAGTAGGGGGAAGGGAGTCCTGAGAAGAATATAGATGAAAGAGGGCTCTCTTTGATTAGCCAGAGGGCAACATAAGATTTGGAGACCATGGGAAAGGAGCTCTGGGGTGCCTTCCTGCTTCTCCTGTGAGTTAAGCTTTGACTTCTTATAAATGTTGTTTCACACCTCTTCTGGACAGGCTCCTAATTAATGGGAGACAAGAGAGCAAGGTAGTTGTGTCATTGATGCTCACAAGTAGTGAGAAGTTAAAAAAAAAAAATTAATTGTCATTAAAAATTGGTCACCTGCCTTCTTTTGCAAAATTTTTAACAGATGCCAACCCCTGTTCTGGAGGTTCCTTAATACCAGAATTCAAGATTCCAAATTTTTAGATGTTACTTACCTCGATCCTTCGGTTTCAAAGAGAATCGCTTATTTTAAAATTAACATTTAAACATTATATATCGCTTAAATAACTGAATTACATAACCAGTTTATTTCTTATTTCATTTGCAGGTAAAAGTAGTTTTTCTTTCTTGTTTTTATCCATTCTTGCAGCTTTAACAGTTACATATCAATAGGTCTATATAGTTGTGACTCCAGACTTATGACTATAACTATAGCTGTATCTCATTTTGAAATCTTATTTTGTTTACTTCAGCATACCTCATCTCAGAACTAGAAGCTGCCAGAATGCTCTGTGTGAATGCTCCTCCAAAAAAAGCTCAAGAAGGAGGCGGTAGTGAGGTCTTTCAAGAGTTGAAAGGCATATGTATTGCTCTAGGAATGTCCAAACCTCCAGCCAATATAACTATGTTCCAATTCTTCAGCGGGATTGAAAAAAAAGTAAGACCTTTAGTACCAAATTGTAGTGTATTAAAGGCATAGTCCTACATTTGTTTGAAATGAAGCAATTAATTTAATTTCTCTTAATGGGAACCTAATGTGCATATATTATTAAGTAATTGTTACGAAATGAGTTTTGGGTTTTAAATCCTAGATGCCTTAAAGATAAATTAGTATTTTAGTATTTTCCTAAAAACATGTTAGCATGTTTCTTTTTCAAAAAGGAAACTTTACACTGGTTTGTAAGCTAAAGTAAGCTAGATATAATGTAAAAAGGATTAAGATTTCAGTCCTTTTAAAAATTATTTTATCATTGAACTTTGATACAGTCAATTTAAGTTCTTTATCACTAAATGTTACCACCCTCCTCCCCATTGACTGGACAGAAAGGATATTAATATTTTTGTTTTTTAATCCAGTCACTTCAAACCTCATGCTTCAATTGACAAAATAGATTTGTTGACTGCTAACATAATCTAGTATGTGAAAAGAAATTAGAATTATTTTTATACCACACATTATCAGTTAAGATTTTCTATATAATTAATTAGGAACAAGCAATTTTAACAAAAATGAGTAGAAGAGAACGGTATTTGTTAAAGCACAGTTATTCCCTATACGCTTATCTGCTGGACTCTTAAGAATTGGTACATTTGCATTGTGGGGTAGACCAGCACCATGATGCACAAATTTGGCTGAACTCTACAGGGGAGCAGCAGTGTATCCATAGTCCATATTTTCCTGTGTGTTCATTCATCCATTCAGCAAATGTTCATTGAGTGCCTACTGTTGTCAGGCACTGTTCTAGGTGCAATGAAGGACTTCTGTAGGCGTGAGGAGTGGGACCAGTGAGTGTCTTTATCTTGTGGGTCTTTTACATTTGCATTTCAAAACATCCTCCACCTTTGCCTCTGTCAGGAATCTTCTTTTGATGGCAAGATATGATGGGAATTGGGAAGATGAGGATGTTTTACTTTTAGAGTTTTTATTCATTTATTTATGTTTTTGTGTCAGTTAAAGGAAACATTAGCAAAAGTTCCACCTAATCATGTGGGAAAGCCTTTACTGAAGAAGCCAATGGGACCAGCCCACTGGGTGAGTAGTAATCATCTTGAGTAAACTTTGTAAAGAACTATAGAGTTTATGATTTTCATGTCAACACTTACATTTTGTGCTTTTTAAATTATGTTTTCTTATACATAGTTTTCTAGTTGAACACCCTTAGAATCATTTTGTGAATCTCAGGATTTCTGCAGAATATTTTTATTTGTGTAAGATTAGAAGCACTTTTCTCATACTTTGTAAATATTTCACACAGCTGATAAAAGTAAACTGAAATTAAGTATGGTGCATGTTTCTCGTTGCCAAATGGATTGCCTTCAAGCCAAAAACTTCACTGGGCTGAGCTTCACACAGTAAATTATGGGAAAGATAAATAAGAATTGTGTACTTCACATACTCTTCATTATGTTTTGTGAATCAGCTTTTTGTCACCTATCATTTCATTAATTGTTAGTATATTATATGGAATAAGAACTTTTGACTGTTAAATGGCCGGGATCTCAGTTATGAATGACACAGACGTAGTTTTTGCCCTTTTGGGACAGAGAATCAAGCAGATTTAAACTCTAACTAGTCTTTTTAATTTTGCTTCAGGAAAAGATAGAAGCAATTAACCAAGCCATAGCCAATGAATATGAAGTCCGGAGAAAGCTGCTAATAAAACGTTTGGATGTCACTGTACAATCCTTTGGCTGGTCTGACAGAGCTAAGGTACACATTAAATAATTTAAAAGAGCAGACTATTTATAGACATGATCCCTGAACATCTAAACAATTTAGCTACTTGGCAACTATGGGAGAAGTACATAGAAGACACACATAGGGATTTTTCCTTAGTGAGTTATTGAGTAGTGGCTCTTTCAACTATTCAGCAATGATGAAAACATTTATTTTTCAATTTTCTATTTTTTAACAAATCTGAATTTTACAGTTCTTATTGGAGAGAGAAGTTCTTATTATGAGAGAAATGGAGTTATTCTGAAAATTACTAAAATAATAAATTGATTTCAAATTACTTGTTTACTTTAAATAATTTAATTTGCTAATAGAAGTTAGAAATATTGGATTTGGTATGATTTATAGACAATTGGAGAATTTGGTAAGACTTAAGTTTTTTTTCAGCTAAATGAGACAATCCAGGTAAAGACCTTGGTCATTCAGCAGATAGTTATTACCTCATAGAAACCAAAGATAGGAAAATTAAAAAGCAAAATTGTTGAAATAGCTTTATATTCTTATATTTAAATAGAGAAAATGAGTATGTTTGATCTGAGACCAATGATGGGGGAACCTTTTTATCACGTTGGCCTCATAACCCTAAAGGGGCACCCTCTCACTCCACCCCTGCCCCCACAGTCCCTGTCACTCCTTGTTGTGTCAACAAGTCTGGCAGCTGTACTTTTAAGGTAGTTCTTGACTATGTAGGAGCAGTAGTGAGTATATAACTTTTCCTACCATCTAGAGCCTAGTAAATATCATTATCAGATATTTTGGAGACCTTTAACTTATTTAATATGTGTTTCTTATGTCATTTTGAAAATTGACATTTCTCTTTGAACACTTTTCTTTCAACAGAGCCAGACAGAAAAATTAGCCAAGGTTTACCAGCCGAAACGTTCAGTCTTATCCCCTAAAACTACTATTTCTGTTGCCCATCTTTTGGCTGCAAGGCAGGACTTGTCAAAGATTTTAAGGACAAGCAGCGGCTCTATAAGAGAAAAGACTGCCTGTGCCATCAATAAGGTGATTAGAGTACCTTTAATTTTTTCCAAATGCATTTATTTCTGTTCATAAAATAAAAGTTTAAAATATCTTTCCTATTCTGTAGGTGTTGATGGGCAGGGTGCCTGACAGAGGTGGTAGACCCAATGAAATCGAACCTCCACCCCCAGAGATGCCACCGTGGCAGAAGAGGCAAGATGGCCCCCAGCAGCAAACAGGAGGCCGAGGAGGAGGGAGAGGTGGCTATGAACATTCCTCATACGGAGGACGAGGAGGTCATGAACAAGGAGGCGGGAGAGGTGGACGTGGTGGCTATGACCATGGTGGCCGAGGGGGAGGAAGAGGAAATAAGCATCAAGGAGGCTGGACAGATGGAGGGAGTGGTGGAGGAGGTGGCTACCAAGATGGTGGTTATCGAGATTCAGGTTTCCAGCCAGGTGGCTATCATGGTGGCCACAGCAGTGGTGGCTATCAAGGCGGAGGTTATGGTGGCTTCCAAACATCTTCTTCATATACAGGAAGTGGATACCAGGGTGGTGGCTACCAGCAGGACAATAGATACCAAGATGGCGGGCACCATGGTGATCGTGGTGGTGGTCGTGGTGGGCGAGGTGGTCGTGGAGGCCGAGGTGGTCGTGCAGGCCAGGGAGGAGGCTGGGGAGGAAGAGGGAGCCAGAATTATCACCAAGGGGGTCAATTTGAACAGCATTTCCAGCATGGAGGTTATCAGTATAATCATTCTGGATTTGGACAGGGAAGACATTACACTAGTTGAGGCTACCGAACCTTACATTTTGCTAGAGCTCAAGTAATAGAAACTTAGTTTCAGAATCCTGAATTCAGCACCTATTTTGAATTAATGTGAGACCACAGGTGGCAGGCAGATTCCTGCTTGGCATAAGCATTTGTAGGTCTTCATTCAATTCTGTTAGATTTTTTTATTGGACTTACATAATGCCGTTTATTTGAGAAACACATAACATCTCTCCTTTCTATGAAAAATTTTTTAAAAGGTGGTTAAAATTGCCTTTAATTGCCCAGTAGACTAATTCCACAGTCAGAACATGCAAACTTTTTTGAAGAAATTACTTGAATAAGTAGTTTTCATGTTTTCAATATGCAGTTTTGAAAATGAGGATTCACCTAGACTTTTTTAGATTTACTACTAGGAAACCTTCCTCATATGAATAACCATTTATATGTGTTTTGCTTAAAGTATTCCAATGCCTATTTTCCAAGCACAGTTCTGCCCCCCGGTTGACTTTTATGCCACGTGTGCTTCATGATGGAACTTTTAGGTCAGTTCCTATTAAATGAGCTCTTTTGCAGATAGCACATTCAGTAGCCTTATTTTGTTGATGGAATACTGTATCATATGCTCAACTCTGAAAACCTTGAACACGGCCAAAATCCATAAAGATTATAAAAGCAAACTAAGTTGTGAAGCTATAGTACATGTAGGCATTTAGTTAAGTATAGCAATTCAAACTGACCTGCATCCATCCAAAACAAATTCCTCCTTCAACCTTATTTTTACTTGAAATTTGCTAGAAGAAATAGCAAACCGAAATTTGTTTTATGCATGAGTTAATACCACTGGCTCAGCAAATACAAGTTAGTTTGCTTTAAGCAGGTAACTTTTTTTGTAATGGAAGAAATGCACTACAAAGTTAAGACAGATTTTTGCTAAGTGCAGGAGGCCCTTTATTATTGCTGCAGAAAACAAAAGCCTGGCTGAGTTGATGTTTTACATTCTCCCTTACTGAAATCTACATGACATGATGCTTCTTGCTGGGTTTTTGTACATGTAAACATTGTCAAGCTGTGAAAGAAAATGGCTGGAGGTGTGCTTTGTGTGAAAGGTGAGCAATAAAGTATCTGTTAAGTTCTCTCTTTGGTTTGAGTTTTATTTTAGCTACTGAATTATTCTGGACTCTTGCGTCAAGCTGATGAGCTAAGGCTTTTGTTCCCAAAGATTCTTGAGTATTTCCTTAAAACCTAATTTTAGTGAAAGGTGACTTTTATCCTAAAACCTTAAATAAATGGAAAAATGGCTCTTTCCAGGTTTTCCTTTTATAATAATATAGCTAGAAACCGTCACCACTCATCTCTGGCCACTGGGTGTAGCTGTTGCTACACATACTAGGCAAAAATGTTTTTAGGGTTTTTTTGTTATTTGCTTCTCCATTCTTCCTAAGATTGGGGGACTTTTTTTAAAAAAGGAAGTAACTGAAAATATAAATATGTTTATCAAAAGAGAAATTGTATTTCCTTTCTACTAAATTGGGCTTTTTTAAAGAATCAACTCATGTCATGCCATTTAAAATAATCTACTTGCTACTGAGATAAGCACATTCTTCTAATACTAAAACCATCTTTGAAAACCCACATTGATCCTTTTAACTTTACCTGTTTATTTTTCAGCTAACATTTACAATTATTTTAAAATGTTCAAATTTGAAGACAATTTCAAGTGTTTTATCATTAAAGTAAGTTAAGGTTTTAAGTTGTCTTGAATGTTGTGTTGGTTTCTTTAAACTGTTAAGTAATTATGTTTATATAGGATTTCCTATTAAAATTGTCAAGGTTTCATATTTTAAATGTATCATATCTTAGGATGTATTTATATTTAGTATTTGCTTTGATCTGTTTTGTAGCCTCAGACTCCACAATATAGCTAATGAATACAGGTTTCATTCTTTTGAAAAATATTTTGATTTATCTTTACGGTTAATAGATTGCTTTTTCGAATATAAGGATGTAAGAACACAAATGATACATTTCGCCCTGATAGTTCTGAAATCTGCAGCTCCTGCTTCAAACTAGATTTTCCCCCAACATTATTATTTTTTAAAAAACTTCTATGTTCAGGGGTACATGTGAAGGTTTGTTATACAGGTAAACTTGTGTCACAGCGGTTTGTTGTACAGACTATTTCATCATCCAGGTATTAAGCCCAACACCCGAAGGTTATCTTTTCTGTTCCTCTAGTTCCTCCCACCCTCCACCCTCAAGTAGACCCCTATCTGTTGTTTCCCTCTTTTGTGTTCATGCGTCTTCATCATTTAGCTCCCACTTATAAGTGAGAATATGTGGTATTTGGTTTTCTGTTCCTGTGTCAGTTTGCTAAGGATAATGGCCTCCAGTTCCAGCCTTGTTCCTGCAAAAGACAGGATCTCATTCTTTTTTATGGCTATATGGTATTTTATGGTGTGTACATGTACCACATTTTCTTTATCCAGTTGGTCATTGATGGGCATTTAGGTTGATTCCGTGTCTTTCCTATTGTGAATAGTGCTGCAGTGAATATATGCGTGCATGTGTCTTTATGGTAGAGTGATTTATATTCCTCTGGATGTATACCCAGTAATGGGATTGCTGGGCCGAATGGTAGTTCTGCTTTTAGCTCTTTGAAGAATCGCCATACTGATTTCCACAATGGTTGAACTAATTTGCACTCCCACCAACAGTGTATAAGTGTTCCCTTTTCTCTGGAACCTTACCAGCGTTTGCTGTTCCTCCCCCGCCTCTCCCCATTCTGAAACCATAAAAGAATTGAGTTTTTTCTCTTGAACATAGATCAAGTTCTCTAGAAACAGGATATTTCAAACCACCAGTTAGTTTTATTGTTATATTAAAGTTCTTAGGTTTTGTATAGAGAGTATCTTTTGATCTTATATGCATTCTTAACCTTAACTTGTAAATAATGATTTACTGGAATATAGGGCATATGAGAATTTCTTGGAGAAACAAGCGAAAAATATTAGGAGAGAATTTTTAACATGATATCTTAAACTGTTATCTCTTAAAACGGATACAGTGAGACAGACAGTACCTTTAGTTAATGTTCTGTTTCCTCCTACTACTAGGAACTAGAATAGGATGTCAGTATTCTCTATGAAAACTATTAAAGATATACCACTATCATTTTTATTTCTTGCTGTAGATCCAAACTAATCTAGTGTCCAACTGTGGTAGACATAGAATAGGCAAATTCTTGCTGAGGGAAGGCATTTGAATCATTTCTATATATACTTAATTGATTTCCCAGTGCCCAGATTACCTCCATCCTTAGACTTAAATATTTTTAGGTTGTGCCCATTGTATCTTTCTGGATACTTTGTCTACCTATATTACATCCTTTTGAAAATAGTTTTTAAATATGTTTATATTATTTAATCATACCCCCGCCTCCCACTTTAGGTAATTTGGATAGCATTTGATCCATTTGTTTTTTAACAGAGAGGGTTACCTAAATAAAATTTAGGTATTTATTTGTATTTTACCTAAATAAAAAAATGAGTTTACCTGAATGAAAAAGTACATTCATCACAGAATACTTAGCATTTTATGACTTCTTATTTTCCTGTTTTTCTTGTTTTTCTCATTCTTCATTATCATAGTAATAACTAGAAATGCTTTTTTTTTCCCTGTGGTTTCCATATTTGTATACACTAATGTATTCCTAGGGTTCAAATCACTGATTCAAACAGGTATGCATGTCAGTGTTTGAACTCACTTTCCGCTTGCACAATTTTAGTCACCTGCAGATGTGCGGTTATAAGTTGGAGTAAACATAACTGTTGGTATGAGAACTTCCACAGTAAATCATTCCCTGCCCACTAAATGTAATAAAGAGGCCGGGGGCAGAAATAGATAGGGAAGAAAAAAAAAATGTTTCCTAGGAATTTGGGTCGGGGAGAAAAAAACCTCTTAAAATGATTGGTATTTGTTAAATTGAGTTATAATTTTTTCAAGAAGAAAAAAGGCCTGGCCAGGCACGGTGACTCAGCCTGTAGTCCCAGCACTTTGGGAGGCCAAGGTGGGCGGATCATCTGAGGTCGGGAGTTCAAGACCAGCCTGGCCAACATGGTGAAACCCCGTCTCTACTAAAAATGCAAAACTTAGCTGTGTTTGGTGGCGGACGCCTGTAATCCCAGCTACTTGGGAGGCTGGGGCAGGAGAATGGCTTGAACCCGGGAGGCAGAGGTTGCAGTGAGCCGAGATTGCACCTCTGCTCTCCAGCCTGGGCAACAGAGGGAAACTCCATCTCAGGGAAAAAAAAAAAAAAAGAAGAAGAAAGGCCTGTAGTTCAGTTCAGTAAAAATGAGTGTCTGCTATATTCTAGCACTGTGCTGGGCTGAGGTAGAAAGTCCATGGCTTGAGAAATGTCTCAGCATGGACTGAGTGACAGAGCCAGAAACATAGGTAATTGTAGCATAAATAATAATGAAAATTATGTGTGGGTACTAGGAGAGCATGGTGTTTCTGTATTGCTTATATGGGGTGGAAATTGGCAGAAATTGGAAAGATTGCAGGGGTCAGGTAATAGAGGGCTCTCCATGCCGTCCTGAGTAACTTGGAGCTACTTTGTGTACGGTAGTATACCAATAACACGGCATATTCAAGTTTGGCTCTGTGTAAATTATTGGCTCAAGAGTAGGGGATAGACTCAAGGAGGAGGGCAAAGGTTGGAATCAGAAGCGTAGAGCTTAAATTAATGTGGTAGACATAGTAAGGGTATAGAAGGGGCAGATTTGAGAATTATGTCGGAGGCAAATATTATAGGAGTATATTAGAACAAGAAATGTAGTATGAACCTTGGTTTTTGGTTTTTTTGGTTTGTGATTGAGTAGATGATGAACTACCAATTGAAATCGAAATTAGAAGAAGGGGGAAAGGTGGGCTGGGGGAAATGATTTCAGTCTGAAACTCCAGAAAATGCCTGGAGATAGAAGTCTGGGAATGATCAACATCCACTGATTTTTGCATTGAAACATTTCATCAGAAAAATGATTCCAAATTAAACCATCCAAAAAGGGAGGAAAGGGGCAGTGGACCAAGGATGGAATCTTAAGGATTAATCAGTTAAGGGATAGATGGAGCAGGGTCACAGAGTAAGAGGGACACCTAGAGAACAGTGTTGTGGAAGCTTAGGGTTGGTAGTAAGAATGGTAATTTATTACTGTTATTACTGTTTATTGAGAGCAACATGAGTACTACTATTAACCCTCTTTTCACATGTAAAGAGTATGAAGCCAGGATAGTTGAGAAGACTTGCCCATATCCATATAGTTAGTAAGCGGGGGAGCTGGAATAAACCTAGGGCCATCTGGCTCCAGAGCTCAGTAATGCACAATTCCAGATGCTACAGAGAAATTCAACGAACTAGAGTTGAAAAATAGCCGTATGTCTTGCGGCGTTTTTGTGTTGGTGTTGTTTTCTTGTGGCATTTTCAAGAGCAGTTTCAGAATAAAAATGAGACCAGTTTTCTGGAGTTTAAGGAAAGAATGAGAAAATAAACCATAAATTTAGATTATAGTTGACCCTGAACAACAGATCCATTTATATGAGAAAGTTTTTCAACCAAATGCCGCTGGAAAATACAGTATTCACAGGATGTAAAGACCTCCGTATAGGGAGGGGCTGATTTTTCATATATGTGGGTTCCACAGGGCTGACTGTGGACTTGACTATGTGTGCATATTGGTATGTGCATTAGTTCAGGGGTCCTGGAACTAATCTCCTGTATACCAAGGGACCACTGTAGTTCTAGAAGCTTCACTGAGAAAGGACTGAGTAAAATAACAGTGTAACATTTAGTGGAATGAAGTGATGTACTCTGAAAGGTTACAAAAAGCCAGGGAAGTCTTAAAGAAAATATAATTGAAAGTCTTTAAGAACCCAAAAGTATCAATAATAGAATTATTTAGGGGTTCAAATATCTAGTACTCTCTCTTTATTTATTGGTTTATAAATGAATAAATGCATGAACGACAGGCCTAGACTAGAGTGATCATAGCTCACTGCAGCCTCGACCTCCCAAGCTCAAGTGATCCTCCCACCTCAGCCTTCCGAGTAGCTGGGTCTGCAGGTGGGCACCACCACACCCAGCTAAGTTTTTTCATTTTTCATAAAGCCAGGGCCTCGCCATGTTGCCCAGGCTGGTCTCAAACTCCTGGGCTGTTGCGATCCTCCCACCTTGGCCTCCCGAAGTGCTGGAATTACAGGTGTGAGCCACAGCGCCTGGCTTCTTATGAGGCATTTACAAAATGGTCGAGATAACAGGCTTATTTTGCAAAATGTATGAAAAGTACTATCAAGTCCTCAGAACAGGTAAGTTTATTCCGAGTTATGCAAAATTTCCAGCACTTATCAAGGCCTTAGTCAACACCAGCTGTATTATCTCTCAAGGTTTAACTGCTTCAGAATTGTTTCTTTTCCAATAGAAACCAATTTATGTGATATGGTGTGGAAGATGATCAATCACAAGTTAACTACACGAATGTCTAACTACAGAGAAATTTGCTTCATTCTAACCCTCAAATAGTAGAAATTAGTGAAAAATTTTGTAATGAAACAAAAAGTAAATTACAACCTAAAAGGATGAGCCAGGGCTTTTTAAAAAATCTCATTTGTAATGATAATGAAATGTAATAAATTTAAATTTTGTGGTGCCACTCTTTTAAGGTTAACACCTTATCAAGTTATTTAAGTGCTTACTCTGGAAAAAATACAAGTAATGGAAAGCATTTTTCCCCTAGATACCTACTGTATAACAAACTAGGGCAATGAAATTTGTACCTATGTTAAAATTTGAGAGCAATGGGTGGATGCAACAAATACTTGACTAACAATTCATGTAAATTACCAGGAAGCAGCCTGGTACACTAGCCACGTAATGTTGAGCAAGTTATTTAACCCATGATATTCCAATCTCTAAAGTGAAAGTATCCCACCTTCTTAGAAGAGCTGGGAGGATTAAATGTGATGATCCGTATAAAATACCACAATGTATAGCACATAATATACACTCAGTGTTTACTATCAATACAGAGGTAACTAATATTCAGGAACTTCCTAAGCACAATCTTAGGGAGAAATCTCTTTACTCCTCCTGTTTCAGATTTGGAACAAATGTTGCAGAGAAGGGCATAGCACTCAATTATTTCCCCTTCCTACAACTTGAAAACAGCCTAAGATATCCTGAGTACCCAGACATAAAGAATCTATGATGGGCAATCGGCTATGCATCTTTTTGCTTTTTTTTTTTTTAAACTGTACAACATGATGTTCAAATTTGCTTTTGTATTCTAGCTTTTTTTCTAATAAATGGTTTTCCATAGTATTCAGTGTGTGACTGTGTAGAATAGAGCTGCTCTGTAAGAGCATTGTTAAGGACAACAAAGGGAGTGAGCTGAAGATTGGGCGACTTCGCTCATTGGCTCATGTTACAGATTTTTTCTTTCTTTTTTTGAGACAGAGTCTCGCTCTGTCACCCAGGCCGGAGTGCAGTGGTGCTATCTTGTCTCACTGCAACCTCTGCCTCCCGGGTTCAAGAGATTCTCCTGCCTCAGCCTCCTGAGGAGCTGGCACTACAGGCACGTGCCACCACGCTGGCTAACTTTTTGTGTTTTAGTAGGGACAGTTTTTCACTGTATTGCTAGGATGATCTCGATCTCCTGGTGTCGTGATCCACCCGTGTCGGCCTCCCAAAGCGCTGTGATTATAGGTGTGAGCCACCATGCCCAGCCACAATTCTTTTTATGTCCCTTTAGAACATTACCTCTCATTGGTCACACTTTTATTTTCCCATCAAAAACAAAATAGGCTGGGTGCAGTGAGTCATACTTGTAATCCCCGCACTTTGAGAGGCCAAGGTTGGAGGATCACTTGAGGGCAGGAGTTCAAGACCAGCCCAGCCAACATAGCAAGACCCCATCTCTAAAAAAAAAAAAAAAATTTTTTTTTTTTTAATTAGCCAGGCATGGTGGCACATGCCTGTAGGCAGGAGGATCGCTTAGGCCCAGGAGTTTGAGGCTGCAGTGAGCTATGATTGTGCCACTGCACTCCAGCCTTGGCAACAGTGAGAACTTGTCTCTAAAAAATAAAAACACGGCCGGGAGCGGTGGCTCACCTGTAATTCCAGCACTTTGGGAGGCCGAGGCAGGCGGATCACCTGAGGTAGGAGTTCGAGACCAGCCTGGGCAACATGGCGAAACCCTATCTCCACTAGAAATACAAAAATTAGCCGGGCATGGTGGTGTGCACCTGTAATCACAGCTATTTGGGAGGCTGAGGCAGGAGAATCGCTTGAACCTGGGAAGGGGAGGTTTCAGTGAGCCAAGATCAGGCCGCTGCACTCCAGCCTGGTTAACAGCGAGACTCCATCTCAGAAAAATAAAAATAAAAAATAAAAACACAATAAGAAGATAGAATGATGCCTATGATTTAGCATAGTGTTTTCCAAAATGGAATAAGGAATAGTGCATGAAGTCACTGCAAGAGATATGCTGCTAAGTCAAGTAAATTTAAGCAAGGGAATCGGTTTCTAGATCATCTTCCACAGTTACTTTTTCCCAAAACTAGCTGAGAAAACAACTTTTCCCAATTTACATAAAGAAGGCATTCTAACCCTTTAAATCCTTTTGTATTGTATGTATTTCCCTTAAGGATCAAATTGACCTGTCTGGGGATATTCTGAATTCAGACCAACTAAAACAATATAGGTTAGTGATGTGGGTTGTTTTCAATATAACCAAAATATTTTATGAAATCCAAATCTATTAAGATAAACTAGATAAAATAGGTAAACTGATACATGACTTCTTTCACATTCAGTGACCTCTATGCAATAAGCTAGTTAAAACCTATGCTATCAAATCATGTCATGAAATATTTATTCCAATCACAGTCAATGCTCGTTTCATCTTATTGCGAACAATAAACATTTAAATTTATGATGAAATATTTTGTATATAAACTTTAAAACAATCAGGTAAGCACAAGGGCTTAAAGACCACTAATTTGGTAAATGCCTTCATGTGTGTCTGAGGGATACTTCATTATAATGCACTGTCCCAGACCAGAGAGGGGTTTCTCTGAATATGGTATCCCAGATCAACCTTTTTCAGACTATAAGCTCTACCATTTTCTGTGATAGAACACCACCTTCGAAGTCATTTTAGCTACAGGAAAAATAAGAGTGATGGAAAGAGGAATGTATTAGGAGTTTTTAAAGGCTTCTTGTCTCAGTTCTGCTAATAACTAGTTCTGGGTTTTTCTATTTCGTTAAGTGATTATCAAAAGGATAGCTGCACATTCTGCTGCAGTCAGTCCTCACATTTGTCATTGTTACCTTGCCTCCCTTTGTTCCTCTGTGACATAGACCCTAAGGAGGATCCATACCATTCTGTTACTATTATTATTAATATTATTATTTAATTTTTTTTTGAGATGGAGTTTCACTCTTGTTGCCCAGGCTGGAGTATACTGGTGTGACCCCGGCTCACTGCAGCCTCCACCTCCTTGGTTCAAGTGATTATCCTGCCTCAGTCTCCCGAGTAGCTGGGATTACAGGTGCCCGCCACCATGCCTGGCTAATGTTTGTATTTTTAGTAGAGACGGGGTTTCACCATGTTGGCCAGGCTGGTCTTGAACTCCTGACCTCAAGTGATCTGCCCACCTCGGCCTCCAAAAGTGCTGGGATTACAGGCGTGAGCCACCACACCCAGCCATGTTATTATTTAATTTTTAAATGGTTATTCATAGTTCAGAATTCAAAATGAAAAAAAAAGTTATTCAATGAGCTCATCTTCTCACTTTTGCCCCTCAGCCACACAGTTCCCCTCCCAAATACAATAATTTATTAGGTATGTGGTGTTGTCCTCTCTCAGAGATGTTTTAAACATATAAAGTGAATAGATATATTCATTATTTCCCTCATTTGTATACTGATGATGACATATAACACATAATGTTTTACATCTTTGTTGTTTTTAAAAAATTTATCTTGGAGACTTCCTATCAATTTATATAGAGTTTCTTCTTTGTTTAAAACATCTGAATGGTATTACATTGTATGGATATAACTATTTAACTAGGTCTATATTAATAGATTTTTGGTTATTTCCAGTTATTTCCAATCCTGAACAATACCCTTGTGAAAAACCTTGTTTACTTGTAATTTCTCTTATGTCTAAATATAGCTTGAGAGATCACAAGTAAAAGCATGGATTCCGGACACAGACTGCTGGGGTTCGAACCCTGGCTCTACTTATGAGGTGTGTGTCTCTGGGCCTGTTACTTAACTTCTCTGCCTCAGGTTCCTCATCAGTAAGAACTTTAAGGTTAGTGCAGAGATTTGGTGACACGCCCTGTGTAAACTACTTAGAACAGTGGCTGACATAAGCTGTAACTAGTAGTTACTGCTATTACTACTATTGTTACTGTCATTCTCATTTTCTTTAGGACAAATTCCCATATATGGACTTACTAGGTCAAAAAGAAAGAACGTTCCTAATCTTTATGGATGGCCAAAATGGTCTCCATCAAGGATATACAAATTTACATTCCCAGTAGTGATGTATGAATAGAATGTCTGTTTCTCGCACTTGTGCCAAGAGAGTATTCACATTTTTTTAGTCTGATGAGTGAAACTGTTATCACAGTGTAGTTTTGTTGTTTTGTTTGTTTTTAAACAGAGTCTCACTCTGTCAGCAGGCTGGAGTGCAGTGGCGTGATCAGGGTTCACTGCAGCCTCGACCTCCCCAGGCTCAGGTGATCCTGCTGCTTCAGCTTCCCAAGTAGCTGTGCACCACCACACCCAGCTAATTTTGTACTTTTGATAGAAATGGAGTTTTGCCACCAGCCTGCTGCCCAGGCTGGTCTCAAACTCCTGGACTCAAGCCATCCGCCCACCTCGGCCTCCCAAAGTGTTAGGATTATAGGCGTGAGCCACCACTACCAGCCCACAGTGTGGTTTTAAGTTGCACTTCTTCTTTGTGAGGGATGTGACATGGTTTTATGAATCCCTTGGATTTATTTTGGATTGTCCACTTAATTCATTCGCTCATTTTATTTGAAACCAGGACATTAGATTTCTTATGAATTTGTAGCTCTTTATATATTAGGTAAGTTAGCTCTGTGTTAGTGATAGGATTTGAAAATGTTTTAAAATATTTTTGTCTATTTTTCCCTTAACTTTTGGTACAATAAGCCAATCAGACTTTTTATATCGCAGATTTTTGTCAGTCTTCTTTCTTATGGCTTCTGGGAACTGTGTCGCACTTAGAAAGGCTTCCCCTGTCCAAGACAGTAATTAAAAATAATTTTCATGGTGTTCATTTCTATGGTTCTATTCCTTTCCATTTAAATTACTCATTCATTTGGAATTATCATGGCATAAGTTTTCTGTTTTTTGTTTTTTTGAGGTACAAATTCAAATTTATTTTAAGATTGCTACCCAATTGTCTCAAATCGTTCATTGAGTAATATTGTTTTCTGAAATGTTATGAGATGCCCACTTTAGCATATGTTTAATTACTATATTGCTGCTTCTGTTTCTGGACTTGCTGTTCTATCTATGCAGGCATCTGTAATACACTATTTTACTTGTTGAGACTTTATGTTTTAATATCTGGCAGGGCTAATTAATCCTCATTACTCTTGTTCAGATATTTCCTAGCTATTTGTGTTTGGATTTCCTCCATGCATTTTAAAATCAATTTGGTAATGCCAAAAACAAAATCTTCTTAGTGTTTTTGGGGAATCACAGTATTAAATTCAAAGGTTAACTTGAAGAGAACTGAAATCTTCATGATGATTTCTTCCTAAGAACTTGAAGGCTTTCCATTCCTTTCAGTCTTCTTTTGTGTCTCTCGTGAACATTTTAAAATTTTCTTCATATAGCTTGCTTGTTTCTTAAGTTTATTCCTTGATATTTTGTCTATTTTTGTCACTGGTCTTTTATTTATGTTTTCTAACTGATTGCTGTCTACATTATGAAAACTGTTGGTCTATTAATTTAATGCACAGCTACCTTGTTGATTTTTCTTACTGTTTGTAGTAAGTTTTCAGTTGATTTTCTTGGGTTTCTAGGTATAGGATTATATTACAGTAATAATTTTGCCTACTTTTAAATATACATCTATTTTCTTGTTTATTTATTTGTAGTGTCTAGTACCTCCAAGGCAATGTTAGATAATCATGATGACAAGCCTTGTTATCTTAGACAAGTTCTTAGTATAAATGCTTGCATTATTCCCTCATTAACAATCTGGGGTGGAGCATGGTACCTCATGCCTGTAATGCCAGCACTTTGGGAGGCCAAGGCAGGCGGAGCCCAGGAGTTAGAGACCAGCCTGGGCAACATGGCGAAATCCTGTCTCTACCAAAAAAGATACAAAAATTAGCTAGGGCATGGTAGAGGCACCTGTAGTCTCAGTTACTCAGGAAACTGAGGTGGAAGGATTGCTTGAGCCCAGGAGGCAGACGTTGCAGTCAGCTGAGATCATGCCACTGCACTCCAGCTTGGGCAACAAAACGACACTCTGAAAAAAAAAATTGTTTTTGTAAGGGATCATGATGGTTTTAGGGTTGAAATAGATATATTTTAATCATTTTTAGAAATTTTTATTTTGACTTTTAAGAATTTTTAAATCAAAATATATGTTGAATTCTGTCAAACATTTATTTAGTATTTATTATGATCATATAGTTTTATTCTTTTTATATTATTAGCATTCTTATATTCATAAATATATGAATATTGAGCCATTCTTGAATTTCTACTAAGAATTTTCATATTTTTACTGTATTTACAGCATTCTGATTTGCCTTGATATTCAGAAATGAGATTATTCCAGTTCTCTTAATTTGGACAATTCTTACTGGGTTTTGGTATCAATGTTATATTTTCTTTTTGTTGTTGTTATTGTCGTTTTATTTTTATTTTATTTGTTTCTTCACAAACAGTCCTATTGCAGAATAATGTTATATTCCCTTCATTTAAAAGCTTCTAGAAGTTTTTTCTTTGTGTTTTAAAACAATGTAAGTTACACTGAAATTATCTACACTTTAAAAATTCAATAAAAATTTTCTGAGCCCGATGGTAATTTTGGACAATAGCTCTTCAATAACTGTACTTTTTTTTTTAATTCTTTTTTTTTTTTTTTTTTTGAGACAGAGTCTTGCTCTGTAGCCCAGGCTGGAGTGCAGTGGCACAGTCTCGGCTCACTGCAAGCTCCGCCTCCCGGGTTCATGCCATTCTCCTGCCTCAGCCTCCCAAGTAGCTGGGACTACAGGCGCCCACCACCACGCCCGGCTAATTTTTTGTGTTTTTAGTAGAGACGGGGTTTCACCATGTTAGCCAGGATGGTCTCAATCTCCTGACCTCGTGATCCACCCGCCTTGGCCTCCCAAAGTGCTAGGATTACAGGCGTGAGCCACCATGTCTGGCCTTTTTTTTTTTTTTAATTCTTAGATCAGTTTTTGTAAATTATAATTTCCTAGAAAATTATTCACTTGTGGTTTTTATTTTTTGGCTTGGATTTGAGAAGTTTAGCCATTTATTTGTACTCTTTCTTGTCTATGAACGTATTTAAGACTAAAACTTTTTCTCTGAGTAGTGCTGAGGCTGAATCTTGTAGTTATTCTGATCTGTATTTTCATGATCATTTGCTAGACTTTGATTTCCTCTCTTATTCAAGAGTTCTTTAGAAGAGGTAGGTTTTGTGTTGTTTTGTTTTCATTTCTGAACTTTAGCTACTTCATTTTTCTAGTTTTGCTCTCAAGTTCTAATTTTATGGCATTACAGCATAATTTCCTCTGTATTATTTCGCAGGATTGAAACTTGATATTTCTCTTGTGGCCTAATCTGTGGTCAATTTTTGTGGCTGTCTTACTGAAGATGGAACAGGAGATGTATCTTTGTTTTCAAAGGACAGAGTTCACTATGCACATTTATCAATTGTAGCATCATGGTTTAGAGTACAGACTCTGGAGCCAGATTGATGAGAACCAAACGTCAGATTCACTACTGTGATCTTATGCAAATTACTTCATTTCTCTGTGCCTCAGTTTCTTCATCCGTAAAATGGCTAATGGCTATAATAATAGCATCTACCTCTTAGGGTGTTGAGAGGACTCAATGCATTAATATGTGCAAAATATCTTGAACAGTGTCTGGAATGGAATAAATACTATATATGTTTTAGCTGTTGTAAGTATTTAGATCTACCTTGTTAATTAGTTCTAGAGCAGCATCACTGTCTTAATTGAAATATAATACAGGCCACACATTCAATTTCAAGTTTAAAGTAACTGTGTTAAGGAAGTTTTTTAAAAGTGAAATTTTATTTAACCCATTATATAAAAACCATTATTTTACATATATCAATAGAAAAAATTATTAACAACTTATTTACCTTCTTTGTTTTGTGCTATTTGAAATCTGGCATATTTTGTACTTATGGCACCTGTCAATTTGGACTAGTCATATTTCAAGTGCTCGTTAGCCACATGTACCTAGTGGTTACCGTGTTGAATGGCACAGGTCTAAGCGCCTTATTTTTTGTGTACTTGGTACTTGGTTATATCATGAGCTGAGTGAGAGGATAATACATATTTTATACCACTAATATATTTCTGTGTATCTTTGAATCATCTATTCTTTTTGTTCTGTAAATGATGATGCTCTATAATTTGGTACAAAGATATTCATAATTATATTTTGATTGTGATCTGTATCCATTAGCATTAAAATGGGCCTACTTTTGTCTCCTTTTTTTTTTTGAGACGGAGTTTCTCGCTCTGTCGCCCAGGCTGGAGTGCAGTGGCGCAGTCTCGGCTCACTGCAAGCTCTGCCTCCCGGGTTCACGCCATTCTCCTGCCTCAGCCTCCCGAGTAGCTGGGACTACAGGCACCTGCCACCACGCCTGGCTAATTTTTTTGTATTTTTAGTGCAGACGGGGTTTCACCGTGTTAGCCAGGATGGTCTCGATCTCCTGACCTCGTGATCCACCTGCCTTGGCCTCCCGAAGTGCTGGGATTACAGGTGTGAGCCACCGCGCTGGGTCCATTTTTGTCTATTTTTGTGCCTTTTTTTTTTTTTTTTTTTTGAGACAGAATTTTGCTCTTGTTGCCCAGGCTGGAATGCCATGGCGCGATCTCAGTTCACCACAACCTCCACCTCCCAGGTTCAAGTGATTCTCCTGCCTCGGCCTCCCCAGTAGCTAGGATTACAGGCATGCGCCACCTTGCCTGGCTAATTTTGTATTTTTAGTAGAGATGGGGTTTCTCCATGTTGGTCAGGCTGATCTCAAACTCCCGACCTCAGGTGATCCGCCTGCCTCGGCCTGCCAAAGTGCTGGGATTACAGGCGTGAGCCACCGCGCCCAGTCTTTTTTTGTGCCTTTTGCCTTGAATTTAATTTTGTGTGATACTATATTTATGATCAATGTTTTCTTTCTGCTTGCGTTTGTTTGGTATATATTTGCCCATTTAAAAAAGTTTTCAGCCACCTGAATCACTTTACAGCAGGTCTCTTGTGCACAGCATAGAATTGGGGTTTTTTGGTGGTGGTGTTATCAGTCTGAGTACCCTTTAAAAAAAAGTGAGTTTAGCCCATTTATATAACAGATGTTTGAACTTAGTTCTCTTATATATAAGTTCTGTTTTCTGTTTTTATAACTTTTAACTTTCGTATAGAGTCTCTTTGCTTTGGTTTTTTGCATTTACTCTGATATTTAGGAAGAATTAAAATTTTGCTGTAATGTGGACCTTTATAACTATGTAGAATTGCCTTCACCTTACACTTCTTTAGAAAGAATTGCAAAAAAAAAGAAGGGACCTAAAACCTGGAAATAAGGCAGAAGATGGCTGTATGTCCTCGGGTGTCATTCTGCAGCAGTGTCTGACAAGCCTGCTTGAGAGCCATCTGTCTTTCTAGAAGCAGTTCTCAAGTTCAGTACCCAACTAGCATCATCAGCGCCAGCATCACCTGGGAACTTAGAAATGCAAGTTCTCAGGCCCCACCCCAGACCAACCGAATCAGAAACTGTGAATGAGGCCCAGCAATGTGTGCTTTAACAAACCTTCAGGTGACTCTGATGCATGGACAGTGGTTCTCAGCCAGTAGCAATTTTGTCACTTAGGGGACATTTGGAAATGTCTGAAGACATTTTTGGTTATAAAGGAAGTGCTAATGGTATCTAGAAGGCAGAAGCCAGGGACGCTGTTAAATACCCTACAGCGCACAGGACAGCCCCCTTCCCACTTCCCAACAAAGAATTCTCTGGCCCCAAATGTCAATAGTACAGAGATATAGGAACCTTCTTTACAGGAATGTATTTTTGTTTCATTTACTATTTACTATGGATTAGGGCTCAGTTTCTAACTTCCAGAAAATGGGTAAGATACAACAGATTTTTTATCGGGTAGAGGTGTAAATTATTTCTGTCTAGTAGAGAAGATAACCTCAAAGATTATGGTTTAATTGCCTTGTAGGATATTATATTCATGTGTGCTGTGTAGCAAAATACCCTAATACCTAATAACATAAAACAATAAACATTTATTATTACCATGATTTCTGTGAGTCAGGAATTCATTAAGTAGCTTTAATTCTTGGAAAAACAATTTTCATATGCTCTGTAGCAATTTTGTTTTCTGGTGAGTTTTCTGACATCTGTTTAACTGTCCTTTTTTTTTTTCTTCTCATATCCCCTTGGTTTTGGTTTTACCTCTGTTTTAATTTTGAGCTTTTATTCAAAATCTGTGGGAAGTTCCTGTAGGGAAGGAACCAGAGTAGAGTTCAGGCCAGGTGAAATTTCTATTATCCTAGGTTTTGAGTGTGAGTTCAATTAGTCTTAACATCTTGCTGGGCACTGGCAACTATGGGATTTTTTGTTTTTTTTCATCATAAAGAGCCTCTGGCATTCTGCTGTCACAGAGACAGATTGCTTCTAGCAAATATTTCTTGTCAGTGTGCCCTGGCTCTCCTGCTTCTCAGAACCAAACAGGCCCGGGAAGCTCCTGCCACCAGCTAATATATCCTTGTTTCTTCTGTTGTAAATGAAGATTGAGGATTTGCACTTCAGAGTGTGCCCTTCTCTCTGAGCGGGATATTTGCTGCCGCCGGGTGTGTGTGCGTGTGCGTGTGTGTGTAAGATATTTGCTGCCGCCTGGTGTGTGTGTATGTGTGTTTTGAGGCAAAGCCTCACTCTAGGCTGGGGTGCAGTGGTGTGATCTTGGCTCACTTGCAACCTCTGCCTCCTGGGTTCAAGCGATTCTCCTGCCTCAGCCTCCTGAGTAACTGGGATTACAAGTGCGTGCTGCCATGCCTAGCTAATTTTTGTATTTTTACTAGAGATGGGGTTTCACCATGTTGACCAGGCTGGTCTTGAACTCCTGGCCTCTAGTGATCCACCCACCTTGGCCTCCCAAAGTGCTGGGATTACAGGCATGAGCCACCGCACCCGGCCTATACTCCATATTTAAATCTTTCCAGTTGTCCCCCAAATACCTGCTTTACTTTCCTTTTCTTTTTTTTTTTTTTTTAATCCAGACAGTGTGTCGCTCTGTTGCCCAGGCTGGAGTGCAGTGGTACAATCATAGCTCGCTGCAGCCTTGAACTCCGGTGTTTAAGTAGTCTTCCTGCCTCAGCCTCTCAAATCACTGGGACCATAGGCGTGAGCCACTGCTTTCTTCAAAATTTGACCCAGAATCCAATCAAGGTTTGTAACATCGCATTTCACTGTTGTGTTTCATTCAATCTTTTCTGATCCAAAATTGCCCTTTCCCTCCTTTTTCTGTTCGTGATATTTTATTTTTGAAGTGTTCAGGCCAGTTGCTTTGTAGAATACTCCAAGTAATTCCTTCTTCATGCTCCTGTGGATAAACTGCATGTCACTTAGATTCTGAATGGGTATGAATTCCAACGTGATATGCTAGTAACATTTTTGAAAGACAAGATAAAGTAATCATTTTTGTTTGAGGTCTGAGTGCTCTCTAGACTTAGGCCAGCAGGTTTTGGATGCAGCCAGGAGGAAGCCATTTCCTGATTAAGCCTTAAATGCCAAGTAGTTTCCTATACTTACCCACCTTCAATAGTTGTAAAATACATTCCAGTTATCAAGTAAATGCTTTTTATTTTAAAAAGTAATGTTGGTTTTCCTCCTGTCTCCCTGTGTAAACTAATAAATTCTTTTTAAGAGGCAACCTTTTGAATATATTTATATTTTATCCCATTTATGTATACCCAATATATGGATTTTTCTCTAACCTCATTTACATTTTACTCATTTGGTTTCTTAATCTTGCAGGCCTGTTTTCAAACAGGACAAGACTAGTCAGTGTTACAATCAAACCAGAACTAATCCTACACACACATAGTGCCAGAAATAAGAAAATCTCTTTTGACTATTTTCATTAATACTTCTGTTTAATCTTTTTTTTTTTTTTTTTTTTTGACAGAGTCTTGCTCTTTTGCCCAGGCTGTAGTGCAGTGGCGCCATCTCAGCTCACTGCGAGCTCTGCCTCCTGGGTTCACGCCATTCTCCTGCCTCAGCCTCCCAAATAGCTGGGACTACAGGTGTGCACCACCATGCCTGGCTAATTTTTTTTTGTATTTTATTACAGACGGGGTTTCACCGTGTTAGCCAGGATGATCTCCATCTCCTGACCTTGTGATCTACCCGCCTCGGCCTCCCAAAGTGCTGGGATTACAGGCATGAGCCACCATACATCTTTTTTTAACAGAAAATTTAGTTAAATATTGGGTTTAGAGCCTCCAAATATACAGCCATATAATATAGAGAAAATCTGGGCTCTTGAGACAGTTTTAGAGAAGAATCCTGCTTAATTGCAAAATAATAATAACATAAGGTCTTTACAAATACTTTTACATATATTATCTGACTTGATCTTTACCAAAACTCTATGAGGTAGTTGAAGAGGGTGGTGAAATCTCTTTTTTTCAAATGAAGAAATTGAGGGCTCAAATAGATGTACCTGACTTGCCCAGGATTCCATGACTGTAAGCAGCCAAGATGAGATTTCAGTCTGGTTGGGAATTGCGTGCTAAAGGTACACTTTTGTGGTACAGTTTCACTGAATTGATCTCCTCAGTCATTCTAGAGCTTTATATATTTTGGCAAAATTCACATATTTATCTTAGGAATAATTAAGCTTCCTACCATCAATAACAGTTTGACGTTCTCTTCTGCAGAAGTCCTGCCTTCATTTTTAAAATGCAAACTCCTCTGTCCATTGTAGAAACTTACCATGAAAATCTGGGCACATTATTGCTTCAAGGGATATCCACTCAACACAAGGGTTCAAATAACCAATCATGGCTCCTATGGTTTAGGCAGGTCTGAGAAAGCATCAGTCAATTTGTAGATGCTCCAATGAAGATGCAATTGAAGCATTTAATAAATCCTGCCTTCATACCTCATTTTCATTGTTAAGAAGAGTTTACTTTTGTTTTTCCTTTCAATTTTCAGGGTGACAGTGATCATCAGACCTACAAAATGAAGGTGAGGAGGAGTCAATTGTGATTGTTCTTTTTGCCCCATCGTGGATTTGCCTATTTTATTTTACTGATGATGGGAAATTGATAGATTGGAAACATCAGAGTCACTGGTTGTCAGTAAATGATATAATCATAATTATAAGGCAGTTTTGTTATAGACTTAAATTAGTCTTCAGCAAAGTAATAATAGGGGGGTGTGCGTGTGTGTGTGTGTGTGTGTGTGTGTATACAGTAAGTAAGTCCTCACTTAACATGGTCTGTAGATTCTTGGAAATAGCAACTTTAAGTCAAATGAAGTGTTCAAACTGGTCCTCCACAAGGTAATTTCATTCAATTTCCTTTCATTACAACGTTGATGAGAAAAAAAGTTGGTCTTGTTATAGTTGTTTCAAGACCAACTTCAAGTTGTTAAAGTAGCAGTTTCCAAGAATCTATGGACAAATGAGGACTTACTGTGTATATACACACACAATATACAGGCCCATATGTAATTTATATATGTATATACATAGTTATTCTTTTTTATTTTTTACTCAAGTTACATTTAATATCTTTATCACAGGAAGGCTGGCAATATAAAACTTCCTATGTACGAAAACTCAAAAATAACCAAAGTGGCAAGTGAATAATTCCTTTGAGAAGCAAAAGAACAGTACAATGTTTATTAACACGTTTCTTCCTGAATTTTCTTCAATTTTTTTAAACACACAAAAAGCTTTTCTGTACTTAGATTGCTGTTTGCTGTTTTTAATGTTGTTAACATGCATATTATTGCATTTATGGATAGTAGTAGATAGTGTAATATACATGAAACCAACATCTAGGGATGGCTGCCTTCTGAGTGCTTTACAGATGGCACGTTCTCTTATTATCCAGCTTAATCACAGCTCCTCCAACTGATAACTTCACATCATCTGCAGTATTTCCAATCTGTAAATCTGGTTGGCACAAGTTGGTTTTAGCGTATTTGGAACCGTATTTTAAATCACTGGAACTACTTTGCCTTAATGCCCATGGGCTGTCAGCTCCCAAGGGCTAAGACCAAGTTTTTCTTAACTTTGTGCATATAGCGTGGGACCTGCCCAGAACAGGTACTCAACAATTTTGCTGAGCAGAACTGTCCTCAATGGAGAAAAGAAAGGAGAAAGGCTTTACTGAAGACTGCCCCAAATACAAACAAATTCCATTTTAAATGGAATATATACACTTTAGCCCCCAAATGCAGACCAGTGCACGTCTGTGTAGTTTCCGACTAGTCACCTGGTAATAGATCATTCCTGTCATTCACAGGCTCAGTCCCAGCTCTATTTTTCAGTATCTTGAATCAAGTTCTCTCTCCTCTAATCATGGAAGAAATAGACCCATAACTAGTTATTTTGGGTAAATGGGAGCTATTTAAAAAATTGATATTTTAAAAGCTTAAATGAAATGTTAATCAAATATGATTTATGATTATTTTCTTTCTATGAGTATTCTTTAATTGTGGAAGGCAGTTTCTTAGGAAGGGAACAAGGGTTCTCTTTTACAACCAAAAGTTTGGTGGTGGTTTTTTTTTTCACAAAATTATTGAGTTTAAAAAAATTGATGGTTGTTTTGCATTTCACCTAGTAGCTTATTCAATGGTTTGTTTTTCTGCTAAATGTTAACCGTCAAAACTTGAATTAATTTCTTAATTGCTATTTCTACTTCAGGAATCTTAAGAAAGATGGCTTAACCCAGTCAGAAGGGACAAGCATAATTTTCTTCCATGGCTATTTAAGTAAGTATTAGGAGAGCTTTCACGACCATGCTATAGCTTCCTAGTGACGCAGAATTGGTAAGACTTGTGTGATATATACATGTGTGACTTGTTACATATCATAGCAACTGTGTAGTGGGAAGGATGTAAACAGTTTCTCCTTGCAGTTGACCATCATTAGAAGAATCACTGCATTCCAGTGTCTGATGAGCTTCCTAGTCCTCAGGAAAATGTTAAGTTCTGGTCCCATCCAAAAAGCACACCAAGAAGAACAAAACAAAACAAAACAAAACAAGAAAAACAAAAAATGAAAAAAACCCCTCTAAATAAACTCCTTGTTAACTGTTCCCTGCCACAGCACACACAAAAGTTTATAAAAATATTGAAAGGATAGTCTCACAAAAAAAGCGAAGTCTGAGTTTACAGACTGAGTATCAAGTACATGCAAAAAAGCTTTCATTTCACCCGTATATAAATGGTCTAGAGAAAGATACATGAGAAAAAAGTACTGACTACATAACACAGTCTTTGTGGCACTTAACTAGGGGTAGGGGAGGAGGAAATAAATAGTTCATAGTTAGTTAGTTAGGGTCAATTCTCTGTCCCATAGTCCAAACATGGAGATCCCACAGTGTCCCAAGGCAGTAAACATCCAGGTATCTTTCCAGATAACTTCCTGAGAGTCAGAGCTTTCTTCAGAGTTTCTCGTCTTGCCCCTTCCAAAAGCCAACATTATTGCCTTCAGTTTCCGCAGCCTGAAGTCAGCCATCCTGAAACACAAATTGGAACCTATTGCATGGCTGGATCTCATATAACAAAATAAGAGTGTTCCTAGAAAGCAGTTTTTCAGATGACTTTGAGGGAACATCTGAAATGATCAGTACCTTGTAGTCTCAGGATTTAGTGGGAATTAGGAGATCATGTAGGTAGCTGGGTGCAGTGGCTCACACCTATAATCCCAGAGCTTTGGGAGGCTGAGGTGGGAGGATCACTTGAGGCCAGGAGTTCAAGACCAGCCTGGTAAATATAGCAAGACCCCGTCTCTACAAAAAAATAAATAAAAACCAGCTGGGTATGGTGGCATATGCCTGCAGTCCCAGCTACTTGGGAGGCTGAGATGGGAGGATCACTTGAGCCCAGGAGTTCGAGGCTGTGGTGAGCTATGACTGTACCACTGCAGTCCTGCCAGGGGGACAGTGAGATCTTGTCTCAGAAAAAAAAAAAAAAAAAAGAGAGAGAGATCATGTAGTTCACCCAGCATATGAACTCTTAAAGACTCCAATATGGAGTCCAACTAGGATGTTGACCTTAAAGGGTGTACCACAAATCATTAGTCCCTTGAAATGGTCCTTGTTAAAAGGTTTCCCTCTTAGAAATCCACAGTGTAAATTAGTGCAAGAGGGCACTGAGAAAATCTGTAAATCTACATATGTATATGTACATATGTATGACTATGTATATTACATATATTCATAAACATATTCCATTTTATTTAGTCAGCATTTCCCAACCCTTTTATGATAAGTATTTGTTGACTAAATTTAATTTAGTAGAAGATAAAGGAAAACAAAAGAAGAAGTTTAAAGGAAATACATGTATTCTTACTGCCAAGAGAGTAATCTTGAACTGTTCTGACATGTAGTGGTCATTGGGGAGATGACATACACTGCCACAGAAAATGTTCGTACCCTTATATTTTAAAATGAGCGTAAATCCTGGAACTCCGTTGGAGGAAATACACAGATTACAAACACACGTACCTTTTCTGTGTTCTAAAGTCTTTAACTACAGGACTCACAAACATCATCTGATACTAAATAATAAATGTGTAGGTCAGTGCTCCTAATGCCATTTATTGGTCTTGCCTGGCAGAAAAAAAAAAAATCTTAAATTTGCAAACTCCTTTGTCTACATATTCAACCGCTGGGTATAATTTTGTCATTTTTTTTCCCTTCTTCCTTATTCCCTAAACAGAGCAAACATCTCATTTGTTACTGATTTGAATGGTACTGGAACTGTATACCATATATATGCATTTCATATAAGAGCATACGTCCTTCATTAATTAGCACAGATGAAATTAAATACTCGTGGTCAGTGAACCATCCCTGTGCTTTAAGAGATAAAAACACAGCTGGGCGCGATGGCTTACGTCTGTAATCCTAGCACTTTGGGAGTTTGAGGCAGGTAGAATACCTGAGGTCAGGAGTTTGGGACCAGCCTGGCCAGCATGGTGAAACCCTGTCTCTATTGAAAATGCAAAAATCAGCCGGGCATGGTGGCACATGCCTGCAGTCCCAGCTACTTGGGAGGCTGAGGCAGGAGAATCGCTTGAACCTGGGAGGCAGAGGTTGCAGTGAGCTAAGATTGTGCCACTGCACTCCACCCTGGGTGACAGAGTGAGACTCCGTCTCAAAGAAAAAAAAAAAAGAAAGAAAAGAGATAAGAACACAGAAAGGATAAGAGAGCATTTGAATATAAAAGTTCAATTTCCAGGAAACAAAATTAAATTTTTTTAAAAACCCAGATACTTGTTTATATTTCCTTATAGAGATTAATGATCAGGATATCTTACCTATTTGATTGTCTTACACCCAACAGGCTGTGAATTTCTCCTAACTCAGAAGCACAGTTTTTAAGTAACTTGAACTGTGAGAGGCCAATAGTAATGAGCTCATGGCCAATTTCACTATTTGTTAAACAAAAGCAGGTTCTCCTCTGAATTCAGAGATGCCCACAAGGTGGGCGCCATCCTGAGCACTCTGGTAGGCGTCCTACCATCTACCTGGAGAAGCTCTTTTTCTGACATTCCAGGGGCAGCTACAGCACCCACGGAAACAGCCTCTGCAGGCTGAGTTAGTGTATGGGGTGACTAGACAGGGAATCCAGAAAATCTTCTTGCACAATGATTCTTTGCTTTTTTGGATCACATACCCCCCAGGAGAATCTGTTTGTTTAATGCATGGACTCCTCTTCCCAGAAGTGACCATATGTCCATGTATATTTTACACGGAGTATAAAGTACTGTCATGAACACCCTAAAGCCATTAAATAGACCTCGGGTTAAGAGCTGTTGACACCTAATCATGATCTTTCTCTTATTCTCGTTTATATTCCCAGCTTGAACTGTGCTAGGCCAGTAAAAGAAGTAGGGGGATAGGACTGATACAGTTGTCAAGATGATCAGTGGGGGAAATGTTAAAAATAAAGTGGGCATTGCAAATCTATAGAGACAGAAAATAAATTAGTTGGCTGGGGTGAGTTGGGGGAGAATGACTGCTCGTGGGTGTAGGATTTCTTTTTGGAATAATGAAAATGTTCTAAAATTAGATTGTAGTGATGGTTGCACAACTTTGTGAGTATACTAAAAGCATACTGAAAGTATACTAAATTGCATACTTTTAAATGGGTCAGTTTCATGGCATATGAATTACATCTCAAAGCTGTTTTTAAAAGTGGATGTTATAGAAACAAAAAAAGTGTTTCAGCAGAAACTTACAATAAACCTTGTATGACCAGAGATAATGGGTGGCCTCCTTATGCACTGCCTTCAGTGAGGAAGGAACTAGGGGAATTTCTGGCTAAAGGTCACTGGAGTTTTTCTCATCATGGGAAATGTATGGAGACGTGTGTTTAGGTCTCCTGAAGAGTGGAATGTGGAGGACCACCCATAAGACTAAAGAGCACTGGCTTGATCCAGTAGGATCTCTGCCTAACCCAATATTCTGTTTATGAGAACAATTCGACAGGGTGGCAATGGCTGTCCTCCATGACATTGCTTTAAATGTTAGGAATATCATGCCAATTTTCTCAAATCCTTTCTCTTAATACACTATAGACTGTTAACTAATAAATTTATCTAACTCCATCTTGAATCAATTTCTGTGTCAGCATACTCTAACAAATTCCATCTGCATCCTACTTTGCTTTGCATGATTTTGCTCATGCGGAGGCAGAGCCTGGTTTAGAGATCCTCAAGGGCCTCGTATCTCTGATTCTCACCACCCCCTTTTCCATGATGCTGTCAAAAGCTTCTTTTGAGCAGAATGAAAAGTTTCCAATTCTCCTTTATCTAAAAGTCTTTTGCTTCTACTGCCTTTCTTGAGTCTGGGCCCTGGTTCTAGCTTGGAAAACCAAGCTGATCTGTATCGTGTACTGGTATTTTGGATATATAGTCATGGGTTTCTGGGGCATCATTTCAGTACGCACACATGACAGCCTTCAATAGGTTTCAGAACTTGATCTCGTTCAATTTTTTTAAATCATGATACTGAGATCCATAAAGAAGAAACATATGTCCAGGGTCACATAGCTAGGCAGTGGCAAGACTAAAAGTGATACATGTCTTCATTCCCAACCATTCTGCTTTCAGAACTACCAGGCTGCCCCCCAGACCCTCTGTAACGCTCATCTCAGCACTTTCAGCCTCCTTCTTCTGGTTTTCTTTGTGGGTTGACCTAGCACTTACCTCACCATCCTGTCTGGTCTCTTCTCCTTCATCCTGGTCAAGTTCAAACTCCGTGCCCCGGTCTACAACATCCACACCAGCATGCACCCTGGGCTTCTCATTTTCCCATTTGGCAAAGCCTTTGTCCTTTGCTGCTTTGTCATGGAACTTGGATTTCATTTTAGGGAAGGTGTGGGACCCCGAGTCCCCCCAGCCAGCCTCTGACCAGACAGGTTCAGTCTGGGTGGCCTGGCTGGTGGTGGCCCTCTGTAGCCTCACAGAGATCTTGCGAGAAGAGCCTGTAACCAGTGTGATGGCTCTGCTGTCTAAATCCCTGTGTCCAGCAGTGACTCCAGGGAACTCAAACACCTCATCCTGCGCTGGAAGTGAAAAAGGGTGGTGATTATTTGACATCTGACTGCTTGACAGCAAAGCATCAAGGTTAGTGCAAACAGCACGAGTCTGGCATGCAACATTCTAGAGGAACCGACAAGGGACAGAACTCAATTAGCCGCAGGCAAGTTACATATTCCTGAGACTAGAAAGCAGAGAGAAGCAAGGATGATTCAAGGGTTTAGCTACTGCTGCTCACCCTAAAGAAGGCCTTAGCGTTTAGAGTGACTGACCGGGTTTAGACCCAGAACCTAAATGAGGTCCAAGTGTGAGGAGGCAAGCAGAAAGAGACCATGGCAGCAAAGAAAGCAGAGGGCATTACCTGGGGGCAGCGAGGGGCTTCCAGGCAGTGACCCATGACCACTGCTCAAGGAGGGCGCCCGGGCAAATCTCCTGCAGGCCAGAACCAGGAGGTCTTTGCACTGTTTGTGACAATTGGCTCCACAGTCTGAAAAATTCCAAGGGTGTCGCAGATGATTAGTGTGTCTGATGTTGATTCAGTTTCCAGGGTGGCACTTGATTTGTCAGCCCTCCCCTCCCCCACCCCAGTTTCTGTGTTGAATTTCAGAGTTGAGCTCAGGCCCATGGGGTGTGTCTAGGATCTGGAAAGAGGCCATTGGTCTGCACTTGCCTTCCTGAGGTTCCGAAAATTCTCTTAGATTTGCTCAGCTTGGTTCTGTATGCAATTGAGGACCTAATGAGCAATTGTGCCTAGGGAGTAAATAGAGTCCAGCCTGAGAGGTCAGTTGCCTTTGCCCAAAACTAAATGCAAATCAAATGGGGTTGAGAGTCTTTCCCAGGCTTAGACGGAATCCCCACAAAGAGAGCCTATGCCAGCATTAGGGCAAGAAGCCTCAGCTTCTAGTCTCTCCCAGGCCAACTGCCTCTGATCATTTACTGTGAGGTGTTCCTCCACTCAGCACTTGTCTGGATTTTTTTTTTTTTTTTCGAGATGGAGTCTCGCTCTATTGCCCAGGCTGGAGTGCAGTGGCGGGATCTCGGCTCACTGCAAGCTCCGCCTCCCGGGTTCACACCATTCTCCTGCCTCAGCCTCCCGAGTAGCTGGGACTACAGGTGCCCGCCACCACACCTGGCTAATTTTTTGTATTTTTTAGTAGAGACGGGGTTTCACCATGTTAGCCAGGATGGTCTCGATCTCCTGACCTCGTGATCCACCCACCTCAGCCTCCCAAAGTGCTGGGATTACAGGCGTGAGCCACCGTGCCCGGCCTTGTCTGGATTTTTTTACTCTTCTTCATTTTCCAAAACCTTTCAGGGCCAGTGATTATATCTTCTGCTTCCAACAGAACACAAGATGGGCATATGCTCAGTAAATATGTTCTATATTTGCTTATGGCTTTGAAACAGCGTGCAGCAGAGTCTGTGAATTGCCCATTAGGATGTTTTAGATAAGACAGTAGAATGTTAATTACTACTTGGGGTAGAAAAATGTGGCCACTTCAGATGGTGGTTCACAATTATTTCCTATGATGAGGGTCCTGCACTTCACTGAGAATCATTGAATAGAGATGATCATTTCTCTCCTACCATCAAGGAGGACCTTTCTAACTATTTCCAGTACCCATTTTCCCCTAAGTGACCTTGTTTCAAATAGTCTTAATGATGTATTCAATCTATTTCAATTCATTTTTTTTTTCACTTTATGTGCCATTAAGAAAATACAAGAGATAATCCAAAGGTGTAATAGATTTTCATCTTTATAAAATTGCGTGTGTGTGTGTGTGTGTGTGTGTGTGTGTGTGTGTGTATTTTAGGGTATGAGGATAGAAACCAGAATAAAACTAATGACTCACTGCTGGGCAATAAGATCTTGCAGTATCTTTGCTGCTTGAAAGTAAAAATCTAAGTTAGACCAAGGCAAGTGATAGAGAAGCACTAATGGGAAGGTCCCTCTGAGCACTAAACAGTGGCTTCCATTGAGATTTGGGAAGCTTTTTGTTCATGCAAAATGAGGACGAAATACTGGAAAACGACTGGAGAAAAAAGGCATCCCTGGGGAACAACATTCATCTGAAGGTATTCTGTGATTAAGATGTTTCTTTTTGTAGTTTTATTATATTTTTTCAAAAGCTTTATAAGATTATTAGAAGAGGCCGGGCGCGGTGGCTCACGCCTGTAATCCCAGCACTTTGGGAGGCCGAGGCGGGTGGATCATGAGGTCAGGAGATCGAGACCATCCTGGCTAACAAGGTGAAACCCCGTCTCTACTAAAAATACAAAAAATTAGCCGGGCGCGGTGGCGGGCGCCTGTAGTCCCAGCTACTCGGGAGGCTGAGGCAGGAGAATGGCGTGAACCCGGGAAGCGGAGCTTGCAGTGAGCCGAGATTGCGCCACTGCAGTCCGCAGTCCGGCCTGGGCGACAGAGCGAGACTCCGTCTCAAAAAAAAAAAAAAAAAAAAAAAAAAAGATTATTAGAAGAACCATATAAACTGTCCACATAAAGTGTCCAGCAACTTCTTAAACAACAGTAATGTATACTTGATCATATATGTACAAGTAGCAACACATTCCTAAATGCTTAGTATACATGCATATTGCATTTGTCAAATATATTTGATTCAATTGTTTATAAACTTAATTAAATGGGAAAGATAGAGGAAAGCATTCATTGAAAAGGACAAAATTACGTTTTAAGTTTTCTCCTCGTTTTTTGTCACCATCTATGTGATTTAGTAGAGAAAGGAATAGCTAAGTGTGAGTGGGAAGAAGTGCCTGTGCATTAGAGAAATAGTGTGTAGGTGTTTTTCTTTGAAGGAAGAAGTTCTTATATTCAGTATTTTAGCTAGGCTTGTCCCACTCAGAATTCCCACCTTAACTGGATGCTGCTGATTCCAAAGAACTAGATTTATGTGTGTTGATAAGAGTGGTTTGTAACAAGCTATAAAATTCCAATTTTAGCTCTCCAAAACTCCAGAAACTCCTCCTCAGAGGCAATCATTCTCAGTTGCCGTTGACCCAAAAGACTGAAATTCCGAATAATGGCAAGAGCTTTTGTAGTTTAACCAGACAAATTTGATTCTTACCCAAAATGTCACATTTTAAAAATTGTAACAAAATAACATTGATTTACCTTTGCATTTGTATCCTTGCTTGATTATGCCCCAGAGCTGTAACAAAAGACAAAGGAATGTCAGGGAATCTGAGGATAGATCTGGAAGGAAAACAAGGCCACTGAAAAGGAAGTCCTGGGAAGCTTCAGGACTGGCCAGGCACAAACAGGATGTAGCCACTTTTAACACCCTTCCTGCCAGATAGAAGAACCCTCTCCCGGCCCCTTCCAGCTGTGGTGATAACATGAGTTTCCTTTCCCTTTTCTTTCTCAGAGCCAACTGGGAGCCGGGATGGGAAACTACTAAAGTTTGATGCACCAGACTTTGGCCTGATGCGCTCTCAGCAAAATGTACAGAGGAGATGGCCACTTGGTCTTTGGGAGCCCCTGGCTCTCTCTTTTTAATGACACTAGCTGCTCTTAGCGCCCACTACAGGAAATGAAGCAATGGAAGAAGCGCACCTCATGTGAAAGCATTTGGATTTTGCTAGGCTATTTTCTGAGTAGTATTTGTCCCGTGGAAAAATACAGAAGAGGAAATGATCTTAGTTATTCATGTCTTCATTCTCCACATTTGCTCTATGTTTGGCCTGTGCCAGGGTTGTAGGAGATGTCGAAAAAGCTCAGATTCTGCCAAGCAAGGAGTCTGTGACATCCTCGTGGTTAACAAGTAGGAAGTGACAAATCCCTGAGGGGAGATGTGAGGGCCTGCAGTTCCACGAGGGAGCGTTTGCCCAGGGGGTTCAGGGACATCCTGGTGGTGGTGTCTTCGCTCTCCAGACAGACTCCTTCTAAACACCATAAAGAAGAGGGCCTGGCCAGGCGCGGTGGCTCACACCTGTAATCCCAGCACTTTTGGAGGCCGAGAAGAGCAGATCACGAGGTCAGGAGATCGAGACCATCCTGGCTAATATGGTGAAACCCCGTCTCTACTAAAAATACAAAAAAATTAGCTGGTCATGATGGTGGGCGCCTGTGGTCCCAGCTACTTGGGAGGCTGAGGCAGGAGAATGGCATGAACTCAGGAGGCGGAGCTTGCAGTGAGCTGAGACCGCACCACTGCACTCCAGCCTGGGCAACAGAGCAAGAGTCCATCTCAAAAAAAAAGAAGAGGGCCTTGCCATGCCCTTCTGTGCCTCCCCACACCTCTTGCATGGGGTGACAGATTCACCAGAGGCATACAGTATGGGTAATTAAATGGGCTTAGCTCAAGTTGGAGAAGAACTATTGCTAACCTCTTTGTGTTTGGGTTAGGTGGCTATTATCTACTTAATAAAATAATGTTGAAAAAGCAGGGCCCACTGGGACTGATGGGGGTGCCGTTCACAATGTTCACAATGTATTATAAGTGAACAATGCCCCCACATGTGGGCAGCATGGCCCGCTCTTCCAGAAGAGTAAGTCACAGCCAATGTGAAGTGACTCAAGAGTATACAAAGACTGCTCCTTACTTCTTTTTGACAAGGAACTTCCACAAGTAGAAAACTCAAGGATTCCTTTGAGCCTTAACAGCTATTTGGTCCTTCAGAATACATATTAAAATGCAAATGTCAGCCGGGCGCGGTGGCTCACGCCTGTAATCCCAGCACTTTCGGAGGCCGAGGCGGGCGGATCATGAGCTCAAGAGATCAAGACCATCCTGGCCAACATGGTGAAACCCCGTCACTACTAAAAATACAAAAATTAGCTGGGCATGGTGGTGTGTGCCTATAGTCCCAGCTATTCAGGAGACTGAGGCAGGAGAATCACTTGAACCCAGGAGGTAGAGGTTGCAGTGAGCCAAGATCGCGCCACTGCAGGCGACAGAGAGAGATTCTATCTCAAAGAAAAAATAATAATAATAAATAAATAAAATGCAAATGTCTCCTAGGACAGAGCAGTATTTTGTCTTAGGGACAGGAAGGATTATCTGACAACTAAGTAGAAGCAAGGATGGCTGGAAGAGAGAGGGGCATGATCCAGAAAAGGGCAGTGGTGGCCAGGATCATCACAGCTTGATCTTTATGATAATCTAGTTTGCTTCTCTTTTGTAAAAGGTGAATGTGATGATCCAGGAAGTTAGATAATTTGCAATCTCCCACAACCTGGAAATTCTTTCTCTGGAGCCCTTGGTAATGATAATAGCAATAATAATGATGATAGTTAACATTTCTTGAACTCTTGCTATGTGAAAGGCACAGTTAGGCTCTTTATACATATTAGCTTATTTAATTGCTCATGATGTCCTTATGGTGTAGGTAATAATATTTTTCTCATTTTTACAGATGAGGAGACTGACCTACAGAGAGGTAAAGTCCCTTGGCAAGGTCTCATAGCTAGTGAGGGAAAGAAGAATGTGTCACTTGAGGGAAAGACAGGAAGCCATTGCCCCTGCATACTGTTGTGTGAGCAAAGGCACTGAGGTGGGACAAGAAAGGATAAGATTTAAGAAGAGACATCCTAATATCCAGATATGTTACATTATTAGCATTGCTGCAGGAACTGCTGAAAAAGATACAGTCAAGCAAGGGTGCTGGGGGTGGGGGTGGGGAGGTAGGTTTGCTAATGCTTACTTAATAGCCAGGAACAAACAGTAGCTAGGAAGAGGCACTGGGTCAGTGTGCCTGCCAAGAACAGTAGAGGATGAACTCATGTGGATGGGTATGCAGGAGTATTTCCCACAGTCCTTTGATTTGAGACCACCGGCTGCTGTCATATTTGGAGTAATTGTGGTGTAAGGCACACTGGACTGAGAGTCAGGAGACCTGGGTGTGACTCATGGTTTTGCTGCTAATGATCTGTGTGACCTTGGGGGAAGTCACTTAACTTCTCCAGACCTCAGTTTCTTCATCTACAAAATAAGGGAATTACTAACACTCTTTCAGTTCTGGAATTCTAATTCTAAAGTAAATCTTCTGCAGAGCAAGTCTGTTTGTCTTCCTTAAACTTAAAATGGAATTTATTTTAAAAGCAGATGGTTCCGGCACTGGAACCATTCTCCCACAATTCCTTTCAATGACACATCTATAGAGCTATAGTTATAAATTCCTTTGAAAACCAATGGGCTTTTTGACATGAGTGTCAGTAAAGATCAAATCAAATCGTACCAATAAAATTAAATATATTTTAAAAACAAAAACAGCTGTAAAAATTTTAAATGAGTTAATTTCAATTAAACTCTCAAAGTATCAAGGAATACATAAAAAATGTGTACTCCGAGCCATGTGACGTGCAACGTGTCTAATAGTATTTTATCATGCAACAACATGGTGGGTAAGTATTAACTCCCTTTTACAGATAGAAATAGACCCAAAGATGGTGAATAACTTGGTCAAGGACATAGAGTTAGCAAGGGCAAAACTTTAACCCAGGGTTCCAGACTCCAGGTCCAGAGCTTTCTACTTCATCACAGCTGCATCAAGAATGTAGCACCAGCAGGTCTGCTCCAATGAGTCAGGGAGACAGGTGTGGAACTTCCAAGAAAGTCTACCTTGCTGCTCCTACAGAATCAGGGCCTCTGTAAAAGGGAGGGGCAGGACAGAAGGACTAGAGAGCGGAGATAAGATCTTGAGTTTGTTTCTCTGTTTGTTTGTTTGTTTGTTTGTTTGTTTGTTTTTGAGATGGAGTCTTGCTCTGTCGCCCAGGCTGGAGTGCAGTGGTGCCATCTTGGCTCGCTGCAAGCTCCGCCTCCCGGGTTCACGCCATTCTCCTGCCTCAGCCTCCTGAGTAGCTGGGACTGCAGGCGCCCACCACCACACCCTGCTAATTTTTTGTATTTTTAGTAGAGACGGGGTTTCACCGTGTTAGCCAGGATGGTCTCGATCTCCTGAGCTCATGATCCACCCGCCTTGGCCTCCCAAAGTGCTGGGATTATAGGCGTGAGCCACCGTGCCTGGCCGAGTTTTTTATTATTGTTATTATTATATTTAGCGATGGCAGTGGCAGGTGTCTCTTTATATTGCCCAGGCTGGAGTTGAACTCTTGGGCTCAAGCTATACCCCTGCCTCAGCCTCCTGAGTACCTGGGACTACAGGTCCATGCCACAGCACCCGGGACCTTGAGATTTGATAAGGGTCTTCTGACTCTCACAGCCCACCAAAAGACAGATGCATCATCCTGACTTTTGGCTGAGCCATACCATGGCCCAGCAGCCTGACCTTTTGTTTACTGGGTCCCACTCTGTAGGAGCGTGTTATGCACGGCCCCATCCCACATCAGAATTTTCAGGTCTAGGTATTTCCAAAAATTTCCATCAGAATAGAGAAACATGAAAAAGGAGACCATTTTGTTTTGTTTTGAGACTGAGTCTCGCTCTGTCACCCAGGCTGGAGTGCAGTGGCATGATCTTGGCCCAGTGCAACCTCTGCCTCCCAGGTTCAAATGATTCTCCTGCCTCAGCCTCCTGAGAAGCTAGGATTACAGGCACCTGCCACCATGCCCTGCTAATTTTTGTATTTTTGGTAGAGACGGGTTTTCACCATGTTGGCCAGGTTGGTCTCAAACTTCTGACCTCAGGTGATCTGCTTGCCTTGGCCTTCCAAATTTCTGGGATTACACACATGAGCCACCGCGCCTGGCCAACCATTTGTTTTATGATAAAATGGTCTGGTCATGCAATCCCAGTGGAGATACTAAAGAAGAACTTCACCTTCTCTGCAGTGAATAAAGAGAGCTAGTTAGACTGGCTTTCCCCTGTGTCACATCAGCTGCTATGACCACCTGGGGCCGTCTTTGAGGAAACGGCTGCCTCTTATTTACCCATTCTCAGAGGAGTGTGTGCTTGAACACAGACTCCTGCATTGGGCTCCTGAAAGCCAGTTCTTTGAGCATGGGATGGGAAAAATGTAATTTCTGGTAGCGTATAATATCGGCAACAAATTCAATATGGGTCAACGAGTCAACAGGAGGACATGGCTGCCAAATAAAGCTAACACGACTGAGCTCTGGCATCTAGAAAAAGGGGCGATTGTCATACTCCTCTGGGTGCTGGGCCTCCCTCACCTGGAATACCACATTTCCCATTTTATTTAACTTGGATTATCAACTGGAGACATTCAGGGCCCAGGAGTTTCTGTTAAGGCCAGGATCAAAAACTGACCTTGGTTCCCAAAGAATTATCAAAGGTGGGGGAAGGAAGCATGCAGTCTTAATTTGTTGCAGTGGTGTAGGTGAAGCACAGGGCTGACAGTCAGTACACCTGTGTCGGAGTCCAAGCTCTGGTAATGATTAGCTGTGCAATCCTCGGGAACCTGGGTTATCCTCTTTGAACCTCTATCTTCATAAGCAAGATGGTGAAAGTAAAATACCCACTTCAAGGGCTTGCTATGAGGATTAGTTACCATAATGTCTATGGAAGTACTTTGTTACCGTCAAGCATTGAGTAAATGTTATTTATTATTATAACCAGCTTCTCTCCAAAAAGATTTTTTCTTCCTTTTTGAGTTGTGAATTATTGAACCATGCCATGACGGATTTCTGGTCACTAATACCCCATGAAATGAAAACTGGAAGGAACTCGCTAAGATAAATGCACCTCTTAATTGCAACCACTTATGAATATTAGTGATGAATGCCAGGGCTCATTGGGCTGACACTTTTCCCTGGCAGGGAGTAATAAACAAAACCACTCTCTTGAGTTAACAGCCCTCACCAGCCTTCCCTGTTTTTGCTAGCCCTGCATTCCTAGAAAATAACTAAACCTTGCCTTTGGTGTTTAATCTTCAATTTCAGGGAGCCATCACATTTTACTTCTGATTCAAAGCAGACAGTGAACTTTATTTAGTGTATCATTTTCCTACTTTTTCAGAATGCCACACAAATAACTACACACATAAGAAAACAACGGAAAACAGACTTACAAATCCCGCACAGTGTTCGCAGAAGGTTGGCTTGAGATAGGTCATCTCCTGAAAATTATGGATAAATCCTGGTCCCATTTTACAGTGTAGTTGGGATTTAGCTCTCAGGAAGTAAGCCATCATTTCATCTTTACTAATTAGGCCATCCCTGTTAAGAGAATCAAAGAAGGGAGGGAATCTTTAAATAACAGGTTGCTAAGTAGTTGCCACACTTTAATCACCCACCTCCCAAACCTTTGTGGCCAAAAGCAGTTGAGGCACATTCACTTCTCTATTACATCTCAGAGAAGGAGCAAACCTCAAAAGGCATCTTCAGGTGTTCAAAGCCTTTTTCAGTAAGCAGAAAATTGTGTATGTGTGCATCCTGCGTGTGTGTGTGTGTGTGCAGGAGCATATTCATGTAAGCACACATGTGGCCTGTGCACCGCAGCACAGAAAGTCTTTATTATGAAAAGCAGCTTCCTGAAGGACATCTTTCTAGTCCTTGCCTAGCTGTAAGGTTGCAAGAATTAGGATGATGGAGAAAGGCAGAGAACTGTAATAACTGGGCTGACCATTCTCAAATTCATTCAGCTTGATGCTGTCCGGGCTCCTTGGTGATATTTTCACTCATATCTTAGTGGCTCATAGCCCATTCACTGCGACTGGCTGGGAGCAATTCTTCCAGATCTACTCCACACAGAACAAACCTCTGGTCCTTCCCACCTTCCTACCCCTACTCACCACATACGCTGACTTCTTGTTTATCAAAAATGATCAAATCGGCCAGGTGCGGTGGCTCATGCCTGTAATCCTAGCACTTTGGGAGGCCAAGGTGGGCGGATCACTTGAGGTCAGGAGTTCAAGACCAGCCTGACCAACATGGTGAGACCCCATCTCTACCAAAAACACAAAAATTAGCTGGACGTGGTGGTGTGTGCCTATAATCCCAGCTACTCAGGAGGCTGAGTCACGGAGGCAGAGATTGCAGTGAGCCGAGATCACACCACTGCACTCCAGCCTGGGCAACAGAGTGAGACTCTTGTCTCAAAAAATAATAATAATAATAATAATTGGATCCACTTGACACAGGTGAGCTCTATCTTGCTTCTTTGTCCATTAGCATTTGCTGGCGATCACACCTTTCCTTTCCAGTTCAGAATTCTTTTCTACCTCCTATGTCCTCTCTTGGGAGTCCTCTCTCAGAGGAAGAGTTGTGCCATCCAGCACTCTCCAGCCTCCCCGGGACTCTCCTCCTTCCAGGTTATGCTCAGTCTCTTCCCCTGTTTCTTCCTCCGTTCACAAATACGCTCAGGACTTTCCTACCTGAAAAATCCCCTTCTTCAGTCCTGCTGCCATCTCCAACAGATGTCTTTTCTTTCTACCTTCTTTTTTTTTTTTTTTTTTTTTTTGAGACGGAGTCCCGCTCTTTAGCCTAGGCCGGATTGCAGTGGCACAATCTCGGCTCACTGCAAGCTCCGCCTCCCAGGTTCACGCCATTCTCCTGCCTCAGCCTCCCGAGTAGCTGGGACTACAGGCGCCCGCCACTGCGCCCAGCTAATTTTTTGTATTTTTAGTAGAGACGGGGTTTCACCGTGTTAGCCAAGATGGTCTCGATCTCCTGACCTTGTGATCCGCCCGCCTCGGCCTCCCAAAGTGCTGGGATTACAGGCGTGAGCCACCGCGCCCAGCCCTCTCTACCTTCTTTTACTCCCGAAGTTTTCAAAAAGAGAAACCCTTAGGTTCTTTTATCATTTCCTCCAGGTACTGTTTATGCCACTTGGTTTTCTAACCCTACAAATCTGTCACCAAGAACATCCTCAGTGGCCTTTTCTCATTGGCAGGAGGTAACACGGAGACATGTTTCCTTCTTTTGGCGCTCTCCCCTTAGGCACCCTGGAATTGCATGCCACCCCGCTTCTCCTCCTTCCTCTCCAGCTCCCCCTTCTCCAGCTCACCTGCAGGGCCCTCTGACTCCTTTCAATGCCTGCATGTAGGAGGCGAGTCCCTGAAGGCTCATTCCTCAGGCCCTGAGCTCACCTCCCTCTAAGAGTTCCCACCAGAGTTTGCTCACAAGATCGAGACTCCAGCTTACAGTGGGGCTGAAGACTTAATCTCCATCTCCAGCCCTGACTGTTGTCCTGAATTTTTGCACTGCATCTTTGACAACTTGCTAGACCTCTCTTCCTGATGATCCACTCTCTGTCTCAATCAACGGATCTAAGTCCAACTTCATCTCTTTCTTCCCTGTACTCCCTGCCCAGGCTTCCCTATTACTGTTTGCTGTGCCACAATTTTCCCCCAGGCTTGAGAACTTAAGATCCCTTTCTTACCTCCTATGCAAAATAACTTTGATTTTTGTACTTTATAAGTATTATTAAAGTTATTTTGCGTAGGAGGCAAAAAAAAAAAAAAAAAAAAAAAAAAAAAGGATTCTATATTCTCAAGCTTGCGGGGAAATTTGGCACAGCCTAGCACCTAACAGTTATTTTTTCTGCTCCTCCAAACGTCCGCCATCAAGGAGGCACCAGCGTCTCTTATTCCCTTCTTTGTGTTCTTGAGTTCTCATCATTTAGCTCTCACTTAGAAGTGAGAACCTGTGGTATTTGGTTTTCTGTTCCTGCGTTAGTTTGCTAGGGATGATAGCCTCCACTTCCATCCGCGTTCCTGCAAAACACATGATCTCATTCTCTCTCTCTTTTTTTTTTTTTTTTTTTTTCCCTGAGACAGAGATTCGCTCTTGTTACCCAGGCTGGAGTGCAATGGTGCGATCTTGGCTCACCACAACCTCTCCCTCTTGGGTTCAAGTGATTCTCCTGCCTCAGCCTCCGACATGTGTCACCACGCCCGGCTAATTTTTGTATTTTCAGTAGAGATGGGGTTTCTCCATGTTGGTCAGACTGGTCTCGAGCTCCCGACTCAGGTGTTCCGCCTGCCTCAGCCTCCCAAAGTGCTGGGATTACAGGCATGAGCCACCGTGCCTGGCAATCTCGTTCTTTTTTATGGCTGCATAATAGTCCATGATGTATATGTACCACATTTTCTTTATCCAATCTGTTATTGATGGGCATTTAGGTTGATTACATGACTTTGATATTTGAATAGTGCTGCAATGAACACTCATATGCCTGTGTCTTTACTGTAGAATGATTTCTATTCCTCTGGGTATATACCCAGTAATGGGATTGCTGGGTTGAAGTGTAGTTCTGTTTTTAGCTGCTTGAGGAATCGCCATACTGCTTTCCACAATGGTTGAATGAATTATACTCCCAACAGTGTATAAGTGTTCCCTTTCCTCTGCAACTTCACTAGCATCTGTTATTTTTTGACTTTCTTTTTTTTTTTTTTTTGAGACGGAGTCTTGCTCTGTCGTCCAGGCTGGAGTGCAGTGGTGCGATCTTGGCTCACTGCAAGCTCCGCCTCGCGGGTTCATGCCATTCTCCTGCCTCAGCCTCCCGAGTAGCTGGGACTACAGGGGCCCGCCACCAAGCCTGGCTAATTTTTTGTATTTTTAGTAGAGACAGAGTTTCACCGTGTTAGCCAGGATGGTCTTGATCTCCTGACATCGTGATCCACCCACCTCAGCCTCCCAAAGTTCTGGGATTACAGGCGTGGGCCACAGCGCCCAGCCAATTTTTAGACTTTCTAGTAATAGCCATTCTTGGCTGGGCACGGTGGCTCACGCCTGGAATCCCAGAACTTTGGGAGGCCAAGGCAGGTGGATCACCTGAGTTCAGGAGTTCAAGAACAGCCTGGCCAACATGATGAAACCTCGTTTCTACTGAAAAAAAAAGAAAAAAAAAATTGCCTGGCGTGGTGGTGCATGCCTATAACCAGCTACTCAGGAGGCTCAGGCATGAGAATCACTTGAACCCAGGAGGCAGAGGTTGCAATAAGCCGAGATTGTGCCAGTGCACTCCAGCTTGGGCAAAAGAACGAGACTCTGTCTCAAAGAAAAGTAATAATAATAATAATAATAGCCATTCTGACTGGTGTGAGGTGATATCTCATCGTAGTTTTGATTTGCATTTCTCTAATTATCAGTGATATTGAGCTTTTTTTCATATGCTTATTGTCCACATGTATGTCTTCTTTACAGAAGTGTCTATTCATGTCCTTTGCCTACTCAAAGGAATGGGCACAGATTTCATAATGAAGAGGCCAAAAACAATCTTTATTATATATATGATAAATGAATTTATGAATGCATTGTCCCACAAATTTATTACATCATTTGGTACATAAATTTGTGTAACAGTGCATTAGCTCATCTCCCCTCCTAGGGACTCACAGCGTAATACACCAGCCTATTAAAAGCTTTGGGAAGTCACACAGTAAAGACACCTATTTAATGAGATTTAACCCTGTGTTTCTCACATGTGACTACTTAGTTCCTTTTTCAAAAGTACTAATTAATAGCTACTTCTGTGGAACATCGTTTGGAAAACAGTACCTTAGAGAAAACATCTTTTTGAGACTTTCCAGTATTAACCACTCAAAACTTTAGTGTCATGTAAGCAAGATATGAATAGTCCAAACCTTCATTCATAGAAAACAATTCTATAGATATCAATAAGTAGAGATAAGGATGATATAGAGATAGAGATAGACACAAATATTTGCTAGGACAATCTCAATTTTGTCTCTAGAACCAACAGATAAAAGAAATGAAGACTAGGAAGTTATTTTAAGTCAATGTCCTATTTACATGTCACTAATAGTAACAAACTAAGCAAAGAAGTGGGTAGTTAGCAGGCAATTTAAATTTTACTTTGTAAAGGAAGTTAATGTTTCTAATTAAATTTATTTTAAAAGTATTCTTTGTTCTGGGTATATAATGAAGATGAATTTAAGATTTTAAGTTATGTTAATGTGTCAAGACTTTTCTTGGTGTGTTGAATTACAGATTTTATTTTTTAAATTCAATTAAAAAAAAATAGTTAGAGACAAGGTTCCCACTATGTTGCCCAGGCTGGTCTCAAACTCCTGTCTTCAAATAATCCTACTATCTCAGCCTCCCACAGTGCTGGCATTACAGGTGTGAGGTATCGCATCCGGCTCCAGATTTCGTTTTTTAAGAATTCTCATACCAGCAAAAATATTAGAGAATTTTAATGTAATTTAATTTGCCCATTTTACCAAAACAAAATCCAGCATTTCCTTACAGGTGATTTTTAAATTAGGAACTAATCTCGTACTATTAACAATTAATCAAATTATTAATGCCAGGATTTCTCAGCAGTTTTTTTTTTCAGATCATTATTTTCTTTTAATGAGTTGGGTTTTAGTATCTAAAGCGATTTAATTTTTAGGAATCATTTGACGCTAAAAAGCAATATATTTTTTCTTTATCAAGACAACCTTTGATCAATCAAAGAGAAAACAAAGCATGAATGCTTCTTGGCTGTCTGCAGCTATCATCTGCTTTAATGAAGACTATAAGTGAGTTTTTTTTTTTTGAGACAGAGTCTCACTCAGTCACCCAGACTGGGGTGCAATGGTGCTATCTCAGCTCACTGCAACCTCTGCCTCCCAGGCTCAAGCAATTCTCCCGCCTCAGCCACCCAAGTAGCTGGGATTACAGGCCTGTGCCACCATGCCCAGTGAATTTTTGTATTTTTAGTAGAGACAGAGTTTCACCATGTTGGCCAGGCTGGTCTTTAACTCCTGGCCTCAAGTGATCTGCCTGCCTCAGCCTCCCAAAGTGCTGGGATTACAGGCATGAGTCACCATGCCTGGCCAAAATTTTTTTAAAATCTTCATGAATTTTAAGATTGCTTCCAGGTGCACTAATTTTGAGGACTCTCCCAGGTTAGATCTAACAATATTTCTCCTCTACTCTTTTTTGGTGGAGATTTTTTGAGGTTGAGAGCTAAGCAATAGAAGCAATATAGCAAATGGAGTGCTTGGATAATTTACAAATGTGCACTTGTGTTCAACACTGACAACATGGTCTTCCCTGTGATTCCATTCAGGTCATGTTCATACACACCAAGAAAATAATCAGTGACAAATTAAACCTGGCTCATCAAAGCACCAGGGTTGAAGCTGTCAAGATGCAAATTACAAGTTTCCCTTCTCTCCTCTGATAATAATTTTCTGCTTTAGGATAGTTGCATTAAAATAAAACAAAATTAAAACTTACTGATCTTTGTCCAGAACACAGAAGGAATCCAAGAAGGGAAAATTGGCAGCTATACTTTCAAAGTCCTCTTGGGAAATGTACCCATCATGGTCGTGATCATAGTTTCTAAATACAGACTGCAAAGGAAAGATAAGTATTTATTGAATGACTATAAGGCAGGCTCTGAACTTGTTATTGCAAAAGCAACGATAACTAGCATATGATCCTTTCTATCAAGGAGGTTAGAATCTAGTGAAAGATAACTAAGTCAAGAAGCCTTTATAATATAACAAGACAAGTGGTTTGATGAGGATAAAAACAGAGTAATGGTTGGATGTGGTGGCTCACACCTGTAATCCCAGCACTTTGGGAGTTGGAGGCAGAGGTGGGAAGATCACTTGAGCCCAAGAGTTTGAGACCAGCCTGAGCAATATAGAGAGACCTCATTGCTACAAAAAAACATTTTTAATTAGCTGGGCACGGTGGTGCATGCCTATAGTCCCAGCCACTTGTGAGGCTGAGGCAGGAGACTTGCTCAGCCCAGGAGTTTGAGGTTACAATGAGCCAAGATCACACCGCTGCACTGTAGCCTGGGCAAACGAGTAAGGCATCATCTCTAAAAAATAAATTTTAAATAAAATTAAAAATAAAACTTCGGCTGGGCGCGGTGGCTCATGCCTGCAATCCTAGCACTTTAGGAGGCTGAAGCAGGTGGATCACCTGAGGTCAGGAATTCAAGACCACCCTGACCAACATGATGAAACCCCATCGCTACTAAAAATAAAATAAAATAAGAAATTAGCTGGGCATGGTGGCATATGCCTGCAATCCCAGCTACTCAGGGGGCTGAGGCACGAGAATCGCTTGAACCTGGGAGGAGGAGGTTGCAGTGAGCCAAGATGGCGCCATTGCACTCCAGCCTGGGCAACAATAGCAAAACTCTGTCTCAATAAACAAATAAATAAAATAGAGTGATATTGGTGGGGGGGGGAAAGAGGAGGTGGATTAAGAAAGGTTTCCTGGGAAAAGCAAGGTTTAAACTGAAACCTCAGGGTTGAGTAGAAATTGGCTTAGTGAATTTACAAATTCAAATACCATGACAATAGAAAATAAAGTTTTAAGGTGTTATCTCAAAAATTAAAGCATACATTTAATGCAATTCCAATCAAAATCCCAGTAGGGATTTATTTTAAATGAACAAATTGATTATAAAGTTCAAATCAAAGTGGGCATGTTGAAAACAGGCTAAAAATTATTTTAAATGAAGAGTAATGAGGGGGAACATGCCCTTTCAGAAATCAAATATTCTACACAGCTACATTAATCAAAACAACATGATACAAATTACCACAGAGAGTGGAGTCCTGAAACAAACCCATGTATGTATAGGAATTTATCAAAAAGTATCTTTTAAAATCCACAGATAAATTATGGATTATCCAATAACTGCTGTTGAGTTAAATGACTAATAATCTTACAAAATAAATTACCTCCAAACTAAATTCTAGATGTATTATATATTATTTATTTATTTTTCTTTTTAGAGACAGGATCTCACTCTGTTGCCCAGGCTACAGTGCAGTGGCATGATCATAGCTCACTGCAGCCTCAAACTCCTAGAATCAAACTCCATCCTCCTGCATCAGCCTCCCAAAGTGCTGGGATTATAGGCATGAGCCACTGCACTAGTGTATTATATAGTTTAATGCAAAAAAACCCAAAGCTATAAAAGTACCAAAGATAAATAGATGAAAATATTTTTCATGTTTCATAATCTTTGTGTGAAAAAGGCCTTTCTTGGCATGACATCAATGTCAGAAGCCATAAAGAAAAATATTTTATTTAATAAAATGCAAAAAAATTGAACCAAAAAAGCTCAATTAACAAATTTTAAGATAAATGTCAAACAGAGCAAGTTATTTGCAGCATATATGAGAGCAAAGACACAAAAGTCAAACAGGCAATCACCAAATAAAAATACAAATGGTCAATACATCCATGGAAAGTTATTCAGCTCAGCTAATCATTACAGAAACATTAATGAAGCTTTTTTTCACCTCTCAGATTAAATAAAATCTTAAAATACTGTAATCGATCATCTTCTAGGGTATGAGACAACAGGTACTCTTGTATCAAGTTAGTGACGTAAATAGCCACAATATTTCTGGAGGACAATCAGGAATTTTAAGTGCCTACTCTCTGACACAGCAATTCCACTTCTAGGAATCTGTCCTAAAGAAATAATCGAACAAAGTTGCGTAAGATACACATGTATATATGTATGTAGTATATGTGTGTTTATACATATGTAGAGATAGAGAATAAAGTCATATTAGATAATCTACAAATGATCAGTGGTTATCCTTGGAGAATAGAATTACCAAGACCTGAAAGTAAAGCTTTTTATTTTCTATAATTTATGTAATGCTTTAATATTTTTGATGATTCTATCTTCCTTTATAATCAGAGAAGAATAAAAAAAGTTTCCCATTGCCCTCTGCAAAATTAGGTTTTCAAAAAGATTTGTAAGTTCTTTCTGCAAACACATGTATACAAATTTATATTTGATTTTGATTCCAGTTTTAATTAATCTCCAGTTTTAATTAATTCCCAGTAGTTTCTGTCTATTCTATCTATCGCTATTGCCCTGTGTTGCAAGTATTTTGGGAAGTAGGTAAGGTATAAATGAATGAATTAATTAAAAATGTGACTAAAATGAGCCCATCTCAAGCTTTTTTGTAGGTAACAGAATTGTGCAAAATCAGAAAACATTACCTTTTTTTTTTTAATTCCAGTATCATTACTTAGCCATAATAAAAATAGCTTAAAAGTTAACTATTTTGGAATGCCTACTATTTATAGTTTAACATCCATATTTATACCACGAGTAGAAGATTTTTTGCGGAGTAAAATTCATCATAAAATCCTGGTCTTTTATTTGACTGAACCAATGGTAAGGAATTTGGAGAAAAGGGAAGAGAGAAAAGGTAAGGAAGACAGAATGAGACAGAGAGAGAGAGAGAGAGAGAGAGAAATTCCCCAGACACACACACACACACACACACACACACACACACACACACACACACACAAAACACACACACAGAGAGAGAGAGAGAGAGAGAAATTCCGCATGTGGACTGAGGAAGTCAGTATGTAGAATGAGACTGGGAGAGGGAACAGCTCTGCCTTCTATTTCCTGGCTTCAGACATTCCTGAGCTGCAGCTCAGTCCTTGCATTCCCTGGGGACCCCTGGATCCTTTTCTCACCTTCCCCAGCTCCAAGCTGGGTCTGTTACTACCACGGGCTCCACTGGACCTTATCTCCTTCTCAGCCCTTCCCTCACTAATATTCCTCTTGGCACCACCATTTTCCTGCCTGCCTAACACACTCCGCAAAATTTTTCTTTCAGCACCTCCTAGTTTTCTGAATTATCCAAGATGTAAGACATTCTTTCTTTTTCTTTAAATATCTTCTCCCAGCAAAAAGCACATTCTATCCCAAAGACTCAATTCTGTTGCACCAGCAGATGTACCTACCAATCCATTAAAGTAGACATTTAATTCAGGATCGCAGTTTCCTGTACCCGAGATGTTTCCGTGTTCCCCCATCGGCACTTCTACTCTTTTTTCTTTTCTTTTCTTTTCTTTTTTTTTTTTTCAGACGGAGTCTCACTCTGTCTCCCAGGCTGGAGTGCAGTGGCGCGATCTCACCTCACTGCAAGCTCTGCTTCCCGGGTTCACTCCATTCTCCTGCCTCTGCCTCCTGAGTAGCTGAGACTGCAGGCGCCCGCCATCGCGCCCGGCTAATTTTTTGTATTTTTAGTAGGGACAGGGTTTCACCGTGGTCTCGATCTCCTGACCTCGTGATCCGCCCGCCTCGGCCTCCCAAGTGCTGGGATTACAGGCGTGAGCCACCGCGCCCGGCCCTACTCTTTTTTCTACACGGAAAACTCTGACAGAGCCTTGTCCTACATTAGGTGATTTTTCTAATCTCAGTAACATCGGGCTGCTGTGTCATAAAATTCCAAAACTATACAAAAGGAGAAACTATCCAACTTACAGGATTTCTTTCCTGCCCTTGGGTAATCAATTTATTGGGCATCTTAGTGGGACCTATGTGGGTTTTTCATGAGTGATTCTAATCCCCAATCCCTTGAGCTGTTGACAATGACAGAGGTGGCAAATGCCTGTGAAAGAGAGGAGCTGGAAGTAGCTGAGAGTATCTGGGCAAGAGAGACAACAAAGGGAAAAGGGCCTTTCTGATCGACTCTCCCCAGGACCCAATGCCTGGTAGGACTAAGTGCCTGCTAAATTGTTCCTACCTGCCAGAGGGTTGTTTTCAGGGGTTCCATCAGATTCCTGGACAATCGCAGAACATTCTGGAAAGAGAAAGGGTCTTCTAGTGCCCTCTCTTTATTCTCCCTCAACCACTTACCTCCACTAATTTCCTTATGTGCTTGTTGATGACCGTGGGGTCTGGCTTTGGCATCACCCCTAATGCCCACTCCAGGGGTACCACAGGCTTGTTGGGCGTCGTAGGGGAGGTAGGCTGCTGATAAACAAAAAAAAAACCACATATTTTTCAACTTTATTATTATTATTATTTTGAGACAGGGTCTGGTTCTGTCGCCCAGGCTGGAGTGCAGTGGTGTAATTTCGGCTCACTACAATTTCTGCCTCCTGGGCTCAAGCCATCCTTCCACCTCAGCCTCCCAAGTATCTAGGACTACAGGTGTGTGCCACCACGCCCAGCTAATTTTTGTATATTTAGTACAAATGGGGTTTCACCATGTTGCACAGGCTGGTCTCTAACTCCTGGGCTCAAGCAATTCTCCGGCCTCAGCCTCCCAAAGTGCCGGGATTATAGGCATGAGCTACCACGCCTGGCCATATTTTTCAACATTAACTGGGGCCTTGAACAACTAGGACCAGGGACACTGAGAAGAATGAATAAGTTTTGTATATTCATAATACCAGTAGAAACTTACATTTATATAGCTATTAAATGCTTATAAAACAAGCATCTTATGTTAATGGAATCTAATCTGTAACTAAATGCATGTTTAGATACTGCCTTTTGTTTAACAGCAACTTAAATTCTATTATTTTATTTTTATTATTTATTTATTTATTTATTTATTTTGAGACAGAGTCTCTCTCTGTCACCCAGGCTGGAGTGCAGTGGCATGATCTCGGCTCACTGAAACCTCTGCCTCCCAAGTTCAAGCGATTCTTGTGCCTCAGCCTCCCAAGTAGCTGGTATTACAGATACCCACCATCAAGCCCAGCTAATTTTTGTAATTTTAGTAGAGACGGGTTTCCACCATGTTGGCCAGGCTGGTCTCGAACTCCTGACCTCAGATGATCCACCTGCCTTGGCCTCCCAAAGTGCTGGGATTACAGGTGTGAGTCACCACATCCAGACTAAATTCCATTATTTTAAATGGGAAAAAAGCAATGCGCTCCCAGTCCATCCAAAAATCCTATCCGAGTTCTCCAAATATCACTAAAACTTTTATATAACAATCCATCATGGATTTTTGTGTAATACAGGATACAAAAACACCAGTTATCTAATTCTCTAATACTTAGTGATCAGTTATGGTGCATGCAGCAAATGGGTACCAGTGGGTGGCCAAGTTTATGTCCTTACGTCTGCACCTTGCTCAATACGCTTAAGCACTTCTGACTGTTCTGCCAATCATTAGGTCTCTCTGGCCCTCTTTGGTGAACTTTCTTTCTCCACAGATTTTTCTGCATTCTTACAAGACATTTGCATATAAAGTTGTGGGGAAGATGGTAGCACAATGCATAACATGCTTGGATAACACAAGCACAGAACACAATCCTTTCAGGAGACCAGCCAAGACTGGTGTTCACTTTATATCCTCTCCCTGAAACCTTCATAAAATGTCAACATTTTTGCTGGTGCACACATGCAAATCTATTTTTTTCTATCTTTTCTTTTTAATTTATATTTATAGAGGCTGGGTACAGTGGCTCACACCTGTAATCCCAGCACTTTGGGAGGCTGAGGCAGGTGGATCACCTGAGGCCAGGAGTTTGAGACCAGCCTGGCCAACATGGTGAAACTCCCTGTCTACTAAAAATAGAAAAAAATTAGCCGGATGTGGTGGCACATGCCTGTAGTCCAAGCTACTTGGGAGGCTGAGGCAGGAGAATTGCTTGAGCCAGGGAGGTGGAGGTTGCAGTGAGCTGAGATTGCCACGGTACTCCAGCCTGGGAGACACAGCAAGACTCCGTTTCAAAAAAAAAAATTACATTTATAGATATATATACTTGTGTGTGTGTGTGGGGGGGGCGGTGTGTGTGTGTGTGTATTTTAGAGACAGGGTCTCACTATGTTGCCCAGGCTGGAGTGCAGTGGTTATTCACAGGCACCATCTCACTACTGATCAGCACAGGAGTTTTGAGATATATATATATATATATCCTATTAGTTCTGTCCCTCTAAGAGAACCCTAATACAATTATCTTCCCACTCCATCCCCTTTCCAGCTCCCCATCCTGCTAAGAGCCACCTCTGTCATTCAATAAAACCTCTGCCTTCACCATCCTTCAAGTCCATGTGACCTGATTCTTCTTAGATGCCAGACAAGGACTCAGGTACCAAGAAGGTAGGGTGTAAAAGGCTGTCACCCTGACTCTCCACTGAGCTGGTTAAGACTTAGCCATCCATGGACAGCAACTGCTAAAAGAGCATTAACTGTAACACACCCCTAGATGCTGTCTTGGGGCCAGAGCCCAAAAGCACTCTCCCCGGCCCCCACGCCGGCACCCACTTGTCTGTATGTTCCCCTCCAGCAAAGGGCTTGAATGTGGCCACACCTCTGTCGCAAGTCTCAGTGAAGGGATCCAGGGAACTCTCCCATCTCAACAGGACATGTCAAATAGGCTGACACTCCACTTAGAGAAGAGACAGAAAGAGACTGGGAAATGTCTTGTGTTAGATTCGTAGGATTTTAGCACTTAGAAGGGACTTTCAAAAGCTTCTACTCTTACAACAAATAAAAAGACTTTTCTATGTTTGATGGAAATATCTCCTAAAATTGGAAAAAAAAAAGATCCTGAAAATAAACTAAAGTAAAACTAAAGGCACACAAGGCAGGCAAGTGTGGTAAAATGGCTATTCCTAAGTTGTCCCTGAGATGAGGGATGGTAGAAACATCACTGGGATGGAAGACAGGCCTGACACTGAATCCCAGCTCTCCAACTTAGCAGCTGTTTGATCCGAGTGAGATACCTACTCTCACCAGACCTAGTTTTCTTTCTTTTTTCTTTCTGTCGTTTTTTTTTTTTTTTCTTTTTTAAATTTTTTTTTTTGAGATGGAGTCTTGCTCTGTTGCCCAGCCTGGAGTGCAGTGGCGTGATCTCAGCTCACTGCAACCTCTGCCTCCTGGATTCGAGTGATCCTCCCGCCTCAGCCTCCTAAGTAGCTGGAACTACAGGCACATGCTAGCATGCCCGGCTAATTTTTGTATTTTTAGTAGAGACAAGGTTCTCCATGTTGGCCAGGCTGGTCTCAAACTCCTGACCTCAAGTGATCTGCCTGCCTCGGCCTCCCAAAGTGCTGGGATTACAGGTGTGAGCCACTGTGCCTGGCCCAGACCTAGTTTTCTTAACGGAGTTAATAAGATAACCTGTGTATGATGCTCTGCCAGGCATTCAACAACTGGAAGCGATTCTGGTGCCTAATTGGTGTCAAGAGGTGGAAATTCTGTATGCACACATACAATAGGGCTTAATACACCATGGCCAGGTTCGTCATGACAAAACTACAGAATTAGGGAGGGGCTTACAAATTCCTTTTTGGTTTTCAATAGCTTTGGCTTTCTTGCTAGCTTTCTTACTCTTGCTAGCTTTAAAGAGTCTGGGTCCTCACTCCTACCATTGCATGTGCCATATCATCCCACGTGGCTCTGTTCTGCAGTATTTCCAGGAGATGAGCCTCTGGGGACTGGCAGGAAGGAGAACATGCTCATGGAAGCATATGCACTATTTTAAGAACAGATGCTACCAGGTCAGCTGACTCAGGCTCAAGTGCATGCCCTGCCAGGGCCAGAGGACGGCTCTCACTGCCATTCTGTCTCTTTCGGTCTGAGGGTTCAGAATCACAGTAGGTATTAATAAACTTAGGGGGCATAGTCACTGCCAATATGTTACAGAGTTCAGCTGGTAAGGATGAGATCTTTATAAGAGAACTGATCTCAAGATGTGATTATAAGAAGCAAGCATAGGCATTTTATCTTCAACATGCAAGCCTCAACCTCATTATAAATTTTAAACTCATCCAGGCATTTTGTATTAGTGCAAAGCATATCTAAAATATAGTCCATCCACTAAAACCAATGAGTGGTGTATATTCAATAATGCAATTTCTTCAATCTCATTATATAATGTTTATTTACTAAGCGTCTGCCATCTATTAAGTGAGACACCATCCAATGTGACATCCAAATTCTGAGTTGAATCAATGGTTAGTAGAGAAATTTGTAAATTATGATCGAGATGTTTAAAATTTTAAATCTAATTTTATGTTGAATGGAGCTTTTTTAAAGCCTGAAACAGTCTAAATGATCTTTAACATTAAGATGAGTTATTACTCCTTTCCTTTCTTTTTGGTCCTAGGTGTAATGAGTTCTTAGCAGGAACACAACAAATAGAAGATCAATTATAAAACAGAGTAATGAGAATGATGTTCTTCCTCTTTATTAGCCTCTGGTATGAAGACATAATTCTCAAACTGACAGGGCTAAGCTGTCCCATTGATAAAATGGGAATAATGGCCGGGCGTGGTGACTCATGCCTGTAATCCAAGCCTGTAATGGCCACGGCAAGCGGATCATGAAGTCAGTAGTTCGAGACCAGCCGGGGCCAACATAGTGAAATCCCCATCTCTACTAAAAATACAAAAAAAAAAAAAAAAAAAATTGCTGGGTGTGGCAGTGTGCACCTATAATTCTAGCTACTTGGGAGGCTGAAGCAGGAGAATCACATGAACCCAGGAGGCGGAGGTTTCAGTGAGCCGAGATCGCACCATTGCACTCCAGCCCAGGCAACAGTGCAAGACTCCGCCTCAAAAAAGAAAAAAGAAAAAGAAAGAATAATGTCAATTTTTAAAATTCTTCCGTTTTAGAACATAAAGCAGCATTGTAATAGCCAATTACTGTACATGACAAAAAATAGTGATTGGTACTGATCCTTGGAGAGAAAATAATACCTACCGATTTAGAATTTCTAGGCTCCAGCACCAGTGACAGTTTGTAAATATCATCTTCAGTGTGATAGAGGTCCAGGGAAAGCTACAACAAAATTAGAAGGGATAAAAATGTCGGATTACATTTATTTATTTATTTACGTTGCTGAATTTTTTTTCAAGTTGAATGTTTTAAGTTCACTGTCTAATAATTTGAGTAAATGCAGAACAATAAAAAGACGGCACGCAGAGATGGAAAATGAAATTTAAAAGAGAAAACGTTAATCCTGGTTAATCATCAGTATTGACGAGAACCATCAACTCAATTCCTCAGCAATATTTACTGAGCAGCTCCCAGGTGCTCAGTGCTGAGTCACGGATGAGGGATATGTGATGTTTCCAGGCTGGAAGTGGGGACAGATGCAAACAATAAGACTTGTAAATGTAATAAATGCTGCCTTTGAAGTTTGATTAAAGAACTGTTGAAATAAAGGAGCAGTTAACTAGGCTCCTATTATTTGAGAGCATTGTGCTAAGTCCTAGTGAGGCAAGCTGATATAAAATCATTTCTTGCCCTCAAGGCCCTGATAATTTATTTGAATAAACAGGGCCTGAACCTAAAAAGATGTGTTCGTAGCAATAAAACAGCACATGCTGAGTGTGAAGTAGTTGCTCCACTTTAAGTGCTCCAGGAACCGGTCAGAAATCAGGGAGGCAGCATAGTAAATACACGAGGGCAGAGGCTGTGTGGTCAGGCAGGGCTGGGTTCAAGCATGCAGCCTGCCACTGGCTAGCTCTGTAACCTTTAGCAAGTAATTTCCTCTCTGACACTCAGTTTCTGCATCTGGAAAATGGAAATGATCATAAAAGTCCCTACTGAGTTGGATTTGTGTCAGGACCAAATGAAATAATGCATGTAAAGTATTTCACACAGGACCTGGTACACAATAAAATCTCAAGAAGTGTTATTTTATAGTGTTAATGTTACTGTTATTATCGCATTTGTTATTAGTTATATTATTACTATGCATAGGGGCCCCGGAGACAGAAATGATCAGGATGGATTCATGGAGGTCCTTGTGAATTGGGACTTAACCAGGAGGATTGGGACTTAATTTGGACAAAAGAGAGAGGAAGATCATTGTAGGCAAGGACAACAACACAGATCCAGGCTGGAGAACATGGATAAACTCTGTAAAGCCTTACAGTGCATGTTTCCACTCACCTAAAACAGAAGTCATGAGGCTTAAAATAAACCTGAACCATTCTCACCTAGTCCTTTAAAGCTAGGACACTCAATGAATCACATCACTTCCCTGGCCATGAACATAACCAGTGCGGGCTCCCTTCTTTGACCATGTAGGAATGAAAAGTTTTCTTTAACATATTTTATCTAACATGTGTATGAGGTGGAGTGTGGGGGAAAAGAAAGAAGGAGGAAGCCAGAGAAAACTCAGAGGCGAAGATGTTTTCAAAGATTCCTTTTCCTGTTCTACTTCCTTTAAAAATGAAGTTGGTGTCATAAAATTTCATTTTCAAATCATTCATTCAACAAATATTTATCAGTAATCTACTATGTGTCAGGGATTGTTCTAGTCACTGTTCTAGCAGCTGCTTGAATATAACATTTAAATTAAGGACTTCATAATCAGGTCACGTTTCTTTTACCTGCACTTTGTCACAAAGTTTTTTTTCTAAACAAAATAAAACCGACTTAACTGTAAAATCTCCCCAGTATCATTTCAAGATCATGACAATCCTGCTTACAAAGAAGAGACATCGTATTCACCTTCCCCTGAACAGTAATCACTCCCACCTCCCAGGCTCTGCCTTTTTACAGGAAAGGAAACATCCGCATGTCACAAACAAATGCCTTTGGGAGCCATACCATTATATAAAAGAGCCAAGTAGGATGCGTAAAAGGTACATTTTGATAGAAACGTCTTATTTGGAAAACAGAGTCTTTGCAGATGTAATTTATTTAGGGATCTTTCCCCTTAGCGCCACAATAAAAAAAAATGTGTGATGATAAGTGGGACCTGACACCACTCTCTGTTAGGGAAGTCACAGGGAGAGGTGCGGTTTGTGATGAACATCACTGCTCAGTGATGACAAATTGCTGTCAGCCTAACGTTGGACCTTGAGTTGCCAAGTCTTCTGATTTGTTAAGAGAAGCCAGAAATCTGGAGTTTTAGATAAACTATCCCAATTTTCAAACACTGGGAACTAACAACGACAAAAGTTTAGGATTCCGTATGGGCCAAATAAAATACATCAGCCGTGGGCAGTTGCCTACTATTTTGTAATTCCCACAACAGACAACTGTGCCAGGCTCTAAGCCTCATGAAAGTGGGCAGCACATCTGTCTTTTGCACCTCTGTACCCTGAGTCCCAGCTTGAAGCCTCGCACTGTGAAGGTTACATAAATAAAGAGAGAAAACCAAGTGACTCCTTCCTTCTGAATTCCCTGTTATCAGGAGTTAGTGCAGACTTGGAGGAGCATGTTCCCTTCCTCCTGACTCAGCTTCCAAGTCCTGTGATGACTGGCACCAGCATCTGCTGGAGATGAGATGACAGAAGCACTACCACAGCCAACCAAGAATCCAAATAAGCCACACAGTAAGGCAAGGAGATGCTCTCTCAAGAGAACCAGAACACCCTTGGGTATTTCCATGTGTCAAATGGATAACTGGCTCAGCGATGGAAATGTTTTGGTAGTCTCCAAATACTCACTCTCTGCTTATTAGTAGTGTGAGCCTGGGCATGCAGTTAACCTTCCTGAGTCTCAGTCTCCTGATCTGTGAAATGGGAATCATAAATAATAGCTGCCTCCAAGAACGATGGTGAAGATGAAATGAGCTAATGGGTGTCTGACTAAGGTTTGTTTAGAAGGTCACAAATGCAGGGTTTGGCTTCCAGTCAATGCACGAGTCAAATGCCACTGTGCTTATCCGTGAATGTAAAGCTGCCCTCGGGGTTACTCCTAGCATCTCTTCTTTCCCAGTCACGATTCTACTTCCTCTCTCAGATCTCCTCTGGGCTTTACGGACCTGCCCAAAGGGTGATCTGTTCTACTTTCTGCACAACGTTTTTATAATATGGGCTGCTCATCAATGGAATTTCAAGAACATTTGCTCTTGTCAAACATATTTTGAGCCTGGCTGTTTTTTTCTGACAAATGTTCTTATCCACTGTTTCAAGTTGTTGCATTTACCAACCTATCCTTTCAGCAAAGTTGGTTGCAGATTCAGTCTTCATTAGGATCTACATTGGCTTGACTGTTTATCATAAAATAAAACACACCTGGACATCAGACTGCCTCTACTCACCATTTTTGAAACTCTTCTTATTCTTCTTCTTCTTTTTTAAAAATGAGACTAAAATTAAAAATACAGGGGCTTTCCAGTTATTTGCATGTACTCAAAATGGTAAAAGTAACTGATAGGGCTAAAAATACCATGAAAAGATTCAAACTATTTCATACCCCACGCAACAGAAACATCAGCTTTTAAAACTCCTGGTTACGTGAATTGGGATGTAAGGCAAATGTCCTCTCCAGATATTCCCTGAAAGGAAGGAACAATACAAATCCCAACAGTTTGGTGGCGTGGTCCTCCTTCCCTCAACAGGCCTGGTGCCGTATTCAAGGGGCCAAGGATACAATGACAAAAATGACAAACATAGCCCCCACCCTCACAGATTTTGTCCTGTAATTACTTCCTTTACTGCACATCATGAAGAGGAGGAGAGAGCAGTATTAATTAATTTTTACAGATGTGAAATAAATGAGATGTCAGCAGTGTGCCCACATGAGAGAGCAAATGTCCATTTGAGGGGAACCCGGCCCAGGCTGGGATGCAGAAGTTTGCTCCCTGTCCTTTGTAAATCTCAGTTTCTTCTTTAGTTTAAAAAAAAAAAAAAAAAAAAAAAAGGAAGGGGCAGGGGTGATGTTACACTCACAGCCCTGCCCAGGCTGCATTGCAGGGTATGTGTGAGAATTTACTGAGGAAACGTATGTGAAAAGTGCTGTGAAAACTGTAATTAACTATTACAGAAAGTTAAAGCACTGCCCTACAGCCTACCACACGGAGTAGGCATTTCATAATTGTTGATGAACATAAGGGTTCTCTTTTTCTGTCCTCCAGGGCTGTCCATCATATACAGGCGACCTCAGCTGGAGCCATGTTTAGATGAAAACAATCACTTCAGGAGAAAATTTAGAGTCCTGAGGCAAAATGAATCACCCCTTCCAATGCTGGCATGTGGATGCCTTCGCATGCATTGGGGCAGCTGTGGTCAGCCATATGGGTCTAATCCAGATATGTGTGTGCTTCCTAAAATGGCCGCTGGGCTCTAGTGACCACAAGATGGAAGCCTCCTCAGTCCTCATGTTGAGGAGATTAATCCTCAGGAGTCAGGAAGAAGGAATGTATACTGCTATGCACTAAACTTTCTTCTTGGCTGTGGGGACAGAGAAAGGATCTTGACTGGAAGTTTGGTGACTCATACACAGGATTGTGCTATCGTGATGAGCTATTGGGCTGGTACTACAGAATCAAGTTGACTCTTGGTTCCTTATTCTTAAGGCTCCACTGGTTCTTACATCTAGAATCCTAGAAGTTTAGAGCTGGAAAAGACCTCACAAATGAGCATAAAACCCTTGTTTAAAAAAAGCCAAAGTCAAGGCTGTTAGCAAGGAGACAAAACCAAGCAACTGCTGAGGGAAGGCTGAAAGCAAGGTCTCACATCTAGGATTTTGCCACTACACTATGCTACCCAACACTGCAGTTACTAAATACAGTGCTTGATGGCTTCTAAGTTTTCCTTCAATATGAGACAGAGAGAGAAAGATTCCTCCCCAGCAAAAAGGAATTTTTTTCTTAGCCTTTATTTCTAGAGTTCAGATTTTTTTCATTTGTACTCCTGAATTTTTTTTTTTTTGAGATGGAGTCTCGCTCTGTCGCCCAGTGCAGTGGCACCATCTCGGCTCGCTGCAAGCTCCACCTCCCGGATTCACGCCATTCTTCTGCCTCAGCCTCCCAAATAGCTGGGACTACAGGCACCTGCCACCACGCCAAGCTAATTTTTTTGTATTTTTAGTAGAGATGGCGTTTCACCGTGTTAGCCAGGATGGTCTCGATCTCCTGACCTTGTGATCTGCCCGCCTTGGCCTCCCAAAGTGCTGGAATTACAGGCTTGAGCCACCACGCCCAGCCAGTACTCCTGAAATTTTATTGAAAATCCTTCAATATTCCTCTAAATATTTCTTTGTCATAACATTGCTTGTTTCATTTATAACTCAAATTAATTTCCCTACCCCATTATTATCTTTTAGCTCTATGAGAAATTGCCCAAGGGTAGGCACCTGCTCTCTGAAGTTATGCTTGACATCGTGGACAGCTTGGACACAGACACTGGAAGCCTAGGCTCCACATGGAGACTGGTCTGCAGACATCACCTGTGGCTGTAGGTCTGCAGTCTGACTGGGGCTGCAACTCTGATCACTTATTCATGGAAACAGATTTACATGGCAAATCATTAATAAATGCAGGTGCTTGGATTATTGTGAGTTGCGTTCCCTGCCCCCAGTAGAGAAAGTCTGTATATTTACTATTTGTCACAAAAACTCAACTTTAAGAGATCTGTGTTTCTGTGTGTTGGCCACTTCTGCTTTATTTGAAGGGTATAGCTGCATTATTGCCTACACTTAGGGGTTTATTCTTTGGTAAACAATTACATGGTCTAGGAACAGTTTGTGAGAAGGGCGAGAAACCACACTCCTATTCCAATGCAGCAGACCTAGGGGATTTAGGCTCTCAGAAATTAAGAGGAGTTATTGGTTTCATTTTCCACAGCCATACAAGGAAAACAGTTAATTCAGTATTGCAGCTGAGTTTCAGATGCTACAGTGTTATAAACCCAAACAGGGAAGTTGCACCTCTACTTTTGTTTAAGGAAGGGTGAGTGAATTTTGTTATGCCTCTTCTTCCCACAAAGCAGCAGCCAGTGGGAAATGTTCTCTTCTATACACCGTTGTGTCTAAAAGTTCTAGGATGCAGAGACCAGCTAAACATGTGTGCCACAAATGCCAAAAAACTATGAGTGGTAGGTGAACTTCTTTTGTCTAAGCCACATCATTCCTAAATACAGCATGCAGTTCATTTATTGAGTTCCCAAATATGCCAGGAACTGTGAGAGGTGCTAGGCATATGATATGTAAGGCAGATAAACAGATAAAAATCGAATAAAGAGTGATACCTCCTATAGTTAAGGAAAATATAAAGTGCCAGGGTGATGTGACAGATGCATGACTGCTATGGAGGGGGAGAGAGAATGCTCCAGAAAGACAGGCTTTTGAAATTGAACTTGCCACATGGATGGGTTGGGATGGGATTCTCCAAGCAAGTCCAAAGGCCAGGAAGCAGAAGACAGCATTTCATGGGGTGGAAAGTATAAGAAGTTCAATATTTCTCAAAGGCTGGTAAAATGTGGGATAGGGTGATGGCAAAGAAGGTTGGAGACTGAGTCTTCAAGAACCTCGAATGCCAGACTGTAAACTACATCCTGGAGGTTTGGGAGGTTCATAATGGGAACAGGGGGATCACAGATAAGGTCCTTGCATTACTCCAGGCTTCAGCCAAAGCAGTGCAGTGAGGATAAAGAGGAGCAGATGACTGGAGGACATACAGAAGGATGTGATAAGTTGGATGAATGTGGTGAAGGAGAGTGAGGGCTGAGGCACAGTCTGGAGGAGCCTAAGAACTCCAGAAGTGGAGTCATATGGCAGAGACTGGGCCCCTCCGAACAAAGGTAGATTTCTTTGCCCCAAGATTTGCTGGTTATGGAAAATATTAATCAGGGCTCCTTTTCCCTTGTTCTATGAGATTTCCTCTCATCTATTGACTCTGAAACCAATTTTCCCCCAGAATGAATTGCTGGCACACATCTTCCTGTGTCTCCTGGAAAGAAAGGTGCAGAAGAATTATTGAGCCCAAACTTGGCTCCTTGGAACTCACCGTGAGCAGGTTGATCAAATCCATGTTGGGTTCTAAGTGGTGAGAGGCATTCTGCAGGGAGACTAGTTCACTCAGGGTAACGGAGAGCTGGTGCATTTTCACAATGTTCACTTTGTTCTCCTCTGTCCAGTCTGGGAAAATGACATGGACAGCTATCAAGTCTTTCAAGTGTACTCCAAGGATGGGGATTTTGAAGCCATCGCAGTCGGCAAAGGCCTTGCGGTAATTGCAGTAATTGCCGTTGGAGGAGACCAACTCTGTCATTTCATTCCAGTTCTGGGAACAGATGGAAAAGTAGAATTTTCAAACAACTTTCCCTCCTGCACACCCCCGGGCCCTGCAATGTGTGGCTAGGAAATTCCTCAGCTACTGAGAAAAGTATCACTTGCACCAATGTTGCTGCAGGGAAATATGAATCAGGAAAAAGAAAGTTAGAAAAAGTACTAGGCCTGGCTATGCATTGAGCAGCCTGTTCCATTTTGCTATAAAATGGAAATAGCCTACATGTCTGCCTACCTACTAGGGATGTTGGGATATTAAATGGCATCATGTATACTTAAGTGTTTGGAAATTTATGAAAATATTACTGTCCGCAAATTCAAGCATGTCGAATATTAAAATTGTTATTTGTTCCAAGAAAGTTGCATTCCAGATATTACTCGAGGTTAATTTGGGACAGTATGGGGTAGAGAAAGTTGCAATGCGGTGTGAGATAGCTGTGGTTCTATATTCTGCCTAACTAGAAGGGTGACCTTGAGCAAGTCACTTCACTTTTTTGGGCCTCAGTTTCTTTCTCTGTAAGTAAGAGAAGTTCCGATACATAATTTTAAAAGATGCACTGGTAGTTCTCCAAGCCTCTATAAACTTCTATCAGATTCTTATTCTTCACAACATTTAAAATTTGTTTTTGCTTTTTACTTGAGATCTGGTACAAAGCTAAAAGAAAATGAAACACTTATTACCTAATAAGTTCCATTACACTTGGAATGAGTACAGAGCTTGAGGTCAAACAACGGTACTTCTGTGGCTTACTTCCTGTTGTTTATATGGACAAGTTATCGTTGGTTGCTTCACAGCAACCAGACCTTTCTAGTAGACCCCAATTTTGATTAGTCTGCTCTCTCCAAAGCAGCCCTTGTGACTCAGACAGAGTCTGTTTCCATTTCCAGAACCAGGAATGGGTTTTGATTTATCATCAGAGTAATTGCATCCTTCTAGTTTGTGATTAGTTCAGGAACTCAGGGTTAAGCCAATCAGTACATTGTATTACTCTGGCAACTGTTATTGGTCCAGGGATGGACCTAAGACCTGAGTTGGCTCAAAAGGTCTTTAATTCTATGGGTGAAGAGTTGAAGTGAGTAGTCTTCCCTATCTTCAACTTTCATGAACAAGGGAACGTAATTTTTCGGTTGCTACATACAGCCCAATTAGGAGAGAAACAGTTTGATGAAACAAACAAAAAAACAAAACTCTCCGATATTCAGAGGCGGGCGGAGCACCTGAGTCAGAGGTCTGATCAGACCGTGCCTGCTCTGTCTCTGGACTTCCAGGTATGTCCCCCAGGCTGGAGTGCAGTGGTATGATCCTGGCTCACTGCAGCCTCAAACTCCTGGGCTCAAGTGATCATTCCACCTCAGCCTCCCAAATAGCTGGGACTACAGGCACACACTGCCACACCTGGCTAGTTTTTTTTTTTTTTTTTTTTTTTTTTTTGTAGAGACAGGATCTAGCTATGTTACCCAGGCTGGTGTCGAACTCCTGGCTTCAAGCAATCCTCCCACCTCCACCTCCCAAAGTGCTGAGATTACAGGTGTGAGCCACCACGCCTGATGGACGATACATTTGCTTATTGTTTAATTGCTGTAGAAGTTTTTTTCTTTTTCTTTTAAACTCACAGCTAAAAGTGTCCTTATTGAAGTAGCAAAGTGCACTCTTATATGAGAATCTTTTCATAAGGATGAAATGCTCCTTTTTGCTCAAGAAGAAAAACAACTATCATGTCATGAAAATAAATGTGGCAGAAACGCTCAGTTTGGAAAATGATCACTGTTTCTAATATATATATATATATTCATGACAATTCAGTTATAAATCTGAGGATTTCTATACAAGGCCTATGTCTTCCCCTTTCTATCTTCTGATGTGCCCAACACAGTGTTATGAATAGTCATTCAATGACTTTATTTCAGGAGGTAGGGTAGGAACTATTTCTGTCTTATTTACCTTGTGTATCACAATGCCTATCACATAGTAGGACCAAATAGATACCTGTTGAATATTTACCACTACAATATGTTGAGTTTTTTTTTTTTTTTTTGGTTTTTTTTTTTTTGAGATGGAGTCTCGCTCTATCGCCCAGGTTGGAGTGCAGTGGGGTGATCTCGGCTCACTGCAAGCTCTGCCTCCCAGGTTCATGCCATTCTCCTGCCTCAGCCTCCCCAGTAACTGGGACTACAGGTGCCTGCCACCACACCCGGCTAATTTTTTTTGTATTTTTAGTAGAGACGGGGTTTCACCACGTTAGCCAGGATGGTATAGATCTCCTGACCTTGTGATCCGCCCGCCTCAGCCTCCCAAAGTACTGGGATTACAGGTGTGAGCCACCGTGCCCGGCCACCACTACAGTATTCTAATGGTATGTCAAAGCATTCTTCCTAGGACACTTACCACCACCTCCAACCTGTTTTTCCAGGTGGACTCAGCTGGTGTGGTTATTCCCTTTCTACTTTGTCCCCATTTATAACCTACCACTGGTTTAAGAGGAAAACTTTCCCACTCTGAGTGACATTTGTTAGGCGTATACTAAACCTGAACAATTTACAAATGCATTTTTTTACTTTTGATTAGGATCAAGTCTACTATACCTTTGTAACTTCTGAAGAAAGATGAGAATGGGTCTCTTTGAGGCGTGAAATGGAACTATGACTGAGGCCTCCCACCACTGCCATCAGGGTGTTAAAATTTTTGAGCTGAAGGAGCTTCTGCAATAAAAATGCATCAATGCTTTTTAAGGATTTTCAAATTATTCTAAACTTTCTGAATTACAAGTAAATTTATGCACAATTTTAATAACAAGAAGCTAAGGAAAACATTACATCAATTTAAAATGAAGCACAAATAGAATCAGAGAAATATATCTATTATTTCACAGAGAAATAGCTACATTAAATGCTTCTAAGCATTGCTTTCTGAAAGCAATCTTCTTGCATGACAAAAATACGATTTGTTCATTAGATATCAGCGAGTAGTTTAGTTGTCCGATGCCCTTATACTGTGAACGCCACATTTCCTCAATGACTTTTCTCAACAGAGTGAACGAACATCTAGAACTCAAGAACCCAGTCTGATTACCAGACATACCTTTGCAACATTGATAAACTTTGTGATGACTTCTGCCCTTTGCTGGGGGGTTGGTTTGCTAAGAACCATCAACTGGACCCACTTAGAGATTCCATTAAATAAAGCAATCGATCTTTCCAAGGTTGGATTATTCTCCAGGCAGCCATGGATGACATAGCTTTGGTAATCAGTGAACTAGGAAAGGAAGATTCAGAGACTCTGAATTATAATAGAGCCTTTGTAAAATCAAAAATTAGAATATTGCATAGAAAAGGTGAGATATTGTTTCGTAACAACACAATTTCTTTTATTTCACATTTACAATGGCATCCTAAAAGTTTGAATATACATGTGTCTTTAAAATGTTATTTTGCTGCTTTTCAAACCCCACTACTCACCCCACGCAAAGACACCCACTACTACACATCACAGCTTTGGTGGGAGGAGAAAGAGGCAAGATTCAAAGTTGTATTCCAATGAGTTCAAAATTTACTAGGTGATAAGATTCACCTGTGGCACTTGGTAAAATGCTGGTTCCTGGGAACACTCTAGGTGTAAATGATCACTATCTTCAGAAGAAAAACCTAAGAATCTCCTTTTTTTTTTTTTTTTAACCGACTGTCGCTCTATTGCCAGGCTGGAGTGCAGTGGCGCGATCTCGGCTCACTGCAATCTCCGCCTCCCAGGTTCAAGCAATTCTCCTGCCTCAGCCTCCTGAGTAGCTGGGACTACAGGTGCAAGCTGCCACACCTGGCTAAATTTTTTAGTATTTTTAGTAGAGATGGGGTTTCACCACGTTGGCCAGGAAGGTCTCGATCTCTTGACCTCATGATCTGCCCACCTTGGCCTCCCAAAGTGCTGGGATTAAAGGCGCGCCCGGCCAAGAATCTCCATTTTTAACACACTGCTGGTGATTCCAATCAGGCAAGTTAAAGATATAACGGTATACAATAAAGACGAGGAAATGAACGTAAATATAATTATTTCAAGTTAGCATCAGTTGTAAAGTTGTTTCAAGAAAAAGAAGACAGAAGAAAAAAAATTAATTGAAGTAAGGCTGCTCTTTAGCAAGGCAAACACATTTTCAGAATGTTAGCATGGATGTCAAAAAATACATAAGAGCTTTCTATCATATAAACTGTGCAGGGGACTCCCATGGCCTGCCTGTGGGGAATTGTTAAGGTCCTCTCCAAGTAGGATTACTTAGTGAAAGAATCAGTCTTTCAGAAATTCATGCTTCTAACCAAGACAGTCTTCTTTGCACGCAATAATGTAATTCATTCTCTGACACCTTGGAAAAGGAGGAGGAGCGACTTCCCCACAGCTTGGCGAGACAAAGCAAAGTGGCTGGCTGATTGTGAACCAGTGTGGAAAATGTTTACCATAACGGGAGGAGAGAGAGCAGGAGGCTAAGAAATCACAGACCAGAGAAAGAAAAGGGGGAGTTAGAGAAGGAATGAGGCTCCATCAAGATGAGTAGGAAAGAAAAGTTTAATTCAGGATCTCTATCTCTGGGAAAGAAACAACCTGATGTTGAGATTCTCCTTAAAGTCTACAATTCCTATTTTCAACCTATACCCATAATTAGCCATTTATACAAATCCGAACCTAACTAAATATTTTTTCCCAAAAACGAAGGGCCTAGCAAAACATGTTCACTTGGGAGAAGTCAATGGAGCTAAATCAACCTTGAATGGTTAAATCTCCACTGACTGTTTAGAAAAATCACGCTTTAATCCTATGAAAGGAGACATTGAAAATAGCGACAGAAATATAGCTCCTGAGCCATAAAATAAAGACAGGATAATATTTATCTTTGGTTAAAAGGGATTGTTCCTGTGAATTAAGGGCACTTCTCCAGCAGAGCACAGTGATAGAAGCTGCCAACACTTCAGAGTATGAAAATGCAGCTCTTGGGAAAGTTGGCATGGTGGTTGTTATCCTTGGAAGAATAAATGTCAAGTTTCTTACTGAGATCCTTCTAAAAGATTTATGCTCCAGAAAAGTGAGGTGCTCAGCCAATTCAATGGGCTCCAGATGGTCAAACAGCAGACAGGCTTTTCCCTTCTTGGATACTTTTTTCCTCTGTGTGACTCTTCTCATCCAGTCATAGGAAGGACTATAAAAGAAGAGTGAGTCCGGTCAATGTGTTGAAAGCCCATTTCACTCAATGGAAGTTATTAACCTACTGACTCTGCAACTCTTGGCTTGCTTCCAGGGACTTGTGCAAAATACATGCCCTGTCTTTCATATTGGAAGAGAAAACCACTGACCAGTTGCCAACAGAACATAAACTTGCAGTTGTTTTTCCAGACAGGGTAGGTTTTGCACTGAACCATCCAGAATTTCTTACTTAGTGTCTTTGTGACCGGCAAGGTCTGGATCATACAGGAAAGGTCGGGGCTAGTATATAAATTTGGGAGTTTATCAGGATATAGGTGGTGATTTAAGACACATGGAAACCACTAGAAGCTGTGGTTCTCATACTTTAGTATAACATGAACTATCTGAAAAGCTTGTTATAAAGACAGAGGCCTGGGCCTCGCTGCCAGAGGTTCTGACTTATTAGGAATGATCCTGAATAATATGTATTTTCACCAAACATCCCTTATAATTCCTGGATCATTCACTATTGATTACTATTGAAGAAGTATTCAATAGTAATCGACAGTGGAAAACAGAGTAGACTATGAATACGTAACACACAAGAACAGACATTTGCAAGATGGATAGCCATATTTAGGATCATCAAATAGTCTTCCCTGTGCAAAGTTACCTAGTTGATATGAAAGTGGCCTAATTGCACCGGTTACCTAATAACTGAGCTAACCAGCTCCTGGCACATCTATGGTCAACCACCATAAGGCTGTTGTTCTGAGGCCAACCTCAGCAGCACCATGGTACAGAGCTTCTCAAGCTTGCATGTGAATCACTTGGGGATCTTTAAAGTGCAGATTCCAATTCAGGTTTAAGGTGGGGCCTAGAGGCTGCATTCCTAATGAGCTCCCAGGTAACGCCAATGCTGCTGGTCTGCAGACCACACTTTAATCAGTGAAGGTGTAAGAGACATTAAGTAGATTCAGACTCAGTAACTAACACTGAGCATCTATTGCATGCCAAATCCTTTCATGTGCTATCTTGTGTCCTTATTGAATGTTCATAATAATCTCATGAGAAAGGTATCGTCCACATTTTACAAATAAAAAAAACTGAAGCTTGGAGAGATGAGCTGTGTCCCATACGGCTTGCGCTCACTGCAGCAAGGCTTTCCTCACAGAAGCAAACCTGGATTCAGGAGTGGGATGGACTCAGAACAAGTGGGGTGATCACTACTTCCTCCCCTAAGTGGTGGACTTATTGGGTGTGAAAGACGTCGGTGCCACTCTTACATGCTGGATATGTCGATGAGGCTGACGTGTTTTTCATATCCTAGTTGACTAGCTACTTCCCGAAATTCCTCAGTCATACGAATCAAACCAAGATCCAAATTAAACTCTGCAGGAAACTTCAGAATCCAGTACCTGAAAGGCATCAAATATTTTTGGCAGCTGGAAGATTGCAAGTTGGTTATCTATGGAAACGATTGTACCGTTTTACAGACTACATTTAACACCAAGTCCAGGACCATCCAGGACCACACTTCAAATTAGCCATCTCCTGTCTCCAAAACCCCATCCATCACATGGAGCCTCTCTCTGCCCTCCTTCAATCTAAAACCGCTCCCACTCATAGCCTCTCTTTCAGTTGAGAGGAAACCCTTCCTTCAATTCATGGTGAGTAGATGGGAATGGGTGTGGTGAGGGAATAGAAGAAAATAAATCCACCCTTTCTAAGAGCTAGTTTCATTCCGTAATCACATTTACTACTACTTGATCTCTAGTCCAAAAGATAGTTCCCCCCACCCCACCCAACAGAGGAGAGCCAATTTTAACAAAGTTGGTGGGAGGGGTATCAGAGTAGAGTCTGTTGTCAAACTAGGTCTGCAGCTTGGGGAAAAGGAAATTGTCCACGATTCCAGAACCAGAAACTACAAGAAATTAAATTTGTAAATATATTTACCTCATGAAGTAGCAGATCTTTAATCGAAATTCATTGCAGCTTTCTCCAGTGGCATTTCGATACGTAAACCAGTTAAAGAAAAAAAATCCTTGCACCTCCTTTCCTTTGCACACCCCTGCAGCTGTGCCCTCAATGTATACCAATTCCTAATAAGAGGACCATGCTGGGGTTATATAGACACTCAAATACGGAGAGAAGTGGCCTCTGATGACTTCCACACTGAACAATTGAAACTTGATTTATTATAGCTCTGGAATGCATTTTTTTGGTCTGAAGAAGAAGCCACTTACAGGATTAGTTTTGCCTTCCTCCACACTTATTAACCAATAACTGCCAACTGTAATTACAAATAGTCTGGCAACTATACATAATTAAAGTTGGTAGTACAGAGAAACACTACATTGTTTTGAGATGGAGTCTCGCTCTGTTGCCCAGGCTGGAGTGCAGTGGCACGATCTCGGTTCACTGCAAGCTCTGCCTCCCGGGTTCACACCACTCTCCTGCCTCAGCCTCCCTAGTAGTGGGAACCCGCCAACATGCCTGGCTAATTTTTTGTATTTTTAGTAGAGACGGGGTTTCGCCGTGTTAGCCAGGATGGTCTTGATCTCCTGACCTTGTGATCCGCCCACCTCGGCCTCCCAAAGTGCTGGGATTACAGGTGTGAGCCACCGCGCCTGGCCGAGAAACACTATTTTAACCAAAAAGATTTTGTATTTAGGATTAATGCCTTATACAGTTATGCACCACATAACAACGTTTCAGTCAATGAAGGACTGCATATGTGACAGTGGTCCAATAAGATTATAGTGGGATTGAAAAATTCCTATTGCCTGGTGACATGGTAGCCAGCATAATGTTGTAACCCAATGCATTACTCATGTGTTTGTAGTGATGGTGGTGTAAACAAACCTGCTGTTGTGTGAGTCATATAAAAGTCTAGTGTGCACAGTTATGTATAGTATATGATACTTGAGAATAAATGACTGTTATTGGTTTATGTATTTACTATATTATTTTTGTTGTAATTTTAGAGTACTCCTTTTACTTAAAAAATTAAAAAGTTAACTGTAAAACAGCCTCAGCAGGTTCTTCAGGACCTATTCCAGAAGAAGGGATTGTTATCATAGGAGATGACCAGCTCCATGCCTGTTACTGCTCTTGCAGACACCTTCCAGGGGAACAAGAGATAGAGGTGGAAGACAGTGATATTGATGATCCTGAGCCTGTGTAAACCTAAACCTAGGCTAATGCGTGTGTTTCTGTCTTTGCTTTTAACGAAAAAAGTTTAAAAAGTAAAAAAAAAAATTTAAATAGAGTAAGTTTGTAGAATAAAGATATTAAGAAAGAAAATATTTTTTACAGCAGTGCAATATATTTGTGTTTTAAGGTGTATATTACAAAAGGACTAAAAAGTTTTTAAAGGTTTATAAAGTATAAAAGTTACAGTAAGCTAAGGTTAATTTATTATTGAGGAAAGAAAAATATTTTTATAATTTGGTGTAGCCTAAGTGTATAGTGTCTATAAAGTCTACAATATTGTACACTAATGTCCTAGGCCTTCACATTCACTCTCCACTCACTCACTGACTCACCCTGAGCGGCTTCCAGTCTTGCAAGCTCCATTCATGATAAGCACCCTATACAGGTGTACCACTTTTTATCTTTTATACCATATTTTTACTGCACCTTTTCTATGTTTAGATACACAAATACCCACCATTGTGTTACAGTTGCCTATAGAATTCAGTACAGCGACATGCTGTACAGGTTTGTAGTCCAGGACCAATAGGCTGTATCATATAGCCTAGGTGTGTAGTAGGCTACAGCATCTAGGCTTGTGTGAGTGCACTCTATGATGTTTGCACAATCATGAAATCATCGAATGATGAATTTCTTAGAATGTATCCCCGTCGTTATGTTATGTGTAACTGTATGGGTACTCTAATTTCTTCTTTAATATTTGAAAATGTCATTTTCAGGTATATTAATACTCAAGTTGTGTTATTTACTTGTAAGCGTATTTATTCATATTCTTTTTAACAAATATTTATTGAGCTTGTGTATATGCCAGGCACTGTGGATATAGCATGAGCAAGGAATCCAAAGGGAGGAAAGTTTATAGAAATGTCGATTCACAGGCAGTCTTCAACTTTCCACATTAAACGTTACTATGCCTAAATATCCCTTTTTATTTGTGTTTCATGCATTGGTGGCCATGCTAAGGGTGAGAATGCTGTTGGTGGGTACATTCTTTGGACAATGTCTAGGTTGTCAGGAATATGGCCAGACTGAGTCAATGCCCTCCATCCTTACCTATTTTCTACACCTCAACAGTGGAGTCATATGACCCTTGGACCACTGGGAGCTAGGATCTTGCTCACTTCCACAGACCTTATAGACTGTCTAATATCCTTTTCTGCTCTGAGGTTGTGAGGAGGATGAAGAGAAGAAGTAGAAAGTGGAGGAAGCTTGAACTGAACAGGTGGACACCCTACTGGCTCCAGAAGCCTTGGCAGGCCCTAATAACACTTGATGGTGCCTCTCCCTCTAAGGCTGTGCCTCTCTCTCTAAGGCTCCCCCTCCCTGTAGGGGTTCTCACTCATCTCCAGGGCCTCATGGGCTTGAAGAAGGCAGAGACTGCAGGCACTGACATTAGAGATTGTATAATAAAAGCATTGGCTCTCAGGGAATAGAACCTTTTACAAATGGGAGACTGCATTTTCAGTCATTTGGCTTTCAACCACTTTTCTGGACTGCATTATGTAGAGAACTGGTAGACTGCTAAAAGCCTTCATTACGGAATGGTGTTTCTAACCATGTGGGATTTTTTTGTTTTCATTTCAGAAGAAAATCTAAAATTAGTATCAGTCAACAAATTATAATAAGTCTGCTAGAATGTTCATTGTGTCTTGGCAGCAAGGGGAGATGTGAAAACTAAATTGATGTTTGTGCCCAAGTAAGAGCATATTATTTTGGCTGTATTTCCATATGATTAAGCTGCGTCCTCTATGCCCACCATTTTGCCATCCCAGAAGAAACAAATTTGGTCTTGAATCATTGTTAAATATTCTCTCATTGTTCTAATAACAGAAATGTTTAAGACAAGTTAGAAACATCCAGCCTACAGTTCCTGCTTCATTTTACATCTTAGTGATTATTTTCAAGTACAGCCAAAACATCCAGATGGAGAGTCAACTATCTGGTCTATCATCCAGATGTGTTTTGTCTAGACATCTATATATATTCACAAAACAGCTGGATAACCAAAGACTATTTATTCATCTTAATTTACTGGCTTTGGATAGACACTCTATCTAAATACAGAGCTTGATTTATGATTGTAAAAATTACACAGTAGTTGAAAAGATATATGCAGAGAAGTTTTTCTGCCAATTCAGTGGAAGATAAATACCATCGGTGCATCAGTAGAACTATTCTTGGCAAATAACTATTATCCAGCTCTCCATTGTCATCTGTTAGAAAAATAAAACAAGAAGTGAGGAGATAATAGTGCTATTCTTTACTTTTTCTAACATCAGTAGAGACGCAGTAGTGTCATATGTCAAAAACTTTTCATAGACAAATGATCTTTTATTTTATTTCTTTTTAAGATGGAGTCTTGCTCTGTCACCCAGGCTGGAGTGCACTGGCATGATCTCGGCTCACTGCAACCTCCACCTCCCGGGTTCAAACATTTTCCTGCTTCAGCCTCCTGAGTAGCTGGGACTACAGGCGCCTGCCACCACGCCTGGCAAATTTTTCTATTTTTAGTAGAGACGGGGTTTCACCATATTGGTCAGGCTGGTCTTGAACTCCTGACCTCATGATCCGCCCACCTCAGCCTCCCAAAGTGCTGGGATTACAGGCGTGAGCCACTGCGCCTGGCCGACCAGTGATCTTTTACCTCCTACTTCGGCTAGTATTTCCTTGCAAGTAAAGGTGGGTGGGTCTTACCCTTCCTCTGGTCTACAGTTGACAGTTTTAGTAAAATTCAGGACAATCAGTTAAATTTGAATTTAAGAGAAACAATGATAAATTTCTGTATTGTAAGTATGTCCCAGGCATTATTTAGGTCATACTAACACTAAAAATGATTGTCAGAAATTCAAATGTAACTGGTCATCCTGTATTTTATCTGGCAACCCTGCACTGGTTTAACTCTGGTTTCTATAGTAATCAATTTAATAAATAACTACTCCCATGTGGGTTGACTTTCTTTGTGCAACGGATAACCCAAAATGCTGAGGTGGATATGAAAACAACAACACAAGGAGCATACAGCTGAAAAGTGTATAATCTAGTAGCAGATATGACGTGTATGAATGTAGAATGTAGTCAATTGTGCTACTCACATTCGTCTGAGTCAAAAGACTGAGTCAAAAGACCAAGAAACAATTACAGAGGCATATGCCATGTGCTATAAGGAATTACAATGGGATATGGGATGGGGGAAGAGGCAAGCAGCATTCCTGACCAAGAAGACTAGGAATGGTACTATGAACATCTGAGAGGGCCCTGAAGCAGAATTTCAGTGAAGGGAATATGACCAATGGATGGTGGTAGAAAGGTGCAGAGAATGTTCCAGAAACATTAAGTAGACAGTTTGACTGGGGTATGAGCTGTGGGCAGTAAAGGGAAAGAAATATGGAGGGCAGTGAAACTGGAGAGACAGACCCGGGTCCATCCGAAAGGCCTTAAATACCAAGGTACAGAGACTGAACTCTGTTCTACAAGCAACTTGCCTCTGAATAGAGGAAAGTGAGAGCATCGAGAGATCCAAAAGAGATGAAAGGAGAAAAGGCTCGTACCAAACATCTCAATGCAAGTGCACAGCAGTTCATCTAATGTTGCTGCTTTCCCAAGGCCACTTGATCCCATGGTTATTTAGCCGTTGTCAAAAAACTAGAGACATTTTCAGCATCAGATAGACCATCTCCATAATCATGCAAGTCAGCGATGTTAGTGCCTAGTGGTGACCTGTCCTTAGTTGTACTTCAAGAAAACTCTAAAAAAAAAGAAAAAAGAGAGAAAGTTATTAGACTAGAGTTCAGACCCCACTAGAGCATCACTTTCCTACCTGAAAAGATAATGACTTCCATAGACTGTATCTTTGTACAAGAAAAGTATCATAGTGACTGAGATTACATCAACCTTTTATGATGCCAAAATACCTGCTAAGCTGTTCTCGGGGATGGATGCTGCTTGGAGACCATGGAAATGTTCCCTGTTATATACCATCCCACTTCACTGCTGAAATTTTTTAATGCAATGTTTTATACTTTCCTTATATCCTTTTTTTTGATTGTTTTTGTTCTTGTTTTTGAGACAGAGTCTCACTTTGTCACCCAGGCTGGAGTACAGGAGTGCAGTAGTGCGATCTCGGCTCACAGCAGCCTCGACCTCCCGGGTTCAAGCAATTCTCCCACTTCTGACCCCCAAGTAGCTGGGACTACAGACACACACCACCACTCCTGGCTATTTTTTGGGTTTTTTTTTTTTTTTTTTTTTTGTAGAGATGGGGTTTTACCATGTTGCCCAGGCTGGTCTCAAACTCCTGAGTTCAAGCAATCTACCTACCTCAGCCTTTCAAAGTGCTAGGACTACAGGTGTGAGCCACTGTGCCCGGCCACCTTTCCTCATGTTCTTAAGTGATAAGATATTCAAGAATATTATAAATGTTACTTGGTTTAATATTAATAAAAGAATATGTAAGGAAAAAATTTTTAGAAGCAAATATATTTATAAACATCCTCAATGATTACATAAATATTCAACAACTGTAACAGATTCTACTTGCCTGAGAGTAAGATTATTCTCTGCAGTGGTAAAAATACTACTGTTAATTTATTGAACACCCACATTATGTACTATGCACCATTCCGAATGCTTTGCATATATTATTGAACTTGACCTTCACAACAATGCTGTAAGGTAGTAATTATTATTCCCAGTTTACAGATGAGGTGATGGGATTCACAGTGATTTAGCAACTTACCCAAAACCATGCAATTATTAAGGCCTAGAGTCAGGACTCCACTATAAAATAAAGCTTCTGTGTTCCCTTTCTTCTTATTACTTCTACAAGCATGGATATCACAAACCATCATAGTTTTGCCTGCTAATCTAGTGTAAAGGGTATCACTCCTCCACATCATCTCAGAAAGAAGATGTAAGACAGATTATCTGTTACAGAGACAGAAGGAAAATGTGAGGATGAGAGCTATCCCACTTGCCAGCACTGTCATGGGGAAAACGTGATTGGCAATAGCCTCTTATAGTTGCTTATACTCAAAAGCATCGCTGCTGGATAGACATTATCACTTTATTTTACAGAGCAGGTCCTTGATGCCAGGTCCCCATAGGACTTGGAGCAGGAGGGAGGCTGTCATGTTGTAAGACATTTATCCACTTTAGACATTTTAGTAGGTAAATGCAGCCATTGAGGATTCATCTCGTGAGCTGTTTAAAGTCAATGTCTATTTTACTCTTGAACTTTATTTATTCAACTGGCAATCATTGAGCACCTGACCTATGCCAGGAACTTGGTTAGGCATTGAGGCTGCCAAGATGAACAAATCATTGTCCCATTCTTACCTTCAACAGGCTCATAGTCAACTTCAGAAAACAAACATGTGAATGAATAGGAAAAAATACCTAATGTCCATATGTATGGTTGTATTAGTTCAGTGAGACCACTGGAGTGACATTGGAATGAGTCTGTTCACCAGGCACATAACTCTGGGGAAAAAATGTTTGCCCTCTATTAATTCTGTGAAAGAACCAGATTCTTGTGCTGAAGGTACCACTCTTAGAACATAAAATAAAGGGTTATTTCAAGTGTTCAATAAAAACAGCAGAAACGCTGGATCAAACGCTTTCCCAATTCTGCTGCTGAAATGATTTGTGAAAGCAGATTATTAAAGTCATCTGGAACTAACTTTTTTATATCTTTTAACAAAGTTACCTTATCTGTAAGGCCTTTCCTGACCTATTTAAAACAACGCACCTCTCAGCTCTCACCCACCTCTCACTTGGCATGTCCTACTGCCTTTCCTGGATTTATTTTTCTTCATTACACTTAACACCATCTGACAAACTATATATTTTACTTGTTTATTTGTTTTTAAATCTCTATAGTGTCATAAACATAAGCTCCAAGATTGTAGGGATTTTTGTGTTTGTTCTCTGGTATACACCTTAACACCTAAGGTTTTGCTTCTCACATAAAAGATACTCAAAAATTATTCACTAAATTAATAAACGAGTGGATTAATGGGTGAGGAAATGAATATCATGAAACTTGTCAGAGGTTTGTCATTGAATATGAGTATATTTATGTGAGTGTGTATAGATACCATACATTTTTAAGAGACTTTTTGAAGTTTGTTTACTAAATCAGCTTTAAGTAAACATCACTGGGACAAAAATTTCTGCCAGTTTTCTAAACTTAATAGAATCTGCCTATATTCATCATTAGAACTTGCCTTTTCCAAGACATTCTGGGGCAGAACTTCTCTGATTCCTCTAATGTAAACTCTATCAGTACCCTTAAAAGTCAAGATTGAACAATTAACAAGTTTGATTACCTTCATGTGTATACAGACATTTTTTTTTAGCCTGTTACTCACGGAAGAGTAGACATATTACTTAGAACAAATAGGCCTAGACTAAACTGGTTTCTCAATTCAAAACCAAAATTACTCAGCTGAGCTGTCTGGGGAAGGTGTTCACATCCCCATAAGGGGTTAGAGATAACCTGGAACCAAAGACTCATCACCACGTTTAGGGTTATATTTCTGATCTGCAAAGAAACTGGCACACGACGGGCCAGGTGGGCCGGGCTATCAGGTTACAATCTGTTTCTGCAATCAGTAGATGTGTCTGAGTCTCTGCTCCACCTTCTGTCACCTGCACATTTACCTGAGATCTCATTTCCTATGTGTGGACATTATTGTGTCTACAACTACCTTTTTCAGAATAAGGCTTCTTTATCACAAAAGCAATATACACTTATTATTTAAAACAGGACATTAAGGAAAAAGTTATCCCTAATCTCATCATACAAAGATAACTCCTATTAACATCATAGCACGTTTCTTTTAGTTTCTCTAGGCATATTTAATTTTTATTAGAATTCTTACATAATTTATGACAATTTAAAGAAATACTTACCTGTTGTTTCCATACAGATACAGTTCCAAATCTGAAAGAATTTTAAGGGCAGCTAGCATCATTGGGAAATGCATGGAAGAAGCAGTCTGTAGAACTGGTTTATTCAACCTGAATGATAAGTATTTTGGAGAACCTGACAAAAGAACAGAAAGAAACCCCCATATAGAATTAGATCATGATAACCCCAAAGAATCCACATTGTGTTAAAGCATTTTCAAAAACTTTGAGTTATAGGTGGTATTTGAGATTTTGTCTAAACTTCACCCACAACATCAATTAACAAGGGCAAATATTCAAAATAGTTATTTGGTAAGACAATTTTTTTTTAAATCAAGTAAGCTTTTTGCAGCCTATTAAAAACCCACATATGCAACAAAACCAAGTTCTATACACATAGTATAAACTACTGTTTCATGCAAATATATCAGTGGATTACTCATTAAGAATTTCCAAACATTGACTTTGAAATGTTAGTAAATCCTTAAAACAGTCTGTGGTCATGATCACTAAACTCTGACCCTAAATCACTACTGATTGTCTCAACATGAATGTCAATGTTATTTTAGAGCAGGTTGTTTAGTCTCCCAATGGGGCCTTAAGAACTTGCTGTTTGTTTAGGACTTGCTGTGGTGTTGATAGGTACTCTCTGGCGGCCATGAAAATTATTGTTCTCCAGCATATACATTTTCTCCCAAGTCTGAAAGGGACACAATAAGCCAAATTTCTCCCAGGGTTTGAATTATTTCTAAAAGAAAAGTGTTATTTTTAAAGGGCAATAGAGTTTTGTTGGGTGTGATTTCAAAGGCTACAATATGTTCTTGTAGCAAAAGGACGTTCATTAACATGACTTGTGAAGCCTCTATTGTCAAAAAACATCCTTCTGAGGTTGCCTAGGACACTAAGAACAGTGCTCCCAATTTTAGAAATAATAAAAGGTAGCCAATTCCATGTAACTGTTCATTAACAGATATAAATGAGCATACCAGGCTCTTGACTCAGAACCTCTCCATTAAAAAAAATCGGGTTTCAACATTAGGTAACTGAATGGGGAAAGTCTGACTTATCTCTGAGTAAAATTCCATAATGCTGCGTACTTTACTAGACTGTTTAAGGAGTTAGTGAGGTCACATAAAGTGAATCCATCACGGAGCCTGCAGAACGCTGAGTGCTCAGGGAAAGGGTCTCCTTTTACCTGCACTACTTCTTCCCCTCCCATATTAAAAGTCTTTTAAGTTGAGGCCTGAAGTAGAGGACCAATTTGTAGAAGCGAAAGGGAGAGAGGTGTTCATTTAGAGAAGAGAAAAGATATTCGAAGAAAAAATACGATGACACTGGAGCACCTATTAGGGGGCCAAGCAGCCTCACCAGCAAGGGACTCCAATTCTCAAAGGTTCTCAAGCCAAAGTTAGGTCATGACTGTCAGAGATGTTGTAGACTAAATTCCCAGACGGTATCTAGGAAGTATGCCAAAATGACAGGGAAGCTTTCTCTTGGCTCTAGAATTGTAGGATTTATAAGGTGAAATATTGTAACTAGTAAGTATTCAACAAATCGTTTTGAAATGATGTTGGCCATATTAGAACTTTCAACAATTGTCTTGTCTATCACATTGTCTCTATTCCAAGATAAAAGAATTTCTTGAAGATCCTTCCCTGCCAATGGCAGTTATTATCTTTATGCATAAATGACTACATAAATATCTTTACATTCATATGACCTCCATATGGAGACAAAGAGGTTTCTCTAAATGACTAATCCTTCATGAATACAAGTGTTAATTGTTACAAACCTTGAAGTCTTAAAGATTAATGCCAAAGATGTCAGCATTCATTGTTCTGGAAATATGCAAACTTAATTTCTCTTTATCACCACAGACATGAGATTTTTTTTTAAAGTGCTGTGATTATATTACCTGATACTCCATAGGAGAATTAAGATTGAGGTTAGTAAATGAAATAATAAAAACTCTGAAAGACAATTAATTTATTTGATAAATACTTACTGAGGATCTACTAGACACCAGACACCGAACAGAATACTAGAGTGGCTGGTAGAAGGGGTTGGTGTCGGGGAAGTGAAGGATAAATGGATAAGCAAGACAGATACAATCCTTGCCTCTATAGTCTAGCAAAGAATTAAAGGAACAATGACAATAAAATATCTTATGGAGCACAGAGCAGGTAGGGAGGGGCACTAATTTAGTCTAGAAGCCTGAGGAGTTTTAGCTTAGTAATGAAGATGAAGTCTTTTCAATTATGAGAAATCGAAAAGACATTTACAATGACTAAAGTGTTATGGCAAGAGATGAGACTAAAACGTCAGTGGAAGTAGCTCATGACAGTATTGTAAGCTTTAGTAAGGAGTATATCCTTTATCCAAAGGGCAACGGGAAGCCATTGTTTGAAAGGAGAATGGCATGATCATATCTGGATTTTTTTTTTTTGAGATGGTCTTGCTCTGTTGCCCAGGCTGGAGTGCAGTGGCATGATCTCAGCTCACTGCAACCTCCGCCTCCCAGGCTCAAGTGATTCTCCCACCTCAGCCTCCCAAGTAGCTGTGATTACAAGCATGTGCCACCACACCTGGCTAATTTTTGTATTTTTAGTAGAAACGGACATTTCCCCATGTCGGCCAGGCTGGTCTCGAACTCCTGACGTCAAGTGATCCACCCACCTCAGCCTCCCCAAGTGCTGGGATTACACGCATGAGCCACCACACCCTGCCTGATTTTCTTATTATTTCATTTCCAATGGTATCTTAACGTCCTCTTCACCATATCAAGCAAACCTAGGTGAAATGGGAGCTAGGATCTGTGCCCTTGTGAGGACACCACCTAACAAATGCCAGCCTTGCTTTAGTTCTGAGGCTCAGACTTATGGAAAGTGTAACTAGACCATAACAATAGAAACTCATAATTGCTTCTTGAATGCAGGGGAGATTTGCCACAAACATTGTTCCAGAAGTTATCTGAAGTAATTTTAGAAACATGACATGGGTAGATGATACAATAGCCCAAAAAGCAAGGAACACTAAACTTCCTCTCAAAAACAACAACAATAAAAAACAAACAAATACCTCCAGGAGAAGAAAAACATCAGCCTTCTACTCTTGACAGAAATAATCCTGATAATTCTGGTTCCTTTCTTCTCTTTTCACAATGGCTTTTGTACATTTTCTCCTCTCGATAAACGTCAGAATGGTATCCATCATACCTTCTGGCAGATGACCGTGTCTCCTTTTTAGAGTAAATGGAAGTTGCCAGACAGAAACTTCCTTGATTTCCTTCCATAAAAATGAGAAATTTACCCACATGGATGCCCTTTTTGGGGGGTCTCTCCTGCTATTGCATTGAAAGAAGTGGCCCTCTTCTTTATCCAAGGTCAATCCCTCCACCTGTGCATGGATCCCTTACTCTTGTCCTCCCAGGGACCACGTTACGTGAATTAACTTCTCACTCTTCTGCCTCTTCCTCCAATATTTTTTTTCCTGCTAATTCTTAGCACTTAAAGATGCCCAGGTCTTAACTCAGAAGTCCGTAATGGATATCTAGAAGTTAACTCAAAATTTCCCCTTGATATGATCAAGGGAAATCATTTAAAACAAAATTTCTCCTTGGAATCTCAGGCATCTCTAAATCAATACTGCCAAAGTGAACTCATCATTTTCCTCCCACAAACTTGTTTCTCCTCCCCTCCACTCTCAATTTCTCAATCGCAGGGGAATGGCACCATCAGCCAACCAAATATCTAGCTAGAAATCTGGGAATTATCCTTGATTCTGATCATTCCCCATAGACAATGGATCAGTAAATCTTTCTGAATCTATTTTCAAAAGAAATTCTGCCACCAACCACTTCTTTCCCTTCTCCATGGACACATGCTGGTTTAGACAACCATCATCTCTTGCCTGAATGATTTTAACCAATTACTAACTGGTTTCCCCATCCACAGTATAGGTCTTTACTACAATCTATTCTCCATTCTGCAGCTGAAAGAATCTTTTAAAAATCCAGATATGGGCCAGGCACGGTGGCTCACGCCTGTAATCCCAGCACTTTGGGAGGCTGTGGCGGGTGGATCACTTGAGGTCAGGAGTTCGAGACCAGCCTGGCCAACATGGTGAAACCCCATCTCTAATAAAAATACAAGAAGTAGCCAGGCGTGGTGGCACATGCCTGTAATCCCAGCTGCTTGGGAGGCTGAGGCAGGAGAATCGCCTGAACCTGGGAGGTGGAGGTTGCAGGGAGTCGAGATCCTGCTACTGCACTCCTGCCTGGGCAACATAGAGAGACTCAGTCTCAAGAAAATCATTTCTCTCCCATCCTTTGACTTGATCCAAAATATTACATTCTGGTAACTACCACCAGAGCCACCTTTCCTATGATCCCCACCTTCCCCACTAGGCTTTCTGCATCTCTGCCCCACCACTCACACTCTCCAGTGCTCTCATTAACCGAGTCTTGCTCTGTCACCCAGGCTGGAGTGCAGTGGTGTGATCTTGGCTCACTTCAACCTCTGCCCCCCACTTTCAAGCAATTCTCCTACCTCAGCCTTCCGAGTACCTGGGATTACAGGCACGCACCATCATGCCCAGCTAATTTTTGTATTTTTAGTAGAGATGGGGTTTCACCATGTTGGCCAGGATGGTCTGAATTCCTGATCTCAAGTGATCTGCCCACCTTGGCCTCCCAAAGTGCTGGAATTACATGTGTGAGCCACTGTGCCTGGCCTCAGTTGACTATATTTGAAATTATTTGTTTATTTCTGCATTGGTCTTGTTTCTGTTTAAATTTTCCTTCTCATTCCTTTTAAGTTCACTATTCTGTTCTTTGAATTTTTCTTTCTATTTTATTTTCTTCAATCAGGTGTTCTTCCCAGTGTGCTCCACCAAAGTCATACTGTCATCACTGTCAAACTTGTTTCTATCACAAACCTACTGGGATAGTATGAATATAAGAAATGGGCCTGGTGCTTATGGCAAAGTTCATTCATTGTAAATGGACCACAACTGATGACACGAAGACTAAAATCCCCCATATTTATGGATGGTGAGGCAGTATCTCCAAAGGTTATTTAACAATGACAGTAGGAAGGAGCCACACTTAATACTGTAATTTTCAACTCTAAAAGAAATTTTTTGTCCTTCTTGCATTGGATGTGTTTATTTAATGTGATAATAGGATTTTCCTAGATTTAAAAATTTTTGTTGTCTGTTTTATCCTGAAAAGAGATTTCACTAAGTTAATGGGGAATTAATAATCAACATTGTCCTGGATTTTAGAAAATGAAGTAATAACAGCATCTAAAAATACCATTTGTTGGTCGCAACGTAATGTGACAGATATAATGTTGGGAAAATTGCCTATGTTATCTTTCAATCTTTTAACACCCCGAAAGCTAAGGTCTTATTATCTCCATTTCATGGATAAGGAAATTGAGGCCTAAAGAAGTTAAATTACTTGTCCAGTATCATGTTACTAGTTAAGTTGCAAAGCCAAGTCCAACTCCAAAAATTTATGTTTTTCTACTACCCACAAAAATTTTAGCTGTTGTTAAGGCCTGCCCATTAGATCAGTTTCTAGACATTGTCCAGAACAAAGGTTTGTTATTCTCTGTGTTTGGCTGGTAAGCATTCTATCACTGGCCCTATTGTCTGAAAATGAATAACGTTCACTATTACAGCAAGCTTGGCAACTCAGGGAATCACTGGTACCAAGTACTGAACAGAAGTCAATAACCAGCTCAGAGCTCATCTCACAAGGCCTTGTTGCATTTTCTGCTAACAAGTAACAAAGCTTAACTGCATTTTATTTATGTTTTCTTGGTTACTGGTATTGAATATTGGCAACCAAACCAACATATTTACAGCTACCTGACATAAGTTGAACAAGAAATGAGAATCTTAGAGAAGCTTTAGTAATAAATACCATGAAATTCCAAAGTCCCACCAAGGGGGTATTCTCCTAGCATTTGGCTGCAGCCGAACATAGCAGGGAAATGATATATATACATGCTAGACACCTGCAGTTGGATGGCTTCCAGATGGACACATTCAGCCACATTGAAGGATTATGACCTACTATGGCAACTCGAGTGTTCACTTTCCAAATAATGCCTCAAAGTTAAGACCCAGAACTAGGAAACTTGAGCCTCAGAAGTTAAAATTTTAAACTTCGGGAAAATCATTTTTTTAAAGATCAATATTTTCTTCTCTCAAAAATACCAATATTGTATTCCGAAGAATCCTGCTGGCATGGTGGCTCACGCCTGTAATCCCAGCACTTTAAGAGGCTGTGGGCGGATCACCTGAGGTCAGGAGTTCGAGACCAGCCTGACCAACATGGAGAAACCCCGTCTCTACTAAAAATACAAAATTAGCCGGGAGTGGTGGCTCATGCCAGTAATCCCAGCTACTCAGGAGGCTGAGGCAGGAGAATCACTTGAGCCCGGGAGGCAGAGGTTGTGGTGAGCCAAGATCGCGCCATTGCACTCCAGCCTGGGTAACAAGAGCAAAACTCCATCTCAAAGAAAAAAAAAAAAAAAATCCTGTCTGCGGTCCTAATGCTCTGGAAGTACCTGGTCTCAAATTCCCTGAAATAAAGTCACATTCCCTTACTCCTTTGTTGTTCCACTTAATTCTGAGTGGATTTGATGCTGATAATAATGGTGGTGGTGGTGGTGGTGGTGGTGATGATGATGATGATGATGGTGATGATATGGAGGAGGAGGAAGAGGAGGAATCATTTAGGTGCTCTTCATGTTGGTCACAGTGTTGATATTTTTCCCCAACAAACTCTGGGAGGCCAGGCTCCTCCCAAACAATCCAGCAATAACTAAAATGTGGCTAAATCTTGCTTTTTACTTAATTCTCACCAAAAAATGCAATGAGGTCTTGTGAGATGAGCTCTGAGCTGGTTATTGACTTCTGTTTAGTACTTGGTGCCAATACCAACGTGCTCAGCCTCATGTGCTCACTAGGAACAGGAAGGCATTTTTAACAACTGCATAAGTAAAATTCTTAGGGGTCTTCCCACTGCATCCAGATGACAATCTCCAAGGACAGAATCTACACAAAAGAGGCTCCAAGGGAATGAAGACATTGCATGGAAAGCCTCTAAAAAGCAAGAGAATGTGAACAGAAGGCACAGCCTGGACTACAAAATCTCTCCTAAACTACCATCACTCTAGGCTGGGAGTGGAAGCTGACTGTCGCTAAAAACAAGGGAAAGGATTTGAAAACAAGAATTTTAAGTTGCTCCACAGGAATGCAGCAAGAAGCACTAACATAATGAAAGACTGTCTTTAAATGGACCTCCAGGTTTTCAGAGAAAGGCATTAGTTTGGCTGGGCACAAAAGCCAATGTTTATTGTCTATTTAGCATTAAGCACAATGTTTATAGCAATAGGCTGGAGGTGTAGAGAGCCCATTCTCAACAGCATACAATCCCATGCGGGAGACATAATATAAATCAGTTATTATAAACCAATGAGTCCATTAAGTCTGGTGACAGAGACAGATGCCCAGGGCATTGCGGGAGCACAGAAATGGGACCAAATTCCACCCAAGGAGATCTAGGAGGCCTTCTTGACAGGAAAGATACTAAGCTTTATGGGTCACAAAATTACAATAGAAAATACAGGCTAAGTCCAATAGTGTCAGACAGTAAGGTGGTTGGAAATATCTGAACATGATTCCAGAATTAGGCATAGGATAGACATATGCAATTTGCAATCCAGAAATTTATCACTACGTGAAAAATGAATAGGAATACACATGAGACAACAATATTTAGATTAAAAGCTGATGACAGAGAAAATGATTGGGGTCAGGTAGGGATATATTGAGTTCTGAACCACCTTTGGATTTTTTTAAAGGCACAAATAAATGAAAGGATTGCAAAAAGCATAGGGGTTGCACAATGCTGCTTTATTTTTATTATTAATTTTATTATCCAGTTTCACTATTGACAGTGATAAGCTTTAATAAATAGATTTCCTTTACCATTTAGACGCTAACTTTGTATATATAGATACTGAAGATGTAATATGAATTTCTCTTTTCTAAGAGAAACTGTACTATGTTATCATCTAAGTGAAAACATTTTGCTCCTATTTAGAAACCCATGTGTTTATAGTACTCTTTTATGGGATGGTAATGTCTCAGTTTGAAATTACTTCTGAAATCAGGGATTTGGAGCTAGACTTTTTATTGGAATCAATTAACGGTAAAGTACAGGAACCAAAAAAAAAAGTGTGTTTAAAATTATTTCTGTGCTCTCAAATAAAGTTACACAGCTTGAGGCCCATAATTAGAAGGCTCCACTTAATAACTTTGTCATTCCCTTTTGTTTCAGATGTTTTTCCTGCAGCAAATGGTCCTTCTTTTCTCTAAAAGAAAAACAAATCTCAAGAGCCAACGATATGTCTTCCTCCCATCTAAGACATCAACTAATTTCACCTTACTCCTGAAATGAAATCACAGTCCATACCTACAAAAAAAGAAAATATAACTGACTAGAAAATTTATGTAGTATCTTAGGTCCCATTTAACTTCTCTGAGGCTCACTTTCATCATCTCTGACATGAGATAAATACTACGACTCTGCCCTCCTTATCAGAACAAAAAAAATTCATTTCAAAAATGTTTTAAGAGCATAAATCACAGTGAGAAAAAAGGAAGTCCTAAAATTGTGAAATGTTCCCAACTAAATTTGTAAAGTGGTTGAAATTTAGAATATATATTTTCCATTAGAACAATATTACAAATGGATTAATAACAGATTTACATATGGGAAACAGTCTGTCAAAATGCTAAAAGAGAACTTTGGGAGTTCTTAAGAATTTTAGAGGTTGATAGACTGGTTTGCTACCATGCCAGATTAGCTTTCAGAAATGCCACAACTCTGAGAAACTAGGGTTTCTGATGTGTATTTTGGACTCATTAGTGGATCTAGAGAGACAGAGAATGAGAAAGAAAGAGGGAGAAGAAGCTAGCTTTTCATAAAGTAAAGGTTAAAGAGTTAGAGGAAGGCTGGGCATGGTGGCTCACACCTGTAATCCCAGCACTTTGGGAGGCCAAGGCGAGTGCATCACCTGAGGTCAGGAGTTCGGGATCAGCCTGAACAATATGGTGAAACGCTGTCTCTAATAAAAATACAAAAAAATTAGCTGGGTGTGGTGGTGCGTGCCTGTAGTCTCAGCTACTTGGGAGGCTGAGGCAGGAGAATCCCTTGAACCCGGGAGGCGGAGGTTGTAGTGAGCAGTGAGCCGAGATTCTGCCACTGCACTCCAGCCTAGGCAAAAGGGCAGCAGAGAGAAATTCCATCTCAAAAAAAAAAAAAAGAAAGAAAAAAAGAAAGAGACAGTTAAAAGAGACCAAGGAATAGGAATAAGGATGTTGTTGGTAGGTTGTAAAAGGAGGAATTAATCAATTGTAATTTACTAAAGTGTGAGCAAATTAAGACAAATGAAGGGAAGCCCAGAGTGAACTAATTTCCCTTGACCTACCATGTGAAGGTATCTACACCCCCCAACCCCCACCCACCTCCACACACAGAAACAGCACCATGCCTTTCTTCTCTCTTCACCAGTTCCTTGGTGTAACTGTCTAGAGTTCATGCGTCTTACCACTTCTCCTTCCTCTAGCTTGTAACTCCCCTTGTATTTCCTCTACATAGATAAACGTGAGGTGTCTTCTGGCCAAAACCAAACACTAACAAACAAACAAAATTTAGCAACCCTCTACTGGCCATCTCTCCCATCCCTCACAGCCAAGTAGAATTTGCTGGTTCTATTTGATCCTCTCTTCAGACCACCCAAATCAAGCTCTGTCTAACTCCCCTTCTACTTCCTGCCCTCATACTCTATTCAAACTACTCTGGCAAAAGTCATTACACCCGCTAAGCTCTCTTCATTGTCTTCTTATGCTAAGGCTTAGCCGCAGTGTAGTACTTCTTGACCACACCCTCCCTTAAATTCTCCTTTTGGTTGGTTTTCCTGGCAACATCTCTTCCCTGGTTTTTCTGCCTCTGGTCATACCTCATCGTCTCATCTGCAGACTCCTTTCCTACTGCTGGCCTCTAAACTGCCAACGGTTCTCATGTCTCCATGCTGAACTCATCCACAGAAGTGGCTTCAGCTACCACCTCTACGTTGATGACTCCAAACCAAACAGAGACAAGCTACACGCAAACTGCAGAGGAAGGGAGTAGGGTTTGGAGACAGGTGGACTTGGGATTGCAACCTAGCTCTTCTACTTACTAGCATGTGACTTTGGACAAGTTTTACTTAACATTTGGGTGAGTTTTCGTATCTCACCCTCATCCATCGCTAGTGGAAATGTAAAATGGTACAGTCACTTTGGAAATGAGTTAGGTAGCTCCTCAAAAACTTAAACATAGAGTTATCATATGATCTAGCAAATTCATTCCTAGGTACATACCCAAGAGAATTGAAAAATGTTCATAGCAGTATTATTCATAATTTCCCCAAAGTGAAAACAACCCAAATGTCTATCAATCGACAAATGGATAAACAAAATGAAGTATATCTCCATACAATGGAATATTATTTAATGATAAAAAGGAACAAGGTACTGATACATGCTGCAATATAGATAAACCTTGAAAATGTTATACTAAGTGAAAGAGGCCAGACATAGAAGGCCACATATTGTGCAACTCCATTTATAGAAAATATGTAGAATAGGCAAATCTATAGCGACAGAAAGGAGATTAGTGGTTGCCAGGCACTGAGGGAAGGCAGGAATGGGAATTGACTGCAGTGGGTTCACCGTTTCTTTTTGGAGTGATAAAATTGCTGTCCAATTTGATAGTGCTAGTTGTTGAAGAACCTTGTGAATACACTAAATACCATTGAACTGTGCACTTTATTTTATTTATTTATTTTTTTGAGACGGAGTCTTGCTCCGTTGCCAGGCTGGAGTGCAGTGGTGCGATCTTGGCTCACTGCAACCTCCGCCTCCCAGGTTCAAGCGATTCTCCTGCCTCAGCCACCTGAGTAGCTGGGATTACAGGTGCGCGCCACCATGTCCGGCTACTTTTTGTATTTTTATTAGAGATGGGGTTTCACCATGTTGGCCAGGCTGGTCTCAAACTCCTGACCTTGTGATCCGCCTGCCTCGGCCTCCCAAAGTGCTGGGATTACAGGCGTGGGCCACCGCACCCACCTCCTTCTCATTTTTTTAACCTGCTATATCTCCCATATTTCCTTCCTTGGTCTATGGCTCAACCTGCCTCCCAGTATTCCATGCCAGAAACTTGGGACTCACCCTAGATTTCCTAGCACTCTCTTTTGCCATCCCTCATGCCCAAGTCTGATCACCTACTTCCCAGTTGTTTCTTCTCCTCGCCCACTGCCCTTCATCTCCACCGCCTCTCCTGGGTTCAAGCTGTCATCCCGTATCCCCTGGCCCACCGCAATGGCTCACTTCTCAGACTTCTATATTGGTTCTCAGTTCCTGTTTATCTCCCCTCTCTCCTGGGCCCAAATCAATCTTTCCAAATTATCAGATTGATTGCGGAACTCCTGTCTCCAAAATTCTTCCACAGTTCCCTGTGGTCTTACATAAATAGAAAGTCCTTTCCATGGCATACAAAGCCTGCCCCCTGCATTCCCTCCCTCCTTTTTCCTCTCTTTACTCCAGCACATGTGATACTGCTGTGAAAGGGAACTCTGGTTTCACAGACCCCATGCTTTGCACACATTGTTTCTTTATTTTTTTGAATGTCTCTCCTCTCCCAATACTTACGCTTGGCAATCCCCTACTCCCTTTTCCAGAATTCTCCTCTTCCTTCCTCACCCTTCCAGGTGGATTTTGGCACTCAGTGTACTGACTTCCTTTAGCTTTGTAAAATTTATGTTACTGAATGGTTCTGTCGGTCTCTCCAATGGCTTAAGAACAAAACTGTATTTTTTCTATCCCCTAGCCCAGAAGTGTGCCTGATATCTTTATATGACTACTTTTCTCTGCCATCATATTCTTTTGACATGGTCTGTACACTTCAAATTGGTTTCTTCTTTAATTTTCTTCTCTAATCTTATCCTCTCTTTTTTTTTTTGGATTTGATATTTTAATGGGGCATGTAATTCTCTGAGTATAGCTCAAGACACAGGTGATTTGATCCAAATCAGTTGACCCTTACAAGTGATTTGGGTCAAATCATTTATGTAAATATTTCAGATTTTTTAAATGCCGAGATTTTGCTACTTAATTAACATTGTGCATTGAGATACCAAAAACTGGTTTTGGTTTTGTTTTGTTTTGAGATGCGGGTCTCACTCCGTTGCCCAGGCTGGAGTGCAGTGGCGTGATCTTGGCACACTGCAACCTCCACCTCCTGGGTTCAGGCAATTCTCCCACCTCACCTTTCGAGTAGCTGGGACCACATGTGCGCACCACCACACCCAGCTAATTTTTGTATTTTTGGTAGATATGGGGGTTTCACCATGTTGCCCAGGCTGGTCTCGAACTCCTGAGCTCAGGCGATCCACCCACCTCGGTCTCCCAAAGTGCTGAGATTAAGCCACCGCACCTGGCCAAAAACTGGGGTTTCAATCACTGTATAGAGTGAGGATTAGGTGTCTGGACAAAGCCAGGGAGACAGGTGGTTCACCTTAGGGAGGGACTCACTGTCCAGGATTGGGCTAGGACCAGGGATGGGGTGAATCTTAGGAGAGGAACAGAGGTCAGAAATGGGAGGGGGTTGGGGATGAGTCTAACCTTATTCTTGTCTTGATGTTTCTCTTTTGATTATTGAATACATTTATTTCTTTTATATTAACAGGCTCATAGTGGAATTTCAAGATATGCTTCCCAATTTTTAGTATTACAGATTGTTAAAGAGGATAAAATTACAGTGAATACTTCTCCAGTCACTTTCTTGTCTGTTGAATAAACACTTATTTCTGTGCCAGACACTATGATTAACACCATGGTGGAGGTACAAGCATATGTCAGGCACAGATTGTGATCTCGGAGGCTTGAGGATCTAGAGAGGGGGCACACATGGACAGAAGTTATGATCAGGGGCATTACGAAAGTGTTGTGAGAGAGGTAAAAACAAGGTGACTCATAGAACCGAGCTGTGCCTAGCCGCACAAGCAGGGATGCACTGGGCAGAGAGAAGAAGGAGAATGCTGCACACAGAGAAAATGGCACTGAAGAAGGCAGGGAGGCATGGAAAATCAGGAATGCTCAGAGGATGGTGAGGTCTTCAAGTTGGGATTAAAGTATATATTTGTTCATTCTTTCACTCAAAACCATTTTGAAGGGGAGAGAGGGACTATCATGTTCTGAACATCATAATGAAAGCTTCTGTGAAAGCCCATGTGACATAACCCAACACAGTCCTTCCTTGCTGGCCTTACACATTTTACTCGTTCTTTACTGAGTTCTTTTCTAAGTACAATGTAATGGTAAAGAGCATGGACTCTAGAGCCAGACCACTGGGATCAAATTCAACTCTTGAACTTTCTAACTGTGTGGTTTGGGGGTAAGTTATTTAATTTACTGTGTGTCTGTATCTTTAACTGTATGATAGAATAATAATAATGTCTGTGTTGTAGGGTTGTTATGAGAACTAAGTAAGTTAATAACAGGTAAAGTGCTTATTAACTGCCACATAGTATGCCCTCAATGAGTGTTAGCTGCTGTTATTATTTTCTTGGTAAGGGACCAAAAAGTGCCCTCTACTGAGGGATGCAATGATTCCTATTTCTGTCACTCCTCTCAAATTCATAAGCCACATACATTTTACCTACATATACCCATTTTGCAAAGAAAGGAAAGAAAGAGAGAAGGGAGAAAGGAAAGAAGGGCTGGAGAAAGGAAAGAAGGGCTGGAGAAAGGGAGGGGAAAAAGGCAGTGTAGGCCAGAAATCTGTATCATGAAATGAGAACTAGTTTAAATCCCATTTCTTCTATGACTTAGTCCATATTTTCTTAAATGAAAATTCTATAATATGCTTCTTACTCTGTATTATTCATTATTTTGGTAGATTAAAACTAGCTGTCTCTGGGCATACCACCCAAACCATTCAATGATATCTTTATTGATCAATTTACAATCTAATTTTTAAGAAGTATTTATTAAACACATACCGAAAGTACTCAAGGGAATACAAAGACACATATCTTCCTGCAAAGAGGTTAAAGAGCAGGAGATTTCAGTAGATACATTTAGAAATGTCAGTAATAGACCAATGAATCTTGAATGGGATCCAAGTCTGGACATTGCATTTATTCTTCTGTAGAATGAAAATAAATGCATGTCAGGTGATTAATGTCCCTAAAACAATTTGGGGGAGTGGATATTACACAAAAACTTTTCCACCAGCAGTTTTGCTAACAGATCTACTAGTCATAATAAGGATGCTGAAGAGTTGAAATAGTAACTGAAACCAAGCTGGGACTAAAATTAAAAAGAGAACCTCATCAGCTTCTGTGGTAATTTGTGGGGATTTCACAAGTCTGCAAGTTCACAGTTTTAGACCCTTGCCAATCTTTATCTCACCACAATATCTCATGTCTACTGGCTTCTTTTCAAACTTTGTTTCTAATCTCCAGTTCAGGAAACAGAGCATGTATATATTTATTTATCTTAGCACCCTTTAACTATTAATCATACAAAACTTGAAAGTATTCACCAAGCATTTAGGTAAAAAGATACTTCTTTACTACTAAATGCAACACAAAATATTTTATTATATTATTAAAACAGAAAAATACAAATTAAAATGTACAAATCTCACATTAACTTATTACTACGTACTTGAATTGGGAGAAAAAGAAAAAAAGCTACCATTAATCAATGAGTAGGAAAAAAATGCTGAAGTATCTAAAGCTGTATTTACACTTGAAATGTCAAGAAATACTCAAGACCCAAAACGTATTGCTTTCATGCATCTAAAGCAATGTGATGGGAGTAGGGGTTTGTTTTTTTTGTTGGTTTGTTTTGTTTTCTTTTTAAGATAAGTTCTCACTCTGTCACCCAGGCTGGAGTGAAGTGGTGCAATCTTGGCTCACTGCAACCTCTGCCTCCTGGATTCAAGTGATTCTCCCATCTCAGCCTTCTGAGTAGTTGGGACTACAGGCATGCGCCGCCACACCTTGCTAATTTTTGTATTTTTTGGTAGAGACAGGATTTCACTATGTTGCCCAGGCTGGTCTTGAACTCCTAACCTCAAGTGATCCACCCACCTCAGCCTCCCAAAGTGCTGGGATTACAGGTGTGAGCCACTGTGCCCAGCCCAAACATTTATTTTTTGACAACTAGAAAATTCCTCATGTCATCTAGATATATCCAGATCTCCATATCTTTGTTGTAACATAGGCCCTATCTGAAACATTCTAATGAATTCTTTATTAAGGACCATATTCACAGCAAGATGACTATAGATGCCATAAGCCTGACATCAGCAATATCTTACTTCATTGTGCTGTGGATCCTAAAATAAAATCACGCATTCTGTATTAACCCAAGAACTCTGGCTCTGATGTTATAGGAATGAAATGCAAGAGCAGAGTTCCTGTCCACACACTATAAATCTTGTCCTCAAATGCCTTGCTTTTTAAACTTTTTTCTCTTTATCTGATAAAGCCTATTTAAAGACATACAAATAATGAACCATGAATCTTTGTCCTTTCTCCAAATCGAAGATGGTGCAAGCTAATAAGTTCTACCTCACTCAGCAACTACAGGTTATAAACAGATTTAGCCCCTAGATGTATATTTTTTGTTAGGGCCATACAGGATTGGCTCTTACAAAGTTTCAAAAATTTTGAATTAATTGTGCAAATGTACAAATCTGAACCTTTACTTTAAAAATCCAGTTTTCTAGATTCTTGTGGAAAAATTGGTTCTGCTCATTTTAGGGCTGCATCCCCATGAGGCAACATTTGGATGGAGCTGAGCAGCAACTGACTGACTCCCAGTTCCCCAAAGTCCCTCCTACCTTCGGCTGTCTCCCCAAGTTGAGACCAAGTGACATTACCATTTACCATCCCACTATGTGCCTTTTCTCTTTCAGTAGATTTAAGAGGAAAGTGAACTATCACTTGTTCCAAACGGAGAAAGAATTGTTCTTTTTTTATTTTAAGAGATGAAGTCTCATTATGTTTCCCTGACTGGTCTCAGATTCCTGGGCTCAAGCAGTCCTTCTGCCTCAGCCTCCCAGAGTGCTGGGATTACAAGCATGAGGCACCATGCCTCGTCCAGAATTTTTCTTATTCCTAATTCATTTCACTCATTACATCATTATAATATCTTCCTGGTCCTGTAAACCAGGGGTCCCCAACCCCTGGGCCATGGCCTGGTCCATGGCCTGTTAGGAACCAAGCTGCCCGGCAGGAGGTGAATGCGGGTGAGGGAACATTACTGCCTGAGCTCTCCCTCCTGTCAGATGAGCTGCGGCGTTAGATTCTCACAGGACCACAAACCCTATTGTGAACTACACAAACAATGAATCTAAGTTATATGCTCCTTATGAAAATCGAATTACTGCCTGATGATCTGAGGTGGAACAGTTTCATCCCCAAACCATCTTCCCAACCCCCAGCCCCTGCCCTGTCTGTGGAAAAACAGTCTTCCACGAAATCTGTCCCTTGTGCCAAAAGTGTTAGGGATTGCTGCTGTAGACATCTGCACTTACAAGCCCTACCTCAGACTCACTGGGCTACCTACTGACACCACAGATGCAAAAGCTAAGGAGGATCTTTCAAAGTGCAGATCTTTGGAATGTTACTGTTTGTGGAGTGGACAAGGAAGAATGACAAGACAGTTACTATGCTTACTTAAGCCTTCTGACACATGTTTACTCTAAACGTAATTTCAAATTGCAAGACAAATTTCACCTCTTGCCTGAACAAGAAAGTAAATTTGGAGATTTCTGCAGCATTTGTCAAGCTTGGTTAGTCTAAGACATTAGTATTTATTTCCACTTGTAATATCCTCTAAATGTCTAGATTGCCTTCAAGTTTTAGAGTTTCCTCAGATTTCTGGTTTATTCTTTTATATTAATAGAAAAAGTTCTCAAAATCAGCAAAATAGTCATTAATGATTTCTAAAGAGCATGGGACTGGGTGCCAATGCCCCCTCAATACTTTACTTTGTAAAGATTTAGAGAAACTAGAATGTACGTTGGGCTACCTGAGAAAAAAATATGTACCTATTCGTGCTTAGAGGCAAACATTTTCAGATTCCACACACTATAGTGAGTATATAGTTTCACTCTCTCCCACTTCCTCTCTAGGTTGGTTTGGATTTGTTGACTACGAGTCACAGCTTACTTTTCCATGTCAGACTCAAGGAAATCACAGATATTCATCACGGTAGACCCTTTGGGATAATTTCCTGTAGGATAATTTCTAGCCCTTAGAATGAGTCACTTGTATAATTAGTGACTACACAAGTTGAACCGGTACTCTACTTTTGTTGTTGTTTATTACTCTAAAAAGGAAAACCAGAAACCAGGGAAGCGTTATTTACTGATCAGTGCAGCTGCGAGCCTTGGTCTCTAAGCACCTGGTTTCATCATCTTGGTCATTCACGTCTTCTGATAGTGTTTTTAGTCTACTCAGAGAAAACCGTAGCTCCAACAGAGAAAGAGGTTGTGCTAGTAGGCGACACAGAATATGTCCACTTTTCAAGGGGATTTTTTTACTTAGTTGCCAGTTTAACTACCTCATTCTATAAAGGAGAGCCCCAAGGCCAAAATGATAAGGTGATTTGCCTAAGTTGTAAATAGTGAGTTAGTAAAAGAAAGGAAAATATTCCATCATAGTGAGCTTCTATAGAATCCAGACTCATACTGGGGTCTCTAAGACATAAAAAGTATATGAGGCAGTAGGCTGATTTTGAACTAATGCATTTGCTTTAAAAACATCTGGGTCTTCTGACACGAAGCCACCCTTTGGCCATTTTGATACGGAGAAATGAAACAGCTATATGCTATCACCAGTCATGGAATTTCTTCTCACTGGTCTGATTTTGAGGGCACCTATTTTTTTTAATTTTGTAAAGATTATTTCAATCTGATCATCTCTCCTTGTCAAAAGATTTTTTTTTTTATTCATTCAGGAACTTGGTCTAAAATGATAGCAGGGATTTCAATAAAAAGCTCTAATCCCTGGCTGTTGGGTGCCGGGCATCTCAAGCAGGTCTGGATGTCTGTGAGATGGGTGAAGGTGACTTGGTGGAGGTAAGCTTGAGAAGGTGGAGCTGGGAACTCTAAATGGGTCTTGGCACAAACCATTGGTTCTCTGGCTCCAACACTTGGGTCCTGACACTGTTCATTTACTCCTGTCACATTGAATCCCACAGATTTTGCTGGTTTCTTTTAGCCACTCAAACCTTGGCTTCTCTTTTTAACTCTTCCAGAAAAGACTTTCAAGTACTCCTCTGCCCAGTCCAGACTCACTCTGACAGCACCACTAGGGACTCTGCCCCTGCTCTCCCAGGTGTTGGACCAGCTAGTCTGCATACCGCACCTCTCACTGTTGTTGTCCCCAGATTCTACCCACATCAGACAATGGCAGCTTTCTCAAGAAGGATAGGGATGGGATAAGTGGATTCGTCTGGAGCAAATGCTTCCCACATTGTCAGTTGTTTAGGGCTCAGGTAGCTCCAATTTTAGCCATGGGGAGATACTTACCTATTTTACTAAATGGATGATTGTGTCTAGGAGGATGCATGCCTCTTATTAATAGCTTGAAAGAAAATTCAAAGAGGCCCCTTGGTTCTGGTAGACAACCTGCCCAGTGAAATGAACACCTAAAGAAGAGGTACACACTCAGCATGATGGCACATCATTCTTCTGGATGACCTTTATACTTCACCCTGTCACTGCAGACTCATGAAGCCTGGGCAGAGCGAGCCAGGCGTGGTACTACTGGCTGACCTACTTCGGTGCACCAAGGCTCCCATACATGTCCCCAGAACATTTGCTCACTAGAATGTTCCCCTCCCCATCCTGATGCCTCCATGGATCGGTAAGCATGAGCACAGCTACATTACGGGCCAGGGCAGCTTCCAGGGTAGAGGCCTGTCTTAACAAGCTGGTATAACAAAACACCACAGACTGGATGGCTTAAATAACAGAAATTTATTTCTCACAGCTCTGGAGGCTGAGAAGTCCCTGTGAGGACTCTCTTTCTGGCTTGCAGATGGCCACCTTCTTCCTGTGTTCTCACATGGCACAGAAAGAGAAGCCTGGTGTCCCTTCCTCTTATAAGGACACCAGCCCTATCAGAAATTACAGCCCCACTCTTGTGACCTTGTTTAACCGTAATTACCTCCTTATAGGCTCTATCTTCAAACACAGTCATATTGGGGGTTAGAGCTTCAACATATGGATGCTGGGGGGTACAAAATTCAGTCCACATCTAGGCTCTCAACCAAGGACTGGAGATCTATACAATCCTGAAATCACACACAGAATTTTGTGTATTTGTGTCCATGGGCTTCTTTCTAGGATAAAGGCCCATAGCCTTCCTTGGGGGCTCGAAGCAGGTCTGTAATAAAAGTTTCATAACCTTTACTCAAACACACAAAGGTCAATTGCCCCAGAGGATTTCTGAAGAAGACAAAGGGAAATCAAAATTCCTGAGTTTCTACCACTCGATGTCATTTTTTATTACCTTAAAGCAAATGGACTTGCCCAATGCAAAAGGAGAGGAAAAATAACTTCACCTCCTGATTCTCACCATCAGTTGTTTGGAGTCACAAAAATTTAAGATACTGAAATTTTCATCTCCTCCCAAGATTCCATGAGCAACCTCAGGCTGAACATTCAATTCTGAAAACAGGTTTTCTCTTTTGCAGAAGTACCTATGATCCTGTCCAGGTCTAGAACTACTACTCCTGACTCCTGCCCATGAAGTTGCTTCCTACTCCACTTTGTTCACCCCCGTTACCCTTCAGCACCTTGGCCAGATGCCAGAAAGTCCATTGTGCCCTAGCCTAAGCCTCAGCCACGGGCTGCTGTGCTGTGCTGTCCACCAGCCTCACCTGGCACCTCTCAGTGCAGGGCAGCTGAGAGATGGCTGCGAGGCTGCATAGACAATTATATAATTCTAGCCACATCACAAAAACACTATCCAATGGTAGCTTTCAAATAAAACTTATAACAATGAGGACTGATGATATTTTGTTGGCTCACAAACCACAAGAGTTCAGATGCAAACGCAATGCAGTCTCCAGACTAAGGAAACTGATAATACATGCAATCTCTACACCATCTTGTGTGCAATTTTGTATGTAGTTAATGTCTTTCTCCACAGGATATTAAAAAGCAATTACCTTTGTCCTTTAAAATGATTTGGCAAATAATAGCATTATTTCTATGTTATAAATAAATAAGTTGGAATACAAAAAGATTAAGTATTAATACATTTCCAATTGATTAATCAATCTATCCATCAACCAGTAAGCAGTTATTAAACAGTATCTTGTTTCTTTTTTTTTTCTGGGTGACAATTAAGTTTTACTTTTTTTATTTTTAATTTTTTTGAGACACAGTCTCACTCTGTTGCCCCAGGCTGGAGTGTAGTGGCACGATCTCGGCTCACTGCAACCTCTGCCTCCCAGGTTCAAGTGAGTCTCCTGCCTCAGCCCCCCAAATAGCTGGGACAATAGGCAATGCACCACCACACCAGCTAATTTTTGTATTTTTAGTAGAGACGAGGTTTCCCTATGTTGGCCAGGCTGGTCTCAAACTCCCGGCCTCAAGCAATCCGCCTGCCTCGGCCTCCCAAAGTGCTGGGATTACAGGCATGAACCACCGTGCCTGCTCTAAATGTTATCTTTTAATCTAATAAAAGTGTAACTCTGACAACAAAAGCAGCTAACTCTTACCTTGTCACAGAAAAAAATGTATCTGTTTTAGGCCCAGTATCCAAATCATTCTTTACTGGCTCAACAAATACGTCTCTACCTTCCAGACATTATGCCAGGGCCTGGGTATCCGGCAGTGAACTAAACAGGCCAGATGAGAAACTCTATGTGTGGATCTTGAGTTGCAGTTACATATACAATTTGGAGCTCCAGGGAAAGATCTGAGATGCAATTTACAATTGGGATTTATCACCAGGTAAGCAGCATTTAGCGCCATGGCAATGGCTCAGATCGCTCTGGAAGAAAGTATAAAGAGGAAGGACAAGAGGACCCACTCTTAAGCCTTGGGCTTTCCAACATCTAGAGGTCAGAGAGGGGAGGAGGAGCAGCAAAGCATCTTGAGGAGCTCCTGTCAGAGAAAGAGAAGGAAAACTTAAAAGCACGCTGTGCCATGAGGCCAGGGATAGAATGGAAGCTGAAGCTGTCAATCATGTTGAATGCTACTGCAAAGTTAAATAAGAGGAGAAAGAGAAATGATCTGCTTTTTTAGAATTTAACACAAGGAGGTCACTGGTGACCTTGACAAAGGTAGTTTTACAGAACTGTGGGCAGAGGCTAGTTTGGTGTGAGTGCAAGAGTAAATGAGAGGTAAAGAAACAAAGAAAACGTGTGTAGAATATGAGCTCAACAAGTTTGTTTAGAATTGCAGTGAAGAGAAGTTGGCAGAGGTTGTGGCAAGCAAAGGATATTTTTAAAAGATGAGAGTTACTGAAGCAGACCGATGCACTGATGAGGAGAACATAGTAGAGGAAGCTGAAAACTCAGAAGGAAGAGAAGATAACCAAAGGGAAGAGAATGGGTTCCAGTTATAATATGAAAGAAGGAAGAAGAACATGGTTACAAACATGGATAATAGTTATAATTAGTAAAGGGAACATGAGAAAGAATCACATAAATCATAGAGATATACAGTCATCAGGTTGGCAGCAAGAGTGTATCAAATCAGCCTGCTCTGATGCCCTCAGTTCTCTTTTCCTGAGTTTTTGAAGATGAAAAAAGCCAGAAACAGAGAAATGAACTTCCCAAGTCCCAGGATCAACTGTCCCATGACTTATGACCTAAAGATCCCTTGTTCTGTCCTCATCAACAATCTGTCAACTGGGAGCAGTGGCTCACACCTGTAATCCCAGCACATGGGGAGGCTGAGGCAGGAGGAGTGCTTGAGCTCACAAGTTCAAGACCAGTCTGGCCAACATGGTGAAACCCCCTTCTCTACAAATGATACAAAAATTAGTTGGGTGTGGTGGTGCCTGCCTATAGTCCCAGCAACTTGGGAGGCAGAGAGGTCACAGTGAGCTGAGATTCCACCACTGCACTCCAGCCTGGGCAATAGAGCCAGATCTTGCCAAAAAAATAAAAAATAAAAATAAAACCCACAAAAGAAACAACAATGTGTCCCTCATTGCTTTGAATATTTTCTGCTGACTAAATATCAGTATCCTTGCCTGCCAACATTTGATCTTTTGGACACCAAAGAGTGCTGTCAGCCTGTGTTGTGAACCATTCAACTTGGCTTTTCATTCTGAAGGACTGGCCATTTGACATCTCATCTCCACCCTGACGCCGATGCAGCAGTATTTCTGCAAGTGTATTAGGCCATCATCACTTACTGCTCAGCAGCAGACAAGCAAAAATGTTGCATGTAACTCATCTAAAGTGTCTTTGAAGGCATGTTTGCGTGAGATTTTTAATTGTTTCACATAGATCAGGATTTCTCAACCTTGGTACTATTGACATATTTGGTTGGATAATTGATTGTCATGCAGGGCTGTCGTGAGCATTTTGGGATGTTTAGCAGCATCGTTGGTCTCTACTAACTAGATGCCAGTAATACTCCACTGCCACTCCCAGTAGAGACTACCAAAAATGTCCCCAGACATTGCCAAATGTCCTTCGGAAGGCAAAATCACTCTCAGTTGAGAACCACTGATATAGACTGATGCCATAACATCAAAATGGAAACCAGAAAAAAAAAAAATCGGTCAAACCCCTAAAATCTTTTCTAGTATCAGAATGTCTGTTTCTTGTGTAGGCAAATGCCTGGCTATTTGACTGAGTTTTTCAGTTTCCAAATGAATACTCGATATCTTCATCAACAAAAAACATTTGAATGAACATGTCTTTTAGACATCATCTCAACTTGATTTTTAATTCTTGAACCAATCAGCAAGATTTAACATGTCAGAATTTGACATAATTGAGAACATTTTAAAGCTTTCTAGGTCCAAATGTATTCCCCGCCTGACTAACTGGTGGATTTTGGCCCTTGTTTTATTCCTGTGTTAATCATTTTCAGTTGTGTTTTATTTTTGCTTTTTGTCATCAGCTGCTTTAATCCTCTTCTGGAGGAAGTCAGAGGATAAATATGAACACAGGCATTTTTTTTCCATTGTGTATGGAGAGTTCTTTTTTTGTGAGAGCATTTTACCTCCTTTCCTACGGCCCAGCTACTTGGTCCCATTGAGCCTTGAGCAATCTCACAATGACTTGATATAGAAAGCATTACCTTTTTACTAATAAAGCATCTTCTGTGTTCCATTATTACTATTCAGAGTTGTTAGAGGTAAGGAGTGATGCTCAGTGAGAAACTATTAGAAGTAATTTGTTCTAGTACCAGCTCTGTCAGTTACTGGCAAAAAGCTTGCATTTCTAGGTGTCAGTTTCTTTACATTCAAATTCAATTAACACTTATTGAGAGAAACGTGCTTTGCCAGGACAATACTTGATAGTTACTCAAAGGCTGTTTTGTAGTAGGATGTGGCTGCTCTGTATGGCAACAACTTTTGAAAATCAAGAGGTTCTCAGTTTCTTGCTTTCATAAATAATCGAGTAAGAATCAGCCATGAATTGTGTTAATCTTTCTTGAATCACGGCTTTTCCCATTGAGAAAATAAATGTATAAGTTTAATCTCTCTTGTGTGAAATATAAATTCTGCAATAACTAACTCTAGTTGGTAATATACATATATACGTGATGAAATGTTTAGGAATGAAGTGTACTGCTGTCTGCAACTATGTTGCCCAGGCTGGTCTCAGAATTCCCGAGCTCAAGTGATCCTCCTGCTTCAGCCTCTCAAAGCGCTAGAATTACAAGCATGAGCCACCATGGCTGGCATTAATGGCTTTCTTAAGGTGCAGCAATCAGAATTATTCCAAATGCTCTGAGTCTCAAAGTTTTGTTGTTTTCTGGAGATGAGGTCTCACTATGTTGCCCAAACTGGCTTCAAACTTCTGGACTCCAGCAATCCTCCTGCCTCAGCCTTCCAAGTAGCTAGGACTACAGGTGGAAATCTCAAACTTTTGTTTGAGGGTAATAGGAAGATATTTTTTGATTTGTTTCCTGTAGTCTCTGTATAATGCTGAACCAGGCTAACTGCTTTTCAAGGAATCCTTTCCCTATATAGGTTAATGGCATATTCATATGCTGATTATTCAAATTAAAACCTCCAAAACTTCTTTAACTCCCTCCTTTCCTGCACACCCAAATACAATTAATCTCAAGAACTATCAACTTTACCTTTTAAACATTTTGAAAATTCTTCCACCCTCTCTATTATCATTGTCTTTGTTCAAACCTATCTTTGAAGTCTTCTTTTGGTATTTGGTATTTTTCTTTCTCTGATCTGTCGTCCTTATTGCCTTCAGAAATTTTTTTCCAGAATGCAAATGTATTCATGTCATCCCTCTACTTGACAAACTACAATAATAGTTAAGAATTATTATTAATTATTTTGCATGTCTGAATGACGTTGTGAACTTTTTAAGAGAACTTATCTTTTAGAAACACATACTAAAATATTTACGGATGGAATGATGAAATATCTGGGATTTACTTCAAAGCTAATATGGGAAGGGGAGAACATCGGTAGGGATATATAAATTAAATAAGAATGACCATGAATTGAAAATTGTTAAAGTTAGATAATAAATGGGGGTTAATTATCATTTATTTTGTCTATTTTTATATATGGTTGAAATTTGCCATATATAAATCGGTTCTCAAAAATACCGACATGCTTCAGAAGGGCAAACACTACTGTTAACCACCCAGAACCACCTTATCTTTGCTCCTTTTCTCCCGTCCCTCTTCCAACATGTAATCTATGATTCAGCTCTATCAAGTTACACATTAGTCCTGGAATGCACTGTTTCAAATATAGTCTTTTTCTTCTTGAACAATGACTTTTTATCCTTTTATACCCAGCTTAAATGTCACCAACCCAAGGGAATCATCCCTGGTTCATCCTGATATAGTTAGTTATCTCCTTTCTCTGAATTCCCACAGAATATTTTGGAAACATTCTCTTTTACAGAATATACATTTATGTATTGTAAGATGATTATTGTAACCTTTTAAAAATATTGGTCTATTTAACTAAACAGTAAAATCCTATGGGATAAATTCTATATTCTTCATGTTTGTGCAATAAGCAGCACAAAGCATATGTTTAGAAATACCAAGTGAGGCCAGGAGCAGTGGCTCACAGCTGTAATCCCAACACTTTGGGAGGCCGAGGTGGGCAGATCACTTGAGGTCAGGAGTTCAAGACCAGCCTGGCCAATATGGCAAAACCCCATCTCTACTAAAACAAAATACAAAAATTAGCTGGGTTTGGTGGTGGGCACCTGTAATCCCAGTTACTCAGGAGGCTGAGGCAGGAGAATCGCTTGAACTAGGAGACAGAGGTAGCAGTGAGCCAAGATTGTGCCACTATACCCCAGACTAGGTGACAGAGTGAGACTCTCTCTCTCTCAAAAAAAAAAAAAATAAATAAAAGAAAGAAAGAAAAGAAAAGAAAAGAAATACCAAGTGAATCATCTTGTATGAAAATATGTTCTGGATGTTGTCCCTTACTTTTGTTACCTACATGGAAATCCTGTATTCTACTAGACTGTACTTCCTGAAGTTTTGGTTGAGAAAAATTTCTAAAACTGGCGATTAAAGCTCAAAACAATTTTCCAAATATATTAGCCTCTCTTCCACAAGTTAGATGTGAGATGGTGTTCCAAATAGTTGCAGAATTTTATGCATGACACATGTCTCAGCCATCTTTGTAGCTGAAAAAGACAAACCTTCAATTCTTACATAATAAATCCACCATCATTGGCTTAAGTCAACCAAAGTTCCCGCAAATTCCAAAGAGAGGTTGAAAGCAATATTCCTTCTAAAAACATAAAGAATTAAAATAGCACGAGATATTTTACACTGGTTCTGCTTCAAGGTCTGCTTGGCCCTTTTATCTATCTGTAATCATGGCCCCAAGAAACATTTCATGGGAATGAATATGATTGTCCCTCTTGGTGCCAATATTATGTCACTTCTTATAAAAACCAAATATATTTTAAAGCAAACTGTCACTGCTAGTTAATCAGCTAGTCCAACAGTCAAGATCTTTTTCATACCTGTCACCATCTGAGATAGCATAATGATTTTTGGGTGTTGCCAAAGGCTTAGCTCTGCAGTAGCACCCTGCCAAAGATGCAGGGCAGCACAGTTGAGAGAACACCTCAATAATAAAAACTGAGTGTGTTCTGGGTAGAAGCTAAAAGAAGACTGCAGGGTGCAATCACAAATCCAGAGTCCAGGGATATTTCTTTGTCCTACAGCATCCTTCTAATAGAAATGGGTATGTATTAGGCATGACAATGACATAATGTCAATTGCATGACAAGGACAGCAGAATCTCACCTCCACAGAATGGCTTCCCTTTTCATAGAGTTTTGTTGTTGTTTTGAGACAGAGTTTCACTCTTGTTGCCCAGGCTGGAGTGCAATGGCGCAATCTAGGCTCATCGCAACCTCTGCCTCCTGGGTTCAAGTGATTTTCCTGCCTCAGCCTTCCAAGTAGTTGGGATTATAGGCATGCACCACCACACTTGGCTAATTTTGTATTTTTAGTAGAGACTGGGTTTCTCCTTGTTGGTCAGGCTGTTCTCAAACTCCCGACCTCAGGTGATCCACCTGCCTCAGCCTCCCAAAGTGCTGGGATTACAGGTGTGAGCCACTGCACCCGGCCAAGGGCATCAGTTTTAACACAGACATAGTGAGAGACAGTGTGATTGGATGAAAAAGGCACCTACTTTGTTTCCAGGCAGACTAGGACTAGACTCTTACTCACTGGCTTGTGACCTTCTACAAGGTATATGACTTCTCTAAAATTTATTTTTCTCTTCTGCAAGAGTGCTAATCTGTCTACCTCTGAGTGATGTGAAAATAAGCGTTATTTTATTTCCTCTCTCAATAGCAGACACAATTTAAATGCCTAGAAGAGAAGGAAAGTAGAAAGAGATGGATTAATTTCAGAATCAAGAGTGACTGGGGAGAGAAATGGATTACAGAGAAATCTCCAGCACCACCATTCAGACTGGGTGCTGTCCTTACCATAAAAAAAAAAAATGATCTCTAAAGCATCGTGTCAACTCATATGATTTTGAACGGCAAGCATTCCATGCATAAGTGGAATACTTTCTACTTTTAAAAAACAGAACTGAAAGCTGAGCAGAATTCAAAGTTCAGTCAAATTGAACTCATGGTATGAGTTTTCCAGAACCAAATATGGAGATTATACCCAATTCTTATTTAAAACTGTTTAAAATTCTTGAGTAGTTTATGAGCTCCAGAAATCTATATTAACTTGAGACTTGAAGAGATTCATCCCTGATAGTCACAAGCAAGTTGTTAGAGTGTGGCCAGAAAAGGACATTTCTTCTTTACTCCTTTCATTCCAGGTCTAGGGAGTTCTGAAAAGCAACCCATGTGTGCACATTCCTAGGAAAGAATTCCTCCTGGTATCTTCCCAAAGTTAATTTAGGTAAAAGACTCCAAGGAAACTTGGTTCAGCCAAATTTGAATTGCTGGATGGAGGGGAAATTTTTACTTTCTCAAAACAAAACAGAGAAGTGACTAAGCCAATTTTTTTTTTAATGGAGTCTGATTCCATCACAGATTGATCACCTCTCTGTCTGAGTTCTTCCATAGCTTGTCGCTCCTCCTTTTGGTCAATTCATTAACTATTAAGGTCTCTAGCATAGTACAAACACCCCAGATGGGAAAAGGACAAGCAATTAAAACTGCATACATACACTCAAATGTGGTTATTTGTCTGTGATTTTGAAACAATTCAACAACAGAAAAGTAGTGACTAGGCCGGGCGCAGTGGCTCACACCTGTAATCCCAGCACTTTGGGAGGCCGAGGCAGGCGGATCACTTAAGGTCAGGAATTCAAGACCAGCCTGATCAACATGGCAAAACCCCGTCTCTCCTAAAAATACAAAAATTAGCCAGGCATGGTGGCAGGTGCCTATAGTCGCAGCTACTCAGGAGGCTGAGGCAGGAGAATCACTTGAACCCGGGAGATGGAGGTGGCAGTGAGCTAAGATTGTGCCACTGCACTCCAGCCTGGGTGACAAAGTGAGAATCCGTCTCAAAAAAAAAAAAAAAAAAAATAGTGGCTAAAACATGCCTCTGGGATTAGATATGAATTTAATTTTTTTCCATATTTTTTCCCTATGTTACTAGTTCTCTGTCAAAGTTGCACCTGGAACATACTAAGAGTTGAAACTCTGAGAACACTTATAATACTTTAGCAAATCAACGGCATAATGATCTTTCCAAGGGGCTTAGAACCTATTGTGGGGTGGAGATCGATCCACCTGAACCAACAAAGATAAGGCAGCATTTGACAAATAGAGAAGACTTCAGGAAATAAAATTACCAATCTATTCAAATAGAAACTTAAAAGATGGGATATCTACAAGCACAGAAATCATTTATACATTGAGTTGAATTCTCCATTTACAATAGGGGCATCAAGGTTTCTATTACCCTACATTCTATAGACCATAATCCAGGAAGGTATACTTTTAACTTACTATTTCATATTCTTTTTTTTTTTTAATTATAGTTGTTCCCTTTTGTCCTCTTGAAAGGTGAAGAAATTTCTGATTATTACAGTAATCACTAAAGAAAAATGCTCAAGTCAGCTCAGACATTAAACATTTTTCAGAATATTTTTTAATTCAAAGAAGGCTACCTTTCACATTCATACTCAGAAAAAGTTACTTTAGAAAGAAACACTATAAGAGAGACTCTTGTCACAAAGCTGTCCACATGTTTTTCCCCTACCTCTAAGCCCTGGCCATGACAATATGCACTGTAAAATCATCAGGCAACATGCACTGCTATTTTTATGATCTTGGCAACATTCTGATGATGCTGTCATACAATGAACTGAATTGCCATATTGGGAAACTGACAGATAGTGAAGCGTCCCCATTATTCTAGCAAGTTAAGACTCTCTCAGTTGTGGGCAGATAATCGTGCAGAGGGAAATGATCACAGTGGACACTATTCATGGTAGTTAGAATGCACTATACCTCCACAGGAATAAAGGTGCTATACTCAGGCAGAACTTTCAAGAATGCCGATGGTTTTGTTGGGCAAGGAGCGTGCACACTGAAGAGCAGACTGCAGTTTTCATACCTCAGGAAACAACCAAATTGTCTCTAAAAGGTAACGTTACATCATGCCATAGTTGGTATAACTCCAACTTGACTATATGAGTCTTCAAGACAGAAAAATGATCACTAAGTTCCTTTAAAAACATTACCCTAAGCTGCGGCCCGGCACGGTGGCTCACGCCTCTAATCCAAGCACTTTGGGAGGCCCAGGCGGGCAGATCACGAGGTCAGGAAATCGAGACCATCCTGGCTAACACAGTGAAACCCTGTCTCTACTAAAAATACAAAAAAATTAGCCCGGCATGGTGGCGGGCGCCTATAGTCCCAGCTACTCGGGAGGCTGAGGCAGGAGAATGGCATGAACCTGGGAGGCGGAGCTTGCAGTGAGCCGAGATTGTGCCACTGCACTCCAGCCTGGGCGACAAAGCGAGACTCCATCTCAAAAAAAAAAAAAATATTACCCTAAGCTAGCCAGGCACAGTGGCTCATGCCTATAATCCCAGCACTTTGGGAAGCCAAGGTGGGTGGATCACCTGAGGTCAGGAGTTCGAGACCAGCCTGGCCAACATGGTGAAAACCCATCTCTACTAAAAACACAAAAATTAGCTGGGTGTGGTGGTGCACGCCTGTAGTCCCAGCTACTCAGGAGGCTGAGGCAAGAGAATCGCTTGAACCTGGGAGGCAGAGGTTGCAGTGAGCCAAGATTGTGCCACTGCACTCCAGCTTGGGTGACAGAGTGGGACTCTGTCTGAAAAAACAAACAAACAAAATTATCCTAAGCAAATACGGTGTCTGAAGACTAAGCTGACCCTGTTTCCAAAGTCAAATGTCCATAGGCTTTGGAAATATCATGAGTGGCATGTCGCAAATCGGTTATCCAGTCACTCTTTGCCTATCTGAAGAGAATACAAATTACACAACTTTTTATCACCAAAGATAATTCCACAGATTGTGTAAGTGCATGGTCATGAAATAGTTGAAATTGGTCTTTCTTTGAAAGATAGCATAACTAGGCCAGGCGCAGTGGCTCATGCCTGTAATCCCAGCACTTTGGGAGGCCGAGGTGGGTGGATCACCAGGTCAGGAGATCGAGACCATCCTGCTAACATGATGAAACCCCGTCTCTATTAAAAATACAAAAAAATTAGCCAGGCGTGGTGGTGGGCACCTGTAGTCCCAGCTACTCGGGAGGCTGAGGCAGAAGAATGGTGTGAACCCGGGAGGCGGAGCTTGCAGTGAGCCGAGATCGTGCCACTGCACTCCAGCCTGGGCGACAGAGTGAAACTCCATCTGAAAAACAAAAACAAAACAAAAGAAAGATAGCATAACCAACAGAAAAAGCCTGGCACTTGGAGTCAGTAGACAAGAGATATAGTTGAGCTCTGACAGTTACTTTTCCCATGACCATAGACAAGTCACTCATTTTCTCTCGTCCTCTATTTCCTCTTTGAAAACAATGGTGATGATACCCTCCCTCTTTCATGGGATTATGGCAAGGTACAAGAAAGTGCCTTATGCCGGCATATATAAATGCAGGGGTTCGACTTCTCAATACCAAAGATGAGCTCAAAGATCAAAGCACAGCGACTCTGCACACCACAGACTCTGAAGCTATAATAATCACTTGAAACAGCAAAAAAATCCAAAGACTTCAAATCCCATAGAGCAGTGGAAACATGACACAGGAGCTGTTAACTCCAGGGACTATAAGTGAGCAATCAATACCAAGGGAAAGGAGGATCCAGGAAAGTTAACTTTTTGGAAGCAGATGTCTTTGAAACACACAATTGGGCAAAAACAAAGAAACAAAATAGGCATTGTATCCCAGAATGTGTTTCCTTATTGTAAAAGGACCCCAAAACGAATCAAGCATTTTATTTTCTTTCAAATCAGCTCCAGAGTATGACTTGTGGACTCTGTCGTGATTCTGAGTCCACTTCACGTGTACCCATATAACACCCCCTGTACAAAGCCAATTTCTACAGAAGTGAGCAATTCCTAGCAAGGATTGGAGGCAATTCCCAGTGGTTTTGGTCTAGCAAACCACATCACTGACTACTACTGAGTTGGGCTTAGTTTTAGAGGCAGCAGGCAGGTGGAATTAAAGATTAAAAATTCTTCTTTCATGCGGGCTGGGCGCAGTGGCTCACGCCTGTAATCCCAGCACTTTGGGAGGCCGAGGCGGGTGGATCACCAGGTCAGGAGATCGAGAGCATCCTGGCTAACACAGTGAAACCCCGTCTCTACTAAAAATACAAAAAAATTAGCCGGGCATGGTGGCGGGCGCCTGTAGTCCCAGCTACTCAGGAGGCTGAGGCAGGAGAATGGTGTGAATCCTGGAGGCGGAGCTTGCAGTGAGCCGAGATCTCACCACTGCACTCCAGCCTGGGCGACAGAGCGAGACTGTCTCAAAAAAAAAAAAAAAAAAAATTCCTCTTTCATGCTATAAATAGCTTGATCTTCAAAATGTGTAATCTTGCCAGAACGACCTTGCAGAAACACTGATAACTTCCTCAGAAACATCCACACATGGCATACTTGCTTGATTTTCCTCCTGATTAATAAAAGGTTCCCTGTTGATTACATACTACCTGGTGCTCTTTCCCATTATCTCCAACCCTAATTTTGACACTTAACCTAAAGTGGAGGAATGTGGACAGCCAAATGACATTTTTAAAAGGATTCAGGAGGCAGGTTTCTTAAGGGCTCTGCAAGTCTGATGACCCAGAAAATCCACAGGTTTATGGCCCACCCGTGAGACAGTCAGAGCTTTAGATATGCAACTGGTGTGTGGAGAAGTAGGACTCAGGGTAAATGGCAGGTGCAGGCAGTGAAGAAAAGCATACCTCTCCTCCCTCACCACTGCCAGCTAGTCCCCTGCCCCGTGACCCACCCCTTACACCCACAGCTCAAAAAAACAGCGCAGAGTGGCAGAGTGCATGGTTTCTATTCATCAACAACCTACTCGGACAACCAACCTTCCAGGCTGAGCAAAGGGGATGGGTCTGATAATAGCTTTATCAACACTAAGCCAGCTATTTGGGGTGGGGCATGGGTGGAGTGGCTGTCCTCCAAAGGAAAGGAGTGACAGGAAAACTGGAGGGAAAGGCCAGAAGGGGCATGGGAGCCGTGTGCTGGAGGTTAATAACAAAGTTCCCGGTTGCTGTTCTTACCAACATCAAGACCGTCACTGAACTATTTTCAAAGAGAAAAACATGCCACCAGCCAGCGATCCTATAGAGAGAGCTTGGGCTTGGACTGTCACAGGGGGAAACCTAGCCCTTCCTGTCATGGAGAGCTCGAAAAGGGCATAACACACATTGTGTGTGTAATCATATTGTGCTGGAAATACTCTCATTTGCATGTTGTGAGTTTTTACATTTAAATGTGTGGGATTCCACTTTTATTTTTTAATGTATACAGGTTCTACAGTCAGATCCAGGTGTCCCTCCTGTCTGTGTTACATATGGTCAAGTAACTAAGGGTGTCCCTCCTGTCTGTGTTACGTATGGTCAAGAACCTCAGTTTCCTATCTATAGAACTGGAATAATAATATGTAACACATAGAGTTATTGTGAGGAGACTATGAAAATAAATACACTTGTTTAGCGCATCATTTGGCAGAGTAAGTGCACAATAAAAGTAAGGGATTGTTATTAGCGTTGAAATTATGATGGAAGCCTTGAGCTCTCTCTTCTGGCTCTGCACCGTAACTCCGATAAATTTGCTACAGTTTCCTCATCTTTGATACGAAAGAGTTAAATCGCACATTCTATCATTCCTATCCAGGTCAAAAAGTCTTTGAGTCAATGGATGTACTATCTGCAAGTAAAATCATTATTTTTTATTATTTTGCTATTAATATTTTGAAAAGGCATGGGTTTTTCAAAGGAGCCTGTTGGCTCTCAAAAATACAGCAGTTGGATAATTCAACTGCTCCCATTTAGACATTCCATTTTATTATGGGAGGCTCGATGATTCCGGAGACACAATTTCACCAGAGGGTTCTCTTCCACTATCAACCTGTGGAAAATCTGAAACTATACCAGGAACAAACTCCCTAAAGAATGACTCAGGAGGAACCCCCTCCCCCAGCAGTCAGACAGGGAAGTCACAGACCACATGGCCGCGGGCTGACCCAAGGACCTCACACAAATGCCATACCGAGGAACAGAGAAGTTGGGACTATTTTTCCTCATTGGCCACTCTACATTTTGTGGATTCTTCTACATTTGAAGGAAAAGAAGGTGGAGAACTTCTCAATGTCAGACTAGCCATTTGTTTAGACAGGGCATCCGAAACTGCTTCCATCAGAGAACATTGGTTGGTGCGGTACTCAAGACCCACTGTGCTGAGGGAAACTCGATCGCAGAAGTGCCGTGCCCTGGGTCATTTTTAATCCATTCTCCACAAACAACAAAGGATGGTAAGGGTGGGGAGAGAACAGTGTTCCCTCATGGCAGGGGGCAGAGGGCGAAAGAAAACCGTATAGCTTGAGCCTGTATGAGAATCCATTTGTCACACGAGGAAACAAGCGCACTCCAGGTTGTCCTAGGCTTATCACAAGCAAAACAACTATTTGGTGAGACTTCAAATAAAAACAGCCCCTCTCTGCCCACCCTCCTCAAGATCCACGCGATCTCCAGAAACAGGAACCTGTTTGGTTATCTCCCTGCAGCCTCTGATTCAAAGACCTGTCACTTTCAGAGCTTTACGTCATCAGTTTAGAGCTCTGCCCTCTCTCTTTTCCCCTTTTGCCTTTCCTCTGAAGCATTCTGTCTGGTGACTACCAAGGAAGGACAAAAGTCACCGAACAACAGCTCAGTTCCAGCATGGTGCCTGCTTTGCTGCTCGCCCAAGCGCAAGCACCATTACTGCTGAATGAACCTGAGAAGGAGCCGGTTCTCTCCGTAATTTGGATGCCAGGCCTCCCAGAGTTAATCATCAGCTGCAGGCAGCACTTTCCCAGTCAGGTCATAAACAAGGAAAAAACAGCCTGAGTATCACGAAAACACTAAAATAAGGAAGACCAGCGGCAACCGAACATTTTAAAGTAATGAAGGTGAAGGAAGACCAGGGGCAACTGAACATTTTAAAGTAATGAAGGTGAATTAGCTTGTTGGGGGGAAAAAAAGTCGCTATAAAATACAGCTTTCAATTAGTTGGAAACCATGCAAGAAATCTAAATATGATTTCTAATGTGAATCTAAATATTATTTTGTCAGTCTTCTATATTGCAGACAGTTCTACACAGTTAAATGAGATATTCTCAAAAATTGAATAGGAAAAATCAAATCAGCCATACAATAAATTCACAAGTTACTTTAAACAACTACGTTTTCAGGTTTCAGTGGTAGAAACAGATTAAAATCAAATCTAGTCATCAACTCACTTCAATGAAGTCTCTACTTCATAACCTGAACTTGACTTTGAACCTAAACACCATGGACTAGAAAAATCTTGAACACTGGGAAACAAACTTTCTGTTTCCTAGACAGGAATGAAGCCATATGCCCCATTCATCCTCAAAGTTACAAGACACGTTGCCGAAAATAACAGGTTCTAAAAAAGGGCTGTGAAAACACCAATGGCTGTTAACAGGTACAAATAAAATATCTCCTTCTATCGTGCCAGAGGGAAACCAAAATCAAAATCAAAAGTTGTTGGTGGCTTGCAACACACACACACACACACACACACACACACACACACACGGAGAGGGAATGAAAGAGAGAGAGAGAGAGGAAAGTTCTCCAGTTACTTACTAGGGTGGTTTTGTCGTGGTATTTTTCACATCAGCACTCTGCCTGTCCAGCTGCCAAGTGCCGGAGCACGCCGAGAGCAGCTGTTTCCTTCAAGCTGGGGCTCTGAGTCTTAACCAGTCACATGTACCTCCTGATAAATACCGCCCGCCACCGTGCCAGGAGGTCAGAAACTGAAGATCATTCTTCTCCTCACTCGCAAACCACCTCATAACCCCTGAGTTGGCTCAGCCATCTCATGAGCATGCAGAGCGGGATATTCCACAATTTGTTTTCCTTTAGTGACAAAAGCCAAACAGCTGATAAGTCACACTGAAGGGCAGGTCACTGCAAGTGGAAAGTTAAATGTGTTTGCGTGTGTGTGTGCGCAGAGGGGGAGACTGGCAGGCTCCATGCTCTCTCATCTCACTCAAGTTTCACTGGGGCTCTCGAACGGCAAGAGAGAGGATCACCAACTCGCACAGCAGGTGGAAGTTGCTCTGTGTTAACCCCGGAGTACAACTGTTTGGTTTCGTTTTCTCAGAATCTCAGGCTCCAGTTTGTTAGACGAGCCACAAGCCTGACTAGGTGGCTGGTGCTGGGGAAGGCAGACCCTCACTCACCATCTAAGAATGCTTAGGTTGGACTTCAAAGGCCGGGGCTGCTAAGCCAAGGGACGCTGAGGGGCAAATATGGGAGGGGTTAATGAAGACTATCAAAGGCAGCTTTATCTGAAGAGCTCTTGGAAGTGATTTCAGGTAGCTTTAGACCAAACTTCCGCATTGTTATCTGTTGAATTGCATCGAGCAGCTGAGATTATCAGCCGGCGAGTGTGAATGCAAACAGAAATTATCACCAAGTTGACAACGCGCTTTACAGACGCACTACTGCCCCCTTTGGTGTGCTGGGAACTTGGAGCAAACTGCCGTTTTCTGTGCTGCTCGCAAACGTGGCAAACCATCCCTGATGTTTTGTTGAATTCATATGTCTCACCTGAGCTGATGTTCCCACCCTTCCCTTTTCATCCTCCCTTCCAAGGAAAGCCCTTGAAGTATCTGACTTTACGTAGTGTCTGACCTTGGATGTCTGACTTCTTGGTATAGTAAGGGTGACACTTCCCCGAATCAGTGTCTGAGCCTGCCCTTCAGGTAGAGATATGACATAGAGGCAGCCTATTTGGCAAAGTGAACATCCAGAAAAGATGGTTGAAGTCCCCCAGGGGATTTCTGAACCATAATGTGCCTGTTAAACTATTAACCCTGATTTTTAACACATAATATCTTACTCAGTGTAAGAGCCTGTGTGAGTAATCTTTTATATTTAGGCTTTGTCTCATAATTATTTACAGTGTTAATCAAACCAGAAATTTCCCTCCATATAGAGGATACAGTGTTTTCTAGAATAAGAGAAAAAGACAAAAAACCCTCAGTCTCACCATACTATCAGGGCAGTAATTTGTTGTCAACTTGTGAGAGTCCGAAGAGCAAATGGGAGAATTTTGTAAGCACCAAAACAAATCCCTTCCTCAGCATTTCAAGTTAGTAATAGAAATAAACTTCAGATATAAAAATGCAATGCATAAAATACACATTTCCCTCACAGGCATTTTTGTTTATGTGTTGATGTGACAATCTTCAATTAGAAACAGAAAAAGAGGCCTACTGAGGATTTGAAACATTATTTTGATTTACTTACCCCCTTGTATTTACAGTAATAGAAACTTTTGTGATCTGATGGCATCCATCCATCACTTTGTTTACCATTGACTGGGTTAATTATTCTGATGATCCATTGCATGCCACATAAAGAAACAGGGACTTCTAGAAACTCTTCAATGCCCAACAGCGACAACAGCCTCAGGAAAGTTAAGTTGTATTAGTCCATTCTTGCATTGCTATAAATACTTGAGACTGGGTAATTTATAAAGAAAAGAGGTTTAATTGGTTCATGGTTCTGCAGGCTATGGAGGAAGCATGATACTGGCATCTGTTCGGCTTCTGGGGAGGCCTCGTGAAACTTACAATCATGGTGGAAGGCAAAGTGGGAGCAGATGAGTCACATGGCCAGAGCAGCAGCAAGACAGACAGGGGGCACTTCTAAATGACCAGCGCTTGCCAGAACTCACTATCAGCTGGGTGTTGTGGCTCATGCCTATAATCCCAGCACTTTGGGAGGCTGAGGAGGGTGAATCACCTGAGGTCAGGAGTTTGAGACCAGCCTGGCCAACATGGCAAAACCCTGTCTCTACTAAAAATACAAAAATTAGCCGGGCGTGGTGGTGTGCTTGAACCTGGGAGGCAGAGGTTGCAGTGAGCCAAGATCAAGACCGCACCACTGCACTGCACTCCAGCCTGGGCAACAGAGTGAGACTCTGTCTTAAAATAAACAAATAAATAAAAGAACTCACTCACTATCATGAGAACAGCACTAACAGGATGGTACCAAACCATTAATGAGAAATCTGCCCCTAAGATCCAATCACTTCCCACCAGGCTCCACCTCCAACACTGGAAATTACATCTCAACATGAGATTTGGGTGGGCACAACATCCAAACTACATCATAAGTGTAAAGCAGGAGTCCCCAGCCCCCATGCCATGGACAGGTACCTGTCCATGGTCTGTTAGAGGCCAGGCTGCACAGCAGGAGGTGAGCAGCAGTCAAGGGAGCATGACCATCTGAGCTCTGCCTCCTGTCAGATCAGCTGTGGCATTAGATTCCCATAGGAGCATGAACACTATTGTGAACTGTGCACGCGAGGGATCTACACTGCATGCTCCTTATGAGAGTCTAATGCCTGATGATCTGAGGTGGAACAGTTTCATCCTGAAATCATCTCCATCCCCTCATTCCCGGTCCATGGAAAAATTGTCTTCCATGAAACTGGTCCCTGGTGCCAAATACATTAGGGACCACTGGTGTAGAGGTTCTTTTCTAGTTCTATAGCCAGGAGAGGAAGGGATGGATCCTCAATCCTCCCTATGAAGCAAACTGTTAACACAGAGGCCAAGACCCAGGACCCTTTCAGTCAGAGTCCAGGAGTGTGACTAAAGGTTCTACAATAACACAGCCTTGCAAAGAAATGGGGGAGATCCCATCTTTCTGCCCACACTCCCTACCAGTTCCAAGCATTGTCTTCGACTCAAGAAGAGGTGCCCTCTTCCTGTCAAGAGGCCACCTCCTACCTCGGCTTTGTGTCTCACCCTGTGTCTCCCACCTGCTTAGGACTCTCGACAACAACCACGCCTTCTCTTGCTCTCAGCGTGCGCTCATTAGCTAAACATGCTCACGTTCTCACATTGTCTTTATATCCTAACAACAGTCTTTCTGATTTTTTGCTTTTTTTTTTGAGACGGAGTCTCACTGTGTTGCCCAGGCTGGAGTGTGGTGGCGCGATCTCGGCTCACTGCAAGCTCCGTCTCCCAGGTTCAAGCCATTCTCCTGCCTCAGCCTCCTGAGTAGCTGGGACTATAGGCACCCGCCACCACGCCCAGCTAATTTTTTGTATTTTTAGTAGAGACATGTATTTTTAGTAGTAACATGGGGTTTCACCATGTTAGCCAGGATGGTCTCCATCTCCTGACCTCATGATCTGCCCACCTTGGCCTCCCAAAGTGCTGGGATTACAGGCGTGAGCCACTGCCCCCAGCCAGACTTGCTCTTTTAATTACTGCCCTAACTCCTGCATTCCCTCCACAACTAAACTCCTGAAAAAATACTTGTCTTCACCATCTCACATCCCATTTACTCTCAACCTACTTGTGGCTTGGCTTTTTTTCCCTCACTTCACTGAAACTGCTCTTTCCAAGTCCCCAAAGACCAAAGGCAACCGACACTTTTTGCTTTTTTTTTTTTTTTTTTGAGACGGAGTCTTGCTCTGTCACCAAAGTGCTGGGATTATAGGCGTGACCCACCGCGCCCGGCAATTTTCATGTTTTTAGTAGAGACGGGGTTTCACCATGTTGGCCAGGATGGTCCCGAACACCTGACCTCGTGATCTGCCCGCCTCAGCCTCCCAAAGTGCTGGGATTACAGGCGTGAGCCATCTTACTTGACCTTTTGGCTCTATTTGTCCCAACTGACCAACCACCCCTTGAAAAGCTCTCCCATGGCGTCTATAAAATTTTACTACTACCTCCTTCATCCTCAGGTCTGGGCTTCTCTTCCGCTATCTGCCCCTTAGGTGTGAAAATCCTCTCTTCTCATCTTGCACTCTTACCGCCCCTCATATGTTCTGATTTATTACTGAAGGTCTGCGGTGATTTCCTAATTAATCACCTTGCCTCCAAAAAGCCTGTCTCTGATCTCAATGTATGTTTTACACGCTAGGACTGAAAGCCCCTCCGGGCCATCGTAGGCAACTTTGTATTCCCAGAACCTTCAGGGCTTCACTCCCACTCTAGCTGCCTGCTGCTTTTGTACATTTCGCTGCGGTTGCATTTCTTTCTGTATTATAATTAGGTCTACATGTGTCTGTGTTCCATCCAAACTTTACCAATCTAAGACAAAGCTTATGACTTATTTTATATCCTGCAATGCCTAATACAATGCCTGGCATGTATGAGACACATGGTGGAAACAATCCTCGATGAATAAATGAATAATTAAAGAGAAGGATCTTCTGTCTAGCCCATTAAGAAAAAAATATAAGAAAAGTTTGCAAAACTTGATTTTATATTAGGCTACCAAAAAAAAATTGTAAGTAATTTCTTTCCAAAAGAAATTGGCCATATTCTGTGATCACACTGTAATAAAACTATACATTAATTACAAAAGTGTAAGTCAAAAAGACCCCACGCTCTTGGGGAAACTTTAGAGTTCTTAAAAAAAAAAATCATTGATTGGAGAATAAATTAAAAACACAATTACAGAATGAATGCTTAGAAGGTTTCAGTGATGAGAATACCACATATCAAATATTGGGAGACATAGCCAAAATAATAATTAGAAGCAAACTGACCCAGGAAGAAGTCAAAAAACAACAGATCAGTAACCATGGAAAAATGTAAAAGTTAATAAGGAATTATTTCCAAAAAAAGCTCTTAGTTCAGATTACTTACACAATCAAGTTCTAACTGAGCTTCAAGCAGAATTAACTCCCATGGTATATGAAGTGTTCAAGTGGACAAAAGTAACAGAAAGCTAACATAATACCCTGTCTTAAAAAAAAAAACTGATAAAGCATAATAAAGAAAACCACAGACTAACTTCATACGTAAACATAGGTTGCCCTAAAGATGTAAAAAATAAGGCTGGGAATAGTGGCTCACCCCTGTAACCCCAGTGCTTTGGGAGGCCAAGGTGGCAGGATCACCTGAAGCCAGGAGTTTGAGATCAGCAGGGGCAACATAGCGAGACTCCATCTCTACAAAAAAAAAAAAAAAAAAAAATAGCCCAGTGTGATGGCAGATGCCTATAGTCCTACCAACCTGGGAGGATGAGGCAGGAGGATCACTTGAGCCTAGGGGATCAAAGCTGCAGTAAGGTATGATCACACCACTGCACTCCAGACTGGGCAACAGAGAAAAACTTTTGGATTGCCACAATAATCTTGAAAAATCATTTGATAAAATTCAATATCAATTTTTTAATTAATAAAACAAAATTAAAAGACTGATTCTTAACATGATACTCATGTTAATTCAAATCTCAAATCAAACATAGGCATCATACTTAATGGTAAAATACTGGAAGTATTAATGTTAAAATCAGAAACAAGAAAAGCATGCTCATTATCACTACCATCCATTTAACACTGTTCTAGACATTTGAGCCACTGCAACCAGGCAAGAAAAAGAAACTAAAGAAGAATTTTATGAGAAAAATGGAGACAAAAGTATTCAACCTGCAGATTGAGTAATATTCATTTTCTCAATAGAACAAACTAAAATTTGCTTCTAAATAATTAAAAAGTGAGGTGAACAGTTACAAATAAATATACAAAATAAGTATACAAAATTAATTGTTCTGGCCACGGAACAATTATACAGAAATATATGAAATTTTCCATATAACCCACAAAAACTTAGAAAACATAATAGAAAATAATTCTTGGCCGGGCGTGGTGGCTCACACCCATAATCCCAGCACTTTGGGAGGCCGAGGAGGGTGGATCACAAGGTCAGGAGATCGAGACTATCCTGGCTAACACGGTGAAACCCTGTCTCTACTAAAAATACAAAAAATTAGCCGGGCATGGTGGCGGGCGCCTGTAGTCCCAGCTACTCGGGAGGCTGAGGCAGGAAAATGGCGTGAACCCGTCAGGCGGAGCTTGCAGTGAGCTGAGATCGCGCCACTGCACTCCAGCCTGGGCAACAGAGTGAGACTCCATCTCAAAAAAAAAAAAAAAAATTCTTAGTTATAGTATTATTTATAATAGCAACAACAACAATAACATTTCTAGGAATAAAAAAAGTGAATAACCTATTTAAAAATGTAACTTTACTGAGAAAATTAAAAACAGTTTGATACATTTCTGTATTGGAAAGTTTTTCTGTACTGGAAAACTTAACATTGTAAATATATTAATTCTCCCTCAAATTAATTTATAAATATAATCAAATTTTGCTTAAAATCCCAAATAAATTTTTCAAACAGGTCAAAAATCCTCAAGTTTATTTTAAAGAATAAAAAACTGAGAATGGTAAAGAAAATTTTAGAAAAGAACCACAAGGGAGATATTAGGTACTAAATAGGCTAAAAATAACGTGAATTTAAAGTTTGGTACTAGTGCCAAAAGAACTAGAGCAATGGAACAGAGCCAAAAGCCCAGAAATACACATAGAAGAACTACAGTAAAATGTTTATTGTATTTGTTCAATATGGTTTTTAAACCCAGTGGGAAAAGAATAAACTATTCAAAAACAGGTTAAATCATTAACTATTCGGAAAAATTAAGATGCAATCATTACTTCATGCCATACACAAAGTAAAAGCATGTTAGACTAAAGAGTTAAACATAAAAACGCTGTACAGCAGCACGGTGGCTCATGCCTGTAAACCCAGCACTTTGGGAGGCCGAGGTGGGCAGATCATCTAAGGTCAGGAGTTTGAGACCAGCCTGGGCAACATGGTGAAACCCCTTCTCTACCAAAAATATAAAAAATTAGCTGGGCATGGTGGCCCATATCTGTAGTCTCAGCTACTAGGGAGGCTGAGGCAGGAGAATCACTTGAGCCCAGGAGGTGGAGGTTGCAGTGAGTCAAGATCGCGCCACTGCACTCAGCCTGGGTAACAGAATGAGACTCCATGTCAAAAAAAAAAAAAAAATCACATACAAACTTGAAGAGAATCACATGATTGGTTTTATAATCTTAAAATTGTTTTAATCATGATTAAATACTTTTGTCCTGAAAACGTTTCAATCACAGTCACAACAGAAGGAGCTATAAAGATAAAAGTTCACGATTTAAACCATAAAATATAAAACATATATGTAAAATATAATCCAACGGTAATCAAAATTAACCTACAAATAATAAAATGAGATTCAAAAGTGAAATACGTATGGTAAAGGGTTAATGGTCTTAACATATAAATAGCATTTACAATTAACAACTGGATATTAATAAATAGTTCACAAGGGAAGAAACATAAATGACCAATCTACACATGAAAAAGTCAGCTTCCCTAAAAAAGGAGTATACATTAAACAACGATAAGATACAATTTATTATCTATAAACTTGACAAAGATGAAAAAACGAAAATTCTCAGTGTTGGCAGGAGGTTTGGAAAATGGCACCTTCATACTCTACCAGAAAGAATATAAATCGTACAACATAGGAGGAAGATAATTTTGTAATGTATGTCAAAAGCTTTTTAAAATGTGAATACCCTTTAACTCAGCAGTTCCTGTTCTAGAAATATATCCTAAGAAAAGAATATGGATTGCATATGTATAAGGATATTTCACGCAGCATTACTTATACTAAGAAAATATTAGAAAAACATCTAGGTGCCAAAAGTAGTTGAATAAATTAGAACATATTCATAAGATATGGCACTATGCAATTATAAAATAATGTTGAAGTGGCTGGGTACAGTGGTTCACACCTGTAATCCCAGCACTTTGGGAGGCCGAGGCAGGTGGATCACGAGGTCAGGAGATCAAGACCATCCTGGCCCACATGGTGAAACCCTGTCTGTACTAAAAATACAAAAATTATCCCGGCATGGTGGTGTGCACCTGTAGTCCCAGCTACTCAGGAGGCTGAGGCAGGAGAATCGCTTGAACCTCGGAAGCAGAGGTTGCAGTGAGCCGAGATCATGCCACTGCACTCCAGCCTGGGCAACAGAGCGAGACTCCGTCTCAAAAAAAAAAAAATGTTGAAGCATATTAGTAACATGGAAAAATATTCAGCATCGATTAAGTGAGATATAAAAGTTACAAAAGTTTATTCAGTACAATCCCATTTTTCTAAGAAAATATGTGAATATATTAAAAATCTGAAACATTATATATCAAATTTTTAATAGTGATTATTTCTGGGAGTTGGGGGTCACATATATTTCCTCCTCCTTTATGCTCATCAGCATTTATCTACTGTTTCTATAATAAATATTTATTAGTTCATTTTTTAATGAGATCTTTTTAAAATAAGAAAAGAGATACTGGACTTACAAAGACACTTAAGTACTTCAATCATCTACACAAAGAGAAAAAAACAAATCATGTACACTAAGAGAGAAAGAAAGAAAGAAAGAAAGAAAGAAAGAAAGAAAGAAAGAAAGAAAGAAAGAAAGAAAGAAAAAGCCTCACCATCCATTAGAAAAACCAGTCACTTTTTCCCAAGTCTTGCTTCTTTAACTTTCTGGTCAATATTTGACAGCAAATCTCTGAAAGGTTTCAAGGATACAGGAAGAGGGCGGAAGTGTGGTCTTGCCTGAGCACCTCTTATTCTGTTTCTCAGGGAGGTCCCAATGGGCCTTTGTGCCTATCTGAGCCACCGCCTTAGGTAGAAATTCCCAAAAGGTACCAATCTCATATAGGCACTGTCAGATAGTACAACTTCCCCTGCTAGCAGCTCCCTCCTGAAGCTGTGGGTCCATTTGCCCTACACCAAATTCCACACAAGCTGCGTCAAGTTGGGACGCAAAACCTGCTGTTAATTTGAAGCACTAACACATACCACATCTCATCCCATCTCTGCCTTCCTTTCCTTTTAGGAGACTTTGTATGCAACATTCTCTCATATTCCTCCAGCTCAGTAAATTCTATCTTGTGCAATCTCTTTTTCAGACACATACACTTTTTTGATACCTTCTCTTTTTTTCTTACAACACTTGTCTAAAAATCATGGGAGATTTCTCTACCCTTCTTGTTCTTCCCTTTGAACTATGTGTGGGCCAGGGTAAGCACCCAGTCACAGTCAGTTCATTATAAGAGTTGTGCTAGCTACATGCCTGTAACAAATAAAAAGAAAGAAAAATTTTTGAAAGCATCAGAGAGTAGACTTTGCAACCTCTAAAGCTCCTGAATCAAACAAACCAATATCAATAACTGAAAAAAATATAGTGCCGGTGTTCAATGTGCATTGCCTTTAGGAATTCATCAAAGTACCTGAAATCTCTCTGGGAGAAAAGAGGAACATGTAGAAAGGCATATAGAAGTAATCATAATTATTATATATAATACCAAGTAGAATTTATTAATATATATATAGTTAGTATGTTACTAATATATAATAAGCTAACACCTGTGCAAAACACTCATTTAATCCTCATGGTAATGATCTAAGGAGATGCTATTATTACCCCTAGATGACTTTTCGTGAGGTTGACTAGCCTGCCCACAACGAGTGAGCAGCAAAGAGGGATGTAAACCCAGGTCTGTCTGACTTCAAACCCTGAGCATTTACCTCCCCAGAATGACTTAGCAGCCATAGAAGTTTTCCTAGACTTGCTCATCCTCTTCTAATTAAACCTGGGTCACGGAAAATTTTTTAACTTATGTTTATAGTATACTGTAGTCTGTTAAGTGTGCAATAGCGTTATGTCTGTTTCCCCTGCATCTGCAGTTACCTCCTCCGCTGAAATCTTTTTTTTTTTTTTGATACAGAGTTTCCCTCTTGTTGCCCACACGGCAGCGCAATGGCACAGTCTCAGCTGATTGCAACCTCCACCTCCCAGGTTCAAGTGATTCTCCTGCCTCAGCCTCCTGAGTAGCTGGGACTACAGGCACCCACCACCATGCCCGGCCAATTTTTGTATTTTTAGTAGAGACAGGGTTTCACCATGTTGGTCAGGCTGGTCTCGAATTCCTGACCTCAGGTGATCTGTCCGCCTCGGCCTCCCAAGGTGCTGGGATTACAGGCCTGAGCCACCATGCCCAGCCCCCTCCGCTGAAATCTTAAACCCCTCAAAGTCGTCCATGAGGGTTGGGGTAAACTTCTTTCAAACTCCTATTAATGTCAATAATCGGACCTCCTCCCATGAATCACGAATGTTCCTAATGGCACCTAGAATAGTGAATCCTTTCCAGAAGGATTTCAATTTATTCTGCTCCTTTCAATTTACTCTGGTCACATCCATCAGATGAATCACTATCTATGGTAGCTATAGCCTTACAAAATGTGTCTCTTAAATAATAAGACTTGAAAGTTGGAATTACTTCTTGATCCATGAGCTGCAGAATGGATGTTGTGTTAGCAGGCATAAAAACAACATTCATCTCTTTGTACATCTACACTAGAGCTCTTGGGTGACCAGCTACAATGTCAATGAGCAGTAAGAAGGAATCCTTCCTTTTTTTTTTTTTTTTTGAGCAGTAAGTCTCAACAGTGGGGTTAAAATATTCAGTATACCAGGCTATAAACAAATGTGCTGTTATCCAGGCTTTGTTGTTCCATTTATAGAGAAAAAGCAAAATAGATTTAGCATGATTCTTAAGGGCCCTAGGATTATCAGATTGGCAAATGAGCATTGGCTTCAACTTAAAGTCACCAGCTGCATTAGCCCCTAACAAGAGTCAGCCTGTCCTTTCATGCTTTGAAGCCAGACATGGACTTCTTTCTAGCTATGAAAGTCCTAGATGACATCTTCTTCCAATTTAAGGCTGGTTCAACTACGTGGAAAATCTGTTGTATAATGTAGCTACCTTCATCAATGATCTTAGCTAGCACTTGTGGATAACTTGCTGCAGTTTCTCCATCAGCACTTAAGATTTCATTTTGTACTTTACTTAATAACATGTTCATTTATTTATTTTTGACACAGGGTCTTGCTCTGTTGCCCAGGCTGGAGTGCAGTGGTGTCATCATAGCTCACTGTAGCCTCAAACTCTTGGGTTCAAGCGATCCTCCCTCTTCGGCCTTCCACCTTGTACTTTTATGTTATGGAGATAGTGTTATTCCTTAAGCCTTATCAACAAACCTCTGCTAGCTTTAAATTTTTCATCTGTGGCTTCCTCCCCTCTCTCAGCCTTCCGAGAATTGAAGAGAATTAGGACTTTGCTCTAGATTAAGCTTTGGCTGAAGGGAATATTGTGGCTGGTTTGATCTGCTGTCCAGACCACTAAAACTTTCTTCATATCAGCAATAAGGCTGTTTTGCTTTCTTGTCATTCATGTATTCATTGGAGTAGCACTTTTAATTTCCTTAAAGAACTTTTCCTTTGTAGTCACAATTTGGCTGTTTGGCACAAGAGGCTTGGCTTTCAGCACACCTTCCTCACTAGGCTTTATCATGTCTAGCTTTTGATCTAAAGTAAGAAAATTGTGACTCTTTCTCTCACTTGAACACTTAGAAGCCATTTTAAGATTATTAACTGGCCTAATTTTAATACTGTTGTGTCTCAGGGAATAGGAAGGCCTGAGGAGAGGAAGAGAGGTGGGGAAATGGCCAGTTTGTAGAGCAGTCAGAATATGCATAGCATTTATTGATTAAGTTTGCCAGCCAATATGGGTGTGCTTTGGAATGCCCCAAAACACTTACAATAGTAACATCAAAGATCACAGATCACAGGCTGGGTATGGTGGCTCACACATTTAATACTTGCAGAGGCCTAGGTAGGACAATTGCTGGGGCCCAAGAGTTTGAGACTAACCTGGGCAACATAGTGAAACCCCATCTCTTCAAAATGTAAGAAAAGAAATCAGCTTGGTGTGGCGGCATGTGCCTGTAATCCCAGCTATTCGGGTAGCTAAGGTGGGAGGACCACTTGAGCAGGGGAAGTCAAGGCTGCAGTGAGCTGTGATTGGCCACTGCACTCCAGCCTGGGCGACAGAGCAAGACCCTATCTTTTTTTTTTTTTTTAAAAAAAGATCACTGATCACAGATCACCAAAATAGATATAAAATATAATAATAATTTAAGACCAGGCACGGTGGTTCACACCTGTAATCCCAGCGCTTTGGGAGGCTGAGGTGGGTAGATTGCCTGAGCTCAGGAGTTCAAGACCAGCCTGGGCAACATGGTAAGACCCCGACTCTACTAAAATACAAAAAAATTAGCCAGGTGTGGTGGCATGTCCCTATAATCCCAGCTACTTGGGAGTCTGAGACAGGAGAACCACTTGAACCCAGGAGGCGGAGGTTGCAGTGAGCCAAGATAGCGCCACTGCACTCCAGCCTGGACAACAGAGCAAAACTCCATCTAATAATAATAATAATAATAATAATAATTATTATTATTATTAAGTTTGAATATTGCAAGAATTACTAAAATGAGAAATGAAGTGAACACATGCTAATGGAAAAATGGTCCTAGTAGACTTGCTTGATGCAGGGTTGCCTTAAACTTTCAATTTGTAAAAAAACATAGTATCTGTGAAGTGTAATAGAGCACAGCATGGTAAAATGAGGTATGCACATGTACAAATAAAAAGAATGAAAGGGCTGGGCACGGTGGCTCATGCCTATAATCCCAGCACTTCGGGAGGCCGAGGCAGGCGGATCACGAGGTCAGGAGTTCAAGACCAGCCTGGCCAACATGGTGAAACCACATTTCTACTAAAAATACAAAAAAAATAGCCAGGTGTGGCGGCAGGCACCTGTAATCCCAGCTTACTTGGGAGGCTGAGGCAGGAGAATCGCTTGAACCTGGGAGGCAGAGGTTGCAGTGAGCCAAGATTGCGCCATTGTACTCTAGCCCGGGCGATAGTGCGAGACTCTGTCTCAAAAAAAAAAAAAAAAAAAAAAAAGAGTGAAGGAGCAGACAGCTTCTACCAGAGGAGGGCTGCTGGAGGCCTCTACACCCCAGCCTCTGTGGGCCCCCTTTCTTCAGCATCCTGGAGAAACTCCCAAATTTCCAGACAAATTGGTCCAGATTAACAATCATCTTCCCCTTTCAGTTCTCTTTCTTTTCCCTGTCTTTTATCTCTTCTCTTTTCTTTCTTTTTATTAAACTTCATTCACTTTTTAAAACATACTAGCTTTAGCATAAATGCATTTACTTATTATAATTCACTTGAATTTACCTTTATGGCAGTGTTTCTCTCTTAACATTCTCTGTCCATCTAATCATCTTCTATAAACTAGCCTAGATTTCTAGCTGAAGCTGGATTCAGTAAAACCTGAGAAGGAAAATTTAGCGTTCATGCCACAAAACACCTTGTTTAGCATAATTACTTACACACAGCTTTCTCCCCCAATTATTTTTATTCCAAAACTATTTGATTTGACAGCAAGTTTCATTCATTTTTGAGGCTCTCACTCCTATAAACGCAGATGAGTGGTAAAGTTAATCTGAATCTAGATCTTCTGAAATGCCACTGTTGATTCTAGGATTCTTTTCATTCTTGAAAAGAGTTTCTTATAGTTAAATAAATAAATAAATAAAAATCCTGAGGCAACCTCTGCATTTCTTCTGAGAATCATTTTAGTGTGCAGAGAATACTATAAGGAGAATTTTCAGAATTATGATTTCCTTTCTATTCAAGCATTAGTATAGTTTGCTATTTCAAAGCAGAACTACAAAGCTGATTCAGGGATAAATGACACAAAGTAAATATTTAAATTCTTTTTCTTGAAATGTGTGATAGCTTAATGCATGAGGTGGGGGCGCAATTTGATCTTCGTGAGAATCACAGGAAAAGTGCAGTTAGAAACTCTACATCTGGCCGGCGCAGTGGCTCACGCCTGTAATCCCAGTACTTTGGGAGGCTGAGGCGGGTGAATCACCTGAGGTCAGGAGTTTGAAACCAGCCTGACCAATATGGTGAAACCCCATCTCTACTAAAAATACAAATCTAGCCGGGCTATGGTGGCGGCTGCATGTAATTCCAGCTACTTGGGAGGCTGAGGCAGGAGAATCTCTTGAACCCGGGAGGTGTAGGTTGCAGTGTGCCGATCGCACCACTGTACTCCAGCCTGGCCAACAGAGCGAGACTCTGTCTTAAAAAAAAAAAAAGAAAAACAAAAAAAAAAAACCTCTACATCCTCTTGTTCTCAAATGCAAACTCTAGGCTTCTTCTGCCTCTTCTCATCTTTGCATCACAGCCTCACTCTAAATCAACAATCAACACAGGCCTCCTTTTGAGTCCACTAAGCTGTTCTGGGTTCACATGGCAGCTCACTAGCACTGGCTGGAGAATGATGCTCACTTTCTTTCTTCATTTGTTTTTTTTTCCTCTTTCCAAATGAATGAATTTTTACATCATGGCTGTAATTATAAAATAGCCATGTTAATTTGATACCAAATCCATCTGCTCAACATTGTACATAATTCTAAACAATGTCAATGTTCCAGTTAATCGCTTTTGCTCTTCACTTTAATTACCAGGTTATCCAAACCCAGCTAGCTAACTGCAAGTCCTGTTTTCCAGCCTTAGTGCCAAACCCCTTGCTCAAGTTTTAATTCAACCATCACAGCCTCTTGGTTATAACCTCGTGAGGCCTGGGCTTTTAACCTCATTTCCATTATTCCACGCCTTTTCTGGAGTATCACTCCCTTTGTCATACATTTCTTAAATAGCACCATGATTTACTTACACTGTATTTGCTCAATCTTTTGACTGTAGTCTCGGTATTACTTATAACTTTGTGTGTAGAAAACTTTTGGATAAAATATTCTTACGGCTTCCTGGGAATCCATAGCAGAGTAAGAATCTGCTGAGGAATGAGGATCTAACATTATTGCTACAAGATTTCTTATTTGTAGATCATAAGGCATAAACTAAGAAAGCACTTTCAGAAACGCATTTTAAAAAGTGGCAGGAGCTGGGCACATTGGCTCACGCCTGCAATCCCAGCACTTTGGGAGGCCAAGGCAGGTGGATCACTTGAGCTTGGGAGTTCAAGACCAGCCTGGCCAACATGGCGAAACCCCGCCTCTACTAAAAATACAAAAATTAGCTGAGTGTCGTGACGGCACCTGTAATTCCAGCTACTCAGGAGGCTGAGGCAGGAGAATGACTTGAACCCGGGAGATGGAGGCTGCAGTAAATAGAGATCGTGCCACTGCACTCCAGCCTAGGTGACAGAGAAAGACTGTCTCAAAAAATAAAATAAAATAAAATAGTGGTAGAGAAATTTCCAGTTTTCCCTAACGTTTTAATTTAAAAAAGGAGTCTTCTCAAAGCTCATCTTTGTGATTGCCAGTCTCATGAATAAAAAGTAATAGATAAGTTTAGGTTGGGGTAAAACTTCTCAAATTGAGAGGCAAGGGATTGGAAGTGAGGGATGGGTGTTGATTCCTTAATACAGACCATCAGTGGTATAAAGCTCAATAAATCTTCTTGGTTGATGGAAATAAACGCGTGGCAGTGAGAAATCAATGCAGAGGAGCATGGATTGCAACACTCGAAAACTATCAACCTAAGCAGTGAAGTTTGATAGGTATTTGAATTCCTGTAAATCCTTTTAGACTTACAAACTAATGGCCAGAATACTCACATTATCACATAGTCTTGTTTCCTTTTATAAAATAAGATGAGCAGGACTCCTGTGTGTGTGATTTATGTTATAAAATACTTAAATCTGGCTGGGTGCGGTGGCTCACGTCCATAATCCTAGCACTTGGGGAGGCTGAGGCAGGCTGATTGCCTGAGCTCAGGGGTTCAAGACCAGCCTAGGCAACAAGGTGAAACTCTGTCTCTATTATAATACAAAAAATTAGCCGGGCATGGCGGCTTGTGCCTGTAGTCCCAGCTACTCAGGAGGCTGAGGTAGGAGAATTGCTTGAACACGGGAGGTGAAAGTTGCAGTGAGCCGAGATCGCGCCATTGCACTCCAGCCTGGGTGACAGAGCAAGACTCTGTCTCAAAAAAAAAAAAAAAATTATATCTAAAAAACAATACATGCCCACTGTAGCAAGTTGAATAGTACAGACATATACATAAGGAAAAATGTAATAACCCTCTTTCCTATCCATTCTCATTTCACTGAGATAACACACATCTTTCTCTATCCTGTATCAAAATCCAATATAGGATAGAAAAAGGTATCTCCTACATATATATGTATGGGGTTCTATTTTCAAATGCAACTTTCAAAACCCCATTACTCTGTAAATTGATTTTTCCCTTAATAATGTATCATGGCCATTGATATTGGCTCCAAAGTCAATCATATAGATTTGATTTATTCTTTTTAATAGTTGCATTCTACTCCACAGTATAGTTATATCATAGTTTATTCATTATCTGAATATTTGAAATGTTCCCAGTTTTTACTTCTATGAACAGTGTTGCACTAAACATCCTGGTACATGTATCTTTAGTTGCTAATGCTTTTATTTCCATTGTATAAAGTTCCAAAATTGGGAGTATTGGGATTGCAAAGTTATTCATTTACAATTGACAAACATTCTTTCCTTGACCGAACTCTAGCCAGGCTCCTCTGAGCTCTCTTCTCAACTAGGCCTCAATCCTGTCCTATAGAGGCTTGAACAAATTCTAATATGGAGTTTAGAGAGAACTGGAGAGAACTCAAGGCTGCCAAAAAAATTTATTGCTTGTTCCAGTCAACACCAGAGGATAAGGCCTCTGTCCCCCAGTCTCTCTGGAAAGACAGAATCCTAACTTCAGCAACTTTCAGCGAGCAGACACAGCTGGCTTCATTGCATTTATACTGATCAACCCTTTGTAATTTTTCACTTTCCTGACTCTACTGAAGCCCTCCTTGTCCCCTCACCACTCCCTTATTCTCCCTTAAAAATGCCCAGTCACTTCTGTACAAATCAAAGTTGAGCTCAGTTCACACTAGACTGTTTTCCCTATTATAATAGTTAAAACTGATTAAAATCTGTCCTTACCACTTTAATTAGTGTTTGGCTTTGTTTACCTTTAATGCTCTATATTTCCAGTTATTTTTCCAAAAATGAACTAAAAGCAATGCAAAGTTATAGACTTAAAAAGTCTTGGCTGGGTGCAGTGGCTCACGCCTGTAATCCCAGCACTTTGGGAGGCTGAGGCAGGCGGATCATGAAGTCAGGAGATCGAGACCATCCTGGTTAACACAGTGAAACCCTGTCTCTACTAAAAATACAAAAAATTAGCAGGGCGTGGTGGCGGGCGCCTGTAGTCCCAGCTACTCGGGAGGCTGAGGCAGGAGAATGGCTTGAACCCGGGAGGCAGAGCTTGCAGTGAGCCAAGACTGCGCCACTGCACTCCAGCCTGGGCAACAGAGCGACAGAGCGAGACTCCATCTCAAAAAAAAAAGTCCGAGAAATGTCCACTTTGAGGATCAAGATTGTAATATGAGAGGCATTAAAATTTATTTCAGCATTATATCCCACCAGGCATATTTATGAAATCATTTATGTTAAAAATGTTAGATTTTTTCATGTAGAATCATAATTTTTTAAAAAATATATCTTAAATCTAACTGATTAAAATTTGTCAAAGTTAAAAGTTAGAGTCTATTTGCCCCCAGTTAGTCCTTATTATCTGCACATACCACAATTTCGATCAACTCTAAAGATCACTGAGGCCATGGAATCAACTGCCGAGTGGGTAAAAACAATTTATTTTAATGAGCAAATGTGAACTGATGTGCTATTAAGGACAAAAATGTTAAGGTTGGACTAAAAATACTTTATTATACTTTCACAGCATGCAATGGTGCTGGTGGAAAAAGGGTCAGTTACCTTCTCACTTGTTTCTACCCTATTTTCTGCACTGTGGCCTTGGTAACTGAAGAGCCCGCTCTTCCACATACCATCTGAGGCAGGAATAGGGTCCACTATCTAAACAGGGACAAGGGGCACCCAGTGTCTACAGCTATACTCCTCCTGGTATGGAATTTTACCTATACCCACCTCTTCTGAATTACACGGCTTCACCACAGAGTTTGATCTGGGGCTTTGTAGTGAGAGGTTGCAATATATCTGTCTATATTTTTAATAGCATATATATTCCATGTTACTGTTAACTGATATGGCTACACCAGCCAACACGCTCTAAAACACAAACAACTGAGCACAAGTTTCCCTGCTGCACAGAAAAAAAATCATAAATTATATTCAATATAAATTAAGGGAAAATTATTCACATTGCCAAAGCATTCTTTGTTTTAGAAAGCTACTCATTAAAGGATTACAAGAAATGTGTGCACCCCTGGTGCACTAAAAATGGCATTCAACCAACCAAAATTCAACTCATACGATTCAAGAACACATTTATTAAGTAAAATAAACATAAGTCCGATTTTGGACCCAACTTACTGGCCCAGATGGTCTGTATCCTTTCTTTCAGAACAAAAAAAAGTGGGCAAGCAGTTCCTAGCTGCCTGTGATAGACAGCTATTTCACAACCTCCCCAGGGTGCGCAAAAGTCACCTGCTATAAATAGCTCCTCAGCACTCACGTCAGAGTCCTCAGTTGAAGGGCCAGGTGAAAATATAAATTGCCTGAAATATGTCCTCTGCATTCTAATTCCATAGGTGACTATTTGCTGAAAATTCTCAGTAATCCTCCTGACAATTTCACTATAAATATACTTTAAAACTTTTTTTAACCATTTTCTGAAGTAGTAGGAGAGGTAGTGTGGTGAGGGTTAAGAACACTGCCCACCAGGAACAGGAAACCAGGATTCTCGTTCCCCAATCAGTCACGTAAGAGCCAAGTAAGTCACTTAAGCCTTTAAGAATAAAATTCCTCATTTGTGAAAGGGAAATGATAATACCCAACTCAAAGGGTGGCAGTGAGGGTTGCAAATAATGCATTCCGCATCAGGATTTTATCTTATAAAAATGACGTGACATTTGTAATATCAAAAAAAAAGGAAGGAAGGAACCTAAAAAAAAGAGGCGATTCATCAAAACAATCTTAATGCATTCATTCAAAGCTGTATACATCATGTAGCCATGAAAAAGATGTAATGGAAAGATGGTCTTGATGCAGTAAGTTTAAAAAGTGGGCTGAAAAAAACACTATGCATTTAGCCCCATTTTTATTACAATAAAGCATGTTTTCAAATGCACATAAAATATCTGCAGTGACAACAAACCATAAACATATATCCACTTTGAAGAAAAAAAGAGGGTTCCAGGTTTTTTTAAAAAAATATGACTAATTTTAGTTGAGTATATTCATTTATAACAAACTTGGATTATGTCTATAATTAAAAATTTAAAACAATGAAGAAAACAATGGGAAATAATTAGCGTGAAGAAAGCACTTAGCGGTCCGGCATGGCGGCTCGCACCTGTAACCCCAGTACTTTGGGAGGCTGAAGCGGGTGGAACACTTGAGGCCAGGAGTTTGAGACCAGCCTGGTCAACATAAGGAAACCCCATCTCTATCCACACCTGTAATCTCAGCTACTTGGGAGGCTGAGGCACAAGAATCACTTGAACCTGGGAGGCAGAGGCTGCAGTGAGCTAAGATAGGCCACTGCACTTCAGCCTAGGTGACAGAGCCAGACTCCATCTCAAAAAAAAAAAAAAAAATAGAAAGCACTTAGCACAATGCCTGGTAGACTTTGACGAATGGTGATTATCATAGTTACTTTTGTGTAGAAGCTACAGAACTCTTTAAGTAAAACAAGTTTACAAAAAACTAGCAGACCTTGGTAACATGCAACCAGTTATGCCTGTGTGTGAATTGGATTAATTATTTTTAGAAAAATGAATTTTTTAAAAATTGTGGTGATTCTCTCATGGGTATATAAATATGTCAAGACCTCAAACTGTGTACTTTAAATATGTGTGGATTATCATATGTCAATTATACATTAACAAACTTGTTTAAAACAGAGTGGAACTAAAATTTTCAACAGGAATAAGATGGAAGACTGAGATCAGAATTTAAAGTTCCTAAGGTCTTTATGCTATTCAGAAGACTGAATATATTAATATTAGACTTTGTTAAATCAAGTATGTATTTTAAAGTTGCAAGTACCACCACTAAAACAAAAGATATGGATTATGTAAGCAATTGAGAGGAAAAATTGGAATAAAGAAAATTTGAAATATCCAAAAGAAGTCAGGAAAGAAAGAATGATAAATCGAAAATTAAAAATAACATTAATATCTCAATAATCACAGTGTAGATGGTCTAAACTCACCATTAAAATGTAAAGACTATCATTAAATAACAAACGAAAAGACAGATCCATTTTTACTCAGTTCAATTCCACAGGTGTAGGGCTATATGTGTGTAGTAAGAGGATCAAATACCTCTCCCCAACTCAACTTCTTTTAACTGCTTTTCTGAAGGCTTGAAATTAATTGAAGGAAAATTCTTTATACCAAAAATAACAAAGGAAAGTAACTTTGGTGGGAAGAGGAGAGGGTGGGAGAAATGGAAAGGGGACAAAGAGAACTGGCAAAGAAAAATAATGTTTCCATGCCATAATTTCAGCAGAAGGGTAAATTAAATGCACGTGAAATTGTCTAACTGATATCCAGCTGGTTTATTGAAAATGATGTATCACTTGCTACCTAAAATGAGACACTCGGGGCAGGGTGGGGCAAACCTCTGGGACCTCCTAGCTGCTCTTCCTCCCCCCAGGAGGTGTCATGGTGAAGATTCCTTTCCTGAATAGTGGAGCTAGAACTCCTTTAAGGAATTTGAACTAAACCAGGCCAGACGATACAATTCATTCGTTCTTTCATAGAGTCTGCAAAACTTGGTTAGATGGTTTTAATCAATCTTATCGGGAAAACAGATGGAAAGTCCTTCCCAGAAGTTAATCCTTCAGTCTTATTCCAAAAGTAGGCCACATGGCTCCTCGGGCGGTCTGCCTTTGGCAGCACTTTCCCAGTCTCCATCGATTTTACACGTGTTGGGACTGATGTTGAGGGAATTGTAGGTGAGATACTAGGAAACTATGGACATTAATGAAGTTCATTGCCTGTAAGCAGCATCTCTCCAGATATCATTCCCAGCCCAGTTATCTACAAATTTGTGATCCCATCCTGATCACTGGGATGATAAAATAAAAATTGCACAGGACTAAGAATCAAAAGATGTGGCTTCTTATACATCCCTGACTTAATCCACTCAAGGGACAGTAACTGAGTCCAGAACATTACTACTATGAGTTCACCTCAATGATCAAGCAACAAGATGAGAATGGCAATATTTGTTTCATGAATTTCTTAAGAAGAATTGAAATAATATAGAAAAATCTTCTTTGAAAAACCATAATATATGGTAAAGTGGACTTTTTTCTTACATCCATAAGACTGTTTTAAGCTTTCATGGATCTTTGCCTACATGACATCATCTCCTATAGAAGAGGGTGAGAAGCTATAGTTGACATCTATGACACTGTTTTCCTGACATTCCCACTCTCCTCCATCACCACATTCAACCACCCCTTATGCCCCCCCTACCTTGGCCCAGATGAGCATGTAACTCAAACTGAGCCAATCATGATCCCTCTCTTTTTTTGGCCACATTTGAGTATTCCAGGAATAAGCATGTGATTGAGGTGGATGATTCCCTAATCAAATGACTCCCTTCCCCAAATTTTTAGGACATAGAACCAGAAAATCCTTTTTCTGTGGCAAATATACAAGGTATAAAACTTACAACCTATTAGCAGTTATATTTTCTGAGGGAGAACTTTTCAGTTAATATTCCAGTTTCAAGTGTAATATGTCTGCCTTTAGGTGGCCCTGGTCCAGAGACCAGGGTCCCCCAGCCTAAACACCCTATATTTTACCCTGTTGAGAGAATAAACTTCCAGCCTTCTGCTATGATGAGAGATGGGTGATCTCCCACTTGGGCAAAAACCCTTTGATCTCTTCTTAATGGGGTTTCAAAAGGAAACAAAGGTAGATAATGTGTGTGTTAAGCCCGTCTTCAGCTGGAAGCTCAAAATCTTTATAATACACTCATTGCTTTTTATAATATTCTTAATCCATTTTGATGTCTCTGGCCCTTGGGGCCCAAATACTGCCATGCCTACCCCAGACCCTCTACCTTGGTCACATCTTTCCAGTCTTATGCTCTATATTTAAAACCATCCCTCCTCCCATAAAAATTCTCCTTTCCTTAGTTACAGGGTTACATCAAACAGAGAAAAGTATAGATGCATTGATGTGTCATATCAAAGTAACAGGAATTGACTCACTCCTCTCTGGACTATGTATGGCTTTTTAAAAAATAACTTTACTTAAAAAGTAGAAGAAGAAGACAGTGAAAATACAGCCATTTCAATCCACAGAGACAACTTCAAAAGAAACCAAACCTGCTGACACCTTGATCTTGAACTTGACATCAGTGTTAAATCAAAGTAACAAGAATTGACTCACTCCTCTCTGGACTATGTATGGCTTTTAAAAAAATAACTTTTACTTAAAAGAAGAAGATGACTGTGAAAAACACAGCCATCTCAATCCACAGAGACAACTTCAAGAGAAACCAAACCTGCTGACACCTTGATTTTGAGCTTCAGCCTCCAGGATAGTGAAAAATAAATTTCTCTTGTTTAACCCAAAAAAACCCCCACTTTTATTGATTTGTATGTGTGTAATTTCAAAAATCATATATGTTTATCATAAAAAACTTTTAAAGTATAGAAAAGTACAAAGGAGAAAAATAAGATCAATTTTAATTACATCTTTTATAACATTATTTTGGCATATACATGTGATAATCTGCAGATGGCCTCCCAAGATCCTTACATATCCTCATGTAGTCCTTGCTCATGCTGAATCAGGACTGACCCTGAGTGACCAATAGGATACATGAAAAGTGATGACGTATGACTTCCAAGGCAAGGTCATAAAAAACCTTGCATCTTTCATCTTGGTTTCTTGAATCTCTCACTCTGAAAGAAGCCAGTCAGATGCCACCTTATAAGGGTATCCAATAAGACCCATGGAGAAGTCCACGAAGAAAGGAACTGAAGTCTCAGCTAACAGCCAGCACCAACATGCCAGCCATATAAGTGAGCCACCTCAAAAGCAGACCTCAGCAAGATGGTGCAATAGTATTTTCCAGCACATATCCCCTTACAGAAACACCAATTTGAACAACTATCCATGCATGAATGTACCTTCTCAAGAACTAAAGAATCCCAGTTGAGATCAAAAACCCTTTGATCTCATCTTAATGGGGTTTCAAAAGGAAACAAAGGTAGATAATGTGTGTGTTAAGCCCGTCTTCAGCTGGAAGCTCAAAATCTTTATAATACACTCATTGCTTTTTAAAATATTCTTAATCCATTTTGATGTCTCTGGCCCTTGGGGCACAAATACTGCCATGCCTACCCCAGTACAGAAATAAGAAAAGGCACATTGAAGAGGGCGAGAAAGAGTGTCATATTACTGATATCATCCCTCCCCCAAGGGGTGCACAGCACAGAGAAAGATACCTTCCCTGTGGGGGAAGGAGAGTGAACTGAACACCCTACTTTGCTATGGACCACAGCATCGGGCCCACTTCAGTGAAATCCAGTGCCAGAGCAGCCCTCATGATCCCAGGCTCTAGGCTAGCACCTGTGGATAAGGGCATCCAGGGCTACCCTAATGCTGGGCCAGCCCCTATGGCCCCAGGCTGCAAGCAGGCCTCTATAGCATCAGGCTGCAGCTCCATTCAAGCACCACACCAATACAACAGCACTAGGCTCTACACCCAGAGGCATGTCTGCCACAGCAGCTCAACCTCTAGGCCAACCCCTGCAGACACAGGCTTTAGGCAAGTCCCAGTAACCAGGCTAGCCCTTGTGTGGACTCAGGCTCCAGGCCCATCCTAGAACAAAGTGGGCCTCTATGAACTCAGGCTCAAGGTCCATCTCATGGACAGGATGGCCCCCATGAACCTAGACTTCAGGCCAGCCCCTGCAAACACAGGGTCCAGATTCACTCCCATGAACCCAGAATCGAGGCCCACCCCAGGAGATGCAAGCTCCAGGCCTTCCTGCCTGCTGACTCAGGCACCAAGGCAACTTGCCTGAGAATACAGGAGCAAGTCTGCCCTCAGATTCCACCAAACAACCCACCCAGAATCTCTAGATAGACTGGTGAGAGCTTTCCAAAGCCAATATGTAAAAGGTAGAACAGGTGCTTACTTCTTCATATGCATAGACATCAATATATAGCCACAAAGATAGTGAATAATAAGGGAAACACCACCACCAAACAACAAAATTAAGTAACTGACCCTAAATAAATGGAGATCTATGAACTGCCTGTCAGAGAATTCAAAATAATCATCTTAACAGAGCTCAGTGAGCTATAAGAGAATACAGATAACTAAATCAAATCATGAAAACAATATGAAAGCAAAATAGGGGATTCGATGAGGGTATAGAAACCATAAAAAAGAACAAGGCAGAAATTCTGGATCTAAAGAACATAGTGATGGAACTGAAAATTCCATAGAGAGCTTCAACAGTAGCCTCAATCAAGCAGAAAAAAGAATCAGTGAGCTCAAAGACAGATCATTTGAAATATTCAGCCAGAGAAACAACAACAACAACAAAGAAGAAGTAAGAATGAAAAAAGCCTATAGGATTTATGAAACAATATCAAGCAATCCAATATATACATTAGGGGATTCACAAAAGTAGCAAAGAAAGAAAAAAGAGCAGAATGCTTAGGTAAAGAAATAATGATAAGAAACTTCCCAAATCTGGAGAGGCAAATGAGCATCCAGATCTATGAAGCCCAAATAGCCCCAAGCAGATTAAATACAGAGATCTTCACCAAGACACATTACAATCAAATTCTCAAAAGACAAAGAAAAAACTTTGAAAGCAGCAGTAAATGAAATCGAACCCTTACGTTACATACAAAAATGAACTCAAAATAGATTAAAACTTAAACTCAAAATAGATTAAAAACTTAAACTTAACACCTGAAAACTATAAAACTACTACAAGAAAAGATAGGGGAATATCTTCTTGTCATTGGTCTCGGCAATGATTTCTTAGATATGACTCCAAAAGCACAGGCAACAAAAGTAAACACAGAGAGTTGAGATTGCATCAGACAAAAATGCTTCTGCACAGCAAATAATCAACAGACTGTAGAGACAGCCTGTGGGATGGTAGAAAATATTTGAAAACTATGTATTATATCTGATAAGGGACCAATATCCAAAATATGTAAGGAACTCAAAGCAACTCAATAGCAATAAAACAAATAATTCAAATTTTAAAATGGATAAAGGACCTGAAGAGGTATTTCTCAAAAGAAGAAATACAAATGGCCAATAGGTATATGAAAAAATGCTCAGCTGGGCACGGTGGCTCACACCTGTAATCCCAGCACTTTGGGAGGCTGAGGCGGGCAGATCACGAGGTCAGGAGTTGGAGACCATCCTGGTCAGGAGATCGAGACCATCCTGGCTAATACGGTGAAGCCCTGTCTCTACTAAAAATACAAAAACAAAATTAGCCAGGCGTGGTGGCAGGCACCTGTAGTCCCAGCTACTCAGGAGGCTGAGGCAGGAGAATGCTGTGAACCTGGGAGGTGGAGTTTGCAGTGAGCCGAGATCATGCCACTACACTCCAGCCTGGGCGAATGAGCAAGACTCTGTCTCAAAAAAAAAAAAAAAAAAAAAAAAAAAAAAAAAGAAAGAAAGAAAGAGAAAAAGAAAGAAAAGAAAAAAGAAAAAAACATTTAAAATAGAACTATCATATACTTCAGCAATCCCACTTCTGAGTATTTATCCAAAGAAAATGAAATCAGCATGTCAAAGAGATACCTACACTCCATGTTCATTGTGGCATTATTTATAATAGCCAAGATGTGGAATCAGCCTAAGCATCCATTGACAGTTGAATGGATAAAGAAAATGCGGTATATACAATGGAGTGCTATTTAGCCTTAAAGAATAAGAAAATTCTGTAATTTGCAACAACATGGATAAACCTGGAGACTATTATGCTAAGTGAAATAAGCCAGACACAGAAAGACAAGTTCTGCAGGATCTCATTTTTTGTGAAATCTAAAAAAGTTGAACTCAGTAACAGAGAGTAGAATGAGGATTGCAAGGGGCTGGGAAGAGGTGAGAATGAGGAGGTTTTGATCAAAGGGTACAAAATTTCAGTTTGACAAGATGTATAAGTTCTGTTGTACAGCATAATGACTACAGTTAATATTGTATTGTATACTTGAAAATTGCTAAGAGGATATATCTTAAATGTTCTCACCACAAAAATAATGATTGGTATATGAGGTGATAAGTATGTTAAATAGGTGATTTGATCTTTTTGTAATGTATACATATATCAAAACATCATGTTTTACATCATAAATATATACAATTTTAGTTTGTCAATATCTTAATAAAGCTTGGGGGCTGGAAATAACGATAAGAAAAGTAAATCTCTAGTCCCTATTGAGTCTTCCGAAGACTCTAGTCCCAAGTGACAACTGACTGCAACCTCACAAATGAAACTCCTTAATCTGACCTTCTCCTGAATTTCTGGCCCAAAGAAATCATGTGAGGTAATAAATGCTTACAGTTGTTTAAAGGCACTTAGTTTTGGAATGATTTGTTACACAGAAATAAGTAATAAAATACCTTTCTTATCTTTACTAAAATGCATAATGGTCAAATATACAAAAGTTTGCATTTTGTATTTGCTATATATCATAAATATTTTCACTGTAATAAATATTCCTTTTTTTTTTGGAGATGGAGTCTCGTACTATCACCAGGCTGGAGTGCAGTGGTGTAATCTCGGCTCACTGCAACCTCTGCCTCTCAGGTTCAAGCAATTCTCCTGCCTCAGCCTCCCTAGGAGTGGGACTACAGGCATGCACTACCATGCCCAGCTAATTTTTGTATTTTTAGTAGAGATGAGGTTTCACCATGTTGGCCACAATGGTCTCAATCTCCTGACCTCATGGTCTGCCCCCCTCGGCCTCCCAAAGTGCTGGGATTACAGGCGTGAGCCACCGCGCCCGGCCTAAATATTATTAAATATTCCAATGTCATGAAATATTCTGTTGTATGTCATCAAACATGGTTTTTTCTAGATTCCTGCACAATATTCTATGCTATCTACATAGTATAACGTATTATGTCTTAAAAGTAGATGTCTGAAAAAGTAATGTCTCAATTGCAATGACGAAAGGTTGGTTGAGAAAAAACATATATGCATATATATGCAAGGTAACTCTGCATACTTTGTTAATACTTTCATTCATTCACCAAATTTAAGATTAGGAAGTTGGTATGTGTCATGCACCTGATCTTATGTCTGGTAATCTGGGAGAGGTAGAAATGATGAAGACATTGTTTAAGGTCTCAATCACACTTGCACAGCACTTGGCTTTTGTCTAAACCTACCTAAAGCCCCAAACAGAGAGTAATCATGTTATACCTGGTATGCATAATTTGAAAAACATGTCTAATCTCTACCACATGTAAATTTGTGTCCTAATGAATCTCATTACAACAAATGATACAAAATATTACTTAAACATTTACTATATGTAAGGTTATATCTGGTTCCCAGAGGGATTTCTTTAAAATAGGTTTATTGAAACATAATTCACATACCATACAATTCACTGCGTTTTGCTATATTATATAGTTAATTTTTAAATTGTAATAAATATATATAACATAAATTTGCTATTTTGACCATTTTTACGTGTACTATTCAGTGGTATTAATTACATTCACAATGTTGTGCAATCATCACCACTATTTGCAAAACTTTTTTATCACACCAAACAGAAACTTTACAACTATTAAGAAATAACTCTCTATTCTCCCTTTCCCCCCACCCCCAGCCACCTCTAATCTACTTTCTGTTTCTATGAATCTGCATATTGTAGATATTTCACATAAGTGGAATCATATAATATTTGTTCTTTTGTGTCTGGATTATTTCACTTAGCATGATGTTTTCAAGGTACATTCATATTTTAGCATATATGAGAACTTCATTCCTTTTTATGGCTGAATAATTTCCCATTGCATGTCTATGCCACATTTTGTTTATCTCTTCATCTGTTGATAGACATGTGGGTTGTGTCTGGTTGTGTCTGCCTTTCAGCTATTATAAATAATGCTGCTATGAACATTAGTGTACCACAGAGAGTTTTTTTTAAAGCACAAAATAAGGCCTAGACATGAAGGAATTTATAATTAGGTTGTTGAGAGAAGAAACTCTTGGAAAATTAACCACAGAGGCAAATAGTAGTTGAATAAATTAAAGAAACACCACCAGACATGGGATTAAATATATAAGAAAGTATTTATATAGTATTACAGTATATAAATGTTATAGCATTTCTGAAGAGGGCAAATTCACTCAAGACTGGTGACAGCTTCATCATCAAATGAGGAAGAACAAAAATGTTGTTCACTTCATAATTTACAAAGTTTCTGACATCACAGTTTCAGTGGGGTTGAAAACATGTGATCAGATTTTATGTGTTTAAAATCTGAAAGAGACTTGAGAAAATAAAGGTGGTATGTGATGGAATACTCACTGAGAATCTTGGCAGTGAAATCAGAGAATCCAAATGGGTCATCAGAGGGGTGCCGCAGGTTCAGGTAGATTGGGTGTAGTTTCCATGGCAAAGAAGAGATATGGATGTTTTAAAAGAAAATATCCTAGAAACAAAAGAAATTGAGAGAAGACATTGAAGAAGGATGCATTCATTGACCAGAAGGTGAGGAGACAGTTTCAGATAGAAAACACAGACATGGGCCGGGTGCGGTGGCTCACGCCTGTAATCCCAGGACTTTGAGAGGCCAAGGCGGTCGAATCACTTGATATCAGGAGTTCAAGGCCAATATGGTGAAACCTCGTCTCTACTAACACAAAAAATTAGCCAGGCATGGTGGTGCACGCCTGTAATCACAGGTACTCAGGAGGCTGAGGCAGGAGAATGACTTGAATTCAGGAGGCGAAGGTTGCAGTGAGCCAAGATCGGACCACTGCACTCCAGCCTGGGTGACCAAGTGAAACTCTGTCTCAAAAAAAAAAAAATGTGCACACTCCAAGGTTGGGGCACCTCTTTGAGTAGCATGTGGCACAATTACCCTATGTTTTGTCTTTGTCAGAGGGCCTCCATTACCAGAGAAACAGCCCTAGTTCCCAGCAGAAGAAATAAGAGAGTGTTCCAGAACAGTCTGTCCCCCTGGCCCAGCCTCCTGTTCCTTGGGCTACATACATAATCTCAACTCATTTGTAGGTCCCTGATTCTCACTGTTTTGTGAAATCAACCAGTGGGACCACTCAACCCAGATTTCTTGACCTTCCCTGAAGGCCCATTCATGCCTGACTTGGTCACTGCTTCCCCCTCTTTTTTTTTTTTTTTTTTTGAGACGGAGTCTCGCTCTGTCACCCAGGCTGGAGTGTAGGTTCACGCCATTCTCCTGCCTCAGCCTCCCGAGTAGCTGTGACTACAGGCACCCGCCACCAACACCTGGCTAATTTTTTGTATTTTTAGCAGAGACGGGGTTTCACCGCGTTAGCCAGGATGGTTTCCATCTCCTGACCTCGTAATGCACCCGCCTCGGCCTCCCAAAGTGCTGGGATTACAGGAGTGAGCCACCGCACCCGGCCCAGTCCTTCCTCATTTTCTATTGATATATTTTTTTAATGGTAGTCTCTGCAGGATCCAACAGTTAATGGCACTCACCAAGAGATTTTTCTTTAACTGACTCGGAAATTTGTATGTGCAATTTGAATGTGAAATTGCACACATTCCCTCCCTTCCTTTTCCCCACCCTAGAGGCTGTTGAGGATCATTTCTTGAGGCTCAGTCTCTAGTCTTCCTCACCCTTTCTCCAAGGAGAACTGGACAATCATGCACAATTCTCATGTGCCTGCATATTTAATTCTAACCATTCTCTTCACTTTCCTCTCTTCTACTTCTTAGCCAAGTGTTACTTCACAGAAATCTCACCCTATTTGGGAACCAAAAAAAAAAAAATCCAAAAAATTTCCAAAAAAAATTGCCCTACTTGGGCCGGGTGTGGGTGGCTCACGCCTGTAATCCCAGCACTTTGGGAGGCCGAGGCGGGTGGATCATGAGGTCAGGAGATCGAGACCATCCTGGCTAACATGGTGAAACCCCATCTCCACTAAAAATACAAAAAAATTAGCCCGGCGTGGTGGCGGGTGCCTGTAGTCCCAGCTACTAGGGAGGTTGAGGCAGGAGAAACGTGAACCCAAGGGGCGGAGCTTGCAGTGAGCCAAAGATTGCACCACTGCACTCCAGCCTGGGCGACAGAGCGAGACTCCGTCTCAAAAACAAAACAAACAAACAAACGAACAAAATTACCCTATTTGGGAACCAACAAAAAAGAATGGCTACACATTAACAGCAGAACTAGTCGTACTTTGTCCTTCAGGAAAAGGCAAGCACAAAGTTTAACAGTAAAATTAGACATAAAAGCCTAAAAAAGGTCTCTCTACCTAAGGGTCACTTAGATAAGGCAGTCCCCTTTAAAAAAAAGAATTCCATTTACTTCCTCATTTTTCGTTGGTAAATTTGCTTTTCCTCCAATATTAAGAAACAAGATAAATATGATTTATCTCTTACGCTTGTCCCTGACTCTAGTATAGCACCTGGCACTTCCTGGATTCTTTACTAGTGTTTGTTGCTTTGAATTCAAGGTGGTTTTGTTGATCCAGTATATACTTTTTCTGTTTGGTTAATTAACATATTATTAATATATTAATGTGATATAATTATTAGCATATTAATATATGATATAATGTATTAATGTAGAAATAGTACATCAATAGTTAGATTTCATTGAATAATTTCAAATGCATACATGTTTAGAATAAATAATATATTATAAATACATTGTAATAATTTCGTTGTAGATACGTGGCATTTTAGGTGCAGTATGCAGTCACTATTTATAACTTTGTTTCTATGGGGAAAATGTAAAGTGAATTCAGAGGGCCAAGAAAATTATTAAAAACAAACTTTTGGACCATTACCAATTTGTAAATCATGCAATGAATGGTCATTATTTATATATGTCTTTAACTTTTATTTTGATTTCAGAATTTTCTGACTGGTTAAACTCTAGTTTCATAACCAAACCCTCATGGAATAAGACAAGAACCAAAAATGTGATCATTCCAGTTGGCTGCAACTCATTGCCAGGATTTCAGAGACCTATGTTTCCAGGTCTCTGCCATTGGTGGGGCCATAAGAACCTACAGTGTCTTCTGATTTTATCCACTTCCACCAGTTCTATTTTTGTATCTCCGTATTTAGCACACAGAAGCTATCTTTATCACACCAGCTGACTGGCATGAGAGTCCCCAAGGCATAGTAGTTATAGAAGATTATTATAGCATACTTCCTATCCTTCAAATAAGACAATGCAAAATGCAGAAAAGACATCAGCAAGTGGTCACAATGTTGGAAGTATGTGCGTGTGTGCATGTGCACTTGTGTGTGTTTCCATTGCTAAAGATTTATTTCTTTGTACTAAGTTGTAGGCACTATTAGGAGCATAATGTCTATAATGGTTTTTGGAACTCGATTTTAGGCTGTGTAATTGAATCTATTCCTATACCTAAAATTCACTTCAAAACATTATGATAAAGTCTTTTACAAGCATATCATCCAGATTTCAAATTTGGATAATGTTTATTAAAAAAACTTCTATTGCCCTAATTCTCAACTGAGGAATCCATAGTTACCCAGCCCAGGTGAAGAGCTGAATCATTCTAATAAGCCAAATCTCCAAAACTGCCAGTCCTTGGCTTGCTATTCAACTATTCAATCTTACTTGATATAGAATGTTCAGCTCAAATGTTTCAGAATGGAGATGACTGTGAGTACAGAAAAGGTAGCAATATCTCATAGTCTAAATTTCACATTATTTATGAGCTGTGGGTGGCACCGTAGCTCTTCTGTTTAGATTTGCACTGTCTTATACAGTAGCCACTAGGCACCTGAAGCTATCAACTTGAAATGAGGCTAGTCTGAGTTGAGACATGCAGTAAGGATAAAATACACACTGGGTTTCAAAGACTTATTACAAAAAGGGAATATAAAGTTTTTATTAGTGGTTTTTTATATTGGGTGCATGTTGAAATGTTATCTTGGATATATTTGGTTAAATCAACTATATTATTATTATTATTTTAGAAAGGGTCTTGCTGTTGCCCATGCTGGAGTGCAGTGAGTGGTGCAATCATAGTTCACTGCATCCTCGAAATACTGGGCTCAAGCAATCCTCTCACCTCAGTCCCCTGAGTAGCTAGGACTACAGGCATGCACCACCATGCCCAGCTAATGTTTAAAATTGTTTTTGTAGAGACAGGGTCTTGCCATGCTGCCCAGGCTGTTCTTGAAATCCTGACCTCAAGCAATCCTCCCACCTTTGCCTCCCAAAACACTGGGATTACAGGTGTAAGGCACTATCCCCCACTCCTTAAACTATGATATTAAAATTCATTTTATCTGTTTCTTTTTATTTTTTGAAATGTGGTCACTAGGAAATGTAAAATGAACTATGTAGGTCACATTAGTGGCTCACATTTTATTTATATTTTATTTTTTTAATTTTTTTGAGACAGGATCTCACTTTGTTGCCCTGGCTGGAGTGCAGTGGTGTGATCATAGCTCACTGTAGACTTGAACAACTGGGCTCAAACAATGTTGCCAACTCAGCCTCCTGAATATCTAGGACTATAAGCACGTACCACCATGCCCAGCTATTTTTTTTTTTTTTTTTTTTTTTAGAGACAGGATCTCACTATGTTGCCCAGGCTGGTCACCTGGGTTCAAGTGATCTTCCAGCCTCTGCCACCCAAATTGTTGGGATTACAGGTATGTATTTCTACAGGACTGTGCTGTAGGGTGTTCCATAATAAATAGTAAGAGCAGTAAGTAGTCTTTAAAACTGGAAGTCAGAGCTGCTGCCGAATTTTACTCCATATCAGGCTAACCAGAGAAGAGTATGACTTGGAGTGATGTAACAGCCCACACATGTTTAGTTTCCCCATCCAAAGAATTCTAGTAATACCCAGCAAGACAACTATGAACACAGGCCGCTAAGAGAAATAAATAAATGTTACCACAGCATAATACCTGCCTTACTTAACTGTTTCCTAATTGATAACCCATCCCTCATTTTCATCTAAGGGATGTGCCCATTTCATGGCATGGAAACTAGATATTGAATCATTAATTCACTTGTTTTGAGTTTTTGTTGTTTTATTCTCCTGCCCATTGCTATTAAAATGAAGACTAGGGACAATTTAAAAAATAGAAACATGAATTTGCTATTTATAAATGTAATAGAAAGAAACACTTTTAAGATTCTATGTCTGGGCAACAGGGAGTTATTCAGAGGCAAGAAAAGTCACAGCAATATCGCTGTGCATTTTACTAGCTATGTGCACAGGGAGGCGTTCACACTGACCCTGAATATTAATAAACATAAAAAGTTCAGCAGCAAATCCCTGTTGTGGGATTACCGGATTACTGAATTAAAAACACATTGGAAGTCATTGCTGCCAGCAAAGAATTGTGTAACTGCTGGTAAAAAAGAAAAAAAAAAAAAACAATAGTGATTTCTGTAGGAGAACAAAACAATAATATCTTTGTAATGTTCTGAAATCGCTACATGAATAAAGCTGAGACGGGCTCCCCTGCATTTCCCAGTTTGATTTGCTGACCATCTTGTCTGCCCATAATTGTTTTCTGCCATTCATTTCCTCCAATTGTCAATTATTACTAAAACAATTATGAAAAAAGTGCATGTCTTTGTTTCCTGCTGCTGATGAATGCAGTGAAGTCATAGAACAGGCCAGTGCATCATAATCTTTTCCATTACAATGGATTATGCTGTCACAAACAGGATATAGCCCTTTACTTGGAGGAGAGGCCGTCAATGGCAATGAATTAGCATGAACATATTGTCAGCCATGACAGCAAGAAATCAGAACAGAGACTTAGCTCTGTACATTTTGAAAACATACTGGGTTTTGTTCCTGATTATAAAAGTAGTACATGCTTATTTATCCTGGAGACAAAGTAGAAAATCAAAATCACCATTATCCCACCAACCAGAAATTTTTTTTCGAGACGTAGTCTCGCTCTGTCACCCAGGCTGGAGTGCAGCGGCGCGATCTTGGCTCACTGCAACCTCCGCCTCTTGGGTTCAAGCAATTCTCCTGGCTTAGCCTCCTGAGTAGCTGGGACTACAGGCGCATGCCATCACGCCTGGCTAAGTTTTGTATTTTTAGTAGAGATGGAGTTTCACCATATTGGCCAGGCTAAGAAATTTCTATTGTTAACAGTTGGTGTATGACTTTTTAGCTCTTACTTCTTTTTTCATATGTACATATATATTTTTTAAGCAAATGGGGTCACACTATATACATAATTTTGTAGACTTCTTACATTCACTGAATGTAAGTGTAAATGTTCACTTAACATTTACTATGAATAGTTTCCAATGTCATTAAATATTATAATGTAATTTAATGTCTGTATAAAATTTCATATTGTGGAATGTTATTTAACAATTCCCTGTATATTTAGGTTAGTTACAAAATGTATCTGTTATGAATAGTCTTTTACACACGCATTATTGTCTCAATTTATGATGTTTTTAAGAATAGATCCCTAAAAGATAGACTTTTTGCTTTTTACTAAAAAATATATTGTGTATTTTGAAGTAAATATTTAGAATCAAAGATCTAGGAAATCTTAATAAAAAGGCACGTATGTGCATTGAAAGTTTAGTAGCCAAACATATGTGCCTGCCTAAAATGGTAAACAGGTGAAGTATTTTTAATGATTAGAAAGTTTAAGATAAATCTAAAACTGTTCTATTCAAAATGCCTTTCAGGCCAACAAGCTGTAAGGGTGTATGTAATTCCATGGAGTCTTCTTCCAGAATTTCCTAGCACAACTAGCCTTCTTGAATTTGCTATTTAGAGATTCCTAAAGAGCTTGCTTCTAGTGCCTGGCTCTGCTGTCTCTGGGCTGAGCGTTGTTTTCTGGTATTGCCACTAGAGAGCAGCCAGGGACAAGGAGAGGAGGTTGACACCCTTGGTCTTTTCTCTTCAGCATAACCTTTTTCTAAAAATTGCACGATCTAATTTATATGTGGAATATTTTTTAAACCCTAAAACACAGAGATACAGAATGAAACAGTGGCCACTAAGGGTGGGAGGAGGGGGGAAAGGGAAATGGGGACATATAGGTCAAAGGATACAAAATAGCAGACACTAAAGAACAAGTTTGGAGGCTGGGTGCCGTGGCTCACGCCTGTAATCGCAGCACTTCAGGAGGCCGAGGCAGGAGGATCATTTGAGGTCAGGAGTTCAAGACCAACTTGGCAACATGGTGAAACCCTGTTTCTACTAAAAAATACAAAAATTAGTGGGTGCAGTGGCGTGTTCCTGCAGTCCTAGCTATTTGGGAGGCCGAGGCACAAGGATCACTTGAGCCCTGGAGGTGGAGGCTGCAGCAAGCCGAGCTTGTGCCACTGCATTCCAGCCTGGGTGATAGAGGGGGACCTTGTCTTGAAGAAGAAAGAAAAAAAAACAAGTTTGGAGATCTAATGTCCAACCTCAAGATGAAATTTAATAAAATTGTATTGTATTCGGGATTTTTGTAAAATAAGTATGTTTTAGCCACACATGTCATACAAAAAAAGTAACTATATGAGATTATAGATTCTTCATCATAATCTTTATTTCACCAGATGACCAAGGGAAAATTTAAAATGAGCCACTAAGGGGAAAAACGATTCTGGAGGTTAATAAATAAGGAAAACCTCTGGGTATAAATGATTTCCATTTTCTCAGAGAGAGTAACCAAAAGATGGAGAATTCTACGAGGGCCATCAAAGTTACGAACAATAGAAGACCTGGAACCTGGCTAAAAACTGGGTTCTAGCATGAGCAACTGGCGCCCTTAGCTCTTTGCAGATGGAGAAAGTGAATCTAGAGCCAGAGGCTCAACATTCTGTATATGAGTCTCAGTTGTGAGGGCTTTGGCCCCTACACATGGTGGTTCCATTTTCCATCTGCCTCTCATTAATGATGTGATCATGGACATGTTACTTAATCTCTCTGACCTCACTTTTCTCAACTACAAAATGTGGCTGGCAATGGAACCTGCCGATAGATGGTTGCAGAGGCAGAAGGAGATAATGGAGATAAAAGGCTTGACATCGAGTAAGTGCTTAATAAATGTTGTCGTTTTTATTTCCAGTTCTCACCTCCCTCCTAAGCTGTTTTCCATTCTCAGCTGTTCGCTTACTATTTCTATCTGACTATTCCATCATTCCCTCAAATTTCCTGTGTTTGAAACCAAAATCCCCATCCCTCTCACTAACTCCCTGACCTGCTGCTGTCTCTTTGGCCATTTCTTTGAATGGAGCCATAAAACATAACATCCTCTTGAACACATTCTCTCCTCCTATAACCATACCCAATTAGTTTGCAAAACGCGTCAGTTTGTTCTCAGATGTGTCTCCATTGGGCTTCTTTCTCTCTGTCTTCATCAGAACCCAGGCCTCGGTGCCCTGATCTCTCCCCCAGCAAGTTCTGCCTCCAACCGGCAGATCTTATGCACGCCATTTCCCTTTTCAGAACTTCTCATCGGCCCCAGGTGTCTTTAAATTCTTGACTCCTTAGTTCACCATTAAAGTCCCACCACCTTCTGAACCCAGCCTCCTCCAGGCACTTCTTTCCTGCTCCATAGGCTCATTCCCTCTGCTGCTGTCAAGCTGGCTGACTCTCAGTTCCCTTGAAGAGTTGCCAGATTTGGGAAATCAGAATACAGGGCCCCCAGCTAAGTGTGAGTTTCTGATAAACAGCAAATACTATTTTCGTATAAGTAGGTCCCATGCACTAAGTCTCATACACAGTCATGCAGTAGGGCACACTTAGACTAAAAAAGTGTTTGTTGTTTATCTGAAATTCACATTGAACTGGGCATCCTGTATTTCATCTGACAGCCCTATTCCTTGGGCGCAGGAAGGCCATTCCTGTCTCTGCTCATGCTCACAGCTCCATTCTTATCATAGATGTCCTCATCTCCCTCATCCATCAGCTCTCCTCCCGCTTACCAAGACCCAACTCAGCCTCAGGCCTCCATGAAGCCCGTCTGGATCAGGTCTTCCTTAGGTGGCACTCATTATCTACGTCATTAATTTGGCTCCACATACAGGATGCTTTGTGTCCTGTATACTTCCCTTTTTTCAACTTAACATTGAGTTTTTCAAGGATAGAGATTATATTGTAAGTTAGAAAACTTAATAAATAGGTGTTCATGGTGTGGTGCTGCTTGTAGACCTGTAATACAGGATGAGACAGTAGGAGAAAAGTCTCCAAAAGCCAATTGTCTGAATTTAAGGTGCCTGTAAATACACAAGAATCATCGTGCAATACCCCTCTACCCCACCCAGCGTCAGGCCAGATGGCAGGTGGGTGTAGTTTCCAGTCTGAAGAAGAAGACCTTGGCATGCTTCTCCCACATCCCTCTTCAACACATCCCCCAAGTTGTACATTGTATTTGGTGACATCTAAATTTCTTGCTGCTTCATATGGTCTCTTCAGTAACCTGATTTTACTTGTATTTAAATGTGAAGGCCAGGGTTGGCTCTATTATTATGTAAACTGTAAACACATGGTGATTGTAGGAGTTACTCTGGAAATAAGGCAATACATTTCTATGTAATTAATTAAAAAGCTAAAAAATTGATAATTTTTTTCAAAATTAGCTAACTCTAACTTAAAATGTTCTCAGCAACTTGTAGATACATAAAACAATCTGTAGAACTACCGTAGAACTATTAAGCAATTTCTAAGAACTGTATTTTAAATACCTGGCATTTCATGAATACAATTTTTTTTTTTTTTTTTTGGCGATGGAGTCTCACTCCATTGCCCAGGCTGGAGGGCAGTGGCGCGATCCCGGCTCACTGCAACCTCCACCTCCTGGGTTCAAGCGATTCTTCTGCCTCAGCCTCCCAAGTAGCAAGGATTACAGGCATGTGCCACCACGCCCAGCTAATTTTGTATATTTAGTAGAGACGGGGTTTCACCCTGTTAGCTAGGCTGATCTCAAACTCCCAACCTCAGGTGATCCACCCGCCTCGGTCTCCCAAAGTGCTGGGATTACAGGCGTGAGCCACCACGCCTGGCCCCATGAATACATTTATAAATCTATGGTCATCTGGAAACCAATGACCAGCAATGAGCCTTTTACAAGTGAAAAAATATATTCTTGAAATAATACATCTAACTCATAATTTTATCTTTCTTAAACCTTACATACAGTTAAAACATTTTCATTCTCATAATGTAAACATGTGAATGTGTCAAATGTGAACGTTGTTTTGAAACTCTAAGGGAAATGAGTTCAACATGATCAGAAATCAGAATTGCTGTAAGCAACATTGCTGTAATTAGAGCCATGTGGCGTGGCAATTAATTAAGTCACCTTAGAGTCCACTCTGTGGAAGATCTAAAGTGGACTCAGAACTGACTTTGCAGCACTGGAATGTCCTGAAAATAAATGCTGAGGGTTTGTTTGTTTGTTTCTTCAGATCTATCATATTTATTCAGATTAATTTCATTTCCCTCTCTTTTTTTTTTTAACCACTTAAGTTCAGCTAAGAAATCATGATCTTTCTATTCAAACATATTATACTTTCTAACAGTTTCCATGGAATTATAATTTTCTAATCAGTAAAAAATAACCCTTAAATTCTCCCAGGAAAGAAGACGGCCAGTGGGATCCACACTGAGCCTGAGCCGAGTCCTGGCCTCCTGTGCCGGTTCTAGCTGGTTCTGCTTTTCTGGCTTCCAGCTTTGCTATCTTCTTGGGACAGATTCTAAACATCCCAATCTCAAACAGGGATAGGGCAAAAGAAATAACAGCCACACATTTCCTTCTGCTCTTCCTTTTCAATAATCCACCAGAACCGTATTCCTCTGTTAGTCATTGTGGTAACATTAATCAAGTTACTCCAAGACACAAATGTGGTTATTATCAGCAGCGGATGCAAATATGGTGCATCATTTAAACAAATGTGCTTGTTTAATGGCAAAGAATGTTAAAAGAATTTGGAATGTCCCTAGTAGCTTTCCAAGTTTTTGTGGGCAACATCAACTGTTCTTGGATTTAATCCATTTCCTTTCAACCTTACCATTTCCAAACCCAGTGACATTTTTCAAGGTACTCAAAACATAATGAACGAATGTTTGGAAATAATAATTTAAATCTACATAACTACTATGAACACTTTCTATCACTGGAAACTATTCAGTGCTGTTTTTTGTGGTTCTAGAAGATTCTCCATTTTCTGAAAAATGAATGTTCAAGACAAAAAACCTGTATTAAAATTTGTTATCTTTGCTTAATTTTATACAAAATTTAAATTTTATATATAACTTTTATACAATTGTCCATTTCTGCTTGAAGGCCTATTTATTAAAAGTATTCTAAACTATTATTCATCAAATAAATTATAGGTGGATTATTAATCAGCAATTTGAAAAGGGCAGACAAGCAGACAAATATCAAAAATATATTTTTAAAGGTGATCATCAATGAAATTATTTATACTATCTAAACCCCTGATAATAATGAAACTGAAGAAAGTTTGTAAAGTTATTGTCAAGAAACAACTTTTTAAAATATTTATTGTAAAAACCTGAAGATGTCATAACCAAGGTTGATTTCTACATTTCTTCAGAGATATGAGCAAAGCATATTGAAAAGTTACATGAGGATCGGACCTCAAATCATATCCATTGTCTGTGGCTAATATCCATAGTTCATGAAGTGCATTAAGACGCAACAACAGACAGATTTTTAAATGACACTTACCTTTGCAGAACTGCAATAATGTTGATCCCTATAGTGAATTGTCTTTTTCTTTCCACTTCATCACCTCTAGCAAGTTTCTCTTCAACGTGCCTAAACACCTAGAATTCCTGTTCTGTCTTCTAAAATGCTGTCATCACCTCCATTGCCCAAATCTAGTTCAAAAGTGAGGAGAGAAAAAAAATTGAAATTTGCAAGCTGTTTATGCCTAACAACAACATTGAAGCTGCTAAGCTTTGAGCTCAATGAATTAAAGGTTGTTTGGCTAAATGGCAGGCAGACTTCCTCCTATTCTTTCCGAACTTAGTTTTCCTGCCTCCAGTGGAGCTTTTTCCTTTCCTGGGCTATAAATAGGCTGGTGGTAAGAGTACTGAGGAAAGAAGAAGGCAGGAAATGTATTTGATTTCAGAAAGCAGCCTTAGGTATATGAGTGCATGTGTGCTTCTTTCAAATGAATACCAACAAACAAACTAAAAATTTGGCCTCAAATAATTCAGCTTTGGTCTGTGCACCATAGTCAACATTTTCTTTAATTTCCTATGGTCTCAGTTTTACTATAAGTTGTCATATCCTATAGACACTTAAATATGGTTGATTCTTCAAGGTGGGAGTGTATGTCTGGAATGAAGGGACAGTTTAATTTGTGACATACATATTTTTTTCCCTTTCAAATATTATACTGTGTATGCCATGCTTTCAAAACATTAATTTTAAAGACAATTTTTAAAACTGTTATTACTTAAGGTCCTTCATATAATTCTATTAGATGTCTATGTATTGATTTGTTATCTAACAGTCATCTATTTATCTGTCACCTCCCTCCCTTACTCTGTCATTCTACACTTACTGTCTGTCAACAGTGTTTGTTTTAGCCACCCAGTAAGTGTTTGTTTTAGCTGCTCTTTACGTGAGTAACACTTTGAGAAGAAGCACAAGGAATTTCTCCATAGGAGGGGCTACTTAAAGAGTGGTCCAAGGACCGGCCAGGCGCGGTGGCTCACGCCTATAATCCCAGCATTTTGGGAGGCCGAGGTGGACGAATCACGAGGTCAAGAGATGGAGACCATCCTGGCCAACATGGTGAAACCCTGACTCTACTAAAAATACAAAAATTAGCTGGGCATGGTGGCATGCACCTGCAATCCCAGCTACTTGGGAGGCTGAGGCAGGAGAATGGCGTGAACCCAGGAGGCGGAGGTTGCAGTGGGCTGAGATTGTGCCGCTGCACTCTAGTCTGGCAACAGAGCGAGACTCCGTCTAAAAAAATTTTAAAAATTAAAAAAAAAAAAAAGACAAAAAAAAGTGGTCCGAGGACCAGTAGCATCAGCAACCCTGGATCAGAACCTCTGGGGCTGGGGCTCAGATGATTAACTTCAGGTGATTCTGATGCTCACTAAATAGGAGAAACATGGATCTACATAATTACTTTGTGTGCATGTTTATTAATATCTCTTCAAAAAGGAATTTAAGAGTAGATTTTTTTAATGTAAGAATCAGAAAATAATGTATATGCTTTTTATGCTGGTAACCTCCATCTAGATGACTAGAAGAGTTTTTAGATCTAATGTTAAGAAGACATACTAATTTCCTAATTACTTGGAGAAGCTACCTAATGTGAGGCAAAAGCAGTGGAAAAAACAAAAGGATAGTATTTAAGAGAGAGACAACAGCACTCACACATGGTGAAGAGTCATCCTACATATAGATAAATTCTAAGCAAATTTTACTAACAGCTATATCTAAAAATTATAAGTTGTCTGAAACAAAACCAAAGTAAACAGTGAAGAAATGAAGCTTCTAATGGAAATACAATGTCCCAGCCCCCACTTTTTTTGTTTGTTTGTTTGAGACAGAGTCTTGCTCTGTCACCCAGGCTGGAGTGCAGTGGCGCGATGTTGGCTCACTGCAACCTCCGCCTCCCAGGTTCAAGCAATTCTCCTGCCTCAGCTTCCCAAGTAGCTGGGATTACAGGCATGTGCCACCACGCCCGGCTAATTTTTGTATTTTTAGTAGATATGGAGTTTCACCATGTTGGCCAGGCTGGTCCTGAACTCCTGACCTCAGGTGATCCACCCGCCTCGGCCTCCCCAAGTGCTGGGATTACAGGTGTGAGCCACCGCGCCCGGCCCCCAGCCCCTATTTTTGTTTAGTGATTTGATTATTGTTTTGAAACCCAGCCATTTCTTGTCCATGCTTGGGTTTCATACTAGGCCCCCGTATAATAGAAGCAATAGGTTGAACAATGAGCTCAAGCCAGAGCTGATAAGGAAAAAGTAAGGGTGTCCACATCCTAAGTACAGATTGGGAGGAAAATGTTTCTTCAGAGAGAAAGAGAGAAACAGAATGCGAGGGAGAGAGAAAAAAAAGACGGATAGAGAAAAAAAGAAAAAGAGAGGTGAATGACTTCCTTGTAATAGCAGAAAGGAAGAAGGAAGTCCATGGTGCTCAGGATATAACAGCTGCAGTGTATTGAAAGAGCTAGAAAGTACATGAGTTGACTTTGGCAAGAAAATGGCTGGCAGTGGGGTAATATGTTTTTGAGAGCAAACCGTGCTCCCATGTGAGAAGAATGAATGCTTCTAAGAAACTCCAAGTACATTTACTAGGCTTCTTTCATTGTCCTCTGGAAATATTCCTTCTATTTTTTGTGGGGAAGTATTTTACTTGTCAAAAAGAACAACGTCACAGAACTCCCCGTATTGCCCATCTCTAGAAATGAATCATTCAAACGTCTATGGGAACAACAAGGCTCTGTATTCTTAATCTAAAATTAATGACAGACTCTCTCAAAAGGCATAGTGGGAAAAAGTCAAAGGCCTTGTTAGGAAAGATAATGTGTGACATTCTTCAATTATTTTGGTTCTGTCAGTGGAGGAAAATACGGTTTTTAAAATTGAAGTCCCTTAAAAAGTTTTCAATATATAAAATATAGAGAAAACCTAAGCAAAAGTTCTCAAAGAAAACGCAAAAAAGAGTCTGCATATTATTGCTTAACTGAGATGAATGCACTTATGTATCTGAGCCTGTATGTCCCATAGGTATTTTTAATAATAGCTTATCTTTATCCCCAAAGTGCAGAAGCTCTAGATAATGACCAAATTGTGGGCTATGAACTGTGTTCCTTTGACTTGAATTGTTGCATCATACTAATGAAAATAAGTCAAAACTGCTAGAATAACCACTCAAAAGAACACAGGTTAAGGATGGCTCTCTAAATCACAGCAGGAATAATGAAAAGGTGGTTGAAAGTTAGGAAGGACTTCTCCATCTTAAAAATAAAATATAAGAGTTACCAACTCTTTGAAAGAGCTAGAAGACTTAGTGGGATAGAAAAAAAGCTTTTCCATTAATTTAATTGAAGTTGATTTGTGTTCATCAGTAGTTTATTTAGACTGATTCTCAGCAAACATAATGTTAAAGTTACCTTGCAAATTAGAAAACTCTTGGCACAAATAAAACAGTGCACAATATCTCCCAAGAGAAGCCCAGCCTTGGTAAAGTTCAGTTGGAAAATCTAAACCAGACTACCTTCCCTGCACTAGACTTTGGTTTCTGTTGGTATTCTGTCACTCTGCCATGCACCTAAAATAAAACAGCATGAGTTTTTGTGTAACAACAACAACAAAAAAGACAACTTGAGACTCGCCGATAATAAAATCTAGAGCTAGTTCAGTTTTGTTGAAGCTAAAATCTGATGTCATAATAACTAAAGGAAATTCTAATTGGTGTTATGGTAAAAGTTTTCCTACTAATTCTGAAACACAGACTCTCATTTTGCTGTTTCTGCTAGTTGTATATTCCTTTGGGAAATGCCTTTGGACTCAGCGCTAAGGTTGTTTGTGAAGCTTTGGAGGCAAAGAAGAAGCAAAACCATCACTGGAAGTAAAATACACAGGAAACAAAACAGACCGTGGTAGAGACAGCTCATGGCACCCATCTGAAGGCAAAAGGAACTACCATGGGCGCCGACAGCACGCGCACCTAAATATTAGCTGATTGTGTGCAGTATTTGTAAGGAAGGAAGGAAGAAACGAGGGGAGAGAGCAGGGCAATGGAACTGATTTATCCAACAACAATTAAACTTTTCATTTTGGCAGTCACTGTAGTCGAGTAAAAAGCCAAGCAGTAGGTTGGTTACTGAATTAATAGTCTATACAGGTTCCTTACTTATACAATAGATTAGTTCGAACTCACAATGGGGTCAATATACTCCATACTCCCCTGAAACACATAATTATGCAATTGAGTTTATATTAAGACTGGCAAGGTGAACACAACCATCAGCTTTATAATTCTAACAAATTGTAGGGTGCAAATTCACACTGGTTAGATGAAGCAAGTTAAAAACAACTGAGTATTCAGAATGACCAAGAAAATCTCTCTTCGTTGCTGCCACTGAAGAAGCCAGCTGCCTATGAAGAAGACCACTTGGTAAAGAACTGAGGGTAGCTTCCCTCCAACAGCCACCAAGAAACTGAAGCCCTTTAGTTTGACAGCCTGCAAGGAACTGAACGTTGCCAATAACCACATGAGCTTGGAAGCACATCATTCCCCAGTCGAGCCTCAGATGACCAAAGTTCCAGCTAATACCTTCTTGCAGCCTTTTAAGACCATGAGGCAGTGACCCAGCTAATCCATGTCTGGCTAAGCCAGCTATAGGAGAGGAGCTCCTATCAAGATGATTTGCAGTCTTATGTAAGGTAATCATGTACATGTGATCCTGGACACTCAAGTCACCTTTGCTGCATTCAGCTGGCTAGAAGCAAGTCACAAGTCCTTCCTGTGATCAGGTGAGGGATCAAGGCTGTGACTACCAAGAGTGGGATTGTGAGGGCCCCCTGTTTTCTGTCTGACACAATGGATGACTGACCTAGAAAGAAGAAAGTAGACATACAGACCATCCTGGCTAACACAGTGGAACCCCATCTCTACTAAAAATACAAAAAATTAGCTGGGCATGGTGATGGGCACCTGTAGTCCCAGCTACCTGGGAGGCTGAGGCAGGAGAATGGTGTGAACCCGGGAGGCGGAGCTTGCAGTGAGCTGAGATCGCGCCACTGCACTCCAGCCTGAGCGACAGAGTGAGACTCCGTCTCAAAAAAACAAGCAAACAAACAAAAAAGAAAGTAGACATCATACACCAGGTGGTTAATATAGGACAGTTAGGGACAGTGCTACCCAAAGGTAAAATAGACAAAACAACTTAAGTTTTCTTCTTTCAAACCAGTGGGAAGTGCACTGCCTTGAGAAAGATCAGGGCATCTCTCTACCGTTACACAAGCTTGAGCAACTCAGGGACCTAAATGTCCTCATGCTCTATCTTTGAGGTCCTTTCAGTGCTAAGCTTCTGTGACCTCAGACCTTCCTTTCCAAGCCTCTCAAGACATTTTGGAATGCCACAAATTCTGGCTGTATTCATACAAAGTGCTGTGATAACCAGTGTGTCACTGTTGACATCTTTATAGAACAATACTGAGGAGAAAGAAAACATTTAATAGATCAGTCCTCTAGAGAAGTTAAAAGTCAAATCCATTACGGTGTTACCCTCTGATCCAATTTTTGATTTTCCATTTGTTTATATTTCTAAAGCATGATGTCATATAAAAAATACACAAGACAAAACCACTATAAACTTCACTTTTTACAGGCAAATTTGGGGCTAAAAATTATGTTCTATGTGGGGAGCAAACTACATTTCACATCCAAGTAATATTGAGTACATCAAGAAGTTACTTTGGCAGTGTAAACTCACATCCTCAGGATTAGAAAGGGCTTTCAAAGTCATCTTTTTAGCCACCTATCTGACAGGCAAATATCTTCCAGAACATGAAGAACAAATTATCTTATTATTTCTAAGTAGAAACTGATAGACTGTCATTATACTTCCTTGTGATGTCATAAACGTAAATGACTCTGTTAAAAATAAAATTATGAATTTAATCTACATAAGGCGAATCCAAACGCTTGCTCAATATATCAGTGAGCTCTTTCTTCAGGCAAAACATTAAGTTCTAAAGTATATGGAATTTTAAACATATATTCACAGTTATTCTTCTGTGGACAGACTACACAATGACATTATAAATATTCTCTAATACCTCATTAAGAACACAGATTAAAAGCTGTAAATCAGGTTGAAACTAGGCAGGCTTAATTTCCATTTAGAGGCTGAAGAGGACGAAAAGTTTAAGAAGGAAATGACTTTTTAGAGCTATATGAGATCAGAGCATCTAAGAGTCTAGATTTAAAACACTAAGCACTAAAGTCACATTCTTGGAACTCGTATCATGTTGTAGCTCCTTAATATACAGCCTGCTCAAATATCAAGTATTAATGTGCAATTAATTCTGAAAGAAACCACGTGCTACAAATTGTATTTTATTTGGACAATGAGGCCAGCACAATTCTTTTTTATAAACTGTATTTTTTCAACCCCATGTAAGTCCCTACTAAGTACAAAGCTCTGAGCTTGAGCCATAAGAAAAGAAATAAAATTAAACATTTGGCCTTTCCCCCCAAAAGAAGCATACTTTCTAAAGCAGAATTTCTCAAGTCATGGTCCAATGACAGCCTGTATAAGAGTAATGTAGAGAGGGCCGGGCATGGTGGCTCATGCCTGTAATCCCAGCACTTGGGGAGGCCAAGGCGGGTGAATCACAAGGTCAGGAGGTCAAGACCATCGTGGCCAACATGGTGATACCTTGTCTCTACTAAAATACAAAAAATTAGCTGGGTGTGGTGGTGTTCATCCGTAATCCCAGCTACTTGGGAGGCTGAGGCAGAAGAATCACTGGAACCCAGGAAGTGGAGGTTGCAGGCAGCTGAGATCGTGCCACCATACTCCAGCCTAGGTGACAGAGTGAGACTCCGTCTCAAGAAGAAAAAAAAAAAAAAAGAGTAATGTAGGGAGTTTATTGAACGTGGAGATTTCTGAGCACAGTACTCTAGCCTAGGTGACAAAGCGAGACTCCATCTCAAGAAAAAAAAAAAAAGAGTAATGTAGAGAGTTTATTGAACATGCAGAATTCTGAGCCTTGGCACCAGAAGATTGCTGGTTTAGTAGGTCTAGGGTAAGCCTTGGAATACGCATTTATAATAAGCCTGTGATTCTTATTGTACACTGAAGTTTGAGAGCCAATTATAAGGTGTCATTGGGGTGACCCAGAGGTAAAAACACATCTTTTAAACTAATACAACAGAGTACCCAAAGGAACAGGTTATGCAAGTATTGAGTGAATTCTGATTATAGCTGTAGCCAACATCAACGTTCCATATTGGAATACACGTTATGGTGTAAACTTTCTTAGAGTCTGTTCTAATTTGTCCTAATAGTAGCAAATTTATTTTGAGTTTCCTAGAAAAGGTCTGAATGGAGGGACCATTTCTCTTCCCGAGTGCATTAAAATTTTTTTTTGCATTTTAAAAATTGTGGTAAAATATACCTAACATAAAATGTACTATTTTAATCATTTCTAAGTATACAGTTCAGTAGTGTTAAATATATTCACATTGTTGTGAAGCAGATATCTGGGACTTTTTTTTTTTTTCATCTTGTAAAACTGAAACTCAATATCCTTGAAACAACAATTCCTCTTTTTTCCCTCCCTGTAGCTGCTGACAACCACTATTCTACTTTTTGTTTGTATGATGAATGGCCCATTTAAAAAACCCAATACATGACAATGTGTCAGGTACGCGAAAAAGGAAGAAGAACTGAGTATAAACATCAAAATCAGGGGGTTTGGTTTAAGAAATGAGATCAGGTCGGTCACGGTGGCTCACACCTGTAATCCCAGCACTTTGGGAGGCCGAGGCGGGTGGATCACGAGGTCAGGAAATCGAGACCATCCTGGCTAACACAGTGAAACCCCGTCTCTACTAAAAATACAAAAAAAAAAAAAAAAAAAAAAAAAAAAAAAAAAAAATTAGCCAGGCATGGTGGCGGGGGCCTGCAGTCCCAGCTACTCAGGAGGCTGAGGCAGGAGAATGGCATGAACCCGGGAGGCGGAGCTTGCAGTGAGCCGAGATGGCGCCACTGCACTCCAGCCTGGGCGACAGAACGAGACTCCGTCTCAAAAAAAAAAAAAAAAAAAAAAAAAGAGATCATAAAGCCGAAAGGTGTAAAGCAAAGACACTTGGATGTATAAGTAGAGGTGTTTTTCAGAAATGAGTTGATACAGTTTGATCATCTGGCTATGGGAAGTGGGTATCAGGTAGATGTGTTTTCTAAAGCCAGGATATGAACTACAGGTCACTATCAGATATCAGATCGAATTCCTATATCGTTGATGGATTGTGATTAAAGTAGATGGGAAGTAGGTCAGGGGATAAAGATTAGGGATTATAAAAGGTATTTACCACCACCAAAATTTGTTGCAGATTTGGGAAGTGGGTATACCTATGATAAACCCATCATGATAGTTAACTAGGATTGGATTGGTTGAGGCAGCCCTTCGGGCATTGTGGATTTGGGCACACATATCATAAATATTATGTATCGAAAGGCATCTTACAACCAGGTGCTGTGGCTCACGCCTGTAATCCCAGCACTTTGGGAGGCTGAGGCAGGCGGATCACGAGGTCAGGAGATCGAGACCATCCTGGCTAACATGGTGAAACCCCGTCTCTACTAAAAATACAAAAAATTAGCCGGGCGTGGTGGCCGGCGCCTGTAATCCCAGCTACTCGGGAGGCTGACGCAGGAGAATGGCATGAACCGGAAGGCGGAGCTTGCAGTGAGCCGAGATCGTGCCACTGCACTCCAGCCTGGGCGACAGAGCGAGACTCCGTCTCAAAAAAAAAAAAAAAAAAAAAAAATGCATCTTACAAATGCCAAATCCAGAGCCATTGGAAGTTCTGGAGGGCCACGGTTAATACTTTGGATGGGCCACAGTGACCCAACAAGATTGAGGAGATGGCCTAAAAGAGTTCAAGAAGTTTGATGAAGGTGTCTCCCAAGGTATCAAACTAAGCAATCTGGTGGACGAGACATCTCTTTTACTGTGTGTGCTAGGGTGGAACCTCAGCCAAGTCATGCAATACGAAAGGAAGCATGGAAAAAGTAGAAAGAACGTGTGTTTTGGAGTCAAATCTGGCTTGAAATTAAACTGCCTCTTACCATCTAGGTGACCTTTAAACCATCTTAATATTATATTAATTTCCTCATCTATAGTACATATTAAAACAGTACCTATGTTTTAGCATTAAAGGTAACTATTCAATATACCAGCACAATTGCTAGCCCAAGAGCTTTCAGTAAGTTGTTGTAATGGTTATAACTACGATGATGACAATTGGTCTCCCGCTCTTGCTATCAGAATAGCATGCCAAGCGGTTCCTGTTATTCTGTTATTCTGATGTGCAGGATAGGAGACTTTTTCAGCTACTTTAGCTATCTAGCCCATAATGTATGTGGAATTCAAAGATGGGGCTTGGGGGCAGGCTTATTTCTGCTTTGTTTTAAATGATGCAGACTGAGTCATCATAAGGAATCTGGTCCTTTGAGGTGGTATATTTGTACCCTGAACATGGTTTTAACTATTATCATATTTAATTAAATCTATGGTCTCATTATTTAATGTGCCCTTACAAATGAAAACAAAAACTTTGGGTGCGGCTTGAGGCAACGGGTCCAAGGATGTTAGTCATTCTCAGGCTGGCTCTGTTCATAGTCAAGAGATGGTCATGGCAGCTCCAACCACCCCTCCTCTCACATTCAAATCTAGTATTGAAGAGAGAACACCACATTTCCAGAAGGGCCAGCCAAAGTCTAACTGGCTTTGACTGGATTAAGTTCTGATTGACTTAGGCTGGGCCACGTGCTTCACTGCTGGAGTCAAGAGTTGAGAAGGAATGTTGGCAGGTGTCCAGGGCAGGAGGACTGAAAATGAGAGAAGAGTGAAGTCCCTATGGCTCTAGTCAGCAACCTGCCAATCCCTTGCTGCTTCTGATACTGCATCTGTACAGACTTAAGGTGCTGCACAGTTTTGCTCACAGAACAATAGGGAATATTGCCTTATGTTTTGTGTCCTCAAAAGACCATCATGGTTCCCCAGAATGAAGGGAGTTAGTACAAAAGGTAGTAAGATTTTTACTTCTGGGAACCCAAATCCCCAGAACCTGTCCCTACCCATGAAAAATTATAACGGAGACCCTAATGTGATTCAAGATAACTGACATGATCAAGGATCAGCTTTCTGTGTGTGTGTCTGTGTGTGTGTGAGTCTCGCTCTGTCACCCAGGTTGGAGTGCAGTGGTGCAATCTCGGCTCACTGCAAGCTCTGCCTCCCGGGTTCACACCATTCTCCTGCCTCAGCCTCCCGAGTAGCTGGGACTACAGGCGCCCGCCACCACATCCAGCTAATTATTTGTATTTTTAGTAGAGATGGGGTTTCACTGTGTTAGCCAGGATGGTCTCGATCTCCTGACCTCGTGATCCGCCCGCCTCAGCCTCCCAAAGTGCTGGGATTACAGGCGTAAGCCACCACACCCAGCCAAGGATCAGCTTCTTTTAGTAGTAGACAGAGGGTTAGATGTCAAGAGTGAGGTAGTTTTTTTTAATGAAATGAATCAGTCACAATTCATGGCTGCAAGGGACAAGACATCCCAAATTAACTGGCTTATATGAGAAAGGGGAATTTTATGAACTCATTAACTAAACTTTAGGAGAACAAAGGTGGAGGAGCATTAGGATGTCTGGAGCCAACACAGAGCACCATCATGACTCATTTCCTCTAGCTTTCATCTCTACTTCACACTCAGACTGGATTCTTCATGAGACTAGAAATGGGTCTCTTCTGGACTCACAACCACACAGCCTTCACAGAGAGGAATGGGGCCCCCTCATTCCACCTCCAGTGAGAAAACTCTTAAGGCAGGACTCAGATTGGGTTGGGTAATATGCCCAGCTCTTGTAACAATCACTGTGACCAGAAGTAATACAACTGGCCCAGCCCACATCTCCTGACCATGACCAAAGTCAAAGAGGCTGCGTGTGGGAGAGGAAGGTAGGAAGGGTCTGGACAGACAAAGAAATGGAGATCTAGAATGTGCTTCCCACTCCTATCCAGATACCAAAGGCACTGATTCTAAAGATGAGGGAAAAGCCTAGATCAAGGTAAGCCAAAATAAAGATGAAGAACTTACAGTTCTCAGAATTCTGGTCTGGTGGTTAGCCAAAGATCGCTCTTCTCCCTTTTGTTGTATGGTTAGCAGGACATGAAAAGTGGGAAATTGGCACCAAAGTTCTGGGCCTAGAAAACCTCAGGAATTCACTGATGACAAACAGGGAGCTTCTTCTTCAGATCTGGGGATAACAAGGCTAGAATCTTTAGCTGCCCTTGCTAAACATAAATTAGCTCAGGTATTCCACTTCTGTTTTTCTAAAATGATATTTTTCAGGGTTAGTCTATGGAAGATGCTATTGCAAATTGGATGGAGAACACACATGCCAAGAGTTCATATGATTTAGGGCCAAACACCAGTTTTCTCAAAATAGGGGCAACATGAAGATGTCTATATTCTCTAGAAAAAAATATTTAATTTTGGATGTTATTTAAATAATGACAGTCTTTATAAAGAATTAATATACAGGCCGGGCGTGGTGGCTCATGCCTGTAATCCCAGCTCTTTGGGAGGTCGAGGCACATGGATCACGAGGTCAGGAGTTCAAGACCAGCCTGGCTAACACACAGTGAAACCCCATCTCTACTAAAAATACAAAAATTAGCCAGGTGTGGTGGCATGTGCCTGTAGTCCCAGCTACTCAGGAGGCTGAGGCTGGAGAACCACTTGAACCTGGGAGGTGGAGGCTGCAGTGAGCCAAGATCGTGCCACTGACTCCAGCCTGGGTGACAGAGAGAGACTCTGCCTCAAAAAAAAAAAAAAAAAAAAAAAAAAAAAAAAAAAGAATTAATGGCCAGGCGTGGTGGCTCACGCCTGTAATCCCAGCACTTTGGGAGGCCGAGGTGGGCAGATCATGAGATCAGGAGATCGAGACCATCCTGGCTAACACGGTGAAACCCGGTCTCTACTAAAAATACCAAAAAAAAAAAAAAATTAGCCGGGCGTGGTGGCGGGTGCCTGTAGTCCCAGCTACTTGGGAGGCTGAGGCAGGAGAATGGCGTGAACCTGGGAGGCAGAGCTTGCAGTGAGCCCAGATTGCGCCACTGCACTCCAGCCTGGGCGACAGAGAGAGACTCCATCTCAAAAAAAAAAAAAGCATTAATATACAAATATTTGGATCATCTGATCACCACCTTTTAACCAAATGTTGTCATGTGATTTGAGAGAATAAATTTATGTAAGTAAATAAGTAGAGGACACGTTTGTACCCAGAAAATGAATCAGTGGAGAACTGTACGAACCAAAATTTATAATATTTAGAAGACAGAACAGTGATTAAAGAAGCAAGACAGACTTTGAAGAAAGTGCACCACAGCAGACAGTGCAACTCATATGAGTGCAGGACAATTTAATCTTAAAAAATGTCATCTGTCACCTTAAATTAATGCTATTCATTTAAATATATTCATTTCACTGTTTCATTTGCATGTAATTGGTATTTGTTTTGGTTTGTACTCGCAAAGGAACAATAAACATAGGGAGTTCATGTTTTATGTTTGAATATGTAAGTAACAATAAAAAGGAATAGTTCAGCAGTGGGAAGTCACAAGGAGAATTTTTAGGCTGAATGTTTATAATGGGATGACTATGGTACCCCAAAATTCATGTTCATCTACAACCTCAGAATATGACTTTATTTGGAAATAGAATATTTGCAGATGTAATTAGTTGAGGATCTGAAGTAGAAGTTATACTAGATTTAAGGTGGGACCTAAATCCAATTACTGGTGTTCTTATGAGAAGAGGAGAGGGCATACGGACATACACAGAAAAGAAGGCCATGTAAAGACAAAGGAAAAGACTGGAGTGATGTGGCTACACTTCAAGGAACATCAAGGAATACCTGGAGCCGCCATAAGTTAGAAAGAGGCAAGGAAGGATTCTCCTGTAGGACCTTTAAAGGGAGCACAGTCCTGCCAACATCTTGATTTCAGACTTCTGGCCTTCAATATTGTGAGAACACATTTCTGCTGAGTTAAGGCATCCAGTTTGTGGTCATTTGTCCCCACTGCCCTAGCCCTATGGCAGTTCCTAACAACTACACAATCAAGGTTTACAGGTTGCCAAGAAAGAGATGCCCTCAGCTCTGTGGAAAGCAGGATGGGGTTTAAGGTCAGTTGACTCCCAGTAAAGCAGAATCTTCTTTTTACCCAGTAGGCCACACACCTATTATTTGGATATATTTTTAAAAGTATGGGCATGTGAAAAGCATTTGGAAGCTCCTCACAATAGTTCTCTGCAAGCACGGTATCATGCAGGTCCATGAGTTTTCACAGTATACCACTTACTGGCATTCACAAAACTGCAGGGACAATGCAAAGGCCACACTCATTATCAGACAGAGAGACACACCTACGATGTGACTTTTTTTTTTTTTTGAGACGGAATCTCGCTCTGTCGCCCAGGCTGGAGTGCAGTAGTGTGATCTCGGCTCACTGCAAACTCTGCCTCCCGGGTTCACGCCATTCTCCTGCCTCAGCCTCCAGAGTAGCTGGGACTATAGGCGCCCGCCACCACGCCCAGCTAATTTTTTTTTTTTTTTTTTGTATTTTTAGTAGAGATGGGGTTTCGCCCTGTTAGCCAGGATGGTCTCCATTTCCTGACCTCGTGATCCACCCACCTCGGCCTCCCAAAGTGCTGGGATTACAGGCGTGAGCCACCGTGCCCGGCCCGATGTGACTTTTCATTTATTGCTGTGGCTTTTTGCCTCTGTCTTTGTTCAGGCTGCTATAATAAAATATCAAAATCTGGGTAGCTTATAAACAACAAAAATTTATTTCTCACACTCCTAGAGGCTAGGAAGGGGATGCCTACAGATTTGGTGTCTGGTGAGGGCCTGCTTTCTCATAGATGGAACCTTCCTGCTGCATCTTCACATGGTGGAAGGGACAAGGCAGCTCCTTGGGGCCTCTTTTATAAATGCACTAATCCCATTCATGAGGGTAGAGGCCTCAGGACCTCATCACGTCTCAAAGTCCCCACCTTCTAATCCCATCACTTTGGTGATTAGGTTTCAACATATGAATCTGAGGGAGACACAACCATTCAGACCACAGGTCACCTCAAGATCTAGACCATGTTCCCTGCCTTCTAAAGATACAATTTCATGTATCTGTGGACCAGGTGCCAAAGAGTAGTTACAGGCATCAGGGATAAGACAATGGATACAAGTGTGGAGAAGAACTATCTTAGATGCAGTGGGTGGTTGGGAAGAGTTGTTGTTCGTATTCATTAAAAAGAACATTGGTTCTTCCAGGGGGGAGGTGGAGAGTCTTATTAACAGTCAACACAAGTTGTGTCAGTGGAGTTGTGGAAGTCTTAGGCTCAAAAATCAAGCACACCCATGCAGCAAAAACATGCCTCCTAACTGCTGTGTAACACTGTGAGGATGCTCTCCTGGTGCACATCATCTCCATGATGCAAGCCTCCCGGAAATAATTGCTAAGGATCTCAAGGTTAATAAGGAGCAGGAATGTGGTAAGGATCTCAGGGTTGATAAGGAGCAGGAATGTGGTAAGGATCTCAAAGTTGTTAGGAACAGGAAAGGCAGGGAAGTATATGGAGGTCTGAGGTCTGTACGTTTGCTAATAGGTCATTAGGCTTCTTTAGCCATGGCTTGATTTTTTTTTTTTTTTTCTTGAGACAGTGTCTCACTCTGTCACCCAGGCTGGAGTGCAGTGGTGCGATCTTGGCTCACTGCAACCTCCACCTCCCAGGTTCGAGCTATTCTCCTGCCTCAGCCTCTCGAGTAGCTGGGATTACAGGCATGCATCACCACGCCTGGCTTATTTTTGTATTTTTAGTAGAGACGGGATTTCCCCATATTGGCCAGGCTGGTCTCGAACTCCTGACCTCAGGTGATCCGCCCGCCTCGGCCTCCTAAAGTGCTGGGATTACAGGAGTGAGCCACCGCACCTGGCCACCATGGCTTGATTTTTAAAACATCATAGTGGCCCAAATAATGGCACCAATAGGTGACCTGTGTAGGCTTTTGGCACCCATGACATCCACTGGCCTCCACCCCTGAAGTTATCCCAAATAAACATACACTCAAAGTAAAATAGGATTTGTGTTATATGAAAGCAGCTTCCAGGCAAACTCCTTAGCTCCCCTTCCCAACCCACTTGTTACTCCCAAGCCATATACAGAAATCTGGTGCTACCACTCATACCTCTAATTCTATCATGGCTCAAACCTGTAGGAAGGCACCAGTTGCTCTGATCTTCATGAATGGAGCCTGATCAGCCTCATTTTCCCAGTAGTGGATGTTTGCTGCTCAGGCCAGACCCCATATTTGATGTGATATGCCCCAGCATAATACATGGACAGTTATGTGCCCTCCTGGAGGTGCCAGCAGAGAGTGGCGAATATAACCAGCTGCAGTGGCTTGCGGTCTGCCCCAGAGCTTTGTAGATTTGACATGGAAATTAACTCTTCAGGCAACAATCCTAAAAGGTCTTCCTGGGACCAGTCAGGAAGCACCGATGATTGTATCTCTGATCCTGGACCAGCATGAGGACTGTAGTGTCCAGGCTGAATGTCCCTTCTTTCTATTGTTTTACATATTCATGTGCAGGAAGGAGAGCATGCCACATAGTATAGTCAGGAATCCTGCCTGTTTGAAAGAGTATAATTCTAGATATGAGAAAAACAATGGTTCAGAGTTTCCCACAAACCCTAAGCCAGAGGTGCCGCTTGTGGTTTTCAAAGTGCTTGCAAATTCTTTGACACTCTTCCCATCAAATAGTAGAGTTTATGTTCCCTCCTGTTGAACTTGGGTGGGCTTTTGTAACCGCCTTGATGAACAGAATGTGGCAGAAGTGAGGATAATTCTGAGTGAAGTTAGACATACAGCTTCTCCTGGCTTCTCTGGGGAGAACTGCTCTGTGGGGCATGGGCTTCCATGTACAAATCAAGATACTCTGAAAAGGACCACTTGGAGAGTCTAAATAAGTAGACAGATACCTAAGGAGCCCCAGTTGTTCCTATCCCCAGCTTCTTGAGTCTTCCCGGCCCAGGTGCCAGAGCTTTCAAGATGACCCCAGCCTCATCCACCACGTGACTACAGCCTCATGAGAGACCTCAACCCAGCTCAGCCAACCTGCTTCCTAATTTCCGATGCCTTGAAACCATAAAAGACAACAACTGCTTGTTCTCGTTTCAAGCCTTTACAATTTAGGGTGATTTGCTATGCAACATTAAATAACAAGACCACAGCCTGAGTAAATGAAGCTGCTGAAGGGAGCCCAAGAGAAACTCGGAATTACCTCCAAATTTCTCTGAAGAAAGGATTCGAGGTAAGGAAAAGATCTGCAGCTGCTTGTAAGGCAGATCATCTGTCTTCACCATGCTGAAAGAGCAAGGTGGACTCCTGCTTGAAGAGCACTGTAACTTACTCATGCAGTAATGTGGAATCAGGAAAGGAAAGTGATAGTAACAATTTGCTTACAATTGCCAGGGCAAGGGCAGAGACTTGGAGAACACAGTGGGAAATGAATGGTAAATATGTCATTCTCTACTGGAGGCAGGAGTGGGAAGTAATTAGCTGGGGAGGAGTGGGAGCTGGCTAAGGTCAGAAACAGTGACCTTACAGCATTATTATCTTTCAAATTCAAATACACTTCTATACCTCGCTTTGGGTTGCTGGGACAGAAACTGCAAACGACATTTCTATTTTTCCAGCCAGATACCTTTCAGGCTCTTTAGGGGGTGGTAGAGGGAGCCTGCAAGGCTGGAGGAAGAAGAGAGAATTTGCTGCCTCCTGTCTACTTCTTATTCCTGTGATGTCACCTGAGCAAAGCTTCTTCAAATGGGCAGAGGCACGGCCTTCTCACAGCAGCAGCTGAATCTGCTTTTCAATTTTGTCCCATTTATAAAACACGCTCCTTTGTACCCACTCAGAGACATTAACCCCAGCCAGCCAGTACCAACTCCTCAGAAAATTTGAGTCTCCAAGACTCCTACTCTACGTTTCCAAGTTTAATAATTCCAATCTCTTCCCTCTTTTCCCTCAGTTGAAAGGGTGGTAGCTGATGACTGCAGTTGCCACTTACCTCTGTGATACTTTAGAGATCTTTTTTCCCTTCTCAGTTACCTAGCTAATGGCTTTTTACCTAGTTGCAATTCTTCATATTAAAATTTTCCTTTTCCTTTACCTGGTGTGGCTTCTGTCTGCTGAATGGATCCTGACTAATAAAAGGTATTTCTTCCAAAGAAAAATCTATGATGGTAACTGAGGTTGGGGGTAACTGAAGGTTCAAATAGCAGGGAGATCAAGTTCAAATACCAAATGCAAAGACCACAGACAGAATTTGAAAGAGTGACCACAAAGTTAGGAGGTTGAAGGTGGGCAGAGACATAAGCAAAATAAGAGTAGGACTGGAACAAGATAGAAGGCTTAGGGTGATTGCTATGGAGGTGGAAATTATCAACCCATCCACCTACCCGCTACCCTCCCCCAGTCAGTAGGATGGGTAAAGCTGATTTAAAAACCTCAGGCAAGGCCAGGCGCGGTGGCTCACGCCTGTAATCCCAGCACTTTGGGAGGCCAAGGTGGGCAGATCGTGAGGTCAGGAGGTTGAGACCATCCTGGCTAACATGGTAAAACTCTGTCTCTACTAAAAATACAAAAAATTAGCCAGGCATGGTGGCATGCGCCTGTAGTCCCAGCTACTCGGGAGGCTGAGGCAGGAGAATCACTTGAACCTGGGAGGTGGAGGTTGCAGTGAGCCGAGATCGTGCCACCGCACTCAAGCCTGGGCGACAAAGCGAGATTCTGCCTCAAAAAAAAAAAAAAAAAAAAATCTCAGGCAAAAGTGGACATTACTTGTCTAGATTTGGGGTTGATGAGGGTTTTTTATTGGAGGTGGGAGTCGTTTTGTTTTTTTGAGACAAGGTCTCCCTTTGTCACCAGGTTGGAGTGCAGTGGTACGATCTCCGCTCACTCCAGCCTCACCCTCCTGGGCTTAGGTGATCCTTCCACCTCAGCCTCCCGGGTAACTGGGATGACAGTCACATGCCACCATGCTTGGCTAATTTTTAAAATGTTTCGTACAGATGGGGTCTTGCTATGTTGCCGAGACTTGCCTTGAACTTGTGAGCTGAAGCGATCAAGTTCTAAGAGCAGCTTATAATATGATTTTTAACGCATGTTGTCTATGATCATAGAGGGAGATAGACATGGAAAGAAAGAGGGCCTTTTCTGCCTTGTGCCTTTTTCCATGTCTATTCTAAGGACCAGGATTGCCTTGAGACCAACACTGTGAGAGCCCTGACTCAGTATCCATAGATATTCTATCTGCACATTGCAGAGCACTAAGCCAGTCCGCCTTCTCAGCTTCAGACTAGTCAGTTTCATGGACTTTCAGCATCTCTGTGTAGATGTTTCCAGGCACCTCAAACCCACCATGCTCAAGGATGGATCTAATCTCTTTTTTCATTCAGATTTCCCCCCCGCCGCCACCATGGAAAGCAGGTAGGAAACACTGGATTTCTTCAATGTAGCCCCCCAAAACAGAAACCTGGTTGCCTTTTCTTTTTTCTTTTTTTTTGAGATGGAGTCTCACTCTGTCGCTCAGGCTGGAGTGCAGTGGTGTGATCTCGGCTCACTGCAACCTCTGCCTCCTAGGTTCAAGCGATTCTCCTGCCTCAGCCTCCTGAGTAGCTGGGATTGCAGGCGCCCACCACCACACCCGGCTAATTTTTGTATTTTTAGTAGAGACAGGGTTTCACCATGTTGGCCAGGCTGGTCTTGAACTCCTGACCTCAAGTGATCCGCCCGCCTCGGCCTCCCAAAGTGCTGGGATTACAGGCATGAGCCACCACGCCCGGCCCTGGTGACCTCTTAGCATCTTCCCTTTTTGCTTCTTCTGGCTTCAAACTATTTGAAATACTCTGTGTGACACATCAGTGAACAAAATGAAGTCTTGTTGCCTAGTTGGGAAAAATGGAAAATCAGCAAAAGGTAAATCTGGGAAAGACTTTTTATTTAAATTATTTCTCTTTGAAGGGACTCATGAAAAATTGAGAAAATAGGGAGCGGTACTGGTCATGAGGAATGTGGGGAGGGAATCCTGAAATCTCCAGCTCTGATTTGCAGAGAAGGTTTGAGAATAAAGAGCTCCAAGAGCTGTTTGACTCATGTTGGCCGATCCTGAAATCCAGAAGTCCCCTGGCAGGAAACCCTCTGGAGACGACAGACTAAACCATCCTGCCATTGTCAGCCTCACAAGGGGCTCAGCAACTCAGCAAAAGGAAGTTGTTTTTTTGTATTGCACTTTTTTTTTGTCTTAAAGAGATATCCTTCTTAATAGTTACATTAATATCTTGAATAAAGATGGAGAGTGTATGTCAACTTGGAAGAGACAGCAACCATACTGGAAGTCAGAATCAGAATCTCAAAACATCTTAACATAAGGCTAAAGAAAGGGACCAACAACAGAAGAGAAATTAATAGGAGCAAAGGTAAAATTTTGTACTGAGGTTCAAAAAGCCACTTGTAGAAGTGCAGAATGGGGAGATGTGGCTGAACAGGACCCCAAACTTTTCAAGCTTGTTCTTGATGTTCTCTCAGTCAGGGTATGCTAACTGCTATAATGACAGTGCCCAAGTCCCAGTGATTTCAAGATATCCTGTGGAGAAAAAAGTATGGAAGGGGCCAGGCACAGTGACTTATTCCTGAAATCTCGGGACTTTGGGAGGCCAAGATGGACAGATCGCTTGAGCCCAGGAGTTCAAGACTAGCCTGGGGAACATAGCGAGAACTTGCCTGTACTAAAAATAAAAATAAAAATAAATCAGCCGGTCATGGTGGCGTGTACCTGTAGGCCTAGCTGCTCGGGAGGCTGAGGTGGGAGGATCACCAGAACGCAGGAGGTCAAGGCTGCAGTGCGCTATTGTCGTGACACTGCACTCCAGCCTGGGTGTCAAAGTGAGATTCTGTCTCAAAAAAAGTGTGGAAGGGATAACAGTGCTGGCTCAATTGATTGCTTCCTGTGAGACTGGACATTTCCATTAACATGTGCCCAGCAAAGGGATTTTTAGATAATATTATCTAATTTTAACTAAGTTAACCCTCATATTGGAAAAATTGGCTTTAAAAATATTTCTGTAAAAAAATAGGTGAAAGAAAGACAACAGCAGAATAAACCTAAAGAAAATGGCAGAGCAAACCCTTCTGTTCTAAATATAAATTCTACATCAGCCACAATATGAGGTTAAAAGAAAAGAATGGTAGGATAATTAGACCAGCAGGTAGTCCCTTCAAATCCAAAGTTATCAAGAAGACCATTTAAATTATGAATTTATATCCACTGCCATTAATGATAAAATTCTTCCTAGTTGGCTGGCATGTTATGTCTTAAGATGTTAACTAGTAATAATATAAAGTTATTATGATTAACAAGATATTTGAAAGCCAAACATTCAAAATGGAAGAAAAATTTCAGCAGCTTTTTGAGAAATTTCACAAAACCTACTAATAATTGCTCAGAAACTTCTTTTGAGGTTTTTTGTTTTACGGTTAAGAAACAAAAGCCACAAACCATTGGGGTCTCTGGTTCTCCCTGCCACAACAAAAAATGTTGAAATAATTATAAAACAAAAGGCCAAAAACTAAAATTCACTCTTTTGTCAGCAATTTTTTGGGAAGTCACATAGTAAATATTACGGAAGATATGAAGAAACAACTTAGTATTGGCCATGCATTTGGGTGAAAGTATAGGTATTTCTATCATGTCTCAGCTTATGGCATTTTTTGGATTCTATTTCAATAGTTACATTCTTGAAGAACTGCTTTTTTTTTTTTTTGAGACAGAGTTTTGCTCTTGTCGCCCAGCTGGAGTGCAATGGCGCAATCTTGGCTCACTGCAACCTCCGCCTCCTGGGTTCAAGTGATTCTCCTCCTACCTCAGCCTCCTGAGTAGCTGGGATTACAGTCACCCGCCACTAGGCCCAGCTAATTTTTGTGTTTTTGGTAGAGACGGTGTTTCACCATGTTGGCCAGGCTGGTCTTGAACTGCTGACCTCAGGTGATCCACCCGCCTTGGCCTCCCAAAGTGCTGGGATTACAGGCGTGAGCCACCGTGCCTGGCCAAAGAACTGCTTTTTAATGAAGCACTTTAAAGAAAAAATCATACTGGAAAATCAGACTAAAGAATATCTCAATGATAATTTTTTTTTAAAAAAACAATATTTTATCGGAAAACTTTTAAAGTATAACCACTGAATTTACAAGAATAAAAGGTATTCCTGCAGAGGAACAACAAAATTTCCAGAAACCTTGACAGAGATATTCATCTCAGTGGTGTTCATCCAATGTGTCATTCAATGGGGAGCTAATGCACCAAGAAATTGATGCTGGAACGTGCATAATACTCTTGATATCAACAATGCAATTCGTTTCAAAGAAAACCTGTAAGCAGCAGAACTTTAGAAGGTTATAATGAGATAGAAAGTCTTTGAGATTGTATCATAATCCTTCTTGTTCTTCTACCCAATATTGATTTTCTTCTCTTCTCTTCTAGGGGTATTTTCCCAAGAACACTCCCTAATTCGATCCCTACATGCTAATCTCCATTTCACAGTCTGCTTTCCAGAAGACCCACTTGCAATGGTGGCAGGAATGGTCCAAGAAAGCACGTGCCCATGTGAGATTCTGCAGCTGCCAACCACCGGCCAGCTAGCAGTGAGAACCCAGATAACCAAGGTGTCCTTGAAAAAGTGACAGTTAATGTGACACCTGAAGGGGCATTTAGTCAGACCAAGGAGTATTGGTAGGAAGAAGAAGAGAAGTATTCCAAGCAAGAACCAACTGTGGCCAAGTCCCAAAGGGATAAAGAGTGAGTTACAATCACGGAATTAAAAGATATTTCTTGCGACTGTGTGTCGGGTTATTAGAGGGAGACAGCAAGAGGGCACACAGCCCAAGATGAGGCTGAGAAGGCAAGCAGGGGACATGCAGATTTATCTGGAAGAGGCCAGGCACAGTGGCTCACACCTATAATCCCAGCACTTTGGGAGGCCGAGGTGGGTGGATCACCTGAGGTCAGGAGTTCGAGACCAGTCTGGCCAACGTGGTGAAACCCCATCTCTTACTAAAAATACAAAAATTAGCTGGATGCAGTGGCATGCGCCTGTAATCCCAGCTACTCGGGAGGCTGAGGCTGGAGAAACACTTGAACCCAGGAGGTGGAGGTTGTTGTGAGCCAAGATTGTGCCACTGTATTACACTCCAGCCTGGGCGACAGAGTGAGACACCATCTCAAAAAAAAAAAAAAAAAATTTATCTGGAAGACAATGGAAGGGGAGATGATGCGAAGGGAGTGGGGAGTGAGTGACTTTCAGAGTGTGAGTTGGACAACCAGACAAGGCAGAGATTATCTAAACTCCATGGAAGCAGGAGCCTTGCCTGTGCTGCTATATTCCCAATGCACAGCACTAGTCTGGTAGGTCTTCCATAAATATTTGTTGAGTAAATGAATGAATGCGTAGATGAATAAGCTGGGAAGTTGAGATGATAAGTTCACTTTTGGACACAGAAATTTTTTTTTTTTTTTTGAGATGGAGTCTAGCTCTGTTGCCCAGGCTGGAGTGCAGTGGTGCAATCTTGGCTCACTGTAACCTCCACCTCTTGGGTTCATGCCACTCTCCTGCATCAGCCTCCTGAGTAGCTGGGACTACAGGCGCCCACCATCACGCCTGGCTAATGTTTTGTACTTTTAGTAGAGACGGGGTTTCACCATGTTAGCCAGGATGGTCTCGATCTCCTGACCTCGTGATCTGCCCGCCTTGGCTTCCCAAAGTGCTGGGATTACAGGCGTGAGCCACAGTGCCCGGCCTTGGTCATAGAGAATTTTGAGTGCCCATGGGTCCTCTTTTGAAAGTGTACACTGGGGATTATACAACCTTTTGTTCAATTCTGAAGATAACCAGTGAAAAAATAACTCCTGTGTCCTTATTTTGAGACCATTATTCTCCCCCCACATTTAGAAGTTTGAAGTCCCCATAAGACCTGTGTAATCAATACCTAATCACCTTGAACCAAATGTGATTTTAAAAATGGGAGTGGCTGAGTATTGATCTTAACTAATGGAGAAACTGCCTGACTCTTGTGATCATCCAAATCCCTTTATCTTGTTTTAACCATAATGCACATAATTATCTTTTTTTTTTTCTTATTTTTAAATTTTGGAACTTGAGCCTAACATGTCATATGCATATCACACTAAGGTGTTCTGGTCAAAATTAACTGTAAGAGTATGGCACTTTTAAATGGACAAAAAAGGCTAGCTAATGAGTAGAAGGAAAATGAAAGAATAGACGGGAATCCAAGGATTTTTACTGCCATCCAGTGGTGGAGCTCTCAGGCAAATATGATGTAAAGCCCCCAGTCAGTCTTCATGTTTTCCACTGCCAAGTCCCAAATGCATTCATTCAAGCTTAGTGACTAACTTGCAATGCTAGCCTACCATACAAGTTTGTATTGTGTTTTCTTGATTTTGAAAGTAATTGGTTGGTCCTCTTGTGATCCTGAAGAAGATCATAGCCTTCCATAAGTAGCCAGTTTAAGAGTTACTTGGGCTGGGCGCAGTGGCTCACACCTGTAAACTTTGGGAGGCCAAGGCGGGTGGATCACCTGAGGTCGGGATTTCAAGACCAGCCTGACCAACATGGGCAAACCCCGTCTCTACAAAATATACAAAATTAGCCAGGCGTGGTGGCGCATGCCTGTAATTCCAGCTACTCGGGGGGCTGAGGCAGCTGAATTGCTTCAACCTGGGAGGCGGAGGTCGTGGTGAGCCGAGATCATGCCATTGCACTCCAGCCTGGGCAACAAGAGTGAAACTGTCTCAAAAAAAAAAAAAAAAAAAAAAAAAAAAAAGAGTTACTTGTACTTGATGAGGGGAGAATCTGACTCATTAATGCCCTCATGTTGCCAGCACACTCAACCCCTTCTTGCTTTCCCAAGCCCACCGCAAATTCACACCCTTATGGAGAGTGAATCTCACAGATTCACCTTTAAGTCCCAACTGGCCATTTCCAAGTTATTTTTTATCTGTGATTTTATAACTGTTGGCTCCTAGATGGACAGCTTAGAACCCATGGCAACAAAAAAAGGAATGGAAGAAACCCTAACTCATTGACATTAAACAAGCAAGCGCCTTTGCCAACCTGATGGAGAAAAATAAATAAAATTGTTATCACCAGATTTAGTCTAAAAGAAAAATAATCGGCCCAAGCATAGCATGCATGTTTTACAAACTGCACTTTTTTGGCCTTGACAAACACCATCCAGTTTACCCAAAGTTCATAAAAGGTTAATGTTTTCTACTTTTGAAATGCACATATACTGTTCTCTGTGTGCTAATGATGTGGCCTCTTAACCAGGGTTTGATTTTTCTGTGCCCATCCACCAATTTGCTCAAAGTCATGGTCTCAGGCAGTGACGTCATTCCTTGACACTAAAAACAAACACCATCCAGATCTCTGTTTACTTTCTCCTGCAGGTTTATGTCCATCGAAGCAGTGCCGATGGGAAAGTGCACAGAGACCACAGGGTTTTGCTTGTACCCAGTGGTTTAAGCAGCTGGTTCCCAGGGACTGGCCCAGACCAAAACAAAACAAAACAAAAAAATAAATTCCAGAGAATGCTATGCAAACTACATAAAATTCTGAAGAATGTGAAGATGAAGGCACACAGTTGGCATCCAGTATAAGGTCAATATCTATATTTAGTCTACATCTATATCTATATTTACTTATTTACTGAAATATAAGGCTTGCCAATTTTACAAGGAAATTCTGGGGGAAAAAAAATCAAAGTAGTTTTCTTCCCACTTGTTTTAAACATTGTTTTTTGTTTTTTGAGGCGGAGTCTCACTCTGTCGCCCAGGCTGGAGCGCAGTGGTGCGATCTCTGCTCACTGCAAGCTCCGCCACCCAGGTTCACGCCATTCTCCTGCCTCAGCCTCCTGAGTAGCTGCGACTACAGGTGCCTGCCACCACACCCAGCTAATTTTTTGTATTTTTAGTAGAGATGGAGTTTCACGGTATTAGCTAGGATGGTCTCGATCTCCTGACCTCGTGATCCACCCACCTCTGCCTTTAAACAGTTTTTTAAGTGATTCTACAGATACAGGTGTCCAGATGAAAACCACTGGTTATGGTTATGTAGCAATGTTCCACTAATTCTACAAATAAATAATATCATGTGGTTAAAAATAAATATTTCGGTCGGGTGTGGTGGCTCACACCTGTAACCCTAGCACTTTGGGAGGTTGAGGCGGGTGGATCACCTGAGGTCAGGAGTTGGAGACCAGCCTGGCCAACATGGCAAAACCCTGTCTCTACTAAAATAACAAAAATTAGCTGGACGTGGTGGCGCACACCTGTAATCCCAGCTACTTGGGATACTGAGGCAGGAGAATCGCTTGAACCCGGGAGGTGGAGGTTGCAGTGAGCCGAGATTGCACCAATGCACTCCAGCCTGGGTGACAGAGTGAGACTCTGAAAAAGAAAGGGAATGGAAGGGAAGGGAAGGGAGAGAGGGACAGAGGGAGAGAGGGAGAGAGGGAGAGAGGGAGAGAAGGAGATAAGGAGAGAGAGAAAGATTTCAGTATCTGTGACTTTTGGCACTGAGTAGACTATAAAACAAAATGAATTTATTGGTAAATGAAATCCTATATCCTACATAGAATACTATAGAGATATCAATACAATCTTCCAACAAATAATGGAAAGCAAAAGTAAATAACTTGAAATAAATTTGAATAAACTTTCATAAACACTAATAGAAATGAACTAGCAAAACGGTATATGAACAATATTCTTTTTTTTTTTTTTTTTTTTTTGAGGTGGAGTTTTGCTCTTGTCACCCAGGCTGAAGTGCAATGGCATGATCTCGGCTCCATGCAACCTTCGCCTCCCAGGTTCAAGCAATTCTTCTGCCTCAGCCTCCCTAGTAGCTGGGATTACAGGCCCCCGCCACCATACCTGGCTAATTTTTGTATTTTTGGTAGAGGTGGGGTTTCACCATGTTGGGCAGGCTGGCCAGGCTGGTCTTGAACTCCCAACTTCAGGTGATCCACCCACCTCGGCCTCCCAAAGTGCTGGGATTACAGGCGTGAGCCACTGCACCTGGCCAACAATTTTCTATACAATAGCCAAAGTACCTGAAACCAAAGGCGTCAGTAAAAACTTGGGACAAAGCATCCAGCAAGAAAACAATGTGAAGGATGCCTATTTCAAGCTAATACACACAGTAAAAGTAAATATTTTACTATTAGTGTATGATAAACACAGAAAAGTTAATGGATTCTAATACAATTGGACTCTTACACTACAGCAGTGCTTCCATTGGCTCACTGGACAACATCCACTTGCTATACTCTGCCACTAGAGAATCTCACTATTGCTATTGTCTGCCTGTTTTCTACTTCTCCCTCCCTCATCCCCTCTCCAGGTTGTTGAGCGTTTTGTCTTCAATGTAGGCACATTGCATGTGGTGTGGGGTGGCTAAGCTGCCAGAATAAATGAAATAACTTTGCTCTTCCTATATGCTAGGATACTGCATTTGTCTGTCCAGTGTCTCTGAACTGAATGCTTCCTAGGCTAACTCCACTGGAAATATGTTTAACTCATGGTTTTAATTTTGCACCAAGGTATGCACTTGGAGTTACATACTGCTTAAGATAAATCAATTTATAATTTCCGGTAGTTGGCTAACTTAATTTCCTGGCTAAATGGGGAATAATAAAATATCTTATTATCTCAATAAATCAATGAAAATTTTTGCTAATCCTGAGAGGCCTGGGTTTCTGGGATGACCCACTGGGTAGTGCTGTCAAGCAGAGGCCAGTTCAGGCATGTTTCAAAGGCAGAGGTTTATTCTTGAGTTATAATTGGTTTCTGTGGGTAACAAAGGCAAAAGGAATTTTTTCTTTAGCTGCAAAAAAAAAAAAAAAAAACCCTCAATAAAGCTCAACACTTACATTCACATTAAGCCCATTAGCAAATTAGGGATGAAAGGAACATTCTTTACCCTAGAAAAGGTATACATAAAAACATTTAAGCATGCATTATATTTAATAGAGCAACAGTAAAAGGATTTTCTTTAAAATCAGTATACCTGCTATCATCACTCTGTAATTCAATATTGCCCTGTAAGTTTTAACTAGTTTAATAGGCATGAAAATTTAAAATATGAAGACTGGAAAGGAAGAAACAAAATTGCCATTCACAGAATCCCCAAATAATCTTAGGATAAATTATTTGAATTGAGAAGAGCATTTAGCAAGGTTGTGATCAGTATCTAAAAGTCAATTGTATTTCAATACACCAGAAACAAATATCAAACACAAATCTTTAAAAATATAACATTTCCAACAGCAACAAAATATAATACTTAGAATAAATCTACTAAAATATTAGTAAAAACCTCTATGAAGAAAATTATAAATATTTATGACAAATATTAAGTGAAATCTAAATCAATGTCATGGACCAGAAGACTCAATATTGTAAAGATGTTATTTTTCCCCAAACTATCTATAGAATCAATATAATTCTAATAAAAATCCCAACAGGGTTTTGTTTTTAACTTAAACAGATCCTAAATTTATAAAAAGCAATGGGTTTAAGAGAATGAAAAGAGAAGCCACAGACTGGGAGAAAATCTTGGTAAAACATGTATCTGGTAAAAGATATATGGAAAATATACAAAGAACTCCTAAAACCCAATAATAAGAAAATAAACAACCCAATTAAAAAAATGGACAGAAGACTTGAAAAGAGACAGTACTTCACCAAGGAAGATATACAGATGGCAGATAAGCAATGAAAAGATGTTCTGTATCATACGTCATTAGCGAGTTGCAAATTAAAACAATGAGATACACTACACACCTATTAGAATGGCTAAAATCCGAAACACTGACACCAACAAATGCTGACAAAGATATGGAGCAACAGGAACGCTCATTCATTCTTAGTGGGAATGCAAAATGGTACAGCCACTCAGGAAGACATTTTAGCAGCTTCTTACAAAACTAAACATGTTCTTACTATACAATCCAGCAGCTGTATGTACGTCTTAGTATTTACCCAAATAAGCTGAAAACTTACATCTACACAAGAACCTACACACAGATGTTTAGAATAACCTTATTTTTCATTGCCAAAGCTTGGAAGCAACAAAGATGTTCTTCAGTAGGTGAGTGGATAAATACACTGTGGTACATCTATAAAAGGAATATTATTCAGCACTAAAAAGAAATGATCTATTAAGCCATGAAAAGAAATAGAGGAACCTTAAGTGCACATTGTTAAGTGAAAAAAGCCAATCTGAAAAGGCTACATACTATATAATTCCAACCATATTTTTTGGGCAAGACTATGGAGACAGTAAAAAGATCAGTGGTTGCCAGGGGTTCGGGTGGTGGGGAAGTGAGGGAGGGTCAGATGAATCGGTGGGAGCACAGGGATTTGTAGGGCACTGAAACTGTTGTGTATGATATATTGATGAATACGTGTAATTATACATTTGTCAAAACCCACAGATGTGTAACACAAAGAACCTTAGTGTAAACTATAAACTTTAATTAATAATAAGCATCAACAGAGGCTCATCCATTGTAACAAATGTGTTACACTAACGTAAGATATTAATGAGGGAACCTGCAGGCAGGAGTGGGGGCGACGGGCTATATGAGAGCTGTTTATACTTTCCCTTCAATTTTTCTATACGTGTAAAACTGCTCAAAAAATAAAGTCTGCTAATTAATTATTTAAAAATCAAAGAGTGAGCATACTCCTAAAAAAAAGGTAGAGGAATTTGCCTTATCAAAAATGAAGACTTATAAAAATGCCATAATAATGAAAACAGTATAACATTGATGCACAGATAGAAAAAACGTGATGGAATTGGACACAGAGCTCGGAAACAGACCTATGCATGGATGAAAATTTATCTACAGCACAACTCTCTCTGCAGATCAGAAAGGGAAAGGATGACTATTGAATAAAATGAAGTGTTCCACCCATAGGTATACACCCTAAAATAATGCTTCCCAATGTTTTTCACAGATTGGCAAAACATCTGTTTCACAGGATGTCTATTTGGCAGACTGGGATTAACGGGAGGGGATTTGAGGCCTTTAAGTGGAGCTTAGTTTAAAAAAACTAAATTTTCTTTATATAATACTTGTAAAACCAAGATTATATAGTAGGTATAAAATTAAATATTGAATAATTTTATAACACTTCCTAATAAAGTATTTTTAAAGTGTTATTGAGAAACTTGAGCTTACATCTGCAAACTTTTAAGTAGGTTTTATCTTTGAAATGACTACCTGCAGTTCCTGATCGAGAGTTTTAATTTAATCTCTCGGATTTCTAATAGTCACCATCAGTGAAAAATTTGCACAAATGGAGGCTAAAACTTCTAAATTTTTTAAAGATCACTCAAATTTAAGACATTTAAAATTGCATTTAAAGAAGCTCTTCTTTTTTTATGTTGGCAAAAGTAAAGTTGAAATTTCTTGTCAAAATGCCAGTGGATTTAGAATCCAATCTATCTTTTTTCATGTCAAGTCTTTCAAATGTTGAAGCTGTGATTCACAGAATGCCCCTGCGTTGTTAGAGCAGTTACCACCTGTTTTTATACATCTGTGGAATGTCCATTTGGAACACCCAGCTCTGCAGAGGATGGCTATGGCCCAAGGGTTTCATTAAGCCATTCTAAGGTAGCAAATCATTAATGTGATCACAGTTAACTAGGATTAAGAAATCAAGCTGGGAAAGATTATTTGATTAAAAAAAAAGCATTTGACGTTTTTGACACAGTAAGGATTTCAGAGTTCACATTACTGACTGAAAAAAAAAAAGTGACAAGATAGAGACTTGTTCGAGGTCGTATAGCTGGCCATGGAAGAGACAGAAATTAGGGCCCAGGTAGGTGCTCTGAGATGCCAAGTCCAGTGCTATTTCTGGAAGACCAGACATACATCCTTTGACAAAAAGGAAGGAGCAGGTGAAGTGGCTGTGTGGTTCTCTTTTTTTTTCCTAGTGAACTTTAAGCCCATACAATTCCAATTACTTCATCTTCTCCTTAAGACTTCTACATCCCCGGTGGGGCGCGGTGGCTCACACCTGTAATCCCAGCACCTTGGGAGGTTGAGGTGGGTGGATCACAAGGTCAGGAAATCGAGACCATCCTGGCTAACACGGTGAAATCCCGTCTCTACTAAAAATACAAAAAACTAGCCTGGCGTGGTGACGGGTGCCTGTAGTCCCAGCCACTCGGGAGGCTGAGGCAGGAGAATTGCGTGAACCCGGGAGGCGGAGCTTGCAGTGAGCCCAGATCCCGCCACTGCACTCCAGCCTGGGCGACAGGGCGAGACTCCGTCTCAAAAAAACAAAAAAACGGAACAGTTCTACATCCCCACGCCCTCCAGGGTAGAATCAGTTGGTTCTGCTTTGTTTCCATAACACTGAATTCTAGGTTCTATTAATTACTATACTTACCTCATTGCCTTGTGGTTAGTCCCATCTGTCTTCTGAGCTAGCTATGGGGTCAAAGATGACTAGTTATTCATTTCCATATTCCCAGGGCTGGCACAACGCCTGGTACAAAATAAGCATTTAACAAATGCTTATAGAATAAATGAAATAACAGCAACTCCTTTTCACTATTAAAATCTTAGCAGAGGCTAATTAGTGCCTACCCAGTTCTCTTACGTGGGAAAGTTCTGTACGAACCATTTTCCCCTTTCAGCCTCTTTCTTCTCTGTTCCCTCTCTATCCTTGAGAGGCTGCGCAGCTTGCTGAGTATGCAACGCCCCCAGGAACCCACGTGCTAGGAACTTCTTGGTTTTAAAGGAAAGATGCTGAAATTGAACCCAGCTGGGCATGTTCCCCAAAGCCCAGCCGCTTGCCATTTCCTTAGGAGCATCTCATTATCCTTTTTTGCTTTTGCTCTTTGGGCCTCTGCAAATGGTGAGAGGAAAAGGGCTGTTTTTTCTTCCAAGAGCAGGACATTCCAGGTGGGGCTTAGGAGCAACATGACATCCTGTTCTGTATGTGCCTTAGAAGGGTCTGAGATTTTTATAGTTTAAGGTAACCTGCAGAGAACTATTAACGTCACAAGGGAAGGAACCAGGGAGGACAATTCCTACGGAGAGGAAGAGAGAAGTTTGCTTACTGATAGTAGAAAAAATATTCATCATTCAAAGAAATGTCTGGGAATGGGGCTGAAAAAGTTGAGATCACTAAAGGTTGAGGGAGAACTTTAAAGACATCTTAGTAGGAAGGAAAACTTTACCCTGGCCCATAAACATCACATGTTAAGGCTTCTTTGAGAGCATAACCTACCACTCCCGCTGGGTTCTCTTTCTGCTCTAGCCACACTGATTTTACTGGGCCTGAAGTTCCCCAAACATTCTCACCTCTTCTTTTGGTAATGGCCAACCCATACTCTTTTTTGTTTGTTTGTTTGAGACAAAGTCTTGCTCTTGTCCCCCAGGCTGGAATGTGATGACATGATCGCTGCTCACTGCAACCTCTGCCTCCTGGGTTCAAGTGATTCTCCTGCCTCAGGCTCCTGAGTAGCTGGGATTACAGGCGCCTGCCGCCATGCCCGGCTAATTTTTGTACTTTTAGTAGAGATGGGGCTTCACCATGTTGGCCAGGCTGTTCTTGAACTCCTGACGTCAGGTGATCCACCGGCCTCAGCCTCCCAAAGTGCTGGGATTACAGGCGTGAGCCACCACTCCCGGCCCATGGTAAAGCCATAATCTTAAAGGCAGTGAAAGCCTTCAAGTGAAAGCCCGAGGACCCTCACATTCCTGTAATGATTGTAAATGTTTTATCCTAACTCGGGGAGCTTTTTTCCCTGAGAACTGTCTTCTGTCTTATCAGAATGTGATTTATCGCTGCACTTTGCAGATGATGCCTTCCCTATTCCCTTTTTCTCATAATTGCAATTACCCATCACTTTGATATTGGCTTTGGCAACCATCTCTATTTTCTTCTTCTTCTTGCCAAAGATTTCAGCAGCAAATAATAGGTGCTATAGGACATATTTAAGTCACTCTTCTTTGAAATTTGGAGAGTATTAGCAACATAGAATTTTAGTGCTGCAAGTAATTAGAACAATTCATAAATCTATGGTTATGGTCTTGTAGATGAGGGGGAAAAAATCCTTGTTCCTCTGCCCTTCTGAATTCTCCACTGGGGCCTTTGTAACAAAAGACAGATTTAAAAGTGAAAAACAAATAGAAGTGTATTAACACGTGTATCTCATATACATGGAAGGCTTAGAATTTGGGCTTAAATACCATCTCCAGTTAAAATAAAGGAAGAAAGCTATGGAGGAGGCAAGTTATGAGAAGGTGAATAGGGAAAGTGTGGTAAACAACTGTGAGGCTTATTATGCAAGTTTAAGTCCCAGAGCGATCATCTTTCTGATACAGAGAAGGAGAGATATCCTCACAAATGGAAATTTTCTTTATAAATTTCCCTTATTAAAAAAAAGTATCCTATGCTGTTTTCAGAGCCTCTACTGTCTGCTGTTTCTGAAAATAATCACATCAAAATAATCATTGTGCTGACCAGGCGCAGTGGCTCACGCCTGTAATCCCAGCACTTTGGGAGGCTGAGCCGGGTAGATCACGAGGTCAAGAGATCAAGACCATCCTGGCCAACATGGTGAAACCCCCTCTCTACTAAAAATACAAAAATTAGCCGGGCGTGGTGGCGGACGCCTGTAGTCCCAGCTACTCAGGAGGCTGAGGCAGAAGAATTGCTTGAACCCCGGAAGCGGAGGTTGCAGTGAGCCAAGATCATGCCACTGCACTCCAGCCTGGTGATGGAGCAAGACTCCGTCTCAAAAAGAAAAAAAAAAAATCATTGTGCCAAAAAAGCATATTTAGAGTAGCATAGTCTGGTCGGCTACAGGTTGCCTCCACAAAGTAGTACATGAAACACTGACATATATGTTAACTAAGGCTGGTGACTCAAATGAAATATTCATGAGCCTCATTTCTTATACCTATTTCTGGCAACATGGAGTCATTAAGATTTACCAGAATTAAAGTACAATTTTAGAGTAAGAAAGTCTCTGTGTGAAAACACTAAAGCTAAATTATGATATGCTTTTGTATCTATAAACTTTTTTTTTGAGAGTGAGTCTTGCTGTGTTGCCAGGCTGGAGTGCAGTGGCACAATCTCAGCTCACTGCAACCTCTGCCTCCCAGGTTCAAGTGATTCTTCTGCCTCAGCCTCCTGAGTAGCTGGGACTACAGGCATGTGCCACCACGCCTGGCTAATTTTTTGTATTTTTTTAGTTGAGACGGGGTTTCACCGTGTTGGCCAGGATGGTCTCGATCTCCTGACCTCATGATCCCCCCGCCCTGGCCTCCCAAAGTGCTGGGATTACAGGCGTAAGCCACTGCGCCCGGCCTCTATAAACTTTTCAAATAGAAACATGAAGTTGTACAAAAGAACTTTGATATATTTAAGGGTTTATTTTGCTAGATTAGTACTTGCTGCTCATTTCAACTAGCATGGCAAATTTCAAGAACATAACTTCAAACTATATAGGTTTAAATTAGATGGCCAGATTTAGTTTTTTTGGAATGACATTTGATTTTATGACAAATGAATAAAATATTACTGATAGTATTTTACAGTATGGAGACCACTTCCATGGGCGTGCAGAAGAAGAGAAATGGTTCTTAATTGGGTATAAGATGCTTAAATGCAGCTGGAAAATACATGTCAAATGAATGACTAGACTACATCTTACCATGTGCCTGTCTCTTCATGACCAATGAATTAGGACCACTGTCACAGAATCCTAGACCTCGTGTGAAGGCCACTGACATTAAGCCTAAAATTGCAGTAACTTCTGAAAGGAGCTAAAAGAATCTTAGATACCACAAAAAGAAAACCGTTTTTCTAGGGTTGTGAAACAAACTTTATGCAACAAAACTTACTTAAAAATAGTCACATTTAAAGCTATGTATTTTTGACTGGGCGTGGTGGTGGCTCACACCTGTAATCCCAGCACTTTGGGAGGGTGAGGAGGGGTGCATCATTTGAGGTCAGGAATTCAAGACCAGCCTGGCCAATATGGTGAAACACTGTCTCTACTAAAAATACAATAATCACCTGGGCGTGGTGCCTCATGCCTGTAATTCCAGCTACTCGAGAGGCTGAGGGGAGAGAATCGCTTGAACCTGGGAGGCAGAGGTTGCAGTGAGCCAAGATCATGCCACTGCACTCCAGCCTGGGCGACAGAGCGTGACTCCATCTCAAAAAAATAAAAAATTAGATAAATAAATAAATAAAGCAAGCTATGTATTTTCATTATGTACAGGCATCTCCTGCTTAATATAAGTAATCTGTAAAAATGAAAATTTGCTGTGTGAAGAAGCTAATAGAATTCATGATACACCTCAGTCAAATCCCTTAATTTCCTACAAAGACAATGGAAATGCAATAAAACTATCATGTTAGACTGTAAGATGCTTAAAGCATCTCTTAGTATCAAAGTTGCTTTGTGTGCAATAGTATCTTCTCTTCCCTATTTGTTTTTCTCACACATACGTGGCTGTCTTCTGTACAGTTTTAGACACTTGCTGTACTTTTTTGGGACTTGCACACCACTAGGTAAAAACAAGGTCTAGACGTGGAAGGCACTACGAAAATGCATTAAAAGCACATGCTGGAAAGTGGAAACAGCTGGAAACTGGTCACACATTTCCCCTATACAAACATCAGCTACAAGATGTTGCAAGAGACAGGTAAGATATGAAGCTTTGAGACTGTATTAGCTTTCTATCACTGCAAATTCAGTAGCTTCAAACAATACACATTTGTTATCTTCAGTTCTATAGGCTGGAAGTTGACCTCAGCTTCCCGAGTAGCTTGGATTACAGGTGTGCACCACTATGCCCAACTAATTTATGTTATTTTTTGTAGAGGTGGGGTTGCACCATGTTGCTTAGGCTGGTCTCAAACTCTTGGGCTCAAGCGATCCACCCGCCTTGGCCTTCCAAAGTGCTGGGATTACAGGTGTGAGCCACCATGACTGGCTTCCTTCTACTTTTAAGGTCCTCTTCCTTTTGGAAGAAGTCACCAAATGATCTGGGTGGGCCCAGTGTAATCACAATGAAATCACCCTTGTGATTACATTGGGCCCACCCACATAATCCAGGATAGCCTTCCTATTAAGGCCAGGTGATTAGCAGCTTATCTATAACCTTCCTTCCCCTTTGCCATGGAAGGTAACATACCCACAGGTTCTGAGGATTAGGACACGGAAATCTTTGGGGTGTCATTATTCTGCCTACTGTAGTTATTTATTTAGTTATTTTTGAGACAGAGTTTTGCTCTTGTTGCCCAGGCTGGAGTGCAATGGCACGACCTCAGCTCACTGCAACCTCTGCCTCCCCGGTTCAAGCGATTCTCCTGCCTCAGCCTCCTGAGTAGCTAGGATTACAGGCTCCTGCCACCATGCCTGGCTAATTTTCTCTCTCTTCTTTTTTTTTTTTTTTTTTTTTTTTTTTTTTTTTTAGTAGAGATGGGGTTTCACCACATTGGCCAGGTTGGTCTCGAACTCCTGACCTCAGGCGATCCACCCACCTCAGCCTCCCAAAGTGCTGGGCTAACAGGCGTGAGCCACTGCGCCAGGCCTACTGTAGTTATTAAAATGCAAAACCTTTCAGAAAAAAATGTTATGTGGGCAGATATTTCTGCTGGATATGCCTAGCGATAGTTTGTTTTTAAAAACTCAGATGCTTTTTCAAGTTAAAGTGAATTTCAGCTAAAGTATGAAACAATGAAACAATGGCATTACTGTGGTTGTATAAGCAGGGACTGGAACTGTGAAAGCTATTATATTCATTTTTCCTGTGATGTGTATTTTAGTTTGCTAGGGCTGCCATAACAAAGTACCAAAAACTGGGCGGCTTAAACAACAGAAATTTATTTTCTGTCAAATCTGGAGTCTAGCCGTTGGTTGGAGTTCAAAGTTTCCGCAGGGTTGATTTGTTCTGGGGCCTGTCTCCTTGGCTTGTAGATGGCCATTGTCTCCCTGTGTCTTCACTTCTTTCCTGTGTATCTGTGTCCTAATCTCTTCTTGTGTTACAGGTAGTTAGACAAGCATAAGCGGGGCAGGAGAGGGTTCTTCCCCCACCCACTAGGAATGTCAGGTGGTGGTTCAGCAGTGACCACATTGCCTCTCTAAAAGTGATCAACTGGCAGCCAAGGCCCAGGGGCGGGGTGGGGTGGGCATTTCCTGATGGCCCACACCTGCTGCACTTAAGTGTTAATTAAATGCAGGTGCCAAAGAGATGCAACTTCCTGGGCATGCACATTAAGGACAAAATGGTGGAGTACAACCTTCCAGGGGCACACCACCAGGAAAGGGAAGAAAGCCTCAGATGGGCATATGTACAGCTTCCTCAACACTGTGTGTGCTCACTTCCCAAGTGTAAGGAGGGTGCTGTGTGTGCCGGCAGCCCACCCTAAGGGAAGAAGCATGGAAAGGGGCCAGCCTGTAAAATCCTAGCTAGGTCAAGGTTAAACACTGCACTTGGCCTTCAGGTGCCCACTTGGGTCTCTTCCAAGTGAACTTTCCTTTCTTTCCTGCTCTAAAGCCTTTTTAAATCAACTTCCATTTCTGCTCTGAAACTTGCCTGGTCTCTTTTTCTGCCTTATACCCCTCAGTCAAATTCTTCTGAGGAGGCAAGAACTGAGGTTGCTGCAGACCTATATGGATTCGTCACCGGTAACTCAGACACCTTCTATGGGTGACACAAGGACAGCAGTCATACTGGATTAGGGCCATTCCAATGACCTCATTATCCTTAATTACCTCATTAAAGATCCGATCTCCAAATCTAGTCACTTTCTGAAGTATCAGAGGTTAAAATTCCCACATATGAATGTTAGGGGAAACAATTTAGCCCATAACAAGATCTAACAAATTTAATGATTAACTTGTAAAAGACACTACATTAACAGAAGACCACTGGAAAAGATAAAAGTGGGGAGAGTGGGATACAACTTATACACATGTACTCATTGACAATTACTCTCAGGTAGAATTTTTTCTACAAAAATGGTGATTTATTTAACATACAATGGTAGATATATTGGGGATCATCAAATTTTTAAAAATTTTTGTTGGGCTTACTTTACATATTACAATACTAACGTAAGCTTATAAACTCTTCCATTTCAGTGAAGGAAAGGGATCCAATTAACACCTGCTAGCAGCTTGGCTAAGAACGGACATTAAAATCAGACAAAACACTGAAAATATAAAGTACTTTTCTCCAAATGTGTATACAAAGTTTTGGAACAAAATCACTGCCTGCTCCACAGGACAGACAATTTGAATTTCAAAAATGCTCCAGGCCGGGAATTGCATAACCCTGTGTAACAATACTTATAATACAGCTTAACAATATTGTATCGAAGACTTTTTCATTTGAGATTTTTAAAAAACTGAAGTAAAAGAAAAACAGTAGCCAAGGAACTGCACAACCAAAAAATGAAAATTATATAAAATATTTCCACCACTATTTAAATGCCAAATTTAATCAAGCAATAGTAAAAAAACAAAACAACATAATAATACAACCTTCTGTTTAAAATAACAGCACTGTTCCACCTCTCTTCCATTGAATTTTACATATGAACAGACTATATATACTGGTTTTTTAGAGAAATGTCCATTTGGTCTGCCACACCTATCGGGCTCATCCTAAATCCTCTCATTGTCTTCAGAGGACTTGCAATTCCATGCTGTTTCTGTATTTCCAGCCTTCCGGGGTAGGTGCAATGTCTCAAGTATAATACATTTCTCCCTTTTCCTTTACACAGTGCAGAGTATATGGGCTTAGGTTATGTAGATTCTGTTTCACTCCAGGTCACTGTCTTTCTCTAAATTCAAGGCGGTATTCAACGGAGTGCAGTAGTTTGGCTTGTCAGAAGGCACGTAGCCTGGCAGACACAAACACTTGTAGGAACCATCGGTGTTAATGCACTTGGCATTCTTGCAGAGAGACATCCGGTTGTTCAACTCATCGCATTCATTTACATCTGCAATAAGTCAAGCCATGCAGGTAAACAATCTTGGATATTATTCTGTGAGGACACATAACCTGAGGCTTACCTGAGGCCCTTCCCCCGACCACCCCAAGGAAGCTTTCTCGTCATTGCTTCAGTCACAGACAAGACGAAGATGACTTTTTTGAGATCTTAAAGAGGCAGATTATCAGGGAGGTTCTAGAACTTCTTTCACTGTTATCTAGCAAAACATGAGCATTTTGTGAGCTTGACATTTTCTAGTAGAACCTCAAGGAAGTTGGAGGAACTATATTACTTCCAAATTCCTTCCCATAGGTATGGAGGAACTGCTAGATTTGTCAAGAGGAACCAGATACCTACGCAGAGGCCTCTCCATACAGCCTGTCTAAAGCCTTCCATAACATTCACAGACCTCCTTCTACATGAGACCCATTTAGGCTCTCACTCACTTGAAACATCTGTTAAGAAGCTAGGTTACCTATTTTACAGACACACCATGGATTAAAACTAACAAAAGCAAAGTGGGCAAAAGGACTGCTTCAAGATGGAGAAGAGGCCAGGCGTGGTGGCTCACGCCTGTAATCCCAGCACTTTGGGAGGCCAAGGTGGGCGGATCACGAGGTCAGGAGATTGAAACCATCCTGGCTAACACGGTGAAATCCCGTCTCTACTAAAAATACAAAAAAAAAAAAAAAAAAAAATTAGCCGGGTGTGGTGGCGGGTGCCTGTAGTCCCAGCTACTCAGGAGGCTGAGGCAGGAGCATTGCTTGAACCTGGGAGGCAGAAGTTGCAGTGAGTCAAGATCACCCCACTGCACTCCAGCCTGGGCGACAAGAGTAAAACTCCATCTCAAAAAAAAAAAAAAAAAAGAATTGTGGTAAAATACACAGAACATATTTACCATTTTAACCATTTTTAAGTATATAGTCCAGTGGCATTAAGTATATTCATACTGTACTTAATGTACATCTCCAGAACTTTTCTCATCTTCTCAAACTGAAACTCAGCAAATCTATCTTAAATGTTCTCTACTGACTGAGATACGGGGTGTCAGGAAAAAATTAATGTCCCATAAAACACACGTCATTCTTACCGACACAGGTCATCTTGGCCGTATCCAAGTGATACCCATCAAAGCAATCGCAGGTGTAACCTTCCTGGACCCTCACACAGCGACCATTTTCACATCCATTGAGGATGCCGCATTCCTCAGCCTGTAACTCCTCAAAGCTATTTAGAAAACCTGGAAAGGAAAGGGCAGAAGCTAAGTTAGAGCTTCTCAACTTCCTATATCATTTTGTAAATGATATTTAGATGATGGTTCATTTTCCAAATAGACACATATATGTCCATACATATTTCAGACATCTTAAAGTTAGCATTAGAAATACTGAATGTTGCTGTGTAAAATAGCATAAAAATAAAAAACTTGTATATTTTGTGCAGAGTAGCCTCATTTTGAATTCTGATATTCTATGTTAAAATCACATAAAACGAGAAAGCAAGTATGGTTTTTGTTTTTGCTCTTAATTATTAAAAGTGTTCATCCAAAGTTCCAAACTTCGTGAGTTTGCAGTAGGGCAAGTGTCAGACTCTCAGAACAGAACCAACAGAATTCACTATCGGAGTCTAGTAAGCATTTGCTAAGAAGGTCCGTAAGAGTGTGAGGCAATACGTTTTCAGCCGGCGTTTGTAAGACCAGAGAGAAGCAGGCTGGCTCTGCCATGTGTTTGTTTGCTCTGGCTACGGAATGAGCCTTACAAAAGGGCTCCCAGGGGATCAAAGGAAAAATTCAGTAAAAGGGCCTCAAAACATCCTGATGAATGAGAAAGAACATCATACTTGTGTTTAGAAAACCCAAAGTCTGGGCTCATGCCTATAATCCCAGCACTTTGGGAGGCTGAGGCGGGCAGATCGCCTGAGGCCAGGAGTTCAAGACCAGCGTGGCCAACATGGTGAAACCCTGTCTCTACTAAAAATACAGAAAATTAGCCGGGCGTGGTGGTGGACACCTGTAATCCCAGCTACTTGGGAGGCTGAGGCAGAAGAATCGCTTGAGCCTGAGAGGTGGAGGATGCAGTGTGCTGAGATCACGGCCACTGTCCAGCCTGAGCAACAGAGCAGGACTCTGTCAAAAAAACAAAAGACAAAAAACCAAAAAACAAAACAAAACAAAACACACACACACACCAAAAAAAAACAGAACCAAAAGTTTTTTTTTAAGGAAACAAAGAAACTCTTGTTTGGCTCTTTTTATAGTTTAGATCTCTTGAAACCAAGTCAGAGCTAGACTTTAGAGTTTTTGTGATGTAAAAACAATTTAGCCAGGCATCAAGAGTGTTTAGCTCTCATTTTGCAGAGGAAAGTTCTAAACATAAATCCACAGTGACCCAACACACTGTCATGTGGCCTCTCATCTCCTGTCTCTTCCCAATAGTACCACAAAGTAGCTTCAAAAAAAAAAAAAATATATGGCTAGAACTTTCTATCTGGCCTTTGAAGTAATTCTCCAGTGGAACTGCAGGGGGCAGCAGGCAGCAAAATATCATTGCTTATGGAGGGCAATAAGGTCTAACTTGGAGGAATTGGACAAGGATATGGAGTTTGGTCTCCTTGATCACCAAAAAGCAACCAACTTAGCCAGCTTTTTTTTTTTTTTTCTAAACAAGGAAATAAAGACTTACTTGTTACTTCTCTTAACTACAACAAAAAAGAAGTTTCAACAATGACTAAAGTGCCTGAGGTCAACATGAAGACAAATTTGGTCAGAGTTTCTCTTACATTCTAAGATTAGGTGCCCTGAGGGGAGATAGGTGAAGAAGAAACTTTAGAGCATGCCCTTCAGAGAAGAAAGTGGGTTTTAGAGATGACCGAAAAATATACAATAAGTGAATCTTAAATTATCTGTTTGGGTAAGAACAATACACTGGTATTGGGGGACTTGAGTTCCCATTCCCATTTCCCTATGTGTACCTTGTAAACTTGGGCAGAAAGCTTATTTTTCTCACGTATGAAGTAAAAGCACTGAATTTTAGGATCTCTAAAGCCCCACTCAGTTATAGGTTTATTTTGTGGAAATGAACCATGGGATTTGAATCAGAGGAACTCGGTCTTCTGCTCATGCCTGTGACCCTGGCCAAGTCACTTGATTTTGTTGAAACCAGGTTCCTCATTTAAAAATAGAGAAACGATGCTATGTAGAATGGCATACCCAACATTGAACACAATGTCTGCACTCAGTAGAAGTATTTTGTAATGAATGAACACTTTTCTACCTTGTAAAGATTAAATGAGATTTGGCATAAGTTTGGGGGATAAAAAAGAAAATATGGTACATATACACCATGGAATACTAGGCAGCCATAAAAAAGAATGAGATAATGTCTTTTGCAGGAACATGGATGGAGCTGGAGGCCTATCATCCTTAGCAAACTAACGCAGGAACAGAATACCAAATACCACATGTTCTCACTTGTAAGTGGCAGCTAAATGATAAGAACTTATGAATACAAAGAAGGAAACAGCAATGACTTTCTTCACGGAATTGGAAAAAACTACTTTAAAGTTCATATGGAACCAAAAAAGAGCCTGCATTGCCAAGACAATCCTAAGCCAAAAGAACAAAGCTGGAGGCATCATGCTACCTGACTTCAAACTATACTACAAGGCTACAGTAACCAAAACAGCATGATGCTCGTACCAAAACACAGATACAGACCAATGGAACGGAACAGAGCCCTCAGAAATAATACCACACATCTACAACCATCTGATCTTTGACAAATCTGACAAAAACAAGAAATGGGGAAAGGATTTCCTATTTAATAAATGGTGCTATGGTGCTGGGAAAACTGGCTAGCCATATGTAGAAAGCTGAAACTGGATCCCTTCCTTACAAAATTATACAAAAATTAATTCAAGATGGATTAAAGACTTACATGTTAGACCTAAAACCATAAAAACCCTAGAATAAAACCTAGGCAATACCATTCAGGACATAGGCAGGGGCAAGGACTTCATGTCTAAAACACCAAGAGCAATGGCAACAAAAACCAAAATTGACAAATGGGATCTAATTAGACTAAAAAGCTTCTGCATAGCAAAAGAAACTACCATCAGAGTGAACAGGCAACCTACAGAATGGGAGAAAATTTTTACAATCTACCCATCTGACAAAAGGGCTAATATCCAGAATCTACAAAGAACTTAGACAAATTTACAAGAAAAAAAATCAAACAACCCCATCAAAAAGTGGGAGAAGGATATGAACAGACACTTCTCAAAAGAAGACATTTATGCAGCCAAAAGACACATGAAAAAATGCTCATCATCACTGGCCATCAGAGGAATGCAAATCAAAACCACAATGAGATACCATCTCACACCAATTACAATGGCGATCATTAAAAAGTCAGGAAACAACAGGTGCTGGAGAGGATGTGGAGAAATAGGAACACTTTTACACTGTTGGTGGGACTGTAAACTAGTTCAACCATTGTGGAAGACAGTGTGGCGATTCCTCAAGGATCTAGAACTAGAAATACCATTTGACCCAGTCATCCCATTACTGGGTATATACCCAAAGGTTTATAAATCATGCTGCTATAAAGACACATGCACATGTATGCTTACTGTGGCACTATTCACAATAGCAAAGACTTGGAACCAACCCAAATGTCCATCAATAATAGACTGGATTAAGAAAATGTGGCACATATACACCATGGAATGCTATGCAGCCATAAAAAATGATGAGTTCATGTCCTTTGTAGGGACATGGATGAAGCTGAAAACCATCATTCTCAGCAAACTATTGCAAGGACAGAAAACCAAACACCGCATGTTCTCACTCATAGGTGGGAATTGAACAATGAGAACACTTGGACACAGGATGGGGAACATCACACACCAGGGCCTTTCGCGGGGTTGGGGGAGGGGGGAGGGATAGCTTTAGGAGATATACCTAATGTAAATGATGAGTTAATGGGTGCAGCACACCGACATGACACATGTATACATATGTAACAAAACTGCACGTTGTGCACATGTACCCTAAAACTTAAAGTATAATTTAAAAAATTTAAAAAAAGAACTTACTCATATAACCAAATACCACAAAAAAAAAAAAAAAAAAAAAAAAAGAAGAAGAAGGAAACAACAGACACTAGTGGAGGGTGGGAGGAGGGAAGCAGAAAAGGTAATAACTATTGGGTACTGGGCTTCACACCTAGGTGATGTAATAATCTGTACCACTAACCCCCATGACATGTTGCCTATGTAACAAACCTTTATATGTACCCCTGAACCTAAAAGTTAAAAAAATTTGTACCATAAAAAAAAAATTGAGTAATACATCCATGGCAGGCCCATTTTAAAACTTTAAAGGAGAACAAGAGTCCCAGCTACTCAGGAGGCTGAGGCAGGAGAATCTCCTCAGCTCATGGGGTGAAGACCAGCCTGGGCAATATAGTGAGACCCCAATTTAAAAAAAAAAAAAAGTGACACCACATACTCAAAGCCAGTTAAGAAACACACAAAATAAAGACTTAATCTACGACAATATTTTCAGATCCCATGTATCACAGCAAAATGATTTCTACTTCATATCTAATACCTTTTTTATTATTACAGAAATTAAAACATAAAAAGTAAAACTTGAAACTCCCCACACATCAGGCAGGCTCCCCAAAATACTTCTGCAGGACTCTAAAACAGGTCAGGACACTACAGTCTCTGGTCCAAATCTGGCCTGCTACCTATTTTTGTAAATAAACCCAGCCACGCCCATTTGCTGCTGTGCTATCTAGGGCTGCTTTTGTGAAACTACAGTAGAGTTGAATACCTACAACAGAAACCACATGACCTGCAAAGCCTACAAATTTTACCATCTGGGCTCGGTGCGGTGTCTCACACCTTTAATCCCAGCACTTTGGAAGGCCAAGGCAGGTGGATCACAAGGTTAGGAGTTCAAGACCACCCTGGCCAACGTGGTGAAACTCCATCTCTACTAAAAATGCAAAAATTAGTCGGGCATGGTGGTGCATGCCTATAATCCCAGGGCTACTCAGGAGGCTGAGGCAGGACAATCACTTGAACCCAGGAAGTGGAGGTTGCAGTGAGCCAAGATTGCACCGTTGCACTCCAGCCTATGCAAGAGAGGAAGACTCTGTCTCAAAAAAGAAAAAAAAAAAATACTACCTGGCCCTTATAAAGGGCAAATGTTTGCCTATTCTCTGCTCAAGCAAATTCCAGTTTTAGAAGTACTGCTCTCCCTAAAGGTAACAGAGATGGTGAACCATAAAGGCGATAAGAAACCTCACTCAGCCTCCGTCTATGTTACTATCTACCCAACACAATCATTTTTGCAGCAGGCTCCAAAAGCCCTTGCTGGAGGTCAGAAAACTGGCTGGGAAGGGGGAAATATTTCTCTGCAACTTGTAAGAAATGTAAAGGCCATTACATCGTCCAAGCTGGAGGTCTTGGAACTGCATCTCAATTTCCTATGTTGCTAAATAAGAGATTGATGTGACACCAACATGTTTATTTCTTAACATGTGTAGTTAATTAAAAAAAAGAGCTTTAAAGCAATGCCAGCATTAAAAAGAAGGTACATAAGCCAGACATTTCAACATGAAAATTCCTGGAATCCAAACTATAATGCCATAGAGGCTTCTGACTTTTAGACTCTCAGGACCCATCAGTGCCTGGGATTTTGGTTCTCCATTTGTCCTGGGGTTACTGAGGTTTCAGTGCTTTTCATAATCCCAGGCTCTTGCTTACATCTAAGAACAGAGTTATTGAGGAGGTCTAGGGAGGAAAGCTGTAAGCCACGGGATTGTCAGAGTTGCATATAGACTTAACCTGGTATTCCTGATTAATGGGGCAAGCTGGGCTTTCTTTCAACCTTAATAATTCTTCTCCCTTCCTTTTTTCTTAAGTAAACGTTTACTGACCCGTAACATATACAGAGAAGCATCAAACCCTAAGTGCACAGTCTTGTAGCTGTGAGTGCATTCTGGTCCATTTCATAAAGAGCTGCATGGTTATGTGCTGTGGATGAAAAGAAAGAGTGTTGTTCATCTATGGTGTTAGGAGTCAGGATAGTGGTTACCCTAGGGAGGGGGGTGGGAAAAGGCACCAGGGGCCTTCTGGAGGCTGGCACTGCTCCTGGCCTGGGTGGGAGTTACACAGGCGTGTGTTAAGCAGCCTAGCTGGATTAATAGAATGTTCTTATCATGGACATTTTAAAACATTTTTAATTCTACCAGATGATCAATACACTACATCCTTCAAAAAAAAAAAGGTGGAGGGGAAGGAAGGACAAGGAGGGAATGAAGAAGGGAGAGAAAGGGAAAAGAGAAAGAGAAGAGAAGGAAAAAAAAAATAAAAGCTCTTGATGCAGAACTGAAATAGATCCTAAATTCAGCTAGAAATCTCATGCTGTTGCCCCAGAACTGGGTCCTGGCTAGGACGCTTCGTGCACAGGTGACAGGGCCCAGGACAGAAAAAAGCTTCACTGCATTTTTCTCTAAAGTCCTAAGTCAAACTCCTCGGTCGGCAGCAATTACCTATCTTAAAAATGTGGTGCAGGCCAGGCATGGTGGCTCACACCTATAAGCACTTTGGGAGGCCGAGGCGGATGAATCACTTGAGTCCAGGAGTTCGAGACCAGCCTGGACAACATGGTGAAACCCCCCATCTCTACGGAAAAAATACAAAAATTAGCTGCACATAGTGGCACGTGCCTGTAGTCCCAGCTTCTCGGGAGACTGGGGTGGGAGGATCGCTTGAGCCCAGGAGGCAGAGTTGCAGTGAGCTGTGATCATGGCACTGCACTCCAGCCTGGGCAACAGAGCGAGACCCTATCTCAAAAAAAAAAAAATTTGTGGTGAAGCTACACGTGAGGATGGCCCCTCTGTGAGCTGTGGACGAGGCTCTCAAAATGGGCGTTTTCCTGTTCTCGTTCTTGAAGTGAGACTATCTACTATCTACTAATATTTCATTGTGGACCTCCTGCTGTTTCAGACTTCAAATTGTCTGTATTTGAAAAGTCTGATTTGAGCTTGTGTGTTTGTAGGCTTCCTCACACAACATTTACGTTCTAAAGGGGATCACAATTTGCAGATACACACTCCCACCTCCCCCATGAAAGCTGTGCTCACTAATCCAGGAAAAGTTGGCACACATTATTTCTTACTCCATAAATCCCCTCACCAATGTATTTTAAAAAGTCATTTCTGACCAAAAGGGCAATTCTTCTCTTACCTCCTACTCTAAAACACTTATAATAATGATCAACTTGTACAGTTAACATTTGCATTTCCCTGTAGGAAAAAAAGGCTGCAATACAACTGGGCTCTCATGGAAACCTTGGCCCTCAAACTAGTCCACCACTTAAAGAGAAGAGAAATGATTTTGTTATAGAAATTATAATGATAGGCAGGGCACGGTGACTCATGCCTGTAATCCCAGCACTTTGGGAGGCCAAGATGGATGGATTACAAGGTCAGGAGTTCAAGAAGAGCCTGACCAACATGGTGAAACCCAGTCTCTACTAACAATACAAAATTTAGCCGGGCATGGTGGTGCGTGCCTGCAATCCCAGCTACTTGGGAGGCTGAGGCAGCAGAATCGCTTGAATCCGGGAGGTGGAGGTTGCAGTGAGCTGAGATCGTGCCACTGCACTCCAGCCTGGGTGACACAGCGAGACTCCATCTCAAAACTTTAAGAAAAGTAAATATAACAGTATCCCCACCAGCAAGACTATTCATCAAATGCAATGGTTCTTTTTGTTTGTTTTGAGATAGGGTCTCATTGTGTTGCCCAGGCTGGAGTGCAGTGGTGTGATCTCGGCTCACGAATGATGCAGTGGTTCTTAGACTCACCCACGCAGAAGGACTGCCCTTGTGAAACAAAGATGGCTGGGTCCCACCCTAGACTTTCTGACCAGCAGGTCTGGGGTGGGACCAGAAATGCTGCATTGCTAACAAGTTGCCATTACATTTTGAGGACCACTGATTAATCTTCAACCACAACTTAGTATCAAAGGAACAAGGTTATTTTGCTTACGGTCTTGGATGAAGTAGGGATCGGCTTCTGGAGTATACTGTTCACTGAAGTCAACCAAGGCGTCCCGTCCATATGGCTGCCGGCGTCCCGTCACGGGGATGTTACACAGCTGAGCATAGTCATCTAAGGAGTAGACAAGCAGCATGAGGCCCCACCACTGTTAGCTCGCACCTGCCCCACCCCCTCGCAGCTCAGAGCAACGGGAATCTGCCAGCACACCCTTCCACGTGTGTCTCCATCTCCTGCGTACCACTGAGCCTGGAAAGTGTCTGAATATCTTTTGATGGGAATTTTATGCATCCACGTACAACGACTGCTGTACAGCATAATTAAGGTTCCAAATTGAAGATCAAAAATATTAGCTTAACAGTGGGTAGACCACATCCCAGAGCAGTAAAGGGCTGACAAAACGGAGCCATCTGAGAGTGCTTCAGGCCTTTTGGAAGGATGGCTTTATCTAAAGCCATCAAGAGTTATCATCAAAAACATTTTTAAAGTAGAAAGTAGTCATTCTGACAGAGAGGTGCTTTTTCGCTCTCTAGAGACAGGAATAAATATATCTCTGGTGTCCAAAAATGATACAGCACCAGGCAAGGATGCTGCTTAAATTTAGTAGTCACGATTATAACTCTACAGTCTCTATGGATAGCATTATAGCTATGCTGAGAGTCATAATAATCACGATAATAAGAACAGCCGTGGTAGTGGTAATAACAACAGCTACCAGTCATATAATGCTTGCTCTATGCCAGATACTGTTCTAAGCACTTAATACACATCGATGCACTAAAAGACGCACACCATCCTATGTTCTACCATCTCCATTTTACCAGTGAGGAAACAAAAGCACAGAGAGGTTACATGACAGCTGCCATGTGGCAGAACCTGATTTGAAGTCAGAAACGAAGCTCCAGAGTGTACAGTTTTCACATTTGTCTCCCCTGCAATGATCTCAGCTCCTTTGGAATTCCTGTCCTTACCATCTCTGTACCCCAGCTAGACCCATCTGTGGTTTTCACCTCCTGAGGCCATATTGCTGTTCCACACTGGGTCAGCCCCACGGCCCCCTGACTCCTAGACTCCCCTTTACTCCTCCCCCAAGGACCCACCAGTGCACAGGATTTTGGTTCTCCATTTGTCCCGGGGTTACTGAGGTTTCAATGCTTTTCATGATCCCAGGCTCTTGTCTACATTTAAGAACAGAGTTATTGAGAAGGTCTAGGGAGGAAAGCTGTAGAAAGGACAGCCTCATGTTCTGAGTATGTTCCACAAAATACACTTCCCAAAGATACATCTAGCAGTTGGTGAAATTCTGGGGCTCCACGGATGTCAACAGCTCTGTTAGGACTGTGAGGTGCAGGCAGGCTACAGGCCCCAGGACCAGATGGACATGAGTGGGGCAGTCACACAAGGCAATGGCCACACTTGCCTAGAATTTTCCTCTATTGTCATGCAAGGCAATGGCCACACTTGCCTGGAATTTTCCTCTATTGTCGCGCAAGGCAATGGCCACGTTTGCCTGGAATTTTCCCCTATTGTGTTTATTCTTGCAACATACAAAAAAAAAAAACCCCACCAAGGCAATACTGTGAACCCTGAAGGCTTTCTTTTATCAGCTCCTACTTAAATGACTGGAGGAATGAGGGTGACGAATCAAAGGTGTGTGTGTATGCATGTGCACACGTGCACACACACATTCTGAGAACTGCCCAAAGCAAGCGTGAGGCCAGAAAAGACCTTGAACCACTGGATAGGGTAGGATTCTGGCTGCCCCTGTCTAAAATTCTCCTTATGTGGAAGCATTCCAGGAACAACATCCAGACTCCAGGCGTCCCAGCACTTTTGCATGAAACCATTCTGTGTGAAATATTAATTTCATTAAGGAAATAGCCGAACCTGGAAAAAGATTCTTGACTCAAAAGAAAAGAACTACTTCAAACAGAGAGAGCACAAATGGCTGTCAGTTCTGCTTAAAGTTTGAAAACGCAGAATTAAGGATTTCTTTGCGAGAGCAAGATTGCTGAAATGTTTACAAGTTTCAAGAGCTGAGGTCATCTTCTCCCATTATTTTTTATATACATTTGTTGTACATCTGAAAGACAGACTTGTTCCATATTTTATATTGAAGCCACAGTTGTGATCTAGAGGAGATGTTAAAAATGAATTAATTCTGGTACTTATTTTTAAAGAAACTGTCGGCCGGGCATGGTGGCTCATGACGCAGGTCAAGGTGGGTGGATCACGAGATCAAGAGATGGAGACTATCCTGGCCAACATGGTGAAACCCTGTCTCTACTAAAAATACAAAATTAGCTGGGCATGGTGGCACGTACCTATAGTCCCAGCTACTCAGGAGGCTGAGGCAGGAGAATCGCTTGAACCTAGGAGGCAGAGGTTGCAGTGAGCCGAAATTGCACCACTGCACTCCAGCCTGGGTGATAGAGCGAGACTCCGTCTCAAAAAAAAAAAAAAAAAAAAAAGGGTCTTGCTCTGCCACCCATGCTGGAATGCAGTGGCACCATTGTGGTATCGTGGTTCACTGCAGCCTCAAACTCCTGGGCTCAAGCGATCCTTTCACCTCAGCCTCCTGAGTAGTTGGAACTACAGGCATGAGCTACCAAACCTGGCTAATTTTTGTTATTTTTTGTAGAGACAGGGTCTCACAATGTTGCCCAAGCTGGTCTCAACTTCTAGGCTCAAGCGATCCTATCACCTTGGCCTCCCTAAGTGCTGGGATTACAGGTGCGAGCTGCCGTGCTTGGCCAAGGTACTTATTTTATAAAGTGAAATCCAGAGATGGCTGAGCATCCTGCTGATGCCTGTTGGCTGTCAGAGAAGCCTTGCTGAGACTTGAGGTCCGGGGATGTCGAATGCCATGATCAGGGGCTGGCCAGGGCAGCCACCTTCAATCCAGTGCACTCCCCTAGACATGCTTCCTCCACCAAAGAAATGAGATGGGCTTGAGTCTCTAAGCTGTCACTCTACAGCAACGCCAGAGGAAAGGACTGAAGGTGAGGGTGAAGAGGAAGGGCAGGCTCCTGTTCCTATGCAATGTTTAGGAACAGCTCCCTGCAAAAGGTGGACCTGAACTGAAACTAAGTAGGTATGTAGGAATTATGTTGCAGAATTTTGGATTAGTTTTTAAAAGCACGTACCCAAAGGCATCAAGAAAGAAAACTAAGTTGTTTTTTGGAACTACCAAATGGTTCCTAAAGAAGTCTTCTGACTAGACCAAGGCTAGGGAAGCGGGCAGTGGAGGGTAATGGGTTGGGGGAGGTACTTCTGGGATATTCCACATCCTCCTTCCTTTCCTTTCTTCCCCTGCCATGCGTTTTTTCCTCTTAAAATGCTAGAGCGTGTTGCCCTTTGCTGCTTCACTTTTCTCTAACACATTCACATTCCAAGCTCCAAGACAGTTTTGGTCAGTGATCAAAACATCCTTTCTGCACCATGTCTTCTCTTCTGTATCTGAAGATGTGCTAAAGTCCCGTCATCACCAGGAAATGTATTTTGAATTATTTTTCTGGGAGCCTGCACAGGTCTGTCCTAATCCATCCACGCCGCCCTTCCCATCATGCACATCTGCCCTGATTCTTGGCCAGGATCGTGGGGTAATGGGAAGAACATGGGCTTCAGAGGTGGAAGCTGAGGCTCAAGTCCTGACTGCACCACTTACTTCCCAGCTTAGCAGTTTTGGGCAAGCCTCAGTTTCCACATCTGTAACACAGGAACAAGAATTCTTGTTTGACTACATCTGTGTTACTGATATGTAAAAAAATGAGATAATGTTGTGAAACTATTTTAAAAATTTGAAGCATCAAGAAAATGGAGAATCCAATTTTTTCCTGTGGGTGACATCACTAAGTCCCTAGTGAACATTTGGAAATAAATGAAGTTTTTTTTAAAGACAGTATTATAATGAGTGAGTGATTTACATTTTAATGTTAACAAAACGTAAAAGCAGTGATCAACAGGCAAATAATTGTGCAGTAAAGAGCAATGGAAGAACGGTCCACAGGTGTTTTTAAATCTTGTTTCAAGACTATTTGGAGTTTTTAAATAGGTAGAGGGAAACTAGCTCAGTAAATAGAGAAGTCTTCCTAGACTTCCTCTCAAACAAGGCACAAAACTGTTGACTGCCTTGGTAAATTTCATTACTTGGTTGTGCAGTGATAAAGTATGAACAATAGTACATTTTAACATTAGATCATCAGAACTCAAAGTACAGGGGAAAAACTGATGTCCAAGAATTTTTAATATAGGCCTAAATCAGAAATGTCTTACATAGAGAATAAGTTAACAGAAGAGAATAGGTTTATAGAAGTGGATTTCACCATCTTTCAGGAAAGCAATGGAAATATCAGGACTTGGGCAAGTCATCCTCTTTAGGATCTCGGTACAGGCAAATTTCTAGCATGTGCTGGGCCTCTGGGCACCCCAAGCCACAAGCAGAACCCATTACAGCTTGGAGGTGCTTGGCCTTGGTTATCTCGATGACTAGGTCACTGCTACAGTCCAGCTTGGGGAACTGCATGAACTGTGGTTGGCTGAGAGTACAGAGCCCAAGAATAGCAGATCCCTAAACTATTTCCATAACTTCCCACAAGAAACTCTTGGCTGCTACTTTATCCAGCTCAACATGTGGAGATGAACACATTTTCTGTCCTTAGAATCTTTCTCTTTCTCCAAAACACCCTTGACTTCTGTGCATCAAGAACAATAGTCACCTCCTTGTCTGGGGCTCGGTGCAAAGGAAAAGTTTTTGCTTAGCAGGGCTTGCCCTGAGAGGTGCACTTTGGAGGCAATCCCATTTGAGACCCCATACAATGTGTCCATCTGGAATCTAGCCAAATACCAATGTGAAATGAACAGGAAATGGAAACAGTCACACCTCAAAGACCCTCCCCGACCCACTGCATTCCCCATGCCCCAAGCGCAAATGCTTAGCTCTTGATCAAAGCTATGAAAGATACATAAGGGATGCTATGGGACGCCGTCGCTAAGTAGTCTAAACAAGATCCAGGCCATTGATCACATTAATTTCCCTGGCATGGCTGATTCATATGACAAATGCTGTTGCTTTTCATCTTAAATTGAAAAAAGAAAAGGTTTAAAAATTATCCCCTGGAGCCTGTGGGTGTGGGGCCCCTGCTGTTGGCAGCAATGGAAGGAACATTACCATATCCTTACTATAAGAAATCTCCATTCTTGATGACAGACACATGTGCAGGGCAGTCTGGACAGTCACATGTCACAATGCTACCCTGGCATGTGAGGAGACCAGGAGGTAAAGTTTTAGTTCTGACTGAGGCAAATTAAATTCAGCTGTTTTTAGAAATGGTAGAGAGGTTGCAATTTCGTTTTGCACACATCAGGGCTAAAAATGCAACGCTCTGAAGTTTGAACTGTGTTATTTTCAAATATAAGAGAAACAAGGACCAATTTTCATGCATTAAGAAAAACAGGTCAGGGCTGGGCGCAGTGGCTCACGCCTGTAATCCCAGCACTTTGGGAGGCTGAGGTGGGCAGATCACTTGAGCCCAGGAGTTTGAGACCAGCCTGGGCAACATGGTGAAACTCTGTCTCCACAAAAAAATATTCAAAAATTAGCTGGGCATAGCGGCACACTGAGGCTAGAGGATCATCTGAGCCCAGATAAGTCCAGGCTGCAGTGAGCTGTGATTGTGCCACTGCACTCCAGCCTGAGCAGAGTGAGACCCTATCTAAAAAAAGAAAGAAAAGAAAAAAAAGAGAAAAAGAAGCAGAAAAGTGGGTCACATGCTACTACAATTTCTAGACCAGGTATTTTTCTTACAGGTTTAAACATGGATTAACGACAATGGTGTTTAAAACACACAACTAGGAAACAGAGGGAGGAGATAAAGAGAATGAAATGACTGTCTCCTCCAGTGACTGATAAGCCAGCATTGTAATAGACACTTTTTTATTCCCCTGAGACGGAGTCTCGCTCTGTCACCCAGGATGGAGTGCAGTGGCGCAATCTCGGTTCACTGCAATCTCCACCTCCCAGATTCGAGTGATTCTCCTGCCTCAGCCTCCCGAGTAGCTGGGACTACAGATGTGCGCCACCATGCCCGGCTAATTTTATATTTTTAGTAGAGACGGGGTTTCAGTATGTTGGCCAGGCTGGTCTTGAGCTCCTGACCTCGTGATCTGCCTGCCTCGGCCTCCCAAAGTGCTGGGATTACAGGCGTGAGCCACTGCGCCCAGCCAATGGGCACTTTTCTTTAAATGAAATTAGTAAAAGTTATGAAATTAGAAAAACGGTGGCCATTTACAGAACATTCCACTCTGTACCAGTAAAGAAAGGTGGAAGAGAGACCTCCTTGGGTATTGCCACAATACTGTGAGACTGGATGTCTGCCTGGGTGTCTGTCCTGCTCTTTATCCCGGAATACATTACTGCTTACAGTCTCTGGTGAACAGGCAGCAACCCTCCTTCCCTAAAACTAAAATATGTGGTGTTGTGATGCAAAACTGGATACACTGCAAACACCTGGAATCCAAAGACTTGGGTTCTAGTCCTTGTTTCTCCACTTCCTAGTTTCTTGGTCTGGACACGGTTCTTTTAGCCTTAGTTTCTCCATTTATTGCACGGAATTAAGGTACTCTTTGCCTTAGCTCTATTAAAAGTGATTCATTCATTGCTTCATTACGGACAGGGTGGGACCTGAGAGTACGGAAAGATGTGATGATAGTCAATCAGGGCACATGCAATAACTTATCAGGATCACAGAGACGATGACTAAAGTCATCCTGGAAGAGCTGGGAAAGGCTTCAGCTTGAAAACACCATCTGTAGCCAGGAGGTTAACCAGGTAGAAGAGGAAGGAAGGTAACTCAGAGAGAGTCATAAGCATGTATAATAGATAAGAAAGCATTAGGGAAGCTAGACTGGGCACCGTGGCTCACGCCTATAATCCCAGCACTTTGGGAGCCCGAGGCGGGTGGATCACCTACAGTCAGGAGTTCGAGAGCAGCCTGAACAATATGGTGAAACCCCGTCTCTACCAAAAATACAAAAATTAGCCAGGCGTGGTGGCGTGCACCTGTAGTCCCAGCTACCTGGGAGGCTGAGACAGGAGAATTGCTTGAACTCGGGAGGTGGAGGTTGCAGTGAACCGAGATCGCACCACTGCACTCCAGCCTGGGCAACAGAGCGAGACTCTGTCTCAAAAAAAAAAAAAAAAAAAAAAAAAAAAAAAAAAAAAAGAAGCAGTAGGGCGCTAACTGCTGTAGATGCAGGCTACTGAACAATTAAAAACAAGAGAGTTAGCTAACACGCACTATTAAGTTCCTACGCACCAGACACTACTTTTGCATACACTGTTTCATTTAAAACTCAGAACTCTATGAAATAATTGTAATTAGCTCCTTTTGTTTCCAATAAGAAAACTACACTTTTTAATAGCATAACTTGCCTTGCCCAAGGTCAGGTGAGGGATTTGAACCCAAAGTGGTCTATCTGCCAAACCATGTTCTTTCTACTCCCCAGCTGTCCTTTTGAAACCCTGGGAAAAAAATTATTAAATACACTCCCTAGACCTTAAGCATCAGGTAAGCACTTAGTTCAGCAATAAGCATTTGTGACTAAAATTCCAGGGAGAGTAATAACCATGAATGCTGATGAGCTCAGCTCCACCAGGGGCAGCTCCATCATTAGCAGGATTTATGTTTATTGAATTTGCTCGATTTATTAGGTGAAAGAGATCAAATTGCTTAATGTTCAATTAAATTGTACTTGTCGAGGACAGGGAAGTAATGAAGTCTAAAGTCTTGGCAAGGTTTATATTCTGTGGGACTCCTGTAAATGTTAATACTCTAAGGAGACTCACGGGCCATAGACCAACCACGTTCTCCCCACTCCCAACCTTCACCTAATGTTACCCTCCTCATTTTAGTTACTCCCAGAGTTTCCCAACAGACTGCTGTTTATTTAGCAAGACAAAATGAAAAAAGAGATTTGTTGGGTAGAAATGCCAAAAAAATAGTGGTTCCTTTGCATTTTAAAACCTGGATCCAAACATTTATACTACTGTAATAGTATTAAATTATGCCACACACAATAACCTTAAAATAATGATTGCCAATGTATCTGGGGCATAGGAAATATATTAAGTCTTACATCCAAGCAATTTCATAGGAAATCAGGAATGAGGCTTCTAAAATTGATAAGAGACAAGACTGAACAACACAATAAACAAAGAGGCAAATGAAAAGAGTGTTCAGCATGTTAAATTTCCAAACTGATCTACTTCATATTTTTTCAGCTGCAAGGACAGGTAAACCACTTCATTTCCCCTTTCCTGCTCTTTAAATACCACTCTGAAGCAACAATCTGACAAGCTGAAATTTTTTTTTTAAGTTATACATACAAAGAACTTTTTTTCTTCATTAACCAAGTAAGAATTGTTTAAAAACAGGAACTAAGCATGTGCTTAAGAATAAAGGGGAGGTTGCATTACATCGTCAACGTAGTAAATGCCACTAAATTGTTCACTTTAGAGTGCTTAATTTCATGTTCTGTGAAGTTCACTGCAATTTTTAAAAAGTCAAGAGAAACAAAAAATACAGGAGGGGAAAATATTTAATATGTTAACTCTGGAATTCAACTAACTTTAACTGGCAAAATGAGGCAATAAGACTAGATGATCTCGAAGGTCCTTTCTAGCTTGCATATTCTATGATTTTAAACAGAAAACATTCTTTTTTTTTTAAAGACGGAGTTTCACTCTTGTCCCCCAAGCTAGAGTTCAATGGCGTGATCTCAGCTCACAGCAGCCTCTGCTTCCTGGGTTCAAGTGATTCTCCTGCCTCAGAAGGCGTGTGCCATCACGCCCAGCTAATTTTTTTTTTTTTTTTGTATTTTTTTAGTAGAAACAGAGTTTCACCACGTTGGCCAGGCTGGTCTCAAACTCCTGACCTCAGGTGATCCACCCGCTTTGACCTCCCAAAGTGCTGGGATTACAGGTGTGAGCCACTGCATCTGGCCTGAGCAGAAAACATTCTTATCATGGGCTGCAAAACTCTTGGAAAGACAATTTGTCTTTGAAACCTGTGGCTGTAATATAAGGTAATCACCACTAGATGACGCTGTTACCTGCAGGTGGTGCCCATCTAGATATTTTTCAGAATGATGACAAACATGTAATTTAACAAACTGTAAGCGTGGACATCTAATCTTCCCATGTATTATTTTGCTGAGGAAACTGAAGTTTACAGAAATTTTATGATATTCCAAAGGTCAAGCCAGGATAAATTTTGTTTTCTTTTACTAAAAGTAATAAGCTATTAAATTATAAAGAAAATTGTGTTTTAACGTATTTTAATCTTGCTTATTTTTTTAAAGCTTCATAGCAGAGAAAGCTCTTCTAATATTTAAAACTCTCTTAATATTCAGAAGTTCAGATCTCAAGGTTCTGAATAACAAAGATATACCACTATCCATTAACATTATTGGAAGAGCAAGTTCTAATCAATGTAATATGAAAATAACACTAAACATAGTCAATGACTAGTCATGAAAATGTATTTCATTCAATAACAGGAAGTAAGACATCACTGCAAAGTAAAAGATGGACTATCTTGAAATCCTGATTCTGTTTTATGATTTCTTTGTATTCTGCCATTTACTTCAATCTGAGATGACCCTCCTCTTTCCTTCCCCTCTGGATCTGTTCACTATCAGATACAGTCCTAGCAACTTCTGCCTCTGGCAGTGATTTCTTTGGAAGGGGCTCACAGATTACCACATGAATGCATTAAAAGTAATGGCAGGGCCGGGCACGGTGGCTCATGCCTATGAATCCCAGCACTTTGGGAGGCCGAGGTGGGTGGATCACAACGTCAGGAGATTGAGACCATCCTGGCTAACAAGGTAAAACCCTCTCTCTAATAAAAATACAAAAAATTAGCTGGGCATGGTGGCAGGCACCTGTAGTCCCAGCTCCTCAGGAGGCTGAGGCAGGAGAATTGCTTGAACCTGGGAGGCGGAGCTTGCAGTGAGCCAAGATTGCACCACTGCACTCCAGCCTGGGCAACAGAATGAGACTCTGTCTTGGAAAAAGAAAAAAAAAAAAAAAAAAAAAAAGCAATGGCAAAAACTGAAATTACTTTTGCACCAACCTAGTATTTTCTTGAAATGAGCAGTGTACAATCAGCACAACTGCTCAAAACAGCTCAGCCTGCCACTGAGACTTGAAGCCCAGAAGGAAGCATAAAGAAGGCTTTGTTGTGTCAGAAGCCCTCCCAATGAGCTAATGTTTTGTAATCTGCTTCTTTCTTAAGGTAGTGGCTACTGATGCTTAGCAGAACAATTACTTTCTAGCTTCTGCTCCCTGCAGATTTGTAAATACAAGAACCTGGTCATTCTAAGAACTTTCTAGATGTTTTTCTCCCAATCATAAGGGGCACAATCTGTCTGCGGCATAAAAGGAGAATAAAATTTACTTCATCCCTCCTCTGCCCGGCTTGCCTGCTCTGGCCATGAGGTCACTGTTTAACAGACATGGGCAGTCAGCAGCTTTGTTCTAGCCATAGTTGTATTATTAGGTTCGTTAAGAAGAGGTCAAAAGAAATTCAAACGTTAGTTGAATTCAAAACCTCAAACTTAGAACAGTGCTTAAGCAATTATGCACAGTGATTTTCTCAAAGTCAGACTCATCACAGTTCATGCTTCTTAGAGTATGCTTCAACTAGCCCTATTTTCAAAAGGAAAAAAAGAAGAGCAAATTTTATTTAAAAGATGTGAAAGTATGCTGGGCGTGGTGACTCACGCCTGTAATCCTAGCACTTTGGGAGGCTGAGGCGGGTGGATTGCCTGAGCTCAGGAGTTTGAAACCAGCCTGGGCAACATGGTGAAACCCCATTTCTACTAAAATAATAATAAAAAATATTAGCCAGGTGTGGTGGTGTGAGCCTGTAGTCCCAGCTACTCGGGAGGCTGTGGCAGGTGAATCGCTTGAACCCAGGAGGCAGAAGTTTCAGTGAGCCGAGATCGTGCCAGTGCACTCCAGCCTGGGCAACAGAGCGAGACTCTGTCTCCAAAACAAACAAACAAACAAAACACACACACACACACACACACACACACACACACACATATATATATATATGAAAGTAAAATGTTCACTAGACCAAATCATTTAGTATCATACTGAATGGGCGATTCTAGAAAACGGAATGCCTATTCATAATCTCTGATTTCACAGGAGAAAGGTAAAACTGCTAAGACTTTTACTTTTGAGATAAATATGATTGCTTGTTGATATGGTTTGACTTTGTGTCCCCACCCAAATCTCATCTTGAATTGTAATCCCGACCTGGTGGGAGGTGACTGGATCATGGGGCAGTTTCCCCCACGCTGTTCTCATGATAGTGAGGGAGTTCTCAGGAGAGTTGATGGTTTCAAGTGTGGCACTTCCTCGCTCTTTCTCTCCTTCTGTCCTGTCGCCAGGTAAGAAGTGTCTGGCTTTGCCTTCTGCCACAATTATAAGTCTCCTGAGGCCTCCCCAGCCATGAAGAACTGTTCTTTATAAATTACCCATCTCAGGTAGTATCTTTATAGCAGTGTAAAAACAGACTGATACACTTGTTAACTAAAAATAAGTGTTGCTTTTTAGGATCAGATTGTTTACATGCATGCCTGAATTTCTCTCCTTTCGCTCAAACTAGAAAGATTTTAATAGGACATCAGTAAGATTATTATCATAATGAAATTTATTTTCTATTCAGAGTATTTTTTATAACAGAGAGTGGCCAAATACTTTCCCTAGCACTTCCATGCAGTATAGCTCTTAGGAAAAGTGCCATGAATACAACTGACACTCCAAGGCTCAAGCTGTACAAGAAGTAAAATTTCAGAAGTGCTCATGTCACCAACGAGTAACCCATTAATCAAACTTCTCTCGCCTTGAACTGTTCTCTAATGGCTGGTGAGGACACTGAGGCAGTAGCTTCAATCAGCTTTCAAAACAGAGAGTTCATGCTACAGTGCAGTCTAGCAAGGTCCACTGGTCCTCCCTGGTCGGCGTTCCAAATACTTGCTGACTCACCCGCAATCCAGGGATTTGGGGTTTGGGAATGGCAGCTTGTTCCAGGACACTCCTCCAGAGCTCTGTCTTCAGCAGTTTAGCAAGAAATGAAGGAGTAAGTTTTCCCCTCTATCAGGGTTTTTAAAAATTTTATTTTAACTATTCTCACCTTGCGGCAAACCATGTTTGCTTTTCTTCTGCTTTCAATGACTACAATAGGATCATAACTGGAATGTGGCTTCCTTGCCCATTGCTTTCTTTCCTTCCAATGCACCTGCCCAAACATGGTTATTTTTTAAAAACACACAATTTAGCATCTAGTATTTTTCCTCTTATGTACGTACTGTCCCTGCTTTTTGTACCTGGCTTCTCTGCCATTCATTCCTGCTTATTTGGCCCCTTTCACAAATCCAGTACCTCTTCCCCAGTTTAGTAAAGGAGGCCCTGACCATCCATAAAAGCCCCATCCTGCTGGCAGCTATTGATCTACTAGGGAATCTCAGTGGGGTGAGGATATCCCCTTAGGAGAAGGTATCTGATTCCTACGGGAGGGCATGTATAGTTGGATAAAAGGTCCTATTTATTTTTTCTGTCCTATTATTCCCTTGAAAGTCACTGCAATGGAAGATACTGATTATAAAAAAACACACATGAGAAACACCTGGGATCCCGTTAGCACGGAAGCAAGAAGGTGCTCCGCATCCTATGGTGGGCAGGGCAGACTCATTACTGAGAGGATGCAGGTCCCAAGTCCTGGTTTTCATTCTCTCATTTCCAACTGGCAATCAGGGTCCTGAATTTTTTCAGCCACTAACCTCAGCTGGCCTAACACAGTAATTCTGCTACAGAAATAATGAAGTTAATTAAGCTTAGAATGTTAACACTTTCTGTGACACGTCTTAGGGTGAGGGCTTTTTCTTGTTATTGTACATGTGTTAGTGCCTAAGAGAATCATATCATCAGAGAACCTGACAGGCCTTGCAACTTCAACTCAAAACTGAATTTAGATTTTGGATTTTAAGTTGAATGAGGATTAGGAGAATTTGATTAGGTTGGTAAACATTATTTAAATTTATTAGGGAATTCAATTTGTTGTGTTTTAAGTTTGGTTTATTAGACTTATAAGAGCTAATTAAATATTTATGAGGAAATGCTTATTAGGATTGTGAGATGGAGACCAAAGTGTTCAAAATTTTAATTAATAGAATTTATATGTAGAAATAACTTTTAAGTTTAATCCGTTCTTTGAGACATATAAACAGTCAACAAATAAAATTGATCTTATTTTATAGAAGGTTATTGGACTTATAAATAGGATGATAAAATGTGAAAGTTGAAATCAAATTCTTAGGAATATCTAGGTTTTAACATTTAAAAATTGAGTACATTGAATGTTCATTAAAACCCAACATAGGCCGGGCGCAGTGGCTGACACCTGTAATCCCAGCACTTTGGGAGGCCGAGGCGGGCAGATCACGAGGTCAGGAGATTGAGGCCACCCTGGCTAACATGGTGAAACCCCGTCTCTACTAAAAAAAAAAAAAAAAAAATACAAAAAAATTAGCCGGGCATGGTGGCGGGCGCCTGTGGTCCCAGCTACTCAGGAGGCTGAGGCAGGAGAATGGCGTGAACCTGGGAGGCAGAGCTTGCAGTGAGCCGAGATCGTGCCACTGCACTCCAGCCTGGGCGACAGAGCGAGACTCCGTCTCAAAATAAACAAACAAACAAACAAACAACTCAACATAATGGTCCTTTGTGTGCATAAAGCCTCTCTTTGACTTCCTAACTTACACTGTAGGAGCCTGGCCGGGCACAGGTGGAGCTTCTCTGCAAGTACACAGGGGTATTCGGGTCTGTGCAATTCCCTGAACACCCTCCTATCCCTCATTGTCTTTGATTCTTGGCCCCTTTCAAAGAGACTTCTAGCACTGGATAACCAGGGAGCAGTGCATGATGAACGTTGACTCATTTCCTAGAACTGGATTTGATTCATAATAATTGCTAACGCCTTTCGCTATGGCGCATTTACTGTAGGCCAATCCTCTCCCATGCATTATCACATTTAACCCTCTTGAGCATGTAAGAGCCATGCATGGATATGGAAGAAATCACTAGGATTTCAAGTGAGGAAATTAACATACGGATCACATTACATCAAAGAGCTACTTTCAGTTTGAATTCACTAATGAATTTTATTTTGCAATAATCTTTTGAGAGTAGTAAAAGTATTTTCAACCTTTCTTTGGGAGGGGTGAGAGAAAGCTTTCTAAATAAATACAGGAGTCCTTTCTTTTTTCTTTTTTGGGAAGGAGTCTTGCTCTGTTGCCCAGGCTGCAGTGCAGTGGCACAATCTTGGCTCACTGCAACAGCCACCTCCCGGGTTCAAGCGATTCTTCTGCCTCAGCCTCCAGAGTAGCTGGGACTAGAGGCACACGCCACCACACCCAGGTAATTTTTGTATTTTTAGTAGAGATGAGGTTTCACCATATTGGCCAGGCTGGTCTCGAACTCCTGACCTCAGAATCTGCCCACCTTGGCCTCCCAAGTGCTGAGGTTACAGGCGTGAGCCACTGTGCCGGGCCAAGAGTCCTTTCAATGAGGAACAACATAACTGGCTTACTGGCCATTTCATATAACATCCATTCAATCTAGTTCCATGGATACCAAGAGTTCAGTCCCACAGAACTGGAACGCTTGCCTGTTTTATAGATATTCTCTGTGCCCGCATGACGGCCACTCGATTTCCTTTTGTATCTTTCTAGTTTGATTTTAATTTTCCATTGTAAGTGACTAGCGGTTATTGTTTCTTTAATTATAATGTTCAGGATCTATGATTGAAATGATAAATGCTTTCATAGTGATTGTATTAATTATCATAACCTCACGAAGAGGTCTCAACTTTGGATAAAGGAGGTTGAAGTAATGTGCCCAGTGCAATGTCACAGAGCCAGGACCAAAAGCAGAAAGAGATCCCTGGATTGCCTAAACCAAAGGCAGTGACCACTCATTGTTTCACAAGTAGGGTGTTCCAAAGTGATTATTAACATTCTTTGGAAACATATTTCTTGGAAAAGCCTTTAAACCGTGACTGCTGACAGGCCTTTTGCAACTATGGCCCAGTTACAATATTTTTTCAAGTTTAGTCCATGAGTCAAATCCCTGTCTTCCTTCACACCTCCAAGGGCATTACGAAACTTCTTGCCCTGAGATCTTTGGGAGCGTCTAAGAGCCATGCACAGATATGGAAGAAATCACTAGCCGAATTGTTTGAAGACATTCCAAATTCTTTACTTTTGCAAAATGATATGAATACTTGGGTAGGTTAGATATTAGGAAGGATTGAAAAATTTTCTGTCACAGCAAATGGTGAATTTATTAAAGTATCATTTGCAGATTTAAAATACATAATATTTAGGAATAAATTATACTAATTATGCATTTCATTAAATACAACTTTACACCTGTTCCAGAATTGTTTGCCTAGTACATAGTAGGCATTCAATAAATAATAAAATAAAGAACATGTAAGTAATTTAACTAAAACTGAAAACAGGTAAGTTATAAATAATTTAGATTTCATTTCAGATCATTTACTTATCTCTTCTTATAAACCACAAGCTGTATATAATTTATATACAGTAATGATAATTCTTCCTAGCATTATTTAAAGGAGTATGAATAACTGACAAATATCTTCTATTCCCCTATAGCACAGTCTACCTTTCTCAAAGGAAGTTGGATACATACTGACATTGCTTTGACTCAACAGATCCTCACTAAGTGCCTATTCACATCATGCCTTTGTGCTTTATTCTTTTATTCAATAGGCATTAAACAAAATCCATTTGCTCTTTCATCAGTCCCAGAACTAGAATTTTTGATTCAGATGTGTAAGTCTGTCTCTTCAAACTGCTCTCTTAGCAACACTGAGAGGACCATGCCTCTGTATGTTGATCAATGTTCGTGTTTCATTAAACTTTGTTAACATTTTTCAATTTATTTTGTGGCACCTTCTGTTTCCTTTGGGACCTCATGTTTTAAAACCATCTTTCTACACCTGAGTAGTCAAGAAATTACCTGTGCTGTAGTACATTACATCGCCAATAGGTGGCATTCTCCCAACACACTAGTTGTCCCGTTTATCAAGTCTTTGTTCCGTTTACTTACAATGTCTAATTACTTTAACAATTTACTTATCAGAAATCTAATTATTTTAACAATATAAAAAGACACTGGGATCCCTGGGTACTTAAGATTCAAATGTTCAAATATGTATAATTTTCTTTCATTTGCAGATCAACGGATTTTGATTTCCATGAGATAATGGCACCCTCTATCTTGTGATTCTTACGTACATTTTCCAGAACATTTAAGCTTATGTTATCTTTTTTCAGATGAAGTCTTGCTCTGTTGTCCAAACTAGAGTGCAGTGGCACGATCTTCGCTCACTGCAACCTCCGCCTCCTGGGTTCAAGCAATTCTTGTGCCTCAGTCTCCAGAGTAGCTAGGATTGCAGGCATGCGCCACCATGCCTGGCTAATTTAGTAGAGATGGGGTTTCACCACGTTGGCCAGGCCAGTCTCAAACTCCTGACCTTAAGTGATCTGCCCACCTCTGCCTCCCAAAGTGCTGGGATTACAGGTGTGAGCCACCACACCCGGTGATTAAGCTTATACTTTTAAGAGTAGCAAAAAATAAAAACATTAAAAAATCATTTTAGATTAAGTGATAGGCATCACTAAAAGTTTTATTTACTGAGAATTATTGACTTGCTTTAGTTCATTAGTCCATTGAATATATAGTTTTTTGTTATTCCTGCCAATGTGTCTGTGGCTACAGATTTGATGACACATTGCCTCTTATTATGCTCATTGTTAGCTCTAAAATCAGTTTTTCTTTTAGCACACAATGTGTGAGACAATTTTAAAATCTCAGCTTTAATTCTTCACTTTGTTACTTTTCTGTTCTAAGGGAGACTATTTAAGATGTGCTTTGGGATCATGGAAAGAGACTCGAGTAACACTGAAGAGGTTAGAACGTAGATTCTGGAGCAAGGGTGCCTGGATTTGAAGCTTCCACTTACTGGTACGTGACCACTGACAGGCATCTTAAGCTTGCTGTGCCTCAGATCCTCTGTCAGAAAAAGGAGGGGTAGTATTCTCCCTTATCCACTAGGGATATGTTCCAAGACCCCCAGTGGATGCCTTAAACTGCAGGTAGTACTCAACCTTATATATACGATCGATTTCTATCAGATAATGGAGCTGCTACTAAGTGACTAATGGGCAAGTAGCATACACAGTATGGACACCATGGACAAAGGGATGGTCCACGTGCTGGGTGGGACACCACCAGATTTCATCACACTACTCAGAACTGCATGCAATTTAAAACTTATGAGTTGTTTATTTTTGGAATTTTCCCCTTAATATTTCGGACCGTGGTTGACTGTGGGTAACTGAAACCAGATAAGGCAGAGGACTACTGTAACTGTATACCTAAGATGGCTTGGCAAGTTAAATATCTCAGTAGATGGAAAACATGTTGAAAATGCCAGGCATTGTGCTATGTATATGTTAGTTATCATTTTTATTATCACTTAGACTGAGAAAAACCAAGCAACAAAAAATCTATATCCAATAAACTCCATATGCAACCAAAGGCCTCAAAGTTCTGATAACTCTATGACTTTCTTCTCTCACAGCGCTAGAAATTCTCAGCAAGATCAAACAATGACCACTCTGTCTTCATTTATGAAATGGATACAATGGCTCGTTTTTCCTGACTTGGTTTCCCAAACAGCTCTGTCTCTCAGAGGCTGACATGACATCACAATAAAGACCACAAATTTGAGGATCCTCCCAAAACAGTTTAGCCACCCAAATCATTTTAAGAGTGGGCAGGATCAGCGGGTACTGTGAAAGGGGAAGGAGAAGAGGAGTCAGGGGCTGCAATGGGGCAAGGAAGGCCTCCAGAAGTCTGAATGGGGAGACAGTCAGTCCATGATACATCCATGGTGAAGGAAAAATCAGGAACTTCCTCCTAGTGCAGTCTGCGGTCTGGCCTCTGTAGTGGAGCATTGAAATGGGATCCTAAGCAGCCCCAGAAATGTATGAATTCTACAATTATGCAATTCTCCTTATGTAAAGCTCCCCTGACACAATCCATCACACTCATTTCCCCTGCATGTGGTACCAATATGCAAGATGCCATCTAACTTCAGAGAACACTATTTAAGCAGCCACTCCTACCTCCTGCACCTACCAGTACTCTCAGATGTAGTTGCTGCTTTAGCAAGAATTAGTGCCCGTGACCTGTTGGACCAGAAGTGTGAAAGCTCGCTCTGGAGCCAAAGCTTTATTTTACACTGCACTTTAATGCTTAAAGCTGATGACAAGTGGTGCGATTTATTCCTTAAATTCCTCCAGCACTGATTCCATCAGTAACGAATTGTTCCCCAAAGCAGTACTGCACTCCTAAGGAAAATGGGATGCATGATGTCTGACAGGCTGGGATTAGTCCAGTGCTTAGATGAAGAGATAGACAACGTGGTCCTTCTCAACGATTAAGATATCCGGGAACAGTATATTTAAAAGGTTCAATGGCAGAAACTATGAACAAACTAGTTTTAAAATTCACATATTCTTTGCTTCCTTTATGATAGATAACTACCAGCATTAACGTAGGTTTTAACAAAATAAAGTTAGATGCTATTAGATGGCTCTAGAGCTTTGCTTCCTCCTCAGAGGAAGCAGCAGCAGCAGCAGCAGCTTGGGACTTATCAGAAATGCAGAATCCTGTGTCTCGCGCCCCGCCCCATCTTTTGCAAGTGAGAAACCAGAATCTGTTTTTTGATAAGCTCCCCCAGGTAACTGACATGCCCATTAATGTTTACGAAGCAGTGGTCTAGAAAAGACAGTCTTACATTAAGAACAATTATTTCTGCATTTGTCTACGCTTAATTTATGTTCACATGCTATTAGGTAACTGTAGATTTTATAAGATCCTTTGGATTTTAATTACATTTGAAAATGCATTTGATCTGAGACGCCTATTAGTGGCAGCCATAGTTGTTAGTATCTTCTGAAAACTTACCATGTGTCAAACACTATTTGAAGTGTTCACGTATTATTTAATTCTCACAACCACCCTGAAAGGCAGATATTATTTTCACATGAGAAACTGAGGTACAGAGAGAGAAAATTAACAAGGTCATGGGGAAAAGAAGTTGCCAAACCAGGATGCAAAGGCAGGGCAACCTGGTTCTGGGGCACATGTGCTAACCCTGATGCCCTGGGGCTCCTCTTAGTTCACTCCACTCCAGCAAACATGTGCTTTGCAACAAGAGATGGTTTTGTGTAAATGTGACTACATGATTAGGTGCCAATGAAGGGAATGCCAACTAATCATAGGACCTGTGGAAAAGTTTAATTTCACTGTGTACTTCTCTCTGGATTCAGAATAGATGATCCATAAGCCTAGTTCTAGGTCCGTAATTTTGGTAGTATAAAAGAAAAGTTCCCCTGTGTCTACCAAATACAAAAAATTATTTTTGTGTGTGTGGTGGTGCGCGCCTGTAATAGGTGGGAGAATCTCTTGAACCTGGGAGGTGGAGGTTGCGCTGAGCTGAGATCCCGCCACTGCACTTCAGCCTGGGTGACAGAGCGAGACTCTGTCAAAAAATAAAAAAAGTTCCTTTGGGGCTACCTCCCTAATTCCTATATACTCCAACAGATATATTTCGAAAGCAGTTTTCAACATGCGTTTCCTGGAACCCTGGGGTCCTTCACAGGGGCCTCAAGAGCCTAAGTAGTTGTTCTCGCCAACCAGCCCACCCAGCATCTTTAATGTCAATGAATGTGTATGCTGGAGGTTAAAATTACAATACAGTTAACAAAAAAACTACCATTGTTTTTTAAAAAGTAACGGATTGGAAAGCACTGATTTTGGTTTGGCTGACCATGTACACTAGAGATTCTTCTTGGACATTTTATCATAATAACTGTGGATATACAAACTAGAAACAGTATAGCAATGAAGCTAATCTTTTTTTTTTAAATTTGGCATGTGTTATCTTTTTTCCCCTGATATTCTGTATTTTTCCAAAAATATTATATAATATGTACTTCATATGTATTTGTTCTAATCTACTTTTTAAAATGTTTTTTGAAAACTTTAGTTGAAAACAATTTATGCAATATTCTGAAATCCATATTTTTAGAATAAATATTTAAAATAAAATTCATTTTTAGAATATTGCTACATTATTCAAAAATTCATTTCTCATAACAAAATACTTGAAGGTTTTTAAACCTAGTCAATTAAATTGAGTGTAAATTTTTACAGTATTTTGGGGGTATAATTTTATTTATCTATTTGAGACAGGGTCTGGCTCTGCTGCCCAGGATGGAGTGCAGTGGTGCGATCTTGGCCCACTGCAACCTCTGCCTCCCGGGCTGAAGCCATCCTCCCACCTCAACCTCCCAAGTAGCTAGGACTACAGGTGTGTACCACCACGCTCAGCTAATTTTTGTATGTTTTGTAGAGATGGGGTTTCACCACGTTGCCCAGGCTGGTCTCAAACTCCCGAGCTCAGGCAATCCACCCACCTCGGCCTCCCAACATGCTGGGACTACAGGCGTAAGCCATGGTGCCAGCCAGAATAATATCATAAATTTAAAGTGTACACACTTAGCCTGGTATTTTTATTTGTCAAAATTTTCTTACTAAGCCATTCCTGCAGACGCATACATGGAGGTTCATTGCAGCATTGTTTATGGGTACCTACCCAAAGGGAATGAAGTCATTATATCCAAAAGATACCTGCATTTGTGTGTTTACTGTAGCACTACTCACAACAGCAAAGAGATAGAATCAACCTAAGTATCCACCAATGGAGGAATGGATAAAGACATTCCCTTTGGGTAGGTACCCAGTTAGTGGGATCGCCGGGTAGTTCTATTTTTAGTTCTTTGAGAAATCTCCATACTGTTTTCCATAAAGGCTGTACTAATTTAAATTCAAATGATGTAACTTCTTTTTTTTTTTGAGACAGAGTCTCGCTCTGTCGCCCAGGCTGGAGTGCAGTGGCGCGATCTCGGCTCACTGCAACCTCCACCTCCCAGGTTCAAGCTATTCTCCTGCCTCAGCCTCCTGAGTAGCTGAGATTACAGGCATGCGCCACCAGGCCCGGCTATTTTTTAGTAGAGACAGGGTTTCACTGTGTTAGCCAGTATGGTCTTGATCTTTCCTGACCTCATGATCCGCCCGCCTCGGCCTCCCAAAGTGCTGTGATTACAGGCATGAGCCACCGCGCACGGCCAAAAGATGGTAATTTTTAAACAGCTGCATGGAATCTGTTTTATAGATGTACATGATTTATTTAGCCATCTCTTGTGCTGGGCATTTGTTTTTCTTCCTCCCCTAACCTTTCCCTGCCCCATCTTGCCCCAGTCCTGATTTTCCTTTTATAAACAATGCTGCAATGAACCTCCACATATGCACCTGTAGGAATGCCTCAGTAAGAAAATTTCTTTATCCATGTAATACCACTAAGCCGTAACCAAGAATAAAATCGTGTGTTTTACAGCAACATGGGCGGAACTGGAGGTCACTATCCTAATTGAAATTACTCAGAAGCAGAAAGTCAAATACTGAACGTTCTCACTTATAAATGGTAGCTAAACAATGGGTACACATGGACATATGGAATGGAGTAATACACACTGGAGACTCCAAAATGTGGGAGTCTGGAAGTGGGGTAAGGGTTGAAAAATTACCTATTGGGCACAGTGTTCGCTATTGTTAAGGGTACACAAAAAACACAGACTTTATTTACCACTATGGAATACTTGCAGGTAAGAAATCTACACTTGCACCCCTAAATATATCAATATAAAAAAATTTTAAGTTCTAACTTTCATCTATTTTAAGAGATCCTAGATTGTAAAATGTATCTTGATATAACAGATGTTAAAAATTGGGAAAAATAACCCGTGGACATTGTTATATGTCATAATTATCAGATGACCCCAATCTCAGGGATGCTGAAGTGCAAAATAACAAGCAAAGTGTAGCTTAGATTGATGACATAGACTTCAGTTATAAATACTCTGTTGGATATAAATATATTAATATACAGCAATAACTAATATCAATATATAATGATAATTAATATATAAGAAAATGCTAGGATGATAAAAACCCAACTGTCAAAAGTGAGTGTCTTTAAGGAGCAGAGTTCAACTGTGATGGGGTAGGTGGAGGGGAATATAACCTCTTTGATTATTTTAATACTTTAGGAGGAATACATGTGATTTTTGGAAAAAAATTAGACAATATAAAACCACTGCATAAATAAAAAAGATTTGAGGTAGTATAGCATTGTGAGAAAATGACTCAAAAGCCTCACTGAACTCACATTAACTTAGTGATTTCACTTTTATCTCCCCGTGGCATCTGCTTCCAGGGCCCGAAACAACCAGTAAAGCTAGTAATTACCCCCTGCTCTACCTACATCCTCCCAGCCCTTGCAACAACCCAACAGGACAGATGTAGACGCCTCCGTTTTACAAATGAGCTGTACAGGGTGAAGTTATTTTCCCCTTGTCATGCAGCTGCTATGGCAGTGCTGGATTCCAGACTCAGTGCCAACTGGCCCCAGACCTGCCCTCTTTCCAATTCTGGGCTGCTATCATTGCCATCTAGTGCTTTGTGTATTTGCTCTTTATCCTTGGCTATTCATTTTCTTCTTACGGGAATTCCCAATTATTTTCTCTTTCATGCTACGTTGGTTTTAAGTTATTTCTAAGCTGCAAAGCTAATTTTCTAAAGAGCTTGAAAGAAATATTCTAATTGAATTAACTAAAAATTAATGCATTTCCTCTTTTCAAGCAATTTTTCCCCTCTCGACCATTCTGAGAATATATTCATAATAAACTCCTTTGCTTTCTACTTGCACATGATCTTTCTAGCTTTAACAAGTCAACTTTACAAAAGGATATACTGGACACTTTCGAGTGCTTTCCTTTAATGAGAAGGTGCTATGATGGTAAAAAAGGGAAATTAGCAATCAGTGCACAACTCAACGGTCACCAAACAGCCTAGCCAGGAAGCACAAAGCCAGCACCTTCCAGGCCTCCTCCAAACTGGGAGAGGGGATGAAACTGGGAGCTTAGCCTGTCTCATCTTTTCCATTTGACCAAAGGTTTAAACCCAGATAGATCTAGAACTTGAAAGGAAAGGAGATTTGTTGAAATACTTCTTCAATTACTTTCTGTACTTTTCCCTTTTTGTTGTAACCCGTTTCTTATATCTCCACATACAGAGATTGACATGAAAATTTGGACTTTGACCTAGAATGATTTTCTACCGTCTCTAATACACATTTTGGTCTAAGTAGAAACTGTTAGGAATGAGAAGAATTGTAGTAAAAAATGAACTGCCAGGAAATATAAATTCTAAGCCTATGCCACTGATTGCTAAGTTATGTTTTTTTGGGTCATTTATCATTCATTGGGGTAATGGAATGAGAGTTTCAAAAATTAACGACAGGGTCGGGAGTAGAGGTAAACCAGGAGCCAAATGTTTATGCAGTTCTGCCCTACACACACACACACACACACACACGGGATGAAAGTAAGATATCAGGAGTGAAGGCAAAGATACAGAAGAGAAATGTCAGGCTACAAAGGAGGTGAGATGAACTTGTCCCCAAAGGCCTCCTGCAGAAGGAATTGGATATGGGCTCACCTGAATCCTTCAGGGGGCAGAGGGCACACTGCATGCCCCAGGCCTCTCCATACAGACAGCAGCACTCAGTGTACGTTGTCTGCTTGCCCACAAGAGGCCGGCTACACACGTATTCATCACTCAGATGTTCCCAGCACAAATCTTGGTAGACATCAGTTTCTTCTATTTGTTCTGAAAGGGAAGACATAGTTCCATGAAAATCGCACAGTTATTCCTATTTATAAACACTGTGTTGGAAGCCAGCAAGTCTCAAAGTTTCCATCTCTATTTCTAAGAGTGACTTCCAAGTAAAAGTCTGAATCCAGTCTGGTCTTTCAATGGATCAATTCTCTGTCATCTCCAACTGGGTGTCATTCCATCAGTTGAAATTCCAGCTGCCCATCCGGTCCCGACACAATAGTTCTCTATAGCTTCCTACTTTTATATAAAATGCCCACTATCTTGCTTGTCCTTCATAAGCCATCAGGCTTCTCACTCTCCTAATCTTCACTTTTTCATTTACTCCTGTCAAACCCTACCATTTCTTTCCATGTAACAGCTATTGGATTCATGCCTTCTTATCCATTTAATCTGCCAAAGCCCTGGACTAGTGACCCTTCATCCTAGAGTCTTTAATTCCTACCTTTCAATTGACTTCATCCAAAGCAGTCTCCTGAGGCGAATGACAGATTATGCCAATTATCAGCGGCTTTTTGCCAATTATCAGTAGCATCAGGGAGGACAGGAGTTTGTCAGTGGACTTCGGGGCTCTCCACCACCCTGTTGAACTCCACCCTCTGTTCTGCTGAGCCTTATCCACATCCTCCACTCTGCTGAGTGCACCTAATTATCTTTCCCTGAATTACATTTCCCTCAGCTGCCTCTGCAGGTTAGGGATGATGAACCCTAAGCCATGGAACAACCCTGCCATCTGCTCAGCCACTCCATAGTCCATACTTAATGAGTATGTCCAGGCTATTAAATCTCCTACATACTGATGATATGCATCTTATTACTATTTCTGTAAGTATCTCATTGTATCTCATTTTAGTTATTTCAAAATACCCAAGGAATCCATTTTTCTATTTTCCAATAGTTCACATTTTAGTTAAAAGGAAAATCTTATGATAGTTATTTGGACACAGGTTTGCATCTCCTGGAAACATACCGTTTGACTCAGCCGGTCGTATACATCTTTTTTCTGACGCATCCAGGACCATGGGGTGAGTACAGAAGCAGTTGTAAGAGCCCTCTGTATTAACACACTGGCCATCAATACAACTACTGGGGTCTTGACATTCATCCATATCTTAAGAGCAAAAAAAAGTATTACTAAAGAAAATCAGCCATCAGTTGTACCTCATACACTTCCCAAACTTTACACATTGCTATATTTAGTCCAGATTCCAGGTGCTGCCAAATTTTAATTAACCACACATTATCATCCAAAAGAGAGTGGCTCTGTCTATAAAAATGTAAGCTGCTCTGACTGAAAAACAACATTGCTGCTGCTGCTGCTGACATTAAATAAGGAAAGAAAACATCCATGAACAGGATATGCTTAGAAATTTAAGATTAAATGGCTCTTTATGATAACTTTTAAAATTATTTCCTTTTGCTATGTTTTTCTGCCTAGTGTATATGGTTTTCTGCTTAAGCATTAAAGTCTGGGTCAGTATTTAAAATGGCTGTCACTTGCACGGTATGAGTGATGAAACAGGATGTTCCACAGACCAAAAGAACACTTCAGTTATACCAGTGGCCTGAATCATAATTCCACAGTGAATATTAACTCTTTGTTTGAAATACATTCAAACAGTAGTATGGAGGTGGTTTTTTCTTTTTATTTTCTTCAATTGTGCTTAAGAAAAAGATCCCTAAAACGTTTACACATCTTTTCAACACATGATTTAGATTCAAGGAAATTGTTTTTACTACATAGCATAGTTATTTTTTCCATCTGTATATTTTCACAGTACACCATACTATATCCCCCTAAAGCTTACCAAAGCACTGCAGTTTCACAGGATCATAGTACGTCCCTTGCTTACAGTAGCATTCATACCCAGGCCGAGTGTTCAAACAGAAACCATTTTTGCAGATTTCTTGTCCAAAAAGTAGGCATTCATCTGCATCTACGGGGAAAAAAATTGAGAAATACAAAAAGGAGTTAGGTTTGATCTTTCAATTAAAAAGAGTCTAACCAGATTTGGGGCTTTAAGTTAGATATTATAATATTTACATTCCAAAGAATCCTACACAAACAGCAATATAACCTTCTTAAAATAAGGCCTAATTGGCAGGCATAAAAACATAAACAGATGTAGTTTGTCTGTGATATTTGAGAAGCAATGCCCAAAACATTATAGGAGAAGTGTATTTGTAAATATGGTTTCTGAGATGCTACCTCATATTTGATGAAATGGTCTATGGTTCCATAGTGGCATCAACAAAAGGATATATACCTTTTAAGAAATGTGTTCTGTAATGTATATTCTGGCCCATTCACTAGTTGAGATGTAGAAAGTTTCCAATAAAGTTTGGTGGAACTTGAATGCAAGTCTTTCTTGAGGATAAAAGAAAGCACAAGTTGCTGAGGGGGTTAGCAGACCCATTCCCCCACAGAATTAATAGCTTTTGCTATCTCAGTTTACTCAATGATAAATTGGAGACAATAGGAACATCTACCTAATAAGAGAGGAAGGATGAAATGAGATAATCCATGGATAGGACTCGGTATATGCTCTGGCATAAGCAGATACTCAAAAGTGTTATCTATTGCTTTTACTGCTATTATTAGCATTAGTTCTAGCATTTTAGAGCTAAGGTCATCTAGTCCTCATTTTACAACCTGAAGACTCCATAGATGACTTGCTTAAAGTTAACACAGATGGAAAATGGCAAAGTCAAGCCTAGAACATATGGCTGGTTGGATCTGAATCCAATCTTCTTCCAACCATTTACAGCACTGCTAAAATAGGAAGACAAGGAATTTATTTTGATATAAAAGAGAAGATGAATTTATGGTGAAATCAAAGCTCTGTACCTTAATATGAAGTGAGATTTAACTACATCCCTGCAAAAACATAGTAATGTATATTTGTGAATTTGGAAACCATTCAACACATATTATAAACCAAATCTTCTCATTATTTAATTGGACCAAATCATAGATGTATTTAAAAGAACACAAATGGAATTTCTTATCCAGCTACTGAATTATACCATATTATTCAAACACTAGTTTTCCAAAAATGGACAATAAAAATGATTTTACAGTGTGTTTCCCAGCTACTTAGCAGTCCTCAGTATTAAACTATAAAGGAAAAAAAATCACTTTGTATATAAAAGGTAATATCTCTATCATGAAAATGTCAAAAGTGAGTGGTTAATGAGGAAATATTCATACATGTGGATATTCACCAAAATTAAAAGGCCGCACATTTATTTTAGAATTATATAACCGTAGCATCAAATACATAAAACATGTCTACTTTGGTTGTCTTCTCTTCCATTTCTCATTATGAACTTGTGCACACTGGTAAAAGGCCCCACAACAGTAGGATAAAGTCTAAAAATACAAGAACCTTAGCTTTGTTGATGACCATAAAGACAAACAGTGGTCAAATTTATATGATCATAATTGATATGATTTCTATTAAGCATCTAGAATAAAATATTTAGTAAGTATCTACTAGGTACAGAATTTGTTAAGTACTTTCAGATATATATCTTAATCATTATAACCTTTGAGAAATTATTCCTATCTCAGGGATGAAGAGACAGAAACTCAGAAGTTCACCTCCCAATGTCAAACTCCGAGCATCATACAGTTTGTGTTCTGACTGCAAGTCCATGGGGACTTTCTTTTAATGGTAGAATTAAGGACTTTGTAATCAGTTTTCATGACTAAAAAGAACTCTAATTCTGTGAAACCCAAGCCATGTTTTCACTTGAATATCTGACATGTACACAATGTGCTGAAAATTTGTTTCCACTTGATTCTGACCTTTATAGTTCTCACCACCAGCTTCAGAAGATGATTCTCCAGCAGGCACAAAACCTTTCCCTTTGGGACACATTTCAGTGAACTCAGCTGATTTTAGAAGAGACAAAAAAAAAAAAAAGATTCAACATCTTCCATGAATGCATGTTTCAAATTCAGTTTTGCTTTCTCAGACTCAGTAACTTTAAGGCAATTCCAGCAAATAAATTTAGTACAATCTCAAAAAATGATGGATTAAGTGCAAAGAAATCTAATGACTTCATAGGTTTTCTTACACTTTTTAATTTAAAAAACCTCCAAGTTCACTAATATTTTCTTACTCATGCTTTACTTGAAATTATAACTATTATTTTTCCACTACTGTGATGTATAGTATCTTAAAGGTTTAGTAAGAATCAATTACACGAAATCATAGCTTCAATACACAAGCTTTAGTTACGAATAATGCTGTATCATTGTCAGCAACAAAGACTGATTTTAATTTTAAAGTGGAATAAAACTGAATTAACTTTCTGCCAAAATATCACAAAGAACCTGACTGTCAAAGTACACGATGATGAAGAGAAGTTCAAGGATTCATATTAAGATGGGATGCAGGTGCTGGCTCTAGCCCTGAATGAAACTCACTATAAGGTAAGTCGCCTTGAGTTGGCTGTGGGAATGAGTGTTATCATTTCAAGGCCCAGGGACACCATGTGACCAAACACAAGTGTGACTCTACCACTAAGCGGATTCTTACCAGTTCCCAAGACCGGGCAGGGGAAGATTTCGCAGTTATCTCCCCATCCCACGCCTGATGTACAGCAGCATTCTTGTTTCGTGACATTGGGGGCCAACACATTATCACAGAGACTGGCGTCATTGAGATTATAGTAGCATTCTTTCTTTTCTTCTTTGGGTTGATCTACATCTACATCTAAATCTAAATGGAGTAGAGAAAGTAGAGTGACAATAGGACACATCAGAACTACCTAAGACAACAAGTAGAGAATGCAATGGGGGAAAGAGTGACCGTGTCAATAGCATTTGCTTTATAGAAAATGCTTTCCACTTTCAGTGTCAGATTCTTCCACTTTGAGATAAAAATGCACTTGAATCCTTAGTTTTGGTGGAATTCTAACATACCCCAAGAGTGTAAATCTGTCAAAACCATTTCCTTTTACGTGAACCAATTATTTTATTCTTGCAGATTTGGCTGTGAGTAGAGTTTCCATATCTCCTTTTCTTGCCAAACATAGGGCCATTTGTTACTGAGCTATAACACCTACTTAAATCAATAAAAATTTTCCCAAATACTTGACCACGGGTCTGAGCCCACACATAATATTTAACCCTTAGGTAGTTATTGGAATCAACCATGCTCCCAATCTTTTCTGAAGACTGCACAGAAGATAACTAGGAAAATACTGTCGTAACCTGCAGCCTATTAAATAACCTTTCATCACTGAAAAATCTAACTACTTAAATTGTTGCAAATATATGACTGAATGACATAATGAGTGCCAGCTAAGCCTCAGGGTAGAATTTCAAATCTGGGTTCTAGTCCCAGCTCAACTGTGTCCTAGAGGAAAACATATTCTAACAGATTCAGCTTAACCCTCTGTGTGATAAAACACGAACAAGGCGATATGAAAGAATACAAACAATAAGAACAAAATCCACCCACTTTCAGATAATAATGAAATTGATTGAATTCAATCAGATACGAAATCTTTGAACAAGTCTGTGCTTTTAAAAAATGATCACTATTTTGTGACTAGACTTGGAAAGTAGTCACATCCCTTCTCTCCTGTATACTATGGAGTTCAAATTACTGCCTATGATCCAGTTTGAATGTATTAACTGTTTTTATTTAATGCCACATCAAATAAGAAGCTGACTACTGTCATAATAATTACTTAGATTAATTCTAATGAAATATTGCCACTAGAACTCTACTATTTCCAGATTCTTGGGACTCAAACTCTAAGGTCAAAAGGAAGACATTTACTGATGAGGATAAGAGTTTAATGTCCACACATACTTACACTTACCTTTGTTTTGAAGTTAGTAGATAATTATATTAGCAAGGAAATTAAATAAATTATTTTTACAATAGCTTCCTATATGTTTATTTTTGCAGGGCCTAGTTGACAATGGAAATTTTATTAATATATTAAATAGTAAACGTGTTTCTAAAATATAAACTCATAAAATTCTATCCGAAAAGCTACTGCCCTTTCTCTTTCCTCTTCTGGCATTAAAAGCAAGCAAAGCAGCAAACAAACCTCTGAAATATATACTCCTCTCAGAACACAGAGCATCAGTGAGAATATAAAGATCCCTCATCCAGTTGATTCTGGCCAATTCTCTGATTATTTTGTCTTTGACAGATTTCAGCTTGGACTGTAAGTCAGCATTAATAGCTGATGACAAATGCAAACCTAGAACAAGCGTCCAGGAAAAACTCAAATGCTGATTTCTATGCAGCAGTTTACGAAGTGGTTTTAAATCATTTCCTTGTGTGTGAAATTGGGTAAAACCTGCCACTTCCCTCATCTGGTCTAGCTTGCTTCAAGTGTGCAGAGGACTGAAATTCACTTTGCGTACTCTTAACGGAACGGATCTTCGTTAGAAGGGCCTCCAAGCTCTTAGACATGGAATTACTTAGGAAAACTAAGAGTACGTATTTTAAATTGTTATTAAATCAATTATGAGCCCTATAGAAAATTTTAGAATCTCTCCCTCAACATGGTGAATAAATTGTCAGCCTGTTACTACTACCAGTTCCGCTCAATTATTTTATTCAGCTGGTCCAAAAATGTAGCTAGCTATTAATAAATAATAGTGAGAAATACAAATCAAAAAAGCAACAGGGTTTTGGTAATCGGGTTTATTCTATGGTTTGTGCTAAAAGAAGCCTCAGATTTTTTTCCCTCATGTACAAAGTTGTAAGTATGTCATGGTGTTTATTACAAAACGGAATACTTTGTAATAAGGCCTCAATGAAGATTATACTCACAGGTAATTAGAAACTATAGGCTTCTCGAGTCCAAAGCATGTCAAAATTATAAATATATATAAATTTAAAATTTGAAATATATTTAAATATAATTTTATGCATTTTAAACACACACACATATATATAGACAAATACATATATGGTAAACATTGTTTTGTTTACTAAAATGTTTGTTACACTCACATCATACAAACTAAGAAATAAAACAATCTTTGCCTTTTTGGAGAAAGAGATTATTTCCCATAAGGGAAATAATCAATAATGTAACTATAATTATTTTTTACACTGGTTGTTATAAGTTTTGGTCTTATTTTCTAAGACATTTGAAAGTTCAATGTTTATACAGCTGAAACTGAGGGTTAGTCAAGCCCTCATCTTGACTTACCCTGTTTGGAAAGAAATGCAAATTATTTTCTAAAAACTAGTCCACAAAGGTCATTCTGGGAAAAGCTACAATTTCCCTATCTTCCTAGTCTTTAAGTAATTAACTTCCTAGAGCATTTTTCTATTGGGATAAAACTCTGGTCAGTAAATATGTGATAATGTAATTTCTTAAAGAAACTCCTACATGAGTTTAGTTCATTGCTGCCAGGGGTGGAGGGTTTCTATATTGGAAACTAATTTTAAAAGGTCAAATCAATAGCTATAGAAAGTGGCAAGCACTAAAAAATGAATACTCTTTTTCTTAAAGATATTTTGAGTAAGATTAGCTGTACTACATATCTCATGCCACAGACTTCTAAAAAATATATTACTCCTCCTTCAGTATTTTCAGATTAAGTTTTCAATTTGCATGAAGAGGCTGGCTTCACATTTGCATAAAAAGATCAAGTTTTTCATATTTTATTCTAGAGGTGTGGCCGGTAACAACAAGAAAGTTCGGTTTTGGACATTTTCTATGTTTTTTTCTGTAGGAACTTTTACAGAGGCCTTTTCATGTGATCCAGAGGGTAACTATATGAGATAGAAGGTGCTGGTAAATACAGCATCCTCACTTCCCGGAAGAGAAAACTAATGTCGGTTCCAAGTGGCCTATGTCTACTACTTTCCCCAAAACCCTTCTTTGGAGCTCAGGTTCTTATCTCACATAGCATGGGTTTGTTCTGCTTTGCCCTTTATTCTCTGTGTTTTTTCATCTTTGAGATAAATGGGAAGAGGGCCGCAGATAATCTCTGCTGCTGGGGGTTCAGCAACAAGGCCACAAATAGTGCAATCATGTCCCCTGGCTCTGAATAGGAAGGAGTAGGTTTGAGCTGAAGGCACCACCTATACCAAGCCCTGTCTGGGAGCTCCTTCTCTCTTGGTTCATCAGCCTAAAGAGGGTGTGGGCCATTTGCTTGTAGGGCCGTTTCCATCTTTAGTGTTTCCCCATACATGTCTAATCTTAGGAATTACTGTTGGGGTGAGAAAATCTACAACATGTAGTTGGTCAAAGTGGACATGAGCTTTTTAAATGGGCTCTCCCTTTCCATTTACAATGTGTTCTGAAGGTTTTTATGAGCTAATCTTCTCTGTACCTTTTCCTAACAGTCAGAATTATTACAATGACCCAAGAGTAACACTGCTAATACACATGAGTAAATAGTTACCCCCAAAGAAACGCTGCCTATAGTCCTGAAAAGAGATCAATGGATAAAACTCTGTGTGTGTGATGATGTTCAGTAAATTACTTTCAGCAGAATTACCCAGGACACTTTATTTCCTTTTTTATTTTAAAAATGCTACAGGCATTAATGTTTTAATGAGAAAGAATTCTGTAATATTTCAAGGAGATGTCAAGGAAAACTTAGAAATTCATATGCCTTGTTTCGAGTTTTCTCACACAAGAACTCGGAAAATGAGAAATGTGGTTTTTTGTTTTTTGTTTTTTGAGACAGACTCACTCTGTTGCCCAGGCTGGAGTGCAGTGGATCCGGGTTCACACCATTCTCCTGCCTCAGCCTCCTGAATAGCTGGGACTACAGGCGCCTGCCACCATGCCCGGCGAATTTTTTGTATTTTTAGTAGAGACAGGGTTTCACCATGTTAGCCAGGATGGTCTTGATCTCCTGACCTCGTGATCCACCCACCTCGGCCTCCCAAAGTGCTGGGATTACAGGCGTGAGTCACCTCGCCCGGCAGACATTTCTGATCTTAAAGCTTGAAACTTAACATCTGTTTTATCTGAGTTCCTTTCTCAGGAAATGACTTTCAGGCCTCTCAAAGAAAGTATCAAAGAACTGAAACTCACCAGATCACCACATCCTGACAACCAGATGCTGACCCCTGATTCATCACGATTGCTTCCCTGTCCCTCCCTTGCTCCTGTTTTCTTACACATTGTTACATTTCTTCCCTGTTACATAAACCCCTAGTTTTAGTCCATCAGGGAGATGGATCTGAGACTGAGCTACCATCTCCTTGGCTGTAGCACCCAATTAAAGCCTTCTTCCTTGGAAATACTTGTGGTCTCGGTGATTGGTTTTCTGTGCAGTGAGCTGCAGAACCTAGACCAAACCCCTGGTGTTCGGTAACAGAAAGTGGATAACTTCAGATGGTAAAACATGCCAAAGCAGTCAAAGTGAAGTTTAGAAAAAAAAAAGCACAAAAATAAAAACACTTTAAAAGAGGATCTCTCCACATAGTTCTTGCTCTTAAAGAGGTCTTAAGGAGTGAACTGGAGGCTTCACTCCCAGGACACACACGCACACCTAGGCCTCACTGCAGAGGGATGGGTAGACAAGGCTATCAGGGAAGGCTGCCTGGTGGAGCTGACATCTAGTGAAGGCATTACAAGAGATTGGAGAAAATGAGCCTGGGACAGTGAGAGGGTGAGGAGAAGAAAAAGTCGGGGATATTACTCTAGAGTGGAAAAGCAGGGGGAAGAAAAATGAGCAGAAATGGATGAATGAAGGGGCTCCTGGAAGCCAAATAAAGTACAGTGGGCCCAGCCCTCTGTATCCATGGGATTCACATCTGTGAATTCAATCAATTGCAGATCAAAAATATTTGAAAAAATAAAAAACATACAAAAACAAATAATACAAATAAAACAACAGTATAGTGTAACAATTTACATGTCATTTATATAGTATTATGTATTATGAGTCATCTAGAGATGATTCAATGTATACAGGAGGATGTGCATACGTTATATGTAAATACTACGCCGTGTTGTATCAGGGACTTGAGCATCTGTGGATTTTGGTATCAGTGGGGGCCCTGGAACTAAGCCCCCTTAAATACCAAGGGATAGCTGTACTGCAGAGAAAGAAAAACGAGAGAATAGTACACTGAGATGAGTCAGAATAGGAAGCACATATGGAGATGGGGGAACAAGCAGATGACACACAACACAAACCCATAACATTCCTGACACTCGGGCGTCATGAGGGCCTGCGAGGATAAATGCATGAGTAAAGCACATCCAAAGTGACACACAAAGTGTATGGAAACGTTTAAAAGGAAATGTACAAACCATTCCTCGTCAGGTTTAGTTTATAGCAAGTTCTAGGATCCAAAATGCATTTCTAATGCAACAGTGTGAGTATATCTTGTAGTATTAAGAAGATAAAACGAGACCAGCCTCGGCAACATAGTGAGACCTCGTCCTACAAAAAAATTTTAAAAACGAGCTGTGCATGGTGGCGTGGGCCTGTAATCCTAGCTACTCAGGAGGCTGAGGTGGGAGGATCACTTAAGCCCAGCAGGTCAAGGCTGCAGTGAACCATGATCGTACACTACACTCCAGCCTGGGCAACAGAGCGAGATCCTGTCTCAAAAAAATAAAAATAAATGAAGATACAATGGTGTGTGTGTGTGTGTGTGTGTGTGTGTGTGTGTGTGTGTGTGTGTATAGTTTTAGTTTGTCACTTTGATTGATATGTCAGTTCATTAAAACACTGATATCTCTTTTCAGAAACTCAGATATGACTTTAGGTACTATCTATAGCAAGCAGAAAATCTTAAAAAAGCAGTTTGGCTTTTATACCAAAAAGATGATACCTTCTCATTGTCATCGCTGGATGTGGGAAGAAACTTGACTAGATATTTTTTTTTTAAACAAATGAACGTATTTTCCTCAGCCTTACCTACATATATGGTATAGATTCATTACAAAAACACAATACGACCTCAGGAGGTTTATGGCCTTTTACAATATTTGCATTATAAATACTGTGGTCTTACTTTCTTTAATATTTTTTTCCTACCAAAAGTCTTGTTTTTCCAATCAGAAATAATTTTTATAAGTCTTTCAATGTTAAATTTATTTAACAGGTTAACTAAACACATTTTAAAAAACAGACTCTGCCAAATATAACAGTTGACTGATTGTCACATGTGGCTTCCTGCCTTTAAAAAATGTGTACATGCACGGCCGAGCGCGGTGGCTCACTCCTGTAATCCCAGCACTTTGGGAGGCTGAGGTGGGAGGATCACGAGGTCAGGAGATCGAGACCATCCTGGCTAACATGGTGAAACCCCGTCTCTACTAAAAATACAAAAACAAAATTAGCAGGGCATGGTGGCGGGAGCCTGTAGTCCCAGCTACTCGGGAGGCTGAGGCAGGAGAATGGTGTGAACCTGGGAGGCAGAGCTTGCAGTGAGTCAAGATGGTGCCACTGCACTCCAGCCTGGGTGACAGAGAGAGACTCAGTCTCAAAAAAAAAAAAAAAAAGGCGTACATGCACAAAACCTGTAGTGTACCTCTCTAGGAAGGGAACAGGGATGCTATTTGAGTTCAATTGTCAGAACTACCAAGATGAGTTGTATTCTGTGTTCCTTGACAGTGGGGAGATGTTCTTTTTTTCTTTTAATTTAACCTCTTCTAATTTAACTCAAGCAATCTGAAGCAGCACTTCCTACACGGAAGTGTGAATAGACATTTCCCCACTTAAGTGTGCCCCTATTAAATCTTTAAAAAAATGAAAAATTATTTTTATTCTGTAGAAGTAGCTAGGAATGGGAGGGATGGGTTATGAAAGGGACATGTGCTTCTAATGTGGAGAGGCAATTTATTCAACAGTTACCGAGTGTCTACCATCCATCAGGCGCCGTGCTCAGCAGTGAGCTGTTTTGCAGTGGATGCAGAGAGAATAAGACGCAGAGACTGTTAGCCACAAAAGCAAGGCGTGTTGAGAGCAGAGAGGCAGAATCCTGTAATTCCATCTTGGGGATTTGGGGAATGTGTGACAACTCGGTGACAGTCAAGCAGACTTTTAAAAAGGCTTGAGAGATATTTCAGGAAAGGCCAACAAGAAGACGGGCACAGTGGCTCACGCCTGTAATCCCAGAACTTTGGAAGGACAAGGCAGGCAGATCACTTGAGGTCAGTAGTTCAAGACCAGGCTGGTCAACATGGCAAAACCCTGTCTCTACTAAAAATACAAAAATTAGGTGGGCATGGTGGCACAGGCCTGTAATCCTAGCTACTAGGGAGGCAGAGGCACAAGAATCACTTGAACTCAGAAGGTGGAGGTTGTGATGAGCCAAGATCACACCACTGCACTCCAGCCTGCGCAATGGAGCAAGACTCTGTCTCAAAAAAAAAAAAAAAAAAAAAAAAAAGAAAGGCTTACAAGGGGGAGGGCACAGTAGGCAGAAGAGTTAGTAGTGGCAAAGTCATCATCTTGGGAAAGCGTAATTGTTTGGGGTAACCATGAGCAGGGCATGGGCTTGGATGTAGGTATGAGGAGTGTAGGACGGAAAGCTAAACAATCCATTTACATTACAGAAGATAAAGGGTATTGCTGCCCTGCTAATGCATTTGGACTTCATGCTATAAAGCAGTGGTAAGCAGTTGAAAGACTGAACGATTTAAACCGATATCTATGTTTTGAAAACATTAACTCTGGCAGCAGTGTGGAGCAGGAATTGATGAGAGAGGCGAGGAGAGAAGGTAGGAGGCTACTGCAATGATCCAGGTAAGTGATGCTGAAAGACTGACCCAGGGAAGTAGCATCCGCAACAGGGAGAGATTTGAAGGACACCCTGGAGGTAGAACTGGCAGGATATTATGATGGACTGCTTGGATGACGAATGGGGAGACAAAAAAAAGTATGACTTCAGAATTTCTAGTATCGATGTCTAGCAATTAATAAATAGACAGAGTTGGGTGCAGTGGCTCATGCCTGTAATTGCAGCACTTTGGAAGGCCGAGGCAGGTGGATCACAAGGTCAGGAGTTCGAGATCAGCCTGACCAACATGGTGAAATCCCGTCTCTACTAAAAATACAAAAATTAGCCGGGCGTGGTGGTATGCTCCTATAATCCCAGCTACCCAGGAGGCTGAGGCAGGAGAATCACTTGAACTCGGGAGGTAGAGGTTGCAGTGAGCCAAGATCACGCCACTGCACTCCAGCCTGGGTGACAGAGCAAGACTCCATCTCAAAAATAAAAATAAATAAATAAATAAATAGACACAAGGAGAGGAAATGGTGATTAATTTAGGTTTGAATAACTGTCAGCCAGAGAGGCTTACAAGACACCCTGGAAGAAAAAGTCCAATAGGCAGCTGGAAATAGGAGCATGACACTCACAACAGAGGTGGGGGCAGAAGATATTTACTTAGCAGGCAATGTCATATAAGTAATGGTTGACTCCAAAGCAGATGAAATATCCCAGGGGAATAACATAAATAATTTGACAGCTAAGCATGTAACTGCCTGGGATGTTATTATTTAAGGAATGGACAGGAGAAGAAGAACCTGAGAATGAGACAGGAAAAGACTAGTCCAAGATGCAGGAGGATGCAGGGAACAGTAATGTCATGAAATCAATCACAGGGCAAAGACGGGGGAAAAGATGAAAAACCACTGTCAAATGTTTCAGAAGACGACTCTGGGATGAGACTAAGGAGTTTACCATATAGAAGCTCACTGACGGCTCACTTAGATGAAAAGTCAGAGGGCCTGATTTCAGTGCACTGAAGGTCAAATGGAAAACGGTTCTGTTGAGACAGGGGAATATGGATGTCCTTTCAGAGTCCAGAGGTCAACATGGTGACAGATATTGGATGGTGATACTGCAGGAGACTTTTTAAAAATTTACCTTTGTATTTGCCAATTTTCTATGATTAATGTGTATTATCTTAATAATGAAAAACAAAATGAGAAAAGCCAATTTTGAGAAGAATTTGATGTCTTGTTGTCCTCAGCCCTAAAATTAGAAATGGTGAAGTGAGAAGATCCTGAGTTGGGTTCCTGGACCAATTCTGCCATTCATTAGCTATATAACCTTAAGAATGACATTTCAGATGTTTCTCTGGGCCTCAGTGTCTTTACCTATAAATAAAAAAGTTGAGCTGGAAAATCACTAAGGTGGTTTCTAAATGCAGAAGTCTAGGATATAGCTCATGATGTGGGAATAAGATGTATTAGCGAACTGTATTAGCGAAAACTGATATTTAAAGAAATCCTATGATAAATTATTGAGTAAAGTGAAGAATTACTTTATAATATAACTAACCACCCCAACCTATATGCTTTATACTTCCTGATTTTGTTTGCTTGTCTTAAAGTGGAGAATACCTGTATGGATTATAATATATATATATTTTTCATTGTATTCTTTTCATTATACCTTCTGTTTTAAGAATAAGATGCAGTTCCTACCACAGAATTTCCTCTGTACACCAATCAAGGAAAAGAACAGCATTTTGTGGGTAAGGTCTGAAGGCTGCAGTTGCCAAGATTAAATATTTACTGCTTCCCTTAGAGTGCCCAAAGACATAAAGTTTTTATTGAGCAATTATCACAGGCACTAAGGAAATAATAGCATCAGACTATATTTCATATCCATACCTTCTTAAATGTGATGAGTGGCCTGGTATGGACATTTTTTAGTTACTTCTTTTTCAGATGCTTTTAGGCAATGCACAGCAATGTAAATTAGTGGCCAAAGGCCCAGGCAGTAAAAAACATTAAGGCAGACCTAAAAAATATATATGTGGGAAGCAAGAAAGTTTAGAAATAAAAACCCTAGGACATTAGAGTTCCAAAGTACCTTAAAGGTTCATCTGGGGCAATACCCTGCTGGAAGTGGGTGCTCTTCTGCCAGTGGGTATCCCACCTGTTCTTGGATGCCTCCGCGGGAAGCACTCCAGTATTTTCTGGGGCAGCTTTTTGCTGACTAGCTCTTGTTAGTTACTGGAAAGCTCTTCTGGATACTGACCTGAAACCTGCCTTCCTAATATCCTACCCCATAACCCTAGTTCTGCCTTCAGTATGATACCACATCAGATTATCATGCTACTGCTCATTGTTGGAATATAGATTGTCCTGGGGGAGTTTTATAGCTGAATAAAAATGTGATAGCCTATACTGGAAATTTATCTTTCCCTTCCTAAGTACTTTTCAGGACGGATGAGCTCTCAGCTTCAGTATATTATGCATATAATGAAATTAATTTGAATCCTAGTCTAAAAACTTTTATTTAAATTTGGTTTAAAATGTTTTGGTCTGTGGAATAGCAGATTCTTTTACTGGACAGGGTACAAACTCTCTTAACTGGCCTACATTTAACCAACTTGTGTTAACTGATGTTTTCTTGCCCTCTGTAAAATATCACTGCTGATGCTCATGGAAGGGAGAATGCTCAGAGCCAGACGGCTATTCTTGCAGAGGTCCACACACTTCTGCTCCTACAGGCTGTGCAGTACACAAACCAAGACTCACCTAGGTATACACTCAAACATTCTGTGTCAGTGTATTGATTACTGTACTTACATAATTTAATTAAATATTACATCAACCAGTACAATATGAATGTAACCAGAAGAGCTGTTTCTAGGGCAAGTTAAAGCTTTAGAAAGATTAGATAAAGTTGATTCAGTAAAAGAAATGCTGTCAAATTAGGTGTGGACAAGTGTAAAAAATTGAGAAAAACTGTAAAAATTTAGAGGGATTTTACATTCATTTGTTTTGAAAAAGGCTTTAGATTCTCACTCCCTTCTACAAAGAAAGTGTAAGTAATACATAACAGATGGGGTTTATGCAGGATAGCCACACAAACTCCACAAATGAACCTCTACACAAAAAAAGACCACAGCCTTTCTCTTCAAAGATTGGTGTATGAATGTACTTTTTTTTTTTTTCTTTTGAGACAGAATCTGGCTCTGTTGCTCAGGCTGGAGTGCAGTGGTGTGATCTTAGCTCACTGCAACCTTGCCTCATGTGTTCAAGCGATTCCCATGCCTCTGCCTTACTGATTACAAGCATATGCCTCCACTCCCGGCTAATTTTTCTATTTTTAGTAGAGACAGGGTTTCACCTTGTTGGCCAGGCTGGTCTAGAACTCCTGGCCTCAGTGATCTGCCTGCCTCGGCCTCCCAAAGTGTTGGGATTACAGGCGTGAGCCACTGCACCTGGCCAAATGTACTTATATCCTTTGAGTTAAAAATTAAATTTAGAAGATGTTACCTTTTTATGATTTCTAGTTTTTAATCACCTTTTTCAAATAACTGATCAATTATTGACTCTGATGAAATCAGACAGAAGGCTTCTGCTGAAGTTTATGGCTAAACTCAGTCTCTCAGGATACTGCTAGAAAATTTTTTAAAAATGAAGACTGTCATAAGACAGTCTTAAGACTCCATATAATCAAAGTTCACCATCAACTATACAAATTGAGGCATGATAAAAGGAAAAGCTGCCAGGAGCTATACAAATGAATAAGCTCAATTAGTTATTGGTTCGGTCCAACAATTACCTTTTTATGTATTCTCACTCTCCCTTCCTCTACAGAGTGTGATCATTGGAATATCCTGTATTTTTTCACTTAACATTGTATCACATACATTTATCTTTATCATGACTATCTAAGCATCACCCAGACCATTTAATGGCTATATATTATGATATATGAATTAATTCATTCAAAATAACACTATAGGTGAGGTGCTACCCTATGGAACCAAACAAAAATAAGAAAAAGACACTTAGTTAACCAATTCTGTTAGTGGCCAACCAGATTTTTTTGTTTTTTGGTTTGTTTTTTGCTATTGTAGATCCAATTAAAATGAAAAGTCTCTTCTTTATGGAATATGTATTGTTGTGGTGGTCACTTGAATGAAGAGAAATCCTCCCACCAGTAATAACCTGTCTCTTCTCTTTCACAAGGTTTTTGAATTATAGCCTGTTCATTTAATTCTATACCCTTCACCTTTCTATATTTAATAACTGAGGAAATATGTGTGGGTGAAAATATTTTCATATTTCATTTCCTATTACTTGCAAAGATAGCTATTTTACACAGAACAAGTGTATCCTCCAGAGGAGTAGTGAAAGCTATTATGGAAGCATGGATAAAACTGACTGAGAAAGAAAAAAAAATGGTCTATGTTTCATTTTACTTGGCTCTCAAAGGACCATTTGGGCCTTTGCTTTCCCTAAAATACAACCAAGCTATAGCTACATGGCACAAACTTAAAAGGGTGATTGGGAAGTTGATTAATTTATCTGGAAAACAGTCCAACTCTCTATTTCAGTTTGCACAGTGACGACACAGCCTAAATCAAATTTTAAGCGAATGCAAACATAGCTACTCTCTAGGCCAAATTCTGGAAAAACACCTTAAGAATTCCAAGTGGAAGTCTTTGTAGATCCTAAGAGGCCTATATGTTGCTTTTAATTTAGAGAAGTGTCAAGACACATTTCTCTAAGGGCCAAGAACGTATGGAGGATTATGCAACTTAATGAGATGGTGCCATATTAAATCCTGAGCTGATAGCTCTCTAAGTTTTAAGCAATCCCCAGCAAATGTCCTCATCATTTTGGATCCTTTACCTTACTGGAGGCATCTCTGGTTTGGATAGAACATTAGAGGCCATCTAGCCCAAAGAGTCATCACCCACATCTTAATTCCACTGACAAGGCAGGCACAGAAGATCATGGAAGCTTCCAGAGACAGCACTGTGTCAGGACATCTGGCTGCTTCTTATCTCACTCCCAGCGTTTATCCCAAAGCTGTGTGGGTGCAGGTCTTTGAGAGGAGCCTGTCATTCCCTTGCACAGTGTCACTGGGACTTACCTGTGGAGGTCCGGGAGCGGCACTGCCCAGTCATGGGGCTGTACTCTTGGTTTTCATCAGCACACACGCACAGGAAGGACCCTTCCACGTTTTCACAGAAGGCTTCACCACACACCCCACTGAGCAGTTCACATTCATTCACATCTGGAAAAGGGAGCACAGACCAAGTGAGATGTGTGCCTCATTCACGACAGCTCTCTATTTTACCAGCTGTGCCAGGGCTAATAGTGTCTTGCTGAAAAGAAGGCGATCCCCAGAGAGCAGTCAAACCCCTTCTGCTCTTTTAGGGAAGGGGCTCTTTAAGGTAGAGCTGTCAGATTTGGTCTGTACGAAAGGACTATGAAAATTCAAGACAATTCCGAATTTAGGTTTTTTTTTTTTTTTTTTTTTTTTGAGACGGAGTCTCGCTCTGTCGCCCAGGCTGGAGTGCAGAGGCGCGATCTCGGCTCACTGCAAGCTCTGCCTCCCGGGTTCACGCCATTCTCCTGCCTCAGCCTCCTGAATAGCTGGGACCACAGGTGCCTGCCACCACGCCCCGCTAATTTGTTTTGTATTTTAAGTAGCAACGGGGTTCCACCGTGTTAGGCAGGATGGTCTCGATCTCCTGACCTCGTGATCCGCCCACCTCGGCCTCCAAAAGTGCTGGGATTACAGGCGCGAGCCACTGCGCCCAGCCAATTCCCAATCTAGTTTTAAAAGATACTCTGGAATTGTACTGCAAAACTAGTATGTGCCCACTGACCATCTAGTTTTATCATTCCTGACTTTTCAACATAATGAAGTCTTAAATGACGCAACACTCTACTCTCAGTTCTTTTTTTTTTTTGAGACGGCGTCTCATTCTGTCACCCAGGCTGGAGTGCAGTGCCGTGATCTCAGCTCACTCGCAACCTCTGTCTCCCGGGTTCAAGTGATTCTCCTGACTCAGCCTCCTGAGTAGCTGGGATTATAGGCACGTACCACCATGCATGGCTAATTTTTGTATTTTTAGTAGAGACAGGATTTCACCATGTTGGCCAGGATGGTCATGAACTCCTGACCTCAAGTGATCCGCCTGCCTCGGCCTCCCAAAGTGCTGGGATTACAGACGTGAGCCACCACGCCTGGCCTACTCTCAGTTCTTAATTCAAGCAAAGTTAGAATCACTGACACTTCAGTAACCACAGAATTAAGTTCACTTAAAAACTTTTAAAATATACTTAAATATCTGAAAATACAGTTCTCTGGTAGCCAAAGCATCCATAATTATCAATAGAATTCAGATTACATATTCCTTTGAGAAATGAAGGAAAGACTCCTATAGATACTCATCAGGCTACATTAATCATTCATGTGAAACAAATTGGTCCAATAACTAATCACTGATCTCATGACACCTTTTCAAATTCTGTTGATGTTCCACTGTGTAATTTCTATTTTGCTAAATGTTTTTCTTCTGTACTTAAATATACATAATTAAAATACAGTGAAGGAATCTCAGTGACAAGTACACTTTATTCAACATTTTGCAAGTACACAGCCCTAAAGAAAGGCTAATTTTATGTTTGATGTTGTCCCATAGTGCTTTTTACCCTCTTTCCTCCTGCAATATTTTATTCATGGGTATCCAATTCAGTAAAGCACCTGACTTAAAGTCTGAAATGCTCACATGTCTTATGCATTAAACGTGTATAAACATCAGCTTTCATGAGCATACTTTGAGATGGCTTAATCAAAGTTAAAAATTTGAGCAATTATCTAAATCATTCCAGAAAAAAAAAAATCGTCCTTTCACCTGGTATACCCAGTTAATTGGACAAAAAGCTTATACATCTTGACTTATTTGGATAATTACCTCAGTTTTCCATTTCATTTATATATAAAGAGATATAAATCCAATGAACTGGTTTCACTTGTGAAAAATACCATAACATAAAGCAGAGTTGAAATATTTAATCAACCGACAGTCATATTGAGACCAGAAAAACTTAAGAAATTGCCAGTTCACATTGATCAATTTTAGGTAAATGTCCAGTGGAACTTTGTACTTTCCAACATGTATTATTGACATGGCTAATAAACTCTATCCCATCAGACTGCAATAATTCAATCAAGAAATATTTCCTAGCTTACTTCTGTGGGGCAGGCCTGTACGGCCTATATGTGGGGTAACAATGATGAGCCAGCAGTCCCAACTCCTGCCTTCATGGAGCTTACAGACGAGTTAGGGAAATGAACAAAATAATTGTACATGCTTCAGTGAGTGTGAGGAGTGAAAAGTTCAGAGCTCAGTGAAAGCATGGAACAGCAGACCTTAAATGTGGGGGTGGGTTAGAGAAATGATACTGGAGCAAATAGCTGAAGGATGAGTAGGTGATAATGGGGCAGGTGCTCACTCATCCCTGTAGCTCTACAGAACACCCAGTGTGAAGTGCGTATCATAGGTGCTTAGTAAATATTTTTGAAATAATAAATACAAACACAAATAAAATGGCATTTGTTGAGTTCACCAAAATGATAACAAATATTCCTTCTCTAAGGGTGGTGTTTTGTGTGCCAAGCTGAAATGTCAGCATGGGTTTGGTGTGCTCATCTGGCTGGTTAGAAATGAACATTAAGCAGGGGCTCTGGAGCTATGTGGACTCCAGATAGCTGACATGGTTTCCAGGTATGGTTCAACATCTGATATTTAAACAGTTGGTAGTTAAACAAAATTTACTGAGCACCTATAATAAGCCAAGCATCGTGCCCTGCCCAGGGAGAAGTGAGAAAGTTTTCAATCATATAGAGGTCATAGCCTTGCAGAAGCGGTCTGCAGGTGGTATACCCATTATTAAATTATTCCCCCAAAGGTTGTAAGTGCTATAATAGAATTTGCTGAAGGTGCTCTGGAAGCAGAGGTCACAGCTCAGCTTGAGAGTGAGGAATGGAGCAGGGATGGTGTCTGGAAGATGACACTGAACCTCAGTCTTCAAGAACGAGTGAGAAAAATCCAGGGCTCAGGGAAGGAGAGGTCAGGAGGATATTCCCAGCAGAAGGAGTGAACAACAGTCAAATAATTGCACAGTGACATGGGCAACCACAACCAGTCTGACGTTGCTGGAAACAACAGGTGAAGAAGGAAGTGGTAAAGTTAAGATGAAAAGTAGGGGCCACATCACAAGACCCAACTGGTGAAAATATTATCCAAACGTCAAACAACTGTATTTTGGTGGAAAGGTGGCCAAAGCAGGAGTTTGAACTAAGATTAGGATAGTCTTAGCTATATTATTAAATAACTATGTCTTGTTGTGAATAATTCTTGAATAATTATCTATGTTTTTGACTAGCTACTGCTTATGCATGAAACCACACCATTGCTTTGTAAATAATTTTTGGTTGAGAATTAACTGAATTTCATAATTCCACAAAAGCAGTTATTAAGTGACATTATCATTAAACCTTAAAAATCTTGTTTTCCAAGTTTAATATGGATGGCAAATGAACTAATGTCTTAATTGCAAATTTTCAAACCAAATAGGCAATAGACTCCTCAAGTTCCACCTGCCATGTAGTGAACATGGCTATTTTTCTCTAAGAATAAAGAAAAAGAAAAGTCTTGCTATCTATAAAGTCTTGAATTTGATAACCTTTCTTCTCTTTCCCATTTAATTGCTCTAATTGCAAATATGTTTCATAATGAGTTTGACGTGAAGAAATCACATCTTGGTCAGACAATGAAATACAAATTATTTTCTGTGTGAGCATTTGTTGGACCATATTCCAGGACATATGATGATATTCAAGATTCCTTCCAGCCCTGTCAATCCCGGAACAGACTGAGGAAATACAGTTGCACAATTCAAAGCATCCTTTTACAGGTATCATTCCTGGACACTGAAGCTCCTGGCAATACTTTGCCTTAAACGCACTGTCTAAGGGGATGCATTTCAAAGACAGACAATCTATACCACACACCAGACTCTATTTCCTGTGCTGAAGGGAGTCTAGAGTTCTGCATACTCAGTTAGAGTTTAAACAGATGTTCTTGTTAAAATTCATTTAAATGTAAAGTCATACTTTTATATTTCTTAATGTCCCTAACAATTTCAGAAGCCATAGGATTTTTTTTTTTTTTTTTTGAGACAGGGTCTTTCTCTGTTGCCCAAGCTGCCGTGCAGTGGCATGATCACGGCTTATTGCAGCCTCAAACTCCTGGGCACATGAGATCCTCCCACCTCGGCCTCCCAAGTAGTTGGGACTACAGGCATCCACCATCAAGCCTGGCTAATTTTTTTTTTAAAATTTTTATTCATAGAGAAAAGATCTCACCATGCTACCCAGGCTGGTCTCAAACTCCTGGTCTCAAGCAATTCTCCAACCTTGGCCTCCCAAAGTGCTGGGGTTACAACCGTGAGCCATGCACCCAGCCAACATAGGATATTTTTGCACATCCTCAAATTGTATGACAAAATCAAATTACGATAAAGCTCTACCCAAATTACCTGCTTAAAAGCTCCTGTTGTTCACTGTGATTTCTTTTCCCTAGGGACATGTGAAACACGTTGGGAAAAAATCTAAAAACTCACCCACACACCCTTGCCCATCCTGTGGGGCTTGAAAGCCCTGATAACAGAGGCAGCGGAAGGAGCCAGCTGTATTGTCACAAAACCCGTGACTGTCACAAACAGTGTTGTTTACACATTCATCAATATCTGCAAAAAAGACATGGAACATCAGACACAAAACAAACACAGGCTGACAAACACCAGATATTAATGGATAAACAGAGGCACTCAACACATCCTGATTAGTGTGTGATGATGAGATGAACATGTTTACACAGAAAACAGCTTTTAAAATATTTTACATATAAATAAAATGTTTTGATGAAAATGGTTTAACAGCCAAAATGTTGGGTTCTATGAAAAAAACATTTAGTACTTTTCCTTAGGAAATGTTTTTAGACTGAAATGATGGCTGCAAGTGCCACGCCCAGTATTACCTAAACGTTCTCGACTCTTTATTTCCAAGGGACCTTATATTCCTACAGAGAAAACATGTGAAAATATTGTCACTTGTTTTAGTTGCAGTAAATGCTAATAGTATTTGCATCTGATAGTTACAGGTGGAAATGAGCAATAGTTTACTTAACCTTGTGGATAACCTTGATCCAGACTACACAACATCCTCAGGAAGTCAAGAGAGAGTCTGATGAAGTCAGCAGGGTAGCCAGTCAGTCCCAGTGCCAAAAGAAAAGATTTGATGCCACCAATTTACAGCCATTCAAGGTCCTAACCGTCCAGGCTGCTCCAGCTGATTGGCTGACTTGCCAATTCATTTTGTTCTCCATAAACGTGATGAGAGTGATCTTCTGCCTTTTTTTCTCATTAATAAAAATGTTCTTATAAAAGTGATGCCTCAATTGCAAAGTTACAACAGACTTTTAGATAGAATTCTTCTTTATTCTTACGGTTACTAATTTCCTTCTCCGTTCTTTCCTTCCCGTTCTCCTTGGGCACTGCCACATCTATACCACCCATCACCTGGTACTCTGCTCTCTCTGCCCCTGGATTTAACAGTCATGCCACATGCAAGTTTTTGGAGAAACAATTAAGAAAATGTTAATGACAGCATCCAAATATATGTGAAGAAGATTGCACTTTTATGTTCAAATAATGAAATCAGGTAACAACTGTTAAAGAAAATGACAAGTTCAAGTTCACTTGACAGAGTTTAGTTTGGGGAGAGTTACTATTAATAAAATTGAGCATTTTCTCTTTTATTATTTTTATATATAAATATACATATATATATATATATTTTTTTTTTTTTTTTGAGTGAGACGGAGTCTCACTCTGTCGCCCAGGCTGGAGTGCAGTGGCGCAATCTCGGCTCACTGCAAGCTCCACCTCCCAGGTTCAAGCCATTCTCCTGCCTCAGCCTCCTGAGTAGCTGGGACTACAGGCACTCGCCACCACGCCTGGCTAATTTTTTGTATTTTTAGTAGAGACGGTGTTTCACCATGTTAGCCAGGATGGTCTCAATCTCCTGACCTCGTGATCTGCCCGCCTCGGCCTTCCAAAGTGCTGGGATTACAGGCTTGAGCCACCGCACCTGGCCGCATTTTCTCTTTTAAACTTATTTTCTCAACTCAAAACAAACAAACAAAAAACCTACATCCCTTCTCCTTTCTGGGTGGGGCTCCTTCTCCCGCCCTGACCAGTCTCTGCCTCAAGGTCCCACCTGCTCATCCTTCTCCAACATCTTCAGTTATTCCTCCCCTGGATCCTACCCTCACTGCCTTCAAAAATGTTAAAATTGCTTGAAAATAGTTTTCACCTGATCATATCATCGCCCATTGTGCTTTTCTTCTCCTTGGGCACTGCCACATCTCACACCAGCCACGCCTGGTACTCTGCTCTCTCTGCCCTGGACTTAACAGTCACGCCAAAATGTAAGATTTGGAGAAACAATTAAGAAAATGTAACAGCATCCAAATATATGTGAAGATTGTACTTTTATGTTCAAATAATGAAATCAGACAACAAATGCTAAAGAAAATGACAAGTTCAATTTCACTTGACAGAATTTAGTTTGGGGGGAATTAAACTTTTTGTATCACTGCAAAATGTCACAAAGGATTGTCTATACTCATTGTCTTTATTTCCTATTACAGTCTATCTGTAAATGGAAATAATAGTATCAATATGAATAATATTAATAACATTGGTAAGTTCCTACAATTACTGTGAGCATTAAACAAAATAACACGTACAAAGTGCTTTGAAGACTGCCTGGCATGTATCGTAGGGAGACATCCAATATAGTACATGTCAACTTTATTATTATTACTACTATTCCTCTTCCTCCTCCTCCTCCTCCTCAATGACCTAGAATCTTACTTCCTAACTCTTTATGCCACTGAGACTCCTATGAGAAAAAGCACCAGTGACCAGCTCATCACTAAATCTCATGATCATCTTCCGGTCAGTCACCCCTGACCTCCGAGTCTGGCTGAATGCCCACTCCTTGAACACTCTCTTCCCACGTTCAGTGACGGAATATTCTTCTTGTTCTGCCTTGAGCTTGTCCTTGCCCTTTGGCAGCCTGAAAGTGGGTGTCTGCCAAGGCTCCCGCCCTGCCTGAAATCTGCTGTGTGCTCAGCACTCCTCTCCTCCACCCTTCCCACACTCTCCCAGTTTCAGTGACCATGCTCCTTGGGATAAATCCCCCATCCTCCTCTCCAGCCAAGATTCTTCTACGGAGCACTTTTTTTTTTTTTTTTTTTTTTTGAGACAGAGTCTCGCTCTGTCGCCCAGGCTGGAGTGCAGGGGCGCGATCTCTGCTCACTGCAAACTCCACCTATTGGGTTCACGTCATTCTCCTGCCTCAGTCTCCTGAGTAGCTGGGACTACAGGCGCTCGCCACCACGCCTGGCTAATTTTTTTGTATTTTTAGTAGAGATGGGGTGCAAGCACATTTCTTAATCATTTCCATTGGATCTTCTGCCATGAACTTAAACTTATCAAGCCTAAAACTGTATTCACTGTCTTCCTACTAAACTCCATTTCCTGACCTTGGTGACTTGAATTAAAAAATCAATGAAGCCCGGCGCGGTGGCTCATGCCTGTAATCCCAGCACTTTGGGAGGCCGAGACAGGCAGATCACCTGAGGTCGGGAGTTCAAGACCAGCCTGACCAACTTGGAGAAACCCCGTCTCTACTAAAAATACAAAATTAGCCGGGTGTGGTGGTGCATGACTGTAATCCCAGTTACTTGGGAGGCTGAGGCAGGAGAATTGCTTGAACCTGGGAGACAGAGGTTGCAGTGGGCCGAGATCACACCATTGCACTCCAGACTGGGCAACAAGAGCGAAACTCCGTCTCAAAAAAAAAAAGGACAAATCAATGAAATTATTTCCAGTCTAAAAAATGAATCTCCCTTACAACAGTAAACACAAAAAAGACACTCAATAAATCTGTTCTGATTGATTTTCAATGTCAGCATGAGGCTGAGATCACTATTTACTGATCACAACTTGAGGAGGAACTGCATCGCGTCACCAAATCACTTAACACAGGCCACTGCTAAAGGTAGGCTTTCTGAGATGGGCGTACATCAAAGAGATTATTTATGTTATTCATTGAACCACAGGATTTAAGGGCTGGAAAGAAACTCGGAAATACTTCAATTACCATTTACATACTGATGATTTCCCAGTCTCTCTCAAAAATTTACCTCTGTCCTTTAGAACCACTTATCTAATACCTATTGGATATATTCATAATAAACGAATTTATTATCACTCCCCTCCTCATCTCAACTCCATTTCTCCTATTTCCTTCATCAGCAAATCCAATCTGTCACCCAAGCCAGAAATCTTAATATCACCCTTCACTTTCTCCTATTCTCTGTCCTTCCCTGTCATGCCGTCTTTACTATCTTTCCTGATACTCATACTCTTGGTGGGTCATCTTCCCATCTCCAGTCTTGCCTCCCTCCCTCTATCCATTCTCCACCTAAAACTGCCAATGTGCTCTCTGCAAAATGCAAACTCACCAGTACCATTCCCTTGCTCAGAGTGTTCAGAATCTCCTCTTGGCTAAAGGGTAACCACACTCCTTAGTAGGGCATGGAGCACCCTTCCTCATCTGCCTCCTGCCTATATGTCTGGCCACAGTTTCCAGACAACCTCCTTCCCAATTTGCACTCTGGCTCAATTAGCATACTAGAGGTCTTTGAAAACCTACGGTCTTTAATTTTTCATGGACTTGGTGCATACTCCTTCCGTCTCTGGAATCTCCATGCCACTCCTTCCGTCTCTGGAATCTCCATGCCACCCCTTTCCCCTGGACTTACTTAGAAATGCCTCTTGGCCCTTCAGGAGTCAGCCCAAGAGACACCTCCTCTGCAGCACCTCCTTTAACTACTCCACAAGCAGATCTCAGGGCCTCTCCTCTCCAGTCCCAGAGCATTTTGTGCCACTGCTGTGCTTATCGAGGGCTCCTTCTCAGGGTGAGGAACCTTTAACTTAACCTCATCAGCAACTTATTTCCCTACTAAAATGAGTGGAAGGACAGCTAAGGAGGAGAAAGAGAAGGTATGTACTAGAAACCTGGTGGCTTTTCAGTCCAGATTCCTGAAGGAACATCCTTGCTTTCCTTTTTATTAATTCTATGCAATTATAGCAGATGATGATTTCTCGTTACTGTGCACAGGAACCAAATAATTGACCTGAAGGTGAACAAGCCCCAAGCTGGTTATGAATTACTGGGCGTCTTGCAGTCTCAGACTTACTGTAACAGTGATTAACCGAGAAAGTTTAGATGAGCAATATTTTGGATTTGAATGAATAGGAAAAAATAACGTGGAATGCCTGCTGGAAACTAGCTCTTCAGCAACTAATATTTTATAAAAATGATATAATGTAATTCTCAGCAGTTTCATGTTTTCAACAATGAGGTGAGGTAATAGCTTAATAAGAGGACATTTGTTTCACTTTAATGACCTCTACAAGAAAAAACATTATTTCATTAGAATTTTCTTTGATGATGTGAGCTCTCTGAGATATTTTTCCATTGTTAGTCCCGTATATACATACAATGAAAAGAACTGCTACAAATACGAGTAATTCTAGAGAAATAAAGCTAAATGTTAAGAAAATTTATTACATTAGAGTAGAAGTCCCAGCAAGACTAAACGAACAAGTGAAAGTCATCCTTTTTTGCTAAAGTTGAATTTGGAAGATGAAACTATATTTTGAATCATCCAAATATCATATGTTTTCACTTAATGAAGGGTGATTCTGTTAAAACTACCAAGCAATTTTGCTTAGTGATCTGTAAGGGCCATGCATGATATCATTGGTAATACTATCCAATGGGTTAGTGATTACAGGCGTGATTTGTCTAGTGATCAACTGTCAATTGTCAATCCAGAAAAATCAGGTGTGGTATTATAAAAGTTGCTGATTCATCACGCAAGTGTTGCTATTTACACTTTACTGAAGAAGGCAGATATAAATATTGATATTTCAATGGAAATAAAGTCAAGAAAGAATTATGCAAACCAAGGAGAATCGATCCCTGATGTGAATTTCCCAATAAAAAATTACATAAATGTCAGAAAGAAAAATAGAACATAGTTCTGGGTGACGGGAACTACCAGTGGCTCATTTAAAAAGTAGCAATGTTGTCAATGACTAATAGATCCACGCTTTTGAGGGTCTTTATTGATCTACTTGGCAGATCCATTTTCCTTGCCCAGATGCTTTTTACTTAAGACATTTTCTCAATGAACCAAAAGTTTTTAAAAACCTACTGACTGCATTCAGGGAGTCTACATACTAGAGTAGAACTCGAACCCATGCACTCCCGAATTCTCAAATAAAGGTGTAAGGCCAGACACCTGTGTCACCTTCTCATTTATGTAAAGTGAACTATGAAATAAATAACAAGTATGGAAAGAAGGCAGGGTTTTCTAAAAGAGGTTGGGGTCATGTAAATCTTGTTTAAGAACCAAAAAATTAAAATCGTTTTAATTTTAAGAACTCAACACAAAAATTCACAACAAATCTCAATGGTTCCATTAGGTGTCTTGTATTACATGCAGAAAAGTCTATGTGTATCTGTACATATTCTGAAAATGATGTATATTGGAAAGAAAGGGGTATTTGTGTCTATTTCATTAGTAAAATGATTTGGTGCTCTTTTTTCAGATATATTCTTCAGTTTTTGGTTTTACATTTTTAGGAAAGTGCTTCTTCTTAGTTTCTTAACATCTCCTTCTCTTATTTTGTTGACTTCCTTCTTCCTTATTCTGAGCAAAACGTACTCATCTATTAGGGGAAGCAGCTCACTAATGAGCTTTCCGTCTGCTGCCAGGACGCTCCAGAGAAGTGGATAGTGGGAATGGGGGTGTCATTTTTTGGTAATGGATAATTCATAGGAAAATCTCCAAAGCTACTGAGAGTTGTGAAGAAACGGGCTTCCTGTCTTAGAACATTTTTAGATGAATCATATGGTCCATTTTGACTTAACGGAAACCTGAAGATTATCCAGTTCAATCTCTTCATTTTAATAACCGGAAAACTGAGGGCTAGAAAGGGGAAGTGACTTGCCTCAAGGTTACATAGTCAGTTAGCGGGAGAGCTGGCAGAGGAACAGGGCCTGGTCACAGAAGAATCCTCTGAATCTGTCTGTGGTTCTAGCCATCACATTCTCTTACCTGTCACCATGATGATAGTTAAAAAAGGTTAGTCCTAGATGATGAAGAGAACTAACCAAACTGTGAGCCCAAAAAGCACACTGGAGTTTGCCCACTATGAAGATGGAGGTCAGAACACACCATCTGTTACTCTTTGACTCATCACCTACTGGCTTCCAGTTTTATCAAGTCTTCTTGTCCTTAAATAAGACTTAGGCATCTCTGTCCTTTAATACAAGAAATATCATCATACTTGAAATCTAGACACTAGAGCTACTGTGGGCCATGAAGAGGATATTTTTGTAGGAGACCCTTGGAAGAAAGCACATCAGGCACCCATGGTTGCAAGTCTCAGGAGGTCCCAGGACTTAGACAGGACCATGTCTAGCATCGGTGCTCCTGGAACTCTTCATAAGAAGAAAATGGCCCACTATTTTAGCTCAGAACTTCTTAACCAACTGAGATTGGTTAAGTATTTGGTGCCAGAATCTTAGGAAAACAGATCCAAAGAAAAGGGGCTTACAATGGAAATGCAGCCCTCACACTCCTTTCTGAAAGGAATGGAAGCCGGCTAGGAGAGAGTAAATCTCAGCCAACAAGTGGGAGTGAAAGATGTTAAACCAGCTGAATAGCTGCCCAAAAGAATTTTAAAATGGCATGGCTGCTGGCCCACAAGCGATTAAGGTCTCTCTCACAGCACAGGAGGGAAGCCAGCATTAAGCGGAAGATGAGCACAAGGCCTAAAGAAAGAAAATAAAATTTAGCCAATAGGAAATTAAAAACTGGATTGGGAGATGGTCCAGGCAATACAATAGGATATGGAAAGATCCTTTTAAAAAAGGTCCACTGAGGTCTGGCAACATCGACAAGGCTGGGGAATATAGCCCATATGTGTTATGGAAAATAACTTTGTTCTAGGAGATGGGAATAGGCCAGAAACAGCAGACGACATCCCTGGGCCGAGTCTGACTACCATGCTATCCCTTGACAGAGAAGGGCAGGAAAAAAACACGGGGACCTTGATGGTCACAAGTCTGTTTTGAAAGCTAGCAGCCTAAGATAAGCAATAAGAAATGACATAGGTAACAAATTATTTGAAATTCAACTTTCCCATAATTACCTTCTAGAAAAGAAGGCTGGCCAATGAGACATCTTTTTTTTTTTTTTTTCCCCAGCATGGAGATGTACTACTTTCAAAAAATTTACTTACTTACTTATTTATTTTAGAGACAGGGTCTCACTCTGTTGCCCACACTAGAGAGCAGTGCCATGCTCTCACTGTGAGAGAGAGTGCCATGGCTCTCACAGTGAGCCACAGCTCACTGCAGCCTCAACTTCCTAGGCTCAAGCAATCCTCCTACCTCAGCCTCTCAAATAGCTGGGACCACAGGTGTATGCTGCCATGCCTGGCATTTTTTTTTTTTTTTTTTAATTTTTAGTAGAGATGAGGTCTCATTATGTTGCCCAGGCTGATCTCAAACTCCTCGGCTCAAGTGATCCTCCCACCTCGGCCAACCAGTGCTGGGATTACAGATATGAGCCACCATGCCCAGCCTACTTAAATTATTCTGTAAAAATTACCCAGACAAGCCTCAATCCTATATTCCAGAGAAACTAAAACAACACTGCTCCATTTTTGTCAACCACTATGTAGACAACAGGTATTCACCATCTACAGTTAAAGATATCCTGTTGGAAACCATCCTAAAAATCACATATATCATCCTAGTTACCCAAAAATGTGGGAGTCATCCTTGATTACTGCTCCACATCCAGTCACCACATTCTTCTGATTTTATCTTTTGGTTGTATCTCCAGTCTCTCCTTTCCTCTCCAGCCTTATTCAAGGACACATTATCTTTCACTCGAATTCCTGCAATGGCTTCCAAACTGAGTTTTGTGCTTTCAGACACTCATTAAAGACCCCAAATTCATCTCCCACAATGACAGAATAATTTACCTAATGAAACAGTCCAATCAAATAGTTCTCTGCTTAAACCTCTTCAGTTTTCTTCCATGGGTAATGGCATAGAGGCCTTTGCCACGTGCTGTCTGCGCTTGTCCATGTGGCCTCTGCCCCTGCATCACCTTCTTTCCCTCTCTATTGGATCATTCCATATTTCTTACTCCTTTTTAACAGCCAAGGTTCTTGACTTATCTACGCATGCTGTGTTTACTCCATCAGTTCTCATTCATTCTTGAGTGGCTCCTGAATTCAAGATTCCACTGAAACAGCACCTGATAAGGTCACCATTTTGTAAAACCCAAAGGATTCTTCTTGTCCTCTTAGTAGAGCTCTCAGTTGTATTCAATGCGGTTGACCACTCTCTCCTTGAAGAACTCTTTTCCCTTGGATTCTACAGTACCATATCCTCTGTTTCCTCTTACTCCCTGGACTCCTCCTACAGGGTCTCTTTTACTTGACCCCTATATGTTGGCATTTCTCAGAGCTTAGTCCTAGACCTTCTTTTTTTCTCATTCTATGATCTCTCTTGGTGGTCTCATCCATTCTGATGGCTTCACATGCGGTCTAGATCTGATGACTTCCAGTTTTTATCTCCAGACTAGACTTCTCTTCTGAACATTAGAATTAACTTGATCCAATTCCCTATGGGACACACCCACATGGATATTTCACAGGCAACTCTAATTTAATATAACCAACTCACACTCTTGATCTTTACAAAAAAATTGCTTCGTTTTTTTACCATGTCAGCAAATAGTGTCACCAAATACCAACTTGCTAAAGCCAGGACCTATGACCCCTCTTCAACAGTTCTCCTCCATGTCCTACATCGGGTTCAACTCTATGTTCTAATCTAGCACTAGGCTCTATCTCCAGAGCATTTTTGGAGTCATTCATTTCTCTCCATCATGTTGCCACTGCTCTAGCCTGAGCTACCAATATGTGTGGCCTGAGCTATTATAACAATATCCTAGAAGATATCCTGAGTTTTCTCCTGCTCCTCTAACCCCATTGCCAAAAAGCAACCTGGAAAACAGAAACACTGTACTTAAAAAATATAAATTACTGAATTAAATCAAATAGAAGACTCCACTCATTAAAAAGAACAAAATTATTTTCTGAACCACTAAGAAAGAAAAAAAAAAACTCTACAAATTAACCTATTTTGCACTGCTTTTTAAAAATCACTTCAACTGTAGGAAGTGCCCCAGTATTAAAGGTGAAAAAATGTGCATCTTTTTAGAAAGATGAAATATAGTATATCATTGTCCTGCTCCGAATCTATCAGTCTATTTCAGTTACACTTAGAATAACACCCAAACTCTTTACATTTCCTGTGGGAAGTTGCAAATTCTGTACCTGCCTCCCTAGCTCTACCCTTGCTGAGCCTCTCTCTCCCATCCAAGTACTAATGAGGCCCGACCCTGCTCAGCTTTCAAGATCAGATGAGAGGTGTATTTACGGTGGGATTGCTGTAGACTACACCTCCTCTCTCAGAACCAGGCATGGCCTTTTCCACTCCCTTGAGTGCACCAAGTTCTCTGTCTCAGAGGCTTTGCCCTGAGCTCAGCTCAAATGCTGTTTCTTTAGAGAGATCCTTCAGTCAAAACAGTCTTCCCTCCTCCTCCCTCTCATTAATCCTATACAAAAAACGTTAGCTGGGCATGGTGGTGGGCGCCTGTAGTCCCAGCTACTTGGGAGGCTGAGGCAGGAGAATGGCGTGAACCCGGGAGGTGGAGCTTGCAGTGAGCCCAGATAGCACCACTGCACTCCAGCCTGGGCGACAGAGCAAGACTCCATATAAAAAAAAAAAATTAAATAAATAAAGTATATAATTTCATTTTTAAATGCTAAAAACTATTAAGAAATATGTCAAATATTAACATTAATTAACACTGGTTGATAAATGATTTTTTTCTTTATATTTCTCAGAATTTTCTAAATTTTCTATAATGAGAGTGTCTCTGTCTCTCTCTCTCTTTTTTTTTTTTTTTTTTTTTTTTTTGGAGATGGTGTCTCACTACATCAACCAGGCTGGCCTGGCCTCAAACTCCTAAGCTCAAATGATCCTCCCACCTCAGCCTCCCAAGTAGCTGTAACTACAGGTACCCACCACCACACCTGGCTTATGTTACTCTTAAAATCAGAAAAATCACATACTTGCAATCTACTATTTGAGGATACTTAAATAAGTATTTTAATTATTTTGCTTGTGTATAAATATATATTCCACCCTAACAGGAATAAACATTTGAGTGAAATACAACTGTACAAACAAAAATAAAATACCTATTCATAAATATTTTTAAAATATTGAAAACTTGCAACGTTTTATTTTTTCTGAATGAAAATAAAATCTTGTTTTAAGATGAAGTGTTTTGCTTGAAATTATATTATGTAAGATAAAATGCTACTGATAATTATTAATTAATAGTATACACATATTTAAGTTAGGAGGTCACTGCAATTCTCAACAATTGCAATTACAAACAAGCAAATAAAACCCAAAACTCTCAAAACAAAAAAATACACATAAAACCCTTTAAAATGCTTTTTAATCTAGCCGAGTTTTCTTACATACATGTAGTTTTCTTACATACTCCTCAGTCATTTATATAGTAAGCAGACAAAAAATCGGTAGGGATATAGATGATTTTAACAACACAACTTACAAACTGGCCCTAATTGACATATAGGTCCAGCCGCATAATATAAATTGTTTTCAAGCAGACAAGGACTATTTACTAAAATTGATAATATTCTGTGCCATAACAAATTTCAAGGATTGAAGTCATTTAGAGTATATTCTCTGGCCATAGTGGTTTTAAGGTAGAAACCAGTAACAAAAAGTTAACCAGAAAATACCCAAACATCTGGATATTAAGTGAAATACTTCTAAATAATTCATTGGTCAAAGGAAAAAAATGACAATGAACTTTAGAAATATTTTATGTAAATAACAAAATACAACATATCAAAACTTATGGATAGCAGATAAAGCCATTCTTAGAAAGAAATATATACCTATAAATACAAATATTAGAAGATTGATAATCTAATGATTTAAAGATCTACTTCAAGTAGTTAGAAATAAAGACAATTTAAACCCCAAAGTGTAAATATAAAAAATATAGAAAAAATAATAAATATAAAAGCAAAAATTAATAAAATAGAAAACAAAGGAAACAAATCCACATAAGTTGTTTCTTTGAAATGACTAATAACCCTAGGAAAACTGATCAAGAGCGAAACATAAGCACAAATTACTGAAATTTTAAAAAAGATCACTACATATATACAGAGAAGAGGATATTATAAATAATTTTGTGCAAATAAAAACGAAATTTTACCCAAATGGATAAATTCCTTGGAAAACAAAACTTACTGAAACTGACATGAAAAGTCAAAAGCCTGAATATTATTTTATCTATTAATGAAATCTTAACTGCAATTTAAAAATGTTTATAATGCATAGGCACAAAAACAAAAGGAAACAAAAACAAACATTCCAGGCACAAATGACTTTACCGGTGAATTCTTCAAGGATTTTTTTTTTTTTTTTTGAGACCATGATAGAGAAAACCTGAGTCCGGAAGAACAAAGCAAAAAAAAAAAGATATTGTCTGGGTCCCTGTATTATAGACCTGTATTATCAGCCCTAGATTACTGAAGCTTAGACTGCTATAAGGAAAACAAATTTTTATCTTGTTTTAAAATCCAGTCAATGTAATTCACCACATTAACAGAATAAAGAAGAAAATAATGTAATTATTTCAACAGATGCAGAAAAACCATCTGTTAAAATTCAAAACCAAGCATGATAAAGAACATTAGCAAACTAGATATATAAGGGAACTTCTTTATCTGATAAAGAATATCTATTAAGAAAAAAAAAACCTATGGCAAGCATCATATTAAATGTCTTTGCTGCTGATATCAGGAAAGAGACAAGCAAGCTGTCACCACTTCTAGTCAACATTGCAGTAGAGGTCCTAGACAGTACAGTAAGACATGAAAAGGAAATAAAAGTATGCTTACCAGAAGAGAAGGAATAAAACTAGCATTACTTATACAACATAATTGTATATGTGGGAGATGCAAAGAAATCTGCATATAAACTGCTAGAATTAACAAGCAGATTTAGCAAGGTCATGGATACAAGTTCAATGTACAAAAATCAAATTTAGCTCTATATACTGGTAACAAACAATTATAAGGGTAAAAAAATTTTAATACCATTCACAACCACATGCAAATCTTGAAGACCTAGGAATAAGTCTTAAATAAGCTGTGAAAGACTTTATACAAAAATCTCCAACAAAACACTAAGACAAATGAAGGAAACCCTAATAAAGGGGTGTGTTGTATTCACAGATTAGATGACTAAATACTGTAAAATGCCAAACCTCCCCAAATTGATCTATTGATTCAACTCAATTCCAATCAAAATCCCAGCAGAGTTTTGTAAAAATTGATCACCTGATTATAAAATTTATATAGAAATGCAAAGGGCCAAGAATAGCTGTGACAATCTCAAGAACAGAATTGAAGAAGTTAGAACTGACAGCAGAAAACATTAAAATTTATTATAAAGCTACTGTAACTAGGACAATGTACAAATGGTACAAAGACAGATAAACCTATTAAATAATATGAATAATGCAGAAATATATTCATATATATCTGACTCTATGGTTAATAAAAAAAATTCATATTAGTGGGAAAAAGGCACTCTTTTCAATAAACAGTGATGACCTAATTTGATGTCCATTTAGGAAATGAAGAAATCTTGACCCCTATTTCTCACCATATGCAAAAAAACTTCAGGGGCCTTACAAATCCAAATTTAAAATGTGAAACAATAAAGCTATCAGAAGACAACATAACAGTACCTTAATGACTTTAGGGTTTGCAAAGATTCTGGACATAAAAAATACTGATCTGAAATAAAACAATTAAAACACTGGACTTCATTAAAATTAACAACTTGAGTTCACCTGAAGTTGCCATTAAAATAGTTGTTTTGAGCACTTCATTTGGAAGAAGTTTCTTATGCAGAATTAGATAACAGAAACAATATCCAAAGGGCCAATAAAGGTATGATAAGTTGTTAAAGATATATCTTCACAAGGGAAACACAAATTGAGACCATAATGAGATACCTTTACTCAGTATGGCTAAACCTTAAGAGGAATGACAATACCAATTATTGATGATAATGTGGATCTGAGACTCTTAACCCTTTGCTGGTAGCAGTGTAAACTGGTACTCTGAAAAACTGGCTATATATATGTGAGTGAAACATACATACATTTTATGACCCAGAAATTATACTTCTTAGTGATATCCAACAGAAATTAGTGATTATGCCCATGAAAAGTCATGTTCAAGAATATTCACAGGAAGTTTATTCACAACAGCCTCACATAGGAAGCATGCCAAATGACCATCAACAGTAGAATGGATACATAATGTAGTATACAATGAAATACTATATAGCAATGAAAATAAATGGACTACTACACATGACAAGACAGACGAAGCTTACAAATGCAATGTTGAATAAAAGAAGCCAGACACAAAGGAGTACATATTATGATTACATGTAGCTAATGTTCAAAAGCAGGTGATATGGTTTGGCTGTGTCCCCACCCAAAATCTTACCTTGAATTGTAATCCCCATAATCCCCATGTGTCAAGGGCAGAACTAGGTGGAGGCAAGTGGATCATGGGAGCGGTTTCTCCAATGCTGTTCTCATGATAGTGAGTAAGTCTCATGAGACCTGATGATTTTTTAAGTGTCTGGCATTTTCCCTGCTTGCGCTCACTCCATCCTGCCGCCCTGTGAAGAAGGTACCTGCTCTTCCTTTGCCTTCCACCATGACTGTAAGTTTCCTGAGGCCTCCCCAGCAATGAACTGTGAATTAATTAAACCTCTTTCCTTTATAAATTACTCAGTCTTGGGTATTTCTTCCTAGCAGTGTTCTAGCAGAGAACAGACTAATACACCAGGCAGAACGAATCTACAATAATGAAGTCAGGATAGTGGTAAGTGCTATGTATGAGTATTGGATATGAGGGTGGGGAATAATCACGAGGAAGTTTGAGGGAGGTTCAGGGGGCTGGTTACCAGGTATGCTCACTATAAATGCTTGTCAAGTGGTGGCCTTATGATTTAGGCACTTTTCTACATGCATTTTATTTTTATTTTATTTATTTATTTATTTATTTATTTATTTATTGAGACAGAGTCTCACTCTTGTTGTCCAAGCTAGAGTGCAGTGGCGTGATCTCGGCTCACTGCAACCTTCACCTTCCGGTTTCAAGCAATTCTCCTGCCTCAGCCTCCCAAGTAGCTGAGATTACAGGCGTGTGCCATCATGCCTGGCTAATTTTTGTATTTTTAGTAGAGATGGGTTTTACCATGTTGGTCAGGGTGGTCTCGAACTGCTGACCTCGGATCCACCCACCTCAGCCTCCCAAAGTGCTGGGATTACAGGCGTGAGTCACTGCACCCGGCCCTCTACATGCATTTTAAACACCAACTTGAATGTTTACTGAAAAAAAAAGAGATAATCCACACTGCTGCATTTCCTGGTTAGAGACTCTCTTACCATTTCAAAAGCTAACTTTGCTTTTCTATTTCCCATGGGTTACAGGTATTGTGGCATATATATTAGACTGAAATATTAAGGCACTCTGAGTAGTCATCTTGACCACCACTTCCTATCTGCTTATTGGAAGACATTCTAATACCCTATAACTTATTTTTCTCCAACTGCAAAATGAAGTCAAGCTACTTTTTTTAAAATAGGAATATAAGCAAAAATAAGAAACATATGTAATTTACTATATCTTTCCTTAAAAACTCAACTCCATTTGTACATGACCCACTCTATGTCATGGGAGTTATTTGAATCCTCTGTCTTCAGTATTCTATTGTTCTTTAGTCTTGTAGAAGGTGATGGAGAATTATTATGTCATTAAAAAAAATCGTTTTCTTAGAAGTATAACAGCATTGTTATATATTCAGAAGAGAATGCAATCCTAGTAATAATTCTAAGACATCAGGCTTTGGAATTATGAATGTTTTAAAAAATGATAGAAGACGGAAGTAAGACCTATTTCATGTTCAAAAGATAGGTCATAGTTTACTGTAAAGCATTCATAAGGAGACACTGGGTCTGGATCAGTCCAGGTCTCCAGGGTCCTCACTGGACTCACCCCCTTCCCAGAGTCTATCTGAACCACTGAGAGTGGGCTCCAAGGCCTGGTTCCTTTCCCCACTCCACATGTCCTTTCAAACGTTTAAAAATAAACAGCAAATGGTTTTTTACAGAGGAGTAAAATCTAAAATGCATTTTTAAACATCTTGATTTTTTTGAACAGCCAAGAGTCCTAAGAATTATTAAAGTATTTAAATTATATCAGCCAGGTGCAATGGCTCATGTCTGTAATCCTAGCACTTTGGGAGACTGACGTGGTTAGGAGTTTGAGACCAGCCTGGCCAACATGGTGAAAGAAACCCTTCCCTACTAAGAAAATACAAAAGTTAGCCAGGTGTGGTGGCACGTGCCTGTAATCCCAGCTACTGGGGAGGCTGAGGCAGGAGAATCGCTTGAACCCAGGAGGCGGAGGCGGCAATGACCTGAGATTGCACCACTGCACTCCAGCCTGAGTAACAGAGCGAGATTCGGCCTCCAAAAAATAAATAAATAAATAAATAAATAAATAAATTATATCCCTCATTCTCATTTTCAGTAGGCTTTGAAGACAAAAAAGCAGGGTAAATGTATAGAAGATTCTCTCTTTATCATCCCAAATAAGGTCAAGAATGAATATCCTCATGACTGAAGTCAGTTTAGATTGTTTTTTTTTTAATCCAATAAAAGTATGCCAGCATTTACATTTCGAACTGTATCAACAAGCTCATTCAGTGAATGACCAGGAAAATGGGGAAAGTGGTTTGTTTCAAACAGTTTTCCTCATTGAGGGAGCTCACAAAGCTCAGGTTTTGTATCTGGAAAGGACATTTATGTCATTAACAGCTTTGCAAACACGCAGTTTGTGCTGGGCATGTATCTTCCCCACTCCATGAATGGAGAAACGGGGTGGAGTTGAGAGGTGCTGCGTGAGAAAGCCATTGTGTGTGCCAGATGTTTGTTCAATTATAATAAAACCTTGATATTATACATGAAAATTCAAAACTGAGTATCTGGGACATTTTAAAGCAATATTCTGAATTAGACTGAAAAGTAGTATATATTTAATGAAACACAAAACACTGTTTTTTTTTTTAACAAAAGCAAAAACTATAAACACTATAAGTCATCTGTGATTCTTTACAGAAAAAGAGAACCAAAGTATATTTCTAAATTTAAAGACATTTTCTTCCTATTTCTTTCTACCATGGGCTGACAGTGTTATAAAACAGAAAAAGTGTATGAGGAAGGTTTGAATTTGTTATAGAAAAGAAATACTTCTAAAATTTTTAAAGGAAAAAAAGAAGAAAGCCCCCAAAATCCACCTTTCTACACCTGTAGGTAAAGAATTACAGTTTACTATGAAATAAGGAACAATGTCAAAAAAGTGGAGTGTTTTAGCTCCATTATAAATAAATTCCACGATGTTCAGAAACAGTTCTTTAGGTATTAAGGGAAAATCTTAACTTCATTTGTAAATTTCTTCCAATTACTCACAAAAGATAAATGTGAAATATACATTTTGTTTTACACTGTTCTAAGTTTTTAAAAGGCTCTATTACTTTGTCTTTACATAATTATATATAACCACTGGATAGTCTCGGAATTAATGTAATAGTTTTACGTATTTATATCTGGGATTAAGAAAAATAAATGTCTTCTAAATTTAGATCCATGCTGTACGCTTTCTCTTTTCATACAGCTTTTCTTACACTAAAAGGTGCTGCCAGTGAGGACTGGGAGAAAGCCCTACAGACAGGCCAAACATATCAAACCCCAGATTCATCTTTTTGACACTTAGGCCTCAGAGGCAACATAAAATCAGCCAAAAAATTCTCACTTTTTTCTATATTTTCTAATTTTTCTCTTTCTATATTCAAATAGGAGGCCAAGAAAGATCAGTTATAAAACCACAGAAAATAGACAGTGTACCTCTAGAAATAAGAGCTCCAATGCTCAAATGCAAACAAGCATCAGTGCTGGCTGTCAGCTTACTAGCCCTTGATACAGGGAATGACTTAAAGCTGGAACTACTTTGTGGGTGAATGGAAAAGAGTCATATGAAACTCTCAGGGAAAACAAAGGGTGAAGAATTAAAGCAAATTATATATAAATGAATTACTACACTATATTCTATATGATTTAAAATAAATATGGGGTTTAAAAATAGAGGCCAGGTGCGGTGGCTCACGCCTGTAATCTCAGCACTTTGGGAGGCCGAGGTGGGTGGATTACAAGGTCAGAAGATAGAGACCATCCCGGCTAACAGAGTGAAACCCTGTCTCTACTAAAAACAAACAAACAAAATTAGTCGGGTGTGGTGGCACATGCCTGTAGTCCCAGCTACTCAGGAGGGTGAGGCAGGAGAATCACTTGAACCCAGGAAGCGGAGGTTGCAGTGAGCCGAGATCACGCTACTGCACTCCAGCCTGGGTGACAGAAGGAGACTCCGTCTCAAAAAAAAAAAAAAAAAAAAGATAGAATACAGTAATTCATCAATATCAGGACATGAACTTGGAAATACCATACAATTTCATTCACAAGTATGTATTTAATCTGCATGTTATATATGTTGTAAGCATTGACAATATAAAAATAAAATAGTTGTTAAATGTTTCCCTCCTTTTAGATGCTCACATAATAAGGAAACCAATGACAATGCAATCATTCCTTTTCATTGGTGGAGGATGTGTTCCAAAATCCCCCGTGGGTGCCTGGAACCACAAATAGTACTGAACCATATATATATACTGTGTTTTTTTCCATATATATACATACATACATACATACATACATACCTATGATAAAGTTTAATTTATAAATTAGGCACAGTAAGAATTAATAGTAATAATATACTGTGATTATATTATAATTAAAATTATAACAATTATAACAATTGTTATAACAATTATAACAATATACTGTAACAAAAGTTATGTGATTGTAGTCTCTCTCAAAATACTATAATATTTGTAGGCTGTGGTTGACCATGGTAACTAAAACCACATGAAGTAAAACTGCAGATAAGGAAGGACTGCTGTAACTAAGGTACCAGTATAAGAAATGCTAAAATAGTAACAATAGCTCACATTCATTGAGTATGTTCTATGGGCTACTCCATTCTCGGCGGATACTTGCCAACACACATCAACTCCATGTAGGTGCTATTATTATTCTTACTATACAGAGAGGGAACTGAAGCACTCACCAAGTTCACACAGCTTAGAAGTGCTGGAACAAGAGTTCAAGCCCATGTAGCCAAACTCACCAGCATAACTTCTTAGCCACTACTACACCCAGTAGTTATGCAGGGTGTGCATTAGAGAATTAAGTCTTCAAAAAATAGGGAAGGCTTCACAGAAGTGTACATCACATTCAGTTTGGAGTAATCTTATTAAGAATGTTTCCTAGTACTCCAGGATGAGCTACAGACTGTCCCTTCCTCCCTTGATTCATTTGCCAAATGCGTATTGTGCCCCAACTAATTACAGATGGTCTCCAAATTAGGATAGTTCCACTTATGATTTTTTGTTTGTTTGTTTGTTTTGAGACGGAGTCTTGCTCTGTCACCCAGGCTGAAATGCAATGGTGTGATCTCAGCTCACTCGCCTCCCAGGCTCATGCGATTCTCCTTCCTCAGCCTCGCAAGTAGCTGGACTATAGGTGTGTGCCACCACATCTGGGTAATTTTTTGCATTTTTAGTAGAGATGGGGTTTCATCATGTTGGCCATGCTGGTCTCGAACTCCTGACTTCAGGTGATCTGCCTGTTTCGGCCTCCCAAAGTGCTGGGATTACAGGTGTGAGCTACCGCGCCTAGTCGATTTTTTTACTTTATGAAGGTACAGGAGCAATATGCATTCAGTAGAAACTGTACTTCGAGTTCCCATATAACCATTCTGTTCACTTTCAGTACAATAAATTACATGAGATATTCAACACTTTATTATAAAATCGGGTTTTTTTTGTACTAGATGGTTTTGCCTAACTATAGGCTAGTGTAAGTGTTCTGAGCACGTTTAGAATGTGCTAGAAGCAGGCTAGGCTAAGCTATAATGTTCGGTAGGTTAGGTGTATTTGATGCATTTTTGACTTTCCATTTATGAGGACATAACCCTATCATAAATTGAGTAGCATCTGTATTCCCAATGGCATACAGAGCTGTAAAAAATACAGAAAACAATCCCGATCTCACTGGCCTTAAAGTCTAGCAATGGAGTGTGACAAAGAACAATAAACAAGGTAAAGAAGTAGAATAAGGTGGTAAAGAAATAAAAAAAGCAAAAGGAAAAAAGAACAGGAAGTGAATTAATTCATTCATTACACGGTGAGTGAATCTGAGAAAGAACGGTCAGAAACCGGTTCACTAAGGAAACAGCATTTAAATACGGACCTACAGGAGGCAAGAGGTAACAATCTTGTACTATACTTCTCATTCGTATAATAAATGCCCTCATTCTAAGCTGTTTGTTGCAGCCAAAATTAAACCAATTAATACTTAACCTACTTACAGATTTATTGTGAAGATTAAATGAGAAGACAGGTGCAATGCACTTAGCATAGTGCCTGGCTTGTAATAAGAACTCAGTGAATGCTATTATACATTATTCTTGCTACTGTTTTAATAAAATCATGCAATCAGATATATAATGTATCTCCAGTCCACTCATAGTGGGAGACCAAGATAGTTGCTTAATATTCTATCACATGTCTAAAAAGTAACTGTTTCTGGAATATGTGTATGAAGCATTACAGTTTAGGTCTCAAGTACAAAAACACTGCTTACAATAACCTTCCATGATCTAAAAAGGACTCGGGTTGTTGACATCAAAGGAGTCAGATGTAGGACGCCCAGCACCAGAGCATGAGTGGATGTCAGCATACGGTATGCAAGGTCAGCTAGCCTAGTCACAGACTTCACTTTCTGGCAGTCTTCTGCCTATTTTTTGGCTGCAAGGCAAGTGTTTACTTCTCCTTCTATGAACAGATGATTTCCATAGCTCTGGGGTTTGAAAAGGTCAGCAGTGATAAAAAAAAAAAAAGGCTTAGGAAGAGATCTCAAATTTTTTGCTACTATTATGAATTTCTTTATACAAATGTTGATATATGGAAGACAATCAAGCAATGCATGGAAAATCTGCATTTCAAGTCCAAAAGCAACTCATTCCAGAAAAATTTCCTCAGCTTTCTCCCTAATGATTTAAACATTCATTTTCACTCACTTCTGCAGAAGTACATTCACAGGAAGAGTGAGTGTGAACAGTAGCTTTTATAGCTGGAAGCCACTTTCTTTCTTTACCTAGAATGTTGTATGATCCTTTTTCTTTTTACACATGGAAGAGAGTGGATTCTGTTGTTAAAATTCTCTCTACTAAGAAATACTAAAATCATCATCTCTTAGTACAGTTTTCAGTTTCAGACCCGAAAACTCTTAAAAACCTGAAAATCTTGGGCTAAGCACACCACATGTAACACATTACTGCATCAGAGTTCTTCAGCATCCCACTTGGCTGAGTCATTTTCAAAAGCATTTTCTATTTGGTGACAGATATAAAGTTCTATATCCATGCCACAAAACCACCAACTGCCTTGGGGCACTGTCCACGGCTTTATGCTTTCATTCTCCCCCGTTCATAGAAAATGTACCTAGAAGTGTGAAAACAAACCCCACGTCTGCTCCCAATTTGTTACTTTTTTGATTTGGCAATGTTGTCTTTCTTGTGTTTTCTGGTTCCCAATGAATACAAAATTAGCCTGAGAGTTTGAATCCACCTTCTCTCGGTTGTGATATCACTACTTTCAGTACACGTCAACGCATTGGCAATTTTTACCGGTTTCCATTTCAGATGAATGTGTAAGCAAGGAGTGATTTATAGTAAATACCTAAGAAGGTTATGGGGTTAGAGTCTCTATAGATGTTTAGCAATAGGACTTGATTCCTGAATACTTTGGGTATACTGTGGGAGTCAGAGTTCAGGCTAGATGTGACAAGAAGCCCTCTTCCAGTCTTGCAGTGCTCAATTTTTCAATCAAATAGTAGAATCATTTTTGAAAACTAGGAGGAGAAGCTGCTGATCCCATACTCAGTCCAGGGTATTATTTTGAAAAGTGAGAAATAATATCACCATCATCATCCAAGAGAAGAAAATACAGGAGTGGAATATAGAATTATTAATAAAATGAAAGGTTTTCATTTTTCCTTTCCAATAAAAAAAAGGTAATGCCAAAAATATGTCTGAGTTTTCAAAAAGACTTTAAGAGCAGTTTTAGGTTCCCAATAAGATTACACAGAGAGTTTTCATTTATATCCTGTCTTCCTCACACCAGCCCCCAGCATCTACCACTGCCAGTCTCCTGCACCAGACTGGTACATACAGTTGTTATGACTGATGAACTCTTACATCATTATCATCCAAAGTCCATAGTTTACATCAAGTGTTTACAACTCTTGGCGTTGTACTTTATCTGATTTTCTATTCTTGTCTGGACAATAGAATTCATGTTGACAGCTGCAAGAAAGTCCTCGGCTGCCATCTCATGCTCCCTTACCTATTTATTGATGGGCTTTTATCACTTCGCCAGTAGAAGACCAGTTTGAACATGACAGGCACTTCATATGGCTTCATTTCTTCACTCAGAAAATTTCAGTATTTCTTTCACTTACAGAAGCAGAAAAGCCGATTCTGACCACCCCAGTTAGCATCAAAGCAGCTTTCCACTTCTTTCTCTACCCTTCAGGTCCCCCATATTGTGCTCTACCTTTTCTTTTTTTTTTTTTTTCACAGAGTTTATCACGCTTTTTTTTCTTTTTGAGGCAGTCTTGCTCTGTCACCAGGGTGGAGTGCAGTGGTGTGACCTTGGCTCACTGCAACTTCCAGTTCCCATGTTCAAGCAATTCACGTGCATCAGCTTCCTGAGTAGCTGGAATTACAGGTGTGCACGGCCACAACCAGCTAATTTTTGTATTTTTAGTAGAGACAGGGTTTCACCATGTTGGCCAAGCTGGCCTCGAACTCCTGACCTCAAGTGATCCACCCGCCTCAGCCTCCCAAAGTGCTTGGGATCACAGGTGTGAGCTACCATGCCCAGCCTTTATCACACTTTCTAACATCTTAGTTATCTATTAGTTATTGCCTCTAAGTAAGTGGGGATCTTTTGCTGTTCTTCACTGACAAGGCCCCAGTACCTAGAACAGTGGATGGCACACAGGTAGACACTTAATAAATATCTGTCAAACGAAGGAATGAATGAGGATGCTTTCTAAAAGACAATACTTCAGGGAGTGATTTTGGCCATGGTTTGGAGGCCTAATTAGCCATGACTAACCAAGCCTGGCCAACACCAGAGGGAAAAGTGCCAGGTCCTATAAGCTGCTGGTGCTCCCTCTGTGTGGCTGGGCTCCTTGGGGTCCCTGCTAGATGAACATGGCCGCTGTATCATGTGAACAGGATAGAGTGCACAGGGAGCCTAGAGATGGGGGGTGTGCCGGACTCCACGGCAGTCACACAAGCCCTTGCTCAGCCTGGGCACACGACTGGGAGAGCGCAGTTGTTCCTGGCCAAGTGCAGCAAGGAAGGAGGCATGGAAAAGAGGTGACACAAAGTCAGAGATCAGGAGGTTTTTCCCCATGGGCCATGGGGACAGACGTGGTGACCCCTAGGAATCTGATTACCATTAAGTTTCCCTAATTTTCTCCCACACACATTCTACTGATGATGAAGAGACCGAATCTCAAATCAGCTTATGAATGCAATGATAAGGATTTTTTTTTTTCTTTTGAGATGTAGTTTCACTCTTGTTGCCCAGGCTGGAGTGCAATGGCGCAATCTCGGCTCACTACAACCTCTGCCTCCTGGGTACAAGTGATTCTCCTGCCACAGCCTCATGAGTAGCTGGGATGACAGGTGCCTGCCACCACACCCAGCTAATTTTTGTATTTTTAGTAGAGACGGGGTTCCACCATGTTGGCCAGGCTGGTCTCGAACTCCTGACCTCAGGTGATCCACCTGCCTTGGCCTCCCAAAGTGCTGGGATTACAGGCGTGAACCACTGTGCCTGGTCAGATTTTTTGTTTTAAGAGACAGGGTCTGGTTCTGTCACGCAGGCTGGAGTACAGTGGTGCAACCATAGCTCACTGCAGCCTTGAACTCCTGGGCTCAAGCGATCCTTCCGTCTCAGTCCCCTGAGTAGCTGGGACTATAGACATGAGCTACCATGTCCAGCTAATTAAAAAAAATTTTTCTTTGTAGAGACAGAGTCTTGCTATGTTGCCCAGGCTTGATGATGAGTATTTTTCATGTGAATTAAAATTCCACAATAAAAAAGGGCAGAAATAAAAAGGCAAAAGAATTATGATTTTTTGCTAAACAAATGGATATGATCAAATGGACCATAAAACAACGAGTTGAGTGAAAGAAAAAGTTTCCTTTGTTTTAATACACAAGATAAAAGCTCTGGCTATAGCGTGAAAGGAAGGTGGCAGGAGGAGATGAACTATAACTGAGAGAGGAAAGGGAAGTGTAGCAGAAGTCAATCAGAAGAGTCCTGTTCCCCTGCAATTTCCTGACATCTAAGTCTGGGATTTGAAAAAAATATCCTGTGTATTATATTATATATGACACGTTACACTCTGCACTTATTTATATCCAGAAAGGGTAACTATGCTGTGTTATAAACACTTAATGTATCCTACACATACCATTGGCTTCTTTATCCCCAATTCCCCTAGTGGAATGTCGGCTTCATGGAGGCAAGAATTGTATGTTTTACCCTTGGAACAAGGCCTGGAACCAGATAGGAACTCAGTAAATACCGGTTACGTGAGTGAATAAATGACAAATAGCTGCCCACCCACCACCTACTTCCCACTTCACTTGAACTGTGAATTACACCATTCTTTACCTTACATGGGAGAACCACGGTGTTTCTCCTTCCTCTCCCAGCTATCTATCCCAGAGTACCATATACAGGTTGAGTATCCCTTACCCAAAATGCTTAGGGCTAGAAGTATTTCAGATTTGGGATTTTTTTTGGGGGGTGGTGGTAATTTTGGAATGTGTACATTATTCTTACCTGTTGAGCATCCCTAATCCAAAAATCTAAAATCTGCAATGCTCAATGAGCATTTCCTTTGAGCATCACATCTGCACTCATAAAGTTTTAGAATGTGGAGTGCTTTAGATTTTGGATTTACAGATGAGGAATACTCAATCTATACATGTAAGAGAAAGGAAGGAGCCAGTGGTGCCATTTTTATTGCTATAGAAGCTGCCATGCTACACTTAAAGACAATTCATGTTGACAGAGTTTGCCTCTTCATTGTGGTTCATTAACTACGACCAGATGCTGACACTTCTCCAAGTCACGGGAAATCAGGGAAGGGCCCTCCTTCCTTCAGCTATGTGGGAGTTATTTAGCCCTGCTTAGAGCCGGGCAGGTCAGCCCTGGTGTCAACGAGGCTTCAGCTCCTCAAACAGAAGCTCAGAAGAAAATCAGTAAATGGACATGAGATAAGAATGCCAGCCACTTCTCAGTGTTAATTCAAGTACTATGTACAACTGCTCCATTGCTAAATTTCAATCACACATCAGCCTCACTGCTGAATACTGATCACATGAGCTGGCTTTGTCCTGCAGCACAGCCAGAGGTAGAAATCAGGACATAGCACTACTGCCATAAGTGTCAGACTGAGTCTAACAAAGGGAAATTTGGACCAATTTAGAATATTGGATTAAGCCCATAAAAAATAAAATTCATGCAGAACTTACTCCAGAAAGAGAATAACATGCATAATAATTACGGAGAGTTCTAGTTATACTACCATGTATAATACCAACATAATATTCTAACTTGTATTTCATTACTTATAAAATTGTCCAGGTTCTGGAGTCAAGGCAGTACAGACCAGGTGTCACAAAGAGTATACTCAATGAGTACAGTAATTTATAAAGCATTACAAGTTTCCTAAAACCACATTTTTAAATTCAAGTCTTTGCCAAGTAAATGACCAACAAAATTAGAGCTGCAACTAAATTACAGTGATTATGCAACTCTCAAGTTGCAGAAATCTGTGTTAAAAAAGTACAGAATTAAATCATTAGTAAGTGCAAAAGACAAAATAATTGTGAATATATTTATGTTTAGTATATTCTTTTGGAACAACAGCTTTGACTAGGGAGCACTTGAGGTCACTTATTTTTTTTTCTGAATATAATTTTGCATGGCACAACCATCAGTAGTTATACCACAGACCATTTCTTAGGAAGCAAGCCTTTACCATCCATGATTTAGAGCTAAGCAAAGAAGCAAACCTGCATCCTTCTAGAGCTTAGGAATTCTGCAAATCTGTTTCCTCAGTGACTCGGATGGGCTTGCACCCTATCCCTCAAGCTGAGGAATACTGTAATCTCTGCAGAAGAATGTATGCATTCATGGAGTGTCTTTGCTAAAAGCTCTGGTCTCAAAGCCCCAAATATAAAATTTACATAAAACTTGAACCACTGAAGCAGGGATTTCTTCTAAATCTCTCATCACCCACATTATTATGATGCTTTCTTCCATTTCCCAACTTCCTATCCCTTCCAAACCCCTCAATCTGTTTGCTCAATCCACCCTGAACTCTCTCTCTCCCAGTTCTAGTCAAATCTGGCATCCATGTTTTGTCTGCTCAGCAGGAGAGTAATTTCAACAATCTTCTGCTCTTTACAAGATCAGTTTATTCCTCCCAATATAATAATTAGTTTCAGATGAACCTGGTTGCTGGCACACGGCTTGGTTCCATTCTGGTACTAGCAAGGAGAGCAGATACTTCCTGTTGCACTATTTTTTAGAGCAAAGAATCTGGGCACTATGTTAGACCCAGAACAAAACTTTTGCAATTTACTTCTTTAAAATATAGCTGAGTTTCAATAATCTAGATTCTCAAAAGAGATCAACTGAAATTATGATTATGGGAATCTTTTCAGTTTACTTTTAAAATGGTTCAGGTAAATTATCATCAAGAACACAAATCTTATGAAAATAACCAGTGCTGTATTCTTGCAAACATACAGAGGTTGTAAGTAGGAAGCCAAGAGCATTATCTTAACATCTTACAACTTAATTAGCTTTTAGGAGATAATAAATACTGGTAGGTAAGTAAATATACTGCCTTGGAAATAAGGATATTAGGGGAAGAATTCTAGAAGATCTGTTCACAGTGATACAGAAAAATCAAGCAAGACATTCTTTTTTTCTTTTTTAGACGGAGTCTTACTCTTGTCGCCCAGGCTGGAGTGCAATGGTGCCATCTCGGCTCACGGCAGCCTCTGCCTCCTGGGTTACAGTGGTTCTCCTGCCTCAGCCTCCCAAGTAGCTGGGATCACAGACACCCACCACCACACCTGGCTAATTTTTGTATATTCAGTAGAGATGAGGTTTCACCATGTTGGCCAGGCTTGGTCTTCAACTCCTGATCTCAAGTGATCCACCTGCCTGGGCCTCCAAAAGTGCTGGTGTGAGCCACCGCACCCAGCCGCAAGACATTTTTTACACACAGAATGATCAAGACGATCTACATGAAGCACAATCAAAAGAAGCAGAGTCCCAGGGGAAAGGGAAGTTGCCACAGTTTTCCTTTAGGTCTCCTACATGTCTCCTATCAGTCCTTGCACATTTCCACTCATTAATTCAGTACCAGTCGTGGAGCCATCTGTGAGTGTTTTTATCATCATAACCTTAGGTTATCCTCTTCGTAAATCCCAGCAACCCCTGAGCTATGCTTTCAGATATGGTTTACTTTGATGCATACATGCTTTGAGGCTCTGAATTATGCAGTACCTCTTAGTGTCTTCAAGTCTTTGTATAAGTGAAAGCAATCTCCTCTCTCTTTTATCACACAACAATATGATTTCGTATGGTTTATCTTACCTTCACACGTACGGCCATCTGCAGAGATTGAGAAACCCTGCTGGCAGACACAATGGAAAGAACCCTCTGTGTTTAGGCACTCCCCTTGCGGACCACAGAGCCCTGGATGTTCACATTCATTAATATCTGTAATTTAAAATAGAGTCTTAAAAACTTGAAAAAAATCGGTTTCATTCCCATATACTATCAAACAGATGGCAAATAAATCTATTATGACATGGCTGGACATTTATTTAGTGGAACAACTATACCATTTGTCCATAAATCAACCACAGGACAAGCTGAGTTATGAGAGAGAAACTATTTAGGTTGAGTTAGGAAATAGCCAATGTACAATCATTTTTGACCTGCAAAAAAAGCAATTTCATAGGTTCAACCCAAAGCTACCCTTATTTTAGACATATGGGGCTTGAGGAATACTCCACAACTCTGAGAGATGCTCTTCATTGGTGAGAATGCTGTCCTTCTTTGCCCTCTCCCATTGCCATGCACACAGCTGTTATAGTCTGTAGTACCTTGTTACATTCCTGCCTATCCATCCCTAGGATGTGGGCTTCTTAAGGGCAAGGCTAGACATGTCTTATTTATAGTATTTGGCTCATAAATGGCACTTCACAAATGTCTGCTGAATATATAAATGAAATAGACTCCAATCTATAACTCATTGGAAATGGGTAATAGAAATAAAATACAAGTAAAAGAAGGCCTGTTTAGTTATTTTAGAGACAGGGTCTCACTCTTTTGCCCAGGCTGCAGTGCAGTGCATGATCATGGCTCACTGCAGTCTCAAACTCCAGGGCACAGGTAATCCTCTCTCCTCAGCCTCTCGAGTGGCTGGCACTAAGGTACTGGCCCCATGCCTGGCAAATTTTTTAAATTTTTGGCAGAGATGGGGTCTCACTATGATGCCCAGGCTGGTCTGGAACTCCTGGCCTCAAGTGATCCTCCTGTCTCCGCCTTCCAAAGTGCCGCAATTACAGAGGTGAGCCACCATGCTTGGCTGAGAAGGACTTTTAGACCATGAAAATTCGTATTTGCATGGTTTCCGATGATGAAATCAGCGAATGAGGGCTCAGGGCAGTGCCTACCACACAATGAAGCGTCAAAAAGCAATAACTACTATTAAGAAGACTCATGAACAGATCATGCCATACACTTGTGTTGTCGACTTTATGCTCAGCTTGTCCTCAGTGTAATTGTGCTCCCCGTGGCCAGGGTCAAGGGCTACTTCCAAACACTGATAACACATGGACTGTTTACTATAAGTAAAAGGCTCTTTCAAACCAGTTCTAATTATATTGGCTAACAGTGCCCAAGATGACAACATAAAGCGCCTAGAGAAAGTTTCACCTGTTCACAATGGTTCTGATACATGCAACTGCCTAATTGTTGGTTTACTCATCTGTGTCCCTCATTACACTGATGGCTCCTTGATAAACGATCTCAGCTGAAAAGCTCTGAGTTCCTGACTCCTATTGGGTACATTGCAGGGTCTTATGAATGTTTGTCCACCACAAAATTTCTCAGTTATTTTCCTTCTCCGCTAACTGAATGGTGACTGGTGAAGGTTCTTTTAGTTAATTGGGGGTCATAAAAATGATCCCATGTCCTTAGCAGCAGCATTCAGGAGGCATACCTCCACTAAGGTCGTTTTCCTATCTTCCCCAAGTCTCGTAGGCCCTCCCTTTATCTCTTACAAAAGAGGTCTTCAGTACAGGAACCCACATGAATACTGCAAAGCTTAATAAGGACAGGGAAAAGGTACAGAATGTATGTTCTTCCTATTGGCTGCTACAACACGCTTAGCCACTGACCCAGTGGTCCTCAATAAAGTCATCCCTTTCCCTACAGCCAGAATCTCCTGAAGCTCTTCTTTTTGACTTGTTGATCTTCCCGTGCAACAGAAATTCTGGCAATTATTGGTTTAAACGTCTTCCTTTATTAATCTTGAACTCTTTAGCCTTCCATCTGCAACATAATTCAGATTATTTGGCCTGTCCATCGCTGAATAAAAATAAGAAACCCAACAGGAATTACTCATACTTTCTTAACAATTCTCCTATTCTTGTTACTGTCACTAGTTTTTAGATATTTCAAGGAAGGTCAATGAATCATTTTCTACTTATGTATTTCTCAATATGATTTTACTCTGTGAAATTCTTTACTTCTTTGATAAAATCTCTGACATTGTCTATGTTTGTTCTCTACCTATTGGTAATATCTTAGATTGGCCATCCTTTTTGAAGTTTGACCTCCTTTTGGTCCTCAGATCCACTCTTTATTTCCAACCTGCTGCCCAAGAATTACCTCTATCTGAGGAAGAAGGTGGCATGAAGTTCCACTGGCTTGGGGATCAAGCTCAGGACCTATATCCATCTTATTAAGCCCTAATAGCTACCTGAGACCCCTCTTCTTATTTTATCCTATGCCTCAGTGTGGCCCTTTAAAAACTACCTGCTTTGCAACTTTGCATAGGGAATAATGTGCACAAAGTTTTTTCATCAAAAAAGTCACTGATTAACACAAATAATTGTCTAAAAAGTTTGATGACGGGAACTGAAGATGAATTCCTAGACTTTTTTTTTTTCCAGGAAACTGCTAAGAAAGAACAACATGAATATTTGGAACTAGGGAAACATATGCATTCAATTTGGATTGTACTTATTGAGGCATTTCTAAACTATGCTGCTAGTAACTTCAAGCTGAAAGCCAGACTATATTTAAGTTGGGTTTCTTTCATGGGTCCGCGATTCCACAGAAATTCATAATTTGGCATGCGTAAATCAAAACATGAAACTGAACTGCATTCTGAATCTCAAATGTATCCTGCCACATTTCTAAAGAGACTATTAACATGGAATTTCCATACTGTCTGTATATCATCATTAGTTTTGTATGGGAAAGAAAATCTTAAACACGCTTCCAACTGAAAATGCCTTACTGAATATAGAAGTATTTTCAGAACATTAGGTAAGGTTTAAAGTTTATGCCTATCACACACTGTTATTCAAACATGTCCATGGTTATTAGCATTGCCATCAATTACATTTTCAGAATTTAAACAAACTCTGAAATCTACACCTCTCCACAGAATGCTGACATGATCAAGGGATTAGAGAAAAGTAGGCTACTAACTTCAGGCAGAGTGAAAGATCACAAAACTGCCTCTAGTGAAAGAGCGAAAAGGGATAATTCAAAACGAGGTGAGTATATACATGCCATCATATACAGCTTCTAACAGGAGGTGGTGGGTGATAAAACAGATTCACAGACACTATTCTTTAAACAGTACTAAGACCTACTTCAGAAATGCTTCTCATTTATTTGGATTTACATTTTTCAGACATATTAACTTATTCTGGAAAATAGGAATATATGTGACAGAGAACGAAGTCAATTTAATAATGATTGATAGTCAATAAAACTCTCTATGTTTGGAGTAGTCACATATTTGAGAGGTGATATCAAACCACAGACACAAATTTAATATATTGAGAGAATGAAGTAGTGCAATTAATGAATCAGATAACTAAATTAGTTCCGTGTGACTGAACTCTAGAAGTTAAATTTATGCAATATGAAATCTTGGTCCATTTTTATTAAGATTTGGTTTTGCCTGTATTTGGCCAAAACAAATTGTGACGAGAAGAATTAGAAAAGAAAATATACTTTTAAGCCAAAAAGCCTATAATAAAAACAAGAGTCAGGGTTTGGTTTCCTTTTTTTTTTTTTTTCCATCTCTTGGTATTTTTATATAAATCAAGATTCATTTTGTTAAAAGGTAATAGTCCCAAAGTGGAAATATTCTCACATATATTTATAATTCAAATATTCCTTCTCTTTTGCATTAAGTCCAAGCACATTTAATTTCTGCATTGGAAAAAATTGAATTTCACCTTATTGCATGAGGATGGCAAATAAATACATGATCTCAAATGAGGTACATGGTATATTTAAATCTTGGGATTTTTAAAATATCTGTCTTGGGTACACATCAAGTGCAGGAAGGTGTATATTTAAATCTTTGGATCAGTAAAGGAATTAATTTTTAAAAACCTTGTGGCAAAGGTCCGTGTTTTTCATATCTCTGACACATGGCTGGGTGTGACCGGTAATATAGATATATAATTCCAGTGCCACTATCTTAGAGAGTAGATACCATCTTCTCCTACAAGAAGACTGTTATTTGGGACATGTGAGATGAGATATAACTTATGGCAATCCAGAATTTTAAAAAAATCATACATATTCAGTAATAGTGGGTAAAAAGTAACTCCAACAATTTTTTTTATTTATTTATGCTTTGGGATACACTACACAGTTCCATAATGGTAGATAAACAATAAGAAAAAAATAACATTTATTGGGTATCAAAAATAAACAGATATAAAGGTAAAATAAGTGTGAATTTTCCATGGAAAATATAAACATGGGTTTACTAACACTAGTAAATAGAGGAAAGCTTGTGGGGCAAGTCAGGTATAGCTAAAAATGTTGGGATACAGAACCTAGAGAATTTAATTTTTTTAGCTATGGTGTTGAAATGACTCAATGGGCTACCTTGTGAGAGAAATCACTTAATTTCACTTTCTTCTTTCTTTTGGCTATAAATGTAACAATAATTGGTATGGCAATGTAGGGAAGAGTAGTGGGAAAAGACCCTGGGTTCAAATCTCAACTTTACCACTCATTAGAGAGCAGCATACTCCCTAACTTCTCGGAGCCTCAGTTACTCATGCACAAAATGAATACAAGAAAAGCTACCTCTGAAGTTGCTGTAAGAATTCGAAGAGATACCAAGATACCTACAGTACTCAGCACACTGAAGAAGCTCAGTTACAGCTGCTGTGATTGTTATTATTAGTACCTGTGTTGTGTTGCTGTGTTTTCATTAGTACCCTTCATGCACTGTACAGTTTGGAAGATTAAACATGACAGCACATTGAAAAAATATAAGATCCTCTTCTTCATGATTTTGACCAAATTATTAGTGAGGCTTTTTAGGAAGAGAAAAAGCAATGGTGAGCCAGGTGCAGTGGCTCATGCCTGTAATCCCAGCATTTTGGAGGCCAAAGCGGGTGGATCACGAGGTCAGGTGTTCAACACCAGCCTGGCCAAGGTGGTGAAACCCCCGTCTCCAGTAAAAATACAAAAATTTGCCGGGTGTGGTGGCAGGCGCCTGTAATCCCAGCTACTCAGGAAGCTGAGGCAGGAGAATCGCTTGAACCTGGGAGGTGGAGGTTGCAGTGAGCCGAGATCATACCACTGCACTCCAACCTGGGTGACAAGAGCGAGACTCTGTCTCAAAAAAAAAAAAAAAGCAATGGCGGGCACTGGATAAAAATAGAGTCAGAAAAGGACAGATAAATACCACCTATGAGACAAAATAAAATATGCCCATAAAAGATGCTATAAAGATAATTTAGAACCCAGTACCAAGGTTACAGCATGGAATAAACAGTAAAGTACAGGTGACGGAAGCACGCAGTGAGGACACAGCTCTTACTCGTGTGAGTTTCAGTTGACACTATGCTGGACAAAGCAACACCTTCCTGCACTTGATGTGGACCCAAGACAGCTATTTTAATATCAAAAATTGACATAAATTATTTACATATAAATCACATGGCAAAACCACAGACTATCATCTGGCAACATGGCAGAATTGAAGAATTACGTAAATAATGACTGGGGAAAAAAGAGCAAGAAATACCTTGACATGTTTTATTGTCATCTAGCTGAAATCCATCCGGACAAGTACAATCATAGGACCCTGCAGTATTAATGCAGTCTCCTCTCTGGCAAACACTCTTGTCCTCCAAGCATTCATTGATATCTAAAAACCAATTTAAAAATTTTTAAAGACTAAATAAATCACATATCGGAAAATTAGACATTTCTCTTACATGTAAAGGTACACTATTTTACATCATTTATAATACATAATTTTAAATACATGACAACTTTTTAACTTTTTTTTTTTTTTTTTGAGACGGAGTCTTGCCATCACCCATGCTGGAGTGCAGTGGCGCTATCTTGGCTCACTGCAACCTCTGCCTCCCAGGTTCAAGTGATTCTCATGCCTCAGCCTCCCGAGTAGTTGGGATTATAGGCGCCCACCACCACGCCCAACTAATTTTTGTATTTTTAGTAGAGATGGGGTTTCACCATGTTGGCCAGTCTGGTCTTCAACTCCGGACCTCAAGTGATCCGCCCACCTCAGCCTCCCAAAGTGTTGAGATTACAGACATGAGCCACCACACCTGGCCAAGAAATGGAACTTTTAAACATCAAATGAAATTAAATGGAAGAGGAAAAGTCAAAATTCTGTAGCAAATAATAATTTACTTGATTATATTGTTGGTGATGATAAAGACTTAAAATATTTCAAAAATACTTATTAAGTGTATCTTGAGCAACACTTGATCTATTTATACAAGCTTCTGTATTATGCATTATAGAAAAAAATTTAAAAGTTTTCAGCATGGTCTTTGTCCCCAAGAGAAATGTTTGTTCAAAGAAACAAACTATATTGTATTATTAACAATAAAATAAACAAATGATATTGTATTATTAAACATAAAATATTACATTGTTTTATAAGTCCAAACCAATGTAACATAAGAATTGTCACAAAATATAATTATCTGACAAAGTAGTAGCATCAACTTTAGGGGTCATATGCATTTAGACAAAGAATATCATAAAGTTTAAAATAAAACTTTTGTGTAACAGAAGCATATCTGTAAATTTACTTATAGTAAATTTCACAGTAGGGTAGAATATGGGGGAGTCGGAAGAAGAGGGACTTTTGAACAGAAGGAGAACAGCAAGATCAAAAACCTAGTTTAAGTCACTTATTCAGCAGCTGTAACAAACAGGTTTGAGGTAGCCTGGATTTTAAAAAATGTTTAAAAATGTTTAAAAAAATTCATAGCAAATGCGCAACTAAAAGTGGTATACATAACCAATAACGAGTTTTGACTGTGAGAATGAAAGACAATTAATGGCTCCCCTTCACCGCATGAATGCGAGCAGATCTTTCTCAAGGGCTGCTGATTACCATGTTTACCCCTAGTCAAAGCACATTATTCCTAATGTACTCCATGAGCCCTCTTCTGTTGTGAATGTGAGGATTTAAGTTATTAGCAACGAAGAAAGCTAAGAAACAAAACCTTCTTTGTTTTCTCAGAACTTGGCATTTTATGGCATTTCTTGCAAATAATTGTAATTGCTGCCAAAATATGAGAGATTCCAGGAAGAAGTGAATATGGAGACTGTTGCCATCTGTCTAATACGCCCGGCTGTCTGGTTCAAGTACGGTGATACCGAATTTCATTTTTCTCCTAGAATCCAATCAACCAATTAACAGGCTTCTGTACTATTCACAGGGCAAACAAAAGAGAAATAAGAGAGTGCCTTATCACTTCTTTCTATCAAATAAAACCACGTTATTATAATGACTGTTCACCCAGAATTAAAATGCTTCCGGGTACTGACCCTAAAACATAAAACACAGGTGATGTGAATTTGTCTCAACTAAGGCAGGTTCTCAACTTTTTCTTTAATGTGTTTTTCTAGCTTTACTGAAGTATAATGTACATAAAATAAATTGATCTACTTAAGAGTCAGCTCAATGAGTTTTGACAAATGTATACACATCCTTGTGACCACCATCCCAGTCAAGGAACAGGCATTTCCATCCCCAATACATTCCCTCTCACTCCTTTTGTGCTTTGGGGCTTCTTCCTCTCGGCATAATAGTTTTGAGATTCACCCAAGTTGCTGTGTGTATCAGTAGTTCTCTGTGCTTTATTGCTGGGTAGAATTCCATTGGATGAATGCACCATAATTTGTTTACTCATTCACCTTTTGATAAGCATTTTGGGTTGTTTCCATCTGGGCCATTGTGAATAAGGTTTCTATAAATATTTCTAAAATCATAAGTCTTTGTGTGAACATATGATTTTACCTTTTTTGAGTAAATACCCAGGAAAACGATGCATGGGTCATGGAATTAGGTTATATTTAAGTTTTGAAAAACTGTTATCTGAAGTGGCTGTAGCAATTACATTCCCACAGGAAACATATGAGAACTCCGATTGTTCCACATTTACTCTGACAGCTCTACAACTATTTTAATGGGTGTAAAGTAGACAATCAGTTATGTTTTGTTTTGTTTTTGAGATGGAGTCTCGCTCTGTTGCCAGGCTGGAGTGCAGCGGTGTATCTCGGCTCACTGCAACCTCCGCCTCCCGGGTTCAAGCAATTCTCCTGCCTCAGCCTCCCAAGTAGCTGGGACTACAGGCGCCCACCACCACGCCCAACTGATTTTTGTATTTTTAGTAGAGACGGGGTTTCACCATGTTGGCCAAGACGGTCTCGATCCCTTGACCTTGTGATCCACCCGCCTCGGCCTCCCAAAGTGCTGGGATTACAGGTGTGAGCCACTGCACCCGACTGACAATCAGTTTTTCCATTAACCTTTCTTTCTTTGCTTTGTAGGAAATGGAGATAATGAAGCGAGGAGAAGCATATTTGATCAGTGACATTAAATAAAAAACTCAATTCAAAAAAGATCATAAGAGAATCCTGGGAATATGAATTTCTACAAGAAAAAACACTTCATAACCTAGATGTTTGCCTCAGCATAATGGAAGCATGTTGCTCTGTTCATGCTGGTTTTTGGTTTTTTTTTTTGAGACTGAGTTTTGCTCTATCACCCAGGCCGGAGTACAGTGGCGTGATCTTGACTCACTGCAACTATTGCCACCCAGGTTCAAGCGATTCTCCTGCCTCAGCCTCCCCAGTAGCTGGGATTACAGGCGCCTGCCACCACGGCCGGCTAATTTTTGTATTTTTAGTAGAGATGGGGTTTTACCATGTTGGCCAGGCTGGTCTCGAACTCCTGACCTCAAGTGATTCACCCGCCTCGGCCTCCCAAAGTGCTGGGATTACAGGCGTGAGCCACCATGCCCGGCTCTGTTCATGCTACTTTAAAGCAATTTGATTCTCATTTATTTTCCAAAATCTAAGACAAATAATGAATGTGAGGGAAAAGAGCATTATTTAAAGTGTTTATAAATAATTATATACATTAGAAAGCTGAGCATATGTTAGGGTTAGGTTTAGTTTAAATTTTTTTTTGCAAGGCCTTTATCTGTCTTCAAAGCAATAAGAAGGTTGAACATTACGAGAGCACAACATGGTACTATTTCGTACCACCACCTGGGGTAGTGCGAAAATATATATTTTTCCTAGAAGTAGAGTAAAAGGTTTTAAGGGCAGGAACAGTGAATCACTGTCATCTTTCTACCAAGACTGAGCTTGTTGAGGTCACCAACTACTTCCAGCTTGCTAAAAATCCCATGGTTAACTTTTGGTTCTTCTGTTACCTAGCAATAACATTTGACACAATCCATCACTCCCTCCTCCTTGAAACACTTTCTTCTCTTGGATTCTGGGTTTTCTCCTTCTTCACTTGCCACTTTTTCCTCAATCTCCTTTGCTGGTTCTTACCCATTTCCTCACTTCTAAATGTTGGAGGGCCCGGGATTTATCTCTCTTCTAGCTACACTCATTCCCAATTAATTTCATGGCCTAGAACTCACCCCTAAATTCCAAATGCATAGATACAATTGCCTTTCAGATATCTTCCTTCAAATATTCATCTTGGGCATCAAAAGTGGAAAGTGCTGACGTGGTGCCCCTCAGGTCTCCACATAGCTGGTTCCTCGGGCATCCGCATCTGCTATTCCCTTGAACTGAATGCTCTACCCATAAATGATTAAGTGTTATCATCCCAGCGAGGCCTCTACTTGCCTCTTTATTTAAAATCACCACCCTTCCTCAACACTCCCCATATACCCCGCTCTATTTTCTCTGTAAAATTTATTGCCATTTAACGAACTATATATTTTACTTATTTATCATATATATATATTTTGAGACATAGTCTTGCTCTGTTGCCCAGGCTGGAGTGCAATGGCGTGATCTTGGCTCGTTGCAACCTCTGCCTCCTGGGTTCGAGTGATTTTTCTGCCTCAGCCTCCTGAGTAGTTGGGACTACAGGCACACGCCGCCACACCCAGATAATTTTTCTTTTTTTTTTGTATTTTTAGTAGAGATGAGGTTTCACCATGTTGGCTAAGATGGTCTCGATCTCCTGACCTCGTGATCCACCTGCCTCGGAACTCCCAAAGTGCTGGGATTATAGGCGTGAGCCACTGCACCCAGCCATTTATTGTATTTTTTCGTTATCTCCCACACTACAATGTAAGCTACAAAAGGGAAGAAATTTCTGTTTGGTTTATTGCCCTATGCCTAGAACAGTGTCTGGCACAAGCTCCACACTAAATAAATATTTGAACAAATACATAAGTGAATGTATGAATGACTCTGATTTGGAAAGAAATACTATCCCACCTTTCCACCTTTTTAAAATTTTGTCCACAAATAAATGACCAAGAGCAAAGGGCACAGAGGGAAAGGGAAAGACATTGTAAGTAATGAGTCATCTTCTCAGCTTTGTAAAGGACTGCAGGGAGCAACCTTAGTGAGGGATTGGGGAAAGGTTAAGGTAGACACGAGATTAAAGACTGTGCTTGGAGGGAACAAGTCACAGGCAGAGCCTTTGAAAGCTGAGATGCTCCAGACTCCTAAGAATGAGGACAATTGAGGCACGTTCATTATCACAGAATGACTAGCTACCAAGCATGCTGGAGTCAGTAGCGCACAGAAGCAGGCACAACACTTGGGAGTCTGACTCTACGAGGAGGCCAGCAGGATGACAGGACAATAAGAAAACAAGGTCTTTGCCAGAACCATTAGGGGAAAATTACACGTGTAAACATAAAAGCCAACAAGAAAGATGGCTCTTCCTTGCACAGCTGTCAGAGGCGTGTGAACAGTCACGGTTTAGTTAATTATGGCTAAATATCACTGGGGAGGGTCGGAAACATTGCTAGTTGGGAATTAGCAGGCTGAGGTGCTAACATAGTTTCAAAGGGAGCTCTAAATTAGTTGGATGGACTCCAGTCCTATTTATAACCCAGTACACTAGAGAAACTAGTCCTGACTTTAAAAGGGCCTGATTATATATTCCAAAAGAAGCTTTCTTACGGAACATAGTCATATCTTATATACATTAATAATGAAGAACGAGTTTGCTAAAAGCTTTTGTTTGACTTTTCATGCAATGGATGTTTTTGGAATAAAAACCTTAGACTTCTGTTAAAATGCTTACACATTAAAAGAGACAAAGCGAGGAACATGCCCTCCAATGAACATCAGTTACCCAAGACTTAATCAATGGTGCAGTTCCTTCTTGGCTTGGCCAGGAATCAGGACAGAGGAGATGCTGATGGTCAGTTTACATTTTTAGTGCCCTAGCACAGGGGTCCTCAATCCCTGGGCCATGGACCGGTACGGGTCCGTGGCCTGTTAGGAACCGGGCGGCACTGCAGGAGGTGAGCAGCAGGGAGCGAGCATTACCGCCTGAGCTCCATCTCCTGACAGATCAGCAGCTGGATTCGATTCTCATAGGAGGGCGAACCCTCTTGTGAACAGCGCATGTGAGGGATCTAGGTTGCACGCTCCTTATGAGAATCTAACCAATGCAGGCCAGGTGCGGTGGCTCACGCCTGTAATCCCAGCACTTTGGGAGGCCGAGATGGGCGGATCACGAGGTCAGGAGATCAAGACCATCCAGGTTAACACGGTGAAAACCCGTCTCTATTAAAAATACAAAAAAATTAGCCGGGCATGGTGGCAGGTGCTTGTAGTCCCAGCTACTCGGGAGGCTGAGGCAGGAGAATGGTGTGAACCTGGGAGGCGAAGCTTGCAGTGAGCTGAGATCGTGCCACTGCCCTCAGCCTGGGTGACAGAGCGAGATTCCGTCTCAAAAAAAAAAAAAAAAGAAAATCTAACTAATGCCTGATGATCTGAGGTGGGACAGTTTCATCCTGAAACCATCCCCTCAACCCCATCCAGGGAAAAACTGGCTTCCACGAAACTGGTCCCTGTGTGCCAAAAAAGTTGGGGACCACTGCCCTAGAATATACCTTACCAGTTACTTAGTTCTAGAATAGATTCTTCCATAAATGTCTCCCTCCAACACCACCAACCCTCCCACCTTGGGATGTCACTATCTAGAATCATTATCATTTACCCATATATTAGAGAGTTCCTAAAACACAACTTTTTCATACATAGTCCTATCTTATATTATCACTTATCTGACCTATTTCTCAATAGGGGTGTGTGTGCGTGTGTTTGTGTGTGTTTGTGTGTGTGTGTGTGTGTGTGTGTGTGTGTGTGTAAAAATATTAGCTGGGCGCCACCACGCCCAGCTAATATTTGTATTTTTTTAGTAGAGACGGGGTTTCAGCATGTTGGCCAGGCTGGTCTTGACCTCCTGACCTCAGGTGATCCACCTGCCTCGGCCTCCCAAAGTGCTGGAATTACAGGCATGAGCCACCACATCTGGCCTCAATAGGTATATTGATTACAACTTTTCACTGGTGTTATTAACTCTTTGAGGAACATGATCACCTTAGGATAAAATCTTAGAAGTTGATTTACTGATTCATTAACAGTATACACTTTAAGGCCTTTAAAACGCTGCCAAAATTGCCTTCCCGAGGGTTGGGTCATTTACACTCCCAGCAGCAGGAGGATATGGGGCTCAGCCACTTGTGACTGCTTCTGCCAAGTTCTCTGGTCAGAAATGTAGATGCTGTAAATGACAATAGATCTTTCCCAATCCACTGGACTGGTAGTGAAAAAGGATCTGGGGCTGCTGAAATGTGTGTGTCATGAAACCATTCACCAAAAGGCTCATCCACTTCTCTCAAAGGTGGGGTTCAGACCCTCCTTCAAAAACTTGGACCCTGCATGGGAGACACAACCCTGCCAACATGCATATTTCTGGTTTCACAACTGACAGGCTCTAAATGCAGTGAAACCTCAGGTGGGCTGGGAAAAAGCTTGTTACTTAGGTGGACAATGAATGCAGAGAAAGGTCACAAGTGACAGACCGGTGGTAAAAGTGAAAAAGAAGCCCACTGGGAGAAGATATTCCCCGCTCCATAAGCAGGCCTGGTTCAGTCACCCAACCACTGCAGAGAGCTTCTTAGCCAAACAAGTAGTGAAAGTGGTTGATGACTGCACGATACTGGACATGTGGGATATCTTTCAGAAATATTTTATGCAAAAAGCCAAAAACTGAATTGATGTTTGGCTCTGAAAAACCTTCTAATTGCCTGGAAAATTAAGTTGTATTTACTTATTTGGAACATTTAGAAGTTGGTTCTGCATAAATAAGGTGTTACAGTTCAGAACTATGTACCCAGGATAAACCATCTATAGCTGGTAAAGTTAAACTGATTCTTTTATGCCTTTGGCTGGCACAAGTCTAAAAGACAGCTCCAAGCAGTGCAAAGATAATCTGGACTCTACTCCCTTCTTTGAATTATTTGTGTGACCCCGGGGAAGACACTTTGCAGGGACCTAATGTCTTCACTATGAAATCAAGAGATGAGGTTCAAAGATCAAGGCTGAGATGATGCCCAGATTTCCCTCCGATCTGGGCATTTTATGATTCTGAAATCAGGAGCAATTCTTACCTTCACAGTGGTCTCCAAGCCCAGATGCTCTGTAACCCTGGTCACACACACATTGAAAAGAGCCCTCAGTGTTCCTGCACTGCCCATGAGCACAGAGATGACGGTGCTGGCATTCATCAATGTCTATGAGCAAGAGAATACAAAGAAACTGTGGAAGTGGTGCTTCAAAAACATTTTCAATCAGTCTCAATTGGATCAGTGTAAATTCTAGAAAGACAATGTTGATACAAGTAATGACCATCATGTATTGTCGCTTTTGTAATACTATCTCAGGAGACTTTTTTGCTTCTCAAATATTCAGAGTATACATGAAGACGTGGATATTGTTTATTTATGAAACAATGGCCTTATACAGTGTGGATTCTGTTCTTAAATAAGAAATGGCGTTTCCTCTCAAGAACTCTGGACACTTGTGGTTGACACAGGTGAGATCATAATATCTTCAAGTTCAGGAAGCACATACTTATTGGGAAGTGAAGTATTTCTGTGTGCAATTCAATGAAATGTTTCTTTAAAAAGTCTAAGGTCAACCCTAGCAAATCCAGAATCCTCACTATCAGCTGTAGGAACAGAACATATTTTGCAAACTTTCTCTCTAAGGGGGACATTATTACAGTTTTATTGAGAAATCTTCTTTAGCGATTTTTTTAAAAGACAAAATTTTTCAACGTTAAATACAAAAATTAAGGTTATTAACATTCCACAGCATAAAGCAGCCCGATATAATGACTTTCTAATTGCTGAAATCCAAGTATATAAAAACTTTAAATTAATTTACATGTTTAAATGGAAATTACCTTCTGTAGTAAAGAATTACACAGAAAGCAATAATTTTTCTTCTTAATACTAATGCCTAGCCATTGATAGCTAATGCCATAGGTTTTCAAATTTAACTGTCTTCAATCTTGTTTTATTGACTTTCCTAACTTATGTTTAAGTCCTGGCTTTCTGGCACTATAATGCAATTATCTGGGTAATTTTTAAAAGGTAAACTCACTTGATTGAGCGTACCTTTTTCAGACCAGGTGCTTTAAGCTGAAGTTTCAGTAGTTCATGTTACTACCCTCTTACCTTCACACTGGTCTTTAGCTGCCGACAGCTGGTACCCCTGTCCACAGGTGCACCTGAAGGAGCCCTCGGTATTTTTGCACTGCCCGTTTACACATAGATTCCCTTGCTGACATTCATCAATATCTGCAAACACAACAACGGCAATTTTTCTGAAAAAGAGACTACCCAGGAGAATGCAGTGCTCCCTGCAATGCATTCTGGGATTAGTGTAACAAAAATAATAGTACTTCTTATGTCTGGCACTACACACTTTAGTATTTATCACTCCACCCATGCTGTTGTATCAACCTCAGTATACTGATCTATAGAATAGAAATAACTAAAAATAGACAATAAATCAATAAGCTATTTATAATAATCATACTCCTCACCATCAGTGTCTTGGAATACAACATGAAATATTTTAGAGCTGCAAACAGAAGGCAGAACCTGATGCAATATAATGTCGCTCAGATAGTTTGCAGACCTGTTTAGTTGCATGAAAGAAGTCAGAAGGAAAACTCGACTAGGAATTTGAAAAACAAAACCAAAAACATAGGCAGTTATGGAAGGAAACAGATAATTCTACTTTGTCTAGAAGTTGAACTATAAGGCCAAACAGTTGTATAAAGAACTCTGGCTCATTTTCAAAGTAACAAGGAAAGCCAAGAGAAATGGTAGTATTATGATGACTGCTGAATACCAAAGGAGAAAGTGATAAGTGAGGATTTTTAAACATGCTTTGACAAGATAAAATCACTAACTGAGAAAGAAGATAATTCTTAATAAGTGTCCTAGAAAATGTCATGTATACGAAGTTATACAACTGAAGCAAAGGACTGGCTTCATCAATAACTTGAACACGTCTGGTAAGAGTAGAGTCTTCCAGATGTTTTTGTTTGGCCATTATATTGGTCCGACCTAAGCAGATAATTCTGTCTTGCCTTGTCAGTGCAAATACAGCCTCAGAATGTTCTGCTGAATGGCTAGCCAACTTATAAGAGTTTATGATTATTAAAACATGGTAGGTACAACTGATCTTCATCACCTACATGACAGGTTTGTTGTGAAGATTACCGAAGGGAATAGATATAAAACACTTTAGCCCTATACTCACAGGAGGAGAAAGGAGCCCTAATCTAAAGGGAGTAATAAATAAAATAGAGGGATTTGTTTTTTAAAAACCATGTCCTATAGATCAATGTATGACTGTGGTTTTCTTCAAATTTTCTTATTTAAAATGCATCTAAAAGTGTCTGCCAGGAAAACTCAATTAACTGTATAGGCCTTTCACTCAAGTATTATTGACAATTACCTGTTTCTCCTGAGCCAAACTTCTTTTTTTTTTTTTTTTGAGACAGAGTCTCGCTCTGTCGCCAAGCTGGAGTGCAGTGGCGCTATCTCGGCTCACTGCAACCTCCGTCTCCCGGGTTCAAGCGATTCTCCTGCCTCAGCCTCCCGCCCAGCTCATTTTTGTATTTTTAGTAGAGAGGGAGTTTCACCATGTTGGCCAGGATGGTCTTGATCTCTTGACCTCATGATCCGCCTGCCTCGTTCTCCCAAAGTGCTAGGATTACAGGCGTTAGCCACCACACCTAGCCGCAAAGTTTCATTTCTTAACCTCTAATGGGGCATTAACTTTTAAAATGTATCCAGATATAAGCAAAGTATCAGGTTATCCCTCCCTGAAATAGTTGAAATTGCTACTGAAATACTGACATAGTTTCCTGAAATAGCTCAAAGTATTAATGTAATTGGAGTTCAAAAATTTGTTTCTTATTTTATTTAATATTTCATAGCAATTACTTTAGTTGATTAAAAACTTTTGTTTTACCAATTGTGTTCTTGGTCTCTTTGATTTATAAATAATTCCTGGCTGCCAATATTGTCTGTCCATAGAGAAAATAAACAAGGTAACTTTCATTTTAAAGATTATTTTATACCTTTCAAACACTGTAAGTCTCTTAGCTTTAGGAATGGTTGCCAGCAAAGATCAGCCTACGTCACTATTTTCTTTTAGCACATTCTATAAAATACTTGAGATGTCAGTTCACGAACTGAAGACCAACAATAGTTCTTGTAGCTGGCTGGATCTCACATAACATCTGACAACATTTTTAGTGCTTTGGAATCTTTTTGACTTTCTCATAGAAGACAACAAATTAAGCATTCCCATGTGAAGATGTCTGCAACAGAGATAGACCCTCCATTCCAAGGACTATCAGGCTATGCCAGACATCTTACGTAACTGACTCATTTATGTTGCTAAGAATGTCAGGAGTAATTCATGACAAGTAATGACACATACACTTGGAATAACTTGAGGCAACACAGTTATCTTGCACAAGGTGATCTTTGGGTCTTTAAAATGACCAAGGGAACAAAGATAGATTAATTCTAGGGATAAAAATATTTTTCTTTTCTAATGAGGGATAGCATTTCTGAGCCAAAAGAAAGCTTTCTAATAAAATAGGAATGCTGGACAAATGTCTTCTTTCTTTTGTGCCAAGAATATCACACACCCCCGACATGTGAATGTACACCTGACATTATGTGAGGACCAGAGCCTTTCACCTCTGTGTTCTTCTTCCCAAAAACCCATGACCCCAGTTTAATCATGAGAAAAACATCAGATGGATCCAGAGTGGGGAAAAGCTACAGGATTCTGGCCTATACTCTTTAAGATAGATAAGATCATGAAAACTAGGGAAAGATTCATTGGGGAGACTAGACAACTAAATGCAGTGTAGTATCCTGGATTGGATCCTGGAACAGAAAGAGGACGTGACTGGAAAAACTTGTGAAATCCAAATAAAGTCTAGTGTTTAGTTTTTTGTTTTTGTTTTGTTTTGTTTTGTTTTGAAAAGGCAGGGCCGGGTGTAATGGCTGATGCTTGTAATACCAGCACTTTGGGAGGCCGAGGTGGGCGGATCACAAGGTCAGGAGACCATTCTGGCTAACATGGTGAAACCCCATCTCTACTAAAAATACAAAAATTAGCCAGGTGTGATGGCACGTGCCTGTAGTCCCAGCTGCCCAGGAGGCTGAGGCAGAAGAATCACTTGAACCTGGGAGGCAGAGGTTGCAGTGCGCCGAGATCGCACCACTGCACTCCAGCCTGGGCGACAAAGCGAGACTCCATCTCAATAAATAAATAAATAAATAAATAAATAAATAAATAAATAAATAAATAAAGCAGTATATTAGATCCTAGCTCTGACGTGTAGAAGCTGTGTGAGCTTTCTCATCTGCAAAAAAAAGGGAACAATAATGCTTCCTACTAGAGCTGATATGAGGATTGCATGAAATAATACAGGGACAGAGATCATGTGGGAAGAATGAGGTAATGCATCCCAGGCTGTAATGGGAAGACGCCATTAGAATCGGAGTAGAGGTCAAGGTTAAATGCCAAGTGGAAGTAATAGCCCTTTCTCACCTCTAAGCTTTGGCATATGCTGTTTCCTCTGCCTGCCAAGTTTTACTCCCCTTTGTATTCAGTACTTCAAGACTAAGTTCAAATAGCAATACCTTTGTGAAGCTTTCCCAGACGCACACAAGCAGAGTTAGCCACACACTTCTTGGCTTTAACGAAACTTTGTTTATGCCTCTAATTTAGCAAACACCACCACCACCATGTCATGCTCTGCCCCTGCTTTAACTCATTCTCTCTACATGATCTCTGTCCCTGTATTATTTCCTGCAATCCTCATATCAACTCTAGCAGGTACCATTATTGCTCCCTTTTATTTGCAGATGAGAAAAGTAAGGCTTAGTGAAGTAAGATACCGTAACTTATCCAAGCTCACACAGCTTCTACGCATCAGGACTAGCATCCGATATGCTGCCTTTTTTTAAAAAAACAAAACTAAATACTAGACTTTAGACATTATATATATATTATAATCTTGGATATTAGATTGCTGTTAGTTGTCTTGTCTCCCCAACCAATCTTTCCCAGGCTCAGCTGGGATGGCAACAGCCAAGAGCAAGACAGTGGTAATGAGCCATTCATTCAACATGTGCTACTTTGAGCATCCCATTAGAGAGTCTGATCCCCTAATTTTAGGGATGACACAATGTCTGGAAACCTGAGATTATTCACCCAAGGTCATACCATGAACCACTGGAAGAGCCACATCAGGTAAGCAGTGAGGAAGAAGATGAATATGAAAGGCAGGATAATCTTGAACAAGTACTTGGGTCCAAGTACTGCCCTGTGAAGAATCTTCACAGGGCAGTTGTGACATTGATTTGGATAGGTCAGAGAATGCTAGCTGAAGAATGCAACTGTGACAAGTAAGTTTGGACTATGAAAGAGGAGGACAGATTACAAGAGTTTTTATCAACAAGCAGATGAAAAAAATTAGGCAGATTAGGATGAAAGAAGATAAAATGGCAGGATATGAAAATAAACTAGATATAGCAATCAAAGATTAACCATGACTCCTAAGGCTTGAGATCCTCATCCACCATTGATCCAGTGTATGGGGGAAGAAATAATACCTTTCAGATGCTTCTCATATTTAATTTGGTCTGAGGAGATACCTGGCTTAAGGAATCAGTAGGAAACTGTGGATGTGAGCCAAAAGAGAAGGGACCAGGAGAAATGGAGGTGTGCCCACGTTAGATGTTCCACTAGGAGTGGCCAAGATCCACTGTTGCTCTGTTGTATTATTGGAGCAAGGCATCAAATCCAGATGCCTGCATGTTCCCTACTGCCAGTGGAAGAGGCCTCGATTCTTACAGGATACCAGGGTATTCATTTACTACTTGCCTACCATAGTGAGAAATTAATTATCACCCTACATCCTTCACTTACATCAAGACACTTAAGAAGAAAATGTTTACTTATTTCCTCTTTTACCCTTTGCTAGAACATACTTTTAGATGTAAAAGTAAGCAGAAAAGAAAAAAATCCACAGATTTGGCCATAAGAAAAAATTTTTAAAAAATCATAAAAAGGAAAATTAGGGAAGCCTTGGAGAAATTACAACAGTGTACCACCAAAAATGTATACGTAATGTACACATATTTATTATTATTATTATTATTATCATCATTGAGACTCTATTTTGAGTCTTGCTCTGTCACTCAGGCTGGTGTGCAGTGGCACGATCTCAGTTCACTGCAACCTCTGCTTCTCGGGTTCAAGTGATTCTTGTGTCTCAGCCTCCTAAGTAGCTGGGATTACATGCGCATGCCACCAAGCCCGGCTAATTTTTGTATTTTTAGTAGAGACAGGGTTTCACCATGTTGGCCAAGCTGGTCTCGAACTCCTGACTTCAGGTGATCCATCTGCCTTGGGCCTCCCAAAGTGCTGTGTCCGGCCACATGTACATACGTTTATATATGTATTACATATATAAAGAGTTCGTATACATTGATTAAACAAATAAAAAGCCGGATAAATGAGAAATGATATTAATGGAAATTTTAAAAACAAATATAAATGTTAAGTATATAAAATAAATGTTTAAAAATTAGAAGTGTTCAGAGAATCGCTAAAGGGAATGAACATATAAAAAAATTAAGCCTTTTCAGAATTAAAATAAATATATATATGAAATGAGAATGTTCTCCTGTAAAAATAGTAAAAAGACCATGATACAATATATGTATCAAAACATCACTGTGTGCCCCATAAATATGTACAATATGGACAATTATTACATGCCAATTAAAAAAAAAACCAAATAGTAAAAAAATTCAGAACATTTTTGCCAGGCGTGGTGGCTCATGCCTGTAATCCCAGCACTTTGGGAGGCTGAGGCAGGTGGATCAAAAGGTCAGGAGTTCGAGACCAGCCTGACCAATATGGTGAAACCTCGTCTTTACTAAAAATACAAAAATTAGCTGGGCATGATGGCGGGTGCCTGTAGTCCCAGCTACTCAGGCGGCTGAGGCAGGAGAATCGCTTGAACCTGGGAGGCGGAGGTTGCAGTGAGCCAAGATCGTACTACTGCACTCTAGCCTGGGCGACAGAGCAAGACTCTGTCTCCAAAAAAAAAAAAAAAAAAAATTTTACCCAATAATTCCACTTTTATGAATAAGGAAATAATTCTAAAGTTCAGACAAAAGTTTATTTTTAAAAGAGACCTAGCCAGGTGTGGTGGCTCACGCCTGTAATCTCAGCAATTTGGGAGGCCTAGGTGGGCAGATCACCCGAGGTCAGGCATTCAAGACCAGCCTACCCAACATGGTGAAACCCTGTCTCTACTAAAAATATAAAAATTAGCTGGGCATGGTGGGAGGCACCTGTAATCCCAGCTACTCAGGAGGCTGAGGCAGGAGATTCGCTAGAACCCAGGAGGCAGGGGTTGCAGTGAGTCAAGATCATGCCACAGCACTCCAGCCTGGGGGAGAGAGCAAGACTCCACCTCAAAAAAACACCCAAAACAAAGAAACAAACAAACAAACAAAAATTAGTCGGGCGTGGTGGCGTGTGCCTGTAATCCCAGCTACTCGGGAGGCTGAGGCAGGAGAATCACTTGAACTTGGAGGGTGGAGGTTGCAATGAGCCAAGATCATGCCACTGCACTCTAGCCTGGGCAACACAGTGAGACTTCAGCTCAAAAAAAAAAAAAAAAAAAAAAAAAAAAGACCTGTACCAGTTTTGTTCACTAATGAGAAGCTGAAAATTTTTTGTTTGTTCAATACCTAAAGAAGAGCAAGAAAACTGTGATATAGGAATATACTAGAATATTGTGCAGCCTCTAAAAATAACGTTTGAAAAAAAGTTATGAATGGAATGTAAAACACTTATGGTAGGTATACTATTAAATGGCAAAAAGCAAGATATAAAATTATACATAGAACATCTTTATATACAATATCCACGAAATATGAATATTCATTAATGACATTATGTAAGATTGTTACTTTTCTTTTTTCTCTATTTGCTAAATTTTCTAAAATGAGTGTATATTGGTTACTTTCATATCAATTTTATTCAGAAATAATTCCCATGCTATACAATTCCATTTAAAATGTACAATTCAATGGTTTTTAATATATTCACAGAGTTGTGCAACTGTGTGTATTGCTTTTATAATGAGAAAAAAAAATTTAGATGAACCGATCTGTGGCTCACAGACACTCTCTAAAAATACATCGTTTCCCTTTATGTAAATAGATATGCTCTGTATTTAACCACAGCAAGGAGCCACTTTCAGCCAAGCCAACCAATATGTGCTCTAAGTCGCTCGGTCAAAATAAACACAGGTAGCAGGGTTCCCTTTTCTAAGGCTAATTGCTCTAATCTATATTTAAATGAAGTTTAAATAAAAATGGGAAACTTGATCACAGTATTTACCTCTACAGTGCTTGTGGTCCGGAGTCCGGGTATAGCCTTTGTGGCATGAACACATGTAGGAGCCTTCAAGGTTGGAACAATCACCATTTGCGCAGACGTTTGGTTCCAGGCACTCGTCCACATCTTGAAGAATGTTGCGTAATGGAAAGAACAAAAAAAGAAGAAAAAGAAAACATGGATAAAGTTAAATTTGGTTAGAAATGGAAACAGTAGACCTTCAGAAGACCAGGCAGATTCTTAAAGATAAACTTTCAAATTAGCCCAAAGGAGAAAAAGCAGCTTGTCGTGAGCTAAATGGATGACGGTTCTATACTTTAACTTACCTTCTGAAAGTAACTCGGAACCAAATATGCTCTGTGAATAAATTCAAGAAGTAAAGATGGCTTGTTGTAGGGGGGAGGAAGGAAGAGACGGGAGATTTAGTGCAACATCTCTACAAGAAAGCATTTTCCAAAGAACCAAAGATGGGTTGAGGTCTATTTTGGAAATTGATGAATTCAATAGGATGGGAGAGTTCACAAAAGCAAAAGATATGACTCATGACCCAGAGAAATCACAGAGAAGTTTTAACAGAAAGGTGAAAAAGAGTCCAATAAAAAGCTCTAAAATGGCAGTGAATCCATATGATAAAAACCAAGTAATCTAAGGGACAAACACAAGCCTACTGGGCAGTTTGAAGGTAGGGCACACGCTGAAGAGGTAGATAATAATAATAGCACCTAATCTTTATCAAGCACTTGCTACATGTGGGCATTAAAAGCTTTACATACATCATCTCATTTAATCCGAACAAAATCCTTATGGGCCAACCATTTTATGGAGGAAGGAACTGAAGCTTAGAGAAGTTCAATAACCAGCCCAACGCCACATAGAAAATGGTGGTTCTGAGATGTGAACCCAAGCCTATCCTTTTAACCTGACTGTAAGTTTCTGTCACAGGCAAAGTTAAATCTAGTGATAGAAACAGTTAAAGAAAGAGAGAATGTATGAATTGATGTTTGTTTTTATTATTTGCTAACACAGCATTTATATTGAAAATAATCATCTAAAATCTACTTCATTAAAAAATATTAAGTCCCTACTACATATTACTATTTTTCAAAAATAAATAAACATGTAAGTTCTGTGCTCCATTTGAATGGCCCTGGGTAGGTCCACCGTATGTCACAGTGACAGACACTAGTGAGGTATCAATAAGCAAGAACTTAAAGAGGAAAAACTTAAATCACAAAATGCTAAAACTACACATACAATAACACAATTAGGCTTAATCTTATAGGGGTCTATAACATAATCAAAGCATCTTAAGCCTAAGCCAGGCAAACAAGGAGGAAAAGACACGTGACAGCATCTGTTTCACTTTTCAATGCTCACTACACCACGAAAGCAGCAAAGCTTTCTACCCTCTTAAGGCAGTCACAAGCACACTGACAATACAAACCCAGAGTCTAGATTGCATGCATTTGCACTGTATTAAGACTGTATTCTTTCTTACAGTGGAATGCAGAAACGGAGTTGTACTAAAATGTGGCAAACACGTATCTGTGAGTGTGCACACGGGTGTGTTCCCTGCACATACTGAGAAGAGCCAAGGAAATGGCACTGCCTAGGTGCTCTGCGTTGCTTTCACAAAATATCACTAATTATGGTGAGCTGACTCTAGTCCACGATAACAAAAATAGCACTTCCAGACTGACTCATTAACCACCCTTTCCTTGGTTGTGGGAATCCACTTCTGTAAACACTGAAGGCAAACAACTTGAAAGAAGAAGCCAAGCATTGGAGCCAAAGTAAATAATGGGAATGAGCCTAGACACCAGGCATAGAAATTCCAGACAGCAACAGGAAAATGTCATGTTTAGTATCTGGTTTTGTTTCAAAAATGTTAACAAGCTCAGAAATGTATGGATTGCTCTCTTTAATTATTCATGCACCAGGGAAAGTGATTTATAAGGCTGTAGAATATAACAGCAAAATCAATTTCTAAGACCATACTTTCTCTAGGTAAAGTAAATTAACAGACACTGCAGATTACCATTTAGGAGATACTTATAAAACTTCTATTTTTCTAGGCTACTCATGATTAATGATGAAGCAGAATGCCTTGAAATATCTAGGGTAGCCTGATGTGTTTATTCTTTCTTTACTTATTATAGACATAATTGCATGGAACCAGAATTCTGTCAAGCCAATCACCGTAGATAGAACAGTTTGAACTGAAAGTACATTGCCTTAATGAGACTATGCTCCTGAGAAAATAGCAAGACAGTAAAATATCACTAAAGAATCTCTACAAAGAAGGAAGGTCTCCAGAGAGGAACCACACGTAAAAACACTTGGTGGATGCAAATGGTGTAAAATTAATTCAGCATTATATCGTTGGCCCAGATTTCTCTCCTAAACTGTAGAAGCATGCATCCAGCTGGTAAGTCTACTGGACATCTCCTTGATGTCCCCCAGGTACCTCTGAGTCTTTATGGCCAAAACTGACCCCTCCTCTGTCTTTTCTTTATGTTATTTTTCACACCAATATCTAGTACCATTATCTACTCAAATGCCCAAGTCAGAAACCTGAGTCCTTATTTTTACTCTCCCTCTTTCCTCACATTGTTATTGCCCAGGCATACCAATCTGCCCTTCAAATATCTCTCAAATCACCTACTTTCATTCTTTCTCACCCGAGTTACTGCCACAGTCTTTTAATTTGTTTGTCTAAGACTTGGCTTCTCTAATCCATTATCCAGCTTGCAGACAGAATAAACTTTTTTCTAAAATACAAATCTGATAAATGGTGTTGGCTCCTCTACTTTAAAAACCTTCCATGACTTTCAGTGTTCTTCAGTTTAGTCAAGGACACAAACTTGTGGGGCCCTGGGTGGTAATGATAGCAGAAGGCTTGGCCCCCACAGTTCTAGCTTCCAACCCTTGGGAAGATCTCCCATCAATGCCATAAGAAGTGCTATGCTTTGAAAATGGTTTGTCCCTGCTAAAACTCATGTTGAGGCTTGGTTGTCAAGGTGGCAGCATAGGGAAGTCGTGCTTTTAAGAGGTGATTAGTTCATTAAGATAGATGAATGTCTTTCTCTCGAGACTGGGTTAGTTCTCGTGGGAATGAAATTGTTCCCAAGAGAGTGGATTGTTATAAAGTGAGGTTGCCTCTGTGTTTTGCTCTCTTTGCATGCACTTGCTTCACCTGCCACTTCTCCAGCATATTAAGACGCAGCACAAGGCTCTCACCAGAAGTGGCCATCTGATCTTGAATTTGCCAGTCTCCAGAACCATGAGCTAAATCAATAAACCTCTCTTCTTCATAAATGACCTAGTCTCAAGGTGTTCCGTTACAGCAACACAAAATGGGTTATGAAGGAAGCAGGTGGTGCCTACCCACCCCACCATCCACCCCATGGTTGCCTTTTCCCTGAAGCAGAGGGAGATGATTATGCCTCTGGTTTTCATGGTAGAGCTCAAAATTTGTCTTACTCTAAGATATGGTCTTACAGAATGTTCATATTACCCAAATTCTTCCAGTGCATATACATAATGAGTTCAACAGGCCTTTGCGTTTTATCTGTTAGGAAATATAATAAAAAACAGTGTTGATAAAAAAAATTGGTTCTAGCCAGGTGTGGTGGCTCTTGTCTATAATCCTAGAAACTCAGGAGGCTGAGGTGGGAGGGCTGCTTGAGGACAAGAGTTTGAGACCAGTCTGGCCACCACAGCAAGCCCCTGTCTCCACACACAAATTTTTTTTTTAAATTAGCTGAGTGTGGTGGTGCGTGCCTGTAGTCCCAGCTACTTGGGAGGCTGAGGCAGGAGAATCACTGGAGCCCAGGAGTTAGAGACTGCAGTGAGCTGTGATCATGCTGTTGTACTCCAGCCTGGACAAGACCTTGACACTTTAAAAAATAAAAAAAGAAAGAAAAGAAAAATGGATTCTAAATCTCAAACAATTTACCAATGGGCTTTTGAGACATAACAATTTGGCATTTGCCACTCAATGAATTAATTAAACCTCCCAGGGTAAGAAACTTGCCGAGGTATCAGGTCAGACTTGGTAGGCAGATAGTTCAAAGATGTATGCATCCATCTTACAATCCTATCACCCAATCCAAATTGATCCTTCTCATCTACAGTGCCCAGAGAGACTCTAACAAGTACATTGTTGAAAACTAGATGTGCCATGCCCACAGAATTTCCTGGTCTACTCATCTAATCACTGTATCAGGAAAGGCAGTCAGGACAGTCTAGCATGATTTATCCTTAACGAATCCTGACTGGTTCTTATAATCATCACTTCCTTTTTAAAATGTTTCATCTCATCATTTGAATCATGCATTCTACAGTTCTTTGTCAAGATTAACATGAAGCTCAGTGGTCAGTAATTCCCAGACTCCACCTTCTTTTCTTTTTTCTTTTTTTTTTTTTTTTGAGACAGAGTCTCGCTCTGTCACCCAGGCTGGAGTGCAGTGGTGCGATCTCGGCTCACTGCAACTTCTGCTTCCTGGGTTCAAGCGATTCTCCTGCCTCAGCCTCCTGAGTAGCTGGGACTACAGGTGCCTGCCAGCACACCTGGCTAATTTTTTGTATTTTTAATAGAGACGGGGTTTCACTGTGTTAGCCAGGATGGTCTCGATCTCCTGACCTTGTGATCTGCCCGCCTCGGCCTCCCAAAGTGCTGAGATTACAGGCGTGAGCCACCGCACCTGGCCTCCAACTTCTTTTCTTTTTGCGGGGAAATGAGAACATTACTCTCTCCGTATCCTCTGGTAACTATCAATTCTCCACAATTTCACAGAGATGACTCCCAGCTGGCCAGTAATCCCACCTGGCTCATTGTCTCGTTGCCTTGGGGTGTAATTCATCTGGGTGAAGAACCTTTTAAAATTTAAAATTTCCCTTCCTAATATCCTGGGAACATACCAGACTGTCTCAAGCCCCTCCCTGGTGGGCACAGCCCACCATGTACAGAGGGTATTCAGTGGCTGATGTCACCCAGTCATGTTCTCCCCAGCCTGTGCTCACTTACATTTCATGTAGCAGCTGCTTGGGGTTGGCTAGAATTTGTCCCGGAGCAGTAATTTACCTGTATTACTTCCTGTACTTTCAATGAGATGAGTATGTCAACATAGCCAATTATTTCTCTAAGGCTATCCAAATTCAATTTGTTCCTTAATCACCAATACAGGCTTCAGTGAGTGAGTACCACTTGAGATAGGGATAAAGCATCTTATTCTAGCACTACAGCTACATGAAAACACAGGATTATCCCCTACCCCAAATGTGTCATTACTCCAGCGACTCCTCAACTATTCTTCACACATAATCTTTTATATTAAAGAAGATGGAAGAACATATTTGGCAGAAAAGCAAGCATGGCAAAATGAGAGACAGATGTTGGTCCAGCCAGTGTGATGAAACCACCTCAACTGCATTTGAGGTATAGTAGATCCTCAGAATCTCACACCCCCTCTGTCAATTCTGATGAAGTTAAAATATGTGGTAGTAGCAGCAGAGCTGCTGACAAACATTTGTTACATAATCCTCAAAGAATCATCACGGCTTTGCAGAACTGGAGAAGAACCAATGAATGCTATGCACATCCTACATAAAGAGCCAAGGATGATCTCAGAAAAATCCAATCACTAATCCCACCAAATTATTGGCTTCCTACCTCACCTTTCCAAAGGAGCATTTTATCTTTCAGCAAAACTCAACTGCCACTACATATGGTGCAGACTTGCTGTCTCAAACTCTAGAATCCTCAAGCCATTGTTACTGCTGCTTGCAAGGGATGATTCCAGCCCATGTGGCTTTCTCCTTTCTATGCTCTTTTATTTTCCTTATTGTCTTCATTATATTGTTTTGTTCTTTAGTTTTCTTACGTGTACACGAAGGGTACATGAGACATTGTACAGAACAAAACACTGGATTTAGAGATAAAAGATCAGAGGTCACATCCTAGTTCTGACATTTATTACCTATAACCTTTAGTTAGCCCATTCACTTGTTTGGGAATCAATTTCCACACTTGTACTACAGAGATGACTACTGTGAGGATCAAATGATGCCATCATGTCAAAACCTTCATAAACTATACAATGAGAAGGATTTTGTTATAATAATTAATGTTCCCACAAACCATGCTGCCTGCTTTCAAAAGTTGTTGTTGTTGTTGTTGTTGTTGTTTTTATTTTATTTTTATTATACTTTTAAGTTTTAGGGTACATGTGCACAACGTGCAGGTTTGTTACATATGTATACATGTGCCATGTTGGTGTGCTGCACCCATTAACTCTTCATTTAACATTAGGTATATCTCCTAATGCTATCTCTTCCCCCTCCCCTCACCCCACAACAGGTCCTGGTGTGTGATGTTCCCCTTCCTGTGTCCATGTGTTCTCATTGTTCAATTCCCACCTATGAGTGAGAACATGCGGTGTTTGGTTTTTTGTCCTTGCGATAGTTTGCTGAGAATGATGGTTTCCAGCTTCATCCCTGTCCCTACAAAGGACATGAACTCATCATTTTTTTATGGCTGCATAGTATTCCATGGTGTATACGTGCCACGTTTTCTTAATCCAGTCTATCATTGTTGGACATTTGGGTGGGTGTTTTTATAACTGCCAATCTTCTCTGGCATATAGATACACAGACAACAGCTCAATAAATAGCTTAGTGATTGATTAGAAGCATCCTTTAGCATATAATAATGTAGGGATAAAGCTAATGTTTGCACATAAAATATGAAAAAGGTACATGCTGTACTCAGTTGCAATCTTCTATAAAACAAATATCTGCTGTACCAAGTCTTCAATTTTGGATTAGTCTATGAATATTCATATAAGCCATGAAAGTTAACACTGAATCTTCAAATCTGAAAATAAAGCCTAGTGTGAAAAGAACTTCTAGAACAATGAGTTCTCCATGTTTTCTGTCCAAGTTTATTCTTCAAGTTCTCTGTGCCAGGTCTTGGTTAAGACTGTAGCTAATCAGTTGTCAAGTAGACTGAATGATACTAAATTCTTCAAATACCCAAGACCTACATTCACAGAGTTTAAATGGGAGTCAGAAAGTCATTCTCAACTTAATCAGGGGTTAAAAAAGAAAGATTACACTGACAAAATCTCAGAATTTTGTGTTACCGGGTCTCAAGTTCTATCACAAACTGAACTACAAAGCAAGACAACCCCCAAAAGGCTAGCTGCATATATCCAATAGGTGGCATATTCTGCCTTGTGAAGGTGAGCAGAGACAATAAAGTACAGGAATGGAAATAGCAGCATTATTATAGATGCCTGAACATTTGTTAGGAATCACTAATGACCCTACAGAGAAGTATCATGGCTCCCAAGAAGTATATTCCAGCTAAGTAAGAACACTAAGAAGTTGGAAGGAGTCAACAGACATATCACCCTGAACGTGCCCGATCTAGTCTGACCTTGGAAGCTAAGCAGGGTGGGCCCAGTTAGTATTTGGATGGGAGATATTGAACAGGAACCACAAAATTATTTACATTCATAAAAGAATGCTCCAAAAGGCCAGGTGCGGTGGCTCACGCCTGTAATCCCAGCACTTTGGGAGTCTGAGGAAGGTGGATCACAAGGTCAGGAGTTCTAGAACAGCCTGACCAACATGGTGAAACCCCACCTCTACTAAAAATACAAAAATTAGCCGGGCATAATGGCATGCAGCTGTAATCCCAGCAACTCAGGAGACTGAGGCAGGAGAACTGCTTGAACCCGGGAGGTGGAGGTTGCAGTGAGCCGAGATCGCGCCATTGCACTCCAGCCTGGGCAACAGAGGGAGACTCCGTCTCAAAAAAAAAAAAAAAGAAAAAGAAAGAAAGAAAAGAGAATGCTCCAATGACATAAGAAGAATTAAAAAACTATATGACATGAGCTTCAAAAAGCCAAAGAGAATATAGTTATATAGAAGAATGTGACCCGGGCACGGTGGCTTACCCCTGTAATCCCAGCACTTTCGGGGACTGAGATGGGTGGATCACCTGAGGTCAGGAGTTCGAGGCTAGCCTGGCCAACATGGTGAAACCCCATCTCTACTAAAAATACAAAAATTAGCCAAGCGTGGTGGCGGGCACCTGTAATCCCAGCTACTCGGGAGGCTGACGCAGGAGAATCACTTGAACCCTGGAGGCGGAGGTTGCAGTGAGCCGAGATCACGCCATTGCACTCCAGCCTGGGCGACAAGAGTGAGACTCCATCTCAGAAAAAAAAAAAAAAAAAAAAAGAATGTGATACATAACTTACTTTACCAAGTACCAGTTATTACTGCATCTCTTATGTTTGAGGACAAGAGCAGTATAGAGGAGGGTAATAGTTGGGGAAAAAGGGTTGTAGCATGGATGGGGTTCCACCATATGTCAGATGCCTACTAGGTGCTTCATATTGCTTACTTCATTCTGGCAAGAAAGCTTAAACAGCAAGTATTTCAATCCCCATTTTACAGATAATAAAACTAAGCTTCAGAGAGGTCATGTAGCCCAAACTCTGTCTAAATTCAGGGAACTAAGATCTCTACATTAGCAATATCAAATGTATCTTTAAATAATTAAATATTAGAGAGTTTCCTTGGGGGATGGCTCTCATCGGGTTTCAATCAGGCCAGATCTCCACAAGCCAAGAAGAACCTGTAAATTGAGTACCTGACAGGGTGGCTTCCCTTAAGAAAGGACTTGGTTGAAATAGCCATTTGGAACTGGCCAGAACCCAGAGTGATGAAATAGTCATTAAAGGTGGGGATCGAGTGGGCAGCAACTCCAGGCTGAATGTCAGGTCCAAGGAATACAGTGCCGAATGACGAACGTGACTCTCTAGAGAAGAATGAAATCCACGACTTGAAAGAAGAAGCTACGTTAACAGAAGAGCCAACAAGAGTTGCCAAAAAGCATTAGGGATGATGTGTGTTAGGTACAGTCTGAAATGATAGATATTTGAAGTGGATAATAAACTATTGAGGATGAGGGATTGTATGACCTGAGCTAAACACTAGGGAAAAAATGTAGTCCCTCAGAAAACACCTGCTAACATTTTGCCTATTTCTGCCCAAAACAATTTCTGCTCTAATTTATAAATCAAGGAGAAGCATCAATCAGTAAGATCCAGCTTACATGTCATGAATACAAAGAGGCCATTAACGGTTTCACCAAGTTCATCATTTAGTCTGTGAAAGAAGCAGAAAGTGTAACTGGTATAAAATCCCTGCAGAATATAGGGGTTGAATAGCAATGCTTAATGAAGTCATTCAATAGAAAGAGAGTCAAATCAACGTGAAGATAGACCAGTTTAGAAAAAAAACTATAAGCATAATGTGAAATTTAAGAAATGTTATATAAAACATTGTACATGTTTGATTATAACAATGTAAAAACATGTACTCAGTGAGAGGAGAGTTAGAAAAAAAGACACTAACATTTATGGAACACGGCAGCCCTGTGAGATAGACATTATCATCTCTACAGATGGCAACTAACAAATGACAAATGTAGGATTTTTCACCAAAATGGTGTGATTGCAGGAAACTTTTTAATGACCGGGCACGGTGGCTCACGCCTGTAATCCCAGCACTTTGGGAGGCCGAGGCGGGTGGATCACGAGGTCAGGAGATCCAGACCATCCTGGCTAACATGGTGAAACCCCGTCTCTACTAAAAATACAAAAAATTAGCCAGGCGTGGTGGCGGGCGCCTGTAGTCCCAGTTACTCAGGAGGCTGAGGTAGGAGAATGGCGTGAATCCGGGAGGTGGAGGTTGCAGTGAGCTGAGATGGCGCCACTCCACTTCAGCCTGGGCGAAAGAGCGAGACTCCGTCTCAAAAAAAAAAAAAAAAAAAAAAAAAAAGTCTTTAATGTTATCACGGAGAATTTTCATTAACAATTGGGGCAAAAAATTCATCAATATATCCTATATTATCAGAACTAAAAGGATATAATCACAGGTAACAGTTAGAGACAAAACAAATGACTAGCCAGGAAGAGCATGTTAATAACTTAGCATTTGACTATCCTGACCACCAAGGGATCTCTAAAGACTCTGAATCTTTTACTTTACTTTTCTTCACGTCATGCATCACATCTGACATCCTATATATTGTACTTGCTTATGTGTTTATTTGTAAGCACGACGTAAGCACTAGAGTATAACTACAATGAAGGGAGAAAAACTTTATTTTATTCACTCTCTCTTTTTTTTTTTTTTTTTTTTTTTGAGATGGAGTCTTGCTCTGTCGCCAGGCTGGAGTGCAGTGGCGCAATCTCGGCTCACTGCAACCTCCGCCTCCCAGGTTCAAGCGATTCTCCTGCCTCAGCCTACTGGGTGGCTGGGATTATAGGCGCGTGCCACCACACCCAGCTAATTTTTGTATTTTTAGTAGAGACAGGGTTTCACCATGTTGGCCAGGATGGTCTCGATCTCTTGACCTCATGATCCACCCGTCTTGGCCTCCCAAAGTGCTGGGATTACAGGCGTGAGCCACCGTGCCTGGCCTATTTTAGTCACTCTCAATCCCCAGTGTTCTGGAAAAATACCTGGCACAAGGTAGACACTCAGTATTTGTTAAATGAATGAATATATATCCAGTTATGTTAGTGATGAGCTCAACTCAAAACTAGGCTTAAGACAAGACTGCACCTTCTGAAAGGTATTTTAGAGTACCAGAAGTACAAAGCTAGGGCTGGGCAGTCATTAACATGGTCAGAGTTTAGCAGAAAATTCCAACCCACCCATTGGTTCAATGTAAGTAGAAAGGCATGCTGCAATATCTGCTTTTTGTCACAGTCAACTTCTCGACATTTGAAAGCTCTACTACTATAAAAAATTAAGATGGAAAATCTATTTCAGTATAACCTGCAAAGGCCCTCATGAGAAATTTAGAAGAGCTGCAAGTCCAATATGAACAATGGATGGAACTGCAATTAAATCTTGGGGGAGTGGCTTCATTTGTAGATTATGTAGAGCCTAAAATTTTACCCAAAGCAGAAAGATAAAGGACACTGCCTCCATTTAACAATAGGAAATACATGACCTCAGCAACGCAAAAACAAAACAAGGGGCTAAATGTGGGACTTTGGCTGAATTGAGAAATGCAGTGATCTAATATTTCTGCTTATGATTCTACTCATCTGGTTGACAAAGTAAAATTAGTTTTAAATGAGGTGCTGTGCTTCTATCACTAAAGTTTATATATATATATATATATATATATATGCACATATAGGTATAAGAATTCATTTAGTATTATTTATATTGAAGAACAATCACTTGCCAATTTGATCAGTCACATTCCACTAATAAATTCATGAATCAGGGCTGCGTTTACACTACTATTATGAATTGTAGTTATTTAAGGTAGAGTTCCGGCTCTGCTCCTGGATTATTTATCAGGATGTGAAAATGAGAATACGCATGGAACCTTGATAGGCAAGTATGAAATTTATGCCAAATGGGAAAACTGAAACCATATATATTAATACTTTTTGGTCAGCACCAGTTACAAAAACAATTGCTTATCAAATAAAAAACTAATGAATAAAAATCTTTTCTTCAAAGACTACATCTCACAACTCCATCAGCAGAGACTCTTGGGTTGGGGATGGGCCTAGGGGCTCAGGACACGGAGCTCTCCGTACCAGCTACAGAGTCTGAGCTGATGCTGTTTGGTGATGAGACTAAAGCTTTAAAACTGAGAGTACTTCTGCAACCCCCATTAAAACACCTAAATGTCTTCCCAGGGCTATGAGAATGAAGACCGTCAGTTTTAACAGGACTAAGAGGGCTTTAAATTTTTCAGTGGTCTGTCCTCTCATCTTGCAGCAAATCTTCCTGTGTTCTCTGGCCTTCAGCTACACTGGCCTTCTGCTCTCTTCTTCTTCCACGAGCCTCTTGCATATGCTGTTTACTGTGCCTGAAATGTTCTCCCTCCCACCCCCTCACCAGTTGAACCTCAACTCAAGAATTTTCCTAAGGGCAGCTCGTTCTACCATATGCTCTCACAGCATCATAGAACCCTCCTTTCTAGTGCTTGTCTCAAATCTGTGAGTTTGCATTTATCTGTGAGATGTTTGAGTGCATGTCAGTCTCCCCCACCAGACAGTAAGTACCAAAAGGAAGGGGTCATATCAGTTTTTCCTCTCAATATATCCCAGAACTTAGTACAACTCTGGGGATATACAGTAAGTTTTGCCTTTTGTTTCATATTTTAGAGACAGGGTCTCACTGTCACTCGGGCTGGAGAGCAGTGGCACAATCATAGCTCACTGAAACCTTGAACTCCTGGACTCAAGCGATCCTCCCACCTCAGCCTTCAAGTAGCTGAGATTACAGGCACACACCCCACGAAGCCCAGGTAAGTTTTTTAATGTTTTGTAGAGATGAGGTCTTGCTATGCTGCCCAGGCTGGTGTCAAACTCCTGGCCTCAAGTGATCCTCGTGCCTCGGCCTTCCAAAGTTCTGGGATTACAGGCATGAGCCACCATGCATAGCCTATAGTAAGTTCTTAAGCATTTGAGGGAGAAAGGAAAGAAGGAATGAATGAATGAAAAGTTTAACTCACATATTCAGAGTTTTGGTATGGAGTGGAAAAGAGTTCAAGTTTTAGGGAAAAAGATTACATGGTAGACACAAATGAAAACCATTAAGGGGCAGAGCTAACTACAGCACGGGTAATTAGAATCAAAGCAAATACATTACTCTGTCTTCCTCAGTGCCTAAAGCACTACCTTTGATACTTCTGTTGAAAATTTGTGTGTGTGTGTTACCTAATTCTACTTGTCTGTGGTAGATGCTTCTTCTCTCTTTTTAAGTGTTTTGCTCTCCATCTCTCTTCCTTCCTGTAGACCTTACTATCTTATTTGGTTTTGGATATTTATCTCATTAGGAATATCAGTTTGTTTCAATCCTAATTATTTTCCCCATCGAGAATCTTACATCCTTTATGCTAAGTCATTTTCTTATTTTCTCAATGGTTAAAAGTTACTGGGAACTTTTCTTAGAATGATGTAAGATTTCATTTTTTCATTTTGAAAGAGGGCTCCATTGGCATTACACCACTCTATCAGAAAATGGGCCATGCAGAAGAAACAAATCTTTGATAAGTACACTATAGTACCTACCAAGGCACTGTCCATTCCAGCCTCGGAATCCTTCTGTGCAGGGAACGCACTGGTAAGATCCAGGAGAATTCACACACTGCTCATCTGGACAAGTGCTTGGATTCAAACATTCATCAATATCTGAAAAATCAAAAACCTAGGTCGTGAACATTTTATCAGAATACCAAAGCAAAATCTTACTTTGTGATGAAGGCAGCGGGGGAAAGCATGTTATATCTACATTTCAGTGGGAAAAACAATAATTGGGTAAGTGAGACATTGGGTCTATACTTAAATACATGGCAATAATGCATGGTCAAGCATACCTGGATTAAAATATTTGCATACATTCCAAGGAAGAACCTGGCCCCAATTCTTCAACTAGCAGGACCTGGCCTCTCCACTCTGGGAGTTGGCAGCTCCTCTAGGGCCAATTTCTGGACATGAAACCTTTCAAGTAATAGCACAGCTTTCCAGAAAGAAATACAAAGAATGGGGGTGAGTGTGAGGAAGCTATGTATCCACCCAGCTAGAGGTTCTCTCTGCAAACATTGGATGCTCTAGGGAAATTCTCACTTTGGCTTCATGGGCCCAAGAATATCCTAGGTTGGAATAATTTAAAACCTTTCATATGACAGGAATTCCTTGGAGGTGGAAAAAAAAAAAAACATGAGGAGAGAGTGAACTCATCACATACTTCCAAGCCTTTCCAGAAAACACGGTGATATGACCATATGGTAATATTTTCTGGTAAAAATACACCTTACTTTTCATATTCATAGCTAACTGAAGTCATTAATCATCATTCTTTCCAATTTGGGGAGAAAAAAATCTCCTAAAATATGGTTAAGTCTGTGAGGAGATAACTACGACAGCTTGAGGCATTTTTAAAAATTGTCAAACAATAAAATGAGGAAAAAGATATAAGAGAGAGTTCAACAGTTTAAAATAAGTGTTAACACCATGGCTTCTAGCTGCATTTGAAATAAGTGTTTTTTCTGAGGTGGATCTTGAATTTATATGAGTGGATTTAATGTTTAAGTATCCCAATACACAATGTATATATGACCTTTAATCGTACTTAAAATATAAACGGATTTTCAGGACATAAACTAGAGAAACAAAAAAAGAAAGAAATATATAATGGGTCCACTAAATATCCATGGGTATGTGATGTCTACATTCTAGTAAATACTTAAAAATTATCTCCCACTGCATACCATTAGACATGTGAAAAGATACTTAAAGTGAAAAAGTTAAAGATGATATTAACAAAATAAGCACCAGGTCAGTGTTGTAATTTTTTTTCTATCAGTAAAAATTCTTGCCAATGGCCAATGATACATAGTGGTTTTTTTAGGTCAGATGTTCTGGGACTTCTTGTTCTACAAAAAGATGGTGCTTGCCAGTTTCATTTTCCAAATAGCATTACATTCTCCTCTGGATGGGATATTTCAAAAAAATAGAACTACAACTGCTAAATCAGAGAATGCCATCGAGACAGGCTAGCCCAATAAATAGGGTGCAATGTTGAGCAATACAAGATAATGTCCCTGAATTTCTACCTGCTCTCACCTCGGCTTTTCCCCTCTTCTATAAATTAGGAACTACCTGCCTTATAATACCTTAACAGAATAAAGTAAGGATGCATGAGATAATGTCTGTAAACTACAATAGACTCCTTGGAGACTGGTGCTATTTGAAAGCAACTTCGTTAGTGACAGCTGAGAAAATCTTCTGTGTGCCAGAAGCCCGGGGACGTTTGGTTCTAGTCCATGATGAAATTTGAAAACAGCCGCGTTTCTTGGCTCCTTCTTCTTTTCAAGACTTTTCATGGGGATAGAATTATATATTATTTACTGAGGGAACGCTAGTCATCTTTCTCCCAAATAATTTTCATATATTGAATATCACCGAATATTCTCCTACAAGCTTCCAATTTAAGTACATAATTTTCCAATTTATTTTCTATTCCTTTCCATCCTATTACTTAAGTATCTTATCTTTCCATTCTTGACCCGTGTGTAGAACTTAAGAATCAGTATTTGGGCCGGGTGCAGTAGCTCACACCTGTAATCCCAGCACTTTGGGAGGCTGAGGCTGGCAGATCACGAGGTCAGGAGATCGAGACCATCCTGGCTAACACGGTGACACCCTGTCTCTACTAAAAATAGAAAAAAAAATTAGCCGGGCATGGTGGCGGTCACCTGTAGTCCCAGCTACTCAGGAGGCTGAGGCAGGAGAATGATGTGAACCCGGGAGGCGGAGCTTGCAGTGAGCTGAGATCGCACCACTGCACTCCAGCCTGGGCGACAGAGCAAGACTGTCTTTAAAAAAAAAAAAAAAAAAAGAAAGAAAGAAAGAAAAAAAGAAAGAGAGAGAGAAAGAAAGAAAGAAAGAAAGAAAGAAAGAAAGAAAGGGAAAAAAAAATCAGTATTTGACTTCTTTGTTGGGGGTTGGGGGATACTGCTCTGCACATAAATGCTTGTCAAATAAACACCCCATTTTTTTAAAGCACTCCCCGCAACTACAGAGGTGCTTGAGATCTATACAAACACAAAAGGAGTCAGGGATGGGGGGAGATTTAAAGAAACTATAACTTCTTGAAAACTAACAAAGTGACAGGCATCATACAAGTTATGGCAACATGAAGTTATTTTCATGAAAACCTGGAAAGTTAACTTCATGGTTCCTATTTTACAGATGATGTACTACGTTTCAAAGGGGCAAAGTCAGTGGCTACAGGTCAGGCAGTTACTGTGGGCGTGGTGAGCTGCTCCCACGCTGCATCTCTTCAGCAGAGGAGAGTTCCCTGGAAGAGCAGCGTGGAGACACTTTACACCTGTGCTTGTTCTGTAGCCTCGTGGCCCTCGGGGAGGGTACAAAACTCCATGCTGATCAGAGATCCAGCAACATAAAACACTCCCACTTCTCTCTAGATTAGAACCCAAGGGGCAGAGGCAAGACACCAGCAGGAGGGGCAAGTGTAGGCTGCCAAAAAATGTCTAATTAGCTCTCCCTCCAGGCCTGGGTCATTAGAGCAGTGAAGAAAACCAACAGGCAGAAGCCAGGGGACAGCTGAGGGCTGGCTGTGCCAACCTAGTCCATCCTGCCCCACCTAACAGAGCCCAGATCTATTAGGCTCTGCTGACAGCCAGGCAGGGAACCCCAAGGAACCAGCACCATGCTCCCGTGCCCTCACAGATCCCGTGTTCCTTCACCCTCATATTTCCATGACAGGTTTTTAGCAGAAGGTCAGTGTATTTCTTCATGAAAATAATTGCAAAAAAAGTGCCATAGTGTTTTGTTTTGTTTTGCTTTGTTTTTTGGAGACAAGGTTTTTCTCTGTCACCTGGGCTGGAATGCAGTGGCATGATCTCAGCTCACTGCAACCTCTGCCTCCCAGGTTCAAGTGATTCTTGTTTCTCAGCCTCCCAGGTAGCTGGGATTACAGGCGTGTGCCACCACATCCAGCTAATTTTTGTATTTTTAGGAGAGAGGGAGTTTCAGCATGTTGGCCAGGCTGGTCTCAAACTCCTGGCCTCAAGTGATCCACCCGCTTCAACCTCCCAAAGCACTGGGATTGCAGGCGTGAGCCACCGTGCCTGGCCTCACTACATTGGTTTCAAAAAGAACCAGAGCAACTTGGACACAAACGTGAAAAGAAATATGAAAAGGATAATAATTGTGACCATGCTATAAATACTTTTTATAACATTTTTATAATGAGAGAAAGCTCATTGCTGTGGTCAATAATGAGGAAATTTTATTAAGCACAGTTGGAATCTGACCAAAGTTTGTCAGACCATGCTTCTTGGGGAGTCTGTGAGAAAGTACCAGAACACATGTAAAAGAAAGCATTGGAGACAAAGGAATGTAAGTAGGTGAAAAGGTCAAAAACAAAAAATCAACACTGGTTACACCTGCAGCATGTTCCCAGATGAATGGTCCGGACTCTGTAATTAAGTCTGTGTTTCTACTAAATATGATGCAATTAATCATTCTATGGTGATTTCATTCCAAATACCAGAGAGGCAGATATTGAGGTGAAAAATAATGAGAGCATGAAGATGGAAAATAATCCCAAAAGAGCCAGTGAAAGGAAGAGGCAAAGAGCCTGTGAATCTAGGAAGCAGAAAGAGCTTGGATAAACTGGTGTCACGCACTGAGTGTGGGAAGGAAACAAGAACCAGGCAAGGTGCCTACCAACCCTGCACATCACCGTCATGTGTGCTGAACACTCTCAGCTGACTCACCCTCACAACGGCCTCTCTGAGTCATGCGGTACCCGCTGTCACAGTATTCACACCGGAAGGCCCCCACAGTATTGACACAGTGCCCCTCCCCACAGACGTCCGGCCTCAGGCATTCGTCAACATCTACGAAGAGCAGATAGCATTGTTGAGTTTTGTGTTCCAAATACTGTTTCAAACCTCTCCCATCTCCCAGCTTAGCTCAAATATAATAACGAAGTAACTGATTTCTTTTTTTTTTTGAGATGGAGTTTCGCTCTTGTTGCCCAGGCTGGAGTGCAATGGTGTGATCTCGGCTCACTGCAACCTCCACCTCCTGGGTTTAAGCAATTCTCCTGCCTCAGCCTCCCAAGTAGCTGGGATTACAGGCATGCACCACCATGCCTGGCTAATTCTGTATTTTTAGTAGAGACAGGGTTTCTCCAAGTTGGTCAGGCTGGTCTCAAACTCCCGACCTCAGGTGATCCGCCAGGCTCGGCCTCCCAAAGTGCTGGGATTACAGGTGTGGGCCATGGCGCCTGGCCAGTAACTGATTTCTACTTTCCCTTTGATTTGTTTGACACACATCAAAATCATCCAGTTTTGATTCATGCAGGGTGGTCCAAAAGTAACATTTAATGTATCTTGTCTATGCACATATATGACACTCTTTCTTCAAAAATGTTAGGGGAAAAAAATCCATTTTTATATCACCTGGGATCTAGCAGACTGCTGTCATGATAATTGTTTAATAAAAAATTCTGGGTTGTCTGGATAAGCACTGAACTGATGATAGTCTTAGGGGATCTAAAAACTCAGATCTAAGAATTTGTAAGCAGGAAGAATGCTGCCATTACCTATGCAGTTAGTACCCTCCTCACTGGCCATAAATCCTGCTGGGCAAATGCACAAGAAACTTCCCTCGGTGTTTTCACAGCGGCCCTGGGAGCAGAGGTGTTGGACCTGAGTACACTCATCAATATCTGTTAACAAAAATACATATAAAAATATTAGTTCTGTGTAGCAAGAACTTAGTTTCCCTGTTCTGTAAAATACCATCATACTATTCCCTGGGTACCACCCAACCTTTATAACTGAGGACAACAGCAAAAGGAGACACGATCTTTCTCCTCGCGTACTTGAAGGATTGTTCCTGGAAGAGAGAAGCAGCCTACTGTGTATCACTTCAAAGGCTAAAACTACAAAACCATGACACTGGTGTTTCAAAGAGGCAGATTTCAGGTCAACACAGAAGGATTCTCCTGATAACGAGAGACATCCAAGCAATGGAATTTGCTGTCAGTAGGGAGTCAGAAATGCCATGAAAGAGACTCTTCCTCCGTGCATGTGGATGGAGTTGGATTAGGTCATCTCTGTTGCCTTTCTAACTTAATATTCTAGGTTCTGAAAGTGACACATATAATGTATACAAATGACAAGGAAATAGCCAAATTATGGACCAGGTGGCTGTCTCCTTTCTCCCCCATACACACACACCAAACAGCAAAATTCACATATACTAAAGAAGTATTAATTAGATATGTTCCTTTGTTGCTTCCTATTGGCCTCATAATTTAGTGCTGAATTTTCTTTTTCTTAAAAAAAAAAAGAGAAATTAAATTTAGAGTCACATTAAAATGATTTATTTAACTCTACTGCATATCTTTCTGAGATACTTTTTTTTTTTCCAAAAGGAGCATATATGAGATCCCTAAATTTCTAAATTGACTGACACCTTCAGGCCAGCATATATGGATTTTCAATTTTAAAATCCCTTTAAAAAAATCAAGTCTTATGTACATAAATGAATGTAATTCTTTACTGCAGTATACACTAATGTTAATTTGTTTTTGCTAAATACATGTTTTTAGGTAGCTGTTTCTGTAATTCATATTTTGTTTACTTTACCCAAAAAGCTTTTGGAAATTATTTCACCTTTATGTAAATATATTACATTTGCGAGGTAAACAAATGTTGAACAAAGAGGTAAGAGAATTCCAGTTGTTTAGCAAACCTTTTTTTGAGCTCCCTTAGCTAAGGGATAAACTTTCAAAAAATTAAACCAGTAACACTTTCCCAAAATGGTTAAGTTGGTTTAAGAAAAAAATGTTCTTAATGTTCAAATGTTTGATATTTAATAATTTAGTCAATCAAATTGTCTCTTACCCACACATTTCCTCTGTTGTTCACTGAACCTGTAGCCCTCGTAGCATATACAGGTATATCTCACTGGTAGGTTAATGCAGTGTCCTGCTCCACAGATATCAGGGTTCACAGTACATTCATTGATTTCTTTAAAAGTAAATAAAATAATGTGAAAAAACCCACAGAAATGAACAGATTTCACTGCTACTCTCAAAGTATTACTTTGAGTTTCCTGACCAACTAGCAAATTATTGCCAGCTCTACATTTAGAAGACAAAGGTGACCTCTGACATCAAGTATAAATTCATGTGATTACTTTATAATGGATTAGTTAGTCCTATCCAAGGACATCAATAGTTCCTAGTAAAGCCATTTTTAAGATGAACTGAAGTGAGAAGAAACTCAGAAAAAGGCCATGTTGTAAGTTGTAAGAAAATCAATTATTAATAAAACAGCTTCCAAAATGGCCTATTAATGAGTTTCTATTCATTGTAGTTCATCTTAGATGATAGAGTCTGAATCACCAATAGGTAAGAGATTTCTTATCTATTGATAAGAAACACATTGTAACTTTCCATTCTTTAGCAGGCCATATTTGAGTTTCAACAAATACATCCAATCTCCTCCAAAATTTATCATTAATCCCCCCAAAGACCTCCCACTTCTAAACAAAGAAAAACTTCTTGGTGTATCTTACTCTTATTTGCCAATTTCAAAATGAACATATTTTATTTCTACTGGTAAAGTAGAATCTTTTCCCAAATCTTTTCTGCTAAATTCCTCCCTTACTCCCTTACTGAGCCCTGTGTAAGACTGGCTTCTTCTATATATCCTGTACAGATTAGCCCTGTTCAAGTCCTCAGTCTACTCACAGACATACACTACAGTGGAGGGAGGGTCTTAGGAGTCCATGGTTAGGTGGAGTCCATCAAAAAAAAACCCAAGGACTCAAAGGGGGCCTTCTGAGATTAATTACTCCTTTAAGATTTTCTGTTTCCAATGTCCTTTGTAAGAAGGTCTAATGGCCTAGTGAAGGTGGCACAGCTGGTGGTTAGAAGCACTGGCTTGAAGACAGTGCAGGCACAAATGCTGCTGCCCTTTACAGTTCTGCAGAATGGGGCAAGTGACCTCACCATTCTATGCCTCACTTTTCTACATGTGTAAAATGGAAATAATCAGAGTTCCAACTTCAAAGTATGAGAATGAAAGAGATGCTCTAAATAACGCATGTAGCCAATGCCTGGCATATTATATGTGCTCAATAAAAGTTACCATTATTGTTCATATTGAAGTCATTTAAGAATATATTTAAAAACCAACACATTTATACCAATACTACCTTGGGCTATTATCTGTCATCGTATAGTAAACAAGGCTCAAAAGAGAGGCTGGTATGAATGAGGCCAAGCGACCCTCCAAGGTAAATAGTTTGGCGCCTCTGAGCATGACAACCTAGGAGCACAGCTTTGTTAGAGAGGTCTGTGGTTTGAATGAGAAGAAAAGCAGGTGGGCTATTCTCGCTAATAACACACTGTCTATTCTGCAGTAAAAGGATGTGGAAAACAGTGCTTTAACACAGATTCACTATGGAAATGACCTAAATTGGGGTTGAGGTTGCTCTCCGAAACCAAAACCACATGCTTCATTTTTCATAAAGTATTCACTGTGCTGTGACTTTGAGACTACTCATGCAAGTCATCTGAAAAAGGAAGCATATGAACTTCAGCATTTTACACAAAGTCACCTGGATGTATGAGAAATGTATGCACACCCCATGTATTTACAAATTACTTATACCTTTTGTGAGTCTAGTTATGTTAATTCACTTTCAGGAAGATACATTTGTTTATAGTGAAAATATTATCAAATTATAGGAAAAATAATTCAAAAGGCTAAAAACATGGGTAATTAATATGACTGCCTAAACTTAAGTGACTGGCAATAATAACACAAAACAATGAATTATACATACAGCACAGCATATAATCATTAACAAGATAGGAAAATGCTTATTTGTTAAAAAAACACAGGCACAAATTATAATATAGAATATAATCTCCATTATACTACAATACACACAGAAAAGAAGGTTGGAGGGAAGTAGATCCAAGTTTTATGGTTTTTAGGATTAGCATTTTCTTCATTTTTTTTGGTACTTTTTAAAATTTTTACACTAAGCATGTCTTGGCACTTTCATAATCTGAAAAGTCTTCCTTAAAAATATAACTTGTATGTACCTAAAATCTGAAGGTAAAAGGTAATCTTCACCAGGTTATACTCATGGACTTTCAGGTAAGAATTCTCTTCTGTTTATAGGAATTTTTTAGTGAAACAGCATGAGATGCACACGACTCTATATTATACATAGAAGCTTCCTTTGCAAGTTACTGGTGTTTAGATTTCTTGGGTTTTTTCCCGGGTGGTTATTGACCTATCTTTATACTCATCTCTGACATTTTCATAAAGCAGAAAGACATGTTGACCATATTTGCAAAAAAAAAAATTAGAAGGTGAATTAATATATTCAGGGCAAGGGTTCAGAACAAATTAAGAGGCTATAAATCTGGGGTTTTCATGAAAAGCTTGATGAGTAGTCACTAACCCACTCCCACAATACCAATTTGGTGATTACCAAGTATTTGTCATTTGGCAGGGACAGCCTTAGAATGGAACTTCTTTATATGTGTGAACAAGTCTTCAAATATATGTGATGCTTAATTAAAATGTGATATATTCCTATGCCACAAATTGCCAACATAGCTAAAGTGTTTCTTCTCAAAAGTCAGCTCTGAGGTAGGAGAAATAGTGAAGAAGTATAACTCTTTAGTCTTAGGAATAAAATGAGTAATAATGGCCTTTCCCACCAATCCAATATCTTAGATAGAAGCTAGGAGGTTGGAATTTGATAAAAAATGTTTGTTGATTTTTAGTTGATTACCTCATACATAAGTATATAGAGACGTGGCTTGCAAACGCTGAACATGTCTGTCAGGATCACGTTACATGTAAGAAAATGTTAGGCTGACACCACTAGAGGGTACTAAGAGATACAGCAAAGGAAAGAGGGACACTTTCTGAAACATACTTGATTTCTACTTCTTCCCATTTTTACACAAGTGATTAATTAATGTAACTGTCATCAGTTTGACCTCAGAGATCCCTTCCATCCTTTGCCAGGCAGGATTCCATTCTTTTTTTTTTTTTTTTTTTTTTGAGACGGAGTCTTGCTCTGTCACCCAGGCTGGAGTGCAGTGGCACGATCTCGGCTCAGTGCAAGCTCTGCCTCCCGGGTTCACGCCATTCTCCTGCCTCAGCCTCCCAAGTAGCTGGGACTACAGGCACCCGCCACCACGCCCGGCTAATTTTTTTGTATTTTTAGTAGAGACGGGGTTTCATCGTGTTAACCAGGATGGTCTCCATCTCTTGACCTTGCGATCCACCCACATCAGCCTCCCCAAGTGCTGGGATTACAGGCGTGAGCCAAGGATTCCACTCTTGTAGGCAGACAGAAAACAACCATCACACCTTCAAAACACCCCTGTCTGCTTTCTATTCACTACTTATCAAAAAGTTGAACATCAGAGGCTGTGTGCAGTGGCTCACGTCTGTAATCCCAGCACTTTGGGAGGCCGAGAAGGGAGGATCACTTGAGGCGAGGTCAGGAGTTTGAGGCCAGCCAGGACATGGTGAAACCCCATCCTTACTAAAAATAGAAAAAATTAGCCAGGTGTGGTGGTGGGCACCTGTAGTCCCAGCTATTCGGGAGGCTGAGGCAGGAGAATCGCTTGAACCCTGAGTGACAGGGCGAGACTTTGCCTCAAAAAAAAAAAAAAAAAAGTTGAATATCAGGTAAAAAAATAAATTACTGGTACTTATACTTTAAAACATATAAAACATGTCTCCCTCATATCTCCCCTGTGTTTTCTCTCCTTTTCTAATAGGTTTTCATTCCTGAGCACATAGACAGTACACAAGTCCTGAGAATGTTGTCTTAAAGAACAGGAAAAGTGTTCTGCATTTTCTGTTTTTTAGGGCAAAGACAAGATGCTTTATATTTTTCCTAAGTGGTCACTCACACATCGGCATGCAAACCTTTTCCCACCGAGTAGATCAGTTCATGTAGAAGAATATGATTCTTTGAGCAAACTGTGTCAATATAAACTCTAGAAACTGGGCTCTGTCTGATACACCAGAGTCAAGCCTCACATAGACAGCACTCATTTCTTGTGTCAGGGGTATGTATGCTGGTGAATGGGAATGTCTTGTCTTTTTAGCATGCTTGGCTTTCTTGGCTTTGCAGAGAGACGATTAAGTGAGTGCTCCCCACTGGACTCTCTCACATGTCCTTCATAATGCCACCTGGTTCACAGGACAGCCCTACTCTTCCCTACTATATCTGCTCCCTGAAAACCTCATCTTCACCAGGTCAAGGACCTTATTCTATTTCTTTTGCTGGAGTCCATCTAGAATATGGAAAAAGGGCCATGACAGAAAGCCAGTGATGGAAAACCAAATACTCTATTTATACCAGCAACAAGGCCAATGGTAGATTTAACAGTGTGGTATTTTTACTCTATTTTCTAAAATTAAATGAAACAGAAAGCTTTTAGCAAAATATGAAAATGACTATACTGACTTTTAGCTTTTTTCTTCATCATGTGATTCCCTGAATGAATGAATGAATGAATGAATGAATGAATGGAGTCTGGAAATACTAAAGCATGATGATTTCACATGGAAATAAAAGAGTTCATTTTCTATCCGCATACACAGTTTATTGAGGCAGTAATGACACTGGTAATATGCTTGAGGGACAAACATTTTTGGGTCATTTCTGAGTTCTGGAAAAGATCTGATGAGCAAATAGTTTTTTTAAATGTCTGGGCCATGATAATTACAGAGGTTTCCACAAGGCAGTTAACTCAGTCAAAGAATAATTTCTGACCAGTCTGCAAGAGCCATGGAGAAAGCTTGGGAAGAGCCAGAGGAAGGCATCAAATGTTAACTCATGGAAAGGTTTACAAAAATGCCCTGGCTTCCTAACTGCCCCACAGTGAGCATAGATTGTCCCACAACAATTGAAACAGATGTTTCCACTTTGTAAATATCTGCCAGAGAAATAAAAGTTTGATTTTCCCAACCTATCCTTTAGCTATTAAGACACTATGCTAAATCAAGAATTTATATGCTGAAACATATAATTCACTTGAAAATGGTATGCCAATAATGTTGCGAGCCACCAAGTCAGCTGTTAAGAGTGGAAAACATCACACGTATTTCCTGCAGATATGTGGCTCACTTTATAATTATCACATGTCAAAGTGTGTTTAGCTAAATGTGAAAAGGCTACTTCCAATTTCACCATCGTAAAGATATAATCACTAAACAATGTGGAGCTGATGGTATTCATTTTAGACTCTTACGTATTGTTCTATCCCTGTCTTCAATCATGGGAGAAACTAACAGTAACAAATAATATTTACCTCCTCTGTGTTTTAGAGACAAAAACATTATTATGCAATATTCCTGAGAGAACTGATGAGATTGCTCCTTAAATCTGTGTTTGGCTCCCATATGAAACCGATGGGAACATACACATTTTGAGTTAAATTATATTTGATACAAAACAGTCTTCTTGTGCTAATGCAGATCACTATGTATAGTGTAGCTCTAAAGTTGCAAACCACTTCATTTCAAAGACTATCTATACTGTTCCCCCTATGGATTCTTTCAGAAATATTCTTTTACTACAGAAAGTGGAAGTACCTACAACTGTTGCATGAAAAGAAAATCTGCATCACTTGTTTCTTGGAAGGATATATTCATGCTTCAAACATGTGACAGCAGATGTCAGCCCTGTATTTCTGCCAAACTCAAATTAAGCCTCTAACAAGTTGTGTTTTAACAACTTCCTATAGCAAGGCTACTTGCATTGTTTTTTTAACCAGCTCTGCAGTTCAGTTGAAGCTGAGTAACTTCAATTTGTTACCCTTCACACAGCTACATTTAAATGTTGAAACTGCATTTACCTAACTGAACTTAACCTCTACAAAGCTAGTTTGAAAGAGGTTTGTCCATTTAAGTCAGCCATGCCCATTCAAAACTAGAGTTTATCTTCACATTGAAAAAATTGAAATGCAGTATTTTGAAAGAACTAGTAAATTACAATGTCTTACTGCATTTTTTTCTTTTTAACATTACTATAAACAATTAGAAGATCCTTGCTGTCCAAAATAGTGTATTATTTGCTTGTATACTTTGCAGCACAAAGCAGTCTCTTATCAGTGTGCTCAATAAAGTGGGTAGATACATACATGACCTCAGAATAGAGAATAACAATTTTAGCCATGGCCATTAAAAAAAATCACCATCATTTTGTCACAGGATCCTTGGGGTATCACTTTGCCAGCCAGAACCTCTGTGGCTGGTGGCATCTTTGCCCAAGTTTTGCTTGCACCCACTGAGCTTGTTCTACCCACTCAGCCCAGCAGGCTGTGCTTGGCCTGTGCTGCCAGCCCAGATCCCACACTTGCCAAGGGCAAGCCAGGTGTGGAGCAGTGAGGGGTGTGTGAGCAAGCAAGCATGGGGTCCAGCCACTACACACAGCCAGGCATCCCAGCTGCTGTAGCAGACTGGGCAGCTCCAGGTGCTGGCACAGGTGCAGGCTTCATGTGAGGCTGTGGCTGGACCAGATATACTGCCAGTAACTTCTGCTGCAGGCACCAGCATCTGGAGATGGCGGACACAGTGCTGCCCGAAAGCTCGGAGATGCCAGAAACCACACAGCACCAAAGAGGCTGTTACAGCCCTGGCTTGGGGAGCCCCTAGGTTTGGGCTCCCCAAAGGGCCACAGCTCTTCTTCCCTTCTCGGCACCCTCAACATGGTGAGTGGGGGGGTCATGTTTCAGCCCCGTTTGTGTCATAGCTCTTTCAGTACCACCATTTGGTGGGCTCTGAGTTCTTGTCCCACATCCAGGAAGAATGAGGTATACAGAAAACTGGAGGGTGAGCAAGGTGGAGAGGAGCTTCACTGAGTGACGTGACAGCTCTCAGGATACCCACAGTGGGTAGCTCCTTTCTGCGGGCACGTCATCCTGAAAAGCTGAGGAGACCCGAAGTGGGTAGCTCCTTCTCACAGCTGGTACTCCTGACATCTGTGTGAGTTTGGCTGAGTCCAGGGTTTTTATGGGCTCAGAATGGAGGAAGTGTGTGCTGATTGGTCCATGGGTGATCATGGAGGGCCTAGAAAAACACCATCTGATTGGCCAAACTGTTATCGATGAAGTCTTCACTCTGGACCGTGGACTACACCTGGAACTGGCAGCCTGGCCCCCAGGCTTCAGGCCATTCCTGGCTTGAAGGTGGGGTTTCACTGAGGACTCACCCCTTTCCACCCAGGAACCTGTCTGCCTCCCTCCATCAACATGTTGTCCACACACCCAGGCTATTCATGCTGAGGGGCACCTGCAAGCCCACACTGAGCTACCCTCAGCTTACCCTCAGCTTCCCTCCCATGCTCATTGGTGCCCAATGTCCAGAGGGGGCCAAGGCGACAGGGGACTGGCATGTCAACACTCACCCAAGCACATGCACAACTGGCTGGGTTGCAATAGCACTTGGGCTTGGCCACAACTTTGCTCCACCCTGGAGCAGGCGCTGGCAGCGGGGAGAGGCCAAGGAGTGACAGCAGGCACTTCTGAGCCTGTGGTGAAAGAGGGACTTCCCAGCCCCTTAGAGTGCAGGGATGTCTAGATCTGGAGCCGTGGCTAGGTGACTGTAGCTGCACCCTGAAGGGCGAGGCTCCTGTTCTACTGACTCACTAAGTGGCCAAAAGCTTAACATATGAGAACATTTCTATTAGAAAGGAACCATAACATGTTTCTGAGGAGGGAATATTCTAAAGGAGGCTCCAAACTCTTCCATTTAGCTCCTATAACACATTGTCAACCTCATCCTGCAGTGGTATCATAAATTCAGTTAAAGTTGATGATGATGCCCCTTAGTGACATTTTTGCTGACTCTAAAAATAACTGTTCAGTTTAGAAAATATGGAAAATAAAAAAATCTAAAATAAAACACTTAAATCTCTCAGATGCCACTAAAAAAAAACCACTGCTAATATCTAGTGTATTTTCTCCCAGCATTTTCTCAGTGTATATATGTCTTTAAAAAAACTGGTATAATACTCTATATCATTCAGTTTTTTATCCTTCATCTTAAATTTAGCAATATTGTATGACTACTTCCTGCTATATTTCAATAAAAATTCTTCAAAAATACTATATTTGGTGGCAACATAATGTTCCAATGTATAGATGTAACATAATTATCTATTTCCCTGTAGTTGAATGTACAGTTATTTCTATTTATTCTGTATTATACATTGTCTGTGATAGGTAACCACTCATATAAACTCCTACCCACAGCCTTTGGGAATATTATTTCCTTAGACAAGATGTCTTAAAATAGAATTACTGGGTCAAAAGTTCTGAATAGTTCTGAAGTTTTTTATACATATTGCCAATTTGTGCTTTATACTCTGTGAAGGTTAATTTCATGAGTCAACTGGACTGGGCTAAGGGATGTCCAGATAGCTGATCACATATTTCTGGGTGTGTCTGTGAGGGTGTTTCTGGAAGAAAAAGGCCTTTGAATTGTTAGACTGTGTAAAGAAGATCACCCTCAGCAGCGTGGGTGGGTATCCTATCTGCTGGGTGCTGGGCTCAAACACAACAAAAAGGCTGAGGAAGGCAATCTGCTCTACTTCAGCTGAGACATCCATCTTCTCCTGCCCTCAGACGCTGGTATGCCCGGTATCCAGGCCTTCAGACTCAGACTCAGACTGGAACTTATGCTATCAACTCCCCTGCTTCTCAGGCCTTTGGGTTTGCACTAGAACTATAACACCAGCCTTCCTTGGCCTGGAATTTCTCAGCCTTCAGAATGGTGTGAGCCAATCCCTCACAATAAAGCTCTTTCTACATATCTGGATATATCCTGTTGGTTCTGTCTCTCTGGAGAACCCCAACACATACTCCCTTTAGCAATGTGAGAGAGTCTCAATCTCACCCTAATAAAAAAATTTGATTGGGTTTTACATACTAATTTGATAGGAATAAGGTATTATCCTAGGTTAGTTTGCCTTTCTTTGATTACCAGGAAAGTCGAAATTTTCTGTTACATGCTTCTTGGTATTGTTTTTTCCTACAAATTATCTGATTATATTATTTTTCCATTTCTCTATTGTTAGTATTTTTCCTATTGATTTATAAGAGCTCAATACACATTAAGGATATGGACATTTAGAATTTTGCATTTGTTTCAGAATATAAAACATTTTATGCTATTTCACTCATGATTAAAATAATATGTTTATTATACAGAACTTTGAAAATAAAAATATATTAAAGAACATAATTATCCATGATCCAGTATTAACTGGTGAGAACAGAACACTGATGCATTTTCTTTCTTTTTCCGTGTTTGTAGAAATTTTAAAAGTAAAATGGTAATCATTACATCATATTCTTTTTTTTTTTTTTTTTTTGAGACAGAGTCTCGCTCTGTCCCCCAGGCTGGAGTGCAGTGGCACAATCTTAGCTCACTGCAAGCTCTGCCTCCTGAGTTCACGCCATTCTCCTGCCTCAGCCTTCTAAGTAGCTGGGACTACAGATGCCTGCCACCAGGCCCAGCTAATTTTTTTGTATTTTTAGTAGAGATGGGGTTTCACCGTGTTAGCCAGGATGGTCTCAATCTCCTGACCTAGTGATCTGCCCACCTCGACCTCCTGAAGTGCTGGGATTACAGGCATGAACCACCGCACCCAGTCCTTTTTTTTTTTTTTCTTTTTTTAGACAGAGTCTCGCTCTGTCACCAGGCTGGAGTGCAGTGGCGTGATCTTGGCTCACTGCGATCTCCGCCTCCTGGGTTCAAGCGACTCCCCTGCCTCAGCCTCCCAAGTAGCTGGGACTACAGGTGCGCACCACCACACCTGGCTAATTTTTTGTATTTTTAGTAGAGACGGGGTTTCGCCATGTTGGCCAGGATGGTCTCGATCTCTTGACCTTGTGATCTGCCTGCCTTGGCCTCCCAAAGTGCTGGGATTATAGGCATGAGCCACCGCACCCAGCCTGTATTCTGTATTTATTAACAGATTATGCCATATTTCCTCATGATATTAACTACTCTTTTCAAACATTATTTTAATACTATGTGATATTCTGTTTCATATATACTATAATTTATTTCCACATACTCCTCCTTTTTAACTGTATTTAGATGATTTCCAAATATTTGCTAGTATGGCTAACCCTGCCATGAGCAAGCTTATATAATGGATACTACATTTAAAATGAAGCTCAGCCCCACGTCTCCTCCATGTGATATATAATGTAAAAATACTGCACCAACCTGTCACTTGAGTAGGAGCAATCACTTGGCTGGCACTAGACGTAGAAGCTTCAGGAGCTACTTCAACAGGCACAGGAGGTGATGTTTTTTCAATCACTACTATATGAGGAAGCAGAGGATAAAAAGAAAATTAAAGCCCGTTATGTGCATTGAGATCCCATTTCAAAATGCAAGCATAATTTAGTCTAGCAATATATCACAGCATTTGTCAGATATAAAGAACTGTTCTATGTCCCAAGGCTCTGGGTTCAACATTTAGCAAGAATATCTGAGAGTGATGCGGAAGCCAAGAAAAATGATCGTTCATCAAATGATAACCTTCAATAATGTCTGAATAGTGTATACTACTCCTGATCACAGAAAACAGTAAAAAAAAAAAACCTATCTTTCCCACTACAATCCTTACAATGCTGTAATTATGCTAACATTATATAAGTATATTACTATACTTAACACTGAACTTCAGTTATGAAGTCTAGTAATTTACTACACAAAGTCAAAGACAAAAATTTCCCGTCTTACATTTTTATTCAGAATACTCTGACAAACAGCACAGATCAACACAGGCTACCTGGAAACTGTGGATGCAGATGAATAGTGGAAATGCCTGGAGACAGCTGGGGTTGACCAGGCTCAAGTTTGGTTTTCTCTTGATCCAATGAAGGTATTTCCTGGATGGTTGTATTTTAAAAGAGAATAAGAAAAAAAAAAGAATTGAAAGTGGAAATTATTTTTAGTTTCCCACATATTACTATTTTTATGTAATTAATTATATTCTTAGAAAGGCAAAGAAATATCATAGGACCTTACATGTATAATTGTGTGAAATTACAAAAAAAAAAAAAAAAAAAAGAACCTTTGATGTGGTGCTACTATGGAAAGCCCTAAATTTTTCCCAGTGGTGCTAATCCACGCACATATCTTCAGCCATTTCCCTGAGGCCCAAAGTCTGATCTTGTAAGTAAATGTCTTGGCCCAGGGGTCCATATTTGGTCTGCAACAGGGCAAAACTAACCCCCAACGAGGACTATTGCCTCATTCACATGTGGCTCTGCCCCACTAAGATGACCAGCCACAGTTTGCAGATTAAATAATGGATATAGCAGATGTGCCATAACAAAGAACACATGGTAAGTTAAAATATTTTAAACCAGTCAGTTACTATGGCCTTCTTTAACCTCACGTCTGATAACTTTACAACTCCAGCTCTCTGAACAGTGGTAGCCAGGCAGAGCAACAGAAATGTGCTGGCTTGGAGAAGGATTTGGGGCTTCATCACACATTTTGGTGCCCACGCTTGTCCCCTGGACCTCAAGCAAAGAAGCAGTCCATCATCCGTGGCTCAGCTTCCATTTACAACTGTGCAGGGCTCAGGCAGACTGAACAATTAGCCTAGTTAAGGATCTGTGACTTCACTCACACCAGATGTGACCAGGGAGCTCATATCACTACATTCAAGTACTCATCGAGTTACTTGGTTCTGTCCTCTTCCAGAAAGCTTACTCCTCTGGCCTCTGTTAACCTCTTATCCTCTTCTCCTGGCTTCAAGTATCACCTATTTTCTGCTTTTTCTAAGATAGTCTGCCTGGATATCTCATCATAAATCCAACTTTGCAAGCACAAATGCTTACAGGGTAAGTCCATTTAGATATCCCACAGATACCTCCAGCCTACCCTTCCAAAACCATCCAGGCTCTCATTCCAACTTCATTTCTACCAGTGCCACAGTCATTAATCTGTCCCATCCAGGTTTAAAGTCACCTTTTAGTCCTCCCTCTTTCATTTTTCATTGCAAGCCCCGTCCATTGACACTTTTTTCTTAACAGTTGTTCACCCTTTTTCATATCCATAGATCCCACCACCCTAGGCCGGACTCACTCTCATTTTCAGTTTATTGTAATAATCTAACTGGCTTCCTCTTTCTTCTTAACTTGAGTAGACCTACCAAAATTCAGCTCCTACAAATACTGAGCACTTAATAGTTTTTCCCACATTTCCTCTGTCTTCTTAAAACTAGCTTTCTATTACTTACTAGAGATGACCTCAACCAGTCTCAATTGCACCCCATTCCCTGCAGCCATGGCCAATGCCAACAAGGAACAGACCAGGATCAGGTGTTAATCCACTACTGCAGTTTACAGAATTTCCCCCATCACCGTGAGGCAGCAGACTTCCTAATCTACACCACTTCTACATTTAACAAATACGGTCCAGTCGAGAAGCAGGGTATTTCCCCACTGATTACAATGGCAGTTTGGTACTCTAAGCCTTCCAAAGCAGTCCCTAATTCGGTTTCTGACCAAGTCTTTCATGACCCTTGCTGTCCCCTCTACCACACCTTTGCACATCTCTGGGTATCCTTTCTTTTCTTCATCCATCACATAACATCATGAGACTTTTTTAAGTACCAAGACAACAAAGGCTATGATTGCATTTTTCGTACTATCTCCTCCCCAAATAAAATGCAGTAAAAGTATACAAGAAAATTTTGGGGGTTTTTTAGATTTTTAATGAGAGTTATTAAATTCAATCATAAAGACAGAAGAACTGAGTCGTGATGAGGCTGCCAGGATGCTGGCTGGCCCACCTACAAGCTAAATAATTACTTCCATACATCAACCAGGACTAAATTCAAAATCAACAAAATTGCAAACTACTCGCTGTGACTGATCTTTAGAGATGCTAAGAGCTTCAAAAGTACACAAAAAGTATGCATATCTGTTATACATTTTTTGGTCTCAAAATACTATAACCTCTTTCTGGACGAGTGCTATCACTCCAAAATTGTAAGTCTCTTTTTCTTATTTCAGCACTTATGTTATGACATATATGTTACTCTATCCCATAATTATAAGATTTAGAATACTATTTAAAATAACTCATGTATGTATTGCCTCATCTAAATTCTAATAATGCATTCTTGTCAGCTTAAAGAATGGTACATAAATGTATAAATATTTAATAATTACCTAATTTTCATGTAATTATTATGCAGAAGGAGATAAAAAGAAAATTAAAGCCTGTTACATGCATTGAGATCCCATTTCAAAATGCAACGATAATTTAGTCTAGCAATATATCATAGTAGTTCTCTGACATAAAGTTCATTCATTTAATGAAAATGGATGTTTTTATTAAAGAAAGAAAGCCGGATTCAGAGAAGGAACAATATTACATAAATAGGACTTAGATCCAGTAAATGTTTACATTTCCTACTAAAATGTCTCACAATTCATAGCCCCCATCTATGCCCAAAAGCCAATAGACTGACTTTTCAAAAAGCAACATTCTAGTATTTGATTGTAACTTTTAAGTGTAAGTTCTGTTCTTACTCAAACTCAATTCAAACATGTATGTTAAATTTTAGTTGAACTAAGAAGTACTTCACTAACTATATATGTGCTCTAAGAATACATGATTATCTAAGCATGTCACAGCCTTTCTTTCACAGATGGTCCAGGCCATCAGGTGACATTGAATTCTATTTATGCCCTTGATTCCCATTAGTTTCCCATTTTCTTCTCACGAGAATTGAAGCTTCATGAAAGTAGAGATTTTTGTCCTATTTGTTCTCTATTGTTTTCCTAACACTGAGAAGAGTCCCAATCTATGACAATGGCTCAATAAATTTTTTTGGAATAACTGAATGCTATATTAACTCAAACCAAATGATGCATAATAGAGATGTTACTATATTTAAGTCTAAAAAATCCATACATATTCTAATAGAAAATCACTTTGAGCGTTGAAAAAAAAAGACTTGCAAGCAATGAATAAATTACCTTTTCAGGGGGTGCAGTTGCCACTAAAACCAGAAAAGAAAAAGGGTATTAGTACCATTTAAGACAATTCAGTCTATTATATTTCAATTCTTAAAAAACAATAGAAGTCCATTATCTCTGCAAAAGGATTAAGAATCAGACTAAAGCAAATGCAGAATTAGGATCATCTGCCATTTTAGGGAATTTTACACATGACTAACAGAGAACTCTCAGTGCTGTTACTCCTCAACTACTGGAGCACATGGAGAAGATGTGAACAAGTCTTTCAAACTCTTTCAGAATTAAAATTAAAAGAAGAAGGCAATACTTTCTGGTACAACATTTTATGCCTTATCTCAGTTATGTGGAACTTTCCATATGTTAGAAAACAAACATTTTCATTAATTGGTTAAAGGTTTATCCTTATGGTATATAATGTTTGAAATGCTTTCTGGTGTCAAGTGTTAAAAAAGAATGTCACTTATTTCAGTAAGAGACATGACAGCATGTGCTGCATTCTTGATGTATTCCAATCTTTAATGAAGCCCCGTGAATATTTTCAAAAAGATATGCTAACTAAATTACGAAAAAGAATCTCACAAGCCAGGAAGAGCCAATTAGAGATTAGCATCAATATACTGAACAAATTATACATTACACAATCATAAACGTTATTGTGAGGGTGTTGGTGATGCCTTTGTATTTTTAAAGACTTGCTTTTCATTAATCAGTCCTTCATATTAGTTCTAAAGCCCTGGATCAACATTCACCAGGATTTTTCTCATAAGTCAATCAATGTCTCCTGTAAAAACATTAGTTTACAGGTTGGGCAGGAGCATTAAATCCTGAAAGCAATCAGGGTACCAGACAAAGTAAAATCATTGCTGCAATATTCTTGGGGTTGGAGAAAGTCAATAACCTTCTATTCTGCCTAACCTACCACGAAGAAGGTCTTGAGGCAAAATCTGGAACTACGGCCCATTTCCTCCTGCCTGTGCAAACAATGAACAGTTGCAAACATCTGGTCATGATACTAAGTGTCCAGGGGCAAACTGATTAATACTGTTGATTCCAGCTGAGGTTTTGCCTGTTCTGCCTCACCAAGGAAGAAATGCAGTGAGTGAAAGCATAGAATCAAATAGGCCAGAACACACAAACGTTCAGAGCTCAGAAAAAAAGCCTGCCTCACCAAGAAGGCGGCTATGGCAAACTCCCAACACAACACTAGCCTGGGCACTCTATCTCCTCAACAGCACCCAAAAATGGCCCCCTGAATTCTGACCTCAGAATCAACTGTGAAAAGCCAACAGGAGCTTTATTAGAGAAAATACGTCTATTCCATACAAATCCAAAAGGTTTGTTCCTTCTGAGGTGAACATCTTTGTAAGCAAGATATGTGAAGTATTAGATATTGCTGGGTTTATATCAAGAGATAGGGATGACCCCACAGCCTGAATGCCAGAGAGAGAGTCAAAGTCCATTGTCTCTAGACTCCCTCTCAAGTATAAGCCTTAAACTATTTCCTTGGGAAAAGGTGCTCCGTGGTCACAGGTCCCATTACATGTTCTCTATATGACATCTGGCAAGTCATGTCCCCTCTCTAGGTCTCAGGTTTCTCAGAGGGTAAATGGAAGAACCACACTAGGTGATCACCAGATCTCTTCAACTGACAATCTCTTAGCTTCCTTCATTTCATCCTCCATTATCCTTGACTGCCCATTAGACCTTAATGCTTTAACTTTTTGAAAGTCTGTGGATTCCACTTCAGAAATAAATAGTTGTTAAATGGCCTTCTAGACAAGAAATGAAATTAGGGCTATTCCCTGAAGGATCTAAATTACTCTCCAGATATAAACGCCAAGATAAAGCAGCCCCCAAACATCAGGACAGCATTCTAAAATTAGCATGGAATATTGTTATCTACTAGGTACATATTATTCTATAGCAGTGGCTAAACATTTTACAATACACAGGGCAGCCCCCAATCAAATAATTCTCCACTCTAAAATGCCAATAGTGCTTAGGCTGAGAAACTCTGTTCTAGAGGGTTATAAACAGGGAAATCAAAGCAAAGACACACAGATAGATGTCTAGAGTCCATGATCCATTACCGCTCTCACCTTCTGGCTCCGCCACTCCTGGCCCGTGTTCCCGGGAGAAGGTCAGGGCCTCCACTGGCTCTTCCTTGGCTGGGAGAGGTGGAGGATGAGTACTTTTAGCAACAGGTTGAGTGTTCTTTGGCTTGACAAATACAGGTCCTTTACCTACATGGTGATGGATTGGCCTGCGTCTATGAACGCCAGAAACCGTATAACCCATTCCACCAGGACAGATTTCCTTAAAAGCAGCTAGATTTGGGATGGGAAAATATTCCTTTTAAAAATCTAACAGTGCAAACTTATACAGAGGAAAATATCATGATGAATAGCTCTTAATAAATCATCACTAATGTAGTTACATTTTAAAACTTCAAAAACAGGTGCAAAATGTAAGCAAATTGCTCGAATTTCTGATAAACTTGCATATTTAAAGAAAAAAATCCAACTTTTTTTTTACTAAACATTTTTCCATCTGTTAATTCCTTATCCTACCCAAATCAGAATATACATATTATATATAGCATATACTTAGCATATATTTTATATATCATATTATTTACATAGTCATTCCTCAGTATCCATGAGGGATTAGTTCTAGGATAACCCCTGTGGATATCAAAATCTGCAATGCTCAAGACCCTTACATAAAATTGCATAGTATGATCAGCCCTCCATATCCAGTTCTGCATCCACAGATTCAACCAACCAATTGGGTTGAATCCACTGATGCATAACCATGGATACAGAGGGTAACTATATATATATATATATATATATATATATATATATATATATATATATATATATAGTTAGCCCTCCATCCCATATATATCAGCAACCAATTAGAAAATACTATATATCATATTAGGTTATATATTAGGAGATATTTTATATATAGAAGACACTATATGTATTATATATCTCATGTTGCATGTATATGTCTTATCAGCAAAAATCAGGCTTTTTTTCCCGCTTTGATGTAATTTCATTAGTTATTAAAAAAGAACTCAGTGACATTTGTCTAAGTTAGATGAAGAGCCATAAGGTTAAAAAAAATCACTATTCAGGGAAATGAGATGCCGAAATCCTCACAGTTTGCTTCCAGTTGAAGAACACAAAGGGCTCCACCAAAATGCCATGTATCAGCTGGTTAAGAGGATGTAGATTACGGAGGACGGAAAAGGGGAAGTGTTTCTGAAGGGGAGAATCTCGGGATAGTGAGGAAGAGTCTAGAGAGTGAGACATGCTGGAGATGATAGGTAGAAATCAAGAAAGAAGGGAAATGCCAAATCAAGATGCAGCTATTTTCAAGTAAAGGAACAACAACTGGGCAAAAGCCTGGCCGTGACCAGCTCATTTAACTACCCAGAGGCCAAGGAGATATTCTGTGCCCTGGAATCAATCACTACCATTGCCAGAAAAAAAGTGGTTTTGTATTCTTTAAAAAAAAAAAAAAGTAGACTCAGCACATGTGATTTGCTAACCTCCACGGCATAATCCCCATGAATAGTGAAGGGGAAAGGCAAGGGGGAGAAGAAGGGTAAGGCAGTGTGTGGCCTTCAGAGGAAAAATCCACCTAATCCCTTTGGTGTTGGTGTTGGAGGCAAATTACCAAATGTAGACACCAAGGAGCTTATGGTTAACTTTTTTATTTCTACTTTTAAAATTGAATATAAAATAAGTCATTTCTCACTTTCACTGAACAAGAGATCTTCTATTGAATGTCTGGGACCTAAAATTAGTTCTCAAGAAAAAGGAAACTCTAAAAATACTGCTTATAGTATGCTAAAATACTGTTTTTCTAAGGATCACACACTAAATGGTAGAACCTCATTCTTATGTTTAACTAGGAAAAACAATTTTTACTTGGAAACATGTTTCCAGAAGAAAACATGACTTTAAAAACCAAGTTTACATTTTCTTAATCCAGTCTATCATTGTTGGACATTTGGGTTGGTTCCAAGTCTTTGCTACTGTGAATAATGCCGCAATAAACATACGTGTGCATGTGTCTTTATAGCAGCATGATTTATAGTCATTTGGGTATATATCCAGTAATGGGATGGCTGGGTCAAATGGTATTTCTAGTTCTAGATCCCTGAGGAATCGCCACACTGACTTCCACAATGGTTGAACTAGTTTACAGTCCCACCAACAGTGTAAGAGTGTTCCTATTTCTCCACATCCTCTCCAGCACCTGTTGTTTCCTGACTTTTTAATGATTGCCATTCTAACTGGTGTGAGATGGAATACTATGCAGCCATAAAAAATGATGAGTTCATGTCCTTTGTAGGGACATGGATGAAATTGGAAACCATCATTCTCAGTAAACTATCGCAAGAACAAAAAACCAAACACCACATATTCTCACTCATAGGTGGGAATTGAACAATGAGATCACATGGACACAGGAAGGGGAATATCACACTCTGGGGACTGTGGTGGGGTGGGGGGAGGGGGGAGGGATAGCACTGGGAGATATACCTAATGCTAGATGACGAGTTAGTGGGTGCAGCGCACCAGCATGGCACATGTATACATATGTAACTAACCTGCACAATGTGCACATGTACCCTAAAACTTAAAGTATAATAAAAAAAAATGCAGGAAACAACAGTGTTTGATATTAATAAATGTAATAGAAAATACAAAAAAAAAAAAAAAAAAAAAAAAAAAAAAACCAAACACCGCATGTTCTCACTCATAGGTGGGAATTGAACAATGAGAACACATGGACACAGGAAGGGGAACATCACACTCTGGGGACTGTTGTGGGGTGGGGGGAGGCGGGAGGGATAGCATTAGGAGATATACCTAATGTTAAATGACGAGTTAATGGGTGCAGCACACCAATATGGCACATGTATACATATGTAACCAACATGCATGCTGTGCACATGTACCCTAAAACTTAAAGTATAATAAAAACAAAAACAAAACCAGAAAAACAACAACAAACTCCCTAAAAAAAAAAAAAAAAAAACCAAGTTTAAAGAATTAACGAACTAAATATTTTTAGTGAAAATCACCATATAACCAAAACTTAAGTGCAAAAATTTTATCTTGAATATTATTTTCAAATTTATTGATAGTACTAGAGAGGAGTATCCCTGAGTTCCAGTCACCATCTCAATTTATGCTTCATGTAAGGATTATAAAGCTATCAAAATTGAGCTTCCACTTTTACCCCTGAACTTAAAAGCTAAACATTTAAAAAATTTAAAAAAATTAAAAACACATTATACAGACACAAAATAATACGCATAATAAATTCACAAACTGAAAGCTTTAAAAACTGAACTTCAAGAGAAACGTGTCTATAAATTATAAAGATTACTTGATTATTAATTTTTAATAATGAGTGGAACCATCCCTGTAATCCCAGCACTTTGGGAGGCTGAGGCCGGCAGACCACGAGGTCAGGAGATCAAGTAACACAGTCAAACTCCGTCTCTACTAAAAATACAAAAAGAAAATTAGCCAGGCGTGGTGGTGGGTGCCTGTAGTCCCAGCTACTTGGGAGGCTGAGGCAGGAGAATGGTGTGAACCTGGGAGGCGGAGCTTGCAGTGAGCCAAGATCACACAACTGCACTCCAGCCTGGGCAACAAAGCGAGACTCCATCTCAAAAAAAAAAAAAAAAAAAAAAAAAAGTGCATCAGATGGCACAAGAGCAAGAGCACAAGAGGGTACTAGGATCTTTTGGAGGCCTAAAATTATCTAGTCTACCAACATACCATCAATGTTGTATTATCCTTTGCCTTAACACAGTTCTTTCTGGTTCTAACCATGAACAAAGGTGAGTCATGATACTTATATTTAAATCTTGTCTGCTATGGTGTAAGTTACAGCTTTAAGACACTACATGGCCCTGTGAGAGTTAAGACACTTTCCTAGGTAGAAAGCATCTTATCAAACATGCAATTGAGTAGACTATTTAATGTCCACCCCAAGTAAGTGACATTGAAGCCATTCCTTGTTAATATCAGGTCTAACGCTTTCAGGTTACATTTCTTTCTCTTCCACTTAACTCTACTTGATCCTGCTTGAGAAGTTGGTGGTTCATTGGTAGAAGGTATTTAAAGAGATAAATTTGCCTTCTCAGGGCATAAGGCAATTATGTACCAAATTGAAGGATAAAGAATAATCTACTTCTTAATACTCAACTCCCACAGAAGTTTTCAGGAGTTTTGGCAAGTTCTGTCCTTAAGTTATTAATCTTCATAGCGTAAATTCAATCATGAATATAATTTCCTCCATTTCCAATTAAAGAAATTAAGCACGATACTCAATAAATGAGTAAATGAGTCAACTTGCACAAAGTCTAGTTACTGTGAATTGATGAGCAGCCAATCATTAGGAAAGCGCATGGCCCAGCAGAGCCTTCTGGTCTCTCTACACTTAAATATCAGACTCAGAGTCCTGGAAATTGAAGATAAAATATAATGGCTTTTCTTAATATTCAAAAGGAAGTCTGATATCACATAGAAATGGGAAAATCTCTTTGCACATAATTTTTTCCCACTGATTCAACATTGTATGTGTACAGTTTCTACAAAGGTGATTAAATATTTACAATGTATTATTAAAAATTAAAGTCAGAAACCACAAATGACCCAAGGTGCCAAAGTTGTCCCGTGTACTCATGTGGCTGGGAATCTATGTGCGCATACAGCTGGGCATGTCTTACCTGTGCCTGGAAGGGGACATTTCTCACAGTGTGGGCCCCAGGCCTTGCCCACACTACAACAGCAGAGCTGCTTGGTGAGGTGAACAGACAGAGGGTGCATACACTGTCTTCCAGAACTGACAAGTCGGTAACAGGGCCCTTTCTCTTCCGAGATCACAGGGGGATCAGCTGAAGCAGAGAGATAAAGCCCGACATTACATGAGAAACCAAAACTACATTGGCTTTCCAAATGATAGTAAAATGAACCCTAAGGTATGAATTAAAAACCACACTTCAGGATAAATCTGTCTAGATTTAGAGCATCACCTTTCTTGAAGAAAAATCAGTTTACCATGTGAGTTTTAGAGTCAGGGCACCAAAAGTCGTGACAGTGATTGTCCCTGTCCCTCTCTGGTCTCTTCTTCCATTTTAGCAAGCATGCAATTAGGTATGTGTGCGTAATGAAGAGAAACATTTCAACAAAAACCCACCTTTCCAAATAAACCTAGTCACCTACTGCCAAAATCACTACCTAGTTTTCTATATTTAACCACAGTAGAGATAACTCTAGGGCAGCATTTAGTGAATAATCAGGCACTTTGGAGAATGAGGAACATGGCTGATGCTGCAAGCCAGCCTCTGCTCTTCTCATCCCAGGGAAGTAAGAGCTTGCAGGGCCCATCAGGTCTCACCCTACGCCAGTGAACATGAATGGGAGGCAGAAAGTGGTTTCTGATTTCGAGTGCCACACAAGGCCCCTGTTCTAGCCAGACAGTACACCAGAGAAGGAAGAGATGATGTGCTCAGCTCTTCGGAAAACACTGCAAAAGTATACAAGGCTATAGCCATCCAATACCTAAACTTTAATCCTCATCTTCTGCTATACGTTTAGTAGATAAGAGTTCATCAACCTAACAGCTAAATACTCTGCTAGGCACACATGGCAAATATGAAAATCAGCAAAACACAGCCCTGCCTTCAAGAAGTTCATCTTCTAATGCAAATATGGATGGAGTGTATTCTACAGAACCAGGTCCAGGTCAGGCCAAAGGTGCTGAATAAGTTTGGTGTCCCCCCGCCGCCCATTCCCCAAACCCAACCAAAGCTCTTCTCTATCATATCACCATACAAATGAGGTTTTCTGACTTGCCTTTCCCTTACCCAATTCCTCTAGCATCTTTTTTTTTTTTTTTTTTTTTTTGAGACTGAGTCTCACTCTGTTGCCGAGGCCGGAGTGCAGTGGCGCGATCTCAGCTCACTGCAAGCTCCACCTCCCGGGTTCACGCCATTCTCCTGCCTCAGCCTCCTGAGTAGGTGGGACTACAGGCACCCACTACCACACCCGGCTAATTTTGTTCTTTGAATTTTTAGTAGAGACAGGGTTTCACCGTGTTAGCCAGGATGTTCTCGATCTCCTGACCTTGTGATCCGCACGCCTCGGCCTCCCAAAGTGCTGGGATTACAGGCGTGAGCCACCGTGCGCCCAGCCTCCTCTAGCATCTCTTTTAGGGGAGGACTTCCTGAAGATGTTATCTGTGGTGCTGTTTGGGTGGGGCACTTTGGCTTTGATTCTGGCCACATGCAGTAGTGTAGTCTCCATAAGATTTCTTCAGTTGTAAATAGCATCAGTGGTGTCTCTGATTCTTCAGTGCCTTAGGATGCAGTTGTTAGTAGATTCTGTGCAAAATTTTGCCGAGGATGAGGCTACCAGGTGGGCCAGTCCTCAGCCCCAGTAGTAGCAGAGGTGGGCCAAATGTGTTTGTCTTTGGGCCCGAGGGCAGCGTACACTGGCATTGGTGTTAGTGGGTCCAAGTGGGCCAATTCTTGGGTCTCTACGTGGCTTGCTTAGGTGCCAGCAGTGATAGCAGTTAGCCAGGCAGGTTCTCAGGCTCCTGGGCAGTGGGTGTAGCATAGGTGATGGCAGCAGCAGTGGTGAGACAACCCTCTGCTTCTCACGCAGTCCATGCTGGTGTTAGCAGCTGGGCAGGCCAGTCCCCAGGCCCACAGGTGGTATATACAGGTGAGTGCCAGCTGTGATGGTAGTGGTACGTTGGGTGGGCCTGACCTGAGGCCTCTGAGAGGAGTGCTCAGGTGCCAATGGTGGTGGTACCTGCTTAAGACTCAGAAGGTGTGTGTGGGACCCAGCATGCATGAGCTCCCTCTCGGCAGCAATTCCATCACGAGGTCTCTAGGCAGCTCCCTATGTTAAGTCTCAGAGTCTGTGAGGGCCGAAGGGCTCTCCTGTGGCTAGGATTGCAGGAATTCACATGGGAATGTGGATCACTGGAGGTCTCTCATCTACCCTTTCCTCACACTGGGGAGCCTCCCCAGGCTCCCAGCTAATCCTGGCTGAGCAGGCTCCCTTGGTTCCCTCTCCTTCCCTGCCTTAGGTGTTTCCTGTGACTTCTCTGTTAAACCTCAGTGTTCTCTGTTAGATGATCTGTTCAAAGTGTGATTATCTACTTGATATTTTGGTTCTTCTTTGTGGAGGGGGTGAGCACCAGATGCCTCTAGTCAACCATCTTAAAGCCTCTCCCAAACCGAAATTTTACTGATGCTTTCATGATTCACATTTTCTTTAATCTACAACTATTTGAAGCCAAAACTGTTCATTTATGCCACATATACCTGACAGGGTGTGCCATTTAAAACTGCCCCTATTTTACGACCTAAATTGCCTGTTGTTCTTTTTGTCATTTCAAATGACTTGCATTCTGTTTATTAAACATCTCTAGTATTTTCACACTCCGGTCAATATGATGCGTAAACCCAGAAACAATATGCTACCCAGAATGATGTGATTGGTGTTGTTATTGTCTGAATATCTTTAACCTCAGACTGGAAGATTAATTGTAAAGGATAACACATTAGTGTACTACGTTTATTATTTAAAATATGGTACATGTGATTATATATTCTACTGAGTCATAAGGTTTTATGCTGTACTAAAGAAAACTAGAAATACCAAAAGATTTCTAAGGGATAGGGGAAGCAGCTGTAGAATCGAATAAAACTGAGGAGTGATAATAAAGGGTGCCTGTAGGCTCTTACATGTTTGTACACTGAAACAGTACTTTGTCAGATCCTATTTTGTGCAGGATGTGTTACTAAAATTACGGCAAAAAGATTCTGATACTTTATCTAAAAGGAAAAGCACTTCAGAAGCATAAAACCTACTGAAAATGCCACATCCACCAGGAAAGTAATTTTTTTGCTCTTGGCTACAGACATAAGACAAATTTTCAAACTGGTAACAAGCATATAGCTCTGTACCCAAGTATAGTACCAAATCATAACCATACAGCCCATGGTGATGGCAATTCAATTACAAAACAAGAGTAAAAAGCTAAGATACTATTATTCGGGTTCCTCAGTGATATATTAAGCAACTTATATTTAATTATGGCCTTAATTATAGGATTGTATAATAAACTCACATTATACTTTCAAAGACATACTACTCTAATGTATTAACCCATTTATGCTGGAGGTTGTAAATGTGTGTGTGTGTGTGTGTGTGTGTGTGTGTGTGTGTGTGTGTGAAAAATCAGACCTACTGAGATGACCTTGAGCAGGATATAAATAACTCCCACAAGCTCAGCATTCCAATAATGGAACACCAGGCATAAATGGGTTAAAATGTGAATGACAAATATTAAGCAGATATTAATTAATCTGGTACTTAGAAGAAGTTGAAAAGTAGGGAGGATTTCAGAAAAGAGCAAGGGTTTAAAAGTCTAGCTAACCTTACTAGTCTGCAATCACTCCCACCCACATCTGTAATATCCTTAATCATTTCTTGGATGAAATTCCACATTAGCATTTAATCCCTTTACAGCTTAGTATCTATGGGGATGAGTGTTAGGATACAGGTCTAGGAAGCAGGTAAAGCTGCTTTGAGGAGTCTGAGAGGCAGCTTACCTAGGGCAGTAAGAACCACTGGGCACTCTGGGAAATGTGTCATTAAAAACCATTTCATGGCTGGGCGCGGTGGCTCATGCCTGTAATCCCACCACTTTGGGAGGCAGAGGTGGGCGGATCACGTGAGGTTAGGAGTTCGAGACCAGCCTGGCCAACATGGTGAAACCCCATCTCTACTAAAAATACAAAAATTAGCCGGGTGTGGTGGCGCACGCCTGTAATCCCAGCTACTCAGGAGGCTGAGGCAGAAGAATCACTTGAACCCAGGAGGCGGAAGTTGCAGTAAGCTGAGATTGCACCACTGCACTCCAGCCTGGGCAGCAGATCAAGACTCCCTCTCAAAAAAAAAAAAAAAAAATTCGTGGAGAACCAAAATAAAAGAAACAATAATTCAAGGCCATTGCAGTTACGTCACCTATTCTATAGTGTGGCAGGTGAGATTAAAATGTCAGTTCTCCTTAAATAAATGACTTACTCCTCCTGGCATTTCAGACTTTTCCATTTCTTGATTAAAGGTTCAGCTTGTGGAGTGAGACAGATCCAGTTTCAAATCTGGGCTCTACCCTTTATGGACTGTATGACTGTTGGAAAGATCCCTAACCCCTCTATGCCTTAATTCCTTCATTTCTAAATTAGGAAAAATAACAGAACAAATCCAATAGAGATCTTGTAAGTATTATATGGGATAATTCACATAAAGTGCTTAGCACAGTGCCTGGCATTTACGAAGTTTGCAATAAAAATTATTATTGTCATGGTTTTTGTTTACTGTAATTATCTGGGAGCAAGCAGCTTGTACAGATCTGTCTCACCTCCGGGCCACGGTGCCATGAGACCTCCAAGTGAGGGAGGCTAGGGGCCTAACCTGAGATGGCCACAGAGAAGGTAGAAAGAAAAGAACGGGCATAAGATAAATTATGAAGACTAAATGTCATCCTTTGAAACCAAAAGATACAAAAGAGTCCAAGATGACACAGGCTCCCAGCCGGGGTGCTCTGGAGAAAATGTTACCATGGGCAAAAAATATCAAGTCTGGAAGGAAAGCCCATATTAACGGAAAAGCTGGAAAGCTAGCAGTAATTAACCCATTTGGCTTGCCAAAAAGGATACAAAACTACGCCACTCAATATGTTAGGCACTAGCCACATGTTGCTCCTTGGATAAAATTTAAATAAAAGTAAAAATTCAATTCCTCAGTTACACAGGCCATACATGACTAGTGGCTGCTGTATGAGGTGGCACAGATAGAGAATATTTCCATCATCTCAGATAGTTCTATTGGACAGTGTTAATTAGCTTGAGCGTCAGCAAACTTTTTCTGTCAAGCATCAGATAATAAGTATTTTAGGCTTTGTGTGCCATATGATTTCTGTTGTAACTTCTCAACTCTGTCTTTGTAATACAAAAGCAGCATTAGGCAATAAGTAAATGAATGGACATGGCTGTGTTCCAATAAAACTTTATTTTCAAAAACAAACAGATTTTTTCCCATGGGCTATAATTTGCCAACTCCTGATCTAGAACCCTAAATTTGGAGGCACAAATCCTGTTTTAAATCTCAACTCTCAGCTACTAGCTGTGTGAGAAGCTACTTAAACTTTCCTAGCTTTAGTTTCCCAATGTATAAGATAAGCATGGTATGTTTCTCATAAAGATGCTCAGGAAATTACAAATGAATGATGTACTTAATTAAAAGGCATTTGCCCTTTCTCTCATGACTTCCAGGACTACGGCAGAAGTTCCTGAGCACATCTTCTCTCTAACCCTCCATTTCTGTCAACTAGCTCCAAGTTGATGGGTGAAGAATACTACGAAAAGGCAAAAGCCCAGGCTCAGAATTCTTTTATCTGGGCCTTTTTACTGAACCTATGGACACATTCTCAGCAGCACTCATCCTGGAGCTCTGAAGTTCCTGCAGGAGTTCAGAAAGCCAGAAAGTCTTCCTACTTGGATTGCAAAGATGATACTTTTCTTGAATTTGCTCTGAAAAGTCCTCGAATTTCCACCTTTCCCCATAAATCAGGTAGCAACATGTCTGGAGAATGCTCCTACACCATCCTAAGCCTCAAACATAGAGGTCAGAGGCAGCAAATGCCAGCATTTGCCTGCTTTCTTCCTTTTAGCTTGGCTAAGCCAAGGCAAGCGGCAAGGAGAGAAAGTGAAATTGTTGCAACCTTTGGCTGCAGTCAAGGAATTCTGGGGGGTTCATCTCAGTTCAGTGCATTCAAGAAGAGAAAGTGCTTCCCGTTGTTCCTTGGCCATAACCATGTGCAGGAGTTCAGAGAGTCAGCCACACCTTGTATGCTCTGGATATGGCCTAAATTCATGCTGTCCTAGCAAATGTTGTCATTTGTCCTCCATTTGCCTGCAGGCTTCATCCCTGGCTGGTTTTCTCTCTCTCCAGAGCAAACATTTAGCAACCACTGTGTTGAGTGCCTGTGTGTGTGTCTGTGTGTGTGTGTGTGCGTGTGCGTGTGTGTGATCTCCAGTCCCCTCCTGCTATTTCCCTGTGACTACCAAAAATACCATTATCTTTTCATTTATTTCCTTTACTCTGTAAGTATCACCCTTTTCCCTAATTCCTTCTGTCTTCAGACTTCCCCCATCAAGCTCTTCACAGAATTCACCTGAAAATCAGACTGGACTGGTTCAAATCGCAAATCCTAAAGGAACTCTACATGTCTCTGTGATGTTACATGTGGTAAATTCAGAGGAAAGAGAAATAAATCTTCTCACTCAACACTGGTAAAGAGCCCAGGTTTTCACTTCGAACTCTCAACTGGAACACTTAACTAGCAACAAACGTCTCTTAATACTTATCAGTTCAGCTGTTGTAGCTGAACCATAAAATTGAATTATTTATTTTTCAAATAAGAATGGATGGTTGTTTAATAAGTTCAGAATTATTTGGGCAATGACAGGGAAAATAAATGCTAAGGAAATGTGCAAGTGTTTCAAAAATCTCATTGGCAGATTTCTATAATCTTATTAAAACCTGGATGTCTGCCCTCAACTCTAGACATCAGATCTGGTCAAAGTTTCACAGAGCGTTTTGTGACTAGTTCTGCAAGTTTACCTAATCAGCAACCTTCAATATAAGAATTGTAACCAGACTACAAGTCAAATTATAAAAGGGTGGAAAAAGCATTCACAACAAACTCTATATCCAAACTCTACAATCTTTACATTTAAATTATAAAATGATTTAACATATTTATTCATGTGATTCAAATCAGCCAAAAATGATCCCCTAAGTTATCTGGATGTCATCAACAATGTGATTTTTGGCCTGAAATTTCCAAATCCTTGCATCAGTTTCAAAGGTAATTTGTGTGCAAATGTAATTTTATGGTCTAATTTTACCACCCGTTAGGAAAGCCTTATAATTAGGTGTCTGTCTGCTTCATGATCAGAACTGTTTGTAAAAGAACACAGAAAAGAGGACTTACGTGTAAAACTTCCTAATCTGCAGTTGACAGTTTTTAAAGGAAAAGAGTAGTAATTAGTGATAACATTTCAAAAGACTCAACAAACTCACCTAAAAGTAATAAATGAGACTGTCATTTTTATTTTACTACATTTGTCTTTATTTTATCACCTCTACATATCTCACCTTAGGGCAAAGAGTTAAGAGAGATAAGCTTCGTTAAAAATGAATGGCAGTAAACTCATGAAGAACATGTCAACCAAATGGCAAATTTCAAACTAGACAAGAAAGATGCAGCTCATTATATACCAAAGCCACATTAAAAAATAAATAAAAGTGGCCGGGCATGGTGGCTCACACCTATAATCCCAGCACTTTGGGAGGCTGAGGCGGGTGGATCACCTGAGGTCATGAGTTCAAGACCAGCCTGACCAATATGGCAAAACCCTGTCTCTACTAAAAATACAAAAAATTAGCTGGGCGTGGTAGCACATGCCCATAATCCCAGCTACTTGGGAGGCTGAGGTAGGAGAATCATTGGAACCCGGGAGGCAGAGGTTGCAATGAGTGGAGATCGCACCATTGCACTCCAGCCTGGGTGACAAAAGTGAAACTCTGTCTCAAAAATAAATAGATAGATAGATAGATAGATAGATAAAAACAAAAACTTGCAGGAAAGAAACTAATACACAGTTGTTCTTAAAATTATCCTAATAGTTTTCTGCCATGCAGCCATTTAAATTGTATATAATCTTTAAAAATCTGCAGTGCTACAAGGCCCATGTCTATAGTCATGCTACTCAGCAGGCTGAACAGTGATCATTTGAGTCCAGCCTAGGCAACATAGCAAGACCCCATCTCTTTAAAAAAAATCTTACAGTGCTTACCTATAATAATGGGCATGATTACTTTAAAAATAAGACATTCTTAAAAATCTCAAATCTGCATTTGAGAACTTTACACCTAAAATGCATTCCTCTCTAATGGCATATGATCTGTAGTGATTACATGGATTAATTTACACGGAGAGGGAGTATCTCTTTGGTGAAACTATCTTTCAGAACCAATATTAGAACATGTGGTTTAATGAAGGATTTTTACCCTTATCAGAAACAAGGGAAAATCTCAGAAACATTTTTAAGGCAAAACAGTATAATTTAGGGTCATTTTGGTGGGTTTAAAGAACAAGACAATATCTGAAATTAGGACTGAATTAGAAAATCTAAAACACAGGGCCTTGGTAACTATTTTCCAGACTCTTACAATTGAGAAAGAAGTGAAACCTCATTAAATCAGAGTCCAGTGACTCAGAATTTGGAATAATTAAAGGCAGAAGCTGGGACACAGTTCAATTCAACCTAAAGAATGCTTAAAATACCGTATTTATGAAGGAAAAACTTACTGTCATCTCTCAGGTACCAAAAAAGTTTGATATGTCCATTTTAATTCTCTCTTTTCTTTTCATCAAAGCATATTTCCTCGGTGTGCTTAGTCTCTATTCAGAGTTTTAGCTATTATATTTTTATCACCACAATAAAAATGCATTTTAGAGAAGGTTCCATGATATCAATTTATTTTACTACATCAGGCAGGCCCCTTGCTTGTTATTTTAATTAATGAGGTTTTCCTGTATATTTACAAGCATTCAGTTGGCCACTGAGTATTTCCGTTCTTTTGGAAAAACCCCAAAGACAATTAATCCAAAACAGGAATAAAAAGTGATTATTACTTACGAACACAACTTGAAAAGGTAGGATCCGGCCCAAATCCTATTTTGCAGGTACATCGATAGCTGCCCATGGTATTCAAACACTCACCATTAGGGCATACACCTTGTAGCTGACATTCATTAATATCTGCAGGAAAACACAATTCTTTAGAAGGAGCAGTCAAGCCCCATTGAGCAGATTCTGGCTATACATTGCATTCACTTCCTTTTTCACTATAGTAATCTTTTAGTTATAGTGAAAAAAGGATGTAGCAGGTGTGAATAATCTTAAATCAGTTAATGTTTATTGAACATTTACAATTTATATAGCAAATATTTATTACATACCTACTACATGCCAGGTGCTAAGGATTTACTAGTGAAAAAAACTGATAAAAATTCTGGCCTTCACAGAGCTTTTGCTTTAGTGTTAGTTTATGTTAGGCATTATGGAGCATATAGGTAAGGCAAAGACTCTCACTCTAGAAGCACTGACAGTCTAACTATACATATGAATATTTGAAAAACTTAAGAAGTGAAAAGCAGTCCAAGTCATCACAAGAAAGAACTGTCATAAACTGTTAGAAGTTAAATTATGAAATTGCCTATACAGACAGTAAAAGCCACAGAAGGAAGCTGGAGGTGGGGCAGACTGTGGCACTGAGGAGGAGGTAAGGCTTTAGAGTGCTGATGTCTGGGCAGGAGCTGGATGGATGGGCGAGGAAGGGAAGGAATGACTTGTGTGGGAAACCCTGGAGCTTGAGCACAGAGTGTGGCCAGTGGATGGAGGCTCAGGAAATGATGAGTCAAACCACTGGCTGGAAAAGAAGATTCAGGAAGGTAAATAGTTGGAAACAGAGCTGGTACAATTCAGGCTGCATTTGGATTCAGTTTCATTGAGAACAGGGAGCTATATACTAAAGGTTTCTGAGCAGGAGAAAGAAAGACTCAAAGACAGACTCTAGGAAAATTCACCTGGCCAACACATGGCTTGTTGAGAAGAGATTAAAAGTCTGATCACTTGAAGGGGTCATGCAAGTATGAGGTTGGTAACAGCCAGGCTGGTGACAGTGAGAACAATCAGGAAGATAAAGAATGGACAAATCTTTTTTTTTTTTTTTTTTAAGAACAACTGAAAATGCATGGTGCTTGACTGGACTACACATCATGAGAAAGTAAGAGAAAGGAGTCAAGGATGTCTGGGAGGCTCCTAATCTAAGAAAAAAGGAAAAAAAAATCACAGCTGGTTTTGCGGAAGGAGTTCTGAGGAAGAAAGAAGGCAGGAAGAAGAGGAGTTCAGTTTTATAGTTCAAGGTCACATTGGGATACCCAAGTAGAAATACCCAGTAGCAGCAGAAGATTCAGAAATACAGTGAAAGAGGAAATCACTGCTACAAATAGACACTTAAGATACTCTGCATATGGAGATCCAGGGGGAAATCAAAGCGATTTGAAAGAGGAGAGATATAAATGAAGTGATTTTACAAAGAAAGATTATATAGTCACTTGCAAAGGTAATTAATTGAAAATCAAAAAGTTGGATACAATGGTAGCAAAACATTACTATCAGGATCATCACATAAAAAGAAAATACAGCCCTCAATCACTATTTAAGCAAATATTAACATTATATGAACATCAATATTTCATGTTCTAAGTAGGCATCGTGATCTATACGTACATATTTTACTCAGAGCATGCAATTTTTAAGTTAATTTCAGTGATAAAATATGATACCTTCCGTGACATTCAAATGATAAGTTAATGCATATTTGCTGTATAAATTCTATGGTGTTCCAACTTGCACGTAGCTGGAAACTGCTACAGCTAGATGACACCTGGTACGGCACACAGTACAGCACCTGACCATCTCATTATTTATTGAAGTGTGTGTTGTTCTGTAATGCACTTTTATGTACAGCATGTAACTGAAAATATTCCCCCGTAACTCATTCTTTTTAAGAAAACCACCATGAAGGACCAGGAAGAGTGCCAAGTCCAGTTGGAGCTTACACGGTACAAGTGAAGCCCTATTATATGTCCCAAGTAAAACCTCAAGTTTGGGTAACCAGCCAGTTGTGGTCAAGAAGGCTGGACAAAATTTCCACTCTTCTATTTCCCCTCATATCCTCACTAGGGTATGATTATTAGCATTCCTCTTCCCCTGAATGGCCTGTATTCCTGTTCATTGGCTGCACCACTACACATTCCATGATAAGATTGAGGACCCAGAATTTTCCCTTGCTAGGTGGTTTCTATAACAGCACCATCTCAGCCTTGCGGCTGGCTGCCAGGTTAATGTAGAGGTTTCCCCCCAGACTCATAAATACCTGATTTACAACCAATGCCTAGTACCCTCTTCCAATGCCCCTTCTTTGACTCTCCACACTGCTTACTGCCTTGACTCTGATGCCATGGGAATGGAGGACAGGAATTCAGACGGAAGAAAACAAACAAAATGACCAAGCAAACCTATCAGGTATAGACAGGAAGAAACAGAAACATCCACAAAGACGAAGAATCGTGTAAGACTCTTCCTGTTATGACTGTTTTAATCAGCTTGTGCCACCGGCACTGGCACCAACACTTCCCCTAATTTTGGCCCGAAGAACCCAGGAAGCCTGGGCCTTCCTTTGTGACACATTCTCACAGCTTCCAGAAAAACTGTTTCCTTCAACTGCCTTGGTTCATCTATTTTTTTATATTTCCTGAGCTACTACAAATTAGAGATTAGATTTCTGTTTCCTATATTTAACGTATATACACTAGAATATATCAATCTTAAGTATACAACTAGATGAATTTTTGCATATCTACTTGTGGTGTAACCACCACCCAGATTGTGATTAAGAACGTTTCTGGCCGGGCGCGGTGGCTCACGCCTGTAATCCCAGCACTTTGGGAGGCCGAGGTGGGCAGATCACGAAGTCAGGAGATCGAGACCATCCTGGCTAACACAGTGAAACCCCGTCTCTACTAAAAATACAAAAAGTTAGCCAGGCGTGGTGGCAGGTGCCTGCAGTCCCAGCTACTCAGGAGGCTGAGGCAGGAGAATGGCGTGAACCTGAGAGGTGGAGCTTGGAGTGAGCCGAGATCGCGCCACTGCACTCCAGCCTGGGCGACAGAGCAAGACTCCGTCTCAAAAAAAAAAAAAAAAAAAAAAAGAATGTTTCCATCACCTGAGAAGGTTCTTTGTGCCCCTTCCCAGCCAACAAACAACTTATCCCCATAATTTTAACATAGGACTTCAGAAATTAATAAATTAATAAGACATTTCTAATTATTAAGAAACAGGAGCAACTGCCTAAGTGATTTTTCCTAGACAGGTAGTCACAAGCTTTCTAAATTAAAGTAAAGGATGTCAGAGACTCACAAACACGTTAAGAACAAAGCATTGGTTGAACTGAACGCATTGTATCTGGATGAGAGAAGAACATTCCAAGTGATGACATCATCAGGCCAAAGTTTAACAACTGTTTGGAACGTGATAGGTGAATGGTAAACCAGAATTCTATTTAGACTTAACAACTGTATGGAATGTGATGGGTGAATGGTAAAGCAGAATTCTATTTATACTTAAAAACTGTATGGAACGTGATGGGTGAATGGTAAACCATAATTCTATTTAGACTTAACAACTGTATGGAACATGATGGGTGAATGGTAAACCGTAATTCTATTCAGACTTAACAACTGTATGGAACGTGACGGGTGAATGGTAAACCAGAATTCTATTTGGACTTCATTGCCTAAAGCTATCTTCTTTCTTTAATCAAATAAAACCTGATTACAATATTTGTCATTTTATAAATAGCTTATTTGTGAAGGAATAAATTCAAATAACAATATAGTGTTTCAGGAGTCTCATATTTTTATTTATTTATTTATTTATTTATTTATTTATTTAAGATGGAGTCTTACTCTGTCACACAGGTTGGAGTACAGCGGCACAATCTCAGGTCGCTGCAACCTTCGCCTCCCAGGTTCAAGCGATTCTCCTGCCTCAGCCTCCTGAGTAGTTGGGATTACAGGCACATGCCACCATGCCCAGCTAATTTTTTTTTTTTTTTTGTATTTTTAGTAGAGACAGGGTTTCACCATGTTGGCCAGGCTGGTCTTGAACTCCTGACCTCAAGTGATCCGCCCACCTCGGCCTCCCAAAGTGCTCAGCCTCCCAAAGTGTGTGAGCCACTGCATCCGGCCAAGTCTCATATTTTAAAGCGTCAACAAACCTTCCTCAACAGATTCTAACTAAATCAAAAGTATTTTAATATTTAGTTTGAAAAATACATGAATTTATTCCTTGTTCTCCCTCTATAGATGACAAATTTCTCTGGAAAACTGTGGAAGTCTGTCCTTTGAAGAAGTGGTATAACCACTGCATACAGAACAACTTCCTGAGTTAAAGAATGAAGGCCAAAATAAATGGCTGAAGGGGCTCAGCACCCACATACAGCCAGTCACCATTCCCTATCCCCATCTGAGCTTTTGTGTTCAGGCAGGCAGTCTAGAAGTTTACAGAAACAGAAACTAGGAAAGAAATTCATACGGACCCATGTGCTCCTCTGGAGTAGGCAAAATCCATGAAGCTACTACAGCTAACATGAAGGAGCTTTACATACTTTTCCACTTATTTAAAACATTTACAGGTATCTCTGCCTGTATAGCCTACCACATACTTCAGCTCACAGATGAAGTTCAGGAACACAAAACTGCTTTTCTTCTAAAACTGCTCTTCTTCTAAAATGGTCAAATATTGGCAATGTCCTATGGTTCAAACTAATACAACAGAAATAAGAGGGCTGGGCTTTTATTAACCAGGTAGTAGAAGAATATAAAGTAATCAGGTATACATGCATAACAAGAGACTCCCTATGAACAACCCAACATAAAACAGCCTAAGTATTTCAGTACATGGGAATGATGCGATAAGGTGACGATGAAGTGAGGACCTTCATCTTCCTTCTACCTCATCAGGATTCTTTACATTTCTATAGCACACCGTATCTCACTGGAACTTCACAACAATTCTGGATGGTGAGCAGTACAAGAATAATTATTCCATTTTACAGAGATAATTTCGTCCAAGGCCATATTTCTAAAAAGGATGGAGAGGATGGGGGAAAATAATAGGAGGAATATTCCACTAAGATCTAGCTTTTGGTCCAACTAGGACAAAATGTTATGTTACCCAGAGCAAGTCTCTGAGTTTCTCTTGATCTCAGTGTCCTCTCCTGTAACACAGAGGGGCTGAACTATATTATCCCCAAGGTTACTTGTAGTTTAAATATTCTCTGACTTCAAAACAATCTGCCAGTTGCCAGGGCTGAAAATGCCAGGGAATAAAGAAAGTATGACATTTGGTGCATAATATATTACGAACAGCACAAGTGCCCTTCTGGGAAATAAATATATTTTTATGCATCTCTTCTCCTACAGGAAAGTATGTATGTTTAACAAAGTGAGTAAGAATTTACTGTCTTCTTAGTGACGCAAGTTTATACAGGAAATGAGGCATGTCCAACAGGAGTCAGGACAAGGTAAGAACAGGACATGAGCATCTTTCTACTGTGTGAAAATATGAAGCTTTCTGGAGATTCATCTGTGTGTGTTCAGCTTTTGCTAGTAAATATAAATTCCATGACAGAATTCCATTAGCAGTATGCCTTCCACTTGAAAGCAGAAAAATACCTCTTAATACAAATACTTTTCCCAGACAGACTATTAAGTTATTTAATAAGGATCACTTAGACAATATATATATTTCTTAAACTTCCAAAGAACAACTTTGCACTGGGTAGACATACCACGAAGGAACATGAAGATATTCTATAGGGTACACACAGGCTTAGACACTTTTAAGGGAACTAATCTATAGATCTTCAGCCTTCAGATGTTTCTTTTTGAAGTCATCTGCCTAAGAATATATTTGCCAATCTTCCTTTCCTATCTTCCCCTTTCCTCAGGGCCTTCTTGCTCTTGACCAAGTCAAGGCATACCTCTTGTCAATCCAGAATCTTTCTAGGCCTTTCTAAGAACACTGTCTTGAAAGGTAAAATTCTCACAGGCACAGAATAAATGAACAATTCACAAATATATCAACCCCAGGATAGAGTCACAGAAAAAGTAATGAGTCCGATTTCTTTCATAAGAAGATCTGGCTTTACCAATTAGGTTAAATGGCAGAGACTGTTTATCAATGGCATGAACCAATTCTGCAGCTCCAAAGTTTTGATGAAATTATTTAATGCACACATACAATATAAATGTGCCAGAAATTAACCTATTGTATCCACTTGACTTTTTAATGAAAATGTAGATGTCAGCTTAAAGATATGTGAACACATAACTTTTTCAAAATTATTCTAGGAGATTAAGAAAAAAATATTTGAAAACCAATGTTCTAGAGCAATTTTACCCAAGGTATTTTACACAAAACACAGACTTTGTGAGACCTCTGCTAAAAGAGGGGTTCTGCAGCCAAATATGTTTGAGAAACACTGCCTATTCTATATACATAAGCATATTTAAAACCCGAAGAGTCCTTTGGCAAAATCTCTTGTTTTTCTGTGTTTAACTTGGTTTTTCTGCACATTTGGCTGTGGGACCCTTTTTAACACACAATCTATTAACATCCTTCTGAACTGGTCATCTGTGGAAACATTTTTGTGAAATGCTGCTCTCTGGGGCCAGCTTCAAAGACTATTGTATGAGTCTCTTCGTGATTATATTTGCTTCTATCTAGGCCCCACTGCCATTAAAAGCCTACCCACCACCCTGTAACTGTCCCATGATTATAAAATGACCATCCACCATAGGATGGATTCAATCACTGGACTCACTGAAAAAAGTCAAACCACTGTGGCAGCAACTCCTTTCCTTCCAATTCTTCTGTCTTCGGGGTAACATGATAAAGGAATTATCAGAGCCCAGAGAACAGCTTGTATTTATTTCTTGACACATGTGTGCTACACATGGACGACGCTGCTAGCAACACACACTTACTCTGTTGGTCTTGGATTCATGACTGTAGTCTACAGATATTACATTAACTTCTCCTTGAAATATTCACAGTAACATGAATCCATCATGGGCTTTCTTCATCACTCATAATACAGTAGGCATCTTCCCATTCATTTTATAGCCACAGAGATTAAGGTCAAAGAGCTATTGAAAAATACAATGTGCTAATGACTCACTTCACCACTGTCTTTCCTGAGGAAGAGTTAATAAAATAAACAGACATTTCCTTTTTGAAACCTATCCCAGCATAGTAAGAGGACACACCAGAAAAATAATTCTAAAATGCACAGGAATGGGTCCCAATTTGATTTGCAAATGCTGAAATAGGGTGCTCAGGTCCAGATCAAAAACTGTTTAAATTCTTACTGAAAATACTGTGCACATTTAAACTAGAAAGTGCAGCAGTAGTTCTAAGAGGATGACCAGAACAGTTAACACCTTCAAATCAGTAAATTATCTATCAGTTCCCACTGAGCCATTGACCACTGTAAAACATGATCTGGCATCAAACTAAGTACATGACAGTTTCTGAGATTAAATGAAAATACAATAGAAAATTATGATTAACCTCTGGCAGGCTAAACAAAAGGAATATTAAACATTTCTAAGTGTTTTGAAGAACAGAATTATCAAGTCTGGTTGACCGCAGTCTTAGTTCTTACCTGTTGGTTTTCTACTATTATTTCCAAAACATATACCAAGAACAATATATTCTAAGTTTCATCTTTTTTAAAAATTATATTTAAGTTCTTGGATACACGTGCAGAATGTGCAGGTCTGTTACATAGGTATACAAGTGCCATAGTGGTTTGCTGCACCCATCAACCCGCCATCTACGTTAGGTATTTCTCCTAATGCTATCCCTCCCCTAGCCCACCACCTCCCAACAGGCCCCAGTGTGTGATGTTCCCCTCCCTGTGTCCATGTAATCTCACTGTTCAACTCCCACTTATGAGTGAGAACATGTGGTGTTTGGTTTTCTGCTTCTGTGTTAGTTTGCTAAGAATGATGGTTTCCAGCTTCAGCCATGTCCCTGCAGAGGACATGAACTCATCCTTTTTTATGGCTGCATAGTATTCCATGGTGTATATGTGCCACATTTTCTTCATCCAGTCTATCATTGATGGGCATTTGGGTTGGTTCCAAGTCTTTGCTATTGTGAACAGTGCTGCAATAAACATATGTGTGCATGTGTCTTTATAGTAGAATGATTTATAATCCTTTGGGTATATACCCAGTAATGGGATTGCTGGGTCAAATGGTATTTCTGGATCCAGATCCTTAAGGAATCACCACACTGTCTTCCACAATGGTTGAACTAATTTACACTCCCACCAACAGTGTAAAAACGTTCCTATTTCTCCATATCCTCTCCACCAGCATCTGTTGTTTCCTGACTTTTTAATGATCGCCATTCTAACTGACGTGAGATGGTATCTCATTGTGGTTTTGATTTGCATTTCTCTAATGACCAGTGATGATGAGCTTTTTTTCATGTTTGTTGGCTGCATAAATGTCTTCTTTTGAGAAGTGTCTGTTCGTATCCTTCACCTACTTTTTGATGGAGTTGTTTGATTTTTTTCATGTAAATTTGCTTAAGTTCTTTGTAGATTCTGGATATTAGCCCTTTGTCAGATGGATAGACTGCAAAAATGTTCTCCCATTCTGTAGTTTGCCTGTTTGCACTGATGATAGTTTCTTTTGCTGTACAGAAGCTCTTTAGTTTAATTAGATCCCATTGGTCAATTTTGGCTTTTTTTGCCATTGCTTTTGGTGTTTTAGTCATGAAGTCTTTGCCCATGCCTATGTCCTGAATGGTATTGCCTATGTTTTCTTCTAGGGTTTTTATGGTTTTAGGTCTTACATTTAAGTCTTTCATCCATCTTGAGTTAATTTTTGTATAATGTGTGAGGAAGGGGTCCAGTTTCTGTTTTCTGCATATACAGTTACTGTAGCCTTGTAGTACAGTTTGAAGTCAGGTAGTGTGATGCCTCCAGCTTTGTTCTTTTTCCTTAGGATTGTCTTGGTTATACGGGCTCTTTTTTGGTTCCATATGAAATTTAAAGTAGTTTTTCTAATTCTGTGAAGAAAGTCAATGGTAGCTTGACGGGGATAGCATTGAATCTATAAATTACTTTGGGCAGTATGGCCATTTTCACGATATTGATGCTTCCTATCCAGGAGCATGGAATGTTTTTCCATTTGTTTGTGTCCTCTCTTATTTCTTTGAGCAGTGGTTTGTAGTTCTCCTTGAAGAGGTCCTTCACATCCCTTGTAAGTTGTATTCCTAGGTATTTTATTCTCTTTGTAGCAATTGTGACTGGGAGTTCACTCATGATTTGGCTCTCTGTCTGTCTATTATTGGTGTATAGGAATGCTCGTGTCTATAGCCATACCACCCTGAATGTGCCCGATCTCGTCTAAGTTTCATCTTTATGCCCACATCACTCTCTTATATATTCCCAAAAACCTTCTAGAAAGAAATAAACATAGCAACTCACTTATGATAATGCAACTGAAGGCAACTTTAGAGACAAAGCTGTAACTTTGGGGCAATGGGGTCTAAGCAGAGAAGTCAGAGAAGAACAAGATGGAAGAGGGGAAAAGGTGTTTAAATAAAAACATCAATGGATATTTTCACTTTATAAGGCAGAATTCTAAAAATAAAAATTGTGCTGGCCATATACTGTTGAGTGAAAGAAGCCAGACACTAAAGAAAACACTTACTGAATTATTTGAAAGTTCGTAAGATAAAATTGATCTGAAGTTGAAAGGGTAGTGATAAGCTCTAGAAAAGAGGGAGCTACACACATACACACACAGACACACACAAACCACTACTTATCTCACAAGGTTGTCTCCAATGTACTTAACACAATGGCTCCACTGAATAGTCATTCAACAAAAGTTAACATAAACAAATAAAAAATAAAAATAAAAAAAAAGTTAGCAAAATATATAAATAAGTAGATTGAAAAGTTGTGTAAGGCAATCATGAACAAAAAGTAAATTTACTAATATTAGAAAAAGGAAAATTATCACATTCTTATGCAAACAGTATCATAAAAAGAAAAGCTCCATGGGTCAGAAGCTATCATTATAATCTAGCTCTAGACCAACGGCCCCAAACTCCAAGTGGAAATTTCCATAAAATTGCTAGACAGAAAAAGGAAAAGGGTGGGGAGGATGAAAATAAACTTCTGATTCAAAGTGAGCTTATCAACCCAATTAAAAATTTTAATGCTTGTTTGCTAAGAAACTAATTGAAGCCAATGATTTGAACACAAATATTCTCTAGATGAGAATAATTTTACGAAATGGTCTTACCAAGATTCTTTAAGGATTTTTAGCATACCTTAACCAGTTAAATGAATACTTAAACAATATAAAACAAGAACAGGTAGCTATGAACAATAATTTATTAGAAACCTTGGAAATGAAAAACAGTCTTAAAATTAAAAATGTAACAAATGAGATAAAGCCTAGATGGGCATAGTAAAGCAGAAATTAGAAAATTGGAAAATGGAACTGAGATAACCATTCAAAATGCAGCGAAAAAGAGAATAAAAAGACAAAAGATTTTTTAAGAGCCATGAAAAACACACTCCAACTTTTGTTTAATGAGAGTTTCAGCAGAAAAGCATGGTGGAAAGTGATATTTGAAGACATAATAGGTGAACACTTTTCAAATTTGAGGAAAGACATGAGTTTTCAGAGTGACATTACACTGAGTAAAATAAAGATAAATCTAAATATAGACACATAATGATAAAACTACAGAACATAAAGAATTAGGAGATTATCTCAAAAGAGAGAAACACATTATCTACAAAGGAAGAGGTGTCAAAACACAGAAGTCAGAAGACTTTGGTATAATGTAGTCAAGCACCACTAGAAAACAACTATCAACCTGGAATTGTACACACGAGTAGTCTCATTATAAAATGAGTGCAAAATAAAGATATTTTCAGACACATAAAGTATATACTTTAGTGACCCTCACTAAAGGATCTGTTAAAGAATATAACCTCAAAATACAGATTAACCAGATAAAAATACAAGATAGCAGTCAAATTTGAATTTCAAATAAATAATTTGAGATGTACTTACTTTAAAAACCTATTTGTTGTTTATCTGAAATTCAAATTTAACTGGGTTCTGGATTTTATTTGGCAAATCCTCCCCAAAAGAAGAAACAAATGCAGGAAACAAGCACAGGATACAAGAAATACTGCCATCAGAAAAATGACAGTAAATTCATTTAACTATTAGCTATATGAGGGAAAAAGGCTTTATTTCCATTAGGTACACCTTTGACAATACCTGTAAAATAATGACTCTGGTCTAAGCCACAAATCCATTTTCTTTCAAATATCCAAGAGGTTGCCATAATGGCCTTTCAGTGTTCCATCGACAAAGATGCTCTCCTTGATCAAACTCTAGTCAGGCTCCTCTGAACCCTCTTCTCAACTAGCTCTGACTTCATGTATGCTTCTGTATTTGTCTCTGCATTGTCCAGTTTTAGCTAATATCCTCTTAAGTTAGTTTAGCCAGAATCCCCCATGCTGGATATCTGATTGGGTTCCTCATCTTCCACCAACCCCTAGGTAATGTCTGGTCACCCTGATCTGCCTTCAGCAAGAATACCCTCCTAGGATGGTTGAGCCAGAATCCCCCCTTACCCCTCATGTGTCCTCTTAGTAATTTTTCATCCACTGATATCACACTCTCACCCTCACTCCTTGGTGATACACTTTTACTTTTCCTTATTTTCAGAGTTGAGCCCAATCTCTCTCCCCTACCCCAAAACTCCACTGCAGTAGTTCTTATACCTGTTACAACAGTTACCTGAATAAAATCTGTCTTACTGTTCTTTAACAAATGTTATAAACAATATTTTTCTTTAACATTATGTTAAAAGCAGAACAAATCCAGTAAGTGTTTTCCCAGCACGTATCACAAAGCCCATAATTAATTGCATGCAAATGGTTCGATTAATTATAAGAGCTTTGCCTTAAGATTCTCAATCATTTCACCTCATTCTACATGTCTGTTTTAATCCAGCACTATGCTACAAGACACATTCTTTTCTCCAGCCAGGCAGGCTTTCTTGGGGGTCTCACCTGCACTTTCTAGTGCTCATTTATCTAGGGTTCTCAAAGCATTCAAAGACCAATCTGCCTTTACCTGCTCACAGTACTGCAGTTCACACTCAGTATTTTTTTGGTAATCATTAAGAAGAGGTCTGAAATGCAAGCTACAGTCCAGACAAGCGCTTTGTAGCCAAAAAGTCCTTATGCAGAATATTGATCAAGACTGTGGAGTCTCATTTAATAACAGATATGCCCCCTGAAAACAGGTACATTATCTCTTCTTTTGTCCAAACAAAATGTGATTTCAGATGCACTCCGAGGAACTTTTTATCTAAAAGGAGCCTAGGCTGAAAGTTTTGGTAATGAGTATTCTTGTGCCTCAATGTATCGGTTTCATAAATTTATTTTATTAAAGCAGAACGAGTATAATAAAACGATGCTGAAAGAAAGTTATGTGGCTAGCTCTTTCCTATTTCCTTTAACGGGCTCATAGGGAGCCAGCTAAAATTCAGCTAGTTCGAAGAGTAAATAAAGCACATTGCATCCTGCTCATTCAAAGTGATTTCATTACACTAAATTCTAAGGGCAGGAACAATGTCTTACCCATCATTCATCACACATACTTTCAGTCTATAGCTAGGAGTGCCCCAGCGATTAATGTTTGTGGAATACTGAGTCATTTAAAAAGTCTTCGAGATGATCTATGAAAAACGAATATACATACACTGAATTATAAAAGTGTAGATGTCTTTTAATTACATTCAGCACGTACTGAGGTACTGTGGTATTGCCCACAGTACGTGCCAAAAATGTAGCAAATAATACTAAGTTGATTTTATCCTTGTAAACTGAAACTGGTAAGTGACTTTGGTATGTCAAAAGAGATACTTGCTTTTAATAAAATCACTCAACAGACTGATTCCCCAAGTACTTTCAGAACCAAATTCTATTTTTGAAACTTAGATTTACATCTAACTTTTTAAGAACCCACTTATGGCAAAATATGGACAAAAGAGGGTACTCAGTATTTCCACTCAGGGAAGGACTGAGTATTAAAGAAAAGCAGCATGGACGTAGGAGCTCTTAGTATTATTTCATTTAATTCTAGTTCTACATCAGACCTTTATAGCATAATAATCAAATGACAAATGCTGCTCTAGATCCATCAGAGCATATAACTATATTGTTTGTTATGATAAATGAAGCAAATTATAACAATTCCATAATGCTGAGAGTAGCAAGGCTGTTTTGGAGCTCCATGTGTGTATATGTAATAAATCATCCCTTTGAAAAGATAATTGCAGCACCACTAGAGAGGAGGAAAAAAAACAACTTTGAGGGCAATTATTTGAAAGCTCCTCAAATTAACATGTATACAGTTGGTTCTTTGTTACTGAGTGCACATTAGTAAAAGTTGTTTCAGGACATTAGTTCACTTAGTTGAAGGAAATAATGTAATTCTAGTTATTAACCACTTTAATTTTAAAAGTGCTTTGTAAACTGAGAAGACATTAGACTGTAAGAACAATGTGGAAGGCACAAGCAATTAGATGCTAAATGGGCTCCTTTTGAAAACCTTTAGGAAAACAAAATCAAAAAGCTTCAAGGTTCTAGGAAAACTGAATGTACATATGTAATGTGAGCAAGTTCGATTTCATTTTACTGACCATCAATATCACAAAGGGAGTGAAATTAAGCCCTTCTCTCAATAGTAATTTCAATAGATTTACTGAATGAAATCATATTATGAGTCAAATGCCTTTGTAATGTAATTTAGCAGTGCCTCCTTGAGGACCCATGAAATAGAATTTTGTGTGTTACTTCACTTTAGAATCATTGCCAAAAAGTATAACACTGCTTTACAAATATCCTCCAGAGACCTAAGCCAGGATTTGGTGTTACCAGTAGACCATCAGCGAATTGACTAAGGCAGAACCATCTAATATGCTCAGTATGAACAAAGTTTGCTAAGGGTCAGTCAGCCGTACCGACAGAGGAAAATGCAAAAAAACTCATGCAATTACTTGAATAAGTCTCCATTCTAACATACAAAATAGATAGCAAGTGATTACTTGCAAATTTGCACTTCTATCACTTCTAAAGTGGTATTTTTATTAATATAAATTATTCAAAACATTAATCAGCCAGTAAAAGAAATGTATTGTACAACTTTCTCTCCCTCCGTCTCTCCTTCCTTCCTCCCTTCCTTCTTTCTTTTTAGAGACAGGGTCTCACTTTGTTGCCCAGGCTTCAGTGCAGTGGCACGATCATAGCTCACTGCAGCCTCGAACTCCCGGACTCAAGCAACCCTTCTGCCTCAGCTTCTCAGTAGCTGGGATTACAGGCATGCACCACCACACCCAGCAAATTTTTATTTTATTTTTTTTGTAGAGACAGGGTCTTGCTTTGTTGCCCAGGCTGGTTTTAAACTCCTAGCCTCAAGCAATCCTTCTGCCTCAGCCTCCCAAAGTGCTGGGAATACAGGCATGAGCCATTACATCTGGCTGATAACCATCACTTTTTAATGAAATAAAACAAAATTAATATTAATTGCTTTGACTTCTATTAGCTCTCACAACAGATGGCATAACTTCTAATTAGCTAGTATCTGCATTAGTGATATTTTACAAAATATAAACAAATATATAATTGGTAAAGGTGGCCATAGGTGGTATGAGAGTATAACCCTGGTTAGGGCCGGGTACAGTGGCTCACACCCGTAATCCCAGCACTTTCAGAGGCTGAGGTGGGTGAATCAGAAGGTTGGGAGATCAAAACCATCCTGGCAAACATGGTGAAACCCTGTCTCTACTAAAAATACAAAAAATTAGCCGGGTGTGGTGGCGTGTGCTTGTAGTCCCAGCTACTTGGGAGGCCGAGGCAGGGGAATCGCTTGAACCCAGGAGGCGGAGATTGCAGTGAGCCGAGATTGCACCACTGCACTCCAGCCTGGCGACAGAGTAAGACTCCATCTCAAAAAAAAAAAAAAAAAAAAAGGGTATAACCCTGGTTGGGCTTATTAACTATCTTTGTGACCCTGGGAAAGTTATTTACTTTCTCTGTGTCTCAATGTCTAATTGAGAATAATAATGCCCAAATCTCATAGGATTGTTTTGAAGATTAAACCAAGTACATAGCATATGGACTAACCCATAGTAAATGATCAATAAAGGTTAGTTCCCTTTCCCTAAAGCAGAACAAGACGGTTGATAGCATAAGTTCTGGCCTCATTCTACCTTGGTTTAATTCCTGCATGTAGCACTTATTAGCAATATGCTGCACAAATGACTTAGCCTCTCTAGGTCTCAATTTCTCCTGTAAAATGGGGTATAATAGTGCCTACTTTAAATAGAAAACTTAAAGGCTAATGGAGATAACTGATATAAAGTGCTTATTAAACAAAGCATCTGGCACACAGTAAATTTAGTTATTAAAATCAAATTAATTCATTATTTATTTCCCTCTTTATAAGTTTATGACTTCTGGGCTTACAAACATAGTTTATCATGAATCACTACAAATATGTTGGTTTTATTTGTAAGTCATTGGTACTGGACCAAATAAAATAAAGCTATAATAAGAGCTTCTTGGCCGGGCGTGGTGGCTCATGCCTGTAATCCCAGCACTTTGGGAGGCCGAGGCGGGCGGATCACGAGGTCAGGAGATCAAGACATTCCTGGCCAACACAGTGAAACCCCGTCTCTACTGAAAATATAAAAAAAGTAGCCAGGCATGGTGGTGCGCGCCTATAGTCCCAGCTACTCAGGAGGCTGAGGCAGGAGAATTGCTTGAATCTGGGAGGCAGAGGCTGCAGTGAGCCAAGATTATGCCACTGCACTCCAGCCTGGCGACAGAGCGAGACTCTGTCAAAAAAAAAAAAAAAAAAAAAAAAAAGAGCTTCTTATCTCATCAATAACAAATGAACCCTTTCTTCATCCACATCAAATCTATTTTTTAAAAATTGGGCCTCTGGGTTCACAAAAGTGAGTAAGACTGGGTCCTTGATGTCTGAGAAATCAGCCTGTCAGGAAAAGAAAGAGGTGAACAACAACATATAATGTGAATAAATAATTCCAACACAGAGTAAGAGGAAATCCTACTACTGTCTGGGAGACTGTCATGGTGGTTTTCACTAAGGGTGTGGCATGGGGCATAAGTAGGGGATTGATTTTCAGGCCAAAAAGAGGAGCTACTTGGAGGCAAGATTTCTATATTTTCTGTTTAGAGGTACTATGTTAACTCTAAATAGGCTATGAAAACTTAAACTGTCAAATTCCTGATTGCTCTAGGAATTATAATACAAACGGTCTATCAGTTACTACATACATTATAATTCCTAGAGTAATCCCTTTAAAATAATACAAAAAGGCCAGGCACAGTGGCTCACACCTGTGATCCCAGCACTTCTGGAGGTGGAGACGGGTGATTTGCTTGAGGCCAGGAATTCGAGACCAGCCTGGCCAACATGGTGAAACCCCATCTCTACTAAAAACACAAAAATTAGTCAGGTGTGTTGGTGCTACTCAGCTACTCAGGAGGCTGAAGCAGGAGAATCACCTGAACCCAGGAAGCGGAGGTTGCAGTGAGCTGAGATCATGCCACTGCACTCCAGTCTGGGCAACAAACAAGACTCCGTCTCAAAAAAAAGACAAAAAAAAAAGGTAAAATGATGCAAAAACATATTGGTAAAAAGCCAATAGATAAAATGGAATTCTAAGAAAAGGGAAAGAAAAGAACAAAAAAATTCCTGATCAGACAAAGATGTTTAGATAGACCTAAATCTAACCACATCAATAATTATGAGGTAGGAGATCAGCAGGACTTATTTTCTGAGCACTAATCATGACCCTGCTAATCAAAATAGGCTGTAGCAGAAAAAATGGCCAGAACCAACTGAGGGCCATGAAGGCAACCTCTAGTCACCCTCACTGCTCATTAGCATAAAGACACTCCTACCAGCACTATGACAGTTCACAAATGCCACGACAGTGACCCAGAAGTTATCTTACGTGGTTCCAAGAACTCCCCACTTATTTTCTAGAAAATTCGAAATAACCTGCCCCTTAATTAGCATATTATTAAGAGTGAGTATTAAATATAGCTAGCCAGCAATTTACAGGGACTGCTGCTCCGGATGGCTACTGTTGCTGTACGCTGCTGCTACTATGCTGGGCCACCCCACCTCTGGGATAGCCCTGATCTGCCTATGGAGCAGCCATTCTGCTGTACCTGCTACTCTAATAAACTTGCTTTCTTTCACTGCTGGCTCAGCCTTGAATTCTTTCCTGAGCAGAGCCAAAAACCCTCTCAGGCTAGGCCCCAACTTTGGGGTATGCCAGGATCAATTACTTTAGATTATACTGCAATAAACACCCCTATTAAGAGGCAGAGATATCAGAATGTAGAAAAGAAGCAAGACTCAACTACATGTTGTCTATAAGACACCCATTGTAAAGGTAAAAAAACACAGACTGAAATTTGCCAGAGGTGAAAGAAAAAAATCCATTCCATAATCGTAGCAGGCAATTTTAACACCTCTCTCAACAACTGATAGAACAAGAAAAATTTCACAAGTATTTGCATATTAAGCAATATATTTCTAAATAATCCATGGGTCAATAACAAAATCAGAATAATTTTTAAAAATTGAACTTATTATTGCAGCACCAGTCATAATAGCCAAGATATGGAATCAACCTAGGTGTCCAAAAATACATGAATGGATACAGAAAATGTGGTGTATATACAAAACAGAATACTAATCAGTCATAAAAATGAATGAAATCCTGTCATTTGTGTAACATGGATGGAGTTGGAGGACATTATGTTAAGTGAAATCAGCCAGGAACAGAAAGTTAAACACCACATACTCTCACTCATAAGTGGAAGCAAAAAAAAGTTGATCTCACTGAAGTAAAAAGTAGAACAGAAGATAACTAGAGGCTGGGAAGGGTAGAGGGGAGGTAAAGTTAAAGATAGATTTGTTAAAAGATACAAAATGACAGCTGATATCATTTGGCTGTATCCCCACCCAAATCTCATCTTGAATTCCCACATGTCGTGGGAGGGACCTGGTAGGAGGTAATGAATCATGGGGACAAGTCTTTCCCTTGCTGTTCTTGTGGTAGTGAGTAAGTTTCACAAGATCTGATGGTTTTAAATATAGGTGTTCCCCTGCACAAGTTCTCTTTTGCCTGCTGCCATCCATGTAAGATGTGACTTGATCCTCCTTGGCTTCCACCATGATTGTGAGGCTTCCCCAGCCATGTGGAACTGTAAGTCCAGTTAAATCTCTTTCTTTTGTAAAATGCCCAGTCTCGGGTATGTCTTTTTCAGCAGTGTGAAAACGGACTAATACAACAGTTAAATAGGAAGAATAAGTTCTAGTGTTTTGTAGTTATATAGTTTCAAATAGGTAGAAGGAAGATACACTGAATGTTCCAATTATAAATGTTCAAGATGATAGATTTGCTAAATACCTTGATCTGATCACTATACATTTTAAGTATCAAAACATCACTACATACCCCATAAATATGTACAATTATTATATGCTGATAAAAAATAAAAGGAAATTTTTTTAAAACTTGAACTTAAAGATAAGAAAATGACACAAAATTAAGGGACACAGTTAAAGTCAGAATCTAGACTGATAGAAATTTACAGCCTTTTATTTACATTTCAGAAAAAGAAGAAAGGCTGACATCAATGACCTAAGTATGCATCTAAAGAAATTAGAAATAGTAGCAATTGAACAAAAAGGTAGAGGAAAAGAAAACAAAGATCAGAAATTAGTGAAATAGACAAATGTTTTCAACAAAACAAATAACTGATTCTTTGGGGGAAAAATTGGTAACATTGATAAACCACTGGCAAGCCTAATTCAAGAAAAACAAATATAGCACAGGTAGCAATATAACTAAAAGGGATGGGGGTTGCTATATAAATTAAAAAGAAAAGAGGATATTAGGAAAACATTTCATATTAATACATTTGACATTTTGGATAAAATGACACTTTCTAAGGTAATACAGATTATTAAAACTGACACAAAGTAGTAATGGGAAATCTGAATAATAGTATAGCTATTAATTTGCTCCATAACCGAAACACTTTCTAAAAGAAAACTTCAGGACCAAATGTCTTCTCCTGTGAATTACGCTAAATACGTAAGGAAGAAATAACACCATAAAACTATCTAAGAGAGAGTAAGCCTTCTGTCTTCAAATATCTATGAATGGTAAAAAATGGCAAACAAATAAACACACCATACCAAGAGAACATATGTATATTTTATCCATTTGACATTAAGAGAAATTAGGAGCATCTGACATTCTGGAAAATGTATCTAACAATTAGCTATGCAGGATTGGATTAGTGAAGGATAAATAAGGACCCTCCTCTGTCCTCTAGTTTAACGGAACAACTACAAGAAAGCCTTTTCTGTGGAATAGAGTTCCCCAACAACCTTGAAATGAAATGTCTTTGGAAGTACTGAGCTTCCTGTCCACAGAGGTGATCTGATAGCTTCTTAATAACTATTGGCCAGGGATATGATAAGAGTATTTTTATCCTGAACAGCATATAAGGTTAGATGGCCCATAGGCACATTCCAGTTCTATGATGCTATCATTACCATCAGTCCCCTGGGACAGAGACTGTGCATGAGAAGAAAGGAATTACGTCTCAGCCTTTCACATAAGTTTTAGCCCCTCGACACCGAGTTTCCTGAAGTGTCCCCTGTTATTAGGTATGTCTTGTTTTGTAGGACAGTTAATCATTTAGTGGCCTGTTTACAAACATTTTAAGGCGTGTTTATAGGGCAGCCATAATATTTCTCTTCAGTCTGTACTTCTGCGTGCTAAACACACTCATGTTTCTAGGTCCTTCACAAACTTGGTTGACTTTATTAACCAAAAGACAATAATGAACACTGAACACCCAAACCCCAAATCAGTCTGAGGGGCACAGTGTACAAGGTTGTTACTTCCACTGCCCTGTTCATTCCATTTCTACTAATGCATCCTACAGATGTGCTAAGGCTATAGACTTTTATCCAAATCTATAAAACAATAACTTGGTTTATATTGTAAAACATGCATCTTAAAATCTATTCATTATTTAATTTAACCTACTCATTCATCCATCTAATTAATTCAATGATACCTTAAATTCTGACTCTAAAATAATGTAGATTAATCCACTATTCCCATGTTACTAAGTTTAGCAGATGTTTCTCAAAATGTGTCATGGGTGTCCTCTCCTTAAGTGGTTAATTCTAATTTTCTCAACATTCTGTGACACATGAGGGCTTACAATATTTTTAAGACAAAGTCTTTCAAAGACAGACTGTATGTGCATTTCTAAATAAATTCTTTTATGTTACCAAAGACTCTACATATCATAAAAGTTACACAGATGCACTATAGACAATTGAGAAAATTCTCAGATAAAAAATCAAGATATTCCTTTGGCATGAGCCATTTGAATAGGGTGATAGACAATCTACTTGAGAAAATTCTCAGGTAATCAAGATATTCCTTTGACATGAGCCATTTGAATAGGGGGTTAACCTATACTCTGTAACATGACCTTAATCTACTGTATCCTAAATACATATGGTGGTGAAGGATACAGAGCCTCAGAACACAAATCAGAAGACATGTGCCATGTTCTCAACATGGCTTTTGGTTCTATCAGACTCTGGGAGGCTCTCTGCTTTCTCAGTTTCAATGTATACATATTTCCAAGTTACTAATAACAACATCTTCATCCTAGACATGTAAAGGGAAATTAGAAGCATTGGTCTTCCCATAAAGTAACTAAAACAAAATATGATATCATATATGGGTACTAAACTAGGCCTTGGTAAACTCAAGTTATAATCTCAGCTCTATGCTGCCACAAGAAAGTCACTTAACCTCTCTGGGCTTGAGTTTTCTCATTTATAAAGTAGACACTGTACCAGACAATCTCCTAGCTTCCCCCTGCTTGTACAACTTTGCTGTACTGTTCAACATAAACCAAACAAAAGTACTCAGGGCATTTCACACTTAGCTACATAGCTTTTCTTATTGCCTAGGCAAAATGTGTTTACTCTGATATCTAGTTCCTGAGATGACCAACAACATTTTGATGAGAGGAGAAAAGGGAATTCTGTTGCCCAACCATGCATTGGCAATGAAGTAGAACTGCTAAGTACATGTGGGTGCCTGCAAGCACATGTGTGCACACGCCCATGAAAGGATATGAGGTGACTAGCATGGAAACCACAGTGTGCTCTCTAATGTGATCCAAACTCTTTTAAATTCTATCCAAACTCTTTTAGATTAAAAACTTGCATCAAGTTTCAGTGGTAGTAAAGCAATTCCAATAACCATATTTTAAACTTATTTCCTTACATTTCCTTAGCCAAAAGGAGTGAACATGAGGTGGTTCACTGTGACAGGCTGGGCGAATGAGCAAGCCGTGGCAAACAACTGAAGTTTCTAAAAAGCCAAAACAACTGTTGAGTCCACATCAATGAATTCAGTTAGTCTTACCTTGGCAAAAGGTGTTGTTAACCCGCTTATAACCCGGTAGGCATTCCATCATTTGGTTGTATCCATGATAAGCTGTAAGGGAAGAAATGCTTTGTTACATACTTAAATTCTTACAATCTTAGACTAGTGTAAGTGATATCTGAAGCCATTTAAGGCATCAGCAAACTTACTTATTCATTTATTAATATAAGAAACCAATACCAATGTATATCTCCATAATTTTTTTCCCATTCTGCTTATTTTTCAGGATACTTATTTTGCAATAAAGTCCCAAGAAATTATCAGTAAATCTTTATTACGTTAACTGAAACAATCCTAAGATTGTTGTACATTTTCTTCTAATTAGTGATTACATATTTCCATCACAAAGGATCTATTCCTCCCCATTGATGTGCTTTAGGTTTTGGATTTTCTTATCCATTGTAGGTAGGGTTACTACACGTCCTGGAACATTCTGGGTGATGTCTGTTATTCCAGCAAAGTTAATTAACAGTACTTTACTCCCCAAAGTGTCCCACTTTAGACAATAAATTATACACTCATCCTAATTGCTGGATCGGGTATCCCAGTCATGAGATGATTCTCACCATTATGAACCAGAGAAGAATAGGCAGGTGATGAGAGGAAGTCAGGAAATTAAAAGGGCTACACTCAGAATATGCAAACAATACAAATGTTGCAATCACCAACTTCTCAACAAAACCCTATTTCCTGAGATTCTGATACTCTAGAGTGAGACTTGAGAGAGCACCTGGCATAGCGGATGCAGCCAAAGTTCTGGGATGTGGCAGAAGTGGATTTCAAATCCTCTTCCTATCAATAGCTGTGACCTTGGGAAACAAGCCTCTTGGGTTTCACACAGAAATTCTATACAATGAGGGTAATTCCCATCTACTGAGCAGGGAAGAATTCTTCTGCAATTTAGAGATAATTCATGAAAAATGCCTACCACAGGGCCTAAGTGTGATAAGCACTCCCAAAGTGTCAAATGCCATTGCTATGTCCTGCAGTAAGGAATTCTTCTATTAAGAGGCTACTGTGCAACAGAAAACAAGCTATAATCAAAATGGGATGAAAGATTAAACCACTAAAAAAGACTTGAAAGAGGAGTAAAAGGGGAAAGTAGAAAATAAAAAGGGAAATTTTCTCTTAAAAAATAAAATTATTTCAGCCTCCCCATATGCTCTTTATCTGTCACCACTAAAGGAACAGGGTGAATATGTACTGGGGTGTCCCTCTTCTCCTTCAATTCTTTTCTTTGCTGTATTTCCCCTCTCTTCAGATTCCCCCGAATGCCTAAAAGAGAAGATCAGAGTGAGGCATCTGGGAAAGGCAAATTAAAAGACGGGAGATATGGGCGTGTGGGAGTCCCTCCATTCAGCTCCTTGGCCTCAGGTCTGTCTTGTCCCATAGACCTCTAGAGCAGGCATCCTGCAGAGACTGTGGGATCTCTGGCTGCAAATTCCTCAAAGTCAAAAGAGATGGATATGAACTTGTTTTAGAACTTTCAGCAGTCATCTACTTGAAGGCAGAGAGCCAGACCAGGCAATCTCTTACAGTCCTCCTCAGCTTAGGATTTTATGTTCATTTTCTTCTCAAAAGTTTTAAAGGACAAGTGACTTGTTCATGCTAGGCACATTTCTAATGGGTCACAAACTATTTAAGAAATCATTTGCAGATTTAAAATTAAGTATTCACAGCAAAAAAAATGATCAACAATGAAAGGTCTTTCTGTATGTGGCTAAACAAAAACTTCAAATGTTAAATAAAAGCCACTTGAAAACTAAAGTTTGAACTAGTTTGAGTGAAAAAAAAGAGGTGTGGAACACAAAACCATAGCGTAGAAAGCCAAGGAAAGTCTGCTTCCTTCCAAACTGAATATGATTTAGAGAGGAGTCCCAACCAAGGAAAGGAAAACTTTTTAAATGACACAGGAAGAATGTGACCCTGAGTGTGTTTCTTGGGAGTGAGTCACTTAAGAGGACACAAACAGAATAAATGTCAAGATGTTAACAGTTTACTTCATTCATAGTCCACATTGCCCTTCCTGAAGTGAAGGCAGTCTCTTCAATTTTATACATTAAATGAGCCAACATATGGATTTTTTTCACCAACATTTAGTTAAAAGTGACAGCAACTTTGCACTTTCACATTCAACTAAGTCCTTATCAAGATTAAAATACAGAGCTCACAAACCACAGACATCAGTGAACTCATCTTAGATAAAAATGACGCAATTCTAGACAAAAACGACAAAAGGTCAAGAGTGGAAGTTAGGGATTAAAAAAAAAATAAAAGGACAGTAGGAATCTCTTTACCTTTAATGTCTATCACATCCCTGCTACTTTGGGGTTTGGACACAAGAGAAGAGAAGCAGCTAAGCAAAAGATACACAAAGAAGGGGGTAAATGAAAATGAAAAAGAAAAATAAGACAGATGGGGAAGGTATTTAATATTAGAGAACATAGACTTAGGACCAAAACAAAGTTCTATGAACCTAACTTCCCTCATCCTTAATTCTTAGACCAAACAGTGGAAAATATATCATCCTCCTCAATATTCCTACAGACAGACAGACATGGTAAACAAAGAGGCAGGTTTAAAAAAAAAAAGATGGCAACGCCTCTTCAACGTTTTAGGTATAGATTCCTGCTTAATGAGCTCTAAGACTCAATAGCAAATGAAAGAGCTGGGAGTCGAACTCAGGGCTACCTAACTTCAAACACTAAAATTTTTAAATCAAACCAAATGCATCATAGCTATCCCTTTGGTCAGGTTGCCAAAATAATTTTAAGCAAATGGATCTTCCAGTGACGATGAACCATCACACTCAACCTACTTCCTGGAAATTTGCATTGCAAATGATCATCGAATCAGCTTAGAACATCTGCTTGGAAAATTCTCTCAGTACTGAAAATGTCCTTATTTACATGGATTATTTTTGTAAATGAAGAATTCATTAATTATGAGGAACTTCGGTGGGCATTTCCACAAGTTAGTCTTCTAAAAAGAGATGAGTAGTATCAACAAAATAAATAAAATTACTTGCTTTAGGCATTTAGAAAATCTGTAAGTTTGTGAGACAAAGAAGTCCAAATGAGAGACAATTACTTAAAATGAATTGTTATACTGGTAGAAGAACAAATAATGTAAGAAAGAGATATGGAATACTAATGCCCAGATGGCAAATCCTAGATTGAATATAGAGGTTTAAAAGGCATTTGAGAATACAATCAAATCAACAGATAAGAGGAGTAAACAAAAATTATTCATTTAAAGCAAATGAGAAATTTCTTGCAGTACAAAGAATAAAAAAATTATAAAAACTTCAGTTATATGAGGCAAAGAAAGATGACTGACAAAAATATCACTTGCTCTCTTGGCAAAAACATGATGAATAAGGGTCAGAAAGCTCAACTTAAACCCAGTCACCTCTGTCTCTAAAAACTATTTATGGCCAGGCGCAGTGGCTCACGCCTGTAATCCCAGCACTTTGGGAAGCAGAGGCAGGCAGATCACCTGAGGTTAGGAGTTGGAGACCAGCCTGGCCAACATGGTGAAACCCCATCTCTACTGAAAATACAAAAATTAGCTGGGCATGTTGGCAGATGTCTGTAACCCTAGCTACTCGGGAGGCTGAAGCAGGAGAATCACTTGAACCCAAGAGGCGGAGGCTGCAGTGAGCCGAGGTTGCCCCACTGTGCTCCAGCCTGGGCGACAATAGTGAAATTCCGTCTCAAAAAGAAAAAAAAGTATTTATTAGAAATCAGTTATCCAGAGTTAATACTACATTGAAAAACTAAAGGTACAAATTATTGTCAGGAATAGAGTATTAAAAAGGTGTAAATCTGATTTATTCAAATCAACATGTTCTGAACAATAAAAGCAAATCAAAGCCTGGGGGTGTTAATATAGATTAATGTTGCTGAGGTCTGTGACAGCATAAAACCAGTGTCAGAAAAAATGGGAAAGAATTGTGTCCTAGTGATTATAAATTTCTCTTTTACAAATCAACAACCAATTATTTCTCCATTTTAGCTTTCCTTTTAATGAAATTTGAAAACCGATAATATAACAAAAACTACAACATAAGTTGTGGACATTAATAAAAATCTCATTTAAGGAATTTAAACCTAGGAAATAACAACTGTACTTTTTACAGGGTTTGAAACATTTATTTACCATTTTAAAAGAGATCTTATTTTCTCTTCCCCTGAGACAAAAAGTCCATTTTAACTCATTACCACTTAAGACTTTTTTTCCCCATAAGTAATCCAACTAAAGAGGATAATTAATAACTGTGCTTATTACAAAATAATTGACATGAAAACTTTTTCAGACTTGCAAATTTTCTGGAAATGCACATCATAGTACTACATTCTAGAATTCAGTAGGAGAGTTCTTTGAAAGTCTAATATTGCCTCATCATTAAAGGAGTAATCATAAAAAACAGATATGCTACATTAACCTGCAAAGGAGTGAGGAAACATTACTTACATGGTTTCTTGGGGCATTTCTGGCATTTGTTAAAGCCCCAGGAGGTACCCACAGTTCCACAGCAGTCCTCTTGCTTTGAAAGGCCAGGGAGCGCTTTGCCACACTGCAATGATTAGGTGTGAAATATGAAGGTTAATTGAGTGCAGGATGCCCAGCCCCAGAGCACTGCTGTCCCTCACAGCCACGCTATAAACCAGTTCCCTTGTTATCGACACAATTAGAAAGGAAAAAAACTATAAAACTTGGAAAGAAAATACCTGGACAGAAATCAATACAACACAAAAATGAACAAGTACATTTCCAAATGGGAGCACCTTGATGTTTTTCTAGTCTAAGAAAATCTGTCACTGCTCAGAGTACTTCATAAAACTTAAATTTCCAATGCCTTTTTTTCTTAATAAGAGCCTCATAGTGTGTAAGATCAATATAGGCTTTTTAGATTTTAGTTGTATCTGTCTGTTTAAATCTCTTGTGTGGACCATCAGGGAACATAACTCTTAAGGGTATGGCATGTGTGTAAAATGTGAGAAGATGGCACAGGTCCCACCTACAGGAGGCTTCTGGTCTTCCTATAACCCCAAGGCCTGGGCACAGACAGGACAGAAGAAACAATTACTGGCTGGGCCAAATCAGCTCTAGCAGAGACGAAGGCTCCAGGCAGCCAAGTATTCTGACCCAGGGAGGTCAGCCAAGCTAGGAAGGTGCCAGCATGTTTAAGCGAGACCAGCTTGAGCAGGCAGAAGAGTAGGACTTAGAGGCTACTGGTGCAACACTGGTTGTCCAGTGTTAAGACCAGGTAAGACTCCTGGTCAACCACAGGAAGTGAGAAAAAGCTGAGAGGCAGGGGCCTGAAGTTAGACCACCTCAATGGGGTGAGGAAGTGCCTAAGAAAACAGATCCTGCTCTGTGGACCCATCCAAAGGCCAGCCTGAGGGGAGGACCAGCTGACTCTCCACCCCTGCTATGCAGGCTAACACACCCCACATTTTTGTCTCCTGTGCAAACACAGAGCATCCAAGGGGTTATTCTGCCTTTCTCTGCCTCAGCCTCTACAAAAATCCTCCCAACAGTTTCCAGAGTTGTCTTTCCAAAGACAAATCTGGTCACATTACCGATTAAAAACTTTCACTGACTCTCCATTGTCTGAAAATGGCACACTCTAGAATGATCTATAAGGTCCTTCCTATTCCCACCTAAGGCAATCTCTTGTCCCCATCCACCTCTATCCTGCAGACATACCAAAGGGCTCTTTATTTTCTGAACAAATCACGTCCTTCCAAAAGGAGCATGTCTGGCTGGAACACCCTCCCCTTTTTTCTTTCCCAGAATAAACTTTATTCAACCCATGAGATGTATTAATAGCTCTGAAGAACCATCACTATGAAACCTCCCCTATCTCCTTAATTCCAATGAGTTCCTCCCTCCTTTTTACCCCACAGCACTGTCTATACAGTCTACTGCCTCTGAGATGCATTTTTGTTAAATGCGTATGTATCTTATGTTTATATTCCAGTACACAGTACACGTTGCAAATGCTCAGGAAACGCTGCATGAAGAAAGGAACAAACAACCTAGGGAACTAAGGAACAAGCTAGTTGTAGGCCATCCAGGCAAGCAATGGCTATGTGAAAACCAATGGAGGGGCCAGGCATGGTGGCTCACACCTGTAATCCCAGCACTTTGGGAGGCCGAGGCAGGCAGATCACGAGGTCAGGAGATCGAGACCATTCTGGCCAACATGGTGAAACCCTGTCTCTACTAAAATACAAAAAATTAGCCAGCGTGGTGGTGCGTGCCTCTAGTCCCAGCTACTCAGGAGGCTGAGGCAGGGGGATCGCTTGAACCCAGGAGGCAGAGATTGCAGTGAGCCCAGATTCACCACTGCACTCCAGCCTGGCGACAGAGCGAGACTCTATCTCAAAAAAAAAAAACAAAAAACAAAAGAAAACCAATGGAAGTTTAGCATCCATACCCCAGGCTAGTGAGCAGAGTGTGGTGACAGAAGGTCCAGGCAGGTGGTGGCCCTCAGAAGGACAGCAAGTAGTAGACACCAGTCACCTGGCAGGCCTCCAGGGGCAGCGTTTCTTTTCTGCCAGGTCCAAGCATGCAACATTCTGACTGAGGCGCTAAGTAACTACATATCCAAATTGTAAAACAAGACCAAACCACAGAAGGCTCAGCTAAGTTTTAGTTACATCATAGCTTTGATGTTCTAAGGTTTTATTATTTTTAATGATTTCAACAGGATGCTGTGTGCTCTCCAACAGCAGTATATGATAGTGATTAAAAATGTGACTCAGGAGTTAGAGAGGCCTGAGAATGAATTCTGACTGTAGGACTTCTTACACGCATTATCTTAGACATTTTCCTACCCATAACGTAGAGTGCATAATAGTATCTTTCTCCTAGGGTCATGAAACATGAAAGAAAAAAGGCATGTGCAATGCTGAACATTATAGCTGAGCACTTACATGTGTCAGCTATCATTACCATTATCATTATTATTATTATTATAGATAAAAGCTCCCTACTCCAGATGTCCCATTTGAGGCCCCAAATGTTTGTCGGATTCCCCAGGGAGTAGAAGGCGTGTGAGTGGAGTAGATTGTAAACGGTCCTGTCAATCAAACAGGTTAGTCTAATTGCCCTCTCGAAAGTACCAGACTCCATAAGAAACGACCCTACGAGACAAAATGAACTTCCCTAATATAAAAGCAGGTGTTAAAGACATTCTGAGTTAAGCAAAACTAGGCATACCAAAACAATTGCTTTTTTTTTTTTTAGATGAACTTGAAAAAACACGTAATTCTGGGGAAGGCACTGAAAAAAGCCCTAGTGTAAGTCAGTAAAGCCCAAGACCATCACATCTCTTGAAACCGGGGCAGTAACTCCTGCAGACACGTGACACGCATTCCTTGAGATAAAGAAACTCTCTTATAAAACAACACAACTGGATAAACAATGAGTGACGTTGTGTGCCAGATACCAACACAATGACCTGGGGAAGTCTGTTTGAAGACAGGGCTCTCAGCAAAGTGTTTAACCACGTGCAGTGAGGGAAAGTCCCCGAGGTTGGAACAGCGGCAGGGCCACAGATGAACAGTCTCAGACACGGGGGAAGACTGGACCAAAAAAAGAGTGATAAAGTGGTAGGTGGGTAGGTAGTCACAGAGATGACGAAACAAACATGCACAGGCACGTACACGCAGAGTGGGGAGAAGAAGAGGGAGAGACAGATCCAACGTGAGAACAAACGGGAACCTTAGAGAAGACAGGCACATATTTGGGGCTGGAATCAGGTAGTTTCCATACTCCTTGAGCTTAATCACAAAACGTGTAACCCTGAAATATGAAGGACTGAAGGGAGGAAAGGCGAACAATGACCCAGGCCTAAGACTGGGAACAAAATGATTCTGTAAAAACACAGAGGTCCCCACCGTTGCAACCTGGCTGCCAAAGCATGCTTAGGGTTTATTTCCAGTTTTATAAAATTTATGTAAGACACCAGTTCACATCATATGCAGATCATTCTTGTACTGGACTCTTTAGGTTCATCTCCTAATCAAGCGAAACACTCAACACTTGCTGATTTTATATGCTTAAAATGTTAGTAGCAGTTAAAATCCAATTTTCACCTTGGATTCCTAGAATGTTTTATTTGGTAGGGCAAAAATAAATCATTTTTTCTCAACAGGGCCTCCAGAAAGGTACAAGGTTTTCATTACATGATTCAGGCCGCTTTATCCCATGGCTTTGTTTTTGCAGGTCCACAGCCAAGAGCAGCATAAGCCATCCAAATTGTTTAAATAAATGGTAGTGTAGGTGGTACCACAACACTGTGTGTGTCTTGAAACTGGGTCTGCACAGTATAAGAATAAGCTACAAGAGATGAAGTCACAGTTATAACAAGACTCAAAGTTCTACATATGCCCTTCAGTTATTTAACTATGAAGAGGCTTCGATGTGCAGCCAGAAACTCCATCTGAGAGATCTCTGTGGCCATACTCAGGGCTCTCACCCAAGAGACCACTGAACACCATAGGGTCTCACCTGGATGTAGGAAATGCCTACAGGAAAAGAAGGTAGAGGAAAGATCTTCTCTCTCCCACACCAAAAGGCCACACTGAAGAGAATCACATGGAATAGGATGAGATCAGCATTCAGAAAATCCTTGTCTATGACTGTTAGGTTCTGCTTTCTGGTGAGATGTAATCACACAGATATAGGCTCACGCTAACTATATTTTTACGCACAGATTGAGGTGATGTTTTACAAGTTAAAAACACAAATGGAATTCCTCCTTTGTGAATTATTCACTACATTAACATGGAAAGCCTTATCATTTCAGGATGTGTCTTACGAATAAGTAATCCTGGAGAAATGTGCTAAATTTACAACCCAATATTTAGCTAAATCAAATCCAAAACAAAAATCCTATTGGGTCAAACAAGCTACAGTGCCTCAAAAAGCTCACACAACCTTGGGCTGCAGATTAAGGGACACTACAACCCTACACAGCTGTCCCAGGATTCAGCCCATGCATGACCTAGATGAAGCAGTGCAAGCAGAGAAATGAAAGTTCTGGCAACCAGGTCCTGTAAGGATCAACTGAGGAAAGGCGGAACGGTGAGACTACGTGCAGACATGATGGCAGTGTTCAGATACCCTGAGCAAGAGGAAGCCTGTTGCACGATGAAGGTCCAGGTTGAGGATCTCTGATCTAAAACGCTTGGGACTAGAAGTATTTTAGATGTTAGTTATTTTCAGATTTTAGAATATTTGAAAATACCAGTTGAGCATCCCAAATCCAAAAGTACAAAATCTAAATTGTTCCAACGAGCATTTCCTTGGAGTGTTATGTTGGTACTCAAAACATTTTGGATTCTGGAGCATTTTGGATTTCAGATTGTTGGATTTGGGATGCTTAACTTGTATTGGCAGGACTAAAGGCTACAAATCATAGAAAGAGTGGATTCAACCTCATTAAGCAGAAGATCTTTTCAACAGTTAATGCTCCTTAACAGTGGAAGATGCTGACTTCACTAGGAGCTGACCATGGAAACCCATCTCTCAGGGATGCCCAGGATATGAAGCAGATGACCTTTACGATTTCTGCAAGGTCTAAGGTTCTGTGGTCACTACATACTGATAGGTTACATTATCCCATCTAGGAAATACAAGTTACTACACACCACAGCAAAACTCAAGTGTTTCTGCTGCTCTCACATCTATAATAGGACTGCGTCTAGGCAGACGGCCTCCTAACCACCTCCTTTTGTCTTATCTCCTCCTCCCTCATTTCCACATCTCTAGAGTTGCTCATGCTGCCTGGGCCTCTAACTACAGCACTTATACAAATAAGGCAAAAGGAAGAAAAACAAACAAAGCTACTCCCAGCCTTGATTCAGCAGTGCACTGGTCATGATTCCTGGAACACTGAGTGCATGAAAATAACTTTTCAACCCTTCCTATGTGCACATCTGTATGAACACTGTGATGCAGAAGGTAAGGCTGTTCAAGAATCATTACAATTATTCCACAAATATCCATGTTACTACATTTACAACACAAAATTATTATAAGCAATAGTGAAAAAAACCTTTAATTTTGAAGCTAGTCATCAAAAATTACAGATTGCAGGGTAATGTATGTATCTAAATCTTGGCCTGACTGGGAACACATATCTTCAGACTTTAATCTCATTTTTGAGGTAATACTGTAGCACTTCCCTGATATTCAAAGTTGGGCTGTGATCATAGACACTTTTACATCTGCCTATCAATGTGAGAGGAAAGATAGTTCAAAACTTATCTGGTAACCAAGGATTACAATTTTTGTCAATTAAAAACTCCCCACTGGAGTTGCTTCAGAGGCTGAATGATGATTTGAAGAGATTGTGATAGATGGTGGAATATGGTTTCATAAGGTTTTATAAGATTTAATTTTCACGTATTAAAATCGCTGGTACCTATAGTGCCTACAACGTACCCTCATTCCAAGAGTGTTTGCTGCACTGTGCAGAGTCCTGGGGAAGGAGGATCCAGCAGTGGTGGTAAGAAAAGAGTGCTGGACTGGAGTCATTAGACTTGGATTGAAATCCCAGAAACTTCTTACTAGCAGTGAGAAGTTCAGCAAATCATCCAACCTCTCTGAGCCAGTAATCCCAACCCCAAAGGATTGTGAGATTAAATGATGCTTGTCCAATCCCAGATACTGGGACTCCATCAACCCCTGTGTGGGGATTAGAAAAGGGCAGCTGTAGGATGTGACCTGCATCAGGACATGGAGTTGGATGAGCAGAGCATGGGCTGGACTCCAGGCCCCAATCATCCTCCTCAACTGGTGCCTGGTGTGGGTAAAACCTATAACCAGCATTAAAGTACTAGCCATTTGATAAACTCTCAGGACACATTTATTAAAAGTCTTCAGATATTTAACTATTAAAAGGGCCACTCCATAAAGATAGCCACATGTCAGGAACCTACTACTTAATCTTACTATTTAAAACACTAAAAAATGATAAACTGAAATACTCTTATTAATTGTCTTCATTACATGTATATAACTCATTTTATTATGCTATGAAGGACTATTATATAATAAAGTATAAAATATTTTAAGTTTCAGTAGAGAACATCTTTTAGAGCCAAAGGAGAGAACCCAAAACGTTAAAGTGATACAGGTTTCAAAAAATACTTGTAGAGACTGCACTGAGGGAAAACATGAAATAAAACAGAAGTCTGATTCATTGTAACTCTTGCAAGAGTAAGTAGGACTGTGTTTAGGCAAGAACTGAAACAAGGAAGTGACTCAATGGCTCTACTGGGGAGAGAGATTCCAAAGAGATGGAACAGCTCTAGCTAAGCATAACACCAACCACCAGCTGGGAGAAAAGCCAGTGGCAACGGAGGAGGGTAAAGACAGGGGAAGGCAGGTCAATACGAAGGAACAAAGAGTGGGTGTGCAGAGTCAGAGAAGATGTGGAGCTAAACCATGGAGGGTTTTCCAAATTTGAGATTAGATGTACAGTTGGATATAAAAATCAACCAGGAAACAGGGGAAAAGAAGCATCATAGTTCCTTTTCTCAAAGCAAAAAAGTTTATATTGCTTCCAATTAAATAATTAGCATCTTTGAAACAATGGTAAGTACAGAAAGACTGATGAGGATGAAGAGGAGGAAAAGGAGAAAGAGATAATGTTTTTATAAAGGTAAAGTGTTCTATATCTAGTACTTCCCCTGAAATGTAAAAAAGAATTACCAGGACAAAGTATATCATTCACAGGGAGGAAAAGGAAGAAACTATACTGGAGATAAACATAATCAGGAATAACAAGAGGACAAAAATTTGAAATTAGATGATTGGAGGCCCATTGACTGTACTTTTTCTCAAACAAACAGCAGAAAGGAGTTAAGTTCAGCACGAATAATATCTTATCTCAACAAATGCTGTCCAGCCACAGCAAAAAGACTTCTGAACACAAAGCAAACTCCCAGATATCTACTTGCCTTGCAGCATTAGCACATTATGAACAGGAAACAGACTTTTCTGCACAACCACATTCCCCTTGAACTCAGTGAAAAGCAATGTAAGGATGACCCACAACTGGGTAAATGGCAAGAGGGCAGCTTTTGAAAATAGAAAAACATTCACATCTTCACTTTACCAATTACCACCTCCATGACTATAGGCAAAACTCTCAACGTCTCTCTGCCTATTTTGTCTTCTATAAAATGGCACTAGAGACATCCGTTTTTCATGGAGCTCTTGAGTGGACTGAGACAACACATGTGAGACGGACTGTATGTGAGACAGCCATATGGCCAAGCCCCACTGGGCTTGTATTAGATCTCTTCCCCCAGGCTCCTCCTTTAAAAACCTGGGCTTATTTAACAAAAGAGCAATTAATCTAGTAGTTATTCGATATACAATATCCCAGATTCAGCCTACAGATAAGAGATGTATAAAATAAACACGTAAGTTAGATATAGAAATAAAAGAAAAAGATATTCTTAAGACCTTGCTAAAAATATTCAGGTTTTCTCAAAAGTGCTCTGGCTAGTAAAGAAATACTCAGTGAATTAATGCTGTGGAGGGCATGTCATTGTATAGATTTCATTTTAACTCTGCTTAAGAAGCACAACATGGTATCATGGAATTCCAATAATTCAACTTGTAAATATTGACGTTCAAGCGGCAGATGATTTCACTTTGGGGACATCACGATCGTACTTGTCATGGTGCTATGTTTTGGTGCCAGAGAACCAAGACCATGAAGCAACAGCAATGGAGCTCACTGTGCTCCTTCCCCTCAAGGATCCATGGCCCAATCACAAAACACCACACAGCATGCGACTCTCTAACTAAGTCAGGTCCCAGAGAATATAGCTGTCCTTTCAGGTTTAGATAGCAATGGTTTCTTGTGAATCCTCCATCCCTAGAAGAAATGGCCTAAGAGTCAGGGTGCAATAGTAGAAAGACTGGCCAGGTGCGGTGGCTCACACCTGTAATCCCAGCACTTTGGGAGGCCAAGGCAGGCGGGTCACTTGAGGTCAGGAGTTCGAAACCAGCCTGGCCAACATGGTGAAACCCAGTCTCTACTAAAAACACACACAAAAAAATAGCCAAGCTTGGTGGCGGGCGCCTGTAATCCCAGCTACTTGGGAGGCTGAGGCAGGAGAATTGCTTGAACCTGGGAGGCGGAGCTTGCAGTCAGCCGAGATCGCGCCACTGCACTCCAGCCTGGGAGACAGAGCGAGACTCCATCTCAAAAAAAAAAAAAAAAAAAATAGTAGCAAGACTGGACTAGACACTAAAATCTTCAGTTTTACTCCCCACCTCCCACACAAACTCAACTGCAAACTGATCTACCTCTCTGGATGTTAGTTGCATCAACCCATAAAATTGTAAGGACAGACTACTTGCTAATACTCATTTAAGTGCCCAAGTTCTATGATTTTATGAAAGCTCCAGGGCAGGGCTGAGGGCAGCCAAGGAGCTACGTGGCAGGGCAATCCTATGAAGGTCGGTGTTCCTCAGGTGCCCCCTGCCTGCCAGGTTGATACATTAGATTCCATGCTGCCACAGCCTGCCTGGTGGTATCCTCATACCCTGACCTAGGCCAACCTAATCAAGGATAACCATAATAATGGGCTGCCTTTTCCTCACCCTACGTCATGCCAGCCCTTTCCTGCTAACCTGTACACACAAAGGGCAGCTCTACCTTCCTGAGAAGAGTTACAGCTCTTAAATGGCTCGATTCTAGATTATATTGGGTAGCTATAATGAATGATATAATTATCAATAGGCAAGATCTCAGAAATGATTCAAGATGGTCATGGAAATGCAGATCTTGGGTGTACTGGGCTGTGACCATTATAAAGTCACATTATAATCCATCAACCTACACTGTACAGGTATGTCCCATAAATTATTCCACCCATGCAGGTGCCATCCTCACCTCCATCCACATTCAGAAGCACATTACTCTAACATTCTGGCACAAAGCCTTGGGGTATTCTAGTAAACAAAAGCTACACCATCAATACTATGAATCTGGATGAGGAATGTTAATCCTATTTTTTTTGAAATCTTGAACTTCTTTTCATAAGAATCAGAATGAAGTCCCCTATGGGAAAAGTACTGACTACATGTAACAGGTTGTTGGATCAATCCAAACTTCGTCTTTCCTCTTCTTTGCTCCTCTTAAACTGTCTTTTCACTATGATATAAACACATCTCCACTCTGGAAAAGTGACTCCTGACAATGTTCTGAGCAAAATGGTGTTCTTCTAGCCCCTGAATCAACTATGGCTCCAAATTAAACTAGAAAATCTCATGAACACTCTTTAGTGTCCCAGTACTAGATCATTAAATATGCTTATTTCTATGCATCAAAAAGTAAAAAGTTCTAAATCTCTAACCCCTATCGCTAGTGCAACTAGAGCAACATATTTGATCAACTTGTTCTAAGGGTCGTTGTTATAAAGAGCACTGTACAATGCAGAACTGGCTGGGTAACAGGCATTGTCTCATAAGAAGAGGAAAATGCATAAATACTTCCAGATTTTCTAAGAGAACTTGTAAAAAAATTTGCTTTGGCTTGAGCAGAACATTCTTTATAGGCAAGGTTTTTTTCTTTCTTTTTTTTAAGTCCACTCAGCTTTCTTTTATTAGAGTAATTAAAACAATGTTAGGCATTTGGGGAATCTGATACAACTATAATCCTCTGATATTTCAGGCTATTGATTTTACAAAGTATCTACTGTGACTAGAGCATTTAACTGCTGGAAATGTATCCACATCGATTTCTGACAGTGTATTTGTTTAAAACCTGCTGAAGCCAAACCATGGGCTTCAAGGAATTCCAGACAACTACTTTAGTTTATGAAACGGTATTTTAAAAGTTACACTAAGGCAAAAATGGTTTTTAAAGTCACATATGAAGGGAAAAAAAACCCTCTTAAGCATGAAACTTATGATTCTACTTGACATCTTTTCTAAAGAAAAGATAGAATCTGTGCTGCCTATTTTCTCCACCTCTACAATGATTTGAACATTTCAACAGTCAAGTCTTCTTCCAGGCTGTGATATGTGTGTTTTGCTCTTAAGTTGCAAAAAGAAAATTTAAGTACAGTATTATCATGATTATATTCTGACATCATAATTCCTGTTAGCCTTTCCTTGGGGCAAAACAACACAAATCATGTGATAAATCCTAGTACTAGATGGTGAGTAGATCGAATTTATTTTAAGTTTAATTACTAGGAATGTGTCTAAAAAGAAAGACTCATGTTGAGAGAGGGAATAAAGATGTGCATATAGCCATGATTACTATCACCATAGCAACCTGATCACCCCCAAAATGATGAACATAAATGCCTATCTTCTCCAATTTTTCTTTTTTTTTTTTTTTTGAAATGGAGTCTTGCTCTGTCGCCCAGGCTGGAGTGCAGTGGCACAATCTCGGCTCACTGCAAGCTCCGCCTCCCAGGTTCACGCCATTCTCCTGCCTCAGCCTCCTGAGTAGCTGGGACTACAGGTGCTGCCACCACGCCCGGCTAGTTTTTTGTATTTTTAGTAGAGATGGGGCTTCACCGTGTCGGCCAGGATGGTCTCGATCTCCTAACCTCGTGATCCGCCCGCCTCGGCCTCCCAAAGTGCTGGGATTACAGGGGTGAGCCACTGTGCCTGGCCTCCAATGCTTATTTCTACAACCATATTGAGATAAATCTTCTATATTAAGCTTCATGTCTATAAAGAGATAATCAAAGGAACCAAAAACATTTTAGGCCTCATAGCACTATGTGAAATTGTAATGCATGCCTCATTTGGTTAAGCTTTCAGTTTTTTCTGTGTCTCTTCCAAGTACACAGAACTCAAAACTAATAATTACCTGTGGTTTGGTTGCAAGTCATGTAGAAAAACTGAAAGCCACAAATAACACTAACAGGTTCATTTAGATCCCTGGGTGCAGGGAACCATGTCTGTCTTGTCCACTGCCCTGACTCTTCTGGCAGAAACATCCATTGTTCCCCAAAGAGCCACTTGTTTCCCCACATTTCCCAGCTCCAAAACTATGTGTTAGATTGCCATAACAAAATACCGTAGACTGGGTGGTTTAAACAATAGATTTTTTTTTTTATTTCCTCACAGTTCTGGAGGCTGGAAACCCAAGATTATGGTACCAACATGGTGGATTTTTGGTGAGGCCCCTCCTCCTAGCTTGTGGGTGGCTGCCATCTGGCTGTGTGCTCACATGGACTCTTCTTTGTGCAAGTGTGTGGGGAAAGCAACAGAGAGGTCAAGCTCACTGGTCCTATCACATCAGGGCCCTGCCCTTATGATCTCACTTAACCTTAGTTATCTCCTTTTAGGCTCTGTCTCCAAATATAGCTGCATTGGGGTTTGGGGCTTCAACATATGAATTTGGGGATGGGAGGCATAATTCCATCAATAGCACTAATAGGTATGGCCATGGGACTCATTCTGAACAGGGGGCTATGGGAAAGGGAATGAGTGTGGTCCTTTGCAGAACCTCTCGTTCCCTGCTGTAGGAATTAAGGAAGCCATATATTCTGGATAACATGGCAGTAACATGATGGAACCACTATCAACCCAAGTCCCTGAAATATGCAGAGCAGAGTCCTCTGCTCACCTCTAACATGTCTAATGCACACAAAACGTAAACTTTGTTGTGCTAATGTGTTACTGAAGCACAACCTAGACTAATCTAATATATTTACCCACAATTCATGTGTGCCTAGTTCTAAGATCAATTCATAAGTGATCCTGGCCTTATAAAAAGCGCAAGCTGGTGAGGAAGAGAAACGAGGCACAAAAGCAACAACTTTAAAATATTTAAATTTAAAATTGTCTGATTAGATTCTAAATGCAATAAAGATTTAAGGAACAGAGAGAAGTGTGGGTTGAAGAAGTACTAAAAAGCTTTTCAGAGAAACTGATACTAAAGACGAGTCTTCTAAGTCAGTAGCATTTGAGAGACAAGTATAGGTTATTCATTCACTCTGTTTGACATTGATCTGTCCATATGGCCTGTGCATATGTCAGCACCAGTGGTGTCTAAGATTGCAGAAAAGAGCAAAGATGTAGAAATCATCATAGAGGTTTGGAGGGCTCAAAGACACCTTGGTAGTCTCCTTAGCCAATCCAATTATTTGAAAAATGAAGAAACTGAGGGCCAAGATATGATGAATTTGCTAAAATGGAAAGAGAGCTATTGTCTTGGAAATACCAACACAAGCTAGTCCCAATCTCTGAGCCTCAAATTTCACATAAATAAATGGGAGACATAAATGTCTACTTTTCATGTTTCTCCTGATTGTTTTGAAGGTCAAATCAGCTATCAGTTTTCTAAAAATGCATTGTCTTACGAAGAGGCTTGCCCCATGGCCAGGTATGGTGGCACACACCTATACTCTTAGCTACTTGGGAGGCTGAGGCAGGAGGATCACTTGAGCCCGAGAGTTTGAGCTTGCAGCATGCTATGATCCTGCCACTGCACTCCAGCTTGGGCAACAGAGTGAGACCCTATCTCTTAAAAAAAGAAAAAGAAAAAAAAAAAGAGGCTTATCTTGAAGCCACAGAATGTTAAGACCATATTCTTTAACAACTCCGTTAGAGCTTGCAGATTCTAAACCAGTCTTCTGCAAAGTGATCATCTTGGAGGCATTGCTCTCTTTGTTTAAAATATTTAGAAATATACAAAATATTTTGAATTTTAGAATGTTCTTCAAGGCTAGAGACATACTTTAAATATTCTCAACGGTGGCAAATCTTGTTCACAGACGTGTCCAAGCTATTTGCCCAATGGCAGTGTCACTAGAGTAAATGCACAGTCTCATACAGTGACCTTGTTGAAATAGAACATTCAATTCTATATATAAATTATTTTATTTAAGAAAGGAGACAGAAGAGGGAAAAAAAATGGAAGGATGAGAAAGGAAAAAAACAGTACTATCATGGTCTTAGAGAAGGTTCAGGAGAGAACTCTGTCCTCTTCAATATACGGCAAAAAATGTTGCTTCTCTCACTACAACTTTATGGGGCAGATTTCAGAGGACTGATTTTTTTAGTAAACCAGATGATTCTTCCTCATTTTAGCAAATCTCAATTCTGAGGGATAGCACAGAGCCACATCAGACCATCAGAGCCCAGAAATACCAGCTATAAATCCTGAAACCATTTCTTAAAATGTATAGAGCCAAAATCAACCATCAATTCAAGCCATCGTCTCTTAAAACTATTTCCAACATGCTCAGAACTGTCATCTTCAAACACAGTGACCATAAAATCTTACCACTTTGCCAATATCAGAAGTAGCTCAACATGCTTCCACTCTGAGCTGCTCCATAATTATTATTTTCAATGCTTATTCCTATGTAGGAACAGGAGTCTAATTATTAATAGGTATATTATTTTATAGAGCCCTAGAGGTATAAAATATGGTAATTTGATATTCCACGTCATGATAAAGGCATTTTAATTGCCAATAAAATGAAAAAAAATCTGAGAGGAGGGGCTTAGGGAGAACCAATGAAGAAACACATACTTGCTTCTCTTAAACAGGTCCGGGCAGGTGGACCCTTAAAGCTGACAGCCTCTTTGGTTCCCAGAAGACATCTACCTGGGTAAAGACCAGATACTGGGCCGCAGGAAGGGTAACGTCTGGGTCACAACCCATTCTCTGAAGTTCTAAGAATCTATATTTTGATTATCCTAATGTCCCAGCCCTACATTCTCAATCCAAGTAAAACGAGCAGTTCTCCTCTCCACTGGCAGGAGCCCAGTGACATGCAGACATGTTCTCTCTCACATGCGGTGATTTTCCCTCTTTGGATCTTACCCCTGTCTCTGCTGATCTTTCTTGACTCCAGGCTAGAGGGCCCCTGCGCGAAAGTCAATCTGGCAGAGGTTGCTGGAACAAGACCAGCTAACACTTAAAAGTCCCAGCACCTATCAGTGAGATGTGTAGGACACCTTCAGTGATACCTTCAGCTGTTGACGCAGGTAAGGTTTGGCACGGATGGCTACAGAGAGCAGCCATTTTAGAGCCACAAGAGACTCAGTAACACTCAATTAAATATTTCTTAGATTATGCCAAAGGAGTACTTGAGTGGGACACTGAAGAAAAGCCCAGATGGCATAGGAAGTGCCTGGTGTTAATGACTTATTCCACCTCAAGGAAGCCAAGCTTCAATAAATGCAATCAGCACACACTCCAACTGAGCTCTCTGCTCAGCAAGAAGACAGATGTCTAGTAGCCTCAGCCTCACCTTCCCCAGTCACTGCCCAGCAGCTCCTCCAAAAGAAGGCAGGCCACTGCACTGGTCCAAGATCACCTGGGAGGGCCCTATCCATAAGGGCATGTGGCCTTAGGCGATGGGGAGGAAGAGAGAGCCACAATTCACCTCTGCCCTCTACTGACCCAGCCTGGCTCAGTTCCCCTTCCACATAAGTAAGATGTTTTATAACCATTTTTTTCTTTAGACTTCTAATCTATTTACATAGTTTATGGACTCAGTTTAGGGAATAACCAGTGTGAAAAGTGTTACAATAATTCTGGCATTACTTCTGTCAGGATAAAACTAGGTTTGTTTGTTTTGTAATCATAGATTTAGGCTTCATCCCAGTAATATTCACGTTGCCAGGACAGGAGAGATACTGCGGAAATTCAAGAGCAGGTTTCTGAGCAGAACTCAATGTCTCAGCTCCCCTAAATGAACACCATTTCTCATCACTGAGAAAAGATTTCCAAAGTGCCCATCTCATCTGCATCGACCCAACCATCTACCCATCTTTTTCTCCCATGTGGAGTTGGCAGGCATCACATCTATTTCCCCAGCTTCTTACTGGCTTTTGTCCAGTGGAAACCAAGAAATATTTTTCTTTATTCAAAGTCCTGTGACAAAAGTATTGAAACTCTTTTAAAAAAAAGTAATTTCAGCCATGCAATTAGGATACTTTCCACTTCAATGAGCTCATATTTTCCTGTTAATTTCTCCATTAAGCTTATTCTTTTAAGTTTTTTTAAACAAAAGCTAAGTATATCTATTTGGCCCTTTAGAATGCTCTGTGTGTGTGTGTGTGTGTGTGTGTGTGTGTGTGTGTGTTCCAGTGCTAAGCTTTAGAGCTTAGGATGTTACTGAACATATCTGCCAAAAGAGACCTATCTTCAATTAGATAATCTTGTTCTCCAATGGTCCATTCTGTTTCCATTTTTCCTGTCCAAACAGAACTGCTGGAACAACTTCTGGCATCTCTAACAGAATCCCAAACAGTTCTTGTGTCACTTTAACCCAATTTTGCCCTAAGGCTTATTATTTATATGACCAATAATTAAAGGAAAAAAGAGTTTTCACAATGATTTCAGGATTCCACATCAACTACCAGTCCTTTCCTTTCTTCCTAATCCACATAAAGTTTATTTTCTTCTGTAGAATATGTATAAAGACCTTAATCTTGAAGTTTGTTTCTTTTTTTTTCTTCTTCTTTTTTTTTATTATCATTATACTTTAAGTTTTAGGTTACATGTGCACAATGTGCAGGTTAGTTACATATGTATACATGTGCCATGCTGGTGTGCTGCACCCATTAACTCGTTATTTAGCATTAGGTATATCTCCTAATGCTATCCCTCCCGCCTCCCCCCACCCCACAACAGTCCCCAGAGTGTGATGTTCCCCTTCCTGTGTCCATGTGTTCTCACTGTTCAATTCCCACCTATGAGTGAGAATATGCGGTGTTTGGTTTTTTTGTCCTTGCCATAGTTTACTGAGAATGATGATTTCCAATTTCATCCCTGTCCCTACAAAGGACATGAACTCATCATTTTTTATGGCTGCATAGTATTCCATGGTGTATATGTGCCACATTTTCTTAATCCAGTCTATCATTGTTGGCCATTTGGGTTGGTTCCAAGTCTTTGCTATTGTGAATACTGCCGCAATAAACATACGTGTGCATGTGTCTTTATAGCAGCATGATTTATAGTCCTTTGGGTATATACTCAGTAATGGGATGGCTGGGTCAAATGGTATTTCTAATTCTAGATCCCTTAGGAATTGCCACACTGACTTCCACAATGGTTGAACTAGTTTACAGTCCCACCAACAGTGTAAAAGTGTACCTAATTCTCCACATCCTCTCCAGCACCTGTTGTTTCCTGACTTTTTAATGATTGCCATTCTAACTGGTGTCAGATGGTATCTCATTGTGGTTTTGATTTGTATTTCTCTGATGGCCAGTGATGATGAGCATTTTTTCATGTGTCTTTTGGCTCCATAAATGTCTTCTTTTGAGAAGTGTCTGTTCATATCCTTCGCCCACTTTTTGATGGGGTTGTTTGTTTTTTTCTTGTAAATTTGTTTGAGTTCATTGTAGATTCTGGATATTAGCCCTTTGTCAGATGAGTAGGTTGCAAAAATTTTCTCCCATTTTGTAGGTTGCCTGTTCACTCTGATGGTAGCTTCTTTTGCTGTGCAGAAGCTCTTTAGTTTAATTAGATCCCATTTGTCAATTTTGGCTTTTGTTGCCATTGCTTTTGGTGTTTTAGACAGGAAGTCCTTGCCCAAGCCTATGTCCTGAATGGTAATGCCTAGGTTTTCTTCTAGGGTTTTTATGGTTTTAGGTCTAACGTTTAAGTCTTTAATCCATCTTCAATTAATTTTTGTATAAGGTATAAAGAAGAGATCCAGTTTCAGCTTTCTACATATGGCTAGCCAGTTTTCCCAGCACCATTTATTAAATAGGGAATCCTTTCCCCATTGCTTGTTTTTCTCAGGTTTGTCAAAGATCAGATAGTTGTAGATATGTGGCATTATTTCTGAGGGCTCTGTTCTGTTGCATTGATTTATATCTCTGTTTTGGTACCAGTACCACGCTGTTTTGGTTACTGTAGCCTTGTAGTATAGTTTGAAGTCAGGTAGCGTGATGCCTCCAGCTTTGTTCTTTTGGCTTAGGATTGACTTGGCAATGTGGGCTCTTTTTTGGTTCCATATGAACTTTTGAGTAGTTTTTTCCAATTCTGTGAAGAAAGTCATTGGTAGCTTGATGGGGATGGCATTGAATCTATACATTACCTTGGGCAGTATGGCCATTTTCACGATATTGATTCTTCCTACCCATGAGCATGGAATGTTCTTCCATTTGTTTGTATCCTCTTTTATTTCATTGAGCAGTGGTTTGTAGTTCTCCTTGAAGAGGTCCTTCACATCCTTTGTAAGTTGGATTCCTAGGTATTTTATTATCTTGGAAGCAATTGTGAATGGGAGTTCACTCATGATTTGGCTCTCTGTTTGTCTGTTATTGGTGTATAAGAATGCTTGTGATTTTTGTACATTGATTTTGTATCCTGAGACTTTGCTGAAGTTGCTTATCAGCTTAAGGAGATTTTGGGCTGAGACGATGGGGTTTTCTAGATATACAATCATGTCATCTGCCAACAGGGACAATTTGACTTCCTCTTTTCCTAACTGAATACCCTTTATTTCCTTCTCCTGCCTAATTGCCCTGGCCAGAACTTCCAACACTATGTTGAATAGGAATGGTGAGAGAGGGCATCCCTGTCTTGTGCCAGTTTTCAAAGGGAATGCTTCCAGTTTTTGCCCATTCAGTATGATATTGGCTGTGGGTCTGTCACAGGTAGCTCTTATTATTTTGAGATACATCCCATCAATACCTAATTTATTGAGAGTTTTTAGCATGAAGGGTTGTTGAATTTTGTCAAAGACATCTACAGAACCCTCCACCCCAAATCAACAGAATATACATTTTTTTCAGCACCACACCACACCTAGTCCAAAATTGACCACATACTTGGAAGTAAAGCTCTCCTTGGCAAATGTAAAAGAACAGAAATGATAACAAACTGTCTCTCAGACCACAGTGCAATCAAACTAGAACTCAGGATTAAGAAACTCACTCAAAACCGTTCAACTACATGGAAACTGAACAACCTGCTCCTGAATGACTACTGGGTACATAACGAAATGAAGGCAGAAATAAAGATGTTCTTTGAAACCAACGAGAACAAAGACACAACATACCAGAATCTCTGGGACACATTCGAAGCAGTGTGTAGAGGGAAATTTATAGCACTAAATGCCCACAAGAGAAAGCAGGAAAGATCCAAAACTGACACCCTAACATCACAATTAAAAGAACTAGAAAAGCAAGAGCAAACACATTCAAAAGCTAGCAGAAGGCAAGAAATAACTAAAATCAGAGCAGAACTCAAAGAAATAGAGACACAAAAAACCCTTCAAAAAATTAATGAATCCAGGAGCTGGTTTTTTGAAAGGATCAACAAAATTGATAGACCGCTAGCAAGACTAATAAAGAAGAAAAGAGAGGAGAATCAAATAGACGCAATAAAAAATGATAAAGGGGATATCACCACCGATCCCACAGAAATACAAACTACCATCAGAGAATACTACAAACACCTCTACGCTAATACACTAGAAAATCTAGAAGAAATGGATAAATTCCTCGACATATACACTCTCCCAAGACTAAACCAGGAAGAAGTTGAATCTCTGAATAGACCAATAACAGGATCTGAAATGGTGGCAATAATCACCAGCTTACCAACCAAAAAGAGTCCAGGACCAGATGGATTCACAGCCGAATTCTACCAGAGGTACAAGGAGGAACTGGTACCATTCCTTCTGAAACTATTCCAGTCAATAGAAAAAGAGGGAATCCTCCCTAACTCATTTTATGAGGCCAGCATCATCCTGATACCAAAGCCAGGCAGAGACACAACCAAAAAAGAGAATTTTAGACCAATATCCTTGATGAACATTGATGCAAAAATCCTCAAAAAAATACTAGCAAACCGAATCCAGCAGCACATCAAAAAGCTTATCCACCATGATCAAGTGGGCTTCATCCCTGGGATGCAAGGCTGGTTCAATATACGCAAATCAATAAATGTAATCCAGCATATAAACAGAACCAAAGACAAAAACCACCTGATTATCTCAATAGATGCAGAAAAGTTTGTTTCTTATGGTTTTTAAAATATTTTCTAAGAGTTTTATAGTTGCAAACTATAAAAGTGGGTTCATGTGTTATTTGATCATCTTTATCTGTGTTAGAGTGCTGTACTTAAAACATATGCTGTATAAATCAGGGTTTTCCAGAGTCCTGGAATACCTGCTTTTTAATTAACTCAGGTATTTATATGTAAAATTTTCTGATCTTTCAGCATCTTGAAACAGGAAATCTTGAAGCACTTGAATTTTTTGTCTCCCCTTATAACGCTTCTGTCTGATTACGAGGCAGGTTCCTGGGTTCAACAAAGAGCACAGGCTTGTGCAACGAGGCAGTGGGCAGGTTCAGCATGGAAGCTGGACCCTGAACTCTATACTGTGATTCTAAATGCTTCCCATAGAAGGCCTTTTCATACCATCTGGCATAACTAGGTCACTACATGTTTGTTTCCAGGAACTGGGCAATCAATAAAACATGTTTGAAACAATCAAAAAGTCAGATGCCAAACAAGCTTTGAATTTAGGTCACTGTTAAAGAGATCCAATTTAAAAACAAAGGACACCCTTATACAATTGATTTTTATGTAAAAAAGATGAACATATTCAATGTTCCTATGATGCAAAAATAAATTGGAGGGGTATTTTCTGAAACTTGGCCTCTCCTCAGAGATGATAACTACCACAGAAATGTTCGGGTTTGAAGCCTGTGAAAAATGAGATTACCCTGAAGTGGCTGGTGATTGTAACCACTGGAATTGTCATTCTAACAGTCAGTGAGCAAACTCTTGCAAATGTTTTCACATATATGTAGACTACCACAACTTACTCCAGGTAGCACAGAAACCTAACTCTGCCAAAATTAGGACCGGCCAACTACTTCATACTTGATTTATATTCAAGAAAACCACTCCTGTCTGTCACCCTATATAGTTCTATGAGATCAATTTCTGTTCTTTGAATATAGGAGATTTAGTGATGCCTATAGAGACTGCCTATATAGACAGCCTAATTCACATAAACACCAATGATTTATTTGATTGTTAAACATATTTTTAGAACTCTGAAATACTAAACGTAACTTTTTACAAAAACAAAACAATAGAAATGTTTTTTTCCCTACAGGTTGGCATTCTCTGTCAAGGTGAGAAAACATTACAGAAACCTTTAACTCCATTATTCCCGCTCTTTTCTCATTATAATGCAATCCAAAGAAATGTCCTCTGTGGTCATGAATTTAAGCTATCATCAGCAAATCTATTCACTGATCACTGAATTTTCTCCATTAATTCTCTAGCATTCCATCTCGAAAACACCCTGGACTTCCTTGACTGATAATTAAGAGTACACCCTTCCTAATATTAATCAAGGATGAGGCTGCTTGTAACAAAGATGTCATTGCTCATCTTCTCACAATCCTCCCTGCTAAGGGTCAAGAAATCAACTCTGGTGAGCATTTATTTAGTTAGCATTTATTTAGCATTTATTTATTTAGAAGAAAATTCAGAACCGTTCATTTCTTCATCATCCTTGTCTTCACAACAGCCTGTAACGCAATCCTGATGCTTGATTCCTCACAAAATCCCCTATAGTCATCTCCTTTTTTTTCAACTTGACTTCTTAGATTGGCCCTTGGTCATTTCACAAGGCCAATTTCTCTTCCTTGGCCTCATGTCACCTCACACTCACCCAACACTCCCATTAAACAGTTAAAAACTTTAAGTTTGTTTCTAAAAAGTCTCTAAATGTATTACAGTGAAAGCTTTTAAATTCGGCTTTAAAATATACTATTCTATTTATAAGTCTAGGAAATTTTAATATTTTCCCCCTTCTTTCTAAAATATTTTCCAATATACTGAGATATTCAAAGGATAATACAATGATCACCTGCATATGAACCGCTCAAGAGTCAAGTTCGTGCTACTTGTGTGTAAAATACCTCTGAAACTACGGGCAATATCTCAGATATGTTGTGGGTTCAGTTCCTGACCACTGCAATAAAGTTATTATCACAATAAAGCGACTCACATGAATCTGTCAGTTTCCCAGTGCAAATAAAAGTCATGTTTACACTATACTGTCGTCTATTAAGTTTGCAGTAGCGCTATGCTTTAAAGTACATACCTTAATTTTAAAACACTTTATTGCTTTAAAAATGCTAATAATCATCGGAGCCTTCTGTGAGTCATAACCTTTTTGCTGGTAGAGGGTCTTGCCTTGATGTTGATGACTGTCAACCAATCAGGATGGGGGTTCCTGAGGGTTGGGGTGGCTGTGGCAATTTCTTAAAATAAGACAACAGTGAAGTCTGCAGCTTTACCTGACCCTTCCTTTTACTAAATATTTCTCTGTAGTAAGTGATACTGTTTGATAGCATTTGACCCATGCTAGAACTGCTTTCAAAATGAGTCAGTCCTCTTAAGTCCTGCTAATGCTTTATCAATTAAATTTATAGCGTATTCTAAATCCATTGTTGTCATTTCACAATGTTCACAGCATCTACACCAGGAGTCGATTTCATCTCATGAAAGCACTTTCTTTGCTCATTCATAAGCAGCAGCTCCTCATCCATTCAAGTTTGAACATGAGATTGCAGCAGTTTGGTCATATCTTCAGGATCCACTTCTAACTCGAGTTCTCTTGCTATTTCCACCATATCTGTAGTGACTTCCTCCACTGAAATTTTGTACCCCTCAAAGTCATCCATAAGGGTGGGATTTGACATTTTCAAGTATCTAATTTAATTAAATATCTTTAATGCTGATATTTTGACCTCCTCCCATGTATCATGAATGTTTCTAATGGCATCTAGAATGGCAAACTCTTTCCAGAAAGCTTTTTATTTACTTTGCCCAGATCCATCAGAGGAATCATGATCTATGGCAGTAATAGCCTTAAAAAATGTATTTCTTAAATAATAAGACTTGAAAGTCCAAATGACTCCTTGATCCATGGGCTACAGAATGGATGTTGTGATTGCAGGCATGAAAACAACATTCATCTTTTTGTACATCTCCATTAGAGCTCTTGAGTGACCAGGTACATTGTCAATGAGCAGTAATATTTTGAAAGGAATCTTTTATTCTGAGCATCAGTTCTCAATAGTGGTCTTAAAACCTTCGGTAAACCAAACTGCAAACACATGTGCCGTCATCCGGGCTTTGCTATTCTCTTTATATAGCACAGGCAGAGTACATTTAACATAGTTCTTAAGGGCCATAGAATTTTCAGAACAGCCTATGAGCACTGGCTGCAACTAAAAGTCACCAGCTGCATTAGCCCTTAACAAGAGAGCCAGCCTGTCCTCTGAAGCCAAGCAATGACTTTCTCTCTAGCTATGAAAGTCCTAAATGGCATCTTCTTCAGGTATAAGGCTGCTTAGTGTAGCCACCTTTATCAGTGATCTTCTGGACAACTTGCTGCAGCTTCTACATCAGTACTTGCTGCTTCTCCTTGTACTTTTATGGTATGCAGATGGCTTCTTTCTTTAAACCTCATGAACCAACCACTACTAGCTTCAGATTTTTCTTCTGCAACTTCCTGACCTCTCCAAGCCTTCAGAGAATTGAAGAAAGTTAGGTCCTTGTTCTGGATTGAGCTCTGGCTGAAGAGAATGTTGTGGCTGGTTCTAGACCTCTCTCAAACATTCTCCGTATTAGCAACAGAGCTGTTTTACTTTCTTATCATTCATGTACTCTCTGGAGTAGCACTTTTAATTTCCTTCAAGAACTTTTCCTTCGAATTCACAACTTGGCTAACTGATGCAAAGGCCTAGCTTTTGGCTTATTTTGGCTTTCAACATGCCCTCCTCACTAAGGTTAATCATTTTTAGCTTTTGATTTAAAGTGAGAGATGTGGCCGGGCTCGGTGGCTCACGTCTGTAACCCCAGCACTTTGGGAGGCCGAGGAGGGTGGATCACGAGGTCAGGAGATCGAGACCACCCTGGCTAACACGGTGAAACCCCATCTCTAATAAAAATACAAAAATTACCCGGGCGTGGTGGCGGGCGCCTGTTGTCTCAGTTACTTGGGAGGCTGAGGCAGGAGAATGGCGTGAACCCGGGAGGCAGACCTTGCAGTGAGCCAGGATCGTGCCACTGCACTCCAGCCTGGGTAACAGAGCAAGAACTCTGTCTCAAAAATAAATAAATAAATAAAAATAAATAAAGTGAGAGATGTGTGACTCCTTCTTCCACTTGAACATTTAAAGGCCATTGTGTTATTATCAATTAGCCTAATTTCAATATTGTTGTGTTTCAGCCAATAGGGATGCCTGAAGACAGGGAGAGAGATGGGGGAATGGCCAGTTGGTAGAGCAGTCAGAGAATACACATGTATCAATTAAGTTTGCCATCTTATATGGTTGTGGTTTGTGATGCCCCAAAACAATTACAATAGTAACAAAAATCACTTATCACACATCACCATAACAGATACAACAATGAAAAGGTCTTGAAATATTGCAAAAATTACCAACATGTGACAGAGACACAAAGTGAGAGCATGCTGTCAGAAAAACTTGCTTGCCTATAAGCAAGGCTGCCAGAACCTTCATTCAATTAGTAAAAGACACAATATCTATCTACAAAGAGTGGAAGTGAGGTGCAGTAAAAGAAAGTGTGCCTGTAAACTACGAACATCATGGAATTTCACCCCTAAAACTTTCAGCATTCATCTATTAAGAATAAGGACATTTTCCTGCTGGGTGCGGTGGCTCATGCCTGTAATCCCAGCATTTTGGGAGGCCAAGGCGGGTGGATCACCTGAGGTCAGGAGTTCTAAACCAGCCTGGGCAACATGGTGAAACCCCGTCTCTACTAAAAATACAAAAATTAGCTGGGTGTGGTGGTGCACACCTGTAATTCCAGCCACTCGGGAGGCTGAGGCAGGAGAATCCCTTGAACCAGGGAGGCAGAGGTTGCAGTGTCACCTCTGCTCCACTGCACTCCAGCTTGGGCCACAGAGTGAGAGACTCCATCTCAAAACAAACAAACAAAAAAGAATAAGGATATTTTCCTACATAATCCCAATACTATTACCACACATAAGAAAACTAGTAATTCCAAAATATCATCTAATGACATTTCCTATGGTTTGAATGTGTCCCCCAAAGTTCATGTGTTAGAAACTTAATCCCCTGAAAGCGACAGTGTTAGGAGTATGGGACCTAATAAGAGGGTCTTCCCTCATGAATGCATTAATGTCATTATCTTGGGAGTGGGTTAGTTATCACCAGAGTGGACTTGTTATAAAAGCAAGTTCAGCTCCCCCTTGCTCTCTTGTGTTCTCCTGTCCTTCTGCTATGGGGTGACTTAGTAAGAAGGCCCTGGTCACATGCTGGCATCTTGATATTGAACTTCACAGCCTCTAAAACAGTGAGAAATAAATGTCTTTTCTTTATAGATTACCCAGTCTGTGACACTCTGTTATAACAACACAAAATGGACTAAGACAGAGCTCATGTTCAAATTTCCCCAACTATTCCCAAAATATCTCTTAGATCTGGCTTTTTTTTAAAAAATCAAGATTTAATTAAGGTGAATATATTACACTTATTTTTTGTGTCTCTTTCTACAAACATCATCTCACTTTCTTTTATACTCTGATTTTTTTTTTTTAAGAAACCAGGCAACAATGCCCTACGTTGTCAATGTCTGATTGTTTTTTCTGTCTGAGTGTGATGTTTTTAACTTGTTTCTTTACCCTTGGTATTCCCTGTAAACTTGGGGTTAAGTCTAAGGGTTTGATTAGATTCAGGTTAGATATATTTGGCAAGAACACTTCATGGGTAATTCTGCACTCTATACTGTCTCACAGCAGGAGGCACATAAGGTCAGGCTGCCCCACTATTAATGACGCTGAGTTGATCACTTAGTCAAAGGGGCTTCCTGACACGCTGACCTTGCCAGCAAGTCATTTATACTGCACTATGCCTCAGATTTAAGAGGCTTAATATTTGTGCAATAGCCTGCCAAGAATCCCAAGCTATTTCACTTCTCTGATCTCTTCTGACAACTCTTCCCTGCCCATTTCTTGTACTGTTCTCTTTCCTCTGTTCAATTACTCTCCCTTTCTGCTCTGTGAGCTTGGTTTCCTCATCAATCATCCATTTTCCTCCACCCTCCAAACAGTTCTGAAATTCTACCCTACAAAGCTTTCCTGAATTTAAATACGTTGATCACAGTTCATCTTGGTGTTCAATCCCAAGTTTACTACCTAATTATTAGAATGTGCCACAGAAACAAGGGCTATCTCTGCCAAATTTATTTTGTATATGACCTCTCATAGCAACATATAAACATAGATGTTTATTGGTAACTATTGCATTGAAAGTCTCAATGTTTGACACTTGCAATTAATAAGACGGCTCCACTGAGCAAAGCAACAGTGAGCATTTATCCAGGGTTTTGTTTTTGTTTTGGATTATCTGCCATTTAAAATCTACCTATACCTCCTGGCTATAGCTACGTTTGCAAACCAACCACAGCAAGAAAGCACAAATGTTTTCAAAATCCTTTGTAGGATAGTAGGATACACCTACACACTATGATTATTTGCCAGTAATGTATTTTTTAAATGCCTGGTTCACCCTAATTGCACAAATTAATTGGGCAGTCTTTAGCATCCAGCAACATTCCTCATGAACAGGAAGACCAATAAATATATGCTGAGAATGCTTTCCAAAAAACAGGTCTTATTTTGAAGCTGTGTATGAGTGAGTACACATGCAAAATGAATTAAGAATTGAGATCACTGTTTGGATCTTTTAGACCAAAAGTCAGAGATGTATGCAGATAAGACAAAAGTATTCCAGAGTTTTAATTATTTGGGTAACTCCATCAATTAGCCAATTCATTTCAATTGTACACTCTAGGCTTACAAGTCAATAGTATCTTTTCATCTTTTCTTGTTAACAATCACCTAATATTATACAAGAATAACAAGTTTGTTATGCCTCATTTTCTTGCTTTTTATCATCTGTGTTCCAACTTGGAAACGGGGAGAAAGGTACTGGGCACACAATTTTAAAAAGATCTGCTTTTTCCTTTCTCCATGACCAACCTAAGCTGGAATGAATAAACAATGCAAATGGCACGAAATTTGTCCTCCCTCTCCAAGACTAGTTCAGTGCAAAGCTGTGAAGTGTATAAAGTTTATCTTCAGCCCCACTGTCCTTATCAAAATCTACCCTTAGCATAAACATTGTCTTTACTTTTAAGCTAAATTTAGACTGATGTTCCTTCTCCCAAAAGCATTTGCAAAACTGGGGAATGAAAAGCCACGTTAGGTCCCCTGTAGTCGCATTTCAGGTGTCCACAGGCCAATGAGGGCTGTGTTTGTGGGATCGATGCTGTCCCCTATCTTACTGAAAGCACATGATATAAAAACAGTCATAGTAGATGGCTGCTTAAGTTTGACTCATCTTGATAAATATTCTCTAAGCTAATATTTGCATCGTTCTATAATATTTGCAAAGCAGGGCTCACATTATCTTGATTAATCTTAACAAAGTCTCATGAGCCCCACATCTTATCTCTACTTTGCAGATAAGGAAGCCACTTCCCTCCTACCGAGTGCTGGGCTCACAGCTCTAATCAAGGTCTTACAACTCCACAAGGATGCTCTTTCCATTCCCATATGCTGCCTTCCATTCAGGTCTACAATCTCCCCTCCTTCTCCTAGAAGAAAGGTGACAATCTTACCATTGACTTACTACCTAAAAGTGTTTCCCAGGTTTCTAAAGCAGTGACAATTAGTTCTATTACTCCCAAGTATTTCATGCGCATATACACACACACACGATATATTTTTAATATTCAAGACATCGCAGAGGAATAATAATAAATGTATCTCATCTAGTCTTCTCATGAGGGGTTTAACCCATAACCAAAAGACAGGAGGGAAACCACAGAACGAAGCCTCCATCATTACCACATAATGGAGTGGAGGAACCAACGCTTTTAGGTTGTCTTCGCTATGCACATTCAATGATGAGTTTTAAAGAAAATTTTGCCTTTCTCTCACTTTATGATATAAATGTAGGCCTAAAGTTACACTTCAAACAACTCATGCACTACACCTTGCAAGTTATGAATTTTTTTTTCTTTCTTTTGAGACAGAGTCTCACTCCTGTCACCCAGGCTGGAGCGCAGTGGTATGATCTTGACTCACTACAACCTCCATCTCCCAGGCTCCAGTGGTTCTCCTGCCTCAGCCTCCCAAGTAGCTGGGATTACAGGCGCCTGCCACCACGCCGGGCTAATTTTTTGTATTTTTAGTAGAGACGGGGTTTCATCATGTTGGCCAGGCTGGTCTCGAACTCCTGACCTCAGGTAATCCACCTGCCTCGGCCTCCCAAAGTGGTAGGATTATAGGCATGAGCCACAGCACCCGGCCTGAATTTTTATAAGAAAATAAAAGATAACATGAAATATTACTTCCTGTCAAAGATGACATGAATTATTATTGCACAATGAATTCAAAACTCATGAACAAAACTACTGCAAAAGGCAAAAATATTTACAAGCATCTTTGCGGAATATATATTCTGTACCATATCTCACGCCTGACACATTTTATACACAGATCATCCTAACTGAAAAAATAGAAACAGGTAATCATGGACTTCCTGAAACATTTCTGGAAGCCAGGCATGGTAGCTCATGCCTATAATCCCAGCACTGTGGGAGGACGAGGCAGGCAGACCACTTGAGGTCAGGAGTTTGAGACCAACCTGGCCAACATGGTGAAACCCCATCTCTACTAAAATTATAAACGTTAGCTGAGAGTGGTGGCACGTGCCTATAATCCCAGCTACTTAGGAGGCTAAGGCAGGAGAATCACTTGAAGCTGGGAGGTGGAAGTTGCAGTGAGCCAAGATCGTGCCACTGCACTCCAGCCTGGGCAACAGAGTGAGACTCCAACTCAATCAATCAATCAATCAATCAATAAACAAATAAATAAATAAATGTATTCTGTACATCAGGGACTGGCAAGCTTTTTCTGTAAAAAGACACACAGTAAATATTTTAGGTTCCACAGACCATATGATCTCACTGGACTATTTAATTCTGCAGTCATCGCATGAAAATGGGCATAGACAGTATGTAAATGAATAAGTGTGGCTATGAGTGTGGCAATAAAACTTTATTTACAAAAATATGGCCACAAGTCATAGTTTGTCAAAGCCTTTTTTTTAAAAAAGCATTTTTATCAAGTCTGGCTTTCTTGTTAAAATGATACCATATCTGTAAGACACTGCTAAAGCAGGCTCGGTGATGATGTTTACCTGTGACCCAATGGTTTCCTGGAAGCACCGGCCAAGCTGTGTCTTAGCAGCCACGGGGTAGACGTGAGGAATGACCTGCTGGTGGGAGTATGTGGAATGTATGGTCTGGGTCTTCTGGACAGGAAGCCCTTGGTACGAGACTTGGGATTGGCCTGGTTGAGCTTCTTTTGTCTTCTGGCCTGTTGGGCCATCAATTCTTGAAACCTGATGTATCTGGACGGAAGCTTCAGGAGGATGTTTCACATGGATATTGACTATGTTAGGAGGAAATTTCACTACAACAGATTGGGAGGAAAACTTGTTAGTCCTGAATAACTAACAGGCAAATCAAAAGTTTTAAAACATGAAAGTAAATTTTATAAACATGCATGCATGTGTAGCATTTTGCTGCATAGCCATCAAAATTCTTTTTTTTTTTTTTTTTGAGATGGAGTTTCGCTCTGGTCACCCAGGCTGATGTGCAATGGCTCGATCTCAGCTCATTGCAACCTCAACCTCTGCATCCCAGGTTCAAGCGATTCTCCTGCCTCAGCCTCCCGAGTACCTGGGATTACAGGTGCCCACCACCATGCCTGGCTAATTTTTGTATTTTTAGTAGAGACGGGGTTTCACCACGTTGGCCAGGCTGGTCTTGAACTCTTGACCTCAGGTGATCCGCCTGCCTTGGCCTCCCAAAGTGCTGGGATTACAGGCGTGAGCCACCGTGCCCAGCCAGCCATCACAATTCTTAAGGGCACAGGCAAAATAAAAATTAAGCCTGAATTTATATGTTTTTAAAATTTGCAATTATAGAGAGAAATTAAAACTTTTAACAGTAATACATTCATGAGACTAAAATATTCTTTTCCAAAGTCATAAAGCTGTGAAATTCATGCTGCTTGTTCTAAGCAGGTAAATTTTATCAAATGTTAATCAGAAAGATCAAGCATTTGATTATTTTTGAATTTCTCATAAAATTTCTGTCATAAAAATTGTAGGATTTACATGTTTCTATTAAAAGAGAAAACCCAGTTTTACAAGGCACAATTCTCTTACCCTTAAATAATACAGTACCTGTTATTTTTGTGCTTCTTGTGACATACACACACACAAAATACCAAAGTGCATTATTTTATATCTATAACAAGCTACTTTCCGTAGCTTTCAAACAAAATCTCATCTCCTGATGCAAGGACTCAGGTTTTAAAGAATTAGAGCCAGTAAACTTCTATGATTCCCTTTTTAAAAGTGTGCATTTATAAAAATGCCAGGTTTAAAAGGATGAATTCGTCATAGAATTTTTGAGCTCCAAGTGACCTAGTTTACTTTCCTCTACAGACGAACAAATTGAAGTCCAGTGAGGTTAAATGATTGTTTACAACTAAAACCAAGCATTCTTCAATTGTGAAGTTCACCAGCAGGTACTGTGCGATCCACTAGCTTATTAATGCTGTAAGGGCCAGAACACTGTCTTGCTCATCTTTCTATTTCCCAGGCCTTGTCAGAACAGTACCATGCACATTTATTAGCTCTTGGTGGTAAAGAATCACTAGAGAAGAATGGGCTCCTTTTTATTTTCTTATTTCCTAGACACTAACTCTCTATGGCCTAGAAAGTACTGCAGCTACATACCTGGGCCCACATTCTGTCTCTACTGCCATTTCTCAGGCCACAAATCATGTACTCCTTTCTGTTTCAATACCAGCCCTGGCCACCCGCAGATCCTTGACTTCTATGTGGGTTTGGCAGGTTAACAGAGGTCTGGCAAATGGGCGGAATGAAAAAAGCTTACCTTTGACTCCTTGCTGGCTAGTCACGGTCAGAGGCAAGGTATGTGTTGAATGGATGACATGCGTCCCCAACGCCTTGCCTGGCTGCTGGGAATGCTGATAAAGTTTAGGCACGCTGGCACCATGGACTGGGATCTGACAAAGTTTTCCTGTGAAATTTGGAGGGCACTGACATTTGTCCCTTGAACTGCACTGGCCACCATTCATACATGGAAGATGGCAAATTACTAAAAGGGAAAAGAGAAAACATGGAGAGTTGGTTAGTCTCTCAGAGGCTAAGTAATGATCAACCAACAAAACCTGCAAAACATACAGCCCATTATAGGCATCAGAGTCCCATGACCTTTAGAAATGGTAAACAGAGGAGTAAACTCGCTATGCCAAAAGTAGTCTCCGTTACTGACTACCTTTTTCTTTCCATCTTAAGTCATTTAACTCTTTAATAGCTTGTAATTATTCTCCCTCCAACAATGGAAAGAAAAGTTCATAGGAAAAGAGTGTGTATATACAGTAGCCACTCAAGATGATTGTCTACCACCATGCCATTTTAAGTACCATTTGCAATCCATAATTATTTCATTAACTGACTCCCTAGATGATAAACTCCTCGAGAACAAGGGGTATGTATGGCCTGGTAGTGTGTATGGCCTGGTAACCTTAACATCCTTGGCACCTAGAAAAATGTCTGGCATACAATGGAGATTAAATAAGTATTTGCTCACCTCATTCTCCATGATGTGATTACGCATTGCATGCCTGTATCAAAACATCTCCTGTACCCCATAAATATATATACCTACTATGTACTCACAAAAATTAAAAATTAAATATATTTGCTCAAAAAATAAAGAAACAAATCAGTAATAAAAATAATATTTGTTGAAAATTTTCTCTATTTAAGACACTAAATGCTACCCAGAACAAATAAGTAGAATAGTTTGAATCATACTTTATAGGAATTTGCAATCTTGTGTAACAAGATCTCAGTGAAGTCCAAAATTAGTTTGGAATTAACTTATTTAGAATACTGAAAGGTAACAGGACAGACTGGGCAAAGAATTTTAAGAGGAGTTATAACTCTGGCTATTTTAGCTTATGGTCAACCTCTTTATCACTAATGAATTCTTCCTATCAGCCTTTAAACATCACAGATTTCCAGCAGCTTGAAGAATATTATAATAAAAGCCCCTCAGCTCCATTTCCTTCCAGCTTCTACCCTCTTTAAATCGTCTCCTCCATAACTAAACTTTCCACCATAATTGTTTGTTGACTTCTCAATGCGCTACAATCTATCTTGGGCCGGTTTATGTTTTCCCATTCCCTGCCCCTCCTCTACACAGAAACTATTCTTGCTAGGGTCATGAATGGTTTCCACATTTCTAAACCCAATGGATGGATTTCAGTCTTCCCTTGGTTTCCATGACACCTCACTCACCTATTTTGCTCCTTCCTCCTGCCTGATCCATCTTAACATTCTTTGCAGACTCTGCTCTCTTTACTTGTTCTTTATATACTGATGTGTGTTAAGGTTTGGTCTTGAAGTCTTCTTCACTGACTCTACACACTCTTTCTCTATGATTTCATCCTATCATACACTGATGTCACCCAAATTTTTATTTTCTGGTCAAAGCTTTCTTCCGAGCTTCAAATTGTCTACAACTATGTGTCACCATATACATATTTCATAGGCACCTCAAATTCAAAATTGAACTCATCGTCTTCCCTCCAATACCTCCATCCACCAAGCGATCTTTAAGAAACACCTGGGTGCTGCCCCCTCATTTTATCTACTCAAACATCTGGTCCTGGAAGTCCTCCCTCCTGAACATTCACCAAAGATGTCAACTTTTTGCCCATTACAGGGATCCTCTGCAATCTCATCACACTTAGCAATCTTACCTCATTCTCTACAATACAGCTACATGGAACTTAATTCAGTTCCTCAGTGTGCTCTCACCCTTCCAGAGCTTTATCCACACTGAGTCCTCTGCCTGGAACATTCTTTCCATCTGGCCTCCGTCAACTACCTGATTCCTACATATCTTTCAGACTCTGCCTGAACCTCACTTCTAGAAGCATTCCCATTGCCCCTCATCTAGGCTTGACACTTACCTTCTTGCTGCCACAAATCTGATTCACTATCCATCATTCCATGCATCTTATGGCATTACAACTGACTGACTACTTCTCTGTATGCCTCACTCAACCAGAGCTCTGTGAGGTCAGGAAGTTACCTTGTTATGTTTTACTGCTAGCACATAGCCCAATGTCTAGAAGAAATGCTAAAAAAAAAAAAAAAAACAGAAAATACTGAATGAGGGAAGGGACAGATTTATACCTATCACTCTGTCAAATGCCATTCCTCATGGTATAGAAGATTCAGTCCCTGCCCATCTAGGACTTAAAAGCTAAATGGAGAAATTAAATAACACATAACTAAAAACACAGATCAGCAAATAAGCGGTAACTGGAAAGTATGAAATATAAATCCTTTGGAACTGCAGAGGAGAAAAGACATTTCTAGGAAGTTAAAATAGACTTCACAGCAGAGATCATTTAGGATAAGTTTTTGAAACTGGTCAAGATTCAGACAACATCAGAAAGTGCATTTTAGGAAGACAATGCATAGAAAGGAGAGGTGGTGGGCATATTTGGGAGATAATGAGTAAACCTATGTTGCTGAAACCTCAGGTTCTAGAGGGAAGGGAAGAGATCAGGTGATAAATTCGAAGAAGGAGGCTTGTGTTAGACAAAGAAAGTTATTACAGGCTTGATAAGGGCTTTGGGTTTTATTCTGTTATCAGTAAGTTATTTTGGAGGCTTCAAGCAGAGGATTAAGTAAAGCTGCAAGAGTGTTCCAGGAAGATTACTCCAGTGATGGCATGCGGGATTAGCTGGAAAGGAGAGAGAGTAGAGTGGGAAAGTCAGTGAGGAAACTATTATAGCAATTGAAATTCAAGTTGAAAAACATATAATTAGGATGATGGCAACAGGAACTGAAAGAAACATGCAGTAACGTAAGGCTGGAGGGAAAATCAGTGGAACTTGATGATGGGACACAGGAGGAAAAGAGCAGGCCAAGGAAGAGGGGAGAAAGTGGAGGAGGGAGGAGAGAGTTGGAAAAATTACAAAGGTGACAACCCAGAAACTTTCTTCAGGGCGTAGGCTGCAGATCAAGTCAAAACTCCCCATGCTGGATGGGGTCTGAAAAATACCTTCATTAGTGCCCAAACTACTCTGTGAGGTCTTGGGTAAGAAAAGAGAAAGTCAAAGCTGACTCCAAGGTTGAATCAATGACTTTGAAACTCTCAGTTCAACTCTGATTTGATTTTCTGCACCACAGTTTGGCTACACTGGACAGGCTCAGTGTGTAATGGGTAAAGCAAAGGGAGCTAGGCCCAGCTTTAAATGTACTACAAAGAATTTATAACTGGAATACAGGCACTCCTCACTTGGTATGGTTCCAATACGCATGAATTTCCGTTACCGTAGTTTTGTTAAATAATACCAGTCCCCCGACAACGTGGTTCAGACTTCACTTACCAAGGTATATTAACTGAGTAACTGCATCAAATACAAACTTCACTGCTAGCTCTTTGGTTCGCAAATCATGATGTGAATAACAGATGTGTATCACGACCAATGACCAATCATGTCACTTCTCTGAAAGCCTGTCGGTGATTGGTCCCTGCACATCTGGTATTCAGTTCAGGAACAAACAGCAAAGCAGGTAGTTCTGCCATCTCCTCATCTCAGAGGGATAAAAATCACAGGACATTTTACAAAAGTGGATAATCGAAAGACAGTATGAGCCAACAAAAAAGAAAGTATAGCAAAGAAATACAAAGTGACAACACTGGAAGTGAAATTGGAAGGTGGCTGTAATGAACAGGATGAAGATTCCCAAAGGAATTAACATTAAAGTAACTCTCAGGTATTTCACAACTTTGGATCAGCTTCCAACGTTTTGTACAAACTCAAAAAGGAGTACGACAGTACACAAAAGAAAAGAAATACTCTATATCATCAGTTATACAATGAAAAGCAAACATGTTGAAATTATTCCCAAGTTTTACTCAAAGAAATGAAACATTTAACTCTCAATGTTTCTAACATTTTAAATTATCAAGTACTAAATAAATATTAGCTGTACTATTTTTTTCATTTCCCTATATATTAATAACCTACACTAAAACATTTTTAATGCTTTGGCAAAAATTTCTTAAGGTCATAGAACTCATCATTTTTAAATTGATTTTTAAGATGCAAAGTGAGGGCTCCCTATAATCAATCTATACTAGAATACAATGTGTGTGTATGTGTACACATACATACATATATATGTCTGTGTGTGTGTGTGTGTGTGTGTGTGTGTGTGTGTGTATATATATATATCACCATCTTTTCTTCTTTTTTTTTTTGAGACAGGGTCTCACTCTGTCACCCAGGCTGGAGTGCAGTGGCGCCATCTCGGCTCACTGCAAGCTCCGCCTCCTGGGTTCGTGCCATTCTCCTGCCTCAGCCTTCCGAGTAGCTGGGACTACAGGCACCTGCCACCACACCTGGCTAATTTTTTGTATTTTTAGTAGAGATGGGGTTTCACCGTGTTAGCCAGGATGGTTTCGATCTCCTGACTTCATCATCCGCCCACCTCGGCCTCCCAAAGTGCTGAGATTACAGGTGTGAGCCACTGCGCCCGGCCAACACCACCTTTTTTTAAACAAAGAAACAGTAACCAATTGACTTTTACAAGGTATTCCCAATATCAGCAGTAGACTTTGAACTCTATCATGAACTTAGTTTCATTTAAATCTACCTCTAACCCCCTGAGATAACCTCCACACAGTTGTTTCAAGGACTATACCAGCATACGTGGATACAGCAATAATCCCTAAACTCCAACAACCCTGTGTCTCTCTGGTTATAAAGGAAATGGTTTCTGCTTGACTTATTTCAACCAATAAAAGTCCAGTATTTATAACCCTTTATGAATAATAAATAAAATATCTATTCTCCAGTTCTAGCATTTCTAAAATCTAAATGACAATATAAAGCTCTTTGTCTCAGCTCAATAAGTATGTATTGAACCCTTTGTGGCAGGCAGTCTTTTTATACCTAATAGTCAGTTACATCACAGAAACAAATTGAAAATACACCTACAAACTTTAGGATTCAACTATGAATAGTTTCCTTCTGTTTCAAAAGTTCATGCCACTCTCAAAACATCATCTAGTGATGTATCATCTGTGCTTCCCAAGTTCTATAAAACCTCAGAACATCAAGAGGAAAAGAGTACGTTATTGTTAAGGTTGACTTGAGATGCTTGTGGTACGCTGGTTACAAGGCTAGCCATGGGGCATATATTTTAGAAAATATTACAGGAAGGTGAACTGCAGAATGCTGGCTGAGACATTCCATAACCTTGTTAGCTTGATACTTTGCTGGTCATCACCATAATTCACTATATTGCATCAGAGAGTCACCTGGGAACTACTGCAATTAACAAGAGGTAGGCCTTCAGCCTGTTACTCCAGAAAGTGTAATTTTGTGACGGTCACTCAAAGTATCTCACGGTACAACTGTAAAAGGTCAAAATGAGCAAAAGGATCCATGCTGGAAGAACAACAAGCTGGAGGTTTTAAATAAGTCAGGCGTTTCAGTTGTATTCCACCATTCACTTTGGTCTGTAAAACAACTTGCAGTACTCAAGTAATTGGGCTGACAGAATAATATTCACATTCTGTGCCACGAATTGGAACCTTGTTTAGATGAACAAATATTCATGACTTGTATATAAATGCGGGCAAACTGAATTTTCTAAAAATTTATACCATAAAAAGGCAGACCCTGCCTCTTTCTTTCCTGTTATCTTAGCTGACTATAAAAATACTTCGGCTGCTGGTTCCCAAAAGGCACTCTAAGAATGTTCTTGACCTTCCTGCAGCAGGGTCCTGGCCACTCCACCCGCTCCCTGGCTTTCTGTGCCAGCAGACAGACCATTTCAAGTTATCGTGGCAAAGGCAGAGCAGGGAAAACAAACCTCCATCTGAAGGAAAACCCGTATCTGTCCTTTTGCAGAACAGACACACACATGATTTTGATTTGACTTTCCCACTTGTCTCTGATTAGAATAATATTCCCTTAAAGGCCTTCAGCATTTTTGTTGATATCCCTTGCAGGGCTGGTTGGTGATGGGTAGCAATATTTTTAGAAAGTTAAGTTACCACATTATTTCTCCCCCCATTCTGCTTTAGGATAACAAATATGTTATATAATAATTACATGCTACAGCAAACCATTGCTCACTTTAAGAACCTATGCTACTTAGGCTGGGCACGGTGACTCACACCTGTAATCCCAGCACTTTGGGAGGCCCAGGCAGGCAGATCACTTAAGGCCAGGAGTTCAAGACCAGCCTGGTCAACAAGGCATACCCCCGTCTCTACTTTAAAACATCCCAAAAATTAGCCAGACATGGTGGCATGTACCTGTAGTCCCAGCTACTTGGGAGGCTGAGACATGAGAATCACTTGAACGCGGGAGGCAGGGGTTGCACTGAGCTGAGATTGCACCACCGCACTCCAGCCTCAGTGACAGAGTGAGACCCTGTCAAAAAAAAAAAAAAAAACTATGCCACGCTACACAAAACCAAACCTATATGCTTGCCTTTTCATTCGGTATGCATCACCAAGGGGAAAAAAGAAAGGCTGGACTCCAAGAAGACAGTTACCTTCTTCTAAAGCTAGAACAGAGGAACCAGGAAGGCCTAGTCCTACACATGACCAAGAAAGAAGAATGTGGACTGGTTTTGTCCCTATGGAATGTGGAGATTTACAGTTGTTGTGTTCTAAAACTGCCTATCTTCAATTCTTGATTATCTGTCTGTTAACTTATACTGACTCGGACTCCATCAAAAAACCAGAGTTAGGGTGATCCAGAACAACCTGTCCAAGGAAGTGAGATTTAAGCTGAACCTAAAGGGGGAAGAATACAGCAAGATGAAAAGTTGGCAGAAGAGTGTTTACAGAAGAACAAATAACATGAGTGAAGACCTTGAGGTGAGGTGTTTTAGAAAGGCTCCAAAACTGAGAGGGAGCTGATGTGGCTGGAGTGTAAGAGGCAGGGAGAAAGGGAGACAAGCTGGGTTTCAGATACAGACACAGGCCCGATTCCTGTTCATTTCCATAAGGATATAAGGCAGTCTGTAAAAGTAGACAGAGTTAAACACAAAGAATATAAATGATAGATTAAAACTTAGGACCCAGGCAGATCTGAATCACAGGACACAGAACCGGGGAAAAACAAGGATAGCTACAGGATCTTCTATTGGATACGCTTTCAATGTGCACTGGACACTTGGCTTTGGGTTTTTAAACCTTATTTTACATTTTTAAATAACCCATTAGCCAGATTCTAATTAAATTTCTAAAAGTTTTAACTTAAAACTCACTAAATATATAATCATTATGAAGGTACAGGGATTTTCTTTTACATATGAGAGAAGAGACTAGTATTCTCCATAGTACATGCAAAAGACACAACAGAGTTCCAAAGAGAAAATGCTTTAAAAAAGTTAAAGATGCACCCAACACTCCCCATCAGTGAGCATCTCTTTGGTTTTTTTTTTAAGAATATATGCATTTATTTGACATCAGATGTAAAAATACATTATCGTTTCATTCTTTTATAATGAAGGTGTTTTCTATTTTATATATCACAAGAACTAAAAGACTTCACGAATATTCATAGTAACCATTAGTTTTAAACTCTAGATGAGGGGTTTCCAATCTTTTGGCTTCCCTGAGCTACACTGGAAGAAGAACTGTCATGAGTCACACATTAAATACACTAACACTTATGATAGCTGATGAGCTTTAAAAAAAATCACAGAAAGATCTCATGTTTTAAAAAAGTTTGCAAATTTGTGTTGGGCCGCATTCAAAGCCATCCTGAGCCACATGCACCCCATGGGCTGGGGTTGGACAAGCTTGCTCTAGACAAAGAGGTGACTTTTTAAAAACAGCAAATAAAAGCATGCTGGGGGCCAGGCATGGTGGCTCATGCCCGAAATCCCAGCACTGTAGGAGGCCAAGGTGGGAGGATCACTTGAAGCCAGGAGTTTGAGACCAGCTTTGGCAACACAGTGAGACCCCATCTCTAAAGAAGAAAAAGAAAAAAGGAAAATAAAGCATGCCAGAAGATGTAGAAACATACTAATTAATACCTACAAAAATGTTGGGGGTGGACAGACATCATTACAAGGAAGTTCCTCCACAGGATCTACCAAGACTATTATCATCAACAAACCAACATGGTGGTGAGATACCATTCAAGCATCACTGACTTTAAAGACTATTTTAACCATTGGTTTAGTTCATTCAAGCAAATAGGACATTACTCTTTTTGTTACCTGCTTTGAAAATTAATAAGACCATTTTCATTCCATCGCCACCTATCAAATACCAGGTATATCAAGCTAATGTTAAAGTAAATGCAGATTTCAACAAGTAGAAAAGATCAACCTCAATGCAAACAACAATTCCAAAAATACCACAAATTTTTAATGCTGGTGGGCATTAGTAAATGCTTCAATAACATGTTCTGTTTATAACCCAGGAGATACGAAGCGCTATCACACACACCAGATGAGATGAGGCCATTCATCATCTCAACTTTGTTTATAGCTTCCTGTTCATTTATCATCAACCTCGCCATTGCTGTGCGCTATCTATTTTGATCTAGTTTTATACCTTGCATAACCTAAGGAGCTCCATATATTAGGCATGTCATAAAATTCCACTTCACATTCTTCATCACAGATGCTGTCATTGTCGCTCTCTCCTAATGATTCCTAAACCTCAAGGCTCTGTCCCCCTTAGGAAAAACGCAGCAACATTTGTTGGCTGCAGAAACACCAAACACCTTGAGATTGAGGCCTCCTTCGGCAACAATCTTAAAAGACTTCAAAATCACTATGTAGACTACAGTGTCTCCATCTGCAAAAATGAGGTGGCTGAGGGACACAATCCACAGGTTCCTTTCCATCCCTGTAATTCAGCAGGCTGGGGAGCAGCCCTTGGGGATCATCAGAAACACTTGCAGGGGGTACAGAGGGGTGCAGGTAAGCAAGCAAGGGCTTTTGGCTAGCGTAATGTGATTTGATCATTACATTATCTATGCCCACAAATTTGTAAAGCCTAGATGAGTGTTCAGATTACAGTTTAACCACTACAGTTTACATTTGCATTCTTTTCTTACTACACAGCCTTCATACAGGTATGCACCATGTATTGCTACAGAGCCTTAATGATTGATTTTAGTAGCTATATAATATTCCATTGGCAGATGGTAAATTATATAGCCATTCCTCTACTGTGCTTAGCTTGTCTGCATTTCTTTCTTTGTTTCTTTCTTTGAGACAAGGTCTCACTCTGTCACCCAGGCTGGAATGTAGTGGTGTGATCTCGGCTCACCGCAATGTCCATCTCCCAAGTTCAAGCCATTCTCCTGCCTCAGCATCCCAAGTAGCTGAGATTACAGGCACCCACCACCACTCCTGGCTAATTTTTGTATTTTTAGTACATACAAAAATTATGTACTAAACAGGGTTTCACCATGTTGGCCAGGCTGGTCTTGAACTCCTGACCTTAAGTGATCTGCCCACTTCAGCCCTGCAAAGTGCTGGGATTACAGGTGTGAGCCACCACGCTCAGCCTTGTCTGCATTTTTTAACTATTAGAGATAAAGCTCCAAAGAATATCCTCCACAAGCACAAAGTTTTATTCTTAGTAATTATTTTCTCATGCATTCAGTTAACATTTACAAATTGCTTAGTATGCAAGGCAATGTGCTAGGAGATATAGCGAACAAGAAAATATAACATGAGTCGATTACACTAATGTAACTGTCTCACCATGGGGAGAATACAGAGCATAGACATTAAGAGCAACAGCCTGGAATCAGACCTCCAGGAGTTTGAATCCCAACTAAATTATTTCTTACTGGCAGGACATTGGGTAAGTTATTTAATGTTTTTCTACCCCACTTCTTCACCTGTAAAATGAGAAAAATAATTGTATCCAGCTCATATGGCTGTTGTGTGACCTGAATGAATTCATATATTCACAGTACACAGAACTCAGCACATAGCAGGCACTCAGCAAACGTTAGCCATCCTCATCAACTTCGTAATTATGATGGCAGGGCGCAATGAGAAGAACATATAAAAGGGAAAGCAAACCAGCATATCAGCAACAAAAGGGATGTGCAAGGTGTCGAAATCACTATGACTTGAAAATTAACCATCCCAAAGCATACATAACAGCTTTGGGATGGTTAAGCACAGTGGCTCAAGCCTGCTCATGCCTGCCATCTCCACATCTTGGGAAGCTGGTCAGGTCGTGCACTATACTGTAGATTATTTCGTTCACCACTTTCTCTAGAATCTAGTGCTGGGCTGTTGAATTTCTGAGTATATCAACAGATGAATTTCCAAAAAGAATATGTCAATCAATAACGTCAATAGCACTATATTAATATATTAAATTAACATGTTGTCAGCCAGGCATGGTGGCTCACGACTGTAATCTCAGCACTTTGGGAGGCTGAGGCAGGCAGATGACGAAGTCAGGAGATCGAGACCATCCTGGCCAACATGGTGAAACCCCGTATCTACTAAAAATACAAAAAATTAGCCGGGCGTGGTGGCGGGCGCCTGTAGTCCCAGCTACTCAGAAGGCTGAGGCAGGAGAATGGCATGAACCGGGAGGCGGAGCTTGCAGTGAACAGAGATCCCACCACTGCACTCCAGCCTGCGCGACAGAGCGAGACTCCATCTCAGAAAATAAATAAATAGATTAATTAATTAACATGTCAAAATTGGATTTTATTTCTTTTTATTTATTTTCTATTTTTTTATTTTATTATTATTATACTTTAAGCTTTAGGGTACATGTGCACAATGTGCAGGTTAGTTACGTATGTATACATGTGCCATGCTGGTGTGCTGCACCCATTAACTCGTCATTTAGCATTAGGTATATCTCCTAATGCTATCCCTCCCGCCTCCCCCCACCCCACAACAGTCCCCAGAGTGTGATGTTCCCCTTCCTGTGTCCATGGGTTCTCACTGTTCAATTCCCACCTATGAGTGAGGATATGCGGTGTCTGGTTTTCTGTTCTTGCGATCGTTTACTGAGAATGATGATTTCCAATTTCATCCATGTCCCTACAAAGGACATGAACTCATCATTTTTTTATGGCTGCATAGTATTCCACGGTGTACATGTGCCACATTTTCTTAATCCAGTCTATCACTGTTGGCCATTTGGGTTGGTTCCAAGTCTTTGCTATTGTGAATAGTGCCGCAATAAACATACGTGTGCATGTGTCTTCATAGCAGCATGATTTATAGTCCTTTGGGTATATACCCAGTAATGGGATGGCTCGGTCCAATGGTATTTCTACTTCTAGATCCCTGAGGAAGTGTCACACTGACTTCCACAATGGTTGAACTAGTTTACAGTCCCACCAACAGTGTAAAAGCTTTCCTGTTTCTCCACACCCTCTCCAGCATCTGTTGTTTCCTGACTTTTTAATGATTGCCATTCTAACTGGTGTGAGATGGTATCTCATTGTGGTTTTGATTTGCATTTCTCTGATGGCCAGTGATGATGAGCATTTTTTCATGTGTCTTTTGGCTGCATAAATGGCTTCTTTTGAGAAGTGTCTGTTCATATCCTTCGCCCACTTTTTGATGGGGTTGTTTTTTTCTTGTAAATTTGTTTGAGTTCATTGTAGATTCTGGATATTAGCCCTTTGTCAGATGAGTAGGTTGCAAAAATTTTCTCCCATTTTGTAGGTTGCCTGTTCACTCTGATGGTAGTTTCTTTTGCTGTGCAGAAGCTCTTTAGTTTAATTAGATCCCATTTGTCAATTCTGGCTTTTGTTGCCATTGCTTTTGGTGTTTTAGACATGAAGTCCTTGCCCATGCCTATGTCCTGAATGGTAATGCCTAGGTTTTCTTCTAGGGTTTCTATGGTTTTAGGTCTAACGTTTAAGTCTTTAATTCATCTTGAATTAATTTTTGTATAAGGTGTAAGGAAGGGATCCAGTTTCAGCTTTCTACATATGGCTAGCCAGTTTTCCCAGCACCATTTATTAAATAGGGAATCCTTTCCCCATTGCTTGTTTTTCTCAGGTTTGTCAAAGATCAGATAGTTGTAGATATGCGGCGTTATTTCTGAGGGCTCTGTTCTCTTCCATTGATCTATATCTCTGTTTTGGTACCAGTACCATGCTGTTTTGGTTACTGTAGCCTTGTAGTATAGTTTGAAGTCAGGTAGTGTGATGCCTCCAGCTTTGTTTTTTTGGCTTAGGATTCACTTTGCGATGCGGGCTCTTTTTTGGTTCCATATGAACTTTAAAGTAGTTTTTTCCAATTCTGTGAAGAAAGTCATTGGTAGCTTGATGGGGATGGCATTGAATCTATACATTACCTTGGGCAGTATGGCCATTTTCACGATATTGATTCTTCCTACCCATGAGCATGGAATGTTCTTCCATTTGTTTGTATCCTCTTTTATTTCATTGAGCAGTGGTTTGTAGTTCTCCTTGAAGAGGTCCTTCACATCCCTTGTAAGTTGGATTCCTAAGTATTTTATTATCTTGGAAGCAATTGTGAATGGGAGTTCACTCATGATTTGGCTCTCTGTTTGTCTGTTATTGGTGTATAAGAATGCTTGTGATTTTTGTACACTGATTTTGTATCCTGAGACTTTGCTGAAGTTGCTTATCAGCTTAAGGAGATTTTGGGCTGAGATGATGGGGTTTTCTAGATATACAATCATGTCATCTGCAAACAGGGACAATTTGACTTCCTCTTTTCCTAATTGAATACCCTTTATTTCCTTCTCCTGCCTGATTGCCCTGGCTAGAACTTCCAACACTATGTTGAATAGGAGTGGTGAGAGAGGGCATCCCTGTCTTGTGCCACTTTTCAAAGGGAATGCTTCCAGTTTTTGCCCATTCAGTATGATATTGGCTGTGGGTTTGTCATAGATAGCTCTTATTATTTTGAGATACGTCCCATCAATACCTAATTTATTGAGAGTTTTTAGCATGAAGCGTTGTTGAATTTTGTCAAAGGTCTTTTCTGCATCTATTGAGATAATCATGTGGTTTTTGTCTTTGGTTCTGTTTATATGCTGGATTACATTTATTGATTTGTGTATATTGAACCAGCCTTGCATCCCAGGGATGAAGCCCCCTTGATCATGGTGGATAAGCTTTTGGATGTGCTGCTGGATTCGGTTTGCCAGTATTTTATTGAGGATTTTTGCATCAATGTTCATCAAGGATATTGGTCTAAAATTCTCTTTTTTGGTTGTGTCTCTGCCTGGCTTTGGTATCAGGATGATGCTGGCCTCATAAAATGAGTTAGGGAGGATTCCCTCTTTTTCCATTGATTGGAATAGTTTCAGAAGGAATGGTACCAGTTCCTCCTTGTACCTCTGGTAGAATTCGGCTGTGAATCCATCTGGTCCTGGACTCTTTTTGGTTGGTAAGCTAGTGATTATTGCCACCATTTCAGAGCCTGTTATTGGTCTATTCAGAGATTCAACTTCTTCCTGGTTTAGTCTTGGGAGGGTGTATGTGTCAAGGAATTTATCCATTTCTTCTAGATTTTATAGTTTATTTGCGTAGAGGTGTTTGTAGTATTCTCTGATGGTAGTTTGTATTTCTGTGGGATCGGTGGTGATATCCCCTTTATCATTTTTTATTGCGTCTATTTGATTCTTCTCTCTTTTCTTCTTTATTAGTCTTGCTAGCGGTCTATCAATTTTGTTGATCCTTTCAAAAAACCAGTTCCTGGATTCATTAATTTTTTGAAGGGTTTTTTGTGTCTCTATTTCCTTCACTTCTGCTCTGATTTTAGTTATTTCTTGCCTTCTGCTAGCTTTTGAATGTGTTTGCTCTTGCTTTTCTAGTTCTTTTAATTGAGATATTAGGGTGTCAATTTTGGATCTTTCCTGCTTTCTCTTGTGGACATTTAGTGCTATAAATTTCCCTCTACACACTGCTTTGAATGTGTCCCAGAGATTCTGGTATGTTGTGTCTTTGTTCTCGTTGGTTTCAAAGAACATCTTTATTTCTGCCTTCATTTTGTTATGTACCCAGTAGTCATTCAGGAGCAGGTTGTTCAGTTTCCATGTAGTTGAGCAGTTTTGAGTGAGTTTCTTAATCCTGAGTTCTAGTTTGATTGCACTGTGGTCTGAGAGACAGTTTGTTATCATTTCTGTTCTTTTACATTTGCTGAGGAGAGCTTTACTTCCAACTATGTGGTCAATTTTGGAATAGGTGTTGTGCAGTGCTGAAAAAGATGTATACTCTGTTGATTTGGGGTGGAGAGTTCTGTAGATGTCTATTAGGTCTGCTTGGTGCAGAGCTGAGTTCAATTCCTGGGTATCCTTGTTAACTTTCTGTCTCGCTGATCTGTCTAATGTTGACAGTGGGGTGTTAAAGTCTCCCATTATTATTGTGTGGGAGTCTAAGTCTCTTTGTAGGTCACTGAGGACTTGCTTTATGAAACTGGGTGCTCCTGTTTTTGGTGCATATATATTTAGGATAGTTAGCTCTTCTTTTTGAATTGATCCCTTTACCATTATGTAATGGCCTTCTTTGTCTCTTTTGATCTTTGTTGGTTTAAAGTCTGTTTTATCAGAGACTAGGATTGCAACCCCTGCCTTTTTTTGTTTTCCATTTGCTTGGTAGATCTTCTTCCATCCTTTTATTTTGAGTCTATGTGTGTCTCTGCACGTGAGATGGGTTTCCTGAATACAGCACACTGATGGGTCTTGACTATCCAATTTGCCAGTCTGTGTCTTTTACTTGGAGCATTTAGTCCATTTACATTTAAAGTTAATATTGTTATGTGTGAATTTGATCCTGTCATTTTGATGTTAGCTGGTTATTTTGCTCGTTAGTTGATGCAGTTTCTTCCTAGCCTCGATGGTCTTTACAATTTGGCATGATTTTGCAGTGACTGGTACTGGTTGTTCCTTTCCATGTTTAGTGCTTCCTTCAGGAGCTCTTTTAGGGCAGGCCTGGTGGTGACAAAATCTCTCAGCATTTGCTTGTCTGTAAAGTATTTTATTTCTCCTTCACTTCCGAAGCTTAGTTTGGCTGGATATGAAATTCTGGGTTGAAAATTCTTTTTTTTAAGAATGTTGAATATTGGCCCCCACTCTCTTCTGGCTTGTAGAGTTTCTGCCGAGAGATCCGCTGTTAGTCTGATGGGCTTCCCTTTGTGGGTAACCCGACCTTTCTCTCTGGCTGCCCTTAACATTTGTTCCTTCATTTCAACTTTGGTGAATCTGACAATTATGTGTCTTGGAGTTGCTCTTCTCAAGGAGTATCTTTGTGGCGTTCTCTGTATTTCCTGAATCTGAATGTTGGCCTGCCTTGCTAGATTGGGGAAGTTCTCCTGGATAATATCCTGCAGAGTGTTTTCCAACTTGGTTCCATTCTCCCCGTCACTTTCAGGTACACCAATCAGACGTAGATTTGGTCTTTTCACATAGTCCCATATTTCTTGGAGGCTTTGTTCGTTTCTTTTTATTCTTTTTCTCTAAACTTCCCTTCTCGCTTCATTTCGTTCATTTCATCTTCCATCACTGATACCCTTTCTTCCAGTTGATCGCATCGGCTCCTGAGGCTTCTGCATTCTTCACGTAGTTCTTGAGCCTTGGCTTTCAGCTCCATCAGCTCCTTTAAGCACTTCTCTGTATTGGTTATTCTAGTTATACATTCGTCTAAATTTTTTTCAAAGTTTTCAACTTCTTGGCCTTTGGTTTCAATTTCCTCCTGTAGCTCGGAGTAGTTTGATCGTCTGAAGCCTTCTTCTCTCAACTCGTCAAAGTCATTCTCCGTCCAGCTTTGTTCCGTTGCTGGTGAGGAACTGCGTTCCTTTGGAGGAGAGGTGCTCTGCTTTTTAGAGTTTCCAGTTTTTCTGCTCTGTTTTTTCCCCATCTTTGTGGTTTTATCTACTTTTGGTCTTTGATGATGGTGATGTACAGATGGGTTTTTGGTGTGGATGTCCTTTCTGTTTGTTAGTTTTCCTTGTAGCAGACAGGACCCTCAGCTGCAGGTCTGTTGGAGTTTGCTAGAGGTCCACTCCAGACCCTGTTTGCCTGGGTACCAGCAGCGGTGGCTGTAGAACAGCAGATTTTCGTGAACCGCGAATGCTGCTGTCTGATCGTTCCTCTGGAAGTTTTGTCTCAGAGGAGTACCCGGCCGTGTGAGGTGTCAGTCTGCCCCTACTGGGGGGTGCCTCCCAGTTAGGCTGCTCGGGGGTCAGGGGTCAGGGACCCACTTGAGGAGGCAGTCTGCCCCTTCTCAGATCTCCAGCTGCATGCTGGGAGAACCACTGCTCTCTTCAAAGCTGTCAGACAGGGACATTTAAGTCTGCAGAGGTTACTGCTGTCTTTTTGTTTGTCTGTGCCCTGCCCCCAGAGGTGGAGCCTACAGAGGCAGGCAGGCAGGCCTCCTTGAGCTGTGGTGGGCTCCACCCAGTTCGAGCTTCCAGGCTGCTGTGTTTACCTAAGCAAGCCTGGGCAATGGCGGGCGCCCCTCCCCCAGCCTGGCCGCGGCCTTGCAGTTTGATCTCAGACTGCTGTGCTAGCAATCAGCGAGACTCTATGGGCGTAGGACCCTCTGAGCCAGGTGCGGGATATAATCTCGTGGTGCGCCGTTTTTTAAGCCCGTCGGAAAAGCGCAGTATTAGGGTGGGAGTGACCCGATTTTCCAGGTGCCGTCTGTCACCCCTTTCTTTGACTAGGAAAGGGAACTCCCTGACCCCTTGCGCTTCCCGAGTGAGGCAATGCCTCGCCCTGCTTCGGCTCGAGCACGGTGCACTGCACCCACTGTCCTGCGCCCACTGTCTGGCACTCCCTAGTGAGATGAACCCGGTACCTCAGATGGAAATGCAGAAATCACCCGTCTTCTGCATCACTCACGCTGGGAGCTGTGGACCAGAGCTGTTCCTATTCGGCCATCTTGGCTGCTTCCCCTGGATTTTATTTCTAAATATTTTTACCAATTTACTAGTTTCAAGGTAACTTCTGAGCTGTGAATATTTTTCTTACTATCTGATTATATTACCACAATGCTGATTTTGCATGTCTTTACTAAAGATTTTGAACATTTCCCCACATATCTGTTTACTGCTTTTATTTCTCCTTGTTTGAACTATCTTGTTATCCATATATTTTACCTATCTCTTAGAATGTTAATGATTTTTAAATTACTCTCGTGTTGGTTTTTATGGATCATAAACTTTAAGATTCTATTTGTCTTATTGATGAAAACATCTTTGTCAATCTATTTCCTGTTTATTTTAGTTTGTCTGGATTATACAAATTTTGTTTGCTGCTTTTCTATAATTAAGTTTATAAGTGCTATTCTCTATTATATGTTCTATGGTTTCAATTCTTAAAAAGCTATTACCCCTCCAAGTATCTGATAAGTAATCTATTTCATGCTGGTATTTTATTTTCTTCTCTTTCTTGCTTAATTATTCAACTCATTCCATCTGGAGCTTTTACCCACTGTATTAAGTACAGATTGTAACTAATTTTGCTTTCAACTGTTATCTAAATATCTTAATATTAGTTATTAAATAAAACTTCCTTTCCTATTTTCTAAAGATAAGCAGCTATTTTGAACAGAAGGCTTCAGAGGGGGAGAGAGACATAATGTGCTGGAAAAGAAAAATATAATGTGGCAGTTTCGGGTGGAGTTAGGAATGGAAGAACAGAGGAAGAATGCAAGCTAAAGAAGGGCATGGAGACCTTCTAGGACTCACACAAAAGCAGAGAAACGTTCCCCATGGGACATGAAAGAAGAAACACACTGGGCAATAAAATGAAATAGGGTCTATAAAATTCCAGCAAATGCCAAAAGGAATAAATTCTGGGTGGACAATGTTTGGGAACCACTACTATAAACAAAAATCTGCAAGGCCCGACTACAACTCCTTTTTATTCCCACCCTCCATGGATCATTACTTTCCCATGGCTCCCCCCTAACTCTGCTGCCACAGCCAAGGCCTCTATTTTCTATGCTGGTCTTTTATTTCTTTTAAAGGGCACGGATCCCTTTTAGTCCTCTCTTCTGAGTAGCAAACTGTCACTGACAGCATATAGGTAGGCGAGACTGGATGCAGCACAAGGTGTCAAAATCACTATGAGTTGGAAATTAACCATCCCAAAGCATACATAATAGCCTGTGTAGCTGTGGGAGAGATGGACATTTAAGAAGCTCAGCCTCAGATCTTTCTAGATACCTCAACTGGAAAACCCTTAGGCAGGAAAACAGGCTCCTGATGCCTTTTTTTTTTCTTTTAACATGCTAAAAAGGCCAGGTGGACTGTGACCTTTAAATCTCCATGTAACACAAAAACACCCAGGGAAAACTAGTTTTAGAGGACTCCTGGCCTCTGGTGGGTACACAATCCCAAATACTGATTGGTTTCAAATGGCTCTTCAGAAATACTAAATATTAAAAATTTGTAAGACAACATCACAAGTTTCATTTTTATAATCTGATAGATTAAAAATCCAGATTGCTTATTTTACACAACACCCATTTTCTTTTTTTTCTTTTTTCTTTTTTTTTTTTTTTTTGAGACAAAGACAGGGTCTCACTTTGTCACTTTGTCCCTCAGGCTAGAGTGCAGTGGTGGCATCATCATAGTTCACTGCAGCCTCAAACTCCTGGGTTCAAGTGATCCTCCTGCCTCAGCCTCCCAAGTAGCTAGGACTACAGGCATGTGCCACTAAGCCTGGCTAATTTTCTTTTTTTATTTTTGTAGAGATGTGTCACACTATGTTGCCCAGGCTGGTCTCAAATTCCTGGCCTCAAGCAATCCTCCCGCCTCAGCTTCCCAAGATGTGGAGATGGCAGGCATGAGCCACTGTGCTCAGCCTCCATTTTCTGTTCTTACAACTATGCACAGAGTGATAGGAATGTCTAACAGGGGCTAGATGGTGGTTTTTAGATATTATCATAAACTTCGATGGTAGCAAAAAGGTCCTCAAATAGTTTCTAACTGGATCATTCCCTCTAAGATACAGACTCATTTGAACTGAAAACCACACCCATCAATTTCCTGCTTAACTAATTCAGAGATTCTCTATACCACCAGTGGAAGAAATCTAAACCTAATCATGGCAGAAGGGCTCTCCTTGATCTAGTTCTTGCAACCTATCCAGTCTCATCTCTCTCTGCTGCTGTCATCATGTTCTTTTTAGTCTCAGTCATCCTGAACACTTGGACTCTTCTGACCACTGCACATTCCTCCATACACGGTTGTATACAGCCTCTTTCCTCTTCATCCCAACCTACCTCCCCACCTTACTACTTCCACCCACACCTCTGCTGAAGCATGACCTCTTTCCTAAGGCCATTCTTGAAGATGCCAGGGCAAAGCTGGAAGCTCCCACTCCCTGCCACATGCTCTTAAAGCAACAAATGCTTGTGTGCAGGACAGACAGAATTCTAATTGTCTGGGTTCACATCTGACTGCTCCAAAAGCATATGAGTTCCAGAAAGAAAGAAACAGTTTTTGGACCTCATCTTTTTCAGTTGCTCATCCCTAGAGCTTAGCAAAATGCTTAATACATGGTCGGTACCTAATATATGTTTGGTTTTTTTTTTTTTTTGAATGTACAAATGAGGCTTTTATGAAACTTTTTTTAATTGGGAAGTCGTTTGAATGCCAAATTTCTGATTTTTATAATTTGCTTTCCAAAGTTTTAATGTTGTCTTGCCTAGCCCTAAATCAGCAGTCAATATTATATTAGAGATTCACTTTTATTGATTCTTTCCAAATTATTCATCTTAATTTTCATGCAAATAATTCTTTTTTTGGCACTCACTTTTTAATCAATTTACATAACATTTAATTAAATAATGCAATTTCAGGCAGGGACAAAAGAACTGACTCTTAGTAGAAACAAAACTCAGATCTGGGTGGTGTCATGTGTAGGGTCAACCCCGGAGTAGCTATCAGCCAGGAGTATTCGGCACACCATGGGCATCAGTCAGCATATTTTTAAAAGGGAGTAGAGGGTGTTGGTTAATTTGGAAAGTCAGTTACATGGAGGTAATTTTGGAGTTTCTACTGCACACTGCTTAAAATCACACAGCAGAGCCTTCCAGAATCAAATGCTAACGCTATTCAGGGCCACGTGATTCATTACTGACTGATGAGATGAGCCAACATGTCTCCTTCCATTTAACTTAAATAACTTGGTATGTCAAGTTCAGGTTATTAAAATATGCCTATTCATTCCTCAGGGCTCCATATATACTTCCTGAATCTGGAACATTCCATTAAATCAAGACAATATGTATCAAAACTGACTTCCTTAAGATAATTCTTTCTAAACCTCAGTATTGGCCCATGAGTATGTTTCTAATTAACTCTCGAGATGTAGCTCAGAATTAGACTAAGTTGACATTTGAAACATCCTTGTGTACACGCTAATACTCAGTTACCACAATAAAACAATTGGAGGTCTAGATTCTGTACAGGATAAGAATCAGAGACATGGAAGAAAAGTAAATTAAAACTACCATCACTAATAAGGACTAGAAACATTTCTAAATCCTTCTGGCAATTCTCCTAAATAAACCAAGTATCATCAGAGAAACTACTTGGGTATACAAAGAAGAATTTCAGCAACTTTTCCCTAGTATTCCTCCCGTTTCTCTTTCTCCTTTCCTTTTATGGCTAGATACTGAAGTTAAGGCAACCCTATGAGGTTTTAATTCAGAATGAAAATGTACCATACATTTTATATGTACTTTTTTAACCGATATATAATGAAATATTTTTACAAAATACAATCACTTATCTAATTCTTATAAACTAATAAATTTACCAAATTGATCTCAACATAAAGTTGTATAATTTATAGCAGATCTGATCCAAACAAGAAAAAAAAAAAAAAACATACATTACTCATAGAGGGGTGTGTATCTACTTTTAAAGTTAGGCTATGATGGAAGAGGTGACTTCCAAAACTGAATTAGAAACTTGAAAAGCTAATGGGGAAAGAAGAATGCATTTTACACCTTTAATTGTACTAATAGGCTCCATACCATCAAAGCTGGAAACCTACCAGCTTTTAAATCCTTATTTTCACAAGCCATTTGGAATAAAGCATTTTCACCAATTCACTTCTAAAACTGTACTTCTTCTCTTCATGGAACTGATGCATTTAAGCAGACTTTACTAGGTGATTCACATTATCTAAGTCCATTATATTCATTAAGAAAGAGACTCCGTCTGCTAAAATAATGATAATAATAATGATGATGATAAATTCCTGGGTGCAACAAAATCACCTTTTCCACAGAGAGTTTACTGTACAAGTTTAAAGTCTAGTGTATCAGAAGGTCCCCATACTGGGAGACAAGAGATCTCAGTTCCGTTGTAGGTCTGCACCGCAAAGCTAAATAACCTTGAGCAATTCAGTGCAGCTCTCTGCAACTTGCTCTTCTAGTTGGTAAAATGAAAGGCCTGATATATAATTGCTTTCTCAGTTCTAAGTTTTTATGGTCCTATAATCTATTAAATTTTAAAGAATATTCCTTATGAACCATAAACATCAAAGCCTAGATTCTTCTCTGTCCCATAACCAGATGCCAATTGTAGCTAAGTACTACTGCTTCTCTCTCTTCAGCGTCTCGCCTATTTCTTTCTCTCCATTCTTCAATGCCTTTGTCCAAGTTCAAGCTATTATATCATTCACAGACTACAGCAGAGCCTTCTCAATAGTCCCTCTCCCTCTTTTCATAATCCCTCCAATATGCTTTCTTCATACCATAGCCAGGAGGGACATTCTGATATGCATATTCAACCAATCAGTTCACTTCCCTACAGAATTTTTCTATGACTCTCCATTTAGATCATGAAACTGAATGATCTGTGATTCTGGAACATACCACACTCCCTATCCTGGATGTATACTAACGCACATGCCATCCTCCTGGCTAGATTCTGAAAGAATTCCTCTTCACACTCTTCCTTCTTTCGATTTTGAGGCCCACCACCACTCTTATGTACTTGCTTTAAGTGAAGCTTCCTTTTGACTGCTCCCTGAAGGTTCAGGTGGACCTGCTTCTCAGTACACATTTGCACAAATATGCATCATAAGGAAACTGTCTGTATACAAACTTCAAAGGTATGTATCTTCTCATCAATACCTAGAAAACTGCTGTGAATGCCCTAAGTAGGTGACAAATGAATGTCAATCGTTGGAATGAACCTCAGTGGAGCCAAATCTCCAGCCTCCTGACAGAGGCCACAAGACTCAAAGTTAAACTTTCTTTGGGTTTATACACGGATCAATTAAGAGTATTTTTCCCAGTAGAGCTTTTTGGGTCATTTTTTATTCCAAATGACATCAAAATAAGAAATGATGCTTTTTTCTGTAATCAGAAATATTTATTTGTAGATCTTGCATAAAGTCAAAGCATAGACTAAAATACTATAAATAAGCATTAGCAAGATAGGCCCACATCCTAAACACATCTTAAGAAAATAATATATACCCAATATCATTAATGCTCTTTTGGTTCCCGGTATGGGAACCAAACTTCAGATTTATTCATAGTTGGGCCATTATTCTTAATCTTTTTTTTTTTTTTTTTTTTTTTTTTTTCCTGAGAGGAAGTCTTGCTCTGTCACCCAGGCTGGAGTGCAGTGGCGCAATCTCAGCTCACTGCAACCTCCGCCTCCCAGGTTCAGGGCAATTCTCCTGCCTCAGCCTCCCAAGCAGCTGGGATTACAGGCATGCACCACCACACCCAGCTAATTTTTGTATTTTTAGTAGAGACGGGGTTTCACCATGTTGGCCAGGCTGGTCTCGAACTCCTGAACTCGTGATCTGCCCACCTCAGCCTCCCAAAGTGCTGGGATTACAGGCATGAACCACTGCACCCGGCCCATTATTCTTAATCTTAATGAACAAGTCAACTTAATAATCATTGTTCTTATAGTGAGTGTGCACCCTGACTTTTACTAGACATATTAAGAGAAAAAAAAAATAAGAATCAATACACCTGTTTTCTCTGAGCATCTTTTCTGGATAGAGCACTATGATAAAAAGGAGAGACATGAAATAAGCTTTTTTCCATAAAATTATGACCCAGTTAATGATATGGCCATTCTAGTCTATTTCTGAAACAATTATCAAATCTTTATTAACTAGAAATCAATGATTTTGACGTAGGTTAATTTATTTTCTTTTTCTCCCCCAAACCTTATATGTTTTATTTGAAAGTCCTAAAATCCAGGTGCTGCTTCTTTTATTTATACAAATGTATGAATACACATAAAATTCTGTTACATATATATAACACACAATGATCAAGTCGGGGTATTTAGGGTGTCCAGCAACTAACTATAATGCGTTTTTGCTAACTATAGTCACTCTACTCTGCTATCATACATTCAATTTATTCCTTCTACCTAATAATCACATGTTTTTATCCTTTAAGCCATTTTTCATCATCCTACCCCACTCGCTCTTGCTTCCAGTGCTTTTTCTACCATAAGATCATGGCAATTATCAAAAGACTGAACAGTTCTGCCACCTTAGTCACAGTCTCCAATTGTCTTACCACGTTTAATATCATGTCCAGAATAATTTTAAGGCCATGTTTTGTACTCTTGCCATCATTTCTAGCATACTGGAATATTACCAATGTCAAGTGACAATTTAAAGCCTCTTAAAGGCTGGGTGTGGTGGTTCACACCTGTAATCCCAGCACTTTGGGAGGCCTTGGCAAGTGGATCACTTGAGCCTAGGAGTTCAAGACCAGCCTAGGCAACATGGCAAAACCCTGTTTCTATAAAAAATACAATTAGCCAGGCGTGGTGGCATGCACCTGTAGTCCCAGCCACCTGGGAGGCTGACGTGGGAGGATTGCTCGAGCCCAGGGGGCAGAAGTTGCAGTGAGCCGAGATCAGGCCACTGCACTGTAGCCTGGGTGATGGAGTGAGGCCTTGTCTCAATAAATAAATCAATAAAGCCAGCCTCTTAAAGCTTACTATTTCTCAGATCTAAAAGGAACACTTTCTTACTCTCTTTCCCAGAGCCCTTTGCCTTTGCTTCTAACACACACCCGTGCAATGTCTGCTGGCCTTGGGTTTAATGACAAGGGTTCCTGTCTGTATCTGGCAGGTCTTTTCTGAACCCTTCCTACAAAATTCAATTAATTATTCACTTATATTGTTTATTCCCTTTAACGAAAAGAACAAGAAACAATAATAAATTATGTCATTAATCCCCTTCTTAAATATGAAGCTTCTACTATCACTGGATAAGAAAGGGTATACATATGAATAAACTTTCAGCTTATTCATCATCTTCATGAGTGATTTATGCTTAGATCTTCCATCTGCTCATGAGCTGATCAATAACCAGGCAGGTGAAAGAGAGTGAATCTTACTCGTCAAGGATATGTGTAATCAACAGGAAAGCTTAAATTTGATTTGAGGACAAGAACAAAGTTTCTGCTTTCACCATTAGCATAAAAATGTTCAGAGTTGTTATGATTAAAATGGAAAATTCTGGTTTTCATAGCCTAATACCCCATGCCCAGAGATTGAGAGGATTTCCTAAGTAATTATTAGATATATAGTCATGACATCCATTCAGAATTCCTAAAGCAAACAAGAAAAATAATGATTAAGGAAGAACTAATTTTTATTTTTAAGGTATTGACCACTATCACTGTGGCATTTATTATGTATAAACCTATTCACATACATATGAACAAATACAAATCTATTAAATAAACATGCAAAATTTTAAAAACTTCACCCTTTATTCTGGTACCTTAGATTCAACACTTCAGCCACAAAAAGGTAGTTAAGATGATACAACTGTCTCCCTCCAAATTTGCTCTTTTGAGGAAGACAAAACACAGAAATTATTTATCTATGGCTGTCACTCTATTCTAAAATTGATGAGTGTCAAGTAAGTTCCTCAGCATGTGCTTCTCAAGCTCGTGTGAAGCTATCACAAAATGCTAGCAAGCATGCCCACTTCTGGCAAGTCACTTGGTTCCCATCTGAAAGAAACAATTCAAAAGCCATGGGGGATAAATACAGAGTTAAATGAGAACTGTATTTCTCATTTATTTACTCACTAACCAAATGATTCATAATTCCTAAGACTGATCATCAATAAAAGCGATCATGAATGTTTATAGTCTACAATGCAGGTTCTTTAATATGCCCAAAATAAACCTGTTGAAAAGTTTCTACTTTCTTTGTTAATAAATTAAAATATATTAATCTTTTGCAGCTAACAATTTAGGACACAAAAGTGAAGAAAATAACATATCTACTTTAACGCTAATATTAACATTCTCCATTCTTTCATGTGCTCATTTGTTTGCAGAAGGTAAGAACAGCAAAGTCTCTATAAAGAAGCTTCCTGGCCGGGCGTGGTGGCTCACGCCTGTAATGCCAACACTTTGGAAGGCTGAGGCAGGTGGATCACGAGGTCAGGAGTTAAAGACCAGCCTGGCCAAGACGGTGAAACCCCATCTCTACTGAAAATACAAAAAAATTAGCTGGGTGTGGTGGCGGGCACCTGTAATCCCAGCTACTTGGGAGGCTGAGGCAGAGAACTGCTTGAACCTGGGAGGTGGAGGTTGGGAGGTTGCACAGAGCTGAAATCATGTCACCGCACTCCAGCCTGGGAGACAGGGCAAGACTCCATCTCAAAAAAAAAAAAAAAGGAAAAAAAAAAAGCTTCCTATTTAACCTCTACGTAAGGGAAAGATACTAACAATTGTTGGATTTCTATTTTACAGGGTATTATAGCTATTATGTCATCTACTCTTTATAGCCATCCTGTGAATGACATCGCTTTACACCAAGTTACAGAAGAAAACTGAGATTCTGAGACATGTAGTATTCTTCTCAAAGCACACTATTAATAAATGGCAGAGTCAATACTCAAAGTCTACCATGCTATCTCCAAAGTGTACACATTGTCCCAATAACTTCTGGAGTGGTCAAGAGGGGCAAGAAAGACCCAGTCTTCATTGAGATAACTGCTGGACTGCTGGCAACAACCATGACAGCAGCACCTATAGGGTAGGTGCTGCACTCTCCTCTCCTCTAACAAAAATTATTAACCTATCATAGTTCTTGCTGGGCCTAGATGTCATCTCCGAATTCTCAGCATACTGTGCTGGTCAGCAACAGATAGAGTGGGTACATAAAATAAAATCTACCTTCTATCCCTGAGTTAAGAACCACAATGACCAGTAATAATGAGGCAGAAATAACTGCAACTAATCACGAGGCCCAAATACCTAGTTGATAGTACTTGTCTATAATATCTAGTGACTCTCAACAGAGCTGAAAAAGCCTCTTTCTATAGTAGGTCAACCTACCTGTGCTGAATTTCCATACTGATTAATTTATTACACTAGTCATTATTAGAAGAACAAAATAGAAAGAAGATGTGGTACCTCATCTGCAGGAGCTTAGAAGCTAGCCAGAGGAAACCAAACTTACACAGGCATTCAAGCTCCTGGAAGGGCCACCCAAGGACGCTGACACAATCAATCAAAACATTCCCTTGGAAGCAGCGTTGCTCTAACCACATGAATGACCTGCTCAAAAGCAGTCCAAGGCACTTGGATTCCATTAAATTCAAGTTTTGCGATTCATCCACCAACAATTAAAAGGGGCAAGTCTCCTCAAGCCCCTAATAAATTTTCTCTTCGTGGCTACAGAAATGGAAATTGTCCATAATCGTTATTTTTAAAGTTGAATTCTTTCTCTGGATTGAATATTCTATTTAAATTTGAGGCCAGGCGCGGTGGCTCATACCTGTTATCCTAGCACTTTGGGAGGCCGACGTGGGCGGACCACTTGAGGTCAGGAGTTCAAGACCAGCCTGGCCAACTCGGTGAAACCCCATCTCTACCAAAAATACAGAAATTAGCCAGGTGTGGTGGCGGGTGCCTATGATCCCAGCTCGAGCGGCTGAGGTAGAAAAATTGCTTGAGCCCGGGAGGCAGAGGTGGCAGTGAGCAGAGATTGCGCCACTGCACTCCAGCCTGGGCAACAGAGCGAGACTCCATCTCAAAAATAAATAAAATAAAATAAAATGAATTTGCTAGGCCTCAGTTTTCTAATCGGTACATGGAAATAATATACCCATTGGTCTTGGGATGCAGAAAAATAGCATGTGACAATGGCTAAAACTAAGTTGAGTACACAGAAGGTACTCAGTGAACATTACTTTTCCTTTCCTTCCAGCTCCGAATCAAATCTTTCTCCATACTTTTAATCTGGGAATTCTTCTCTAATAATCCTGAAGATGATGACATAGGAAACTAAAGAAGCCTAAATGGGACCACCCATAGATCCAAGAGGCAGAGAAATAAGCAGCTTCACTAGGTTTGGGGAGGGTGGGGGTTAGAAGCACAATCACCAGACTTTCTGGATATTATTTGAAAGTATTATTTTAAGAGTTGAATGAATTGGACACAAAGAATAAGAAATAGAAGAGATGGAGAACAGAAATTCTTTTTTGGAAGTGGAGGCAGTGATGTTACCTTTAAAAGGTGCTAGACAGGAAGTGTAAGAGGTGACAGCTTTTTGATAACTCAAACTCCAGAGCTCAGTGAAGTGGCTGCTGGATTGGCTGGGCCTTGACTTTATAAGCAAGCACTCAAGGTTCGAAGGGACTATTACCACTAAGTCATCTGTATGCTGAAAGGACCCATATTTTTCATTATTTGTGATAGGACGCCCTTGAGTTGCGGAGCCACAGCAGCAAGTATACTGCTCACTTAGGAGAGGGAAGCAAGCAAAATGTAGCTGTCACCACCCAGGCCACAGCTTGCTAGGCAGGTACTTTGTTCCCTCACTCACAGAAGCACATACAGGGCTGAGATTAGGCAGACCCTAGGCCCCCTGCATTCCCATGTCATTGCATCCTGCCTGGCCATGAGACACAGAATCACGATAGGTATTTTCATCTCACTTAACTGAGCTCTCCAAAGAACTGTGTTTCCTATTGCATGGTTATACTGTGCTGGACTGAGAATGTGTCAACAGTATCACAGAAAAGAAAGAAGGTACACTCTGTGCATCATTTTGAACTTTTTTGTCATCACAGCTACCTAACATGTACGTATACTGCTATCTATTTAAAGGATCGGGGTTAGGGGAAAAGGGAGAGGAGTGGAGAAGCCAGTGATCTGCAGTGTTTAAAAGTTATTGCCAAGAGACTTGAGTTTATATTTTAAATTCCAGGAAGTCAAAGTGTTCTGGGTAATACATATGAATCACTGGAAAGAAATCTTCCATTTTCTGGCTAGAAGGTGCCTCCTTCGACAACCACAATGTCAATGAATCTCATAGGTCCTTTATTACTCTACTTCCTTTGCATGATCCAAGAGCCTGTTATTCAGGACCCCCTCCAGGAATTAACCAGGGAACTATAAGTCACCCCTATTTGGCTTCATCTGGGATGCCCTGTCTCAATTCTTTCTCTAGATTAATTCCAAAAAGTGGCACAGAACTGTGATGTCCATCATTATCAGGCCCTGCAGAAGCTCCGGTGGGCAGTAAGTAGCCTTCTGTGTCTGGGATGGGAGGGCCTGTCAGTGCCCCAGTTACATAGAATATTTCTTCTATGTAACTACTTACTTCTATGTAACTACTTAATCCCTGGATATTTGGGTTTGATAGTCTCTCAATCTCTATCTGAAGTTTACACAACACAATGTATTCATTCTTTTGTTGAACAAAGGTTTACAAAATGACTGAGGAATACTCTGTTTTATGCATATATATTCTCTCTCTCTCTCTTTTTTTTTTTTTTTTTGTTTTTTTTTTGAGACAAGAGTTTCACTCTTGTTGCCCAGGCTGGAGTGCAATGGCACAATCTTGGCTTGCTGCAATCACCGCCTCTCAGGTTCAAGCAACTCTCCTGCCTCAGCCTCCCAAGTAGCTGGGATTATAGGCACATGCCACCACGGCTGGCTAATTTTTGTATTTTTAGTAGGGTTTCCCCATGTTGGCCATGCTGGTCTCAAACTCCTGACCTCAGATGATCCACATGCCTTGGCTTCCCAAAGTGCTGGGATTACAGGCATGAACCACCGCATGTGGCCTATATTTTCTCTTGACTATGGTCATTCCAGCTTTTCCCAGTAACCCAGTGATTCTCATCCTCACCTTATTTGGGTGGGCACAGGTCAGTGGGAAAAAGATACTGGCTTTTCAGCTGGGGCAAGATCTCTCTCTGATGCTCCTCGTACACATGCAAACTGCATTAGAAATCTCCAGTACAGCACCATCATCCTATAGATGGCCAATTTTAAAATGTTCTGGATATAAAAATCTTGCAAAAACCATCTCACTTGGAAATGCAATGGGAGTCAGAAGCCTGGGTCTGCATCTGAGCGTTGCCACCAACTATGACCTTGAAGTCATAACCTCCCTGTCTGGGTCTCAATTTTCTGATCTATAAAATGAAAAGAATGAATGAGATGCTCTCCAAGCTACTTTCAGCTCTAAGGGCTTCCCATTCACTTCTCAAAACAGTTCCCTACTGATTTCTACAAAATGCTTACTCCTCCTGCACGCAGGATCCTTTGGTAAATCAGCTTTCAACTGTTCAGAAACATGCCAATGACAGTAAATGAGCCACTGAAATGAGGTTTTCCTTCCTTAACTGCTTACAGCCTTCAAAGCTCTTAATCCTCATCCGTGCATTAGCCACATTTCAATTCTAAACATCTAAAATAATCACAGACAATAACAAGTCTCTAGGTTCTAAACACCTTTGATGTTTGACTTACACGATTTTCAGCATCTCTACATTTAAGATTAAAGTAGATATTAAATTTCCAAGGCCAAGAACTCTAGAAAGGGGGAAAATTATGTCTGCCTCCCCTGCATGCCTGGAGTCCAAACAAAACCTCTGCTCTTCAGTCACCAATGTAATGGCCAAGTGTGTAAAATCTGTCATTTGCAGACCTGTCAAGTTTGTAAATTTCTTCATGAAAACCCGAAATAATAAATCAAATGGAATCAAAGTTCTTTGAATTCTCTTAAAATTCATTAAATATATATACAGTAAGATAATCGGTTTGACTCAGACTTGAAATTATAGCTAAATGACATAAAAATATTGAAGTACTAGGCAATGCTATCAATTTATAATATTTGATGTTTAATATACTCAAGAAATTAAGTATACACTGGTTACATGTGTTAATACCAATGTCTTCTATTTTATAATATGTTAAAATATGTTCAATTGTTATATATATAGTTGTATAGTTATATAGTTGCATTTTGATGTAATCAAATATATGAAGTATGGTAAGCAAGCAATTAACAGTAACAATAATAATACTTATATATGGACATTATTCTGCAGATCACAAAGCCTTTTTGCAAACCATGCTGTCATTTAACCCTCACAACATCTTATGAGGCAGGTATTATCCTTCCCATTCTACAGGTGAGGAGGAAATAGTTGCACAAGTACAATACAAAACTCAGACCAAGACCCAAGATTCAGTGAACAACTTGAGTCAGATGCGATGGAAGAAAGTACTCTGCGGATCTGTCCAAGCCAAAGAGAAGTAAGATGGATCTCACAAGCACGACGAATATGGTCTTTTCCCTGAGAATTCCCTTGAAGCTTAATGTCAACCCCAGCACAGAGTTAGCTATGAGACAACATCACACATGAGGTGAAAGCACAACCCTGGGATTCTGAAGGATCTGGGTTCAAAACCTAGCTGTGCTACCTGCTTGCTCTGTGGTCTTGGCCAAGTGACTTAACCTCTTCGGGCCTTAGTTTCCTCACCTTTAAAATGATTATACATCCTGATCACGCAGGGCTCTGTCTCAAGGCTAAGATATAATATGTGCAAGGTACCTAAACAGTGCTGGGCATACGGAAGAGACTCGATAGTGGTAGTTGTTATTAATTTAAGATTTCTGATCCTCTCCAATACATCTATGTGCTAGCAGTCATCAATAAAATTCAGGGCTTACTCTGGTTTCCCTTGGTTTGCTGTCTAGCACTGAAGGGAAGTATCACAGCTGATTAAAGGAAGAAGAATTTGGTACCTTTATTTGATTAACAAAACGTTATCAAAAATCAATTTCTCTATCAATTGTATGAACTGAGAAGCAGCATATTTACAAATATGACTACATAAAATAATATAAAATTTTTGTATGGCCTAAAAAGAAATAAACAAGTAAATAGCAAAAACACCATAAGCAAAGTTGAAACACCAGAAGTGCAGTGGGAAAGGAAAACAGGCAAAGGAGAAAAGTTTTTAGACCAATGCTTCTCAATCAGGGGTGGTTTTGTCCCCAGAGACTTCTTGGTGGTGGTGAGATGGGGGGTTGCTACTTGAATCTAATAGGTAAAGACCAAAGATGCTACAAACATCCTACAATGCACAGGACAAACCCTCAAAACAAAGAATTATCCACCCAAATGTGAATAACACTGAGGTGGAGAAACTCTGTTTTAGGCACATGAAAAGAAACTTAATCTCATGCACAAGCAAAATGCAACTTAAACTCCAATCTATCAGAGAAGCAGAGTTCAAAGTGTTTAATAATCTGTATTAGAGACTGGGCGTGGTGGCTCACGCCTGTAATCCTAGCACTTTGGGAGGCCAAGGCAGGCAGATCATGAGGTCGGTCGGGAGTTCGAGAGTAGCCTGGCCAATATGGTGAAACCGTATCTCTTCTAAAAATACAAAAATTAGCCAGGCATGGTGGCGCGCGCCTGTAGTTCCAATCTTGAGTGAGATTCTGTCTCAAAATAATAATAATAATGATAATAATCTGTATTAGAAAGGGTATGGTGATACAGACAAGTTCATATATTGCTGGGAAAACTAATTAGTTCAACTTTTTGTTTTGTTTTGTTTTGAGATGGAGTCTCACTCTGTAGCCCAGGCTGGAATGCAATGGCATGATCTCGGCTCACTGCGTCCTCCACCTCCCAGGTTCAAGTGATTCTCCTGACTCAGCCTCCCAAGTCGCTGGACTTACAGGCACCCACCACCAAGCACAGGTAATTTTTGTATTTTTAGTAGAGATGGGGTTTCACTGTGTTGGTCAGGCTAGTTTCGAACTCTTGACGTCAAGCTATCCTCCCACCTCGCTCTCCCAAAGTGCTAGGATTATAAGTGTGAACCACCGCGCCCGGCCTAGTTCAACTTTTATGGTAGATAATTTGGCAAATATTTATTCAAATTAAATAAACACATAACCTTTGATGCAGCAATTTTGTTTCTAAGAATTTATCCTAGATATTCACAAATGTATACTAAGACTTTCATTATTCACTGTCGCTTGGATGATAACAGCAAAAGTAGAAAGGTCAACTGCCCAACAATTCAGTCCAGTTCAATAAGTTATATTATATGCCAGGATGGAATATGCAGCCTTTATAAAGAACAAGGCAGATTTATTTGTGCTGATAAGGACTGCTAACTGAACAACGCATGGTACAATACAATAAATAAAATATTCTAGCAGTTTCAAGGATATATATACACATATGCCAGTACATTCAGATTCTGGGAGAAGACAGAAATGGGAAAGAGTATTACTCACTGGGAAGGAGAAATGAGTGTTTGGAATACAAAAATGGGAAGAAAACTGACTCTTCACTCTACAGCAGGTCCTCTTGTCCCTTCTAAATTTTGCATTATGTGTTACATATTCGAAAAACCTAATTCCATTTTTTTAAAGATGCCATACAGATCAACTTAAAAAAAATCTACCTACAGGCCTAGCTAATGTAATTTTGGTATGAGTCAAGGGCCAGTCAGGAAAGAAAGGCACATTCAAGTGGTGCAAAATTTAATACAGTTTAATAAAGAGATTCTTGACAAAGGTACAGGCAGAGTTCTGGGAAACCCACAGCAAGAACCCTGGGGTTGCAAAAGCAAAGAACTGGCACAGAGAAGTGCCTCCTGACAGCGCTGTGGCCTGAGGTAGAGGAACATAAACCACCTTCAGGGACCCTGCAGGAGGGGGCTGGGGGAATAAAACCCCAACTTTTCCTCCACCCCCCAGTTTCCTAAAGGAAAATGGTGCCAATGATGCCGCTCTGGGGACACGGAGCCGGGTGGATCTCTGGCACAAGTGCCACTCAAGGCTGTATTTTGACTGCTAAAGAATGCTCACATGTCTGGCCTTTTCTTTAATTCCATGTGAAGAAAAAATTCAAGATGCTGTTAATCTAGATAAATTCAGAATTCACTTAGAATTTACCAGGAATTGGCAAGAGATAAATGAATTCAAATATGTATTAGGAAACTACCTTTTCGTTTATTATAAAAATGATTTTCCTTAAGTTTAAAGTTGGCTTTTGACTTTTTCCCCACAGTGAGGCAATTTAGATCCTTCGCGGCTCAGATTTTTAATGTGAATGATCCATTTGTTATCATTTGTAGCAGGACCCCAGCGCATTCTAAGGCTTGCAGGCTCTCATTTCAGTTTTCTTTTAAAAAAACTAAACTAAAAACTTGTCCTCTGCAGCCTTATTGGCCCAACCTGACTCCATCCTTTCATCCTGCTCCAAACAAGCTGTGCTTCCTTCAGGCCACCAAGGAGTCATTCTGTTTCTAGCCAAACTCTTCTAAGAACTTTGATTTTATAAACCAAGCAAGGAAAATACAGAGTCACTTACAAGTTTTCGAAATCTTTCAGGCCTTAACTTTTCTGATGAAACTTGTCAAGCTGATGACACATCACCACACAATGTATCACTGGAGTTGTACAAAATCATCCTTTGATTCAAAGTGGAAAACAGAGCCCAAAAAAGTACAAAGGGGAACATACTGTACATCCTTGGAAAGCACAGTAAATATTTTCAGAGTAAAACATCACAAAGAGAGCCTCATCTCATTTACACTCTAGCATTCTCTGCGTAGATATGTTTCATATTCAACAAAATGATAGAATTTTAGGGCTGCAAAGGATCTTGAACATCTACTTCCTGAACTCCTCCTTTTAGAGAGGAAGAAATTAAGACTTAAAAATTTGAGTCTTGTCCAAGTAGCAGCACCACTATTAAAACTCAGGTCTCCCTAAAGATTCACAATCAATTATCAGCTAGAGATAATGCTGTAGTTAAGTATTTAGCTTGTTAAATGGAAATCCCAGGTTTTTCTTGAAAAATCAACTATGACAAACCAATTCAAAATTGGACAAAGGACTTGAACAGACATTTCTCCAAAGAAGATATACAAATGGCTAATAAGCTCACGAAGAGGCCAGCATCATCAATCATTAGGGGAATGCAAATCAAAACTATGAGACACCACTTCACACCCACTAGTATGGCTCTTACTTTATTAAAAAACGAGAAAATATCTTTTTTCGTATAATGACTTCTTTTCCTCTGGGTTGATACCCAGTAGTGGGATTGCTGGATCAAATGGTAGTTCTACTTTTAGTTCTTTAAGGAATCTCCACACTGTTTTCTATAGTGGCTATACTAGTTTGCATTCCCACCAGCAGTGTACAAGTGTTCCCTGTTCACCACATCCACGCCAACATCTACTGTTTTTTGATTTTTTAATTATGGTCATTCTTGCAGGCGTGAGGTGGTATCGCACTGTAGTTTTGATTTGCATTTCCCTGATCATTAGTGATGCTGAGTACTTTTTCATGTTTGTTGGCCATCTGTATATCATCTTTTGAGAATTGTCCATTCACGTCCTTAGCCAACTTTTTGATGGGATTGTTTGTTTTTTTCTTACTGCTTTTTTGAGTTCCTTGTAGATTCTGGATATTAGTCCTTTGTCAGATGTATAGAGTGTGAAGATTTTCTCCCACTCTGTGAGTTGTCTATTTACTCTGCTGACTGTTCCTTTTGCCATGCAAAAGTTCTTTAGTTTAATTAAGTTGCAGCTATTTATCTTTGTTTTTATTGCATTTGCTTTCGGGTTCTTAGTCACAAAATTCTTGCCTAAGCCCATGTCTAGAAGGGTTTTTCCAACTTGCACACGCATGTTTATAGCAGCACAAGTCACAACTGCAAAATTGTGGAACCAATCCAAATGTCCATCAATCAACGAGTGGATAAAGAAACTGTGATACACACACACACACACACACACACACACACACACACACACACACACACACACACAAAATGGAATACTACTCAGCCATAAAAAGGATGGAATTAATGGCATTTGCCACATAGATGAGACTGGAGACTATTATTCTATGTGAAGTGACGCAGGAATGGAAAACCAAACATCGTATGTTTTCACTGATATGTGGGAGCTAAGCTATGAGGACACAAAGGCATAAGAATAATACAATGGACTTTAGAGACTTAGAGGGAAGGGTGGGAGTGGGGCAAGGGATGAAAGACTACAAATAGGGTACAGAATATGCTGCTCGGGTGATGGGTGCACCAAAATCTCACAAATCACCATAAAGAACTTACTCGTGCAACCAAATACCACCTGTACCCCAATAACCTATGGGAAGAAAAATAAAATAAAATACAAAAAAAAAGGGTAAGCTGAAGCACAATAAAAGAATGGGAAAATAAGTGTTGTCAAGGATGTAGAGAAAATGGAACCCTCACACACTGCTGGTGGGAATATAAAATGGCACAGCCTCTGTGGAAAACAGTTTGGCAGCTCCTCAAAATGTTAAACAGAGAATTATCACCTGACCCAGAAATTCCACTTCTAGGTATATGCACCAAAAAATTCAAAGCAGGAACTCAAACAGATACTTATACATCAGGGCTCATAGCAACATTATTTTCAATAGCAAAAAGGTAGAAACAACCTAAATATATACATCGACAGATGAATGCATAAACAAAAGGTAGTGTATGCAAATAACGGAACTGCATTCAGCCTTAAAAAGAAAACATGCTACAGTATGAATGAACCTTGAAAACACAGTAAGTGAGACCAGGTGTGGTGGTTCACGCCTGTAATCCCAGCACTTTGGGAGGCTGAGGCAGATGGATCACTTGAGGACAGGAATTTGAGCCCAGCCTGGCCAACATGGTGAAACCGTGCCTCTACTAAAAACATTTTTAAAAATTAGCCAGGCATGGTGGCGCACGCCTGTAATCCCAGCTACTTGGGAGGCTGAGGCAAGAGAATCGTTTGAACCTGGGAGGTGGAGGTTGCAGTGAGCCAACCTCCGCCTCCCAGGTGGAGGTTGCCACTGCACTCCAGCCTGGGCAACAGAGCGAGACTCTGTCTCAAAAAAAAAAAAAAAAAAAAAAAAAAGAAAAAGAAAAAAGAAAAAAGAAAAGAAAGCAAAGTAAGTGAAATAAGCTAGTCACAAAAGGACAAATAGTAAGTCTCTAAAATACTCAAATTCATAGAGACAGAAAGTAGAACAGGGGTGACCAGAGGCTAGGGGAGAAAGGAATGGGGAATTTTTACTTAATGGGTATAGTTTCTGTTAGAGATGATGAAAAGTTATTATATGGATAGTGATGATGGCTGAACAAAATTATGAATATACTCAATGCCATTAAAACATACATTTAAAAACAGCTTAAATAATAAATTTTGTGTTATGTATATTTTACAACTAAAAAATGATACAATTGGGGAAAAAATCAGTCATGTAAATTATGGGTTTGGGGGGTCTCATGAAGATAAGCAATAAAATATAACCCCCCTACACACCGAGGGAATTAAGAACAGGCATTTCATTCAAGTAAAAAAGCACAAAAGAAATAACTGTGAAAATTCCAAGTCTCCCAGGCAAGATGACCAAAACATAACGGAAGACTGCTATATGACTTTATATGCAGGTGAGGGCAATGTCTTTTACTTGCTCCCTAGGGCCATTTCTTGGTCCAAAAGTGAATGCTTTAAAAACGTGATACACATTGTTGTCCAGCTGACCTAGAGTGTTTTGGCCCCAAAGAGGTTTTTCTTTTTTCAATGAGTTAAATAATATGTCAGACTTTTAATGCTTGAATAGTTTTTTCTTTCAAACTTGGCAAAATGATCCTTCAAAGGGCATGTGTAAAGATGTTTGGGTTAGAAATAACAAACCCATACCCTCCCAAGGTGTTATGTTTATTTGAAAGTGTGATGATGCTATCGTTCAAATAAACACACTCAGAATTCCCTCCTTTTCCAACAGCCATAGCTCAGACACATTGCAAATGAGCATCCACAGTAGCAATGGTCAGTGCTGAAAAGCAGTTTCTGTTATACGATCACTTCTGAGACGTGCAAAAAAAATGCCTCCTGTGCTAAACGGTTTCCCATTTGTCATTTCTTGTTTCAGTTTCCAGAGAATCTTCAGAATGAAGGCCCATCACATCCCAAACCATCTCAATCCTTGCACCCTCTAAAATCCAATGTGATCATCTCATACAAATTATCAAATGTAAATCAAGCCTCTAGGAGCCTGGGTCCAGTTGACTAGGTCAACACATGTGCAAGGACAGCTGAAAGGCAAGCTGTGGGTTTGCTCTGGCACCATCATCAAAGGAAGACATTTGTGACAGAAGGCTAGAGATTTCATCTACAGAACAATCTTGAGATTAAGAGGGAGGGTTTTCCAAGGACCTGGACAAAATAGGAAACAGGGTCTAAGATGTTGTCTGATAGGAAAGAATGGCAATGGAAAGAAGGCTGCTCTAAGGAGCAGGCCTTCTCAACTTTGTTGCTAATGACATTTTGGGCCCAAATTATTACCTGCCATGGGAGCTCCCTCTCTTTTTTTTTTTTTTTTTTTTTTTTTTTGTTTTTTTGTGAGTGAGACGGAGTCTCGCTCTGTCACCCAGGCTGGAGTGCAGTGGCACGATCTCGGCTCACTGCAAGCTCCGCCTCCCGGGTTCACGCCATTCTCCTGCCTCAGCCTCCAGAGTAGCTGGGACTGCAGGCGCCTGCCACCACGCCCAGCTAATTTTTTCTATATTTTAGTAGAGACGGGGTTTCACTGTGTTAGCCAGAATGGTCTCGATCTCCTGACCTCGTGATCCGCCTACCTCGGCCTCCCAAAGTGCTGGGATTACAGGCATGAGCCACCGCGCCCAGCCCATGGGAGCTCTCTTGTACGTTGTAGGACACACACAGCATCCCCGGCCTCCACCCACTATACGCCAAGAGCACCCCCAAATTTGAATAACCAAAAATGTTTGCCGGCATTGCCAAATGTGTCTCTTAGGTGGGGGTGCAAAACTGCCCCAGTTGAGAACTATTTGACAGACAAACAGTTTTTCCACCTCACTTCTGCATTATGAGTGTGAACCAAATATTTCAGAGTAACAGAGTGAGCTAAGTGAGCACCCAGCTAAGGATATGCCTGATGGGTGCAAGTGAAATAAGAGAATTGGAGATGGGGAATAAGAGAAAGAAGCTAGGTATTAGTAGACCATGTGGGAAAGAGGAGAGGCCAGAGTGAGGTGAAGGAAATGTAATGAGGTTTTGATGACACACAGAAGGGAAAGTTGCAATTTTGTGATACCAGTGAATGAATTCATCTTCACTCTATGTTATTTTCTATTAATTCAACTCTGTGCTCAAAGTACTCTCAAGTATCATGTTCATAAGTCAAATCTGGACAATTCAGGTAGGCAAGTTCAGCATAGAGAACGTATGTTATCAGCATAGAGAACATATGTTATCAGAAAGAATGATGGCTACATGACAGGTTTAAACTAATTGATATCATTCAATTAATTCAAGTGTAGCTTCTCTTGTCTCAAATTAAAGATGGTATCCTCAAATATCGTCAAAATGCTTAACATCAATCCCAAGTAGGGCTTAACAAGAATAAGGATGGACCTACGCAAATATATCTCCCCTTCCACCTTCCTGGAAAGACAACGAAATATCTGTCCTATTACTAGTAAACCAAGAGTATCATCCTTGCAGATAAGACCACCACACTATTGGCAGCTGGTAATGTTTTGCTGAGATATTGTGCAGACTATGGAATTGAACTCCTGTTATGGGATTTGGGCTACATCCCAAAGCTGAAGACAAAAGGCAGTATCTGTTATTTCACTTCCTGGGACGCTGGCTGTGCTTGCAGAAACCAAGTCTGTTCCACTGGAGCAAAAAAGGTGAAAATTCTTTGGAGGGCTTGACACATATCCCTTGGAATTTAGGGGACATGTGAACAAAAACACTTTCTCACCATCCCCTGAAAAATTCTGAAGACAAGGCAGACTGGAGTGAGCTGAAATGGTAGGATGAATTAAGAAGGCAGCCTGCCCTCCCGGCATTTCATATGGCAATCATGCATGAGTTTTCCACAGGCTTAAGCCATCCTGGTAGGACTCTGCCTGAGACGCTGCCTCGCAGAATGAGGAAACCTCAGCCCTCACAGGAGCAGGACCTGAGGTAGGAGATTTGAAAAAGGTTAACATATTTGATGATATGGTTGAGTCTCTTTTGGCATTTATAAATCATTTCCTAATATAGTATCAGGCTCATTTAAGAGCTCAATAATAAACATCATTAATTGATGACATAGCTTTATCAGAGTGGATTAATAATAGTTTAGACCTTTACAACTCACAGAGTGATCCACAGGTGGGCAGCACAGCATCCTCAGAGCATGTGGTAGAAATGCAGAATCTCAGGCTCTACCCAGAATTCTGATTCTGAATCAGAATCTGCATTTAATAAGATCCATAATGACTCCTACGGACATTAAAGGGTAATAAGCACTGGTTTAGACTATTGGTTCTCCACCAAAGCTAAGTATAACAATTGCCTACATTATTTGTTTTCAAAATACACATATCCAAAGCACACTGAGAAATTCTGATTTAGAGACCCTGGGGTGCAGGCTGGGCATCTGTACCTTTTGAGCATTCCTAGATTCTGTTGTATAATATTACCAGTACTGAGAATCTCTGATTTAGGGATTGAAGAAGGCAGGCATTTGAAGTCACATTTCTGAGTTACTAATTATATCCTACCCTGTAAACATTTTTACACAGGTGAATCCACTTCTCCTTCCAGGGGCTTCATTAAGTCACTGATAACCTCTAGCAAAACACACAATTAGCTACAACTTCATCTCTGTAATGATATAGTTTGGATTTGTGTTCCCACCCAAATCTCATATAAAATTGTAATCCCCAGTGTAATCCCCGGGCCCAGGAGGGGCCTGGTGGGAGGTGATTGGATCATGGGGGCGAACTTTCCCTTGCTGTTCTTGTGACAATGAGTTCTCACAAGATCTGGTTGTTTAAAAGTGTGTAGCATCTCCCATTTCACTCTCTCCTCCTTCTCCAACCATGTAAGATGTGCCTGCTTCCCCTTTGCCTTCCACCATGATTGTAAGCTTCCTGAGGCCTCCCCAACCATGCTTCCTGTACAGCTTGCGGAACTGTGAGTTCCTTAAACCTCTTCTTTGAAACCTACCCAGTCTCAGGTAGTTTTTAACAGCAATGCAAGAATGGACTAATACATGTGATCAATGAGGAATCCATTCAAAACAATTAAAGAGAATAAAAATGGCATACTGAATAGGGACATGCAAAGCAAGACAGGCTGGAAAGACACTGGAGGCTTCCACCCTCCGCTCTGCCCATGTCTGCCTGGGCTATGTCTGTGTGACTCAACATTGACTTCTCATAGGGGCTTGTTATTTGTGAATGAAAATGAAAGGAACCATTCACAAGCCACCACCAAATTGTTAGGTTTTCTTGTCTAGATTTTGTCTTGAGAGTAAGAAGAGCAGTGCCTGATTTAAATCAAGCCCCAAGAACTTAGTGGCTGTTGCTGCTGCATCCACAAATACTTCAAACTCAGCCACCACTGCAGCAGATCAAATTTCAAATAACCAGCTGAAATAGAGCCCAAACTCCTACATCCCAACCCGATTTTTAGGATAGACTATTACGTAAATTGGACACTATTAGTCCTTTTAGTGCTTTTAAGAGTTAATTTCCTTAAATGAGATCCTTCAGAAGTCTAAAATTTTCAAGTAACTGCCAGGTAAAAAGAAGAAATACTTCTTCTGGCACAAAATGGTCCAAAATATGATAGACTTTGACAGAAGGGAAATGATAATTACTGTATGAACAGCAGAGTCAGTAGGCTTTTACCAAATAAGGTTATGATTTCTGCAGTGAGTGTATTTCAATAAAAGGATATTTTCAGCCTTTAGACTTTAGCTTCTTTTTGGAAAATGGTATAATACAAAGGAAATTTTGTTGAATACTTATTCATCTATTTACCAAGTACACAATTTTGGCATTAATGTTATTTTTTTTCATTTCCACACAGCGTCATGGTTTTCTGGGCACGCTATGGGATTCTCAGATGTTTCTAATTACCCTCTGTGTACACCCAATAAAACAGCTGGCTCAAGATGTTATTAATACAAGAAGATCCAGAGGACTCATAAATCATCCTTTCTTCAGAAAAGGACAATGCAGTGGCGAAAAGTGACATATTCTAATCTTGCTAAATAAGACTTTAGCTAAGAATGCTCTAGGATACTTCCTAACTTGCCAGGAGAAGGGCAGTGGTCTGCTTTCCTCACTGTAGTAAACTCTAACAACAAGTTTTCCTTTTACCTCTTCTAGGGAGAATCTGATGAAAATTGGGCTGAATCTCTACACTAGGAAAACTTATAAAGTCCCCATAATCCAGACCAATTCTTATTGAAGCTGATGGGCATCTGAATGAAGTTTGGTCTCAGAGTAACGAAATCTCTCAGTATTGCATAAAGTTTTTTTTTTTCTCCCCAACCAAATCTTAGGAAAAGCCAACACTCAGTCATGCCAGTCTTTCAGTAAGTATTGCATGAGTCTAAATTCAAGATAATGAGGTTGAACAGTAAACCATTCCTTAGGCCCATACCCTTCAACTAAATAGAAAATCAAGTTTTAATAAGTATATCAATGACAGTATCACATTAAATTGGCAATGGAAGGGCATCTGACTCTTCTTATTTTCTTTCTTTATGATATAAATTTGGAGAATGAATCTTAAAATGCTCACTAACTTTATCCTTCTCCATTTGGTAGTTATTTTATTTTCCTGGACTGCTTAGCATGAAGATGACTATGTGGCTGACCTCAAAAACATTTTCACATCATTTGTGATGTTAGTTCCAGGAAGCTTTCCAACAATAGACAAATTAATTATTCTTTCTCCACCTGGAAATACATATTTACATACACCCATATACACACCTCTTGATAGTTAAAAGTTGGTACAAATACTTGACTTTTATACTACAGATGCAAAATTGAGATCAACTCATATGCCAATAAATGGTGCAGGTATATATACTGCATCGCATAAATGTGATTACAAATATCTATTTTAAGTCCAGCTTCCTTAAATTTACTCTAACCTAGGAGCCCAGAGGTAAGTTACACAACCAACAGCAAACTGAATAGCACAAAGTAGGATCAAATGTTATAATCATACATCACTGGAGATGCCCCCATCTACTCAAGATGATTACTTTTCCTCCTGACCACAGCTTTTGGTTCCAAAATGTATTACACTGTTTAAATGCTTTTACCCTTGCCAGAAGGCTTGGCAACATGCAACAGCTTCCTGTGTAAGCAAGTGAACTCAAGAAGAAGCACGATCCAAGGCAGAGAGGACATGGTGCTACAATATTGTCTTGGCCATATGATATTGAAGCCTGATATTATTTTTGTGCAAGGTCTAACCTACCCACAGCAAGCTTAAGTGTAAACAAGTACAGAACCTTCTGTGCGCTCCTACCGGAGCACCAAAGTGAAGGGGTAAAGAAATTGTCCTTCTATATCCTTCTTGATGCTATTGTGCTGTTAGGATCAGTAAATAAAGCAACCACTGTCTCTGGGGTGCACAGGGAGCACCAAGCTCCAGGAGACATAAGCACACTCTCTCTCAACGCCTCTACCCCACAGCACACGAGATGGAGTTTGAGAATTAAGAAAAGGACTTGTCATCTTCAGAAAGAGACAAAGGTCTTCCAGTCAATCCAAGGAGTCCATATGCACCTTCAGTCTGCCACTTCTTGTGAGCCTCAGAATAGCCCTCCAAGGAAGGTTAGGATATCATATGATTTGTTTTACATGCAGGGAAGTCAAGAATGAGAGAGGTGAGATTACCAACCCCGGGTCCTGGAGCCAGTCAATATACCTGAAGCTAGACAACCAAGTGTCAAATGACATAGTAATGACTAGAGGTATAATAGGAAAGAAAAAAAAAAAAAACAACAAAAAACAGCACAGGCAGAACTGTTTGAAATGGAACTTAAGGTTCTTCCGTAAAAGACTGTCAGTATTTACATGGATGCAAGAGCGGGAGCAGGAATTCTGTGCAGCAGGAACAGCTGTACTAAAGGTATGGAAATCTAATTGCACTTTGCCCATGAGTAGAAAGTACAGTGAAGTCAGTGTTAAAAACTTAAAGCTCCATGTAAATTGCTACCAGGGTGTCCTTTTTCATGCATCTTGTGGTCAGTGGAATATCCTATTTCCTATGCCCCTAAACTCTAACATAGTCTTCTCAGTTAATTATTTTACTTCTGTGATTTTACTTGCCTGAGAACTAATGATGAAGCTGTATCAGGTAAATTCTGTGTACACCTCACAGCCCAGGCAGCCGCATAAACAATTTATTGTCAACAAAAATGCATTCAGCATCTCCAAAGCGAGGCACTGTGCTGGCACTGGAGGTGCCAAGATGGAGTGGACAAGTCTTTGTTCCCAATCAGTTTAGAGTGTAGTGGAAGAAACAGGCAAGTCAACAAATAAGGGAAATGAGGCTCTGTAGCATGATCGTCACTTGGCTGAGTCTTGAAAAAGAAGTGGGTGATTGCCCAAGCAGAATGGGTAGGGAAATGTACCCTCCAGGCAGAGAGAGCAGTGTGCACAGAGACACAGGAGCACAAGACACCCCGGAGCACTTGGGGACCTTTGGTATCCCTGGAGGCTCAGTTTGGCAGAAGTAGAGGATTGGGGTGGAAGAAGGGGCAGGGCCAAAGTGAATGCCGTGGAGCCAGGCAGCAGGGCCCTGCATGCTATGCTAAGCAGTTTAGACTTTTCCAAAGATCACTCCGTATGCTCAAGCCGACAGCCTAGGAAAGAATACACACTTTGTGACATTGTGTTACAGACCCCAAGGAATTTTGAAAGGTTATTTATTCCAGGCTGGCCTAGCACAACCCTTTCAAGGAGCCCCATCCACTCCCAAGATACAGGCCAGGAATGGCTTAAAAGGAGCAATCTATCACATGTGCCTTTCTCACAGATCTGGCAAACCACGGACCCCTCTTTTAGTTAAGCTTAATTTTTAAAAAACTGTCCTGGCTACAGACATATGTTCTTATACAACCACTCTGCCCCCCGCCCCACTGCCCTTCTCTGCCTCAGTTGTCTTCCTCTTCAACCAAAAGGACCTTATTCCCTCCTGATTCTGGCTCTTAAGGTCAACCTATTGCCCTTCTTGTTCCAAGTAACCCATGGAATCACCTTTCCACGCACCCCTTCGTCTACCCAGGGTCCTCCTGCCCTCTGCCCACCACCACCACGCACCCTCTACACCACTCACAAGCAAGAACCAATTTTATTTCCCTTAATTAAAAGCAAGCTCCATACCAAACTCATGTGATCTGCCCTCCATAAAAGAATGCTGAAGAAAGGGCCGTGCGGCAAGGTGGCTCACGCCTGTAATCCAAGCACTTTGGGAGGCCGAGGCGGGCGGATCACGAGATCAGGAGATCGAGACCATCCTGGCTAACACAGTGAAACCCCATCTCTACTGAAAATACAAAAAAAAAATTAGCCGGGCGTGGTGGTGGGCGCCTGTGATCCCAGCTGCTCGGGAGGCTGAGGCATGAGAATGGCGTGAACCCGGGAGGCGGAGCTTGCAGTGAGCCGAGATCCCGCCACTGCACTCCAGCCTGGGAGACAGAGTTAGACTCCGTCTAAAAAAAAGAATGCTGAAGAAAGGTGACACTACTTTCTTGATAACCTTTTTTAAATCTAAGACCTTTACTTTTTATTATAAATCACCAAGACTCCTGCAAGAATTCCAGGACTGTATCCTTTTTTTCACCCAAAGAACAAGAATTGGTTGCCTCTTTCCTCTGTGTATAAGGCTCTTTATCTGCAGATATTAATTTGATTCCCTGATACAAAGCAGGTCGATGAACCCAAACTCAAGATGGGAGATAGGAAAAGTCTGGAAGAATGCTCCAAATGTCAGCCTTTTTGGGGGGTGCTCCACGGTTTAGACAAAATAAAAAGCAGGGTCAGAGTCTGATGACAATGTAAGCGATGTTTCCTCACAACACTCATCACCACTTCATCAGGTCCCTGCTCCAATGTTATCTCATCAGACAGCCCTGCATTCCCTGAGCTCTCTAAAATAGCAACCACGCCTTCCACCAACACTCCCCATTCTCCATCCCCCTTCTCAGCTTTGTTTTCCCTCAGAGTGTCTATCACTTCCTGACATTAGTTCATATACGTTTCTTACAGTATATTTTTGGTAATATCTATTTGACAGTAGTGTACACATATACTATATTTTTAAAATGTGTTTTTATAATTGTGGTAAAATACATGTAATATGTACCATCTTTACTATTCTTAAGTGCTGTGGTTCAGGAGTGCTAAGTACGTTCACATTATTCTGTATCAAATCTCCAGAACTTTTTCATTTTGCAAAATTGAAACTCTATACCCATTAAACAACTCCCCATTCCACCCGGGTGACCCCTGGCAACCACCATTCTACTTTCTCTTTGAACTTGACTACTTTAGGCATCTCATATAAATGGACTCATACTGTATTTGGTTTTTTGTGACTGGTTTATTTGACTTAGCATCTTTGAGGTTCATCCACGTTGTAGCCACACTGTTTTTGTAATGCCGGAGGAGGGCAAGGACTTTTATTTAGTGCACTGCTATTGCCTGAACCCCCATACCTGGCACATAGTATGTGCTCAATAAATGCACGTTAAATGAATAACTGTTCCTAATACTAGCCTTTTAAAGGTGGTCTACAGCTTAAATAAAATAAAAAGGAAAAGACCGGGCGTGGTGGCTTACGCCTGTAATCCCTTTGGGAGGCTGAGGTGGGTGGATCACTTGGGGTCAGGAGTTCAAGACCAGCCTGGCCAACATAGTGAAACCCCGTCTCTACTGAAAATACAAAAAATTAGCCGGGCATGGTGGCAGGTGCCTGTAATCCCAGCTACTCGAGAGGCCGAGGCAGGAGAATCACTTGAACCCGGAAGGCGGAGGTTGCAGTGAGCTGAGATGGCGGCACTGCACTCCAGCCTGGGCAACAAGAGCAAAACTCTATCTCAAAAAAAAAAAAAAATTAATTAATTAATAAAATAAATAAATAAAAGGAAAATGCTCTACATTATGACATTTATTCAGTATTAGAAAATAAAATTCTTTGATATAGCTAAATGTATGTGGAAGTGGTTTCTTTGATAAGTTCTTAGGCATTCTAAATTGCCTGGAGGAAAAGCAACCACTTTCTTTTACTATTGTATTGAAACATCTTTTAAAACCTGAGATATACCTGCACAATGTATTAATGGGAAAATACATTCTCCAGTGAAAGGGAGACACGATGGCATTTTCATTGGTTTCTGTGTGAGACAAACATTAAGGAGTCCAAACAATGACGAATGGCAAAGGATGAGAAACTCAGTGACTGAACTAAGTTTCCAGAAAAAACTCCATATGCTTGCCCCTCTTAAGCAGTTATGTCAGATTATTTAATGCCTTAACGAGAGAAAATTTTCTTCCCTCCTTGTGAGGAGAACCTACACAGTCAGCTTAGCAGCACGAACTGCTTCTGCTCTTCATCCCAGCACCACAGTATTAGGTCGGTTTTGTGAAATCTCCAAGGCGATTTTCAGTGCAGAGCATCAGACAAGCCCCAGAACAGCTACAGGATGCCAGAGGTTGTCATTCATTCAGAAACTTATTTAGCCTCTTAAAACATGAGTTTCCTAGCTAAAAAACTGAAAGCACTTCTCTCTTCTTCAAAATGACAAGTATCAACTTCTTTCAGAGAACTTTAGTAAATTCTCAAAGAGTAAAATCCAAATGCCTAAGCTTGAAATTCAAGGTGTTCCACAGCCTTGCACCAATCTGCCTTCCCAACCTGTCATCTACCATTATTACCTTTCATGTGTCCCACATTTAAGTGAAACTATTCCCAATTCCCAGAAACCACCTCTGCTTTCACATCTCCATGCCCAATTCTAGGGGGGTAAATTCTTCTTTCCCATGTCAACTTTGCTTCTCTCTTCCCTCTACTCCCCCATGCATCTTTACTTTGGAACTTACCAATGTTTCAAGTTCCACGTCTCCCTTCAGTCCACAATCAGGCCATCTGCATTTATCTACTCAGCCCCTCACCATGATACAACACGCTTTCTAGGCAGGGACAGCAAGGTGAACTAAACATAAAAGCTGCATGCCATCTCTTTTCTCTCTAAGCATCCTCCCTCAGCTAGAAGTGGTATTTCCCTTCTCTGGGCGCCTGCTAGCAGCTCTCTACCTTAATTTAGGGTTATTTACATATACCCTTCATCTCTTCCTCAAAGTATAAGCTGTTAGAAGGCAGCTTTATGATTTGCTTATCTTAGAAAATCTACTACCATGTTTTATACATAGTCACTTAATATATGGTCATAGGAGGCAACATGGGAGAGCCAGAGGTATTGTGACTCTAGGATAAGAAAACCTGGCTGAAACCACCTTTAATGAAGCCAGTAAAGCAACAGGGCTCATATTTGCCAATTATGGATAGTACCATATGCCGAAGAGGCAGTAAGCATCAAATGAAATAATGTATGAGAACATACTTTTTAGCCGGGCGCGGTGGCTCACGCCTGTAATCCCAGCACTTTGGGAGGCCGAGGCGGGCGGATCACGAGGTCAGGAGATGGAGACCATCCTGGCTAACACGGTGAAACCCCGTCTCTACTAAAAATACAAAAAATTAGCCGGGCGTGGTAGCGGGCGCCTGTAGTCCCAGCTACTCGGGAGGCTGAGGCAGGAGAATGGCGTGAACCCGGGAGGCGGAGCTTGCAGTGAGCCGAGATCGCGCCACTGCACTCCAGCCTGGGCGACAGAGCGAGACTCCGTCTCAAAAAAAAAAAAAAAAAAAAAAAAAAAAGAGAACATACTTTTTAAATGGTCCAATGTTTTTTATAATTATTCAATTGGTGCTAATAGAACATGAGTCTTTAGATTCACATAAACCAAATGTGTTATTTTGACCATCATGACTGCTTTTCAATGTCTCCACAAATAAGTTATACCAAGTGACAGTATTACTGTGTTTGAAATATTCTAGTTGTGACACGAATTTATATGTTCTTCTTGTCAGAGGAACTTAAGGCTTTATAAACAATTTAAAAATCCCAGAAGGTCATCTGCATTTTAGCCCTATAAAATGTTAAGAATCCTTTAAAACAACAACGGTGAACCTGCAGCCCACCCAACAAGGGATAGGTTTCCATTTTTAAAAAGGCAGGGGTGGGGCAAACAGCAAGGCTGAGCTCAAAAAAAAAAAAAGTCATTATCATTAGAAACCTGCTTCATAGGAAGTACCATTTAAAGTAACTATTCTGTTAAACCATATCAAAATCACTATCCATAAAAATGGGCTCTTCTAGAATCTCAGAGTGCTTCCTTTGGATACCATATTCATTTGGGCCTCACTTTTAGAGTTGCATTAAGCAGAAGTTATACTTATTATTTCTCCCACTGAATACTCAAGAACAGAGACTGCATGCTCAATAGTCATGCGAAAATACCTGCTGCCTTTCACACCTGGAAAGCCCAGACTCACCCTCATCACAGACCAGAAGACCAACACAGAAGCAGCATGAAGGAAGGAAGGAATTATCCCACAAGCCTGTAAAAGAACAACCTCCACATATCTATTAGGACCTGCACTGTGTGGAGGAGGTGAGCTGGGCCCAAAGAGCACATAGAGCCAATGTTACCCCAGGATTCAGCCCCGGTATGCTGGACTCTCAGTTGCTTTCTCTCTCTCTGTTATCCCAGCCAGCCTTCCCACAAGACACAACTCCATGAGGTCCTTCACCTTGTCCCTCTTATACATCATGGGCAGACTCCAGGTAGGTAAGAAAACAGATGGCATAAGGATATCTAGGTTCTAGGCATAGCTAACTGACTTGCCAAGAAACTAAAGCAAGCTCACTTAATTAACACTCTGAACCTAAGTTTCCGTATTGAAAAAATGGTGATGATCATGTCTGTTCCACATCCTCAAACAAACAAACAAACAAACAAACAAACAAAAACTGTAAATCACCATGCAAATGTTGGAAATTATTTCTGTTATTCTGATTATCAAAACTAATTATGAAGTCCATATAATTTTCCCTGGATTATGTTGACTCCTTAGAGAATGGCACTCAAGCCAAATTCAGCCCAACAAATGTTTTTGTAACACAGCCACACCTATTCTTGTTCATATTGTCTCTGGCTGCTTTCACACGATGATGGCAGGGTTGAGTAGCTGTAACAGAAACTGTATGGCCCACAAAGTCTAAAACATATTTTATACTATCTGGCCCTTTACAAAAAGAGTTTGCCAGCCCTCACCTTTAAGTACCAACAAATATTAGAGATCAAAGGGAGTAGCTGACAAGTGACAGTAAATTTTGAATTTTTCCCAAATTTTAAACTATTTTCCAAATAGGTCTTTTTTGTCAAAAGATTTAGTATTCTATAAACAAGTACAAAGAGAGAAGAAAAAAATCAGAAAATCACTTTTTGCAAATAATAAAATTACACTAAACCAGTAAAGTCCCAAAAAGATATATGCATAAACGTTTTTGAATTTTTCTGTATTTTCAAAGGATCACAGTCTATAAGTTCTATAAAATTACCATTCTTAAAGAAAGAAATATCATAAAAATTGTCCCTCAAACTATCCAATATTTGAAATAAAACGTTAAACAGGAGAGGGAAATAGCTCAGAATATAAATGAAATGTTTCCCACAATTTCCAATGTGAAACTATTTATTACTATGGGTCCTTCTCACCCCATCCTCTACTTTTCAAAAAATTAAACTGCTCTGCCGATCCTATATGGAGAGTGGAGTTCTGCTTTTGAAATGCTTTTGTAAATAATTTTGCTTCATTTTGCATTTTGAGTAGGCTATGTATATTCTGTTCCTAAACATCTGGTTCAGTGCCAGCAAGGAAAGTGTGTGGTGTGTTTCAACAAGTAGACTTCCTCTGTTTCTCAAAGCCTTCAAAATATTTAGTTTCAAAATGAATACACTGGAAGCCAAAAAATTACCACCCATTTGATTATTTTGTCATTGCTACTGTAAAGATTTACAATAAACACAAGGAGGGAAAGGAGCAGTGAGTAAGGAAGGCAACCAAGAAAGATAAAGTGGTGAAAAGCCATCAGACTCATGATAGTCTACTGGAATTGCCTTTTCTTTTCCCCTCCTTGTCTGTGGCCCTCCAAAAAAAAAAATTTTTTTAAGCCAGAAAATAGTATTACTTATTGCTGATAAAAAGTCATATGATCTTAGAGATGGACTAAATTTTAGAGGTCATTAAATACAATCCCATTTATTTTATGAATGAGAAAAACTGAGGCCCAGAAATATTAACTGGCATGCCCTACGGATTAGCTAGTTAGTGGCAGGACCGGGACCAGAATCCAGTTTCCTGATCATCAGTTCACTTCCCATTAGACTTGGCTCCCTGCCCTGCAAAGCATAATGTGCCATTTGGCACCTAATGGCTAAATTCTTTTAAAAACTATGCCCAGAGTACCCCTATCATAGCCAGGAAACTCACAATGCCCTTTTAAATCGTATCTATGGGCACATATTTTTTCCAAGTACAGACGATCAAAAATATGCTTTGACCTCCTAAGGATTGGGAGTCACAATAAAACAGCAGAATAATCAAAGATCTAATAAGAACTTCAAGCTGTCCCTTTATTTTGTCTTGATGTAAATCAGTTTGACACAGACACCCCTTCTCCTACCACCCCCCCAGACACACACTTCCAAGACTAAACAGCAATATTCCATAAAAAGACCAGATCTAGCCAGTGTTATTATCTGTCTGACATTTGGGTTATTCTTGTGAGTAACTCAGAAAGTAACGTGGGTGTCTGCGATTATTTGAGTACACATGGCAAACCATAATTGGTCAAAAAATAATAAAAGACATTTTTCTGCGACAAAAATACTGTATTGCATGACAACATGGCAACATGACAGCATTCCGTGGACCACAATCCTTTCTCCATTTGCAAAAAAGTAAAAAACAAAAATTCAAAATGAACCAACAAGGCTTTCTTGCAGACAGCAACTACTACTTCATATTTAAATTAACTTAAAGGAGTACTGAGAGTAATCTACCAGTCTGTCTTCCCCAAATCCACGTAAAAAAGGAGTACTGAGAGTAATCTACCAGTCTGTCTTCCCCAAATCCACGTTATATATCAATTTATATTCAGTCTTGTGAGACGGAGCAGAAACGTGGCAAAAGATGCAACTCTGTATCCTTTTCTACAACCAAGTACAGGTTTTTGACAATCCTCGGAGTTTTGTTTTAGAGCTTGGCTATTTTTGAAGTAAAAACTTCAAATTTCATCACCACCTTCCAAAATTTATTACATGAGTCAAATCTAAGACAAATTCCACTTATCACTGGGCTGATAAAATTTGAAGCTTATCAGCACAAGTCATGCCTTAGGGTCTAAATCTAAAACCTACTCTCTTCTCTTCTACTATATATATTCCCATTACCACATGGCTGTGTAAATGCTAAGCAATAAGGGAAAATATTCTAGTTGCCATTCCCCTAAGAAACCAAGAATCAGGTTAAAAATTATTCCAAAAGCAATTTAAAAGATCCCATGAAAGAAACATACTCGTACTCATAGACAGACACCCATTGAAGCAGACAGCAGTGTGAATGGAGGGGGTGTCTAAATGCTACAATCTCATAAAACTCGACTCAGTAAGGACAGTTAGGGACCGTGGAGGAACTCACCCACTCGGAAGTTCGTGGCCGTCAGGGTGTCGGCAGCATGACCATTCTCACTAATGAGAGTGGTGGTGTTCCCCTTCTCACAGCTGTTCTGACAGCTGCCCTTGGTGCAGGTCACTTTACAGATGCTCGGAGTAAAGACCACCTTGATGCGGCCAGTGTGGTTACTCACTAGGAGCGGAGGCAGGGAGAAAAAGAACAACAAACACATCAGCTTAGTATCCATGAACTTGCCTTGGAAGGTTTAAAAAAACAGAAAAAAAGAAAAGAAAGGAGCAAGAGGGGAAAAGAGAGAGCCCACAACCCGACAGGTTTAAGGAAAGAGGGAAGCCTTCAGTGCTCGCTGCTCTGTATTCAGTGGTGTCTCTGAAACAGGAGTAGGAAGCTTAGCAAACAGAACTCTGGGATGCACTCCAAAACCACATTTGAAGTCGAGTCACTGGAGTGGGATTACTAACCACAATGCTGCACTTTATTCACGGGCAGACAAAGAGCAATACCGAGGGCACGACAGATTAAAGAGCCAACCCTGACAGGCAGATGTAATGCAAAGGGGTTGGCCGTGCACCTAGCGGTGAATAAACTCTTGTGTCCTCAACTTGCATACTTTCCCTGTTTCTCCACTTATTAAGTCACTATTTGCAGCCCGACCCCTGGAAATGTTTTAGGCATGCGGCATGTCTGAAAACATCTGTCTCAAATCTCCTGGCACTCTCGGCTGAAGTGATCAAATGCTGTGACGCAGCTGCGGGAGCCCATTTCTTTTTCACAACTCCAGGGCACTATTTCTCCATAAGAATTTAGGCAACATATATTTTGTTTTCCTGTGAACGGGGCCCATCTTTAAAGGGGTAAGCCAGGTCACAGGGATAAATGGTTGCCTCCCTAAAAATAACACCCTTGGGCTCTCACTGTCTCTATTCATAGACCACCTGGAGTAGCCACTGGGGATGGAGCTTTCTTTCATTAGCGTGGCCTTCTCTTAAAAACGAAATGCTATCACCTGACCACACAGCCGAGGCTATGTGGTATCACAAAATAAGCCCTAGACTAAAAGTATATCCTGGTTTACAATCCCAGCTCAACCACGGTGTGACTCCGGACATGCCATTTCAGTCCAGTTCAGTTCAGTTTTTCCAAAACTTGAGAGAATTGAAACTGGCATTTTCTACACACTTCTAACTTTCAACGTCTCTATCAGAGGTCAGCAAGCTACAGTTCAGGGACCCAATCCAGCTTGCTGCCTGCTTTTGTAAATAAAGCTTTACTGGAACACAGCCACCCTCATTCATTTCTGTACTGTCTATGGCTGCTTTTGTGCTATGACGGCAGAACTGCACTGTCTCTGTGCAGTTCTGCTTCACCCAGACCTGCCCTTCACTGCTGGATCGCAACCTGAACTCTCTGGCAAATTGCAAGACACACACTGTTTTGATTGCTACATCTGCGATAGGCCCCTAGCCAGGTCCTTCCTCTTTCCAGGAGACTAGGCAGAAAGCAAAGATGGTAGCAGTAGCTGAAGACAGCCAGTCATCTGTCAGGCTTTAAGGCCGTCAAGAAGCAGTGCCCTTCTGACGCCACTCCATGACTGGAGTGGCCAAAGGGGAGAGAGGCTCTGGGCCAGCCTTTTTTATACCATCTTTGCCCACCAGAAAAGCTTGTCTCTCTTTATACTGCTTTGGTTTGGCTAATATTATATTTTCAGAAAATCATCCCAAGATGCCTCTATAAGACCCTCAACAAATTAAAACTGTGGTCATAAGCTGAGCTTGGAAACAAAGAACTTTAACCAAAGAAGCCATTCCAATTTCAGGGTTGGAATGGGGCCCCAGAGGTTTTCTAACGCAACCATCTCTCATCCACTGTTTGCATTCCACGTATCAAGTGGTCGTGTAACCTTTACTTGAAAATCTCTAGTGACGGGCAGCTCATTACCCACAAAAGCACATGATAGTTATGGCAGTTCCCAGCAAGTACTATTTTTTATTGAGCTGAAATCTGGCCTCACAGTAACTTGCACACATTAATCCTAATTTGGTTCCCCATGGCCTCACAATCTAATGCCTCTTCCACATGACAGCCCTTCAAATAAGTTATCTTTGAGATAAATGCCACTTAATCAAAGAAAGCTAAAATTAGGACTTGAACCCATCAGCTGGGTTGGTCATCTCACTTAGAAGAAGAAAAATTATTCCTCTGGAGGAGAAAGCCCTCCATTCTTTTCAAATGGTTTTCCAGGACAGTTTCTCCTTCACCGGTGGTTCTAACCCTGGAGGATCAAGACATGTTGTCTGAAATGGCAAGATGTCCTAGTGGCCAAGCAGACCTTCTGGCACCTTGCAAAATGACATCCAATAGGATGCTACTATCAGTCAATACTTTAAATCGAGGGCTAGCAAACTTTTTCTACAAAGGGCCAAATTGTAACTATATTAGGATTGTAGGCGAAAAGGACTCTATTCCTATTCAACTCTGTGGACCCGCTTAGCTGGAAAGCAGCCTGTCAAAAACAATATGTAAATGAGTGGGCATGGCTGTGTTCCAATCAAACTTTACTTAAACACTTCAGTAACCCCTCCTTTAAATGCTTACAGGACATTTTAAAGTTATCTGGGAGTCTACCTTAGAAATTCAAAAAAAACAACAGAATCCTGATTTCACCAGCAGAGAAAATTCACCTAGTTTGATTTGCTTTTTCACAGTAGCACAAACAAATCAGCTTATAATCTAAGTTGTCGGAAAATGCTTACAAATATCTTGAGGATACTTTGTGTGTTCAAGTGTGTGAAACCCAAGAAAAAAAGAGACAACATTTTCCCACTTCAAAAGAATATAAACTCCTCCTTTTTCTGGCTCCTGGTACAATCATGAAATTAGAATCCGTGTGCCAACTATTTTGTCTTCTCTGGCATTAACTTGTAGCACCAGCAGCTGCCACACAGATGCTCACACAGTCACCTAAATTATGCTCACTTAGGCAAACTGAGACATCCAAAGAAAGCAAGCACTTAATCATTATTCCCATTTCACCTCCCAGCTACAGTAGTCACTTTATAAGCACTGGAGATTCTCCGGGCCTATTGTTATTAAAAACTTCTTATATTTCTTTGCCAAAAAAAAATTTCTTTTGGCTTGGAATCATCTGGATTTTCAAAAGGCAGAGACAGTTTCATATGACTTAATTCTGATTTTTACAATGTTCACATCTTCTTGGAAGCAGAAGCTATATTTTATTTCATATAAAAATAAAAATGCTTGTGTTTTACAAGCATTCTGCTATAAAGTAATCTAATTCTAAAACAGACACTTGTATTCTAAGCGGGTCCTCCCATCTCCATGAAGCACTTACTTCTTCATTATAATTAGCTTTAGGTTTTCATGCCAATCTTCTCAAAATTGGTAGTGAAAATGCACTACTGCTTTTGACACTAGATTATTATCCAGAGCTCTAACAGGATCTCCATAAATGCTGGATGGATTAGAAAATATGTTCTCCCATCTCTACTCCTTGAAAATCATTCCCACATATTTAGGGTATAGTGTAAAAAGTTTAAGTTTTAAAGTTCATCAAACAGAGATCCATGCTCTGAGCTTCAAATTCCTCACATGTGACACGCTGAAGGCAATACCACTCACCTTTCAAGAATTTAGTAGGAATTCACTAACAGTAGACACAAGCTCTCCCGCAAAAGCCATTTGGTCTATCAGAAGCATCTTCTTTGCATGTCTTGAATAAGGTAATATTCAAGGACTCCTGATGCCTTGCAGAGAGTAGGCACCCAATAATTGTGGAATAGACAAAGTAACCCGAAGCATGGGGCAAGGGTGACTGTCGGATCCCACAGAGATCCAAGACTCACAGGATGCTGGAGGTCATTTTGGTCTAAGGTCCTGCTGCACCAGTGAGAAAACAAGCTCAGGACTAACCAGAGGCAGAAGACCATCCCGAGTGGCACCTACCAGGTGATTAGGAATTATAAGTCTGAGAAGCAAAAATCAGGCCAGTCAGGAGTTAACAGGGAAACCACTGGCACAACTTCTGTGCTTGGTCCTTTGGAGGAAAAAAAATGCAATTTTTAGATCCCTTTAGGTGAATCAGCCCCCAAAATCTTAAGCAAGCACTTTAAAACTTTGGGTTTTGGAGGCCTTGGCTAGAGGCACAGATTGCCTGGAGCCATGCAGCACCGCCATTGGGCCTCCTAGTCAGTCAAGACACTCAAGAGTCAACATCCTGTCTGCAGCGTCTGCCAGACCCTGTGCAAATTTATACCTCCAAGAAGAGGCACTGGCACTCGGTTTAAAACAAACCACAGATATTCAGAGTGAATGGTGAATGGGATGGAAGTGAAGCCGATACCCCTCCTCCCGTGATAAAAAGCTTTCATTTCTGCTTCGGGGTTGTTAACAATAGAGAAAAATATAAAAATGTGAAAACTGTGCTTGACAAACAGACATCAGTCTAGAAAAGGGCACAGTTGCCTTGTTTGGTCATCAGACCAAGATGTGACCAAAAGCAGAGAAATAAATGTAACAAGTTCAAGACTCACATCAGATGTCATGAACAAATACAGTCTCCTCAGCATTCGTCCAGAATGCCGCAACAGCACATTAGCGTGCATCCAACTTAAACAATGGGGACCAACCAGCACAGGCAATATCCTCTGGGAAGAAGCAACCTCTCTGTGGTTTAAAGCCACCACCCGGTTTAAAGAGACCTACAGGCTGATTCAATACACAAGTCACGTGTACACTCTTCAGGGTGTGAGAGAGACTGAGCTAACAGTTCATTCTCCCACTTGCAGTCCATCGCTTACCCGAAGGCCAAGAATTCTTTGAAGGACAAATCATAAAAATATTAAATAATGCTTAGAATAACAGGACTTTATTGTTCAGCTCTCCAGGCTTGCTTAACTCCTCCTGGACTATTAAAATAATGCCCATAGACTGCTCTGTGTTCCTCAAGAAAGGTGCTATGTAAATAAAAATTAATATCAAATCTATTACTTCACCAGGCAGCCCCAGTCCTGGAAAACCCTCCAAGAAGGAAACTCAGATGAGATCACTAGTACTGATGTGGGCAGTTCCACAGGTAAGAATCCAGAGTAATCTTTCAGCTCCATCTCTTGAGTTACTGAGGCAGGAGTAACTAAAGAAAGAGGCAGAGAGAAACAATTGCTACAACAGTGATAGAAATCTAAGTCTCAGATCAAGAAAAAGCATAAGTCATTACGGGTTGGAAACCTTGCCATCTTTACAAAAGACATTTTTCCCCTAAAAATTTACCCGAAAAAATAGCCAATAATATTTTTTAAAAGTAAAACCATTTTTAATTAAATATGTTAAAGAGAATAACTGAATAAGCAATAGGAAATAGCAATTTCTCAAGTACTTTTGAAAAGAAAAACAGAAAATTACTTGCTACTAAAATTTCACAACATATTATGCAAGAATCATCTTGACACATGATGGAAACTTCTAACTTTATAGATAAAATCTGTGTAAGATATTTAATTTTTGAAAGAGACACCGTGGGACAGTCTGGTGTGGTTCTGGGTCCACTAGAACTGAGGTGTGTGCCCTGTTGCTGCCTCTGGTTACTGGAATGCCGACAGCAAGTGCTGTCGCCTCTGCCCTGGACTGCAGTCCGGAGCCTGTCCTGAACTTTTCTGGGTGTTCCGCATCCCTAAACTGAAGAAGTATGCCTGGACAGTTGAACCCCTTCAGGATCTATAATGTTAAAGAAAAATATTTTACAAAAAAGGACAGACCATGAACATGTCAAAAAGCCATGGATTTGTTTTTGCTCGTTCTCCACTTTTATTACCAACTGTACTTTTTTTTCCCCATCATTGGCTCCAGAACCATACCAGGCTGTTCCAGGTGTCTCCTTCCAGGTGTCTCTGTTCCAGGCTGTTCCAGGTGTCTCTTTCAAAATGACTTTTAAAACTCACCTGTCTAGAACACATCTGGAAATCCCTCATCTAGAACACATCTGGCAATCCCTTCTCTGTTCCTAATTCTGAATGTTAAGAGAACCTACCAGCATTGCCCCATCCAGAAGGGATAGTAGTATTTGAAATGCTGTGACTGAGAGTTGAAGAAACACATCCTCCAAGAAGAAAGGTCTTGAATCCGTTCATAAAAAGGAGGAAAAAAGAAAGGGGGAGCAAGAGCTCAATGTACCCAATCTCCTAATTCTGAATTGAGAATGTAATCCACAGCCACAATCTAGAATCCTGACAATCATGGGAGCCATACTTGTTGAGGGTTCAATGAGTTTGCCCTGGGTTTTTGGGAACTAGAGAGAGTGAAGGGCATCACAGTTCAAGATGTTACTCTAAGAGTCTGTCTCCCAAGGGGGAAAGCCATTTAAAAGATACATTTTTTCAGAAATGAAAAATAGCTACCTCCCTCAAAGATTCTATGCCAGTCTTCGCAGCAGCACAGCTTTAAATTCCACACCATGGCCATGTGGCTGGAGGACCCGGATGTGCAGATGTGCAACTGACAAGAAGACTGACTTCACTGCTCTCTGTAAACAGAATAAGGAGCAGAGCAATCAACACACTTACCTGTCTTCCATCTCTACTACGCATGCAATCTGCCTAATTTGCATAGGCTCTTTATAACCACAGTGGGTTACATATGCTTCACATGACTCAAATTTTCTGTCCCTTAATTTTGGAACACAGTTAGGTTTTATTTATCCCCACATTTGTTGTCTTTCAAAGAGCAAGTAAATGGAGGCATTTGACCATTTCTATAAATAACACCTATCTGTATGTGGAGAAGCATGTCTGACTAAATGATAGATATCTACTGGGCTATTTGTTTACCAAGGAACACATTTGATGGCTTACTCACAAGCTAAACAGGGGGCCATTCCTCTCGAGGGTCCCAAATTATCTCTACCACACACTTTGAAAATTAGGATCCTATATCATTGTTATGACAAATATTTCTGACAAAATCAAACTCCCTTAAGGGAAAGTAAGCCCCTTTCCTACCTAGGTCCAACCTAGCCTCGCCTCCCACCACATCTCCATGTAAAGCCAGGGCCTGAGCCAAGCCACGCTGTCCACAGGTCCCCACTCAGACACCTCACTCATGCAGTTTCCTTTCCCTAAAAACCTTTTCCTCTTCTTCCCCACATTCCACCCTTTTGACTCAACTAAAATACTCCTTCCCTCCATGATTTTCACTGACCTAGGCACAACCAAATGTTTCAACCCTCCATTGTCTCTTGACTCTTTGCAGACACGTCTATGGATATTTCTCCACTTTTCCCACCTTCCTTTGGCCTCAGTCAGGCCAAAGAAAATAGTCTATATTCTTATCCTCCTTTTCTATCTATAACAAATGTCCCACCTGGTGATTCTCTTTTTAGGACTGGAAGAGAGAATGTGGTAAGAGGGGAGTGTCATGGGAATGGAATACGGGGGTTGGAAATGAAGAGGCCTGGTATGAACTGAGGCTGAGAATCCATGGGAAGATGGACAATGGGAAGGGAAAGCAACAGGAAGGGCAGACAATGTGAAAGGCAGAGAAATGACTTTTACTCAAACAACTGATAGCTGGAAGTCACAAAACTTTAAAGGAGTTGAATGCCTCAGGCTTCTACCATCTTCATAAAGAGGGCTTGGGAATTTTCTTCCGACACCGAGGCAGACATAGTGAAGGAAATGACTTATTACACTTCACGAAATTTAAATTCTGCATAAAAGAAAAAAAAAGAGTCAAAAGACAAGGCAGAGAAGAAAACCAAAACCTCCTGGGCTCTGAACACACATTCTGAGTCACTGGAGCTGCCAGGCCAGAAGTAGATGTCTTGATGTGCCTCTAAGGGATTCCAATTCTTTCACACAAGCAATAAAAATCCAGAGCAAACAAAAATAAAATTATAACTTGAATGCATTATATTTTAAGAAGCACCAAGGAAGTCAAAGATATGAACATTTTTGCAATGGCCAAAACAACTCTCAAGTTTCATGGATTCAATGGAGACAAAAATCTGTTGAAGCACTTAGTTGTATAGAAAATTGGCATTTTAAAATCTCTAAATTAATTTAAAATTAGAGTCTCAGAGAATCCAAGCTTGCAGAATACTGATTCTGTCATTTACTTCATTTTTTTTTTCCAATACAAACTTCTCTCTGGCTCAGTTTTTAAATGACTGCATCCAATGGCCCCAACTACTCCCCCTATGGGACTACGGCCAAACTCAATAGATCTCATCATTAGGAAAGATTTCAGCCTCAATATCCTTTTCCCAAAATCATCATATATAGCTAGCTATGCTCCAATATTATGTGATAAATAAAATTGAAAAACAATTAGTTGCCAATAAAAAAATTACTGATGTATAGTTGTACACTCTAAGTTTTCCAGCTGTCAGCTAATTCTTTTTAGGTTGCCCATTTTCAGCTTCCTCATTTCCTTTGACTCTCATCAAAAGAGTGCCCCTTCTGTTGAACACTGTGATGGTTTTAAAATATGTCCACAAATTCCCTGATACTTCTATCTTTAAGAGGTGAAATCTAAAAGTCTAATCTCCCCTTGGACATGGGCTGGTTTTTGTGAATCTTGTCTAAGAACAAACCAGATATGGTGGCTAATGCCTGTAATCCCTGCACTTTGGGAGGCTGAGGGGGAGGATTGCTTGAGTTCAGGAGATCGAGACTAACCCTGGCAATATAGCAAGACCCTGTTTCTAAAAAATAAATAAATAACAGAAAAAAATGGAATGATGCTTTGCAACTTCAGAGACTACATCATAAAAGACACTGTGGCTTCTGTCGTGGTCTGTCTCTGTTGGATCACTCACTCTCGGGGAAGCCAACTCCCATGCTACGGGAATACTCAAGCAGTCTAAGGAGACACTCACTCATGGGGCAAAGAACTGAAATCTCCTGCCAACAGTCACATGAGTGAACCACCTTGAAAGTATCTTCTAGGCCCAGTCAAGCCTTCAGATAACTGCAGCTCTTACTGATACCCTGGTTGCAATTTCATGAAAGAAACTGAGCCAGAACCAACCAACTGAGGTCCCTCTAAATTCCTGAACCACAGAAACTCTAAGGTAATGTTTGTGGCTTTAAATCACTACAGTTTGGAGTAATTTTTTTTTTTTTTTTGAGACGGAGTCTTGCTCTGTTGCCCAGGCTGGAGTGCAGTAGCACCATCTCGGCTCACTGCAACCTCCACCTCCCGGGTTCAACTGATTCTCCTGCCTCAGCCTCCCGAGCAGCTGGGACTACAGGCACCTGCACCACGCCCAGCTAATTTTTGTATTTTTAGTAGAGATGGGGTTTCACTACATTGGCCAGGCTGGTCTCGAAGTCCTGACCTCGTGATCCACCCGCCTCAGCCTCCCAAAGTCCTGGGATTACAAGCGTGAGCCACCGTGCCCGGCCAGTTTGGAGTAATTTTTTATGCAGCAACTGATAACTAACATAAACATACACACACATAACATGTTCTTCTTCCCTTCTGCTTTTTTTTGGCCCAAATTCTGAGAACAACAGAAATTATGGACGATACTAAATGCACAAAAGCACCGTATACATGAATGGCAGACTCGAGAGACAAGGACTGAGTGCCTACTAGGCTGCAGAGAGCAAATACACATGACAATCATGTAAGCTGCAGTCATATCCATTCTGCCAGCAAGGAAACCAGAGATGTTCACCAGAAGCTTGACCACGGTCATTCTGCTAGGGAACAGTGAAGCTGGGATTTTAATGCAAGCCCTTGTTCTTTCTTTCCTCGATACGCCCCAATGCCTCTCCTACACTTGTAATGAGCATTACTATGAAAAATATATGACACTTAGGAATGTGAATGCTATACGCTTGGGAAATTAGGATGAGGGAGAGAGAAACAAGCATAGATTGAGCACCTATGTGATGTGTTCTGCAGTATGCGAGATATCTTATATAGACTTCATCTCACTTCATTCTCACAACACTCCTACAGAACAAGTCTTAAGATCTTTATCTGGAAGACAAAGAAACTGATAATAAGAAGTTCAAAGGGAAAGAATACAAAACCACCCACAGGTTCTACCCTTTAGGATGTTGAAATCCAGAGCGCCTAAAAACACACTCAGAATAACGCCATCCAACCTATCTACCTCACAAGACTGTGGCAGGGGCCATGTGAAATAATTTGTATGGATATAATTTATAGGCTGTAAAACTCTATGCAAATCAAAGAAAAAATACTTACACATGGTCAGTTTTAACTGGAGCAACTGTTAGAAAAGCTCAAACCAGTAGTGACATTTAAACCATGATATACTACACAGCAAAATCTATAACCACTTCTAAATCTAGGAAAATTCTCATCTTAAGATGTTTGCTTTCAGATCATAACTATTATTAAAGACTCTAGAATAAAGCAAGATTCTACTGTGGACTTTGGTTCCACCATAATTTCCACATACAACCTGATTGTTTGACTTTGTTTGACAGGTATCATAATGAACATCAACCAGCTGTAGGAACCCACTGATTAGAAAGGTTTACTCTGCATTTGAATAATTTTTTTTTTTTTGAGACGGAGTCTTGTTCTATCACCCAAGCTGGAGTGCAGTGGCACAATCTTGGCTCACTGCAACCTCCGCCTTCTGGGTTCAAGTGATTCTCCTGCCTCAGCCTCCCAAGTAGCTGGGATTACAGACATGTAGCACCATGCCCGGCTAATTTTTGTATTTTTAGTAGAGACGGGGGTTTCACCATGTCAGCCAGGCTGGTCTTGAACTCCTGACCTGAAGTGATCTGCCCGCCTTGGCCTCCTAAAGTGCCTGGATTACAGGCGTGAGCCACCGTACCTGGCCGCATTTGAGTAATTTTTGTTAAGCTAAACACCTCTTGTTAGCAGCTCTATAGTCACATAACAAATTTTTAAAACATGTTATTGTGTTAAAAGTCTAAAATATAATACAATTTTAAAATATCTAAAATATAGTCAAATCTTGACTTTGCACTTGCCTAAAGATAACTTACACAAAGAGCTAAAGTGGTACTTTTTTTCAATGAATAAGATTGATTTCTGTAATTTTAAATTCAATTTTTGGTTCCTAACTTAAGGAATGCATTTTAAGTAGTAATCAAGTAATATACAAGTATTATAATGTAACATACTTAATTAATGCATATAAAGTGCTTAGTACCATGGTTGGCATGCAGAAAGTGCTAAATAGATGAGGAGGAGGAGGGTGGAACTTACCTCATGTCTTTGCTGGGACAAAGAAGCCTATGTCCAAATTTCCTAACTACCTGATCTTTGATAACAAGAATACAATTCACAATGCCTTCAGCACATCTGTTTGTATTTTCTTGCTCAGAGTATATGTTCTTAAGGTATATTAAGATGTGGTTTGGAAACTGGGATCTCTGACAAGAAACACCATGAATCACTTTCTCCATTAATAGTCTTTGAAAAACCCTTTCAAAGAGAGGCATCTAATTTTGCTAGATTTCCATGTTCAAGACATGGCAGAGCATGCCTGCTATGTACTTACACACATACTGCATTGTGGTTGCCAGAAAACCCATACCAAAAAAAAAAAAGATGAATGAACAGGAGGCATGATAGGATTCCAGGAATCTTACTGAAAAGGTTTCCCAATCCACACTCACTGACTGAAGGTGAACATTCTCCATTCCATGTGGGCAAGAATCCCCCAGACCTGAGAATGTTTCTGTTAAAAATTCCAGTGGAAGCTTAGACATGAATACAGCAATACCATCAGGTCCTAGTAACCCGCAGGCCAGGCAGAACAATTCTCCAAGTGTTGCAGGGGTCTCAGGGAACTGATGGAACTGACCCACCCACTCCTCTTTCTATGTGGAAAGAGGGAATGTGGACAGGACTAAGAGCTATAAAGGGAGTGAGGAAAAGCTATAAAGAGAGTGAGGAAAAGTTGAGCAGCTGGGTTTTCCCTCTCTAGAAGTCAAGCTTTGGTGCTTTGTGTAATCAGGACATGCAGCTGTTAGAGAGCAGAGTAGAAATAGAACTTGTATTAGCTGAGGTCTCTTGCCTACAAAACAAGGGGGTGCACATTATCTCAAGCAACAGGATGTTCAACTGCGGTTGTGTACAGCAAGAAGGAGATAGACGTCTCAAGAGAACCCAGAACGCAGAACCAGCTGGCCATATAAGCCAAACCTCATGGAGGCTAAGACACAGTTCAGTAACTGAAAAGATGTTCAGAATCCACAGCACTTGTAGCAACCCCACTATATGCTGCCCCATCCCTACTCCCCTTCAGAAATGCTGTTGAACTTCATTCTTGTACCCAACATTAACGTGGTAGGATTGGCTACTTCTGTTTCTTTTTGGTATTATACGTCTGTTCCAGATACTTACTGTTCAATTCTAACTTAGGAATTCCTTAAGAGAGATTCTGATTAATCTAATTTCGTCAACATCATCCCTGTTTGGGAAAGTGCCTCTGCCAGGCCACCTTACAGGCAGCTGGCCAGCCTCAGATTGGTTTTGAGTCAACTGCCCACCCGCTTTCCAGTCCACTGTGGCCAGAAGGTGAGGTCACCCATAGTATCACTTTTACCAAAAGGTAACCTGTCTGATTACAATAGTTATCATCTGTTCTAAGACTAATGATTGATTTGTCCAGATTGTTTTAAAAAGTAAATCTGCCCTGCTGAAATGGTAATCTAGGAAAAACAACACATTTCAAGGGAGTTGGCAGGTCAGCAGACCAGAGGCATTGCCTTTTTCATGGTAGAAGAAGGAAGAGAGGAAATACGCAATTCCTCTCGAACGAAGCTCCCGCTCCGAACCCATAGACTCGTTCCACCCACACTCGATTGGTCAAAGCAAGTCACATGGCCAAGCCCAGAGTCAAGGGGACACGCAAAATCCACTATACCCACAGGAAGCCATGACAAGATGTGTGTGTGGAGGGGGGCAGGGTGGGGGGAAGAACTAGAAAGAACTATGCATATATTATACGATTTACCATGTTTATTATTTATTCTCGGATGAATAAAATGTTAGGGGAGAAAGTCAAATTGGTGAGAGAATCATTCTTAACAAAACTATATCCACCACCTTCTCTCTCCTATAAAGACTAACGAAAGTGCTTTTCATTAAATTTCTACAGTTACCAAAACCAAAACAACAACAAAAAAAAACTCTTTGGACCAGAAAGCATGTACCTAACCGAATCACAAAAGGTCAGTACAGTATTTTTGACTGACGAATAAAGGCAAAAATATAAATCAAAAGATTTTGTTTGGGGGAGGATTACGCCGTAACCTTCTAAAGTAAAGCAGATGCGCGCTCCAGCCAGCTCCTCCATGGAATGTAAGCTGAAAGCGTGGGAGGAAGAGCTCTTGGTTTCTGCTGGATCTGAGTGAAGCAGTTGCACTCATGAGATGCACCTGTAGCCATTAAGGGGTGTTGGTTAAACAAGGAGCCCAGCTGGTGGGTGCCTGTGCTTCCAGGCCTCGTTAGGGAAGAGCACTCAATCCCACACAAGAAGCCCAGATACCATCAACACAGGAACGACCACCGCCCTTTCACCTGCTCTCCGGATGCTTTTCTTTCTCTCGCCAAAGCTTTCTAAATCTGTTTATAGGATACAAGGACTTACAAGTAATTATGATGTTTTTCACAAAACACTGCATATTTAAAATATTTTCATTCAGTAAGAAAAAAAGCTAGAACCTTGGAAAAGCAAACTTGTGAAGTGCAGTTTGGGCTACAAGACTTTTTCTTAATGGATCTTCCTGTATGGATAATGTAAGAAACTAAAAAAAAAAAAAAAAAAAAAAAAGACTTTACAAAATTTATTTCCACTGAAGAAAATCAGACTAATTAGAAAGTTTTCCAACAGAACTAAAGGAAAATGTATTTAAGTGGTCAGAAAGTGGATCTAATGAGAAATAACGATGATAATCACCAAAGTTAGCTCCATGCGAATTATATTTACTCAGGGAGAGATTTGGGAATTATTTTTCCTGACTTGCATACCATGCTAAATATTAAGAAACTGCATGTAAGTCTGAGTAGTCAACCACGTACTAATGAAGTTTTGTAGTCTTTTAATAGCATAGTACTTTGCTTAATAAAGATGATGTTTAATTGCGAAAAAAATTACTTTAAAAAATACACATACAACACTGCTGGTGGGAGTATAAATTAGTTCAATCATTGTGGAAAGCAGTTTGGCAATTCCTCAAAGAGCTAAAAGCAGAACTACCATTCAACCCAGCAATCCCATTACTGGATATATACCCAGAGGAATATAAATCGTTCTACCTTAAAGACACATGCACGTGAATGAATGTTCATTGCAGCACTATTCACGATAGCAAAGACATGGAATCACCCTAAATGCTCATCAATAACAGACTGGATAAAGAAAATATGGTACATATATGCCATGAAATACTATGCAGCCATAAAAAAGAATGAGATCATGTCTTCTGCAGAAACATATATGGAGCTGGAGGCTATTATCCTTAGCAAACTATGCAGGAACAGAAAACCGAATACCACATGTTCTCACACTTGTAAGTGGGAGCTAAATGATAAGAACTTATGAACACAAAGAAGGGAACAACAGACCCTGGGGTCTACTTTAAGTGGGAGGGTAAAAGGAGGGAGAAGGGCAGAAAAGATAACTACGGTACTGGGCTTAATACCTGGGTGATGAAATAATCTGTACAACGAAACCCCGTGACACGTGTTTACCTATGTAACAAACTTTCACATGTACCCCTAAACCTAAAAGTTAAAAAAATACACACATATATACTTGATTGAATATATGTGTGTATATATACACACAGCCATCATACATATATACATGTACGTATTTCTTGATTTAAAGTTTGCTTGTCAGAAGAATTAATATAACCATACTGCAACTACCTCTTAGGAAAGAAAGTTGTTCTCCAGTCATGTATTAACTTCTACTTCCTTTGTATGGGAATGAAAAGAAATTAGGGCAGCCAGAGTAGGGTTAATATTCAGGAGATATTCAAAAACAAACAATGCAGAACTAAAATCACAGAAAATAACACAAAGCCCTTTTTAAGAAATGTCACATATAAAATATAAGAAAGGTATTTACAGGCCAGGCGCAGTGCTCTCGTCTATAATCCCAGCACTTTGGGAGGCCAAGGCGGGAGGATCACGAGGTCGGGAGATCAAGACCATCCTGGCTAATATGGTGAAACCCCGCCTCTACTAAAAATACAAAAAAATTAGCCAGGCGTGGTGGCAGGCGCCTGTAGTCCCAGCCTACTCGGGAAGCTGAGGCAGAAGAATGGCATGAACCCGGGAGGCGGAGCTTGCAGTAAGCCAAGATCGCACCACTCCACTCCAGCCTGGGTGACAGTGCGAGACTCCATCTCAAAAATAAAAGAAAGAAAGAAAGGTATTTATGGATCCTTATGTCAAAGTGGGGATGGACTTACTCCAATGCAGTCATTTTCAACATTAAGGGGACTCTTCTATAAGGAATCTAATTCATGAGAAGACAAAGCATTCTACTTTAAGTCCCTGGGAAACATCTCATGAGCAGTATTTTGCGTGGGCCTATTTTATTTTGAATCAAAGCTACCATTTCTGTTCTAATAATGATTAATTTCCTCAAAATTCTTTCCCAATCCAGAAGTAAAATCAACTAAAACCCTCAATTTCTGGCAAAGGTATCCTAAGGCTGAGGAGGCACCATCTCTTTTCTTTTTCTTTGCTTTACAGTTTCCCCACATGCAAACAATAAATTCATTTGTATTACCTTTCCCTAGGGAAAAAAAAAATCAGTCTGACTCCAGAATATTCTGGAGCCATACAGTATTGATTTCTTAAAATCAGTCTCAACACCCAGAAATGTCCTTGAATTTGCTTGTTTCTTATAAACTCTTGGGCCCTTATAACTAAAACCTTTATCTGGTAGTGAAGGCTGCTCATCGAGGAATTTAAACTACATGATCCTTCACCCTAGAAGGTTTTTCTTCTTTGCTGTTTTCATATTGCTGGGTAAGTTTCTTGGAAATATTTATAACCAATCCATATCTACTGTTTCACAGCTATCTTAAACTTCGTGTGGCCTATCAGGGGGCAAAGAGAATAATCATGTTCGTACGGCTTCCCTGAACTGGAATGTTATCAAATAGCTCTCAGATATACCATCCTCCCCTCCACGCCCTAACCCAGGATAACGTGCATGGCAAGACTGCTCATGAACTTTTCTTTGCAATAGATCATATCCTGTCCTTGAATGAAATCTGGATTCCCAAGGATACCAGCTCAGCAGAACCCTGTTCATCCACATTCACCAGAATGCCTTCTCAGGTGTCAGTCTGTACATGGTTATAATGTAGTTTTACTGTCTAGGCTTTCAAACCAAAAACTTTGCCAGAAATCATTGAAAAGCAGACGCCTTTCTTTCAGGAATCTTTAGTACTAACATCCACATGATCATACAGTTGGGAAACTGGCTCAAGGTTCCCGATTCCCATACAGAATTGAGCATGGGACAAGGAGCTTAAGGAACTCGCTGATTTTGCAAGGAAAAAGCACAAAGCTTTATCATTATTCCTTCTTTAAAACAGTTTGTTTTCACACCTAATATTCCTCTTAAATGCTTAAGCAGTTTTTGCTGGTTTTCATCAGCTCTTGTAAGGTCATTCATGGCTGGTCCAACTTCCACTGCCTTTTAGTACCCACTGGGTTGGTGTAAGCCAATCCCAAAGACAGTTTTTTTTGTTGTTTTTTTTTTGTTTTTTTTTTTTTGCACACAAGTTAAAGGTAGTCTCCATGTAGGGAGGGCTTTCAATGCTGCAAACATGTTCTCTGGAAGTCTTCTCTCCCATGGACCCACTTGGTCCATCTGCAAAGCTCTGCCCTGTAAGGCTCCCAATCTGTCAGGACCTATCAGCGAGGATGTCTCAGAGGAGCAGAGCTGCCCAAACCCTGGATTTCTCCTGCTGCTGCTTCTGTTCTCTCTTCACATGAGTGTGATACCATCCATATCCTAAACTTCAACATCGACATTAAGGCCACAACAGTTCTCAGGACCAGACTCTTCCTCAACAGCATTTTCAAATGGCTCCTCCTCTGAAGATCTCCAGATTGCAATTCATCCCATGTGTAAGAATGTTGCTCCAATTCCCCTCATCTACACTTACTATATCTGCCTTTATCCAGTTGCCACCCCAAGGATTTTCCCGTCTTTTGCAGCATCCATCCCATAATGGGTGCTCTCAACTACGCCAGGGACACCTCCCATGAGCATTCTGTAACTGGCACTAGGCATCCAGAGCCTTTAAGCAACGTTCTTGCCCACCTCCCTGAAGTGGCTGGCATAAGCAGACCTGTCCGTGTTAAATATTGCCTATCTCCTAACATTCAGCTTTGTTTTGACAGAGCAAAAATCTTGAATGTCTCTTGTAAGTCTCTGCCAAAGCACTCTGCTCTCTCACTCAGGGCAACCAGGAAGACCCAGACAATCTTACGGGTAACCTCTTTGTGGTATCAGACTGCAACCGTAAAGACTCTTCGCTCCAGACATGTGAACTTCCTTTTTCAAGGGGAGACATAAGCATTTACCATCAAACCCTGAGATGTTTCCGTGACTTGCCGTGCTTCTCGATGTCAGCCTGAACTGAAGCCTGAAGGCTAACGCTACAAGCAAGACATTCAACCATAGTATTAATAAAAGTTAGAAAGAAGAGGCCTCGTGTGTCCAAAGCAGCCGTACTTCTCTTAGTGTGGAACTATGGACTGCGATCAGGCCAGAACTGGGATTCAGGAGTTCAGGCCACAAAGCTGCTACTATGAAAACAACAGACTCTACATCTGTCTCAGACCAGAGCTCAGGAGACCTGGGGAGCTGTTCTATCTGCAAATGGAGGTGCCAGATTTCAGTCAGCCCGTGATTGATGGCTGGGAGTCAAGCTGCCCCAGCCTGTTGCAAAGACTGAGAGAGGGCAGCACAGACCAGAACTCAGGGCTAAGATGTCTCCTGTGGTGCCACTGCAGGTGGGAATTACATTTTCTTCTGTCAGAAGTCACTTAATAGGGACCCTGTGCGTGCTTCTTCACTTCTACGGTTGCTTATTTAAACAAAAAAGGTTAGGTTTAACACTTTAAGTAAAAAGTGGGCTTGACCTCACTTTTCCTTTCCTTTTTTTTTTTTGCAATTTAATGGTACTGTGTGTTTGGAAATGCCAGTCATTTCTCTCTCTCTCTCCCCCATGTTAGTACATCAGATGACAACTAGACAATTTTTTTAAGAGCCTGAGTTATATCTGTTTAAAGATTTTTAAGAAGTTACCATATAAAACATGACATCTGCCTTTCCTGAAATTGTTTACACTTTAAGTAAACAGTGGGCTTGTCCTTACTTTTCTTTTTTTGCAATTTAACAGTATTATGTGTTTGCAAATGCCAGTCATTTCTCTCTCTCTTTCTCCCCCACGTTAGCACATCAGGAGATAAATTGGTACATTTTTTTAAGAGCCAGAGCTATATCTGTTTAAAGACCTTTAAGAAGTTACTGTATAAAACATGACATCTGCCATGCCTAAAACGTAAAATTTCTGCCTTGTTGAATTTAAAGAACTAAAACTTTAGATGACTTTGAAATATAAGTAACCTATTTAAAACCTAAGCCCATCTTGAGAGAACGACAACTGGAATTAGCAATGAGAAATCCAATTTAGAGAAGTTCAGATTTCTAAATCGTTCCAAATATTAAAGTTATGTAGTAGAAAAAGGGACTAAGGAGGCAAATGCTTAAATTGGAGCTTCGCTAATCTTTTAGTTCTTCTTTGCACAGTCTGGAAACCAGTCGTCTAGGGAACCATGTCAGTTACATGGCCATTGCTGCTCATCCTAAAGATCTCCTTTATAAGTAGCTCTACAATCTATCTTAGTAAGTCCTTTGGTGTCTTATAACCCTGATGATAAATACACCTCTTTCCACCATAGACTGTACTTAAAATATTATTTGCTGGCTTTAATATTATAAAGCATTCCATATCATTTTTACTACGTCAGCACATAGTATGATGTAGACACTTATTATACCCTCAAGGACTTTTTCTAGCAGGTTATGTCAAACTAATCTCTTTTTGTCTGAGTTACTTGGGTTTGCTCCTGAACATGTGCTATTCTAATCTTGACTGACCATTTTTATAAGATGGTCTTCCAAATGTTATGTCATTTCCATTTTCTTCCTCTGGGTTAAAAAAAATTACTAAACTAAACACAATAGAATTTGGTTTACATGCTGAATTCTTTCCTACAAGTCACCAATGAAAACACTGTATAAAGCAGACCCCCACCCCTACCCCACACCATCCCTAGACTTCTGAGAGCTTATGAGCTCAATTCCTTGGAGCTGAAACTGAGTCTCATAACTACCTACTTGGCAATAATTTTTCATAAATATTTGTTATTTTAAATTGAGATATGATTCACATGCCACAGAATTCACCCTTAAGTGTATAATTCAGTTTTTTTATTTTTAGTGTTTTCAGGTTGTGCAACCAGCATGACCACCTAATTCCAGAACATTTTCATCACCCCAAAAGAAACCTCTTACCTATAAATAACTATTCCCTATTCCCACTCTCCCCTGTCCCTGGCAACCGCTAATCTTCTTTCCGTGTCTGTGGATTTGCCTACTCTGGACATCTTATAGAAATGGACTCATATAGCATGTAGTCTGGATTCTTTTGTGTCTGGAATCTTTCACTTGGCTTGTTTTCACAGTTCATCCATGTTGTAGCATGTATCAATCTTATTCCTTTTTATGGCTGAGTAATACTCCTACATTGTGTGTGTGTGTGTATATATATGTGTGTGTGTGTGTACATATATGTGTGTATATATATTTGTGTATACGTGTGTGTGTGTGTGTGTGTGTGTGTGTGTGTGTGTATATATCTGTTTGTTTATCCCTTCATCAGTTGATGGACATTTGGGGTTGTTCCCACTCTCTTGGCTATTACAAATAATGTTGCTATGAACATTCATGTACAAGTTTTTGTGCAAACATATGTTTTCAATTCTTTTGGATATATAGCTAGGTGTGGAATTGCTGGGTTATATGATAACTCTATATTTAACTTTTTTGAGAAACTCATGCAGTATCTTAATGTGATACTGTGTTGTGATATGGCTGGGACTGCTTCATCCCATAAAAATATTTCCACCAATATCAAAAGGTTTTCTATAAGCAACCAGGAGTAACATCCCATTCCTTTCCCAATTGCTGTGTGGCCCATTATTCTAAAATTAAAAGAAACTAGACTTATCTAACACAAGCAGCTTCCTGGTAGTTCATGCTTTTCTGGGTGCCTTCAAACTAAGTGGAAATGTATCCGAGAATTGTCATGCTCTGGAGGGTGGGTTGGTGGGGACACTGAGAATGAAGGACAGCTGCTAGAAGCAGGGCCTCTTGGGCTGCTTTTGTCACGTTCCAGGCACCAAACAATCAGGTCCGATATCTAGATGTTTTCAGTGGATTGAGAGACTGTGAGTCTCTAGATCAAGAATTGGCAAACTATAGCCCATGAGCCAAATCCAGCCACCTGATCTACAACCTGAGAGGTAAGAAGGATATTTACACGTTTAATAGATACATGTTAAATAGCTATATAAATATCTACCTAAGATCCTTGATTTGCCTATTGGCTAACAAAGTCTAAAGTACTCCCTAAAAGTTTGCCAATCCCTACTCTAGATGATACGGATGCAAATTAAATTCTTTTAAGGCCAACAAATAAAGCAGAACACCACAAGTTATTAATTTATCACTAGAGATATCCTTTACCGGCTGGGCATGGTGGCTCACACCTGTAATCCCAGCACTTGGCAAGGCCAAAGTGGGCGGATCACTTGAGGTCAGGAGTTCGAGACTAGCCTGGCCAACATGGTGAAACCCTATCTCTACTAAAAATACAAAAACTAGCTGGGCAGTAGTGGCACACACCTGTAATCCCAGCTACCCAGAAGGCTGAGGCAGGAGAATCACTTGAGCCTGGGAGGCAGAGGTTGTGGTGAGCTGAGATCATGCCACTGCACTCCATTATTCATAATAGCCAAGAGAGTGGGAACAACCCCAAATGTCCATCAACTGATGAATGGATAAACAAACTGAGATACATATCTCTATACAATGTGGGAGTATTACTCAGCCATAAAAAGGAATAAGATACTGATACATGCTACAACACGGATGAACTTTGAAAAGAAGCTGGGAAAAAAAAGAGATATCCTTTACCAATGACCAGAGAACACCCAACATAGGATGTCAAGTTACCTAGAAAGTGACTAAGAAGACTGGTAAATATACAGAATCAAATTAGGAAAAGTAGTGTGTACACATTGGACAGGGATGGTGAATTGTATTATCAAAACTGTGGGAAAATCCCATAAAATAGTCATCCCTCCCAAAAGAAAGCACCTCACTAGCAACTTGGTTAGTTTCTCTCTATCTACAATGTTTTATCTGGAGAGTGCTGCGTTTGACACATTAATGTATTTTACTCTACTAAATCCATCACCTCCATCCTCATCTCTTTCCTGCTTATTCAAAACAATTGTTCTTTTTCTCTTACCAAGTGTCGAGAGCAAATCCTTATTCCCTTGGGCTTGTAGACTACTGTCTCCTATTATGAGCTAAGAGTTGCACAGTGCTTAGAGCTCAAGGTATGCATTATTATTATTGCTCTTGTAATATATCAATATTAAACATACCAACTGGTCATTACTGTAGACCCCCTTTTTAATCACTTTTAAAGGGAGAAGATAACACTTGTTATTGCCAACCTCTAGTTTTCAACCGCTTCTCTAGTTCCCATAGCTTCTCAAAAGTAATGGCAGTGGACTACAATGACATACCTCACTTCTTCAATTTCACTCCAAGATACATCATGCTCAAATGATCTTAGTATCTTCTATTTTTCTAAAGAATCAGAGCTATCAGCTTCTGTTTGACCTTCAAATCTTTCAGCACAATAAAAAATTAATGTTTGCATTTGATCTCTTCTGTAAATATAAAAATGAAGATGCTATAAAAGCTTCTGCTTTTCCTCAGACTTCTCTGACTAACTGTTCCTTCCTTTCTGTTCCATGTAAGGCTTCTTTGGAGCCTCCTCTTTTACCTACCACAGAACAGGAGTATGCAGAGACAGTATGTTTAGGTCCCTCCTACTACCTGTACCTCCTTTCCAGTTTTAATCATCTTTTGTGGTTCTTACTCCATTTTGCCATTTCAGTATCCTTCATGGTCCTGCCAAATTATCTCTTTTAAAAACTTTCCAACTAGCCCTCCAGCTCTCAGTAGAGCTCTGGCCTCAGCAAAAATAGCCACATCTCCCTTCTTGTCTTTCCTACATGCGTAACTCTTTCAGTTAATTCCTGAGCTTCTTTCTGAACAACAGCCATCTTTTAGGGGGTTTGAGCAGAGAACACCACCACTGTGATAATGTATATTAGTCTACATTCTTTTACTAGCTCCTTACTATGTAGAAAATATATTTAAACAGGATGAGCGGGAAAGATATGGACAGAACAGATAAGAAACTTATCTTCACATTCTTCTAAGATATAATTTCATCTTTCAGAACACAGTTCAACCAAGATTTGAGAGTTTAAAATACATATATACACACGAGGGTGGAAATACACACACAGTGGGAATTTTCATTCCAATAACAAATCACAGAAAACAAATCAAAACCACAGTCTAGTCTCTAGTCTTAATACCAGTGTTCTCTAACCATCTTTTCCTGATACCTCCAGATAATTCAGAATTCTCTTCTCTTATCAGTATAATCATAAACTTTAAAATCTCTCTTCCCATCACACTCTGATTTGGGAGATCTTTTAAAAAAATTGTCATCTGTATAAAACCCCAAGGAAATAAGAAGTACATCTTTTCCTTAATTTTTAAAATTAGTATTAGAAAAATATTACACATATACTCAAGAAATATTCACTTAAGAGAAACGGCTCTTTAAGTACGAATATCAAAGGATTTTTAAGAATCAAATAGATGCATCTATTCTTTTGCAAATGACTTGGAAGTGATTTTTTCCTAATGATCTAAATGGTTTCTGTATTCTTCCCTAAGATCCCCAGGGCTCACTTTCCTCAACATCCCAATAAACCATACCAAACTATTGTTCTGGGGTCTAGCCACCGGTCACTGAGCAGGACTTTCTCAAAAGACAAAAAGTGGATGGACAAACCTGCTGTTAGATACTCTTTTTGTTAAATGACCAATTCTGAGGGAAGAGTCAATCACTTTAGATTCAGTACAGAAACGGGGAGGTGGAGTGGGTGTAGGGAACCAAAGCCACAACAAATGTGGACTTCACTAGTGCCAAACAGTAGTAAAAACTGTATCTCAACTCTTCATACTATTCCCAGTGGTGAAAGATGGTCCTTTTCCCACCTCACAACTGGCATTCTCTTTCATTACCTATGGTGCAGGCAATCAGTCAACATGTGACAGGGCAGGAAGCTGCTGGAACGAGAGCGTGTGTCTAGCTCTCGCCTTTGGATGGGCTGCGCCTTACTCCAGAACGTTTTCTCCAGATGCTGCCGGCAGACACTCTGTAATACCTAAACCACAAATCATCACATTCCCCACCCTTTGAGCCAGGCCTTGTCCTTGAGCTTCCCACATAGCGAGATATTAACCAAGCTGGCCACTGATACAATAGCGCTTTACAAATTCAGAGAAATCTGCCACGCCAGCTGCTTGATACACTAAAAACTAGGTGAGTCTTATAATGTAAAAATATCCACTGTAGGAGAACCTCAGAGAGCTATGCAGGACATTTCAGACGTTTCACAAGGCATGAGTCCTGGCTAGCTTACTAAAGAAAATATTGCATCAATGTAAACATGTCAGACATATGACTGGACCCAAAGTTAGAGCAAATATGTCTTAGACATGAAGCCATATTGCAGAAACAGAATGACAGGCAGGTCACTTCGGATTCATTTCCAAAACCCAGGAAAAACTGCTTTTCCTCAGAATAAGGAAACCATGCTAAATTTCTGCTGTCTGGTTGCTTCAGGAACCAATGTGGATTTTTTAATGACTCTTGAATTTTATTTACTGTGACACATTAAAGCCGTCTACACTGAACAAAGTGTTTCCAATCTCTGATACCATAACTTGGGAAAATGGTTGATAAGACTATACTCACGCTGAAAAGGTGCCGCAACTTGATCCTGCACATATCTTAAAGGGAAAGAACCTTCAGTGGACTGCTCTCCTGAAATCCCCTTCTGGGCTGGAAAGTACTTGGGCTTGAGCACGTATTCCTGGGTCTGGCCATGGTGAATCACCACACTCTGGGAAGAAAGAGGAGTCACTCTGGGAAGAAACAAAATAAAGAGAAGGAATTAAATAATGGGCTTTTAAAAGTCAGCTAATAAGGAAAGGGTAAGCAACGAGTTAAATGTAGAAAGGAGCATCAATTCCAAGCAAGGCTCATTTTTTTTCCTTCAAATACTGTCGCTGACCACTCATGACATAGAAGGAGGTAAATGATGGCTTACGCTCAGAAGCGTCCTTCACGAAAAAGATCCTGCCTGTCTAGTTAAGAAGCGTGATGATAAATAGGTCATCACAGGTAACTTTATCAGAGGATTCAGAGCACAACTGCCATAAGCCTTCACACAAAAACATGGCATTTATATTTAAGAAAATGATGGTGCATGACTGTAGTCCTAGCTACTCAGGAGGCTGAGATGGGAGGATCGCTTGAGCCCAGGAGTTTGAGGCTGGAGTGAACTATGACTGCACCACTGTACTCCGGCCTGGATGACAAGAGTGAGACCCCATCTCTAAAAAGGGAATAAAGACAAAGATGTTTACACAGACAGGTATATATTTAGTAAGCGTGCAGCACTGGAAATGGGAAGGGGGGAAATAGCGAAGAAAGTACAGGAAGGGAATTATGCAAGAAATCCCCATGTTGTATTAGTTAAGCAAAAGCAATCATAAACAATTAAAGCTGTATGATACAGTGGGACCTTCTAACGCTGCCTAATGCTAAAGGTTAGCTGGTTAATCTCTTTAAGCCTCAGTTACCTAATCTGTACTGCAGAATCTCTGCGACACTGAGCTGAGAAAAAAGTGGCTGTAAAAATCTGAACAAATGCAAACTAAAAACATAATAATGTTAATTTCCTTTTGAAATATAAATTACGATGCCGCTTTAGGGAAACAATTTTTTATGCTGTGTCTCATAATAATATAAATTGTACTATTTGAGTTAAATGTTTTATAATTATACTCTCATTATCTTTTTAATAGCACGAGTCAAGACTTCTGGGAACTTCTGAACATGATTACTATGTGCTAACCCTCCTGGCCCAACCCTTGTTTTCTGTGACAATTCTCTTCCACTGCATCTAATTCATATTTTAAAATAAGCCTCTGCCCAGATTCAGTTATTCCCTGAGGAAGAGGAATGAAAAATATAAAGAAGATATACCAACTAATTCCAGAATATGCAAAATTGCTACTGAAATTGTTAGGACAGTGCAGTTTTGCAGCAAGCTGAGCTTTTAGAAGGGAACATGCTCTCTAATGTAATCTGACCCAAAATACCGATCCTAAGGAGGGACTGACTATCTGAACAAGGGGAAGAAATGACGCCATGGCAGTCAGTGCAAAAGGCAAATTGTCAAGCCACCCAAAACACCACCGTACAATGTCTCATATCAAAAGCAGTAAAAGAAACTTGAATAGTCTCACTCTATCAGATTCATTCTCATTGGAGCTGGTAAATGAGCTATTCTGTGGGAAAAGGCATTCATGAGAGATAAAGGAATAGAAGAGGCTAGAATTAGGCTGCTTCCCTCTTAGTCAGTAATCTGGGTCTACCCCTTTAAACCCTGTGGTCTCAGGAAAGCCTGGAAAATCTATTTTGGGCCTGGATTTTCCCAGATGCAATACCACACAAGGGCACTCCCTTTGTCACCAGACTAATGACTAAATTACTAAAAGCCTGAGGCTTAACATTGTGAACACTTTTGTTTTGATGATGTAAGTGTTGTTTTGACATTAAGTGTGTTTGGTTGGGATAGAGCAGCAAGTGAAACAGCTGGACACATCTGGTAGTGACTGATAAGAACCACAAGTCTCTTCTATCAGCCTCTTGGAAAGAGGAATCCTCCGCATCTCGGAAGCAATTTGCCCTCCGGCCATGCTGCCACCCTGTCACCATGCTACTCTGACCCGCTGAGAGATGTACAGGCTAGCTCCTATTCAGGAAAGGAAAACCCAGTTTTCCAGGAGACCTTGGGCTACTGCACCTAATTCGTGCCCCAACCACAGCCAGAAAAGTAAGAGTATGGGGTTTGCCTTCTACTTGAGGTTGTCTCTTGTCCCCCCTCTGAATTGAGGAAGCGGAGGACAAGAAACGAGCTGAAAGCATACATGTGGACGGGCCCTTTTTCCCTGAATGTAACAGAAATGTAATAAACTAGGTAAAACCAAGCTGTACTAGGTCTAGAACTTAAGTTAACAGCCCTCAGCCATCACTAACTTAAGGAAATCAGTAGTTAAGTGCCACCACTGTCTACATATTCCTCAAGTTACAAACACATTGCAAATATGGAGCTACACACAGCTGCCCCCACTCCCTTACCTTCTCCCGCTTCCCCCCATGAGGTGCGTGCACAGGTACCCCACAGGCTGATGCCCCTCTGCCCCACAGCCCCCCAGAGACAGAAGCAAGGCCACGGACAGGACCCCTGCTGAGGCAAGTAGAGGAAACTGTCCCATTACTCATCCTACAAGCATTATATGAAATCACTATCCTACACTCTCTTCCTCACTTTCTCCTTCGTGGTTGGTGTCCACTGTTTCCTCTAATTTCATTATTCACAGTTATTTCCACTTCAGACCACGTTGCAGTCTTACAAATACATATCCTCTTTACTTCTTCCTTTCCTTCTGTTACCCCGAGTATTTCAGGAAAAAGTCTCTCTCCATTTAAATTGGGATTTCCTCCTCCCTTCCCTCCTCTCAGAAAAAAAAGCTTTACTATCACCAGTGAACATCAAATTAGTCACAGCAATGTAACCGTAATTTTTCAAAGTGGGGGACTAAACTTTTGAAGAGAAAATTAGATTACAAACTGCAGGGATTCTGGTTCAAAGTGGTTGGCGGGGGCACCCATATATTTCCCCTTCCTCCAAAGATACCCTTAAAGTTACAGGTAAGAAATTAAAAAGATATAAATCCAGGGTTCATATCTAGCTGTTATGCAATCGTACAGCCACACTGGTGGTTTAAAATATTTAAATACTCTGTACTGATGAAGAGCTACTATCCCAATGCCCAAAGTGCCCCTCCACTGGTGGATCTCCCTGTCCCATCCACTGGGCCCCCTAAGACATCTCCTCAATCCTATAAAGAGTTAACATTTGACAAAGCTGGAGAACTCAGGGTCTCTGCTCCAGCATCCCTTCTGATTGATCCAGACCTGTTCTACACAGCTTAATAAATATGTTTCATATCATCCATTAATAAACACACAAGAGACATTTCAACAAATCTGTAAAGAGATTCAAAGTGCACCGAGAAACCCTGACTGTTGTAACAGGGTGAAGCAAGCCATGGTCTTAAAAAATATTTTTCTAACTTCTTTCACCTCAACCCACAGTAAAAAGTACATTTTACATGGAGATCGAATACATATCTACATATATGTCTGTGTTTTGGTATAACTAAAACAAATTTTACAAGACAGTGTTTACCCTTACGATGTGCAGGGCACCCTGACGTGTTCTCTTCTAAGCTATTCTTTTCATATAATCTTAAGCCACTACATGTATTTCATGACTTCATGAGTTCTCTAATGGGTTACAACCCGGTAGTTCAAGTACACTGGTCAGGAGTCACTCTGAAAGAGTACAGACACAGAGGAAGCAGTTGTCACAGGGGACCACACAAAGGTTCGGAATACTTAAGCCAAGTAAAGTAAAGGGTGAAAATGAGAAGTAGGGCTGAACAGTGTTATCTCAATTGAAAGCCTATATATGAAGACAACTGTTTTCCCCAACTCAAGCAAGGGAGAAGAAGTCAATGCCTGACTTCAAAGCTTCAAAGGACAGGCTGACTTTCGTTGGTGGCTGATGACTTTAAGTTGAAGCCAATGCTCATTTACCATTCCAAAAATCCTAGGGCTCTTGAGAATTATGCTAAATCTACTCTGCCTGTGCTCTACAACAACATAGCCTGGATGACAGCACATGCGTTTGCAGCATGGTTTACTAAATATTTTAACCCTACTGTTAAGACCTACTTTTCAGGGAAAAAAAAAAAAGAAAAAGATTTCCTTTCAAAATAGTACTGCTCATTGACAATCCACCTGGTCACCCAAGAGCTCTGAATGAGATGTATAAAAAAGTTAACTTTTTTGGTGCCTGCTAACACAACATCCATTCTGTAGCCCATAAATAAAGCAGTGATTTTGACTTTCAAGTCTTCCTATCTAAGAAATGCATTGCTTAAGGCTCCAGCTGCCATAGATAGTGATTCCTCTGATGGATCTGGGCAAAGTAAATTGGAAAACATCTGGAAAGGATTTGCCATTCTATATGCCATTAGAACATTTGTGATTCATGGGAGGAGGTCCAAATATCAACATTAATAAGAATTTGTAAGAAGATGATTCCAACTCTCATGGATGACCCAAAGGTCAAAAGTTCAAGACTTCAGTGGAAGTCACTGCAGATGTGGTGGAAATAGCAGCAAGAGAATGAAAGTTACAAGTGGAGCCTGAAGAAGTGACTGGACTGCTATAATCTCATGATCAGACTTGAAGGGATGAAGAACTGCTTCTTACAGATGAGCAAAGAAACATGGTTTCTTGAGATGGAATCTGCTCCTACTGAAGATGCTGTGAACATTGTTGAAATGACAACCAGGGATTTCTAATATTACATAAACTTAGTTGATAAAGCAGCAGCAGGATTTGAGAGGACTGACTTTCATTTTGGAAGCAGTTCTATTGTGCGTAAAATGCTATCAAACAGCACTGCATGCCACAGAGAAATCTTTCATGAAAGGAAAAGTCAATTGATGTGGCAAACTTCATTGTTGTCTTATTTTACAAAACTGCCAAAGTCACCCCAACCTTCAGCACCCACCACCTTGATCACTCAGCAGACACCAACATCAAGGCAAGACTCTCTACCAGCAAAAAGATTATGGGGCTGGGCTCAAGTCTGTAGTCCCAGCACTTTGCGAGGCCGAAGCGGGTGGATCACCTGAGGTCGCAAGTTCAAGACCAGCCTAGCCAACATGATAAAACCCCATCTTTACTAAAAATACAAAAATTAGCCAGGTGTGGTGCCATCTGTAACCCCAGCTACTTGGGAGCTTGAGGCACGAGAATCACTTCAACCCAGGAGGTGGAGGTTGCAATGAGCCAAGATCATGCCAATGCACTCCAGCCTGGGCAACAGAGTGAGACTCTGTCTCAAAAAAAAAAAAAGCAGAAGATCACATATGATTTGAAGTCTCAGATGATCATTAGCATTTTCGAGCAGTAAGGTATTTTTACATTTTAATTTAAAAATTGAAATTAATTTTTAAACAATTAATGTACATTGTTTTTTAGACATAATGCTATTACACACTTAATAGACTAAGGTATAGTGTAAACATAACTTTTACATGTACTTGGAAACCAAAATATTCATGTGACTTGCTTTACTGGGATACTCACTTTCTTGGGATGGTCTGGATGTGAACCCTCAGTATTTCCCAGTGTGCCTATGATGACTTTGGGAGGAAGGCTGGTGGACAGGGGGTGAAGTAAATAAGCTAAGTCTTCATCTACTAGAGCAAGACATTTTAGAAAACATCTAAAGTGAATAAATCGAGAAGGGGCCATAATGGAGGTAACTATAAGAAGAACTAACAGGACTTGAGGATCAAATCAGCAAAGGGGTGGGGACAGCCAGGGAAGGATTCCAGCAACTTGAAGGTTTCAAGCCCACTGGAAGGATATTTTTGGTTCAAAGCCGAGGGGAAAAGTAAGTGCAATGAGGCGTGCTGAGTCATGTCTGTCAGAAGAAAGGGCCACTCTATTCTCGAGAGGGCAAGAATGATTATGTTAGTTTAGAAACAGAAATGCAGGGTGGATCTCTAAGGAGAGGTTAGGGAAAAGCCTCTGAGTTTAGGAATAGTGACATTCTAGGAGAGGCCAACATCTTCAAATGCAAAAATGTTTCAGGAAAAACAACAGGGAGCCACACAGTCTTGGAGGATACTCACACTTAATGGTAGGGACATAAAGAGAATATAGGAGGCCAAAAAGTCAGAAGAGGAGAAAAACAAGGATCGAGTCAGTTCAAAAATGGTAAGTGGAAGAAAGTTTCTAGGAGGAAGCAGGAGAGGACCACCTGCAAATTACTGCAGAAAACCAAAGGAATAAGAAATTAGGAAAGGCCGCTGGGTTTGGTTGAAGGTCACTAATCTAAACCAACAAGGGCCAGAGAAATCAATAGCGTGGTGTTAGGAATGGTAGGAGCCAAAATATGACTGCATATTATGTGATGGGGAGATACTAGTGACACACAGAAAAGAAAGAACAAGAGAAACAGGCCAGAGGCTGGGGTGTGGCTGGCCATCTAAAGACTTGAATCTGAGGAAACCTCTGTATCTTTGTTAGCAGCAGGGAAACAATCGCATAAAACTGCTTTCCTTAAAAGAAAGAATTAGTCACACACTGTTTACACTGCTGCCTTCCTAGTGGCAATTTTTGGCGCACAGACAGACTAAACTTTTCCATATTTCTACTAAATCCATTATTTGACCTGCAGAGAGGGTGGGAGGATCTGGCAGAACACAAGGCCCTTTCCAGTTAAGAAAAGGGCTTTGGACCTCACAGAAAGGAACCCCCAATAGGCCACAAAAAGTTTCCCACAGAAGTCCAGTCCAACACAATCTAACCCGTTCCCCTGTGTTGAGGGTCCTTAGTTTTATAATCAGGAGTAAGAAAAAGCAGAAGAGGAAACAGGGATTCAGGAGGAAAGTGCAGGGGTCACCTTCAGGCTGCCAGGGCCAGTTCTTCTCCACAAAATTCAAGTGATCAATTGCACCCTGCCTGCCTTCAAGTTGTTGAGAAGGATGGGTGAATGCTACTCAACAAGCAGGATGGGCATTCAAGTAAATTAAAGTGTCAGCTATGATTTGATGCAGAAAATCTCTTCCCCCTGGAGAGTGCTCAAGGGCAATATGCACATAGGGAATGGCAAAGAATAAGCAAACCATTAGGAAGATGCCACATGGCAGCATAACACTCACACACACACACACACACACACACACACACACACACACACGTAAACGGAGACAAGGATTTATGGTCCATGACCCCATCCATATGGAATTACCTATCAGACCAAAACAGAATTAGGAGGTAACAGGCTGCTGATGAAGAGACTAAAGGGAAGCACATGCAGACAATGCAAACAGCATACAGACTACACACATGGTGCATACAGCATACAAACTATGCATACAGACAATGCATACAGCATACAGACTATGCGTACAGACAATGTATACGGCATACAGGCTATGCATACAGACAATGCATACGGCATAAAGACTGTGTATACAACATAGAGACTGTGCATACAGTGCATACAGCATACAGACTGTATACAACATAGAGACTGCATACAGACAGCGCATACAGCAGACTATATATACAACATAGAGACTGCATACAGACAGTGCATACAGCATACAGACTATGCATACAGACTGTGTATACAACATAGAGATTGTGCATACAGACAGTGCACACAGCATAGAGAATCTGCATACAAACAGTGCATACAGCATACAGATTATGCATACAGACAGTGCATACAACATACAGACTATGCATACAGACAATGCATACAGCATACAGACTGTGTATACAACATAGAGACTGTGCATACAGACAGTGCATACAGCATACAGACTATGCCGACAATGAATACAGCATACAGACTGTGCATACACAGTGCATACAGCATACAGACAGTGCATACAGAGCATTACAGATTGTGCATACAGACAGTGCATACAGCATACAGACTGCATACAGACAATGCGTACAGCTTACAGACAGTGCATACAACATATAGACTGTGCATTCAGCATACAGACTGTGCATACGGACAGTGCATACAAACAGCATATACAGACTGCCAGTAAAGAATATGGGAAAACCAGAGTATGCCAGAAAAACACAGCAAAAGTAAAATGAAAGGAGCAAACACAAAGTCAGGAAAATGGGAGAAATGAAAATATAAGAGAAAGACCAATAAAAATTGTCTTCGACTAAATGAGATGAAAGAGACAAAAGGGATTGAGAAATTAAAATGAAAGAAGGTAGATATTTGAGGGAAAAAATATAGAAAATAAGCGATTTTTAGTAATGGTCATTAAGAAACATGATCAACACAACCAAGTAATTCCAAATCTTCCTTTACCAGTGGTTCTTAACCAGGGGCTGTATTTGCTTCTCAGGGACACTTGGCAATGTCTGGAGACATTTTTAAGTGTCAAGACTTGGAGATGGCAGCCTGGCATCTACTGGGAAAAAGCCAGGGATGACACTAAGTATCCTATAATGCACAGAACAGCCCCCCACCCCAACAGAAAAAGTACCTGGCCCAATATATCAATAGTTCCATGGTTGAAAACTAGCGCTCTAAACGTGGGCTACTATCACCAAACTATTACAACAGATATGAATGAAGAGCCAATGACAGACAGGTTTACAGAGATGATGAGGCCAGGCACACAGAAATTTCGACCCTGGAGAAGGAGGAGATCAAAACTGCACAACCTCCAAATGTGTCCTCTGGATGCCCCATTAGGCCAGAGAGGTGGCCCTATACTCAAGTTGCCTGGACACAAGACATATCCTCTTCTCTTCTATGTTTAATTGTCAAAGCTACGTGCTAAAAAAAGCAGATATCCTATCTGCAAAGGATGAGGTAACTGTGTTCAAAAATTCTGAAAAGCACAGTACACCGAAATCATCAAAACCTTGAACTGAGTAAGTTATTTAACAAGCAACCATTGAAAGAGATATTGTTAATAACTAAACTCCTGAGTTTCTCAAAAAACGAGCTACTACATTTGGTTACTGAGGAGAGCTTATCTAAAACCAAATTAAAAAGAAATTGTAGCCATCTCCTATTTATCTAAACTAACAAGGGCCAGAGAAAACCTAACTAATACAATCCAAAAAAAAATTCAAAATGTAAACAGTTGAGTAATTAAGGCTCCTAGCCTATTGGGGAAATGCCAATCACGAGACTTTTTAACTGAATTCTAAGAACCAAACCTGAGCTCTACCACTTATCATGGGAAGGAAGGGAAGAATTACCTCAACTCCTTCATAGTGATATAAGGGTAATAACATCGCCTCACAAAGTTAATGCAGAAACGATAAGGATGAGTGATTTCTTTTTATGATGGGTGAAAATATCTAGCACAATACCTGATATTCAATTCTTTCACTCCTCTTCCAATAACGACAAAACAAAAACAGAATTTCATCCCTCTGATAATATTAGATTTCTATTCAAAGACTGCCTAAGTGTATACTTAAGAAAAAAGCAAAGCTTACTTTCTAAAGTTTCATTAAATATAAGCTTCACTTAAAATTTTTTTTGAAGTTATTTGTAAACAATGAGCTCAGAATTTGCAAAGCCCCATTCAGCAATCCTAGGGTCAGCTGTTCACACTCCTTAATACCTAATGAGTTTGTAAGAGTCAAGGAACCTAGCCCTACAAGCACTGTGAAAAATCAGTTTTGCAGCTCTTCAAAAAGCTATTAAGCACAGAATTACCATATAATTTGGCAATTCTTCTCCTAAGCACTGAAAGCAGGGTCTCAAACATACTTATGTTCCACTGTTCACTGCAGCATTATTCATAACAGCAAAAAGGCAGAACCTACAACCCAAATGTCCTGGGACAAAGAACAAACAAAATGTGGTTTGTCCATGCAATGGAATATTATCTAATCCTAAAAAGAAATGAAACTCTAACACAGGCTACAACACAGATGAACCTTGAAAACATCATGCTAAGTGAAATAAGACAGACATAAAAGGACAAATGCTGTATGATTTGATTCCACTTCTATGAGGTCTCTGAAATAGGCAGATTTATAGACAGAAAATAGAGTAGAGGTTATCACCAGGGGTTGGGGGAGAGAGAGAGAGAATTACTGTTTAATAGGTAGAGTTTCTCCTTGGGGTGATGAAAAGTTCTGGAAACAGAAAGTAGTGATGGTTGCACAGCACGGTGCATGTACTTCCATGAACTGTACAATGAAAATGGTTAAGATGGCAAGTTTTACATTACATATACTTTACAAAAATTTTTTAAAACTACATAAAAAAGGCAATTATACCCTAGATTCCTTGAAAAAAAAAAAGTCAGGTACCACAGTGAATGAGGGAAAAAGAAGCTGGGTTTCTTGCCCCCCCTGCCCCCATCCTTCATATTTCTGGATGACACAGTGTCAAGTCTTGTTCATCTCAGCCAATTTCAAATATGTCTTTATCCCCTTTTAGGTAACCATTTGAGATGCCAATTCTGGAGTAGCAGCTAGGTATATACTTCTATCCCACATGTTATCAACTTCATTTTTACTCCTCCTGCACTCTCGCACTCTTCACTTAGCTGTTCCCATGAACCACAGCATGAGCTGTCAGTCTCTGTAGCCGGAACACGTTATGCTCTCCAGTGATGCTCCTCTTATCGCATTGTGAGGAATTAACATCCAGTTTGCCAGATGTCAGACATAACCTTTATCCACTTACCTGGGAGAACTCTCCTGCCTAATTTTGCTCACTCCCCAGATTATTCTCCCACTGCATTGCTGTAGTGGTTGATTTACATGATTGTTTTATTGAACTCTCCACCTCGCACCCTAATGGAAGCAAGAGACAGTCATGGATTTTGGTTTCGGATGCTAATTTTATCTATTCCCCCTTGTGACCTTTAAGCCTAGAAGAATGGAAAAGGTAGTGGGAAGATGTCAGAGAAGCTGTTCGTTCACAATTTTCCCTCTTACTAGCCAGCACCTTCCTGACACTAAAGCACTATGAGAGGCACCCACAGAGTCAAGGATAAATCCAATGGGTAGGAGGACCCAAGCACCTACTTCTCCAGGACAGGCATCCACGTGGCACATGGTGCTCAACACAGGGGAAGAATAAACAGTACTACACAGGATCTGGGAAACTCAAATCATCCATCTGCCCGTGCCGCTGAATCTCTGAGAGCCCTAACTCAAATGTTACCAAATTCCTCTAAGTCTCAGTCTCTTCATTTATGAAGTACAGGACTCTATGAGATATCTCTATAGTCCTCCAGCTTTCAGAGTTCAACTAGCACATCAAGAACTGTAGCTCCAAAACTGTTCTCCAGTCACACCAAAAAAATATTTCATACGGGAAAATTTTTTAAATGTAATATACAAGTAGATATCTGTTCAAATTAGGAAGAGAATCTCTCAGGGTTTTATTTTCCCACATTCAAGCTAAATAAAATAAACTAAATAAAAAGGGAAAATTCTTTCAATTTTTAAGGTGAATGCAAGAAACTCTGTTTTTCTCAAATGGCCTTGTTTTTTTTCTATTACAATTGCTGCTAAACTAGGTCACCTAAGTAATAAATATTGAAAGCATTTAACCAAATTCAAACATCTGTTCCAATCCCCTTTTAGGGCTTGATCCAGCTGAAACAAAATATCTACTGCCCTACAGGACCTGCAAGATCCTCTAACACTGCTGAAAATGTTGGAGGGTTTTTTTCCCCTAAAGCCAATATATCTGGAGAAAAAAATATATGGCTTATTTCAATATGTCTGGAGCACAAGTACAAAATTATATGAGAAGCTGCAAAATCTGAACAAGTAAATCTTCTTATACTAGAACAACAGGACTCATAGCCAAACTTCAGTTGGGTATGTACCCAATTTAAGCCTCAACTTGGTAGGTCTGTTCAGAGAACATGGTGAAGGTAGTGCCTCTACAGTTCCCATATATACCAGGAGAGCCTTGCTCTGAGGCTAGTTGCCCTACTTTGCATTGGAATTTCTAAGCAAATAATGCAAGTTTGACTTTCGGAAAAAATATATTGACTTTATAAAGTAAAAATCATTTGTGGGCCAGGCGCGGTGGCTCACACCTGTAATCTCAGCACTTTGGAAGGCCAAGGTGGGCGGATTACCTGAGGTCAGGAGTTCGAGACCAGCCTGGCCAACAGGTGAAACACCGTCTCTACTTAAAAAAAAAAAATACAAAATTCACTGGGTGTGGTGGCATGCGCCTGTAGTCCAAGCTGCTCAGGAGGCTGAGGCAGGGGAATCACTAGAACTCAGGAGGCAGAAGTTGCAGTGAGCCGAGATCGCACCACTGCACTTAGCCTGGGCAACAGAGTGAGACTCTGTCTCAGAAAAAAATCATTTATATATAAAAAGACACCATAAAGTTAATAGTTAAATAATACATTTGAAAAATATCTGCAATGCACATGAAAAATTAGGGCATAAGATACAGAAGTTTCCCACAAAGTGATAACAAGACAAATTGGTGATTCAATGCAAATAAAACAAAGCCCAATAGGAAAATGGACAAAGGACATGAATAAGCAATTCACTAAATAAATCTAAATGACTGTGATATATGAAACAATGCCCACCCGCACCAGTACTGAGGAAAAGGCAATCATAATGAGATTACATTTGCACTCACCTTGCTAATTAATTAGCAAATAATTTTTCTTAAAAGAACTATTGTCATGGGGATATAAAGTCGGGGGAGAAGTATACTCTGGAATCCCTAATAGAAACAAGAATTGTAACAGACTTTGGAAACCAATCTGTAAAAAGTTAAATCAAAAACTGATGTACTCATTGACCTACTAATCACATTCTTTAAGAAATAATAGTCTAGTATGTAAGGATATATATTTAACATGGTTATTAAATGACTGTTTATAACAGCAAAAAGAAAAACTACCAGAAACTAAATATTCATTAACAGAAGATTCATTCAATAAATCAGCACATTTACAAAATGGAGTGCTATATAACCACTAAAAATGAATCCTGTCAATGCTAGGGAGGAACTTCTATGCTGTATTTTAAGTGAGAAAATCAAGGTGTAGAAACATTAACATACTATATCCTTATTGTTTATTAAGCACTAAAAAAGTTAAAGATAATTATATAGACAGAAGAAAAACACAGGTTATCCACCACATTATTAATACTACTTATTTGTGAAGGAGAGTGGTACCATTATAAAGTGGGAAAAGCTAAAAAACAAAATAAAGTTGAATTTTAACAATGTCTATGATTTTTTTAAAAACATGGTATTCCAGTGGCGTAAAATGATATGTGTATTTCATACATAAATGCATAAACAGATGATCAGAAACAAAATAACTCCAATGATCCCGCTTGATTGTCACTGCAGGGGTCTTCAAACTAGGCACCATACCCAAACAGTACAAAATACAATGCTGGGATACAAGAGAAAAATACTAGAACTTTACATATTGACTTTTATTTTATCTGTAGTTATGTTATTTCATCCACTTGAACTATTTTTAGGATGCTTTATATTATTAATATGTTGCCTTAAAAGATGCATATATAGGGTAATATTGAAACATTTTAGCTGATAAACATACACAATTTAAAAGTTTAGAGACCACGGTGGATACATTAAAGCAGAATAATTTTTAACATCAAGACTCCTTCAAGAAAGTTTTGATTACAGAATCTATAGGCAAATATGATTCTATAGAACCTGTAGGCATATATGATTCTATAGAAAAAATTACTAGAGCCATTGTTTCTACTAGGATTGGGTTTATCAGTATCTTCCTCTCCCTTCCATCCCCACTCCTTCTACCCTATAAGAGTCACCAAGTTATCAGAGCAGGACTTCTCAGATAGAAAACCACCACCACCACCTGCTATCACTTTCTCTTTTTTTAGTTTTGATTTGTTTTAAAGAGATGAGGGTCTCACTACGTTGCCTAGGCTGGCCTTGAACTCCTGGCCTCAAGTTATCCTCCTGCCTCAGCCTTCTGAGTAGCTAGAACTAAAATCATGCACTTTCCTGTGCTCAGCTACTTTCTGTCACTCTCATATGTGATCTACCTACACCCATCACCACCAATTCCTTTCCATTCTCTTACAAGTGGATTTTCACAACATCATCTGCTAAATTCCTCTCCCAAATAATCCTGTGAGAATGACTCTAAGAATAAACCAACATACACTTTAAAAACTCTGAAAACTACAAAGCACCATTAAAATTGCCACCAATGATCCTGTTGTCGTTCTTGTCAGGATAATAGGTTGGCAGAACTCACAATTCTTGAGATCCCAATAGCATTTGTTGCAAAAATCTTACATTTTTACATATATTACATCTATGTTTGTAATAAACCCCACACCACTCTATTATATTGAGTTCCCATCCAGTGTCCTTCTCCTTAAGCCTAAAGAAATTCCTTCAGAAATTCTTGCTGTAGAGATGTACTACAACAAATTGTCTCCATTTTCATTTTTATGAAAATATCTTATTTCACCTTCATTTTTGGAGGATTTTTCTTTGGATACAGAATTCTGAGTATAGATAGTTTATTTTCTAGCACTTTAAAAATGTCATTCCACCATTTTATGACCTACTTTGTACCTGATGAGAAGTGATCATTTGTACTATTGTTCCAATCTATGTAATATGTCTTATGACTCTGGCTGCTCTCAAGATTTTCCTTTATCTTTGGTTTTCAGTTGTTTTATTATGCAGTGCCCAGGTGTGGTTTCCTTTTTATTAATCTTGCCTGGGGTTTACTGAGCTTCTTTGATCTCTAAATTTATGTTTTTCACCTAATCTGCAAGACTGTCTAATACTATCTCTTTAAACATTTTTCTTGTTACATTTGCTCTCTTCTTACCTTCTGAGACTACAATTACATATATGTTAAATTACATGACATTACTCCAACAGCACTGAGATTTTATTCATTTTTCTTTAATAATTTTTCTCTTTGTTTTCTAGATTAAATAATTAATATTGATCTATCTTCAAGGCCACTTACCCTTTCAAACTTCCACCTGTTTTTTAATGTTTTCTATTTTTCTATTAAAAATTCCCCCATCTTTTGTTTCATTAAGATCATATTTTAAGTCCTTGGGCATATTTATATATATATGCTTTTTAAGTCTTGTGCACTAATTCCAACATCTTCAGTCATCTTAGAGCTGTTTTCTACTGATTGTTTTATCTCTTCTCTATGAGTCAAATTTCCTCTTCTTCTCATGGTTATTATTAGGTACAGTATTTCATGAATATTATTTTGCGGAGACTCTCTATCTTACTCTAAATAATGTTAATTATTTTGTTGCCCAGGCAGTTACTTGGCTAGATTCAAACTCCAAATTATCTTTCCTCTATAGTGTGCAATAGCTCAGTTCTTTCAGCTTTCCAGCTGTTGCTTTTCACTAGGAACTTTGGAGTCTCCCCAGGATCAGCCAAGAAATTTGGGAAGAGTTTATATATAGATGTTTGGGGGTCCCTTCTTTCTTTAGTTAACTTCCCTCCAATTTCAGTCTGCTTTTTATTGCTCTCAAATGCCTTCAAATAGTTCACTTTATATTTTGTTCAGAGTTTGTAATTGTCATCTGTAGTGCCATTAGTCTGATAAGAAAAATTTGCCCCATCTATATCTTAAAAACACATTTCCTTTATTCAAGATCACTATTGTTATATACTGATATATATTTTCTTGCTTTAAAAAAAGCACAGAATAAAACCATTCTTTGTTCATTTTTAAGTAATTAGACTACAAAAGGGGCAGTAAAGTTCTTAGTTTTTGGTTTCATAGCAACAGTTTACTTACACTAGAAAAACTATATAGTGTATAAATTTGGAAATAATTCCATCTCATTATGCATATTTGCATTTGGTAATGGAGTTATTTTTAAAGTGAGGAGAAATATATTCTCGTTAGAGGAATGGGTAAATGCAACTTTTTTTTCATTTGGAAGATGGCATTACCTTGCACATTAGCTCAGAAAGCCATTGGGTTTATAACCATGTGCAGTGCAACTCATGAAAGCAGTCTGTTTGCCAAGGCCAAGGGGATTCATCACATCTCTGGCAACTGGGGAATCTGTAACCTCTAACACACTGAATAATAAAATAGCATTATTATGTGGTACTCACAGAGTACTGCAAGCCAATTACAGTAAATGACTTTATGTAATTCCCCAGACCTTATCTGTAACTCATGTGATAATGGTCTAGTACTCTACATTCTTGAAGGAGGCCAGTTGTAACTTCACCGATGAAAAGCAGTGTTCAGACAGCTAAAAGGGACTTAGGAAATCACCTAGTCCAGTCTCCTCATTCTACAGGTGAGGAAACTGATTGCAAAAGAAATTAAATAACTTATGCAACATCAAAAAATTAAGTAAATGTCAACAATGGCAGAAACAAGTCTAGAGACAACTGCTTGTTCCAATATCTTACATTAGGTCTCCTAGATACAGCAAAAATTTAAAATTTTTTTAAAAAAGTATCAGAGACAAAAATCTTAAGGGAAGAAGGAAACTGAAACAGAAATCCCCTAAATTTTGACTCTCTCACTGTTTTGCATGATTGGGCTAATTTAACCTTCTTATGTCATTGAAGAAGAGATACAAAATAAATTTATTCCAAACAAGTTGTTTTGCAGAACTATTAATAAAAAAATTGTAAATAGTCTGCAAATATGAAAAACTCTAAAAGCTTTATTGAAAGTTATATATCATTAACTTACATTACTAACCCACTACCTTGTATTGCCAGAACCCATTTATCCTGTTAAACTCTCTTTTTACATCTTTAAGTTTCACATTAAATTACTTATGTAGGACCCAGGAGATGCTGAGTTCTAAGTCCCACTTTGTTGAAATGTTAAAAAGAAAATAAAAAGAACTAGTTATGTCCACATTTCTAAAATATATTGCTATCATGAGATTTCTTATGAATGCCAAGGCAAGTTTTGAGATGATGATGATGATGATGATAATCATCATCATCATTACTGTATATGACTCTAATAGTTCTCAGTGGAATTCAATTAGCTGGCTTCTGATAACTGTAGCTTCACAATTATGATTTCTCTTTGCAAGAAATCATTGTTATTTTTAAACCAAAGAACAAGAGTAATTTCTCTTTATATATACACTCATATATGTATATACACATGTGCGTACATATATACATATGTTATATTCATTGCCTAGGGTCTTAAGAATGAAATCAAGAGAACAATTTGGAAACATTTACACTGGCAAATGCGGAGCCCATGAAGGTAAAACATTAAAAATGTTTTGAGCAGGCGTATCCTAGTTGCCAAAAAAAAGAAAAAAAAACTGCCAAGAGAATGTTTCAAAATGCTTGAATTGTTCCAATTGTGTAATTTTTTTTCAACTGTTTCCACCAGGCGGTAAATAAAATCCCATTAGAATCCGTGAACAACAGGCTATCTCACTGAATAGGAGGGAGAGCAGGGGAAAACAATATGGAGGGGAAAGAGGGGCAAGCCAAAGACGTTTGCATTTAACCATCTTAACCGCTGTAAATCAAATATTTTATTTTACTCACTTATTTCCCCTTGAAAATACATGTAAGTGAAACAAAAGCTTCATTCAAATATACCAGGGACTGCTTAGAATGTTATGAACAAAATGCTAGTTTGTTGAAAGACACGTTCCACTTCAGAAAATGTCTGCTGGAGTTCGTGTGGGTGCCACATGGTCTTCTAATAGAGTGGATGCTCTGTGGGGTGGTCTCTTACTCCCTGGGTTCCCTCCCCTCCACCTGTGACAGAAATGAAAGGAATTTATGAAACTATAAGTGACTGAAACATTCCCCCTAAAAGGAAGGAGTGCAGGTCTATGAATCAGTTCCTTGAGGGCAGGTGGGATTTGTATAATAAAGAACAAAATATACTAGCAGAAAATAGGTCCAGGTAGGTTGGGAGGGTGGGGAAGAGAGGTGGTCAGAAGAATTTGAGAATTTAGGGTCATGGAAATGGGGACTTTTTGGAGGCAGCTGCTGTATGCAGAGTTCGAGAGCAATGGGGAGAGAGGATTTCAAGTTCTTCTGTGGGATCCAGGAGCTCCTCAAATACTCCTTCCATTTAAACTAAAACTGAAGATAAATTACTGATGTTCTCTCTAAGACTAAAAATTCCACCTATGAAACATCCTTCCAGTATTTATTCCTTCCAAGAAAAAACATTCATCCCATTGTTTGTATATAATACAGATGATGAGAGAATGGGATAAAAATCAGAAGGCAGGGAGTGAGGAATAACCCAGAAGGCTTAATGTCTGGAGTTGTCAACACCTATTTGATGGGAGTCTATATTGTAATTCTAAACCTTCCTTTTTTGCTTCAAAGCCCAGGCTGAAAGGTTTGTGAGTTTTACAAGTTCTAACACAAGACTATCTTTTCAATAAACTTGGTATTTTAAAAAGAACTTTATCATGGCATGCCACAGACTGTCAAAGACAGACAGAACTCAATAAAGAACAGATCCTTTACATATGGATAACTAGTAAAGGGACGGGATCTGAGTGAGCAGGGTCTCTGGGTGCCTTGGAATTCTGTGACAAACTGTGTGTGTGTGTGTGTGCGCGTGTGTGTGTGTGTGCATGCGCACGTGCACGCACAGCACAAGGTGTGTTTTTGGCAGATTGTTAAAGGGGTCCATAATTTTTTTAACGGCAAAGAACTATAGAACAAGATTACCTACTACTACAATTTGTAGTAGGTAATTTCCCTCACAATTTGTAGATGAAAAACTCAAGATGTAAAAAGGCTACTCTCCACAGTCACACAGCTAGAGGTGCCCCACGCCTGGCCAGTGCTCTCTCTTGAGCTGGGGGTAATGTGAGGACTCCCTCCCAGGGCAACAGGGGAGGCCCCAATCAGGGAACATCAGAATGAAAATTCACTCTGAAAGTGGAACTCCAAACAGCACCAAGAAAAGCTCAGAAAGTTTCCCTGGAAGAGCTCAGGAGGCAGATTATGAAACTGGACTAAAGACTGGGAAATCCAGACCCAAGAGACACAAATAGGACAGATGCTCTGAGAACACAGAACTTCCTTCGGGCGATTAGTCAGAGGATTCGGCACCAAGTACAGGGGATTCTTGCCACCATCCTTGAGTATATTACAATTCAGCATTATACTCTGGTAAAAGCAATGCTTAATTTCCACCTAGAAGTGTTCATAAGCAGCATTTATTCAGCTAAGACTTACTGATTAACTACCATGTGCCAAGGATACAAAGATAAAAGAGAGAACAGAGAATAGTGAAGAGAGTACAGATGTTGACCTTGGACCGCCTTACGTAGGAACCTCAGCTCTTCTACTCATGGGCTGAGTATCCTCAGGCACTATTTACCCATCTTTGGCTTAGTTGCTTCATCATTAAAACAGAGAGAGACCAGAACTCAAAGGGTCTCTGTTACTACTAGTATTAACACAATATCTATGCTTAAGCTGCTCATAGACCAGAGAGAACTAGGAACAATTAACTACTTACAGCCCCACAGGACCAGAGGCTACCAGAAATATAGGAAGTGTCCATGGGAGGAGATGACACACTCCCCACGACCACCAATGAGAGTCATGCAAACATACATTGCATGCACACACATACATACACACACGTAGACACACATTAAGTACCAGGCAAACCTCCATTCATACAGCTTTCTGGACATGGACAGGGAGGCTCCACAAAAGTGCTGCTACCCAGAGGCATAGCATTCCTAGATGGTTCTTAAGTACAATTAGAGCAGCATGGGGCATGAAGAAGTCTGTGCACACTATGGAAGCCAAGCCTGACTCAAGCAGCATCCTCTCAGGTCATGCATTACTGCAAATCTGTATTTCCACATTCTGCCCCAACTGCTAGCCAAGGGGAGGGAAAACTGACTCAACAAGGTAATCCTTTTAAACCCAACTGTACCAGCAAGTGCCTTCCCTCTCCTTGCAGAGCTATATGAAATGGCGTTGAGTTATATTTCATTGCTATTTTATTATAGTTGGACTTTAGAGTTAAGGTCAGAATTCTCTCTGTATGCTATCTCACTAAAAGCACCCCACCGCCTCAACCCCTCCTTTGAAGACAGCAAAGATCATCAACAGGGTAACGTGACCTATTCTAGCCTCCCTACCCCCTAGTTACACAACCACGGACAAATCACTTAAACTTTCCAAGCCTGTTTCCCTATCTCTAAAATGGGAACCATAATAGTAGCTACCTCATGACATTGTGATGAGAATGAAATGGGTAATTCACGAACAGCATTTAGTACTGTGCCCAACACACACTCGGCATTCAGTAAATGTCATCAATTTTCACAAGAAACTACACTTGAGATAGCACTCAAGAGTTAAGAGCAATGTCACAAGCGCGAAGACAGATTCGGCATACCATACATCAGATCCCCATTATGAGAATATCAGTCCACCAAAGGCAACACCTGTGATCCCACCAAGTGAGTTACTGATGTGCCATGAAATGTCCAGGAAAAAGGGCCAACTTTCAAGCCAATGATAATAAACACAAAGAATATCTTCAAAGTCTTTCCCACTCCGTCCAATTACTCAAATATGAAACATTTCACCATGTCTGAAAGACAGAGCAAATGAAACAGTGGAATTACCCTAATTTTCCAACTCTCTTCTGCTGCAGAAATTAATAATATTCTTCCAGAGAAAACAGAAACTCTTTTTAAATGTAAAAGTCTAGTAGGTCTAAAATGCGGGTTAAATGTATATAAAACACGTAACATCAACTAGGTTTCATTTCAATAAATATCAGCAAACTCATCAAATGTATTTTAATCAGGTGTATTTTGATCAAACTATAGACAAGTTGTTCCATTCTTGTGTGGCTGTTGTAACTTTATCAAGTAATAGGGCTTGCTCAGCTCAGCAATGCTTCATTTGGTATACGTTTACTGCACTGTTTGAAAAGCAAATGTTATCTTTTTAAAAATATATAAACATATTGGTGAAAAGTGTCCCTGATATTGACAGAAATCATCAGTTTTTAAAAACAAAAGTAATTTACGTCAGGAACCATAGCATAAAGAAATAAGAAAATTCACTTATGTGCTACATATTAATAGACTTTAGTTAGTAATATCTGATTCAACATGAGATGTGTATAATGACACAATTTTTATCTGGCTCAATATTTTAATATAGCTTTATGAGTGACTAGGACAGGGTTTCTCAGCCTCAACACTATTGGCACTTAGTGCCAGGTAATTCTCTGTTGTAGGGGGCTATCTTGTGCACTGCAGGATGCATTGGCAGCATTGGTGGCCTCTGCCCACTAGATGCCAGTAGGACCCTCCCCCAAGCCATGACAACTAATGATGTCTCCAGACATTGCCACATGTCACGTGGAGGGCAATATCACCCTACTCAAGTATCGCTGACTCTAGTGTTTCCTTCTCAATTTGATCTAAAAGGCACTAATGAGAACGGAAAATAAATGTTCTATGCTGCTTTTATGTGCCAGGGACTCTGCTAGGTATGTCATCTCCAATCTCATATTTTGTCCCCACTATGAAAAAATCCAAGCTTTTCCCACTTTGTCATACATTTTCTTTTCTTCTTTTCTTTTTCTTTTTTTCTTTTTTTTTTTTTTTTTGAGACTGAGTCTTACTCTATCACCCAGGCTGGAGTGCAGTGGTGCGATCTTGGCTCACTGCAACCTTTACCTCCCGGGTTCAAGCGATTCTCCTGCCTCAGCCTCCCGAGTAGCTGGGATTACAGGCACCTGCCACCACACCTGGCTAATTTTTGTATTTTTAGTAGACACAGGGTTTCAACATGTTGGCCAGGCTGGTCTCAAACTCCTGATCTCAAGTGATCTGCCCGCCTCGGCCTCCCAAAGTGCTGGGATTACAAGCATGAGCCCCTGTACCCAGCCTGTCACGCATTTTCAATGCACAACTACTTTTAAATTATATAATATTTTAAATGATATATTCTTGTCATCTTGACCATGATCAAATAGCATACAAGTCCCCAATTTTTGAATTTTAGTTTCACTCATTTGTCACTAATAAAGATCTACATTCATTTCTTGCTACCTTTATGTACCTGTTCATTAATTCACTCAACAAATATATATTAAGTCCCTACTGTACACTGTTCTAAGCCAAGGGATCCAGTAAAAACAAGATGGACTAAGACCTTACCCTCATGAAGCTTACAGTCTAGGGATACATTTCCAAACAGAGCGGAACACATGCAGGCGTCAGCATGTGCAAATCAAGAATGTGCCTAAGCATTTTCTACTTCAAGACTCTGTCTCCAAGAACACACTGGTCCTTTTTTTTTTCTTTTTTTGAGATGGAGTCTCGCCCTGTCGCCAAGGCTGAAGTGCAGTGGCATGATCTCGGCTCACCGCAACCTCCGCCTCCCGGGTTCAAGTGATTCTCCTGCCTCAGCCTCCAGAGTAGCTGGGATTACAGGCACGCGCCACCATGCCTAGCTAATTTTTGTATCTTTAGTAGAAATGGGGTTTCGCCATGTTGGCCAAGCTGGTCTCGAACTTCCAACCTCGTGATCCACCCGCCTTGGCCTCCCAAAGTGCTGGGATTACAGGCGTGAGCCACCGCGCCCGGCTCACTGTCCATATTTAACAAGAGACTTCTTTGGCATTATTCCATGCCATAAAAGCAATCACTTCAAATCCCTATTTGTAAAACTTTGTATTATAGCACTTGACATGCCTGGTGCTTTCCAGGAATTTTACCAAAGTGAATGCCTAAAGACTGAAGTTTACTATTTCAGCACCAAATTTTTAAAAATTCATTTTAACTATACGTAATAGAATTTTTTCCTGTGTACCAGACAACATCAGTCCAAGCCCTAATCTTTACTCTGACACCATACATTGTATGTTTAAGTCAAATCCAATTTTTGGAGGTCTTTAACTTCTTAAAATAGTAATTAGAACATGATGGTATGGCTCATAAAGTAAACTCATTTCCATTTCCGAAAACTCGAGAAATGCACTTAACAAATAATTAAAGGAAAGCAAATTCTGCTTGGATAAACTCCATCGGCACTTTATAAACAATGTGACTTATATTTCTGGTCAGCTTTCTGAAAGATGGTTTGAGACACAGCTATCATTTACATTCTGTTTCTTCCATGATTGAAGCTGGGGGCAGGACAGAGGGTGGGAGTGGTAAGTGATCTGAAGTCAAGAAAATCAGAGATTTCTGGCCTCAGGTCTAAGACTGATTTATTCTCTGTTACACAATAAATTCCCCCATCTTAAAACAAAGTAATTCTCTCATCTTAAAGTAGAATGTATAACCTATTACTTAAGTCTGTTTGGAGAAGCAAAGGAAACCATTATTTTGAGAGGACTTTGAAAATGCTGAAAGTGCAACAGTGGTAAAGGTAAATAGAACATAAGTGAGGCTAGGTGCAGTGACTCATGCCTGTAATCCCAACACTTTGGGAGGTGGAGGCAGAAGAATTCCTTGAGGCCAGGAGTTCAAGATTAGCCTGGGAGACAGAGTGAGAGCACACCTCTACAGAACATTTTTTTAAAGTAGCCAGGCACTAACTGTAGTCCCAGATACTCGTGAGGCTGAGGTGGGAAGATCACTGGAGCCCAGGAGCCATGATCATGCCACTGCACTCCAGCCTAGGTGACAGAGAAAGACCCTTTCTCCAAAAAAAAAAAAAAAAAAAAAAAAGCATAAAGGAGGGACAGCCTGGTGCTTCTGTGTCCAGAATCCGAAATGCTGGTGAAATTGGACACCAAAGAAGACTCTAAGAATAATCTCTGTGATCAAGTGCCCACACTGGGTGAATCTGTATTTATAACCACGGAAGCTAAAACACAATGCAAATATCCACAAGATGGGGATATTCTTCCACCAAAAAAAATAAATAAATATATAAATAAAAAGACAATGTGTTAGTTTATTTTCCTTTGCCAAAAGTTAAGAGATGGCAGGTGGCCCAACGAGACAAGGAAGTGAAAATCACTTTACTGAGCCAACAGAAATCACGCTTCTTAATGCTCCTTGTGAATTAAAACTTGCCAACAAAGCCAGTAGAGATAACAATTGTATTAAAGATAAAAATAGTTAAAGGATTACATCACTAAGCTTATAGAAAGCCTACCGTGCGGTGCTGCCCAGAAGTCTTACAGCTGAACCCTGTGTTCACTAGTTGCAATAAAGAAATAAATGAGAACACGACACACTAGTATCAAGGACTTATTCACCGCAGTCTCGGGTCTCATGTATGTCGCCATAACCACAAGGTCATAAGCCTGAGGAAGTCAATGGCAAGCTCCATTATTTCCCCTCCTGGGCCTGCTGCTGCTACACTCCTTAGAGCAGGCACCAAATGGATTCTGGAATTGGTGTTAAGTCATGCTACGCTGACCTCTGATGAAGGACCCCTGTTCCGGTAACTAAACTTCTGCCTCTCTCCTGAGATGTATTCCCATCTTGCAACTCTATTAACTGGGTACCCACCCGGTAGCCTGAGCTGAGGTCTCTTTCTTGAACTTACCTGGTACCTCCATTTTCAGCCTTGTTCTTGCTGTCTCCTCACTCAGGAGCTGATCTGTACCTGAATGCCAAGCAGTTGCGTCCCATGACTTACTGATGGTTCCCTTCCATGCTAATGCGGTACCTACTTCACAGTGGGTGAATACACATACAGCACTTAGAGCAATGCCTGACATGTAGTAAGAGCTAACAATAACTGTAGCTTTGTGATTATCACTGATGTTCTAACTCCTGGATGTTCAGTCCACCTGTTGGGATCCCATTACGCCAAGATGGACCATCTGCATGGTGCTATTTCACCAGACTCCCAATGCACCATGGATTGATTCCACATGCTGCCTGCCAGACCAGACTTCTTCCTGTAATTATAACTGAGTCTGTCACCTCCCAGAACCCACCACACCCAGTGGCCAGAACATGCCAAACCACATCCATACAACACAGGGCCAAAAAGTCTAAAATGTGGTTTATCTTCCCAACCCAGCAACATAGCTAAGAACACAGAATTTGGAGTTAGAGGGTGGGTTGAATCCTGGCCCCCCTGCCTCTTATGTAAGCATATGATCTTATGCAAGTGACTTCAATACTCTAAATCTCAGTGTTGCATCCATAAAAAGAGGATAATAATAAATGTGTCATAGGGTTATTGTCAGGATGAATAAGATAATGTAGGTACAATGCTTGACACACAAAAAGCACTCAACACACAGTAATTGCTACTGTTACTTGCATTATTATTCCTAAGGCAAGGATGCATGTGATATGAAATACATCTGAAGGGGAAAATATTTCAGGACCTAGAACCAAAATTCTACTTCTGGAAACCTGTCCTGAAGGTAAACTTGAGCAGATGTGCCCAGATGTGTCCAGAGAAGGTGTCCATTATTTCTCATAATAAGAAAAATGTTCATTAGATCAGAGTTTGGGCAGTGTATTAACTTCCCAGGGCTGCTCTAACAAATTGCCATAAACTAGGTGGCTTAAAACAACAGAAATGTATTCTCTCTCGGGTATGGAGACCAGAAGTCTGAAATCCAGGGACCAGCAGAGCCACACTCCCTCTGGCAGCTCTAAAAGAGAATCATCCCTTGCCTCTTCCAGCTTCTAGGGGCTCCAGCCATTTCTCGGCTTGTGGCTGCATTACTCCAATCTCTACCTCTATCCTCACAAGATCTCCTCTCCCTGTGTCTTCTCTTCTGTGTCTTCTAAGGGCACTTGCCACTGGATTTAGAACCCACATGGTTACATCAGGATGATCTCATCTCTAGATCCTTAATTTTCCAATAAGATCTCATTCACAGGTTCGAGGATTAAGATGTGGACATATCTTTTTGGGGGATGAGGGTTATCATTCAACCCCCAAAGGCTGGAAACCAAAAACATCCAGCTGTTTCTCACAGAAACCTGGTGAAACAAACTGGATCATGGTGGACTCTACCCCGCAGCTGTGGGACGGACCGAGCTGGACTGACTGGCAAAAGGGAACAGCAGAGTCAAGGGTGTCAGGTGGTACAATCTGAATAATGAGAACAAACAAATCATGTGTGTTTAAAAGCAATGTGTGCCTGTTTGCGCACAGGAGTTTTTTATAAGAATAAACAGGAAACTCTTGTCAATGGTGGTTTCCAGAGAGTGGGATGTGGTAAGGAGACGGACTGTAAGGGATGTAACCTTGCTTTGTATGTTACACCCCTCTCAACAGTTTGATTTTTTGATCCACTTGCCTGCAGGCTCTCCAACAGAGTTCCCTAAAGCCCAGTGACTGCTATCACCCGGGATCCCTAAGAGTTCCTCTGCATGAACTGCTACAGACGCAATGAGGATAAAGACAGAAGCCTCCAGGACGCCTCCCACCAGCAGCACCTTCCCAACCCCCAGAACCCTGTCTGCTTCATGGTCCCTTTCACAACTTCAAAGCCTCTTTCCTCCCTGTCTCCCCAAGAAAGGGCCAATCTGAACTAATTAGGTAATCAGACTCAGCTGAAAATTTAAAAGCAAAAATGCCTATCTGGGCACACACAAAAAAATCTGATACATGTATGTGCTGCAAATGCAGACTCATCAAGTTTCAGCAAGAAACTTTCCGTGTTTTTTTTATCCCACAAAAGCCTTCTTTGTCTGCTATTTTCTTAAAAGTCACAAAGAGAGCCTTAGAGATCTGCAGCTTACCCTTTAAATGGAATGGGAAAGTATTTCCAGACATCAGATTCCTCCACCTGTAATGCAAATTTAATTAACACTCGGCAAGGTCTCCCCAAGTTAACCAGTTATTACCAGTCTGGGGGCCCCAACCTTATTAGAGTAGCTTCCTCTTTCAGAGTATCCAATGTCCTTCCAGGTCAAAAAACCCATTAGGAATGCTGGCTTCCTCAATTTGACAGTGCGTCAGGTGGTCATGAAATGAAAGAATGTTCCCTTCGTGAATAACCTTCTGTAACTTCCTTTTTCAGTCACTGATCGTTTCTCGACCTCTAGAGCTTCCCATTCAAATGGTAACATTCTGCAATGAGAACAGCTCTGCCTTAAGGTAACATATAAGTAAGAGTTTGGTAATATGGCTTCCTGTTGGGAGTTCCATGAACTAAAGCCTTGGGTGAGGTCCACAGGGCACGAGCTGTACTAACCATTGTTCTCTAAGTTAAGGACCTACTGCAGCACCAGAAATCACCCCTGCAGGGACCATGCTAGGAGCCTCCCCTGGGGTCTCCCTGAATCCAGATTCCCCCCTCTCCTGTTTGCCTCCCATTGCCACACAGGAGAAACACAACCCTCATCACATGTCACTCCCCAGCTCAGGGTCACTCAAGGCTTCCTGTTACCTTCCCAGTGAAGCCTGGACTCCTCAATTTTGATGTCTAAGACCCGCCTCAACTGAGATCCATCCTGTGGAGGACACATTTTTTGAGAAATGATCTAATTTTTTTTTCTTTCTGGTACATTCCCCTTCTTTCCTCCTCAATCAAGATAGGAACAGGTCCTTATGTTCATTGATCTTGAGAGACGGGTATGACCTGAAAGCAGCAGAACTAGCCTACAAATGATCCTGACTAAGCCTAAGCACAGATGGGAAATGGTTCTCATGTGTAGAGCAAGTAACCTGCTACCAGAACTACCAAGTTCCACCAGACTAGAAAGAGACCTGCAGCAAGCAGGACGGAGAAGAGATGGGTTTCTGGGTTCACAAGCAGAGCTGCTGGGGAAGGGACAAGACCCCAACAAGGGAAGGGTGGTTTGTGGTGGAGCTTGGCAGGCAGCAGCCTCACAAAGCTTCCCACACAGCAAAGAGCCCAAGGGCCTGGAGAACTGGGAGGTTTTCTGTCTCAGGAGTACCTTGCATTAGCCACCAGTGAGGACCAGATGCCCACCCAGTGAGGACCAGATGCCCACCCAGTGACCGGCAAAGGCAAGATCCCAGGACCAGGACACAAGGCAGAGAGGAGATGACCTCAAAAGAAGAATAAAGAGATGCCTCCTACAGCATGGTCAGAAATGAGCCTGAAATATAAACGGAGTTATGATCAAAAAGTGAGTAGGCTGAGCGTGGTGGTTCACGCCTGTAATCCCGGCACTTTGGGAGGCTGTGGCAGGCGGATCACGAGGTCAGGAGATTGAGACCATCCTGGCTAACGTGGTGAAACCCCATCTCTACTAAAAATATAAAACAATTAGCCAGGCGTGCTGGTGGACACCTGTAGTCCCAGCTACTCAGGAGGCTGAGGCAGGCGGAGCTTGCAGTGAGCCGAGATCGCACCTGCACTCTGGCCTGGGCAACAGAGCGAGACTCCTTCTCAAAAAAAAAAAAAAAAAAAAAAAAAAAAAAAAAAGTGAGTCATACTTTAGCCACGGTTAACTTTGTGGACTGAAATTCATCCCCACTATGCTACCTGTCCTAGTCTGTTTGTGCTGCTATAACAATACTACAGACTAGGTAATTTATAATGAGCAGAAATTGACTGGCTCACAGTTCTGGAGGCTGAGAAGTCCAAGATCAAGGGGCTGACATGTGGTAAGGGCCTTTTTGCTGCAACAATCTCATGGCAGAAAAGCAAAGAGAGGGCAAGAGGGAGAGAAAAGGGGGCTGAGCTTATTCTTCTAAGAGGAACCCACTCCTGCAATAGTGTCATTAATCCATTCATGAGGACGAAACCCTCACGGCCTAATCACCTCTTAAAGATCCCACCTCTTAAGACTGCTGCAGTGGCAATTGTATTAGTCTGTTCTCATGCTGCTAATACAGACATACCCAAGACTGGGTAATTTATAAAAGAAAAAAAGTTTAATTGACTCAAGTTCCGCATGGCTGGGGAGGCCTCAGGAAACTTAACAATCGTGGTGGCGGAAGGGGAAGCAAAAACATCCTTCTTCACATGGCAGCAGGAAGAGAAGTACCGAGCACAGAGGGGAAAAGCCCTTTATAAAACCATCAGATGGTGTGAGAACTCAGTATCATAAGAAAAGCATGAGGGTAACCGCCCCCATGATTCAATTACCTCCCACCGGGTCCCTCCCACGACATATGGGGACTATGGGGACTGCAATTCAAGGTGAGATTTGGGTGGGGACACAGCCAAACAATATCAGCACCATGAGTTTGGGAGAAGACAAACATTTAAACCACAGCACTACCTTTTCAGCCTTCTCTCTTACTACTCCCCTGTTTAGAACCAACGTGCTAACAAATCCAGGTCCTTTCAACATTACAGAGCCCGAGATTTCCTACCCTGATGGATTGAGCACGGAATTCCCTCCACAACTACTGCCCTTCTCACATTTCTACCCAATTACTCTGACCCATCCTTCAATTCCTAGATCAAATACCACTTTACATATGTGTGTGTGCATGTGTGTATGCTCGTGTGTGTCCATACATGTGGGCACATGTGTGTATATGTATATCTGTGTATAGGTATTGATGGAGTTTAGGACAGGCTACCCCAAAATATGGCACCTTGACATTTAAAAAAACAGCAGAAGCAGGAAGGTCACTCTCACCTTCCCTGGCCCTTCTCCCCTGAAGCCGGTCCTAAAATCTTCATTCCAGAGGCATCCTCCCTATACCCAGAGGAAAGAAACATTCTGATCCTCAAAGACACTGAGACACCAAGAAGAACTGAACAAAGGGGCTTTGCTAAGTTCCCCCCAGTATATTACTATTAGATCATACCCCCTTTGTCCAATCATACTTCCACACAAAAGTTCACTCTTCATCTAATCTAAGCATAAAATATAGAGGTTTCCCTGTTTCTTTGGGTCTTCACTTCTGAAAGCTCCCATGTCAAATGAAACTTATATTAAATAAATCTATACGCTTTTCTCTTATTAACCTGTCTTTTATTATAGATGCCTCAGCCACGAACCTTGCAATGGGTAAGGAAAATACTCTTTCTCCTCTACCATATATGCATATATGTGTGTGTATATACGCATGATATATACTATACATTGATGTGTGTATTGAAAGTACATGAAGAAAGTGTATGTATGTGCAAGATTTATCCCAGAACAAAATCTTTAAGTGCATCCAGTATAACTTTTTCAGCTGAGATCCCAGTACACAGTGCCTCAGTAACTATTCAGGGAATAAATGGGAAAAATTAAATACATGAACAAATCAGTAAAGAAAAAAACTGCTTTCAAAGATTGCTATGTCAGTTATTTGAAATAGAACAGTCTTTCACAGAGACAGTGCTATCTATAAAATACAATATAATATACAATAATATGAATGCATACTTTTTTAAAGATTTGACAAATAGAAATATTAGATTCTCTTTATCTTGAACACAGATATTATAAAAAGAAGAACATTAGACTTAAGTAGACAACAGACAAACAGATAAAGACATAGAAGATTTAAGCAGGACTCCAGGGCCTTTTCAAGGGCTTAAACAAATGGGGACATTGGTTCTAGTTTAAAACATGTGGTCTGGGATGGGCGTGGTGGCTCATGCCCGTAATCTCAGCACTTTGGGAAGCCAAGGCAGGCAGATCACTTGAGGTCAGGAGTTTGAGACCAGCCTGGCCAACATGGTGAAACCCCCATCTCAACTAAACATAGAAAAATTAGCCAGGCATGGTGGCACACACCTGTAAGCCCAGCTACTCAAGAGGCTGAGGCAGCAGAATCACTTGAACTCGGGAGGCAGAGGTTGCAGTGAGCCGAGATCATACCACTGCACTCCAGCCTGGGTGACAGAGGGGGACTCTGTCTCAAAAAAACAAAACAAAACAAAACAAAAAAGTGGTCTCTGCCTTCTTAACACAGTAATATCATTTACATTCTTTTCATTGCTGCTAGTCATAGTTAAAGTTTTTTAGTCTACATTTGGAACACAGAGAAAGAAAGAATAGCAAGTCAAAAGGAGTAAAGAAGCATATGGATTAAGAAGAACGTATGTACATATGAAAAGAAAAGGCAATCTGTTGGAAACTTAACTGTGTTGCAAGTGTGTAAACAGAAGAAAAACAGACAGGTTTCCTAAGAAGCCAGAAAGGAGGTGGGAGGCTGATGGCCCCAGGTGGCTCCATCAGTCCAGGACAGCCTTGTCACCTTTAGAGGGTGCAGGACCAGAACTGGGAGAAGTCTGCAGTGCCACAGAAAGCAGGGTGCAACTGGTTATTTAGAAAAATGGGTCCTTCACAGAAGGAAAAATGGGTCCTTCTATTACTACAAGTTTCAGAAGGTTCAGATCTTATCATATGGTAAAAATGGAAATGCCTGAATAACCACCACTAATCTCACACACACCCTTTCTATTAACATTGGATTTCCTAATATTAATTCTGTATTAATTCTCCAAATTGCCTAGCTCTTTAAGCTCTATGATCAGTTTGAATAAATGAATTGCTATATCCCATCTGCTGGTGTTGTTTTAGTGCAATACAGCTGGAAACATCCAGAAAGCTTCTTCCATCCCCATGTGTGTGTTCCCATTTCACTGTGATACTCTCCATCACAGCACGTACTGTCCTGTCCTGCGATTCTGCCTTATTCATTTGTTTTCTCCATTAGAATGTTTCATCCTTGAGGACTAAGACCTTCATTTATTCATCTTTGGATCTCCTGTGCCTGATGCAAAGTGTTTCATTAATATTGTTAAATAAACAGTATTACAACACTGGTCGGAATATATGAATGGCAATACAAAGAAAATAAAATTAACAGGATAAAAAGAAATATTACCATATTGGCCAACATGGTGAAACCCCGTCTCTACTAACAATACAAAAATTAGCTGGGCGTGGTGGTGTGCGCCTGTAATCCCAGCTACTCGGGAGGCTGAGGTAGGAGAATCGCTTGAAGCAGGGAGGCGGAGCTTGCAGTGAGCCGAGATCGTGCCACTGCACTCCAGCCTGGCAACAGAGCGAGACTCTGTCTCAAAAAAAAAAAAAAAGAAAAGAAAAGAAAAGAAAACAGAAGAGAAGAGAAGAAAAGAAAAATTATTCTATCCCAATAACACAGGAGGGCAAAGGTAATCACCTTATTGAGCTGACTATGTAATATAGACTCCAGCTTAGTGATATGCCACTCTTAAATTTCTACTTTTAAAGACAAATATACATTAAAGAATTTCATTAAAATTAACTCAAGCTTACCTGTGGTTAAACTGTGACTATAAAATCTGCCTGGATTATAAATACTCCTATTGTATGCTTCTTATTTGAATTAAACATAATCGTCCATATAAACAATGTTTACTGTTCCCCAAACTTTTTCCTGATAATTATTCCCACAATTATTCCTCTCACACAGTAAAAACACAGGTAATCAAGATAAGCTTGGCTTTAATATCAGTGGTTCTGGTCACATTATTAGCATTATTATTCACTCTTTTAACAGCACAGCTAATTTTAGGTAAGGTCTAACTGCTTCAAAATTCATAGTTGGTTGGCACTGTGGGCCTGTGCTAACTGGATACCTGCTTCACTAAAATTCTGTCAACTCCACCCTCCAGAATATTTATTTGTGAGGTCAGAGACACAGCCTTCCCATTTCCTTAAGAGAAAATACTGGTTGTGTTCCCAACACTTAACATCACTTAATAATATTGGCTCTGTGATTAACACCAAGTTCATGCTGTTACAACAGCAGTTATCACATTTCATGATTAATGAAGGGTCTCAACCGTCTCCAAAGGCATCAGTGACAAATAAATTGTCTCCAAAATTTATGCATCTAGATGTGACCTTCCTCCAGGCTGCAAGCAATTGCAACTGCATACTGGCCTCTCTTCCTGAATGAACATGCTGTAAGCCACTCAACCTCAAAATCTACAAGGGTGAGTTCACCCGCTTCACCACTTCCCCTCCTGTTCGGATCCTGCTTTCAGTGGACTGATACCCAAGCTGCCGACCTTTTGTTTGCCTAAACCTCAATGTTTACACCCACCAAGATGTTGCAAAAGTAATCTTGTTCAAAAGCGAACACAATTTTTGTTATTACAATTTCAACAGGATTTTTCTTTAACAATATAATGTTTGAGAGTTTTGGGCTTGGTTTGTAAATAAAAGTAAAAAACAACAATGCGTTTTGATACGGTTTGGATCTGTGTCCCCACCCAAATCTCACGTCGAATTATAATCCCCAATATTGGAGGTGGGGCCGGTTCGGGGGTGCCTGGATCATGGGGGTGGACTCTTCATAAATGATTTATCACCATCCCCTTGGTGCTGTCTTGTGACAGAGTTTTCACAAGATCTGGTTGTTTAAAAGTATGTGACACCTCACCCCCCTCTCTCTTCCTCCTGCTCTGGCCATGTGAAGATGCTTGCTCTGACTTTGCCTTCTGCCACGAGTAAAAGCTCCTGAGGCCTCCCCAGAAGCAGATGCTGCCGTGCTTCCTGTACAGCCTGCAGAACCCTGAGCCAATTAAATATCTTTTCTTTGTAAATTACCCAGTCTCTGGTATTTATTTATAGCAGGGCAAGAACGGACTTATACGCTTTTCCAAAAGCAAATCAGTAAATGGAGAAAGCTTTGTATCCCCCTTAGTAATTCCTTGGAATCCCAGTTATAGCTGGACTCAAGGAAATAATTTTAAAGCAGCAATACAACAACCTTCCCATTGATTAGCATAGCACTGCCCAGGTTGTCAGTGTGTGAAGCTTATATGGAACATTCTCCATAGCCGTGTGGCCCTCTTACACTATCACATCTGACAGTGTCCTCTTTTAGAATTCACGACTTGTCTTCCCTATAAAACAGCAATATCACCTCTCTAGCCCTAGAAGTATATCTCAACTGGCAGAGGAGGAGAGACGAAAATTCATCTTTCCTAACCACTTACAGTCAAAACACATATGAGAAATAAAAATAAAATTCTAAGCCCCTCGCCTCACTGAACAGATGCCCTCTTGGCCAAAGGAATGCCACAGAACTCTTGGAAGTTGAAGTCACAGCCATAAAAAGATGAGACATTAGGGTCTGGGCGCGGTGGCTCATGCCTGTAATCCCAGTACTTTGGGAGGCCGAGACGGGTGGATCACGAGGTCAAGAGATTGAGACCATCCTGGCCAACATGGTGAAACCCTGTCTCTACTAAAAATACAAAAACTAGCTCGGCGTGGTGGTGCGGGCCTGTAATCCCAGCTACTTGGGAGGCTGAGGTAGTAGAATCACTTGAACCCGGGAGGCAGAGGTTGCAGTGAGCTGAGATCACGCCACTGCACTCCAGCCTGGGTGACAAGAGTGAAACTCCATCTCAAAAAAAAAAAAGGATGGGAAATTAGGACATAATTCATGATACCCCCTCCCTCGCTAACAGTCATTAGGTTTTCTTCCCTAAGGGCTAAACAGAAACCAGCATTTCCAAAAGACTACTAGCTTGTCTTCCCAGGTACAGAACAAAGACAAGATGAGATTAATCCTTCCTTCACCTCTCCTTGAGACCTCTCCTTCCTCTCTTCTCTTCTTCTTCAAATGGTCACTTTCTCTCACATAAAATGTAGATCTAACTAAAGTCTCACAAGTACATAATCAATTGCCCCATTGCCATACCCTACCTTCTTTTTTAAGGAAAATGTATAAATACTAAACCTCCTATGAACCTCTTTGGAAAAAACCAGTCACAGATTCTTCCGTAAGTCACATTTTTCCCTGGTGAGCTCCCGATCCTGCTCAATAAACCTCAATGATTTGAGACTTATACCTCAATCACTCATTTTGGTTGTCACATACAACTCCAAACATACCTTAATATTCCTTTTTACTGTTGCACATGGGCAATAATAACTTCAACAGCTCAAAGAGGTTTAATTTATTACTAAGAAATCAGAAACTTTTGGTGTCTACTCTTGCATGCAAATAATAGCTGAACAACATATATCTCATAGCCTGAAAAGAGGACCTAATGCCTAGAAAAATAAAGAAGCACATTTATATTGATTAGGAAAAGAAACACCCTTAGAAGAATTTGCCTGCTAAAGCATTTCACTTACAAGTACCTGGAAGTGACTTTTATCAGAATAGCATCGTGTGCTAAAAAGTGTGGATTATATCACTTACTTAGAGTATTAAATTTAATAACCCCCATTGACAAAAACATAACACCCAGTAAAGTAGGTAAATTGGTAACAGGCAGTTGGGTAACTTCAAAATCAGATGTTGGTTCAAACACGCATAAGGCCATTTTAACGGTTCAATTTTACAGCCCATCATTCTTGCATCTTGCCAAGAAAGTGGGAAGGAATTTTTTACAAACATAATTCCAGCATAACTCTCATAGCTGAATAATATCAATTTCTTTGATAGGACCAACAAATAGATGGTTTTTGCAGCTATCTCAAGATATTTTAAATTACAATAGGAGTAACTTTATTGTATTTCAAAATTTGAAGTTTAAATATTGGAATGTCAAGTTAGTAATAAATCAAAATGTATACCTAAGGTTTACCTTTTAGAAAATGTTGCCCCCCAAAAAATATTTTTAAATCATGTATCAACTTTCAATTATCCACAGGTCACCGAAAACCTGCAATGTGAGGATCATACACAATATTTGAATCAAAGCTAATTTTTCCTTGACATCTTAAGTCATTGTGTATAAAGTTAGCCTCCTGAGGAGCTAGAATTACAGGTGTCTAAGAAAGGTTTTAGAGATGCTCAGCAGTTGGCTCTCTCCAGCCCCATCTATCTGTTATCTGAAATTTTACCACCACAACATCTTTTTTTTTTATCCATTTTTTGTTTTGTTTTGTTTTGTTTTTTGAGACGGAGTCTCACTTTGTCACCCAGGCTGGAGTGCAGTGGTGTGATCTCAGCTCACTGCAACCTCCGCCTCCCAGATTCAAATGATTCTCCTGCCTCAGCCTCCCAAGTAGCTGGGATTACAGGCAGGTGCCATCATGCCCATCTAACGTGCTTTTTTTTTTTTTTTTTTTTTTTTTTTGAGATGGAGTCTCGCTCTGTTGCCCAGGATGGAGTGCAGTGGTGCGATCTCGGCTGACTGCAACCTCCACCTCCTCGGTTCACGCCATTCTCCTGCCTCAGCCTCCCGACTAGCAGGGACTACAGGCGACTGCCACCATGCCTGGCTAATTTTTTGTATTTTTAGTAGAGACGGGGTTTCACCGTGTTAGCCAGGATGGTCTCGATCTCCTGACCTCATGATTTGCCTGCCTCGGCCTTCCCAAAGTGCTGGAATTACAGGCGTGAGCCACTGTGCCCAGCCCTAATTTTTGTATTTTTAGTAGAGACAGGGTTTTCGTTGGCGAGGCTGGTCTCGAACTCTTGACCTCAAGTGATCCACCCACCTTGGCCTCCCAAAGTGCTGGGGTTACAGGCATGAGCCACCATGCCCGGCCTTTTTTTGACCCTTCTTAAGGCAGGTATCACCAGCTCTTTCAGTATCTCTACCCTAGTACAGGGCCTAGAGAAAGTAACTGAGTCAGTTGAAACTGCTAGAGGAAGAAGTGAAAAAGGCCATGACAAGAGATGGGAGACTGATGAGAAGAAAATGGTGGCAAAATAATCATTGCTGCTGCATTTGGGCAGATCAGCCCCGGTTTGCAGCTACGTCTCTTTTCTATCAATTCTTAAATGTTAATGAAGTGCCAGCTTATATTTAGTTCAGGACAACATATACGTTAAATCTACTTTTTAGAATTCTGTGAAGCCAAATATAATCAACATCTCAATTATACAGTTTCGGACGATCTGCACTTCAACTTCAGACCATTAGCTCACAACAGAAATAAAATGTGCAGAATGCTACTACTTGGCCAACCAAAACTAATGGAAAAAGTGGCAAAATGACTTATACCTGTATATCACCTTACAATTTGCCAAGTAGTTTCACATCTCCTGCTTGAATACTGAACTCAGCAAAAATGGGAAACTCACAGTGGCTCACACCTGCAATCCCAGCACTTCGGGAGGCCGAGGCGGGTGGGTTACCTGAGGTCAGGAGTTTGAGACCAGCCTGGCCAACATGGTGAAACCCTGTCTCTACTAAAAATACAAAAATTAGCCGGGCATGGTGACAGGCACCTGTAATCCCAGCTACTCAGGAAGCTGAGGCACAAGAATTGCTTGAACCTGGGAGGCGGAGGTTACAGTTAGCTGAGATTGTGTCACTGCCCTCCAGGATAGGCAACAGAGCAAGATTCTGTCCAAAAAAAAAAGAAAGAAAGAAGAAAAACTGATGTTTCAGAGCAACTTTGGAGACTGAATAAAATTTAATTATTTCCAAACTTCAAAACCAGTTAAAAAGGGAAGAAGAAAGAAAAACTAAGAAAAATAAATGTATGATAGGTTTCTTCAAAAAGCGTTGCAGTTCTCATAATACCTTGACTTTGTTTGGCTCGAGATGAAAACTGTAAAAAGGGGTGATTTCCTATTTAAATACAATATTGAAAGTGCACACAAGATAAACTTCCTCTGGTCATTTCTGGATTATTATCAAAGCACAGAGTCCTTTATAGTCAAAGAAAAATCTGTTGATATGTACATGGTAAAATAAAAAAACAAAAACAAAAAAAACACTGTGACATCATTCTGTGATTACATACAAAAGAATGAGGAAAGGCTGGTAATTCAAACTTCCTTCATGGTAAAAAATGTCTACAATTCTTTCCTTCTAGCTCTCTGCACCTTCTCATCTCCTATTCACTCCTCAAACCATGCAATCAGGTTATACATCATTTTTCTACAACTACTGAACTGGCCAAGATTAAGATTAACAATGACCACGTGAATGCCAACCGAAACACCATGTTCAGTGGTCACGTTGCCCGGCTCTGTGGAGGGCAACACTACTGACTACTCCCCCCAGGGGTGTCATTGGTGCTAATCAAATATCTCCAGACTTCTACTCTCGGGACACATGACAGGAGTACATATCCTCGCCCCCTCTGAAGTGGTGGTAGACCATAAGACATAATTTGGCCAATGAAACGTGAATGGAAATAACATAGGCTGAAGTTTTAAGAGCTAATACATGCTTTTCCATAACTTTTTCCCTCTGCCATGGCAACCAGCAATGTTTCTGAGAGTACTTGCGTGATACTATGACATATATATTAATATACCGGTTTTCAACCATGGTTTCTGGCTCGTAACTCCCATAGTCCTTATCACCTCATGTTGGGGCACTTTTAGTCCTCAAAAAACAAATCTCTCTCTCACTGACCTTCTGCCTTCCTTTCACCTGCACTTTTTTCTCCCCAAGGAAGGCCTTAGAAACTAAAAACATACTCAGATATCCCCCTGCCTTTCTGTCCTGAAACTGACCGTGAACAAATGCGAGGACCTTCCTTGTCTGATTGCAGGTCCTAAGGCCCCTGTTTCAGGGGTGCTGCCCCAGACCCTGGAGGAAGGAATGCTGCACAGAGAGGCTGAGAATCTGGACAGGCCTTGGTAGGTTTCCCCACTCCATGCTTCAATCATGCCTATCCAATGAAGTCTCCATAAAAGGCCGAAGAGGACTGGGTTCAGAGAGCTTCAGATAGCTGAACATGTGGAGGTGCCTGGAGGGTGGTGCATCCCGGGAGGACATGGAAGATCTGCGCCCCTTCCCCTAAACCTCTCCCTAAGCACCTCTTCGTCTGTATCCTTTGCAATATCCTTTATAATAAACTGGTAAACCTGTGTTTCCATGAGTTCTGTGAGCCGCTCTAGCAAATTAGTCAAACCCAAACAGCAGATCATGGGAACCCCAACTTGACACTGGTTGGTCAGAAGTTCCAGAGGCTCAGACTTGCAACTGGTATCTGAAACGGGGGCAGTCTCGTGGGACTGAGCCCTGAACCTGTGGGATCCGATGCTGTCTCCAGGTAGACAGTGTCAGAATTCAATTAAAGGACATTCAGTTGGTGTGCACTGCAGAACTGACTGCTTGCTTGCTGGTGGGCAGAAATCCCCACACATCCGGTGTCAGATTTGCTTTGTGAGAGTATAGTGGGGGAAGCACAGTTGGAGTTTTTCCACATTCAAGCTGCTTTGTCAGCTTAGGTCCCACAGTGAAAATGACATAAAGAAGAATCCCCAGACGACCCGTGATGAACATGTCCCACGTGTGATGATATGGCACAAAGCCCAAAACAGCCTGTAACTACTATCTGCATGAGGAAGAAATAAATCTTTGTTATTTCAAGCCCCTCAGATTATGACTTGTTACGACATCATAACCTAGCCTATACTTGAATTCTATCCTCCTTCCATTAGCTTGTGGACCACACCCTTCTGATTCCCTGCTTCCCTTCCCCCTGTTCCTGCTCCAAAATCCATTCTGCAGCCACCTCCTAGATGCTGTGCAAGGCAGCCTCTAAGATGGCACCCAATGATCCCACTGCCTGGTAGTCCAGATTCTTGCAGAATCCTCTCCCCTAGAGTATAAGGCAGATCAAGGGACTCATTTCTAATGAATAAAATATGACAAACATGATGGGACATCACTTCTGAGATTGCGTTTACAAAAAGACTGTAGCTTCTACTTTGTCCACATTCTCATTCACTGTGAGGAAGGCAAGCTAGCTGTCCTATGGAGAGGCCCAGGTAGTGAGGTATGAATGAGGCCTTCCGCCAAAAGCCATGAGGAACCAAGACCTACCCAAAGCCACGTGAGTAAGCTTGGAAGTGGCCTGAACGACTCACTCTTTGTTCCCATTGCTTATCTAGTCAGGGACTGCACATAGTGGCCCTCAACCCTGGCCATAAAGAACTCTGGAAAAATCTTTACTCTGCAAGCTCCACCCAGACTTGCTGAACCCACTATGAGTGGCTGTGGCCAGATCATGTATGATTAAAGAATAAAAAGTCCACAGGTGTTTCTCATACATCTAGCAAGGGTGAGAACCACTGCTTTAGAGAATCACTCAGCCCAGCAATTGGATGATGAGGAAATGCCCAGAGAAATGAACTGACTGGGCCAAGATCTCATAGCCCGTGGCCAACGTGGAGTTTTGACCCTATTCCCCTGACTACTAAACAGGTGTTACTCCCCCACGCCACAGTGCCTTCTCTACTGGGGTCTCCTCTGAGCTCAACACTCTAAGAAAACATACAAGAAAGGCACAGCCCTGCCTTCAAGGAGCTGCCTGCACAGGATCTACAAATTAGAAGGAAAGAAGCCCGTTAGAACATGCCTCTCCCATAAGCTGTAAGCAGCAAAGAATGGAATAGGGGTTCCAGTTCTTGTAAATTAGGTGTGGCCCTTGGGCTTCTGGGAAGTTTCCAATGTGGGCTGGCAAGTCTAGGCATTCTCTTGGCACAAAATCACCGAACAGTAAAGAGGTATCCGCTTAGGTGAGTGACTGGGCAGACATTACTTAAGAAACTTAAAGGACTTCTTTAAGCAAATCCCAGCCACAGTTGAAGTGATGGCCTGTGGCCACCAGCCATGGCTAGCCACCCACCGCCTGACAGCAGCTCAGAGGTTTCGCCATCCCAGACGGGCATGCCGCCCCAGTTATTTTACCCTTCACTTAGGGCCACCGTCACCTTGCCATGGCCCTAAGCAAACTATCCTTGGCAAAGCAACAACGGCTCCAGATGGAGAAATGACACACTATTCCAACAAACTTTTCAAAGGAAAAACAAATAGATATTTCTGAGTTTGTTTTTTTGTGGGCAGCTGGAAAAGAAAATAAATCCACCAAATACCAACACCTCTCCAAAAAGTGTGTTGCCAGGACCATGATGACTGGTGTTAAGAATGAGAGTTTCCGGCAGAGAGAATGTGACACATCGCTGAGTCAAAGGCAGGCCCAGCCCTGGCTGAAAACCTTTGTCAGAACTGGGTTATGCTTTCACTGTAAGAAGTTTAAAAGGAGGGCAATGGTGAAGTCACATCCATGAGTCACTTTCCCACATGCTATGCTCACTTTTCAACAGGATCAACAGACCAAGTACCCACAGGGTCTCCCTCAGACTGTGAGCTGTTGAGAGCTCTTCGGGGAATACCGTCTTCCATTCTAAGTCATAAGCACTGTGCCCACCCACTCCCTATAAATAACCCAGAGAAATTAATATTGCACAAAATGGTGAAGACAGTAAGCATTTGTGGATGAAAATGGGGGAAAGGGAGAATGAAGAGGCAAAAATCAAAACTGCATGATGTTCATTCTTGTTCTCTTCAACTTTGTTTTGTGAGCAGATAACTGGTCTGGATGCAGATGTCTGTACTAGGAACCTGAGTCTATGAGGCTTGAGAATAATCTTGACTGACAACTTCCAGGCTGTGCTGCACACACACCAAGGGTTTCAAGGTCAGCAGGTAACATTGACCTGCCCTCTGTTCACCCCAGAGATGCCTTAGCAAACAGCAAAAACTCTGGGGCAGGCAGCTCAGACTTGCTTGTTGCCCTCCTAGGAGACAACACTACCTTCTAGATCAAAATGGATCATAAGTGGGAATGACAAGAATGGGTGCTTCATCTGCAGAAATTTGGGAACTGAGGGACTAGATATTCCCATGCACAGGAGGAAGAGGTGCAGACTAGAGGGAGAGGGTGTGGGTATGAATGGAGTGGGGCGGGGAGGGAGGCATCAGTGCACAGAGCCAGGGGCATCTTTCTCCCCAGTCCAGGCTCTCGGAAGTCTGGCTTTGAGTGGGGCCATCATCTCAGGGTACCAGGGATACCTAACAAGTACACAGAGAGGAATCAACAGTCATGTATTGTGCTCAACCCTCTCCCAGACAACTTAACACAATTTCAGAACAAGAGTAAACTTTAAGTAAGCTTAACTTCCGGAGCAAAATATCCTGAGCCCCAAACAAAATTTCCTTTACTGCTGTTGGTTTTTGAAACTGACATTTATTGAGGCACAAAAACATTCATTCTCTGATCTAAATGGTTAGAATAGTTAAACATTGATATGAATCAGGGGTTAGCAAACTTTTTCCATAAAGACCCATATAGTATATATTTTAGTTGTGGGCCAAAAGGCAATATTGAGGGTATCATAGAGGGTACTTAATGAGAGAAAACAATTTCACACACATTTTTCATTGACAAAATTCAAAACATAATATTAATAACAAAGTATAATTATTTGTATATAAGCCTCCTAATGTGAAGAATGATATTCTTTTGGTAGAGGGAGGACAATTTGCTTAATTGGGACTCAAAGTTAGTATTCCTTATCATCAAAATCAACTGCAAATATTATCAAAATAATAAAAAGATCAGTGGTTGCCAAGGATTAGGGGAGAAGGAAGAATGAATAGGTGGAGCATAGAGGATTTTTAGAGCAGTGAAAATACTCTGTAGGATGCTGTAATGGCAGATACATGCCATTATTCATTTTTCCAAACCCACAGAATGTACAACATCAAGAGTCAGCAATATAAACTATGGACTCTGGACGATGATGATGAGTCAATGCAGGTTCATCATTTATAACAAATTACCCCTCTGGTGTGGGAGTGGTAATAGATAATGGAAGAAGCTGTGCACATTTGGGGGCAGGGAGTATATGGACTATATATCTATTTCCCTTCATTTTGGCTGTGAATCTAAAAATTATCGAAAAATAATGTTTATTGTTTAAAAAAAAAAACTAAACATGCAACTACTACATGACTTAGTAACTGCACTCCTGGGCATTTATTCAAGAGAAATAAAAACATATGTTTACACCCTCCCCCCACCCCACAAAAAAAGAATCGCAAATGTTACTCTGCTAATGCTAATCTCTAATGAGATTTTACATATTTCATCTCTGAAAATGTCTTTTCACACACCTATTTGTGTATGGAAAAAATACTGTTATCCAGGAGCATATGATTTTATTTAAGCATATTCATTACTTGGATGGCATTTAAAAATTTTTATTATATTCTTCTGTTGATATCCTCCTTTTGGTATGTTGCTACATTTCAGATTCTTCACTTGCAATTAAAGTTAAGTGGAAGCTCTTCAACTGCACAGTTAAATAGATTTTGAATTATAGAAATTTCCTTTCTACTTGCATTGTGGTCCAAAAGCACTGCTGGTACAGCTGTCCCCTGGTATCCATGGGAGATTAGTTCCAGGACCTCCCTCAGATTCCAAAAACTGTGGATATTCCAGTCCCTAATATAAAATGTCATAGTATTTGCTTCTAATCTATGCATATCCTCTTGTATATTTTAAATAATCTCTAGATTACTCATAATACCTAATACAATGTAAATGCTATGTAAATAGTTGTTATACTGTATTGTTTAGAGAATAATGATCAAAAAGTGTCTGTGAATGTTCAGTACAGATGCCATTTGTTTCTCCCAGATATGTTTGATTCAAAGCTGGTTAAAAACAGATGCAGAACTCATGGATATGGAAGGTCAACAGTACTTAGTTGAGCTAAGAAAATGTATCTGCTACAACTGGTATGCAAACAGAGATCTCATTTCTTATTTTCACTTTTGACAGCATAAGAAGTGTATAAAGCATCTTAATATTACTAGTGATTAAAACAATGTTAGGTGGCATCTAAGTGACTTTACTTCAATATTAAGTTTCACATATAAGCACTGTTTTGCCTTATAGTTTTATGTTGAATTCATTATCAACTCTGCAGCTAAAGCTAATTTCCAAAGCCACTCAGTCTTCAATAGTAGCTAAAGTCAATTTATCCTGTTCAGAAAAAAATAAATCTTAGCCCTCAGACAGGGTCTCGTTCTGTAGCCCAGGGTGGAGGGCAGTGGCATGATCACAGCTCACTGCAGCCTGGACCTCCTGGGCTCAAGGAATCCTCCTGCCTCAGCCTCTAGAGTAGCTGGGACTACAGGCATGCCACCATGCCTGGCTTTTTTTAAATTGTTTTATTTTTTGTAGAAATGGGTTCTGTCTAGTTTGCCCAGGCTGGTCTCGAACTCCTGGACTCAGGCAATCCTCTCATCTCAGCCTCCCAAAGTGCTCAAGGCTTAGAAGAGTCTTAAACAATTTTGTTTTCTCTGAACACATTTCTTCAGCTGCTGCAATCAAGCATGATTTAATTAACTCACCATCAATAAATGGCTTTCCTGGCTTGGATAACAAAGGAGTCACTTGCAAATTTACCTTGTTTGCAGCTGAATGTTCTTTTTTGTGTAAAGAAATTCTGCTATAATGAAACATTTGATTTTAAATTTTCTAACTTTTCACCACAGCATTTCTGTGAGTTGAAAATATTGTGATAAGTGATTAGTCTGGTAATGTCAGCATACCGTATATTCTTTTAGCACAGTTACAGTCTCATTACATAATAAACACAATGCTTTGCCATCTAATTTAATAACAAAATAATCCATACTCCACTATGCCTTTTAAAGTATGACATTCAGAGTCTACTTTTCTACTCTTCTGACATCAAGGATTTACACTGATAAAAAATAAAAAAAAGTCACTGTAAGTTAATACACATGCCACTAAAAACACTGACAATTTCTAAGTTTAAAATAATTAAATGTGGTAACTATGATTTTTGGGGTGCCAAGCAGCAGTGAAAAGTGATCACAGAGCTACATGCAGTCTCCGTCACAACTCAACTCTGCCATTACAGGAAGAAAGCAGCTATAGACAACATATAAACAAGTGAGTATGGCTGTGATTCAATACAATTGTATGATGTTAGGGCCAAAAACCATATAGAAAAAATTAACAGATAAGACTACATAAAATTTAAAATCTTCTGCATAGCAAATACATATAAACAGAATAAAAGAAAAATAGGGAAAATATTGATTATAGGTTGGTATATAGACAGATATCAGAAAGTTCATAGTATTATATAAAGAGTTCAACAAGAAAAAGATACATGATCTAATAGAAAACTGGCCGGAAAATAGGAGGAAAAAAATGCAAACAGCCATAAACTACTACTATTTAACCTCACTGTTATTTAAAACAGGTTATTTTCATCTGTCAGACCGATAAAAAGAACGACACAGAGTGAAAGTGAAAATATAAATAATCCTATATCTAGCGAAGTGAATTTTTTCAAAAACTTTCTCATAAATAAAAGACCAAGACCATATGTTCACCAGTTAATTCTAACAAATATTTAAGAAAGATAGAAAACCCATCTTATAAAAACTCTTCAAAGTATACAGGAAGAAGAAACACCTCCCAACCTGTTTTTGGAGGCCATCATAACCATGATACCAAACCCTCACAGACCAATATTCCTCATCAACATATATGGAAAAATTCTTTAAAAAGGGTCCACAAATCGAATTCATAATATAGAAAAAGGCTAATACACCCTGACAAAGTGGGATTTTTTTTTTTCCTGTAGAGAAACAGGGTGACAAGGTCTTACTCTGTCACCCAGGATGTAGAGCAGTGACATGATCATCACTGTAACCTCAAACTCCTGAGCTCAAGTAATCCTCCGACATCTGCCTCCTGAGTAGCTTGGGCTACAGGCGTGCACCACCACACCCAGCTAATATTTTTATTTTTTGTAGAGATGGAGTCTCATTGTGTTACCCAGGATGGTCTCAAACTAATGGCCTCAAGTGATCTTCCTGCCTCAGCCTTCCAAAGCTGGGATTACAGGTATAACCACCATGCCTCACCTCAAGTGGAATTTATCCTAGTAATGCAAGGTTGGTTTAACATTTAAAACTTAATTGATTTAACTAACCATACTGACAGAATAAAGGAATAAAAAATAATCGTATTTTTATTGATGATCACACTACATACAGAAAATGCATCTGGCAAATACAACAAGCCTTCATGATAAAAGGAAACACTCAGCAAATGAGTAATATAAGATAATTTCCTCATTTTAGACCCCGTTTCTACAATGATTATTTTGTTAATGTATTATACTGATTGGTAAAATAACATACTTTCACCCTAAAACCTAGAACAAAAGGCAAAGATGACCACTGTCACCACTCCTGTTCTACATTACACTAGCAGTCCTGGCTAGTAAAATATAGCAAAAGGGGAGAAGCATAAATACTGGAAAGACACAATACTAACTGTATTTGACATGACATGACTAAGAAGAAAATCCCAACAATACAAGTTGGGAAAAAATTACCCATGTGCCTTCTGTGTTTCTGCATATCTTTATCAGCTTTTCTTCTGGCCTGTCTTTTCAAGAATGTTTATATAGTACACAGTCTTGGAAAACAGATAGTATCTCCTTCTGTGGCAAAGGAAAGATTTGTTTGCTATCCAGGGAAATGAAAATAACATCTCCATCTGGCACAAAGATTAGGCAAAGTTGGCTAGCAGCCCCTTTTAAAGAATGGTATTTCCTAAGCTCAGGGTTCCTCAACTGCGACACAAACCTACTACACGAGTAACATCGACCTGGGCTACTCTGCATTACCCCATGAAGCTTAGGGAGTGTGGAGACCCAATCTGAACATGAAGCTCATGCTGCCTGCTATGCCATGAGTAATAAAGTTCTTTATCTCTTACCCAGGATTCTCCTGTCTTCTGTCAGCATCCATGAAACTGTGGGAGGCTAACTTTTTAGCCTGCAAGCAAGATAAAATCTCAAACCTTTCACAGTTCTTGACAATATGAGTTTGAGGTTACCAGACTAATGTGTGAATTTTGAAATTTTGGAGGCTGCAAGGTCACTAAATATAAATTAAATGTATTTCTATATATTAGCAGAAAACTCAATTTAAAGTTATATTACATTTATGTAAGTGTAAACAATATACAATACTTAGAGGCTGGGTGCAGTGGCTCACGCCTGTAATCCTAGCACTTTGGGAGGCCAAGGCGGGTAAATCATGAGGTCAGGAGTTTGAGACCAGCCTGGCCCAACATGGTGAAACCCCGTCTCAACTAAAATTACAAAAATTAGCCAGGCATGGTGGCGGGTGCCTGTAGTCTCAGCTACTCAGGAGGCTGAGGCAGGAGAGTCACTTGAACCTGGGAGGCAGAGGTTGCAGTGAGCCAAGGTCATGCCATTGCACTCTAGCCTGAGCGACAGAGCGAGACTCCATCTCAAAAAGAAAAAAAAAAAAGAATATACAATACTTAGAAATATATTTAACAAAACATCTTCAGAAATCTCTATACTGAAAACTATAAAACATATATAAATGTAGAGATATACCATATTCATGGATTGAAAAAATAAATATTGTTAAGGCATCAATTGTCCCAAAATTGAGCTATGGCAGCAGTTTTCAAACCCTTCATTCTCAGGACTCCTTGAAACTCTCAAAAACAACTGAGGATCCCAAAAAACTTTTAATATTTATGTAGTTTATAGCTATCAAAATTTACCAGAGAAGGAATTTAAAATTAAAAAATGTTAAAATATTAATTCATTTAAAATTAACAAGCCCATTAAATGTTAAAATAATTTTTCTTTTTCCTAAAATAAAATGTATTAAGCTTTGCATTGTTTTACACTTTTGCAAATACCATTAATGTTTACCATAAAAGAAGAGAGCCTGATTGCCTATCTGCTTCTGCATTCAATCTGCTGCAAGATCACACATTATGTATTCTCTGGAAAACTCCACTGTACTCCTGAGACAATGAGTGTGAAAGCAAATAATGTCTAAGTATTATTATGAAAATAGTTTTCACCAGGTGTTCCAGATTCAAGACAATGCAAATTGTAATCACATCAGACTTAAAAAAAAAAAGAAACTGACAAACTAATTCTATAATTCGAACAGCAATATGAAGAGCCTACAAATGTCAAAAAGTGGTTTTGAAAATGCAGAACAAAATTGAGGGCTTACACAACTTGATTTGAAGACTTACTTTTGAAGCTACAGTACTCAAGACAGTGTGGGACAGGAGTCCCCCCTTATCTGTGGTTTGCTTTCTGCTGTTTCAGTTACCCATGGTTTCAGTCTCATAACATTAAATGGACATAAACAATTCAGAAGTTTAAAATTCCAGAATTAAACAATTCATAAGTTTTAAATTCCAGAAGTAAAGAATTCATGATTTAAATTCTGAGTAGTGTGAAATCTGTCCTGCTGTGTCCCACCTGGGACATGACTCACACCTTCTTCCAGCATATCCACACTGCACATACTACCCACACATTCGTCACTTAGTAGCTATCTTGGTTATCAGATACGAAAATCATAGCATAGAGGGTTTTGTACTATCCACAGTTTCAGGCATCCATTGGGGGTCTTGGAACATATCCTCTCATGGATAAAGAGGCGATTACTGTACTAGCATAAGGATCAACAACAGATCAACAGAATAGCTGGAAACTCCCAAATAGACTCACATATATATGGTCAACTGATTTTTTGATAAAAGGTGCCAAAGCATTCCAACGGAGAAAAGAAACTCTTTTCAACAAATGATCCTGAACAACTAGATATCAGTATAAAGAAAAAAAATGAAGCATCCTGGATTCTCACCTTACACTACACTCAAGTGAACTCAAAGTTAATCCTAGACCTAAACACAGAAGCTAAAACAACAAAGCTCTAGAAGAAATCATAGGAAAATATCTTTATAATTTGAGAGTAGGCAAAGATTTATTGAGCGACACACAGAAATCAATAATCATACAAAATCAGACCTCAACAAAATTAAAAACTGCTCACCAAAAGACACTGTTAAGAAAACTAACACAGTAAGAGGAAAAAAATGCTGTGTGTGTGTGTGTGTATGAGACAGAGAGATAAAAGATTGATATCCAGGATATATACTAATAAAAAATTCCAACTCATTAAGAAAAAAAAGCTGATTAATAAATGAGCAATATATTCAATAGACATTTCACAAAGGGGAATATACAGATGGTTAATATGTACATTAAAAGCTATTCGATATCATTAGTCATCAGGGAAATGCAAATTAAAAACATAATGAGATACCACTATACACTCAGAAGAATGATTAACATGAAGAAGACTGACAATTCTATACTGTAAGCCCAGATGTGGTGCAACCAGAACTTTCATCCACTCCTAATAGAAAGATAAAATGATAAACCGCTTTGGAAAAAACATCTGAGAGTTTCTTATAAAGCTAACCACATACCTACCTTATACACAGAAATTCTACTCCTAGGTACTTACCCAACAGAATTGAAAGCATATGTCCACAGGAAAACTCACAAGAATGATCATGGCAGCTTTATTTATAATAGCCCCAAACTAGAAACAACCCAGGTGTTCATCAACAGATGACTGGACAAACAAATTGCCATATATTTATACAATGGAATACTACCTAACAATAAAAAGGAATGAACTGCTTATTCACGCGACAGTATTAACACATTCCACAAATAGTATGGTAAGTAAAAAGCCTTCTACAAAAGGGTACACATTGTATAATCTCACATGAAGTTTCTAGAATAGTGAAAAGTATGGTGAAAAAAATCAGAAGAGTGGTTGTCTCTGGGGTAGGACTGAGAAAACTGATGAGATAACTTAGATACTGGCCAAGTCCTCTACCTTGATAGAGTTTTGGATTACATAAGTACACATTTCTCAAAATTCAAAGGGTGCATGTAAGATTTGTACATTTCAGTACACTGTAAATTTTACCTTAAAAATAACACTATAAGCAAATACTGACCTCTAGTTAATGACATGCATGACAAAGTGTTTATAGGTAAACATATACTCATGATGTGTGCATCTTAGTCTGAAAGGCATTAAGAAAATAGGGTGTATTAATGGATGGACCAGTATCATCCATCCATCTTGTAATATGTAAGATTTTTAAAACCCACCATATTTGGTTAGAAAAAAGAAGTCTTTCCTAAATATAGACTGAATTATCTTCCATAAATACTTCAATTGCCTTATCCATAATCATCCCTCAAAGTTAAAGGAATGTGTCCTACCAACTCCAGTTTCTACAATTCAGTACCAGGCAAAACATCCTTGTTATTGGTCTATGATCTGATATAAGCAAATACATGGTTACAATTAGTTTTCAGTTTTGATTCATATAATTGTTTGCAAGAGCTATTTCAGAAAAAAAAAGTAATATAATTTTTAATTTTTGAAAAGGCTGCCAAACAAGAAAATTTCAATCACTATAACATGAGTTTTTTAAAAACATAAACCTTGTACTATTTTTTGTTTGAAAACCAGTGGCCCTTCTGATCCCCTCATTTTTCTTTGAATAAGAAAATAATTCATGCTCTGGTCACTTTGCTATTAAAGACCACAGTTAGCCATGACAAATGCATTTCTTTACACACACACACACACACACACACACACAGATCTGAATTTAAAATTCAGTACAACGAACGGTATTAAAAGTTCCCTCCCTGCCTCCCTCCATATCTCACCTACCCACATATATCATACACACACATCCCCCCCAAACACACACACACATACATACACACACACCCCCCAAGATGATTTCAGCACAGCCCAAATTAAGATACAAACCTAAATGGCAAAATAATACTTTGGGCTTAAATTGTCCTCCATAATAATCAAAAGCCACATGTTACTAAAATCAAAAGAAACTTACCTTGAATGCAAATACCCCTAGAGATACGTCAATTATCTGTGTGTATTCTAGGACTCCAGTGAGTTTTTTAAAAATAGGGGGAAATTAAAAGGAAAAGGATCCATAACACAACTGTCATTTAGCCTCTCCACATTTATTTCCTCTCAACCCACTTCTAACACAATTTTGGAATCCTAAACTCTCATCCCAGCCTGCAACAGAGTAAGCTAACTTAAATAATCCCTGGTTTTAGCACTTGAACAGTAGAAGGGTAAAATATGTGGGAGTGAAATGGAGTCTACAGTTTAAAAATAGGTCCATGTGCACAGTCCAAGGTCAGCCTCCAAGAGACAAGCTATGAAAAAAATCTTTGACATTGCCCGAACCAACAACATGTAGAAGAACTTGGATTTCTTATTCCAAACTTCTCTTAGCTATTTTCTTTAAGAACTGAGTAAAAGGCCAGTCTTCTTGCCAGAGGTCTAGAAATAGCTTGTCTTCCTATTTGCCATAGATGTATCTAAAGTCTAGAAGGCATTTCTCTGTTGTTTTAGGGATGTGTCTGGTTTTTTTCTCAGACATTCATGCCATTTCTCTTTGTCAGCTGAAAAGCTTTTATGCTCAAAATTTCACTTCAGAGTTAGTTTGAAAAGTCTACTATAACTATTTCATGGAAAAAAGTCTCCCTCTTGCAAAGTCATCTTATGGTTCCCTTAAATGACATGTATTTGGTATTTGAACATGTATGTATCTGTAACTGAATCTGACCCCCTGTATTTCCACCTCTTCAGGCCCAGACTTCTTAAACACAAGCCTCTCAAATCCAAAGGCTAACACTGAGAGCGTCTGGCTCCATTGTTTTAATCCTATAGAGGTTCTCTGTTTTTTATCCAAATTTTTCAGCTCAGCCCTTCCACTGGGCACCACGGACATGGCAAGCCTAAACCAAAAAAGGAGTCTCTTTTAAGGTGTTTGAAATTAGATCCCTAGGCTTGCTTGAAGTTTCCATGTTCGTTCTTTTGATTTATGGGTCTCATTACTGGGGAAGGCTGAAATATCTCTTCTTTTTCTCCCTTAGTGGCTTCAAAGCACTGTACGCTTGACTACCCAAGTACATTAAAACTAATTTAAATCATCATCATAAGCACTAATGTGTTCAACAAACCAGAAAAGACCTTGGAATCCAAAATATATGGTCACATTTTATACTTAATAGGACACAAAATAGCAAATCCATCAACAAAGTGGTATAGCTTTTTATGGGCACAGGCAAAAAACACTTCTTAAATGTTGCATTGCCTAGTGCTGCCTTTTAAAGGTGAAATTCACATCATCCTTTTCCTTCTGCTCCTGTAAGACAAACTTAATTTAATGAAGATCACTTGTAAGGATAACTTCAAGCGGCAGTAAATGTGTATGGCTGTGAAAATAACAAGATAAATGCCCACATTTGCATAAACCCGAGCTAAAATTATAAGACAGCATCACACATTTTCCAACCTCTCCCGCAGCACTGCCATTTCAACACGTGCAGGTCATATTCAGCACTTCTGTAGCTTAAATGGCAATGTTTTTTCTCCTGCGACATTTATAGTAAGGTACCATTCTCAAAAGAAGAGTAAACACATTGAATTAGTACCAGTGAAACAGAATTTCTGGAATCAAACGTATAATCAAAAAACTTGAGAGAAATTGCTGATCTGTGCTGAAAGCTGTATCAAAATATGAAATTCACTAAAGTATTTTTTAACATGCCATTGATAGCAGCTATCAATTTAAAACACAAATGTAAGATAATACACAAAATTTATCTTGATCTTCTTGCATATTTATCATTATAAATTGGTGATTCCATATCTGGAAAATACTTCAGAATATTAATTCTTGAAAAGAAGGGGGGAGAAAAAGGGAAAACAGGAAGACCCAACTCTTTGATTCAGTGGAAGGTACTACGTTTAGACGTTATTAGATGAGTTTTGGTCCTGGCTTCGATTAGGCAAATCACTTAAACATTGGAAGCTTTAGCTTCTCATCTGTAAAACAAAGGAGGTGGGGTGGTAGACTTCTAATTTTCTTTTAGCCTCTAAGAACCTATAGTCAATGGTCTTTTGCAAAATTAGTTGAAATAATAATGTAATTAATAATTGAATTTTAATGCTAACATAATTCTATTACTCAATGTTTATTACTTTTATAAATATTAATGAATTTCTATATACTTCATCATAGCTATTATTAGTCTACAAGAGTTTTAGAAAGACCATGAAATGCTTCTCATTAACTGTTAAATGGCCCGCAATGAATTGAGAAGTCCCAGTTTATCCCAGGCCAAAGTAATTGGAAACCAAAGAGAGAAACACTCCTAGGTTTCTTACTTTTATGATGAGGTAGAGCACAGAGGATTTTTAAGACAGTGATATTGAGAGGTGACAGCGTGCTGGCAGCCCTCGCAGCCCTCGCTCGCTCTTGGCGTCTCCTCGGCCTTGGCGCCCATTCTGGCCGTGCTTGAGGAGCCCTTCAGCCCGCCGCTGCACCATGGGAGCCATTCTCTGGGCTGGCCGAGGCCGGAGCCGCCTCCCTCGGCTTGCGGGGAGGTGTGGAGGGAGAGGCATGGGCGGGAACTGGGGCTGCACGTGGTGCTTGCAGGCCAGCTAGAGTTCCCGGTGAGCGTGGGCTTGGCGGCCCCGCACTCAGAGCTGCCGGCCAGCCGTGCCGGCCCCGGGCAGTGAGGGGCTTAGCACCTGGGCCAGCAGCTGCAGAGGGTGCGCCAGGTCCCCCAGCAGTGCTGGCCCACCAGCTCTGTGCTCTATTTCTCGCCAGGCCTTAGCTGCCTCCCTGTGGGGCAGGGCTCGGTACCTGCAGCCCACCATGCCTGAGTCTCCCCCACCCCACCGTGGGCTCCTGTGCGGCCTGAGCCTCCCCGATGAGAGCTGCCCCCTGCTCCACGGCGCCCAGTCCCATCGACTGCCCAAGGGCTGAGGAGTGCAGGCGCATGGCGCGGGACTGGCAGGCAGCTCGACCTGCGGCCCCAGTGGGAGACCCACTGGGTGAAGCCAGCTGGGCTCCTGAGTCTAGTGGGGACTTGGAGAACCTTTATGTCTAGTAAGGGATTGTAAATACACCAATGAGCACTCTGTATCTAGCTCAAGGTTTGTAAACACACCAATTAGCACCCTGTCTCTAGCTCAGGATTTGTGGATGCACCAATCGGCACTCTGTATCTAGCTAATCTGGTGGGGACTTGGATCATTATGTCTAGCTAAGGGATTGTGAATACACCAATCAGCACTCTGTCTCTAGTTCAAGGTTTGTAAATGCACCAATCAGCACTCTGTGTCTAGCTCATGGTTTGTAAATATACCAATCGACACTCTGTATCTAGCTAATCTAGTGGGGACGTGGAGAACTTTTGTGTCTAGCTCAGGGATTGTAAACGCACCAATCAGCACCCTGTCAAAACGGACCAATCGGCTCTCTGTAAAACAGACCAACTGGCTCTCTGTAAAATGGACCAATCGGCAGGATGTGGGTGGGGCCGGATAAGAGAATAAAAGGAGGCTGCCTGAGCCAGCAGTGGCAACCCGTCCGGGTCCCCTTCCACACTGTGGAAGCTTTGTTCTTTTGCTCTTTGCAATAAATCTTGCTGCTGCTCACTGTTTGGGTCCACACTGCCTTTATGAGCTGTAACACTCACCACGAAGGTCTGCATCTTCACTCCTGAGCCAGCGAGACCACAAACCCAGAAGGAAGAAACTCCAAACACATCTGAACATCAGAAGGAACAAACTCCGGACACGCCACCTTTAAGAACTATAACACTCACTGCGAGGGTCCGCGGCTTCACTCTTGAAGTCAGTGAGACCAAGAACCCGCCAAATCTGGACACATTTTTGCAACCACGAAGGGACAAGAAGAAGACGCGCATCATCCCTCATCACCTCCAGCTGGCAATTTGCAACAACAGGGAACTAAACAAGCTGCTGGGCAAAGTCACCATCGCCCAGGGCGGCATTTTGCCTAACATCCAGGCCATTCTGTTACCAAAGAAAACCGAAAGCCACAAAGCCAAAAGCAAATAAATGCAAACAAAACAAAACAAAACTGCAGGCGGTTTTGTCTTTCAGATGGGAAACACTCAGGCATCACAGGCTCACCCTTGAAATGCATCCTAAGCTATTGGGACCAATTCGACCCACAAACCCTGAAAAAGAGGCGGCTCATTTTTTTCTGCGCTACGGCTTGGCCCCAATATTCTCTCTCTGATGGGGAAAAACGGCCACCTGAGGGAAGTACAAATTACAATACTATCATCCTGCAGCTTGACTTTTTCTGTAAGAGGGAAGGCAAATGGAGTGAAATACCTTATGTCCAAGCTTTCTTTTCATTGAGGGAGAATACACAACTATGCAAAGCTTACAAGTTACATCCCACAGGAGGACCTCTCAGCTTACCCCCATATCCTAGCCTCCCTATAGCTCCCCTTCCTATTAATGATAATCATCCTCTCATCTCCCCTGCCCAGAAGGAAATAAGCAAAGAAATCTCCAAAGGACCACAAAAACCCACGGGCTATGGGTTATGTCCCCTTCAAGCTGTAGGGGGAGGGGAATTTGGCCCTACCCAGGTACATGTCCCCTTCTCCTGCTCTGATTTAAAGCAGATGAAGGCAGACCTGGGGAAGTTTTCAGATGATCCTGATAGGTACATAGATGTCCTACAGGGTCTAGGGCAAACCTTTGACCTCACTTGGAGAGATGTCATGCTACTGTTAGATCAAACCCTGGCCTTTAACGAAAAGAATGCGGCTTTAGCTGCAGCCCAAGAGTTTGGAGACACCTGGTATCTTAGTCAAGTAAATGATAGAATGACAGCCAAAGAAAGGGACAAATTCCCTACTGGTCAGCAAGCTATCCCCAGTATGGATCCCCACTGGGACCTTGACTCAGATCATGGGGACTGGAGTTGTAAACATCTGTTGACCTGTGTTCTAGAAGGACTAAGGAGAATTAGAAAAAAAGCCCATGAATTATTCAATGATGTCCACCATAACTCAGGGAAAGGAAGAAAATTCTTCTGCCTTCCTCGAGTGGCTATGGGAGGCCTTAAGAAAACATACTCCCCTGTCACCCGAATCACTCGAGGGTCAATTGATTCTAAAAGATAAGTTTAATACCCAATCAGCCACAGATATCAGGAGAAAGCTCCAAAGGCAAGCCCTGGGCCCTGAACAAAATCTAGAGGCATCGTTAAACCTTGCAACCTCGGTGTTCTATAATAAGGACCAAGAGGAACAGGCCCAAAAGGAAAAGCGAGATCAGAGAAAGGCTGCAGCCTTAGTCATGGCCCTCAGACAAACAAACCTTGGTGGTTCAGAGAGGACAGAAAATGGAGCAGGCCAATCATCTGGTGGGGCTTGTTATCAGTGTGGTTTACTAGGACACCTTAAAAAAGACTGTCCAGTGAGAAAAAGCTGCCCCCTCGTCCATGTCCACTATGCCGAGGCAATCACTGGAAGGTGCACTGCTCCAGAGGATGAAGGTTCCCTGGGTCAGAAGCCCCCAACCAGATGATCCAACAACAGGACTGAGGGTGCCTGGGGCAAACACCGGCTCATGTCATCACCCTCACTGAGCCCCGGGTACATTTAACTACTGAGGGCCAGGAAATTGACTTCCTCCTGGACACTGGTGCGGCCTTCTCAGTGTTAATCTCCTGTCCTGGACGACTGTCCTCAAGGTCCGTTACCACCCAAGGAATCCTGGGACAGCCTGTAACCAGGTGTTTCTCACACCTCCTCAGTTTTAATTGGGAGACTTTGCTCTTTTCACATGCCTTTCTTGTTATGCCTGTAAGTCCCACACCTTATTAGGGAGGGATATATTAGCCAAGGCTGGAGCTATTATCTACATGAATATGGGGAACAAGTTACCCATTTGTTGTCCCCTACTTGAGGAGGGAATCAACCCTGAAGTCTGGGCATTGGAAGGACAATTTGGAAGGCTAAAAAATGCCCGCCCAGTCCAAATCAGGTTAAAAGATCCCACCATTTTTCCTTATCAAAGGCAATATCCCTTAAGGCCTGAAGCTCATAAAGGATTACAGAATATTATTAAACATTTGAAAGCTCAAGGCTGAGTAAGGAAATGCAGCAGTCCCTGCAACACCCCAATTCTAGGAGTACAAAAACCGAACGGTCAGTGGAGACTAGTGCAAGATCTTAGACTCATCAGTGAGGCAGTAATTCCTCTATATCCAGTTGTACCCAACCCCTATACCCTGGTCTCTCAAATACCAGAGGAAACAGAATGGTTCACAGTTCTGGACTTCGAGGATCCTTCTTCTGTATTGTCCTGCACTCTGACTCCCAGTTCCTCTTTGCCTTTGAGGATCCCACAGATCACACGTCCCAACTTATGTGGATGGTCTTGCCCCAGGGGTTTAGGGATAGCCCTCACCTGTTATTTGGTCAGGCACTGGCCCAAGATCTAGGCCACTTCTCAAGTCCAGGCACTCTGGTCCTTCAATATGTGGATGATTTAATTTTGGCTACCAGTTTGGAAGCCTCGTGCCAGCAGGCTACTCTAGATCTCTTGAACTTTCTAGCTAATCAAGGGTACAAGGTGTCTAGGTCGAAGGCCCTGCTTTGCCTACAGCAGGTCAAATATCTAGGCCTAATCTTAGCCAGAGGGACCAGGGCCCTCAGCAAGGAATGAATAAAGCCTATACTGGCTTATCCTTGCCCTAAGACATTAAAACAGTTTGTGGGGGTTCCTTGGAATTACTGGCTTTTGCCGACTATGGATCCCCGGATACAGCAAAATAGCCAGGCCCCTCTAATCAAGGAAACCCAGACGGCAAATACTCATCTAGTAGACTGGGCGCCGAGGCCGAGGAAGCACCGAGAGCGAGCGAGGGCTGCGAGGGCTGCCAGCACGCTGTCACCTTTCAATAATACTCATTATGATACTATAATGATAGATAGATGTCATTATACATTTGTCCAAACCCACAGAATGTACAAAACCAAGGGTGAACCCTAGGACTTTGGGGAATAATGATGTGTCAATGTAGGTTCATCATTTGTAGCAAATGTACCACTCTGGTAGATGTTGACAATGGGAGAAGCTATGCCTATGGGACGGGGAGAGGGGTTGCAGGGGCCAGGGTATATAGGAAGTCTGGACCTTCCTCTCCAATTTTGCTGTGAACCTAAAACTGCCCTTAAAAACTGAAATCTTTTAGGCCAGGCGCGGTGGCTTACGCCTGTAATTCCAGCACTTTGGGAGGCTGAGGCAGGCAGATCACTTGAGGTCAGGAGTTCAAGACGAGCCTGACCAACATAGTGAAACCCCGTCTCGATTAAAAATGCAAAAATTAGCTGGGTGTGGTGGTATGCACCTGTAATCCTACTCGGGAGGCTGACGCAAGAGAATCGCTTACACCCAGAAGGCAGAGGTTGCAGTGAGCCGAGATCACACCACTGCACTCCAGCCTGGGTGACAAGAGTGAGACTCCATCTCAAAAAAAAAAAAGCCTGTTTTAAAAACTATATTTTGATCCGGGAGTCAACCTGAAAGAGCTTACAATGACTAAAGATGGAACAATTTGAGCAAGAAAATAATAATATAACCTGAAGAATAAAACAAATGAGGCTAAGGTACTACAACTAAACGATTAAATAAATACAAGGGTGAAAAGGGAGAAATCCTCCATACAGAAAACTTACAAATAGTATATGAAGATACATTCTCCTCAATAAACCAATTTCCCTTAGGATCACACTTTCTTCTTTACTTGGGCCTCTATCTTGGCTCTACGCATTTTCTTTTAGACAATAAGTTTATTGCCAACAAAATATGTAGTTGCCAAATAGTAAATCCAGTCCCTAGACTCACATGTAACACTAGATTTTAATTATTTCGGTTTTTAAAAAAATCCATTTCTCTTAGCGTTCAATAATAGGGGTTTGGTCTGGTTCCTATTTTCCCATTCACTTACAGAGATGATGTTTAAATATGTTTAAATAATCTAATTCAGTCTTAGCTAGGTATGAACAATATTAAAATTGGTTTACCATTTTAAAAAGTAAACATTAGAGGACACCTCTTCAAAGAATCACTGCATCACTAAATATTTTTTCCAAATACCACACACCCAAGTATTTGGCAATCGGTAAACTTTGGAATGAGAGAGCTCATGGGTTTTTCCCATAGCAACGGTCGAATGACGTGGCCCTCCACTGGACACCCAGAAAGCTGCCCTAGTCCTGGCTAAAGTCTCAAAACTCTGGACAGGAAAGTACATCGAAGTCCTTACCAGCCTTTCCACCCAAGGCACAGCTATGAGACCAGGCTGTAACCCTAAAAGTCAATGACTATAAAACTTGACTGAGACATGCAATGCTGACTCCCAGCTTTGCACACACATCTGTTTAAAATTCAAATGGCTTGTGCAAACCATGGATCGGTATTCAAATAAAACTTTTAAAGAGACTGTATTCATTTAAAAAGGAAATGAAAGTATGTGCCTATGTCTTTGGGTTCTACATTTCCTGGGGAGAGTTGATAGGCCTTCTAGGACTTAGATGGTAGTAAGCCTAGCAGATTGAGCAAGATGTAGAAGCAGACATAAAGTGGCTTTGAATGAGTCACCAACATCTCAGGGCCCTCTCCACAACACATGAAGCCAGCTCTGCAAACCCAGAGCAGCTCTGCACACTTCACACAACTTGGCAACACAAGCACTGGGAACCCAAGAGCAGCCTCAAGGGCAACTGAGCCATCAGAAACAAAATCCAGCTCTGAATGGCACTCCGGGGCCATGCAAATATTTAACAGGCACATCTAGAGAATTCTCAGTCTCAATTAGGAGAGGACCACCACAGTCAGAATGAAGGGGGCTGCCTAACTGCCTCTCAAGTCTCGGGCAATCCTCACTCAGTAATATTGCAGAGGACTACAGTTTTGTGTGTGTGTGTGTTTTTTTTCTTATTTTAGAAACACGATCTTGCTCTGAAACCCAGGTTGGAGTTAAAGTGGCATAATCACAGCTCATGCAGCCTCAAACTCCTGGACTCAAGTAATCCCCCCACTTCAGTCTCCCAAGTAGCTAGAACAACAGGCACACACCACCACACCCAGCCAATTTTTGTATTTTTTGTAGAGACTGGGTCTGCCTACATTGACCAGGCTGGTCTCGAACTCTTGGCCTCAAATGATTCTCTTCCTTCAGCCTCCTAAAGCGCTGTGATCACAGGCACAAGCCACCACAACGGGCGGGGACTATAGTTTTTACAGCACTTCCTTCTGCCCCAACTCATGGAGCTTCACAATCATGGTGTGAAGAATTACCATGCTCATTTTCTGGCTGAGGAAACCTCAAGAGTTTCAGGCCGGGCGCGGTGGCTCACACCTATAATCCCAGCACTTTGGGAGGCCAAGGTGGGTGGATCACAAGGTCAGGAGTTCGAGACCAGTCTGGCGAAACCCTGTCTCTACTAAAAATATAAAAATTAGCTGGGCATGGTGATGCCCGCCTGTAATCCCAGCTACTCAGGAGGCTGAGGCAGGAGAATCGCTTGAACCCGGGAGGCGGAGGTTGCAGTCAGCCGAGATCATGCCATTACACTCCAGCCTGGGCAACAGAGCGAGACTCGGTCTCAAAAAAAAAAAAAAGAGAGTTTCAATAATTTGCCAGGATCATAAAGCCAGAATGGAATAAAGAGGAAACCTGAACCCAAATGTTCTGTTTCCAGGCCCAGGACTCTTAGACACTATCTGTAGCAGAGTAATACTTCAAAATTAATGAAGTTTTGAAGTACTACTTTGCTTTAAACTTAAGGATCCTCTCCTATTTTTTTTAAAGCAGAGTTCTCTATGTTTTTAAATACTCCATAATAGTTCATTAATTTGAGCATTTTTTTGGTGTCTAATGTACAGGTGAGTTGTGTGTACTCTTTCTTGGAATCTGAAATTTCTCCACATGGAGAAAGATTCCGATCCTACTTTTTACCTTTTGACATCTACTCAAAGAATAGAAGTTCCTCTACCTGTTAGGTCCTATAGATACATCTCAACCCATATTGTCACCTGAATGTGCTACAGATAGTTTCTAAGAGTCCTGGGCTTGGAAACAGAACATTCCTCAACCCCTCAGAAACCAGGATGATTTTATTAAAAGGTTCTCAGCAGGTTTTTGTCTGTAGACCAATGGCCACCTATTTGGATCATACACCGTTCTAGGGAAAAAAAAAAAAAAGAAAAGAAAAGAAAAAAAAAAAAATGCTTACGCCTATAATCCCAGCACTTTGGGAGGCCAAGGCAGGAAGATCGCTTGAGGCCGGGAGTTCGAGACCAACCTAGGCAACAAAGCAAGATGCTGGCTCTACACAAAATTTGTAAAAATTGGCTGGGCGCAGTGGCCCACACCTATAGTTCCAGCTACTCAGGAGGATGAGGTGGGAGGATCGCTTGAGCCCAGGAGTCCCAGGCTGCAGTGAGCTGTGATCACACCACTGCACTCCAGGCTGAGCAACAAAGCAAGACTCTGTCTCATTCAAAACAAAAAAAAAGAAAAAAAAAAGCCTAACCTCCAAAATATACATTATTTACAAATTATATGCATGTTCTATACCAGGATTAGAGAATCTCAAAGTTCCTTCTAGCTTTGCTGTTAACACTTCTGATTGAGTATATATTCTAAAACTACACTGTCTATACAATATGTACATCACAAAACATACTCAAAAATAGAAATTTGGAAGGCTGAGATAAAAATGAAATTTAAATTTTTTTAAGTAGTTTTCCTTTATTAACCCTTTTTATCACTAAAAATGTTTCTTAGTGACTGCGGCATGATTGAATGGGTTTCATTTTTTTAATCTTGGTTTAACACTTACTGATATGGCAATTCAGAGGTCTCATTTTAAGTCCAGTATATGTTAATATTTAGTTTTAGTGTCCGGCCTAGCTCAAAAGAGATATTTGAAAAAGACACATTGATGCAAATGGAAGAAATGTACTTACAAAGTCATAACACTCATATTTCAATCTCATACACTAACTACTCAAAAGCTTTTTGGCTAAAATTAGTAACTTTCCATTTTCCCCAATGTCATTTCATTGGTCTTACAAACTTATTGGAAAATGTTACATTTTGACAAATTTTTATTGGGTTTTAAACTCTCCGGAAGATTTTAGTTTGTTTCCAATATTTTTAAGTATGCAAATATGAGTTAACATGTAACGCACACCTATTGTTTTTAGGAATGAAAATCATGTCACAATGGAACTATTTCTGTACATTTATTTTACAAGTGCTCTCTGTGTAGCACCAGATCACCAGATTTTTTTAAAGGTTACTTTCTTATTCATTGTTAATGTATCACCTCTACTTTGAAAGGACAGATTATGAGTATTAACTTTTAAATTATCTGCAGGGCAACAAGACCACTCATAGCTAAATATCATGCAGAAGGCCAGCAATTTCAAAATGTTTGTCTTTTATAAAAAACATTCTTAACTCACATTCAACAGTTCCTTTAAGATATCTGCTCATTAGCATCTGTGGTATTAGAGATTATCAGCATCATTCTCAATCTCATTATTAAATACTGTAAGATTTTTTGGCTATTTAATATCCTATCATCTGTAAGTCTACCTAATCAGGTAGAGATAATCCTCTCTGAAGAGTCAGCCCCTGTCAACGGAGCACACACGCTTCCCTCGAAATGTCCAGCTGTGAGCAAGGCTGCAGATCTTCTGGCATCTGGACCACAGGAAGGACCAGGGTCAGTCTGGATGTCGACTATTATACAGGTTGATTTCTATTTTTAGACAGAAGTAAACATAAGTACAACATCTATTCTTTTTTTTCTTCTTGCAGCCTTAGTGGAATGTCTCATGCTCCTCTGAGTGTGAGTACTTTGCTGTGGAAAGCAATGCTATTAGGCATCAATGTGCCTGGTCAACATTTAACTTTAATAACCACTTCTAATCCAGTCACCTGTTTTTCTCTACTATTAGAAGACAACAGGATTATTCCTCTCCAAGAGAAATTTGAAGGATTTTTACTGCACTCCCAGAATCCTCTGAAGGTTCTGGATGTCTTTCCTGCTAGCACTCAGCCAGTACTCTAAGGAATGGGTTCAGTTACAGTCACACAGCTCCTTGTACTAAATAAGCGCTCTTCATCTCTTTCCATGAAGACCAGTCACTGCCTGAAATCCTCCTCTGCTTCTGAATGTCTGTTTTATTCTTATCCTTACAACAGATCTCTGAATCAACCACTCCAAAATGGTGTCAGGTAACAACACAATGCCTGCAACAATGCTACGGCTCTTAATTTATGCAAGGTTCATCCCTTGTGGTTTAAAAAAAAACTTTTTCCATCTCACATGCAAAGACACACATAGGCTCAAAATAAAGGGATGGAGGAATATTTACCAAGCAAATAGAAAACAAAAAAAAAAGCAGAGGTTGCAATCCTAGTCTCTGATAAAACAGACTTTAAGCCAACAAAGATCAAAAAAGACAAAGAAGGGCATTACATAGTGGTAAAGGGATCAATGCAACAAGAAGAGCTAACTAACCTAAATATATATGCACCCAATACAGGAGCACCCAGATTCATAAAGCAAGTTCTTAGAGACCTAAAAGAGACTTAGACTCTCACACAATAATAGTGGGAGACTTTAACACCCCACTGTCAATATTAGTCAGATCAACGAGACAGAAAATTAACAAGGACATTCAGGACTTGAACTCAGCTCTGGACCAAGCAGATCTAACAGACGTCTACAGAACTCTCCACCCCAAATCAACAGAATATACAATCTTCTCAGCACCACATTGCACTTATTCTAAAACTGACCACATAACTGGAGGTAAAACACTCCTCAGCAAATGCAAAAGAACAGAAATCATAACAAACAGTCTCTCAGGCCACAGTGCAATCAAATTAGAACTCAGGATTAAGAAACTCACTCAAAACCGCACAACTACATGGAAACTGAACAACCTGCTCCTGAATTGACTACCGGGTACATAACGAAATTAAGGCAGAAAGAAGTAAGTTCTTTGAAACCAATGAGAACAAAGACACAACGTACCAGAATCTCTGGGACACATTTAAAGCAGTGTGTACAGGGAAATTTATAGCACTAAATGCCCACAAGAGAAAGCAGGAAAGATCTAAAATCAACACCCTAACATCACAATTAAAAGAATTGGAGAAGCAAGAGCAAACACATTCAAAAGCTAGCAGAAGACAAGAAATAACTTAAGATCAGAGCAGAACTGAAGGAGATAGAGACACAAAAAACCCTTCAAAAAATCAATGAATCCAGGAGCTGGTTTTTGGAAAAGATTAATAAAATAGATATACAACTAACCACACTAATAAAGAAGAAAAGAGAGAAGAATCAAATAGACACAATAAAAAATGATAAAAGGGATATCACCAATGATCCCAAAGAAATACAAACTACCATCAGAGAATACTATTTGACTTCCTCTATGCAAATAAACTAGAAAATCTAGAAGAAATATGAATTCCTGGACACATACACCCTCCCAAGACTAAACCAGGAAGAAGTCAAATCCCTGAATAGACCAATAACAAGTTCTGAAATTGAGGCGGTAATTAATAGCCTACCAACCAAAAAACGTCCAGGACCAGACAGATTCACAGCTAAATTCTACCAGAGGTACAAAAAGGAGCTGGTACCATTCCTTCTGAAACTATTCCAAACAGTAGAAAAAGAGGGACACCTCCCTAACTCATTTTATGAGGCCAGCATCATCCTGATACCAAAACCTGCCAGAGACACACAAAAAAGAAAATTTCAGGCCAATATCCCTGATGAACATCAATGCAAAAATCCTCCATAAAATACTGGCAAACTGAATCCAGCAGCACATCAAAAAGCTTATCCACCACGATCAAGTCGGCTTCATCCCCGGGAGGCAAGGCTGGTTCAACATATGCAAATCAATAAACGTAATCCATCACATAAACAGAACCAACGACAAAAACCACATAATTATCTCAATAGATGCAGAAAAGGCCTTCCACAAAATTCAACACCTCTTCATGCTAAAAACTCTCAATAAACTAAGTATTGATGGAAAATATCTCCAAATAATAAGAGCTATTTATGACAAACCCACAGCCAATATCATACTGAATGGGCAAAAACTGGAAGCATTCCCTTTGAAAACCATCACAAGACAAGAATGCCCTCTCTCATCACTCCTATTCAACATAGTATTGGAAGTTCTGGCCAGTGAAATCAGGCAAGAGAAAGAAAGAAAGGGTATTCAAATAGGACGAGAGAAGTCAAATTGTCTCCATTTGCAGATGACATGATTGTATATTTAGAAAACCCCATCGTCTCAGCCCAAAATCTCCTTAAGCTGATAAGCAACTTCAGCAAATTCTCAGGAAACAAATTCGATGTGCAAAAATCACAAGCATCCCTATACACCAATAATAGACAGACAGAGAGCCAAATCATGAGTGAACTCCCATTCAAAATTGCTACAAAGGGAATAAAATACCTAGGAATACAACTTACAAGGGATGTGAAGGACCTCTTCAAGGAGAACTACAAACCGCTGCTCAAGGAAATAAGACAGGACACAAACAAATGGAAAAAACATTCCATGCTCATGGATAGGAAGAATCAGTATTGTGAAAATGGCCATACTGCCCAAAGTAATTTATAGATTCAATGCTATCCCCATCAAGCTACCATTGACTTTCTTCACAGAATTAGAAAAAACTACTTTAAATTTCATATGGAAACAAAAAAGAGCCCACATAGTCAAGACAATCCTAAGCAAAAAGAACAAAGCTGGAGGCATCATGCTACCTGACTTCAAACTATACTACAAGGCTACAGTAACCAAAACAGCATTGTACTGGTACCAAAACAGACATACAGACCAATGGCACAGAACAAAAGTCTCAGAAATAATGCCACATATCTACAACCATCTGATCTTTGACAAATCTGACAAAAACAAGCATGGGGAAAGGATTCCCTATTTAATAAATAGTGTTGGGAAAACTGGCTAGCCATACGCAGAAAACGGAAACTGGACCCCTTCCTTACACCTTATACAAAAATTAACTCAAGATGGACTAAAGACTTAAATGTAAGACCTAAAACCATAAAAACCCTAGAAGAAAACCTAGGCAATACCATTCAGGACATAGGCATGGGCAAAGACTTCGTGACTAAAACACCAAAAGCAATGGCAACAGAAGCCAAAATTGACAAATGGGATCTAATTAAACTAAAGAGCTTCTGCACAGCAAAAGAAACTATCATCAGAGTGAACAGGCAACCTACAGAATGGGAGAAAAATTTTGCAGTCTATCCATCTGACAAGGGCTAATATCCAGAATTTACAAAGAACTTAAACAAATTTACATGAAAAAAAAACCAAACAACCCCATCAAAAAGTGGGCAAAGGATATGAACAGACACTTCTCTAAAGAAGACATTCATGCGGCCAACACACATGAAAAAAAGCTCATCGTCACTGGCCATTAGAGAAATGCAAATCAAAACCACAATGAGATACCATCTCATCCCAGTTAGAATGGCAATCATTAAAAACTCAGGAAACAACAGGTGCTGGAGAGGATGTGGAGAAATAGGAACATTTTTACACTGTTGGTGGGAATGTAAATTAGTTAAACGATTGTGGAAGACAGTGTGACAATTCCTCAAGGATCTAGAACCAGAATTACCATTTGACCCAGCAATCCCATTACTGGGTATATACCCAAAGGATTATAAATCATTCTACTATAAAGACACATGCACACGTGTTTATTGCAGCACTGTTCACAATAGCAAGGACTTGGAATCAACCCAAATGCTCATCAATGATAGACTGGATAAAGAAAATGTGGCACATATACACCATGGAATGCTATGCAGCCATAAAAAAGGATGAGTTCATGTCCTTTGCAGGGACATGGCTGAAGCTAGAAACCATCATTCTCAGCAAACTAACACAGGAACAGAAAACCAAACACCACATGTTCTCACTCGTAAGTGGGAGTTGAACAATGAGAACACATGGACACAGGGAGGGGAACATCACACACCAGGGCCTGTCAGTGGGTAGGGGGCTAGGGGAGGGATAGCATTAGGAGAAATACCTAATGTAGATGACAGGTTGATGGGTGCAGCAAACCACCATGGCATGTGTATACCTGCCATGTTCTGCACATGTATCCCAGAACTTAAAGTATAATTAAAAAAAAAAATACTTTTTCCTTTAACAACTCTATTTCATAAAAGGTCTAAATGCTTTCCTTTTGAACATTTTTAAAGGCTTTTGAAGAAAAAAAAAAAACGAACAGAAATCTATACTGTGAATATAGAGTCTAAGAGTCAGTGGAATCACCTGACCCACTGCCTCCCTTTCCTTGAATAGGGCACAGCCTGCCTTCTCCACCCTCTACAAGGGCTCTCCTAGCTATCCCTTCCTTTTTGCTTAAGCCCTCCCTCTTCATGACTATGTGATTGCATTAACTATTTAAACACCGTCTCTCATTTTAGTCTCTTCCCTTCTCTATGCCTGGTCCTCCACCGCCTGGTCCTCCACCACCAGATAAATTTCCCAAAATGTTATTTCACCTGTGTTGCATTCTCACCCTCACTTATGGCTACTCCCCTAATAGGAATACTTCATGTAAAACATGCTCAGCCAAATTCCTTCTTCTACTTCCTCCTCCTCTGAGCAATTGCTTACAGATTTCCTCTCCTCTTGGTCCATCAAATACTACCTTTCCATCCACAGCTAAAACCGGCCATTCTAGCCTGAAACACTCTCTCCCTCCACCACCCTCCTCTGGACTTCATGGTCTGCGCACGTGGCTCCTGTCTTCTCAAAAAGATCATAGCTTACACTCTACTGTCTTCTCCAAAATATAGCATGGCAAGATGCATATATTAGACCCAGCCTATAAATTTTGGTTTTTATTAAACACAATAATATACGATTTTTTATAATTATAGTTACATAATCAGGAACATATTATCTGAGGTGGTTCTTTTAATAAGTAAAAAAAAAAAATTCTTGACCAATTATTATAGACTCATTATGTCAGGAAGAGAATCAAAGCTGTTATATACAAGAGTTGAAAAGGCTCTGGGCTCAATCCCACTACTTTAATGTATACCTAATTTCATCTGACGCAGGACTTCCTGCCATAATGTTTTCAAGCTGAGACATGGAACATTTGCTGTGCCATCACTGTAGTGAATTTGCCAATCTCACCCTCTAGAACAGCGGTTCACAGCCGTTTGGGGATTATAGGCCTCCCTGAGGCTGAGAAGAGCTCTGTAACCATTCCCCATAAAAATACTCATGTACACAAACTGTGTAGACAGTGCTGGGGTGCAGGTAGTCAGATGCCCAGAAGGCCTTAAACCATAGGCCTGGCTGTTTTTTTTCCCAATGGCACAAGGCCTGCAAGTCAGAGACAGGAGGCAGGGAGTGTTTTAGCTTTATATAGACTCCTTCCCAAAACAGTTTTTACATAATCAGCCAAATATTTTTTTAAAAAATACCAATTTATTAGCGTAACAACATAAATGTCAAAAATTGCCGCCTATTGTAAATATCTAGGCATAGATCAAGGCATTCTTACCTTTCCTAAAAGTATCTGCTTAGATCAGTCTGGATGACAAAATAATGTGACCTCATCTTCAGTGACAGAAACCTCCCATTGGTCTGGCCTCCTCCAATTTTGGGCTGAAAAGGATGGGAATTGGGCCTTGCAGTGTTTTTTGCTGTTGTTGTCCAGTTGCTTTTCTCATCAGAGTAAACCATCCCTTTGGCATGTCTAATCCTTCCAGCTTCCACTGGCAACCAAAAGAATCCCTGTTTTCCCTTTTAGACTGAAGATCAAAGTCCCTCCTGAGCTTTTTGGCTCCTATTTCTCTCCCTTTGCTCTGTCCTCCTGTTTCAAAATCACACTGAGGAAAAGCACAGAAAAAACCTCATCTTCATCACTCTTGCCCCAGTCGGGATCAAAGTCCATTTTAGTTTTCCCTGGCAACCACTCCTAGAGCATGTTGTTTGAAGCATTTTATAAACTGTTTATATCAAATGTACTTGAAACCTAATTAACAAATTCCTGAAAAGAAAGTTCTGTTAAAAGTTAGTCATATCAACAAGTAAGAAAATAAATAGCACAATTAAAAACATGGGCTAAAGGTCCACTTCACCAAAGAAGATCTATGGATGGCAAGTACGCATATGCAAAGATACTCAAAAGCATGTGAAAAGATTGATCACTAGAAAAATTCACATTAAAAGCCCAATGAGCTACGACTATACACCTATTAGAATGGCACAAAGAAAAAACTGACAATACTAAGTGCTGATGAGGATGTGGAGCAACTAAAACTTTCATACACGGCTGGTAAGGAAACAAAATGGTATAGTCACTATAGCAAACAGTTTGGTAGTATCCTGTAAAGGATACACATACCATTATCACTCTCAGCTACCTCACCTCTTCAAATAAATGCAACTAGATGCATCTGGTACATATCTTTATCATTATAATTATATATGTGTGTGAGCAAGAGAGAGACAGAGGGAGAGACTGAGACTTCCAGTAAACTGTGGGTTATTTAAGGGTGACTATCCTGCCTTATTTATCTGTTTATGCCCTAATACAAAGGTTGACACATAGCAGGTGTTCATTAAGAGTTTGCAGAATAAATAAAGGAATGAATGCTATTTATCATGTGCTCCATTCCAGATTAGGCACTGGGAATACAGAAAAGACACAGTCTGGGCCAGGCACGGTGGCTCACGCCTATAATCCCAGCACTTTGGGATGCAGAGGCAGGTGGATCACAAGGTCAGGAGTTCGAGAACAGCCTGGCCAATATGGTGAAACCCTATCTCTACTGAAATACAAAAATTAGCTGGGCATGGTGGCGGGCACCTGTAGTCCCAGCTACTTGGGAGGCTGAGGCAGAAGAATCGCTTGAACCCAGGCGGCGGAGGTTGCAGTGAGCCGAGATCATGCCACTGCACTCCAGCCTGGGCGACACAGCGAGACTCCGTCTCAAAAAAGAAAAAAAAAGAAAGAAAAAGAAAAGACACAGTCTGTATCTTTAGATAGCCATCTAGCTAGAAAAAATAAATAAACAAATAATAAAGAGGCCTGACCCAGACAAGACAGTGAGCAACACAAGACTCTACTCGGTGGGCTATGTGGTATGGTGGTAGAGACCTCTTAATCATTCTTTGAGGTCACACAGGCTTGGGTTCAAGTCTAATTCTCACTTACTAGCTGTCATTTTGGCAGGTTACTTGACTCTTCTAAAGAAAACTAATTTTCCAGATCTATAAAAGGAAGGTATTAACGGTGGGGTAGTTGTGAGGCAGTCTGACAGTCAGCTGGTAGGTACCAGCACAGTGTGACCATTGTAAAATTGTCAGACTTCTTCCATAGCAAATGGTAAAGAGCTGCTATCCTGAGTCTCCCAGGTGTCATTATCATCCCACCAAACCTCCCTCAGACCTCCCCGCCACACAGCACAAGCACTAAGGGAATAACCTCCAGAAAAGCAAGTGACCCTGCACTGCAGCCGGCTCTGTTCCAACTGCTCTATGCCTGTGCTGTCCAGTAAATAGTTCAATCATCTGAATGTCTCCTGTCACAAGTAATGCATGCAAAATACCTGACATTACCATTCAAGGGAGGATATGACAGGCAGGAACACAAAGTGTGGAGCAGAAAAGGAGCAGGAAGAGGGAAGAGACAGTGAGGCGTGGATTGGAGAGCAGTGACATATGTGGTTGAGGAGGCAGTAGATGAACGTGTTTACCAAGGGCTTTGAAATGAGTTTAGGTTCTGTGGAGTAGGAAAAGGCACATCCCTCTTCTTGGAACTCCCAGATCACCTGCTGCAAAGCTCCTCTCATTACCTTTATTACAAAGAAATATTATTCTATGCATGTACACATATGCGCAGAATGCAGGTATGTCTTCCACTGACCTGTGAGCTCCTTAACCACCAGGAAGGGTCTGCTAATCGTCATGTGTGTTGGCAGACAGCGCTCTCAGGAGCTTGAGTTTCTCATACCCACTGCTCCAAGCATCTGGGTCTACACTCACAGTTGGATGCCCTGTGAATTCTCTCTGAGCAGCCCTCTCCTGCTTTCAGGATCTCACTAACTACTGATTACTGCCTCCCATAATCAAGACCCAGGATCTCAAACCACTGCTTACCCTTCAAGTAACTCTTGCTCATTTTTCTTCCATACCAAGGAATGAAATCTCTATGGGCCTCCATGCCCTACTCTACCTAGCCTTCCCCAACCACTCCCAGATTCCAAAACCGGTCCCATTCGATCTCTCTTTTCTGGCTGCTCCTTGATTCCTCCCCTGCACTCCCGAGATTTTACACCTACTCTCCTTCCTCATTTTGGTGCAGTCCCAATCTAAATCACACACAAAACCAAGCTTCGTCATCTAAAACCTCAACCGTAAGCAACCATTATCAGCTTTCCCTTGCCCAGAACCTGCCTTTCCGAACCCATTATCACTCCAGTACTGACCCTGTTATAATAAACTGATGGTTATCAAATTCCAACTCAGATTCCTGAAAAAGAAATACAGGGTAAAAAAAAATGTTTAATTCCATTCACTCCCTCAATTTAATTTAATTGACTATGATTATATTATTATGGCCCCCCACAAACACAACATATAATTTCTCAATGATTTAGACAAGTCTGGGATTAGAACTGGTCAGCCAAAAATATAGTTGATTTTAATTTTGGTTACAAAAGATATTTTACTTGGTGTCTCGATATATTTGGCAATGCCCTGCAGGCTGCCAAGTTACAGGTGGCCACTGCAAGGGATGAGTCTAAAGCAGAATTAAAGATGATAAATGTAGTATAAGAGGTAAGAAGGACACTCAAGATGGATACAATACTGTTTCCCCTTATAGCTACCAAAGCTACCAAAATTCATTCAGGAGTATTTACAGCTTAAAAAATATATACAGGTGGGGTTTCTCTCTCCGAAAGAACAATTATGGGTTTTGGTGTTTTTTTTTTCTCCTGTCAGATGCTACTGGAGTAAAAGCAACAACTATGCATTTGCCCCTTTCCTACCCCTAAATTACTATCCATTTACTCTTCCTAGAATGATAATGAACAGAACTTCAATTTTCTCTCATCAAACCCTCAAAGAGAAGAGTGGGATTATAACACACAAAGGCCAATTTAACCTCTGAACACACTAATCAGTACTCTTCGAGTACATGTTTGTGAGAGCTAGAGACTGCCCAAATGAAACTACTGAGCAAAATGAAGAACCAGGAGATGAGATTTCACAACTAGGCTGGGGACAAAAAGACAAAGGGCGGGAACTGGAGGCAGAGCCCTGAGCGCAGATGTCCCAGGCAGGTGCCCAGAGGCAGGCACCCAGAGGCAGAGATGCGAGAAGCAGCCCCAGAGGATCCTACACATCTCCCAGGCTCACTGGCCACTGGTTAGATGAGGCTCTGGCAAAAAAAAAGACATTTTCCTAAGACTTCTCATGTCATAAATGACAAGGAAAAGAACATCTGAGTCTTTCCAAAGACTCAAGCGTATAGTCATTCAACAGTGCTATGGGTTCCTTGCAGCACAGGAAACTTTATGGTCTAGCCTCCAAATATTTTCTACTTCTCAGAACTCGAACTCTTTAAAATAAATTAACTAGGATCTCTAATTCTGGCAAAACAGAGGATAAGATGTCCAGAGAAAATTTGCCAGGATAAAACAACTAAGATTGCTGGACAAAATATAAAATATGGCTGAGATGTCAAGAAAGTAAGAGAAATCTTCACAGGCCAGGAACGACCAGAGAGCATGAATCCAGGGAAATGAGTTGGCTCCAGAACAGGAATTTTCCCTGGAGGGGCATCTGCCATTTCTGGATGCCTAGATTACAGGTTTTAACATGCTTCATGGGGCACAGAGACAAAGCTTGGTGCTGCATAAGGTAAAAGATTAGATCAGAAACCCTCGTGTTAAAACTTTCTGCAGGGGAAACCAAAAAACCAAACACTGCACTGCTGAGAGAACAGGAGGAGTCGCATCTGTCTTAGTTTGGGCTTTGGGTAAACACGAAAACAAGCAACAGCATAAATCTCAGGTGAGAATTCCTAACCCACAAGTTCGCCTTTATGTTGGTTTGGCATTCAAATTAAAAAGTATCTGAGTGATCAAAACAATAATAACCCCAACATTTAATTAAAAGCAACCTGAATGGGTAGTACCCCACTAGGAGACTTGTTAAAAGCAGACACAAGTGCTCTCCTCTGTAGGAATCCTCCTTAAAACAGGATCTTGGCTAGGTGCGGTGGCTCATGCCCTGTAAGCCCAGCACCTTGGGAGGCCAAGGCAGGGGGACTGCTTGAGTTCGGGAGTTGAAGACCAACCTAGGCAACATAATGACACCTCATCTCTCCAAAAAATTTTAAAAATTAGCTGGCTATGGTGGCACACACCTGTAACTCCAGTTACTTGGGTGGCTGAGGTGGGAGAATTGCTTAAGCCCAGCAGGTCAAGGCTGCAGTGAGCCATGGTCATGCCACGGCACTCTAGCCTGAGCGACAGAGTGAGGCCTTTTCTCAAAAAAATAAATAAAATAAAAACTATATCTTCAGGAATTCTAGAAATAAAATTCCAATGAATACTCACAATCAGAAATCACAAAATGAACAAGGAAACAAGCCAGAATCAGAGGAAAAATAAAAGTGCCAAATCAGTCCAGTAACAACTGTAGATTATTAAGACTGCAACTATAAGATACACAATGTATATTTAATATGTAGAAAGAGGTCAAAAATATGACTAAATAATAAGACAACATACACTAAGGAAATTTGAAAAGAGTCAAATAGAACTTTCAGAGATTAAAAAATAAATAACACTTGAAAAGATGACAGTGGGTATAACAGAATAGCAGATTAATAAACTAGAAGAAATCAGCCAGAACCCAGCACAAGAGACACAGATGATTATTACACCTTCCAAGACTTACTACACAATTGCAGCACTTTCAGTAGCATGGCACTGACTTAAGGATACTCAAAAGACCAACACAGTAGGATAGAGGATGGAGAAACAGACTTACATATTTAGAAACTTGAATGAAACATATATGATATGGTAGTTTTTTATAATTTTTTTTATGAGAGGGACAGGGGGAGAATTAGTCAATAAATAGTGCTAAGACAATAAGTTAGCCATATGGAAAAAAAATCACACATACTCAAAAATCATTTCCAGGTACATTACAGGAAATGTGAAAGAAAAAGCTTTTAGAAGAAAATCTAGAAAAATATAGCAATGAGATAGAAATGGATCCCATTTTATAAAGAAAGCATGATCAATGTAACTACTCTGGACAAGAGGCTTTTAAGCATTTTTTGACGAGTTCACTGTAAGAAAGCCATTTTACATAGCAGTGTGTGTTCCAAAAACAAAAGTTTCATGAAACAACACCTACCCTTAATATGAGGGAAGCATTTTGATATTTTTCTATTGCATGCTAAAAAAGCTTTTTAAACTATGCAACAGAAGACTTGTAGAAAAATGTTCATCACGAGGCTGGGCACAGTGTCTCACGCCTGTAATCCCAGCACTTTGGGAAGACAAGGTGGGTGGATCAACTGAGGTCAGGAGTACAAGACCAGACTGGCCAACATGGTGAAACCCCGTCTCTACTAAAAATACAAAACTTAGCCAGACATGGTGGCACACACCTGTAATCCCAGCTACTTGGGAGGCTAAGGCAGGAGAATAGCTTGAACCCAGGAGGCGGAGGTTGCAGTGAGCTGAGATTGCCCCACTGCACTCCAGCCTGGGTGACAGAGTGAGACTCCGTCTCAAAAAAAGAAAAAAAAAAACGTTCATCATGACCCTGTTGTAACAGCAAAACACTAAAAACAACCCAGTGTTCATTATCAGTAGAAATGATAAATTGTAGTATACTGACATAATGGGCTACTGTAAAAAGTAAAAGAATCCCCAGCTTTAATCAGTGGTTCTCAAAGTGCAGACCCCTCCAGCAGCATTCAGCATTGGCACCACCTGCGAGTTTGTCAGCCACCCAAATTCTCCACCCCTCCCCAGACCCACCAAATCGGAAACTCTGAGGTGGGGCCCAACAAGCCGTATTTTATCTAGCAAGCCCTCCACCGGCGATTCTGATTCATGCTCCAGTTTGAGAGCCACTGTTACAGAAGAATGTCAAAAACACCTTGAGCAAGAAAAGCAAGTCTCAGAAGAATACAAACAATATGACATTTGTTTAAAAGTCAAAAACTAAACAGCACAGTATCCAGATATACCTAAAAATGTGGTAACACTATAAAGAAAAGCAGGAAATAACTGATATAAATTATTTTCTGGGAAAAAAGGATAAAGGAATTAACAAGGACCACGTAAGAGCCTCTAAGATAATGACAACAGTGTTTTTATTTCTTCAGCTACGTAGTGGGTACAACAGTTTGGGTTTTTTTATTACTATCCTTTAAAATATGTGTGTTGTAAATTATAATCATTATGAACGATCTCTTTTCTAAAAAGAAAAAATGCTGAACTGAGGTTGAGAATGTCAAGTCGTGAACGTAGAATTATACCCCATGTGAACTCAATTCTAACAAACGGCCTACAAAAAATTGAGTACACAGCAAGTGTTAAATATTTGTAGACTATTAAATGTTTACAGTGATTTGATATGCTTTTGCATTCTTCTCCATTCTTCCGAATTTCTCACAATGCATAAAACAACCCAAAAAGAATTTTTTATCTAGAAAGTATGAAGAAATACAGTAGACTATAAAATAATTTGGTGTCCACCTCACCATCACTCCCATTTCAAGCTTGCTCTCTTTTCCGGATTTAAAATTCAAATCCTGACTACACAGTTTAGCCTATGAAAAGATAATGGTCTTCTATTCTGGTCTCAAAATGTGTTTTTCCTCTCTAATTTTTCAAAACACTTTCATGGAACTCTACGCAGTTTTGCTTACTTCTCATCTCCATATCAAGGTATATAGCCAGTTAGAATTTTTTAAATTAAAAGCAATTTATGTGTCATTTAGAACTAAGTAAAACTACACAAGAAAATCTCTTATAAATCATACAAGGACTGCTTTAAGAAACTCATTTGTTTCTAATTTATTTTCTCCATTAGCAACGTGTTGCTAAAATCACAAGAGAATAGAACATTGCTCATATGAATTAATTCCTATCCATCGGCAACAAGGGGAACCAAGGGTCGGCTACGGCATCCAAAGAAAGGCAATTATGCACAATGAGCAAAGAAGGTGGTTCGAGGTTGCACTGCCAAGAAATGACATATTCCAGTGGAGTTAAACCCCCCTCTTCAAATTTTGGCATTCTGCGGTATAAAAATAAAACTGAAGAACATTGAAAAGCAAAGCTTGCCACCTGCTGCCCACTGGCATAATCGTAAATGTTCAAATTGCATCCTTTTTTTTTTATTTAAACCCTTCTACTAATTGATTGGCATGGATATTTCCATATTGCGTATTTATTCATTTTCACCAGTCTCTGAGAGGAAATGTCAGCCCCTCAAATTTTTAACCAGATGCTATTTCAAACCCTATACATAATCAGCTATAACCAGTGCACCTCTAACCAGAAAGCAAACCCAACTTCCAAATGGTTATATATGTTGTGTACTGTATATAATAAATCCACCAAAATGCAGTTGTGCTCATTATAGTATCCAGACCAGGGAAGAATTCCTTTGAAAATGTGCCAGCTCTGTCCTATGCTTCCAGGCCTGTCATCATTCTAGATGATATGGAATACAAAACCCATTTTCTGATCCTTATAGATTTTAAAATCCAAACATTAATAGCTTAACTCCCTTCAGCTAGTTTATAAATAGTTGATATACATTCACACTACAAAATTTCAAGTAGAAGCCCAGCTAAAACACCTCAAAGATCAGCTTTAAACATTTAAACTTAAATACCTTAATTATATTAATACCGACAAGTGTTTTCATGGGTTCTGAAAATGTTTTCAGTATTCTTTTTCATTTGCACTTATTCTAAAGAAGTCTGAGAAATAAATGCATTTTAGCCTTTTTTTTTTTTTTAGAACAACAATCCTTCAAGTCTCGTCTCTTTCTTCTAACTCTGTAGATTTGCGTATCCATGCCATCATTCCCTCAAAAACAATCCAGAACGCTGCTAAGGAGAAAGTGAAACTTTGAATTAAAGAAGAAAATGCCATCTGAGAGAAAGATGCCCTAACAGCCAGTCACAAACCCAATTAGGACGGTGAATGATGCAAACACGACTCCATCTGCTCTCCTGTCCCCCAGGGAGCCGGGGAGGGGGTTAGGGCTGTGGCCTCTTGAGAGGCTTATATGGCAAACAGTCTCATCACATCACATCGATAACTCCTGAGGCGCTTTGAAATACAACTTTAAAGGCTTCTGCCTGCTGAAACTGTCCATACGCAAAATAGCACCAAAGCTAGTTGAAGTTTTTTCAAGTTTTGTCTGGGAACTACTATAAAGCAGACAATAAAAAATAATTCATTTTCAAGACAGATGGCACCATAATGTTGCACTATTTTCTAGTGTGCATTTTTTCCTAAACACTAGAGGCAGCGTCTCCATACAAAAGAAAGTCCATCCAGCTGCAGCCAGTTAGCTTTCAGATTGCTGTTTCTGTAGAACATCACACACATTAAAAAAAAAAAAAAGTCCCTTTTTTCCCCCACCATAGTCAGCTCAACCCTTTCTTCTAAAACTCTACAGGAGCTATTATTTCATGCATTATTATTGTCAGTGTTTCTGATCTCTTTCCCGCTTGCATCTGATTGTTCACACCTGAGAACACCTAGAAGTGGTTTGTACTTGTAAGGTTAAAGTTTAGTTAGATCTTCCTACATGCTGTCTGCAATTCAGAAGGGTGCCTGGTGCACACAGGTAATGATACAGTAAGTTAATCCTTTAATTAATTAAATCCAGGCCCATTAACACCAGAACTGGGCTTTGACTGAACAGATAAAATATCTGACTTAATATCAACAGAGGGGACAGTATTACATGTTTTGTCCTATGAAAATATAGCTCTCTACTAAAAATGAAAAAAAAAACCACTTACACTAGAAATGATGGAAGAAACATTCCAGTTATCAATTATTCATTGAAACTAAAGACTATTTAGTTTGGCTGCTAGCACACTGCCTGGCACACAGTAAATATTCAACAAATACATGTGAAATTGAAAGTCCCAATCATTTCTTTTGGTTTCTTGTCAAAGACTTCCTAATGGAGCTTGATCAAATCCTTGTTTTTCATGAACATCCTAAATTATTTGAACATAAAGCTGAGCTTGATCAAATCCTTGTTTTTTATGAACATCCTAAATTAATCTGAACATAAAGCTGATATGGATATGTAAGTTTTTTAAAAGAAGTATAGCATTTCCTCACTAGGTATGAAAAGCATTTCTGATTCTGTGAAAGGCAATTACCATTATTTTTATCAAGCAGCATGTTACTACACTACTTCACAAAGCAAATCACAAAAACTTTCCTAGCAACTTTAGACCTTAATAGCTAAATTAAATGAATATAAGTCTGAAACAAAAACTGCTTTATTAATAGTATCAAATACATATGCAATTTTTGTGTCATACTGTTACTTATTTTATATTATTTTAAATAATAACTAATGAGAATGCAGTCCAGCTAGGAAGACATTTAGAGCCTAACAACCTGTTGGTTATTATACATCTGTGTGTGATTACCCAAGGTTCCTTTCCAGTTCACCAATACAGGATAATCAAGATGTAGGACTTCTGTCACCTAAAGGAGGAGGAATATAGGTGAGTGGATCACTCCTAGTGTAGCAAGAAAAACACAGAGAAGATACACGGAAGTTGATATCGATAGGGGTAGAGATAACAAAAAGTAGTTATGGCAAAGCTATAAAGCCAACAAAGATAAAGGTAGAAAACTCTTGAACATTTGAAACAGGAAAAAAGACCTTGATTATTCTACAGAGCATGATGTGTTAGTTTGATCAACACAGAAGGAAATCAAATCTGGTTTTGATTATGGGTTGATGAATTTGAGTCTAGGGATAGAGTGTAATAAGGAACAGGAAGCCTTCAATGATATCCCCTACTTTCCTGTTCCTAAAGAGGATAAGATTACATATCATTCCATTTAACATAGGTAGAGAGAGAGATCAACATTAGACTACACATAATTCCTTAACCCGAATCCAAAGGAATTATTTTCTTGACTGGCAGTCTGAATCCTTCCTGTTTTAAAGGGAATCAGATCCCTCTCCTCTCAAGTCCCTGTGCAAGACAGACACTCCACAGGGCCAGCTCCTCTAGGCCTCCCTCTCTCTCATCTGCCCAGCAGCCAGCCTCCCAGGCCTTCCCTCACACTCTCTTAGCACCCCACCTGACCTGGCTTTCCAGGGTGAGCCTGACACTTCTTCAGTGACTATCAGAGCCATCTTCATATTCCTCGGAGCCCTACACAGAGCTCCTCTGTCTGACTGTCAAGGCTTTCCATAATTGGACCTGCCCACTCAATCTCATTTCCTGCTATTCTTCAATCCCCACAAAGAGATCAATTCCCCAACAGGAGAATCATTCCCACCCTATCGTCCACCTGTTATTTATTTAAAGGCCAGACTCTCCTTCACTTTTCCAAGTCCTTCCAACTCTGGTCAATGTTCCTTTAGTCCAGTCCTCCAGCCCCTGCCAATCTCCCCCTTCCTTACTCGCCATTAGAATTTATACTATGCACCACATAGTTTAGCAGCTTATTAGGTATTATGCTATGTTATTCAGTATTTTGCAGACACATTAGCCTGATCCCTCCAATTGGAGTACCTAGAACAGTAGTTGGTATGTGGATGGCACTCAGTAAATATCTGCTGATGGAATGAATGAATCAACTATTGAGAATCTGTGTTCTGGGGGCCAGGAGGACTGAGATTCTATCTTCACTATGGTGAACCAGAGATAACGCAACCAGTTAGAAATGCACAGAGAACTTGGAAAGTTATAGATGGTTCAGTAGTATATTACGATTTATGTCTGTGTAAGTCAATAAGCCTCTCAGAAGACCAAAGAATTCTGAAATAAATTACCCAGTCAATGAGTAACAGATTGTATTCTTGTCCTCATGGACAAGGGGGGATTTTTTACAATCCAATTTAAGACGTTTCTTCCAAATTTGAGCATAAAAAAAACCAGAGTACTAATAATATTTTTTGCATAAAAGTACCTTCCCTTGGAGAATTCTTAAATATTTGATAAAAACAATCTTTAATATGAAAAGAGCTCTTAGAAATTAAAGAAAATTATAAGCACATGTAACAGAAAAGGGTGTGAAGATGTTAGTTATCCACATAAAAAATATGAAGGACTTATAAAAATGTGGAAAATGTTCAACCTCACTAAAAAAAACTAAGAAACACAAAATTGCTTCATAAGGTGATAAGATCACACTTCATAAGACCATTCAAAGCCACTAAGACTTCACAGACAGCAATTTATTTATTAAAGACTCATTTGACAGAAGCCGCATTTAGTCTGCTTAAAATATTAAAGGAAAATAATCTAATAAACATAATGCCACTGACTTACATATTTACTTTCACATAAAAGTCACTAAATTAAATTAATACAAAGCAGCACGGCAACAAAGAAATTAATCAAGGAGACTGTGAAGTGTTTCAACTTTATGTAAAGCATTTCAAATATGCACACTAAATTTTCCAACTGTTTAGACTCACAGGTCACCTTTCACCTTTCAAGACGTTAAAGCAATTAAGGTGTGAAATGCCTGCCTCACTACACGGAAATGGTTTTTTCTGAATTTTTTTTAGCTCCTTCAAAATAGCTTCATTAAGCCAGGAGATAAATAGGAGCCACAGGAATGAAAGAGGAATGGAGAGGGAGAGAAAAGAGCTTCATAAATGGGGCAGGGGAAAATGGTTGCTTGTGCCCAGGGGGTAAGGAATGGGAATTGGGAGAGTGTTTCCTTTCAAATTTCTTTTCTTGGAGTGAAGTGCATCCTAATGTCAAAATGTCTATGTCTTCTTCCCGTCTGAGTTAAGAACATCCTTCCTAGAAATATAATTAGGAAGGATTAGCTGCTGCATAAAGAGGCTTTGAACAAATTAAGGAAGACTGATGCCTCACTTCGAATGCTGTCCATCAAACCTCCAAATACCAGCACTTGGCAAAACACCAACGTCAGGCAAAGAAACAAAAGGCAGTGCTCTGAAAGCACTGAAACTCTCGGAAAGAGAGTTTTTTAAAAAATAAATTCTGTGTCTACAGTAGACAGTCCAGCTAATTCTAAACATTTGGGAACAGCTCTCTATATTGGTAACTGACTGTAATGAATAGGTTGTCACATTTCCTTCATGAAACAGAATATGTTTTAGGTGAATCTTTATTGTTTTGAAAATAAACAATTTCTGGTCAAACAACAGTGGTTTACTTGAGAATTCATAAAATAACTACAATTTTTCACTTCTTTATGCCTTTTATTTGAATTTGGGGCTTCAAAAATACTGTGCAAAGTATTTTTCCACTATTTTGTTAAGCGGAGTCAGACACTGACATGTAAACGATGCAAGGAGAACATGGAACAAAAGGTCAGGAAGCCTGGGTTCAAGTCATGACTCTGCTGCAGCCCTGCTGAGTGACTGTGGGCCAGGCATTCAGACACTTGCAGTTATAAAACTTTATGGTTTGTACCGGTTGAAAATTCTGGAAAGTTGGAAGGGAAAGTTGTCCCTAATTTTTGTTCTCTTTTTCATTATGCTCAAATAATAACTTTCTTTTTTTTTTCTTCTTTTGAGATGGAGTCTCACTCTGTTGCCCATGCTGGAGCGCAGTGGCGCAATCTCAGCCCACTGCAACCTCCACCTCTCGGGTTCAAGAGATGCCCCTGCCTCTGCCTCCTGAGTAGCTGGGATTACAGGCACGCATCACCACGCCCAACTAATTTTTGTATTTTTAGTAGAGACGGGGTTTCACCATGTTGGGCAGGCTGTTCTTGCACTCCTGACCTCAGGTGATCCACCTGCCTCAGCCTCCCAAAGTGCTGTGATGACAGGTGTGAGCCATCACGCCCGGACAAATAATAACTAGCAAGTGCCCAGGATAAATTCTATTCAAAGATACTAATATTGATTAAATATTTCTTCTGTGTTTTGGTGAGAGCTAACTCCAATTACTCACACTACTCTAGAACTGTATGATCTCTAAGTGAAAAATAATTAAAGTTTGTCTGAATGTCCCTGTTTGCTTTCTACCAGCACTTGAGCCAAACTTGTGTCAAGGTTCATATCAATATTTAATTGAATATTCATGAGTACTAGGAAATTTCAAGCCCATAAACTGGATTTATAGTACCAGTTTCAGTAATTTTCCCAAGAGGCTGGCTGCCTGGGCTTTGCCGTCAGCCTTTTCCTTGTTAACATGCCTTATGTCTATCACAGCCATTCTAAGTGCAAGGAGCAAGAAGATTCAACACTGCAAGGTCAAGAACATAAGACACAGAAAATTAAATATGGTCTGATCAATGAAAACCCTTATGACATCCAGAGATATACAAGAAGTGGGTCCCATCATTTGCTACAAGTACCGTAAAGAATGGGACTTTATGGTACTTGAATAGCTGAACTACTTACTGGCCTGGGATGGTGACCAGGATGATTAAGTAAAGTTTTGCTAATTCCAATCAGTGACTTTTTGAATTGGTTTCCTGAGATACAGCTGGGATTACAGGCGCTCGCCACTATGCCCAGCTAATTTTTGTATTTTTAGTAGAGACAGGGTTTCACCATGTTGACCAGGCTGGTCTTCAACTCCTGACCTCATGATCTGCCCACCTCAGCCTCCCAAAGTGCAGGGATTACAGGTGTGAGCCACCACGCTAGGCCTCTCACATGGTTTTGAAGAGATTAAATGAGACAACACTCAAAAAGTACTCAGAATTGTGTCTGGCACAGAATAATTGGTCATATTAACTATTATTATTACATAGCACCAAAACATTATCCTGATTTATTTCAATTGTATTAGGAAGCAAACTCTATCCCAACACCTCCCATTTTTAGATACAAACTTTGAGTTTCCACCAGACCCAGCGGTGTGAGCAGAAGTGTGAGGCAGTGACCTCCCCAACTCTGTCCTTGTCTCTCCCACCTCCATGCCATGGTCTACTCTTCTTCCGAACTCAGTCTCAGGAGGAAAAAATTAAGAGCTGCTCACTTCCAGCTCCTCAACACACTACCTCACCTCACCATTTTCCCCATGTGTCTGTTTTTCTCAAACAACAAAATAGGTCTGACCAATAGCTAATGATATGATCAAACTTTACATGGTTTTCATGGATTAGGAAGTCCTTCTCAAACTACCATACTGCTATATCCAGTTGGGCTTGGTGATTATTTCAAAAAGGTCTTATTGTAGAATTTCTTTTTCTTTTTTCTGAGATGGAGTCTTGCTCTGTCGCCAGACTGGAGTGCAGTGGTGCGATCTCAGCTCACTGCAACCTCCACCTCCCGGGTTCAAGCGATTCTCCTGCCTCTGCCTCCTGAGTAGCTGGGACTACAGGCGCATGCCACCACGCCCCGCTAATTTTTGTATTTTTTTTAGTAGAGAAGGGGTTTCACCATCTTGGCCAGATGGTCTTGATCTCTTGACCTCATGATCCAGCTGCCTAGGCCTCCAAAAGTGCTGGGATTACAGGTGTGAGCTACTGCGCCCGGCCTTCTTCTAGAATTTTCACATATACATACCTATACAGCAGTATTAAGAACCAAAAAATGGTCAAAGGGTATAAAATGTTAGTTACGTGGGATGAGTAAGTTACAGAGATCTAACAAAGAGCATGGTGACTATAGTAAATAATACTGTATACTGTATACTGGTAATTTGCTAAGAGAGTAGACCTTCAACATTCTCACCACAAACCAAAAATGGTAACTATGTGGGATAAGAGATATGTTAATTAGCTTGATTGTGGTAATCGTTTTACAATGTGTACATATTTGAAAATATCATGTATACTGTAAATACATACAATTTTTATTTGTCAATTATACCTTAGTCAATCTGGGATAAAAAGAGCCAAAAATTGAAAAAAATCCAAACATCCATCAAGAGCAGAATAAATAATGAATTGTGGTACACTCACATGATGTGGTAAGCATTGGTGGTATAATATAAATGAGCAAGCTATAGTCACACAACTGCATAGATGAATCTCAGACATAACACTGAGTGAAAAAAAACACACCGTATTATTTACATACAGTTCAAACACAGGCAGAACTGATCTCTGGCATTGGAAGTTAAGAGAGTAGCTCCCTCCGGTGAGGAGGAAGATGGCTGAGTCTAAGAACAAGGGGCTTTGTGGTGCTGGAAATGTTCTATTTAATGTTGATGGCACTTACATGAATATGTCACTTTGGGATCATCACTAGACTGTACACTTTTGACTTTTGTACTTTTCTGTATGTAATTTCAATTTAACATCTTTTTAAGTTTAAATAAATATGTATAACACGATAAAATCAGTGATTGGTTCAAATTTTTAGTTCTCATCCCATTCCCCAGGTGTCATGAATTGAGCACTGAGCACCTTGGAGTGAGTTCCTTTTGTTCAACTTTCGTTCAATGCCTTTTTTTTCCACATAATAAAGTAGGATCAAAACCTTCAACTACCTCACAGACTCGTTGGGCAGACCACATACCATAAGGAATGGAAAATACTCTGCAAAATGTTCAGGGCTTTACAAAGGCAAATGCTATTATTCCAAGAGAGAAGGGTACGTCCTGCAATATAAGCATTCGTGAAACAATCCATAGACAAGGATTTAGACATTATTAACACTTATTTTCTCTAGGCAAAACTCTAAATATATATATATTAAGCAAACATTGATTGGAGCCTTTCTGTGTACCTCTGTGGACAAAGAGATCAAAGACTGTGTTGTGTCATGACAATGTTAAGTACAGGAAAGCACACAAGAGAAACCTGGGAGAGAGTTGGTGGGGTTGAGGTGGGGGTTCAATATTGAGCAAGGTCCCCTCCTACAGTCTGAGAGATCGTTTAAGGAAATCATCCGTTTGACTACTGACCAATTCCTTGGATCCTTTAATAAGTTCAGACAAGGTCCCAGTAATAACTATCAGTACTGCAACAAGCTTGAACTCTTTCCCCAAAGTGTTTAACTATTGGCATAGCTTTATAATGGGATTTTTTTTCCTTTACTACAAATAAAGAGAATGAGCTTACGTTTTATTGTTACTATTGTCAATTAGGAGGTGGCATACTTCAAGGAATATCCCAGAAGTTCTTCCATCCTTGGAGATATCATAGCATTAGGTTTTTGAAGACTCAGGACCACACTCAGGACTATAAGAAACTTCATCTTTTTATTACTCTTTATTACAGAAAATTTCAAAAATATAAAAAGAATTTTGTAAGAAACCCCTATGTACCCATCATCAAGCTTCAATAATTACCACCTCAAGCCAATCTTATTACCTCTATACCTCAACCCACTGGATTATTCTGAATAAAATCTCATATATCATATCATTTCATCTGTAAATACTTTAACATGATTCTCCTCCTTATGAACATAACTACAATGCCATCATCACAGCTCCCAAAATCAACAATCATTCATTTATATCATCAAATTACCAATGTTAGCATGTTCATGATTGTTCTATAAATCGTCATTGTTATCTTTTTCTTTTATTAGCAGTTTGTTTGAAACAGGATAGAAACATAATCAAAATACTGTGATTGGTTAATGTGTTTCTTAAGCCTTGTTTAAGCTACGAGGCGTCCTTCCATTACTTTTTTCTCTATTTTGTGTCTTTTTGGAATTGTTTTGTTGAAATCTTAGTCAGTAGCTTGGTTTTCAAGCAACCTTTAGAGCTTTATATTACCTTATATTACCGTTAATCTTCATATTTATCAAGTTCTAATTAAATCATATCCTAAATATGGTTATTTTTAAATATGTCCACGAATTCTTTGATATTTCTCCATTTAAGCAGTGCAGCATACTTCTACCCCCTCTGAGTGAGGACTAGACTTAGCAACTCACTACTAATCAGTACAATAAGGTAAGCGTGAGGGTGTGGCATCCTTAAGACCAAGACCATAAAGGCACTGTGGCCTTCTCCTCGCTCTCCCTAATCTAGGATCACTCACTCTGGGAGAAGCTTATGGCCACATTGTGAGGACACTCAGGCTGCTCTACAGAGAGGTCCACATAGAGAGGAAGTGAAGCTTTCTGCCAACAGCCAGTGCCAGGGCTAAGGCCTCCTGCCAACAGCCATGAAAGTGAGCCATCTTGGCAGTGGATTCCCCAGCCCCAGTCGAGCCTTCAGATGACTGCCACCCCTGCTGACTGCTTGGCTGCAGCCCCTGGATTCCTGACACAGACTGTCAGTCAATAAATGCATGTTATTTTAGGTTGCTAAGTTTTGGGGTGATTTGTTACACAGCCAAAGAAAACTAATATGCCAGGCTACCTAGCCTCACATCATTGCCTCCCCTGGATACACCCTTCTCCTCCAGTTGTATGTATCTGAATCCAACCATCTTTTCACAGACACCTTCTCTAAGGAGCCATCCCTGGACTCCACTGCACTAACACTCCAAAATCTGGAAACAACTGCTCTTTCCTTTGATTTCCTAAGGAACTTTATTTGTATTTGGTTCTAAATCAAGTTGCCTAAAACCAATTCAGCCAAAGGTAAAACCAATTCATCTAATCCCCACCTGCCTAAAATATGTGCTTTTAACACTACAATTTTACCAAACTAGCTGTTCCTCAAACATCTCAGGCACACTCCTGCCTCAAAGCCTCTGCCTCACCCCTACATATCTGCAGGGTTCATGCACTTATCGCAGGCCTTTGCTTAAATGCCTCTCAGTAGGGTCTTCCCTGGCAGCCTATTTAAAACTGCCACACCCCTCACTCTTCCCCACCACACACCAACCCAGCATGTCCTATCTGCTAATGCAGTTTTATTTTCTCCACAGCACTTATGAATATCTAATGTGTATTTTAATTATGTCATTTATCAACTGTCTCTCCCTCTCTAAACTGTAAGTTCCAAGAAAGCAGACATTTTATGTAGTTGCCTAGTGTTATCTATCCTTAGCTCCCTGAACTGTGCCCTCATACATAAAATATGCTCCATAAAAACTTGTTGAATAAGTGATCAAGATGATAGCACTTCATGTGACACACAATGAACGTAACACTAAACATTTTGGCATGTTAGACATATTTATGTATATAGTTGAATACTTTAAGGAGGCTTAATCAATCTCCTCCTTTACTGGTTAAACACAAAACCTGAAATATCCTAAAATAGGCAATCTGAAAGATAACTTAAGGATTGTAACATTTCTCAAAAGTAGCCAAAGTGGGCCTATCACATGTGATTCCTTGGCCATTTGATTAAACATGACTCACTGTGATTATGTCATAACCTAAATTAATCAAAGGGCTAATTCTATAGCTTTGTATAGTTTCCTTTGTATAGCTCATTTGTCATTTCAAAATCTCCTTAAGAGCAGGACTGGATCTTGTACATCTTAATCTTCTCTGCAGGGACTAGATAATGGGGCAAACTATATAGTTTATTAATATCAGGATTGATGGCACCCAAGGCCATCTCTTCTCATCTCTTCTCTTTACTTAAAAGTGCACCAGTAGGCACACCCATATATACATGCCTATAACAATGCTACCATAAAAAAGCATCTTCATTCAGCAGATGAAGTCTCCAAAGCAAACTGCCTAATGACTTTATTTTACCAAAGCTGAGTCAGAGCTGAAACCTTAGCCTCCTCTTTGACTCACAACATTCTTGTCTAAAGTACACCGCGGCTACCAAAAGGAAGGAAAAAAAATAGACTGTTCCTTTATCTGACATCCGACATACGGTTCTTACTAACAATCCATATATATACATCATAGAGGGTCAAATTCTAACAGTGGATGGTGATATTGAAGATGAATAATGTTGCTTGTAAATTACTTTACAGTTTATGTAAGTCATAATGCTAGAAAAAACTAATTGCAATTCACAGTAATCTGACTCTTGATCGCCAAAGCATAGTTCAACACAGAATTGTTTTTTGTTTTTAATATCCAAAACAATGTTGGAAGGGAGATGTCTAGCTATGATATAATCAAAGCTTTATACCGTTCCAAGGACACACAGTTATATTCATGTTCTGGCACACACAAAAAAAGCACTACTATCCTTTAGAGAAAAAGTTAGCAAACTACAGTTCATGGGCCAAATCCAGCCCACAGCCTGCTTTCCTATGGCCCAGAAGTTAAGGATAACTTTTATGTTTTTTAATGGTTGAGAAAAAAATTTAAAAAAGAATAATACTTCATGACCTGTGAAATTTATATGAAATTCAAATTTCAATGTCCATAAAGTTTTATTAGAACACAGTCACACTCATTAATTCATACACTGTCTATGGCTGCTTTTGTGCTACCATGGCAGAACTGAGTAGATGCAACAGAAACCGTATGTCCCACAAAGCTAAAAATATTTACTATCTGTCCCTTTACAGAAAATTTTTGCCAACTCCTTCCTTCAGGGCATGGATGCTGAAACGTGACTGCCTCTGTTTAAATTGTAATACTGTCACTTAGTAACTGTGGGACCTTGAACAAACTATTTAACCACTCTGTACCTCAGTCTTCTCATCTGTAAAATGGGTTTAATAATGTTACCTTCCTTACAGGATCCTTGTGAGCTGTAAGTGAACAATACACAATAAGTGTTTAAAAGAGTACCTGGCACATAGTAAGCCCTTACTAAGTATTAGCTATACCTATCTTACCTTTGCTTCTTGTTGAGGGCTGCAGAATGTGTTTTCCAACAGCAAAGTAGCATTTCAAACTAGTCCCTAAATCTAGCTACCACAATAGAACTGAAGTATTATGAGACAAGAAGAAATTAGAGAATAATGAAGAAAAACAGAAAAAAAAAAAAAAAAGAGGATTGAGGAGGGAATAGGAGAAAAGAAAAAGACCACACTCAGAAGAAACAGTAGGTGGTCTATTCGAAGGGGAAGTAAAAATAAGGATAATTTCATCTATAGCAACAGACTGAATAACTTCTGTGGGCTGACTGGATACTAATCACCATATGGAAGCTGTCTCTGCAGAGGGAAGAAGCATTCTAAATTCCAAGCAAGTGACTTACAAATGAACTGCTACGTCAAGCCCATTTTTAAGTTGGGAACTTCCTGTATTTTACCTTCCTAGACAAATGACAAGTGATAGTTGCAGTACATTCTGCATCTTATTATCCATACAGAATAGCTCATTAAGAGGAGACAATTTGTTTAAGGACCCGGTGCAGCTGAGTGGCTGCTTGTAATGCAACTCAGAGAACGGGGTAATCTTTCTTCTCTGAGTTCTCATTTTGTTCAGAATAGCACTTACTTCCTAACACTAAGAAAAAAAAAACCTTGTTCCCATAAATAGAAAACAAGCTCATTCACCAAAAATGGACCCACACGGCAACTGGGAGATAAACATGGTGTTAACAGAAGGTACACTTAACCTGCTACTGAGGTTGAGAAATTCTCTCTTTGCAAGGACTCCCTTTCATTTGAGTAGTTTCTCTGTGCAAGCTGAGTTCTTACCTTTTCCAGATAACTTTAAAAATAACACTGTTTCTTTTTTTAAATTATTATTTCAAAACTCTATAAAGCAGCTCCCCCCTCAAAAACAGAATTTTTAAACTAACAACTTTATCAAAAATAACTATTTTTATCATTCCCTTCCAGTCTTGATCCCTATAATCCTCATGGTTGCCATGGGTTGTACTTATGGTAAAATTTCCTGCAGAGGCTAAATACACACACCAAATATTTTTAAGAGATTCCATGTGTAAAGCCTAACGTGTAAAGCCTTAAGAAAGGAAAGAAAAACATTATTATCCAAGTGATTTCTGCAAATTGTGCAGGAAAGGGACAGTGATTTAAAGCAAGGCATCCAAGAGAGTAATTAAGATGATCCTTAGCTAAATGAAAGTTCGAAACACTCACTGAGAATGTATCTGCTGGGGGAGTCCCACTGAAGGCTTCGGCTTGAGGGTTAAGGTCATCTGGGCCACAGGGCTGACTCTTGGTAGAGTGTCTGCCTTCTTAGATGAAGTATGCTTTGCTGCTTGCTCAGGAGGGCCCCACGAGGAAGCAGCCCCAGGACTCTGCCCTCCAAAGACTGGTGACGAGGTGTCCTGGGCAGCTATTGTTTCACAGGCTTTGCCCTTGGTCCCTGGTTTACACACACAGAGTTGTGGCCGGAGACACATCCCTCCATTCTGACATGGCGGAACACAGCTAGCTGCAGAAAGAAAACAGAAGGCACAGCTTTGAAGAACAACATTGTAGACTTCCTAATTTTTCCAAAGGGTTAACAGTAGCATCAGGTTGTTTGTTCTCCAATAAAAAACCACACAAATACTCATAAGGAGGAAGGTGGGGCAGTTGGGCGGAGGAGGGGGAAGAGAGCTAATATTAATGGCTTCCTATGTGACAGGCACTGTTCTAAAATATATAAACAAATGTAATCCCCCAGCAACGTGTTTTGTAGATATTTTATTGTGCCCACTTTACAGATGAAAAAACAGAAACAGAGATTAAGTGATTTGTTAAACATTATATAATTATTACTCAGTAGAAGAGCTCGGATTTGAAACCAAGTGAGCCAGCTCCAAAGCTATCATTCTTAACCATTTTACTGCATCTGCCTCCCAGAAATGCATCAGAAAATCCAGGAAAAATCGTAAGAAAATGCTCTGCCATTATTTTAAAGTTATGTTCTGTGGCTTAAATTTAAATATACGCTTAACTTAAAATTTAATTTAAAATTTTTTAAGCCTAAATTTTTTGCCAAGACTTGGCAAAAAACAAAAGTTCAGTCCAATCCCCAACCCCAAAAAGTGCTCTCCTATAGACCTCATGTTGTATAGGCTATCAGATCTTCGAGAGACTGTGTCAGAAATTTAGTCCAATCTACTCTTTGACATACGAGAAAACGAGAAAACCAAGGGCAGAAAGGTTGAGAGTCGCCCAAAACACACCTGCTAGTTTGTATAAAAATCCAGTGTGCTAGGCACCATTCCGAATTTAATAATGAAAGGCAACCAAAAAGAAACAACTTCTTCATCTCCTATTTGCAAGGATGTATGTACTCTGAATCACCACACTCCTGACCAAACAGAGTTTTAAAGTTATCAGTCCAGGCACAGTGGCTCACGCCTGTAAGCCCATCACTTTAGGAGGTCATGGTGGGAGGATCGCTTGAGCCCAGGAGTTTGAGATTAGCCTCAGCAACGTAGTAAGACCCTGTCTCTACCAAAAAAAAAAAAAAAAAAATTTAATTAGCTGGGCATGGTGGCACGCACCTGTAGTCCCAGCTACTCAGGAGGCTCTTGAGCTCAGGAGGTCGAGGCTGCAGTGACCGTGATCACAGCACTACACTCCAGCCTAAGCAACAGAATGTAACCCAATCTCAAAATTAAAAATTTAAAAAGAGAAGTTATCAGGGCTGTGGGTCATTGGTAGAGTAAGTAGGTTTTATGATAGGCAAGGTCCCTTAGAAGTTTAGATGCTACTGGCTGGGCACAGTGGCTCACGCCTGTAATCCTAGCACTTTGGGAGACGGAGCCCGGTGGATCACTTGAGGTCAGGAGTTCGAGACCAGCCTGGTCAAAATAGTGAAACCTCATCTCTACTAAAAATACAAAAACTAGCCGAGTGTGGTGGCAGGGGCCTGTAATCCCAGTTCTCGGAAGGCTGAGGTAGGAGAATCACTTGAACCCAGAGGACAGAGGTTACAGTGAGCCGAGATGGTGCCACACATTGCAGCCTGGATGACAGAGGGAAACTTGGTCTCAAAAAAAAAAAAAAAAAAAAAAAAAAGAAGTGTACATGCTACTGACTTAAGTTTTATTATGTAATGTCATAAGCTTATGGCCATGATTCCTTCAGTCCCTTCTTTATTTGTTCAAATACATTTACTATGCTGCCCTGTTGCTGTCAGCTCACCTTTTACATAAACTGTTGGTCCTGAGGCAGATCACACTATCAAGTCTCCCATAAAGTTCAAAACAAGCTTCAGTCCACAAAGCAATTACAAAATAGACAAGCAAAACGAACAACAGGAGACTCAGTTATGAAGATCCAAAAGACCAAGACCTAAAAGCCTCAAAACCTATTGATTTTCTATAAAAGAGACAAAATAATTTTCCCATCTTCCTACAATATGATGCCTATTCGTTACAGCAAGTAATGATTTTTCTAAAATGGCCCTTGGGTGTCAGAATACCAAGCTGACAAATTTTCAGAAAGTTGGGAAGGATTCTCTAAAAGAAAAAAAAAAATGGAGCCAGCTCCCTAGGTGACCTTGGAGTAAGCCACTTAACCCTGGCCTCTGCACTTGTGTGTGTTTGGGGGTTATGAGGAGGGCAGCAGCGATTTGTTCTAAAATGGTCTCCACAATATGAGAATAAAGGCTGTTCCCACACTCTGCTTCTAGAATTCTAGTTCAAAAGCTCTGTGTTTCTAGAATTCAGAATTCTAACTATCAGAGTTTCCTGACCAACTGAGCAAACTTTGTTGCTATATCTGAGATGCTGTCCTGGGTCCCTGCTCAGCCATGGTTATTTCTGGAATGTCACAGGAATGGGAATGGGATCCACCCAAGAGAACAGAAGTGGCCACAGCAAGGACTGAGCTGGGCTTTCAAAGCTGTGCCTTGGCCTGAGCTCACCACCCAGGCCCTTTCATGTGTGCCTTCTCATCATGCTTTCAATTAGAAACATGTTTCTTTTTAACATCTGAGAATGATTTCCGCTTCTCCTCCCGCCCAAGGTACACTGCAAATGTGTTTTCTACCAGGAAGGCTGTTTGGTGCAAAAGCTGGCACCTAGGGGGAGGCCAAGGACTGACATCCTCCAATGTACCACCAAGAATGAGCCGCAAGAACCTGTTTTAAGGAAGACATGGATGGTTAGCATTTTTTTTTAACTCTTCAAATTTTTCATGTGGTAGGGTAAGGGGGGTGGGGAGACAGTCATAAAAGTTAAAAAAAAAAAACTTTGAACTTACAAATATTTTCTACTGGAAGAAAAGTAAAGAACGTGTTATATAATATTACAGCTATGTATATAATACCTCCCTTTGTAGTACATTTTAAAAGGACAATTAGGAGAATGAAAAGACAATTTTCTCTTCTACCTACCCTACCTAGACTCAGACAGGTGCCCCCTAGAGCACGGAGATGAGGAGGGGCTGGATTGAACTGGAGGAGGACAGATTCCCTAACTCCCAAGAGAAGCCCGTCATCTGACATAAAAAGCAAAACTTGTACTTTGGGAGGCCGAGGTGGGCGGATCACAAGGTCAGGAGATTGAGACCATCCTGGTTAACACGGTGAAACCCCGTCTCTACTAAAAATACAAAAAATTAGCCAGGCGTACTGGTGGGTGCCTTTAGTCCCAGCTACTCGGGAGGCTGAGGCAGAAGAATGGCGTGAACCCAGGAGGCGGAGCTTGCAGTGAGCCGAGATAGCGCCACTGCACTCCAGCCTGGGCGACAGAGCAAGACTCCATCTCAAAAAACAAAACAAAACAAAACAAAACAACTCATGTCCTTCTATCACATTTATCAAGCCCCTTTTCCTACAATATTTGGGCCCATGCAGTAGCAGTTCTTACATGGCAGCAAGCATCAGTGGTTCTCACAGTATGGTGCCCAGGCCGGCAGTATCATCCGGGAAAACTTTGAAACTACATATCCTTGGGCTACCCCAAGCCTGCTAAATCTGAAACTGGAGCCCAGCAATCAGTGACTGCCCTCCAAGCGACGTCGATGCACACTCAGGTTTGAGAATCACTGACACACAACATCTGGAAACAGGTCTTCCAGCAGCAAGTTTCTGAGGACTTATATTTTTATACTTGCAAGCTTTCATGCTGTAATTGCTTTTAGGCTACTGAATTCTTGGCTATGATAAAAGTGTTTTATCTTGCCATTTTTATTGCAATTTTAGATGTCATTTTCCATATCTATACATTGCCAAAAGTCTACACATTTGTCCCCATCTACTTCATGGCCAATGCAAAAATTCATAGCATTTACGTGAAAACTTATTATAACTAAGGTGTTGGACTATGTGGAATATTATAAATATTGTCACAGAAGTACCTTTTATTTTTATTTATTTATTTTTTGAGACATAGTCTTACTCTGTCACCCAGGCTGGAGTGCAGTGGCACGATCTTGACTCACTGCAACTTCTGTCCCTCAGATTCAAGCAATTCTCCTGCCTCAGCCTCCCAAGTAGCTGGGATTACAGGCATGCATGCCCAGCTAATTTTTGTATTTTTAGTAGAGATAGGGTTTCGCCATGTTGGCCAGGCTGGCCTTGAACTCCTGACCTCAGGTGATCCACCCACTTCAGCCTCCCAAAGTGCTAGGATTGCAGGCATGAGCCACTGCCCCCAGCCAGCCAGAAGTACTTTTTAATTTAATTTTATTTTTTTTCCCATCAGTTGATTGCTTTTTCCTGGCCAGCACTGTGCTGTGGTTCAGCTCGATGAGTGGAGGCTGAGTGGAGGCTATATCAAGATCTTATCAGTGGATTGGGCGGTGGTTCTCAGGCTTGGCTGTACATTAGAATCACCTGGGGAACTTTTAAAACTCCCCAAACCCAGGCCTAACTCCAAACAGATTAAATCAGAATCTCTAGCGGGGGAGGGCTCCAGGCTTCAGTACTTTTTTAACTCCCCAGGTGACTGAAATATACAGCCAAGTCTGAAAAGTAGTGGGTTAGGAACAAAAACCTAATCCAGGCTTGCGGACAGACTAGTCTTCTAAAACGCTACTCTTTGAATCATTTTTTTCCCTTTCATTCAAAAACTTTCCACACATTTTAGCTGACCAAGGGTAAATGTTAAGGCCATCTACATCTAACCCAAACCCCCTTTTCCACCCTCACTTCTCACTGGTCTACCCCTGCAGAAGCTCACCCAACCTCTGGGATTCCCACCTCCTTGTCTCTGCACAGAGGGAGCCCTATGCAGGAGCACAGGCCCCTCAATCCAATGAGAACAATTAAAACCTCCAATGCCTTCAAGCCCACCCTTCTCCCACCCTTCTGTATGAAGTCTCTCCCAAATGTCCACTGACAGGGTTTGGTATGAGTCCTACCAAATCTCCTGTTGAATTATAATCCCCAGAGTTGGAGGTGGGGCCTGGTGGGAGGTGACTGGACTATGGGGCAGAGTTCTCATTAATGGGTTAGCACCATCCCATCCATGCCGTTCTTGCAATAGTGAGTGAGTGGGTGATTCTGAGATCTGGTTGTTCAAAAGTGTGTGGCACCTCCCCACTCTCTCTCTTCCTCCTCCTCTGGTCATGTTTTGTGCCTTGCTCCCCATTTGCCTCATGCCATGATTGGAAGTTTCCCGAGGCCTCCCCAGAAGCACAAGCTGCTATGCTTCCTGTACAGCCTGCAGAACCATGAGCCAGTTAAACCTCTTTTCTTTATAAATCGCCCAGTCTCAGGCATTTCTTTATAGCAGTGTGAGAAGTGACTAACAGACCCACCCACCCAGCCCTATCACGACCTTTGTACCATCTGGCTCTTGTCCACTGTCATCATTCACATTCCACATGCTAGTCAACTTCTTACAGTTCTCTCCTATTTGCCAACTAGGTTATAAGCTGTGAGGTCAGTTAAGTGACTTATGCAGAACTTTCTGTAGCCTGGGATAGGAGCCTAAACTTGGTTGACTGACTGATATAAACATAGAGCCACTACTTTCCAAATGATGCTGGGGGATTTAAGGACGTCTATAAAGGAAAGATGGCCAATGGTCTCTTAATTCATTACATGGTAACATCTACACTTGCAGACTTGATTTGCGATTTATTCAATCAAGCAGTCTCCAATCCTTCAAAGCAGATGTTTTTCCATCAAAATTAAATTCAAGTAAACTCTGCAAAGACACAAAGTCTGCAGTGACATTTAACCTTATGTTATAGTTACAGATAGAAACAGGTTCAGAAACCAGATCCAATGTGTTGTAGAGGAACTCTGAAGAGTAGCGACAGTGAAGCAAACTGGTCAAGGTCAAAGAGAAGAGAACATCACAAGGGGCATAACATTTAGGAGGTTATTGTAGGCACTTAGGAGATTGAGTCCAGCCTGTGCAACATAGCAAGACCCCATCTCTTAAAAAAAAAAAAAAGTGGCCAAAACTGCCACCAAGACAGCGATAAACTCAGATAGTGGGCTTGCAGAAAGCCCACTGACATCAAGATCTAGGTGAGCAGGTTAAGCAACAAAACCCTACACCATCCTGGCTACCAGGTTGGTCTTCTGAAAATACTTTCATCATTTGAAACAGTCAAAATTGAGTTAATTCTCAATCTGTGCGCCAAGTACTAAAGAGTCTCAGATGTCTTTCACATTCGTATCTACTCCAGTTTGACAAGCTGATCCTAGAGTTCTTTAAAAGTTCAGTGATTGTATTTTTAGGAAGTAACCCATGCCCTGAAGCTCAGCTTCTACTGTTTTTAATTCTAAAAAAGTAACCCTTAGTTATATTTAAAACTTGTCTCAGTCCACACAGTGCAAACAGTGTGACTCTCTGCCCCTTGCCTTTCTCTCCAAACAAGTTGCAGCATGTCTACCGCATGTGTCCTGGGGAGAAATGTGAGTCTAACTGTGTCTTCTGTGATCAGAGACAGCAGGTGAGAAATTGCTTTGCTGTGTGTGTCTTCACAGTAATTCCCAGCTGCCCTTTGAAGTCATTCAATAACACTAAGTGATATCAGATCACAAGAAATATAGCATGAGGTCACACATTTTAGTCTACTCTGTCTGCTTGCTCCTTGTACCAAATCCAAATAAATGCTGTTGTTTCGTTGTAAATGTCTCTGGGTTAGCCTCCTCCAAAATCCCTAAAGAGAAAAAAAAATTAGCATAACATCCCAATGCCTTTTCTATCCAGTCTCCTGGAATAATGAAGAATTCCACATAATGAAATTTTCTAAATACGTGGACCATGCCCATCAATCACCAATATATTTAATAAATCTTTACAGGTCTTTCATCCTTATGAAAATCTATTTGAAACCTGTGAGGGATGGGTGTTTGCTTTCATTGTTCTCTCTCTTCCCTCTGAGTCAGATCGTCAAGTCACACAAGCATTCTTTCCACCCTATTTTCCTACCCTATTTGCCTTTCTAATCTTACGAGTAACAACTTCACCAACCAGATAGTTGAGCATAGCAAAAATTAAAGGGACTACAAGTCACAAAGGCTGGGTACAGAATCTCATGTTTCATTCAGGAGTTTAATGCCTTTATGTCAAGTACACAGCCCCAGAATTCCCAGCTCCCCAAGAGCTGTGTTCTGGAAGCTTGAAGTTTTCTAAACCTAAGCTCAGCAGGAGTGGTTGTTAACCATGTGATGTAATTTAAAATAGGTGGTCAGCTGGGCCCAAACACACTCTTCCCAATACCGTCAATAGTTGTAAAAGCACTCACAGAATATAACGTAATTAAATCACAAGTCCTGTAATACAAAACAACCAGCAGTTTTCCTGGATTGTTTCTGATCTTATCACTGCCATGTATAACTTTTTTTAATCACAGGCATTCAATGAAAAAAAAGAAAAAGTTAAAATATCTATCTACAGTTTAGTGTATATAAGCATTTAACATTAATTAAAATAGCAAAAGGGAAAAAAATAACCCAGAAAAAAAATTTTTCTGAAAATGCTATTATATAAAAAAAATTAATAAAAGTTGCCTTTAACAAAGGAAGACCAAAATCAAAAAATGAAAAAAAGAACAGAAATAGATAATTTAGACAGAGGGAAATGAAATTAGTAAAGAAACTTATAGGGTAATGTCCAAATTAACAAAGTCATCAAAAGAGATGAACACTAAAACAAGGAGATACATCACGGCTAATTTTTTAGAAAATATAAATATTAGTACTAAGTGCTGCAAAGGAGGTAAGGAATATGGTACAAGCCTTTTTAGAAAGCAGTTTAACAATATGTTTCAAATATTTCAGTAGCCTCATTTTTAGAAATTTATTCTAATAATCAAAAAAAGGAAATAACTGGGCATACATATATGTAGGTGTCCACAGCAGCGCTATTTGTGCCAAGAAAAAATTTAAAAGAACCATAAAGGTTGAGTAGAATATGGTATTAACAGCCATTCAAAATTAGAACTATAAAGTGATACTACCAGCTTTTAAAGCATTGATAAAGTGAATTAAAACACGTTATTTCATTATTCACTGCCATTCACTCCTTAAGCACCTTCTCTAATAGTATAATTTTACTTTGTGCATTCATGCTAGTATATATGTATGATGAGTACATATTTTGAAAAATCTTGGGTTTTACAGACTGTAAACTATTATGCACATATATTGTTATAACTGTTATCTTTAGAGTTCATTCAAAGGAAGACAATACCTTTCTAAATAATCTTTAAATTTGTTTTAATCCCATCCATGTTATCTTTATTCATCCAATTGAGCCCCCTCTTAAATGCCTGCATTGTGCCAAGAACTGCAGACAAAAGATGGAGACAAATTTCTTGCTCTCAAGTAGATCAGAGTCCAATAGGAAAGACACAAGTACAGAAAAAGAATCACCATACAGCTACGTGTCATAATAACAAAGGTGTAGAAAGAGGAACATGGCGGCCTTAATTGGACAATTGGCAAATATTTGTGAGTTATTATATTCAAGGGACCATAAAGGATACAAAGAATTCTTAGAAATGGTTTGTTTCCTTGAGGAGCTACTACCGAGCCTGAGAGAAAATCAAAAAATGTGACTACACACCTCCTTGCCCAAGCTCATCTACTGATGAGCAGACACGTACAAGAGGGAGCTATGCTCTGGGGTCACAGAGATTTGAGTGTGAAGCCCCCCCCACCCCATCCCAGCTCTGTGCCCTTGGGCAAGTGGCCAAGTTTGACTCATGCCTTATTCATTCAACAAAATACTGAGTGACAATTCTATGCTCAATTTTGCACCAGGCACTGTCATACGCCCTGTGGCTAGAACTGGAAACAGAGATGATGTTTTTACATCATCTCTGCCCCTTGGCATTCACAACCCAGCCAGGGAGACCCCACAGGGAAAGTAATTATAACTATTACCAGTCTTTCGGAAAGAGAAGAGGAGTGTCTGATGGGGGGTGATCACAGTGGGGGTCAGGGAGTTAGGAAAGACCTCCCTGAGACCATGAATTTAACCAGGAGACCTGAAATCGGAGAGAAATAAATAACACACGGACCAGGCCAAATGTCAGTGTTAAAATCTGCCACAGAGCAGCAAAATGGGAATAGACCCCACTGATTCAGGATTTATGTTTCATAAGCGATCAGGTTTGGGAGGATAAATTATAATATATTCTTAAATATATGTGTCTAGTATGCAGGTCCAGTATGATTTAGTATAATCACCAGAGACATCATCCTGTAAATCAGGAACAAAACACTAATGCCCACTGTACTAGCTTGCCAGGCTGCCATAACAAAGTACCACAGAGTCAGGGGCTTAAATAACAGAGATTTATTCTTTCACAATTCTGGGAGCTAAAAGTCCAAGGTCAATGCATCAGCAGAGTTGGCCTCATTCTGGCTTGTAGATGGCCGTCTTCTCCCTGTGACTTCACTCGGTCTTCCCTCTGTGTCTGTCTCTGTGTCCAAATTGCCTCTTCTTATAAGAACATCAGTCACACTGGATTAAGGCCCACACTAATGACCTCACTTTAACTTAATTACCTCTTTAAAGATTCTAATTCCAAATACACTCACATTCTGAGATACTGGGGATTAGGACTTCTATAGAAGAATTTTGGGGAAACAAAATTCAGCCCATAAGCCCTACCATCACCTCTGTAACAATGCTTTTCTGGATGTTCTAGTCAATTCAAAAATACATGGAGGGGAGCTGTGCAGTGAGACAAGCCCACTCCTACATGCCAAGAGGAGTGTACACTGGTACAGACTTTCTGTAAATGACTGGCCATATTTTAGGATTAAGCCCTAAAAATAATCATCCTGTTGTGTCTTGTCATTCCTAATCTAGGGAATTTTGTATGCAAATATGTCCACTGCAGTATCACAACCAATATAGTGGTAAAAGTTAGAACCATCCTACCCATAAAACAAGTAAAGAATGGATTAGGCCGGGCCTGGTGGCTCACCCCTGTAATTCCAGCACCTTGGGAGGTCGAGGCAGGCAGATCACGGGGTCAAGAGATCGAGACCATCCTGGCCAACATGGTGAAACCCCGTCTCTACTAAAAATACAAAAATTAGCTGGGTGTGGTGGCACGCACTTGTAGTCCCAGCTACTCGGGAGGCTGAGGCAGAAGAATCACTTGAACCCAGGAGGCAGAGGTTGCAGTGAGACAAGATCAAGCCACTGCACTCCAGCTTGGTGACAGAGCAAGACTCCATCTCAAAAAAAAAAAAAAAAAGGATTAAAATCCTAGAATGTGATACAGTCATCAAAAACAATGTTCAAAAACTTTTTTTAATTGATACATAATATTTGTACATGTTTATGGGGTCCATGTGATATCTTGTTACCTGCAGAGAATGTGTGATGATCAAGTCAGCATATTTAGGGCATCCATCACCCCGAATATTTATCATTTCTATGTGTTGGGAACATTTCAAGTCCTCTCTCCTAGCTATTTTGAAATATACAACACATTGTTGTTAACTTTAGCCACCTACTCTGCTATCAAACTCAGAATTTCTTTCTTCTATCTAACTGTATGTTTGTGCTCATTAACCAATTTCTCTTCATCCCCCCCACACACCCATGCACTCTTCCTAGCCAGCCTCTGATTGAAAAAGATTTTTAATGACACTGGATAATGCTTATGATGTAATGCCACTTCCTCTTGAACTCCCTTCAATCAGCCTTGTGCATCCACTTTTCCGCTTTTCCACGGAATCTGTTCTTGTCCAAGTCATCAGTGGCCTCCAGGCTGCTAAATCCAGTGGGAGTTCTTGGTCCTCTCCATTCCTGACCATCAGCCATGCTGGCCACAGAGGCCTGGTCCCTCCTCCTCCCCATGTCCCCCCATGGCTGCTGAGCCACCACGCCCTGCCAGCCTTCTCCCACTTCACTGCCATCCTCTGCTCTGTCTCCTGTCTCCTCCTTCTCTCCCCACCCTCCAAATGTCAAAATTTCCCAGGGCCTCCTTGATCCTTGGACCCTTCTCCTGAAGATCTAATTCAGTGCCCGAACTTAGATGTCTGGCCTTGTCCTCTTATTGGAACTCCAGATTTCCACATCCAACGGTCTCATCGATGCCTCCATGTGGGTATCTAACAGGCTTCTCAAACTTAGCATGTCTTCTGTCCCCTCCATCCACCCCAAACTCTAAGACCTGCTCCTTCCTGGCATTCACTGCCTTAAAAGGGACGGCCATTCACAAGGTTGCTCACCAAGTGTATTAGTTTACTAGGACTGCCATAACGAAGTATCACAAAATGAGAAATTTACTACCACTCAGTTCTGGAGGCTGGAAATCTGAAATCAAGATGTCAGTAAGACTGGTTCCTCCTGAGGACTGAAAGATAATCTATTCATCCTTCTCTCCTAGATTCTGGTAGCCTCAAGCGTTCTTTGGCTTAACAGATGTCCTTATTGCTATATCTTCACATCTTCCCTCTTATTATATGCTTATGCTGAAATATCCCCTTTTCATAAAGACATCAGTCCACTGGATTACGTCACACATACACACTCTCTGGAATGGCCTCATCTTAAATAATTACATCTGCAAGGACCCTATGTCCAAAGAAGCTCACATTCTGAGGTACTGGGGGTTAGGACTTCACGTGAATCAGGGAAGGGCAATATTTCAGACCACAACACCAAGTTATCACTATATGTGACTCTTCTGTTTTCATCATAACACACATCCAATCCAGCTCCAAATCCTGTTAGCTCTACTTTAAAGACATCCTGAATCTGACCATTTTTCTCACCACCTCCCCGCAAACCCTTCTCCCAGCCACCTTATCCCCTGCAGTCTATTCTCACCAGAGCAACCAGAAGGAATCTGTTAGAACCAAACCCAGATGACATTACTCCTCTGCCTCAAACCCTCCAAAGGCTTCCACCTCACTCAGTGAAATGCAAAGCCCTTATTTTTACAGCCTGCAAACCTCTGCCATCTCTCCCATGTCATTTCCTTGCACTCCCTTGAGTGCCACACTCCGGTCACCCTGGCTTGCTTGCTGGTCCCCAGACACACCAAGCCTGCTTCCATCACAGGGCCTTGCACTGGCTGTGTCCCCACCTGTCATGTCCTTCACCAGACAGTCACAGGCTCCCTTCCTAAAACCACTCAGCCTTCTCTGGGGCTGCCCTTCCCAAAACAGCAGCCCTTGTGCCTCTATCCTCCTACCCTGCCTTGTTTTTCTTTAAAGCACTTTTCCCTACCTGACATCATATTGCATATTTATCTGGTCATTGTCCACTTCTTCCAGTAAAGTATAAGCTCCACAGGGAGAAAGACTATTTTAGTTGCTGCTTTTGCCCTGCGCCTAGAAGATAATCAGTTAGTAATCGTGGAAGGAGTAAATGCATGAATGAGGGCTGGAAGGCAAATAGACTTAAATGCTAACATGAATGAATCATCTACCTATAAGTGGTGAAATTACACACAGTGTTAATTTTTTGTTTATACCATATTATACTTTCCAGATTTTCTAAAAGTCTGTTATTACTTTTATTGTTTGGCAAAAATCAATAATATTTTTTTAAAAAAGAAATGTTAATTCACTTAAGGGCTACTTTAAACATACTTAAATTTTTAAGGGCTGTAATTTCTACAATCTAAACAATATGTGAGACAGAGTACTATTCACTCGACTATATGATAAATGTACTATGTTGGAACTTACATTATTTTTACTTTGAAACTTATTCTTAACATACTATTAGTGGTTCATATGACTAGCACTATTATCAACATGTATAATCTGTTTGAAAAGTTGACTTTTATTTTCATCAGGCAAAAATGTTAAACAAGAAAAGCTTTTTTGAAAACTGGGGCAATAAAAAATAAGCTTTATAAAACAGAAATGACTGCCAACTTGCAAATCAACATCTGAAACTTGGTTTCAAATAAAGGGAAAAAAAAGACTAAGAAAACATAACTTACTTTGATTAGCGAGTGTCATATAGTGGCTAAAGCCAGAGTCCACTGAAGCCAGACAGTCAAAACCAAGCCCCAGCTCAACACTGACTAGCTGTGTGGCCTTGTTTCTATTATCTTTTTACATCTCAATTTTTCTATCTGTAAATGGAAATAATACAAAGAGCGCTTATATGTAGATTAATTAATACATGCAAAGCACTTAGGGACAGTTCCTGGTTCAGAGTAGCACCAGACAGATGTCAATTATTATTATCCTATGCACCAAATTCATCCCCCACACGCTCCAAAATAACCTTCAAAGAAGCTCTTGAGAGGCAAGTCACATTTGTATATGGGATAGAATTTTCTTTCTACTATTGGAATTCTACATTAACCTAAAACAGCCTTTCTCAATGAGTCAAGCACAATATGCTACCATTTTGTTCTTTCTTTCTCACATTTAACCATTCAGCGTAAAACAGTGATAGCGGCAAAATGACAGCCAGCAGCATTAAGCTAAAATAAAATGCTACGTGAGTGTTCTCATGCTCAAGGCTCATATTTCCAAACTGTTCTTAACTGAGTAAAAGCTACAATGAATGAGACAGAGTCTTTTAAAATTACCATTTGATTTATTTTGACAGCATTCCTTCAGGTGAATTAGTAGCATTATGTGACTAAGGATGGAACAGCCTAGAAGAAATGCAATCCAAGCCATGCCATAGATTTTTGATGCTAAAATAAAAACCCTTTCAAGGCCGGGCATGATGGCTCACGCCTGTAATCCCAGCACTTTGAGAAGCCGAGGCGGGCGGATCACTTGAGGTCACGAGTTCGAGACCTACTTGGGAGGCTGAGGCAAGAGAATCACTTGAACCCAGAAGGCAGAGGTTGCAGTAAGCCAAGATCGTGCCACTGCCCTCCAGCCTGGGCGACAGAGTGAGACTCCGTCTCAAAAAACCACCCCTTTCAAATGTCACTGATGCCCAAGTATCATCGTAGAACACAAACATTCGCAGGCTGTGGATACAGCCCCTGCTACAGAGACCACAGTAATTAGACTTTGACATGCCAAAAGGGAGCAGCAGTTGAAGCCTCACTGTGAAATATAAGGCCATTCCTCTCCATGGAAGGAAGCTAGACAGCAGATGATGCATTTGCAAACAAAACACACGATGCATCTGGCTACTAGCTCTCTTACTGTGAAAATGTGGTATAACTATTTTCAGAAATTAAGCTGAAACAGAATTGTGGACTTTAAGGGCTCATCAGGGAATAGCTGAAAGGAACAAGCAAAGCTCTGTTTTCCAAGCAGTAACATATAAAATTTAAAAATGTTCAGTAGGTTTTCTCGGGTCAGGCATGGTGGTTCACACCTGTAATCCCAGCACTTTGGGAGATCAAGATGGGCAGATCACTTGAAGTCAGGAGTTTGAGACCAGCCTGGCCAACATGGTGAAATCCCGTCTCTAATAAAATACAAAAATTAGCCGGGTGTGGTGGCTAGGTGCCTGTACTCCCAGCTACTTGGGAGGCTGAAGCAGGAGAATCACTTGAACCGGGAGGCGGAGGGTGCAGTGAGCCAAGATTGCGCCACTGCACTCCAGCCTGGGTGATAGAGCAAGACTCTGTCTCAAAAAAAAAAAAAAAAAAAAGGCTTTCTTATTTCTGACATTCTGAATGGAGAAATTATTCTAGTAAATATATTCCCCCTCCTATAATCTCTGATCTGAGTGAGACTCAGAGTATGTCAGAAGTAAGCAAATAATGTGTAATCACTAAACAAATATAAATTTAAATAATCATTAAGAGCAGGCCAGGTGCAGTGGCTCACGCCTGTAATCTCAGCACTCTGGGAGGCTAAGATGAGCAGGTCACTTGAGGTAGGGAGTTTGAGACCAAGCCACGATCTCTTAAATACTATGTATTCCTAGTACTGATTTTTAAATTTTTTCTTAGATTTCTTGCCAGTATTTGTCATCACTGGCTCACACAATGATTAGGGACAGGCTTCTGTGGAGTGAGAATGAGGAAGAAAGAGAAAAAAGACCATTGTGGTTCTTCGTGGTAGCTAGTCTCTAAAGATGACCTCAAATGATTCTACCCCTCCCTACCACTTTATGCTGCTACTCCCATCAAAAGGCAGAGCCGGCCGGGCACAGTGGCTCACGCCTGTAATCCTAACAGTCTGGGAGGTCAAGGCAGGCAGATCACCTGAGGTCGGGAGTTCGAGAGCAGCCTACCCAACATGGTGAAACTCCATCTCTACTAAAAATACAAAAATTAGCCAGGCATGTTGGCGGGCGCCTGTAAGCCCAGCTACCTGGGAGGCTGAGGGACGAGAATTGCTTGAGCCTGGGAAGCGGAGGTTGCAGTGAGCCAAGATTGTGCCACAGCACTCCAGCCAGAAACACACTGTCTCAAAAAAAAAAAAAAAAAAAAGGTAGAGCTTATGTTCCCTCTCTCTTGAATCTGAGCTGGACTTGTCACTGTTCTGAAAGTGACATGCAGAAGTGCCATACTAAGACCTGAGAGCCCAGGCATCAGGAAGGTCAGGCAGCAACACTTCTTCCTTCTTGGGACCTAGCCATCATGTAATGGAGAAGCCCAAGCAACCATGTGGAAAGGTGCACCTGGAAGAAAACTGAGGTCCCCAGCCAACAACCCCAGCTAAGCTCCCAACTAGCAGCCAGTGCCACCTTGCCAGTGATATGAGTGTGCCACCTTGGAGGTAAATCCTCTGCTCTCAGTCAAGCCGTCCACGCTGATACATGGAGCAGAGACAAGTTGTCCCTACTGAGCCCTGTCCAATTTAAATTGCAAAACCATAAGCAAATAAATGGTTGTGTTGGTTTTAGGTATTTTGTCATCTTGCAGGAATAACTGAATCTTCCCAAAGAGTCACTTCACTTCATTCCAGGGCTTCTGCTAATTCCACCATGCTGAGCCTGCTGCATTAACTCTCACAGCTGTGGCTGTATGAACAAGTCGTCAAAATAAAAATCAGCACAGATATGATTAATAACTTCATGAATCCTGTGATGCAGGGAGAAGACCCAGCATAGGCCTCCATATCCATGCATTTTCAAGCACTAAATACTATCAAATACAAATGCAAAGCCAGCTTTCCAATGATTTCCTGGCCAAGTTACCAGGTGCAGAAAAATACTCATCTTTGATAATACTAGCCACAATAAATACTATTTTACAAATTTTATGTTTATATATATATATATATATATATATATATTCCTTTTTTTTTGAGACTGAGGCTCACTCTGTCACCCAGGCTGAAGTGCAGTGGCACAATCTTGGCTCACTGCAACCTCCACCTCCCAGATTCAAGTGATTCTCCTGCCTCAGCCTCCTGAGTAGCTGGGATTACAGTCACGCACCAACAAGCCTGGCTAATTTTTTGTATTTTTAGTAGAGACAGGATTTCACCATCTCCTGACCTCAAGAGATCTGCCCACCTGAGCCTCCCAAAGTGCTGAGATTATAGGTGTGAGCCACCGCACCCGACCAATTTTACCATAATTTTTAAAATAATATACAAAAAAATTGACTTATATACGTTAAGGGAATTGTATGGTATGTGGATTATATCTCAATAAAGCTGTTTAAAAAAAAATCGCCATGCCCATATAAGGGGATTCCATCAAACAGCTTATCATAAAGCCCACAGAACTCTGTGAGGACAAATACAAACTGGCCAAAGTGTGGCCAAAGCTTAAGTCACTGACTGTCAGGATGGGCAGGACCTTACCCTAGGATTAAAACTCATCTACAATCTCTCTGCACAAGTTAAGTAGCTCCAACAAGGATCTCTACCTGCAAACAGCCCAGTGAAGTTGGAACAGCTCCATCTTTAAAAGACTTTACCTTATCAAACCTAAGTAACAATCAGCGAGGCAGACTCTCTTTAAAAAAAAAAAAATGATATTTATTAAGGAATGGGCATTGCAATGGGAATCCATGTGAGTGTATTCAGGGAGATAAAGGAAAACAAGGGCTTTTCAAGGAAAAATAAGGATGGCTATATAAGTTGTTTTGAGACAATTATCCTTGGGTACAGGTATCAGTAACAATGGTGGCATCAACCCAACGTTGGACAGGCAGTTGCTGGGCAGATGTCCTTGCAGAAATATGTTTTTGTGTGTAAGACTGCCACAGGCTTTGTGCAAGGTTGTGGTTTTTGCAGAGGTTTTTGTGACAGTTCTTGTTATCAGGCATATATGTGTGAGAACCTTCTTTTCGTGGCCTCTCCCAGCTCTATTTGTCAGGGTTTTGACACAAGTGACATTCTGATTCTTACAACTTTCATGCCTCTTACCAAGTTAAAATGGATGCCCAGAGCTACACTCATTGCCTCCCCTTTCCACAAGGTTGGAAGGAAGCTCTACCACCCTGCCTGTGACTTCTTTTCTTCTGACTCAATATACCCATTCCTGCAGTTACTCCTCATGTGGACAGCGCTTCAAGTTCTGCCGTCACCTGGTTGCACAGCTCTGCATACACCACAGCATGCCCCAGCACTGGTGACAAGCGTAACCTTCAGAGTTGGAATGCATAGGTTTACAGGTTTAAATCTGACTTCCATCACTAACTGGCTGCATGACCTTTAGCAAGTTATTTAACCCTCTTAAGCCTCAACTGCAACATCTATAAATTGGGGATGGTTGAAAGAAGCCTCATTTGGAGGGGGAGCAAAGCAGGGAGTGAAGTTAGTTCCTAAGATGAAAATCACTTACAGTCAAAATTACTCTTGCAAATCTACTCAGTAGGACCAACATACTGGCTCTCAAAATGTCTTTCTACATTTGAGCAGGTCGTTTTGTTTAAACACAATCTCTTTGCCTCTGCCAAGCACATGTCGTCATTCAAGCACATTCGATGTTTCTATGATACGACCCCATTTTAACAGAACCCACCTCAACGTCAGGCAACCAGTACAAAGTCTGGAACTCAGGAAGCCTGCCAACATTGCTAGCTTTTATTATTCTACGTATTGTAAGGGAAGGACCAAATCGAATGCGATGTTTCCAAAGTGGTCAGCCTAGGCCAGGCACGGTCGCTTACGCCTGTAATCCCAGCATTTTGGGAGGCTGAGGCAGGCAGATCACCTGAGGTCAGGAGTTCAAGATCAGCCTGGCCAACACAGTGAAACCCCACATGTACTAAAAATACAAAAATTAGCCAGGCATAGTGGCATGAACCTGTAGTCCCAGCTACTTGGGAGACTGAGGCATGAGAATCGTTTGAACCAGGGAGCCAGAGGTTGCAGTGAGCCAAGATCACACCACTGCACTCCAGCCTGGGCGACAGGGTGAGACCCCTTTTTTTAAAAAAAAAAGAAAACAAAACAAAACAAAAAAACCAAAGTGCTCAGCCCAGTGCTAGAAATGTTTTTTCAGGGCATCATGCCCAGGACCTCTTTTTATGTTTTTGATTGTCTGCTACTTCCTTCAGCAGCAGGATAAAGAGAGCTGGAAAATCCACCCACAAGAGCACTGTGGAGAAGAGACGCTGGGCCTGACCTTCCAGGGTACTCCCAGACAATGCCTAGCAGCATCTGTGCTCACACTCACCTGGAAGTATTTATCCTAAAGCAGCCAGCCAGCCTCACACACAGAAAAGGAGAAGGTGGTTTTACCTGTCCTTACCCACCCAACATAACACAAACATTTTCTTTCCACCGTCTCACAGATGCTCACTCCACCACCTGCACAAATGTAACCACCTTATTAACTCACCCCTTGCATTTGTTCAAGGGTAGTTAATAAAGTCACTCAGGTGTACTTCTGAAAATTGAAGTTAAATATTTTCCACCACAGAGCTGAACCATTACAGAGGTTAAAAAACTCAAAGGCTATTTTTTTAATATAACAATAATTATAGTCATTTGCCTGGTCAAAACATTTCAACAAATGAGGGGACATGTCCAGGAGGATTTCCCAACAGTGACTGGTGTTGTATTTGATCAAAGCTTTGAAGGCCTCTGACCTAGACAGCAGTGACCATGAGCATGTGTTTGCTGTTTGCTTGGCCACTGACAGGACACCTCTGCCTTGCCACCATGCCAGCTTTCTGCAAGCGTCTAAGACTGAAAGGATGGAAATCTCTACAAAGATGGGAGTTTCTACAACAGGACACTTTCTCCTCTTACTATTTGTTTCAGGGAAGACAAAATATTTGCCTTTATGGTAACCAATGTTCAGCAATGACTTGTCACATTCTAATCAAGCCCTGGCAATAAGAAGCTACTGTCAGATCCTTGTCATTGCCAACCATTCTGGCAGGGCCTATACGATGAGCAGCACGGGGACCATACTATGCAATGCACTGTCCTGCAGAAACAATATCATAAATGGCTGTTAGCTGGGCAGGAGAGTCCAGCAAAACCTAATTAGTGCAGAGCAGGACTGAGCCATAATCCCAACTGACACTGATTTCTTCATTCCAGCACTTCTTCTCCTCATATATTTTAACACCAAAGGAGGAACTACTCAGTGAGAAAACACCTAACAGGAGAATTGGACCCAAGCTGTATCCAACATTATTTAATCTTAAGGCAGTTGTTCTAGGTGTGGTCACCAGACCAGCAGCATCAGTCCCACCTGGAATCTTTCGAGAAATGCAAGTTCTCACGTCCCACCTCAGACCCATGGAATCAGAAACTCTGGGTTTGGGGCTGAGCAATCTGTGCTTTAACAAGCTCTCCAGATGATTCTCGTGCAGAAAAATATTTGAAAGCCACAGCCATATTTGAGACTCACTGTCTTGAGGTACTATGATTTGTACAAAGCATATTTCTGGTGTGACCAGCATTCTTTCAGTAGTAAAGGAATTTGGTAATTGGGGCAAATGGCAGAGCCAGGCAATCCCACAATGTGAATGGAGTCAGGGTCATTGTGGATAGTTAGCATCATGGGCCAGGTATGAGGCAGCTCAGGGACTAAAGGTCAGCGTGTCAGGAAGGACAGGTGGTCACAAGGGCGAGAGGCTGTCCTGAACTGTGGCTCAAAAGGAGAACACTGCCAACTTTAAAGAGGCCCTTATCAATGAACAGCTATGACTTGTTTTCAAAATTTGGAAAAAAAATCCTCTTTTCAAATGCAATTGTACACTGAAGCTTAATACATGAAGCAGATGAAGCGGGTTGAGTGTTTGAACCCCCCCTCCTGTCAACAACCTTGGTTCTCCTCTTACCTCTCCCCCTTGGTAGCCTCCAATATACTTTGGGGGAATCCTAAGGGTTTCTGAGAACACAGTTTGAAAAACCCAGAGTACTTATTAAACATGCATTATACTGAACCCCTATTAACCTCAACAGAAATGGCAAGAAGAGATCTGGAGGCAGCAAATGAGGCATGAGGTTTTATTGGGCGCTTACAGACAGGAGACAGTCCAGTGGCGGCGGGCTGCACAGGAGACCGCCTTACACACAGTCCAGTGGGAGAGGCTGGAGGCCCAGTGGCAGTGTGCTGGGCAGGAAACCTGCGACCACTTGCAAACAGCATGCAGTTTACATAGCATTTTCACTTAGCACCCTTCCCCCAACAACTTCCACCTCCACCTGGCAACCTCCATTTAACCCAAAACCAAAGGTCTCAATCCCATGCACGGCTCATGCTCCACAGGATGAGCGTGGGGCTCAGATGTCCCTCACAGACAAGGAATGAATCCTGGATTCCGTAGCTCGGTATACACATTCAGGTGCATCTGCCATATAGGGTCATTCTAAGGGTAGGCTTAAGTTATTGCTTTCAGATATGTTTACACTACAACATTCTGATTCCTGGGCCTCGCCAGTCCTACTGAATTAGAGGAGCTGGGGCAAGGCCTGGAGCCCTGTACTTTTTAGTTTCTCCAAGTAATTCTGAGAATCAGCCAGATCACAGCCTTTGAGTAGTGTTTGTCTCAGAGCAGGACCCTAGACTTTCACATAAGAAGAATTTGGGAGAACTTGTTAACAATGCAAATTCCTGGGTCCTTCCCAAGCCCTACTGATACTGGCTCTCTGGAGTAGAGCCCAGGAATCTGCATTGTGAAGGTGACTGACTCTTACATACATCAGGTGTGAGAAGCACTGTGGCCTGGTGCCAGATACCACATTCCATCCCTCCAACACACACAACGCTGTTGTCTGTGCCTCCCTCGATCTCTCACACACACACAACCCTGAAAATATAAAGAGAACTTTTCCCTCTGGATCTTTTTTTTTTAGACAGAGTCTCACTCTGTCGCCCAGGCTAGAGTGCAGTGGTGTGATCTTGGCGCCACCATGCCCAGCTAATTTGTGTATTTTTAGTAGAGACCAGGTTTCACCACATTGGCCAGGCTGGTCTTGAACTCCTGACCTCATGATCCGCCCACCTCGGCCTCCCAAAGTGCTGGGATTACAGGCGTGAGCCACCGCGCCCAGCCGCCTCTGGATCTTTTTGAGGCAGGGAGACTTGAGCCTTCCCTCCTGGAGCCTGGGTGTGGGGTCACATTCTGGGATGGTGGAAGAGCAGAGAGGAGGAAGGAGAAAGCAGTGTTGGGAGTCCTGACCCCTTTTCACAGTCTTATCCTTTAGGTGTGAAAATTGGGCTCCAATCTAGGCACCAACTCTTAGACCGGGGTCTCCACACACCATGTCTAGGCCTCGCCCAACCTCACAGATTCTGTCTTAATCACCTTGGATGGAGGCAAGGCCTTGGTATCTTTTTAAGGCATCTCGGGTTAAAATGCACATCCCGGAAAGAAAACGACTATCTAGAGTGCAGCTTCTCAAATGTGAATATGCACAGATCTCACTAAAATGCAGATACTGATTCAGTTGGTAAAGGTGGGGCCGGAAACCCTGCACTTCTAACAAGCCCCCAGATGCTGCTGATGATGCTGGTCCACAGCTCACATTTTGAATCACAAGGATCTAGTGGTTCTCAAACTTTAGGAAGCAACAGAATCACAGGGAGGCTTGTTAAAACTTTGCAGGACCCATCCCTAAGTTTCTAGTAAGTCTGGGTGGGGCCTCATAAGGTGTATTTCTAACAAGTTCTCAGGTGATGCTGATGGTCCAGGAACTACCTTTTAGAACCACTGGTCCAGACCATGTTCTTAGCCCAGGCTGCTATAACAAAATACCAGGAACTGAGTGGCTAATAACAGAAATTTACTGCTTACAGATCTGGAGACTGTGGATGTGAGGGCAGGGTGCCAGCATAGTCAGGTTCTGGTGAGGGATCCCTTCTGGGTTGCAAACTGCTAACATCACTTTGTATCCTCACATGGGAGAGAACAGAGTGGGGAGGCAAGCTCTTGTATGACTCTCCATCAATTTCAGTCATGAGGGCTCCACCTGCAGTACCTCACCTAACGTGAATTATCTCCCAAAGGCCCACCTCCTAATACCATCACATGGGTAGGGTTTCAACATAGAAATTTTGCAGTTCATAACATTCAGTTATATGTTTTTTGCAACACAAACATTCAGTTCATAACAACCTTTTTTTTTTTTTTTTTTTTTTTTTTTTTTTTTTAAGATGGAGTCTCACTCTGTTGCCAGGCTGGAGTGCAGTGGCGATCTTGGCTCATTGCAACCTCCGACTCCTGGGTTCAAGCGATTCTCCTGCCTCAGCCTCCCGAGTAGCTGGGATTACAGGCGCCTGCCACCATGCCCAGCTAATTTTTGTATTTTTAGTAGAGACAGGGTTTCACCATGTTGGCCAGGATGGTCTCGATCTCCTGACCTCATGATCTGCCCACCTCAGCCTCCCAGAGTGCTGGGATTACAGGCGTGAGCCACCGTGCTCAGCCAACAACCATGGTTTTTAAATATTAGTGTACATTAAAATGGCTTGGGGAGCTTTCAAAAACAGAGGTCGCCAGGCCTGATCCATTTGATTATTAGGTCTGGGGAGGAGTCCAAGAGTTATAATTCAATAAGCTTTTCAAGGTACTAGTATGGTCCATTAATCCAGGAACCATGCTCAAATCTAGAATTTATATCCTGCAAATGCAATAAGCCTTTCTGGTACTGATAACAAACTTTACTGGAAACAGTCTGAACATCATAAACATACTTCACAAAGAAACCTACAACACTTTCTCATAAATCAATACCAGGTCCAACATAAGGAGGCAAGAACAAGGACACTTGGAACCAGAAAAGTTGCCAGTAACTGCTGGGTTCCTGGAATATGGTCTCTGGGTGGGGCTCCTGCTATGGTCGAAATGTTTGTGTTCTCCACAACTAGAATTGTGTTCTCCACAATTCATTCAAGTAAAACTAGAGCAAAGCTAAGCTGGTCTGCACATCTGCTGGGTCCAGCTACGTCCTGAGGGTGTCACAGCTTTGGAGTTGTCCTGGCCCTTCAACTCCTGATACCCTCTGAACCCACCTGGTAAGGCAGGGGAATGAAGGCACAGGATCCCGACCATCCCACCATCCCAAGAGCATTTAGCTTGGTTAGGCACCCCAGGGGAAGCCGCTCTCCATTTGATTCAGGAATAGCATGTGTGTGTGGTTTTCTTTTGTTTTGTTTTTTAAAGACAGGGTCTCACTCTGTTGGCCAGGCTGGAACGGCATAATCATAGCTCACTATAGCCTCAAACTCCCAGGCTTAAGTGATCCTCTGCCTCAGCCTCCTGGGAAGCTAGGACTACAGGCATGCCCTACTATGCCTTGCAAATTTTTTTATTTTTTGTAGAGACAGGATCTTGTTTTGTTGCCCAGCTGGTCTCAAACTCTTGGCCTCAAGCAATCCTCCCACCTCAGCCTCCCAAAGCGGTGAGATTACAGAAGTGAGCCAACACACCTGGCCACTGAGTTTTGATTGGCATCAGCATGGAGATTAAGTTCCATCCAGGCCGGGTGCAGTAGCTCACACCTGTAATCCCAGCACCTTGGGAGGCCGAGGTGGGCGGATCGCTTGAGGTCAGGAATTCGAGACCAGCCTGGGCAACATGGTGAAACCCTGTCTCTACTAAAAATACAAAAATTAGCCAGGCATGGTGGTGTGCACCTGTAATCCCAGCTACTCGGGAGGCTGAGGCATGAGAATCGCTTGGACCCAGAAGGCGGACACTGCAGTGAGCCAAGATTATGCCACAGCACTCCAGCCTGGGCGACAGAGCGAGACTCTGTCTCAAAACAAAACAAAACAAAAAAAAGTTCCACCCATACCACCCCTGGGCAGTGCGGGAGGCAGTGTGGCACAGTAGGAACTGCGCGAGACTGGCCTGGGTGTACATTTCTGCTCTGCCCCTTGCAAGTTAGACAGTCAACCTTGGACTACACATAAACCTCTGGAGCCTCAGTTTCCTGATCTGTGTAATGTGGGTGATAATAACTCTTCATGGGTTTGTTGTGCAAGTTCCTTGAAAACTCCGAAGTGCCATGCAGATATTATTGTGAAGCTCCACGTGCCTCTAGTAGCCAAGCAGACAACAGCAGCAACCACTCTACTTTGTACATAGTAGATGTCTCCTCTTATCACCACTGCACCCCCAGCATCTAGCACAGCTCTGAGTACACAGTAGGCGTAAAAAACTATTTATTAAATAAATGAACAGTGTCATGGGCTGAATGTTTGTATCCACTCTCCCAAAATTCATATGTTGAAATCCTAACCCCCAATACGACAATATTAGAAGGTGGGGCCTTTGGAGGGTGATTAGGTCATAAGGATGAAGCCCTTATGAATGGAGTTAGTGCCCTCATAAAAGAGGTCCTAGAGAGACTCCTTGCCCCTTCCACCACGTGAAGTTATAAACAAAAAGATGGCCGTCTAGGAAGCAGGCCTTCACCAGACACTGAAGCAGCTGGCACCCTGATCTTGACTTCCCAGCCTCCAAAACTGTGAGAAATATTTCTGCTGTTTATAAGCCACCCAGTTTACGGTATTTTGTTATAGCATCCTGAATACACTAAGAGAGTTCCAAACATAATCCATCAAGTTAGAAAACAAAGACAAGGCCATAAAAGATGTTCTTGGTAACTATATCGATACGTATATAGGAAACACATATCGATATGTATAGGAAAGCAACATAGCATGGTAGTTAATCCCACAGGTGTAAGATTACGAAGACTCAGGTTAGGACTAGGGTTAAACTCAATAGACCTCGATTTCCTCATCTATAAAACAGGGAAAATGATACCTCCTTTAGAGGCTGCTGAGAGGGCAAGAGATAATGTATGTAATGTTCTTAGGCTGACACACAGTAAAATCATGTGGTGTTTTTGTTTGTTTGTTTGTTTTGAGACAGAGTCTCGCTCTGTTGCCCAGGCTGGAGTGCAGTGGCGCAATCTTGGCTCACTGCAGGCTTGGCCTCCTGGATTCACGCCATTCTCCCACCTCAGCCTCCTGAGTAGCTGGGACTACAGGTGCCCGCCACCACGCCCGGCTAATTTTTTTTGTTTTTGTATTTTTAGTAGAGATGGGGTTTCACCATGTTAGCTAGGATGGTCTCGATCTCCTGACCTCGTGATCCGCCTGCCTCGGCCTCCCAAAGTCTTGGGATTACAGGCGTGAGCCACCGCGCCCGGCCAAATCATGTGTTCTTATAAGTATCACTAGAGCCATTAAATCCTGGAGTTGGACACAACCACAATGATTAGCCTTCAACCAAGACAGAAAAGTCAAAGACCAGTAGCACAGCATCACCTGGACACGTGTGAGAAATGCAGACTCTAAGCTCCACCCCAGGTTTTCTAGGTCAGAATGTGCACTTGACCCCCAGGAGATTCCTATGCACATTAGTTCGAGAGGCACTGCCCTATAACATCTCCACCGGCTGTGGAGCACTCTGGTGGTTTTCAACCTCGCTATGAGTAACAGTCATCTGAAGAGCGGTTTTTTTTTTTGGAGACAGGGTCTCACACTGTTGCCAGGCTGGAGTGCAATGGTGTGATCATAGCTCACTGCAGCTTTAAACTTCTCAGCTCAAGTGATCCTCTTACCTTAGCCTCCCAAGCAGCTGAGACTACAGGCACGTACTACCACACCTAGCTAAGTATTTTTTAAAAGATGGGGTTTCTCTGCGTTGTCCAGGTTGGTCTTGAACTTCTGACCTCAAGCAATCTTCCCACCTCAGCCTCCTGAGTTATTGGGGTTATAGGCATAAGCCACCAAGCCCAGCTGAAGAGCTTTAAAAGAAAATACCAATGCAAGATCTCCCATGAGTTTCATTCAATTGGTTTGGGATGTAGCCTGAGAACTGGAATTTTTCTTAATTTTCCCAAGAGATTCTTATACGCAGCAAGGTTAAGAATCACTAATGTGGCCAGGCGCGGTGGCTCACGCCTGTAATCCCAGCACTTTGGGAGGGCGAGGTGGGTGGATCATCTGAGGTCAGGAGTTCGAGAACAGCCTGATCAACATGGAGAAACCCCGTCTCTATTAAAAATACAAAAATTATCCAGGCATGGTGGCACATGCCTGTAATCCCAGCTACTTGGGAGGCTGAGGCAGGAGAATCGCTTGAACCTGAGAGGCAGAGGTTGCTGTGAGCCGAGATCGCACCACTGCACTCCAGCCTGGGCAACAAGAGCGAAACTCTATCTCAAAAAAAAAAAAAAGACTCACTAATATTAGATAAGCGTGCAGACTCTGAGGTTAACAGATGGTATAATCTTGGTTCTACCACTTACTGGCTGTGTCACCTTGGGCAGGTTACTTAATCCCTTGGTGCCTCAGTTTCCTGATCTGTAAAATTAGCATAATAATAGTACCTATCTCATAAAGACACTAAGAGGATGAAATGAGACACATTCCATAGAAAACACACTTAGTGCCAGGCACACCATCAGTCCTCAGTGAATGTTAACTCTTGCTAACTCGAGTGGGTGGATATTTAGGTTCTACGTAAAGACCTCTGATGACAAGGGTTTCACCCTTTATGTTTTAGCACTCTCCTCTGTAGGACACTTCTTAGAAAGATCTGCTAATAAATGACGAGGGCACTACAATAATCACTTGGATCTGACTACTCTTTCCCACAGTCAAGCTCTGTAATGAATGGTCCCTGAATAACCCCCAACACACACACACACACACACACACACACACACACACACACTCCCCTAACTGAAGTCCCCTCTTTGGGCCATCCACTTGTAAATGAGCCCAGAGGTCCCGGCCTGGGATAAACAGGTAACTTCAAGTAGCAGGAATGCCCAACATCAAGCCACAGGCTCTGCCTCAAATGAGCCATGTGCCATGTGACCCTGAGCTGGTTCCAATGGCCTAGGCCTCAGTTTCCTCATCTGTTACACAAGGGGGTCAGGCCAGGTGATCCCTGACCCCCAGCGCTTCCCTTCTTGGGTTCCCTGGGTTCACAGTACCAGGAAGAGCCACTCACCAAAGACGGAGTCCTGTTTTCCCCACACGGCCTTCAGTAAAACAAAAGCCCACTCAATACAGCCAACCTGTGGGTTACATTTCTATGGTCTCCTAGTGACTACCCAGTAAACTAAAATTTAACAATAGGCTTTTTCTAAAAGTCTTCTAAACATAGACACAATCTCTGGGAGAGCAAGGATTTCCTGAGGGTCTTTCTGAGGAAACTAACAGGACCAAATAATAGATGGTGTTTGGATTGAACTTGTATATATGAGAGAGAGAGAGTGTGTGTGCATATGTGTGTGTATAAAAACAATGTGAAGATTGTTTTCCGTTTTTTCCTGAGAACTCTAAGATACTGGGAATCATCTGTCAGGCTGTCTCCACCAATTTTCCCTTCCCCATGTCTCTTGAATTCTTTCCTTTCTTTGCTTTTACGCCAGCCCTGGTTGGGTGCTGGCTGCTTTCCACATACCCACGCCAAAGTGCAGGCTCTACATGATCAAGGACCCTCCCTTGCTTGCACGTGCCTGCATTCCTAGCACACCGTTTGGATCCTGACCCTCCTCATGCTGCATTTTCCACCTCCCTGGCTCACTCCTAAGGCCCAGCATCCCCCCGCTGCCAGCTGCTGTGGGCTCTCTCCATCTGCAGGCCCACCAGCACCTCAACGCACCCGATACCAAACTCACCATTCTTGCCTAACCCTCCTTCCCCAACAAAAACTTGGGGTGACTTCTCCTCTTCCTCCTGCCCAGTACATTAAATCTGCTTCCAGTTCTGCCGACTCCAGCTTCCCCACTGATGCCAGCCCTGTTTCCCACTCCCTACTCCCACTCCAGCACTGCCACGCACACCTTCCCTTCCCGCTGGAGGAGCATCTCTCACAGGTCTTCCTCCATGCGCCACCCTGAACCCCCTGCAGGATCTCCTCCTGAGGCCTATCACATTCAGCAATAACAACTGTCACTGATCTCCTCTGCTGTGTACCAGGCAGAGTGCTGGATTCTTCCCTTACATGTCCTGGAATCCTTAGAATGGACACAAATCTCCATTTTCAGACTAAGATGCCGAAGCTCTGTGGCAATACTTGGATCCAAATCCAGGTCTGTGCTCCTGCAATGGAATCCTAGTACCAAAACACAAATAACTGAGGCAGAGAGATCAAGCCTGTCTGAGCTCTGGGATCAACCTACCATCTAATCCTTCATTTCTCTGCAAGCATCCTACATGCTGAGCAAATAAGATACTCCCCTTCTTTTGGACAAACTCATGTTTCCCATCCCTGGGCTTTTGTCCACACTGGTTTCTTCCTGGAATGCCCTTCTCCCGTCTCAACCTGCAAAAATATCCTACCTGCCTATCTCCCTTCCCTCCTGATGCTGAAGCTCTTCTAGCACAGCTGAGTTTGATATCACTCTTTCTCCTTTGAACCCCAATGGCATTGGGTTTCTCTGTTGTATCAATCTGTGTGCTTTTCCAATGCATTTCACGTGGCAGCATACATTTGGATGGCAGGAACCAAGTCATCTTGTGTCCCTACCTCTCCCACCCAGGCACTGAGGACAGTACAGTGCCTTGCATGTAACTGATTCTCAACTTGTTGAATTGAGCAGATATCGTAAGATCTTATCGGAGAGAAGCACACTGAGAAAACACAAATTCTGACAAAAGTCAGAATTTATATGCAACAAAGAATTCCCTATAAGCAGGAGGACTGTTTTTGTGTCATCTACAAGTGGAGACCAATAATACCAGCAAATGAGTAGAAGTGTTAAGGAATCACATTTAAGCTCAACAAAACCAATTTCATTTTTAATCATTAAAGTTGTCTCTGAAAGAAAAGGATTGGTCATGAGGGAGTGAGTTTTTTGTCCCTACAAAGATTCAAGTGCAGGCTAAGTTGCCTGTGGCAGAGGCACCCAGAGGACTCCTGGGTTGCAACAGGGCTGGAGGAGCTAGATTAGATGACTGACTTCCTAGGTCATTTCCAAACAGAATTCTAAAGCCATCCCTCTCTGTTTTGAGGACGCCCACTGAAGATGGCTAGCATGTTCTGTCATGTTACAACAACTGAAAACAGTTGACCGAAACTTTACCCATGTCACTTAACCAAGCATCAATGTATCACTCAACTGTGAAGTTCCGCAAGAATAAAAGGTCAAAGAAGTCCATGAGTTCATCCTCTGATCTCAAACCCTTATTTTTATCATGAAAGCCTATGTGTGATTTTTAAAACATGTTCCAAACCTGTCCAAAGCTAGCTTTATATTTAGATAGTTCAGACAGCAATTATTTTGCCAAATTTAGGGAAAAGTTAAACAACTATATTTCAAGAAAAAGTATTCAAGTCATTAGAATCATGACAGTTTATTTACAAGTAAGAACAATAGTGTGTAATGAGCCAAAAAGTATGATTAATCCAATTCTGGCCACCTAAGATCCATTTTTAAAATGTACTGGCTTGAATCCTCTGTAGTTGCAGGTATTAATGCGGGCAAATATTTATTAAAAGAGAAACATATAAGATCATATCTTCTGTTTCGTAACTTTTTGCAAAAAGTTATATGAGATAAAAAGCAAAATGAGTAACAAACTCAAACAAAGGAAAATCGGCACTTTCTTCTCCTCAAGCCATAATGTTGTCATTACACTTTCCAAACTTTGCTACAGCTCTCTCTATTAACTGTGTAATCCTACTTTGAGCCAGGGGGAGTAGCTATTATAATCTTGGAAGGTAAACTGTTTATCTGTGAGAGATGAACTGTCCACTGAGAGCCAATGCCACATGCTTGTCCAGAGAAAAGACAGCATCCAACAGCCTACACAGTCAAAGGAACTGAGTAATTTCTTCATGGAAAACTTTTACATCCACCATGATGTGTCAATTTTCTCCCACCAAGATGAAAATGCTGTGCAGACAGGTAGACTCATAATACCGAACTGAGTCATAAAAATTACTAATGACACATATAACTTTTCCCCACACAGCTGTTTTGCACTACTGTGCAAAACAGGTAATCTGAAGATTGCTCCCACACACACATACTCATTTATTTAACAGTTTATCAAACATTCATTAGAAACTATATGAAAAGCATCCAAATTTATGAAAATGTGGTTAATCACCCAGGTACAGTCACTCTGAAATCAGTTTTCATGTAAACAACGTAAGTAAATACTAAAGAATAATATGACTCCAACCCAACAGTCTGAAGTTTTGTGAAACTCACCCAGTGTGTTTCTAAGTGCATTTTACATGGAACTCCATTAGTACTTTACAGAAAAGTTAATGCAACTAACATTACATTAAAAAAATTAATACCCTACGCTTTGCTTCCATGTAATTTGAGATAAAGTCATCACTATGTTGACATCTGAAAATTAAATGTGAGCTCTAGAAGTGCCCCAGTCCTGCAAAATGCCCAGAGACCATGACGATATCCAGTAGACAAGAGAGTTTACGAGCTTATTGGCCAGAGGCCTCTGTCAATTGCGTATGCATGGAATATCGATAGAGTACAATAAGCATCAGATCATAAAGCAGCTCCCGAAATGGTGAAATGCAGGACTTACACTTGGTTGCCGCTATTCCTTTTTTAAAGACTGGGTCTTGCTCTGTCACCCAGGCTGGAGCACAGTGGCATGACCATAGCCCACTGCAGCCTCAAACTCCTGGGCTCAAGCGGTCCTCCCACCTCAGCCTTCCAAGTAGCTGAAATTACAGGTGCTATTATTTGCTTGGAAATTAATAATAGCTAACAACTACCTAGTGCTAGGTAAATGCCAGATTCTGGTCTACTGCCTCACAGATATTAATGTATTTAGTTACCTACTACCTTTGCCGTAGGTACCATATTACCCCCATTTACCAATGAGGATGCTAAGGCACAGAGAGGTCATATAGCTAGTAAGTGGCAGAGCTAAAATGTGAACCCAAGTTCGCTCCCTTGACCATTACACTATTTGATCTTTCAAAGGTAAGCACACAGTCCTTGATGATGGCATGTCTACAATGCAACTGGTTCCTCAGAATCTATACAACTGACAAGTCCCTGCACTGAAAGGAGAAAGGGACTTGTTCCCCAGACACCTCTATGACTGGCACACTCTGTCCCTGGGCTTTTCCTTGTCCACATTACCACAGTGCTATTCCAAGTAGAATTTGATCCACGGGTCAGAGTAAAGCATATACTGGAAAAACTGTAAAACACTTTGAAACAGACCCAAAAAAAGGTCTAACTCACCCTTCCAAGTTACCTCTGCCTTTCATTACCTTTGAGTAATATACACCATGTAAGATGTAGAAAACTGATAATTATGCAAATGATTTGTGACTATAAAATGGAAATTAATTGTATCTTTGGAATCCAATGTGGTTATTGCCCTATGGATAAACCCATTTTGCATCTATTTATAAATTCATTTCGGCATTCCTTTGAATGTGTTGAAACACCTCACTGGTTCCCACATTAATTAATAAGTTAAAATCTCACACATGTTCATTTTATATCTGTCTGAGTCATAATTATATCCTTATTTTAAAATTGTCTTCTAACATGGATTTCTGAGAAGAATATCAGAGTTCAATAAGGGACTCCGTTATAGCAATGTTCCAATGCTTTGTTGTCATCATTTCAAGGCCAAACACCACCTTTCTGGAATGAACTTATCGTCTGAATCTTGGTCCAAAATGTGCCGTCATTTTGGAATTCAAAGTTTGATAGTGGCACAAAAATATTAAATTCTGTTCTGAGAAATAGAAAAAAAAAGAGGTCTAAGCATTTAGGATAAATTATGCAATATTACCCAAAACAAAGACAGGATATAACTACTCAAGTGCCATTTTGTTTATTCTTAATCCTATATGGATAATTACATTCCTATCAAGAAAGGCAGAACAAACAATGTTAACATCACTGCAGCATTCAGTAAATTCTCAGATGAGGGTGTGGACCTCTGCTTAGTGGACCTCTGCAGCATGTGGAAGGTGGGAAAGGCTGATCCTGAAGGGCGTTCACACTTCTAAATACTGGGGAATTGAGGAAATAAGTCTCGTGCTTGTTACTCATATTCAACCAACAATTTCCATGAGGTGTGAACTCTAAGAATAGATTATTGTTCTTCTAAAACTTAAAAATTACTCGTGCCTCATTTAGTCTAGAGATTTCCCAATGAAATACATCATCTCAGGTAGTAACTGCACCATTAGCTGATTATCTCAGAATTAAAGAGCTGGCTCCATATAACCTGAATCCTAGGGTTCCTATGGCTCTTTAGGAGCTCAGTGTGGTAGAAATGGCATGGGCTACTGCCATCTTGAAAGTCTCACCTGACTCCCCAGAGTTTAAACCAGAAAACTGTAGCAGGTGCAATATCATGCTAAACACGAGAACCAAAGCAAATAACAAAGGTCCACCTCAAAAGAGTGTACAATTTTCCTGTGGCTGTTTTAAGAATTTATGATAAACTGATTGGCTTTAAACAACAGAAACTTATTCTCTCGCAGTTCTGGAGGCTTAGAAGTCCAAAATCCATATTACTGGGATGAAATCAAGGTTTCACCAGGGCCACAATCCCTCTGAATATCCCTAGGGAGAAGCTGTTCCTTGCTTCTTCCAGGTACACTATAGGTGTCTGCCAGCATTCTTTGGCTTGTGGCTGTGACACTTCAATCTTTGCCTCCATCTTCACAATGCCTTTACCACCTCTGTGGGTACATCAAATCTCTATCTCTCTTAAAAGGATGCCTTATAAAACTACCTGGATAATCCAGGAAAACCTCCTCATCTCAGGATCCTTAACCTAATCACATCTTCAAAGTATTTGTGCCATAAGGTATCATTCATAGGCTCCAGGCATTAGGAGCTGGTATCTTTCAGGGAACCATTATTCTAGTTCTCCATTGTAAATATGGCTAGAGGTATTCTGGAGGAGTATGTAATGCATGGATGTGGCACAGCAGTGACCTTTGTTTCCTGAAAGCCCTGAAACCAATATTAACAATAACAACAGTGTGTATTTCCTAAGCACCTACTTTAGATATTAGACCAAGCATCTTACAAGTTCCCACTAACTATTAGGGAATTATAAGATTCTCACATACAGATGACAAAACTGAAGCTAAGTTTTGGGTAATATAATTGCCCAAGATCACAAAGTGGGTGGCAGGGAAATGGCTCCAGAGCTACTTCTACCTCCCAGAGGCAGGAAACTGATGGAAAGCTTCCTGCTTCTCATCTCCTCACTAACTACGAGAATTCCTAAAACCTGGCCCAGAGTGACTAAAGGCTGGCCCAGCTGATGCAACCCCCTCAATACATGAACAGCAAGCAAGGACAGCCACCCTAACCTATAGGCCAGAAGTCCCAAGGGTCTTCTATTCCTTCCTCTCCATCTGCCCCCACCCTAAGATATCATCCCCACTTCACCGTTCCCCTTTTTCTATACTCATTCAACTATCTGTTGTCAGAAACCACATCTTCTGCAACTATACCCACCCCATCCAATCACATACCCACTTGCTCTCATCACAAGATGGGTGATGTGGGGCTACTTTTCCGTCTCCTACCTCCCCAGCTATAGCTGATGCTGATCTAACTTTCTGTCCATCCAGCATCCCTTCCTTGGGGGACCTTCCCCTCCCATTCCACAATGCACCCACAGTCCATAAGAGCTACATGGGGCTAGCCCTGCCTTCCCATCACACCCCCATCGCCACAACCCTAGCCAATCAGAGCAACACAAACCACTGGCCAGGTGATTGGTTCAGGGATGGGAACATGACCCAATCTTGGCCAATCACCCATCAGAGTTCTCTCTGGGACTGTCACTAAAGCTCTGAAAACAGGTTCAGAATTTTGCCTTACTCTGAGATCATTAGATCTAAAGACGATGAAGGTTTGGAGTTGTTGGTGTCATTTTGATGTCACATGGAGAAAATCCATCTGAGAATGAAGACAAACGGAGATCACCAGGGCTGAGACTTGTTGAGAGAGACAGGATCCTGATCAGGGCCAGCTTCATGAGACTGCAATCTGTGCAGTCCCACAGGTGCTGTGCTTAGAAGGGCCCTGTGCTTGATTTAACTTTCTGCTGTCATCATCTTGAAATTTGTTTGTTTCTGTTTTTGTTTTCACAAGAGATCCCACATCTTCCTTGTGCACTGAGCCCTGCAAATGATGTAGCCGGTTCAGGTCACGGTATCACCATTTGAACCCCTGGAGAGCCAATCAGGCTTAATGTCAGCATAAACCTTAGGATTCCCAGTTACCTGCCAATAAACAACCTCTTTTATTTAAGTCAGTCTGTGTATCATCCACTTACAACCAAAGGATCTGCCTGCACACCACTGCCTCTAAGTCCACCACGCCCTCTCCCACCACACCTTGCACACATCCATTCCCCTCAGCCCCGGCTGCCTCTGCATTCACCTCTAGTCCATCCATCTCCTCACCAACATCATCCTAGGAGTCCTGGACTGGTCCTCTGCCCTGGCTGCTAAGAGCCCGGATTTCCCAGACTAAAGATGAATCAAATGTAATCATCTATGTTTACAACACTCATCTAATTGATCCAACAGGGTCAGAAAGACACGAGAGATTTATTTGTTCATTCATTCAAAGAAATATTTATTGAATACTTACCATGTACTAGGCACAGGAGAGATAAAAGGAACATTTTTTGTACTTGCAATTGATAGGAAAAAAACACCCTTAGAAACCCTCAAATAAGCGATGTCCTTCCTTCAGAAACAGACAGGCAGAGAAGCTTATAGGTGTGAGAAGGGAGGAAAGAAGCCAATCAGAAGCCAGATACAGAAGGGGTGAAGGAACACTCAGATCTTCCCTGAGGTTTCCAGAAGAAAAGAAGGGGTTAAAAAGGAGCAAATGTAAAACCAAGAAGCTTCCTGGAGGGTTACACAGGGCCCCATCCATCACTGAGAGTGCCCGCTGCCACCCCTCAACATCTTCCATGTTGACATGTACCTACTACATGGTAGGTACTCAATAAATATTATTTGAATCAATGAACAAATGAATCTCTCATGTATTTCTAACCCTGTTGGATCAATTAGGTGAGTTTGTAAACACAGATGACTGCATTTGATTCATCTGTAGTCTGGGAAATCCAGACTCTCAGCAGCCAGGTCAGAGGGCTCATTGTCCCTTAGACACATCTCCAGGCTTGGTAGCTGGGCTCTAAACTAGGGCAAGCACTATCTGTGGGCTTTGTACTGAGCTCCTCTAGGAGACAGAAGAGTGCTGTCTTTGGGCCTGACTCCTGCTGTGAGAATTTATCCTCTCTAAACCTCAGTTTCCTCATCGATAAAATGGAGGTTAAAATGATAGCCAATCATGGGCTTACTGTAGCGATTACCTGAAGTAATCCATGTAGAGCTGTCAGCCCAGAGCCTGGCAACATCAAGAGCTCAGTAGACAGTACCATGTCACTCAGCAAAGGAAAACCCATGTTCCAACCCACCAATTGATAAAGATCTAATGGGACATCACTTGTTCAAAAGTAGGGTGTTCTCCTGTGTTCCGGGGGAAAACAGATTTGACCTTCTATGTTTTTAATACTAGTAGTTATATCGATCCTAGTTTAGCAATATTAAAATGAGATACCTTATCCAAAATATAAGTCTAATGATAGTCAATATCTACATAGCACTTTCTTTCAAGTAAATTTAAAATTTGTCTTACATGTTATCAAGCCCTAGAGAAAAAATGACCATAACTGGTTTTGTTTTGTTTTGTTTTGTTTTGTTTTTTTGAAACAGAGTCTCACTCTTCTCGCCCAGGCTGGAGTTCAGTGGCGCAATCTCAGCTCACTGCGACCTCCGCCTCCTGGGTTCAAGCGATTCTCCTGCCTCAGCTTTCTAAGTAGCTGGGATTACAGGCGTGCGCCACCACGCCCAGCTAACTTTTTTTTTTTTTTGTATTTTTAGTAGAGATGGGGTTTCACCATGTTGGCCAGGCTGGTCTCGAACTCCTGACCTCAGGTGATCCATCCGCCTCGGCCTCCAAAGTGCTGGGATTACAGGCGTGAGCCACCGCGCCTGGCCCAGAATTGTTTTTCACTCTTTTTGTACAAAAGGGCAATCAGAGCCCACAGAAACTGGAAAGTCACTTCTTTTCTTTTGAGCTTTACTTATCTCCTCTATAAAATGGGAGTCTGAGTTTCAGTTCTCTCGTCCTGACCCCACAGGTCCAGGTCAAGCTGCTGCTACAGGTGCAGCTGAGTTAAAACATGCCAGAGAGATTGCTCTCCTATTTTTGAAAAACCATCAGGAAAGGAGATTTCACAAGATCAGATGGCCCTTTAAAGCCATGTGTTTTACTAGCAAGCTGGGTGATGAAAACTATCAGAAGGAAAGATGAAAGGAAAAGCAGAAATTTATTCAGATGGAAAAAAAGAGAGACTTGGCCAAAACCACTTGTAGTATCAGAAGTCGAATGAGATGATCACTAGCAATAAAGTGGAAACAGACAGTCTTGTGCTGTCAAAACTCTAAGCTGTGTGTGGAGCCACTCTATCCCTGACACCTTATCACACGGTAGGTAATTTCCAAAAAAAGTCATTCTTAAAGAGTGTTCTTGGGGGACCTCCCTTGAGTGCTCCAAAAAGTTGAAAACATTACAAATGTACAGTGTCATCTTCATAATCTCAAAACCCTCCCAATGGGAAAAAATGCCTTAAAACAAGTGTCTTAGATGAAAATTATGCAGTACAGTTTTAACAATCTGGCTTTATGTTCCAAAGATCTAACTTAAGACTTGAATAAAAGAAAGGATTATCAGAGGATGCTTTAGAGAATGTATTAGTCCATTTTCATACTGCTATGAAGAAACACCCAAGACTGGGCCATCTATAAAGAGAAAGAGGTTTAATTGACTTACAGTTCCACATGGCTGGGGAGGCCTCACAATCATGGCAGAGGGCAAAGGAGGAGCAAAGGCACATTTTACATGGCGTCAGGCATGAGAGTGTGTGCAGGGGAACTGCCCTTTATAAAACCATCAGATCTCCTGAGACTTATTCACTATCACGAGAACAGCACAGGAAAATCCTGCCCCTGTGATTCAATTACTTCCCACCAGGTCCCTCCTACGACACAAGGGGATTATTGGGAGTTACAATTCAAGATACGACTTGGGTGGGGACACAGACAAACCATATCATTCCACCCCTGGCCCCTCCCAAATCTCATGTCCTCATGTTTCAAAGCCAATCATGCCTTCCCAACAGTCCCCCGAAGTCTTAACTCATTTCAGCATTAACTCAAAAGTCCACAGTCCAAAGTCTCATCTGAGACAAGGCAAGTCCCTTCTACCTATGAGCCTGTAAAATCACAAGCAAATTAGTTACTTCCTAGATACAATGAGGGTACAGGCATTGGGTAAATACACCCATTTCAAATGGGAGAAATTAGCCAAAACAAAGGGCCTACAATGCTCCATGCAAGTCTGAAATCCAACAGGACAGTCTTTAAACCTTGAAGTTCCAAAATGATCTCCTTTGACTCTGTTTCACATCCAGGTCACACTGATACAAGAGATGGGCTCCCACAGCCATGGGCAGCTCCACCCCTGTGGCTTTGCAGGATAGAGCACCACTCCTGGCTGCTTTCATGAGCTGACATTGAGTGTCTGCAGCTTTTCCAGGCACATGGTGCAAGCTGTTGGTGGATCTACCATTCTGGGGTCTGGAGAACAGTGGCCCTCTTCTCACAGCTCCACTAGGCAATGCCCCAGTGGTGACTCTGTGTGGGGGCTCCAACCCCACATTTCCCTTCTGCACTGCCGTAACAGAGGTTCTCCATGAGGGCCCTGCCCCTGCAGCAAACTTCTTCCTGGACATCCAGGCATTTCCATACATCCTTTGAAATCTAGGCGGAGGTTCCCAAACCTCAATTCTTGACTTCTGTGCACCCACAGGCTCAACATCATGTGGAAGCTGCCAAGGCTCGGGGCTTGCACCCTCTGAAGCCACGGCCCGAGCTGTATCTTGACCCTTTTCAGCCACAGCTGGAGCACTGGAGCTCAAGGCACCAAGTCCTTAGCCTGCATACAGCAGGGGAGTCCTGGACCTAGCCCAAGAAACCATTTTTCCCTCCAGACCTGTGATGGGAGGAGCTGCCATGAAAGTCTCTGACATGTCCTGGAGACATTTTCCCCACTGTCTTGGTGATTAACTTGGTGATTAACTGTCTTGGTGATTAAGCCCACTGTCTTGGGCTCCTTGTTACTTACACAAATTTCTGCAGCAGGCTTGAGTTTCTCCCCAGAAAATTGGTTTTTCTTTTCTACTTCATCATCAGGCTGCAAATTTTCCAAACTTTTATATTCTGCCTCCTCTTGAACAGTTTGCCACTTAGAAGTTTCTTCCACCAGATACCCCAAATCATCTCTCTCAAGCTCAAAGTTCCACAGATCTCTAGGGCAAAAGCAAAATGCCACCAGTCTCTTTTTTAAGTGTAACAAGAATCACCTTTGCTCCAGCTCCCAACAAGTTCCTCATCTCTATCTGAGACCACCTCAGCCTGGACTTTATTGTCTCTATCACTATTAGCATTTTGGTCAAAGCCATTCAACAAGTCTCTAGGAAGTTCCAAACTTTCCCACATTTTCCTGTCTTCTGAGCCCTCCAAACTGTTCCAACCTTTGCCTGTTACCCAATTCCAAAGTTGCTTCCACATTTTCGGGTATCTTTAGAGCAGCACCCCACTCTACTGGTACCGATTTACTGTATTAGTCCATTTTCATACTGCTATTAAGAAATACTCAAGACTGGATAATTTATAAAACAGGTTTAATGGACTCACAGTTCCACATGACTGGGGAGGCAAAGGAGGAGCAAAAGCACGTCTTACATGGCAGCAGGCATGAAAGCATGTGCAGAGGAACTTCCCTTTCTAAAACCATCAGATCTTGTGAGACTTTTTCACTATCATGAGAACAGCACAGGAAAAACTCGCCCCCATGATTCAACTACCTTCCACCAGGTCCCTCTCATGACACATGGGAATTATGAGAGCTACAATTCAAGGTGAGATTTGGGTGGGGACATGGCCAAACCATATCAGAGAGCTTATGTTTGTAGTTTTATTGTTCTAAAAATAAAATGTGAGCTTCTACTTTCCAGTCCTGCATGTAAGGAGCTTGGAAGTCATCATTCCATCTTAACAAGTAAAAAGCTGAACAAACTGAAAAATCATCAACTCTGCATAGATCCATCAGAAAAGTGAGGTAACAAAGCAAAAGTGAGATCACAAAGCTGCCCCAAAATTGGACAAACAGACAGGCAAATACATAGAAATACAATTTACTGGAACAGAAACACCTGAGCAGAAACCTTCATGGGAACCAATACCAAGTACAACATATCCAGCTACCAAGAAAAATTATAAGTTATACTAAACAACAAAAATACACAATTAAAGAATGAAGCACACCTAAAAGATCTAGAAAATGGCCGCAATGGGGCAAATCTAAGAGTTACTGACCTTAAAGAGGAGGTAGAGAGAGAGACTGGGGTAGAAAGTTTACTCAAAGGAATAATAACAGAGAAATTTCCCAAACCTAGAGAAAAATATCCATATTCAAGTACAAGAAGGTTACAGAACACCAAGCAGATTTAACCCAAAGATGACCTCAAAGCATTGAATAATCAAATTCCCAAAGACCAAGGATAAAGAAAAGATCCTAAAAGCAGCAAGAGAAAAGAAACAAGTAACATACAATGGAGCGCAATACATCTGGCAGCAGGCTTTTCACTGGAAACCTTACAGGCCAGGAGAGAGTGTCATGGACATATTTAAAGTCCTGAAAGAAAATCACTATTACCCTAGAAGAGTATCTATGGCAAAAATATCCTTCAAACATGAAGGAGAAATAAAGACTTTCCCAGAAAAACAAAAGCTGATTTCATCAACACCAGACTGGTCCTGTAAGAAGTGCTAAAACGGAGTCCTTCAATCTGAAAGAAAAGGACATTAAGGAGCAATATGAAATCATCTGAAGGTACAAAACTCATTAGTAATATTAAGTACATAGAATGTTATAACACTGTAATTGTGGTATGTAAACTACTAATATTTTCAGAAGAAAGAAGATGAACTAGTCAAAAATAATAACTACAACTTTTCAAGAAATACACAGTACAGTAAGATATAAATAGAAACTACAAAAAGTTAAAAAGCAGGTAGATAAAGTTATTAGCTTTCTTTTTACTTGCTTGAAAGTTAAAGTTATTAGTTTTCTTTTTACTTGTTTGTTGGTATAAGTTTCTTTATGCAATCAGTGTTAGGTTGTCATCAGTTTAAAATAATGTTTATAAGACAGTATCTGCAAGCCTCATAGTTACCTCAAATCTAAAAACATGCAACAGATACACAAAAAATAAAAAGTGAGAAATTACAACATACCAACAGAGAAAACTGCCTTCACTAAAACGAAAACAGAAAGAAAAGAAAGAAGAGAAGGCCAGAAAACAAATAACAAAATTGTAAGAGTAAGTCCTTACTTAACAATAACAACACTGAATGTAAATGGACTAAACTCTCCATCAAAAGACAAAGAGTGGTTAAATGCATTTAAAAAAACTAACAGTATGTTGCCTATAAGAAACACACTTCATCTACAAAGACACAGACTGAAAATAAAGAGATGGAAAAAGATATTCCATACCAATGGAAACCAAAATAGAGGAGAAATAGTTATACTTGTATCAGACAAAATAGATTTCAAGACAAATATTATAAAAAGAGAAAAGAAAAGTCATTATATAGGGATATAAAGCAAGAGAATATAACGATTGTAAGCATATATGCATCCAACTTTGGAGCACCCAGATATATAAAGCAAATATTAGTAGAGCTAAACAGAGAGATAGACCCTAACAAAATAATAGCTGAAAACTTTAACACTGCACACTTTCAGCAACAGACACATCATCCAGACAGAATATCAACAAAGAAATCATGGACTTAATCTACACAATAGACCAAATGGACCTAACGGATATTTACAGAACATTTCATCCAGTGGCTACAGAATATACATTCTTCTCCTCAGCTCATGGACCATTCTCAAGGATGAACCGTATCTTATGCCACAAAACAACTCTTAAAACTGAAATTATATTAAGTATTTTCTCTGAACACAATAGAATAAAACCAGAAATCAATTCAAAAGGAATTTTGGAAACTATACAAACACATGGAAATTAAACATTATGCTCCTGAACGATCAGAGGGCCAATGAATAAGTTAAGAAGGAATTTTTTTAAATTATTGAAACAATGATAATGGAAATACAACATACTATACCTATGGGATACAGCAAAAGCAGTACTAAAAGGAAAATTTATAGCTATGAGCACATCAAAAAAGTAGAAAAACTTTAAATAAACAACCTAATGCTGCATCATAAAGACCTAGAAAGCAAGAGCAAACTAAACCCAAAATTAGTAGAACAAAAGAAATAATAAAGATCAGAGCAGAAATAAATGAAATTTAAATGAAAAAAATATATATATAAAAGATCAATGAAATGAAAAGTTGGTTTCTTGAAAAGATAAACAAAATCAATAAATCTCTGACCAAACTAAGAAAAAAGAGGAGACCCAAATAAATAAAATCAAAGATGAAAAAAACTACATAACAATTGATAACACAGAAATTCAAAGGATTAGAGGCTAGTATGAGCAACTATATGCCAATAAATTAGAAAACCTAGGAGAAATGGATCAACTCCCAGACACATACAACCTACCAAGATTGAATCATGAAGAAATTCAAAACCTGAACAGACTGAGTAATGATATCAACGCTGTAATAAAAAGTCTCCCAGGAAGGAAAAGCCCAGGACGCAGTGGCTTCACTGCTGAATTTTACCAAACATTTAAAGAAGAACTAATACCAATCCTACTCAAACTATTCCAAAAGATAGAGGAGGAGGGAATACTTCTAAAACTCGTTCTATGAAGCTGGTATATGATACCAAAACCAAAGACACATGCAAAAAAAAAAAAAAAATTAAAAAAAAACTACAGGCCAATATCCTTAATAAACATTAATGCAAAAATCCTAGACAAAATACTAACAAACCAAATTCAACAAAACATTAAAAAGATCATTCATCATGACCAAGTGGGACTTATCCCGGGGTTGCAAGGATGGTTCAACATATGCAAATCAATGTGATACATCATATCAACAGAATGAAGGACAAAAACCATGTGATCATTTCAATTGGTGCTGAAAAAACATTTGATAAAATTCAACATCCCTTCATGAAAAAAAGCACTCAAACAACTGGGTATAGAAAAAAACATACCTGAGTACAATAAAAGCCAAAAAGTCTGTATGATAGACCCACACTAGTATCATGATGAATGGGGAAAAGATCTGGAACAAGACAAGGAGGCCCACTTTTATACTGTTATTTAACATAGTACTGGGAGTTCTAGCTAGAGCAATCAGACAAGAGAAAGAAATAAAGGGCATCCGAATTGAAAAGGAAGAAGTCAAATTATCCTTGTTTGCAGATGATATGATCTTATTTTTGGAAAAACCTAAAAACTCCACCAAAAAACTATTAGAACTAATAAAACAAATTCAGTAAAGTTGCAGGATATAAAAATCAACATATGGAAATCAGTAACATTTCTATATGCTAATAGTGAACAATTTGAAAAAGAAATCAAGAAAGTAATCCCAATTACAATAGCTACAAATAAAATAAAATACCTAGGAATTAACCCAAGCAGTGAAAGATCTCTACAATGAAAACTACAAAACATTGATGCAAGAAACTGAAGAGGGAAACAAACTGAACACTGATCCTACAAGCTGATCATCCATGAAACTACTCCGGGATCCATCAAGGCAGCAAGGGGACACAGAGAGCAAAGAGGAGTGAAGCTGCGCAGGAGCCTATCTGGAGTCAACACAGACCCATGAGAAGCTCCCCAACAAGGGAGTGGTGAGTGAGAGCCCCTCAGGGGATTCACACTTTCCACAAGGACCTGTGCAGGACTGGGAATGGGAGAATCCTTCTAGGCCCCTGCACACCCAACCATGCTTCTAAACTGAAGCAGAGAGCCACCTGGAGATTTTCCAGAGGCAACTCTCAAGTCCAAGGACACCTATACAAGCCTTGGACCCCAGAAAAAACTGGCACCAGTGACATAACCCCAGTAGAGGCCACAGTCAGGGTGCCTGGAAGCAATAAGATTGCTCCAGCCGCCCTCACCCCGCCCTTGATAGACAAGGCTCAGTGCCAACTTCCCGCCCAGTGGTCCTGTTTCTGCCTGAAGTCAGCCAGCAGCCACAGCCTCCTGCTGTACTGGGAAACACCCAGACGGCAGGGAAGGTGACTCCACTCTCCCAGTCGGCTCATAGCCAGGTGGGCCACGCCTGCTAGAGCTTCCAACCCAGCAGTCCTGCTTCTGCCTGAACTCAGCAGGCAGACTTAACCTCCTGTTGTCCTGGGAAACACCTGGACAGCAGGGGAGGCCACTCCACCCACCCCCAAAGCCGGTAGCCAGGCAGGCCATGCCTGCTAGAGCTTCCAGTCCACTGGTCCTTCTTCTATCTGAATTCTGCCAAGGGGCACAATATCCTTTTGCCCCAGGATAACACCCGGACAGCAGGGCAGGCATCTCCACCCACCTCCACCACTGGTAGGCAGAGGGGCCAGGCATGCTAGAGCTTCCAGCAGAATGGTCCCACTTCTGTCTGAACTCTGCAGGCAGGCACAACCCCATATTCCCCCAGGAAGCACCCAGACAGAACATTAGGTGACCTCACTCACCCTCACGGCTCCTAGCCAAGGAGAGCTTGCTTGTTTGCTGTACCCAAGCAGGGAGGAGCCCTCACTTTCAGGTCAGTGAGAGAAGATGCCTGGGTTCACAGGCTGGTGGAGGACCGGAGTGTGCCTCCCTCCACAGGAAACAGCAAGGATATGGCCTATGTGCCAACCGTGGCCCCTGCCTGAGGGATCCTCATGAACCAGAACTCCTAACAAAAGAAATGCAAGCACAGAGCCAGTGATTGGAGGGGCCTCCTCCAAGGCACCGGAACAAACTAGGTAAGGGAGTCATCTCTCTAACCCCCAACATAGAGCACTCCTACCCACTGTGCTAAAACAAAAAAGCTTTGCAGTACGGTAAGAGCCTATCTGCTGGCTAACATTCTTAAATGGTGCCTACTGGCTCACAGCCCAAAATACAATGGTAAAATATTTTGCCAGGATATAGTGCCTATGAAAACTTAATGCAAAGGCTCCTACTGGCACCCCACCCCAACCAACACATGTGCACCCCACTGCGCCACTGCAGCTTCTGGCACACACAAGCCAGCATGGATCCCACTGCCACGGCCCTGAGGAAAGGTGTTGGCTGGCACCCCCCATCAGAGTACTGAGGTCAGTGGACCGGGAACACCTTGGCCCCTTCAGCACACCAGGTTCCTAACACAAAGGTGTCAAGGAACAAAGCTGGGGGCCCCATACCAGCCCCACAGAATTAGAGCACACAGCATAGTAGTCAACTGAACCTAGTCAACTGAACCCACTTTAGACCACAATCAAACCCCCAATGGCAGCAAAGAAGATAAAAGCAAAAAAACTCATCCAGAGGACAGCAATTTCAAAGATTAAAGGAATATCAGCCCACACAGATGAGAAAGAAACAGCACAAGAACTCTGGCAGTTCAAAAAGCTAGAGTGTCTTCTTACCTCCAAACAACCACACAAGTTCCCCAGCAATGGTCCTTAACTAGGATGAAATGGCTGAAATGACAGACATAGAATTCTGAAAATGGATAGGAACAAAGATCGTGGAGATTCAGGAGAAAGTTGAAACTCAATCAATGGAATCTGAGGAATACAATAAAATAACACAGAAGCCAAAGGATAAAATGGTCATCTTAAGAAATAACCAAACTCATCTGATAGAGCTAAAAAACTCACAACAAGAATTTCACGATATCATAACAAGTATTAACAGCAGAATTAACCAAGCTGAGGAAAGAATCTCAGAGCCTGAACACTGATTCTCTGAATTAACCCAGTCAGACAAAAAAAAAAAAAAAAAAAAAAAAAAAAAAAAAAAAAACAAAGAATGAATGAAACCTCCAACAAATATGGGATTATGTGAAGGGACCAAATCTATGACTCATGGGCATCCCTGAAAGAAAGAGTGAGAAAGTAAACACCTTGAAAAATATATTTAAGGATATCATTCACTTCACAAAAATTTCCCTAACCTCACTAGACAGACCAACATTCAAATTCAGGAAATACATAGAACCCCTGTTAGATACTATATGAGACAATCATCCCCAAGATACACAGTCATCACATTCACCCAGATCAACATAAAATAAATAATATTAAAGACAGCCAGAGAGAAGGGGCAGGTCACCTACAAAGGGAACTCCACCAGACTAACAGCATACCTGTCAGCAAATACTGTCTAAGCCAGAAGAGACTGGGGGCCAAAATATAGTATTCTTAAAGAAAAGAAACTTCAACCAAGAGTTTTATATCCAGCCAAACTATGCATCATACGCAAAGAAGAAATAAGACCCTTTTCAAATAAGCAAATGCTAAAGGAATTTGTTACCACCAGACCAGCCTTACAAGAGGTCCTTAAGGGAGTGCTAAATACAGAAATGAAAAACCATTACTGGTCACAACAAAAACACACTTAAGTACACAGACTATTGACACTATAAAGCAACTACAAAATCAAGTCTGCATAATAACCAGCTAACAACATGGTGACAGGATCAAATCCACACGTCAGTATTAACCTTGAATGTAAATGGGTTAAACGTCTCAGTTAAAAGGCACAGAGTACGAAGTCGGATAAAGAAGTAAGAACCAACTGTATACCGTCTTCAAGATACCTACCCATTTCACATAAAATGACATCCGTAGACTAAAAGTAAAGGGATGGAGAAAAATCTACTAAGCAAACACAAAACAAAAAGAAGCAGAGATTGCTATTCTAATTTTAAACAAAACAGACTTTAAACCAACAACAATCAGAAAAGACAAAGAGCAATACCCTAAAAGCATAAACAACCAAAGCAAAATGGAAAACTGGGATCACATCAAGTTAAAAAGCTTCCACACAGCAAAGGAAACAGTGAAGAGACAACCCACAGAATGGGAGAAAATATTTGCAAGCTACCCATCTGATAAGTGATTAATAACAAGACTATGTAAGGAGCTCAAACAACTCTATAGAAAAAATACTAATAATCCCATCGAAAATGGGCAAAAGACTTGAACAGACATTTCTCAAAAGAAGACATACAAATTCCAACAGGCAAATGAACATCACTGATCATCAGAGAAATGCTAATCAAAACTACAATGAGATATCATCTCACCCCAGTTAAATGGCTTATATGAAAAAATAGACAATAACAAATGCTGACAAGGATGTAGAGAAAAGGGAACCTTCATACGCTGTTCATGGAATGTAAATTAGCACAACACTATGGAGAACAGTTTGGAGGTTCCTCAAAAAACTAAAAATTGAGCTACCATATGATCCAGCAATCCCATTTCTGGGTATACACCCAAAAGAAAGAAAATCAGTATACCAAAGAGATATTTGCACTCCTATGTTTGAAGCAGCACTATTTACAATAGCTAACATTTGGAAGCAACATAAGTGTCCATCAACAGATGAATGGATAAAGAAAATGTGGTACGTGTACACAATGGAGTACTATTCAGCCATAAAAAAGAATAAAATCCAGTCATTTGCAACTACAAGGATGGAACTGGAAGTCATCATGTTAAGTGACATGAAATAAGCCAGGCACAAAAAGACAAATATCACATGTTCTCAGTTATTTGTGGTGTCTAAAAATTAAAACAATTGAACTCATGGACATAGAGAGTAGAAGGATGGTCACCAGAGGCTGAGAAGGGTAGTGAGGGGCTGGAGGAGAAGTGGGGATGGTTCAGGGGTACAAAAAAAATAGAAAGAATGAATAAGACCTATTGTCTGATAGCACAATAGGGTGATTTTGGTCTATGATAACCTGATTGTACATTTTTAAATGGCTTAAGGAATGTAGTTAAGATTGTTTGTAACGCAGATAAGGGGGTCCTTGTAGGGAAAGATGCCCCAATCTCCATGATGTGCTTTTTTGATACAGGCATTGCATGCCTATATCATGGCATCTTATGTGCCCTGGGAATATGTATACCTACTGTGTACCCACAAAAATTAAAAATAAAAATATAAAAAGACAAGAGCATTATGTAACGGACACAAAAGAGCATTACATACTGGTAAAGGGTTTAATTCAACAAGAAAATTTAATTATACTAAGTATATATACACCTAACAAAGAAGCACCCAGATTCATAAAACAAGTTATTGGAGACCTACAAAGAGACTTAGATAATGACACAATAATAGCAAGAAACTTCAACACCCACTGACAGTATTAGACAGATCATCAGGGCAAAAAACTAACAAAGACATTCAGGAGCTGAACTCAACACTTGGACAAGTAGACCTAACAGACATCCACAGAAGTCTCAACAACAAAAAAAACAGAATAGACATTCTTTTCATCTTCACATGGCACATACTCTAAAATTGACCACACAATCAGCCATAAAACAATTCTCAACAAATTCAAAAAAACCAAAATAATACCAACCACCCTTGGACCCACAACACAATAAAAACAGAAATTAACACTAAGAAGATCACTCAAAACCATTTGTATTAGTCTGTTCTCACTCCACTATAACGATACTACCTGAGACTGGGTAACGTATAAACAAAGGAGGTTTAATTGACTTATAGCTCCACATGACTGGGTAGGCCTCAGGAAACTTACAATTATGACAGAAAGTGAAGGGGAAGCAAGGCACATCTTACATGGCAGCAGGAGAGAAAGTGTGCAGGGGAAACTGCCACTTTTAAAACCATCAGATCTCATGAGAACTCCCTCACTATCACAAGAACAGCATGGGAGAAACCATCCCCATGATCCAGTCACCTCCCACCAGGTCCCTCCCTCTACATGTGGGGATTACAATTTGGGATGAGATTTGGCTGAGGACACAGAGCTAAACCATATCACCATACAACTACATAAAAATTAAATAACCTGCTCCTGAATGACTTCTGGATAAACATGAAATTAAGTCAGAAATCAAGAAATTAATACAACATACCAGAATCTCTGGGGCATAGCTAAAGCAGTGTTAAGATGAAAGTTTATAGCACTAACTGCCCACATCAAAAAAATAGATCTCAAATTAACAACCTAACATTACACCTAGAAGAACTAGAAAAACAAAAGCAAATCAACCCCAAAGCTAGCAGAAGACAGGAAATAACCAAAATCAGAGCTGAACTAAATATAACCGAGAAGGAAAAAAAACACAAAAGATCAATGAAACCAGAAGTTGGTTCTATGAAAGAATAAATTAGATTGATAGGCCACTGCTAGACTAAGAAAAAAAAAGAGAAGATCCAAATGAATACAATCAGAAATGATAAAGAAGATATTACCACTGAATCCACAGAAAAAAAAAAACAAAAAACTCAGAGACTCTTGCAAACACTTCTATGCACACAAACTAGAAAACCTACAAGAAATAGATACATTCCTGGAAAGTACAACCTCCTAAGATTGAACTAGGAAGAAACTGGAACCCTGAACAGACCAAAAACGAGTTCTGAAATTCAATCAGTAATAAAAAGACTAGCAACCAGAAAAAGTCCAACACCAGAAAGATTCACAGCCAAATTCTACCAGACATATAAAGAAGAGGTTGTACCATTCCTACTGAAACTATTCCAAAAAATTGAGAAGGAACTCCTCCCTAACTCATTCTACGAGGCCAGCATCATTCTGATCCCAAAACTTGGCAGAGACACACAAACAGAAACCAAACAAAAAAAGCTTCAGGCCAATATCCTTGATGAACACAGATACAAAATCCTCAACAAAATACTAGCAAACTAAATCCAGCAGCACATCAAAAATTTAATCTACCACAATCAAGTAGGCTTTATCGCTGGGATGTAAGGCTGGTCTTACATTCACACATCAATAAATGTGATCTATCACAAAAAGAGGGGTAAAAACAAAAACCACATGATTATCTCAATAGATGCAGAAAAGGCTTTTGATAACAATCAATATCCTTCATGTTTGAAAAAAACCCTCAATAAACTAGGCATGGAATAATTTTCCTCAAAATAATAAGGGCCATCTACGACAAACCCACAGCCAACATAATCCTGAATGGGCAAAAGCTGGAAGCATACCCTTGAGAACTAGAACAAGACAAGGATGCCCACTCTCATCACTCCTATTCAATATATTACTGGAAGTCTTAGCCAGAGAAATCAGGCAAGAGAAAGAAATAAAAGGCATTCCATTGGAAGAGGGGAAGTCAAACTCTCTCTATTTGCAGACAATATGATTTTATATCTAGAAAACCCCAAAGTTTCTGCCCAAAAACTCCTAGATGTGATAAATAACTTCAACGAAGTTTCAGGATACAGTATCAATATATAACAATCAGAAGCATTTCTATACACCAACAACATCCAAGCTGAGCGCCACATCAAGAATGCAATCCCATTTACAAAAGACAGACAGACACACACACACACACACACACACACACACACACACACACAAATACCTAGGAATACAGCTAACCAGGGAGATAAAAGATCTCTACAACAAGAATTGAAAAACACTGCTGAAAGAAATAACAATTGACACAAACAAATGGAAAAAAAAAATCCATGCTCATGGACAGGAAGAATCAATATTATTAAAATGACCATACTGCCCAAAGCAATTTACAGGTTCAATGCTATTATCAACTAACAATGACATTCTTCATAGAATTAGAAAAAACTATGTTAGAGTTCATATGGAACAAAAAAAAAAGAGCCCAAACAACCAAGGCAATCCTAATCAAAAAGAACAAAGCTGAAGGTATCACATCACCTGACTTGGAACTACACTACAAGGCTACAGTAACCAAAATAGCATGGTACTTTTATAAAAAGACACATAGACCAATGGACCAGAATAGAGAACCCAGACATAAAGCCACACACCGACCACCATCTGATCTTCAACAAAGTCAACAAAAACAAGCAATGGAGAAAAGACTCCTTATTCAATAAATGGTGCCGAGGTAACTAGCTAGCCACATGCAGAAGATTGAAACTGAACCCCTTCCTTACACCATATACAAAAAAATCAACTTAAGATGGACTAAATACTTAAACATAAAACCTAAAACTATAAAAACCCTGGAAGATAACCCTGAAAGATAACATAGGCCCTGGAAAAGATTTCATGACAAAGATGCCAAAGGGAAATGCAACAAAAACAAAAAATGACAAATGGAACCTAATTAAACTAAAGAGCTTCTGCACAGCAAAGGAAACTATCAACACAGTAAACAGACAACTCACAGAATGGAAGAAAATATTTGCAAACTATGCATCTGACAAAGGTCTAGTATCCAGAATTTACAAGGAACTTAAATTAACAAGCAAAACACAAACAATCCCATTAAAGAATGGGCAAAGGAAATGAACAGACATTTTTTTAAAAGAAGATATAAATGCAGCAACAATCATGAAAAATGCTCACCATCATTAATCATTAGAGAAATACAAATCAAAACCACAATGTGATACCATCTTGCACCAGTCAGAATGGCTATTGTTAAAGTCAAAAAATAACAGATGCCAGTGAAGCTGCAGAAAAAAAGGGAATGTTTATACACTGTAGGTGGGAATGTAAATTAGTTCAGCCACTGTGGAAATCAGTTGGCGATCTCTCAAAGAACTTAAAACAGAGCTACCTTTTCACCCAGCAATCCCATTATTGGGTATATACCCAGAATATATATCATTCTAACATAAAGACACATGCATGCATATGTTCATCACAGCACTATTCACGATAGCAAATGCATGGAACCAACCTACATGTCCATCAACAGTAGATTAGATAGGAAAAAATGTGGTATGTATATACCATGGAATATTACACAGCCTTAAAAAAGAATGAGATCATGTCCTTTGCAACAACATGGATGGAGCTGGTGGCCATTATCCTAAGTGAACTAATACAGTAACAGAAAACCAAATACTGCATGTTCTTACTTCCAAGTGGGAGCTAAACATCAAGTACACATGGACATAAAGAAGAGAACAAAAACTGGGCCTACGTGAGGGTGGAGATAGGAAAAAGGTGAGGATCAAAAAACTACCTATTAGGTACTGTGCTTATTCCTCAGGTGATGAAATAATCTGGCACATCAAACCACAACACACAATTTACCTATATAACAAACCTGCACATGTGCCCCTGAAATGAAAATAAAACTTTTTAAATTAAAACACACACACACACACACACACACACACACACACACACACACAAATTGGCCAGGTGCCATGGCTCACACCTGTAATCTCAGCACTTTGGGAGGCCGATGCAGGTGGATCACTTGAGGTCAGGAGTTCCAGACCAGCCTGGCCAACATGGTGAAACCCCATCTCTACTAAAAATACAAAAATTAGCCAGGCATGGTGGCGGGCACCTGTAATCCCAGCTACTTGGGAGGCTGAGGCAGGGGAATTGCTCGAGCCCTGCTTGAGCCCAGGAGGCAGAGGTTGCAGTGAGCCGAGATTGCCCACTGCACTCCAGCCTGGGTGACAGAGCGAGACACCGCCTCAAAAAAAAAAAAAAAATACACACACACACACTAAAGAAAAAAATCAGCCAGGTGTGGTGGCACACACCTACAGTCCCAGCTACTTGGGAGGCTGAGTTGGGAGGATCACTTCAGCCCAGGAGGTGGAGGTTGCAGTGAGATGAGACTGCACCACTGCACACCAGCCTGGGCAACAGAGCAAGACCCTGTCTTAAAAAAAAAAAAAAGGCAGGAAAAAAGAGTAGAAGACAAAAAGAGGAACAAAAAACAAGGGCAATGAATAGAAAACAGTAACAAATACAGTAGCTATTAATCCAACTGTATCAATAATCACTTTAAACATCAATGGTCTCAATACACCCATTAAAAGGCAGAGACTGTCAGAGTGGATCAAAAAAGAAAACCCAACAATATGTTGTCTACAAAAAGCTACTTTCAATATAAAGATTGATATAAATGAAAAGTAAGGGATGAAAAAATAAATATCATGCTAACACTAACCAAAAGAAAGCAGAAATAGCTATGTTAGTTTCACAGAGAGCTGGCGTCAGAGCAAGGAAAATTATCAGGCATAAAGGGGAGCATTACATATAATAAAAGTGTCAATTCTCCAAGAAAACATAACCAATCCTTAATGTGTACGCACCTAATGACAGAGCACCAAATACATAAGGCAAAAACCGATAGATAATCAGGCATGGTGGCTCACGCCTGTAATCCTTACACTTTGGGAGGCCAAGGCAGGCGGATCACCTGATAAGGAGCTCAAGACCAGTATGGCCAACATGGTGAAACTCTATTTCTACCAAAAAATACAAAAATTAGTCAGGCATGGTGGCATCTACCTGTAGTCCCAGCACTCAGAAGGCTGAGGCACAAGAATCACCTGAAACCAGGAGACAGAGGTTGCAGTGAGTAGAGATTGCACCACTGCACTCCACCCTGTCTCAAAAACAAACAAACAAACAAACAAACTGATAGAAATGCAAGGAATAATAGATGAATCCATAATTCATCTATTGAAGTTGGATACTTCAATACTCCTTTATCACAAAATGAACAGATCCAGCATGCAGAAAATCAGTAAGGACATAATTGGAATTCAACGTAACCATCAACTAGCTGAAAATAACTGACATGTATTTACTACTTCATCCAACGACAGCAGAATATACATTTTACTCATGATTACGTAGCACATTCACCAAAACAAACCACATTCTGGGTCATAAAACACATCTTAACAAACTTAAAAGAGTAAAAATCATATAATATCCATTCTCAGGTCACAATGGAATTAAACTAGAAATTTATAACAATAACTGGAAAAATCCCAAAATACTTGGAGATACAGCAACATAATTCTAAACAAAGCATAGGTCAAAGAGGAAATCTCAAGAGAAATTTTAAAATATTTTAGACCTAAATGAAAATTAAAATACAGCTTAATGGAATTTGCAGGATACAGTGAAAGCAGTGTTTAGAGGGAAATTCATAACAATGAATGCATATATTTAAAAATAAGAAAGATCTAAAATTAATAATCTAAGCTTCCACCATGGGAAACTAGAAAAAGAGCAGCAAATTAAATCCAAAGTAAGCAGTGGAAAAGAAATAATGAAAATTAGAGCAGAAATCGATGAAACTGAAAATAGAAAGTAAACAAAAGAAATAAATGAAACCAAAAGCTAGCTCTTTGAAATCATCAATATAATTGATAAGCCTCTAACCAGGCTAACTAAGAAAAAAAGAAGACACAAACTACTAATGTCAGAAATGAAAGCAGGAACATCATTATAGATCCTATGAACGTTAAAGGAATAATAAAGGAATATTATGAATTCTATGCCCACAAATTCAATAATCTAAATGAAATGGATCAATTCCTTAAAAGACATAATCTGCCAAAACCGAGAAATTGAATCAATAATAAATAACCTTTCAAAACAGAAAACAGCAAGCCAGGATGGGTTCAATTCTAGGAAACATTTCAGGGAGAAAGTATACTAATTCTCTAAAATCTCTCTCAGAAGATAGAAGAAGAGAATATACTTCCTAACTCATTCTGAGGCCAGCATCACCCTAATACCAAAATCAGGCAAAGACATTACAGGAACAGGAAACTACAGACAAGTATCTCTCATGAACACAGATACAAAAATCCTCAACAAAATATTAGCAAATTTGAATGCAACAATGAATAAAAACAATTATACACAACCAAATGGGATTTATCCCAGGTATGCAAGTTTGGTCTAACATTCAAATATCAACATAATCCATCACATCAACAACCTAAAGAAGAAAAATCACATGATCATATCAATAGATACAGAAAAAGCATTTCACAAAATCCAACACTCACTTATGATAAGAACTCTCAGTAAACCAGGAATAGAAGGGAATTTCCCTAACTTGACAAAGAACATCTATAAAAAACATACAGCTAACACCATACTTAATGGTGAGCAACTAGTTTTCCTGCTAAGATCATGAATAAGGCAAGAATATTCTCTCTCATCACTCCTTTTCAATAGTACTGGAAGTCCTAGCTAATAAAATAAAACAAGATATAACACCAAAGGCACAATCCATGAAAGAAAGAATTGATAAGCTGGACTTCATTAAAATAAAAAAACTTCTGTCCTGAAAAAGACACTGAGAAGAATGAAAAGACACAGAGTGGAAGAAAATATTTTCAAGAGACACGTCTGATAAAGGACCATTATCCAAAATATGCAAAGAACCTTAAAACTCAACAATAAGGAAACAAACAACTTGATTAAAAAATGGGCAAAAGACCTGAACAAATACCTTACCAAAAAAAGCTCAAGTATCTGAGGCTTATAAAAAGATGTTCAACATCATATGTTATTTATTAGGGAACTGCAAATTACAACAAGATTAAAACCACTACATAACTATTAGAATGGCCAAAATCCAAAACACTGATGACAACAATAAATGCTGATGAGGAAGTGGAACAATAGGAACTCTCATTTGTTGCTGGTGGGACTGCAAAATAGTATAACCATTGTGGAAGACAGTTTCAGTTTCCACTTCTTACCAAACTAAACATACTCTTACTATACAGTTCAGGAATCACACTCCTTGGTATTTACACAAAAGTGTTGAAAACTTACGTCCACACAAAATCCTGTACAAAAATGTTTACAGCAGCTCTATTCATAATTGCCAGAACTTGGAAGTGACAAAGATGTCCTTCAGCAGATGATGGATAAATAAACTATGGTACATCCAGACAATGGAATATTATTCAGTATTAAAAAGACACGTGCTATCAAGCCATGAAAAGACATGGAGGAACTTTAAGTGGCTATTACTAAGTGAAAGAAGCCAATCTGAAAAGACTACCTACAGTATGATCTCAACTATTTGTCATTCTGGAAGAGGCAAAACTATGGAGACAGTAAAAGGATCAGTGGTTGTCAGGGTTTAGACAGGAAGGAGGGATGAGTAGGCAGGGCACAGAGGATTTTTAGGGCAGTGAAACTATTCTCTATGATACTGTAGATGTATGTTATTATATATTTGCCAAAACCCAAGGAATATACAACACCAAGAGTGAACCCTAATATAAACTATGGACATTGGGTGATAATATAGGGGTTCATCGATTGTAACAGGACAGGGACAGGATTTTGATGGTGGGAGAGGTTGTGTGTATGTGGGGTCAAAGGTATATAGGAATTTTGTACTTTCTGTTCAATTTTGCTCTGAACCTAAAACTTCTCTCAAAAGTCTATTTAAATACACTATTTAATAACTCCACTGTCCACTTTGACCATGGAGCTATTGCTTTAATCTGTAACTTTGTCTTCATTATTCTATGGTTTTCCCAACTGAGACTGAAGGAGTAAGGACTAAAGTTTGTTTTTGTTTTTTGTTTTTTTTATTAAGATAGTCTTGCTCTGTCGCCAGGCTGGAGTGCAATGGCGCGATCTCAGCTCACTGCAACCTCCACCTCCCTGGTTCAAGCGATTCTCCTGCCTCAGCCTCCCGAGTAGCTGGGACTACAGGTGCACGCCACCACACCCAGCTAATTTTTATATTTTTAGTAGAGACGGGGTTTCACCATGTTGGCCAGATGATCTCGAGCTCTTGACCTCATGATCCGCCCGCCTCAGCCTCCCAAAGTGCTAGTTTTTTAAGTATTGAAAAATATTTTTGACATTAAAAAATATTTTTGACATAAATTTTTTTTAATGTTACAAATACTTTTTGATTTACTTAGTATTTAGGTAATTCTTCAAATTTGAATTTTCTCAAAATTTTAACACCATTTCTTAGAACTGTGGCCTTTATAAGATATTTAAACATTTGGATGCTTCATCAAAAGTTAACATATTTGGAAATAGCTACATGCTACTGGCACTGGGAAGAAAAAAAAATCTATTTACTTTTAAGGAGGCATAGCTATTACTACAATAACTGATGATTTTAATAAGTTTCCCTTGGGGAAAAAATGCCTTTCTACTTGGAGAGAAACAAGTAATTTTTAAAAGACCTGATTTTTATACAACATTCAAGTGACATGTCTTTGCATTTATTTATTTTGTGGAAAGAAAAGAAAAGATGCATAATGGGGAAAACAGTCCCTATTTCACAGGACAAGCAAACCAGCTCCTTTTTCAGCTCCTTCTACAAAGGGCCCTAGTCTTATAATAGGCAATTCCTTTCCTAAATACACATCTAATAAAAAAAGTGTATCATTGCTGAAATTCTCAACTGGGCTGTTTCCAAACATATGATGCATTCCTCCAGCAACTTCCAGGATGGAGTCAGCATGACCCCAAGGAACAACTGGGCAGCACAGCCCTGTCTCCTCTGCATCTGAGCTTCTTGATCTTGACGCGAGGAAGCACAATCCCTGCCAATTCCAAGAGTATGCTCTAGACAAGAGCTTGTTCTTCATTTCACTTTCAAATTATTTTAGAAACAAGTAATGGCACCTATTTCTAAAATAAAATGTTGCTCCTTCGTTACTTTTATTAATTTTGCAATCTCTTTCTCATCATTCTTCGCTTTTGATATCTTGTATTCCAGCATATGTACTTTAAACTCAGGGCCCTCAAGCTTCAGTGTGGATCAGTCAGATGGGTGCTTGTGAAAATGAGGGCCAAGGGGTCTACTACCAGGGGTTCCAATTTGGTAGGTGTGTGGGAAAGTCCCACAACCTGCATTTGTTACGCATCCCACAGGGGTTCTGTTGTAGGAGGTCCTGGAACCACACCTTGATAAATGTGGCTTTGAAGAATATGAAGAAGTGTGGTTTAGGCATCTTTTATGTTAAGGAACAGAACAGAATTAGGAAGACCTAAAGGTACAAAACACATTTATAGGTATATTCACTGAATGAAAACTGGTTTCTTTGCCACTCCTCAGTGAGCATACAGTATAGAATGTGTATTAATGTGCATGGTGGTCAGGTGCAGTGGCTCACACCTGTAATCCCAGCACTTTGGGAGGCCAAGGTTGGAGAATCACTTGAAGCCAGGAGTTCAAGACCAGCCTGGGCAACACAGCGAGACCTCACCTCTACAAAAAAGTTAAAAAAAAAAAATAGCTGGGCATGGTGGCATGCATCTGTAGTCCTAGCTACTCGGGGGGCTGAGGCACGAGGATCACTTGAGCCCAGGAGTGCAAGATCACAGTGAGCTATGATCACGCCACTACTCTCCAGCCTGGGTTACAGAGTGAGACCTTGTCTCTGAATAACAATTAATAATAACAGTAACAACATACACAGCTACATCTTATCCGATTGCAAGGTTCCCATCTGAAACTGGGGAAAATGATCCATTCCACTGGGCTTTATACCATATAAACTCATCCTTAGGCAGAAATGAAGGGGGAAAGGGTAAATGAAGCCTCTACTCTCAAGGCCTGGAGCCCAAAAGAGCTGATTTCCCTGTCCCCCTCATCACACCACAAGTGATCACAGTAGGGTGGGGGGATGTGGAAAGGGAGGAGGAGATGGGTTCTGCTAGAGCAGTGGTTCTCAAGCCACAGCTGTATCAGGATCCCCAAGAGGCCTGGTTAAAACACAGATGGCTGGCCCCATCCCAGAGCTCCTGGTTTAACAGGGCTGGAGAGTTTGCATTTCTAACAAGTTCCCAGGCGGAGCTGACGCCCCATTCCAGGGTCTATACTTTGAGAGCCACGAGGCTAAGTGTCTGTGAGGTGCCATTCAAGCACTCTGTATTAAAGGAAGAAATGGGGAAATTTTGCCAGAGAAAAGAGCCTTTAACACTCAAAACAAAGCATTCCAAACTTACACAGGGACATTTGTTGTAATATACATTCTCGTAAAACAAAAAGAACCATTTAATAACATAATCTCAGTATTCATTGATTTAAATGGATTTCAGCTGGTCTTCCACTCGAAACAAACGTAACTTGCAATGCTTACTAATCAAGAAACCTTACTGAGGGTCTATTGTATATAAAGAGAACCGCTGTGTAGGCCAATCTCCTAAATGGATGAAAAAGTAAAACAAAAACAGTCTCTACCTTTAATTTACTTATTGTCTGTATTATTTCACCTTCAATTACTATGAAATTTTGGACTAACTTAACATAACCTTTTCACTATCTCAAAATAAAAGAAACAGGGCTCTCTTGAAAGAATTCTTGTCTTTGCACGAACCCTACTTTTAGGAGAATAAAATAAATTCCAGGGAGGGTAGAATTAAAGTGGAGATGTAGGTGTTTTTGTTTATTTTCAAACCAACTTCTAGGAGGTGTACCAGAGACATTGTTGGTAAACTCGATGGTCAATATAAACATCAGAGACACCAATTCTTTAGTTACCAAAAACTCATTGAAAATGGGTACATTTTATGCATTCCATTTTTCAAGACAAGAAATGCACCAACACATTATTAAAAAAAGTGTACAAACTGGTCATAAAAACCTTATTAATAAGGTCACCTTATGTTTATATGGCCCTTCTGTGAAGCATTGAAGGATTTTTTTTTTTTTTTTTGAGACGGAGTTTCACTATTGTTGCCCAGGCTGGAGTGCAATGGCACAATCTTGATTCACTGCAACCTCCACCTCCTGGTTCAAGTGATTCCCCTGCCTCAACCTCCCAAGTATCTGGGATTACCGGCGCCCACCACCACGCCCGGCTAATTTTTGTATTTTTAGTAGAGACGGGGTTTCACTATGTTGGCCAGTCTGGTCTCGAACTCCTGACCTCAGGTGATCCGCCAGCCTCAGCCTCCCAAAGTGCTGGGATTACAGGCATGAGCCACCACACCCGGCCCCTTTTGTGAAGCACTGTGATGAGCCTCATTTGACTTGATCTTTACCACAAAATGGCAGGCGGAGTCAATGACTAATTCAACGTGTAAATTAGATGTTGAGGTGGGGGGGATGAACAAAACCTCAGAAGAGCATACAAATGTTCCAAAAATATTTAACTTCCACTTTAACACATCCTATCAGCTCTCTGTAGATTTTCTATGATCATCAAAATAAAATTTTTAATCAATTTTTAAAGGATTGAACATTTTTTTAAATTTAGTACCATGTAAGGATCCCCATTAATTTGACTTTTAACACAATAGTGACCAGTGACTTGGCTTTCTTCACCCTCACACTTTCATCCTAAACCGCAGCCTCGCAGCTCCCTGCTGAGGGTCTTGCCTTTCCACGAGAGCTCGGCAGAGACCCGGAGGTCCAGTCAGCACAAGGCTGGTCTGGCAATCTGGGCACCAGGCAGGTGGTCAGGCTATGAGAATAATTTGTGTGTGGACTTGGGTACTTCACTGTTCCACGTGCAGTTTTTCTCATCAATAAAAAATAGCAATCAAAGTGATCTAATGAATTTTCTACGTAAGATATTTTTCCATGCCTTAAAAAATACTAAATCCTTTATTTTCTTTAATTTCTTAGTAATAAAATACACTTGCATGCACTCGTGTTTTATAGTACTTGTGTTGACTGTGCTTGTGTTGTACAGTCCCCTCTTGTTATCTTATCTGTGGCCTCACACAGCCTAGAAGACTTGACTTGGGATCCAACCCTATCTTATATCACCTATTACAGCAGCCCTCACTGACAACCCAACGATAATGACCTATGTTCCCACAACAAGCCAGGCCTATCCCCACTCCAAGGCCTTTGTGCTAGCCATTCTGTTGGCCTAAAATACTCTTCTCTCAGACCCTTTCATATCACACAGGCCTCACATGTCACTTCCTATAGAGACTTTCTTTTAGCCCTCTCCCCACCTCCAGTTCCAGCTCCTGTCACTCTCTAGCCTGTGACCCTGTTTTAGTTTTTTCAAGTACATGGTACTTGGGGATCTAAAATTAGAGGGAAAAAAAATCATACAACATTCATTTTACTTAGTCCCAAATCTCTATCAGATGATGATATTGAGCAGAAAGATTCTAAAATTGGCAGGGAGAAAGAAAAAGTCATCTTAACACCTTCCGTGTACCAAAACCTACTATATAGGAGCTTGGTGAAAGTACAACAAATCAATCCATTCATTCATTCATTCATTCATTCATTCATTCATTCCATAAAGGTGTACATGCTTACCAGGTACTGAAGACAAAAAGATGGCTATAGTATAATCCCTACCCTCATAGAGCTCACATTCAAGCAGCAATGCCAGACAATACATAAATGTCTGTGATGCAATGTGACAAGCATTCAGAGCAAAGAGGATGTGTATGCCTGACATTCACAACAACATGAATGAAGTTGTGTGATGAGGGTACTCTTCCCGTCTGAAGGTTGAGAAAAGTCTCAGAGGAGTTCATTAATCTGCTTGAAGTTTCACAGCCAATGAAGAGGCAGGAGTATCCTCACCCTTGAATCATTGTAGTAAATGATTTATGAAGGTGAAGTGATAAGTCTCGGCTCATTTAAATAGCTTTTACAATAATCATATTTTGAAGATGCTAAGTGTTAACTGTCTACTCGCTATGGTGTGAACATGAAATGCATATGGGAGGATGGAGACTCTACATTTTAATTAAAAATAGCAATAATAGGGTGGGTGTAGTGGCTCACACCTGTAATCCCAGTACTCTGGGAGACCAAGGCAGGTAGATTACCTGAGGTCAGGAGTTCAAGACCAGCCTGGCCAAAGTGGTGAAACCCCATCTCTACTAAAAATATAAAAATTAGCCAGGTGTGGTGGCAGATGCCTGTAATCCCAGCTACTCGGGTGGCTGAGGCAGAAGAATCGCTGGAACCCAAGAGGCGGAGGCTGCCGTGAGCTGAGATCACGCCACTGCACTAGAGCCTGGGCGACAAAGCAAGACTCCATCTCAAAAAAAAAAAAAAAAATATATATATATATATATATATATACACGTACATATATATACATATACATACACACACACACACACACACACATATATATACAGCAATAATAAAATGAAGTTCATGAAAGATTAAAAGCCACATTGGAATTGTCTGGTAATTCTACAAAGAAATAAAAACATGTTTAAATTTACAAAGACAAAAGATCCTTATCCTTCTATTTTCCTTACTTTATTATCATATTTTCCATTGGTGGCTTCTTACTGGTAGCATGCTATCTCCTCTATAAAAATTCCCTCTAACTGCATTATCTAAATCCCTCCGAAGAGTCGCCTCCAGCCACTCGGTTTTCACCTCTAAATAACTGATCTCATCAGTTCAGTAAAGTTGGCCACATCAACTTCGGATAGCAACACCTTCCTCCAATTCATCTTCCCATCCACTGACCAAATTCATCTTTCCTTTGGCCCAGCAGAACCAAGAGCATGCATTAAAAAACCAGCCCATCCATCTTCTAGTTTACAAAACACAACATTTTCAAACTGTTTACTTATGTCCATGCCAACAATATTACTCAAATGTGGTGGAGTAAAAAAGCCACAGGGAATAGTGTAGTTGGCCAAGAGCAGTATTTGGGGATCTAAAATTACAGGGAAAATCATACAACATTCATTTTACTTAGTCCCAAATCTCTATCAGATGATGATGTTGAACAGAAAGATTCTAAAATTGGCAAGGAGAAAGGAAAAGTCATCTCAAAGTTTGGGCCATGCCAGAGCAGCCTTACAGAGCAAAGGCAGGAGGAAACAGAGTAAGGTGTTGTGCCCTTGAAAAAGCTGTCACAATCAGCAGTGTCTGCTGGGCAAGGAAAAGTACAGAGAGAAAAAGCAGGAAAGAAAAACAAGTGGAAATTATTGCCAAAAGGTGAGAGTAAACAAAGAAAAGAAAAAGAATTCTTTCTATAGTATTTAGAGGACAGCATTAGCAACATCGCAAAATCAGAAATGCTACTTCGACTCAACTCCATTCTATTCCTAGGTAGCATTTGTACTGTGGCACTTGTACTGTGGCAAAGCAAGGGACCTGCTTCCCAGGAGCTCAACGCTGATGAAGGGACAGATGCCTCTTCTACCTGGCTCAGCCATACCCAGAGCCAACTAAGAGTGAAATCAGAGTGCTTAGGGAGCATCAAATAGAATCTGCTTAGGGAGCACCAAACAGGATCAGCCCCCAAGGATCTTAGAAGAGGGGCATGGAAGAAGCAGTGGTACCCAGGAGGAAGTGGTCCTGAGCAGACAAATGAAAGGTGCTGAGAGCTCATTTTTGTCAATTACTGTGCAGGGGCCCTGCTCTCTATGCGTTTTTAATGTATTACCTAATGCAGCCCCGTAGCAAGCCCCTGGATGATGACAGAGACCATCATTATTCCTATTTTGTGAATGGAGTTAACTTAGCCCTGCTTCAGGTCTCAAGCTTGACTGTCCGAGATTACACAGTGAGAAAGTATTAAGGTCAATTAGGAGCTCCGTATTCTAATTCCAAAGACTGAACTTCCAACCACTGAGCCATACTGCCTGTCATTCAGGACAAACCAAACTGAGACCAAGTAAGGGGAGGAAGAGGAGAAAGGCAACAAAAGCAGGTAAGATAGAAGGGAGAGGAGAGGAGTAAGCAGTGGCACTTCCTTCTTATAACCACACAGTCTTGGGGTCTCGATGGCAATGTATGCACAGAATTGCAGTATCCAATGGACTGTGTCTACATGACGTGCTCAATCCGTAACAGGCAGGAAAAATTAACAGACACACATCAGTATATGCATGTACAGGCAGACCTCATTTTATTTTGCTTCACTTTACTGCACTTCACAAACACTGTGTTTCTTACAAATGGAAGGTTTGTAACAACCTTGCATGCAGCAAGTCTACTGGCAATATTTTCCCAACAGCAAGTGCTCACTTTCTGTCTCTGTGTCACATTCTGGAAATTCTCGTAATATTTCACACTTTTTCATTATTAATGTGTCTGTTACAGTGATATGTGATCGGTGATCTTTCATGTTACCATTGTAATTGTTTTGGGGCACCACAAATCATACCCAATATAAGACAGAAAACTTAACTGAGAAATGTTGTGTGTGTTCTGACTGCTCCACCGACCAGCCGTTCCCTCATCTCTCTCCCTTTCCCTGGGCTTCCCTATTACCTGAGACACAACAATATTGAAATCAGGCTAATTAATAACCCTACAATGGCCTCTAAGGGCTCAAGTGAACGGAAGACTCACAGATCTCTCACTTTAAATAAAAAGCTAAGTGAGGAAGGCATGTAGAAAGCCAAGATAGGCCAAGAGCTAGACCTCTTACACCAGCTAGCCAAGTTGTGAATGCAAAGAAAAAGTTCTTGAAGAAAACTGAGGAGAAGTCAATTCCTGGCCTCAATGTTTCAAAGGATGGGCTGACTCTCCTTTTAGGAGCTAACACAGCTGGTGACTTTAAGTTGAAGCCAAAGCTAATTTACCAATCTAAAAATCTCAGGGCCCTTAAGAATTATGCTAAATCTGCTTCGCCTGTGCTCTGTAAATGGAACAACAAAGACTGGATGACAGTCTGTGTGTTTACAGCATGGTTAACTGAATGTTTTAACCCCACTGTTGAGACCTATTGCTCAGAAAGGTTCTTTTCAAAATATTACTCCTCACTGACTATGCACCTGGTCACCTGTAAGCTGTGATGGAGATGTACGTGGAGATTAACGTCATTTTCATGCCTGCTAAAATATCATCCATTCTGTAGTCCATGGGTCAAAGAGTAATTTCAACTTTCAAGTCTTCTTGTTTGAGAAATACATTTCATAAGGCTATAGCTGTCATAGATAGTGATTCCTCTGATGGATTTGGGCAAAGTAAATCGAAAACCTTCTGGAAAGGATTCACCATTCTAGATGCCATTAAGAACATTCATGATTTACGGGAGGAGATTAAAGTATCCACATTAACAGGAGTTTGGAAGAAGCTGATTCCAGCCCTCATGGATGACTTGGAGGAGTTCAAGACTTCAGTGGAGGAAGTCACTGCAGAGGTAGTGGAAATAGCAAGAGAATTAAAAGTGGAGCCTGAAGATGGGACTGAATTGCTGCAATCTCATGTTCGAACTTGAAGAGATGAGGAGCTGCTTCTTATGAATGAGCAAAGAAGGTGGTTTCTTGAGATGGAATCTACTCCTGGCGAAGATGCTGTGAGCATTGTTGAAATGACAACAAAGAATTTATAATTTTATATAAACATAGATGATAAGGCAGCAGTAGCGTTTGAGAAGACCGACTCCAGTTTTGAAAGAAGTTATACAGTAGGTCAAATGCTATCAAACAGCACTGTATGCTACAGAGAAAGCTTTCACGAAAGGAAGAGTCAATTAGTGCAGCAAACTTCATCATTTTCTTATTTTAAAGAAAGTGTCACAGCCACCCCAACTTTCAGCAACCAGCCATATCAAGGCAAGACCTTCCACTAGCAAAAAGATAATGACTCACTCAAGGCTGACTTGATCATTCCATTTTTTAGTAACAAAATATTTTTAATTAAGGTATACACTTGCCTTTTTAGACATAATGCTATTATTGTACACTTAATAGTCTACAATATAGTATATAAACATGAGTTTTACATGTACTGGGAAACCAAAAAATTTGTGACTCACTTTATTGAGATATTTGCTGGAACTGAACCCTCCATATCTGAGGTATGCTTGCAAATACAACCCTGATGTATTTTTCCATAAGTACGAAAACAACCAATTTGTGTCACACCAACAAATTATGTAATATTTTCTCTCCACTAAGAAAGCAGGAAACCATTAGTAAAACACGCATTTACAGAAAGATAAGACCATAGTTTCTCCTTTATGTATAAATCATTGTACTTAACTACCACATCAGGGAGCTTTTAAAAACATGACCCTGATGGGCAGCTTCTATGTTTGTGTGTACTTTAAAAATTTTGTAATTAAAAAAAATTTGTGGAAAAAAACACCCAAATGTTCCAAAAAATCTTTTTTAAAAGGCACTCTATGTAATCACTGATGCAGCAACAATTTTGCAAATTTCCAGCTCTCGCAAAAATATACATGTATATAACTTTAAAAATTTTGTAATTAAAAAAAATTAGTGGAAGAAAACACCCAACTGTTCCAAAGTGTTTAAATCTTTTTTAAAAGGCACTCTACATAATCACTGATGCAGCAACAATTTTGCAAATTTCCAGCTCTCCCAAAAATACACATATATACTTCAAACATTCAACTAACTAAAGAAAAACTGGATGTAAAAACTGCATGTGCAGCAATCTTTGACTGTATATACATTCTTCAAATCCGAGCTATCCCAATGTTTAGAGGGTTCCTGCCTTGCTTGAGAGGTTTCTCTAAATTGCTAAGCGTTGAGGTTGGCCTTTAAATTCCCACATAAAGGGTCATAAATATTGCCCAGGACTGAGTTCCTTCCAGATCAGTTTCTCAAACTGTGGGCCACCTCCATCAGCATGATTTGGGATGCTTGTTAAAAACCCCAAAGATTTTGATTCAATTTGTTGAATTTAACAACTTTCAACATTTTAACAAACCCTTCCAGTGGTCCCGCTGGACATTCATGTGTAAGAAACACCAACCTAGAATCTCTTTAAAAGAGCCCCAGTAAAAATGGCCAGAGGCATCACCAAAATTACCTGTGGCCAATTCCTCATCTCTCCTAACACCCCCTGGAGCAGCCAGAGCTGCTGCAGTAGAAAAGTAACCAAATTAGATCCACAGTCACAGATTGTGTGGCAGGGGCCCAGTCAAAGCCCCGCCCACCCATCCTTGGGTCAGCTGCTAGGGTTCCCAAGTGCCCCAGGAATGAGCCAACTCTGAATAGCCCATCTCTCCAACCTATGTGCAAGGCATCTGCAGGCTTACATCATGAATTGAATTGTACTCCCCCTAGAAAAAAAAAAACAAAGTGTTGAAGTCCTAACCCCAAGTACCTCAGAATGTGACCACTGTTGGAGATAGGTTCTTTACAGAGGTAATCAAGGTAAAATGGGATCATTGGTGGGGGGGGGCGGGGAGTGGAGGCCCTAATACAGTATGACTGATGTCCTTATAAAAAGGGGAAATTTGGACACAGAGACAGACACACACACAAGACAATGTATAAAGACACAGGGAAGAGACGGCCATCTACAGGCCAAGGAGAGAGGCCTAGAACTGCCTTCAGAAGGAAGTAACGCTATCAACACCTTGACATTGGACTTCTGGACTGCAGAACTGTGAGACAATACATTTCTATCGTTCTAAGTCACCCAGCTTGTGGAACTTGTTACAGAAGCCCGAGAAAACTCACATAGCTTGGAAAATCATGATGTGAAGTTAGGCAGTGGAAGCCAATCCAGATAACTGAGGACTGTCAGGACAGTTTTCAGACCAAGACCTCAAGAAAGAATGTCACAGCACTGGATGTCCAGGAAGCCCAGGGCAGTAGGAAGAGCCACAAGATCTGCAGTGGCATCTGAGCACTGCCCCACTGTCTGGAATAGGGTTAATAAAGCATCCCTGCCTCAATGACACTACAGGGTGTGAAGATCAAGAAAATGCTCTCTGTAAGCTCCACAGCACCACACAAGTTACCCCCACCCCATCGGCAGCTCCTCTCTGCTGGACCTGATTTTGGTCCGTATTAAAAGGGTGGTGACATAGCCCTCACACTCCAAGTCGCCTCTGTTCATTGCTAGGAAGGACTGGGAAGCAAAATCTGCACTTTAGGAAAATTTAATTTGAGCTCTCGAACATGTTTGAGTACGTCTGAAATATCCAAGACAACAAATAACAGGGTCAGAAACAGCAAAACCCTGTGGTTGTCAAAGGTCTTTTCAACAAGTCAGGCTTCCTAAGGGCCCAGGGTTCACTGGGCAGCAAAAACTTCGATAAAGCAGAGCAGGCAGGGGGCGGGCGGCATCCTCAGCAGGCCCATGGGCCGGAGGAGGGCTTCATCATGAAGGTTTAAGCACTATTACAGTGTTATGGTTCCTAAATGTGGATTTTAACTAGTCTCGAGAACACATATTTGACCTAGTGTGAACTTGACCTCTGGGTTCCTCTCTCTTCACCGAGGTTGTCTGTGTCACATGACAAGATTCTCCAGCTGACCCTCCCACATGGGGGCCGGGGTGGCCCTCCTAGCAGTTGTCATGGTAAACCTCACTGCAGATCTATTGGCAAAGCAGCTGCCAATGGCCATAGCAGGCATACAAAAAAATATATAATCACTCTGGGCTCGACTCCCAAGTTTGGCAAGCACGATGCCAAGCCAAGAGGGATGGGGGACAGCCTGAGACCGTTCTCTAGGTCACCTGAACTCCAGCCACATCACACCCTCCTGGATGATGCCATCCACCACTGCATCTCTGAGCACCAAGGGTGCATGTGACTCTGTCTCCTTTGCATATAATTTAAGGAAAATGTCTAGAGTTGGGTTTTTTCCCCAAAAGTAGCATGGGCTGAATGCCAATGGAAAAGCAATGGAATATCGATTTTCTGTTTCTTTCTAAGGAGAGAACAAGTCATTTGATGTGCCACGAGTTAAGTGAGTAAAAACAGACCTGCACTCCCTACAGCTGGCTGTGTTTCTCCTCTATTCATAGAACCTGGCACATGGTAAAAGCTAAACAGTAAATGAAAGAACCATCCATGCGTGTATGGAAGGCCTGCAATGTGCCAGGCACCCGCTTTGGATTCGTATCTGCCATCATCTCTCTTCCCTCTACCCCATAACCCTGCCAGCCCAGCCTCACTCTCCTCTCTTTCATTCTTTTGTATTGCCTATTCCCGTGTCCAGTCTTCTCATTAAAGCTGAGCCTACCGGCAATGTCTCTGTCTGGCCTGCACTTACCCTGAGACGGGGGCAAAAAGACTGGCAGAACCAATGCAGGGCATGGGGGGAGGTTCAGTTTGGGCGCAGAAAAAAAAAACTACAAAAATGATAGGAGGCAAAAATGTTACACATCAGGGGTTTAATGCCCCACTTGGAAGACAAAGTCCCTAACCCACAAAACATTCCTTTAAGTGTTAATTCCTTGGAAAGAGCACAAATGTGGTCCATCTCTCCATCTCTTTTGTCCAAAACAGGTAAGGCTATCAAGAGTCATCCAATATTAACTAAAATGACACATCCCACACGATAATTTCGATTCCTAGGGATCCACATACAAATGGTGTCTGGAAAAGGAACATTAACATGCAACCAGGCATCTCTACATTGTGACTGGGCAGCTACAGCCTAGAGGACCACTTTGGTGAGTGCACATATCCATTCTTTGCCCTTGTGTGAGTCTGCCGCTTGCTTGTTCACATCTCTCTGATTTGCAATTTAAGGTTCACTAAATCTTTAGTCTTCAGAAGCATTTGATCATGGTCCATTTAAATTAGGTTTCAATCAACTAAAAACAATCCAGGCTTTCTCAAAGGGATACCTTATTTTCTTCACTGGATTAGGCAAATACTGAACAACATGAACACTTCCAACCTCTTACACAGAAATTTTTTTCGCATCAATTGCACATGACCTATATAAACTCAAATTCTTCATTATCTTCAACATGTAATGACAATTAGAAGACATCCTGGGTTATACATTTAAATGTCCATGCATATTTTATGATGACTATTATAAGGGGGAACTTCATGTGGGCGTATCATTGGTTTTTGTATTCTTATGTGTAATAAACCATACCCAAGTGTAATTGTTCAATCTCCGCATAATAAGGAAGTGAGAGGAGGAAACCACAAACAGAAGAAAACCAAATCATCGACAAAGGAGATAGAATTTACTTGGCTTGATCCAATACTAATCTCTAATATTAATCTTTCTGGTTTCACCAAGGCTTTCATACCCATTTTTTTTCATCTTAATACCTGCAACCATCCTATAAAGAAGGCAAGATTTTAGCACAGTCATTTCTGAGTGGGAAAATACAGGCCAGACAGGTCAAGTGAACTCCCTGAGGCCACACAGCTAGTGAGGGCTGCAGCATTTGAATTTAGGTCTTCTGACCCCAAAGCCGGGGGTCTTTCCTGGCATCACACTACTCAGCCATGGACACAAGGTTTATAGCATCAGCAGGAGCCCCAGTGGTCCCATCTGAAGGTAGAAGGCTCTCTCAGCTCCCTGGATCTCCCAGACACATGCAAAGTAAGTCCCCTCTTTTAAATATCCACCTCAGAGATACATTATTTTGGATCGCACGCTGACCTACCCCAGCATGCCTTTTAAAAACATAATTATTTCTGAAGAGAGCTGTGAATTAAGTTTCTAGCATTTGTACCTAAATTCATTTGTTAAACTGGGAAGTACAGGAAGGTTAATCTTCTGAATGCTGAAAACCACAGAAAAGGAAAGTGATGTCACATTGCTTAGATGCTGGTACTGTCCAAGGGCTACCTCTTAGAAGCCAGCAGGAAAACTTAAGCCAAATGCTGGAAGCATTGGTTGTAGGTACCGTAAGATTAAACCAACATAGCAACTTCCTCTAGAGCCCTGTAAGTAACTTCAACACTGATTTTTCTGACCAGCAGTCTTCTGTGATCTCTCTCTGGATTACCAGGGGGCAAACCCAGCTAAACCTAGGCACCCACTTCTTTGCCTCTCTTGCCTGCAGAAGCAGGAAGCCATGAAGAGATTCCCCAAGATTTGGAACATCTTGGGATCTTCTAGAACATCTTTGGATCCCCGAATTCCCCAAGCAACCTGAAAATGGGGGCCTATCCTCTTTTCAGAGACAGCACTCAATTGCATCATTTGCCAAGCAAACTTATTAAAGCCTTTGAGCATTCTCTCCAACAGGCATCAAGGAGCTTCTGCCTATCTGTAAAATCCTGCTCTGAATTCTTTTCTTTTCTTGAGATGGAGTCTCTCTGCATCGCCCAGCACAATCTCTGCTCACTGCAATCTCCCCTACCCAGGTACAGGCAATTCTCTTGACTCAGACTCCTGAGTAGCCAGGATTACAATTACAGGCATGCACCACCATGTCTGGGTAATTTTTTTTTTTTTTTTTTTTTGAGACAGAGTCATTGTCACCCAGGCTGGAGTGCAGTGGAGCGATCTCGGCTCACTGCAACCTTCACCTCCTGGGTTCAAGCAATTCTCCTGCCTTAGCCTCCCCAGTAGCTGGGATTACAGGCACACAACACCACACCTGGCTAATTTTTTTGTATTTTTAGTAGAGATGGGGTTTTGCCATGCTGCCCAGGCTGGTCTCGAACTCCTGGCCTCAAGTGATCCACCCACCTTGGCCTCCCAAAGTGCTGGGATTACAGGCATGAGTCACCGCACCAGGCCCTATTCCGTATTTTTAACCTTTACTCAGCAATATCCCATTGCAGTGGTGCTGTTAACAGACGAGTTATCTCCATGTTACAGGCAAACCATATCATAGCAGGTTTTGGACAGAATGAGTTACTGAGGGGAGAGGGGACATGTCATTTGGCCTGAGCAATGCTAAATTCTAAACAAATGCTAACACATTTCTGACAAGTATAATTTAAGAAGTTACAAAATGAAAAATTATGACTTAATCTAAAATGCCTAGAACCCTGAGCATTTCTGATCTAGTGGTTTGAGTTCAATAGTCAGAAGACTGTTCATGTCTGCAATTACTGCTTGATCATAACACATCATAAAACCTGTGGACATTTCCCTTTTTACAAAAGTAAGGCCATTATGCCAAAACCCTTCTGTTTCCTTCAGGATTGAAGACATTTTCAACAAACAAGGTCACCAGATTGACTGTATCCAAAATTTTTAAAATTCATCCACCTGTATTTTAAAATCCAAGCAGCAGAAATTTTGGACAATTCCAATCCACATGGGAATGCCTCAATCTCTATGCAAAGAACAACTAAGAATGCTTCACTTTTTCTGAGGGGGAAGGTAAGGCTCCTTTATGTCCAATGAGCACCCGATAGCATCAATTCGTCAAGAAGAACCTCAAAATACATTTTAATCTGATCTTTAATTTCACAATGCATAGGAGAAAAATTTTCCAGTGTTCTGAAATCTGTATGCATCATTAACACATTTTTTAAAAAACACTGCTGGGCATGCATGTGAACTGCAGAAGCACTGCAGAGAACCCCATCCATCAGTTCTGAAGAGCAGCAGAGAAGTGCATTCTAGAAAACCATCAGGCCTCAAGGATGAAGGATTCTGGTTGCTGTTTTCAGGAAGCTATAAAAACTTTGATGTTGTACTCCAGAACAGGGCCCTCTACTCCCCAAGCCCCTCCTGCCATCACCGTAAAGAATGTCTTTCATTTGTTGGTATCATGTTCAAATTAATTACATTGGTTCTGCCATATGGCATATCCTCAAATGGAAATTTTTTTCCTAGCTCCTGATTCACAGATGTGCCAGAATGATGAATATCTCTGTTGAGTTCAGAGAAGTCTTGGATGCACAGCACGGTTCTGTACAATGTATTGCTGCTGGCATTGATACTAACATTACCCTGACCCAGCCCTTCCTAGGTGGTAATGAAGCCTGGGTGGATTGTATTTCAGACTTCAACTTCCCCCGAGCCCTTTCAAGTGGCCCTTGTGAGATGCCCCCATGTGGACACCTCCCCCCACTTTGCCTACTGTGCAGGGCCACTGTGAACATGGCAACTTACGTTTGGTGCACCTCTGGGAGCCAGGGGCCTTACTCCAGCCATGACAGCACCGCCCTCCACAGACATTGACCCTGAAACAAAGCAAGATCGCTGAGTCCAGCAGCAGAAAGACCCCCTTCCCAAGAACCCAAGCTTCCAGCATGTTCCAGAAAGGCCAGCCTCCAGCTTCTGCAACCCTCTGGATGAGAGAGAGTCCTAACAGGTACCCTGGATGCCCAACCCAAAGCTGCCCAAGCAGAGGGGCAAGGCCCATACATATATCAGGGAATGCTGGGAGAACCAAAAAGCCTGCATAAACCTAGGGCTATACAGGAAGGGAGAACAGGGCCCAACAAATGGTTTTCTTACCCCCAAATTACAGTAGAGCCAAATTTATTTTTTCTATTATCTGGGCCAACATTTTAAATTGGAAATGAGTTTCAGAGAGAACTGTCCAAAAAGGAGTGAGGGCACATGGCCTGGAATCACCCCTGAAAAAAACATGCCAACTAAGCAAAACAAGTTTTCCCCTACACCCCAACCTGAGATGAATTCCCACAACGGGAAGGCACTATGAGCGCCCAGTAACAGAAACATTCCAACCAAAACTTTTATCAATACCAAGACACCCCACCCCAGGAAAGCAGACCCCACAGGTGCAGCGAAGTCCAAGCCCATGATTTCTCTGATGCTGCAAAGTTCCAGGCCACAGAACAGGAGCTGGATCTTTACGGCTAGCCCGCCCTCGAAACATTTTTTTCATTAGCTAGACCAAAATTAAAACTCAGTTGCAGAGTTTAATTGATGCTGAGGGATTAAACTGTAGTGACCTCAAGTTTACGCCCATCTTCTAGAAGCAGTTGGGTTTGCGCGCAGAAGGTTACGCCCCAGGCAGAAATGCCTTTTGTGTTTACCCGCAGCTCGGTAACAATGCACTCGGAGTTTCACGTCAGTAAAAGTTCCTGGGCTTCCCCGCACTCCCCTCTTCCCGCGGCGCCCAGAGCAGGCGGAGGCGGGAGGAGAAAGCCGACCCACCGCGCGCGACCGCCCTGGCCACCGCGGGGCTCCGAGTGGCCCTGACCCCGCAGGTCCCTCCGCGGGCGGTGCGCGCGAGGCGGGCGGGCGGGCGGAAGGGGGTGTGGGCTTACCCCTGCAGCTGCTGCTTCTGGTGAACCTGCAGCCTAGAGCCTCCGCCGCTCTGGGTCTCCTGCGGCACCTTGGAGCGCACAACTTGCCTGCCTTGTTTGGTGAACGGGGCGGCTGCCGGGTGGCCGCCGGGATTGGGGTGGAGCTGCCCGCCGGGGACCGCGGGACGCGCAGGCTCCGGCGGCGGCGGCGGCGGCGGTCTGAGCCCCTGCAGGGCCGCGCCGCCCGGCTTGCTCGTGCGCCGGGTCCTCTCCGAGGGGACCCCGGGGGAGGCACGGCTGGGGGCGCCGGCAGCCGCCGAGCTGCGGCTGTACCTGGCGTTGAGCGCGACGTTGAATGTCCGCGAACGCGGGGGCCCGCTCAGGGGCAAGGCGCCGGCTGCCAGGCCGGGGCCCGGGTGCACCACGTAGGTGATCCTCCGCAGCCGGCCGTGCGCCGAGGACGCGAGGAGCCCTGCCCAGAGCAGGAGCCCCCACCTGAGCCAGGCCCCCGCCATCGCGGGCCCCAGCGGGCGCGACCGGTCGCGCGCGGTCCGGCCCCCTCCCCCGGCCGTGCGGCTCGCCTTTCCCCGCGCGTTCGGGCTCCCCCGAGAGCTGCCGAGAGCCCGGGAAAGGCGGGAGGAGACCAAGTCGGTGGCGAGGGAGGAGGCTCTGCGGGCAGCTGAGCGGCCCCAGACCCCGGCCGATTGTGGCTGGGAGCAGGAGGAGGGCGTGGGGGTGGGGAGCGCGGAGCCCGGGGAGCGGGGAGGGGCGAGGGGAGCGGGCCGCGCAAGGTGAGGGTCCGCGCGTCCGGCCGGGGGTTGCAGCGCGCGCCGCAGCGGGGCCCGGCGAGGGTGGCCGAGAGCGAGCGAGAGCGCGCGGGACACTCCGAGGCAGCCCCGGCGGCGAAGTCTTTTAAAAGTTTCTCTCCCGTGGCCCCGAGTGTCAGACCTGAGCAGCCAATCTCCGGCAGACGTGACGTCAGGCGGCAGATCCTAATTGGGGAAGGCGTGCGAGGAGCCCGAAGGCGCGCCGCCACCCTCCACATCCACTGGGGTTGCCCCCGTGGGTCGCCGAGGCGGAGGTCCCCACGCCCCGGTCCCGTGTCCCGGGAGAGGACAAAGCGCTCAGCAAAGTTACTGAACGATCCTGTCCTTTCAGAAGCCCCATGCGTTTGATATTGTTTGGAAGCCCCGGCATTTTCTTATCCGTGTTTGCTGTGATACTTGCTGCGGGGTTGAATTCAGATACCAAATCGGGCCCCAGAAAGGGCTGTCGGGGCGCGCTGAGGTCTCCATCGGAAACCGTTTAGGTGGCTCCCTGTGGGGCTGTAAAGTCCCCGTGGCTGCTTCTCGGTGTGCAGCCTCTGGTACCCTACTTCTCGCTTGGCAGGGATGGGAGTGCAGGGCGGGCAGCAGAGGGCGCCCGCGTGGGACGGGGAGAACCGCCCAGGGACAACCGCAGAGACAGCCCTGTCCCTGGGCCTTTAGGGTAGGACTAGAGTTCAGGATCCCTGAAAACCCTAAGCCATTATTGTTTTTAATAAAGGCGAATCAGTTCACGGGACCGTAATCCGACCGGGTCACCCAACTTGGAGATGACCTGACCCATTAAGAGAGATGGCAGAATGTACCAGGGATAGAGTCTGGGGGGTCATAGTGCTCTTTGGGGAAAACCATGAAATAATGACATATTTACTTTTAGCATTTGAATTCAAAACAATGTCGCATGATTTTATTATGTGAATGCAATAGAAAGTCCACAGTCATAGCAGTCTTCCTCTATTTTTTTTTTAAGCCTTTAACTTAAGAATGATGGTGTGTTTCCAAGGCTTTGGTTGTTCTTGTTCTTATTTACTTGTGGCTTATCCTTTTGTTTTGTTGCCTGCATGCATTGGCTAGTAGACAATTGGTAGCAGGTGACAATGGTTTAAGAAGCATTAATGGAAAAATAATTTAACCCTAAGGAAACTTAACCCATTAATTACTTTTTTTTTCTGCACATTGGAGAAAGACCTCCAATATTTGATTTGGCAGGCAGGGCCTCAGTCCAGCTGCCTGAGCACTAGCTGCTTGTGAGAACACAGTTTGAGAGGCACTGTCATGGAATAAATAGCGCCGGACTGGAGGGAAGAGCCCTCAGGTCCAGTCCTAACACTGCCATTAGTAAGCTGAAGGACCACAGGCAGCTCACCTCTCCTTCTGCACCTCCACTTCCTCCTCTGTCACAGAGGAATTGGATGAAAAGTCCCTGCCAGCCCTAGCAGTCTGTGTCTCTAAGAACATCCAGGGTCCTTCTGGACAGGATCATTCTAGGTCAGCCCCTGAGCCAGGCCAAAGTGAACTAGCTGAGAAGATTGAGGATTGAGGTGAGTCACAAGGCTGCCTCCCAGGTTGGTTCAAAGGTAATGAGTTACCTCAATTGATTGTTCACAGTCAGTTACGGATCCAATTCCTTGTTCTACTCTTTCCCGTCTTCTTGATACTGTACTTGACTAGTCTTAAGAAAAGTTTAAAGAAAAAAAAAAAAAGAAGAAGCTGTCTCTCAGCACCAGGTTCTGTATGAAGGATACAACAGAAGCTAATATCCACCGCATCTCTGAAGGAGGCACTGAGGCTGTGGAAATACAAAGGATCACAAGGCATAAAGCCCTTGTCTTTAAGAAACTTCGTGTCTTGTTAGGGAGAGAAGATGTAAATGAAAGCTTAAAAATGATAACAACTTAATGAAGCAACACTTTGAGATCATGATAGACCTCTCACAAGGGAGGACCTGATTTGTATGATGCCTGTATCATAGTACAGCCCACAATTCTTTGTCATCTTATGGAAAATTCACCAACATGTAGGGAAAATACTTCCTACCTGCAACTCAGATCAGTTCACAGAGCTCTTACCTCTCAGGTAGGGATAATGTAACAGCAGATGAAATGGTTGGAGGTGGGGAGGAGGGTGATTAGCATAGCTACAACATTCTGCAGAGCCAGGACAGGAGAGGAGAGATGTCAGACAGAGGAAAGCTCAGGAAAGAGTAAAGGACAGCATCCCCAACAGGACCAGCCTCTACCTGTCTTCAGTGGTGGTCACTCCCAGTCCCCAGATGGACAGATGGCAAGCATTAAAGCTGCTTTTGGGCAATAAGTGGCAGCTACCTGTGGAGGGCACAGCCTGGATGGGGACTCTAGGGGGCTGGGCTCTACCTGCTGCTTTACTTCTGTATTAGTATGTTCTCATGCTGCTAATACGTACCCGAGACTGGTTAATTTCTAAAGGAAAGAAGTTTAATTGACTCACAGTTCCGCAGGGCTGGGGAGGCCTCAGGAAACTTACAATCATGGCAGAAGGGGAAGGCAAACACGTCCTTCTTCACATGGCGGCAGCAAGGAGAAGTGCCGAAGCAAAAGAGGGGAAAGCCCCTTAAAAAACCATCTGATCTCCTGAGAGCTCACTATCAGGAGAACAGCATGAGGGTAACCGCCCCCGTGATTTAATTACCTCCCACCGGCTCCCTCCCACGACACGTGGATTACAATCCAAGACGAGATTTGGGAAGGGACGCAGCCAAACCATATCAACTTCCCGTGGAAACTTGAGCAAGACATTTCACCTCTCTGAGCCTCAGTTTCCAGAAGGCCTGGGACTCTGCCTGAGATCCTAGTGTTTGGGGGAGAAATGACCTTAACCAGGCCCTTTGGCTCTGCAGAAAAATGTTTTTTAACCATTAAAAAATGCAGAATGCAGTTTTCCTCTCAACCCACAGCAATGGCGAGGTGGGCATTTCACACCAATCTTTAACCCAATTACAACCTGCCTTATGACAGATTTGGATATATCACAATCAGATCATCTCTGAAACAAAACCACAGGAAAAAAACAAAAAAAAAAACAAAAAAAAAAAAAAACCTCTAGTGTGAGGCTGGGCACCATGGCTCACACCTGTAATCCCAGCACTTTGGGAGGCCAAGGCAGGCAGATTACTTGAGGTCAGGAGTTTGAGACCAGCCTGGGCAACATGGTGAAACCCCAACTCTGAAAAAAATAAAAATAGGCCAGGTGCAGTGGCTCACACCTGTAATCCCAGCACTTCGGGAGGCCAAGGCAGGCAGTTTACTTGAGGTCAGGAGTTTGAGAACAGCCTGGCCAACATGGTGAAACCTCGTCTCTACTAAAAATACGAAAATTAGCCGGGCATGGTAGCACATGCCTGTAATCCCAGCTACTCCGGAGGCTAAAGCAGGAGAATCACTTGAACCCTGCAGGTGGAAGTTGCAGTGAGCCAAGATTGTGTCACTGTACTCCAGCCTGGCAACAAAGCGAGACTCCATCTCAAAAAAATAATAAGACTAAAACTAAAAAAAATTTTTTAAATACAAAAATAAATCTCTAGTGTGAATGTTAACCCATCCGTCTACACATTAGTGTATGTGTGTATGCACACAATTAATATGGAAATATACACATGAGCAAGCAGCCCGACTCTGTAGTTGGGAGACTCCAGCAAAATCACAGGTTTCCACATAAGTCTCTTGCTATTTACGTAACTAGCAAGATAATCCTTGAAAAACCTGTTATGCACCCCATGTACTATCATCTGAGATGGTCACTCATCCCAAACACTGAACTCACTATTATTCTGAAGGTGAAAGCCCAGTTTCTGTCAGCCATGAGGATGGGCCTTTGCCAATTCTAGACCCAGTTTAATGCTATGGATGCTGGACTCAAACCCCCCTAGAGTTCAAGGTCCATTTATGTTGGCAGTACACAACTTCCTGGTTCAAAAAACAAGCCTTTAAAGATCTCATAAAACTTCTTGGACTTCAGATGGTTTTTACAAAACAATACTCAGATGAGCTAAGTGTAAATGAATCAGAAAAGAGGATTATGTTTCCCATAAAAACTCATGAGTTTGAGGATTAGGAGAAGAAAGAAAGGCTGGCAAATGCCAAACATTTTAAAGCGCTTTGAGACCATTAGTCAAACTCAAAGCATGGCCAGTTTCCCTCATCTTTACACTTTATGAGTTTTGTAATTGAAAATCTTTTCCTACATTTAAGATCAGCTACAAATCAAATTTAGTGGCTGCCTATGATCAGAAGAGCATCCAGCCATGTTTTCTTCCAGGCAAGCATTTCATGGAGCTCCTTTTAGTCCTCTTTTAGTTTCATCAAGAAATTCTTAGAAAGAAAATGGGAGGGGAGAAGGAAAAGAAATGAGAAGCCAATAGGCTGTAGATAAAAGGAAGAGAGAGAAAGAGCAAGAGCAAGAGAGAGACTGAGGGAAAGGAAAGTGAGAGGAGAGGAAGCAGGAGAGAGAGGGTGAGAAGGGAAAGACAGAAAGGCAGAAAGAAAAGCAGAAAGACGGATAGAGGCAAAGAAGGAAGAGGAATGAATGGAGAAAGGGGGAAGGAAGCAGAAAGCAATGAATGAGAAAGGGAGCAGACAGAGATGTAGATGGAGAAAATGAAAAAATGAAAGGAGAGAATTTTAAACAGAATCTACGGCTCCATTTCCTCAGGCTGCTCATTAGGATTCTGGCAGCCTTTTCTGAACATCAGCTAGCTGTAACCTGAACATCAGTTTGTCCAGATTTGGGCTAGAATTAAATCTGCAACCTTATTAGGTGCTAGCACAGTGTGGCTGGCTGCCCCATACCTCACACAAAGTGGTAGGGACAGGAAGTCTCGTGTTCTCCTACACAAGCAGCAGGCCAAGAATGGAATCTTCACCTCATGACTGCCCAAAAATAGGTAGCTTATTCACTCACACAGTCCTGTTTTGTATTTTTAACCATTTCATCAAAAGGTAGGGGTGGGGGGCCAGGCGCGGTGGCTCACACCTATAATCCCAACACTTTGGGAGGCGGAGGCGGGTGGATCACTTGAGGTCAGGAGTTCGAGACCAGCCTGGCCAACATGGTGAAACCCTGTCTCTACTAAAAAAAAAATAAAATAAAATAGAAAAATTAGGCCGGATGTTGTGGTGGGCGCCTGTCATCCCAGCTACTTGAGAGGCTGAAGCAGGAGAATCACTCAAACCTGGGAGGCAGGGGTTGCAGTGAGTCGAGATCTCGCCACTGCACTCCAGCGTGGGTGACAGAGCAAGACTCCATATCAAAAAAAAAAAAAAGTAGGGGTGAGGGAGTTTAGAAACGTGTGACCTCCTCCACCTATGACTCTACTTCCATGAGAAAAAAACATGAAGCTTTACAAATGCAGAATTAAAGCAGAGGCTCATGTGGGCTCATGTGATGAAAATGTTAGTGTCTGTCTACCAAGCTGTGTGAGCAAGGTAGAAACAGGTCTGCTTTGCAGAAAAAGATGACGTACCCCCAGGAATGAGCAACAAGTAGAACTGAGGTTTACCCCAGCGTTTCCCTTCCCTTCCCTTTTGTTTTCATATAACAAACATTTGTTGAACAACTATAGGGTCCTCAGCTAGCTTCCACAGAAACTTTACAGCAAATTCAGAACAGATTTCCATTTTAGATGGAGAAGTTAGAATTAATATGTTGTTAGATTGCAACCCAAAGTTGCCCCTGGACCAGCAAGTGCCCTCGTGCTGGCCCTCAGTGCCTGGCCATGGCAATACAGACCCTGTCCACTGGGAGCAGACAGCCTCCTGGTGTAAATAGATCCTGAACAAATCATCGCATGTGAAGCAGGTATTAAAAAGGAATTACAGGCCAGGCACGGTGGCTCACGCCTATAATCCCAGCACTTTGGGAGGCCGAGGTGGGCGGATCACAAGGTCAGGAGTTTGAGACCAGCCTGGCCAACATGGTGAAACCCCGTCTCTACTAAAACTGCAAAAATTAGCCGGGCGTGGTGGTGGGCGCCTGTAATCCCAGCTACTCGGGAGGCTGAGGCAGGAGAATCGTTTGAACCCGGGAGGCGGAGGTTGTAGTGAGTCGAGATCATGCCATTGCACTCCAGCCTGGGTGACAGGGCAAGACTCTATCTCAAAAAAAAAAAGGAACTACAGGGTGGGAAACAAGACCCATCAGAGGAAAATGGGTCAGGGGCATGGTCTGCCTTGCTACAAATTTAGAGGTGTCAATCAACAAAAAGGGAACTCACAAAAAATAAAGTTTTCCTTTCCCCTCCTCACTTGCCTTACATAATCAAGATGAGTATCACACCGTGGGGACTCCTAAAGACAGCAAAATGGCTCTCTGCAGCTAGCCAAAATGTGTCAATTAATTTAGCTTTCACTGAGATTTGTTATGCTCATTTATTCAGAACTTTTGAACATTAAACATGAAACTACATGATAATTAAATAGCTGTCAACACAATTTTATTTACACTTGTCATTCACACCCTCCAAACCTCATCAGGCCACTGGTTGGCCTGCATTCAATGAGGCATAAAGGAAATATGTTCCTGCTCTCAAGGAGTTTGCATCTTGGAAAACACTTGGACGCACACCAAAATGAGATGCACCTCAACAGAGAAATCTATGAAATACTTGCCTTCGGATCACCAAAAGGCCTCCAAATTTTATTTTACTTTGGTATTTCAGTTTCAAACACTTCTTTGACGTTCCATTCAGTCATTGGAACTTCCCTGCTTAAATTTCAGTTCAAAGGTGCCCAGACACCTGTAAGGTTGTTTGAGGGCTGGATGGCAATCATGTTCTCTCTATTTGGATACAGCTATCTATAAATTGTGATCCAGTTTTAAAAGGAACCTCCTGCTTTGCTTCAACTTCAGTGTCTTTCATGTTGTTGAGTTGCTAGAATTGCTTCTTTTATTATATATATTTATTTATTTATTTATATATTTAATATATAATATATTATATATTAATATATATTATTATATATTATATATTATATATTATTATATATTTATATATTATTATATATTATATTATATATTATATATAAAATATATTATTATATAATATATATAATATATATAATATGTTATATATAATATATATTATATATTATATATATTATATATATTATATATTATATATTATATATATATTATATATTATATATATTATATTATATATAATATATATAATATATAATATATATATTGAGACGGAGTCTCACTCTGTCTGCCAGCCTGGAGTGCAGTGGCAGAATCTCGGCTCACTGCAACCTCCACCTCTTGGGTTCAAGTGATTCTCCTGCCTCAGCCACCCAAGTAGCTGGAACTACAGGCACACACCACCGTGACTGGCTAATTTTTGTATTTTTAGGAAAGACGGGGTTTCACCATGTTGGCCAGGCTGGTCTCCAACTCCTGACCTCAGATGATCCACCCACCTCGGCGTCCCAAAGTGCTGGGATCACAGGCATGAGCCACCGCGCCTGGCCTAGAATTGCTTCTTTACTTAAATTTCAGGGAGTTATTAAAATTGTTATATCGTTTGTCTACATTAGAAGTTTCACCCAATAGCACTAGAACATGATGCTGCCTGAGTTTAACACTTGATCCTAATTTTTTTCCCGATAATCTTTCTGTCTGCCTTCAAACTGAGAAAGACATTATATAGTGACCAAAGCAATCTAGAAACAGAAGAAAACTAGGAGAAAAAATACTATTCCACTTCTACATATCAATTCCTGGCCTCGTCTGCTCTTCTAAAACCTAAGGCCCATCACAGATTGCCTCCTTCTTAATTTTTCAACCTAATCTTGGGCTACATCCTCAAATAAACCTTCTGTTCCAACTACATTTATCTACCTATTTAGGTTGGTGCAAAAGTAATTGCGGTTTTCGCCATTACTTTGCAAAACCTCAATTACTTTTGCACCAACCTCATATTTTTCTTCTCACTCTTTGGAAGGAAAAAAAAAGACCCTGATCAGTCACTAGTCTGTGGAAATATGACACCCAAATTGCTGCTTCCAAGCCTCCCTTCATATCATTCTGAAATTCTCTCACCTCCTCAACTAAGTCTTCCTTCTCCTTCAATTAGAATTTGAGATCCTTTCATCCATGAAGCCCTTTGAAATGACCTTAACTTCAGTTTACTCTCTCTTCTAAACTCTTATGTATATTATCCATTCTCTTATGACCATTGAACACACAATCCTTGCTTTGTGATAGACATAGAATACTTCTAGCAGGGGAAGACTTTTTTCTCCTTGGTCATCATGAGATAAACCAGAATTAAGGCAGGTCTTGGTTAATAATGCCTGAGGTTTGGTTAGGGACATTCTGACCTGTCTTTAGCTGTTTTCAGGCAGCATTTTGCTGAGCAATGGAGTTTGCTTAAATTTTACCCTAACCTGAATTAAGTTGCTTTAACCAAATCAAGCAGTGGCCCTAGGGGGAGTGAGGGGAGTTTCCTAATCCTAAATTAATGGTTTAAAAAGTTCTGTAGAAAGAATCCTGTTATATTTGTGTCTAAACACTGTAATATTTACAGAATTATGTCATTAAAATAGTGCTTTTAAAACATCTCTCTTTTGTTGTCCTCTCAACTTCCCGTTTGTGGAGATCAGGACATACTCTGAGAATTGCAACTAGTACAAATCATCACAATATGGATAAACTGAGCAATATACAGAAGTCCCTCTCACCACCAAAGAAACATTAGCTATACAAGGCATGAGCTGTCTTTCTAAGCAGAGAGGGGAGACCAGTAAAACCAGCCCAGCGTCTGTGATTCCTCCAGGTTTCCCGGTTTTAAAGCCCAGGTTTAAAAAGCTACTGCTGAGACGGATCGGGTTACATCTTCCAGCTGCCAGAGAACCTTACACTTAACCCTTCCCAATCCTCGACCTGGATGTTGCACTCCCATTTCACTTCCTAGAAAGGGTATCTTCTATCTTTGTATGTCTCCCTATGTTCTATTCCTTACATATGAGCAACTGGCCAAAGCCCCAGGTGAAGCTTCCTGTGGCCACACTACGTTCCATGCTTCAGCCTCATCTCTGGAGTCCTGCCTGTGCTGAGGACAGAGACCTTGCGTGTCACGTCCTCCGTGCCTAATACGGTGTGCAATTCATGGTCAAGGTTCAGTGTTTGTTAAATGAATGATTGTGAACCTTCTGATGCCTATGTCACAATAAGAAAACTGCTGACTATCTTTTTTTTGTTTGTTTATCATGAGCATAAACTGTGCCCAAGATCCTTAAGTTGTCAAGGGTCTGGAGATTGATTAATTAATTCTTTCATCCATTGACTCATTCGTTCATTTGTACACCATTCCCTAGACGTTTTTGAGGGCCAGTTGTTTTTTAAGGAACCAAGAATGAGGATGAGAAATTACTTAATGGGTATAACATATACTATTCAGGTGATGGCCACACTAAAAGCCCAGACTCCACCACTACCCGATATACCCATGTAACAAAACTGCAGTTTTGCCCCTTAAATTTATACAAATAAAAAACAGCCTGGGCACGGTGGCTCATGTCTGTAATCCCAGCATTTTGGGAGGCCAAGGCAGGTGGATCGCTTGAGCTCAGGAGTTCAAGACCAGCCTGGGCAACATGGTGAAACCCCATCTCTACCAAAAATACAAAAAGTTAGCCGGGTGTACTGGGAGGCTAAGATGGGAGGATCACCTGAGCCTAAGAGGTTGAGGCTGCAGTGAGCTGTAATCACACCACCACCACTCCAGCCTGGGTGACAGAGTGAGACCCTATCTCAAAAACAACAACAAAGAATGGGGAAAGGATTTTAGACATTTTTATTTAGGGATCTAATATTCCTGACTAAATCCAAGGATTCTCTCCGAAAATCTTCTCTTCAGAAGGCATGGTGTAAAGAGATGGATAGGTAGAATCTCTTCCTACAATCCTCTTGCAGCTAATTGCCAGACAATTTACATGAGCACATATAACAGTATCTGTAAAAAGTAAATACATGATCCTGGATATTTGTGTACCAGAAGGGAGTGAAATGCATGGTTAAGGGCACAAATTTTGGTATCAAACAACCTGGGCTCAGTTCCCAGTTCTGCTTCTAGGTATGGGAGTGAATTTAGGGGCATAAGGCCCATGTTCTGGAAGAATCTAGGAAACAGCCGGATGGGCATTAAGGAATTAAACTCTTGAATCCCCCTTGAACAATCACTTCTATGAGGGAATGCTTTTGAGTACTCATTGCTGCCCTGAGAGCCACTTCTCAGCTGGAAGCAGTTGGAAACAGATAATCTCAGCGTTAGATTCTAAGGGGTCTGTCAAGACTGCCATTTTATGTTATCCCTTTAAGGTTCAGCATGCGGAATAATTTCTCAGCCATCATGAAGTGTTTCCTGGTAGCCAGCTCAGGCTCTACAGATTTACCACCCTAACTCTTCCAGTAAAAGAAAGCCATTTTCAGAAAAACAGAACTTCCTCCAGAGGTTTTATAGCCAAAGGTACCAAAAACTGATGTGTCTCTTGTGTTTTTCACTTGGTGGAGAGAAGCCACAGGGTTGCAATTTCAGATACGCTTGTCTCTAGAAAATAGAACTTGTCTGGGAGGGGATTTAGAGCAAAGATGGAGGAGGAGGCCTCGATTTTACAAAGAAGGATGGTGGGAAGAAGAGAAGGGAAGAAAATCATTCATTATCATTCACTGAGCACTTACAAAGGCCCATCAGTGGCATGGGGGGTAGGGGGGAGTCTGCACCTGCCATCACAGAAGGGGGCTGCTGTTTAAATGTTTGTCTTCATGACTGTTGACAAAAAGAGTCAAATTATAAAATATTTAAAGAGATTTATTCTGAGCCAAATATTAGGACCATGACCCATGACACAGCCCCAGTGGCCCTGAGAACATGTGCCAAAGGTAGTGGGGATGCAGCCTGGTTTTATACATTTTAGGGAGACATAAGACATCAATCAATACAGGTAAGGTGTAGATGGGTTCAGTCTGGAAAGGTGGGACAACACAAAGTGGGGTGGGGCAGGGGGTTTTCAGGTCATAGGTAGATTCAAAGATTTTCTGATACAGATGAAGCCTCCAGGTAGCAGGCTTCAGAGAAAATAGATTGTAAATGTTTCTTATTAGACTTAAAAAGATGCCAGACTCAGGTAATTATCTCCTGGATCAAGGAAAAGACCTGGAAAGGGAAGGGGATTCTCTACAGAATGTAGATTTTCCCCACAAGAGACGGCTTTGCAGGGCCATTTCAGAATATGTAAAAAAAATATACTTCAGTTGCTTTCAGGGTCTGCTATCTGTCACGTTGGTATCTTATTACTGCAAAGAGTCAGTTTTGTCAGTCTTAAGTCTCTGTTTTAATGTTTGTTGGTTTGTTTGCTTTTGAGACAGAGTTTCACTCTTGTTGCCCAGGCTGGAATGCAATGGCTCAATCTTGGCTCACTGCAACCTCCACCTCCCAGTTTCAAGCGATTCTCTTGCCTCAGGCCTCCCGAGTAGCTGGGATTATAGGCGTGAACCACCATGACTGGCTAATTTTGAATTTCTAGTAGAGATGGGGTTTTGCCATGTTGGTCACGCTGGTCTCGAACTCCTGATCTCAGGCAATCCAACCGCCTCGGCCTCCCAAAGTGCTGGGATTACAGGTGTGAGCCACCGTGCCTGGCCTGTTTTAATGTTGATGCTGGTCAGTTGTGCCTGAATTCCTAAGGAAGGACGGTATAATGAGGTGTATCTGACTGCCCCTTTCCCATCATGGCCTGAACTAGTTTTTCAGATTAACTTTGGAATGTCCTTGGCTGGGAGAAGGGGTCCATTCAGTTGGTTGGGGGACTTAGAATTTTATCTTTGATCTATATGACTAAAAATTGACATTCTGTGATTTAATAAACCACACACTTCTGCAAGCTTAAATTTTGTTACCTGTAAAATGGAAATAATACCTAAAACAGGATTCGGCAAGCCTTTTCTGAAAAGGACTAGATAGTAAATATTTTCAACTTTGTGGGTCATGCAGTGTCTGTCACAACAACTCAGCTATGCAGTTACAGCATGAAAGTAGCCATAGACAATGCATAAGGCATAGGCGTGGGCAGATTTGGTCTGCAGGCCGTAGCTTCTCATTCCCTAGTCTAATCCCCTGTTTTAATACATAGGGCACTGTGAAGATTAAATGAGCAAATCCAAGTAACGTATTTTAGTGCAGCATGCGGCAGGTAAGTGCTTAATAAATATTAGCTATTATCATGGTTGTGATCTTAGTCTCTCCCATCTATAAGGGCTAACTGTGTTCACTTTAGTGAGTGAGGTAGTCCTTGGTGTTCCTCAGGAGATAGTCCAGCCTTCTCTCTCTTGGGCACATGGTGAATGTCACGACTGGGTTTTTGGAGAAGAACCCTGAGATGGAGTTTAGTGTACAGGATGCTTATTAATGAACATCCTTGGGAACAATCCCTGTGGAAAGGAAAAGAGGAAAGCAGGATTGGGCAGAGGGAGAAGTCAAGTTGCCAAACAACAGGCTGAGCCAAATCCCAAAATTGTCCCACATCAGGCTGAAAGGGCTGGGCTTCTACCCACACAGGAAGCATTCCCTGGATGTGGGCTGCCCTGGGAAGCATATGGCCCTGGGTGAGTAGCTCTGAATTTCTAGGCACTCCTTGGAGGAGCCAACAGATGAAGCTTGTCTGTGACAACACGCCCAGAAACCCAAGCAATAAGCTAGTGGGAGAGAAAGATGTGACCAACTCTGACTGTGAACTGCACACAGAAATAACACTTCACTTGCAGACCAAGCATTTAATTGTTGTTTAAAGACCCTTCAAAGCTCCTTTCCCCTGTAGTGACCAGTGATTTCAAGATGGTGGCTGCTCGATGAGCCTGGGCCCCAGAGGAATGACAGTGAGGAGAACCCCTCATTAACCTGTGCGATGGAATGTAGTGTGAGCAAAACTTAAATCTGAGTTCTTTAAAGCCACTGAGATTTGGGGGTCGTTCGTTACTGCAGTATTGTTAGCTTTCTACTGTGTGTCATCAGTAGCAGCATAGGAAGCTACATTGGATGTATTTAAATGATTTGAAGACGAGACACCTTATGATCTTAAAAAATCAAGAAACTGGTTTCAAATCATCATCATCACTTCCAGCAGTGACATCATAGCTAACATTAGCACTTACATGAATTTGTTACTGGAAAGGAGTCCTGATCCAGACCTGAAGAGAGAGCTCTTGGACCTCGAGCAAGAAAGAGTTCAGGGCAAGTCCATAGAGTAAAGTGAAAGCAAGTTTATTCGAGAAATAAACAGAAGAATGGCTACCCTATAGGCAGAGACGTGGCATGGGCTGCTTGACTAAATACAGTTATTTCTCGACTATATGCTAAACAAGGGGTGGGTTATTCATAAGCTTGCCGGGGGAAAAGGGGTGGAGATTTCTTGGAACTAAGAGTCCCTCCCCTTTTTAGACTACGTAGGGTAACTCCCAAACGTTGCCATGGCATTTGTAAATTGTCACAGTACTGGTGGGAGTGTCTTTTAGTATGCTAATACATTAATAATTCACATATAATGAGCAGTAAGGACAACTAGAGGTCACTTTCATCGCCATCTTGGTTTTGGTGGGTTTTGGTGGGCTTTCTTATGACATCCCGTTTTATCAGCAGGGCCTTTGTGACCTGTATCTTGTGCTGATCTCCTCTCTCATCCTGTGACTAAGAATGCCTAGTCTCCTGGGAATGCAGCCCAGCAGGTCTCAGTCTCATTTTACCCCTATTTAAGATGGAATTGCTATGGTTCAAATGCCTCTGACAAATTCACTAATGCTCAAACAACCTATGGATGACACAGTTATTATTTTCTCCATTTTAGAGATGAAACAACTGATGCTTAAAGAGATTTATTAACTTGTACAAGGCCAGGGGTGTGCAATCTATAGCCTGAAGTTCAAATCCAGCTAAGTGCCTGCTTTTGTAAATAAAGTTTTATTGGAACACAGCCATGCCCATTCATTACACATTACATAATTATGGCTGTTTTCGTGATACAGTGGCTGAGTTGAGTAGTTGCATATGGCTTGCAAAGCTCAAAATACAGTCGGCCCTCCATATGTGAGGGTTCCACATTTGTCGATTCAACCAACAAAGGATCAAAAATGTTTGAAAACAAAAATAAAAAAGCAATACAGTAAAAATAATATAAATTAAAAACAATACAACACAGTAACTCTTTGCATAGCATTTATATTGTATTAGGTATTATAAGTAATCTAGAGATGATTTAAAGTATACGAGAGGATGTGCATAGGTTATATGCAAATACTAGGCCATTTTATATCAGCGACTTGAGCATCCATGGATGTTGTTATCCATGGGGTGTCCTGGAATGAATCCCCTATGCGTACTGAGGGACAACTGTACTTACCATCCAGCCCTTCACAGAAAAAGTTTGCCCACCCTCACCTCTAGCAGTAGTAAGCGGCAGAGCCTGATTCCAAACCGAGGTTGTCTGACTCCAGAGACAACACTCATAACTCGGATATAAATAAACATTAGGTAGACTTGGAACCATGTTGGAATGTTATGAAACTTTTCTATTTCCATTTTCCGAATCGTGTGTTTTTTTTCATTTAAAAATTTCCTGATGTTTACTTCCAGCAATATGACAGACTCTGTATCCTGAAAATTCTCCCCCAAAAAGCACCTTTAAAATGCTGGATAAAATGAGTAGCTAACTTGGCAAGAAATTAAAGTATCTTAATCCCCAGAGGCCAAAAATGAAGTTGGAAGCCAGAATTCAGAATGAGCATGGTAAATATTCACTGGAGCAGGCATCAGACCCTGAGGGCATTTGCCAGTGTTTTGTAAATTAGAGCTTTCAGTTTTTACATCCGTGTCGGGGGAAGGGGGACAGGAGAGGCAGGCGACAAAGCAGTGCAGTGTCAGCATGGAGACTTTGGAATGAGTCCCGAAAGGCCCACATTCCCAATAAAATAGTGAATTAGAAAATGTTCGCCATGCAAAGGAAATAGCAAAGAAGATTTTGCATCTTAGCCTTGATTTTGGTTGGAAGAAAAAATAAAAGTTCCTACCCCCTACCAGAAATTATAAATAATCACCAGTCAGGCCTCAAGCCTGGGTTCAAATTCACTCTGTGTACCTATTCTGAAACTATATTTTAAACAAACAAACCAAAAAAAAAATTTAAAATGACGAGACACTTGGCAAAGGTAAACACAAATAGAAGGAATGTTCTCCAATTCAAGCCTCATAAAATTCTCACAGCTAGTGCCTCAACAAAAATGAGCTCACAATTTTTAAAAAAAATCACAAGACCACCCATGTAGTAAGACATCATCAGACAGGGTTAGAAACATCAAACAGTAGAATCAGACATTCAGGCTTTGGGTTGGAATTATCACGTAGAGCAAGGTTAGCAAACTTTTCTCTAAAAGGCCAGATAGTATACATTTTAGGCTTTGCAAGCCATGCAGTCTCTGTCACAAAGATTCAGCCTTGCTATTCTACTGTAAAAGCAGCCATGGGCAGTATGCAAATGAATGGGCTTGCCTGTGTTTTAATAAAACTATATCTACAAAAACCGAGAGTGTGCCAGAAAACCATGCCTTATAAATAAATATGTTTTCAATATTTAAAAAAACTTTAAAACATAAGCAAGGAACAAAATACTCTTATAAACATCAAAAAAGATTAACTTCTGAAAGTAAAATAGTTGAATTTTAAAATTCAACATATGAGTTGACTAACGAATTAGAAATGAAATGTATAATTAATAAATTGAAAGTTGGATGAGACAAAACGACTTAGAATATAGTTGAGAGAGAGAAAAAGGATATCATGATATACACATGAAAGTTTAAGAAGTGTTCACATTCATCTAATGAAAGTTCCAGAAAGAGTGACTAGAGAAAATGAGATGGAAACAATATTCAATAATTTGTATGGTTCCTTATATTTAGGAAGTACAAAAAATTCTAAAAAATATTCACACCCAGACTTATCCTGGTGAAATGAAAGAACATTAAAGACAAATTTAATAGCTTAAAAACAGCTAGAGAAAAAGACAGCTTTCCTGTTTTACATCTAACTTCATATGAACAGAGCAGAAACCAAAAGATTACAAGATGATGTCTTCAAAGTGCTAGGAAAAATGTTTCAATTTACAGTTGGATACCCAGTAAAACTTATCTTTCATGAGGATGCAATAGAATATATTTAGGTGAACAAAAGCCAAGATAATTTACTCTGGACAGATTCTTAGTAAAGGAACTTCTTGAGGATATATATACCTTGGAAAGAAGGATATATATACTTCTCCAGAAAGGAGATGTGAACTGTAAGTTGTAAGAAAGATAACCACGTGATCAAAGACATTTGTAGTCACATGGATACATCTAAATAAATATCAACACTAATAAATCTAACTTGTAAAGTTATAAAAGTCAGAGGTTGGGAGAGATGAGCTTCTAAAGCAGAGGTCATAGTCTATTTCTTAAAATGGTAAATATATGAATGTATGTGTGTGTGTGTGTGTGTGTGTGTGTGTGCGTGCGCGCACGCAAACATGCATATACATACATGCATGTTGTAAACTTTTCTATATATGATACATTTCACAAGACTTTTTAATAGAAATAAAATACTGGACAATACTAGCTTATAAGCTGAGAAAGAGTTAAAATACTCTAGGTTTTAGAAGGAGGCTGAATCTAATTAATAACTTTAACTATTAAAAAATTAGAATCTATACATTCCAAAATATTGGAGGAGAAAAAAATGGAGTAGGAATTTCATCAAATAGAAAGTGTAAAAAGATGGTGAAAATAAATCCAAATATATCAATGATCATAATTAAATAAAAAAGAATTACGCTTGTCAGCTAAAAGATAGTTAATTTTTAAAAATCCAACCATATTCTTCTTACAAGAAACACATGTAAAACAGAAGTACACCAAATGTTTGAGAGTAAAATAATGGGAAAAGCTACATTAAGGGAAGTGAATTTTTCTAACAAGCAAAATAATAACTTCCTGTTTGCTTTCAGATGTAACCACTGAATCCTCATACAAAGGATATGTTAGTTTCATATATCATAATGAAACTAAGAAAACAAATAAATGTAAAGAGAGAAATCAGGGAAAAAAAACTTAGGTTAAGGATTAATATTCTCTGACAAATCTAAAAATCTGAAAAAGCAGTTCCACCAGTGCTATACCCATGGAATTCAAACAAGCATTGATGGAAACCTAGGGCTGAATGGTATGAGTCAAGAGTAACTATCATTTCTCAAATTTGGGTCAAATTTCTTAATAATGGAGTTTACAAAATAAAATTAGATCACATTACAAAATAACTTGCATTTGGAGACAAAAGATGCTGTGATCACTTTCAATTGTATTAATATTGCTCTTTGAAATGAATGAGACATTAAACACAAAGATTCTAAGAAAAAGTAAATACAAAAATAATTTTGAAGTGTGAACGAATTTGACTACTTTTAAGATTCAGGAACAAATATTTATGTATAAAGGTGGACAATTGCTGCATTAAAATAGAGGAAGGGCTAAAATGTGAAGCTTATGAATAATGAAATGATTTTATAGTTATTTTAGTGGCATGGGGAAATGTCCATGATATAATTAGTTAGCAAACAAAACCATATATGAAACTGTATATTCACAATAAAAATATGTTTAAATGTCATCAAATGTGTCTAGAAACAGGATTGGGAAGAAAAACAACAGAATACTAAGAGTGGTGGGGAAATGAGTGATTTGTATTTTCTACTTTATATTGTATTTTCCAAGTCTTTTTTTTTTAACAATGACCACTTTAATAATCAGAAAACAGAATAATTGTATTTTCAATCTTTAGTATTTTGTGTGTTTACATATATTATGGTCCAGAATCCCAGTGAATGAAGATGTGAAAAATGAATTCTAGAAAGATGAAACATGACAAGACTTTAAAAGAATGTTTTAAAAGACAGAGAAATCGCTAGCCTAATTGGTAGGTAACTTGATATAAAGTTAACTTCTTCACTTCAGGTCTCAAGAATGTGCACCAAAGTGAGTCCCAGAGGTTGCTATGGCAATGGAGGTAAACCTGATTAGGTCGGCATTCACTCTGCTTTCTAAGGTAAGGCCAGGGGAAAGAACATAGGATTCTTTTTTCTTTCATTTTTTAGATGGAGTCTCACTCTGTCACCCAGGCTGGAGTGCCATGAAGCAATCTTGGCTCACTGCAACCTCTGCCTCCTGGGTTCAAGCGATTCTCCTGCCTTGGCCTCCCAAGTAGCTGGGTCTATGGGCACCCGCCCCACCATGCCCAGCTAATTTTGTATTTTAGTAGAGACAGGGTTTCACCATGTTGGCCAGGCTGGTCTCAAACTCCCAACCTCAGGCGATCCACCCACCTTGGCCTCCCAAAGTGCTGGGATCACAGGTGTGAGCCACCGCGCCCCGCCTAGGATTCTTGAATCAGACAAATCCCCACTCTGTGCCTCTGTTGTATTTCCTCTCCCTTCTCTTCTCCCTCATTTGTCCCTCTTGCCTCCCCAGTTCTCTCCTTTTACCATCTTTTCCTCCCTACCTCTTAGCCTCCGCTGCACTTGACACCATCAGACTGTGTTCTTCCTGAATGCCCTCCTTTCTGGGCCTCCATAGGGTGCTGCATTTTCCTGAGTGCCTTCCTCACCAGAAGTTCTGGAGGGCATCATTTCTGGATTCATCATTTCTGACTGTACCCTTGGTGCTCAGGACCTGTCCATGGGAGGTGCCAAAAAATATTTGTTGACCAAATGAATACATGCATGAATGAGTGAATGAAGACAATTCCTCAGTCTCTTTTGTGGGCTCCTCTTCATCTGCTCACCCTTCAATGAGGACATTCTCCAAGATTTCGTGCTTAGTTGCTTTTTCTTTTCATTCTGTACTTTTGTCCTGGATGACCTCTCTTCCCTTTGCCTTAGGTAACATTCAGGTGAAAATTATCCCCAACTTTTCAACTCTACCGCATCTATTTTTCACGTCTATATTTCCACTGCTTTCAGTTGGACCCATGCTCACCCCATATTCAACTTGTCAAAAACCTCATCCTTTTCTTTCCCATCTTTCTTCCTCTTAAGAGCTCCACCTCCATTGATAGTACCACCATCTCCTCAACATCTGGATTTAAGCTCAGAGGACCCTTTTACTCTCCTCCTGCCCTCCCTGATTCCTGTCTACTGAGCACAGCCATACTCTGGAAGTTCATCCTTTCTTTCAATTCCATCCCCACTACCCCTGTGTCACTTCCCACCAAGATCATCACCAAACCCTGGGACGTTTTCTTACTTTGAATCTGCACTTCCCGTGACTGCTGGGTTTCCTAAACCACAGAACTCCTCATTGTCCCATCATGCTCAAAAACACTTTCTGTTTCTCATTGCCTCCAAAATAAAGCCCAGGCACACAGGCTCCTCGCAGTCTCGTTCGATCTATCTTTCCTGCTTCATCACCCTTCCCCATAGCCCCCACTCTGCCATCTTCAATCTTTCTGTCTCTATCATCTCCATCTCCAGCCCCATCTCCCTCTTCGTCTCTGTCTCTAAGAGCCTTGCCAGGTTTCTGCAGCCAACAGTCCCTTCATGCTGCCTCCATGACCACTGACATTTCTCGCCTGCCCGGATGCCATCTCTCACTGCTGTCTTCTCAAACTGCTTCTCCTCCTCCAGGGCCCATATCAAGTATCACCTCTTCTGAGCAGCCTTTTCCCAAACCTTCAGTCAGGATTGAGGGTGCTCTCCTCTGTAGTCTGGTAGCATCTGACGGTGCCTCCCTGAGAGCACAGCCCACAGCTGTCAGGTGCAGGTGGGTGGGCAGAGGGAGACAGTGAGGTGCTCCTGAAGAACTTGAGCACAGGGATAGAATGTTTCTCCTCTAGAGTGAGCTCATAAAACAATGTGTCATGGGAGAGAACAAAGTGCCTGCTAGCTCAAAGGAACAATGCCTTTGACTAGCAACAGCTGTAGCCTGTAGCCAATGACGTCAAGGAAGCTGCAAAAAGGCTGTGTTAACAGAAGCAGGGCTGTTAGAGGAAGGCCAGAGTCAAAGAAGCACATTCTTGCATTTTCCAATCTTTTCCAGGGGAGGAATGCTGATGGGGGTGGGGAGGTTGGATTTCAGGCACTGGAGTGGTGGTGTCCAGCAAGGGACAGGGCTAGTTTCTCCTCTCATCTTACCTTGACCTGAACAAACTATCCTGGGGGCCCCCTGCTGTCTAGTCGTGCTCATCAGAAAGTCTCAGTGTAAGTAGCCACACTTGAATGTGCGCCGTATCATGTAGAAAGGGTGGCTCTCTAGAAATTATTCTAGTCCCCAAAAGGACTATTCCACCCCACATGTTCATTTCTAGCCTACAAGTCAGTCTGTGGTTTGGGCATCTTCAGTCCATCAAGAACTCTGTGGTCATGCCCAAGTCTAGTTTCTGGGCCTGCAAGTCATGGAAATGCCCCTGGGAGGCAGCCGTCCAGCTGTCCCCCTCAGCAGCCAGGGACTGCCACCCTATTCAAGATGCTACAGCCAAGAATTAGAGTTAACTGTGCCCAGCAGTGTCCTCCCACAAGACCACAGGTTCGCAGGCTTTTTCTGTAGAGGGCCATCCAGTCAAATATTTTAGGTTTTGTGGGTGATAAAGTCTCTATCTACTTAACTTTGCCCTTATAGTGGGTGCTCAGCAGCCATAGACAATATGTAATCAAACAAGCGTGTCTGGATTCCAGTAAAACATTATTTACTAAAATAGGTGGTGAGCCAGATTGGCCCACAAGCCATAGTTTGGCAAACCCTGCAGCAGGTCATGAGTTCTTGACAGTAGTGACTGAGTATTTCCTCCTTGGATCCACTCATATATGCCTAGGGCATATTACATCCTCACTGTGTCTGTGGAATTGGACTGAATGCTTTTCTCCTAAATGGCCCACAGGCCTTTGCATAGTAGTGATCACGGTGAACAGAGAACCATCCCATCTGAAGGAACCTTAGAGGTACCCTCCTTGTCAGCAAAGAGATCCTTCTGTAGTATCCTTGACGCATGACATCTAGTTAGCATCCTTCTGCGATGCCTCTGCCTTTGTGTGATCATCCATTTACTCGCCTGATAGCTATCGGGGACTGTTAGCATGTCCAACCCACGTGTGATGAACTGGAAGAATGATCCATCCCTCTTGTGTTGACTGCCTTCCAAGAGCTACTCAGTAAATACTTGCTATACAACTGATTATACTAGTAAGCTAATTTTGTGAGCCAATTTTGGCAGAAGCTGTTTGTTTTCTGCAGAAATTTTAAGCAACCAAAATAAGGATTTGAAGCAGAGAAAACATATTATCTACTAAAAGCCTACAGTGGTTCCTTCCGTGGCTGTAAACTCAGCTGTGATACCACCTGCCTTCTGCCGGCTGGGATGCAGGCTGCAGCGTTGCCCAAGAGTCAGTGGGCAAATGGTGCTCCTCCCAGCTTGGCTACTCGGACCCAGGGATCTCACAGAAGCCTGGCAAGGCTGACAGCTCTCAGGGGGCCTGTGTGGGTTCTTTCCAGTGCACACATTCACTCTGGAGCAAGCCTCAGCATGTGGACCGGGGAGAGAGACTCCCTTTGGACAGTGAGCTGCTGAAGAACAGAGACTGAGAATTAATTGTATTTGAATCCTAAGCAGATGAAAGAATTCTGAGGACACAGCAGGTGCTCAACAAAATTCCCATGTATTGCCGCAAGGAGCATTTCTTTCTTTTACTTTTTTTTTTTTTTCAATGAGACAGAGTCTCACTCTGTCGCCCAGGCTGGAGTGTAGTGGTGCAATCTCCACTCACCGCAGCCTCCGCCTCCTGGGTTCAAATGATTCTTCTGCCTCAGTCTCCCAAGTAGCTGGGACTACAGGTGCACGCCACCATGCCCGGTTAATTTTTGTATTTTTAGTAGAGACAGGGTTTCGCCATATTGGCCAGGCTGGTCTCAAACTCCCGACTTCAGGTGATCCACCCGCCTCGGCCTTGCAAAGTGCTAGGATTACAGACGTGAGCCACCACACCTGGCCTTTGGGGAGCATTTCGGTATCCCTGTTACCTGATACCTCTCACGTGAGTCTGGCCTTGGCAGAGCCACCCTAACAGGGGCTGTGCTCGATCCCAGAATGTCTTCTTCATAATACCAATTCTGCACTTTTCTATAACACTAAAATTTGCAAAGTGCTTTCACATGGCCTTTCTCTTTCTCTTTTTAAATTCACACTGAAATATTATCTAGGACAACTATTTCACATGTCTCCAGGCCTCACCAACTTGTGAGCTCCCATTACAATGAAGCCTCCACCTGTAGACCTACAAGCCTTCAATAGCCCTGATCCCCCCACACCCTCATCACTTGAAGTCTCCTTTATTGCCTTCTAGGTGTCCTAGAAGCTGTCTCAGATTGGCTCATGAATAAGGACACACACCCCTCTACTCTCCGGATCCTCAGAGTTGCTCACTCATGGCCTCCAAGCCATTTGAGAGCAGCACTTTGCTGCTGGTGTTTCTCCTGAGCCCTTAGGGTGCAACAGATTTTTGGTGGAATGAGCAACAGTGGCTCTGCTCATCTTCAGGTGAGACTTCTGTCACCTAGACGACTTCTTTTTTTTTTTTTTTTTGAGATGGAGTTTCACTCTTGTTGCCCAGGCTGGAGTGCAATAGCACGATCTTGGCTTACCACAACCTCCTGGGTTCAAGCGATTCTCCTGCCTCAGCCTCCTGAGTAGCTGGGATTATAGGCAAGCACCACCACGCTTGGCTAATTTTGTATTTTTAATAGAGACGGGGTTTCTCCACGTTTGCCAGGCTGGTCTCGAACTCCCAACGTCAGATGATCTACCTGCTTCAGCCTCCCAAAGTGTAGGGATTAGAGGAGTGAGCCACCGTGCCCAGCTAATTTTGTATTTTTAGTACAGACGGGGTTTCTCCATGTTGGTCAGGCTGGTCTTGAACTCCCAACCTCAAGTGATCCGCCTGCCTCAGCCTCCCAAAGTACAGGGATAACAGGCATGAGCCACCTGGCTACCTAGGCTTCAAGGCTATGCTGTCCTCCAATCCGTACTTCATTAGGCCAGAGGTGGGGGAGTCAGGAACAGGGAAACTTATGCCCAGGATAAGGGACAAGGCATGGGACACAGTTGTCATACCACCCTTCCATTTTCCTCCTGCCATCTCTTGGCTCCCTACATTTAAAGACACCTATTATAGAAACTCCCCTTTCTCCTCCAGTGAAAAAAGAAAATTCCTCATACATATTATCACATTCACACAAATGGCTTGAGAGAAGGGTCACTTGTGCACACATCTAATTTCTGCTAAGCTTCAGCCAGCCCTGCTATCTAGGCATTATCTTCCCATTTTATGGCTAATAAAATCGAGATTTACAGCCCATATAAATAAGTGAATAGGAGAAATGGGGCTTGACCCACTTGAAGCCGTCCTCCTTTCATCTACCACAACTAAACAGCTTAACAGTCAGCCTCATCTCCTCATTGAACAAGATGTGGTCCATCTTCTATGTTTGAAAATGCCTAAGCAAAACTCTGGCCCTTTCCTGATTCCTCCTTCCTCCTCCCATGCATGGTTATTTGGCAGAGCCAAGAAGTAGAATGACAGTTCATTAGCTTCAAGAAAAAGTCACTGCCATAGCCCGTTAATGCAACAGAGTATTTTCTGTGTAAAAGTGATTTTGGCAGAAGCTGGTTGTTTGGTGTAGAAATATTAAGCAACTAAAATAAGGACCCTGATTGCATTTCCAAACAAGTAAAAGCTGCCTCTGTTTAGCTCATGCTTCTCTCTAAAAAGTGGAAATTTTTATATCGAAAGTAAGTCTCTGCAGCTCCATCCTCCTCTCAATGTAACCCTTGCCCTTTGGAGCCTCCACCTAGCACCAGAGGGTAGACCACTAAATAGAAAAAATAAATGTAAACCATTGGAAATGAAAAGTTCATCATTCAAAGCATTACATTCAAGCCATTGTCTCGAATGTTTGGGGTAACTCTCGTTTTTAGTTTAGGAAAGAAAATCTGAAACAGAACAATTACATCACAAATGGAACATTTATATAGTTACTGGGATAGAAAAATATTCAGTGAAGAGAAAGGCTGCATGATTTCAATGAGATCCAGGTGGAAGAGTCCTTTCAACAAATGTCTGCACACCAGCCCATAAAAATGATGGAAAAGGCATAAGACAAGAATAAAAGCGACAAAGTGCCAGGTGCTTATCCCCACTAAACCCACATCCTCTCTGAATTTGTCCCTTTCAGCTGCTCCTGCCTTTCACTTTCCTCTCTCCAAAGGGCTGGATTTTGTGCCTTCTGGATTCTTTTGCTCATTGTCCTCCTCTCCTTCCCCACAAGGCAACAGAAGTGACTCCTGGTCCAGAGCTAGGGAGGGCAGCAGGGAGAATGAAATAACCAATACAACTAGTAACAGTAACAGCAGCAACTTGTGAAGCCCTCACTGAGCACCAAGTGCAGGACTGGATGCTGTCTGTGGATTATCGTGTTTCATTATGACAGTTCTAGAGTGTGGGTTCTATAATTGTTGCTGATATGGTTTGGCTATGTCCCCACCCAAATCTCATCTTGAATTCCCACATGTTGTGGGAGGGACCAGGTGGGAGGTAATTGAATCATAAGGGCAGGTCCTTCCCATGCTGTTTTTGTGATAGTGGATAAGTCTCACAAGATCTGATGGTTTTAAAAAGAGGCGTTCCCCTGCACAAGTTCTCTCTCTTGCTGCCGCCACGTGAGACCTGCCTTTCACCTTCCACCATGATTGTGAGGCCTCCCCAGCCACGTGGAACTGTAAGTCCAATAAACCTCTTTTTTTTGTAAATTGCCCAGTCTCAGGTATGTCTTTATCAGCAGCATGAAAACGGACTAATACAGTTGCTATTTTATAGTTTGGGAAAATGAGACTTAGAAAGGTTGACTATCCTGCCCATCACACAGCTAGTTAGTGGCAGAACTAGCTCTCAAACTTAATCTGACTCTAAAGTAATCACCCTTGCCAGTAGCCCACACACCTCTCCACAATACCTATTAATTATGGATACAATTTATTGTACTTATTTTCCTCCTTTAACTTTCCTCAAAATAAACACTAAAAGTAGATGCTATTTGGCCAGGAACAGTGGCTCATGCCTGTAATCCTAGCACTTTGGGAGGCCGAGGCAGGCGGATTGCTTGAGGCCAGGAATTCCAGACAAGCCTGGCCAATGTGGTGAAACCTCATCTCTACTAAAAATATAAAAATTAGCCAGGTGTGGTGGTGCATGCCTGTAATCCCAGCTTCTTGGGAGGCTGAGGCATGAGAATTGCTTGAGCCTGGTGGCAGAGGTTACATTGAGCCAAGATCATGTCACTGCACTCCAGTCTGGGCAAAGAGCAAGACTCAGTCTCAAAAAAAAAAAAAAAAAAAAAAGAAATGGCCAGGCGCCGTGGCTCACCGTGGCTCATGCCTATAATCCCAACACTTTGGGAGACCAAGGCAGGTGGATTGCCTTGGTCAGGAGTTTGAGACCACCCTGCCCAACATGGTGAAACCTCGTCTCTACTAAAGACACAAAAATTAGCCAGGCATGGTGATGGGCGCCTGTAATGCCAGCTACTCAGGAGGCTGAGGCAGGAGAATAGCTTGAACCCAGGAGGCAGAGGTTGCAGTGAGCCGAGACCACTGCACTCTAGCCTAAGCAACAAGAGTGAAACTCTGTCTCAAAAAAAAAAAAAAAGTAGGTGTCATTTATTTATTTTATCCATTTCATAGATGGGGAAACATTGATACATCAGTTGAACATATATGCCAGGAAATATGTGTGTGAATATGTGTGTGTGTGCACGCAAATATCTGTGTGCATTACTAGGATTACTATCCATATTTTATACATGGGGTCCCTGAGATTCAAAATGATTAAATAACTCAACTGGTTGGAAGGTAGCAAAATTTGGATTTGAACCCAAATCTGCCTTTATCTAGTTTCGACTGCTTATACCATACTGCCTACAAACAGGCCTTTGAATAAGCCTTAAACTACAGCCCAGGAGTACATGCAACCTCCCAGATCTGCATCCTCAGGTACAGTGTCTGGGGCAAGGTGGGGCAGGCATGAATGCCAGAGAGAACTCCTGGGGTGACAAAGGAGGTGAGGGTGGGAGTGGTGGGGTGAGGCCACAGGCCTGGGAGACTTGGAGATGAAGCTGCCTGCTTCCCTGAGGTCCTGGAAGAAGCCACCAGGGCAGGCAGTGCAGGAAATGGGGATTGTTTAGGTGGGACACAATCCTGCAGGAAGAAAAGAGGCAGTGATAGAGAACAATGGCAAGGGGCTTCCTCCTAGTCTCAGGGGAGCTAAAGGGGCAGAATGGTTTGTCTGATGGAAAGAAGGGAAGGGAAGGCCAAATCCTGCAGACCTCTCCCCTCCCCAAAGCCCCCTCTCCCTCTTCCAATCCCACCTGCTTCCAAGAACCGCCTTCTCCCTTGCTCACAGCCCCTTCCCCTAATCCAAAGAAAAAGGAGACACTTAATTTTGTACCACAAAGGGCATTGCTTTGCAGTCTGCATGGGGCCACTTCTACAAGTTGTGTTCCTGTATCTATGCTTCTCATATGGTTCTTCATCAGAATCACATGGTCAGCTAAATTGAGATTTAGAAATCATTTTCCTGCCGGTTTGTGCGGGGTATCTTCTATATCTGTAACACCCCCGGTTCCTGGGGTGACCACCAGTTACTGTGATGATCAGCTAGCAGAGGAGCAGGCAAAGTCCAAGAGAAATGCCTTTCCATACACAAGAGTATTTGCTCAGTGAAAAAATTTGGGCCAGGTGTGGTGGCTCACGCCTGTAATCCCAGCAATCTGGGAGGCCTAGGGCGGGTGGTTCACCTGAGGTCAGGAGTTTGAGTCCAGCCTGGCCCACATGGTGAAACCCTGTCTCTACTAAAAACAATACAAAAATTAGCCAGGTGTGGTGGCGCATGCCTGTAATCCCAGCTAGTTGGGAGGCTGAGGCAGGAGAATCACTTGAACCTGGGAGGTGGAGGTTGCAGTGAGCCGAGATCGCACCGCTGTACTCCAGCCTGGGTGACAGAGTGAGACTCTGTCTCGAAAAAAAAAAAAAAATTTAAGGAAGACTTTTTCTTTTTGAGATGGAGTCTCGCTCTGTCGCCCAGGCTGGAGTGCAGTGGCGTGATCTCGGTTCACTGCAAACTCTGCTTCCTGGGTTCAAGCAATTCTCTGCCTCAGCCTCCTGAGTAGCTGGGATTACAGGCACCCGCCACCACGCCCTGCTAATTTTTTGTATTTTTAGTAGAGATAGGGTTTCACCATGCTGGCCAGGCGGGTCTTGAACTCCTGACCTCGTGATCCACCCGCCTCGGCCTCCCAAAGTACTCGGATTACAGGCGTGAGCCAACGTATCCAGCCAAGAGAGAATTTTAAAGGGATGGAACACTAGAAAATTAGAGGGAAAAATCTTCTCAGGGGATGAGGGAGAATGAGAGTCAAACATGAGAAGAATGGGATACCGGGGAAACTGCTGGAGTCTTGTAGATGGTACTCATATGTCAGTTTTTGTTAAAACTGAGAGAAACTCATCAAAAAAAAAAATCCCTTAAACACGAAAATATCTCTGACACTGAGTCACAGAGGATGAGATGCAAAGAAAGAAATTAACTTATGTTAATATAAGAAGCACAGCCATTCTCACATAGATGTGATGGGACTCCTACCTGAAATACAGCAATAGAAAGAGTCATTGTTTTGAGAGAGGCAGGAAGAAGCAGCCTTATATGTGAAAAGAGGATGCAAAAAGATAGCCCGTTTCTGTACAGAAAGTTACTCAGTAAGAACGGAAGCAGCCGGGAATTACGGGCAAAACATAAACAGGATTCCTTCGAGGGCGAGGGCTTAGGTTGGGTGCCCAGGCATGGAGGAGCCTTCCTGAAAGCAGACCACATAACTACAAGCAAGCAGTCATAGGGATAGGAACTTGAACTATCTTTATGTCTGTTGGAGGTCATATTTTGCTAAAGTAGAGCAGCCTATAAAAATTTTGAGACTTTCCTAGCTAACAATTTCAGCTCTCAGATCAAAGGAGAAACTGGTATTCTGCATGCAATTTTAACCAAAGAGAAAGAACTGGTTTCTATATGGAAATTATAGAGACCTTGGGAGAATGTGACCATGTCTTTTGGGAGTCCATAATAGCAAAGAAAGAGAGCATTACATAAATTCCAAGGCAATGGAATAATGAACAATCCTGTAAATAGGGAAAGGATAAGTAAACTTATAAGCCAGTGTGGCCACTCAGAAAACTCTCATGAACTCATGTTTTGTTTTTTTTTTAAAGACATGTTCACAAGCAATAATAAGGGACCCATATCCAAGATCAAAACAAAAAAAAAAAAAGAAGAGAGAAGGCTTTTAGGAAGACTAAAGCCTTAGCTAGTGGGAAATCTCAGAAACAAGTGAGATTAAAAAGGTGTTCCATGATAGATTCAGTTCAGAGAGAATGGGGTGGGAGAGAAGGAAGGAAGGGAGGAAGCAGGGATTTACAGGTTTTATTTCTCTTTTTTATTTTTTTTTAATATTTCATTTTTTTCATTATTTTATCTTTTTCCTTTCCTTGGTGCTTACTTCTACATATTTTTATTTTTTTGGATAATTCCTTTGGTTATTTCTCCAATTCTTAACTCGTAATTCTTTTTTTATATATTAATCTTTTTTATCCTAATCTTGTTTTAATTTTTCATGATTAATTTTACTCCTTATATATGTTCTTCTCTCTTTGTTTCACTATTATTGTCTTTTCTCTCTTTTTTGAATTTTCTATGTTTATTTTTTAATTGATTATACTTTTTTTCCGTTTAATAAATGTCTCTTTTTAAAATTTTTGTGGTATTTTATATTATGTTCTTATTTTTTTATCCTCATTTTTTTCTTCATTTGGTTTATAAATCTCCTCTTATTATATTCTTTATTATTTATTTCGCTCCTAATTGGTCTCTATTTGTAGTGTTTCCCATATTTGTGAACACTTTTATTATACTTTCTTATTTTTTCTGTTGTTTTCTTTTCTTCTTTATTAGGTTTTTTATAATTGTTATTTTTTTGTGTTGTTTTCCTCTTATTGGGACTACTATCTCTATTCAAATACTTTTTTTTGGTTTTTTGGGCGATTATTGTTTCCTTATTTGTACTTATTTGTGGTCCTTATTTTTTTTATATTTTCTCTTTTATATTTTGCTTTATAGGGTTTTTATAAATGTTGGTATAATTTTTTTTTTTATTTATCTATTGTGTTTTGTTAAGTTCTTGTTACTCCTTCG